>NC_000009.12:10010000-20010000 GCF_000001405.40 Homo sapiens | reverse complement strand
CTAGACAGTATTATTGTTTGGAATTTGTGGTTCAGCATGGCCATGCAATGGACTCCAAGGTTGAGTGAGGTCTCTGGGCTTGTTGTTTGGCCACACAAGGTGGGCAGGGCCACAGGCTCTGCTCCACAGATATGTGTGGGTATGGGCTTGCCTGCTGGCCTAGAGGAAGCTTAACCAGAACACTGAGGTTTGGTTGAGTAATCATGCTGCAGCTGGAGTTGGGCAGGGCCAGATGCTCCCTCCCCAGGTAATTGCCGGTTGCCTCCTGACTTGGGAAAGGCTTAATGTGAGAACCAGGGCTTAGTTGGGTTACCTCTCCACTACTAGCATTGGACAGGGACAGATGTTCCTTTCTCTGGTCATTACTGACCTACAGTTGCCTCTCGACCTAGGGAAGACTTAGGGAGAGCACTTGGGCTGTGTGGAGAAGCTGGCTAGGGATTCAATGCTAAAGGACCTGTGGACCATGTTTTCTGTAGTGTGATGCTATTGGGTAGTTTCTCTGATGTGGCACCTCCATTGCTCCATTGGCCAAAGTTCAGAGCAACTACCAAGATTTGTGTGATGGTTGCTGTGAACTCTATCACCCGCCCGCTTTTTTTTTTTTTTTTTTTTTTGAGACAGAGTTCAGTCTGTCACCCAGGCTAGAATGCAGCAACCCAATCTCAGCTCACTAAAACCTCTGCCTTCTGGGTTCAAGTGATTCTCATGCCTCAGCCTCCAGAGTAGCTAAACACCCCCATTCTTTATTTCTAACTGACCCCAGGTGGTATAGCCCTGCTGTTACTCTCAGTGTTTCCCATAGGATGAGACTGGAGTGAGCCTCTTTCACAGGGTCCCAGAATGGTGGGGAGGCTGAATGTCCACCTCCAACTCACTTTTCCCACTATAGAAACCATGAGTCCAGAATTCTTTGTGCATGGCACTATGCTAGCTTAAGGAAGGAGGAGTATGCTCAATGAGAACCATTTCTCTTACCATTGAATCATAGCTTTTTTCAGTTCTGCAGTCTAAGGGGGTGTCTCAGCCTCACTCCTGAGTTCTTGGATATTCAGGATGGTATTCTTGCCTGTGGACAGTTGCCAGTTGGATTTCTGTGGGGGAGAGTGAAGCCGGAGAACTCCTATTCTTCCCGTCTTGCCAACATCACTCTCTGCATGTTCTTCTGAACTGGGAAACTGAAGGCCCTGAGTGCTGCCAGTGGGGTAGAGTAGAGGATGGAAGTGGAGTAAGTGGGAGAACTCAATGCAACCTCTGGAATTTGGAATTTGGGGCATGAGTGAATATAGAGTCTAGAGGCTGCTTCTTTCCTAGAGTCTCTGAAGATAGCAGGCTGGACTACAAAGATGTCATATTCCTGGGAAGAAGATGGGAGCACACTCTACCTTTTAGGGAATATAAGAGGATTTCTCCAGGGCACCAGTACAGGAAGCAGAAGTCATGGAGCTGCCAAGGTGGCTATGTAGTGAGAGTTGCCTCATCTGGAAAGGGGGTTGGAAGTATGGAACTGTGGTGGGAGACAAATGTAGATACAGTTATCCTTCAGCAATGAAGAAGTAGAGTGAAGTTCACCACCATCCTCTAAAACCAATAGAGAATATCCATGTACAGAAGTCACCAGTGGCAGACAGAGCCAGGCGAAGACAGAGTGAGTCCAAAGACACCTCTGTAGACAGCCAGCGAGACACCTCATCCTCTCCCTTGTTCCCCTCCCAGCTCCTCTTCCCAAAGGATACAGAGACCCACAAGTGGATAGGGGTGGGGAGAGGACATAGCCCAGAGTCAGGCTTAAGAGAGGGAAGAGGGGCCAGGCGCAGTGGCTTAAGCCTGTAATCTCAGCACTTTGGGAGGCTGAGGTGGGTGGATCACTTGAGGTCAGGAGTTCAAGACCAGCCTGGCCAATGTGGCAAAACCCCGTCTCTATTAAAAATAGAAAAATTACCTGGGCATGGTGGTGCGCACCTGTAGTCTCAGCTACTCGGGGGACTGAGGCAGGAGAATCGCTTGAACCCAGGAGGTGGGTATTGCAGTGAACCGAGATCATGCCACTTCACTCCAGCCTGGGCAACAGAGTGAGGCTCTGTCAAAAAAAAAAAAAAAAAAAAAAAAAAAAAAAAAAAAGAGAGGAGTAAGAAGAATTAAAAGAGAAGCCCACTTGCCCTCACCTGTGCAAGTCTCTTAAAATACACATCAAGCTTGTGCTGCAGAAGAGGACAGGAGATTTATAATAGTTTTGGGATTAGACTTTAAAACTGTGCTGAACTAATTCTATTTTAAATAACTAAATTTAACAGAAACTAATGGAATATGCCCAAAGGGACTTCTGATGTAACTGTTGAGAAGAGTGATTAGTGAAACATAAAATAGTTTCATGTTGAAATCCCCATTGCATTCAGATTTTTCAATAAAGTAGTTACTTTATATACTCATAAATGGATTTATAAACACCTATATGGATTTATGTATATGAATTTATATACATATATATTCACACATGTATACACCATTTATATAAAGGTAACTGATTTGGAGAGCCTGAGAACCTAGATTAGACTTAGAAAACATGGGGCGCATATGTCACACAAATTACCCCACCCCCTTCCCTTGCCAAGGCAGACATTACCAGTTAATCAATGCACCTTTTCACCCTAAAGTAGGACTCAGGTGCAGAATCCTTTTCAACCCAGCATTACCAGCAGCCACTTCCAAGAGATCACTGTTGGCACAGAAGATGAAACCTATTACATCTCTTTTCAAGATTCTAGAACAGAGCACTGCAGCAGGGAGTCTGATTTTCAACAGTCAAAATTGATCTTGTGAAAACTGTTTTTTATTTGCTCAGAGCCCATTTATTCTTACTGTGGGCATAATTCTAGTAAACTTTATCAGCTGTCATCTGATTTACCAGTCCTTAGCATGATACAGTCAGCTAATTAAGAGTTGGGATTTTACTAGAGAAAGCAACACCCACAGTAGAAAGCAAGGATGTTGACACAAACAGTGATGTAGTAAAAATAATTTCTACTTACTGAGCACTCACTTTTGTTATAGGTCCTTGATATGTATTTTCTTTTATCCTCACAGTAATGCTTTTAGGAAGGCAAGCACTGTGTACCCATTTTATAAATAAAAAAAGTTAGGCTTGCAAAACTTAAGCAACTTACACAGGAACACACAGTTGGGAGTCAATTCCAGATCTTTGTAGTACCAAGGCATACACGATTTTTCTTGATACTGTATAGACTGCCCCTAAAATTTCAGACTTTAGATTTCAAAGAGCATGGTAGTCTGGTGTCATGTAATGGAGAGACAGAGAATTCCCTAGGCCTTGATGAGGTCTAAAGTCATGAATTTTGAACAGAATATTTTTATTTTTATTTTTTAATTTTTGTGGGTACATAGTAGTTTTGTATATTTATGGGGTATATGAGATATTTTGATACAGGCATGCAATGCTTAATAATCACAGCCAGATAAATGGCTATTCATCCCCTCAAGCATTTATCCTTTTTTGTGTTACAAACATCCAATTATACTCTTAGTTATTTAAAAATGTACAATAAATTATTTTTGACTGTAGTCATCTTGTTGTGCTATCAAATACTAGATCTTATTCATTCTATCTAGTTATATTTTGTACCCATTAACCATCCCCCCTCCCCTCACCCACTACCCTTCATGTTTCTGATGAATACTCTGAGCAATTAATATACATTTAATTGCATATTAAATTAGTATTTAATAACATGAATATGGAAATATAGAAAGTAGATAAATTTAGAATACATTTTTATTTGCTTAATTTTTAAATTTAATTACATATTAATATATAAATATGAAAAGTAGGTATATATAAAATATATTCTTGATTAATTAACATACTATGTGTATATATTGTATTCTACTATGTATATCATGTAGTTTCTTATTAAGCCAGATAAATTGGGTATTTTAATATGTGACTATGTTTGTGTGTACATAAGCATATATATGTGGTATGACAGAATATATATACAAATTTCCTAAAAGGAGGTACTGATATGCTGGCTATCAGCTGACCCTATGCCCTACCCTCACTTTGGGTTATTTTCATATGACAAATAAACTTGTTTCTTTTCTGTCTTTTTTTTTTTTTAATGGAGTAGGGAATGGGATCTCGGAGTTCTTGATTATTTTTGACTATTCATGATTTTCCCATTTACATGCTCTCTTTAGCACCTGGTTAAATCACTGGCCTTTGGCTTCAGCATAATTTCATGTTCTACAAACAATGTAAAATTATTTTTCTCCATTTACATCTAATAGAACTTCCTGGGAGAACCCTCCCTTGATGCACTTAAGAAATACCCTGTCCCACCCCACCCCACCTCATCCTTTAGAACCTTCCCTTTGGTTTGGCAGTATAATGAACTAGGTAAAAAATGAAATTTTAGAGTCTCAGAAACTTGAGTTCAAGTCTTTGCTCAGCAATGTAGTAACTTTGTGATCTTAAGCAAGATACTTAATCTTATTGTGTATTTCCTCATCTGTAAAATGGGTACAATATCAGCGTCTATTCCTTAGGCCACTGTGAAGATTAAACAAGCTAACATATGTAAAGTCCTCAGCACAATATTAGACACAGAGTAAGCCCTCAAAATTTGTTTTTTTAATTATTTTGATTCCTTAAACACTTTTAGGATTGCCAGGAGGTTAGTCATCTTTGCCCCAGTTCTTGCTATGGGATAATTTCCCAAGTCCAACAATTTGTTCAAATGAAAAAGGGCTTTCCAATTTGCTTGACTTTGTGATTAATTATGGATAAAGTGAATGGTAATTATTAATTAATTTTTGAGGTGATTATCAGGTGCATGTAGATTACAATTAAAGACACTTTTCTCTAGACACCCTCCTTTCTATGGATTTGATGTTAAGTTTTAATGCCCATATTTGGACATAGCATAACTATTTCGCTGACAACCAGTAACAAAGGTATGGTTTAGGAAATTATTTCATTGTGATAACCAATAGACTGGAGCAATAAAGAGAAAATCTCTTATTTAGTATCAGATACTTCAAGGATAAAGAAAACAGATGCTTCTTTTTTTTCAAAAAAAGTGATATTGTTTTCAAGTTTTCCTCATTCAGAAATCTCCTCTTTACATCAACTCAGGTTCAATTATGAAATCCCAAAGGAAGAAAAAAAAAAATCATCATCTTCACAGCACATTGTTGGGCATGCTTCATAAAAGCAGTGCCTACTTTGTTTTGTTATAATCCTTCATTCTTTGAATTTAATGAGACAAGATATATCATATTGCCATGAACACATATACAAAACCAAATCAATTTCCTCAAGGAAAAAATCCCTTATAAAACTCCAGCTCAACAAATTTAAATATATTAATGATTTTTACTACATCTGTATATGGTGAAATCCACTAATGGAGATCATCCCATTGTTCAATAAAACAAAATGAGAGTCTTTAGGCAGGTAGTCTCATACACAAATTTATGGCAGCCTATATTCTGTTATTAACTGGATGGATTCATGATAAGATAGTTAGGACTATACTTTTTCCTCTTAAAGAATGTCACAATGTCACTTCTCTTTCCCCACTCTTCCCACTGCAGGTGCTCAGCTGCTGTTTTATGACCAGCTTCCCTGGAAAAGCCTGACCAACAGAGTGGTCATAGGCCCAGCTGAACACCGGTCAACAAAAATGTCCTGCCCATGTCTGGTGTTAGGCCAATGGAAGGAAACCTCCAAAGGTAGGAGGCTAAGTATTTGGGAAGCAAAGGTTATGAAGCAAATGGCGATTGCATGAGTGCAGCCCATGCTCCCTTATCATCTATTAGGTGCTTGTTAGCTGGTACTCATTAGAAGGGGTCTGTGTCTATACCTGTTTTATACATAGTCAGTATTCTGTATGTGAAAGAATATCAAGGCTGAGAAAATCTCTCTCAGGGCAAAGAAAAGAAAATTACCCAGAATCCTAGCACTCTAGCCCAACTAATTACATATATGTAAGGTTTTTTCCCCAGATTTTTCTATACACATAGACATATACATATATGCAGTTGTAATCATTATGGTCACACAAGTTTTTATCCTGTTTTTTTTTTTTTTCGTTAAACATCCCACATTCAGGCAGTCTTCATAATCACCATTTAAATGATAGTACTAGGCATTGGCAAGCTACTTCTTGCCAGTCAAATCTGGTCCACTACCTGTTTTTATAAATAAAGTTTTATTGGAATACAGCTACATCCATTCATTTTTGTATTGCCCATGGCTGCTTTCATGCTACAACAGCAGAGCTAGTAGTTGTGACAGAAACCCTATGACCCACAAGCATAAAGTATTTACTGCCTGGCCCTTTAAATGCCAACCCCTGACATTCATTCTATCAAGTGGAATCTATAATTTATTTAATCATACCCCGTTTTTGAACATTTGGGGGGTTTTCTCTTGTCTTCTTACTAATACCTCAAGGAATATGAGGGTTCATACTTTAAAAAAAAAGGATTTCCTGAGTCTAAATTCCCCAAAGTAGGACTACTGTACCAAAATGTAGGAACATTTTGATAGCTTGAAATTTCTAAATCAAATCTCATAAGACGAAGTAGTTTCTCCTACAGTGGTGCATTTCTCTCTGACAATAGCATGCTCACCATATCGACAGAGAAAACAAGAGTGGATTTTGGCTGACTTGTGGATATGTGGCTATGTGGCTAATTGCTGGATTAGAGTCTTACAAGCATCATTTTGCCTGTGGTCATGGGCATAGTTTTGTATAAGTGTGTTACGTGTTCAAGTGTTTGGTTAGTTGCCATATATTATCTGCAGTGACCATTCTTTATACATTTTGGGGGAATCCTCTCATATAGATTTGTTACACAAAATCCTTCCCTCACCACCATATCTAATTCAACAAACAAAATGAATGCCAAATAGGCAGGCAGAACCAGATTTATCATTTATGGGGCCTAGTACAGGTCCCCTTTTCGAAAGCTATTAAGAATTTCAGGATGCTGACAACAGACCATTAAACCAAGCACAGAGCCATCTAAACACGGGGCCATTTGTGAATGTATTGGTTGTACATCCGTAGAGTCAGCCCTACAGGTAGGTGGAGGATGTGTGTGGAGGCTACAGCTAAGAAAAACCCTGTTATGTGGAATACAGCCAGCCCTGCTGTTGTCCCCTCCTGAAACCACCAGACATGGGCAGTGGGCAAGGAGGGAGGAAAAATCCAGAAGTGTTTGGCTGTTCTATATATGGAAGAAGACAAACCAGAAACTTCTGTGACCTCCTTGGTGACAGTCACTGTGAGTGCACCAGTCTGGAGTTTCCATCATTTACCTGTCCCATCTGTGGTTAAGAGAGTGAGCTCTCAACTATGATTGCCTGAGTTCAAGTCCTAACTCTGTGATGTACCAGCAGTGGGACATTGAAGTATGTTATCTTCAGTTTACTCATCTACAAAATGGGTCTAATAAGGGTACCTGAGTTTGTTTTAACAGTAAGTGCAGTGACACTCCTTTTGTGCTTATGCCTGATTATACCCTGAGTAGATTTTCCTGGTGTTATGCTATTATCTTTTCAAAAGGGTACCAAACTAATAATTGTTACTGAAAAAAAAAAAAAAAAAAGGTTTGTAGCTTGCAGTAAGCCTTTTGGTAGAATAAAGTGCTAATCATTTTTCTAACATGGCAGCCTTTTGTGCATTGCTCAGAGACACCTTTCAACTACTGGTACATCAGTGCTGGCTCAACAGCCTACGTAGACACAGAGTTGGGGTGAAATGGTAGTGCTATTGGTATTACTATTACTCTTCCGATGTTGAAATCTTGTGGTGACAAGCAGAATGCTTGTCTCTGCACCAGAGGTGGTGGTACTAAAACAATCCTTGTGGATTCATCAGCATTTACCTAAGTATGTTCCACTAAAGCAGGGCTTTAGTCCTCAGCCCTGAGGACTGCCTCAAACTTTTGAAAATCAAAAGAATTCTATCAATAAATAAATTTTAGAAATGCTGTATTAAACTCACATAAACAGTATTCTTACCTTTAGTATTCTTATGTGGACTTACATATTTTCCATGAAGTACATTTTTCTGGGAATATATCACAGAACTGATGTTTCAATAAACACATTTTGGGAGATAGCACTCTACTAAATATTTTAGTGCTGGATCAAAGTAGGTGTTGCTTTGTGAAGCTTTTTTTCTTTGGGAGAGGCAACCTTTAACCAGAGGCATCATAAATAAAAGACATGTCTGTATAATGCCCAAATCCATGTAACAAATCTTAAAGACTCGGTAGGAAGATGCTTAGCAACCTCTTTGGTGATGTGGCAAGCAGGCCTCAAAGTTGGCGGATGACATGGAATAGAGATGAATATCCACCAAACTCAGCCATTGCCAGTGGAGGGTGGACTGAGACGCCTTTTTTCACAGTGGTTCTATTTTTGATTCCCATGTGATTTACCCAAAAAAGGCAGGGCCTTGACACCTTGGGGACAGTTATGCTTATTCTCAGCTCAGCAGATTGGGCGAGAATGATTTAAGCAGCAAAGGAAAATTAATTGGTTGCCTTGGCTTCTTCCCCTTCCTGCTAGGCTTAACCCCCTTCCAGATTTCTTCCGCAGGACAGTTCCCTTCTCTCCATGCAGACCTGAGCCAAAATAGAGTGCCAGGAGGGTGAGAGGGTGCGTTGTGAGGCATGCAGAGCACTCTCCACAGGTAAACCTGCAGCTTTGCAGGAAGGTGGATGCACACTCCCTCCTATCCTCAGCCCACTCATTGCTGGATCTAAGAGGACAGGATGTGTGGCGCAGCAGGGACAATGCAGGCTCTGCCATCAGAAACGAAGTGCTGATCCTCCAGGCTTTAACTTTCTCCTTTGTGGCCCACAAAATGCAACTGCCACGTTTGCATTTGATTGTTTATTTTTAAAGTGAGGGTGGGCCCATTAGAGCAATGGATGGGGAGAGAAAGGGCCTCAAAACGTGATCTTTGCTCTTGGATACCAAGATAATATTCATCTTACTATCCATTAGGGTCAGATGACCCTTCTAAGCTTAAAAAGCAATAATTCCAAGTTATGCTTCCTGCCTCCTTCCGTCCTCCACACCCTCTCATACATAACTTTTCTGTCTCAACAGTGATCCTGTTTTTCCCATGAAAGTTTTCTCTGTGTATAGAGGAGGAACAGTCTCACATTTTACTGTTAACTTAGTCTCTAGGGCATGTATATTTCCTGTCTTTATGCTTAAGGCAAAACTGGGGTCCATTCTTTAGTTCAAAATCAGAGCCTTAAAATTATATAACACTGACACATAAGAAACTCCAGTGCAAAAAAATGTGGCAGATATGGAGACTGCGGGAGAAGAGATCCATGTGTCGTGAGTTCCTGATCTTCACTGAGCTCCTACAGCAGTTATTGTTTGTTGCCAGGTGGTCTATTCTCAGGGCCGTTTGTGTTCTGATGTTTCTCCCTTGTCCTCCAATGAGACTGGATAAACTTTTTGAAGATAGAGTTTATACCTATACAATGTTTATCAAGAACTGGCACAAAAGTCTCTGAAACTCCAGTTGAAGGTATGTTTTCACCCTCTGATGATTATAGGGCAGTCTGGATCCAACCTGCCTAGGTCAAATTCTGTCTCTGCTACTAACTAGCTGCATACTAGCTACTTGGGCAAGATTCCTCCAATTCCTTATCCATAAAATAGGGAACTGTTATGAGCAAAGTCCATGTAATATGCTTAGCACAGTTTCTGGCACCTAATGGTACTTCAAAAGGTGAAATAATAATGTTCATTAAGTGCCAACCATTTCCATACATACTAGTTTAAAATCTTTTAAAGTAGGAATTATTACCTCCATTTTACAGCTAGAAAAATAGTAAATCAGAGAAATGTGGTTTTTTAGTTGCAGATCGATCACAAAGTGAGCAGCAGCACAGGTCTGTGTAACCCCAAAGACTGAGACTCCAGCACAGGTCTGTGTAACCCCAAAGACTGCAGTCTCTGAACCTCTCCACACTGTCTTGAACATTCAGGCCATTAAGACCCTGAACTGGGGAACTCCTAGTCTAGCTCTTTAGTCACTTGGCAAAATTGCCACCAGTGACCCGGATGAAGAGGTTGAAAACAGGCCCCTTCTAGACTTTGATTCTCAGCCATGGGTGTTGACTGCTTTGTGCCTCCTGGGTCCCCCTGATGAAACTCTGTGACTCTGGCTCAGGATGACTGTAAGGCAGGACACAGGAGGTCAGCCCTGTAATTCCATAACTGCTCACTCACTGACTGCTTAGTGAGAAACCATGATGACAGCTGGGATCCTTTCCGTGATGAGTAATTACCCTGTCACACAAATCTATTTAGACCACATCCTTCTGGGGTACAACCACCAGTTGATTTAAAATGCAAACCTTTTGTAGCTCATTGCCATGAGGATGAAATATAGAGTTTACTCAGACTTTTCTTTGTTGGAGTATTTATTGTAAATCATTAGTTACTATGAGTTGCTACCCATACATCAAGCAATTCCTACCTAGCCCTGAGTGCTGAAAGAATTCTCTGTGCTTTTCTAGAAAAGGTACCATTTGTCCAAGAATATAATTACTGTATACTTTTTAAAAATCCCAAGCTCATATATTTGTGTAGAGAAACTCAGGCCCAAGGACACCCAATTAACTGGGAACACTCAGTGTGGTTTTCAATACAGGAACCACAAGTCTTCAGGGATGTTAATGAACATGGATAATAAATGCCTCACCTACTACTCAGGCTTCCAGCCAGGGAGGCGAAGGAGTGACAGGCAAAGCCGTGGCTCCCTGCTCCAAGTCTTGCACTAAACACTTTATATAGGTCTTTAATTCTCCCAATAGCCCCAGTGGGTAGGCATTAGCATCTTCATTTTACAGATGAACAAATTGGGGATCCCCATCTTACACCATGAAGCAGTGGAACCAAAACTCATACTGAAAATAATTGACTTTCCCAAGTCTCTCTGCTATATCACCACACACAAAGAGACTTGCAGCCCCAGCTAGCTTATTTCTGGCTTCTGCTGGTCTGATTCTTCTGTGGGTGGCTTTAGAACAAATAGGATGGCTGAGGTCCCCCATCATCAGGGCTGCCGTTGAACATGAAGGAGGAAAGCTGCTATGTATAGCAAGCATTTTTATCTTGCCACCAACAAAGATCAAGCACACAAAATCTGAATCCCCCCAGGGGTGGGAGAAGGAGTGAGTTTCTATTTCTCCCAGACCATTCTGTCCAGAGCACACAGCAATATGGGCAGACAATTAGTATGAACGGATTTGAGCAAAACAGCAAATCTGATTGATGCTGAAAGCACACCCATGTGGGAGCACACAAAGGGATGGAGAAGAGGGGTGGTCATAGGAAGCGGGGCCTGCTTAAAAATTCTAATCCTCATAAGCTTCTGAGGAAGCTGCTCTTTTCACTGGGCAGGTTTTTAATATTTATTGCTGGGGGCTGTTTTAATCCTAATGAAAATAGCATGTCCCTAGGAAAAGAAATGCTGGAGCTACAATGAATGAATGTGGCTCTGGCATTTAAAATGTCTCACAAGGCTCACAGAGGGTAGAGGTGACCCGGAAGTGAATCATTGACAGGCTTCAGGAAGTACTGCTGCCAGAAGGAAGTTGAGCTCAAAACAGGGTATGTGTGGGCGAGTTCAGGCTGAGTTAACCCCTGAATGGGTCTGAATGGAAGACCCATTTCTGAAGAGGGGCACACTCAGAGTTCATCTGCCAGAGTTTGAATCCTAGCCCTGCCATGTCTAAATCTCAATCTCCCATCTCTAAAATGGAGAAAATGATAATTACAGATTTTGTTGTTTCATTGTGAAGACCAATTGAGACAATGAATGTAAATTACTTACCACAGCTTCCGGCACAGAGTAAGTGCTAAATAGTGAGAGATGCATTATTATTAATATAATTTTTATTATTGTATGGCTTATCCTTAATAGTATTGGCTTTTTTCCCAAAAATATAAGGATGCCAGGTATGAACTAAGAGATAGTAACTAGGAGGGCCTATTGGAAAGAGCCAGAGAAAATTAATGCTGAATCTTCTATTGATAAAATTCTGATTCAAATCTGATTCAAACTGAGAAGGAAATAAGAGCTTCTCTTTTGCAGTGAGGGACACAGGCAAATTAACTATTTATCCAAATACAGTTTCATTGGCAAATAAAATGTGTTGCCTGAGTCCAACCATGTCATCAAGTAAGATCTCAACAGAGCTGAATCTGTGTGTAATTCTGAAGACTGGAGTTTGTCTTGCTCACTCCTAGCTGCTGTTGTACGCCTGTTTTTTCATGAGTGGAATCATTTCTAACCACTCAGTAAATTCTCTCTGTTTACCTCTCCCCTTCTATAATAGTGGATCTGTGACTGGGGTTTCCCTTTCTGTTGTTGGGTGAGTCTGACACTTGCTGAGAGTGTGCTGAATGATCCTGACCACCTCCTCTGATCTTCTTGGGCTCACAAATGGGGACCTCAGTTCCTCACTCCAAGGAATAGCTTAAGAATGTAAAAGGTATCATGACCTAAACTAATATGGTACGTCCACTTCCATATGAAAGTCAAAATCAAAGTTGTATCAAACTGTAAAGTAAACTTACTTTTTGAGGTGACATAAAGCTTAAATGGGTACTGGAATTATCTTTATTCTAATTTCTCTCTTTCTCTTTCTCTTTCTTTCTGTGCCCCTGCTTTGCTGGTTCCCTAAACTCACACCTAGTCTGATTATTGCAAATCTAGCACCAAGACCAGATTCCAAAAATTATTAAGAAGAAACAGTAAAATTGTGATGACTAAGTTCTAAATCTCTCTTCTTGTCTTGAGGAAAATGCTCTGTGCTCTCTCTCGTAATTATTCTCAAGAAGCATGCCTAGTTGAAGAGCTCAGCAAATTGTTTGCTTTTTTTGCCTTTTTTTTTTCACCATCTTTTGCCTGCAATAATGGACAGTCTCCCAACTCGTTGTCTCCCTCTCTTTTGTCTTGTTCTCCTTTACTTCATTCTCCATGCTTTTACCACTGAGCGCTTTCTAAAATTCAAATCTAATAATGTTGCTACTTAGTTTAATACCTTCTAATGGCTCCTTATAACTAGAGCTACAATTCTCAAACCAGGGAAACGTACCACTTGGGGTAAGGTGTTACTCGTTATGGAGGGTGTGAAGGCATAGGATAATCATGATGGATCTCCTTTTTTTTTTTTTTTTTTTTTTGAGACGGAGTCTCACTCTTGTCACCCAGGCTGGAGTGGTGCAGTGGCACCATCTCGGCTCACTGCAACCTCCACCTCCCAGGTTCAAGCGATTCTCCTCCCTCAACCTCCTGAGTAGCTGGGATTCCAGGCACCTGCCAGCATGCCTGGCTTAGTTTTGTATTTTTTTAGTAGAGACAGGATTTCACCATGTTGGCCAGGCTGGTCTTGAACTCCTGACCTCAGGTGATCCACGCACCTCAGCCTCCCAAAGTGTGGGATTACAGGCATAAGCCACCGCACCTGGCATTGATGGATCTTCTTTAACGCCAAGAGTGATGAATGTGATGTATTCATATATTAACAAATATAAATATGTTACGGAGTGGAACACATAATCGACTCAAATATTAGAGACTAAATATGGTATTTCAGAGGAATTTCACAGGAGTCACTGGCTTCTGACCATGCCCCAGGACTTATGAAAATATTCAATCACTCTCCTAAAACAGAATAGAAAAGTTGGTGAAGCATTACCCTGAACAGTAAAATCAAACCCTTTGATGCAAAGAAAATTCTCTGAAATCTGAAGCCAGCCTTTTCTTCACAGCACCATATTTCTTTCCCAACTTTACCCTATCTGACACCCCATGCTCCTTACATAGTTCATGCATGCACAGTTACAAGCATCTTTGCTAATTTTACTCTTCTAGCTCTATGTCTCTGAAACACCTGTCTTGAAGCATGCATCTTCTTAAAAAGGTTGAAAGTAGTGGTTCTCTTCCAACCTTCCCTTTACTTTACCCAAAGAATCCAGTCTACCTTTCTCCCCAGATAGCCTCTAAGAAGTTAGCTCAGCAGTGTGTATGCATGTTCATCTCTAAAGAGGAGAGGGGCCTAGGCCAGGCTGCCTTGACTAAGCACATGATGCCTGCCCCATCTGTTGAACATCAGGAAATGGTGAGTGATTGAGGGCTAGATGCTGGGGTGCACTGCCTAGATTTGCATATGGGCTCCCTCACTTATCAACTGGATGATCTTGAACTAACTAGCTAACTGCTCTGTGCCTCAAATTCCTCATGTCTACAGTAAAGATTATAGCAGAATAATATTTCTGTAAAGAAGGTCAAAGAGTTTAAATGTGTTAAATGCTTCAAAGAATGTCTGGTACCTAAATGAACATTAGTTATGATCATTCTTAACCTCTCCTTGCTAGTAGGAGGGAGTTGGCTCAAAATATCTAGTGTTCTTATGAAAAAGACCCTGGTCCTCAGGTATTCTCACATGGCCCCATCACAGCCTAAGTCCTGTGGCTCATAGGATGAGTGTACTCTGGGAATAAAGTTCTGTTTTTCTTTCCTTCCCCAGAGCCAGGACATTCTAAGGCACCCACACATAACCTCCACGCTCTCTTTACCTCTGTGGCATGTGTGTTATAAAAGAGACTGAAGGATGAACATATTTCTAAAATAGAAGTCATGAGGGAAAAGTTTAATGTTGAATTGATTAATATTTTAATTTTTAAATTGAGATATGATTTTTAAGTCTAAAAGATACGCGTGAAAGAAGAAAGAGGAAAAAAGGAGCCAATATTTGTTGCAAGTTTATGTACCAGATTTCAATCCTCAATCCCTATCATATTCCTACTTAAGGGAAATAATTATCCTTCTATGGAGAAAAAAAAAAAAGGCCTGAGATATTAACTACCACAGGGGTTAAATCCCCTCACCATCCGCCAAATTAAATCGCCATGGCATTTCCTCCTACTGAAATTCAATGTCCATGACATTTTAAGGTAAAGGGTGTTGTTTTAGTCATTTTTAATTAGTGATATCTCCATTCTCTGGAAAACAGACTTCTCAAATCCCACCCGCTCACTCTGTATATTGGTACATTGGAAGAGACCTCTCAGTGAAGTATGTCTCTGCAGAGTGTGCAAAGGCTTCAATAGCATAAGCTGGTTCTAGGGCAGACTAAAGGAAGGAGCTCAGGGTGCTGTAGAGAGTTGTTGAGGACCGGTGCATGAAGCCACACTATCTTCAGGGAAGTAGATGGCAGCCCATGTCCGATCCTCACATATGCAGAGGCCCTCAGAGGTCCTTGGGAAGCCACTCTGCTTGCCAACTTGGGCATTCCCTCATAGCATGCCAACTCCTGGCTCTCAATCTGAGAGTGGTAAGTGATGCTTCAACAGAGTCAAGAGCCTGGTCCTCAATTCCTCTTAGGCATGACTTGTTAAACTACTGTGAATGAGCGAACGTGAAAAACCTTGCAGCTGCTAGACCCACAGGTGCCCAACACATTGGGACATAAACCAATTGGCAGTGTTCTAGTCAGGAATTTGTATGACTCAGAAAGGAGGGTGAGAGCTTGGTCAGGACTCTTGCCCACAGAATTTATTGTGTGCATGGGTAATTACCCTGGTTATTCATGCTAAGGCTGTCTTTCCATAGTTTGTTTTTTTTGTTTTGTTTTTGTTTTTTGCCAATGGTCACAGTTTGTTATTGCCTTAAAATTTAGCAATTGGCAGCAGAGGACAGCTGAGATAATGAGACTTTGCAGTGTCTTTCCCTGACGAAGGAGATTGTCATCACTCCATTTAATGTGTTCTTTTCCACTAGAAGCAGGTGCAGCAGCCTGTTGCAATGGAAACAGCAGCTCACCTGGAGCCAGGCAGATCACCATTCTAATCCCAGCTCTGCCACCTGCCAGCTATGTGAACTTCTGCAATCTACTTGGTCTATCTTTACCTCAGTTTCCTAGTACACACGGCTGCTGTGAAGATTAATTACAAACGAGTAAGATAATGATGGAAGGATGCTCAGCAATAGTGGGGTCTCAATAACTGGGTGTTTCTCCTTCTCTTCCTGTTTTTAGATCTGACTGTTTTCACCATGGGCATTAATGATTGTGTTTTCAATCACTAGCATGAAGTTCAAGGCTCTGTTACTAGTGGTAATGGGAGATTTAATGGTAATATTCTCGAGGGACTAACATTTTCCTGGGAGAGAAGACATAGTTAGGGAATAGAACAGGACCACGAAATGCTCAATTATCTCCTGCACACTCTCAGACCAAGATGGGGTAGAACTCTGTGTGGGCTCTGCTTATCAGGTTTAGCTTCACGGAGGAGGAGATGTGGAATGAAGAATTAATGTGGCACGCTGCCCTGAACATAGTAGCAGGTACTCTATAAATGTTAACCGTGTTGAATGACTGCACATATTTAATGTTCGGAATGAATAACTTTCTAGTTTATGGTGTAAGCTGCTCAGAGGAAAAGTGAGCATCCATAGATGGTTATAAAATAAATTTTAGGAAAGACAAAAATTTAAAATAGCCATGAGCCCATTTTCTTGTGGTTTAGAGGAAAGATTTAACTGCCACATCAATGCTGTGAGTTTATATATTCTATTCTTTGGACAAAAGCTAAAGTTTTTAAAGTGTATTGATTTTTTAAATACAGTAAATAAATACTATTAAAGCTAGCATGTGGATATGCAGTATGTGAACGAAGCTCGGGAAATTCTGCTGGAAGTATTATAATATGATCCATTTTCAGATGCCCTGTGGATGGAAAGAATCATTCTGCTATGTGAGGCTCTGTGATCTTGGGCAACTGCATTCATCTTTCTGTACCTCATCTCCCTCATTTACTAAATAGGGTCAATTATGATGCTACCTTATGGGGTTGAAGGTTAATATCTATAAAGCGTACAGAGCACTTCTCTCTATGGGTTAAGGTTTGAGTAGAATAAGAATGAAAAAAATAAGGCTGACATTAGTTTGTTGGCTACCACTGACTGAGCCATGGTGGCACTAGATGTTTTGGTAGGACTTTGATAGCAAGAGTTAATCTACCCCACACTGATGAAAAATGATAGGTCGACAGATTGTCCTGCGGTTCCCAGGAAGGGATTCCCAGCTCTGACATTCACACCCTTGTGGGTTATTTAAGGTCACAAGTACATTTACTGTATGATCAGAGAAACCACATACTTGTGCAGCTGGGAGCATATTTCTGCCAATGTGCAGAGGACTGATGTGATGCTACTAACAGTGGCATGAGTGATTTTTTCCTATGAGATGAGTAAGTACCCAGTCAACTGAGATGAATTTAATCTGAACCTATGCTCCAGTGAAGTCCAAGATTCCCCAGATTCTTGCAGAAGCACATAAAATAATTAATCAAATCTTATCTCAGATGTTTTTAATCAGTTAATGAACAGTTTATTTCAGTGGTTCCAAAGACTAGCCAATTTGAATGGAACGGTAAATTGTTTGTATATAAAATGATTTGGTTTCACCCAGAGGTAGATATATTTTAGTTCTCATCCACATTGCATTTTCAACTCATGATGCATAGCCATCAGTTTTAGAATTGTAAAAATATCTTCAATAAGCAACACATAGCAAGCAAACAGACATGGTGGAAAATACAGAAATGCTGTCATCAAAGATCTGCTGCTGAAGAAAATAAGCCCCAAACCTCTACCTCTAGGTATTCCTCTTGAGCCTCAGACCTATATGACCAAGCCTATTGGACATCCCCCCGGTATATACAGAGTTGTTCTCTTGGAGATTCTCAATACACAAAGCTTTTAAAGATGTTGACAAGTCCTGTATTAAACAATGCTGTTTAATCCAATCATGTATGATAACATGCCCCTTTTTAAGTGATAACATTAATATTTCTATTTCCTAGAGGACAGAATAAGACATGCTGCCCCAACATAGATGGTTGAAGCATACCATTCACTCATTCAGCAGTCTAAAAACTTGGGTGACTTACTTTACTTCTCCTTTTCCCTCATCCATCCAGTCCCCAAGTCCTGTTGCTTTTACCTGGGAAATGTCTCTAGGGTCTCTGCCCTCCTCTCCATCTCCACTGTCAAGACTCAGTTTAAGTCTTGCTCATGTCTATTTTGAATGTCTAGACTGTTCTCCCTGCTTTCAGTTTCTCTCCTCTATAATCAACCACTGACTTATTTTCCGAAAAATAAATCTCATCATATTGCTTTTTCACTTAAAACCTCTCCTGTCTCCCCATTGCCCATACAATGAGTGAAAATTATTACCACAGACTAATTCTTAGGACAGTATAGGATGGTAGTTATAAGCATAGCATTTGGAACCAAATACAGTAGTCCTGCCTTATATATGGTAGATATGTTTCAAGGCACCCAGAGAATTCCTGAAACCATGGATAGTATTTGTGATGGTTAATATTGTCAACTTGATTGGATTGAAGGATGCAAAGTATTGTTCCCGGGTGTGTCTGTGAGGTGTTGCCAAAGGAGATTAACATTTGAATCAGTGGACTGGGAGAGGCAGACCCACCTTCAATCTGGGTAGGCACCATCTAATCAGCAGCTAGGATAAAAGCAGGCAGAAGAACATGGAAGGACTAGACTGGCTGAGTCTTCTGGCCTTTGTCTTTCTCCCATGCTGGATGCTTCCTGCCCTCGAACATCAGACTCCAAGTTCTTCAGCTTTTGGACTCTTGGACTTACACCAGTGGCTTGCTAGGGGCTCTTGGGCCTTCAGCCACAGACTGAAGGCTGCACTGTCGGCTTCCTTACTTTTGAGGTTTTGGGTCTTGGACTGGCTTCCTTGCTCCTCAGCTTGCAGATGGCCTATTGTGGGACTTCACCTTGTGATCCTGTGAGTCAATACTCCTTAATAAACTCCTTTTCATATATGTATGTATGTATGTATGTATGTATGTATGTGTGTATATATGTGTGTGTGTATGTATATATGTATACACACATATATAATACATACATATACATACATATATAGTATATATAATACATACATATACATACATATATATATATATCCTATTAGTCCTGTCCCTCTAGAGAACCCTAATACAGCACGGAACCCTATTGATACTATTTTTTTTTTTTTGATAACCAAGACAGCTACTAGGTAACAATAGGCAGGTAGCATATTCAACGTGGATCCACTGGATAAAGCGATGACTTATGTCCTGGGCAGGATGGATGGAGAGGGCCAGCATAAGATTTCATTATGCTACTCAGAATGACATGCAATTTAAGGTATATGAATTGTTTATGGAATTTTTCATTTGATATTTTCTTTTTCTTTTCCTTTTTTTTTTTTGTTTTGTTTTTTTTTTTTTGTTTTTTTAGGTGGAGTCTTGCTCTGTCGCCAGGCTGGAGTGCAGTGGTGTGATCTCTTCTCACTGCAACCTCTGCCTCCCAGGTTCAAGTGATTCCCCTGCCTCATCCTCCCAAGTAGCTGGGACTACAGGTGCCCGCCACCATGCCCGGCTAATTTTTTTGTATTTTAGTAGAGACGGGGTTTCACCATGTTGGCCAGGATGGTCTCGAACTCTTGACCTCGTGATCCACCCACCTTGGCCTCCCAAAGTGCAGGGATTAGAGGTACGAGCCACCGTGCCCAGCCTCATTTGATATCTTCTGACCGTAGGTGACCATGGGTAACCTAAACCATGGAAAGCAAAACCATGGATAAGGGGGAGACTACTACAGTTTTGTATAGGCCCTAAGACACTGATTTAATCCTCCTAAGCCCCAGTTTCCTCATCTATAAAATGGGCATAATTATGTTACAAATTTTACAGGATTATGGTGATGATTAAATGAGATAATGCAGGCACAACACTTAACACAATACCTAAAATATTGAAAATGTTTATAATTTTAGTCATTCTTTTAGTCTTATACATAACTCTAAAGAACTGAGCCCTAGCTCACCAGTCTCATCATTTCACAGCCTTTTCCCAGCCACCTATGTTTTAGCCACAGGAAATTCTAACTTTTCTCTGACATTCTAGGCACTTACCTGTCTCTATGATTTTGTGCTGTCCATTCCCTCTCTGCATAGTGCTATTACCTGCTTCTATAGTGGAAATGTCCTCACTCCAAGAGACCATTATGCAGCTTGAAAGAACTTATCGTTACAAAGCCCATGCACTTTTCTGTACAAGAACATCTTGAAGGGTTAGCATGCTTATTTGGAATTGGGTGGAAATGTAAATCTACTGACTTGACCCATGTAGTTGTCTAGGTTCCTTTGCAAGAGAAGGGAGAGAGGGAAAGTTCTTCTTAGTTGACAGAGGGATCAGATTAAAAGCAGCAAGGGAAGAACTATAAGATACCATGGTAAGAAGCAAAGGCTAAGAAACAGGGAGGACCAGGAATAGTGACAGATCACTTAGTATAAAGCATAACCTAAGAACACTATGGAATTCACATCCACTTTAACAAACTCTTATCTAAAAGGACTGACTGGACTAGGTGTCATAACTGACATTCTTTATGATGATCATCAAAAATTAGTAATAGTAGTGCACTCATGTTTTTTAGTAAGTGCTTATGATGTGTCAGCATTATGTTAAGTATTTTTTATGTTAAGAGCGACTCATTCTCATTGTAGTATTATCACCTCCCTCTCATTTTAAAAATGAGAAAAATGAAGCTTATAGAGACTAAGAGACTCTTCCAAGGTACTTAGTGAGTGACAGAGTTCTAATGATTCTGGAGCTCATGATCAAAACCATTTATAATATTCTCTCCTTATATAAAGTTATTATGGTTAATGAACTCTACTTACCAAACACACATGGAATAATGTAAATACATATTTATTATTAACATCTATGATTAAAATATATTTTTATAAAATTTTTCATGTAGCATTGTTTACATTTTTACAATGTTGGTATGCCAGCAAACCACAGAATTTGTAAGTAGGACATCTTTTATTTCTCTGCTGCTGGATAAATGACACTTCACACACTTAAGAAAGTTAGCTTCCTAAAAGAAAATCTAATGTCTGTGAGCATCTTTGCGTGGCACAAGCCTATGGTGAAAACTAAAGTTTTAACCAAAATGTTTATGTTTTATGTCCTCCTAGGAGGTTTTCCTTAGATCTGGAGTGAAAGGGGAGTGTGTGATTTGGACTGAGTGGATTCAGTGTTCTTCTGATCTTGGTTTTGTTTCAGAGCCTGATATGTGTGTGTCAACGTGTTTCTCTCCTGCCTGCATTGGTACTTCCACAAAAGCAGAACCACCTCTGTGAGAGACATTGCCTATTCCCTGTCCCTTCAAGCTTGTCCTTAGGGTGTCACCTTTAAAAGCCAGCCTTGTCTCTCTTCCTATTCAAGCCAGATCCTCCCTCCCTTGTCTAATTCTTAGCCAAGCATAGCAAGGCCAGCTGGTGAGAGCCTTGTAAAAAACAATGGCACCAGACCCTGCTTAATGGAACGCTGATTGTGCCAGTCGAAACTTCCTGGATTGGAACAGTTGATTTTGAGTTGTGGCCCATCCTCTGACCCATATTGAAGTGTTGTGTTCAGTGGGGATTAAAAGCCTTGTGAACTGGAGTAAGAAGAGCTAGAAGAAAGAGGTCATTGTGGGTCTAGAGGGAATCAATATTGTCTCTTTGAAAAAGCCTGTGTCTGTTCCCAGACTGACCATCTGGGGCTGTGTGGCTCAAAATCATCTACAAAAGAGGAGAGGGAATTAAATTGGAATGGGAGAACTTTGCAAGGGCAGATTTGCAAGGTAGCTTGTCTGGGAAGACTAAGGAGGAGCCAAAGGGGTGGTAGGAGAGAAGGCAGTTTAAGAAAAAAGGAAAAAAACCCTAAATTCCTATGCATACCTGCAGTTCATCCATCCCTCCTTGTGCCCCTAGCAAATGTTTTCCAGATGTGAATAAGGAACTATTTCCACAGCAGTCATAATTTCTTCCTCAATTCTTGAATGCCTTTAGCATACTTTTACAAAAGTGTTTTTGTTTTCAATGCAATTGACATTTCTAATAAATTCCAAGTTTTAAGCTTATAGGGCACGAACACAAGATGAGGAGTGGTAACAATTTAGAGATGGGTGTCGCTGGTTCAGTGCTCCTACAGCGAAGGAAATGTTTCCTCTATGTAAGGATTGGTGGCTTCAGTTTTCTTTGGGGAAGCGTGATAACTGGATGAAAACAGGCAATAAAAGTGGCCAAAAGAAACAGAGAATACTGATGTGTGATGCAGGATTATCAGGCTAACAGTTTCCTCAGAGCAATGACTTCATTCTGGCTTTAAGATACCAATATACCTGTTCCAGCTAATTATCTGGAATTGGAGACTTTTTGGAAAATGGATACATTTCCTCAGGAGACCAAGGAGCCAAATGCTGCCGTCAGTGGTGAAGTGGAACCTGGTAAGTGGGGCATTTAAGCAGGAATGGTGAAAGTGTGAGCATTGGACAGATTTTGGCTCTGGAATAGATTTGCTATATGTTCCTAGATGAATCCTTAATATTATATAATACTCAATCCTCACTAATCACTTAAAATGGCAAAAATTAATTTACTAAAAGGACTTGTGTCACAGTAATAGGAAGGTAGGAATTTAGTGACTTCTTGTTTTATCAATATTTTCATTCAGAAGAGAATTTTGCTAATAAGGTCTGTCTGCCAAGGTATCGTATAGCTCTTCTCTCCCATTATATTCCAGTGGCAAAGAGGTCCACCCGACAGTGAGACCTCTCTACCCGCACACCTCCACAGGTACCTCCAACCCTCATGACCCAACTAAACTCGTTGTCCCCCACACTCCAAACCCCATCTTCCTTCCACATTCCAATCTATATCAACAGAGCATCAGCTCTTCCACACGAGGAGTTTCAGCATCACCCTTTACTCCCCCTTCCACCCTCCACTGTCTATTACCATTCTCCTGTTCTGCTTCTTTGACTCCTTTGTCATGGCCTCTGCTTGAGTTCAAGCTCATTATTTTTCATCAGCACCAACAGTATCCTTTTTATTTCTTAACTGAGTTGAAATTGACATAATATTAACCATTTTAAACTGAACATTTCAATGGCATTTAGTACAATCACAATATTGTGCAACTACCACCTCTATCTAATTCCAACACATTATTATCACCCCAAAAGTAAATCTATACCCATTAAGTAGTTACTTCCTGTTTCCCCCTCCCCCAGCCTCGGGCAACTACCAATCTGCTTTCTGTCTCTATAGATTTACAAGATAATTTGTATAAATGGAATCATACAATATGTAATCTTTCATGTCTTGCTTCTTTCATATAACGTAGTGTTTTCTAGGCTCCTTCATACTGTAACATACGTCAGTACCTCATTCCTTTTTGTGGCTGAATAATATTACATTGGATATATATATACCACAATTTGTTTATCCATTTATCTGCTGATGGACATTTGGGTTCTTTCCATCTTTTGGTTATTGTGAATAATGCTGTTATTAACATGAGTGTACATGTATTTGCTAAGTGCTTGCTTGCAGTTCTTTTAGGATTACATACCTAGAGATGGAATTGCTAGGTCCTATATAGGGTCATCCTATACTTAACTTTTTGAGGAACGGCCAGTTTTGTACAGCAACCAAACAATATATTATTGGTTTGTACATTATTCCCACCAGCAATGTACAAGGGTTCCAATTTCTCCACATTTTCACTTATACTTATTTTCTAGTTTTTGATTATAGCTAGCCTAGTGGGTGTGAAGTGGTATCCCTCTGTAGTTTTTACTTGTATTTCCTTAATGATGTTGAGCATCTTTTCATGCGCTTATTGGTCATTTGTATATCTTTTGGGAAGAAATTTCTATTTAAGTCCTTTGCCTATTTTTAAATTGAGTTTTGTTGTTCTTGTTGTTACTGTTGAATTATAATGATTCTTTATCTATTCTGGATACTAGGCCCTTATCAGATATATGATTTACAAATATTTTCTCCCATCCTATAGGTTGTCTTTTCACTTTCTTAATAATATCATTTGATGCAAAAAAGTTTTTAATTTTGATGAAATCCAATTTATTAAATTTTTTCTTGTGTTGCTCATGCTTTTGGTGTTAAATTCAACAATCTGTTGCCAAATCCAAGGCTATGAAGATTTACCCCTATTTTCCCAAGAGTTTTATAGTTTTAGCTCTTGTGTTTAAGTCATTGGTTCACTTTTTACTTTTTAATAATGCTTTTGTAAATCATCTTTATGAAAGTATACTTCATATATAATAACATTTACCAAATTTTGTGTAAGATTTGACACATTTTGACAAATGCATAACAATCATTTAGCCACCACCACAACCATAATTTAGAATATTTTCACTACTCATTAAACATTCCCTTGCCTTTTATAATAGTCAGTAACCTCTCTGACCCTGGTCCCTGGCAAGAATTAATTTGCTTTAAGTCAATATAGCTTTGTTTTTTCTAGAATTTCATATAAATGAAATAATATAGTACATAGTGTTTGTGTCTGGCTGTTTCATTTGTAATACTTTTGAGATTCATATAAGTCATATGTATCAGTAATTCATTTCTTTTTATTTCCGAATAGTATTTCCATTGTAAGTTTATACAATAATTTGTTTATCCAATCCCTTGTCAATGGACTTTTGTTTCTAATGTTTGGCTTTTGTGAATGAAGTTGCTATGTACATTTCATAATAGGCCTTTTTATGGACATATGTCTTTATTTCTCTTGTACAAATTGCCAAGAGTGGAATTGCTGAATCATATGGTAAATACATGTTTAACTGTTTTAAAAAACTGCCAAACTGTTTTCCAAAGTGAGCATATATTTTCACTTCCCATCAGGTTTAGTTGTTTATGTACAAGATTTTTAGATGCTCTAAATCCTCAATATTTGTTATTGTCAGTCTTTTTAAAATTTGAACTATCCTAGTGGTGTGCATTGATGTCTTTTTTTTTTGTATTTTCAGTAGAGACGGGATTTCACCATGTTGATGTCTTATTTTTAAAATTATACTTATTTTTTAGAGCAGTTTTAGTTTTACAGAAAAATTTCACAGAAATTACAAGTTCCCATATACTCCTCTTGCCTTGCCCCTTAAATATTTCGGAGGGTGTGAGGTAGGGGTCCAACTTTACTATTTTGCATGTAGATATCCAGTTGTCCCAGGACCATTTGTTAAAAAGACTATTCTTTTGCTATTGAACGATGTTGGCACCCTTAACAAAAAATCAATTGGCTATAAATATTTGGGCTTATTTATTTATTTGTTGAGACAGAGCCTCACTCCATTGCCCAGGCTGGCATGTAGTGGCATGATCTCAGCTCACTGCAACTTCTGCCTCCTGGGTTCCAGAGATTCTCCTGCCTCAGCCTACTGAGCAGCTGGGATTACAGGCATGTACCAACACACCTGGTTAATTTTTATATTTTTAGTAGAGCTGGGGTTTCACCATGTTGGCCAGGCTGGTCTTGAACTCCTGACCTCAGATGATCTACATACCTTGGCCTCCCAAAGTGCTGCAATTACAGGTGTGAGCCACCGTGCCTGGCCTGGGTTTATTTTTGGACTTTCCAATTCTATTTCACTAGTCTGTGTGTTCTTTTTATGCCAGTACCGTGCTGTTTTAATTACTGTAGCTTTGAAATCAGGAAGTGTGAGTCCTCCAATATTCTTCTTTTTCAATATTATTCTAGCTATTTAGAGCCCCTTGCAATTCTACGTGAATTTGAGAATGAACTTTTCTGTTTCTGAAAAAAAAAAGTCATTGGAATTTTGATAGAGATTGTATTGAATTTGTAGATTGCTTTGGGTAGTATTCCATCTTAGCAATACAGATGCTCTGCAACTTACAACAGGGTTACATTCTGATAAACCCATCATAACCTGAAAATGTTGTAAGTCAGAAGTACATTTTTGACTTATGATATTTTCAACTTATTACAGATTTCTCTGGACATAACCACATTGTAAGTTGAGGAGCATACTGAATGCGTATAACTTTCACACCATCATAAAGTCAAAAAACAATAAGTCTAACCATTGTAAGTTGGGGACTATCTGTATTATCTTCCAATTCATGAACATGGAATGTCTTTCCATTTATGTTGTTCTTTAATTTATTTCAGCAATGTTTTGTTGTTTTCAGTGTACAAGTCTTTCACCTCCTTAGATTTAAAATTCTAGTGTTATATTCATTTTTATATTCTAGATTCATTTCTAGGTGTTTATATTCAATTGCATGCAATTGTAAATGCAATTATTTTCTTAATTTCTTTTTCAGGTTGATCATTTCCAGTGGATGAAAAAATAAAACATTTTTTTCTTTTCTTTTGAGATGGAGTCTCAATCTGTTGCCAGGCTGGAGTACAGTGGTGCGATCTTGGCTCACTTACAACCTCCACGTCCTGGGTACAAGCAATTCTCCTGCCTCAGCCTCCCGAGCAGCTGGGACTACAGGTGAATGCCACCATGCCCGGGTAATTTTTGTGTTTTTAGTAGAGACGGGGTTTCACCATGTTGGCCAGTATGGTCTCGATCTCTTGACCTCATGATCCGCCCACCTTGGCCTCCCAAAGTGCTGGGATTACAGGTGTGAGCCACCGTGCCCAGCCACAGCTGAGTTTTTTTTAGTTGTTATTTTATCCTGCAACTTAGCTGAAGTCTAGTAGCTCTAGTAGGATTGGGGTTTTGTGTGTCTGTATATGAATCCTTTGGGATTTTCTATAAATAGGAACATGTCATCTGTGAATAGAGATAGTTTTATGTCTTTCATTCCAGTTTGGATGTCTTTTATTTCATTTTTCTTCATAATTGTCTGGCTAGAACTTCCAGTACAATGTTGAATAGCAATGGTAAAAGTCAGCATCCTTGTCTTGTTCCTAATCTTAGGGGGCAAGCTTTTGATATTTCACCATTGAATATGATGTTAACAGTGGCTGTTCATAAGTGTCCTTTATCATGTTGAAGAAGTTCTCTTCTATTTCTAGTTTTCTGAGTGTTTTTTCATGAAAGAATGTTGGATTTTGTCAAATCTTTTTTCCACATCATGAAGTTTTATTCTCTTATTCTATTAATGTGGTGTATTAAATTGATTGATTTTCTTATGTTGGATGATTCTTGCATTCCTGGAATAAATTTCACTTTGTCATAGTATATAAGCCTTTTACATGTTCTCAGATTTCTTCTGTCTGTATTTTGTTCAGGATTTTCACTTCTATAATCATAAGGGATATTGGTTTCTTCTTTTATTGTCTTTGTCTGGCTTTTGGTATTAGGGTAATACAGCCTTATAGAATAAGTTAGGAAGTGTTTCCTCTTCTTCTATTTTTCAGACGCATTTGAGAATGATTGGTATTAATTTTTCCTTAAATGTCTGGTAGAATTCGCCAGTGAAGCCAGTCTAATCACATCTTAACTAATTTTCTTCTTTCCTGACTCATCGCCCTCCAGTCTATTCTTCCTTTTATAGCCATAGTGCTTTTCCAAAATATCAATCATCTCAAGTCACATTGCTGCTATAAATCTTTTAATTGTCCCCAAGTCTTTGCTGGATAAAATGTAAACTCCTGTTTATGAGGTTCAAGGCCTTTTGTGAACTGACTGTGCTTGCCTTTATGGGTTATTCTGCTCTGTTTTAGAAACCCACCAACCTCCTCATTTCTCCTCCGCCAACAAACATGCACACCTTGCACACACTCACACTTCCATTCATAAGGAATTGCTTTTGATTTCCAGTATGAATCAAGCTCTTTTGGGCCTCTGTGTCATTGTACACTCTGTTTCTTTTACATGAAACCCATTGCCCATCTTGTATATCTGGAAAACATTTCCTCAAGTATCACCTCCTCCATGAAGTCTTCCCAGACACTTCTCCTCCCCCTAGCCAGAGTAACACACCTTTGCATTATTCACTCATTGCAATCTTCTCAGATATTTAGCTCAGGTTTTTCCACTGGTTTGGAGAGCATAATAGACATTTTAAAGACACGCTTACTCCTTCTGTTCTCCCTCCTCCACTGATGTTGGGCTTGACCATCTGACTGGTTAATCTCATAGTGGGTAGGGAGAGTATACTTTCCTTCCCCATGACATTGGGCTTGATCACATAAGTGAATTGTTGTAGGCAAATGTATATTAATAGACACCATGCAAGCAGAGACTTAAAATGTTCTGTTCAGTTGGATTGCCATACTGCCTTGTAAAGAACTTCCCATGGGTAACTGCTGTCCTTTCAGCCTGGGCACCAGAACAAACACACATAGGGCAGACCCAAGCCAAATTTAGTGAGAAGCCAAGTGTAGCCAGTGACACAGCTTGAAACAGAGTCATCCCTTAAAGCCAAGCCTAGATCAACTACCTATGATTGCATGTGGGAATTGTTTGTTATGCAGCTTTATTGTATAAATAGTTCACTGATACAGGGGATTTTTAAAAATACAATTACTGTTTTGAGAGATTCCAAAAATTAAAAAAAACTACCAAAAATGCTAGAGCAAATATTCCACATACCAACACACAGAATTGACCATTGTTATGCTTTGCCGTGTTTGCTTAGGTCTGTTTGTTTCTTTTACAAAATAAATTAAATACTATAGAGAGTTCCTGCAATATTATTAGTAGAACCTTGGAGTCAGAGATTCTATTTTGTTCTGCTTCGTATTTCAGTGACTAGAACAATGCTTGACAATACTAAGTGCTCAATGAAATGTTCTTTGAAAGAATGAATGATGAATTAATGTAATCAGGGCCAGTGAGCTACATATATGTGAAGTTGTTTGGAGAACACTCATCATATTTTTCTAAAGCTTTTAAAGGTATCTTAGCATTTTGAAACAATCTGAAGAAATAAGAAATTCTTTATTTGTAAGTTTTACATCTTTCTTATTGGTTTGTCCTATCTCCATACTCCATCAGCATCTTTTTATTGCTCCAAGGTGCATTCATTATAAAGGGGAGATTGAGAGTAACAAGTGTTACCCTCTTGGGGAGATAAAAGTCTTAATAAAACTTTCATAATGTGAAGTGATTAGGAGTAGTATTTTGGGATGGGAATACAAGTTATCCGTCCCATGGATTGAAGTCGTAATATACAGAGGCTTCCTTCACTCAAAGTAGGAGAAACTAGTTAAGCACTTATGACATGCTAGGAATGTACATGTTATCCCATTTAACTCTCAACAATTTTGTCCTGATGGGATATTTGGCTCTGTGAAGTGGTTTCTGCTTAATCCTGTTTGAGCCTGGGAATCACCTTCTTTCTCTGAGGCAGGTAAGATGACCATCTAGATGTCTTTTTATCTACTTAATTTTCATAAATTAAGTAGACTCAGGCCTCAAATGGAAGTGAGAAATCAAATATCTTACCACCTCATATTAAACATTCTCTCTATTCCTTTCTAATTGGTGGGAATTTGAGTAAAATGGGTGATGGAAATAAGCCATTTCTGAGTGTCCACTATGTGCCAGAAAGACTTACTTTTGTCTTTTCATGTAATTCTCACTTGCTCTAACTCTACCAGCTTTCCAGTGTCACTTCCTTCCCTGCACTTGATGGTGCAACCATTTTGAGCTGCTGCTGTCCTTCAAACCTACCATGTGGCTTTTCACTGTCACCTTTGTGCTGGTATTTCTTTAACCTAAAATGCCCTGCTTGCTTCTTCAAGTGTGGATCCAGAGACCAACACTATCAGCGTTAACTGGAGCTTGTTAGAAATGCAGAATCACATGCCCCACCTCAGGTGCTGAGTCAGAATCTGCAATTTCAGTGATTTAGATGCAGATTAAATTTGAAAAGTATCACTTGATTCTCTCCTTTTCCACCATGTAACTCTTCCCATCCTTCAAAGCCCAACTTAGCTCTCACTTCCTCCAGGAAGCCTTTAGTCCCACCAAAAAGTAAGTTAGCCATTTCTTCGTGCTATTTCCTTTACATGCGTCTTCTGTCTTTGCTTTCTCTGCTAGGCAGTGAGTTCCTTCAGTTGAGAAATTGAATCAACTCTATTTCTGTGTCCTTTGCAGGCAATCAACCTACAATAGATATTTGTTGAATTTGGTGAGTAGCCATTCCCATGAGGGAAACTTTATTATCACCATATTGCAAATGCAGAAACTGGAGCTCATGGAGGTTAAAGTTGCGTTGTGAGTGACAAAGTCAAGATTTAAACCCAGGCCTCCTGATTCCAATACCCATGTTTTCATCTCTATGTCTTATGGCAATTTTAAGAATTTCAGGCAATGGAGAGGATTACCTTAGGATATTGGGATCATCTCCCGTACATAAATAATGTCGGACAGCAGCTGCCCATCCTAAAGTCAGCTAGTAACTAAGAGTAAGAGAGCAAGGCCATTTGTAGAGATCGATGCTAGAGAATGATGGAATGCCTTGGGGAAGCAAAGAAATCGTTTGTGCTTTTAAAATCCATTTGCAAAGATCACTCCTAAAAAGCGTGTATGTCTATATGTGTACAGTACCTGCCCTAAAACAATACACTCAAAATTTGTCTAAACAAATGAACAAATGACTTTGTGCACCCATAAGCGTATCCAAATCCATGTGTGTATGTACATACTTTGCATCTCTGAATATATATATGAACCTGTGATGATGTGTTCCATTCCCTTGCTATTCAAAATGTGGTCTGAGGAGGAGTGGCATTGGCATCACCTGGAAATTAGTGGAAATGAAGAAACTCAGGCACCACCTCAGACACACTGAACCAGAACCTGCATTTTTAATCACTCCAAGTGATGTATATGCACATGAAAGTTTAAGAAGCACTATTCTAAGCAATCCCAGGTAAGCCAGGACAGGCTGTCATGTCAGGTTCAAGCTCAAAATGCTGAAAAGCTGCCAGAAAGAGATGTCTTCATTACTTGCATTCACTGGGCTCGTTATTTTATTCCTCTGCTCTTCACACACCTACCTGTAGACAAAGATCTAATTTACCACTTAAAAAAGACGGAGCACACACATGCCAACACAAGCACATCGAGCATGTCTGAACCTTTGTTGACACTTTATAAACCAGATTTTTCTTTAAGTCTTCTTCCACCAGGATATAGGCATTTTTCCTAAACATGCAGAGAAATGTGCCTTTTTTGTTCAGTAGAGCTCTTTATCTGCCCCTTTCTGCCTCCATCTACCCTTTCTAGCTTTGTTCCTTTCTTGTCCTCCCACCCAGCTGCTCATTTAGCAAGAATATAAGTTTTCTCTTCAATCACCTCAATTCTGCCAATTTATAGAATTAATTTCTTTTTTCTTCACTGCCTTACCCCTAAGAATTAGATATGGATATCTGCCTCCTTCAGTTTTTGTTTGTGTAAAGAAAGTTGGGAGTCAATTGATATTTCTAAAATTGTTAAATACTCTGAAGAAAAAAAAAATACCCTTTTCTTTCCTTGAATTTTTCTTAGGAAACATGACATTGGTCAGTTGCTTGAACACCATTCCTTTACCTGTTCTGTTGCCTGTCCCCTACCCTGGGCTTTCTAAAGACTGTAGAAGTTATACTAGGTTCACATTTCCTCTATCTACTGGAGTGACACATTCTTTAAAAAAAAAAGAGGGGCGAGGGAAGGGCATTTGGAGCAGGCTAAAGATAACCAGGGGTTATTTTTGAACAATAGTTCATAAGAATTTATCATTTCCAAGGCTCTCTTCTTGAGGAACTGATAAAAGTGGCCCCTCTGTCCTTTTGCTAAAGATGGTATTGAATGATCATATGATGCAGGTGATAACATAATATTATACAGAGTATTACAAACAGTTATATGGTTGTAAACCAGCTTTGTAAATGGCTATTTTGTAAATAGAACCACATGTTTGAGGCACGTTGGACTTTTAGTTGACAAATTCAAGAGTATAGAAAATCTCTTGTTCTCTGCAATCAAATTAAATCTAAGTCTGAACACCCATCTATTTATCCCGGCAGGAAATGTAAGTTACCAAGACACCCCTCAGGGCTCTGAAAGTGTCTTACCCAGCCACAGAACATCAGGGAGAAAATCCTAGCCATCACTTATCTGTCCACCCTGACTATCTTTAAGATACCCATTATCCCAGGAACATGGTCTTTTCTGGTCCAATTAGGGCATACGACTATTCTGTGGGGCTGGGAGCTCTGTGTCCAGAGCCCACCTGCCCTAGATTTCTCCTTCCTTCTCTGACCTTTTTATTCTAGGTGAAGTCTCTCCCTCTTCTTTCTAAATACCTTCAAATGCACCCCTCAGCTGAAGATCATTTGGTTTAGGCTTTTACAAAAGACAGGAGATACAATTGCCTTCAAATTGTTCCTGCTTTCTGCCCTATGAAAATCCCTGAAGCAGGAAATATCAAGAGTCCAGCTACTTGCCTGACACACATGGGAAAGGGAAAGATTCAGCAAGTCACGCCCAAGTTAATATTTCAGAAGAGTGTCCAGACTATTCTCTATACAAGGAACTTGTACCTATCTCTTCATCATCCCCTTCTGACCTTGCTGCAGAGAGAAAAGGCCATCATTCTCTCTAGCTCATGCTCCACGACCATCATCAATCAGCTATCTCAAGACCCCACTCTGGTTTTATTTCATTATTTTTCTCCTTTATCTCTATCTCAACTCCCACCATCCCAAGCCACCCACTCTAATATATTCAATACGCACTTCAGTTGTGAGTATTTCATTGAAATGTCTGTGCATTTTAAGCGCTTTTTATTTTTATGTAATTTCAAACATACAACATAGCAGCTAAAGCAGTACAAGGAGCTAACATGTACCCTTTATCCAGAATCACCAATTTCCATTTTGCCTGATGCAATTTATAATTCTCTCTTTCTCTGTCTCTCATACACACACACACACACACACACACACACACACACAAATATAGAAATGTTTTGTTTGAATCTACGTTCAAAGATGTCACAAAAACTTATTTTATGTGTAAAAAATACATATTGCATATATTTTTTCCTGACATGGCCAGCCTTTGTTGTGACTGTAGTTGGACTTTGCTGATCTTTATTGCACTTTTTAAAATATGTTCACTATGTTTATTTTCTTTTTTCATTTTCACAAACATTTATTGTTGCTGTATCTTCCAGACTAGGGCTCAGGGATCTGAGCATCTTTCATTCAGAGTTGTATTGAAATCAACAGACAAATAGCAGAATACTGGAACCAATGAGCATGTCCTGAAAGAGTACAGTTGTCCCTTGATATCCACAGGGAATTTGTTCCAGGACCCCTGCAGATACCAAAATCTGTGGACACTCAAATTTCTTATACCAAATGGTGGACTATTTGCATATAATGTACATATATCCTTCTCTATACGTTAAGTCATTTCTAGATTACTTATAATTATTAGTCTGTTTTCACACTGCTATAAAGAACTACCTAAGTCTAGGTAATTTATGAAGAAAAGAGGTTTGGTTGACTCATAGTTCTGCAGTCTTGACAGGAAACATGACTGGGAGGCCTCAGGAAATTTACAGTCACAGTAGAAGGTGGAGGGGAAGTAAGCATGTCCTACCATAGTGGAGCAGAAGAGAGAGAGTGAAGCAGGAAGTGCTACACTCAGAAAATTTCTAACAACCAGATCTCATGAGAACTCATTCACTATCATAAGAATAGCAAGGGGCATGTCTGCCCCCATGATTCAGTCACCTCCCACCAGGCCCCTCCTCCAACACATGGGGATTACAATTCAAGATGAGATTTGGGTGGGGATACAGAGACAAACCATATCAATACCTAATACAATATGAAAGCTATAACAATAATTGTTTTACTGTATTTTTTTTTAACTTGCACTGGGCTTAGTGGCTCATGCCTGTAATCCCAGGACTTTGGGAGGCTGAGGCAGGAAGATGGCTTGAGGCCAAAAGTTCAAGACCAGCCTGGGCAACATGGCAAGACTCTGTTACCGCAAAAAGTTAAAAATTTAAAAATTAGCTGGGTGTGGTGCCACGGGCCTGTGGTTCCAGCTGCTTGGGAGGATCGCTTGAGCCCAGGAGGTCATGTTCACACCAGTGCATTCCAATTTGGGTGATAGAACAAGATACTGTCTCAAAAAAACAAACAAACAAACAAAAACGTATGTTTATGGTCATATTGTTATTTTTTTTTCTAAATATTTTCAATCTGAAGTTGGTTGAATCTGAGGATGCAGGCCCACAGATATGGAGGGCCACCTATACAGGGTTAAAGCCAGGATAAGCCACAAAACAAAACAAAAGCAGAACATGGAAAAAAAAAAGTCTCCAACCCAAATGAGTCAAATGAAAAGTTGGAACCAGATTTAGAGATAAAGCAATCACAGAAATGGATATGTGTCATAATAATAAAGATAAACATAAATGAATCATCTGTTTTGGATGCCTACTATACGCCTGGCACTTTCTATCCTTGTACTAAACCCTGTAAGTTGAATATTTTTGTCTTCCTTTTGCAGATGAGGAAATAGAAGTGCAAAGAAGTTCCACAACTTAACCAAACTAAGAGGCAATGTAGCCACAACTCAGACACAGGTCCATCTGATTCCAAATCTCATTATTTCCCTTCAATTCCATGTTGCACGAGATGGACAAGAAGTATAGGGATGAACATGGAAGAATTCATGTAGCAGAGTTCAGGCACACTGGAGGATTTTTTTGAGATTGCCATAGTTTCTTTGGGGAAATAATTATATTTAAGAGGGGACATCAGAATATATAGTCAGTATGTCTAGGGAGTGTTAAAATGAAATTATTTATATGGAACAGGAAGTAAGGGAGCCCAAAAAAGCTAAGCTAGGCTCTTAGACCTGGAGCCTAAATATCACAGACCTTTAAATCAGACCATTTTGTGTTCTTTTGGCCTAAACCAACCATGGTGATCCTGTTTCCACTTGGCTGAGATTGGTTATTCCATTACCCTCCCTTAGGGATGACCATGTGACCCAGTTTTAGCCAACAAAAACTTATGGGAAACCTGCTGGAGTTGGGGCTTCTGGGAAAGATTTTCCTACCTGATAAAAAGGAGCCTTCCTCCCATCCTTCCTGCTTAGGACACTGCCATATGAGTTTGTGACATTTGGCCATGGCATCCATCTTGTAACCCTGACGGGACTGTGAGGAAGCAAAAGCATCCTACGAAATAATATCTGACCATTTTGCAGCCTTTGCATATTGTTGGTAGTTTGGAAAGTACTTTTACAGACCTAGTTTCATTTAGTGCTTAAATAACTCTGTGAGCTGGTTAATATGTGTGCTCTAGAAGGATCCAAAAATCTGTAGATTCAACCTAAGTGACAGCATGATGGTAGAACTAAAGTTACCAAATGTTTCCAAGTGGTTTTCTAACTAATCCTATATGGTGTTCTGAAATTGTTTCCAATGTTGCCTAAAATGAGCTCTTCAAAGAGGCTTTGGTCTTCAGACCCCCTAGGATGTTGCAAGGAAAAATCAATTAATGTTCTAAAGCGTAGGTTATGCTTTGCTCAGGAAAGAATATTGAAATGGTTAAAGGCAAAAGCAGGCAAAACTGTAAAGAGTACATAAGCACTTGTTGACACAATTTAGGGACCAATTACTGAGGAAATGCCAAAGGCTCCCTGCCACTTTAGAAACTGCTTGGAGTACAGACCTTAAAAATTGTCTATCATAGATATTTTATTATTGTTCATTTGGAGAAATTTCACTATAGGGTTTCAGGACAAATTCATAGCAGTGTTAAATCACTGTACTTCTACCTTCCAAGTAGAAATTATTTCATTCTGTTAAGTCTTAATGTAGGAATCTACAATAGTAGTAATTGTATATAATTAAATTCTATAGAGTGGCATTCTCCTAGAAATTATAGCACCTATAAGTAAAGTAGAATAAGGGAGAAATACATTTATTCAGTGCTTATCATATACCGGAAACCATATATTACATAATCTAATTTGACTTCCTCTTATGACTCTCCAACATCCTTATGAGATAAGATTATCAATAATCTATAAATGTGAATAGATCACAAATTTAATGAAACAAGTTTCAGTGTATGATAAACCAGAATATCATCCTAACTTATTACACTTTTTCTATAGGGAAACAAAACATGCAAACATTTAGCTAGTCAATTTTTAAAATTGAGTCCAATAACCTTGTTTTATCCCGTACTTCAAAAAAACCTACTATCTAAATAACTAAACAATTTTAAACAACCTTTTAGTTAATTATTTTGAAATTGTATAGCCACAGCATTTGAAAGAATCTTAAACAAGCGGGTAAAATGTATCTGGTTTGGAGGTATCTGGTATAATTATCCTTCTACTTTGTATTTGATGAAAGTAATTGATGTGAGTTACCTTTATTAAATTATCCCCAAATCCTGTGAGTTATGGATTATTCACATTTTACAAATGAGGACAAAATTCAGAAATATTAGCATGATGCCAAGATTACATAGCAAGAAAATGGTAAAGGCAGGACCCAAATCTAAGTGTGTCTTGCTCCAACGCCCACGTCTATCTACTACTCCTTGCTGTAATCACAGCATGATTTTCTTTTAACAGATGATAGAAAAAAATTCCTTTGAATTTCCAACCACAAAATGAACTGCTTCACTGGATGTAGGGTCTGTTAAATAATTTTTCTTAAATGAGAATTTTATGTGTTTCTTATTTTTCTCCCTTAGGGAGTTGCAGAAGGAGCAAGAGAAAAGATTTCACTGTGATTTCCAAGTCATGCTGCATAAATCATGTCCCGGATAAATGCCATGGCATTGCACATTGCAGTGTCTGCTACACAAGAACACTGGTAGCATCATTTTGATTTAGTTTTTGTTTGTTTTTAGAAATGGGGTTCTCATTGTGTTGCCCAGGCTGGCCTCAAACACCTGGGTTCAGGCAATCCTCCCACCTCAGGCTCCCGAGTAGCTGGGACTACAGTCGCACACCACTGCACCTGGCTTCCCTTTGGTTTTTAAAGTCCTATTTCTACACTTTGTGATGGCCTGGCTGATCACCAGTTGAAAGATCCCATCATCCTCTTCCCACCCCCCAAAAGATGAGCTTAACATCGTTATTTAAACAGGCAAGTGTGGGCAGGTAGAGTCAAGTTGGACATTAATTTGGGCATTAGATTAAGACTTGAGTTTGAGTCCTGCTGCTCTTCTCGTAATGACAGAAACTTTGGCAAGGTTGCTCACTTTCTCTGAGCCTCAATTCCATGGTATAGAATAGTACTTCCCAAATTGTATTTCTTAAATTTCCAATCCATTTGAGGAAAAATACTTTTGTAAAATATATGAATTACCAGGAAAATTAAATAGAAAATGTAGACATATAAGATATGCACTCATTTTTTTAGATTATTAGATTCAACAAGCAGAAAATTTCTCTCTAAAAGCTTCTAAACAGCCACTTTTAATTTCTGTATCATCTCGCTGTGGACTGGAAAGAAAGAGTTCACAGCCTGCCACACGTCCAGGAATCACACTTCGAATAGCACTGATCTTTAAGGATAAAAGTCCCTTTCTTCTTTGAAAGGTTGTAGTTAGAATTCAATGCATAATGTATGTGAAAAGCTTACAAAACTGCCTGGCACATACAAAACATAAGGAAGTACCACCTCTTCAGTAAAATTAAACCCAGAACCTCTAAGGAATTAGCACCTGTAGACAGTCTCCTGGGAAAACTGGGAACAAAGTAAAGCCCCCTGACTAACGGCATTTGACTTCATGCCCCAACTTTACCTTCTCATCAAGATTTTCTTCCTTCTTTCTCTCTCTCTCACTCTCATTGCCACAGTAGCTCTCTCTCTCTTTCTATTCCCTTCCTACTGCCACCAAGATACTGGCCTCATAGTGGTGAAAAATTCCTGACCATGCAGTGTCAGAAACATAGTACTAGGACCATCAGCAACCCAGCTAACAAAGTATAAAGTCCTCGTCCTTACTCAACTTGTTTGTTGTTTGGTTCCCTAAGCTCTTTAGAATAGAGTTCTTGAGCCAGATTTGTGGCCATCTAGCTCTACTTGTTAGTTGTTATTTTGTCCTTAGTCAAAGGACAAAGGTCACTTAATATTCTAGCTCTGGGTTTCAGTTTCCTGAAGTATAAAATGAGGGAAAGAAAATGCCTGCCTTATAGGGTTGTTATGAAGATTAAATGAGTTGACATACATCAAGGGCTGAGTATATTACCTGGGACATAATAAGCAACCTGCTCAGTTGGTGTCAGCCATCGTCATCATCATCATCATCATTACCAAAGTGATCACATGGAACCTCGTGGGTCCTTCACTGCTCAGCTCCTGGTCAGTCCCCACACAGCAGAAGTGTCATTCTGAATGGCCTCTCAGAGAAACATCCTGCTAGACAAATGCTCCTGCCCAGGAGAGACCCTGCCATATCATCCAATTGACAATGGTCCATACTGTCAGATTCAATTTCTACTTGGGGAGACACTGCTTTTCCCTGAGTGGTTGGTACCAGGAATAATCTCTTTTAAGTGAGAATCCTTCCCCTGCCTGGAAGTGGCTTGGCCATACAGGCCTACCAGTCTGTCTTAACACATATCCCTACTGTAGCTTTCATATAACATGTAACACAATATACAATATGTTTTGATATCCAGAAACCATTTCATCACTGTAGGTTTTGTATTAGTTATCTAGTACCATAATCATGCTGTATAACAGACCACCACAAATGACACAACAATAAACATTCTTTACTCATGCATCTGGAAGGCATGCTAGGAGATTTTGCTGATCTTGGGTCAGCTAAGACATTCTTTTTGTCTTGTGCAGGGATTGGCTGGTTGTTGACTGACCTAGGATAGTTTCAGCTAGGATGACTGAGGTGACTTTTGCTCTACTCTGTGCGAGCAGAAGGATAATGCAAATACATGCTTATGGCTATGGTAGAGGACAAGAACAAGTGGAAACCCATAAGTGCTTTTCAGATCTCTGTTTGCCCCACATTTGTTAGTATCCCATTGACCAACCCAGGTCATAAGGCTGAGCCCAGAATAGGAGTGGGATAGCACTACAAAGTTAGGTGACAATGGACATAGGAGTATGATCATGAAATGTTAGTTCTACCTTCCATTATCTTATATTTCTGTCCAATCATATCAGAAAAACCACTTGTTGATTCATACTTCCAAGTCAGGACTGTCTATCAAGCCAAGGTGTTATTGAATATATACTCTAGGATTTCATTTTTCTGTTTGTTTAAACAGACTCTGTAGAATACTTTTTTTCTCCTACTAACTGAAAATGGAGCAACAGAAAATAGATTCATTTTTTATAATTGATATATGAACATTTCATGTCATAATTCCTAAGATAGTTTATAACTTCTATGGGGACCAGTCTTCATCCCATGGTATTATTGTATTCTCAACAAATGAACTTAACATCCAAGGAATAATACTAAAATTGCTACTTATTAGAGCTTAATGCTTTTCTCATAAAACTTGCAGAATTCAAAATAAGCTTTCCTACTGGAGGCAGACTCTCAGGGAGATTTTCTGTGTTAGGAATTTGATATTTTCCTTTCAAATAAGAAAAAGAAAAAACACTCACACACCTGTATTTTCTCTTTCTGAAGTTACTTCACAACTAAATGGAGTATTACTATTTCCATTTCTTGAGGGAGACAATTATTTTAATTTACATAAAACTTGGTGACATCTTAGACAAAGGGAAATATGTACTCCCCCTGCTATCAGTTAACTCTCCAGTTAGTGACTTTGTGGAAGGATTCCTGAAAAATATCAGTGATTTCAGAAAGGGTTCCCTTCCACTTTCAGGGGAAAATCAGAACCTCCTCATTCACCTTGCAATAAAGGAGCTACCTGGTCATATCTGTGGTTATGCGTGGAGGGGTGATGGGGGCAGTGAGAAGGGAAGGGGCCTTGTCCAGACTGCAGCTTGCTTGCTGTTGCTCTCAGCCCATTATTTGTGCTGAATAAGGTCAGGTAGAGGATTCCTTCTGAAGATGTGTGAAGCAAGGCCACAGAAATATGTAAAGGTGGTATCATGATGTCCTGTAGTCTCTCCCACTCTTCCCCATATTTATGTCACTGACTCACACTCTTGCACAGACACTTTATATTGCAATCCCTAGTATAGCTCATAACTCCTATTGGGACCAGTCTTCATCCCTTTTGTTATGATATTCTCAACAATTGGATTTTGTTTGACTCAGGTCAAAAAGCCTTGAGTTAGTATTTTAACCAAGTCACTTACAAGCTCTATGATCTTTAATATTTGAAGTAATTATGTGAATTTCCTACAATCCCCTCTTCATCACTGCTCTCTCTCTCTGTCTTCCAACTTTCTACCGCCTTGCTTCTTGGTTCTTTTCTTACTACTGTAGCCTCAATCCTCACAGGCATTGCCTATCCAGGAGAGAAAAAGAGGCACTGGAAGTAGCTAAATCTTAAATTAGAAGGTGGAACTTACTGTGGACATCTCTGCAGAAAAGCAGTAATGTGTGAGGAGTGAAGAGACACCAGAAGAAAGGAAGAGGGAGCATGGACTTTCATATTGAAGAGAAAGGGAGTGTGGAATTTTTTTGTGCTTTATTGGCATGAGACTCAGACTTTCAGAGAGATAGTGAGACTGAAATGACTTTGGTTTTTATGGAAATTATCATTTAACTTTGATCTTGAGGGAATGTCACTGAGCCAAGTTCTGAAGTTTAGGTTTTGGGGGAGGGAGTGGAGGCTGTGAGACAGAAGAGATGAAAAAGGAAAAGAATGAAGGAAATTCTTCATTCTGGGAGGAAGAAGTGTGTGTGTGTGTGTGTGTGTGTGTGTGTGTGTGTGTGTGTGGCAAAGGAGGTGGCGGACGCAGAGGTTAGGGAATTCCCTTTTCCTCCCTGGCCTCAGGAATTCAGGTTTAAAACACAAGAAGCCTTAGAGAAGCTGAAAGAAAGCTGTTCTTAATTGCCTCAGTTCCGTGCTAGTTATAAACACTGGAAAGAAAATGGGATTGAAGAATGTCTGGTAGAACAGCCACTGTAAACCTTTTATTATCATATTTGTGGCTTCTGGGGTATGACTTTAATGCCATCTTTTAAGATGTTACTTAAGCAATTGTGTTTAAATTTCAAAAACCTATCCCAAGTATTTCTTTTCTCCCTTCAGTTAATTTTCCATTTATATAAATGATTTCCTTGCTGCAGAAACTCATGCCTTGAGATGAATGCACAGTTTGAATATTTTCACATTTGGAGCAATCTGTTAATGACGTAAAATAATATATAGAGAAAAAGCAGAGCATTAGAGGGCCAAGGACCTCTGTAAATGTTCTGATGCCAGCTAGTCACAGCTGGCTGTGTGACCTTGGGTGAAGTCCTTAACTTCTCTAAGTCTTAACTCCTACATGTGCACTACATGAATGGGAAAGGCTTTCCAGCTCTAAATATTTGTTTCATAATTGGTCTTGAGGTCAATATAACACCTAAAACAAAGTTAGTATGAAATACAAGTCTATCCACTTCTTAGAGTCTGTGGACCTTATTTCTATAAGCAAATTAACTTCTCCAAATTCCAATTTCCTCATCTATAAAATGGAAATTGTAATACAGTTTTGTATCTATCTTGTTAGCCTTGTTGTGAGGTTTGCATGAGAAAATGTTTGCAAACAGTTTAGCATAGTGACTGGCACTTAGTAAGTGCTCCAAGGATGTAGGTTAAAAAGAAAAGAAAACAAAAGCTGCTGTGTTTCAGAGTCAAATTACTCTCTGTGGCCCATGTGGGTCCCTGTGGGCTCCCTGGTGTGCTCAGATGAACAATGGAAAGCAGAGTTAGCATAACAAAGATGATGATGAAGATTATGATGATGAAAACAAACCAGGCTCTGTTCAAAGTGCTTTATTTGTATCAACTCATTTAATCTGAATACAAACCCTATAAGGTAGATAAAATTATCCTCCCTATTTTATAGGTGGGGAAACCAAGAGAGTAAGCAACTTACCCAATGCCATACCTCTGGGAAAGTAACCCTCTACTTCCATTAGTGAAGTTGAACTCTGACACTGCCCCTGAAGTATGTTTTTAAAAAAGTTATTTCAAATCCAACCTTTTTGGTTTTTCAAGGATGCTCAGAAAGTTAGCTGAATAAATAATGTCCAAGCCTGAATCAACCCAAAATTTCCATGCCTGTATTTTCCCACCTGGTGCTAATGAACATGCACAAGGAGATGGCAACATTTGTCTAATGACATTAACTAATGCTGCCCCCTGCATGGTGATTATGAGTGGAGCTGTGCTGTGGCTTCAGCAAGCAGGTGGTGGAAATTCTTAATGAAGATTGCATTCAGATTACAGTGTTTGGATATATCTTATGATGAGATTTGCTAAGGGCTCAAAACCTTTTCCAATTGGCTCACTTATCCTCAGAGCTAACAGGAGGGCTTGATATAAAGAACTGGAAGCATGGAAAGAACTAAACGTAAATTGCATCAGAGCTACCCCTACATTAGAGACTGACTCTGAATGCTAATGAATAAGCTTCTGTGATGCTCTTTATGAAAGCAAAGTGATAGGGGGCAAAATATAGACTCAGAAGACCAATTCTGACTAAAGAGCACTGGCATAGATTAAGAGACACTTCATCTGTTGGGGAATGAGCAGTTTGCTAAGAATTAAAAACCAGTTTGTTCACTTACACATACAAGTATGTGTACAAGTATGTGTAAGTGAAAAACTAGTTGAAGGAATGGATGAGGTTATGAAAGTTAAAGAAAATAGTGACTTGCTTTCTATATTTAGAAGAGGAATTTATTGATGCTAATGCTGGGAGCTGAACTATTAAAAAATGGTTTAATAACAATGGAACAATTTATGATTTATTCCAGAGAAATAGACTGGAGAAGAAATATTCTCATTCCATTCTGCCTTGTATACATCACAAGGTCATGGTAAATATATATGTTAATTTTTACACATGGGTGCAGTAAACATTTTCAAATTCAAATAAATGTGTATGTGCTAAGTAGAAAAAATAAGTCAAGCAGAAAAGATCAAACACCTACCTTAGAATTTTTCAGAAATTCTTCCAGGCTTAAGAAGAAAAATTGGTCTCACAGTAATATCAAAAGGCTTAAAATTTTTATTTATTTGTAGTCATCTCTGTTCAGCTTTTTCTTAGTAATTTCTTCTACTAATTCAATTGCTTGAGAGGAAAGAGTTCATATTCAAAATTTCATACTCTCAGCAATTGCATTCGCATTCCACTACTCTGTTAATTGTATATCTACTTTTTGTTTGGGTTTAGAAGCTTATTTTAAAACCATAGTCCAACACTTTCCTGTATTGATTTTTCCCTATAGAATGTTCAATTTGTATTTCTCATTTTCCAAAAGAACAGTGAGTTCAATAGTGACATTTTTATTAGTGAGAATGTGGCAGATTAAGCCCAACTGCCCTAACTCTCCAAGGACAAGAATATTTAAGTGTCTAGAGTTGATTGTATTATTTTTCTCTGTTTAAGATTTGAATTTCTCCTTAATGATAAATATTAATTTTTGGTAGCTTTAGCTTAGCTACAAGAAATTATTGGCTCTAAGATGCTAAAATGATCTTTGTGTTCATACCCGCTAATTGTTAAACAGGAATGGCTTTTTATTTGAAGCAAAATGAGTTAAGTTTTACACCATTATTATATGCACACAAATACTATTATGGGCATGCACACACGGAGTTCCAACTCTATTATTAATTATTCATGCCAGTGGAAGGGAAGTAGAGAGAAATACCACGCTAGACACAATCCAAAACCCTTAAATACACAAAAATATCCTGTTTGATTTTTATTTGGAACTGGAACATTTACCAAAATGCTATATGGACGCTTAAGTATTTATTAAGCACCTGCTGTATGCGGAGCTCTAGGTAGCAGGGGACATTACAGAGTATAAAAGGGATGTCCGGTAAATTATGCATCTGTTGAGAGATCAAGCCAATCAAAAGGAGGAATAAGCTGCACACCTGTGATGCTACCTAAAGAGAACAGGGAATATAATATCAATTCATGTAAAATAATTACCACAAGCTAAAAATTTCATGCCGAGCCAATGAGATGTAGGGCAGGTTTCTTGGGTGAAATATGTCTTTACTCATAGTTTTAAGGAATGGAGGATCATTCCAGTCTCAAGAAGATTACACAGAGGAAAGCCCAAGTAAGGCCATTCCTTCTGGTTGCAGGATGGGTCGTGGTAAATGACTTTCCCAGGTCACAATGTGACAGTAGCAGAACACTGGCTAAAATTCCTGCTTTTTGATCCCTCATTCAGTGAAAGCATAGGTTCTTGGTCATCTGTGATTGGTATAAAATAGCATTTTGCCATGGAATTGTTTTCATAGCTATTTTGACTATGGCCACTTAAGACAAAACAGGTTAAATCAATTTCACTGAATTGAGTCACCGGGTGGTTAAAACTACAGCCATACCACGAGCCAGCAACATTAAACAACTTGCTACGCATCACACACACCACGCATATTTTCTCAGAGCTTCTATTTAGCTGGAATGCATCAGTATGATAGTGCAAGTTGTTGAAATATTAAAACATTTCTGTACTAGTTGGCAAATAGTTGGTTCTCTGATCCCCACTCCCATACTTTTAACCACCACAAGACCCACTCAGACTTCTCCTCAGTAAGACCTTATAATTCAGTAACTAAAAGGGACACAGCCGGGCCATCCAGGACCCTGCTTCAGCACTGTGGCAAGCATTTGTTCTGATTGGCCAGTGCTGCGGTCTGCCTTCATTCTGATTGGTCAGTGCTGGGGTAATGATTCATTCTGATTGGTCACTACTGGTGTTATACAAGTGGTTATGGTATTACTTCTACCTTTTCTCTTCCACTCCTGTGTTCCTGTTATTCCCTCTGCCTCCAACGCTCTTTCTCGTCATTTCCACCTGTGTGTCACAGGGAACTGGCTTACACGATCTACACGATCGTGGGAGCTGGTTACGCAGTCTCCATAAGGCTGTTGTCTCTACATGTGGCTGGAGCTTGAACTCCATGGGGAAGACAGGAAGAGAAAATCAGGAGTAGGCTGGCACCTCAAGCAAAAAAAGGACCGTGTCCCGTCTCGTTGCTTCTCACCTTACTGATGAGAGTATCCTTCAGAAGCTGAAGCCCTTTATCCCAGAGCTAAACACACACTTGACCTGGAAGTCAGACATGCTACAGAAGACCACAGGGGAAGGTAGAGCAATGGCAGGCCAGCTGCTGCTTCACGCCAACAAAGTGAGTTAGCAGCCCCACACACCTGTGCACTAAGAAATGGCCACTGCTTCCCTTCTCCTTGGGTGGGAATCTCCCTTGTGCCCCACCCAGCCTAGAAACATAGAAGAAAGGGAATTCTGGGGAAGGCAGTTCAGTCCAACCAAGTGGACATATGGCAAAGCCATCATACCTTGGTATCAAGGCTTAGGTCCAGTGCCATCTCCTCTCTGTATCCTTTCATTTGCCCAGGCAGGAAGTCCTTGTTCCTCCTCTGAGTCCTGAAGGCCCTCTATCAAAACCACATAGTGGCACTTAGCATGCACCTAGCATTTTAAACAGTAATGGTCTGCCCACTGTATATCCACCACTTGACTGCAACTCCTTTTTTTATTATTATTATTATTATTTTACTTTAAGTTTTAGGGTACATGTGCACAATGTGCAGGTTAGTTACATATGTATACATGTGCCATGCTGGTGTGCTGCACCCATTAACTCGTCATTTAGCATTAGGTATATCTCCTCATGCTATCCCTCCCCCCTCCCCCCACCCCACAACAGTCCCCAGAGTGTGATGTTCCCCTTCCTGTGTCCATGTGGTCTCATTGTTCAATTCTCATCTATGAATGAGAACATGCGGTGTTTGGTTTTTTGTCCTTGCGATAGTTTACTGAGTATGATGATTTCCAATTTCATCCATGTCCCTACAAAGGACATGAACTCATCATTTTTTATGGCTGCATAGTATTCCATGGTGTATATGTGCCACATTTTCTTAATCCAGTCTATCATTGTTGGACATTTGGGTGGATTCCAAGTCTTTGCTATTGTGAATAGTGCCGCTATAAACATACGTGTGCATGTGTCTTTATAGCAGCATGATTCATAGTCCTTTGGGTATATACCCAGTAATGGGATGGCTGGGTCAAATGGTATTTCTAGTTCTAGGTCCCCGAGGAATCGCCACACTGACTTCCACAATGGTTGAACTAGTTTACAGTCCCACCAACAGTGTAAAAGTGTTCCTATTTCTCCACATCCTCTCCAGCAGCTGTTGTTTCCTGACTTTTTAATGATTGTCATTCTAACTGGTGTGAGATGGTATCTCACTGTGGTTTTGATTTGCATTTCTCTGATGGCCAGTGATGGTGAGCATTTTTTCATGTGTTTTTTGGCTGCATAAATGTCTTCTTTTGAGAAGTGTCTGTTCATGTCCTTCACCCACTTGTTGATGGGGTTGTTTGTTTTTTTCTTGTAAATTTGTTTGAGTTCATTGTAGATTCTGGATATTAGCCCTTTGTCAGATGAGTAGGTTGCGAAAATTTTCTCCCATTTTGTAGGTTGCCTGTTCACTCTGATGGTAGTTTCTTTTGCTGTGCAGAAGCTCTTTAGTTTAATGAGATCCCATTTGTCAATTTTGGCTTTTGTTGCCATTGCTTTTGGTGTTTTAGACACGACGTCCTTACCCATGCCTATGTCCTGAATGGTATTGCCTAGGTTTTCTTCTAGGGTTTTTATGGTTTTAGGTCTAACATGTAAGTCTTTAATCCATCTTGAATTAATTTGTATATAAGGTGTAAGGAAGGGATCCAGTTTCAGCTTTCTACATATGGCTAGCCAGTTTTCCCAGCACCATTTATTAAATAGGGAATCCTTTCCCCATTTCTTGTTTTTGTCAGGTTTGTCAAAGATCAGATAGTTGTAGATATGCGGCGTTATTTCTGAGGGCTTAGGTATTGATGGGACGTATCTCAAAATAATAAGAGCTATCTATGAAAAACCCACAGCCAATATCATACTGAATGGGCAAAAACTGGAAGCATTCCCTTTGAAAACTGGCACAAGACAGGGATGCCCTCTATCACCACTCCTATTCAACATAGTGTTGGAAGTTCTGGCCAGGGCAGTTAGGCAGGAGAAGGAAATAAAGGGTATTCAATTAGGAAAAGAGGAAGTCAAATTGTCCCTGTTTGCAGACAACATGATTGTATATCTAGAAAACCCCATAGTCTCAGCCCAAAATCTCCTTAAGCTGATAAGCAGCTTCAGCAAAGTCTCAGGTTCAAAATCAATGTACAAAAATCACAAGCATTCTTATACACCAATAACAGACAGAGAGCCAAATCATGAGTGAACTCCCATTCACAATTGCTTCAAAGAGAATAAAATACTTAGGAATCCAACTTACAAGGGACGGGAAGGACCTCTTCAAGGAGAACTACAAACCACTGCTCAATGAAATAAAAGAGGATACAAACAAATGGAAGAACATTCCATGCTCATGGGTAGGAAGAATCAATATTGTGAAAATGGCCATATTGCCCAAGGTAATTTATAGATTCAATGCCATCCCCATCAGGCTACCAATGACTTTCTTCACAGAATTGGAAAAAACTACTTTAAAGTTCATATGGAACCAAAAAGAGCCCGCATCGCCAAGTCAATCCTAAGCTAAAAGAACAAAGCTGGAGGCATCACGCTACCTGACTTCAAACTATACTACAAGGCTACAGTAACCAAAACAGCATGGTACTGCTACAAAAACAGAGATATAGATCAATGGAACAGAACAGAGCAACTCCTTAAAGTGAGGATTTGAAGACAGTCACACTGCCCAACACATAATGAGCAGTCCATAAAAGTTCATGGAATGAATGAGAGAATAAATGAATCATTAACTGACTGACCTAACACAGATGGTGTGGGAAGCAAGATTCAAGGGTGATATATTAGCTATCTATTACTGTATAACAATTATCCCCAAACATAGCAGCTTAAAACAACATATATTATCTCATAGTTTCTGAGAGTCAAGAATCTAGGAGTGGTTTATCTGGGTGGTTCTGGTTCAGGGTATCTGTTGGCTGGGACTACATTCTTTTGAAGAGTCTGGAGGATCAGTTTCCAAGTTCACTTCCCTGACTGTAGGTGGGAGGCTTTAGTTTTTCATCACATGGGCTTCCCATGGCGCTGCTCACAACATGGCAGCTACCTTCCCTCAGAGTAAGCTCCAGAAGAGAGAGGCGAAGCCATATTACCTCTTATGACATAGTCTCTAAGTCATACACTGTCATTTCCACTTTATCCTATTAGTTAGAAATGAGTTACTTAGTCCAATCCACACTTGACAGGAAGAGAGTATTACACAGAGCATGAATACCAGGAAGTATTGGGGGCATCTTAGAGGTTACCTGGCACAGGTGGCAAGAAGGAAGGCTTTAGGGAGTGTGGGGCCATGCCATAGAGTTCTTTAGCTAACCTCCAAAGGATGAAACTTACTTTCCACTACTTAATATGTAGAGTTCTTTCCTTTATTCATTTTTTTGTTAAGTCTACTTATTGGAAAGAAAAAAAAGGCTTTTAACCCCATGCCAAAGATTGGGTTTTGTGGAAATACTGTCAAAAACAAAGAGAGGGAATCCAGTTTTGGATCTAACCTTTCTTTACTAAAAATATTTTCCTTTGCTGCAGCCAAGTTTGATTTGGCCTCTTGAAGATACCAGTGAGTAAAATAGAGTAATTCTGATTTCTTTTTTTTTATTATTATTATACTTTAAGTTTTAGGGTACGTGTGCACAACGTGCAGGTTTGTTACATATGTATTATTTCTCTCTCTCTCTCTCTCTCTCTCTCCCCTTTCTTCTGTCTCTCTCTCCTTTCTTCTGTCTCTCTCTCCTTTCTTCTCTTTCTCCTTTCTTCTCTCTTTCTCCTTTCTCTCACTCACACACACACACACACACACACACACACCCACCCCTCTAATCCTGAATTTGTCCCATCAAAATATATATTGTCACCTAGTCTAGGGCATTCCAGAGTAGCTCTAAGTAGTTGGGCAATAATAATAGATATATTTGCTGAATAGATGATATAGCCAATAATTTATTGAGCACTTACTACACACCAGGCATTGTGCTCAGAGCTTTACATATGTTATCACACTTAATGCTCACGACAACCCTGTGAAGTAAATACTACTGTTTCCTCATTTTTTACACAGGAGTAAACCACAGCTTGGAGATTATGTGATTTGCCTAAGATCACACAGCTAGTTTGTGACAGGGCCCAGCATTCTGCATTCCTAACCACCTCATTACACTGCTGTCACCATACATCTGTGGGACACACTAAGTACTAGAGTAGGTGTGTATGTTTGTCGCTCACTCTTCTCAGCATCCCTTTGAGGTATGTATTATTACCCCCATTTTATGGGTGAGAAACTGAAGTTCAAAGAAATTATTATTTGCTTTAGCCCACACAATAGCAGCCCAAGGTTCCAGTCTCACAAGGGAATCAAAATTCCATTCTCTTCCTACTAATTTTATTGCCTTCCACCTCATTGGTTTCCAAACTGCAGCTCATTACACACGAATGCACAGTGAAGTCAATTATAAGTGGGTCCCAAACAGCATTTAAAGAAATAGAATAGAATAGAATGGAAGGGAAGGGAAGGAAAGAAAAGTAAATGGAAGGGAACAGAATGGAAAATATCATGCGTCACACATAGTGGCAGTAAGCATTGCTCAGTAAAAGTTTTATTTCAGTTATGTACATACGTATGTGTGGTTATGTGTGAGTGTGTGTGTGTATGTGTGTGTTAGGATATAAAATGCATTTCTTACTTTGGTTGGCATCAAGAAACAATGAAATGCTCCTGCTCTAGCCACTCCTTCTGTCCTCAAGGTCACTGCCAATAGCTTATCCTCAACGGACACACTTTCTGCAGGCCTTTGCAATTTAGAAAAGGGTAGTTGTAATTCTTGGTGTGCTTCCTTGAGCCTTTTCTATGAAAATATAATTATTAAAGAAAAGCATATCCAATTGGTTACCCTTATCCCAACTTACTAGGTGTATAAACTTTTTCCCTTTCTAAGGGTAGCCTCCCTGAATTTTACTTTCTCCATTTTTAAAGTGGGATAATCACGTGCTCACTTGTTGTTGCAAGGATTGAGTGAGATCGTGTAAACTTCTTAACACACTACCCAGCACAGTAATCATTCAGTGAGTACCAGCAATTGTTAAGTTATCTGCATAGACTAGAGGAATCTTAAATAAGAGTCTTGTGTTTGAGGAAATAAGAGGGTGAAAGGGGGAGTGTTATTTTCTAGTTTTGAATCCTTCAACACCATGAAAAGATAAAATAACATAACTAGGTCTGCATTCTTTCAGTTCATTTATTCACCAGACACTTATCAAATGCCTAGTATGTGCCAAGGAATGGGCTAATTTACAGTGATACAGTAAGAGTTTTCAAAAGGTAGGAACCAAATTTATAGACACTGCTAAAGGTTGGGTTATATTAGAAGAGTAAAGTGATAAATCACCGTGGCACCTTATTTTATGATTGTAGACAAGAGTGATCATCGCTTGACTCTTATACATAAGCTCTGTCAAATGAACTTCAGTGATAATAGCCTCATTTTTTAAAGCCATGTCCATCTGGCATCTGATTGATTGAATCTGATTGAATCCATTTTTGTAGCTTGGTTCTTTCTCTCTGCATGCCACAATTGGGAGGATTGATTTTATTTGTACATTGTCTTTTCTTCTTTCCAATTCCCAGGTCCCTCTTTTTCTCTCCCACCTTCTCCCTCATCACTGATTCTTCTCCTATGTTCTGCCAATTATCTCTAGCCTTAATCTACGGTACTCACATCTTGTTCCTGTACACATTTACAGTGAGAGATGGGTTAGCGAAAAGCAAAGTGTGGATCTTAGGGAAAAAAGGCCATAGAACACCAGAACACTGGTTGCTATAGCTTTGCTTTTTTTGGCAGGGGATGGGGGACTTGCTACACAAAAATTGTTCAGACTTAGGGTGCATGTGGATAATTTAACACTACATCCCAAAGAATCATGTATTAAAGCAGGGCCTCAAAAATGATGGTTGGATTTAATTGAATATAAAAATGATATTTTACCTTGCGTTTATTAAAAAGTCACAAACAGTAATTTTTGCATTTGTGTGCCCCTTTAAATCTCACACAGTATTTTTACATGCCTTGTCTTTTATTTCACACATTTATATTATGCCTCCATGATTCATAAAACCAATGAGAACAAAGACTATTTGATGTTCCAAGAACCCCATGAAATAGACAGAGCAGGTATTTGATCCTCATTTTTCAGACAAAGAAACAGCCTCAGAGAGATTGTGTCTTGTTCAGTGTCACTTAGCTAGTAAAGAGGAAAGTTAACACTGGAATCCTAGACTTGCACAGCACGTGCTCGCCGATCTGCACCCGAGGTTCAGACCTGCCTGGAGTACAGTACAGTGCCGTGCACACCGTGGCTTGGGTCCTGACTGCACCATAAAGCCTCTGTCTGTACTGTGGAGCTTGGGTTGCAGGAATCCCCATGGTGGCAAAGAAACAGACCTCTGTGTGGACTTTACCAGGGAAGCCTTGCTAATTTGCAACAGCTGGGTGGTGTTCCTCGTTAGTATCTGTCAGCATAATTGTCACATCATTTCACTGTGGTGGCAGGCACTCAGCTCTAAATCACCTGGATCCTAGTTTTTCAGTGGCTTCAAGACAACGAGGAGAGCCGGCTCTTAAGCCTAGGGGTTCCCTAGGCAAGATATCCCTCCCCACGAGTCTGTAACTGCCAGGCTATGAGGATGCCCTCAAAGACCCTACACATTGATTCCTCTTCCCTAGCCATGAGCAGCATTCCCTGGAAACAAGTTATTTCAGTACCTTGGTGGAATAAGAGGGGACTGTGTGTCCCCCCTACCATGATCCTATGGCCACTGACAGTATGGACAAGATCCTGGTGGTGAAGGATAGAGCTACCATTGTCATCATGAATTATTACAAAACACACAGGACAGCATTCAGTATTTTGAGCAACAAACAAGGCCGAATGATGCTGGCTACACACCCCACGAAGTTCCTCCCACCAAGGAGATCAAGAACCTTTGAGTGACAGAAGCATTCCACAAACCAAACGGGAAGAAATAACGAAGAAAGAGAGGCCGCTTGAATGACCCTGTCCACTCCAAGCAGCACCCCGACTCTTTCCCTAAGCAAAAACCGAGACTGGTTCACTTCTGGTTCTTCTACAGCCTTATCTGGTCCAAATTCCAGCAAAGTCCAGTTTCAGAAATGGGGATAAAGACAGACTCATCAGATAAATGGAGCAGTTTTGAACAAAGACCCCCATACTTCCACCCCCACCTCAGGAGTCTGCTTCAGGAGGCTTTGTCACCTGGGCTACAAAGGAGCACAGTGGCCCTTCCCAGTGGAACTGACCTATGCTCAGGTTATATCCAGGCCAACTGAATGGCTGTGAATCCAGCAACCTTCAAGCCACCCAAGATGAACATTCCAGAGATAGAAGGACAGAAACGATTGCCACAGACCACAATCTCAAACTTGAATGTGCTTGAACCTGCTGGATTCTAGAGCTCTTTCTATTACAGGGATTCTGGATATAGAGTGTTTTGCTCGCTACTCCTTTTTCATCTTAGCGCTGACCTAGGAAAGGTATTTTTTTTTAAAAATTGTTAAACTGAGGCTAGATCTAGAGACACAACTGGCTTTGAGAAGCATGAGTACAAAGTTTGTCTTTATTGTATGGAAGAAGTCATTTGTACTGCTTTAATTTAAAGTCAGACTAAATAACCTCAGCAGTAATGTATTATATTTCGTATCATTTACTCTAGACAAGAACGTTTATCACTGCTTATTAGGTAAATGATGTTGTCTTAGTCAGTTCAGGCTGTTACAACAAAATACCGTAGACTGGATGGCTTATAAACATCAGAAATTTATTTCTCACAGTCCGGAGGCTGGGAAGTCCAAGACCAAGCCTCCACAGATGCAGTGTCTGGTGAGGGCCTACTTCCTGGTGTATAGACAGCTATCTTTTTGCTGTGTCCTCACATGACAAAAGGTACGAGAGAGGTCTATTTTATAAGGGCACCAATCCCATTCATGAGGGCTATGCCTTCATGACTGATATGGTTTGGCTGTGTCTCCACCCAAATCTCATCTCTAATTGTAATTCCTACAATTTCCATGTGTCATGGGAGGAATCTGGTGGGAGGTAATTGAATCATGGAGGCGGGTCTTTCCCATGCTGTTCTCGTGATAGTGAATAAGTCTGATGAGATCTGATGGTTTTAAAAACGGGAGTTTCCCTTCACAAGCTCTCTCTCTTGCCTGCTGCCATACAGTAAGATGTCACTTGCTCCTCCTTGCCTTCCATCACAATTGTGAGGCCTCCCCAGCCACGTGGAACTGTAAGTCCATTAAACCTCTTTTTCTTCCCAGTCTCGGATATGTCTTTATCAGCGTGAAAACAGACTAATACAATGACCTAATCACAACCAAAAAGCCACCGCTGCTAAGTACCATTACACTGGTGATTAGGTTTCAACACAGGAATGTCAGGGGGACACAAATATTTTGCTATAACAAATGTGTAAGTTGTTCCAAAACCCAGGCTTCTTGATGCCTGTAGCGCTATCATTGTGAGCATTAACAAATTATGGAGCAGAGATGTTCACTGACTAGTTTAGACAACTTTGGCCCTCTTGACCCTGTGAAGGTACTATGTTCTGGCCTTGTCAGTTAGGGGGACCTAGGATCTGTTTGAGATCTGGCTACAACTAAAAGCTAAACGTAGAGCGTAGCAGGGAATCCTCATCTTTGCTGAAACTGGACTCTCCTCTCCCTGCCTTGTTAGTAGACCTAAGGGATCACTTTGTCCTGCAGCCAGTTCTTAATGTGGTACCTCTAGGGCTAGTGCTGTTGGAGAAATGCTTCTGTTTTATGCATTACACAGAGCAAACACTGGGCTTACCTATTCTTTCTTGTATTTTACAGTGAGATTAATTTAATTCCAACTTGGTTGAAAATTTTGTAAGGGAGAAAATTTAGTGTACTGGTTTGGTACAGATAAAAGGAAGCTAAAGTTTTTTTTAAGAAAAGAAGATAGTAACTATAGTTATAGTCTTGAGGTTCATGTGAAACTAGTGTTATCCTGATTGATTTCCTTGCTCATCTGAGGGCTTAAAACCTTTTTTTGGGAGAGGATGGAGGAAATTAGAATTTTTCTATAGAAAAGCATTTTTCCCCAAAAGCAGACCCATACCTTTATATGCTCACATAGCTTATTGAGGAAAGAAAATAGGAATCTACATTTTTATTTTTACATATTACATATGTATTCAGTCATTGTCTTGAACACTGCCTCAAATACCTGTTGTTTTTATTTTGGATAGTATCTTGTCTACAAAAGTAGCTGACCTTTCCATAGAGAGATCTTAGAGTCTAAAATTATCAAGACAACTTATCTGTGTCTTCTTTTATGCTTGTATCTCTCACTTGTTTTGGCAACAAAAACCCTTACTAACATCTCAATAAAAAAGGAAAACAAAAAAAAAAAAAACCTGAGAATTTCTACTCATATCCTAGTTTTTTATTCACTCTACCATATTTACTACCTGTAAACAAAATTTTTTTGTTGAATCTTTACATCACTCCAACATGAATAGTATCACCTTTCTCTTATGGAATAATAACTTTATCTCTTTAAATCTAAGACCCCATTACTTATAAAGATACATCATTATGTTATGTGCCACCACACAGGAAACAATTACCTAATCCAATTAAACTATGATATATCATTAATTGTGGGACACATCCTAATTTCAGAAAGAGCATAATATAAAGATATTTGTATCTTAGAATTGATTAAAGTGGCTAAATCAAAAATGTAGAGAAATAAAATAATTTTTACCAGAATTAGAATTGAGTATATAGTTAAAAAACTAAAAAAAAATGGCAGCCTCCTCTTTTTCCTGTAAAAGAAAAGATGGCATTACCATCTACATACATAATTTTAAGTTCCTTAGATGTCAGTTTGCTGATTTAAATGGTAATTGTTAACCCACAGGATTGTTGGTTGTTACTGGTTCCAGATTCTCTTCTTATAGATGTGGGCAGAAGAGGATAACTTCTCCAGTAAAGAGGCAACAACACTGCACCTCTCAGAAGAATGTAGGGAAGGCTTCCTCACTGAAAGATGTTCCTCAGAGTTAGGCATTGTGTGAAAAATAAGACCTGGTTATGCTATTTTCCCTAGAGAAGGGGTTGCAATCTTGAGGGAAATGTTTCAGTATTCTTAGAACTAGAGGTGGATATAATATGGACTCTCTAGATTTAAAAAAAAAAAATCTGGCGGAAGATGTTTTATTGGCTAATACATGCATAGTCCCACTATATTTGCAAAATCAATGATTTCCAATCTTTCCTGGGGAAACATGCCTCCCTGTTTATCTGGGATAGCCTATGTTTATGTCTATTTTCCCAATTACTATTGGTACCATTCCCTTTCAGTCTCAGAAAGATCCTGGTTAAGACTGTAAATTACTTGGTTACATTGTCTTACTTCCTCCTTATCCAGCATTAGTGTTTGAGTTGCCTTGGGTTTTTGGCTAACCTCTCATCTGCATACATTATCTTATTTCCATAGCTAGATCCTTCTCTCTCAAGTTGCAGTAGAGGTATCCCCAGGACTCTGCTATGATATCTCAGGGAATACAAGGATCCATAAAATAAATATAGGGAAATTTATAAAGTGTAAAATCATGTTTAAATACAAATGTATCATTTAATAGAGGAAAAACTTCAGATGAATCTTAAAGATTTAACATATTTAAACTTTCAAGGAAATTTGGATCTCAGGAGCTTTCTTCTTTTTTACCCTAGACCCATAGTTCCCAAACTGTGCTGAGGCACCTCAGGGAACTACGGTGAACTAATGGGGCATCATGGGATACTTTTTTTTTTTTAGGAAAAAGTAGAGATATTCAATATCAATAGGACAGTGTGAAAACTACTAGCTCAGGATAATATTTTCAGTATTAGATTATACTACATTTCTTTTGATAACATCATATCTTTGATAAGCTGGGTTTTTAGCAGTTGCCATGAAAAAAAGCAACTAATGCATGAAAATAAATGTAAAACAAATAGGCAGTATGTGAGTCCAAAGTTTTAAAAGTTGTTCAGTGCCTAACAGGTGTATATCCCATTAATAAGTAATTGTAGTTATTTAAGACTTGAATATAAATATTTGTATTGTTATTTAATGGCTACTTGTTATTAGGAAATAAAAATTAAATGATTTTGGACCTATCTACTTAATAAATGGAATTTTGTAGGTTTCTTTTGATCTGAGGTGCCTTGAGAAAACTGAGACACTAGGTTTTCCATGAACATAAAAACGTCTGAGAATATCTGCCCTATGTCATGAAAAGTACTTATTCAATCTTTCCTGCCATTTGGTATAACTTTATGGAAACGTTTGAGAGGCAGAGTACTAGATAATAATATCCTTAAGCACAGAGAACTACATGTGTGTTTCTCAGATCTGCCATGATATCTAGCTGAACACATTGAAAACTATAGTTGTTAAATATTTTTCCTTGTTTTGTTTCCCATATGTTTTCATGTGCTTCTAAGATCAATTCTCACTTACTAACTTAGAGCTGTGCAGGAGAAGGAATATCAATACAATAGAGAATGGACAAACAACAGAAAAAATATTCTTTGGGAAAAATCAATGAAATCGTTACGCTTATAGTCATACCAATCTAAAAGAACAGGGAAGACACAAATTACCAATGTCAAGAATGAAAGAGGGGACAAGATACAGATGCTAAATACATTAAATGCTAAAAACATTAAAGGGATAATAAGGCAATGTTATGAATAATAAATTGGCAACTTGGATGAAATGACCCAAGTATTTGATCCAGTATTTGAAAAATAAAACTTTCAAAAACTGACCCAAGAAGAAATAGAGAATGTTAATAGCCTTATACTACTTTAAAAAATAAATTTGTAATTATAAACCTTATCAAACATATATTTTTAAAAATCCAGACCCAGATGGCTTCATGAGTAAAAGTTTACCAAACATTTAAGGAAGAACTAATACTAGTCTTATACAAATTCTTTCAGAAAACAGAGGTGTAGAAAATACTTCCCAACTAATATTATAAAGCCAGTATTACCCTTGTACTGAATATAGACAAAGAAACACAAGAAAACTACAGACGATTGCACCTCATGAACACTGGCAAAAAAAAAAAAAAAAATGCTTGGCAAATATTAGCCAACCAAACCCAACAATGTATATGAGATAATATGTCACAAGAAAGAAACAAAAATATGTGATTATCTTGTTAGATATAAAAAAGCCATTAGGCAAAGTTATATCTCAGGTATGATAAAAACTCTGAGGAAATCGGGAATGAAATGGAATTTACTAGTCTGATTAAGGGCACTTTCAAGATAAAACCAGACAGACAATAGTGACAAAAAACTACAGCTAAGATACACAGTGGTGAATGCCTCGATGCTTTATATCTAAGATCTAGAAAAATTGAAGGATATCCACTCTCAAAACTTGAACTATAGGTCATAACCAGTGCAATAAGGCAAGAGAAATGAATAAAAGCCTTGCATATTGGAAAAGAAAATATAAAACTGTTTTATTTGCAGACAACATATTTATGTATGAAGAGAATGCTTAAGGAATCTAAAGCTACTGAAGACAAATGAATTTGGTAAGGATACAGGATACAACATCAATATACAAAAATCAATTGTTTCTATATACCATCAATAAATAATTTAGAAATTAAGATTTAAAAGCAACTCCATTTATAATAGCATCAAAAATAAAATACTTGGGAATAAATTTAACAAAATTCTGCAAGACTTGCACACTTAACTACAAAACATTGCCAAAGGAAATTAAATACCTACATAAATGGAGATAAATCATGCTCATGGATTAGAAAACTCAACATTGTAAAAATGTCAGTTCTCCTTAAATTGATCCATAGATTCATTGTAACCCCAATTAAAATCCTTGTGAGGTTGTAAGAGATGAAATTGATGAGAAAATTCTAAAATTTATATCAAATGGTAAAGGAACGAGAATAATCATGACAATTTTGTGAAAGACTAAGTTTGGAGGATTTATACTACCTAATTTCTTGATTTACAAAGCCACAATAATCCAGATTCTGTGATATTGTTTTAAGTATAAATATAAAAATCAGTGGAACAGAATAGACTTCAGACATAAATCTTTTTATGGCCAATTAACAAGGCAATTCAATGGAAAAACGATAGTGTCTTTTAACAAACTGCACCAGACACCGGATATCTATATAGAAAAAAAAAATAAATCTTGACCTTACCTCAAACATTACACAAAAATTAATTCAAAATGTGCCATAGACCTAAATATAAGAACTAAAACTGTAAATATTCTAGAGAAAAAAGGGGGAAAATATCCTTTGTGACATTAGGTTAAGCAAATATTTCTTAGAACATATATACGTACGAACACTAAGCCATAAAAGAAACAATTGGTAAGTTGGACTTTGTAAAAATAAAAAACTTTTCCTCTTCTAAAGACACTGTTAAGAAAATGAGAAGCTAAGTCACAGGTTTGAAAAAAATATCCAGAATATGTTAAAACACACACACACACACACACACACACACACACACACAACTTAAGAAAAACAACAATACAATCTTAAAGAAATTGGTGGAAGATTTGGACACTTCCCCAAAAGTTCTATGAAGTAAGTTCCCATTATGGCCAAACCTCTTAATGATGAAGTGATACTTCCTGGCGGGAACTCATCAAAGGCCTGATGGAGGAGCCCCTTACCTGCTCTTCAGCAATGTGTAAGATCATCCAGAGAACTTAACTGGAGAACATCCCAGCTCTACAGTTGGTAGAACCTTTGATGTCAGATGTGCTTCTGACTTGCTTTGGAATACAGATTTCCTGTGGTCACAAAGTCTCTCCATTTTGCAAAAACCTTTCTGGCCCTGGACAGATTTTATAGTAACCACAATCTCATAGGCTCCGGGATGTTTCAATCTATTTTTCACTTCCTTTTGTTATGATGTTTACATTTTCCAAGCTAGTAATTAGGAAACATAGTCTGAGCCACAACCTGATAATGAAATCTAAACTTGATGGATACTCCCCATCTCCAGACCACTTCCCACACTTGCAGTAGAATATGAACTTCATGAGGGGGGTGATTTTTGTCAGTTTTCTTTACTGATACATCCCAAGTACCTAGGAAAATGCCTGACACATAAGTATATGCTTAATAAATGTTCATCGAATATGAATACATGTTACTGCAAAGGTTATCCTGAAAGTGCCAAGATACGTGGTTGTTATAAGACTTGACACAATTTCTACCCTTCTCCAAATCTTCACCCAGACCTATTATTTTAACAGTGGATGGATTTATTAAAATGTTAGTTTGCAGATTTCCTGTGGTTACAAAGTCTCTCTATTATGCAAAAACCTTGCTGGCCCTGGACAGATTTTATAATAAATCTGTAAGTCTGACAGCTTTATCAGAGACCAAATAGCTTAAACAAGATAGAAGTTTTTTTGTAATAAAAATAATAGCAAACTCTTCTATAGCTTTATACCAACTGATAGCTTTATATATTTACTTATATTACCTGATATAATTCTTACAACAACCCTATAAGGAAGATATTATTAATATCCTTAATTTACAGATAAGAAAGCTGAGCCACATAGAATTTTAATAATTTGCCCAAAGAGACACAACTAATTAAGTCACAGATTTGGATTTGAACCCAGGCTCTGGCACCAGAATCTATCCTTTTAACCACTATACCCATGCTCGTCAACTTCCAATGTGCATATGAATTGTCAGGAGATGTTTTTTAAATGCGAATTATACAATTCAGTGGATGGGTCTGGGATTCTGCATTTCTAATAAGTTCCCGGGTGCCGCTGCTGGTCTAAACACCACACTCGATTAGCAAGGCACTCCGTGAAACCACCTCTTTCATAAACATGCAGACTGGTAGGCAGTCCAGGGTTGTGGGATAGTGTCATTCCACAAGGTGATCCATGATCCAAGTGTCTTCTTTCTTTTCACTATCCACTAGGTGTTGTTCTAATCCACATGGTCAGTAATGAACCACCACCATGTCTATGTTCCAGTCCTTGGGAAGGGGAAAAGAGAAAGTGAAGAGCAAGCAGCTTCCTTTTGAGGACATGACCCTTCTGTACACTACTCATTAGCCAAACTTAGTCATGAGATCACACCTAGCTGCAAGGAAGGCTGGGAAATGCAGTCTCCACTGGACAGCCACTCAGATAAAACTCAGGAGATTCTATTGCTTAAGTGATTTTTTTTCAAATGGAAGAATATAGATTGGTGAGGCAACTACCAGTCTCCAACACAGTAGACTTGAAAGCCTTTGACTATTTCATCACATTTTGTTATGTATTTCTTGTTAGTATGATCACATACATTTCCCTCTATCTTCTTTTGCTGGCCTGCACATGAGTTCCTTCATATCTAGGAAAAATCGTTGCACCACTGTCATCCCCTTAATTTGATTCCTCCAAAGATTGGATTAAATGGAAGGTGGGGGCCAGGCGCAGTGGCTCATGCCTGTAATCCCAGCACTTTGGGAGGCCGAGGCGTGCAGATCACCTGAGATCGGGAGTTCAAGACCATCCTGGCCAACATGGTGAAACCGCGTCTCTACTAAAAATATAAAAATTAGCCAGGCATGGTGGCAGGTGCATGTAATCCCAGCTTCTCAGGAGGCTGAGGCAGGAGAATCACTTGAACTCAGGGGGCAGAGGTTGCAGTGAGCTGAGATGGCACCACTGCACTCCAGCCTAGGCAACAGAGTAAGACTCCGTCTCAAAAATAAAATTAATTAAATAAATAAATAAATGGAAGGTGGGGAGCCAATTTTTGCATACCCCAAAGAGAGTTAGTAGTTTAGGATGAATAAACAATAAACATTTTAAATCTCTGAGACCCCACCTTTTGTTAGCTCTGTTTTCATTTTTTTTTTTTTTTTTTTTTTGAGACGGAGTCTCGTTCTGTTGCCCAGGCGGGAGTGCTGTGGCGCGATCTCCGCTCACTGCAAGCTCCGCCTTCCGGGTTCACGCCATTCTCCTGCCTCAGCCTCCCGAGTAGCTGGGACTACAGGCGCCCGCCACTGCGCCCGGCTAATTTTTTGTATTTTTAGTAGAGACGGGGTTTCACCGTGGTCTCGATCTCCTGACCTCGTGATCCGCCCGCCTCGGCCTCCCAAAGTGCTGGGATTACAGGCGTGAGCCACCGCGCCCGGCCCGTTAGCTCTGTTTTCTTAACAGTCAATCTATTCTTCAATCTCTACCAGATCCTTAAAGAAATTCAATGAAGTTGGAAATACTGTTCTCACATATATTTATTTTACTTAAAATTTTCGTTTTTCTCTAACTGGAAATGTTGATAAGCAGCTTTTGTTTGTTATCTTTATTACAACCAGAGAAGTCCCCAAAGAAAATATTGTGAAGATAATTCATTCTAAGTAGATGTGATTTGAATCAGCTTTAGGCAAAGACTGGGAGCCTGCCTTCATTTTTATTGGAACATCTTGGCCTAAACCTAGCAACTCAGAGACATTTGGATTAGGCAACTCACACAATACACTTATCCTTCCAGCAGTCACAGATGAGTTGGCTGGAAGTAAAGAATATTGCAAGGAACTGTGGTAGTTTAATACATCCAGTCACTTGTGCAGGTTATAAGAAAGGGCTTAAGAGTCCCGCATTCCACTTCTGGAACTTGGATTTCTTTTTAAGAATTTTATCTTGACAGCTGGGAAATATGTTTGAGATGATTGCTCTGTTACAGGCTTTTGAATTAAGCACAAAAGCAAAAGATAACCAAAGAAGAAACAAAGAGGCAATTAGGGTGAGACAGAAATTATTATTGCTGTGGCCTGGCACCAAAGCCTATAAACTTTGGCTTTCTACAATGGGTTGCTCTGTAAAATCTATCCAACAAAGTGTATTGAAATACATTGAACTAATTTCTTTCTTTCTTTCTTTCTTTCTTTCTTTCTTTCTTTCTTTTTTTTTTTTTTTTTTTTTGAGACAGAGTCTCGCTGTGACCCTCAAGCTGGAGTGCAGTGGCATGATCTCAGCTCACTGCAAGCTCTGCCTCCCAGGTTCACGCCATTCTCCTGCCTCAGCCTCCCGAGTAGCTGAGACTACAGGTGCCCGCCACCATGCCCGGCTAATTCTTTTTTATTTTTAGTACAGACAGGGTTTCACCGTGTTAGCCAGGATGGTCTCAATCTCTTGACCTCATGATGTGCCCACCTCGGCCTCCCAAAGTGCTGGGGTTACAGGTGTGAGCCACCACACCCGGCCGAACTAATTTCTTTTCTTGTTTTCTTTCCTTCCTTCCTGCCTTCCTGCCTTTCTTTCTTTCCCTTCCTTCCTTCTTTCTTTCCTTCCTTCCTTCCTCCTTCCTTCCTTCCCTTCTTTCTTCTTCCTTCCTTCCTTCCTTCTTTCCTTCCTTCCTTCCTTCCGGCAGCCACAGTGCAGCCTACTTTTGGATAAACCTGAGAGTTGTTTCTAATAATTTTGGCTTTCAAAAGATGGCACCTGTCTGTATCCAGACAGAGGTTGTAGCTATTGAATGGGCCTTGGCAGACAGCACAGCCAATCCATTTGTTTTAGCTTTCTCAATAATCAGTGAGTATCACTGCAGGCTCAGTTGGTCTGGCTGATTGATTGTAAAGACAGCCAAAATGAACAGCTCGACCATCTCACAGTCTGATTTCCCTGCCATGTATTGACCCAGTCCAAGTTACTTATGTTACAGTATTTGCAAAGCTGTCACTGTTATAAAACACTTACTGGGAGCTTGCTATTGACAGGGGTTTTATGACAACCTAGAAACCAAACTAGCCCTGGCTTGTTTGAGTTTTGAATTTTTTTTACATTAGAAGAAAGCTATTTATTAGACATCCACACATTCACACAAACATAGCAGTAACAACAATGAGAAAACAGCTCTTTCTGAGAATTCTCTTTGATGTGATTAACTGGGCAGAAACTGAGAATGAAAGCAGATAGAGAACAATCTTTGTGTTTTGTGTGTGTGTTGTTTTCTTTCTTTTAATCTGCCTTTATTTTAAAAATCTCAGAATGTGTGGAGTGGGGACCAAATCCCTGGGCCCTTTCTTATCTGAGAAGAGGAAGTGCTGGCATCTGCTGGTATAGGCAGGCACTGTGCTTAAGCACAGGTTGTCTCATTAACTCAGGAGATGACCTGGTCTGTCTGGAAACTGTCTGCATTTCAGACTCCTTAGCTGATTTACGGTTAAGGCAAAATGGGTCGTTTGAAATTGTGGAGCCAGCGGTTTGCTTTCATTCGTCTTTAAAGCCTTCAGTTGAATTCAGGACAGATCAGAGATCTCTCCTTGCACTAAATAAACTTCTAATGATACTGATTGAGCTCCTCAGATGGGACACTATGGGAATGTGGGAAACTCAAGGCCCATTAAGTCACTGAGCACACTTAGTTGAAATTATGATACTCTGGTCACCCATGGCTAAATGAAGACCAGAGGTTTAATGAGTTTACCAGGTTAAAAATGTGCCCGTGTCAGGCAGGAATCAGACTCATTAATTAGGGCTCCACTTAATTATTGAGCAGTTTTACTTACCAGCAGTCCTTGGGGGTGAGCTGGGGGATGGACTTAGTGATAGGGATGGCCGCCTTTGCTCATGGCCAATTATGAACCATTCAATGAGGGTTAAAAAGGGGCAGGGAGTAGCGAGCAAAGAAATTTTACCAGTTTTTGCCATTGACCACAATAAACTTGAACATTTCTAAAGTCCTAGCAGTTTTACTTTTGAAACTGATTGGGACCTTGGGTGACAATCTTCTCTACTGTATTTGAGATGATTCCCAGACCACAGACAATCCCTAAACTGCCAGTCTACTTCTAAAGCTACAGCTGATGTGGAATAGGAACTTGGCAGCCTCCTTTGGAAAAGATGGAGTTTCCTTGGTGCCCAAGTCCCTGAGGGATATATGGATAAAACCAGTTTATTCACACTGTAATGGGAAGAAACCTCCATTTTAATTATCAGCAGCTAGTTGAGAATTGGGAACTCAAAGTGTGGGCTTTGGGGAGATCTTGGCTCTGCCTCTTGCTGTGAGATCCTTGAGTCTCCAATTCTTCATCTGTAAATTAGGGGTGGTCACTCCTAATTCAAAGGAGTATCGTGAGGATTCCATGTGATGATATAGTAAGGTACTTAGTGTCTGGCATTTACTAAGCATGCCACAAGCAAAGGTAATTGCTGTGGTCTACCCTGAATAGCAAAGGGAGAATTACCCCTTTTCACTTCTGGTTTCAACTGTGGAAATTAATGAACATGGAAAAGGGGAAAGGAAAGATAAATGCAAAATGCATTGGGGCATTAAGTCTAGTGAACAGCTGCAGGAACTGGGTAATTGTTTTTACACGAAAGGAGTCCATTTCCACAGGCGTGCTGTGCCCTTCCCTGCTCAATCTTTTATGTTCTCTCTCTCCCCTCCCTCCCTCCTTCCTTTTCCCCTCCCCTTCCCTGCTAAGGAGGGAGTGTATATTCCTCCACCTGCTTTTGTGCTAGAAGAGCCTGGTCCTGCTCATATTTTCTTTATAAAACAAAGGCATCTTGTCCCTGATTCAGGAAAATCACAAATAAAATTGTCCCAGCCGAGTCTGGATTTTAATGTCTTTTATGCTCGTATAGGACACCTCAATGCTGTGGTGACCATGCTAGTGTTCTGATTTTGCTGTCCGGATTCTTTAATTCAAAGAAAAGCAGATGAGATGTGTATGATGTGACTGATCAAGACCACTCTGTATGCACAAAAGAGATGTGTGAAGACCAGTTCATCCAAATTAGAGAGAGATTACTGATAAGATACATACAGGGTGAATCAAACAGAAGTTAGGCACCTTTTTCTTCAAATAGAAATCTGACTCTTTTAAGTCCAGCAATTTAGAATGGTCCTTTTTTTCCTGTAACTATCAAATAAATACAGTCTCACACAAACACACATCATGAACAGATTAACGAAGACAAATCTAAGTGACAAAAGGCTTCTTAAGTTCCAATTCACCTCCAGCCTCTTGGCACCTGCATGCGCATTATACTGGAATGAACATCATGCCTCATGGTTTAATAGAAACAAAGGGATACTGAAGCTTCAGAAAGGCACCGTCCCATATGGGATGTTGCAAAGGGGTAAGACTGGTGGAAAATGGCGTTTACGTCTTGAAATACCTTCCTGACAATGAGAAGAGGATCCTATTATTAACTAAAATTTCTTTCAAACCTATATTAAACCATTATTTCTTAGTTGTACTTGTTTTGATAAGTCAAATTCATTTCTTTTCACATCCTGCATCCTTCCTTTTTTTTTTTTTTTTTTACTACTACTTTTATTCTAGATTCAGGGGGTATATGTGCAGGTTTGTTACCTGGGTATATTGCATGATGTTGAGGTTTGGGCTATAAATTGATACTACCTCTCAGAATTCTTCTGAATCATTTGCTGACATTGTAAGTGGCTTTTAAACTTTGATTTTGCCGTTTTTGAGACTGTTTCTACTAAGACTTTTTGCTGGAAAAATTTGAGCTGCTTTGATTACTTAAAGAAGGTCTTTCACTTACCTTTGCTTTTTAAAGTTGAGTTGGACCTAGGTGCTGAGCATTGTACCCAAACGTTAGTTTTTCAACCATTCCTCCCCTCCCTCCCCTGCCTAGTAGTCCTCAGCATCTGTTGTTGCCATCTTTATGTCCATGATTACCCAATGTTTAGCTTCCACTTATAAGTGAGAACATACAGTATTTGGTTTTCTGTTCTTGCATTAATTTGCTTATATTCCTCCTTTGAATCATCTAATGTTTAAATTGGTAGAAAAATGTGGTGTTCAAATTATGCTCCTTGAGAGCAGGGATATTTTAAAAATCATTTTTCTATTCCCAACTTCTAACTCAGTGTCTTACATTGAGTAGAATATTAACCACATTTTTGATGAATGAATGAAGAGATAAGTTGGAGTAGCTTTCAAGTATTAGTGAAGAGAAAAGGCTAAATAGCTTTAACTTTTTAAAAATAAAAGGTAGCATCTTTCTTATTTGAGACACTGATGAAACTTAGAATGTTGAAAATAATACCATTCTGTGTCTTGGGTCAGAAATACAGATAGATTAGCAGAACATTAGCTGCAAAGTGCTCTCCTAATTATTTTAGAGAAGAGACACAAATGCACTCTTGAGTTTTCTTTTAGTATGATTCTTGCTAGCAACTAATAGTGCATTTTGGGCAGTTGCAGGGCTCAAAAGCAGTATATATACTGTAAAACAATTTTAAAAAGCCTTGAATTATAGTAAAAAGAGAACTAATGAAAAGGGACCTAAGAAATATAATGAAAATAAATAGTTCTTCCTCTTCCAACTTCCCTCCAGGGAGCAGGTTATGAAAGATCGCTAGAATAGTAGAATAGTGGAATAAAATTATTCCAGGGTAGAAAGTAATTAGGGGTGAGTACATGAAAGCCCAGGTTTAATTGTTCTTTTTAATACAGTGAAAAAAGTCATTCATCATACAACTTTAAATGAGTGTCCCATTAATGGAGTATTCCCCCAATGGAATATTATAAATTAATATTTTTATATGTCCTGTAATTATTCTCTGAGTAGCACATTTGTAGGGCACTGCACTTAGAGGTATGCATTAAAAGCATTATCAGGTAAATGTCATCATTTAAAATATACCAAAATTGTTAATATTGCATTTAAGCACTTATTTTTTAATATTCTAAGACCCTCATGCAGATCAACAATAATTTCTTCAGCTTCTGAAAGGATCTATTTCTTGCTCTAATCACTTCACTCCCTGATAGAGATTTCTAGGTTTCTCTAGAATGTTCATTCGGGGTCATTCTTTGGATCTAACCAGTGGAGGAGATAGTGAATTTTGTTTACAACTTCAAGTCTTTGTTGGCTCATCGGCGCCTGTAGGCTACACAATAAACATCCACGACTTCCCTGCCTTCATTATGGCAGCAAAATGTGCTTTACTTTCTCTTACACTAAATTCTTCTAGAGTAAGTAGGGACTTTGTGAGGCACATGACATCTTCCTGGGCACAGTGCCACGTAGACATAAATGGTGGCCTTAGGATACTTTTGAAGATCTGATTATAAATATCTTCTTGCTGCTAAATACTCATCTGAGATGGCAATTGTGTTCGCTAGGTTAAATTAAGAATGCGATGCGCTGTTTCACCATGTTAAGCTGTCTTTTTCTTTCCCTAAGAAATTCCCATATTCTTCTGCAGTTAGTATAAATGTACCCACCACCTGGATTGTGACTTGAAATGAAGTTTCCTTTCAAATTCATCCTAGAGGAAATGTGACCTCGATATCACCTGGACATAAGTCCTGAATCAGACACTGATTCTCCATGTGACCTTGGACAAGTTATTCACCCTCTCTAAACTTCAGTTTCCTCATCTGTAAAATGGCAATGATAATAGTACTTGAATCTTTAGTACTTGAATCTTTGAGACTTATTGGGAGAATCATAAGTTAATGTTCACAACGTGTTTAGCATGGATGCAGTCACTTATAAATGCATTCTCGGGGTTTAGAATTATTTCTTCCCCAGCTCTGCTGTTGAAAATTACTAAACAAGATATTTACTCTTACTGAGTTTCAGTTTCTCAGAGGGTTGACAAAATGAGATAAAATATGCATAAGGCTTGGAAAATTATTCAGGGCTATGTGAAGGCTTGCAAAATGCCAACCAAAGTGAAGAGTCAGAGTAGTAAATAAAACATAATGTAAGATTTTTTAAGTCCCTAAAGTAATTATTCATTGTCTAAAATCCCTACATTTTCATATTTTATCTTTTGAGGGAAATCCTTATTGTATACATAAATATGCATATGTATACATGCACATACACAGGCCACAAAGTATCCCTTGTGGGATTAAACTTCCTAGTACTGATTCCTTATAGTATTTTCTTGTGTTTATCATGCATTTAATGGAATGGAAACAGAACGGTCTGGCAGACACATTCATCTAATAATCCAGTATCGTGTTATTTACAATATCTCTAGTAATTTTATTAAAAAGTTATTTGTCATGTGCTTCTAGTAAATGTGGAATTACAAATACTACATTGATGGGCATTTTAGCCCACATGTGTTTAGAAGAGGTAAAGCCACCCTCGTTTCTACAACTCTCTCTTTCTCTCTCTCTCTCTCTCTCACACACACACACACACACACACACACACACACACTCCCAGTCCTCTACAAAAACTGGTAAATAAATCTGGTGGCTTTCAAAAGCAGGTGCTTTTTGGTAGTGGGTGGAGGTGGAGTTTGAATATGTGATGTTTTTATATTAACTCAATTACTAAAGTAGGCTTTGAGAAAGACAGAGAAAAAAGTTAAGACCAGACAAAATGGAACCCCATAAAGGGTTGTGTCATCAAGCTTGGAGTCAGCTCATCAACACTAAACATGCTGATGAATTGGAAAATCAGAGAAGAAGGCTTCAAGTTTCAGTCTCAAGGGATGGGTTGGCCTTGGAGATTTATTTTCAGATTTTTTTTATTTGTCTCTACTCCATAGTAAAACTTGGGTGGGCAAAATTCTCCCCATTCCAGGGACCCCATATAGACTGTTGTAGAATTTTATGGGACTGATACTCTGTTCTTTTTTAGAGGGCCATTTATGACCAGTGTCTTTCCTCCTCTCAGCCAGTGTACATCAGTCTCTAAATCTTCCTCCCCCAACCTTTGAAGATTTATGGCAGCTTTCAGCCAGGCTTGGCTTAAAGCCATTGACCTCTGTGGCCTGCGTTATTGACCAGAACACAGCATCTTCTGCCCACATAATATATGTCTCTTTATCTCCCTGAAAGGAAAGGAAATGACTCTTGGAATGGCCAGGAATACAATAAAAATGAGAGAGCCTTTCCCATTTTGTTGTCAGTGGCGTTTGGCTTTACAAAAAGCCACACTGAAATCAGCATGTGCATTCAGCAGTGCTTTGAACTGTGCATTGAGAGGGCACCCTTGGGAGCAGGCATTGTAGGCCAGAAGCCCATCCCATATAAAATCACCTTTTTGTAACTTCTCACCTTGAGTGTGAGTGCAACAAATGGCCCTTTGTCAGCAATCCTCAGAGCTGAATCTATAAACTCACTGACATAGTAAGCCCACAGAGACACGTGTGGAAAGCACAGTAGGAAAACAGATTCCACAAGCCTTTTGGGGTTGGGGGTAGGGGTGAGGGTTACAGTGTCAGAAAAGGTTGAATTTGGGAGAGACATGAGCACTCATGTAGTCCAACCCCTAAAATTCTACACGAGGAAGTTGACACTCAATAAGAACATACAATTTACCTAAGGTCACAGAGTAAATAGGTGCTAGGAAGGGAGCCCACCTCTAGGCCAATGTATGAAGTACAGTAAGGCTTCAAATGTTCACCTAGCCTTGTTTATAAAAGTACCCCCTGACTATTCTGTACAAAAGTCATGTGGCAAGGCTTATATGGAACAGTTGGCAAAAGCCTCTTCTGTTCCCCTGTTTGGATTATTAGTTCCACAATCCCATATTCAAGAGCTACCAGATGCCTCTTAACTACTATGTTCAGACAGGAGCTGGGAGTGTCCCAGAGAAAAACCCTAAAGGAAAACAATGCAAGCGGTGCCACTTACAGCTTTGCAGCCTTTGATGAGTTTTTTACTCTGCACTTTCACTTCCCCATGGGTGCGATGGGAATGGGAGCATCCCCTCAAACCCCCAAGGGTGTCGTGAGAAGTGAGATAGCTGGTACAGAGAAGTGTTCAATCAGTTGAAGTGCTATTGTTAAAGCCTGGGGTGGAGAAAAACTTGGAAGCATGTGCTACTGCAAAACACACTGTGTGAGTTGGAGCATTTTATCTGAGTGTGCCAGGGATTTCTGGAGAAGGGATTTGGCAGAAGTCATGATTTTAGCATAGCCGTAATTCACTAGGGGCTGGCAGTTTATTTCTACCTACAGCATTATAGTCACGTGCTGCATGATGACATTTTGGTCAACAACAGACCACTTGTAGGACAGTGGGCCCCTAAGATTATAACGAAGCTGAAAAATTCCCATCCCCTAGTGATAGTATAGCTGTGGAAATGTCATAGTGCAATTACTTTATTTTTTACAAATTTAGTGTAGCCTAAGTTGACAGTATTTATAAAGTCTACCGTTGTTTACAGTAATGTCCTAGGCCTTCACATTCACTCACTACTCACTCACTGACTCACCCAGAGCACCTTCCAGTCCTGCAAGCTCCAGGCGTGGTAAGCGCCCTGTACAGCTGTGCCATTTTTTAATCTTCTCTGCCATATTTCTACTGTACCTTTTCTATGTTTAAATATGTTTAGAATCCAAATACTCATCATTGTGTTACAATTGCCTACAGTATTCCTACAGTAACATGCTGTACAGATTCATAGCCTAGGAGCAATAGGCTATATACCATATAGCCTAGGCGTGTAAGTAGCTATACCATCTAGGTTTGTATAAGTATACTCCATGATGTTCACACAATGATGAAATCACCTAAGGACACATTTCTCAAAACCTAACTGCTTTGTTCTCAGGTTTAGAGGGCCAAACACTTAGGTGGCACTATACTCATTCCAGAACACCAGGATATGCTTATATCCTCCATTCTGTTATGTACACTAGAATCCAGAAACAAGACTACTAGAAGAAGACAGATATCACCTACATATTTATCTGTGTGATCTGCCATAATAGTTACGGACATGAAAATAAAGTTAGTGGGACTAAACAACAGATACCTTATGAGTTTTTCCATTCTCCATTACCATTTGTTTATTGCCTATTTGTAAGATATTTTTAGTTTTGGGTTTTGTTGATTTCTTTGTTTTTTGTTTGTTTGTTTGTTTTGTTTTGTACATAGTCTCAAAAAGACAAGCTGTAGCGGATGCCAAAGTTTTAAGTAAAATGTGCGGAGCAAAATGTTAAAATGAGAAAATTCTATCTAGCAACTTTTTTTCTGGAAACTTGGAAAATATATACATTATTAAATTGTAGCAATAAAACATCTCAGTCATCTCAGTTTACAAAACACCAAGGATCCATGGAGCAATTAAAGAATCACTAGAGGGTTAACAACAGAGGAAGTCATATTTCCTAGTCATTGAAGTGTTAAAATAGGAAAAGAGACCTGGAGACTTATAGGTCTAGGTGAGTGTTAGTGTCTTACCTAACTAATAACATTAGAAATGTGAAGCAGAAGGAGACTATTCCAGAGTCCATAGTCAACTTTTTAATTTAAACATTTTAATAAACCATACCTCTATTAATCACCATGAAATTTCTCTTTCAAACTGAAAGGAAGTGTCACAGTATTGGGAAGACAAATGGTAGTTAAAACTATTGTCCATGTAAGTTAAATGGGGCTGTAAAAAATGTCTATCCAGTTTAGAATATCTTTCAGTTTTCTCAGACTTTTCTTTTGGGAAATAGTATATTAAAGAACCTATCAATTCAACCTTTAATATTGAGTTTCTATATCATGTTTTTTGAAATGAATGTCCAACAGTGGGCAACTGGCTAGATAACCTAAATATACACCAAAATGATGGGTTATACAGACTTTTAAAAAGATTTTCTGCAAGAATATCTAATGGTATGGGAAGACAGACACTGGTATTAAAGGAAATCACAGTCTATAAGAGTACTATAAAATATTATTTCATTTTTAATCTATACAGTATAGAAAAGACTCACTAATAGTTAATGCTATTAATAAATGCAATATTGTTATTTCTATTCTGTACTGTTTTTATACTGTTCTGTTTTCTTCTTTTCATGTATTTTCATTTTTAATAAACATATTGCTTTTGTAATAAGCAAACCACAATTGTTAGTGTAAAAGTTATATTTGACTTTCTGTGCAATATTATCTAATTGCTGAAGTACCAGAAATACAACATTTCACCTATAAGGCTGTCCCCAACCATATACATCCTGAAGACAGCATTAGAACACAGCTTTGCTATCCAGAGAGAAGCACAGGAAATGTGTATATGTAAATATAGTTGTGTTCATAATAGCACTTCGTTTGCATAGACACAAATATCATAAACAAAATATCTGTCTCTCAATTATTAGGATACATAGATATATTTCAACAGACAACATTGATTAGCTGTAATCCGGGTGTTCATTAGAAAGTATAGTTTTAAACTCATTTTCAGCTGATAATTTTCAATAGCTCAGTTGAGAGAAATTCTATTTGAAATTTTTAAAGTTAAAAGTAACAATTCTGCTAGTACAAAACTGCATGTATCTTTCAAGATATTCCAAAATCTATCCCTATATCAAGCAAGGAGCTGAGTTCTCATGGAATTATTTATCTAAGTTGCACTTGAGTGTGACACCAGCAATCTGGGTTGAGAATTCTAAGGGAAAAAACAAAACGTGAAAACCATTATTCTGTACATTTCAAAGACATTGTTGAGGATGTTAATCATCTCTCCATGCCTTCTTTAGGAAGACCCCTGGAAGAAATTTCATTCTGATATTTTAATAGCAAGGAGCAGCCAAAATTCTCCCAGTTGGTCTGTTTTCATCTTGTGGATATTATACATGGACTGACCAGGGGTCCCTCTATAATTGCTCTGGCACAGCTCAGAGCCAAATGTGTGGCCCAGCTGCAGCAAATGTGTGAATCAATGCGGTATGTGTTTTTAGGCCTAATTCTTGACTCAATTTTATGTTCCTACCATATTTTCCTTTCTCCTGACTTTTTGGTTTTTGCTTAAAAAAAATCCACTAAAGTAATACATATGTGTGGGAACATACGAGTGAGGACAGAAGAATTTAAGGTCTGAAAAGCAGCAGCCTCTACCTCTCTGCTCTCTGCCTCCACCCCATCCCACTCCCCAGATTCAACCTCTTTTAACTGTTTGTTTTTGGTTCTTTTAGCAATTACCTCCATAAATCTAGATAAGAGGCTTAACCTCTTTTTCCCCATTTATCATCTTGAGATAATATCTCTAGACACCTTAATATGAAAAGGGGAGGATTTAGCTCATTTAATGTAAGTTTCCTCCTCCACCTCCAAATGTTTTATATTTGCATTATTACTTTTAGTTCTTCTACAGTTCATACCATTGCAACTTTAAATAATATATAAACCTGTTAATCAGAGGCTCCCACTCCAGCTTTCTAATTGTTTGTACTATTGTAAGTTGTCTCATTTTACAAAGTGAAGAGGCTGAGCGCCTGTAATCCTAGCACTTTGGGAGGCTGAGGCAGGTGGATCGCTTGAGCACGCGAGTTTGAGAACAGCCTGGGCAACATGATGAATCCTCGTTTCTGCAAAAAATACAAAAATTAGCCAAGCATGGTGGTGTACACTTGTAGTCACAGCTACTCTGGAGGCTGAAGAAGGAGGATGGCTTGAGCCTGGGAGGTCAAGGCTGCAGTGAGCCCTGATCATGTCACCCTACTCCAGCCTGGGAACAGAAGGAGACTGTGTCTCAAATAATAATAATAGTAATAAATCGAAGATAACTAACAACACAAATTCAAGAAGAATGAGGTCAGCAAGTCTTCATGATGAATACGAAAGTAAATAGTTAAGGAGTCCCGAAAAATATAAAGGATGGTAATACAGGCTAAGTAGGCCTCTGGTATCACGGTGGGCTCTAAGGTTTATTATGGTGGCAGCCTCGTTTATGGTTAAATTTAACATTTGAGCTTAAGCTGATGCTTGAACAAGTTGCAGACATGTACCCTCATACTCAAGTGAATTTCTTTCAAAACTCTTTGTGATTAAAGCCTTAAGTTTCAAAATTTGTCCTTCCTAAATATTTTAAGGCACTTATTAAATCTTCCTTCTTTCCTTTAGAGAAGCTTTTTCTCCTCGTCTCCTGTTGCTTCTCATGTGGAGATTGCTTCGAGGGCTCAGGGTAATGGATTGGGTTGACTTCAGTCAGTGGGATGAGGTTTACAGGTCTATCTCAGTGAACACCTCACCATGTTTTAACTTGGTGGTTCCCTTCCCTATGAGTTCCTCACACTAGGACACACATCAGACACGTGGGGGACCTGGCAGAAGAGCATTCCTGACAGCTCTGGTAAAGGCAACGTCAGTGGCAGCCAAGGAACCTACCCTCCTATGCCATTCAGCACCAGCCACGCTTTGGACAGACAAGAAGCCTCGTCCTGAGGACACACACAAGGGCTGCTAATCAGGCAGCCACTCAGCTTGCACCCCAGGACAGGTGAATGAGTAGGGTGGTGATTGAATGAGGAATCAGGTGGCAGCTTTGTTTTGTTTATTTTTCTCAAACAAGACATTAGTTTATATTATCTACCCACTCCCTTTCAACCCTGCTGCTCTTAAGTGCTGGGTTTTTTTTGTTTTGTTTGTTTATTTGTTTTGTTTTTTGGTTTCAGTTCTTTCAGATCCTCTTCAGCAGCAAGGACTTTGTGCCTACCAGAGGCTCTTAAACTTTAGTATGCTTAACAATCATCCAGCAAAGTTGTTAAAAAATATACATTTTTATGCTAGAACCCCCCTGTCTTTAACACACACACCCCACCCCCCAATCCCGATTTCCAATATAGTAGGTCAGGCTGGAAGCTGGGGGATCTATTTTTCACAAGCAACCCAAGTGATGCAAACGCAGGCACAATATTGAGAAATATTTTCCACCCATCCTGCCCCGTGACTAAAGGGAGAACCAACAACAGCACCAAAATATAAAATAAAATAAAATAAAATAAATAAATAAAATAAAAATAAGTGGTAGTGGGCCCCCACAGAAAGAAATCGATTCCTCCTTTCCCACGAGGAAAACAAAGTTCCAGAGGCGCCAAGACGCCCATATCTCAAGGCCATGAGACCCCTGCCAGCTCTCCCGCCTCCAAAACTCCAATTTAAAATCTTTCTCTTCCACCACTCACCGCTCCTCCTTTCCCTGGAGGAGAAGACAGAAACGGACTCGCCACGCTTGCCCTCCCCGCCACGCCCCGCTCGGTTCGTTACTCTGTAGAGGCTGGCGACCAGCAAAAGAGAAAGTTCCCGAGCTTTACAACTCTCCGGGAAGCGTAGGGAACGTTTCCTCTCGGAAAGCTCTTCGCCGCGATTTTCCCAGGGCTGCACTTGAATGAAACCCCCAAAGGAAATTACCACTTAAATGAGGCAGGAGGTGCTGGCTGCCTGTTTGGCCTCTGCTGTGCACGCTGCCTGGCAGGCAGCGCAGGAGGCTCCGGAGCCCCGCCATGGGCGCGCACGGTGCACGGGGGCCGGAACGGGGGTGCGCGGGGACCTGGGAGCTGCAATGGGGGCCAGGATTTGCTTGGGGTCCTTGTGGTGCGCGGGAGCCCGGGGGTGCGCGGGGGTCCGGGATACACTCTCACACCGGTGCAGGGCATGTGTCTCGGCCCATGGAGGCCGCTTTGGAAAACCGACGCTGAGACATGAAGCCACCTGTTTGCTTCCTGCCAAATCCTTCACTGGCCTGTTGGGAAGGGGACGGATAAAATGATGGGCCTGCTTTGAGGCCCGGCCACCCCGTCTTGGAAACTGCCCTAATAAGTGCAGAGACCTCTCAGAGAGCCAGGCTGTAGGCGTCATAAAAGCAAGAACAAGATCTGTTTTAGTTTGCTCTGAAAATCTGTTTTAAAATTAAGGTATAATTCAGATACTATAAAATTCGCCCTTTTAAAGTGTACTATTCAGTGGTTTTCAGTATACTTAGGAGGTTGAGTAGCCATCACAACTAAGTCCAGAACATTTTCATCACCCCAAAAAAGAAAGCCCTCTGCTCATTAGCAGTCACGCCCCCATTATTCCTTTCCTGCATACCCCTAGCATACCATTAATCTACTTTCTGCCTCTATGGATTTGCCTGTTTGGGGAATCTCACATAAATGGAATCATACTACATGTGGCTTTTGTGCCTGGCATCTTTCACTTAGGATAAAGTTTTCAGGTTATTCCCATGGTCGCATGCACCAGGACTTTATTCCTTTGTATTGTGAAACAATATTGCATTGTATGGATATACCACATTTCGTTTATCCATTCATCAGTTGATGAACATTTGGGTTGTTTCTACTTTTTGGCTATTATAAGTAATGCTGCTACGAAGATGCATGTACAAGTGTTTAAACAGACATGTGTTTTATTTCTTTTTAATATGTATGTAGGAGTAGTATTGCTGGGTCCTGTGGTAACTGTGGAATCTTTTGAAAGGATCTGTTTTTACCTGTACAGTTGATAGCCCACCCCCGGCGCGTTCTTTGACAAGTAGATGAATGAATTGAATGGATGAATGAATGAATGAATGAATGAATGGAACTAAGAATCAAATAAATGAGATTATGAGCTTTTGAGTGTGAAAGCATTTTATACTTTATTAAGAGCAATACAAGTGGGATTTACTGCTATTCTTAAGTGATGATATCAGAAGTTCTTAACTTGTGATCTAAGGAAGAGCTACAGGACACCTGTGAATCCCAGAAGTTGTATATAGAATTGTTTGAGTATGTGTGCAAGTACCGTTGCTTTTAGATCAGGCAAGAGGGGTACCTTAGCATGCCTTACTCTGGCTGTGCCCCTCTCTACAGGACATGATGTTCCAGAGGTCCAAGCAAAGTGCCCACTATAAGCCTGCTTCCTCCTTTTTTGGCCCATGGTTCTGCTCCTAGAACCTGGGAATTTTCTACCTAAAGAGCTCAAGCCTCTTCCCCAAGTCCATCCTCCCCGCAGCCCCCACCTCCTGCCCCAGGGCTGGGAAGGCCAAGGATGAGAAGGCCACCACTTTCCAGAGAAAAATTCCAAGGAGTCCAACAATTCTATATTTGAACTTGGCCTTCCAGCCTTAGGTTCCTTTGAAGGACTTAAAAGGGTGAAACCAGTGATGACGGGGGAATCTGAGAGTATTATGGACAGAGTAGGACGGGGTGAGATGAGGAAAAACCTGTGGCATAAGGTGTATGGCTCTCCCTTTGTACGCTTGTCCCAGGCCTTATAACTGATAGGAAAGGACCTATGCACATGTATATTTTTTCAAAGAGAGGGTATTGTAGGTGTCAGACTCACAGTGGCCTGCAAAGTCTGAAACACAGTGGCAAGAGTTGAAAACTAAAGACAGCACCAGACTAGAAGTCAGAAGTTCTGAGTTCTAGCCCTCTTCTTCCACATACCCACGAAGTGAACTTAGGTAAATTCTCATAACCGTGAGTCACCCATACAATAAAATGGAAATAATCATAGCATACATTGAAAACTTCCATAAACCATAAAGGAATGCAAGATGTCATTTTAATAGATATTTCCCCACCTTGGTTTTTTTGGCTACAGCTGCTTCATTAGCAGGCCCCTAAAATTATTAATTCAGGCTCATAATATTGCTACCAGCTAAATTTCACTATGATATTGAAGAAGCTCCACGTAAGACAACATTGGGCTACATAATTTGTATAACATTATTCGGCAGTGAATTAGTGGCAGTTAAAAAATATCTACCGGAATTTTAACGATCCTTCCCAAGCTTTCATCTCTACCCAACACACTCTCACCTAAGAAAAAGAAACCAAGACCATTTCAGAACAAAAATATTTTTCTTACAACTTTGACTATTTAAATGGTTTCCTTTTTCTCCTATGGTTCGGTACTATTTTTTAGAGTTTTACTGCATGAATTTATTCTAGTATTTGTTTGTTTCAATACGCTCATGTTTAATGGGACCGTATTGTGGTATGCGAATACATGAGAAATTTCAGCTGTTGACCATGATGGCTGATGCATAATGGATGATTTTTTAAATTAACAAAACTAATTCTCTTTCTACATGGGAGGAAAAAGTAAGACTCAAAACTAAAAATAATAATAATAATAAATAAAATTAAATTAAAAACCCAGTTCAGTCTATAATGTAAAATAGCCAACTCAATATTTTATTTCTTTATTCAATGAATTCATTGTTATTATTTATAAATTGTATATAAGGTGAGAGTTTAAAGAACATAATTATTCTGGTTGTTTGTGCTGTTGTTTGAGGTAGGGTGACCAGCTGTCTTGTTTGGCCTGGAACTGAGGGGTGTTGTGGACATGGGACTTCCCATGCCAAATATGGGACAGTCCTGGGCAAACCAAAATGTTTAGTCACCCTAATTTGAAGATAACATGTACCATTTTGCCTGTGATTTAAATATAAAAGCCTTGGTAGATTTTTCAGTCAATTTAGATGTTCTATTGTCTACATCTCCTTTTTGGTAAGTGAATAAGTAATCTATGTCAGTATGATGTTTGTATACTTTAAGTAGAACAACAAAGGCATAGAGAAAAAATAATAATTTTAACATTCTAAATAGATTTTTGTGTGATCAGAAAGAATTGTGGGTTTTCTCTTGTTGGTTTTATGTGTTAAATACATTATTTTGTATATGGTTATTGTGAAAAAAATCTATTTTTAAATTACAGTATTGAATGTGGAAGTTACATGATTTTTTACTTCCTCAATTATAATAACTCTTTCTGTGAACTTCCACTTTGATAATTATCAGTCCAGTTTGAATGCCTGACTGATCAGGACTGCAACCTGACCTTCCACACCTTTTGATTGTCTTACTTGGCTGGAAGGATGGTCTTGTATCTGTTGGTGTTGATTTTAGCTATTGATATTGTCATTCTTAAGTGTTTTTAATTTTTGTTTAATGAGGTTTTGCTTCCTACCCTTTTAAGTAACATTCTATGGTTATCATGATTATTTAATGTCTTTTCTTGGAGGTTTCAATCACTATTGGTCATTGCTAGTGTCAATGAATTCTGCTAATGCCAATCCTATATGGAAGCACAAAGGTTTAGTAATCTATGCTTGACCAATTGTGGGATGCAGTAAAATTAATAGTTTCCCCCATTATTAATCTTTAAAATAAACACAGGCTAAAAGAACCAGAACACTTGGATATAAATCCCAGCTTGATCACTCTCTAGCTATCTGAATGTGGACAATTACAGCAAGTCTCTGGCACCCTGTTTCCTAGCTACAAATGAGAAAGTTGGACTTCATCAGGGATTCTTAACAGAATTCCTGAGTGGTCTGCAGGGGATCTGTGAACCTTCCTGAAATTATAATACCTTTAGTAAATATGTCTGTATGTGCAGCCCCCTCCCCAACAGCATCCATTGCTTCCCACAAATTCGAAAGCAGTCCTTGTCCTAAGAAAGATTGAAAACTTCTGAGCCAGATGGCCACTGAGAAGACTCTAGGGGCAGTATATGATGTACAATCATGGGTCACTTCATGATGGGGACACAATCTGAGAAATGCATGGTTAGGTGGTTTTGTCATTGTGTTACACGAACTTAGATGGTGTAGCCACCTACACACCTAGGCTGTATGGTATAGCCTATTGCTGCTAGGCTACAGATCTGTACACCATGTTACTATTCTCAATACTACAGGCAATTGTAACACAATGATAAATATTTGTGTATTTAAATACATCTCAATGTGGAAACACTAGAGTAAATATATGCTATAGAAGATTTTTTAAATGGTATACCTGTATGGGGCATGAATGGAGCTTGCAGGACTGGAAGTTGCTCTGGGTGAGTTGGTGAGTGAGTGATAAGTAAATGTGAAGACCTAGGACATTACTGTATACTACTGTAGACTTTATAAACACTGTAAAATTAGGCTACACTAAATGTATAAACAATTTTTCTTCAATAATAAATTAACCTTTGTTACTATAAAGTTTTTTACTTTATAAACGCTGTAATTTTTAAAATTTTGACTTTTTGTAATAACACTTAGCTTAAAACACAAATATATTGTATAGCTATACGAAAATATTTTTATATCGTTATTCTATAACCTTTTTTCTGTTTAAAATTTTTAATATTTTTTGCTTTTTAGACTTTTTTGTTAGAAACCAAGACACAAACATGTACATTAGCCTACACAGGGTCAGGAGCATCAGTATAATTGTCTTCCACCTCTACATCTGTCCCACTGGAAGTTCTTCAGGGAAAATAACATGCATGGAGCTGTCACCTCCTATGATAACAATGCCTTCTTCTGGAACACCTCCTGAAGAACCTGCCTGAGGCTTTTTATAGTTAACATTTTTTTTAATAAATAGGAGTACACCCTAAAATAACTGTGAAAAATATAGTACAGTAAATATACAAACCAGTAACATCGTCATTTATTATTATCAAGTATTACGTACTGTATGTAATTGTATGTGCTATTCTTTTTTACAACTGGCAAACAAGTGAGTAATGTGTTGCTCTACCACATGCTGATGGCTATAATGTCACCAGGCAATAGGATATTTTCAGGTCCTGGGATCACCATCATATATTTGATCTGTTGTTGACTGAAAAGTTGTTATGCAGTGCATGATTGTATACATTTTAAAAAATCATTGTAGTCAGCCTATTTAAGACAAATTCAGCAGACTCTACTAAAATTCCCTAAATGAAGACTGTGAATGGCTTGCTAAGAGTCCATGGGCATCTTGGACTTCCGGCTGCCAGAGAGCTGCACGGGTGAGAGTCCAGGGTAAAAGGAGTGAAAGGAGTTCCCTTCAGTCTTGGGCTGAGGAATTTGGAGTTAACCTTGTTAGAAGCAGACTCAGAAACTACCAGATCATCTAGAAAGGGTGTTTATCCCCATCTTTGGGGGCATACAGGTTATTCTCCAGACAAAGCGATACCCAACCATGTCTTGAAGGATAGTCAGAGTTAGCCAGATCCAGAAGGATATGAAGGAAGAAGAAAAGATTGTGTGCAGATTCTTGGAGGTGCAAGAACACCTCAGTCAGCTAGGGAAGGGTGAAAGCTCAGTGTGGTCAGAGGGAGACTTGCAGGTCAGGAAGTTAGAAAGATGATACTGGTTAACCACTGAATCCTGAAGGCTCACAGCATGGAAGGGTCCTTTTTTCTGTGTTAAAGAATTTTATTTTATCCTGAAGATAAATCCATGGTAAGATTTTAAACCAAAGACTAATAGAACCAGACATATTTTAGAAAGGTCATTCTAAGTTTTTGGCAACCTTCCTAAACTTCTATTTCCTCACTGGTAAAATGTGAATCAGTGCAATGCCTACCTTATAAAAGGGTTCTCAGGATTACATGAAATTGATATAAATTGCTGAGCACTGTACTCAGTTAATTTTGATGATTGTAATTATTATAAATCCCAGTTCTCACTGGTCTTTTCTTCTGACTGGAACATGAACTACCAAAAACGTTGGGCTAGACAGGGTAAGATGAAGAGTGAGCAGGGAGCAAAAGAACAAAGAGAACCTCAGAGGGATTGAGTGACTTTCTCAAGGTCACTCAGCTATGAAGAGTATGAGCTGGGACTTGCTCCCAGGTCTGCCTGCCTCCAGAGCTTACACTTTTAACCCCCTACCCAGAAACCTCTCCTTCCACCTTTTTAGACTCTAGCTGTATACATCATTTCAGAATCTCCTAGAAACCCTGCAGTCTTTTCAGAGAGACAGTAACAATTCCCTTTTAAAAGATAAGGTTTTTAGCATCTCCATGGCCTAGCCCAAATTCTGAGTGGGCAGCCGCTTTTCAGTTTAGAAGGTATCAAGGGTTTGGAAAGAACTAGAACCTGCTTCTTGGCTGTGAGAGGAAAACCTGGCCAGGCCTCTGAGAGTCTTCCAACAAAGCCTCACTCTCTCTGTGTAACCAACCCCTAGGAGACCCCAGGATGAAAGCCTGCCTGGTTTCTGAGGTCGCTGGTGTGGGGCCAGCTCCAGGAGTGAGCCGAAGACCTGCCTCCTTGCTGCTGCCAGGAAAACAATGGCCCAGGGGCCCCCAGCCAGGTGCAGCAGACCCTTCCAGGCACACAGGCTCACAAGTGGCAGGCTTTTTGTGAGCTCCAGGAGTGCCAGGCAAGAGGGAGGGAGCTTTGGTTTGGTTTGGTTTGGTCCCTTACTGAGCTTAGTGCATGGGGCTTTCAGGAGATCTTGGGTTTCAGTTCACACCCCATTGGATTTCACATCAACCTGAAAACTCACGGGGACAATCAGCTGAAACAACTGAGTTTGGTTGGCTCTCCCGTCAGAGCCATAAATCACACGGTTGCCACTGAGGAAAAGAGGAGGCGAGACGAGAAACTTGGCCCATCCTGGTTCTAATTTATCCCAAGTACGTGGGGGGTGGGGGAATTGTTGTAAATGACAGGGATTTTCATTGCACAACTGCTTAGGTTTTCATGATGAAATGTTTCTATCATGGCACTGAGGTGTGTTTCCTTAGAACTAGGTTCTGCCTCATATGACTAAGATGTCAATTCTAGGCCCAAATTCATCATCATCATCACTCAGAGGTACTTTATATGGTCAAACATTGTGCTAAGCTCTTGACTTTCATTAGATCCGCAAGTGAAGTAGGTGCCATTTATTATCTCCATTTTTTGGAGGAGGAAACTAGGCTTAGCTGGAAACTCAGCAGAGCTGGGATGTAAACCTAGGCAGGCGAGCTTAAGCACTGGATAGAGTGCGAGAGAACTTTCTAGCCCAAGGCACAGGCAGCTTCTCTTCACAAGGTTCGTAGAAGGGGCTAGGCGACCACAGGTTGGGGACTTACGATGCCGGCTGGAGTGTGGAATTGCTGATGAAGGTAACATGCTAAGGTCCAGGCTTCCAGGACTCTCTGCCAGGTCCGGCTGGAAGCAGCAGAACTCTGTCCTCTTCTGCTGCTGTGGAAGCCCCGACTGGAAATGCAGCTCTGGAGTCTCCCTTTCTCTTCGTTAAATCTCATTAACACTTGTGGGAGTTACGCCCCTGCCTCAAGGAGAACACAGACCTCTAATTGCTGTGAAAAGAGGCCTGGGAAACCCCGTTCCTCTACCACCCCTGACTCTGGGTCTCCTCCTCCTCTGCTCACCGCTGGCGGGGGCTCTTCCAGACTCTGCAGCCCTGGCTTGGTCCCCCAGATTATTAAGTCATTTGTAAAAATCAAACTCATGTGCTCTCCAGAATGTCTTTAGGTCAGCTATCACAACAGCATGGTCCTCTGAATTTTTTTCCCGGGTGCATACAGCAAATGGCCAATCCAAGTGCAGTGTAGAGAGATGGCAGGTCTGCAGTCTGTTTGGTCTTCATCCTCTCTGGGGAATCTTCTTTTTCTCTCCCAGTACCACAGACTAATATTCTGATTCACATTCTGTGATGCTGCCGTTCCTTCTTTCTTTTGTTTTTCTTTTTTTTTTTTTATACCTGCATAAACAGCAATGTCCCAAGCTATGTAGACCAGAGCAGTAAGCCAGTGATGAGCCGTGAACACCTGGACACTGATTGGATGACATTTGCAAAGAACTGGGCGAAGCATCTGGGAGCGAATGCTTGCGCTTGGCAGCAGAGCGGCTGGCGCGGGAGAGCCAGGGTCATCCCAAGAACTCTGTGTGATCCCAGTCCAAGGACAGGAGACAGGGCTTTCCTTGAAGGGAGGTACTGAATGAAAGGTGAGTCACGTAACTACAGCGGAGCGAAAAGGAAACAGAGAATGGTGAAGTCAAACAAAGGGGCAGGAAGAAAAAGAGACAACAGCGTTCCTCCCACCCTGCAGGGAGAAAGGAGCCGCCGCCATAACCTCAACTCAGTCCTCTCCCGCCATCTAGTGGTCATGCTTAGTGACTGCAGCACAGACTACTAAGGGGAATCGTGACACAGGGAGGTGTCGGTGAGATCGCTACCTTATGGCCTGAAGAGTAGACATACTCAACACAAAGGGTAACTCGAGCCAAAACCATCACCAGGAAAACAGGCCCTTTTCTGTGGAAGGGCTTGTTTGTTTTGATTCGAAATACTGTGCAATTAAAGAACAGATGTGTGTCTTGCTCAATCTGCAGGTTAATGGAGGTTGGCTTGGAAATTCCCCAGCCCCTAGCAATTTCTTTAAAAAGGATTCACGTGTGTAGCACACGATTAAAATCTCTGTCAGGAAAAGCCAGTTTTTTATGAATAAAGACTATTTGTTACTTCTATTTTCTGACACAATCCAGAAGCCAAACATTCCTTACATTTTGAAGAGGATAGAGAAGGAACCCTGTCACATCAGATCCCTTGTCTAGACTCCACTCCCTAGTCAGGGAACCTCAGGTTTTTATCCTCCTCTAATAATTAGCTTTCCTGTGAAAAATACATGACGCAGGTTCTGGTCAATTTTTTTTTCTGCAGATTTTCTTTCCCCATTCTCAAATACGAAATATTTGAAGTTCCCAGTGACCAAATCTTGGTACAGGTGTTGGCTGATTGAATTATAAAATGTAGAGCTTTTTGGCAGCAAGAACTAATGTGTAAAGAATAAAACATATATACACAAGGAGTTACAGCTTCACAAATATATATGTCTACCACAAGTAATTGTGCTTACCTATGCCAAAATTTTCACATGTATTAGATTCTAAGAGATGACAAAAAGATCAAGTAAATACAGCCTGTCAACATTCCTTTTTGTCTGTGCCTATATATATGAGATGAACAAAATTTGTAGATCTAAGCAGCAGGGTGCTTTCTCCAGGTTCCTCTGCATTCTTTTCTGGGTCACTATAAATCTATATATCTTTGACTGGATATAGATAAAGGTGCAGCCTAGACCTGTCCTTATAGAGAACGTCTGATGTTTGTTTGTTCTACAGCACATCTGTGCAGGTCTGTGGGGTCACCAGTTATTCTGGGAGTGATAATGTAGGCTCCCTTATGTAAGGCAAGCTGTGTTTTACTTTGGTGCTGGATGCCAAGGGTCCAAGCATGCTATAGAAAATTCCACTTTGATGCATTGACTGCTCTGGGGCCAAAGACCCCTTAGAATTGACTCTACTTGAAGCCTGACTTTCAAGAGTACTGAGCCTAGAACAGTCAGAAGAGCTGGGTTCATTCTGTCTGTGCTGCATTCAAAGGCATGATTAAGAGCCAAATGAGCTGAAGGATAGTAATTATGGGGCAAACAATAGACTCTCCCAGAGACAGGAGAGCAGGAAGATGCTAGGCAGTTTGGTGGTTACTTTGGTGAAGAAGTCATTTCACTTTGTCCTGTGTTTTACCCTCAGAGATTCAGTCTTCTTTTCTCCTCCTTTATTCACCCTGGGCCTAACCTTAGGAAATTAACATCTGCAGGCAATGAAAAGTATTTATTTTGAGCCATAAGACATGGGATCCTTATTTGCTCTTAAGGAGGAGTCACACCCTCATGGGGTCCTTACTGGCTCTTGAGGAGGAGCCACACCCTCAGTGGCTTCTGCTGGGTAGATATCTGGAAGCACTGATCCCACTGATGGACACAGCTGACTAGATCAGTGATGGAAACCTGACCAAGATGACATTCTAGAAGCCACAAGGGGTGTAAGTCAAGAAAAGGGGAAAAGCAGGGAATAAGGTAACTGGTAACTGCAGGAGAAATGGGGTGGTGGACTCCCCCAAAAGCAGCCATAATGGTAGAGCTCTAGCAAAGAGAAACACTGATATCTGAGGCTGGGGATGACACATCTGAAATTGCACAACCACCCTAAACAAGCTGTCACATCTCAGCTGACTGAGAAGGACATCCTGGCTACTCTCATTTTTGTTTTCCTTACTCCTCTGCAAACAGTTTGATAGTAACACCCATTGCCTGAACCAACTGGGTATATATCCATGTTCCTTAAAGAAATTGTACAGCCAGCTGCTCTGCTCCCTCACAGGCATGACGGTGGCATAACGGAGTGAACACAGTGTAATTTCTGTTTGTTCATCACCCTTGCTACCCACTTCCCTTTAGAAATGATCCAACTCTCTGTAATCTCAGCCGTTTGGGAGGCCGAGGCAGGTGTACCACCTGAAGTAAGGAGTTCGAGACCAGCCTGGTGAAACCCTGTCTCTACTAAAAATACAAAAATTAGCCAGACATGGTGGTGCACACCTGTAATCCCAGCTACTCGGGAGGCTGAGGCAGGAGAATCACTTGAACCTGGGAGGCGGAGATTGCAATGAGCCAAGATTGTGCCATCGCACTCCAGCCTGGGCAACAAGAACAACTCTGTCTCAAAACAGAAAAAAAGTAAAAAGAAAGAAATGATCCAACTATCTATTTATTTGTCTTTGTTGGGGGATGTTTGGCAGATCACATTCTCCAAAGGTGACAACAACTATATCCCCATTTCATATGTTCTTCAACAATGTGAACTTGTCATTCCTCCATGAGTGGGGTGGGCTTGTGACTGCTTCAACCAAGAGCACAGCAGAACTGCGGCAATGTGGCTTCCAAGGTGGGCTAATAAATGACAAAGGACTGCTTCTTGATGTGTGGCTGGGTAGGTAGGGAGTGGAAAGAGCCAGGTCAGGAAAGGTCCCAGGGCGCAGGGGTGGCTGCTTTTCCTCATCATGGCTGGATACCATGCCTCCTCCATTCTAAGATACTGTATATTTTAAAAGTATTATCAATTCAATGAAGACTTTAAAGGAACAGAGTCCCACCACCTCAATGTTAAACGTGTCATCTATTATGTGATGCATTAAAGGAAACATTAAAATATGAAAGAAATTCATGAAATGCAGGAAAGTATGGTAAGTCCTTGGGTGTCCTTGGACATCTTTCAGAACATTCTAACAGTCTAAAGGATGGAAGGCTTCTAGGCCTTATAAATCCCTGACCTCCCTAGTGTGTGCCAGCCATGCCAATTTATCCACTAGGCACAGTGTGGAGGGCCCACAATACTTTTAAGGTCCCAGAAAAATGTCTAAATGTCTTTATTTCTTTTAACATTTTTTTTAAAAAACTGGTAGGTTAAATTAAATGTTTTATATATATAAATATATAATATTTAATATATAACAGGAATATATTCATCTTTAGGCCAACACACTCATAAAAATATAATTTTTAATATTTAAGATATTTCATGTAAATATTTATAAATATTTAAAAGTTAATATCTAATGTGTTTTATGGAGAAAAATCCTCATGCATTCAAGTTGTCTCTGATCACCTGAGACTCAGACATGTACAAGCTCCTCTTTTACCCTCTCAATATCCAGATCTCAAGGAGCCTCTAGGAATGAATCCCAGAAGGGATTTTTTTCCTTTCAGCGCTTCCATATTTGGAGTCTAGGTGGCCCCATTGCTCTAGAGTTAGCTGTGTGATGGGCTGTGATTTACAGTGACTGTTAGGATGCTCGCCAATCCCTCCTGTGAAGCAGGCAGAGGTTACTGCTTTCAGTAGAGACAGTTCAATGTGCACAGCTGGGAGGAGGCCTGGGATTTTTCATAGCTGTCATTCTTTTAAACCCTCAGTCCCCAAGGATAATCCCATGGAAGGTAAAACCTGGCCATTTTCAACTCTGCTTGAATTATTGAGCATGCTGGGCATGAAAAAATTTAAATGTCTAGGAAAATAAATAGGGTGCATAAAAAGATTTTATTGCATGTCTGCAAATCAGAGAAGAACACTAAATGGCTGCTTTTAAAAAACATCATAGGAATTCCCTGCAATTTGGTATGAGATCTCTTGGCTCCCCTGAAAATCATGGACTCAAATACTTAGTGACAAACTATCAGAAAAAATAGAATTCCCTGAAGCTATTTCATACTTAGGAAGATGGCTTATGGAATTTTTGAGTGAAACAATAAATTTTCCACTTTCAGAATCTTTAGGCTTTTAGAATCTAAAAGACTGGATGGTTGCTCCTGAAACAATGGGAACAGGCTGATGCATCCAACTTTATTTTCTCTAGCTGCTTGGAGAAGGACGTACATGCAAACATGCATGAACAGAAGTAGATGAATCAAGGTACATTTTAAGACCACAAAAACCCACTCATAGGATTCTTGGGAAGGAGCGTCATTTCTTATATTTCTGCTTTTAATTTGTCTTACATCAATAGAGACTTCTTAACCCTTTCCCCCTCTCTTGGCCACTTTGAAAAGTGATTTGCTCCTATCACATTAAATTCAACTTTCATATCAATAAGATATCCTTTTTGTATTGTGAATTGCCAGCAGGGCTTGGAGTCTCTTTTTACAAGGTGAAAAGAGGCCTTGTACCGTAGAGTTCCCTGAGGAAATGCATGGTTAGACATTGTGTTCTCTCTAGGCAAATATAAGACCCCCTCAGCTAAACTTTACCGAAATGCATTCAGGTGAGGGATTTAAATGATCCCCCAAAATGATGATGAATACATTTTTCTCTGTATGCATGAAAAATGAGGTTTATTTTTCAATTGAAGTGAGATTATTCAATATTGCATATTGCACATGGCATGGTAAGTTCTAAATTTTTTTTTTTTTTTTTTTTTACACGGAGTCTCGCTCTGTCGCCCAGGCTGGAGACAGTGCAGTGGTGCAATCTTGGCTCACTGCAAGCTCCACCTCCCGGGTTCACGCCATTCTGTCCCTCCCGAGTAGCTGGGACTACAGGCGCCCGCCACCATGCCTGGGTAATTTTTTGTATTTTTAGTAGAGACGGGGTTTTACCATGCTAGCCAGGATGGTCTCGATCTCCTGACCTCATGATCCGCCCACCTCGGCCTCCCAAAGTGCTGGGATTTCAGGTGTGAGCCACCATGCCCGGCCATGTAAGTTCTAAATTCTTAGTGAAGATAGTAAAACTATAGAAAGGTCATTAAATGAAATTTTATCAAATAAAGGTGAGGAGAAGACAGGTAAATGGTAACCATTTACTACAGGTGCACTGTTGGTGGCAGGTTGATGATTTACTTTGGAACACCCCCCCCCCATAATAATTATGAATAAATAGTATATGCCATGAGTCAACATTATTCTAAACTTGTTACTTATATCGACTCAATCCTCACAACAACCCTATGAGGGTAGGTAATATGATTATCTTTATTTTATAGATGAGGGAACTGAGTGCCAAGAGATTAAATAACTTGCTCAGGGTCACATACAAACAGGAGCAGATCTGGTTTGAACCCAGGTTGGCTTTAGACTGTATGATTTTACACTCAGTCTTCTGTCTCTCACATCCGGCTCCCGATCGATACACGTCATGTAGGTTGTATAGGTCAGTCATTCCTAGAACTCACTGTTGTGTCGTCCCTTACTGCCCAGGACTCTCTAGTTGTAGATATGTGTCACACACAGGCTAGTGGGAAGCGTGGAGAGTTAACACTCAACCCTGCCCTAACAGCTCTCAACCAATGCCCAGGGAGACGGCAGATAAATACCAGCTCACTGCAGGTGGGCTCCTTTCAGGCTCCCAGAGGTTCCCAGCAGGTAGCCCATAGCGGTACGTTGGCCCTCAGCGTACCCAATGCTGGTTTGCTTCCCTCCCCTGTTTCACTTCCTCACTTCCATGGCAGTACTTCCTGGGATCTCCTCCCAAATAAACTGCTTGAACTCAAATCCTTGTCTCAGGGTCTACATCTGGGGGACTCAGTCTAAGACATGGACTTTGTATTTAATAGTTTGAAAAATCACGACTGATGAATTAATCATTGGCAACTATGAAAATTGTCCAAAAACTAACTCCGTTTCATTCTGCCATACTGCATTGACCAAAAACAAACAAATAAACAAAGTCAATCTGCAAGAAATATTGAGAGTCTACCAAATGATTTTAAACAATTCTGGGTAATGGAGGAGATCATTTATTTCTATGCCCCTGCACTTAAATGAATCAATTTGATAAATTTTCTTAGCAGAAACTTCAAAAAAAGGAAATATATCAAATGTTGCATGACTATATCAAGGACCCCAAATTATTTTTAGATTCTGATCTAAAAGGTAATAACACAAATAAATAGGATATTGAAAATACTCAGATCAAAGTAAAAAGTGTCACATTCCATTCCATTCCATTATAATTTTTCCAATATATTGAATATATTGGGCTCTGATATAGTTTGGCTGTGTCCCCACCCACATCTCATCTTGAATTGTAGTTCCCATAATCCCAGCATGTCACGGCAGGGACCCGGTGGGAGGTAATTGAATCATGGGGGCGGTTACCTGCATGCTGTTCTAGTGAGTTTTCATGAGATACGATGGTTTTATAAGGGGCTTTCCGCCCCCCTTTGCCCTGCACTTCTCCCTGCTGCCATCATGTGAAGAAGGACATATTTGCTTCCCCTTCTGCCATGATTGTAAGTTTCCTGAGGCCTCCCCAGCCCTGCAGAACTGTGAGTCAATTAAACCTCTTTTCTTTATAAATTACCCAGTCTCAGGTATTTCTTCATAGCACTGTGAGAATAAATTAATACAGACTTTTTTGGAAAAAAAGAGGTTTTTTCCACAAACTGTATGTTTTGATGTGTAATTGTATTTTTAATTTGTCCTAAGTATATGTTGGTATCTAGATATTTTTTCTTTTGCCACAAGCCCATGTGAGCTATTTTTCTTGCTCTCTTTAAATGCTTTCCTTGTTCTTCCATTTTATTTCAATTAGAGACTGTAGCAATAAAAGCACATCACAATGTCCAAGATTGAGCTTAACTGGTACATTGCCATCACCTCCGAAAGCATAATAAAGTCGAATATTCTAAAAATAACTGTGTGTGAAAGAAGGCATGGAATCACTCGTGGTGATTGTTCTCTAAGTGCATCTCTGGGCCTGTTTGCTTACTAAGCTGAACCCCCCGGGAGCAAGCCACAGCCAGCACTATTCTTTCCCACCACAACCTCTTCTAACTCTCCTCGGAAGTCATTTCCCCGAAGCAAGCTCGGATAGGTTCCATAGCTTTCTAGGTACTTTCTGGTAATAAAAGTTCTCCTGAAATTGTTAAATAATTAAAATCCCATTCAGTGTGATATCAAAACTCCAACCTTCATTTAATTTAAATTTTCTCACCTCCTATCTTCAGATCCTGGGGAAGAGAGGAAGAAACCTTATGACCCAAATTATCTTTCTTGCCCAGAACATTGTAATCTGGCAGCAGTACCTTCTATGTGGTGGTTGCACAGTGGTTGGCCCCCTTTTTTATAGGCGTTTGGTGGTTTCCTAGAAGTTCTTCCTGTTAGACATGGTAAGGGCAGTTCCTCTGAGGCAGACAAGGCAGCATCTGGCTGGTCATGTGGACTCTCTGCCTCCCAGGCTTTGGGCTTTTCTTGGACCACATGTGGGTGGGTCTTGGATTCATATGATTCTCTTGGTGAATACATTTAAGATGACTCTCACTGGGACCCTTTTATGGCATACACTCCTGGAGTCTGGGGAAACACACGCAAGACTCTTCAGTGGCAGCAGACAGACAACCTCAGCCTGCATCTCACCTTTAGAGCTTCCACGCTCCAACACAGTGACATGGGGGAGAAGTGGTGGAAATCAGAGATGTGGAAAGGAGAGTGGAGGATGTGAGCTAGGGAGCAAGAGGGGGAACCTGCACGGAATGAATCTAAAAACCACACACATTCTCAAAGCATAGAAGACAAAAGAATACTTTCCTTTTTTTTTTTTTTTGATAAAGGCAGAATAGCCACATTATTAAAAGATGACACAAATAGCACAAAACAACAACAAAAATGCCAGGCCAGTCTTTCATAATATAACAATGAGAAGTGCTAAATACTAGCAAATAAAATTCAGCACCAACTTAAATAAACGCTATACTACAACCAAATAAAATAGTTCCCAGGAATGTAAAGATGGTTTATATTAGGAAATACATATATGTGTATGTATACACACACACACACACACACACACACACACATAATGTCAGTTGTTAGAAGAAGAAAAATATGATTATTTCGAAGGATAATGACAAGATTGTAATAAAGTTCAACTCAAATTTTGTATTTAAAAAAACAATTTAGTAAACCAGGAATAGAAGGATGCTTCCTTAATACAAGGAAGAATATTTATCTTAAGCCAATAGATAGTTATTCTCTTAATAGCAAAACAAGCACTACAGGCATTGCCATTACCAAAGGAACAAAATAAGTATTCCCTTTGTCCACACTTATATAATACTGTTGTTAAAGTTCTAAATATTCTACTAATATTTGAAAAAGAAAAGCCACATTTGTAGTTACTGGAAATGAAGAGACAACGTAATAACTATAAGCAAATAATATCACATAATCTTAAAACTCCAAAGCATCTACTGAAAAACTATCAAGATATAGATATGAGACAAAAATACAAATTGAAACGTTTGTTAAGTATTTGTTAGAATACGTTTTAAGTAGAAAAGCAACAAAAACAACAAAAGGTTTCTATTCATGATTTTAATAAGACACACAGAAAACCCGAGGGATAAGCTTATATGCATGATCCATATGAAAAAAAATCACAAGACCTGGCTGTGATTCATAAAAATAGAGAGATTGATGATGTTCCTGGATGGGTAAATGAATACTGTAAAGATGTCATATTAATTTAGAGGTCTAATGTCATCTCAATCCAAATCTCAGTGAGATTTTTCAAAAATTTGACAATGTGCTAATAAAATTTATCTGGAGGCAAAAGTGCAGACTAAATGCCAAAAAAAAAAAAACCACACAAAAAGAAAACTCAAGATCAGTTCTACCAAATATAAACTTTAAGACCATAACAAAGAAAATATTATGGCTAAAAATTCAGGAAAGAATCAAATTAGATATTTCCTAAAGAAATAACATTAAAATAAATTTCAGATGGCTATGTGAGATCAAAACAAAACAAAACCTGAAAGTAGAGGGAGATAAATGTCTGTGGTCCCTTTGTGAATAAGGACATTCCAATCTAAAAGCAGTTAAAGAAAATACAAAATTAAAATAAGAATAAAAACTTAGAAGATATAATTTCAAGGAAAATCTGAAGCTTCCATAAGTCAAAATATTTAATTACCAAAATTAAATGTAGGCACAAAAAAAAAAAAAAAAAAAAAACAGGTAAGTTATTTGCACCTATACATAAAGAACTTGGAATTCATATAACTCATTAGGAATGGTACAGAATTTAACCATAAAAATCAAGATTCTTAAAATTCTTAAAATTTTTGACCCAGTGATTCTACTTATAGCATCTATCCTAAGAAGGATGTTAAACATGCACAAAAAGACATATAAGCAAGTTTATTACATCAACATTTACGCCAGAAAAACACTAGAAATAGCCTACGTGTCCAGCTCTAGAGAAGTGACTATTATACATCCATATAATAGAATGCAGCTGTAAAAATGACATTTTCCAGGAATATTTAATAATCTGGAAAATTGCTCCCAATATAATGCTAAGTGGAAAAAAGCAGATATAAAACTATGCATTTCAGTTTCCATAAATATGAAAATGTGTATTATTTATTTACTTAGATGTACATACAGACACATTTGTAAAAGTGGAAGGAAATGCTTCAAAATGTTGACAGTGAGTTGACAATATCTGCCTTCTGCCTTCATTTTTATCTTAAATTCTTAGGTAAATTTTTAACTTGTGTAAAATAAGCACATAGTACTTTAAAAAAATTTTTAGAAGAAGATGTACACATGCTTTTAAATTATTGAAGTAAATAAGAACAAAGTTGGAGGACTCGCACTTCTCAGTTTCAAAACTTCCTACAAAGCTGTAGTAATCAAAACGACATGGTACTGGCATAAGTATAGACATATATACCAATGGAATAGAGTTGAGTGTCCAGAAATAAACCATACATGTATGGTCAATAAATGTTTTGCAAGGATTCCAAGACCACTAAATGAGGAAAGAATAGTCTTTTCAATATATGATCCCAGGTTACCTGAATATTCACATGCAAAGAGTGATTTGGACCTCTACCTCACACCATTTATAGAAATTATCTCTAACGGATCTAAGGCTTACCAAAATATAAGTGCTAAACCTGTAAAACTCTTAGAAGAAAATATAGCTGTGATATAGCTTTATGACCTTTGGTTAGGCAACAGTTTTTAAAATATGACATCAAAAGCACAATAAATAAATAATTGGACTTAAAACCTTCTATGTATAAAAGGAAACTATCAAAAAAGGGAAAAGATGACCCAGAGAATATAAGAAAATTTGTGCAAATAATATATCATATATATCCAGAATATATAAAGAACCTCACAAAACTCAAGAATAAGGTAAATAACCCAATTAAAAGATGGACAAAGAATGTGAATAGATAGTTCTCCAAAGAAGATATGCAAATGGCTGATAAGTATGTGAACAGATGCTCATTAGGAATTAGAAAAAGGCAAATAAGAAACCACAATGAGATGCTACTTCATACCTACTAGAACTACTATCATCATCATAATAATAAGCCAAGAAAATAACTGTTGGTAAGGATATGGATAAATTGGAACCTTTAATATATTGCTGGTGGGAATATATTATTAAATGGTGCAGTGCTCTGGAAAAAGTTTGGCAATCCCTCAAAAGTTAAAGATTTGCCGTATGACCCTACAATTCTATACCTAGGTATATGCCCAAGAGAATTGAAAATATATGTTCACACAAAAGCTTGTACCGGAATGTTCATAGGGACATTATTCACAAGAGCCAAAAAGTGGAAACAACCCAAATGTCTATCAATTGATGAATGGATAAACAAAATGTGGTATATTCATGCAATGAAATATTATTAGGCAATAAAAAAGAACGAAGCGCTGATACATGCTACACCATATATGAGACTTGAAAACATTATGCTAAGGAAAGAAGCCAGACAAAAAAGGGTCACATATTATATAACTTCATTCATGTGAAATATCCAAAATAGGTAAATTCATAGTGACAAAAGTAGTTGCCAAGGGCAGGTAGAGGATGGGATTGGGAGGTATAGGGTTTCTTTTGGGAGTGATGGGAATATTCTGGAGTTACTTAATGGTAACAGTTGTACGACATTGTGAATATACTAAAAACTATTAGATTGCACACTTTAAAATGGCTAAAATGGTGACTTTTATATCAATCTTTTTTTTAAATTATTAAAATACATGTTTTAAAATAAAATACAAATCAAATGTGTGCAGAACTCCTGAAGCACCTCAGCTCAGATCTTTTATGTGGCCAGATTCTGGCTACAAAATCTGGATCCCATCCTGTCCACATGACACTGGGGAGGATACTTGCTGTCTTGAGCCCATTTTCTCATCTATGAAATGGGATGCCTTCTTGCCTCATCTGAGTCATTATATGGTTCAAACGAGATAACTTTGTTAACAACAAGGCAAGGTCATAAGGGATTATTATCGTAATCTCTTGTCACTCTCGGCTAGATTATGCCAGAGGGGTGAACAGAATGCCTTAAGAGAACATGTCCTCTGCCTGGCTCAGAATAGATGATATTTGAGCTGGTCTTAAAAGATGACTTTGCCAGGCCAAGACCTGAGGATAGCCTTTTTAGACAGAAGGAAATGTATATTATTAAAAATGAGCAAACTCAGAAAATGCTACATGTTTAGTGACTGGAAATCACTGGAATACAAGTTGTGGGAGAGAGCAATTGAGAGGAATTTGGACCAGATCAAGTAGGGTCTTTTGTATAAGGTGTATGGGTTTTATTTTCGTGATAATGGAAAGCCAGTGGACATGTTTAGGAGGCATGTGTCAAGATCCAGTATGGATCCTAGGAAGAGGTCTGATGACATCATGGAGGATGAGCTGTGTAGGGAGATATTCAACAGGTAGATCTGACAGGAGGTGGTTGAAACACTCAAGTGGCAGGTGTCAAGAATCTAACCCTGGACAAGATAAAAGTAAGGACAAAAAGTAAGATCTGAAAGGAAGCGCATTTTGAGGTAGAACCCAAAGTATTTGGTAACGGACTAGATATGTAGTGAAGCAGAGGAGGAACAAAGGGCAACTGTGAGGTTTCTGGTTTTGAAAACTGGGCATACTACCCAGTTAATCAAGATTGGGCATACCACCGCTGATCAAGATTGTAGGTTTTTTGGAGAAGGAGCTGGCATAGTGAGGAAGATGAGGTTGGTTTGGGATACAGTAAGAATTAAGTGCTTACCCAGGAAAACAAAAATTAAAAAAAGAAAAAAAAGAATTAAGTATGGATTGATGGAATGCAAGAAACACACTCAAGTAAATGCAAGGAAACAAGAATTTACTGTGAGAAGGCATTCAAATGTAGATTTGTGGAGTCATAGACCATGGTTTCCTTATTCAACAAAATTTCTCTTATACCTAGCAAAGTTCCTGGCATAAAGTAGGTTTTCAAATTGTATTTGATAAAGGATGGTTAATCTCATGAAATACAATGAAAGCAATAAAGCATAGGCTTGCTGGCACTGGAAAATTCTCAGGCAGCCACCTACTCCATCTCTATCTTTCTGAAATCACGATGTCCTTTGCTTTGCTTCCCTTTGCATGTCTGCCCTAATCTCTGGATTCTCCCTGTATACTGGCTTTCTCTGCTTATTTATCCTCAGGACACAATTCCAAGCCCTAAATCACCTTACAGATGGAGGTGATTGATTCCCACACAAGGGAATCTGACTGGACTAGCTTGGATGAGATATCCACTCTGGCCAAGTCAGCTATGGCCTGAGGGATGAAGTCAGAGTGATTTATGTGACTACTCTTTATGGGATGTGGGCACGTCTCTAAGAAGGGAATGTTGGCAAACAAAAAAATGACTGGTATCTCTGGTATAAGCCTGCAGCCAAACATTCAGGTGTAGATGAGAATATGGGGCCTATATTTTGGAAAAACTGGTCATAGATCTTGGAGTCATTAGCAAATAGATAGTGGTTGAATTCTTCAATTTAGATGAGACGACCTGGGAAGAGTATGTAAAATGATGTGAGAATGTAGAAGTGATAGAAACTGGGCTAAGAAAAATAGAGAAATAGCCAATGAATTAGAGAGGTAATTGTCAGAGAGATATAAAGAAAACCAGGAGACCTGAGTCATAGGCTTTGAAGAAGGAGAGAATATTAATAAATGGAGATCAGGTTCATTTAAATTTTTACAAATGATTTGTTGATAGTTTCACAAGCCTGTAAGTTGAGGGAAAAGTTGGATATAATGTTTCTGTATGTCAACCAGGCATTTGACATCTTTCATAACATCATTTTGGGACAAAATAGAGAAATAAGGGTTGGATTGAGTTCAAAAGGAAAAATTATCAATTAGGCAAATGAAGAATCCCAAAGGGATGCAGGTTGATGGGATAGTATCCACCACTGGAGGTTCTAATGTGAGCTGGGAGGTTCCAGTGTTGTTTTGTCTTTGTGAACATTTTATAAACGATGTGAAAACTAAGATGATTTATTTATCCAATTTGTGAATAGGACAAATCTGGGAGGAATAGCAAGAAATGTGTGACCAAGTGAGGGTCCCACGTGCATTCAGTAGAAAAAAGATAGAATTGTTTATGGTTAGATAGATGGAGGAAGGCCATCTGTTGTACTGTAGAGAGCAGAGAACCCATGTTCTAATCCTGACTGTGAGCCAATAACTTGACAAATTACTGAAACCGATGATTTCCAACCTATACCTGATTTAAATCCCTGCCAATGGGATAGGAACAGGGAATTCATACACTATTTGTAACCATTTTTCCAGGACATTCAAATGCTACCCATCACTATCCATGGGATAACATCTGAAGGCACTGACTTAAAATTTTAATAGGCTCAGTATCTGCATCTCTAAAATGATAGCTCACCAGGATGATCCCTAAGGTCTCCTTTCCAGCTCTGACATTTGTATCTGTGTTTGTGTAGGGGAAGCATGTGTCTCAGCAGAAGAGTTTGCCTAACATCTAACTGCTGGCCTCGGTCCCCACCCCGGGGGTTTGAATACCTCCACGACACTCCATTGTCAAGAATTCTCATTATCTGGTCATAGTGAAGCTATGCAGTGGCTTTAAAAGAAAGCTTAAAATATAAATATACATTTATATAAAATGATTGGGTGAGTAAACAAATAAAACCTTAGGTCTCAGACACTAAAAGGCTCAATGGCATGTAATGCTGATGGTCTGTTTCTCAAATGTATCCACATATGTTTGTTTAACCCCCAAGTTCACCCTTAAATGTCTGATTTTAGTGTAAATGGAAAGAGAACCCAGTGTGCTGAGATAAGATCTAGACAAGTGATAGCGATGGTGCATCATAGATGTGTCTCCCATAACCACAGGTCAAGTGGAGTTCCTACCATAGGACAGGCTGAGTGGAAAGCTAAGATAGAGCCATTAATGTCTCATTGCTAGGAAGAGAAGCTGGATATTCAATGACACTTTAGGATAAAACCACAGTTGAGACTGGACGCCATATCAGTAGCTCAGGGAATCTCACTCAATCATGGAAGAAGATCAAGGCTCAGATCAAGGCTTATCTGATGCCTGATTCCACAACAGTTCAGCACCAACCATCTGCCAATCACTTTTTTAAAGGACCTCACTGACTTCCACAGTGTGGCAATTCCTCAGGGATCTAGAACTAGAAATACCATTTGACCCAGGCATCCCATTACTGGGTATATACCCAAAGGACTATAAATCATGCTGCTATAAAGACACATGCACACGTATGTTTATTGCGGCACTATTCACTATAGCAAAGACTTGGAACCAACCCAAATGTCCAACAACGATAGACTGGATTAAGAAAATGTGGCACATAGACACCATGGAATACTATGCAGCCATAAAAAACGATGAGTTCATGTCCTTTGTAGGGACATGGATGAAATTGGAAATCATCATTCTCAGTAAACTATCGCAAGGACAAAAAACTAAACACCGCATGTTCTCACTCATAGGTGGGAATTGAACAATGAGAACACATGGACACAGGAAAGGGAACATCACACTCTGGGGACTGTTGTGGGGTGGGGGGAGGGGGGAGGGATAGCTTTAAGAGATACACCTAATGCTAAATGACAAGTTAATGGGTGCAGCACACCAGCATGGCACATGTATACATATGTAACTAACCTGCACATTGTGCACATGTACCCTAAAACTTAAAGTATAATAATAATAAAATAAAAAATAAAAGAAAAGAAAAGAAAAAAAAAAGGACCTCACTGCCTGGTGAGAAAGATAGAACAGAGAGCTATAAAATAACGTAAAAGCTACTATGGACGCATAGAGGAAGAACAACAATTCTTCCCTCCAGGAAGGATTCTCTGGGAAGGCTTTTCAGAGTACTATATGTAACTAAAAGCAGAGCTTTGAAAAATAAATCTAGGAACATCTGAAGGTAGATATAGCGAGGTGACAGTGGGCAAGAAGGCCTGAGAAAAGTTGTTCCAGGCAGTTACAGGGTTAAGTACATACACATACCAAGCATGCTATATGTGGAGACCTGCAAGTAGAGAGAGTACAGGGAGTTAGTGAGGCTGGAGATGAAGGCAGTGACAAAAATATGAGGCCCCACTGAGGAACTTGCACTTTATCCTATAGGAAATTGAGAATGTTTTTGAGGGGTTATAAGCATAAGGGTGAACTCTATAGCCTCAGTCTGGAAGGTGGATTTAATGGAGCTAAAACTAGAGGCAGGAAGGCCAGTTATAATAACCACTGATGAACAAAAGGTGATTAAGGCCAGTATAGAAACATGGCAGTAGAGATGGAGAGAAGCGGAATTATTTTGAAAATTTTTAGATCATATCAGCTGGATTTGGTGATAGGAAGGGTAAGGAGCAGGATGAAACTAGGATGAGCTCCTAGGTTTTTGGCTTCGATGATAGGATGGCACTAATTTAAGAAGAGATCACAGGAGGAAGATCAGGCAGCATGGATTACTCTGAGGTTCAGATGAAGAGGAAATAAGATTGGATGGTAGCTAGAGAGTATGGTGACGCTAGACTATACATTTCAGGAAGACAGAGATTACATCTGCATTATTTGCTCACAATACTCTCAGCATCTAGAACAATGCTTGCCCTTGGTAAGCACTCAATAAATATTATTTTGAGTGAATATGGAAGGGCCAGTGGAAGGATCATTGACATGAGAAAAATTTGAACATGTTTGCAGGAAGAGAGAAAGAAGCAAGTGTGGGAGGAATAAGGCCATAACAAAGGGAAGTTGTGCTCCGTATAGTGAGGGGTATTAGAACATGCCACCCCAATATACACCACTCTGGCATAACCGTTTTTTTGAGCTGAAAGCAATTGAAAATCAACAGATGCAGGAAGGGTTTTCTGTCTTCGTATCATGTGCTTAAAATCAGGGCATAAATTTACCTTTGTGAAGATGCCCTCCCTGCCACAAAGAAAAGAGTGACTCTAATCACCAGAGAAAGAAAGTCAACATAGAGATGAGTTTGCATAAACAGACCTTTCTAAAATATTCCTGTTTCATTAGTTCCCTCATATATTCCTAGTCATTTCTCCATAATTTATAGTCCCTTAAACCCCAAAACCTTTTTCCCTTATTAAAATTGTATATAAACCTAAAGTCTAACCACTTCTTTTTTTTTATACTTTAAGTTTTAGGGTACATGTGCACAATGTGCAGGTTTGTTACATATGTATACATGTGCCATGTTGGTGTGCTGCACCCATTAACTCGTCATTTACATTAGGTATATCTCCTAATGCTATCCCTCCGCCCTCCCCGTCCCCCACAACAGGCCCCTGTGTGTGATGTTCCCCTTCCTGTGTCCATGTGTTCTCATTGTTCAATTCCCACCTATGAGTGAGAACATGCGGCGTTTGGTTTTTTGTCCTTGTGATAGTTTGCTGAGAATGACGGTTTCCAGCTTCATCTGTGCCCCTACAAAGGACGTGAACTCATCATTTATTATGGCTGCATAGTATTCCATGGTATATATGTGCCACATTTTCTTAATCCAGTCTATCGTTGTTGGACATTTGGGTTAGTTCCAAGTCTTTGCTATTGTGAATAGTGCCACAATAAACATACGTGTGCATGTGTCTTTATAGCAGCATGATTTATAATCCTTTGGGTATATACCTAGTAATGGGATGGCTGGGTCACATGGTATTCCTACTTCTAGATCCCTGAGGAATCGCCACACTGACTTCCACAATAGTTGAACTAGTTTACAGTCCCACCAACAGTTTAAAAGTGTTCCTATTTCTCCACAGCCTCTCCAGCACCTGTTGTTTCCTGACTTGTTAATGATCCCCATTCTAACTGGTATGAGATGGTATCTCAGTGTGGTCTTGATTTGCATTTCTATGATGGCCAGTGATGATAAGCATTTTTTCATGTGTTTTTTGGCTGCATAAATGTCTTCTTTTGAAAAGTGTCTGTTCATATCCTTTGCCCACTTTTTGATGGGGTTGTTTTTTTCTTGTAAATTTGTTTGAGTTCATTGTAGATTCTGGATATTAGCCCTTTGTCAGATGAGTAGATTGCAAAAATTTTCTCTCATTCTGTAGGTTGTCTGTTCACTCTGATGGTGGTTTCTTTTGCTGTGCAGAAGCTCTTTAGTTTAATTAGATCCCATTTGTCAATTTTGGCTTTTGTTGCCATTGCTTTTGGTGTTTTAGACATGAAGTCCTTGCCCATGCCTATGTCCTGAATGGTATTGCCTAGGTTTTCTTCTAGGGTTTTTATGGTTTTAGGTCTAACATTTAAGTCTTTAATCCATCTAGAATTAATTTTTGTATAAGGTGTAAGGAAGGGATCCAGTTTCAGCTTTCTATATATGGCTAGCCAGTTTTCCCAGCACCATTTATTAAGTAGGGAATCCTTTCCCCATTGCTTGTTTTTGTCAGGTTTGTCAAAGATCAGATGGTTGTAGATATGCAGCATTGTTTCTGAGGGCTCTGTTCTGCTCCATTGGTCTATATCTCTGTTTTGGTACCAGTACCATGCTGTTTTGGTGACTGTAGCCTTGTAGTATAGTTTGAAGTCAGGTAACGTGATGCCTCCAGCTTTGTTCTTTTGGCTTAGGATTGACTTTGTGATGCGGGCACTTTTTTGGTTCCATATGAACTTTAAAGTAGTTTTTTCCAATTCTGTGAAGAAAGTCATTGGTAGCTTGATGGGGATGGCATTGAATCTATAAATTACCTTGGGCAGTATGGCCATTTTCACGATATTGATTCTTCCTACCCATGAGCATGGAATGTTCTTCCCTTTGTTTGTAACCTCTTTTATTTCATTGAGCAGTGGTTTGTAGTTTTCCTTGAAAAGGTCCTTCAAATCCCTTGTAAGTTGGGTTCCTAGGTATTTTATTCTCTTTGAAGCAATTGTGAATGAGAGTTCACTCATGATTTGGCTCTCTGTTTGTCTGTTATTGGTGTATACGAATGCTTGTGATTTTTGATTTTTGCACATTGATTTTGTATCCTGAGACTTTGCTGAAGTTGCCTATCAGCTTAAGTAGATTTTGGGCTGAGACGATGGGGTTTTCTAGATATACAATCATGTCATCTGCAAACAGGGACAATTTGACTTCCTCTTTTCCTACTTGAATAACCTTTATTTCCTTCTCCTGCCTGATTGCCCTGGCTAGAACTTCCAACACTATGTTGAATAGGAGTGATGAGAGAGGGCATCCCTGTCTTGTGCCAGTTTTCAAAGGGAATGCTTCCAGTTTTTGCCCATTCAGTATGACATTGGCTGTGGGTTTGTCATAGATAGCTCTTATTATTTTGAGATACGTCCCATCAACACCTAATTTATTGAGTGTTTTTAGCATGAAGCGTTGCTGAATTTTGTCAAAGGCCTTTTCTACATCTATTGAGATAATCATATGGTTTTTGTCATTGGTTCTGTTTATATGCTGGATTACGTTTATTGATTTTCGTATGTTGAACCAGCCTTGCATCCCAGGGATGAAGCCCACTTGATCATGATGGATAAGCTTTTTGATGTGTTGCTGGATTCAGTTTGCCAGTATTTTATTGAGGATTTTTGCATCGATGTTCATCAGGGATATTGGTCTAAAATTCTCTTTTTTGGTTGTGTCTCTGCCAGGCTTTGGTATCGGGATGATGCTGGCCTCATAAAATGAGTTAGGGAGGATTCCCTCTTTTTCTGTTGATTGGAATAGTTTCAGAAGGAATGGTGCCAGCTCCTCCTTGTACCTCTGGTAGAATTCGGCTGTGAATCCATCTGGTCCTGGACTTTTTTTGGTTGGTAAGCTATTAATTATTGCCTCAATTTCAGAGCCTGTTATTGGTCTATTCAGAGATTCAACTTCTTCCTGGCTTAGTCTTGGGAGGGTATATGTCGAGGGATTTATCCATTTCTTCTAGATTTTCTAGTTTTTTTGCATAGAGGTGTTTATAGTATTCTCTGATGGTAGTTTGTATTTCTGTGGGATCGGTGGTGATATCCCCTTTATCATTTTTTATTGCGTCTATTTGATTCTTCTCTCTTTTCTTCTTTATTAGTGTTGCCAGCGGTCTGTCAATTTTGTTGATCTTTTCAAAAAACCAGCTCCTGGATTCATTGATTTTTTGAAGGGTTTTTTGTGTCTCTATTTCCTTCAGTTCTGCTCTGATCTTAGTTATTTCTTGCCTTCTGCTAGCTTTTGAATGTGTTTGCTCTTGCTTCTCTAGTTCTTTTAATTGTGATGTTAGGGTGTCAATTTTAGATCTTTCCTGCTTTCTCTTGTGGGCATTTAGTGCTATAAATTTCCCTCTACACACTGCTTTGAATGTGTCCCAGAGATTCTGGTATGTTGTGTCTTTGTTCTCGTTGGTTTCAAAGAACATCTTTATTTCTGCCTTCATTTCGTTATGTACCCAGTAGTCATTCAGGAGCAGGTTGTTCAGTTTCCATGTAGTTGAGTGTTTTTGACTGAGTTTCTTAATCCTGAGTTCTAGTTTGATTGCACTGTGGTCTGAGAGGCAGTTTGTTATAATTTCAGTTCTTTTACATTTGCTGAGGAGTGCTTTACTTCCAAGTATGTGGTCAGTTTTGGAATAGGTGTGGTGTGGTGCTGAAAAGAATGTATATTCTGTTGATTTGGGGTGGAGAGTTCTGTAGATGTCTATTAGGTCTGCTTGGTGCAGAGCTGAGTTCAATTCCTGGATATCGTTGTTAACTTTCTGTCTCGTTGATCTGTCTAATGTTGACAGTGGGATGTTAAATTCTCTTGAGTTTCACTTCTTTTCTGTGACCTCTTGTGCACATAAGTGTTAATACAAATTATGTTCTTTCCTCCTGTTAATCTGTGTTTTGTTAGTTTAATTTGCAGATCCTCAGGAACTAAACCTAAGAGGACAGAGGAAAAGATTTTTCTCTCTGAAAATAGGAGGTCCCTAAAGAGGTGGGAAGGGGGCTGGGCTCGGTTGCTCACACCTGTAATCCCAGCACTTTGGGAGGCTGAGGTTGGGAGTTCGTGAGCAGCCTGACCAACATGGAGAAACCCCGTCTCTACTAAAAATACAAAATTAGCCGGGTGTGGTAGCGCATGCCTGTAATCTAACCCCAGCTACTCGGGAGGCTGAAGCAGGAGAATTGCTTGAACCTAGGAAGCAGAGGTTGTGTTGAGCCTAGATCACACCATTGCACTCCAGCCTAGGCAACAAGAGCAAAACTCTGTCTCAAAAGAAAAAAAAAAAAAAGAGGTGGGAAGCGATGGAGTTAAGGGAAATACTTGACAAAATGTGCAACATTGCATCCTCTGAGACAAGAGAAAAGTTGCTCTGGATGAATATTAATATAGCTATTTACAGGGACAATACCGGGGAGCTGAAGGAGGTTATGCCTAATGGGCCCTCATTTCCTTGATGAAGTAAGAGACAGTCTGAGTGAGACCCCACTCTTTTTCATTGTCCATGAACCAACTGAGCCAGAAGGGCTGGGCTTTTTGTTTCCTCCCTGTCAGATCCTGAATGACACCTCTCTAAGCATCAATAAGTCCCAAGAGTCCTGGTACTTTATCTATTAATTGAGAGTAAAAGAATCTTAGAAACTCCTTTACAACAACAACAAAAAATCTAATTTTCAAGACTTGCTATATATTATACTTTGAGACCCAGTGATCCTTTTCCTTTTTCCTTTACCTCCACTCTCTTCCTCTAAGATTAATTCTTTACTAAATGGGTCTTTATTCCTTTAAGTAAATAGAGTCCTGCCAGCCTCCTCTACCAGCTGTGTAGATATGTCCAGACTTGCCTAAATCCCAGGGCAGAAAAAAGCAAAAAAGTTCAGCTTTAAGCTGCATCTCCTACTGTGCAAAAAGAAGTGTGGATCCATTCAGTAAGAAATGAGTCAAAAAATGTAAATGCCCAAGAGACTATAAAATAGGTGAGGAATATGAAACAGCAAATGAGAAACCATACAATGTATGCAGCATTCATTTTTACCTGACTGAGAAGAATCATGAGTAATGAAAACATCAAAAACCAGGAAAGTAGTCTCTATTTTCCCCCCAAATGCAACGATCATTTTATGGCAGGTCTTATAGTCTAACCCTACTATTTTCAAATGGGCAAAGAAAATTTAGTTTCACTTTCCACCTCTGATTAATCTCTAGGGACCAGTTTTTGTCCAATCTAGTAAACTTGGTCCAATTCAAAAATTCAGATGTCTTTAGAAAACTGAGTCTCTGTATAATTCTTGGTCTTCACATTTTCTCCCCTGTCTTTTGCTTCTCTCTAAGAGAGCACATGGCTACAGAGGGTGATTTTGGTGTATAATCTCATGATGGGTTAGAGGAGAGAGGCAGAGGCCTTGGATCCATACAATCTCTTCTAGATCACTGCTTCTGAAACTTAAATGTGACATGAATTAAATGTTCATCTTGTCAGAGTGCAGATTCTGATTCAGTAGTTCCAGGATGGTGCCCAAGATTCTTCATATCTAACAAGATCAAGTGATGCTGATGCTGCTGGTCCTTGCACATACTTCAAGGAGTGAGGATACAGGTCCTGGCAGGTCTTTGCTACATGTCCGAGCTGTTTAGCTTCTAGGCTGCTGACCACTGAGGTATGACTTGTCCCATTAGACCTGCTGAGGTGATGTACTGGCCCTTACTGCTAACATCCATGGTCTCAGCCACCTTCCCTTAGTTACAAAATCTTTGTGCATGAGAGGCTTTTTGATTCTATATAGTTCTGGCATTCTGTGCACCTACTCACAAGGACATGGGAGAATACCTGGGTTACCTGAATGTTAAGCAAGGCATAGGAGCATAGAGTGAAGCCTCATACTGACCTCTAAAGCTCCCTTCCACCGCTTTTTTGCCATATACTGGACCATCTTAAAGAGGTCTCGTGTAGGACTCCTTCAGACTTAACGCTTACTCCATCCATCTCTAATGCCCATCATTTTCTCATGGCTCTGTGGATATTTCTGAGATTTCATATCAGAGGGAATCTTTAAGAAGGGAAAACTGAGGATCATAAAGTGCTTCCTGCTAGCTCTACCTCTGTCTCTTTTCTTGCTGCAGCCTACCTGAGTGAGAAGGGATGGGCTTTTGTTTCCTTTCTGCCATATCCTGAGTTATGCCTCCCTACTATGGACTGCATGTTTGTGTTTTCCCAGAATTAATATTCCAAAGCCTTAATCCCCAATGTGGTGGTATTTGGAGGTAAGCCTTTGGGAGATAATTAGATCTAGATGAATGTGAAGCACGCATGATGGGATTGGTGTCCTTATAAGAAGAGGAAAAGGGACCAGAGCTCACTCACTCTCTCTCTCTCTGTTTCTCTCTGCCATGTGAGGTTATAACGAGAAAGCAGCTGTCTGTGAACTAGGAGGAGGGCCTTCACCAACAACCCAACCAGGCTGGCATCCTGATCTCAGACTTCCAGCCTTTACAACTGGGAGAAATAAATGTTTGTTGCTAAAACCACCCAGTCTGTGGTATTTTGTTACGAGCTAACCAAGACGCTCTCTCAGAATAATTGAGTCTCACAAGGTCTGGCACTCGATCTGATAATGGGAGTTAAAGAAATTGAAAAACCTGCTTATTAAAAAAAAAAAAAGCCTGATTTTTAAGACTTATTATAGACTTTGATACTCAGTGACTCTTTTTCCTAGGTAGGATCTGTCCTCACTTTGCCTAGAGTAATGAGCCTCACAGCTTAGCCATGAAGTTGAAAGACTGCAAGGGAACGTGATTTAGGGAGGAAATAAAACTACATTGGTTTACTATGTCAAATATGTTATATCTGTAACCATACTCACACTATATCTCAGAAGTGTTAGTTCATGTAACCAATTTCTTCCTTTCTAATGTAATTGTAATATAGTGATTACCTCTTATTCCTGCCTTCTCACTCTGAAAATATGGCTCTTTCTGGAGGTCTCCAGAATAATATTCATCGATATGTGATACTGGTAGTAAAAGTGTGAAAATTCCAGAGACTTAGGCAAATGACTCAATATCCTCTTCCAGAATGAGCCTTTATTAAATACAAAGAACACTCACTCTGCCTGGGCTAATCCTGTGGACCTAAACTTAACTGCTTACTGGTGCTTCGGTTATTGATGTTTATGATGATCATGATGAGGAGGAGGATAAGGAGTTTTCTGCTGTTAAAAGCTTTACCCATTAAAAAAATATCTGATTACTGATTATCTAGGCCCTTTGATTTCTGTCAGGGCAGGATTCATCTGTTGTAAGGTGTAGGCATAAGGCTTTTCTCCTTGTCTAAAATGTCCTTTTTCCATTTGCCTGCCTTGAAAATTCTTACTCAGTCTTGTAAACTAAAAATAAAATCCCAAGCCTCCCAACTGACTGAATGGACACCATCATACCATCTTGGCCAGAGGGAACCCAGAGAAGCCTTAAAAACTGAATTCCTGGCCATGACAGGACAGGAGGTGAGACACGTCTCATTATACCCCTTCCCTTTTTGCAGTTTAGACACAACCAACCAGCATTAATGTTAAAGTAGCCGGAACAGACTCTTTGTGACAATAAAATACCAAATTATAAACAGGGCCTAAGGCTGTGCCAGGCAAGGGTTACTTAAGTCCTGCACCCTACCCTTAAAGAATGAACTATGCTCTAACTTCTACAAGGTTTTTCTTGTTCTGTGGCAGCCCAGCAAGCACGGGGCCTCAAGGTAAGCAATGTTCAAACAATTGCAGCTCAGTCACATTCAATTCACTGCCACCATTGCCTACTGACTAACTGACCAACACCACCTCAGTCCCCCCTCCCACCCCGCCTGTTCCACAAGCCATAACCACAGCTTTGGCTAGATAAGAGACTTATCTCAGTAGCTTTCTCCTGTTAAGAAGAACACCAACCACAGACTAGTTCTGGCCAGTTTTAGAGAGTCTGCACACTTGATTATCTTCATGTCCCAGCTTCAGCCTTTGACATCTAGGGCCTAATTGTAGATACTACAATATTAAGTCTCCACCAACACAATGAACATGGGTCGTATGTTACATGTGTGTGTAGTGAATACACATGCTTTAGGACCACTTTCATGAATATTTATAGTTCCTCTTGTAACCTGCTGAATATGTATAATTAGCCAAACCCATTTCATCATAAAGCTCCTGCCCCAACCCCTCCTCCTTTGACCTCCTTTGAAGTATCTGTCTTCTGGTCTTTGCCAAAGGCTATACTTCCCAGCCTGCAGGAGAACCATATTTACAGGCTGTAACCCTTATAAGAAATAAAGTCTCTTCTCCAGATTTATAGATCTCATGATTTTTTTAGTTAACAGTATTTGAAACCCAGTTGCAATGCTGCCTACTGTGTACAGCATCCCCTGAGTCCTCCCCTACACCCAGGAAGTCTTAAACTCCCTTTGTGCCATCATTATATCTTGTAAACATCTCTATTATCACATCTTTCATAGTGAATCATGAGTATTTGCCACCATGCCTGTCTCCCTTACAAAATTCTCTGTATCATTCACACCAGTTCACATCTGGCACATGACAGGTGATCAATAATGTTTGTTGCCTGCACGACTGGCTAAATGAATAAATTAGTGGGTCTCAAGTGCCAGTGTCAAGGTCCCACAGCTAGGAAAAAAGAATGCTGAAATTCAGCATTGGATTGTGACCACAAGGCCAACTTTTGCTCTGCACTATGCTGCTTTGCACTTTTGTGATTTAAATTGAGTTTGTTGTCTACCTGTGATATATGGGCATGAACTTCCACGAGCCTTATGTGTTTTTCCATTCCTTTCTCTCCTCCTCACTCTTCCATTGATGAAGAGCATATTTCCCAAAATTGTCAGTGGAACTGGGTTTTAGGGTAAGTGTTAGTAAGAGAATAGAGTAGATTATCACCAGACAAGCCCTAAACAATAAAGATCATGATAGAACTACTTTCCTTGAAGTCTTCCTGTAAGAATTGCTTGCATTTCTTAGGTGTTTCTTAAGTGCTTGACATAGTAGTAAGTTATTTGCATACTTTGTTTCATTTAATTATAACAATTATCCTTTAAAATAAGTCTTACTAGTATGCCTTATTTCACAAATGAGCAACTGAGACTCATAAGAGATAATGTTAATTTCCCAAGGCCTGATGGTTTTAGTAGAAGAAGAACTGGGACTCAGGCCTGCCTGATGCCAAAATCAACTCCCCAAGATAATGGAGTCCACCAATAATAGGCGAGTAGGGAAGAGGGAGGGGAAATTAATTATAAATTAACATTTATTTGGAGTAGTAGATATCTGTCAGGCTTTGTGATAACCCAGTATTTTTTACTATCTTTCCTATATTTGGGTAATTTTCCGCAGTGAAAAATTCACATCCCAAAGGTGGAAGCCAGTTACTTGTTCTTGGGTAAAAAGTGAAAATGCCATTTATCACACACATCAGAACTGGCTAAATGAATAAATAAATAGAGCTCATAAAGATAGAAGCAGTAGCAGTTGTGCAGGGCCCTGTAATCCATTGCATTCTAGGGCAGAGCACAGAGGCTTAACAGGGCCAGACAGCAGACTCCTAGAGACAGACTGCAACCTTGGGCCATGGCACTTTTATGAACTACATGATTAGCAATGGCCCCTCCCCTCAAGTAGTGAAGGTTCAGGGTACAATAGTCATATAACATGTGATATGGTTTGGCTGTGTCCCCACACACATCTCATCTTGAATTGTATTAAGATGATTAATAGTTCCCATAATCCCCATGTGTTGTGGGAGTGACCTGGTGGGAGGTAATCGAATCATGGGGGCAGTTACTTTAATGCTCTTCCTGTGATAATGAGTGAATTCTGATGGTTTTATAAGGGGCTTTTCCCCCTTTTGCTTATTCTCCTTGCTGCCATCATGTGAAGAAGGACATGTTTACTTTCTCTTCTGCCATGATTGTAAGTTTCCTAAGGCCTCCCCAGCCATGCTGAACTGTGAGTCAATTAAACCTCTTTCTTTATAAATTACCAAGTCTTGGATATTTCTTTATTAGCAGCATGAGAATGAACTAATACTACATGGTAGAACATTGGCTCTCTTTGTGACATTGTTATATCTTATAAACATCTCTATTATCACTGCCCCAAGCTTTCATGATGTGAGGGTAACTGGCCTTCTCCTGGTATAAGGAAGAAGCTGAGGACCAAGGCTTGCTATTATAGTTGTATAACATAGCAAGACTTTGGCTTGAGCCCCAGCACCTCAATCTGCATTCAAGACTCAGGAAGTACCAGCCCTTCTCCTGGGATCCAAGACTCATGTTGGCCAGAATTGAGTGCCTTAATCCTGGGCTATAGCCAGTTTCCATCCAGTTGCAAAGGAGCAGCTCATTTTCTAAAAGGCAGCCTGCAGAGAGTCAGTCTTTGACAAGTTTCCAAGGGGGCAATTTCCCCTTTCTCTCTTACTTTCCCAGTCTCCCTTGCGGCAAGAGCATAGGTGTGTGACTTAGGCTTTACCAGTCAGACACATCCATGAGACTTTGACTTAGAAGACAGCAGGGTGAGAACACAACAGCATGAACTTTATTTTCATGTGAGGCTGATACAGAGGACTCTGGTTTCTGGGAATGACAGTGGTGGCAACTCTGGAGTCAGGGAGCAGCATTAGCGGTGCCTGTTGTGGTGTCTGTGCCTAGTGGTAGCTGCAGCAGGCTTGCTGCTAGGACAGACCCATAGTATAGTTTGGATATTGTTTCTGTTCATATGCTCACCAGGCTGATTTGGCCTCCTCTGAGCCACCTAATAACCTGGAATAAACTTATCATATGCTTCAACCAGCTGAAGTAGATTCTCTTGTTTATAACTTAGAAGTTGAGTAATAATTGGTCACCTGTTTTGTGCCCAGCATTGTCCTAGACATTGTCCTATTCTTTTTTTTTTTTTTTTTTTTTTTGAGATGGAGTCTTGCTCTGTCACCCAGGCTGGAGTACAGTGGCACGATCTCAGCTCACGGCAAGCTCCACCTCCTGGGTTCACGCCATTCTCCTGCCTTAGCCTCCCGAGTAGCTGGGACTACAGGTGCCCGCCACCACGCCCAGCTAATTTTTTGTATTTTTAGTAGAGATGGAGTTTCTCCATGTTAGCCAGGATGGTCTCAATCTCCTGACCTCGTGATCCACCCGCCTTGGCCTCCCAAAGTGCTGGAATTACAGGCGTGAGCCACCGCGCCAGGCCTATTCTTTATCTCATTGGATTCTCACACAAAACCTGTAAGATGAGTACAGTTTGCACTGCTGAAGAAAAATGTGGTAAGGTAGTGTTATGGGATGAAGCAGCCAAAGTCAACAGAAAAGAGATCATGAGGAGTCTTCTTTGTCCAGTGGTTGAGTTTGGCCTTTGTCCTATTAAGCATGATACACATACCTGGCTGCAGAGCTGTGGGGGCAGCAGCTTCCACAAGGTGCCAGCATCCACAGACCCTTCCACAAGCTGCTTCTTTGCAATCCCAGGGGGCAGCTAGACATGCTAGGCTTCTCAGATCCCCTCACAATCTCTGATTCACTCCAGGCACTAGTGCTTCAGGGAAAGTGGCTACGGATTATTCTATGACCCTCTGATTCCCTCCTCCAGCCAGGCCTTTACTTCTCAACTCTTCCACAATTGTGTAAAATCCAATTCCTCTGCTGTAGTCATGATTTCCAAGATGTGTAATTCTCTTTCCCTGACCGGACTGTGGCTGATACAATCAGCAAAAGGAAAAGTGGGATGGGGAATAACACGCGTGGTAAAAATAAACTGTAGTGCGTAATTCTGTTCAAAGCAGCCTGGAACAATGGAAAAATCTCGAGCTTTGGGTATCGTAAAGATTTGGATTTCAGTCTCAGTTTTGCCCTTTTGTCCCTTGTAGCTGTAGGATGTTCAGTAAATTACCAAACATCTTCAGTTACCTCATTTTAAAATAAGGATCATAATACCTACCTCATGGGGTTATTGACGATAAAATGGGAACGATTTAAAGTGTTGTGAACATAATAGACCCGAATATTAGAACCTTTCTATTTAATAATAAACTTTAAAAAATCAAATATAATGAGGACACATGTTTGTTGCCCATCCTAACTTGGAACTGTTGTTTTATATGGACTTTCAAGGTAAAAATACATATCTTTACAAAATACACTGTTTTAAATAATATTTAAATATATTGACATATACATCTATAATTGTGATTGCTCTGGGTTTGCTTCCTCAAATTGGCTTTTAAAGGATTCTATGTAAGCTGTGCTTCTTTTAGTACATGTCTAAAAGAAAAGTAAACTTTCATAGGCAAGGAATTTTTAAGTTTTGGGAAGATAAAAATTTTATTTTTCACATTTATAAATATGAAAAACAACATGTTGAACTAACATGTACTTGACTGATAACAATATGGGGTCACTGTTTACAAAGGACACATTCCAGCAAGAAAATGAAAGCAAAAAGGTAGATAAGAGTTCATTGTACTCACACGGAAAGGCACATCAGCAACTTTGAAGAGTTCTACCAAGGCCCAGTTTCCCAGTCTATAGTCCCAATGACGACTGGACTCTTTGGACCCCAATTTCTTCATCAATTACTATGAAGAAGGCTTGATGTGGACTCCTCCAAGTTCTATCAGTGTAGGTCCATGAATGTGAGCTCTGTTGGCAATACATTTCATTTACTCAGTCCAACTCCTACTCGCCAAATGAGAAAAGTGGATGGTAATTAGATTTTTCCCAACTCTTAAATTAGACACTTTAAAAGAATAATCATAACATGACATGCATAACAAGACATTTTACTGAATGTTTTATATTCAGTATATAATTTAATCCTCACAAATCAATGATATAAAATTAATGTTGTTCCCCTTTTATAGACAAAGAAATAGAGGCACAGCAAAGCTAAGTAACACCTGTAATGCCATCCAGTTAAGAAGATGGACAAAGTCTTCACCATAATGCTGTGAAGGATATTGGCTCTGAGAGTCAGACTGACCTGGTTCAAATCCTGACTCTACCATGTAGTACCTTTGTGGTTTGGGGCCAAATTACCTAACTGCTCCAATGCTCCATTTTTGTTATCTGTTAGATGGTGATGATACCAGTTGTACTTTCCTCCAAGGGTTGCTGTGAAAATTAAATGAAATAATTAGTTTAGTGTTCAATAACTGTTATGTATGCTGGAGATGATAATGATTTAACTTGTCTCCCAAAGAGTGTTCTTTTAACAATGCCTAGTGTCTTGAGCAAATTGGCATTTCAAAGCTCAAGCACTGTACACCAGTGTTGTTAGACAAATGTTCATCTGTTTAACTGGAAAGACCAGTGCCACATACCTGACTAAGCTGTTTCACATTTCATATGTACTCACAAAGTAAAAAACATTGGCTCTTTTCAACAGATTGCTGTACATCCTATTTACATGTTTCCCACCACCCACAGGAACACACTTGGCAATCCAGAAGTTTTTCAACATGCTAATTAATGCAGATAATTCATCTTGCCTTCCGAGCAAAACGTTAAACAGGCATGAAAGGAAAGGAGCTGCTCATTGTCCAGGAGGGCGGAAGTAGAGTCCTCCAAGGAGGCATCACTGCCTCCTCGATCCAGTCCAGCAAGGCATCCCAGAGGCAAGGGGACCTGCTGTGGCTTCCCACGACCCTGCCGTCACACTGAGGCACCTTGTGTCCCTGAGCAGAGTTACATGCTCCAAGACTCCCTGGAGCACGTGCAGCTGTTTGACCTGATGAGGAGGATGTTAGAATTTGACCCTGCCCGGCGCATCACACTGGCCGAGGCCCTGCTGCACCCCTTCTTTGCTGGCCTGACCCCTGAGGAGCGGTCCTTCCACACCAGCTGCAACCCAAGCAGATGACAGGCACAGGCCACCGCATGAGGAGATGGAGGGTGGGACTGGGCCGCCCAGCCCCTTGACTCCAGCCTCGACCACCAGGCCCCAGGCTAGAGCCACCCAATGAACAGTGCAATGTGAAGGAAGGCAGGAGCCTGCAGGGGAGCAGACTTGGTGCCCGGCTGCCAGAAAGCACAGATTTGACCCAAGCTATTTATATATTGTAAAGTTATAATAAAGTGTTTCTTACTGTTTGTAAAAAAAAAAAAAAAAAGAAAGAAAGAAAGAAAGAAAAGGGCAGGGGAATGTGTTAGATATCACTTTCATCTATTAGAAAATATTTACATCCTTCTGAACTTTCCCCTACTTTACCCTCAGAACTGACAATGCCAGCAGGACTTATTGGACAATATCCCCCAGTGCCTAATGGCAAGAAACATCTTGACAGCTTTGGGCTCTCCGGTGTGCATTAGGTTCAGAAAGGCCCTGAGAAGACAGCAAATGTATTCAGATTTTTATTTGTCTGCAGTTTGATGTAATAGTGTTTTATTTTTGGCCCCCAATTGCTCAGCAAAAGAAAAAAAAAAAAAACAAAATAAACCTTGGTTAAGCTGCTGATTTCCTCTAAATCGCTGAGCACAGGGATTGTAGCTTGATGAAGTCATTTAGTGCTGGTTGTTTATATTCAAACCGTGCCAGTGGCTCTTGCTGGAGTTTTTCATGAGGAATGTGATGATGTTTACTTCTTTATAGAGTTAAAATAACTATGAATTTACCAGTACTAACTTGCAAGGGATTTTCAAACTTTTATTTTGTCTTGAAAGCTTTGAAATATACAATTTCATTTAGGTTGTCGGGGAAGAAAATGTCACAAAGAGAAATCATGTAAGCTTTGACAAAATAAAATTTGTTGCAACTTCTCCAAATATTTCTAAGTTCGGTGGTCATCAGGCTGCTTGAAGGTAGCATTCTTAGGCCATTCCTCAAAGAGTATTATGGAAGTCCATTTGGATAGGAAAATTCATGATTGTGGTATCAAAAATAAATGGAGAGAAGAAAGTAAGGGATGAGAGAACTTGTATAATAAATATACCTTGTCCCATTTTTTCTTTTTCTATTGTCTTTTCTGTTTTCTCTCTTCTCCCATCCTGGAAGAGAAAAGGATATGCTGAGAAAGTAGGCTGTGCTTACTCAAAATTAGAAAAAAAATTGAATTAGGAAAGTTGTTGGCTCTCCAGGCATCCATTCAATAAACATATATTTGTTGAATACCTGTAAAATGCTAGACATTATGCTAGAGATAAAAAAAAACAAAATTGGCCGTTTCATCAATTCAGTCATTCATGTAATGAATGTTACCAATTTGCCAATGTTTGATTCAGGAAAACTGAAAATAAACAATGATAACATATGGATGAATATATAAACGTATTCAAAATGCTGGGGGAGCAAAAAATCGAGGAAATATCTAAGACAGCCTATAGCATGTGTCTCAGAGGCTGACTTTCAGAGGCCCTCAGGCCACCTCAGGACACACAGAAAAACTATCTTTGGCACTCTGCCTCCTCTCCTTGGCTGCCAAGGTGCTCAAGAAGCAGTGTGAGATGACGGAAAGGTTCTAGTCTCTGGACCACATAGCCCTGAGTCCACATCCCTTCTGTGCCAGACTGCTAATTGTCTTTCAACATCCCTTTTCCCCTTCTTCCTCAAAAACATAAATCCTGAATTTAGCTGGACACGTAGCCACCCAGAATAGATTATGTTTATCAGTCTCTCTTGCAGCTGGGCAAGTCTTTGAGATATAGCTCGGATCGATGGTTGCAAGTAGAAGTAGTGTTTGTCACTTCCAAGAAGTGTCCTTAAGAGAAGTGGAAATTCTCTTCTCCCTTTGTTTCCTCCTACTAGAGAGTAGGTGGTGACCCACTGCAGCCATCTTGGACCATCAGACAGAACCCCTGTGTGGCGGATGGCAGAGAAACATGAGGTGCAATTTGACAATTGGGAAGCCTGACCCTAACCCTGTGTGGCGTGAGAGAGGAAAATACAACTCACATTTTGTTTTAGCCAATCTTGTGTTCCTGTCACTTGCAGTCAAAGCTAATTCTAACTAATACCAACAATGAGACCTTCAGCAAATACAACCTTAAACCCTCTGAGACTCAGTTTCCTCCTATATATAAAAATGAGGACAATAACATATATTTTTATAATTGTTGAAAGGACTGAATTATAAGAATAAATACATTTAATTCACCTGGAATAATGCCAGATATCCAGTAGTATTAACAGTAGCTACTATTATAATAATGTTTTCTGCCTATTCAAAATTCCTGCTCCATGAGTGTCTCCAAAACTTTAATAGAATAAAAACTCCTATTCCCCAACAGTTGCACCAATAGGGAGGTACTGATCTGATCCAAGATGTGTGGTGTTGAGGCCTAGCCTTCCCAGGAACTATATGGAACATGGCTGTTTTCCAGATATGGTTCAGCCTTGGGAAAGAAATGCATGGATTGATGGGGAATGGAGAGGCTCCTTGCTAGAGAGCAAGGCTAGCAGAATTGACTCTGATGATGGGCAGGGAAGCTAATATGATAGTAAAAGCAATCTCATATCTTTCAAGTTATCCTACCCTAAGATAATACTCCCTGCCCTACTTGCTTCTCTGCCCGCCACTCAAAATACCATTCATAGAGACTTTCTTACATGCTGGACCAAAATGGGAGCAAAATGGGAACATTATTAAAGACGAAGTTCTCTTTGGTGGAATGTGTTTGGGGAAACCATGGAGAGGATTTTTCTCTAGATAGGGGCTACATGTTTTCTTCCCCTCTAGAGGAAACAAAACCTCCCCCTTGTTTTGCCTGGTCACTTGTCCCTCTCATGATCTAAGGGGACTTGGGCAGCCTGTTAGACAAATGAGGCAGATTTTCAGCCCTTGGAGAAGCACCTGGGTGGGTACAGTTTTATTGACAGCCAGACTGGGTTCTAACCCCTGATGTGCCACTTACCATCTGTGTGACCTTGGGCCAAAATTCACTCTTGTTCTCGCCAAGCTTCAGTTCCTCCATGCGTAAATACAAAAACAAACCAAAAATTTTTCTAGGCATGAAAAAAAAAACAACAGTTGATCCAGTGAATTAAGTGGATAATAATGAACATTAGAAACGAACTGGACATTAGCCCCTTGGTAATCACTTAGGTGGATTTCTCTAGTCCTTAGGTCACTCTTAACAGTAAAAGTTAAGGGTCTGTTTTGAGGATGTGTGGACAGTGGATATTCAATTACATTTGTTGGTTGAATCAGGCAGGCAGTCAGCAAACATTTATAGAGCACTTGTGAGGCATCAGGCTTTGCTCTAGGCACTAAGAATATTGTGAAGAACAAGAGAGACAAAGAACCAAACTCTAGAAGCTCATTTTCTGGTGGGAGAGAGGGATAAAACAGACACAAAACACTGAAATAAAGTAATTTTGTGTAGTGATAAATATTATAGAAAAATAACAAAATAGGATGTGATAGGAACTGCCTTGGGATGAGAGCAGGGGACAGACACTACTTTACATGGGATGGTCAGGGAAGGTAACTGAGAAAGCAGGTTGTTTAGTAGAATGTGAACTATGAGAAAGAGGCAGCTCTTCAAAGATTATAGGGAAAAACATTCTAAACGGAAGAAAAAGCAAGTGCAAAGACCCTGAAGTACAACTAGTTAGTCATAAGGGAGGGACAAAAAGAAGGCCCATGTTGGCATAGAGTGACAAACGAAGAGAAAAAGGGAAGGGAGGGAACTCAATCTGAAGAGGTGAGCTGAGTTGAAGATGTAGAAATGAGTTTGAAAAAGGCAGCTTATTTATTATCTGGTTATATAGTTTGGATGTTTGTCCCTCCAAATCTCATATTAAAATTTGATCCCCAATATTGGAGGTGAGGCCTAATGGGAGGTGTTTGGGTCTTGAGGGCTGATCTCTCATGCATGGTTTAGTGCCATCCTAAGGTAATGAGTGAGTTCTTGCTCTCTTAGTTCAGCTCTCTCAAGAGCTGATTGTTTATTTTTAATTTGTATTGGTTTTTTTAGAGACAGGATCTCGCTCTGTCACCCAGGATGGAGTGCAGTGGCGTGATCATAGCTCACTGCAGCCTTGGACTCTTGGTCTCAAGCGATCTTCCCACCTCAGTCTCTCAAGTCACTGGGATTACAGGCATGAGTCACTATGCCAAGCCCAGAGAGCTGGTAATTTAAAAGAGCATTGCATATCTGCCTCCTCTTCCTCCCTCTCTCACAATGTGACATGCTTTCTCCCCCTTCACCGTCTACCACAAGTGGAAGCTTCCTAAAGCCCTAACCAGAAGCAGATGCTGGTGCCATGCAGAACTGTGAGCCACATAAACCTCTTTCTTTATAAATTACCCAGTCTCAGAGTTTCTTGTATAGCAACACAAAACAGACTAATATATCTGTTTTATATTAGAGAGTGAAGGAAGATTCTAGATTTAATTCTCATTACAATAGGAAGACTTTGAAGGGTTTTAACCAGGACAGTGACATGCTCTGACCTATGCTCTAAAATATTTTCTGTGGCTCCCTCTGCAGAGGCTGGTGTGAACAGGACAAGACTGAAGAAAAGAAGAGACAGGAGGCCACTTTAGTAGTCCAGGTGACAGCTACAGTAATGGAGATGGGCCAACCAGGTAAGATTCAGCACATATTTTGGAAGGAGAGAATAATGGACTTGTAGATGGACTGGATGCATTGTACGTGCAAAGAAGAGAAATCAAAGGTGTTTTACTTAACAAGTGGGGGATATTAGGGTAGGAGATGATCAGAGAAGAAGGTAGGCTTGGGAGAAATCAATCATCCTTTTTTCATATAAGCAAAGTTTGAGATGCTTATCAGACATCCAAGTGGAAAAAAATGTCGAGTGAGCAATTGGATGGATGATTCTGTAGCTAATGAGAAAGGTACTGGAGGAGCCACAGATGTGAGATTTGTCAGAATACAGATACTATTAAAAGCTATGGGATGGTACGTGCCTGTAGTCCCAGCTACTTGGGAGGCTGAGGCGGGAGGATTGCTTGAGTCCAGGAATTCAAGACCAACCTGGCAACATAGTGAGACTCCTGTATCAAAACAGTAAATTAATTTTTAAAAAAGCTATGTGATGGAATGAGATCACACAAGAATGTAGGTATCAAGATAAGAGGACCAAGGAAAGAGCCTTCAGACATTTCAATATTTAGAGGTCAGTAAAGGAGAAGAAGTCATCAGTGAGAAAAACCCAACCAATAAATATGCTGACACACAAAACCAGAGACCTTGTATTTTAATAAGGAAGTAATTAATTGTATCAAATGACATTGAGAAGTCAAGCAGGATGAGGGCAGAAAATTGCCCATTGACATTGGTGAGATTTGGATCACTGGCAACTTGGATATGGTAGGCATCCTCTAAAATAGCCTCCAGTGGTCCTGCCTTCCTAGTATTCATGCCCTTGTGCAATTTCCTTCCCTTCATCATTTACTACATCTATTGACTTGTTTCTAATAGAATATGGCATAAGCAATACAATGTCAGTTCTGAAATTAGGTTATGAGAAGACTGTGGCTTCCCTCTTATTGACTCTTTCTCCAGCATTTGGCTTGGGTGCCAGCATTGAGTAAACAGATATTTAGGTTTAAACTGGGTTGGGATTTTTTAAGGCGATTATGATAGAGAAAGAGACGGGTGTGCAACTTACTGGGGTTTGTAATGGAGAGGTTATATTGGTGGTCCATAAACTCTAAACTAAGTAAGAAGGTAAGTGAAGATATGAACTGTGTGCAAAGAGAAGTATGGATCAAAATATTAGAAATGCAATTTGATGAGGCTTGGTGGAATACCAGAATAACTGAGAAAGGAAGATAAGAGATAGTCGGTAGAAAGAACAATGCTTTAAATAGATATTTCAAAACCGGTATTGATGAAGTAACATCTACAGTACAACCCTAAGTGTAAATGGTCCACGTGGAGCAAAAGAAAAAACTAAAAGTGTAGAATGAATCATTGGCATAGGTGTGGAAGTCATCCAGGATTTTGACAGCCACCATGGTAAAACTGACAGTAAGACAGATGCCAGGGCCATCAATTCATGATTCAGTGTGAGTGGCAAGTTGGTAGAGATAGAAACAAGAAGGGATAAAATGTTAATGGCATAATTTAAGAATCCTGGGTTGAAGGAGGAACGAGGAAAAATGGTTTGGAAGCAGCAATGGGGACCCCATCCCTCACCCCTGAAAAGACAATAGGGGAAGAAGCGTTCTCAGGAGGAAGTTTTGGTGATTGCTAAGCATGAATGGAGGCCTATGGACTGTTTTGGAACTACTAAGGATTAAATTTGTATTTCCTTTCAGGTGATGAGTATCAAGAAAGTCAATCTGAGTATGCTACATCTATATAATAATAATAATAATAATTACAATTTATGGAACACCAACCAAATGCTAAGGATGCTTTTTCCCCTATAATAAACTTGCACTACAGATGAGGAAATGGAGTTCAGGTGGATTATAGACACACCCACTGTACTGGCTTTATACCATGTTTGTTTAGCTAAGCTGAAGCTACAAGTCCCAGAATATCCTTCCCAGTGTAAATCCAGGTTGGGGATGTTCCCAGGAGAACTTTGTGCAGAGATTGGGTGGTAGAAGAGAAGCAGCAGCCAAGGTGCTCTGAAGGTTGATGCACGGTGCCAGGCACCTGCTTATTCAGTGTCTCTACTGTGCTAGCTCACACTGATGGTCTGGGGCCAGGGCTCTCCTCCTCTAGCTTCTCTGACTCGTGAGCCAGGGGTGTGTGTGGCTCCACCAGATTCTCCAGGAGAAGGCTACCAGGTTGTCAGGATACCTGTGTCACAGGGTTAGATTCAGGGAGAAACAGACCAGGTTCCAATTTGTGCTTGTGGATTCCAGATTGTCCTCATGGGTTCCAGTTGTCCTTGTTTTCCTGTCCCATTCTACCCTTCATGTGAAAGGGCATTTGGCATTTCTTCCCAACTGCCTTCTCAGTTGATCTATAGCAACTTCAGGCCACGACTAGACACCGAGGCAGCAGATTCTGTACTTTATCACCTAGAGTGGTTCAGCTTCCCTGACACCCCTAGGATCATACATTAGAAAGCGGTAAAACCAAGATCAGTACCAAAATTTCTCGGAATTAGGTCCTTTGCATTTCTACTCTTCCAGAATCCCTCTTAGGCCTACAAATAAATGGCATATTTAATGAAACACTGCAGAATCAAAAGTTAAAAGCCCACAGATAATAATGTGCCACTAAGATTTAATCACTCTAAATAGGGAAGTCACATTACACATGAGGTTGGGGGTTTTATTATAAATAAAAGAGGAGAAAAAAATGGGTTGCTTGGTGCATACTCTTCAGTCACTTTAGGTTTTATCAATGAACAAAAGGGTCAGAAAATTAGAGAAAGGCAGAAGAAATAAGGGCAAATTTTGGAAAATGGAATGAAAGGAAAGTTATGAGAAGATCGTTCAAGTCATTTGCACCTACTTAGGAATGGACTTAAAAGAAACATCATTCTATTATATAAACATTTTCCAGAAAAATTAAAACATAATGGAGGCATGTTGTTTGTTTACAGGGTGACTAGGTGAACAGCCCACTAAAAGGTTGGAAAGGATACTTTTTAAAAACCAATTATTTCCATAGGTTTTGGGGGAACAGGTGCTATTTGGTTACGTGAATAAGTTCTTTAGTGGTTATTTGTGAGATTTTGGTGTACCCATCAACGAGAAGTAGACACTGAACCCAATTTGTAGGCTTTTGTCCCTCACTCCACTTTCCCCTGAGTCCCCAAAGTCCATTTGCATCCTCATACCTTAGCTCCCACTTATGAGTGAGAACATGCAATGTTTGGTTTTCCATTCCTGAGTTACTTCACTTAATAGTCTCCAGTTCCATCTAGGTTGTTGTGAAAGTCATTAATTCATTCCCTTTTATGGCTGAGTGGTGTCCCATCATATATATGTAATTTCTTTATCCACTCATTTGTTGATGGGCATTTGGGCTGGTTCCATATTTAAGTATATTTTTCGTATAATGACTTCTTTTCCTCTGGGTAGATACCCAGCAATGGGATTGCTGGCTCACATGGTAGTTCCACTTTTAGTTCTTTGAGGAATCTCCACACTGTTTTCCATAGTGGTTGCACTAGTTTACATTCCACCAGCAGTGTTAGAAGTGTTCCCTTTTCACTGCATCCATACCCACATCTATTATTTTTTTATTTTTTTATTACAGCCATTCTTGCAGGAGTAAAGTGGTATTGCATTGTTGTTTTGATTTGCATTTCCATGATCATTAGTGATGTTGAGCATTTTTTCATATGTTTGTTGTCCATTTGCATATCTTCTTTTGAGAATTGCCCATTCATCTGTACAGCAAAAGACACTATCAACAGAGTGAACAGAACACCTACAGAATGGGAGAAAATATCTGCAAATTATGCATCCAACAAAGGTCTAATATCCAGAATCTACAAGGAACTTAAGCAAATTTACAAGCAAAAGGCAACCCCATTAAAAAGTGGGGAAAGGACATGAACAAACACTTTTTAAAAATTTTAAGTTCCAGGGTACATGTGCAGAATGTGCAGGTTTGCTATATAGATAAACGTGTGCCATAGTGATTTGCTGCACCTATCAACTCATCACCTAGGTATTAAGCGCAGCACGCATCAGCTATTTTTCCTGATTCTCTCCCTTCCCCTGTCCCCTTACAGGCCCTAGTGTGTGTTGTTTTCCTCCCTGTGTCCATGTGTTCTCGTCGTTCAGCTCCCACTTATAAGTGAGAACATGTGGTGTTTTGTTTTCTGTTCCTGCGTTAGTTTGCTGAGTATAATGGCTGCCAGCTCTATCCATGTCCCTGCAAAGGACATGGTCTCATTCCTTTTTATGGCTGCATAGTATTCCATGGTGTATATGTACCACATTTTATTCATCTAGTCTATCATTGATTGGCATTTTGGTTGATTCCCTGTCTTTACTATTGTGAATAGTGCTGCAATGAACATACATGTGCATGCATCTTTATAATAGAATGATTTATATTCCTTTGGGTATATACCCAGTAATGGGATTGCTGGGTCAAATGGTATTTCTGGTTCTAAATCTTTAAGGAATCACCACACTGTCTTCCACAGTGAACTAATTTACATTCCCACCAATGGTGTAAAAGCGTTCCTATTTCTCTACAACCTTACCAGCATCTGTTGTTTCTTGACTTTTTAATAATTGCCATTCTAGCTGGCATGAGATGGTATCTCGTTGTGGTTTTGATTTGCATTTCTCTAATGATCAGCGGTGTTGAGCTTTTTTTCATATGTTTGTTTGCCATATAAATGTCTTCTTTTGAGAAGTGGAACAGACACTTTTCAAAAGAAGACATACCCACAGCCAATAAGCCTATAAAAAAATGCTCAATCATTAGAGAAATGCAAATCAAAACTACAGTGAAATACCATCTCACACTAGTCAGAAAGGCTATGATTAAAAAGTCAAAAAATCATAGATGCTGGAGAGGTTGTGGAGAAAAGAGAATGCTTATACACTGCTGGTGGGAGCGTAAATTAGTTCAGCCATTGTGAAAAGCAGTGTGGCGACTTCTCAAATAATTTAAAACAGAATTGCCATTCGACCCAGCAATCGTATTATTAGGTCTATACCAAAAGGAATATAAATCATTTTACCATAATGACACATGCACACATATGTTCCTCGCAGCACTATTCACAATAGTAAAGACATGGAATCAACCTAAATGCCCATCAATGGTAGACTGGCTGAAGAGAATGTGGTACAAATACACCATAGAATACTATGCAGTCATAAAAAAGAATGAGATTGTGTCCTTTACGGCAACATGGATGGGCTGCAGGACATCATCTTTAGCAAAGTGACACAGGAGCAGAAAACCAAGTACCACATGTTCTCACTTATAAATGGAACCGAAACAATGAGAACACGTGGGTAGATACAGGGGAATAATACATACTGGGGCCTAATTGAGAGTACAGGGTGGGAGGAGGGAGAGGCACAGAAATAATACCTATCGGGTACTATGCTACCTGGGTGATGAAATTATCTGTACACCAAACCCCCATGACACACAGTTTACCTGTATAACCAACCCTGTACATGTACCCCTGAACCTAAAATAGAAGTCTTAAAAAATTATCCTCAATCATAATTAAGTGCTTAGTTACCACTACACCACATACAAGCTGCACAACTCTGAGCTTGTTTCCTCATCTATAAAATGGGGAGAGGATAAGAACGAACTTTCATAGAGTTTCTGTGAGGACCAACAGACATTGTATGTGAACATGTTTTATAAGTTGTAAGTTCTCTATACATTAAAGCATCATCATCCACCTGAAACAACCATGATTCCATGTGAACATCTAGTGTTTCTCTCTACTCAGGCCCCTGCCTACCTTCTTCCAGTAATAGCATAGCTCCCCTTCCTTTGAAGAACTGTTCTTCCTTACTATAATGGAAGTGCCTCCCCACCTAAACACGTTAGCATGCATCTGGCCACAGTGATGGGTCAGGAAGGGCATGACAGTTAAACGGGTCCAGTGAGAGTTCTTCTTGAGGAACTTTTTTCTTTTCTTGCCAAGATCTATAAGGATATGTCCCCAGCGACACTGTTGGCCACATACACTGCCATATGGAGACACTCACAAGGATAAAGCTGACATGCAGAAGGAATGAGAATTGAGAGACAGCATCCTGAAAAAATTCTAGTCCTCCTGTATGGCCAGTCCCATCCAACCTTGTCCACTCTGTAAGAATACAGATGCTCCTCAACTTACCGTGTGGTTTTATCCCAATAAATCCATCGTAAGTTGAAAAAATCCTAAGTCAAAAATGTATTTAATACCCCTAACCTACTGAACGTCATAGCTTAGTCTAACCTACCTTAAACATGCTCAGGGTACTTACATTAGCCTACTGTTGGGCAAAATCATCTAACACAAAGCCTATTTTATATTAAAGTGTTGAACATCTCATGTAATTTATTGAATACTGTACTGAAAGTGAAAACAATGGTTGTATAGATACTCAAAACATGGTTTTTACTAAATGCATATCACTTTTGCATCATTATAAATTTGAAAAAATCATAAATAGAACCATTGTAAGCCAGGAACCATATGTTTATATATAAGAATATATTTTAGGAATATATATACATATATACATAAGCATAAGAGTTGCACTTTATTCACTTCCAACTAAGTGTCTGGCTAATACAGATTTCACAATGAAAAACTTTCAAATTTAAAAATGTGTAGAGTAGGAGAACTTGCTCATAGTTTCCTTTTTCAACTATACAACAGTGTTCAGAAGAGTGAAAACACAAAACCCAGATATAGAACCAGGATGGTGTACACAGAATGAGACGCTGTCATCCAGTAATCATCAAGCAGCAGTATTGATTAGCAGGCATTTTGTAGGATGTGATGGAGGAAACAAACTTCTTTAGGAATAGGGCTCATAAACACTGAATTTCTTAAAAATTAATTGTATAGTTTTGGTTTAGCTATTATAAACTAATACACATTGTTATAAAATCCTAAGTAAAAAGATCATTATAGATGAATTTCTAGACTGGATGCATTGACCCTGTTGTGAGGGATAATTAGTGTATGTCATATATTTAGAATGAGGCACAAAAAGTAGGCATATCAACCATTCGTCCTATTATTATCACATGAGTATAGTTGATATTTAAAGCCATTGTACTCGATGAGATCACTTCAGTCTAGCAGGAGATAAGGGTCAAAGACTGAGACCTGAGATGACTTTTTCCAGAATAAGTAGCACCTTTTACAGGGTAGACCTTTAATAAGGCCAATTTCTGTCTATATATGGTACATATTAGAACAGTGATAGAGTCGGAGGAGCCTTAGAGATACATCTAAAACAGTGTAGAGTTGGGAGGCCAAGGTGGGCGGATCACGAGGTCAGGAGATCAAGACCATCCTGGCTAACACAGTGAAACCCCGACTCTACTAAAAATACAAAAAATTCGCCAGGCATGGTGGCGGGCACCTGTAGTCCCAGCTACTCAGGAGGCCGAGGCAGGAGAATGGCTTGAACCCAGGAGGCGGAGCTTGCAGTGAGCCGAGATAGCACCACTGCACTTCAGCCTGGGCGACAGAGCAAGACTCCATCTCAAAAAAAAAAAACAATGTACAGAAACATCATTTTACAGATGAGGAGACTGAGCCCCCAAAATGGTAAATGACTTGAGCAAGTGCACATGGTTTGCAGATAAATTAGGTATAGATTCTTTACTTGTGAAATAATTATTTGCCCTACAAAATGCTACAGTCTGGTTTTTATTTTAATTGCTTACAATACAAATTTCTTATCTCTATTAAATTTGTAAGACTCTGATTTGTACACAATTTAGGAAAGCATTTATTGCACCTGTATGTAATTTCAGTCTAGACATAACAATTATGATACTAGAAGTTTATCATCTTTTCAATGAGTCACCATTGGGATAGATAAAATGGTTTAGATTGGCACATCGCAATATCTAAGAAATAGAGACATTTGCCTGGTGCAAACATGATATTCCTAATTAATGTTCTAGCAGTTCTTAAGGCAGTAGACAAAATCCTGGTTGCTATAACTCTTGTGTTAGGTAATTTTTAATCATTTGATATTCTAAGTCACAAATGTTTAATCAAATATTTGTAATAAATAGAGATCTAACGCACAGCATGAAGGCTACCGTCCATAAAATTATGCCGTATTTGGGATTTCTGCTAAAAAAATGTTTAGTCAGATTCTCTTACAGTGCAATTATTTTCATCAGTCTTCCTGCATATTGCTAGGCACTGAGAGCTCTAAAAGGAATCCTGCATCGGCTGCTTGGTGGAGTAGCCTTTTCACCCAGCAGGGCACAGCTCAGTTTAGGAGATATTAAAAGATGACATTTTTAAATGTTGCTTGCTGCTTGCTTTTATTTGAATCATTGAGCTAAATTCTCTAACCTGTGGGGTGAGTTTTATATATCTTTAGAAAGTGTTTGCCCAGTAAATGACTGGGTGGTGGAAACCTATTCTCTATTTTTTTTTTTTTTTTAACCTGTAGATCCTCAGGAAGCTTTTGCAGAGGGACCAAATCCCCAGAAAGTTAAAGCTGACAGTGGCAGCGCTGAACATTTGCCTAAAGTCAGGACTGTGATTTCCATGCCATTTCTTGTGCCTACTGCTTTTCAGGGAACTAAGGAAAGTGGGTGGGGGGCGTGGAGGGAAAAGTAGTTTTATGAGCTATCAGTCACAAGGAAGAGATCCACACATATCAAGATGACATAGAACCATAGTAATAAAAACCAAAAAAGGGCAAAGAACTGGAACATAAAAATTTCAGAAGGAAAAAAATACAATGCTTAATAAGCAAATAAAGATGCTAACCTTTGGACTGAAAATTAAAACACCAGTATGATACCTTTATTCATGGAGAAAAACTGTCACAACTTAAAAATGCATGTTCGGTATTGGCCAGGGTGTGGTGAGGTGGGCACTTTATCTCTGTTGGCATATCTTGTATTGGTATAATATTTCTAGAAAGCTATTTAACAGCAGCCTCTAAAATATTCATGCTTTAATCCCATTTTTGAGAACTACCCTCTACCCCAAGGAAATAGAGAGAATGGCAAAGATTAATGTATGACAGATTAATATGGTGGTGTTTGAAACGATTAAAAATTATAAACACCATCAATGTGCAAAAGAATAGTTAAATGAATTATGGAATAGGCATAGGTTGAATTATTAAAGTTATTAAAAATGACATTTGTGAAAAAAATTAATAACATGCAGAAATGCTCACTATTTAATACTGTATGAAGAAAGCAGGGGATGGGACAAATATACTCCTGAGTCCATGAAACCAAAATTGCCAACCACTTCCCAAGTTCCATTTTGAGGAAGCCACCCTTAGCAGTTGTTTATGTCTAATGTTGACTTAGCTTGTAATAAGACAGTGGTATTACATGATTTGACATGTGCAAATTTGACTCTGTCTACAGCAAAAAATAAAATGAGAAAAATAACTACTAAAAGAGTACTGGCAATGTTGCCTAACATTCCACTAAATAAGTGTGTACCCCTAAGTTAACGTGAGATAAGGGTTGTGAATTTGCTGTGCCCTCGGACAGTCTCAATCTCTAAGGCGCTGTCATAGTGGGGGTTCCTTACCAAAATAATCAGAATTCTAGTGTATAAAGATACAAGTCTGTAACACTATCCTTTACATATTATGTCTTTTTTGTGCCGTACTTTCCCATCAGAATAGCTCTTGCAAAGGTCCCCTAAAATCTCTATGTAGCCTAAGTCAGTAGATGGTTCTCAGGCTTCATCTTATTTAACCTGTCAACAGCACATGATACTTTTATCTCTGCTTTCTTCTAGATATTTTCAGTTGACTTCTGGGGACACTATTTGCTCTTTCTTCTTATCCTATTCACTCTTAAGTCTCGTCTAGTCTCTTCCCCTCCTCCTACAATCTAAATATTGGAGGATCTCGGGTCTCAGTCTTTGAACTCTGTTTCCTGCTAGACTCAAGTGATCTCACTGAGTATAATGGCTTTAAATATGAACTATACTTATGTGATAATAATAGGACAAATGGTTGATATGCCTACTTTGTGCCTAGTTCTAAGTATATGACATATACTAATCATCCTTCACAACAGCACTAAGATTGTTTCTATTATGATCCTCAACTCAGAAGGAAAAGGGAGGCATAGAGAAGTTAAATTATTTGCCCAGGGCCACAGCTAGTAGAGAAAAGAGCCAAGACTGGAACCTAAGCAATCTGGCTCCAGAGTAGCTGCTTTTAAGCACTACACAACACACCTCCTTGATGACCCCCAAATTATACCTCTACATCCTGCGACTCCTTTGAAGTCAAGATTTGTACATTGAAAATCTTTGGTTTGATCGTTAAGATGAATTTCAAACTTAACATATCCAATCCCCCCAATCTCTTCCTCCTATAGCCTCCTTCAGTAAATGGCCCCTGTCTATGCCAGTTGCTCAAGCCATCCCTGACTTCTCTCTTTCTTTCATTTCCCACACTCATCCCATTAGCAAATAATGTTAGCTTGGCTTCTAAGTATACCAAGAATCCAACTGCTTTTTTCACCTTTTCTGTAGCTACTATCCTAAGTCACATCAACTTCTCTCACCTAGATTTTCACATTGACTTTATAAACTAAATTCCACATATGCTGAGACTGTACTATGTGCTAAGAAAAAGCAGCCCCACTTCCGTGGCCATGACATATTGGCCCAAGGGTCAGAGTCCAAGCCAATGGTAATTATGTAAAAGTGGACATAAGAAAGGTTAAATCCCTTCATCCACTAAGGATGCTCCATGTGTGGTGATGTACACCAGCCCAATCAGATGATAACTTTGAAAGTTATATGATGAAAAGTTGCATGCCAACCAGTCCCGAGTTACTTCCCTGGTTCTCCATGTGTTAATGTAAGTTTACTCTTGGAAGGATTGGAATGCTGTGTCCAGGCTAAGAAGAACACATATCATGCTACCTCTCATGCCATCACAACATTGCCATAAATTCTCTTTTAAAAAAGTAATTGCATTATAATACTGCCTTACACTTTTAAATAGTCATAGGGAAATACACAGGAAAACAGTGGAAAAAATAAATCAAAACATAAGTAGATTTTGACTCTAGGAACTCCTCTTATAGGTCATTTTATTTTGTTATTTTTTTACTTCTTCATGTTTTAGTCTACCTTTCAGAATATCTTATTTTGATAGTCAAGGAAAATGTTAAGAACCAGGTTTAAGAGGGACTGTAGAAAGGGCATTTTTATATTTAAAAATGAGGGGATCAAGGTAATTATAAAAGACATTATTATTTACTTGCTAATTTTATTATAAAATTCACTCATTCTACTTTGCAAATACTTATATCCTCTAAGCAAACAAGAAAATAAAAATTCCATATGCTGACTTTTGAATTCATATTTGAAATAACTCTTACTTCTTAGGGGGAGGAGGGAACAGTGATAGAGTTGACTCAAGAGCATTTAGTTCTAATCAGCGTGCCCCCTACTGGCTTTTTTCTTCCATGTTTTTCAGTTGTTGCATTTTTGGCTTGGGGAGAATATTTTCTGATACTACTATTACTACTATGAGGCAAATGAAAAAATTACTATTCAGATATGTAAAACCAACAACATTTTAACATTCAAGTCTTTATAACAAGGTTCCATTGTAACCCAAAATAACTTGCTATTTCCTTTAAACTAAATAGGTAATAATGACTACACCAGGTATTTATATGATGCTCTATATAGGTTTTCCTAAATTCAAAGCAATTTGACTGGCCACAGCAATCCCAACCTACCATGATTCACCCGTACAGCACTCAGCTATAAAATAGCTCTTTGCAGACTGCATACAAATTAACTTACCACCATCAGTCTCCTCTCGGGGTTGCTGCAAATTGCTTCCTTGACTCCCAGCCTGTCTGGCCTCACAGCCCTGTGTTTCAGCATCTCTAGCTCTTTGCAAGTAGCAGCCTCAGCATGACCTCTCTGGGGATATTACTACTGCTTGTGTAAAAGATGAGGAAGGGACAGAGGTGGGAGGGGATGCATTCAACAGAAAAAAAGACAAGGAGGAATAAAGATTAGCAGACTGAGACAGAATGTCTAATTGCAATAAGGTAATGATGGAGTTTTTTCCTGTGGTGGTACATGGTTTTGAAGGTGGTCTCCAAAGAGAAGTCCAACATGTTTTGAATTATGGAGTGTTGTCTTCATGCTCTAGAGAGAATTATTTTGAAGACAATATTCTATGTGTGGCATAATTGGGGGTTTTCTGGGGGAGAAGGGGAAGGAGATTATATTAGTTTCTTCTTGCACTGCTATAGAGAAATACCTGAAACTGGGTAATTTATAAACAAAAGAGATGTAATTGACTTCCAGTTCCACAGGCTGTATAGGAAGCATGGCTGGGGAGGCCTCAGGAAACTTACAATCATGGCAGAAGGCAAAGGGGAAACAAGCAGGTCTTACATGGCCAGGGCAAGAGAAAGAGAGAGATAGGAGGAGGTGCCACACACTTTTAACAACCAGATCTGGTAAGAACTCTATCAGCACCAAAGGGGGAAATCCACCCCCATGATCCAATCACCTCCCACCAGGCCCCACCTCCAACAGTGGGAATTACAATTCTACATGAAATTTGGGTGGGGACACGAATCTAAACCATATAAAAGATTGTCATGATCATTATGCTATTTCTTATTTTGTTTTTAATTATTTCTATTCTGCTTTCTTAAGATAATTTCTAAAGATGTTATGGAGTAATAAGCAGGATTAATTTTTTAAAAATCCAAGTGCTCATCCTGGATTATCCAATGGAACTGGCCCCACTCCTACTCCTACTAGGAAACCTGCATCCAATCCTTCCCCTAGCAGCAAGGGCTTCAATTTCCTATTGGCCTCAAAGTCTCCAGGTGTTATGGAGCTGTTTTCCCAGGATTGCTGCAAACTGCAGCCGCCTAAATTCTGGCAGCTTGGCAATAAGAAGTCTTCTTGCTGATAAGGGCATTTTTGTGCTCATTCCAAAAAAAAAGTAAGAGCAGTAGGTGTTGTTGTCCCTTGACTGGAGCACTCTGGATCTATCGAGCCCAAAATGCCTCTGCACAGGGTGGTAACAGGTCTGCTGCCTTTGTGGCCATGAGTTCTGGCCAAAAATATCTTCCCTTTCTGGTGTTACCCCCAAGCCTCATAGATTCACATCTTTAAAAAATTAAATAAGCACATACATAAATTTATAAGAATAAGTAATAAGAAAATAAGGATGAGAAAATAAGATGGAACCAGGGTTGAAGGTGTAAATTAAGTGTACGCCACAAAGTTGTACACTCTTGTAACCTAGAAGTCCCAGTTACTTCAGCCCTTGTGTTTCACTGTTCCCTTTAATATCCAAAGCAAGAATCCAAATATCCATTCCAGGTGACCACAGGCAATCCAGTCTTCCTCCAGGTTCCTGTCTCTGAGTGTTTCTGGAGCTCTGCAGAAAGCTTCCATCTGCCACAGTTCTATCTTGGGGGCTACTTCCCTCCTCAGCTTGCTGTCTTACTTTGGGCAAGTCACTTCTGGCCATCTCAGATCCAGCTTTGTCCTGACTGCCACTACATTCCCATACTCCTTCACTCCAAACATTAGGGAATTCCACACTTGAGGTCGGTTTCTGGAATGTATATGACTTTACTAAAAGTAAGGGAACTATCACAAAGAAGTTGCCACAAAGAAAAGGAAAATTTTAAATTGGTTATGAAAATGGTCAGTGCCTCTAGAATCTGTAGGCTAAACTATGGAGCCAAACTCCATAGTTTAGCCTACAGATTCTAGAGGCACTGACCATTTTCATATACAAACTATGGACCTCCATAGTCTCTCTCTTCCCAGCCTGTCTCTCCTTTTCCTCAAACTCAGTCTAATGGCAGTCTCCAGCTTGCTTCCCACCGAAGAATTGTTCTTCCTCTGATTTCCCTCCCTTTTGGAAGTCAAGAAACCCAGCCCTCACTGGGGCCCAATAAAAAGGGAGGAACATCACTTTTCCCTCACCCTCAGTCTCAGGCCCTTCTTTCAGACAATGGCGTAATAATCTGCACAGACATGAGTCCCCTAAAGAAAGGCAAAGGTTCATATTAATATAGAGAGAAATTTAGCTCCCATATTGTCCAAAGTTTTCCATTCTGAAATAAAATTTTTGACTTTACCTTTGCAAAAGACAAATGAAAATATTTCTCCTAATGAAGAAAATAGTCCTTCTCAAAAATGAAGCAGAAAACAGCTGGCAGCTTTAAAATAGCAGCTTGAACTTACTTAGATCAAGATTTCAAAAATATTGACTCAATATTTTTGGTGAACCACAAATATGGTTCTAAATCTTCTAGCAACCCTTGTGGAAGGAAACATGACTCACTTTGTGTTTCAAGGTGTCCCATAAGACAAAAATTAACTTTTCCCATGGCTATGAGAGAGACAGAGAGCGAGACAGAGAAAGCTGTGTAATGTAATAAAAACATCTTTCATAATATCTATTAGTTAACATAGCAACAAGCTTTATAAAACTATTTCTTACAATGATCCTCACTATAAATTGGAGACATCATCATTCAGTAAAAGCAGTTCTATGGAAAGCCAATTTAAAATGGGTTAACTACACAATTTGCTGCTGATCTGACTTAACCAGAAGAAGGCTGTAAAGAATTCAGCCAGAGGGTCTTCACATAGCCCCTTATATATGGTTTCCAAGAATTCTATGAATTACCACAATTGGCACACATGTACACACACACACACACACACACACACACACACACACACGCCTTCAATAAACATACATTTTAATGTCAATCCATATGTTGAGATATTATCTCATTCTAAGTAAATGTGAGATGGCATGGGATACTGTTGTATATCCTCAGGATTTTAATTCATGTAATGATGTCTTATTATTACCTATTGAACATGCCCTTGTGGCCACTGAACCACATTCACAATTACAGAAATCTTTCTATGTTTAGGTGTTGTCTGGTTTAAATTGAAAAATATTCAAGAAGCATAATATTAATATGCTCTTTGATTTGGCTTTAATAATCAAATCTGTTGGCCCTAACAATACTAAAGGAAGACTTGACATGCTGCAAGTATATTAGATAGAGGATATTTTTGGAGAAAGTGTTGGTATTCTACTAACTCTTGCATTTTTCCCAAACATTAAACTTTGTTTTGAAGTATTGGATAAGGTTGCTTATCACATTACCATGCACAACTGGAGAAGCCTTGGTTAATCCATGTGCCTTGGAAATGATTGAGTGAATGTATGACTTGAAACAGAGAAAGGAATCTGAAGCAGTGTGTCATTCAAGTGACATGATCTAGCCCCAGATTCTTCTCATATTTTAAGCACATTCGTAGAAGAATTGGCAGCTGTTCATCATTCCTTTCAATATGCAACTGGATGCAACCACTATATTTCTCACTGTAGTTCACAACTGATTTTCAGCTGCTGGGTGCAGGCCTGTACTTCATAAAAGAATTCCTCTTTCTTGAGCCCTATTTTGAAATCTCAAAGGCCCTCACTGTCTTCAAAATGGTGACAAGTTTCTTTGCCAAGAAAACCTCCCCATAAGGATAATCTTGATATTCCGCTCACAGATGGAGCCCTTGCAGGACTTGGTAACACATCTGGGTTGATGCTTTGATGAACAAAGAGGCTCCGTATGTCATAATGACTCATTGCTGTCCTCATCGGTATGCTTTTCAGTTAGAGACTCTGCCAACCATCTTGAACTAAGTTTTGTCATTATCTACTTAAAAGTAAGTCCTCAATTTCGTCAGAGTCAGGGCTTCATCCACCTCATTTTCAAATGACTTTATGAAGAAATGAGAGCAAAATTAAAATGTTATCTACTAAGCAGAAGTACACTGGTATTTTTTAACACAAGTCTTGAAAGAGTTGATTGAAGCATCAGGAGGAAATTTCAGTTCTTTGAGAGAGAAAAGGAAAGCTTGTTCAGTATAATCTGACACAAAGGTATCCATTTATGATTTGGTTTTCTCAGTAATACTTTTGCCCATAGGCAAGAGTAAACTTTCCATTGAAGGCATCAAGTCACCATATGAATGCTAGTTAAAAACAAATACATAAGGCAAAAACTTTTGGCTGAGCTTTTTTTTTTTTTTTTTTTTTGTAATTCTGGAAGATAAAGTTAGACATAGAAAACAAAATTAACTAAGCTAACTCTCTGAAGCTAGAAGTGCTTCTGTAAATTGAGGAGAATAAATAAAGCCTTAGAGGTTTCATTGTAGGCAGAAATTTAAAGACAAAAATTGAAGAACAATACCTCTGCTCAAATTATTTGCTTACAATTTGGAAATGCAGATAAAGAAGACTTCATTCCATTGCTAAGATATCATCAATAACTCAGACGCAGACAAAGCTGACCTCAGAGATCAGGACAAATGAAATGATGTAGTGTAAATTCAACCTGAAGAATCTTGAGGGAACTCAAGTATCTAGAAATAAGCCTGTCCTTGTCTGGCAAAGAGAGATGTGGATGCCACAGACCTTTCTAAACATTTTCAGACATTGACATGAAAATTTGAAAAGTATTTGGGTCAAAGGCATGCATATTTGCATATTCAAGATCATTATACAATTTCCAATTTCCTGTACAGGCCAACAGCAACCTCCTTATCTTGCCATAAACCTTCAGAATCAAATTCTACTTTTAATTTTGTTTGAATTTTTGGACTTTTCTAGCAAGTATTCAATTATATTTAGATGAAAAATAAGAATGGGAGATATTATCTTTTCTGGGCAACACTTCTCTATTCTGTATTTGTGGAGGAAATAAATTTCCAGAGCAATGAATTATATTGATTGAAAAATATGCCTGGCCAACATGGCGAAACCCCATTTCTACTAAAAAAACAAAAATTAGCTGGGTGTGGTGGCTGACGCCTGTCATCCCAGCTACTCAGGAGGCTGAGGCAAGAGAATTGCTTAAACCTGGGAGAAAGAGGTTGCAGTGAGCCAAGATCATGCCACTGCACTCCAGCCTGGGCAACAGAGCCAGACTCTGTCTCAAAAAAAAAAAAAAAAAAAAAAGAAAAGAAAAGAAAAAGAACAATATCATATGTACGAGTTTATAGAATTTTTACCTTAAATTGAAATCTGTAGTTTTCAGCCATTGTTTAAAGGGATTTATGGCTTCAAAATTTTTAAGAATTGCTGATCTAGAGAAACAAGTTGCACAAATTATCATTAAAGCAGCCAATAAGTGTTGTTTTTAGAAACTGGGATTTTGATGGCTATTGAGACGTGATGATTTGGTGATTTGGGGCATTCGGCAAGTACATGGAGTTCAGTCAGACCATTTTGTAGCTTCAGAGCTGTGTAATATACTTTATCCCCCTTCCCCACCATTACTATGGGTAGGCTCCAAATTCTCATGATAAAACTGAGTTTTGTCTCTAAAATTCACACATAGTAGAATCTAATCCCTCCTTTTAGGAGGTGAAGCTTCTCTTCTGAATATGAGACCCTGTCTCTAGAGAAAGAAGGAAAGAAAAAGGAAAGAGAAAGGAAAAGGAAAGGGAAGGAAAGGAAAGGAGAGAAAGAGAGAGAGAGAAAGAAAGAAAGAAAGAGAAAGAAAGGAAGGAGAGAGAGAAAGAAAAAGAAAGAAAGAAAGAGAAGGAAGGAAGGAGAGAGAGAAAGAAAAAGAAAGAAAGAAAGAGAAAGAAAGGAAGGAGAGAGAGAAAGAGAAAGAAAGAAAGAGAAGGAAGGAAGGAGAGAGAGAAAGAGAAAGAAAGAAAGAAAGAGAAGGAAGGAAAGAAAGGAAAAGAAAAGAAGAAAGAAAGAGAAGGACGGAAGGAAAGAAAGGAAAAGAAAAGAAGAAAGAAAGAAAGAGAGAAAAGAAAGAAAAAGAAGAAAGAGAAAGAGGAGGAAGACGAAGGAAGGGAGAGAGGGAGGGAGGGAGGAAGGGAGGAAGGGAGGAAGGGACACCTTACTTAGATTCAACTATTTAATGCATGGCAGAAATTTAAACCTGATTTGATAATCCTTTCCCACTAAAGCCATACTGCTTCTTCAGACTTTCTGAGTTCAAACACAGAGGGACAAACAACTTGATTTTTAATGATTATGCTTATTTCTATAATGCCCTGAATCATTCTTCTTCTTCTTACCTAACCATTAACCAACATCTTTGACCAGTTCAGATCTCTTAACAATCTTGAATTTAGACATGAGGGATTTAAGGAGCTAATCTCCAGCACTACAGGACTGACTTTATTACCGGGGCTCTGGAAACTTGATTCTTCTCTGACCCCTGTTAGGACTTGCTATGAAATTGCTATGGTATAAGGGAATATTTTTACAAGAAGACCCAGGACTGCCAAAATCCTGCATTGTCAATCATCCCTTCCACTTGAAGTTTCCAACAGAGCTGCCATATACAACAAGGATTATTAGATATAAGAAACAGGTTAATATTATACTACTTGTACTAGGCCCTACCGCCCAAATGTCTACATCTGTTAAAACTGAATTGGAGCACAGAGTTCTGGATCAAGGCCTTAGCAGGGAGTTATCACAAACAAAAACACATCAGCAACCTCCTCTCAGAGCCGTATGAGACAAGGTGGGTACAGTGAAGGACAGAAAATGAGAGGAGAGGTGAGGAAAACGACCTGAGACAGACAGCAGGAAATAGAAAAGAAGGTAACACATGCATACACTGGTACAACAACCTCAATCACTAGAAATGTGTATCTGTGTGCTGGCACCTGCCCAGTGAGAGTGAGAACTCCTCCTTTATCCTTCGGAATGATTTGAAGTGAGGAATTAGGCATAATCACCATAATACTGAGAACTCCATCTCCTTCCAAGGCTTTGAGTCCCCTCCCTGGATAGCAGTCTATGGAATGAGATCTCAGGAGTCTCCAAAGCTGAGTAACTGCCTGAATCTCTAAACAATGCATGTTCCTATATTTCCCATAGTTACTGCCTGCCTTCCTGTTACTACATATTGGAGCTCTCTAGCATCCTTTTTGACCATACCATCCTAGCCACCAGGTTCCACAATTGGACCTGACTCCTAGTGCACCTGGTCAAATGCCAGCTTTGGGCCCCATCTAGTTACTAAAATTAATTGGTCCATACACCAAGAGAATCCTGATATATAACAACCACAGGACTATGTACTAGGACCAAACCAAAGAAGACCACAAAAAAAAAGTCTTCAAAATTGCAAGTTTGTTAAATATGTTCTTTAACTGTAAGTAGTTTTTACCACCAAATAAGAAAATTTTGCATATGTTTTTAAAAAATAACCAGTAAAAATGAGCTTACAATAGAATGTAACTTTCTCCAGATAATATCCCAAATTCTCTTGCCCCTTCCAGAAAAACTATTGTTATTCCAAAAACATTCTATGAAAACACAAGTATAGATAAATAATAATAAAAATACCTTATTTTTACACAAAGTAAAACATCTTCTACACATAGTTTTAGCCTTTTTTCAATTAACAACTAATCTTGTATATTGTTTCATGCAATATATAGTATCTACACACATGCACACACACATATACAAATATGAATAAAATGGATATTATGAAATTGAAAAACACATTATTAACTGAAATGGCAAATTCACCAGAGGGGGTTCAAATGCAGATGTGAGATAGCAGCAGAAAGATACAGTGAATTTAAAGGTATATCAATAGAATGTATCCCATTTGAAGAACAGAAAGAAAAAACTACCAGTGGAAAAACATCAATCTTTCTGTTCTTCAAATTGGATAAAGCTAAACAAACCCAAAGTACCATCAACATAAGAAGAATTCACATCTAAACAATTTATAGTCAAATTATTGAAAGACGAAAAAATCTTGAAAGCAGCAAGAAAAAATGAATTATGTTCAGTCAACAACAATATGAATAACGGATAACTTATTGTCAGAAATAATGGAGGTCAGAAGGCAGTGGAATTACATGTTCAAAGAATGGAGAAAAGAACTCCCAACCAAAAATTTTATATTCAGCAAAACTATCATTCAAAAGCCAAAACTATAAAACTCTTTGGAAAAAACACAGGTGTCTTTCTGACCTTGGATTAGTTTCTTAGATATGACAGCAAAAGCACAAACAACAGAAAAAAAAAGAAACTAAAATTAAAAGTTTTGTACATCAAAAAACATTATCAAGAAAGTCAAAAGACAACCCAGAGGATGGGAAAAAATATTTGGAAATCATCTAAGCTGATAAAGGACTTGTATCCAGAATACATAAATAACTCTTGCAACTCAACAATAAAAAGAAAAAATAACCCAATTTAAAAATAGGCAAAGGATCTGAATAGACATTTCTCCAAAGTAGATATACAAATGGCCAATAAATACAGGAAAATATGCTCAACATTATTATCCATGATGTAAATATTAATGAAAACTACAAGACACAACTTTATACCTAATAGGATGGCTATAGTCACAAAACGGAAAATAACAAGTACTGGTGAGAATGTTTAGAAACTAGAATCCACATACACTGCTGGTGGGATAGTAAAATGGTACAGCCACTGTGGAAAACAGTGTGACAGTTCTCTAAAAGATTAAACACAGGATTACCATATGACTCAGTAATACTACTCCTAAGTATATACCCAAGAGAAATGAAAACATATAACCCTACAAAAACTTGTACATAAATGTTCATAGCAGCATTATTCATAATAGCTAAAAAGTAGAAATAACCTAAATGAATCAATAAACAAGATGTGGTATATCTGTACAACAGAATATTGTTCAGCCATCAAAAGAATGGAATACTGTGGTTACATGCTATAACATGGATGAGCATTGAAAACATTATGCTAAGTAAAAGAAGCTAGTTATAGAAGGCTATGATTCCATTTGTATGAAATGTCTAGAATAGGCAAATCCATAGAGAAAGAAAGTGGACTGGTAGCTTCCAGAAACTAAGGGGAGGGAAAAATGAGGAATAACTACTAATGGGTACGGGGTTTCTTTTGTGAGATGGTGAAATGTTCTAAAACTAGATAGGGGTGGTGGCCGCAGAACAGTATGAATAAACTAAAAAAAGACTGAATTGTAAATTTTACAAGACAGAGTGTTATATTATGTGATTATATTTCATTTTTTAAAATTATCTCCTTCTAAAGTAAGGATGAAGTGTAGAAATCCCTAGATGAAGAAAGACTAAGCAAGTTCCTTGCTAGGAGACTTACTTTACATAAATATTAAAGGAAGTCCTTCAGATTGAAAGGAAGTGACACCAGACAGTAGCTTGAATGCACACAAACAAATGAAAAGCACTAAATATGATAAATTTGTAGGAAAATACAAAAGATCCACAAAGATATTTTTATTTTAACTTTTTAAGAAGACATGACTTTATAATAATTACACTGTTGTTGGATTTATGACATATAGAGTTGTCATACATATGACAAGGATAGCACAAAGGAAGAGGGAGGAAAAGGACACAGCTTTTTTAATTATCAGGACTCAGTATCATTCTGAAATAGATTATCATAAATTAAGATACACATTGTAATATGTACAGAAACCACTAAAAAATTAACTTTGAAATTATAATTTTTAAAAATCAACAAAGGAATTAAAATGTTACACCAAAAACATTTATGCAACCTGTAAAAGTTAGTGAAGGGAAAGCAGAAGGACAAAAAACTATTGTAGTCATAGTCAGACTACTGGAGGACAAAGAAAAAATCTTGAAAGGAGCAAGAGAAAAACGAATGCTCAAGTACAAGAGAACAAGAATATGAGTAAGAGGTGAATTATTGTCAAAAATAGTGGAGGCCAGAAGATACGAAACAAGACAAGGCCAAATAGCAGACATAAGTCCCATAAATAGACTGGGTGCAGTAGCTCAAGCCTGTAATCCTAGCATCTTGGGAGTCCGAGGCAGGAGAACTGCTTGAGCCTAGGAGTTTGAGATCAGCCTAGGTAACATAGGGAGACCTCATCTCCACTAATAATAAAAAATTAGCCAGGAATGGTGGTACATGCCTTTGGTCCCAGCTACTTGGGAGGCTGAGGCCAGAGGATCACTTGAGCCCAGGTGGTCAAGGCTGCAGTGAGCCGTGTTCCTGCCACTGCACTCCAGCCTGGGTAACAGAGTGAGACCATGTCTCAACAACAACAAAAAATCCCACATAAATAACTACATTAATTGTGCATGAACTAAACACCCACTCAAAAAGCAGAGAGTATCAGACTAGATTTTTTAAAAAGAAAATTCAACTTTGAATGAAAGTGACACATATTTCATTAAAAAAAGCAAATAGGTTAAAAGTAAAACAATGGAAAATGATATACCATACAAAGAGTAACCAAAAGAGAGCTAGAGTTGCTAAATTAGTATAAGAAAATACAGACTTCAGAAAAAGAACAATTGCTAGAGACAAACAGGGTCATTTCATAATGAAACCAGCATGAATACGACTAGGAAGATATAGCAATTATAAATATATACACGACTAACAACAAAGATTCAAAATACGTTAAGTAAAAAAATGAGCAGAACTGAAAAGAGAAATAGACAAAAATAATATCCCATTCTCAAAAAATGGAAAGAACAGCTAGACAGAAATTTAACAAGGACATAAAAGACTTGCACAACATCATTAATCAAATTGACCTAACTAACATTTATAGAATATTCCGTCTTGTGACTGCAGAAGGCAAATTCTTTCCAAGCACACAAAGATGATTTTCCAGGATAAACCATATGAAACCATATGCTAGGCCACAAAACAAATCTCAATACATTTACAAATATCAAAATCATAAAAAGTATGTTCACAAATCTTGGTTGAAATTAAATTAGATTCACAATAGAATATTTGAAAATAAACAATAAGCCTCTAATAGATCAAAGAATAAATCACAAGAAAAAAATTCAAAAATACATTGAATTAATGAAAACAATTTTTTTCAAAATTTATGGGTTGCATAATGCTTACTATAATGTATAATTAGTGAATGCAACTATCAGAGAGAAGTTACTGTTTTAAGCACCTATGTCAGAAAGAAGAAAGATCTCAAATCAACAACTTAAGTTTCAACCTAAAAATGTAAAATAAAGAGCACAATAAACCCAAAACAAGCAGAAGTAAAGGATAAGTAATAGAATAAAAATAAATGAAGTAGAAAATCAAAAGACAAAACACAATTTTAAAACAAAACCAAAAGTTTTTTTTTGTTTGTTTTGTTTTTGTTCTTCTGAGACAGAGTCTCGCTCTGTTGCCCAGGCTGGAGGGCAGTGGGGCAATCTTGGCTCACTGCAACCTCCGCCTCCCGGGTTCGACCGATTCACCTGCCTCAGCCTCCGGAGTAGCTGGGACTACAGGCGTGCAACACCACGCCCAGCTAATTTTTGTATTTTTAGTAGAGACGGGGTTTCACCATGTTAGCCAGGATGGTCTGGATCTTTTGACCTCGTTATCTGCCTGCCTTGTCCTTCCAAAGTGCTGGGATTACAGGCGTGAGCCACTGCGCCCGGCCTGAAAGTTGTTTTTATGATTAATAACATTGACAAACACTGGGGTAGACTGACCAAGATAAGAGGAAGGACCAAATTACCAAAATCAGGAATGAAAGAGGAGACAGCACTAGCAATCTTAGAAAGAGAAAAAAAACTAAAAAGGAATATTACGACAATTGTATGCTAACAAATTAGACAACTTAAATAAGAGGAACAAATTCCTAGAAAGACACAAATTACTGAAATCGATTCAAAAAGCAATGGGAATTCTGAATAATCCTCTAACAACTAAGTAAATTGAATTCATAATTTTGAAATGTTCCCACAAAGTAAATCCCAGGCTCAGATTGTTTCACTGATGAATTCTATAAGCTACTTAAAGAAAAAATGATGGACTATCAGCTCTTGCCACTTCTTTTTTCCTAATTTTTAATTTTTATGGGTACACAGCAGGTGTATATATTTATGGGGCATATGAGATTTTTTTGATACAGGCATGCAATGCATAATAGTCACATAATGAAAGATGGAATATTATAGATACCCTCAAGAATTTTTCCTTTGTATTACAAACAATCCAATTATACTCTTAGTTATTTTTAAATGTACAATTAAATTATTATTATTGACCATGGTCACCCTGTTGTGTTATCAAATACTAGGACTTATTCATTTATTCATTTTTTTAACCCACTAACCATCCCCACCTCCCATCCAACCCCCCCAGTACCCTTCCCAGCCTCTGATAATCAGCCTTCTACTCTCTATATCCATGGGTTCAATTGTTTTGATTTTTAGATACTACAAATAATAAGTGACCCCGTCTCTACTAAAAATACAAAAATTAGCAAGGCGTGGTGGCGGGCGCCTGTAGTCCCAGCTACTCAGGAGGCTGAGGCAGGAGAATGGCATGAACCTGGGAGGCGGAGCTTGCAGTAAGCCAAGATCACGCCACTGCACTCCAGCCTGGGCGATAGAGCGAGACTCCGTCTCAAAAAAAAAAAAAAAAAAAAAAAAAAAAAGTGAAAACGTGATGTTTGTCTTTTTGTGCCTGGCTTATTTCACCTAACATAATGATCTCCACTTTCATCCATGTTGTTGCAAATGACTGAATCTCGCTATATTTTATGGCTGAATAATACTCCATTGTGTACAAATACCACATTCTCTTTATCCAGTCATCTGTTGATGGACCCTTAGGTTTTTTCCAAATCTTTACTATTGTGAAGAGTGCTACAACAAACATGGGAGTGCAAATATAGCTTCAATATATTGATTTCCTTTCTTTGGGATATATACTCAGCAGTGGTATTGCTGGATTTTATGCTAGTTCTATTTTTAGTTTTTTGAGGAATCTCCAAACTGTTCTCCAAAGTGGCTGTACTAATTTACATTCGCACCAACAGTGTATGAGGGTTCCCTTTTCTCCACATCCTTGCCAGGATTTGTTATTGCCTGTCTTTTGGCTATAAGCCATTTTAACTTGGGTGAGATGACATCTCATTGTAGTTTTGATTTTCATTTCTCTGATGTTTAATGATGTTGAGCACCTTTTCATATGTCTGTTTGCCATATGTATGTATTCTTTTGAGAAAGGTCCATTCTAATCTTTTGCCCATTTTTAAATTGGATTATTAGATTTTTCCCCCCAATAGAGCTGTTTGCACTCCTGACATATTCTCGTTATTCCCTTGTCAGATGGCTAGTTTGCAAATATTGTCTCCCATTCTGTGGGTTGTCTCTTCAATTTGTTTATTGTTTCCTTTGCTTTGCAGAAGCTTTTTAACTTGCTGTGATCCCATAAGTTCATTTTTGCTTTGGTTGCCTGTGCTTATCGGGTATTATTCAAAAAATGTTTGCCCAGACTGAAGTCCTAGAGAATTTCCCCAATGTTTCCCTGTACTAGTTTCACAGTTTGTGGTCTTAGATTTAAGTCTAAACCATTTTTATTTGATTTTTGTATATGGCAAGACATAGGGGTCTTGTTTTATTCTTCTGTATATGGATATCCAGTTTTCCCAGCACCATTTATTCAAGAGACTATCTTTTCCCCAGTGTATGTTCTTGGCACCTTTGTGAAAAAGGAGTTCACTGTAGGTATGTAGATTTGTTTCTGGGTTCTCTCTTCTGTTCCATTGTGTGTCTGTTTTTATGCCAGTACCATGGTGTTTTGATTACCATATCTTTCTAGCATAATTTGAAGTCAAGTACTGGGATTCCTACAGTTTTTTCCTTTTTGCTTAGGACAGCTTTGGCGATTCTGGGTCTTTTGTGTCTTTTGTGGTTCCATATAAATTTGGGATTGATTTTTAGGGTTGCTTTTTCTATTTCTGTGAAGAATGTTATTGGTATTTTTATAGAAATTGCATTGTATCTGTAGATTACTTTGGATAGTATGGACATTTTAAAAATAGTGATTGTTCCAATGCATGAACATGGAATACCTTTCCATTTTCTGGTGTCCTCTTCAATTTTTTTCCTCAGTGATTTATAGTTTTCATTATAGAGATTTTTCATTCATTCGGTTAAGTCGATTCCTACGTATTTAATTCATTTGTCGCTACTGTAAATGGGACTACTTTTTAAATTTTCTTTTTCACTTTGTTCAGTTGGCATATAGACATGCTACTGACCTTTGTATGTTGATTTTTGTATCCTGCAACTTTATTAAATTTATCAATTCTAGGCATTTTGTGGTGGAGTCTTTAGGTTATTCCAAATATAAGATCACATCATCTGCAAACAAGGATAATTTGATGTTTTCCTTTCCAATTTGGATATCCTTTATATCTTTCTCTTATCTGATCACTCTAGCTAGGACTTCCAGTACTATGTTGAATAACAATGATGAAAGTGGGCATCCTTGTCATGTTCTAGATCTTACAGGAAAGGCTTTCAGTTTATCCCCATTCAATATGATACTAGCTGTTCATCTGTCATATGTAGCTTTTATTATGCTGAGATATGTTCCTTCTATACCCAGTTTTTTGAGAGATTTTATCATGAAGGGATGTTGAATTTTACCAAATGCCTTTTCATCAAATGAAATGAACATATGGTTTTTGTCCTTCATTCTGTTGATATCATGTATCACATTAATTGATTTGCATACGTTGAACCATCCTTGCTTTACAGGGATAAATTCTACTTGGTCATGATAAGTGACATTTAAATTTGAATTTGTTTTTCTAATATTCTATTGAGAGTGTTTGCATCAATATTCGTCAGGTACATTGACCTGTAGTGTTTGTTTTTTGTTTTTTGTTGTTGTTTTTTTTTCTGGTTCTTTGTCTTGTTTGGGTATCAGGGTAATACTGGTCTTGTAGAATGAGTTTGAAGTATTCCCTCTGCCTCCTCTATTTTTTGGAATAGTTTTAGGATTGGTATTAGTTCTTTAAATATTGGTAGAATTCAGCAGTAAAACCATTGAGTCAGGCTTTTCTTTATTGGAAGACTTTTTATCATGGCTTCAATCTCATTGCTTGTTATTGGTCTGTTCAGGTTTTGGATTTCTTCATGGTTCAATCTTGGTAAGTTGTATGTGTCCAGGAATTTGTCCATTTTTTCTAGATTTTCCAGTTTATTGGCATGTAGTTGCTCATAGTAGCCACTAACGATCCTTTGAATTTCTGTAGTATCAGTTTTAATGTCTTTTTCATCTCTGGTTTTATTTGTTTGAATCTTCTCTCTTTTTTTGTTAGTCTGGCTAAAGTCTGTCAATTTTGTTTAACTTTTTAAAAAAACAACTTTTTGTTTCGTTGATCTTTTATATTTTCTTCATTTCTGTTTCATTTATTTCTGCTCTGAGCTTTATTATTTCTTTTATTCTACTAATTTTGGGTTTCCTTTTCTAGTTCTTTAAGATACACCATCAGGTTGTTTATTTGAAGTTTTTCTTTTTTGATGTGGGCACTTATAGCTATAAACTTCCCTTATGGCTCCACTGTATTCCATAGATTTTGGTAAGTTGTGTTTCTGTTAGCATTTGTTTAAAAAAAAATTCAATTTCCTTCTTAATTTTTTAATTTACCCACTGGTCATTCAGAAGAATATTTAATTTCCATGTATTTGTATAGTTTCCAAAATTCCTCTGGTTACTGATTTCTAGTTTTATTCCATTATGGTCAGAGGATGCTTGATATGATTTCAATTTTGTGAGTGTTTTGAGACTTGATTTGTGACCTAACATATGGTCTCTCTCTGAGAATGATCCATCCTGCAGTTCTTGGATAAAATGTTCTGTAAATAACTATTAGATCCATTTGGTCTAGAGTACAGATTAAGTCTAATGTTTCTTTGTTGATTTTCTGTCTGGAAGATCTGTCAATGCTGAAAGTGGGGTATTGAAGTCTTCAGCTATTATCGTATTGGGGTCTAGCTCTTTCTTTAGCTATGATAATATTTGCTTTATGTATCTGGGTGCTCCAGTGTTGGGTGCATATATATTTAAAATTGTTAAATATTCTTGCTGAATTGACCCCTTTACCATTCTATAGCGACCTTGTCTCTCTTATAGCTTTTGTCTTGAAATCTATTTTGCATAAGTACAGCAACTCCTGCTCTTTTTTGGCTTCCAATGGCATGGAATATCATTTTCCATCTCCTTATTTTCAGTCAGTGTGTGTCTTTATAGGTGAAGTGTGTTTCTTGTAGTAAAGACTTACTCCTGTCATATTGTTATTTATTTTCTGGTTGATTTGTGGCCTTCTCTTCCTTCTTTCTTTGTTTCCTTCCTATATTCCTTTCAGTGGAGGTGATTTTCTCTGGAGATGTGATTTAATTTCTTGCTTTTTATTTTTTGGGTACCCATTGCATGCTTTTTGGTTTGAGGTAAATTACCATGAGGCTTGCAAATACTATCTGATAGCCCATTATTTTAAGCTGATAACAACTTAACACCGTTTGCACAAACAAGCAAAAAAAACTAATGAAGACTGTACCCCATAACTTCATCCCTTCCACGTTTTAATTTTTTTGTTGTTACTGTTTATACCTTCTTATTGTACTATGTCTTGACAAGTTGTTATTATTATTTTTATTGGTTCATCATTTCATCTTTCTACTTAAGAGTAGTTTATACACCACAGTTGCAGTGTTATAACACTCTGTGTTTTTCTGTGTACTTAACGATTACCAGTGAGATTTGTACCTTCAGGTGATTTCTTATTGCTCACTAACATCCTTTCCTTTCTGATTGAAGTACTGTTTTAGCATTCTTGTAGGACAGGTCTAGTGTTGATGAAATCCCTCAGCTTTTGTTTGCCTGGGAAAGTCTTTATTTCTCCATTTTTGAAGGGTAATTTCTCCAGATATACTATTCTAGGGTAAAAGTTCTTTTCTTTGAGTATTTTAAATATGTCATACCACTCTCTCCTAGCCTGTAAGGTTTCCACTGAATAGTCTGCTGCCAGACATATTGGAACCCCATTGTTTGTTATTTGTTTATTTTCATTTGTTGTTTTTAGAATCCTTTACCCTTGACCTTTGGGAGTTTGATTATTAAATGCCTTGAGATTGTCTTCTTTGGGATAAATCTGCTTGGTGTTCTGTTGCCTTCCTGTACTTGGATACTGATATCTTTCTCTGGATTTGAGAAGTTCTGTTATTATCCCTTTGAATAAACTTTCTACCCTTGTCTCTTTCTCTACCTCCTCTCAAAGGCCAATAACTCTTCAATTTGCCCTTTTGAAGCTATTCTCTAGATCCCGTAGACATGCTTCATTGGTTTTTATTCTTTTTTTCTTTTGTTTCCTCTGACTCTGTATTTTTAAATAGCCTGTCTTCAACAAGTTCACTAGTTCTTTCTTCTGCTTGATTAATTCTGCTATTAAAAGACTCTGATGCATTCTTCAGTATGCCAACTGCATTTTTCAACTCCAGAATTTCTGTTTGATTCCTTTTAATTATTTCAATTTCTTTGTTAAGTGTATCTGATAGAATTCTGAATCCCTTCTCTGTGTTATCTTGAATTTCTTTGAGTTTCCTCAAGAAAGCTATTTTGAGTTATCTGTCTGAAAGGTGACATATCTCTCTTTCTCTGGGATTGATCCATGGTGCATTATTTAGTTCATCTAATGAGGTCATGTTTTCCTGGATCATCTTTGTAGATGTTCATCTGTGTCTGGGGATTGAAGTGTTAGGTATTTATTGTAGTCTTTACAGTCTAGGTTTTTTGTGCCCATCCTTCTTGGGAAGGCTTTCTAGATATTTGAAAGGACTTGGGCATTAGGATGTAAGCTGTATCTGATTTAGGGTGGACCCCAAGCCCAGTAGTGCTGTGGTTCTTGCAGACTTGTAGAGGTACTGCCTTGATGGTCTTATACAAGATCTGGAAGAATTCTTTGAATTACCAGACAGAGACTTTTGTTTTCTTCTCTTACTTTTTCCCAAACAAATGGAATCTCTTTTTCTGCTCTGAGCCACCTGGAGCTGAGGGTGGAGTGACACAAGCACCCCCTGTAGCCACCATCCCTAGGAGTGTACTGGATCACACATAAAGCCAACACAGCACTGGGTCTTACCCAAGCCCTGCTGTAATCCCTCCCTGGCTACCAGTTATGTATGCTAAAAGCCCTGGGGCTCTATAATCAGGAGGTGGCAAAGCCAGCCAGGCCTATCTCCTTCCCTTCAGGGCGTCAAGTTCCTCTAGGCCCTGGGTGGGTCCAGAGGTGCCATCCAGGCTAGAGTCAAAAACCTTAGAAGTCCACCTGGTATTCTATTGTACTGCTTCTGAGATGGCACTCAAACCACAAGACACGGTTCTTCCCACTCTTCTCTCCCCTTTCCAAAGGCAGAAAAGTCTCACCTTCAGGCCACTGCCACCTCGGGCCCACGATGAATATTGCCAGACAACTGCCAATGTTCTCTTAAGGCCCAAGGGCTCTTCAGTTAGCTTGTCATGAATGCCTCCTGGTCTAGGACTCACCCATCGGGGACTGTGCTCCCCTCTGGCCCAGGGCAGGTCCAAAAATTCCATGCAAGAGCCAAGTCCTGGAATCAAGAACTCTAATGGCTACTTGGTGCTCTATCGCCCTGTAGCTGAGCTGGTTCCTAAGGTGCAAGATAAAGTTTTATTTACTTTCCCCTCCACTTTTCTCAAGCAGAAAGAATCTTGACCCATAGCCACCACAGCTGGGAATGTGCTGAGTCTCACCTGAACCCATCAAGTCTCAGTGTCTTACCAAGGCCCTCAACATCGTACTTGAGTATCACTGCTGGTTAGTCAGAGGCCAAGAGCTCTTCAGTTAGGTGATTAATCCTGCCAGGACTGGGTTCTTGCCTTCAAGGCAGCAGGTTCCCTTCTGGTCTAGGGTGTGTCTAGAAATGTCTGGGAGATAGGGCCTGGAAAAAGGGTCTCATGACTGTGACTGTTGCCTTATCCTGCTGTGGCTGAACTGGTATCCAAGATGTAAAATAAAGTCCTCCCCACTCTTTCATCTCCTCTCCTCAGGCAAAGGAAGGGGTCTCTTTTTGAGCCATGAGCTGTGCAACTTAGGGTTAGGGGAGGGATGATGTCAGTACTCCCTTAGCCACCCTGGCTGGTGTCTCAGTAGGTCACATGCTCCCCCAGTCCATTGTCTCTGGGCTCAGTTCAGTCCTAGGACTGCCTAGGAGTTGTAGTCTTTGTGTCCTAGACTATGTTTTAAGTTTATTTGATAACCCAGAGCACTTTAGCCCATGGTGTCAAGGCTTGTAGGAACTTAAGTTCTGATGCTGGGATGAGCAATTCCTCTCTGGCTAGGGCTGGTTTAAATGCACCCTCCTTATGTGGGCATCAGCTGAGTTTGGTCTGGTTTTGCTTCCTGCTATAACAAGGGCAGCACTAAGTTTAATGTCTTACAGTTGCTGGCTCTCACACTCCCCAGAGCACAGAAACACCCTCCTCACAATGCTGCCACTGCAAGGGGATGAGAAATGGGTGATGTCCTTGATTTCAGACTGTTTTTTGTACCTCTTCAGTGTCTCTTTTGGTAATATGAAATTAAAACCAGGTATTGTGAGTGCTCACCTGATTTTTGGTTCTTACAAGGTGATTTATTGTGCATGTAGATAGTTGTTTATTTGGTGTGCTTGCAGGGGGCAAGGGGAATTGGCAGAGCCTTTTATTTTATCATCTTGCTCTACCCCTCATCTTTTATTTTTAACATTTATTTTAGGTTCAGGGATACACGTGCACGTTTGTTGCATAGGTAAACTGCATGTCTTGGGGGTTTGATGTACAGATTATTTTGTCCCCCAGGTAATAAGCATAGTGCTCAATAGGTAGTTTTTTAATCTTCTCCCTTTTCCCATCATCCACCCTCAAGTAATCCCCAGTGTCTATTGTTCCCCTCTTTGTGTCCATGTGTCCTCATTGTTAGGTCCTACTTAAAAGTGAGAACATTCAGTATTTATTTTTCTGTTCCTGTGTTATTTTGCTTAAGATAATGGCCTCCAGTTCCATCCATGTTTCTGCAAAGAATATGATCTCATTCTTTTATATGGCTGCATAGTATTCCATGACATATATGTACCACATTTTCTTTATCCAGTCTACCATTGGTGGGCATCTAGGTTGATTTCTTGTCTTTATTATTATGACTAGTGCTGCAATGAACATGTATGCATGTGTCTTTATGGTAGAATGATTTATATTCCTTTGTGTATATACCCAATAATGAAATTTCTGGGTCAAATGGAAGTTCTGTTTTAATTTCTTTAAGGAATTGCCACACTGATATCCACAATTGCTGAATTAATTTTAATTCCTACCAGCAGTGCATAAGCATTCCTTTTTCTCCACAATCTTGCCAGCATCTGCTATTTTTTGACTTTTTAATAATACTGATTTTGACTAGTGAGATGGTCTCTCATTGTGGTTTTGATTTGCATTTCACTAAAAATTAGTCCTGTTGACCATTTTTCATAGGTTTCCTGGCCACATGTATGTCTTCTTTGAAAATTATCTGTTCATGTCATTTGCCTGCTCTTTAATGGGGCTGTTTGATTTTTGCTTATAAATTCATTTAAGTTCCTTAAATGAATCTTCTAGATATTAGACCTTTATCAGATGCATACTTTGCAGATATTTTCTCCCATTCTGTAGGTTGTCTGTTTATTCAGTTGACAGTTTATTTTGCTGTAAAGAAACTCTTTAATTAGGTTCCATTTGCCAATTTTGTTTTTGTTGCAATTGCTTTTGGCATCTTGGTCATGAAATCTTGCCCATTCCTATGTCTACAATGGTATTTCCTAGGTTTCTTCCAGAGTTTTTAGAGCTTTAAGTTTTATATTTAGGTCTTTAATCTTTCTTGAGTTAATTTTTGTGTATGGTGTAAGAAAGGAGTCCAATTCCAATATCTTTCATATGGCTAGCCAATTATTCCAGCACCATTTGTTGAATATGTAGTCCTTTCCCCACTGCTTGCTTTTGTCTACTTTGTCAAAGATTAGATGGCTGTGTGTGTGTGGCATTATTTCTGGGCTCTCCATTCTGTTCCATTGGTCTACGTGTCTGTTTTTGTACCAGTAACATGCTGTTTTGATTACTGTAGCCTTGTAGTATAGTTGGAAGTGAGGTAACATGATATCTCCAGCTTTGCTCCTTTGGCTTAGGATTGCCTTGGCTATTCAGGCTCTTTTTTGGTTCTGCATGAATTTTAAAACAGATTTTTTTCTAATTCTCAGAAGAATGTCATTAGTAGTTTGATAGGAATAGCATTGAATATGCACATTCCTTTGGGCAGTATGGCCATTTTAATGTTATACAGGAGGTTCTAGCTAGTGAAATGAGGAAAAATATAGCAACAGTACCCAGACTGCAAAGGACGAAATAGTACTCTTTATCCACAGATGATATGAGTCTGTCTGTAATTAGAAAATCCTAAATTCTGATAAATCTGCACACCAAAAAAAAAAAAAACCTACTGAAGTAATGTTAGTTTAGCAAGGTTTCAGGATACAGAATCAATATTTAAAACCCAATTGCATTTCCATACACTAGCAACAATCTGAAAATTAAATTAATAAATCATTTCCATTTATAATAGCTTCAAAAAGAGTAAAATAATTATGAATACATTTAACAAATATGTGCATAATTTGTATCTGTAAACTAAAAAATATTGCTGAGAAAAATTAAAGAAGATTTAAATACATACAAATGCAACCTATGTTTATGAATTGGAAGACTGAATATTGTTGTGATAGACTGAATAATGGCCCTCAAAAGATGTTCATATCTAATCTGCAGAACCTGGAGATTTGTTACTTAACATGATAAAAATAACTTTGTAGATGTAATTGAGGATTTGGGGATGGGAAGATGATTGTCCTAGATTACCTTGCTAGGCCCACTGTAACCACAGGGTCCTTAGAAGAGAAAGTTAGGAGGGTCAAAGTCAGTAATAGGAGATGTAATAATGGAAGCCAAAGTTGGGAATGATGCAAAGAAGTGGACACAAACCAAGGAATATAAGTAAACTCTAGAAGATTTTCAGCTTCATCTTCTAGGCGGAGAAATAGATTCTCTCCTGACAGCCTCCAGAAGAAACTAGTTCTACCACCACCTTAACATTAGCCCAGTGAGATTGATTTTTCAACTTTGTACTTCCACAACTGTAAGATAATAAATCCATGTTTAACAATAAAGTTAAAATACAACCCAGCAATTTTACTCCCCAACCCTAAAAGAAATGTTTAAATATGCCCACATGGCGGTGGTGGTCTCTGTGGCTCAGTGGACTTAGTCTTTCCTGCCTGCTGGCTCTGAAGAGGCCAAGCAGTCCAGATAAGGGGGATTTGTCCAGATGAGGGGGATTTCTCCCCAGTGCAGTGCAGCGCAACCGATCCACCATGGGGCAGCCAGAGCGCTTTGTTAAGCAGATCCTGGATCCAGTGCCTTATGACTGGGTGGGACCCTCCAACAGGCACTGCCAGACACCTTATACAGGAGCATTTCCACCAGCATCAGGTCAGTGCCCCTCTGGGACAGAGCTCCCAGAGGAAGGAACAAGCAGTCATCTTTGCTATTCTGCAGCCTCCACTGGTGACACCTCCCAGTGCAAGAGGGACCCAGATGAATAGGGTCTGGAGTGGACCCTCAGAAAACCACAGAAACCCTATGGAAGAGGGTCTTACCTGTTAAAATAAAAACAGATAAACAGCAACAACAACAACATAAACAAAAAAGACCCCACAAAAACCCCATCCAAAGGTCAGCAGCCTCAAAGTTCGAAGGTAGATAAGCTCATGAAGATGAGAAAAAAAATCAACACAAAATTGCTAAAAACTCAAAAAGCCAGAGTGCCTCTTCTTCTCCAAATGATCGTAACTCCTCTCCAACAAAGGCACAGAACTGGGCTGAGGTTAAGATGCATGAACTGACAGAAGTAGGCTTCAGAAGGTGGGTAATAATGAACTTCACTGAGCTAAAGGAATATGTTTTAACCCAATGCAAAGAAGCTAAGAACCATGATAAAACATTACAAGAGCTGTCAACCAGAATAACCAGTTTAGAGAGGAACATAAATGACCTGATGGAGCTGAAAAACACAACACAAGAACTTCACAATGCAACCACAAGTATTGATAGCCACATAGACCAAACAGAGGAAAGAATCTCAGAGCTTGACTATCTTTCTGAAATAAAACAGGCAAACGAGACTAGAGAAAAAAAATGAAAAGGAACAAACAAAACCTCCAAGAACTATGAGATTATGTAAAAAGACCAAACCTATGACTGATCAGGGTACCTGAAAAAGACAGGGAGAATGGAACCAAGTTTAAAAACATACTTCAAGATATTATCCAGGAGAACTTCCCCAACCCAGCAAGACAGGCTAACATTCAAATTCAGGAATTCCAGAGAATCCTGGTAAAATACTCCATGAGAAGATCAACCCCAAGACACATTATCAGATTCTCCATGGTTGAAATGAAGGAAAAAGTGTTAAGGGCAGCCAGAGAGAAAGGCAGGACACCTACAAAAGGAAGCCCATCAGACTAACAGCAGACCTCTCAGCAGAAACCCTACAAGCCAGAAGAGATTGGGGACCAACGTTCAACATTCTTGAAGAAAAGAATTTCCAACCCAGAATTTCATATCTGGCCAAACTAAGCTTCATAAGCGAAGGAAAAATAAAATCCTTTTCAGACAAGCAAATGCTGAGGGAATTTGTCATAACCAGGCCTGCCTTGCAAGAGCTCCTGAAGGAAGCACTAAATATGGAAAGGAAAAACCATTATCAACCACCACAAAACACACTCAAGTACACAGACCAATGACACTATGAAGCAACTACATTAACAAGTCTGCAAAATAACCAGCTAGCATTATGATGACAGGATCAAATTCACACATAAAAATATTAACCTTAAATATAAGTGGGCTAAATTCCCCAATTAAAAGATAAAGAATGGCAAGCTGGATAAAGAGTCAAGACCCATCAGTGCGCTGTATTCAAGAGACCCATCTTATGTGCAAAGACACCCATAGGCTCAAAATAAAGAGATAGAGGGAAATTTGCCAAGCAAATGGAAAGCAGAAAAAAGCAGAGGTCATGATCTTAGTTTCTGACAAAACAGACTTTAAACCAACAAAGATTAAAAAAGACAAAGGAGGGCATTACATAATGGTAAAGGGTTCAATTCAACAAGAAGAGCTTATTATCCTAAATATATATACACCAATACAGGAGCACTCAGATTCATAAAACAAGTTCTTAGAGACCTGCAAAGAGACTCAGACTCACACACAATAATAGTGGGAGACTTTAACACCCCACTGTCAATATTAGACAGATCATTAAGACAAAAAATTAACAAAGATATTCAGGACTTGAGCTCAGCTCTGGATCAAGTGGACCTGATAGACATCTACAGAACTCTCCACCCAAAAATGACAGAATATATATTTTTTCAGCACCACATGGCACTTACTCTAAAATTGATCACATAATTGGAAGTAAAACATTCCTCAGCAAATGCAAAAGAACTAAAATCATAACAGTCTCTCTGACCACAGCACAATAAAATTAGAACTCAAGATTAAGAAACTCACTTAAAACCACACAACTACATGGAAATTGAACAATCTGCTCCTGAATGACTCCTGGGTAAATAATGAAATTAAGGCAGAAATCAAGAAGTTCTTTGAAACTAATGAGAACAAAGAGACAATGTACCAGAATCTCTGAGACATAGCTAAAGCAGTGTTAAGATGAAAATTTATAGCACCAAATGCTCATGTAAAAAAAGCCAGAAAGATCTCAAATTGACATCCTAACATCACAACTAGAGAACCAAGAACTAACAAACTCTAAAGCTAGAGGAAGACAAGAAATAACTAAGCTCAGAGAAGAACTGAAGGAGATAGAGACATGAAAAACCCTTCAAAAAAAATCAACAAATCCAGGAACCTGTTTTTTGAAAAAATTAATCAAATAGATAGACTGCTAGCTAGACTGATAAAGAAGAAAAGAGAGAAGAATCAAATCAACACAATAATAAATGATAAAAAAGGATATCACCACTGACCCCACAGAAATACAACCAACCATCAGAGAATACTATAAACACCTCTATGCACATAAACTAGAAAATATAGAAGTGGATAAATTCCTGGACACATACACCCTCCCAAGACTGAAACAGAAAGAAGCTGAATCCCTGAATAAACCAATGAGTTCTGAAATTGAGGCAGTAATACATAGCCTACCAACAAGAAAAAGCCCAGGACCAGAAGGATTTACAGCTGAATTCTATAAGAAGTACAAAGAGGAGCTGATACCATTTCCTCTGAAACTATTCCAAACAATTGAAAAGGATAGACTCCTCCGTAACTCATTTTATGAGACCAGCATCATCCTGATACCAAAACCTGGCAGAGGTACAACAAAGAACACTTCAGGCCAGTATCCCTGATGAACATCGGTGCAAAAATCTTCTATAAAATACTGGCAAATCAAATCCACCAGCACATAAAAAAAGCTTATCCACCATGATCAAGTTGGCTTCATTCCTGGGATGCAAGGCTGGTTCAACATATGCAAATAAACAAATGTAATTTATCACATAAGCATAACTAAAGACAATATCCACATGATTATCTCAATAGATGCAGAAAGGTCCTTCGATAAAATTCAACATCCCTTCATGTTAAAAACTCTCAATAAATTAGGTATTGAAGGAACATACCTCAAAATAATAAAAGCCATTTTTGACAAAACCACAGCCAGTGTAATACTGAAAGAGCAAAAGCTAGAAGCATTGCCCTTGAAAACCGGCACAAGATAAGAACGTTCTGTCTCACCACTCCTATTCAACATAGTATTGGAAGTTCTGGCCAGGGCAATCAGGCAAGAGAAAAAAATAAAGGGTATTCAAATAAGAAGAGAGAAAGTCAAATAGTCTCTGTTTACAGATGACATGACCTACATCTAGAAAACCCCATCATCTCAGCCCAAAAGCTTCTTAAGCTGATAAACAACTTCAGCAAGTTCTCAGATATAAAACCAAAAATCACAAGCATTCCTATACACCAACAACAGATAAGTAGAGGGCCAAATTATTAATGAATTTTTATTCACAATTGCTACAAAGAGAATAAAATACCCAGCAATACATCTAACAAGGGAAGTGAAGGACCTCTTCAAGGAGAACTACAAACCATTGCTCAAGGAAATAAGAGAGGACACAAACAAATGGAAAAACGCTCCATGCTCATGGATAGGAAGAATCAAGATCATGAAAATGACCATACTGCCCAAATTTATAGATTAAATGCTATTTCCATTAAAGTACCATTGACATTCTTCACAGAATTAGAAAAAAAACTATTTTAAAATTCATATGGAACCAAAAAAGAGCTCATATAGCCAAGACAATCTTAAGCAAAAATAACAAAGCTGGAGACATCATTTTACTTCACCTCATTGTACTACCAGGCTACAGTAACCAAAACAGCATGGTACTGATACAAAAACAGACACATAGACCAATGGAACAGAATAGAAAACTCAGAAATAAGACCACACATCTACAATCATCTGATATTCAACAAACCTGACAAAAACAAGCAATGGGGAAAGGATTTCCTATTTAATAAATGGTTCTGGGAGAGCTGGCTAGCTGTATGCAGAAAATTGAAAGTGCACCCCTTCCTTATACCTTATATAAAAAATAACTCAAGATGGATTAAAGACATAAATATAAAACCCGAAAGTATAAAAACCCTAGAAGAAAATCTAGGCAATGCCATTCAGGAAATAGGCATGGGCAAAGATTTCATGACAAAAATGTCCAAAGCAATTGCAATGAAAGCAAAAACTGACAAATGGGATCTAATTAAACTAAAGAGCTTCTACGCAGCAAAAGAAACTATCATCAGAGTGAACCTACAGAATGGAAGAAAATTTTTGTAATCTATTCATCTGACAGAGGTCTGATATCCAGAATCTACAAGGAACTTAAACAAATTTACAAGAAAAAGAAAACACCATTAAAAAGTGGGCAAAGGACATGAATAGACACTTCTCAAAAGAAGACATTTATGTGGCAAGAAACATATGAAAAAAAGCTCAACGTCACTGATCATTAGAGAAATGCAAATCAAAACCACAATGAGATACTATCTTATGCCAGCCAGAATGGTGATTATTAAAAAGTCAAGAAACCACAGATGCTGGTGAGGCTGCAGAGAAACAGGAACGCTTTTATAGCATTGGTGGGAATGTCAGTTAGTTCAACCACTGTGGAAGACACTGTGATGATTCCTCAAAGATTTAGAACCAGAAATATCATTTGACCCAGCAATTCCATTACTGGGTATATACCCAAAGGAATATAAATAATTCTATTATAAAGATACATGCACTTGTATGTTCATTGCAACACTATTCACAATAGCAAAGACATGGAGTCAACCTCAAAGCCCACCAATGATTAACTGGATTTTTTAAAAATGTGGTACATACACACCATGGAATACTATGCAGCCATAAAAAGGAATGAGATCATGTCCTTTGCAGGGACATGGATGGAGGTGGAAGCCATTATCCTCAGCAAACTAATGCAGGAACAGAAAACCAAGCACCACAGGTTCTCACTTATAAGCGGGAGCTGAACAATGAGAACACAGGGACACAGGGAGGGAAGCAACACACACTGGGGCCTGTCAGCAGTGTGTGGGGGATGGGAGAGCATCAGGACAAATAACTAGTAATACCTAGGTGATGGGTTGACAGGTGCAACAAATCACCATGGCACACATTTACCTATGTAATAAACCTGCACATCCTGCACATGTACTTTGGAACTTCAAATTTAAAATACATATATATGCTGGGCCAGGCGCAGTAGCTCACACCTGTAATCCCAGCACTTTAGAAGGCCGAGGCAGGTGGATTACCTGAGGTCAGGAGTTCAGGACCAGCTTAGCCGACATCGTGAAACCCCATCTCTACTAAAAAGTACAAAAACTAGCCTGGCATGGTGGTGGGCTCCTACAATCCCAACTACTCGGGAGGCTGACACAGCAGAATTACTTGAACCCAGGAGATAGAGATTGTGGTGAGCCGAGATCACGCCATTGCACTCCAGCCTGAGCAACAAGAGACTCCATCTCAAAAAAAAAAAAAAAAATATGTATATATATATATATGTATGTGTATATATATATATATACATATATATATATATATACATATATATATATATATATATGTATATATATATATGCCCACATGAGTACTTGTACAGGAATGTTCATAATAGCCAAAAACTGGAAACAATCTAAATATCCATCAGCTGGTGACTAGATAAACATAAGGTGACATATCCACATAATGGAAAACTATTCAGCAATAATAAATGAAATATTGACACATGCTATGTTTTTAATAGATAAAACTTAATATTACATTAAATGGAAGAAGCAAGATATAAAACACTACATATTGTATGATTCCATTTATATGAAATATCCAGATCATGCAAATTTATAAAAACAAAGCACAGATCCATAGTTGCTTAAGGCTGGGATGGGAGGGAAGATTGAAAATTGCTCAAGAAAATTTTGGGGGATAATGGATATGTGCTAAAACTGGATTTTGATGATGACTGAGCAACTTTATGAATGGCCAAGAATCATTGAATTGTACACTTTAAAAGGGTAAATTTTATGATATGTAAATTATACCTCAATAAAGCTATAAATAAAAGGTATGCATATTTATGAGGAGATAGCATTGCTCATATATATATGCTTTGCACATTTAAAAAGTTTGTTATCTAGATGGTGACTACACAATTCAAATGTTCTACTCCTGAACTTTTCCTTGCATTTGAAAATGTTCAAAATATAAATTAGAAAAATTCTTTGAACTTTACATTTATTGCAGTATAACCTATAAATTATAAAGATGAGAGCATTGAATAATACTGTATGCTACTTTATCATATTAAATGTAATTTAAAATTATTAACTATTATGATGACTGCTTAATTTATTTTTAATTATTTTAAGGTCTTTATAAGTGTACAGGCATTTATATAATTTCAGGAGAGCATTCTTATAAAGAACTGAGCATCAGGCTTTTACTCAGAAACATAGCCCTACATAACATTCATCCTACAAAAAAAAAAAAAGCAGTTTTTATTCTTATGATTTAGATTTCTGGCCCCTTTTCTGGAAAAATAGCCTGCTGGAAATGTGCTAACTGCCTTTCAAATGTTATTCACATGTATCAGTTCTTTTTACTTTTTATTTCACAACGACCATTAAAGAACTTTCTATATCTAAATTCATTACAGAGACATTCACTTTAAATATCCTTGATTGTTGATAAAATATTATCTCAGTGTTTTGGTCTTTGCATTTTAGGTTGGTGCCAGCTATATTTATGTCTTCTCAGAGTCATAACATTCCAGACTTAGAAGGACAGAGACGTTTAGTTGGATACATGACAGAAAGTCTATAGCATAAAAAATAGACGCATTTCTAGGCTATAGCCTACACGTTGGTGAGTAAATTTTATTTTCACTCACATTCATAACTATTTTACAATAATGCATTTCATTTTTAAAATTAGATATGTCTTTTCTTTCCCCAGTGTGCTTTATTTCTCTATTGAAACATTCACAAACTAGTCATAAATGTAATAGTAGTACAATGTCTTTTCATTAGCCAATATTGTTAAAACATAGGCCCTATCTTCTATTTTCAGGAGAAGCTCATCATTTACACTTTTAAATTGAGTTGAACAATAGTGTCTCAGAAAAATAATAATTTTAACAATTAAAATACTGTAAAATATTACTTATATGCTTTACATTATCAGAGACATTTCACAAGTGTACAGACGTGTATCTTCATAGGATTTATTCTATGTATTCTTAGTGAGCAATTAAGAGTTTTCTTAAGAGTAATTTGGCCCTATATGTGCTTGTTTTTTTCTTGCCTCATTCACTGACTTTATCTAATCCCCAAACGCAGAGCAGAGGGAAGGTAAAGATGCAATGGCACACTACTGGGAAAACCTCCTCTGACAGCCACCCTTCCCCAGGGTCTCTGCCCACTCAGTGCCCCCAGCCCTGTACACATTTCTCGCTTGTGCCACTTCCCTGGGGATGCAGTTGTTTCTTTACATGTCTGCCTCCCACTCTAGGGTGTGCTTCCCTTGAATGCAGAATCCACGTTTTATTTATCTTTGTATCCCCAGTGCCTGGGGCATCCTTGGATCTCAATAAATGTAGCCTTTGAATAGCAGCTGGTTAGAATTCAGATTATTTCAGGTCAACATTTATTGAACATCTTCTATTTAATAAATGCTCAGGTCAAGTCGGTGACACAAAAATGAGTGGATATAATTCCATTGACCACAAGGAAGTGTGAAACCATTTAAATAATGAAGAACAATCTTTTGTGGTTAGAAGGTTTTTACATTTTTTTATCTCACCTACTACCCTTTATGTGAAATTACATTTAACTTATATTTAGGAAGCAAATTTTTAAATTATTCACTTGTAATGCTTATTATATATAATTACATTTCTATAATTCTAAAATGTTAATAATAGCTAACTCTTGCCTAGGACCATCCTAAGTGCTTTACATACAATACCATATATCATTTACACACAATACTTTACATATACTATACATATCATTTATATGCAATATGTTACGTACACTGCTATATGTGTCATTTATTCTCCACACCAATAATAAATTGTTGCTTATTTTATAAGTGAAGAAACAGAACCAAGAGGAAAATAAATAATTTGTACAGGTAATAACACAGCTAAGAGATAACAGAGCCAAACTTTGAACCCACTCATTTTCTCACCCAATGTTTAGCGTAATATTTTCAGCAAATCTACAATTTAAACCTCTTCCTCTATCAGTGCTTCCTCTTGGTTGGTAAAAATTAAAAAACAAAACAAAACAGAAATCAATGCTTATTTTTGGTTGGTGAAAGCTAAAAACAAAATAAACCCCTCTTCTATACAAGTTTAGTATTGTCTAGTGAATATGTTTAAATTCAGAAAAATCCACTTGTTCAGAATAGTTAAAATAATAAGGCAAGAAATTATGACACAGTCTGATATCATACAAGAATTGTGGTAACAAGGTAGTTGCTGATGGTTGTCAAATTTGAACAGTAGCTTCCTGTTGAAAAAGAGAAGTCCCTTGACAATAAGATTCAAAGCTGGGATGAACCTCTGCCGCCATCCGAGGCTGAGAGCCTTGTCTATCCAAACATAAAATGACCCAACAATGACTGTGGGTCCCATGAACTCACCGTCTATTTGTTCTGAGAAAACTGGGTCAATGTTTACTGGTCTGAAGAAAGAAATGAAAATAGTCAAAATCACAAGGATTAGGATGGTAAACAAGTACAAATTGGGTCAATGTTTACTGGTCTGAAGAAAAAATGAAAATAGTCAAAAATCACAAGGATTAGGATGGTAAACTACCTCCAGTGCGGGTAGCAAAATATATATCATGCTTGCGTTCTGTGTAAGCTCCCAGTCTTCTCTCCGGTGTGGAGATCTACTTATTGGTAATGCATTTATTATTTTTATTTTTCCTACTTTCCATAAGTAATTGAGACAAATTACCTTACAAACCCATATATGTAAACACTATTCTTTAACATTTAAAAGAGAATAATAACCCAGGAGAGAGGGAGAGATTTATATCAGCAACCAATGAGAAGATAGGGTAATGCAATTGAGAGTTTTGTTGACCATTGAACTTCTTGGTAGCCAAGGCTAAAAGAGAAACATTATAATTATATGGTTTGCATTATCTGATAAATAATGCAATTTATTCTTTGGAACACATAAATTTTTTCCCAACATAAAATTTCAAGAGAAACTTCCCTCAGGGCTATTTAAATAATGGGCAATATTAAATTAACAAATAAACAGAAGTTTTATTAAAAATGCAGAAATTTATACTCTTTGTTACCTTCTGAATGATTATCTTTTTATGCCACATATTTACTTGCATTTATATAGCATTAGACATTTTGCTCTATAAATAGTCCCATATAATAATTACATAATGTCAAATAATTAGAGAAGCTGTTTTTACCTAAAAATTATATGAACAGAACCTAAGCCAGATCTGCATTTTTTTTAAGAGACTGGATTTTGCTCTGTCACCCAGGCTGGAGAGCAATGGCACGATCACAGCTTACTGCAGCCTCGACATTCCAAGTTCAAGTGATCCTCCCACCTCAGCCTCCCGAGTAGCTGGGACCACAGGCATGCACCACCATGCCTCATTTTTTTATTTTTGCAGAGATGGGGTCTCACTATGTTTCTCATGCTGTTACTGAACTACTGGGCTCAAGCAATCCTCCTGCCTCAGCCTCCCAAAGTGCTGGGATTACAGACATGAGCTACTGTGCCCAGCCCCAGATCTGCATTTCTGTTCCAACACTTAATATAAATAAAAATTGCTGAACACACTTAAATACATAGCCCACAGACCCTATAAAGCAACCACACAAAACAACCAGCTAACAACTTTGTAATAAGATCAAAACCTCACATATCGATATTAACTTTGAATGTAAATGGTCTAAACAATCCACTTAAAAGGCAGAGTGGCAAGTTAGATTTAAAAAATAAGACCCATTCATCTGCTGTCTTCAAGAGACCCACCTCACAAGTAATTACACCCATAGGATCAGGGTAAAGATTTGGAGGAAAGTCTATCTTGCAAATGGAAAACGAAAAGAACAAGTGTCCTTATTATTGTATCAGTTAAAGCAGACTTTAAACCAGCAATAGTAAAAAAGGACAAAGAAAGGCATTACATAATAATAAAGGATTATATTTAACAAGAAGACTTAACTATCCAAATATATGCGCACCCAACATTGGCATACTTGGGTTCATAAAATAAGTACTTCTAAACCTACAAAAAGATTTTGACAGCCACACAATAATAATGGGTGACTTCAACACCCCACTGAAAATGTTAGAAAAATTATCAAGGCAGAAAACTAACAAAGAAATTCTGAAATTAAATTTGACACTTGACCAATTGGACCTAATAGACATCTACAGAATACTCCACCTATCAAACACAAAATATACATTCTTCTCATCTGCACCCAGAATATATTCCAAGATCGACCACATGCTCAGCCATAAAGCAGGTCTCAATAAACTCAGAAAAAAAAATGAAGTCATACCAAACATATTCTCAGGCCACAGTGGAATAAAAATAGAAATGAACACCAAGAAGATCTCTTAAAAACACACAGTTACATGGAAATTAAACAACTTGCTCCTGAATGACTTTTGGATAAACAGCAAAATTAAGGCAGAAATAAAAAATTATATGAAATAAATGAAACCAGAGAAACAACATACCAAAATCTCTGGAATGCAACAAAAGCAGTGTTAAGAGGAAAGCTTATAGCACTAAACATCTACTTCAAAAAGTTAAATAGATCCCAGAATAATGTTCTGACATCACACCTAAAGGAACTAGAGAAATAAGAACATACCCCAAACCTAGCAGAAGAAAAGAAATAACCAAAATCAGAGCAGAGCTGAATGAAATCAAGTCCCCCAAATCCATAAATAGAGTCAAAGAAACAAATGTTGGCTCTTTGAAAGCATAAATAAAATCAATAGACTGCAAAAAGGGATACAAATAGGAAAACAAGAAATCAAACTATCTCTCTTCACTGATTACATGATTCTACACCTAAAGAACCCTAAAGACTCTGCCGAAAGGCTCCTGGAACTGATAAATAACTTCAGTAAAGTGTCAGGATACAAAATTAATGTACAAAAATCAGTAGCATTTCCACACACCACTAACTTTTAAGCTGACAGCCAAATCAAGAATACAATCCAATGTATAATAGCCACAAAAATAAATTAAATACCTAGGAATGCATCTATCCAAGGAGGTGAAAGATCTTTACAAGGAGAATTTTAAAAGACTGCTGAAACAAATCATAGATGACAAAAACAAATGGAAAAACGTTCCATGCTCGTGGATTGGAAGAATCAATATTGTTAAGGTGGTCATACTGCCCAAAGCAATCTACAGATTCAATGCTATTCCTATCAAAGTACCAATGTCATTTTTCACAGAATTAAAAAACGCTATTCTAAAATTTATATGGAACCAAAAAAGAGCCTGAATAGCCAAGGCAATCCTCAGGAAAAAAAAAAAAGCCAGAGGCATTACATTACCCAACTTCAAACTATACTAAGGCTACAGAAACCAAAATAGCATGGTACTGGTACAAAAACAGACATATAGACCAATGGAACAGAAAAGAGAACCCAGAAATAAAGCTGTGCACCTACAGCCATCTGATCTTCAACAAAGTCAACAAAAATAAGCAATAGGGAAATGACTCTATTTAATAAATGGTGCTGGAATAGCTGGTTAGCCTTACGCAGAAGAATGAAACTTGACCCCTGCCTTTCACCATATAAAAAAATTAACTCAAGATGGATTAAATATTTAAATGTAAGACGTCAAAATATAAGAATCCCAGAAGAAAACCTAAGAAACACCATTCCAGACATTGGCCTTGGGAAAGAATTTATGACTAAATCCCCAAAAGCAATTGCAAAAACAACAAAAAAAATTGACAAATGGAACCTAATTAAACTAAAGAGCTTCTGCACAGCAAAAGAAACTATCATATGAGTAAACAGACAGCCTATAGAATGAAAAAATATCTGCAAACTATGCATCTGACAAAGGTTTAATATCCCAAGTCTATAAGGAACTTGAACAATTCAATAAGCAGAAAACAACCCCATTAAAAAGCAGGCAAAAGACATGAACAGACACTGCTCAAAAGAAGACATCCAAGCAGCCAACAAACATATGAAAAAAATGTTCAACGTCATTGATCACTAGAGAAAGGCAAATCAAATGAGATACCATCTCACTCCAATCAGAATGGCTATCGTTAAAAAGTCACAAAACAACAGATGCTGGCAAGGCTATGGAGAAAAGGGAACATTTATACACTGTTGGTGGCAATGTAAATTAATTAAGCCCCTGTGGAAAACAGTTTGGAGATTTCTCAAAGAACTAAAAACAGAACTACCATTTGACCTAGCAATACCATTACTGGGTATATATCCAAAAGACAATAAATTGTTCTACCAAAAAGTCACATGCACTCGTACGTTCACTGCAGAACTAGTCACAATAGCAAAGACATGGATTCAACCTAGATGCCCACCAACAGTGGACTGGACAAAGAAAATGTCATACATATACACCATGGAATTCTTCGCAGCCATAAAATAGAATGAAATCATGTCCTTTGCAGCAACATGAATGCAGCTGGAGGCCATTATCCTAAGCAAATTAATACAGGAACAGAATACCAAATATCACATGCTCTCACTTGTAAGTGAGAGCTAAACATTGACTCATGGACATAAAGATGGCAACAATAAATACTGGGGACTAATAGAATAGGGAGGGATGGATGGGAGACAAGGGTTGAAAAAGCAAATATTGGGCCCTGTGCTTACTACCTGGGTGATGGAATTAATCACACGCCAAACCTCAGCATCACACAACATACCCACACAACAAATATGCACATGGACCCCCTGAATCTAAAATGAAAGTTGAAATTATTATTTTTTTATATGGAGTTTCGCTCTTGTTGCCCAGGCTGCAGCACAATGGCAAAATCTCAGCTCACTGCAACCTCCGCCTCCCAGGTTCAAGCGATTCTCTGGCCTCAGCCTCCTGAGTAGCTAGGGTTACAGGCATGCGCCACCACGCCTGGCTACTTTGTGTGCGTGTATGTATTTTTAGTAGAGACATGATTTCACCATGTTAGCCAGGCTGGTCTCGAACTCCTGACCTCAGGTGATCCACCCACCTTGGCCTCCCAAAGTGTTGGGATTACAAGGCACAAGCCACTGCGCCTGGCCCAAAATTATTTTTTTTAAAGTATGAAGGGCACAATTTCAAGACAAAGGACACTCTTCTAACTAGAACATATTAGCTTTTTTAAAAAAAACCTGGCTGCATATCTTTATTTTTTCCCTTTTGCCCTAAACAGATGACAGCATTGTTCATGGACTGGCACCAGCACTTGAGAAACACTACCACGGGATATATACAGAAGTACAAAGACACAGTTCTGGCTTCAAATGACCCTACAATCAGCTGGGGGATATAAAATCTAAACATTGAAAACATAATAATTAAGTGATAATCCAACATTAGGAAAAACATTATAAAGTATAAAATCATTTATTATAGAAGGGAGAGATCCCCAGGAACTTGGGAGCTTAGTGGAAGCTTAGTGATCTGAGCTGTGTTTGAAGAATGGAGAGATATCAGAAATTTTAGAGGGGGACTGTCAGATAGAAGGACTGTGTAGAATAGATAAAAGCACAATATATACAATACAGCTATTGGTTCAGTAGCATAAAGCACTCAAAATTTCTAAGTTGTAGTTTCATATTTCAGTTTAGTGGAACCATTGTGTTCATTGGTGGGAACATCCCCCCCTTGGAGACTAAGGTCTCTAAACCAGTATAGCTCAAAGTTGCCAGGATAAGAAGCAGAATTTCTGTGAGTGAGATATTACTTGGAATTGTGAGAGTAGCCATTCCTACTTTCATCCCTTGATTTCTGGACCCATGTATTCTGGCCATGGGGACAGCAACATATAATAACCTCTGATTCAAAGCATAAATCGTTTCCTGTATAATAGAGCCCATTCTTTTCAAGTGTTGTCTCCTAACTACATCATAACTGAGTCTTCAGTAAGCCATTCTACCTTTCAGTTAAGCTAGCTGCTTCTGGATCATGGAGTATGTAGTAAGACCAGTTCATTCAACAGTTATGATCCCAGTGCTGCATTTCTTTTGTAGACAATTAGTTTATTGATCAGACTCAATACTGTACAGAAATCCATGATGATGGATAGGGCATTCTGAGGGTCCTTGGATGCGGTGCTGACAGAAGCATTATGAGCAGGAAATGTAAATTCTTATTTAGAATATGTATGCTTCCTAGGAAGATGAATCTCTGCCACTTCCATAATAGAAGATGTCTAATGTAATCAATCTGTCACCAGGTGACTGGTCAGTTCCCACAGGGAATGGTGGCATATCCAGGATTCCATCTTGGTATCTGCTGTTGGCAGATTGGATACTCAACAGTAATATTAGACAGATAATTCTTCATAAGGAGAAGTTCATGCTGTTAAGCCCATGCTTAGCCTCCATCCCTGCCACCATAGACACTTTATTCATGGGCCCAATAAGCACTAGGGTGGCTGGTGTTACTGATATCCACAGAATGAATAATTATGCCCCCCTGATTATTAAGAGTCTCCTCTGCAATGGATGCCTGTTGATGAGCATTGATATTGGGTACAAATATCTGCAGTCTGTGTCCATTCAGAGAGATCCAGCCATATACCTCTTCCCCAGACTTCCTTGTTACCAATATTCCAATCCTATTCAGTGTCCTCACTTGACAAAGCTTCAGTGTGACCTGGCAAGGAAAAACTATTTAAAGGGCACAGATCCAATTTCAAAGAACAGGCCAAAAAGGTGAATTAAGAGCTGAGAGGTAATAAATTGATAACTGGCATGTCATCCTACCTAGCACATTATGCCCTCCCCTAACCCATCATCTACCAATCCCTTTGAGGGGCACTTCACCTATGCACATTGAAAAGACCAGGTATGTGTCTGCCTGAAGGGTTTCACCTTGCTCTTCTTTTACCAAGGATGCTTCTTTCCCAGATATCCAGATGACTTGCCCCTCATCTCCTTCAGGTCTTTGCCCAAATGCCATCCCCTTAGTGATGGCATCCCTGGACACCTCACACTCCCTATTCCCCTTCTCTGCCTTATTTTACTCCATAACACTTATTGACATATAATGTTATATCTGTCTTACTTATTTTTAGTCTCTTCTCCAGAAAACAATCTCCACAAAAACAGAGATGCTTTTTTGTTCATTTTTGCATCCTCAGCATTTAAAATAATGCCTGGCTCAGAGTAAGCTCTTAATAAATACGTGTTTATTGAGTGGTTATAGAAAACTTAGATGTTCTTTGTGTTCATTTAAGCCAATGGTGATTGAAAAGTCTATGGTTCATAAAAAAAAACTATAAACCATCCAGCTGTTCATCAACAGGAAGATTGATATATATTCCCTTATGTACAATGGAAAATTACTCATCAATAAAAAGGAATTAACTCCTGATACACACAGCAACATGGATAATTCTTTAAAAAAATGTTGAGCAAAAGAAGCCAGTTTAAAGGTAAATGCTGTATGACTCCCTTTCTATAAAGTTCTGTAACTGGTAAAACTAACGTTAAGATGATAAAAATCAGAGAGAGGGGAAGGGAGCTCAAGGGTACCTTCTAGGGTGATAGAAATGTTGTATGCTTGATTGGGGTGGAGGTCACACAGAAATATGCGCTTGTCAAAACTCATTGAATGACACACTTAAAATAAATACATTTCATCCTATGTAAATTTTACCTCAATGAAAAACTGGATACCAATTTAAATGCAAAATAAATATAAAGTTACAAAACAATCTGTAATCCCAATTTGATGAATATCTGTTCATTAAACCAGAAGAAAAATTCAAGGTCATTCCCCAGAAATCAAGTCATAAAAGAGATTAGCTAAGGGCCCAGGAAAAGCTCCTGTATAGCTGAATAGGGAAATTGGGAAGTATTAAGTCTCTCCTCAAACATTTCGAATTAAGAGGCCTGTAGTTCCTCTTTCCATTTTTAGTGTGGGTTTTCTAATCCTGTTATTTCTCATTATGACTACTGCTGTTCAAGCCTGGGTACTGGTTTAATTCTAGAAAGAGTCGCAGTTATAAGGATCGTAAATTGTTGAAAGAGGCTACCTAGGGAAATAGTAGTGTTTACCTCCATTACTTTTAAAGAAAGTCTATGTACAGGAATACTGTTAAAAATGAGTTATGAATGACTACAATTAACCATCTATGCAGAGTCTTTGAGTCACAAATTCAATTCTCCTTTAAGTTCCCATGATTTTGTTATGTTTTGAGTTCTATTTTGCCATTCTGAAAATGATACACAGTCATGCATCACTTAATGATGGGTATACATTCTTAGAAATGCATCCTTAGGTGATTTCATCATTGTTCAAACAACACAGAGTGTACTCACATAAACCTGGATGATATAGCTTACCACAAACCTAAGGTATATGGTATAGCCTATTGCTTCTGGGTTACAAACCTGTACAGTATATGCTACTGTAATTAATACTGTAGGCAGTTAACACAATGGCTATGACATCACTAGGTGAATTTTTCAGCTCCATTATAATCTTATGGGACTACTCTCATTTATGTGGTCTGTCATTGACCTAAAAATTATTATGCAGCTCATTACTACTATAATTTCTTGAAATTATTGCTACAGTTCAGCTGTGTTTTGGAGCCTGAAGGGAACACTTTCATTAACTGTAAAAAGTCCCTAAATTTCATGATCTTCCTCCGTCACTTTCAAACGAATTCAGATTTTGACCTTTACTTCAAACGATTGTAATTATTGTTCCTCTGTTTTTAGAATATATTTGCTACATGAATTATATTATCAATCCACTACACAAAAGAATGTGTCAGGTGGTTCTATATAGAGAAATACAGAAAAAAAAAGAAAAATATAATCCAGACTATAGTACCTAACAGCATTCCCTGGGTACAGCAAGAATGGAAGAAGCACTTTGCCATTACACCTAATAGAAATCATCCCTATCTCTGAGCATGTTGCTGAAACAGAAATAGCAACAAGGAAATGGACACACTGACTTCCACAATGGTTAAACTAGTTTACAGTCACACCAACAGTGTAAAATTGTTCCTATTTCTCCACATCCTCTCCAGCACCTGTTGTTTCCTGACTTTTTAATGATCGCCATTCTAACTGGTGTGAGATGGTACCTCATTGTGGTTTTCATTTGCATTTCTCTGATGGCCAGTGATGATGAGCATTTTTTCATGTGTTTTTTGGCTGCATAAATGTCTTCTTTTGAGAAGTGTCTGTTCATATACTTCGCCCCCTTTTTGATGGTGTTGTTTGTTTTTTTCTTGTAAATTTGTTTGAGTTCATTCTAGATTCTGGATATTATCCCTTTGTCAGATGAGCAGATTGCAAAAATTTTCTCCCATTCTGTAGGTTGCCTGTTCACTCTGATGGTAGTTTCTTTGGCTGTGCAGAAGCTCTTTAGTTTAATTAGATCTCATTTGTCAATTTCGGCTTTTGTTGCCATTGCTTTTGGTGTTTTAGACATGAAGTCCTTGCCCATGCCTATGTCCTGAAGGGTAATGCCTAGGTTTTCTTCTAGGGTTTTTTTTTTTTTTTTAAATTAGGAAAACAATTTTATTTACAATGGCATTAAAAAGAATACAATGCTTAGAAATTAACTTCACCAAAGAGGTGAAAGACTTGTACACTGAAAATAACAAAACACTTTTTTTTTTCTTTTTTTTTTGAGACCAGAGTCTCCCTCTATTGCCTAGGCTGGAGTGCAGTGGCACCGTCTCGACTCACTGCAACTTCCGCCTCCCAAGTTCAAGCAATTCTCTTGCTTCAGCCTCCCAAGTAGCTGGGATTACAGGCGTGTGCTACCACACCCTGCTAATCTGTGTGTGTGTGTGTGTGTGTGTGTGTGTGTGGTTTTAGGTCTAACATTTAAGTCTTTAATCCATCTTGAATTAATTTTTGTATAAGGTGTAAGGAAGGGATCCAGTTTCAGCTTTCTCCATATGGCTAGCCAGTTTTCCCAGCACCATTTATTAAATAGGGAATCCTTTCCCCATTTCTTGTTTTTGTCAGGTTTGTCAAAGATCAGATAGTTGTAGATATGTGGCATTATTTCTGAGGGCTCTGTTCTGTTCCATTGGTCTATACCTCTGTTTTGGTACCAGTTCCATGCTGTTTTGGTTACTGCAGCCTTGTAGTATAGTTTAAAGTCAGGTAGCGTGATGCCTCCAGCTTTGTTCTTTAGGCTTCGGATTGACTTGGCAATGCGGGCTCTTTTTTGGTTCCATATGAACTTTAAAGTAGTTTTTTCCAATTCTGTGAAGAAAGGCATTGGTAGCTTGATGGGGATGGCATTGAATCTATAAATTACCTTGGGCAGTATGGCCATTTTCACGATATTGATTCTTCCTACCCATGAGCATGGAATGTTCTTCCATTTGTTTGTAACCTCTTTTATTTCATTGAGCAGTGGTTTGTAGTTCTCCTTGAAGAGGTCCTTCACGTCCCTTGTAAGTTGGATTCCTAGGTATTTTATTCTCTTTGAAGCAATTGTGAATGGGAGTTCACTCATGATTTGGCTCTCTGTTTGTCTGTTATTGGTATATAAGAATGCTTGTGATTTTTGCACATTGATTTTGTATCCTGAGACTTTGCTGAAGTTGCTTATCAGCTTAAGGAGATTTTTGGCTGAGACGATGGGGTTTTCTAGATATACAATTATGTCATCTGCAAACAGGGACAATTTGACTTCCTTTTTTCCTAATTGAATACCCTTTATTTCCTTCTCCTGCCTGATTGCCCTGGCCAGAACTTCCAACACTGTGTTGAATAGGAGTGGTGAGGGAAGGCATCCCTGTCTTGTGCCAGTTTTCTTTTTTTTTTTTTTTTTTTTTTTTTTTTTTTTTTTTTGAGACGGAGTCTCGCTCTGTCGCCCAGGCCGGACTGCGGACTGCAGTGGCGCAATCTCGGCTCACTGCAAGCTCCACTTCCCGGGTTCACGCCATTCTCCTGCCTCAGCCTCCCGAGTAGCTGGGACTACAGGCGCCCGCCACCGCACCCGGCTAATTTTTTGTATTTTTAGTAGAGACGGGGTTTCACCTTGTTAGCCAGGATGGTCTCGATCTCCTGACCTCATGATCCACCCGCCTCGGCCTCCCAAAGTGCTGGGATTACAGGCGTGAGCCACCGCACCCGGCCCTTGTGCCAGTTTTCAAAGGGAACGCTTCCAGTTTATGTCCATTCAGTATGATATTGGCTGTGGGTTTGTCATAGATAGCTCTTATTATTTTGAGATACGTCCCATCAATACCTAATTTTTTGAGAGTTTTTAGCATGAAGGGTTGTTGAATTTTGTCAAGGCCTTTTCTGCATCTATTGAGATAATCGTGTGGTTTTTGTCTTTGGTTCTGTTTATATGCTGAATTACATTTATTGATTTTCATATGTTGAACCAGGCTTGCATCCCATGGATGAAGCCCACTTGATCATGGTGGATAAGCTTTTTGATGTGTTGCTGGATTCTGTTTGCCAGTATTTTATTGAGGATTTTTGCATCAATGTTCATCAAGGATTTTGGTCTAAAATTCTCTTTTTTGGTTGTGTCTCTGCCAGGCTTTGGTATCAGGATGATGCTGGCCTCATAAAATGAGTTAGGGAGGATTCCCTCTTTTTCTGTTGATTGGAATAGTTTCAGAAGGAATGGTACCAGTTCCTCCTTGTACCTCTGGTAGAATTCGGCTGTGAATCCATCTGGTCCTGGACTTTTTTTGGTTGGTAAGCTATTCATTATTGCCTCAATTTCAGAGCCTGTTATTGGTCTATTCAGAGATTCAACTTCTTCCTGGCTTAGTCTTGGGAGGGTGTATGTGTTGAGGAATTTATCCATTTCTTCTAGATTTTCTAGTTCATTTGCGTAGAGGTGTTTGTAGTATTCTCTGATGGTCTTTTGTATTTCTGTGGGATCGGTGGTGGTATCCCCTTTGTCATTTTTTATTGCGTCTGTTTAATTCTTCTCTCTTTTCTTCTTTATTAGTCTTGCTAGTGGTCTATCAATTTTGTTGATCTATTCAAAAAACCAGCTCCTGGATTCATTGATTTTTTGAAGGGTTTTTTATATCTCTTATTTCCTTCAGTTCTGCTCTGATCTTAGTTATTTCTTGCCTTCTGCTAGCTTTTAAATGTGTTTGCTCTTGCTTCTCTAGTTCTTTTAATTGTGATGTTAGGGTGTCAATTTTAGATCTTTCCTGCTTTCTCTTGTGGGCATTTAGTGCTATAAATTTCCCTCTACACACTGCTTTGAATGTGTCCCAGAGATTCTGGTATGTTGTGTCTTTGTTCTCGCTGGTTTCAAAGAACTTCTTTATTTCTGCCTTCATTTCGTTATGTACCCAGTAGTCATTCAGGAGCAGGTTGTTCAGTTTCCATGTAGTTGAGTGTTTTTGAATGAGTTTCTTAATCCTGAGTTCTAGTTTGATTGCACTGTTGTCTAAGAGACAGTTTGTTGTAATTTCTGTTCTTTCACATTTGCTGAGGAGTGCTTTACTTCCAACTATGTGGTCAATTTTGGAGTAGGTGTAGTGTGGTGCTGAAAAGAATGTATATTCTGTTGATTTGGGGTAGAGAGTTCTGTAGATGTCTATTAGGTCTGCTTGTTGCAGAGCTGAGTTGAATCATTGGATATCCTTGTTAACTTTCTGTCTCGTTGATCTGTCTAATGTTGACAGTGGGGTATTAAAGTCTCCCATTATTATTGTATGGGAGTCTAAGTCTCTTTGTAGGTCAGTAAGGACTTGCTTTATGAATCTGGGTGCTCCTGTATTGGATGCATATATATTTAGGATAGTTAGGTCTTCTTGTTGAATTGATCCCTTTACCATTATGTAATGGCCTTCTTTGTCTCTTTTGATCTTCGTTGGTTTAAAGTCTGTTTTATCCAAGACTAGGATGGGAACCCCTGCCTTTTTTTGTTTTCCATTTGCTTGGTAGATATTCCTCCATCCCTTTATTTTGAGCCTATGTGTGTCTCTGCATGTGTGATGGATTTCCTGAATACAGCACACTGATGTGTCTTGACTCTTTATCCAATTTGCCAGTCTCTTCCTTTTAATTGGAGCATTTAGCCCATTTACATTTAAGGTTAGTATTGTTATGTGTGAATTTGATCCTGTCATTATGATGTTAGCTGGTTATTTTGCTCATTAGGTGATGCAGTTTCTTCCTAGCCTTGATGGTCTTTACAATTTGGCATGTTTTTGCAGTGGCTGGTACTGGTTGTTCCTTTCCATGTTTAGTGCTTCCTTCAGGAGCTCTTTTAGGGCAGGCCTGGTGGTGACAAAATCTCTCAGCATTTGCTTGTCTGTAAAGTATTTTATTTCTCCTTCACTTATGAAGTTTAGTTTGGCTGGATATGAAATTCTGGGTTGAAAATTCTTTTCTTTAAGAATGTTGAATATTGGTCTCCACTCTCTTCTGGCTTGTAGGGTTTCTGCCGAGAGATCCGCTGTTAGTCTGATGGGCTTCCGTTTGTGGGTAACCCGACCTTTCTCTCTGGCTGCCCTTAACATTTTTTCCTTCATTTCAACTTTGGTGAATCTGACGATTATGTGTCTTGGAGTTGCTCTTCTCGAGGAGTATCTTTGTGGCGTTCTCTGTATTTCCTGAATGTGAATGTTGGCCTGCCTTGCTAGATTGGGGAAGTTCTCCTGGATAATATCCTGCAGAATGTTTTCCAGCTTGGTTCCATTCTCCCCATCACTTTCAGGTACACCAATCAGACATAGATTTGGTCTTTTCACATAGTCCCATATTTCTTGGAGGCTTTGTTCATTTCTTTTTATTCTTTTTTCTCTAAACTTCTCTTCACACTTCATTTCATTCATTTCATCTTCCATCGCTGATACCCTGTCTTCCAGTTGATCGCATCGGTTACTGAGGCTTGTGCATTCGTCATGTAGTTCTCATGCCATGGTTTTCAGCTCCATCAGGTCCTTTAAGGACTTCTCTGCATTGGTTATTCTAGTTATCCATTCGTCTAATTTTTTTTCAAAGTTTTTAACTTCTTTGCCATTGGTTCGAACTTCCTCCTTTAGCTCAGAGTAGTTTGATCTTCTGAAGCCTTCTTCTCTCAGCTTGTCAAAGTCATTCTCCATCCAGCTTTGTTCCATTGCACTGAGGAGCTGCGTTCCTTTGGAGGAGGAGAGGCGCTCTGATTTTTAGAGTTTCCAGTTTTTCTGCTCTGTTTTTTCCCTATCTTTGTGGTTTTATCTACCTTTGGTCTTTGATGATGGTGACGTACAGATGGGTTTTTGGGGTGGAGGTCCTTTCTGTTTGTTAGTTTTCCTTCTAATAGTCAGGACCCTCAGCTGCAGGTCTGTTGGAGTTTACTGGCAGTCCACTCCAGACCCTGTTTGCCTGGGTATCAGCAGTGGTGGCTGCAGAACAGCGGATATTGGTGAACCGCAAATGCTGCTGCCTGATTGTTCCTCTGGAAGTTTTGTCTCAGAGGAGTACCCGGACATGTGAGGTGTCAGTCCGCCCCTAGTTGGGGGTGCCCCCCAGTTAGGCTACTCGGGGGTCAGGGACCAACTTGAGGAGGCAGTCTGCCTATTCTCAGATCTCAAGCTGCGTGCTGGGAGAACCACTACTCTCTTCAAAGCTGTCACACAGGGACATTTAAGTCTGCAGAGGTTATTGCTGTCTTTTGTTTGTCTGTGCTGTGCCCCCAGAGGTGGAGCCTACAGAGGCAGACAGGCCTCCTTGAGCTGTGGTGGGCTCCACCCAGTTCAAGCTTCCCTGCTGCTTTGTTTACCTCCTCAAGCCTGCGCAATGGCGGGCGCCCCTCCCCCAGCCTCGCTGCCACCTTGCAGTTTGATCTCAGACTGCTGTGCTAGCAATGAGCGAGGTTCCATGGGCATAGGACCCTCCGAGCCAGGTGCAGGATATAATCTCCTGGTGTGCCGTTTGTTAAGCCTGTTGGAAAAGCGCAGTATTAGGGTGGGAGTGACCCAATTTTCCAAGTGCCGTCTGTCACCCCTTTCTTTTACTAGGAAAGGGAATTCCCTGACCCCTTGCACGTCACGTGTGAGGTAATGCCTCACCCTGCTTTGGCTCACACACAGTGCACTGCACCCACTGTCCTGCACCCAGTGTCTGGCACTCCCCAGTGAGATGAACCCGGTACCTCAGTTGGAAATGCAGAAATCACCCATTTTCTGCATCGCTCATGCTGGGAGCTGTAGACTGGAGCTGTTCCTATTCGGCCATCTTGGCTCCCAATATCGTTTCCTAACTTTTTAATGATCGCCATTCTAACTGGTGTGAGATGGTATCTCATTGTGGTTTTGATTTGCATTTTTCTGATGGCCAGTGATGATGAGCATTTTTTCATGTGTCTTTTGGCTGCATAAATGTCTTCTTTTGAGAAGTGTCTGTTCATATCCTTTGCTCACTTTTTGAGGGGGTTGTTTGTTTTTTTCTTGTAAATTTGTTTGAGTTCATTGTAGATTCTGGATATTAGCCCTTTGTCAGATGAGTAGATTGCAAAAATTTTCTCCCATTCTGTAGGTTGCCTGTTCACTCTGATGGTAGTTTCTTTTCTGTGCAGAAGCTGTTTAGTTTAATTAGATCCCATTTGTCAGTTTTGGCTTTGGTTGCCATTGCTTTTGGTGTTTTAGACATGAAGTCCTTGCCCATGCCTATGACCTGAATGGTATTGCCTAGGTTTTCTTCTAGGGTTTTTATGGTTTTAGGTGTAACATTTAAGTCTTTAATCCATCTTGAATTAATTTTTGTATAAGGTGTAAGGAAGGGATCCAGTTTCAGCTTTCTACATATGGCTAGCCAGTTTTCCCAGCACTATTTATTAAATAGGGAATCGTTTCCCCATTTCTTGTTTTCGTCCCTGACCTTACTTTTGAAATTTCTAGTCTACACAACATGACTTGGTTGATCATTTTGACAGAATCCGTTACTAATCACTTGTTTAAATGACTCATATCTGGCTTACAACATGTTTAATTAAGTAGGTTTGTATATAGAACTATAACATTCACTGATACAACTTGAAGTAGTTAGTCATTTAAAATCAGCCAAATTACTTTGAAGACATATATTATGGGTTTCTTTAACTTCTAAATGGTACTGGTGTTTGGGTTACAGTTGGAATGCTCTGCTCACCAGACCAAAATCTGGGATTTCTTCTCTTTCTGAGGCAATTAGATTCTGCCTATTCTGAAACTGGCCTCTCTGACCATGCCTTGGCATTTCATGGCTCTGGAAATGCCTGGGTGAGAGAGTACAGACAGGCAAAGATGTGATCTAAATCTATTGCACTACTACAGACTTCACAACAAACAACAAAACAAACAGACAAAAAACAATGTCCAACTAATGCTGGATCAGCAATGCTATCTTTTTCATTATGCTAGAGTATTTTTAATTTGATATGTATCATGAGCAAAATGTTTACTTCTAGAGTTACTAACATTTTTATTGAATACATTCTTCTATTCTAAGTTTAGCAAGGAAATGCAATTATGATTTGAATGGCATATCTTGGCTCTAAATGGTTTCTTTATTTGGAAAGCAATAACATTGTTTCAGAAGGAAAATAAATATTTGGCATGGTGAAGGCTTGAGATTTTTTTCTCACTACCAGAAGTCTTTGTCCTTTTGTATTCTTTGTCTCTGAATCACTGAATAATTTTAAAGACAATGTTGTCTTCCTAATTAGAAATCATTTTAAAAATTCTGTTGGGGAAATAAAAAACCTATGAAGCAGTGTCATCGAGAATCTTATGATATTTGTAGCACTACAGTTGTTTGAACTGATTTGATTTCAAATTTATTTAGGGACATGCTTTAAAAATGCATGCTTATTTTTTTCTTCAAGTTTCAATATGGCTTATAAGTGGCCTTATTTTATCTGCCAGCAGGAAGGAGGTATTTCATGTGGAAAGGATAGTTAAAGAGTGAGAGTGGTGGGGGAATTTTAAAAGAGCTATAAAAAACAGTGGACTTTATTTTCATACAGACTTTCAGGAGAAGAAAAACACAAGAAGGTCTTGAATGGGCACTCTCCCCTGGCAGCCAGACTACAATGCATAAGGTACTTAATCTAGCTAGTGACCAGAATTTCTTACAGTCAGTGCTATGCTTGGAATGATGATGTCCCCTCTAAAACTCATGTTGAAACTTAATCCCCAATGCAATAGTATCAAGAGATGTGGCCTCTGGGAGATGATTAAGTCATGAGGGCAGAACCCCCATGAATGGGATTAGTACCCTTATAAAAGGGTTCAAGGTTAAAGGAGGCATTCTTTTGCCTTTCCTTTCCTTTCCTTCCACCAAGTGAGGACACAGTGCTCCTCCCCTCTGGAGGATGTCGCAACACTGCACCCTCTTGGAAGCAGAGAATACCCTTCACCAAATAGGTATCAACCCTGCTGATGCCTTGGTCTGGAACTTTCCAGCCCCCAGAACTGTGAGACATATATTTCTATTGCTTATAAATTACCCAGTCTTAGGTATTTTGTTATAGCAGGACTAACAGACTAAGACAGTCAGGCATACACCATTCATTCAGTGTCCTCTGCTTGGCTCTTTGGCTCATGCATCAATGCTGAAATCTTCAGAGTCCCTGCAATGTCCAGTTAGGGAAAGGCAGGAGTCTGGAGTCTGCCGGGTCTAGATGATCTGCCACACTGCAGAGCTGCTCAGATGAACTTTTTGTGGCCTTGCTGGTTCATAGAATGGAAGACTCCTGGAAGATTCAGTCAATTTCATTCTACCCTGAAATATACCAGTGTTATTGTGGATTGAGGTTTCGAATGAATGATTGTTGGTCCAACTCGTAGCTGTGTCATTTGGGATAAGTTATATAACCTTTCTAAGAGTCAGCTTCCTGATTTGTAAAATGTAGCTACTACTAATTCTTATCTCACAGTGGTATGGTGAGAATCTAACAAATTAATGCATGTCAAAATCTGACATAATGCCTCATGGCAAATAAATATATCAAATGTGTTAATGTAAAAAATATATTAATTGATTAAAAAGGCCCCAGATTCCTGAGGAGTTTTTGGAAAGAACTTACTTTCCTTGGGGCAAGGATATCCTGACATATGTGAAACAAAACAAAGTGTCTAGCAATTTCTTTTAGCCATAAAACCCAGTATCTCAGATAGGTGATGTCAGTGGGCTCTACTCAAAGTGGCCTCAAGGCCTGCATGGCAGCCCTGGAGAGATAACTTGGAACTCTGCTGGAAAACTACAAGAAAAACTCATCCACCGTGGACTGGCTCCCTCATCACCCATCTGCCCTTGCCCTTGGGTGGCCAAGGGAGCCAAGTAGGCTGATATTGTTTCAGGTTGTATTTATTTACTCTTCCTCTTATATCAAAAAAGAAAGAAAGAAAGATTGAAACTGGAGAATCCAAATAAAATAAAATCTCAAACTTTAATAAAAAGAGAAAGGAAGGAAATGAATAATTACACCAGAAGAATTGAAGTTTAAAAAAGTTCTATATATGTGTGTGTGTGTGTGTGTGTGTGTGTGTGTATATATATATATACACACACACACACACACACACACACACACACATATATATATAAAACTTTAAGTATATATCTATATTTTAGAGGCAATGTCTCATTCTGTCATCCAGCCTGGAACAGTGGTACAAACATAGCTCACTGCAGCCTCTAACTCTTGGGCTCAAGTGATCTTCCCACCACAGCCTCCTGAATAGCTGATATTACAGGCACAAGTCACGATGCCCAGCTTATAGTTTTTTTTTAAGGGGAAAAAAGAAAGAAATTTCCTGAGCTTTCTAACAGCTGCGGTAAGGTGGGAAAAATTAAAGAGCTTTTTAGGTTCCATTTTCTACTTAAAAGGCATTGGCCAAACCATGTCAATGCCTTTCAAATCATTCATTGAGTGCTTGCAACATGCCAGGTCCTCTGTCAGATGCTCTTCAATAGCAAATCATTTAGTCTTCTCAACCACCCAATGTGCTCTTAGGTCTTATCACCTCTGAGTGGGGGAAGCTATATCAACCACACCGGTGCTCCAAACTGCTCTCTGTGCCCCTTCATATGGCCATTGCAAGTGCACCCTATGGACTTCATAGAAAGAGTCTTGAAAGAGAGGGCAGAGGTAGCAAGAAAAGTGACACAGAGAAACAAGAGCTATGCAAACCCTCATACCCCGTGAGTTTCAGGTACATGAAGAAGGTATTGTCTCCATGATGGGAATTTGATAAGGAAAGTTAGATTTCTTGTGTAGAGACCAAAAGGAGTTCGAGCAAAGGGTTAAAGATGAAAAGGAAGGGTGGGTAAAAGTATGAGAGAGGAAGCCAGTCGGTCTGGGAATTAGTAGGCAGTAGAGGAGAGGGCTGCAGGGTGTCCATTAGGGATCTGGAGGGAGATTTGCTGAACTTGTTAAAATAGCCCCACCTAGATTGCAAATAGGATGTTGGGATGGAGCCAAGGCTTCTCTGAGCCTGAGCAGCAAGCAGACCCTCCCCTCTGCTAATCCCACACACAACTTCAGCAAAGCAGCTGATGCTGGATGACTTGCCAACATCTCCTCCCCTCCACTTACCCACCCCCTCAAGCAATGTGTTATTTTGTGACACCTGTTCACTTTTTGTAATTCCTTGCAGCTGTCCAATCTGTGCACTGCCACCAGATTTTATCCAGTTTTAAAACTCGAGGTCGTTGGGGGTGGGGAGAGTAAGGGCAGGAACAGGATATGATTTGCCCAGTCCCAATGTGAACCTAGATATGAACCCCTCTCATTAATGAATTTACTCACAGAGTACTGAGAACAGAAACTCATTTCCTGTTTTTAAAAATATTTAATTCATATTCAGGTTCTTTTGGTTTGTTTTATTTATTCTTAATTTTTTATTTTGAATTATTATGGGTAAATAATAGTTGTATGGGTAATAAATAGTTATTATTTATGGGGTGCATGTGATGTTTTGATACAGGCACACAATGTGTAACCATCAAATCAGAATAATTGGGATTTCCATCACCTTAATCATGTACCATTTCTTTGTGTTAGGAACATTTCAATTCCATTCTTTTAGTTATCTTAAAATAAACAATAAATTATTGCAAACGATGGTCACTCTGTTGTGCTACTGAATACTAGATCTTATTCAATACTAGATTTCATTCACTGTATTTTTGTATCCATATTTAGTTTTGTTAAGGATAAATATACCAATCTACCAAAGTGCCTGCACTTCTACTTGTAATGGAATCATCATAGGACTATTTGTACATTAAAAAATAATAATGTTGACCGTCATAAAACCAGGCTGGGTTGTTAAAAATTAATCCCTCGCTGCTTTCTGTCATGAAGCCTCTGAGGAGGACAGTTGGATGGCAGAGGACATGCACATGTGAGAATTACTCAGATGAATCTCAATTTTCAGGAGAAGAAAGGGCCTCAGCTGATGGAAATAGTCTAGACATGTCTTATATATGGGTGATTCCAGAGTTGGTAGCATCCTCTTGGGAAGGATGCTTAACCCTCAGTAGGACATTTTAAAGTAGATGATTTCTTCTCACCCAGCTAATAAGCAGAAAAGGTGTCTCTGGGGGACAGGAGTGAGGAACTAGAAAATATCATCTTATTCCCTTGATTGTAAGACAGCAATTTAATGAGAGCTTTGAGTTGTTTGTTTGATTTGCAGAATGAGGGAGGGAGGTAGAACAGAAGGAAAACACAGAGATGCCACATTAAACATGCATGTAGCCTTACTTCCATTCCAGAAATGTAAAAATATATGAAAATGTACATCTTAGAGTCAAAGAAATATGGCAATAAAGCTAATTTTTATATATATATATACATTTTTAAATTACCACTGGTAAGTATTTGCTCTTTCTTCATGCTCATTTGAATGTTCCTAACAAGAAAACAAAACTAGGGTAACTTTTCAGAGCAGCCCTAATTTGCCATTCTCAGGAAGAAAGCACCCCTGCAAACTCAAAGTTTCTAACATATTCATCCAAGTCATCTTGCGTCTACACTGACACATTGGGGAGTGGAGGTAAACAGCTCATTTGACTAAAATATTGAACCTAATCAGAGCTTCATATACTTATCTCATCAAGATGCATTGTTGGGAGACGACAGACCAAAGCTGATGCACGGCCTATTCCTCACATGACCCACATGACTCCTCTCAGCCTTGTGTGTGTGTTAGTGTCCCTCATGCTGGTGGTTTTGTGACAACTTAGAAACATGAAAAAGTTTGTATTTTAACAAAGTGGGTTAGAGCTGAGTGTGTGGGAAGCAAGAGTGTAGGAAAGTCTGTCCTACCTGGCAAAGAACTCTGTTGAAAATGTCTCTATATATCAAGAGAAAAGAGCAAGAAAAGCAGGGAGTACAGGAAAAGGAGAAGATACAGTAAGGAGGGAAACAAACTGCTCCCAGGACTCACACATGGAACCAGGAGGAGATTCACTGGAGACCACATTCCAAGGTGCTTCACAATCTGCCCTGAATCTCTCTCCATCCTTGCTATGGTTTGAGTGTTTGCATTCCCTCCAAAAATCACGTTGAAACTAAATCCCTAATGCAACAGTACTGAGATGTGGACCTTCTAGAAAGTAATTGGCCCATGAGGGCTCTACCCTTATGGATGAGATTAATGCCTTATTAAAAGGCTTGAGGGGATGAGTTCACTCCTTCGGATCCTTTCTTCATGTGAGGACACAGTGTTTGTCCCCTCCAGAAGAAGTAGTTTTCAAGGGGCCAACTTGCAGGCAGAGACGGCCCTCACCAGCCACCAGGTGTGCCAGCATCTTGATCTTGGACTTTTCAGCTTCCAGAACTGTAAGAAATAAATTTCTGTTGTTTATAAATTACCCAGTCTTGGGTATTTTTTTGTGGCAGCATGAATCAAGTAAGACAATCTTGCCTTTCTCTATTCTCTCACAAATACCTCAAGTCCCAGAAGATCTTGCTGAATGGGACTCCTCCCTCTTGCCTACACTTGGATATCCCATTCACTCTAGTGCTTTCCTGTCTCTATTTCTTAACCTATGCTAATACCATAACAGAAGGTAACTCCCCTACTGTATCCAGAAAACATCTTTTCTTCTTTTAATGAACATGTTAAATGCCACTTCTTCCATGAAGTGTTTGCTGAGCCTTTTTTTTTTTTTTTTTTGCAATGCATCATTCTTCTGAAACTACTTCTGTCATATTTTGCGTTATGATCATTTTTGTTCTGGTCTTATTTTCCCTGGTTTAATTGCATTCAGAGCAGGCATTTTGTTTTAATCATTTTCCATCCCCTGAGCAAGGAGAATAGTCATTCAGAGTCATATTCTATATTTAACAGAAACTACATCAACAATTTAACCCATGGAGGTAATTCACACCTCAATGGGCAATAGGCATGTGCCTAGAGAGATCTTGAGTCAATGGACCTGCCTGAATCACTTTTAAGGGTTTCAGTTTTCCCATGTGCCTCTTACTGAGTGAGCCTCTTACCAAGATAAAATTGATTTTGGTATTTAAAAATATTATTTTTTAGACAACATGATCCCTACAAGCAAAATAATTACTTTGTCAGCTTCTTAACTGAAAAAAAAAATCTGTTCTAGTGCAAGAGACACAATCTGGCTGCTCTGAATTTGTTGTGGGGCAGGACGTAAGACTGCAACTGGGCTATTTCTACCTTCTATGCTGAAGTTAGACCCTACATCCCAGAATGAATGAGTCCCCATTGAATTTCCACACATATCACACTATAGCCTAAATCATAAACTAGTTATCAGGTGTCTACTTCCCCAGAGTAGATATAAGCTCAGTTAGACCCTATATCCCATATTGAATGAGTCCCCATTGAATCTCCACACCTACCACACTACAGCCTAAATCATAAACTAGTTGTCAGGTGTCTATTTCCCCAGAGTAGATATAAGTTCCTCATTCAATGGGACCCATTGTTCCCCACCTTAGTCTTGTCAGTGCCCACCTGGCACTTAGTGAGCACTTACTAAATTATTTATAGAATTACTCCAGGCAAAATAAAAGGGAAACTCTAGAGCCTGATCTTGGACTTTCTATTGCTATAAAAGATATAATTGAGACAATGGTTAAAACAATGGCTATTAGATAATAGAAATGAATTGATGTTAACTTTTTCTGAAATTTTACTTTAAGTTCTGGGGTACATGTGCAGAACATGCAGGTATGTTACATAGGTATACATGTGCCATGGTGTTCTGCTGCACCTATCAATCCATCATCTAGGTTTTAAGCCTCACAGCCATTAGGTATTTGTCCTAATGCTTCACTTCCCTTTGTCCCCACCCCCTGATAGGCCCGGTGTGTGATGTTCCCCTCCCTGTGTCCATGTGTTCTCATTGTTCAACTCCCACTTATGAGTGAGAACATGCAGTGTTTGGTTTTCTGTTCCTGTGTTAGTTTGCTGAAAATGATGGTTTCCAGCTTCATCCATGTCCCTGCAAAGGACATGAACTCATCTTTTTTTATGGCTGCATAGTGTTCTATGGTGTATATGTGCCACATTTTCCTTATCCAGTCTATCATTGATGGGCATTTGGGTTGATTCCAAATCTTTGCTATTGTGAACAGTGCCACAATAAATATACACGTGCATGTGTCTTTATAACAGAATGATTTATAAACCTTTGGGTATATACCCAGTAATAGGATTGCTGGGTCAAATGGTATTTCTAGTTCCAGATCCTTGAGGAATCGCCACACTGTCTTCCACAATGGTTGAACTAATTTACACTCCCACTAACAGCGTAAAAGCATTCCCATTTCTCCACAGCCTTGCCAGCATCTGTTGTTTCCTGACTTTTTAATGATTGCCATTCTAACTGACATGAGATGGTATCTCATTGTGGTTTTGATTTGCATTTCTCTAATAACCAGTGATGATGAGCTTTTTTTCATATGTTTGTTGGCTGCATAAATGTCTTCTTTTGAGAATTGTTTGTTCATATCCTTCACCCACTTTTTGATGGGGTTGTTTTTTTCTTGTAAATTTGTTTGAGTTCCTTGTAGATTCTGGATATTAGCCCTTTGTCAGATGGATAGATTGCAACAATTTTCTCCCATTCTGTAGGTTGCCTGTTCACTCTGATGATAGTTTCTTTTGCTCTGCAGAAGCTCTTTAGTTTAATTAGATCACCATTTGTCAATTTTGGCTTTTGTTGCCATTGCTTTTGGTGTTTTAGACATGAAGTCCTTGTCCGTGCCTATGTCCTGAATATTACTGTCTAGGTTTTCTTCTAGGGTTTTTATGGTTTTAGATTTTACATTTAAGTCTGTAATCCATCTTGAGTTAATTTTTATTTAAGGTGTAAGGCAGGGGTCCAGTTTCCGTTTTCTGCATATGGCTAGCCAGTTTTCCCAGCACCATTTATTAAATAGGGAATCATTTCCCCATTGCTTGTTTTTGTCACATTTGTCAAAGATCAGATGGTTGTAGATGTGTGGTGTTATTTCTGAGGCCTCTGTTCTGTTCCATTGGTCTATACATCTGTTTTGGTACCAGTACCATGCTCTTTTGGTTACTGTAGCCTTGTAGTATAGTTTGAAGTCAGGAAGCAAGATGCCTCTAGCTTTGTTCTTTTTGCTTAGGACTGTGTTGGCTATATGGGCTCAGCATACCACTCTCAACACTCCTGATCTCGTCTGATGTGTTTTGTTTTGTTTTGTTTTGTTTTGTTTTTTGAGACTGAGTCTTGCTCTATTGCCAGGCTGGAGTGCAGTGGTGCAATCTCAGCTCACTGCAACCTCCAACTCCCTGGTTCAAACGATTTTCCTGCCTCAGCCTCCTGAGTAGCTGGGATTACAGGCATGCACCACCATGCCCAGCTTGATGTTAATTTTTGATTAAGCATTATACTGTGATTATTATTAAGTAAGAAAATTCTTTACTTTTAGAAAACACAAGCTGAAATATTTAGAAGTAAAGGAATATCACGCCTATAACTTTTTCTTAAAGGGTTCAAAATTATGTGTTTGTGAATACACACACACACACACACACACACACACACAATGTTAATACAGGGAACCTGGGTGAGGGTATTCATAAATTCTTTGCACTATTCTTGCAACTTTTCTGTAAATCTGAAATTATGTAAAAATAAAAAACATATAGGGGGATCTAAATACCATTATCTTACCTGTGTTCTGCTAAGATAGCCCATACTTACAAGGATTAAGTAGCTCAACCAAGCTAATAAGTGGTATGGCAGATCTGGTCTTTGGAGAAGCAGATGCCCAGAAGGGACTAGAATTGGAAAAGATTTTACTGGGGAAATTCCTGTTAAAGAGGGGAAGATGGAGGAGTGGGAAGGGTGGGTGAGTTTTAGATAGCTGTGCAGCTCTGACTCCTGAGAAGGAGAAGAGGAAGGAAGGAGGCTGCCTTTATCCAAGTCTCTGGAGGCCTTTCTTCTCCAGCTTTTTGGAGAAGGGGCCCGTGGTTTTGCATGAATGGAAGTAAGCTTATCATTTTAATGTGTTAAGGAACTAGGATATGATGATACCTTTCCTCTGACTAGTGAGCACTCCCTTACATTCTGTGATGAAGTCCTTGTAAACAATAGTCTTATTTTTAAATTCTGAGCCCATAAACTTATTTTCCATTAGCCTATGCAATCACATCGTCTCAGAGACATTGCAAAGTGGGCTGTAGTTCAGCACATTACCTAGTTAATTAATCAGGCCTGATATTTTCCCTAGCCAGTTTTTTGGTGCAACAGAACACCAATCTAATTGCAACTTCATGGTGAAGAGTATCATTCCAGCAAAGATAAACCTTTAGATTCACATGGGATTAGGTCAGATTTTGCATCAAGAAAAGATGAGACATCGGTGGGGAGAGTAAGACCAGCATCAGTCACAGGCCCTGAAAGAAATGTTTTACTTAAAGCTCTCAGGACTTTGTCAAGAAATAATTTTCATAACAACTGAAAAGATTCCTATCATCAATTATATATTTTTAGTCTAAGCCAGCACTGTCTGGTCCATAGGTGACAAGCCGTTAAAGGGTCTACAAGTTTAAAATGCAGGCCAAGCCTGATTGGCATGGATAACATTCCCCTCATACATAGTTCTTGTACTTCTACAAAAACATGCTGATTCTATCATTATTAATAACATGTAAATACAACTTAAAGCATTACTAAGAATAGGCATTATCACTAGGTTATTCTTCAATCAATAGATGCAAAAAGTACAACTTCCAGCACACAATAGCTGGTGATGCTTTTCTTAGTTTCAAAATGTACCTTGTATTTTAAAATGTTGGGAACCACTGCTATAGATGATGCCTCATACCATTAAATGTCTTGCACACTATATCAAGTCCCCAGCATCCTCAGGTGAGGGCTTTCATAAAATTGATATCACATTCTTTTTTTATTAACAGTCCTGTATATTTTCAAAACTTCAAAATAAACACAAAGAATATGTAGGTATACATGTTATAATTTCAAAGTCAACACTAGTATGTAAGTTTTTCTTATCTAAATACATACTAGGATACTTCCTATTTCAACACATGTATCTACAAACACGTGGCCATGCACATAACCTTGCTTCCTGCCCCTTGTAAGAAAGTTAGGATATACAATATTGTACATTGTTTCAACTTAAATCTTATTAGAAAATTAATGAGGATGGCATTTAAAAATTCTGATCTAAGAAATAGAAATACAGGAAGATAATTATTCCTTAGATTAAAAACACTGAAGGCTGATAAAAAGTTAAGATTTAAATCTTGGCCTGGATCATTAAGACTTCAGAAGTTCTACTCCCAATTATCAAACAGAGCATTCTGAGTGTTTTTCAGCCAGTCCTGTTCTCGTTTGTATCTTTCAAGATCACAGGGATATCACATTCTTAATAGATTCTTTTGAGTACTTCCAAATCCAGGTGGAAAGGCAAAAAATAAATCCGTTTACAATCTATAAGATGCACAGCAATAGGGACAATCATCACTAATATGTTAATTAAACAAAATGAAGACACTGTGCATTTATTTCTGTATTCTAGATGCAGAATCTAGATTACAAATTCTATGTGATCAAATTTCATTTTGGGAATCAAATTCCATTTTTACCCCTCAGATTTAGCACCAGCTTTTTCTCTCTGTTTCTGAATCCTCACAGTGCAGTACAAATAGGCATGACTCTGGGGGATACAGAAGTGTAGGCAGTTAAATTGGCTGTTTTCACACCTATATGTAAAGCTCTCCTACATAACAATCCTTCAGAAACTATCCACTAAAAAAATTTACCATTTTATTTCAAAAGCAAGCCAAAGCCATTCAGAGGTTTTGAAATAAAAGTATTTTTTCAAAAATATAACATCTTAGAAAAAAATTTGGTTATTCAGTGGAGAACTCCTTTATGCAAATATGATGCTGGGGTCTAAAATGTGTCTGCTTCCTTGATATTGCAGAAAACATAAATGCTACAACTAAGCTCTTTAATGGGAATATGCTGAGAACATGTAGATTTGTAAGCAAAGGTAATCTAGTCCAGCATGATTTGAAGGGTCCAGGCCTTCTTCTGATCACATAAACTTTACTCAGCAATGTAATCCCCTGTACACACCCACAGACACATAGACACATGTACATACACACAAATACACACACACACACACAGAATCCTTAGTTACTTTTACCATTAATCCATTACCTTGTGTCAGATGTATCACCCTGGTAATTTTTTTAATTAAAGTTTTTCTATTACAAATCACTTCTGAAGTCCCTAACTCTTTATTTTTATTTATTTATTTATTTTTTATTTTTTAAAACTTTTTATTTCCATAGGTTTTTGGGAGACAAGTGGTATTTGGTTACATGAGTAAGTTCTTTTTTAAAATTTTTTTTTAAATTTATTATTTTATTTTTCCATAAGTTATGGGGTACAGGTGGTATTTGGTTACATGAGTAAGTTCTTTAGTGGTAATTTGTGAGATTTTAGTGCACCCATCACCTGAGCAGTATACACTACACCATATTTGTAGTCTTTTCTCCCTTGCCCCCTCCCACTCTTCCCCCCAAACCCCCAAACTCCATTGTATCATTCTTATGCCTTTGCGTCCTCACAGCTTAGCTTTCCACATATCAGTGAGAACATATGATATTTGGTTTTCCATTCCTGAGTTACTTCACTTAGAATAATAGTCTCCAATCTCATCCAAGTCACTGCAAATGCTGTTAATTCATTCCTTTTTATTGCTGTGTAGTATTCCATTGTATATATATATATATATATATATATGTGTATATATATATATGTATATATATATATGTGTATATATATATATATACACATATATATATATACTGCAGTTTCTTTATCTACTCATTGATTGATGGGCATTTGGGTTGGTTCCACGATTTTACAATTGTGAATTGTGCTGCTATAAACATGTGTGTGCAAGTATCTTTTCCAAATAATGACTTCTTTTCCTCTGGGTAGATATCCAGCAGTGGGATTGCTGGATCAAATGGTAGTTCTACTTTTAGTTCTTTGAGGAATCTCCACACTGTTTTCCATAGTGGCTGCACTAGTTTACATTCCCACCAGCAGTGTAGATATGTTCCCTATTCACTGCATCCATGTCAACATCTACTGTTGGTTTTTTTATTATGGCCATTCTTGCAGGAGTAAGGTGGTATCACATTGTGGTTTTGATTTGCAGTTCCCCGATCATTAGTGATGTTGAGAATTTTTTCATATGTTTATTGGCCATTTGTATATCTTCTTTTGAGAATTGTCTATTCATGTCCTTAGCCCACTTTTTGATGGGATTGTTTTTTTCTTACTGATTTTGATCTTACTGATTGTTTGAGTTCGTCATAGATTCTGGTATTAGTGCTTTGTCAGATGTATAGATTGTGAAGATTTTGTCCCACTCTGTGGGTTGTCTGTTTACTCTACTGACTGTTCCCTTTGCCGTGCAAAAGCTCTTTAGTTTAATTAGGTCCCAGCTATTATCTTTGCTTTTATTGCATTTGCTTTGGGGTTCTTGGTCATGAAATCCTTGCCTAAGCCAATGTCTAGGAGGGTTTTTCCAATGTTATCTTCTAGAATTTTTATAGTTTTAGGTCTTAGGTTTAAGTCTTTAATCCATCTTGAGTTGGTTTTTGTATAAGGTGAGAGATGAGGATCTAGTTTCATTCTCCTACATGTGGCTAGCCAATTATCCCAGCACCATTTGTTGAAAAGGGTGTCTTTTCCCCCACTTTATGTCTGTGTTTGCTTTGTCAAAGATCAGTTGGCTGTAAGTATCTGGGTTTATTTCTGGATTCTCTGTTCTATTCCACTGGTCTATGTGCCTATTTTGATACCAGCACCATGCTGTTTTGGTGACTATGGCCTTATACTATAGTTTGAAATCAAGTAGTGTGATGCCTCCAGATTTGTTCTTTTTGCTTAGTCTTGCTTTGGCTATGCAGGTTCTTTTTTGTTCCCATATGAATTTCAGAATTGTTTTTTCTAATTCTGTGAAGAATGATGGTGGTATTTTGATGGGGACTGTGTTGAATTTGTAGATTGTTTTTGGCAGTATGGTCATTTTCACAATGTTGATTCCATCTGTCCATGAGCATGGGATGTGTTTCCATTTGTTTGTGTCATCTATGATTTCCTTCAGCAGTGTTTTGTAGTTTTCCTTGTAGAGGTCTTTCGACTCCTTGGTTAGGTATATTTCTAAGTATTTTTTTGCAACTACTATAAAAGGGGTTGAGTTATTGATTTGATTCTCTGCTTAGTCGCTGTTGGTATATAGAAGAGCTACTGATTTGTGTACATTAATCTTGTATCCAGAAACTTTGCTGAATTCTTTTATCAATTCTAGGAGCTTTCTGGGGGAGTCTTTAGGGTTTTCGGGGTAAACGATCATATCGTCAGCAAACAGTGAGAGTTTGTGAAGTCCTTAACTCTTTATTTTGAATTCATTCATCAGATCAAAGAGCAGATTTATCCCATTGAAGTTGAAGTCCTTTCCAGCTTACAGATTCTCTGCTTCTCTGGCTCTCCTAGCTAGCCACACAAATTAAGACTGGTGAGAACATGAAGCACCTTGTAGCAGGTAGGAGTTAGAGACTTTGTGAAAAACAGAGCTGGATGAACTGGAGGAATGTTACAAGAATGTGGAAAACAAGGCCGGAGACTCTAAAATGCACCAGGTATTGCACCAAAGATTGAAGATAAATAAATCTCGTAGTCCTTGTTAATCTTATCAGATTAACTCCTCAGTAAAGGTACATATTTAAAGATACGTTATAGGCTAGTGTGGTGGCTCATGCCTGTAAAGCCAGCACTTTGGGAGGCTAAAGTGGGAGGATTACTTGAGGTGGGAGGATGTCTTGAGGCCAAGAGTTCAAGACCAGCCTGGGTAACATAGACTCCATCCCTATAAAAGATTTTAAAATTAGCTGGATGTAGTAGGGTGTACCTGTAGTCCCAGCTACTCACTCAGTAGGCTGAGGCAGGAGGATCCCTTGAACTCAGGAGTGAGAGGCTGCAGTGAGCTATGGTTGTACCACTGCACTCCAGCCTGAGCAACAGAGCAAGAATTTGTCTCTTAAAAAATAAATAAATAAAAAGATACATTATAAGGCTAACATTTAGGGATTTGGTGCAAGCAGAATTTCACTTGCCACGTAATCAAACTCTATATTTTATAATCAAATCTTAGCTATAATGTAGAAGAGGCAAAAAGTTTCCTGATGTGTTCTATATATGCCTAATTCCATATCTCTAATACTTCATATGGCCATTATAAAATTAATATACATGAATATATAAAAAATGAATATACATAAAATGTTAAGTGAATATACATAAAATTTAATATATAATTTATATATTGCATATAGATATATAAAGTCATCCAATGGGAACAGGTTGGTTTGCTCAATGATCAGTTAACCCAAATTCCACCCACTTTTGATTGGTTCTTTTTCTGTTCTGATGTTATACTATCTTTTGCCTCTTTTGGGCAATTAACTCATGATACAGTATGAAATGGGCAGGATAAAATTCAAGCAGGAGTCTCAGGCATAACTCCCTATAGTTGCTTCTTCCATTTCTTTTGATAAATGTGTGGAATGATCCAAGCTGGCAGACTGAAGCAGAGATTTAAGAGTGAAGTTGCCCCTCCTGGTGCATTTTGATATATGAAACCGAGAACTCACAGTGTCTTCCAGATGATTATTTTGATAGTATGTGCTTCTCCAAATTCTGTACACCAGATGTGAAATTGTTATAATACGAATCACAAACTACTTCAAACAATTGCATTCATTCCTTTTTCATTCATGCATTCTATGAATACTTATTAAGTGCTACTATGCTACATGCTGTGGTACATCATGGAGTGGCAGAGATAGGTAGTGATATAGTTTGTATGTTTGTCCTCACCCAAATTTCATGTTGAATTGTAATCCCCAGTATTGGAGGTAGGGCCTTGTAGGAGGTGATTGGATCATGGGAGTGAGTTTCTCATGAATGGTTTAGTGCCATCCTCTTGGTGGTGTTCTTGCCATAGTGAGTGAGTTCTCATGAGATCTGGTTGTTTAAAAGTATGTGGCACCTCCCTTGCCCTCTCTTGCTCCTGCTCCTGCCATGTGATATGCCTGCTCCCCTTCATCTTCTGCCATGATTGTAAGCTTCCTGAGGCTTCACAAGAAGCAGATGAGATGCCAGTGCTATGCTTCCTATATAGCCTGCAGAACTATGAGCCAATTAAACCTCTTTTCTTATAAATTACCCAGTCTTGGGTGTTTCCTTATAGCAATGCAAGCATGGTGTAATACAGGTAGCTACCACCAAAAATTAATGTGTCCCCTTCCACAGTGTTGAGATGACCCTAGGAAGTGGCTGGTCATTCAGGAGTCCCATTTCTCAAACACCTTTGCACCTTGGGTAGAGCCATGTGAGTAGCTCTTACCATCAGAATGTGTTTGGAGGTAATGCGTGTCACTTCTGGGTCAAGGATATTATAAATGAATGCTTTCTTTATCTTTCTTTCCCCTGCTTGAAGTAGAAGACTCTAAGATCCTAGGGGATAGTGGAGTAACAAAACAGAAAGAGCCTGAGTCCCTGAATAACCATGTGGAGGAAAGCCACTCGCCAACTAGGTGAGGCTGAGGAGGATTTAACTATGCAAAGAAGGAAAGAAAGACAGAAGGAAAAGCATGCACAGAATACTCCTAGTAAGAAAGCACACTCGTGAAAAACTAAAAGAAATCAGCATGATTGTTGATTTTAGCAGCCGGTTGTCACAAACCAGGTAAGCCTGGGAAAAGCCATCAAAGCAATCAGGAAATAACACATTCTGATTAAGGTAAAAAAAAAAAAAAAAAAAAAAGGGGCAAAAAATACATGGATAATCACACCTGTCCCAACATGGAATTTATTGGAATTATTAATACTTATACTCCATTACCCATTACATGGGCTACAATTATTGTACATATTTCTTTGTTTTATAATCCAGTGTGATGTTATGAACTTGAAATGGTGAAAAGTAAAATATTCAGAAGTAGGAATATATCCTTAGGGATACAAAAGAGCCTAACTGTTAACAAAGTGTTCAAAACTTAACAACCATATATATGAAAGAATTTAAAATGTGTTATATCTCCTTTAATTTAAGAGCCGGTGACTCTTTTGAAACTGCAGGCAAAAGTTTGTGGATTTGTGCATAACGCATTTTTCTAGGGATAGGTTCCATGGCATACATCTGAGCCTATAAGATTAAGAACTAAATGGATTAGTGTCTAAAAATATTTAAAAGGGGTTTTAAAAGGAAAAAAAGGATATGAGCACTCAAAATGATGCAAAAACAGTAATAAAGTGCTGAATTTTAAGTGAGCTGACAATTAGGAAGGAACAGGTTTTGGGGAAATTGTCCCAGAACCCATCCAATGAACACAAAATCTTTCCAGTTATTATTTCATTAGTACAAGCAATGTATCCTCAGAGGCCAGATTTTATCTTCCATAACAGATTGGAAAAGGAAGAAATGAGAATTTGAAAAATTAAGTGCCTTGTTCAGAATTTGCAGGAGAATCCCAAAGACCTCTTGAGTCACTACTTTTTTCTCTTAATCATCTGATTATTCCCATAAAATTGAATTGGGTACCAAGAGAGCTCTTACTCTCAGAATTTAAATCTCTTCTGTGTCTTAGGGCCCAGGGTTTGTAGTGATTAACTTAATAGGAAAGTTCTCTCTGATTAGCCAAAATCTATAATTCTCCTCTATCTTTAAAAAGAGCAAACATTTTTCATAAATCCCAAATTGCAGACCAATCAGTCTGAGGGATAGTCTTTTAGAATTCTCTGTGAGTTGTATTTTCACCAAATTTCAAGACCACATTTTCCAAACCTAACATAAGGAGAAAACTGTTTTCAGACATTATCTTTTCAGTGTTCATCACTCTTATAAAATTTTTTACCTTTCTGTTAGAAACTGAGACATCATTTTCAAGATTCTTTTCTAAACAGGATTCATTTTTTACTTCATAGACAGGAACCTGCTGCTAAATTTAGCAAGAGATTCCTAATGTCTAAATGCTGACAATATTTTCATAAGAGAATCACAGCAGCAATCAAGTTCTAGTAGGTCAAGAAACTATATTTTGTCATTTTATCCAGGGCAAAGTGAGCCAAAAAAGACTGGTTCATCATGCAGATTATGGCCCTAGACACTGGTTTTGATTATTTACCTTTAGAAATACAACTGCCAAATGAACTGGAAGATTCATTTCTGAGGATTAGCACATTCTCTCCAAGTCTCTAAGGAAAGCTCAATTACTACCTCAAGGTTGTTTGGTAAGCATGGATCTGAACATAGAGAGTTGGATGATTTTGATAACAAATGTTAACCAAGTTATTATTGTTTTATGAGCTCTCGTAAGTCAGAGGTGGATTCTGGCAACTCATTTCCCCAGTATATGTGAAAACCACTCCCTATCCTTCCATGAGACTATAACTGGCTTCCACCTCTCACTTTGGAACAGAGTGCTAGTTGCTTACCCCAACATCCAGGCTCCCCATTCTTTCCTGAGGACAGAATCTTGATTTTTATTTGGCATATTGTCATTCAAAATAAAAAATAATTATCTTTCTCAGTGTGAGATATGACCATATTATAGAGTCTGGACAATGAGATATCAGTGGGTATGATGAATAACTTACAGCAGACCAATATTCCCAATAAGAACCATTAGAAAAGCTAAACAAAAATATAAAACAAACAACAAATATGTTTAAAGCCATTAAGGGGCTACTAAAGCCACTAGAACTATAGGAAATGCCATAATTCATTTGGGCCCCTATAGCAAAGTACTATGACCTTGGGTAGCTAATAAACAATAGAAATTTATTTCTCACTTCTGGAGGTTGGGAAGTCCAAGATCAAGGTGCCTGAGATTTACTGTCTGATGAGGGCCCATTTCCAGGTTTATAGAAATGGTGCATTCTCCCTATGTCCTCACATGGTGGAAAGGACTAGCTAGCTCTTTATGGTCTCTTTATAAGGGCACTAATCCCATTCAGGGGGTCTGCACCTTCCTGACCTAATCACGTCCCAAAGGCACCCACCTCCAAATATCATCACTTTGATGATTTGGTTTCAACATATGAATTTTGAGGGGATGCAAACATTCAGATCACAACAAGGATTAAATTTTGAAAAGAGGAAGATGGGCTGGACGTGGTGGTTCATACCTGTAATCCCAGCACTTTGGAAGGCTCAGGTGAGTAGATCATTTCAGGCCAGGAGTTTGAGACCAGCCTGGCCAACAAGGCAAAACCCCTTCTCTACCAAAAAACACAAAAATTAGCCAGACATGGTGGTGTGCGCCTGTAGTCCCAGCTACTCAGGGAGGCACAAGAATCACTTGAACCCAGGAGGTGGAGATTGCAGTGAGCCGAGATCGTGCCACCGCATTCCAGCCTAGGTGACAGAGTGAGACTGCATCTCAAAAAAAAAAAAAAAAAAAAAAAGAGGAAGATGATGGAGAAGTGAGTTGAGCTGATCATTTGCAACTGCTTCTCTCTGAGGGTATTTGCCCATTCTGAGCCAGGGCAAGAGGTGATTGAGATTCCAGGCTTTGCAGAAACAGAGGGCTGCTAACTGGGAAACCAGTAGAGATTTTGATTGTGTCATGGGGCTGGAAAATCAAAATTAGAAATATCCTGGGCCAAAAACTCTGAGGAAGGCAGGGGCAGAGAACTAAGCCTGACATGTGGCTGGTTCCTCTTTTAACCATTTACCAAATTCTGAAACTAAACTGAGCAGGAGACTAAGGAGCTAAGTAGAAAGCCTCTGGAAAACAGAACAGAGTTTTCAGCTAAGAGGCAAGGATTAGAACTCAGGACGTTTCAGGTGCCCAGAAAATACATCAGGCTCTTCGTTGAAAGCCCTGGAGGGATACACCTTAGGAGCAAAGAATAACGGAAGTAGGCAGACACTTACTGAAACTAAAGTGGCTAAACAGAATAAGATTATCAGACCCAATTTTTTCTGTCAAAAAAAAATGGTGAATACTTTCTGGAAGGAGATAAAATTATCTGGAGGCTATCTAGTAATAAACAATATTTGACATTCAGTCAAATTTATTATACACTCCAAAAGACAGTACCATATGCCACAAAATTAAGAGAAAAATTAGACAACAGATGTAGAACTACAGGTGGTTCTTACATTGGAGTTATCAAAGATTTTTAAATGGCAAGATTAATATGTTAGAGAAAACAGACAAAAAGATAAAGAAATGTATTATATAATTAGAATTCATAAAAAGAATCAAATGAAAGTTCTAGGACTAAAAAACATAATACCTGAAAGTAAGAATTCAAATCATGGGTTTAACAAGAGATTAGAGATAGCAATAGAGAGCATTAGTGAAGTAGAAGATAGATTGCTGGGAAATACCTAGAGTGATGCACTAAGAGAAAACAGGATATAAAATTTAGAAGAATGTACAATACACATAATACAAAGTTTAACATAAATTTAATTGGATTCCCAAAAGAAGAGAAAAAAGAATATGGGGGAAAATTGAAGAAATTTTAAAGGATTGAAGAATTTCCAAAAGTGATTTGAAAAAATAGAAATCATTCCACAGAGCAGCTAAGAAAAAACAGTATGTTATCTTCAAATACAACAACAATAACAACAATTAAATGGAAAGTAATTTCTCACCAGAACTTCTGAAAGCCAGACAATAATGAGATGGTGTATTGAAAGAAATTAAAGAAAATTACATTTAGTCTAAAACTGTATATCCAGTGAAATTATTCTTCAAAAATGAAAGCAAAATAAAGATGTTTTCAAATAAACAAAACAGAATTTTTATCAGCAAACCTGCACTAAGAGAAATACTAAAGAAAGTTTTTCAGCCCGAAAGAAAACTATTCCAGATTGAAACACAGAAATGCAGGCAGTAAAGAAAAGCAATGAAAAAGATTTTAAAAATGAAATATTGAGTATACAAAGCAATGATAATAATAATGTCTTGCAAGGTTTAAAATATGTATAGAAATAAAATATAAAAGCACAGAGATAATTAAGTTAAAAGTATCTAAAGTTTTAATGTTATCAGAAAAGTGGTAAAAGATAATCCATATTTGACTAAAATTAATTGAGGATGCACGCTGAAATTAACCTCTGAAAAAATGGTAAAAAATAAATGTAAAAATAAAAGTTAATAGAGGCTAGGCACAGTGGCTGATGCCTGTAATCCCAACACTTTGGAAGGCTGAGGTAAATGGAATAATAAAAATTATTTGATTAATTCCAAAGAAAGCAGGAAAAGAAAGAAAAAGATAGAAAAATAGGTAAGTCAAATAGCAAGTTGATATATCAAATCAAATATAACTGTAATTACATTATATGTAAATGAACCCATTGCAAATTTAAGTTCAGTAATGTAACTGAAATAAATACTCCAAATATTTTGTTTTAGTTTGGTGTGCTATAACAAAGTACCATAGACTGGGTAGCTTCTAAACAGCAGAATTTATTTCTCACAATCTAGGGGCTGGAAGTCTGAGATCAGGGTGCCAATATGTTTGGGCTCTGTTGAGGGTCCCCTTCTAGGTTGCAGACTGTCAATTTCTCATTGTATGGCAGAAAGAGAGGGAGCTAGCTCTTCAGCCTCTTCTTATAAAGGCACTCATCTCATTCATGAGGGTTCCCCCTCATGTCCTAATTACCTCCCAAATCCCCACCTCAATAACATCAATTTCAACATATGAATTTTGTGGGGCAAATGAGCATTCAGTCCGTAACTTATTTGAAAGATACATAGCAGATTGTTCACTGCGGAGTGAAAGAGGTTGTGGAGAGAATAAGAAGAAGAATTTTATTTTCAAACATTTCAGTTAGAAACGTTCCCAGTATGTTTTATTTTAAAATTTTAAAGAATAAAAATGTGATTAATATTTTATATACCTATTTTTCTAGTCAACTATGCTACAAATTTTGTACATTTCTTTCTTTGGACCTCACACATTTTTTTAAGATTATCCTCAATATTGGTTATTACATAGTTTTTAAAATTATTATGATAAACTGTCATTGTCCATTTTGTTTTCTAACAAGTTACCAGTTGTATACAAAAGAGCTATGGATTTTATTATGGTTTTCCTTATAACTGGCTACTTAAGCGGACGCATTAACTGAATCAGCTCTCTTTCTTCAGACATTAAAGTAAGTTAGCATCTTGGAACACATAGATGTACCCTCTTTTTACATAGTTATGGAAATGTGTAACACCGATGGACTGTGGGAACCCATTTCCTCCAGTGACCATTAGAGCCGATCAGTTCTTCATGTTCCTGATACAGTTCCTATTTTGTCTCGAACTGTTTGGCTTAATCACAGTTCCTTGTGTTATTTCCTATTTACACAGGTTTTTCTTTTAAAAAGACTAGTCTCTAAAAACAGACACTTTTTATTAACAGATAAAATACCTGCAAATATTAACCTTACCTGCTCCACCTGGCAGCTCACTCTCATGCACTGAGGACCCTCTGCTGTGGATGTCCAAACTTCCAGTGGCTGGGGTATCTGTTCTCCTGAGACTGTGCCTGGCATGAGCACAGGTGCTCCTCGGGGAGCTGGGGATGTCCCAGCTACCCTCACTAATCCCTGGAACCACCTCTCCCCACTTTTAGACTTCAGTATACCACTTACTCTCTCTGAGTTAAATTTCTCTTTGCTGCTTGCTATAGTTCTAGCCAGCAGTGTGGCCTCTATGCCCCAAGAGCTAGATCGGAGTTTCCCAAACTGAAATATTCTACAGACTCTTCATTGTGAAGTGGCTGCGTTGTCTGGGGTATATACCCGGGGTTTGTTGTCTGGCACCAGGAAAATTTAGGACACGGACACACACGAGTAGTTTAGGAGTGGAGGTTTAATAGGTAAAAGAAAAGAGAAAGTAAAACAGCTCTCTCTATAGAGAGAGGGAACTTCCAAGAGGAAAGACCAGCAGGTGGCTGATGCAACGGAAGTTATAGTCAGGTTTGAGGAGGTGGTGTCCGATTTACATAGGGCTCACAGATCGGTTCGATCAGGTATGACGTTTACATAGTGCAGGGGAAGGCTGGCTGCCCCACCCTAATCTTATTATGAAAATGAACTTTCCCCTTGGCTCCTGCCATCCTGTCCGCTCCTTACTGTACATGTGGCTGACAAAGAGAAGGGAAGACAGAGCCGCCATCTTGAACATGATTGGCACAACTGCAGGCATCTATGTCTGCAGCTCGATTTTATAGGCTGCTGTTGTTAGCAAGGAAAATGATTTGGGGCTGCTTTTCATTAAAAAAATCCTTACGGAGGGCTTCCATACCCTCACTATCTGCCTACGTAATTTCTTCTTAACTCCTGTATCATTTGGTATACTGAGAAAATAATCTTCCACCAGGTACGTTAGTTTTGTAAATCCTTAACATGTTAACGTCTTTATTTATTTTTACTCTGTTGCATCTCAGAGCATTTAATCTGTACCTGTGTAATTTTTTTAGAAATCCAACAGATTTTGTTGTTTTCTTTTGCTTTTTCTAAGTCCACTGTTGATGGATTTTAAAAAATACATAGATATTAGAAAGAAAACCAAAACTATCCTATCATTCCATCACCCAGATGACTCCTGTGGACGTATAAAAAAAATTAAAGTTATACATGTACATAATTAAAAAGTTAACAACAGAAAAACAAAAAAGCCAAAGGTATACTCATTAACTCATTTATTTGCAAATATGTAACCACAGGTTATGACTGGACCAGAAATAAGATTCAGAACCTCAATCTTTGGAGATTGGGGCCCATCCTCAGTAAGTCTTTATTATGATCTAGGCATTAAATAATCTTGAAATGTTCATTTCTGTAAGAAAACATTTTAAATGGTCCATTTGTAAGGCATGGTAAATCTAAACACTGGCAGCCAGCCTGCGGATGTAACACATCACATGGCTCATGATCCTAGAAGGTCATAATAAGCAAACAGAATGTAGAGGAGGGGTCAGCCCATAAAAGGGAAGAAAGTTTCATTACTGGGAAATCAAAACTTAAGCAGGGAATGGAACTGGGGTATAACCTTATAAGGGGGATAATGAAACTTAGGCGATATCCTGAAAGACTGTAACCCCATAGTGCTCAACCAATGAGGAACTGGGGGAGGGACTTGTGTGCTAGGAGATAAATTACCTGTTGTAGCTGCCCTGGATGTGTCTGCCTACCAGACATCCATCGGATCTTGCAAAACCGCTATTAAAAGTCTCACTTTTTGCTGTTTTTTGTGCTTCTGAGTCCATTCTTTGGGTTTGGACGGGTTAGCATTTTTCTCACAATTTCCCACACTAAATCAGAAAACTCTTGTTCTTAAACTTGTTAACTGTTGTTCTAAGGGCAAAGAATTCTATAGTCAAATACTCTATGTAAATGTCACCCATTTCTTTCATGGGACATAAAGTAAGTTCCAATTCATTACTCATATGCCTTTTAAAAGCAGAATCCATGTATGTTTTTTAAATTTATCAGAGATGAGAAAGAATACTGCAGTTAATTCAAGTACATCTGTGTCATCTGGTAATGCTGACACTACCATACTGGTTTTATTTCGGGCACCTTCCAGCACAATCTATGTTTAACTACAAGGAACAGTGGCTATTTCTTAGGTGCCTGAAGCAAGATCCAGAAAGAACCCAAAAAGATTACTCAGTAACTCCCCATCTGTAGGGAGTCCTTGGGGAGCAGAATCCAAATTATCTATCTTTCCCCACAAATGTCTTTCCCCACAGTGCCTTGCATTTAGAATTTGCTCTATAAGTCTTCTCTGAATTAACTGAAAGGAATAACCATTTAGAAGGGATGACTTATACCTTAAAGATAAGATGTTTCAGGTGGATCATTGTGCTTTTTCTTCATCAGAAAACAAACAAACAAACAAAAAACGAGTGGGGTGGGTTCTGAGGCTCTGACCCTGAACAAATGAAGAATCAGAGTCACAGTGCTAGAACTGGTGTAAACTAGCCCTTACACAAGGGAACTCCAAGTGCTTTTCAGTTTCACAGGGCAATAGTTTCGTTTAAAGCAGATTCAATCCAAAAGCCATAATGTAGAAGAAGAGGTGGAGAAAGACTGTCTGCAGTTTGAAATGACAGACTTCCTCCAATTTCGATTAGCATGTGAAAGAGACTTTCATATCCATTTTTATTCAAATATACTGCCTTTGTAGTCATAGTAACCCTTTTATATTTTGATTTGGTTGCAGCTACAAGCCTACTTGAGCCATTCATTTTATCCTTTCTCCTAAATATACCTAATTTCTTTCTCATTTGTTCTTTCTAATAGAATCCACTGTTGTACTTTTTCTTCTAACATATCAGTTCTCCCTAAAGGATGTGAGAAAAGCAAAATAAAATATCACATTGAATAACCAAATTAGGAAACAACTTCCTGTACTAACAGAAAAGGCTAGAAGATGATGTCGTGTTCAGATAAATGGCAAAAGCCAAGTTCTTACATAAATTTCAAATCTATCACCTTCCTTTTGTTCCTTGTTACCATAAAGATGCACCACTTTACTAACTTAAAGTACTGGCATTATAAATAACTCCACTTGGGTTATGAAGTTCAAGAGTCAGATCAGCAGGATTGTTTCCAAAAAAGGACAGAATTCAAATGAAGTCCACTTTTCATTTCTTTTTTAACATAAAGGAAAATCTCAAATGAGATATAAGATGTAGTGTAAAATTAGCATTTCTCCCTATGTTTTCTCTTTCAGTGTCTGTTTTGACATGTGATTTTGTGATTACAGAAATGAGTTTTCAAATCCATCTATTTAGAAACAGGCATCAAAATTCAAAGCAGATGGAGTCTCAGTTTGTCTAGTACGGAGTCTTTATTTTGCAGGTGAGAAAACTGAATCTGCAAAGAAAGGAGGGACCTACTTGTGAAAATAAATAAAATCTATAAGCTGTTAGAATCCCCAAAACACTTTAAGTTGTGAGAGAGCTGTGACTGTGATGTGAGTCGCATGGCACAGAGTTGCAACTTCTGCTTCTTAGATTATGGATTAACTCTCTTTCTCATTGTTCTTAAATGACTAGAAGAAACCAGAGACTAGACCTTCTCCCCTTCTAATCACTGACCTTTGTTATATTAATAGATTAACTCTCCTATATTGTTCTGTCTAACTTAGATCAGATAGCTCAGAAGATCTCATGAATGTTATATCTTCACTGTGGAATGTTAAATATACCTTTACTGAAAGAAAAAGACTATCTCAACCAATTCTATCCTAAACTCATTGTAACCACACAGTAAACCTTATATAGAAAGATGGTGACGTTTTCTTAAGCTTCCCTAAACCTGTCTATATAAATGACCCCAAACCTTTATATTTCAAAGCATTGATTTCCATTCTTTGAAATCTGTGCTTCCCAAGTGCATGCCCTCAAGCTTTGTACTCAAATAAACTCTACAACTAATCATATTTTCTGAATTTCTGTAGGATATACTCAAGATCACACATTTAGTTAATGGCTAGAAGCTAAGCTCCCGATGCCTGATCTGCGGGTGCACTCCTCCACTGTTTACCCAGTCTTCACACCTAGCTGATTCCACTCTACCCCTTATAGCTTTAAATTTCAGGATTTCACTTGTTGCTAAAGTTTTCCTAGACAATTATATTTTTAAAATAAAATTAACTCTTTTTAGTCAGAGTTATCCTAATACTTGATTAATATTATGCCTATTCTAATTTTATCTAATTTAAGAGCCAAAGTCAAAGTAAAATGAGGTAATACAAAAGTTTTGCTTTAATTTTTAGGAGGAAAAAAAGACTTTATTCATTCATTCAACAAGCATGAATCTATAGTGACATTTCACTCTGAAGATAATAAAGCTTAAGCCTCAGGGACCCACACTTGCCCAACCCTATAAATGCCCTATAAGTAAGTTTGCTTTTTTTTTTTTTTAAAACTCAGACCCATGAAAGTGTTTGAGCTTTAGGCCACACAAAACCAGAATCTAACAGTGGAAAAAAAAAAAAAGTATCAAGCTCATAGCCTGACTCCCTAGATGCCTTTGAAATCATAGGTTCAAAAAGAACCAATCAGGGTAACCTAATTTTTATTTCTTGTTTTGATCGCTCACTATGTTTAATTGCTCACAGCAAGGGATTGAATTCATTCACTCAGGCAACAAATGTTTATTAAGAGCCTTCTATGTGTCAGGTACTATTCAAAGGTTTGGGGCCATCACATTGACAACGTACTTGCCCTGACAGAGCATAGTCCAACAGAATCAACCATATGTATGTTCATTTTGAGTGAATCTCCTAAAATGCATTTTTTAATAAGGTGAAGTAATGTTGCTCTGCATAATATCATTGTTGGGTAAATTTATTGTTAGATAAACAATCAAACATTAAGGTATTGATTAATGGATTTATGTTGCCTTGGATAGTAGTCTCTAGAAAAATGGCACAAGAAATGTCTGTTTATGGTATTGTCATGTTCAATTATACTAACTACCTCAATGTAAAACATAAGCATCCTTAGAAAATGTACAGCTAAAGAGGGTAAGTCAATATGATGAGTGACAAAGTCAAAATGTGTCAATATTTTCCATGAAATGTAGGTGGGTACTTATGTAAAATTATTCCATTATTGACACCATTATACCACATATCATGTTGTGCTGACCAGAGTCAAGAATAATATGTTAGTATTCTGTGTTCAATCACTATGCTGGTTTGTCAAATTATGTCAGCTTTAATAATTAAAACATTTCTTTCTTGTAAAGTTAAAGGAAGTGCTGACATTTCTGTTAGAATATCATTTATTAAAATCAAATCTCCTACCATCTGAAAGTCAATTAATGTAATATGCCACATTAGTAGAATAAAGGAGAAATGCTACATGATCATTTTGATACAGAAGAAGCATTTTATAAAATCTAACATGATTTTATGATTAAAAATTAAAACACTCAACAAACTAAGAATAGAAGGGAGCTTCCTCAGCCTGATGAGACCATCTATGAAATATGCACAGCCAGCACTATACTTAATGGTGGAAGATTGAATGCCTTCCCCCTGAGATCAGGAATAAGACAGCTCTTACCACTTTGATTCAATGTTGTACTTGAGGTTCTAACCAGTGCAATTAGAAAATGAAAATAAAGCATCTTCATTACAAAGGAAGAATTAAACTCTCTATTTGCAAATGACAGGATCTTGAACATAGGAAATCCTAAGGACTCCCCCAAAAGCTATTAGAATGAATAAACAGGTTCAGCAAGTTTGTAGGATATAATATACAAACGTCAATTATATTTCTATATACTAGCAATGGAAAATTGAAAACTGAAATTAGGAAAGCAATTCCATTTATAACTTTGAAAATAATAAATTAGTTAAGATTAAATTTAACAAAAGAGTACCCCCATAAATATGCACAAATAGTATATATTCATTTAAAAAATTTTTCAAGAGGTACAAAACATTTTTGAAAGAAATTAAAGAGGACCTAAATAAATATAAGTAATTTCCATGTTTGTGGATGGAAAGGCTTAATATTAAAATGGCAATTCTCTCCAAATTGATCTACCAGTTCAACACAATTTCTATCAGAATCCCAGCTGACTCTCTCACAGGCTATCCACTTTAACAAGCTGGCTCTATAATTCATGTGTAAATGCAAGAGACCCTGAATAGCCAAAACAATACTGAAAATAACGATGTTAGAGGACTCACGCTTCACTATTTTTCCACAACATCGGAAGATGTACCAGATTAGTTTATTGTCAATATCATTTCTTCTTCACTAAATAAAATTTCTTCCTCACTAAAGGCCATTTTTTCATCACTAAAAACAAGAGAAATGTATATTTTTAAAAGATGAATTTAATGGGATATGAATTATATCTCAATTAAGTTATTTTATTAATAGAAACCCCAATGCTCCAAATTCTTTTTAGTTTCTCAAATAATTTAACTATGGCCTTTCACAATTTCTAACAATAGCATAATCTCCAAACTGCTTTTCAACTCTAGCACCATAAGCTGACAACTGAGGTGCAAATATTTCTCTAATTTTTATTATCTCATTTCTCATCTCTTCTGAATTATTGGGTAATTCTCTCTGATGTTTATTTGATGAAAAGTAGTAAATATAAAGTTATTGAGAAAACATTTATTTTATATTTTTATGGCATTAATCATAAGCGATTGAATATGGTTACTTAAATAGTGCCCCATTAAAATATCCAGATTTTTTAAAAATTATAATTAAAACTCCAGACTTTCTCCCTAACGTTACACTGGTACAACTATGTAAAGTCCAGTAAGGTTTTTATGTCAATATATTTCATTGAAATCAATTTTTCTCAAGCACCATCAACAAAATACTTTTATAGATCTTTTATATGTCAGCATCCCAAGACTAAAAAACAAAAGAGCAATTTTCAATTCTCTCTTCAAAGTACTGAATTTTTCATTTAAAGAAAATGTTTGTTTATATAGAGCAGATGAAGCTTTGTCAATAATAATTAAAATTTTACTGTCTTATGTTTTCCAAAAGAAGCATTCTCATTTCAGTACATATCTTCTTAACAAGCCAGAACTACACATATATATCACAATGTGTCCTGTCTCAGTCCATTCAAGCTGCTATAACAAAAATACCATAAATGGGGTGGCTTATAAAGAATAGAAATTTTTTTTCATACAGTTCTAGAGGCTGAGAAGTCCAAGATCAAAGTGTCAACAGATTCAGTGTCTGGTGAGGGCTCACTCTCTGCTTCATGTGGCAACTTCTTTCTGCATCCTCACGTGGTGGAAGAGGCAAAGAAGCTCCCCAGGACTTATTTTATAAAAGCACTAATCCCATTCATGAGGGGTCCATCCTCATGACCTGATCACCCCCTAAAGGCCCAATCTCCTAATACTATTGCATTGGGAATTACATTTCAATATATATGTTTTGAGGTACACACACATTCAGACCATAGCATGTCCATTTTAACATTATTATTTTTCTGAAGTTTTATTAAATATTGATGCCTAAAACTGACCATTATTTTTCTGGACTTCCGCACAATTTCATTTACTTTTTCAAGAATTTGATTTTTAAAACTTTTAAACATTTTTATTATTTTGCCCATTCTTGATGGTTTTTAATAAATGATTGTGTCTCCTTTGTTTAAACCAAGAGATTTAATGGATCATTATTCCTAATCAGATAAAATATTTAAGCATTTAACATTTCTACCTTTTAATAATATAATTGTGATATCATTTCTTCTCCATGTTACCACAGATCCAAACAATTCTTATTCATTGTATTTAACAGAAATGTTGAGAAACATATCCAGACTTCGTTGTTCCTTCATCCTGGGTATTTGTATTCAGTATATTATAAGACCTTATTTTTAAAACAATATAATATACACTTACACAAGATTTACAACACAGTAGCTATGAAAGACAAATAAAAACCAAACTATTCAGATGCAATAGGAACTATAATTCCATGATGAAGATAAACTGGTGCTTCTCCCAAAATACAGAGTTTTATAAAGAATACACAACGTATCTGCATTGTTTACTAGACATTGGCCAACCAGTCATAGAGCTACAAATATTTCTTAGATGTTGTGGCAGGTGGCCCATATATCAGGGGTTGTTGAGACATCCTACAATATTTCACTTCAACTAATAAATTTACTCTAAAGTTTATATTATAAATCAACTTAGCTGCTTATCATGTTACTATGACATAATGTGCCAAGTGGTATAGAAGTATTTCAATATTTTAGCAAACAACCTGTCCACTATCAGCTCTAGATCTACATGGGCCTCTCCTTATAGGGGCAAGAGAATTATCTTTAATAAAGGACGACCTCTACTGCAGTCTGATATGTTCTTGGTTTATAGAAAACTAATAAAACCTGAAGTATTTAAGAAAAAAAAACAGTGATTATTTCCTAATACTGAGAGACAGCACTAGCTGGATTTCCTAGGCGGACTAAAAATCCCTAAGCCTGGCTGGGAAGGTGACCACTTCCACCTTTAAACACAGGGCTTGCAACTTAGCTCACACCTGACCAGTCAGATAGTAAAGAGAGCTCACTAAAATGCTAATTAGGCAAAAACAGAAGGTAAAGAAATAGCCAATCATCTACTGCCTGAGAGCACAGTGGGAGAGACAATGATCAGGATATAAACCCAGGAATTTGAGCTGGCAGCGGCTACCCTCTTTGGTTCCCCTCCCTTTGTATGGGAGCTCTGTTTTCACTCTATTAAATCTTGCAACTACACTCTTCTGGTCCGTGTTTGTTATGGCTCGAGCTGAGCTTTTGCTCACCGTCCACCACTGCTGTTTGCTGCCATTGCAGACCCGCCGCTGACTTCCATCCCTCGGCATCCAGCAGGGTGTCTGCTGTGCTCCTGAACCAGCGAGGCACCCACTGCCACTCCCAGTCAGGCTAAAGGCTTGCCATTGTTCCTGCACAGCTATGTGCCTGGGTTCATCCTAATCGAGCTGAACACTAGTCACTGGGTTCCACAGTTCTCTTCCGTGACCCAGGGCTTCTAATAGAGCTAAAACACTCACCGCATGGCCCAAGATTCCATTCCTTGGAATATCTGAGGCCAAGAACCCCAGGTCAGAGAACACGAGGCTTGCCACCATCTTGGAAGTGGCCCACCCCCATTTTGGAAGCGGCCGGCCACCATCTTGGGAGCTCTGGGAGCAAGGACCCCCTGGTAACAATACTTTTGCTATGGACTTTAGCCAAGACAAGGCTGGAGGCCCATTGGCCCTCCCTGTGGATTACATATAAGGTAGACTCACCACTGGTTATTGAGAGAAGTGGAGTGATCTATGGGAGAACATCAGCAGAGAAGACTCATCCTCTCCATCCCACTCATGAAAGAGAGACACAGATTAATTCCCAGATAGTTCCCAGTAGCAAGAAACATACTCCAAAGGAAACAAGAGAATCTTTCCACACTGAGATATGTGCATAATTATGTCCATTACATCATTATTTATAACTGGAAAACAACAATAGGGTAATAGGGGAATTGCTAAATAAATTATGATTCATATGTGAGATAAAATATTAGGCAGCTTTTGAAAAAAAAAGGTAGTCTTTCAGTAAATGTAGTAGTACTGTATAATACATGTTTTTCCCACTCACCTCATAAAAGTGCCTCCAAATCAACAATAAGACAAAATCATACAGTGAAGGAAATTCCATACACAATTAACCCAAGAAATGGCTCTATTTGTAACTAACAGTGAGAAAGAATTTTTGCAAAGTACAATGACATTTGGACAAATTGAAAGAATTTTTTAAAAAGTAATAAAGTTCCAGAGCTCAATAATATTCCCTCAAAATAAGTGATAAGGCAAGAGAAATCTAATTTCTTGCTTGCAACAACAAAAAGTGAAGATATAGACTAATAGAGTAGGAAAGGCTATACCTTGGGGCCTCACTTTCTCATCATGGATTGGCAAGGCTACAGGGGCCAGAATGTGGGCACAACATATTATTTTGTCAGACCTGGACTTCTATTCCACAAGTAGTGGGTTGAAAAATGCCTTCCACATTCATGCCCACCTGAAACCTCAGAACATGATCTACTCCAAATTTAGAAATCATCCTAGATTTAGAGTGGGCTCTAAATCCAATGACTGGTGTCTTTATAAGAAGAGAATAGAGAGAGATACACAGAAAAGAAAGCCATATGAAGAAGATGGCAGAGACTGCAATGATGCAGCCACAAATCCAGGAATGCCAAGAATTTCTCAGAGCCGCCGAAGCTAGAAAGAGACAATGAAGGATTCTCCCCTGGAGCCTTAACCATGCTTGATTTCAGATTCCTAGCCTCCAGAACTGTGAGGGAATAAATTTCTGTTGTTCAGTGCCACCAAGTTTGTGGTCATTTGTTGAGGCAGCCCAAAGAAATGAATATGCCAATTAAAAAAACAGAGTATGATGGAGAGAGGGGAGCGTATTAAGCATATTTATAGTGGTGACCAAAGTGGACTGAATAGAAATAAACACCAAATTATTAAACACAAAACATCTGCAATCTATTAGACTTCATTACGAGCCATGCTGTGAGCTCATCTAGATGTGCTTTCTCACTGCAGTTAGAGGAGGCTAAAAGTTAAGGCAAGATCTGGCTCATGCAGAGGATCTATAGATTTTATGTTATCTGTGGTTTTAAGCTGATTTTAAGCTGACAGGTATTTCAGATGACTCCACCTCATTCCTTACCTCCCATTCCTCTCCAAACTTCATGAGCTAAGTGCAGGCATGTAGAGAACTTACCACAGTAAAAGATGAGTGAGTAAAGGACACAATATGGATTCTACCAAATAGATAAACACAGAACGTGGCAGGCGTTGAAAGAAACATCACATGCAGAAGGCAGATAAATAATATACAGAAGAAGAATTACTTTAGGAAACAGAAAAAGTGTATCAGGCAAATACTTCAGCAAAGTATTTTCTCTCAGAAATAAAAGTGACAAGGGCTTTTTCTAAGTAGATAAAATAAAAAAAGCTAAGAGAATGAATGAAAGATAAAACTGGAGAAATGAGATAGTAGGGGAAAAAAGCATGAGTTAGAAGAGCTGAAAAAAGAAATTGAATATAAGAAAACAAATAGAAACAGTAGAAATAAAACTACCATTAGCAACAGCAAGAAGTAGAATAAAACCTATTTTTAAAAAGAGTTAGTAGAATAGTGTAGAAGCTTTCTTTGAAAATCCCATGAAATAAAATGAAATGAAATACAACAAGAAGATGAAAATGAGGGAGGAGATTCTACAGAGGATGGAAAGGGGATATGTGCATAATTGTAATTATTCCCGAAGAAGATGATACAACTAGAAACAGAAAAAAGTCACATTTTTTAACCAGAAATAAAGTAAAGTTTCAAAGAGAAAGGGCATACCTTATTTGAGAAAAAGTAGAGAGAGGTATAAATAGCTATAGCTATAGATCTTCACTGAGACTTGCCATTTGTGTTACAGAACTTCAAAGATAAGAAGAATACTTCATACATATGAGCAGATAAAGCAAGTGAAAAAATTATGGATATGTGTTTCTCTACATTAGCAAACCAGGTGACAGAGTCAGTGGAACAGTATCTGCAATTTCCAGGGGTGTGTGTGTGTGTGTGTGTGTGTGTGTGGTATAAAGGATTTGATCAAACGTATTGTTCATATATAAAAGCAATGGAAAGATTTATCAACATTAAAGATCTCACTCATAGGCCCTCTTTGTAAAAATGACTTGGTAATTAAATCCAGCTAACCAAGGTATGAATTAATATAAAAATTGTACAAGTAAGAAAATCTTATTTTGGAAGAAGCAGATGGATTATGCAACTTATTCAGTAAAGGACTAAGGCTAACTATGGCTGTAGGAATTATTTTGTTCTATAAAGTTGGGAAAGGAATTTTAAGAAAGAATGTTAAGTTCATAAATGGCCTTGTTTTTAGCAACAAATCAATACTACTAACATTGACAAATCAGCAAATACAAGTGTAATTTATTATATAAAAGAACAAATGAAAGAAAATGATGAAGCATTAAAAACATAAATATCATATGAGATGACAAATTTTAGATAAAACATACTTCAAGCAACTAAAATGAATAAACTAGTTTATTAAGTGAAATTTAATCTCAGATTAAAAAATAAGATCCAATTCTATATAAACATGATACAGTCTCCAGGAAAGAACTCGCCCATACAAGACCTCTGACCTAAAGAACTGTAAGATAATAAATGTATGTTATTTGGAAACACAAAGGTTGTGGTAATTTGTTACAGCCTACAATAGAAAACCAATAGAGCAGAGGCACAAGAAGGGGCTGAAAATAAGAAGCTTGACTGAAAATCTTAAAGGTGCAGTTATATCTGCAAACACCGTTCCCCATCCTTTATGGCCAGGAGACTGCCCCTTCCCACGCTGGCAAAAAGGGGGAGGTTGATTCTCTGTAGAAGCTAAGCCAGAGTTGTTCTAGGACATCAGGCAAAGCTGAAGATAAGGGTAAGCTACCTTAAAATCTATAAAGTGAATAATAAAGTCCCCTAGCCTCTTTTTTAGCTCAGCTCTCATACTGCTGGCAGCCAAACACAAATACTTCAGAGAAGAGCTTAGAGAACCTGCCCTGGGGAAATTGATCAGCCTAAGAGAAATTATGCAGAGATACTGACATGTGTTTCTGGAAGTGAAATGGTTGCATCCTCACTTGATTACTCTACAGTAAAGACCTCTACTTGGCAGGTCGCATCCAAGCAAGAGCTTTCATTAGCATTTTAATGCCTGATTCGTAATTATTAACAGACACCAAAGATCACCAGATATTTTAGAAAGGCCTGTGATATGAAAACCAGGCCAGAACAAATATAGTAAAAAGGAACTTGTGGGAAACAGAAACTTCAGGGAGCAGAAGAAAATACACAATAAGCTACAGTAAATAGTCTCATTAATTCAAAGATACTTATCGAACACCTACTACAGTAGGCACTCATTGTTCTAGGCATTCAACATAAAGTAATGAACAAACCAAATAAAGTTTATACCTCATGAAACTTACATTATCTCAGAGACATAAGAGAAGCTACTAGACCTATGAAATAAAAATGGGAAACTGTAATAGAAATATGCAAAGAATAAGATAGAACTTCTCAAAAGTTAAAAATGTGAGGACTTTTTACCAAGAGAAGGGTTAAATGACAAAGTTGATGAATAGAAAATGGAGAAAAGATAAAGCCTTAATTAGAGGACTAGGCAAGGAAGGTAAATATCAAAATAATAGAGATTCCAAAAAGGAAAGAGAAATGGAGAGAAGAAAAATTTTTTAAATATACACAAAACAAATTTCCCAGATATTTATGAGTTTCTAGGCAGAGAATAATGAATGAGAAAAGATCCACTCCAAGGTACATTATCATCAAGATATAGAACACTGCAAGTAAAAAGACTTAAAGATCTTCTCAAAAGAAAAAATAGATTCCATCAAAAAGGACCAGGAATTCAAATGACATCAGGCTTCTCTACAGAAATAATGAAATGTCAAATACAGTGAAGAAAGGATTGCCTTAAAAATATGGAAGGAAGATGATTTCTAACCTAGATTTTCACAAAGCCATACTTTGAAAATAGAGTATGGGAGTGGGATAAAGACATCAAAAACACACAAGGATTCAAACATTTTCCTCCTGTGCCCCATTCTGGGGAAGATACTGGAGGCTGTGCTCCAAAAAGCAAAGGAGTAAACAAGAAAGAGGCTTCAGGACACAGGGTTTTTAACACAAAGAAGAGAAACAGAAAATTCCTAGAATGAGTACCATGTGGGAGATGTAAAACTTGGGCATGGGCTGTCAAGGAAGAAACAAGAAACAGGAAGTTCAACTGACATGTTTGAAAACAGTGAGGGGAAATGAACAGTTATATCAGAGAGTTTGGGGTGAATTAGTATACTATGCAGCTCAACTGATTTTTTTTTTTTATACTTTAAGTTCTAGGGTACATGTGCACAACGTGCAGGTTAGTTACATATGTATACATGTGCCATGTTGGTGTGCTGCACCCATTAACTCGTCATTTAACATTAGGTATATCTCCTAATGCTATCCCTCCCCCCTCCCCCCACCCCACAACAGGCCCCGGTGTGTGATGTTCCCCTTCCTGTGTCCATGTGTTCTCATGGTTCAATTCCCACCTATGAGTGACAACATGCAGTGTTTGGTTTTTTGTCCTTACGATAGTTTGCTGAGAATGATGGTTTCCAGCTTCATCCATGTCCCTACAAAGGACATGAACTCATCATTTTTTTATGGCTGTATATTATTCCATGGTGTATATGTGCCACATTTGCTTAATCCAGTCTATCATTGTTGGACATTTGGGTTGGTTCCAAGTCTTTGCTATTGTGAATAGTGCCGCATAGTTACATAATTATAGGATGTAAATGGTGGCTATTAATGTATTCCAAGTGGTAATATAACTATATGGGAAGAATGGAAGAGGGAATATGGTGAGATGGAGGCTTCAGAGAGGGAGGGGGGAGAATATTGTGAGAGGAAGAAATCCACCTCTTCCCTGATAAGAATTTAGTAGGTAACATCAAAATCAGAAAAATCAAGAGACAGGAAAGTGACCTCATTACTTTGAAAGATGGTCCTAAGTACCTGGAAAAAAAAACTTTAAAAAACAAAACAGCTAAAACCTTTGAATATGGTTCTTTCTAGAGACCAGAAAGCAGAAGTTTCAGGGAGAAAGATTTACAGTTTTTCAATATAAATGTGGAGTATTTGAGGGGTTCAATATATGTCACGTGTCTTCCTATCTTGGCTTCAAACAAATTGAGAGATGAGCAAAAAGAGAGGCAAGTGGAGAGGAACTGTCACTGTTGTTACTAAGAAAGGCCAATTTGGAGAATGGTGGGCATGAACCCCAAACAGGCTTATTACCTGAATCCTGGCATTGGGCCGGGGGTGGGGGTGGTGGGGGGTGCCTGCTCACACAGTGTCAGGATGCTGAGGGATACTCCCCAGCCCACTACGCCCACCACATATGTACATACTGTATGGAGGAGATGGAGGAAGCTTTGTTCCAGCTGAACAACTTGAGACCCCTCTCCACAACCGAGCTGGGAAAATAGTGACATTCCTTTCAATTTTATGAATTGAATAAAACAAGTATTTTAGTTCAGTATTCAGAAACCATAGACACAGCAGCACCTTCCTTCTGGCTTGTCCTATGTTTGAGGCTCAAGGCACATGGCTCCTCTTTTCCAGTATTTTAAGCTTTATTTTATGTTGAAATTCTGAACTAGAAATAGGTAGAGTCTAGCTTAGGAAAGAAGGCAGCAGGAGCACGATTTTTTATTTTTTTTTTTTTGAGTCATAAAGAGCAATGCTCCTTGCTTGCTTTCCGAGTGGGCTGTCCTGCCTTTGTACCCTCTTCTCCAGCATGCCTCCTTTACCAGTATTATTTATCCTTATTTCCTTACTGGTGTGCCTCTGAGAGACAAGGAAGCACCCTGGGGGACTCTCAGGAAGTCCCTGCTGGCATCGGTAGGAATAGTAGCCAAGGGTTGAGACTCCAAGTCTCTTGATGAAATGGACAGACCCCACTTCTGCCCTTGGAGAACTCACACTGTGGCTTTTTTTTTTTTTAACTTTCCAACTTTTATTTGTAGGTTCCAGAGGTAAACAGGCAGGTTTGTTACACTGGTAATTGCATGTCACAGGGGTTTGATGTACAGATAATTTTGTCACCCAGGTAATCAGCAATCCTCACCCTTCTCCCACACTTCCCCCTCAAGTAGGCCTCCATGTTTATTGTTCCCTTCTTTGTGTCCATGTGTACCTGATGTTTAGTTCCCACTTATAAGTGAGAACATGTGGTATTGGTTTTCTGTTCCTGCATTAATTCACTTAGGATAATAACTATAACCTGTCTTGGTGCTCAGGTGCAATGAAGCTGAGCTGGTATTGCAAAGAGAAGCTTAATTTCAGGGCTTCCTGGGCATTTAAGGCCAGAAAAATTCCCGTTCCTAATGTAAAAATAATAGGCATTCATCACTTCTTACCTCGTAAGTGAATAAGAAAAGAAGAAAGAGCAATCATGTAGGGGTTGGCCTTAAGTGCTGTTGCAGAAATCTCCGTCAAAAGCAAAGAAGCCTGCACTTTCATCCCTCAATCCCACAGAAATTTTTTTCTGCTTTTATGGTTCTCATTGCACTGAAAAGGAAAGCCACCAGACAAAAAATGAGCCAAATGCAAAGGCAAACAAAATCAGTCCAGGCTGAGAGGCCTGAGGAGAACATTTCTTAAAGAACATCAGGATATTTTGATATTTATATCTGTGATTTTTTTAAATAAGCAAAGCAGATCCTCTTAGGAAGTAGACAACTATCCTTGATTGTTGACGGGCTGTTGGTAGAAGAAATCTATAGGTTCTAAGTATATAATCTCAACAGGAAAAATGCAACTAATTCTTAGTTAGGCAGGGACTATCATATACTATGAGGAATAGTAGAACTCGGGCTTTGGAGACATTATTGGATTCAAATGGAGCTGTTTGTTATTGGGCAAGCTACTTAACCTCATTGAGCCTCAGTTTCTTCATCTGTGGATAATAATAGTGATAAAACTGATGAGATTGAAAAGAGATTAGCAAACACTCTAGTTCATGGTAGGTGTGTAACATATCAGTTCCCTTTTTCCACCACTGATGCCCATTGTGGTAGTTATTATTGATCATCACCAAATCTTTCCATTCTTCTCTGAAGCACACAATGCAACTGCACTTTCTTGCTCCCTTGAAAATAGATATGACCATCTGATTTGCTTCAGTCCATGAGATACTAGCAGCAGTGATGCACCACTTCCAAGCTGAAGCTTTAAAAGCAAGTTCTAGGTTTGCCATGCATCTTTTCTCCCTGCAACAGCAAATGGCAGTGTTCTAGATAGTGACCAGCTTGGGGTTAGGAGTTAGGATGACACAGCAAACTTCACAAAGGACAGGTAGCACAAGTGAGAAACAAAAACCTTCATTGTTTTAAGCCACTGTGATTTTTGAACTTTTTGTTATCATAACATAACCTACATCCTCCTGATTGACTCACCTTCCTTTAAGTAACTGTATTTGCCATCATCTTAATTCACTCCACAGATATGTGTTAGCCAAAATGCCAAGCGCAGGGCTAGATGCTGAGAAATGCATGATACTGACTCTTTGTTCTCACGGGGCTCACAGTAATGGGAGGAGAGTGAGGGTCATTGTCAGGAGTCTTTTAAAAATAACCCCAGTTCTTTTGTTTAGCTAAAGTCGAGGTTTGGAACTACTGGTTTTGTGCACATTGAATACTTCATAAGTGTGCTGACTGCCTGCAATTTTAATAACAGAGAAGCTAGAGATTTTAATAAGTCAGAAAAAAGGTTGTATATGTGGAGAGAATGAAGAAAGAAATGATTAACAAAGTAAGTATGAGTACTGTACTTTATTTTGTCCCTGGGTTGCCCACAACTTTCTGACTCAGCTATCCTATCTTTTTTTTTTGAGATGGAGTTTTGTTCTTGTTTCCCAGGCTGGAGTACAATGGCGCCGTCTCGGCTCACTGCACCCTCCGCATCCCAGGTTCAAGTGATTCTCCTACCTCAACCTCCCAAGTAGCTGGGATTACAGGCACCTGCCACCACACCCAGCATTTTTTTTTTTTTTTTTTTTTTTTGTATTTTTAGTAGAGACAGGGTTTCACCATGTTGGCCAGGTTGGTCTCAAACTCCTGACCTCAGGTGATCCACCTCAGCCTCCTAAAGTGCTGGGATTAAAGGCGTGAGCCACCACACCCACACCTGGCCCTCAACCATCTCTTTCACCTTCTGCTCATGACAGTTTACTAGAATTTTTTTCCCTTGAGACTGAATGTCAAGTCAAAAACAATAAAAAATTGCTAATCATTACTATGACTCCAGAGCTACTTGCTTCTTTAAAAATTCCTGAAATTATAAAATATAAAGCCAAAGCAATGAATTTCTAATGGTGGAATTGTAGACACTGTGGCCCCCTGGGGATGTTATTTCAGATGGGGCAAGGGGATATTCCTAACCTATTTTAAATCATGCCAGCCTAGATAACTATGTGAAAATTATATGGGTGCTTAGCAAAACTATTAACTAGCACCCCTTTGGCAGTTTTACATTAAAAATCCTTTATTAGCTTAGGTATGACCTAGTGATTTTTAAAATTCATTACTGATTTTTGAAAGCCTCCTCTTCAAAACAAAAAGAGCCCATTGTTCTTAACTGGTAATACCAATTACTCCTATAAACTATATGTTAAAACCAATCTTACAGCTAATAGAAGGGTAAATATGAGGCCAACTAATGTTTATACTTACACAAGTATCTACAAATATAAAGAAGTAGCTCCTTAATAATTTCTAAAAAGAGACCCATTGATTAATCTACTTGAGTCTCTTAGCAAATGCTACTGTTTAATAACTCATTTGATGGTAGTAAATTTTCTCCTGAAGCTACCCTTTCTTTATGACTAGGCAATAAGGTCTGTGGATCTGGGAGACCTACAGTTGTTATTCAATTCCTCTGCTTCCACGTAGTGTGATTTGGACAAATGACAGGCCCTGCTTTTCTCCATTACTACCAGGATGGAAGTTGTAGCCTTCTCAACTGTTGTGGCAATTAATTGCCAAGTTCTTGGTCAACTGTCAAATCTTGAGTCGAATATGGATCTCATTGAGATGCTTTGGAACTGTGTAGGAGTAGTCACTCCCACAACATTTATCTCCCCCTTCTCCCTTACTAAGAGAGCCCTGATTTTCTAAAAGATGACTATGTGCTCAGTTGAAATACTGTTTACACTCCCTTGCAGCTATGTCTTGTGACCAAGTCGTGATCAGTGAAATGTAAGTGAAGCATTGACAGAATCCCTTCCTAAATAAAAAGACAAAGCCTAGCAAGGAGGCCTTCTGCCTTTCACCCTTCACTCTTTCCCTTCTTCCTGCCTGGAACACAGATGTAATGCAAAAGAATAAACCATTTTGTAGCCATGAGGATAAAGCCATACATTAAGAAAGACAGATCAAAAGATCTGGGTTCCCAGATAGCATCTTGAAGCTATTTTATAAACCCTGGGCAGTCTGCTTTCAGACTTCTTTTTACCATGAGAAAAATAAATTCTTGTTTGGTTTAATCACCAAGAATGAATTTTTATTATGTGCAACCAAGTGCAAATCCCAGCCAATACAATCTATGGACTCATGAGGTCTTCATCTGGATCTCATTCCTCTTCTCACCGAATCAAGACTCAGGGTCATCTCTGAGCTGTAGGGGAAAAACCTGAAACCATAAAAATTCTAGAAGATAACATAAGAAAAACTCTTCTAGACATTGTGATATTCCCCTCCGCACCCCATGTAGCCAGAGGCACCTATTGCCTCAGGGAAGAATAGGATTGTTAAACTAGGAAAGTAGACAAAGGCAGGGTAAAAATAAAGCCTAATTGGTTACCCAGAGGTCCAATTTGTATAGAAAAGGCAAAATAAATGCACAATTGTTTTCCTTTTCCTAAAACAGTTTTGAAAATTATGAGCTGGTTCCCTCTGAACCATCAAGCAATCAATCTGTTCAGTTGTTTTTAAAATATTATCAATTAATAGATATAATCATGTTTGATGTGTTTTAAACAATTGCGATTATCTTTTTTTTTTTTTTTTTTGATGCTCAAATTAGCCCGTCTTTGGTCAGTGACAGCCTATTTGAATTGTCCCCTTCTTGACACAACCCTAGTGGTAGTTGATAGTTTTCTTGCTTTCTGAAAATATTTACAGATAAAATGATATGATGCTCTGGGATTTGCTTCAAAATGATGACATAGGAAAAAGGGGTATAGATGAAATATGACTGTCCATGAGTTCATAATTGTTCAAGCTGGTTATGGCCCCATGGAGATTCATTATACTACTTTCTTACATTTGTATATGTTTGAAATTTTCTAAATTAAAAGTTAAAGATAAAAAAATTCAGTCAGGCACCTATAGTCTGCAAGCACTTGGGAGTCTGAGGCTGGAGGATGGCTAGAGCCCAGGAATTCAAGACAAGCTTGGGCAACATAGCAAGATTCAGTCTCGAAAGGAGAAAGAAAAAGAAAAGTTGAGTCTTGAATGCCTGGCTTTGATTGGGGGGTGGGGGGAAGAAAAATATTTCTAAGTTCCCTAGGCTTCCCTTTACTTATTGATGAGTAGGCCCAGAGGTCTGACTACAGAGCTGTACTCTAAGTCAGAGGTCATGAGCTCTCAGGATATACCCATTACCCCCATTGTAAGGAGGGCATGAAGAAACCCTCTTGGATGGGGGAGAGAACAGAAGGATGGAGGGTAAGGAGAGGGGAAAATGTGCGAAAAGCTTTCAGAGCTTCACGAGTTGGGTACCTCTTGGCAGCTTTGCTGGTGGTCACAGGGTTGGGTAAAAGGGGTTCCCTCACTACCAATTTGTCTTACCACCGTCTTCCATTCTTTGGCCCAGATTCTAGTCTCTCATCCCCAACAAGCCTGATTCTATTTCTTGTGGTCAAGGGGATCTTGCTTTCCAGATAGGACAGGAAGGAGCACTGGGCTGGACATCCCGAGGCCAAAAGCCGAAGCCTGTCAGTGATTCAAAATGACACGGGGTTTTGGGTCTCACTTTCATCACCCATGAAATGAAAGGTCACCCTGCAAGACTGAAGCCCCTGCAGTGTCCCAAGCATCCAAATCCAACACTCAAGAAACCCTGGACCCCAACAGCCTGTCCTGCAGGCCTCCGTGCCTTTTCATTGAACGTCTTTTCCACCATTACACATCACATCGCCTCCTAAAGAAAAGCGCGACTGCTATCACTTTTTGCAGATAATTGGAGAGGCGGTGCCCAGCATAAGATGACCCCAAAGTTGACAGCACTTTCAGGCTTTGTGAATTAGGCGCGTCACCGACCTGTACGATTTCTCCTCTCTGCCCTTGCTCGCCTGCAAATCCTGACCCCCGTCCACACTGCGGAGAAATCTCCTAAGAGACGGCTGCCAGCGTCGCCTCTGCGCCCAGGAGGCGTGGAGCAAAGGACTCGGGAGCTGAGCGCGCTGCGGCCCCGCTCCCAGCGCACAGCGCACAGCCCAGAGGGAGGGGCCGGCGGGGGCCGGGCAGCGCCAGACTCGGAGCGCCGGGCTCACAGCGGCTCAGTCTCCTCCCGAACCCAGCCCGGCTGGCGAGAGCGGCAGCCAGTGCGAGCCAGAGCCCGGGCCTCAGAGCGGGTAGGCGGAGGGCCGGCGGACTGGAGCGGCGGGCCGCGCTCGGGGGCCCCGCCGTGTGCGCGTCCTCCCATCTTATCCTGGTAAGTGCGGGCGGCTGCGCCCCGCCTGCCGCTGTAGCCGCTGTGGCGGTCGTCCCCGCATCCCGGTTGCGCGCATCCCGTTGCTGCTCTGCAGGCTCACAGGTGGCTCTGCCGTGGATGTGGGCGCCCCAGGCCCCGCTAGGAGTTAGCCAACTCTCTGTGCTCCGGGGCGTGGATTTGGAGCCCCCGCCTCTCCTACCCTTGCTTTTGGCTTGGGATGGGGGGCGTGGGGCAGGGCCTGCCGTCGGGGGAGACGCGCAGAGGGGCGCTTCCATTCCCCAGCCACCTACAAACGACTCAGGGGGATGCGGGCCAAGCGCCTCACCAAATGCAACCCAGCTCCAAGCTCACAGGTGGGGCGTCTGTCCTTTAGATTTATTTTCCTATTAATCCACCAGGGAAAGTTTGGGACCACGCAAGGCAAAGTTGGGGCGCGGCTGGGGGCGAACATTCTCCTACGGAGGCAGCTCCCGGGGAGACGAGCGGTGGGTTTTCAGGGGGAGCGAGGATCGGGCTGGAGATGACTTTGCGCCCGGGGAGTTGAATCTGTCCCTGCTGGTCGCCCGGGCCGGGCATTTACACAATCCCCTGAGTGCTGTGAATCGCTTAATCGTTCCTGCTAAGCGTTGACGTTCGCAGCCACCTGGGAATCTCCGTGATGGGGTCGGGTTATCTCAGGAGTAGCAGCAACTCAGCGGGGTTGATTTGTGCTCTTGCTTTGCTCTGAAAACCTGAGCTCCAGCTAATCTCAGTATTTAAGTGGCGTGTGTTTAATTAGCTTATTTTACACCTGAGATTATCTCAGCGACTGCCTCCAAAATGAAATCGTTGATATGGAAAAGAATAGTCTTTTTAAAGAAAAACTAAAAAGAGAACTCTTCAGAATATCAGCTGTCAAGTCTGGCTATTTTACCCATCTCCTCCGTGGGATAGAGAAAGAAAACTCTGCTTTGGATATCTAACCTATTAAAGTCAGTGGTGGGGCTATTTTGGGCAGATTTTGTGGACAGAGGTATTGCTACAACTTGCGTATTGTTTATGAAATACACATGTGGTCTCTCGAAATAGCCTACTTGTTATTTCACTGCATTGGGAGTTCTTTGACTTACTAAGCTGCCTATTTTAAATATGACTAAAGGTTGTTTTTTTAAAAAAAATATTTAGCTGAAAACAATGTCTAGATGTTTAGGGAAGGCAGCTTGTGCATGTCACCAGAATTTTTTTTTGTAAACTTAAATTTGTAAAGGACTACTTTCCCGCATCTGATAAAGGAGAGACTTTTTATGAAAAATAAGATCTGATATCATTATGTGTGCAGAAAAAAGATCACTAAATTAAAGAATCACTCACTTTCCAAATGATAGGTTAAATCAGAAAAAGTTGCCTACAACTGAGAATTATGTAATTGGACCAAAAGTAAACAATGAATAATTGTTAGTTGCCAAGTACCTAGACAGTTCTGAAAGAAGTCTAGGTACCTTTATAGCACTGGAAGGTTATTACATGATTTAAGGTGAGATAATCTGATAGATTTTCACCTGTAAAATTTTTATTCTTACATCTGCCTTCTCTGCACCTAACATTGGATTTACCAAAATATTTATTTGGGTTTATACATACATCTTCATAAGTGCCACATCCCATACTAAGTGCTACATATGTTTTTACTCATCTTGAAAACAATCCTGGGTGGTAGGTACCGTAATTGTCCCCATTTTAAATGAGGAAACTGAGGCACAGAGAAGTTAAGTAACTTACCCAAGATCGCACAGCTGCAGGACAGGACTTTATCATATCTGCAAAGATCTTTATTAAAAAGACGTGATTTTATGATTTACTTATTCTCGTTTTTATTTTTATTTAAGCATAAATGATGAAAGTTTCCTGTGAAGCATAACAATCCCTGATTGTGAAAGTACCCCACAAGCATCGTTAACTATAAAGTAAGGAAAAGTATGAAAGAACCATCTGGTTGAGTCTAAAGTTGGAAGATCACCATATCCACCAGAAGACCCAGGATGGATCTGCAACAAAGCACCACCATCACTTCCCTAGAGAAATGGTGTTTGGATGAGTCACTGTCTGGCTGCAGAAGACATTATAGTGTCAAGAAAAAACTGAAGTTAATTCGAGTCTTAGGCCTTTTCATGGGTCTGGTAGCCATTAGCACTGTCTCATTTTCAATCAGTGCCTTTTCTGAGACAGATACACAGAGCACAGGAGAGGCCAGTGTTGTAAGTGGCCCTAGGGTAGCACAGGGTTACCATCAGAGAACTCTCTTAGATTTAAATGACAAGATTCTGGATTATACTCCACAGCCACCTCTTTCTAAGGAAGGCGAGTCTGAGAATAGTACAGATCACGCCCAAGGAGACTACCCGAAAGACATCTTTTCCCTTGAGGAGAGAAGAAAAGGTGCGATCATTCTGCATGTCATTGGAATGATCTACATGTTCATAGCCTTAGCCATTGTCTGTGATGAGTTCTTTGTTCCTTCTTTGACTGTCATCACTGAAAAACTGGGCATCTCTGATGATGTGGCTGGAGCCACCTTCATGGCTGCAGGAGGGTCAGCCCCAGAACTTTTCACATCTCTCATAGGGGTATTTATCGCTCACAGCAACGTTGGCATAGGCACAATTGTAGGTTCAGCAGTATTCAACATCCTCTTTGTTATTGGCATGTGTGCTCTGTTTTCTAGAGAAATCTTAAACCTGACATGGTGGCCGCTCTTTCGAGATGTGTCTTTCTACATTGTTGACTTGATCATGCTGATCATATTTTTCCTGGATAATGTCATCATGTGGTGGGAAAGCTTGCTTCTCTTAACAGCTTATTTTTGCTATGTGGTTTTCATGAAATTCAACGTCCAAGTAGAAAAATGGGTGAAGCAAATGATAAACCGCAATAAGGTCGTCAAGGTGACAGCACCAGAAGCCCAAGCAAAGGTTGGTGGTGGTGGATTTTTATTTAATGCTTTTCTTGACTACGGTTCTGAATTATTATGTTTTTGAGATCTGCAGTTCTTTTGATGTGATGGTGTTTGGGGCTCTTGTGGATAGCAGATTGATTCTGCAGTTCTGTGATAGCTAGACTAACATAGCAGTGGAAAAAATAATTTTGGGGTATTCTTGCAGATGTTTACTAAGTTCCTCAGCTACTTGCTTCAGAGTAAAACACTTGTAAATATAGGTTACATAAGCCTCCCAAAGCCAATTCAGCAGTTATTTGTCTCTTATTTTCTGAAAGTGGGCATAATGATTTTGTGAACAATTTAATTTTCATAGGAAAGTGTGTATGTGCCTAGAAAGTTGCAAGGCCTTTTCTTTTTAAATGAACACATGGCAATTACCAAGAAAGAACCATCTCTTTAGAGATGTCTGAGGAAGAAAGTTTGTGTCACCGTAGCTGTACCTTCCAGTCAGCAGCCTAGCCCAGCAGGGCTTGTCATTATTGTTGTCATGGCTGTTTTTCTTGATTGACACAATCATGTCTTAGGTCACTTGACCAGGAACTGATCAGCATCCATTGTAAAGAGAATCATTGGCCAGCCCTGCCATCTGCCTCTGCATCACAATGACCCACTTTGCACACCATAATAAACATGACTTCAACTATTTTTAGAGTAGAATTTGAGGGAGTTTTAATAACAATCGTGGCCATCCTACCACTTAGGTGAGTGGAAAGCAGATTGGTAAAGAGCTTAGAAGTAATTCCTGCAAACACCTAAATTATTTTTTTAAATAGTGGACAAATGGCATCAATACAATCGTATGTGGTATTGTAATGGAGTTCTGATTTATATCCTAGCAGTGGAATATCATCTCTGAATGTGATTTTAAACAGAAAGCCAAAATACCTACATAGACTTTTCATGCCAGCATCTGGGAAAATTCTCATATATGCAAAAAACAGATATTTGAGCAGGGGGTGAAAGATTTTGTTCAAAAAGAAAAGAAAAATGATATTAATATGGTTAAATTTGCATAATTCTTTTATAGCCAAGTTTGATGACCGTCCTTTTCATTGCAGCCATGAAATGGAAGCAAAGGGCAGGATAAAACACTAGCAATATTTCTACTTGTACTACATATTTTCTAACATTTCTCTCGTATGCTTGTTTGTTAGAAACTATAGTAAAACCAAAAAATCATTTAGCAAAATATACGGCAAACAAGCATTCAGATGTGACAACTGAGTACATCTCCTTCAGGGCATAAAATAGGACCATCATTGGAAGTTCTCCCCTACTCTAACTTAGCAGCCAAAAAGGTGATCCCTCAAGTGCTCTCCTCGAGTCCGTTTGGGTGGTGTACATTGATAGTCTTGTGTTTATTCCAATTAAAGTACTGAACGATTGTCAAGGAAATGCTTATTTTTTAGAGGCAAGGAAATGATTCGATGTCTTATAAATTTCTTGGGTGCATCAATGCTGAAAAGTCTCTTTGAGAACTCAGTACTTTCTTGTTTTCTTACACCCTAGTGGAACTTCATTAACTTAGAGACTTGGCTGAATGTTATATTGGCAACATTTATGAAAAATGAATCTGCAGAGCAATCCAATGGTATATGTAGGATTGCGGAAGGATTTTGTATTCTGATTTTAGTGGGGTGGAAGATGGTTTAGTGGAGTGGAAGATGCTTTCATGCGTTTTAGAAATAGCTTTCCAAATATAGGTTTATAGACTGTATTTAGTCAATTATAAACCATTCATTAAAGTAGCCCTGGAATGATCTTTACCTACTCAATTAGGTGACTTATGTCATTTTTATGATTATTTTAAGGTCAGAAATTCAGGTTGTCATCCCTTAACCCTTGTTATTTGCATCCATAATTTTGTGCTATACTTAATATTGTGTGTTCTAAAATTTGGGAATTCTAGATTTACTTGATTGAAAAAGAAAGCAGGTTATATTCATAACTATTTCTGTTTCTGATTTCCCCCCAAAATGTGTTCATTGTATTGTTTTCCATTTAGCACCAAATAGCTTTAATTTATTCCAGTTAGTCATTAATGTTTCTTTTGACATTGGTTAACTAATGGAAGTAGAGATTTTTTTCTAAACAAAGCTATGTCTTATTTTGTACTTCTCAAAAAAATGCCAGAGCACAGTCACACGTTTTTAAGTGGAACGTGCATAAGGATGTGTGATTTCCTTTAGGAAATACCACTTGCCAATTTCACTTTTGAATTATTGCTGGAATTTTTTCTGTAATTACAGCCTTTATCATATGCCTGATTGCAGAAACTTAGGGAGGTTTTCCCCCCCAGGCACTGAACATAATCACATCTCTGAATGTGATTTTAATGTAATTTGATTCATCCTGAAATGGGGATGAATCCTGGAGTGTGGTCATCTAGTCACCTGGCTGCAGAGTTGAATTCTGACTGTGTAGCTTACCTTTCTTACAGAAATTAATGCTTCTGACATCACCAAAACATCTAGGAAAAAAAGACTTTAAGCCAAATGCGGCCTTCAGTGGAGTCTTCCTAGAGAGGAATGTGCTGTACAAGAATTTAGGAAGCAAAATACTAAGCATGTTTTCATGCAAAGTCACTTCATTGTCCTGTTTGCAAAATTATGGGACATGGGAGTTTGGGAAGGTAGAGGAATCACATTTTAGATATTCTTATACAAATCATCAAATGGTTCTTGCAAAAAAGTCAACTCTGCTGGGCTCTAGGCAGTGAATATCCTTGAAACTACTTGCTTCATAGGCAAATATAAAATCTTAATTTGGTTCCATTGTTGATGATGTACATCATAGGGTAACTGTGAAGCATGGAAAAACATGAACTGGCATTATTTTTCATAGTTAAAGCAACAGTTTCTCATCTCATTTAAATTTCTCTACCTTGTGTGTGGTTCTTATTTTTATTATTGTTATTTCTTTTAGTGATGCTACTACCCTTTTTAAAAAGTTATATACCATCATGACACAGTGAAGAGACCCTGGGGCTTTAACTCAAAAAGGAAAGAGTCTTTAGCCTGGTTGTGTAATAAGCCCAGTGATTTCAGAGAAGTCATTTTAACTCTCTAAGCCTCAGTTTCCTAATTGGAAAATGAGAATAATGATACCTACTTCATAAGATTGGTAAAATTATTAAATGAAGAAATGAATGTTAAGCATCTAGCATGATCCTTGGAAAATGTGGGTTGTTTTCAATGAATGTTAATGCCTTCCTTTTATGTTTCATTCTTAAGTGAAAAATGAGTTGGAATAAATTATTTTAGATTCAAGAGTTATAAAACATTCCTTGAAGACTGAACTTGCTCCAGTGAATCCTTGAGTTAAGCAGTCCGTCATACCCCTTAGGGTTATATAATATTTGCTGTATTATAATATTCATAAGCTCTAGTTCACATACAGTGAATATAAATGGGTCAAACATTAACTCCAAGGAAACTTCAAAATGTCTTTATTTCATCCTGAGATTTTATTATTTGGAATTTTGCTTAAAGTGAGTAGCTCATTGGCTGGGACTTAGCAATATCCATTCTAAGCAGAGACTTTTGCTTTTGGGGTATTTTTATTTATAGATGTTTGGGGCTCTCTTCTTAAAATGTCTGTATAGCTGGTTAGGAATAAGTTTGAATCCTGCAGGATGTGAAGCAGTTAAGTTTCAGATCATTCGGCTCATTTTGCTATGCTCCTAGCCTGGCTGCTGGGGGCCGTTGATCTGTTATGGTGCTAGGCTGTCATTGGCCTAGAAAGCAGCTGTCCATGGTATTTAACTTCGTCTTAGACTTGGCACTGTAATCTGACAGCAAGTTGGCCTGGTTCTAATGAAGGGCACAATCTAAATAAAGATGCTTAAAGCTGGATAGTTGGAGGGCCAGACTACTTAGTAATTTAGGTGTGCTTTGCTTTATTCAGTTTGTGTGTTTCTGAAAAGCTGTAAAGGGTTTTAGCAATTCAAATTGTGATTAATGTTCTTTGGAAAATCAGGATTAAAACAAAATTATTATAAACATTCTTCATAAAGTGAAGTAGTTCTTGTAAAGTACTAAACCATAAATAATTGTATAAGTATACATGTGTTGCCTCAACTTTGCTTAAGACACAGAATTTATTAATTAGTAAAATTAATATACAAACTTCAAAGTAGGTAAGATGGTCCTTATATTAAATAAAAAGATGTATTACTTGATAGATTTGGAAACTAATTCTCTGTATTTCTTAAAAGAAAAAAACTTAGGCATTAAAATTCTTAACTGACTGTGAAAGTAGTGTGTTTATCTAGGGATACAGCATGGTGATATTTTCCTTATTTTGTTTCCCTCTACTTATCCTAAAAGTAAACCCGTCAGTTACTGCTTGTGATTCAGAGAGTGAACTAGGCATTTTGAGAGACCCAGAAGGGCCCAGTGGATTTTGATACACACAGTTCAAATTGCCCTTGGCCATTTCCCTTGCTATTCTGGTTTCCCCTGGCAACAGATGACCTAAACTTTGTGAATCCTAGAGAACTGGAGTCACCATTATCTCTCCCTTCCACCTTCCCCTACTTCATCTATTCCTCTCTTTGTCCTTCTTTTCCTCTCCTCTTCCCTCCTTTTGTCCCCTTCCCCTCTTTTTTGTTAGAACTAGATAATTTGTATCTTAACTTTAGCAAAGAATGGGATCGTGTGTTAAGCTATTCTCTTGCTACTGGGGACACAAGTACATCCAGAGTGTGGTTTTGGCAAGTTTAGTTTTTCCATCCTTTTATTTTCAACCTTCTTTTGTTTTAGGTAAGTCTCTAGTAACCAGAATATGCATGCAGTTTATTTAATTCAGTTTCACAAGCATTGTCTTTTAACCGGAAAGTTTACTTTGTTTATATTTACTATGATTACTGTAACATTTGGATTCTTTTTCATCATGTTATTGTATACTTTCTATTTATTTTGGCCTTTCTGTTTCTTTTTAGAATTTTTTCTTGCCTTTTTTTGAATTTTTTTTCTAACTCTCTTTTTCCCTTTAATAGTTTGGAATGTATACACTCTTTTTTTTTTTTTTTTTTTTTGAGACGGAGTCTCGCTTTGTCGCCCAGGCTGGAGAGCGGTGGCGCGATCTCGGCTCGCTGCAGGCTCCGCCTCCCGGGTTCACGCCATTCTCCTGCCTCAGCCTCCTGAGTAGCTGAGACTACAGGTGCCTGCCACCGCGCCCGGCTAATTTTTTGTATTTTTAGAAGAGACGGGGTTTCACCGTGGTGTCAATCTCCTGACCTCGTGATCCACCTGCCTCAGCTCCCAAAGTGCTGGGATTACAGGCGTGAGCCTACACTCTATTTCTATTATCTTGATGCTTGCCTTAGAAATTTTAACCTGTGTGGCCGGGCGCGGTGGCTCACACCTGTAATCCCAGCACTTTGGGAGGCCGAGGCAGGTGCATCACAAGGTCAGGAGTTCAAAACCAGCCTGGCCAAGATGGTGAAACCCCGTCTCTACTAAAGATACAAAAATTAGCTGGGCGCAGTGGCAGGCGCCTGTAATCCCAGCTACTCAGGAGGCTGAGGCAGAAGAATTGCTTGAACCCGGGCTTCAGAGATTGCAGTGAGCCAAGATCGTGCCACTGCACTGCAGCCTGGGCGACAGAGTGAGACTCCATCTCAAAAAAAAAAGAAAAAGAAAAAGCAATTTTAACCTGTGTATTTAACTTAACATACTATAAAGTTAATTAAGATGTTTACGCTCCAGCTAAACAACCTAAGTACCTTAGAAAATTACTCAGTCACCACTTCACCCATTGTATATAATTCGAAGTCTAGAATTTAAGCTCTACCTTGATGTGTTTTTTGTCCGTTTGTTTGTTTTTGGTTTTTGATTTTTGTTTTGAGACGGAGTCTCGCTCTGTCGCCCTGGCTGGAGTGCAGTGGTGCGATCTCGGCTCACTTGCAAGCTCCACCTCCCGGGTTCACGCCATTCTCCTGCCTCAGCCTCCCAAGTAGCGGCACTACAGGCGCCCGCCACGACATCCAGCTAATTTTTCTGTACTTTTTTTACTAGAGACGGGGTTTCACCATGTTAGCCAGGGTGGTCTCCATCTCCTGACCTCATGATCCTCCCACCTCGGCCTCCCAAAATGCTCGGATTACAGGCGTGAGCCACCGCGCCCGCCTACCTTGATGTTTTGTAAACAGCTTTATTGAGTTATAACTTTCATTTTTTAAGCCTCATAAATTAGACATTGTCATTTTACCATCAATATTTTTAGATTTATCCACATATGTACTGGTTTTTCCCCTCCTCATTCCTTCTTGTATACCAAACCTTTTATCTACAGTTTTTTCCCTCTATTCCTGATGTACATTCATGATGTTTCTTAATCTGTTAATAGTAGATGCACCTGATTTTTATTTACTTAGAGTTTTATTTCACTTTTGTTCTTGAAATATAGGACAAAAGTAGTGAGTAGAAAATTATTTTCTCGTCCAATTTCGATAATAATATTCCACTGTCTCTCAATTCCGTTTTTGCTGTTGAAAGACTACCATCCATGTAAACATTGCTCCTTTATAAGAAATTTATCTTTTTTCCTTTACTACTTTTAAGGTTTTTGCTTTGAGTGTTTGGCATTTTCCTTAAGATATGTCAGGTGTGATTTTCTCATTTAGGTATCCTCTATTTGTGACTCATTAGGCTTCCTGATTTTGAGGATTAGTGCCTCCCAACAATTTTGCCTCTACCCCAATCTTCCTATAGTCTGCCTTCTAGAATTCCAGTTAGACGTATCTTGTACTATCTTACCTTCCACGTGTTTTCACTGTTCATGGTTTTCTATCTGTGATCCTCATTCTTGTCATTTCTTTATATCTACCTTCTAGCGTCTCATTTTCTCTTTAATTTTGTCTAATCTGCTCTAAAGCGCATCTATTGACTTTCTAATTTTAGTTATATTATTCATTTCTACAAGTCTTATGTGGCTCTTTTTCAAATCTGTTAGGTAGCTTTTCATTGTTTCTAATTTCATCATACTTTTAATGCCTCTTTTATTCCTCTAAACATGTTAAGTATATTTATTTTGTATTTCATTGTTGATAAATTTTGTGGCAATATCTTTGTGGGTCTAGTTTTGTTGTTTTATTGATTCTTAACCATGAAATTTTTTTAAACTTTGAGCATATGTTTCTTGGGACTTTACCTGTGGAACTCCATTGAGGCCTGGGTTTTAAGTACATTCCTCCAGAGAGGATTGCTCTCCTGTCAAAGGTCCGGGAGTACTACCAACTGGGGCCATTCTAAGCTACATGTTTGACTTTTTTACTACCCAGGTAGTGTAAATTCAGACTGCAAACCCGTATGAGCGAGCCTGTGCTTAAAAATTCTTAAGGGAGATTCATCTTTCTTCCCCATCTTCAACTTTCAGCAGCACTAAAAACCAAGACTCAAATAGACACATCCTACCATCTCCCTTTGCGAGGCAGATTTTTTTTTTCTTATTTGCTTACTGAAAGTGTCAACCCTTCAGGAGTCTCAGCTTACAGATAGAGAAGTTCTCTGAACTCCCTTCCCGCTATCAGGCCTCATGTTTGTATTTCTAAAAACCTAGTCTTTAGGCTGCTAAGGAATGGCAAATACCTTGAAGGCAAAGCAATACAGACATTTCTGGACTTGTATTTGGTCAGTGTTCTGGGTTCTAAGAATCCCTTATTCCTCACTAAATAAAATAGTTAGATATTTGAAAAATATATTTCAAGTGTAATATTCCAACATTTTAGGGAGTAATATATTAAGAAGGGTTTGTTATTCTATTGCCAGAAATTTCAGACTATAGATTTCTCAAAAGATAATGCATACAACAAGTGACACTGTTATGGAATTTTAATGGCATTCTCTCAATGTTTAATACAGCCTGACCATCATAGTAAAGTTTCTCATCAAAATAATAAATCCTAGAAACAGCAAGTTTTAGTCATTCAAATCTGAGGAGCAATTCTAACATGAAGTTATATGAGGCCACTTTAAATTTTAGGTTTGCCTTTTAAATAATATATTTATCAGATACCAAAATTATGTATTCATTGTACAAGAGTATTAAAAACACATCAAAATATAAAAAAGAAAATTTTGAACAGTTTATATTCTCTCATTGCACCATCCAAAGATGACTATGCACATTTTCGCATATAGCATTCTTCTGAACTTCTCATATACACATACATATACACATGCATATGTACATAGACATATATATACACACCTATGTATTTAAATAAATAGGAACATATTGGACATACAAAATTTTATATTTACCATATTGAATATATACAATTTTAAGGTTTTTACAAATTTTTGGCCTATTATGGAGCCTTTTCCCCATCATTAAATGTTTTTCTAAAATGCTATTTACTGTTTAGTATTATCATAATATAGAAAGCCATTTTCATGTTGCCATTTATTGCAATATTTAACATTATAAAAAATACTACAACAAATAGCTTTACACATGAATTTCTGATTTCGTAGAAGCAGAATTTCTGGGTCAAGGCTTATCAGCTTTTTAAAGTTTCTGCCACATTGCTACATACTTAGTAGTGTTGAATATTATAATTTTTAATGTTTTCCAATTTCATAGATGAAACGTAGCATTTTAATTAATTGTTTTAAATGTGCATTGCTTTATTTGGGAGTCTGGGCTTTGAAACATATGTTTATGAAGAATGACATTTTTCTTTTATAGATTGCCAGTTTCCTGTGTCCTTTGTGTCAATTTTAAAGCTAGCTGTGATGACTCACACAAAGATCTCTTACAAATATATGCTGAGAATCACTAACTTTAGCTCTCCTCTCTCTCCCCATTTCCACACCTAAATGGAGCCAGGCAGTTTTTGCAGGTTTTGTTTTTGTTTTTGTTTTAATGGGAGAATTATTCTGAAGAGGAGTCCTCATGACCGAAGATTTGGGAAATGAAGTTTTCAGGGACTGGGATGTGCTCCTTGGCCATTTAACCTAAGGGGGATTCTGTACCTCCAAGGAACCCTATTGCCACATCTGGAATGTGGGAGATTCACCCTCAGTGACCTAACAGATTTTTAGCTGGTCATTTCTATCCTTAGGAGCTGTAATATTTACAACGTGGAATATTCTAACCAGGCCAAAGCAGCAATCTAATACATTCACCCTAAACAGAAGACCAGAGTCTAGCCATGCCCATATCACCCAACTCTTTTTCTTAACTGACTTACATGTAGTAGTTTTTCTCAAATGATTTAATTGACTTGACCAAGCAATAATTTTAGCTTAAGCATGCTGTGGGAGGTAGCTCTTCCAGACAGATGGAAGAACAACGTGCATGGGAAAAAGTCATATAAAGTTTACTGTAGGACGCTAGACCGCCTCAGCATTTGTGGCTTCTGACAAGGAAAACTATCCTGGGCAGCTGCATGTGTGTCCCTGGACTGCTGGTCTCTATAGGTCTCTCCAAAGTCAAGAGAAGAGAGGGATTTGAAAAGTAGGCAGTGCTTAATACCAGGTACTTACTACATCAACACTCTGAAATAAATATTATCACCTCCATCTGCAGATCAGGAATCTGAGGATTGGGAAACATAAATGATTGCCTAAGGTTCAAATTTAGTGATATTTAAATGGCGTTTGAACTTGAGCCTGTCTGATTTCAAACTGCAAGCTAGTTCTCTTGTACCTGAGTGCTTCTCACTGGGCACTTAAAAATACAGATGAAGCAGGCCTCCAAATTAGATTCACTTTTCACATTGTGAGCTGTCAAATCAGTGACTTTCAAATGTTTTTGACCATGCCCCATGTAAATATATTTTACTCTCAACCCAATATGTATGTGCACATGCATGCACACATACATATGTGCATATTTACATATCCATATAAAGATAAAATCTAAGCATAAGGCACTTTTATATTTTGTAAATTTTTCATTCTATTAAAAATACTGGTGTCAACTTTCTAAAATAATTTCATGGACCACCAAAGGGCTGTGGCCTTAGTTATGTTAAGAACGTTTTTTTCTCCTTCTTCCTTTCTTTCAGCAGGGCTGCCCTGCAAAGCTGTACTAGTTGTGTACTCTACAAGGGCATCTGTTTGATCAAGGTGAAGAATAGGAGAAGGAAGCTAGACATCACTCTACTGAATGAGCGGAATGCACTGATGTGGGACTGTGGCTGCCTAGAGGAAGGGGTGCCTTTTCTTAATTCCGCAAAGGTGTCTTTTGGCCTGGTGGTGGCCTTGCTTCTTACCCTCAGCTTTTCCTTTTAGTAATTAATTTATTTAGCATTTCAGAGCCATGATCTAAAAGGACCATTAAATACATATAAATCCATGCTAATCTTCATGACTGGGACTCTTTCAGCCATTTAGACCTAGATCCACACATCATCAATGCTTCCTCTCCAAGCACACACACCATCTATGTCCATTTGGCTAACTCTGACCAATGCAGATTTCTGTAGAATCCTGAGGCCAACACTCACCAAACCATGTATTGCTCTCTGGCTCTGAGATAGAACGATTGCAGAGTAAAAAAGGCATAGATCACAGCATGATATGCTTGCTGAGCCTCCAGTCATTCTTGGTTCCCAGTGAGCTTGTCATCAGGTGGAAAAGAAATGTGGGTGAAGCAGAGAGGTTATGAAATCAGAGAAAAGCAGAATCTAGACAAGAAGCTGCATTTAGATTAGGTGGGTTTCCTTTTTATGAAGGATTGGATTTGTAAACCAAATGATGCAGACATGGTTCTTGTATGGGTAAAAACTGGTGGGTTTGGAAAGGATCTGGGCGCCAGGCCATATTTAATGTAGTGTTCACAGTTTTAAAGGGTGCAGTCACAATTTTGCATCAGCAGGACTAAGCCTGGAAAGAAGTCCCTTTCATCCCAGACACTGGCTGCGTAACCCTGGGCCAGGCACTTTGCCCCAAGCGTCTTCTCTTTGAAAATGAAAGGACTAGTTTATCTCCAAGATACTGCCAGCTCTGATAACTCTGTGTTTCTCTGTTAATGGGAAAGAAACAAGTATACTTGCTTGTACTTATGGGTTGGCCAACAGAAGAGATAGTTAGGTCATGAATCGCTGAACTTATTTCCTTCAGAGTGCCTTTCCAATTAAGAAACCCAATTAAAGAGGATCGCTTCCTTTGGAGGAGTAATGAGGGCTTCTTTACCCATCTACAGGACCTTCTTGGAAAGGGCCAGATGAGTTTCTGCTTCTCTGTAAGTAACTTTCTCTTTTACTGCTTGATGGACACTGAGTTAGACAAGCAGGGTGTAGGTAGAAATACAGGTTTCACCTTCAGCTAAAACCTGAAGCACCGTTTTTCCCACTTATAAACTGTCATCTGTTGTTCTAGCAACTTACATAGGCTGAGGTGGTTTTCTTTTTCCGTACCACCTGATAGCAACCAAATATATATTGAACCACTTATTTCAGGCCCGTAATAGACATTGAATATTGGTGTATTCCAGGAACCTGTTAGTTTTCCGAGACGGCCGATGATGGCTAAAGGTTAACACAATGAAATTATTATTTAGGCCTAGGACAGAGATTATTTTGGATAGACCTTCCTAGCTGTGTGATCTTGGATACATTACTTAACCTCTCTGGGCTTGTGTTTACTTATCCATAAATTTTTAAAGTAATAGCATTTTCCTCATAGGGAGGGTATGAATTTTTGATGAGATTAAACAGGAAAAGTGTTTAGCAGAATCCAGTTTCTGCCCTCCTCCTCCCCAACCCACCAAAGATACACTTCTCCTGGTCTCTTTTGCTCTGAGTCCCTTCTCTGTGCTACAAGCCTACTCTTCTTCAGTCCTATCTTTCCCTGCAGAGTGTTTTCCTATTGCCATTTCAGGGCCTTGCCTACTTCCTAGGTTTCATTTCCTAGACCTCTCTCTTGATGTCTCCCTTGCAGCCATATGAATCTGCAGTTCCCCAACCAATCCCTAACTAACAGTCAAATCCTCAGTGTTTGGACTTGACCTTGCTTTCCTTTTATTCTTGCAGAGGATTAAGAGAGAAATAGTTCCCTATCTCTGAAACTAAACCTTGCTCAACCATGAAATTCTCTTGAGCCCTCTTCTTGCCACCCTATAAATGTGTTCACTCTTGTGTGTATCATCAATATTTAATCTTAGCTATTCATGCACCTATCTAGTCATACCTGTGACTGATGTTGGTTTGCCAGCATCTGTGTTTTCTGTCTTGGATTGAATCACTCCCCTTGACTTAGTAACTAACTGGTCCCATTTGCAGTATCTGGTGCCTAGCTTGGTGTCATAGGTAGAAGGCCAAAGGGCGCTTAATGCTTCAAGAAGTTGATAGTGGTGATGATGAGTGTTCATGATAAAAAGTCTGAGCCTGAATCAGTCATAAAATGTAGTGTTTTATGTATTAAACTCAAGCAGCAAATGACTAATTTCCTACTTATGAAAGAGGAATCATTAGAAACCCTCCTGTCCCCTCAGGTTGCAAGTGTGGGCATCAGGGTAGGTAAGGCATTTCAATTCTAAAAGCCAGTTTATTCCAGCTGTGGCCCAAAATAGTTCTCTTTGCCTTCTAGCCTTATATAATGTTTCTCTATTGACTTTTTAATAACAGCTTTTCTGAGATGTAATTCATTTACCATAGAATTCACCCTAGTTGTATAATTCAGTGTTTTTTAGCATATACATTCAGAGTCACACAACCATCATCACTATCTAATTTTAGAACATTTTAATCACCAAAAAGAAACCCTGTACACACTGATAGTCTCTCCCAATTCCTCCCTCTGCCCAGCCCCCAGTAGCCACTAATCTACTTTGTCAGTATAGATTTGCCTATTGTGGACATTTCACATAAATGAATTTATATAATATGTGGCTTTTTGCACTGGCTGCTTTCATTTAGCGTAATGTTTTTAAGGTTCGTCCATGTTGTAACCTTTTTATGTCCAAATAATATTGCACTATATAGGTACACCACATTTCATCAGTTGGTGAATGAATTTAGATTGTTTTCACATTTTGGGTATTAGGAATAATGCTGAAGTGAAATTTACTTACAAGTGTTTGTGTGAATACATGTTTTTAGTTCTCTTTGGCATATGCTTATGAGTAGAATTGCTGGGTCATGTGTTCTCTATGTTTAATATTTTGAGGAACTGCCAACTGTTTTCCAAAGCCCCTGGACCATTTTGCTTTCCTGTGTGTATGAGAGTTCCGATTTCTCCACATCTTTGCCGACATTTGTTATTAGCTTTTTTATTATACCCATCTTTGTGATTATAAAGTGATACCTCATGATTTTGGTTTGCATTTTCCTGATTAATGATAACGTTGGACTTATTGGCCATTTGTATAGCTTCTTTGGAGAAGTGTCTACTCAAGTCCTTTGTCCATTTTTAAATTGGGCTATTTGCCTTATTATTGAGTTTCAGAGTTCCTTATCTATTCTGGTTACAAGCCCCTTATCAGATATATGGTTTGCAAATATTTTCCTCCATTCTGTGAGCTTTTAAGAAATGTGCTCCATAGATACAGCAGCTCCTAGCCTGGGAACCCCTACCAAGCTGTTCTATCTTGTTTTCTAAGCACATTTTTATCTAGAGTGATTTGAGACCCTTGGATCAACCCTAAAGCTGTTTCTTCCTTTGAGCTCGTCCTTGGAAAAGATTGTTCCCCTGAAGCTAAGAATTGGAGGAGGATTCAGGGGTTGTTTGGGGCCCAGGACTTCCTGATTATAGAGAACCTGGGAATGCAAAGCTACTTGAACATTGGACCCAGGATGCCTGTCATCTGGTTGCTGCATCATCCTTCTTTGCCTGCTCCTGATTCTTCTCTGCCTTATCTAAAAGACTTTCTCGTCATAAAATCTTCCCTACTTCTTGCCCAGAAGCCCTACCAGCAAAGCAGTTAGGCCACAGGCCTTTGCTCCAAGATGTGAACTTTGCCTGTTTTGCTGTCTGTACTGGGCCCTTAGCTTTATACATCTTGGTTATGGACCAAACTTGCCCATCCACCTTCTATCCCCCAATATATGTAACTCCTCCCATTCCATGCCCTAGGAACATTTGCATCCATCTTGAACAGCACTTTGTAATTGTATGAAGCTCCATATATACGGTAAAAAATAACAATAGCAGTAATGATCTACTCTGTCCTTGTCTAGCATGGACAGTAATTGCACAAAGCTGATTAATGTGCACATTCCGAGGGCAAAGAGAACTTAACCACATGATCATGCTTTATACAAAAATGCACAATTGGTTCAAAGCTCCAGTGGTTTCCAGGGGGCTCAGGAAACATCCTCGCTCTCGTTTCTAGCTTGTGTCAGCTACACAGTAACTGGTGGCATGGTGGATGGAGTTTTGTGGCCCTGACTTATAATAAGAGGCAGATTTATTTAAATAGCATTCAGATGAGCAGCCAGGCTGCTCTTTTGATGCTTACTATGAAGGGCCATTACAAATCTACTATTTTCTGCTGCCTTTTATTTTAAGTCCAATTAAGTGGATAGCCACAAATAGCTCTGACCTTGAAAGTCTAAGTGAAGGTGAGATGGGAGAACAGGCTTAGGAAACATATGTTTTGGCGTGTTAATGCTCTGCAAGTCACACACACTTGAGGAAAATAAATAGAACAGGACAAGATAGTGTTGTGCTTTAGGAGGAAGAATTTAAATGCCCTGGGAAATAACACCACATGCCTCCCTGGTGCAGAATCATAAACTGGGCTAAAAATTAATCCAACTCTATCTCCGTTTCCCTGGGAGACAAGCCCCAAGTAAGTGTTATTGGCAGTTATGCTCATTGCATAATCACCTTGGATTGGCATCTCTGCCACATGCCACTACCGAATGATGCTTCCTTCTCTCGGCAGCCCCAATACTTGCTTTTGGTTATTTATTTTTAATAAAACATTGCTTAGAATACCGTACCACCATCTCAGTCCAGTTTCTTGCAAATGTGGATCACAGGATGAATCTTCTGGAGTTGAATAGCTTGTTTAAAAAATATTAGTAAGGGGCCTCTTAATGAAATTATTGAAGTCTAAGAGTTGGGTTACAGAAATTTAAAGAGCTGTTTTTTACCATCTTAAAAAAATATTAAGTATTTGTAATGTGCTATGAGTTGCTCTTCTCTATCTTTAACCTCATCAGTCCTGGGAAATAAATATCTTTCTGAGGATCTTACTGACTCACTGAATGGTCAATGTTAAGTTTTAGTTTCTATAAACCTATCTCAAAATATTTTATGTGCTACTGTCTCACTACATGCTCCAATATTTTACAAGTTACCTATGCATTTATCTGTTTCCAATTTTCTCCATCAGGAAGTGGGAGCAGATGACCTTTCTCTTGTCTTGTAGGATAGTATGATAGTTAGTAAGGTAATAGGAATGGATCACTATCTGAGCCCATGCTAGAACAAAACTGCAGACATGAAGAGACTGTGACAAGTAGATTAAAATGATTTCAAGCACATTTTTAGTGTAAAGTTCAAATAGTCTTTATAGAAAGGATTGCTCTAATGTGACTATCCTGAAAAAAAATGCATATAGTATTAATCTTGAGAGATTAATAAAGCACTTTCTGGCAAACTATATTTGGGTATGATTTTAATCCCATAAACTTCCGTTAATCCAGAAGTATCTTACTTAGATGTCCAGAACAGAACCGAGATCCAAAACCAAGAGAACTTTTGAACGGCCAAATAGATGCCAGAAGATCAATGCTCTAAATTCCAGGCACTTAGTCATACAGCAACTTCTTGAGACTCTGCATTAAAGTCTGCTTACTTTGGTCATATACAGAAATCAGGCAAGTTAGGTTTCCTGGCTCATAAAGAAATTAGAAGCAGCGAATGCAGTCTACATGGGACAATATAGACTGCATTTGCTTCTTCTAATTTCTTTATGAGCCTGGAAACCTAACTTGCTTTATTTAGGTAAGTAAGTTACCTAAAGTAACTAAAGTAAGTGCACAGTGTGCACAGTGCCTGCTACTGACCTATTTAGTGCCTTTAAGCAGATTTTAAAAGGCTCCCTGCACTGAGCAGACCAAATAGAACAGGCAACCCCCCACAGACACAAGTGTAGACAGACCTGTAGGTGTAGGACGTGTTAAGCAAAAGGCATTTTGTGCAAAAAGAAAGGTGCCATCTTTTCTGGGTGGACAGATGCAGTGTCCACCAGGACTCATGGCTTGGAGTGTGGAACATGGGCTCTGATCCCCACTCAGCCATGCATCTCTGGGTAGTGCACAAATGCACAGCGTAGGATGCAGCCCTGCTGATTACATTGGTAACACAGTCAGTGGCAGTAAGCATCGGAAGAACCATAAGAACATAGAAAAATATATTTGTCTGGGGTCAGTAAGTGTAGGGTCAAAACACAACACTTTACCTCATGGTGTCTGCAGGCATGAAAGTAATATAGTAATTAATGTTGATAATACCCAAAGAAATACTGACAAAGTCTGACTCATGTTCACTGTGACTCATGTTAGAGACAGTGGAAGTGTTGAGACAGGCTGTAGGGTCAAGTGTGTGAGCAGAGTGACCCACATGTTCAGGCACTGGTGCCATGAATCAGGTGGGTAACAGTGGTGGCCTGGCCCAGGTGGTGGCAGCAGAGGCAGTGAGAAGTGATCAAATGCTGGACGTATCTTGAAGGTAGAGCTAACGACATTTGCTGATGGGTTTGGTGAGGGAAGGATAAAAAGAGAGAAATCGAGGGTGACACTGAGATTTTTTGTCCTGTGTAACTAGAAGAATGGAATTGCACTTAATGGAAAAGGGGAAGACTTCAGGAGGAGTGGGTTTCAAGTAGAAAAGAGAGGAGTTCAATTTTGGGTTTAAGATGGTTAACTTGAACATTGAAATGGAGATGCTGAGTAGGAAGTTGGGTATGAGTCTGGAATTCAGACTAGAAATACAAGTTCAGACACGAGAGTGTAGATAATGTGTAAAGCCATGGGATGGAATAAAATCACCCAGGAATGAATGTAGCAGGGAAGAACTCAAAGGCCTAAGTCCTGGGATTCATAGCATTGAAGCATGAGGAAAACAAGGAGAAACCAGCAAGGGAGCCTGGGAGGTGCAGCTACTGAGGAAGGAAGAAGACTGGAGAATGGGAAGCCAGATGAAGAAAGCACAGTAGTCCCTCCTTTTCCACAGTTTCAATTACCCACGGTCAACCACAGTCAACCACAGTCTGAAAATGTTAAATGGAAAATTCCTGAAATAAACAATTCATGAGTTTAAGTTGAGTGCTGCCATTCCAAGTGGCATGATGAAATTTTGTGCTGTCGCTCTCTGTCCCACCCAGAATGTGAATAATCCCATTGTCTAGGGTATCCACGCTGTAGATGCTACCCACCCATTAGTCACTTAGTAGCCATCTCAGTTATCAAATTTAAGAAACAAAATATAGAGAGGGTTCAGTACCATTTGAGGTTTCATGTATCCAGTGGGGGTCTTGGGACATATCCTCCTCTGATAAGGGGAGGCTACTATATCAAAGAAAAGAAACTGGTGACCAAGTAGGATGAGGTCAGAGAATTGAACATTGGGGTTAGCAATGAAGAGGTCATTGGCGACTTGGTAAGAGAAGCTTTGGAGTGCTTGGGTGAAAACCTGGCCAAGTGGGTTCAAGAAGTGAGAGAATGTGAATTAGAGGTATTTGTAAGGGAGGATGAACAAATGGGGATGGAAGCTGGAAGAAAAATATAGAGTTGCTATGGTTTAAATGTTTGTCTCCTCCAAAACTCATGTTGAAACTTAATTCCCAATGTGGCAGTATTGAGAGGTGGGGCCTTTAAGAGGTGATTGGGTCTTGAGGGCCCTGTCTTCATTAATCAATTAATTTACCCATGGATTAATGGATTAATGGGTTATTGTGGGAATGGAACTGATGGCTTCATAAGAAGAAGAAGAAAGACCTGAGCTAGCACACTTAGCCCGTTCACCATGCGATGCCCCATGCTGCCTCAGGACTCTGCAGACAGTCCCCACCAACAAGAAGACTCTTAGCAGGTGCAGCCTCTAGACCTTGGACTTTGCAGCCTCCTTCTTTCCCTTTATAAATCACCCAGTTTCAAGTATTCTTTTATAACCAACAAAAGATGAACTAAAACAGAGATCAAGTGATTTTTCTTTTTAAAAGTAAGAGATTTTACAGATAAGTTCCTGGTCAAGTTGGCTGAATAAAAACAGCTCTGGTCTGCAGTTCCCAGCAAGACCAACACAGAAGGCAGGTGATTTCTGTATTTCCAACTGAGGTACCCGGTTCACCTCACTGGGACTGGTTAGACAGTGCATGCAGCCCACAGAGGGTAAGCAGAAGCAGGGTGGGGCATCACCTTACCTGGGAAGCACAAGGGGTTGGGGAACTCCCTCCCCTACCCAAAGGAAGCCATGAGGGACTGTGCTGTGAGGAACAGTGCTATCTGGCCCAGATACGACCCTTTTCCCATGGTCTTCACAACCCGCAGACCAGGAGATTCCCTCAGTTGCCTATACCACAAGGGCCCTGGGTTTCAAGCACAAAATTGTACGGCCATTTGGGCAGACACTGAGCTAGCTGCAGAAGTTTTTTGTTTTTTGTTTTTAACCCAGTAGTGCCTGGAATGCCAGTGAGACAAAACCGTTCATGCCCCTGAAAAGGGGGCTGAAGCCAGGGAGCCAAGTGGTCTAGCTAAGCAGATCCCACACCCATGGAACCCAGCAAGCTAAGATCCACTGGCTTGAAATTCTCGCTACCAGCACAGCAGTCTGAAGTCGACCTGGAACACTTGAGCTTGATCGGGGGAGGGGTGCCTGCCGTGACTAAGGCTTCAGTAGGCGTTTTTTCCCTCACAGTGGAAACAAAGTCACTGGGAAGTTCTAACTGGGTGGAGCCCACCACAGCACTGCAAAGTCACTGTAGCCAGACTGCCTCTCTATATTACTCCTCTCTGGGCAGGGCATCACTGAAAGAAAGGTAGCAGCCTCAGTCAGGGACTTATAGATAAAACTCCCATCTCCCTGGGGCAGAGCACCTGGGGGAAGGGGTGGCTGTGGGCGTAGCTTCAGCAGACTTAAACGTCCCTGCCTGCCGGCTCTGAAGAGAGCAGCAGATCTCCCAGCACAGCACTCGAGCTCTGCTAAGGGACAGACTGCCTCCTCAAGTGGGTCGCTGACCCTCATGCCTTCTGAAGGGGAGACAGCTCCCAGCAGGGGTCAACAGACAACTCATACAGGAGAACTCTGGCTGGCATCTGGCAGGTGCCCCTCTGGGATGAAGCTTCCAGAAGGAGCAGGCATCAATCTTTGCTGTTCTGCAGCCTCTGCTGGTGCAGGCAAACAGGTTCTGGATTGGACCCCCAGCAAACTCCAGCAGACCTACAGAAGAGGGGCCTGTCTGTTAGGAGGAAAACTAACAAACAGAAAGCAATAGCATCAACATCAATAAAAAGGATGACCATGCAAAAACTCCATCTGAAGGTCACCAACAGCAAAGACCAAAGGTAGATAAATCCCTGAAGATGAGGAAAAAACAGAGCAAGTAGGCTAAAAATTCCAAAAACCAGAATGCCTCTTCTCCTCCAAAGGATCACAACTCCTCACCAGCAAGGGAACAAAACTGGACAGAGAATGAGTTTGACGAATTGACAGAAGTAAGCTTCAGAAAGTGGGTAATAACAAACTCCTCCAGGCTAAAGGAACATATTCTAGCCCAATGCAAGGAAGCTAAGAACCTTGATAAAAGGTTAGAGGAATTGCTAACCAGAATAACCACTTTAGAGAAGAACATAAATGACCTGACTGAGCTGAAAAACACAGCACAAGAACTTTGTGAAGCATACTCAAGTATCAATAGCCGAACTGGTCAAGTGGAAGAAAGGATATCAGAGATTGAAGATCAACTTAATGAAATAAAGCATGAAGACAAGATTAGAGAAAAAAGAATGAAAAGGAATGAACAAAGCCTCCAAGAAATATGGGACTATGTGAAAAAAACAAACCTACATTTGATTGGTATACCGGAAAGTGACATGGAGATTGGAACCAATTGGAAAACACACTTCAGGATATTATCCAGGAGAACTTCCCCAACCTAGCAAGGCAGGCCAACATTCAAATTCAGGAAATACTGAGAACACCACAAAGATACTCCTCGAGAAGAGCAACCCCAAAACACATAAATGTCAGATTCACCAAAATTGAAATGAAGGAAAAAATGTTAAGGTCAGCCCGAGAGAAAGGTTGGATTCCCCACAAAGGGAAGCCATCAGACTAACAGCAGTTCTGTCTGCAGAAACCCTACAAGCCAGAAGAGAGTGGGGGCCAATATTCAACATTCTTAAAGAAAAGAATTATCAACCCAGAATTTCATATCCAGCCAAACTAAGCCTCATACATGAAGGAGAAATAAAATCCTTTACAGACAAGCAAACGCTGAGGGATTTTGTCACCACCAGGCCTGCCTTACAAGAGCTCCTGAAGGAAGCACTAAATATGGAAAGGAAAATCAGGTACCAGCCACTGCAAAAACAAACCAAAATGTAAAGACCATCGGCACTATGAAGAAACTGCATCAACTAATGGGCAAAATAACCAGTTAGCATCATAATGGCAGGATCAGATTCACACATAACAATATTAACCTTAAATGTAAACGGGCTAAATTCCCCAATTAAAAGGCACAGACTGGCAAATTGGATAAAGAGTCAAGACCCATTGGTGTTCTGTATTCAGGAGACCCATCTAATGTGCAAATACATACATAGGCTCAAAATAAAGGGATGCAGGAAGATTTACTAAGCAAATGCAAAGCAAAAAAAAAAGCAGGAGTTGCAATCCTAGTCTCTGATAAAACAGACTTTATACAAACAAATATCAGAAAAGACAAAGAAGGTCATTACATAATGGTAAAGGGATCAATGCAACAAGAAAAGCTAACTATCCTAAATATATATGCACCCAACACAGGAGCACCCAGATTCATAAAGCAAGTTATTAGAGACATACAAAGAGATTTAGACTCCCACACAGTAATAGTGGGAGACTTTAACACCCCACTGTCAATATTAGATCAATGAGACAAAAAATTAACAGAGATATTCAGGACTTGATCTCAGCTATGGACCAAGAGGACCTAATAGACATCTACAGAACTCTCCACCCCAGATCAACAGAATACACATTCTTCTCTGCACCACATAGCACTTATTCTAAAATCAACCACATAATTGGAAGTAAAACACTCCACAGCAAATGCTAAAGAATGGAAATCATAACAGTCTCTCTGACTACAGTGCAATCAAAATAGAACTCAGGATAAAGAAACTCACTCAAAACCACACAATTACATGGAAATTGAATAACTTGCTCCTGAATGACTACTGCGTAAATAACAAAATTAAGACAGAAATAAATAAGTTCTTTGAAACCAATGAGAACAAAGACACAATGTACCAGAATCTCTGGGACACAGCTAATGCAGTGTTTAGAGGGAAATTCACAGCACTAAATGCCCACAGGAGAAAGTGGGAAAGATCCAAAATTGACACTCTAACATCACAGTTAAAAGAACTAGAGAAGCAAGAGCAAACAAATTCAAAAGCCAGTAGAAGTAAGATCAGAGCAGAACTGAAGAAGATAAAGACAGAAAAAAACCTTCAAAAAAATCAGTGAATCCAGGAGCTGGTTTTTTGCAAAGATTAACAAAGTAGATAGACTGCTAGCCAGACTAATAAAGAAGAAAAGAGAGAAGAATCAAATAGACGCAATAAAAAATGATAAAGGAGAGATCACCACTGATGCCACAGAAATACAAACTACCATCCAAGAATACTATAAACACCTCTATGCAAATAAAATAGAAAATCTAGAAGACATGGATAAATTCCTGGACACATATATCCTCCCAAGACTAAACCAGGAAGAAGTCGAATCCCTGAGTAGACCAATAACAAGTTCTGAAATTGAGGCAATAATTAATAGCCTGCCAACCAAAAAAAGCCCGGGACCAGATGGATTCACAGCCAAATTCTACCAGAGGTACAAAGAGGAGCTGGTATCATTCCTTCTGAAACTATTCCAAACAATAGAAAAAGAGAAAGTCCTCCCTAACTCGTTCTATGAGGCCAGCATCATCCTGATACCAAAACCTGGCAGAGACACAACAAAAAAAGAAAATTTCAGGCCAATATCCCTGATGAACATCAATATGAAAATCCTCAATAAAATGCTGGCAAACCGAATCCAGCAGCACATTAAAAAGCTTATCCACCATGATCAAGTCAGCTTCATCCCTGGGATGCAAGACTGGTTCAACATATGCAAATCAATAAACATAATCCATCACATAAACAGAACCAGTGACAAAACTACATGATTATCTCAACAGATGCAGTAAAGGCCTTTGATAAAATTCAACACCCCTTCATGCTTCACTCCATAAACAAGGTATTGATGGAACATATCTCAAAATAATAAGAGCTATTTATGACAAACTCACAGCCAATATCATACTGAATGGACAAAAGCTGGAAGCATTCCCTTTGAAAACTGGCACAAGACAACGATGCCCTCTCTCACCACTGCTATTCAACATAGTATTGGAAGTTCTGGCCAGGGCAATTAGGCAAGAGAAAGAAACAAAGGGTATTCAAATAGGAAAAGAGAAAGTCAAATTATCTCTGTTTGCAGATGACACGATTGTATATTTAGAAAACCCCATTGTCTCAGCTCAAAAACTCCTTAAGCTGATAAACAACTTCAGCAAAGTCTCAGGATACAAAATCAATGTGCAAAAATCACAAGCATTCCTATACACCAATAATAGACAAACAGCCAAATCATGAGCAAACTCCCATTCACAGTTGCTACAAAGAGAATAAAATACCTAGGAATACAACTTACAAGGGATGTGAAGGACCACCTCAAGGAGAACTATAAACCACTGCTCAAGGAAATAAGAGAGGACTCAAACAAATGGGAAAAACATTCCGTGCTCATGGATAGGAAGAATCGATATCATGAAAACAGCCATACTGCCCATAGTAATTTATAGATTCAATGCTATTCCCATCAAGCTACCATTGACTTTCTTCACAGAATTAGAAAAAACAACTTTAAATTTCATATGGAACCAAAAAAAAAAAAAAAAAAGCACATATAGCCAAGACAATCCTAAGCAAAAAGAACAAAGCTGGAGGCATCAAGCTACCTGACTTCAAACTATACTACAAGGCCACAGTAACCAAAACAGCTTGGTACTGGTACCAAAACAGATATATAGACCAATGGAACAGAATAGAGGCCTCAGAAATAACACCACACATCTACAACCATCTGATCTTTGACAAATGTGACAAAAACAAGCAATGGGGGAAGAATTCCCTATTTAATAAATGGTGTTGGGAAAACTGGCTAGCCATATGCAGAAAGCTGAAACTGGACTCCTTCCTTACACTTTATACAAAAATTAACTCAAGATGGATTAAAGACTTAAACGTAAGACCTAAAACCATAAAAACCCTAGAAGAAAACCTAGGCAATACCATTCAGGACATAGGCATGGGCAAAGACTTCATGACTAAAACACCAAAAGTAATGGCAACAAAAGCTAAAATAGACAAATGGGATCTAATTAACCTAAAGAGCTTCTGCAGAGCAAAAGAAACTATCATCGGTGTGAACAGGCAACCTACAAAATGGGAGAAAATGTTTGCCATCTATTAATCTGACAAAGGGCTAATATCCAGAATCTACAAGGAACTTCAACAAATTTACAAGAAAAAAACAACCCCATCAAAAAGTGGGCAAAGGATATGAACAGACACTTCTCAAACACTTTTGCACTCTTGGTGGGACTGTAAACTAGTTCAACCATTGTGGAAGTCAGTGTGTCGATTCCTCAGGGATCTAGAACTAGAAATACCATTTGACCCAGCCATCCCATTACTGGGTATATACCCAAAGGATTATGAATCATGCTGCTATAAGGACACATGCACACGTATGTTTATTGCGGCACTATTCACGACAGCAAAGACTTGGAACCAACCCAAATGTCCAACAACGATAGACTGGATTAAGAAAATGTGGCACATATACACCACGGAATACTATGCAGCCATAAAAAATGATGAGTTCATCTCCTTTGTAGGGACGTGGATGAAGCTGGAAACCATCATTCTCAGCAAACTATCGCAAGGACAAAAAACCAAACACCGCATGTTTTCACTCATAGGTGGGAATTGAACAATGAGAACACGTGGACATAGGAAGGGGAGCATCACACATGGGACTGTTGTGGGATGGGGGAAAGGGGGGAGGGACAGCATTAGGAGATATACCTAATGCCAAATGAGAAGTTAATGGGTGCAGCACACCAACATGGCACATGTATACATACGTAACAAACCTGCACGTTGTGCACATGTACCCTAAAACTTAAAGTATAATAATAAAATAAAATAAAATAAAATAAAAAAATTAAAAAATGACATTTATGCAACCAACAAACATATGAAAAAAAGCTCATCATCACTGGTCATTACAGAAATGCAAATCAAAACCACAATGAGATACCATCTCACGCCACTTAGAATGGTGATCATTAAAAAGTCAGGAAACAACAGATGCTAGAGAGGATGTTGAGAAATAGGAACGTTTTTACACTGTTGGTGGGAGTGTAAATTAGTTCAACCATTGTAGAAGATAGTCTGGTGATTCCTCAAGGATCTAGAACCAGAAATACCATTTGACCCAGCAATCTAATTACTGGGTACATACCCTAAGGATTATAAATCATTCTACTATAAAGACACATGCACACATGTTTACTGCAGCACTGTTCACAATAGCAAACATTTTTTTAAATTTAATTTATTTTTTTATTATACTTTAAGTTAAAGGTACCTGTGCACAACATGCAGATTTGTTACATACGTATACATGTGCCATGTTGGTGTGATGCACTCCTTAACTTGTCGTTTACGTGAGGTGTATCTCCTAATGCTAACCCTCCACCCTCCCCCCACCCGGCAACAGGCCCTGGTGTGTGATGTTCCCCACCCTGTGTCCAAGTGTTCTCATTGTTCAATTTCCACCTATGAGTGAGAACATGTGGTGTTTGGTTTTCCGTCCTTGCGATAGAACAAACATTTGGAACCAACCCAAATGCCCATCAATGTTAGGCTGGATTAAAAAAAAGGTGGCACATATACACCATGGAATACTATGCAGCCATAAAAAAGACTGACTTAATGTCCTTTGCAGGGACATAGATGACGCTGGAAACCATCATTTTCAGCAAACTAACACCAGAACAGAAAACCAAACACCACATGTTCTCATTCATAAGTGGGAGTTGAACAATGAGAACATATGGGCATAGGGAGGGGAACATCACACAGGAGCCTGTTGGGGGGGTCAGGGACAAGGGGAGGGATAGCATTAGGAGAAATACCTAATGTAGATGACAGGTTGATGGGTGCAGCAAACCACCATGCCACATGTATACCTATGTAACAAACCTGCACGTTCTGCACATGTATCCCAGAATTTAAAGTATAATAAAAAAATAAAAGTAAGAAAATTTATAGTACATTTGTGTGGTAATGGGAATTACACAGCAGAGGAAAGATTTGATAATTCAAGAGAGGGAGAATTACTGGTGCGTTGTCCTTGAATGGATGGGGAATGGGCGGGGGATCCTGCACACAAATGGAAAGGCCCTGACAAGTGCCCACATTTTAATAGTAAGGAGGGAGCCGAGTGATTGCCCAGCTACAGGTAATGGGTGAATGTCTTGGTGGGACTTGGAGAAGCTGTCTTTTTGTTTCTATTTTCTCAATAAAATAGGAGGCAACAGATTTCCAAAATTTGATTGAAAAATTCCTTGGTGAATATTGAAAATCATCTGTGGATCACACCAACATTCAACAAAATAAAGTTATGTGGCTCAGATTGAATTACCAAAATCTGTACTGCTTGAGAAGCCAGGAAGCAGGATGATAAACATTAATCTATCTTATTTTAAAAGGCCACATTATTTTTTAACAAAAGGATATAGCAGGGTGTTTATATGGAGTTTGATGGGCCTCAAGGGTGGTTCACTCACTTTCTCAGGAGCCCTATTTATGCCAGTATATGGTTTATGGTGGAAACATAGAAAGAAGTCAGTGAACTGTAAGTTTCATTCAGGCAGAAATCTGTTTTATTCACACATGAATCCCTAATGCCTAAAAGAGTGCCTGGCAAATAATAGATACCCAGTAAATAATTATTGAGTAAATGACTGATGTCAAAACCAAAGTCAACTAGAGTATTCTTTACTTAAAGAGATACAGCAATTAATTTTAAGTAATCTGTTTTTACATTGTCCAATTTTATCATTCAAGTGCAAGTGTCCATATGGCTGCAATGCTGCCATTTTCCTCCAAACACTGTTTTGTGAACTGACTAAAGAATATTGTTCTGCTTTTATGGGATAATTTCAGAGGATTCAATCCATAAATTCACTTTGCAGTTGAAAAGCTGGCAGAATCTGTGCAGAATATTAATCTATTCCTTGATCTTATCTGGTCCAATCTCATTATTAAATGGTTATGGAGATCATGGTGTTTAATGGGTAAAATGCTGGGCACCATCTGTTGATGGGCTGGACACCAATACTGAGAAACCCAGATATGGTTGTAGAAATTCAAAACAAGATTCTCTGGTATTTAGGTTATGCCAACTTGCTACCATATGGCAGACATGGTAAGAATCAGGAACTAAATAGAAGCATCGTGCTTTGTATTCCAGATCTAAGTGGCTGTTTGTAGGTGTCTTTTGTTTGATCTTCTTTGTAAACAGCAGGATCACAAAGTAAGCTAATTGTACTTTATTTCTCTTTGCTTGGCAAGATGAGAGTCTTCACATAAATCAATAGGCTGCATACTGATTGCTGTGCAATCTTGACACAAAAGAGTTAGGCAAGCACTTTTTGCAGTCTATCCCAGAAACAGAAGGAAGGTGCATTGCGGTATGGGGTAAGCTATTGAATCAAGGAGAACAGACGACTTTACCTTAGTAGAACAAGAGAATGTGTTCTAGCTCCAACTTTCTGATTAGCAGGAATTACTGACAGCAGTGATAAGCAGGAAGTGAAATGACTGTCTTGATTTCTTTCTTACTGAATATAGCATTATTTAAAAGGAATTACCTTCCTTTATTAAAAACAAACCAATCCTGATAAGTTTCTTCTTTCGTCTTGGACCCTCACACTTACAAAAGCCAATCCCGTTCAAAAACCTTTCAAATATACACTACTCCTATGGTTCTTTCAAAAGAAGGAAACCTTGATCTCTTGTTGCTTTATAGCAAGGAGAGTTTTCCAAATAATGTTATATTCTAATTCTTAGGGGGTTTTTTTTGTTTGTTTAAGTAAAGACCTACTGAAAATAAATAAGGAAAGTTCAGAATTTGTGTAGAATAGTCCTAATTAGAAAACTTTCTGATCCCACAAACAGGTTATTTATGGTTGTTCCTCCTTTCCTGCTCCAGAGAAGGGCTGACGTCCTATTCATGTGGACAAACAAAGAGTGATGGGATGGGAAACTGGGGTTGATGGATACTCCCTGTGTCTATCTTCTTCACAGACTTAGTTCAGGCAAAAAGCCTGGACTCCATGTCTATTGGTAGGTCACAGGAGACACAGGACTCCATGTCTATTGGTAGGTAGGTTATTTTCTTTAATGTTCTATAAACCAGTTTTTCCTGTTTTATATAAAAATTATTCTAGCATAGACGCAGTGATCAAATCTCTTCACTTTCTCTGTTGGTATGTATCTTAGTCTGTTTTGTGTTGCTATAACATAATACCTGAGACTAGATAATTTATAAAGAAAAAAAGTTTATTTAGCTCATGGTTCTACAGGCTGGGAATTTCAAGGTCATGGCCCTGGCTTCTGGGGAGGGCTTTCATACAGGGTTCTAACATGAAAAAGAAGGTAAAAGGGGAAGTGGACATGTGCAGAGAGAAACCCAAGGAGCATTCTGGCTTTGTAACAACCCACTCTAGAGGGAACTAATCTATTCTCAAGAGTAATAATACAGTCTTGCCAGAGGGAGAACTCACTACCAAGAGTATAGTACTAAGCCATTCATAAGGGATCCATCCCCCATGACCCAAACACCTCCCACTAGACCCCACCTCCCAACATCCTCAGCACACACTGAAGATCAAATTTCAACGTGAATTTTGGTGAAGACAAATAAATGATAGTAGTATGTCTTTATCTTTTTCAAGATCTCTACTGGGTTTTATGTGACTTTAAAAGACTGGGAAATTCCACTGGCTTATTGGGGTATTTTAGATGTTTCTTTATTTCAGTTATGGGCCTGGCCCTTACCTCAAGCTAATTTTTAATTATCATTGGACTATTTCTGCTTTGCATCTATTTGCTAACAAAGAAAAAAATAGCCTTCTAGAATTTTAGGTGAACATAATTTAAAGCAAGACAAAGGAGGAGGAGGAGAAAGAAAAGAAGAAACAAAAGAAACTGCTTTACAATTTTTTTTCTTCTTGGCAACTAACTTTATGAATCAGTGAAATTTTTCAGCTACTGACAAGTGTTTTTATACAGCCATGTATTTTGCTGCCATGTTTAGTTTCATCCAAAGGTCTCAAATTTATTAAACATACAGTATGTTAAATACACAACAATCCCCATGCTCAGTTCTCGGGGTACAGAGACAAATGAAACGCAGTCTTGCCTTCAAGGAATTTACAACCTGTTATCATCTGATTAGTCAGTTGTTTCAATTGTGAGTTGGTAAATTGAATGAATTGACTCCAGAATTTTGAGGTAGGCATTTCTGTTTTTAAAAAGTTTCAGGCTGGGCACAATGCCTCCCACCTGTAACCCTAATGCTTTTGGAGGCTGAGTCAGGAAGATTGCCTGAGCCCAGGAGTTTGAGGCTACAGTGAGTAATGATGGTGCCACTTACTGCAGCCTGGGCAACAGAGTCAGACCATTGTCTCTAAAAAAAAAAAAAAAAAAAAAAAGCTTCAGTAAAAGAAGTGTGAATATCAAGCTCTAGTTTTATACATTTCTGATGTCACGTTTTCTCTCCCTAAAACACTTCCCTAAACTTGAGCATTTGCTAGAGAAAGACTAGAGAAACATCATCTTTTTCCGATTGAAGTGAACAGACTTAAGTCAAAGTTTCTTTCAAAGAGCCTGGTCTGAAATGGAGCCAGACAAAATCTGGTTTTTAGCTCCAGAATAATCTGGAACTTTAGGATAATCAGTAGTGCTTCTCAAAGGTGAATTAGTTGTCACATAATTACATGACTGCCCAAGCAGAGAACCCAGCTGGGCCATGCTGGGCCTGGACTTCTGACAACAGAAACTGTAGGATAATATATAAATATTGTTGTCAGCATCAAATTTTGTGGTAATGTGTTAGAGCAGCAATAGAAAATTAATACACTCATGATAACAGCATTATATAAAAAGCTGTCCAAAAATGTTAGAATATCAATAGCTAAGCTTTGAATATTTGCAAAGAATCACCACAAAATATTTAAGCCTATGATTCTCTTCTTCTCAGAGTCCCTTTGGATTTATTTTCTTTCTTGCCATTTCTATAGTTTTTTTAAAACTCCTCTGCAGAAGGGCACATCCATTTGTTTATGGATTCATTCATCAAATATTTATTATATATCAACTATGTATGTGCCTGGCTGGGCATTTGGAGGTAAAATCTGATTTAGGAATGGTCATTTCACAGACATGAAAGCAGATCATTGTATACAGTTTCAGTGCTCAAATTTGAAGGTTATTGCTGGACACACAGGGCACTCAAAGCAGTTAGCAGGTAGCAGGTAACTTGGTGAATTTGCCATGGTCAGGAACCTGGCCCTCAGCCCAGTGGAATCATAAACCTGATCATGATAGCTCACTGCAAAGGGATTGTCTCTCCTAGGTGGACTTATGTGAACCAAGCTCATTATGACTGCTATATATTAATACAAATCCAATTACAGCCCATTGTAATACAATGAGAGCTACATCGCTAAAACCAAATGGAAAGGTAAAATCAGTGCCGTATCTGACTGTAGGTGAGTAAAATTATAATAACCAGGTGACAATCTATTAATTTACGATTAGGAATTAAACTGTGAAGTTGACTGTTCTGACTAGCACGTTGGCTGTCTACAGATAACAAACTAAGGAGCCAGATTATGGCATCGTAGTGGACTTAAGAAGTGTTGCTTTGCTAAAATAGCTTGATAGACTCTGACCCACAGCAGGGATGACCTTACTGAGGAAAATGGAGCATTTGCCCAGCCAAGATTTCCTCTATCCTTCAGCACCGTTGGACAGGCCTGGCCAACTCTTGCTGTAATTTCCCCTCTTTGTCATACTTCCACACCCGGCCACCTGTTTCACACTATTTCCGTAACACAGTACGGTAGATACAATTATGTTTTCACTTAATAAGTTTCAATTATTTTTTTCAGTTCTTCAAGGTTGCTCCCAAGTCACGTGGATTAGAATTTGGGGTGTTCTACTTTTTACTTATATGTGATAAACAGTCCTCTGGGTTTGTGCTCACAGAGAATTGATCAATGGGATAACTGCAATAATAGAAGTGTACAGAGGGTCCTATGAGAACTTAGGACAAGAAAAAACTAACATGTATTGAATTCCTACTAGGGACCAAGTACTTGGCAAGGATTCTACATGTATTATCTTATGTAATCCTGTAGTATCCCCATCATGTAAAAACTGGAGATTAAGGAACTTGCCCCTGGTTGCAAATCAAGCTAGAGGCGGGACCAGGATTTAAGCCCAGGCCATCTGAGCTCAGAGCTTATGTTCTTAACTGCTGTGCTCTCTTGCCTGCCTTTCATCTTTCAGTCTTTATACCTGCTCAGAAGGTTAGAGAGGTATATCAGTCTAGGCTCGGTTGCAGAAAATAGAAACCATCTTATTATTTTAAAGAGAGATCAGGTTTTAATGTAGGAATTGGATGCTTATAAAATCATTGAAAGGCCTGTGGAGCAGGCTAGGTCTCAGTGTGCTATGTCTCGGACCTCACTGTAAAACTGGTCTGCCTGAAGAGAGCTGCTTCTGCCTGTCGAGCAGGAGAGGAATCGGGATGCTGCCACTGGAACTGTGCATTTTGGCACAGTTTTGGTTCTCTAAAAGAAGCTTGGAGTTGCATTTTGGCACATACCACCACCAGGGCCCTGCCATTCAGTGCTTAGGATCCTAGTTACAAAACACCACAGGTTATTAAAAAAAAAAAAAAAATCCTCCCATGATTTCCAGGAGAAAGAGCAGAAACACAGCCTCTAACCTGACTTTCACCTTCTAAATCCAGCTTGAGAGTGTCTGATTGGCTGAACCTAAATAAACCCTGCACCCAGCTGCAAGGGCATCTGTACTGTCAGATTTCCAAGCCTCTGCAGATCAGGAAGGCATGCTAGAAGGAAAGTGGAATAGACACTGGGCACCAGTCCCGCTGTCATTGAAGAATTCAAGGCTCAAAGGTTCAGTTGAAGTGCTTAAGTTCACACAGTGAGAAATAGGGCTGGCCAGGCTGTCATGAGATTGTCATGCTCCAAGTCCTACGCTCTTCATGCCTTGGGGAAGGAGGATAGACGGGTGGCTTCAGGAAGAGACTGGCTCTTAGAAGAGTGGACTGTAGTCCTGGGGAGGCAATGAGTGGGGCAGGGCCTGTGGCTGCAGGCGGATCCTTTCTTCTACCCTGCCACTGAGGATGTGGCTCCTTTGACAGAATCTCTGAGGAATTCATTCAGTGGCTTACCTTGGTGAAAGCTGAGTAGTAAGCTTTTTTACCTTCATAGTGTAGTTTAAATTGTTAATGTTGTGGAAAGGATAGGAGTTTTTAAAATTTTTTTTAAGTGTGCTTTTTTGTATCCATGTTCAAATATGTAATCAGTCATTTTCATACCTTTGCTGCTAAAAATACTGCTTGGTTCTCTAAAAGAAGCTTGGAGTTTGATGCAGGTGGAAGGAGATGCTGCCAGATGCCAATTTTTGGAGCCAGAAAGTGCTTGTGGGTCTCATCCCCTGCCACTTTATGTGACAGAGAGAAATCTGAAGGAACTGCTGTGCTCTCCCTGTCCGATACATATCCAGGTGACACAGGATGCCCATCTGGTCCTTGGCTTGCTTTTCTCACTAGTACATACCTTTGGTGGGATGGTAGTTTTAAAGGAATATAACTTATTCTAAAGAGGTGGCCAAGTAGGCCAACAGTGTGCTTGGTGGAAAAAATAAGAAAATATTAAAGCAAGGAAGTGCCTAAGGGTACATGAAACTTGGAGATTCAGATACTACTGCTCACAGTAATGAAATTTAATTCATTTCTTAAAAAATAGAAATGAATGCAACACTAAAGGAAGATGGTGGTTTAAAAATAAAGATTAGTTTTGTGCCAGTCTGACTAATAAGCACCCAACTGTATGAAAATGAACAAACTATTTGGGAATGTTAATAGTTGAGGGTCATTAATATTTTTCTGCATTCTTAGATCTGCTCACCAGCACTTAGAACTCTCCAGAACAAGAGCTGTCTCTATTCTTAAAAGCTTTATTGATTGTCAACACAGATAAAATCCAGTTTCACAAATGCTGGGACTGAGGAATCTGAGAAATCAGATGTGCTGCCTGGTGGAGCACTGGTTGAGAGAGGTGGTTAGATGAGAAATGATTCTGCTGCAGGCTCCTGTCCTCCCTGCCTGCTGAGTTGGAGGAGCCAGCAGTGGTCTGGGGACTTCAAACGGTGCCTTTTGTGTCCTCATTCAAGGCCCATCCAGCTAGAGTATGCAAAGAAAAGGACGGAATATGATAAAATGTGGATCTAGGTCTAAATCTTACTCCTGGCACCTGAGGGATCAGGGACCTCCTTTGAAATCCTTAGAGATTCTGGCCCTTGCATTTTTCTTGCATCTGCTATTTGTCCTCATTTTGTCTGCTAATCCATATAGAGAATTTTGAGCATAGTTTTGCAGTAGGAGCCTAGTATTGCAGGTGGTGCTAGATTGCCTTGGGTCAGAATCTGGCTTGGCCACTTATTATCTATACCACTTTGGGGAAGTCACTCAATTTCTCTGTTCCTGAGTTTCCTCATCTGTAGTATGGGCATGGGAATAGTACCTAGTGTCTAAGATTGTTGTGAGGATATAATGAATTGAGTACACATAGATTCATTCTCCCTCTCTCTCTCTCTTTCTCTCAGTGTTAGCTGTTATTGTTAATGCAGACTCTTTATTTCTTCCTCCCCACAACCATATGAGTTAGGTTTTTTATTAAGTCTATTTATATAGGAGGAAACTGAGGCTCGGTGAGTTTAAGGAGTTTTCCAAGTGTGATGGCGCTCCCAAGGGGCTGGGCCAGGGTCCAGCTCCCCAGGATTGCGTGACTGCATGGTCTGTGTTAAATGGCATCCTTATCTGCCATGATGATCGCTTTGACAGACTTAACCCTTGAAGACACAGCCTCTTTTCTCCAGTCATAGGGAATCTTCATTTTTTCTCATTCAGATTCTGCCATAACCCCTTGGTGTTCGAGTCGGAATTGATCTGTCCATCACCTCATAAGCCCACATTGTTGCCCCATGTTTGACCACTGCTGATGAGATCTGCAGTAACTCACCCTTTCCTAGGGTGAGTTACTGTATATTTCTATCTACCAAGAAAAATCCCTGTTCTACCTAGCTCCATCCTGGATCAAGTCCTCATTCTTTCTGCACCTCTTCTCTCTAGTTTCCGTTCTTATTTCTTCCCTGGAAAGCATCTAGCGCTGATGACACATAAGCAAACGTGTCGCAAGCACTCATCAAATGAACATTTTCAGGTCTAATTCTGCCATTTGACAACCTTTTGACTACGTGGAAAGTGGCTACCACATTGTACATTCTAATTTGAGGGAAGGAATGAATGATTTCTTTGCAGAGAAGCAGCTGGTACATAGAAAGGAGCAGGACAAGTTCATTCTGTCTTTGAAGATTAGGCAGAATTATAATGCCTGTGCTCAGAAATGCCTAATTCAGCCAAGTCTTCTTCTATCTCTTGGTAAAGTGCACTGCCAAGTTAGAAAGGAGCCAGCTCCACCACCCTTCCTACGTCTGATCCTCCAGACACATATTTGCTAAAGAAAGAGCCATGGTCCTATCCGTAATGTTCAGGAAGGGCAGATTGGCATATCAGGTGAGCCTGGTACTCTGCTCACCTACAAGTCTCATGCTTGGTGGGACACTTGGGGCCATGGCTGCAGAGCTATGGAACTCTCTACTCCCCATGTCTGCATCCCTTTTTTCCCCAAAAAATGATTTGGTTTCTCTCCTTTCTCCCCAGCATTGGCTGAAGTTTCTTAGGAACTTGAGATCAGTGGTTCTCAAGGCTGGCTGCACAGTAAAATCACCTGGGAAAGTTTAATAGGATCCTCCAGGTCCCAGCCCACCAAAAATTCAGCTTCAGTGGTTCTCCAGTGGGCTGGAACCCACTCAAGACTTTTAAATTTTGAAAAAATATTCTCAGGTGCTTCTACTTTGTAGGTGATTTGGAAACCACCGGTTTACTAACTATATAGTACTTTGGCCGCCTTTCACATCTCTGCCTTGCTTTCTTTCTCTGTCATATGGACATGATAGTAGCTCTGGCCTCCTAGGGTTGTTGTGAGGATTAACAAGTTAAGATGGATAAAGAGCCCCCAGAAAAATGTCCAGCACATAGTGTTGGCTACAATAACTTTTACTGCTATAATTATTACCGTCAGCGCTAAGTGAAGTCATAGGGGTTCAAAGCAAATAAGGCATATTCCCTCCCCCAGGTTCATAATCCTACGAGGAAGACAAACATGTTACCGAACACAGTCAGCATAAAACAGTAAGCCCCATAGTGAAGGCAGGCACAGAATGCTGTGGGTATACAAACTAGGGGTGCAGCTAAATCTTCAGTCGAGAAGGAAGCCGGCTTACCAGAAGCCGGTCTAACACTAGAGCAGGGTCTTCAGTGAGTTTGCCAGACAAAAGCAGAGTAGGCAGAGGACATTCCAGGTACAGGAACTGTCTGTGCAAAGTCATCTTGATGTGGAAGAGCATCAGATGGCAGACACCTGGCCGGTAGCTTGGCACCATCTGTTGTTGGGGGAAAGTGATGGTCGAGAAGCTGGAAACAGACCAAAGCCAGACCTTGAAGGACCTTTGTGTCTCCCCGAAGGCATTTGGATTTTATCCTCTAGGCATGAAAAGCTGCTGAGGTACTTTAGAAATAGAGAAACATTCTCAAAATTGCATTTTATAAAGATATCGATGAAAAGAGTACACCAAAAGGGAAAATGGCTGGACGGGGGCAGAGCTCAGTTCAGACCCTTTTGCTGTTGTTGAGATCAGAGACAATGATGACTTGAACTAAAGGAGACATAGTATCAAAAGGAATTGGCATTTGATTAGTTGCAGTATGAGGGGGCAGTGGCATTTGGAGATGACTTGGAGACTTCTAGCCTGGGGCTGTTAGAGTCTTCGCATGCTATCTGTAGTTGAGTTGGGAATTATGGGAGGACAAATGGGTTTGGAGAGGAAGAGGGTGAATTGAGTGTTGAGCATGTTGAGTTTAAGAACTGTAGGATATCCAAGCAGAGGATGCTTAAATAGAAGTGTTCATTAGGCAACTGGGGAGGACAGAAAGAGATTGCAGTGGCCCCTGGGCCTTTCTGGTATTCCCAGTGAATCTTCCTGTATTCTGGACCTCAGTTAAAACATTATCTTCCAGTCAGCTTTACAAGCTAAAAACTGAAGTTGTCTTCAAAGACTTCTTTGAACCACCTTCTGACACTAATGTACTCCGGCAGTGTCCAGCAACTGATTCTCCTGGTCTGGGAAGCATGGGCAACTGCAGTTCCTCTGACCTTGGCTTGAGTTCCTGGAGGGTCTAGCAGGCATGTGCTTTGCTCTCCAACTTGGTATATTCCTCTGGACTTGATCACAACGGGTGATCCCAGGTGGGAGAATTTGGTTTATGGTCCCTTTAGCAGAATGCACTGCAGTGTGACATTTACTTTACACTGTTAAAGAAAAATGTTAGCAAGTCCCAGTTGTGAGCATATGGACTAGCTGCTGCTGCATGACCCCAAACCCCACTGAGTCCCACTAATTCGAGTTGCCAGATAAAATATGAGATGCTAGGTAAGTTTCGTTTTTCATTATACAAGGAGTCATTTTTTAGCGTAAGTTTATCCCATGCAATATTTGGGACATACTAAAAATGATTCATTGTTTATCTGCAATGCAAATTTAGCTGAGCATCTTGAATTTTTATTTGCTAAATATGGCTACCCCTAAATTTAATCTACGTTGAACATTTCTTATAATGCCTAGAATCTCTTCTAGTAAGAAATAAGCAGTCCCTTTTGTCTTTAGCACAGGAAGAGACCAGCTAAACTCATTTCTTGGATGATGTGGCTGAGCTCTGGTTCTCCCTTATCCCACAGGCAATAAACTCAGTTTTGTCTTGTTTTCTTTTTAATCTCTGGTGGTCTTTGTTTTATCCTTTGAACATACACACAAATACCTTTTTAAAAAATGGACATCCAACCAAATATAAAAATATGGTCAAAAAAGATTCTGGTTGGTTTAATAGTATTCTAACAGGAAGACAAGCCAAAATAAATGAAATGTATGCTGTTCTTTTATCTCATTTTAAAAGAATTGAATGCCTGTGTTTTGCTGAGGATTCAAGAGATATGGATTGTGTATCTTTTTGTTGTCTATTTTAACCTTTCTCACCTAAGCAACCTGAGCTGAGAGCAAAAAAGAGAGGTAACTTGGGTCGGTATCTAGAATGCCCAAAGCAATTTTGCTGATTCATGAGAACCTCAGGGGCTTATGATGGCATCTGGAAATAACTCTGGAAGCTGGTTGTGCTGATCAAATGTGTCTTATCCTGTACTTCAAGGTCTCTAGAGAGAAGGAACTTACACAATCTGGTACAGCAACCTGTTCCAGATAGGAGGAGGCTCTTGTTGTTTCTAATTTAACACAAACCAACTTCCTCCTGAGCTGTCTCCATTTGAAACAAAGAAGGGTTGCTTATCACCCTCCTCTGTGGCTGAACTGTACTTTGTGATTCATCCTTCCTTCCGTTTCTAGGAATGCTTTATCACTTCTGGTGAGGCCAGTGCTATCAGGAAGCCAGGAGGATGTCTTTAGCTGTGTTGTTAAAACCAACCAACCAACAAACAAACAAACAAACAAAAAAATCAAAAAAGGGACAATAAAAACATCTGGGCCTAGGCTGCCTAGATGAAGGGACTGACCAATATTGCTGGAAATTTATTATCAGGTTAAACCACAACGATCATAATTTTAACATTAACCCACCTAAGATTGTGCAGGCATTCATTCTGCACAATCTTACTGCCCAGCTGTGACTCACAGATCTTTCATTAAACGTGCTCACAATGGTGACTCAACAATTTCTTCCACCACTTACCCCACTACATCAATGGAGGCCAGTCTAAAACTTCTTGTGTTATACTTTTCAGAGGGAAGGGATTAATGTTTTGTCATCTTGTTGAGTATAAAGAAACAAGTCTCATGGTAAAGAGGAAAATGTGCCTGCTGGCTTGCATGAGTGCAATGGGAATTTTTTCTTGTATTAATAGGAGTACTCAGGCAACTGAAATCACAGATCTGCTCTCCTGCATAGTATCTTTATATCTGCTTCAGCTGAGCTGAGTGTGAGCCCCTGCCCAGAACAAATGGCTTTGGATATTTGCTTTTGGTAAATAATTCAATAAATAACCTGGGAACACACATGATATTCACTATTGCATATCTCTTTAGTGAACTTACGAATTTTGCAGAACCAGCAAATAGGAAAATCTGTATAGGCTAAGAGTCAAGAGGCAACTGAGTGTCAGCCCTTAGCACACACTCAGGAGCAGGACTGCTTGCATAGAGCATCTTGCCATGATAGTATTTGCTAACTTTGTGATCTCTGGCAGTTTATTAACCTCTTTGTGCCTCAGTTTCCTCATATATAAAATGAAAATAATCAAAACACCTCACTGATATGTGTGGGTGAAATGGATTGACCCAGAGCAGCTCCAGTCACTTCCTGTCACATGGTTAGCCTTCGTGTGTGTGGTGTGTGTATGTACATGTCTGTGCCATCACAAGTGTGTTCAAGCAGTCTATGGTGACACATTTGCATTTGATCTGTCCTGTGTCACATGGAGCAGGTAGAAATATATGAGTTAGAGAAGACACTCATAGTAAAAGTTAATTTCCAGGTAAGACAAGAAGAATTTCCTTTGGCTAATCTCTTGAAAGGCAAAGTGATATGTCAGATAATAATATGTATATGACTAACTTCTATTAAATGCTGATTACATGCTAGCCACTGTGCTGAGCACTTTATCAGTATTAGTTAGTCCTCTTCTATGTAGGATTATTATCCCTCTTTTACAGATGAAGAGATTGAGGCCTAAAGAGATTAAGTATATGTATAAGGACTTGCATAATGTAACACAGCAAAAACAAGCAAATTGTGTGTGTATTTTATGAAACCTATTATAGAAATGTTTTAAACACGTACACATACCTGTATATGTATATAATGGGAGAGAGAGAAAGTATAGGCATAAAAAGTACATGGGAATGATAGATATCAAACTCAGGATGGTGAGGAAAGGGAGAGAGAGAAGTGGAATGAAGAGGGAACACAGAGGGCTTGACATGTATCTGGAGTATTTTACTTCTTTCAAGTAAGTGTGAATATTAAAAATATTAAAATTTGAATAAATCAGGTAGTAGATTGATTGTTGGTTATTATATCATTCTGTATGCCATTTTGAGTGTTTAAAATATTTTGTAATTTTAAAAAGAGGTTATACTCTAATGATTTGGAGAGTACCAGCATAGTACTGGCCCACAGTAGACACTCAACAACTGGGATTGTTCTTGTTAGTTGGCTTTTTTCCTTTGTATTGCTCTGAAATAAAATTGTTGATTTCATTGTTGGAATTACATTCTGAAATACAGATCTAGCAGGTTAGGGACTCCTATAAGAACCCCCAAAAGGAACTCAAAACACTTTTGCAAAGGTTCTTGCTAGCTGTCTCATAAATCAACAAGATAAGTGTGACTAAAAATAAGCACCAAATAAATGTTATTTGTCAGAAATAGCACTTAGTTTGGCCTGCCCATGAATTTTCTTTAGACTTTTTGACCTTAGCTTTTTAAAGGGAGATAAACAAGTGAGGACAGAAATACTGGATTTCAGAGTAATGCCAGAATCAGGGAAAAATAATTCTCTGGATCAATAATAATAATTAAAAGCTTCCCATTGTATGCCCTTGGGTATATTTTATATTTTTCCTATTATAGAAGTATCAATTTTATTGACACCCTAGACTATTATGATAATGGAGTTTTTTATTGAATTCAATTACAGTTAGTCACCATGAGACTCCACATGCTATCTGCACTAGGAGTTGCCTCAGGCACCCCTAAGAGCATAGAGATATTGAATATTTTCATAAGGGATTAGCAATTTTTCCTGTATGTCATGGCTATAATAAAAGTCAGCAATGCTGATTTCATTTCACTTAGATTTTGCATCTGCTTTTGGAGTTACGTAGAGCTCTGATGAACAAAAGATAAATAAAATAATTATTTAAATTTCTTATTTATGGTCCCATCGGAAAGTTGTCGTAGGCACTGAGAACAAGAGAGCCGCTTACCTCCTGACAGTGTTGTGTCCTGTAATTGAAAGAGGATTGCATCTGCACTCACATGCACTTGTGCATTTAAAAAAAAAAAGAGAGAAAAAAAAACAGATTGGAGGAGGGAAATGCATGATGTCAGTGGTAGAATTCTGGATGATTTTTTACTTTCTTCTGTAGTCTTTTCTGTATTTTCCAGCATTTCTTCAACTAATGTATTAGACTCTTACAAGTAGAAAAAAATAGTATTTCTAAAACACAGAAAGAAAGGGCTATGATATGTCAGGAAACTAGATTGATATTAACTCTGACACTTTCCTAACTATGATTTTAAGAAAGTCACTTAATCTCTTATTGCTGCTTTTACATTTACATATGATGGTTAGATGGGCATAATAAACTTTTTTGACTTGCTTTGCCTATTGTGTAAAGTTCTTATTTATAGGAGTTAGGTAATAAAATATGAAAAAACATTTAATAAAAAGTGTTATATCAATGCAGGTCTTTCCCAGCATGTAGAAAAGGAATTGAAGCTGTGGGGCAAAATTCAGAGGGATAGATTAATTGCTCTCTGGCAACAGGTACACTCACAGGTAGGTATATTTTAAGGCAGTGGTTCTGAAACTTGCAGCCATCACAATCGCCTTGGATGCTTATCAACGCATAGATTGCTGAATCTACCCCCAGAGTTTCTGATTTATTAGGTCTTGGAAGAGGCATGAAATTCTGCAGTTCTAGCAGGTCCCCCAGACAATGCTGATATTACTTCTCTTGGAATCACTCCTTGAAACTATTGTTTTAAGGATGTATGGAGATATGTACATACACACAAGTATTCCAGAGTATTCAGTGGTGTGTTAGTCTATTTGCATTGCATGAAGGAATACCCGAGGCTGGGTAATTTACAAAGAAAAGAGGTTTAATTGGCTCATGGTTCTGCAAGCTGTACAAGAAGTATGGCACAGTCATCTGCTTCTGGGAAGGGCCTCAGGAATCTTTCAACCATGGCAGAAGGCTAAGGGAGCAGGTGCATCAGAGCAAGAGGGGTGGAGCAGGTGCCACAATCTTAAATGACCAGATCTCACATGAACTCAGTGCAAGAACTCACTCAATACCAAAGGGATGGCACTAAGCCATTCATAAGAGATCTGTCCCTGTGATCCAGCACCTCCCACTAGGATCCCCTCCAACATGCTAGGTCACATTTCAACAGGAGATTTGGATGACAAATGTCCAGACCATATCAACTAGTTAGAAACTTCCTAGTGACCTTCAAGAATACACTTTCAGAAGAGTGGGAAACATATTGAAGTTGGATAAGGAGAGAACCGTGGATGTGGAAAAGAAGCCAATAGTTACAGGCTTAGATGTTTGGGAAGTTTATGAGTGAAGTAACAAGGTATTTGAATGGGAAGCAGAGTAAAATGAATGTTTAGATGGATAGGTGAAACTTATAGTTGGGGCTAATGAAGTATTTGTTTCATCCACAGTGAAACAAGCCACAGTGTTCAATTTTTTAAATTGTAGTCAACATTTAAAACTTACCAGATTTCATATGTAAATCCAGATTCCCATCTACTTTTGGAAAATCATACAACTTGGGGTCTTCCTTTCCATGTGACAACATCAGTTGGAGCCAAGTAGCGGCTGTCCCCTTTCCTTGGGGCATATGCTTTGGGTTAAACAACCCCTGTCTGGTCCTTCCCTTCTTTGATGACTCACCAGTCCTCTACGAGCATAGGAGTCTGCAACCATAAAATCTAACAAGGTAAACATACAAACTCCCAGTGTGAGGATAGAGAAGAACTGAAGATGCTGGAGTGTTGTGATCATAACATGAGCAAGGACCAGAAAGAGGAAGAAGGAGATGGGATCAAGCACACAGTGCGAGAGGTGGCTTGAAGAAGAAATGGGAACATCCATCCCTAGATATGGTGAGGGAGAAAATAGAAAACATAGAAGTCAAGGAAGCAGTATTTTGAATTAAAGATGATGATCTTTATCCTCTCAGTAATATGGACAAGACCCTCTTCTGAACCTAAGAGAGGAGGGCATAGGTCCTAGGGAAAATAAGAGAAAGTTTGGTGTCATTGATGTATTGTAACATCACAGAGCAGCTCTGCCAGCCCATATGAGGTGAGGTATACTGTGGGGGGTCCCCTCTAACAATGTTGTGCAGCGTGAGTGGTTGCGGTGATGATCAGGACTGGGTTTTGGTCTCTTAAGGGCACAAAGCTATTTTTCATTTTAAGCCACTAAGCAATCAAATAAACATAACCCCACAGTTTATACATGGGCTAATAAAGTGAGAAAGTATCCTCCTTACCTGCACCCCCACCAAAACCAGGTACCCGTCCATTTATACTGTTGATCCATCCTTCTGTAGAGTATCTATAGTGCCAAGAATTGCGTCTAAATGTCCATGCTTTTTGAATTGGGAGAGGCAGTAGTGTGCCTCAGGATAAACAGAACCCTAGGACCTGAGCTTAATTTTATTGGTAGATATTTTAAAGGAGGGCAGCAGTTAAATAATTTACTTAGCAAGTAATTCAGAATATTTTATGTTATGTGAACAAGAACATATTATAGAATGCAAAATCTTTCTCTCTTTTTGAATATAACACCAGCTTCAAATAAATTGTACTGCGCAGTAACTGCTCTGGGCTACACTCCTCTGCCCAGCCCCGACAGCACACCCATTCTGTCCCCTAACCTAGGTCAATAGCAAAGTTTCAGAAATGCCACTGAAAGAACATTCATTCTTCAAATTTAAGCTTATAGTACGGTAAATTATCTTTGCTTTAAGAATTGCAGAAAATTGGTGCTAGCTGTATTTCAAATACTGTTTCCTTAAAAAGCAGCTAATTAAAATTCTCTATAATTTATAAGGTGGATTACACATCAGTGTATGATCAAGTTCACTATGAATAGAAGTGATAAACTGACTAACCCTATGACATAACCTCAGCTGTAGTTGTCCAACTCAGCCGTAACTACTTTCTTAGCTCAGTCTTCTAATGCTGATGTGATGCAGACAGTGGAACCAATTTTTACTTTTTAATTTTTACAAGCTGTTGTCTTGTAAGATAGTTGTTAAGCACACAATTCCTCCATTTTTCAAAATAACAGTTTTTTCAGACTTAGGGAAATATCAGAGACACTTAAATTTTCCTAAGCCCGTCATCGAAACAGTAACATAAGGATCCTCTACTTTTAATTGGAAATTCCCATTTCCCTCTGGGATCTCTATCTGCTGGTAAATAGTCTCCATTGTTTCCCTCCAAACAAAACAAGATGGTTCCATGAAGCATTCAGCCATTCCAAAGGTAGTGACAGTTTCTCAACATTAGAGGTATGTTTGTGGCCCATTAGAGTCCAGTTGATCCAGATGTCCTGTGAGAGACATTCCTGAGGACAGGTGTATGTATGTGGAGGTAGGGGATAGTTCATTGATTTCTTTCACAGGTTGCTTTTTAGTTGGCCTTGTTCCTGAAGAAGGCATGTTCTAATGCTAACTAGAGAACCTTCATGAAAGGAGGGCCAGGCCCTGAATCAGAAGACCAGGGTCTAATCCCTCTTTTGCCACTTATTATACACTTAAACTAAGGAAAGGTTCCAACCTTCCTATACTTAAAAAAAAATTTAAGAACAGGTATGGGGGATTCATTGAATGTGAACCTCATGATCTCAGGAAAATTTAAACATAGGCTTTTCTCTCCTGAAGTTCCTAACTTAGGGCATTATCTATCAGTTTAAGAAGATAATTTCTGTATCTACTATTGAGGGTCTTATTTCTGGTCTTCACACCTTCTGAAAGGATGGGCAACTGAGAACAGACTGCTAATATGAAATAGTCTAATCCAGATGAATTCATTGTCATTTACTGTATTATTTCCTTAGGATAATACCTGTCCATCTTTCCACAGCACATTTTGCCTAAATTCTTAACAGGGTGCTCTTTGTTTGTGGCAGTATTTATTCATGTAAAATGCAGCTTTCCTCTCATCTGCTTTTCAATTAAGCAGCTACCTTGTGGCTTTCATATGCTTATGACATCAACACTTTTATGGCAATTGCTTCTGAGATAGAATTTGGCTTTTTGGCCTCTGAATTTCAAATATTGCTGTATCAGTTTCATTCACAATGGAGAGCTTTAAAAGAAATAGTGTGAACCTGTGAGAGATGTGTGGCTTATGCTCAGATATACTTTGTCAAAAATTGTCCCATTGCATACTATACTAACTACATTATTATTAAAGCAAAACTCAATTATTTAATTTTCAATAGTCATATTTTAAAATATAAATTGAGATAGCTGAATTTTCAAATAATTGAAATTGCTGTTCTGCTTACATGGGGTGGGGATAAGAAGCAAAAGCTGTTGATTTTTTACACAAATGTATGCTCAATAAGAGAAAATAATCAACAAATTGTATGTCATCACACAGGCAGCAAGGACAGAGTATATAACTCTTGGAGGTTGTGTCAGTCAAGACCCATTCTGGAGGCAGAACTCACATCTTCAACAGAGCATGCTTAACATGAATTGTTAACTAGGTAGAAAGTTGTTAATTATCTAAAGTGTAAAACAACTTTCAGGTCCCAGGGAGGTAGAATTGCAGGAAGCAGCTGCCACTCCTAGGCCTGGAGGGTCAAAGAGAAAAGGCTAGAATTATTAAAACATGGAAACTTGAGGAGGGAGCTGCTCAGCTGGTACTTGGAGCAGAGAGTGTTGAGGCTGTTATGTGAGTGTTGGAAAAACTGCGCCATTGAATTCACCTGCTGTGAAGAGAAGGCAATGCAACCTCTGGGACGAATCCCAAAAAATCAGGAAACAGGAAGTGCACAGGAAGTAAAAAGGAAGAAGCAAACCTCTTCCTTCTTTTTCCTACAGGCTTCCCACTTCCCTCTAGCTCCCCTTTTTGGCAGAACCGGAAAGCCAACTGGCAAATCAGGAGCGTGGTTTGCAAAATATCCTCTCAAGTGTCACAAAGCCTGAAAATACAAGAGTGGGTTTGGAGTCAAGAGGCAAGAGCGGAATCAATAGCACACAATTTTTCAGGCAAGATTAGCTGATGGCAGCAGCAGAAACCAAACCTTTAAGTGCCCAGGAAGGGTGAGACAGCATTCTAGGTGCCAGGAAGGACATACAGAGGATAGCAACATCTTAATGCTTGCCCTCAAATGACATTCCATTTCCACAGTGTATGTTTACCTTCAGATAAAGCCAATAAAACTGTGATTCAATGGTTCAGTGAGAGAGGCCAGTAAAAACCATGATGAGGCTGTTGTGGGTCTCTGTGAATAGTTTTCTCTCTCTCTTTTTTTTTTTTTGGTCCTTTTTATAATGGAAAATTTCAAATATACACAAAATGGAAAGAATAGTGAAACAAACACCCAGGTATCCGTAACCCAGCAATAACAATTGTAAGCATTTGGCCACTCCATGTTTTCTTTAGCCCCCATACCTCCTCCCTATCCTCCCAGCTTCCCATTGAGTTATATATAATTTCATTCATAAATAATTCCAGATGTTTAGTTACAGCTCAATGAATTTTCACAAAGTAACATGTTCATGTAAACCCCACCTGGATTGGGAAATAGAAATTACAGACACCCAGAGCCCCCTCTGTAGTACTCTCTTAGTTCTTTCCTCACTGCTTCCCAAAGGAGTAGCCACTGTCACCTATTGTGAACTTTGCATATGTGGATTCATAGAATATGTGCATTTTGGGGTTTGACTTCATTTATCTAACGTTGTTGGTAAGATTTATTCATGTTGTTGCATATAGCCATAGTTTTATTTTTATTGCTCTATAGTATTTCATTGTAAGAATACACTACAATTTATTCATCCATTCTACCATTGATGTACAATTGGCTTATTTCCAGCTCTTGACTATTACAAATAATGCTACTATGAACATTGTTATACATGTCTTTTGGTACACACTTGTATGCATTTCTGTTGGGTACATACCATGAATGGAATTGCTGGGTCTTAGGATACGTATATATTCAACTTTATTAAATACTGCCTAAGAATTTTTCAAAGTGGTTGTACTATTTTACCTTCACCAGTTCTAATTGCTCTATATCCTTGCCATCACTTGGCATTGTCTGTATTTTTCATTTTGACCGGTCTGGTCAGCGTGTCATGGTACCCCATTGTCACTTTGAGTTGCCTGCCCTTGATGAGCACATTTTCTGATGCTTAATTGGCTCTTTGAATATATTCTGTAATTGATTTGTAGGAGTTCTTTATATATTCTGGATATAGATATTATATTGGACATAAACACTGCAGATATCTTCTCCCAGTCTAACTTGCCTTTTCTTTCTCTTAATGGTGACTTTGTTAATATAAAGTTCTTAGTTTTAACGTAGTCCAATTTATCAGACTTTTTCTGTATAGTTAATGCTTATTTAGTCTTGTTTAAGAAATTTTTGTCTACCCCAATGTCATAAAGATATTCACCTGTGTTATAGAAGCTTTTTTAAAATTATTAACCTTTTACATTTAGCTTTATAATCCACCTACAATTGACCTTTGTTTATGACGTAAGATAGGGGTGAAATTCTTTTCTTCCCGCATATCAATATCCAAGTGATCTACTATTTATTGAAAAGATTATTATTTCCTCACTGCACTGCAGTTTCACCTTTGTCATAAATCAGGTGATGGTATAAGTATGAGTTTGTTTCTGGTTTCTCTGTTTGTATGTCCTTCTGCTAATACCATCTTATTTTAATTGTAATAAAGATTGAGATATCTGATGGTATACATTACTGAGTTCTGTTCTTCTTCAGAACTTTCTTGATTCTTTTTGGCCTTTTAAATTTTCAAATAAATTTTAAATTAGCTTGTCAACTTTCAAATTACCTGATAGAATTTTGAGTAGAATTGCATTCAACTATAATTTAATGAGTAGAAATGACTTATTTACAATATAGAATCTCTGTTCATAAGCATTTTGTATATTTCCATTGATTTAGACTTCTTTGTTTTCTGTAAATAATGTAGTTTTTTGTAGCAGTCATGCACATTTTTGATTAGATTTATTCCTAGATAAATGATTTTTTGGGGAGGGAACAGAGTCTCACTCTGTCACCCCGGATGGAGTGCAGTGGCACGATCTCGGCTCACTGCAACCTCCACCTTCTTGGTTCAAGTGATTCTTCTGCCTCAGCCTCATGAGTAGCTGGGACTACCGGTGCGCACCACCATGCCTGGCTAATTTTTGTATTATTAGTAGAGGTGGGATTTCACCATATTGGCCAGGCTGGTCTGGAACTCCTGACCTCTTGATCTGCCCGCCTCAGCCTCCCAAAGTGCTGGGATCACAGGCATGAGCCACCACGCCTGGCTAGATATATGATTTTTATGTTATTTTAAATAAAATATTTTTTAATTTTTTCATCTTCTGTTTTTGGCTTGTATATGGAAATATAATTGATTTACTGAGAATTTGTTTGTAATAGCCAAGAGTTGGAAACAACCTAATTGTACATCAATGGTAGAATGAATAAATAAATTGTAGTATATTCACATGATGAAATTCTATAGAATTTAGTTATTAATTCAAATAGTTTATTTGAAAATAATAATGATACTTTTCTATATATACAGCCATATTTTCTGAATATTATGACAGCTTTATTTCTGCCTTTCTAATCCTTTCATTTCTTTTTCTTTTTTGCTTTATTGTTTTGGTTAAAACTGATACCACTTTTAGACCAACATATCACAAATCCACCCACTGACCACAATACATTTATTAAAGAATGCATGCGTTCTCTCTCTCTCGGGATCTGTTACCCTAAATGTCCACTTTTACCCTAACATCATCCAGCCCCCACTCCAGAAAAACATTTCTCCATATCTCTTGCCCTACAGTTTTGAAACAAAATGTAACAACATCCAGATGCCATGAAAGTTTATAAGTTGTGCTTATGTTGATAGTGGGGACAAACACTGCTTTTCCATGAAAGAAGACTGTAGTGACAGAAGCACTAAGGTAAAAGACAAATTAACTTGACAAATTTATCCTCCTAGATAGCATGACTACATAGATTCCTTGCATAATGAAGTATAGTATTGACTCCCAGTAGGTCTGAGCTTTTTTTCCTCACTCATCTTGCATTCTGATTTTTAATTTTGAAGATCAGCAAGTTATTCGTAAATTAGCAACATTTTTTGAGTAATTGTGTATGCCATCTGAGCAATATTTTGCAGTATGAAACAATTTATGTTATTCTTAAATTTTCATATATTTACTTCCAGACCTAACATTTGTGAAGCTTCATGGTGATTCTTTTCATTGGCATATAGAAGGACATTCCATGTTAGAACTGAAAAAGTTTCATTTTTATAAAAATATTTAATAAAATTCATTAAATTTTTTAAAACCAAATTTTAAATGTCATATTTTCTTAATATTGATTTAAAATTTTGAAACTCAGTAATTTATTTGCATCTTGCCTTTAATTTTAACGTATAATGTTGAATATTTTAGAAAAACAGCATTTTTAAACCTGAAAAAATAATTTTTTGATATTCTAGATGTTTCTTATTTTTTATAAAAATATATCAAAATGTATACACCTTGAATGCAATTGCATTTTATTTTTTAACCTTTTAAATCATTACTGTTAGTAGTGTACCGATTATATGGATATCTTATTGTAACGAGATAAATTTGCTAAAATAAAGGCATGGGAAATACTTTGTAAAATAAATATGTAATAGTGGTGGGTTATTCATGCCTTTGTTTTATGACACCATCATTCACACATGGCCATCAACAGAACACCCATGCATGTTTCATAATAATTAAATATAATAATCTTTGACATTTTGCTAATTTTCAGTCATATATAAACAATAATCATAATTTTATTTTGTTACCATGAAGATATATTTGTCAAGGAAGGAGAAGAAAATATATTTTGACAGTTTTCTTAGCTTCTTAAATTTATTAAATTAACACATTCAGATATGTAGAATGTGGACCTCTATCTGTCTTCATGCCCCTGTCCCCGCAAATGGGCCTAGATGTGTCTGGCAAAGTTCTTAGTGCAGTGCTGCAAAGAGGAAAAGGTAGCAGATGTCCTTGTCCATCATGTTCTTCAAATATTATTTGTTCAATACTGATTTCTTTTGCTTGCTCTATCAATTCCTGGCAGAAGTGTATTAAAATTTCCCACTATATTTGCAGATTTGTCTGTTTCCCATTTAGTTCAGTTAATTTTTGCTTTGTCTTTTTTGAAGCTATGTTATTAGACATTATAAATTGAGAATTATTACATCATCATGATGGGTTAACTCTTGCATGGTATAAGATTATTTCTTTTAAGACAGGGTCTTACTCTTTCACCCAGGCTGAAGTACAGTGGCATGATCATAGCTTACTATAATTTTAAACTCCTGGTCTCAAGGGATCCTCCTGCCTCAGCCTGCTGAGTAGCTAAGATTACAGGTGCACACGACCACACTTGGCTAGTTTTATTTTTATTTTTACTTTTATTTTTAGAGACGAGGGTCTCACTATGTTGCCCAGGCTAGTCTTGAACTCCTGGCCTCAAGTGATCTCCCCACTTCAGCCTCTCAAAGTGCTGGCATTACAGGCATGATGCATCATGCCTGGCCTGGTCTTGATTTCTAGAAATTCTTATGGCTTTAAAGTCTACTTTGTCTAATTTCAGTATTGCTAAACCAGACTTCTTTTGGTTAATGTTTATCTAGAATTTTCTATCCTTGCAACATTTTCAAGCTCTTATATTCAAAATGTATCTCTTGTAAGCTGCAGGTGATTGGGTACTGATTGCACTGTTTTGTTTATAATCAGTTAATTAGATTTAATCAATTTGCATTTGATGTAATTTTGGGTATATTTGGGGTTTAAATCCATCATCTGTTTTCTCTTACTGAGACTATATTATTTTTCTCTCCTTTTTTTGCTACTCTTTGGATTAATCAAGTATTATTATTATATTTTGTTTCCCATCCCTATTTTATTATTCCGTTATTAAAATTGTAGAGAACATATAATGCATGCTTAACTTACAAAAGCCCAATATAAATGAGTACTTTTACCATTTTCCAGACAGCATGTACTAAGAATCTCAGAATATTTTAATTTCACTTAAATCTCTCCCACTGTTTGCGTTACTGTTATCACATATTTTAATTCTTTTTTTTTATACTTTAAGTTTTGGGGTACATGTGCACAACGTACAGGTTTGTTACATATGTATACATGTGCCATGTTGTTGTGCTGCACTCATTAACTCGTCATTTACATTAGGTATATCTCCTAATGCTATCCTCCCCCTTCCCCCCACCCCACAACAGGCCCTAGTGTGTGATGTTCCCCTTCCTGTGTCCATGTGTTCTCATTGTTCAATTCCCACCTATGAATGAGAACATGCGGTGTTTGGTTTTTTGTCCTTGCGATAGTTTGCTGAGAATGATGGTTTCCAGCTTCATCCATGTCCCTACAAAGGACATGAACTCATCATTTTTTATGGCTGCATAGTATTCCATGGTGTATATGTGCCACATTTTCTTAATCTAGTCTTATCATTGTTGGACATTTGGGTTGGTTCCAAGTCTTTGCTGTCGTGAATAGTGCCGCAATAAACATACATGTGCATGTGTCTTTACAGCAGCATGATTTATAATCCTTTGGGTATATACCCAGTAATGGGATGGCTGGGTCAAATGGTATTTCTAGTTCTAGATCCCTGAGGAATCGCCACACTGACTTCCACAATGGTTGAACTAGTTTACAGTCCCACCAACAGTGTGAAAGTGTTCCTATTTCTCCACGTCCTCTCCAGCACCTGTTGTTTCCTGACTTTTTAATGATTGCCATTCTAACTGGTGTGAGATGGTATCTCGTTGTGGTTTTGATTTGCATTTCTCTGATGGCCAGTGATGATGAGTGTCTTTTCATGTGTCTTTTGGCTGCATAAATGTCTTCTTTTGAGAAGTGTCTGTTCATATACTTTGCCCACTTGTTGATGGGGTTTTTTTTTTCCTGTAAATTTGTTTGAGTTCTTTGTAGATTCTGGATATCAGCCCATTGTCAGATGGATAGATTGCAAAAATTTTCTCCCATTCTGTAGGTTGCCTGTTCACTCTGATGGTGGTTTCTTTTGCTGTGCAGAAGCTCTTTAGTTTAATTAGATCCCATTTGTCAATTTTGGCTTTTGTTGCCATTGCTTTTGGTGTTTTAGACATGAAGTCCTTGCCCATGCCTATGTCCTGAATGGTATTGCCTAGGTTTTCTTCTAGGGTTTTTATGGTTTTAGGTCTAACATTTAAGTCTTTAATCCATCTAGAATTAATTTTTGTATAAGGTGTAAGGAAGGGATCCAGTTTCAGCTTTCTACATATGGCTAGAAAACCCATCATCTCAGCCCAAAATCTCCTTAAGCTGATAGGCAACTTCAGCAAAGTCTCGGGATACAAAATCAATGTGCAAAAATCACAAGCATTCTTATACACCAATAACAGACAAACAGCCAAATCATGAGTGAACTCCCATTCACAATTCTTCAAAGAGAATAAAATACCTAGGAATCCAGCTTACAAGGGATGTGAAGGACCTCTTCAAGGAGAACTACAAACCACTGCTCAACGAAGTAAAAGAGGGTACAAACAAAGGGAAGAACATTCCATGCTCATGGATAGGAAGAATCAATATTGTGAAAATGGCCATACTGCCCAAGGTAATTTATAGATTCAATGCCATCCCCATCAAGCTACCAATGCCTTTCTTCACAGAATTGGAAAAAACTACTTTAAAGTTCATATGGAACCAAAAAAGAGCCCGCATTGCCAAGTCAATCCGAAGCCAAAAGAACAAAGCTGGAGGCATCACGCTACCTGACTTCAAACTATACTACAAGGCTACAGTAACCAAAACAGCATGGTACTGGTACCAAAACAGAGATATAGACCAATGGAACAGAACAGAGCCATCAGAAATAATGCCACATATCTACAACTATCTGATCTTTGACAAACCTGACAAAAACAAGCAATGGGGAAAGGATTCCCTATTTAATAAATGGTGCTGGGAAAACTGGCTACACATATTTTAATTCTAACTACATCCCTGCATGTAGTTAAGAACATCCCTAAACTGTTCTATTTAGTCTCTGCTTAAATGTTACTTCCTCAGAGAGACTTGCCTCTATCATCATAATTAAAGTAACCTCACCCCACCCCTTTCTTTTCCATTCCCTTATTCTGTTTTGTTTTTCTTCCTGGACTTATTACCTGAAATAAGAGTATTTATTTGTTTTTGCCCATCTGTAGCATTAGAATATAAGCTTCAAAAGTACGGGAGTTTTCTACCTTGTTCACAAAGGTTTGGCCCAGAGAAGGCACTCAATAAATATATGTTAAACCACAAACGTAGGTCAGAGGTGCCCAACAGAGACAACCATTGAGTCTTAAGAATGAGAAAATCAGGGGTCCAGAGGACATTGGAGAACTTCTGCAAACCACAAGTAAGATTATTTTTATAACAAGAAAACTTGGAAGAGATACCAGGATCACTCCAGAAATAACTAAGTGGGCAGATTTCCTCTATTCATGATTTTTCATTCATTCAATGCTTCCTGAACACCTGTGCAAATCCTGGGTGCTGAGCGAGGTGTGAGTGCTGTGCTAGTCTTCATGCTGGGTGCAGCAAGCTGCGTTCTCTGTAGGCTTCCTTCACAGATTGTCATTGGAAATCAGACCTGTTTTCACTTAAAGGTGTGAGGAGGCAATGGGCTGGATGACTGAAGGGGATATTGTAAGAGAACGGAAAGAAGATCATCTTGCTGGTGAGGCATTCTGGGCTGAAGAAAATCAAGAGCTTTGATTCTGATACCCTTAGGTCAGTAATGTTCTGACAATATCCAAATGATGTGAAATGCATTCACAAATAACAGGTATACCGAATTGTTCCAAGAAAATTCTAAATCCAGAGCCTCTGAATTTATAGTGCCCTGTTCTCCCCATCATTGAGACTCAGGCACCAAAGGGCAGTAGTTCTGGAAACTTGGACCAAGATACCATCCAGAAGGTAGCTCACATGCCCAGCGTGTTTAAAAAAAAAAAAAAGAGTCACATCTTAAGACTTCTAAAATGTGTCATCCTTATGTGACTTCATAGTATCATTTTCTTCTCTGTAGCAATTGGGCCTGAAATGGTCTAAGGGATACCTCCCTCTAGCTATTACTCATTTATGAAACAATAAAACAAAAAGGCCACAGGTTAATTCCTAGGTTTTACTCGCAGAATGGCAATTGAAAAATCTGGATTTTTTTTTACACTGGGGCTGCATTATTTTCACATTTTCAATTCTCAGCCTTTTCTCCAGCCTGACAGGCAGATGGGAGGGCAGCTGGCCCTGCAATCAAAAGTGACCCTGGCAGCCAGTGTCTCTGTTTCATGGTCTGCCCTGAGACAGGCAGGCCTGGGTTCTGCATTTGAAATGTGATTGGCAAAGTGGCTGCAGAGGGAGAACCAGCACAGACACGGGGGAGAGGTAGCTCTCAGATTGCGACGTTAGGATTATATACTAATGTATGACTGACATTGCCAAAGCCTCATTAAGACATTGCATATGTTCCTTAGCTTGATTGAATCTTTCTACAATTTATGCATAGATCACAACATCACACTGTGCCCCGTAAATATACACAATTATTTGTCAATCAAAAAGAAATTAATTAATTTAAAAAAATAAGAAAGGCTGCCAGCCCTGATGGAGTTGCATGGGTTGGGGTTCTCATGCTCTTTAATAGCCAGTATTGCTAGTATTTTTTCAAGAGGTGGTCTCAGGCCACTATGACATTCCAAGCTACAAGTCAGAGTTTTCTCTGAAAGCTAATCAGACTGTGGAAATTAATCCCACAACCTCTGCCTCTTCAATGCCAGCCAGGGGGGCTAAACCACTTGGAAAGTTTTGGCAGCAGACATAATGTGCCCACTAGGGGTCAGGGGCTGGGCTGACCATAGCTGGACAAATATTTGCACCTGCCCTTTTGCAGTTCTGTCTAAAAGTTCACCAGGAAGAGTTTTTTTTTTAACAAAACAAGGAGTTCTTTAAGGTCTTATATTGGACATCCATAAAAAACACAGCAATAGGTATCATTTTTGAGCACCTGCCATGTGCCAACCCAATCTCAGTGCTTCTCCTCCATGTTTTCAAATCCTCACAACCCTGGTAGATATTGTCATACTCATTTCACAGACAAAAGAGATAATATTTGCTCAAGTGGTTGGACAAACTGGCTCACAATGTATAGGTTACGCTGCCAGGCAAAGTGAGAACACAGTTCCAGTATGTGTGAGGTCCTGCTAACAGGTTGCTGTGCAAAGAAAAGTGTGGGCAGCCTGCAGTCACCATTTATTTGGTGTCAACCCTGTACTTGGTATTATATTTGATGTTTTACCTATGCTACATGTATTAGTCAGCTTGGGCTGCTATAAGAAAATACCACAGACTGGGTGGCTTAAACGGCAGAAATCTATGTCTCACAGTACTGGAGGCTGGAAGTCCAAGATCAAGGTATCCACTGATTTGGTTTCTTCTAGCTCATAGATGTTCAACTTCTTGCTGTTTTCTTGTATAGCCTGTGTGCATGTGCACACATGCACACACACACACACACACACACACACGGAGAGAGAGAGAGAGAGAAACAAGTGTTCTTAAGTGTCTCTTTTTATAGGGACACAAATATTAGATCAAAGCCCCACCCTTATGATTGTATTTAACTTAAATTACTTCTTTATACTATCTTCAAATACAGTTACATTGGGGGTTAGAGCTTCAACATTTGAATGTGGGTGGGGTTGGTACACAAACATTCAGTCCATAGCATTATGTATAATCCTCACAAGAAATGTATTTTACAGATGGAGAAACTGAAGCTCAGAGAAGATAAGTTATACTAGTAGTTTATGACAGAGACAGGATTCAAACATAAATCATAATTCTAAAATTCATATTTTTTCCACCAGCTAGACCACCTTCTAAAGTTTATTTGGGGCTTGATATCGAGACAATATATAAATGAGAAGAATTGCTAAACTTGATTTATCAGCTGCCTTATGTTGTATACTAGTTTGTTTTATGCTGGCTTATTTTGAAAGATGAACTCAAGACAAATCAATTATCACTTAGCATTTGAACAAATGGACTATGAAGCAAAATGAACTGAAAAGTGTGACAGTTTTAAGTAGGTCAGGTGCTTGAAAGATGAATATCTTTTTTTCCATTGTCAAAAAATTTTATTATCAAAGGTAAAAAAAAAAACCTAAGAGTTATAGGATTTAAGTGTAGAAAGGAGTAGGAGTGATGATTTAAACACTATTAAATGTGACTTTAAATGTAGTCATTTATGCTTAGAAAATATATGCATCGAAAAATATTTTAAGCATGTTTAAATTTTTAATGCAAAAGTAATATATTCATATTTTAGCAATTCAGGCAATAAAGGGATGAAAACCATTGTCAATATACATATGTGTGTATTCTAAGCAATAAAACAATGACTCTTAAACTAGATATAAAATTCTACAACTAGCTTTTTAAATTTAATATATAAGTTAGATATGTTTTCATGTTGCTATGTATAAACTTACCTCATTTTGTGAAATAATGGCCTAGCATTCTTAAGGTTGTGAAGTCATTTAACTGTTCGCCTACTGGTGGGCAATTTAGGTTGTTTTCTATAATCACAAAAATATAACATTGAACATCTTTGTAATTCTACCTCTGTATACATGGACAGATAAATATATACGTTAAATAATTATCATATATTTATGTAATTATTTATCCTACAAATATAACTATGTAATTTATCTGTAGGATAAATGCAATTACTGTGTCAAAAGCCTGCACATTACTGATCTTGATACATATTGCCAAGTTACCTTCAAGATAAATTTTCACATTCAAATATTTTCCAAAGACTCATTCTACATTAAAGGCAATGAAATATTGTCATGGTTCTCACTGCATTCTGTACCTTCTCTTTGGTGACACTTGTTCAGAGGCCTGAAGGAAGTGAGGGAGACACCTGTGCTGCTGTGGGTACCCTGCAGCCTTGGGTAAAGTGACCTGGCATTCATTCATTTAAATGGCAGTACTTTTCTATTTTTTTTTAATTTTACGTTTTCAATTGACAAATGATAATGGTACATATTCATAGGGTACCTAGTGATGTTTAGATCCATATAATAATGTATAGTAATCAGATCAGGGTAATTAACATATCCATCATCTCAAACATGTATTATTTTTTTGTGTTGGTAATGTCTAATATCCTTCTTCTAGCTACTTGAAACTATCTAACATATTTTTAACTATAGGCATTCTATAGTTGAGATAGAGCACTAGAACTTATTCCAGGTCTCTAGCTCTAATTTTATATCCTTTAATAAATCTCTCTCTAGCCCTCCCTTCCTCCTTCCCTATCCAGCCTCTTGTATCCTCTTTTCTTCTTTTTACTTCTATGAGATCACCCCCTTTTTTTCTTAGCTTCTACATATGCGTGAGAACATGTGCTGTTTAACTTTCTGCTCCTGGCTTATTTCACTTATCCTCAAGTTCCATCCACATTGCTGTGGATGACAGGATTCCATTCTTTTTATGGCTGAATAGTATTCCATTTTGTATGTACAACACATTTTCTTTATCCATTCACCTGTTATTGGACACCTAGGTTTAGTGCATATCTTCATTGTTGTGAATAGTGCTGCAATAAATATGGAGTGCAGATATCTCTTCAATACACTTCTTTCCTTTCTTTTGGATAAATGCCCAATAGTGGGATTGCTGGATCATACAGTGGTCCTATTTGTAGTTTTTGGAGGAACCTCCATACTATTTTCCATAGCGGCCGTACTGGTTAACATTCCTACTAACAGTGTATAAGAGTCACTACCAGCATTTGTTATTTTTTGTCTTTTTGATAATAGCCATCCTAACTGGGGTGAAATGATACTTCCTTGTGGTTTTGATCTGCGTTTCCCTGATCAGTGATGTGGAGCATTTTTTCATATATTTGCTGGCCATTAGTATATCTTATTTTGAGAAATGTCTATTCAGTTCCTCTTATTCTTATTCATGCACCAGACATTTACTATTTACTATGTGGAAGGTGAAACGATGGGCATTAAGATTGTTCTAAAGATGAGTAAGTCAAATATGGCCTACCTCAGGCTCCTGTGCTTCACTTTTCTTTTCATGGCAGGCAATTATTTTAGCTTTTAATTTGCATACAGTAAATTTTCTCCTTTTGGTGTGCTGCTTGGCTTTTTAGTCTCAGCCTCAATGCAAACAAATAAAAATGACAATTTTTTGATATTGAATATGCCCTCTCTCATCAGTAAATAAAACCTTCTAGCCTAGAGTTATTTGAGTCTCTGGCTATACAAAAATTGAGGAGCCTTCCAATAACTGGAGCTTTTTAAAACACCAGTCTGAACAATTAAACTTGTTTTTGGATGTAAAATGTTGGTGACAGCTGTCATTTTTTTTGAAGCAGTTATGTGGTCTTTGAAAATTATACATGCCTGTTCTGAGCTTCTCTCCCCACCAGAGTTGAGACCCTTCTATAATCACTACAGGTGTGACAGGTTAAGATTTTTTCATTATAGCAAAGCAGAAAGAATAAAAGAGTTTTAATGAAAGGTGTAGTCTCCTGAGCTGAAACTGCATTACCGACCTGAAGCCCTGGAAAATGCTAATACTCGGTATATTAAAAGAACAGCCAGCTTAGTCCCCTTAATGCCCATTTGCCTGAATTTATGAGATATCATTCCTTTCAGCTTGGCATTTGTGAAGTTATCCAGCTGGGAGTGAGTCAAGTTTTTTTTTTTTTTTCTGTCACTAATTCATTAAAAATGCCAGTCATACGAAGCAACTCAAGTGAGACCATCTGCCTTTCTGAAAACCTTAAATACCCAAGAGATAGAGGAACTGTACGCCTTGGTCCTGGAGTGGAACTGCTGCTCTTAGAAAGGGCACAGCCTTGGGTAAAGGCCAGTTGTGCCATGGATAATGTGTCTGACTACGGATCAGAAAGGTCATGGCCTCCACAGCCGACACACCTAATCCCACTCCCAGTCCCCACTTCCTTACCTGGCAAGCAGTGGAAGCCTGTGAGCCTCAGCCATTTCACTTGAAAAGGGCTGATAACACTGACCTCCCAGAGCTGTTTAGGTCCTCAGGGTTAACCTGCTTTCTTTCACTTTAATGAACTTTTAGGGATATACCACAAAGACTGGAAGTAGCCCCTTTCCCCTCTGAGAAAGAGATAGAAATGATCTCGATTTGTAGTTTCTGATTTTCAAAAGTAAATAACCATGTTTTTAAATAAATGTAAAACTGATCAGACCTTTGCTGAGAGGGATGTAAGGTAAATTACTATAGGATATTTTTTCAGAGTCTTCTTTTCCACACTTAAGATAAATTAATTTTAAAAAGTTCTTTCTTCTGGAAAAGGATTTATAGCAAAATTACTTGAATGCCTAAAAAATAATTGGAGAAAGAGTGGAAGATGTCATATTCATTCATCCAACAAACAGGTACGAGTGTCTGCCACATGCTAGTCATTGTTCTAAGTGTCTGAGCTCCTGCAGGGAACAAAACTGGCCAAAATCCCTGCCTGCTTGGAGCTTCCCTTCTTGTAGGGGAGGGAAGACAGTACAAAATAAATAACTAAATGATGTAGTGTGTAGGAGAGTGCAAAATGCTATGGGGAAAAATGAGTTAGGGAAGATAGTGGGGAGAATTAAAACTCTAATGCAAAATGATCACCGGCTTAATGTGATGTAAGTTATTTAAGGCCACTTTTCAAAAATTTGGATTATATCTAAAATATTCTTTTTTTGTTTCATGGGTGATGATCAAAATATCACTGTATACAGATCCCCCTCTTCTTTGGTTTTATCCACATAAAAATGTCTAATATGTATGTCAACTTAAACTGAGGCCATAGCATTAAATGCCAGCAGATTTGCTTGATAGGAAGAACCTAGGAATGGTAGAGCCCACAGACACAGAACTGCTTTCTTTTCTTTCCTGATAAATAAGGTGATACAATCTTTGCTTCTTTAATCATGACGAAGTTTCAGCCCAAATGTTGTAGGTGCTTGAAGGAAATGGGAACAAGCAATAAATCTGGGATTGACTTCACAGAGGTCTCTGACAGTATGATGATCTAACATGTACTACCTAGGGATAAATAAAATACCATCTTTCTGACATGAAGGAAAAAACAAAATGTACCCAGGAGCATTCATTAGAACTTTAAAGCCAGCCTAAAATCCTCCGTTGGTGTAAAAGAAAAGAAAGGCTGTGTATATCACGTTGAATATGCCTTGGGATAGATCAATTCTACAGGGTGCAAAAATATTCTATAGAACAGTTGGTAAACTGCAAATGAATTTAGCTATGTTAACCATATGTGAATAATGCCATCCTGTAATGATTTTAAGTGAGTCATATGCATGACAAGTAGAGGATATTTAGTGCCAAATAATTGTATTAGCCAACAGGAATTTGATAATCATTATGAAGAGAGCAAAATCACATTTTATACTCTGTTCAGTTTGGAGAAGGTTGCTGAGGTCTCCAGGAGCCAATCACAACCTTCTCTTCTGTTCCTTTTCCTGTTGTGCAGGGAGTGCTGTGCTTTCTGATTGCTCTTTGGAACCACACTGCAATTTTATTTGCTTTCTTATTAAAATAAAACAAGATGAACAAACAAAATCAACATAAATGAGAATAACACAAGCTTATACACATTCGCACACACGAAAATATAGAACTAGAGTTTATAGAACCTGATTTTGTCTTTTACTTTTACCTTTTGGTTGCATATACTCTTGAAGTTATATTCCTTTCCAGGCAATTAGAATGTTATTACTGCAGCAAGAAGACTACCTATTGAGAGAAAGTATAATCCTACGCAATGTTCTGTGTGAAATGTTTGTGCGCAAAGAGGTGACTCCAGGGAGACTGGTTTTTGAGGAACTATAAAGCTGCAGGCAGAAATCTTGATCAGGGCTCATAGGCCTTGACTCCGCTTTCATTCTTCAGTGAGGATGTGGCCTCGCTAGAGCTGAGTTTGCTTCAGGAATCAGGAGGTCACAGTGTTTATAAATATTCCTTGTTAATAAGAAGCCTGTATACTGAAAGCATACTTTTTTTCCCCAATGCTCTATACGTCTGGATATAAAAGGACCAGGGCAGAGCAGGAATTGGGTTTTTCTTTCAAGTCTGACATAACTGTACCCCAGAGGGGAATATGGGCAGCAGCTGTGTATCCTGGGAGTAAGGAAAAAGCTGTTCTAAGATATGCTACATTGAGTGCTGATCTGTGGGTCCATATTACTTCCATTCAGTGTTGTGTCTTTAGAAACATTGAGGAGAGCATGTAAACTATTCTCACCAAATTCTCACTCATGAAAAATTGCAGTCATGGTGGCCTTTATATGTATTTTTAATGCTGCAATCTTTATTCATATACCGTCTCATTATATTCTTGCACATATTTCCTTTAAAAAGTGGCAAAAATAAATGTGCACATAAAATAAAATGCTGTAAAAAAATGCTGTGCTGTATATAACGAAGCCCTAGGAAAATAGCTTATTATGAAGACAGTTTACCTCCAACTCTGAAAGTTTTTATCAAAACATTCAACAGAGTTTGTATGCATGTCATCCTAAGCCAAGATAGAATAAAAATAAAATGTTGAGCCAAATTCTTACCTAAACTACTTACTTATTCTGGAGGAGGCACATTTGGATTGGCATTCACTCTTTTAGCTACTGAGAAAACAACTGATTGAGTTATATGTAATTATAACGTGCAATATAAAATTAACCACTTACCAGATGTACAGTGTGCAGGATATAATCAGGGTTTCTCAGCCCGAGCACCATTTCTTTGTTGTGGGGGGAATTACCTGAGCACTGTGGATCTTTAGCGGTATCTCTGGTCTCCACCTTCTAGATGCTGGTAGCACACGCACTCTCCAGTTGGGACAATCAAATATGTCCCAAGACATTGAAAAATGCCTCTAGGGGTACAAAATTACCCCACTGGCATGTACAGTACTGAATAAATATAACTACAGTATAAGACAGAGGTTTTGGATGGTGCAGACCAGCGCTGGAAAGGTTTTGAAGCACGTGAGCTCCTCTGGCAAGGAGTGTTGGGGAGGCTACAAGGAAGAGGTGAGATTTGACTGGCGCTTGAGGTTGTGTAGGATTTTGGATTTAACTGTAGTTTGCTTATTAGTCTCCCTTTAATGGTATCTAATCTAACTGGTGTTTGTGTTTGAAATACGCCTTATTGGTTTCAAAGAGGTTTGAATTTCTAAATATGTCAAAATTTGTGCATAAACCAGAAATTGAAAGACTTTAAATATTTTTTATTTCCCTTTTTAAACTAAGAATGAATTTTTCCTGAACTTCATAATGTGGGTATATTGGAATTAAAAGCAACTGGAGGTAATTAGATTGGGCATAAGCTGAATGTTCTCCGTTTACAAATGTCATAAAGACACTTGGCATTATTTTACTGAAAAGGAAGTAAAATATCAGACCTTGTATTAATAATGTTAGCTTTTAGCAGGGTCTCCTCCCAACCTCTACCCACACTCCAAAAAAGGCAAAAGGCATGTCAAGTTGTTTAGACATTTCCCCAGTTCATCTTTTACAAATCAAAATTGTGCAAAGTTGTCTTTCAAATATTTATTGAATTTTAATCTTTGAAGGCATCACCTTTCTCAAAGATAATGACTTGCTCTTATTGTGTCATGTTTGGAAAACAGCTGTTATCACATGCTGCTGTGTAGAAGCATCATTCTCTTCCTAGCATTCCTTATTAAGTCTGATTGAGCAACATCAGCTATGCACTTAACCAAGTGTGAGATTAATCATGATTCTGTATCCACCAAACTTTGTAGTTCTGAATTATCCAAAAAAGAAGTCTTCCAGAAGGACTTGCTCTTAAATTCTTCTCCAAAAGCATTAACATTCTGTCCCAGGTGGAACAAATGTGTCAGTATTGATATCACTATATAGGAAATTAAATTATGAGATTATGGCAAAAATTATAATGGTGTTGACATTATTATGAGTGTAGCACAAATCAGATTATATCATGAGTTAGGTTATAAATTAAAGGCATATAAATAGTTAAATGCATTCCAACAAATGTAAATTTTAATAAAAAATAGTATGGCAAAATGCTCACATCAACAGAGACATACCTTATACAGCACTCAGTATCTAGTAGACTCTCAAAAAATGTTTGTCCAATTAAGCTTTTTTTGTTAACTACTGTCCTGAAGTATGATGTAGAAAAAAACTTTTTGAGTTGCAAATTTTGCTATAATTTTTTTTCTCTCTTTGCTTCTGGCCCTGGACTTCTATTATTAATTATTACTAGAAATTCTCCTGAAATTAGATTTCAAGAAGAATTCTATGAATAAGACAGTAAATGACATGTCCATATCTGATTCAACTATACTGGGACACAAGGTAATAGCCCCGATATTTCTTGGAGTCCCTTCTAGTGTTATACTCGATCCTAAAGTCATATGGCAAAAATTGCTTATTTCACAGAGTCTATGTTAAAGTCATTATGAGACGATGAAAGACACAGCTTATGGCTTAAGACGGTTTGGTGGGGAACCTTGACTGTAAATTAAATGGAATATGATAGAATGGTTGGAATACAAACACCTGTATTAAATATTTTTTTTAAATGAGGTGAGAGTACCAGATGTCCTGTGGGCTCATTCTTTTTTGGTGCATCTTATTTTTCTTTATTGTTAGCAGAAATATGAAATACATTAAAACTCCTTCACATCTGTGCAACAAAAATAGAATAAGAAAGCAAATGACATGACTGCTAGATAAAGCACTACCTAAAATAATTGCCTTAAGCTATTTGGAGATTTATTGTAAATTAAATTGCAGGAATGTGCATGATAAAAATGGCATCTGTCATTGAAAAACAATATAATTTATTTTAAAATGGATCCATGTGCATGCTTAGATTGACAGGTCTTTAAATGTTGATGATAATTTTATCACTACCACCCCCAAGCCCCAATATTTTATGTGCTGTTTGCTTTGGGATTTTCCTTGAATTAAAAATTGAACAATCTTATTGCAGTGCAGAAAGAATTTCATTACTTTCAGAGGTGACCTTCCAGATTCTATTAGGACAAGAAAATAGCCTTTCACAACATCAGTCAAAATCTGTCTTTCCATACGAGCTTCACCTGGGTCTAGCACCTCCAAATGCTCTAGAAACTCTTTGACATTTCTCCTTCTGCCTGTCCTTCCCAGCCAAAGTCAACAATACATATGTGCTAAGATTGTTTGGGGGTCATCTTCTTTTTTGTTTTGTCATATGATGCTGACACTGGAATTTCCGTTGCATAGGCTCTTCAAGTTAAAAGTTAGTACCTTGAAGATAGGGATTGAATATCGTGGTTTTTTTTTTTTAATATCCTATTTCTTAACTTCCCAGAGAACCTAATTCACATGCCTGTGCCTAATGGGCATCTTGTAACATTATTAACTGGTTCTTTTCGATAAATACCCCATGATTCCTTTAAAGATTATCTTGACTTATCCTGCACTTTTTAGGTATACCATCAGAATTACAAACCAAATATTAATCAACTATTTTCAGCTTTTCTGTCAAAGATGTAATAGTGCCAAAGGAGACAGGATTTTTATTTGTTATTATATAGAAAGTCATAATATTTTTATTTTAAAGTGATACCAAAATATATGTTGAACCTAGCATTCTCAGTTCAGCTCAATTAACAGCTATGAAGAGTTATATTTTTATTACTTCAAGAGAATTGATAATCCCATAAACTTTCCAAAAGAACACTCTTGAAGATGGTATCTGATTTCCTCTGTTTCAGCATTCTGAAATCCAGGTTTTTTCACCTAAGGAAATCTATTAGCACCCACTTCCTACTATACATAGAACTACTTAAATACTCTTCTCTGTAATTTCCATTTGGATTTGAGCATGACCATGGAAGTAACATGTACGAAAACTATAATAGCATCTGACAGGTAGTCTCTAGGATGCTTTCCCCTCTCAGGAGGGATTGCCTAACCAATGGGGTATGAGGAATTTGGAAAAGTATTATGCAAAATAACCTTATATTAGAAGATGGAGAGTAAAAGACAGACAAAGAGAGTTTGAAAATATGAGGTCTATTTATCTGAAAAAAAGCAATGAACCTCACTAATTTAGTGACTTTTCAGTTATGTGAAGAATAATGACAACGTTTTCTCTATCAATACACAAACATAAAGGCTCACAAAGGAAATAAAGTTTATATGGCAAAGATTAAATAGGATGAAACTATTCTCAAAATGAAGGCTGTTATGTGTTGGAATGATTAATTTAGGAGGACCATAGAACTGTTTCATTAGAAAGTCATAGGAATGATGTGATGAAGACACATAAAGCATCTGAAATGATGGAGATTAAATGACACTTTAAAGAGCCTCCTATTTTAATGCTTTTAAGATTTCTTTTCATTTATTATTTAATTTCTTTATTAATTGCCCTGATTTTATCAGATTTATCATCTCATGGTTAAAGCTTTTAAAACTTCATTGTGAAAAAGGAAAGAAGACTTTAATGTTTAGTTATATTGGAACACATATTTCTGTCTTCTCTTCTTTTGTTGTTGGTGCACCAGTCAAATTAAAGCACTGGCTCCAAAATAATAAGTAATTTCAAATACACACAAAAATTCCTCTAGCCAGTATCAACAGAGGGTCAGCATTTTAGAATATTTATGATGAAAAGGGTTACTGTAACTGAAATCCAGCTGAAATCATTTTGCTCTGGGTCTCTATGAATATACAGAATTGATGTTTCATTTTAAAATAAACCAGGTGAGTTGTATTTTTAAAGCGGGATTTTCAGAGTTGGAAATTTTGGGGATTAGATGTGATTTTTCAACTTCTTTCTTTCTTTTTAGTTTATTCTGAGGAATTTTAAATCCCATTACTTTGAACAACAGTGATTTTTCTTAAATTTATAAAAGGTAATTGTTACCATAGAGTTAAACTTATGGGAAGAAGGATCAGAAACTGATATTCCTGTACACACTCCACAGCAGAATTGCTGGTACCTAAACAGTCACTTGTGTCAAGCACTATACTTTGGGAATGTAGACAATCAAATCTTGAAAATATTAACATCAAGGAAATATGTGATGCTGGTAGAAGCTTTTAGAGATACAACACACACACACACACACACACACACACACACACACACACACACATCATTCCACATATACACAAATTGTTTTAGAACTACAAAAAGAAAATCAAGAATATGAGTTTCTATTTAAGTGTTTGTTATTGAGATGAGTCAGAAATACATTGAATCCTCTTGAGCCACATCAAGGTGATTTTTTTTGGGGGGGGGGGTTGTCATTGTAATTGTTAATATACAATATGTTCAGTGTAAAGTATTTCCATACCACAGACTCCAAGACTCCAGCATTGAGGAAAATTCTTAAGCACCATGGACAGCTACAGCTTTCTTCTAGCAGTTCCACAGTTTAACAACGCTCAGGGACCAGTTAGGAATTCATTCAGGGCTCATAATCCGTGTGTTCACTGTGAAATTCCACCTTGAATTTTCAGACCATGGTGTCTCAGCACTTTCTTCTCCACGCCATTGTTGAACAGTTTGTGTACCATCTTTTGCAGCTCTTTCACAGTGTCTGGTAAACTATTGTAGATTCTAAGAATAAGTCAAAGTGATGTCCCCAAAGCCCCAGATCAGTGTGGTTGGGTTTTGTGGGGCACACCCAGGAGTTCTTAAGATGTAATATTTTCAGCTTTTATTTTAGATAGTGGAGGTACACGTTGAAATTAAAGATAATAATAAATTACAAATTTAAATTTTTAATAGAAAAAAGGCAATATAGCAAAGAAAGGGTTACCTACATTTCTTGATCATATTAGGTTGGTACTTACTTTTAATGGTGAAAACCACAATTACTTGTGCACCAACCTAATAGTACTAGCAACATAGCCTTTCCGGTTTACCTCCAGCCTAGTTCATTCATTTATGTCACTTCCCAGCCTCTGTAGAAATTTCATTATGTGAATCATATCATAGAGTTTCAGTGGGATTTGGAAGGACTTCAGAGTTACCTCAGTTGAAGACTGAGACCATGAAAGCTACTGTGGTTTGCTTGCAATCACATAACAATGTATGTATATATTTTGTGTGTGCATTGATGAACACAGTTTCTAGGTGTGATCAATTCTATTATGTGCAACTAATGGAAACCCAAAGAGAGCATGATTCAAAAGGATAAATAAAAACATGAGATAAAAACCTTCTCAGACATCTAGGTAGTTATATGAAGTTTGTCTAGTTTGAAATTCCTTTTATTTAATCAGTGAACTTGCTGATATTCTTGTAAGTACTCAAGATTTGACCTTAATTTTAAAAATGAAACTTTCCATAAATTCCTAAGTGCAACCCAGGCTGGTTCCTTCTTTCTCTGCTCTGCATCTCAACTTTCTGGGCCCTTTCTCCTCTATCGTTAATGGAGGTTTTAAGTGCAAACTCTCAAGCAGTCCAGTTCCTCTCATTTCTCAGCCTCAGCTCTCACTCTGTACAACAAAAGTCTAGGAAGCAATATGGTTAAAGGCAGAACTCCTCTCTGAGAGTGTTGTAAAGAACTCAGATAAAGCAAAACATGATGTGGAGTAGTCTAGGTCAGACAAGAACAAGAATAATAGTGCTAAAGAAATTACAACCAGGTAGCAAATTATCTTCAAGGTTTTAACATCTTAGCCACACTTTCTTATCTACTAATTTGGTGACAAGAGTGTTGTAATAAGTCCCCAGAGGAATAATGAGATGCTCCTACCCAAAGCTCAATGCTAGTAACCAAGGAAAAGAGTGTCTTGTGACTATGAGCACCAGGCTAGCAAGCTATGCCCCCAGAAAACTTCTTCAAGCAATAAAGTCTTAGCAGTTTATACCCAGAAGGAAGATTCCTCAGGAGCCTTGCAATTTGTGGTATTATATGAAGTAGAGGTAGAAGAGAGGTGACTGAGACTCCTTTTACAAAGGACTTGATTGCTTTCTTCTAATATTCAGTGTGACAGCTTATTGCACCTGGATTCTTCTTTCTCAAATAGTTTGAAATGTGTCAAGGGAAATGTGTCCCACTTTCACAGACCAGCTCTAAAATCTCAAACGGCAAGAAACCAGCATAAATTCAGAGAGAGTCATGAGGGAAATAAGTTGACACCACACTTTAAAGTTCCAGAAGTTGAAGAGGACTGAAAATGGGTCATCTTTCAATGAACTAAAAGAAAGCCTTCCCACAGGAAACTTTACATAAGCATTTGAACATGTATGAGATTCATGTCGAGGTCTAGTCATTCAGTGTCCGTGATGCAGTGACCATAAGCCTGGCTGCCAGTAAGAACCACAGGTGTCAGTCAAAGTAACGTGTGATGCTATAAGAGTGTTAAATTGGCTGGGCGCAGTGGCTCATGCCTGTAATCTCCACACTTTGTGAGGCCAAGGCGGGCCAATTGCTTGAGCTCAGGATTTCGAGACCAGCCTGGGCAACATGGTGAAACCCTGTTTCTACAAAAATTACAAAAAAAAAAAAAAAAAAAAAAAATAGCCAGGCATGGTGGTGCACACCTGTAGTCTCAGCTACTCAGGAGGCTGAGGTGGGACAATGGCTGGAGCCTGGGAGGCAGAGGTTGCAGTGAGCTGCGATTGCACCACTGCACTCCAGCCTTGGTGACAGAGCCAGACCCTGTCTAAAAAAAAAAAAAAAAAAAAAAAAAAAGTGTTAAATCAGCCAGGCATGGTAGCTTAAGCCTGTAATCCCAGCACTTTGGGAGGCCAAGGCAGGCAGATCACAAGGTCAGCAGTTCGACACCAGCCTTACCAACAGGGAGAAATCCCATCTCTACTAAAAATACAAAAATTAGCCGGGTGTGGCAGCATGTGCCTGTAATCCCAGCTACTCAGGAGGCTGAGGCAGGAGAATCGCTTGAACCTGGGAGGCGGAGGTTGCAGTGAGCTGAGATTGCGCCACTGCACTCCAGCCTGGGCGACAGAGCGAGACTCCGTTTTAAAAAAAAAAAAAAAAAAAAGTTTTAAATCATCTAGCCATTATATTTGTCTTTAGACATCCCAATCTGATTAGATCTTAACACATGTAGGATTTTCTTCTTGTAACTAAAGTTTTTAGTGGAATTTTCATTTAGTGGGGTCACTGAAGAACTAATTATTTGATGACCCTTTAATGGAAAAGCCTACTCCAGTATAATCACTGCAAGAGGCTTCAGATGATTTTAGTCATAGCAAAAAGAGGAGAAGGTGTACAAAACAACTAAGAAAATAATTTAAAAGTCAGCTAAAAAATTTAGAATCTCAAGCAATAGATTAGGCCCAGAACAAGTGAACAGGATGCTATGTAACTTTATTGTTGAGTAGTTTAACATTAGAATGTAGATGGCTTTGTATAGACTTCCATTTTTCTATAACTCTTTTAAAAAGACAAATCAATAGGATTTTTTGGTTGTTATGTTCTTAGTGACCTCTGAGGCAACCACTTTGGCAGCAACTTTTTATTGATAAATGCATTTTATCCTGATTATTTAAAAATTAGAAATTCATCTATAGTGCATATGGTAATTCTCGGTTAATCAAAGAACTAAACTTACCTAACCATTTCATTCCATCACCATTTCAAAATAAACTGGAGTGTACTGGGCTACTTGTGAGGCATCTTCTTCCTGTGGAACCTTAGTGTATCTCTCTTTGTGATCTAACATTCCCATTTTCTTTTCTGAAAACTTGAGAATCAGTGAACCAGCACAATATGCTCAAGTTTGCATAGAAATACACTGCAAAACTTGGAGCCCTTTGGCCTGTTTTCCAGGATGCTAGTCATTAACTGTTACCTTCTAATTCTGCCTCTACATCTTATCAAATATTGTGAGTCCACCTCATATGTCGGGAAGAACTCTCACTGTCTCTGGCAAAGTGAGCTGCAGTAGTTCATTATCCAGAACTCAGATATCAGATCACAAACAGCTTCAAACATCTGGAATAGCACTGAACTATGTTTGATGGGGGAGAAAGGAGCAGTGGTGGAACCAATGAATGTGTGTTGTAAAGAATATTTTACCCAGCCTTTGAGCATACAAAAATAACAATAGTAACTAAGAAGACCTGGAAACTCAGAGATTATAGTAGTGCCATTGATGGACCAGACTGAAAGCATTCAGATATGGCCAAGACAAAAGAAAGATAAAAAAGCAGAAAACATGTGGCAAACAACAGAAGAATAGGAAAGGAAAAGAGACTATGGGAATGGGGATGATGATAGTGGCTATAAACTGTAAACACCAAGAGCCTGTAAGAAAGAAAGGGTCAGATAGGGGAGGTAGGCAAAGGGGCTTATCAAAAAGCTATTCTAGGTCTCAGCAGTCTCTTAAGATATGATTGGCCTAAAGGCAAATATAAGACATCAGCCCTAAAAGAACACCACCGTGTTGTTCAGGAGAGTCATATTTGATGTGAGGATAAATCAGATCTCCCCTGGGATCACAGGAGAATGTCACTGCAAACAAAATTTACTGAAAGCCTTCATACATGTAGTTAACCAGTGAATGGGAGCTCCATGAAGCTAGGAACCCTGTTCTATCTATCATTGGGACCCACACAATTCCTGGCACATAGTAAGCCCACAATAAGTATGCTGAATGAAATAATGAATAAGCCATCATCATTGTCATGTAATCAGGATAAAATGCATTCATCAATAAAAAGTTGCTGCAAAAGTAGAGCTTTTGACTGTAGAATACTGTGAACAGGTGCAGTTAAATAGGGGTGAGCGTGTTGCACATGGTATCTTGCGATATGGATTAGGAAAGGCAAAAGGGAGAAATAGAAAAAGAAGGAAAGAAAACATAGAGTGACTTGGAATGGGAAAGCCTGGAAAACCTAGCCTGATAAGTAGATTATTTATCTTTCTCTGTTCTAAAATAACTTGGTTATAAAGGGAGGCTCTTCATAAAGCCTCTAATTTTGTAAGTTGTATATTTTGCCCATATATTGTTAAAGCTGCCATGATTAGCTGAATGGGGGTACCTCTTTTATTTGAGTTTTTGTCCCTGAAAAGAGAGAAAACTTTTCTTCTCCCCCACTTCAAAACAACTGCAACTCAAAAGAACTTGAAAAGACATGTTTGGAAGAGCAAATTAGAAAAACAACAGATTTGTATTAGTTGAATAATGCATGGGTATTTTCTGCTAGGTACTTTGCCTGGTTTTAGGCTTTGTACATAATCAGCATATAATGCAGCTGTATAAAAATTGCCAATTGCTTCTTTCTTCAAGAGAATGCATTTATAAGTACCCTCCAGCCCTCTGAGGAGCATGTAATGGTGTGCCTTGGTCACATTTGCCAGCTTATTTGTGGACTGTACCTGGGTTCAAACACAATGAGGACAGGTTGACTGTGCCTACAGGGAGTGGTCTTGTAGAAAAATAAAACTTTCGACTTTCAGAAAAAAATCCTTAGCACAGAGGTATCTGAGGAGCCATAATGTTGATTCCAAAGAACAAGCTAATACACAGATGGATGTGGAATACTTCCCAAGGGGTTCCATCATTTTTTTGTACCTTCAGGGAAATATTATTTCAAACCTGAGTCCTACTTGAGGATACTCGGTCCCTCTCCAGCTAGGCAATTATGACTCTAATCTTGAAGGGGCAGGGTTAATATCTTTGATCATCTTTCTGCCTGTCAGTGTATCAACTGAGATATTTTTCAGAAAGCAAAATATTATAAAAGAAAATACAAGAGGACTCTGATATTCCTTGCAAATACTATACAAAACACTCAAACTTGTTCATGAAAATGTATTTTGTAGGTATCTATAATTCTGTTCAAAGCTTGACATTGGGAAATACTTCAAAAACAATGTAGTCTGGCATCAGGTGTTTAGAAGTGTTAATTTCCTGATTATTATTATTATTATTACGGTGTTTGGTGGTGGTGGTGGTGGTAAGGATGGAGTTAGGGGGAAAGGTTGAGGCACCTTAGAAATAGACTTTTCCCACTTCTTCTCACATAAATTCTTGGATTACTTTGTATCATTTGACTTACATCTCTCCATTTGCTTCCTCTCCACCCCACCCCTGAGAACCACTGTTAATCCTCTACTCTACAAAGTAGCAGATATGTAGGGCAAACATGTCTAAAGATCTAATGTACGACATAAAGACTATAGTTAATAAGAGCATACTGTATTCAGGATACTTGCTAAATGAGTAGATTATAGCTGCCCTTGCCACAGAGGGGAAAAATGGATAACTGTGACATGATAGATATCTTAATTTGTTTCACTGTAATGACCATTTTACTCTATATATGTATTTCATAACATCATGTTGTATATCTTAAATAGATATACGCAAAAAAAATTTTTTAATACTCAAATGACTCATAAGGAATGCTTCTCCTCCATACAAATAGTGAAGGGAAAAGGTAAGTGATGTGGGTTGCCAAAATGGCTGACTGTACAAATCACAAACAAGGTTTAGAGGACTACTGAAAAGTTGACGAGACTCTAGAAACAGAAGTAAAGATGGCGATTTATTTTATTTTATTTTATTTTGTTTTATTTTAAAGAATCAAGATAACCCTGAAAGGGAAGGGCTGCTCTTGGTTTTTGATTCAGCAGTCAGTTTTTTTACAAGGCAGGCTTGGGATGCTGCCTTTATGGTTCTGCGAGTGCTGCACCCCATCTGGAAGAGGAATCAACTTGTAGGGCCACCTTTGGGGTCCTAATTCTGAGACTTGCACCCACCCTTGTTTGTGCATATGCACAGCTTCACAAAAGGGTGGCCATAGGTCACACACACACGCAGAGTTCCAGATTTTCTATTATTAAAAAGGATAGCAGTGTGTGTTGTTGTAGAAAGACTTTCATCAGTAAAAACCTTGAAAATGTGAAAGTAGATTTACTTAACTTTTAAAAATTCTAGTTAATATATCCAGAAGTTCTTAGTCCCCGGAGATTTTTAGGAACTGAGGTATTATGGAACTTCATTTAATAATTGGCTAGATCCAGGTTGTAGGAGAATACTCTGACCATCTACCAACAGTTTGGGGATTTTCTTCCCTTAGTCTCCAAAATGTGCAATTTACTTGGTGCTTGTAATTTCTTTTGAATATTTACAGTTCTTCCAGAAGAAAGTCAGCATCTTATAAATTCATCTAGTATTCTTGAGGAATTCAGAAAGATTATAACAAATCATCGGGGGGAAAAAAAAATCTCAATCTTACCAGTAAGTAAGGACTTCAGCACATGATTAAATTTCCTAGGGCTGGAGTTACTGAATTGATAGGCTTACACTCAGTAATGCTAATAAAAACCTCTTGGAAACACATTTTCAATTTATAACTATGAAGGAAAATGCAGGCCTTTCATCAGGACTTCTTCTCATTATCAAAAGGTCTTTTGCTCAAAGGCAAATAGACATCAATGTTAAAATCAGGTAAGAACATAGATTCTTGATGATATGAAATGACCGCAATTTTAGGTCTCAAACTTGCATACTATTCATAAAAGTGGTTGACAAATACATTTAAAATTATAATTTATTTTCGCATTCAAAGCATAATTTTAGAGAAGGTCAGTAAAAGTATGCCCATTATTAGAAAATGTGCTAAAGCCTTATCATTGTTATATAACAACCAATACAGATTTTAATAGCTAAATTGACTTACAGCTTTTCTGCTTGTGACATGTGTCCATTCTCCCAGAATGCAAACTTCCTGTCTCTCTTTTGACTTTACAAATGGCGCAGGTACTTCCTTCCTTCATTCATGCAATAAATATTTATAAAGCATCTACCAATCAACTAGATACTAGGTGCTAGCATACAGCAGTAAATAAAGCAGGCAAAGAAACAAGAAACAAAGAAGTATCTGATATGATGTTAGCTAGTGATAAATACTGGGAAGAAAAATAAAACAGGGAAAGGGGACAGAGAGGTGTAGGGTTTTGAAAAAGATTCCCTGGAGGTGACATCTGAGTACAGAACTAAATTAAGTGAGAAAGTGAATCATGCAGATATCTAGGGCAGTGATTCTCAACCAGGGTGACTTTGCCTCTCCAGGGACATTTGGTGTCTGGAGAAGTTTTTAATTGTCACAACTGGGGTAAGTATGGTACTGGCATCTGGTGGATAGAGAACAAGGATGCTGCTAAACACCCTATGCTGCAGAGGGCAGGTCCCTGTAGCAAAGAATTATCCAGCTTAAAATGTCACTAGCACTGAAGTTAAGAAACCCTGATCCAGAGAAAGAGCATTCCAGGATAAGAAGAAAGTAAATAAACACAACAGGCCATGAGATGGGAACTTGCTTGGTATATTCTAGGAAGAACTAGAGGGTGTGTGTCGCTGGAGCACAGTGACAAGCAGCTACAGATCAGGAAAAGAATTTGGAAGATAGCTCAGGGCCAGGTCACATAGGGTAACAGGCAAGACTCCTGCCTCTCATTTGTCTGCTCTGCTTCCCTCTTTACTAAGCTCCTATTCCAAACTCCCCAAGGAGAACTAGCTGGCTTTGCTGGCAGATGTCCTAGGCAGCTGAATGGGTTTTGGTGGGAAACAAGGATTTCACATATGTGTTTACCTGAAAAGTACATTCAAACCCATCTTGCACCATGATGGGAGATCTTATAGTTGGCTCTCCACAGGTTGCAAAGATCATTTCACTAAAGTTCTGGAATAGAGTTCTCGAGTGTGGTCATTACTAGACTCATGGCTCTTTGAATTTATGTTAGTGAAAATGAAATAAAATTAAGCATTCAGTTCCTCCAGTGTACTAGCCACATCACATTCCTAACAGCCATATGGAATCCTCGTCCTAAACGTGGAACTGACTGACCTCAGTCTCTGGAGCCGTTTTCTGTATTGCTCTTATCCTGACCTTCCCCAGACTTTTTGTGCTGAGACACCTACTGACATCTTGGAAGGGCAGCCACTTTGGTATTGTTCAGGGGCACAGAAAACTGTCCTCCATTGTCTCCAGGCCTCTCCAAATGATGTGTGGATGACTACCAGATTTATGCTTGATTGGCTAGCCAACTGCCCTTGTTTTTTGAAATAATGGTTCATAGGGGATCCTGAAGTCCTTTTGGGTTGGCAACTTGCGTTTAGAGCTCTGGTTCTGAGTCTAGTTTGTATCATTTCTCCTCACTGTGTTATTTTCCACTTGCCCACATTATCGCTTCTATTTTGCTTTTCTGCCTACACAACAGAGATTTTGTTCTAAGGTATGAGTATTACTCAGTGACTCTGTTTTCCAACTTTAAAAATAAGTTTAAAGAAGAAAGTATATTCAGAATTGCGGACATGGATTTCATATTTCTACTTAGTACATTGTATGGTATGTGCTTTGATTTTGTTAGTTGGATGTGTTCTTCTAGAAATGAAATCCTAGGCATTATCTTTATATCAAGCCAGCAATGGCTCAGATTTGAAAGGACAACAAAACTAAGATAAGAATTAGGCTCCTCAATCAGTAGAGTTTATCCTCACTCATAATTTTTTTAAGCTTTTGGTAGTGGATGCCTTTAAAATGTTCTTTAAATGTTTATGGCATTGGTTGTCAAATTTTGTGGCTTCAGGTTTCTTTTACACTCTTAAGCATTATTGAGGACCCCAAAGAGCTTTTGTCATGAGGACTGTATCTTTCTGTATTTACTATATTTGAAATTAAAACTGGGACTAATTTAAAGCTCAAGAAAATCCAAGCACATACAACTTTAGCCGTCAGAGCAATTGCATTATCACACATCATGTAGCCTCTGGAAGAATCCACTGCATGTTTGTGAAAGAATAAAAGCAAAAAAGGCAAACAGCATCTTAGAATTGTTATGAAAATAGTTTTGACCTCACAGACCCCTCAAATAGAAATGCAGTGACCCTCAAGAATTCCCAGACCTTACTTACAGAACTGCTAAGCACACAGTTATTTTGCTTCTAGAAAATATTTTTTCTGCTACTACTGGGTTAATCTTTCCTTGGCCTGAAGTGGCCAATAGATCTCTATGGAGAAGAAAAGAAAATAGGCATTTATTAAGTACATTCTCTGAGTCTGTTCCATCATCTCCCAACTTCCAGTTAATCACCAATCTCATTTCATGTATAGTCATCCATTTCACTGGCTTGAGGGTAGGATCATTTGTCCCTGTGTTCCTGCAGCACCCTCCTAGCTGGCTGATTTGCAGTCCTCCTGGCTTGTCTCTAGTCTTTCTCGACCTGTGGCCAGAGCGATCTGCCTAAAACCCCCATGAGACCATATTTGACCCTGATCTTTCCCACAGCCTTTTGGATGAAGTGAAACTTCCTCCGCATGGCTGACAAGGCCCATTCATGACCAGGCTCTACAGATCCCTCATATCATTTTCCTTCTTTCTACTGCCCCCACCTTCCTCCCCAGACTCATATCCTAGCACTTTTAGTTTGTTGAGCACCTGAACATTTGTGTTCTTTCTCATATTTGAACCTGTAAATGTGTTATTCCCACTGTCTGGAACTTCTCAGCTATTCCTGGCCGAGACCTACTGGTCCATTATATCTCAATGTAGATGTCACTTCAGTGAGGAAGACTTCTTTACCGCCACCACCCCCCTGATAGGGCTAGTACTCCTCTTATTTGCCCCTGTGATACCGGGCCCTCTCCTTGTCATGGCACTTGTGACACTGCAGGTAATTGTGTTTTCCTTGGTTATGTCCCCTTACCTGAAAGCATCTTGAGGTAAGGAAACATGTCTGGGATCATTTGCATCCTCTACCCATAGGGGCAGATGATGGTCACATGGTACACAGTTGTTGAATGATGAATTAATCAGTCAAAAAAATTTTTTCAGAGTGCTAGGGCTTTATTACAAATGGAGTTGACTTGTAAAGAGGCCCCTCTCCAATCTTTCTTCTGTACCCTCTTCTCTCCCAAAGACATCCTTCCACAGGAGGATTAGGGAGGAGGAAATCTGGTGAGTGAAAAGGGGCACTGCTTTTGCCAAAGTCCTCTGAAACAACCACTGAGTCCTTCTGGATCCAGTTGAGAATCTTCTAGAGGAAGAGGTTTAGCTCTCATCTTCAAGGTCCTTCATTTCTTTTTTTATTTTATTTTATTATTATTATACTTTAAGCTTTAGGGTACATGTGCACAATGTGCAGGTTAGTTACATATGTATACATGTGCCATGTTGTTGTGCTGCACCCATTAACTCCTCATTTAGCATTAGGTATATCTCCTAATGCTATCCCTCCCCCCACCCCCCACACCACAACAGTCCCCAGAGTGTGATTTCCCCTTCCTGTGTCCATGTGTTCTCATTGTTCAGCACCTATGAGTGAGAACATGCGGTGTTTGGTTTTTTGTCCTTGCGATAGTTTGCTGAGAATGATGGTGTCCAGTTTCATCCATGTCCCTACAAAGGACATGAACTCTTCATTTTTTATGGCTGCATAGTATTCCATGGTGTATATGTGCCACATTTTCTTAATCCAGTCTATCGTTGTTGGACATTTGGGTTGGTTCCAAGTCTTTGCTATTGTGAATAGTGCCGCAATAAACATACGTGTGCATGTGTCTTTATAACGGCATGATTTATAATCCTTTGGGTATATACCCAGTAATGGGATGGCTGGGTCAAATGGTATTTCTTGTTCTAGATCCCCAAGGAATTGCCACACTGACTTCCACAATAGTTGAACTAGTTTACAGTCCCACCAACAGTGTGAAAGTGTTCCTATTTCTCCACATCCTCTCCAGCACCTGTTGTTTCCTGACTTTTTAATGATTGCCATTCTAACTGGTGTGAGATGGTATCTCATTGTGGTTTTGATTTGCATTTCTCTGATGGCCAGTGATGATGAGCATTTTTTCATGTGTTTTTTGGCTGCATAAATGTCTTCTTTTGAGAAGTGTCTGTTCATATCCTTCGCCCCCTTTTTGATGGGTTGTTTGTTTTTTTCTTGTAAATTTGTTTGAGTTCATTGTAGATTCTGGATATTAGCCCTTTGTCAGATGAGTAGGTTGCGAAAATTTTCTCCCATTTTGTAGGTTGCCATTCACTATGATGGTAGTTTCTTTTGCTGTGCAGAAGCTCTTTAGTTTAATTAGATCCCATTTGTCAATTTTGGCTTTTGTTGCCATTGCTTTTGGTGTTTTAGACATGCAGTCCTTGCCCATGCCTATGTCCTGAATGTTATTGCCTAGGTTTTCTTCTAGGGTTTTTATGGTTTTAGGTCTAACATGTAAGTCTTTAATCCATCTTGAATTAATTTTTGTATAAGATGTAAGGAAGGGATCCAGTTTCAGCTTTCTCCATATGGCTAGCCAGTTTTCCCAGCACCATTTATTAAATAGGGAATCCTTTCCCCATTGCTTGTTTTTGTCAGGTTTGTCAAAAATCAGATGGTTGTAGATATGTGGCATTATTTCTAAGGGCTCTGTTCTGTTCCATTGGTCTATATCTCTGTTTTGGTACCAGTACCATGCTGTTTTGGTTACTGTAGCCTTGCAGTATAGTTTGAAGTCAGGTAGCGTGATGGCTCCAGCTTTGTTCTTTTGACTTGGGGTTGACTTGGTGATGCAGGCTCTTTTTTGGTTCCATATGAACTTTAAAGTAGTTTTTTCCAATTCTGTGAAGAAAGTCATTGGTAGCTTGATGGGGATGGCATTGAATCTATAAATTACCTTGGGCAGTATGGCCATTTTCACGATATTGATTCTTCCTACCCATGAGCATGGAATGTTCTTCCATTTGTTTGTATCCTCTTTTATTTCCTTGAGCAGTGGTTTGTAGTTCTGCTTGAAGAGGTCCTTCACATCCCCTGTAAGTTGGATTCCTAGGTATTTCATTCTCTTTGAAGCAATGGTGAATGGGAGTTCACTCATGATTTGGCTCTCTGTTTGTCTGTTATTGGTATATAAGAATGCTTGTGATTTTTGCACATTGATTTTCTATCCTGTGACTTTGCTGAATTTGCTTATCAGCTTAAGGAGATTTAGGGCTGAGACAATGGGGTTTTATAGATACACAGTCATGTCATCTGCAAACAGGGACAATTTGACTTCCTCTTTTCCTAATTGAATACCCTTTATTTCCTTCTCCTGCCTAATTGCCCTGGCCAGAACTTCCAACACTATGTTGAATAGGAGTGGTGAGAGAGGGCATCCCTGTCTTGTGCCAGCTTTCAAAGGGAATGCTTCCAGTTTTTGCCCATTCAGTATGATATTGGCTGTGGGTTTGTCATAGATAGCTCTTATTATTTTGAGATACATCCCATCAATACCTAATTTATTGAGAGTTTTAAGCATGAAGGGTTGTTGAATTTTGTCAAAGGCCTTTTCTGCATCTATTGAGATAATCATGTGGTTTTTGTCTTTGGTTCTGTTTATATGCTGGATTACATTTATTGATTTTCGTATGTTGAACCAGTCTTGCATCCCAGGGATGAAGCCCACTTGATCATGGTGGATAAGCTTTTTGATGTGCTGCTGGATTTGGTTTGCCAGTATTTTATTGAGGATTTTTGCATCAACGTTCATCAAGGATACTGGTCTAAAATTCTTTTTTGGTTGTGTCTCTGCCAGGCTTTGGTATCAGGATGATGCTGGCCTAATAAAATGAGTTAGGGAGGATTCCCTCTTTTTCTATTGATTGGAATAGTTTCAGAAGGAATGGTACCAGCTCCTCCTTGTACCTCTGGTAGAATTCGGCTGTGAATCCATCTGGTCCTGGACTTTTTTTGGTTCGTAAGCTATTGATTATTGCCACAATTTCAGAGCCTGTTATTGGTCTATTCAGAGATTCAACTTCTTCCTGGTTTAGTCTTGGGAGGGTGTATGTGTCGAGGAATTTATCCATTTCTTCTAGATTTTCTAGTTTATTTGCATAGAGGTGTTTGTAGTATTCTCTGATGGTAGTTTGTATTTCTGTGGGATCGGTGGTGATATCCCCTTTGTCATTTTTTATTGCGTCTATTTGATTCTTCTCTCTTTTCTTCTTTATTAGTCTTGCTAGCGGTCTATCAATTTTGTTGATCCTTTCAAAAAACCAGCTCCTGGATTCATTAATTTTTTGAAGGGTTTTTTGTGTCTCTATTTCCTTCAGTTCTGCTCTGATTTTAGTTATTTCTTGCCTTCCGCTAGCTTTTGAATGTGTTTGCTCTTGCTTTTCTAGTTCTTTTAATTGTGATGTTAGGGTGTCAATTTTGGATCTTTCCTGCTTTCTCTTGTGGGCATTTATTGCTATAAATTTCCCTCTACACACTGCTTTGAATGTGTCCCAGAGGTTCTGGTATGTTGTGTCTTTGTTCTCCTTGGCAAATTGGATAAAGAATCAAGACCCGGCCGGGCGCGGTGGCTCACGCCTGTAATCCCAGCACTTTGGGAGGCCGAGACGAGCGGATCACGAGGTCAGGAGATCGAGACCATCCTGGCTAACACGGTGAAACCCCGTCTCTACTAAAAATACAAAAATTAGCCGGGCATGGTGGCGCGTGCCTGTAGTCCCAGCTACACGGGAGGCTGAGGCAGGAGAATGGCGTGAACCCGGGAGGCGGAGCTTGCAGTGAGTCGAGATCGCGCCACTGCACTCCAGCATGGGCGACAGAGCGAAACTCCGTCTCAAAAAAAAAAAAAAAAAAGATTCAAGACCCATCAGTGTGCTGTGTTCAGGAAACCCATCTCACATGCAGAGACACACATAGGCTCAATATAAAAGGATGGAGAAAGATCTACCAAGCAAATGGAAAACAAAAAAAGGCAGGGGTTGCAATCCTAGTCTCTGATAAAACAGACTTTAAACCAACAAAGATCAAAAGAGACAAAGAAGGCCATTACATAATGGTAAAGGGATCAATTCAACAAGAAGAGCTAACTATCCTAAATATATATGCACCCAATACAGGAGCACCCAGATTCATAAAGCAAGTCCTTAGTGACCTACAAAGAGACTTGGACTCCCACACAATAATAATGGGAGACTTTAACACCCCACTGTCAACATTAGACAGATCAACGAGACAGAAAGTTAACAAGGATACCCAGGAATTGAACTCAGCTCTGCACCAAGCAGACCTAATAGACATCTACAGAACTCTCCACCCCAAATCAACAGAATATACATTCTTTTCAGCACCACACCACACCTATTCCAAAATTGACCACATAGTTGGAAGTAAAGCTCTCCTCAGCAAATGTAAAAGAACAGAAATTATAACAAACTGTCTCTCAGACCACAGGGCAATCAAACTAGAACTCAGGATTAAGAAACTCATTCAAAACCGCTCAACTACATGGAAACTGAACAACCTGCTCCTGAATGACTACTGGGTACATAACGAAATGAAGGCAGAAATAAAGATGTTCAAAGGTCCTTCATTTCTTCATCCTAGGGGGCTTTTGTCCTCTTTTGCCTTTTGAGCTGTGGCTCACTAGTCCTGGCTAGTTTTGGGGGGCTTCCACTTCCATGGCTGCCTTCTCTTTCTGGGCAAGCTGGATCTGCTGGAGAAGTTTTCTGTGCTTCTTCCTGGACAGAGTAATGTTGGTACATGCACTGGATGCCCACTTCTTGAGGTGGTGCTGCATGAGCAGCCCCTGGTCTATCACAGCCCCAACCACCCAGTACCTCAGACACCACTCCCAGTTCAATACCCACAGGTGGTTGAACAGCTTCTTCTTCAGTTCTGTTTGGGACCAGTTGATCTTTCCCCAGAGAGTCCTCATAGTCACGCCACAATGCCAGTTCCCAATCAGTCAACTTTTTAAGTATTTCCTTTATAATAAATGTCTTATTTGCATTATGTCATTTAATCATTATTTGCATTATGTCATTTAATCATCTTAACTTACTTCCATTGCCTAAATATCCCAGCAGCAAAGAAATAGTGAAGCTGGAATCTGAATCCTTTTCTTACCATCATATGCTGAGAACAAAGGGATCACCCAAATGGGGACAACTCACAGAAATGAATAAAGATTAAGGTAAATTTTCCAAGGGAGAAGGCAGGCAAAGAATCATTCTGACAAAGCAGCTGGGTCCTCTTTCAACTTCTAAGTGACATTGCTGGAATATTCCCAACCAGAACTCAGAGTAATACCACTAGAAATACTTGTTAAGGGAAACCGATCTGTTTCATCCTGAAAGTACTTTCCCAGTTGGCAGTTTTGAAAATGTCTATGCTCCTGGAGCTTTATAGCCTTACTTAAAAAAAAAAAAAAAAAAAGTTTGGTTTTTAAAATAAATTCCAAGAGCACTAGGGACATGAAGGTTACACAGACCTCCTTCACACTTAGTGGAAAATTCTTATCTTTTAAGTCTTTCTCTCTTCTGACAGTTTCTTGTTACATTGATTAAATCCCTGTGAGTTGTGAGTTGTTTTCTTCCAGTTCAGCCTCTTGGTTCCTGTTTATTTTTCCAGAAAGAACTCAGTAAAATTCTGAAAACAGAAAAGGAATTGAAAATATAGTTTTATTATTTATATTTTGAAAGAGGCATGTTCATAATAGATGCAAATACACAAACACAGGAAAAAAATTTAAATAATTTCCAGTAATTCCACCACTGTTGGTATTTTAATATGTATTCTTCCCATCTGTCTGTCTTGCACATACACACACTCTCTCTCTCTCTTTCCCTATTTCCTTCTCTTATGTGTGAATGTATGCATATTTTTTAAAATTTACCAATATAGTATCATATGGAACTAATTATGAAATCACCCTATTTCATTTAATTGCAAATATCTTTCCATGTCATTAATCATGTGCCTCTGCTTCTCAAATGTTAATGCATGTGCGAATCACTGGAGAACTTGTTGGAAATGCATAATCTCAGGCGCTCCCCCAGACCTACTACATCAGAAACTGAATCTTAACAAGTTCCAGGTATAGGTGAAAATATTGGTCCACAGATCACGTTTTAGTAGCAAAGGTTGAAATCTTTTTTGGAGATTGCACAGGGTCCCCAGTATTGATGCAGTTGATTTTATATAACTAAGCCCTATATGATCAAACACTGGAGTTATTTCCAATTGCCCTGCTAGGATGAGACACATTCTTACAAATATTAGCATATATCCATCATTATTTCCTTAGGAGAAAAAGTCCTGTAGATAGTTTGCTGAGTCATACATATTTTGAAGGAAATAATTTATTTTTAAGGATTACAAAATAGTGATTCATTCTTATGTGCTATGATTACATACTTCATAGCACATAAGACTATAAAATGTAGCCATAGTACTTCCTGTCATATATGTGCATTTTCCCCTATCTGCAGTGAACCAAGACAGAGCTTTGATATTTTTGATTATTCTGATCAAAGCACTGTTATCACTTGAAATGGTTTCACCTCTATCTTCAATTCATCTAATTTTATCCACCCTTCAACACAAGAGTTTTAATCTTGCTTCTTCCAGAAAGTCTTCCCTAATAGTCCAACTTACAGTGAGCTCACTTGCTAAATATTTTCACCATTGTTCTTTGGGCCAATTATGTCAAAACATACTTTCCTACTTTCTCTTGATACAACTTAAATATATGACTTTGGTCCCTCTCATCTCCTTGACTGGATTATGAATGACAGAGGGAATGGATCTTTAGTGTGCTTCATCTAAGCCCTCTGCAACCCCTCTCACTCCAAGAAGGTTTGAGTGCAATAGAGAAAGCACAGGATTTGGAATGAAAGGGCTCGTGTTTGAAGCCCAGCTCTGCCATTTACTGAGTATTGAAGAAATAAGTCATGTAATCTCTCTGAGCCCTAGCTTTATCATCTGTAAAATGGATACAGTATCTGCACTGCTTACTAAGATTCTAATCCATCATGTCATTTCCAAAAATTGTAAATAATTCACCAAAAGTCTCAATGTAGAGTTTGTATCTAAATTTGATATAAGATATGCGAGTATCTCTCTCTCTCTTTCTCTCTAGTACACACACTTACACACACAAACACAAAAGAATGTATCTCAAGCTCAGGAACTTTTACCCAACAACAGTATAGAAAGGAACTGAACAATATTGTTTTGTTTTCATTGCATTGCATTTATTTACTTTCTTTTTAAAAATTATTATTTTTTATTTGCAAATATAAATGTATATATTTATGGTGCACAACATGATGTTTTGCTATATGTATACTTTATGGCATGCCTAAATCAATGAATTTATTTATTTTCTATTTATGGCAAGCAATATTTGTTTTCTAGGTATGGTAGTGATATGAAGTTCACTTTTTAAATAAACATTTAAATTTTAAAAGGTAACTCAAGATAAAACACTTGGTAGTTAGTACCACGTAAATTAAGAAAATATGGCAAAATATCATGCTGATGTTATAAAAATGACTGAAGTTTGGGCAACATCTAACTATAGGAAGCCACTGCCAACTATAATGCAAGACGCAGACATCAGTTGTTATTGTAGCTATTATTATGTAAACTACTGAAAGACCAGTTCTGGGAGCCCTAGTTTTAATAGATTCTCAATAAAAAATACTCAAATGTAATTTAAAATAGAGCAAAAAGTCAAGTTTTCTGTTATGCGACAAGTCACCATGGGTTGTTAAATCTTGCAGAACCCCAAAGTGTATCGAGATCATTTGTTTGTGATGAAGTTAGATACAAATGTAGTGAGGGGCTTTATCAGAATAACTGAGATGGCTCAACATATATCAGTTCCAACTGGGAGAAGGTTTGTGAATAGATTGCTTTGCATAAGACATTATTCTTCATTATGAAAAACAATAAACGTTTTAGGAGCACCAAGTGTACAGAGAATGCTGGCATTTGACTAAAACCTGCATTCATGGGAAAAACAAAAGGTTTACTGTCCTTCAAATCATCATGATTAGTGCTATTGTATTAGAACTCAAAGCAAGTTCACAGTTTTCCATTTCACTCTGAAATCTCTCAAAAAAGGAGTTTTATTAATTCTGTCTTTACATGAAGAAATAAAATCGGTCAGAGAGAGATTAAGTGATTAGTCTAAGATCATGTGGTTTTTTTATAGCCAGAATGAAAAACAAGAGATTCTGACTCTATGTACCTTGTAACTTTGTTATCGTTTTCCATCCACGGTAGGCTACTGCTAGTCTTGGAGTATTAGATGATTTGACTCAAGTATTCTAGATTTGGATTGTGCCAAAGTGGGATTAAATTAGATGGATTAGATCAAATGGCAGGATTCAGTTAAATTAAGTGGGATTAAGATGAGGCCTGATATGATTGATTTCAGCATAGTGTGGAGGAATTTTCACCAGCACATTCTCCTGTCTCGGTTTTGATTATAAAGAGAAGAGGAATTCAAGAAGGCTCCTTCAAAGAATAAGCTGACCACAGTTTGGGTCTACTTGTGCCAGAAGATTGGTCAGCATCCTGCAAAGCAATAGTGTACTGTCTTCAAACCTGCGTCTTTATTTTAGCCCAGTAAGGTCTATTTCAAACTTACGGCCTCCAGAACTGTTCAGTAATAAATTCATGTTTCCTTAGGCCTCTTTAGTTTTTGGTAATTTTTTTACAGCAACAGTAGGAAACTAATACAACACAGCTCAGAGTTCTTCCACCCAAAGTGCGGGGGAGCTGGACTGTTTATGTATCAACTCCTACCGGTTGTGGACTAAGTGCTGCTTGGCATGGGGGTATGAATTCCTTAGCACTCAACTAAAGGTGGGTAGACGCTGGCAGTTAGAAATCAGCCAGAACACAGTGAAGTGCTAAGACTCTGGAAAAATGGACTGGGCACTAGCGGATTCCGCTACAATATGTCTTTTATCTGCCTCTTCCTTTTTAATCTGTCTTCACAGTCATGGTACATGCAGATCATCCCCTTCGATCAATCTACTAGCACCTAACAGGTTAATCTTCCCTAAACAGGGAGGGCCTTCAGTGGGTTGTTCTCTTTCTCAAAAATCTTCAACATTCCCACAAGAAAAGATTCTTATACAAGGTAGACCAGATTTCAAATAGTAAATTAGGACTCAATCCTCTGATACTTTAATCTTAGCTCTTGAATTTTTAAGTTTGGGTATACAGAATGAACAGCGAGTATTCTTGGATATCTATTTGTGTACAAAGTTCCAGGCTTGGCATACGAACCTTTGGAGTCTTGAAATGTTGATCCGTTAGGTCTGCATTTCTTAGAATAGCAGTAACACCATGAGGAAGTGAGAAAATTGATTTGAAAATGGAGAAGGTTAATTAAAGGAAACAAAATTTCAAAGCATGTGGTTGTCAGTTGACACTACAGAAACCAGGCCTGAGAAGTTCTGAGTTCTGCACATTTACAGAATGTCACAGGTATATTTAGATAAATCCAGAATCTAGGGAGATCTAATTGCTGAAATAATTTCAGCCTACCAAAGCAAGGACGTTCTTACCCTTCCTACTCTGCCTGCCCTAAAGGAAAGTGCTTAGAGTTTCAGAGCTTTCTGTGGAAAACTTCAGGCTCAAATGACCCCATAAAATTTGTCCACAGTCCTCACATTGATTTTCCCAAGTTCTGCTTACTTTGTGTTTGCTGTTTGTCCACATCGTAAAAGGGTGGAGAAAGGAAAAAGAATCCATACATTTTTAACATATCAAAAAAACAAAGTAAATAATATGCTTTAAAATTAGAATAGAAAGTGCTGATGCCAGAGCATTTTTTTAAATCCTTGTTTCAGAGTAAGAGTGGAGTGGGGAAAGACAGAGCCTAAGAAAGGAAGAAAGCTAACATTTACTGAGTCCTGCAAAAGGTGTTTAGTTCACATCCACCTTCTGAAGAAGCCAGTAATATCTCTACTTGACAAATTGTGAGGCTAAGGCTCAAAGAGGTTCTGTCATTTAAGTGATGTCATAAAACCAAGAAGTTGGTCATTTGGGATTTGAGTGTGTTCTCTGTCTTATCTATGTCTCAGGTGAGACATAGCTTGCATTTATATAGTACTTTTCAAAGCATTTTTCTTATACTGTCTTTAAACTTCATCTGTGAGGCAGACGTCAATTGCCACATTTTACAAATACAATTACAGAGGCTCGGGACTCTTTTGCCCAGAAAGACACAGCCAGTAAGCAGCAAAACAAATCTGGGTCATGGAGCTCAGGTCTCAGGACCTCTCTAGTGCACCCGTGTGTCCTAACCAGAAGGGGCTGAGTCATTGGTGTCCTGAAACCAGTCAGGAGCAGTTAGTTTATTTCAGAGAATCATCTAGTCAGAAAAAAAAATTTAAGACTTACTTTTATTTTTTCTAAATTATTAAATAATGGAATCTCCTTGCAGAAAATTTGGAAAACATACAAAGGAGAAAAATAAAAATCATCTGTAATACCACCCCCCAGAAATAATCACAAGTATTAATTTGATACATTTCTTTCCAGTGTTTATGATACAGATATGCATCCATACTGTATTTTTAGAAAAGTATTTTTAGAAAATGCATGTCATATATAGTTTAATATGCTGGTTTTCTAATTAACATTGGATGATGAATATTTTCCCAGGTCATTAAGTAATCTTAAGAAACTGCCTCATGTATCATAATATTGCATGAATGTAACCGTAATTTAGTGAAACATTATTCACTTACTGTTGAACATAATTGTTCCTGGTTATAAGCCTGTACATAATGCTGCAACTTTGGTATCTAAACACAAAATTTTTATTTCCAACAGCAGTGGATGAGAGGGGCAATTTCTCCATTTTGAGTGTTTTTAAGACTTTTGCAAGATGGATAGGTAGAAACAAATTCTTCTTTGAATTTGCATTTTACAGATTACAGCCACACTGAATATGTTTTCCCATGTTTACTTTGCCAGCCGTTCTTGTCCCCATGCAGTTCCACGTTTGTTTATATGCTAACACAGTACTCAGAGACCCAGCAGTAGGTACCAAGATAATCAGCTGTTACAGTAATTGCCAGAACCCCCGAGTCTGGGAACTGCCAGCACCAGAACATAAGCACCTCTAGGCAGGAATTCCATCTTATTCATCTTTGTAGTCCCCATTCCTGGTTCTAAGCCAGACACTTGCCAAGTTTTCAATACATTTGTTGAAAATATTACAATAGACCATATATTCTGATTTTGGCCTTCTAACTTGCTCTGTGACTTTCGACAAGTTCTCTCACCTCTCTGTGCCTCCATGTCTTCCACTATAAATGAATGGAAGTGTGATATGCCATACTTTGTGAGCAAAGTGCTAGAGCAGTGGTACAATTCCCATACAAAAGGTCTCTATGGGTGGGTCCATGTCACCTAGGCAGGATTCCTTTCCTTCTGCAATACAGAGAGTGAACTCTGTGTGTATTTGATATTTGGATTTGTGATCCCTTCCCACCTTTCATACTGATGTACTATAGCTAAAGCAAATTTCTTTTGTTTCTCTTTATATCCCCAGAGTGCACACTGCATGGCACATAGGAAGTCTCTAAAAGGAGCGAACAAATGAATGACTGAAGTCATTAAAGATGAAGGGATGAGTAAATGAAATATTAGAGCTGAAGGAGATTTTACAAATCTAATTTTAGAGTTCTTCTTGGTTACCATTTTATTTTTGTAGACACAGCTATACAGATTGACGGTCCCTTATCCAAAATGCTTGGAACCAGAAGTGTTTTGGATTGCAGATTTTTTTGTTTGGACTTTGAAATATCTACATATACATATATAATGATAGGTCTTGGGGATTAGACCCCAAGTCTCAACATCAAGTTTATTTATGTTTCATATACACATAGTCTGAAGGTGATTTTATACAATATTTTTGTTAATTTTTTGTATAAAACAAAGTTTTGGCTGCAATTTGACTGAGAACTGTCACATGAGGTCAGGTGTGGAATTTTTCATCTATGGCATCATGTCCGTGCTCAAAACGTTTTGGATTTTGGAGCATTTCAGATTTTGGGTTTTCAGATTAGGGATGCTCAACCTGTATTAGCATCTCCACCTTAGAAGCACTTGCTAGAATAAACTTAAATCATTTAAATAAGATAAATTTCAATAACTAGCCAGGGAAATTTAATTTCATAAAAATGTTTCCATATTAAAACATTTTTGTTCATTTTTGTTTTGTTTTGTTATTGGCCATGGTCTTAATATATATTTACATATATTAGAAGTATAGAGTTGTCACTTTTAGAGGGAACATACCATGTATGAAGGAATGATTAAATTAGAAATTGTTTTTTCAGGTGAACTTTGCCACCATATCAAAAAAATGTAAAGTTATTTCAGTTTCCGAAACTAATTTAAATGAGTACTTAATGATGTCAATGAAAAATGGAAAGTATGAATTGTGTCTTCTTTGAGGATCTTTTTCTTTAAAAGATGAACATGATTATTTTAACCTGCTAAATGTATATTTTTAAATGTTTCACTACTTGGTATAATAATACAATATTTCTAAAATGACAAAATGATAATTTTAGCTAAGCCAGTGTAAGGAAATTAAAATATTTACTTATAGAACTCACTCAGAACTTTTTTTGTATCACTTATTTATGCAATTAAAAAGAACAGATACTTTTTATGCTTTTCTCAATTCCTAAATTAGTTCTCTGGTTAGAACAAAATAGTGCCAAGGAAAAGATTTTTTTCTCTTCAACTTTTATTTTAAATTCTGGGGTACATATGCCGAATGTGCAGGTTTGTTTCGTAGGTAAGCATGTGCCATGGTGATTTGCTGCACAGATCAACCCATCACCTGAATATTAAGTCCAGCATCCACTAGCTATTCTTCCTGATGCTCTCCCTCCCGCTGCACCCCCGGCAGGCCCCAGTGTGTGTTGTTCCCCACCATGTGTCCATATGTTCTTAGAAAAAGATATTTTTAAAATAATTTCAGAAGTCATTATTTCAATTTCAATAGCCATTGATGCAATCACTTGTGTAGGTTCTTAATATATTAATTAAAACATTGACTAACATGTTATTTTTTTAATTTCCTAGAATTGTTATTGTGGATCATAACTGCTAAATATTTCAAATATAATCAGTTACACTTTTTAGCAATTAAAAATTTACCCCAATGCTTAGTATTAAGAACACTTAAAAGAAAATAGCTCGACATGGCATATGATGTATTGGGATCTATTATAACATTTTCAAACCAGGTACATGACAAAGTTACCTTATATACCTGGTTATTAGAAAAGAAAAACTCAATTCTAAAATGATGCCATTACGGTTAAATTTAAATTATATATTTGAAATTAAATTACAAATGTTTTAAAGAAAGCCCATACATTTTAATTTTATATTTTAAAACATGTAATAGCTTTACTACACATTAGATTTTCTTAGAAGTGCTATGTTTGTGGAGTTAAATTCCTGCTTCATGAATGAGACATTGCTTTTTCCTGGATGCAATATTTTCTTTTATCTTTCGGATGATATTAAAAATAGGTTTTATTTAATGTAACTTAAAACATACAAAAGATATAGAATAATATAGCAAACACCAGTAGACCCAAAATGCAGCTTAAGAAATAAAACATCACATACTCAAAGTTCTCTGAATACACATCCCAGTTACTTTCCTTCCTGCCAACCTCCCAGACTCAGGGATACCAAACACAGCCAAGGACAAGCATGGCGTACAGAGTGAAAATGGAGGAGCTGTGCAAATGGCTGTACTAGGCCCCTCATCAAGTTGATTTCCCTGTTTTTCCCATGTTGAGTCTGGAGGATAGCTAAAATGTATTGCCTTATAGATTTGGTAGACGAGTATGAATCCTTAAAGCAATGGTCCCAACCTTTTTGGCACCAGGGACCAGTTTCGTGGAAGACAGTTTTTCCACAGACCGAGGTTGGGGCTTAGGGGTGTGGTGAGGATGGTTTTGCGATGAAACTGTTCCACCTCAGATCATCAGGCATTAGATTCTCATAAGGAATACACAACCTAGATCCCTCACATGCACAGTTCACAATAGGGTTCCTGCTCCTGTGAGAATCTAATGCCACCACTGATCTGACAGGAGACAAAGCTCAGGCAGTAATGCTCACTCACCCTTTGCCCACCTCCTGCTGTGCAGCCTGGTTCTTAACAGGCCACAGACTGGTACTGGTCCACAGCCCAGGGACTGGGGACCCCTGCCTTAAAGTAGATATAGTAAAGTTGTTGCATGTATTTATTCAAAGCTTGTTAACTTTGTATAGTATCTTAATGAATGTGGTCCCCTGTAATTTGCTTTCCTTAAGTCAATATTATATTTATGAAGTGTATCTGTATTGAGATACTTAGCTCTAAGTCATTCATTTTAAGTGATTTTGGCATTCAAATTATATGAATAGTCTATAATTAATCTATCCATTCTCATTTGGTGAATGATTAGATTTTTTCTAGGTTTTTTTTTTTTTTTTTTTTTTTTGCTACTAACAAGCAATGCTGCTATGAATAATCTGTGCATCTCTCCTAGTGACATGTACAAGAATTTCTCTGAGACAAATCCCTACAAGCAGAATTGCTGGGTTTCACGTGGGTTTAGCTTCAAGTTTGCTAGATATTGCCAAATTATATTTCAGATTGGGTTGTATCAATTACAGTTTTTCTTCTTAAGATTTTTAATGATTTCTGTTTTCTCCAATACTTTTTTTCTTATTCAGTTGTTTGGTTGATGTTTGTGGGTTTTTGTCTTGACTTTCATTGTGAGGGCTTTCCTCAAGTGTCTGGTAAAAGGCAAGCCAATCATATTCCAAAGCCCAAAAGAGCCTTTGGAAGTCCTGTGTGAGTAATGGAGGCATGGGACAGGTGTGAACTGTGGGCTTCACTCTATTACAGGGTTTCTTTACAGTGGCACTACTGACATTTGGGGCTGGATAATTCATTGTTGTGAGGGCTGTTTTGTTGTTCTTTGCATTATAGGATGTTTAGCAGCTTCCCTAGCCTCTACCCACTAGATGCCAGTAGCACCATGCCCCTCCAGTTATGGAAATCAAAAATGTCTCTAACCCCTGGGGAAGCCCACCCCCGCCCCATTCCAGTTAGAACTGCTGCTCTAGGATAAATATATGGCTGGCCGGCCTTTTTATTTGCCCCAAATTTAAATCCCCAACGGCCTTCTCTCTGGGGTCATTTGCTTCTCCCCAGCTCCCATCTTTGCCGGAGGAAAAAGAAAAAAACAGGGAAATCAACTTGATGAGGGGCCTAGTACAGCAATTTGCACAGTTCCTCCATTTTCACTCTGTATGCCATGCTTGCCCTTGGCTGTGTTTGGTATCTCTGAGTCCAAGCCTCCTAGTTTAAATTCTGCAGATGCTCAGCCTCCTGTCTCCATAGGGTAGTCTCACTTGCCTGAATGCTGTGGGAAACAAGGATTTGTATTCTTTTACCTCTGTAACTAATATTGCCATGAAGTTTATCTTTGTGCATATCTGAACTCTTTATGATAAATTCCTAAAGTGAATTTTAAAATATGTGCAATTGACATGCATTTCTCCGTATATGAATTTTAACCCTTGATGCATATTATACCTAATAATCTAATCACAGTTCTTTTTTTCTTTGGGCAGCATTTACATTTAGAAAGTCTTTCGCCTGCTAGTTTCCCTGTAGCCTTTTCTTTATCAGAGAATAAAAGTAAAATAAATTATAAGTCCTCGATAGAATTTTAGAAAAAAATATTTTGTTTTCCTCTTCTCCGGTTAACAAATTATTTAGAAAAAATATTAGAGAGGAAATCTTCCATTAGTGAGAGAACAAATACTTACATAAATGTAATCTGTAATAACCTTGATTTAGGACTTTCCTTGTATAAAATACCTTTTATTAAAGCGTTTAAACTGAGTGGGAAGTGATTGAGCCAATTGCTAAGATAATATTATGATATCTTTACCCTATCTGTTGAGATTTCATCATTTATTATTTTCCTGTGCAAATAGGTAATTATTTTCCTAATCTTTAAAAGCATGTTTATTTAGAATGAACAGTGTAAGATTTGGGATTTTTTTTTTTAGAGAATCCTAGTTAACCATGTTTTAATTGGCAACTCTGTTTTAGTTGAACTAATTAATTTTGTCTTAGCAGTGAGAATTTGAAAATTATAATTTGAAGAGGATTTAACATACATTTTCATCTTCTAAGAAAGTTTCTATTGACCATTTTTCCTCCCCCAACCTATCTGTTTTTTAGATATTTATCTTGCTTGTGGGAAATAACCAAAAACTTAATTTAATTCTAGTTAATGAACAAAGACAGGTAAAAAGAAAGAAAAAGAAAGGAAAGAAGAAAGGGAAGAAGTTATTTTTAAAAAATAAATAAATAAATAAAGAGTGCCTCGGAAATCACCTTTATAAAAATCAAACTCATCTTTTCCCAACACTGTCTTCTGTACATGAGAAGCATCTTAAAAACAAAATGAAACTGACCTTTTAGGAGGGACAGGGAAGATGACTTTAGTGCTTATCAGTCTTGTCGATGTCCTTTTCTTATTTTTGTCCTCTAAATGTACTTGATTGGAAAAAACACCGTTTTTAAATCTCTTTATATTGAAGATATATAAAGAGTAAGAGTTTAGGTATATAAAGGCAATGCTTTCATCTAGTGATTTCTTGTCCTTGGTTTTAGACAGGGCCATCAACAACTGAAAAGGAAATCATTACTTCCTGTAGCAAAATTAAAATTAAAAATTAATAAACTAGTAAACAGTCATGGTGCACCTACCATGGACCAAATCCTTTGCCAACAGGCTGCATTCATATATAGACAAATGAATGATCAGAGACCTGGTTACACAGATAGACAAACCATTGATGGATATTTGGGTTGGTTCCAAGTCTTTGCTATTGTGAATAGTGCCACAATAAACATACATGTGCGTGTGTCTTTATAGCAGCATGATTTATAATCCTTTGGGTATATGCACACCAACATGGCACATGTATACATATGTAACAAACCTGCACATTGTGCACATGTACCCTGGAACTTAAAGAATAATAATAATAAAAATAAATAAGTAAATAAATAAAAGATAGACAAACCAACACTTTCATGGATGTTACCTCATTTTATGCTCACAAATGCCCTATCAGTCAATAATGTCCCCATTTTATGGACAGAAACACAACCTGTTAGAAGTTATGTGGTTAAGTGACTTGCCTAAGGTCAAATGGCTAACAAGTATGTATTTTTTGGATCTGAAGCTGATGAGTAAAGCTTGAAAAATGAGACAATTTGCTAATTGTAAACGTTTGGTCATTAATCAACATTCATTCATCTAACAAATTTTTATCGAGCACTTCCTATGTACTGAGCATTTTGCTAGGTGCTGGGAGACTACATGACTAATATAAAGTCCCTGCCCTCAAAGAGCTTACATTTGGTGGAGGAAGGAGACAATAAACACAGCAAATAAGAATGTGATGCATAGTGACAAGTGCTAGGAAGAAAAATAAAGCAGGCTGAGTGAATAAAGAGTGATTATTGGAAGGATGAGAAACCATTACTCCACCTGAAGTCACAAAATAAATAAAGCATCTTTTCTTTGCAATTCAAAGAGAAGGCCGTGTTTCATGTTTTACTGCTGGCATATTTTATCCACAGTGAAGCTAAACATGAAATTTAAAGACCAAAAAAAACTAATAAGGTGGCTTCAATTTTGTCGTATGGTATTACAGTCCATCTTCAAACAATATCTAAATTACAGTCTATTTTTTCTAGCATGAATCAAAAGAAAATCTAGTGAGGTCATTATTAGTGTCTGTAAAATTCTAGTGGAAAAAAACCTGTAGAAATCTGTCTTTGAAAGTCTGTTCCCAGAGTTCAAGTGGCAACTGTTTTGTGACTTGACAACATAGTTCATGGCTTTTAAAGATACATGACTTGTTCTGCTTAATGTGGTTTCCTGATAAGCCTTGAGAGAATTTTTTAAATTATACTTTTAGTTATGCATACATAATTGCCATTCATCTATGACATAAGTATGACATTTGGTATCTACTGCTTTTACAGATAGGTTAATGCAGTGAACTCCTTGGTCATTCTTTAGCCCTTTCTGAAGACAGGAGGTAACAATAATATACTTACCTCTTGTTAAAAGCTCCACATTTGACCATTTTACTCATTTTTATAATTCCAGTGTTTGCTTGCAAACAATCTTCCCTTGTAGTATAAAGGCATTGGAGTGCCCTGAGCAGAGGGGAGGGGTAGAGCTTTCAGGAAAGCAGTGATGAAACTGATATCCCTGGACAATATCAGCATCTCAAGGGAAGCAACTTTTATCCTCATCCTTGTTCTTGACTTGAACTCCAGTCCTTGTCCTATATACTAGTGTTGCCCAATGAGTGGAATCCAGTACTGTGACATTTGAAAAGATTTTAGGTGGTACCACAAACATTTTTAATGATTATATGCTTATTTTAACATATACTAGGAAAGTATATAACTGGTTCTGTACTTTTAACCAGAGAAATAAACCCATTTCTCAAAAGTTATTGCTTAGAAGCAACGAGGAAGTGAAAGAAAAGTGAGTCCTTTAAACTACTCTTAAAGTACTAGGTTAATAATCGCAGAGATAGAACCCAGCTATGGCAAAACCATGATGGTAGTGCATGGATGACTGAGGGCAAATGAACACAACCATCACTGTGGTCTTCAGTCACCTTGAGCCCTGCTTTTCCAAAGATTGATTCCCTATGGTCCTTTTCTTCATTTTCTGATAGCCTCTTCTCTTCACATCTCTTTTCTGCCCATGGGAGATTTCACAGCCTGGCCCTGTCCTGTGGGAGCCCCACTAGTGTGAGTCTCAGGGGGCTGGCATGTGGCTACACTGTGCATTGTTCAATCCTTGGAGGCCTTTGTCTATTGAACTTCCTTTTTTGGTTGAGGTAGTTAAAGACCCTTCCAAAGTTTCCCTTACATGCAGGTGCATCCTATATTTGTGAGGGCTCTTCTCATCCTTTCTTGTTCACACCTTCAAAGGAGGATGTTTCAGTGTTGCCAGTGGACTAAAATTGAGTGGAACACCTTGTGCTGGACGTCTGGGGCCTGAAATTATCTTGGGCAGCTTCAAAGGTTTTCATTATTTAACTAATTATCATATGAACCTGTTGTTTGAATGTGACACTGTCTTTTTCTTTTGCCAATACACATTCTCTCTCTGTCTCTCTCTCTGTCTCTCTCTCTCTCTCTCACACGCACACACACAATACGCCTCCCTTAGTGGTGGCTGTACTACTCCAGCTGATCCACTTTTCCATTCTATCGAAATCCACTGTGTACTGTGCACATTCATTATTCAGCATCAGGTGTAATCTAGTGAATTATAGGGGAAAAGGATTTGGAACCAGACTGAATATATAAAAGCCTACAGAATCACTTGTGTTCATTTATGCAAAAAGGAAAAAAGAGAAAAGCCACAGTAGTTTATGAAACTGAATTGTCCAGTAGCTACAGAATGGCTAGATCTAAGGAGGCCTCAGGCAGTACCATTTGGCCTTTACCTCTTTCTGTGTGTCTTCTGCATTCAACTTTGCTTTTCTGTCAGTTAGTTCTATTCTCAGGCAGGTTCCTTGTACAGTAAACAAGAAAGCCACCAGTAGATCTTAGCTTACATCTCATCAGCTTACCATCCCCAGAGGAAAGACAACCCCTGTTTCCAGTGCTTCCTCCAACAGTCTCAGCATTTCACCAGTTTGAGTCAAGTATCCAGCTTCTTACCAGTCCCTGCAAGCCCTACAGCCCAGAGGTGGGGCCTACTTACTGAATGAGCCTGAGTCATGCATCCTCGTGAAGCCGAGGGTGGGATCCATCCCCTACTAAATCAAACGGACCCACAGTAGGAGAAAGGGTGTATTAGTCAGAGCTCTCCAGAGAAATAGAACCAATAGGAGAAGTGTGTGTGTGTATGCATGCGCGTGTGTGTGTGTTTGTATAAAGCTACATGTATAAAGCTACAGAGAGAGAGAGATTTACTATAAGATATTAGGTTATTGCTCACACAATTATGGAGTCTGAGAAATCACATGATCTGGCATCTACAAGCTGTAGAGCCAGAAAAGCTGGTGTCTGTCTGGAAATTCGAAAAGCCTAAGAATTGGAGCACTGAGGGCAGTAAAAGATCAAGGTTCCAGCTCTGTCCTCTGCCTTTTTATTCTGTTCAGGCACTCAGTAGTTTGGATGATGCATACCCACATTGGAGAGGGCTATCTGCTTTACTCAGCCTGCCAACTCATTGCTAATCTCTTGCAGAAACACCCTTACAGACACACGCAGAAGTAATGTTTAACCAGCTATCTGGGCATCCCTTGGCCCAGTCAATTTTATGTATCACTTAAAATTAACCCAAACAGAGAGAGCCTCTAAGACACTTGAGATGCTATTTTAAAAAGAGGAGAGGTAGGTGCTGGGCAGGAGAAAATATCAGATCCAGGTGAGGGCCTTACACATTGGACATGGCCAGAAGTGGAGGCCATTGTTTATGATGAAGATTATATTAGATGTGCCACACTGACAAGCCCTTTCCCCAGCATGTCAATGGGCCTGTGGCATTTATTCCCTGCAAACTGTAATAAACATGACGTCATCTATCACACTCCCGTACTCTGTAGGAAAATGAATATTCTGAGCATTAGTCAGACATGTTGAAAGAAGTGCCCAATAATTCCTTAATATCCAAAATGCTTTCAGCAGCTCCCCTTACTAGTCAGAATATCAAATCATAGGAGCTGTATCAATCTTATTGAGACTAAATTGAGTTAACTAAGAATATGGCCTTTTGAGAAAAGCTCAAAACAGCAGAATTGTAGAATAAATGGCTGATTTATTTGCTCTTTTTTTCCTTCTTCGGGAGTCCTGGTGTAACCACTACACTTCTCCGTGGAGAAGCGCACTGGCTAAGGAGCCAAGAAAGCTGTACCATTTACAACTTAGGCCACTTAATTCACTTCACTCAGCCTCAGTTACCTTATCTGTAAAATGGCAATGATGATATTTGTCATATTGAAAATGTGATGAAATAATAAAAGTAAAACAACTAGGAAAATAGCTGGGGATTAAAGCAATGCTTAATATGCTGGTTTTTCTCTCAGCAAAGGGACTTTCATTATAAATTTAGAGTTTTGATAAATGTATATTAATCTGTTTCATAGAATCTAAAGTTTCATGTTTGGGTAAAATTTGGACTGAGGTAATATATATTGTGTACTCAATAACAATTTGAGCTTAACACTATGAGACTGTATTTATTCAAGTAACAGACTAAAAGAATTTAAATTCTGGTATCTCTGAGCATGACATGCAGGGACATGCAAAATAAGAGGCATTCCTCTGGCTTAGGGAAAGACATGTATGTTGGGGCCACATAAGAAACTTATATCAGTAAAATAATATTCAAAAATTTCTGCAAATGCACTCCTAGTGCATTTCCTAAATGAAAGCTATTCACCAGCAACACATTCTGCTTTGCGTCCTTAAAATGAAGATAAAAACAAAACTCATTCTAAGGAAATTTTCTTTCTAATCAACTTAACTGAAATGCAGCTTTTTTCTTTTTCTTTGTTTGTTTATTTGTTTTTCTTCTATGCAACTCTTTTAAAAAAGTAAACTTTCCTACAGCTTTTCCGTATACCCCAGTGACTACTTGGAATCACTTTTAGGTTTTGTGTTCAAACAAAGATTAACAAATGTGTAGTAAGTCTACCAAATGATACCCAGCTTTCTATCGGCACCATTTTCATGTTTTCTCATTGTACTTTGCCACAATACAATGAGGGAGATGTTATTCTCTCATTTTGCAATCAAAGAAACTGAGGCTCTGGAGAAGTTATATGATGTGCCTAAAGCCACACAATCAGTAATCCATAAAGCCAGGATTATCAAGTCCTGTTTTCTAAATCCAGGGCTCTTTTCGCAGGGTATTAGTAACATATTCTAAACTAAAATATTTTATTTTGCACATTTAATAGCACCTTACTTCAAGATTTATACAAGCTACAAGCTGAACAAATTGATTTGCAGGTTATTTTTAGAAATCATTTCACCCATCACTGAGAGGAGCCTTCACAGAGCTTTTCGAAAGCATACAAAAATATTGCCTGGCAGTTTAATGAAATGGTAAAAGAAGAGAGATAAATTACTGGAAAGTACAGAGTGTTTATGCATAAACACTAGAAGACACACATGGGGCAAAGGGATGACTCCCCACTGAACTGCCTTGTCTGAATTAACATTTAAGTAACGCAAGCACCTTTGTCATTGCCTGGATCCTGAGGGGTCACAGCACCTGACTGGAGCATTTGTCACCCAAATTATAGGGTTCAAATCCAATCCTAATGACTTGGGGTGCTAATCAAGACAGCTGAAAGTAGTAACTGGTAGGAATCTGATTTGGACTCAAGGAGGAATGCAAAGGTCAAAGCCAGAGAGCAAGTAAGTACCAAAGTCAAGTGTAAAGGTAAAACCCCAAACAGGAAAGTGGTCCTATGATCCCAAAGTTGGAAGCTCAAGAAGAAGTTGAGAAACACGGCGTGGAACACATTGGTACAATGTTTCAGAATGAGGAATGTGAACGGTGTGAGGAAGTCAGGAAACATTTTCCGTCATAGCTATGGCCTGATATGTGGGACCACCCAAATGGACAAAGGAATTTGTCTGTTTGCTCCCTAATTGATTTCACCTTCGAGTCTATCACACGAATTCCTACAGAGTTTCATAATGGCTCATAAACTTTAAGTAACTTGAGGACTATGTACACAAGGGGTGAGTAACATGCCATTTTATACATTACATACCCCAAACACAGTGAACTTGTTCCGTTTTGTTTTTTGATTTTTATTTTAGGTTCGGGGAACATGTGCAGATTTGTTAGATACATAAATTGTGTGTCATGGGTTTGGTGTACAGATTATGTTGTCACCCAGGTAATAAGCATAGTACCCAATAGGTAGCTTTTTGATCCTCACCCTCCTCTCATTCTCCACCCTTAAGTAGGCCCTGGTGTTTATTGTTCCCTTCTTTGTGTCTATGTGTACTCAATGTTTAGCTTGAACTTATAAGTGAGAACATGTGGTATTTGGTTTTCTGTTCCCGTGTTCACATAGGATTATGGTCTCCAGCTCCATCTATGTTGCTGCAAAGGACATTATCTCATTCTTTTTTATGGCTGCATGGTATTCCATGGTGTACATGTATCACATTTTCTTTAGCCAGCCTACTGTTGAAGGGCATTTAGGTTTATTCCATGTCTTTGCTGTTGTGAATAGTGTTGCAATGAACATACACATGTGTATTAGTTCATGCTCATGCTGCCAATAAAGACATACCCAAGGCTGGGTAATTTATAAAGAAAGGAGGTTTAATTGACTCACAGTTCAGCATGGCTGGGGAGGCCTTGGAAAACTTATAATCATGGTGGAAGAGGAAGCAAACATGTCCTTCTTCACATGACGGCAGGAAGGAGAAGTGCTGAGCAAAGGGAAGAAAGCCCCTTATAAAACCATTAGATCTTGTGAGAACTCACTATCATGAGAACAGCATGAAGGTAACCGCCCCATGATTAAATTACCTCCCATGGGCTCCCTCCCGCAAGACGTGGAGATTATGGAAACTACAACTCAAGATGAGATTTGGGTGGGGACATAGGCAAACCATATCAATGTACATGTGTCTTTATGGTAGAATGATTTATATTACTTTAGGTATATAGCCAGTATTGGAATTGCTGGGTCAAATGTTACTTCTGTTTTAAGTTCTTTGAAAAATCACTTCACTGCTTTCCACAGTGGCTGAACTAATTAACATTTCCACCAACAGTGTCTAAGCATTCCCTTCACTCTGCAACCTCACCAGCATGTTATTTTTTACTTTTTATAATAGCCATTATGACTGGCTTGAGATGGTATCCCACTGTGGTTTTGATTTGCATTTCTCTAATGATTAATGATGTTGAGCATTTTTTCATATGCTTCTTGGCCATGTGTATGTCTTCTTTTGAAAAGTGTCTGTTCATGTCCTTTGCCCACTTTTTAATAGGGTTGTTTTTTGCTTGTTAATTTAAGTTCCTTATAGATTCTGGATATTATACCTTTGTTGAATGCTTAGTTTGTGAATATTTTTCCCATTATGTAGGTTGTCTGTTTACTCTGTTGATAGTGTGTTTTGCTGTGCAGAAACTCTTTAGTTTAATTAGGTCCAATTTGTCCATTTTTGTTTTTGTTGCATTTGTTTTTGGCATCTTCATCATGAAATGTTTGCCAAGTCCAATGTCCAGACAGTATTTCCTAGATTATCTTCCAGAGTTTTTATAGTTTTTGGTTTTACATTTGTCTTTAATTCATCTTTAGTTGATTTTTGTGTATGGAGTAAGGAAGGGACCCAGTTTCAGTCTTCTGCATATGGCTAACCAGTTATCCAAGCACCATTTTTTGAATAGGGAGTCTTTTCCCCCATTGCTTGTTTTTTGTTGACTTTGTTGAATATCAGATGGTTTGGGGGTGGCTTTATTTCTGGGTTCTCTATTGTGTTCCATAGGTCTATGTGTCCATAGATCTATGTGTTTTTGTATCAGTACCATTCTGTGTTGGTTACTGTAGCCTTGTAGTATAGTTTGAAGTTAGATAACATGATGCCTCCAGCTTTGTTCTTTTTACTTAGGATTGCCTTGGCTATTTGAGCTCCTTTTTGGTTCCATATAATTTTTAAGATAGCTTTTTCTAATTCTGTGAAGAATGTCATTGGTAATTTGATAAGAATAGCATTAAATCTGTAAATTGCTTTGGGCAGTATGGCCATTTCAACAATATTGATTCTTCCAATCAATGAGCATGGAATGTTTTTCCATTTGTTTGTGTCATCTATGATTTCTTTGAGCAATGTTTTGTAATTCTCATTGTAGAGATCTTTCACCTCTCTGGTTAGCTGTGTTCCTAGGTATTTTCTTCTCTTTGTGGCTATTATGAATGGGATTGTGTTGTTGATTTGGCTCTCAGCTTAGACATTGTTGGTGTTTAGAAATGCTGGTGATTTTTAGCATGCTCCAGTGGCGCAGTCAGTTAGCATGCAGTACTTATACAGAAATGCTAGTGATTTTTGTACATTAATTTTTATCCTGAAACTTTGCTGGAGTTATTTATCAGATATAGGAACTTTTGGAGAGAGGGTGTTGTTTTCCAGGTGTAGAATTATATCATCTGCAAACAAAGATAGTTTGAGTTCCTGTCTTCCTATTTGGATGCCTTTTATTTCTTTCTCTTGCCTGCTTGCTCTGGCTAGGAATATTAGTACCATGTTGAACAGGAGTGGTAAGAGTAGGCATCCTTCTCCTCAAAACATAGTGAATTTGTTAACCCAACCAAGAACCAGATATGAACTCACCTCTGCAATGCTGCCATCTTGTCATCTGGGTTGCGTTTTCCAGGTTTCTTATATACCTACTTTCTTCACAATTTGTCTTTCGTAATGAAAGACCCAAATTCCAGATATCAACAAGTCTAGATGAAACTCACTACCCTGAAACCCTTAAAATGTTCAAGGGTCACCTTTGCCTGTCAGATAGACTGGGGTTTCCCCTTCCTTAGTTATTTGGTGCTGTTATGCTCACTTGTAGTGTGGGTCTTTAAGGTACTGCTCTCCCCAGCCACATGTCCTGAATGCTTCAGGAAAAGCACTCCATCTCTCTTTGATCATCACGGAAACTAGTTTTGATCATGTTGATCAAAAAGAGCATCATCAAGAGTCCTGAATGGAAGTTTGCTTTAAGGATGTTACCCTAGTTCTAGAAGAAGAACTTCCTTGAAGAGGAAAGAGGATGTCCTTCAGTGCAGCAGCCTGATTTCCAATGGGGGAAGGGATTCTTGCCTCTTTTAGAACAAACCACATCGTCCAAGGAGGACTGTCTGTCTCTTTCCCAGGCCTCAGAAATTTGAATGAAATGTCACAAAACAGTAAAAAAAAGTTGGAGCTTATTGGCCCTGCAGGGGCATCCTGAAAAGATTGCCCATCAGTTCCTGCTGCCTGGTCCCCTAGAGCACCCTGTGTCTACTGTTTTTAAACCCAATTCTTGATTTTCTTTCAATCCAGTGAGTTCCCCATTCCTTACAATAAATTGCCCTTTCCAAATTAAGCAGGAAGTTTCTTTTGCTTGTAACCATAGTATTCCAAGGGCTACTCCCCAGGAGGGGAGATGGTGAAAAGCCAGACACAGGGAGGAACTGCCAGGAAGTAAGAGAAACAAAAAGAGGTGTGGAGCCCCTGGGCCCAGGACCGGTAACCATGAAATCACCAACAGCTTTTTTAAGTGTTTCCTCCCCGCCTCAAAAAAATAATGTTTTTAAATGCTCCCATCTCAGCACAAGAAAGCTGTTCTAGCTATATAAAATTTCAGTTCTGCTTATGCTTAGCTAGATTTTCATCACGTGGTATAGCGGTCCTTGCTAATTCAGAAGCTCTGGTTGAAAGCCTCCATTTAAAATAAGTGGGAAAATGAACTAAATATTGTTGTGTTAGTGAGGTTTGGTTGAACACACATTTCATGAAAAAATAAATTTATGTTTCTTGGAAACTGAAAAAAAAAAAAAAGTTCAGAGCACAATTTCCAGGCAGGACACTGAATGTGAAATGAAGATCACCTGATCACAATGGCTAGGTGTGGTCAGACCAAATGCCCATCACCTTTTCTGGACTCTTCCATTTCCATAAAGACAATGAGCTCCTCCATCTTTCAAGATACCGCTCAACATCCATGTAATCTCCCAGAAACCTATGCTGAGGCAATAGTTCCTTTCCCTTTGCTTCAGTAGCACTCTAGGAGCAAAGACCTGTGTTTCCTGCTATCAGTTTTATAATTGTTCAGGTTCATCCTTCTGTCCCACTAAACTGCATCTTGCCTGTGGGGGATTTGCTTTCAGAGTTTTACCTCGCCGCACTTACAGCGTCTAGCATACAGTAAGTGTTCAATAGTTAATGTACTGTCCTTTCAAAGGATTTCATAGTAAACCTTTCCCTCCTCTCCCTTTGGCAAATGCCCTGCACTGAAATTTTGCATCAGCATTATGCTAGGAATGAAATTTGTGTAGCTGATTTTTCACGGTGGGTCCCTAGCTTTACTGCACTCATAATGTGTATTTTTTACTCTAAACCTTTTTTGAAACAGCTGCTTTCAGTTTTGTTTTGTTTTTTAATCCATCTCACTCTGAGACAGTACAGCTAATCAATACATGAAGTAAAAAGAATGGAAAATGGATGTAAGTCATGACTTTTCTGGGGTTTCCCTTTGGCCCTACCTTCAAAAATTTTCCACCTCTTCCATAACTTGCTTAGAATAAAGACAAATTAGTTTTCATGATGAATGTATTTTAATATCAACTAAATACATCTGTTTAATCCCAAATTAAAGATGCCATGATATTTCCTATGGATATTTCTTACAGTACGTTTGTGTATTTAGAGGTCACCTCTACTTAACGCTGTGTTTCTCCTGCTCCCTGTATTATTGCTGTGTCACACTATATAATGTAGTGGTTATACTTTGCCATGGAAACAGGCCTTTCCTCAGGGTTTTCTGCATACCATGGCCACAGAGATTGAGATGTTCCACTTCTGTGGTTTGGTGTTGAAGTTTTTCCCCTTTACTATTTTAGTTAAAATTTACAGAAGGGGAAAAGAGCTCTGAAGGTGAGGGTTGCTATTGCTGGCATCTTTATTCCTGCTACTATCCATTAGCAATTTAATTTAAGGTAATGTTTCTCCCGGTTGGGCTTACAGAAGGGCCCAGGTTGTATTCTCAGTTATTGTACTTCTGTATGCAACCGTCTACTATCAGCACCAAAACAAACATTCAATGTCATTTCACGTGTGCTGCCTTAGACATTGAGACTCTTACTCCTGGCCCAGGGAACATTTGTGGATGTTCATCACTGCAGGTGAGCATTGTTATAGTTAGAATCTTAGCTCTGGAAAAAATGTTCACATAAAGCACATCCATGATGCAAGATAATGAGTTTCAGAGGCTCTCTAGGTCCCAGTTCCCATTAACCCATGGCAGAGAGAACTGCATAAGAAATGTCAACGTAAAATCAAGCTAGCAAATTTGGACAGAAGAAAGGACGATCAATCACCCTGGCAGAACCCATCAATCAGTTCCTATTTCTGTTACATGAAGGAGTTGTTTCTGCAAACTAGTGTTTGTTACACCTCTCTCAAATATTCTGCGAACATAATATACTGCTTCTTAGATAAAGGTTAATTGAATGAGTCTCTAGAGAATGAAAGCAAATGATTTTGCCACTCACTAATCTATAGATCCTCAATATGTCTCTGAAATGCTCATGTTAACTAAGAACAAAGATGACAGCCAAGCCTGCTAATGTTCTACTAGTGGGCTCTATTATTGCCCACTGCTTTATTTTTATGGATTGTGCTGCATAAAGAATGTTTTTCCTCCAAAACCTTTTTTAGCTGAGCAGTATGAACCAGGGGCAAAGAAGATGGAGACATGGAAATCCCAGGGAGACCCAGTTCCTCCACAGGACCGTGGGTGGTTTGCTTTCTGCACTGCCCCCACACCTCAACTGGGTTAGGCTAGGGATTACAGCAGGGAACAAAAGAGACAATGTTCCCTGCCCTTGTGGAGATTACATTCTGGAAGAGGGAGCCATAGTATAAACAAAATAAGTAAATGAGATAGGATGTTAGTAGATGAGAAGGGCTATGGAAAAGCATGAAGGAGAGAAAAGAGATAGGGAGTTCTGCGGTGCAGAGAGGTTGCAATTTTAAATAAGGTGGACCGGAGAAAGCCTTCCTGAGAAAGGTGATATTTGAGCAAAGACTTGAAGGAAGGGAGGGAGATAACAGAGATCTATGTGGATAGCTAGTGTAAACAGCATTGCAGAGAGAATAATGGATACCTTTCTCTCCAGCTGGAGAGACATAAGCAAGGCAGGTGAGGTCAGAGAGGTAAGATTGGAAGCAGGTAGTTGTAGATCTGGAGTCTCTCTATAAGGGCATTGACTTCTGCTCTGAGATAGGGGGCCATTTGGAAGGCTTTCAGTGGAGGAGAAATATATTCTGACAACATTTTGTGCAGGGTCACTCTGGCTGCTGTGTTGAGAACAAGCTGGGATGAAGGCAGACAGGGCAGGGAGACCAATAAGCCAGAGGCTATTGCACTTATCGGGCAGGTGGTAATAGTAGAGGCCTCCAGAAGTGGTCAGATTCTGAGTGCATTGTGACACACACACACACACACACACACACACACACACAACTCTGGTATATATTTTGAGTTTAAAGTCAGCATAAATGTCTGATCATTTCTTGATTAGAAAGAAATAACTGTCACTAGTTGTGAACTTCTCAACATTGTGAAATTGAGTTTTCAAATGTTTGGAAGCCATGAATCTTTGCCTTAAAATAAGTAAATCTGAGTCATGGGAAAGACTGTAGAGGTAAGGGACCCCAAAATGAAATATATACTTTCATAAAGTTAGCTATGAATATATATATATATATGTTATAGAACTATCTGCATTTCTCATAATGTTTAAGAAAGTGGCGTTAAAGCATTATTGTTAACAGCCATTTTAATGAGCGAAAGTTGTACAAAGAAACTCGGATTTTCAGCTGAACCTTGTCAACAGTAGAGAAGGAGCTGTGGCAGACCCAAACCTCCCTGTGGTCTGCTTCCTTCATTTTCATCCCTGACCTCAGCCTTTGGGCAGTGGGTTTGCCTGGCTGTGGTCATCTGAGCCACACTCTTCTCTCTGTGTGCCCTGATACTTTCTGCATCCATGCCTTTGCGTAGACTGTGAGTTCTACCTGAAGTGCCCAGTTCTCCTCCACTGCTATCATCCTTCAGAACTCAGCTGAAGGGACACCTCTTCTGTTAGGGTTGGATGCTTCTCCTATTGGTTCCACTACACACAGGGACCTCGGCCTACTTTCAGTACTTCTCAGTGTTAATAGAGTTCTGTATTGTCTTTCCCTGTAGACTGTGAATTCTTTGTAGCCCCAGTGCTGGAATAATATTGTCTGGCACACAGTAAGTACTTAGTATGTGCTGCCAAATTCATGTTTAGTTGGAAGAGCCCATAATAGCTAATTACTTTATGTTAGATGCATTTGCAATGACCAGTTAAGGTTCCTTTCTGTGGTAATAAGAATGGCAACCATTTATGTGGTTAGGGTTCTCCAGAGAAACAGAACCAATAGAATACATACACACATAGACACAGACACACACACACACACACACACACACACACACACACACACACACAGTATATGTGAGGAGATTTGTTGTGGGAATTAGCTATTGTGATTGTGGAAGCTGAGAGATCCCAGTTTTGCCATCTGCAAGATGGAGAACGAAGAAAGCCAGTGGTGTGATTCATTCCAGATCTGAAGGCCCAAGAACCAGGAGCATCAATGACCAATGGCAGGAGAAGACAAATGTCTCAGTTTAAGCAGAAAGAGCAAATTTGTGCTTCCTCTACCTTTTTATTCCATTTGGGCCCTCAATAGATTGCACAATGCCCCCCGACATTGGTGGGGGTGATCTTTACTCAGTCTACTGAGTCAAATGCTAATCCCTTCCAAAAACCCCTTCACAGACACACCCAGAAATGTTTTACCAGCTATCTGGGCATCCCTTAGCCCAATCAAGTTGACACAGAAACTTAACCATCATGATTTATTATGATTGTCCAGCCTCCCCAGTACTGTGTAAGACACATGGCAAATATCTCATTCAGGCCTCCAACAACCTCTAAGGAAGGTGTGTTTTATCCCTATTTTATAGGTAGGAAACTAAGGTGCAGAAGAGCAAGGAAGTAATAGAAATAAACCTTTATGCATCCTTAGAGATAACCAATATTGATAATGTAATAAACCTAAAGACACTATTGCCCTTTGGTATGTATAGGTAAGTATTCTGTAAACTGTAACTTGTAAAAACCTGCCACAAGCTGGCCTATAATAATGCAAACTCGGATAACAGGGTGGGTGACTGCCTCAATCCCCTGCCAGGTCCCTTTTCTCAATGGAAAAGTCGATGTTCTCATCTTGAGGGTATCAGGGCAGGATTAGAACCTGAACATCTGGTCATCATTTGCAACTCCATCAGCTCAGCATTCAGTCAGTTGTATAAGTTTTACTTTCTTCACTTGCGTGTCTTTTGTGACAGCACAGACTGACTGAAATATATTATTTTTCATTAACCTCCTATTCACAACTCCACATTTTACACAATTGATTTTTTTATCCCACCTAGCATGTTATCAATTCTGTGAACAATGAGAAGGTATTTAGAAGAAACCCATTATTGTCTCTCAGATAGGCAGTCTCTTCATTCCAGACATTTTGTAGAGGAGCTTTGAGTGAAATCTTAACATAACTAAAAATGCCAGCATGTATGAACTATTTAGCAGATTCACCTAATTTCTGTTAGTTGAAAAGGCAAAGGCTCTGTATTTATTAATTATAGGGAGATCTTCAGATGTCTTCTCAACATGCTATGGTAAATGCTTCTGATTTTCTTTGGATGAACAGTAAAATTCAAGAAACGAAGACAAGAAATAGAACCTGCAATGTTTTTTAAATAGAAAAATAAAGGGTTACACTAGACCACTAAGTTAAAGAGAAATCAAAAGGCTAGTGCTTTATTTGGTTGTTTTAATCATTTCATGGGTTTGCCCAGGTTGGTAAGGAGGTTTTAAAGTCTTGAAGTCTACAGATGCATGCCAGTGAGATGCAACTTCCTGCAGGTTAGGCAGCTGCAGAATGAGGTGCAAAGCTTCTTACCAGATATAGATGTAGGAGAAGGTTCTGTGTGCTACACAAACTAGATTGTTGGGTGGTGTAGTGGAAAGAACACAGAATTTAGAGTCAGAATAACAAAGGAAAGCAGCCATGGAGGGCTTCCGTTATTAAGCACCTGCTCTGCGCTAGGCTTGCCACCCACATCTTCTCATTTAATCTTCATAACAGTCCTGGGAGTCAGTTATTAGCCTGAGTGATGGGATGAGGAAAGAGACTCAAAGGGGTTGAGTCATCTGCTTAAGCTAGATCTGCGAAGCTACTGCGACAGAGATAAGATTTAAGACCAGGATTGTCTGGTTGAAGCCCTCTGTTCCTTCCATGGCGTCTGATGCCTGGAACCTGGCTCTGTCATTGGTCATTGTTTTGTGTGCTTGTGTGTGTGTGTTTATATTTTATATGCTTATGTTTGCTTATATATGTTTGTATATGTATTTGCTTATATTAATATAGTATATAATAAATGTATATGTTTATATAGAATATTTATACTATATACAAATCTATAATATATAATAGATATCACATAATATAGAATGTGTGTTATGTGTAATGTATACCACTTTGTATATTGTATACAATATTTAGATATGTAAATGTATTTGTATAGTTTTTAAAATATGATGCAGAATGTTTATTTGATTTTAAATTGCCAAAATTCATGAGAATTGAAGGTTTTATTCAGTTTAATTTGAATTTTCTAATGAAAAACTTTTTAACTTTAAGGTCAGGGGTACACATGCACGTTTGTTATACAGGAAACCTTGTGTCATGGGGGTTTGTTGTGCAGATTATTTCATCACCCAGGTATTAAACCTGGTACCTATTAGTTATTTTTCCTAATACTCTACCTCCTTCTGCCCTCCACCGTCTGATAGACCCCACTGTGTGTTGTTCCCCTCCCTGTGTCCATGTGTTCTCATCATTTAGTTTCCTACTTGTAAGTGAGAACATGTGGTATTTGGTTTTCTGTCCCTGTGTTAGTTTGCTGAGGCTAATGGCCTCTAGCTCCATCCATGTCCCTGCAAAGGACAAGATCTCATTCTTTTTTACGACTGCAGAGTATTCCATTGTGTATACGTACTACATTTTCTTTATCCAGTCTACCATAGGTGGGTATTTAGGTTGATTCCATGTCTTTGCTATTGTGAATAGTGCTGCAGTGAACATACATGTGCATGTGTCTTTAGAATAGAAGATTTATATTGCTTTGGGTATATACCCAGTAATGGGATTGCTAGATTGAATGATGTTTCTGTCTTTAGGTCTTTGAGGAATCACCACAGTATTTTCTACAGTGGGTGAACTAATTTACACTCCCACCAACAGTGCTTAAGTGTTCATTTTTCCCCATAACCTCACTAGTGTCTGTTATTTTTTAACTTTTTATTAATAGCCATTCTGACTGGTGTGAGATGGTATCTCTTTGAAGAAAAACTTTTTTATTGTTAAAAATGTTAATAAAGAATTCTCTTAGGTTAAGAAATTAACTATTAAATAATAAAATAGTTTCTTTCCAAAGCCAAATCTATCCTTCCTAATATGCAACTCAATAGTGGACAAAATTGTATCCGTTTTTTATGTGACATTTTAACTGGAATGGGATTGCCAGATAGTAAACATCTCCACTAATCAAGGGTTTATTTATTTATTTGCTTCCCCTAGTCTTTATCTTACTTACCTAATTTTTAATGAAAAACTCTTTTTAAGAACTTCTCCTACCATATAAGATACACATGTGGAAAAAAAGTGCCTCCATTGTGGGAAAAAAAATAGAAGATATAGATAAACAAGGAAACAAAGGCACACAGTCAGCTGCCGCAGTGCCAGGACAGAGCCCAGCTCTTCAGATTTCCAGGTCTATCTGTTAAGATTCTGGCAACGGCATGGGGAGGAAAATGGCAGATAATAGGCAGGACTAAATTGCACCTCCCACTCAGATGGACAGAGCAGCTTGTGGAGACTCACATTGTGAACTTGTGCTCCAAGAACTACTGCAGGAACATACCAGGAAAGCCAAGAGAATCTACAGACCCTTTGAAGGAAGCAGATTGCTCCTGCAGGCCCCGGTAGACAGCCAAAAAACTGTGAGTGCCTGAAGTGTGAAAGTGTGAAAGGGGGATCATCCACCCCTGAACACACACCATCACTGGGGAACCTGAAGGTCCAGATCACAAGAGAAGTATTTGACCTTACTTGGAGCTGAGAAAATTTTAGAGAGCTGAGCAAAATACAGGGGTAGAAGTAGCAGTGGGAAGAGCCCTATGGGCTCTTGGTCCCCAGGGAAGCCATTTCTTAGTTTGTCTCAGAGAGTAAGACAAAGTAAAGTACTCTTGGGGAGTGCTGCCAGAGGAACTGGAAAAGACCACAGGAAGAAGGAAACTTCCAGCTGAACTTTGTAACAATTTTGACCAAACATGAAGTTTCCTGGACAGAAGTCAGGGGAGGGGGTGAATAGGGAGTGCAGACACAGCACGAAGCCACAGCAGGCGGGGAGGCACAAAACCTGAAAACCCTGTTTGCTTTCTCAGCCTGGGGTAGGTTTCCAGCCCTGCTCACCGGCTGGCTGAAAATAAACTTGGTGCTTTTGTGGGGGCACGGTAGGAGCGAGACTGATTTTGGGGATTGTGTAGGAGCTGGGTGAGGCCTGTAACTGCCGGCTTTCCCCCACTTCCCTGGCGACCTTCATGACACAGCAGAGGCAGCCATAATCCTTCTGGGAAAATAACTCCATTAGCCTGAGATCCATACCCTCATCCTCTGCAACAGCACAGCAAGCCGCACCCGAAAAGAGTCTGAGCTCAGACACACCTAACCATGCTTACACCTGATGGTCTTTCTCTGCCTGCCCTGGTAGCTGAAGACAAAGGACACAATCTCTTGGCAGCTCTAGGGCCCTGCCCACCACCTGATCCTCCCTATACTATGGCAGCTGACACTGTCTTGAAATTGCCACCTCCTGGCAGGAGGCCAACCAATACAAAACTAGTGCAATAAACAAAACTACAACTAAGGACCCTCACAGAGTCCATTTCACTCCCCTGCCACCTCCACTGGAGCAGGTGCTGGTATCTAAAGCTGAGACCTGAAGACAGTTCACATCACAGGACTCTTTGCAGACACCCCCAGTACCAGCCCAGAGCCCAGTAGCTCCACTGGGTGGCTAGATCCAGAAGAGAAATAATAATCACTGCAGTTCAGCTCTCAGGAAGTCCCATCCCTAGGGGAAGGGAGAGAGCACTACCTCAAGGGAGCACCCTGTGGGACAAAAGAATCTGAAGAGCAGCCCTTGAGCCCCAGATCTTCCCTCTGACATAGTGTACTCAAATAGAAGGAACCAGAAAAACAATCCTGGTAATATGACAAAACAAGGTTCTTTAACACTCCCAAAAGATCACACTAGCTCACCAGCAGTGGATGCAAACCAAGAAGAAATCCCTAAATTGCCAGAAAAAGAATTCAGAAGGTCAATCATTAAGTTAATCAAAGAGGCAGCAGAGAAAGATGAAGTCCAACTCAATGAAATTTTGAAAAAGATACAAGATAGGAAGGGAAAAATCTTCAGTGAAATAGATAGCATTAAAAATCATAACTTCTGGAAAGGAAGGACACACTTAGAGAAATGCAAAATGCACTGGAAAGTCTCAGCAGTAGAGTCGAACAAACTAAGAACTTCAGAACTCAAAGACAAGGTTTTCAAATTAAGCCAATTCAACAAAGACAAAGAAAAAAGAATTTTTTAAAAAAATGAACAAAGCCTCCAAGAAGTTTGGGATTATGTTAACCAAACCTAGGAATAATTGGTGTTCCTGAAGGAGAAGAGAAATCTAAAAGTTTGGAAAACATATTTGAGGGGATAATCAAGGAAAACTTCCCCGGCCTTGCTAGAGATTTAGACATCTAAATACAAGAAGCTCAAAGAACACCTGGGAAATTTTATCACAAAAAGATCACCTAGGCACATTGTCATCAAGTTATCTAAAGTCAAAACTTAAGAAAGAATCTTAAGAGCTGTGAGGTGAAAGCACCAGGTAACCTATAAAAGAAAACCTATCAGATTAACAACAGATTTCTCAGCAGAAACCCTACAATCTAGAATAGATCAGGGCCCTATCTTCAGCCTTCTTAGAACAATTATCAGCCAAGAATTTTGTATCTAGAGAAACTAAGCTTCATAAGTGAAGGAAAGATGCAGTCTTTTTTCAGACAAATGCTGAGAGAGCTCACCACTACCAAGCCAGCACTATAAGAACTGCTAAAAGAAGCTCTAAATCTTGAAACAAATCCTTGAAATACACCAAAATAGAACCTCCTTAAAGCATAAATCTCACAGAACCTCTAAAACAAAAATACAATAAATAAACAAATAAACAACAAGATATTCAGGCATCAAATAACATGAATAGAATAGTACCTCACATCTCAATACTAGCATTGAGTGTAAATGGCCTAAATACTCCACTTAAAAGATACAGAATGGCAGAATGGATAAGAATTCCCCAACCAAGTATCTGCTGTTTTCAGGAAACTCACCTAACACATAAGAACTCACGTCTGGGCGCAGTGGCTCATACCTGTAATCCCAGCATTTTGGGAGGCCAAAGCAGGTGGATCACTTGAGGTCAGAAGTTCGAGACCAGACTGACCAACATAGCGAAACTGCATCTGTACTAAAAACACAAAAAATTAGCTGGGCATGGTGGTGCACACCTGTAATCCCAGCTATTCTGGAGGGTGAGGCAGGAGAATCACTTGAACCTGGGAGGCAGAGGTTGCAGTGAACTGATATCGTGCCACTGCACTCCAGCCTGAAGGACAGAGCAAGACTGTGTCTCAAACACACACACACACACACACGCACACACACATACACACACAAGAACTCACCATAAACTTAAAGTGGTGGAAGATATTCCATGCAAATGGACACCAAAAGCAAACAGGAGTAGCTATTCTTACATAAGACAAAACAAACTTTAAAGCAATAGCAGTGAAAAAGAACAAAGAGGGACATTATATAATGATAAAAGGACTTGTCCAACAGGAAAATATCACAATTCTAAATATATATGCACCTAACACTGAAGTTCCCAAATTTATAAAACTGTTACTACTAGACCTAAGAAATGAGATACATGGCAACACAATTAATATTGGAGGACTTCAATACTCCTCTGACAGAACTAGACAGGTCTTCAAGGCAAAAGGTCAACAAAGAAACAATGGATTTAAACTATACCCTGGAACAAATGCACTTAACAGATATTTACGGAACATTCTACCCAACAACTGCAGAATATACATTCTGTTGACCAGCACATGGAACATTCTCCAAGATAGACCATATGATAGGCCATAAAACAAGTCTCAATAAATTTAAGAAAACTGAAGTTTTATCAAGTACTGTCTCAGACAACAGTGGAATAAAATTGGAAATCAACTCCAAAAGAAGCCCTCAAAACCATGCAAATACATGGAAATTAAATAACTTGCTCCTGAATGATCATTGGGTCAACAATGAAATCAAGATGGATATTAAAAAATTCTTTGAACTGAATGATAATAGTGACACAACCTATCAAAACCTCTGGGATACAGCAAAGACAGTGCTAAAAGGAAAATTCACAGCCTTAAATGCCTACATCAAAAAGTCTGAAAGCACAAATAGACAATGTAAGTTCACACCTAAAGGAACTAGAGAAACAAGAGCAAGCCAAACCCAGACCCCGCACAAGAAAAGAAATAACAGAAATCAGAGCAGAACTAAATAAAATTGAAACAAAGAAAATACAAAAGATAAATGAAACTAAAACCTGATTATTTGAAAAGATAAATAAAATTGATAGACCATTAGCAAGATTAACAAAGAAGAGAGAAGACCCAAATAAGCTCAATTAGAAACAAAACAGGAGCTATTACAACGGATACCACAGAAAGACAAAAGATTATTCAAGGCTACTAGGAATACCTCTACATGCATAAACTAGAAAACCTAGAGGAGATGGATAAATTCCTGGAAATATACAACCCTCCTAGATTAAACCAGGAAGAAATATAAACTCTGAACCAGACCAATAACAAACAGTGAGAATGAAATGGTAATTTTGAAATTGCCAATAAAAAAAGTCCAGGATTCACAGCTGAATTCTATCAGACATTCAAAGAACTGGTACCAATCCTATTGACACTATTCCACAAGATAGAGAAAGAGGGAATTCTTCCTAAATCATTCTGTGAAGCCGGTATCACCCTAATACCAAAGCCAGGAAAGGACGTAACAAAAAAAAGAAAATTACAGACCAATATCCCTGATGAATATAGATGCAAAAATCCTTAACAAAATACTAGCTAACCAAACCCAAAAGCATATCAAAAAAAAATCCACCATAATCAATTGGGTTTCATACCAGGGATGCAGGGATGGTTTAACATCTGCAAGTCAATAAATGTGACACACCACATAACAGAGTTAAAAACAAAAATCATATGTTCGTCTCAATAGATGCAGGAAAAGCATTTGACAAAATCCAGCATCTATTTATGATTAAAAGCCTCAGCAAAATCGGCATAGAAGGGACGTATCTTAAGATAATAAAAGCCATCTATGACAAACCCACAGCCAACCTAATACTGAAAGAGGAAAAGTTGAAAGCATTCCTGCTAAGAATCAGAACAAGACAAGGATGCCCACTCTAACTACTTCTATTCAACATGGTGCTGGGAGACCTAGCCAGAGCAATCAGATAAGAGAAAGAAATAAAGGGCATCCAAATTGGTAAAGAGGAAGTCAAACTGTTGCTGTTTGCCAATGATATGATCATATACCTAGAGAACCCTCAAGACTCCTCCAACAAGCTCCTAGACCTGATAAATGAATTCAGCAGAGTCTCAGGACACAAAATTAAAGAACACAAATGAGTAGTTCTGCTATACACCAACAGTGACCAAGCTGAGAATCAAATCAAGAACTCAACCCCTTTTGCAATAGCTGCAAAAAATAATAATAATAAAATACTGAGGAATATACCTAACCAAGGAGGTAAAAGACTTCTACAAGGAAAACTATGAAACACTGCTGAAAGAAATCATAGATGACACAAACAAATAAACATGTCCCATGCTCATGGATGAGTAGAATCAATATTGTGAAAATGACCATGCTGCCAAAAGCAATCTACAAATTCAACGCGATTTCCATCCAAATACCACCATCATTCTTCACATGTGATGTTTGGTTTTCCAAACAGTAAATGCTGCTGTTTAGGAAAGCTCTTTGAAACAAAGATCTAAGTTTCTCTTTATTATCAAACCTCCTTGTAAATAGTAAATGATCACAGAATTAACCCCATTCTAATCTGACTTTTTAGGCTAATTAGTTTGAGGTCTTGGCACTGGTGGCTGGATTAACAGTTGTTATCAGGGATATCAGAAATGTTCCTTAGAAAGCCATAAGGTTCATCGAGCACAGATAAAGCAGGCCTTCCTCTACCACCTGGTAACCTAGGCAGTGACAGCAACTTATGGGACACATGGAACAATTATCCTTACCCTGAGACATACAAGAGTTTGGGCCATGTCTGCCTCTTCATCCTAACCTATATTTATGGGCCTGGGAATGTTCTAGAGGCTGGTAGAGCTAGGATCAAATTCTGACTACATTTATTTGCTATATGCTCTTGGACAAATAATGTAATCTCTCTGTATCTAAATTCCCCCATCTGTAAAATGGGAATAATAATAGCAATGAAATAGGATTGTCATAAGGAATAAATAAAATAGGGCATAAAGTCCCTGGCACTTTGTAATGGTAGCCATCATAGTTATTATTATTTGAGGAGCAAAATCATGCATAGGAAATTATGAGTTCTTTTCACTTCCCAGGTTGATAGACTATGTGGTTTTTGTAGAGTTGATTTTTGTAAGATTACATTAATAATAAATAGCTTTAAATATTTTGTTCTATAGTTATATTTGGAAGCTTTTGTCAATATCAGCACTGGGAACTAGGATGTCAAAAAACTTAATAAGGAATAACCCAGGCTAGATGAGATAACATGTCTCCCCATGACCTTCATTCTTACTTGTACTTACCACCTACAGCTACAATTGAAAAGGGGTCTCAAGACTGAGATCTGATGTTCCTGATGGCTTCCATTGGTGCCACAAGAGATGGGAAGGGGTGTGGAGGCTGTGGACTTGTGAGACGGAATGATATTTCACAGAGTGCTGAGGATTTTACTGGGGTATATATTTCAGAGCTCTCTAAATGCAGGCTATTCTCTGAATGCCTGTCTTGAGGCAGACCCATCTAACACAGAAGATAATCACCAAGGACCAATAATTGTGGGATGTTCTCCAATGTGGGGGCACTGTGGTAGACAGAATGATGGCCCCGAAAGATGTCCACATCCTCATCATTGGAACCTGTGAATATTTTATGTTACATAGCAAAGGGAATTAAGATTGCAGATAAAATTAAGGTTGCTAATCAGCTGACCTTGAGATGGGCAGAGCACCCTGTATTATCCAGATGGGTCTAATCATCACAAGGGTCCTTAAGGCAGAAGAGGAGAGTGGAGTGATTCTGTGGAAAAAGGTCTCAACTTGCTGTTGCTGGTTTTGAAGATAGAGGACAGAGGCCACAGGCCAAGAAATGTGGGTAACCCCTAGAAGCTGGGAAAGGCAAGGAAATGGATTTTCCCCCAGAGCCTGAAGGCAAGTATCAGCCCTGCAGAGACTTTGCTTTTAGCTCAGTGAGATCCATGTAAGATTCTGACCTACAGGAGTTTAAAGTAATAAGTTTGTGTAGTTTAAGTCTCTAAGTTTGTGGTTATTTATTGTGGTAGCAATTTTAAAAAGCTAATATCTGCATTGTTGACATTTTGGACAGCACGGTTCTGTGTTTTGTGAGACTACCCAGTGCATTTTAGGGCCGTTAGTATTGCTGGGTTCTGACCACTTATGTGAATGCCAGCACTTCTCCCCATAACCCACCACCACTCCCCACCCAACCCACTCACACATTTCCTCCTGCACCACAAGGGAGCTGTGTTCCACTCCTGGTTGAGAACAGTCTCCAGAGCAAGGGTGAGCCTCTCTTTCTCTTTTTCTTCTCCTGGTTTTGGAGTTCAAGGACTCAGACCTGAAGACCCAAATTACATATGCTTTTCCCTCTTATTCTCTTCTTCTTTCAAGCTATGAAGAATAACTATACCGTATAAGATATAAATACAATTTAGCCAAATACCTGATCAGATCTTATCTTCAAATTACCAGGCCAAGTGCCGAGGGAGCAAGAATATTTATAAAACCTTCTGTTCTCCAACAGAGACAGGCTGATGAAATATAGCACTCATTCACTTATTCATTCAGTACTATGTACTGAATAGTACTATGTACTTTTATATACATAACACTATATTAGGGGCTATGGTCACAGAAAAATGAAAAAGACCTGATCTCTGCACCAAAGGCACTTCAGTTTAACAAAGAAGAAATTCTTGCAGGAATAACTATCATATGAGCTAGAATATGGTGGAGGCCATGAAAGAGAAGGTTCAGGGTTGTGTATCTGTGTGTGAAGATATCGTAGGATGCACAGGAGAGGAAACTATTATTTCAAGCTGACAGAAACAGAAAATGTCGGAGGCAGGCGGATACTTTGAGCCTGGGAATTTGAGGGCTGCAGTGAGCAATGATGGATGGCGCCACTGCAGAGGGAGACCCTGTCTCAAAAAAGAAAAATGTGTATTTCAAACAGTCAACAGCATTTGAACTAGAACTTAAAGGGGAAGTAGGAATTCTACAGGTAGAGGAGAACAAAGATTGAGCATAGGCATGCAGGTACGGAAATGTTTTGCGATTTGAGGAAATTGGTCCCAATCTACTGCTTATATTCTGTGAAGGCAGCAGGGAGGAGCACTGGAGCATCTGGGCTGTGCAATTTCACCCAGCTCTGGGGTTGAATCCTGACTCTGTTGCTTACTAGCAGTGTGATATTGGGAATGACTTCCATGCTCTGAGCCTCAGTGTTCTCATCTATAAGACAAAGATAAGAAGAGCCTGGTGGGATCGCAAAATAAAATATATTGGGGGATGTAGAGTAGTGGAAGATAAGGAGTAACAGACTGTTGGCAATGAACAACTGAGATCATAATTTACTTCAAAAGTTGTTGGGTATCTGGTGTGTCCACACTAGGGCCTGAGGAGGCAACAATGACTTAGAAAGAGCCTCCACATCCAAGGAGCTTCCAATGTGGCCAAGGAGATAGATGTGGGAATTAAAACATTAAAAATACAGTAAGAAATGTACAGGAATAGAAAGAAGGTCAAGATACAAAAGGGCTGCTGAGATGGCAGTGGATGAGAAGGAAAAGTCCCAGAAGTCTTGCTAGAGGAAGAACTATCAGAACTAGCAGCGGGTTTAAGAATAATTTTATAGGGTGACAAGACAGAGAAAAACATTTCCAGGCAGAGAGGAGCAGCACGGTATTGTTGATAGGCTGCAGACAGCATGGAACAGCTGGAATACCAAGTGCAGGCTGGGGCAAGGAGTACTTAAATATAAGGCTTCACAGGAGGAAGAGATCATTCTGATGGGCTTCTCATGCCATTCCAGGGAGCTGACCCTCCAGTCTATAGGTCTTGGGGCCAGTGCTTCACTGGGGAAGAATGGGGCAATTTAGAAAGCTCCCATGGACTGAAGTAGAGAATGAATGGGAGAGCTCCAAGACTAGAGGCTAGAAGACCTCTAAGGGGCTATGATGGAAGTTCAAGAACACTTGGTCCAGGGAGCAAACATAGGGGTGGAAAGAAGGAAGGAGCTGAAGCAGTAATTGGGAGGTAGAACTACCAGGATGCAATGACCAGTCAGACCTGGGCAATAAGAATGAAAGTGTTCGGGACAATATCAGGCCTCTGGTTGGGCAATGGAATCATTAACCAAGATAGGAAATGTGGGAGAAAGGATGGACCTGGGTGGGAAGGTAGAAAGGATAAATCACAGTGCATTCAGTTTCGAATACTTTTTATTTTGAGACACCTGAAGAAAATACAAGGGGAAATAACCAGGTTGCAGAAGGCATGGCTTTGGCAAGCTCTCTGTCATGATTTTAGCAACTTCTTTCTTTCGTTATGATCCTTAACTCAAGGTTTTATTTTCTCTTTTTATGTGATAAATCATTGAGGTTGTGTTTTTAAATGTCCAGAAAATCGAGTTACTTCTTTTTAATAATGGCATCTAGATTTATGAGTATCTTAGCTGAAAGAACAGATCCCAGTTATACAAATATTAAAAGTACCTGATCTTTATTAATTTGTACTGAGTGTTTTGTTTTAAATATTTCAAGAAAAGTAAGAATTATTGTTTGTGTAGCTCTGATAATGTACACATAAATAGCACTTGTCATGGTGGGAACACTGTGCTTTAGAAAAGATAAAATGTCTTAGACAAAGAACAGAGTCCCACTTAGGAAGCAGTTTACCATCTGAAATCATGAAAGGCACCAAGTACTATAACCTCAGGGAAAGGACAAGATGTCCTGCATTGAAAAAAACATAATGGTTTTAGTAGCCCTTTAGACAGGGGAAAAAAAAGCTGCTAGTCAAGAGAAAGTGCTATTTTGTTACCAGTACATGCTGTTCCCATGAGTTATTGGAAATAAAGAAATATATACTCTCTACACTGCTGGGCTTTCTAAACTCTGCACTAAAAATACCTTATAGTTGCACAAACAGACAGAACTAGAAAATTATTTTTATTTTCTTGAGATATTAAAGGGAGCTTGCACCGATCCTTAGTGTCTATATTCCACAGTTTCCCTACACTTCTCCCACATTCAATTGAGGAAATAAAAACAAGATCCTCTCTACTTTATTTTAAAATAATGATTTTTTTAAAACAGTGTCTCACTTTGTTTCCCAGGCTGGAGTGCAGTGGTGCAATCACAACTCACTGCAGCCTCAACCTCCCAGGCTCAGGTGATCCTTCCACCTCAGCCTCTTGAGTAGCTGGGACTACAAGTGCATGCCACCATGCCTGGCTAATTTTTGTATTTTTTTGTGGAGATGAGGTCTCCCCATGTTGCCCACGCTGATCTCAACTCCTGGGCTCAAGCGATCCTCTTGCCTTGGCCTCTCAAAGTGCTGGGATTACAGATGTGAGCCACTGTGCCTGGCCAATAATAAAAATGAGTAAGATGTATCATTGAAATGCTCCAAAGGAGAGCATCATATTACTTATAAAATATTTTATAAAAGCTAACCTCTGATTATTTGCATACCATATGCTCTTTACATATACTAACTCATATCATTACCTTCACTTTTAATGAATGAGAACACGGGCCGGGTGCAGTGGCATACCCCTGTAATCCCAGCACTTTGGAAGGCCGAGGTGGGTGAGGTGCTTCAGCCAAGGAGTTCAGGACCACATGGAGTCTGGGCAACATGGAAAAACCCTGTGTCTACATATATATATATGTGAATGCACTATGTACATACACATACACACACACACAAATTAACCAGGCATGGTGGCGCGTACCAGCTACTTGAGGGCTGAGGTGGGCAGATCACTTGAGCTCAGGAGGTCAGGCTGCAGTGAGCCATGATCATGCCACTGTACTCCAGCCTGGGTGACAGAGCGAAACCCTGTCTCAAACAACAACAACAAATAAGGAAACTGAAACCTGTGGGGTTAAATGATTCACCCGACGTCTCTTAGCTAGTGTGTTGCATTACAGGCAATACATATCTACTTTTGCCTGATTCTAAAGCCTGTTTCCATAGAGAATTCTACCACCAATGCATTTCAATTGAAGTCTATTAGGTTTAGATCAATCATGATAAACTTCCTTTCTCACGATGGCATAAACACCCACCCAGTTACCCAGGCCAGAAACCTGAGCATCCCAGCTGCCAGCCCCTCACCCTCGCCCCCACATCTGAAGTGCTAGCAGTCTTCAGTTCTGCCTTCTCAGCACCTCTCAAAGTCATCAGTTTCTTCTCATCTCCACTGCCACCAGTGAGCGTAAACCGCCTACTTTTTCCTTGGACAATAACAACACTTCTAAACAATCTCCCATGCATTCCCCTTTATCCAGGGCCATGCCTTGCAAAACTCACCTCAGATAGATGGTGTCATTCCCCTGTCTACTGCTTCTCACCGGCTTTCCTCAAGAGCAGGCGGATCTTACTGGTAAGAGTGAGGGCCTGCAGTATCAACAGCCACACAGCAGGCAGCCTTGAAATTCTATGAGGAAGAGGAGGTATCCTTAGAATCAGCAAACCTGGTGTTACAAGGCGTATTTGTTTTCTAGGGCTGCCGAAACAAACTACCACAAACGGGCAGTTTAGAACCACAGAAATTTATTCTGTCATAGTCCTGTAGGCTAGAAGTCTGACATCAAGGTATTGGCAGAGCCATGCTCACTCTGAAGGCTCTAGGGACCCTTCCTTGCCTCTTCCTAGCTTCTGGGAGTTGCTGGCAATCCGTGGCATTCCTTGGCTTGCAGCTGTATCACCCCCAGTCTCTGCCTCTATCATCATATGGCCTTCATCTCTGTGTGTCTGTCCTCTGTGTCAAATCTCTCTTCTCACTCTCCTTATAAGGACACCAGTCATTGGATTTAGGCCCACCCAGATCCAGTATGACCTCATCTCAACTTCATTACATCTTCAAAGACTCTGTGCCAAATAAGGTCATATTCACAGGTACTGTGGATTAGGACTTCAACATATCTTTTGGGGAGACACAATTCAACCTGCTTCACCAGATTTGCCTGATAACTTTGCACTTTCAAACCTTGGATTTCTCATTTATACAACAGGAATGCTAATATCCAATTTTCAGGGTTACTGTGAACATCAGACTTCATGTGTGTCATGTGTTCCTCACAGCGCCTGCCTCACAGATACCATGCTGTAAATGGCAGCTGCTTTACAGCCAGACTTTTTTCTTTAAAAATTTATTTGTAAGCTAACTTCTATTCTAAATGCACCAATGAAACTTACCATTTAAAGAAACCCTGCATCAAAGCCGTTGTGAAACAAAGAAAAATAATCTTCCTAATTTATGTTTTGATTCTGACTCCTACATGCTGAGTGTCTTTATAGCAGGATATACAGACTATCACAAAACAAACCAAAATCCAAACTCAGATTTTAGGTTTATCCAAGGGTGTTAATCTATGCGTGATGTGACTTCAGACTAAGCTGGCAGAGAAACTGATTGAGGAAACCCATCCATGTTCCCTACACGGTCATGACCATTTCAAGGCGAGGCACCACAGTGCTCAGGATGGCAGGTGCAGCTAAGAGCAGCTTTGCCATCTCTTTTGCTTTCGTCCATCCACCTGCTTATTAGAAGGAGAGACAGGATATTGGAAGGGAAATCAATTCCTCTTTGCAAATTCAGATCTGCACCCTGGTGCCCTGCTGCCATCAGGCTTGTTACTAGCAGCTTCAGTGTCTTGCAGTTGGTCTCAGCAGCCCTGGGATTCCTGTGATAGCAGCAACCATGGTGCCAGGCATATGCATGCTTAGTTTAATCAGTGCTATTAGGCAATGTTTGGGCAGACTCCATTACAGAGAGTGGCAGACGCACTTAATGAGGGAGAAAGCATCATTGCAGAAACAGGAGGGCACAGTAAAGCAGTTTCTCACACTCAAAAGCTGGAGTTGACCCCTGCTCTCTGACAGCCTGACCCCCTGCAGGACGTGGACCCAGGGCCTTTACTGCTGTTCTGATCCATTCCCAGGTCCCCAGGAGCCTATTCTGTTGACAAGTCAGGAGGCATCTTCTGTCACTACCGTTCACAGTTGACAGATTGCGGAAGGGGGCAGGCTCTGCTGGTGGGGGGACTGCAACAGAAAAGACCTGTGGCTATGCATTGTGCTCTCTCCCATGATCTGTATAGAGACTACCCCTGAGCTAGGGTTTATTTGAAGCGATCGGAAGGCTTCTGCTCTAGAACTTTGTGGGAACTGGGACCTCAGCACAAAGATCAGCTTCAGGGACACACAGACATGGACTCTTATTCCTCTCATGGCACTCACTAGCTGTGCAGCCTTGAGCAAGTCTCCTGACCTCTCTGAGCCTCTTTTTCCTAATCTGTAAAATGTGGGTAGCAGCCCCTCACTTGCAGGGTGTCAGGAGAATTAAAGTTCTGTCTTTCCCTTTCCTATTCCAGGAAATGAGCCAGTATGTTGGGCAGTTAGCCATTTACCTATTTTGCAGGTGATAAATGCAGAGCGTATCTTAGCTCAGAAACCTATTTTCTTTCACAGTTATAAAGATCAACTGACGTTTTGTTTAGCATATGCTATGTAGCATTCCTGCATTCATTTTATAGGGACAGTATTTGGTATTAGTGATCTAAAACCAGTTAGACATGGAATATACACATAACACATACACACACGTGCACACACAAAACAGCTCATGGGGCAGTGAATGAAACCAAGGAGCAATTGTGAGTATATAACATAAATTTTGATAAAAGATATTCAGAAAATGGGCATTAAATCAAATTGAGAGGTGGTAGGGGACAGGGTGCTTTTTGAAAACAGGTGTTACTTTTCAAAAGAGAAGGGGAAAGAACATTCCAGGCACAGGTAACAACATGCACCAAGATGAGGAGGCCTGCAATGGAACTCCAGGTTTAGGGACTACAAGCATCTCAGTGTACTCTGCGGAAAATTAAAGCACACTCCTTCGTCTCTGTCCAAGGGCTTGTAAATTAGTTGAGGAGATGTGTGCGTGCCTTGGAGGGTAACTAACACCGGGCATGGTGATCATTTCAAACTGACAGAACAGAGATAAATGTAAGTAGGAGTAAGAGCTGAAAGCAACAAGTATTTGAGTCCACTTGTGTGCCAGGAACTACCCTGTCCTCCTCAGAACATGCGGTCCAGTGTTGCGCTATCCAATACACATGGCTACTCAGCCCTTGAAATGTGTCTAGTCTGAATTGAAATGTGTTGTATTAACACACACTCTGGTTTTCAGAAAGCTGATGCTGAAAAAAGTAAATATCTCATATCTCATTACTAATTCTTCTATTGATTACATGTTGAAACAATAATAATGTGGCTATATTCGATTATGTTAAATATGTCTTTAAAATTATTTTTACCTGTTTCTTGTTACTTTTATAATGTGGTTACTAGAATTTTCACAATGACATGTGCAGTTCACATTTTATTTCTGTTGGACAGCAGTTGTCTAGAGATCAAAAGATCTTGGCCAGGAATAGCAGAGAAGGACATGGAGCTTGAACACTACTGTAAAGAATGAGTAAGGCTCAGGTGCACATAAAGGTGAAGGATTTGCCAGAAGAAAGAGAATATGGTGGAATGTGCAATGTCTATTTAGGTGGTCTGGATGGAGCAGGTGAAAAGCTCTCGGATGTGTTTTGATAAAACAACATATTTTCAGGAATCTACACTCACATAGGTTGATAGGCTTCCTGAGGGTCAGTAGACAGACTTGCCCATTATTGGCAGCAACGATGGAAAATTACAACAGAGGGATCCCTAATCTGTCATTTTTGATGGTTTTTTGTCAAGGGCTGCCTTTGAGAAAACCAAAATCCCAACCATGATTAAAGTTTTGAAAAAACTCAGAGGATTGATTATTCCTGTCACACCCTTTATTTGGACTTCCTTAACCCAATGACTTCTTGGAACTGTAAATGTAAATGTGTTCAAGGAAGATATGCTCCACATTGATACTCTGCAGCAAGAAATATTGAGCTGAATTGGTCCAACATTGTATTTTTCATTCTTGCTTTTAAAATACTTAGAAGAAGGATATCCCTGGACGTGATGATTTTACAATAAATTCTGACATTTCTTTAACCATCCAAAAGATGATAAAGCAAGACCCTGCATGGATATGATGCTGGGGACTTTATCTAGTAGTTTATGCAGAGATGTCAATGATATTTAGGGATTCATACTCTACAACAACAATGTGGTTAAGGACTGGTCATTAGAGGTGTCGGTTAAATAACAAATATGCAAAAATATGTTAATATGGGAATAGATAAGTCATGGGTGAATTAACTTGTATCGGATGAGGAAGAATCACAAAAAAAAAAAAGGTCATTTAAGTCTAAGTGCTGGTAATGGCAAGATTTTTTACCGTGTTTCTCTTAACCAGCAAGCCCATAGACTCACACAGGTGAAGTTTCTCACAAGAGCAAAAAGCAATAAATCCTATATGCAAGGCCTGTAAGTATTTCAAACACTAGCTCTTGTAGCAGCAACACTAGCTGGCAGGCTCTGGTGTACTAGCCATACCCCACTGGGCCAGAATTACTGGATGTCCGAGCTCAGACAGACATGAGTTATGAGCCATTTATTAGTATGTTGCCTTAAAAAAATTACAAAACCTCTCCAAGCCTCAGCTTCCTTGTCTGTAAAATGGGGTCATAACACTACCTGTCTCATAAAAGTTTCATGAGGGTTAAATAAGATAACCTATAAAGTGCTTTGCCCAGTGTCCAAGGTTTGAAAGCTGGGGGTGTTGGTTGTGCTAAAAGTTCTAGAATACACTTTCCTTTCATAAGAGGAAAAATGGAGTCTCCGAATCAGGAAGCAGCCTTTTCAGAATGATTTGCTTTCACTCCAAGGCTTCTAAATCATCCAGTTACTAATACAGTGCTTTCCCTGTTACTGCACAGGAAAGCACGAGACATCTGAAGTAGAATTCCCTCAATCTTTCTCTTTACTTAGCTGCTCCCTCACCTGTCCCCCTCCTCAAAATGACAGCAGTCCTTCCCAATTTTCCCTTTCTTGCCCTCCCTCCTATATTTTGAGAACTTTCTCACTTCTGAAGTATCTGGATGGAAAACACTTTAAATTATTTCCAGAGAAATGTCTGTTTTCATTGGTGCCCTGAATCACAACTGACCTGTGGTGCCCGTTAAAAGAAGGATTAAAGTACAAGAATAAATATAAATGCACTGAGACATAAGAGTTAAGTTGTCACTTAGAGCCTCCCGCCCCTTCACCCATACCTGCTTATATGAATGAGTCACTTCTAAAAATAGTGTCATCCTTAAAAGAAATGTTAGAGCAGTCATTACTCAGACAGCAGCTTCCTCCACCTGCTTCCCTAGGGCAGGAACTGGGATATGTAGAGACACAGGCACTGAGCTGGTCCGGAAGGGACAACAGGCAGAGAAATCCTGTGCGGCAGAGGAAAACGTTCAGACCTGCATCTTTCATCCGTTTGCTTTCTCTTTCTTTTGCATCTGGGAGAATTCCAGCTTGTCAAGTGGCCAGTCTATTTGTATTCAAAAAAGTCTTGGTCCCCTCGTAAGTCTCTCCCTGTTCACCTTAAAAATGAGGGTACTGTCCAGTAGTTTTAGGCTTTGATGGTAATAGAGGTCAGCACCTGAGCTCTTGCCCAGCTGCTCTTCTGATGGTATTCATGAGAAACTCTCAAGCATGTTTAAAATCCTGACCCTTGTGGGCCCTGGATTTCACTTGTACCATTCCAAGTGTGTCTGTGCCTCTTCAGGAAATCAGCTCACTTAAGAGCTCACTTTTCATCACAGCTCTGCCAGTTAACACAGACCCACCTGGTCTGAAAATCAGGCATGTCATCAGTGTTAAAAATACAGTCTGCAGCCCTAGTCGTCAGGTTAAATGGCACTAAGGGAGTTAATATAAGCACTATGTAAGTTTTACCCATGATTGTTATTAGTATTATTATAAAGGATAAGCGTTTGAGTTTTACCTTCACAGCCCTGAATTCAGTTCCTAGCCTTTTCACCTTAGGAAGGTTAGGGACCCAGCAGAAAACATGCAGCACACTCAAAAAAATAATTGAAGAGAATTTAATGAAAGGACTATTTCCAAAGACATAAGTAAATGTATTTGTTCCTCAGGGCTGCCATAACAAAGTACCACAAACTGAACGGCTTAAAACAGAAATTTATTTTCTTACAGTTCTGAAGCCTAGAAGCCTGAAATCAAGGTGCTGGAAGGGTGATGCTACCTCTGAAACCTGTAAGGGAATCAATCCTTCCTCACCTCTTCTTAGCTTCTGGTGTTCACCAAGAGTCTTGGGCATTCCGTGGCTTACAGCTGCATAATTGGAATCTCTGCCTTCATTCCCTCTGTGTGTCTCTCTGTCTTCCACCACCATCTTCTTCTAAGGACTCGACTCATATTGGACTAGGACCTCCCTACCCCTTATCTTAACTAATTACATCTGCAACAATCCTGTTTCCAAATAAGATTGCATCCTAAAGTACTGGGGGTTAGGATTTCAGCATAGCTTTTTTGAGAGGACACAATTCAACTTGTAAACAGTAGAGTTCCAGGAAACCAGCAAGGGTCTACAAAGCACTTGTGTACGTTCGTTGCGTGAAGGTTCAAGGGAGAGAGGGAAACTGGAACCCTCTGATACCTGTGGCTGTAGAAACGGGCTGCTGGACAGTGGCCTTGGGGAGAGAAACCAGCCCTTGGCCTTTTACATCTAGACAGAAGGGAGCTAAGAAAATCAGTATTCCGAGCTCTCTCTCCTCCCAACCTCTGGTCTCCTGGGTCTCCCACTGGTATCTCCCATTGATTGAGTCCAATAGGAAGCCCCAGGGCAGGATATCATTGATTCAACACCTAAATGTTGGCCTCCTGGAGCATACAGCAGAGTGAAGAGAGTGAAGATTTGATATGGAGGGGCAAACAGAGAACAATTAACCTAACCTGTTAACTTATCCGAGTGTCAGTTTTCCTGGCTGTAAACTGGGGATAATAGCAGTGCCTGCCTCATAGGCTTTTTAACTTGGTGCTCAGGACATAGTAATAATAAATGTTAGCTATTGTTTTATTATGGTTCTGATCATCTTCAAATGAGCCAGCTTCCCCACCACTACCTTATGAACTTGGCACAAGTGAGGGGTACAGGTATCATTTTTGTGAATGGATACAAACACATAAACAGGCATTAGCTATTGTTTTATTATGGTTCTGATCATCTTCAAATGAGCCAGCTTCCCCACCACCACTTATCAACCTGGTAAATGTGAGGGGTAGAGATATCACCTTTGTGAATGGATACAAATACGTAAATAGGCATTTTTCCCAGGAATGTGTTCTGATATTTTGAGTCATCAACCCAAGTGAAAGTTCTTTAATACTTGTGACCTCTACTTGCCAGAGGGCAGCTTGGGCAAAGGCTGAGGTAATTTCCATAATGGAGGTAGGAGCAGTCCAGTGCCTGATGTACATTGTTTGGGGGATGCTATGGTTTGTGGCCTTGGGAACTCACAGTCTAGCAGGACACAGATAACTCTCACTACAAGCAGGAATCAGGGACATTTTAAGACTCATAAGAAGTTCTCCAGCCTGGGCAACATAGTGAGACCTCATCTCTACAGAAATTTTTTTTTAATTAGCTGGGTGTGGTGGTGCAGGCCTGTAGTCCTAGCTACTGGGGAGGATAAAGTGGGAGAATTGCTTCAGTCCAGGAGTCCAAGTCTGCAGTGGGCTGGGATTGTGCCACTGCACTCCAGTCCTGGATGACGCCACAAGACGCTGTTTCAAAAAAAGAAAGAAAGAAAGTAAAAGACTGAGGGTTCTGCAGTGTGACATCTGAGAGGATTTTGTGGAAAGAGTAGTGTTTGAGCTGAGCCTTGAAAAAGCAGGATTTGGGGTTATGGAGATTAGGGATAAGGGAAAGCAACAGCCTAAGCAAAGTCAAAACAAGTATAACTGTTCAAAGAATACACAGGGAGGGTGGGAACGAGGGGAGGGAGCGCATTAGGACAAATACCTAATGCATGCGGGGCTTAAAACCTAGATGACAGGTTGATGGGTGCAGCAAACCACCATGGTACATGTCTATGTAACAAACCTGCACGTTCTGCATATGTATCCCAAAAGTTAAGGTAAAATGAATAAAAAATAAAAACATGAAAAAAAGAATACACAGAGAACTGTGAGTAGATCTGAGGGTATAAATCAGATTGTGGGAGAAGGAATAAGACAACAAACAGGATCATAGAGGAAATAAGATTTAAAACAATAATGGTGGACGATGGAGTGCCAGGTTGAGTTTCCACCTAAAGCGTAGCACTCAATACACGACAGATGCACCACTCTCCAGGTCATAGCCGGGCATCTGTCATGTTCTGAATGTAAACGGACTCTTCTTCAGTAGTTGTTTAAAGGTTCTCCTAAGATTGAGTTGAGATTATAGTCTGGAGTTGAGAGGCAATTCTTAGAAGCCAGAGATGGGGGCAGTAATTCAGCCACTGCAGAGGGAAGAAACCCAAAACCACCAGCCAACAAACTGTCGTCAGACAGAAGGCAGGTACCCAGGAGCTTCTGAAGGACCAGAGGGAGTGTCACCCTAGTGAATCCCTGAGGAGGTGGGAGGGGAGGGATGGCAGACACAATGGAAGGGGTTCAGCTCCACCTGGCAGGTGAGAGGTAACGGTGGATGCGGAACACAGAAGCTGGGGATGGGAAGCAGGAGGCAAAAGAGAAACTGACGCATTTCAACTACCACAGTTGCAAGGAAGGAGAAGAGTAAAGAGAAGGAGGTGAAGGGAAACTGTGTCTCCACATCAGATTTCAAAAGAGGAGGAACTGGGAAGGAAATGCAGAGAGATAAGAACAAAGAACACAGAAGCAGCATGAGTCTTGTCTGTGGTGCTCTGAAGGTGGGGGATAAAAACATAGGAATTTTCCAAATAGGAGAAGTGAGAATCTGGAAAAGAGACTAAAGAAAGTAAATACTTGAGGAGAAGGATTTCCATGAGAGTATTTGGGATCAAGAAATAATAAGAGAGTTGAATGAATAAAGAAAGACTTGGGATGGAAAGTGAGACATTAGAATAAAGGGTTTTAGACTGGCCAAACACAAGAGAAAATAATACTAGAGTTTTGAAGGCCAAAATGAGTCACATAGGTTGTAGTGGCTGCAAATAGAGGATAAAGTCAGACTGATCTAACTGTAACAGAATTAACCACACATAGCACTCCACATTTCCCAGGTATTAGTTTTTAGTATTTCCATCTTCATTTTTTTATATTGGTTGTAGCCTTGACAACCACAAAGACTTTTTATTCTGTTCATTGCAGTGTCTTACATAGCAATTTGACTTCAATAAAAGCTCTCTCTATGGAAATGATCCATTCCCTGGTTTAGAGAGAAACACATTCTGGTTCACAGTATTGAATCTGACAGTCTGAGGTCTTGCACAAATAATTCTGAAAGGGCCCACTTGTCATAATTGCAGACGAGGCTTTAGAAATCCAACCGGGAGACAGTGATTTAGGCTCTGCAGGGGCAGTTAGAACAAATGACTACCTGTGATCATTTTTCAGTATCAAGTATGGCACCTTTAGATTGGAATGTTAAACATGAGATTGTCAAGCCACGGTGCCCTTCTCCCATACCTGTGGAAGACATCACCAGTCAATCTCAGCAGCCTCTGCCACTGAGTCCAGCCAGATATGAACTCAAAATTGCTCTCAGCACAGCACTCAGGCAACCTCCACCCACCAGTTGTAAGTGGCAGGGGAGTTGAAACCCATTATCCACCAGCCTTCTTGTGGTTTCTTAGAGGAAGTTTATATGACTGAATTCACATCACTAGACAACTCCATAAATCTGTAGTGAATAAAATTTTTCACCAATTAGTGCACTGATACCTTATTTATCCAGCCTCATCACAGAATAAGAATTATAAATAAGTACATTTTACAGATAACTGAAACCTGTTCACTTCAAGTGCCATTTCTAATGGAAGACTTTCCAAAGAGTCCTCATTACACCCTTCCCTGCTTAGGAAATAGAGACCATTAGGCATAATTTAACCTTTCTTAATTTGGCCTCTCATTTTTGAACATATTTTTTGCTCTTGTGAAGATGGTGTGAAAGTCATCTACCTGCCTTCCTATCAACGTCTACGTCTTTAGAATGCGAATGGATCAGCTTGTGGTAGTTTTGTTACCTTCTAGTTTTCTGTCCAAGGCTATTTAGGCTGGATGAAATGCCACCAAAAACCTCGGGTTACAAAGAATGTTCAATCATGAGCTCACTTCTCACATACTACCAAAACAACAGGTGGATGGGCTTTGTGAAGAATTTTCCCCTCTGGGGTGATAGATACTTATTTTTCCATACTTCTGAATTTGAGACAGTGTTACACAGTGTAAGGCCTAGAATTATAATTTCAAGGTGAATGGACTATTTGGGCATTACCTAAAAATTGTTTTGTTTTGTCTACATTATCTGTCTACAAGAAACTAATATGAGTCACAGGTGATAAGTAGGTTACAGGCTGTATGCAATGAGTATTTGTAAGGAAAGTGGCTTTTTTGAGCTTGGACCTGAGAAAATGAGGGCATGATCACTCACATGCATGTTGCAGACATGGTTTATTAGGTCCCTTTTGTTTGTCTCCACAGTGAACACTGATGCTTGCATTGCCGTGTGAGTACGGAGAGCCTGTGCCAGGCATTTAAATGGCCAAAGGGAATAACTCTGGACTGGGCAAAGCAGTTGGACATCATTGCAATCATGGAACTAGGATTATAAGCTGGGTTGGAGACACCGGGGGCAGGTTCAAAGGGTATACATAGGTAAATGAAAAAAAAGGACAGCTACTCTCAAGGAGGTCACAAAGAATTACCAGCTGGTGCAAGATTCCCAGACCTGCCGGACAAATGTTAGAACAACATGTTATACCATCATTTGCCATGCCCCATTCCTTTACCTAGAATGAAATTCATGGATAATATATCTAAGGGAGAGGGAAGATGGAGGAGAACCTCCAGATTCCACAATGGAGCAATCGAATGGGCAGAGAAGTGGTGCCACTAACCAGTTGAGGAGAAAACCATGTTCTCCAGGTGGTCAAAAGTCATGGTCTCTCACACAGGAGAAAAGGCTGTGGTTTAGGAACCCTTAGCTTCCTGGGAGCACACAGGTGCTGAAGGGCAAGGCAGCCAGGCCAAATATCAGGATCACACTGAAGCCAAAGGTCCAAGCAAGACAGAGTACAAACTCATGCTTATTCAAGCAGCAGGACGAATGCATCTCAGAAACATGTGGAAGAGCGGGATATCAAAGGCTACATTCTATATGATTCCACTACATTCTGTATGATTTCCATCCTATATGAAAGTCTTGAAAAGGCAACACTGTAATAACCAAAAGTGGATCAATGGTTGCTTGGGGTCATAGGTTGGGGATTACAAAGGGCCATGGAGAAACTTCTTTGAAGTGATGGAAATGTTCTGTATCGTGAGTGCGGTGGTGGTGGTTACACGACCTTGACATTTGCCAGAACTCATCAAATTGTGCACTAAACATGAGTGACTCGTATGTAAATTTTGCCTTAATAAGGCAATTTTTAAAAGTCAGACACATAGTTTGGCATAGATGTAGAATCACTCACAAAACACCTTGGCTCTGAGGCTGCAACTTTGAGGGCCAGCAGGTGAGACTGGATACAGGGTATAAGGGAGATTTCAGCATTTCAAGCATCAGCTGTCACATTGGAATGTTTATTCCACAAACATACCATGTACAACTACTATATGCCAGGCATTGTGCCAGGGCCCAAGTATACAAAGATGATAGATGAATGACAACGTTAAAGTCAGGACTTGGAATAAAAGTCTAAACTCAACTCCAAGCTCAAGATTCTACTGATATTTGATATTTTATATCAAGCTTGTCAGCATAGCCATTTGGGTAACTTCAGTAGATCAACTTTTCACCTGGAAAGAAAGCTATTGGAATGAAGACTATTGATCAGCATTGGTAAATCATGAGGATATGCATTCACACACAGGGATATTTATCCTTGATGAGCACTAGCTTATAGTTGCATCCATTCAGCACACTTCTTGAGCACCTATCATGAGTCAGGCACCAAAGAAGACACATATGTGAATGAGTCCCCAATCTCAAGAGGATTATGAAGGGAAAAGACAGTCTTACTACTGTGATCATAGTCAATGATTGCACGTGATTAAGTGTCCTAACAGAACGTCAATGAGCTACAGCACACAGGAGAGTGTGGACACACTTCTGGCCATGCTGTTGAGAAAGATTTCAAAGACAAGTCTTGTGTACTTTGTTATCTGAGACTGGCCCTGAGTGTAAAAGGCCTCTGTCCTCAAGGGAAACAGGCTTACAACTTAGCTGTACATGTCCAAGTTTGGGGGGTGAGCAGTGAGGCAGCCCGAGGTGAGCCAAGTTTATGATAAGTCATTTTCAGGTCTGAAGTTGGAACACTGTGGGTAAACCAAAGCCAAGTAAGATGCCCTATGGGAAGGGTTGCCTTTTCCTTGGCAGATATTGAAACAGGATGGAAGAGAAGGTTGAAACAGGATGGAAGAGAAGGTTTGTCTCATCGTTCTGCTCACATAATCACAGTGCCTGGCACATAGCAGGGGCTTCACGAATATTGGTTAAATGAACTGAATGGATGAATGATCATTGAATCTGGTGAGATAAACTACAAAGAGGAAAAGCTGATTTCATGGATGCTAATTTTGAATAGGCACGAGGATCTGAACAAGGGTGATTGTATTAAATTCCTATTATTACCAGTATAAATTACAACCAAATTTGTGGCTTAAAACAACACATATTGATTATGTTAAAATTCTGGGTGTCAGAAGCCTAAAATCAAGATGTTGGTTGGGGTGTGTTTCTGGAAGCTGCAGAGGAGAATTTATTTGTCTCTTTGCCTCTTCAATCTTCTAGTGAGATTGAGCTGCATTCCTTGGTGTGCGTCCCATTCCCCCATCTTCAAAGTGCATCACTCCAGCCTCTGGTTTCATGGTCACACCTCCTTTTTCTCTAACTCCATTGCCTCCCTCTTATGAGGACCCTTGTGATTACATTGGGCCCCACCAGATAATCCAGAATAATTTCCCCATCTCAAGATCCTTAACTTAATCACATCTGCAAAGTCCCTTTTGCCATATAAACAAACATATTCACAGGTTTCTGGGGTTAGGACAGGACACAGACATCTTTGGAGACCAGTATTCAGCCTACCATGGTAATATCAAATTCTAAAATGTTATCTTCACCAAACAAAAAGCCAGGAGCTAGAGGAAGTACCCTACCTCCAAAACTGATGAAACATGAGAGTATAGTAGTCAGTAACTTCTAATCACATGCAGATTAAATATAAGGTACTACCAATTAGCTTTAACAATAAAGATTCAAAAAGATTTGAAATTCCTCTCTATGCAGAACACTTAGTATAATTTTATGGAACAAAGTAGTGTGGGTATCTCCTGTAATCGAGCAATTTACTTGTGAAATAATTCACTCACAGAGGACTGCCCAAATGGAAGAGAAGAACCAAGATTTGCAGGGGAGGAAACCCGTGTGGTCGATGAATGAAACTAGGAATGAAAACTGAGTTATAAGAGCGCAGCTGCTGAAGCCTGCGGCGCATGTCATAGAGAAACCTGTAAGAATCAGGAGCGGGTAGATGCTGCTAATGCAGGCACTGTCATGGGTTTGATGATCCCAATAATTTTTAGGGCCCTCAATCCTAATCTTAGCTTGACCCTAAACCTCCTCATCTGCAAAATAAAGGCATTGGTTATATTATCTCTAGGGTTTCTGGCAGCGGTATGTTTTTGTTTTGCCTTTTGACCTAATTTTAAAAAGTAGTGAAAGTTTGCTTCCCATAGACTAACACTATAGGGAGAAAACGGGGAAAAGAGAGAAAGAAATTGATGATGGTGGGCGTGGGGGGTTCCCCAGCAGCAAACCATATTTCCTTGCTGTCTAATGTCATGTTTTTCCCAGGAGGCCTCACTGGCTACAATGTGAAGTGCTGTTAAGAACATGGGTTCAAAGTTAGACTGCCTGAGTCTCAATCCTCATTCTATTCACCATATGACCTAGGGCGAGTTGTCTAATTTCTCTCTGTTTCATATATTTGTACATAAAATAGGAATGATAACATCACCTTCACCATTGGGTTATTATGAGAATTGAAGTAGGCAATATATGTAACATGCTTAAAACAATGAGTAGTACCTAATAAGTACTATTATAAGTATTCGCATCTTTATAATTAGATGTGATTAATGCTGACGTGCTTTCCACTTAGGGTGTTGTAGCTTTACTTAGAGGGCTTCTTGCATACCATAGGATAACTGCAGATGAGGTAATCGGGGCTTCAGATCTGTGCTACCTAATACTATTAGGTCTACATCTGAGCTTGTTTCTGAAAAGGTACTAATTTTCCAGTTTTCAAATTTTATAAGGTGGCACATTATTTATCTGTGAGGAGTATAGATGTCTTATCAATACAAGTTGACCACTTAACTATGAGATCTCTTCAAATGTAAGCTAAAGACATACTTCTCCACTTCAGAAGCATTTCAACCCTGCCAACAGAAGTGACTTTATAGACAGCTATTTGATGCTGGCATACACACACAAACACACACACACACACACACACACACACTAGAAGCTGATGTTTACAATGCCTGTGAATTAATTTTTATTTCGGTTGTGAATCCTAGTTGCTGTTTGTTTCTGTATTTTTATTTGTGTGTGTGTGTGTGCGCGTGCCATGTTTTGTTTTCTCTGCAGATGGCCTGGCTGTCTGTGAAAAATTGATCCACTCCAGAACATTGCTGTTTTAATGAGGCCAAGGTCACAGCTTCAATTCCCATTTGGCCAGTTAGCTTTGCTCTCTCTCCCTTTCATAGCCACAAGCTGCTCCCTAATCATCACACCCAAGCTGTTTCTCTGGGATGGGAGGCTGATGGGCGTGGGAGATTATCAGGGCTGGTTCACAACTGCAGGCTAAGCACATGATGGGCCAGTGGCCCAGCAAAATGGTAGCTATGGTCACTCACTGGGTTGTTCTTCTTGGTCTTCGTGTGATCCCTACTTAAGTGTCCCCATGCTGGGTACCTGCAGAAATCCATTTTGGGCTCTGTTTCTCTTACCCAGTGGACAGGATGATTTCAGCATTCATCCCCTTTACTGCCAACATAGACTCCTGAGACCCAATTAGTACCATTATGCTTTTGTCTTCTGGAAGTATTACATCTTTGGTTTCTTACATTTTCAGCTTTCGAGTCTGTTGCCAAAGAATCTGCCAATAAAAGCTTACATTTGTTGAGCATTTACCAGGTGCCAAGACCCTCTATATGAATGATCTCCTTTCATCTTCAAAATAGCCTACGAGGTAAAACCCCATATTCCTTTTTCCCTATGAGGATCAAGGTTTAGAGCAGTTTGCTGTGTATGTTATGTCACCAGTTGTACCCCGCCAGAGTTAGAATTCAACCCCGCAGTCTGCTTTTAGAGCTTTTGCTCCTTGGCCATGAGACTTGCCTGTGAGCATGACATGCTGAATAGAATAGCTAGCAACTGGATGATTACTACAAATTCATACTGCTCTGAATTCAGACCTAATTTGGAGGGATAGCTCCTATATTGTGTCATTCTTGGAGTTAGATCCAAGATAACCACCTGGCAAACTGTGCTAATTGGACAAGTTCTTTCTGTGCCAGTAGTTAAATCTTATTTCTTTCCGCTGTCCATATTTCCTTGTTGAACCATTGAACCACATGCCACTGGGAATAAGTGGACCTAAGAAATGTTTGATTGTAAAGAGAAGCTTGAACATGCTAGTACTGGTGACCAAATGAAACCTATGTTTGAGGAAGCCTTTGATCCAGTTGTACTCTCTCCAAATGTCAGTGTATACTAGACCATATTTTTGGCAGTGATTTTCAAATTCTGAAAGAAAATCCACATTGAGGTCTAAACATAGTATTCTCACCAACCCCCTACCCCCACCCCTATCATGAACATATGGTTCTAGTGCCTTAAAAAGCAGTATGGTATAACATTAGTGCTTTCTTTTTAAAAGTGCACTAGTATTTTCTATCTTTCTTTCAATTTTGTAATACCCAACATATTTTTGTGTGTAACGATTCAAGCTACAGATCAACATATATTATCTGGAAAAAAAAAAGTTGAATACTTCCCGTCAATTATCATGAAAGTAAATTCAAAGAGCCTACTCCGTCATCTCAAGGGTACAAAGTTTTGTGTACCCTGATTATCAAAGCTATTTAGCTATAGTTCCAAACCTCTGAACACTTGCAGTTTTTACAAGTTGGCTAATATCTGACACTGATTTGTTTTTAGTTTTTAAATTGGTCTGACTGATCCTTGACCTTGGAACTTTTCTAGATGATGTCCACTTTTCCCATCACCCATGTTTTCCAAAGAATTACTGGGTTTTTTGTTTTTTTTTTTTTTTTTTGGTTTTTAATCAAACATGACAAAATTCACTAAGCCCTCTCATTTTGGAATAAATATCTTTAGGCCAAGACAGTTTGAGTGAAATCAGCTTTATTAAATAACTTTGAGTCATTTCCTTCCCTATTCTAGCTTTCTGGATCTGCCAACACACGTGGGTGGTCTGTGTGAAACTGCATACAGATTCAGTCTGTGAAACTGAATACAGATTGACCCTTTTATAGAATGTTTTAAAAACATAAAACCCAATAACCAACCCTAACCTCTTAATCTTAAAAGTGTCCTCTTTAATTAGATGTTCCTCCTTGTCAGTAAATCAGTGTTTACCTCGGTTCCTCCTGCCCAGTAGAATTAAATAATGCTTATCCTATTCCAACTAATTCCCATTTAAAAATAGTCTCCTATTCTGGGCTTTCTTTCTACAGGTGAATTTTATTTTCTTCACTTCTGCTTAAGTGACCTGGTTTAGTTGCCTTGTTACCTAGCTTTCTATTATGTTGGTGTAGGTTCTAGTTTTAGCCAAATTGATTCTTTTTCTTACCTCAACTTTTTCTCTTGTGTTTTGAAAGTATCTCCATAAGTGCCATCCAACTCCTTTGGGTGCTTAGATTTCAGGGGATTTAGGGGTTTTTTAACTCAGTTTCCTCACTGAATCTCCTGCTACCTCTCTGAATTCATTTAATCTGACTTTTTGAACTGTATTATTCTTATTTGGCAGATTTCCCTTTTTTATTAGAATCAGACAGATGTGGCAGTACCACTGATTAATTGGACGGCCTTTGAACATGTTGTTTAACCTTGCTGCACCTCTATTCCCCATGTGGCTAATGAAGATAATAATATCTACCTTAATGGGTTGTTAGTCTATTGCGTAAACTAATGATTGCCCACTGCCTACTATAGTTTATGCCACTTTAGTTAATGTTAGCACCATTTTTATTTATGAGAACTAGTGAATAAGGCTGTCTTGGCTTGGCTAGTTGGCTCTTCATCTTATCTTTTATCTTTCTTTCTTGCCTTCCATACATGTTCCCTGTCACTACCACCAATAGGAAGAGGAAGGAAGTTCAAACTCAGGATTCACAATCGTTATTGGAATATTCACTATAAAATAGATATTGTCCAACTCAAGTGAGATACCCTATAACCTTGTTTATTGCAGGCCTTCTCTTTGTGCTGCTTGTGAAATCAAGTATTTTTTCATCTACTAATAGAAGTTAATGATTTATATAGAGGTGAGAACCTATGTTCACTTAAGGGATTGGCATTAACAATTGAAATATAAATGGTATCTAATGGATTAACTGGGTACTCATCCTTTCCTACTGGTAATACATCTTGTTTGTTTTCCCCTTTCATCTAAATCCAGAAATGTTCTTCTCTTGTATCTGTATATGTACATGTTGTCCTGCCCTTAAATTGCCATTAATGTCCCATTTCTGCATCCCCTCCATGGCATTGCTAAGCCAGTAGCCATGTTCTGGGCAATGCTTGCTGCTGTACCTTGTGTCAGGGACACCTGCCACATGAAAACATAGCCATGGATGTCCACATGTTTCTCATCTTTCCCAGTGCTTCTTACTTCTTCAGTTTTAGAGACCTGTTTGTAGTCTTGTCCTCTTTGGCCAAAATTTCCAGTGAAGAAGACATAGGAAACCCTAATACAGACCATCTCTAAGTTCTCTGAGATTTAGAAAAAAGGGGTGGCTTTGAAGAGTTGTAACAGCTAAATATTTCTGTGAACACCTTTAATAAATGCTTAGTTTCTATGGGGGATACATAGATGTCTGAGACTCCTTGTCAAGGAAGAGTTCACAACCTAGTAGGGAAACAGAAATAAAAATACATTGATAATCAAAGAAGGCTATGAACCCTCCTACAGTACAGGGAGACTCTGTGTGTGTGTGTGTGTGTGTGTGTGTGTGTGTGTGTGTGTGCGCGCGTGTGTGTGTGTGTGGAAAGAGAGAGAGAAAGGAAATTAATTTTATCTGGGAAAATCTTGGAATGATTCATGAAAATGGTGAGAGTTAAAGAATGGATGGAAATTTGGCAGACTTCTACAGGGGAATGGGCCACAGATAGTATTCCAGTTAAGTAATGTAACTAAAGAATTGATAACTCCTTTCCCTCCATGTGTGTGAGTGTATGTGCATGTGTACATATATGTGTTTTGGGATGAGGGAAGGAATTGCAGTGGGAAATACATACCTGGGAAAATTGGTTGCAGCCATATTTTTAAGGCTGTAAAAGCCACGAAAACTTATTTTCACTCTAAACATGCCAAGGAAGTAATATTGTGGGAAGAGGGAGAGAGAGAGAATAGAGAGACTCTGTTTATATCTTATTCCTATCTGCCTAAGCACACCCTTGAAAGAGGAAAGGTTGTTATTATCCATCAAAATCTTTCTGGTGAATCAGTATGTCTGTCAATCTATTCCCACCCAATTTGAGGCCTGCACACAGATCCGTCCCTTACAGCAATGACCTTTCTTTAAAAGGCAAACCTGGCCTGACAGCACTGATATTTTGAATTCAGCATTCAGAGCTTTAGAGAAATTTCTCTCTGAAGGAGAGAAAGTGTGTCAGCCCTGAAGTGACAGCCCCCTGCATGCTGCTGAGGAGGATACCAGTTTTTGTGATAATTTGTGGCAAGGGCAATTTCAGGGAACGGAAATGATCTGTTGGGTAAAAGCACAATTTCTCTTCAGATTTTCTTCGAGGGGAGTCTACAAACAAGCAAGAAACTGAAATGGCTTATATTTTAGTTTGTGAGGAAAAGAAGCATCTAAGAAGATTTATAGGCACCAGAACATACTGATATGACTATTAGTTACACAAAGTGGCCAGAATTCCTTGCATTCTGATTAGCTGTGTGCCTAGAGTAAGTTGCTTTGAAGCAGTGATTGTACAGCTGTACATCATTTCCATGGTGATTTGATGTGCATTGTCCCATTTAATCTTCCTAGCATCCATAGAAAGGATGATCACAAAGCTATCAGTGGAGAAGCTGTAGCCAGAAAGGCCAATGCCTTTCCCAAGATCACACAGGTAGGAAGACGCAGAAACAAGACACTGATTGAATCATCTGACCCAGGTCCAGTGCCCTGTGCATTTCAAAGTCACTTCTCTAGGGATCCTTTTCTTCTTCTTTAAAAATAGAGGACTGGACAAGAATAACTGCTTTAGAAATTGTTTGCAGACTAGAAAAGTTTGTAGTTGTGATTCATAGTCAAACATCAGTGCAAAGTCTTCTTTCTTGCAGAATCAATATAAGAAGCCCAAGATTGCGGTGTGGGGTGTATCCAGAGCCATGGGGTGCTTGGGCCGCTGGGATGTCCTCCACTGTCCCCACCCCCATGCCGCTCTGTACTTGGCCTGAGAACTGTCACCGGAACTCACCTGGAAAGTGCTCACCCATCCCACCCCTATCCTAAGCCCCATCTCTTCCACACCCTTCATTGCCACTATGTTTTTAAAACACATTTTTTTTGCCACAATGTTTAAAAACCACACCATGTTTATGTGAAGAATTTACTACAACATATGAAATATGTCCCTATTTTTCTCTTACAGCCATAAACTCACAAACTAAACTATGCAAAATCATAGCCCCGAATATTAGTTGTAACTATGCAGCATACTATATGCAGAGCAAATAAATTTTAAGTCTAAAATGATAATAATAATTTTACAATCATGAACCACCAATACAAGATATTCCTAAAATGGCAGAAATTCCAGATAGCTTGGTCTTTACAAATGAATGCGAATATAGATTATATTCATACTGGAGCTAAGGTAATCTCTAGGAGCTGGTGTATTACAATGTCCAAGCATTTTTTATGTCCTTAGTAACTTGCCCCTCTGTCCATACCTTTGCAGTGTGGAGCTTGAATACTTAAACCATTCTTTTCACCAGTGGACATGAGGAGCATCTAAAAAAAGCTATACAAAATAGAAAGAACAGAGTGTTTTTTTCTCACCTTTAAGCACTGTATATTTCTGATTCTCCTTGTATAGTTTCATGCCTGTTCAAATTTAGCCTGAAAATTCCAATTTATGCTTAATGCATGAAAAAGACCCTATTCCAGTAAATGCACTTTTAGATTTCAGAAATCACAGAATGAGAATACTAATATAGTCATTCACCTAGAAAATTTTTAATGCAAAAAGTAGCATTAATAATAACAAATATTTTATATAAAGAATTTATTTTCTGATATTTACAAGTATTCATTAGGCAAAACATGAAAAATGTCATGTTTTTAAAAAAAAACATGAACTTGTTGTTTCAAGCATATTGCTTACATAAAAATATAGAGAAAATATACATAAGCCAAGGTCAAGCGAGGAAAACAGTGAGGACTGTAATTTAAATTTAAACAGGCTAGAATTGGAGATAGAGGGCAGCACGATAAATTAGAGCACAGACCTTGAATCTAGACTGCCTGAGTTCAAATCTCAGCTTGTTCACTTACAATCATACGCACTGGGCAAGTGATTGAATATTTCCCTTTCTCACTTCCCTCATTTTTCCCATCTGTAACATAGGGATGAAAACAAAACTGATCTCATAGGTTTACTATAATGATTCAATCTATGTAAAAATACAAAGACCCTGCCAGGCACTAGTAAACAATAAATGTTACCTTCAAAAATTACAAACATATCTACTTAGGCTGGATGTTCTCATCCCTCAGAAGCCAGTCTTCTACCTGCATTCACATGAATTGGACTGTCCTAATAACTTTATTTATTGGCTTCCAGAAGAGAGCAGAAATCAGCAATTCTAGCATCACCTCTCCCCACCACCACACATGCCATTACTTTTATTGGCATTTCTAACACTCCACCTTATTCTCAACATGTAAATCTTTTCCTTTCAATGGGAGATGCTATTACTCACTAAGCTATAAGTTCACAACTGAGATGTTGAGGTGAACAGGAATGTCTTTAGTTGTGAAATGTGTCAGATGCAGTTTATTATTCACAATGACTCAAGTGCCCAATTTCATCAACTTACTTTTACAAATAAGAGAAATTTCAAAGTGATCTCAATACCTTCAGTCCCACTCAGTTGAGTTCCAACAAGCTTCCTCAAGTAGGAAGGAAGCAAAGATGTAAAATTCTATTGAATCTGTGGATTAAACACATCACATGATGGGTACATCGATGCACAAGTGTCACACATGTCAATGTCACCCTCATGTTTTGCAGAAAAAAATTTAAAGTTGACAACTGCTGTCCTAAGCAACAAGTTAATAGAGATATATTACAAGTTCTTTGCAGACTGGAGAGGCATACACAGATGTTCATAGTTATTTTGAGTAAATATATGTTACAGAGAGAAAGCTCAGACATGACAAGTCTGCCTACTCCAAAGGATGGAAGAGAGTTCGGGGCTGTTATCCTGGACACAGTGTCTATGGTTATAAGCCCTTCTCCATCATCTGACACGTCTGGATTAGGCTCACTTGCTGGCCCATCAATAGCAAACACCCTGCATACAGAGAAATATACCCCAAAGGATCTATGCTCAATTTGCTGCCATTTTAGGTACATTTCCATCAATTATTCAGATTTAGTGGTGGTACCCATTAAGTCTGGAATATCAGGGACTTGTCAAAAAATAAGCTAAATATACTTTATACAAACAAGATTAATTTTAAAAAACATGAAAACATCTGGCCTGAATAATGGGTCCTTTGATCTCTGCAGATAGTTCAGTGGGAAAGAGAGATTATACGTAATAGTTTTATACTATAGATAATGAGTTTAGTAAAATGCAGGTATGAGTAAGACAAATATTTATAATTTTTAAATGGGTAACATTTAGATAAAATATTCATATTAATAGGGTCCTGACAACTTACATTTGATATGCAAAAAGCATGCAAAATCAGTAGTTACTAAATTAAAATTTACTGGTTTTTATCACTGAATAAATCCACTGATTTTTTATAAGGCAGACGATTGATGAATTCATTCAGATATGTTAAAAAAAAAAAAAAAAAAAAAAGAATACTGGCCAGGCACGGTGGCTCACGCCTGTAATCCCAGCACTTTGGGAAGCCAAGGCGGGCAGATCACGAGGTCAGGAGATCGAGACCATCTTGGCTAACACGGTGAAACCCCGTCTCTACTAAAAATACAAAAAATTAGCTGGGCACAGTGGCGGGCGCCTGTAGTCCCAGCTACTCGGGAGGCTGAGGCAGAAGAATGGCTTGAACCCGGGAGGCGGAGCTTGCAGTGAGCCGAGATAGTGCCACTGCAGTCCAGACTGGGCGAAAGAGCGAGGCTCCGTCTCAAAAAAAAAAAAAAAAAAAAAAAAAAAGAATACGCTCTCATATAAACCATTCTCAAAGCCAAATTAAACAACAAAGCAAACAATGAAACAAACTCTATTTGGTCAATGTAAGCAGGACCTGTAGGCATAACTACTCTTTAAGTGGCCTCTGCATTAGTGAACTTGGTTCTCAGAGGAGTGTACAGTATACGCTTAGCTTGGAAAATTGACCCTGTGATTTTTGTACACTGCCAGCTGGTGTCAGCCCTGTGTAGGCCATGGATGCTAAATTCATACATGCTGAGCTCCAGCTGAGCTTTGTCACCAACCCTGTCTGCTCTGGCCCCTGCCAGACTGATGACTGGGCACATCTTCACTGAGATCACTCTGCTCCCTCTAATACCAACTAGCTGTACCTACTAAGATCTGCTGGCGTATTTCCTCCTCTGGTCCCAGGTCCAGCTGTGCAGACCCAGCTGGTAGGATGAGAGAGAATGTGTGTGTAAGCGTAAAAGCTGGGACATCTCCTAGTCTCTGTCCCACCTGGAGAGGCCCAGGCATATTCCAGCTCTCTCCACCCTGCAGCTTTCACCTCCCCAAAGCCAAGCCAGTCTCTCCCTATACCCTGACCTGGGAATTTAACACTCCTACTCACACACACTTCCCCTCCCTCCCAACGACTGCTCCTTCCACCGAGTCAGACTCTACCCTAATGTGTGGAAGCTATACCCTTAGTAGGCCTACTGAGGCTGATGCTGATTTTATTTAAAAAAATGAAGGCACATTTTGGCAAAATTGACAGGATTTGCTGGTGGATTGGATGTGGGAGAAAAGGAGAAGAAAAGAAATAAGCAGTAATTTTTTGGCTTGAACAGCTGAGTAGAATGGTAGTGCCATTCTCTACTGGAAGATAGCTGGAAGAGTAACAGGTTTGGGAATAGACATAATTTCCAGTAAATGTGTTGCTTTTATAGCCTAAACACATATATGTTAAGTATTCAAAAATGTTTAACCCTGTCTTTGCTAAAACTACAAAAATTAGCCGGGCACGGTGGCACGCACCTGTGGTCCCAGCTACTTGGGAGACTGAGGCAGGAGAATCGCTTGAACCCAGGAGGCGGAGGTTGCAGTGAGCCAAGATCACACCACTGCACTCCAGCCTGGGCGACCGAGTGAGACTCCATCTCAAAAAAAAAAAAAAATGTTTAAGTAACCTAAAATAAACAAGAAATGTGAAGATGTTTTGTAATATCTAAATTTGTGATTGAACTAATCCAAACAGCACAGAGAGAAAGACATCTTTGAAAGTGAACTTTGGTTTTGTTAAGTTTATTATGCCCACTAGACATTCAATAGAAATGGTGAGTTGGCAATTGGAATTGGATATGCATGTTTGGAGGAGACAAATTCAGAACTAGAGATTCTGTTGATGGAATTTAAGGCCAAGGGATTGTGTGAGAACACAAGAGGGCAGAGTTCCCAAGACTGAGAAGTCAGTAAAGCAGAGGGACAACCATGAGAGAATCAACAGGAGTAAGACAAATGCTGAGATGTCACGTAGATATGCAGACAGGGAAGTGGCCACCATCTTTACATCTGAATGGTCTTTGGTGACTTGGTCTGGACCAGAGCAAAATCACTAGACTGACGCATCAGCCTCCTAACTATTCTCCCAGTCCCCACTTTAGATCTCCCGCCAAACTACACAGCAACCAAAGCCCACTTGTATAACTTAAATCAAATCCTATCAGTCATTTGCTTTAAAACTTTCATTAGCTTACCATTTGAACTTAGAATAGAAGATAACACCCAGGGCTGGAATTAGGGTAAGGTGAGGATGGCACTCAGGCACAAAATTTAAGGGGGTACCCAAAATCTTGGTCATCAAAATAAATATTTTAATGCAATATTTAAAGAAACAAATTAGCAAACTACAGCTCATGAACCAGCTGCTTATTCTTGTAAATAAAGTTTTATTGAAACCAGGGCCAGGATTAGGGTAAGATGAGTAGGGAAGATTCAAGTGCAAGGTAAGAGCTGTCTTTACTTAAAATCTTGACATTTTGTTCATTGTAGATTTTATTTTGCACTAATATTTATTTTTTGAAATATTGCATTATGTTATTTATCTATAATACTGAGTTTTTTGGTACTGCCTTAAATTTTGTCCAGGAGACAAAGTGAGACATTCATCTCATCCTTGTCCTGGCTCTGCCAACCCCGTATCAACGCCTATACTTTCCAGTCAACTTGTGTAGCTTTTGTGGTCAGAAAACATAAATATTAGTTTATGCTTTCAAAATTTTTTAAACAACTTAAAATAAACCCAAGTAATATGAAGGTGTTTTTTATAGCAGTACAGAGAGAAAGGCATCCAACTTTAATATCTGAAAAGATAAAGATTCAACTTATTTTCCAAATGAATCTGCTCTTCTTTATGCAGTGAGTACTCAGCAAGGCACATGGTTTAATAACAGCAGGAGAGCCATTTTTAGATAAAACTGATGATGCTTTCATGGAAAGGTTCCAGGCAGATTAAAATTGTATAAGACATCATGCTTTTTGACTGCTTAAATATGTTATGATCATAATTTTATTTTGTGATTTCAACAGAGAAAAAAGATTTTCCTTATTTATTAGGTTATCAACTGAAAGAACCAGGCAGTTTTAATTTCTTCATTCATCTAATAAACTCAAGTTACTATGCTGAAGCATGAAGGATCTTAGAAATCCATTCACAAACATATTTTTAAGAGGGCATATGGTTTGGGGCTTGATTAACAGAATAAATATTTGTAGGTTTTCCAAGTTAACAAAAAACTGTTTTCTTTCTCTTAGTCTTTCCTCCCTCTACTATGCCTTATGTTTCAAAGGTTGGTTTGCTTCCTCTGTGACTATAACATTGTGAATAAATGAATTCAGCAGAGCTTATAAACTATTGGCTCTCATCTTAGCCAAGCTTTTATACTAGAGGAGATGTGTCTGTCTCAGTTTCCCTATGTGAAACTTGAGAATTGCTAAGGCAAAATGCTGTCATCATTACAGATGGAAATAGGTTATCCAGATATTACTAAAGTGACCCATATGTCCATACAAGATTATCGGTGAGAAAAACACCTGGGCGTGTCCCATGCACATACACAGCCCCAAAATATCTGCCTCCCTGTTTAGTTGTAAGTTCTGTCCTCTGACCAGATGATGGCTGGCATGGTGGGGGGCAGCTGGCCGGGCACCCCAGGCTTGTTCAAATGGCAGCTGGGCAGAGGTATAAGGACCATCTGCGGGCATGCAAGGCTTCTTGAGGACTAAGCTGAGAACTTCCACCATATTCTGTTGCCCAAAGCGTCACAAGATTAATCCAAAACAAGGGGAAGGAAAACAAACTTTACCTACTGATAGAGGGACCTGAAAAGTCACCATTGCAAAAGGACTTCATTATAGGGAAGAGAAGAATTGCAGCCATTTTGCAAACTACCACAATTAGCTAATAAAGTTAGAAAATCCACTCAATTACCTATAATAAAGTGGTGCTTTTTAACAAGGTTATTATGGAGGAGGAGAGGGAATGAAGATCTGTGGGAGAGAATTTTTGTTGTTGTTGGGGGAAAAAACCACTTGCAAATGCAGAATAGCGATCATTTGATAAGACCATGGAGAAATTGAAGCAGATTATGTTCCCATCTGGGATGATAATGATTGACTTGCTCTGTTCTTCATATTTATGTGAAACTGAAATAAACTGAAATTCTTGGCCTTAAGCTTCAGAGCAATTCAGGATTTGTTCAAAGGTAGAAATTCTGACCTGGCTACCTGCCATCTCCAAGTTTAGATAGCTAATTGCTCCAGTTGGAGATTCTTATTTTATTTTCTTATATCTGTTTATTGAGTGCCTGTAGGGATCCAGGAATTTTACGTATGTCATCTTATTTAATGTCATCTTATTTAATCTGATGATTAAACAACCCTCTGAGATAGCTGTCATCCACATTTTAATATGTGTAGGTACTGAGGCTTAGAGTCCTCCAGTAACTAGTGAGGGCCACAGAACTAGTCATTGGTAGAGTCAGGACTCTTTAAAATATTTCCCCTTATTCTGAGTGTCATCCCATAGCTTTACCCTTTTGAATTATACTCTATTTTTAATATTTAATATTAGAAATAAAAATGTCACAGTCTAACTCATTGGGAAATAACTGTTCCATTACCAAGAAAACAAACAAAATAGAAATTCCCTTAGCTCCCCCAGGTTGTTTAAATGCTTAGTTGTGGATTTTGTATTCAATAGAGAGAGCAGGTAAAAAGAAAGTGTTATAATCATCTGCCAAATGAATATCCGTTGGCAATAAAGGTAAATTCAACTTACTAAAATTTGATTTCCTGTAAAACTAGTCAAGAATGTGTGCATTGACTATAATAGGGCTCAAATGGAGGAAAATAACCTTTTTCTCCAACTCAGTGCTCTCCAATGGTCTGAAAGTCTGTGTCCACCCAGAGGCTAACAATTCTCCAATCTCACCTGACCTATAACCTCAAGCCTGCAGGGATGAGAGCCAGACAGCCCTGGGTATGGCCCCCAACTTTACAAGGTATTGCATCTGAGGCCTTGGGCTATTTACTCTTCTTACTGAGCCTCTCTTTCTCCAGCAGTAAAATGGATTGAGAATGCTTATGGAGCTATAAATATTAAATGAATAATGCATGTAAGTCAAGTAATTTGAATGCTAAGTGCTATTGATTTCTCTCTCACTGTACATTTTTCAACAGAAGCTAGCACAAAATAAAGCACAGCAAGCAAACTACCCCCCAATACAGGTGGACTTCACTGGTTGATTGTTCTTTTGCATTTGTGTATTCCACACCTGTCCTCTCCCACCGCATATTTATAAAACAACAAAGTGTGATGGGAAATGGCATTTTACCAACACAGGTTCTAATCTCAGCCCTGCTCACTGAGTAAACGCTGTCTTTACACCATCCGGTTGCTCCATCACTTTGAGCTTCACTTCCTTCCAGCTGTGAAACAAAGAAGCTAAGGAGATACTGATCATTCTAAAACTAGGGAACAACTACTTAAAAACACCACGCACTGTGCCTGGTACTACTTCTCCATGCCTTTATTTCCTTTGGTACTTACAAGGAAGTGCACCCATTTCCAAAATGACCAGTCAGGTAAAAAGGAGACTTTTTCTTATTTGTTTTGGGTTCTTCTGCTTCCCCCTTGTGTGTTTTTTCAAGGTGAATGCAATCACAGATGTAAACCACCCTCAAGACTACCAAAGCCTACAGAGGGGCAATAGTTAGAACAAACACAGTCGGGCAACAGTTAGAAAAAACACAGTCGGGCAACAGTTAGAACAAACACAGTTGGGCACCATTGGTGCCTGATGCCCAGGGCAGACCTCCGGCACCCTGCCCAGTCTCTGCCCACTGAATAGAGTTGGACCATCTGCAGTGACATTCAGATCTTTTTCCTGAAGAGCTTGAACTAATTGAGAACTTGTCAGTGTGAGTAAAATGCTCTGTGCTGCCTTCTACTCTGTTCTTTGCCTGTGCCAGAACCCATTTCAGTGGCACCAGGCTGTCAACTGGATGGGCTAGACGGGTCCTTTTGGAATTCCTCCTTTCCGTCAGTTAGCATTTGATACTAATGCTATTAGTATTATTTGGATATTATTTAGGCTTTCAAGATACATACCCTTTGGATGCTGGAAGATATTCCAAATAGTTTTTCCAAATAACATTCCAAATAATTATTCCAATTAGTATTTTCCAGCTTCCAAAGGGTATTTTGAAAGACTTAAATCAATTATTCTTAACCTTTTTAGGGTCATGGACACTTTTAAGACTCCGATGGAAGTTATGGACACTCTTCCCGCTGCCTCCTAAAAGTTTGTATACACACAAAACTAGACGGTGTCAGAAATTTCACAAACTGTCCCCCCACCTAAATTCAGACTATAGTTTCCAAATTAAAAACCCTAGTACTGGCCAGGCGTGGTGGCTCACACCTGTAATCTCAGCATTTTGGGAGGTGAGGCAGGTGGATCACTTGAAGTCAGGAGTTCGAGACCAGCCTGGCCAACATGGTGAAACCTTGTCTTTACTAAAAATACGAAAATTAGCTGGGCAAGTTGATGGCTGCCTGTAATCCCAGCTACTCAGGAGGCTGAGGTAGGAGAATAATCGCTTGAACTCAGGAGGCAGAGGTTGTAGTGAGCCGAGATCACACCACTGCACTGCAGCCTGGGTAACAGAGTGAGATGCCCTCTCCAAAAAAGAAAAGAGAAGAGAAGAGAAGAGGAAAGAAAGAAAGAGAGAGAGAGAGAGAGGGAGAAAGAAAGAAAGAAAGAAAGAAAGAAAGAAAGAAAGAAAGAAAGAAAGAAAGAAAGAAAGAAAGAAAGAAAAGAAAAGAAAAGAAAAGAAAAGAAAAGAAGAGAAGAAGAGAAGAAGAGAAGAAAAGAAAAGGACACCTAGCACTAAATAGTATTTGTATTTATAAATGTCTGTGTGGTTAGTATTGTCTACCAATAAGCCAATACCAAACAGCAGTCAGCAAATGGGTACTTTTGTCTAGAGCAACTTTGTTTTTAATGAACTAAATGATTTTTGTTGATTTGCCCTCAGGGGTTGGTTGCAAAGTAGGGAAGGAAGGAGATCTTAACAAATAAAACAGATACTTTGTATTACATATATTTAATAACTAACCATGGGGACGAAAGTGTAAACACCAAGAAAATTAACCATGTCAAAAAATACACACCAGTAGCAGACGTTAACCTGCTAAGGCAACAAGTCACCTACTGCATACATACAAAATGTACACACATGGTTGTTATGACTATATAGAAGACTGTCCATATCCTGAGAAGATAAACATATGAAACGTTTAAAGGCAAAGATGTCGTGGCATCTGCAGTTTACTTTAAAATTACTCATAAAGAATTATTAATATAGACATATTGATAAAGCCAACATAGAAAATGTTAAAAATGAATCTAATGGTGGAACTCTGGCTATTCTGAGCTTTTCCTATGTTTGAAATTTTTTATTGTAAGAACTTGGAGAATGAAATCTCATTATTTTGAGAGAAATGTCAATATAAGCACGGTCTTTCACTTTGGGACTGGGTTTTCTTTCATTGGCAAGTGTCATTTTCCCATAGGTCCAGGATATTTTTTGTTGTAATTTAATTAAATCCTTTCCAAAGATATCCAATGCTCCTATAATTTAGTAAGTAGTAAACTTCTGGTGATAATATTATACAATATTGTATGATTATTAACAGCATTTAAGATCCTCTCTGGGCAATAAGCTTGTACTATGGGACCTGCTACAAAACAAAATGCCCACCAGAACCATCTTGAGAAGTTTCTAATGGCTAAAGCCAAAATTTCAGAGCCAATAGTAATTAGGAAAAAAAGCTTTTTGATGGGATATTTCTCATGTCATTTTTCCCCCAATTCTAGAACAGATTTTTAATTCCAACAATGAAAATAGTGCTGAACATTAGGCCAAGAAGTTGGTGCTGACTGTAATATATAATATCAGTACCTCCTGGCTTCATTTGACAGTAACGCAGTGAGGACTTCCAGAGCACATCTTTTCCATCTCTGTGAATGTGAGGCTACATCTGTTTTCAGTAGTGCACAATTTCCGTTGTTCTATTGACAGATAACAGATAAGATATGTCCTAGGAAACCACAGCTACTGTCTGGAACCAGAATTTTTATTTTAAGGGTGAATCTCCAGCATCATCAATCCATTACTACTTCATCAGCAAAAATTGAGTGGTAACCTTACTTAATGGTAGATCTCAATTTCATCTCTATTTTTTTATTTTATGCTTTATAAGATTAGATAACTCTTGTCTTAATAAGATTAGAGGGATGCATGACATTGAAAATAATCACTTATTTTTTAAATTATGTACTTTTTGTTCAAAGCAATGATAATGATTAAAGCTCCAGGTTTCCCTAAAAAGTTCTATAAAGATTAGATGACTTCTATTTTCTGAATACATTTTGTTCTGTCCCACATAGAGGGTGAAATCAGTGTGTTTTATGTTTACTTGGGGAATGCAAAGAGATATGCCTTAGAGCAGGCAAGTAAAGTCATTAAGAGGCTGTGGTTTTGGCCGGGCGCAGTGGTTCAGGCCTATAATCCCGGCACTTTGGGAGGCCGAGGTGGGCGGATCACCTGAGGTTGGGAGTTTGAGACCAGCCTGACCAACATGGAGAAACCCCATCTCTACTAAAAATACAAAATTAGCTGGGCATGGTGGCGCATGCCTGTATTCCCAGCTACTCAGGAGGCTGAGGCAGGAGAATTGCTTGAAACCGGGAGGTGGAGTTTGCATTGAGCTGAAATCGCACCATTGCACTCCAGCCTGGGCAACAAGAGCAAAACTCTGTCTCAAAAAAAAAAAAAAAAAAAAAAAAGAGGCTGCAGTTTCAAGTTAGATTGCCTGCATTTCAATCCCAGTACCTTCCATACTACCTGTATTGCTGTGGGCAAGTTAGTTAACCTCACTCAGCCTTTTACCCCAATCTTTAAAATGGGTATATTTGCATCCATTGAGGTACAGATAAATAAATAAATATAGGGCATAATAGCAATGGAAAAGCCATAGGCAAAAAATAGACCATGACATAAAATTATAAAACATCTAGGAAAAAAATAGAAAATATTCAGCTCCCAACACCAGGCAAGGAATTCTTAGACTTGCTACCTAAAACTGATCCATAAAAGGAAAATTTGATAAAATTCAACCTCATCAAAATTAAAAACTTTTACTCTGTCAGAAACCATTTTTTAGAGAATGAAAGTACACATTAAAGACAGGGGGAAAATATTTGCAGACCACGTGTCTAACAAAGGACTTGTATCTAGAATATACAAGGAACCCATAAAACATAACATTAAGGAAACAAACAATCCAATTAGAAAATGGCAAAATATATGCACAAACATTTCACTGAAGAGATACACAAATGGCAAATAAGCACACGAAAAGATGTTCAACATCATAAGCCATTACAGAAACTCATGCTAATACTGCAATAAAGTTGATCGCCTGTAACCCCAGCGATTTGGGAGGCCCAGGTGGGAGCATTACTTGAGCCCAGGAGTACAAGACCAGCCTGGGCAACATAGTGAGACACTGTCTTTACAAAAATAAAAATGAAAATAAACAACTATGATACCACAATGAGATATCACGGCACCTTTAGAAAGAATAAAATTTCAAAATAGTGATCATATCAATTGCTACTAGAAAGCAGAAACACTTCATCACTCACACATTGCTGGTAAGAATGTAAAATGGTACAGCACTCTGGAAAATAGTTTGGCAGTTTTTTAAAACAAAAGCATGGTCTTATTGTATGATCCAGCAATTGTACTCTTGGGCATATATCCCAGATAAATGAAACATAGTTACACAGAAACTCATACATGAATGTTCATAGCAGCTTTCGTGACAATAGCCCAAAATGGTAAACTATCCAAAATGCCTTTCAACATGCAGATCATTAAACTGTGGTATATCCATACCATGAAATATTACTAAATAAAAAGGAACAAATTGTTGATACATACAATAACTTAGACCCTAAGGAAATTATCCCAAATGGAAAAAGCAAACCTGAAAAGTATACATATGACATTATTCCATTTATATAACATTTATGAAATTGTAGAAATTGATAACAGAATAGTGGTTGCCAGGGATTAGCAGGCAGGTGTGGGAATGGGTGTAGACCTAAAGGGATAGCACAAGGGAGTCTTGTGATGATGTTATAGTTAATTATCTTGATTGCAGTGGTGGTTACATGAAGCTACACATATAATTAAACTGCATAGAACTACATACACACTATGCACAAACACAAATAGGTGCACATATAACTGGTGAAATCTGAATGAGTTCCATAGATTGTACCAATGCCAACTTCCTAGTTTTAATGATGTACTATAGTTGTGCAAGATGTTATCATTGGAGGAGGTTGGGTAAAGGGCGCATGGGACCACCCTATACATATTTTTGCAACTATTTGTGAATCTATAATTATTTCCAAATAAGAAGTTATTAAAAATGTTTCCTAATAATACCTGCCACCTAAGATTATGAATGAGCATTTAGCCCAGTATTTCAACTGTAGTTAGTGCTCGATAAAGGTCAGCAAGGATTTCATATATTAACTGCTGCTGTTGCTACTTAATTGGAAGAATGTGTCTTGGAAGTGAGATCTAGGCTAGAATATACACTCCGTGAAAGCAAGGATTTGGGCTATTTTGGTCACTGTTTTATCCCTGCACCTAGAAAAATGTAGCACATATAAGATGCTCATTAAACATGTGATGAAGAATGAATGGGTGATTTTTTAAATGCCGTGAAGGAGGATATTTGGCAAATGGAGCAAGAGGGAATAACATGGTAACATCCCAGGTAGGCATAGATAAAATGACAATTTGCCTGGACTCCCTATGACAGCAAAGGATGGCAGATGGGGTGCAGGGAGTGAGCTGAGATGTTGAGGATAAGTTTGAATCTTAATTTGACTCACTCTACCCTAAACTGCATCAGCCCCAGGGACAATTGAGAAGGTAACTGTCCTCATGTCAAGCCCCACTAATGGGACTCCTAGTCCTTACCATCTACTCTGTTTTCCAGGATGGCCAGGTGTATCATGGTCAACACCCAGTGGAACGGTTTCTTACTGCCATGTTCTCCACTTCACTGCATGGTGGGCCTATTCCATTCAACCCTTTCACCAGCCAAAACAGAGGACCCCTACTGCACTCACCTCAGCCATTAGTAGTACAGGTCCAATTGGACCACCAAAAGAAAGACTGGCTCTCTCAGGTTAAAGGACCCGTACAGCAGTGTCTGGGCACAGGGTCCCAGGGATGAAGCCAGAGAATTTTTTAATGATGCCACTCTGTATTAGTCAAATGGTTTCCGCTGACCATACTGTAGGCCCCAACACTGGACCCAGTCACCTCAATTCTTTTGTGCCTCATGGTGAGTTTCCTGCATGTTTGAGAATCCTCCTTCCTTTCAAAGCTCTAGTCTCACCGCTTATGGCCAGCAGTCAAAACTTCTATGTTTGCAGAGCATCCGTGGGGTGGCAGCACACTGGTGGGCAAAATTGGAAGTATAAAGATGTGTAATATGTAAGACCCCCTCACTCAAGAAGCTTACAAGTCCAACAAAGCAGGCAAAATGGCAAACACAAGCAGTTGGGAGCGTTGTGAAATGATGTCTTTAACACAGGAGTTCAAAGAAGGGAGGTTTGATATTGTTGCATTTCCACAGGAATGAGGAAGTAGTGACCTAGTCAGAGCACACATGCCAGATACCTGGGAGGAGACTGATTCAAGAAGCAGTGGGTCACTCGCAGTATCAAATGCCAGGAGGAAAGTGACACAATTCAGTGTTGGACCAAGACGAAGCTATTTACCTTCAGCCTCATTATGGATGAGCATATGGGCTCATTAAAAATATATAAGATCTGATTTAACTTATTTATTATTAAACATGCATTTACTGAGCATTGAGCACCACTATGCTAGGTACTGTGGAATAATATCAAATGAAATAGACATGGTCTCTGCCCTCAGAAGGGTGCTCAATAGTGAAAAAGAGAGAGATGAGACAAATAATACAAAAGAATGAACTAGGGAGGAAGTGGGGAGGAGGGGACACACAGTGGAAATGGAATGTGGAAGTAGCCAGGCAGTGCTTGAAACGAACTTGCTGCGTCCCACTTTTATAACTCATCTTCGTGACATGAATGAGTTTAGCTTCCTCTTGGCCTCTCTTGGGAAAGAAGAGCAGATCAAGGAGTGAGACTGGTTCTCATTATCAGTGCATTTTCAACGGAAAGTGTTGTATGCTTGATATTTGTGCCCTTTATTTTTCCCCAAGTTTACTTAGATTTGCATTTATATTATTAAATATTTAAATTGGGTTTATATGATGTTTTTGCTTCCTGGAAATTCCAAAACTAAATTCAGCAAATCTGGCATCTCTATTTTTTTGCCTATATGGAAATTGTGCCAGGGTCCTTTTGGAATCAGGTACTGATATGGTACCGTTGATATTTCTGAGATCGGAAGTTAAAACGTGGTGAAGAATTAATCTGCTATATTAATGAGGCTGCATTGTTTGTAGCTAGAAGACTATAAATATGAAAAGTTATACGTATAAAAATCACTATATTACATTCAAATTGTGGGGTTTTGTTCTCTTTGAGGTTCAAAGTTTCTTATTTTTAAAAAATCTAATCTTTTTTAAAATAAAAGATTGGCAAAAAAATTTTGTTACTGTTAATATTATCAAAAATTAAATTATGTCTTCAATTATATCAGTTTTAAAATGCATTTTAAATATCTAATGCCCTTTGCTCAGTGAATTCTACTATTAATATATGTGTTGTTTATAATTTTATAGACACAAGCTTGTTCTTTACACTTTTATAGTCTTTGCCAGCTTCTCTCTAAACAAGAATAGATGCTAAATCTAGAATTAATAAATGTGTGATAAAATGTGACTACAAAAGTAATGATTAGGCCACAGGTAATCCTCTTAAGTATATTCTTAAATGTAACACTTAATTTTAAGTGATCTAATAATGACTACCTACCCTTTCTATCTAGTTAATTTAATGATATAACATATTTATTCTGAAATGCAGGTTCCATAAGGACAGACATTTTTGCCAGTTTGGGCCACACCTAAATCCCAGGAACCTAGAAGAATCCTTGGCCATATATAAGTGTGTGATAAATATTATCAAATAATTACTGTTAAATGAATGAATTTTCTTTATTCAAAACTTGCCATTCACACTCTCCCACTGAAGCTTTAAACACCAAGAGTGACTATTTTCATTTTTTGAGCTTGTTCTTTCCCTGAAACAATGAAATAGCACTAGTCCTTGAAGTGTCAGAAATAAATCAAAGACTGAGCCCACCCGAACTTCCAAATAAACTAAATATAGAATGTCTCATGACCGCAGTGATAACTGGGACCACCAGGGGGGCCCTTTTTTCCCACCTACTGCTGAGCTATCAACTCCTTAATACAAGTCAACTTGATATATGGAGCAACTCATTTGCAGTTTTACTTAAATCTATGCCGTTCTGAAGGCATAAAAAGTGCCCCTATGACCTTCAAGAGACAGAAATAATAATAGTAAATCATGACAATAGTAAGTGATTCTAAGTAATGATGCTGGAAGAGACAAAATAGCCTCTGTAACTTTCTCTACTCCCAGATACTAGCTTTTTGTACAAAATAAACACAAATCAAAGCTTTCATTCTAAATTCACAACAATCACTTGCCACTATTTTCTCACCTCCATTGGAAGTCAGAGCTCATAACAGTTCTTAATATATGTGAACTATTTTTTACTATATTTGAAGTTGTATTGTCTGCAGCCTCCTCACAGGTCACTGCAAGGAAAATGCCACTTTCTCATTTCCCCAGCACTTAGGAAGGCTCTGGAGCCCAACTGTCTGAGTTCGTATCTGAGCTCTGCCACTTGCTGGCTATGTGGCCTTGGAAAAATTGTCCAACTCCATCAGCTTCAGGGTCCTCATGTGTTGAAAGGGGGAGTATATGTTTATAATACCTATTATTGTGAGGATTCGATGAGATATTATATATATAACACTTGGCACACATTATTACTGAAATCTGCCTCATTTGCTACAAAGTATTCTGTAGTTTGTTGCACACCAGCATTTGTTAGACCTTTTTAAAAAATCACATCCTCCAAGCTTGCCCAACCCGCACCTCGCAGGGCACAAGCAGCCCAGGACAGCTTTGAATGTAGCCCAACACAAATTCTTAAACTTTCTTAAAACATTATGAGTTGTTTGTTTGTTTTAGTTCATCAGCTGTCATTAGTGTTAGCGTATTTTATGTGTGGCCTAAGATAGTTCTTCTTCCAGTGTGGCTCAGGGAAGCCAAAAGGTTGGACACCTCCTGTCTTAGACCCGTTCCTTAAAGGAAGTAAGGCAACCAGGACTTAATAGATGATTGCATATTGCATTCTTTACTAGTCAAAGGAAATTCGTGTGACTAATACCAGAACACCACTAGCAGATTGTGTTTGATTGGCATATCAAAATTATTCATTAGCAATTGTGAGAATTGCTGAAATGGTACAACAAAGTAAATTAGGAACATCTGGATTTTTCAGGGGAAGGCAAGAGATAGCAGGGGTAGTCGGGTTGTTAATTCCTAAATTAAGTGAATTAACACTGGTGCTTAGTATCCTAAGTACAGAAATAGCCTGAGGCCCTTCTTGCCTCTCTTTCTCCATTTGTAAGATGAGGATTACTGTCTTCTATGTACATACTTAATAAGAAAGATTAACCTTTAATTGATTTAATAGGTAGACATTAATAGGTAGACTTAAATAATCACCATTACTGTTAATTTAGCCAGTGACACAAGCAGCTGAGGAGCTCTGGTAACTGACCCAGAAGCACACAGTTCTGTTCTGCCAGGGTGCTCTCACTCACCCAGGCCTCTTAATTGCATTTTAAGTAGCCACAGTTAAGGACCATGGAAGGCAAAGAGGTGAATCCTGTCCTCAAGGATCTTACAGCTTCCAGTATTAGGGAGGCTAACTGAAGGAGTTGGGTAAAAGATATTAATACATTCCATATAGCTTGTCAATTCTGTGAGAGGCATTGAAAGAATTCATTTCTAAAAGTTTGTGCTAATGTTCCAGTGGAGTGCACAAGATAATTATTTGGAATGCAAGAAAAAAATATTAAGACTACTATTTGTTATCTTTTTTAAAAGAGGGAATAAATTAGTCCATGTTTTTACAATGGTTGCCAGTAGCACATAGATACATAAGTAGATAGGCTGGGAACAGTGGCTCACACCTAAAATCTCAGCACTTTGGGAGGCTCAGGTGGGAGGATCACTTCAGACTAGGAGTTCGAGACCAGTCTGGGCAATATAGCAAGACCCTGGCCTCTATAAAAGAATTTTTTTTTCGTAATTATCTGGGCATCATAGTGCTTTCCTACAGACCCAACTACTTGGGAGGCTGAAGCAAGAGGATTGCTTGAGCCCAGGAGTTTGAGGTTGCAGGGAGCTATGGTCGCACCACTGCACTCCAGCCTGGGCAACAACAGAGCAAGCCTCTATCTGATAATGGTATATGATCAAGAAATTTTGGAGACTCTGATTACAATTGTGTAGATTTAACTTGTCAGTTAGATTCTGCTTAATGAAGTCACCCTGGCCCCCTTGCCTTACTGAGTATTCCATATTCCAAATTGTTCTTTAACTGTCTCTAAACAATTTCTCTTCTACTCCTTCCATATTGGCGAAGATATCTATTCTTCTCAAAAAATTTTTCTACTATCTCAAATATTTCATGACCATGAAGATTATCCAAACAAATCATCAAAAGGCTTTGCTTCCAAAATGTGAGCTTTCATTACCGCACTTCTTACTTAGATCATTTCTACCCCTTCTGTCCATCCCAGTGTATTTCTTTAAACCGGATTGTAAAGTGGGTACTCCTGCACCCTGGGCTGTCATCTTCAGCACTTCATTGTTCTCTGAGATTCCTTCTTTGCAGAAGGGCCATGATTGTCAGATAATTACCAGCAACCAGTCAAAGTAATTTGAATTTAAATTTTTCTTTCTTTGTCTAGGAATTTATTTAATCTCCCCTCCCTTAATGTTTTAGGGACTATGTTAAGACAAAGTAAAAGGAGGGAGAAAGAGATGAGTTTCCATCTGACTAAGAGGTAGTAGGGTGTTTTTCCTTTTATATTTCAGATTTGAGGACTTTGCACCTTGTATCTAGTCTTCCCAATAGGCTTTGAGGTTTATTCATCTTTAACAAGGAGAGACATTTTGAATGTTTTTATTTATTACAGTAGTGTATTGAAAGAAAAAGGAAACATCATTTTACACTTTCATGTTAATTTTTTAAATGAAAATCAGTCATTCAAATCATTCCTCACCAGATCTTCCTGAATTCTAAGACATTAAAATTCATGTCCATTGGAATATTGGATTAATATTCTAATCATGGGCATATTTGTTTCAGATTATATTTTTCACAAAATAATATGTTTAAGTTTATTTCTATAGACTTTATAATGCTTCCAGGTCCTTGGCATAATGCATTTTAGGCCCATTTTGCAGGACTTGGTGGAATGTTAAAGTGGTGGAAGTTTATAGCTGTTACTTAGCTTTAGCAACGAACTGTTTATTGTTCTTCTATATCTGATGCCACGTCATTGACCAAAAAAAAATCCCTTAGTTACACACTTGTCTTTTGTCCTATGAAGTCTTCATGGTGACCCATTTGATATGTGATTTGTAAGTAGATAATTACCAGAGTGAACCATGGACATGTTAGTATCCTCTTACTGAGTGGCCCTGAGGCAGCTGGACTGCAGTATTGGCCTAATTTTTATGTGTGTGAGGTGGGACTAGGGGCCTGTATGTGGTGAAAGGCTATGTACAAAGATCCATCAAAACTACACTTTATAGTCAGCAAAATCATTTCTCGCTTTCAAGGATCAAAGGAAGAAAGAAGATTTAAGGACTTGGGACTGATTTATAGCATCAAAATGCTATCCAAATGGGCTATGCATTTTATTATCTGGGATGCAAGCATAAATGGACAATTTCAAAACACCTATCAAATAAGTAGCAAAATTCCTATAAAGAAATGGGATTTCCAGCAGGGCGCGGTGGCTCACACTTGTAATCCCAGCACTTTGGGAGGCTGAGGTGGGTGGATAACCTGAGGTCAGGAGTCTGAGACCAGCCTGGCCAACATAGCAAAACCCTGTCTCTACTAAGAATACAAAAATTAGCTGGGCGTGGTGGCGGGCACCTGTAATCCCAGCTACTCAGGAGGCTGAGGCAGGAGAATTGCTTGAACCTGAGAGGCAGAGGTTGCAGTGAGCTGAGATCATGCCATTGCACTCCAACCTGGGTGACAAGAGTGAAACCCCATCTCAAAAAAAAAAAAGAAAAGAAAAAAAAGGAAATGGGATTTCCACCAGGAAGGACAATAGAGATTAAAGTCATCTTCCAGTTGCTCAATTTAAGTGCAGTCACCATATGACTAATTTGAGTCATTGAGAAGGGGGCCAGTTTAATTGAATAAAGGTTTGAATTACAGAATATTTTCTCATAAGTAGATGATGGCCTGCCAAAGTCTTGCTGTTATAAATGGTGAGGGGAGTCTGCGTTGGCACACCAAAGCCCTGATCTGAGACCTTCAGGATGTAGTTTATGAATTCTTTTAAACAATCCTCAAAGAATAGTTGTGTGTGTACTATAGATTGGCTTAACAGACTTTTTCTACAGCTATAGGAAATTTATTTATAAATGTATTCATTAAATTTATTTATTTATTTATTTATAGGAATTTGTTAAGCCAATCCATAGCATGCTGACTACCAGGAATTGGGCTTTCATATTAATACAGCCCAAATGAGTGGTATTTTTGTGTGTTTAAAATTAAGGGGGTTAAAAAGCAAAATGCATCATAAGAATGCCAAGATTAATCCTTAGAGTCATGTTAGTCTTCTTTTGAAGAAGTTGTCTTCTGTAATATCCCATGGGTTAGAATAAACTTGCCATGTATTTAATGGCCTTGAAAATAAATTCACAACACTAGGCCAACCCAAAACCCACTGGCTATACACATTAAAATCATTTCTTTGTCACCTTCACTAGTTACTTCCCGTGTAATTAAACCCCTTTAAAATTGAATTTGTAACGTAATCAGCTGTATATTGTCAGGACTGTGAGGCTGCTTCAGGATGCAATTAGAGCAAGGCTAAGTCAGGTGAACTTCGAATTATCAGTAGATGTGGGTGAGCCCCTGGAAATGGGCAATTACCATCATATGTCACACTTCTTATCTCTTTTGCAACAGGGCTACATAAAAGGAAAGTAGAGGGGTGTTTTAATGGCCTCCGCTGCCATTTGTGTGTATACCTAAATTTACATATTATACCCTGATGTATATTCATGTCTGCAGATTACACTTGAAAGAAAACGAATGATGTCAACTGCAGACATTAAACAGTGGGATATTTTATAGAGAATTTCAGGCCTGTCTCTGCACTCAGTTTTTTCTCTGAAGAATCTATGTACAGGCATTTTCCTTCCACTTTTTATGTTTTATGATCCTCCTTGCTGTGAGAGAAAAAGGAAGTCGATAGAGTAGATATTTTTTTCTTCTTTTCAGACCAAAAGACAGGTTTGGATTTTTTTTTCCTTCCTTAATCATGTATTTAGATATATTTTTTAAAATTCAAACTCTCAGCTGGTGACGTTTCTGCCCTTATAAAGCCCACCTTTTTCTCTCCCTGCTTTCATCCTGTTCCTTCATGTTCTGTGTCAACACTGTGGTATCAATTCCAGCTCATAATTATTGGTCTCCCATTTAGCCACAAGGTGTAAATTTGTTAACTGACCAGGCGTGCTCTGACGGTTAATCTCAATGTATGTCTAAAGGCTGAGCTTGCTGCCCTGGAAAATTTCCCTAGGGGATTGCCCTGTAGACTGTGAGGCCATTTGTTGAGCTGTCTGATGTGGAAGGAAAGAAAAGGAGAGGACCTGCCAGAGAGAAGCAGGATCATACAGTGCCGTTCAGAGGAAAGTGGGAAATCAAAGGACAGTTTCCTGTCCACTCCAGTTCTGCAAGCAGGCTCTTGGGAACTAGGGCATCAGGATATTTCCCTATTAGCGTTTTTAGAGAAGTCATTGAGAGAGAGCCCCCAACCCAAGGGTTAAGGCGAATTTAGTGATGCCCACAGGCTGTGCTCAGAAATTACCACCAACGCAGAACCCTTCTGTCTATGTCTGAGACTTGCAAGTTCTTCAAGAGCCTATAAAAATGCTTGGAACCAGAAGGGGGAAAAAAACACATTGGTATTGACTCCAGAATCCAAAAAGGTGTCTACAAAAATCAAAATTATTAAATGTCTAATTGAATGTCCACAAAATATTTAACATCAACCTCATTAAGTGTTGAATTTCACCTTCTTAAAAATCCATTACATGTGAAAACAAATTGTAGATTTGATTTTTTCACTTTGCAAGATTTTGAGCATGCTAATCCTAACTTAAATGATTGGCACATAGCAAATAATTTGAAATTCAAAATTATAAGAATCCCTTCTATTTTTTTTACACAAAAGTGTATATTTTAGGTAATTGAATATTTTAGATGAGATGTGGGGACATCTTAATATCTTTACATGGTAGGTGTGGTAGACCCTAAAACAGAAAGCCTAGAGCACATGAAGGTTTTAAAACTGTTCTGCATCTGGCTACTCTCCTCCAAGTATGTGATTATTCCTGAAGACAGACGTCTGTTTAGACCCTAATGGGGAGGACCAGAAGGCCAGACAGGGGAAGGGTTCCAGTTTGTTCTTGCTGTCTGCACCTGTAGTTGAGGTGAAGTGACGAAGGTGCTGTCTAAGTATGAGGAACTATTCACCAGGCACCTGTATCTCGTTGGAAAGATCCCAGGGTGGTCCCCGGTTCTGGCGAAGAAGGAGAGTTGCCATTGAGTTAAGGAAGTAAAAGCTGTCCAGGTGGGTCATGTCGGTAGAATTCCACTGCCCCCTTGTCTGAGTTGCGTTCGCTTCCAGCAGATTACCAGGCCTTTATGTGCCCTTGTGTTCTAATCCACATTTCTCAACTGGACAGAGACTTCTCTTTTTAGAATAGAAAACTTGAGGTGATGGGAACAGAAGGAAAGATGGGTTATCTGATTTCCATATGGGATGATCCTAGTCTTTAATGCAGTGGCCTAACTTCTGTGAGCTTTATTTTATTCATAATACATGGAGCAATGAATGCTGACTCCCCCCAAAACATATAGAAAATGACATTTCTTTGCAATCCCATCCCCCAGTAACAACCACTAATAACAGTTTGGTATCATTCTTTCAGAATTTTTTTCTTTATATGCACTAAAATATTAATTATTTTCCTTTATGAAATGAAACAATAAATATTTATAAATGTTTAATTTTTTCAGTTATCAATAGATATTTTCCATGTCAGAACATGTGAATTACCTCATTCATTTTAATGATCACATAGTATTCCACTGCATGGCTGGGCCACAGTTGACTTAACTGCTCTGTATTGCTGGACATTCGGGTTGGCCATTCAACTTTGACCTTTCAGGAGAATGAACCATGTACCTAAATAAACCATTATATTTTGGCTAAAAATATACATCCTTAGTCCCCTGTTTTGGCTTAACTCATCCCAGGAGCAGAAAGAATGAAATCTTCCCCTATACTGATGCTTGTTATTAAATGTAAATGCCATATGTGATTCTTCATTTATTTATTTCTTTGTCTTTTGTCTTTGCCTTTTTCTCTTATGCAGCCATCTGCAGCCAGGGACAAGGATGAACCAACTCTACCGGTAGGAAGCAGTGGCTTTGTCTGTACCTGTTTGTGTGCCTGTGGAGAGCGTGGGGCAGGGGTGGGAGTGAGACGGGTTTGTGTGCTCAACACATTACTCTCTCCCTTGGAATACTTAAATAATCTAACCCCTGATGTGTACTTCTACTCCGTGCTACAATTAGTGATGACTGAATTCTGGCATTCATGGACACATGCCTTCTGGGACTAGGTTTCAAAAGTTTGAATTTTCTCTTCCATTTGGTATGAACTTTTGTAGAAGTTGGAAGAGTGAGATATTTCCAAATTGCATTCCAAGGGATGTTGAACTAATATTTGGGGGTAGTGTGGGATCTAATGCTCAATATTTGTTTTCTTTGTGTATCTGCATGCACATACTTTGATTGGAAATTTCTTTTGGTCTCATCAAAAGAAAGAAATGCTGCATGAGACCTATATACTTAATGTATATATAATACACAAAAGAATGCTTTCAGTACTTCTCTAGATGTAATCTTTTTCAAATGAAGATCTCCACACCAGAGTTCTTCCAGTTTCGCAGAATAAGGACCATAATAGTTATGACGAGTTATTATTGATAAACACATTTTCGAGTTCCTATTTAATTAACACATCACATTTCAGATTTTGCACCATCGTAAAGAAACAACCTTCAGAATTATTGTGTTCAGCCATCAAACAGTGATTACATTTCCATTTTATTCAGGTCTCCTAAGTTTGCTCCTAAAATGTTTTGAACCGTAATCATCTGAATCCTCTATAACTAATAATACAATGCATTAAAAAATGTTTAAGACTTTCAAGGCCAAAAGAGTTAGTAATAAAGATACATATGACCCTGTCCTTCCTCCTGTAATGCTCAGGGCAAAGACATAACATTCATTGAGAGCCCATAGAATACACCTGATCCAGTACCAGAACACGGATACAGACTCAATCTCTTCTATTAAGGAGCCATAATCTGGTTCACCATTGAGGCACCAGTAATCCCCACTGATTCTTTTCCATCCCTATTGAATTGGCAATGTGATTTCTTCTGGTATCTCATAGTGATATTTTACTCATACTTTCTACGGGTTTCATGTTTGTCTCCAAATGTGTGGACCATGATTGTTAACAAGTGTTTTACAAAATAAGATCCTATGGATAATAGTTTGGAAACACTGCCCAAGTTAATCAAGTTAAACAGATTTCTTTAGTGTTAGACTTAGTGGTCTAATGATGTAGTTTGAAACCCTGAGGTGAGTTGGTCTAGGATATAGCACTTTCCAATATATATCCAATATGTATTTGATCATGGGGTCTCTTATGGGACATTTTTGGGGAAGCCCCCTTGTGGGTCTGGAGTATGATGGAATATTTTGGAAAACCCTGTTATGCAGAAGTTTGAAAGACATAGTGGAGAATAGTATTTTATTTTTACCTGCCCCAGAAAATTTACCTGTCAAACTTTTACGCTGAAAGTTCAATAAGAAATTAATTCCCTTACATTACGATACCTTTCAACTCCTTAAATCTGTCTGTCTATAAAGCTTGGCTGCCTCAGAGAGTCTTCTCTTGTGATGATCAACACAAAATCAACCACGGGGAGACAGCAGTTCCTATTCAGGATAAAAACCCATCAAAATACAGAGGGTTTGGGAGTTTTTAGGTTGTTTGCTTTTGAAGATAGAAGAAAAAGAGTTTGTCAGTAACCTTATCTCTAGATACTCATTCTTCCTTGTCACGTACCAGTTCCTTTTATTTGGCCAACGGATCACAACTAGTAGTTTGTGCAAAAGGAGCCCCCCTCAAAGTCGGGAGAGTTCTCATGGTTTCATGATAAGAGCTTCTGCTCCTTGAATCTCACTTAACACAAGCTATGCTGCTTTCTGGATTAGAGCTGTAGTCCCAGGGTAGAGATGAGGTAGCCCAGGAGATGTGCAAGACTCTGGGAAGCAAGGAGAAAATATTAGCACTTCGTCATTTACTGTGTTATTCTTCTTAACTTGTATTTTTGAAAGTGTTTTTATATGTTCATATTTTAGTATGTGTATCTATGCAGATATGGGCATAGATGCCTATTTATATACATTTAAACATTTTACTGATAGGATGCATACTTCAAAAATGTTAGAGACCACCCACTGGTTTAGAGAATAGTCATTGAGAAAAGCAGACCTGGGATCCATTCCTCCATCCTCCACTTCTTGTCAGTGTGACTTGGGCACCTCATTTCACTTGTCTGAGATGAAATGTCCTCATCTATCTAACAAGAATAAATAATAGCATCTAGTTCATAGGGTTCATTTTGCAAATAAGATAAATGAAGGGATGTGAAGCATATAACACATTGTCTGGCATTTACAAAGCTCTTTTTAAAAAGGGAAGCAATGCATTCATTTAGTAGGAAAGAATGTGAGAGAGCCATTCCCTCAGGGGCTTTGAAATGTGCTTTGAAAATCTTTGGCTCAATACTGTGTGATCATGCGACAGAAATGAGTGGCCACCAGACTAGGTGAGGATCTTGTCTATAATGCACTTGTCTTTCATTCCTGAGACTAACCATCTCTTTGGTTTCTCTGCTCAGGCTAAGCCGCGTCTCCAGCGAGGTGGAAGCTCTGCCTCCCTCCACAACAGTCTCATGAGGAATAGCATCTTCCAACTCATGATACACACCCTTGACCCACTCGCCGAAGGTAAACATCAAGCTTTGGTTTGGGAACTTGTTTGGGGGGAAAAGGATGCCAAAAGGCTTCTCTGCATAAAACGTGTTTGTGCTGTCGTCATGCACGCCTGCCAGCCTCCTCTTGTTTAGCTTCTGCCAGAAGCAGCCCTGGCCCTTTGACGTGCTTTATCTGCAACAGCTCAGTTCACCATCAGTGTTTTTTGTACCAGGAGTAGGATGTGAGGTCCGTGTGCTGATTCTATCTTTTGATGCCTCCAGCATAAATATAGTTTGTTATGAAGCAGAGAGGACAAAAAGGTTTCCCTCCCTTCCAGCTGAAGTAACAGTTCTCTTTTGTCATCATTTCTAAGTTTCAAAACAAAATTGTGTGTGAAGATAAATTGTGCACCTTAAAAAAGAGAGAAAAAGAACTCTATGATTTAGGAGGTCCATGAGTGGTTTGGGGAGTGATGTTCATGGCAGAACGTTGAGAGTGTACTGATCCTTTGGCAATTGGAGGGTGGGAGGTGAGCATCTATGCATCTAAAAAGCCCTGTCTTTGAGAACTGCTTAGGAGCTGTCATTGGAGACCCAAAAAGCCTGGCTCACTTCCCAGTGTAATCACATGAACCATCACAAACAACCCATTATTGTGTACTTCCAGTGTTACTCAGTCACAATGAGGCCAAATACATTGTGTTTCTTCAGCTGCATAAATATTCCCCAAAATTATTTTCAAGTTGATAGATATCGGATGTGTCAAATAAATATTAGTTTTGTCACTAGTAAGGGGTTCAAATATAACCAAGTATGTTCTCCCTTCATCCTTGGACTTTATAATTGGGCTCAATGTTACACAGGAGCTAATACAGCCTAGGAAATAGATACGTGCCACTGAATGAAGCCAGGGGATCTGATTGTCGAATCATGTTGTATGAATCAGAGATCTTACCCAATATAAGGCTTTGCTAAATAATTTCAAGAATATAAGCAATCAAGAAGTTCATATGAGGTAAAGAAAAATCTGTGACCCAAGAGTGGCTCCCAAGGACCTATCTTCCTTCATTGGACATGCACCTCACTCAGAATAATAGGTAAGGAACACAGGGTCGCCTCTCCTTGCAGAGCATGGGGCGTTTCAATCACAAATCATCTTCCTGTTATACCACAGAGAGTTGTATAGCTGATGTGATATTCTCCAAGAAGCCTTCCTCCACAGGTCCTGGGATCTGTTTACTAGAGGTAATTCTTAGCCAGGGACATCCTAAATATCATTACTCTATCTACACGGAGGTCCATTTGACAAGGATGTTAGACCTGGTCATGAGCCTTCTTTTCTTTCCCCTGGGATATACCCCCAGAGAAGGGAGTAAAGAGATTGCAGGCCGACTGCTTTAACTCCTTCCTCCCAACTACTAAGCAGTTGTGTGACTTTGGGCAAGTTAGGGTCTCTCTAGTATTTGGTTTCATCATCTATAGTAATATTAATAGTTATCTTTGGCACCTTACAGTTGACAAAGCATTTTCACCTCTGTAAACTTATGCTTCACAATAATGCTTCATAGCTAACATTATTATTCTACTTTCACAAAATATAGCACCACCAACATGGATCTCAAATGTATCTACTGCTCTCCCTCCTGCAGCACTTTATTCCAAACCATCTCCATCGCTTGCCTGCATTCCTGCATTCCTGCAGTAGCTTCCTAGCTGGTCTTTCAGTTCTTCCATTGCCACTGCCTAGACATATGTTCCATGCAGCAGCCCAAGTAATCTTCTTAAAAAGTAAATCAGGTTATGTCATTTCTACTTATAACATTCAGTGGCTTCCCAGGGCTCTTAGGAAAATTGTGAAATCCTTGCACAACTAGTAGTTTGTGCAAAAGGAGCCCCCCTCAAAGTCAGGAGAGTTCTCATGGTTCTGTTTCTTTGAATCTCACTTAAAACAGGCCATACTGCTTTCTGGATTAGAGCTGTAGTCCCGGGGTGAAGATGAGGTAGATCAGGAGATATGCAAGACGATCCTTTGGGAAGCAAGGAGAAAATATCAGCACCTTCATCATTTACGTTGTCATTCTTCTTAGCTTCTATTTTTGAAAATGTTTCTGTTCATGTTTTAGTACTTGTATCTATATATAATAGGAATATAGATATAGATATGAATATAGATACCTATTTATATACATTTAAAAATTTTGCTGATAGGATGCACAATTCAAACATGTTAGATGGCAGTTGGAGGGTGGGACGTGAGCCAAATCATGGTCTATGACAGGGGTCCCCAACCCCCAGACCACGGACTGGTACCAGCAGGAGGACAGCAGGCATTACCGCCTGAGCTCCCCCTCCTCTCAAATCAGCATTTGCATTAGATTCTCACAGGGGGCCGAACCCTATTGCGAACTGTGCATGAGAGATCTAGGTTGTGTGCTCCTTATTCGAATTTAATGCCTGATGATCCGAGGTGGAACAGTTTCATCCCCAAATCATCCTCCTTGACCTGGCCATGGAAAAATTGTCTTCCCCAAGACCCAGTGTCTGGTGTAGAAAAGCTTGGGGACCGCTGGTCTACATGATCTGCCTCTTGCTCCAAACTCAATTTCACTCTGTTTTAGTCACACAGACCTTTCTGTCTTCAGACAAACACCCCTTCCCTGCCCCAGGTTTTTCCATAGGCTGTTCTCTCCACTATAATATTTTCCTTTCCCCCACCCCCTTCCATTTTTCCCTGCGTTACTCCTGCCCATTTTTCAGCACTCTGTGTAAATACTTCCTGACCATTCAGCATAAATCAGGGTTCCCAATCCTCATCTGCCAATGAACCTTTAATTTTTCTTTACTGCTTATATCATGGTTTCTGTGATTGTTTATTTATTGCCTGTTTCTGCCAGGATACAGGAAGTTTCTTGAGACCAGGGACTCTATTTTATTCACTAGTTACCCACAAAGCCTAGAAGAATACCTGGTACATACTAGCGATGAAGGCTCAGGAAGATTAGGCAACTTGTTCAAAGTCATGATATTGACCTGATATTGACCATGCGAGAGAAGAAAGGAACAATTTTATCTACTCCAACTCAAGTATGATAAAGGGCCTGAGTATGTTTATTTTGGGCAAGGCAGTATTATGTAGCAATTAAAACGACAGACTCCCGAACCAGACTCTGGGTCCAGATCCCAGTTCTGCATTTACTAGCTGTGTGACCTCGGACAAGTCACCTAATCTTTCCGTATCTCAGTTTCCTCATCTGTAAAATCAGGAAAATACATAATGATGTCTGCATCATAGTGTTATTGTAAGGATTAAAATGTGAATATACACAAAGCGTTAAATACACAGCCTAGCACATCTTAATTGCCATATGCAGGTTTGGAATTATTCTACTTCATTATTTTGAAAAGTAACACAATATATGATTTTTAAAAATTCAAAATATTCCAAAGATTAAGGTGAAAAAAAATGTCTTCTTCCTTCATCAACCCTCTAATTTTCTCCAGTTCCCCAATTCTCCACAGAGGAAACCACAGTTTCCAGTTTCATGAAGCTCCTTCTAGAGATGTTTAATCATATGCAACTGTGTGTGTGTGTGTGTGTGTGTGTGTGTGTGTGTGTGTGTGTGCACGCCTGTGAATGTGGTCATGTCCTTGCCCACAGGTCTCAATAATCTAAATGTTCCTGGTTTTTGTTTGGAAGAATTCAGTTTCTGGTAGGGCTTGTTTTTGTTTTTTCTGTTTGGAGAAGAGGTTATGTTTTGTTTTTGTGAGATAAGGGAAAGTGAATCTAGGTTGTCTCAGAGTTGGGCCATCAGTGATTTTCCAAAACGCCTGGCCCTTGTGGAGCTGTGCTACAATTAAACTGTATTCCTGCTGTAGCAAGATGTGCCTCCTGAATCCAGGCACCTGCTTTCAAGGTGAAACCTCTCCCTGAAAGATGTGGGAGGCTACAGTGGTGTGAATCTGAGAGATGCTGAGAGCCATAATCAGCTCTGGACTTGAGTGATTAGAAAATATGGAAAGCACTTCAATGCTTTAAAATTGCTCCATAGCAGGCGGCCAAGAAAACAGATTGCTCTGGTATTTTTCCCCCAAAATTCACAATCATTTTCCATTCCGAGAACAGCCAAAAAATTAACCCACAGCTCTCAGAAATAGTCATCTCTCTTAGTTTGCATCTAATCACTTGAATTCACATGTCCTTGTGCCAAACTGTCACCTTCTAACAACAAAGAGCATGCTAGTTACATCACCAAGTTGATGGCATGAACGCTGCAGTCAGTAGCTTCCTTGTAGCACTAAAGAACAGTTCGTTCATGTCACTGGTGTTCACCTGGCTGGGTAGTGCATTGGCACTACTGGCATTTGGTGTATGTTCAAAAGGGAACTATTCAAATTCATTTGAAAGCAGCATCTAGGACAGATGGCCTACAGAAACACATTCCCCTTTGTCTCATCTGTGCCACTCAGGTGTTGTTGTCTTCCAAAATCCAGTGAATGAGCCCTTGCCAAAAGCCTTCATTAGTGGTTGGTTCCGCCTCTGAGCCTGAGTCACAAGAGTCCAGCAGTGTTTGCGTTTTATTATCTGTTGATGTGTAACAAAGCACCCCAAGACTTAGTGGCTTATAACTGCCACCATCTTATTACTCATAATTTTGTGGATTCGAAATTTGAGCAGGGATTACCTGGGTGAGTTTTCTGTTCCATGTGGCATCATTGGAGGTCATTTGATGGTATTTAGCTGGTAGATGGGTAGGTTAGAAGGTCTGAAAGGACCTCACTCAAGCTTAACACCTACAAAGGAAGGCACAGTGGAAAGCTGGGCTCAACTGGGTCCCCTGATTCCCCCTGTGGTCTCAGGACCTTTCCATGTGGATAGACTAACATGTTTTATATGGTAGTTAAGGGTTCCAAGAGCAAACCTTCCAGGAAGACCAAGCAGAAGCTGCAAGGCTTTATATGACCTAGCCTGGGAAATCCCAGGATGTCAGTTGTACTGCATTCAATCAGTCAGGCAGTCACTAAGTCCAGCCCAGACTCATGGGGACAAAATTAGACTTCACTTCTCAAAGGGAGGAATACCAAAGAACATGGTGAAACCACCTTGGATGTGATCCAGTCTGTTTCAGTGACATACATTGTTTATTGGTTCCACTGTTCATTGTTCCTTGGTGTGCTCTGGATGGACCACATTATGTAGGGGGGACAAAGTTGGCCTGACTAGGTGAAGGTTTAGTTCAAACATAGCTGAACAGTGCCTTTTCAGGGACACAAAACTCTGAACAGGACATTGTTCATGAAAAGATGGAATCTGCTTAAGGCAGATGAATGGTTGGAATAAATATTTTCTTTCTTTTATAAGAAAACCTTGGGGAACTAGAATTATTGGTCTTTGAGATCACAGGATGGCTATCTGAATTGATCTTTCTAATAAATTCAGTGTCCTATATTGATTTTAACATTTTCTCTAAACAAGCCTTTATATTTGCTCAGGGGTACATCTTCATGAACCTAAAAACAAGGATGCTGGATGTTGCAGTTTTGCAGTGAGAAGTATCTTCTCCTACCATTTGTCTCAAAATGATAGCACCAACCAACATTTGCAGAGTACTTTCTGTAGGCCAGGCACTATGCTGAGTGCTTTATATAAACCATCTCATTAATCCTTCCATGAGCCCTACTCCATCATTCAGAGGACACTGACATGTAAAGAGGCTATGGCTCTATGCCCCACTAAGGCAAGGTGACACAAGAAGTAAATGGCAGAGCCAGAATTTGAACCTGTATCTGCCTGACTCACAGTCTGTGTTTGTAGTTCTTTTCTGCTACTCTGCCTCCTTGTGTAACCCCATGTCCAACCCAGCATTCCTTGTTCTCCTGGTGTAGACACCAGCTTAAATCACAAGAGCTCTGACCTATCCCTGGACCAGGGATGGATTTTATTATTATTGTTATTGATATTATTATTACTACTACTACTGCTACCACTTCTACTTAGGAAGACTTAAAGAACCTCTTTTGCCAGAGAGGGTTTTTTAAAAGCTCTCTCTTCCTCTGGTTTGGGACAAGGAGAAGAAAATAGAATGCTGGGAATAAAGATGTTTAGGATTGACCTTTTTGGGGAAAGAGGAGCGTAGAGAAAAAATGGTGATATCTTCCTCTCTCCACCTTCATGTCCTCCTCATCCTGTGCCTTGATGGTTTCAGTTCAAAGAAGTGAAAATTGTAAAATGCGTGGTCTTGAACTGCTTCTAAAGCTTCTGCAGCCCAGGCTGCCATCTCTAGACAGGAACTGGCAGGTTGTGTTTGGCAGGCATATAGGCATATATGTTCTCCCAAAGACTTCAGAGAAAGGAATACCACAGTCTTTTCTGGTGATCAATCACAGTCACCACAAGGCAAATGACTAGTAGAAATTCAGGGGTGAAAATTACCACCTTGAACAAAGAGATAACAAAGTTGTTAAAAAGTGAGGGTCTACTATATGGTAGTATTTTTACTGAACAAAGTGTAGCATTATCACTATTGGCAATAGTAGCTTCCACTTATTGAACACTTGTCTCTTATATATCTCATCATCCCCACTTCATGGATAAATACCAAGGCCCAGAGCAGCTTGGTGACCTGCCCAGATGGATGTTATATCTCTACCGACATTGATCTGGTTCCAAAGCCATTCTCTCCATCTGCTGAGTAGTAGGAAACCAAACACAGAAGATCCCATACATGATTCAAGATGAAAATTGTTTTTTATCAGTTGTTTTTGTTTGTTTTTAGAAACAGGGTCTTGGTATGTTGCCCAGGCTAGACTTGAAATCCTGGGCTCAAGTGATCCTCCCACCTCAGCCTCCTGAGTAGGTGGGACTACAGGTACAAGACACCATACCCAGCTTGTTTCCTGTCTTTGATAAAGAACTATGAGCAGTGAATGAGCAGAGAGGTAGTCTAGTACAGCATTTAATAAGAGTGAGGATTGACTGAAACTAGACCCCCATGGGTTCTAGTCCCAGCTCTGTCCTTCACTAGGTGTGTGACCTTGGATGATTTGTTTATCCTCTCTGTGCCTCAACCTCCTCATTTGTAGAAAGAGAGTAATAATACCTACCTCATAGGGTTGTTTTAATAGTATGCGAGCTAATATACACTGGGCATGTTGGCACACACCTGTAATCCCAGCTACTCTGGAGGCTAAGGCAGAACGATTACTTGAGCTTAGGAGTACAAGAGCAGCCTGGGCAACATAGCAAGACCTCTGTCTCTAAATTAGAAAAAAAGGAAACTAAAACAAATGAAGAGTATGTGAGCTAGTATATGAAAAGCACTTACAACAAGGCCTGGCAGAGAATAAGTGCCAGTTAAATGCTAAATGTTATTAAGAAATGGACAGAAAAGGACCTCAGTATAGAATCTTGCTTGCTCCAGAGAGTAATAGTGATAATAATAGTGTTTGGTTTTCACATTTGAGCACTTACTAGGTACCAGGTACTGTGCTTTGCAAACATTATCTCACTCAATTCTCTCAGCAAGCCCATGAGAGAGAATCTGTTATCCTCATTTTATAGATGAAGAAACTGAGACCCCAAGTGGTTTTCTTACCTGCCTGAAGCCACAGTCCTAGGATAGTAGAGTCAGCTTTTTAATGCAGGTTGTCAGAGCCAGCCCTGCTGCTTAATACTCTCTGTTCCCCCCACCTCTCATCAGCAGTTCCTCACAAGTGTCATGCTTCTCAGATGAGATCGATTTGGGGAAATCTATTTTCCCAGGACCACATTATGTAACTCCATAGTAGAGCCCAGTTAGAGTCAAATGTGTTCACCTTCTTCTTCCCATCCCTAGTAACTTTGTCCAGTCTTCTTGAGTTCTCAATTTATAGGGAAGAGATGGAAGTTCCCCTTTTCCCTCTTTCTGAAGGGCTGTCTGCTGACCCATGAGTCCAATTTATTTCACAGTGGCCCTGAATCTTTCCCCAGAAAAGGCATGCCCCAAACTTGTCCATAGAAGAATCCTGGATCCCCTAAAATGTAAGTCAGATCACACCCCACCTCTGCTCAAAACCATCTCACCAAGAGCAAAAGCCCTAGAGCGTACAGCGGCCCCAGAACCCCTGCAACTTCCCACTCTACCTCCTTCCGCCTTTCCCCTCCCGCCTCCTCTCTTCCTCCTATCCTCTCTTCTCTTCTCTCACCCCTCCTTCCCTCTTCTCTGCCCTCGTTTCCCCTCCTTCCCCTCCTTCCTCTCCCTCATCTCTCTCTGCCCGTCTCTCACCTTCCTCCCTTCCTCCCCTGCTTTGCCCCCTCGTCTCCCCTCCTTCCTGTCTCCTCATTTCTCTACCCTTCTCTCTTTTCTCTCACATGTCATTTCCCTTGTTCTGCTTCTCTGACTGCCTAGCAGCTCCTTCCAAATCCCAAGCACACTCCTGCCTCAGGGCCCTTACACATGTTCCCCCTTTTTCTAGATATCCAGTTGGCTCCTGGTCTCCCCTCCTTCAAGTCAGCCTTCACATGTCACCTGATCAGAGGCCTTACTCAGTCAACCTTTTGAAAATATCAGAAGCAAAACAATGAAAGTGAATCCGAGTTCTCACTCTCCCTCTCCCTGCTCTGCATTCTCCTTAACACTTGTCCCCGTGAACGTATGTATTTGTTGTATGCTGCCTGTCTCTACCCTTATTCCTCCAACAGAGCAGGACTCAGGGCAGGCTTGGCTCTATCCCTAGTGTCTGGCACAAGTGGGCCCCAGTACATATTTGCTAAATGAATTGAATGAGTACTTGCCTTTATAATTTTTCTGCTAGGGAACTATATGTCTCTAGCCATGTAGATTTTCTTAATCCATGCCCTGTCAAAGGGCTCTGTTGTAGTGACCAACAAAGTTCTATTTACTTGATGGTTCTCTTGCAGCTATGAAGAGTGATCAGATCTGGTTTGGCCACCATTGTATAGTACCAGCACAGCAATGATGTTATTATGTAGGTGCTTGGTCAGTATTTGCTGCATAATGGAATATATCTCTCTCTAGTCCTGGAGTCACTGCTGCAATGGGAAATGTTTGCTGTCTGCCTCACACCTTCCTGATGAGTTCTTCCATCTCCTTGTTCCTCTCTTCCATCCAAATGCTTTGTTCTTCTCTCGTTTCCTTTCATTTTCTTCTCTTTAATACACTGTTCTTTCCTTTATTACATTCCCCAGGCCTAATTTTATATGTTCAGAGAATTATCATCGCAACAAGAAGCTAAGATGTTTATTGTTTTAACCATTCATTCCTTTTACAAAATCAAACACCTGTAAAATAACATCCACCTCAATTTGGTGTTGAGTTTGAGAAGGAAATTGCAAAAAAAATGAAGGTTCTTACTTATTTTCTGTGGGCTCTTGTACACTCTCCTACAATTATAGTAATTTCTCCTTCCTTGTGTAGATTCAAATTTTCATTTACATTTTTTCATTGTAACAACAGTTGTATTACTAATACCAATATTTAATAAATTCATGCACTAGACACCTTAAGAAACATAGGAGTAGGAATAATTCTCACCTAATGCACCTGTAATCGAACTAAAGCAGGGGTCCCCAACCCCCAGGCCATGGACTGGTACCAGTTCATGGTCCATTAGGAACTGGGCCACACAGCAGGAGGTGAGCAGCCAGTGGGTGAGCATGACCGCCTGAGCTCCACCTCCTGTCAGATCAGAGGAGGCATTCAGTTCTCAAAGGAGCGTGAACTCTATGGTGAACTGTGCATGTGAGGATCTAGGTTGCGGCTCCTTATGAGAATCTAATGCCTGATGATCTGAAGTGGAACAGTTTCATCCTGAAACCATCCCCACCACTCACCCCACACCCACCCATGGAAAAATTGTCTTCCACAAAAGCCAATCCCTGGTGTCAAAAACGCTGGGGACTGGTGAACTAAAGGATTATTTAAACATGAAAGCAATGAAGACCCCACTCACAAATGCAACAAAACCATAAAATACCAAAGATTAACCCAAAAGAAATATTTAAGAACTTTATGGCAAAAATCATCACAATCATCATTTCTGAAGAACATAAAAGATCTAAATAAATGCTATTATAAAGATGTCAGTTCTCTCCAAATTAAACTCTAAATGCAACTCAATCCCAGTCCTAGTGTCCAACACTTTCAACAAAGAAGTACAAAAAAGCATCATCAAGAGCAGCTTTTAGATGTTCTGGCTGAAGTATTCAGGAGGCTGGTGAAGAGGCTGGATCAGAGGCCACCGGGGTCTCCTCTGAGGTGGCCCTGGAGGGGCACACTGCCATAGGGTATAAGCACCACTGCCCTGGCCAGATTCACTAACTGCTCTTGGTGAGGCACCAAGCGGGGCAGGAGAGGGGCTTCCTGGAGCATTTGAATCCCCAACTGAAGGGACATGGCCCTCATTCCTGAAGCAGTGAGAGCGCACATTCATGTAAGTGGCCTTCTGGCATGGCAAGCGCCCTGGTGGATGTACAGCAGGCACGGCACTGGACACAGTGAGCACTGGCTGCAGGCAAGCAAGGCTTGCCAGACCCTCAGGAAATCCAGATCATTGTGTGAACCCTGAGGAAGGGCCTTCAGGGAAGTGTTCCTGGAGAAAGTGAGTTTTGAAAGCAGGTTCTTGAAGGAGGTAAGGAGCCTGGATGAGCAGAGGAACCAGCTGGCTCAGGGAAACCCCAAACTATGTATTGTCCCAACCAAAACGTGGTTCCTTTGAGATGAGCAGGCATGTAGCTCCTTGCCCACTGAACTAACGCTCTAGCAGTCTCTCCTGTCGAGGGGTGCTAGGTATGTGCGAGTGTCTATGCGTGTGTGTGTGTGTGTGTGTATGTGTGTGTGTGTGAGAGAGAGAGAGAGAGAGATTTCAGTGCAGGAAACTAAGGGCCTCAGAGATGGTAGAGAAGGAAAACAAGAAAGTGGAACTTTTGTAGTACCCACTCTGTGCCACACACCCGAAAGTCATCTCATGTAATTCTCTCAGCAGTGGCTATGGGAAGTCATATGCATGTTTTACCTCTGAGAAAACTGCGGTTCCAAGGGGTGGCATGACTTGTTCATAGTCACCCAGCTCCCAAGTCTGACTTCTGAGCCTGGAGACTTCACTCACACAGGACTCTATCTGTGGCCACACATGTTCACACATCTGTCTGTTCTGTAAAGGCTTTCCAAGTCTTTAACACAGACACTTAATGTTAACTTGAAGCTGACACTAAGATTAAACTGTCACTTGCTTGCTGGGTTTGCTTTTTGTCTCACCAAATACCAGAGCTTATTTCTCTTAGCTTCTATTTAAAAAAAAAAAAAGCTTCAAAATGAGCTTTCATAAATTTTTGTTTGGTCCCAAGAGAAAGTCATTTCATGCCCCCTTTTATCCAAAAAGTGGAGAAGGTGTCTCTCAAAAGCAGTTTTGTAATCTTTCTATCTTAAATTTTAGATCAGCTTATACTACCAAGATGTTTGCGTGCAGCCTCCGCCTGGTAAATGAATAGGCAAATGAGTGAAAATCTTCACTGGAGAAAAATAAAATCCAATCTACTGGCCGTGGTCTACTAATATGACAGTAGTATCAATCCCTGGATAGAGGAGGACAGGCCATTAATGCCTCTCATAGAGCAAACACAGGACAAGTTAAATAGCTCCTCTCTTTAGGGAATAGTAAAGCATTATTCTCATATTTGAATTTGAAACATGGTTGAAACTGAATCTCTCTTTGTGTTGTACACATTATAAATTAATGTTATTTGAGCCATAAGGGAATGTGAATTGTCTTACTGAAATAAACTGCTTTTGAGTATGAGAAAAGTTCCCTCTCTCTTTCTTTCTCCAATGAAAAGGTTGGCTTTGAAGCAAAGGCCACAAGGTATGTGGCCAAAAAGTTGATTTTTTTTTTTTTTTTTTTTTTTGAGACAGAGTCTCACTCTATCACCTAGGCTGGAATGCAGTGGCACGATCTTGGCTCACTGCCACCTCCACCTCCCGGGTTCAAGCGAGTCTCCTGCCTCAGCCTCTCAAGTAGCTATGATTACAGGCATGCACCACTATGTCTGGCTAATTTTTGTATTTTTAGTAGAGACGGGTTTCGCCATGTTGGCCAGGCTGGTCTCGAACTCCTGACCTCAGGTTATCCACCTGCCTTGGCCTCCTCCCAATGTGCTGGGATTACAGCTGTGAGCCACTGCACCCTGCCCAAAAAAAAATGATTTTGATGGCATTTGAGCTCAAAGATATCATGAAGAAGGAAAAGGACAATGAAGTATCCATAAAATTAGAGCTTCATCTTTCTCCTCTGGAACTTATGCTCAAAAGGGAACTCCTTCAGAAGGGAGGACTCAGAGTTCCCAGAGATAAAAAGCAGCTGTCACAGATGCAATTACTTGGGGGACCAAAGGATGGGGGCAGTCACTGAAGGTGAAGAAGCACTTTCATTTACCAAAGACTTCCTATTCGAAATGTGTATTGTTATATAAACATCATCTGTGATATGAGAGCATCCAGAGGTGTTTTCTCCCAAATGAAAGGCATTTACACTAAAGACACCTCTGAGTGTTTAATAAGTAGCAGGGCCTCACTTCATGAGGTTGAATGACTTGCATTCTGTGATGAGATGACTTTCTCTGACACTAGGGAACACATTTTCTAGTTGACTCTTCCATCTGGGATTTGCACTGGCCACAACACTCATGTGTACATGCTGATCATATTGTAAACTCAATCCTCAACTGGCTGTCAGGATCCATTTCTCTCCTGACCTCACATTATCAGATCCACCAAATCTTGCCTCTTTACTTCAGCCATTGAAAAGAATTCTCCCACCCACAACAAACGGTCCTTCACAGGTTGTCCCCGGGCTCAAAGGAGGCTATGTTATACACACGTGCACATACACATTTGTAAAGAGTCAATCAGCATTGTTGCTTATATAGTTTACAGGTCTATATCAGACTTGTTTAGTGTGTGTGTGTGCGTGTGTGTGTGTGTTCTCATATATTCATTTACGAAACATATTTCCATTGCAAGCTGACATATGAGTGGTAACCCCATTGGGAATGTTCTCCTTTACAGGCCCCCACTGTAGACAAGACTCTGGGGGAACTTTAGCCAGTGCTTGCCCCAGACTAGTTAACTCCCTGAATGCCAGTTTAAGTGCTGTTGTTGAACCTGCCTTTAGATATGCAGTTGCAGTAACCTATGTGGCTACTTCTCTTTGACCTCCCAGATGGCAGCACTTAAGCCCAAAACACCAATAGTGAATGTAGCTTTGCTTTCTACTCTAAGGCCCTGAGACCATAACAACCAGTATTGGCAGGAGTTAAATTCCATAGTAAATCAATCTCATTTTAGAAAATTATTTATGATGAAAATTCTCCTCTGCCATTTCTGAGAAAAAACCTTTTATCCAGTTATGGATTTTTTTTTCATGCAACACATTTCCATAGGTGATGCAGCAGGTCATGCAAGGTTTCCTATCTGGAATAGGTTACAACTATTTTCTTGACCTGAGAGCTAAACCCCATCTTGTCAATGCTAGTGAGGATTACACCATGAAGACCTGATTCTAGGAGTTCAAAGGTGACATCACACAATGTGCCCATTTAGAAAAACCCTCTCTACCCTGCTTGGGGTGTGCATGGTGACCTCTTCCCATCAGATTCTTGGGAGAAGTAGCAGAGTTAGTTACTGAGCAGACACAATGAGGAGCCAGCCACCTTGGTTTGAACCCCAGTTCTGCCTCTTACTAGCTGTGTGCCCCTGGGCAAGTTACTTAACTTCTCTGTAACTCAGCTTCCTCCTTTGTAAAATAGGAAAGATAATGGTATCTGTCGTGGGCTGTTAAGTGTATTCAATGGAATGCTATTTGTAGGGCACATAGAACAGTGCTTGCCACATCATTAGTTCTCTGTAGGCATTTGCCCAATAAGTTGCTGTCAGTTGTTCGTTTTTTCTTGCAGCCATCAAAATTTTAGACAGCTTTCAGTGGTTCAATCATAAGACCTTGAATTATCTTTTCTATATTTTCTTTCCTGAAAAAGAAGCCTATTTACCATGTGCCATATCTTCAGGTCCTGGTATACCTATCTATAAGATAACATGGGAACCGATTTTCTATTCATCAGCTTCTCATTGAGCAAAAGTTATCCCAAAGCTGTATAATTTTAATCTCTGTATTTACAGAGTTCTCCTGTCCTTTGTACAATGAGAAGGAAATCATGTCACATGATACTTAACTCATTTCCTTCCAAAAGGCCAGATTTCATTTGGGTTCATAGCTATTGAGCAGACTTGAAAAAAATTCTACCTGGGGTCCATAGGTGTTCAGCAGACTAAAAAATGTATCTTTCCAATATATTGATAAAAAATCTACAGAAGCATTTATTCTCTCTATTAATTTTTTAATTCTGGTGAAACATTCTTAGGCCACCCTTTGGGTGTCACTTGGGGGTCAAAAGATAATGGCATGCCCTAGCTCCTCCTGCGTAACCAGATCTCTGGTTTACTGGCAGGCATTTGCTATTTAATCTAAGATGCATAACTATTTGGGAAAGATATCTTAATCTTCCACCCTTTCTTTGCATCCTGGATTTTAAACTGACTTATGTAATCCCACTTATACAGTCTAGTATTTAATAGGAGTAATGGTACATGGATTTATACTTACAACAGATGGAATTTAAAGGATTGTATGAACATTCTACTTTAAATTTATTCCTGTAAATTATTCATAATTTGGAGTGATTGTTTCTATTGTGGTAAAGAACCAAGTATTCAGGAAAATAACATGCCAGACAATACTGTAGTGTAGAATATATCATTGTAAGGAGGATTTTTACCTTGAATTACTGTCACATCAGTGGCATTAATTTTATGTCTTCCAGTCCTTTTTCCCTTAATTTCATTGTGTTCTCAAATTCCCTTGCCCTCTCATATTTCTCTTATCTCTTGCCTTTTTCCCTTCTTGGATGGCTGGAGTTTTTTTGTTTGTTTGTTTTTCATTTTACTGGTTTTCCTCTCCTCCCTTGGATATTTTTCTAATATTATTGGATGCTTTCATGCACCAGAGGGTAGAAACTCGGCTTTGCTGACCCAATAGCTGGATATAAATTAGCACTGATTCTCTTTGCCTAGCAAAAACCACTGAATCCAGCCAGGCCACAAGATGGGATCCAGGAGTATATCCAAGTTGTTCTCTAGCCAGCATGCAGCATCTATTCTGTGCACTGGTAGTTTCCATTGCCATTTTTTAAAGACAGTGCTGCTGTTTTGTCTTTTGTGTGCTGAGGACTCTCCTGATGGCTCTTCTGCATGATGTAAGTCCTCCTACTTCACTGAAGCAATGAAGGGGATTCCAAGAGTCAAGACCACCCCATGGGGCTTCCTCCCCATAGAGACACTATAAGCCAGAATAGTTGAAGCTGTGGAATTAGAACACTAAAATGGGAAGAATCATAGGTGTCAGTACCAAAGGTAATAAAGGTGAGGAAGATTAACAGAGCACTTTAAATAGATATTTAATTCAACTTAGCAGCATTTGTTGAACGCATACAGAGTGCCCCTTTACTCTGCTGGGTGCTGAAATTAACAAAATGCGTACAATGACTCTTTGCCTTAAAGGGCAGAAAACAAGTAGGTTAAGGTACATTTGATAAGATGAGCACAACAACAAAAGTGTATAGTTGGAACAGACACACAGGAGGAAAGTGACTTAACGTTAGGGATGGGGGCATTCAGGAATGCTGCATGGAGGAGGGAACCTCAACGGGGTTCTGAAAGATTCAGTAAATTAGGAGACGTAGTAAAATTCCAACGCAAAATCACAGTATGTGCAGGATTGAGAGGTGTTATAGTTTCACTTTGTGTTTAGAAATGATTACCTTGATAATGATGAGAAAGATAGGTGAAAGGTGCTGGGGGTAGACAGGTGGTAAGAAAGATAAGGGAAGAAGAGTGCAAATAAGACCATTGCAGTAGTCTAGGCAAAGCCTCAGAATAAGGCCAGGGCAGTGGAAATGGAGCAGAAAAGACAGAATTGAAGATATTTAGGGGTGGAATTAGACTTTGTGACTGGTTGGATTGTGAGTGTGGCTTACAGAAGCATCAGCATCACCTTAGTGCCCCCCTCCCTCCCCTCACCCTGTGGATCTTAGTCACATGTAATATAACCAAGCTCCTGTTTCTATGAAAGAAACCAACAGGCCTATCTGTACACAGCACTTCATAAATCCTTTTTAAAAAAAGCAGAGGAAGATAATGGAATATTTTGCCACTTCTAAGAGTGGGTAATAAATGTGTTTGTAACCCCCAGCCCAGAATTGATAGGATTTAATGAGAAAGTACCTTTTGCTTGATTTTGTAAATGTAATCTTTCAATTTATAGACAAGCAAAAATGTACCCAAGATGATAGATGTCATTAATGAAAATGTTAGTTTCCTAACCCCCCATCCACCTACCCCCACAAAAAATTAAGAACACATTTTAGAAATACTCTATTAGAAGAGCTCAAACAGATTTTCTGAAATTAGAAATGAATTCCAACTGTTGCATGGATGGTTTCAGATATTCTATGTTCTTTGCTATTCAAATCATATTTTTTCACTATCTTTAATATTATTTTTTCCCTTCAAACTAGAGCTGAAAAAGGGACCAGAGAAAATGTTGAATATTCAGCTCGAACTCTGAATTGATGCATGGGGAGGCAATAATAGTGACAACAGGAATAACTAATATTTATTGAATATTTACCATGTGCCTGCCAGACACTGGGCTAAGCATTTTATACAGATTAACTTATTTATTTTCCACATCAATCCTATAAGATAAGAACTTTTATTATAACCATATTACAGATAAGGACATTGAAGTTCAGAGTAGCTAAATGATTTACCCAAGACCACACAGGTAGAAACTGATGGAGCTGGGTTCAAACCCAGGATTGTTGGACCCCAGAACACACTCTTTTAACCACTGGACAATACCACTTTCCTGAACAGCTGAAGTCCCTTTTGAGCTTCCCTTTCAAAAACCAAAACCTAATATCTTTATGTCATTTCTTTCTCTGAGTTGTACATTCTTTAAATAATACCAATGTAACTGACATCAGGTCTCAATGTACCTGATGTTAGATTATACAAAAGAATATAAATGACATTCATAGACTTCCTTTGGCATGACATCATTGGTCATTATTTTTGTCATTCTCATTTTACCTGCTTCTTCTCCAATATAAACTTGTGAAAAGGATGTTAGAACAAGGTTCAAATCCTGGGTGGTCACTTGTGACATATTATCTTAGTCTGGACAACTCATCACTTACTAGATTTTGGCCCAATCATAGAATGATGGGTTCTATATGTATGAGCTTGAGCACTTCCAATGTTCCAGGCATAGCACAAAGCTCCTTACAACAACATATTGAGGGACGTACTAGAATGAGCCCCATTTTACAGATGAGGAAACTAAGGTTGTGAAAGGCTATCTTACTACAAAGTCACACTGGTAATAAAAAGCAAAGTCTGGATTAGAACCCATATCTATTGACTCCAAAATTTCCACTGTGCTACAAGATCTCCTTGTTCTGCATTATAATGATAAGGTCTCTTGATACCAAAGTTCACTCTGATTTTTGAAGATCAGAAGAGTACTATGTATGGGAGCTTCCTAATTTGAAGGAAAACCAACTGATGCACTAAAGTCATAATAATACCTACCATATATTTAGTGAATATTATCTGTCAGTTACAGGTTAAGCACCTGTAATTCTCACCACAATTCTAGAATACAACTAGTATTTTTCTCATTTGCATAAGTGTGAGAACTAAGTCTCAAATACATTAGGTAACTTGCCCAAGGTCTCATGGCTAGCAAGTGGCAGACCCAGTTGTCAAGTCAAGGTCTGTAAGGCTCCAAACTATATATGCAACCCTCATGCTATATCATCACTTATCTCCTGGACTTTGTGAAAAAGGAAAAAAAAAAATATTCTAACAGTGTCAGTGTTTAAAATTATCTTAAGATTGTTATTGAGATTTTTAATTACACAGTAAAAATGTATCCAGAGTTGGTTCTTTCCGGTGGGTTCGTGGTCTCTCTGACTTCCAGAATGGAGCCGTGGACCTTCGTGGTGAGTGTTATAGCTCTTAAAGATGGCATGGACCCAAATAATGAGCAGCAGCAAGATTTATTGTGAAAAGCAAAAGAACAAAGCTTCCACAGCAAGGAAGGGGACCCAAGTGGGTTGCTGCTGCTGGCTGGGGTGGTCAGCTTTTATTCCCTTATTTGTCCCCACCCATGTTCGATTTCTGTCCTATCAGAATGCTCTTTTTTCAATCCTCCCTGCAATTGGCTACTTTTAGGACCCTACTGATTGGTGTGTTTTACAGAGCACTAATTGGTGCATTTTACAGAGTACTGATTGGTGCAATTTTACAGAGCACTGATTGGTGCAATTTTACAGAGCACTGATTGGTGCATTTTACAATCTCGTTGCTGGCTACAGAGCACTGATTGGTGTGTTTTACAATCCCCTTGCTAGCTACAGAGTGCTGATTGGTGCGTTTTACAATGGAGCTACAGAGTGCTGATTGGTGCGTTTTACAATCCTCTTGCTAGACAGAAAAGTTCTCCAAGTCCCCACTAGACCCAGGAAGTCCAGCTGGCTTCACTTCTCAAAACAATACTCATAAAAGGCAGATTGTTTTGGGTTGATTCTCTTGTCTAGGTTGCTTATTGTTTTTCTTTAAAAATCCTTTTCAGAAACCTGCATATTCAATCCTACGCTCTCCCCCTCCCCAGCCCACCTCAAAAGGACAGCAGCAGAAAAGCACATCTAGGTCCCATTTTTCTTGCTTGATCATCCAGAGCATGTAAAATAAGGTGAAATATGGCCTGAGTCAGCTCCTCACAAGACAGAAATCAGTAACCACTGATATTGCTAAGCAACACCACAGAGAAGCAAGGCTGAAAATGAAGTGGCAAATTTATAAGAAGTTGCAGAATCTGGGGACTTGCTTGGGCATTTCATTATGAACCATCTGCATGATCCACAGTAATGACCACACATTATTGTTCACTGTTCGAGGATGATAATTCCTACATAATTATATTCAGATCTCCCTCTGTGATTATAACCTACCTTTCAGGACTTTCACCATATTTTCCATAATCGAGATCTGTCCCTGTGAGACAATTGGGAGTTGTTACATCTAATGGGCAACTTTCATTCCTCCCCAAAGTAAAGTTTAAAACAAAACAAAAAAGTCACTCTTTTGGCTAGTGTGATACAGAGTTAGAGGGGTAGTAATATACGTAAGGGAGAAAATTGGTCATGGGATCATCACATCTCAGTAACGTGGGCTCCACCACGGTGGCATGAAAGCAAGTGTGATTCTCATAATGGGCAGCATTTACAATCGGATTACAGGCTCATCTCAAACACCGACCACAGGGTTCTGGAATTTCTTCTCCATCTGTGTGGCTTCTTAGAGAAATGTTATAGAGAAGAGGCACCAGGTGGTACCCAGAATGACATTCACAGGTGATGTATGGCTCTTCCAATCCTAGCTGCCTCTTGCTTCACTGATACAGCGAACAGTGCTAGATAATGTTAACTAATAGACTCTTGAACTCCCTTACTTCTTTCCTCCTATCCCCAAAAAAACTAACCTTGGATTAGCCCCAGTTTGAATCCTAATCCAATTATGTTCAAAGTGCCTTAGTTATTCATTATGGAGAGTGTGCTGGTTGCAAGCCACATTCCTATGCCGGTGAGCGCCTCCCGGGTCCTCTCAGCAAGACTAGGTCTTGCCACAGGCTGTCAATAGACAGTGGGCAAGGGTACGTTCCAGGAGGCATCATGGGCTGTAGGACCCCAGCCAAGTGCATGATGAGCTCTGGTTTATGCATGCATGCTTTTTGTCCTAGTCGCATGTCATTTCTCTTTCTGCACCTCCTGAGTCCCTGCTTCAGGGAGGAGGGCCTTGTGGCTCCTGGAGATGCTGCCCAATCCTCCTTAGGATGCTGCTGCTGAGTTCACCATCTCACCATCCTGTTGCTGTTAGTGCTAAAGACCGTATTCTAGCAGGCTGGTTTCCATCTCCATTCTTTTCTGACTTTTCTTCAGTAAACTGTAAACATGGTTCTCTTTGTTTGGGCAGATACCATTCCCTTCCACTGCTTCCTCAGTGCGCCTTGAGTTGCCACAACACCTGCTGTTATTCAGCTTTTCACTACTCTTCTTCCTTCTCTTCCACCATCATTAGACTCATTTTTGTTATGTTCTGCCTAGTTCTTGTTCTTCAGTCTCATTCATCATATCCAAGGAAGCAGCTAAGAAGCGATCTAGACATTGCCACGTTGTCGAGAATGTGTGAGCTTTGTCCGATATGAACAGTTCCAATTCCAACTATGTACAAATAAAATGATAATTAAACAATATGAATGTATTTATTTATACCTGATTCTGCAAGAGATGAGGTGAGGAGTAATATCATCTGCCACAAGCAGATATTTGAAAGTTGGGATTGATATGTGAAAATAAGTGTGTGCATACAGAGGTTTGCGTCTACAAAAATGGATCCATAAAAATGCAATGGTGTATTGTCACTGTGTAGAATATAGTTTACATCCAACTTTGCAAACACAGAGCCACTCATATTCTGTTTGCTGAGCAAATGGTAGAGAATGCCAGCTGCTTATTCCACTGCTTACCTCAGGGAAGGAAGAGAGGTCACAAAACAGTTAGTTGGCTGATGTGATTTGTTAATCTACTCCAAGATTACTCACACATGCAAACACATATATTATGTGTGAAGCCACTATGAACATATGTTTTATATTTATGTGTTTTATATTTATGAAGGTATTTAGGTCATTTAAGAATTCCGAAGTTGTGCAATGTCAAATATATAATACTGTTCTTAAAATACCAGAATATATATATATACATATATATACACGTATGTATATATTTTTTTCACTGATGGCAATCCCCAGAAGTCATGAAAAAAATTTTCTTTCTATTTATACAAAATTCAATTTCTTTTTGAAGCACCTGCATCTTTTGTAATGTGTCCAGAATAGGCAGCTCTTCGTAGAAACATAAACATGTGATTTTTCTCCCCAAGATATAATTTTGTGCTGGCGTATTAAAACAATTTTAGATAGAAATCTAGGCACATGAAAAAATGTGTAAATGATGTATCATACAAATATGAAATACACGAATATTTATTATTGCATTTTAAGCTAGATCCTTCATCTTGCACACAAAACCCATCAATTTTAAGTTTATTCATATGAGGATTCCCAGCAGCTGGCCCAGTTAATGGGCCATGGGAGCATTCTGCAGAATCCTACAGAACTATCTCTTGAGTCTAATTAATGTCTTGAAGTTTATTGGGAGAGTGGTGTTATGACCAGAAAATATATTTTTAACCTGCTCACAAAATTGCTTAAAACAATCTAGAATTTTCAGACAAACAAGGATAAAAGTTGCTATTTTAAAACTGAAGAAAACAGAAATGGTGTATCCCACTCCTTCTCTCCCCTCAACTGCAGCTGCCACTCCCACCAGCTCACTCAAAACAGCTCACATTCTGCCAGGGGTTTCCATTATAGGGGGAGTCCATTGATGATGTGTACACAGAGGGGGAGCTGATGGTCCTTGCCCTGCCTCCTGCTGTTTACATAGCAGCCACCAATGCCTTAGTCCTGGAGCTGTGGCTGCCCTGTCACTTATCTGAGCTGGTGGTCTTCCCTGGGAACATGCCTCCTTTTTCCTCCCAGAGCACTCTGTGTTGTCTGTCTAAAATATAAGAAGAGAAAGGGAAGTTTAGAACGTGGTTTTTCATGTTAGATTTTCCTAGGTAGGCTTCCTTTTTCTCTAGGAAATGGTTCTGTTGGAGAAAAGCTGTGAAATAAACTTCTTGAACTGCTGTTCTGTGGCAAGGAATCACAGTGTCTGCAAGCTTCCATGAGCCTGGACGTTGTCCTTGTTCAGTCCCTTTCTCTCGGAGTGTCACCTCTATAAAAATTACAGGGTTACAATAGACCTGGGGTGAAGTTATCTTTGCCAAATACTCTGTTTCATTGGATGTTAAGATAACTGTGCCCTATTCTGTAATGCAGGGCACACTCTACCCCCGGTAGCATAATATATTTAAAGTGATTTCTGAAAATGGGCCGTGAAAGCTGTCTGCCACATGGCCCATGTTTGCACATCTCCATATAGTTACGATTGCAAAATTTGACAGTATAACTCTGAATCTGATTAATTAAAAATGTGTAAAAACAAAGTTCTTGCATTATAGCTCGTTCCTTATCTTTGTGTCTTTTACTGTGATGTTGTAGAACTTGGATCATATGGAAAACTAAAATATTATGACACAATGACTGAAGAAGGTAAGAATGATTTTAGAATTGTATGCATTGGCTTTTTTACATTTATGGTGTCTGTTGCTTGCCCATTTTTTATTCTTTTTTTTCCTCTCTGCATGACTTCAGTGACATTGTGTGACTTACTATTCTTTCTGCATTTTTGTCTAGTTTTTGCCATTGTGTTTATTTGGAATTGGAGACGTGCAATACCATGGGTAATCATGTTATTCCATTCAGACAATTCAAACCATCATAATTATGTAACACACTCAGAGAAATGGTGTCAGTAATGTAAACACAAATACCCACTGCGCCAGTACTTTCCCCCACATGCTCACAAAACATATAGAAACATTCATCCAATAATTTTCTAATATGTCCTTTATTTCAGAGGGGGATGTATTTTCTGGTGGTTTTCTGATTTATGCAAAGGAATGAAAGATCTGAAGTATCTTCTATACCCAGAACCAGCTAGACACCTGATTCTGATGTGGAGGACTGTAGGCTCATGGCCTGTCTCCCTGCAGTCCCTATTGTTTCAGATAGGAGCATTACTCTGAGAGGCTGGGTCCACCATTCCATCCAGTAGCATTGTCTACATGAGGGTTCCCACTCCATGAGGATAGGCATATCATTTTAACCATTTTCTCTGAGTAGAGATTTATATAAGATGTATTTATTAATGAATTCCAGGCACTGTCCCAGAACATAGCCTTGTCCCAGGAAGAATCTCTTTTCTGATGTAGGTTTGCCATGGAACAGCAATGTGAAGATTTTGAATTCTTGGAAAGGGAGCTGTCCTATTGCCTTAACCCCTATTTCATCCCATACATACTGCGACTTTTTAAAAATATATAATATTTGTAAGTTATGAAAAACATTTAAGGTTTTTTACATGACTTTTACATGGATACTGACAAGAAATGGAAAGGTACCCTCACAGAGGAATCAGTTCATCTTATTCTTCAGCATGAGAGAGAAACTCCCAAATGTGTTGCATATCTTGCTTTCAGCTTCTAATATTCTAAGCTGCCTTAGCTTGCCAAAGATCTCCTAGTTGCTTTGCATGCAAGAAGTGAAACATCTGACAACCCCGGGCAAGAGGAAGCCCCTTCCCAGCCCCTCTCCACTCTGGCTTTTGCACAACACCTAGGCCCTTCTCTTTTGCTAGCCCTGTGCTTTAAATTAACCACCATGATATTTTCTAAAGCAGCAGACCACTACTAGGATCTCACACTGGGCCCTACCAACAGCTTGGGGAAATGCAGACCCATGGGCAGCAAGAGGTCCAATGACAGAACCCTACATGTAGGAATAAGTACCTGCTACCAAGGGGATAGAAGGAGCCATTTATACATTTAAGGAAGGCTCCTGTCCCAGTTATTATTTTATTCTTGGCTTAGGAGGGGGAGTTTGTTAGCATCCACCTGACCTGTCAAGCCCTTTACTTTCTCTCTTTCCTCCATCCTGTCCATTACCTTCTATCATTAATGTCCTACCTCCTACGTACTTTTGTTTCCCTGCCATCCCCTTCTCCTTTCCTTCCTCTTCTCACATTCATCTGAGCAAATGTTGTCCAAGTGTTCCCTTTCTTTCCTCCCTACACCAGACAATTTAAGATAAGACGAAGATGCAAATTCTACTTCCAATCTGATTCTATCACTTGATAACAACCGGGCTTTGGAAGCAGGAAAACACAGTCAAAATCATGTATGAAATGAGAACCATGGCTGGCCCTGAGCAAAACTGTCAAATTGTGTTTGGGGGCCCTCCCTGGGTCACCCTCAACATACTTTATCCTTCTCTTGATTTTCCCATCCCCTCACGCATATCCCTTTGTGTCCCATTCTTAGCTGAAAATTTATCCCCATTACAGTGATGGGTAATAACTGCAAAGGCAGCATTTTAAAAGTGAAATGCTGGTTTCATAGGATGTCACTAAGAATTTTTCAACAACAAGGAAAAAAAGAAAAAGCAAAAAGGCAAGGCTGATTCCATAAATAAGTGGGAGAGCTTCTGAGTTAAGTTTAATAGATCTCTTTATCACGTGACTTCTCAGAGTTTTCATTATGCTGCTGTGTACTGCAGCATATAATAAATTGTAAAGAGGGATGGAGTAGACAGTGTTTCCCAGACTTTCTGATATGGAACCTTTGTGGAAACGCTGGTTGAAGTTAATCCTTCACCTAGAACAGGAACCTCTGAAAGATTTTTAAATTTTCTAAATACATAGCAATCCCTCTCAAGTACTAGAAAAAAGAATATTTTGGAATAGCAGCTGTCCATCCAGCCATGTAAAGTTGCATCCTTCGACAGGTACCTCCATGACAAGCCAAGTCTGGCTTAAACCTAATTCTGGTACTCCATCTAAAAGGCTCAAAGCCAGCTCAGTAACCTCAGATCTGGTAGAAGCCAGGCATGGCCTCTTCAAACTCTCAAGGGTCTCTCCCCTCCCACTGGAAAATAAGAATAATATATGTGATTTATGTCACTTTCATGTTGTACAATTTAAGGAAGTATAATAAAGACAAAGATGTTTGGGGCAATAACTGTGGACTAGCTAGCTAGCCTTTGAGAAATACCCCTTCCAGTTAAGCATTTGCACAATTTTAGAATTGTGACTAGCTTTTGAGCAGGGCTTTGTTGTGATTGTCCATGTGACAAGTCCTTATTTATAACTGTTTCCAGGGAATTCTCTGGATGTTGTGTGAGGTCATGACTTGCAATGAAGCCTGGGTCATTTTTTTGTTTGTTTGGTTGGTTGGTTGGTTGGTTTTGTTTTGTTTTTTCCCTAAGTGGACCAAATGGAAAGATGCATTATATATACCACCCTGTATCCAAAAAAGAACTGAAAGATGATTTCTAAATATAGAGAATTGTGCTACATATATTCAGCTTATTATTTTTAAGCACCTATTGTGTACAAATTATTCTGCTGGGTGCTTTGGGGAAATAAGAGTAAAGGGTGGGCAGTTTGACCCCATGGAATTTACAGACTGGGGGGAAAAAATAACACACGGCAATCACTGAGACACCAGGAAGAAAGTGGTAAGTACCACAGGTGTTCAGAAGATGACAGGCTACAGGGGAGGAAAGATTGCTTTCCATGGAAGTTGGGCGGGTGAGGTGTGGGAGGAGATTTTGTGGAGAAGGTGATCTTTAAACTGGGCCCTAAAGAATTAGTAAATATGAGGTAAATCAGGAAAGAAGGGTGAACTACTAGGCTAAGAAAAGGATGAAGGGATAGATGCACACCAACGTTCACTGGGTGTCTCCCACTGCTGGGTGCAGTGCTGTGGGCTTATATATATTCTATATCATCTATCATAATGATCATAAAAGTGTATTTTATTGAAGAGGAGAAAACCAAGGCTCAAAGAGTTATTTTATTAGATGAGGAAACTAAGACTCAGAGAAGCAGACTAATTTGTTCTGGGACTCAGAGGTGATAAGTGGTGATGCAGACCCTGAACTCAGCACTGTGTCCCCCCAAAGCCCCGCCCTTTGGGTTCCACTGCAGCTTGTTGTACAAGATGGGGAGTGGAACAGGGGCAGATGGAATTGGCTACAGCATAGGGAGTGGGAAGAAATGCTTGATGGATACCATAGACTAAGAATGAGGGCATCACGGTGTGGACAACAATGAGCTATTGAAGAAAGCATTTCTTTCTACATGAACACTGTGCCATGAAAAGGTTATTTTAATAAAACAATATACTTACTCTCACACGCAAGACAAAATCATGACGTTTGAAAAGTTTCTCCTTGCCCTCCGAGCCCTTTCCCCCTCCCCTGTCTCCCTCAGCCCTAAGATGCTCTAGAACCTCACTGGAGCAGCTCCCGAGGCCACACCCAACCTCCTCTCCCCACCCCAAGCCAATCCAAATTTTATCTACTTTTTTATTCATTCTTTCATGAATTTGTTCATCAATAGCCAGTATGTACCAGGTGCTGGATTGGGGGCAGAGCGGAGGAGATTAAACACAGTTCTCCTAAAGAACTCATGACCTTGTGGGAGACACAGGCATGAGATGAGTAGACCCTAGGTGCTGGAACAGCCCAGTGGAAGGCATCTTTCTTATCTTGGGAAGTGAGGGCAGGCAGAATTCATAAAGCTCACAGCACTGTGCCTGGCAGGCGATGTCTCCACTGCCATGTTCATGTGTCCCAAGATGACAACCTGTCTTACCTGCCACCTGTACTAGCACATTCACTTAATAATAACTGAGCACCTTCTCTGAATGAGACATTTTGCTAGACATGATAAATTAGTGAGCTTTACTCCTCCCAGGGACTTTGCCCCTGTAATAAGATGTTTCTAGGGACAAAAATGTCTTTTGGTAACTTCAGCTACCCCTACACAGGCAGCAGTCACCTTATCTTCTCATACAGTGATACTGCATATTTTTGGAAGAGCAATCTCCAACTTTTAAAGTTAATAATGCATAGCTTATTTCTCATCTGCAGATACCCAAATTTCATACCATTCTTACTCTAGAAAATTCTCAATAAATTGAACGTGGCTCTTTTCCTAAAATTATTCTGAATAATAATATAGAATGCTAGTTCAAAAGTAGGCAAGTTTGTGTGATGGGACAGATGGATTAAAAGGAGAAAAGACCTTTCCACCAATGGCAGTATATAGAATTAGTAATTTTTGCTCTTCAAAGGTAAATGTTTCACAGAGACATGTAGGTAGATAGGTAGATAGGTAGGTAGGTAGGTAGGTAGGTAGGTAGGTAGGTAGGTAGGTAGGTGGGTAGGTAGGTAGGTAGGTCGGTAGATATCCCAACTAATATCTTGCAATGAAGCAATATGTGGGGAAAGCTGTCTCCATTGTATTGTCCTAAACTCTCTGCCATTTAACCAAAGACATTTCCAGAAAAATAATTTCACCACTATTTAAAAAGTCAATCCTTGTTCATTTGTATAAGGGAGAAAATGGTAGAAAAGTTGTGATATCAAGGGCAAAAAAATTATAAAGACCTTTTCCATAATTAAATTAAGCTTACTGTTTCATGGCAACCAACTGCCCCTTTACCAAGCTGAAAAACTAATAATGTCTTACATGAATCATGGGGTCCTAAATTAGGCATGTGGCTGTTTTGAAAACCCCCATTATTTCAAAGAAACAAAAGTATCTTAAGGTCACATTGTCTAGCCAATCATTTGATGTTCTTAGTTGCAGTGAAATAGTCTAATTATTTTCAAAGAGAAATTAAGTTTTGGAATACCATTCAGCAATGTTTTTCATTGCCCAGGATATATCAACTAAATAATGTTACTTTAAAATAAGTCCTTCTTGTTATCTGTGACCTTCATAGGACATTGTAATCCTTGCATGAAAGGATGAGATTGTGTCATACACACTGATACATCAGGCAAAATAGCTTTAGCTATATATAGCAGAAAATCCAAATTAACAGTGACTTAAATAAGATGGAAGTTTATTTTTCTCTCAAGTGTAAGAATTCGAGTAGCAGACAAGACATGGCAGCTCTAGCAGCTCCACAATAATTCAAGACCCAGGCTCCTTCCATCCTTCTGCTCCACCACCCTCGTATATGATTTGTAACCTCAAGGGCACCTCATGGTCCAAGATGGTGGCTGTTGAGCTCTGGCCATCACGTCTGTATTCTTGGAAGGAGGAAGGGTCAAAGTGATTTTCTCTAGATATTTTGTCTTCTTTTTAAGGAGCTTTCCCTGAAGACCCTCTCAGTAAAATTTGCTCAAAACTCAGTCACATGACTACCTAGTTTCAAGGCAATTTGGAAATGTAGTTTGTTAAACTGCATGAATTGCTGTCCCCAATAATTTAGGCATTATGTCATTAGGAAATGAAAATGGAATAGATATTGGATAGGCAACTTGCAGTCTCTTCTCAACAGGGACATCTCACTTTCATATAACTGTGTGTTGGTGGAGAAGACTGAGAATAGAGCAAGCTATAAGAGGGAGCTTGAGCACTCATGTTAAATTTAAGATGCCTATGAGACATCCAAATGGAGATGTTGAGAAAGTGGTGGGTGTAGGAGTATGGAGCATGGGATAGAGGTCAGGCAGAGCTGTAGATGTAAATTTGGGGGTCATAAAATATGCGTGTTATTTAAAAGCTACAGAACTGGACTATAATACCTAGCTAATTGATAGAGAAGAGAAGGCCAAGAATTGAGCCCTGGGGACTCCAAAGTCTAGAGTCCGGGAAAAAAGGGGAGGCCCAGCAAAGGAGACTGAGGTGGGAAGAAAACTAGGATAGAATGGTGTCTCTGGAGCCGAGTGAAGAACACGTTAAAGGAGGGCAGTGAAAAGGTGACCGCATCAATGAATTGACCAGTAAGATCAAAGAACATCTACTACTTTCTTGTAGTAGAAAGAGAAAAGTGAGTGGTGGACAGAAAGTGGGATGCTTCAAATTGGGGGTTTTTTGACTTGCCAAAAACTTAATATCAAATTGGGGTTTTGGAAGTGGTGCAGTTATTGCTAGTGATGAGGTGTAGGCTTACCACAGGAGTGGGTGAATGAGGACAAAACGAGCTGGGAGTGAGTAGGTGAAGGCACTAAGGTAAGGAGCCAGGTGTTGCAGGGCTCACCTAAAAAAAGTCATCACAGATGGGAACAGAAGTAAGGACAGAGAGGAAAATAATAAGCTAGGTTCTACGATCTTCAGGAATGAATGGAGGGAGACCAGGAAGTCCGCTTGGGTAGAAGGGGTGGTTATTGCTTTGTACTCCCAAGGAGGGAGGAAAAGTGGGCTAGAAGTAATAAGGAAGGGCAGGATGGAGAGCAGGGTGTTTGGAGGAGCAGGCAGCTGCCACTTTTCAAGGGCTGCAGAAGAAAAGGGGCCTTCAGGAAATAGTCAAGTTTCAGTAGGAGCAAGAAGACAAAGAGAATTTTCAGAAAAAAAAGGTGAAGGATCTAGGAGATTTACTGTTGGCAGGAGTGGGAGATTGAGTCAGATTGGGGACATTCAGGGCCATCTGGATATGAGGGTCTGGAAGTTGATGAATGACGTGGAAGCTCTGCTAAAGTGAACGAGGATGTAGCATGTAGTTAGGAAACAATTTGAAAATGTTTTAGAAGTTAGTTGTTACCACAGCCTCTTTCTTCAAATTGGTCCCATGGGCAGTTTGCCATGGTAAAGTAGGGTCTGTCTTTCCAGGAGAGGGGAGTTTTGGGGACCCTCTTAAGTCTAGCTGGTCAGGAAAGCACATCAGCCTTCCTAAATTCAGAGAAAGAGAGTTCAGCCCAGCATAGGAAGGCCTCTCCTACAGACATATCCAAAGATGGAATGGCCTGCCTCAGAAGGGAGTGAGTCTCTTTGTCTAGAGAAGCCAGGGAAGCCTCCACCCAAAGAGTGTTCAGATAATGGATGCTTTGATGCCCCTTCTTTTGCAATGCTCAAGATTCTGTATCAAGTGTAATGATAGACATTGATCTGCAGTCTACTTAAACCCTATGAAAACTTGATCTTGCATTTTGAGTAAGCTGCCACCAAGACTATGGTAGGTAGGTTCCTAGGTCACAGCATCTGAAATAAAAGGCTTGTATATTATTTGATCTAGTTCATATCCAAAGTCTTTATTAATATGGTTAAATATAGCAAATAGTACATTAGATAGTTCCTAATGTGTATTACATAAGTGAAACAGACCTTTAAAATGATGAAAAAATATATATTCCCTTTTGGTTACAAATCCAAACGTTTACCACAGTAGAAATCTTAAATCATGGATTAATTTTAACTATTTTTTGTTATAAAAACATTACATGCACACATAAGTAAAAAAGCAAACACTACATAAGGAAAGACAATAAGAGTGAATCTCTTTCCTACCCCAGATTCCATCCATTCCCTAGAGATGACCACTTTTATCAGTTTCTTTTCTAACCTGGCTTTTGTTATTAATTGCATCTTGGAGATCTTTCCACATCAGCACATTTAGACTTTCTTCGTTCATTTTAACAACTGCTTAGTATTTCACTGCATGGCTGTTCCATGGTTGGTTCAATCAGTACCCTGTTGAACATTTAGGATATTTTCATTCCTTGTTGATTTATTTAGTTATTACAACAATGCTACATGAATATCCTCTTTGGCCATTGAGCAAATTCTACTGAGTAGAAGACATATACATATAAAATAAATTTCTGAAGATAGAAATGCCAGATCAAAGAGTATACACATTTCAAAATTTGAAAGATATTTGTCAAATTGCCCTCCAAAACAATTGCACCAATTTATGCTCACACTAACAATGAATTGCAGAGCCTCAGACAGCAAATTTTTTTTTGGAGACAGAGTCTCACTCTGTCACCCAGGCTGGAGTGCAGTAGCGCAATCTTGGCTTACTGCCACCTCCGCCTCCCAGGTTCCAGCGATTCTCCTGCCTCAGCCTCCCAGGTAGCTGGGATTACAGGCAGGCGCCACCATGCTTGGCTAATTTTTGTATTTTTAGTAGAGACGGGGTTTCACCGTGTTGACCAGGCTCGTCTTGAATCCCTGACCTCAAGTGATCCACCTGACTCAGCCTCCCAATGTGCTAGGATTACAGGCATGAGCCACCACGCGGGGCCTCAGATGGCAAATTTAAATAAGTCCTTTGAAGAGAGACTCAGATTGGCTTCATTACAAAGCACATAAGCCTTTGTAATATAACAACTACCTTCTAATTTACTTGTTTTAGAAACCTGAGTTTTTACCAGAGTTGAGTTAAATACAGAGTGCAGTTATGGTAGAGGTATTTGACCTCTCTAAATTAAATGACAAGGCCGATTTCCTACACAGAATCTCCAATTTCCACTGCAGTGTGTGCCCTTCATACCTCAAGATCATTGCTATCCCTACAGAAAGTCTGAGAAGCACACTGCAAGTTGACTTTCTACCTTGCAATTACCAAAGCAGAGAGCCCCTACTGTGCACAGACACCATTTCCAATATCGTGCTATCTTTCATTCATCCCAAGTTTATGGCTTAACTCATACAGTTCAAACTTTCATAACCAGAGGATTTTTCTGGGCACTTGAATAGATGTTCTCTGTAAGGCTGGGCCTTATCCAGAAAAAAAAAAAAAAAAGAAAAAAAGAAAAAAAACTGTATTGAACCAGTACTAGCCACATTACTGCTTCAGAGATGTATTCTTATAAGCATCTCCCTGGGGCTGGATCTTAGGAAGACAGCAGGCTAGTCTGTGTGCATAACCAGGCTAACCAGCTAGCAACCAGCATCAGGTCTGTTAGAAAGACCAAACCAGCTATGTGGGTAAAGCCACAGTCTTCCTGAAAACCAGGACCAAGGAATTCTTCTAATTAGAATACATCCAGCTTTTCAAACTTCATTGCATCTTATTTTCATGATCTAAACTGTCAGCAGTAAAAGCAGAAAGATTGGACTTGGCAAAGAAAGGCAGATTTTGTCACATTGCATATGTAGAAGGTGTTAAATGGCAGCAGAAGGCAAATTGTGGATGCTTCTTTTTGTGTGTTACTGACATCTCTAGAGATGAAGATTTAAGTTGCCTTCGTCAGTCAAACTTGAATCTGTTATTATAAATTAATAATATGATTCCCCTCAACCATGAAGCTCTTTAAAAAAAAAAAGGTGGGAATTTGTTATACTTGGAGGCTGGCATGTTCAATTAGGCATGGTAAGTTTCTCTTTTGATTAGATCTGAAGTAAACCTAATCATCTCATTTTAGTCATAGGCCTCTAAGCCTTTAGTTAAGGACTCTCAGCATGTGCCAGTGCTTCTGCTGCTAACCCACGTTTCACATGAGATTTACAGGTACCAGATTACAATGTAAAGTTGAGGACTAAAATTAAAATATAAACTAAGAACTCAGATTAAGTGAAAATTCATAGACATATGAAACCCAGGGGACAATACATGCTATAAGTTCACAAAATAGGGGCAACTACTGAATACATGTTAGCCAAATATAAAATCTTCCACTTTACAATAAAATAAATGATTGGGTAATATATAGGTTCCTCAAAAGAAAGAATTATTTTGTTTGATTCTGTTTTTTATATATAGGTCATCATAATCTTTCAACACCTATTTCTTGAGCACCTACTATTTTCCAGATACGGTAAATCAGATCAAAGCTCTCCCCAAATGAATAATGTCACAACCCACTTGCAGAGACACATACCCAAAATATGGGCTTTGACAAAACAACTCTGAAGAGAATTTTTATGCCCATTAGGAGGTAGTTGGGTTAAATGCTGGCAGGTCTTAGGATATGTGGCCTGCCTTTTTAGTAAAGTGATTCTTCATTCGTTTACCTCTTAGACATTCAGAGTTCCAGGGATGGGAACAAAAGAAGACATTTAAAGCTTCTGTCTAGCAGTCTCTACCTGGCTCAGAAATCAAATCTGAGAATAAGGCAAACCTCTGAGAATTTCTTTGTGTGAGCCATTTGTATCTGTATATATGAGATTGAAATGTTCAAAAGATTAAGTTCCTAAAACAATGAAGCAGGTGATCTAAAATGATAAAGAACATCAGCTCTCAAGCACTGTCAGAAACGGCCACGATCAGTAAGTTGGCCCTTTTCCTGAAACATCATATTCTGCAGTCTGATACCTGCTGGGAGTTTTTTTGGTTTGTAAAATGCCAATTACATCTGAACTCAATTAGATTATCTTTTTATAAAAAAAGGGAGGGGGTATTAAAATAAACATTAATTATAAACACTATTAGTCTTTGGAAACTTAACTTAACCACAGCATTAATCAAGCAGAAAGTCTGGCAAGTTTCCCGCAATGTGTTTCTAGGCTTTTCTTCCTTCTGTACCCCTAAAAAGGAAGGTAAGCACAGAATATCATTTCATATAGCGAAAAATCTGAGCACTTTCTCACACCCACAGCCCCCAATGTCATATTCTTTGTTGTTTGTGTTAATGTTGCTATACTCACAAACACTTGTGAGGACCAGCCTAGGCAGTGAGCATTGAGGGCACAGATGGAGAACAGCATCCTTATCCTTAACAGCCCCACAGGCTAGTTGGGGAGAGCGTCAGTGAAACACTTCTGAGGCTCTATGACAAGTGCCGTGATAGGATAGGTATCAGGTGCTATGATGGGGGAGAGGGACTCAGGGAAGGCTTCCAGAAGGATGAGATGCCTAAAGCAGAGTCTTGAAAAGGAATAAGACAAATTCCTTAAGTTTCTTAAAAAGAAATAAGACAGATAAGAAGTGTGGAGAATTCCAAGCCTTGTGAAGAGTAAATCAGGAGGATGCAGGAGATGCAATTGAAAACTGGGAGACCAATTACAAAAGCACGTTCATATTTCTAACGATAAGGTGACCCTGCTAGGAAAGATGGTAGAACAAATTCACATTTGGGCTGATCCATCCTTTATGGGTGGCCACAAAGGTCATTCTTATAGAACATTATTAAAGAAAGCCTGAATGGGCACACGTGGGTAACCATATGAAAAGACAGCATTGGATTTGTCATTTACCCTTTGCATCAGGATGGCTCTCAAATGGAGCAAATGTTTAAATGGAACTGGAGGGCAAAGCTGCTAGAAAAACATGTTAGTTACTTCTATTACAATTAAAGTCCAAAAGTCATAAACAGATAAAGACAGCTATAGCTACAGAGATAAATGTAGATGTAGATATGCATGATTCAGTATACATGCATATCTTTCTTAGCTCTGTCCACTAAGAAAGGCTAGGAGCAATGACATCTTAGTAGCCATAAGCACACATAGTTCTCAGATCTTGGTTTCTAAATACCATTTTCCAATAAAAGGAGTCATTGCTTCTGGAGAACTGATTACTTCCAAGTGCTGAACCAGGAAACATACAAAATGATATTGAAACATCTTGTGATGCCAGAAAATAAAGAAATGCTTTGAAAAGGATGAAGCTTGTTGACTGAACACAGAAGCCAATCTGAAAAATATCCCAGTGGTCAAGATTGAAACAATTTAATTAACTGAATAAATAATGGGCCCACAGAATAAAAGAAATATGCACACATTTATACTATGTAAATAAATAATTGAATACTAAGTAAGAGAGACAAGACAGGTGTTACTTTCAGAATTCCAATTAATGAGTGTAGAGGAAATGAGGAAAAAAAGTCTTTTTTTATGCTAAGCAGACATAAGTGGGGAGAAAAAGTTCTTAATAAGGAAATTCCGCTGCCTCATTTCATTGTATAATGGGTTTGGTCACCACTTGAGATATAATTATGTATATATTCTCATTAATTACAGAAATTACTCCTATGATTGTGTCTGTAAATCTAATATAATTAAATGTCGTTAATCATCTCTATTATGTGGTTCATTAACAAAATATTTACTAAAGACACTTTACAAAATACTTTATTACAGAGTAATTTAATTTTTACTAATATCAGTGTAGCCCTGTAATAAGTAGTTTGCATCATGCTTCACAAAAATTAGAAAAAAATAATTTAGAGGTTGTACTTCAAAGACAGATTTGGGAATAAATAAAATTCTGTTTTTGGTGGTTTTGTTTAAGATGAAATTATTATTTTTAAGAAATAAAAATTTCTTTAAAATTTTCATGGCACATGTATACATATGTAACTAACCTGCACAATGTGCACATGTACCCTAAAACTTACAATAATTAAAAAAAAAATTTTTGCTTTTAAGAATAAAAATTAAGCCTGCCTCTATTAGGTAAATTAACTGTTCCAGTAAGATAGTTGGTAGAATAAAAGAGGATTTGTTTCTTCTAGTTGCTAGGTGGCATCTCTTGTGGAGGAACTTTCACTCTTATTCTCTGGGCCTCCATACCCTCGTAAGAAGGCCTCCACCATCCATCAGAGCACAAATATGAAGTCTCTTCCTCACTTCAGGCTATGGACTCTACAAGGGAACCAGCCAGATCTGTCTTATTCACCAAATACAGCCCAGTACATAGCACGGTTTTTTGTTTTTTGTTTGTTTGTTTTGTTTTGTTTTTTGTTTGTTTTTTTTTTTTTTTTTTTTACTATTTGCTATGTGTTAGTTTGTGACTTGTACTAACTTGAAAGGAAGCTTGACTTCCCAGAGGAGCTGATCATAGTGAGAGCTTCACTGCAAGACAGTGTAGGCCTGTGATGGGTGAGGCATGATTATAGGACACTTGTCAAGGGATACTAAAGATGGCAGAGGGAAGATCCCTCTCCCAGAGAAGACTGCTCTCTGCTGGGGAAAGCAGGCATGTGGGCAGCAAGCTGAAATAAGGACTGTAACATGTACAATCAAAGTGCCATGAGAATGTTGGGTTTCCACTTCGAAAAGAGGGGTGTGTGCAGAGAAACCTTCAGGTTGGACATTGAGTTAGGCCTTGATGAATGAGGGGCAGCTTAATAAAAAAAATGAGGAGCCAAGGCCCAGCTTTCCCTGCCCTGATCTTTATGGTGTTCACCTAACCTTCTGTCCTATGGAAAGGGCTCCTTTGCACATGCACCTTATTGACCTTGGAGATGTGCAGAGGGGGACAACTGATGTGTCTCCCCTGCCTTCCACCACTGGAGTATAAACACCTGGTACACCCCATTTTTCTCCTACTTACCTCTAGAAAGTTCCTGGGGCCCCATAGGTAGACACTCAGTTCCACTGGGGCCATGGGCTTGGAGGTCCTAAAGACATTTACTCTGGGTCATTGGCGTACAGGAAGCACATCACAGAGTCATAACCTCATCTACTTGCCTAGAAACCATGAACACAAGGATTTGTTGCACCCAATCTGATACTGGAGATATACCAGTGAACAAAACCAGTGAAAAACCTTGCCCTTTTGAAGCTTGTCTGCTGCCAGTGGAAAGCACCAAATAATCTGTAGTCATAATGATATAGTATATTAGACGGTGATAACTACTTTAGAGAAAATAAACCTGGGATAAGAAATGCTGGAGAGAGAAGCTATAGATTTCAATAGGCTGCTCAGACAAGCCTCAATGAGGTGACATTTGAACAAGCTCTGTGGACCTCTGGGGGAAGAATACTCCAGGTAGAGGGGCCAGACAATGCCATGGCACAGAGGTGAGATTGTGCACAGCGTTTTCAAGAAACAGCAAAGAGACCAGCGTGGCTGGAGCAGTGAGAGAGGAGAGGGGTAGCGTACAAGATCAGGGCAGTCAGGATGAGTTTCACTGCACAGAATCAGTAAGACTTTGGCTTTCACTTTGACCTAGGGACCCACTGCAGGATTTTGCAGAGAAGTAAGTGCCATGTTCTGTTTTACTGATCACTAAAGATGCTGGGATGAGACTGGCTGGGGCGGAGAGGGGAGGGTAGAAGGGGGAGACTCAGACCAGCAGAATTATTCCTATGTGACTTGGTGCTGGTTGGGTGGGTGTGCGGAGTGGGGAGTGGGAAAGGGGTGGAAGGAAAAAGTGGTCAGATTCTGAAAAATTTTAAAAATAGAGACACCAGATTTGCTGGTAGATGGCATGTGGGGTGTGAGAGAAACAGGGGAGCCCAGGATAACTTCATGATGCCACACCAGTTCTGTTGCAAGCCTTCTGAGAGTGATGAAGGCTTAACTGAAGTCTATGCCTAACTTAAGTCTCTGCTTCCAGAAAAAAAAGGAAAGGAATAAATGGGAGGAAAGTTCAGACACACTTTTGCTTTTTAAGCTACCTGGCAAGCCATAAACTTCAAAGAAAGAGACAAGAAAGGCAGAACCGAAAACACAAAAATAGATTTTAAAAGGCTGATTTCTAGTTTTTCCTCCTGTGTTATTTTTTCCTTTCTTCTCCCAAGCCATGGTCTGTTCACCGAGCTGTGTTTGGCCACTCTCTTTGCATCTTTTTCTCTCTTTTGTCCCATCGTTGTTTCTGTGTTGCAGATGCTTAGAATGTTCTGTAGCAGCTGGAAGTTAATCTGATCACCACCCCAGTAACCCTGCCTATTATAGACTTGGTGGGAAAGATGGGAGGGAGGGAATTTCCAAGGGGCTGTTTTAATTAACAGCAGAAGAGAAACAAAATTCATTTCCTTTGAGTGAACAGACCCTCCAAACGTTGTTTTTCCATGCAGCATGAAGCTTCTGTTTTATGTCAGAATGATCTGGTCAAGGATTTTGATTGCTGGTTGTTTTTCGAAATTCACATTCAGCTCTTATGCTTGGATCTTTTACTTCCGCACTTCCCTACCACCCCCTCAACATACACTCCTCTGAGGACACTCAGCTGGTACTCTTTTGCAAATTTCAGACCAAGCTAAACTATATTAAAATTATATACTAGGTTTTGACGTAGGTGCCTCACGATTTGAGCAGTTTGCTATTTCTGAGATTTTTAACTATACAAATATCTGTAGCTATGTAAAAATACAACACTTTAAGGGTTTAGACCACAAGAGACCACAAGAGAGTATATTTTTTAAAGTTGCCTTGAAACATGTTAAAAATAACTCCTTCACTCACCTTGAAAAGTACTCAAAAATATCATAATTCATTTTTGGCAGGCTCAATGTTACACAGTCATTTCTTAGATTCGTTCCTCTATGCCACCCTTTATGGCAATTTGGAATCTGTGCCTGAAATATCTGAGCAATCCCTTTACCACCAAGGTCTGCACCTGCAGGTGCTAGGCATCAATTCTATTTTAAATATCAATCTTCTTTTCAGTAATTTAGGAGAAGAATTTCCTGTCATCTACTTCCATAATGATAGCAACCCTTTCTGAATAGCAGTTCCTAAGCACTTGCTGTTTATCAGAGGCCATTGAAACATGCAATGGGTATTAACCCATTGGACCTTCCAAGGACTGTTTTAGCTGGATGCTCTTCTTAGCTCCATCTTACTTATTCTGGGCCTGAGGTGGAGAGGGGTTAAGAACCTGGTGCTTCATGAGGTTCTTTTGAGCAAATCCATTTTGCTGCAGCAGTAGTCCCTTGGTCTGAATTTTGGACCTGCAGGTGATGAGGGAAAGCTGATCATCATGTCCCCATTTTAAGATTGCAGAGGTATCAACTTTTAAGCCCAGAAAGCCAGCTCTATCACCTTGACCTTCTCAATTGCAGAAAGATCTAAAATGATCCTTTTTCTAATCAAGTGTTGGGGGATTCACTGAAACTTGAACACCAGTCCAACAAGGCCCTGTATGCTTAAACTCCTGGGTCTGAATGTGGCTGATTCTCCAGCTCGGCCTGTGTGGATTGAGAGAAGAGAGGATGGCAACAATTCTCCTACAGCAACTCAGGACTACATCACCCTTAGATTCTGTTTGATTCTCTTTTTCCTCTAACTTACAGAGTTCTTTCAATGCCACACAATGTGATAAGCCCTTTACACATATTTTCTCACAGAAGACCCCTGCAGCTCAGCCCTTCCCTGGATGACAGGCAGAAAATGAGCCCCTCTTCCCCAAGTGAGTACAGGACATGTATGGACATCGTATGTCACTAGTAACTCTACCAATACCACTGGAATCCCTGCTTAACAGATCAGCCAATACCACTGGAATCCCTACTTAACAGATGGGAAAACTAAAGCACAGAAATATGTAGAAACTCACCACAAATCGCCCAGCAGAGACAGTGAGAGAGCTAGGGCTTGAACTCAGATCTACCTACCTCTCAATCACATCCATTTAACCTCCATTTAAGCATGAAATTGTGCTGTCCCGACACACACACCTTGTTTGCTGTTCTTCACAGTTTGTGACTTGGGAATGAACAGATCCTGAAAATGCCATGTCTTCCTACCCCAAGGCAGAGAGGATCACTTCAAAAATCACAGGTTCTCTGCTGGCTTCTGCCCCAGGTCCTTCACGCTCACATATATCCTGTTAGCCTCATCCTCACAGCATTTCTCAAAAGGTGCCCTGTGATGATCTCAGGCGTATCCAGTGGGCTGGAATCAGCGAATCTGGTTTGTCAGGCTCTGCCCCACCACCCTGAAGGATTACACATGTGTGCCACATTCTGAAGGTGGGCCCTCAACTGCAGCCTTTCTAGAAACTAATCTTTAACGGAAAATCCTTCTAGCCTATGGCGCAGCCATTGTCAGCGCTTAGGATGTGGAATGGCTGCCAGGTCATATTAGTTGCGACAAAGAATCATCTAGGAGGGAGGTTGAGTTGCAGAAGTTGAAGAGGTCTGTGGAGAAGACAGCTCCCAAGCAGCCTTGCTGCTTTGGCTTGCTGCCCCTAAGGCAGCAAGAGGACACAAATAACGCTAATCCCTCTTACTGTTCAATAGCACAGAAAACCTGAGGTGCTGCTGCAGTGGGAAAAGAGTAACATGCAGTCTCACTGGCCTGTAAGATATTTGAGAACCTATAAAATTCCAATTCTAGGGTTATCTCCTACCCTGTTCTCCTAGATTTTCCTTGGAGATTTGGGGAAAACCAGCCCATGAGTGCCAGTGGCCAACACTATTCTGAAAGATGCTTCCTGGCAGAGGGCATGGCTCCCCTTCCAGGCTTTTGGGTCCCTTTTATTACCATTTCTCTCTGGCACACACCTAAACTCTGAAAAGATTCTTATAACCACAAGTGATATGTCATTAGCTTGTTTCTATCCAATATTTTCTGTGTCATGATTCATGACTTTAGGACATTATTTGAGTTGAGTTATTTTAGGTTTTATTTCCACAGACCTATTTGTTGCCGCTTCTGAATGCTTTCCTGCTTTATTATTATCTTACAGATAATTTTCCAATAGCAAATATTGATCATCTATATTTCTTAGAGTGGCAGGATGTTCTGAGTTCAAACAATAACCCTGAGACCATGATGGGATGATTTTATTAGAAGAAGCATCATCTCCAATAAAGTTTCAGAACCTCCTTTTTTCCTCTTCTGGGTGGAAAACCAGATGATTTGGGACTTTTTGGAATTGCCTTCTGCAAAAAGTAACTCCTCTTTAGGCTGAGGACTGCAGAGTACTCAAGCTCACTCTTATTATCTGTTTATCTAGTCCTCAAATAAGACTAGGTTTGGCAGCCAGGAAAGTATCTTGCATCCACACAGCCTGGAAAACCTTCAGGCAATCATAGACCCTGCCTGCCTCCTCCATCCTTGCATTTCTTTTTCTCTATTTTTCCTTTCTGTTCTTGTTCTTCTTTACCACCTCCTTTTCCTAGTCTCCAGGATTTCTTTTCCCTTTTTCTTCCCAGAGTTTCCCTTGGAAATTAAATAGAAACAACCAAATTCAAGCTACCTTCCAGGGTGGTGAATCTAATGCTGACCTTCAACATTCCTCATGGATGGAGTCGTGCCTATCACCTCATCCTTCTTTCTCACTCCTTAGGAAGCCCAAGCCACACACCAACCTCCTTTTCTCCATGAAATATTTCCTTTCCTACTTCTTTTGAGAGTGTACTCAGTGGTGCACATTCATTGCCTAGACTAAGGTACTTATGGCCTAGAGATTGCCTTTGCCTTTGTTGTGGCAAAGAGACCAGGCTTGTGACTAATGGAGCCGTGAGCAGAAAGGGTCACAGCTCGTGTCATTTTCACCATTGGAGTCCATTGGTCTGACTCTAGTTTACAGGTGCTGTCACTCCCAGCCAGTCACACAAGTCATCACCATGACCACACGCCATGATTCCAAACCATGGAGGTGGGCAGTGGGTGCCAATCTGCCATGCTTTATCCTAGGAAAAGAAGCTCTCCAGGAGAAACATATTTGTTTGGTTTGGTTCTAAATAAAAAAGTAGAATGAGATCCCCTGTTAATATGCTGCTAGAGAACACAAGCCGGAAAAAAAAAAAATACATCGTGGGAAAACTGTAGGGGTTGTGGTGTTTTGAGATACTCATTATATCTGAATCTAGGCAATAATCAGTTTAAAATGAGAATTTTTTTATACCTTGAATGTTCCCAAGGAAGAAAATAAAGGATAAAAAGAAGAGGAATGTGCTGTTTCCCTAATCTCTGCACTTTTGCTTGCTTTTTTTTTTTTTTTTTTGGCTTATTGCATGCATTTACTTATTATGTCAATAATAAAGAAGAAATGAAACATCGCACTTGTGTTACAGCTGTTTAAAATGATTACTTTGAGAATGGCAATTTTCTAGTAACTTTTTTTATGTTTCCATAAGTTATTGGGGTACAGGTGGTATTTGGTTACATGAGTAATTTCTTTAGTGGTGATTTGTGAGATTTTGGTGTACCCATCAACCATATGTACACTGCACCATATTTGTAGTCCTTTATCCCTCGTCCCCCTCCCACTCTTCCCCCCAAGTCCCCAAAGTCTATTGTATTATTCTTATGCCTTTGCATCCTCATAGCTTAGCTCCCATGTATCAGTGAGAACACACGATGTTTGATTTTCCATTCCTGAGTTACATCACTTAGAATAAGAGTCTCCAATCTCATTCAGATCACTGCAAATGCTGTTAATTCATTCCTTTTTATGGCTGCATAGTATTCCATCATATATATATGTTGGAATATTTTTATATATATATTTTATATATATAACTATATATAATATATATATAACAGTTTCTTTATCCACTCGTTGATTGATGGCCATTTGGGTTAGTTCCACCACTTTGCAACTGTGAATTGTGCTGCTATAAATATGCATGTCCAGCACCATTCCCAAAGCATCTCATCACCAACATTACTTGCTGCACTCAGTTGATCCTTCCTTGCCCTAAATCCACAAATGGAATCAGTTGCCTTCTTAATGCCTTAATTGCAGCTGACTCAGCTAATTTGGAAAGCTGTGATGCATGTTCCTTACTCGTTTAGAAACAGCAATGTTAATTATAAGACAGGTTGAGTATCCCCTATCTGAAACGCTTGGGACCAGAAGTGTTTCAGATTTCAGATTTTGGTTTTTTCAGTTAGGGATACTCAAAGTGTAAATGTTTGAAAACTGAAGTCAAATCAGAGGACCCCTGGGCTTGGCTTTCCTTCCCAGCCCATTGTCAAAATCTGGTCTGGAATGAGCATTTAATTTCAGAGAAATGGCCATGCCTCCAGAGCAGCTCTGTTTCTCTAGACCTGTTTTGGATCTCAGCAGTAGGGAAGCTTTAGTGTTGCTTGGTGCTTTTGTTAATTTTGTGAGCAACTGGGAAGGGAGGGAAGAGATTCTCAAATAGAGAATTGGGCTGAAAAATCTACAAAGGCAAGAAAGTACCCTTCAGGAAGGTCCTGGTGCATTGGGGTTGGACAGAATGGAGTGGTCACGCTATTAGTGCAGCGTGACTGAGGAGGCCACATACCTGCTTGGCCCTGAGACTCTCTTCTTTCTCATTGTGTCTCCTTCCTGCCACTTTCTTTTGCTTCAGGGAGGTTCAGAGAAAAGGCTTCAATTCTCCACAAGATCGCCAAGAAGAAATGTCATGTGGATGAGAACGAGAGGCAGAATGGGGCTGCCAACCACGTGGGTGAGTGCAGGGAAACATCCACCCCATACCTTTCCTGGGGGAAGCGAGGGGAGCAGAGAGTCAGGACCAGTGTGGGCACCCCTGACTCAGTGCAGACACACACACCGCTGCAGCACAGCCCTTCCCTGTGCAACAGGAAATGAGTCCCTCTTGCCCTAGTGTGTACAGGGTATGCATGGACACAGTATGTCACCAGTAACTCTAGAAGTCCAAGAAGAGTAAATTTATTCTCTGAGGAACCTGAAGTAAAACCATCTCTTAACTAGTCATCTCCATTCAAGAATAGAAAATCACTGTATTTCAGGGATTCCACATAAACAGGATACATGCACACGCATACACGCACACGTACACAGTGTCATTTAATGTTTAATCAAAGGTGAGAGTCCCCTTTCTGTAAGTCTTGACTGGTAACCAGATTTTTATACCTGTGATATTGCTTATGGCACACACTTGGTCACTCCTGAACTGAGTGACAGAGTCCTTTTGAGATGATGCTGCCTCTCGTTTTTAAGAATTCAGCAGTAACAGCCCCCAGGTCTCTTTCCACTGACTTTTGCAGAGCTCCTGTATGACAAGATTGTGACATTCAGGCATCTTATTTTAAAATGGAACATGATGTTCCTTCTCTCCTGTCTGTAACTATAATATAGCTCTCTTATTCTAAATTCAAACTAAATTTAACCTGATCTGGATCTATGCTATAAACGAAGCTATTACCCAAGTAACTAAAATTATCTGCAGACAAAATTCAACAGCATTGCTCTCAAAATACTGACACTCCGTAGAAGAGTTTCTGCCTTTCCTGTTATCCCAACTTCTACCTCAGGGAAAATTTTTGGCTGAGAAACAGTTAAGATGCAATTAGATACGAAAAGAAAAACTGGAAAGAAGTCAGCTAAAATGTTAACAATAGTTACTTCCTAAAGCTGGGATTATGAGTTATATATATATTTTTCTGCTTCTTTATGCTTCTATAAAGTTTTTCAGAATAAGCATATTTTGGTTTTGTACTATAAAAATGTAAAGCCACACCATGAAAGTCTACCGCATAGGTTGAGTTTTGTTTGTGATGTTTAGATTCAACTACACAAGCTATTTTTTCTGCTTCACATGTTGACTTGTCTTTTATAGAATGAGGTAGCTTGGAGTAAAAGAATTAGATTCCTGGGCTCAGTCGCAGTCCTCCTCCTCCTAATGACTGGCCAACCTTAGACTTGGATTTAATCTTTTTTAAGGAGGTAGGACACTTAATGCCAAGGATTCTTCTAATGTTATTGGGGCTCTCAATGACTTTGAACTAGAAAATGTTATTGGGTCTCTGAATGACTTTGTAACTAGCTAATGCTTTTCAAAGTAAGTCCAAGATTTATTTTCATATTTTCTTTTATTATGAACCTTCAGCCTGCTGTGTAAAAGCACTTTATAAGCTAAGATGTGCACACACAGGTTAGATATTATGCCTGGCAGGCAGTCTCTGCTCATCTGTTCATCTCTGTTCTTGGACATGTTAACTCCCCTTTTACCCAGTATTTTGTGTTGCTAGGGTCAATTTGACCATTGCAGGCTAATCCTAAGGTTTTATCACATCAGCCAATAGAATTCTCCAAACAGAGTTTTATTCACCCAAGGTTCTTCATGATTTTTTATTTAAATAACTGAATCAAGCATACTAAGATAAACTGGCATAGCCACATGCAGCACATCACATACGTATCGCTGTCACTACTAAAAACTTGGAAAGATAAAGTAAATTTGAGTTTCTATGGTTTTCCGTATTTAAATCTATTCATGTGTCTATATTCCACAACTAAATACATAAATAAACATAAATATTTCCCTATGATTTCCAAAATTTGGCTGCTTCAAACTCCACAATTTTTATGTAACTCTCAAATTATTTTCTTAAGCACCAGTGATGGAAATGTCTAGTCCCTCTGAAGTTGCTAGGAAAAAAAAAGCACATTCTTATGTTTGATGAGCAGCTGATACTGCTCGGATCTGACAATGATGAGCATTCTGATACCCCCAGAAACCCTGACAGCATACTACAGCCTCATTCCATCCCAAAATCCATGATTTGACCCAAAACAGCCAGAGTGTGTGCTTTCAATAGGAACCTTTTAATTTCCCTCGCGATGAAGTTCAGCAGACCTCAGTGGTGCTGGAACATTGATCACCTGATGGTACTCCTCTTTGTCATGACAAAAAAAAAATTATTCTAGTGAAAGGCAGGCACTATAATAAAGATCCAAATAGTTTATGCTTCTTGGTTGCTCTGTACAAGGCACTATGCTACAGTGTTTTATATGCATTTTCTTATTTAATCTTTACAGAAATACTCTTTGATCATATTGTTGTTGTTAGTGGTAGTAGTAGCAACAGTAATAGTAGTAGTAGTATTGTTACCATCACCCCAGTTTTACAGATGAAGAAGCTGAATTTCAGAGAGGTTGAGTCACTTGCAAAGGGTGAAACAGCACAAGTTGTAGATCCAGAATATGAAGCCAGGCCTGTCTGATTCCCAGTGTTACAGACTCCCAGTGCTTAACCATTACCCTAGAGTCACTTCTCAAGTGTCAAATCTGCACTTGCTGACCCTCTGGCTTTACTCTAGCTAAATGTTCTGATTCAGGAATGACACAGCCTTTGGCCTCTATTACTTGTCGAGCTCCCCCTTGCCTTGCCTGCAGTAGGATGCTCAGGTGTGGAGTGTGCTAAGTTGTATTCACCAGGCTGCCCTGCCCATGGCCACCTAGGCACTGGAAGAGTTTCCACTCACAGAGTCTGAATTACAGCTGAACATAATGTCCCTTGGAGGTCAACCTGTCGAACCCTCTTATTTCACAGATAAGATTCCCAAGTCCCAGAGGAAGAAGGGAACTAGCCTAAGATAGCAACCCGATCAAAGCAGGGTAAAGTCTAGGACCCTGAAGCCCTAGCTAATATCCTTTCCAGAGTACAGTATCAAAGAAACGATATTACTGTAAGAAAATATCTGAAGGGTACAGTCCAGGGTGTAAACAATAGTATGTAGATTGCGTGTGGTTTTGGTTTTAAAATGTCTATGTTCATGTTTCCTGAGTAGCTAGTTGGTAAATTTGCCTAGGCTCAAGAAAGGCATATCATGGGAGCTGATAGGGCACCCAAGGTAAAGTGTCATGCCAGAGCAGGAAGCCAGGGCGCTATTAAGGGGGCAGGCCGTATACTGAAAGACATGGGGAAGAACGGTAAAAATCCTTTCCCGCTTGGCTCAATATCAGCCCTGGGCCTTATCGCCCCTGGGACACCACTATCCTCTGCTTTAGCCCAACATTTTAGGAAACTCTTTTCAATATTGCTCTTTACCCCCATTGATTCCATTTGCTTTCTCTCTCTCTCTCTCTCTCTCTCTGTGTGTGTGTGTGTGTGTGTGTGTGTGTGTGTGTGTGTGTGTGTTTAAATTATATCACAGAAAAAATTGAGCTTCCAAACAGCACCAGCACAGATGTTGAAATGACACCATCCAGTGATGCTTCAGAACCTGTACAAAATGGAAATCTCTCCCACAACATTGAAGGTGCAGAAGCCCAGGTATGGCTTTTCTCCATTGCTCTTCTGGGCTGTTGTTCTTAACTGATATCCTAGCGTGGCAGCACAGACCCTATATTCTCCTTGGAAGCCCCAGCTCTCAGCTGGGCAGGAATCAGGTAGGGCCTTATACATCCTTGTGTGTATTTCCCAGTGCCACCCCAGGGTCCCACATGCAGCAGCCTCTACATTTATTGAATGAATATGAATATTCTCTAAGCCACTGTTTCTCCAGGTGAGGTTGAAGGACTCATGCATCAGTATCTCCTGGGGATGAAAATGTAGATCCCTGGGCCATATACCAGGTGTGGTGAAACAGGATCACTGGGAAGCAGCACGTCGGAATTAGCATTTTTAATTAGCATCCAAGGTGATTTTTAATGTATGATAAAGCTTGATACCTGCTGCAGTTTAATCCTTTCTCTGTGTCTTTAAGGTCTGTGTTAAGTAATAGAGAAACCACAGCCATCAGACTCAGTGAGCCCCCTTTGGCTTTCTCTGTCCCTGTGGTTGAAATTAACACTCTCTGGCCCAACCCATTATTCAATGGCACAACCACTTGAACTTTTCAGTCTAGTAGTTGTAAAACCTAACATTTATCAAACACCTACTATTTGCCACAGCTTCGGTACTAGGCATTTTACATAGGTATTAGTCCATTTTCACACTGCTATAGAGAACTTATGAAGAAAAGAGGTTTAATTGACTTATAGTTCCACAGGCTCAACAGGAAGCATGACTGAGAGGCCTCAGGAAACTTATAATCATGGCAGAAGGTGAAGGGGAAGCAAGCATGTCTTACCATGGCAGAGCAGGAAAGAAAAAGAGGGAATGGAGATGTGCCATACACTTTCAAGCAGCCAGATCTCATGAGAACCCACTCAGTATCACGAGAATAGCAAAGGGGAAATCTGCCCCCCAGATTCAATCACCTCCCACCAGGCTCCTCCCCGCAACATATGGGGATTACAATTTGAGATGAGATTTGGGTGGGGACACAGAGCCAAACCATATCAACATATGTTATCACCTTTAACCTCACAGCTGAAGGTGTAGGCATTAGTAGCTCCATTTTTTTTTTTTTTTTTTTTTTTGAGACGGACTCTCACTCTGTCACCCAGCCTGGAGTGCAGTGACTCAATCTCAGCTCACTGCAACCTCCACCTCCTGGGTTCAAGCAATTCTCCTGCCTCAGCCTCCTGAGTAGCTCGCACCACCACACCCGGCTAATTTTTTTTTTTTGCATTTTTAGTAGAGATGGGGTTTCAGTTGATCAGGCTGGTCTCGAACTTCTGACCTCAGGTGATCCACTCGCCTTGGCCTCCCAAAGTGCTGGGATTATAGGCGTGAGCCACTGCGCCCGGATAGTAGCTCCATTTTATAGTTGAGGAAACTGAAGCTCAGTGAGATGAAGTAGTTAATTGGGGTTACCTAGTTTGTAGATGGTAGAGCTGAGATTTCATCTCAGGACCGTCCAACTGTACAATTTCCACCACTCTCTCTAGAACACAGTTGCTCAAAATGTAGGCAGAACCACCTTTGGTGCTTGTTAGATTTCTGGATCTCATCCTGATCAGGCGAATCAGAATTTCTAAGACCTGGAGCCCCAAACTTGCATGTTAATTAGGCATTTTAAAACTTGCATTTTACCTAGCTCAGTGTTTCTCAAACTTTAATGTACTTACAAATTCTCTGGGGAGGTCATCTTAAAATTCACATTCTGAATTTGTCAGGTCTGCCATGAGGCCTAGAGTCTGCAGTTCTAATGAGCTCCCCAGTGATGCTGATGCTGTTGGTCCAAGGACCATACTTGGAGTAGCACTACCCTAAAGTTTGAAAGCACTCTCTAGACAGAACTTCCCCCAATGAGCTGAAAAGTGATACAGTGCCTGCAAATAGAAACCAGACTACAGTCAATATAACCTAGCAGCCACTTCTTAAGAAAAAAAAAATGCTAATTGTTGCCTGTTACCCTTATTCTCTGATAGAAATTACGTATTTCTTTCCTAAGGAAAGTTTCTTCATTTAACAGAAAGAATAAGGAGCCTGCCACTCCTTCTGCCCTTGTCTCCTCTGCCTTCTATGCTCCTTACCTTCCTGCCCAGAGCCCTGTGGTCCCTTTGCATTAGCTCAAGAGTGAGCTGGCAGAGCAGCTTATGTCCACATGGATAAGCAGCGTGTGGCAGCAGGAGGCAGGCCCCAAGGACATCTGGCTGCCCTTGGGGATGGCACAGTCATAGGTGTGCAGAGGGCAGCCTCATCCCCATGCCTCTCCATCTGGCTGACAGAGGGACATCTGTGCCCCTGCAAGGGAGGACCTTGCTGCAGGGGAGCAAAAGAGTCCCAGATGACCCCTCTCTGAGCAGAGCTGTGGCCCTAGGTCTCCACAAAGGGGAACAGGACAGATTTGTGCACCACCCTGCTAGGCTCAGAGTTCAAGAGCAATCAGGTCTTCACTTACAATCAGATGACCTGGACCTCAAGAGCAATCAGGTGACCTGGGCCTGCAGGTCACCATGGCCCACTGTAGGACAGCCTGGTAGTGAATTCTAGATCCACCAGGGTCAAGTTACCTAGCTTCCCTGAGCTTTAATTTAGTTGCCTCATCTGTGAAGTGCAGATAGCAACAGTACTTGCTTCATTGCAGCTATCATAAGGGTTAAATGAAATAATGTACATAAAGCCCTTATTACAGAGTTAGATGCTAAATATTGATATTATGTATTCATATTTATCATTAAAACACCATTCGAGGTGTCCTTTCCTTGAAAGAGCTCATTGTATGTAAAGTGAAATGGTTTTATGTATATAATATTTGGGGAGTATTCAGGGTATAAATAATGAGTGAACGTTTGTGTTAGGTAAATAATTATGACCTGGTATGATCTTAGAGTTCTATACAAAGTGCTCTGAGAGCCTGCCAAAGGAAGAAGTTGGTCCTAAATAGAGGAGATGTAAAAACTCCATAGAAGAGGCAACATTCAAGCTGGGTGTTGATGGGTGAGTCGGAGTTTGTCCCTCAAAGAATGAAGAAATAACCAAAATGACAACATGTGCAAAGGTGTAAAACCTTAAAAGGGAAAGTCATGTTTAGTGATTGGAGAGAAAGAGGATAGAACTGGAGCCTAAAATACAAGGTGAGGAGTAAGGAGATATCCACTAGAAAAGGTAAGTTGGCTCAAATTTCTTCCATTGTTTATCTAATCAGAAAATTTTGATTGTTTACCTAATATGTGTCAGACAATGTACTGGGCACTGGAGATGCCCATGTGTTCTAGCAAAGCAGAGAATGTAAACACAACCCAACATGATTATACATGGCCCCAAAGGCCATGAACAAAACAAAGCAGTGTGATAGGATGGAAGGAAAATGGAGAGGCTCCTGTGAGTTGGGAGATGAGGGAAGGCCTCCAAGGAAATGGCATTTGAACTGAGACTGAAGTTCAAGAAGGAGCCAGCCAAAGGAACAGCACCCACAAAGGCAGAAATAAACTCAGCTTGTTTCAGAAACAGAAAAATCAGTATGGCTGGAGAGAGAGGAGTGGAAGGAGGAAGCATGGTAGCAATGAAGTCAGAGAGGAGGGCCAAGCAGAGCTGGTAGGTCTTGTAGATCATGATAGGGTAGCTGACTTCTGTCTGGGGCAGCAAGAAGCCATTGGAAGTCAGCAGATGTGATTTGCACTTGTAAAAGATCCCTGGCGCCACGGTGTCTTAGAGGTTGCATTTGAGGGAAGGAGGGTTTATGGCAATAGTGGGGCAAAGAGGTTGTTGCAGGCCTTGAGGGAAAGAGCTGATGATGACACGTACTGGTGTGATAGACGTGGAGGGGAGGAGAAGTATGTGGATCATGAAGGACATTGTGCGCACTGCCAACCAGTCTGGACTTCACCCTCCTCTTGGGAGTGGGAAGCTGCAGAAGATTTAGAGGGAGCAGTGGCAGTGTCAGATTTGTTTTATAGAAAGACAATTCTCTTAGAATGGTCAAGAGGGATCAGAATAGAAAATTACTAGACAAAGGGAGGTGAGGTAAGAACCTGTGGTTCCAGGATTGGCACACTGTGGTCCACAGGCCAAATCTGGCCTGCAGCCTGTTTCTGTACGACCCATGAGACAAGAATGGGTTTTTACATTTCTAAAGCTTTTTTTAAACAGGAAGCAATAGCAGCATATGTGACAGAGACCATATGGACCTCAAAGCCTAAAATATTTACTATCTGGCCCTTTACAGAAAACGTTTGCCCATCCTTAGTTTCAACCATCTGTCTTAAAAAACAGAAAGAAAGGAAAAGAAAAGGAATGAGAAGCTCTTCATGTACTGCTATGGAATGACCTCCAATACATGTTGTTTAGTGAAAAAAGCAACATGCCAAATTGTATCCAGTATATTTGTACACGGAAAGAAAGGGGGAGAAGGGAAATAGCATATAAACATTTGCTTGGAATGCTGTCAAATAACTAGTCATGTTACTTACTTCCAGAACAGGGGCTGGGGCGGTAGGAAACTGGGATGGAAAGGAAGCTTTTTAATATGCACCCTTCTATAACTTTTCAATGTTGAACCAGGCAATTGCATTACCTTTTCCAAAAAAAATGCAGCAACACTAAAAATAATAATGGGTTAAATGAATACAGGAGCAATGTGCTTTGGTCACTATCACACAGACTCTGAGGATGGACCACCTGAATTCAAATCCTAGCTCTGCTGCTTACCAGCTGTGTGACCCTGGAAAAGTGACTTAACCTGTTATCCATTTTCCCTCTTTGTGAAACAGGGATAATAATGGTTTCTATCTCATAGCACTGTTGTGAGGATAAATGCTCTTAGAACCATTCTTGGCACATTATAAGCACTGCTTAGGTGTATGCTATTATTAGCAGTACTGAGTAACATTTTTAATGGCTATTGAATAGCCCAGATGGCAAGGCGTCTATTGGTAGACCATGTATGAGCTGCAGTATGAACGGCAAGGCTGGATTTGAGAGTCCTTTCTGAGCCAGAATTGGGAAGATTTGGTATTGACTTGGTCATAGAAAGTGAACAAGAAAAGGAAGCTGCAGATGATGCTGAGGTTTCCAGGCTGGAAAGTCTGGGTGATGGGGTGAATTAGGGCTGGGCCTCCAGAGTCAGTAGGAAAATGTGAACGCGGGATGATCAGGCCACCTGAAGCACAGTTTCATGGACATGATTCAATGGCTTTTCATTTTGTTAGTTTTATTTCCTTTTGAGTTGTATTTTTAGCAAGTTCCGTTAAGAGTGAGGTGCGCATCCTGACTTTATTAGCGGAAATTATGAGCCCCATACACCACACTGTTATTCTCCTGAGACTTTAGCCTGCCTTGTGTAATTAACCTGCTGTTTTAAAAACCCTATTTACAAGTGAACTAATTTCACATTGTCACCTCATCTCCGAGAGGTTTCTGCCATACAGTCTTTACCGTGGCAATAGAGAGCATTTTTAAAATACTCTCACAGAGGAATGAAGTTTTTGCTTCATTTGTATATTCTGTGGAACCAAGAAATAATATGACTTTTTAAATGGCTGAGCGATCACTAGCTTTTCCCAATAACTGCTGATCCATTGTTGTTGATTCCAACACTGAGAAATCTGATCTGGGATGCCACTGAGAATTTATCAACCTTCTCAAATTTTTTTTTTTTTTTTGGTTATTTTAAAAATTTACTAGCATTTACTTAGTATGGTTTATGGTATATAAATTAATCACATTATGACGTTTGTAGTTGCTGTGTTAAAAAGGAAAGATAAAATTATAAGAACATATTCCTTACCTTTTTTTTTTTTTTTTTTTTGAGATGGAGTCTTGCTCTGTCCCCAGGCTGGAGTGCAGTGGCACTATCTCGGCTCACTGCAAGCTCCGCCTCCCGGGTTCACGCCATTCTCCTGCCTCAGCCTCCCAAGTAGCTGGGACTACAGGCGCCCGCCACCACACCCGGCTAATTTTTTGTATTTTTAGTAGAGACAGGGTTTCATTGTGTTAGCCAGGAAGGTCTTGATCTCCTGACCTGGTGATCCACCCACCTCGGCCTCCCAAAGTGCTGGGATTACAGGTGTGAGCCACCGTGCCCGGCCCATATTCCTTACTTTTACTTCTCGTTTTTTAGTATGATGGCAAAGTGTTTGGTTTTTGTTTCCAAAAAGCAGATTTTCTTTTTTTTTTTTCCAGATTCTTTTCTAGGTTTATTTTTTTTATTATACTTTAAGTTCTTTTATATATATATTTTTTTTATTATACTTTAAGTTCTAGGGTACATGTGCACAACGTGCAGGTTTATTACATATGTATACATGTGCCATGTTGGTGTGCCGCAGCCATTAACTCGCCATTTACATTAGATATATCTCCTAATGCTTTCCATCCCCCCTCCCCCACCCCACAACAGGCCCCGGTGTGTGATGTTCCCCGTCCTGTGTCCAAGTGTTCTCATTGTTCAATTTCCACCTATGAGTGAGAACATGCTGTGTTTGGTTTTTTGTTCTTGCGATAGTTTGCTGAGAATGATTGTTTCCAGCTTCATCCGTGTCCCTACAAAGGACATGAACTCATCCTTTTTTATGGCTGCATAGTATTCCATGGTGTATATGTGCCACATTTTCTTAATCCAGTCTATTGTTGGTGGACATTTGGGTTGGTTTCAAGTCTTTGCTATTGTGAATAGTGCCACAATAAACATACGTGCATGTGCCTTTATAGCAGCATGATTTATAATCCTTTGGGCATATATCCAGTAATGGGATGGCTGGGTCAAATGGTATTTCTAGTTCTAGATCCTTGAGGAATCGCCACACTGTCTTCCACAATGGTTGAACTAGTTTACAGTCCCACCAACAGTGTAAAAGTGTTCCTATTTCTCCACATCCTCTCCAGCACCTGTTGTTTCCTGACTTTTTAATGATTGCCATTCTAACTGGTGTGAGATGGTATCTCACTGTGGTTTTGATTTGCATTTCTCTGATGGCCAGTGATGATGAGCATTTTTTCATGTGTCTTTTGGCTGCATAAATGTCTTCTTTTGAGAAGTGTCTGTTCATATCCTTCACCCACTTTTTGATGGGGTTGTTTTTTTCTTGTAAATTTGTTTGAGTTCATTGTAGATTCTGGATATTAGCCCTTTGTCAGATGAGTAGATTGCAAAAATTTTCTCCCATTCTGTAGGTTGCCTGTTCACTCTGATGGTAGTTTCTTTTGCTGTGCAGAAGCTCCTTAGTTTAATTCGATTCCATTTGTCAATTTTGACTTCTGTTGCCATTGCTTTTGGTGTTTTAGACATGAAGTCCTTGCCCATGCCTATGTCCTGAATGGTATTGCCTAGGTTTTCTTCCAGGGTTTTTATGGTTTTAGGTCTAACATTTAAGTCTTTAATCCATCTTGAATTAATTTTTGTATAAGGTGTAAGGAAGGGATCCAGTTTCAGCTTTCTATATATAGCGAGCCAGTTTTCCCAGTACCATTTATTAAATAGAGAATCCTTTCCCCATTTCTTGTTTTTGTCATGTTTGTCAAAGATCAGATGGTTATAGATGTGTGGTATTATTAGTGGGGGCTCTGTTCTGTTCCATTGGTCTATATTTCTGTTTTGGTACCAGTACCATGCTGTTTTGGTTACTGTAGCCTTGTAGTATAGTTTGAAGTCAGGTAGCCTGATGCCTCCAGCTTTGTTCTTTTGGCTTAGGATTATCTTGGCAATCTGGGCTCTTTTTTGGTTCCATATGAACTTTAGTTTTTTCCAATTCTGTGAAAAAAGTTATTCATTGGTAGCTTGATGGGGATGGCATTGAATCTATAAATTACCTTGGGCAGTGTGGCCATTTTCACAATATTGATTCTTCCTACCCATGAGCATGGAATGTTCTTCCATTTGTTTGTATCCTCTTTTATTTCATTGAGCAGTGGTTTGTAGTTCTCCTTGCAGAGGTCCTTCACATCCCTTGTAAGTTGGATTCCTAGGTATTTTATTCTCTTTGAAGCAATTGTGAATGGGAGTTCACTCATGATTTGGCTCTCTGTTTGTCTGTTGTTGGTGTATAAGAATGCTTGTGATTTTTGCACATTGATTTTGTATCCTGAGACTTTGCTGAAGTTGCTTATCAGCTTAAGGAGATTTTGGGCTGAGACAATGGGGTTTTCTAAATATACAATCATCATGTCATCTGCAAACAGGGACAATTTGACTTCCTCTTTTCCTAATTGAATACCTTTATTTCTTTCTCCTGCGTGATTGCCCTGGCCAGAACTTCCAACACTGTGTTGAATAGGAGTGGTGAGAGAAGACATCCCTGTCTTGTGCCAGTTTTCAAAGGGAATGCTTCCAGTGATGTTGAGAATTTAGCCAGGTTTGAAAGACAATTCAAGGCAATATGCTCTCCCACCCAGAACCCAGCATTTTCTTACATTTCAATTTTGCCAATCTAGATGGGTGATTTGCACTTGGCCCACATACACTGCAAAACTGCCTGCCTGCTGCATCATAATCCCTGCTGCTGTGACACATCAAAACCATTTAAATACGCTCACAATGAGGGTAGAAGGGGGAGAGACTTGCAAATTCCTTAGATTCGAAAATCTAAAAATTCAACTTTTAAAAACTGTGTCCTACATTTTCATGTAGCATGAGACGGCTTTTTATGTGTTGCAGTTTTTATTTCATTTCACTTCTAAGATTTCCTTCTGTCCTTAGGGAAATCAGAATTGTCCCTGCTTTGGCTAAGAGCTTCCCAAATGCACCTGTGGGCAAACAGATTTATATAAGAAAATGACATTCCTAGGAATGTGATTGATTGATAGACAGATAGATACAGAGAGAGATAGGTAGGTAGATAACAGATGACTGAAGACAGAGAATGTGTAATATGCAAGTGATTTTATTCTTACTTTACAATTCAAATATTACCTTGCCATATTAAGCTCTTTCTCTTCTTAGGAATTCAGCTCTGACTTATTTCTCCATACTGTTATCTTTACCTAAACTCAGTGGAGTTTTTAAGATCTGCTTTTATAAAGCCTCATGGTGCTGATAAAAATGTTTGAGTTTTATGTCACTAAGTGAAGAATGAGTAGGGGAAACATGATGGAAGTGAGTGTGGTTTTTTAATTTCTCTTTTTAAAAAGAGAAATGCTCAAAAATATCTTCCTACTATTAAATTTAGTTCTCTGAGGTTGATTTTAAAAAACATGTCATGGCCAGGCATGGTGGCTCACACCTGTAATCAATCCCAGTTTTGGGAGGCCGAGGCAGGTGGATCACTTGAGCTCAGGAGTTTGAGACTAGCCTGGGCAACATCACAAAAACACTCTCTCTACCAAAAATACAAAAAATTAGCAGGGCATGGTGGTGTGCACCTGTGGTTCTAGCTACTTTGGAGTCTGAGGTGGGAGGATCACTTGAGCCCAGGAGGCAGAGGCTGCAATGAGCCATGATCACCCTAGTGCACTCCAGCCTAGGCTACAAAGGAGACCCCATCGAAAGGAAAGGAGGGAGGGAGGGAGGGAGGGAGGGAGGGAGGGAGGGAGGAAGGAAGGAAGGAAGGAAGGAAGGAAGGGTCATTATAAAAACCAACAGTTTTGTTACAGATGAAAGGAAGGAAGGGTCATTATAAAAACCAACAGTTTTGTTACAGATTGTTGGAAAAGGAAGTAAGGGAGGGAGGGAGGAAGGTCATTATAAAAATCAGAAGTTTTGTTACAGATTGGCATCGTCACTGTTGTTTAAAGTTGCAGCTATGATTTTAGACCCTCTTTGGAAGATTTCGTAATAAATGTTGGTCAAAAAATGTTAGCTCTGATAGGGATTTCTAAGATTATCCAAGCATACGGTACCTGAATTCATATGATGTCTTTCTTCCTAAAATATTATCCTTAGTAAGCAAACATTTAAGTGCTTAGCAGTGGTGAGGTTTAATACAGGGTTTGGGAACCTCCAAAGAGAAAGTCGCCTTTCTAAATAATTAATTAAGGGGTAACAGTCAGGTCCACCATTTTCAAACTTTAAAAATAAATAGGCAAGAATTGCATTTCCCTGGTTTTTCAATCTCCTGGAACATCAGTGAAGTATAATAAGAGGTTCTGCCACCCAAGAAGTAGAGGCATTGGTGAAAAGCGGTGTGTGTGTATTTATGTCTGACACCACTAGAACACAAGAGCAGTGCTGGGGGAGAGATGCCAAAGCTGAATAGTGAAAGAAATAAGAATATCAAAAGACTCTTCATCAGACTGTTTATTTTTATTTTTTTAGAGTTGGGGTCTTGCACCATCACCCAGGCTGGAGTACAGTGGTGCAGTCATGGCTCACTGCAGCCTCCAACTTCTGGGCTTGAGTGATCCTCCCACCTCAGCTTCACAAGTACCTAGGACTACAGGTGCAAACCACCATGCCCAGTTAATTTTTTAAAATCTTTTGTAGAAATAGTTCTTGCTGTGTTTCCCAGGCTGGTCTCAAACTCCTGGCCTCAAGCGATCCTTCTACCCAGAGCTCCAAAAGTGCTGGGACTACAAGTGTGAGCCACCATAATCCAGCCTAGATTGGATTTTTCAAGGCCTGAACAGTATTAGAACTATGACTGCCTTAAAAAAGAAATCCACTAGTGTCAGAGAAAACCTAAGACAAATTATAAAACAAGCAAAAATTAGGGATTTTTTTACTGACCAGGCCTTGGCACATGGGTTCCATTTTCTGAAGGCAATTTTTTTTCTGTCATCTGTACATACATATTTTTTTAGGAAAAACTGGGGTCCAGTTCCTGTATGTGATGACCTGAAAAATATTTACCAACTGCTTAAGATGCACTCAGAGGCCTTTCAACACATTTAAAAGATGAAATAGATACAGATCAGACTCTAGAGTTTCTGCCTTAATTTGAATATTGACAAAGAATTATATATTCGCTGAGAATCTCGCTGGTAAAAATGCCACTTGTCATTGGGCTTTCTGAAGGAGTTTGAAGAATGTCTATTAATTGTTCCCATAAGATACATTAAGGGCTATTAATAAAAAGGAAAAAAACTCCATTACCACTCTGGAAAGAAATACTATCATTAGTATTTCTAATAATTTTAATTTTAATCCAGTTGATAAGATGAAATGATTTTTGAATTATTTTTTATGTTTCTCCAGTTAGCTTTTATGTTAGCAAATCACTTATGGATTTTATCAGCAAGATTTACAAAGCCCATGAAAACAACAAAAACCAATTTACTACAGCAATATGGAAAGAAATCAGTCTCATCCATAAGTTGCACCTCAGAATCGTTGGAGCAAAATGCAAAGTGAGGGATAACAGTTGCATTTCACCAGACTCTTCAGAAACCATTTTGCAGGATTACAGAATGGTTTCTTGGCCTCTCGGAAAAGTTAGGTCCAGACAGCTTCATCACTCACAACAAAATATTTTGAAACCTTGATTTCAGTTCAGAGTCTTGTCCAAGAAGATTAAGTTGTTTTCAGGAGGCCATTACTGAGTGAAACCTTCTCATGTTGTGTTTAGGGTGCCAAATTCTTGATTTTTTCCATCTATATATAAAACAAACCATATGATGGTATTATAAAGGGAGTATACTATTTTCTACCATCAGGCAAGCAACGATTTATCATTTTTAAGAAGTCTGTTTTCGGCCAGGAGCAGTGGCTCACGCCTGTAATCCCAGCACTTTGGGAGGCCGAGGCAGGTGGATCACAAGGTCAGGAGGTCAAGACCATCCTGGATGGGTGAAATCCCATCTCTACTAAAAATACAAAAAATTAGCCAGGTGTGGTGGCACGCACCTGTAGTCCCAGCTACTCGGGAGGCTGAGGCAGGAAAATCCCTTGAACCCAGGAGGCGGAGGTTGCAGTGAGCCGAGATCACACCACTGCATTGCAGCCTGGGCAACAGAGCAAGACTCCATCTCAAAAAAAAAAAAAAAAGTCTGTTTTCCACTTAACTGTTAGCTCTGTTGGTTTAGGATGTTCACACAGAAGGCAAGACAAATGTTTCAGATGGCATTGCCTTCCAATAAGAAACACGTAAACTTACCTCTTTTTCACTTATCTTATGGATAAGAGGTAAGTGATAGGAAAGTAGAGGATAAGAACAGAGTAGAGAGAATTAGTTGGTTAAAAAATACAAATACAGGCCAGGTGTGGTGGCTCACGCCTGTAATCCCAGCACTTTGGGAAGCCAAGGTGGGTGGATCACTTGAGGTCAAGAGTTCAAGACCAGCCTGGCCAACATGGTAAAAACCCACCTCTACTAAAAATACAAAAAAAAATTAGCCAGGTGTGGTGGCTGGCACCTGTAATCCCAGCTACTCGGGAGGCTGAGGAAAGAGAATTCCTCAAACCTGGGAGGCGGAGGTTGCAGTGAGCCAAGATCATGCCACTGCACTCCCACCTGGGTGACAGAGTAAGACTCTGTCTCTCTCTCTCTCTCTCTCTCTCTCTCTCTATATATATATATATATATACACACACACACACACACAAATGCAAAGACATTGAGAAATTAAAAGAACAAAGATAGAGATCTTTCTATGGCTCAATAAAGAATGAGTGGAAAAAAGGGACAATTTAAAAATAAACTAAGTGAACACAATGATTTATTTCAAAGCAAAAAGATCTATTCAAAAATGAGACCTTTGAAAAAGATAAACATCCTTATGGGCATTGTATTAGCCTACTGGGGCTGCCAGAAAAAAATACCAGAGACTTGGTGGCTTAAACAACAGTTTATTTTGCCACAGATCTAGGGGTTGGAAGTCCAAGATCAAGGTTCTGGCAGATTCAGTCTCTGGTAAGGGCTTCCGTTTTGGTTTGCAGATGGCTGCTGTCTCATTATGTCTTCACGTGGCTTTCCCTTGGTGCATGTGCACCCTGAGGGGAAAGAGGGGGACATAGAGACAGAGAGAGAGCACAAGCCTTCTGGTATATCTTATGATCCTATTGGATCAGGGCCCCACCCTTATTACCTCATTTAACCTTAATCACTTCATTAGAGGCCTCATCTCTGAATACAGAGGAGTGTAGAGAGTAGAGTTTGGGAATATGAATTGGGGGTGGGGGGCGGGCTCATAAACTTTCAGTCTATAACAGTCAGTAGGGACTGACATCAGAGTTGAGTAACTGAACTTTTCTGAATACAGCTCTCTGGTTTCTATCATATGGTCTAACGGTTTTTCTTCTTCCAGACTCTCCCTGTTTTCATACCTTTTCAAAGAAGAAAAGCAAATGATGCTTTATCCTCAGCCTTAGAGCCCTTAGGAAAGCCATCCCTGAACTCGGGGTTTGCTTTGGAAGTGACTCACAGCACACCTTGTTTGGCAAGTCCTAAACTACAGTTTCAGGGTCCCAAAAGTTCATTTTCCATGTGTCACTTAGAGATTGTGAGGTCAGGTGTTTGGGTCGGTGAGACCAAAATGATCCACAACCCAGTAGTGAATAATTTTATGGGTCAGTCTCCCATATTTCAATTTCAAGTATAATGTTCTATTTTTGTAGTCCATTGACATAAGGAAGGTCATTAGTATGCTGATCCCACTAATTAGGCAATATGTTTAGGAAACAATGGAGGTGAGAATAACTTACTATTTCTGAGCCAGCCACTGTTTTGGGTGGGAGTTTATAGGTATTTCCTTTGTGAAATGTGTAGTGTGATTTAAACTTACAAAATGGAGAGTGTTCTATGGAATGTTTCTGGGGGGGCACCTTTCATTTGGCAAATAGTTGTTGATTTCAGAGCGTTTCCCTGTTTCAAAGTGTGACTATGCACTTTTGGTAATTTTACCTTCAAGAGTTCCAACTCTACCATTGTTTTCAGCTCTGCACAAAACACAGAATTAAGATGTCACAATATTATGAGTCTTGCCCCCTGCTTAGAAGCTTTGTTTCTGATAGTAAGTCTACTTAAAGCTTGCCTACTGGAATAAAATCGTATTTTCTCCTTAGTGCTGTGAAATTTTGCCTTTCATCTTATTTACAAAGGCTTTCTATTTATTCACATTGCCTGAGAGAATAAGAAATTATTGATATCACTAAAGTCAATGAATGCTTGATAAATATTGGGTAAGTGGATAGATGGAGGTACAAAATTTTTGCATTTTCCACCTTCAAATCAAATAATTATAGAATCATATTGCTGGAAATGTTATAATTCACCTAGTCAAGCTTTTTTTCTCCTACATGTCTTTGAAGAAATTATTTTTCTAAATATTTACTTTAATTAAGTAACATTTGTTTGAATGTTTGAGTGTTCACTATGTGCCAAATACTCTTGTAAGTGCCTTCCTGGATTATCCTAGTTAATTTTATAACAACCATGTTGTAAAAGAATGGGTATTTAAGACAGCCTTGGGCTTGACTTCCTATTTAGTAGAAAACCATATGAAAAGTGGGTCTTTGTCTCTCGATCCCTTCTCCAACCATCCCTGCAATTAGGTAAGACACTCTCAAGATGTCTTCTCCTAGGAGCCTCCCACACACTCACTATATAGGCACATACCTTTTTACCAGTTTCCAAGGAAACCTAATTGGAAAAATAAAACATGCCGCCTTTGTCAGTGAGAGTATTTTCAATGCTCCAATAATGAAAGAGGAGGGAGGTAGGAAGAGAAGCAGGATAGTTCCTTGTTTAAAGATGATGCTGTTTTTGTTGTGCATATTCTTCTCATGGGGCTCTGTTGGCCTTTGAACACTGAATGTTGAAGTCTGAAAATTATCTCCTATTTCAGTTCTTGCTAAAGTTAGCCCCAGGAAAGTTTATTGTTATAAAGGGCTTAATCCATCTTCTACAGTGTCCCCCAGATATCCATTTTAGAAGTAGCCAGACCAAGATTATCCACAGTTATGGGAATCAGGGGTGCCATCAGCAATGAAGTGCACATAAAATCACAAGCCCTCATTTTGGCCATAGTGCACTTGGTTGCCACCTCCTCCCTACATCAGACTGAGCTAAATCTCTATACCTTTTTCTTGGGTAGAGATGCTAAAAGACAAGTCTTTCTTCCTAACTTATATTTGAGGTCCTGATGTTCATTGGTGACTTAGCACCTGCACTTCATTTTTAAATTTGCACCTAGGAACTTGGAGATGTTACTCAGTAAGCTAAAGGAGAGAAGAGGGCATCTCAGTGGCCCCTACTCTCCACACACCCCCAGGTCTGCCCTTCATTTCACTTTCAATGCTGCCGTGGATGTTATATGACTCTGAGAAAAGGAAAAGAATACAACATTCAGATGTTTCTTATCAGCTTTTTAAGGAAATGTGAGGCCTGGAACAGTAGCTCACACCCATAATCCCAGCACTTTGGGAGGCCAAGGCAGGAGGATCACTTGAGTCAGCCTGGGCAACTAAGTGAAATCTTGTCTCTACAAAAAATAAACAAAAATTAGCCATGGTGGTGCATACGTGTAGTCTCAGCTACTTGGGAGGCTAAAGTGGGAGGATTGCTTGAGCCCAGGGAGATGGAGGCTACAGTGAGCTGAGATCATGCCACTGCACTCTAGCACTCTAGTCTAGGTGACAGAGTGAGACCCTGTCTCAAAAAAAAAAAAAAGAAATGTGAGCCATTTAGACCATTAGAAATTAGTTTTAGGCTCAAGAAAATATAAAAAAAAAAAAAGTCAATTAAATGTTTCATTACTGGGGTCTGACCCACAGACCCAGGCTGCACGATGGATGAATAACATACTCAGACACCAATATTCAGTGAAAGAGCAGCTAGGGGGCTGGGCCACTCAGAGCTGTGGCAGCTGCATGCCTTGACTAGCTGGCCCTGCCAGCATTTATTCAGCACAGATTTAATGACAAAGGCTTTGAGTCAACACCACTACAGGGTAATTACACATGGATGATTAAAGGTCACGTTTCTGGAGACATGAGTAAACAAGCTATTCAGATAAACTCCCTTGTATTATTTTGTACCTACTTCTCGCCCTCTGCCCCAGGATAAGAACCACCGCCTTCGGCTCATTCTTCCCCAAAGCTTTGTAAAACACCCCCAGGCCTTCCAAGAAGGTTTGCTTCTCTTTCCTGTAATTTCCTCTTACAATTGTTCCCACCACCCTGACTGAACTCCTACACTTCATGTTTGCTATACCTAGCTTTTATTTTAATGGGTTTAATTTATTACAAAACAAAGCTGAGAATCCTGGTATAACTGGATGTAAAGCCCATTCATATCTATTTTTAGAACTGAGGAAAGTGGGGAGTGTGGAATAGGGGAAGATCCTTAAGCTGGGACTTAGGGGTTACTCAGGGTTGGCCTAGCACTGTCACTTTTGTTCAGCAGGTCACTCCATCTCAGGTTCCCTACCCATCAAATGAGGGGGCTGGTCTCAAGGACAGGACCTTACCTACTCTGAAATTCTGGAGCTCCTTTTCTTGGGGCCTAAAGCTCCTAAATGACTGCAGACATCTATGATTGCAGCTTGTCTGTTGTGATCTATTATTGTCCATATGATTAATTGAGTAAGAAGTTCTTGTACAGGAAGGTAACCCACATTAAAACATCCCAGGAGACAAATGAGCTCTGCCTTGCAATAACATAGTGTTTAACGTCTGGTGGGGCCTAGAAGGCAGTGAGAGGCACTAGTGTTTTTAAAGTCAATGAATTATGTTTTTATGTAAAATACGTAAGTGCTGACATTCTATTTTGACCCAGCATCATTCCACACTGAACAGGCTTCCCAATGATAAGAGGTAGCACTCCTAAGTGTTACAGTGAGCCGGGGGAGAGATGTAAGAACTTCACTCCCAGCCTGAATCAAGCCTCAACTGGGATTTAGGCAAACCTGGGTGATCCTCCGAGATTGCTCCTTGTGAACTGGTGATGAGATGTTATTACCAGTCAATAAAACTGAACTTGAATTAGGCCTATTTTCAGATGCCTCCTGAGTTTTCACTTTAATTCTCTGATAGGAGAGATTGTGTTAAAGTGGGCTCACCTTCACTCTGGAATCTTGCTCAGTGCCCTTCACAGACAAAAAATAAGAAACCGGGTTGCCTCCAAGAAATATTTTTCTGGCTTCTGAGGCAACCTCTGAACTGGTGAATCCAACTCAGGCTTCTCCACCGAAGACCTGATGTTTATTTGGGGGCAAACTTCTATACCAAATTCAAATGGAAAAAGTGTAAGATGTACATGCAAAGAAGCTAAATGGATTATCATGATGCTATGAGCATCTGGACCAGCTACTGCTGTACCTCCCATTTACCAGATAAAAATAAAGGCAAGCTGATTTTACCCTTCCAGTAGATGCTGAGTGACCCGTGAAACTCGTCTTCTGTGCTGTGTAAGAGTTCTGATGGCCGAGCCTCCAGATTTCAATGTTCGGTATTGATAAGAGTCCTAGAAGGCAGTTATCAATTTGTTACCAGTTGTCACTTAGAATAACATGTATATTCTCTTTCTTGAGTCTTTTTTTTCCCCAAGATGGAGTCTGTGTTGCCAGGCTAGAGTGCAGTGGCAAGATCTCAGTTCACTGCAACCTCTGCCTCCCGGGTTCAAGTGATTCTCCTGCCTCAGCCTCCTGAGTAGCTGGGATTACAGGCACCTGTCATCACACCTAGCTAATTTTTGTATTTTTAGTAGAGATGGGGTTTCACCATGTTGGCCAAGCTGGTCTCAAACTCCTGACCTCAAGTGATCCACCTGCCTTGGCCTCCCAAAGTGCTGGGATTACAGGTGTGAGCCACCAAGCCCAACTCTCAAGTCTTTTCAACCTGATAAAGTTACACTAAAATTTCTATTACACCACTGAAGAATGTTACTTTTTTTATTTACGCCTGCCTCACCTTTTTTCACAAGATTCGAGGCTACTTACAAAAATACATCTGAGGAAAAAGGATAAAATGAATGGTTTTGAGAAAATACAGCCCAGGATGAGAAATGACAGTACTAAGACCGCAACATGGTGAGCACAGATCCACCACTGTCATTGTTGGGTACAGGTTACAAATTTGGCTCTGAACTCCCCAGTGAACAAAACACAGAAAGAATCTTATCGATTACATGACTCATAGTATTTCTAAGATTTTTCAGTTTCTCAGAAGAGGTCTGACTTTTCTTAGTGCTGAGATTTGAGAGCTGTTTCTCCCTTGAGTCCTCATAAAGAGAACACTAGATCAGTTAGGATAAACTTGCACTGTAAAGAACTAAAAACCCAAAATAACAATGGCTTGAATAAGATAATTTTTTTTTTAAGAGTGCCCTTTTGATTATCCCTGTGAGAAAGAACATATTGTGATGTGAAGTGGGTGCATGACTTGGGCAGAATTTCCTATAAACACCAAGAAAACCAGTGTTAAGTCCTGCATTTTGACACCTAGTCTAGTGTTAACATGTGGCCCCCTGACCTGCATTAATAAGATATCTTATAGAGAGACCAGATTCCTGCTTCCTATGTAATTCATAGAGTGATCCCAGGCTGCTCAGCAAATGCAGTCACAGCATGTGGGTGCCTTTATCCCGGAAGCATTGCCATCAGTCATCAGTTTCTGATTATCTCTCAAGTCAGTATAGGCAGTCCAGGGCACGAATGGCCCTTGATGGGTGTCAGAAACTCAGAGCCTCATATATTGTTCCTCCACCCCATGGCCCAAGATTATCTTCTGCTGTGGTCAAAATGTCCCCTCCAGCCAGCAAGAAAGAGGAAGGAAGGAGGAAGGGTGCATCCGCACCCTTTAAAGATAGATCCAGGAAGTTGTATGAAGGACACTTCCAATACATCCTTTGGCCAGAACTTAATCACATTGCCACACCTTGCCGAGAAGGCTGAAAACCAGAGTCTTTATTCCAAGCCTAGGTAAAAGCAAGCTTTCCATTTGTTAAAGCATAAAGGCAGTACTGTCATCCCTTGCTATCCGTGGGGGACTGGTTCCAAGATCCCCAAGGTTACCAAATTCCATGGATGCTCAAGTCCCTGATATAAAATGGGGTAGAATTTGCATATAACAAATATATATCCTCCCATATCCTTTAAATCATCTCTAGATTGCTTAGAATGCCTAATGCAATGTAAATGCTATGTAAATAGTTGTTACACTGTATTGCTTTTTATTTGTATCACTTTTTGTTGAAAGCTACTTTACCACAGTTCTGGACGCTAGAAGTCCAAGCAGCAGGTGTTTGGCAGGGTTGGTTTCCTCAGAGGCCTCTCTCCTTTGCTTGCTGCCGCTGCCTTCTTGCTGTGTCCCCATCTTCATGTGGCCTTTCTTCTGTGCAAAGGAACCCCTAGTGTCTCTCTAGGTGTCCTAATCTTCTCCTATAAGGACACCAGGTAGATTTGATTAGGACCCACACTAGTGGCCTTGTTTTAACTTAATTACCTCTTTGAAGATCCTATCTCCAAATAAGTCACATTCTGAGGTACTGGTGGGGGTTGCAGCTTCAACATATGAATTTGGGTGGGGGAGAAGGAAGGGGCATGATTGGAGGGAACACAATTCAGTCCATAATAGGCAGAATAGATACGGGAAGACAAGCAGTAGTCTCTTGCCACGTTAACCGGCCAGCAGCCCTGTAACTGGATAAATACTGCAGTAATTCTTTGGAATCTTCTGTTCTGTCTCACCTTTTAAATCCAAGACTCCTTGAAAGCAGGAGTCCTAGAATTAAATGCAGTGCTTTGCACCTGTAGGTGCTTAGTGACTGCTTGCAGGTGTTGGTGGTAACTACCCAAGGAATCACAGCCTGAGCAGACACTGGAACTCAGGATTCCTGATTCTCTACCACCTACTCTGCCCAGCATGCTGCACTGACTCTTTTAAGTTCTGACAACCAACACACCACCACCCACCATGTGGGAACTTAAAGTCATATGTTTTTGTGTCAGATTTTTCATATCAAAGATTACAAGGCCCTAAAGCTTTACACAATTCTAAGGCTTCTACAGAGACCCCAGCAGATATCAAACTATTTTAAGCCCTCATATCAAAAGCCATTTGAATCCTTTCTGGACCATTTTGCTTTGTTTTGTTTTCTATGGACACTCTGCAGAAATTTTAGGAGGTAAGGGTGAGTTGTCACAAGGTCAAAGCCAGCATACCACAACTCTAGGAAAAGTTGGAAAATCACTGCCCTAACCTCAGTGGCCTCTCCCCTGGAGCATCCAGTTTGAACAAAGACAAAATAAGCCTCAAACTTGGAACAGTATTTTTTTCTTCCACTTCTCTAACCAGCTTGCAAACTGCCTCCCATTGAGCCAGAGTGAGACTTTACTTGGCAAAGATAATTTCACCTAATGTATGCCAACAGCCTTGCTCCTGGGGTACCTCTCAAATCCACCCCAGGATTCTAGGTTCCTGTACTTCCCTGTAGCAGGACTTGGCCCCCAGGAGGCTGTGAAGTTTCCATGGAGAGCCCTGTTGGCACAGCCTGAGACATAGTCTCTTCTCCTAGTCCATTTCTGCCCTAGCAACAGCTACCTCCAATGCAGCTTTGGAAGCTGTTCAATATAGTTAATTGTTTGCATTGGACAGTAGTGTGTTTAGAGCTTATACATCTAAACAGACAATTATTATTTTCTGCTATTTGCTAGTGGCAATGCCTGCCTGGTGACTTTGGCAGATGGAGAAAGGAGCTAATCCGTAGGTTATAAGCAGAAGGGTTATTGATGAAATGTCACCATCTGTTGGTGTCATTAAAATGATATGAGTCATAAAGAGTTGCTTTTGTGTTTTATCAGAAAAAGGTTAGCTTGAAGTCGAGAGAAAAGTTGCTAGATTGTGGATGGTAGTGATGAACAGAGCTAGGGGGAGGCATCAATCTCAGAATGGGGAGGAGCCTTAATGAACTCATCAGCTTGATGGGTCTTCAGGGAAGCTGACTGACTCTCTGCTAGAAAAAAAAATCATCTCTCATGTGAGATGGGGTATTTATTAAGAATGATGCAGTACCCCAAGGCTCCCATGCCTATTTCTGGGGCATCTGCCAGGAGGTAAGGGGAAAGTCATTCATTTGGGTTAAACAAGAAGGATCATATCTGGGAGGGAACAGACAGGAAAATATACCTGTCTCCTTAATCCACATTGGCCCCATGACACAAAGATTATTCACGTAGCTAGCTGACACCTTGGGAGGCTGGTGAGCCCAATAGGGAATGATATTCTCTACACCTGCTATATCCACAAGGAAGAGACAGAGGTGGCATAGAAGAGGGACCAGAGCCAGCACACCAAGCTTCCACCAAAGATGGGAGCCCTCAGGATGGAAGAAAGAAAGCAATGGATGGAATAATATGTGAATTGCATAGAAAGAAATAGGGAGTGTGAGGTGTATATTTAAAAAGGATCCAGGGTACCAAAATAAACTGTCAACTTCCTGATGCTGCCTTATTATTATTATACCTAATCCCTTTAATTCCACCATATTTGCTGTTTACAAATTCTTTTACCCACTGCCAAGGACATATACCCAAAGCAGAAGAACCTGTTGTTACTAACCCTTTTCAATATGGCTTCGCATCCCTTTTTTAAATTATTATTTCAAATTGTAACTCCTAGGGAGAGTTGAAGAGATTGTATAAAACACTATACATACTTTCTGCAGTACCTCAGTTTTGCCAGATAAATAAACAAGACATAGCATTGCTGTGAGCCCGGCCTCTCACCCAGCCCTGACCTCTCCTCAAGGCCAGCTGACCTGAGCCTGCCCCTCATGCCACCTCTGTAGGGACACAGGTGCTGGAGGGGGGCGCTGTTACTGTTTGAAAAGTGTATGGTGCTGGAAGCAAGAGCCCCAGGGGTAGGAGCTTTCTAAAGTTATTTATATGGTCTCAAAAGGAAGCATCAGTGGAAAAGTTCCTGTTGATATTTTTAGATCTGATGCGTGGTCCACTGCTGCACTTTCATTTTCAAACAAGCAGGGAAGGGAGTGATTGATGATGTCTACAGTGCTGTTTTGGAAGTATTGAGGGCTCAGCTGACAGGCTAACGGTCACCCCCTGCTGGGCCCAGACCCTCCCCCTCCATCTCTTCTAGCCCTGACTTCAGAAGCTACTGACTTCAGTGGCTGACAAATAAAACGCTGGCCATTGGCTGCCAAGTCAGAGACTCTGAAGTTTGTTCCCTGGCTCCGACACCCCGTGCAGGTTCACTGTCTTGCTTGACTTGTATTTTCTGTTTCTGAGGACTGAGACATATGTTTGCATAAGTTGTCTTTGGCTGCAAGTACAATGGTTTAGAATTTAGCTGTGGTTAAGCAGGTGACCAACTCACAACCTGAGAAGGGTGTGGGGGTGACAGGGAGAAATGAAGAGAGGTCGGTCAATGGGTACAAACTTACAGTTAGATAGAAGAAATCAGTCCTAATGTTCCTTAGGAGACTAGGGTGACCGTAGCTAGCAACAACACACTATATATTCCAAAGCTAGAAGAGAGGGCTTGGAATGTTACCACACATAGAAATGATAAACACTCAAGGTGATGGAGGCCCCAAATACCCTGACTTGATCATTACACATTCAATGCATGTAAAAAATACATTTACCCCAGAAATACGTAAAATATCAATGAAAGAAAAAAACTCACAACTACACAAAAATCAATGCACTTAGCTATTCCAAGGCCAGTGGGAAGTTAATCTCTCTTAGTAGTATTACTGAATTGTTTCTGTGGTTACTTTCATTTGCCTGATGAAAATCAGTGTTCCAAAAAAAAAAAAAGAGAAAAAGAAATATTTTTTATCAGTGCTCTCCTTCCCAAGGAGCCTGAAAGCTTGTGACTCTGTCTTCAAGGAGAAGGAAAGATGGGGAGATGGTGGTCATCAAGTCTTTTCCTCCACAGATATAGTTTGTTATAAGAAGCTCGTGAATTGTAGTTGTAGCCCACTCCAGTTGAATAATCAGTTGATGAACATGAGAAACTGAAGAGCATTCAAGGAGATAAAAGAAAATTCTTACATGCTCATGGCTGGACAATGTATTATTTGTTCCTAGGACTCAGACTGTGACAAATCTCAAAATCACACATATGAAGCTACTGGAACGAGTCCAGAAAACTGATAAGACATGGAGCTTCCCCTTTGTTCTGTGCTCCTGTTGTTGTGCCTGTGTACATTTTATTTTTTTGTTTGTTTAATTTTACCTCTTTTTCTACCACAGACCGCTGATGAGGAGGAGGACCAGCCTCTCAGCCTTGCCTGGCCTTCTGAAACCCGCAAGCAAGTCACGTTTCTGATTGTTTTCCCCATAGTGTTTCCTCTCTGGATTACGTTACCTGACGTTCGCAAACCTGTAAGTAAAGCATTTTAAAAATAGTTCCCTTGTAAAACATATGGTACATAACAGGGTGCATAGTCTGCTTCAGTTTGTGTTAAAAGGAAAAAGGAAGTACACTTGTATCAAAATCTCACATATACCCCATAAATAGGTACAACTATTATGTAACAAGAAAAAATATTTAAGTTTAAGGAAAAAGAGAAAGTGACATTAAGAATATACAGATTTCTCTGAGCAGACACACAATCACACTGATTGTTCAGGTTATCAAATCTGCATAACAAACTACCCCAAAACTTAGTGGTGTGAAACAACCATCCTTTTAGTCTTTTCTTGGATCCTGTCGATCAAGAATTTGAATAGGGCACATTGTGGATGGCTTGTCTCTGCTCCATTATGTCTGTGGCCTGAAGTAGAAAGACTTGAAGGGTTATGTGTATCTCATCTTGGGGCTACCATCATCTGGAGGCTTCTTTGCCATTTCTGGCACCTGGGCAGAAATGATTCAAAGGTTAGGCTCAGCTGGGACGGTCTACTGGAATGCCTAAACATGGCCTTTTCATGTGACTTGGGCTTCCTCACAGCATGGTAGCCTCAGGATAGTGAAATGTTTTACATAAGAGGTCAGTCAGGACTCCAAGAGTGAATGTTGCAGTGACAGAAGGCAGAAACTGCATGGTCTGTGATGATTCAGTCCCAGAAGTTACATAGATTCACTTCTGCTATGCCCTATTGACCAAAGCAGTCCTAAGTGTGTCTTGATTAAAGGGGGAGGAAACAAAAAGTTTACCTAGAATACGTCAGTGTCATATAGCATATCACTCTCCTGTTGGGAAGAGTGTCAAAGAATTTGCAAACATGTTTTAAAACCCCCACAGCGTTTGTCTCTGAGAAGGTAAGAAGGGCAACTGAAGGTCTGAAGCAGGAAGGTTACTCACATTTTCTTGAACATTCTTGTGACTATCATTACTTTAATCGACTATGTTTACTATCATTACTTTAATCGATTTTATTATCTACCATTATCACATACTGGGTGCTCCGAACGCAACAACATCAGCAAATTACAACCTGAGTATAGACCAAATCAAGAGAATACACCCACCCACTGTTGTTGAAGTGAGTTCTTGGGCCATTGCCCCAGAGGTGAAAGAACTAAGGAGAGGGAAGGAGAAACAGCTCTACTTCTTAGTATAGGACCACACACACAAACTCATTCAACAAAACTGTATACCTAATATGCATCAGATTCTGCACTAAATGTTCCTCGTGAGAGTCTCATTTCTGTTTGGAACAGCACACAGTATACTCGGAAATACAGTCCATCCCAGGGCTGGCCCTTGGCGGGAGCAATGAGAGAAGTCCCAGTGGCTACCCTGGCCATGCTGCAGGGGCTGACTCTCAAAGGGGGACTGCACAGGGAGGAGAGCATTGTGGACAGCTCCATTTTCTTGTTAGGTGCATCAGCCAGGGCAGTCGTCATAACCAACTGCCTTGATTGATTCCTGTTGGTTTGCCACAGTTGCCAATCAGGAGACTTTGATCTGGTCTAATACCTTCTTGATCTTTCAACTCAGATTGGCAAGAGGATGAACATTTTGCCAGCCTTTATTCTAAAAGTCCTTCCCAACCCTGAGAGCCCAAGGCCTTGAGTTATTGGTCCACAGTAAACTATATTATGTAATTTCAGGAAACATCTAGGGTAGGAATATGTATATTGTTGGCATAAGTAGAAAGAAACTTAGGCACAAAGAAGTTAATTTATACCTGGTCATTTCCTAGAAGGTAGGGCTGAGATCCAGACCCAGGTCTATGTGACCACATGGCTTGGGCTTTGCTTCATATTTAGTGATGCCACAAAGTAGAAAAAAAAATCATTTAAAAAAAATCATTTCTAAAAGCACTTGGAATAGAATATTTTGATAACTTCCAGCATAATTTATCATAAGTCTTCAAGAGCTCCTTCATTTGAAAAAGACAGAAGAAAAACCCCATCCCATTACCTTGGCCCTTAAATAATGCAGCCTAGTGGAGAGCCATGTCTTGTCAAGTAGACAACAAGAAAGGACTCCTTGTATGGACTCCCAGCAGTATAGGTTTCCTGGTAAAGGATGCATGACACAGGTGTGGCTCACTTAAAGCAATATTTAAGTTTCTTTATTCAAGATACCATTTTACAGCATCTGCACTATGCAAAGGCCTGGCTTCCTGAAAACCCACAACCAAATAGCTGAATGTGTTTGATTTTTCTTGGCTCACACCACACTGACATTTCTAAGATATGCTTGCATTGTCTCTCCTCTCTCTGTCTGTCTCTCTCTCTCTCTTGCTCTGCTGTTTAGTCCAATGCTTTTGTGTGGCCCTAGGGAGGAAAATCAGGGAGACAGATACAGTTTTCTAAATTCCCAAAAGGGGCCTCATGTGGTGTGGCCCCCAGAAGATGGGGGCAGATTGGTTGATGAGAGGATGTTTGCATACAACCATTGAGGCACTCAGGAAGATGTGCAGGAATGGGAGGAAGATGCCAGTAAGTCAAGGCCCTTGACTCTCAGAATTGGGAGGAACTCTCAGAGAAAGGGCTGGCAAAGTGTTTATCCTCTTGGTAATCCTAGTTGAAACGTCAAAGAAGCTGTTAGGGAAGATCAAAAGCTCCCAACTTCCTAACTGGTAACTTTTGGAAAACCAACAAAAATCAATCAAGGCAGTCGTTACGTGGGTCATGACAACTGCTCTGGCTGATGCCACAATCCGGAGAGGCACAGAGCAAGAAAACAGAGCTGTCCCCAGTCCACTGCTCCCTGTGCAGTCCCCCTCTGAGAGCCAGCACCTGCAGAATGGGCAGGGTAGCCAGCGGGGCTTTACTTCATTGCTCCCCCAAGTGCTAGCCCTGGAATGGACTGGATTTCTTTTGTTTTTCTGAGTACTCTGTGCTATTCCAAGCAGAAATAAGACTCTTAGGAAGAACACTTTGGTTTTTTTCAACTTCCTTCACAAATATTTATTGAGCACCTATTATGTGCCAAACACTGGGCCTTGGCCAGTGCTTAAGAGACATAAAGACAGGGTTGCTGGCAAGATGGCCAAATAGGAACAGCTCCAGTATGCAGCTCCCAGCGAGATCGCCACAGAAGGCAGGTGATTTTTCCACATTTCCAGCTAAGGTGGGGTGTGGGGTGTCGCCTCACCCAGGAAGTGCAAGGGGTCAGGAAATTCTCTCCCCTACCCAAGGGAAGCTGTGAGGGACTGTGCCATGAGGAACAGTGCACTCTGGCCCAGACACTGTGCTTTTCCCACAGTCTTTGCAACCCACAGACCAGAAGATACCCTCCAGTGTCCTGGGTTTCAAGCACAAAACTGAGTAGCCATTTGGGCAGACCCTGAGCTAGCTGCAGGAGTTTTGTGTTGTTTTTTTTTTTCCCATACCTCAGTGGTGCCAGAACACCAGTGAGACAGAACCATTCACTTCCCTGGAAAAGGGGCCGAAGGCAGGGAGCCAAGTGGTCTGGCTTGGTGGGTCCAACCCCCACGGAGTCCAGCAAGCTAAGATCCACAACTTGAAGTTCTTGCTGCCAGCACAACAGTCTGAGGTCAACCTGGGATGCTCAAGCTTGGTGGGGGAAGGGGTGTCAACCAGTGCTGAGGCTTAAGTAGGCAGTTTTACCCTGACAGTGTAAACAAAGCCACCGGGAAGTTCAAACTGGGTGGAGCCCACTGCAGCTCAGCAAGGCCTCTGTGGCCAGACTGCTTCTATAGATTCCTCCTCTCTGGCAAGGGCATCACTGAAAAAAAAAGGCAGTACCCCCAAACATATAGATAAAACCCCCATCTCCCTGGGACAGAGCATCTGGCGGAAGGGGCGGTTGTAGGTGCAGCTTCAGCAGACTTAAACGTCCCTGCCTACTGGCTCTGAAGAGAGCACAACGTTCAAGCTCTGCTAAGGATCAGACTGCCTCCTCAAGTGGGTCCCTGACACCCATGTGTACTGACTGGGAGACAGCTCCCAGTAGGGGCCAACAGACCTACCTCATACAGGAGAGCTCTGGCTGGCATCTGGCAGGTGCCCGTATGAGACAAAGGTTCCAGAGGAAACAACACGCAGCAGTCTTTGCTGTTCTGCAGCCTCCTCTGGTGATATCCAGGCAAACAGGGTCTGGAGTGGACCTCCAGCAAACTCCAACAGACCTGCAGCACAGGGTCCTGTTAGAAGGAAAACTAGGCCAGGTGCAGTGGCTCACGGCTGTAATCCCAGCACTCTGGGAGGCCGAGGAGGGCAGATCACAAGGTCAGGAGATTGAGACCATCCTGGCTAACACAGTGAAACCCGTCTCTAGTAAAAACACAAAAAATTAGGCAGGCGTGGTGGTGGGTGCCTGTAGTCCCAGCTACTCAGGAGGCTGAGGCAGGAGAATGGCATGAACCCAGGAGGTGGAGCTTGCAGTGAGCCATGATTGCACCACTGCACTCCAGCGTAAGCAACAGAATGAGACTCTGTCACAAAAAAAAAAGAAAAAAAAACTAAAAAATAGGAATAGCACATCTACTCAGAGACCCCATCCGAAGGTCACTGACTACAAAGACCGACGGTAGATAAATTCACTAAGATGGGGAGAAACCCGCGCAAAAAGGCTGAAAATTCCAAAAACCTGAACACCTCTTCTCAAGGATGACAACTCCTCACCAGCAATGGAACAAAAATGGATGGAGAATGAGTTTCATGACTCGACAGAAGTAAGCTTCAGAAAGTGGGTAATAACAAACTCCTCTGAGCTAAAGCAGCATGTTCTAACCCAATGCAAGGAAGCTAAGAACCTTGAAAAAAGGTTACGCGAATTGCTAACTGGAATAACCAGTTTCGAGAAGAACATAAATGACCTGATGGAGCTGAAAAACACAGCATGAGAATTCTGTGAAGCATACACAACTATAAATAGCTGAATCAATCAAGCAGAAGAAAGGATATCAGAAAGTGAAGATCAACTTAATGAAATGAAGTGAGAAGACAAGATTAGAGAAAAAAGGATGAAAGGGATCAAACAAAGCCTCCAAGAAATATGGGACTATGTGAAAAGATCAAATCCACCTCTGATTGGTGTACCTGAAAGTGATGGAGAGAATGGAACCAAGTTGGAAAACACTTTTCGGGATATCATCCAGGAGAAGTTCCCCAACCTAGCAAGACAGGCCAACGTTCAAATTCAGGAAATACAGAGAACACCACAAAGATACTCCTTGAGAAGAGCAACCCCAAGACACATAATCATCAGATTCACCAAAGTTGAAATGAAGGAAAAATTGTTAAGGGCAGCCAGAGAGAAAGGTCAGGTTACCCACAAAGGGAAGCCCATCAGACCAACAGCAGATCTCTCTGCAGGAACCTTACAAGCTAGAAGAGAGTGGGGGCCAATATTCAACATTCTTAAAAGAATTTTCAACCCAGAATTTCATATCCAGGCAAACTCAGTTTCGTAAGTGAAGGAGAAATAAACTCCTTTACAGACAAGCAAATGCCGAGAGATTTTGTCACCACCAGGCCTGCCTTACAAGAGCTCCTGAAGGAAACACTAAACATGGAGAGGAACAACTGGAACCAGCCACTGCAAAAACATACCAAATTGTAAAGACCATCAACACTATAAAGAAACAACATCAACTAACAGGCAAAATAACCAGTTAGCATCATAATGACAGAATCAAATTCACACATAACAATATTAACCTTAAATGTAAATGTGATAAATTCCCTAATTAAAAGACACAGACTGGCAAATTGGATAAGCGTCAAGACCCATCAGTGGCTGTATTCAGGAGACCCACCTCACATGCAAAGACAAACATAGGCTTAAAATAAAGGGATGGAGGAAGATTTACCAAGCAAATAGAAAGAAAAAAAAAAAAAGCAGGGGTTGCAATCCTAGTCTCCGACAAAACAGACTTTAAACCAACAAAGATCAAAAGAGAAAGAAGGCCATTACCTAATGGTAAAGGGATCAATGCAACAAGAAGAGCCAACTATCCTAAATATATATGCACACCATTCAGGAGCATCCAAGTTCATAAGGCAAGTTCTTAGAGATCCACAAAGAGACTTACACTCCCACACAATAATAGTGGGAGATTTAATACCCCACTGTCAATATTAGACACATCAATGAGACAGAAAATTAGCAAGGATATCCAGGACTTGAACTCAGCGCTGGAACAAGCAGACCTAATAAACATCTACAGAACTCTCTACCCCAAATCAGAAGAATATACATTCTTCTCAGCACCTCATCGCACTTATTCTAAAATGGACCACATAATTGGAAGTAAAACACTCCTCAGCAAATGCAAAAGAATGGAAATCATAACAAACAGTCTCTCAGACCATAGTGCAATCAAATTAGAACTCAGGATTAAGAAACTCACTCAAAACTGCACAACTACATGGAAATTGAACAACATGCTCCTGAATGACTACTGGGTAAAAAACGAAATGAAGGCAGAAACAAAGATGTTCTTTGAAACCAATGAGAACTAACAACACAACGTACAATCTCTGGGACACATTTAAAGCACTGTGTAGAGGGAAATTTATAGCACTAAATGCCCACAAGAGAAAGCAGAAAAGATCTAAAATCGACACCCTAACATCAAAATTAAAAGAACTAGAGAAGCAAGAGCAAACAAATTCAAAAGATAGCAGAAGACAAGAAATAACTAAGATCAGAGCAGAACTGAAGGAGATAGAGACATGAAAAACCCTTCAAAAAAAAAAAAATCAATGAATCCAGGAGCTGGTTTCTTGAAAAGATCAAAAAATGGATAGACTGCTAGCCAGACTAATAAAGAAAAGAGAGAAGAATCAAATGGATGCAATAAAAAATGATAAAGGGGATATCACCACTGATCCCACAGAAATACAAACTACCATCAGAGAATACTATAAACACCTCTATGCAAATAAACCAGAAAATCTAGAAGAAATGGATAAATTCCTGGACACATACACCCTCCCAAGACTAAACCAGGAAGAAGTCGAATCCCTGAATAGACCAATAACAACTTCTGAAATTGAGGCAGTAATTAATAGCCTACCAAAGTCCAGAACCAGATGAATTCACTGCCAAATTCTACCAGAGGTACAAAGAGGAGCTGGTACCATTCCTTCTGAAACCATTTCAAACAATAGAAAAAGAGGGGATCCTCCCTAACTCATTTTACAAGGCCAGCATCATCCTGATACCAAAACCTGCCAGAGACACAACAAAAAAAGAAAATTTCAGGCCAGTATCCCTGATGAACATCGATGCGAAAATCCCCAATAAAATACTGGCAAACCAAATCCAGCAGCACATCAAAAAGCTTATGCACCACCATCAAGGTGGCTTCATCCCTGGGATGCAAGGCTGGTTCAACATATGCAAATCAATAAATGTAATCCATCACATACACAGAACCAATGACAAAAAGCACGTGATTATTTCAACAGATGCAGAAAAGTCCTTCAACAAAAATTCAACACCCTTCATCCTAAAAAATTCTCAATAAAGTAGGCACTGATTGAACGTATCTCAATAAGAGCTGTTTATGGCAAACCCATAGCCAATATCGTACTGAATGGGCAAAAACTGGAAGCATTCCCTTTGAAAACTGGCACAAGACAAGGATGCCCTCTCTCATCACTCCTATTCAATATAGTATTGGAAGTTCTGGCCAGGGCAATCAGGCAAGAGAAAGAAACAAAGGGTGTTCAATTAGGAAAAGAGGAAGTCAAATTGTCTCTGTTTGCAGATGACATGATTGTATATTTAGAAAACTCTATTGTCCCAGCCCAAAATCTCCTTAAGCTGATAAGCAACTTCAGCACCTCAGGATACAATATCAATGTGCAAAAAATCACAAGCATTCATATACACCAATAAAAGACAAACAGAGAGAAGGGAGGAGCCAAGATGGCCGAATAGGAACAGCTCCGGTCTACAGCTCCCAGCGTGAGCGACGCAGAAGACGGGTGATTTCTGCATTTCCATCTGAGGTACCGGGTTCATCTCACTAGGGAGTGCCAGACAGTGGGCGCAGGCCAGTGTGTGCGTGCACCGTGCGCGAGCCGAAGCAGGGCGAGGCATTGCCTCACCTGGGAAGCGCAAGGGTCAGGGAGTTCCCTTTCCGAGTCAAAGAAAGGGGTGACAGACGGCACCTGGAAAATCGGGTCACTCCCACCCGAATATTGCGCTTTTCAGACCGGCTTGAAAAACGGCGCACCAGGAGACTATATCCCACACCTGGCTCAGAGGGTCCTACGCCCACGGAATCTCGCTGATTGCTAGCACAGCAGTCTGAGATCAAACTGCAAGGCGGCAACGAGGCTGGGGGAGGGGCGCCCGCCATTGCCCAGGCTTGCTTAGGTAAACAAAGCAGCCGGGAAGCTCGAACTGGGTGGAGCCCACCACAGCTCAAGGAGGCCTGCCTGCCTCTGTAGGCTCCACCTCTGGGGGCAGGGCACAGACAAACAAAAAGACAGCAGTAACCTCTGCAGACTTAAGTGTCCCTGTCTGACAGCTTTGAAGAGAGCAGTGGTTCTCCCAGCACGCAGCTGGAGATCTGAGAACGGGCAGACTGCCTCCTCAATTGGGTCCCTGACCCCTGACCCCCGAGCAGCCTAACTGGGAGGCACCCCCCAGCAGGGGCACACTGACACCTCACACTGCAGGGTATTCCAACAGACCTGCAGCTGACGGTCCTGTCTGTTAGAAGGAAAACTAACGACCAGAAAGGACATCTACACCGAAAACCCATCTGTACATCACCATCATCAAAGACCAAAAGTAGATAAAACCACAAAGATGGGGAAAAAACAGAACAGAAAAACTGGAAACTCTAAAAAGCAGAGTGCCTCTCCTCCTCCAAAGGAACGCAGTTCCTCACCAGCAACGGAACAAAGCTGGATGGAGAATGATTTTGACGAGCTGAGAGAAGAAGGCTTCAGACGATCAAATTACTCTGAGCTACGGGAGGACATTCAAACCAAAGGCAAAGAAGTTGAAAACTTTGAAAAAAATTTAGAAGAATGTATAACTAGAATAACCAATACAGAGAAGTGCTTAAAGGAGCTGATGGAGCTGAAAACCAAGGCTCGAGAACTACGTGAAGAATGCAGAAGCCTCAGGAGCCGATGCCATCAACTGGAAGAAAGGGTATCAGCAATGGAAGATGAAATGAATGAAATGAAGCGAGAAGGGAAGTTTAGAGAAAAAAGAATCAAAAGAAATGAGCAAAGCCTCCAAGAAATATGGGACTATGTGAAAAGACCAAATCTACGTCTGATTGGTGTACCTGAAAGTGATGGGGAGAATGGAACCAAGTTGGAAAACACTCTGCAGGATATTATCCAGGAGAACTTCCCCAATCTAGCAAGGCAGGCCAACGTTCAGATTCAGGAAATACAGAGAATGCCACAAAGATACTCCTCAAGAAGAGCAACTCCAAGACACATAATTGTCAGATTCACCAAAGTTGAAATGAAGGAAAAAATGTTAAGGGCAGCCAGAGAGAAAGGTCAGGTTACCCTCAAAGGAAAGCCCATCAGACTAACAGCGGATCTCTCGGCAGAAACCCTACAAGCCAGAAGAGAGTGGGGGCCAATATTCAACATTCTTAAAGACAAGAATTTTCAACCCAGAATTTCATATCCAGGCAAACTAAGCTTCATAAGTGAAGGAGAAATAAAATACTTTATAGACAAGCAAATGCTGAGAGATTTTGTCACCACCAGGCCTGCCCTAAAAGAGCTCCTGAAGGAAGCACTAAACATGGAAAGGAACAACCGGTACCAGCCGCTGCAAAATCATGCCAAAATGTAAAGACCATCAAGACTAGGAAGAAACTGCATCAACTAACGAGCAAAATCACCAGCTAACATCATAATGACAGGATCAAATTCACACATAACAATATTAACTTTAAATATAAATGGACTAAATTCTGCAATTAAAAGACACAGACTGGCAAGTTGGATAAAGAGTCAAGACCCATCAGTGTGCTGTATTCAGGAAACCCATCTCACGTGCAGAGACACACATAGGCTCAAAATAAAAGGATGGAGAAAGATCTACCAAGCCAATGGAAAACAAAAAAAGGCAGGGGTTGCAATCCTAGTCTCTGATAAAACAGACTTTAAACCAACAAAGATCAAAAGAGACAAAGAAGGCCATTACATAATGGTAAAGGGATCAATTCAACAAGAGGAGCTAACTATCCTAAATATTTATGCACCCAATACAGGAGCACCCAGATTCATAAAGCAAGTCCTGAGTGACCTACAAAGAGACTTAGACTCCCACACATTAATAATGGGAGACTTTAACACCCCACTGTCAACATTAGACAGATCAACGAGACAGAAAGTCAACAAGGATACCCAGGAATTGAACTCAGCTCTGCACCAAGCGGACCTAATAGACATCTACAGAACTCTCCACCCCAAATCAACAGAATATACATTTTTTTCAGCACCACACCACACCTATTCCAAAATTGACCACATAGTTGGAAGTAAAGCTCTCCTCAGCAAATGTAAAAGAACAGAAATTATAACAAACTATCTCCCAGACCACAGTGCAATCAAACTAGAACTCAGGATTAAGAATCTCACTCAAAGCCGCTCAACTACATGGAAACTGAACAACCTGCTCCTGAATGACTACTGGGTACATAATGAAATGAAGGCAGAAATAAAGATGTTCTTCGAAACCAGCGAGAACAAAGACACCACATACCAGAATCTCTGGGACACATTCAAAGCAGTGTGTAGAGGGAAATTTATAGCACTAAATGCCTACAAGAGAAAGCAGGAAAGATCCAAAATTGACACCCTAACATCACAATTAAAAGAACTAGAAAAGCAAGAGCAAACACATTCAAAAGCTAGCAGAAGGCAAGAAATAACTAAAATCAGAGCAGAACTGAAGGAAATAGAGACACAAAAAACCCTTCAAAAAATCAATGAATCCAGGAGCTGGTTTTTTGAAAGGATCAACAAAATTGATAGACCACTAGCAAGACTAATAAAGAAAAAAAGAGAGAAGAATCAAATAGACACAATAAAAAATGATAAAGGGGATATCACCACCGATCCCACAGAAATACAAACTACCATCAGAGAATACTACAAACACCTCTACACAAATAAACTAGAAAATCTAGAAGAAATGGATAAATTCCTCGACACATACACTCTCCCAAGACTAAACCAGGAAGAAGTTGAATCTCTGAATAGACCAATAACAGGCTCTGAAATTGTGGCAATAATCAATAGTTTACCAACCAAAAAGAGTCCAGGACCAGATGGATTCACAGCCGAATTCTACCAGAGGTACAAGGAGGAGCTGGTACCATTCCTTCTGAAACTATTCCAATCAATAGAAAAAGAGGGAATCCTCCCTAACTCATTTTATGAGGCCAGCATCATTCTGATACCAAAGCTGGGCAGAGACACAACCAAAAAAGAGAATTTTACACCAATATCCTTGATGAACATTGATGCAAAAATCCTCAATAAAATACTGGCAAACCAAATCCAGCAGCACATCAAAAAGCTTATCCACCATGATCAAGTGGGCTTCATCCCTGGGATGCAAGGCTGGTTCAATATACGCAAATCAATAAATGTAATCCAGCATATAAACAGAGCCAAAGACAAAAACCACATGATTATCTCAATAGATGCAGAAAAAGCCTTTGACAAAATTCAACAACCCTTCATGCTAAAAACTCTCAATAAATTAGGTATTGATGGGACGTATTTCAAAATAATAAGAGCTATCTATGACAAACCCACAGCCAGTATCATACCGAATGGGCAAAAACTGGAAGCATTCCCTTTGAAAACTGGCACAAGACAGGGATGCCCTCTCTCACCACTCCTATTCAACATAGTGTTGGAAGTTCTGGCCAGGGCAATCAGGCAGGAGAAGGAAATAAAGGGTATTCAATTAGGAAAAGAGGAAGTCAAATTGTCCCTGTTTGCAGACGACATGATTGTTTATCTAGAAAACCCCATCGTCTCAGCCCAAAATCTCCTTAAGCTGATAAGCAACTTCAGCAAAGTCTCAGGATACAAAATCAATGTACAAAAATCACAAGCATTCTTATACACCAACAACAGACAAACAGAGAGCCAAATCATGAGTGAACTCCCATTCACAATTGCTTCAAAAAGAATAAAATACCTAGGAATCCAACTTACAAGGGATGTGAAGGACCTCTTCAAGGAGAACTACAAACCACTGCTCAAGGAAATAAAAGAGGACACAAACAAATGGAAGAACATTCCATGCTCATGGGTAGGAAGAATCAATATTGTGAAAATGGCCATACTGCCCAAGGTAATTTACAGATTCAATGCCATCCCCATCAAGCTACCAATGACTTTCTTCACAGAATTGGAAAAAACTACTTTAAAGTTCATATGGAACCAAAAAAGAGCCCGCATCTCCAAGTCAATCCTAAGCCAAAAGAACAAAGCTGGAGGCATCACACTACCTGACTTCAAACTATACTACAAGGCTACAGTCACCAAAACAGCATGGTACTGGTACCAAAACAGAGATATAGATCAATGGAACAGAACAGAGCCCTCAGAAATAATGCCACATATCTACAACTATCTGATCTTTGACAAACCTGAGAAAAACAAGCAATGGGGAAAGGATTCCCTATTTAATAAATGGTGCTGGGAAAACTGGCTAGCCATATGTAGAAAGCTGAAACTGGATCCCTTCCTTACACCTTATACAAAAATCAATTCAAGATGGATTAAAGATTTAAACGTTAGACCTAAAACCATAAAAACCCTAGAAGAAAACCTAGGCATTACCATTCAGGACATAGGCATGGGCAAGGACTTCATGTCCAATACACCAAAAGCAATGGCAACAAAAGACAAAATTGACAAATGGGATCTAATTAAACTAAAGAGCTTCTGCACAGCAAAAGAAACTACCATCAGAGTGAACAGGCAACCTACAACATGGGAGAAAATTTTCGCAACCTACTCATCTCACAAAGGGCTAATATCCAGAATCTACAGTGAACTCAAACAAATTTACAAGAAAAAAACAAACAACCCCATCAAAAAGTGGGCAAAGGACATGAACAGACACTTCTCAAAAGAAGACATTTATGCAGCCAAAAAACACATGAAAAAATGCTCATCATCACTGGCCATCAGAGAAATGCAAATCAAAACCACTATGAGATATCATCTCACACCAGTTAGAATGGCAATCATTAAAATGTCAGGAAACAACAGGTGCTGGAGAGGATGTGGAGAAATAGGAACACTTTTACACTGTTGGTGGGACTGTAAACTAGTTCAACCATTGTGGAAGTCAGTGTGGCTATTCCTCAGGGATCTAGAACTAGAAATACCATTTGACCCAGCCATCCCATTACTGGGTATATACCCAAATGACTATAAATCATGCTGCTATAAAGACACATGCACACGTATGTTTATTGTGGCATTATTCACAATAGCAAAGACTTGGAACCAACCCAAATGTCCAACAATGATAGACTGGATTAAGAAAATGTGGCACATATACACCATGGAATACTATGCAGCCATAAAAAATGATGAGTTCATGTCCTTTGTAGGGACATGGATGAAATTGGAAACCATCATTCTCAGTAAACTATCGCAAGAACAAAAAACCAAACGCCGCATATTCTCACTCATAGGTGGGAATTGAACAATGAGATCACATGGACACAGGAAGGGGAATATCACACTCTGGAGACTGTGGTGGGGTCGGGGGAGGGGGGAGGGATAGCATTGGGAGATATACCTAATGACAGATGACACGTTAGTGGGTGCAGCACACCAGCATGGCACATGTATACATATGTAACTAACCTGCACAATGTGCACATGTACCCTAAAACTTAAAGTGTAATAAAAAAAAATAAATAAATAAAAAATTAAAAAAAAAGAAAATTTCTTAGAATCAGATAAAAAAAAAAAAGACAAACAGAGAGCCAAATCATGAGTGAACTCTCATTCACAACTGCTACAAAGAGAATAAAATGCCTAGGAATACAACTTACAAGGGATGTGAAGGACCTCTTCAAGGAGAACTGCAAACCACTGCTCAAGGAAATAAGAGAGGACACAAATAAATGGAACAACATGCCTGCTCATGGATAGGAAGAATCACTATCATGAAAATGGCCATACTTTCCAAAGTAATTTATAGATTCAATGCTGTCCCCATCAAGCTACCACTGACTTTCTTCACAGAATTGGAAAAACTGCTTTAAAGTTCATATGGAACCAAAAAAGAGCCTGTATAGCCAAGGCAATCCTAAGCAAAGAACAAAGCTGGAGGCATCACACTACCTGACTCCAAACTAGGCTACCGTAACCAAAACAGCATGGTACTGGTACCACAACAGGTATATAGACCAATGGAACAGAACAGAGGCCTCAGAAATAACACCACACATCTACAATCATCTAATCTTTGACAAACCTGACAAAAACAAGAAATGGGGAAAGGATTCCCTATGTAATCAATGGTGCTGGGAAAATTGGCTAGTCACATGCAGAAAACTTAAACTGGACCCTTTCCTTACACCTTACACAAAAATTAACTCAAGATGGATTAAAGACTCCACCTTAAGACCTAAAACCGTAAAAATCCTAGAAGAAAACCTAGGCAATACCATTCTGGACATAGGCATTAGGAAAGACTTCATGTCTAAAACACGAAAAGCAATGGCAACAAAAGCCAAAATTGGCAACTGGGATCTCATTAAACTAAAGAGCTTCTGCACAGCAAAAGGAACTACCATTAGAGTGAATAGGCAACCTACAGAATGGGAGAAAAATTTTGCAATCTATCCATCTGACAAACGGCTAATATCCAGAATCTTCAAAGAACTTAAATTTACAAGAAAAAAACAACCCCATCAAAAAGTGGGCAAAGGATATGAACAGACACACTTCTCAAAAGACGACATTTATGCAGCCAGCAAACATGAAAAAAAAGCTCATCATCACTGGTCATTAGAGAAATGCAAATCAAAACCACAATGAGATACTATCTCATACCAGTTAGAATGGTGATCATTAAAAAGTCAGGAAACAACAGGTGCTGGAGAGGATGTGGTGAAATAGGAACACTTTTACACTGTTGGTGGGGGTGTAAGTTAGTTCAACCATTGTGGAAGACAGTGTGGCAATTCCTCAAGGATCTAGAATTAGAAATACCATTTGACCCAGCAATCTCATTACTGGGTATATACCCAAAGGATTATAAATCATTCTACTATAAAGACACATGTACACATATGTTTATTGTGGCACTATTCACAATAGCAAAGACTTGGAACCAACCCACATGTCCATCAGTGGTAGACTGGATAAAGAAAATGTGCCACATATACACCATGGAGTATTATGCAGCCATAAAAAAGGATGAGTTCATGTCCTTTGCAGGGACATGGATGAAGCTGGAAACTATCATTGTCAGCAAACTAACACAAGAACAGAAAACTAAACACCGCATTTTTTTCACTCATAAGTGGGAGTTGAACAATGAGATAACATGGACCCGGGGAGGGGATCATCACACACTGGAGCCTGTCAAGGGGTGGGGGGCTAGGGGAGGGAGAACATTAGGACAAATATCTAATGTAGGTGACAGGTTGATGGGTGCAGCAAACCACCATGGCACATGTATACCTAAGTAACAAAGCTGCACATTCTGCGCATGTACCCAAGAACTTAAAGTGTATTTAAAAAAAGAGATACAAAGACAAAAAATGTACAATTTATATTGTTAAGGCACTCTAAGTCTAGTAAAGGAAACCAGGCATGGCCACATATAACCACAGAGCAAGACTTTACAGCTGTATTAGTGAGAGAAGCTGGATTTGAACCCAAGTCCCCTGACTCCAGATCATTTTCATTGTACCACATTGACTGTGATGGGTTTTCCCCCCACAGCTGATTAGCTGTACAACATTAGGAAAAGCACTTCTCAACTCTGGACCGAATTTTTTCCCCTCTGTGAATAAATGGTCAGAAGGTTTCTGGATTCCCTGCCAGCCATGACATTCTGTGATTAAGGAAAGCATGAGATAACCATCAAAAAAGCTACTGCACATTTAAAGTGATCCTACATCCCAGATTACCCAGGACGGTCCCAGTTTATTCACAAAGCATATTGGTTTGGAAGATATATGGGTGTATTCTGCATATACAATATGCCAAATGAAAGAAACCATGCCAGTTGACACAAATCCAGTAAGTGATCATGCTTAGTTAGAAGATTTTTGTTAGATTTGACCTTGTATCAGTTATCTTTTGCTTTGTAACATACCACCCCAACCTAGTGGCTTAATACAAGACATTTTTTAGCCCATAATTCTGTGAATTGGCAATTTGGGTTGTGCTCAGCTGGACAGTTCAGCTGCTGGTCTTAGTGGTGCTCAGTTAATGGCTGGGAGCTGGTTGGTACAGGGCTATTGAAGCTGGAACAGCTTGTCTCTGCTCCACATACTCTCTTATCTCAAAGCAGGCTAGCCTGGACTTAGTCACATAATGGCAAAGTGCCGAGAGCAGCAAGTATGAAAGCTACAAAGCCCTCTTGAGATCTAGTTTGAAATTTGCACGCTGTCACTTCCAATACATTCTTTTGGTCAAAGCAAGTCATAAGGCCAGCCCAGATTCGAAGAGTGGAAAAATAGACCTCACCTCTTGATGAGAGGAGCAGCAAAGTATTGTGCCCATTTTTGCAGTCCACCATAGAACTTATGTGCTTCCACAGGGACCTCTTGAGAAAATACATACGGAGAGGAAAGAGAGGGGAAAAATTAACTAATACATATTTGCCCCTCCTTAGGGCCTGGCAGCTCTGCCTCTTCTGTAGATTTTGATTGCCCAAGAAGATGAACATACCAAACCTTGACAGTAATTACAAGGAAAACATGATTTTTTCATGTATACTTATAGTTTCAGAGTATATAGTACTCCCACTAGCTTTTATTTCTGCTTCATTTATATGCAAATTGTATGACAGTGTTTGTTGAACCATGCATAATTTCAGCTCACATAATTAATATGGGCTTTACACTTACAGTTTTATTAATGGCTTTGTTTCCAAAGTAAAAGAACTAAAATATAAACTTCAATGAGGACCAAGTCTTTGATGAAAACTGAAAATAAACTAAGGACCGAAAAAGTTATCTTCTCTCATGACTAAGATAGATACTCCTGCAAAACAAGAATGCATCTAATGAGATATGAAAACATGACCCATTAGAACTAGGAAGGAACCTGAGAACCCAGCTAGATGTTTGCAATTTCTATTATTCATTGATTCATCAAGTATCTATTCAGTGTCTACTATGTGCCAAGCAAGGTCTAACAAGGATAAAGTAATTGACACCCACAGAGGTTTGGTGACTTATTCAAGCACACCCAGCTAGAAAGACGCAAAGCCAAGACTCTGGGCCAGGTCTTCACAGTCATGTTCACTTCCCCAATTATCAGTTTCTTTATCTCTTAAAAACTAAAATGAGAATACAGTTGGCTCTTCATATCTGCAGGCTCTGCATTCAAACAATCACAGATTGAAAATATTCAGGAAAAAAATTTTAATACAACAGTAAAAAATACAGATAAAAACAATACAATTTAACAACTGTTTACATAGCATTTACATTCTATTCGGCCTCAAATAATTTAGAGCTGATTTAAAGTATATGGGAGTCAGGTGAGGTATCTCACACCTGTAGTCCCAGCACTTTGGGAAGCCGAGGCAGGAGGATCATCTGAGGTTGGGAGTTCGAGACCAGCCTGACCAACATAGAGAAACCCTGTCTCTACTAAAAATACAAAAAATTAGCCGGGCATGGTGGCACATCCCTGTAATCCCATGCCTGTAAACCCTACCTCAGGAGGCTGAGGTAGGAGAAACACTTGAACCCACAAGGTGGAGGTTATGGTGAGCCAAGATTGCACCATTGCACTCCAGCCTGGGCAACAACAGGGAAACTCTGTCAAACAAACAAATAAATAAATAAAGTATATGGGATGATTCACAAAGGTTATATGTAAATACTCCACCATTTCATATTATGGATTTGGGCATCTGCAGATTTTGGTATCCTCAGGGGTGGTGGAACCCTCATGAATACAAGGGCATGACTATATTGTCTAATAACAAATATAATTATCTGAGCACTTATGTGCGAGGTACTTTGCTAGACATTTTATGTACATGAAGTCCTCAAAACAACTAGATGTTATTTCTCCCATTTTACAGATGAAGAAACCTAAGCTTAAAGAGATTAAATAATTTGTCTCAGGTCACATTGCTGGTAATTTGTGAGCAGAGATTTCAATACCAGTCATATTAATCCAGAGACCACACTTTAAATCTTTAGTAGGATTTGGGGGGTGGGGGGGGGTCTTTGTTAAATATATGTCCCAGAACCTTACACAGAGTAGATGCTGAGTGAATATTTGTTGAATTTAAATCAGTAAGGATATAGCTAATTTGTACAACCAGCTAATGTCCAGCATCTTTTTCCAAGCCAAGCCGATATCACTCTGATGTACCAAAAGCTTCTAATCAGAGCATCCACTGTCAATTATGTAAGTAAACCACAACATGGGCACAAAATGGCCAGCACATGGATGCAATTTGCTTATTTGCTAATTAGTATGAGGTCCATCCCAGCAGATGGCAGGATGAACCCCCATTACTATAACCATAAATTGTCATGTTAGACCTTGGCTCCAAGAGCTATTTTCTTCCTTCCAATGACACTGGTAACTAAATGACTGTACAGTTGCTACTGGGCAGAGATGTCTGGAATGAGACCATGCTGTCCAAGTAAGGGGAATGGTCCAAGAAAAATGAAAGAAGTGATTACCTGGGGTGTGAAAATGGAAATGGTAAAGTAGTTCAACAGTTAGGAAACACTTAGCCCAACTGCTGATGAATGAAACGTTGATACTTCCAAAGCAGGAACAACATGGGAGGTTGGGCGAGGCAGATGGCCATACAGCTGGAATGCTAGTTTCTACTTCCCTGATGCTTTTTTTAATTTTCTGACATTCAGAGCAGAGCCTGGTATGATGATCATGATCATGATCATTATGTATATGGCGGGGTATATTTTGAGCATTATTGGCCCTGTTTTTCTTTAGGAAAGAGTCAGTATAATCTAGATATTGGGAGCACGTGTGGTACAGTCAGGCTGACCTAGTTTGAATTTTATCTCTAGTTCAGGATCTGGGTACAGAGTAAGTTCTCAGACTTTATCTACCTCTAGCTTATGATGAAGACTGAAAATTCACAAAGAATATTTTTAGCCTTCTTCATTGAGCCCCTAATGCAACATTAGGTATGGTTCGATGCCCATTAATTACTAATTGGCTTCTTGATTAAGAATCATGGGCATCAAATATTGATTTAGAGAGGTTTTCCCTAGTATGTTGATTTGAATTTAGTTCCTTTAATTCCTTTTCTGATACCTTGCTTTATACCTTTTGGCTAGGAATTTTCTGTAGCTCAGTTATGATATTTTTCAGATGAGAAATATGTTCAAATGATTTGATTCTGACTTGTGAAGTTATCTCAAAGAATAAACAGGCAGAGGTACAAAGTTAAAATAATAATTATACATTTAGTAAATGAGCTAACCTGGAAAACGAGCAATCTATGAAATGAGGACTCTCCTAGGACATCTAGTACTTATGCCACACCTTAAGGCATGTAGAAAGCTTTTCATTGTCCTCATACATTGCCCAGAATCAACCATTGGTTGGGGCTCTAATCACACACGTGACCCCACGTGGCAAGAGGGTTCTTCTCTTTCCTGTAACAGAGCACAGCCATGGAAGATGAAACCCTCATTGCACGTAGGATCCTGAAACAGTGACTGTGACCAGATGAAAAGGATGGGAACTTTAATAAGCTAAATGCCTTGGAAAACTTCATCTCTTAGCACTGGCTCAGGGAATTCGGTCTCCAGAATCCGGCTGATTTCCTAGCTTAAAAAAAAAAAAAAAAAAAAGCTGCTTTTATAAGTAAAGATCTAATGGCTGGGTGCGGTGGCTTACACCTGTAATCCTAGCACTTTGGGAGGCTGAAGCAGGCAGATCATCTGAGGTCAGGATTTTGAAACCAGCCTGGCCAACATGGTGAAACCCTGCCTCTACTAAAAAATACAAAAAAATTAGTGGGGTGTGGTGGCAGGTGCCTGTAATTCCAGCTACTCAGGAGGCTGAGGCAGGAGAATTGCTTGACCCAGGAGGCAGAGGTTGCAGTGAGCCAAGATCATGCCACTGCACTCCAGCCTGGGTGACCGAGTGAGACTCCATCTTAAAAAAAAAAAAAAAAACGAAGGTCTCCAACTCCACTTTAAAAAAATGATTACCTTTTTATTTCCCCCATTACCCATTAAAGCGCTTAGGTCCCTAGGAGGGGTCTGAGTCCTTGTCCAAAATATTTTTCTTCTAAGAAAGAAAGGGAGCAGGGAAAAGCATTTGAGGGTAAGGTTTTGGCTACTCACTGTGGCCTGATGCCCTCCCCCGATTTAATCAAACCTGCTTGGTCTTACAGTCATCCAAGCTAACAAACGGCCCCACAAAACAGCAATCATTTAAAGAAATGTATGGGGTAAAATTTAACAGAACCATGCAAATGATCATAAGAAATATATATTGAAAACTTGAAATTAGTAAAGAAAACATAAGCCTGGTTTGGAGCAATAGAGACTGTGTTCATCATTATTGATATTCAAAAGATTACCATGTATGAGTTTATCTTTTCCTTTTAATGGAGCTCTCAAAAGCCATGACAGAACGTGTTCTGTGTGACTGCCCAAGGTCAGCCTTTCGGACAATTGAGATTACTTTCATACAAGTCAACTCTAAAATTCATTTCTCTAGATAAAATTGGATGGCATTATCAAAGCAAAAAGTGGGATTGTTTCTCAACGTGGAAAGCTTTCAAATAAAGTGTTTGGCAATAATAGGCAAGAGGCTCTCTGACAGCATTGTGCTGTCTGAGTGTGTTTTTAAAAGACCCCAATTTTTCAACAAAGGACATCAAAAGAACACCACTACAGTGCAAGCCTGGGTTTCTCTGTAGTGGGACTGGGTAAGAAACACTGCATTTCAAGTGTCTGATTTTTTGGCTATTTCTAGGAAACTTTAAAAATGCTCACACTTTATGCCTGAGATAGCATAAAGTCTACTTCTAGAAGCAGAATTGAACATAATATATTTTGGGGTGGTGAACAGGAGAGAAAACATTCTTGAGAGCAATGTCTGATCTGCCATCTCAGTGGAAATCAGTACAATTGGGCGCTTCTGCCTCTGTCTACTCTGGTCCATGGGTGGTTCCAGTGTCCTGGAGAATGGCCATCATCCAGAATCTATAAAAGTTGTGGTGGTGGCTTTTTCTGTGTGACTTTCTTGATAATTTGTGGTACTGTAAGATGAGTCAATCTATTTTTAAACCTGCTGATCCTTCCCATTTCTTATTCAATGGAATTAATCCCATAGGTTTCCTGGCATATGGATTGTTAGGATTCATGGTTTGCAAGCAATAGAAACTGATTCTGACAAACTCTGGAGCAAAAGAAAGAAAAAGGAGGAGGGAGAATATGGTGTTAATATTGAAGGAAAGGCCAAAAAACCAGGCCTTAGAAAGGACAAGAGCAGAGGGAATCTAAACATCTAATAGCAGGAACTAACAGACATTCTCTTCAAGATTTCCATCTCAGGAGCCAGCACTGTGATCACTCAGTTCCTATCAATTTCACATCTCCAAGGGAGAATCTTACTGTCCCAGCTTGATCAGGAGTGAGTAGGGTCTTTTGATTGCCAATCCTACTAAGATGCAGGAAATGCTAGAGAAATTGCTACAATGGTGGCTTTAGCTTTGGATTTCCAGATCAGTCTCAATGGATAACACTGATATTCTCAACTCTTCCTGGTTGTCTTTCAGTCATCGAGGAAGTTTTTTCCCATCACGTTCTTTGGCTCCATTACCTGGATTGCAGTATTCTCTTACTTGATGGTCTGGTGGGCGCACCAGGTAAGATTTTGATAGTGACATGCCTCTGCCTTGTTTTTCTCCAGTCCTGATTGTCAAGTGTTTAATCATTGTGTTTGCTTTCTGCAACTGCCACAACAGTATTGGGTGTGACACAGACGAGTTAGCATTCCAGGACTAGAGGAATTTATCCACTTAACTTTCCCTAGTCTTCTGGCTGTAGCATGGAATTAAATCAGCATAGCCTCTGGACAGCCATGTGGAGGCAGGCAAGTCTAACTACTTCTTGCCTCTGCAGCCTGACAGACACCAGGACAACCCAGACCTGAGAGCAATGTCAAGATTTTGCCTGGTTCAGTAGTACTGACTTTATCTTGAGCAGCCACTCACCTCACGTTCTCACCAGCAGTTTAAAACTGGCTCTAGGAAAGCATCTGGAGACAAAATAGCCTCTTCCTTGAGCTTCACTTTACATAAATGATGATGTATTGTTATTATTTTTAACTCAATATGAGTCACAATGCCCATCACAAGAATACACTCTCAGTAATCATTATTGAAAAACATGAATGAAGAGTAAGATTCAAGGGTTTCACATTTTCAAAGATAATAGTGGTAACTATTGATAATTGAGTATGTCCTACACACCCAACAATTCACATCCCTTTGTCTTTATAATCTTAACAGTAACCCTATACATAGGTTCAAAGCCTATGAAGCAGGTACTATTATTATCCACAGTTTACAGATAAAGAAGTTAAGCTTAAAGTTGGTAAGATTACCCAAAATCACATAGGTAGAACTGAGATTTTAACCCAGGACTCTGCAACTCCAAAAATCATACTTTTAATCTCTATTATAAACTACATAAATTCCAAACTTCCCACTTGTATCCTTTGTTTAATATAATCCTAAAATTATTATACTTGGCAACATAAATAAGATATAGAAATTTGAAATAAGGAAATATATACTGAGAACATGTGAATAGACTTTTCAACAAATGATGCTGGAATAATTGGATTTCCATATGCCAAAATAAATAAACTTAGATCCTTACCTCATACTTTACATAAAATTTAACTGAAAGCACATCATAGTTTGAAATGTAAGAGTTTGTAAAGCTGTCAAACTTCTAGAGGACAGAAAAAAAATCTGTATGACCATAAGCCAGGCAAAGAGTTCTTTGATACAATACCAAAGCATGATCCATGAAAGCAAGAAAATTGATTAATTAATTTCATCAAAATTAAAACTTTTGCTCTTCAGGAAACACCATTAAAAAGGAAAAGGAAAACCACAGGCTGGAAGAAAATATTTGCAAATCATATATATCTGATAAAGCACTTGTATCCAAGATACAAGCTTAAAGCTCCATAATAGGAAGGCAAGCATCTTCAAGTATCCTAATTTTGAAGATCTGAACAGATATTTCACCAAAGAAAATACGCAGATGGCTAAAAAGCACAAGAAAATATGCTCAACATCATTATTAATTAAAGAAGTGTAAATCAAAACCATAACAAGATACCACTTTACACCCACTAGGATGGGTATAATCAAAAAGACAGAACCTAACAAGTGTTGATGAGGATGTATAGAAATTAGAATCCTTACATACTGCTGATAGGAATGTAAAACAGTGCAGCCACTTTGGGAAATAGTTTGGCAGTTCCACAAAACATTAAACATAGAGTTACCATATGATCTAGCAATTCCACTCCTAGGAATAGGCTTAAGAGAAATGAAAACATACGTCCACAAACACTTGTAAACAAATGTTCAAAGTAGCATTATTCATAATTACCAAAAAGTGAAAACAACCCAAATGTCCATCAACTGATGAATGGATAAGCAAAATATGGTATATCCATACAATGGAATATTACACAGTACAAAGAAATGAAGTACCAATACATGCTACAACATGAGTGAAATTCGAAAATATTATGCTAAGTGAAAAAAGCCAGTTACAAAAGGACACATCATATGATTTCATTTATATGAAGTATACAGAACAGGCAAATCTATAGAGACATATAATAGGTTAATATTAATAGTTGCCTAGGATTGGAGAGGTTGGGGGAAAATGGGGAGTGACTGCCAGTGGGTATGGGTTTCTTCTGGGGATGATGAATAAGTTCAAAACCTAAATTATGAAGGCTGCACAACTCTGAATACATTAAAAACCATTGAATTATACACTTTAAAATGGCTAAATTTTATGGTATGTAAATTACATCTCAATAAACTTGTTTGAAACTAATCCAAGATATCACTTCACAACCACTAGGTTGGCTATAAAAAAAAAAAAAAAAAAAAAAACAGTAGCATGTGTTGATAAGGATGTGGAGAAACATGGCTGCATACATTTGTAAAAACTTGCAGGCTGGTTGCAGTGGGTCATGCCTGTAGTCCCAGCACTTTGGGATGCTGAGGCAGGCAGATCCCTTGACCCCAGGAGTTCGAGATCAGCCTGGGCAACATGGCAAAACCCTGTCTTTACAAAAATACAAAAAATTAGCTGGCCATGGTAGCACACGCCTGTAGTCCCAGCTACTCGGGAGGTTGAGTGGGGAGGATCATTTGATCCCAGGAGGTGAAGGCTGCAATGAGCCAAGATCACACCACTGCACTCCAGCATGGGTGGCAGAGTAAGACCCTGTCTTTTAAAAAAAAAAAAAAAAAAAAAAAAAAAAGTAAAGAAATAGGAAAAAAAAACCTTGCAGAACTGTACACTTTTTAAAAAGGTGAATGAGTTTTACTCTATGTAAAGCATACCTTGGTTTTTAAAAGAATACATGTTACTAGCAAAATCCACAGAAAATGTTGGCTGATACACTGTCTTATTTCTACATGATATTTTATATTATTCATATCACAGTTATTTTACTGACATTTGACTTCAGATTACTCTTCCTGGATATTTCCAAAAAATCATTGGCTTCCTGAGCAAGTTCTCTGTGCCTTGGAGTCATTATTTTATACACTCATTGAGAGACATTTGCTACCAACACCTGGCAGAAATCACAGCAGAAGGTGGGCTGGTTTTCAGCCTCCAGATGTCCAGGCTGAAAGGACTGTTTGCCATTTATAACATATAATAGTTTTTCTTAATAATCATCTTCTATTTCTTCATGTACTAATAAAGAAAAAATGGTGTTTTTCTAACTTGCTGGGATATGTTGTTTCCCAGATATTTCTTTTTTGCCGTTTTATAAAACATCATGCAGGGTTCCATCTTTTTCTTTTTAATGATTACCTTAATTCCAGTCTTGTTTTCTTTCCATTCTTTCAAAGAAAAGGAACACAAATTCAATGGCTGAAACAATAATAATTTTAAAAAGCCAAGACGAATGAAAGCCATAAATGGAAGCCTTACTTTTCATTGATGGAAGAGAAGTTTCTCTTTTCTCCTATACAAATACTTCTTTAAAAACACCCAGACAGCTGAACAAAATAGATTCTGTTCCAAGAAGTCTAGCTCTAATTCTGTTGTTTGTACTTCTGAACTATAAAATCCATAGCAGTTATATAGTGTTCAACTCTTTTGTTATCAACACTTTTATCATAAATGCTATTTGATAATTTGGCTACTGTTTGGCAAAAAATAAATGCCCTTCACCTACAATGCTTTAACATAATTTGCCCTTGGCTTTTTTTTTTTTTTTTGCCTTTATCTTTTGTTTTTGTTGTTCTTGTTTCTTATTGTTTTTGCACTTTAATAAATTTAATGGGTGATGACAACCTGTAGTTAAAGTCAATCCTGCATCTAATATTAGAAATTAATTTTAAGAGTCAACTAAGACCTTGTGTCTCATTTAGCCACTATAGCATTCTTTCAGATCCTCCTTAAACCAAGGCACAGAACTGCATCACAAAATATTGGGAGCAGCATGGAGTTTGGCCTCCTCTGAGTGGCCTAATTTGCTTTTTTTTTTTTTTTTTTTTTTGAAAATGAAGTAATTTCCCCCAAAAGACTGCTGATGTTCTTTCTATTAAAAGCTCTAAGCCTCTCTGATGCTCCCTGATTTTTCAGAGTACTGTCCCGTCCATGTGCCCATCATCTTTACTGATTTGACAAAAGTTAACTTGAGTGAAATGTACTCAAAACAAGCTTATGAAGACTAGTTCTTCTTCCACAAAAGGCTTTCTAGAGCCACACAGATTCACCAGGGGTTTGATGTCTAATGAAAATTCTCATGAAGTTTTCCATGATGTGAATTGGCCCCAGTAAGCCCACTTCTGTTCCTGCTGCCAGACACCTGACAGTCTAATAAATTGGAGAGGGAAAGGAGTAATGTCTGAGTTATAAAATCTGGTTTTTTGGCTGGGTGCCGTGGCTCACCCCTGCAATCCCAGCACTTTAGGAGGCCAAGGCAGGCGGATTACCTGAGGTCAGGAGTTCGAGACCAGCCTGGCCAACGTGGTGAAACCCCATCTCTACTAAAAATGCAAAAATTAGCCAGGCATGGTGGCAGATGCCTGTAATCCCAGCTACTTGGGAGGCTGAGGCAGGAGAATCACTTGAACCCAGGAAGCAAATGTTTCAGTGAGCCGAGATCACACCACTGCACTCCAGCCTGGGCAACAGAACGAGACTCCGTCTCAAAAAAAACATATTAAGTTAAAAAAAAAACTAGATTTTTATTTAACATTTGCTTTATACCTGACACTGTGCTGTATGATTTGCATCTCACATATAGTCATCAACAATTCTGAGTGGATATTATCCTCATTTTACAGATAGGAAAGACTGAGACTCAGGGAAGTTGTCTAACTTGCACTAGGAGTGGCAAGCTAGGATTTGTACCCAGCACTGTCATCTCCCAAGCCAGTGCTCTTAACCACACCACCATTTTTCTCCTCTTCAATTCCTATGTTTTCCTGTATATAGTAGCATTCAAACTCCAAATACAAATTATTTTGTTTATATTTCGGGGACAAGGTCTTGCTATATTGCCCAGTCTGGTCTCAAATGTCCAGGCTCAAGTGATCCTCGTGCCTCAACCCCCGAGTAGCTGGAACTACCGTGCATGGCATTGTGCCCAGCAAATAATTTTTCAGTCACTACTTTAGAATTCCCTCCAAGAATTTAATTATTAAGAATGTTTTAAACAGATTGGAACTTGCCGACAGTAACAGTTGTTTAGTCAGCATCTGCTCAGTCTTTGGCAATGCTTCACTCCAAATCTAACAAAAAACTGACAATTTGAGAATATTTTGCTCAAATAGGGCACTCCTGTGCAAAAGTCTTATTGAACTTTTTCTAGGAGAATCAGCAGAAAAACATACTAGTGAAATCACCTAGGTATGCAGATTGATTTGCTTACTCAGCAAATCAGTATTAAGAGCCTGCCATGTATCAGGCTGTGTATGTTCTGTCAACTAGGGAGATCGTGGTGACCAAGGTGAGGATCCTGCATACATGGAACTTACTAATGGGGAGCAGTGATTCTGTGTCCCATGAGGACAGGGTAAGCTAGTTCAGCTCACCAGGCTCTGGAGCAGGCATGACCATCAAAACAAAAATATGCTTTTAAGCTAGTAGGAATCATACTATTTCTTATAAAAATAAGAATTTTTTTAAAAAGGATTTAGAAATGAGTGTATTCTATTCCCTAAAAGGCTTTATTCTTATATGCTATTTTGGCCCTTTAAATTTTTTCAAAAAATGCTGGACATCATCAGGTAACCTGTTGGAAACCAGATGGAAAGCATTATCTTGAAGGTTTTCAGAGCCACACTTCACCAAGTCCAGCAAAACATGAATAGGTTTTAAAAGTCCCAAGAGGCCAGGCACAGTGGCTCACACCTGTAATCCCAGAACTTTGGGAGGCCAAGGCAGGAGGATCTCGAGGCCGAGAGTTCAAGACCAGCCTGGGCAACATAGTAAGAACCATCTCTAAAAAAAACTAGCCAGGTGTGGCAGTGCTCACCTGTGGTCCCAGCTACTCTGAAGGCTAAGGTTGGAAGATCGCTTGAGCCCAGGAGGTTGAGGCTGCAGTGAGCTGTGGCTGTGCCACTGCACTCTAGCCTGGGCAACAGAGCAAGAACCCATCTCTAAAGAAAATAAGTAAGTTTTTCTAAAAAGTCCCAAGAAGACAAACAAATTGCTCAAGAGAATGGAGGAGCTTCCACGTGAGGCTAGACCAACCTTCCAAAATAGAACTCATCAGTCTTAAAAGGCAAAGAAAAAGACCAAAAAAAAAAAAAGAAAAAAAAAGAAAAAAAGTAATAGCCACCCTCCCCTTGCTTTTCAATAATAATGTACTATTCACAAAGAGTCTGTCACAGATTATCATTTAGTCCTCACAAGTACCTGGTAAGGTAGGTATTATTATCCCCAGTTTATGGATGAGAAAGTGAGGATCAATGACATATAATTGGTACAGTAAGCAAAATGTCAAGAAATTAACACATACCAGAGCCAGATCTTGGACCCAGGTCCTCTGATTTTCTGGATTTTGCTTCTCCACAGTTGCTTTGCTATGTGTTACCAAAACCCGAAACACCCAGAATCGAGATTCCAGTGGAAATTATAGCATCTTGAAGTGTTTCAGAATAGATTATAGACACTAGGAGATGCTAAAGGAGAATGGAGACCCTGGGTGTCAGTCCTTGGTTTTGGTAGTAAGTTGAAGGGCAAATCTTCCACAGGACTTGGTGCCACTGCCAGGTGCTGCCCCCTGGATTCCATGGCCAATTGGCCTTTCTACCTCTAATCCTGCAGCTTCCCTGACTCAATCTTAGAAAGCACCATATAAAGGCTACACTCTAGCCCTCTAGAGCTCTTTTTTGAGATTATCTGTTTAATTTTCATGTGAACATTCCTGATGCCTTGGGTCTGAATATCCTAAAAGCATAAACTCTATTAGCAATGACTGTGGCTTATTCATCTTTATCATCTCAGCACTTTGCATAGCACAGTATAGAAATGCATTAAAAGGAGGTCGCATTGAAATTTTTGTGATTTTTATGATTTTGTAACTTCAAACACTGAGATGTTTATTCCTGTCCTGACATTTAGGTTGGAGAGACAATTGGCATCAGTGAAGAGATTATGGGCCTGACCATCTTGGCTGCTGGGACCTCCATCCCTGATCTTATCACCAGTGTCATAGTGGCCCGGAAGGGGTTAGGGGACATGGCTGTGTCCAGCTCTGTTGGAAGCAACATTTTTGACATCACTGTAGGGTGAGTAGAGGTAGTTCTACAAAGGTGTGCACCAGCTCCACCAGTGTCTTTGTCTTCTTAGAAGCTGGAAAGACATGACCAGGATCTCTGAACCTAAGACTAACCAATACCAATACAGAGTAAAGATTGAGAATACCATTGCATTTCCCCAATTCTATTTCTCATTTTCTCATTTCAGAGAACTTAATGAAAAATAAGTCATCCCTAGACAAGCAGAAGCACATACCTACATACAGAATGGGTATTTTAGGAAATACTTTAGAATTTCACTTATATAACAACATTCAAGTGGAACTGAGATACCGTGATAGCTTCATGATAAGAAGGTTCACATTCTAATTTTAATTAAAGTCCCCACCAGCCTAAGGTGAGATTTGGATTTTAAGGCAGATTGGGGAAAACATAGGCCTACCATACATATCCTGTTTCCTTCCTTGGAAAATACTGACAGTCTTGGCATTACCATTTGTTTATCTGTACTGGTGAAGATATTCCAGGTTTTTTGAAAGCCAGAAGGTGAGACCTGTTCTTATAATGAAGCAAACATGAGCTCTCAGTATGAATAATCACTAAAGTGAATCAGACTGGGGAGAGGTGCTGCGATCTCCACCATTTTATTTAACTTGTCAAAAGTAAAAATAGTCTGACAAATAAACTTAACATCAGTACCCTGAGAGAATAAGATATAAGACATTATCCTTACGTTCCCAGGAGTACTGGGCTCCTAACACTTGAGTTTGGAACCTCACTAAAAACACCTACTTTCTCATTGAATATCTTAAATATTGTTCTGTCTTCCACCTTTCCATGACCATATTGTTTTTCATACAGTGTCTACCATGTGCACTGTGTGTATGTTTTTCTCCATTTAAGCCACACAATAATCCTATGAAGTATGTATTATCACCCCTATTATTCAGATAAAAATACTGAAGGGCCCAGAGTTCACACTAGTAAATGAGGTAGGTAGGATTTGAACAAAGAGTCTGTGCTATCAATTGTAGCACTCTCTGTGCATAAAACTCTGCTGTGAGTATTCACTGTCTGAACTACACGTGAGCCCCCACTGAAGAGCTCTCCATGCTTGTCTGACTGGAAAACTCTGACTTACCCTTTTAGTGACAACTTAAATCCTGATTTCTCTGATTCCCCTGGGCCTGACTTGGAGGCTCTTGCCCCTAAAAACTGTCTGTACATCTTACTCTTGTCCTGGTATATCTGCCTGCTAGACTGTGCATCCCAAGAGCAGGAACTCATCAGAGCTTACTGCATTGCTATCACTGGTAGTTGTTTGACAAGTGTTTGTGGGATGGATGGATGGATGAATGAATGCCTTAAAAGGTGTATGTTTTAAAGGAAGTTGTACCTACTGTAAACAGTGTTTCTCAGTTCCGTGGTCCAAATATTCCTGGTAGAGTTCTTGGTCAATCTCTTGTAAAAAATAATAGTAATGCTCTATAGTATATTATGAAGAATTACAAAATGCTTTTTGTTCATTATTCTTAAGTTGTATACATACACACACACACACACACACACACACAAGGAAGTTTAAAGAAAAAAAATCACTCCTAATCCTATTACTCGGAAACAACACTTCTTTGTTGTATGTTCTCTTCCATATATTTCACAAAGTTTTCTTAGTAAAATATTCAGTTTTATCTACTTGGAAGGCTTTTATTTTTCCATTTTAAAGCAATCTATGCCTGGCATAGAGAGGCATCTATGAATAAATTAGTAAATCATAACCATTTTTCTAAGACTCCTCATAGCTCATAACATTTTGTGGCTTCAAATATTCCCTCTTGTTTTTCAGTGGCTTTTTCATTATCATTTATAGGATTATTAAAAATTTTCTGCTATGGGAGTTTTGATCAACATCTTTATGCAGAAAAACCTCCTCTTTTAATTATTTGTTAGGATAAATTCCTTTAAGCAGTATTAATGAACTAAATATTTTGAACATCTTAATGGGTATTGACATGTCTTGTACATTTCTTTTCCAAAAAGTTCTTTCCCAAGAATTTATACCAGCTGACAACATTTTTGACAATATACTGAGTGATGTCATTGCAATATATTAAGTGTGAAACTTTCTTCATAGCTTTGCCAGCATTTTCTTTATGCTTCTAAAATTAACATATACTCACAGATTTAGAAAATAAAAATAAGGCTCCAGGGCGCAGTGGCTCACACCTGTAATCCCAGCACTTTGGGAGGCTGAGGTGGGCGGATCACAAGGTCAAGAGATTGAGACCATCCTGGCCCAGATGGTGCAAACCTGTCTCTACTGAAAATACAAAAATTATCTACGAATGGTGGCGTGCGCCTGCAGTCCCAGCTACTCGGGAAGCTGAGGCAGGAGAATCGCTTGAACCCAGGAGGTGGAGGTTGCAGTGAACCAAGATCACGCCACTGCACTCCAGCCTGGGCGACAGAGCAAGACTCCATCTCAAAAAAAAAAAAAAGAAAAGAAAAGAAAAAGAAAGAAAAGAAAAATAAAGCTTAAAGATCAATAACTCACCAACCTTTTGAAATTCTTGTGTATTTCACATGATTGAAATTACATTGCTATTTGTGTGTATGTATGCATCTTTCATCTTTAGCTTAGAATTATATTATGGCTATTTTCCTGTAGCATTCTAAGCTTGTGATTTTTTAAACAGCTATATAACATTACATTTACTTATTTACTATTTAACTAGTTCCCTGTTATTAGAGATTATTAGAGATACTCAGCTTTTTATTATTCAAAATAACACTGAAATGATCATTTTCTGAGTAAAGTTTAATCTGCATTTTCAGTTATTTTTATACTTAATTCTTGACGATAGAATTAATAGACCAAAAGGCATGAAAAGTGTCATTTTCCCCCGAAAGGTTTTTGCAAGCCATTTATAGTGCGATTAAACTCAACTTCACTAGAAGTGTGAGAGTGTGTGTGTGTGTGTGTGTGTGTGTGTGTGTGTGTGTGTGTGTGTGTTTTAATAAGAATAAAATGGGTTTTGGTCTTTCTTCACAAGGGATGGGAAAAGAGTTTCCCAGGCCAAGTCCCTGTCAATGGCTCTCAGTTTGCCATCACCCCCACTCTCAGGCACTCCCCTTCCATTTTCTGACTTTTCATTGCTGACCCCAGGATGCCAAGGCTGCCCCCTCCTGCTAAGAACTGGAATTACCCCTTGTTCCCAAGCTTGGAACCCCTCCCCAACAAGTTCACAGAAAGAAGCACCTCCTGGCCAGACTCTACTGGGCAAAGTGCCGGTATTGATCCCCACAAGGCAGTCACATCAATCACTTCAGCTTGGCCCAGGTTAACATATGCACCCAGTTAGGGGCTGCATGTACCAGGCCTGGAATTTCAAAGATCCACAATGCACGGGCTCTGCCTTCCAATGCCGTCTCTCCAGCACAGGAGGCAGATGAGTAAACTCACTGCCCCTTTCACCCTCATCATTTCTCTCTTCCTTTGAAGAATGTAATGTTTCAAAAGAGTACCTCCTCTTCCCACACCCTGAGTCTAGGCCAAAACTGAACCTCCCTTAGCTTTTGTCATTCAGAAAGCTCAGCTAGCCAAGCAGGTATCTCCTTAGCCACCATGCTGTCATTAGGCTGATGGGTAGAGCCAGATGCCTATCACCAGCCACTTGGAAATGCCCATGTTCCCTGAGCCTTGCACTTCCAGCCATCTTCCTTTCCCAGAGTTCTAGTCAATGCTTGTGGTGTAGTGGAAACTAGCTCTCCTGAGGTCTTTCAGGATCACCACTCTCGATAGGAAACACAAGAGATCCTCAGATTTTAAAAGGTGAATGAAAAGGGAGAAAACAGGTATAAAAATATATAATAAAGTTTTTTTTAAGAAAAACACACACATCACAAATGTAAGATACTGCCTTCCTTAAATCTTTCAGAAAGACCAATTTTTCATCAAACAATTGTCAACATCTTTCCCAGAATAAACTTCAGCCTGTGATATTGTATCGTGGCCCCCAACCACCATCATTTAATTTCACTTGCCTTTAGACTATTAAGTCATTGCTATTCTTTGTCTCCATTTTTTAATTTTTTCCTCATTTTCACCACTCATTTCTGTGCCTTTTTTGCACCTGCCTGCTCCCTTCACCCTGTGCAAATCCTGGAATTCACCTTTTTAGGACTGAAAGCAACATTTTAATCTCAACTAGGAAGGAAACAAAATAATTTCCAGTCAAATTCGCAAATGTAGAAATCACCCACAGCAGTCATGTCTTTGATGTTGTCTAACTGTTCTCCCTGTTCTGAATTCAGTCAGGACATAAAGGTTTTTAAAGTCTTATTTCCTTATAAAGTGGTTTCCTGGGCCAACCATGCCCGAGTCATAGTGAACCTAACAAGACACCCTTTTCAGTTTAGAGTTCCTGAGAAGGTAATAATAGGTTATATTTGCCTTCTTCAACGTGTCTGACTACTCCCTTGTCTTCCCACTCCCCTCTGCCCTGCTTCACTTCTGCACAGGCTCCCACTGCCCTGGCTCCTGTACACCGTCATTCACAGATTCCAGCCAGTGGCTGTCAGCAGCAATGGCCTTTTCTGTGCCATCGTCCTTCTCTTCATCATGCTGCTCTTCGTCATCCTCTCTATCGCCCTCTGCAAGTGGCGAATGAACAAAATCCTGGGCTTCATCATGTTTGGCCTCTACTTTGTGTTCCTGGTGGTGAGCGTTCTCCTAGAAGACAGAATTCTTACATGCCCCGTCTCCATCTAGCAGGAAAAGCCATATCTTGCACCAGCAGCATGAATGGTCCCTCCACACTCTGGGCTCTGGGCTCCTTGACCTCTTGAGAAGAGGCAGCTGGCACACAGCCCTGGGTGCCAAGTGTCCCTCCTTGGTGAATTTGAGGAGAGATGGATTCACACTGGGCCCATTCACTTCACAGGCTGCTTCCACCCTGCCTACTGAAATGACTTCATGTAAAAGACAAAGAGAACCGTCAATACAGGGCTTCTCCCTATTCACCACTGACAAGTACACCTCGCTGGTCGGAGGTACAGTCGATGCAAACAAGGACACAGGCTATATATATCTATAAATACACATATTATAAATATACGCACATGAACACACAAATCCTGCCTGTTCCTGTACTATACCTCTCCTTGCATACCTATAGATTAGTACATACCTGTAAATAAAGACAAAGAAAAATTATATATATATATATAAAATCAGATATATATAAAAGTACAAATGCATCTTTTCAGGGATAGCTCTAGTATATTTATAGTACTTATTTGAAGAGGGGCATCAACTTGCAGTCTGGGCTTTACCTCTTAAGTACAAGAGGTGAACTAATGGAACCAACAAGACAAAGGTAGCATTGCTGTGACCTTCAGCCTACCTTGGACTTGCTGTGATCCTGCCTAGTAAGGTAGATGGTTTAGGGAAATAGCTTGCAGGGAGGAGGGCTTAGTGGAGAAGGTCTGTAGGGGCCCTGAGTTGAGCCTTCCAAAACATTCCTACAAGCCAAACAGAGAGACTATCTGCCCACCTCCACCAGAGTACCCTGACCAAGAAACTCAGGGTACTTAGGACAGAAAGAGGTAAAAACCCAGGCTGGGTGGCTTGGTTTGGGGAAGTGGGGAGGTAACCAGGGTTGGGTTGTTTTGTTTTGTTCTTATATTGTCCCAGCATGCAAGTAGAAAATATGACTACAAACCAAATTAGTGCTTTTTCTAGGACAGCAAGACTATATAAACTGAACCTGTATTTTTCCAGCGCATGTCCCATTATCATCAAAAGAAGAGGGGTAAGTTTAGCTGTGATTGTCATGTAGATATATTTTGATGCTAAGGGCTGCCAAGAGAGCCTAGATGTGCAATAAGAAGTCATCCAGTAAAGGTGCTTAGTGGGCCTTGCCACCTAATGGGATGTAAGGGCATAGTTCTTTAAAACGTTTTCCAGTGTAGTCATAAAGGGCTTTAGTGTCTGAAGAAATCATTATTCCCAATAGCACTAACTTAACTCTGATCAGCACTGCTTGGGTTGAGGCAACTTAGCGATGCTTGGAAAGGCATTTGCACACTCAGTGCACCCCAGGAAGGTTTCTGAGTGCCAGGTCGAGTGGTACCAGGACCAGGCTTTGGTTAAAGTTCTTGTAACATCTATGTCTCTTCTTCCATCAAGACCTTATCTGGGATTCTGTCTAAGTTTTAGAGTACACGGTATTTGACAGCTTCCTTATACTGGTTTCAAGCTATTCACTCCAACAATTTGATTTCTTGATTTTGCTCAACATTACATTGAATGCATGAAATTAAAATATTCCACGCCCCCAAGTTCTGTATGACACCTTGTGTGTTTTCTCAGATCTATGTCAGTCGAAAATAAAGCCAGCAAGGGGGAAAAAATAGGCAAACTGAATCAATGGAAAACTATGTAGAGCACTTTTCTTTTCTCCAAGTCATGCTTTCCTTAAAATCAGTTGAAAAATTGAATCAAGGATGGTTCATTATTCTGTACCCATCCTACGTCTAAGTTGGTACATATGGCATATGGGAAATTTCACCATATGTGTTCCTATCTCCAATCTATTCTGTCATTGACGCCTGCTATGATTTTGTTGTGAGCACATACCTCTTAACATAAGAGGACAGGATGCAGAACTCACAGCAGAATAAGAGGAAAGGTAACCTGACAGCCCCAGATCAAGCTCAGTATTCCTTCCAGAAAACCTCAGCTCACCCCACAGAGCATGGCAATAACAGGAAATGCCCATCATTCCTCTTCACCCAGAAGTAAAAAGCACTTCAAACCCGAGGCCCCCTGGGAAAACAAGAAATCAAGATGGCTGCCAGTCGGAGGCTGGCTTTCAAGTCTCTCCAACTCGGCAGATTGGGGTCTTCAGATGTGGGACAATGCCTTCCAAGACATTGAAACACCATCCAATAGAGGCGCTGAGTGGAACCTGCCACCTAATGGGAATGAATCTCATTCATCAAGGTCAGGACTTTGTACTGGGGCAAGAATTTGTCCTGCTTCCTTAGAGAGTGAAAGAATGAGGAAGTGAACTTTACGTTTAAAAACTCCAGTTGTTTTCCCTGTGTATTTCTTGAAGGGCAACCAAGTTGGTTATTGTGTGAATTTTATATTATTGACTGGTGCGTTGTTTGAAATAAGGTTTAAATAGGTGACTGACTCAACTGCAAACAGACCATGTAAAACAGAAGTTGAAGGAGACCTGATGCCGCCCTCTTCTTATTCCTGATCCTCCCTCTGCCTCCTCACTCCCTCCCATTTATTCCCAGCTTACAGTGAAGGCTGATCAAAGCAGCTATGGTGCCCTTTGCTTGTCTCGGAGCTCCACTTCACAGGAAGTGTTGTGGTCTTTCATGTGAAGTTGCATTTGAGAAGACAAAATTTCCAAGCCCCGTTCCCACATCAGTCATGTGCACTGAGCCTGACCTACAACAGCACTGCTCCCTCACTGGATGGGACACAAGTGATTCCACAGCCTGCCCTTGCTTTCCCTTCATTTCTGTGTCTGTAAGTGGTTATGTGTTGAGCCAGGGTAAATTCAGAGAGATGTGTACAGAGTTCAACAATGGGTCTTTAAACCATTCAAATCATTGGCATAATTATAAGAACTTTCCACACCGTGGTTTCCAAAACAGGTCATCTCTAACTCGTTTCCTGCATGCCTGTGTATATACATATATAAATATATACATATATATATATATACATATATATATATATATATATATCTTTATACCAGATCTATATGTACACATATAATATGACTTACATCATCACCCTCTGACCCTATCACATTCAGGATTCTAAAGCAGGGAGCATCAAGTTTGCCAAAGTCAAGGAAAAGGAAAGTCATGCACACAAACCAAAGGGAACATTTCTTCCTGATTTCATAAGGTTGTTTGTTCCATGCACATATATTTACAAATATACACATATGTACCCATATTTTCCCACCCTAAGAATATCAATTTATAGCCTTAAGGAAATCGGTCAGCCATATCCCTAATGCTGATATAGAGGCAAAGAATACACAACAGAAAATACAAAGCAAAAATTTAGACTGCAGATACTCTCTTTGCTTCTCTGGAGCAGGGTATAAAAGATATCAACAATTCAAGAGCCAACATTGTACTAATCAATCTAAAATAAATGAGTTGCACGCAAATGATTTCATTTATTCACAGCAAACCGAGCAGGTCTTGCTTGCTGTCACCGCCTACCCTCCCCCATACTTCCAAGGCAGCAGAGCAGCTTGGCTCAAACTGACAATTCCCAAATAGAAACTCCTAAATTGCATCTGAGAATGCCCATGCCAACTCCAGCTGCCCTCTGCACCTGACCAGATCCTGATGAACTGAAGCTGAAGATCAGATGGTGTTTATGCAGCTTCCCAGGACCTAAACTGAGTCAGGCAGTGACAGAGCAATGATATATGCAGGGACTAAGGGATAGGGTTGTTTATACCCTCGGCAGATGCAGCAGAATGTCCTAAAGCCTTGCCCAGAAGATTATAAAAAGAGGCGGAGACTGTTTTATATTCAGGAAAAATGCTTTGTAAGGCTTCTAACAGGTGTCACCTGACAAGGGCCATCATAATTTATTTTATAGGGAAGACATGAATCAGGTGGTTTGGAGCCCTTTCAGCAAAACGCAGCTGCCTCGCTGATTAGACATTTGACAATGTTAATGTACATCCATTCCTGGGCAGGGAGAGAGTTGGCAAACTCCCCACCACTGCACATAGCTTTTAAAGGCCTCTGGAACAGTGAGAGAAGAGATGAGCTACAAAGGGAGCCCACCCCCAGACCACTTTAACAAAAAGTTGACCAAAGAAAAGACACCTGGTAGAGTGGCTGGCCAGATAGAGCTGAAGAAGATGGAAGTTGCATTAAATGCTCTGCAGAAATTACTGCGTTGGACTATCTAACATGGGTCTGATGGCAGGCATTTCAGAACATGGCAGTGTGCTTTCCTCCCCACATCTACCAAACACACACCCACACCCCCACACACACGCGAGATTATGTGGATGCTATGCCTCCTTGCACCTGGACAGATTGTTTTTCTGGTAAGTAGGTGGCCCTATTATAGGTGGCAGCTGTGTTCCAGAAGAAACAAAGTGAAGCTGTTCTCAGGGTGATTTCTGGAGAAAACTACTGTCTCCTGAAAGCATGCATAGAAGTCAGTGCTCACTCTTGCTAAGCCACATATTCCTTAACGATCCGGCTTAATATTTTTAAAAGATACCTCCTCAACCCCTATACCTGTCTCAACAATACTGTCTTCAATTATTAGGTAAGGCCTTGTCATTAAGAGAGGGGTAGGAGAAAAAATAGAATAATAAGGAAAGGGAAGAAAGGAGATATTAATTTCCTAGGATTCCAAGAAAACAAGTGTCACGTGGAAATATATCCCTATGTAGTTTAAAACAGTAACAAATATCAGGCTATGTTTAGCCAATTACAAGAGCCCATATACAGTTTTAGATTTTTTTAAAAAATAATCTCAGGAAGACCTTGGGTAAGAAAAGTAACCCTGCCCTATTCCACCTTCTATTTACTGTTAGCTCCCTGACTCTGCCTCTGCCTCTGTCTTTGCGTTTCATTTTTAATCTCAGAGCTTCATATTTTTTAAATATATAGCAAACAAGAAAAGCAATAAGGGAACTACTCACAGCCAGCTCAACTCTATTACTTATGATTACACCATGGCAATATTCCTTTTTCACCAGGAGCTTTGGACCTGCGCAGGTTGTGGCATGTAATCACCCGGAGCATGTAGTCGTCTGTAGAAATCACAGGCACACTCATGTTTGCTCTGGAAGGAATCTGTTTTCCACAATGACTCCCCCCAGCTAATGTACACACTGGCATTTTGCATGCCTTCCTCACACATGGGGCACCAGCCTTGCTCAGAACCACCCAAACTCCACAGAGGCCCTTAATATGGCTAGGGACAGATTTCTTAAGAAAGAGTAAGAAGCAGCTACAAAGGACAAGCAAATCCACAAGTCAGGCAGCATTCGAGAGGCAAAAATGACCCTGCAATTACGACAGGCTAGGCAACTGTTTTCAAATTAGCGTACGAACAGTGAGGGACTGTGTAGAGCACCATATTATCTAAGCCAAAGCACTTCTACCAGATCATTCATTGACAGACTGGAAAACCTAATAAAATCTTTAAAAACAGACAAATATCTAAGTCTGAAAGAATGCCATGGAGTTTGCCTAGGCTTCCACCAAAGATTTAATTCCATTAAGAGGGTTTGTCTAGCCTATCACGCTAATCCAAAGGACAGTCCTCTTACGGGGGAGATCCCAGCATAGATGCTGGTGTGACCCAGCTCAATGATTAACAACCATCAGCATCAAGAAAAGCCTCCCTCCAAGTTAACCCAAACCCATCCACTTAATGACTTAACTTTTTTTTTTTTTTTTTTTTTTTTTGGCAAAAAGTAACTGCATCTGGGCACTCTTCACTCTTTGCCCCATAGTTGGAAGTTACCGCTATGTGACTCTTTACCTATTTTCAATTAAAATTATCTTTAGATTTTTATTTGAGTCTTTAACCCTCTTAATAATTTTTATAGTTCCTCTCTACTAAGCCTTTTTAAGTTCTTTATATTGTTCTTAAATGATGGAACCTTATGACTAATGATAATCACTGTCTGAACAGTGTTGAACTATACTGGGTGCAGCATGACCATGAAGCTCTGGTGAAGTCAAGGTCACAAACTGCTTTTAAGGTCATTAGGTCATAATCTCAGACTCACAAAGAACTCAAAATTGGGGAGACACCACTTTAGATTACTCCAAAACTCTGGGCCTGTACTTACCCACTAATTTATCAAGAGGAATCAATATTTTTATTTTAAATATGAAACTGGGATAAATGATTGGATCTCCACTTATTAACCAGTACTGCAGTGTGTTTATATCCTTTTGTGTGGTAGGTTGGATAGGATTTGTAAAGCTACTGATTGATCTCATGGGCCAGGGTTCACCAAAAGGATGGGAATTTGTTTCTGCATTCTTACATATTGGGTTGCATATTCCTTCATAATGGATCCATAAGTAACTAAGGCCTTGGAGACTAACAGTTCTCCAAAATACTCAGCTAACCAAAAGAAAATACTAATTTTTAAAATCATGTCATAAAAAACAGAAAAGTAAAAAAAGTCTGAAATCCTGAATAAAATTATTTTAAGGATGAAATTACATGCATAAATTAAGGGTAGATAACTTCTTGCCATTTAATTAAACAAATCCCCAATTCTTATCAGAATAAAACTGAAGGACAATGGATGCCTTTTGGGTTTTTTAATTTTTTAATATTGCACTTTATAGTACTTCATAAGAGACAACTGTCTTAATTAAAGCCATAAAATACCAATAATACATATATTCAGGGCTTCTGAATATAGTCAATCAATAAGCAGTCCATGAGTCATTCCTGTTTTGTATTGTTTATTGTAAATTGGAGTTTATCTGTTCTATTTTTTATTAACTACAATTATTGTTCTAGGCAATCCTAATCTACTTATACATTTTAGATGTGTGCTTTAATAAAACTGTTTGAAAATCAAAGAAATTATTCATTTCACAAAAGCAGTCTTCGTTTTCAAAATAGCTTATTACAGTTTCTTTAGCAAGTTCTAATACTACATGGAAATTATTTTAAAATTGTAGATTTTTTTCAGGAATCCATTTTGTTATATAAAGCAAAGTTCACCCATATGGAAAATGAAATAGATAATTAGCAAACATATACCTGGGAAATGTAGGATGTGTTTGAGCTTTTATATAAATATAGGATGGGTCTAAGAAGTTCCCTTATAAAAATGGGAAATAGAGGTATACAATTTATCAATAATTCCTTATGCCTAAATTACTAACCTTCCTTGGGAGGACATGTAAAGCAGCAGATTTCATAATGCTTTGGTGGTTATTTTCCTCCTCTCCGCTAAAATACACAATTTCTAACCTAGTATGGTACACTGTTTACACACACATATATAAAGATGTCCCCACAACTAAAAACTTTAATGTTTCAACTTCATCACAAATTTTTATATAATTTTTTTTTTAACAGACAGGGTCTTGCTCTGTCACCCAGGCTAGAGTGCAGTGGTGCAATCATAGCTCAGTGTAGCCTCAAACACCTGGACTCAAGCGATCCTCCCACTTCAGCCTCTTGAGTAGCTGGGACCTCAGGCACATGCCACCATGCCTGGCTAATTTTGTTGTTGTTGTTAAGAGATGGAGTCTCACTATGTTACCCAGGCTGGTCTCAAACTCCTGGGCTCAAGAGATCCTCCTGCTTTGGCCTCCCAAAGTGCTGGGATTAAAGGAATGAGCCACCATACCCAGCCCTTTTATGTAATTTGAGTAAAAGTAATTACTAAAAAGCACTTAATAGTCTAGAAATCCACCAGAACTGGGTACCTAAATTGTCCATATAGAGTAAACATGGGTACTAAACTGGACAACCCCATCAATTTTATGCTTAAGTGGCCAAATTGCCCTAAAGAAAGGGTATCTGAACCAAGGGCCAGTGATATTCCTCTGTTAGAGGCTGTTTTGTGGTCTGAAGAGTTTCTCTAAAGGGCTGAGACTCTATTCGGAAGAGGGAGCCTCAGTTACTGAATTGCGCTATTGAACCCTGAACACAAAGTACACATATATACCCTGCATCTAGCCTTGATATTTCTTCTGCTCAAGTCAAAAAACTCCGGAAGCAACAGCTTCCACCATCAAGCAATCCACATACTTAAAAAGCCATCAAAGCTAAGAATAGCAAAAGCTACCTTCCTGATTCAGTGAAGTTGCTGCTAGCACTAAAAGCAAGAGAAATTATACTTTTGTTCTTCAGATACGGTTAAAACAAAGAAAATGTTGTCAACGTTGACGCCAACATAGACATTTGCTCTATAACATATAAACTGTCTTTTAGACAGGTTATGTTAAAAATATCAGAATGCCATTTTTGTAAAGGATCTTTTTTAGGATAGACGTGGTCTCATGCTTCCTTTGTTCGCCTCCGTTTTAAAGGAGCATTGTAACCCCTATCCTCATCCCTACAAAAATCCAGTGGATGCACTTCCAAATTACTTCTGTCATTTTGTATGTGTTGTGTTTATTATGCGTAATTTTCACTGGATGATGAGATACATGGTGATACTATGTCAGTTTATTCTCTGTGAATATGTCTGTACATAGACAGGAAGCTCTACTTATTTGTACATAGGCTGTCTGAAGTATGTACTTCTGTCACATGGACTTCATTCTGATAAAGGGTGTTTCTTCTTGTTTCACTGTCCATACCTTTGTGCTTCTACTACTGATAATCAATTCATAGAATATCACTTTATGTAACTAAGTCTCCTCAGTGTGAAAAATAATAGTAATAAAATTATTGACTCAAAGAAGTATTGTTTTGTTTGGAGTAATTCTTACTTGTGGCTAATCAGGACCCTCAGGGTCACAAGAAATACATACATGGTCATGGAAGTTTAATTGCAGAGATTCAAGGGGACAACAGGGAAAGCAAGAGTTACTGTTAATTATATAGATGCTCCTCAATTTATGATGAGGTACATCCTAATAAGCCTATAAGTTAAAATATTAAGTCAAAAATGCATTTAACACACCTAATCTGCTGAACATTACAGTTTAGCCTAGTCTACATTAAAGTTGCTCAGAACACCTACACTAGCCTACAGTTGAGCAAAATCATCTAACACAAAACCTATTTTATACTAAAGTGTGGAAGATCTCATATAATTTATTGACGTTCTACTGAAAGTGCGTTGCTTCTGAACCATTGTAAAGTCAAAAATCATTAAGATAAATGAATCATCAGGACTGAGGGACCATCTGTAACTACCACTTATTGAGTGCTTACTAATATCATTTGAGCTTTTAAATATCTGTGGGAACATTGTACACTCAAGGGACTACTCCAAAGCAATTGAATTTTAATCAATTAAATATATTGAAAGTGTAAATTCAAAGGACTAGTGTTGCCTAAGCCTTGAAGTTCAACTTAAAAGTCTTGTTATAAATCTAATATTTTATATGAAAATAAGAATTCAGGCCGGGCACGGTGGCTCATGCCTGTAATCCCAGCACTTTGGGAGGCTGAGGCGGGGGAATTACTTGAGTTCAGGAGTTGGAGACCAGCCTGGCCAACATGGTGAAACCCCATCTCTACTAAAAATTCAAAAACTAGCCGGGTGTCATGGTGGGCACCTGTAGTCCCAGCTACTGGAGGCTGAGGCAGGAGAATCATTTGAACCCGGGAGGCAGTTGCAGTGAGCTGAGATTGTCCCACTGTACTCCAGCCTGGGCAACAGAGTGAGACTCCATCTTAAAAAATAAATAAATAAGAATTCATGGTGTCTTTTTCTTTGATTACCTCAGTTAACTAAGTATAAAAGATTAAATTTTAAATAATCCAATTTATAAATTTAGTTAATTAAATTCCCTCAGGCATTTTAAATTTTACACATTTAACAGACCTGATTTTCTCAAGCACTCCAAAAGCCTGACAGAATCCTAGAAAACAAAATTTTCTATGCACTTAATCAATTTCTAAGCAATTAATGTAATAAATGAAACCAAATTTAGTAAACTGGGTTATAATAAACATTTCAATACCATTTACAAACCTAATAAAAATCTATGACATCTTTAAAATTAGTATCATGAGTCTAATAAAAATTACACATTTCAAATTGCAATCAGATTATCCAATATGCTGGATTCCTTAACACCTTAAAATATACACAAAATATCCAAATGATCATAAAACATATTCCTAAACCACACCAAAGTATTAATACTACAAATTTGATTTACCTCATTATCTCTGTATTTCTATAACATTTTCCCAAGCTTTGAAAAGTCACCCAACTAACGGGCAGATTTACCATCTCGGGCAGGATACAATAACTGATGCTGAGTCACAGTACCATTACTTACCATTTGGAGAATCGACCCCAGGACATGACACATGGGCCCTTCATACTGAATTACCTCAGGACATGACATATGGGCCCTACATAGGATGTCTTAATCTCAGGGCCTTGATTTCCTCATCTATGAAATGAAAATAATAGTATCTACCTCAAATGTGGATGACATAATTAAATGAGATAATATAAGATGCTTGGATAAAATCTGGCCCATAATAATTTTTAAAGTGTTTGCTATTTTAAGACTCTCACTGCTAAAATCCAGACATAATTACCAAAGTATAATGTACTAGAAAAGAGTATGAGATAATTCTGGCCTGTGTTCTTGGAAAACCCAAAGCCTGCTGGGGTGATCAACACTTCTTGTTCTGATAATTAAGAGCCTGTTTTGGAAAAGGAACAGCTCCGGTCTGCAGCTCCCAGCACGAACAACACAGAAGGCGGGTGATTTCTGCATTTCCAACTGAGATGCTCAGTTCATCACACTGGGACTGGTTGGACAGTGGGTACAGCCCAAGGAGGGCTAGCTGAAGCAGGGTAGGGCATCGCCTTACCTGGGAAGCACAAAGGGTCAGCGAACTCCCTCTCCTAGCCAAGGGAAGCCATTAGGGACTGTACTATGCACTCCGGCCCAGATACTGCACTTTTCGCACAGTCTTTGCAACCCACAGACCAGGAGATTCCCACAAGCGCCTATACCACCAGGGCCCTGGGTTTCTAGCACAAAACTGGGCGGCCATTTGAGCAGACACCGAGCTAGCCACAGAAGTTTTCTTATCATACCCCAGTGGCAAATGGCACCTGGAACACCAGAGAGACAGAACCATTCCCTCCACTGGAAAGGGGGCTGAAGCCAGGGAATCAAGCGGTCTGGCTCAGCAGGTCCCACCCCCACAGAGCCCAGCAAGCTAAGATCCACTGGCCTGAAATTCTCACGGCCAACACAGCAGTCTGAGCTCGACCTGGGATACTTGAGCTTGGTGTGGGGAGGGGCATCCACCATTGCTGAGGCTCAAGTAGGTGGTTTTATCCTCACAGTGTAAACAAAGCCACAGGGAACTTCAAACTGGGCAGAGCCCACCGCAGCTCAGCAAGGCTCCTGTGGCCAGACTGCCTCTCTAGATTCCCTCCTCCCTGGGCAGGACATCTCTGAAGAAAAGACAGCAGCCCCAGTCAGGGACTTATAGATAAAACCCCCACCTCTCTGGGACAGAGCACCTATGGAAAGGGGTGGTTGTAGGCACAGCTTCAGCCGACTTAAACATCCCTGCCTGGCAGCTCTGAAGAGAGCAGCAGACCTCCCAGCACAGCATTCAAGCTCTGATAAGGGATAGAATGCCTCTCAAGCAGGTCCCTGACCCCCATGTATCCTGACTGGGAGACACTTCCCAGTAGGGGCTGACAGACATCTCATACAGGAGAACTCTGGCTGGCATCTGGTGGGTGACCCTCTGGGAGGAAACTTCCAGAGGAAGGAACAGGCAGCAATCTTTGCTGTTCTGCAGCCTCCACTGGTGATACCCAGGCAAACAGGGTCTGGAGTGGACCTCCAGCAAACTCCAGCAGACCTGCAGCAGAGTGGCCTGACTCTTAGGAAGAAAACTAACCAACAGAGGGGAATAGTATCAACATCAACTTAGAACCCCATCTGAAGGTCACCAACTACAAAGACCAAAGGTAGATAAATCCATGAAGATGGGAAGAAACCAGTGCAAAAAGGTGAAAATTCCAAAAACCAGAATGCCTCTTCTCCTCCAAAGGATCACAACTCCTCACCAGCAAAGGAACAAAACCGGATGGACAATTAGTTTGATGAACTGACAGAAGTAAGCTTCAGAAGGTGGGTAATAACAAACTCCTCCGAGCTAAAGGAGCATATTCTAACTCAACGCAAGGAAGCTAAGAACCTTAAAAAAAGGTTAGATGAATTGCTAACTAGAATAACCAGTTTAGACAAGAACATAAATGACCTGGAGCTGAAAAACCCAGCACAAGAACTTCATGAAGCATACAGTAGTAACAATAGCCGAATTGATCAAGTGGAAGAAAGGATATCACACATTGAAGATCAACTCAATGAAATAAAGTGAGAAGACGAGGTTAGAGAAAAAAGAGCGAAAAGAAACAAAGACTCCAAGAAATATGGGACTATGTGAAAAGACCAAATCTACCTCTGATTGGTGTACCTGAAAGTGACAGAGAGAATGGAACCAAGTTGGAAAACACTCTTCAGGATATTATCCAAGACAACTTCCCCAACCTAGCAAGACTGGCCAACATTCAAATTCGGGAAATAAGACACTCTGAGAAGAGCAACCCCAAGATACATAATCATCAGATTCACCAAGGTTGAAATGAAGAAAAAACATGTTAAGGGCAGCCAGAGAGAAAGGTCGGGTTACCCACAAAGGGAGGCCAGTCAGACTAACAGCGGATCTCTCTGCAGAAACCCTACAAGGCAGAAGAGAGTGGCTAATATTTAACATTCTTAAAGAAAATTTTCAACCCAGAATTTCATATCCAGGCAAACTAAGTTTCATAAGTGAAGGAGAAAGAAAATACTTTACAGACAAGCAAATGCTGAGAGATTTTGTCACCACCAGGCCTGCCTTACAAGAGCTCCTGAAGGAAGCACTAAACATGGAAACGAACAACTGGAACCAGCCACTGCAAAAACATACCAAATTGTAAAGACCATCAACACTATAAAGAAACTGCATCAACTAACAGGCAAAATAACCAGCTAGCATCATAATAGCAGGATCAAATTCACACATAAAAATATTAACTTTAAATGTAAACCTGCTAAATGCCCCAATTAAAAGACACAGACTGGCAAGTGGATAAAAGGTCAAGACTCAGTAGTGTGCTGCATTCAGGAGAGCCATCTCATGTGCAAAGACACACATAGGCTCAAAATAAAAGGATGGAGGAATACTTACCAAGCAAATGGAAAGCAAAAACAGAGGAGGGGTTGCAATCCTAGTGTCTGATAAAACAGACTTTAAACCAACAAACATCAAAAGAGACAAAGAAGGGAATTACGTAATAGTAAAGGGATCAATGCAACAAGAAGAGCTAACTATCCTAAATATATATTTACCCAGCAAGGAGCAGCCAGGTTCATAAAGCAAGTTCTTAGAGACCTACAAAGAGACTTAAACTCCCACACAATAATAGTGGGAGTCGGTATTAGACAGATTAACGAGAGAGAAAATTAACAAGGATATCCAGGACCTGAACTCAGCTCTGGACCAAGCAGACCTAATAAACATCTACAGAACTCTCCACCCCAAATCAACAGAATATACATTCTTCTCAGCACCACATTGCACTTATTCTAAAGTTGACCACATAATTGGAAGTAAAACACTCCTCAGTAAATGCAAAAGAACAGAAGTCTTAACAAACAGTCTCTCAGACCACAGTGCAATCAAATTAGAACTCAGGATTAAGAAACTCACTCAAAACTGCACAACTACATGGAAACTGAACAACTTGCTCCTGAATGACTACTGGGTAAATAACAAAATGAAGGCAGAAATGGATATTCTTTGAAACCTATGAGAACAAAGATACAACATACCAGAATCTCTAGGACACATTTAAAGCAGTGTGTAGAGGGAAATTTATAGCACTAAATGCCCATAAGAGAAAGCAGGAAAGATCTAAAATCGACACCCTAACATCAAAATTAAAAGAACCAGAGAAGCAAGAGCAAACAAATTCAAAAGCTAGCAGAAGACAAATAACTAAGATCAGAGAAGAACTAAAGGAGATAGAGACACGAAAAACGCTTCAAAAAAAAAAAAAAAAAATCAACGAATCCGATAGCTGGTTTTTTGAAAAGATCAACAGACTAAATAGACACTAGCCAGACAAAGAAAAGAGAGAAGAATCAAATAGATGCAATAAAAAAATGATAAAGGTGAGATCACCACTGATCCCACAGAAATACAAACTACCATCAGAGAATACTATGAACACCTCTATGCAAATAAACTAGAAAATCTAGAAGAAATTGATAAGTTCCTGGACACATACGCCCTCCCAAGTCTAAATCAAAAAGAAGTTAAATCCCTGAATAGACCAATAACAGGCTCTGAAATTGAGGCAATAATTAATAGCCTACCAACCAAAAAAAGTCCAGGACCAGATGGATTCATAGCCGAATTCTACCAGAGGTACAAAGAGGAGCTGGTACCATTCCTTCTGAAATTATTCCAAACAATAGAAAAAGAGGGAATCCTCCCTAACTCATTTTATCAGGCCAGCATCATCCTGATACCAAAACCTGGCAGAGACACAACAAAAAAAGAAAATTTCAGGCCAACATCCCCGATGAACATTGACGCAAAAACCCTCAAAAAAAATACCGGCAAAACGAATCCATCAGCACATCAAAAAGCTTATCCACCATGATCAAGTGGGCTTCATACCTGGGATACAAGGCTAGTTCAACATATACAAATCAATAAATGTAATCCATCACATAAACAGAACCAATGACAAAAATGACATGATTATCTCAATAGATGCAGAAAAGGCCTTCAACAAAATTCAACACGTCTTCATGCTAAAAACTCTCAAACTAGGTATTGATGGAACATATCTTAAAAGGCATTTATGACAAACCCACAGCCAATATCATACTGAATGGGCAAAAACTGGAAGCATTCCCTTTGAAAACTGGCACAAGACAAGGATGCCCTCTCTCACCACTTCTATTCAGATAATATTGAAAGTTCTGGCCAGGGCAATCAGGCAAGAGAAAAAAATAAAGGGTATTCAACTAGGAGAAGAGGAAGTCAAATTGTCTCCTTTGCAGATGACATTATTGTATATTTAGAAAACCCCATCATCTCAGCCCAAAATCTCCTTAAGCTGATAAGCAACTTCAGCAAAGTCTCAGGATACAAAATCAATGTGCAAAAATCACAAGCATTCATATACACCAATAACAGACAAATAGCCAAATCATGAGTGAAATCCCATTCACAATTGCGACAAAGAGAGTAAAATACCTAGGAATACAACTTACAAGGGAAGTGAAGGACCTCTTCAAGGAGAACTACAAACCACTGCTCAAAGAAATAAGAGAGGACACAAATAAATGGAAAAACTTTCCATGCTAATGGATAGGAAGAATCAATATCCTAAAAATGGCTATACTCTCCAGAGTAATTTATAGATTCAATGCTATCCCCATCAAGCTACAACTGACTTTCTTCACAGAATTGGAAAAAGTACTTTAAACTTCATATGCAACCAAAAAAGAGCCCTCATAGCTAAGACAATCCTAAGCAAAAAGAACAAAGCTGGAGGCATTATGCTACCTGACTTCAAACTATACTACAAGACTACAGTAACCAAAACAGCATGGTACTGGTACCAAAATAGATATATAGACCAATGGAACAGAACAGAGGCCTCAGAAATAATACCACACATCTACAACCATCTGATCTTTGACAAACCTGACAAAAACAAGAAATGGGGAAACAATTCCCTATTTAATAAATAGTGTTGGGAAAACTGGCTAGCCATAAGCAGAAAACTGAAACTGGATCCCTTCCTTACACCTTATACAAAAATTAACTCAAGATGGATTAAAGACTTAAACATAAGACCTAAAACCATAAAAATCCTAGAAGAAAACCTAGGCAATACCATTCAAGACACAGGCATGGGCAAAGAATTCATGACTGAAACATCAAAGGCAATGGCAACAAAAGCCAAAATTGACAAATGAGATCTAATTAAACTCAAGAGCTTCTGCACAGCAAAAGAAACTACCATCAGAGTGAATGGGCAACCTACAGAATGGGAGAAAACTTTTGCAATCTATCCATCTGACAAAGGGCTAATATCCAGAATCTTCAAAGAACTTAAATTTACAAGAAAAAAACAACCCCATCAAAAAGTGGGTGAAGGATATGAACAAACACTTCTCAAAAGAAGACATTTATGCAGCCAACAAACATATGGGGGAAAAAAGCTCATCATCACTGGTCATTACAGAAATGCAAATCAAAACCACAATGAGATACAATCTCACGCCAGTTAGAATGGCAATCATTAAAAAGTCAGGAAACAACAGATGCTGGAGAGGATGTGGAGAAATAGGAACACTTTTACACTGTTGGTGGGAGTGTAAATTAGTTCAACCATTGTGGAAGACAGTATGGCAATTCCTCAAGGATCTAGAACTAGAAATACTATTTGACCCAGCAATCCCATTACTGGATATATACCCAAAGGATTATAAATCATTGTACTATAAAGACACACACACAGGTCTGTTTATTGTGGCACTGTTCACAATAGCAAAGACTTGGACCCAACCCAAATGTCCACCAACAATAGACTGGATTAAGAAAATGTGGCACATATATACCATGGAATACTATGCAGCCATAAAAAAGTATGAGTTCATGTCCTTTGCAGGGACATGGATGAAGCTGGAAACCATCATTCTCAGCAAACTGTCACAGGAACAGAAAACAAAGCACCACATGTTCTCATAAATGGGAGTTGAACAATGAGAACACATGGACACAGGGAGGAGACATCACACACTGGGGCCTGTCGGAGGGGTGGGGGGCTAGGGGAGGGATAGTATTAGGACAGATACCTAATGTAGATGTCAGGTTGATGGGTGCAGCAAACCACCATGGCACATATATACCTATGCAAAAAACCTGCACATTCTGCACATGTACCCTAGAACTTGAAGTATAATTTTAAAAAAAAGGAGCCTGTTTTAATAACGTTCTCTAGATTTTGGCCTCAACCAACGTCAAGCCAGCTGGTCTTCAGTATACTCGTGAAATATTTTTCTCCATCTTGAAGACTGTGGTTGTTTTGCTCGTCTTTGTTTTCCTCTGTACGCTGAGGGTTAACACGCAGGTGTCTGGAGCTCTCACACACAAAGTTCTCGTCTCACTACCCTTCCGGGTCATTGCCCAAGGTCTTGAGACTTACAACCACTTAAGTTGTTTCCATATAGTTTTATCATCTTATTTCCCAAATGGCTTTGTTCCCTGTTACTGATGTTGGTTTTATCTTCTTCAGGACACAAACCCTTCTCTGGACAGAGAGACAGACTTGAAATGCAAATTGAGCAGGTCTAATTGTTTTCTATCATCCTCAACTCACTTGGAAGCACCAAGTCCACTCTTCCTTATTTTTACTTTGTCTAGGTAGCCAAATTAACCTCTTGTATAGTCAGTCCTTAGCCTTTTAAAAGAAAGCATAACTCTTATTTATGGCTTTTAAATATTTCTTGAAGTTGGTGAGCAATAAATGACCTACAGAAGTACTTGGGAAACCTGATGTTAATAAAGAAGTTTTGATTAGCTTGTCAATTACTTGAATATAAAAAAATACTTCTAAATGGCTTAAAAACCCTTTTCAATTTTAATATCTTCAAAATTCCCATAGCAATTATTTATACTGACAGTTGGCTTACAAACATCTTTATCACGAATGGGTCTTTTTTAATACCACTTCCTGGTTGTCAGAAGTATCAAGTTACTGGGGTCCCCATGAATTGGGAAGTTAGGAAATAGACAGAAGTCTTGACACAAAGTGTACTATGATCAGAATCCAGACTGTTGGGAAGACTGACTTTCTGTGTCTCTCCTTATGCAACAATGTGAAAGTTATTCCATGACTCTGAATCACCAGTTTCTTGCCTATGTAATACTATTACTATATTACTACCCCCACAGGGCTGTTGGAAAGATTGAGTTATAACTCCATAAAGTGCCTGGCTTATAACAGGCTCTTAAAAGATGTTAGCTCCCTCCTCCCCACCTCATGTGACTTTGAACACTTATATAACCTCTCTAAGATTCAGAAAACCTCTAACATGAGTTCTTTGTTGGGTTATCTGAATACTTTCTAAGCTTAAAGATTACATATATCCTAATTGTCTTAGTACTCTAATAATACTACATCCATCAGAAAACCCATTGCTTCCTGGGATGCCACTGGTCTTCGTCCCCCCACCTACCCTAATCCAGCAATATACCAGGTGACCTGGGAATCTAATAGCCTGGCCTGGTTAATAAGCACATACCAAGAAGGACTTTATTTCAGTCTAAGTGGCAGGGTCATCCAGGACATTAAAAATTCTGAAGTGCACCAAAGACCTCGGAATTCCCACATCTTTTGGAGGCTGTGATGATGTATACCTACAAAAAACATACTGAAATACTGAACTACTGCCTGGTCAATTTTGCCTTTAGGGCCAACTAGAACATTAACCACACTCTGTATCTCTCTACAGGGACAGGCCTAAGATATTGCAAACCTGGAATTGATAAACACTTGGTAAATCTTGCCACTCATGATCCCTTACCCATGGGATCCCATCAGCAATGAAACACAGCACCACTTCCCACTATCCTTTCTCAGCAGAACATTCCAAGAAACTGCTACCAGCCTGTCACATTGGCATGCAAAGGAAAACCTAACTGCCATGTTCTAGTCTCTCCTGTCAGTGAGGATAATGAGAACTAAATAGGCCATTTTACTTTTCTGAGGTCACACTATGAAGCAACAGAACTGGATATTAGGGTCTGTTTTTTTCATTTTGCGAATGGTCTTTGCTGCAATAGTCAAAATGCACTGGAGGTGTTTTACATGTTAACAAGGGTGTTTTCACAGCGAGCCGTGATGCACATGGGTGTCAGGGTTGAGGATTTGCCACTCACAAGCCAGAGTATCTGAAGAACTGTGATAAAAAGCTTCTTGTTTAAAAGGCTTAGGTTAGGTCAGTAGTTAAGTTCTAGCCAGACAATGACTAATAGCAGGTTTTAATTAGTGAGAACTATGAGAAAAGAAGAGAAAGACTTTTGCTGCTGGAATTTAATAATGGAATTTCCAGTAAATAATAACAATCACCTCAAGGATCAAAAAACGTTATGCCCACATTTGATCACAAAATGGTCGGAATTTATGCACCTATCTCTGTCTGCTGGCAGAGGCTAATGACCCATGTCCTTGAAATGAATCAGGGCAGGGAAAGTTGTAAACATTCTAACTTCCCTGTTTCTTCCCAGGAGCTCACTCAAATGTGTAATCAATCTCAGTATCAGTTCCACTAGACTTCATGGGGGAAGAAAAAGAACACGTTTTTTGTGGGGAAAATAGTGCCATTCATTCTCATTGGTCTAATTCAGGGATGGTCTTCAAAAGAGCCTGAGAGATGGAAGGAAGACTGTGTCTGTGCGCAGCATCCTCAAATTCCCTGTCCATCTCTGGACTATTGCCTAGAATTTTGCCCTAGCACCTTATCTCTCCAGCTCAATGATTCTCAACCAACAGGCTGTACCTGAAGGGCACCTGAAACAATAGGAGGCTTTTTCAAACTACTTGTGTCAAACCCAGCCCCCACCACTTCCAGTTGCCCTCTCCAACCCCTCCAGTGTGTTCTTCCATGTGAGAGCCATAGACAGCCCTCCACTCAGGAAGTGGTCCATAACCCACAGCAGTGTTGGATGGAAAAAAATATTAAGAATCCGATTTAGCCTAACACCCTGATCTCTCTGGAAATTGTAACTGGCACAAGGAGTTCATCTCGAGTTTCTCCAAGTGATCGTGCAGAATGCCCTGTGTTCATTCACGCATTCAACAACAGGGATTCAACACGTGTGATGTGCCAGATACAGGGCTTAACACTGTGGCACCAGGGAACATAAGTCTCAGTCCCTGTTCTCAACCACTTCACTGTCCACAGAGGAAGACAAAATAGTGTTAGCTTGATGCAAAAGTAATTGCTGTTTTTGCCATTGAAAGTAAGGGCAAGACCAGGCCAAGCACGGTGGCTCACACCTGTAATCTCAGCATTTTGGGAGGCTGAGGCAGGTGGATTACCTGAGGTCAGGAGTTCTAAGTGGTGGATTTTTTAAATGTGATGTTTGGGAGAACAACATTGAGCATAGCTGAAAATGTAGGGACTCCTGGGAAGTGGAGAGATGTCAGCACCAGATTGCAGAGGACCTGTTCTAATCCAGGGAGTAGCATGGACCCTATCCTGCCACCAGATGTCATTCACCAGCTTGTGGCATGGTCACATTGGGACTTAAGAGAGCCTTCTGCACATACTGAAAAGAAATGGCTTGGATTTGCTTCCAAGTAATCTAGGTGTATGGAAGAAACCAGGTGGGCTGTAAGTTAATCGTTGAGGCTGGATGATGGCTACTCAGGAGTCGATTATGCTATTCTGTTTCTACATGATTGACATTTTCTATTATAAACAATTATCTTAAAACGGTAGTACAGAGAAAGCTCTCAGGAACTGTCACTCTCAACTGTTATCAACCATTTGCACCTCAGTGTGAAAGGAGGAAAGTTCTGATGGGAAAGAAAGACTTAGGGGATGCCTGGCGTGAGAGACCAGAGAAGTAGAACCCAGGAGGGAAAAGGCAGTCAACAGAGAGGCACAGGCATTCCAACACCAGTCAGCCTCCCTCCCTCCTGCCCGCTGCCACAGCGCCCCCACCAGTTGCTCTCCCACCTGGACACTTGTGGCTGATACAGGCTGCATGATACATGCTGCGTGGAGGGTAAACACACCTGATAGCAATAACATAAGCAGACCCTGAGGATGACCCTGTATGGCAGACACATCTGAATGTGTGTTTCAAGCTAAGGAATCCGGCATGGCCAACCTGGAGATTCATACCTTATCAGTGATGAACATCCGAGCCCCCCACCCATCCCATGGAATGCGGGCCATACAAGGGATTGAGGCCCTGAGTTTTGGGCTAAACAAAGGTTGCCAGGTGGAGGTCATTAAGGGGAGGGTGTTAGGTGAAAACGCTATTTAAACTGCACACTGTTTGCAAGCAGTTACGGTTTTCCTGCCCAGCCTGCTGCCACTGGACTGTTTGTAAGGTGGCTATCTTGTCCAGCACACCACCACTGGACTCTCTCCCCTGTATGTGAGCCCCTAATAAAACCCCCACATTGGCCGGGCATGGTGGCTCATGCCTGTAATCTCAGTACTTTGAGAGGCCAAGGCAGGAGGGATCACCGGAGGTCAGGAGTTCAAGACCAGCCTGGCCAGCATGGTAAAACCCTGTCTCTACTAAAAATACAAAAATTAGCTGGGTGTGGTGGCACGTGCCTGTAATCCCAGCTACTTGGGAGACTGAGGCAGGAGAATCGCTTGAACCCAGGAGGCGGAGGTTGCAGTGAGCCAAGACCACACCACTGCACTCCAGCCTGGGTGACAGAGAAAGACTCCATCTCCAAAAAAAACACCATGTCTCCTTTGCTGGCTCTGAGTCTCTTCTTCAGCCTCCTGAACCTAGTGCCTTCCCTATTGAGGTTAATAGGGGTTTGGCACAACACAAGGCCAGGCCACTTCTGCCCTGACCCCCTGGATTTGATCTAGTTTTTTTTCCTGGGGCCACTGCTGACTTCTTCCCCACAAAGGATGCCCAGGTGGCTGCAGGACTTCCTGAGCCCACTTTACCATCCTGATGACTTGAGTCTTTTCTGAACTGAGCCATTTTGTCTGGGGTCTTGGATCTAAGATGTGTCTAAGATCTTGTGCCATCTCCTTAAGGAGAAAGGGTTCACTCCGGGACAAGAGTAGGGTTACACTAGGAGGGTTCCAAACCAAATGAACTCCTGAGACCACTGCAGAGTGGCTCCTCAACCAGGAGGTTCAGAGAACTTCCTTCCCTGTGAGCCTCAGGAGAAGAAATTGTCAGGAGTTATCGCTCACTTGTGACAGAACAGGTGCTGTCTGACAGGAAGAAGATAAATTGAAACCCGTGTGTGCAACTGAGAGAGTATGAGTGAGTTCATGCAGGAAAGACAGCACTAGACCAGGAAAAATACTCCTCAGAAAATCCATTACATCCACAAGCATGTGGGCCAAGTCAAGGGGTGTCTATTGAAAGAAAGGAAACTGTTCTTGTTTTAAGGCAACATTAAATCCAAAGATCCTGGGCTGTTCAGACAGGGAGTTAAGGGGGACTCCTTCCTGCATCTCCATGTTGAATGGGGCAGAGGGAATGGGAATATGGTTACTGAGCTGCCAAAATAGAACCATCTTCCCTCCTCATCGGAACTTTGCCTGACAACCTTCTCCGCTCGGGTTCTTTACTCCGCTTTTTCTGTTGGGGTTGCGAAAGGGAGAATCATAATCTTCCTATCAGCTGCTTTGACATCTGCCGTAGTTTGGCAGGAACTAATCTAATGACGAGAGACTGACTCAGATTCTTTCTGGGAAGAGGCATTTTGGGGACAAGAAAGCAAAAGAGGATATGTGCGAGCAAAGCCCCAGAAGTCGGCAGCGAGAACAGGCTTCCCAGACAGCCACCTCCCACAGTCACTGGGCATTGCCAGGTGGCCAGGCTGTGGGGTGGGGGCAGTCCCCTCAGCCACGCTGAAAGCAGGTGGGCGTCCAGCCAACACCGCTGCTACACCCCAGGCCGCCTTCCTGAGCACCAGTTGCCGAGGCAACCGGGGTACTTTGCAAATATCTTTTTTAGATGTGACTTCCAGAAAAAAAGGGCAAGGTGACAAGAGGGATGGAAGGAACAGAGAGATACCAGGCTGACGCTTGACACTGAAAATGCAGCCAGAAGTTCTTGGTGCTGCTGCCCTCTACAGGCAAAATCGTAGATTACGACGCTCACCCACCAAAAATGCCCTGAAAATGAAATGTCTCACTTTCCCACCAAGTAGCCTGGGAGTAACAAAACAGGAGCAGGGATAGGGAAGGCCCAGGGGTCCAGCTACAGCCATGGTATCACCAGAAAGGGAAGAGACAATTTGAGAAACACTAGGTCAAAAGTCAAATGTTGCCAGTTCTGGAAATTGCTTGGTAATAATGTGATTGTACATACAAATGCAAAAGCAGGCACTGAAATCTACATGCTGCAGTTGGCTTGGAGACCGTCATCTATGCCATTCATGCACTGCCAGTTTTGTGGGGAACCTGGTGGTAAACCACTGGTAGACCACCTGCTTCTGGCTGGGAATTTTGTATGTAGCAGAGCAGCTCCCTCGCCGTCCTCTATTGTAAGTCAGCACTTCTTGATACAAGGGTTTGTAAAAAGAAAAAAAAAAATGAAGGAAACAAAGATAATCTATAATCCACAATCGGGGTGAATCTTTTCTATTTTGACAATGAAATCACAATTATAACAATGTTATAAGGAATTCTCATGCCCTCAAGAACGTGCTGGGTATCCTCTGTGTAAAGCAAGGATACAATTTAATCTTTGCTTATAAAAATGCTCCAGCTTCCATGACTCAGGTACACTGCAGACCGCCACCAGGAGTAGCAGCACCTGGGAATGCATACACAAATTCCCAGGCCCCACATCAGACCTGCAGACCCTGAAACTCTGGGGGTGGAGCCCAGAAATCCGTGCTTTGACAAGCCCTCCAGGTGATTCTGATGTCCACTAAAATTTGAGAACTAATGATTTATGTAACAATTATTCATTTGAAACTCCAAATATTACTCATTTCAACACACTCATTCATTTCAGGCAGTGACTGAGAGAAGAAATGAGTTGAGATAAAGGCAAGGTGTGCAGAAGAAGCAAAGCCTATCCCCTCCCTGCCTGGGCAGGTATCACAATCTTAGAATCTCAGGATATCACAAATTCCCCTCTCTACCATTGAGGGAAAGGTGATTCCCTCTGCTCCTGGCCAGACCTTCAAGCTCAAAATGAGCTTCTAGTAATACAGGTGATCTAGGGATTAAGAGAAATAGGTTGTTTGGCAGGAGGTGCAGGACAAAGGAGGTTATTGCCAATTGAGCACTGATGCCAGAACTCTCAGAAGGACCCTGTTATGCAAGTAGAAGTACCCCATTAACAGACGCAGGAACTGAGCCCTTAGGGAAGTCAAATGACTTGCCCAAAGTCATCTCACTACTTAGAAGAAATGAGATTAGGACTAAGGCCCATGTGACAAAGAAGACCATGTCTTTCTTCTAAATTCTACTGGGCCACTCTTAGCACTGTCTAAAAGAACTGTGATAGAAATGTCCTTTGTCTGTAGCCACTAGCCACTCGTGACTATTGAACACTTGAAATGTTGCAGGTGACCAGGTGCTGTGGCTCACACCTGTAATTCCAACAGTTTGGGAGACTGAGGTGAGAGAATTGCTTGAGGCCAGGGATTTGAGACCAGCCTGGGCAACACTGTGAAAACTTGAAACAAAAAAAAAAAAAAAAAATTGGCCAGGTGTGGTGTCTCATGCTTATAATCCCAGCACTTTGGGAGGCCAAGATGGGCGGATCTCTTGAGCTCAGTTGTTCAAGACCAGCCTGGGCAACATGGTGAAAACCTATCTCTACAAGATACCAAAAAAAAAAAAAATTACATTAGCTGGGCATGGTGGTGCATGCCCATAGTCCAACTACTGGAGAGGCTGAGGTGGGAGGATCGCTTGAGCCTGGGAGACGGAGGTTATAGTGAGCCGAAATCACAACACTGCACTCCAGACTGGTTGACAGAGTGACAGTGAGACCCTATCTAAAAAAAAAAAAAAAAAAAAAAAAAAAAATTTAAATTCACCAGGTATGGTGGTGCCTACCTGTAGTCCCGATTACTCAGGAGGCTGAGGCAGGAGGATCACCTGAGCATAGGAGTTTGAAGCTGCACTGAGCTATGATACCACTGTACTCCAGCCTGAGTGACAGAGCAAGATCCTGTCTCAAAAAAAAAACAAAAAACAAAAAAACCACACACACACAAAGGAGAAGAAAGGAATAAAGGAAGGTTGCAGATGTGGTGTAACTGAGAAACTAAATCTTTCATTTATTTTAAATTACTTTAAAGTAGTCACATGGGGTTAGTGACTATTCTATTGCAGAGTGGAGGATCATATAGTTTTGTGTAACAATGCCTCAAGAGTGGAAATCTTCACCCAAAATAATCCTCAGGGGGAAAAAAACACAAAAGAGCATTGACAGAGCTAGCAATTTGTCATCTTATTAATCTTTTCTTAATGGAAATGCTGACAGATTCTTAACAGTGTCTAAGAAAATGCAATTAATCCACAGACTCAGATTTAAAGAAGCCTGCCTTCCTGAATGTTGGCAGTTGGCAGAAGCCAGGGATGGCAGTGTGAGGTGCCCCATACCACAAGCTAATGGCCTGAAAGAGGACAGAGAAGGCAAATGGAACCCACTTCAGCAGCCATCTTTTACCCACTTGACAGACTTTAGAGACACCCTGTCTTGCTTCTCCTAATCGCTGTTCTGTATGTTGAGAGGACATATCAGACAGTTACACCATTGAAACTGACCCATAGCAATGAACGTAGTAGGAATAACTGATCTTGCATTACTTGGTGCTGGGCAGTGCAGTGCAGTCTCCCGAGATGGTAGTCTAGAGTGGCAAACCTGCCGAAGATGGAGAAGACAGATAATAGTGTATGTCATCTAGTGAATGTAGTTGGCATCTGTGCCTTGGCCATTCAGCACGCTCATAGACGGGAAACCCAGCCCAAGGAGCTGTTTAATAGATCTCAGAACAGGTGAAGGACCCCCGCCCCGCCAATTAAGGATCTATTGAATAAGACTGTCTCTTCTTATCAGTAAGCAGGTTCCACTCTGCAATTCCACTCCAAGCCTTATGAATTGCCTAAGATTCTGAGCCGTTTTCAATAGAATAAGCAAATCAGCAATAGCTGAGGTGGAAAAATGCCCTATCAGTGTGCTCTGCAAAAGCAAGGCCTTGGTCCAAACCTGGGGCCCGCAGAAAGGTGGTGGAGAAACAGATGGTGAGGATGAGGAGTGAAAGGACTGAGACAAGCCTCCAAAGCCACCAAGAGAATTGAGAGAAATTCTGAAAGTTGGGTATTAGGGCCTATGCAATGCAGGGCAACATAAGAGTTAAAGGAATTTTTTTGTCATCACTATAAGGATAAAATAATTAACAGCAGAGGAAAAAGGAAAATAAAAAGCAGCACAAAAACAGGGTTCTCTTTCCAGTCTGTGCTCTGCATGGTGCCTTTACACTCACCAAGCTACTTTCAGAGACAGAGCCTGTCACATACTTCACTGGTATCTACCAAAGTCCAGCACATTTCTGGGCACATAGTAGACCCTTAAAATTCTAATCAGTTTGAAGTTACTGTGCTACATGGTGACTTTTCTAAGCCAGTACTTCTCAAACTTTCATGTGCATATTAATCACCTGCATGGTTTGTTAAAATGATTTCAATTTTGAATCTCTTTTTTAAGAGACAGGATCTCGCTCCGTCACCCAGGTTGGAGTACAGCAGTGCAATCAGAGCTCACTGCAGCCTCAATCTCTTAGGCTCAAGCGATCCTCCCACCTCAGCTTCCCCAGCAGCTAAGACTACAGACATGCACCGCTGTATTAGTCCGTTTTCATACCGCTATGAAGAACTGCCCAAGACTGAGTAATTTATAAAGGAAAGAGGTTTAATTGACTCACTGTTCAGCGTGGCTGGGAAGGCCTCAGGAAACTTACAATCGTGGTGGAAGGCAAAGAGGAAAGCAAAGCACCCACCTTCACAAGGTGGCAGGAAGGAGAAACGCCAAGCAAAGGGGGAAGAGCCCCTTATAAAACCATCAGATCTTGTGAGCACTCACTCACTAGCACGAGAACAGCATGGGGGAAACTGCCTTCATGATTCAATTACCTCCACCTGCTCTCTCCCTTGACATGTGGGGATTATGGGGATTATAATTCAAGATGAGATTTAGGTGGGGACATAAAGCCTAACCATATCAACCACCATGCCTGGCTATTTTTTTTTAAGAGATGGGATCTTGAAATGTTGCCCAGGCTGGTCTCATTTTCCTGCCCTCAAGCAATCCTCCTACCTCAGCCTCCCAAAGTGCTGGAATTACAGGTGTGAGCCACCGCACCTGGCCTCTAAATCACTGTTTCAGTAGCTCTGGAATGAGGCTTGAAATTCTGCATTTCTAACACATTCCCAAGGGAGGCCAACAAGCTGGCCACGGACCACACTTTGAACAATGAGCCCTTATTTTTCTCTGCTGGTCACAAGCTAGCTTAGCTGGTTGAAAACCACACTAGGGCAATCAAGGACATCAGTTTGATCTCCATCAGGGGGATCCCTCTTGCTCCATGGTTGCAGGCTGAACCCACAGCTCCAGCCAGTTATCTTGGGTCTTGGATACACAGTCACACACACACACACACACACACACACACACACACAGTGGGGAAATACAATGGGAAGAGATCACCAGGCCTATCTGAAGGCTGGCATATTATACCTGGGCTGCCATGGGGCAGCCCCACCTAAGTAATAGCTATGTTCTCCAGTAGCCCTGACTCTGCCCTTCCCCTCCCCAATGTCCTCTTAACCCTATTCTCTGGACATTGATTTTAGAATTGCTTTTAGACAAATTCACTCAGAAGCAGGACTGCAAACAAGTCTCCTCTCTCATGCTGACTGGATGATCCAAAGTGGCTGCCTACAGAGCTATCTTGAAAAAGACTCTGAAACCAGATTCTGGCTCTGCTGGAATAGCTATCATCATGGATTAATGTTGTCTAGTGTGGGGGAAAGATGGGCAAAGTGGCAGCATAGCCAGCATGGGGCAGACTCTAAGCAGGTGTGAGGATTTTACAGGGAGGCTTATCTTGCCTCCTCTCAGATCCCAGAACAAGGGGAAGCTGGTGGGCAATCACAGGGTAATTCCTCTAGCACTCCTCGGAGCTCATTCAGCATGAAACTCTTCTGATGAGGGCACAAGTGCTTCTCTGTGTCCTGCTCACTGGCTCGGGCTGAAGAATCAGGCCCCAGGTCTCTTAACTTTCATCCAAGGCACTTCTGTCTGAAAGGGGCACTAAGAAGAAATGAACACTTTAATGTGACTAGTCAATGATTAGCCTTTGAGTTCATCCTTCTTCAGTGTACCATAGGAAAATACATTTTTCCTTGAGCTATAACAGTGGGAATATTCCAGAACTCTGCCTTTTTCACAACAGCAGTATCTGCGTTATTAAGAAACAGATGGGAGACTGGGTACTTCCTGCTTTGAAGTCTGAGGCACATGCCTATACTTCTATAAAGAACTCAAACCATTAAGTAATTACTTTTATGAAACTGCATTATCTGGAACTCTACCCTTGTAACCTATCCGCTGAACAGCCCTAAGTGCAGGATCCTCATATCACAGAAATGGGCCTCCTGCTGTTTGTTCCCTTCTGCAGAATTATTGGCTTCATCTACTCAGGGACATAAGTGAGGGCTGTGAGAAACAGAGTGAGGTATCTGGGTGTGCTTGCATGCCACCTCCAGATTCTGATGTCACCAACCTGCTGTTCATAATAGAGCTAAGTCCATACATAACCTGGTATGTAAAATTCAGAGCTCCAGTGGCACCCAGGCAGATAGCATGTAGGCATCAGATCCATGAAGAACTGCAAAAATAATATTAAAGATTTAAAAATATGTTTTTGTTGTTGTTTCTGAGACAGGGTCTGTCACCTAGGCTGGAGTGCAGTGGCATGATCATGGCTCATCGCAGCTGACGTCTCAGACTCAACCGATTCTCCCACCTCAGCCCACCAAGTAGCTGGAACCACAGGCATGCACGACCAAGCCTGGCTAATTCTTTTTTTATAGAGATGGGGTCTCCCTATGTCGCCCAGGCTGGTCTGAAACTCCTGGGCTCAAGGAATCCTTCCGCCTAGGCCTCCCAAAATGCTGGGATTACAGGCATGAGCTACCATGCCTGGACAAAAAAAATAATAATAATACAGTTGTAAGAAATTTCTTCACTGCATATTTGCTACTGTACTTAATGTTCATGAACTGTTAAAGTTGCTGTGTACAAAGATGGAATTCATGTAATAGAATTCCTCAATGTGACAATAGGCCTATACTATTATTTGCTGTGTGATGATTCATTTAATTCTCCTATGCTTATCTCTATTTGCACAGCTTATGAAATCCTTGCTCATTTATACATTAGGGCTTCACTTGGATGCAACCCATCGTCTGTATGTTAATATTTGTTACTAGGATTCTTTTCTCATTGGCCCGTAATAAAGTAGTACGTATCTCAAAAAAATATTCATAAAGCAAGAAGTAGAAAAGACAACTAATCTGGATCTTCTTGGAAGGGTTTAATAATGCATGGCTCTAGACTCCCAAACCTGCCCAAGAAGGAAGAGGTCTGGAGAGATCATACGCATGTGTCACATGTGTGCATATAGGCACAGTGGTCCATGGCTATGTTGAATTTTCTAACGTAGCTTCCAGGAGCCAGGCACAGTGGCTTGCATCTGTAATATCAGCTACTTGGGAGGCTGAGGCAGGAGGATTGCTTGATCTTGGAAGTTCAAGACTAGCCTGGGAAACATAGCCATCTCGAAAAAAAAAATTTTTTTGGCCGGGCACGGTGGCTCACACCTGTAATCCCAGCGCTTTGGGAGGCCGAGGCGGGTGGATCACCTGAGGTCAGGAGTTCAAGATCAGCCTGGCCAACATGGTGAAACCCCGTCTCTACTAAAAATTAAAAAATTAGCCAGGTGTGGTGGCGGATACCTGTAATCCCAGCTACTTGGGGTGCTGAGGCAGTAGAATCGCTTGAACCCAGGAGGCGGAGGTTGCAGTGAGCTGAGATCGTGCCACTGCACTCCAGCCTGGGTGACAAGAGCAAGACTCTGTCTGAAAAAAAATAAATAAATAAGAAGAAAAAGCTAGACAAACACTTGTTAACCAGAGACCCCTCTTGGAAAGAGCATACGCTCTGAGAACGGATCAGATCAAGGATTGAATATGATGTTGGACCTAGAAATTCCACTTCTAGTAATCTAATCTACAAGTATACAGAGAACATTAGAGGTTGTTCACTCTGGCATTGTTTGTCACAACAAAAACTGGAAACAACCTATGTGTCCACCAGTAGGGAAAGTAGTTGCATAAAACATGGTACCTTTATTCAGTCGACTGCTATATAGATATTTAAAGGAATGGAGTAATTCTGTTTGTGCTGCTATGGAAAGAGCTCTTAGCTATATTGTTAAGTGAAAATAGTGAGCTATAGCATCGTGGATATATTGGACCCCCATTTATGTATATGTACAAAATAATTGTATCAAAATACACACAAAACCCTTAATGGTGTTTACATGTGGAGAGTAGGACTTAGAATGTGTTTTCCTATCCCAAGAGTAAAAATGAGACTTTCTCATCCTCATTTTCCCTTTTGTGTACCATTTGAATTTTTCTCATGTGTATATGCTATTTTCATCATTGAAAAATAAAATCCTACTTCTGCCACTTAACAACTGTGGTTGATTGCAAAAGTAGACCCAATTCTCACCCCTATCTCTCCGTGCTCCCCTTTGCAATATGACTTTGCAGGTCTTTCCATCTAGTGGTGGAGTCTATTTCACCTACCCTTGCATCTGGGCAGGCCTCATGACTTGCTTTGGCCAACAGATTATGGTAGACGTGGTGCAGTGCCAGTTCCAAGCCTAGGCATCAGGAGGCCTTGCACCTGTCCACTCTTCCTCTTGGAATCCTACCAATCTGCCATGTGAACAAGCCCAGGCTAGCCTGTAGGAGCATGAGAGCAATCATGTGGCCAGTTGTGCCCTACTCCTAACAATCCAGCTGACAGCCAGACAATCTCTAAAACTGTGAGCTAAATAACTGGTTGTTGTTTTAAGCCACTAATTTGGGGACTGTTTGCAACACAGCAAGATCTAACTGGTCTTCCAACCATGTCATCTTGGGAAGCATCTCTTTCCTTTTTTGAAAGACGGGGCTAATTATCCACTACATTTTTTTTCAAAAGTTTAAGTGAGATAACATGTAACAATTCAAATAGTAGTTCCTTTCCCCTTCCCCAATGCCAATGATAGAATATGAATCTTGAAGGATGGATGCCCTCACCAAGCCAGAAGGAAGGCATCACCCTGTGCCTGCCTGAAAAGTTGATGACTTCACCCAGTGGCACAGGCCTGGGGTTGGAAGTGCCAGAATTACGGGTGGGTGGAATTGTGGGTGTGTACTGGGAACATTGAGTAAGATCTTCCTAGCCAGCCCCTACAGAAAGAGCTCTGAAGGTTCAGTAAGAGGACATGCAAATCTATACACTGGGGGCACCTCCTGACAGAGCTGGAGATGGAGAGAAAGGACTAGAACTTTCTCAGCAGGGCCACTCTGGAGGTCAGCTCAAAGCCAGGAAGGGGTGAGAAGATTCCTAATGGAAGTCTTTACTTCAGCAGAATTTGCCACAGCTGTGGCAGCCATCACAGCCCCTCACCCATTAGGTGGCTGCAGTGCAGAGCTGTTGGAGGTCTTTCTCCTCTGGAGATAGCAGAACAGTCTTCAGGGATTATCCATGGTCATAAAGTCATGTTATTCCCCCAAGGCTGCCAACCTCATGGGATTTCATGTGGTGGCCACAGGAGATCCAGCCTCCAGCTTCTCCGGCTGTTCCAAGTAATGGCTCTGAGCTGCCCTGCTCCTGTGAATGGTTCAAGAGGAAGGGTTCTCTCCCTTTGAGGGGCCCTGGGGAATAGCTCCACAGGATCCTGGAACACTAGAGCCTGGTAAGCAAGATAAAGGAAAGGAAGCCTGCCTGAGCATGAGCAGTCTTCCACCAGAGTGAGGCCTGACAGAAAACAGAAAGAGAGAGTTGCCCAGCCCTTCTACAGAAAGAAGACCCTGAGAACTAATCATGCACCCACTGCAGGATGCTCAAAGAATCTTGAGACTGATAGGACAGTGGCCAGCTCATTCATCTGAGAGGATGGGTGGAGACTGCCAGGCAGTGCTGGGCATCTGTCTTAGTTCATTTTCTGTTGCTAGAACAAAATACCACAGACTGGGTAATTTATAAAGAAAAGAAATGTATTTCTTACAGTTCTGGAGGCTGGGAAGTCCAAGGTCAAGGGGCTGCATCTGGTGAAGGTCTTCTTACTGCATTATAATGTGGCAGAGGCCATCACATGGCGAGAGGGCAAGAAGGTGCCAGCTCAGGTCTCTCTTCATCTTCTTATAAAGCCAACAGTCCCATCATGGGAGTCCCACCCTGATGACCTTCTCTAACCCTAATTACCCCCCAAACGCCCCATCTCCAAATGCCATTGACATATGACTTTGGAAATTAAGTTTCCAACACATGAAACTTGGGGGATACATTCAAATCATAGTGGCACCCATCTTTTCTTCAGGTTCCATATCAGGAATTCTATCCTATGAGAGAGGCCAGGTGGAAAGGCAGGGGAGATGTGTTGGAAGGACATCTTACACACAGGGAAGAGCATGAGGACAGGCACAGGGACAGGAGGGCCTGAAATGACCCTGTAGTTTAGAGCGGCTGGAACTTACCAGCATGTGGGCCATAGCACTGACAGCCAATAGGGTGTGAAGGGATGGGGAGGACAGGTCATCCTAAAGAACCTGAGTTTCATCTTGAAGGCAATATGATATTTTTACTATCAACTGGAGAGGGGGAGTCTGGCACAGATCCTAGCACATAGTAAATGCTCAGTCATTGTTGGATAGATGAATTTAAGAAAAAATGAATCTGGGTCCCTGTAAGCCCTCAATTTCAGCAGTCTATTAAATTTGGGAAACTCTCACTCAATTTTTAATTATATTAATAAAAGCTGCAATTACTCATTGAGTGCTTATTATTAGTATCATCTCACTGTCTCTCATATATAGCTGAACATTGGAACTATCTACAGAGATTTCAAAAATATTAATGGCTGGCTCCCACACCCAGAAATTTTGCTTTAACTGGTCTGGGTGCTCCCTGGCAGTTGGACTTTCGAGACTCCTATGGTGATTCTAATGTACAGCCAAGTTTGAGACCCATTGTCCTATCTCATTTAATCTTCACAACATTCCCATGAGATAGACATTATCTTTATCCCAGTTTGCAAGTGAAGAAAGGGAATCTTAAAAAACATTAAATAACTTGCCCAAGATCACATACTTCAGGCTGGGTGTGGTGGCTCATGCCTATAATCCCAGCACTTTGGGAGGCTGAGGCAGGAGGATCACTTAAGCTTGAGATGTTGAGGCTGCCGTGAGCCACGATCGTACCATTGCACTCCAGCCTGGGTGACAAAGCAAGACCCTGTCTCAAAAAAAAAAATCACACAATTTAGTAACTAGCAAATTCAGCATACAAAGCTGCCATGGATTTTCCCAGAGATACAGGAAAATAACCAGAAACTTTCATACTCACCTTTCTTCTTTTCTCCGGAAGTTCTCAGTGATTAAAACAAAAGACTTCTTTTTACATGAATCTTGGAACATTGAGTGATCTGTATGTTTGTTAAAGAGAGAGATTGACAGGATGATTATGAGTCAAGGTGAAGTTTATCAACTGTCAGACTTGCTTAAAGTATTAGAGTTGAGACTTATGCAGGTTTAACCAGAGAAAGAGAGATTAGACTGTTCTGTTTTCCCAGAGTTGGAGGCAAAAGGGTAGGGTGATGGCCTCTATGCTCCTGGACCAGGCAAAGAGAGAGCAAAATGAGGTAAAGAGGAAGACGGTGGTGATTCAGCTGAGGAAGGGTAGAAGAGTGAGTGCTGACAAGCTCTTCTCATTCTCTTGCCAGTACAAGCAGCTGTCTGCTCTTTTAATAATTCTTTGTCTTCTCCAAAAGGGCAAAACACATTCTACATAAAGACGCTTCTGTTAGCAGCTGTGGTGGTGATTTCAAAGGCGGGGGTTCGGGGGAGTGGAAAAGACAAAATTTTCATGATTCTTTTTCCTCAAATGTGTTGGGCTACTGTGGTAAGGAAAGGAAATGCATTACTAAATCGAGTGGTAGCTGGGTCCCTCTGCTGATGGGCACAGCATTAAACGGCGTGGCCACTCAGCACAGTGGATGCAGCCTCCAGGGGAGAAAGGGGGTGTGCTGGGGAAGCCGCTGTGCAGTTCCAGCGCTTCATAAGATCTAACTCTACCCAACAGTTTTTCTTAGAGATTACTCCTGTGTGCATTAGGCCTCTTTTGGTTTTAAGTAACAGAATACAGTTTGATCTAGCATCTTCAGAAATGTATTCAAATGGTGCAGGAGTATCTCTCCACACAGGACCCAAAATATAATTATAGAGCTGGACTTCAGGAAGGAACTGGAAAGTTGTCAAGACTCCCTGCTCCTCCGACAGCTGTTCGTTTTTTCTCACTCTACAGATCCCACATACCCTCCACTGCTCCAGTCCACAGGACAAGAAACACGGCCACTGACGCAGGCTGCCACGCTGACCCAGGCCAGCTGTCTCAGTCCAGACTCCTGGGGCAGGGTTGCCGAGAGGCCTAACTTGGGTCAGGGTAAATTCCTGGTCCAACTAGTTGGAGACATGGGGGAGGTACACGAAAGGCTGCTGAGGTTGAGAGCTGCTGTGTGTGCAGGAAACAGTTAAGAGAAAGGGGTCATTTTAAGTTTCAAAAGAGACTCCAGAAAGTGCTGAGAATAGGTGTCAAAGCAGTTCCTGACTTTCACATCTCCATAAGCACCACTCAATCCCTCCACCCCACCTCCATGTGCACAGATGAGGAAGACCTCCTCATCAGCCAGCATGCTTGAAGTCACTTTCCTGCAAATCCAAGGAGTTTCTCAGCTTGGCAGCCAGACAGACTCATGTAGCTGTATTAGAAGTGATGCTAACCAGGCACAATCAAGACTCTTTAAAATACAGTGTGGGCTGGGCGCAGTGGCTCATACCTGTAATCCCAGAATTTTGGGAGGGTAAAGCAGGAGGATCACTTGAGCGCAGGAGTTCAAGACCAGCCTGGGCAACATAGCGAGATGCTCGTCTCTAAAAAAAAAAAAAAAAAAAAATAGCCAGGCATGGTGCTATGTAACTGTAGTCCCAGCCAGTTGGGAGGCGGAGGTGGGAGGATGTCTTGAGCCCAAGAGTTTGAAGCTGCAGTGAGGTTTGATTATGCCACTGCACTCCAGCCTGGGTGACAGAGTGAGACCCTGTCTCTACCAAAAAATGTAAAAACATAAAAGTAATTGGCCTGGTGTGGTGGCACACTCCTATAGTCCCAGCTACTGGGGAGGCTAAGGCAGGAGGATTGCTTGAGCCCAGGAGTTCAAGGCCACGTGAACCATGATCAAACCACTGCACTCTAGCCTGAGTGACAGAGCAAGATCTTGTCTCAAAAAAATAATAATAAAACAAAATAAAGATTGTGGCTGACTCTGCCCCTCAGTGAGCCATGAGAGTCACCTGAGATGCAGCTATCCTGGGTGGTTTCAAAGAGAAGGAATCCAGAGAAGGGCAACCTAAGTGCTGAAGACACAGGCCCTGGAGCAAATAGCAGACTTCTGGTCACTGCTCATTACTGGCACCGGCTCAGTGGTGCCTGACTGGGGAACAGCCTCAGAGGAAGCTGCCCCAGCCTCGCCAGAGTGGGAGAGGACAAGGAACGCTCTCCTGGACCAAAAGCAGAGAAATTATCTCAACCCACACACCCGAAGAAAACAACATGGACATCATCCCTGAAAACATCTCCCCACGCAGGCAGGACGTCCCATCTTTTTGCCTTTTTCTTTTTAATGCCTCCTTCGGGCAGAGAGAATGGTCTGGTTAGGTCCAAGTTTTGACATTAGAGTGTTGACAGGATAAGTAGTCCATAAACTGAATACCCTGCAATCTGAGCTGGGCCACCAAAAATCCCATTCTTGGGGCCCCAAATATCTGTCCTTTTCTTAAAAAACACTTTCTAATGTCTATTTGTAGGTGGAAGGATGATGATGACCTGTAGAATGGTAGGTCATGGTCAGTTCTCCATCCACCAGGTGGGACAAGGAGACAATGTAGAACAGTGGCTCCCAAACTTGGCATGCATCCAAATCACTGCAGGGATGTTGAAGCAGATTGCAGGGTCTTCTTTTCAGAGTTCCCAATTCAGTAGGCTGTTGGTGGGGCCAAGTAATTTTCATTTTAATGAGTCTACAGATGATGTGGATGCTGCTGAGAACCACTGGAGCAGAAGATAATGTTAGTTGGTTTTATTTCTTAAAGCATAAAATATTAGCCATCTGCAGATAAAGAAGACTGAAGGGACTGTGTAACAAGCATTTTCATTCTGTCTTTTGATATGTCCATCCCTTAAATAGGTGTAGTCCTTTGGATTTTCATCCCTTCAGACTGATTCTGAAAGCCAATTTAACCTGATTTTACCTTGATAAAAACAAAAAATAGTGGGCCCACAAATCTGTAAGAAAAAGACAACTGGCCCAATAGAAAAATGAGCAAACAATGCAGGCAGGCCTTTCACAGAAGAGGAAACAGAAATTGCCAATCGACCTCTGAAAAGAGGTTCAATCTCACTGGTAATCAGTAAGATGTAAATTAAACCCACAATGAAATACCATTTCATAGCAACCACAATGGCTAAAGTTTCAAAGTCAGACACTGCTTCATGAGGGTGTGGAAAACAGCTATTTTCATGCATTGCTAGTGGATGGAAATAGGCACAACTTCTTTAGAAAACAATTTGGCACTTCTGATGAGGTTATGTAAGTCCTCTAGCAATTTAACACTTAGGAAAATAACCTAGAGAAACTCTTGGACCTTTGCTCCAGGAGACAGATAAGACTGTTCAGAGCTGTGCAGCTCACAGCAACAAAAGCTGCAATGTTTATTGACAGAAGATGGAGAAACGGTGATGTATTCATCAAATGGATGGCAGTCAGCAGAAAAACTATATGAACTGCGGCTATAGATATCAATAGGATGAAGCTCAAAAACAATGCTGGCTGGAAGCAACTCACAAAAGGAACATATCATGTGATTCCATTTATGTAGTAAAAACCTCAGAGTACATTATTTAGAAGTCCATACAGGATACCCTTGGAGGAGGGAGGAGGTAGATTTGGAGAGAAGCACATAGGGGTACGGTGATCAGCTGTCCAGGCTGAGACTAAATGGTTAACTAGGACCTGCGACGTTCAGTGCTAAAACCAGGACAGTTCTGGACAAACCAGAAGGAGGCAGTCACCCCTTGGACAGGTTCAAAGATATTGGTAATGTTTTAGTTCATTACAGCTGAGATATGAGAACACAGTGGTTTTTTATTTTTGTTTAGTCTTTTAAAATGTATGTATATGTCACATAAACTTTTGTATGTGTGATATATTTTACAATTTGTAAAAATGTGCAAAATGTTGAAAAAATACACAAAGAAAGATATACCATGACAGAGGATAAAACTGTAAATCAGTACAACTTTTCTGGAGGGCAATTTGGCAACAATATATTTCAAAAGCCGTAACAATACACATAATCTTTAATCCAGAAAGTTAACTTCCACGATTCAACACACTGGAAAAAAATCAGATATGTGAGTACAAATGTGTACATAGAGGTGTTCATTATTACAGTAATTATAATATCAAAAAATTAGAAATGTTAAATGTTCAGCAAAAGGAAATTTTAAAATTAAGGTACATTCATATGGTTTATAATTCTGCACCCATTTATTTATTTATTTATTTATTTATTTTATCCTTTTTTTCTATACTTTAGGAATACCAGGGTACTAATGTTTTTTTGTTACATGATGAATTGTGTAGAATTCATCTACATGTTGGGTACAACGTACACTCCTCAAGTGACTGGTGCACTGAAACCTGAGACTTCAGCACTCCTCACCCGAGTAGTGTACGTTGTACCCAGTATGTACTTTTTAACCCACAGCCCTCTCCCGGTTCCTTCCCCTGAGTCTCCAGTGTCCAATATAACACTCTGTTTGCCCTTGTGTCCACATAGCTTAGCTCCCCCTTGTAAGTGAGAACATATGGTATTTGGTTTTTCCATTCCTGAGTTATTTCACTTAGAGTAATGGCTTCCAGCTCCATTCATGTTGCTGCAAAAGACATTATATTGTTCTTTTAATGGCTGAGTAGTATTCCATGGTGTATATATACCACATTTTCTTTACCCACTCCTCAGTTGATGGGCACTTAGGTTGGTTTGATATCTTTGTAATTGTGAATTGTCTGCACCTATATAAATTACGTTAATTTCTAAAATTAAAAGCATACAAAAAAAGGACTGTGGTTATTGTCATAAAACATCTTCAGAGGCCGGGCACGGTGGCTGACGCTTGTAATCCCAGCACTGTGGGAGGCCGAGGCGGGCGGATCACCTGAGGTCAGGAGTTTGAGACCAGCCTGACCATCATGGAGAAACCCCATCTCTACTAAAAATACAAAATTAGCCTGGCGTGGTGGCACATGCCTGTAATCCCAGCTACTCAGGAGGCTGAGGCAGGAGAATCGCTTGCACCCAGGAGGCAGAGCTTATGGTGAGCCAAGATCCTGCCATTGCACTCCAGCCTGGGCAACAAGAGTGAGACTCCATCTCAAAAAAAAAAAAAAAAAAATCATCAGAGACAAGAAGAAGACTTCTCTTTAGTTTAGGAAAATACTTCGATGGGCCATTTTCTGTATGAAAGGTGGAGATGCCCTGGAAATGGTGGGGAAGGAAAACACTGCAAGCAAATAAACTATCTCTGAATGAGAACGTGATAGTAATTTGTCTGCCAACTGAGAGTGGCCAACAGAACTTGGAACAAGAACAAAGGAAAGCGCGGAGAAGGGTCTCACCTAAGGGGAAAGATGGACTGTGAGGAATTCCCGTAGTGGGGAAAAGAGATGTCTAATATTCTGGGGTAAACCCTAACCACCCTTCACCACTCCCAAACATTGAGGGGAGTGCTCACGCTCACGACCGCCTTGCACCACTGTCACTTAGGAATGAAGGAAGAAGTGCCCAGCCAATTCAGTCAGAATCTCCTAGGGTAGGGACTAAGCATCACTATTTTCTTTGAAAACCTCCCCAGGTATTTCTAATATGCAGCTAGAATGGAGCACTATTGGGCTAGAGTAAAAATAAAAACTCAGGCCAGGCGCGGTGGCTCACGCATGTAATTACAAGCGCGGCGGCTCATGCCTGTAATCCCAGCACTTCGGGAGGCTGAAGCAGGTGGATCACCTGAGGTCGGGAGATCGAGACCAGCCTAGCCAACACGGTAAAACCCCATCTCTACTAATAATAAAAAATTACCTGGACGTGGTGGCACACACCTACAGTTCCAGCTACTTGGGAGGCTGAGGCAGGAGAATCGCTGGAACCCGGGAGGCAGAAGTTGCAGTGAGCTGAGATCACGCCACTGCACTCCAGCCTGGGTGACAGAGCAAGACTCTACCTCAAAAAAAAATAAAATAAAATAAAAAATAAAAGCTAAAATTGATGAGGCCTGTCTGGGCTAAGCCTTATACTAGGTAGTTACTCATTTAAGTTTCCAGCTTGATGAGGTGGGTACGATTCCTTCCATTTCACAGATTTGGGAACTGAGACACATGAAGGCCTAAGTAATCCAAGAAGACTGAGATGGACTGTGGCTCTTGCAGGCTGTGGGAACTGGAGAGGAGCTGGGGGAGCACTGAAGGGGAGGGGGAACAGCGTGGCAGGGCCAGAGTAGGCAGCACACAGTGGGCCAGGGGTACATGAACAGGTGATAAACAGACTCGGGGGCATTCGAGCTGTCACCAGGGACAACTTCACCCCCTGAAAATGGGAGACAGCCTCTACTTGAGCCCTGTGTGGCAGCCATGTGGCCACGGGGAGCAGAGGTGAAGAAATTGTGCTATTTGTAACGAAAGCTTCAATGGGAGGATTTAGGTCAGTAGAACATTGTCAACTCAACCAGAGTTTGGCTCAGACAGCAAAGCTGACACCCTTTCCTGTGGAGAACAATTCTGGGAAACTATTTTTTATTTTTTATTTTTTACTTTTTAGACAGGGTCTCGCTCTGTCACTCAGGCTGGAGTACAGTGGTGCAATCTCAGCTCACTGCAACCTCCCCCTCCCAGATTCAAGTGATCCTCCTGCCTCAGCCTCCTAAATAGCTGGGATTACAGGCACCCACCACCATACCCGGCTAATTTTTGGGATTTTTAGTAGAGAGGGTGTTTCGCCATATTGGCCAGCCTGGTCTCGACCTCCTGACCTCAGGTGATCCACTCATCTCAGCCTCCCAAAGTGCTGGGATTACAGGCATCAGCCATCATGCCCCGCCAATTCTGGGAAATTTTTAAGGTCAGCAAGGGCTAACGAACTTTGTGTATTAAGAACCATTTACAGAGAGAAACTCTTAGCCCCTCACATGACTTTCAAACCTGTCCACTGAAAAGAGCTAGAAACAAGAGCCAACCTGGTAGCAGTGAGCAACCCTAGAGCCCAGATTATGGTCTTGAAATACAATTTCTCACCAAACTATAAAAATAAACACAAACAGGGCTTCTTGGAGGAATGGCTGAGTCCAGGTCTGGGCAAGAAGAGCCTGGAACAGAAATGTGCAAGATGAGCCTGGAACCCATTGTTTTACCTAATAACAATAAAGCTACTGAAGATAACTAGGATTATGTCAGAAAGATTCAAGAACTAACCACTTGAAGAGAATTCTAAAATAGCACCTGTTAGGGGTTGCATTGGGTTCCTTACAACTTATATGCTACGTCCTAACCCCCTGTACTTCAGAATGTGACTTTATTTGGAAATAGGATCATTACAGATGTAATTAGTTAACCTGTGGTCATACCACAATAGGATGAACCCCTAATCCAATATGACTGGTGTCCTTTCAAAAGGGGGAAATTTGGATACAGATACGCACCCAAGAAGAACACCATATGAAAATAAAGGCAGAGATCAGGGTAATGTTTCTATGGCCCAAGGAACACCAATGATTGCCAGGAAACCACCTGCTGTCAGGAAGGAGGCATAGAACAGATTCTTCCTCACAGCCCTCAGAAGGAACCAAGCCTGCTGACACCTTGATCTTGAACTTCTGTCCTCCAGAACTTCAAGACAATGCATTTCTGTTAAAAAAAAAAAAAGTGTACTAGGAGAAAGAAAGGTTTCAGATATGCTAAAAATAATTCTACTGATTGCCATCAATTGGTAAGAAGCACTCAGTTGAAAAGAGGTCTTATGTGTCTGAAGAAGCATAATGAACCCACCCTCTCACCTTTCAGATACCACATCTATGTGTGGCTTAATGGAGACTATTGATAAGGAGGAGGAGGAGGGAATTATCTTCTTCTTCCCACTCTTACCCACCCAGAAGCAATTAGTGAACAGGGAACAAAGAAAGGCACATGCCTTCTTGTTCTGAGACCTAGGAGACTAGAGCCAGGTGAGGGAGAGAGGCACCCTGGGAAATGTTTGCATCACAAAATGGGACAGAGCCCGGCGGTCCACTGAAAGTGACAAACATTGGCAGACTAGCCGACGGATTTCCAGGTCTAGGGGAAGTATTCTTCCTGTCCTGAGGAATCTATTTAATAATTGACCAAGAAAACTGGGAAGCTGGGTTGCAAAGTAGCTCTTATTGGGCATCTACTAGATACTTTGGTACTGGTTGGATACTGTACCAGATGCTTTTACACTATAATTTTAGTTAATCCCCATAGCCATCGGCATTAGGGTTTTCCAGAGAAACAGAACCAACAGAACGTGAGACTATATAGAAAGAGATTTACTGGCCGGGCACAGTGGCTCATGCCTGTCATCGCAGCTCTTTGGGAGGCCAAGGCAGGTGGATCACCTGAGGTCAGGAGTTCAAGACCAGCCTGGCAAACATGGTGAAGCCCTGTCTCTACCAAAAATACAAAAAAAAATTGGCTGGGCATGGTGGTGAGCACCCGTAATCCCAGCTACTCAGGAGGCTGAGGCAGGAGAATCACTTGAACCCAGGAGGCAGAGGTTGCAGTGAGATGAGATCATGCCATTGCACTCCAGCCTGGGCAACAAGAGCAAAACAGACAGGAAGGGAAGGGAGGAAGGGAGAAAGGGAGGAAGGAAGGGAGGGAGGAAAGAAAGAAAAGAAAAGAAAAGAAAAGAAAAGAAAAGAAAAGAAAAGAAAAGAAAAGAAAAGAAAAGAAAAGAAAAGAAAAGAAAAGAAAAGAAAAGAAAAGAATAGATGAGATTCATTAGAAGGAATTGGCTCACACAATTATGGAGAATGGGCAAGTCCAAAATCTGTGGAGTGGGCTGGCAGCCTAGAGACCCAGAAGAGTCTATGCTGCAGTTCCAGTCAAGGCCAGTAGACTGGAGACCCAGCCAGTCACTGATATTCCAGTTTGAGCCTGAAGGCCATCTGCTGTAGAACCAGGAAGAGGTGATGTTGCAGATGTAGTCTGAAGCCATCTGCTAGAGAAGTAGGAGAAAGTTTCTTTTGTTCTATTTTGGCCTTCCACTGATTGGATGAGACCTACCCACATTATGGAGGGAGCCTACTTTACTTAAAGTCTACCAATTTGGGCATGGTAGCCCACACCTGTAATCCCAGCACTTTGGGAGGTCAAGGCAGGAGGATCACTTGGGGTCAGGAGCTCAAGACCAGCCTGGGAAACATAGCAAGACCCCAACTCTAAAAAAAAAACAAAATAAAAAAGTTAGCCAGGCACGGTGGCATGCACCTGTAATCTCCACTACTTGGGAGGCCGAGGTGGGAGGATTGCTTGAGCCCAGGAGTTCAAGGCTGCAGCAAGCTATGATCACCATATTGCACTCCAGCCTGGGCAATAGATTGAGACCCTGTCTCAAAAAAAAAAAAAAATCCATGGCCAGGTACAGTGGCTAACCCCTATATCCCCAGCACTTTCGGAGGCTGAGGCAGGTGGATCACCTGAGGTCAGGAGTTCAAGACCAGCCTGGCCAACATGGTGAAACCCTGTCTCTACTAAAAATACAAAAATTGGCTGGGCATGATGGCAGGCGCCTATAATCCCAGCTACTCAGGGGGATGAGAATGGCTGGAACCTGGGAGGCAGAGATTGCAGTGAGCCGAGATCATGCCATTGCACTCCAGCCTGGGCAAAAACAGTGAAACTCCATCTCAAAAAATATATATATTAACTAATTTAAACCTTAATCTCATCCAGAAATGCTCTTACCTCACAGAAACATCAGAATAATGTTTGACCAAATATCTGGAAACCCCATCATCCAGCCAATTTGACACATAAAACTAACCATCACCCCATCTGAAAGTTAGATTTCGCCCTAATTTTGTATATGAGGAGACTGAGGCTCAGAAGGATTAAGTGACATACCCAATTACACAGCTGATTGGAGGCCAGGCTATAATGAAACCATACTCTTTCCGACTCCAGGAAGTTGGGGGCAAGATACGTATTATTGAATCTCACTTGGAAAGAAAGTGCAGTTCTCCCCTACCTACATTAATAACCCTCTAACTAGTATTCAGTCAGCTAGCAAGTATTTAAGCCCCTACTATACTCTGAGCTGTCAGGAAAGTAAAATCTTATTTTACTGTCAAGAGCAAAAAGTTACCAAAATGTGTAGCAGGTCTTATTTTCTCTCTGGTACAGGTGCTGGGCGGGAGTTGGGGGTGGGAATGGAAGGTTGAGTCACACCAGAAGTGGTCAGCAGTGTGGGGACCAGGAGCCAGGTCTGTCACCACTCCTGCTTTGAAGCCACTTTCCCTCAAAAGTGGGTGACCACGGGGAATATTAAGCACTCAGGCTCTGGGATGAGCACTGACATCAAACAATTCCCTTTCATAAGGGGGCTGCCTGCTGGGGTCCATTGAGAAAGAGGGCAGGCATTCCAAAAGCCACTTCTTTCAGCAGGATGTAGGCAGAAACTATTCCCTTAGACGACCAAAACGGGTCACACGGGTCACAGTCACACGGCAAATGTCCCAGAACCCTATCGCCCACGTTCCCCCACACCACGACACTTGATCTGGTGCATCTAGTACGGTTGTGAGTGTCAGTTTCACCCCCTCAGGAAGCCAACTTCTCCCTCCACCGCAGCCTCCAGGTTTGTCCCCAGACCTGCCAACTGGTGTGGCCGCCTTCCTTTTGGTGGGCTGCAGGACCACTGGTGACACCTAGTGACCAAGGCGGCAGTAGCAGCCGAGAACGAGAATTCCTGATTTTCTCTCCTGGTGATGAGAGTAATGACACTGCCCGCCCCAGGACCAAGGAAGTCCCCAGGGAGGGAGTGTGTGAGATTTTTCCAGGAGGGAGATCCCCCTCGGTGAGAGAAGAAAGTGAGGCATGATCAGGGCTCATGACGCCCTTATCATAAGTCATGTGGTTTGAACATTAAAAGGAATGTGACCTCATTTCTTATTCTAAGCTGATCAAGGGGCACCTATGTTAAAAAGCACTGAGAGGCTCTTGGCCTTTTCTTGATTCCAGTCCCCCAGAAAGGGCCAAGAGAAGACTTCCAGGGTCAGACCCCTATCTGAGACCCCCTTTGCAGCCCTCTCCGCTCAGCCACACATCACTGTCCCGTCCACCCAGCTCCGTAGCCGTTAATCATATGTGGCTATCTAAATTAAATTAATTAAAATTACATTGAAAACTCAGCTCTTCAGGCACACCAGCCTGAAGTGCTCAACAGCCACAAGTAACTAGTGGCAGCACACATTACAGAGCATTTTCGTCATCACAGAAAGTTATCATAGACAATGCTGGTCTGTAGGCTAGAAATTTCTTTCCAGGCATCTTAAGATTCTTTTTAATCAAAGTTCTCTTTGGAAAGAAGAAAAAGCAGAAAGCTGGGTGGAACTGTCATCTTGGTATACCGTGCTTGGAAGCACAGGCTGACAGAGAAGGGATTGACACAAATTTGGCTTGAACTGGGTTTTTTTTCCAGATGCCACTTTACCGTGCCTCTCTCCCAAGAACAGGAGCTGTGTGGGCGTGTGTGTTTCAGGCTGCGTTTGGCACTGGAGGTTAAAACAGGGCGTTCTCTTCCTTCTTGCTTTCTCTTCAAGAGAAATAACTTTTTCCTCAAACTTATGATAAAGAAGACAGTTGGTAAAAATGTTTGGGAACCTCTGGTTTGGGCTAAATGAAGGCTCTTTGGAGACACACACTAGCCAGATTATAAGGCATAAAAGAAGTCTTGGACGCCAGGGGACACTGGACTGGCCATCAAGATTAATCATCCCATGGGGTCTCTTGGTACCTCATTCATTCACTCATTCAACCAGCATTTACCAACTGCCCGTTATGTTCCAGGCACTATTCTAAGCTACAGAGATACAGCTGTAAGCTGAACAAAGACCTTCCCTCATGGAACTTACCCACAAGAATGGAGGAATCTGACCCACAATATAAATAATGGTGTCACATCAGTATCATGGATCCAGGCCAGCCATACACTGATGACAACAACAGCTGCCTCGTTTTGAATTCCATAATCCTACCACTATTCTGTACCAAGCACGGTTCACTCCGCTCTCAGTGGATTCTCATAGTCCTCACAGCTACCATATTAAGTCTCAGTTATCATTAGTCTCATCTTCCATTTATGCAAACACAGAGAGGCCAAGCAAGTAGCTTAAATCATACCACTGTACAGGCACGCACCATTGTTCCAACCCTGGTCTCACTCATGCCATATGGTAGAGGGAAAGCATACGTTGTCAAATATTCAGGGATTCTAGAACGTTGCAAATAGAAGAATAAACAAGACGTATCCAGTGGTAAAGACAGATACAGTGTGATGTGCCTCATGGTAAGTAGAAAATAGAAGTCACTATGGAAACAGAGGAAGGGCATATAAACCAGCCTCCAGGGATGTGGCCAGGGTGTTATCAGGGAATGCTTCCTGGAGGAGGTGATACACGAATGAAGTCCTAAGGGAAAAATAGAAGTACAAGTGTTGAAAATGTGGGGAGGGACAAAGGTATGCTGGGCAAAGGGAACAGAAGTGCCCAGGCCTAGAGGGAAGCAGGTATTCAGTGTGGGTTGTGTACAGTTTGGAAGAAGAAAAGTGGCCCAATGATGGATTTTACAGCCTGCTCAGAAGTATTCACTTGACTTGGAGGGTTTGGGGCAGTCATCAAACAATGCTGCAGATGAAAGCATGGTAAAAAAGAAAAAAAAATGCTCCTCAGTATCTACATCAGGAAGGTGGTCACTTGTCACCAGTCTGATATTCATGGCACCTTAGGCTTTTACACACAGCCCTTTGTAGTTTACAAAGCAATTTCATGTGCCCAAACTCACAAAGCTGTTACATGGCAGGACCAGTCCTCTGCAAGCTCAAATCAGGGCTCCAGCCTCTATTCCACAGCACAACCTGCCAGACCCAGTGGTTGGTTGGCTGACTGTCCTGGGAAAAACTAAAAGCAAGAGAGTTTCCATTGCAGGTGACTTTGAAAGGACTTGGGGGTGCCATCCTGGTCTCCAGGCTGAGGCAGTGAGAATCTGGAATCAAGAAATGCTCTGGTTAATACTTCTTTCCTATTTTTCTTCCAGACTAGGTAGGCCTCAGAACTTATCTGTTTTTTCTGGCCATGGGGTATAAGAAAGTAAAAGAACTTATCTGTGGTTCTCAGAATGTCACACCCTGTTTGGCTTACCAGAAGTCCCTGCAAGGCTGTTTCAAACTTTACAGAGGCTAGCACTGAGATTCTGTGTCCCCACCTCGCCCCAAGGCCTGTCCCCGTTTGCATGTTCATTTGCTGCCTCTCCTTAAAGGATATTGGTATCTTTCAGCCTCTGTGACCAATGGGCATGTGGCATCGGGGGATGTGCTAGGTGGGGAATGTACCCAGGGCCACTGCCTTGATCATAAAATGGGCACAGTGGTAGTACCTACCTCGGCTTGTTATGAGGACTCAATAAGCCAATGCTTGAAAAGGACTTCAGAGGCATTCATGCCTGGATGGCTGGCACACACCTGGATAATTGCTGTTCTTAAGGAAAAGGTCAACAGTTTTGACTACTTAAAACTTTCAACATCTGTGTGTTAAATACCAATAATAATAACAACCAGAATTTAAAAACAAGAAACTGGGAAAATTTTGCAGTAAATACTGTATTCAAAAGGCTCACTTCCTTACCAAAAGTTCTTGCAACTTAGTAAGAAAAATACTAAAACCCAACTCTTGGTCTTTAAAGAAGAAACAGTCAATAACCTGTCACTGAATGTTCATGTATTACCTCATCCCGTCCTCACATAACCCAGTGATTACACTATTATTGACCTCAACGATGAACAGTGACCATGACAATGGGACAGAGATGTTTGCATTTTACAGCAATGCTTATATTTCACAGCAAAGTCTGTAATGCACAATTTTCAAATGATGAGCTAAGGTTTTCATCCCCATCTCTTGAGCCATGGCATAATTCCTTCACCAGGTAGCCAGAGAGAGCTGACATTTTCAATCCTGCAGCACCAGCAAAATGAAATTTCCCATGTTCCTGTTGTTTTTGATGATGTCTACTGACCTCTGGCTAATGCAATGTGATATATAGCCTAGATCTACAAAAAAGAAGACTCCTGAGGCCACCTGACTATGAATTAATGTGCTTTTCTTCACTGTGCGATGAAGCCACAGGTTTGTCAGCACACTTAGAGCCAGAGGCCTCATGGGAACCCAGGACCTCGAAGCAGCTTGACACCACCCTTACCCCAGATTATGGCCATTCTAGAAAACCTGACCATGTTTTCCGGCTCAGCTCAGCCCCTTAAAGTCATAGACTGTTGCTCCTGGAAAGAATTTGGAGAATCAGTCTGTTCTGTGTTTTTCAAATTATGCTCCTTTTAAAGCCTTGAGGATCACCCCAAGGCAGTCTGGGGGATGGAACCAAAAGGATTAGATAGATCCAAAGTTCTACTTAAATCTTTTTTATATATTGGTTTCCATTTGAAGAACAATTCCTACTGCCATAAAAAGTTGGAAAACTCCTGAGCTATTCTAGCCCCTTTCAATTAAAGAAAATAAAATGGAGGCTGGACATGGTGGCTTACATCTGTAATCCCAGCACTTTGGGAAGCCGAGGCAGGAGGATGGCTTGAACCCAGGAGTTTGAGATCAACCTGGACAACACGATGAGACCCTGTTTTTACAAAAAAATTTTAAAAATTGCTGGGTGTGGTAGCCTATGCCTACAGTCCCAGCTATTCAGGAGGCTGAGGCTGGAATATCACCTGAGTCTGGGAGGTTAAGGCTATAGTGAGTCATAATTGCACCACTGCACTCCAACCTGGGTGACAGAGTGTGACTCTATCTCAAAAATAAATAAATAAATAAAATTAAAATTAAATTGAGGTGGAGAGAGGAGAGCTGCAACTGTGACCCAGGTCTCCTGACCCCAGAGCTCTTTCTCCACTGTCCTGGCTGTCCCCTTTACTCTCCCCACATCCAGGTTATGAGATTTGGTTGGCTGGTTTGACCCCAGCTTTGAAATCAAAATGTTTACCAGGGTACTGAGCACCTCCTGACTACCAGGCATTTGCTAACAGTGTAAGCATATAGGATGTTCAGTTCAGTTGCATGAACCAGAAAGCACAAAATACCTGTTTGGCCAAGATAAAAGTTTATTTCTCTTGGATAGCAGAATGTTTGAGGGCGATTTTTTAAAACACAAGAGGGGAATTTTTTTTTTTTTTTTTTTTTGAGATGGTGGCTTGCTCTGTCTCCCAGGCTGGAGTGCAGCTCACTGCAGCCTCCACCTCCTGGGTTCAAGTGATTCTCCCGCCTCAGCCTCCGAAGTAGCTGGGATTAAAGGCGTGTGTTACTACACCCGGCTAATATTTCTGTATTTTTAGTAGAGATGGGGTTTTGCCATGTTAGCCAGGCTGGCCTCCAACTCCTGACCTCCAGTGATCCACCCACCTCGGCCTCCCAAAGTGCTGGGATTACAGGCACGAGACACTGCGCCCGGCCGAAAAAAACAAGTTTAATTTTATTTCTCTATCACCTAGGCAGTGCAAGATTGGTATGACAATTGCACAGAACTTTCTGGAACCCAAACTCCTTCCTGTCCATCACTCCATCATCCCAGGGGTATGATGCTCATCCTTGTGTCCCAAGTTGGCAACCAGAGCTCCAGCCATCACATCCACGTTCCAGGAAGCAGAGTAGAGGAGGGCAACAAATAAAAGGAGCAAATGGAGATACTGTTTTTTAAAGAAAGTTCCCTGAAAGGTGCCATATACCACTTCTATACATGTCTTCAGACAGAACTGGTTGGAAAAACAAAAAAAGATGAAAAATGGAGACTTTTATTCCAGGCAGCCAACTTTCCAGCTAAATATTGGAGCTTCTATTACAAAGGAAGAAAGAGGAAGTGATATTAGAGTAAGAAATTGAAAATCTCTGCCACAAAAGAATTATTTTTTTAATCCTCATAACAGCCTATGAAATAACTTCTGTTATTATCTCCATTTTACAGATGAGAAAATTGAGGCTTAGAGAAGATTTTTGTGGAAGATTTTTGTGGGTTTTTGTTTTGTTTTGAGACAGGGTCTCACTCTGTCACCCAAGCTGAAGTTGCAGTGGTGCCATCATGGCTCACTACAGCCTTGGCCTCCTGGGCTCAAGCAATCCTCCCACCCAAGTCTTCCAAGTACCTGGGACCACAGGCACATGCCACCCCACTCGGCTTATTTTTGTACTTTTTGTAGAGACAGGGTCTCACCAAGTTGCCCAGGCTAGCCTCAAATTCCTGGCCTCAAGTGATCCTCCTACCATGGCCTCCCAAAGTGCTGGGATTACAGGTGTGAACCATAGTGCCCGGCCAAGAGAAGATTCTTGACCAAAGTCTATACTCAAAAGCCCTGACCAACATCTCACTGAAAGTTATGAGAGACTCTGAGGCAGAACTGCCCAGCCAAGCTGCTCCCAAATTCCTGACCCAGAGAAACTGAGAGACTATTTATTTTTGTTTCAAGCCACTAAGTTTCAGGGTCATTTATTAGGCAGCCACTCATCTAGTTTATGGTGTGTGCCCTCCAGGGGGACTGCATTTTAATAGGGGACTCAGAGAGGCTGCCCATGGAGCAGTAAAAGCTCTAGGCTGGAAGTCAGGACACCTGGGCCTGGTCTTCTACCTCATAAAAGCTACGCAGCCCTGGAAGACACGCTTCAGGGCTCTGAATGTCAGTGTTCTCATCGTAAACACTTCTTTAAGGGAAGGGGCAGGTGTTGAACTAGACACCCTCTAGGATCGCTTCCAGCTTTCATGTTCTAACTGTTGGAAGAGAGAAACTGGGAGCAGAGCGCAGCACCCCCGGCCAGGCCAGCAGCTACTTTCTCCCCAGCTCGCAGGCTGCAGCCGAGGCCACAGGAGGAAAGGAGGCCCCTGGCCCTTTCCTCGGTTGAACCCAGGCTCTTCACCCCCGGAGTCGGCCTGTGACCCTTTCAATTTGGTGGGTAGAAATCTCCGGGAAGAGGCTGTACAAGTCACAATACAACCCCTCTGGAAAAGACGTGAGGCTTAACCCATAAGCAGCAATGGAAAAGGAAAGCTACAATCTCTAAATCAGTGGTTCTCAACCAGGAACAACTCCCGGCTCTCCTCGCCAGATATATGACATTTGACAATGTTTGGGACACTTTAGGTTGTCACAACTGGAAGGGTAGGTGCTACTGGCATCTATACTGCTGAACTCCTTCGCTCGCTCACTCTCTCATCCACACCCATATACCCACACATACCCCAAGTCGCTTGTCTCTGTGGAGGCTTGCCCCAGTTTCTCAGTAGCTCTGGTGGATCTGGGGGTTAGGGATCTAGACCGTCAAGGGGCCAACCAAACTGAAACCTGGAGTGGAGTCACCAAGAGGCAGAGCCCAGTGGGCCTGAAACATACACACTTTCAGGGAATCTCGTATAGATATATGCATGAACACGGCCTTGGGGTGGCAGAAGCGTTAGCGTTATCAGCTTTGGGGTAAATCCATTCTCTGGAACCTTGGCTTTAAAGAGCTCCCGCAAAGCGCAGAGCTTTCCTCTGGGGGCGCATTTCTGCAGCCCAGAGTCAGCACGGTCCGCTCACCTGGAAACATGCCCGGCGGCGAGTATAGGCAGGCACGCAAGAACTCTCTCCTGCCTGCGTGGGAGGCAAAAGCCGCCCTGGCCGCCCCCGCCGCAGCCCTGCGCCCCGCGCCCCGCGCCCGCCAGCCCCTAGTCCCACAGCCACGCGCCTTCTAGTCCCACACCCCCGAGCCCCGCAGCCCCGCGCCCTTCAGCCCACCGCGCTCTCGCCCGGCAGCACTGCCCCCTGGTGGGCGCCCGGAGCAGCGCCCGCCCGCTCCTCGGACACCCAGGCCGAGCTGCTCCCAGTCCGCTCCAGACACTACACTCATCGGGCTCCGCTCCCCACGCCCGCATCTCCCAACTGCCAGCCGTAGGACCAAGCAGAAGTGCATCCCTGACCTTCCTGTGGTCCCAGCGGACAATGGCCAAGACACCACACTCACAATGTGTCTTGCAGGTCATAGCTCCCCTTTCTGATATTTTCAACTCATGGGTATGGCTCCTGTTGGCTTCTTTCACGCTTGCTCTGCACAAAAATACGCACACACTCACACTCACACGCACACACACACACTCCTCAGTACTCCTGACATCCAACCAGGTGCCGTGGACAGAAGAGCCATCATCTGCCCAGCGGTCTGGCAGCCTGGAGACCTTTCCCCTGGCCTAGTGCTCGCTGCCCGTCAGGTATCAGTTTGGACGCCGCATTCCAATCCAGGAAGCCTTCCTCACCCGGGCAAGGTATTCTCACCACACCCCAAAACTCTTTTGCTCTAAGGCAGGGGTCTCCACACCCCAGGCCGCAGACCAGTACCCCTTTGTGGCCTGTTAGGAACCGGGCTGCACAGACGGAGGTGAGCCCCGGGGCGAAGGCAAGCATGACCGCCTGAGCTCCACCTCCTGTCAGATCAGCAGTGGCATTCGATTCTCATAGGAGTGTGAACCCTGTTGTAAACTGCGTATGGGAGGGATCTAGGTTGCATGTTCCTTATGAGAATCTAATGCCTGATGATCTGTCACTGTCTCCCATCATCCCCAGATGAGACCACCTAGTTGCAGGAAAACAAGCTAAGGGCTCCCACTGATTCTACATTATGGTGAGTTGTAATTATTTCATTACATATTACAATGTAATAATAATTATTATTCTTATATTACAATAATTATTTCATTATACGTTACAATGTAATAATAATAGAAATAAAGTGCACAATAAATGTAATGAGCTTGAACCATCTGAAACCATTCTCCACCTCACACTCCCAGCCCTTTCCAGTCTGTGGAAAAAAGTGTCTTCCATGAAACCGGTCCCTGGTGTCAAAAAGGTTGGAGACCGCTGCTCTACGGATTGATTGGTTGGTAAATTGATGTTTGGATTCAGTCTCCCAGGCCCTGGGTTTGTCTCTGGGAATACAAAGATGAGGAGGCCAGGCGGTGCGGGTAGGGAGAGGCCAGACTGGATGGCTTTATCCCACCAGACATCCTAAGATTTGGGAAGAGAACAGGTTTTCTTCCAAGTGAACCCCCAGGCCAGCTTCCTAAAACCTCCTCTTTCCTAGCTCAGCCCACACCCCTCTCCTCCTTAGTGCTGCCTCCCTTCACTGCTTCTCGGGGTATTTTCCACAGCTGGTTGTAGATAGCGGTACCCCTCCCCGCCTCGGAGGGAGGGCATGAAAAGGTATTACAGGAAATTTCACCAGGGACCATGGGAGAGAAAGAGGAAGCCCTGGGCATGTGTGTGCCAGCACTTGTCAGTGTGCACCTATGTGTGCATACAAGGTGCGTGCACACACGGGAGGAGTCTAGAGGTTCCACAACGCTAAATCCATTCTGGCGGTTTTAGCTAAAAGTGGGGAGGGGATTCCACATTCCTGGCACATGACAGTGTAGTGAGTGGTTCAAATAACGTTTGCCCAAAATTCACCTTCACCCAGAATCTCAGTATGTGACCTTATTTGGCAATGGGGTCTTTGCAGATGTCATTAGTTAAGATGAGGTCATACTGGATTAGGGTGGGCCCTAAGTTCAATGACTGATGTCTTTGTAAGATAAAGGAGAAACTTAGACACAAGGCCACAGGGACACAAGGAAGAAGCCCCATGACAGTGGAAGGAGAGACATGGAGCAGATTCTTGCTCAGAGCCTCCAAAAGGAGCCAACCCTGCCCACACCTTGATTTTGGACTTCTGGCCTCCTGAACTGTGACAGAATAAATTTCTGATGTTTCAAGCCACTAAGTTTTGAGGTGATCTGTTACACAGCCATGGAGACAGGCCCAAAGGCCATGTGAAAGACCAGGAAGAACACACAAAGCTCTGAGAGACTCGAGTGAAGGGGACAAGGGGGAGATGCTCAAAACCAGAAAGACTGGAAAGGAAGGCAGGGACCAGATCGTGGAGGAGACTTCAGATCACACTCAGGGTCTCCAATCAGGTTTGTTTTGTTCTAAGAGCAATGGGGAGGAACTGGTGGGGCCTGAGCAGGAAGGACACTGTCAGATTTCTCTCTAGAAAGACAGCTGTGGCTCCAGCAGGACAGATGGGCAATAGAAGGTGGCACCTTCTCCAGGATACGGAAAAATGGATGGATTTGAGACATTGGAGAAGTGGAATTAAAAGGATTTATTTACTATTAGATTGGATATGGGTTGGACACAGTGGCTACCACCTATAATTCCAGCACTTTGGGAGGCCAAGGCAGGAGGATCACTTGAGCCAAGGAGTTTGAGACCAGCTTGGGCAACATAAAGAGACAAAATTTAAAAATTAGCCAGGCATGGTGACACATGACTGTGGTCTCAGTGACTCAGGAGGCTGAGGCAGGAGGGATCCCCTGAGCCCAGGAGAGTGAGGCTGCCTTGAACTATGATTACACCACTGCACCCAGCCTGAGTGACAGAGCAAGACCCTGTCTCAAAATAGATTGGATATAGACAACTGAGGGAGGTGGGGACTGCCTCTGCCAACTGAATGGAAAGTGACACCACTCACTGAGAAAGTGGACAAGGCCCAGATTTAAGAGAGGTATAAGTAAAGGCAAATGTGAGTTGTCTATGGGCATCCAATAGAGATGGCCAGGAAATAATGAGACTTGCAGACCTGTCACTGAGCAAAGAGAGATAGCTTGTGACTCCTCACTATGGCCACAGGCAGTACCAGCATCCAGGACTGTTAAGCAGCAGATGGTTTTGATTACTAGCTGCCGTTTACAAAAACCTGAGGATGCTCAAGTCCAGGACATAAAATCATGCAGTATTTGTATATAACCTATACACATTCTCCCCCCGCCCCCTTTTTTTTTTTTTTTTTTTTTTTTTTTTTTTTTTTTTTCCTGAGACAGAGCCTTGCTCTGTCACCCAGGCTGGAGTGCAGTGGCACGATCTCGGTTCATTGCAACCTCCACCTTCTGAGTTCAAGCGATTATCCTGCCTCAGCCTCCCGAGTAGCTGGAACTACAGGCATGCACCACCACGCCAGGCTAATTTTTGTGTTTTTAGTAGAGACGGGGTTTCACCATGTTGGCCAAGCTGGTCTCCAACTCTTGACCTCAAGTGATCCGCCCACCTCAGCCTTCCAAAGTGCTGAGATTACAGGCGCCAGCCACCGCTCCCAGCCCTCCCCTATACTTTAAATCATCTCTACATTAGTTATACGTAAAAGCTATGTAAATAGTTGTTACATTGTACTGCTTCCAGAATGACAAGAAAAAATACTTTCTACCGCCCGCGCCGCCCCCAGGAGCCGCGGGGACCCTCGCGCCGTCGCCGCCGCCGCCTGGATCCCCGCACCAGGCCAGCGGAGAAGACCTTCAAGCAGCGCCGCACCTTCCAACAAAGAGTAGATGTCCGACTTATTCAAGAGCAGCATCCAGCCAAAAGCCCGGTGATAACAGAACGATACCAAGGTGAGAAGCAGCTTCCTGTCCTGGATAAAACGAAGTTCCTTGTACCTGACGTTCGAGACGTCAACATGAGTGAGCTCATCAAGATAATTAGAAGGCGCTTACAGCTCAATGCTAATCAAGCCTTCCTCCTGGTGGTGAACGGACATAGCATGGTGAGCGTCTCCACACCAGTCTCAGAGGTGTATGAGAGTGAGAAGGATGAAGATGGATTCCTATACATGGTCTATGCCTCCCAGGAGACGTATGGGATGAAATTGTCAGTGTAAAACTAGAAAAATGCATCTATTCTAGAATTTTTTAAACCCTTACCAAGGGAAAAAAGGGGTGTTGCCAACTGAGATCGATCAGTTCATCTAATCATAGATCATCAAACAGTAGTGTTCCCACCTAGGAGCGTTAGAAGTTGTGTTTGTATTTCAAGCGGCAGAACTGAGCTCCAAGTGAGAACGTTCAGCTTTGGAAACTATATGATTTAATGTAGGCTAGTTTGTTTTCAAATTTTAAAAGTTTAAAAATAAAATACTTTGCATTCTAAGTTGCCAATAAAATAGACCTTCAAGTTATTTTAATGCTCTTTTCTCACTAATAGGAACTTCCAATTCCAGCAGTAATTTAAAGGCTTTCAGAGAGACCCTGAGTCTTCTCTTCAGGTTCACAGAACCCAGCGCCTTTTCGGATAGAAGTTTTCTACTCAGCTAGAGAAATCTCCCTAAGAGGATCTGTAGGCCTCAGCTGTGAAGCATAATCCCTGCAAAACGCATTTGCCGTAATAGTTGGCACAAACGCAGGGTAAATGGGGTGTGTGTAAGAAAACAGCCCTGACTGTAAACTGCTGCTCGAGGTTCCTGACTCCTAACAGAACTACACCCAAAGTCCACACTCTTGCAGGGGTAGACATTTCTTATTTGGTTTGTTCTCTAGTTACACACATAAAGATACCACTGAAAAGGAAACTTGAGTAATTTATAATTTTGATCCAGTTTCTCAAAAGACCCTGGAGAAAGAGTGGCACTTCTTCTGTTTCAGCTTTTGTCTGAGTTCAAACTAGTGCCTGTGTTGGTATGGAAAGAAGCAGTGTACCAGTGTCATTCTTTAGGACAGCGGTAGAAACCACAGAATAGTATAACTAAAAGCATTAAAATTCAGACACACTCCCTTCTACCTTCTGGCTTAAAGCCATGGATGATCCATGTTTTTGTTTTTGTTTTTTTTAATGTTAAATGTGTAATTCAATATTATTGAAAAGGTTCCCACATTTTTAATAGTAGTTCAGTTATCACTGATAGGTCAAATAGCCATCAGAATTCCCCCACACTGAATGCATGTCAGTTGTGGAGAAAACATAGAAAAAGGAGTCATACACTCTTTACAAATACTAATGTCAGGAGTTAAACCTCCTCAGGTTCAACCTGTGATAAAAGACCAGTGCTTCCCACTACCTGCATGGGGTCCACTATTTAGTTTTCTTGGGAGTATCACAGGAAGATCACAGTTACACCACTTTAGACTGTACATGTAGCAAGTCACAACTTACCCTCGTGTGTTTAGATGTGTATGGAATTCCTGTATACATTAGTGAAAGCTATTTACTATAATAGGGGAAACCCAGATTCCTTGCATCTGGGCCCTGTACTGATCATTAAAGCAGTTCCTGTCACCTGCTCTCCCCACTGCATGCATCTGTCCACTTGGCTAACTTTTAATATGTATATTTTTACATTATGTAAATTCTTAACCAGCCTGTCTCATTTAGAATGTATACATCACATCTGACATTATTGTAACTACTGTGTGATCAGTAAGATTCCTATAAGACATACTGCTTTTTAAAAAAAAATAAATAACATGCTGAGGGGTGACCTATAGCCCACATTAGTGAGTGGTCACTTTATTTGCAGGATCTTTAAAACAAGTACATTTTTAATGAACTAAGTTGAATAAAGGTACAATTAAAAGCTGTAAAAAAAATACTTTCTACATATTCAACACTGAATTTTTTAAGTATTTTTAATCTAAGGCTGGTTGAATTCACAGATACACAACCCATGCATATGAAAGGCCAACTGTATTTTACCCAATTATTTGTACTAATAGGACAGTTTTGAAACTGACAATTCCAATTTGGTGCCCACCTATATGAAAACCTTTAACTCATTTGCCATAAATCCTCTGTGGAAAGAGAATTAAACCTAAGAGTCAAAAGTCCTGGGTTCACATCCTTGCAATAGCAGTGGTCAAAATACATTTCCAGTCGTACCCAAAACAGGAATAATGGTAATGCCAGCCTCGCAAAATAGCTGAGAGGAGTAAATGAGACCATTTATGTGAAAGATAACTTATGTGATGGGCTGTCAAATAAGGTTTGCTTGTAAGAAAATTCCTAGGGAGTCTACCAATAATATTCCTAGGGAGTCGACCAATTATTTCACTGGACTGAAATTCCGTATTATATGTGGCTCATGGTTTATCAGTTAAAGCTTAGAATTCTCGCTCCTCCCTGGTGAAAACTCACCACTCTCTCCTTCCTGCCTCCCTAGCACTGTTGATTCCTCTCCACTACGGGGATTTGGCAGAGTCAGTGGCCTTCTCCCCTCCCCAGATCTGAGCTGCTCCATCCGTCCCCATAACCCTCTGCAGGCAGCATAATAGGTAATACCACACAGACACTTGCTGAGTGTTGATTTAAATTAGATTCATCTTTAAAAAGATCTGAGTTATAATGACATTTGACTTGTGTAAATTGAGCTATTAATCCCAAAAGTTAAATTTCACTCCAGTGGATTAAAAACTTCCTCCAGACTGGTCGGTGGCTAGTGCCTTTTGGCCCAGCTACTAAGGAGGCTGAGGCAGGAGGATCGCTTGAGGCCAGGAGGTCAATGCTGTAGTGTGCCATTATGGAGCCTGTAAATAGCCCCTACCTTCCAGCCTGGGCAACACAGCAAGACCCCATATCTAATAAACAAACAAAAACACAAAACTTCCTTTAAATCACATCTACCTTAAATTGGTTTTAAATACAGCCCCTTTGTAACCTCAGGTTCCACATCCACCTATTCAACATGGATCGAAAATATTCAGGGAAAAAGAAACAGTAAAAAATCATAACACAACAATAAATAATAATACAAATAAAAAGCAACGCAGTTTAACAACTGTTTACACAGCATATACATTGTATTAGGTATTATAAGTAATCCAGAGATGATTTAAAGCACACAAGACGTGCATAGGTAATATGTAAATACAATGCTATTTTATGTATGAGACTGGAGCCTCTGGGATTTTGGTATGGGGGTTGGGGGGTCCTGGAACCACGAATACCGAGAGCCAACAACAGTATTTGCTTTCACATTGGGCAACCTCTAAAACACCCGGGGTGGGGGGTGAAAACTGAATTTCTAAGGGAAGAGAGGAGAGGAAAAGGAAGGGAGAGAGATGCTTGGAAAAATGCAGGGAAACATACCTGGGCCCAGAAAGAGATTACATAACTTGGCGTTTTGAGACAATTGGTGATCTCTGGGATGATTAGGAACTGGGAAGGGCTTCGCTTGCGCCACATAGCAATGCCTCAAAAACCCACAAGATGGCAGTATTACTCCAGGAGCGTCTCCGTCCCTCCCACCCAGTAGCTAATGGCTTTCTTTGTTCACAGGAAACCCTCTCTCCCAAATATCATCAGCGCCACTGTATGTTTTCCATTACTTCATGCTCCTGGCCTTACCTTCAGCCAGTTTCCTATCACTAGCCCGAATATAAAAATAAACTACTGTTATTTGTTACATCTTAAAAATAGCACTTTGGTCTCTGCTCTCAATTGCCAAAGCAGCTGAATCAAATGTTTTGTTTTAATGAGAAGCATAAAATAAATAAAAACCCAGGTGAGGGTGATCTCTTCCTTTTTGTGAGTTAACACCCAAAGAGAAGACTTCCCAGGTAAACTAGGTGTCGCCAGGCTGGAGACAGTTAGAGACAGAAGTGCCACTTGAGACAAGATAAGTTCTGGGAGAGAGGGGCTGCCAGCCCTCTTAAAACGGGGCCGGAAAGGAGGCTGAGAACCGGCTCTGGAGACAGTGGAGAACAAAATCTCAAATACCGTATCTTTTAAGTTCTTATTATGAAAAAATCCAACTATACAAAAGTAGACAGAACGGTATGACAAACCCAAACACCATCTTAAGAACTGTGAAACTGTAAACCAGGAAAGAGGCTGCAAGGAAAAAATCTAAGTTCCCAGTTTGTTGAGGAGCCCTAAGATGTCACTTGCCAGAACCCTGGGTCTGCCCACTCCAGCCCTTTGTAGTATAGTTCTTTAACACAGTCTTTCAATGTAATGTCTTTTAATGAAAAGTCCTTTAAAGAAAAGAGTGGGAGAGGCTAGCCCCTGAGCTCTGGTCTTCAAAGGGCAATCTGGAAAAGGGAGCAGGTGTGGCTGCATCAACTCCCAGCCAGACTCAGAAAAAGAGGTCACCCAAGAGGAGAAACAAATAATCCAGACTGTCGGGGAGAGAGGCACACACACCCGTGCCAGTGCCCCAAAAGCAGAGCTCTCAACTTCCTCAGCCACTGTCCCTGACCACAGCCTCAAAAAAGTTCAGTCCCGAAGACTGAGTAACCAATTTCAGCACCAAAAGGATTTGAGTGCTTGCTTAGTCTCCTGTTGGGCAGAGGCTGTTTACCTGGATGGGCTACTAGAGATGTCTGAACCCCCAGAAAATTATATACTGATTGAATGTCCCTTATCCAAAGTGCCTGGAACCAGAAATGCTTGGATTTCAGATATCAGACTTTGGAATATTTGCATTATACAGCATCCCTATTCCAAAAATCAGAAGTCTAAAATGCTCCAAGGAATATTCCCTTTGATTTTTATATAGGTGCTCAAAAAGTTTCAGGTTTTGGAGAATTTCTGATTTTTTATTTTTGGATTAGAGATACTCAACCTCTACATGGACGTTTTCCTACAGCTTTTATATTGCCAAACAACTATGGGGCCACTCCTTGTCCCCTCACCTCTGCCAGAAAAAAAAAAAAAAGTCTAAAAACCCACTGTAATGATACAGATAATGCTTATCCAGTCTTTCTTCTCTTACGATTTTTCTTTTTTTTTTTTCTTTTTGATAAATGGTCTCACTGTTTGGCCCAGGCTGGAGCACAGTGGCACGATCTCTGCTCACTGCAACCTCTGCCTCCTAGGCTCAAGCAATCCTCCCACCTCAGCCTCCTGCGTAGCTGGGACTACAGGTGTGTATCACCACACCTGGCTAATTTTTGTAATTTTGGTAGAGACAGGGTTTTACCATGTTGCCCAGGCTGGTTTTGAACTCCTGAGCTCAAGCGATACACCCACTTCAGCATCCCAAAGTGCCAGGATTACAGGCATGAGCCACTGTGCCCAGACTATTCTTCTAAATCTGATGATCTGTGAGTCCTTTCAGTTTAAAAAACTGCCACAGAAAATTAAAAGAAGTAGGTAAAAATTTTCCTGCTAAATTTATGATTTTAAAATGTCACGATCTTCCTTCTAGTGATTTGATGAAATCCAGCATAAATGAACTGTATTCTATATTTGAGATTTTTGGGTTTTTTTTTTTTTTTTGAGACAGAGTCTCGCTCTGTCACCCAGGCTGGAGGGCATTGGTGCAACCTTGACTCACTGCAACCATCGCCTCCCAGGTGAAAGTGATTCTCCTGCCTCAGCCTCCTGACTAGCTGGGACTGCAGGTGCGAGTTACCATGCCCAGCTGATTTTTGTATTTTTTTTAGTAGAGACGGGGTTTCGCCATGTTGGCCAGGTTGGTCTCGAACTCCTGACCTCAGGTGATCCACCCACCTTCCCCTCCCAAAGTGCTGGGATTACAGGCACGAGCCACCGCACCAGGCCTATATTTGAGATTTATATCTATATGACATGACTATAGAAGTTTTAGTAAAAATAAACTGTTCTTAGGTATTTTATGCTGGAAATATTTTCATGTGTTAATTTCACAGCTCTGAGAAGAAACCAACAAGGAACAACAATTACTTTACGCATTTTTAATAACAATGGTACCCAATTCATTAACAAATGAATTTAGGCAATGTGCTTTGCTCTACAATCCATCAGATACATTTTCACTGCAGATAGTTCAGAAATCATTTTGGAAATAGACACAAACATGTACATATTCATTTGCTGAAAATGCCACTTACAGCTTTAATATCAAATATAGTTATCATAGTTCACAGAAAAAGTATAAAGTGCAAAAGCTCCACTTCAAAAGGCCTTAAGTCACTCCCAAAGCAATGAGGATTAAATTTTACCACAGCCAGTGGGCATGCCACCCTTATGTAGGACACCTACATAAGGTATAAAACAAGGTATATATCTGAAAACACTATATTGCTCTGATTACATATTGTGGTTATAAAATAGTTTTAAATCTGGTTTAACATACAGAGAAAGATACAATTCAAACAATTAGTCCTATAAAGTAGGGGTTATTTATTTTTTTAAGTTTGCAGGGGAATTATGTCTATAAAATCCATTGAGAATCCCAATCTGGCCCAAGACTTCTCTTTGGCCAGCTGGAATAATAGCACCTAGGCAAAGCCTTGGCTATGAAAGCTTTCAGATTAATTTCAGTGTAAAAGGAGCTAGGAGAGGGGCCCTGACTGGGTGAGCTTCAGCATCCACCTGGTCCCTCAGAGATGGTTCCATGTCTGCCCCAAGGGATAAAGAGCCAGGAAGGCTCAAATCCCAGTCCTGAGGGCTCATGGAAGCATGATGAACTGGCGAGAGAAGTTTTACACACCTGACAGATCCAGTAAGTGGAATAGGTGGTCGTATTTTTACAAAGCCTTGTGTTTGATGACCATCAAGCTTTGTCCCTCAACAGAACATCTTTGATCTATAATTAATGTTTTAGGCACTCTTCACTGGACAGGCATAGAGTTCCCCAAAAATGCAGCCCATCCCCAAATGGATTCAGAGATCTCATCTCCACACACCTTAAATGTGTTCATGGAAGGACTTGATTTATAATGATGTAATCATAAAGGGAAGAAAATATTACTTTTTCTAATAATCAACAACTAAACACTGTAAAACATGAATCGCTGACTGAAATGATCACTCGGAAACATGAATGGTTTTTTATAGCCTAACTCCAGTTTCTGCTGGGTATTGATCTTGGGCAAATTCTGACCAGAACAAAATCTGATTAGCCATGCCAAGTAACCACAACCATGACCTAACTCCTAAGTGTCAGCCCTACTGAAGGGAGGGAGATTCTTGACTGCCCATCAATTAATGAAATAAACTATTCATTTTTTACAATCTGAACATATCAAAATCTGTAAAGTCACATATTTAACAGCTATTTATGATGACTCACCAAGCCAAGTGCAGAGGCACATCAAAAAGTACAATTACATTCATTACTTTTTGGAGCCCATTCATGTTAGGCTTGATTAAAAAGGTAGACTCAGTAGTCAGTCTCAGAATCCAGTGATCAGCATTCAAGCATATAGCTAACTCTAGTGTATTCCAAACCTACACTTCATGAAAAAATATACAACTGGCATTTACATGCCATTCAAGCTACAGGATAAATGTCAACTCTGAAAGACATCATTTATTTACAACTATATTGGGGGAAAAAAGAGGAGACCAAACCAAAATATTAACAAGGATTATACCTGGGCAATAGAAATATGGGTTACTTTTTTTTTTCTTTGACTTCTCTGTAGTTTCCCAATTTTCTTTAAAGAGTTTGTAGTGCTTTTACATATATGAGCGATGCCATAAACCCAACTTAAAATAAGATGGGTATATTTCTACTCTCTTGGTTTACATCCCATGCTGGCAAGCTAGAGTGATTTCTGTTCAAAAGTGAAGTTATGTTTTGTCCTCCTCAAATATACTCCATTCCACATTTCTTTCTCAGCTCATCTCTTTAAAACCAGTTTCTAGAAGCACATTCTGCTTCTCACATTAAAAAAAAAAAAAAAAAAAAAAAAAAAAAAGCCGGGCTTAAAATATATACCAAACCCCCTACCTTGGAGCATTTATACCATAAAGTAGATGAGACCAGAATCCATGCCTGATAAGGTCAATCTAAAATAAGAATGAGCTGATATTTGCCTTTAAAAAATTCTAGACTTGAAACCCAAAGGACTTAACAGCAGTTCTGTTCCATCAACCTCCTAGGTCTCAAAGAGATACATTAGAAATTCTACGAATATTTAATTCAAAGATCATTTTAAAAATATTTTTTAGGCCAGGCGTGACGGCTCATGCCTATTCCCAGCACTTTGGGAGGCCGAGGCGGGCGAATCTCTTGAGCCCAGAAGTTTGAGACCAGCCTGGGCAAAATGGTGAAACCCCATCTCTATGAAAAAATACAAAAATTAGCTGGGAGTGGAGGCACGCACCAGTACTCCCAGCTCCTGGGGAGGCTGAGGTGAGAGGATCACTTGAGCCTGGGAGACAGAGGCTACAGTGAGTCATGACTGCACCACTGCACTCCAGCCTGGGTAATAGAGCAAGACCCTGACTCAAAAACAAAACACTCTCTCTATATATATATAAAACTATAATAAACCAACATATACATTCATTCAACACCTAATTTTTCTACCTTGGAAATTACCAATTTGTTAATTTGCATTTTCACCACCTCATATATTATTAAGTAAATGCCATAAATTTAACCTTAAATAAATTTAATAACATACAATTTACTTCACACACTGGGGTTCCACAAAGATTTCTTACTACAAACAGCGTTCTGCTTCTCAACAACCTATATAATTTGATAACCACAGATGTAGCATAAAGTCATTCATTTTTAAACTCTAAATTCAGTTGCTTATTGGGGTTTTCACCTTGGATCTGGTACAAATTCTAACTAGAGTAAGAGTTCCTGGATGTGTCAAAAATCGTCACCTTCCCAACTCTTACATATGTAGGACAGTGACATGACTCCTGCCCACAGAAGAACACACCTGTCCTGCCCTCTCCCAACAATGGAATGTTACAAAGCAGGACACGCCTGAGTTAAAATGAGTATCCCTGAGGTTGATAATTCCCACCATGCACCTTGAAGATGGTTCTTGAATCTTTCATTCAGCCCGATGAAGAGAAGATTCATTGTAGCCAGTGTCACATTAGGTGAGAAAAATTCAGAAGGCAACAGATTTGCGCTGCTGCACCAGCGACCCAAACCAGCCCGTGAGTGCATAGCTACTGCCAGCACTTGAGAAAGGTGAGCCGTTGGATACTCTGGGAAACCGAGAAAGCACCTTCTACTGCAAGCGTGAAGAACATGATGCCCACAGAAAACACAACAGAAACAAGAAGTGAGACTCTTGAAGGTAATTTCCAGAATAGTACAGCATACTGGAGGCTTCAAATGAGAAAACGTTTCCAAAAACTTCATGTTTGCTCCAAATTTTGAACCAGAACCCCCACCACAATTGTGAGGAGCCCTTTGGTAAACTTACAGAGGTCAAGTCTTAAAGATGGTGGGTCTGTGGGAATGTTCATGCCATAATTCTTCTTCTCTGTAGATTTGAGGCTGCTGAGCTGGGGTGGGAGGGGGAAGAGGAAGTGATGTCAGTATTTAAAAATTGTGCTCAGTATTTAAAAATTGTGCTCATCTTCAAGAAGGGCCTAAAGTGGAGTGTAGGTTTTGGCAGAGAGGGTTTTACTCATTAGCTTCACGTTTATCTGAAGTCTCTCCATCTCTCCACAGAGGTAGTAGTAAAAGGATTCACAGATGCATGTAAAACCTGGGTTAGTTGAGAAATGCAAGTGAAAAACTAGCCTTTTTAGCCACAAGTCCTGTGTGTGTTTCATCTGTTTGGTTTTGTTTAAGGACAATTACCCCAAAGGAAAATCTCTGGCATCTTCCATCACAGAGTCAGAGGGTCTTGTCTCTCAGAGGGTCTGTCTGTCATCAGTAGAGTCCACTCCAAGGGCGCCTGGGAATGGTGGGGTCTGGAGCAGGCCAGCTTTCTCCAGGAAGAGATGCATTGTACAGGGCTGGATCCCCCAAGGGACTGCTCTGCCATGGCCATTAAGGACGCAGCCCAACAAGTCACTGCATCTGGAAGTGATGCTGAGAAAGATGCATCTAGTGTCCCTAAGCCCTCCATTTTCCATCTTTGGGAAAGGAATAGACACTTTTCCCCTTGTACAGTGGAATCCAGGTGGTCCACAGACACATTAGGGAGGAGGAGGGGACCTTTTTAAAAATTACACAAAATCCAGAAATCCTAAAGAAAAGATTAACAGATGTGACAACATGAAAGTTTAAAACCAGTATGGCACAAAAATATTAACATACTGAAAGACAAATGGGAAACTGCAGGGGGGCAGGGAATATTTGTACCATATGACAAAGTTTAAATCCCTACATACAAAGAACACTAAAGAAATTAAGAGCCCCAGCAAATAGATTTTTGAAAAGATAGCCCACACCCCAACTATTCGAACTCCCTTGGCTGTCTTCCTAGCAAAGGAAGCCCACTGCATGAGGGGCGATAAGCAGAGAAGCCAGCCACCATCTTGCCATCACGTGATCTTGACTGATGATTTCTTGTTGGCACACAGGAGGGACACATAGGGGACACCAATGAAGGCCCATTTCTCATTGGGCCAGAACTTGATGACAGGGCCTTGCTCAGGAATCTCTGAGGCAGCATCAAAGTAGGCAAAGCATACACAGCCCAGGTAGGCAGCAAGGCAGATGAGGATGTGCCTGCAGAGGGAGACAAGAGGTGAGAACCTGATGAGCATGAAGACTCCGCTGCCCTGAGTTTAGCCTGCTCCTTCTTCCGGTCTAACCCACGCACCTTGCTGACTGTAGTTGCAGCCCAGGGGCCTCTTCTAATTAGGAAAGGATGAAGATTACCAACAATCCCTGGAATAGCAGGATGATAAATCTTCAGCAATTTGGGACCCGTTTTAGAATGTTCTTAAATAGTCCTGCTGGATAATAGGAACAAATGTGCAAATAAATGCCTTTGGGCCTCAAACAAGAAGACTGAGGCCCAAGGATTTACAACAGAGATGCTAAGATGGAAGTAACTGAGCACATCTGATTAGAACCCACCTTCTCACTTTAACAACTGGTTACAGATATTTTATGTCCTTCATCAGGAATAATTTTATGTTGGTTAAACCACTTTTGCAGTTTAGTGGAAATTTTAAAAAATTTATCCTCACTGTACCTGTACAAAGTTTTAAATTTATATTAAACTTTATCGAACAATAGACCATTTAAAAGCATGTAATCCTTTTTTTTTTTTTTTTTTTTTAAATGAAGTCTCACCCTGTCATCCAGGCTGGAGTGCAATGGTGCAATCTCGGCTCACTGCAACCTCTGCCTCCTGGGTTCAAGCAATTCTCCTGCCTCAGCCTCCCAAGTAGCTGGGATTACAGGCACCCACCACCAGGCCCACCTAGCTAATTTTTGTATTTTTAGTAGAGAGGGAGGGGGTTTCACCATGTTGGCCAGGCTGGTCTTGAACTCCTGACCTCAGGTAATCCACCTGCCTCGGCCTCCCAAAGTGCTGGGATTACAGTCGTAAGCCACTGCGCCCAGCCCAAAGACAATATTTTTATAAACTTTGATGTTGGGGAGGAGGGGATCTTTTTAAAAATTACACAAAATCCAGAAATCCTATAGAAAAGATTAACAGATGTGACAATATGAAAGTTTAAAACCAGTATGGCACAAAAATATTAATATACTGAAAGACAAATGAGAAACTGCAGGGGGGCAGGGAATATTTGTACCATATGACAAAGTTTAAATCCCTACATACAAAGAACACTAAAGAAATTAATCAGGGTCAGGGTGGGAAGTAGGTGAGAATGGTATGAACCAGATTGGCCTCGTGTTGATAGTTATGGAATCTGGGTGTTGCCTATATGGGGGTTCAATGTATTATTCTCTGTACTTGTGAAAATGTTGCAAATATGCATAAGTGGCACATAGTTACGTAGCTAGTAATGACTGTCTACTATGTGCCAAGCCTAGATGCTGAATATAAACTGTTTTATTTTTTATTTTTTGGAGACGGGGTCTCACTCTGTTGCTCAGGCTAGAGTACAGTGGCACAATCTCAGCTCACTTCAATCTCCGCCTCCCAGGTTCAAACGATTCTCCTGCCTCAACCTCCCAAATAGCTGGGACTACATGCACATCCGGCTAATTTTTTGCATTTTTAGTAGAGACGGGGTTTCACCGTGTTAGCCAGGATGGTCTCGATCTCCTGACCTGGTGATCCACCTGCCTCGGCCTCCCAAAGTGCTGAGATTACGGGCGTGAGCCACCACGCCCGGCTGATATGAACTTTTAAAAATAGAAACACTCAATAGACCAGACAAAGAAAATTAAAAGGGGAAATACACATCACAAATTGACATTTGAAAAGATGCCCAACAAAAATACTAATTTTTTAAAAAGACATAATAATAAAAACAAAATATAATTTTTCTCAAACAGGTTAATGGAGATTTAAGAGTTTCCAGTATATGTGAAAGTGTGGGTAAAAAATGCTCTCTTACAGACTTCAGTAAACAGTGTTAATGGTACAGTTTCTCTGGATTTAGCAATATATAATATTAATTTAACATATGAAAATATTCAGAAACTCAAATCAATCTAGATGTTCATTATAAAGTGTTTGCAAAAGTGGAAAATTAGAAATAACCTCAAAGTCCGTTATCAGAGAGAGGTTGGTTAAATAAATTATAAAGTGTCCATATTATGAAGCATTTATTAGACACAAAAATGAAGATTATATATATGTATTGGTATGGAATGATGTCTGTATAGCATTAGATCTATGTAGTATAGATTTAAGTATTTGGTTAAAAAAAAAGTTTGGGCCAGGCTCAATGGCTCATGCCTGTAATCCCAGCACTTTGGGAGCCCAAGGCAGGTGGACCTGCTCGAGCCCAGGAGTTTCTGACTAGCCTGGGCAACATGGCAAAAATCCATCTCTACAAAAAAATTCAAAATAAATTAGCCTGGCACAGTGGCATGCACCTGTAGTCCCAGCTCCCTGCAGGGGGTGAGGTGGGAGAATCACTTTCAGTCCGGGAGGCAGAGATTGCAGTGAGCCAAGATCACCCCACTGCACTCCAGCCTGGGCAACAGAGTGAGACTTTGTCTCAAAAAAAAAAAAAAAAAAAAGTTTGCATCGTGTATAGAATGATGCTATTTTTTTTAAAAGTAGACATATATATGTGTGCGTGTGTGTGTACATATAAAATCTCAATGGATATACATCAGACTGTTAATAATTATGTTTCTTTGGGGGATAGAATTATGAGAGCCATTCTTTCTATACTTCTATGTTGTTTAAATTTGTTATAAAAAATATGTCATTTTATAACTGGAAAGAAAATATGGTTCAACTTTGAAAAACAAAGCAGAAATATACCAAATTCAGAAACACATTAAGTTTGAGTCAAAATTATTACATAGTTTAAATTTCGAATTTGACTTAAATCATGTGTGACAGGGGACTTAGATAAAAATGACCATCTTGAATGAGGTCATATTTACCTAGTGTATACATTTCTCAAAATTCACAATATACACTTAAAATCTGTACATTTTGTTATCTGGAAATTATAACCCAACAAATATATAAACTATATAAATTCACTAGTATTAGTTGAGTTGAATCTAAAAAATATCGAGCAATGGATCCTAAGACGGTAAACTCCAACTTGTGCTGTTTGAATTTTGTCTTTTACAAACACTCCTTGAAGTCCCCAAGTCTTAAATTTAGAGTAGGGTGGGTCTCATAGCAAATATATCAAAGTTCACATGAGCAAGGGAACTTAAGTGAATTCTATCAAATTGTATATTTTTAGCCTATCTCTGGATAGAAGTCAACCTTTTCCTGAATCTAGATCTAACAAAGTTTTTCCATTTCTTCACCACTAGAATTCCTCTCTGGGTTCCTCCTACCTATAGGGGATAACCTACAGCAGATTTCTCCTCCTTGTGATCTTTTGCAATCAGAAGTCCTGGAGGACAGAAAGGAAAGATCACTCTGGGTTTGAGGCTGAAGCAGTTCCTAGGAAGAAAGCCACTCCAATTTCCCCCAGCTTTCTCAGAATCGGATTCTGCATGTATTTTGTAACCCGCTTTTTTTTTTTTAACTTAGTGTATCCTGAGCATTCCAAAGTATAGACGCTCCAATGTGCTATTACTGAACTCCAAGGTTGTTTTCTACAGAAACAGGTGGGTGACATTAAACAATTCACTTTAGCTCTCTGGTCTTCTGTCCCCACTTATAGAAATAATGGAAGAGAATGTCTCTAAATGGCCAGTGCGGCCCCTCCTTGCACTTGGTCTCTCAGGCCCTAAAGGTGGGGTTCCCACTGAGGACCCTCCCAGCCCTCACATCACCTCTTTCCCCAGCTTTCCCCTACCTCTCCCCTCCCCCAACACCTAGCTAGAGCTCAGGTTACAGGTTCAGTTCTCAAGCTCCTTTAGGCTTTAATAATGGAGTTAGAGGTAAAAGACTGCAGACCTAAGCATGACAATCAGGCCTTTCGTTCCGGCTAAGCCTGCTCCCTGGAGTCAATTCAGCTTTTTACAAAGTGTGCTTTCAGTGGCTTCTGAACCATCTGACCGTCCACCTGAGGAGAGAAGCAAGCCAGCAACCCACAGGACACCTGTGCACCACTTGCAGGGTGAACAGAGCCCAACAGCAAGTGCAAACACACCTGTCCCCGGCCACCTCCCCATTAGCAGGGGCTTACCACATGCAGTGCAGGTAGGGGAAGTTGAAGGATGACAGCAGCTCGCAGAAAGCTCGGTCACTGATCCAGCAGAACAGGGCCAGGGTCCACCAGAGGCCCGAGAAGAGGCCCAGCTTAAACACACGCATGTTGTCACACCTGCACGGGGGTCCAGAGAGTCACTCATCGTCAGACCTTGTCTCCACCTCCTTGCTGGCCACCTTTCCTGTGTCTCCTTCGCTGGTTCCTCTCATGCCTACAACCCCAAGACACTGAAGTTCTTACCCAACACACAGTCACTCCACAGTCTCATGGATGTAAATACCATATGTACACAGATGGCTCACAGACACCCTTCCCACCCAGGCTTCTCTCCTGACTCCAGACTCATACACCCAACTACATTTTTGACACGAGCACCCTAATATGGATCTAAATTTAACAAGTCCATAACCTATTCTTCTCCCAATCTTTCTCCTTCTCACATAGCCCACATCTAGTCCATCAGCTCTCCCTTCAAAATATCTCAAACCTGACCTCTTTCCACCACCTCCATCTAGATCCATGCTACCGCCATCTCATCAGAGTCTCCTTCCACCCTTGCCCCTACAGCCAATTTAACAGCCTCCAGCATCTTCCTGTTTAACCAGAGGGAAAGCCAAAGTATTCACAGTGGCCACAAGGCCCCGGATGCATGATCTTCCCTTTTCCCCTTCACCTCCTCTCGTGTGTACTCTTCCCTCTCACTGCCCATACTCAAGCCACTGCAGGATTTGTGCTGTTCCACAAATATCCCAAGCATGCTCCTGCAAGACCATAGCACTCACTGTGCCCTCTTGCCTGGAATGCTCTTCCCTCACATGTAAATCTTTGCTCAAATGTCACTCAGTAAGCCTTTTCCTGATGCTATTTTTAACAATTTCAACACCTGTCTCCACCTCCCAGGTGACTCTCCCTAAGGCCTCCTTCCCTCCTTTAATTTTCTAGGTAGTGATTATAACCTCCCTGACACCCTCTGTGTTTCACTTATGTGTTTCCAGTGTGTGTTTATCCACTGACATGGAATCTGTTTACTGCTGTATCCCAGCACCTGGAAATGTGCCAGACACAGAAGGCACTCAACATGTGTTGAATGAAGGAATAACTTCTTACACACACTGGGACAAAATGGTTTTCTGAAAAAAATGCTAACAGCTCAATGAAAATTTCAATTGCCGTCTTCTTTCCTTGACAAAGACTTGCTCATAAAGTGGGTGAGTTCTACCCCTGGGGACGAACACCTGGGGGCAGCTGGTGGCTGAGCGTCCTTCTTCCCGGAGGGGACCACTCCTGGGTCAGTCAAGATCTCCTATGGGACCCAGAATACAACACGACATCTGCAATTGAGAAGAAGCTTAATTCCTCTTTGTTGAACCCACAGACAGGTGTTAAAAGCCTGACTGGCTAGTGCCCTTCCCAGATGCCTTTCACAAACATCAGCGAAAGCATCAATAAAAGTGGGACAGGTTCAGAAAGACCTGTTCAAAAACAAATCAAAATACTCTTGTAGGAAGGCTAAATACATCCCTTGAAAAGTTTTTAGAAAGAATAGAGGCCGATGACATGGGGAGACTTACATTCCCAGTTACTAAAACAAAGAGATAACAATTTCCATTTCTCGCTTTCGATTACCACTCTCTACCTTGAATGCCTCGCCTTTGGGCTGGTTCCCTCTCAAAAAGAGCTCATCTCTCACCTTGACCCACCCTCTCCTTCTCTCCAGGGCTCAGTCTCCAGGCTTCTTCCCACACACAATGCCAGATACTATAGGTCTCCCCTCAGTGCAAGCTCGTCCACAACCGTGGCCCACAGGCTGCATGCCGACCAGGATGGTTTCGAATGAGGCCCAACACAAATTTGTAAACTTTCTTAAAACATTATGAGATTTTATGCCGGGCGCGGTGGCTCAAGCCTGTAATTCCAGCACTTTGGGAGGCCGAGGCGGGCGGACCAGAGGTCAGGAGATCGAGACCATCCTGGCTAATCCGGTGAAACCTCGTCTCTACTAAAAATACAAAAAAATTAGTCGGGCGTGGTGGCGGGCGCCTGTAGTCCCAGCTACTCGGGAGGCTGAGGCAGGAGAATGGCGTGAACCCGGGAGGCGGAGCTTGCAGTGAGCCGAGATCGCGCCACTGCACTCCAGCCCAGGGGACAGAGCAAGACTCCGTCTCAAAAAAAAAAAACCATTATGAGATTTTTTTTTTTTGCGACTTTCTTTTTTTTTTTCTTTTCTTTTTTTTTTTTTTAGCTCATCAGCTATCATTAGTGTATTTTTTGTGTGGCCTAAGACAATTTTTCTTCCAATATGGCCCAGGGAAACCAAAAGAGCGGACACCCCTGCCTTAGCGCATTCTCTCAGGGCACCCTGCCATGTTCCTTCATAACTCTCATCACAAGTTGAAACTATGAATTTATTATCTGTGTAACATCTGGTATTAAACTAGCCTAGAGGCCGGGAGCTCACCCCTGTAATCCCAGCACTTTGGGAGGCCAAGGTGGGAGGATCACTTGAGATCAGGAGTTGGAGATCAGCCTGGCCAATGTGGTGATATCCCGTCTCTACCAAAAATACAAAAATTAGCCGGGGGTGGTGGCACATGCCTGTAATCCCAGCTACTTGGGAGGCTGAGGCAGGAGAATCACTTGAACCCAGATTGTGGAGGTTGCAGAGAGCTGAGATCGCACCACTGCTCCAGCCTGAGCTTCAAGAGCAAGACTCCATCTCAATAAACAAACAAACAAACAAACAAACTAGCCTAGAATCCCAGAGGAACTACCCCTGTTTTATTCACTAATGTATACTCCATGCCTGGCAACTGTGCCAGGCACTGTTAAATGCTTCCTGAATTAATGGATAAAATTATGCATAAATGGACCCTAATTTGGTAATTTGTAATTTGGGCAGAACATTATTTTTAGATTATTTAAGATTATTGGCCAGGCACGGTGGCTCATGCCTGTAATCCCAACACTCTTGGAGGCCAAGGCCGGGGGATCACGAGGTCAGGAGATCAAGACCATCCTGGCTGACAGGGTGAAACCCCGTATCTACTAAAAACACAATAAATGTGCCGGGCGTGGTGGCTCACACCTGTAATCCCAGCACTTTGGGAGGCTGAAGCAGGTGGATCACGAGTTCAGGAGATCAAGACCATCCTGGCTAACGTGGTGAAACCCTGTCTCTACTAAAAATACAAAAAAAATTAGCTGGGCATGGTGGCAGGCACCTGAAGTCCCAGCTACTCCGGAGACTGAAGCAGGAGAATGGCGCGAACCCGGGAGGCGGAGCTTGCAGTGAGCCGAGATCGCGCCACTGCACTCCAGCCTGGGCGACTGAGCAAGACTCCGTCTCAAAAAATAAATAAATAAAATTAAAAATTAAAAAATAAAAATACAATAAATTAGCCGGGCATGATGGCATGCATCTGTAGTCCCAGCTACTCGGGAGGCTGAGGTAAGAGAATCGCTTGAACCCAGGAGGCGGAGGTTGCAGTGAGCCGAGATAGTGCCACCGCACTCCAGCCTGGGCGACAGAGCGAGACCCCATCTCAAAAAAAAAAAAAGTATTTATTGGGCACCAAATTCCATGCTAGGCACTATAAAATACAAAATAAATAGGCCTCTTGCCTTGAATTTAAAAAATAAAATGAAAATAGGCAAGAACAAATATCAACAAATACATAGACAATTAGTCTGGGACACGAGGATCTATGAACATCCAGTGAAATTAAACCTAGAAAGTTTGGCTTAAGGAACACACCAGAACGGAGAGCAATGTGTTGGAGATGTCCTGCATGGAGGGCATCAACCGAGAGGGAGGTGCCCGGCCGTTAGTCACTGTAAGTGCCAGGACAGGGCCGGCTTGGCATGTACGAGGCAGGAGGGAGGCTCTGTAGAGCCTGGTCTCAGGGCAGCCTGTTACCTTTCTCTGCTTCTAGAAGAAGCAGATCCTGCTAGAAGCTGCTGACCAGCCTTATTTGCACTCGGGGCTTGTCCAAAGCTGCGGTCCATTAGGTTTCACTCCCATTTCTCAGGGCTTTTATCAAAATATCAATGTGAAGTGAAAAAGGGCGGACAAAAATCACATGTACAGCAGGACCTTATTCTACAAGAGAAAAGTCTGAATCTCTCCCATTTCTTCTCTTCTAGACCCTTGATTATATTCTCAATTTTTTCTTAACAATAAAATCACTCCTATAATCAGAAAAAGTATTTTTTTAAATATCAATGTATCTGAGTTACTCGGCAATGTACTTAACACCACCAATTTCAGTGTCAGGTCATGACCCAAAATCAGCATAAACTTTTGTTTTCTCATGGTCTAAGGGAGAGTTCAGAAAAGACAATGGAAATACTTCTCAGGAAGCTGGTTAAAAGAAATGACTAGAAACAAGCTTTAGGAATAAAGGCTAAAGAGAAAGAGAAAGTGAGAAAACAGTTCCTCCTCTATTACCTCTGAGCAAACTAGCGTGCAGTGAGAAACATTCAACTCAGACATAACATCATTGCAGGTGACAACCAGGGAAGATTCGGGAAAGAGGTCTAAGAGCAATAAGGGCATCCTTTTGTCTGGGTATTTTATCAAAGCAGGGAAACAACCGTCTTTTCTTTTCCTGGCTGGGAACTGGTGTGGTAAGTGACAAAGCAGTGAAAAAAGAGACCCCGTCCCTGCCTATGTGAAGTCGATGTTCAGCAGAGGGGACAGACAACAAACAAAACAATATAAATAATATAATTACAATCAGGATGGGTGCCATAAAGGAGAAGTTCAGGGTCCTGGAACAGCATATAAATAGCTCAGCCCAAACTGAAGGATGAGTATAAGTTAGCCAAGCAAGAGGGCCAGAAAAAGGGATGGCATAAATAAGGAAGGGGCTGGGGCTGGCAGGTGCAGGGTCCCCAGAAGAAACAGAAGGTCAGAGTGGCTGAGGATGGAAGGCAGAGGAGCTTCTTGTGGGAGTGATCAGCTCACAGGGGAAGGCTGGAGCATGTCAAGGATTTGGAACTTTATCTTCATTGCAACATCGACTGGTAGAAAAATGACTGTGCTCAGGGCTGGGCATGTGGCTCATGCCTGTAATCTCAGCAATTTGGGAGGCCAAGGAGGGCAGATCATGAGGTCAGCAGATTGAGACCATCCTGGCTAACATGGTGAAACCCCATCTCTACTAAAAATACGAAAAAGTAGCCAGGCATGGTGGCACATGCCTGTGGTCCCAGCTACTTGGGAGGCTGAGGCAGAAAAATCGCTTGAACCCGGGAGGCGGAGGTTGCAGTGAGCTGTGAGATCATGCCACTGCACTCCAGCCTGGGTGACACAGTAGGACTCTGTCTCAAAAAAAAAAAAAAAAAGAAAAAGAAAAAGAAAAATGTGCTGAAATGGCATGTTTGGGGAAGGAAGAGGATGCCAGGTTTCAGGCTTCAGTAACTGGGTAAATGGTGCTCCCCTTTTCTGCAACTTGAAATATGATGAAGAGAATCAGAGCTAGAAAAGGCAGATCAGGAATCTGGGTTTGGTCAAGTTGAATTTGAGATGCCTGTGATACATGGAATTAGACAGGTTAGGCAGGCAGCTAGACACATAATAGTAGAGTTAAGAGGAAGGACTGGGTTGGAGACGTAAGTTTAGGAGTCATCCACATATGTAGAGGAATTAAAGCCACAGAAGTAGAGGAGATCTTTCAGGGGGACGTAAAAAGGGAGAAAAACAGTGTCTTAATCCATGCAGGCTGTTATAACAAAACATTGTATACTGGGTGGCTGATAAAAACAGAAATTTGTTTCTCATAGTTCTAGAGGCTGGGAAGTCTGAGATCAAGGTGCCAGCAGAATCAGTGTCTAGTGAGGGCCATTCCTCACAGATGACACCTACTAGAGCTGTGTCCTCACATGGTAGAAGGGCCAAGGCAGCTCTCTGGGACCTCTTTTAGAAAAGCACTAATCCCATGTAGGAGGGCTCTACCCCCACTGACTTAAACACCTTCCAAAAGGGCCCACCTCCTAATATCATCACCTTATTAATTAGTATTTCAACATATGAATTCAGGGGAGATACAAACATTCAGACCATAGCAAGCAGGGAGTTGAGGGTGCACCTTAAGGGATTCCTACATGCAAAGCTGTGTAGAAAAGTAGGAGTCTACGCAAGAGACTGAAAAGGAGCTGCCGAGAGGTAGTGGGAAAGCCAGGAGGATGTGTTATCACAGGAGCCATGGCAAAGAACATTTCAAGCATGGTGAGGAGAACTAATTGGGCGAGCAGCCGAGAGAATAATACATAAGATACAGGGGGGTCTGAAAACTGATCACTGGGTGTATAGCCTATAGAGAGGGATTTGGGTAACAAAGTAGGGGCAGAAACCAGATTGGCAAGAGTTGAAGAGTAAATGAGAGGTAAGGGATAAAGGGAGCTTTCTTTGGGGGCGGGGGGATGGAGTCTTGCTCTGTTGCCCAGGCTGTAGTGCAATGGCGTGATCTCCACATCTCCACGCACCACAACCTCCGCCTCCTGGATTCAAGTGATTCTCCTGCCTCAGCCTCCCGAATAGCTGGGATTACAAGCATCTGCCACCACACTCAGCTAATTTTTTGTGTTTTTAGTAGAGATGAGGTTTCATCCTGTTGGCCAGGCTAGTCTTGAACTCCTGACCTCGTGATCCACCCTCCTCGGCCTCCCAAAGTGATGGGATTACAGGCATGAGCCACCAAGCCCAGCCGATGGAGCTTTTAAAGAAGTTTGGCTATGACAGCAAGGGTGAAAGGGTAGTAGCTAGAGATGTGGATGTGGATTAGTCCAGGCTGGGTGTTTGAGAAGGCAGTAGAGACTCAGATGTGTTTACAGGCTGATAAGAAAGCCCCTTTAGGCTGGGTCTCTACTAAAACTACAAAAATTAGCCAGGCATGGTGGCACACACCTGTAATCCCAACTACTCTACTGGGGAGGCTGAAGCAGGAGAATTGCTTGAACCTGGAGGTGAAGGTTACAGTGAGCCGAGATCTTGCCACTGCACTCCAGCCTGGGTGACAGAGCGAGACTACGTCTCCAAAAAAAAAAAAAGCAAGCCCCTTTAGAGAGGGAGCAGCAATATAGAGGACAATGTACAGGAGTGAAATGGACATAGGAGAGTGGAGGGAATAATCAATTCGTAGAAGACCAACCCTAATGGAAGAAAGTTTACCTGCCATGAAACTACCACTTGTTAATGTGATGATGAAGACCAATTAGCTTTAGTGATGGCTAGCTTTTCCAGGGCAGAACATTTTAAGCATGAAACAAATTATTTCTTATGTAATTATTTACAAAGATTAGAATATTAAAGGAAAATATATTTCCTTATGTAAAGATCACAATTGTGAAGTAGAATTTATTTAAACTGCATAATAATCTGCCCTAACCACTTGTGTCCTCCATTTGCTCTTCTTTAGGTCTTATGAACTTAAAATATTTTCTCAGCTGGGTGCAGTGGCTCACACCTGTAATCTCAGCACTTTGGGAGGCTGAGGTGGGAAGATTACCTAAGTGCAGGAGTTCGAAGATGCAATGAGCTATGATCATGCTACTGCACTCCAGCCTGGGCAACAGAGCAAGATCCCATCTCAAAAACAAAACAAACAAACAAACAAAAAACCTTTCCCTTTCCCTTTTCTTATAACAAAATTATAAGCTAAAACATATTATTACACTCAAGAGTTACAATGAAACTAGACTGCAGTGAATTCTCAAGAAACAGAGCTAAATCCAGAACATTCTATTCACTTCAAGCCTAATATAAGCTAGCATCACTGGACTGCATGCTACAAATGGAAATCATTTCAGATGTTGTCACCAGCAATTTAATTATGTGTTTGCCAAAGAGCTTTAAGATGTGTTAACATCCAGAGTTGGCTAGAGGAGGATGCAAATGGAGCCAAAGGCCCAGGAGCCAGTCCCTCCAGGTCCACAAACACGGCAGAGAAGTCACTTCAACTAACATCTTCACCCAAGGCACATTAGGGAGAGTTCCTGGATAATAAAGGTAAGATCCCTAAAAAACAGATACAATAGGAAGAAGCAGATGATTTAGCTATACTTGCTGAAACATAGTGGCAAGGAAAAGGAAAGGCAACAAGTATTTGCTGAGATCTACCATGTGACAGATACTAGACTAAATATCTTATTTAATCCTTACTGCAAGACTATGAGATCTAAGTATTATTATTCAATTTCAAATAAGGACAGTAAGACCTAAGTAAGTGAAGTAAATGCCCAAAGTTTCCAGGCTAGTAAAAGCCTGAACTGAGACCCAAACTCAGGACTTTCTAGCCCCATAACCCATGCTCCACTAAACTGAGGGAGTCTCAAGAAATTTCATAACTCTGTATCTTGCCCAGTCATTAGCAAGATACAGACCTTTGACTTTTCAGAGGTAATGGGCACCATGGAAAATTCAGAGTTCCACAAAATAAAATTACTGCCTTTGAGAACACAACATCAGAGAGGAAGATGAGAAGAAAAGGAGATAAGTATCTATATTTAAGAGAGAATGCGCTAAGTACAATGTAAAAGCACAAAGAGTTTAGGAAGAGGGCAATTACATCTGGTTGAGGGGATAAGAAGGGGTTAAGAAAGGCCTCGTGAAGGAGCAGGTGTCTAGGATGCACATTGCAGAAGGGGTAGGATTTTGGAAAGTAGTAGTAGGAAAGGGCATTTCAGGGGGAGAAGAAAGTATGAGCAAAGATCTGAAGACCAGAAAACAAGGAGGTGGTCCAAATTGGTTGGTCATAGGACATGCAGAAGGAAACAGAGGAAGAAAAAGCTCTAAGGGAAGCTTAGACAACGAGGCGCCACTGAAGGTTTTTGTAAAGGATAAGGGAGTAACAGTCTGAAAGAAGAGATTGGAGGAAGAAGAGACTGGTTAGAAAGCAAATGCAATGGTCCTCTGGAGGGGTGTGAGGGTGGAGCAATGGATATGGGAGGAGGTGACAGATGAAACATTGCAGAGGGCGATTCCATGAAATCCAGCAATCACCTGAGGTGGCAGGAGATGAGGGACCCAATGATTGTAGGATTTCAAGTGTAATGGAGTCAGAAAATAGTGACACCATTAAAATCATTTGGGGACTCTAAGACAGAATTTGGGAAAGGCACTGAGGGAAATCGTAGGCAAACAGGGCATGCAGCCAAGACAGTAATCTTGCCTATTACAGTTTAGGAAGGCTCTGACTGGGATACCCAGCAGATAGCTGGGAATATGAAACTGGACTTCAGGAAAGAGACGAGGATGGACTGCAGAAAACCATGCAGAGTGATGACAGCTGAACACAAGAGGGTGAATGAGATTTTCAAGAACAGAAAAGGTTGAATACACAATCTTGGAGAATGCCTACCTTAGGAAGCAAAGGAGCAGAGTAGGAACAGTCAGGTATGAAAGCCTGTATTACACAGGATCAGAGAAGCCAAAAGAAGAAAATTCAGAGAGGGAGGAGGCTGACAGTGTCAGATTCTTCAGACAGCCAAGGATAGGGAGCACTGAAAACAAGCTATTCTATTTGGAAGTAGAAGGCCATTAGCACAGCCTAAGGAAATAATGTAATAAGTGCACAAAGATACACAAAGATGTTCATCACAGAGATATTTCTAATAATGAAAAACTGGAAACAACCTAAATGGTCAAAAACAGGAAATGTGTTGACTAATTAAAATAAATTAAAAGTAAATTACAATCCTACATGGCCATTTAAAACGAGGACCTAGATCTGTATTGATTTACAGAGAAGGAGGACTACAATACATTCCTAAGTGAGAAAGTCAAATTTCAGATTAACTCATACGAGAATGAGCTAATTTTTATTTAAAAAAAATACAGCTAGATTTTTTTTTAAAGATGGCAAAGAATAAAAAAGGCTGTAAGAAGATACAAGATACACCAAAAAGCTAACAGTCATTATCAAATGGCAGGTTTGGTTATTTTATTTTTATTTAGTACATAAAAACTATGAGCCAAGTACTATCAAATATTAATTTTCCTGAATAAGTGACAGATTTCTTTTTTGCTTGTCTATATTCTCCAATTTATCTACAAAAAAATATGAGCTACTTGATAAAATTAGTTTTTTAAAAAACGTCATTAGTGACTCTTGAATGAACATTTCAGACTAAAGATGGGGAGGGGAGCCAGACTGCAAGGGATTCAAGAAGGAAGGGCAGGCTGGCTGCAGTGGCTCACACCTGCAATCCCAATACTTTGGGACGCTGAGGCAAGAGGACTGCTTGAGGCCAGGAGTTTGAGAACCCCTGAGCACAGTGGGACTTTGTCTCTATTAAGAAAAAAAAAAAAAAGAAGGGCTTTCTTCTTTCTTCTTTTTCTGTTTTTTGAGATAGAGTCTCGCTCTGTCACCCAGGCTGGAATGCAGTGGCACAATCGCGGCTCACTGCAAGCTCCGCCTCCCGGGTTCACACCATTCTCCTGCCTCAGCCTCCCAAGTAGCTGGGACTACAGGCGCCCGCCACCATGCCCAGCTAATTTTTTGTATTTTTAGTAGAGACGGGGTTTCACTGTGTTAGCCAGGATGGTCTCCATCTCCTGACCTCGTGATCCGCCCTCCTCGGCCTCCCAAAGTACTGGGATTACAGGCATGAGCCACTGCGCCCGGCTTTTTTTTTCCTTTTTTTGAGACAAGTCTCACTCTGTCACCCAGGCTGGAGTACAGCAGTGTGATCTCAGCTCACTGCAACTTCTGCCTCCTAGGTTCAGGCGATTCTCCTGCCTCAGCCTCCTGAGTAGCTGGGATTACAGGTGCCCACCACCATGCCCAGCTGATTTTTGCATTTGAGTACACAAGTTCCCAAAAGAAAATGCTAATGCAAAGAGCAAAACCTTTACCTAATAGATTGTAAATGAGACATTAAGCCTCAGAGAAAGTATCATAGTCAACTGCAGTCCACCTGAAGTGCATATTTCCTTATAGATACAAACTCACTTTCCCTGCCCCCTTCCTCTTTTTCCTTCTGTGTGTGAATGCGATAACCTTTCTAGGACTTTTCTTTTCTACAGAATTAAGTCTAGACAGCTTGATCTAGGTACTGAGATGGTCCTGGTAAGCTAGCTTGTGATCAGTGGGATGCACTGCATCTGCTCAACAGCTGCTCCCCTCCTACTGAAAATGAGATTACCAGTATTTTGAACCAAACCATCAAATTGCTTCCATCCAACAGTCAGCAACTAACTCTTCACAAGGAATAAAACTCCTCTTCTGCTACAGGACAGCAAAGAAGCCCCGAACTGGTGTGTTCCCAGCACGGGGACAGCTAAGGGTAGGCAGGAATGATGGCACCTACCTCTTTAGCTCTGCGATGAGCAGTGCAGTGCAAGGAACTCCCAGGGTCATCAGAGAGATGTTGTTGATGGCAGGCTTGACAAATGCCAGGCACGTCGTAACCGCAGACAGGACACTGACCACCACCTTGAACCTACCCCTGAATCCATGAAAGCAAAACCAAATCCATTAGAAAAGGAGTTCTTGTTTGTTTGTTTGTTTAATGTTAGCAAGGTACAGGCATTGCCAGAAATACAAGCTGAAAAGAAATTCTGCGCTAAGTACCAAGGTTCAAAAAGCCACTCACGGCGACAGAGCGAGACTTCGTCTTAAAAAAAAAAAGAGAGGGTCTCCCTCTCATGCCGAGCCGAAGCTGGACTATACTGCTGCCATCTCGGCTCACTGCAACCTCCCTGCCTGATTCTCCTGCCTCAGCCTGCGGAGTGCCTGCAATTGCAGGCGCGCACCGCCACACCTGACTGGTTTTCGTATTTTTTTGGTGGAGACGGGGTTTCGCTGTGTTGGCCAGGCTGGTCTCCAGCTCCTAACCGCGAGTGATCCGCCAGCCTCGGCCTCCTGAGGTGCCGGGATTGCAGACGGAGTCTGGTTCACTCAGTGCTCAATGGCGCCCAGGCTGGAGTGCAGTGGCGTGATCTCGGCTCGCTACAACCTCCACCTCCCAGCTGCCTGCCTTGGCCTCCCAAAGTGCCGAGATTGCAGCCTCTGCCCGGCCGCCACCCCGTCTGGGAAGTGAGGAGCGTCTCTGCCTGGCCGGCCATCGTCTGGGATGTGAGGAGCCCCTCTGCCTGGCTGCCCAGTCTGGAAAGTGAGGAGCATCTCTGCCCGGCTGCCATTCCATCTGGGAAGTGAGGAGCGCCTCTTCCCGGCCGCCATCACATCTAGGAAGTGAGGAGCGTCTCTGCCCGGCCGCCCATCATCTGGGATGTGGGGAGCGCCTCTGCCCCGCCGCCCTGTCTGGGATGTGAGGAGCGCCTCTGCCCGGCCGCCACCCCGTCTGGGAGGTGAGGAGCGTCTCTGCCCGGCCGCCCCGTCTGAGAAGTGAGGAGACCCTCCGCCCGGCAGCCGCCCCGTCTGAGAAGTGAGGAGCGTCTCCGCCCGGCAGCCACCCCGTCCGGGAGGGAGGTGGGGGGGTCAGCCCCCTGCCCGGCCAGCCGCCCCGTCCTGGAGGAGGTCAGCCCCCTACCCGGCCAGCCGCCCCGTCCGGGAGGTGAGGGGCACCTCTGCCCGACCGCCCCTACTGGGAAGTGAGGAGCCCCTCTGCCCGGCCAGCCGCCCCGTCCGGGAAGGAGGTGGGGGGGTCAGCCCCCCGCCCGGCCAGCCGCCCCATCCGGGAGGTGAGGGGTGCCTCTGCCCGGCCGCCCCTACTGGGAAGTGAGGAGCCCCTCTGCCCGGCCACCACCCCATCTGGGAGGTGTGCCCAACAGCTCATTGAGAACGGGCCAGGATGACAATGGTGGCTTTGTGGAATAGAAAGGGAGGAAAGGTGGGGAAAAGATTGAGAAATCGGATGGTTGCCGTGTCTGTGTAGAAAGAGGTAGACATGGGAGACTTTTCATTTTGTTCTGTACTAAGAAAAATTCTTCTGCCTTGGGATCCTGTTGATCTGTGACCTTACCCCCAACCCTGTGCTCTCTGAAACATGTGCTGTGTCCACTCAGAGTTAAATGGATTAAGGGCGGTGCAAGATGTGCTTTGTTAAACAGATGCTTGAAGGCAGCATGCTCATTAAGAGTCATCACCACTCCCTAATCTCAAGTACCCAGGGACCCAAACGCTGCGGAAGGCCGCAGGGTCCTCTGCCTAGGAAAACCAGAGACCTTTGTTCACTTGTTTATCTGCTGACCTTCCCTCCACTATTGTCCTATGACCCTGCCAAATCCCCCTCTGTGAGAAACACCCAAGAATGATCAATAAAAAAAAAAAAAAAAAAAAAAAAGCCACTCACACTCACTGGCCTAGGAATTCCACTTCGAGAAACTTAGCCTTAGGAAATAATCAGATATTTTCAAAATTATTTGGCCATGAGAATGGTAAAATTACAGTCAACCTACTTCACTGAAGGTGAGATATGGATAGCTGTTTTCTTCGTGCGATTTTTCCGTATGTTTTCAGATGTTCGATTTCTCTGTATTTTTTCAGACGTTCTACAGCAGGGTTTAACAATTTTTTTCTATGAAGGGTTTTTGGGTTTGGGCTGGGTATGGTGGCTCACACCTGTAATCCTAGCACTTTGGGAGGCCAAAGTAGGAGGATGGCCTGAGCCCAGGAGTTTGAGTTTACAGTAAGCTATAACCTAAAAATAAAATAAATTTTATATATGTATATTTTTAATTAAATATATTTATATATATGTGTAAAGAATATATATTATATATTTTATATATAACTATATTATACATATCTATATATAGCATAACTATATGGTTATAAGTATAATTAAATATGTGCATTAATAAATATGTGTAATTATATTAAATAAAAATTATATTTAATAAATCATATATATACACACACATACACCCACACACACACACATATATATATAGGTTTTGCAGGTCCTAAGGTCTCAACTACTCAACTCTGTCATTACAGAGAATAAGTAAATGAAGGAGCATGGCTGGGTGCCAATAAAACCTGATTTGCAAAACAGAACCCTTTTGGCCCACAGGACATAGTTTGTCACCCCCCGTTCTACAAAGTGAACATGTATAACTTTCATAAGTAAAACAGAGACCATTCACAAACCATAAAGCAACCTAGTTTAAAAGAAAATTTGTCCTACATGTCTAGCACACCCAAAAAAAGTTTTAAGAAAAAATTCCAATAGACTAAGAAAAAATAGTCTATATTTACTGACAACCTACAAGTCTAGTATGCACTAGAATTTACATCGACAAGTTTTTGAAATGACAAGTCTTAGACAAATAATTGATACTATCTTCACACCCCTCAGTGGAGGTCATTTCAGTAGAAAGAGCCGGAAGTGGCGACGTGATCCTAGACACGCTCTTTCTTCTCTCCCTGGGACCCATTTCCTTATCTGTAAAACGAAAAGGCTGGACTAGATGATTTCCAAGGCCTCATTCATGACTTCAATTTAGGAGTACATGATTTTCCTGAAGTTTCTGTTATTCCTCATTAGCACAATTTACTTTGGCCAAGAGCCCCTGGAACAGGTCACAGTTAAGAAGCCAATTTGAATGAAATTCCATTATAAAGAAATCAAAGGGCATTGAACCCTCAAAATACAAATTTATCTTTTAAATACGAAAGCCATTCATCATCAAGGCACAGGAAATCATTGATCAAACTGCCAACTTTCAGACTGGAATGAACAGGAATTATAGCTCTGAACCTCTACCAGAGGAAAAAATATATGTGGGAAAGGCTCCAGGCAGCTAATCCTCAGGAGAGGCATGTTTTTCTCCTGGCCTCGGCTGCTGTTCTTCGTCTACTGGAGGAAAGGCCGCCTGCTCCAGCCTCAGGGTGAGGGCCCACAGCCATCACGTGCAGGGCCCTTGGGGACCCACAATAACTCTTCCACTGGGTTTGACGCATGCCAAGGCAATTGGGCCTTTTTCATTAGGATAAACACATAATCAGAAATGTCCAGAGTGCGTCACCTCTCTGTACCCAAAGTGCATCACCTCTCTGTACCCAGCGGTTTAAGAATTACGCACAGGTCAGAGAGGGTAACAGAGTGATTCAAGGCATAGGTGTTCCAGTGAGACCGATATGCATTCAAATCCTGCCTCCATTGCTTAGTAGCTGTGAGACCTTTGGCAAGTAACTCAACTCTTTGAGCCTTTCCCACATAAAAATTAAGACACTCTGCCTCACAGTGTTTTTGTAAGCATTAACACAGTGCCCAGTACATATTATGTACTAATAAAATTCATTATTACTGTTATCCTTACCATCATTTTAAATATAAATACCACTTTAAATAATATTATTGTTGTTGATATCATACTCTCAGGGAAAACGTAACTGAGCTGCTGTTGCAATCACCAAAGGCTCCACAGAGTACTGCCAAATGGTTTAAAGGCAGTAAGCTTGAAAAAAACATGGGTTTTTGTTGTTGTTGTTGTTTGGTTTTGTTGGGTTTTTTGTTTTTTTGTTTTTTTTGAGACAGAGTCTCACTCTGTCACCCAGGCTGGAGAGCAGTGGTGCGATCTCAGCTCACTGAAACCTCTGCCTCCTGGGTTCAAGCGATTCTCCTGCCTCAGCCTCCGGAGTAGCTGGGATTACAGGCACCTGCCACCACCCTAAGCTAATTTATGTATTTTTAGTAGAGATGGGGTTTCACCATGCTGGCCAGGCTAGTCTCAAACTCCTGACCTCAGGTGATCCACCTGCCTCAGCCTCCCAAAGTGCTGAGATTACAGGCATGAGCTACTGCACCCAGCTGCAAAACATGCTTTCTTTAGGGAGGCCATCTGCAGATGCCTCCCCACGTCAAGTCCAGAAGGTGTACAGGAATGTGCTGGCCAACAAGGACATCCTGTGAACACAAGCAGCCGGGAGAAGTAAACAGAGGCTATGTGGCCAGCAGAAAACCAGTCAGCCAGCCCAGCAGACCCCAGAGTCAACAGAGGCCCTGGGTACAAGAGAGCTAGAAATATCCAGGAGTAAGAGGCCCCAACAGGGTGTTTTTCTAAACTGTGATTGATGACAGCCTCTGGTCCTGTTTTCAACTTTCCAGCCCATTAGGGTCTCACACTGAAACACAAGGTCAGGAAACCCTTAGCATCACTGCTTCCTGTATTCTCTAATCCAAAATCTAACAACCCAGTACCATCATCAAAATATTTTTATAGTAAAGCTGTTACTGTTATCATTTACTACCCTTTAAAGTAGTGGTTTTCAAGCCTATAGCCTGTGTCCCTTTTAACCAAAGTAAAGCTTTGTTTTCAGACTTGAAAACCACTATCATTGGCTTTTTTACACAGTAAAAAGGGACACAGGGTATAGGCTTGAAAACCACTATCATTGGCTACTCTTTAAAGCAGTGATAATTTCATTTCATTTCTGAAATGAAATGAAATTTATAGATGATAAAACCTCCCATCGTAATGACCACCAAAAACATGTCCACAAGCTTTATAAATGTCTCATAAGAACTGGAAATGTCCCTGGTTAAGATCCACTGCTATAAGCTACCAAAACATAATCTATTTAGAACAGCCAGCCCTTGATAGTTACAGCAATATAGCATTTGGTCATGAAACGGACCTCAGAGAGCTACTTCAACCCTGTTATTTTATAACTAAAGCACTAAGGCCCAGAGAGTTTAAGATTCCAGCCTCAACTCATCCAGGAAGAATGCTAGCAGGGCGGGCAGATCCCAGACTGCTCCCTTGCTATTCAAGATTCAAAAAATAAAGTGGATTTTATCTAAAGATAAAATCATAAAAACTATAGCAGAATAAATTATTTAAGAAGTGGATACAAGGTTGGGCACAGTGGCTCATGCCTGTTATCCCAGAACTTTGGGAGGCCAAGGTGGGAGTATCTCTTGAGCCCAGGAGTTTGAGACCAGCCTGGGCAACATGGTAAAACCTTGTCTCTACAAAAAATACAAAAATTAGCCAGGTGCAGTGACAGGCAGCTGTGGTCCCAGCCACTTGGAAGGCTGAGGTAGGAGGATCACTTGAGCGCAGGAAGCAGAGGTTGCAGTGAGCCATGACTGTGCCACTGCACTCCAGCCTGGGCAACAGAGTGAGATCCTGTCTCCAAAAAACAAAACAAAAAAAGTAGATACAATTAGCCTATAATAGTTCCTTGTTCTCATTTTTTTCTTAAAATAAAAACTCTAAAAATTATTAATAACCATCAGCAATTCAGTATATGTCCTAAAGAGTCTCAGGACATTTTAGGCAAGATGAAAGAAAGTTTTTTTCTATAAACCCAACATTTATATCCTATTGACATAATGAACATTAATAATTTCCCTACATAAAATATGTACAACTATTACATATCAATAAAAAATTCAGGCCAGGCACAGTGGCTCATGCCTGTAATCCCAGCACTTTGGGAGGCCGAGGCGAGCGGATCATGAGGTCAGGAGTTCGAGACCAGCCTGGCCAACCTGGTGAAACCCTGTCTCTACTAAAAATACAAAAATTAGCTGGGCATGGTGGCAAGTGCCTGTAATTCTAGCTACTTGGGAGGCTGAGGCAGGAGAATCATTTGAACCCAGGAGGCAGAGGTTGTAGTCAGCCAAGATCGCACCACCGCTCTCTAGCCTGGGTGACAGAGCAAGACTTCATCTCAAAAAAAAAAAAAAAAAAAAAAAAAAAAAAACCCACTTGTCCATAAGCCATTCATAATAACCACCAGAACTTACTGAGTCTTTACTCTGTGTGAGCCATTGTACTATAGGCCTTACGTAATTTTCCCATGTATTTCTGATCCCATCAGGAAGATACTTTTGTCATCTCCAATTTATAGACAAGCAAAACAGGGTCCCAGAGCCTTTTTTTTTTAGGTTAATTGTTATTCAAAGCCATGTTGTCTGATCCAAACTTACTTAGCCACCACACTCTCCTGTCTCTTCTCCAAAAATCTCACATTAAAACTGTTTTTAATGTGTGTTTAGAATATTCCAGCAAAGGCCAGATATGGTGGCTCATACCTGTAATCCCAGTACTTTGGGAGGCCAAGGCAGGCAGATCACCTGAGGTGAGGAGTTCGAGACCAGCCTGGCCAACATGGCAAAACCCCGTCTCTACTAAAAATACAAAAATTAGCCACATGTGGTGACATGCACCTGGAATCCCAGCGACTCGGGAGGCTGAGGCAGGAGAATCACTTGAACCTGGGAGGCAGAGGTTGCAGTGAGCCGAGATCGTACTATTGCACTCCAGCCCGGGCAATAAGAGTGAAACTCTGTCTCAAAAAAAGAAAAAACAAAATGAAACAAAAAAGAATATTCCAGCAAAGTCTAGATCAAGAAAAAAAGAAAAGAAAAGAAAGAGAAAGAAAGAGAGAGAGAGAGAGAAGGAAAGGAAAGGAAAGGAAAGGAAAGGAAAGGAAAGGAAAGGAAAGGAAAGGAAAGGAAAGGAAAGGAAAAAGGAAAAAGGAAAGGAAAGGAAAAAGGAAAAAGGAAAGGAAAGGAAGGGCATGATGGCTCACACCTGTAATCCCAGCACTTTGGGAGGCCAATGTGGGCAGATCACAAGGGCAGGAGATCGAGACCATCCTGGCTAACATGGTGAAACCCCATCTCTACTAAAAATACAAAAAATTAGCCAGGCGTGGTGGCGGGCGCCTGTAGTCCCAGCTACTCGGGAGGCTGAGGCAGGAGAATGGCGTGAACATAGGAAGTGGAGCTTGCAGTGAGACCAGATTGTGCCACAGCACTCCAGCCTGGGCAACAGAGAGACAGTCCGTCTCAGAGAAAAGAAAGAAAAGAGAAGAGAAGAGAAGAGAAGAGAAAAGAAAGGAGGGGGGGAGGGAGGGAAGGGAGAAAGAAAGAAAAGGAGATAAACGTTTACTATTTGGTAAGTTCAGGCAGAAAAACCGGAAATCCCTGATCTACAGAAATCCTGGTTTTGACATGAATTTTTTGGTCTGGTCTGCCACTTCCACTGCAGAGCTGCCACCTGTCCCGTGTCATGGGGAGTGAAGTACAAGCAAAGGGGCTTGGCCTTCTTGCCCTCCCTGGTCACTGGAAAATTGAAGATGTGCAAATAGACTTGAAATCCTTTTTTACTTTTCCCTTAACATGTACCTTTTATTTCTTTGCTCATTAAAATTGTCAATGTACATTATCTCCATCGATTTGTATGCATATCTCAGAAATGCTAGGCAGAACTCTCCTCTCCATGCCCCAGGCAGTCAGGAGAGCTAACTTTGACTGAGCCCTCTCCATGTTGCTTAGTATTATGCTAAGTGCCCTACAGGATCGTCTCAAAGATGAACACTATTGTTTACCTAATTTTACAGATAGGGAAATAGAAAGAGTCAAGACAAGTCATACAGTCTGCAAGTTGTAAAGCTAGGATTCAAACCCAGATTGCTTCCAAAGCCAGGGATATATACACATATGGTACCCAGTGCCTCCAAAGGAGGACAGAGTGGCTATATCTTCACATCTTCCCCAGAGAAATGCTGCAGGCTGCTGGTGATGAAAAAGTCCCAATAGTCACAGACAACTCTGCCTCACAATATGCTTTCATTATTTTTTTTCTATTTTTTTAATGGGGTTTCACTGTGTTGCCCACGCTGGGCTCAAGAGATCTTCCTGCCTCAGCTTTTTGAGTGGCTGGGACTACAGGCGTGCACCACCCCAACTGGCTCTGTTTTCATTATTAAAGTTGGTAAGCTTTAACTACCAATGTCATCACCCCATTTTCTTCTTTCCTGCTCAAACAACTTTCCCCCTACCTCCAAGAATCAAGAAAAGAAAAGAAAAAAAAGGTTTTCTATAAGGAATACATTAAAAACTGTCCCTTGGAATTTCAACCCAGGCCTCAAGAATGTCACAAACAAATACACAAAACGTTTATTCCCATTTCTTCAATTTCTTACTCAGACTTGAAAAATAAGATATCTGAGAAAAGCGATTCCTCAGCTCTCAATCTAACGTACACCAGGTTTAGAGAAAGCATCATGGTGACTGGTGGGTATCTTTCAAGACAGGAGGGGAAGGGGAAGGGAGGGGAAAGGAGGGGAAGGGAAAGGAGGAGAGAGAGAGAGAGAGAGAGAGAGAGAGAGAGAAAGAGAGGGAGAAAGACAAAGACAGAAAGAAAGAAAAAGAAAGAAAGAAAGAGAAAGAAAGACAGAAAAAGAAAGAAAGAAAGAGAAAGAAAGAAAGAGATTAATGTGTTAATTTTGTTTTTTTTTTTTTAAAAAAAAAGTCAACCAGTTCAGATGAAAGGTAAAAGCGGCTGTTCCTCTCTGCTGGCAATGCCCAAGAACAGCCAATGGCTGTAGTTAGGTGTCCTCACCTCCCAGGCATTTTTGTGCTAATACAAAAACATACTCAGAAAGAGTTTAGTTCATTCATTCTAAAATTAGGATATCACACATAGAATTATATAATGTGCCCCTTGCAGCCAGCATTTTTCATAGACGCTTCTCCATTTGAGTCCACAGATAGCAGCAGCCTTAGTCCTCAGCAGCTTCACAGCTCCTGTTCCTTTTCAGAGTGCCAGTAAAACTGTAATGAATTATTTTCTTTTCCTGGTATAACTCTTCCATGGGCACATACCGTTTGCTTCACTGAATCCATAGTTTCAGACTATTTAGCCATATATGTATATTTTGACAAAACAGTGTCCTACAGAAAATGTGGGTAATGTGTTCCAGGAGCGTTTCTCATCTTCATTGGGCTGAATCTCCTCTGTGCCTCTAGATAGTAACAAACCTCACACAGCTCCTCAGAAAGACTTTCTCTGACCAAACTCTAAATCAGCACCCTAAGTCACCACTATACCCTTATCAGCTTCACTTTTCATCACAGTACCTAACATATCCTAATATTATATTATTTACTTGTTTGTTGATTTGTAATCTCCCCAACTTCAGTGTAAGCTCATTAGAGGAAGACTGCTGTTTTGTTTACTGTGATATTCCAGTGCCTAGCAAAATGCACAGTAAAATATAAGTGTTCAAAAATATTTGCTGGATGAATACCTGTATAACCCTAACACAATGGCTATTAAAATGCATCCCTTCCTGAAATTCTGGGTTTCCAGTTTGAACATATATACAGTATATGAGTGTGTATGTGTGTGTGTGCACGCGCACGCACGCAGGTGCACAGCTCTCATCTGAAGCAAAAAAAAAGGCAACTTGAAAACTACAGTATCTGTAGCTCCAAGAACCAGTTCATCAGTCTGGATTCTACTTCATATGTATAAAACTGGTGGAGTTGGATTAGTCTCAAGGAAATGTTGTAGCAGAAAATCAAAGAGTATTGAATAAGCATTCAGTAATGTCACCCCCACTGAAGGTCTTTCCACTCTTGCTAATTCTTAAACCACTGGGTACAGAGAGGTGATGTACTTTGGGTACAGAGAGGTGATGCACTCTGCATTATTAAAATTCTCTCTTTAATCTGTCAGTTTACTTATATTGTCAGATCATAAAAACAATCAGTAGATATTGAACAAGTATATGATAAGCTCATCACTAGGCTGAGTTCAATCATGTGCTATTTTTCTTCATATATACATTGTTATATTGGGTACTGCACCTAGTGGTAAATGCAATAATGTTTAGTGCAAGCTTACCGGTCATTCCGAAAGATCTTTGGTAGATACCTTCTGGGGAACCACATGGCCAAAGCACACATCAGAACCCAAAGGACTGCAAGTTCATCAAGCATCTGACCCAAGAAACTAAGGGTTGCATGGAAGTAGACGGATCCAATTCCTAGAATCAATTACAACCAATAAAAAAAGGTCACCACAGAAGAGACACAAATTCAATACACTGCTTAAGGATAGTCCTTTCACCAATGGTTAACACAGTCACCAGATCACTCTCTCTCTGAAAAAAGAAACTGAAGAAAGAAACTCACACCACCCAAGCATGCATGCCTCCAGTCTAGAAAGAAGATTTCAACTAGGGCCCAAATATCAGCACATCAGAACTTTAACAATTCCACAGTTAAACGCATTCTGTCTTCATCCACTGAGCCTTTCTGGGAAGAGGCAGTAAATAAAAGTCAACATTCCTTCACTGTTAAGAATTCCCAGGCTGCCTGTGGGAGGAAATGGAAATGACACAAGTATTTCACAAAACAATGAGGGATCAAACATCTACATTTTTTTCTTTAATTTTAGTCCATTAGAAACCAGCCTCCCCAGAGTTCAGTTGTTTCACCTGACTTTCTTCAGACGTTCAGAAAATTGCACTGGCATAGCCCTAATAGCTACTACACAAATGAAGTCTCAAATGCACGCAAGTGACAGTAATGCCAACTTTGTTATCAAGCCTGCATTCAAGCAAGTGGGAAAAAAAAGTTTGCTAAGACCTCAGAGTGACTTCAGTTTACAAAACATTATGTTCAAAGGGGAGAGGAAGTGTGTGGAATTCCTTCTACCCCCATCCCACCACCCCATTAAGTCCGTGTTCCCAAATGACTCCACTTACCCACTACAACCAAAAGAGTCCAGATTAAGTAGATGCCACTGTTGAAGCATGTTGCATACTGACGAAACAAGCACATGCAGATGGGCGGTAAAATGAAAAATAAGACATTGCTGATCTGCAGGAAAAAAATGTAAAACAGAAAGATGAGTATTAAGTAAAAAGGGCAAAAAATAAAGTGGCCTCTTCCAAGTATGTCCTTGCAAACTGGGATAAATGTGGTCACACATCTCGTTTAAGCTCTTGCACTTTTTCTTTTTCTTTTCTCTTTGAGATGGAGTCTCACTCTGTCACCCAGGCTGGAAGGCTGAAATGCAGTGGTACGATCTTGGCTCACTGCAACCTCTACCTCCCGAGTTCAAGCAATTCCCCTGCCTCAGCCTCCTGAGTAGCTGGGATTACAGGCACCCACCACCATACCTGGCTCATCTTTGTATTTTTAGTAAGATGAGGTTTCACCATGTTGGCCGGGCTGGTCTCGGAACTCCCAACCTCAGGTGATCTGCCTGCTTCAGCCTCCCAACGTGCTGGGATTGCAGGCATAAGCCACCACACCCAGCCTCTGACACTTCTTTTGACTACAGATATACAATCAGGAGAACTTAAAGCTTTTTAAATGACCATTTAAGAGGCTCCCTGCTGCTTCTTTGATCATAGGAGTAGCTATAAAAACACTGCAGTCTATGGATGCTGCCCAAGCTCCTCTCTTATTCTTATTAACTAAGAATTAAATAAGAATTAACCAGTAATTCTTATTGCAAGGTTAATTATGAATCATTCTAATTTACTTGCACTTATTTTTTTCACAATCCTTTTTTAAGAGACATGGTCTAGCTATGTTTTCCAGGCTGGACTGAAGTGATCCTCCCACCACAGCCTCCCAAGTAGCTGGGACTAGGTACATGCCACCATGCCTGGCTCCATTTACTTTTTTTTTTTTTTTTTTTGAGACAGAGTTTCTTTCTTACAGCCCAGGCTGGAGTTCTTTGGTGCAGTCTCAGCTCACTGCAACTTCTGCCTCCCAGGTTCAAGCGATTCTCCTGCCTCAGCCTCCCGAGTAGTTGGGATTACAGGCGCTCACCACCACACCCAGCTAATTTTTGTATTTTTAGTAGAGACGGGGTTTCACCATGTTGGCCAGGCTGGTCTCAAACTCCTGACCTCAGGTGATCCACTCGTCTCAGGCCTCCCAAAGTTCTGGGATTATAGGCATGAGCCACTGCGCCCGCCTGCTTTTGTGTTTTTAAAGATAAGGTCTGTATTAAATAATGGTTAAAAAAAAAAAAAAGTTTAATGAAGGCGTAAAAAAGACTGGACATTGTCCAGCTCCCAATAATCCTCCCCAGCCAAGCCAGCCTTTTCCCCTGTGCCTACACAAAGCGAGGACTCTTTCTAGTTTCCCCCTTCGTTGCCCTTTGTCAGCTTTCCCATCCTAACCAAAACCTATTTTTAAGTAAAGATTATATTTGAAAGTTTCTTCCCAGCTTTAAAATGATATTATTTTATCTTGCAGATTTTGGTATGGATTTAAGCCTCTCTGTTATGTCTCCATGGGCATTCAACTTTTTAAAAATTTTAATAATCTATCTTATTTAATGCAATGTATTCAAAATATTGTCATTTGAACATGTAATCACTATTAAATATCATTAATGAGATAGTTTACTTTTTTTTTTTCTTAGAGACAGGGTATTACTCTGTCAACCAGGCTAGAGTGTAGTGGTGGGACCAGCTTGCTGCAGCCTCCTACTTCCAGGCTTAAGGGAGCCTCCTGCCTCAGCCTCTTGAATAGCTAGGATTACAGGCATGCACCACCATGCCTGGCTTTATTTATTATTATAATTTTTTTTTTTTTTTGGTAGAGATGGTGGTCTCACTATGTTGCCCAGGCTGATCTCACACTGCTGGCCTCAAGCAATCCTCCTGCCTCAGCCTCCCAAAATGCTGGGATTATAGGCATGAGTCACCGCGTCCAGCCTAGTTTACATTATTTTGTTCATACCAAAGCCTTGAAGATCAGTGTAAATTTCACACTCACAACAAGCCTCAGTTTGGGCTAGGCACATTTCCTGTGCTCAACAGCCAACTAAATGTGGCCAGTGACTGTCATATTGGAAACTCATCCCTAATTTTTTTAACTTACTTTTTGTTTGGTTGATTTTGGGGTTTGTTTGTTTCACAGACTCAAAGCTTTTTTTTTCTGAACTTTAAAAAATTGAGGTAAAATTCACATACCATAAAACTAACCATTTTAAAGTGTACAATTCAGTGGCATTTAGTACATTTCATAATGGGCAACCATCACCTCTATCTAGTTCCAAAATGTTTTCATCACCCCAAAAAGAAACACTATTCTCATTAAGCAGTCACTCCTCATTTCTCCCTCCCTCAGCCCCTGGCATTCACCAATCTGCCTTTTGTCTTTATGATTTTATCTATTCTAAATATTTCACATAACATAAATGGAATCATACAATATATGTCCTTTTGTATCTAGCTTATTTTTTCATTTAGCATAATGTTTTTAAGGTTCATCCATATTACAGCATATACCAGTAACTTATTCTTTTTTATGGTTGGATAACATTCCATTGAAAGGATATACTACATTTATTTTGTCTATTCATACATTAATTGTTGCTGGGTACTATGGTCTGAATGTGTCACCCCCACACACAAAATTCATATGTTAAAACTTAATCATCAATGTGATAGTATCATTATTTGCAACAAAATGACATTTCAGTCAACAATGAGCCACACATATGACAGTGGACCCATATTATAATGGAGCTTTTATGCCACATTTTTCCTGATACTTTTCCAGGTTTAGATATGCTTAAATACACAAATATTTACTGTTGTGTTACAGTTGCCTACAGTGTCCAGTACAGTAACAGGTTGTACAGGTTTATAGCCTATGAGCAATAGGCCATACCATATGGCCTGGGTGTGTACAAAGCTATACCATCTAGATTTGTGTAAGTATGGTCTATAATGTTATAGAATGACAAAATCTCCTGACAATACATTTCTCAGAACGTATCCCCATCACACAACTGTACTAAGAGGTGAGGCCTTTGGAGGTGTTAAATTGGATTAGCGCTCTTCTAACAGAGGTCTGAGGGAGGTATTCACCCTTCCCACCATGTGAGGGTGTAGCATATACTCCGTCTTTGAAGCAGGGAGCCCTTGCCAGACCCCCAACCTGCTGCCACCTTGATCTTGGACCTTCCAGCCTCTAGAACTGTAAGAAATGAATTTCTGTTATTATAAATTACCCAGTCTAAGATCTTTTGTTATAGCAGCATGAACGGACTAAGGCACTAGCTGGTGTACTAATTCCATTTTTAACTTTTTAAGGAACCACCAAACATTTTCCCACAGCAGCATTTTTATATTCCCATCAGCAATGTACAGTGTTCCAATTTCTCACATCCTTGCCAACACTTGTTATATTCTTTTGTTTTTAAATTAAGCTATTTTAGAAGATATGAAGCGGTAGGAACATTCAGCTTTTAAGTCTCATCTCTAATTGTGGAGTGAGGGGCTCCTTGTACAGGACTGAGCACAGAGAAGAAGTATGTCGAATGTGAAGATGACAGCTAAGTCTACATGAGTAACACCCATCGGGATGGGGTGGGAGGGGTCCTGGACTAAACACAAACAAAAATCACATTCAAAAATAGGTGAATAGGGTTGATGAACTGTGCAAAGCCAAGGGCACAGGGCTTTCAGAAGAAAAGAGCGGTTACTCATGTTGGACAATACACAATGGTCACTTAGAGGACGTCTCAAAGAACCATGATGGTGGGCACCTGAACAGAACTGAAGTGAGCAGGGCCAAAGAGCTTTACCAGACCTAAGAAACCACACTGGTACACAACTAAATAGAATGCTTCAGCAAACCCCAGAACTTGAGGCATAGGGCAAGTGAGGACTGGCAGCTTCAAGGACCAATGCCTGCCTCTGCCACCATCTGGGGAGGAGAGCGGGTAAGCATGACACTTTTTAGAAACGGGAGAAAGATGGGTGGGAGAGAAATGCAAGTCAAAGGAGGAGAAAAAGATCCTTGGTCAGGGGCAGAATGGGAGCAGAGCTGTTACCTTTGGTTAAAATCCAGGTCTGAAATACCTAAGTGGGGCTGTATCATTATGGAGAAAGGGGTACCTTTTTCTAGTTGGTTCACTTTGTTTTTGTTTTGCTTTGTTTTGAGATGGAGTCTCACTCTGTCACTAGTCCAGGCTGGAGTGCAACGGCACGATCTCACCTTACTGTAATGTCCGCCTCCTGGCTTCAAGCAATTCTCCTGCCTCAGCCTCCAGAGTAGCTGGGATTACAGGCGCCTGCCACTCCTGGCTAATTTTTGTATTTTTAGTAGAGACAGAGTTTCATCACGTTGGCCAGGCTGGTCTTCAACTCCTGACCTCAAGTGATCCGCCTGCCTCAATCTTTAACAGTGCCAGGATTACAGGTGTGAGCTCCCATGCTCAGCCTTTAGTTGGTTCACTTTGTTGCGGATCTTTCTCTCCTTCCCACATAGGAGTGCTATGTGCGACTAGTGACCTTGGGTAAGAATATGGACAAGTTGTCTGAGACGTCCCAGGTGGTATACAGTCACCAGTCTGAGAAATGTGGCCAATTTTTCTTAGATCAATGAAAAGAAAAAAAGAAAAAGAAAAGAAATGTGGTCAATTTTCATTTACCAAGAAGCAGGCATGGAGGAATCAGGACAAGGATCTAAGTACTATACTGTATATGCAGTAGGTTTTGTTTTGTTTTGTTTTTGAGATGGAGTTTTGCTCTTGTTGCCCAGGCTGAAGTACAATGGTGCGATCTCGGCTCACTGCAACCTCCGCCTCCTGGGTTCAAGCAATTCTCCTGCCTCAGCCTTCCAAGTAGCTGGGATTACAGGCATGAGCCACCATGCCCAGCTAATTTTTTTCTATTTTTATAGTAGAGATGGGGTTTCACCATGTTGGTCAGGCTGGTCTGGAACTGCTGACCTCAGGTGATCCACCCTCCTCGGCCTCCCAAAGTGCTGGGATTACAGGCACAGGCCACCGCACCCGGCCAGCAGTAGGCTTTTATTCATTGTTATGATCAAAGCCCTTAACTTTCTTTCTTCTTTTTTTAATTACACTTTAAGTTCTGGGATATATGTGCAGAACGTGCAGGTTTGTTACATAGCTATACACGTGCCATGGTGGTTTACTGCACCCATCAACCCATCATCTACATTAGGTATTTCTCCTAATGCTATCCCTCCCCTAGCCCTCTACCCCTCAAAAGGCCCCGGTGTGTGATGTTTCCCTCCCTGTGTCCATGTGTTCTCGTTCCACTCCCACTTATGAGTGAGAACATACAGTGTTTGGTTTTCTGTTCCTGTGTTAGTTTGCTGAGAATAATGGTTTCCAGCTTCATCCATGTCCCTGCAAAGGACATGAACTCATCCTTTTTTGTGGCTGCATACTATTCCATGGTGTGTATGTGCCACATTTTCTTTATCCAGTCTATCACTGATGGGCATTTGGGTTGGTTCCAAGTCTTTGCTATTGTGAACAGTGCTGCAATAAACATACTTGTGCATGTGTCTTTATAGTAGAATGATTTATAATCCTTTGGGTATATACCTAGTAATGGCATTGCTGGGTCAAATGGTATTTCTAGTTCCAGATTGTTGAGGAATCGCCACACTGTCTTCCACAATGGTTGAACTAATTTACACTCCCACCAACAGTGTAAAAGTGTTCCTATTTCTCCACATCCTCTCTAGCATCTGTTGTTTCCTGACTTTTTAATGATCGCCATTCTAACTGGCATGAGATGGTATCTCATTGTGGTTTTGATTTGCATTTCTCTAATGACCAGTGATGATGAGCTTTTTTCATATGTTTGTAGGCCACATAAATGTCTTCTTTTGAGAAGTGTCTGTTCATATCCTTTGCCCACTTTTTGATGGGGTTGTTTTTTTTCTTGTAAATTTGTTTAAGTTCCTTGTAGATTTAGCCCTTTGTCAGATGGATAGATAGCAAAAATTTTCTCCTATTCTGTAGGTTAACTGTTCAACCTGATGATAGTTTCTTTTGCTGTGCAGAAGCTCTTTAGTTTAATTAGAGCTCATTTGTCAATTTTGGCTTTTGTTCCCATTGCTCTTGGTGTTTTAGTCATGAAGTCTTTGCCCATGCATATGTCCTGAATGGTATAGCCTAGGTTTCCTTCTAGGGTTTTCATGGTTTTAGGTCTTATGTTTAAGTCTTTAATTCATCTTGAGTTAATTTTTGTATAAGGTGTAAGGAAGTTTCAGTTTTCTGATTATGGCTAGCTAGTTTTCCTAACACCATTTATTAATAGGGAATCCTTTCCCCATTGCTTGTTTTTGTCAGGTTTGTCAAAGATCAGATGGTTGTAGATGTGTGACATTATTTCTGAGGCCTCTGTTCTGTTCCATTGGTCTATATATCTATTTTGGTACAAGTACCATGCTGTTTTGGTTACCATAGCCTTGTAGTATGAAGTCAGGTAGCGTGATGCCTCCAGCTTTGTTCTTTTGGCTTAGGAATGCCTTGGCAATGTGGGCTTTTTGTTTCCATATGAAATTTAAAGTAGTTGTTTCTAATTCTGTGAAAAAAAGTTAATGGTAGCTTGATGGGGATAGCACTGAATCTATAAATTACCTTGGGCAGTATGGCCATTTTCATGATTTTGATTCTTCCTTTCCATGAGCATGGAATATTCTTCCATTTGTTTGTGTCCTCTATTATTTCCTTGAGCAGTGGTTTGTAGTTCTCCTTGAAGAGGTCCTTCATATCCTTTGTAAGTTGTATTCCTAGGTATTTTATTCTCTTTGTAGCAATTGTGAATGGGAGTTCACTTGTGATTTGCCTCTCTGTCTATTATTGGTGTATAGGAATGCTTGTGATTTTTACACAATGATTTTGTATCCTGAGACTTTGCTGGAGATGCTTATCAGCTTAAGGAGTTTTTGGGCTGAGAGGATGGGATTTTCTAAACATACAATCATGTCATCTGCAAACAGAGATAATTTGACTTAACTTTCAGTGGAATCATTTAAGAATCAAAGACCCTTAAGAGGGTCTTTTAAAAAAGGATTATTTTAAGAAGGATCTTAAAAACCATCCCTTAGGCGGGGCACGGGTGGCTCACGCCTGTAATCCCAGCATTTTGGGAGGCTGAGGCAGGTGGATCACCTGAAGTCAGGAGTTTGAGACCAGCCTGGCCAACATGGCAAAACCCTGTCTCTACTAAAAGTACAAAAAAAAAAAATTAGCTGGGCATGGTGGCGGGCGCCTGTAATCCCACCTACTCGGGAGGCTAAGGCAGGAGAATCACTTGGACCCGGGAGGCGGAGGTTGCAGTAAGCCGAGATCACACCATTGCACTCCAGCCTGGGCGACAAGAGTCTCAAAAAAATAAAATATAATAAAATAAAAAATAAAAATAAATAAAAACCATCCCTTGTTTTACAAAGGGATATAGCTGAGGGCCCTGAAAGGCTCCAGGGCTGGCTCAAGTCAGAGAGCCAATCTGCACAGAGCCCGGCTCCTTCCACTGCTCCCAGCTGATTTTCAACCCCAACTCATTCAACCACATTCTGACCTCCTTGGCTTAACTCCTCCACTAGCATCTAAAAATTGTGAATCACATCACCCACTGTGCATCACACACTGTGCACATATGACCAGTTTCTTGGCTTTGATGTAAACATGGCTTTCCTCTTGTTAAACTAGCAATAAAAGGAAGAAAAGGAGATGAATGGGGAGAAGGAGCAGATGAAGGCGGATCAAGGGAGTGAAGAAAGAGGAGAAGAAAAATGGAATTGTTATACCATAGGTAACTTAAAACCTGATCTTTCTCCCTTCATATACATGAATGTGTTCTTGTAAAAAAAAAAAAAAGGAATAAAGTTTCCTTTCTAGCCTCTTCCCCAGAGATAACCACTGTCCTCATTTTCTTCACATTTACATGAATAGGTACGTATATGTCACATATTGTTAACATTCCCATCGTGCAGCTTCCTTTTCTCCTTCAACAATATGCACTGCAAACCTTTTCATCCTAGATAATAAAGATTTAGCTCACTTGCTGTAAGTGAGGCAGATGGGAGCAGTTTAGCCATTTTCCAGTGGAAGGAGCACCAATTTACAGTCCCACTTATAATGTTGAGAAATATAATGCATTGCGATTTCTACCCCAGAAGATCTTTAGTGCCTCAAGTCCTCTCAATCTACCTTGCTTCTGCTAAGTGCAACTATCTACTCCCAAGCTGTCCCGCAATGGCTTTCTTGGGTTATATTTCCACCAGCAATGGACACACTAATCACTTTTAAATGTATTTATATATTATTTGCAAAGGCATGAAGTCATTTATCACACCTACAGCAAAATTATGATATGTAAAACTTTTTTTTAATTTTTAATTTTTATTTATTTATTTGTTTATTTATTTATTTATTTATTTATTGAGATGGAGTCTCACTCTGTCACCCAGGCTAGAGTACAGTGGCGAAATCTTGGCTAACTGCAACCTCCGCCTCCCAGGTTCAAGCGATTCTCCTGATTCAGCCTCTCCTCAAGTAGCTGGGACTACAGGTAAGTGCCATCATGCCCATCTAATTTTTTGTATTTTCAGTAGAGACGAGGTTTCACCATGTTGGCCAGGCTGGTCTTGAACTCCTGACCTCAAGTGATCAGCCCACCTCAGCCTCCCAAAGTGCTGGGATTACAGGCATAAGCCACCACACCTGGCCCAAACAGTTTCTTTAAATGTGCATATTAGAAGCACCATTTAGAAGCACTATTTTGCCATATGCTTCAAATAATACTGAAATTACATTATTCTTCTGCCTAGCCCATCTACCAAGGCTGGCTGGCCCCCACTGTACCTTTTAAAGACGTCAACATATGGAAAGGAAAAGAACAAATTAGTGGGAGACTTTCCCCAAGAGAAAAAGATGAAGGAACACCAAAAGAAATACAAAAAAGCAAATCAGTCATGGTTTAAAAATGGACTCATGGATCCATCTCTACTGAGATGTATCCCTCAAAATTGTATTGGTCGCTGAAATTGTAGAATAGTGCACTCAAGGGCTACAATTTTTTTTTTTTTTTTTGAGGCGGAGTCTCGCTCTGTCAGCCAGGTTGGAGTGCAGTGGCGCGATCTTGGCTCACTGCATGCTCCGCCTCTCAAGGAGTACATTTTAAAGCCTATTGTTAGATTATAGCATGCTCACAGCTCACTGCAGCCTTGATCTCAGCCTCCTGAGTAACTGGGACCACAGGCATGTGCCATCATGTCCAGCTAATTTTCACATTTTTTGTAGAGACAGGGTAGGGTTTTGCCATGTGGCTCAGGCTGGTCTCAAGTGATCTGCCAGCCTCAGCCTGGGCTCAAGTGATCTGCCAGCCTCAGCCTCCTAAAGTACTAGGATTAGAGGTGTGAGCCACTGCGCCTAGCCCACAATTTTTAAAATGTATTATTTCCTTAGAAAGTTCTTCATTCTATGAATTTCCACATAACATTTGCTACAAAATAATCTCATGAACATACTGCAGTCTCATCCTGATGCATCTGAATGTGCACTTTCCAGACAGAGGGTAAATAAAGACAAAACAACAGGCTGTACATATTCTGGACAGCAGGTTCATAAACAGCTGAGGACTTTTACCCTGGCTGAGTGGATTGTCTGTCCATCTTAATTGTGTGCTGATTCCTAACTACCCATTCCATTGTTTTACTTCTGCCCCTGGGATGACCAACTGTCGTGGTTTGCTTGGGACTGAGGGGGCTTCCCAAGGCATGGGACGTTCAGTTTTAAAATCAGAAAAGTCTCAGGCAAAAACCCAGGACAAGTTTGGTCACTCTATTCAGAAGCCTTCTTGCAAAACCACCACCCTATCCTCACAGTACATCAATCCCATGCACAGTACTAAAAACACCCTCAGCGGCTTGTACACACCTCTATCATAGCCCTCACCACCCATATGACTATTTACAGAGCTGGTCTCTGGAATAAGCACACAGTTGTTGCCCAGCAAATGCTCAGATTGATGGATCGACCGATAGATTCAGCCTGAAGAGAGCGGGACTTAGGACTTGGCATATAACGAGAGCTCTATTTATCTTGATGACTGGGGACAGAGCAGGAAGTGACAGATCATGAGCTGATTTTATGCATGTATTTTGCTTCAAGATTCTTTTCAGCGATCAGTTGACTTTCTTCTGTCCTCAAGTCCCTGCTGAGCAACAGAGTCCCCAAAGGCCAAGCTCAGGTAAAAGGCAGACCCGGCTTTTCTCCAAAGTGGCTAGGTCTATGTGACTGGGGCCTTAAATATTTTCTTTTTTTTTTTTTTTTCCTTAAGATGGAATCTTGCTCTGTCACCCAGGCTGGAATGCAGTGGCCTCATCTTGGCTCACTGCAACCTCCACCTCCCAGGTTCAAGCAATTCTCCTGCCTCAGCCTCCCTAGTAGCTGGGACTACAGGCACACACCACCACACTTGGCTAGTTTTTTGTATTTTTGGTAAAGATGGGGTTTCGCCGTGTTGGCCAGGCTGGTCTCAAACTCCTGACCTCAAGTGATCCTCCCACTTCAGCCTCCCAAAGTGCTGGGATTACAGGCGTGAGCCACCGCGCCCAGCCAGGGGGTCTTAAATCTTAAAACATAAAAAGGAACTCAATTAATAAAATTTGTATATAGAAGAAACAGTATAAAATGTGCACAAGTAAAAGGCTGTGAAAGGAAATTACATGTTCATGGAAGAGATATTAGGCTTGGCTGAAGCAAAGGATGATACAATTTGAGGCAACAGAAATTTGCAGAGGCCAAAGCAAAATGTTTTGTATGCCCAAACATTGTCAGTGGAAGTCAAATCAGTGCACTCTCTTTAGTGTGCCATTTCACAATAATTATCAGCATTTAAACTGAATATCCTCCTTGACACAGCAATCCCCATCTAAGATTAGTGCTTGCGAAAGTACATCCAGATGCATGAATGAGGATATTCACTGAATCACTGTTCAAAAACCAAAATGAAAACAATAAAACAGAGAGAAACTATATGAAATGTCCATCAATAAGGATTGATTAGATAAATAAATTATGATCAATCCATTAAAGGGAGTACTGTATAAACATTATAAACAGGAAGAGAGCACTATATGAGCTGATATGGAAATATCTCCAAGACATATTAAGTGAAAAACACAAGGTACATAAGAGTTTACACAGTACCATCTTGGAAAAAAACTTCAAGTATTCGTGATTACGCCATACATGCTGGTTTTTTTTTTTTTTTTTTTGAGACAGAATCTTGCTCTGTTGCCCAGGCTAGAGTGTGCAGTGGCGCGATCTCAGCTTACTGCAACCTTCACCTCCCAGGTTCAAGCTATTCTTCTGCCTCAGCCTCCTGAGTAGCGGGGACTTACAGGCACGCACCACCACAACCAGCTAAATTTTTGTATTTTTAGTAGAGATGAGGTTTCACCATGTTGGCCAGGTTGGTCTCAAACTCCTGACCTCAAATGATCTGCCTGCCTCAGCCTCCCAAAGTGCTGAGATTACAGGCATGAGCCACTGCCCCCAGCCTTATACATGCGTATTTTATATGCACACAGATACATGTGCTTTTTATATGCCTAGAAAATATCTAGAAAGATACAGAAGGTTATTTTTCACTCTACAACTTACATACTCTAAATTTTTTACCATGATCATATTACTTTTACAATAAACAGTAATTTTACAAACTACTTTAAATAAACTTTTTTCCTATCAAAAAGTATGAGTTTTATCCTAGAGATAAAATGATCCCAAGACAGGAGTTTTAAGTTATGGAATGACTAAATAATAAATATCTATTCTATGCCAAATAGATAAATCTAAGTTAGTTACAGTGGCACTTATAGCTTCAAGATAACTCTCTTGGTAGAGTCAAATGGACCAAGTTCTGACTTCAGCTGTGCTATGCTCTTGACCACAGCAAGTTACATAAACTCTCTAGGCCCCAATTTCCATCTTTATCAAATGGATATAATAAATAGCACCCATTGTCTAGAATGAGTATACAGTACCCAGCAGAGCTTCAACACATAGCAATTAAGTAATGGTAGACAGTAGTATCTGAAGGTGTAGTAGTGATGTGCTACCCCTAAGACCCATTAAGAAGGTTCTAGATCCCTCTCCCGGTCTTCTCCTGATTTAACATTGTCAATTCCTCCAACTTTTTCTCAAAACTGGTAATGATTATGAGTTTCCTATAAACTGGGTAATTAGACCTGTTGCCTTATTATGAGGATTTAAGACGATATTTATCACCACATAACAGTCTACTGTCTTTCTCAACACAGGAGTAAGATAAGCATGGGAATGTCCTGTGATAAGCATCAAAATATAAGTAGTACGTAAGAACACAGGGGAAGAAGGCCGGGCATGGTGACTCACGCCTGTAATCCCAGCACTTTGGGAGGATCGCTTGAACCTGGAGGTGGAGGTCGCAGTGAGCCAAGATCGCACCACAGCACTCAAGCCTGGAACAGAGCATGATCATCTCAAAAAAAAATTTTTTTAAATAGCAACAGAGGGGAAGAAACGTTTTTTGCTAAATTCTTTGGACCTACACTCAACAAAGTTAGGCAATGACCTTATTCTCTGACACCTTACGCTCTCTGCTTTGCCAGAGCAAATTTTGTGGTTTATGAGTATTCCAAGGAATAAAGTTTGTCAGATGGGCCAGCTGGGCTCATCAGCCAGACAATGCAGCTGAAGATCAACAGTTAGTTTCTGAAAAAGACTTTAGCACTCACTACATAGAGTAACGGCTCCAATGGGACTAGATTAAAAGTAAAGACAAACTCTCCCTTTCATCCAGCCCTATGACACTTTTCAAGACAGACTCAGAGAAGCCATACACTAGCTTTTTTGGCCAAAATAACCAAGGTTGACCCTCTCTGTAGACCCCAGGCTGCACAGAGAATAATCTTGCTAAGTGTGTGAGAACCTGTCATCAAGCTGTCTTTTCTTCTTGAACTCTGGTGAAATCCTTACTCTTTCACTATATTCTTTATTTACAAAAGGACAGCTTGTGTTACCACTGGTGTTTCTCCTTATTGAAAGTACCCAGAACTACTCCAGCCCATCCTCTGTGTGCAACTATTTACCCCTGACAGCATGCTCTGGGAGGTTATGCAATACATAAGTCATGGCCACTTCCACTGTCTTTCACAGTATCTGTGGTCAGCAGAGGGCCAGGTTTTCTTTGAGACCCTGTTGCCCAGGCTGGAGTGGAGTGGCGCGATCTCAGTTCATTGCAGCCTTCAACTCCCAGGCTCAGGTGATCCTCCCACCTCAGCTTCCCAAGTAGCTGGGACGACAAGTGTGTGCCACATGTCCAGCTAATTTTTGTATTTTTTTGTAGAGATGAGGTTTCGCCATGTTGCCCAGGTTGGTCTCGAACTCCTGGATTCAAGCGATCCACCTGCCTTGGCCTCCCAAAGTGCTAGGAATACAGGTGTGAGCCACAACGCCCAGCCTTAGGTTTTCTTAAGGAACCAACCTAATCATAAAAAAAGGAGCAGGAGTGTTTGTGTGGAAGCCAGCCATGGATTTCAGCACTGAGGGAAGGAAGGGCCCAGACTTCTGGATTGTGGCCCCAGCCATGCCAGAAATGTGAGCATGACAGCTCCCTCCTCAAGAGCCCAGTTTTCTCATCAGATGAATAAAAGGACAGGGACTAGATCATCTGAGATTCCTGCAGGCAGTAAGCACCTGACTCCTGCTGAAGACATTCTCTCTAGCAAATCCAAAAGGAAAAGTCCTAAACAACAACCTCAAATTCACAATGACCCAAACCAGGAGTTCCTGTTTCCCTTGTTTGGGCGGTGAAAAGATAAGCCACAGAAATGACCACGCAAAGTCTCACATTCTGTACCAGGATTCTGAGCCATGGACATACACAAAATAAGAGGCATTTCCTCTCCCAGCTGCAACCCTTCCCTACCACAAGAACTAAAATCACACAGGATTCTGCAATGGGGAAGTTTCTGCTCACCCTTATCTAGGGACCTAGGCAAATCCAAAACCCGCACATTATCACTCCCAAACTTTCCTTTCATCCCTCAGACTTCAGAACTGGAGAAAGCACAGTCCTGGGGGAGTTGAATTAGCGGCTTGCACAAGACAGGACACTAAAGGCAAGAAAAAAAAACAAGTAGTAATTAACTTGATTCTGACCAAAAATAACTCGACCATTATAGGCATGTTCTTGGGGGTGGGGCAAGTCTGCCTGGTGGGAGTGACCCCAGCCGCGGGGACCTGCGGGGGGCGTGCTCTTCCCAGCACTCCGAGAGCAGGTATTCAGGGCAAAAAAGCACAATGCGACCCAAGTGCGTCACGCCACAGAGATCCCAGGGGAGGAAGAGACTTGTCCCGGCAGGTTCACCGCCCCCAGCTGACCCAAACAAGGAGAATGGGCTGACACAGACCCCTGGTTCCTGGACGCGTGGGGGCCAAACAAGACAATAGGACCATCACAAAACAAATGACAGCAGGAGGAAGATGAGCCCAGCTGTCGGGAATGGGGACAGGAGAGGAGGACAGATGGAGAACTGAAAGGAGCGCGCCGAGGAGGGGGTGTGGACTGACTCAGCCCCTGGAGAGAATGCCCCCAGATGCGCGCAGAGACCCACGTCCAGCTTCCAGACGCTGCGGCGCGGGAACAGCCCCCTCCCGCTGGCCCGCCTGCCTTCCCCGCTCCCGCGCCCCGCACCGTGTTGTAGAACTCGGCGATAGCAGGCACGATGGTGTAGTTGTCCTCGCACCAGTCCACCTCCGAGCTACCAGCCTGCAGCTGGTCCCACCAGTGCGGGGCGCCCATGGCCACTCCGGGGCATTGGAGCAGCTGCTCGCGCAGCTGAGAAGAGCCCAGAGCTGCTGCGGAGGCAAAACGCGGCGACAGCCAGCGGCGAAAGCGGCTTTATGAAGCACCGGGTAACCGCCGGATGTGCGCCTCCCAACTGGCCTCCCGCGCTCCGCCCCGCCTCGCCTCGCCTGCGGGAGGTTACTCGTTCGCAGACCCTCCCCGGCCCCTCCCCCTGGAAGCCACGCCCACCGTGGGGCGGGACCCGCGTGGAGGAGGGGTCCAGGGTGGGGCGCCTGGAGGCGGAGACCGGGCTCCAGACTCTTCCAGACTACCCAGCACCCGGCAGGTGGCCAGGGCCTCGATGGTGCTACCCACGCCTGCCCACGCCCATCTCCTGGCTCAGACTCGCAGCCTCCCCCGATTGAAGGAGCGCCAGAACTCTCCCTGGAAAAAAATTTAAAATAAAAAGAAACCCGGGAGGACCTGGACCTCTCTGGACCCAGAGTTTGCAGCGATTTTGCTGCGTCCGGCGTTGGACGCCAGTGCTTACACCAGAGAAGTGCCCTCAGTCCCTCCGAGGCCGGACGCCACTCGCTGCGGTCACTGTGGCAGGAAGACCTTCCCGGCTGCTGGAGCAGGTTGGGCCGCCCAGTCCCCGGGGGAGCACTTCTATTTAGAGTACGTTCCTGCCCTCCCTCCCCTTGGCTCCAGCGTTAAGGCTTAATCTAGCCTTCGATATGGGGACTTAGGCAAAGGGTCAAACGTCAGCCATCCCAAACTGCAGAGGATGTAGTGTGGCAGTTATGACATCTCCAAGATATCGAGGTTCAAGAGGTGATAGATAACATACACATGCCAGGTGCTGTCTGAAGAGTTTCCATGTATCACTCATTTAGTGTGCCCAGCAGAGACCCTGTGAGGGGCTTCTATTAGCAAGTGACAGAGCTGGAAATTCAATTCAGGCAAGATGTCCTCAGATCCAGTCATAACTACCTTCTTTTGCTTCTGTAACTGTTCTGCGGTTTGTAAATGAAAGCCAATCTGGTTCCCAGGATCCCTAGAGGAAAGCCACCCTCTGTGTGTATGTGGTGGCTCCCGTTCTCCTTCCTTGAAAGGTTGTAGGATTCTAGGTCAGGACAGCGGCAGAAGAGGCCCTGGGCAGCAGCCCATTGGTGACTGTCATTAGGACGTCTTGCTCGGACCCGCAGGGTATCCTAAAGGCCAGCAACTCCCCAGGGTCTGCCCTCTCTCTGGGCCTGACTGCCCAGCAGGACCCTGGGTGGTGCTTCAGTGTCCTCTGCACCAAGTGTTTGTCTGCCCACCAGTACCCACACAGCCATGTGCAAGTCCCCAGAGATCTCCATCACTGACAAAAACTGCAAGCCCCGCCGCCTCTCCTAGTCTCTAGAAAATCCAGGTTTGTCCCCCAGGGGCCAAACCACACTCCTCCTTTCATCTTTGTCCCAACCTCTATCCCTTCCTCCTGCTTTACGGGCAATTCCACTGCCCTCCAGAACCCAAGTAGAAGATACACTCTTACCTTCCCCTAGGGTTGATTTACCCAGACCTACAGGATACCCGGAGTGAGCTGGCCACCTAAGAAAGGCGGTTGAGGGCCGGGCGCGGTGGCTCATGCCTGTAATCCCAGCACTTTGGGAGGCCGAGGCAGGCGGATCACGAGGTCAGGAGATGGAGACCATCCTGGCTAACATGGTGAAACCCCGTCTCTACTTAAAAAAAGAATACAAAAAATTACCCGGGCGTCGTGGCGGGCGCCTGTAGTCCCAGCTACGCAGGAGGCTGAGGCAGGAGAATTGCGTGAACCCGGGAAGCGGAGCTTGCAGTGAGCCGAGATCGCGCCACTGCACTCCAGCCTGGGTGACAGAGCGAGATTCCATCTCAAAAACGAAGGGCGGTTGGGGTGGATGTTTCCCACAGCCACAGAAGAAAGATACATCAGTTAATTTCTGTGTCTCAAAATGCTACACCAACTGTTCAGCAATAGAATTTTCCCTGTAGTCAATATTTTACTTCTTCCAACAACAGTTTACTTGGAAATATATCCATATTCATCAAAATATAATGGTATTTTTAAAAAACCATTATTTTATATGCCAGAGATTCTCAAAGTGTGGTTCCTCCCTTTCTTTTCATTTTCATTCTCTTACCAGTGTACATTGGAACTTCCCAGAGGATACATGATGTGTGATGTCATTATCTCTCCGACAGCTAATGGAATATGTGCTTGTGATTCTTTGGTATTAAAAGTCTGTTTAAATTTCTAATGCGGTAACTATTGATGTTACCATATAAACCACAAGTTCTCTGGTGTTCTCAATATTTTTTAAGAGTGTAAAGGGGTCCTCAGACTAAAAAGATTGAAAGTTGCTGTTAAAAAGATGTTCCTGGCCGGATGCAGTGGCTCATGCCTGTAATCCCAGCACTTTGGGAGGCCAAAGCAGGCAGCTCTTCTGAGGTCTGGAGTTCGGGACCAGCCTGGTGAACTTGGCAAAACCCCGTCTCTATTAAAATACAAAAATTAGCAGGGCATGATGGTGGGCACCTCCAGCTATGCGGGAGGCTGAGGCAGAAGAATCGCTTGAACCCAGGGGGCAGAGGTTGCAGTGAGCCAAGATCGCGCCGCTGCACTCCAGCTTGGGCAACAGAGCGAGACTCCATCTCAAAAAAAAAAAAAAAAAAAAGAAATATTTCCAATTAAACTATTTGTAATACTTTTTTATCATTTAGAATTTTTAGTGAACAAGCACAGACTTAGACTTACATTGTTATCATACATCTCTTGTGCATACCTAAGAAGGAAGGTATAAGCAAAAATAAATTCATTAAAGAATTCCTGTAATTTCTTTACATTCAGAATCTCTGTTCTTCTGAGTCATTTTTCAGCTTATAGTCATTGATGTCTGTGTCATTCATATAGAAATGTCCTCTGTGTCCTTAATTACTATGTGCTAATAATGCAGCATTTCTTAAAACTATTCCACTACTGTTTTCTTGCAAACTACTGACACCTGTTTTACAAATTTTGATGCTGGGACTCTCCTGATCTTACCTGAAGGTGTCAGTGGAAGGTTTCCAGACAACAGGCAGCATGTTTCTTTTCCAGATGGTCCTTATATAATCTGTTGAGAGAAACATGGAGATTACAGTTGCCAAGTCATCCCACCAGGAATAACCACCAAGTCTGTACATATGCAGGCAGTGACACCACATCACAACCATGACCTAGCCAACCATAATCATAAAATGCCATTCTTGGTAAAATGCATCAGGATTTCAGAGATTTAACAACGCAAAACAATGTGAGTTTTAGCACCAGTGAAATATTAAATTTGCTGAATGTAATTCATCCTTCTTTCCAAGTCTTGCTAAGGGAATGATGGGAGTTTTTCATCCTCCACAGTAACTCTTATTGTCAGTGACAATTGTAGTTCAAAATCAGTCAGCCACATTGGTTCCTTCTAATTACAACTGCACAGAAACCGTACTTGAGTCACACTGTCTCTAAAATTTTGTTTTCATAGCTCTCCCCATTGTTAACATTGTTAACTTTTTTTTTTTTTTTTGAGACAGGGTAACCCTCTGTTACCCTGGTTGGTGTGCAATGGTGCAATTTCAGCTCACTGCAACCTTGACCCCCCCACCCCAGACTCAAGCGACCCTCCCACCTCAGCCTCATGAGTAGCTAGGACCACAAGGGTGCACCACAATGCCCAGCTAAATGTTGTATGTTTTGTAGAGACAAGGTTTCATCATGTTGCCCAGGCTGGTCTCAAACTCCCAGGTTCAAGTGATCCCTTGAGCCTCCCAAAGTGCTAGGATTATAGGAGTGAGCCATTGCATCCAGCCAACATTTTTAAAATAAATACAACATTGGTAATTTAACAAGAGGGCCTATCAGGAGGTTATAAATTTTAAAATTGATTTATATTAATTGCATGATGCCTTAGAAACTACTGCTAGTGGTTGAATACAAAATTCTGATGTCTACTCTAAACTAAGTTTGTTGAGGGAAGGATGCAGTGACAGCAAGGAACAGAACTACTGAGTTCCAACTATTTGGCTTACGATGCTTTTGGCCTACATGACTCAGTGATACAGATCCACAAGGGAGCAAGTTTGAAGGAACAGCCCTTGCAAGGAATTCAGAATGACAGCACCTTCTATTTTTACATAGTGTATAACAATGTTTATTTGGTATAAGTAAATATCTGATAGTAAATATCCAGTTCAACTGGTTCCACAAGTGGAAATTATCAAGTCACAAAGTCTTCCCTTGGGTAAAAAATGCAGGCACCTGTGTAAATGAAGCAAGAAGTGCCTGATCAAGGATGAAGTTTTCTGTATCTTCCTGTTTGACTAGAGTTTTTCACTGTGGTCCTGCTTGTGGCCCATTGTTAAGCCAGTGGTTAAGGCCAGCCCAGCAGCAGCAGCATCCCCTGGGAATCTTTTACGAATGTGAGTTCCAGTCCCCACCCTAGAACTATTGGATCAGAAACTCTGGATAGAGCCCAGCAACCTTTGGCTTCATAAGCCCTCAGGTGATTCTGACTCATGCTCAGGCTCATGATGAGGAAACCAGGGGCTCTGAGTCTGCCCTGGACCCCTTCAACTCAGAGGAAAACAGAAGAAGCCAGCAAGACTGTGCTTGTTTTGCTAAAATCTGAGGTCGTTTTCAGGCTCAGACTTGTAGATGAGAGTTGTAGGAAGTAGGTCCTCACTAGGGAAACACTGCTGCAGCCACTGCAGAAGGTGCTTGTGTTAGCTGGGACAGGCACCGCTCCTTTACTGACAGGCCATCAGTGGTAAATTCTGCTGTTGTCAGCAGGCCTCTATTTAGAAATGCCTCTCTTGTGTGTGTGTGTGTTTGTTTGTTTTTGTTTTCCTTTTTATGGAGACGGTGTCTTGCTATGTTGCCCAGGCTAGTCTCAAGTGAGCCTCCCACCTTGGCATCCCAAAGTGCTGGGATTACAGGTGTGAGCAGCCACACCCAGCCAAGATCACAAAGCTAGCAGAGGATGGTTTCCATCCATCAACCTCTGGGTTATGGGCCCATAGGTATGCTTCCACTGCACCACTCTGCTGTTCCCTCTCTCCTTTTTCTAACCTGCACTGGAAAACCACAATGTTAACCTCTATCCTATCAGGGGAACCCACCCCCAATATTTCAACATAGGTTCTTTCTATTTTCCCTAAGTGTCGGCTGGTCTGAGAAATAAAGAGAAAGACTACAAAGAGAGGAATTTTACAGCTGGGCCACCGGGGGTGACATCACATATCAGTAGGTCCGTGATGCCCACCTGAGCCGCAAAACCAGCAACTTTTATTAAGGATTTCAAAAGGGGAGGGGGTGTACGAACAGGGAGTAGGTCACAAAGACCACATGTTTCAAAGCACAAAAAGGAGAACAAAGATCACATGCTTCTGAGGCCAATAAAGATCACAAGGCAAAGGGCAAAATCAAAAACTCCTGATAAAGGTCTCTGTTCAGCTGTGCACGTATTGTCTTGATAAACATCTTAAACAACAGAAAACAGGGCTCCAGAGCAGAGAACCAGTCTGACCTCAAATTTACCAGGGAGCAGTTTTTTCCCCACCCTAATAAGCCTGAGGGTACTGCAGGAGATCAGGGCGTATTTCAGTCCTTATCTCAACCACATAAGACAGACACTCCCAGAGCGGCCGTTTATAGGCCTCCCCAAAGGAATGCAATTCTTTTCCTAGGGTCTTAATATTCCTTGCTAGAAAAAGAATTTACTGCTATCTCTCCTACTTGCATGTCTGTTTATAGGCTCTCTGGAAGAAGAAAAATATGGCTTTTTGCCCAACCCCACAGGCAGTCAGACCTTATGGTTGTCTTCCCTTGTTCCCTAAAATCACTGTTATTCTGTTCATTTTCAAGGTGCACTGATTTCATATTGTTCAAACACACATTTTATAATCAAATTGTACAGTTAACGCAATCATCACAGGGTCCTGAGATGACGTACATCCTCAGCTTATGAAGATAACAGGATTAAGAGATTAAAGTAAGACAAGCATAAAAAATTATAAGAGTATTATTAGGGAAGTGATAAATGTCCATAAAATCTTCACAATTTATGTTTCCTCTGCCGTGGCTCCAGCCAGTCCCTCTATTCGGGGTCCCTCACTTCCCACAACACTCTCCTTTTTCTAATCTGCGCTAGAAAACCACAATGTTGGGTTTAGAATGAAACATGATAATTGCTAAAATGGAGGTGCATATGTGGAAGCAGAAGGGCAGGGGCCCAAGTCTGCACTGAGAGTCATGGGACGTTTTGCAGAGGAGGTAGCCTCGGAACTGAAGTTAAAAGATGAACAGGATTTTACCAGGCAGAGCACTGGGGGGAGGGAGGGAATCCTACAGAAGGAACAGCCCATGCAAAAGGATAGAGGTCTGAGAAAGCATACACATTCAGGAAACTTCAGCACAACCTGACCTAGAAAACCAATAGATGATATAAAGAGTAAGTCTTTTTGTTTTGTTTTGTTTTGTTTTTGAGATGGATTCTCACTGTCACCCAGGCTGGAGGGTTCAAGCGATCCTCCCCCTTAGCCTCCCAAGTAGGTAGCTGGGATTACAGGTACATACCACCACACCCAGCTAATTTTTGTACTTTTAGTAGAGATGAGGTTTCACCATGTTGGCTAGGCTGGTCTGCAACTCCCGATCTCAAATGATCTGCCCACCTCAGCCTCCCAAAGTTCTGAGATTACATGTGTGAGCCACCACGCCCAGCCAAGAGTAAGTCTTTAAGAAAGAAAATCCTGATGGCAGAAAAATAAATTAGATTTCCAAAACTACTGGTAAGGCCTTTCAGTAAACCAGGTGAAGGATGATATGGGCATGACTAAGGCAATCATTCATTCCTTTACATGCTGCTCTATGCCAGATACTTTTCTAGCTGCCAAGGGTTAAATAATGAGCAAAACAGACACTGTCTCTGCCCTCACAGAGCTTTCAGTCTAGGGGCTGTCAGAAATTAAATAAGTGCATAAATAATTGCAGTTGTCTCACGTGTGTCATGAAGGAGAAGTATAAATTCCACAACAGCCAATAGCAGTAGATGTGGCCTAGTCTGAGGGCATCAGAGAAGGCTTCCTTGAGGAAGCTGAGAGAAGTGAAGTTTAAGGCAGGGGTAAAGAGAATTGAAATAAGGGATGCAATTGAAATACAAAATGGCAATTGTGATAGATTATACTATTGATTCCAGATATTTGAACATACTTTCTCAGTCAATGAATATGAGACTTGGCTTTGTCATTTGCTATGATCATTGTATTCGTCCATTTTCACACTGCTGATAAAGACATATCTGAGACTGGGCAATTTACAGAAGAAAAAGGTTTATTGGACCCACAGTTCCACATGGCTGGTGAGGCCTCACAATCATGGCAGAAGGCAAGGAGCAGCAAGTCACATCTTACATGGATGGCAGCAGGCAAAAAGGGAGCTTGTGCAGGAAAACTCCAACTTATAATAACCATCAGATCTCGTGAGACTTACTATCACAAGAGCAGCATGGAAAAGACCTGCCCCAATGATTCAATTACCTCCCACCAGGTCCCTCCCACAACACATGGGAATTCAAGATGAGATTTGGGTGGGGAGACACCCAAACCAGATCAGCCATGGAACTGATTTACACCATGACTGAACTTTGAAAGCTATTCCTAGTTTTACCATTCCTTTTTATTCCCTCTGCTGTATCCCAAATTGGGGCTGCTCTTCAGCCTAGATCCTGGAATGAAAAAGACCAGACCTTCAGTCAACCTACAGCCAACATATAACTTTAACAAAAAATAAAACTTTGCATTGTTGGCTGGGCGTGGTGGCTCATGCCTGTAATCCCAGCACTTTGGGAGGCTGAGGCGGGTGGATCACAAGGTCAGGAGATTGAGCCCATCCTGGCTAACACAGTGAAACCCCGTCTCTACTAAAAATACAAAAAATTAGCCGGGCATGGTGGTGGGTGCCTTTAGTCCCAGCTACTCGGGAGGCTGAGGCAGGAGAATTGTGTGAACCCAGGAGGCAGAGCTTGCAGTGAGCCGAAATCCCACCACTGCCCTCCAGCCTGGGCGACAGAGTGAGACTCCGTCTCAAAAAAAAAAAACAAAAAAAAAAACAACTTTGTGCTGCAAACCACTGAGATTTGGAGGGATTTTCTCTTACCCCAGCATAATGTAATGAGGGCTGACAAATACAGGAGGATTAATAAAACTAAACTACTGATTAGAGATCAGACATGAAAGAGCGGAAAAAATAGAAGACAGCTTCAAATAGTCTAGGCTGAGTGATCAGAAAATAATTTACTAATCCAAAAGGGAAAATAGAAGGGAAAGCAGTGATTTATGTTTTGACTTGTTGAGTTAAAGGTGCAGGCTAGTGAGAATTAGTATTAGCAGCAAGAATATCTGGGAAGAGATATTCTCTTGGCAACTGAAAAGGCAAGTTAGGAGACCATGGACAGGTCAGGATTAGAGAGGAGATTTGTAAATCAGGAGGTTAGACGAGATACCTGAAAGCCATACTAGACAAAGAGAATGGAGGTCTGGGGGTAGTATGTGGAATGTATCTCCTTGGACACACTTACATTTACAGAAGCCTGAGTTATGAGGAGACACAGGTCCTGGCTGACAAGGAGCAGGAGCAGTCAGAGAGACCTAGAGAGGACCAGGTGGGAAGGGCTGAGAAATAAGGGGTGCAATGCCACCCATATAGGCTTGCCAAAAAAAACCCACAAACCAACCAACCTAAACCAGATCAACACACTAGGTCTCAGTGCCATTTTACAGGGACAGAATCAGGTGGAGATCTTTTTTTTTTTTTGAGACAGAGTCTTGTTCTGTCACCCAGGCTGGAGTGCAATGGCACAATCTTGGCTCACTGCAACCTCTGCCCCCCAGGTTCAAAGGATTCTCCTGCCTCAGCCTCCTGAGTAGCTGGGATTACAGGCATGCACCACACTCAGCTAATTTTTGTGTTTTTAGTAGAGATGGGGTTTCCCCATGTGGGCCAGGCTGGTCTCAAACTCCTGACCTCAGGTGAACCCGCCTCGGCCTCCCAAAGTGCTGGGATTCCAGGCATGAGCCACCATGCCCAGCCATAGATCTTGTTGAATGTTAAAAATGCAGATTCTGATTCAATAGGTCTTGAGTGGGGTCCAAGATTATGCATTTCTAACAAACTCTCAGGTGATGCAGATGCTGCTGGTCCATGGACCATATTTTAATAGCAAGACTATAGAGAACAGAAGAAATGACAACATGCAGATGCAGTTGATAAAAATCCAGATTATGAGAAACTGTGACAGCCCAATTTCTTAAACAAAACAAAACAAAAGATGGAGAGGAAACCTATAGATTAAAAGAGACTTGAGAGACAAAACAACCAATTGCAATGTGTAGATGTAGGTCTTAAATCAGTTTGTAAAAAAATACTTCTTAGGACAGTTGTGGAAATGTGATATCTGATATTAGAGAATTATTGATTGGGGGTGAAGTGATCACAGTATAATGGTTATGTTTTTAAAAGTGACATTTCAAAGGACTACAGACTGTAGGATGTTCTATTTTTATGACATTCTGAAAAATAGAAAACTATAGGACTAGAAAACAGTTGTGTAGTTGCATGGGGGTTGGGGGGGAATTCACTCAAAGGGATATAGGGGAATTTGGGGAGGTGACAGAACTGTTCTATATCCTGATTGTGATGGTTTTATGGCTGAATGAGTTTATAAAACCTCAAAATTAACCTAAAAAGGGCAACTTACAGCATGTAAATCATACCTCAATAATAAACTTGAGCAAAGCCAAAAAGAAACAAAAAAGGAGAGAAACAAAAAAGGAAAGTTGTTGTTTAGAGATACATACTGAAATATTTACCCATAAAGTATATGATCTAGGATTTGCTTTGAAATAAAGGAGGAGAGTGTCACTATGGGGGTATAGACAGAGCAACATTGGCCTCAAATGGATAATTGTGAAAAGTGGGTGGTAAACACATTAAACTAGTCTCTCTACTCTGTACCTGTTTTAAAATTTTCATAATAAAAGAGTTTTATTTTGGCCGGGCATGGTAGCTCACACCTGTAATCCCAGCACTTTGGGAGGCCGAGGCGGGCAGATCACCTGAGGTTGGGAGTTTGAGACCAGCCTGACCAACAGGGAGAAACCCCGTCTATTAAAAATACAAAAATTAGCTGGGTGTGGTGGCACAAGTCTGTAATCTCAGCTACTCAGGAGGCTGAGGCAGGAGAATCGCTTGAACCCGGGAGGCAGAGGTTGTGGTGAGCCGAGATCACACCATTGTACTCTAGCCTGGGCAACAAGAGCAAAACTGCATCTCAAAAAAACAAGAGATTTTTTTTTTTTTAAACCAAAGAAGCAAAGGGCTTCACGTGATTGTCCCCACAAGCACCAACATAGCCGAGAGCTGCGAGAACACAAGTTGGCGAGTGAGGGCGAGGGCTTGGCCTTTACCTATGGGTACCCTTAAGAAAGCAGTTCTGGCCGGGCATGGTGGCTTACACCTGTAATCTAAATACTTTGGGAGGCTGAGGTGGGTGGATCACTTGACGTCAGGAGTTCAAGACCAGCCTGGCCAACATGATGAAAGCCCCTCTCTACTAAAAATACAAAAATTAGCCAGGCTTGGTGGCACGTGCCTGTAGTTCCAGCTACTGGGGAGGCTGAAGCAGGAGAATTGCTTGAACCTGGGAGGCAGAGGTTGCAGCGAGCTGAGATCGCACCACTGCACTCCAGCCTGGGTGAGAGAGCAAGACTCTGTCTCAAAAAAATAAAGCAGTTCTGGCCCAGCCTGTGGTTGTTACCTTTCCTCTTCATTCCAGAGGGCACAGGACTGGCAATGGGAGGTTACCCCTGTGAGGGAGCAAATAGCAAACAACCTCTCCAAGAGGGCACCCACCCTCTCTCTTCATGAGAAGGTCCTTGTTCCCAGGGAAACTTTGGTAAATAAGCTGATTATCAGCTGTGTGGGTGTGGTGCAGGTGATACTGTGGCCACAGACTCTTTGGAACCAGGAAGCTAGAAAGGTCAGAGACTGGTCAGTGTTATGCTCTACAATCTAAGGGGCCTCTTGGGGCCGGGCTCTGAGGGAGTGGGCAGTGGCACATCAGAGACTACCTGTCACACCTGCTGGAAGGGCTGCATCACAATGGCCTGTAGACTTCATCCTTCCCTCACTCTGCCTGTGTTCAGCCTTTCAGAAACCAAAAAACACTCTGGGAAAATGGAGGTGGCATTGAAGAAGGAAATGAAGAGGGAGAAGGCCAGGTTGGGGCAAAGTGTGATATGGGGCAGATGACATTTACATGGCAGAAAAAAAAAGGTACATAGATTGGGCCGGAGCTTGAAGACAGGTTATGGGATGCTCCTTTGGTATAAGAGATTCTTGAGCAAATGTAAGCCTAAAGAAAAGGAGCTTGAGTAGAAATATTCAAAATGTAAAAAGAAAAAAGCGTAACTTATTGCAGTATAATCTAGTGTTAAAAAAAAACAAAAAATATAAAAGGGTAATTAATTAAACTAAATCCTGAAGAAGATGAGAAGAGATAGAATTGAAAGTTCAAGATCTTTCATTTTGCCTGAAGAGAAGGGATGGCATGGAGTAGCCAAGTATTGTTCTGTCTCTCCTGGCATCTCTTCCTTTTCCAAGACCTTCTGCTTCTTCTTATTCAATGAGGACAGCCCACCTCCCACCTTCCCCCAACCCCCAACTCCGTTCAGATGGCTACCATAAGAACAACCATGGTATACACTGTGACCTGACTCTGTGGCTAACGTTCATTGGTCCAGGAGTGAGTCGTGATCTAAGCTGGCTAATCAGAATGCATTTGTGGGAATTTCAAATCAGAATCGAGCTCTTCCAGTTCCACATGGTTGACTGACGAAATGGAGATATAAACCTGGGCACTATTGGTGGCCTATGCCACCAGATGGCTGGGCAAGCAGAACTAGTTAACAGTAGAGAGAATAATGATGCTGTCCCAAAGAAGGCTGTATAGAAAGAGGTGGTAAGGAGTCCCTAGCTCCAGCTATATGCCCAGGATCCAACCACATACAAAGTTTCCCAAGATACCCTGGAAACTTTATAGTAAAGTCACATTTTTGTTTAAGCTAGTTGGAGTTGGGTTTATGTGACTTAAAATCAAATGTCCTAACAGAACCCTGTGCTAAGAAAGAGGGGAATGTAGAGAGTGATAGATATGAATACCTTGACACGTTTTGAGGATGAGAGAAGATAAAGCAGTTCATATTTCTGAAAGAAGTGGGAGAAAATATTGTCTACTGAAAAGGAGGGGGTTAAGTATGTCAGGGCCTTAAAGGCAGTGGAAAAGATAAGGACCAGTGAGCTCACCCTTCATTCTCTAATCATAACACATAAAGGTAAGGATCTGAAATGTCGTATGTTCAATAGGGGCAGTCATTGCCAGGAAAGTTGCAGGCCAGCCACCAAGAAGCCATGAAAAAGATCTTTAATCTTTCTCATCGGGCGCAGTGGCTCACACCTGTAATCCCAGCACTTTGGGAGGCCGAGGCGGGCAGATCACGACAGGAGTTCGAGACCATCCTGGCTAACATGGTAAAACTCCGCCTCTACTAAAAATACAAAAAATTAGCCGGGCGCAGTGGCGGGCGCCTGTCGTCCCAGCTACTTGGGAGGCTGAGGCAGGAGAATGGTGTGAACCCAGGAGGCGGAGCTTGCAGTAAGCCGAGATTGTGCCACTGCACTCCAGCCTGGGCGACAGAGCAAGACTCCATCTCAAAAAAAAAAAAAATGCAGCTTGGGGAACAAATGATACAGTAGTTAGGAGACACTTGACCCTCCTCTGAAGTGTGAAAATTCAAAGAAATTTCATCTTAGAAATATTTGATGGTTCTCAAAATGAACACAACACAAGTACTTAGATCTCTCATCACATCAAAAAAGTTATTAATGTGTTTTAGGGCAAGCATTTCAAATGAGTCTTTCACAGGATTAGTGACATTTTTAGAAAATAATATGTGTAGTCGGGTGCGGTGGCTCACACCTGTATTCCCAGCACTTTGGGAGGCCGAGGCGGGCAGATTACCTGAGGTCAAGAGTTCGAGACCAGCTTTGTCAACATGATGAAACCCTGTCTCTACTAAAAATACAAAAATTAGCCGGGCATGGTGGTGTGCACCTGTAATCCCGGCTACTAAGGAGGCTGAAGCAGGAGAATCGCTTGAACCCGGAAGGCAGGGGGTTGCAGTGAGCTGAGATTGCGCCATTGCACTCCAGCCTGGATGAGAAGAGCAAGACTATCAGAAAGAAAGAAAGAAGAAAGAGAGAGAGAGAGGAAGGAAGGAAGGAAGGAAGGAAGGAAGGAAGGAAGGAAGGAAGGAAGGAAGGAGAAGGAGGGAGAGAGTCTAAATAATATGTTATCTCCTTCCATACTTCAACTAAGTACAAACGAGTCATGAATTTTTAGTGTCCACCTTTCCAGCCAGTCAATGAGGAACAGGAAGAGGATGGGGCCCTAGTGTCTCTGAGCCACACAGCTCCCCCTGCCATCTTGGTGGTGCTCCTGGGTTCTGTGTGGTTTCCTACCAGAAGATGAACTCAACCAGATTAAATCCCACTCTCAACTTCCACCTGTGGACCTGCTGAAACCCCAGGGTCAATTGTTGCCAGAATTGTTATCTGCTCTTGTCAGGCCCAGAAGGGTCTTCTTCCAGTCTCTAGGTAGATACGGTCTTCGTTCTCCTAAGGGAATCAGTCCATTTGCATGATCTGGGTGTCTATAATGTTGTCATTTTGAAAATTCTATATTAAGGGAATCAAATGGAATGTAACCTTGCAAATTGGCTTTTTTTTTCACTAAGCATAATTCTGTGGATATTTATTCACTGCATATATCAATAGCTCTTGCTGTTTATCGCTGAGCAGAATTCCATGGTGTGGATATACCAATTTGTTTAACCATCATCACCCATTAAACGACATCTGGGTTTTTTTTCTTTTTCTCACATTTTGCTATTACAAATAGTAGCTCATATCAACATTCATTATAGGTTTTGGTGTAAATACAACTCATCATTTCCCTAAGGTAAATGTCCAGGTGTGAAATTGCTGGGTTTCATGGTAATTCCATGTTTATTGTTTTAGGATACTGACAAACTGTTTTCCAGAGTGAATATCCCATTTTACATTCCCACCAGCAACGTATGATTTCCTAGTTTATCCACATCCCCACATTTGGTGTTGTCACTGTTTTTTATCTCAGCCATTCTGATAGTTGTGTAATAATATCTCATTGTGGTTTTAATATACGTTTCCCCAATAGGTAATGATGTTGAATATCTTTGCACGTGCTTAGTAGCCTTCTGCATAACTCCTTCAGTGAAATTCTCTGCATATCTTTTGCTCATGTTCTAATTGGATTGTTTGTTTTATTTTGGCTTCATTTATTCCTTCTGTAGCACTCTTTCTTTATTTAGATATGAGTTTCTGACCTATATAATTTTCCTTCTCTCTGAAGAACTTCTTTTAACATCTCTTGCAAGGCAAGTATACTCCATTTTTTAATGCATAGAAAGTTTTCATTTCTCCTTCACTTTTTTTTTTTTTTTTTTTTTTTTTTTTTTGAGACGGAGTCTCACTCTGTCGCCCAGGCTGGAGTGCAGTGGCGCGATCTCGGCTCACTTGCAAGCTCCGCCTCCCAGGTTCATGCCATTCTCCTGCCTCAGCCTCCTGAGTACCTGGGACTACAGGCGCCCGCCACGACGCCCGGGTAATTTTTTGTATTCTTTTTTTAAGTAGAGACGGGGTTTCACCATGTTAGCCAGGATGGTCTCCATCTCCTGACCTCGTGATCCGCCTGCCTCGGCCTCCCAAAGTGCTGGGATTACATGGTATTACAGGTGTGAGCTACTGAGCTGGCTTTTTTTTTTTTTTTTTTTTTTTTTTTGAGACAGGGTCTCACTCTGCCACCCAGGCTGGAGTGCAGTGGTGAGATCTCGGCTCACTGCAACCTCCGTCTCCCCACTTCAAGGGATTCTTCTGTCTCAACCTCCCGAGTAGCTGGGAGTACCGGCACACCATCACGCCTGGCTAATTTTTATATTTTTAGTACAGACAGGGTTTCACCATATTGACCAGGCTGGTCTCAAACTCCTGACCTCAGGTGATCCACCTGCCTCGGCCTCCCAAAGTGTTGGGATTACAGGCGTGAGCCACCTTGCCCGGCCTATTTCTCCTTCACTTTTGAATGATAATTTTGCTAGATACAGAATTTTAGGCTGGTAGGTTTTTCTTTCAACACTTTAAATATTTTAGAATATTCTTTTCTTGTTTGCATACTTTCTGAAGAAAAGTTTGATATGCTTCTTACCAAGTAAGGTTACTGTTGAGTTTTATGAGGTTTTTTTTTGTATATTCTAGATACTAGCCCTTGTCAGATATGTGCTTTGCAAATAATTTCTTCCACTCTGTAGTTTGTCTTTGCATTCTCTTAACAGGATATTTTAAGAGTAAAAGTTGGCTGGGCATGGTAGTTCACACTTGTAATTCCAGCACCCTGGGAGGTTGAGGCAGGAGGATTGTTTGCATCCAGGAGTTTGTGACCAGCCTGGGCAACGTAGTGAGACTCCATTATCTACCAAAACAAAAAAAAAAAATCAGCTGGGTGTGGTGGTGCGCATCAGTAGTCCCAGGCTACTCAGGAGGCTAAAGTGGGAGGATCACTTGAACCTGGGAGGTCAGGGCTGCAGTGAGCCATGATCCTGCCACTGTATTCAGCCTGGATGACAGAGTGAGACCCTGTATCCAAAAGCAAAAAAAAAAAAGAAAGAAAGAAATTTGTTAATTTTGATGAAGTCTGACTTACCAGTTTCTCCTTTTTTTATGACTTAAGTTTTGGCCAATATAGTGAAACCTGGTCTCTACTAAAAATACAAAAATTAGCCAGGCGTGGTGGTGAGTGCTTGTATTCCCAGCTACTTGGGAGGCTGAGGCAGGAGAATCGCTTGAACCCAGGAGGCGGAGGTTGCAGTGAGCCAAGATCGCACCATTGCATTCCAGCCTAGGAAACAAGAGTGAAACTCTGTCTCAAATAAATAAATAAATAAGAATTCTTTGCTTACCCCTAGATCTAGAAGATCTTCTCCTATTTAAAAAAAAAAGTTTTAAGGCTGGGCGTGGTCACTCACGCCTGTAATCCCAGCACTCTGGAAGGCCAAGGCAGTCAAATCACGAGGTCAGGAGATCAAGACCATCCTAACATGGTGAAACCTCGTCTCTACTAAAAATACAAAAAATTAGCCAGGTGTGGTGGCACGCACCTGTAGTCCAAGCTACTTGGGAGGTTGAGGCAGGAGAATCGCTTGAACCCAGAAGGCGGAGGTTGCAGTGAGCTGAGATCGTGCCACTGCACCCCAGCCTGGGTGACAGAGTGAAACCCTATATCAAAAAAATAAAAATAGGCCGGGCGCGGTGGCTCACGCCTGTAATCCCAGCACTTTGGGAGGCCGAGGCGGGCGGATCACGAGGTCAGGAGATCGAGACCATCCCGGCTAAAACGGTGAAACCCCGTCTCTACTAAAAATACAAAAAAAAATTAGCCGGGCGTAGTGGCGGGCGCCTGTAGTCCCAGCTACTTGGGAGGCTGAGGCAGGAGAATGGCGTGAACCCGGGAGGCGGAGCTTGCAGTGAGCCGAGATCCCGCCACTGCACTCCAGCCTGGGCGACAGAGCGAGACTCCGTCTCAAAAAAAAAAAAAAAATAAAATAAAAAAAATAAAAAAAAATAAAATAAAAAGTTTTATAGTTTTACATTTTACAGTTAAGTGTGTAATCCATTTTGGTTTAATCTTTGTATAATGTGTGAGACTTAGGTCAAGGTTCATTTTTTTCCCTATGGCTGTCCCATTGCTTCAGCATCATTTGTTGAAAGATTATCTGTCCTCCATTGAACTGTTTTTTCAAGTATGTCAAAAAATCAGGTGGACATATTTGTGAGGATCTACTTCTGGGTTCTCTGTTTTATTCATGTATCTATGTATTTGTCCCACTACCAGTAACATATAGTCTTATTATTATATATTATATATTATTATATATATAATATTATTATATATATTATTATATATAATAATATTATATATTATTATATATATAATATTATAATATATATTATTATTATATATATAATAATTATTATATATTATTATTATAGACTTATTATACTGCAGCTATAATAAGTCTTAAAATCAGGTTGACTGTTTCCTTCCACTTTCTTTTTGAACATTGTTTTTAGCTATTTTAGTTCCTTTGCCTTTCCATATACATTTTAGAATAATCTTGTCTACATCTATAAAGAATTTTCCTGAGATTTTGATGGGAATTGCATTAAACATATATATCAGTTTGAAAAGAATTTATATCTTTACTGTGTTGAAACTTCCACTCCATGAGTACAGTTTGTCTCTTCATTAATTTAGATCTTTTGATGTCTTTCATTAACATTGTGTACTTTTCATCATTTAAATAATGTACATGTTTTATTAGATTTCATTTCCTTGACTGATTGTATTGCATTTTTAATTAGTGCTCACATGTTCATAGCTAGTGCTTACAAATATGATTGATTTTTGTATTTTAGCTTGTATTTTGTGATCTTCCTGAACTCACTTATTACTTATAAGAATTTGTAGATTCCTTGGAATTTCCTTAGTAGATAACCATGAGTGGTGACAAAAGACATCTTCACCTTGTTCCTGAGCTTAGGTGGAAAGCATTCAGTCTTTTATCATTACGTATAATATCAACTGTGGGTTTTTTTGTAGATACTCCTCATCAGGTTGAGGATTTTTTTTCTTTCCCTATTTCCTGAAAGTTTTTATCATGAGTGGATATTGAATTTTGTGAAATGCTTTTTGTACATTTAGTGATATGATATGATTTTTCTTCTTTACTATGTTCATGTGGCAGATTACATTGATTGAGATTTTAATATTAAGAAAGACTTGCATCCCTGGAATAAAACCCACGTGGTCATGGTATATAATTCTTTATATACATTGCTGAATTATATATTCTAATGTTTTGTTAAAGATTTCTGTGTCTATATTTATGAAGCGTATTAGCCTATAGTTTTCTTTTTTGTACTGGTTTTATCTGGCTTTGACATCAAGATAATAATACTAGCTTCATAAAATTAGTTTTATGTGTTCATTGAGTGTTCCTTCCTCTTCTATTTTCTGAAAGAGAGTGTACGGAATTGCTCTTAATTCCTCTTCAAATATTTGGTATAACTATCCAGGAAAACCATCTGGGCCTGAAGATTTCGGACAGCTTTTAACTTATGAATTACATTTCCTTAATAGTTATAAGGCTATTCAAATTACCTATTTTATATTGGGTGAGGTTGTGGTCATTTGCAGTTTTCAAGGAATTCATCCATTTCCATGGCTATATACCCATCTACACACATCATTTATGTGTGTAGAGTTTGTAGTGTTCCTTTACAATCCCTTTGATGTCTGCAGGACCTGTAATGGTTATTTTGTTTCATTGTTGATATTGACAATTTGCATCTTTTTTTTCAGTCTTGCTAGTTGTTTGTGAAGTTTATTGATCTTTTCAGAGAATCAGCTCTTTATTTTATTGATTTTTTTCTATGATATTTTCCATTTCATTCTATTCTGCTTTTAACCTTATTATCTCCTTCCATCTTCTTGGTTTTGGTTTATTTTACTCTTCTTTTTCTAGGTTCTTGAGGTGGGAGGTTAGCTTATTGATTTGAGGTTTTTGCCTCCTCTAATATATGCATTTAGTGTTATAAGTTTCCCTTTCAGTGCTGCTTTAGCTGCGTCCCACAAATTTTGATTTTATTTTTATTTTCATTCAGTTCAACTGATTTTTAAATGTCCTTTGAAACTTCCTTTTTGATGCATAGATCATGTAGAAGTATGTGGTTTAGTTTTCAAGTGTTTGTTGATTTTTGTTTTCTTTTTTTTAACTTTTATTTTAGGTTCAAGAATACATACGCATATTTGTTACATAGGTAAACTTGTGTCATGGGAGTTTGTTGTACAGATTATTTCATCACCCAGGTATTAAGACTCATACCCATTAGTTACTTTTCCTGATCCTCTCCTTCCTCCCAACCTCCACCTCCCAACTGGTCCCAGTGTGTGTTGTTCCCCTCTTATGTGTCCATGTGTTCTCATCGTTCGGCTCCCTCTTATAAGTGGGAACATGCGGTATTTGGTTTTCTGTTTCTGTGTTTGTTTGATAAGGATATTCATATTCCAGCTCCATTCATATTCCTGCAAAGGACATGGTCTCATTCTTTTTTATGGCTGCATAGTATTCCATGGTGTATATGTACTACATTTTCTTTATCCAGTCTACCATTGATGGGCCTTTAGGTTGATTCAATGTCTTTGCTATTGTGAACAGTGCTGCAGTGAACATACGTGTGCATGTGTCTTTATGACAGATGATTTATATTCCTTTGGGTACATACCCAATAATGGGATTGCTGGGTTGAATGGTAGTTCTGTTTTTAAGTCTTTGAGGAATCGCCACACTGTTTTCTACAGTGGTTGAACTAATTTACACCCCCACCAACAGTGTATAAGCATTCCTTTTCCTGTGCAATCTTGCCAGCAACTTTTATTGTTTTTTCACTTTTTAATAATAGCCATTCTGACTGGTGTGAGATGGTATCTCGCTGTGATTTGGATTTGGATTTCTCTAATCATCAGTGATATTAAGCTTTTTTCTCATATGCTTGTTGGCCGCGTGTATGTCTTCTTTTGAAAAGTGTTAATGTCCTTTGCCCACTTTTTAATGTGGTTTTCTTGTAAAATTAAGTTCTTTATAGATGCTGGATATTAGACCTTTGTCAGATGCATTGCTTGCAAGAATTTTCTCCCATTCTGTAGGTTGTTTACTCTGTTGATAGTTTCTTATACTGTGCAAAAGCTCTTTAGTTTAATTAAATCCCATTTGTCAATATTTGCTTTTGTTGTGATTCCTTTTGGCATCTTTGTCGTGAAATCTTTGCCCATTCCTATGTCCAGAATGGTATGGCCTAGGTTGTCTTCCAGGATTTTTATAGTTTTGGGTTTTACATTTAAGCCTTTAATCCATCTTGAGTTGATTTTTATATATAGTGTAAGGAAGGGGTCCAGTTTCAGTCATCGGCATATGGCTAGCCAGTTATCTCAGCACCATTTATTGAACACGGTGTCCTTTCCCCACTGATTGTTTTTGTCAGGTTTGTCAAAGATCAGATGGTTGTATGTGTGCAGCCTTATTTTTGTGCTCTCTCCTCTGTTCCATTGGTCTATGTGTCTGTTTTTGTGCCAATAGTACCAGGTTCTTTTGGTTACTGTAGCCCTGTAGTATAGTTTGAAGTTGGGGAACGTGATGGCTCATATTGGCATCTATTGATTGTCTTTTTTCACTTAGGTTTTTTGTTTTGTTTTTGAGATGGAGTCTCACTCTGCCACCAGGCTGGAGTGCAGTGGCATGATCTCGGCTCACTGTAACATCCGACTCCCTGGTTTCACCATATTGGCCAGGCTGGTTTCAAACTCCTGACCTCAAGTGATCCGCCCACCTCGGCCTCCCAAAGTGCTGGGATTACAGGTGTGAGCCACCACGCCCGGCCGTGAATTATATTTTAATACAATTATGAAGGAAGGAAGGGACATATTGGGGAAAATGTGGAATTTTTATGCAGGGCTAATTTGTCTTACATACAGAGTGCTAACAATCCAACAGAAAAAAAATGAGTGAAAAACAGGAACAGAAAAATACATGACAAGATGCTTAATTCACAGTAACAAAACTATAAACTAAAACTACATTGAAATAACATGTATTTCCTCCGACTGACAAAATTCCAAAGTTTGGCAGCACTTAGTAAGACTTTAGGGTATCAGGCACTCTCATACATTGTTAGTAGGGGTGTACATTGGAACAATCCTATGGAGAGCAATGTAGCAGTATTTATCAAAATTACAAATGCAGGCTGGGCATGGTGGCTCATGCCTGTAATTCCAATACTTTGCGAGGCTGAGGCAGGCAGGTCACTTGAGGTCAGGAGTTTGAGACCAGCCTGGCCAGCATGGTGAAACTCCGTCTCTACTAAAAATACAAAAATCAGCAGGGTGTGGTGGCGGGTGCCTATAATCCCAGCTACTTGGGAGGCGGAGGTTGCAGTGAGCTAAGATCATGCCACTGCAGTCCAGCCTGGGCGACATACTGAGACTCCATCAAAAAAAAAAAAGAAAGAAAGAAAGAAAGAAAATAGTCCAGCATATTTTTAGGCTGATGGAGGATGATTCAGACATTTAGATTATTTCTGCCTTTTGCTGTACTACAGTGCCTTTTAAATACCTCTGTTATATCTCTTTATCTATTTATATGTTTCTTTTTCCATTAGATAAATAATTCCTTGGAAGCAAGGGCCATCACTCCTCATCTCTATCTCCTGCTGCTAGCCTGGTGCTGACATAAAGCAGTGCTCAGCATATATTTGTTCAACAATGTTGTTGAGGGCTCTCCCCATGGCTGTCCACCATTTGAATGAATCCAGAACACCTCAGCACCAAGTTCAGGCTTCCATCTTGCAGCAAGGTTCTGCAACTTGTGTTGGAATTCTCAGGAAAAACTGCCAGAAGCAGTACGACTAAAACCAGGCAGATGGAGCACAGAAAGGAAGGCACTGCTCACAGCGAAAACCACATGATCAAAGTCAGAGGTGCTGGCATAATGACGATGATGAGGATGGTGGTGGTTGTGATGATGAGGATAGTTAACATTTATTGAGAGTCTACTATGTACCAAGAACTGTTTAACTTTTATAATGTATTAGTTAATTCCTGACAAGAAGTCTATGAATAAGGTATTATCTTCATCTTACAGATGGGGAAACTAAGACAGGAATAAGTTGCCCAACATCATATAACTATGAAGAAATACAAATACATGAGACCAAAAGAATATATATAGTGCCTTGATACAGAGACTTGATCTGACAAAAAAAAAATAGGTTTACTCTTGCACTTTTTCTGACCTCCCCTCTTCTTCCTATCTACCAAGTCTTTAATAAATATATGCCAGATTTTATTTTCTGCAACTTTGCAAAAACATTCCTTCGTCCCTGACCCAAGGGGTGAGTAATCTATTGTAATTCTTGCTACTGGATATAGTTGCAGACATAATGCCAAGGAATTTTCCTAGATTCAGGTCTTTGATTTAACTTCCTTTCCCAAACACAGCTTGGCATGTTTCAAAATTAGTTTCTTCCTTACAAGTAGGAATTGTTGTTGAAATTTAGTTTTTTGTGTCTAAAATGACCTTTTTTATTCTTCCTGTTTCCTTGATTTGGGCCAGAAAGGAGACAGCTTACTAAAATGCACGAACTTACTTCCTCCCATACTACTCTTAGTTTCTGTATTTCTACCTCCCTTTGGAAAACATTCCTGTTCCCCAAAACACTTGAAAAACTCATATAATGAGTTAGGGGTAAATTTACCTATACTGATTGCTCTTAGGATTACTCTATTTTTATTTTGTGAGACAGGGTCTCATTGTGTGGCCCAGGCTGGAGTGTAGTGGTGTGATCATGGCTCACTGCAGTCTCAACCTCCTGGGCTCACACGATCCTCCCACCTCAGCCTTTCAAGAAGCTGGGACCCAAGCAGCTGAGATGATAAGTGAGCACCACCACGCCCGGCTAATTTGTTTAAAAAATTTTTTGCAGAGATGAGGTCTTGCTTTGTTGCCTAGGCTGGTCTTGAACCCCTGGCCTCAAGCAATCATCTCACCTCAGCATCCCAAAGGGATTACAGGCATGAGCCATGGTGCCCGGCCTGGGATCACTAATTTAATACTATTGAATACAGAGATGTAATTCTGTTTAGTCAGTATCTTCGTGGCTGAAAGACTCCGCCTTCAGGCCCTGTTATGGGCTGAACTGTGTCCCCCTAAAAATGCATATGATGAAGTCCTAACCCTCAGTACCTCAGAATGTGACTGTATTTGGAGATAGGGTTTTAAAAGAAGTAATTAAGTTAAAAGGAGGTCATCAGGTTGGGCACTAATCCAATGACTGGTGTCCTTATAAGAAGAGATTAGGACAGACACAGAGGAAAGACACAGAGAGCAGATGGCAGCCTATAAACCAAGGAGAGAACCTCAGAAGAAAGCAATCCTGCTGACATCTTGACCTCAGACTTCTGGCCTCCAGAATTTTAAGAAAATTAATTTCTGGCCGGGCGAGGGGGCTCACGTCTGTAATCCCAGCACTTTGGGAGGCTGAGGGGGGCAGATCACTTGAGGTCAGGAGTTCAAGAGCAGCCTGGCCAACATGGTGAAGGTGAAACTCCGTCTCTACTAAAAAATACAAAAATTAGATGGGCATGGTGGTACATGCCTGTAGTCCCAGCTACTTGGGAAGCTGAACCAGGAGAATTGCTTGAACCCAAGAGGCGGAGGTTGCAGTGAGCCGAGATTGCGCCAATGCATTCCAGCCTGGGTGACAGAGTGAGACGCCATCTCAAAAATAAATAAATAAATAAATTTCTGTTGGTTAACCCACCCAATCTGTGGTTGCCAGTTGTTATGGTTCTGTCGGTTGCCAGTTGTTATGGCAACCCTTGCAAACTAACACAGGCCCTTACTCAGAGCCCACCTTTTTCACTGTGCCAACACTGAGCTTTCAAATCTATATACCCGGCCCGGCGCGGTGGCTCACGCCTGTAATCCCGGCACTTTGGGAGGCCGAGGTGAGCGGATCACCTGAGGTCAGGAGTTTGAAACCAACCTGACGAACATGGCCAAAACCCGTCTCTACTAAAAATACAAAAAATTAGCCGGGCGCAGTGGCAGGCGCCTGTAGTCCCAGCTACTCAGGAGGCTGAGGAAGGAGAATCATTTGAACCCGGAAGGTGGAGGTTGCAGTGAGCCAAGATCGTGCCACTGCACTCCAGCCTGGGTGACAGAGTGAAACTCCGTCTCAAAAAAAAAAAACAAAAAAACAAAAAAAAAACATTTTTGTCAAAAACTAAGACACACAAACATTAATCTAGGCCTAGATGGGGTCAGGATCATCAAGGTGTCACTAGGTGATGGGAATTTTCCAGTTCCCTATCATATGGGACCAATGCTGTATGTGTGGTCTGTAATTGACCAAAATTTGTTATGCAGCACATAACTAAATGAGAAGACATCTTGTGTTGATAAGTTGGAAGACTTAATATTATAAAGATGGTAGTACTCCATAAATTGAGCTACAGATTAAATGCAATCCCCATCAAAATTCCAATGGCATGTTTTGCATAAATGAACAAGCTGATGCTAAAATTCATGTGCAATTGAAAAGGATCCTTAAGAACTAAACCCATCTTGAAAAAAAACAAAGTTGGAGTACTCTTACTTCCTTATTTTGATGCTTGCTACAAAGCTATAGCACTGGCATAAGGATAGGCACATGGACCATGGAAATAGAAGTGACAGTCCAGAAATAAACCTATAAATTTATGGCAATTAATTTTCAACAAGAGTGTCAAGACCATTCGATGAGGGATGAATAGTCTCTTCAACAAATAGTGCTGGAACAACTGGACATCTATCTGCAAAATAATTAAGCTGGAGTCCCAACCTCACACAATTATTTAAGAATAAACTCAAAACGGATCAATAACCTAAATATAAAAACTAAGACCATAACATAGGGTAAGTCTTTAAGATTAGATTTTAAAACATAGGGGTAAACTTTATGACACTGGATTTGGCAACGTATTTTTAAATGAAACCAAAAGCATGATCTACAACAATTTTTAAATTATATAAATTGGGCTTTAAAATTAAAAACTGTAACATTATTAAGAAAGCGAAAAGTCTACAGAATGGGAGAAAATATTTGCACATCACGTATCTAATAAGAGTTTAGTCTCCTGAATATATATTAAAAAACCCGATTTTAAAATGGACAAATGCTTTGGGAGGCTGAGGCAGGAGGATCACTCAAGGCCAGGAATTCAAGACCAGCCTGGGCAACATATGGAGCCCTTATCTCTACACACACACGCGCACGCACACACACACACACACACACACACACACACACACACACAAATCTTTTTTTTTTTTTCTCAATTAGCCAGAGTCATGACGGGTGTGCTGAAGAGAGACCACTGGCCTTGTGGGATTGGCTGTATGCGAGAGTCCACAGGAGAGGCTAAGAATATTGTATACAAAGATTTTTTTATGTTCTTGAGCAAATCCCTAAAAATGTAGCATATAGAAAGTATACAGAACAGATTACAAATGAGACACTGGCTATGGTTAAAGCAGAACCAGATGTTAAAAAATTAGAAGACCAGCCGGGCGCAGTGGCTCACTCCTGTAATCCCAGCACATTGGGAGGCCAAGGCAGGCGGATCACCTGAGGTCAGGAGTTTGAGACCAGCCTGGCCAACATGCCGAAACCCTGTCTCTACTAAAAATACAAAAATTAGCCGGGCATGGTGGTGCATGCCTGTAGTCCTGGCTACTTGGGAGGCTGAGGCAGGAGAATCGCTTGAACCCAGGAGGTGGAGGTTGCAGTGAGCCGAGATCATGCTACTGCACTTCAGCCTGGGCAACAGAGTGAGACTCTGTCTCAAAAATTAATTAATTAATTAATTAAATAAAAATAAAAAATCAGAAGACCAACTTCAAGGTGGTCAAATAGAAGAGGCGATTCTGCAGGCTAAAAATGAACTAAGTCTGGCAAGAAAAATGATGCAGTGGAAACCATGGGAGAGACTCCTGCCAATCAGTGGAAATGGCCAATATAATTATTAAATGACTTTGGTAGGTTGATGGGAAACTGATGTAATTAAATATTCTGTTATATTAAGAGTGTGGGCCAGGTGCAGTGGCTCACACCTGTAATCCCAGCACTTTGGGAGGCAAGGCAGAAGGATCATTTGAGGTCAGGAGTTTGAGACCATCCTGGCCAACATGGTGAAACCCCATCTCTACTAAAAATACAAAAATTAGCCAGGCATGGTGGCACGCACCTGTAATCCCAGCTACTCAGGAGGCTGTGGCGGGAGAATCGCTTGAACCCGGGAGGCAGAGGTTGCAGCGAGCCGAGATCGTGCCATTGCACTCCAGCCTGGGCGACAGAGCAAGACTCCATCTCAAAAAAAAAAAAAAAAAAAAAAGGCAAAGAACCCTTGTGTACTGTTGGTGGGACTGTAAATTGGTACAGCCATATGTAAAACAGTATAGAGGTTCCTCAAAAAATTCAAAATAGAACTAACGTGATCCAGCAGTCCCACTTCTGGATAGATAGCCAAAAGAATTGAAAACAGGGTCTGTCTCTAAGAGATATTTGCACACCCATGTTCATATCAGCATTATTTACAACAGCCAAGAGGTGGAAACAACCAAAATGTCCATTGACAGACGAATGGTTAAACAAAATGTAGTATATACATGCAACAGAGTATTATTCAGCCTTAAAAGAGAAGGAAATCCTGTCACATGCTATAACATGGATGAACCTTGAGAACATTATGTTAAATGACATAAGCCAGTCACAAAAAGACAACTACTACTGTTTGATTCCATTTATATGAGATGCTTAGTGAAAATCATAGAGACAGAAAGTAGAATGGTTACCAAAAGCCGTGGGTAGGGGGAAAGGAGTTGTTTAATGAGTATGAAGTTCCCATTTCGCAAGATGAAAAAGTTCTGGAGATCTATTTTACAACAATGTTAATATATTTAACATTACAGAAGTGTACACTTCAAAATGGTTAAGATGATACATTTTGTGTTATATGTTTTTTACCCACAATTAAAAACGCATTAAAATTTTTTTTTAAATGAGACAGGGTGACACTATGTTTGCCCAGGCTGATCTCAAACTCCTGGCCTCAAGAGATCCTCCCATCTCAGCGTCCTAAAGCGTCTGGATTACTGGTGTGAGCCACTGCATTTGGCCACCCTAAAATATTTTTAAAAGGAAAAACAAACAAAAAAAACTAGCCCATAGTTCTAGACTTTCTCTTTGCCTCACATTAATTTACTCCCACTACTTCAATAAAAATAACAGGGGGAGCTAAGAGCTTGTACAGACTTTTCTCTAAAGAAGATATACAAATGGCCAACAAACACATTAAAACATGCTCAACATCATTAGTCATTAGGGAAATGCAAATCAAAACCACAATGAGTCTCAGCTACTCCAGAGGCTGAGACAGGAGGATGCTGGAGGCCAAGAGTTCCAGACCAACAGGATCTCACTTTGAGCAACAAAGCGAGACCCTGTCCCTACAATAAATTTTTAAAAAATTAAAAAAATAACAAGTGTTGGCCATGATTTTGATAAAGTGCGGTCCTCATACATTGCCGGTGGGAATGTAAAATGGTTCAGCTGCTTTGGAATACAGTTTCAGTTTCTCCCTGAGTTGAGAATAGAACTACTATATGACCCAGCAATTTCACTCTTAGGTATATACCTAAAATAATTTAAAACAAGTACTCAAACATAGAAGAACTATTTACAGTAGTTAAAAGGCAGAAACAACCCAAATGTCTATTTATGGAGGAATGGATAAACAAACTGCAGTCTATATCTACACTAGAATATTGAGCCATAAAAGCAGTGAAGTACTGATACATGCTACGACTCAAAAGATTAGAAGACAGATACAAAAGGTCAATATTGTATGATTCCATTTTTATGAAGTAGGTACATCCACTGAGACAGAACACAGATTGGTGGTTGCCAGGCCTGGTCGAAATGGGGAAGGGGCAGCAACTGCTTTAACAGGGTACAGGGTTTTCTTTTAGGATGATGAAAATGTTTTGGAACTGTATCGATAGAGATGGTGGTTGTACAGCATTGTGAATGTACTAAATGCCACTGAATTGTTCACTTTAAAATGACTAGTTATGTCAATTTCACCTCAACAAAAAAATGACACACAGTACTCAGATTTTAAAAAGCATCATTTCACCAAGATTCCATGAATTAATGTGAGATGATCAAAGAGGATTCAGTAGAATCGTTCAACTTCGAATGTAAAACAGTCCTAAACTCAAACCTTTGTGACACTAAAGTGGGGAGATGGTATGTGATAGTTTTAGATAGTAAAAATTATTCTTGTTTACTTGGTCTCGAACTCGAACTTTTTTGAGGCGGAGTCTCTCTCTGTCGCCTGGGCTGCAGTGCAGTGGTGCGATCTGGACTCATTGCAACCTCCGCCTCTTGGGCTCAAGCGATTGTCGTGCCTCAGCCTCCCTAGTAACTGGGACTACAGTCGCCCCCCACCACGCCTGGCTATTTTACCTATTTTTGGCTATTTTACCTATTTTTATTAGAGACGGAGTTTCGCCATGTTGGCCAGGCTGGTCTCGAACTCCTGACCTAAGATGATCCGCCCGCCTCGGCCTCCCAAAGTGCTGGGATTACAGGCGTGAGCCACCGCGCCCGGCCTTGCCCTCCTATTTTGGTACCGTCAGATGCAAAGTGCCTGGGACAGAAGTGGGGCTCCGCTGGCGCCCAGCTCCAAAACCCAGGCAGCGTGGAAAAGACTAGACAGGGAAGGGGTTAGCCCTCAGAATTACACGCGGGTTTGCCTTACCAGACTACCACCACTGGCACAACCTCAGACCCACACCCAACCGACTTTACCTCCCAGGCCCTGATTAATCTCGCCCGGAAGTACCGCCCACCCATGCTCACTTCCGCTATCCCGTACTTCTGCTCATCTCGCGAGAACTGAAAGCGCCTATGTGACCTGCGCTAAGCGGAAGTTGGCCCTCTTTTCCGTGGCGCCTCGGAGGCGTTCAGCTGCTTCAAGATGAAGGTAGGTGATGGTGGCGAGTGTTAGACTGGGTTTGGGGAACGTGAATCGAGTCCCAGAACGCGGCATTGCCTCAGTTCCAGCACTCCAGGATCCTGGCTTTAGGTGGAGAAGGGTCTCAAGTAGGAGAAGGCTCGCCTTTCTGGGGCATGGAGCTTTTTGGCCGAACGGATGGCAGGCGATTGCGGCTGGAGCCGCGGCGGGCCGGGAGCGCCATGGTGGCGTCCCCGCGCCCAGCCGGGACGGATGCGGCGTGTTGCCCAGTTTGCGGCAGGCCTGTGGTGCGGCTCTTGACCCCGGCTTTCTTGCTTCGGGAGGGTGAACGGCTGCGGAGTGCCCTCGCCCCCAGAGTCATTCCGCGGGGCTTGAGGGGAAAACGTCCTGCTGAGTGCGGCGCTTCTTGACTGCTACTCTGCTTTCACGTGCTTTTAGTGAGTACAGTCGGCATCTTATATTTCCTGCTTGTGTGGAGGCAACATGAAAGGCTTTTTGCAGTGGAATTAACTTTGTAGATGGCTCTACAATTACCTGTATAGATAGTTTCGTAAACTATTTCCCCCCTTTTAATCCTTAGCTGAACATCTCCTTCCCAGCCACTGGCTGCCAGAAACTCATTGAAGTGGACGATGAACGCAAACTTCGTACTTTCTATGAGAAGCGTATGGCCACAGAAGTTGCTGCTGACGCTCTGGGTGAAGAATGGAAGGTAAAAGTTGACAAATTGTTGCAGGTATTTAAGTCAGAGACGGTAAACGCCATTGGTAACTGGTATTTGGAATGGGGTTCAGACTCCGGGTTCTGGCTTCTGACCTTTGGTAAGTTGCTTCCGAATGCCACTTTATAAAGTTAGAGGTATTACCTTGGAGGGGGGGACGTAGAGTAAGCCATAAAATATACGTAAAGTTTACATCAACATAATTCTTGCCCTGCATCATGCATTTGGCAATATGTCACATAGCTGTCCTCATAATCCCCAAAGTGCCAAAAAGGGTTGTATCTGATTTGTTTGTTGCTGTTTGATATTTTATCTTCTTAGTGCTGTTATCTCTAATAAAACATCGGTTAGAAATGCGACTTGAAAGACATTTGATAATTGAACTTGACAAGTTGGGAATATAGACAAAACTCACTGAACAGAGAAAACGTGCTTAAGTTCAAATTGGTTTTCATAATTATACTTTCTCATATAGGTGTGTTCACAGAGGTCACAATCCTGTACTGTATAATTTTGGAATAGAAATAGTAAATGTGTCATTCATTGTATGCTCTTGCAGGGTTATGTGGTCCGAATCAGTGGTGGGAACGACAAACAAGGTTTCCCCATGAAGCAGGGTGTCTTGACCCATGGCCGTGTCCGCCTGCTACTGAGTAAGGGGCATTCCTGTTACAGACCAAGGAGAACTGGAGAAAGAAAGAGAAAATCAGTTCGTGGTTGCATTGTGGATGCAAATCTGAGCGTTCTCAACTTGGTTATTGTAAAAAAAGGTGAGGGTTACTTGTGTTCAATTTTCGTTGAAATTGATTTAAAGCCAGTTGTCCAAATGCTTATTCATTTGCAGTATCCAGACTTACAGACCAATGGATTTGTTTCTCTACCATCAATTCAACATTAAACATTCTGATTTAGGATTCTTAAGGAAGTTGTTGAATTAAAATCTCTTCAACTGTTTCTTCTAAGGAGAGAAGGATATTCCTGGACTGACTGATACTACAGTGCCTCGCCGCCTGGGCCCCAAAAGAGCTAGCAGAATCCGCAAACTTTTCAATCTCTCTAAAGAAGATGATGTCCGCCAGTATGTTGTAAGAAAGCCCTTAAATAAAGAAGGTAGGAGGGATTATGCAATTAGGGCTTGCTTAATTTTGGTAATTTGTCTATCATTTTGTGTGCATATCAGAAGATAAATATGTGCCTTTGGAAGGCCTTAGCACTATTCACTTGGAGTTTTTACAGAAAATATTTGGGGGTGGCCAGCATACCCAGTTGGTGTTAATCCTTGCTTATTATATCCAGTGCCTTGTAGAGTGCAGTAATTTCGTTGAAAATCTGCTTGTGAATCTTTGATGTATACATTATCCAAAAATAACCTGACTTTAAGGTCATTGCTATCTGGTTTAGGAGTCACATGTTTGAGAATTCTGGGACTATTAGCACCACACACTTTGTAATTTTATATCAGATGTTCTAAATTATTAATATTTTTTAAGAGATGAGGTCACACTGTTGCCCAGGCTGGTCTTGAACCCTTGAGCTCAAGTGATGCTCCCACTTTGGCTTCCCAAAGTGCTGGGATTATGGGCGTGAGCCACCACACCCAGCCCAAAATTATTTTTTGGCTTACAAAAGAAGTTGCTTTAAACTTCTGTTTCATCTGTAGGATATGGATAACAATAGTTAAGAGTTGTGAGAATTAGAAGTTAGAGACCTTACTCAGAATACTAGGGAGCAGGTGTTAGGGATTTTGGAGCTTTACCTTTTAAGAACTTTTGTCCATATAGTAGACAACATACTCACCAGTGAGGACCTCAAATAGCAATATTTCTGTGGTGAAATTTGGGGATATTTATGTTAAATAAACAGCATGTCAGTCAAGGTTGGGTTTTCCTGACAAAATTTGAAAGAATTTCTCTGGATTTTGGTTTTCAGGACTGGTGTGACTTAACATACATGGCATAGATAGTATACGTCTGTTAAGTCAGTAATTACACTTACTTGAGCACAGGTACTGTTCAAGGTGCTGAGAATACAGTATAGACAAATTCCTACCCTTATGAAGCTGATGTTGCAAAAAAAAAAAAAAAAGCAATTGACAAATAGGTGGCAGTTGCCCATAATCATAGCCCTGGAAATAATCCGTATAATACAAGCGTGGTCTGGTTGATGGGTATTTTTAGATGGTTCTTATGTCTATAGTAGGAGGCTTAACATTTTAGCAGAATCTGAACATCTGAGCATTTAGCCTAAGGCAGTTAACTCCTACAAAGTGTCCATGAAACAAATACATCTGAAAAGGCCTATGCTCCAATGCAGATCTGTAATCCATGAGCAGTTTTGGAGTACAGATCAGATTAATGAAGATACTTTAACAACATGCCACCTAATCTGATGTTAATAGTTAACGTTACCCCTGAATTGGCAGGAATTGTCAAAGGAAATAGAGATGCAAGCTTACATCAAATTTAAAAGTATGGCAGGATGATTATGTAGATAATGTGTTAAGTGGTTTTCACAGACAAATTAACTATGCACAGTTATATATTAACATAATGCCACTGTATTTTAGTAAAACTGGAAGGTAGTAAAAGTTAGCCTGGTTATTTTTCAGGACTTGGTTTCCCTTATATTTTTATAATATTTAACCAATCTTCTAGATTTCTGTGGAGGGGCAAAAAGCATTTTAGAATAGTTCTGATTTGATTTTAAAGGCCTCATTATAGGTTTTCATAGATGCTGTTAAGCTTACGTTTATTTCTGATGTTTTTAAAGTAGATGTGGATTCTAACAAAACAAATATTGAAATGATTGAGTCCTTTGAATTTTTAGGTAAGAAACCTAGGACCAAAGCACCCAAGATTCAGCGTCTTGTTACTCCACGTGTCCTGCAGCACAAACGGCGGCGTATTGCTCTGAAGAAGCAGCGTACCAAGAAAAATAAAGAAGAGGCTGCAGAATATGCTAAACTTTTGGCCAAGAGAATGAAGGTTAGTCTAAGATGATTTGAGGGGGTGGGAGGAGTTCGACCTGGCTTTGGATTTGCGTCTTTAACCCAGAAAGGCCTTAACTGTTTGCTGTTTTGTTTTGTTTAGGAGGCTAAGGAGAAGCGCCAGGAACAAATTGCGAAGAGACGCAGACTTTCCTCTCTGCGAGCTTCTACTTCTAAGTCTGAATCCAGTCAGAAATAAGATTTTTTGAGTAACAAATAAATAAGATCAGACTCTGATCTCTGTTGACTTTTCATTGCTGATAGAAAACTACATAAATGAAGAGAGGGAAAGTTAGGTCATAGAAAATGGGGATATGTATATATGGTATTCCAATGGTGGATAAAGTCAGACCTATTGTGTGTGGTAGTGGAAGACAAGGTCAGTGTACAGGGGTTCCTTTCAGGGGATGGGTGGCACAGGAAGGGATTCTGAGCATAAGACACCTGCCTCTTCAGAATGGCATGGAACTTAGGGGAAATGATGAGGACTATTAATCTTTTTTATATAGTTTATTTTTGAGGAATATAGCTCTTTAAAGCACTATACACAATTTAATACATGAAAATTGACCTTGTGAAGATGAACATGTCTTTTTTAAAAGGTAACTTTTAAGGCATAGTTTTAGTGGATACCTAGTTTTAGTGGATACCATCCACTAAATGGTTTTTAAGCCATTTCAAATTTGTTTTAACAAAGCTTTTCAACTCCAGTGAATTGTTAGGCTGTTCACACACTGAAAAGGAAATGACTAAAAACATTCTTGGATCAGTGAAAAATGCACAAAGTATGTACTTTTTTCTAACAGTTCTATGCTGACTAGCCTATTGTGACAATATCAGGATCTTTAGAAGGTGGCACATTAGGCTTTAAGGTTGAAGTAATGCAAGCTCTTTGTTGGCATTACTGTAATAATAGCTTTACAAAGCAGAGTTCTAAATGTTAAATGTACATGTGAATCACCTAGGGGTCTGGTTAAGGCGCAGATAGTGATTGATAGAGGAGTGGGGACCCACATTTTTACATTACTAAAAAGCTCCCAGGTGTTAGGCCGGTAGTGCCAGTCCCTCGATGCCTACTAAGATTCTTAACTATTCCTCTTACTACATGGTGTTAAAAAGCTACATAACATGAAAAGAATCTTAGTTGGCAATCAATAATAATATGCAGAACTTAAAAGGCAAAGGGGATGGCCAGGTGGGGAGGCCAAGGCAGGTGGATCACCTGAGGTCAGGAGTTCAAGACCAGCCTGGCCAACATGGTGAAACCCCGTTCCTACTAAAAATACGAAAATTAGCGCATGCCTGTAGTCCCAGCTACTCGGGAGGCTGAGGCAGGAGAATCGCTTGAACCAGGGAGGTTGAGGTTTCAGTGAGCCAAGATTACACTGTTGTACTCCAGCCTGGGCGACAGAGCAAGACTCCCATCTCAAAAAAAAAAAAAAAAAAAAATTTAGCACAAGCAGAGAGAGGAACTTAAAAGCCACAAGGTGAGTCCAGTGTTATGGTCCAAAGTTTTATATTAACCAGTTCTTGTTTATGATGCACAAAACATGAGAACCGCCCTGCTTTCTGAAAATTGAGTGCAGCCACAAAATAAGGACAGTCTGTTTTTCCTTAGATTTTTTTTTTTCTTTGACACAGGGTTTCACTCCTACGCCCCGGATGGCGAGCAGTGGTATGGCTCACTGCAGCCTTGACCGCCTGGGAACTACAGGTGTGCACTGCGGCTAGTTTTTGTGCTTTTTGTAGAGTTTTGCTATGTTACCCAGGCTACTCTTGAACTCCTGGGCTCAAGTGATCCGCCTGCCTTGGCATCCCAAAGTGTTGAGATTACTACAGGCGTGAGCCACCATACCCAGTTCTCCACACACACGCAAGTCATTCTGACATGTCGTTAACTATGCAGGTTGTGATCAACCTGTACAATTCGTTCGTTGGAAGAAAAAAAAATCGCTATCGAACCCCAAACCAATATAAGGTACTGCTGAGTAATCTGGACTAATTTGAAAGATTGCTTTTAGAAGTTATCAGGATTAAAGTTGCATACAGTGCTACAAGTCATTCCAGGTACTTCTAAATCTTTCCATAATAATGTTTTTGTCTTGTAAATTTTTAGTGGTACCCTCTCTGTGGTGGGTATTGGAAAAAGCCTTTAAAAATTTATAACAAGAAATCAGTCCCAATATCTAAATGGCAGCAGCAGACTAAAGTTTTCAAGGTAGAGATCTTTACAGATTTTTTTTAATGGGAAGCGCGTCAGTAAGTGAAAACTTGAGTTCAAGTTACGAGTGAAGGAATGGAAAAAACAAAATATTGGGATTCTAAAGATTACAGATTTCAAGAGGCTTAATGTAACAGAAAACAACAATTTTTCATTTTATTCAACCTCAATTTTTATATGCAAGGTAATTCCAAACTTCTGTTGGGTCAGTAAGTGTTAAGTATTAAAACTAGTACCAAGTCTTGAGTTGCAAAAATATATACTCTCAGACAGTGCAAAAGATCCATTTTGAAGGTAATGAAAATTGTACATAATTTCTGACAAATTGTTTCATTTAGCATTTTCACAATAAATTCACACTAGAATTCTGCATAGGTCAGATTAACCCTGAAATGTTGAAAGACTGGTACAATAACTATAATTTGTAAATGGTTACATCAGGTAGAAGGGAGTTAGGTTGTTACTGTACCATATGGAAGTAATTTTACTGTGTCAACTCATTTAGTCATCTGCATAATTACTGTAAACACACACAAAACCAATGGCTTTTTAAACCATGCAGAGAGTTAAGGCAAACTTACTGTTCCTAAGGGATATTTTTAATAAAAGGCATGATAAATGTCAAAGTGAGGCATGTGAGATCATGATTTTCTTAAACCTACTGGCAACAAGCTTAATAAATTTACAGTTTTAAGACTTAATTGATTCAACCTAAAAACACAGTATTTACAAATGCACATTTTTACTCACAAGCATACAAATCTAAATATACAAGAATAAAACTTCCGTGTGCAGTGCAAGTTTATCCCACAGGTTTTAAAAAGTCATCAATACCAACAATGTATGTGCCTGAAAAAAGATTTCATGTTCAATGACATACACTTTAGCATTTTAAGCACATTCCAATGAATTCCATAAATTATTAGGCAGCTGATTTAATTTCATTTTAACTATCTGATGATTGATTCATTTGTTCCCATTTTAAAACTATTGCAAATTAACATTGGGAAGAGGATGGAAGTAACTGGATAATCAAGATAAAACCCATTAAGCAAGATAATACATAATATGAAAGGTGTATTATGTTGGTACAAAAATAATTGCGGTTTTTGCCATTAATAGTGGCAAAAACTACAATTAATTTTGTGCCAACCTAATACATTAAAGTTAGGGAAGGCAGCTGTCATCAGATTTTCAGGTAATTTTAAGATTAATGACTACAGACAAGTTTAGTAGTAGTCATTTATTTAATAGTCAATGAGACCCCTTTCAGAAAACCGTATTGCAACATGCAATCTATTTTAATAAATATACACTTAGAATATGGCTGTATATACACATACCTACACAGCCCTACACATATACAAACTTACACAAATATGTTGCTCTCTTTTTTTTTTTTTTTTTTTTTTGAGACGGTCTCACTCTGTCACCCAAGCTGGAGTTGCAGTGGCGTGATCTCCACTCACTGTAGCCTCTGCCTCAGTTCAAGCGATTCTCCTGCCTCAGCCTGAGTAGCTGGGACTACAGTGGTGCGCCTGGCTAATTTTTGTATTTTTAGTAAAGACAGGGTCTCACCGTGTTGGCCAGGCTGGTCTCGAACTCCTGGCCTCAAGTGATCCACCCACCTTGCTCAGCCTCCCAAAGTGCTGGGATTACAGGCCTGAGCCACCGTGCCCGGCCATGTTGCTTTTATAATTGAGATATTTCATTTGTTTTGGGGGTTAGGCAAATTTAATTTGCCATTCCTCAAACTCAGTAACTTCAAATATAAACAATGCCTAGAATGAATATGGTTCCTCATTATTTCTATCAAACTACTACAAATACTGAAGAATCCCAAAGTAGTTTTCCACAGAGGCAGAAAAGCAGTTCAGGGGTTGAAAATCTTCAATATTAATAAGCCCTGGGACATTCAAATGGCACTTCATATTTCAAGGTAATGCAATATGAATCATAATTCATTATATATTGTCCCCAAGAGTTACTTCAATTCCGTATTCACCAGTTCTTACGATTTGGAAAAAAAAACTTGAATGTTTCCAGATGAAATCTAATCCCCAAGCCTTGTGTGTCAACATTCTAGTGAATCTCTATTTAAATGAGAGGCGCTCCAAAACACTTCCTGCACCACTCGACACTGGCACTTGGTGGAGCATCAATTTTCTGCAACCTTTCAAGAATCTCTGAAGACAGACTATTGTATGCAATTCCATATTCATTGTCAAATGCCTCTGAAAGAAATTTTCAAAAATGAAGTTGTAATTTGTTAAGAAAGACAACAGCCGTTCATTTCAAATTGGTATTGAGTCAAATTATATGTATTTGAACTATATATTTAGAAGTAGAAATCTTTTAAATCTTTTATACATACCAGCTACATTTTTAAAAATTACTTTTGAAAATAAAATGTAAAACTTCCTTTCATAATCTTTTATTAACCAACTTACCAATATCAATATTCTCTCTTCCTAGAGACACTAATGATAAGAAGAGGATTTCTCTGTATAAACTCCTATAAAACAAATATGTTTTAAAAGTCAATGGGCAAATAGCATAAAAACACAGATGCATTTTTTTTAATGGTGAAGACATTAAGTTCTGTCATCTAGTTAATAGTAATATAACTATGTCAATGTCCTGGTTTTAATATTACATTACAGTTAGTTATATGAGGTGTCACATTTGGAGGAAGCTGTGTGAAGGCTACATTGAATTCTGTACTATTTTTGTAACTTCCTGCAGGTTTCTATTCCAAATTAAAGTTAAAACATAGTTAATGGGCATAAAGCTTCACACTAGTAACAAAAATGGCTTAACTTTATTACATTTCAACAATACATAACTGTTTTAACTCTAATTTCTAAATAAAATTTACAAAAGCAGAGTCTTCTCTCATCTTTTGTCACTTGACAAAGTAACAGATTAATTTCTAAGTAAGTTAGGGGTCTAAAACCCTTGACACAAACAATGTAAAAGGTGGTGTGGTCTCTTTACTATTTAACCCAATAGCAAAGGACAGTTCACCTTTATTTGGTTTGTGAGCATTAAAATGTTACAAATGAAACACTAAAAGTGAGCTTCATGACTCAGTTGTTAAAGATGACAGGAAAACTTAAGAAATGCACTGATGTACAGAGAAAAAAAAGACGTAAGGCTGATTCTAGTGACACTTGGTATCACTTTCTTTAGAAGCTTCAGAAGCCATAATATGACATTTCTAATATTACATTCCTGTCCTTAAACTACAGATGCTTGAAGCAAGCTACTCATATTACAGACTGTGAAGAAGGTCATCTCTACCTCAACTACTGATAGTAAAAATGGATCCATCCATTTTCATTATCAATTCTTGCCCTGTCACTTCTGAGATTATCTTCAAAGATGCCATGACCTAAAAAACTTGAAGGGGACCATGGAAACATTAGGAATGTTTGATATACGCGATTACGCACACTATTCTGAAGCTTCTACTGCAAAATTCACTTATGTTGAGGAGGGGATGAGTACTAATCTGAGCATATTAGCAGACAATAGTGACAGGAGCACAATAACTCCATATCCTTTGTAGTTCACTGCGTCTATCTCTTTGCTACATTGTTTCTGCTCCTATTCCCATATTCTCTTATGTCCAACAAAAGAAAAGATGTGTGGGTATCACAGGCCCTGAATAAGTGGTACGTAAGTTTATCAATGTTAATAAATATAATTATAGGTTTCCAGCAAACAGCAGTAATGTTTCCAAAAGACAGTACACTTTAGATCAATGAATGATCTTCTTAAAATGGAATCTATTTCCACTCTTTTTTTTTTTTTGAGACAGGGTTTTGCTGTTGTCACCCAGGTGGCAGTGCAGCGGTGTGATCACAGCTGACTGTAACCTGGACCTCCTGGGCTCAAGAAATCCTCCTGTCTTACCCTCTCAAGTAGCTGAGGTCACAGGCACATACCACCCCTGACAAATTATTTTTTGTAGAGATGGGGTCTTGCTATGTTGCTCAGTCCAGTCTCAAACTCCTGAGCTCAAGCAAGCAATCCTCCTGCTTTGGCCACCCAAAGTGCTGGGATTACAGGTGTGAGCCACCGTGCCAAGCCCCCAGACACTTTTATTATGTGTTTGTGTTCAAGTAGGAATGTATATATCTGTGTAGCACTTAAAACAATAGATGTTTTGCAATGAGTATGTGTTTCTTCGACAACTAGAGATATTTTTAAAAGTAAGATATTTTTTTAAAAACATGAAATGACTGAGTGGTGGCAAGCAAAAAATACTGGATTATTACCTTTGTCTTTTCATGCCTGGCTTCATTTGCTGTGAAAGTAGGTTGATGGGTTTAAGAACATTATTGTGCTGAATACTCTGCCTGATGGTTTCTACTAAAGTGCTTGTTTCTTGTTGTTCCTCTGACAGGAGAGATGATTTCTTTTCAGAATCTAACAATAAGAACACAGTAAGTTTTTTTTCAATTATTACTATTATTATTATTATTATTTTTTTTTTTTTGAGACAACATCTCACTCTGTTACCCAGGCTGGAGTGCAGTGATGTGATCATGGCTCACTGCAACCTTCGTCTCCCAGGCTCAAGTGATCCTCCCACCTCAATCTCCCAAATAGCTGGGACTACAGATGTATGCCACCATGCCCAGCTAATTTTTGTATTTTTTGTAGAGATAGGGTCTCACCAGGTTGCCCAGGTTGGTCTCAAACTCCTGGGCTCAAGCAATCTGCCTCCCAAAGTGCTGGGGTTACAGGCATGAGCCACTGTGCCCAGTCCCAGTCCCAATTATTTAAAAAGTTTTTTCTCCAGAGTTGTCGCATTTTCTCCTTGCTTAACCAATAGCACTTCCCCACTACTAGTAAAATTATGTGGCAGTGTGCCCAACTAAAAAATATTTTTCCTGCTTGCTCCCTTCAAACAGGCAGACCTGTCACTCTGCCTTTCTCTTCTAATATATGGTGGCTTACTGCCTGAGGCTGGAATGTGATAGCTTGTACTCCAGCAGCCATAAAAGCAGGTACAACAGAAGGAACCTGGATCCCTGATGACAGAGGAGTTGTCTAGCAGTACTAGACTGTCTAGTACATAACTTTTTTTCTTTTTTAAAAATGTATTTACTTAATTTTTGGAGACAGGATCGCATTCTGTTGCCAAGGCTGGAGTGCAGTGGCTGATCATTGTAACCTTCAACTCCTGGGCTCAAGCAGTCCTCCCTGCTCAGCCTCCCAAATAGCTAGGACTACAGGCATGCACCATCACAGTTGGCTAATTTATTTTATTTTTGTAGAGATAGGGTCTTGCTATGTTGCCCAGACTAGTCTTGAACTCAGCCTCAAGCAGTCCTCCTGCCTCAGCCTCCCAAATCACTGGAATTACAAGCATGAGCCAACCATGTCTAGCCTTATTTTTAATCAATAAGTAAAAATTGTATTTACTTATGGTGTACAACATGATGTAATTCATAACTTTTTAGACAGTTTTTCACTCCGTCACCCAGGCTGGAGTGAAGTCGTGCAATCACAGCTCACTGCAGCCTTGACCTCCTGGGCTCAAGCAATCCTCCTGCTTCAGCCTCGAGTAGCTGAGGCTACAGGGGCATGCCACCACATCTAGCTAATTTTTTATTTTTATTTTTTGTAGAGATGGGCTCCCACTATGTTGCCCAGCCTAGTCTCAAACTCCTGGTCCCAAGTGATCCTCCCACCTTGGCCTCCAAAAGTGCTAGCCTGATTTGCCTAGCCTAATAACTTCATATGAGAGAATAATCTTTACCTGTTTCAGCCTCTGTTATTTTCTGTTAAATATAGCAGAGTCTAGTGCTAATTAGAAGGAACGTAATTCGGCCGGGTGTAGTGGCTCATGGCTGTAATCCCAGCACGTTGGGAGGCTGAGGCAGGCGGATTGTCTTTTTCATTATACATTTAATTATATTGTATTGTGTAACACCGCCCCTAAATAAAGACAACTGGTAATAGTTCATTTGTGTTAAACCGAAAAAAAAAAAAAAAAAAATAGCAAAGTCCTCTGTTATGATAACAGGAAATACTGGCTGCTATGAGTTTTCATCCTAGGTCTTCCACCTGCTAAATGATAGACTTTGAATAGTGTTAATCTTCACACTATGCTATAATTTCACAATTATTGAGATAAGTCTCAAACCAAACATTACACCAATTTAAATACACAATTCAATGGTTTTTAGTATATTCATGAAGTTGTGCAACCATCATCACTATCAATTTTAGAACATGTTCATATCCCAAAAAGAAACCCCATCTCAACCCCTTAGCCCTAGGCAACCACTAATCTACTTTCTGTCTCTATACATTTTCTTATTCTGGATATTTCATATAAATGGAATAATACAATCTATGCTCCTTCACAACTGGTTTCTCTTCTAGAGTGGTTTCAAGATTCAACTGTGTTGTACATATATCAGTACTTCATTGTTTTCTGTTGCCAAATGAAATTCCATTGTATGGATATACCATACTTTATTTATCAATTCATAATTTTTTTTTCTTGTTTTTGAGATGGAGTCTCGCTCTGTTGCCCAGGCTGGAGTGCAGCAGCAGAATCTCAGCTCACTGCAACCTCTGCCTCCCTGGGTTCAAGTGATTCTCCTGCCTCATCCTCCCAAGTAGCTGGGACTACAGGCATGTGCCACCACGCCCAGCTAATTTTTGTATTTCTTTTAGTAGAGACGGGGTTTCCCCATGTTGGCCAGGTTGGTCTCGAACTCCTGACCTCAAGTGATCTGCCGGCCTCAGCCTCCCAAAGTGCTGGGATTACAGGCGTGCGCCACTGCGCTCAGCCCTCAATTCATAGACTGATAGACATTTGTTTCCGTATTTTTGGCTATTATGCAAATGCTATTATGAACATTCATGTGCAAGTTTTCATGTGGACATCATTTCTCTTAGGTATATACGTGAGTGCAACTGCTGTATCATATGGTAACTCATATGGTTTGCCATTTTGAGGAGCTGTGAAACTGTTTTCCAAAGGAGCTGCACAATTTTATATTCTAACTGACAGTGTCTGAGGGTTCCACTTTCTCCACATCTTCACTAACTCGTTATTATTTTTTTTTATTATAGCCATCCTAGTAAGTATGAAGTGTTATTTCCTTGTGGTTTTGATTTGCATATCCTTGACAGCTAGTGCTGTTGAGCATTTTTCATGAGCTTTTGGCCATTTGAACATTTTATTTGAAGAACTACTGATTTACAGCCTTTGCTCATTTTAAAAATGGGTTGCCTTTTTATTACTGAGTTGTAAGAGTACTTTACATAGTCTGGGTACAAATCCTTTTTAAGATATGATTTGCAAATATCTCCTCCCAATCTGTCGATTGACCTTTCACTTTTTTGATGGTTTAAATTTCAGAAGTTCTTTCTTTTGACTAAATCCAACTTATCTACTTTTTCTTTTGTTGATTGTGCTTTTGTTGCTTTTTTTGAAGGCCTTGCCTAACTAACACGGAGTCATGAAGATTTACTCCTATGTTTTCTTCTAAGTGCTTTATAGTTTTAGCTCTTACATTTAGGTTTATGACCCATTTTTAGTTCATTTCTATGTATGATTTGAGGAAGTATCCAATTTCATTCTTTTTATTATTGCTAGCCTGTTGTCCCAGCACGTGTTGAAAAGACTATTCTTTTTTTTGAGACAGAGTCACTCTGTTGCCCAGGCTGGAGTGCAGTGGCGCAATCTTGGCTCACTGCAAGCTCCGCCTCCTGGGTTCACGCCATTCTCCTGCCTCAGCCTCCCGACTAGCTGGGACTACAGGTACCCGCCACCACGCCTGGCTAATTTTTTTGTATTTTTTTAGTAGAGATGGGGTTTCACCGTGTTAGCCAGGATGGTCTCGATCTCCTGACCTCGTGATCCGCCCGCCTCGGCCTCCCAAAGTGCTGGGATTACAGGCGTGAGCCACTGCACCCGGCCGAAAAGACTATCTTAAATGGTCTTCACACTGAAAGGCAACTGACCATACATACATGTGAGGGTTTATTTCTGGAACTTCAGCTATATTCCATCAACCTATGTCTCTTTTTACACCAGTATTTTACTTTCTTGATTACTGTAGCTTTGCAGTAAGTTTTCAAATTGAAGAACTGTGAGTCCTATAACACTGTTCTTTTTCAAGATTGTTTTCGTGATTCTAAGTCCCTTGAACATCCATATGAATTTCAAGATTCACTTGTCAATTTACGTAAAGAAGCTACCTGAAATTCTGATAGGGACTGCATTCAATCTGTAAATCAATTTAGGACTACTTCCATCTTAATAATATTAACTTTTCCAGACCATAAACATTGGATTCTTTCCATTTACTTATTCTTTAATTTCTTTCAACAATTATTTAAGTTTTTGGAGTGTAAGTTTTGCATTTCTTTGGTTCAATTTATCCATAAGTATTTTGTTCTAATGCTATTATAAATAAATAAAATTGTTTTCTTAGTTTCATTTTGAATTATTTGTTCAAAGATATAGAAATAGTTGATTTCTCTATACTGATCTTATAGCCTGGAACCTTGCTGAACTTATGCAGTTCTAATATGGTGTGTGTGTATAATAATATGTTAGGTGTGTGTCTATTCCTTAGAATTTTCTATATATTATATATATAGAAAAAATAAATATCATTTATCATATAATCTGCAAATATAGATACACTTACTTTTTTCCTTTCCAGTTTGGATGCCTTTTCTTTTCTTGACTAATTACTCTAGCTAGAACCTCTGGTAGAATGGTAAATAAAAATGGCAAAAGTGGGCATCCTTGTCTTACACTTGTACTTAGTGAGAAAGTATGTTAAGAGTATGGTATCAACTGTAGATTTTCATAGATGCCCATTACCAGGCGGAGGAAGATCTTCTCTATTCCCAGCTTGATGAGTGTTTTAAACAAAGGGTGATGGATTTTGCCAAATGATTTGGCTGTGCCTCCTGAGATGATCACGTGAATTTTGTCCTTTACTCTATTGATAGTATATTACACAATTGATTTTCAAATGTTAAACCACAATTGCATGCTTGAGATAAATCCCACTTTGTCATGGTGTAAAATCATTTTTATATATTGCTGGATTTGATCTGCTAGTATTTTATTCACGATTTTTATGTCTATATTACTAAATGATACTGATTTTTAATTTTCTTATGATGTCATTGGTCTTTGTATCAGGGTAATAATGGCCTTCTGACCAAAATCTCCACTGTTTTTGAGAGTGCTCTCAGGCTTAAACTTCTCCACACTCTGTTCCAAATAAAATAATTTCCTTTAGGGAAAATTTCAGAGCTCTCTATTCTTATGACCTGCCTCTCCCCCTGGGCAAAATTTCTTTTTTTTTCGTTTTCTTTTTGTTTTTTGAGACAGTCTCACTCTGTCGCCCAGGCTGGAGTGCAGTGGCACGATCTCGGCTCACTGCAACTTCCGCCTCCCAGGCCTCCCTGATTCTCCTGTCTCAGCCTCCCAACTAGCTGGGATTACAAGTGCCCACCACCACACCTGGCAAATTTTTTTGTATTTTTAGTAGAGGCGGGGTTTTATCATGTTGGCCAGGCTGGTTTCAAACTCCTGACCTCAGGTGATCCACCCGCCTTGGCCTCCCAGAATGCTGGGATTACAGGCGTGAGCCATCGTGCCCAGCCCCTGGGCAAAATTTCTAAGCCACTGCTCTGGAGCTGGGGCTGGGAACAGTGGCCCTTCTTTTAGAGTGACATTCCTGCTTTATGAGCAGGGTGCTAGATAGAGACATGACCCTGTCTCAAAAGAAAAAAAAATCTTACAGTAAGTATCCTTGTGTAAACAGTTAGCTGTGTACTGTATTTCTATAGAACAGAGTTCTCGAACTGCAATTCCTGAGTTTAAAGGGTATCCACATATGAAATCTACATGTCTGCCATATTGTTCTCCAGAAATGTATCATTTTACACATCTAAAAGTATATGAAAGTGTTCCCCAAACATCTTCAACAATCTTTAAATTTTTTTAAACAATCTTCATCTTTAACGTTTTTTGCCAACCTGACAGTTACAAGTTTATGTTTTCCTTTTTTTTTTTCTTAACAGACAGGAAGGCGGGGAGGTCTCACTTTGTCACCCAGGCTGGAGTACACTGGTGCAATCATAGCTAACTGCTGCCTAGAACTCCTGGGCTCAAGGGATTCTCCTGCCTTGGACTCCCAAAGTGTTGTGGTTACGGGCGTAAGCCACCACGCCAGCCACATTATCCTTTTTTTCTTTTATGAGATGGAGTCTTGCTGCGATGCCCAGGCTGGAGTGCAACGGCGCAATCTCGGCTCATTGCAACCTCTGCTTCCCGGGTCCAAGCAATTCTCCTGCCTCAGCCTCCTGAGTAGCTGGGATTACAGGCGTGCATCACCAAGCCTGGCTAATTTTTTTTATATTTTTAGTAGAGACAGAGTTTCACCATATTGGCTAGGCTGGTCTTGAACTCCTGACCTCAAGTGATCCACCTGCCTCGATCTCCCAAAGTGCTGGGATTACAGGCATGAGCCACCGTGCCAGGCCTACATTTTCCTTTTTTAAAATATAAAGTTATATTTCACTTAATACTAGTATGATTGAGCTTTTAAAATATGTTTATATTACAGACTGAATTGTGTCACCCCCAAATTCATATGTTGAGGCCCTAATTGCCAATGTGACTCTATTTGGAGATAAGGCCTTTAAATAAATAATTAAGGTTACATGAGGACATAAGAGTGGGGCACTAATGTTTTTTTAATTTTTTTTTTGAGATGGAGTCTCACTCTGTCGCCCAGGCTGGAGTGATCTTGGCTCACTGCAACCTCCGCCTCCCGGGTTCAAGCAATTGTCTGCCTTAGCCTCCCGAGCAGCTGGAACTACAGGTGCCCACCACCACGCCCAGCTGAATTTTGTATTTTTAGTAGAGATGACCAAGACCATCTTGGCCATGCTGGTCTTGAACTCCTGACCTCGTGATCCACCCGCCCTCGGCCTCCCAAAGTGCTGGGATTACAGGCATGAGCCACTGCGCCTGGCCAAGTGGGGCCCTAACCTAATACAGCTGATGTCTTTATAAGAAAAGGAGACACCAGGAATGTGTGCATGTGCATGCACACACACAGAGAAAAGGTTATGTGAGGGTACAGCAAGAGGGCAGCCATCTACAGGCCAAAGAGAGGCCTCAGAAGAAACCAAACCTGCTGATCCCTTTCTAGATTTTAGACTTCCAGCCTCCAGAACTGTGAGAAAATAAATTTCTGTTGTTAAAGCCACCCAGTCTGTGGTATTTTATTATGGCAGCCCTAGCAAACTAATACAGTTTGAAAGCTGCTTAATGTTTTTAATATGAATTACCTATTAATATCATTTGGTCATTTCTCTACTGAATTGTATTTTTCTTACTGATTCACAAGGCTTTTGAATACATGAATAATAACTCTTTAAACACCTTGTAAAAATATACTCTAAAAGATTAAAAATGAAGCCAGAACCCTTAAGACCAGTCAGTAACCATTAATACAGCTGAACTTATGATCCTATACCAACACATCTAAATTACTCTTCTGCTATATAGAATTTACTCTCAAAATAGCCAACCAAATTTTTACTTGATAGAAAAATCACCAAAAAAATTACTCAACTCAGTTGAGACCCGTCACAATTAAAAAACAGGTCAGTAAAACAGCAAACCACTTTTTCATTTGTGTGTGTGTGTGTGTACTTTTTTTTTTAACAGCAAATCACTTTGAATTAATTAAAAATTTAAAAATAAAGCAAAATAATTTGCTTTTCTATATTTAACTCTAGGGGAATTTAGTTTAATTCTGTTTCTTTTTTTTCTTCCCAGCAGTCCATTCTTTATTGCAGAACAATATCCTACAGTATGGATGGAATGTGCCACAATTTGCTTATCCAGTCACCTATGGATGCGTATTTGAGTTGTTCCCATTTTGAGTCTTTTATGTCTTTAACTCTTTGTTTTGTTTTGTTTTGTTTGAGATACAATCTTGCTCTGACACCCAGGCTGGAGTGCAGTGGCATGATCTCAGCTCATTGCAACCTTTGCTGCCCAGGTTCAAGCGATTTTCAAGCCTCAGCCTCCTGAGTAGCTGGGACTACAGGCACCTGCTACCACACCTGGCTAAGTTTTGTATTTTTAATAGAGACAGGATTTCACCATGTTGGCCAGCCTGGTCTCCAACTCCTGACCTCAAGTGGTCCGCCAGCCTAGGCCTCCCAAAGTGCTGGCATTACAGGTGCGAGCCACTGCACCTGGCTGTTATGTCTTTAATTCTATTTTACTTACTAAAATTCCTCCATGAGACATACAGAGGTTCTCTTGGTTCCTGATGAAGGTTGATATTATCCCATAACAGCTGAATATACACAAGTTTGCTATCCTGGGACAGAGATGACAGAGGAAGCTAAAAGAAATCAAAAGAAAGTATTAGTATCCCGAGAATAACAATTACCAGTAGATCTAGTGAAGCTTGATTATATAAAACAGATGAGTCCTTTTAAAATTCTGGACCTAAAATTCAGAATCAAAATTTTAATTTTTATTAATGTCTGATGACAAATGTTATTATTATTTTCTGAGGTCAAGGTTTCTCAGTGTGACTTTTAAGAAATGGGATGACAATTAGCTAACTGGCATGATGGTTGTAGAAAGATTAATTACCATTACAGCAAATTTTAAGGTCAAAGTGCAAGAGGTTCTACTACCTTACCAAATAATTTTGTTTCACCTACCTAATCAAACTAGAGTTTATAGTACTTTAAGGAAAGATTTTATTTTGCCCCATGTATATGTTTAGGGCCTGAGTGTCTATCAATATTAATCCTATAAAATAAAGCACTCTAGGAGCTCACTGTCTCTAATGGAATCAGGATCCCAGTATAAGTAGAGTTGGGGCTTTTAAGTCAGACAGCCAGAATGTGACCTTGGGTCTCCATCACTTATTAGGTATGTCACCTTACAGAAATTACTAAATTTCTCTAACTTTTAATTATAACATCTGAAAAATATGGATAATATGGGTCCTTTCAAATAAGGTGGTTGTGAGAATTGCAGCTGGGAACAGAACAGTTAAGAATAATAGCTACCAGCCGGGCACAGTCGCTCACGCCTGTAATCCCAGCAGTTGGGAGGCCGAGGCAGGTGGATTGCCTTAGGTCAGGAATTCAAACCAGCCTGGTAAAATCCCATCTCTACCAAAAATACAAAAATTAACTGGATGTGGTGGTGGGTGCCTGTAATCCCAGCTACTCGGGAGGCTGAGGCAGGAGAATCACTTGAACCCAGAAAAAGGAGGCTGCAATGAGCCGAGATCACGCCATTGCACTCCAGCCTGGGCAACATTTTCTAGCTACCCTTGCAGACAGATATGACCTAATAACTGAGTTCAGGCCAAGAAAATATATGTAGAAATATTATCTACAACTCCAGGAGCTATCCCTTAAGAAAAAAGACATACTCTCCTCTCCATCCATTTTTCTCCTAACTGCTGGATAGAAAGTAGATGTGACAGCTTGGAGGTAATCAGCCATCCTGGACCAAAAGCAGAACTTGGAAATGGAGGATATGCATAGCTAAACAAAAATATAAAAGGATCTTAGGTTCCTAACACTTTACCATTCCAGGACTGCTTATCCAAACTTTTAAGTGAGAGAGAAATAAATCTGTCTTGTTAAGCTGCTACTGTTGTATACTTTCAGGACCTTGAAGTTAAGCCTCATCCTACTGAATACTAATGTAAGTATAAAAGTTGGCACCCTACCTGTACACCTTCATTACAATGTTCAGATGTGAGGATAAGTCCTGGCAAGTTACTAGGAAGGTCCAAACGTCTGAAATACCAAACGAGGTTCCAGAAAATGATTGGATGTTGATTGATGAAAGAAGATGTATGAATCACCTGATCACCTTCATTTTCTAGCAAAGATTCAAGTTCTTTACGGAGTACTAGAGGACTCAAGTAGGGCACAGAAACAGGGGGAGGATTGGGTCTTTTTCCTAAAGGATCCTTAAAAAAAATACAAAAAGAAATTAATATTATCTGTTTAAATCTGTATGCTCAAGAGCACTTCTCAATGAGATAATGCCTCTCTATCCTTTTTAAATCAGTTATTTTAGGACCATTGCTACATGCAAGAGAATATGCTAATGAATGAAAACCTAAAAAAGAAAATACTTAAATACTGTTAAGTTAAATCATTACAAAAGAAAATTAATCAACAGACTCTTTAAAACATGTTCTCTATCACACTGAGAGCAATGGCCTGAATGTATTAGGTTTTTTTCAATTTTTATAAGAAATATTTGCATTTCAGATGCTTTATAGTAATGTATGTGTGTAAAAACTGTGTGACATTATCTTCCTCCTACAACTCTAAACTGATGGGGCAATCTTTTGCATTAATATTCTTTGTTGACTTAACTCACTTTTACAACTGATTGCAACAAAAACTGAAGGAATTAAAGAAATAGCATTTTTATAATTCAAATAAAATAAGAAATGAAAAAAGACCCAACCTAGACTTTGTGAGTTATGCATATTATAATCAGGATAAAATGTTTAAGACTCTCTCATCAACAGTGAGTCCCCCTGGTGCCTAGACTGTGGTCTCCAAAACCATTTCCCTCTAAAGGGACCCACAGTTTCTTAGAGAAACAGCTGATTCTAGGTCTGGGTAAGAAAGTATATAACATAAGCATAAAACATCTTGTCATATAAGAAAGCAAGAAAGCTTTTTAAAAATTACAAAAATGCTACTAGAGTTGTGTCAAAAGGACTAATGAGCTAACTTCTAGAGGCTTCTAGCTGACCAAAGAGAATAATATAAGCATGAACAACGATAAAAACAGCAATAGATATAAAGATAAATGTTTAAGGCATGGTAGTGTGTGCCTGTGGTTCCAGTTATTAGGGAGGCTGAAGCAGGAGGATCACTTGAGCTCAGGAGTTTAGGAATAGCCTGGGCAACAAAGCAAGATCCCCATCTCTAAAAATTAATTACTTAATTAAACATAAATGTTGAAATCAATGAGCTCATAATGATACCCTATTCCTCCAAATTAATTGATGACCTTGGAGAATGACAGGGACTCAACTCGCTATTTTGAAAACTCTAAATAAAAGGAAAAAATCAAGCATTTAACCTGCCTTTCCACTATAAATTTTATCTTTTGAAAATCTAACAGAGACATAGGGAAATTTCTGTTTATGTATTCCTTATTATAAGGAAGAAATGACAGAATGAGACCATTATCATTTTATAGCTCCTAATGAATTACTTTATCTAGGCATTAAGGCATTAATAGCTACTAATGTTTATGTCTCCTGCTGGGAGGAACATACCACCACTGATGAAATCGTCTTACAAAAATAAACAAGCAAATGAACACTAACACAAAAACCCCAAATCTGATCAAGGTTCCGGACACAAATTCCAACTTTTATCGTTGCAATCAGCAAAATCTGGATTATGGAAAACTGTACTCTAACCAGTTTTATCAACAAATAAATTGCAAGAGGAAAAGAGTCTACAGATTCAAAAAGACTAAAAACTATATCAACCAAGTGCAATACACTGACTTTATTTGATCCTGATTCCTCAAACTACAACCCACACATACACAAGCACACATATGCATTTGACATTTTTGAGACAATCAGAAATTTGAACAGACTAAATAACTTGATACTATTATTTGGGGTTTTTTTTGTATGATAAAAGCAGTGTGATTATATTTTTCTAAAGTCCTCATCATTCAGGGATACATACTGAAATATTTACTAACAGAATATGTGATGTTTGAAATTTGCTTCAAAATAATCTCAAAAAAAGAGAGAACTGAATGAGAATATACATAAAAGAAGAATGCCATAAACTGAAAATAACTGAAGCTAGATGATGGGGGACTCATTATACTGTTTCTTTTTGTACATATTTGAAATTCTCCACAATAAAAAGTTATTTGTTTATGGAAAAACTCTATCACTTTTCATGTAATTAAAATAAGTCCACTACAGAAGAATTTATAATGTTCTACTATATACTTAGGTGTGTATGCAGTATAATTACAATGTTGTTGTTGTTACATACCACAACTTCCTGCAGACTATTTGGAAGACTAACTGTTGAGATGCCATGAAACGGTCGCTGGGTAAAGTCAATATTCTGCAATGGGCCTCCAACACTGTGACTTCGAGTCAAAGACACATTTCGCTTTGATAAACTATTAGGCACAGATGAAATTTTCATAGTTTGGACATCTCCACTGGCTCTCTTTATTTCATCACTTAAAAATAAATATAGAAGAAATGCTATGTTCATGTTGAAAAACAGTCTAAATCTGTAGAGCTAGAGTATTTTCTACAATGGACCTTGAGTCTACTAAATATATCTAAGAAGAATCAGCACCACCTTGTAAGAATTGCATTTCCTTCAACCATTTTTGTAAAACTGGTCAGAAAAACAGGATGGAGTAGATGGTTCTGGTGAGGGGTGGGAAGATGACATATTGTAGATATACAGGTATTATTTTAAAAAGACAAAGTACCCATTCAGTTGCTTTACTCAAATATTATTTCATCTTTATTAAACAAAATTACCTAGAAGTATGCTATATGCAAATAAGTACAATAAAGACACTGACAAGTATTTAATCTCTACTAGGCCACGATCCACCTAAGGAGAGAGACCCAGTCATATTTACTTTTTTATTTTTAGAGCTTAGCATAATATTTAGCATACAATAGAGTCTCAATAAATGTTTGATTCAATTAGTATTTAAGGGCCAAGTGTACATTTCACAGAAAGAGAACATTTCGCCTCTGGAAACTGGCAATGACTATATTAAAAGGGAAATATTTTACTGTTGAGAAGTTCATTTTGTAAAAGACAACTGTAAAATATTAAACTTAGTTCAAAAATGGTTTATCATCAGATTCATTCATTAGCTCGTTAAACACTATGTGGTAATAAGTTAAGATGTACTCTTAAATGCCAGAACTTATGCCTATATGAGTCAGGTTGTCTTTAGAGACAGAATTTTTACAAGGGTACCCCATTTATTACTACATAAAGAGGTCTCTGTACCCTTTGATACCTTGGTTCAACTGCAGAGCCTGTTTCTTCAGTTATGATCTGGTTATGTTTTGGGAAGTCCATAAAGTTGATCAAGTCAGGTTCTGCTAAACTGGATACAGGTTTGTGCTCCAAGGATTCATTTGCCAATGGAATGCTTCCACTTTGTAAACTGTCACCAGAGGTACTTGGTTTCAGGAAAAAGCTACATAAGGAAAAGGGGGGAAAAAGAGCCTTTAAAAATCCTCAAGTTTTCTAAAATTCTATCATATTTAGAATCATTTTATTGCTAAAGCAGTCATTAATAAAATTATATATAATCCAGAAGGAAAACACGGCCTATTTCCAATACACTCTCACTCTCTCTCTCTCTCTCTCTCTCTCTCTCACACACACACACACATTCCTGCTCTCATTTTCTCTTCCCCTCCTATCCTAAACTTTTCAAATACAAGGTTGGAAATGGTCCAATAAATGATATTCCAATTTTTGAGAACCACTAAAGAAAACTGTGAGGGAAGAGGGAAAGCAAAATATTTTATTAATTTCCTGAGTTAAAAAAAAAAATAAAGAGCTGCAGTAGCAGCACTTTAAGATATATTAACCTATAATTACTTATAATGTCTTTTATCACTTATAAATCTCCATCTTGTTTCTAATCATTTCTTCTCTGTTCATTGTTTTATTTACATCTTATCTCTCTCCTTCTCTCTTTGGGTGGGACTTGAGGAGGGAAGGGCCTTGCAAGGAACATTTAGAGAATTTTCTGAGGTAATGGTAATGTTTTCTAAGGGTTTAATTTGCACAAATACATGCATTTATTCTTCAAATGGTATGTTTAAGATTTGTACATTTTGCTGTATATCAATTTATCTCAAAATAAAAAAATTGTCAATAAATACTGAACTCTAATGATATGCATATCAAAGTCTTTGGGGGAGAAATGTATTAATATCTCTATCTCACCTTCAAATGAATAAAAATTTAAGATAGATTGGTGGAGAGACAGATAGGTGATAGACTAAGTATAGTAAAGTGTAAATTGAAGGACGCAGGGGTAGATATTTGCGTGCTCATTGAAAAAAAACCTTTAAAATTTGTTGTAAGCTTGAAATTTTCTATAACAACATATTCAGGGGACAGACTTAATAATGCTCCTTTATACCCAATTTGAAAAATATAAAATAAAATGCTTGTCACGATAGCTTAAAAACACAATTAACTCAAAAAGTATAGGACTTATGGAGAATAATTTAAACCTGTGTTAAAGGACATAAAAGAAGATCTGAAAAAAAATACAGAGATATACCAGGCTCACAGATAAGATAATAATAATAGAAAAGTCAATTTTCCTCACATTAATCTATAAATCTCAAAGAAAACTCTAGTTGGATTTTTTTTGAGGACCTCAAACTTATTCTAAGAATTCACAGGAAAGAGCAAGCATACAAAAAATAATAACAATACAATCCAAGAGTGGGAACTCACCCTACTAACCAGAGATACAACACAAGGACCAAGTGATGAAAACAACATGGCATTAAGAAAAACAGCAAGAAAATGCAGAACCAAGTGAGGTATACATGGGAACTGAAATATGATAAAGGTGACACCATATAGCAGTAAGCAAAGGATAGGTTATTTAGTGGATAATATTGGGATAACTGGATTGTTACATGGAGGAAAAATGAAAGCTGGATCTCTACCATCATATATAAAAAGTAGAATAAAGATATATTAAAGACCTAAACATCAAAAGTAAAATATAAGCAAAAACGTTCAAGGATAAAAATTTCAGGTCCTAGGGATAGGGAACAACTTTAAAAACAAGATTCCAAAAGCACAAATTGCAAGGTAAAAAATTAATGGATGACATCAAAATTAATGCTTTCAAGTAATTAATATCAATAATATTCAAGTCAGATCAACAAGAAAAAGAAAGATCAATAGAAAAATAGGCAATGAATGGCCAGGCATGGTGGCTGACGCCTGTAATCCCGGCACTTTGGGAGACCAAGGTGGGCGGATCACAAGGTCATGAGATCGAGACCATCCTGGCTAACATGGTGAAACCCTGTCTCTACCAAAAATACAAAAAAATTAGCCGGGCGTGGTGGTGGGTGCCTGTAGTCCCAGCTACTTGGGAGGCTGAGGCAGGAGGATGGCATGAACCTGGGAGGTGGGGCTTGCAGTGAGCCAAGATTGCGCCACTGTACTCCAGCCTGGGTGACAGAGCAAGACTCCATCTCAAAAAAAAAAACAAACAGCCAAAAAAGAAAAAAAAAATAGGCAATGAACATAAGCAACCAATTCATAGAAAATGCTAGAGCAGGCCAGGTGCAGTGGCTCACGCCTGTAATCCCAGCACTTTGGGAGGCCAAGGTGGGTGGATCATCTGAGATCAGGAGTTCGAGACCAGCCTGGCTAACATGGCGAAACCCCATCTCTACAAAAATTACAAAAATTAGCTGGGCATGGTGGTGGGCACTCCCAGCTACTCGGGAGGCTAAGGCAGGAGAATCGCTTCAACCTGGGAGGCAGACGTTGTAGGCCAAGATTGTGCCATTGGACTCCAGCCTGGGCGACAAGAGTGAAACTCTGTCTCCAAAAAAAAAAAAAAAAAAAAAGGCTAGAATAACAAGTAATGAAGAGACACTCAAATTTGTCAGTATCAAGAGAAATTCAAACAATGCCAAAATTTAAAAAGTGATAATACCAAATGCTGGTAAGGCTATATAGAAATGAGAATTCTTGGGTACTACTTGTGGGAGTGCAGCCGTCTAGGAAGCAATATTTTGTGTTTACTAAAATCATGTATGAAAATGATCTTACTCCAAGGATTATCGTTTTCTTAGAGAAACTACTTCACAAGTCCAAAAGGGGACATGTATTTTGCAGTGCACTGCATTACTACCGTGGTGTTTGTAGTAACAGAGAACTGAAAGTAACTGAAGTACCCAACACTAGAATAATGGATAAGTAGAAAGGTATATTAACTTCCTGTAGAAGAAAAGGAATAAACTAGATGTACATATAGTAACCCAGATTTAAAATAGAGCAATAAAAAGAAGTAAATTTAGATATATATCACACTTAGCAGAGTCAGTGTCTTCGTAGAATAGGGGAATGAGGGTGGGAATGAGGAAAGGAGGATAAACACGAGAGGGCCCTTGCACAGTCCAAAGATGATAGTGTGTCAGGAATTAAAGAGTATGATTTGACTTAGCTCCACCCTTGAAGCTAAAAGAAAAAACAGAGAAGAAACACCTCTACAATTAAATGGTGTGATTTCAGCTCACTGCAACCTTCGCCTCCTGGGTTCAAACCATTTTCCTGCCTCAGCCTCCTGGTTGCTGGGACTACAGGCATGTGCCATGGTGTCGGGCTAACCTTTTTTGTATTTTTTTGTAGAGATGGGGTTTTGCCATGTTGCCCAGGCTGGTCTCGAACTCCTGACCTCAAGTGATCTGCCTGCCTCGGCCTCCCAAAGTACTGGGATTACAGGCATGAGCCATCATGCCCAGCCTAAATGTTTTTGTTGTTTTTTCAGAGACAGAGTCTCTCTCTGTCACCCAGACTGGAGTGCAGTGGTGCAATCTCAGCTCACTGCAACCTCCACCTCCCAGGTTCAAGCAATTCTCCTGCCTCAGCCTCCCGGGTGCCTGGGACTACAGGCGCACGCCGCCACACCTGGCTAATCTTTTGTATTTTAGTAGAGACAGGGTTTCACTGTGTTGCCCAGGCTGGTCTCGAACTCCTGAGCTCAGGCAATCCACCTGTCTGGGCCTCCCAAAGTGCTAGGATTAAGGTGTGAGCCACCACACCTGGCAGTGTATTTTTTTTAAAGCAGCTAAAGGCAGGAAATAAAAAGTTCAATTTGTTCCATAAAATGAATGGAATATTAAGTATAATTCCCTAGGTCAGCACAGAGTCACCAAACTCTCAATTATTTTATGTATAATTATAGATCAGCTAGTCTTATATCTATTGCCTAGAATTTGGTCATTTCACTGCACAGAATACTACTAGGACGTGCAAGTGACAAGAGAAGAGTTGAAGCCTTTTTTTCCCCTTTGTTTCTTCTAAAATATATACTCACTGCAGCTTCAAACTCCTGGGCTCACGCGATCCTCCTATGTCAGCCTTCCTAGTAACTGCTACCACAGGTGCACACTACCATGCCCAGCTAATTTTAAAAAATCTTTTGTAGAGACAGGGTCTTGCCATGTTGCCCAGGCTGGTCTTGAACTCCTGACCTCAAGCAATCCTCCCACCTGGGCCTCGCAAAGTGTTGAGATTACAGCATGAGCCACGGAGCCCGGCTGATAATCTTACTTTAAATAAAATGGAAAAGTAGACTCCCACATTACTAGTATTTGCTACTCAAATACTGAAGGTGAAGGACAGACAGGAAGGCAGACCTGGAGCATACCAGGAATATTTCACTCTTCTCCCAGAAGTCGTGTTTTTTGAGGGTACTTACTTCTTGAGAGAGCTTTTATAAGACTAACCTTGCAGAACCTCTCAAATCTTTGAATTCTATATTGAGAAGAGGCAAGAAGTTGCTTTTACAGAATGGACAAGCTGTATTCAAATTTGAGTCATCTGCTGTCCATCCAGCCATAATTTCTTCATCATAAACTAAAGCTCCACAAGCTCTACACTGTGAACAACTGGACATCAAAACCTAAAAACAGAAAAATGCAGACACTGAGAACGTTTAATAAAAATTAATCTTAACAGGAATTCTCTTGAGATAATGGGATTTTTTTTATTCTACTGATCAAATTTGGAATTATTAATAACAGTTCTTTTATTTCACAGGTAAACTACCAGTTCAATGTCTTACTTACATAAGACATCAAGCAAATTCAACAAAATGACTTATTTTATTATACTGTCCACAAGGGTATCTTAGAATCCTGTTAAATGCCATTCTGAAATAAAAATATGCTTACAGCTACTTTATCATGAACTGAATATAGAACTTTTACCTCCATTGCACAATTCTGATAGATGCTAGACATGCTGGTATTTTGAGAAGAACCATGATCTGATTTTTCAAAGTCTTGCCCTTTCATGCCTCTTGGAAATGGAACTTCACCTACAAAGGAATATACATCGTAATACCTTAAGTAAGGAATGTCCTTGTTTTTTGAAAATGCATGCCAAAGTATTTAGGGGGGACACAGAATAAAGTCTGCAACTGTTTTTCAAGTGGCTCAGTATAAAAATGTATGCATACATAGAAAGAGATAAAGTTAACAATAGTTAATTAAATCTAGGTGGAAAATACATGATTGTTCATTATACGATTCTTTCAACTTTCAGGACATTTGAAATTTTTTTTTCTTTTCTTTTTTTTTTTTTTAGATGGAGTCTCGCTCTGTTGCCCAGGCTAGAGTGCAGTGGTACAATCTCGGCTCACTGCAACCTCTGCCTCCCAGGTTCAAGTGATTCTCCTGCCTCCGCCTCCCAGGTAGCTGGGATTACAGGCGCACGCTGCCACGCCTGGCTAATTTTTTTTGTATTTTAGTAGAGACGGTTTCACTGTGTTGCCCAGGCTGGTCTTGAACTCCTGAGCTCAGGCAATCCACCCGCCTTGCCTCCCGAAGTGCTAGGATTACAGGCATGAGCCACTGTGTCCGGTTTGGACATTTTAAATTTTTACAGTAAAAAGTCAGAGAAAAAGAACCGAATTATAATTTTAAAAAGTAACATGGAGTAAGAAACTTCAATGACACATCCTAGTGATTCTCCAACTCTGGTATACATCGGATTCACCCAGAGAACTGCTTAAAAATACACATTCCCAAGGCCCCATCTCACAAATTCAGTCTCAGAAGTTTTAGCGTTAGGCTTGGACATTTGCATTTATTTTGAAACAAATTTCCCAGATTATTCTGATGCATGCCAAAGTTTGAGAACTAATGATATAATCCGTGAATATATACAACTAAAAACAAAGGCAGTAGGTGACCACAGTAGTTATAAATCATACAAGATCAGAATAGATCATAAGGCGGCTAGTATTAAAAATCTCTCAATCATTTCAACAAATGGGGCTTATTGAGCGGGGAGTTACAGGCATCTAAATTAAAATAAGCAAAGACAGGCCAGGCGCTGTGGCTCACGCTTGTAATCCCAGCACTTTGGGAGGCCGAGGCAGGCAGATTGCTTGAGCCCAGGAGTTCGAGACCAGCCTGGGCAACAAGACAAAACCCCGTCTCTTAAATTAAAAAAAAAAAGCAAAAACTATTATAAAGCAAATGAAGAAAGGATAATCCTTCCCCATACCTGTTGGATAATGCAGTTTTCCTACATCTCCACTACTGCTGCTACTGCCAAGACTTGTGTTGCTCTGGGTAAGTTCACTGGGGACCAACCCTGAGATACTTGTGTTAGGCGATATATTCTCCCCCAAAATATGGTCTTCTAGGCCAGCTGGGAAGCTGTAGTCTCTATTAGTTTCTTCCTTTAATTGAAAAAAAAAAATTCCACATACATAAATAATACCTTCTCCAGTGGGATTATACCCACTCTACCCTTTTCAAAATTAAACTCTATAATCCTTAAACAAATCATCATCCCCACATTTTTCAAAACCATGAAATCTCCTCACTATTATTTCACTTCCACACTCTAAGACATTCAAGCCATAAGCAACAATACTTTAAGAAAGATCGTGGTGTGCCTCAGGTGTATGTGGGAGGTCTGGGTGTCTCTCAATATTGAATCTTATAAAATAACAGAATTCTAGGGAGCCCACTGTCTCCAATGGAATCAGGAATCCCAGTACAAGTAGAGTAGGGGTTTTTGAATCAGACAGCCAGATTGTGACCTTGTTCTCCACCATTTATTAGATATGTAAACTTACAGAAATTACTAAACTTCTTTAACTTTTAATTATGTAATCTGAAAATATGGATAATATGAGTTGTTTCAAATAAAGCTGCTGTGATAATTTCGGCTGGGAATCTGAATGTTCAGAATAACAAATATCAATATTAGAGCCAAGAAACATGAATAAAGTTTCAAACACTGTAGTTCTTAACTACATAGGTGATTGTTGAAGCTTTAGGTAGAAAACATTTCAACAATCAGGTTTTTTTGCTTTAAAAATGAAAGATTTGTGTCTTCCTTGTTATAAAACCATGTTACATGATTTTAAAAAATTAAATACAGATAAGCAAAACAAGGAATGAAAAATGCTTATGATATCAACAGTCAGAGAATATAATCAAAATCTTGATATACATCTTTCTAGTCATTTAAAACATACATATAAAATCATATAAATCTTTACAAATTAGAATATTGTTTTTCACCTGTACTTCTTATGTAATTATTTTAATGTCATTAAATTTTCTTCTAATTATTTAAACACCTGTGAACTAATCTGTTTTACTGATATACTATTATGTATTTACTAACTCCCCTGTTGCTTAAACATTCAAAATGCTTCAATCTTATATAAATTACATTGGTAAATTCCTCTATTTTTACATATACCTCTAATTAATTCCTTAAACTCGGGATGAAAGTTAAAAACATTTTATAGACTTTTCATTCATTCCTTCATGTGTAAATATTTATTAGGTATCTCCTATTTGCCTTTTGCCAGGTACTGCTTACTGGTGCCAGGGATGTAACAATGAAAAGACAAGACAAGATCCACAGTGACTTGGAATTTACAGTGTCACATATTCCAAGTCCACATATCCCTGTGTAATGTACTTCTGTTTTTAACAGATAATTTTTGGGGAGGCAAGGGAGAAAGGGTCTCTATCACCCAGGCTGGAGTGCAGTGGTGTGATCTCGGCTCACTGCGACCTCTGCCTCCTGGGCTCAAGCTATCCTCCCACCTCACCTTCTGGAGTAGCTGAGACTACAGGTACATGACATCACGCCCAGCTAATTTTTGTATTTTTTTGTATAGATGGGGTTTCACCATGTTGCCCATGCTAGGCTCAAACTCCTGGGCTCAAGCAAATGCCCACTTCAACCTCTGAAAGTGCTGGGATTACAGGCATGAGTCCTCATAACCAACCTCAATAAAATTTCAAAAATAAAACAAAGGCCGGGTGCAGTGGCTCATGGCTGTAATCCCAGCACTTTGGGAGACCTAGGAACACTTGAGCCCAGGAGTCCAAGACCAGCTTGGGCAACATAGCAAGACCCTATCTCTACAAAAAATAAAATATTAGCAGTCATGGTGGGGCACGCCTGGAGTCCTAGCAATCAGGAGGCTGAGGCAGGAGGATTGCTTGAGCCCAGGGGGTCAAGGCTACAGTGAGCCATCCCTGTGCCACTGTATTCCAGCTTGGGTAACAGAGCAAGTGCCTGTCTCAAAAAATAAAATAAAATGATACACTTTTTTTTTTCTTTTTTATCATAATGCCAGATTAAGACAGTTTGGAAGCTATTTTATTTCGCCTTCCCTTGACTGACCTCGTAAGCTCTTTAAATACAAAATAGTTAATTTATAATGTTCAATACTATACTTTTAATTCAATTATTATTTTGTCTATAAAGTATTCCTTCAAATGGTATAAAAGTCTTATACGTCTAATTTTTTTTCCCACGTCTCTAATTCCAATTTAGACCTTTTACGATCTGAAATTGATTATATTACCTTGAAAGTACATGATGCTTTAAGCTTCCAAGCCATTTCACATTATTCTTTCAGATATACTCTTCTGACACTCTTCTTACAGCTTTAACCCCAAATGTCAAATTTATCCTTCAAATCCTAAATTAGATATCACCTGCTTTGCTTTTTTTCTGGATAGCCCCCAACCTGAACCTCTTTTCATATATTGCTCTTTGGTATCTTCTCCTGAGATATCGCTTCTAAGGTAAGAGCATGGACTCTAGAGCCAATCTCTCTGACTTCAAATCATAGTTCTACTATTCCCTAGTTGTATCATCTTGAGAAGCTAATTAGCCTCTCTGAGTTTCAAATATCATCTACAAAATCAGGATAACAACAGTACCACCCTCATGGGGTTGCTGTGAAAATTAAACAAATACCTATGTTTGTATATATTCATATATAAAACCAGACATATAGCTTATAACAGTACCTAGGACATACTGTTAAATAACGAGAGCAAACATTATACATATCTGCCTTATCTACTAAAGTACTCAAATACTATACAATTTCATACAAGGTGAAATTTCAATTTTTTTCTGTAAAACAAGCAAAACTTACCCACTTTTGTTTTTACCAAAAGATCTAATGATTAACTCTATGTATAACGTTTTTTTAAAGACAATTATTTTTGCCATGTGGTATGAAATCCATGGATTAAGCTGCAGCTTGACTTCATATGTATTAAGGAGATTACATAGGTAAAAATTATTTTAAAAGTGAATGCTACACAAATATAACATGGCATTTTTATTAACTTCAAACACTAATCATTAGAGCTTTCAAAGAAATAAATAATGTTTTAGTTTAGACTAGTGTATGGAATTATAAAATGGTCCCAATATTCTATTTCTACATTATTAACTTCCTTACATATACGGTTCAAGTTACTTCAAGAAAGAAACCAAATATGCATAGTTTTTAAATATGAAAACCAAAGTTACCAGAACTGTCTTAATAATCCTTCACATATTTTTAAAAAGATATACAAACATTCCATATCAGATAGACTACACAAAATAGACTACAGATAGACTATTCTATATTAGATAGACTATGCAAAATATAAAAACCAAAGTTACCAGAAATCAGCCAGGCATGGTGGCTCATGCCTGTAATCCCAGCACTTTGGGAGGCTGATGCAGTTGGATCACCTGAGGTGAGGAGTTCAAGACCAGCCTGGCCAACATGGTGAAACCTCATCTCTACTAAAAATACAAAAATTAGCTGGGCATGGTGGCACACCCCTATAGACCCAACTACTCAGGCAAGAGAATCGCTCAAAGCCGGGAGGCAGAGGTTGCAGACAGCCAAAATCATGCCACTGTACTCCAGCCTGGGCACAGAAATCTCTGAACAAGAATACATATATTTCTAGAAAGATACTATAAACACTCCAATAGCAGACAGACTACACACATAAAGCTTTCTTACCTCATCATCTGAGTAGCTGTAGGCAGACGCAACAGCTACCCACATCTTACTGGCTACTGTCGCTGCTTGTTTCATACCAGATTTCAGGACATCTATCTTGGGCCCTGAGAGTATATTATCCAGCTTTAGCCCTGACAAAGAATTTACTACAGAACCCAACGAGCCATGTGGCGAAGAACGCACCAGTGCTGACAAAGAAGTTGAACGTTCTTTATGAGTTCGAGAGGGGGTTTGCTGCTTGAAACGCCCAGTAAAAGTTTTAGACCTGGACACTGCAGGTGAGCTCTTTTCACTTTCAGGATTTTCCTGTGCTGGTGAACCATGATCTAAAGGTAGGCTTGATCTCCTCTCTAGAGCATGAATAAATGCAGTAGTCATGCCAGACTCTCTGTTTTCCTCTCTGTGTAATTCCATACTAGAAGATTTACTACCTAGGGGACTTTTTAGGTTCATATAGCTTTCTATTTCATCAGCCAGATTACGTGCAATAACTGGAGAAAACAACTTATCTTCAGAATCAGGAGTTTTTCCTCCTGTACATTCAGTGGCTAAAAGAGACAAAGGATCTAGTCCAGTTTCAACATCTTCCCTCTGAACCACCTTAGCAATACCATATAAACTACTTCTCTTATTCCTCAGATCTTTGGATACTGTTTTCAAGTCTCTGGACTGATTACTGTTACTATCACTTAGTAGACTCTCATATGTATCTACTGTTGCAGTAGTTTTAGGTACGTCATCAACCACAGGCTCAAGGAGTTCTTGGCTTTCCTCAAGCATCTCTGGCACCGGAGATGATCTGTGCTCAGGATTCCAAGTGCTTTCAGACATACAAGTCCTACTATCAGGTAGGTGACAGCTAACATTCTCAAAGCTATGGGTTCTTGCAATATGAAGTAGAGAAGTCTTAGGACATGTCAATGCTGCTGTGAGAATCTTGGCATCTGCTCCCATCATGATAGCCATTTCACTTGAATTCGAATCCAAACTACTCTTCTTAAGCAACATTCCTGCTCGACTTTCAGAACTAAAACTACAACTCCTCTCAGGAAAATGCTTTTGTCTTTTTTCTCCTCTATCACCATTCTTCTTGAGATTAGTAGCTTCGCCAAAGACTGCATCTTCAACTGGATCTTGAGTAGAAAACAGCACATTTGATATACTACCTAAAAGGGAAAGTAAAATATTAACAATGAACCTATTTTCCAAGTTAACTTTTATTAAAATATTTATTGTTTTCCTGATTATGAATGTGACATATACTCAGAATAAAAGATCCAGAAAATTTAGAGGCCATAAAGAAAGTATAAAAAAAAGTGCACTGGAAAAGCTATTTAAAACTTGCCTCCCAGGGACATTTTAATGTATAACCTGTCTTTCATCCTATATTTATATAAACACCCATTTAAAAAAACAAATCATGCAACATATGATAGATGGATATACCTGTGTTCTTCACTAAAATACAGAAAAAGAAAGAATCTCTTCCATCTTAGTTTTGTATCCAATTCAACAAATACTTGCCAGTAATCTACTCTGCAAAAAGCAAATTTGTAATCTTATAGGAATTGTATATTTGCTATACTCAAAGTCTTACTGCTGTAAAGTAAAATAATCCGGAATGGAATGCTTAGCACTGGCAAATTCTAAGAAGGCTGATAAAATCTGAGTGGTTAAAAAATTATTCAGATATATCCATTTCTTCAACAAATACTAAACGTCTACTAGTAGCCACTATATGAGGTGCTAGGAATATAAAGGCAAATAAAACAGACATAATCCTAGCCTTCACAGAAGTCAGTCTTATTTGATCAGGTAGAGAAAAAATATGCTAATGGCCATAGCAGCTTCCCCCAGCTTTGGAAAAAGAAAGCAGTCTTTTACTCTTGGCTACCATGCAATTTGTTTCACTCCAAGACCAAAAGCTGTTATTTCCTATTTGAATCATTATTAGAACTTAAGTCTACCTGTTATGGACTGAATGTTTGTGTCCGCCAAAATCCACATGCTAAAATCCTAACCCTCAGTGTGACAGTATTAGGAGGCAGGGCCTTTGAAAGATAATTTGATCATGAAAGTGGAACCCTGATGAATGGGATTAGAGCCCTTAAAGGAGAGCTCTCTCCTTCTCTGCTGTACGAGGATACAATAAGTTAGCACTCTGCAACCTGGAAGAGGGCCCTCTGCAGAACTCACCATGCTAACACCCTAACCCTGGACTTTCCAGCCCCTAGAACTATAAGAAATAAATTTCTTTCTTTTATTTTTTTTTAAGTTAGGGTTATGCCGGGCATGGTGGCTCACACCTGTAATCCCAGCACTTTGGGAGGCTGAGGCAGGCGGATCACCTGAGCTCAGGAGCTCGAGACCAGCCTGGGCAACATGGAGAAACCCTGTCTCCGCAAAAAAATACAAAAATTAGCCAGATGTGGTGGCATTCGCCTGTAGTCCCAGCTACTTGGGGGTCTGAGGCGGGAGAATCCTCAATTGCCTGAGCCCAGGAAGTTGAGGCTGCAGTGAGCCATGACTGTGCCACTACACTCCAGCCTAGGCGACAGAGTGAGAGTCTGTCTCAAAAACAAACAAACAAAGTTAGGGTCTTGCTCTGTCACCTAGGGTGGAGAGTACAGTGGTGCAATCATGGCTCACTACAGCCTCAATCTCCTGGCCTCAAGCGATCTTTCCCTCCAGCCTGCCAAATTGCTGGGATTACAGGCATGAGCCACTGAGCCCGGCAGAAATAAATTTCTGTTGTTTATAAGTCACCTAGTCTGTGGAACTGTATAGCAGCCTGAGTTATTCATATTTAGGATTCTCATTTGTGTTTTTCTTTTCCTTCGTTTTCTTTTTTATCCATTGCTTTTTACTGTAGTCACATCATTTGTTTTGTTAAAAAGCATAACAATATCTGGGTGCTTCAAGGAAAAAAGCTGTCTTAGATAAGATCTTTCTTTTAAACTTCAAGATTGATTTCAAGGTTCTTTTTAATCTTTCAAGTTAGTACTGATAATCATATCAATTAATCAGAATAAGCATTTAGAGATATTCTTTTAAGCCTTCACGGGAATTAAACTAACCTATTTTACAACTCAAAATATGTACCTGCTTTGAAAGCTGGTCCCAATATTTGAGAAACAAATCCTTGCAAATATTATTGGTTCTCATAGTATTTCCAAGGAATTTAACGGCACATTTTATTCAATGTTTTTTAAAAAAAATTTGCTATACTGACAAAAGCCCCATTATCCTCGCCCTTCGTTCTTAATATGAAAATAAGTTAAAAGGGAAGGAAACACAACAGTCCACAGACGATGTCCAGTTCAATATTTTGAGAGGATTCTAAGCCTCTGACGAAGAAAACTCTTCCCTCCTTTTCCCCAGTATCTCTGCTATCAAGAGGTTAGGAAAATGGAATCTGCAATGTATATATCAATTATTTTCTCAAAAAATCTTTAGCCCCACCTCTTGAGCACTACCCAAACAAGTAATGAGTGAAACTCGGAGTCACGGTAAATACAAAGAGAAAAGACTTTAAGAACAAGGAGTACTTTTACATTGGTTTAAGAAGCTGAACAAATTAATTTCTGTACAGTCATACAATAGATACATTTTCAGACAAGACAGTCAACTTCAGAAAAGTCAACTGCAGCCACCACTAATGAAGGGCAAAGGATGCAGGCCAATTTCATTGTCTTTTAAAATCATATACTTGGATATGTGCCATAAGAGTCTTGGGAGACCTATATATATAATGAAAGTAGAAAACTCAAATTCAAGGGAGTCATACACACAGAGTTATTTAGTACAAACACTTAATCACAAATAAAAAATGGCTTGGGGTACCTATAACAATGGCCAAAATCAAAGATCCACTGGCATATCTGTGTAGAGGGGAAATGACGTGAATCTTTTTCTTCCATTTCCCTTCAGTGATAGGAATTAGCCTGCCACTCATAAGCCCTCTGGAATTTGATCACATCACTGCCTGTTCATGATGCATACAGGAAGCCCTAAAAGTACACTTTCTTATTATCTATAATGAGAAAGAGTGGCCAAACGGTGGACAGGCACCACAACAGGAAAGGGTATTCCAAATAACAAACACACTAAATACTCCTTTTAAAAATCAAACACCTTTAAATAACAATATTTTCAATTTCTTTAGCCGATTTAGAGAATTCAAAAGTCCCTTCTGGCTCTTTAGCATGTTCATTACAATTAAGTCAAAAATTTAATGTCATTAAAGACACATATGAGTCTATAAAAGTATATTTTAAATATTTAATAACCAAAATGTAAAGACTCACCAGTGCTACTTTTCCTGCTGTTGACATCAAATATACCAGACGGAACTTTCACAATACTGCTGCCCCATGCAGGAGGTTCAGTAGGACTGTGAGGCTCTGGACTAGGTTGTGAATGTTTTGCCACAATAGCAGAGGCATCACACACCTCTGGAAAAAAATATTTGGATGTTATCATTCCTACTTTTGCCAATATTAAACAGAAACCATATATTGACTTTTAGATATTGTATGTATTTTTCTCCAACAGTCAGTGTGTCTATTTTACTTTAGACACAAAGTAAAATAGACTGTGTCTGGTTTACTTTATGCCATAAATGCTGCCAATATTAACTGAAATAAATGCTTTGTTTTAGCATTCAATAATCCTAACATAAATGTTCTTTAGTGAATCAATTAAGTCTCTGGCCTTCAGTTCTCCTTCTCATCACTTGGCAAATGGAGAGGGGCTTGTTTCTCCATAACTCTGGAGTATAAAATAAATAACATTAAAGAAAGTACACTTTTGTGATAGAGAACAGGAAGAGTGTCTTATTCCATAAGCCAAAATATTCCTCCATGTTTTCATAAAATGATTACAACAAATTATCTCTGCCTTAATGAGTCCTATAAAAACCGGGAAAAACCACATAGACTTTTTTTTTTTTTTTTTTTTTTTGAGATGGAGTCTTGCTCTTGTCGCCCAGGCTAGAGTGCAATGGCACAATATTGGCTGACTGCAACTTTCGCTTCCCAGGTTCAAATGACTCTCCTGCCTCAGCCTCCCCAGTACCTGGGATTACAGAGGTGCTGCCACTATGCCTGGCTAATTTTTGTATTTTTAGTAGAGACGGGGTTTCGCCACGTTGGCCAGGCTGGTCTCAAACGCCTGACCACGTGATCCGCCCACCTCAGCCTCCCAAAGTGCTGGGAATACAGGCGTGAGCCACCACGCCCAGCCCACATAGACTATTTTTAACCTACCAATGAAAACTATGCACCTAGATATTTGAAGGACTGCTAGTGAAAGAGCCTTTTAGAATTAAAAAGGGCACTAAAATAGAAGTTTTAATAACTCAAAGTTTAGTCCTGGTTCTGTCAAAAGTAGCTATGTAATTTTGGCAAATACCTCAATGGGTCACACTTCCCTGGAAAATTATGGGCTGACCTACAGAGTCTCTAAAGGTATCTTACAGCCAGGTGTGGTGGCTCACACCTGTAATCCCAGCACTTTGGGAGGCTGAGGCAGGAAGATCACTTGAGCTCAGTAGGTCAAGACTAGCCGGGGCAACATGGTGAGACCTTGTCTCTACAAAACATAAAAAAATTAGCTGGGTGTGGTGGCACGTGCCTGTGGTCCCAGCTGACAGGGGACTGAGGCAGGAGGATCATATGAGGCCAGGAGATAGGGCTGCAGTAATACATGTTCTCGCCACTGCACTCAGCCTGGGCGAGAGAGCAAGACCCTGCCTCAAAAAAAAAAAAAAAAAAAGAAAGAAAGAAAGTTCTCTTAAATTTTAAAACTTCAGAGACTACCAAAATCTACCTTATGTAACAGTACACAGCATCTTAGGAGCCAGACCTTACATTTGTGAAAATAATCATCAAAGCTATCAACTAAGATAAACTTTTAATTATTAATAATACAGGTATTATTCTAAGTAAAGTTCGTAAATATCAGTACTTAACCTTCTGTTTGCATTTTTGTTTTAGTTATCAATTCTCTTGCTGCCTGTTCTTCAGGCACATGAATTTCTGCATCATCCTTTATAAGTTCATCCTTAGACCCGTATCCTTGGTCAGACTGACCACCTGTTAAAAAGAATGCAGACTTACATATAAATGTTTTCATATACTTATAATTCATATATAAAAATCACAAGAAAATTCCACTGATCTACACAATTACGGTTAGACAAAAGGAAGACAAGAAAGCACACAAGGAACACAGAACATTTTAAAAATAATGATAAGCCGCAAAGAACAGTAGAAACAGGAACATCAAAGACTAAACACATTTGGAAGCACTACATCTTAATTTCTTCATCTGTAAATTAAAAAGATTTAGACAAGATGTTTGGAAGTCTCTTTTGGAGACCGTGTCTACAGAATGCTAACTTCTCTGTAAGAATAAAACACACATATATCTGCTTACTTTTGCAAAAAGTAATGCAGGCAAAATAAACCAGAAAACAGTAAAGATGGTTACCTACCAGGGTTGGGGGGAAATAAGATACAATGAATAAAGAGGGAGAAAACTTCTCTATGTATGGCTTATGGTATTGCTTTTATCTTTGGAGATAGAATACACTTCTGCATGTTAAAAAAAAAATAAAATCAGTAAGATAGAAGGGGTGCAACTGAATGCAAATGGAAACAAATGAAGCCAACTGTATTTCACATGAATAACATAATCACACTGAAAGGGCCAGGGGAGGACTAATCCAAGTAACTTTGAACACATTATTTTGAGTATCTACCCTAAGCCTGGGAGTAACAGACAAATCCTGAACATCTTAGTAGGTTTGTTTTTGACAGAGAAATGGGTGTGACAATTCTGAAATTATTTTTTATGTACAGTACACGTATTTTCTAGCTTAGGAAAAAAGTTTAGAAGCAGTAACACTATGTTAACACTGAGCCCAAATCTTGGCTTCTAAAATCTATTCCCCATGAAAAAGAACCTGGGATCCCCGAAGAAATGGCTGATTCCAGAGCTCAGACAGAGAAGGTACAAGATTGAGCTAGAACATTCTGTTGTGCCAAAAAGGTAGTGCTCAGAAACATAATAGGAGAATATCTAAAGGACATAAAAACTAGCTTAAAGGAGCTCCCACTGGCCAACACGGGGATAATCTGAGGACCAAATAAGGACAGTAATGAATTATATTTCAATGAATAAAACAGGAGTACATCAGTCCATACTGATAATAAATAAGAAAAAAATAGAGAATGGAGAATTATCTATATACTACAATATCATCTTCTAAATATGAAAACAGTGATAGAGTTGGCAAAATCACCACTTTGTAGCCATCATAGTAATGACTGGTTCAGGCAAGCATCATCAATGGATGCCAAATTTAAAAGAGAAAGTGTCATGAGAAAGGATATTAGCACATTGTCTCAGAGTGTTCTTTCAAAAATAGCTTATCATCTGAGAGGAAAAAAATATTATAGTAACTATCCACAGAGAAACCAGACAATAGTGAGACTAGGTGATCCAAATTAATATCACCGATGAAGGTCAGACTGTGTGTGCCTGTAGGACGTGACAACCTGAGAAGGAGTCAACATCATTTACGTAGCACACCCATGGATGCATAACCTAAACACTAGGAAATAACAGACAAACCTAAGTTAAGAAACATTCCACAAAATAATTAAAATGAATTCTTCAAAAAGGCCAAGGTCATAAAAGATTTTTTAAAGGCTAAAGAACTATGCCAGGTTAAGGAAGACTAAAGAAAGGGGGTTAAAGTACCACAAGGAACACTGGGATAACTGACAAACTTGGAATATAAATTATAAAGTGGTATATCAATGTTTTCCTGAATTTGGTAACCAAAGTGTGGTTATATACAAGAGAAAATGCCACTGAAATAATAAAGAGGTAAAAGGGCAAGATGTATGTAACCTGCTCACATGACTTAGGAAAAAGAAATGGTATGTGCATGCATGCAGAATGAAAATAATAAAGGAAATGTGGCAAACTAAAAACAAGGGAATCTAGATAAAAGATATGAGAGTTTTCTGTATTATTCTTGCAACTTTTCTGTAAGTTTGAAGTTATTTCAAATATTTTAAAAGTCTTTTTTGACTTTATACTTCTATACTTTAAAATCAAAACTAAGATCAGGTACTAGAGAAAACAGTATAAAGATGTCAATAAAAGACACATAAAATAACATATGCAGTACCTCCATTTTCCATCACTTATTACACTGCCACTCAGACTCTGGGTTTGCCATACAACAAAAGAATTAAATGTCTTTAAATACTACTACTTAGAATGACTAACTTCAGTCACTTTTTTACTAGCTCCCTCAAAAAGTCTGGTAAAGCAATGTGGTGCCATGAAATGAACACTAGGCTGGGACCTGGGTGAATTAAAACCAAACATGCCCCTAACAGCTAAGTGACTCTGTACCAGGTACCAAGTGGAAAGATTCCACGAGATAATCCTTAATGAAATGAGCAACTTAAGCACCTGGGCTGAAGACTCCAAAAGCATCAAATGGCATCGCCAGAAGTTCTACAGAGACACACCATCACTGCAAATTCAGTATGTGGCATTCGGTCATTTGAAATGCAGCTAAAATATATATAAGGGGGACCTGAAGGTTTGTGCCCAACTATTGAAGTCTTTATACCAATTACCCAGCATTACTAGGAGATTGGTATTTCCATTAAAGGAGTAAATTGCCTCTATAATGAGGTAAACTTAAAAATCTGAAGGAATAAGGGGAAAGGTGTTTATGTATTACTATTACTATTCCTGGTAAACGTTTTCATACAAAAAAATATATTTTTTTGCTTTTTATACATGAAGCCCATTTCTTCTACAAGTATCATGAAAAAAATACTAGAGGAAATAAAATATGGTGGCTTTAAAATAAAAGTTTCATAAAAATTCTTATTTGTTAATATAATATACAAACATGATGGCAAACTGAGGAAGTTAATTACAAACAGGATTGTAACCTGTAGCTTTATGTTGACTTTCAAATTTACACATGCTCCTGTAATTATGTGAAGGTTGTTTTTAGCACAAGAATTCAGCAGATAAGTTTTGGAAAGCAATGGCCACACCACCTTAACAGCTGAAACAATTAATTCTTCAATGCCTATAACACTATTTGTCACACTGATGCTACAAACCAACCTCAAAATAAGAATTTTAGCAAGGCATAATATATTTTCAAATAAGATAACAAACATGCTTTGCAAACTGACCATAAAAAGTTAGCTGGATATTTTCAAGAGTCTATATATGATTACATTTATCTGAAGGAGAAAAGGCAAGAAAATGAAAACTGTTTACCACTCAAAACAAACTTAAAATACAATGAAAGGTCTTTCCCCCACCCTTGCAGGTCAGCAAAATTTAACCTAATAAATGGGAAATTACCTGATGTGGTTAACATTCAAGGGTAGAATTAATGCACACGTGTATCCATAGCTTCACGTCATATAAGTCTGTCTGCACCCCACACCATGACAGCCAAGGACAAATGCAGCACCAAGAAACAGCACAGAGCAAAAAGCAAAGCAACAAAGAGCAGAGAAAAGGAAACTTCAGTCATTGAGACAAGTTCATCAGATGAAGCACAGGAATTAGACCCAGAATTCTTTTTAAAGGAAGGCTTGAGATATTAAAAACAACCACAACAAAAAAACAACACAAGAAGAAGGATATGTAACACACATATATCTGCACAACGTGCTACTTTAGTTACACTTATTTCTAACTTCAGAGGAGAGGGATTATTCCCATGGCTATGTACATAAAAGCAGCTTCAATAACTTCTCAGATCTTAAAAAATGTAACTTAAAGAGAATACTTTTTCTCATTGTGTGACTTCCTTCCTTCCCTCTTTAATATTCATACTCTTGAAGTTTTAAGATACATTTTCTATTTAATTTTTTAAAAAGATTTGCAAGTTGTGTCACTAATTTTCAAGTTCCTTAGCTCATGATTCCTAATTATAGCATACACTTTCACAAACTAATGATAAACAAATACAAAGAAGCATCATGCTAGAGCACTGTGCACAGCACTCCCATACTAATTTTGTACTATAGGAAATAAACAGAAGTCATCTGCAGACTCGTATTGTTTCTCTTGTAAGCATACAGTACTTTTAAAGTAGTCATATCACACAAACTCAAGAATGGAAGAAGCTTTTTGAAAAAGGAAAGATTTAACATGAGAGTAAGTGAAGGGTTAGTAAAATCTGGATTTTAGTACCTGTGCTAGAGTGATTATCAATGGACTCAAGCCTGATTAAATCTCTGACGAAGACTGTGTGCTCCCCATTGTTAGCATCATTAGAACTATCCACACTACCGTGGCTCACCGTGTCCCCATCACTTCCACCTGTGACATTTTGAAGAGCTAAAGATAAGGACAATAGCAGTTCAATAACTCATGCATTGATAATCTCTTAAACTAAACATGATTGACCCACAGTTCATTTATAGTTGCAGAACACTTTCTAAATTTCTGGAAAAAAACAAAAATAATTTTGGACTAAGACAATCTGTCTTTAAATGTATGTGAAAATGTCTACCGGAATTTAAGTTTTCTACTTCACATAGCTAAAAATTCATATGCCTATAAAGCTCATGGTTCAGTAAGGAATTATATTTCTAATCACATGTATTACCTGATATTGAGGAGACCTGTGACCTTTGCACAGTCTTTTTAAGCGGCTGCCTAAACTGTGCCAAGCCACGTACCACATTCCGTACCTTCGTCCATAAGAAAATACCACTGCGGGTACTGCTAGGCCACGGGCTCTCCAAGACTACCTAAAGGTAAAATAAGGGTAAAAATAATGTTCATTAGCAATATCTGATTTTAAAAATACATACATATATGTGTGTGTGTATGTTTATATATATATATACACAAATATAAAAAGTTATACTGGCCAAGAGGTATATTAAAAAATGCTAAACATTACTAAACATCAGAGAAATGCAAATTAAGACTACAATGAGATATCTTATCACCTCATACTTGTTAGAATATTGTCAAAAAAAACAAAAGATGTTGATTAAGGATGTGGACAAAAGAACCCCTACACAGTCTTGGTGGAAATGCAAATTAGTACAGCCATTAAAAAGATTCCTCACAAACAGTATAGAGTTTCCTCAAAAAATTAAAACTAGAGCTACCATATCATCCAGCAATCCTATTACTGGGTATAGATATGCAAAAGAAATGAAATCAGTATATTGAAGAGAGATCTGTACTCCCATGTTTATTGCAGCATTATTCACAATAACCAACATATGAAATCAACCTAAGTGTTTATCAATGTATGAATGGATGAAGAAAATGTGGTATATATACACAACGAGATACTATTCAGCCTGAAATAAAAAAGGAAACCCAGTAATTTGTGACAATATGAATGAACCCAGAGGACATTATGGTAAGTGAAATAAGCCAGGCACAGAAAGACAAATACCGCAAGATCTCACATATATATGAGATCCAGGAAAGTGAAACCCATAAAAGCAGAGACTAGAAGTATGGTTACCAGGGGCTTTGGGAGGTAAGGGGAAAGGGGACACTGGAAGATGTTGGTCAAAGGATACAAAACTTCAGTTCAGTAGGAGAAATAAATTCAAGAAATCTATTGAACAACATGGGGACTACAGTTAATAACAATGTATTGTATTTTGAAAATTTCTAAGAGATTAGAAGTGTTCTCACCACAAAACAATGAAGGCATATGTTAATTATTTAATAGCTCGATTGAGCCATTCCACAATATACATATCTCAAAACATCATATTGTACATGATAAATATATATACTTTTTGTCAATTTTTAATAATTATAAAAATTATTAAAAAATTATATCCCAAAACTTCCTTTAATAGGAGTTTCATGAATAACTAAAGGTATACAAAATAATCATTCTTAATAAACACCACATCTTGCCTAATGTCGATCCTACTTACCTTATTATAATAACCATAAGTAATAGCATTAGGCTTTATCCTAGCAGTTTTCATTTCAAATAAGACTCTCACTGCTAAAACAGGATGACCCCAAAGTCCACAAAGCTGCATCACTACTCGATAGCACACCTAACAAAAAAAAAAAATCAGTGTCAGTAATTAGTATACTAATCTATCTGTGAATTGTAGAGATTTTACTGAATTCTTTCCATGAAGTTATTAAGCAGTATTTTCTCCTTTGTTCTGCTTTGAGCATCTTAGCAAATTATTTTTAAGACCTATTCAGGCTGGGCACAGTGGCTCACGCCTCACAGCACTTAGGGAGGCTGAGACGGGTGGATCACCTGAGGTCAGGAGTTCGAGACCAACCTGGCCAACATGGTGAAACCCCATCTCTACTAACAGTACAAAAATTAGATGGGCATGGTGGTGCATACCTGTAATCCCAGCTACTTGGGAAGCTGAGGCACGAGAATCGCTTGAAGCCAGGAGGTAGAGGTTGTAATGAGCCCAGATCACGCCACTGCACTCCAGCCTGGGCAACAGAGTGAGACTCTGTCTCAAAAAAAAAAGAAAAAAAAAAAAAAACCCAAAAACAAACCTATTCATTAATGCAAGTATCATCATTATTAACCATTTCATATAAGACATATGTGTCCATGTTCCATTTGTTTGAGTAACTAAATCTATACAAAGAGAAAGACTATTACTCCTCATAATTTGAGAGGTAATTCATTTCTAAAATCAAGGATAGAGGCCGGGAGCAGTAGCTCATGCCTGTAATCCCAGAATTTTGGGAGGCCCAGGCAGGCAGATCACCTGAGGTCAGGAGTTCGAGATCAGCCTGGCCAACACAGTGAAACTCCATCTCTACAAAAAAATATATACAAAAATTAGCCAGGCGTGGTGGCACGCACTTGTAGTCCCAGCTACTTTGGGAGAGTGAGGCAGTAGAATTGCTGGAACCCGGGAGTCGGAGATTGTAGTGAGCCAAGACTGCGCCACTGCATGCTAGCCTGGAGGAAAAGAGTAAAACTGTCTCTAAATAAAAAATAAATAAATAAATATAAATAAAATCAAGTATAATTGAAGTCTCTCTCTCCCCAATCACTATGCTTTCCATTCAATGCCAAAGGAATTAAAGACAGTATCTCCAAAATGCCTACAGAACAAATAGGATTTGTCTTTAAAAGAATGAGAAGACAGTTAAATATACTGTAACATTATTAGCAAAGACTTTTCATTTTTAATTCTAATCTAGTTCAAAACATCATTTATAGTTATCTTAACACCAAAAATAATTTTTAAAGGGAAAAACAGCATTGGAAAAAGCTAAATAAGTGCCTCAGTTTCCTCAGCCATTAGCTGGATAATATCAGTATCTACTTCTTAGGATGGTTTCTAAGGCTTGAGAGAGAAAATGCATGAAAATGTCTAGTATATCATTCACTGAGTGCTTACTATGAACTAGGCACTTTAAGTATATTAACTGATTTAACTAACCTTCAAACTAACCTTATGATGAAGGTGCTAACTATTATTATCTACCTCAGTGGTTCTCCAGGAGCAATTTCGCTCTCCGGGAACATTTTTGATTGTCATGATCTGTGCAGGGAAAGAGAGGCATACAGTTGGTAGAGGCCAGGGATGCTACTAAACATCCTACACAATGTACAAGACAGGCCCCTAAAATAAACAATTGTGTGGGCCAAAATATCAATAGTGCCAAAGTTGAGAAGTTCAAAGCTACATTTTCTAATAGATAATCCAAAACACAAATAGGTTCCATAGGCCAGGTGCAGTGGCTCATATTTATAATCTTGGCACTTTGGGAGGCCAAGTAGAAGGATGGCTTGACACCATGAGTTTGAGACCAGCCCAGGTAACATATCGAGACCCCATCTCTACAAAAAATAAAACTAAAAAAATTAGACGTGGTGGTGTGCACCTGTAGTCCCAGCTACTCAGGAGGCTGAGGCAGGAAAATCACTTGAGCCCTTAAGTTCTAGGCTACAGTGAGCTGTGACAGTGCCACTGCACTCCAGCTTGGGCACGAGTATATATATATATTTAAATATAAATAAAAAATATATTTTTAAATAGATTATATAACTCACCTTAGGACACAGGTCCTAAGTGGAGAGCCACTTACTAAAAGCCTATTCCCTATCTGCTCCCCAATAAAGTTATATTAAGAATAAAATGAAGCCAGCCACAGTGGCTCATGCCTGTAATCCCTGCACTTTGGGAGGCCAAGGTGGGGGTTCAAGAGCCAGGAGTTCAAGACCAGCCTGGGAAACAAAGTGAGACTCCATCCCTTAAAAAAAAAAAAAAAAAAAATCAAAAACAGAAAAACCATATGCCAGGTGCCATGATCACACAACCGCACTCCAGCCTGGGCGAGAGAGGAGTGAGACTCCATCTCTTTAAAAATAAACAAACATGGCCGGATGTGATGGCTCATGCCTGTAATCCCAGCACTGAAAGCTGAGGCAGGCAGATCACTTGAGGCCAGGAGTTTGAGACCAGCCTGGCCAACACGGTGAGACCCCATCTCTATTAAAAATACAAAAAAAAAAAAAAAAAAATTAGCCAGGTATGGTAACATGTGCCTGTAATTCCAGCTACTCGGGAGGCACAAGAACTGTCTGAACCCGGGAGGCAGAGGTTGCAGGGAGCCAAGGACGCACTGCTGAACTCCAGCCTGGGTGACAGAGTGAGACTCTGTCACAAAAACAAATCAATAATTAAAATAAAAAATAAACAAGTAATATGCACCAGCTCCATGAAACAGTAATAGTTTTACCTTTCCTGCTTAATGAAAATGCTTGAGCACACTTTAAAGCAACTTACACCCAAATTTTATTAGAAGTACAAAAATAAAATTTACCTTAGAAACAATGTCAATTTGTTATACTTGCCTCATCTAAGGGATCCACATCTGTTTTCCTCATCTTAATAAGTACATCATATGCCTGCTGAAGTGCTCTGACTTTAGGATGAGAAACTCTAACATAGGCCGGAAGACAAATAAACCATAAACTGTAACAATGACTAAACAGACACTTGGCCCACTGTGGTGGATTTGTATAACATCTCTTCGCCAATTTATGAGCTGTTTTTATTTCCTAGAAAGAGAATAAAATATTATGATATTTACTAAAATTCATTAGGGTGAGGGGAGAAGTGAGAAGGAAAAGGGAGAGGAGAATTTAAGTAAAACTTGACCCCCTAAAATCAAGCACTTCAAAGTTGACTTTTGTGAGTGGCTTCCTGCTTATCAGTGTTAATGGTTCCCCTGAACATTCATTTACAGTAATACTTCATACTATACCAAATCTATTTGTTAGCAAGCATGTGTCTCTTAACAGAGTAGAAATTAAGAGCAAAGATCATTCATCTTTTTGTAATAGAATGGCTCATGTCTTTTACAAAGAAGGAACTCATTTTTGATGGGTGAAAAAGTGATATTCCTCTCACTCTTCTCTTCACTAAAGTTTAAGATGCTCTAGGCTATCTCCTGCCAAGATTTCCACTCTGTCTTCCCAAGCTACAGTCTATGTTAACTCCCTCACTGACAGACTCCTTAAAAAAGACCTGTTTCTGGCCAGGTGCAGTGGCTTATGCCTGTAATCCTAGCACTTTGGGAGGCCAAGGCAGATGGATCACGAGGTCAGGAGATCAAGACCAGCCTGGCCAACATGGTGAAACCCAGTCTCTACTAAAAATACAAAAATTAGCCGCGCATGGTGGCATGTGCCTGTGGTCCCAGCTACTCGGGAGTTTGAGGCAGGAGAATTGCTTGAACCAGGGAGTGGGAAGTTGCAGTGAGCTGAGATTGTGCCACTGCACTCCAGCCTGGCGACAGAGCGATACTCCATCTCAAAAAAAAAAAAAAGGACCTATTCCTTTGCAGTCAACATAAACTTTCCTAATAGTTTGATAGTCATGTTTTCTAGTTCTGGTTTTCATTCAGATTTAGGTAGAAGAGAAAATTAGGTATCAAAATCATCTGGTGAGTTTTGGTGTTTTCTTTGTTATTTTTTTTTAAGACAGAGTCTTGCTTTTGTCGCCAAGGCTGGAGTGCAATGGCGTGATCTCAGCTCACCGCAACCACTGCCTCCCGGGTTCAAGTGATTCTCCTGCCTCAGCCTCCTGAGTAGCTGGGATTACAGGCACCCACCACCATGCCCAGCTAATTTTTTTGTGCAGATTTTTAGTAGAGACAGAGTTTCACCATGTTGGCCAGACTGGTCTAGAACTCCTGACCTCAGGTGATCTGCCCACCTCAGCCTCCCAAAGTGCTGGGATTATAGACGTGAGCTGCCGTGCCCAGCCATCTGCTGAGCTTTACCAAACTATATATATTCCCAGAAACTACAGAACCTATCACATATATCAGAATGCCATTTTATGCTCTGCACTGAAGATTCCTTGCTAGTCTATGTTCTAAATAAAAAAATCTTGGGGCTGGGCATGGTAGCTCATGTATATAATCCCAGCACTTTGGGAGGCCGAGGCAGGTGGATCACAAGGTCAAGAGATCGAGATCATCCTGGCCAACATGGTAAAGCCCTGTCTCTACTAAAAATACAAAAATTAGTTGGGCGTGTTGGTGGGCGCCTGTAATCCCAGCTATTCAGGAGGCTGAGGCAGGAGAATCGCTTGAACCTGGGAGGCAGAGGTTGCAGTGAGCCGAAATCGTGCCACTGCACTCCAGCCTGGATGACAGAGTGAGACTCCATCTTAAAAAAAAAAAAAAAAAAAAAAAACCAACTTGGTATATTAATTTTACTTTTGAGCTCGATCTCCATGACACTTCAGTACATATTTAAAAATACATGCCCTTGTTTTTCTAAGATCCTATGGTTCTTTTCTTTTCCAGTTAGCCTGAAAAAAAAAATTCTGCTATAAATGAGATTTAGAGGCTGAGTTAGCAAAATTTTCTCGTTTTAGAAATTTGCCTTTTGTTAGCTGGTAACAGTAAAAAAAAATTCTTTAGTATTCTCTTCAGACAACATTGAAAGAAATATGAACTGTATGAAATTAGGAAATACCTCAGGATATCTCTAGGATTTAGGGGACTATCCCATAAATTAGTAAAACCTGAACTAAGATTTTCATTGTGAAATTTTCCACATTTTAAATATCCCCAAAATGTCAGTGTATGTATAAAGGATGTTTAATTTTAACTCATACGTAACCACAGCTTAGTTCTTTATACCTAAATCACATATAGTAGTAAAGCAAGATGTCTAGGTTGTCCTAAGTTAACTCCCTTTGGATTGTAATACTTGGAATAAAGTATATTTACATTAGCCATTAGGGAAATGCAAATTTAAAATACAACTTCTTACTCACTAGATGGTTATAACCAAAAAGACAAACAATAACAAGAATTGACAAGGATATGTTGTGAAACTGGAACCCTCATACACTACTGGTGGGAATGTAAAGTGGAGCAGCCACTTTGGAAAACAGCCTGGAAGTGCCTCAAAGGGTTGAACACAGAGTAACCATCTGACATAGCAATTTACTCCTAGATATATACCCCAAAGAAATAAAAACATACATCCATATTAACACTTATACACAAATGTTCATTTGCAATATTCATAATAGCCAAGAAGTAGGAAGTATCCACATGTCTATGAATAGACAAATAAAATATGGTATATCCACACAATGGAATATTATTCAGCAATAAAAATTATTACTGATATATGCTGCTACGTGGATGAATCCTGAAATGTTACACTAAATGAAAGATGCCAGTCACAAAAGAATACATATTATGCAGTTCTACTCTTGAAATGCTCAGAATAGACAAATTTGTAGACAGAAAACAGACTTGTGGTTGCCTAGGGCTGCTGGGGATTGAGAATTGGGGTTAATGGCTAAAGGATGCAAACTTTCTTTTGGGGTTGATGAAAATATTCTAAAATTAATTGTGGTGGTAGTTGCACAAACCTGTAAATATACTAAAAGCCACTAAATCATACACTTTAAGTGGGTATGCTGTATGGTATATGAATTATATTTTAATTAAGTTTTCTAAAACTTAATTTTGCTCTTGTTGCCCAGGCTGGAGTGCAATGGCTCAATCCTAGCTCACCACAACCTCCGCCTCCCAGGTTCAAGCAATTCTCCTGTCTCAGCCTCCCCAGTAGCTGGGATTACAGGCATGCAACCACCACACCCAGCTAATTTTGTATTTTTAGTAGAGACGGGGTTTCTCCATGTTGGTCAGGCTGGTCTCGAACTCCTGACCTCAGGTGATCCACCTGCCTCGGCCTCCCAAAGTGCTGGGATTACAGGGGTGAGCCACTGCGCCCGGCCAATTCCTACAGATTATCTTAAAGCATAAATATAAGCATTCAAAAACTTCAGCCTTGATTGATAGATAGACAGATAGATAGATAGATAGATAGATAGATAGATAGATAGACAGACAGACAGACAGACAGACAGACACATATATAGACTTTTTTTGAGATGGAGTTTCACTCTTGTCACCCAGGCTGGAGTGCAGTGGCACAATCTCAGCTCACTGCAACCTGCATCACCCAGGTTCAAGCGATTCTCCTGCCTTAGCCTCCCGAGTAGCTGGGATCACAGGCGCCTGACACCACGCCCAGCTAATTTTTGTATTTTTAATGGAGATGGGGTTTCACCATGTTGGCCAGGCTGGTCTCTAACTCCTGACCTCAAGTGATCTGCTCACCTCAGCCTCTGAAAGTGCTGGGATACAGGCGTGAGCCACCATGCTTGGCCCAGACTTGATATTTTAAGTAGGCTTGCAAGAAATCTAGTTAAATTCAATAACAACCAAAGTGAGTCTTCAAATGGTTGTTGTGGGTGATCATTCTAAACTATGAGCTGCATATCACATATACATATTTTACATCTTAAATGAACATGTATTAGATAAAGAATATCTGACCTGTTTAGTTCTCTTAGCCATGAGAGGTGGACTCTTTGTAATGCTATTCCCAGTAGGGTGTCTACTAAAACAAAGTTTCAACTCCTGCGGTCTGTCAAAAAGCTTAAGGTCCAGTCTTGGAAAGTATTTGTAACTAAAATAAAAAAAAAAATAGAACTGCTGATTTAAAACACACCAACTCTTCATATTATTCCAGCGTTTAGGCAAATATTTCTAAACTTCAAATAGTATCCAACATTATTTTAAATGCTTATATAGAAAAAATACTTTTTCAAAATTTTTAAATGATATAACATACAGAGACTACCTTCATGAAAATTTTGTCTCTTCCCCACCCTATTTGTTATTTTCAATCAATCTCTAAAACACAGAAAACTCTGATATCTTACTTAAAGGGAGAAATAACTCTTTCAAGATAATCCATGTATTCAATAATTTATGTTTAAAAAAATTTTAGTATACTTCATAATTTTATGTTTTTCTTCATAAAATTACCTTGCATAGGTATTTAAAATAAAAAAAATCCATAAAATTTTTATTTTAAGGATGTACCACAATTTAAGCAGTTTTTCACTGCTGGACATTATTAGGTTGTTGGCTGTTTCTATATTTCTCCAATTAAATATTTTCATATGTATATCTTTGTGAATACCTTTGCTTAATTTCATAGGACAAATACCCAATAATAGAATTTGCTAGGTCCATGTTTATCAAAAGAATTAAAATTATTATAATTAATATCAAATTATTTCAAAAAAGATTATACTTAAACATACATTCTAACTACTAGCATAACCTATTCTCAATCTCAAAGGTTTCTATTCATCATTTTGGTTTGCATTTCTTTGAATGCAAAAAACCATAACATATTTTTATATTATTGACTTTGGATTTCTTGGAAATTGTCTACTTATTTCTTTTGGCCAATTTTCTTCCAGAATATAGCGCCTTTCCATATTTGATTTTATCTTGTTTGTCAATATCTGGATTCCAATTTCTTGTAGTTAAGCCAAAGCAGAAAAGAATTCTATAGTTAACATGAAATCAAAATAGTATTTAATCAAGCCATTCAATCCCAGATACATTCCTCATTCTGATCCAGTCCTCTTGATATTATACATTAATTCTCTATTTTGGGATGTACTTACTTTACTTTCTATTTTAGAAATTCTTTTAGAAATGCAGCCTAAGAAAATAACAAAGATATAGATAGCAAAGAACTACAAACAAATCCATGAGGCTAGTTAAATAAATCATAATAAATGCATACAATGTGGTCATTACAAATGATAAGGCACAAAAATATTTAATGGCATGGGAAAATGTTCAGACCACTAAAGGCAAACATAGATTACAAAGAGAATCTACCTGATGAACTCATACATGCAATACATACACACACACATCCACATGATACATACATACCTACAATTGTTAAGAGACACAAGTATTGGTGCTAGAATGATGTATTAGTTTTCCATTTTGGTTTGATTTTCTAAGTTTATTAAATTTATAGCAATAAAAAAACTACAAAATCCATTCTAATTTCTTAAAAGAGTCACATCCAAATCCTATCCTTTATCTTAATAAAGAATAAATTCCTGGCCCTCTACCTTAAGTTTTCTTGGTAAATTACTAATTCATAAGAATTTCACAGTCTTTGTTTCAAAATGAAACTCCCAAAGGGAGCAGGGAGCCTCATAAAAGTATCATTTTTCTTCTTCAGAATTGAAACTTTTAAAGATTAAAATACAAACACTAAGGTAAACAATGATCAACATCTGACAATACCATCCAATTCTTAAATTATAACACCTAGTGGCATTTCCATAAAATATTTATCTACATTAGTTCACTGAACTAATACTGAAAATGAGTTTCACAAAAGACTAATATACATATCTACTAATAAAAATTAAAAGAAACTGATAGGCTGTGCCATTAAGCTCTTTTAAAACTTCCTACTACCTGTACTTTGGTGACAGGTCCTTTCCATCATCAGGAGGTGGCTCTGGCGGCATTATAAATACAGTATGCTCACTTTTCTGTGAATCATCTAGTTCTATCAATCTGGTATCTTCTGCTGAATCAAAATCAACCTGAAAATCATTATTTTTCCCCAATTAATTTGCATACAAACAAGATCTAATTCTGAAATTTCAACCCTTAAAATCTAAGAAAAACATACCTTATCTGTTTTCTCTGTGCCTTTATCAGGAAACAACTAGAAAAAAAGAAAACAGATTCTTAATGAAAATGTCCACTATGAATTTAATAGACATTTTTATCTTACATTCTGATTTAGAAAAAAACTACCCCTTTTCAGTACCAGCTGATACAAAACATGCACAGTATATTTTTAGGCTGAATACATACTCTTAGGCTAAAGCATAATTTTTTACTTGTGGCTATTAGGATAGAAAACTATTTTGATTAGTTGTTTTGTAAACCTTAAGACAAAAGATGACCAATCACAAGGTTATCTGGCTTCTCAAATAAAAAATTTCATTATTATTAAGCCCCTTTATTAGTGATTGACATTAAACTTCTCATATAACTGGAAGATACTGGAATATCAATTTTGTAAATAAACAAAAATGTTGAATAGTTTTAATTATATCCCTGGAATTTTGGATCACACTGATAGGAGAAAATTATTTAAATCTTCTAAGGCATATGAATCATGAGGGGGCCATAAAAATTAATGTCATAATATTCAACTTTTTTTGGATACAATCTCAAATGTTATATAATATACAGTTTGCATAAACAATTGGCCCCAAGATCTACTTAGCAAAAATAAGAATTATATTAAAAGTTAGGAAAAATTATAACTAAGTCAAGAATCAATTTTAACTTCCTTAGGATGGGTGGGTAAAGCTTTAAAATTTAACGTATTTCCACCCTCCATTAGAACAAAAGAAACATATTAGGCAAAAGAATCTGGAAAGACATTAAAACAAAAGAACATAGAACTTCTATTACCCATAAAACTAAACATTTTTTAATTAAAAAACCTAAATCTTAAACTAAATCTTATTCATTTAAATTAAAAAAATATAAACTCACAAGGCTCAAGAAAATGTTCTTAGTTTTACAACTCAATAGTTGTAAAACGAAAGTGAGATTTAAAGAGAAAATTTACTGGCTGGGCATGGCGGCTCATCCTGCAATCCCAAGGATTTGGGAGGCCAAGGCGGGAGGATCACTTGAGCCCAGGAGTTTGAGACCAGCCTGGGCAATACAGTGAGACCTCATCTCTACCAAAAATTAAAAAAACTAGCTGGGCGTAGCACATGCCTGTAGTCCCAGCTACTCAGAAGGCTAAGGTGGTAAAATCACTTCAGGCAAGAAGTTCAAAGTTGCAATGAGCTATGATCATGCCACTGCACCCTAGCCTGGGTAACAGAATGAGATGCTGTTTCAATCAATGGATCAATGAATAAAGAATAGAAAAATTGGCTATATGTGGTAGAAACTTGAAACCACAAAGAATTTTATTCATATATTCAGCCCAGAATCGGTAACACATACACACACATACACAACCCTACTCTGTTTTCCTTATATCACTCTAGACTAACAATAACAATGATAATTACACAGGTAAGGCAAACTTTTTTTTCTAAACACTAGTATAAGTACAAACTTTTACCTTTTCTATGCAGTCATCAAAAAATGCTAATCCAGTATCTTTATCACTTACAAAACTGCATTCTTCAATGAAACGAATAAAAATCTGTGTTTTGGATAAAAGGGTATAGAATTTTGCATAGGCACGATCTCGACTTTTTAAAAATCCTGAGGAAAACAAAATATAATTAAATTCAAATTTTAAACTGGAATTCGATATTATAGGAAACATTAAACTTGTACTTATCTATATTACATTCTCTTTATATATACATATATATATCCATATTTAAAAAGAAGCTTCTATAGGTTGAGTATCTCTTATCTGAAATGCTTGGGACCAAAAGTGTTTCAGATTTCGGATTTTTTTTTTTAAGATTTTGAAATATTTGCATGTGCACAATCACATATCTTGGGGATGAGACCCAAGTAAACAGGAAATTCATTTATGTTTCACATATACATTATACACACAGTCTGAAGGGAATGTTATACAATATTTTCAATGATCTTGTGCATGAAACAAAGTGTGTGTTAAGTACTTACGTGTAGAATTTTCCACTTGTGGCATAATGTCAGCCCTCAGAAAGTTTCAGATTCTGCAGCATCTCAGGTTTTGGATTTTTAGATTAGGGAAGCTCAACCTGTGGTAACTGCATATATAGCTCCTTCTGCCTAATTAAACCACGAAAAATACTTCTATCAAACTCTTCACTGAAATCTAAATCCCCTATAAGGAACCTCCAGCTCTACAACTTTTAAGTAGAAATTTCTCTGATACTCTGCATACTCTTGAGTCCATGGTCAATTTCCAAAGAGTCAATGTCCTTCCTCTTTAATGTTGCAAGACCATTATTTCTGTATTGTGTTTTTAAAATTTCTGCTCATTAAAGTTTCAAGCATCTGACTATTCCACAATTTCCTCTATTAATCGTAGACATCTATTGATTTCAGGGACACTCCTTCATTCACTGAAGACCAAGGCATCTGATTCAAGGTCTCCTCCTTTCTAATTCCTACCACCATCATTCTTCCACACCCAGAAGCACAAACCATGAAAACACTTTAGATTCTTCTTCATTCCTTTTTTTTTTTTTTTCCAGACAGAGTCTAGCTCTGTCGCCCAGGCTGGAGTGCAGTAATGTGATCTTGGCTCACTGCAACCTCTGCCTCCCAGGTTTAAGTGATTCTCCTGCCTCAGCCTCCTGAGTAGCTGGGATTACAGGTGCCCATCACCACGACTGGCTAATTTTTGTATTTTTAGTAGAGACGGTTTCACCATGTTGGCCAGGCTGGTCTTGAACGGACCTCAGGTGATCAGCCCGCCTTGGCCTCCCAAAGTTCTGGGATTACAGGCGTGAGCCACTGCACCTAGCCTCTTTTCTTTTAAGAGATGGGTGTCTTGCTATGTTGACAAGGCTGGTCTCGAATTCCTGGCCTCAAGTGATCCTCCCATCTCAGCCTCCCAAAGTGCTAGAATTACAGGCATGAGCCATCATGCCCAGCCTTCATTCCTTGATTTTCAGTGATCCTATGCTCCATCCTACCTCAATCACCAACTTCAACACACAGTCACAGTCCCTTGACTTTCCTTGCCAGCATTCAAAACAACATTGCCTCTCAAATCTCTTTTTCACATCACTCCCAGCCCATTAGCTCTGCCTATCTGGTCTCCTTAATTAAGTATTTCTACTAAGTGTTTTAGGGTTTTTTGGGTTTTTTGTGCAGGGAGCAGAGAGGGAAGGCTCATGGAAATCTCCAATCCACTGGCCCCCTTATTTTTTTTTTTTTTTTTTTTGAGATGAAGTCTCACTGTATTGCCCAGGCTGGAGTGCAGTCAATCTTGGCTCACTGCAAGCTCTGCCTCCCGGGTTCATGCCATTCTCCTGCCTCAGCCTCCTGAGAAGCTGGGACTACAGGCGCCCGCCACCACGCCTGGCTAATTTTTCACTGTGTTAGCCAGGATGGTCTCCATCTCCTGACCTCGTGATCCGCCCACCTCGGCCTCCGAAAGTGCGGGGATTACAGGCCTGAGCCACCGCGCCTGGCCTCCACTGGCCCTTTTACTTCTATGTACATCCTCCCATCTTCACTTCTTTCTCCGTCCAATACTGATTCCATGCTATATCCATCATTTCAATTACTGTTTTGTCAATACTCTCAACCCCTCTGCTCTTTTGTCTTTTTGGTTAAACCTACCTAGCATAACCCAGCTCTGGAGGAATGTACTACTTGCCTTCTCTGGATCTGCATTAGGGTGGCTGAGCACAAGTTAAGGGGAAAAAAAGTTCCACAACTAGGCAGATCAGAAGCACTTATACCTTCATCCCTCACCAACAACCCTACTACATTTCTGGAATCAATTTAATTTTCCTCTTCACATGTTTTCACAACTATTTCCAATTTGTATGCGCTCTCCCTTCATGTTTTTTGTGCCCCCTCCGCACCCCGAAATGAGCATACTTCAGTGCAATGAAAATGCAGATCATTAAATAGAAACTATGTACACTATCTCACTACATAATTTATGACTCTTTAACAGCTATCCTTTATTCCTTCTGCCTTTTTACAGTGGATATGTCCCTCCTCCTATCTAAGGACAAACCATCACATGACTTCAGGATTCCAGCCCCTTCCAGTGTTCTCAGGATAAATCTCCCTCTCTATTAGCTATTTCTCTTTTTTTTTTTTTTTTTTTGAGATGGAGTCTCACTCTATTACCCAGGCTGGCGTTCAGTGGCGTGATCTCGGCTCACTACAACCTCCACCTCCCAGGTTCGAGTGATTCTCCTGCCTCAGCCTCCTGAGTAGCTGGGACTACAGGCATGCGCTAATTTTTGTATTTTTAGTAGAGACAGGGTTTCGCCATGTTTGCCAGGCTGATCTCAAACTCCTGACCTCAAGTGATCCACCTGCCTCAGCCTCCCAAAATGCTGGGATTACAGGCGTGAGCCACTGCGTCTGGCCTCTATTAGCTATTTCTCATCAGCATACTCAAGTCTCTTTTTTCCATCTAAAAAACAAAAACAAAAACAAAACAAAACAAAACAAAAAAAAAAACCTTCGATCTGCTCCTTCCCTTTTTTCTGTTGTTTTACTTCTTATAAAGGGCATGGCCATTCACTTGGTTGTTAAAGGCAAAAACCTCAAAGGTGCTCTTGATATCTCCCACTCTACCTTACATTCCATATTCAATCACCAGGTTCTACTCAATCTAATTCCTAAAAAAATCACTCTTCTATTCACACTATCATCAATTAATCCAGGTCACCTCTAATAATCCCTAGAACCAATGTGACAACTTCCTAATTAGTAGATCCATGCTTCAATGTCTCCAGTGCAATCTCTGTATGGAAGCCAAGGAGATTCTTCTTTTTAACATTTCAAAGAGTGACTTTTCAAAAAATGCAAATCTGATCCTATTACCTAATGAAATATCCTTTACAGGCTTCCAATTACTCTTAGGATAAAAACTGAAACCAGCACTAATCCTAAAAGATCCTGCATAACCTGGTTAATGCCACCATTTCAAACATGGTTTTCTCTGCAGCCTTTCTTTCTTTGATGCTGTGGTCCTGACTGCCATCCCTTTTAGATACTAATTAGTAGAGAAAAGCTTAAATAAAATAGAAATAAATTATTCTCCACAAGTTATAATGAAAGGCTTTCTTTCCTTCTAGTGGATCCAGGCAATGATCAGCAAAGGCTGCTAGACCAAGTAAGTCAAAGGCTGATGGGTGAACTACAATGAATGAGTGAGGGTAACAACACTTTAAACCTATTAGGAACACTAAAAGTAGGACAGCCAGACATGTATGTGCCTCATAAGATGATGCAATAGGAAGAAGTGAGCACCACGTATTTTGGCACTTCTTGCCAAGAGAATTAAACCTGAATTTAACCAAGCCCCTAGATCTGCACTGTTTAATTCAGTAACCACTACCTTCATATGGCAATTTAGCACTTGAAATGTAACTGACCCAAATTAAGACACACTAACTAAAAAATACATGCCAGAATTCAAAGATGTGGGCCGAGCGCAGTGGCTCACGCCTGTAATCCCAGCATTTTGGAAGGCCGAGGCAGGCAGATCACCTGAGGTCAGGAGTTCGAGACCAGTCTGGCCAACATGGCTAAACCTCATCTCCACTTAAAATACAAAAATTAGCCAGGCATGGTGGTGCGCGCCTGTAATCCCAGCTATTAGGGAGGCTGAGGCGGGAGAATCACTTGAGCCTGGGAGGCAGAGGTTGCAGTGAGCCAAGACTGCACCACTACATTCCACCTGGGCAACACAGCAAAGACTCTGTCTTTAAAAAAAAAAAAAGATGTTTGTGAAAAAAGTAAAAGATTTCATCAATGATTTTAAAAATCTGACTACATGCTGAAATGCTACTATTTTCCCCCTATTTTTTACTTTTTTATTGTGGCTACTAAAATAATTTAAAATTTTATATGTGGCTTACGTTATATTTCTACCGGACACTGCAGCTCTTGAACCTACCACAAGTTTACAGGAATACAAGTGGCAGAAGAAATGGTAAATAACAACATAAGGATAAATTAAGCCAAAATCACATATACAAAATCCCTAGTTAATTCCTATTGCTTTTTTTGGGCCCAAACTTAAAAGTAGCACACTAAAGGATACCTTAGGACACTAATATTCCTTGTTATTTCTTCAAGGAATATTTCTCTGACCTAACTAGCACTCTCACTGTAACCAATACTTTCCTTCGAAACACACTTATTAAGATAGTTAGTATTACATTTTTTTCTTGTCTAATGTCTGTGTCCCCTAGTAGACCAAATGCTGGACTGTTTACAATAAAACTTTAGGGCCTAGAAACTGAGTAAGTATCTTTTCAAATTCCTTTAGTGATGTCACTTCCGTACAATCCATATTCTTCATCTGGCATTTATAATTACCCACAATCTGAGCCTAATCTTATTTTCAGCCTTATCTTCCACAGCACCTCTAAAGCTCATCACTCTGGTCAAATTGTACCATCTAATCTTTTTTCCCAAATGTGCTGTCATGAGTGAAACTGTGTCCCCCTCAAAATTTATATATATATATGTATATATATATGTGTGTATATATATATGTATATATATATGTGTGTATATATATATGTATATATATATGTATGTGTATATATATGTGTGTATATATAAGTATATATATATGTGTATATATATGTATATATATGTGTGTATATATGTGTATATATATACACACAAATGTTTATATATACTATATATGTTTATACATATGTTTATATATATACATATATAAATGTGTATATATATATATACATATATGTGTATATACGTGTATATATATACATATATTTTTTTTTTTGAGATGAAGTTTCACTCTTGTTGCCCAGGCTGGAGTACAGTGATCTTGGCTCACCGCAACTTCTGCCTCGCGGGATGAAGCGATTCTCCTGCCTCAGCCTCCTGAGTAGCTGGGATTACAGGCATGCACCACCATGCCTGGCTAATTTTTGTATTTTTAGTAGAGACAGGGTTTTGCCATGTTGGCCAGACTGGTCTCAAACTCCTGACCTCAGGTGATCAGCCTGCCTTGGCCTCCCAAAGTGCTGGGATTACAGGCATAAGCCACTGCACCTGGCCCAAAATTTATATATTAAGTTCCTAGCCCCTAGTACCTCGGAATGTAACTATTTGGAGACAGGGTCTTTAAAGAGGTAATTATGCTAAAATGAGGATTATTGGGTAGATCCTAGTTCAGTAAGACTGGTAGCCTTGTAAGAAGAGGATATTTGGACATAAAACAAACACTGAAGGAAGACCACATGGAGAAAATACCTATCTACAAGCCAAGGGAAGAGGCTTCAGAAGAAATCAAACCTGCTAACTACCTTGATCTCAGTTTAACCTCCAAAACCACGAGAAAATAATTTCTGTTGTTTAAGCCACCTAGTCTGTGGTACTTTGTTATGGCAGCCCCAGCAAACAAATCCGCAGACCTTGTGCTTTTCCTCTTGAGGCTATTTCCATTTTGTTATTACCATGAATGATAATAGCTGTTATCATGAATATTTTAAAGTACTTGTACTAGCACAATTGCTTCACATATATTTTCTCATTTAATCTTCACAACCATGAAGTAGGTATCACCCCCATTTTATTAATGAGAAAACTTTATTTATTTATTTATTTTTATTTTTTAATTTTTTTGAGATGGAGTTTCACTCTTGTCGCCCAGGCTGGAGTGCAGTGGCATGATCTTGGCTCTCTGCAACCTCCATCTCCCGAGTTCAAGTGATTCTCCTCCCTTAGCCTCCCGAATAGCTGGGATTACAGGCACACACCACCACACCTGGCTAATTTTTATATTTTTCGTAGAGACAGGGTTTCACCATGTTGGCCAGGCTGGTCTCGAACTCGTAACCTCAGGTGATCTGCCTGCCTTAGTCTCCCAAAGTGTTGGGATTACAGGCGTGAGCCACTGCGCCCATTAGAGAAAACTTTAATAAGCTCCAGGAAGACTTTATAAATAACAAAGTAGAAATTCTAACTCAGATTTGACTCTTAATGCCTATGGACTTCCAGAAAGCCTTTTCTGTTCTTCTCCATTTATCTCCATTCTACCCATTCTTCCAAGTCATGCTTCTTCCACGAAGTCTTCCAAAACACCCATTTTGAAATACTGGAATATTTGGAAGAACATCCCTTTTTTTTCTGAACTCTTAAAACTTCCAAATTAAAACTGTGTAAAATATGTTTTCTTGAGTACTTGTTCTATTTTTAAAATATCTTAATTATTTTCCATTTAAGATCCCATAGAGCTAGGTTTTATACTTCTTTATATTCCTACATAATAACTAGCCAGTAAGTAGTAACTAAATATTTAAGTGGTAAGTTACACTAAAGCAGAAAAGATAAAGGACAAAAGGATTATTGGGAAAATACAGATTTTTTTTAAAGTAATCACTAGGTAAAAAGCACAGAGAAGTAAAATAATTTCACATAAATATTGATATAGATGTAAGATTGCTACTACATATATAACAGTAGCTGAATAACAACAAAAATCTCTATAATTCCCTAAAACAAAACATACTAAAAATAACGAGTATACGTTTTTCCCTGGAACAAAGTTACATTAGTCAAAAATGGTTAAAATGTAGTGCCCTCATTGCACAAACTAATTGTAAAGCCAAAAGTGTACACATCTGGCCAAGTGCAGTGGCTCACACCTGTAATCCCAGCATTTTGGAAAGCCAGGGAGGAGGATCACTTGAGGCCAGGAGTTCAAGTCCAGCCTGGCCAACACAGCAAGACTCTGCTCTATTAAAAAAAAAAAAAAAAAAAAGTGTACAAATCCAAGGAACTATGCAAAATTGAGGAAATACCTGAAGGCAAATCTCCAGTTATGTTCTACTAAAATAACTGACTACAAGATATTGTAAATATAGGTAACATCTTTGACTTTTCATAATTAAATATCTCTAGTTTCAGATTTCTCAGGAGAAAAATGGGCTATAAAAATTACAAGAAATTCTAGTCATAAAGCTAGGTTACAAATACATGGAGGTTCATTATATTTGAATGTGAATTTGTAATAATTTATACAATAAGTATTTCTTGGCAGCAACATCAAATATAAAATATTTTTCACCTCAATAAAAGGAATTGTACTTTCAATGCTACTCACCCTGTCGGTCAAACAATGAATCAGCAGCTGTGGCTTTATTTGAAGGAGCCTCTGTGATTGGTCTGAGATATGTTCTATATCCTTTTAAAATAGACGCCATAAAGCGCAAAAATGCCTCTTGAATTTCCATCTCAAGCTGTGTCATCTTCTTTTGCCAGGAGAAATCTGCTTCAATTGGAGTCATGTCAATCGCTGAGCCTTCTTGAGTTTTTTGGTGAACTAACAAAGGAAATAAAAACAGAAAATGGTATTATGTTAAATTTAAGAAGAATTTTCTCGTATACATTCCTTCATTAATAATATTCCTTTTCCCTCACATTACCTGAAGACAGCTGGGGATACAATTTCTTTAAGGTGCTAAGTAGATTTTTGCACGGCTTTTTGGGAAGTTGCTTCCAGTTCATGTTCTTCTTTTCATCTGATCTATTAAATCAGAACAAAATTCATAAAATGTGTTATTCATAATCTGCTTTTACTAGACAAAATTCTTGCATCAACCTAAAACAAGAAAATGGAAAAGATGTTTTTACTACAGTCTTAACTGATGCAAACAATTTGAATAAGTGAATTTCAAGGAAGTTCTCTTTTCATTCAATCGACCTCTGTCAAATTTAGCCATCTCATTCTAACCTTCCAACATATATTTTCAATGTTGGAGTTAGGAATACAACACTGAAGTCTAGATTCAAAAGTTACATTTTAGAATTATAATATTCTAAGTGTCAAACCTAGTTGACATGAGACTTCAAACTACCTACTGGTAGGCTTCAAAAATGCTGTGTGCCCAAAGACAAGAACTGGAATTTAAGTAAGGATTAAAAGCACATGTAGTTCATCCAGCCCTCACAGTTAAAAATAATCATAACGCCATTATTCAATATAATCTATGATCATGAAACAATAAAAACCAAAGCCAGACCAGCCTGGCCAACATGGTGAAACCCCGTCTCTACTAAAAATACAAAAATTAGCCGGGTGTGGTGGTGTGTGCCTGTAGTCCCAGCTACTCAGGAGGCTGAGGCAGAAGAATCACTTGAACCCAGGAGGCGGAGGTTGCAGTGAGCCGAGATTGCGCTACTGCACTCAGGCTTGGGCAACAGAGCAAGACTATGTCTCAAAAAGAAAAAAAAAAACCCCAAAGCCATAGAGATGACCATTTTTAAAGGTATTACTAAAAGCTTCTTTTTCCAAAATTTTATATTCCGAAAATATAAAATATATGTGTGTGTGTATATATATACACACACATACATATATGTACACGTATATATACACACATACATATATACACGTATATATATACACATACATATATACATGTATATACATACATGTATATATATATATATTCCAAGAATATAAGAATATAAAATACAGCAGACAACTGCCTAAAAAGCCCTCTTCTTACAAAAGTTAGCATAAATATAACAAACTTTCTTTAAAATTCATGGTTAAGCTGGCAAGAAAATTGGGGACATCTTCACGGGTTGAAAACCCAGAGTAACACCAAGGCCACATCTGCCCTGAAGATTAACAGACAGCCTTGGATTTTAAAGGCTTCTCACAGAACAGGACACATAGTTTCAGTCTCACCAAGAAGTATGTTAGAACTGAAACTTCCAAATAAAACTGGTACCCTTGAAAGTCTGGCTCAGCTTTTTCTTTTCTTTTTTTTTTTTTTTTTGAGACGGAGTCTCTGTCGTCCAGGCTGGAGTGCAGTGGTACGATCTCAGCTCACTGCAACCTCCGCATTCCAGGTTCAAGCGATTCTCCTGCCTCAGCCTCCTGAGTAGCTGGGATTACAGGGGCGCGCCATCACGCCCAGCTAATTTTTTATTTTAGTAGAGACAGGGTTTCATCATGTTGTCCAGGCTGGTCTCAAACTCCTGACCTCATGTGATACGCCCACCTCGGCCTCCCAAAGTGCTGGGATTACAGGCATGAGCCACTGCACTCAGCCTGATTCTTTTTTTAACCCAAAATGCTACAGTTGTAAGCCCTTTACCTAAGTCAGTGAATTGCTTAGGTTTCTCTAAATGTAGCATGGCATAATGAAAAGGGCAGAGATTCCAGCTTTAGGATCAACCTGGAACACTGGTTGTACCTTTATTAATGAAATGATTTTTTAATCAGGTTCTATTTTGTATTATTTTTCTTTAGCACTCAGTGCAGTTCACATGCAGTTTTTTTTTCTAAGCAAGTCATTGCATTTTGGAATCTTTTTTTGCATACTTACATCTTTTATTTTAACAAAATATGTCAATGTTTTTTAAATTTCAATAGGTTTTTGGGGAACAGGTGGTGTCTGGTTACATGAATTAGTTCTTTAGTGGTGATTTCTGAGATTTAGGTGCACCCATCACCCAAGTAGTATACACTGTACCCCATGTGTAGTCTTTGAGCTGTCGCCCAGGCTGGAGTGCAGAGGTGCGATCTTGGCTCACTGCAACCTCCACCTCCCAGGTTCAAGCGATTCTCCTGCCTCAGGCTCCTGAGTAGCTGGGACTACAGGCGTGTGGCACCACACCCAGCTAATTTTTTGTATTTTTAGTAGAGACGGGGTTTCACTGTGTTAGCCAGGATGGTCTCGATCTCCTGACCTCGTGATCCGCCTGCATCAGCCTCCCAAGGTGCTGGGGCTACAGGCATGAGCCACTGCGCCTGGCCTCATGTGTAGTCTTTTGTTCCTCAACCTCCTTCCACCCTTTCCCCCAAGTCCCCAAAGTCCATTGTATCATTCTTTTTTTTCCCCTCTCTTGAGGGGAAGTCTCGTTCTGTTGCCCAGGCTGCAGTGGAGTGGCACAATCTCAGCTCACTGCAACCTCTTCCTCCCAGGTTCAAGCGATTTTCCTGCCTCGGCCCACCAGGTAGCTAGCATTAGAGGCACATGCCACCATACCTAGCTAATCACTGCATCATTCTTATGCCTTGTGTCCTCATAGCTTAGCTCCCTCAGCTTGGATTTTGATTAGGGGAGGGATCTCCCCTGAGAATTCATTACTATATGCCTGCCAACTAATGGGTTATGAGTTTGACAGCACGCTACTGGCATGGCACAAGAAACTGTAAGTCAAAATAACTAACTTCAAGTGCTCCCTGGCTTAATGCCACCAGAATGGAAGCAAACATAATATCCTCTCTGTAAGGATAAACGTCTAATAAAAGAGCTAACACTTCCCTTGTGTCTGGTACTGTTAAAAGACATATTTTAACGTCTCTTGAAACTGTGTCTTAAAAGTGATGGCATGTCAAGTTTAACTCTGATCAACTTCTCTCATTTTATGTAATCGCTGTCTAATATTTTAGTGCTATCTTTTAACCCCACCCCCAAATAAAATACTGTCATTATCGTCTGGATTAACATCCATTTGTAATCTGGCCCTGACGTTTACTATCTGTGTGAGTTTGTATACATCAGTCAACTAGTCTGTTACTCAATTTTCTGATCTGCAAAATGAGGACTGATAATGTACCTAATATACAGGGCTACTGTGGGTAGATGAACTACATTTCATCTAATCTAAGGGGCCATCAATTGTAAAATTCATTGTTTTTGTACCAATTAGAGTAAGAGGATATTGCCAATTAAAGTATTTTAAAGTCTACTTTACTGCTTAAAAAAAGAGTAAAATATTAATTTTAAGTTCTAAGTACCCATATTAAAAAATTAAGAGGAATCATTAAAGGAACATAAATATGAAATTATAGACACACATAATATAACATTTAGGTAAGTAGATGGGAAAAAAACAGAATAATTCATTCAATCTGAAAGAGAGAAAAGAATAACAGCAGAACAAAAAGGACAAAATAAGACAGAAATGTTCAAATATATAACAATATATGTAAATTAATGGACTCTTCAATAAAAAGACAAATGTTAGATTGGATTTTTAATGCCAGTTATATACTATGCACAGAATATCTGAAATTAAAGGGATGGGAAAAGATATACCAAACATAATATATCTAACATAACGTATTAATGAGAAGAAAAGCACAAACTAACAAAAAGAGCATCAGTGATTTTTTTTAAAGTGGCTACAAGACAAAAGTATTCATTTCACTGCAGAACCATTTTGAACTTGAGTGTCCCTCATAACACAGCCTTAATTAAGTACATAAAGCAAATGTCCAAATAACTATAAAATGCAATTGACAAATCCACCATCACACTGGGAGTTTTAAAACTTTAGTATGATCACACAGCTCAAAAATAACTTAAAACACATACACACACCCTTGTTCCATGTCTGCTCAGCTCCCTCACCCCCATAATACATAATCACTAGTTTCTTGTGCATATTTTAATGTGTCTTTATTCCAAAACTAGCAGATACAAGTAAATACAACTATTCCCTGCCTTTTCTTTTGCACAAGTAGCAGCACACTGCAATACACAATTACCACCTTGATTTTTTTCATTTAATAATTTGTAGCCGGGCATGGTGGCTCACACCTTTAATCCCAGCACTTTGGGAGGCTGATATAGGCATATCACTTGAGGCCAGCAATTTGAAACCAGCCTGGCCAACATGGTGAAACCCCATCTCTACAAAAAATACAAAAATTAAGTGGCCACGGTGTACACGCCTGTAATCCCAGCTACTCGGGAGGCTGAGGCATAAGAATTGCTTGAGCCTGGAAGGTGGACATTCCAGTGAGCCAAGATCGCGCCACTACACTCCAGCCTGGGCGACAGAGCAAGACTCTGTCTCAAAAACAAACAAACAAAAACAAAATATCTTTTGTGATTTTTTTCCCAATACAGAAAGCATCCTTGCTCATTTTACAGCGCTACAGTAGTATTCCACTGTAGGAGCCATTTAACAAGTCTGGGACATCTGGATTTTTCTTTTTCTATTTTGAACAAACATGATTTCATACAAAATAAAATGTTAGGATCAATTCCTAGAAGTGGAATTGCTGTAGTATATATATTTGTAATTTTGACAAATGTTGCCAGATATCCTCCATAGAAGCTGTCATCATATATATCTCACTTCTAACTGCAGTGAATGCATAAAGACTGCTTATTTCCCATCATCCTCAAATAGCATGCTATTTAAGCATTTCATTTTGAATTTTTTTTTTCTTTTTGGCCAATCTGAAAAGTGAAAAAGCAGTATCAACATGAAGAACTAATGTGGCATTTCTCCTATAATGAGTGAGGTGCTTAAGCATTAAATAAGCTTAAGCTTATTTGATTTTCCGTGAAAAGTCTTCATAGTCTTTGCCTATTTTTCTATAGAGTTATTGGTCTTTTGACAATTTCTAGGAACTCTTTCACATAGAATATTTACAAAAACTGACGATATACTTGGCTTCAAAGCAAATCTCAACAAGTAGTAACAGAGAATGTTCTGATCACAATTCAACGGAGTTAGCATTTAAGAGAAAATAAACTTTGTGGGGGCCAGGCGCAGTGGCTCATGCCTATAATTCTAGGACTTTAGGAGGCCGAGGTGGGCGGATCACCTGAGGTCAGGAGTTCCAGACCAGCTTGGCCAACATGGTGAAATCCTGTCTCTACTAAAAATACAAAAAAATTAGCCAGGCATGATGGTGCATGCCTGTGGTCCCAGCTACTCAGAAGGCTGAGGCACAAGAATTGCTTGAACCCAGGAGGTGGAGGTTGCAGTGAGCCAAGATTGGGCCACTCTACTCCATCCAGCGTGGGAGACAGAGCAAGACTCTGTCAAACAAAGGAAAAAAACTTTGGAAATTCAAAAGACAAACTTTAATGTAATACATAAGTCAAATAAATTTTTTTGATAAAAATAAAGAATATTTAAAGTCTACAAAAATAAAAGCATTATATACAAAGTATGGTCCGCAACTAAAAAGCCATACATCAGGCCAATATCATTTATGAACATCAATGCAATTATCTTAAATTCTTAGCAAATTTAATCCACTATAATGATGTTTATTTCAGGAATACAAGGACTGTCTACTACTAATTGATTTTATAATGTAATTTACCACACAGAGTAAAGGAGAAAATGCTCATCTCAACAGCTGAACAAAAAGGTTTTTTTTTTCCTTTCACATCAGACAGGTAATATGCCAACATCAAGTTGTAGGAGGCACATCTCACACATGTGCGTGAACATCCAATCATCAACGCTTATCAACTATAAGAAGATCACAAAAAGTATTTATAAAATTCAGTATCTACTTATGATTTAAAAAAAATTTTAATGACATAGAAGTAGAAGGTAAATTCCTTAATTTATAATTAAGATATCAAAACTCTAGAGGAAGGATAGGCAAATTTTTACTGAAAGAACCAGACAGTAAATATTTTAGGCTTTAAGGACCATACAGTCTCTGTCATAACTACTCAAATGTGCTGTTGCATCATGGAAGCAGGCATGGGCCATATGTAAATGAATGAGCATGGCTGTGTTCCAATAAAACTTTATTTACAAAAACAAGCTTTGGGCCAGATGTCAATCCCTGTTGTATATCAATAATCATACTTTATGACAAACTGCTCAAAGTATCCCCTTTGAAATTAGAAACAAGACAAGATACCAACTATAACTACTTCTGTTCAACATTACACTAGCGATCCTAGCTGGAGAATTAAGATAAAAAATTTTAAAATACATTAGGATAGTGTAAGTAGAGAAATGTGATGTTTATAGGCAGAAAATTGAAGATAATATACAAATTAAAAAAGGAATTCAACTAAGTTGCTAGATATAAGACCACTATATAAAAATCAACTACATTTCCTAGCAACAAGTAGAAAGTCTAATTTAAAATACCATCTACAGTAGCAATAAAAACTGAAAGATACTTAGGAATAAATAAGTCTAACAAAAGATGTGAATTATCTTTCTGGAGAAAACACAAAGTTCACCAAAAAATTCTGAAAAGACCAATGAAGTGAAATATCACATTCATGGGTCATATTTCTTGTGCATATTTTCAACGTGTGTCAAAAAGGTATCATCTGCCTCCAAACGAATCTATAAATACAATATATATTAACCACTTCAGGTAAACATTCCATGATGTATACATACACCAAAGCATCACATTGCACCCCATAAATATATACAATTACGATATCAATTAAAAAAAATTTAAAAGGTAAAAAAAAAAATTCTAACAAAAATCCCAATGTAATTTTGTGTGGAGCTTAATAAGATGGTATTAAAATTTACATGGAAAAACAAAAGACCAAATAGAGTCAAAACAATTTTTAAAAAGAACAGGAGTAAGGGGATTCACCATGGACATTGCCAAAAAAAAAGTCTCATACCATGACTTTTTAAAACAGTTTTATTAAGATATAAATTCATACACCATACAATTCACACATTTGACCTGTGCAATTCAATGGTTTTTATCATATTCACGGAATTGTGTAACCACCACTACAATCAATTTTTTTTTTTTTTTTGAGATGGAGTTTTGCTCTTATTGCCCAGGCTGGAGTGCAATGACACGATCTCAACTGACTGCAACCTCTGCCTCCTGGGTTCAAGCAATTCTCCTGCCTCAGCCTCCCGGATAGCTGGGATTACAGGCATGCACCACCATGCCCGGCTAGTTTTGTTTTGTTAGTAGAGATGGGGTTTCTCCATGTTGGTCAGGCTGGTCTCAAACTCCCGACCCCAGGAGATCCACCCGTCTCAGCCTCTCAAAGTACTGGGATTACAGGCGTGAGCCACCACTCCCGGCCTACAAGCAATTTTAGAATATTTTTATCACCTCAAAAAGAAATCCCATAGTCACTTAGCTTCCAATACTCCCATCCTCTTCATTCCAAGGCAATCACTAATCAATCTACTTTCTACCTCTAGAGATTTGTCTGCTTTGGACATTTCATTGAATTATAATATAAGGTCTTTTAACATAATGTTTTCAAGGTTCATTCATGTTGTAGACAACTTAATTTTAAAGCCATTAAGACAGTATAATACTGGCAAGAGATTGAAGCAAATCAAAGGAAAAGAATTAGCCCAGATACATATTTATACAAATGTAGAAACTGATATGTCACATCAAGTTTAGCTGAATTAAATAACTAAATGAGAGAGGCAAACCTCACAACTTAAGAAATAACCATGATAGTATTTCATGGCCTCAAGGCAAAATATCTCATATACAAGAACCAAAAACAGTACTCCATAAAGAGAAATTAATAAATTTGATAAATTAAGATGAGCCCCTGTTTATCAAAAGATACCATAAACACAATGGAATGACAGGTCACAATGTGGGAGAAGCTATCTGGAATGCATACAGCAGACAAAGAATTAATTCCAGATTATATATACAATTTCTACAAATCAAAAGAAAAAGACAAACAATCTAACAGGAAAATGTACCAACAAAAGGAACATCCAATTCACAGGAGAGGAAAACCAAGGGGCACAAAGATATGAAAATCCTCCATTTGCTACTAATAAAGGAAATGTGAATTAAAGCCACAGTGAAATACCATTACCATCAAATTGGTAAAAAATTTAAAAGTCACCACAAGTGTTGGCAAAGATATGAAACAAAGAGAACTCTCATCTGCTGAGGACGGAGTAAACTTGGGAGAGTAATCTGGTATTAGCTATTAAGTTGAAAATGCTCATTCCCTACCAAGCAACATTAGCGCTTCCAGGTATATGCTTCAGAGGAATTCCTGAGCATATACTCAAGGAAATATATACGATGATCAGAACAGCTTTGTTCCTAACATCAAAGATCTAGATACAACCTAGATGTCCATCAACATTGATCACTGTTGAAAATGAACTGAATGAACCTCACAAAGAATGGTGAGCAAAAAAGTAATTCACAGAAAACTATTCAAGTAGAAAAAAATTTATAAGTATGCAAAACAAAATTTTATTTAGATTAATATATATATAATAAATGTTTGAAAAATACATGTATGTGATAAACTCCAAATCTAAGATGATGGTTGGATTTGGAGTTTATCCAAGATGATGGTTGGATCTGGAGCTCCTCTCTGGGAGAAAGGAGCAAAATATGGTTGTGGAGGACTATCTAGGGATTTCAGATTTATTGCTAATATTTTCTTTTTTTTTTTTTTTTTGAGACAGAGTCTCGCTCTGTCGCCCAGGCTGGAGTGCAATGGCATGATCTCCGCTCACTGCAACCTCCACCTCCTCAGTTCAAGCAATTCTCTTGCCTCAGACTCCCGAGTAGTTGGGATTACAGGCGCCCACCACCATGCCTGGCTAATTTTTGTGTTTTTAGTAGAGACGGAGTTTCACCATGTTGGCCAGGGTGGTCTTGAACTCCTGACCTCAGGTGATCCATCTGCCTCGGCCTCCCAAAGTGCTGGGATTACAGGCATGAGCCACTGTGCCCGGCCTATTTCTTAATAAAGTTGTGGTGAATAGATACAAGTTATTTACATTATTCTGTATAATTTGGAGGTATTTCTTCTTTTTTTTTTTTTTTTTTTTGAGACAGAGTCTTGCTCTGTTACCCAGGCTGCAGTGCAGTGGGTCAACATGGGTCACTGCAGCCTCGACCTCCTGGACTACAGTGATCTTTCCTCCTCAGCTGCCTGTGTAGCTGGGACTACAGGCACGCACCACCACTCCTAGCTAATTTTTTATTTTATGTAGATGGAGTCTCACCAAGTTGCCCGGGCTGGCCTTAAACTCCTGGGCTCAAGTGATCCTCCTGCCTCAGCCTCCGAAAGTACTGAGATTAAAGGTGTGAGACACTACACCTGGGCACATTTTATAATTCTTTAAACACAATTGAGCATGCCGGGCACAGTGGCTCATGCCTGTAATCCCAGCACTTTGGGAGGCCAAGGTGGGTGGATCACCTGAGGTCAGCAGTTCAAGACCAGCCTGGACAACATGGTAAAACCTCATCTCTACTAAAAATACAAAAAAATTAGCCAGGTGTGGTGGCACACGCCTGTTAATTCCCGCTACTCGGAAGGCTGAGGCAGGAGAATCACTTGATCCCAGGAGGCGGAGACTGCAGAGAGTCAGGATTGCACCACTGCAACTCTGTTGCCTGGGCAACACAGTGAGACTCTGTCTCAAAATAAATAAATAAATAAATAAATAAATAAATAAATAAATAAATAAATACAATTGTGCAAACACTTCACATTTATTTTAGAAAATAATGTTTTGATTACCAGAAGTTTTATAAAAGTTACTCAAAACTGCGCAAAATTAAGAATCTCCATATTATTTTATTCAGAATAAAAATAAAATAAGGTAAAAAATCTGAGTATTAACTTCACAAATAATCATTTCTAAAAGTACCACAATGAATACATTCCTGAAATAATTGTTTTTCAGGGAGAGTAGCCTACAAACAATAAAATGTGTGCTACAAAAAACTAATTCATGCAAGTTGTTCATTACTTTCAAGCTGTAAGTAAATCTAAATATACATAAGGAGCCACTATAGCTATACAGTTTCAAAATACAATGGTAGATCCATGTCAAAATTATATTTTAAGTTATAGCAAATGTTTTCTTCCTCCCTTAGGTTATTTTTTTGGTTCACATAAAAATATTTTCCCAACGAATTCTACTGTTGGAACTATTCAGGCCTTACCCAAAATATTTCTCTCTTCATTTTCTACCAATCTCAAACAGTAAAGAATAAAAGCGTTCTACGGCCTGGAAGTTGGCACCAACATAAGAACATTTTTAATACTTACTGTCCTTTCCCACTTTTGGTGGGGAAGTGGTAACCCTTAAACATCCATCCAGAACTATTTCTTTTATTAATGTAGTTTGCTACTCTCTGAACCCTCAGCTGTACCACTGCTGTACTTAATTATCACCTTCAGCAAACACAAACTATCACTGATTTTTAATATAAATTTCTAAGCAGTAAACAACAGATCCTTATAAAATTAAAATCCCGACAACTAAGCAAATGGTATAATATCACCCTATACTGTAGCCAAACTTTATCTCCAATGGGTAAACCCATTTTACTTACATATGGATTTTGAATTAAACCCAGAAAGCATATCATCTCTTGAGCTCTGAAAGCAGTGTTTAACCATTACTTTTCCAACTCATAGTCTCTTCTGATAAACATAAATATCTCCTGCTTACATTTAATATTGTTACCCAAATATAAACTATTATAATACTGAACATTTTTTTTTCCCAAATCACACAGCATTCCCAGATTCTGATACCTGCCCTGGTTGAGAGCTGCTGTATTTAAGACGAAGATTTAACAACTACCAAAAATAGCATATTTCTAGATGCTTTCAAAGAACTGTAACTCTACATAGTGAAAAATATAAATGGGAGATAATATAAAATGAATCAACTTACACATATAACATGTTCGTATCCAAGTCAATGCAAACAACATCTTGTGGTGGGTCATGAAGATCAAAATACCTTGAGTCAACTCCAACTATAAATGGTAAAGGTGCACTAAGCACTGCAGCCAGTGAAAGAGGACAAAGGGGAATATATGGGCATTGCCACTGAAATGGAAAGATCATCTGGGGAAAAAGTTTTAAAAAATTAACCAAATTTTAAATTTGCAATAAAAAATATATAAGTAACTAGTATTACTGAAAAGGGACCACTGAAAAGCAGTTAAGTCTGTTTTGTTTACCTTAAACTTCATTCCAAAACTAAATGACTATAAAATACTACTAAGCAATGCTAAGAACAAATGTAATTAAAATTTTCAAGCCATGACGATGATCATAAGCACAATAAAAATACTAACAGCTTTTTGCATGTTAATTCTTCTAGTATCTATACAAAGCACACATTCCAATTTTATGGAAAGAATCAAAATAAAATAAAATGGCCCCAAATATCATAAAATAAACTTATTATCTTTAACTCTTACACATTTCATTCACCTATTAATTCTCAAAATTACCTCAGATCAAAATCCAACTAAAAGCATCCAGGATTTAAAAAAAAAAAAAAACTAATTATTTTCCAGGGAATGCTAACAGATAATTAAAGAGCTCAACAAAAAAAAATTCATGGCCGGGCGCGGTGGCTCACGCCTGTAATCCCAGCACTTTGGGAGGCCAAGGCGGGTGGATCACAAGGTCAGGAGATCGAGACCATCCTGGCTAACAAGGTGAAACCCCGTCTCTACTAAAAAAAAAAAAAAAAAGTACAAAAAATTAGCCAGACGTGGTGGTGGGCCCCTATAGTCCCAGCTACTCGGGAGGCTGAGGCAGGAGAATGGCGTGAATCTGGGAGGTGGAGCTTGCAGTGAGCAGAGACTGTGCCACTGCACTCCAGCCTGGGTGACAGAGTGAGACTCGGTCTCAAAAAAAAAAAAATTCGTAACTCTTCAAATAAACATCAGTGATGTTTGACATCTTAAAAATACTGTCAATTGGCTGGGCACGGTGGCTCACATCTATAATCCCAGCACTTTGGGAGGCTGAGGTGAGTGGATCACTTGTGGTCAGAAGTTTGAGACCAGCCTGGCCAAGATGTACAAACCATGTTTCTACTGAAACACAAAAATTAGCTGAGTGTGGTGGCACATGTCTGTAATCCCAGCTACTCGGGAGGCTGGGGCAGGAGAATCGCTTGAACCCGGGAGGCAGAGGTTGCAGTGAGCCGAGTTTGCACCACTGCACTCCAGCCTGGGCAACAGAGCAAGACTCTGTCTCAAAAAAAAAAAAATCAATATAAAATATTCCTCTATCTAGACATGATAAGACAGAAAAAGAAAAAAGAGAAAAAAACATTCCTCAAGAATCTTTACCCATTTTCCTTTACAAAGCTTTACTTCAATTGCATCATTTGTGGGTTTTTTTTTTTTTTAAAAAAGACAGGTTTTGATGTTTTTTAAAAAAGACTAAAACATGTTAAGGCCAAATGCAGTGATTCTCAACACTTTGGGAGGCTGAGGCAGGAGGACTGCTTGAGGCCAGTAGTTCAAGGCCAGCCTGGACAACAGAGTGAGACCCTCATCTCCACAAAAAAATTAAATAAATGAATAAATTTTACAAAAAAAAATTTAATAATTAGCTAGTACTAAAATTTTACTGATGATAATGTTTTTCTTCTACTATAAAAATCCCTGTTATCTTTTAAGGTCTAGTTCAATTATCACCCTTATCTGTCATCACTCACCCCAAAGAAATGCCTATAACGCTTACTACCCCTGCCAGCTATTACAGAGGGTTATTCAGGATTGGAATTTTGTCTTCAAACATTTATTTACTTAATATTTGGGCACTTGCTATGTACCAATCACTGTTCTACATAATGAGAGCTTAACAATAAATGAAAGAGATCACTCTCCTCATGAGGTTTATAGTTTAGGATAAAAGTCAGCAACTTTTTCTGTAAAAGACAGTAAATATTTTAGGCCTTGTGAACCATATTGTCTCTGTCACAACCATTTAACTCTGCTGTCATGCATGAAAGCAGTCATAGGCAATATATGAATAAATGGCCTGTGTTCCAATAAAACTTTATAGAAACAAGTGGCAGGCAGGATTTGGCAGGCAGGATTCGGCCACCATTTGCAAACACCTTGTCTAGCAGGAAGAGAGAAAATAAATGAAAAACATAAGGAATAAAATATTATACTACAGGTTGAGCATCCCTAACCTGAAAATCCAAAATCCAAAGTGCTGCAAAATCCAACACTTTTTGAGCACCAACATGACACAGAAAAGAAATTGCTCACAGAAGCATTTAGGACTTCAGATTTTTAGATTAGGGATGTTCAACCAGCATGTATTCTGCAAACATGCCAAAATCCAAAAAAGTCCTCAATCCAAAGCACTTCTTTCCAAGCATTTTAGATAAGGGATATTCAACCTATATGTCAGAAAGTAATAAGTGCTATGAAAAAAAAAAAAGGAAAAGTAAAGCCAAGTAAAGGACATTAGAGTTCAGAGCAGAAGAGAAGAAAAGCAGGTTCTATTAGGACAAACAGAACAGGACTCATTAATAAAGTGACAACAGAGCTGAAACCTGAAGAAGGTGAGAGATTTAGCCAAGGGGATATATAAGAGAAGAGTGCTTTAATGAGAAGGAACAGCTAGGGCAGAGGCCTTAAGGTATGGGGAATGCCTAATGCTCCCGGGATGGTAAGGCCAGAATGCTGGAGAAGAGTGAGCAAGAGGAAGAGGAGTGGAAAATAAGATCAGATTGCTGAAGGGCAGAGCCACTCACAAAGGACCCTGCAAGGACTTCAGATTTCTTTGAGTGACAATTATCTTCTATTCAACAAAAGGTATGTTACACCTGCAACTATCACTCACAAAGGATCCTGCAAGGACTTCAGATTTCTTTGAGTGACAATTATCTTCTATTCAACAAAAGGTATGTTACATCTGCAACTATCACTCACAAAGGACCCTGCAAGGACTTCAGATTTCCTTGAGTGACAACTATCTCCTTTTCAACAAAAGGTATGTTACACCTCCAACTATCTAAGAAACCTTAGAAAAAAAGCTATATGCTAGCAAAATATGATATCCTTCTCTTCACCTTTGCCTTTTTGCAACACTATAGGGTCACTTTTTATAAAGCACTTGTACATTTTATCAATCTTTGCTATGGGTCTCCCTTAATTCTTTGATATTCTTTGATATTTAAATCATTCTCCTTTTGATGCATTTGTTTTGTAACCATTCTTTTCAATGTTCTCTTCTTCAAATGGTAACTGGCATAACTACCAAATCATGACTTATAAATAATTTTGCATGCAATTCAGACAGCTCTCCAACATCAGTTGCATAAACCTCATATACTCTGGCATTTTTCATATGATTACCAATTCCATGTAGCACTTTTTTCAGCTGTTCTTGCACCATACTACTGAAATCCATCAAAAGACTTGGCCACCACGATTCTGACAAAGGGGCTTCAATAAACACTGTTTTAGTAAGGAATATTTTGGTGGGAACTTATTTTTTTTGAGACGGAGTCTTGCTGTGTCACCAGGCTGGAGTGCAGTGGCGCAATCTCAGCTCATAGCAACCTTCACCTCCTGGGTTTAGGCGATTTTCCTGCCTCAGCCTCCCGAGTAGCTGGGACTACAGGCGTGCACCACCACGCCCAGCTAATTTTTGTATTTTTAGTAGAAATGGAGTTTCACCATGTTGGCCAGGATGGTCTCGATCTCTTGACCTCGTGATCTGCCTGCCTTGGCCTCCCAAAGTGCTGGGATTACAGGTGTGTGCCACACTGTGCCTGGCCTGGGTGGGAACTTTCTAGAACTGGTCAGTTCATTAACAAATATTTTCATATTCTAACAACTTTTGCTTTCACACACAACTGTGATGACTTGGAAAAGTAATACTTAATGAGGATCCTCCTGGAAGCTTTCTCATATGGTTACTATTGTTTTCAGTCCTAACAGCACTTCTTCAACCAGATTAAGATCTTGGAGACATACCCCATTTGTTGTTTTAACAAGTATTTACTGAGGGCCTACTCTGTGCTAGGCAACTGTAACAAGTGCTGAAAATACAGGAGTAAACAAGAGATTAGGTCCTTACTCCCAGGAGACTTACATTCTTAAAATGGGGAAGGGAAGAGAAGAGAGTCAGCTATTTTAAATTAAACAACTAATGGGTGATAGGGTTGGAGAAGTGGACCATCTAAAGTTCTATACAATGGCCTATAAAGCCCTATACAATCAGACTTCATTCTTCAGTCTTTTTTTTTTTTTTGAGACGGAGTTTCACTCTAGTTGCCCAGGCTGGAGTGCAATGGTGTGATCTCAGCTCACCATAACCTCCGCCTCCTGGGTTCAAGCAATTCTCCTGCCTCAGCCTCCTGAGTAGCTGGGATTATAGGCATGTGCCACCACACCCGGCTAACTTTGTGTTTTTAGTAGAGCAGGGTTTCTCCATATTGGTCAGGCTGGTCTCGAACTCCTGACCTCAGGTGATCCGCCTACCTCAGCCTCCCAAATTGCTGGGATTACAGGTGTAAGCCACCATGCCTGTCAATCAGACTTCATTCTAAGTGCAATGGGAAGCCAAAGGGTTTTAAGCAGGGAACAACTTTAATTTCTTAACAATTTAACAATTTAATTTTATTTACGCTTTACACAAGAGCTAAGCCTCTGTATATTATCCTATTTCACAATCACTTAGAATTTCCTGTATATTACTGATTCACAATTATTAAAAGTTAAAATAGGGAGAAATTAACCATGTAATCATTTGCATAATTTTAGAACAGCTGAAATTGGCCAGAGCCTCTCAATACAACCAGCTTCATTCTCAGGTTTTATTATATAATCATATAGTTTTTACTCTGGGAAGAACTCAAAAATATGAAAAATTGGAAATTGACGTTTTTCCTAAAATAGAAATCACCTTTGTTTTCTTTATATTTCCTACTTCTCTTTGCCAGCAGATTATATTCAACTTTTACTGGGCTGGAAATTTTTCAAAGTTCCTTTTTTTAAATTTGTTGTTGTTTACAAAGTTGCTGTTTTTGAAGAAAATTTCCCTTTGGAGTAAAAATTATGTCAGTAATTTTGTACTAAAAGGAAAATTCTATACTTACAGCTACAACAGCTTCAGCTACCCCAGTCAAGACAGCTGGCCTAAGAGAATGCAGCAGAATTTTACTCTCAAGTAAAACAAAGAGCAGCAGTGTTGCACAATTCTCAGGACCCAGATTCATTAGCAAGGTGCTAAAGTTGGCTCCACTAGGGAAAAAAAAGAGAAAAGTAGATCATTGTGAACTATTTTGCTGAAATATGTTAAGATTTGCTTATTAAAGTATCAACAGATTGAGAGTCTAGTGTTAATTTCTAGTCTTTACTTATTTATCAATGAAAAGTAGCAAATTTAATAAGATAGATAACGGGGTGATTTAAACTCATCCTCTGGTAATAAAAGGCATTTATCAAGAAAGATTTTCCTGAACAGCCATTTGAGTTGAGCTCAGAAGAATGGAGACAAGGATGGGAGTGAAGGGGTGACAGACAATATATGCAAGGGCCCTGGGGCAAGAAAAAGCTGTTGTCATAGCCAAGAAATTGAAATAAATCTATTGTGACTAAAGCATAGTAAGGGAAAGGGTGAAAACAGCAACAGATTAGGCTGAAATTGAAATATACTATTATATTTGCGTTTTCAAAAGGACACACTGGCTACAGGGTGGATAAAGAACTAAAGGAAGATAAGTAAAAAGGTACCAATTAAGAGGCTAATAGTGAAATAGTCTGGTAAGACATCAAGGAAGCCTACTATGATGCAGATGAAAAGAAGTAAAAGGATTTGAGACATTTAAAAGGTTAAAATCAGCTCACCTTAAACCTTTAGTTATGAACTGGATATGGGAAGGGGAGATGAGAAGAAAAGGGAAGTATCCTCTACATCCAATCTTGCAACTCTCTTAATTGTTCCCATTTATAAAATAGCCCCACCATCCACCCAGTTACCAAAGTCAGAAACATTAAGGCTATTTTTGCCTAGTTTTAACTAATAAAGTTAATTGTAAAATAACAATCACTAATATATTAATAATATACTAATCACTAAAATATTTTAAAGCATTCTGCTCCAACTGAATAAATATATCATTTTAAATACCAGTAATTACCTTAGTGGTAAAGGTGTAGAAACTGGCTGTGATAATATTAATGCATCATGGACTGACAGCTTAAAAAAAAAAAAAAGATAAATTAACCAAAGATAAATTAACCAAACCAAGAGATAAGTTTCAAAACTACTTTTGAAATCTATATATTTAGATCAAAGGTAATATTGAAAACATTAATAATTTAATATGCAAACACACTTTTGGAAACAGGTACTAAAATATAAAATGATAGCTGTATTTACTCAGAAGTGTTACATTAGTTCTTTTTCATTAAATGGTTAATTTGACTGAATTTTGATTCACTTAATTGGTTAAAGTACAATTATTTAAAATTTATGGAACTACTGCTTCTGAAAAGCTTCAAATTCATTTACTCAACAGACTGTAGGCACTTGGCAGTTGCTTGGCACGTAAATACTTGTGGAACTGAAATAACATTCAAGATCAACAATATCTGACTTAATCCCACCATACATAATGTTAAGAATGTCTTAGAAAAACTTTTAAATGGCTTCCCTCTATAGATCAGTGCTACTGAAAGTATGTTAAGTATGTCAGTAAGTTAATTGTTATGGTCCAGAAAGATACAGTATATAAATGAAGAGCAAACCATTAAGCAACTTTTATGACAATCTGACCTCTCTCCTATATCCAAGCATGTGATCAGTAGAACTATTATTATAGAGAGGATATAGACCTGTTCATGTTGCATATGTCACAAGCTGTACACCTACCTACGTCTGCTACTTACTGAAAATAAAAAGAAACTGGTCCTTTAGCACAGTACTATTATAGACCTTGTTTAAATTAACCTCCTCCAACCATTGCTCATTTTATATTCAATATTTATTAGAGAATCTGGTATTAAAAACATGCCCAAACATAATCTGGGTTTTATGTTATTAAAACTAGCTACATAAAGGTCATGCATGGGCCAAAAATGAAAATGTTATGAACCAAGGGTTATAATTATTCCAATTCAGTACACTCAAATCCAAAACCCAGTAAGAAAGGGTGTTCAGTAAAGCTACAAAGCACAGAAAATCCAAGGACTTTATGAATGCATATTGCTCCACCTCAAACCCAAAGGTATACAGAATCCACTCTGCAATGACTCAGGTGAGCATATGCAAAGTTCTCCCCAAATATACTCTCTTTTGATTACCTGGACAAGGATTCTCGGTCTTTGTGGTGAAGGAAAAGGGATGTTTTGCATAAAATGTGAAATGTGCCTAGAAAAAAAAATTTGAAATAAATATAATAATTACTTTTCTAAATGCATCACAGTTTTTAACAAATCTTAAATATCACTATATATCATCCCAGATATGACATGGCCATTTATCTAAAATGTAGGCTAAGTAAGTAAATTTGCTCCATGTAAATGAATTTATCCATGCCCATTAAACTTCTGAAATACACAATGTATTTCCTGACTTAAAGTCTATTTATATCCCCTATCATTACCCAACAAATAAAAATAACATAAAAATAGTTTTCATGAAAGAAGTGAATTTTTATAGCCCTGGTTATCTGTGCCAGTACAGGGAGCAACTAACTGTGCTATAATGAATTTACACTAAAATTCAGTTTAATCCCAGATTTACTCCTCTAACACTGGATGAACCACCTACCCATTCTATTTTTGCACCTATAAAAATTGCTTCTTAAGTTTCTCCAAAGTTTGGAGCTCTTAGGAGCCATAAAAACGCAACATATTACTTCAACTGAAAAAAATATTGATTATATACATTGATTTTATCACAAGCTATTCATAGAATCTTAATTTTTCAAAAGGTTGCTAACTTGACACTAATGTTACATTTTACTTCAATAAACTTTAAATTAATCTGACAGCTGAAAGTTAAACCCAGAACTATAAATCATTAAACTGCCATTTCAAGAGTACAAAATGAAAGTTGCAACCATATTTCAATATCAAATTATGATGAGTTTATGCACAGTACTTCACTCTTTTTAAAGTTGATTTTTGGACAGCATTATTTTTAAACCCTCACATAATTACCCCTACCTTATCCACTAAACTAGTATGTTTCACTGATATTCTTTCTGCTATAATGTAAAAGTTCTGAAATTGTAAGAAACATCTAAGCTTACACATACTTTAATACATTACAGCTCTTGACACTTTTTAGTTTGTTAGCAGGATACATAAATTATAAACTATCATAAACAGAAGTCAATGCGCCACTAGAAATCAGAAAAGATGCTTTAAAAAAGAGTAGCTCAACATACATTTTTCTTTCTTAGGAAAGAAAGATCGCATGACAAAAAGAATTAAAAATTAAAGAGAAAGCTCAAATAATTCTGTCAATGCTAAAACCAAAACTCCACTTTTAACATCAATTAACTCATTCCGACTAATTTCTACATCACTTTAGAGAGGTATTACGGTTAGAATTTGGAATGGCCACTTGCATTGGTGGGTGTGTGTGCAGCAGTAACTATTTGTCTCTTGGTTATTAGAGAATAAATAGGAAGAAGAACACTCACAATATAATTTATAAGAGTTACTTCTTCAGCTGAATTCTCAAAGGATTATTATTTGGCCAACCTTACCACTACTATCCAATTTTAAGCTCACAGTCAATGATTCAGGCGAAGAAGGGAGTAAGTAAAAAGTTGGTGGCTCATGCCTGTAATCCCAGCACTTTGGGAGGCTGAGGCAGGTGGACCATGAGGTCAGGAGTTCAAGACCAGCCTGGCCAAGATGGTGAAACCTTGTCTCTACAAAAATTAGCCAGGCGTGGTGGCAGGTGCCTGTAATCCCAGCTACTCGGGAGGCTGACACAGAGAACTGCATGAACCCAGGAGGTGGAGGTTGCAGTGAACCAAGATCACACCACTGCACTCCAGCCTGGGTGACAGAGCAATACTCCATCTCAAAAAAAAAAAAAAAAAAGTTCAGTTAAATGCAGGCTTCCTTCCCTTCCAACTTTGCTGCTAAAAATTACACAAACAAATGTATATATTTATATACCCAGTTTTCCACCAGCCATCTTTCTAATCATTATACATACTTTTCAATGGGAAGAGGATGTGGTCCAGACACAGAAAGTTTGTAGATAAACATAAGAAATTTCCTAAAAGCTTCAAAAAAAGGCCAGTGTGAGAGTAAACAAATGCATTTGTTTGTATTGATGGATTTGGAGACCATTTTTCTCTCCACAGGCGTCAACAAGCCCAGGTGCATAAGCTGTTTCTCTGATAGAAGTTCCCGAGAGTAAGGTTCATAAAACTGAATGGCAGCTCCATATACCTAAAGAGTAACAGAATTCTGTTATAAGATTTGAGTTTGTTTGAAAAAATTAACTTCTCTTTTTTTCTTATTACACAAGAAATATTTGCTTGGAGTACACTTATACAGATAAATTATGAAAAAAAAAATCTCACCCAAATTTCTGTCCCAGAGATAACCAGATTTTGATATAAATCCCTCAAGATTTTTTCCACTGCAATTTTATACATTCAACTATGTATCTTATACAAAAATGGATGGTAACCTCTTACAACTTAAGCATTAGAGAATGAACTCTAATGATCTCACTCAACTTAAGTTTTTTGTGGATTTTTCTTTTTCTTTTTTTTTTTTTTTTTGAGATGGAGTCTCACTCAGTCGCCCAGGCTGGAGTGCAGTAGCGCAATCTCAGCTCACTGCAACCTCCGCCTCCCAGGTTCAAGTGACTGCTTCAGCCTCCCGAGTAGCTGGCATTACAGGCATGTGCCACCACACCTGGCTAATTTTTTTTTTCCTTTTTTTTTGAGATGGAGTCTTGCTCTGTCACCCAGGCTGGAGTACAGTGGCACGATCTCGGCTCACTGCAAGCTCCACCTCCTGGGTTCACGCCATTCTCCTGACTCAGCCTCCCAAGTAACTGGGACTATAGGCGCCCACCACCACACCTAGCTAATTTTTTGTATTTTTAGTAGAGACAGGGTTTCACCGTGTTAGCCAGGATGGTCTCGATCTCCTGACCTCATGATCCGCCCACCTCGGCCTTCCAAAGTGCTGGGATTACGGCGTGCGCCACTGCGCCCGGCCTAATTTTTTCTATTTTTAGTAGAGACGGGGTTTCACTGTGTTAGCCAGGATGGTCTTTATCTCCTGACCTGGTGATCCACCAGCCTCAGCCTCCCAAAGTGCTGGGATTATAGGCATGAGCCACTGCACCCGGCCTGTGATTTTTTTTTAATTGGGGTGAAATATATATAACATTAAACGTACCACTTTAACCATTTTCAAGTGTACAATTCACTGGTATTAAGTACCTTCACAATGCAGTGCACCCAGTAGCACTATTCATTTCCAGAACTTTTTTCATTACCCCAAACAAAAGCTCTGTAACCCTTAAATGGTAACTTCCCATTCTCTTGCCCTCAATCCAAGTCCCTGGTAATCTCTATTGTACTTTCTATCTCTATAAGGGTAGCTATTCTAGGTACCTCCTATAAGAGGAATCATACAAAATTTATGCTTTTGTGTCTGGCTTATTTCACTTAGAATAATGTTTTTAAGATTCACCTATATTGTAGCAAATATCTGAATTTCATTCCTTGTTAAGGAAGAAATCATAATTCCATCATATATATATACCATATTTTGTGTATCCATTCATACGTTGATGCACGTTTGGGTTGTTTCCACCTTCCGCCTATCGTGAATAACCCTGCTACAAACATTGGCGTACAAGTATCTGTTTGAGTCTCTGCTTTCAATTATTTTAGGTATATGCCTAGGCATGAAACTGCTCGATCATATGGTAATTCTAAGTTTAACTTTTGGAGGAGCTGCCAAACTGTTTTCCACAGCAGCAGCATTTGACTTTCTCATCAGCAATGTTGACAGGTTCAATTCCTCCACACCCTTTCCTTGTATGACACAAGATAAAGCTGACACTCCTCTGTCTTCAAACTCTTTATTCCTTTGCTGTCTTTGACAGTACAAATTTCTCTGCTTTCTGGCTACTTCTCTCTTTCCTATACTAGATCCAATTATGTCACCCATCATTTAAATACTAGCATTCCCTAAGGTTCTAACTTCACACTTCTATTTGGAACATTTCATTCTCTCATGGTTTTAACTATAATCATTATACTAACAAAACACAAATCTTTATCTCTAGGTCTACCTGACCTCTCCCCTGAACCTCAGACTCCTATTTTCAAAATGACTACTCACTAATCTCCACCTGGATGTCATACAGGCATCTCAAACCAATATTTTCAAAAGTGAGCTCATCATCTAAACACTTCATCCAATATTCCTAATCTTACTCAGTCATGCTACACAATTCCCAAGGTAGAAACTTCGAAGTCATGTTCAATTCCACTTCCACTTACCACATATCAAAGCAACTACTGAAGCCCTAACTGGTCTCAAGTCAGAAGAGAAAGTATTTTAGTGAAAAATACACTGAAGAAACAGTCCTTCAGAGGTAATATCTCATCCTTCAAAAGTTCCCCATTACAGGTAAAATGCCACAGTCCGTGTAAGTGGCATGATGCTCTCAATTCCTCACAGTACCTGCTGTTGCTTTTCAACAATACAGAGCTACCAGGCATATAGACTAGTTCATAATTTTGTGCTTTTATGTATTTTGTTTAGCCTTGGTACTTCCTCTGATCTGCCCATTCCTTAAAACACTGCAAAGAAATTCTATCACTATACCCATCCCCTTCTCCCAGCAATCAATCCTTACCTCTGTGTTTTATAAATCTTGCCAACTGTTTAGTCATTATATATATCACAGGAACCCTTGCCTTTACACACACATTCCCAGATACAATTATTTCAAAGTGATCTCAAAGTTTTTAACCCATCCCCTTCTCCCAACAATCAATCCTTACTTCTGTATTTTATAAATCTTGCCAACTGTTTTTTCATTATAACCCTTGCCTTTATACACACAATATTCCCAGATATAATTATTTCAAAGTGATCTCAAAGTTTTTAACAAGCAATGACAAATACCTAAATTTTACACACCTCAATGCTTACATGTTGATATCCCCTAAACAATGAAAAAGCCAAGCAGATCACCTAGTACCCACATCTCAAATGAGACTTTATTGTTCTCTACTGCCAAAGCATATTAGGTAACTAATGTTTGAAGATCTTAAAATTTTCAGTTATATTTACTACTTTCAGCAGGAGAAATTGTAAATGATTATTAAGCTAACAAGTTAGTAGTGGGCAATCAAGTTAATATAATATTGACCTTCACTCAGTATTTTCTATGTTCCAGGCACTATGCTGGATACTTTACATATATTATCTTTATCACAGTAGTTATAAAGGTGTAGCCTGTACCTGTAGAATGAGGTCACAGATGTATTTTGTTTCATCTGCATGAGTCAGTTCAGATTATATATTTTTTCAATAAAATCGCCTATTAAATTTCCTTAGAAAGTTTTCAATTTTTGCTGGGCGCATTGGCTGACACCTGTAATCCCAGCATTTTGGGAGGCTGAGGCAGGTGGATCACCTGAGGTCAGGAGTTCGAGACCAGCCTGGCCAACATGGTGAAACCCCATCTCAACTAAAAATACAAAAATTAGCCGGGCGTGGTGGCAGGTGCCTGTAATCCCAGCTACTCGGGGAGCCAAGGCAGGAGAATCGCTTGAACCCGGGAGGCGGAGGTTGCAGTGAGCCCAGATTGTGCCATTGCACTCCAGCCTGGGGGATAAGAGTGAGGTTTCGTCTCAAAAAAAAAAAAAAAAGAAAAGAAAGTTTTCAATTTTGAAATTTCTACTGCTATCAGCTTTTTATACTGAATATTGTTTATTTTTGCCTTCTCTTCTTTATAAATCAGTTTATGTCATTATTACTGTTATATACAATATATGTTTTACATAAGACAATAAATGTCTTTTCTCTCTAGTTGTTTTGTCTCCGGTGTTCCATGATAGCACCATGATATAATAAGAGGCGGGATAGGCCAGGCATGGTGCCTCATACCTGTATAATCCAGGACTTTGGGAGGCTGAGGCAGGTGGATCACTTTAGGTCAGGAGTTTGAGACCAGCCTGACCAACAGGGTGAAATCCTGTCTCTACTAAAAAAAAAAAATACAAAATTAGCTGGGCGTGGTGACGCACACCTGTAATCCCACTGCTTAAGAGGCTGAGGCAGGAGAATCACTTGAACCTGGTAGGTGGAGGTTGCAGTGAGCCGAGATCGCACCACTGCACTCCAGCCTGGGCAACAAGAGTGACATTCCGTCTCAAAAAAAAAAGAGGTGGGATTATTTATTTATTTACTTATTTGTTTATTTTTCTCTGCTGCAGATTCAGAGTACATCTTTAACCTGAAGACTCAATTTTTTCATCAACCTTGGAAAACTCTCAACCATTAGCTCTTAGGATGTAGCCTTGTCCTTTTCTAGTCTCTCCTTCAGTAACTCATTAAATATCTATTAGACCTTCTAGTTCTATCTGCTACATTTTAAAACTCCTTTTATGTTTTACATTTGTATGTACCACATTTAAGGTAACCTATCTTCCACTTCATTAATTATCCCTTCATGTATGTCTTATCTCTGCTATTTTTTTTTTTTTTTTTTTAGAAAGAGTATCGCTCTGTAGCCTAGGCTGGAGTGCAATGGTGCAGTCTCAGCTCATTGCAACCTCTGTCTCCCGGGTTCAAGCAATTCTCATGCCTCACCCTCCCGAGTAGCCAGGATTACAGGCGTGTACCACCAAGCCTGGCTAATTTTTTGTATTTTCAGTAGAGACGGAGTTGTGCTATGTTGCCCAGGCTGGCCTTGAACTCCTGGCCTGAAGTGATCCACCTGTCTCAGCCTCCCAAAGTGCTGGAATTGCAGGCGTGAGCCACCGCACCTGGCCTTATCTCTGCTGTTTAACCCATTCACTGAATTTTTAATTTTAAGGACCATATTTTTCATTTCTAAACACTTGATTCTTTTCCCAATCTATTCATTTTTCAAAATATCCTGTTCCTTCCTTGATATTTTGAGCCCCTCCATTAGTTCTTAGGTCATCTCAATGATATTTTAATTTATAACATCCTTTATATTGTCATTCTGTCATTTCAATGTCTTGAGGGTCTAACCCTGCTTTTTAATTGTGTCTGTCGATTCTTTCTATGGTACCTATGTCCTTGATCTGTCATAATCATCTCATCTTGACACCTGGGTTTTGAAGGTGTCTATCCAGAGAGACTTTATCTTTGCTTCTGTAGAAGTTCCAGAGGTATCAATATCCTGATAGCAATTTTCATGTTGATTTCTCACCTTGGGGATGACAGTGTAAATTTAAACCAAAATGTATCATGTCCAAATAATCCTAACATTCAAATAAAACTTGTATTAACCTTTTTATGAAATAAAAACATGGACAAAATGTGTTTAATCAATGAGACAAAAACATACCTTTTTGGCTGAAGAACCTGTCAAGACAAAAGTTGAAAAAACTGGAAGTGGATATTTGGTTTCAGGATCCCAGCACTCAATAGTAGCTCCCATAGGAAGGCAGAAAAGAGGTACATCTGATTCTGAGAGTGGAAATGACTCATAGTCCTCTTCTGGATATCTAAAAATTAAACCTTTTGAAGAATGAGACAACAATAAATTTTTTAAATAGTTACTTTTCCATAAATTGCATATGATAGGTATTAATGGAATATTTTAATGCCGAATTTCATGGCAATACTTGTGTGGTATTTTAAAATTGATTTCCCCCTTGCTATAACAGAAACTAAAATAAGTTTACCCCTGATATTTTACCCATGAATTTACAGTTCATTGTAACATTTAAAATGTATTAATATACTAGTTGAGATTCCATTCAACCAATCTTGATCACCAATCTTAATGTATTTTCTTCTACACATGCCAACACCTTGTGGAAAATGGTAAGAAACATACAGAAAAATTTACCAACTATTTCAGTTAGTCTTCTGTGAAAAATTCAGGGAAGAGACAAGTGTTATGAAATAATGCTGAGGCAACAGAAATTATCACAGCCCCTAAACTCATCTTAAGAGGGAAGCAGTGTAAAAGGCATGCAACATGAAAAGTAAATGAGACAGAAACACTGTGACTAAGTACAGAGTATGTGAGACCCAGAAAGTAGGAGCAAGTGACACTTTGAGAACCACAATGAAGACCCACAGAATAAATTAGCTACATGGCATCTGTTCATTAGCCTCTAAGGTCATCAATATATAGACCATCTCTAAGTGAAAAACTTCAAAATCAGTAGTAGAATTTTGAGCCCAAATTCAGTATCTAAAACTCTCTATTCTAAAATAAGTGTCTCATATCAAATAACTGAATACTTTGGTACAGTTTCTTTCTATAAGTTTTTTAAGTGATATCTTTTCTCCACCAAAAACAACAACAACAACAAAAAAAGGACATCACACATAATCAACATATTACAGCAGTATTAACAGTATCACTTTTTTTTTTTTTTTTTGAGACAGGATCTTGCTTTGTCACCCAGGCTGGAGTGCAGTGGTGTGATCTCGGCTCACTGCAACCTCCGCCTCCTGGGTTCAAGCGATTCTCGTGCCTCAGCCTCCCAAGTAGCTGGGACTACAGATGCGTGCCACCACGCCTGGCTAATTTTTGTATTTTTAGTAGAGACGGGGTTTCACCATGTTGGCCAGGCTGGTCTCAAACTCCTGGCCTCAAGCGATCTGCCCGCCTCACTCTCCCAAAGTGCTGGAATTACAGGCGTGAGCCACCATGCCCAGCCTACAGTATCAGATTTTAAAATGATACTGAATTTTATACGTTAGTCGTTGCCATTATTTTTATATTATAAATTAAATGGTTTGGTTCATTAGTATGAATGTTTTTATGAAAATCACGATTTTTTGGATATGAATTTGCCTGACTTCCCTGAAGTAAAACTTTATTTCAAGAACTGTGCATAATCAAATAGTAATTAGCACTGCTTCTTTTCACAAAGAAGTATTCCAGTATCTTTTCTATTTACAACTGGAGCATACCTGTATTTTCAGTTTTTATCCCACCATACCAGTGGAATGAAGACGTGACACTTAAATCTTTACAGCCCTTGACACTTTAATGTGCAGTAAGAATGTGGCGATAGATTTCTCAAACACTTCATGGCAGAAAAGTTTCTCAGGCCCTCCTCTCCTCCATATAGCTGATTCTTTGCAACAAAGGAGAAAGGAAGCAAGTCCACCTTTCATGGCAAGTAACATGTGGTTTCAAATCAGACACAAAGAGATAAGAGAAGGAAATATAAGAAGTAAAGACGCAGTTTGACACCTTTCTGATTGCCAAAATATAAAAGGTCAGAGAGTCAGCAACTTTCCATTATACTGTTAAGTCTATTAACGTAGACCAAAAGCTTGAATGTTTATTCCACATATGTTTGCTTTAGATAAATGTTTAAATTAAATTAACAGCATGTTTGGTGGGGGTATTAATATATCTTGTATATGTATTTAAGAAAACACATATCTTTATATGCTAAAATTATAGATAATTTTATGAATAGATCAATTCTACAAACTATGTAAGGGAGCATACTTTATCTCTTTTAGCCAAATGTTAATATGCACCAATAACTATAGCAATTGAGACAATTTTTTTTAACTCACTTACCAGCCTTATATGCTATTGCATTTGAAGCAGGTACAGACTTCTTATAACACAGAAACACGCTGGAACCCCACTGTAAAACATGAATTAGGTTTATAAAAAAGACAAAAGAGTGAAAAGAAATTGATTTTGTTGGATACCAACTAAAGATTCATTTATTTACTCAGAAGAGTCTATTTAAAACGTTTATATAATGAACTATGCAGTATAAAATACAGCAAAGCATGAAGTTCAGAACACTAAAATAAGAGAGTAAGAAAACAATGCTACAAAAATCAAACTGATATGAAGGCCATTTCAAAAGATTTAGAATTTCACAATCACTCAGAGATTGCCCCTTCTTGTAAGACACAGCACAAAACGGAGTGTGCACTGGAGCCCAAATTGGGGAAGACTTGGGTCACTGGAGGACTATGAGGTCATCACCTCCAGAGGCAACCCTGTCTTCACTAATTGTTCTGGGTGCATTTGTCATCTCCGCCTATACAACATTAAGCTAATATTAGTTTGACCTGAAGATATTTTTCAAAGTAAATCTGAACCAAAAGTAAGCTGTAGTCTTTAAAAACTATGAATCAAACATTTATGTTCATTTTCTTCTTCACTACAGTCCTTTTAAAGAGTAAGTATGCATGGATTGGGTGTGGTGGCTTGCGCCTGTAATCCCAGCACTTTGGGAAGCTGAGGCAGGTGGATCACAAGGTCAAGAGATCAAGACCATCCTGGCCAACCAACATGGTGAAACCTCATCTCTACTAAACATACAAAATTAGGTGGGCGTAGTGGCGCACGCCCGTAGCCCCAGCTACCTGGGAGGCTGAGACAGGAGAATCGCTTGAACCTGGGAGGTGGAGGTTGCAGTGAGCCAAGATCACGCCACTGCACTCCAGCCTGGGCGACAGAGCGAGACTCCGTCTGAAAAAAAAAAATAAGTATGCAAAACTGCAATATTTTCTCTTGAGCCCTAGAGTTCAGGAGCATCCTGGGCAACTTAAGGAGACCCTGTCTCAAAAACAAAAACAGGCCGGGCATGGTGGCTCACGCCTGTAATTCCAACACTTTGGGAGGCCAAGGGAGGTGGATCACTTAAGGTCAAGAGTTCAAGACCAGCCTGGCCAACATGATGAAACCCTGTCTCTACTATCCTGTAGTCCCAGCTACTCGGGAGGCTAAGGTGGGAAGATCACTTGAGCCTGGTGGGGGGTCAAGGCTGCAGTGAGCTGTGATTGCACCACTGTACTCCAGCCTGGGCGACAAAGCAAGACCCTGTCTCAAAAAAATAAAAAAAGCAAACAAATGAATGAATGAATGAATAAATGAATGTAAGGAGAGCTTCTACCCACTCTAACCCCACAGTTGTCCCTGAAGACACCACTGAAATCCAAAAGTGAATAAAACCTTTGTTAATGTAACACAGACAATATTAGGATTTACTCCCTCAAAAATATCCCTGACTTAAAGATGAAATTATTATAAATCATGGGATAGGACTTTAAAAATTATTACAAATCATAAAAATTAGGAAAAATAAAAACAAGCATCATGAAAATATAAAATGTGAGTATATACCCAACAGTAAACAGGAATCCAAAACGTATCCCTTTTTGGTTTCATATGAAACTTTGAAGATGAAAACTTTATTCTTACCATTCCACAATTTAAGTTTTTGTCAACTTTGCAGAAGGTATGAGGAGGAGTTTCTCCTTTACTGGTTACAATAACACAGATATCAGTTACAGCCAAGGAATTCTGGGGTCGAACTGGAGGAGCCCTTCGATAAGTGATAAAGATTCTTTGTGAAGTAGTTGAACTATTGTTGACATTGGCACAGCGACCATAGGGTGTGGCTAGGATCACTTCACATCCTGGAATAAGCCGTTCTTTCCCTTCATATAGAACTCTGCATGGCAGGAAGGGGAAGAAATAGATATAGATATATACATACACACATACATATGTACATATATATAGTACATGCATTTCAGGTTAATGCTGGTTTTCTTCTTGAAATCAAAGAAAATTTTTTTGGTCTCTCCTATTGTTTCCCAAATCTTCACTAGAAACCAAAATTAAAATTATTCCTTTGGGAACTACAAGTCTCTAAACTATTTTTCAAAAGCCAAAACATAATTTAAGAAGTGTAAACAGGATTGAACAACTTGATTTTGTATTGCTTATTATAAGAAACATATGAAAAAAGAAAGGGGCAACACCACAAACATCTTCAGGTCAATTCCTAGAAGTTTCACCAAGTATTCAGATGTTTTCATAAAAATTCGCTTCATAATTTGTCAATTTTTTAGCTTTAAAAATCCTCTGAAAACTATAAAACGTTATTTAAAGAAATTAAAGAGCTGAATAAATAAGACATCTCATGCTTATGGACAAAAAGACAATGATGGCAATACCCTCAAATAGATTAATGAAAATTGAATTAATCTGATTAATTCAATCTTCAATTTGATTAATGAAAACTGAAAAATGAATTAATGAAAATTGATAAGATGGCAATACCCCCAAATAGATTAATAAAGTCAATGCAATTCCTATCTAAATTCCAGCTGCCTTTGGCAATACCCTCAAATAGATCAATAAATTCAATGCAATTCCTATTTAAACCCCAGCTGCTTTTGTTTTTTCTTGTCAAAGCAATCTGGAAAAAGAAGAAAGTTGGAGGACTCACACTTCCCTACTTCAAAACTACCACACATCTACAGTAATCAGTGCAATGTATTGGCATAAGAATAAACATATAGATCAACAGAATAAAATGGAGTGTCCAAAATTAAGCCCTTATATTTGCAGTCAATTGATTTCAACAAGAGTGCCAAGACAATGCAATCAGGAAGGAATAGTCTTTTCAATATGTAGTGTTGGAATAACTGGATATCCACCTGCAAAAGCATGAAGCTGGACCCCTTCCTTATACTACTCATCAAAAAACTAAAAATGGATCAAAATCAATGTAAGAACTATAGCACTCTTTGAAAAACAGAAATAAATCTTTGTGACCTTAGGTTAGACAAAGCCTTCTTAGATATGACACCAAAAGCACAAGCAGCTAAACATGTTAAGTGAAAAAAAAAAAAAAAGTCACAAAGACCACATACAGTGATTCAGTTTTTAAGAAATGTCCAGAATAGGCAAATCCATACAGACAGAAAGTAGATTAATAGTTACCTAGGGGTAGAAGGTGGGAAAGAATACTAAATAGCAACTGCTAATGGGTATGGGGTTTCTTTTTAGGCTGATGAAAATGTTCTAAAATTAATTGTGGTGGTAGCTGCACAACACTGTAAACAATACTAAAAACCATTGAATTGTACACTTTAAGTAAGTGAACTGTATGACATGTGAATTGTATCTCCATAAAGCTGTTAAAACCCAACTAATATTAAAATGTACTATAAAGCCTCTTTATTTAAATCAGGAGAGTATTAGCAAGGAAGTGAACAGAAAGACAATGAAACAGAAGAAAAATCTAGTCTATCATGAAGGTAATTTCTCAATATACTAAGGGAAGAATGGATTTTTAAATGTAATAAGCAGGACTTAGATAACTGGATTGTTATTTGGAAAAAAATATTATTTGGAAAAAAATAAAATTCTGTCTATACTTCACACTACACACCAGAAGGGGATCCCCCGGTGGATCACAGATCTAAACATAAGGAATTAAATCATACTAGTGCTAAAAGTATATCTAGCAGTGGGAAAAGACTATGACTCAAAATCCAGTACCAATAAAATATGGGAGTAGAAAAATAAACTACATAAAATAAACGTTACATGACAACGAACACCATAAGCCAAGATAAAAGACAAGTTGACTGAAGAAAATACTTGGCAACTTATTTCACAAAAAGCTCATCTTCCTAACACATAAAAAATTTCCTTTAAAAAAATCAAGGTAAAGATTAAAAATCTGTTTATAGTATAAGCAAAAGAATAAAGAAAATCGCCCCTTAAACTTATGGAGCAATGATTAACCTCAATGAAATTACTCTGATACACCATTAATCTCTGTGAGATTGACAAAAAATATGTCAGACCACATACTTTGTTGATGGGATGTGGATTAAAAAAACACATATATGGCAGAATATAAAATGGCACAAACACTATAGAGAAAAATTTAGTAACATTTAACAAAATTATTTACACATTTATCTTTTAATCCAGCAATTTTTTCTAGGATCTACCTGAAAACACACCTCCACAAATACATAACAATAAATGCACAGTTATTCATCAAAGCATTCTTTTAATAGCACAAAACTGAGAACAATCCAAATGTCCATCAGTAGAGGTTTCATTGAATAAAGTAAATACATCCACACAAATAAGTATTATACAGTCACACACAAAAAATGAGGAAGATCTTATATTCAGATACAGAGTGATTGCCAGTATATACTCTTAGGTGAAAAAGGCAAAGTACAAAATAGGGTATAGAGTATCTACATTTTGTTTAAGAGAAAGAAATAGGCTAGGCACACTGGCTCCCACTTCCTTTCAATTAGCTTAGCAAACAAATGAAAAAAAATGTCAATTTGTAGGTGACAAGTATATTGTTCATTATTCTACAGTCTATCATCTAGGAGAAAAGGATACTTGTGTATTATAATAGTTTATCAACTTTTCACATGTTTGAAATTTCTCAAAAAACAAAAGAACTGGAGAAACAAATCAGTTGAAAGCCAATGAATCTGACAAAGGGAAGAAAATAAGAACTTCGTATGGTCTATGATTCTGTGTCTCAAGAAATGCATCTGGGCGGGCGCAGTGGCTCACGCCTATAATCCCAGCACTTTGGGAGACAGAAGTGGGCGGATCACCTGAGGTTGGGAGTTCGCAACCAGCCTGACCAACATGGAAAAACACCGTCTCTACTAAAAATAAAAAATTAGCCTGGCATGGTGGCAGGTGCCTGTAGTCCCAGCTACTGGCGGGGGTGGGGGTGAGGGGGCGCGGAGTTGCAGTGAGCCAAGATCGGGTCATTGCACTCTGGCCTGAGCAACAAGAACGAAACTCTGTCTCAAAAAAAAAAAAAAAAAAGAAAGAAAAAAGAAATGCATCTGATATATAAGATAACATACTGCCCTGTTTAAATTATACTATACAATCATGCACCACATAATGATGATGCAAGCACAGACTGCATATACTATGGTGGTGCCATAGATTATAATGGAGCTGAGAAATTCTTATCACCTAGTATTTACAATACTATACCTTTTATCATTACTTTAGAGTATATTCCTACTTACAAAAAAAGTTAACTGTAAAACAGTCTCAGGCAGGTCCTTCAGGAGGTATTCCAGAAGGCATTCTTATCATAGAAGACAGCTCTATGTGGGTTACTGCCCTGAAGACCTTCCAGTGGGACAAGATGTGGCGATGGAAGGCAGAGATAGTGATGATCCTGACTCTGTAGGGCTAGGCTAACATGTGTCTTTTTGTCTTAAATTTTAACAAAATAGTTTAAACAGTTAAAAAAAAAAATCCAGGCACAGTAGTTCATATCTATAATCCCAGCACTTTAAGGGGCCAATGCAGAATTGCTTGAGGCCAGGAGTTCAAGAACAGCCTGGGCAACATAGGAGGACCTCATCTTTGCAAAAAATTTCAAAATAAGAAAATAAAAACTGGTCAGAGGCGGTGGCTCACGCCTGTAATTCCAGCACTTTGGGAGGTCAAGATGGGTGGATCACTTGAGGTCAGGAGTTCAAAACCAGCCTGGCCAATATGGTGAAACCCTGTCTCTACTGAAAATAAAAAAAAATTAGCCAGGTGTGGTGGCAGATGCCTGTAATCGCAGCTACTCCAGAGGCTGAGGCAGGAGAATCACCTGAACCCAGGAAGCAGAGATTGTAGTGAGCCCCAATCATACCACTGCACTCCAGCCTGGAAGACAGAGTGAGACTCTGTCTCAAAAAAAAAAAAAAAAAAAGAGAGAAGAAAAAAAGAAAAAGAAAAACAAAAAATAAAGTTTAAAAACCAAGCTAGTGCCAGCTATTCAGCAGGCTGAGGCTGGATCACTTGAGCCTAGGAGTGCAATGCCAGCCTGGGCAACAAGGCAAGACCCCATTATTTTTTTTTTTTTTTTAATTTTTGCCAGGCGTGGTGGCACATGCCTGTAATCCCAGCACTTTGGGAGGCCAAGGCAAGCAGATCACTTGAGCTCAGGTGTTCCAGAGCAGCCTGGGCAACAAGGCGAAACCCCATCTCTACAAAAAGAAAATTAGCCAGGAGTGGTGGCATACACTTGTAGTTCAGCTACTCAGGAAGCTGAGGTGAAAGGATTATCGCCTGAGCCCAGGAGGTGGAGGCTGCAGTGAGCCTAGACTATACCACTACACTCCAGCCTGGGCAACAAAGTGAGACCCTGTCTCAAAAAATAAAAAATAAAAGAATAAATTTTTAAAATAAAATTTTAAAATACAAAAAAACTTAATAAAATAAGGATTTAAAGAAAGAAAAATATTTTTGTACAGCTGTATGGTAAGTGTTTTAAACTAAGTATTATTACAAAAGAATCAAAAAAATTAACAAAAACTTTAAAAGTTTATAAAGTAAAAAGGCTATAATAAAGCTAAAGTTAATTTACTAAAGTCTATAGTAGTATACAGTAATGTCCTAGGCCTTCATATTCACTCAACACTCACTCACTGACTCACCTAGAGCAACTTCCAGTCCTGCAAGGTCCATTCATGGTAAGTGCCCTATACAGGTGTGACTTATTTTTTATGCCAGATTTTTCTGTACCTTTTCTATGTTTAGATATACATATACTCACCACTGTGTAAGTTGCCTACAGTATCTATTACCCCAGTAACATGCTGTACAGGTTTGCAGCCTAAGAAAAATAGGCTATAGTTGTATATGTAGTAAGCTATGCCACCTAGGTTTGTGTATGTACACTCTATGATGTTCACACAATGACAAAATCGCCATAGAACACATTTCTCAGAATGTATTCCCATCGTTAAGTGATACATGATTGTACTTTATAGTATATACGGTATTTCTATGGGAATATCAGATTTTACATATTTTAACTTAACATCTTTTCTAGAGAAAAGTACTATTTTTATAAATACCTCATCTCAGTTTATAAAACAGTAAAAAAGACAAAAGTTTAGCAACAGTGTTTCATATTAAACTTAATGAGATGGGTGTCTGTATTTCCAGTAGCTAATAGGCTTTCCTACTATAAATACAGAAGCTAATAGGTTTTCCAAACCCCTTCACACTAGAGTGAGGAAAGAGTGGGGGGAAAGTGAGGAGAACAGGCCAAAACATTTAAGTCACCAGACATTAACAATTATTTGATCTGGAGAGAAATATTAACCATCATGATTAGCTTAAGGACAACCATACACTCTAGCAAATCTGTATCAATAAACTACCATAACAAAAATTAGAAGCCTTAGGAACTGCAAGATGTGTATGAAAAAGCCACTTGCAATCTGAAAGCACCTACATATAATTACGTAAGTCATCATTTTATTTTTAAGTTGTATCACAAGCAACAACAATTTTGCAGAGATTCACATCTTTCAGTCATGACTGTATGGGAGGGGTGGCAGGTGGGCTTGTCAAAAGATGGACTCTAAAAGACGACTGGCCCGGCACAGTGGCTCACTCCTGTAATCCCAGCACTTCGGGAGGCCGAGGTGAGCAGATTGCTTGAGTCCAGGAGCTCAAGACTAGCCTGGGCAACATGAGAAACCCCACCTCTACAAAAACTACAAAAACTTAGCCGGGTATGGTGGTGCTTGCCTGTAGTCCCAGCTACTCGGGAGGCTGAGGTGGGAGGACCACCTGAGCCCAGAAGGCGGAGGCTGCAGTAAGCTGTGATCACACCATTGCACTGCAGCCTGAGCAACCACAGTGAGACACTGTCTCAAAAAAATTCTCCTTATTTTTATATATTAAAAAAAACAATTTTTTTAATTAAAAAAAAAAGATGCCTAAAAGAGGGAACAGTGAATGCTGGAACACAAAATAAGTACCTGGCTGGTTTCCCTTCAACTAACATGGAGGTTACCACAATTTTATCCTACATCCTTAGGGATATATATTACCTATCTTCTTAAGGAAACCATAGAGAAAAAAAAACAGAACAATAAAACCATTAATGTCACTCCACTGCAACCAATACTCTGTGTTTACACCCATTTTAACTTACTTTCTTCTTCTCAAAGGAAAAGCCCCTTCCGGCGGGGCACAGGGGCTCATGCCTGTAACCTCAACACTTTGGGAGGCAGAGGCAGGTGGATCACGAGGTCAGGAGTTCAAGACCAGCCTGGCCAACATGGTGAAACCCCGTCTCTACTAAAAATACAAAAGTTAGCTGGGCGTGGTGGTGGGTGCCTGTAATCCCAGCTACTTGGGAGGCTGAGGCAGAGAATTGCTTGAACCCGAGGTGGAGGTTGCAGTGAGCCGAGATCGCACCACTGCACTCCAGCCTGGACAGAGCGAGACTCTGTCCAAAAAAAAAGGAAGGGAGGAAGGGAGGAAGGCAGGCAGGTAGGCAGGAAGGCAGGAAGGCAAGCAGGCAGGCCGGCCCCTTCAAATAAAAGCTAATCCAGTCACCTATGCTGTTAACATCATCCCTTCAATAATTTTATTCTATAAAATATCTTTTTCCTATATTTCCTACCCTTCCTTCTCCACTGATTTCTTCCTTCAATATGAAAATGTTCTAGGTTATTCCCTGAGAGGAAGGTTAAAAAACAACCCTTGAATTCATATATCTTCACCCTCTAGGTATTTTAAACCATTGTTTCTGGGAATTTTGTTAAAAATAGATTTTTTTTTCTTCTGAGGCAGGGTCTTTTGCTCTGTTGCCCACGCTGGAGTGCTACAGTGGCACAATCGGAGCCACTCCTGGGCTCCAGTGATCCTCCCACCTCAGCCTTCTGAGTAGCTAGGACTACATGTGCATGCCACCACACCTTGCTAATTTTTTTTTTTTTTTTGTCTTGAGAAGGAGTTTCACTCTGTTGCCCAGACTGGAGCCCAGTGGCACAATCTTGGCTCACTGCAACCTCCACCTCCTGGGTTCAAGTGATTCTCCTGCCTCAGCCTCCCAAGTAGCAGGAACTACAGGTGCTCGCCACCATGCCCAACTAATTTTTGTATTTTTTTAGTAAAGAGGGGGTTTCACCATGTTGGACAGGCTGGTCTTGAACTCCTGACCACAAGTGATCGGCTTGCCTCCGCCTCCCAAAGTGCTGGGATTACAGGCGTGAACCACCACACCGGGCCCTTGCTCATTTTTATTTTTATTTTTTGTGAACTCCTGGCCTCAAGCAATCCTCCTCCCACCTCAGCCTCCCAAAGCGTTGGGATTAGGGAGGCTGGAGTGCAGTGGTGTGATCTTGGTTCACTGCAACCTCCGCCTCCCGGGTTCAAGTGATTCTCCTGCCTCAGCCTCCTGAGTAGCTGGGACTACAGGCGCACACTGCCACACCCAGCTAATTTTTGTATTTTTAGTAGAGATGGGGTTTCATCATGTTGGCCAGGATGGTCTTGATCCCTTGACCTTGTGATCCGCTTGCCTCGGCCTCCCAAAGTGCTGGGATTACAGGTTAGCTGGGATTACAGTGTAAGCCACCACACTGGACCAGAATACAGATTGTGATTCAGTAGGTCTGGAATAGTGCCTAAGTTTCTGAGTTTCTAACAAGCTTCCAGGTCTTTTGGACAATACTGGTCCATGGGCTACAATTTGAATAGTTAGGCCCTTAACTATCTTCCCCTTCCCTTAAAGTCAAGCTTCTGGGGGGGCAGAGTGGAGGGGGCCTTTATTAATCCAATTCCCAGTCATTTCTGAACCCTGTCTTTCTAACCTGGCTCATATGCTCAATGACCCTATAAAGCTGAAAGATCACCATCCTAACTATACTGACTTGAAGGAAAACTACAGTAGCTAAATAGGATGGACAATACTAAAGGAGTTAAACGAATGCTGCATAAAGGTCAAGTAAGATAAAGACAAATCATCCTTTGGTTTTAAAAATTTGAAAATGAGGACTTTTTAAACTTTTTTCTCTTTTTCAGCCTGAGTTGTTACACACTCCTTCGTGGATTCCGACTTCCATGGAGTATGAGGATCTTTATAACAATTTCGCCAGAGCTCTAATGCAACAAGAGTGGGTGATGAGCGTAACAAGTGGTGGTCAAATGGCTACCCCTTAATACCTGAACAACTATAAAGAGAACAATCAGTGGCCAGGTGTGGTAACTCACGCTTGTAACCCCAGCACTTTGGGAGGCAGATCCCCTAAGGTCAGGAGTTCAAGACCAGCTTTGCCAATATGGTGAAACCCTGTCTCTGCTACTAAAAATACAAAAATTAGCCAGGCATAGTGGTGCACGCCTGTAATCCTAGCTACTCAAGAGGCTGAGGCAGGAGAATCACTTGAACCCGGGAGGCGGAGGTTGCAGTGAGCCAAGATTGCGCCACTGCACTCCAGCCTGGGCAACGAAGCCAGACTCTGTCTCAAAAACAAACAAACAAAAAACAACCACAACAACAAAAAGAGAACAACCAGCAACCAAGTGTTCAAAAAAAAAAAAAAAAGAAAAAAAAGGCTTCATGAATTAGAAAAATTTGGATATGTGATAATATTAAGGAATTAATCATTTTTTAAGGTATGGTATCATAGTTATATTAAAAGAAAGATTCAACAAAAGAAAATCAATGTAATACATGACACTAAGAGAACAAAGGAAGAAAAAATACATGATCATCTCAATTGACAAAAGGCATCTGACAAAATTTAACACACTTTCCTGATAAAATCTCTCAGAAAACTAGGAATAGAAGAACATTTCCTCAACATGATAAATGGTATTTAAGGAATATTTACAGTTAACATCATACTCAATAGTAAAAGACTGAAAGCTTTCCACCTAAAATCAGGAATGAGACAAGATGCCTGCTTTCACCACTGCTATTCAACATACTAAAAGTTCTAGCCAGAGTAATTACACACACACACACACACACAAAGCATCCAAACTGCAAAGGAAGGAGTAAAACTATTTCTATTTGCAGATGACATGATCCTATATATTTAAAAAAATCCCGAAGAACCCACAAGTTATTAGAACTAATAAATTCGGCAAAGTTGCAGAGTGCAAGATTAGCACACAAAAATCAGCTATTTCTATACACCAGCAACAAACAATCCAAAAATTAAGAAAACAACACTATTTATAATAGAATCCAAAAGAATAAAATACCTAGAAATAAAATTAATCAGATTTAAAAAATACACAATGTTGCTGAAAGAAATTAAAGAAGACCTAAACCAATGGAAAACATTCCACGTTCACAAGCTGAATCGTTTAATATTGTAAAGATGACAATACTCTGCAGATTAATCTAAAGTTAATGTAATCTCTATCAAAATTCCTACTACACATTTTGTATAAATAGATAAGCTGATCCTAAAATACTTGCCAGGATGTTCCCAAATATCTATATTTTAGTAATGGTAATGATAATAAACAAAACACCCCAATACATCACATGTATATATGGTAAAGTGTTATAGGTATTCTAAAAGCACATCCTTTTTACAGAAGAGTCAAGGTAGCCATTTGGGGAAAGGGTGGACCTTTGTAGGCATTTACAAAAAAGAATGTCCTTCACTGGTAGACTAGATACTAGATACTTCATGAAAACTGTAGCACTTATCTGTAAACACCCTCCTCCCAGCATTGAAAGCCACACGTTACAACTGTATTTAAAATAGGACTGCTCTTTAGTTAAACAAGTACAGGTCTTCACAAAAACTCATTACATAACCCAAGCAACTCCTTAAAATGATAGTGTCTTTATTATAGCTTCTCATTCTATTGTGTTTAATTAATAATCTTATTTGATAAGTACAACAGAAACAAAATGACACTTTAGGGTCAAATGTCTTCATTTCAATATTCTTTTGAAAGCAAATGATCTAACAATTCAAGGCAATGCAAAGAAATTCAGTAAGGGTGGATACTGGCATGTAATATATTACTATAATGAATCCTGAAGTAACCATAAAACTATCAATAATAATAAACTATCAGTAATAATAAAACTATCAAGGATTTCAAATTCCTACTTCCATGGCCCTTAAATAAATTTTACTCCTTCACTATAGCAAAGAAAAGAAGTCACCATACCCAATATCTGTAAGCGGTGGTTTATCTCTCCCTCTCTTATAACAGAGGAAAAGTTCTGGGCTTTTCAGACTTCCATAGTTCAAGTTTGCTTGGAGAGCTGATGGAGTGGCTTCTACACAGGTGTAACCTTCAGGTACTGTTTCTCCAGCTGATTTGATAATAATGGCAATGTCTGTAATTGGAGCTTTAGGTCCAGTTGACTTAGTATCTAAACGATTTATTTCTTGATCCAAAAGAGTAGATGTGTCAGTGAGACCAGCTACGACAAAGTAGTCTGTCACTCTTGGTCCTTTGTCTTCTATCATGGCTGCTACTGTATTTTCTAGAAGAGGGAGGGGAAAGATACCAATAAAATAAAATACTTTATCCTGACAAAAATTAATATATCCTTGAGTTAACAATCATCAACTAGCACACTTCCCAGCTAGATTTATAATCAAATTGCCATTCTGAGAAGAAGCCTGCTTTTATCATCTTGTCAGTTGGTAAAAGCAAAAGTACAAGTTAACAGCATCAATTCATCTGTAATACAACTATAATCTTCTCATATTCTATTAAGGATAATTAAACTGGGGCCGGGCGCGATGGCTCATGCCTGTAATCCTAGCACTTTGGGGGGCCAAGGCAAGTGGATCACCTGAGGTCTTAAGTTCGCGACCAGTGTGCCCAACCTGGTGAAACCCTGTCTCTACTAAAAATATAAATATTAGGCTGGGCATGGTGGCTCACACCTGTAATCTTAGCACTATGGGAGGTGGAGGTGGGTGGATCACCTGAGGTCAGGAGCTCGAGAACAGCCTAGCCACCACGGCAAAACCCCATCTCTACAAAAATACAAAAATTTAGCTGAGCCTGGTGGGGGGCGCCTATAATCCCAGCTACCCGGGAGGCTGAGGCAGGAGAATCGCTTGAACCCAGGGGGCAGAAGCTGCAGTGAGCGGAGATTGCTCCACTTCACCTCAGCCTGGGTGAAAGAGAGAAACTCCATCTCAAAAAATAAATAAAAATGAAAATAAACATTAGCCAGGCGTGGTGGTGTGCGCCTGTCAGTCCCAGCTACTCGGGAGGCTGGGGCATGAGAATCGCTCGACCCCGGAAGGCGGAGGTTTCAGTGAGCCCAAATTGCGCCACTGCACTCCAGCCTGGAAGACAGAGTGAGACTCTGTCTCAAAAAAAAAAAAGAGAAAGAAAAAAAAAAAAAAGGCCGGGCCTGGTGGCTCACACCTGTAATCCCTGCACTTTGGGAGGCCGAGGCGGGTGGATCACTTGAGGTCAGGAATTTGACACCAGCCTGGCTAACATGGTGAAACCCTGTCTCTACTAAAAATACAAAAATTAGCCAGGTGTGGTGGTGGGCACCTGTAATCCCAGCTACTCGGGAGGCTGAGGCAGGAGAATCGCTTGAACCTGGGGGGCAGAGGTTTGCAGTGAGCCAGGATCGTGCCACTGCACTCCAGCCTGGACAACAGAGCAAGACTCCATCTCAAAAAAATAATAATACTAAACTGTCAGAGGTGGACTACGGTATTTTCCTTTGAGCAAAATGTACTTAATGAACAATATTCAGATCATTCAAAATATCATTCTCTTTTAAGTTACAGGAGTCTTAGAGCTAAACTCCACATTTAAATAAATTGAGTGCATCATCAGTCAAGATCCAAGATCAGAAAAATTAAGGTAACAGTAATAAATATCATTAAAGCAGTTTCTCAACAATCCAGTTAGAACTCTTGTGCTTTATAAGAATTAAACTTTCCATAAATACCATGTAAAATAAGTAAGCTCAGGAATCATTAAATCTTTTATATCTAAAAATACCAGATAGAGCATAAGAAACAACAACCAATAAAACCATTACCACAATCAAGATAGTGAAACATATCCAGGCCGGGCACGGTGGCTCACGCCTGTAATCCCAGCACTTTGGAAGGCCGAGGAGGGTGCAACACCTGAGGTTGGGAGTTTGAGACCAGCCTGATCAACATGGAGAAATCCCATCTCTACTAAATATACAAAATTAGCTGGGTGCGGTGGCGCATGCCTGTAATCCCAGCTACTCAGGAGTCTGAGGCAGGAGAATCGCTTGAACCCGGTAGGCGGAGGTTGCGGTGAGCCGAGATCGCACCATTGCACTCCAGCCTGGGCAACAAGAGCAAAATTCCATCTCAAAAAAAAAAAGAAAGAAACATATCCATCAACATCAAAATTTTCTTGTTCCTCCCTCATTATTTCTCCTCCTCAGGCAACAAGTTATCAGCTTCCTATCATTATAGATAAGTTTCTAGAATTTATATAATAAGTAGACTCATACAGTATGTATTCTTTTTTCTCTGGCTTCTTTACTCATCATAATTATTTTGTGATAAATCCATGTTGTTGCTTGTATCAACAGTTCATTCCCTTTTATTACTGAGTGGTATTCTACTGAATGAATATACCACAATGTTTATCCATTCACCTATATTAATGGACATTTAGGTTATTTCCCGTGTGAAACTATCACAGATAAAGCTGCTGTGAATACCCATGTACAAATCTTATGGACATAATGCTTTCATTTGTCTTGGGTAAATTCCTAAAACAGGATGGCTGGATTAGGTGTATATAGTTCTAAAAAACTACCTAATAGTTTTCTAAAGGGAGTGTACCATTTTTTTCACTCTTGTCAGCTTTGAGAGTTCCAATTGTTCTACATCCTCTTCAACACGTTGTAAGATCAGTCTTTTTAATTTAGACATTCTAATCAGTATGTACTGATATCAACTTCTGGTTTTAATTTGCAATTACTATTGATGCTGAACATCTTTTCATTGATTTATTTTCCATCCATATATCTTCTTTGGGGAAATTTCTGTTCAAATCTTTTGTCCATTTTTTTTAACTGAGTTGTTTTCTCATGAGTTTTGAGTTCTTTATGTATTCTTGAGACAAGTCATCTATCAGACATATGCTTTGCAAATATTTTCTCCCAGTCTGCGGCTTGTGTTTTTATTCTCTTACAGGGTCTTATGAAAAACAGAGGTTTTTGATGAACTCCAATTTATTAACCTATTCTCTTACAGATCATGCTTGCGATGTCGTAAGAAATCATGTCAGCCAAGCGTGGTGGCTTACACCTATAATTCCTGCACTTTGGGAGGCCAAGGTGGGTGGATCACCTGAGGTCAGGAGTTCCAGACCAGCCTGGCCAACATGGTGAAACCCCATCTCTACTAAAAAATACAAAAATTGCCAGGCGCAGTGGCTCACGCCTGTAATACCAGCACTTTGGGAGGCCGAGGCAGGTGGATCACGAGGTCAGGAGATTGAGACCATCTGGCTAACCTAGTGAAACTCTGTCTCTACTAAAAATACAACAAAATTAGCCTGGCATGGTGGCGGCGGGTGCCTGTAGTCCCAGCTACTTTGGAGGCTGAGGCAGGAGAATGGCGTGAACCCGGGAGGTGGAGCTTGCAGTGAGCCAAGATCGCGCCACTGCACTCCAGCCTGGGTGACAGAGCGAGACTCCATCTCAAAAAAAAAAAAAAAAAAAAAGGATACAAAAATTAGCCAGGCGTAGTGGCATGTGCCTGAAATCCCAGCTACTCAGGAGGCTGAGACAGGAGAATCACTTGAACCCGGGAGGCAGAGGCTGCAGTGAGCCAAGATCACGCCACTGTGCTCCAACCTGGGCGAGAGAGCAAGACTCCATCTCAAAAAACAAAATAAAAATAAAAATAAAAAAACATGTCTAATCCAATGTCATAAAGAAAACATTTCCCCCACATTTTCTTCTAAATGTTTTATAATTTTAGGTTTTACATTTAGGTCTACGATACATTTTAAACTGATTTTTGCATATGGCGTGAGGTATAAATGAAGATTCATTTTTTTACATATGGATATCCCATTTTTCAAGGACCCTGCGTTGAAAAAACTATTCTGGCCAGGCACATTGGCTCATGTCTCTAATCCCAGCACTTTGGGAGGCCGAGGTGGGAGGGAGGATTGCTTAAGTCCAGTAGTTCAAGACCAGCCTGGGAAACATTTTTTTGTTTTTTGTTTTTGTTTTTGTTTTTTGAGATGGAGTTTCGTTCTTGTTGCCCAGGCGGGAGTGCAATGGCGCAATCTCGGCTCACTGCAACCTCTGCCTCCCAGGTTCAAGTGATTCTCCTGCCTCAGCCTCCTGAGTAGCTGGGATTACAGGCATGTCCCACCACGCCTGGCTAATTTTGTATTTTTTGTAGAGACCAGGCTTTCCCCATGTTGGCCAGGCTGGTCTCAAACTCTCGACCTCAGGTGATCCGCCCACCTTGGCCTCCCAAAGTGCTGGGATTATAGGCATGAGCCACCATGCCTGGGCCAGTCTCTCTTTTATTTAAAAAGAAAAAAAAAATACTATCCTTTCTCCACTGTAATGATTTCATACCTTTGTTCAAAAGTCAATTGCTCAACATGTGCATCCAATTTATTTCTGGATTCTTTATTCTGTTCCATTGATCTATGTGTCTATATGCCAGTACTACATGGTTCTGATTACTGTAGCTTTATAATTAGTCCTGAAATCAGGCAGCCTTAGCTTTGAAAGCTGTTGTTTCTCTGTTTTCTTTTCTCTTTTTTTTTTTTTTTTTGAGACAGAGTTTCACTCTTTTTGCCCAGGCTGGAGTGCAATGGCGCGATCTCAACTCAACGCAACCTTCGTTCGCCTCCCAGGTTCAAGCGATTCTCCTGCCTCAGCCTCCCGAGTAGCTGGGATTACAGGCATGCACCACCACTCCAGCTAATTTTGTATTTTTAGTAGAGACGGGGTTTCTCCATGTTGGTCAGGCTGGTCTTTAACTCAACCACCTCAGGTGATCCGCCCGCCTCAGCCTCCCAAAGTGCTGGGATTACAGGCGTGAGCCACCTCACTGGGCCTCACTGCTGTTCTTTTTCAAAACTGTTTTTTGACTATACTAGGTCCTTTGCATTTCAATAAGCAATTTAGAATCCACTTACTGGCCAGAGGCGGTAGCTCACACCTGTAATTCCAGCAATCTGGAAGGCCAGAGGTAGGCGGATCACTTGAGGCCAGGAGTTCAAGAACAGCCTGGCCAACATAGACAAACCCAGTCTTTACTAAAAATACAAAACATTAGTGGGGCATGGTGGAATACATCTGTAATCCCAGCTACTCGGGACGCTGAGGCATGAGAATCACTTGAATTAGTGAGGCAGAGATTGCAGTGAGCCAGGATTGCGCCACTGCATTCCAACCTGGGTGGCAGAGCAAGACTGTCTCAAAAAAAAAAAAAAAAAAGAATCCATATTAATTTTTACCTAAAAAAAAAGCCTACTGTGATTTTAATTAGGACTGCATTAAATAATTAGGGTTATTGAGTCTTCTAATCCATGAACAAGGTTAATCTCTGCATTTACTTAGATCTTTTAAATTTTTTTCAGCGATGTTTCTGAGTTTGCAACATACAGGTCTTCCACATCTTTGGTCAGATTTATTCCTAAGTACTTAATAATTTAGATGCTACTGTGAATGGCATCATTTTATTTTTAATTCAATTATTCATTGCTACTATATAGAAATACAATTGATTTTTACATATTGATCTCATATAATGCAATCCTGCTAAAATCACTTATTAGTTTAGAGCAATTTTGTAGATTCTATCAGACTTTCCACATAATGTATGTGTGAATAAAGACAATTTTTACTTCTTTCTTTCCATTGTAGCTGCCTTTTTTTTCTTTTTCTTGCCTTATTGCACTGGCTAGAACATCCGGTACACTGTTAAGATAAATGGTAACCAAAGATACCCAAATGACCAATAGACAAATATGTTCATCACTGGTCACAGAAGCACTATTCACAATAGCCAAAAGGTGAAAACAACCCAAGTAACCATCAAGAGATGAATGGATTTTTAAAAATGTGATATAAACCTACAATGGAGTATTATTCACCCTTCAAAAAGAATGTAATGCCAACCTATGTTACAAAATAGAAAAACCCTGCTTTGTCTTGCAACTTGGGTATGAGCTCATCCACAGTAAAATAAAGCACCAAGTAGATTCCTAAAGTTCCCAACTCCAGAGGCTAGAGGCCCTAGCTTCTGGACAGCATTTCTAGACCCATCCTAGGCCAAAAGGGAACCCTCCACCCTGAAGGGAAAAACACAAGCCTGGCTAGATTCACAACCCGCTGAATAAAGAGCCCTTGGGCCTTGAATAAACATCAGTGGTAGCCAGGCAATATTACTGTACTGATGAGACTCAGTACTGTGCTGGTTTCAGGTCTAACCCAGCACAGTCCCAGTGGTGGTGGTTGCAGGGGTGCTTGTGTCACTCCTCCCCTCAACTCCAGGTAGCTCAGCATGGAGAGCGATGCCATTTGTTTGGGGGAAAATAAGGAAAGAGAACAAGAGACTGTGCCTGGTAATCCAGGGAATACTGGCTATTACCCAAGACCACTAAGGCCATACAGCTATAAGTCTACAAGAGTCACAGCATTACTGGGCTTAAGGTGCTCCCTAATGTAGATACGGCTATAGAGACCAAGGACTTAGATCAAAACAATCAATTACCTTTGAATACTTGGAAAGCTTTTTCTAGAAGGATGGGTACAAACAAGCCCAGACTGTGAAGACTACCATAAATACCTAACTCTTCAATGCCCAGACATCAACAAACATCCACAAGCATCAAGACCATACAGGAAAACATGACCTCACCAAACAAACTAAATGAGGCACCAGTGACCAATCCTGGAATGACAGACATGTGTGACCTTTCAGACAGACAAAGTCAAAATAGCTGTTTTAAAGAAGCTCAATGAAATTCAAGATAATACAGAGAAGGAATTCAGAATCCTATCAGATGAATTTTAAAAAGAGATTGAAATAATTGTTTAAAATCCAGCAGAAATTCTGGAGCTGAAAAATTCAACTGATAAACAAGAATGAATCAGAGTCTTTCAACAGCAGAATTGATTTAGCAGAATAAAGAAATCATGAGCTTGAAGACACACTATTTGAAAACACAGTCAAGGGGCCGGACACGGTGGCTCAGGCCTGTAATCCCAGCATTTTGGGAGGCCGAGACGGGCAGATCACCCGAGGTCAGGAGTTCGAGACCAGCCTGGCCAACGTGGTGAAACCCTGTCTCTACTAAAAATACAAATTAGCCGGGCATGGTAGCGGGCACCTGTAATTCCAGCTACTCGGGAGGCGAGGCAGGGGAATTGCTTGAACCCGGAAGCAGAGGTTGCAGTGAGCTAAGATCACGCCATTGCACTCCAGCCTCAGCAACAAAAGCGAAACTCCATCTCAAAACAAAAAAGAAAGAAAGAAAGGAAATACAGTCAGAGGAGACAAAATAGTAAAGAATAAAAAAGAATGAAGCACACCTACAAAATCTAGAAAATAGCCTCAAAAGGGAAAATCTAAGAGTTATGGGCCTTAACAAAAAGGTAGAGAGAAGTATGTACCAAGTTTATTCAAAGAGATATACTACAGAGAACTTCCCAAACATAGAGAAAGATATCAATATTCAAGTACAAGAAGGTTATGGAACAGCAAGGAAATTTAACTCAAAACTACCTCCAGACATTTAATTGTCAAACTCCCAAAGGTCAAGAATGAAGAAAGGATTCTAAAAGCAGCAAAAGAAAAACACATAGCATACAAAGGAGCTCTAATGTGTCTGGCAGCACACTTCTCAGTAGAAACTTTACAGGCTAGGAGAGAGTGTATGACATATTTAAAGTACTGAAAAAAAAACAAAACTTTTATCCTGTATTTTCAGTATATCCACTGAAAATATCCTTCAAACATGAAGGAGAAATAAAGACTTTCCCAAACAAACAAAAGCTGAGGGATTTCGTCAACACCAGACCTGTCCTACAGGAAATACTAAAGGGAGTTCTTCAATCTGAAAGAAAAGAACAGTAATGAGCAATGAGAAATTACCTGAAGATACAAAACTCCCTGGTAATAGCAAATACATAGACAAACATATAGAGAATATTAACACCGTAATTCTGGTGTGTAAACTACTCATATCTCAAACAGAAAGAATAAAAGATGAACCTATCAAAAATAATAACTACAACCAGGTGCGGTGGCTCACGCCTGTATTCCCAGAACTCTGGGAGGTGGGGGTAGGCAGATGGCTTGAGCTCAGGCGTTCAATACCAGCCTGGACAACATGGCAAAACCCCGTCTCTACAAAAAATACAAAAATTCGCCAGGTATAGTGGTGCACACCTGGGGTCCCAGCTACTCAGGAGGCTGAGGTGCAGGGATGGCTTAAGCCGGAGAGGTCGAGGCTACAGTGAGCTGAGATTATGCCACTGCACTCCAGCATGGGCGACAGAATAAGACTCTGTACGGGAAAAAAAAAAAATACCCAAAAACCTACAACACATACACAAAACATAAAAGGCAAGACATTAAAACATACCACCAGAAAATAATCACTTTCCCATAAAGGAAGATGGGAAGGAAGGAAGGAAAAGAAGACCAGAAAACAAATAACAAAATGGTAGTAGAAAGTCCTTATCAATAATGACATTGAATGTAAACAGACTAAATTCTCCAATCAAAAGACATACAGAGGCTGAACGGATTTAAACAAGCACAGTCCGACCATCTGCGGCCTACAAGAAACAGGCTGGGCACAGTGGTTCATGCCTACAATCTCAGCACTTTAGGAGGCTGATGCAGGAGGATTGCTAGACCCCAGGAATTTGAGACTAGCCTGGGCAAGATGGTGAGACCCTGTCTCCATAAAAAATAAAGAAAAATTGGCCAGGTGCAGTGTCATGTGCCTGTAGTCCTAGCTACTTGGGAAGCTGAGGTGGGAAGATCCCCTGAGCTCAGGAGTTTCAGGTCACAGTAATCCGTGATCACACCACTGCACTCCAGCCTGGGGGATAAAGTGAGAACCGGTCTCTAAAAAAACAAAAAAACTTTAAGTAAAATTTTTTAAAAAAGAAACACACTTCACCTATAAAGATACACACAGACTAAAAATAAAGGGGTCAAAAAAGATATTCCAGGCAAATGGAAACTGAAAGAGCAGGAGTAGGTATACTTGTATCAGATAAAACAGATTTTAAGATAAAAACCATAAAAAGAGACAAAGAAGGTCATTATATAATAAGGGTGTCAATTCAGCAAGAGGATGTAACATTTATAAATACACATGCACCCAACACTGGAGCACCCAGATATATAAAGTAAACATTATTAGAGCTAAAGAGAGATGGACTCCAACACAGTAATTGCTGGAAACTTCAACATCCCACTTTCAGCACTGGACAGATCTTCCAGACATAAAACTAAGAAACATTTGACTGAATCTGCACTATAGACTAAATGGACCAAACAGATACTTACAGAACATTTCATCTAACGGCTGCAGAATATACACATTCTTCTCCTCAGCATATATAACATCCTCAAGAACAGAGCATCTATTAGGCCACAAAAAGTCTTAAAATTAAAAAAAACAAAACTGAAAGTACGTCAAATAGGTCTCTGACCACGATGTGATAAAAAAGAAATCAGTTTTAGTCATGAAGTCCTTGCCCATACCTATGTCCTGAATGGTACTGCCTAGGTTTTCTTCTAGGGTTTTCATGGTTTTAGGTCTAACATTTAAGTCTTTAATCCATCTTGAATTAATTTTTGTATAAGGTGTAAGGAAGGGATCCAGTTTCAGCCCTCTACATACGGCTAGCCAGTTTTCCCAGCACCATTTATTAAATAAGGAATCCTTTCCCCATTTTTTGTTTTTGTCAGGTTTGTCAAAGATCAGATGGTTGTAGATGTGTGGTATTATTTCTGAGGGCTCTGTTCTGTTCCATTGGTCTATATCTCTGTTTTGGTACCAGTACCATGCTGTTTTGGTTACTGTAGCCTTGTAGTATAGTTTGAAGTCACGTAGCATGATGCCTCCAGCTTTGTTCTTTTGGCTTAGGATTGTCTTGGCAATGCAGCCTGTTTTTTGCAACAAAAGCCAAAATTGACAAATGGGATCTAATTCAACTAAAGAGCTTCTCCATAGCAAAAGAAACTACCATCAGATTGAACAGGCAACCTATAGAACAGGAGAAAATTTTTACAATCTACCCATCTGACAAAGGGCTAATATCCAGAATCTACAAAGAACTTAAACAAATTTACAAGAAAAAATCAAACCACCCCATCAAAAAGTGGGTGAAGGATATGAACAAATACCTCTCAAAAGAAGATATATTTATGCAGCCAACAGACACATGAAAAAATGCTCATCATCACTGGCCATCAGAGAAATGCAAATCAAAACCACAATGGGATACCATCTCACACCAGTTAGAATGACGATCATTAAAAAGTCAGGAAACTACAGGTGCTGGAGAGGATGTGGAGAAATAGGAACACTTTTACACTGTTGGTGGGACTGTAAACTAGTTCAACCATTGTGGAAGACAGTGTGGCGATTCCTCAAGGATCTAGAACTAGAAATACCATTTGACCCAGCCATCCCATTACTGGGTATATACCCAAAGGATTAAAAATCATGCTGCTATAAAGACACACATGCACACATATGTTTACTGTGGCACTATTCACAATAGTAAAGACTTGGAACCAACCCAAATGTCCAACAATGATAGACTGGATTAAGAAAATGTGGCACATATACACCATGGAATACTATGCAGCCATAAAAAAGGTTGAGTTCTTGTCCTTTGTAGTGACATGGATGAAGCTGGAAACCATCATTCTGAACAAACTATCGCAAGGACAGAAAACCAAACACCGCATGTTCTCACTTATAGGTGGGAATTGAACAATAAGAACACTTGGACACAGGGTGGGGAACATCACACACCGGGGCCTGTCGTGGGGTAGGGGGAGGAGGGGTGGATAGCATTAGGAGATATACCTAATGTAAATGATGAGTTAATGGGTACAGCACACCAACATGGCACATGTATACATATGTAACAAACCTGCATGTTGTGCACATGTACCCTAGAACTTAAAGTATAATAAAAAATAAATAAATAAATAAATAAAAATAAAAAAGAAATCAGTAACAAGAGGAACTTTGGGAACTACGTAAACACATGGAAATTAAAGAATATGTTCCTAAATGACCACTGGGTCAATGAAGAGATTCAGAAGGAAAATTTAAAAAATTGGCCGAGCACAGTGGCTTACACCTGTAATCCCAGCATTTTGGGAGAGCAAGGGGGACAGACTGCTTGAGCCCCAGAGTGCGAGACCAGCCTGGACAACATGGTAGAACCTCAACTCTAAAAAAAAATACAGTAACTTAGCCAGGCCTGGTGGTGTAAACCTGTAGTTCCAGCTATTTAGGAGGCTGAGGTGGGAGAATCTCCTGAGCCCAAGAGGTCAAGGTGGCAGTGGCTGTAATTGTGCCACTGCACTCCTGCCTGGGTGACAGAGTGAGACCTTGTCTCAAAAAAAGAAAGAAAATTTTAAAATTTCTTGAAACAAATGAAAATGGAAACACAACATACTAAAACCTACAGGATACAGCAAAAACAGTACTATGAAGAAAGTTTATAGCAAAAGTGCCTACATCAAAAAAGTAGAAAAACTTCAAATAAACAACCTAAAAATGAATCTTAAAGAATTAGAAAAGCAAAAGCAAACCAAACCCAAAATTAGTAGAAGAAAAAGATCACAGCAGAAATAAATCAAATTGAAACAGAAAAAACACAAAAGATGAAAGGAAAAAAAAACTTGGTGTTTTGAAAAGATAAACAAAATGGACAAACCTTTAGCCAGACTAAGAAAAAAAGAGAGAAGGCTCAAATAAATAAGATCAGAGATGAGACATTACAAGCAATACCACAGAAATTCAAAAGATCATTAGAAACTACTGGCCAGGCATGGTGGCTAACGCCTGTAATCCCAGCACTTTGAGAGGCCAAAGCAGGCGGATCACTTGAGGTGAGGAGTTCAAGACCAGCCTGGCCAACATAGTGAAACCCCATCTCCACTAAAAATACAAAAATTAGCCAGGCATGGTGGCAGGCACCTGTAATCCCAGCTATTTAAGAGGCTGAGGCAGGAGAATCACTTGAACCTGGGAGGTGGAGGTTGTAGTGAGCCGAAATTGCGCCACTGCATTCTGCACTCTAGCCTGGATAACAGGGTGAGACTCCGTCTCAAAAAAAAAAAAGGAACTACTATGAGCAACTATATACCAATAAACTGGAAAACGTAGAAGAAACTGCTAAATTCCTAGAAACATACAACCTACCAAAACCGAACCATACTGACATCCAAAACCTGAAAAGACCAACAACAAAATGAGATTGAAGCAGTAGTAAGAAGTCTCCCAGCCAAGAAAAGCCCAGGACCTAATGGCTTCACTGCTGAATTTTACCAAAGATTTAAAGAACTAATACCATTCCTACTCAAATTATTCTGAAAAACAGTGAACAGAATACTTCCAAACTTATTCTGTAAGGCCAGTATGAACCTGTTACCAAAACCAGACAAAGACACATCAAAGAAAGAAAATTGGCCAGGCGCAGTGGCTCACACCTGTAATTCCAGCACTTTGGGAGGCCAAGGCGGGCAGATCACCTGAGGTCAGGAGTTCGAGACCAGCCTGGCCAACATGGTGAAATCCTGTCTCTACCAAAAATACAAAAAAAATTTAGCCGGGCGTGGTGGTGGGCGCCTGTAGTCCCCAGCTACTCGGGAGGCTGAGGCAAGAAAATCGCTTGAACCCGGAAGGCAGAGGTTGCAGCAAGCCCAGATCGTGCCATTGCACTTCAGCCTGGGTGACAAGAGCGAGATTCTGTCTTAAAAAAAAAAAAAATGGGAAGAAAATTACAGGCCACTATCTCCAATGAACATTGATGCAAAATTCCTCAACAAAACAATAGCAAACCTAATTCAAGACCAGCTTGGCCAACAGGGTGAAACCTTGTTTCTACTAAAAACACAAAAAAATTAGCAGGGCACGGTGGCGCACGCCTGTAATCCCAGCTCCTTGGGAGGCTGAGGCAGGAAAATTGCTTGAACCCAGGAGGCAGAGGTTGCAGTGAGCCGAGATCATGCCATTGCACTCTAGCCTGGGTGACAAGAGTGAAACTCTGTCTCAAAAAAACAAATAAACAAACAAACAAAAAACAACAAGCAAACCAAATTCAACAACGTATTAAAAAGATTATTCAACATGACCCTGTGGGATTTAAACCAGGGAGACAAGGATAGTTCCAAATAAACAAATCGATCAATGTGATACAGCCTATCAACAGAATAAAAGACAAAAACCATATGATCATTTCAATTGATGTTGAAAAAGCATTTGATAAAACTCAATATCCTTTCATGACAAAAACTCTCAAAAATTGGTTATAGAAGGAACATACCTTAACACAGTAAGAGCTATATACAACAGACCCATAACAGACTGTTTTCCCCATTTAGTATTATATTAAAAGCCTTCCTCTAAGATATGAAACACAACAAGGATGCCCACTTTCAATACTGTTATTCAACATAGTACTGAAAGTCCTAGCTAGAGCGATTACATAAGGAAGAAATAAAGACATCCAAATTGGAAAGGAACTAGTCAAATTACTCTTATTTATAAATGATATGAGGCCAGGCATGGTGGCTCACACCTGTAATCCCAGCACTTTGGGAGGCCAAGGCAGGTGGATCACTTGAGGTCAGGAGTTTGAGACCAGCCTGGCCAACATGGTGAAACCCCATCTCTACCAAAAAATACAAAAATGTAGCCAGGAGCAGTGGCTCACACCTGTAATCCCAGCACTCTGGGAGGCCGAGGCAGATGGATCACTTGAGGCCAGGAATTAAAGACCAGTCTGGCCGATATGGCAAAACCCCATCTCTACTAAAAATACAAAAATTAGCTGGGTGTGGGAGTGCACACCTGTAGTCCCAGCTACTTGGGAGGCTGAAGCATGAGAATCATGTGAACCTGGGAGGTGGGGGTTGCAGAGAGCCGAGATAGCACCACTACACTCCAGCCTGGGTGACTGTCTCAAAAAAAAAAAAAGATATGATATATTTGGAAAAATGTAAAGACTCCACCAAAAACTATGAAAACTAATACATTCAGCCAGGCACAGAGGCTCACGCCTCTAATCCCAGCACTCTGGGAGGCTGAGGTGGGTGGATCACCTGAGGTCAGGAGTTCAAGACCAGCCTGGCCAACATGGTGAAACCCCCATCTCTACTAAAAATACAAAAATTAGCCAGGCATGCTGGCACACGCCTGTAGTGCCAACTACTCTGGAGGCTGAGGTCGAAGAATCCCCTGAACTCAGGAGGTGGAGGTTGCAGTAAGCTGAGATCACACCACTGCACTCCAGCCTGGGCGACAGAACAAGACTTGTCTCAAAAAAAAAAAAAAAAAAAAAAAAAAAAAGAACTAATAAATTCACTAAAGTTTCAGGATATAAAATCAATATACAAAAATCAGTAAAAATCAGTATTTCCATATGTCAACAATGACCCATCTGAAAAAGAAATGAAAACAGTACTCCCATTTACAGTATCTACAAATAAAATAAAGTACTTAATAAGTTAACCTAAGTTAAGGTTAACCTAATAATCAAAGAAGTAAAAAATTGCTACAACTAAAACAATAAATAATTGATGCAAGAAATTAAAGAGAACACACACACAAAAAACGGAAAGAGACCAGGCATGGTGGCTCATGTCTGTATCCCAGCATGTTGGAAAGCCAAGGTGGGAAGACTGCTTGAGTGAGCCAATGGGTCCAAGCTGGGCAACATAGCAAGAAGTTGTCTCTAAGAGTAAAAAAAAAAAAATTAGCCCGGCCTGGTGGGATTCACTTGTAGTCCTCAGGTACTGAGGAGGCTGAGGCGAGAAGATCTCTTGAGCCTAGGAGGTCAAGACTGCAGTGAGCCGTGATTGTGCCACTGTACTCCAGCCTGTACAATAGTGTGAGACCCTATCTCCAAAAAAAAGGAAAAAGATATTCCATGTCCATGGATTGAAAGACTCAAAGTTGTTTAAAAAAAAAAAAAAGTCCATACTACACAATCTACAGATTAAATGCAATCCCTATCAAAATACCAATGACATTTTCCACAGAAATAGAAAAATAAATCCTAAAATTTATATGGAGCCACAAAAGACCCAGAATAGTCAAAGCTATTCTGAGCAAAAACAAAACTGGAAGAATCACATTATCTGACTTCAAATTATACTAGAGCTATAGTAGCCAAACAGCATGTCAGTGGCATTAAAATAAGACACAGAGACCAATGGAACACAATAGAGAACCCAGAAATAAATCCATACATCTACAACGAACTTATTTTTGACAAAGGTGGTAGGAACAGACATTGAGGAAAGGACAGTCTCTTTAACAAATATTGCTGGGAAAACTAGATATCAATATGCAGAAGAAGGAAACTAGATCCCTATTTCTCACCATATACAAAAATCAAATCAAGACAAATACTTAAGTCTAAAACCTCAAACCATGAAACTACTACAAGAAAATATTGGGGATACTCTCCAGGACACTGGTCTGGGGAAAGATCTCTTTCTTTTTTCTTTTTGAGACAGGGTCTCACTCTGTCATCCAGACCGGATTTCTTGATTACGACCCCAAAAGCATAGGTAACCAAAGCAAAAATAGGTAAATAGGATCACATCAAGTTAAAATGCTTCTGCACAGCAAAGGAAACAATCAACAAAGTGAAGAGACAACCTACAGATGGGAGAAAATATTTGCAAACTATCCATTTGATAAGGTATTAATAACCAGAACATAGGCCGAGCATGGTTGCTTACACCTGTAATTACAGCACTTTGGGAGACCAAGGCGGGTGGATCACCTAGGTGAGGAGTTCAAGACCAGCCTGGCCAACATAATGAAACCCCGTCTCTACTAAAAATACAAAAATTAGCCGGGTGTGATGGCACACACCTGTAGATCCAGCTACTCGGGAGGCTGAGGTGGGAGAACTGCTTGAACCCAGGAGGTGGAGGTTGCAGTAAGCCGAGATCATGCCACCCCATTCCAGCCTGGGTGACACAGCAAGATTCCATCTCAAAAATAACATAACATAACATAACATAACATAACATAACATAACCAGAACATATAAGGACATCAAACAACTCTACAGGAAAAAAATCTAATAATCCAGTTTTAAAAACAGGCAAAATATCTGAATAGGTTTTTCTCAAAAGAAGACATATGAATGTCAAACAGGTATACGAAAAGGTGCTCTACATCACTGGTCATCAGAGAAATGCATCAAAATTTCTTTGATCAAAACTAAAATGAGATATCATCTCACACCAGTTAAAATGGCTTAGGTCCAAAAGACAGGCAATAACAAATGCTGGCAAGGATATGAAGAAAAGGGAACCCTCATACACTGTTAGTGGGAACACAAACTAGTATGGTAACTATGGAGAATAGTATAGAGGTTCCTCAAAAAATTAGAAACAGAACTATCATACAATCCAGCAATCCCCTATGATAGATATATACCAAAAAGAAAGGAAATCAGTACATCAAAGAAATACTGACACTCCCATGTTTATTGCAGCACTATTCACAATAGCCAAGATTTGGAAGGAACCTAAGTTGCTTCAACTTAGCAACCCTAAGTTATTCAACAACAGACAAATGGATAAAGAAAATGTGGCATTCGAGCCAGGCGTGGTGGCTGACGCCTGTAATCCCAGCATTGTGGGAGGCCGAGGCGGGCGGATCACCTGAGGTCAGGAGTTTGAGACCAGCCTGACCAACATGGAGAAACTCCGTCTCTACTAAAAATACAAAATTAGCCAGGAGTGGTGGGACATGCCTGTAATCCCAGCTACTCGGGAGGCTAAGGCAGGAGAAATCGCTTGAACCTGGGAGGCGGAGGCTGCAGTGAGCCAAGATCGCGCCACTGCACTCCAGCCTGGGCAACAAGAGCAAAACTCCATCTCAAAAAAAAAAAAAAAAGAAAAAAGAAAAGAAAATATGGTATATATACCCAACGGAGTACTATTCAGCCATAAAAAAGAGCAAGATTGTGTCATTTAGAACAACATAGATAGAACTGGAGGTCATTATATTAAGTAAAGTAAGCCAGGCACAGAAACACAAACTTCACGTTTTCACTTCACTTACTCATTTGTGGGAGCTACAACTTAAAACAATTAAACTAATGGAAACAGAAAATAGAATAATAGCTATCAGACGCTGCAAAGGGCAGTGGGGAGGTGGCGGGGGCGGAATGGAGACGGTTAATGCATACAAAAATAGGGTTAGAATGAATAAGATCTAGTATTTGATAGCACAACAGGATGACTACAGTCAACAATAATTTATTGTATATTTTAAAATAACTAAAAGTACCATTGGAATGTTCGAACAAAGAAATGATAAACACTTGAAGTGATGGATACTCCATTTACCCTGATGTGAACACACACTGTATGCCTGTATCAAAATATCTCATGTATCCCATAAATATATACACCTACTATGTACCCATAAAAACTTAAAATTTAGGCCAGGCAGGGTGGCTCACACCTGTAATCCCAGCACTTTGGGAGGCCGAGGCAGGCAAATCACCTGAGGTCAGGAGTTCAAGACCAGCCTGGCCAACATGGTGAAACCCCGTCTCTAATAAAAATACAAAAATTAGCTGGGCCTGGTGGCGTGCACCTGTAGTCCCAGCTACTCTGGAGGCTGAGGCAGGAGAATCTCCTGAACCCAGAAGGCAGAGGCTGCAGTGAGCCGAGATCACGCCACTGCACTCCAACCTGGAAACAGAGCAAGAATCTGTCTTTAAAAAAAAAAACTTAAAATTTAAAGAAAATAGAATGGATATTAGAATTTATCAAGCACTTTTTCTGCATCTACTGAGATCATTATGGCTTTTCTTTTATTTGTTAATATGGTAAATTACATTGATTTTCAAGTTATAGATCAATCCTGAATTTCTGGCATAAACCCCACTTGGGTCATGATCTGTCATCCTTTTTATATGTTCTTGAATTCTATTTGCTACAATTTTGTGTGAAATTTTATATATGTTAACGAGGAATACTGGCATATAGTTTTCCTGTAATATCTTTGGTTCTGGTATCAAGATAATGCTAACATGACAGAACAAGTTGGGAAAAATTTCCTCCTCTTCAATTTTCTGGAAAAGGTTGTAGAGAAATGGTGTTATTTCTTCCTTAAACGTCTGATAGAATTTGCCTGTGAAATTACATGAGTCTGGATCTTTATGCGGGTAGATTTTTAAACTATGATTTCAATTCCTTTAACACATACGAGGCTATTTGGCTTGCCTATTTCTTCTTGATTGATAGATAGATAGATTGATTGATTGATTTTTTGAGACAGGGTCTTACTCTGTTGCCCAGGCTGGAGTGCAGTGACACAATGACAGCTCACTGCAGTCTCAACCTCCCAGGCTCAAGTGTTCCTCCCACCTCAGCATCTCAAGTAGCTGGTACCGTGGACATGAACCACCACATCCAGTTAATTTATTTTTCTGGAGATGAGGTCTCACCATGTTTCCCAGGCTGGTCTAAAACTCCTGGGCTCAAGCGATTCTCCCCCTCCCAAAGTGCTGGGATTACAGGAATGAGCCACCTTGCCCAGCCCCTATTTCTTCCTGAATAAACTTTTGTAGTTTGTGTCTTTCAAGGAATTTGTCATTCCATCTAAGTTGTCAAATTTATTGGCATAAAGTTGTTCATAATATTCTATTACTATCCATTTAGTGTCTTTAGAATATGTAGTGATGTCACCTCTCTAATTCTGATATCAGTAATTTGTATCTTCTCTTTTATGTCTGATCAGCCTGGTTAGAAGTTTAACCATTTTAAAAATCACATTTGGTTTCATTGATTTTTCTCTTGCTTTTCTGTTTCATATTTCTTTGAATTTTACTTTGATCTTTATTATTTTCTTTTCTCTGCTTATGTAGAGTTTAATTTGCTCTTCTTTTTCAAGTTTTTTAAGGTGGAAGCTGAAGTCAATGATTTGAGATCTTTTCTAATTTAGTTATTTAGTGCTACAAATCATTTCCTAAGCAATGTTTTAGTGGTACCCCACAAATCTAGATATGTTGTGTTTTCTTTTTTTTTTTTTTTGAGACAGAGTGTCACTCTGTCACCTAGGCTGGAGTGTAGTGATGTGATCTTGGATCACTGCAACCTCCGCCTCCTGGGTTTAAGCGATTCTCACACCTCAGCCTCCTGAGTAGCTGGGATTACAGGTGCAAGCCACCGCACCCGGCCTTCTTTTTATTCTGTTCAGAATATTTTTTTATAGCCGTTTTCTTTTTTAAACTTTAATTCTTTTTTCCTTTTTTTCCTTTTCTTCACTCTGTTTTCTGAAACCTCACCTGGATCAAAATATATTTCCTTTTTTTTTTTTGAGACGGAGTCTCACTCTGTCGCCCAGGCTGGAGTACAGTGGCGTGATCTCGGCTCACTGCAACCTCCGCCTCCCAGGTTCACACCATTCTCCTGCCTCAGCCTCCTGAGTAGCTGGGACTGCAGGCGCCTGCCACCACGCCCGGCTAATTTTTTGTATTTTTAGTAGCAACAGGGTTTCACCATGTTAGCCAGGATGGTCTCGATCTCCAGACCTCGTGATCCACCTGCCTCGGCCTCCCAAAGTGCTGGGATTTCAGGCGTGAGCCACTGCACCCGGCCTTGTTTTATTTCCTTTTTTAAAAAATATTTTCTTTGCCCAATAGATAATTTTAAAGTATTTTTTCTCGGATGAGGTTTCTTACTAAAAAACTACAAATTAAAATAAAAAATAACATAAAAAAGACACAGATTTAATTTTAAAGAGTAAAAAAATAAAATTTAAAGAAAAGCAAGTGCCAGGCGTGGTGGCTCTCGCCTGTAATCCCAGCACTTTGGAAGGCTGAGGCGGGCAGATCACCTGAGGTTGGGAGCTCGTGACCAGCCTAACCAACACAGAGAAACCTCTCTCTTCTAAAAGTACAAAATTAGCCGGGTGTGGTGGCGCATGCCTGTAATCCCAGCTACTCGGGAGGCTGCGACAGGAGAATCGCTTGAACTCAGGAGGTGGAGATGGCAGTGAGCAGTGAGCAGAGATTGCGCCCTTGCACTCCAGCCTGGGCAACAAGAGCGAAACTCCATCTCAAAAAAAAAAAAAAAAACAAAAAAAAAAACAGAAAAGAAAAAAAAGAAAAATTTTTTTAAAAATAAAGTATGTTTTTCAGTTTCCAAATTCAGTACTTGGGAATTTTCCAAGAATCTTTCTGTTACTGATTTCTAACTTAAATGCCTTATGGTCAGAGAATGTACTTTGTATAACCCAAATTCTTTCATAGTTATCAAGACTTGTTTTATGGCTAAGAATCTGGTCTTTTTTTTTTTTTCATTTATTTTTTTGCAGAGACAGGGTCTTGCTATGTTGCCCAGCCTGGTCTTGAACTCCTGGCCTCAAGCAATCCTCCCACCCTGGCCTCCCAAAGTGCTGGGATTACAGGAGTTAAGACACCATGCTCAGCCTGAATGTGGTCTGTCTTGATGAATATTCCATGTGCACTTTAGCAGAATGTCTCTCTGTTGTTGCACAGAGGGCTCTATAAATCAAGTCAAGTAAATAGTGTTGTAACAAGTCTACTACATCCTTGATGGTTTTCTGTCCACTTGTGCTATCAACTAGTACGAGAATGGCATTAAAATCTCTGACTAAAATTATGGATTTGTCTTTTTCTCCTTTCAGTCTATCAGTTTTTGCTTCATGTATTTTGAAACTGTTATTAAAGGCATAAACATTAAGAATTGTTATATCCTTTCAACTAATTCCTTTATCATTATAAAAAAAGCATTAAAAAATTACCCTTCTTCATTCCTGATAAAAACCAGTCTGTATGAAATAAAAGCTACTTTTCAATTTCAGATTTTATTAATACTTTCCTCTCACATAAAATGTATATATAGGATGCCTTTAGATTTACCTAAAATAAATGTATAAACCTGTTGATTGTAAACATTAGTGATGTGTAGATAACAGTATTTTGATGGTTTTTACATTAAAAAAAAATTTTTTTTTTTGGAGGCAGGATCTCACTCTGTTGCCCAGGCTGGAATGCAGTGGCACAATCATAGCTCACTTCAGCCTCAAACTCCCAGGCTCAAGTGATCCTTCTAGCTCAGCCTCCTGAGTAGCTGGGACTACAGGCACGCACCACCATATCCAGCTAATTTTTTCTAACTTTTGTAGAGATCAGGGTCTCTCTATGCTACCCAAGCTGGTCTTGAACTCCTGGCCTCAAGTGGCCCTCCAGCCTCCACCTCCTGAGCCACTGAGACTGAGACAGAGTTTCGCTCTTGCCACCCAGGCTGGAGTGCAACGGCACAATCTTGGCTCACTGCAACCTCCACCCCAGCGGGGTTCAAGTGACTCTCCTGCCTCAGTCTCCCGAGTCGCTGGAATTACAGGCGGCCCCCCCTCCACCACCACCACACCTGGCTAATTTTTGTATTTTTAGTACAGACAGGGTTTCACCATATTGGCCAGGCTGGTCCTGAACTCCTGACCTCAAGATGATCTACACGCCTCAGCCTCCCAAAGTGCGGGGGTTACAGGCACGAGCCCCCACACCCGGTCCCGGCCAACTTTTTAATTTTAAAACATGTAATTGAAAAAATATATATATAACATTCAAGGTATATAAAATGATGATTTGGTATATATATACACATTATGTACTGACTACCACAGTCAAATTAACACAATCAACACCACCACCCATAGTGACCATGGGTCACTTACAATTTGCTCTCTTTATCAAATTTCAAGTAAGCAATACAGTATAATCAACTATAGTAACCATGCTGTACATTACATCCCCTCCCTATTTCCCCTACCTCCTCCCCAGGCACTAGCAACCACCCTTGTATGCTCTGCTTTTATGAGTTCAACTTGTTGGATTCCACATATTAATGAGACTATACAATATTTGTCTTTCTGTATCTGGCTTATTTCACTTAGCATAATATCTCCCAGTTTCATCCATAATGTCACCAATGACAGGATTTCCTTCTTTTTATGGCTAAATAGTATTCTGCTGTGTGTGTGTATGCCACAATTTCTTTACACATTCATCCGTCGATGGACACTAACGTTACTTCCACATCTCAGCTATTGTGAATAATGCTACAATTAACATGGGGGTACAGATATCTCTTCAATCTACTGATTTCACTTCCTTTGGATATATACCTAGAAGTGGGATTGCTGAATTGTACAGTAGTTCTATTTTTAATTTTGAGAAGAACCTCCATATTGTGCTCCATAATGGCTGTTCCAATTTACATTCCCACCAATAGGGTACAAGAGTTCTCTTTCGCCATACCCATATTGATACTTTGTATTAACAAAAGCTTTTGAAGAAAAAATAAAACGACTTGTAAAAATCAACTTAGATATACAGTTTAACAATTAAAATTCATTTTCCAACTATAATTTTTGTATTTTTTGTAGACATGGTATCTCACTATGTTGCGTAGGCTGGTTCTGAACTTCTGGGCTCAAGCAATCCACCTGCCTCAGCCTCCCTAAGCACTGGGACTACAGGAATGAGCCACCTTGCTCAGCCACCTTACTGTTTAGAACAGCACACATTCTAATAAATGCCATTAATATCAACAAAACACTATTAACTTCAATTACAAGACTAAATGCACTGGGTTAGGTCGCTCAGAGTGAGACCTTGTCTCAAAAAAAAGATAAAAAAAACTAAATGCAGTTCATGTAATTCCTCTCATTGTAATAAAAGATATTTTTTAAAGGTTCAAAAACAGCTGTATGTTCCCTGGTAACCCAAACCATGCAAAATGAATGATGAACTTTGTTAAACCACAAAGAAAGTACAGTTTTATCAAAGCTATTTGCTACATTTAAGCAATTTAAAATAGGGGCTTGGTAACTACCATTAGAAAGCATTATCAAAGTCATGTTGACTGGGTCACAGAACTACAAAACTGAAATCATTTCAGATAAAATCAGTTCCTTTTTCAGAACACAAGGCAGTTAGTTTAATTCTCTACCATTGTACCTGCCACTGAAAGTTTTATACATAAGAGGGTTATAAAGAAGGGATGCAAATAACAAATGCCTAAAAGGCGTTGGGCATGATATTAAGAGTTGTGGGAACTAGAGAGAATGCAGGCTGCCACTACTACTAGGAACCATCCAATAGTTGCCAAATGAACTTGGAAAAATCAGAGCTTCCTTTCTACCTTTTTAAAGAAATCAGGATTTTTATATAAATGTCCAAGTTTTAAAATATTGGCAACTAATTAAAAACTTCTAAACATTAAGAAGTCCAAACAACACTACGTAAGAAGGCATATGCATCTAAAGGTTAAAAGTCAAGAGAGGAATCACTTTTAATTTCCATTATGAAATATACTGACTGGCTGGGTATGCTGGCTCACGCCTGTAATCCCAGCACTTTGGGAGGTCACAGGGAGCAGATCATTTGAGGTCAGGAGTTTTGAGACCAGCCTGGCCAACACGGCAAAACCCCATCTCTACTAAAAATACAAAAAATTAGCCAGGTGTGGCGGCTCGTGCCTGTGGTCCTAGATACTTGGAAGGCTGAGGCATGAGAATTACTTGAACCCCGGAGGCAGAGGTTGCAGTGAGCCAAGATAGTGCCACTGCACCCTAGCCTGAGTGACAGAGGAAGACTACGCCAAAAAAAAAAAGTATGTGTGTGTGTGTGTGTGTGTGTGTGTGTATACACACGCTGATTTGGTTAAATGCCTAGCTTTACCAATAAAGATATGTGAGCCAATGAAGCTATCAAACTGATAACACAACCACATTGAAAGGAATGAAAAATTAATCCAAATAATTATTTTATTTTAAGAGACAGGATCTCACTCTGTCACTCAGGCTAGAGTAGAGTGGTGCCATTATAGCTCACCACAGCCTTAGACTCCTGGGCTCAAACAATCCTCCCATTTCAGCCTCCTGATGAGTAGCTATGACTACAGATGTGCAGCACCACACCCAGTTAATCTTTTTTTTAATGTAGATGATACGGTTTGGCTGTGTTCCCACCCAAATCTTATCTTGAATTGTAACTCCCACAATTCCCACATGTCATGGGAGGAACCTGGTGAGAGGTAATTGAATCACAGGGGAGGGTCTTTCCCATGCTGTTCTCATGGAAGTGAATAAGTCTCACGAGATCTGATGGTTTTAAAAGAAAAGGGAGTTTCCCTGCACCAGCTCTCTATTTGCCTGCTGCCATTCACATAAGACGTGACTTGCTCCTCCTTGCCTTCTGCCATGATTGTGAGGCCTCCCCAGCCACATGGAACTGTAAGTCCAATAAACCCCTTTCCTTTGTAAATTGCCCAGTCTCAGGTATGCCTTTATTAGCAGCGTGAGAACAGACTAATACAGTAAATTGGTACCAGGAGAGTGGGGCACTGCTGAAAAGATATCCGAAAATGTGGAAGCGACTTTCGAACTGGGTAACAGGCAGAGGCTGGAACAGTTTGGAGGGCTCAGAAGGAGAGAGGAAAATGTGGGAAAGTTTGGAACTCCCTAGAGACTTGTTAAGTGGCTTTGACCAAAATGCTGATCGTGATATGGACAATAAAGTTCAGGCTGAAGTGGTCTCAGATGGAGATGAGGAACTTGTTGGAAACTGGAGCAAAGGTGACTCTTGTTACGTTTTAGCAAACAGACTGGCAGCATTTTGCTCCTGTCCTAGAGATTTGTGGAACTTTGAACTTGAGAGAGATGATTTAGGGTATCTGGCAGAAGAAATTTCTAAGCAGCAAAGCTTTCAAGAAGTGACTTGGGTGCTCTTAAAAGCATTCACTTTTACAGGGGAAGCAGAGCATAAAAGTTCAGAAAATTTGCATCCTGACAATGCAATAGAAAAGAAAATCCCATTTTCTGAGGAGAAATTCAAGCCAGCTACAGAAATTTACATAAGTAACGAAGAGTGGAATGTTAATCCCCAAGACAGAGGGGGAAAATGTCTCCAAGGTATGTCAGAGGTCTTCACAGCAGCCTCTCCCATCACAGGCCCAGAGGCCTTGAAAGAAAAAGTGGTTTTGTGGGCTGGGCCCAGCATCCCCTTGCTGTGTGCAGCCTAGGGACTTGGTGCTCTGCATCCCAGCCACTCCAGCTGTGATTAAAATGAGCCAAGGTACAGCTCAGGCCATGGTTTCAGAGGGTGCAAGCCCCAAGCCTTGGAAGCTTCCACATGATGTTAAGCCTGTGAGTGCACAGAAGTCAAGAACTAGGGTTTGCGAACCACCGCCTAGATTTCAGAGGATGTATGGAAATGCCTGGATGGGCAGGAAGAAATTTGCTGCAGGGGCGGGGCCCTCATGGAGAACCTCTGCTAGGGCAGTGTGGAAGGGAAATGTGGGGTGGGAGCCCCCACAAAGGGTCCCCACTGGGGTGCTGCCTAGCGGAGCTGTGAGAAGGTGGTCACCGTCCTCCATACCCCAGAATAGTAGATCCTCCCACAGTTTGCATCGTTCTCCTGGAAAAGCTGCAGACACTCATCACCAGCCCATGAAAGCACACCGGAGGGAGGCTAGGTACCCTGCAAAGCCACAGGGGTGGAGTTGCCCAAGACCATGGGAACCCACTTCTTGCAGCAGTGTGACCTGGACGTGAGACATGGAGTCAAAGGAGATCATTGTGGAGCTTTAAGACTTGACCACCCCGCTGGATTTCAGACTTGCATGGGGCCTGTAGCCCCTTCATTTTGGCCAATTTCTCCCATTTGAAATGGCTGTATTTACCCAATGCCTGTGCCCCCATTGAATCCAGGAAGTAACTAACTTGCTTTTGATTTTACAAGCTAATCGGCGGAGGAAACTTGCCTTGTCTCAGATGAGACTTTGGACTGTGGACTTTTGAGTTAATGTCAAAATGAGTTAAGACTTTGGGGTCGGGTGCAGCGACTCACGTTTGTAATCTAAACACTTTGGGAGGCTGAGCGGGGGCAGATCACTTGAGATTAGGAGTTCAAGACCAGCCTGGTCAACGTGGCGAAACCCCATTTCTACAAAAACTACAAAAATTACTCACTGCAACCTCCACCTCCTGGGTTCAAGCAATTCTCCTGTCTCAGCCTCCCATGTAGCTGGGATTACAGGTGCACGCCACTATGCCCAGCTAATTTTTGTATTTTTAGTAGAGATGGGGGTTTCACCATATTGGTCAGGCTGGTCCTGAACTCCTGACCTCAGGTGATCTACCCGCCTCAGCCCCCCAAAGTGCTGGGATTACAGGCGTGAGTCACTTGGGTATGTCAGCCATGTGAGAACAGACTAGTACAGTAGAGATGGAGGTCCTGCTACATTTCCCAGGCTGATCTCAAACTCCTGGCCTCATGCAATCGTCCCACCTTGACATCCTAAAGCACTGGATTACAGGTATTAGCTACAGCGCCCAGCCACATATAACTTTTGAAGACAGTATTTTGACATAAAGAGTTGAGAAAAAAATCTTGACCTGGCTAGGCACAGTGGCTCATGCCTGCAATCCCAGCAATTTGGGAGGCTGAAGTGGGAGGATCATTTGACCCCAGGAGTTTGAGACCAGCCTGGGCAACAAAGTGAGACCTAGCCCCTACAAAAAAATTTAAAATTAGCTGGGTGTTGTGGCACATGCCTGTGATCCCAGCTACACAGGAGGCTGAGGCAAGAGGATTGTTTGAGCCGTAAGTGCCACTGCATTATAGCCTGTGAAACAGCAAGGCCCCATGTCAAAAACAAACACACACACATAAAATGAATTTGTTGATTTTCTTCACTCAGGTCTTGCACACTTTTTTGCTTGGATTATTCATAACTATTTTACTGTTTTGTGGCTAAAGGGAAAGGAGTTCTTGTGTTTGTTAAAAAATTACTACTGGTGGCCAGGCGCGATGGCTTACACCTATAATCCCAGCACTTTGGGAGGCCGAGGCAGGTGGATCACTTGAGATCAGGAGCTCAAGACTAGCCTGGCCAACATGGTGAAACCCTGTCTCTACTAAAAATACAAAAAAAATTAGCCGGGCATGGTGGCAGGCACCTGTAATCCCAGCTACTCGGGAGGCTGAGGCAGGAGAATCATTTGAACCCAGGAGGTGGAGGTTGCAGTGAGCCAAGATCGTGCCATTGCACTCCAGCCTGGGGGATAAGAGCGAGACTTCATCTCAAAAAAAAAAAACAAAAATTACTACTGGTATATTAATAACTTATGACAGGGTCTCAAACATCGTTTTAAATGCTGGGAATTAAAGCAATGAAAATACCAAATACTTGTCTTTATGGAGCTTATATTACGGTTGGAAAATAATTAGTAAACTTATATTTTCAAAAACATAGATGCTGTGTGGCCGGGCATGGTGGCTCACACCTGTAATCCCAGCACTTTGGGAGACCGAGAAGGGTGGATCAACCAAGGTCAGGTGTTCGGGACCAACATGACCAACATGGTGAAACCCCATCTCTACTAAAAATACAAAAATTAGCTGGCCGTAGTGGCTCACGCCTGTAATCCCAGCTACTCTGGAGTCTGAGGCACGAGAATCACCAGGAGGCGGAGGCTGCAGTGAGCTGAGATCGTGCCACTACACTCCAGCCTAGGTGACTGAGCAAGACTTGGTCTCAAAAAAAAAAAACCATAGGTGCTATGAAGAAAAGTAAATCAAAACAGAGAGAAAGTGGAAGGGAGGGGCCTATTTTTATGGTGTCACCAGGGAATACCTCTCTGAAGAAGTAAATAAGTAAGATCTAGCCAGGCGCAGAGGCACACACCTGTAATCCCAGCATTTAGGGAAGCTGAGGCGGGCAGATCATCTGAGGTCGGGAGTTCGAGACCAGCCTGACCAATATGGAGAAACCCCATCTTTACTAAAAATACAAAAATTAGCCAGGCGAGGCGGCGCATGCCTGTAATCCCAGCTACTCAGGTGGCTGAGGCAGGAGAATCGCTTGAACCCAGGAGGCGGAGGTTGCGGTGAGCCAAGATCGTGCCATTGTACTCCAGCCTGGGCAACAAGAGTAAGACTCCATCTCAAAATAAAAAAAAAAGAAGTAAGATCTAAGCAGGGGCCTAAGTGGCATGAAGGAGCAAGCAAATCATATGACAATAAAGGAAGAACATTCCAGGCAGGAAAAAAGTCAATTAATAAAAGCCTTAAAGCAGTAAGTAACTTGGTCTTTGAGGAACAGCAAGGCCAGTGGCTCTTGAGCTTAGAGTAGTAGGAGATGAGGTCAGTGAAGGAGAAAAGAAGTAAGGCCTTTTAGGCTAAGACTAGGTCTTTGGATTTTTTTCTAAATATGATGAAAAACTATGAGGGGCCTTCAAATGAGAGTGACATGTTACCATTTATGTTTTTCATTTTAGCTGTTGTGAGAACAAACTAGAAGGAGAAAAGAATGGAAGCAAGGGAGAGCAGATAGAAGGCAATTAAAATAACCCAGAAAAGAGATAATAAAAATGGCTTATATTAGGGCAAAGGAGTGGGAGCAGCAAGAAATTATAATATTGGGGATATAGTTTGAAGGTAAAGCTGCTGCTGGTGGATTGGAAGTAAAAGGGGAAAAAAGAGAAAGCAAGTATGATTTCCAGCTTGTGGCTTAAGTGGGTAAACGATAGTACCATTTACTGAGAGAGTAAAGTCTGAGAAAAGGGTAGGTTTGAGGAAATAAACCAATAATTCTTTTTTGGACAAGTTAAAATTGACATGCCTACTAAAATATTCAAGAGATGTAGAAAAGGCAGTCCTGGCAGGGCACAGTGGCTTACACCTATAAACCTAGTCCTTTGGGAGGCCAAGGTGGGAGGATGCCTGAGGCCAGGTGTTCGAGACCAGCCTGGGCAACACAGCAAGACCCAGTCTCAATAACTACAATAAAATTAGCCAGGTGTGGTAGTATGCACCTAAAGTCCTAGCTACTCAGGAGGCTGAGGCAGGAGGATTACTTGAGACCAGGAATTCAAGGTTACAATGAGCTATAATTGCATCACTGTATTTCGGCCTGGGTGACAGAATGAGACCCTGTCTTGAAAAACGAAAAAGCAGTCCATTATAGTGTGGAGTTCAATGAAGATGTCAAGGCATGTCAAGGCCTGAGTCAAGAGCAAATTAATAATGCTTACAGCCATAGCATTAGATAAGATACTCAAAGAATTGTCAAATACTAACTGACGAATACTGATAAAGAAAAGTTACAAAGCCTAAGTCTAGGTGTGATACAACAAACTTCAGGTGAGGAAAGAGAAGCTAGAAAATAAGACCGAGAAGGAGCTGCCATAAATTAGGAAAGAATAAAGATAATATATGGCATCCAGAAAACCAAGTAAAGTTTTTATAAAACAGGAACTGATCAATCACTTGTGTCAAATGCTGATGACAGGCAGAGTAATTTACGGATTGAGAACACTGACAAGAGTGATTTCAGTTGGTGGGAGTGCAAAAGAGCCAGCCTGGAAAGAGTTGGGGAAAAAATGGAATCTTAGAGGGTAGAGATACTGAGAATGAGCAATTCTTTCTGACAAATTTTGCTATAAATGAGAAGGAAAGGTGTGTGTGAGAAATGAGCTGTTTTTGTTTTTTTCCTTTTGCCATCCCTATTGAAGTTAGAGAATTAAGAGTTATAGCATGTTCATATGCTAAGAAAAATGATTCGCCAGGAAAAATAATACAGGGGATGTGCAGGTCTAGATAAAATAAAAATAAAACAAACAAACAAAAACAAAAATATCGAAGATAACCCAGAAGCAAAATCCTTAAATACACAAGAAGTCACAACATAGATGAACATAGATGAGTTGGCTTAAAAAAAAAAAAGTGGTCTGCAAGTAGGAATCATTTTCGCTGCAGAGAATAAAAACACTATGTGCAATACTTAAATCAATAAATAAACAAACAAACATGCCCAGTGCAGTGGCTCACACCTGCAATCCCAACACTTTGGGAAGCCAAGGTGGGAGGATTGCTTGACATAGCGAGACCTCATCTCTATTATAAAAAATAATAATAATTTTCTAAAAAACAGCTAAGAGTCTAGAAGGAAAGAGATTACATAGTCTTCTTAGCAAACAAAGTAGAAGGACAAGCAGACACAGCAATGGTGTAGGCACAATAGATATGTGTGGTCATAAATTTAAAGTGAGACGAGCTAGCGTATTTGTTTTCTCCAGCCACACTCCACTGCTCAGGTTCAAGGAATTACAGAGTTGACAAAGAACTGAGTGTAATCGGGGTTGAAGTTTTGCCTTGATTACAATGAAGGAAGAGAAGAACAAGAGTTTTATCACTCAACACCACAGAATGGTACATACAGAACACTAATACTTACTGAAATTTTTATTAAATGAATCAATATAATTGGATAAGTTAAGAAGAGAATATATGAGGAGAATGATGGACAGTGAAAAAATGGCGTAGCTACTGGCCTGGAGGTCTTGATGGAATCCAAGAAATGTCCAGTGAGAGAACTGAAAAAATAAAAAAAAAATTGGATTCCAAGAAATATCAAAATAGGGTACTGGAGTATGTGAGTTAGTAGAAAAGGAAGTGGAGGTCAGAGTTAGATGCTTACAATTTTTTTTTTTTTTTTTGAGACGGAGTCTCGCTCTGTCGTCCAGGCTGGAGTGCAATGGCATGATCTCTGCTCACCGCAACCTCCACCTCCTGGGTTCAAGCGATTCTCCCGCCTCAGCCTTCTGAGTAGCTGGGATTACAAGCACATGCCACCACGCCTGGCTAGTTTTTTGTATTTTTAGTAGAGACGGGGTTTCACCACGTTGGCCAGGCTAATCTCGAACCCCTGACTTCGTGATCCACCCGCCTCGGCCTTCCAAAGTGCTGGGATTACAGGAGTGAGCCACCGCGCCCGGCCCAATGCTTACAATTTTTTAAGTTACAGATCATGGTGATAAAGTCTAGGGTAATGGTTCTCCGTCCTGACTATACATTGGAGCCACCTGGAACACATTTTTTTTTTTTTGAGACTGAGTCTTACTCTGTCGCCCAGGCAGGAGTGCAGTAGCGCCATCTTGGCTCACTGCAAGCTCCGCCTCCCGGGTTCACACCATTCTCCTGCCTCAGCCTCCCGAGTAGCTGGGACTACAGGTGCCTCCCACCATGCCCAGCTAATTTTTGTGTTTTTAGTAGAGGCGGGGTTTCACCTTGTTAGCCAGGATGGTCTCGATCTCCTGACCTCGTGATCTGCCCGCCTCGGCCTCCCAAAGTGCTGGGATTACAGGCGTGAGCCACCGCACCTGGCCCTGGAACACTTTTTTAAAAAAATCAGACCAATAAAATATGAATTTCTGAAGGTGGCCCACTACTATCAATATTTTTTAAGCTGCCCATTTAGAATATACAGCCAGAATTGAGAACTACTAGTCTAGGGTGTGATTATGCATGCAGACAGCTAAGGTAGGTTAGAAAAGAAACCTGCGATCTGCAAACTGAAGAACTTCTAATAAAGTTTTTTTCTATTATTCTTGATATGAATAAAAACATGAGCTGTGCTCAAAGTATTTCACATCTAGTAATTCATTTCATATTCATAACAACCCAGTAAGGGAGGTCTAGCATTATCCCTTTGTGAGGAAAATTAGACACAGATGGGGAGAACGAAACTGTACTGAATTAAGAGTCCCAGGTTATACATAAAGTTAAAGGTGTATATTATAAACCCTAAGGCAACTACTTTTTTTTTTTTTTTTGAGGTGGGGTCTCGCTCTGTCACCCAGGCTGGAGTGCAGTGGCACGATCTCCGCTCACTGCAACCTCCACCTCCCGGGTTCAAGCGATTCTCCTGCCTCAGCCTCCCAAGTAGCTGAGACTACAGTCACGTGCAACCACGCCCGGCTAATTTTTTGTATTTTTAGGACAGATGGGGTTTCACTGTGTTAGCCAGGATGGTCTCGATCTCTTGACCTCATGCTCCTCCCGCCTCAGCCTCCCAAAGTGCTGGGATTACAGGTGTGAGCCACCACGCCCGGCCAAGGCAACTACTTTTAAAAATCAAGACATATAGCTAATCAGCCAATGTGAAGATAAATGGAATACTAAAATATACTCAAGTAATCCAAAAAGGAACAAACAAGAGATAGGACAAATTAAAAACAAGCAGGCCAGGCGAGAAGGCTCACGCCTGTAATCCCAGCACTTTGGGAGGCCAAGGTGGGTGGATGACCTGAGGTCAGTAGTTCAAGACCAGCCTGGCTAACATGGCAAAATCCCATCTCTACTCAAAATACAAAATTTAGCCAGGTGTGATGGTGTGCACCTGTAATCCCAGCTACTCAGGAGGCTGAGGCAGGAGAATCGCTTAAACCCGGGAGGCGGAGGCGGCAGTGAGCCGAGATTGCGCCACTGCACTTCAGCCTGGGCGGCAGAGTAAGACTCCATCTCAAAAAAAGAAGAAAAAAGACCAGCCTGGACAACACAGTAAGACCCTGACTATACAAAAAAATTTTTAAAAATTACCCAGATGTGGTGGTGCAAACCCACAGTCCCAGCTACTCAGGAGGCTAAGGCAGGAAGATAATTGAGCCTGGAAGGTCGAGGCTGCAGTGAGCGACGACTGTGCCACTGTACTCCAGTCTGGGTGACAGAGCTAGACTTCGTCTCAAAAACAAACAAAAAAATCTGTATGTAAATATTCATAGCAGCACTACTCAGAATAGCCAAAAGGTAGAAGCAATGTAAATGCCTATCAAGTCATGATAAACAAAATGTGGTGTTTCTATAGAACGTAGTATTATTCAGCCATAAAAAGGAATGAAGTACTACTGGACCTAGAAAGCATTATGCTAAGTCGAAGAAGCTGGACACAAAAGGTCACACATTGCCTAAGTCCACTTGTAGGAATATCCACAATAGGCAAATCCACAGAGAGAGAAAACAGATTACTGGGCAGCAGGGACTAGGAGACTGGGAATGGGGAGAGACTGCTTAACGGGTACAGCGTTTCCTTTTAGGATGATGAAAACGTTTGGGAACATTTAGTTTGTGGTAATACTTGCATGACATTGTGAATGTGCCGAACACCACTGAATTACATATTTTAAGTGGTTAAAATGGCAAATTTCATGTTATGTTAATTTTGTCAGAATTTTTTAAAAAAGGAATGAAGGAGTGATACATACTACAACATAGGTGAACCTGAAAAACACTATCCTAAATGAAAGAAGCCAGTTACAAAAGATCACATATTGTATGACTTCATTTCTATGAAATGTCCAAAATAGGTAAATCTATAAAGTCAGAAAATAAATTAGTGGTTATCTAGGGCTAGGGGTCCAGGAGAGAGGGATTGGAGAGTGACTGCTAATGTATACAATGGTTCTTTCTGGGGTGATTAAAATCCTTTAAAATTAGATTATGCTAATGATTGCAAAACTGTAAATCTACTGGAAAACATCAAGATACCCCCCTTTAAATTGGTGAATTTTATGGTGTGTAAATTATATCTCAATAAAGCTAACTTTAAAAAGGAAAAACTTAGGCCAGGCATGGTGGCTTACACCTGTAATCCCAGCACTTTGGGAAGCTGAGGCAGGTGGATCATGAGGTCAGGAGATCGAGACTAGCCTAGCCAACATGGTGAAACCCCATCTCTACTAAAAATACAAAAAATGGCCGGGCATGGTGGCATGCGCCTATAGTCCCAGCTACTCAGAAGGCTGAGGCAGGACAATCACTTCAACCCAGGAGGCAGAGGTTGCAGTGAGCCGAGATCTCGCCATTGCACTCCAGCCTGGTTAACAAATGGAGACTCCGTCTCAAAAACAAAAAAAAAAAAAGAAAGAAATAGCAATGAGATACCAATCCACACCTATTAGAATAGCTACAATCAAAAAAACTGACAATACCAAATACGAATGAAAATGCGAACAGGAACTCTAACATTCACTGCTGATGGAAATACAAAATAAAACAGCCCTTTTGGAAGGCAGTTTGGCAGTTTCTTACAAAGCTAAATACAGGCCTACCATATGATCCAGCAATCACATTGCTGAGGTATTTGATTATCCAAATTGATTTAAAAACTTATAGTTACACAAAACCTGCACACAATGATTATAAGCAGCTTTATTCGTAATCACCAAAACCTGGAACCAAGGATGTCCTTTGACAGGTGAATGGATAAACAAACTGGAATATATCCATACAATGGATTATTTAGCAATAAAAATAAATGAGCTAGCAAACCACAAAATGATGTAAAGGACCCTTAAATGTATATTGCTAAGTGAAAGAAGCTAGTCCAGAAAGGCTACATACTATATGATTTCAATTATAAGACATCCCAGAAAAGGCAAAACTATAGAAATAGTACAAAACAGTAGTTGCCAAGGGCTTGGGGAAAGGCAGAAAGGGCTTAAGAGCTGAAATAGAATAATCTCATGGAGGTGAAACTATTTCTCACAATAATTTAACGGTGGATACATGTTGCCCAGGCTGGTCTCAAACTCCTGGGCTCAAGCAATCCGCCCATCTCAGATTCCCAAAGCAGTGGGATTACAAGCATGAGCCACCACACCCAACCTATGTCATACTTTTAAACATCATTTGAGTGCACTCCTTCTACTTACTTTTTTTTTTTAAGATGAGGTCTTACTGTGTTGCCCAGGCTGGTCCCAATCTCCTGAGCTCAAGCGATCGTCCCACCTCAGCCTCCCAATGTGCTTAGATTACAGGCGAGAGTCACCGTTCTACTTATGTTTTTTAAAAGCTACCTAAAAACAGCCTCAGGCAGTTTCCTTCAGGAGGTAGTCCAGACAGATCCACGTGAGTATTGCCCCTGAAGACCTTCCAGTAGGACAAGACGTGAAGGTAGAAGACACTGATATTGATAATCCTGACCTTGTGTGGGCCCTAGACTAATGTGTGCGCTTATGTTTTCATTTCCGACAAAAAAGTTTAAAAAGTAAAAAAAAAAAGAAAAACGAAAAAAAAAGGCCAGATGCAGTGGCACGCAACTCAGGAGGCTGAGGCCAGAGAATCACTTGAGCCCAGGAGTTGGAGGCCAGCCTAAGCAACATAGCGAGACTCTATCTCTAAAAAAAAAATTCATTTTTTAAATAGAAAAAAGCTTACAGAATAAGGATTTAAAGAATAATATTTCTGTACACCTGTAAAATGCGTTTGTATTTAAGTGTTGTTACGAGAGTCAAAAAACAACAAACATTTTAAAGCTTCTAAAGTCAAAAGGTTACAATAAGCTAATTTACTATTGATCAAAGAAAAAAATTTGATGAATTTAGTGTAGCCTAACTGTACATTGTTCATAAAGTGTACAGTAGGGCACAGTAATATCCTAGGCCTTCACATTCATTCACCACCCCTCATTCAGTGACTCGCCCAGAGCAACTTCCACTCCTGCAAGGTCCTCTCGTGGTAAGTGCCCTATTATAGGTGTACCACGTTTATCTTTCATATCTGTCCTGTTCTGTGTTCCGTTCTGTTCTGCGTTCCATTCTGTTCTGTGTTCTGTTGTGTTCTGTCACTCTGTCGCCTAGGCTGGAGTGCAGTGGCGTGATCTCGGCTCACTGCAACCTCTGCCTCCTGGGTTCAATTCTCCTACTTCAGCCTCCCAAATAGCTTGGATTACAGGCGTCCACCACCATACCAGGCTAATTTTTGAGTTTTTAGTAGAGACACAGTTTCACCATGTTGGCCAGGCAGGCCTCAAATTCCTGACCTCAAGTGATCTGCCTGCCTCAGCCTCCCAAAGTGCTGGGATTACAGGTGTGAGCAACCATGCCTGGCCTTTTTTTTTTTTGTTTTTTGAGATGAAATCTCACTCTGTTGCCCAAGCTGGAGTGAAGTGGCATGATCTCGGCTCACTGCAACCTCCGTGTCCCAGGTTCAAGTGATTCTCCTGCCTCAGCCTCGCAAGTAGCTGGGACTACAGGCACACACCACTATGCCAGGCTAATTTTTGTATTTTTAGTAGAGATGGGGTTTCACTATGTTGACCAGGCTGGTCTCGAACTCCTGACCTCGTGATCCACCCACTTCAGCCTCCCAGAGTGCTGGGATTACAAGTGTGAGCCACTGTGCCTGGTTCCCGGCCCTTTTATACCGTATTTTTATTGTATCTTTTCTATGTTTAGATACACAAATATTCACCATTATGCTATAGCTGCCTAGAGTATCAGTACAGTAATATGCTGTACAGGTTTGTAGCCTAGAAGCAATAGGCTATAGGCTATAGCCTACAAGAGTAGCATGCTACACCATCTAGGATCATGTAAGTACACTATATGATGCTTGCACAATAAAGAAATTGCCCAATGATGCATTCCTCAGAATGTATCCCCCTAGTTAAATTACTTATGACTGTGTACATCTAACAAGAGAGTATCAAAGTGCATGCAGCAAAAACTGACATACCTGAAAGGAGAAATAAACAGCTCCACAATCACAGGGAGTTCAACACTCCTCACTGATGCAATAATTCACAGAACAAGTAAACAGAAAATTATTAAAAATATGTAAGATCTGAAGAACATTATCAACCAACTTGACATAATTGTTATTTATAGAACACTGCACCCAACAACAGCAAGATAAACCATCTTTTCAAGCACACATAGAACATTCACCAAGATAAACCATATGCTGGACCGTAAAACAAGCATGGAAATATTTTAAAGAATATAAATTGGCTGGGCACGGTGGCTCACGCCTGTAATCACAGTACTTTGGGAGGCCAAGGCAGGCGTACACCTCAGGTCAAGAGTTCAAGACTAGCCTGGCCAACACGATGAAACCCCATCTCTACTAAAAACACAAAAATTAGCCGGGCATGGTGGTGTGCGCTTGTAATCCCAGCTACTCGGGAGGCTGAGACAGGAGAACTGCTTGAATCTGGGAGGTGGAGGTTGCAGTGAGTAACTTTTGTATTTTTAGTAGAGATGGGGAGTGCCACTGCACTCCAGCCTGGGTGACACAGCGAGACTCCATCTTAAAAAAAAAAAAGAATATAAATTATGCAGCATGTTCTCTGACTACAATGGAATTAAACTTGAGATCATTAACATAAAGATACTATATAAAATTCTCCAGTATTTAGAAATTAAATAATAGTCTCCTAAATAACCCCTGATCAAAAAAGAAACTGCAAAAGAAATTAAACAATATTTTGAACTGAATGAAAAGAAGAAATCAATTTATGAGATGTGGCTAAAACAGTATTTAGAAGGAAATTCATAGCTTTAAGCACCTGTATTAGAAAATAAGAGAGTTCTAAAATTAAAGACATAAATGTCCACCTCAAGACGCTCGGGGAAAAAAAGCAGACTAAATCAAGGGGAAGTAGAGGGAAAAAACATAAAATGCAGAAATCAATAAAATTTAAAATAAACAAGAAACAATAAATATCAGTATCTGTAGATTAAGAAAAAAGCAAGAGGCTGGAATTACCAATATGAGCAATGATAGAAGGCATATCGTTACAGGTCCTCTAGACATTAAAAAAAGAACAAAGGAATATTATAGGCTAGGCAAGGTGGCTCCTGCCTGCAATCCCAGCACTTTGGGAGGCCGAGGTGGGTGGATCACCTGAGGTCAAGAGTTCGAGACCAGCCTGACCAACATAGTGAAACCCCATCTCCACTAAAAATATAAAATTAGATGGACGTGGTGGCACATGCCTGTAATCCCGACTACTTAGGAGGCTGAGGCAGGAGAATCACTTGAACCCGGGGTACGGGGGTTGCAGTGAGCCGAGATCACATCATTGCACTCCAGCCTGGGCCACAAGAGCGAAATTCTGTCTCAAAAAAAAAGGGGCAGGGGAAGGGAGGGGAGGGGAGGAGAGGGGGGAGGGGAGGAGAGGAGGGGGAGGGGAGGGGAGGAGGGGGAGGGGAGGAGAGGGGGAGGGGAGGGCAGGGGAGGGGAGGGGAGGAGAGGGGGGAGGGGAGGGCAGGGGAAGGGAGAGTAGGGGAGGGGAGGGGAGGAGAAGGGGGAGGGGAGGGGAGAGGGAGGGGAGGGGAGGGGAAGGAAAGAGAAAACCTAACTAGTTCCTATATCTCTAAGGACTGCTAGCAACCACTAGAAATAGGAAGAGGCTGGGCGCAGTGGCTCACATCTGTAATCTCAGCACTTTGGGAGGCCAAGGCCGGCAGATCACCTGAGATCAGGAGTTCGAGACCAGCCTGACCAACATGGAGAAACACTGTCTCTACTAAAAATACAATATTAGCCGGGCATGGTGGTGCATGCCTGTAATCCCAGCTACTCGGCAGGCTGAGGCAGGAGAATCGCTTGAATCCAGGAGGCACAGGTTGCGGTGAGCTGAGATCACGCCATTGCACTCCAGCCTGGGCAACACGAGTGAAACTCTATCTCAAAAAAAAAAAAAAAAGAAAGAAAGAAACAGAGGAAGAGTCAAGGAGGGGTCTTCCCTAGAGCCTACAGTGGGAGCACAGCTCTCCTGACACCCTGACCTCATATTTCTACTTTCCAGAACTGTCAGAAAATAAATTTAAGCTGTTAGAAACCACCCACTTTGCAGTAATTTACTCTGGCAGCCCTAGGAAATTACTACACATATTGAATAATATTTTGGATGTAGTGAAATTAAAAATACATTAAATTTAATTTCACTTATCGCTACTTTTTTAGTGTGGGGGTATATAAAATTTAAATTACATATTTGGTTTATATTATATTTCTAGAGGATAGCATTAATCTAGCCAGCGGCAATAGGCAGGAAAAAAAGGCATACAGATTGGAAATGAGTAAGTACAACTGGATTTCTCTGCAGAAATGATTGTGTATAAAGAAAATCCTGGCTGGGTGCGATGGCTACGCCTGTAATCCCAGCACTTTGGGAGGTCGAGGCGGGCGGATCACAAAGTGAGGAGATCGTAACCATCCTGGCTAACACATTGAAACCCTGTCTCTACTAAAAACACACACACACAAAATTAGCCAGGCGTGGTGGCACAAGCCTGTGGTCCCAGCTACTCGGGAGACTGAGGCAGAAGAATCGCTTGAACTCGGGATGCGGAGGTTGCAGTGAGCCGAGATCACGCCACTACACTCCAGCCTGGGTGATAGAGCGAGACTCTGCCTCAAAAACAAAAAAACACAAACAAAAAACAAAATCCTGAATCTAAAAGCTGTCGGCCGGGCGTGGTGGCTCACGCCTGTAATCCCAGCACTCTGGAAGGCCAAGGTGGGCGGATCACCTGAGGTCAGGAGTTCAAGACCAGCCTGGCCATGGTGAAACCCCATCTCTACTAAAAATACAAAAAATTAGCCGGGCGTGGTGGTGCGCGCCTGTAATCCCAGCTACTCAGGAAGCTGAGGCAGGAGAATCGCTTGAACCGAGGAGGTGGAGGCTGCAGTGAGCCGAGATCGTGCCATTGCACTCCAGCCCGGGCAACAAGAGCAAAACTCCGTCTCCAAAAAAAAAAGTCAAATCGCCTATAATTGCCCAAATAATAAGAGGAACAAATGTGAAAAAGGAAGAAAAAGAAAGAAATTCTACATATTAAAACAGCAAGATGCTGGAATAGATAGTAACTCATCTCCCTAACTAGACAATGTGACTGGGGACCAGAAATGATCTTTTAGAAAAAGTAGCATGCAAATGGAATAGTATATATGCAAACGCTCTGAGGGAAAAAATTTGAAAGTAGACTGGTGTGGCAGGTACACAGTGGGCAAGAAGATAAGGCTAAAGCGACATGGCCTGTGGGCCACAGGAAATGTTTGTATTATGTAACAGTTCTCAAGTCTATCCATTATTTTCTACCCCTACCATGCTGTTCTCAATACATGCCTAGGTGCCTTCAAGATGTTCTGGATGATGAACCTGCGGTCTCACTCAAACTGCTCTCCCAATCCCTCCCTCTTAATGGAGCCAAAATATTTAACAGCTTAAATCTTCCAATAGCTCCCTGTTCTCTACAATATAGTCTTAATTTCTTACTTGACTGTAAGACCCTTCATGACACAGCCTCTACTTACTCTCCAGCTTCATACCCACTCCCTCTAAATTACTTGCATATTAATAAACTTCATCACATTTTTTCATTACTTCACGCCTTTTTACAGCAAGTTGTAAGTTTTTAATCAGATGTCTTATTCTATGTAAACCTTCTCTAATCCACACTACACAAGTGTTTCCCTCTGCTCCTGCAGCATATTTTGCTCCATTCTATATTTGTTGTGTTGTAGTTACGGTGCTTATTTATAGGGCTGTTTAACCTATTAGACCTTACTAGTCACCTTTTTATATTATTCTTATTATTATTCCTAGCAGATAGAAAAGGGCCTCTTTAATAGATCCTCTTTCCATAATTTAAAAAAAGATTTATAACATTTATGCTTTTAAGATCTAAGAATCCCTAAATTAAGAGATAATTGAACTGCATATACACAATAAAAAACTAGATTATCAGATGAGAATATCTCCTGGCTAATAAAATGAAAAAAAAAAGAAATAAAAACATAACAAAGAAAAAACTCAATTCGAGAACAACCTTTAAATATTACAAAAACAAATTAAAATATTACAAAGATATATAAGATGACTCTTCTGGCCAGGCGCAGTGGCTCACACCTGTAATCCCAGCACTTTGGAAGGCCAAGGCGGGCGGATCACAAGGTCAAAAGATCGAGACCACGGTGAAACCCCATCTCTACTAAAAATACGAAAAATCAGCCAGGCGTGGTGGCGGGCACCTAAAGTCCCAGCTATTTGGGAGGCTGAGGCAGGAGAATGGCATGAACCCGGGAGGAGGAGCTTGCAGTGAGCTGAGATCACGCCACTGCACTCCAGCCTGGGTGACAGAGCGAGACTCCGTCTCAAAAAAAAAAAAAAAAAAAGATGACTCTTCTGTAAACCAACAGATAATAAATCTGGATTGGTAGATAATTAGGTTTGAATGAAACAAAGAACACTTCAAAACATTTAAGCCCCACAATATTACTTAAGTATAAGAGTATAAGAATTACATTACTTCTTATATCATAAGTTAATGTACACAAACTAGTAGCAAGTTATTAACAGAATTATGAATTTATATTTTGATTTTCACTCAATGAATGCAAGTGATACATGCACATCTACAGCCTTTCACCTTGTTTCAATTCAGTTCTCAATTAAATACTATATTGTAGCAGCCCTAATGATCCACTGCAAAGAAAGTAATTCAAAGAAAGTCGACTTTCGGCTAGGCGTGGTGGCTCACGCCTGTAATCCCAGCACTTTGGGAGGCCGAGGCGGATGGATCACCTGAGGTCAGGAGTTCAAGACCAGCCTGGCCAACATGGCAAAACCCCGTCTCTACTAAAAATACAAAAATTAGCTGGGTGTGGTGGCAGGCGTCTGTAATCCCAGCTACTAGGGACCCTGAGGCAGGGAGAATTGCTTCATCTGGGAGGCCGAGGTTGCAGTGAACTGAGATCACCCCATTGCACCATTCCAGCCTCGGTGACAAGAGCAAGACTCATCTCAATAAAAAAAGAAAGAAAAAAAAAAAAAAGAAAGTTGACTTTCCCAAAATTTCAAAAAGTAATTTGGCATAGACCCATGGACCATCATATTAGCAAAATAATTTCATTATAGCATTATTTTAAGAGTAAAAAAGTATGGGTCAGACAAAGTGGCTCACGCCTGTAATCACAGCACTTTGGGAGGCTGAGATGGGTGGATCGCTTGAACTTAGAGTTCAAGACCAGCCTGGGCAATATGGCAAAACGCTGTCTCTACAAAAAATACAAAAAGTTAGTGAAGTGGGGTGATGCACGCACATGCACGCGCACCTATAGTCCCAGCTATTAGGGGGCTAAGGCAGGAGGATTACATGAACCCGGGAGGTAGAGGCTGCAGTGAGCTGAGATGCACTGCACTCTAGCCTAGGTGACAAAGTGAGACCGTGTTAAAAAAAAAAAAAAAAAAAAAACAGCCAGGTGCTGTGGCTCACACCTATAATCCCAGCATTTTGGGAGGCCAAGGTGGGTGGATAACGAGTTCAGGAGATCAAGACCATCCTGGCTAACACGGTGAAACCCCATTTCTACTAAAAATAAAAAAATTTAGCCAGGCGTGGTGGCACGCACCTGTAGTCCCAGCTACTCGGGAGGGTGAGACAGGAGAATCGCTTGAACCTGGGAGGCACAGGTTGCAGTGAGCTGAGATCGCGCCACTGCACTCCAGCTTGGGCAACAGAGCGAGACTCGGTCTCAAAAAAAAAAATTAATAAAAATAACAATCAGAGTAAGAAAGTGGAATTACTAAAATGTTAAGCTATGGAAATGGTTAAATAAACTGAGGCAGTAAATAAAACTTTGGACTATTAAAAGCCATAAAATAACAGTAATATACAGCAACAGGGAAAGCATGTTAAATTAAAAGACAATTATATTAACATTAATCACGGAATTATACACAAGCACAGACAGGATTAGAATATTATACTACTACATTATAGAAGTATAACAGCATTAGAGTACAGAAAAATATAAGTGTTAGATAGGGGAGAGTAATTTAAATTTTTTCTTTTGAATTTCTTTTAATCATGTTACATTTTTTCCAATAAAAAGTTTTCAAAGGCTGGGTGTGGTGGCTCACACCTGTAATCCCAGCACTTTCAGAGGCGTAGGCAGGTGGATCACCTGACATCAGGCCACCTGGCCAACATAGTGAAACCCCTTCTCTACTAAAAATTCAAAAATTAGCCAGGCGTGGTGGCAGGCACCTGTAATCCCAGCTATTTGGGAAGCTGAGGCAGGAGAATCGCTTGCATCTGGGAGGCAGAGGCAGGAGAATCGCTTCAATCTGGGAGGCAGAGGCTGCAGTGAGCCGAGATCACACCACTGCACTCCAGCTTGGGTGACGAAGCGAGACTACATCTCAAAAAAAAAAAAAAAAAGGTTTCAAATACCATGTTAAGCTCTATTACATCCACATACTTAACAAATGTAGAAAATGTTTTAAAGCTTTAAACTTCTTCCTGCAAAATATTAAGTTTCAAATTTCAAATAATAAAACTGCCTAATTTTGGAATATCCTACAATCTGATGCTAAAGACCTATTGTTTTACACCAGCTGTACTATGCAAAATCCTTTCCCCAAATTTTAGCTGATAAAAAGGAATTTCCCATTCCAACAAGGCATCCCTTTGCTACGTCTGTCAAACTGACAATCTATGGCACCAGTATAAAGAAAATTAACATTTTAATTCAGTTATTATGAAAGCTTATCTGCCCTTGCTATTCAGCAAACATATTACACTGGAAATTCAAATTATGACAGAAATTCCGTTTTGCAAATCAAAAAAACAAATGAAACAACCTGCCACTGACTCAGCAACTTTCTTTTTTACTTTACAACCTGTACTTAAGGTGCAAGCATATGACTGAAACCTAGCTTTCAATTTTTCTTTTTTTTTTTTTTAATCAGGCAGCCTCCAGAACCAGAGTAGGCTCTAAGAGATTCCCCTAGCTTTCAAACTGAGCAGCAAAGCCAATGCAAAACCAGTATTTGTTTTGGCAGGAAGCTCCAGTGAAAATATGAGATGTTTTGGTCTTAACTGGCAGATACACAAAGAGCAAAGAAAGGTGCCTTATTGAGTTATTATTTATAATGTAAAATCCCTTGTGTATAGCTACAAATCCACTTTTATTGCAGATACTTAATATGTTTCTTTATAGAAAGTAGCTCAACCAAATAATCTCCCAAATTTGGCACCAGGAATTGTTACAGCCTACACACCACTACAGTTCCTTGTAATTTAAAACATTTGCGTTTTAAGAATAGTCTCCACACTCCAACTATGCTGCCAATTTCTTCAGCTAAAAGCTTAAGTTTATACTACAAAATACTGTATTTACTCTCGACAATAGAATGCACTCATTTACAAAGCATACAGGACTAAATTACTCCAATATGCAACTTCAAAATTTCTCCAATATACAACGACAACATTTCTAACATCATAGCTTTTCTATTACCCAAATCAGTAAGTCTAAATAGTAGTACTGTACACTGCACGAGGTACTATTGGCCAAAGTCAAGTCGCATATGATCAGTTCACTACAACAGGTTATACAAAAGATCAGACCCCTAATCTCAATAAACTATTTTGCAAAATGGTCAACGGAGATACCAATGCGGAGGAAAGTGTGGATTGAGTGGCAGAAAACCCTTTGCCACTACTGAAAAAAAAAACAAGTCAAAGCAAGCCTATATGACAGGCAGATCATGTTCATGAATACAAATCTAACTTCATTGCCGACTTCCCAGTCTCACAGCAAGACGGCAGTTTACCAACTCTTTAACAGTAATACAAAGAACAGGACAGAAAATATAGTTTCTTTTTTGCATGCTATAGTGATCAAGAATAAAGGATACCTTTAATGTTCAAAGATGAAAACTTCCTTTTGCAACTAATATTGCTCTTATCGCGTGTACACAGAAAAATCATACAACGCTCTGCATTTCTGATAGAGTAATACACACTATCACATCAAATCAAGTATTTATCCAGAACTTAGCGCCTTAGCACTAACGTTCTCCCCTCTCATTATACACAGACCGGAAGGGAAAACCTATTCCTACGTAAATTAGGGCCTAGGAAGAACGCCTCAACACGGGTTTGCACACAATTAAGCAGGCTCAGTGGGTCAATTTCTCAGGCTACAACGCTTGACAGTATCTCGGAGGCACAAAGAGACAGCTGAGGGTTCACTACTGGAAATGACACTTTCCCTCAAATTTGCACAAGTACCCGCGGTAACTACCCTAAATTTTCCCGTGTGACAAACATACATAAGGGGAGAAGGAGGCGGTACTATTTAAAAACTGGGTAATTCCTTATTAGTGCAGATAAAAGACGGTCTTCGAGAGGGAAAAGGTCTATCAAGCAGAAAAGGGGAGGAAAAAAAAAAAGACGTGACAGCATTCTTAAAACAGAAAAAGTTACAGCTCTTTACAGGAGTCAGCCTTAGGACTTCATTCCTTGGTTTTGTGTTTAGTCACTCCAGAGTTAAAAGGATACTGCCCTCCTAGAAAGTCATCCCCGACAAAGAAGCCCTGAGGATCGGCCACCGTAAGACAGAGAAGGAAATGTCTTCAATTCACCAGAGACACCTGCCCAGGTCCCCCTCCTCCCCGTTGTCCCCGACACTTCTCAGTCCCCCGACTCCTCTCGAGACTGCCCGCCACCCCTGGCTCTAGCTCTCCGCTCTCTCAGCCTCGACCCCCTCTGGGAAGCCCCGATCCTGCTCCCTCCGCACCCCGGCCCCCACCAAAGCGGCCGTCGCCCCGGCGGTCCCCCGGGCCCAGACCCCTCGCGCTTGTACGCAAACGATTCTCATGGGCCCGGCGGGCGACGCGGGGAGGCTCTTCAGGGGCAGCCTTTCCCCGACTGCATCCCGCAGGATCCGGGGACTCCCCGCCCCCGGAAACCGCGGAGAAACTAGGCCACGAACGCCAGCCGCGGCCACTCTCCGCCTCCTCGGCGACCCCCCGCGGGCCAGCCACTCGGAACTCAGCCCTCCGGGCTCTACCTGTCCCGCGCCCTCCCAGCCTTGCAGCGCAGGCCCCGCGAGGGCACGGCGCAGGCTTCCTCCGCCAAAGGCCCCGCGCCGCAGCCTCACCTGCTGCCTGCTCCTCTGTCAGCGCAGCCCCGACACGGCTTCTTCCTGGGGCAAGAAAGCACCGGATTCGCGGACTGGGCGCGCTCGGCAGGGCAGGGCGGGGGACTAGCTCCAGCGGCCGCCGCCGCCTCAGTCCGGTCTGCGCCTGCGCCGCCTCGCGGGCAGGGTCTCCGAGGGGCGCCGCCTACAGCCAGGGGCGATGGCCGGAGCGCTGGCCCGCGCGGGTGCCTCCGCGCTGTGAGCCGTCGGACAGTGCGGGCGGCGCGTCGCCTAGGAGCTGCCCGCGGCGCAGCCGTCCCAAGACCTGACCGCCATGTTTCTGTTCCCTTTTTCTCCCCCGCCTTCCGCCCCTTTCCACAAAACAGCACTTTCTTTTCCCCCTCCCTCTCCCTTTCCTCCTGCGGGGGCGGGTGGAAAAGGGCGGGGGGTGGGAGGGAGAAGACGCAGGGAGGAGGGGGGCGGTGCGGTGCTCAGGCCCCTCCCCCGGGGAGGGCCGAGGCCCTGCAGCCACCGCTCCCCTCCCCCGCCCGACCCCTGTGCGACCCCCGCGGGGCGCGGGGTCTGAGCCTTGCGGGCCTCCGATCCCCTCCTCAGCGTTCGCGCGGCCGAGCCTGCAGAAACAGAGCTGGGGAGAAAGCGCTCTGGAGGCCGCTGTGCACCCCTTCCTGCAGGGCTCAGACTGGCGGTGTGATGTGGGTTTATTGCCTTGGCCTGAGGCAGGTGGCGGCTGCTTCTCTCGGAGTTTTCAAAGACAGGGAAAGTGATGCCGAGTGGCTGAAGGTCACTGAGGACAGTGCCGGGAGATACGTGAAGATTCCTTCCCAGGGAAGGAATCTGGAATTCCCACGCATGAGTAGAGGGCTCTAGAGAGACCCGCGCGCTGGCCCTTCCCGAAACCCCTTGGCTCCAGTGCACCATGTGAGTCCCTGGCCGCGCTCGGTGTCTCTCCTTCGGCCCAGATTTGGGGATGGGAATTCCTAATGGAGAAATCGCTCATTTGCATAGTCAGTACCCTCACGCCTCCTAAGTGTAGCCTCATTATCGACACAGACGCCTGCAGAGTCGTTTCTCTATAATGCAAATTTTGCAGGATATTTTTGAACAACGTTTTTGAGTTATCATAGTAAATGAAAAAGCAATTACTAGTTATTTAGGAAGAAGGAAATGGTTTGAAGTAGAGATAACTTTTTTACCTCTGGGGGGAAAAAAAGGCGAATGACTTCAGATTCCATGGCAGGTCAAAATCAGAACTGGTAAGATTTCTGCATATCTGGTGAGTATCCACATAAATAATCATTTTCCTGAAAATTACACTCTCCTTATTTAATCTGTATTTTTGCATAAAAATGTGAGATTATACCTGGGTCATAAATGCACTGCTGTCCATTTATTTCTGAAGTTTATTGCATAGCCATGGATAATTTGAGTTTTATATTCAATAGCAGAAACTATTTTTCTAACCACGTAAGCAGTCAGAATTGATTTCAGAAGAAATGCGCAGCAATAAAAGTTAAGGCTTATTTAATAACAGTTTGGGGCCAATTTGGTCCCCCTGGAAACTATCTTTGACATTGACAATCCGAAGAGCAAAAGTTTAAGAAAGGATCTAATACTTCAAAATTTAGCTTGTGGGCCGGACGCGGTGGTTCACGTCTGTAATCCCAGCACTTTGGGAGGCTGAGGCGGGCGGATCACCTGAGGTCGAGAGTTCCAGACCAGCCTGACCAACATGGAGAAACACTGTCTCTACTAAAAATACAAAATTAGCCGGGCGTGGTGGTGCATGCCTGTAATCCCAGCTACTCGGGAGGCTAAGGCAGGAGAATGGCTTGAACCTGGGAGGCGGAGGTTGCAGAGAGCCGAGATTGCGCCATTGCACTCCAGCCTGGGCAACAAGAGCAAAACTCTGCCTCAGAAAAAAAAAAAAAAAGAAAAAAAAGAAAAGAAACAGTGAAACAAAATTTAGCTTGTGGGCTTCTTTTCCTTCTTTCCCAAAGTCTAAATTAATTAGCAGTTTTAAAGCAATATAAACGAGATTTCTTTCTTTATTTACATATATATTTTTTAATTTTTCCTCATCCCAACTAGAAAAGGAAAGACAAGATTTCTTCGCCCCCTCCTTTTTTTTGGACACAGGATCCCCCCCTCTGTCACCCAGGCTGGAGTGCAGTGGCACAAACAGGGTTCACTGCAGCCTTAACTTCCTGCCACCTCAGCCTCCCGAATAGCTGAGATGGTAGGCCTGTGCCAACCACCCACCCACACCCCACTAATTTTTTGGGGGGGTTAGGGGAAGATATAAAGTCTCACTATATTGCCCAGGCTAGTCTTGAACACCTGAACTCAAGCAATCCTATTACCTCAGCCTCCCAAAACTCTGGGATTACAGATATGAGGCACCGTGCCCAACCAAGACAAGATTTCTTAATGGGTACATTCATTTAATTAGCTCTCAGGGATTCAGAGTTTTTTTTTTTCTCTCTCTCTCTCTTTTTTTATGGCACCCACAGAAATGAAAAATGGATGAGGCCAGTATCTCTCTTCCACTTGACTTGATTTTTCTCACTTTGCAATGGAAGGCTTAGGATTTTCTTTAATTTTTCTCACTATCTTAATCGTCCTATAGATTTACCATAGATTTTTCACTGCCATTTTCCACCAAAAATTTCATAGAATGAACTTGAATGTTTTGGGACTAATTTTTCATGTGAGTTAACTGTTCTCAGATCTGGAAGTTCTTGATTCAGCAACCTTCCCAACTGCATGCTTAGGGGCCCAGAACTGAAATAAGTTCATTTGAAATTTTATATATATATATTTATATATATATATATTTTTTGAGACAGAGGCTTGCTCTATTGCACAGGCTGGAGTGCAATGGCATCGTCTTGGCTCACTGCAACCTCCACCTCCCAGGCTCAAGCGCTTCTCCTGCTTCAGCCTTCTAAGTAGCTGGGACTACAGGCGTGCGCAACCAACCACACCCGGCTAATTTTTTGTTTTTTTTGTTTTTGTTTTTGTTTTTTTTTGGGTAGATAACAGTGTTTTGCCACGTTGCCCAGGCTGGTCTCAAACTCCTGAGTTCAAGCAATCCGCCTGCTTCCCGGCCACCCAAAGTGCTAGGATTCTAGGTGTGAGCCACCACACCCGGCCTCATTTTAAATTTTAATATAAAGGCTGGGCACCATGGTTCATGCCTGTAATCCCAGCACTTTGGGAGGCTGAAGTGGGTGGATCACCGGAGGTCGGGAATTTGAGACCAGCCTGACCAATGTGATAAAACCCCGTCTCTATTTAAAAATACAAAAATTAGCCAGATATGGTGGTGGGTGCCTGTAATCTCAGCTACTAGGGAGGCTGAGACAGGAGAATCTCTTGAACCCAGAAGGCAGAGATTGCAGTGAGCCGAGATCTCACCGCTGCACTCCAGCCTGATGGACAGAGCAAGACCCTGTTTCAAAAAAATAATAATAATATTTGACTGTATAAAAAGTAGGAGAGTCGGAGAGCCCGATATCAACATAATTGTTATAATGATTATAGTGTCACAGTTTTAGTTGGGCCTATGTAGATAGAAGAATGCATAGGAAAAAATCAGCCCATCGAAGAGGGGAACACAGACATTCTAGCAGAAAGCTCCTTCTTGCTGCCTTCTGACTGGGCGTGGTCACTGCAGATTTCCGTGGAACTGTGACACAAAGGAGTGGAATGAAAATGTTGAAAATTTCCTTAAGATATTTTTGGGGCCGGGCGCGGTGGCTCACACCTGTGATCCCAGCACTTCGGGAGGCCGAGGCGGGCAGATCACCTGAGGTCAGGAGTTTGAGACCATCCTGGACAACATGACGAAACACCATCTCTACTAAAAATACAAAAATTAGCCGGGCGTGGTGGTGTGCGCTTGTAATCCCAGCTACTCAGGAAGCTGAGGCAGGAGAATCGCTTGAACCCGGTAGGCAGAGGTTGCAGTGAGCCGAGATTGCACCACTGTACTCCGGCCTGGGCGACAGAGCAGGACTCTGTCTCAAAAAAAAAAAAAAACATGATTTTTTTTTTTTTTTTTTTTGAGATGGAGTCTTGCTCTGTCGCCCAGGCCAGAGTGCAATGGTGTGATCTTCGTTCACTGCAACCTCTGCCTTCCAAGTTCAAGCGATTCTCCTTCCTCAGCCTCCTGAATAGCTGGGATTACAGGCACGCGCCACAACACCCGGCTAATTTTTGTAATTTTTAGTAGAGACGGAGTTTCACCATGTTGTTCAGGCTGGTCTTGAACTCCTGACCTCGTGATCTGCCCGCCTCAGCCTCCCAAAGTGCTGGGATTACAGGCATGAGCCACCATGCCCAGCCCCGCTTCAAAAACTTCTAATCATTGCCCTGTGAGGGCAGGAGTAATATATATCACAGATGTGTATTTATATGTTTTTATTCTGGATGCCTAGGATCTAGCAGAGTAACTCATATATATTATAGTCTCTCAGAAACTAATTGATGGGCCAGGTGTGGTGTCTCAAGCTTGTAATCCCAGCACTTTGGGAAGCCAAGGTGGGCAAATCGCTTGAGCTCAGGAGTTCAGGACCAGCCTGAGCAACATGGCGAATCCCCATTTCTACCAAAAATACAAAAAATTAGCTGGGTGTGGTAGTGCATGCCGGTAGTCCCAGCTACTCGGAAGGCTGAGGTGTGAGGATCACTTGAGCCTGGAAGGCGGAGGTTGCAATGAGCCAAGATCGTGCCACTGCACTCCAGTCTGGGTGACACCTAGACCCTGTCTCAAAAAAAAAAAAAAGTTAAAAATAATAATAATAATAATTGATGAATGCCTGGCATAAATCAGTCTGTGCTTCTCTCACTTTCTTTCTCTCTGTTCTTGGGTAAGTTACTTAACTTTTCCTCATCTGTAAAGTAAGTAGAATGATATTCACAAAGAAGATCATTTATTAATTTACAATAGGCTATAAATATTAAACACATCAGTTCAGGAATCAATAATCAGCACATGTGATAGGCAGCCTCTCAGTATGGTTTACAACAATTCCTGCCTCCTGCCATTTATATCCTTGTGTAATCCCCTCATATTGAGTGTGGGGTGAACTTACTGACTGGTTTCTAATACACTGAGTACTTCAAAACTGATAGGATAACTCTAACAGGATGAAATGATAAAAGACTGTGGCTTCAGTCTTAAATTCTTTGTCTCATCCTCTTGGATTGCTTGCTCTTGGGGAAACTAGGTACCATGCCATCAGGTTTCCTTGTGATTTTGATTAGAAGTGGATCCTCCCCAAACTGAGCCTTGAGATGAGCATGGCCTCAGCCAACATCTTGATTGCAGCGTCCTGAGAGACCGTGATCCAGATCACCCAGCTAAGCCACTCCCGGATTCTTTAGTCATAGAAACTGTGAGGTAATAAATGCTTCTTCTTTCCAGCTGCAAAATTTGGGGATAATTTGTTACACGACAACACATAACTAATACAGCAGTACCTGGAAGGTAACAAGTGCTCATTAATGGTAGCTCTTCTTTTAGTGAATATGATTGGATTCATTCAGCATATGACTTGGCATCCTGTAATGCTGATCCAAGCTTATTTTAATACCATAATGATAGTGTTTACAATTGCAGTAAGAAAAAGTAGGAAAAGTAGAAAGACTGACTTTTGGTTTTTGTTTTTTGTTTTTTGAGACAGAGTCTCGCGCTGTCGCCCAGGCTGGAGTGCAGTGGCGCGATCTCCGCTCACTGCAACCCGCGCCTCCCGGGTTCACGCCATTCTCCTGCCTCAGCCTCCCGAGTAGCTGGGACTACAGGTCCCGCCACCACGCCCAGCTAATTTTTTGTATTTTTAGTAGAGACAGGTTTCACCCTGTTAGCCAGGAAGGTCTCGATCTCCTGACCTCGTGATCCACCCACCTCGGCCTCCCAAAGTGCTAGGATTACAGCGTGAGCCACTGCACCCAGCCGGAAAGACTGACTTTATCTCATCTGTTATTTATAAACCACCTTTGATAGAAGAGAAATTTGTTAAGAGTGTGTTTCATATGTTGTCTAGGATTTGCTTCAAAATAATCCGTGGGAGATGGGGAGGAGTGCGGGAAAGAGAAGGGAGTAGGTAGGGGTTAGGTAAAAAAGATTAGACACATGTGGAAGTTGGGTGATTGGTACTTAAGAGTTCCTTTCCTTTTTATGGCTTTTTGAATTTTTCTGTAATAAAAAAGTCTTCTTTTTTAAGTATTTTATGGAATCAGAAGTTTGGAGCTGAATGCCAATCTTTAGAGATCATCTATTCTAATTAACTGATTTGATAAGATGAGGAAATTAAGCCCCAGCCAAATTTACTGAGTTGTCCAGAGTCCCTCAGTCTCAGTTTTGGTGATTTCATATTTACATATTGAGGAGAAATTACTCACTTCAAAGTTCTTTTGATTGATTGATTGATTGCCAGCCTCAGAAGTCACATAGCTCACCAAACAGTAACTTGTTCGAGATTTCCTAAGAGAGCCTCCACAGCATTAAAATTCAAGCCTGGTCTCCACTTTCCAATATGTAATCTGCATGTGGTAGACTGGCGAGTTATTTGGCTCCAGTCCCCCAACTCATTAATTTTAGAAAACATAGTATTTGAAGGCCCAGTGCTTCACACCTGCAGGCACCGTTAGCCACTGTTTTAGATTTTTAAGTTAAGTAACATCAACAAACACTAAATCTGTTTTATTAAACACTAAATCTCCTATTTAAATGACCCAGAATATCCCACCCTTCGCAGGGAGTGTTAGCACACTCTTCTCTTTGTGCTCCCTCCCATATCTTATCTTGCTAGGACTCTGTCTCAGCATTATCAAAGTGGGCTAGAGTCTCTTGGTACTCAGCACATTCTTTATCTAGCTTTCTTTTCTAGGCCTACAGGCCAAACGTGGCTGGGCAAGGAGTGGGAAGGACTGTCACGAGGCTTCTCATCTTGAGTGGGAGGAGAGTAAGTGATCCTGAGAACAGTATCTTAATAGGTCATAAAGAAGAGCAGGCGTTAGCAGAGGGAGGAAGACAGAGAAAGGAGTAATGGGCAGGAAGATAGTCTATATGAGTATCTGAGACATAAGACCTGCTGCCCATAGCTGGCTTTTTTTTTTTCTTTCTTTTTTTTTTTTTTTTTGAGACGGAGTTTTGCCCTTGTTGTCCAAACTGAAGTGCAATGGTGCGATCTCGGCTCACTGCAAATTCCGCCTCCAGGTTCAAGTGATTCTTGTGCCTCAGCCTCCCAAGTAGCTGGGATTACAAGGGTGCGCCACCACGCCTAGCTAATTTTTTGTATTTTTAGCAGAAACGGGGTTTTACCATGTTAGCCAGGCTGATCTCGAACTCCTGACCTTGGGTGATCTGCCTGCCTCGGCCTCCCAAAGTGCTGGGATTACAGGCGTGAGCCACTGCGCCCGGCCCATAGCTGGCTTTTATGGGCTCCCTAAAGTATTTTATGTGAATGGAACAGTCCTCTGCCCTCAGTCTTTCCCCACTATTGGGTATTAGTGTCTGTGCTGACTTGACTACTACTTTAGCATTTACCTCCAAATATGGCCAATTTCCCTAAGTGGCACTTGTCCACATCCGTCTACAATAGTTAGCTATGTTCCTGTTTCCCACCTTAGAGGACCGTTGTCTGTACTGACTGAGCTTGATTCTTACCTGCTTCCCCGAACCACTTTTTCTGGGCCTCAGTTCTGATGTTCCTCACATCATAGCAAATTGTCCTGACCGTGGATCCAGAAATATATGTGTTATTTCAAAGATTACACCTGGTGAAGTAGCTCCCACCTGTAATCCCAACACATTGTGAGGTTGCAGCAGGAGGATTGGTTGAGCTCGGGAGTTCAAGACCAGCCTAGGCAACATAGCAAGACCTTGTTTCTACTCAAAAAAAAAAATAATCCAAAAGAAATTAGCCATTTGTAGTGATGCACGCCTGCAGTCCCAGCTACCCGGGAGGCTGAGGCAGGAGGATCACTTGAGTCTAAGAGGTCACGGCTGCAGTAAGCTGAGATCTTGCCACTGTACTCAAGCCTGGGTGACAGCGCAAGATTTTGTCTCAAAAACAACAACAAAAAAAGATTAAATTTTAAAAATACTAGCATTCGTTTTGGCCAGGCATAGTGGCTCACGCCTGTAATCCCAGCACTTTGGTAGGCCGAGGCGGGTGGATCACAAGGTCAAGAGATTGAGACCTTCCTGGCCAACATGGTGAAACCCTGCCTCTACTAAAAATATAAAAATTAGCTGGGCGTGATGGCACGCACCGGTAGTCCCAGCTACTCGGGAGGCTGAGGCAGGAGAATTGCTTGAATCTGCGAGGTGGAGGTTGCAGTGAGCCGAGATCGCACCACTGCACTCCAGCCTGGCAATAGAGCGAGACTCTGTCTCAAAAAAAAAAAAAAAAAAAATATATATATATATATATAATAGAAAACAAAGCAATAATACATAAACAAAAATAGTAGTAAACTTTTCTGTATCCATCACTCAGCTTCAACAATTATGTTAATCTTTTTTTTTTTTTTTTTTTTTCTGAGACAGAGTCTAGCTCTGTCACCCAGGCTATAGTACAGTGGGGCTGTCTTGGCTCACTGCAACCTCCACTTCCCAGACTCAAGCGATTCTGCTTCAGCCTCCTGAGTAGCTGAGATTACAGGTGCCCACCACCACACCCAGCTAATTTTTGTATTTTTAGTAGAGATGGGCTTTCACCATGTTGGCCAGGCTGGTCTCAAACTCCTGACCTCAACTGATCCGCCCGCCTCGGCCTCCCAAAGTGCTGGGATTACAGGTGTGAGCCACTGTGCCTGGCTAACTCATGTTAATCTTGTGTCGTGTATATTTCCACCGACTCCTCACCCCCCCCTAAGTATTTTGAAACAAATACATATTATTTCATTTTTAAATATTTCAGTGTATATCTCTAAAATATAAAAACATTTTATTTGTTTTTGTTTTTGTTTTTTGAGACAGTCTCACTCTGTTGCCCAGGCTGGAGTGCAGTGGCGCAATCTCGGCTCACTGCAATCTCTGCCTCCCAGGTTCAAGCGATTCTCCTGCCTCAGCCTCCAGAGTAGCTGGGTCTACAGGTGTGCACCACCACGCCCAGCCAATTTTTGTATTTTTAGTAGAGATGGGGTTTCACCACATTGGCCAGGCTGGTCTCTAACTCCTGATCTCAAAGGATCCACCCACGTCAGCCTCCCAAAATGCTGCGATTACAGGCTTGAGCCACCGCGCCTGGCCTATTTGTTTATTGATTTATTTTAGAGATAGAGTCTTGGTCTGTTGTCCAGGCTGGAACGCAGCAGAGCAGTCATAGCTCACTGCATCCTTCAACTCCTGGGCTCAAACAATCCTACCACCTCAGCCTCCCACGTAGCTGGGACTACACGTATGACGCACCACACCAGCTAAGATAAAGACCATTTTTATTATTGTTATTATAACAATAATACACTGTCACTTTGTCACCCAGGCCGAGTACAGTGGCACAATCACAGTTCACTGCAGCCTTGACCTCCCAGGCTCAAGCTACTTTCCCACCCCAGCCTCACTAGCAACTAGGACAACAGGCGTGCACCACCGCATCTGGCCAATTTTTGTATTTTTTGTAGATACAGGGTTTCACCATGTTGCCCAGGCTGGTCTGGAACCCCTGGGCTCAAGCAATCTTCCCACCTTGGCCTCCTAAAGTGCTGGGATTATAGGTGTGACCCCATGCCCAGCCTGGTTCTGCTTTTTATTGGACAAATATTTATTGAGCATTTACTGTGTGTCAGGCATAGGAACAGGAGGTGGATATACAGTGGATCCATACTATTCATGGATTCCATACTTGTGAATTTACCTACTTTCTAAAATGTATTTGTAAGCTAAAAATCAATATATATGGCCTTTTCAGTCATTCATGGGCATGTACAAAGAAGCAAAAAATTTGAGTCACTCGGCTGGGCGCGGTGACATGCCTGTAATCCTAGCACTTCGGGAGGCCAAGGCGGGCAGGGGCAGATCACGAGGTCAGGAGATTGAGACCATCCTGGCTAACACAGTGAAACCCCATCTCTACTAAAAATACAAAAAATTAGCCGGGCATGGTGGCAGGCGCCTGTAGTCCCAGCTACTTGTGAGGCTGAGGCAGGAGAATGGCGTGAACCCAGGAGGCGGAGCTTGCAGTGAGCTGAGATCGCGCCACCGCACTCCAGCCTGGGCGACAGAGGGAGACTGTCTCAAAAAAAAAAAAAAAAAATTTGAGTCACTCAACATTCACATTCCCAGCTGATGTTAAACAAGGCAAAACTCTGCCTTCTTATTTCAGCTCTCAAACTGTAAACAAGTGGTCCTTTTCACAGTCTACTTTGTGCCATATTTTTTGCATTTGTGCTTTTTGTTGGTAATTTTGCTGTTTAAAATGGCCGCAAAGGGTAGTGCCGAAGTGCTGGTTACTATTCCTAGGCACAGGAAGGTTGTGATGTGCCGTGTGGAGAGAAGATGGATTAGATAAGCTGTGCCCAGGCACGAGTTATACCGCCTTTGGCGGTGAGTCTGAAGTTAATGAATCAACAATGTGTATTAAATTAGATGTCTTTTTCTTTTCCTTTGTTTTCTTTTTTTTTTTTTTTTTTGAGATGGAGTCATGTTCTGTTGCCCAGGCTAGAGTGCAGTGGCACGATCTCGGCTCACTGCAACCTCCGCCTCCCGGGTTCAAGCAATTCTCTGCCTCAGCCTCCCGAGCAGCTGGGATTACAGGCACCCACCACCATGCCTGGCTAATTTTGGTATTTTTAGTAGAGACGGGGTTTCATCATCTTGACCGTGCTGGTCTCGAACTCCTGACCCTGTGATCCACCCGCCTCGGCCCTGCAAAGTGCTGGGATTACAGGCGTGAGCCACTGCACCCGGCCGATGTCTTTTTCTTTTGTTTTGAGACAGGGTCTCTCTCTGTCACTCAGGCTGGAGTGTAGTGGCACGATCACAGCTACTCAGGCGGCTGAGGCATGAGAATTGCTTGAACCTAGCAGGCAGAGATTGCAGTGGGCTGAGATCGCGTTACTGCACTTCAACCTGGGTGACAGAGTGAGACTCTGTCTCAAAAAAAACATGGCAGGGGAATTAAGGTTGCAAATGGATTAAAGTTGATAATCAGACGACTTTAAGAGATCATTCTGGATTATCCAGATGGCCCCAATATAAACAGAAGGGGACTTTAAAAGTGGAAGAGGGAGGCAGAAGAGTCAGCGGGATATTGACAGTGGAAGAATGGTCAGAGAGATGCAGTGTTGCTGGCTCTGAGGGTGGGAGGAGGTCATGATGCAAGGAATATAGGCATGCTGTAGAAGCTGGAAAGGGCTAAGGAAGTGGATTCTTCCCCATAGTCTCCAGAAAGGAACACAGCCCTGCTGACACCTTGATTTTAGCCCAGTGGTACCTGTGTCAGCCTTCTCTCTTACTGAACTATAAAATAATAAATTCATGTTTAAGCCATTAGGCTTTTGGTAATTTGTTACAGCAGCAAAAGGAAACTAATGCAAACCACAATGTTCTTTTTAACTAAGTAGGTTTACCTGATTTACCTTGCAGAATGCCATGGCAGATTGTGTTTACAACCATGCTGGACACACTAGGAGTAAAAATCATAAGTTATGCTCATCTCTAAAGAACTTAAATAGCAATTAGAGAAACAAAGTTTAAGGAGCATAAAACAGTTACTGATTGTGTGGTACTGACTGTGAATGCAGTAAAGGAAGTAAGAAAAAGTAAAGGCTACAGCAATGTTTCTCAGACTTCATTGCACATTAGGGTCACTTAGGGATCTTTTAAAAAGTCTGAAGCAACATCTCATACCAATTAAATCACAAATTATTGGGTTGGGACACAAACATCAGTATTTATTAAAGCTCACAAGTGATTCCAGTGGACAGATAAGTTTGAGAGCCACTGAGCTAGAGTCATCTGAGAGGGCATCAAGGAGTGGGATTTGTAGTGGTTCTTGAAGCATAGGTGGAATTTGATTAGCTGGAGAGAAGGTGGAAATTTTGATGAAAATATTCCTAATAATAATTACAGCAAATTGCCATTTCCATTTTGATCAGAACAAATGGTTTGTAAACGTTACTTGATAAAAGGAATGAAGTGTCATCATTATTCAAATAAATAAAATATTGTTCAATACAGCCAAATTTCTAAGATTTAACAAACAAATACATTAAAAAATATTCACAACTGAGCTCAGTGGCAGTGGCTCATACCCTAATCCCAGCACTTTGGGAGGCTGAGTCGGGGGGATTACTTGAGCCCAGGAGTTTGAGGTTACAGTGAGCTATGATGGCACCACCACACTCCAGCCTGGGCAACAGAGCAAGACCTGTCTCAAAAAAAAAGAAGAGACTGCCTGCATTTCCCAAAAATGGCTAGTTTTTTTGTTTTAATTTTGCCGGGCACAGTGACCCACAGCTGTAATCCCAGCAATTTGGGAGGCCGAGGCAGGCAGATTGCTTGAGCTCAGGAATTCAAGACCAGCCTGGACAACATGGCAAAACCCCATCTCTACAAAAAATACAAAAATTAGCTGGGCATGCTGGCATACTCCTATAGTCCCAACTATTCAAGAGGCTGAGCTGGGAGGATGGCTTGAGCCCTGAAGGCAGAGACTGCACCACTGCACTCCAGCCTGAGTGACAGAGCCAGACCTCATCTCAAAAAAAAAGTTTGTAACATAAACTGAAGAGCCTAGGCCAGGCACAGTGGCTCACACCTATAATCCTAACACTTTGGGAGGCCAAGGCAGGTGGATTGCCTGAGCTCAGGAGGTTGAGACCAGCCTGGGCAACATGGCAAAACCCCATCTCTACTAAAAATACAAAAAATTAGCTGGGCATGGTGGTGCACACCTGTAATCCCAGGTACTCGGGAAGCTGAGGTGGGAGGATCGCTTGAACCGGGAGGCGGAGGTTGCAGTGGGCCAAGACTGCGCCACTGCACTCCAGCCTGGGTGACACAGTGAGACTGTGTCTCAAATAAATAAATAAATAGCCTATTGATTGAGAGCCATGTGTAACCTGTATCACTGATCATTTTGAGATTTCTGTTTAAATAGTTATGTATAAAGTTGATTTGAGGAAAAATAATGTGTTAATAGTTATTTCATAGATATGCAGGAAATTCTTAGGCTTCCTAGAACTAAACTATTTCAATTCTTTGTTGGAAAGGGAGTCCTTCCTAGAATAAGTTCTTGGTTTTAAATTATTTTCCTATAACATTGTGCCTTAAGAGCATTACAAGGTTGGAAGAAGCAGGGAATAGCACTCAATAATAAAACAGAATAATCAGTTTCTCAAGGACTCTATTTGTCCTGCGCGCAGCAGCCCTCTTCAAACACATTTCTCACTAACATGGTTTCAACTGTAATGGAGATGTGCTCGCTTTGGCAGCACATATACTAACTGTAATGGAGATAAATTTGGACTTAAGATAAAAATTTTCCCTACCAAGTGCCTTATTAAAGTTTGTCACTTTCTCCTTTATATGAAAGTGCCAAGTTTTAGACTATGTGCTAAAATTCAGCCACCTTGCTTTCTGTGAGATTAATTTTCCTGCCTGGCAAGGTGGCGTTTAGCAGAACTGGCAATATACATTATTCATAAATATCTTTATTTTTCCAAATAATGGCAGTTATAATGGTTTAACCTTGTGACAGACACTTCAGACAATATGGACTAACAGATGTGAGTTCATATTCTGGCTCTGCAATTTACCAGCTTGGACTTGGGCAAGTTTGTCTAACCTCTCAGGTTAAGTACTTAGCTTGTGGTATTGTTGAAAGATTAAATGAAAACCAAACAAAATTCATTAGGCATTTTCATTATCACCTCACTGCCATTTCTCTCCATCCTAACACTGGCTTCCATCTCTTCCTGCCAGCATTGCTGCTATCTCAATTAGATATTCTACTTCACAGTTCAAACTTCCTCCAACAACCTGACCATTCCTCCTTCTCGAAAGACTCCTCTCCAATTGAGATCTTGGGATTAAGGGCTAGAATATGGTTGACATATAGAAAGGTACAGAATGCATATCAGCTGTCTCCACCACTGCCCTCAAAGCAGAATCAAAAAGGACACTGATAAGTGGCGTCTTTCAACTGACAGTAATGAATACAAGATAAGTGGAACAAACCATTTTTAGTCCAAGCTTCATTAGACAGTACTAACCTTGGAGAACAACAGGGTGACATCAGCAAGAATAAGATAGCAACTTGTAACACTCTGTGTAATGAATTAGGAGTAAAACTGCCTGTATTTAAATCCCAGCTCCACCATTTGCTGTGTAATCTCTCTAAGCTTTGGTCTTTGCATCTGTGAAATGCAAATAATAATAGTACTAATAGTAACTGATGTATTTTACTGTTATTGTAAGGCTTTTTTTTTTTTTTTTTTTGAGATGGAGTTTTACTCTTGTTGCCCTGACTGGAGTGCAATGGCGTGATCTCAGCTCGCTGCAACCTCTGTCTCCCAGGTTCAAGTGGTTCTCCTGTCTCAGCCTCCCGAGTAGCTGGGACTACAGGCATGCACCACCACACCTGGCTAATTTTTGTATTTTTAGAAGAGACGGGGTTTCACCATGTTGGCCAGGCTAGTCTGGAACTCCTGACCTCAGGTAATACGCCCGGCTTGGCCTCCCAGAGTGCTGGGATTACAGGCATGAGCCCCCACGCCTGGCCTGTAAGACTTATTAGAGGGTTTTTTTGTTTTGTTTTGTTTTGTTTTGTTTTGTTTTGTTTTGTTTCTATGAGACAGAGTCTCACTCTGTCGCCCAGGCTGGAGTGCAGTGGCGCAATCTCAGTTCACTGCAACCTCTGCCTCCTGGGTTCAAGCGATTCTCCTGCCTCAGCCTCCAGAGTAGCTGGGGTTACAGGCATGTGCCACCACGCCCAGCTAATTCTTGTGTTTTTAGTAGAGAGGGGGTTTCTCCATGTTGGCCAGGCTGGTCTCAAACTCCTGACCTCAAATGATCCACCCGGCTCGGCCTCCCAAAGTGCTGGGGTTACAGGTGTGTGCCACCACACCCAGCTAATTTTGTGTTTTTAGTAGAGATGGAGTTTCTCCATGTTAGTCAGGCTGGTCTCAAACTCCCGACCTCAGGTGATCCGCCCGCCTCGGCCTCCCAAAGTGCTGGGATTACAGGCATCAGCCACTGCACCCGGCCTTAGAGTTTTTATAAGAATTAAATTAAATAGGCTGGGTGTGGCCTATTCTATTTTCAAATGTGACCTCTCTGAGAAGATCACATTTGAAAAGAGACATGAATGAAGTAGCCACAGAAGATACCTGGGAGAAGAGATTCTAAGTAGAGGGATGGGAATGGCAAGGTAGTGATGTGACTAAAATGCACTGAGCAACTAAGAAGGGTAGGCAATGATACCTTAAGCAGTGTACTAGAGGGGGAAGGTGCTCACCTGGAGGAGAGAGAGTTCCTAGATTTTTGGCATATCATCCACACCATTCTATGCCTTAATCCAGAGAAACTGTGCCAGGTACCCTGGGAGAAAGAGATTATGGAAAAAAAGATGTAATAAATGGTAGAACCATATCAGTAGAGGAATCACTGGAGATGGAAAAAGAAGCTATGCATTCTAATCATATTACACATCTCAACACAAATGGGGAAGCTGTTTTCTTCATTTTAACATAGCAACAGGTAGAGACAGGACAACTACCACTATATGGTGGCAGGGGACTTCAACCAACTGATCCTGAGCCGAAACAGGCCAGAAACTAGAGCAGAAAAAATCCCATGTTTCAAATTGGAGGAAAAGAAGGCTGTTTTAATTTAAAAATATGTGATACAATTTTGTAAACCACATTAAATAGAAGCAGCTACCTATGGCTGAGATGCCAGTGGTTTTACTGGTACGTTATGATAAAGAGTTTCAGTAACTATTTATTGAGTGCCTATTGGCCAAACATTCCGGCGAGGTGCCAGAATAAAAAGAATTAATATAGTGTTAGGCACTGTAACTGTTTTGTTTTGTTTTTCTGAGACAAGAGTCTCGCTCTGTTGCCCAGGCTGGAGTGCAGTGGCGCGATCTCAGTTCACTGCAACCTCCGCCTCCCGGGTTCAAGCAATTCTCCTGCCTCAGCCTCCCAAGTAGGGATTCCCTTTCCACCCTGTCTAAAAGAGCATGCACATTACTCTCTATCATTCGGCCTATTTTAAATTCTTCCCATACTCTGGTCACTGACATTATTTATTTATGTGTTTATTCCCTATCTCCCCTACTAACAATGTAAGTTCCATAAGGGCAGAAACTATTTTATTCACCATTCTATCCCTGTTACCTAGAGCAGTAGTAATATTCCATAACTATTTGTTGGTGAATCAGTCACATAAGTAAAAGGAGCTAGCAACAGTGGCCTGCACCAGTGGTCCTAACTACTACAGAAGCTGAGGCAGGAAGATTGCCTGAGCCCAGGAGTTTAAGTCCAGCCTGGACAACATAGCAAAACCCCATCTCTAAATAAATAAACAAAATAATTAACAGGAGCATTTAGAAGTCTGTTGTCTCCAACAATCTTCAGCCTCCATGTTTCTGGTCATTGTTCTCTCCATGGGACTACTGAAACCCTAGTGCAGGTAGACCCCAACTGGCCCTAACTCTCCAATCCTGCAGATATGCCTGAACATGTCTGAAATCTCTGGGCCTCTTACTCTCCATATTTCTTCCCTGTGCCATATATGTAAGAAAGTTGTTTGAGTTGGGTCAGAGCTTTAAATATTAAATAGGAACACTTCTGTGACAGCAGTAACCTTTAATATGTAAAAGAGAACAGCACATTAGCAAATTCTGTCTTAACTGGCTTGAATATGTTAATTCTCAATGGTTTATTTACTGCTGCCTTCATTAAGGATTATTAAAGTATGTTTTTTTAGCTCGTCAAAGCGAAATTGTGTTTAGTCGCCAAGTTTAATTGCCACTTTTCATACTCTTTTGATGTACTAATAGCTCCTAATGGGGATCATTAGTTAAGAAATGAAAAAAAGAAAACAGGTTTCTTCAGAAATTCTAAGTCTGTTCCCACTACTTCCCTAACTCTTGGGGACTACAAGACACTTAATTAAAAGCATAAAGCCGGGCGCGGTGGCTCATGCCTGTAATCCCAGCACTTTGGGAGGCCAAGGAGGGTGAATCACCTGAAGTCGGGAGTTTGAGACCAGCCTGACCAACGTGGAGAAACACCGTTTCTACTAAAAATACAAAATTAGCGGGGTGTGATGGTGCGCGCCTATAATCCCAGCTACTTGGGAGGCTGAGACAGGAGAATTGCTTGAACCCAGGAGGCGGGGGTTGTGATGAGCCACGATCACGCCACTGCACTCCAGCCTGGGCAACAAGAGCGAAACACCATCTCAAAAAAAAAAAAAAAAAACTATAATAAAATAAAGAGGGTTCCTGGAGACAGGAATTGGGATTGGTGGTAGCTTCCCAATTATCTGATTACTTAAGACTTTATTCATAGCCAGAATTTTTCTTTTCCTTACTATTACGTATATACCCATCCAGAACATTATTTCATACCCAGCCTTCCCTGTTGTCTCCCTCCACTACCAAGTCTCCCCTGCCAGTTGCTCTCCCTTTATTCAATTAAAGTGAAAAACAAAAGTGTTAGAATGATTTTTGCTTATATGTTGAACTTGATGCATGTTTTAAAAATATTAATTCCAGTGAGTTTTAGAAATTGAAATTATATGAAAGCAAAGTCCCAGGCTGGGCGGTGGCTCACACCTGTAAACTCAGCACTTTGGGAGGCCGAGGTGGACGGATTATGAGGTCAGGAGTTCGAGACCAGCCTGGCCAACATGGTGAAACCCCATCTTGACTAAAAATACAAAAAAATTAACCAGGTATGTAGGCGCGCACCTGTAGTCCCAGCTACTTAGGAGGCTGAGGCAACAGAATTGCTTGAACCCGGGAGGCAGAGGTTGCAATGAGCCGAGATCACACCACTGCACTCCAGCTTGGGTGACAGAGCAAGACTCCATCTCAAAACAAAAAACAAACAAACAAAAGGGGCCAAGAGCAGTGGCTCACACCTGTTACCCCAGCACTTTGGGAGGCTGAGACAGGCAGATCACCTGAGGTCAGCAGTTCGAGACCAACCTGGCCAACATGGTAAAACCCCATCTCTACTAAAAAAAAAAAAAAAAAAAATACAAAAATTAACTGGGCTGTGCACCTGTAATCCCAGCTACTCGGGAGGCTGAGACAGAAGAATGGCTTCAACCTGGGAGGGGAGGTTGCCGTGAGCCGAGATCACACCATTGCATTCCAGCCTGGGCAACAAGAGCGTAACTCCATCTCAAAAAAACAAAACAAAACAAAACAGATTAAAATTTGAATTACTTTAATATCTCAGTTCATTGCAAACTCCGCCTCCCAGGTTCAAGCAATTCTCTGCCTCACCCTCCTGAGTAGCTGGGATTATAAGTGCCCACCACCACGCCTGGCTAATTTTTTGTATTTTTAGTAGGGACGGGGTTTCACCATCTTGGCCAAGCTGGTCTTCAACTCCTGACCTCGTGATCCACCCGCCTCGGCCTCCCAAAGTGCTGGGATTACAAGCGTGAGCCACCGCGCCCGGCCCAGAATATTTTCATTGAGGGCAACTTTTTTTGGATTTTGGCACTGTGTTGCTTTATACATGAATGAAAATTTGATAAACAATAATAATTATAATAGCTGCCAGGATTATAGCTATTGATTCAGTTAAGACTCACAAGAACCCTGTGAGATAGGTATTATTATTTTCTCTATAGATAAGGAATTTGGAATTCAGAGAATAAGTAATTTGCTCAAGTCCACAGCAACCTTCAGCCTAAATGTGATCCCAGGTCTGACTCTAGAGCCCTGGCACATTATCAATATTGCTCTTCTAAGAAGGAACATTCTTATATGAAGTGACTAAATACTGGCAGAAGAAACTGCCAGGGAGCCGGGGGTGGTTGCTAATGCCTGTAATCCCAGCACTTTGGGAAACCGAGGCAGATAGATCACTTGAGGCCAGGAGTTCTGTCTCACAGAGTTCCATCTCAAAAATAAAATTTTTTAAAAAGCAGGGATTCTAGCAGCTGACCTCTAGTGACCTCATCTACCCCAAAGTTAGTACACCTAGAATTGTTACCCCTTATTTTAATTAGAAATATTATTAGTTGTAATTTATATTTAAAAATGAATAGGGCTGGGTGCAGTGGCTCACACCTGTTATCCCAGCACTTGGGGAGGCCAAGGCTGGAGGATCACTTGGGCTTAGGAGTTGGAGACCAGCCCATAGTGAGACACCATCTCTACAAAATATTTATTTATTTATTTATTTAGAGACGGAGTTTCACTCTTATTGCCCAGGCTGGAGTAGCAGTGGCGCAGCCTCGGCTCACTGCAACCTCCGCCTCCCGGGTTCAAGTGATTCTCCTGCCTCAGCCTCCCAAGTAGCTGGGATTACAGACACCCGCCACCACGCCCGGCTAATTTTTTGTATTTTTAGTAGAGATGGGGTTTCACCATGTTGGCCAGGCTGGTCTCGAACTCCTAACCTCAGGTGATCCACCCGCCTCAGCCTTCCAAAGTGCTAGGATTACAGGCATAAGCCACCATGCCTGGCCAAAAAATTTAAAAATTATCTAGGCATGGTGGCACACAGCTGTAGTCCCAGCTACTCGGATGGCTGAATGGGGAGGATTGCTTGAGCCCAGGAGGTTGAGGCTGCAGTGAGCCATAATTGCACCACTGCACTTAAACTTGGGTGACACATGTACTCTGAGTTCCGGGAAAACCCACACATCTACTTAACTTTGGGACTTTAATGTTCCTGTTAATGCCACCTGAATCAACCCTTTGGCCGTGACCTATGTCAGCCAATCAAAACTCAGCAACCAGGCTGGGCATAGTGACTCGCACCTGTAATCCCAATATTTTGTGAGGCTGAGGTAGACAGATCATTTGAGCTCAGGAGTTCCAGACCAACCTGGGCAACGCGGTGAAACCCTGTCTCTACCCCCAAAAAATACAAAAATTAGCCGGACATAATGGTGCCTGCCTGCAGTCCCAGCTATTTGGGAAGCTGAGGCGAGAGAATGGCTTGAGCCTGGGAGGTGGAGGTTGTGGTGAGCCAAGATTGTGCCACTGCACTCCAGCCTGGGCAACCTCTTCTAAAAAATTATACACCCACACACACATATATATATACGTACATATACACACAAATATATGTGTACACATACACACACACACATATATATGCACCAGAAGGTCACTTTTTAAATTTGTGTGAATATTCATATGCATACACGTGTGTAGAAAAAACACCACAAAGGCTGATGAGGTCTTCAGTTTGCTTAACTGTGTACACGTATTCAGTGTACACATATTACAGTTATCTAGTGAAAGCTATAAAATGTTTAAATGAAGACTATGTTTTGGAATAAATTAAAAAATAAGATAGTCTATCAGAAATAGATTCTGAAGGAAACAAAAGCAAATAAAGAACAGCTGGATTTCTACTGGTAAGGGAGTTTGCTCTTTTTAAAAGAAGAATAGCAAATGATTCCCTGTGGATCTGGAACTTACTCTGTCAACCTAAGGATGTGTTTTTGTGACTATCATCTCTTTATTCTAAAGCCAAGTGGAAAGAGAACAAAGCAATGAGAGGAAACTGATTTAAAAACCCTTTAGCTGATCAAGGTGGGAAATTAGGAAAACTAAATCTAAATAAACTCTTGAAGTCACTTTGTGTAGCAAGAGAATAGTCTGAACTTGATTATGATGAAGAAAATCCTTATAGAGTTCATGCTACCAGAAGAATTTTGAGACTACATTGGCATGAAGTGTGGGGACTATTAAGAATTATATGTCAGGGCACAGTGGCTCATGTCTGTAATCCCAGCACTTTGGGAGGCTAAGGCGGGCAGATCACAAGGTCAGGAGATCAAGACCATCCTGGCTGACACGGTGAAACCCCCTCTCTACTAAAAATACAAAAAATTAGCCAGGCGTGGTGGCACGTGTCTGTAGTCCCAGCTACTTGGGAGGCTGAGGCAGGAGAATCGCTTGAACCCGGGAGGCAGAGGTTGCAGTGAGACAAGATCATGCCACTGCACTCCAGCCTGGGCGACAGAGCAAGACTCTGTCTCACTTCTTCCAAGTGAGCACACAATCATTTCTACCTACAAATGTTATAACTAAAAATTAATTATCAGGAACTCCTTCTCAATATAACGATTTAAACAAATGTAAGGTGTACTAATTTATTTGCTTAACATTGTTTATTAAATACCTGTACTGGCTGATTTAATCCATAACATACTATGTAGTCAGGTATCAGGGTTGGCTGCCAGATATGAACCTTTGGCCAAATGAGGGATGAAGTTACTTCATCTCTCATCCAGCTTTGCCAGATCCACTCACAAAGGTGACTGTCTACATTTTTAACCCTCTTTAGAAAAATATACAGAAGCTTCGCTATTTGAAACCAGTCTTCCTGTACTCCGTTTGTATTCTGAATCTTACTATTTATCTTTTCCGTCTTGACAATGTGATTTGTGAACTTAGCTTTGGATTCTGATTTTAGTTTATTTGGTTCTACATATTTTGGATCCTATCTTTGGCATGTTTTTTTAAATTCTTGTTCCATCCTGGGCTTGTATCTAATTCAAAATTCCTGAACTTGACACCCCCAAGCTCCACCCACAAACCTTGTAAACAGATGTTATTTCTTAAGCCCTAGAGACTAAAACTACAGGGGAAATATTACCTCAGGTAGAAAAGCATCTTTCTTAGTCTCTTGATATGATCTCTTCTTAGGTGAAGGGTCCTCACACAAAAACATAAATTTGTTAATCCAAAAGACATTATGCAAGAGTTATCTGTTTGTACAGGCTTTTCCCCCAACAAGGCAGGAAGAACCTGCTAGACTAGTTGTCATTGCTGAACTAAGAAAAGACATTCCTGTGATACACACTTGAAATCTGCCTTTCGTTGAATGCTCATCTCCTCATTTGCTCCCCAGGTACAGACAATTGCCTGCACAGTTTTGTCTGGTTCACCACTAGTTTAGCAGGAGGCACTAAGGTTTTTCTGTATCCTAGTTCTGTTCTGGTGTCTCACTGTTCACCTTTCCTGATTGTGTCACCACCCATTAGTCCAGGTACATGTTCATCTGCAGACATATGAATGCACAAGGCACCAGGCATATGCTTACTTAACATGAAGTTGCCTAAATGCTCTTATAAAACCTTATTGTGAGTATATGAATTTGATGCCAACTTGTTTGAATTACAATGTCAATTTTCTTTTCTTTTTTTTTTTTTTTTGAGATGGAGTTTCACTCTTGTTGCCGAGGCTGGAGTGCAATGGTGTGGTCTCAGCTCACTGCAACCTCCACCTCCCAGGTTCAAGCATTTCTCCTGCCTCAGCCTCCTGGGTAGCTGGTATTACAAGCATGCGCCACCACCTCCGGCTAATTTTTGTATTTTATTGGAGACGGGGTTTCACCATGTTGGCCAGGCTGATCTCGAACTCCTGACCTCAGGTGATCCACCCACCTCAGCCTCCCAAAGTGCTGGGATTACAGGCATGAGCCACCGCGCCCACCTAATGTCAAATTATTAACACTGATATCATGGGCCCAGAGCTGTTTGAGTTACTTAATATCTGACTATTTGGGAATATCAATATAATGCTGTCTTTCTGGAAATGCAAATACTTTGCTACAATTTGAGAAGATTTTTACCCCAGATAGATTTCCCGCCAGCTTGCAACAGTGCCTGAAATTCCACAAGAAATATTCATATCTTTTTGTCTTGAAAGGAACTCAAGCTAGCTATTAAAATGTATTCGTGTGTGTGTGTGTGTGTGTGTGTGTGTGTGTGTGTGTGTGTGTGTGTTTTAAAAGGTTAACAATAATTTTCTGGAGAGAATGGATATAATGGTTATTTTTATATTCTTCATACTTTAACCTATTTTAAAATTTTTCTACAGGAAAGATATACACTTCTATTATCAGAAAAAAAATGCTATAGCAATTTTTATGAGGCCAGGTGTGGTGGCTCACACCTGTAATCCCAACACTTTAGGAGGCTGATTGCTTAAGGCCAGGAGTTTGATACAAGCCTGGGCAACATAGCACGACTCTGCCTCTACAAAATAAAACTAAAAAAAAATTATACACTCAAAGATGAGAAAAATCTAAAGCCATTATCAGATAGCAGCTTATTGAATGTATATTTCTCAAACCTTTTATGTTAATGCTAGGCAGCTAGAACCCAGACCTTTTCAGAAATTCGCATAAGATCCCAAAAGGAAGTAAATCCTCATATTGATAATGTTCTTGTTCTTAAGCAGAGTGTTTATTCTATTATATTTAACAACACATTCTTTTGTATGTATCAAATATTACACTCAAATTTTTCTTTTTTTTAATCCTGAAAGGGCCAAAGATAAACTTCCTGTTTCCCCAGTATTTGCCCAAGCCTCCCATGGCAGGACTCACATACAGGGCCTTTTTTACAGCTAATGCTGCTATAAGTAGCATTTCTAAAAGCATTTCAGAAACTATGCCGGGCACAGTGGCTCACACTTGTAATCCCAGCTCTTTGCAGGCTGAGGCAAGAGTGTGGCTTGAGCTCAGGAGTTTGAGGCCACAGTGAGCTATGATCATGCCACTGCACTCCAGCTTAGGTGACAGAGCAAGACCCTTTCTGTAAAAATAAAAAGTATTTGAGAAACTGGAACAGATAAGACAGACCAATATTACGCTCAAGTTTTCCTCATATTATGGTAAAGTTGAAATTATTGAACTAGGCTGGGCATAGTGGCTAACACCTGTAACCCTAAGAACTTTGCAAGACTAAGGCAGGAGGATTGCTTGAGCCCAGGAGTTCAAGGCCAGCCTGGGCAGCATAGTGATAATCTGTCCCTAAAAAAAAATAATAATAACCATACCTGGCCAACATCGTGAAACCATGTCTCTACTAAAATACAAAAATTAGCTGGGTTTTTTGGTGCATGCCTGTAATCCCAACTACTTGGGAGGTTAAGGCAGAAGAATCACTTGAACCCGGGAGGCAGAGGTTGGAGTGAGCTGAGATTGCCCCACTGCACTCCAGCCTGGGTGACAGAGTGAAACTTCTTTTCTGAAACTGTCTCAAAAAAATAAAAATTAAAAGGCCAGGCGCGGTGGCCTACGCCTGTAATCCCAGCATTTTGGGAGGCCAAGGCGGGCAGATCACAAGGTCAGGAGATCGAGACCATCCTGGCTAATATGGTGAAACCACATCTCTACTAAAAATATAAAAAATTAGCCAGGTGTGGTGGCAGGCGCCTGTAGTCCCAGCTACTCGGGAGGCTGAGGCAGGAGAATGGCGTGAACCCAGGAGGCGGAGGTTGCAGTGAGCCGAGATCGAGCCACTGCACTCCAGCCTGGGCGACAGAGCGAGACTCCATCTCAAAATAAATAAAATTAAATTAAAATTAAAAAATAAATATTAAAATTCAATGTAAAACAATTAAGTTATGATGATAAACATCATACGATATCAACTCACACAAGATTCATGGTCCTTTTCAATGTCAGGTAAATTCATCCTTGATTTCATGAAAATCCAGGGATTAAAGCAGAGTAGTTTCATCTAAGTGCAGCTAATGTCTATTCCATTTTCAGGTATGTCCGTGGAGAACATACCTGAAAATGATATGTTCATGGAGAATCAACTTGCCTTTCATTCACTTCAACTTGTCTTTCATTCAAATATTCAGATATTTCATTTCAGATATTTCCTGAGCCATATGTTAGGTGCATGCCAAATTCATGCTGGGGATATTGTGTTGAACAAACCAGGCATGGTTCCTGCCCTCACGGAGTTTACAGCCTAGTGTGGTCCTAGCATACCGCCATGCCAATAATGTGCAGTTGTTTTTCTTTTTTTCCAGAAGGATCTCACTCTGTTGCCTACGCTAGAGTGCAGTGGTGCAATCATAGCTCACTGCAGCCTCCAACTGCTCGCTCAAGCAATCCTCTTACCTCAGCCTCCCAAGTAGCTGGGACTACAGGCATGTGCCACCATAATCAGCTGATTTTTTAAAAATTTTTTTGTAGAAACAGGACCTCACTTTGTTTTCTGGGATGGTCTTTTATTATTATTATTATTATTATTGTTTTTTTTTTTTTTTTTGAGATGGAGTCTTGCTCTGTTGCCAGGCTGGAGTGCAATGGCGTGATCTCGGCTCACTGCAGTCTCCACCTCCTGGGTTCAAGCGATTCCCCTGCCTCAGCCTCCCAAGTAGCTGGGATTAAAGGTGCATGCCACCATGCCCGGCTAATTTTTTTTTTGTATTTTAGTAGAGACGGGGTTTCACCATGTTGGCCAGGATGGCCTCGATCTCCTGACCTCATGATCCACCTGCCTCGGCCTCCCAAAGTGCTGGGATTATGGGCGTGAGCCACCGCGCCCAGCCTTTGGGCTGGTCTTGAACTCAGGGCCTGAAGTGATCCTCTTACCTCCCCTCCCAAAGTGTTGGGATTACAGGTGTGAGTAACCATGCCTGGACCTTTTTTTTTTTTTTTTTTTTTTTTTTTTAAGATACAGGTAGGGCCAGGGCTGGGCCCAGTGGCTCACTTCTATAATCCCAGCTATTTGGGAAGCCCAGGAGGGTGGATGGCTTGGGCTCAGGAATTCGAGACCAGCCCAGGCAACATGGCAAAACTCCATCTCTACTAAAACTACAAAAATTAGCCAGGCATGGTGGCCTGTACCTGTAGTCCCAGCCATTCAGGAAGCTAAGGTAGTAGGATCACTTGAGCCTAGGAGGCGGAGGTTGCAGTGAGCCAAGATCATGCCACTGCACTCCAGCCTGGGTGCAGAGCCAGACTCTGTCTCACGAAAAAATAAAAATAAAAAAAATAAGGAGGCTGGGCACGGTGGCTCACTCCTGTAATCTCAGCACTTTGGGAGGCCAAGGTGGGCCGATCACTTGAGTCCGGGAGTTCAAGACCAGCCTTGAAGACCAGCCTGGGCAACATGGTAAAACCCTGTATCTACTAAAAAATAAATAATATTAATAAATAAAATAAAATAAAGATATAATTAACAGCTAGGCGCAGTGGCTCAGGCCTGTAATTCCAGCACTGTGGGAGGCCAAGGCAGGAAAATCTCTTGAAGCCAGGACTTGGAGACCAGCCTGAGCAACATGGTGAGACTCCATCTCTACCAAAAATATACAGAAATTAGGCGGGCATGGTGGCATGGCACTTGTGGTGCCAGCTACTCTGGAGACTGAAGTGAAGGATCGCTTGAGCCCTGGAGGTGGAGATTGCAGTAAGTGGAGATTGCACCACTGCACTGCACTGCACCACTGCACTGTTGTCTGAGCAACAGAGGGAGACCCTCTTTAAAAAAAAATGCTGGAACTCATAGATACAATGGATTGAGTGCTCAGGGTTTTCCCTAATCACTAGGTAAAACCAGCATGGTTGATGTCTTTGTGAAGGTACTTTTCCAGCTACACCCAAGCTTTAATGCACAGGCAATCACCAGGAATCTTGGTAAAATGCAGACTGTGATCAGTAGGTGTGTGTTGGATCTGAGATTTTGCGTTTCTTTTCTTTCTTTCTCTCTTTCTTTCTTTCTTTCTCTTTCTTTCTTTCTTTTTTTGATGGAGTCTCGCTCTTGCACCCAGGCTGGAGTGCAGTGGCGCAATCTCGGCTCACTGCAAGCTCTGCCTCCCGGGTTCACACCATTCTCCTGCCTCAGCCTCCTGCGTAGCTGGGACTGCAGGCGCCTGCCACCGTGCCTGGCTAATTTTTTGTATTTTTAGTAGAGACGGGGTTTCACCATGTTAGCCAGGATGGTCTCGATCTCCTGACCTCGTGATCCGCCCACCTTGGCCTCTCAAAGTGCTGGGGTTACAGGCGTGAGCCACCACGCCTGGCCTCTTTCTTTTTTTGAGAAGTAGTCTCACTCTGTCACCCAGGCTGGAGTGCAGTGGCACCATCTTGGCTCACTGCAACCTCCGTCTCCTGGGTTCAAGCAATTATCCTGCCTCAGCCTCCTGAGTAGCTGGGATTACAGGTGTGCGCCACCATGCCCGGCTAATGTTTTTTGTATTTTGAGTAGAGATGGGGTTTCGTGATGTTGGCAAGGCTGGTCTTGAACTCTTGACCTCAGGTGATCCACCCACCTTGGCCTTCCAAAGTGCTGGAATTACAGACATTAGCCACCACGCCTGGCCAGATTTTGCATTTCTAATAAACTCACAGATGCTGCCTGTGCTGATGGTCCACTGATCCCATTTTGAGTGCAAGGAGTTAGACTATGTCATCAGGAGAATATCAGCTGAGGCTCCTTCAGGTGTTTCTGTGTGAGGGCTGTCCTGTCCTCCATATAGTATATAGCTTCTCCCCACCTTGGCCAGCACAATCTCTGTTCCACCCAGCCCCCAGCTCTTTAACAGGTTTTACACACACACACACACGCCCGCATGCGCACACACACATATGTATTTTGTTTGTTTTTGAGACAGGGTCTTGCTCTGTCGTCAGGCTGGAGTGCAGTGGTGTGATCACAGCTCACTGCAGTCTCAACCTCCCAGGATCAAACCATCCTCCCACCTCAGCCTCCCGAGGAGCTGGGACTAGAGGTGCATGCCACTATGCCTAGCTAATTTTTGTTTTGTTTTGTTTTTGAGAAGGAGCTTCACTCTTTTTGCCCAGGCTGGAGTACAATGGTGCAATCTCAGCTCAATGCAACCTCCACCTCCTGGGTTCAAGCGATTCTCTCTGCCTCAGCCTCCCAAGTAGCTGGGATTAAAGGCGCCTGCCACCACGCCCGGCTAATTTTTTGTATTTTTAGTAGAGATGGAGTTTCACCATGTTGGCCAGGCCAGTCTCGAACTCCTGACCTCACGTGATCCTACCCGCCTCGGCCTCCCAAAGTGCTGGGGTTACAGGCCTGAGCCACCGTGCCCAGCTGTGCCCAGCTAATTTTTAAATTGTTTGGACAGACAGATGCAGGGGGGCGGGTCTCCCTATGTTGCCTAGGCTGGTCTCTAGCTCCTGGCTTCAAGCCTCACTGTGGCTCCCAAAGTGCTGGGATTACAGGCAGGAGCCATTGTGCCCCGCCTTCAACGGGTTTCTTGTTCTGAGATCTGAGGGTGTTTGCCGGACCCACAGCTGCCTGACCCAGGGCCTGTTTCCTATCTCAGGAGGGGCCTTTGTGCTACTTCTCCTTGAGATGCTACTCCCTCCCATCCCCCAGGAAGTGATATATGGCCTCTCCTCCCTTTTGCAGGGATACTTGGCAACCAGACCCTTTGTGTATTTATGGCCCATTAACAAACTTTATCTAAGAGATAAGAAAGATCGTGAAAACCAGCTGCCCTTTGTTCAGATCATTTCACTTTGAAATAAGACTTACCCCTCTCTATTTTTAGTCTGCTGTTTATTTTGTAGGTTTGGATAAGGTGATTATAGCCCAAGGCTTGTTTTGATCTTTGTTCCTTAAGCTCTGGGGTGATTGGTAAACATTTTAGAAGCCAGTGGCTACTAGCTTTTATTTTAGCTTTTTCAGGATCATAGAATTGTAGACTTCGACCGTAGAAAAGGGCTTTCAAGGAGTTGTAGCTTAGCCCCCTTTATCTGACAAATAGGAAACAGGAGTTTTCTGTCAGGAGCCCATGGAGTTTCTGTACCTTACCAAAGACTACACAATTTAGGGCCAACTGGGCTGCTAGAGTCCCTCAGACCTTTTAAACTGTGCTCCAAGGAGCTGCTTAGACCTGCCTGCCCTGATATGTTTGTGTTTGGAGGAGTGGAGATAAAGGAGTACCTCAAGCAAAGCAGCGCCATTCATAACACTTTCATCCATTTCACATCCATTTCATACAATCTAAGATTTTAGAACTTGGATTTTATTTGAACAATGAGCTTTATATCTTAAAAAATTAATCATTTTATTTCACCTTGATGTCTGCAAATTAGTCTTTATTAAATATCTGTAGTTTAAGAGTCACATTTTTCTATTCTCATTTTACATGCAGAGTTTGAGCCAGAGCTAAAATTCTGTATCTGTGGAAAAGCTAAAGAAAGGAAGTCTGACACTTAGAACATTTAAATACAATATTTAAATACCCATTTTATCTTAGGCAGGAACTCATATTGTAAAGATATGTCTTCCATTTAGAAAGATAGAACATGCATCATCTTATCTAGTCACTGTTAGCATTTTTATGATACTTTTCCAACTCTTATATTGAAAGTTATACCCATTGATTTTCACCCAAGCCTTGGGAAATTAAAAACCCTTGTTGAGATACAATTTACTTAACACATAATTCTCCAATTTAAGCTGTACAATTCAATGTCTTTTAGCCTATTCACAGACTTGTGCAGCTATCTCCACTATCTAAATCCAGAACATTATCATCATTCCAAAAAGAAACCCTGTTGGCTGGGCGTGGTGGCTTATGCCTGTAATCCCAGCACTTTGGGAGGCCGAGGCAGGCAGATCATGAGGTCAGGAGATGGAGACCATACTGGCTAACACGGTGAAACCCCACCTCTACTAAAAATACAAAAATTGGCCGGGCGCGGTAGAACGCACCTGTAGTCCCAGCTACTCAGGAGGCTGATGTAGGAGAATCGCTTGAACTGGGGAGGCAGAGGTTGTAGTGAGCCGAGATCACGCTGCTGCACTCCATCTCAAAAAAAAAAAAAGGATGCTTCAAGATGAAGCTGAACATCTCCTTCCCAGCCACTGGCTGCCAGAAACTCATTGAAATGGATGATGAATGCAAACTTCGTACTTTTTATGAGAAACGTACGGCCACAAAAGTTGCTGCTGACACACTGGGTGAAGAATGGAAGGGTTATGTGGTCCGAATCAGTGGTGGGAACGACAAATAAGGTTTCCCCATGAAGCAGGGTGTCTTGACCCATGGCCATGTCCACCTGCTACTGAGTAAGGGGCATTCCTGTTACAGACCAAGGAGAACTGGAGAAAGGAAGGGAAAATCAGTTCATGGTTGCATTGTGGTTGCCAATCTGAGCATTCTCAACTTGGTTATTGTAAAAAAAGGAGAGAAGGATATTCCTGGACTGACTGATACTATGGTGCCTCATCACCTGGGACCCAAAAGAGCTAGCAGAATCCATAAACTTTTCAATCTCTCTAAAGAAAGCCCTTAAAGAAGGTAAGAAACCTAGGACCAAAGCACCCAAGATTCAGCGTCTTGTTACTCCATGTGTCCTGCAGCACAAACGGCGGTGTATTGCTCTGAAGAAGCAGCATACTAAGAAAAATAAGGAAGACGCTGCAGAATATGCTAAGCTTTTGGCAAGAGAATGAAGGAGGCTAAGGAAAAGCGCCAGGAACAAATTGTGAAGAGACGCAGACTTTCCTCTCTGCGAGCTTCTACTTCTAAGTGAGTAAAAAATAAATAAGATCAGACTCACAAAAAAAAAAAAGAAAAAAGAAAAAGAAAAGAAACCCTGTTACTCCCATTGCCCTCTTCTCGGCCCCTGGCAATCACTAATCTCCTTCTTATATCTATAGATTGCTTATACTGGATATTTTATTTAAATGAAATCATACAATATGTGGCCTTTTGTGTCTGGCTTCTTTCACATGTGTAATGTTTTCAAGTTTCATCCATGTTGTAGCATGTATCAGTACTCTTTATGCCTGGATAGTAACTCATTGTATGGCTATTCCACGTTTTGTTTATTCATTCATTATTTGATGGAAATTTGAGTGTTTTCCACCTTTTGGCCATTATAAATGATACTGCTATGATCAATGATATATAAGAATTTGGCCAGGCAGGGTAGCTCAAGCCTGTAATCTCAGCACTTTGGGAGGCTGAGGTGGGCGGATCACTTGAGCTCAGGAGTTGAAGACCAGCCTGGCCAACATGGTGAAACCCCATCTCTACTAAAAATACAAAAACTAGCTGGGCAAGGAGGCGGGTACCTGTAATCTTAGCTACTCGGGAGGCTGAGGCAGAAGAATCGTTTGAATGCAGGAGGTGGAGGTTGCAGTGAGCTGAGATTGCACCATTGCACTCCAGCCTAGGCAACAGAGCAAGACTCTGTCTCGAAAAACAGAATTTGAGTACTTGTTTTTAATTCTTTTGGATATATACCTAGGAGTAGAATTTCTGGGTCATATGTTAATTCTGTGTTTTAACTTCTGAAGGAACCACCAAATAGTTTTCCACAAAGGCTGTACCATCCTACATTTCTTCTAGCAATGTACAAGAGTTCCAACTTTTCCATATCCTCACCATTTATATATCTACACTATAAAAAGAACAGCCTTATTAGATATATGATTTGCATATATTTTCTCCCATTCTGTGATTTGGCTTTTCATTTTCTCGATGGTGTCCTTGGAAGGAAAAAGTTTTATATTTCGGTGATGTTCAATATGTAGAATAAAATTTACAGGAGGCCATTGAGTTGGACTGAGTTCCTGCCCTAGGCCTAACAGACCCCACCAAAATGGAGTTACTTATGCTGAAATTGCATGTCATGTCACTAAGTCAAAACTAAGATCTTTATCTGACCTTCTGAGAAATCAGGAGAGAGAGAGAGAGAATAGCCAAATCCTCAAACAGGCCAGTTTTAGCTGGCATGATAAGGAAATCCCCTCTGCCTCTCTATAAAAGCTATCTCTGGCATGATAAGGAAGTCCTCTCTGCCTGTTTATAAAAGCAATCTCTTCTGCTTTGTTCATTGGAAGACTCATTCTGTTTTATAGAATGATATATTGCCTGAGTTTAGAATCACAAATAAGTAACAATTAAGATTTTTAAACTTAATGTGTTGTAATTTTGTCTTTTGACAAATATATTCATTTGTTCTTTTGTTGTTTGTGCTTTTGATGTCATATCCCAGAAACCATTGTCTAATGAAAGCTCCTGAATACGTACACATAAGTTTTCTTTTAAAACTCTAATAGTTTTTGCTCTTACATTTGGGTGTATGGTCCATTTTGATTTTATTTATTTGGGTTTTTTTTAGATAGGATCTTGCTCAACTGCCCAGGCTTCAGTGCAATGGCACAATCATGGCAGTTGGCTCACTGCAACTTCCAAAACTCTTAGGCTCAAGCAATCCTCCTGTCTCAGCCTCCTGAATAGCTAGGACTACAGATGCTCGCCACCACACATGGCTAATTTTTACAATTTTGTAAGAGACAGGGTATTTGTGTGTGTGTGTTGGTGTGACAGGGTCTTGCTCTGTTGCCCAGGCTGGAGTGCTGTGGCATGATCAGCTTGCTGGACTCAAGTGATCCTTCCATCTTAGGCTCCTGAGTAGCTGGAACTACAGACACACACCACCATGCCCAGGTAATATTTTTATTTTTAGTACGGACGAAGTCTCACTATATTGTTCAGGCTGGTCTTGAACTCCTGGGCTCAAGCAATCTTCCCACCTCAGCCTCCCAAAGGGCTAGGATTACAGGACAAAGCCACTATGCCTAGCCTGGAGTTAATTTTTGTATGTGAAGTGAGCTAGGGTTCCAACTTCATTTTTTTTTTTTCATGTGGCATCCACTTGTTTCAGCATTATTTGTTGAAAAGATAGTTTATATGGGTCAAGTTTGAGGACTGCAACCTGGGACCTTTAATTAAGTTGCCTTGAATATATGCCATGATCAGCAGCAGTCACAGGTGAATTTTTTTTTTTTTTTTTTTGAGAAGGAGTCTCGCTCTGTTGCCCAGGCTGGAGTCCAGTGGCACGATCTTGGCTCACTGCAAGCTCCGTATCCCGGGTTCACACCATTCTCTTGCCTCAGCCTCCCGAGTAGCTGGGAGTACAGGCACCCGCCACCACGCCTGGCTAATTTTTTTGTATTTTTAGTAGAGACAGGGTTTCACTGTGTTAGCCAGGATGGTCTCGATCTCCTGACCTCGTGATCTGCCTGCCTCGGCCTCCCAAACTGCTGGGATTACAGGTGTGAGCCACCATGCCCAGCCTACAAGTGAATTTTTAAAGAAAAAAAGAAGAGGTAGTTCCTAAGTTGTTTACCAAGAATTTACCATAAAATAACATAAACTATTAATTGGCTATGCGTTGACTTTTCTTTTTAATTTAATTAAATTCTATTTTATTTTATTTTATAGAGACAGGGTTTTGCCATGTATCTAGGCTGGTCTTGAACTCCTGGACTCAGGGGATCCACCTGCCTTGGCCTCCCAAAGTGCTGAGATTACAGGCATGAGCTACCATGCCTGGCTTGTTTTTGCTTTTGGTTTTGTTTAAGATAGGGTCTCACTCTCGCTTAGGTGGACCGTACTGGTGCAATCACTGATCACTGCAGCCTCCACTTCCCAGGCTCAAGCAGTCCTCTCACCTCAGCCCTGTAAGTATCTGGGTGTGTACCACCACACCTAGCTAATTGTTTTTTTAATTTTTTGTAGAGATGGGTTCTCTCTATGTTGCCTAGGCTGGTCTGGAACTCCTGGGCTTAACCAGTCCTCCTGCCTCTGCCTCCCAAAGTGTTGAGATTACAGGTGTCAGCCACCGTGCCCGGCCCCAAATCCCTTTAAACAGTTGCCCCCCTGGACGTGTATGTTGGGTGGGTGGGGGAGCTTGACATACTCATGTCTCTCTGGACTCAATAAATTTTGCATCTCAATGTCCCAGACTGCTGTGAGCTATTTTTCTTTACTCAGAAATCAGAATGCAGGCTGGGCATGGTGGCTCATCCCTGTAATCCCAGCACTTTGGTAAGCCTAGGTCAGAGGATAGCTTGAGCCCAGGAGTTTGAGATCAGCCCTGGCCACATAGCAAGACCCAATATATACAAAATTTAAAAAATTAGTTGAAGCCTGGTACCGTGATTCACGCCTATAATCCTAGCACTTTGGGAGGCCGAGGCAGGTGGATCACCTGAGGTCAGGAGTTCGAGACCAGCCTGGCCAATATGGCAAAACCCTGTCTCTACTAAAAATACAAAAATTAGCTGGGCATGGTGGTGAGCACCTATAATCCCAGCTACTCAGGAGGGTGAGGCAGGAGAATCGCTTGAACCCAGGGAGCAGAGGTGCAGTGAGCTGAGATCACACTACTTCACTTCAGCCTGGGCCAAAGAGTGAAACTGTCTCAAACAAACAAACAAACAAACAAAAAATTAGTTGGGTATAGTGGCATGTACCTGTAGTCCCAGTTACTTGGGAGGCTGAGGTAGGAGGATGGCTTGAGCCTGAAGGTCAAGGCTTCAGTGAGCCCTGATCTCATCACTGCACTCTAGTCTGGGTGACAGAACAAGACCCTGTCTCAAAAAAAAAAAAAAAAAAAAAAAAAAAAGCCAGTCATGGTGGTAAGAGTCTGTAGTCCCAACTACTTAGGAGGCTGAGGTGGGAGGATCACTTGAGCCCAGTAGTTTGAGGCTGCAGTAAACTGTGATTGCACCACTGTGCTCCAGCCTGGGGGACAGAGCGAGACCCTGGCTCATAAATAAATAAGAAGTCAGAATGTATGTGTCCTCAAATTTTATTCTTCCTCTTCCTGATTGTATGGGCGATTCTTAGTCCTTTGCATTTCCAAACTATTCAGAATCAGCTTGTTGATTTCTGCAAAGAAGACAGCTGGGATTTGGAGAGAAGTGGTGTTAAATGTGTAGATCAGTTTGGGGAGTACTGCCATCTTAACAATATTAAGTCTTCCAATCCATGAACATACGATGTCTTTCCATTGATTTAGATCTTTTAAAATTTATTTCAGCAATGTTTGTAGTTTTCAGAGTACCCATTATGCAATTCTTTTGTTAAATGTATTTCTTTGTATTTTATTTATTTATTTATTTTGAGACAGAGTCTTGCTCTGTCACCCAGGCTAGAGTGCAGTGGTGTGATCTCGGCTCACTGCAACCTCCGCCTCCCAGGGTTCAAGCGATTCTCCTTCCTCAGTCTCCCAAGTAGCTGAGACTACAGGTGCATGCTACCACACCCTGCTAATTTTTATATTTTTAGTAGAGAAGAGGTTTCACCATGTTGGCCAGACTGGTCTGAAACTCCTGACCTCAGGTGATCTGCCTACCTCAGCCTCCCAAAGTGCTGGGATTACAGGCATGAGCCACCACGGGCAGCTGTATTTTTGTTTTTAATTTATTTTTTTGAGACAAGGTCTCACTCTGTCACCCAGGCTGGACTTCAATGGTGCAATCATAGCTCACTGCAGCCTCAACTTCCTGGACTCAAGCCCTTTTCCCACCTTAACTTCCTGAGTAGCTAAACTACACAGCTGCATGCCACGACACCCAGCACTTTTTTTTTTTTTTTTGAGACAGAATCTGGCTCTGTTGTCCAGGCTGGAGTGCAGTGGCTCAATTTTGGCTCACCGCACCTCCGCCTCCTGGGTTCAGGTGATTCTCCTGCCTCAGCCTCCTGAGTAGCTGGGATTACAGGGGCCCGCCACCATGCCTGGCTAATTTTTGTATTTTTAGTAGAGATGGGTTTTCACCATGTTGGCCAGGCTGGTCTTGAACTCCTGACCTCAGGTGATCCACCCACCTCAGCCTCCCAAACTGTTGGGATTACAGGTGTGAACCACTGCGCCAGACCTCACCCAGCAAATTTTTTTTTTTAGACGGAGTCTCTCTCTGTCGCCTAAGCTGGAGTGCAATGGTATGATTTTGGCTCCCTGCAATCTCTCTCTCGATCACCTGACCTCGTGATCTGCCCGCCTCGGCCTCCCAAAGTGCTGGGATTACAGGCATGAGCTACTGTGCCCGGCTGGAAAGACTGACTTTATCTCCTCTGTTATTTATAAACCACCTTTGATGAAAGAGAATTTTTTTTTCTTGAGATGGAGTCTCCGTCTGTCGCCCAGGCTGGAGTGCAGTGGCGTGATCTCGGCTCACTGCAACTTCTGCCTCCTGGGTTCAAGCAATTGTCCTGCCTCAGCCTCCTGAAAATTTTCTGTATACAAGATCATACAACCTGCAAGTAGAGATTGTGTTACTTCTTATTTTCCAATCTGGAGACCTTGTATTTATTTATTTTCTTGCCTAATAGCCCTCACTGGAACCTCCAGTGCACCGTTGAATGGCAGTGGCAAAGTGGACATGCTTGTCTTATTTCTGATGTTAGAGGAAAAGCATTCAATCTTTCACCATTAAGTATGATGTTAGTGATGGGGTTTTAGCTATGTCTACAATACCAATGCATATCCTAGTACAGATGTTCCAGCTGAGGGTGGAAATAGAGAACAGAGGTCAGAATAAAAAGCTGGGCTACATTTGGGAATCTTCAGTATTCAGATGAGAGTTGAAGTCATGGAAACTTAGTAAGATTGTCCAGGGCAGATCACACAGGATGAGAAGAGGATTGGGGATTGATACGGTTTGGTTTTGTGTCTCCACCCATATCTCATTTTGAACTGTAATTCCCATGTGTTGTGGGAGGGACCTGGTGGGAGGTGATTGGATCATGGGGGTGGTTTCCCCTATGCTGTTCTCATAATAGCGAAGGAGTTCTCATGAGATCTGATGGTTTAAAAGTGGCAGTTTTCCCTGCGCTCACTCTCTCCTGCCGTCTTGTGAGGAAGGTGCTTGCTTCACCTTCTCTTTCCACCATGATTGTAAGTTTCATAAGGCCTCCCCAGCCATGCATAACTGTAGTCAACTTAACCTCTTTCCTTCATAAATTACCCAGTCTCAGGCAGTTCTTTATAGCAATATGAGAATGGACTAATACAGAGAATTGGTACTAACAGAGTGAGGTACTGCTATAAAGATAACCTGAAAATGTGGAAGTGACTTTGGAACTCGGTAATGAGCAGAGGTTGGAACAGCTTGGAGGGCTCAGAAGAAGACAGGAAGATGTGGGAAAGTTTGGAGCTTACTAGAAACTTGTTGAATGGTTTTGACCAACATGCTGATAGTGATATGGACAATAAAGTCCAGGCTGAGGTGGTCTCAGGTGGAGATGAGGAACTTTTTGGGAACTGGAGCAAAAGTCACTTTGCTATGCTTTAGCAAAGAGACTGGTGGCATTTTGCCCCTGCCCTAGAAATCTGTGGAACTTTGAACTTGAGAGAGATGATTTAGGGCATCTGGCAGGAGAAATTTCTAAGCAGCAAAACATTCAAGAGGTGATCTGGATTTTTCTGAAAGCATACAGTCACATACGGTCACAAAGAGATGATTTGAAATTGGAATTTTTGTTTTGTTTTGTTCTTTTGAGATAGAGTCTTGCTATGTCACCCAGGCTGGAGTGCAGTGGTGCGATATCAGCTCAGTGCTTTCTATGCTAAAACCAGAAAAGTCCCAAACAAGACATATTGGTCACTTTTAGGAATACATGAATAAATACCTTTTCCCAAAGAGACTGAAGGAAGTTGAAATGTAATGGTGAGTTGAGATTGCAGTTCCTAGGCTGCCCTACCAATACTTAGCAAATTCATAAGTCATGTAAAAACTTTTTCTAAGCCTTGAAAGTATGTTTGTTTAGTCCCTGAAATCTGACCACTCGTCTCCTTTTTATTTATTTATTTATTTATTTTTGAAATGGAGTCTCATCTGTCGCCCAGGCTGGAGTGCAATGGCGCTATCTTGGCTCACTGCAACCTCCGCCTCCCGGGCTCAAATGATAACTTCTCTCCTTTTCATCTTACATTCCATAGCCTGGAGCCCCTGTCTGCTGTGAGAGGTAGGATGTGGGTAAGGCAGGTGGACAGCTCCAGGGCAACAGAGACAGAGGAGACTTCTTGCACAAGAAGAGGAGCTGGGCCAGACCTTTAAAAGCTCCTCCAGAAATAATAGCTGGGGCATTTATGAAAGGGAAGCAGGTAGCAGCAGCAGAAGGGCCCAGGAGCAAGAATAGTGAAGCACAAGGGGCTGCTTGTTTGTGCTGTCATTTGCAAGTCAGGAACTGCTTGACTTTACAAACATTTTATCACTCATGACTATTTTAAGAGAATTTCCGTCACAGGAAGTCCACTTCTAATCATTTCCACTAAGGGCACAATCAGGAATGTATGCAAATATATGTACAAAGAAGAAAAAATATTGATTACAGTTTTATAGTAGTAAAGATCTCAAAGAGAAAGTGATACTTAATTGAGCTGAACTTTGAAGGGTAAATAGGAGTTAGCCAGGTATGTAGGGTAGGGAAGAGTAAGAAGGGAAGTTAGAGGGAACAGCATGTGCCAAGTTACAGAGATAGGACAGAATGTATTGGGGAACAATAGGAAATTGGATATTACTGGAGCAAAGGATACACTGTGAATGGGGGAAGGGACAAGGCTGGGAGGAAGAACTCTGAGGCAGAACAGAATTATAATGCCAATTTTTAAAATCATAGTCATTTTCCTCTTTGAGTGAAAAAAATCCACATTCTTTAGGTTGGCATGTATACACAGAGAGATAAGAAATCTAACTCTGTATGCAGAAAATTCAAACCAAGGGAAGTAGTGAATTATCCTTGAGTTTAAATGTTATTTGAAATAATAAAATAGGGTGATTAAAGAGTCCTACTACTTTGATGTCAGATGAAGTCTTGTCTATGTATAATACACTGGTCAAAGTTCAAGAACTGGTTATCTTAATAAAAACACTACTCTCTTCTTTGCAAGATCATCGCAATGGCTCCAGAATTATTGGGGTAATACATTTTGTTTTTCATGTAAAAAGTTATCTTTTTATTTATTTTGAGACGGAGTCTTCTCTGACGCACAGGCTGGAGTGCAGTGGCACAATCTCGGCTCACTGCAACCTCCGCCTCCCGGGTTCAAGCAATTCTCCTGCCTCAGCCTCCCGAGTAGCTGGGACTACAGGCATGTGCCACCACGCCCAGCTAATTTTGTATTTTTAGTAGAGACAGGGTTTCACTATGTTGGCCAGGCTGGTCTCAAACTCCTGATCTCAGGTGATCTGCCCACCTTGGCCTCACAAAGTGCTGGGATTACAGGTGTGAGCCATGGCGCCTGGGCCAAAAGTTATCTTTTCAGTCAAGTTGATCAAAAAGTAAAATTTTGCTTATTGCTAATGGATCTATTTACATAATAAGACATTTCTCTAAATTTATCATTATCACGTTGTCTCAGTCATTACCTGCTGTTGTTACCACTTGCCTGTTCTTAAACTCCACTTACTTTTTGCAACTCATCTTTTTGTTACTTCTACTGCTAAATAATCTTTGCAAAGGAAGTTTTTTTTCCCTACCTCTTGTCATCACTTACTTAATTGTTCCCTGACCACAGAGATCAAAACCAAAATAATGTACCACCATCACTGTAGGGGATGGAAAAACACACACGAACCTTTTTCTTCTACCCTCCTAGGTTCTCCAGCTGGAGTCCTGGGAATCAAACTGATAAAAGAGAAAACAGTTTTCTGTTTTCTGATAAAAAGAGAAAAACAGAGTTTTTTAACATGTACAGCACACATACACACAAGAGAAACTCAGTAATGAGTAACTCAAAGGGGTGGTTAAAATCCAGGGCTTATATAGCATCTTAACATGGAACAATATATCTGTAGAGAAGTGACAAGAGAAAGGGGTTACAGCTTTTAGGGGCAGCAAACTGTGGGGAGGTAAATATGTGGGGGAGAAACCACTGGAAGATAAAGGTTATTTTATTTCTTTTGAGGCAGGGTCTTGCTCCATCGCCCAGGTTGGAGTGCAGTGGCTCCATCTCGGCCCACTGCAACCTCCACCTCCCAGGTTCAAGTGATTCTCTTGCCTCGGCCTCCCGAATAGCTGGGATTATAGACACCTGCCACCATACCCAGGTATTTTTATTTTATTTTATTTTTAGTAGAGATGGGGTTTCAGGCTAGGCACAATGGCTCATGCCTGTAATCCTAGCACTTTGGGAGGCAGAGGTGAGCAGATCCCTTGAGCTCAGAAGTTCGAGACCGACCTGAGCAACATGGAGAAACCCCATCTCTACCAAAAATACAAAACAATTAGCTGGGCATGGTGACGCATTCCTGTAGTCCCAGCTACTCAGAGAGGCTGAGGCGGGAGTATTGCTTGAGCCTGGGAGGCAGAGTTTGCAGTGAGTTGAGATCATGTCACTGCACTCCAGCCTGGGTGACAGAGTGAGACCTTATCTCAAAAAAAAAAAAAAAAAGAGAGATGGGATTTCACCATGTTGGCCAGGTTGGTCTTGAACTCCTACCCTCAAGTGATCCACCCACCTTGGCCTCCCAAAGTGCTGGGATTACAGGCCTGAGCCACAGTACCCAGCCAAAGGTTATCTTAGTAAAGTTTTTTATGTGGATTCCTCTTTCAGTGCTATGTCTGATTCCTGTCCTCTTAGTCTGGACTAAGAGTCAGGAATGATTGAGTTGTTCTCCTTTTCATGGAGGGGAAGGGAGACACCCTTACAATTTATATCCTGTTCTTAGCCAGACAGAGGAAAGAAGCCCAAGAGGTTTTTTTTTTTTTTAATTGGAGACAGGGTCTTGCTCTGTTGCCCAGGCTGGAGTGCATGGGCACAATCACGGCTCACTGCACTCTCAACCTTCTGGGCTCAAGCAATCCTCCCACCTCAGCCTCCTCAGTAGCTGGGACTATAGGCATGTACCACCACGCCAGGCTAATTTTTACTATTTTTTGTAGAGACAGAGTCTCACTGTGATGCCCAGGCTGGTCTCAAACTCCTGGACTCAAGCAATCCTCCCACCTCAGCCTCCCAAAGTGCTGGGATTACAGGTGTGAGCCCCAGGAGCTTCTTCTGCATCAGCTATTTCTCAGTTGTCTTCAGCTCAAAATAATCTTATTTGAAAGTGACATATTTGGGGTGGGGTAGGATGTTCTAATCCCCTGCAATACCATTTATTGCATCAACCAACAATGGATTCGTGGTATTACTTGCTCACAGGTAGAGGTTATTAGACTCCCCTGACTGGTTAATTGAAATGATTGCATCTTCACTCTCTTTTTTCTTTTTTTAGATTTTGGTACTCATTTTTCAAATTTCCAACGAAACATCTTGAAATGTCCCTCTGTAAGCCTCAAATAGTTAAGCGCCTCAGAAATGCATAATTGATTCTAAAGGTAACAATTACTTTTAGTTGTAAGAACCAGTCTCACAACTTGCAATTATGGCCATAGAATTTTAGCGGTGCACACTAGCACGCACTTCAGAAATTATCTAGTCCAGATCCTTCTTATAGATAAAGCAACTGAAGACAACACGGTGACTGGGTGACCTTGGGCAATTCACCTATCTTCTCACTTTTCTTATCAAATTGATCTCAGCAGTTCCTATACGTTTAAGGGTTATTTTAAGGAATGGATAATAAAAGGCTGGGCACAGTGGTTCACATTTGTAATTCCAGCATTTTGGGAGGCCAAGGCAGGAGAAACAATTGAGCCCAGGTGTTTGAGACTAGCCTAGGCAACATACCAAGACCCAGTCTCTAAAAAAAAAAAAGGTTAAAAATTAGCAGGGCATGGTGGTGCATGAAGTCCTAGGTACTCAGGAGGCTGAGGCGGGTGGATCATTTGAGCCCAGGAGTTTGAAGTCACAGAGAAGCGCTGTTGCCGTCTGGGATAAATATCAGAGGTTTCTTGTCTCATGCCAAGGGAATCAAGAACGCAGACACATAAGAAGTTAATTTAAGAGCATTGGTTTAATAGGCAAAAGGAAGAGAAAAGGGAATACCTCTCTCTCTTACAGAGAGAGGGGCTCCTGAGTGGGACTTTTGGTCTCATGGTGAAACGCAAAGGGTTTTGTAGACAAGCTTGTGGAGGCAGTGTCTGAGTTACATAGTGCCCGAGAGATTGGATGGACCAGGTGTGCCATTTACATAGCACGCAAAGAAGCTGGCTACCCCACCCGAATCTTTTATTATGCAGATGGTCCTCTATCTGGCCGGAGCCATGTTGCCTGTTTCTTTACTGTACACATGGTTGACAAAGAAAAGGGAAAATGGAGCCTCCATGTTGAACATGCCCCACCCCCAGTTAGCCTTTTCCTATTGGCACAGCTGTTGGCATTTACCTATGCAAGCTTCCAGCTTGCTTATTTATGTCTGCAGCTCAATTTTTCAGGCTGCTCTTTGTTAGAAAAGAAATGATTTAGGAGCTACTTGGTAAGAACCCTCAGTATCGGCCTAAATAATTTCTTTCTAGTTCCAGTATCAACAGTGAGCTGTGGGCCAGGTGTGGTGGCTCATGCCTGTAATCCTAGCATTTTGGGAGGCTGAGGTGGGCAGATCACTTGAGATCAGCAATTCAAGACCAGCCTGGCCAACATGGTGAAACCCCTGTCTCTACTAAAAATACAAAAATTAGCCAGGCATGGTGGCTCATGCTTGTAAATCCAGCTATTCGGGAGACTGAGGCAGGAGAATCGCTTGAACCCAGGAGGCAGAGGTTGCAGTTAGCTGAGATTATGCCACTGCACTCCAGCCTGGCTGACAGAGTGAGACTCCATCTCAGAAACAAACAAATCAGTGACAAATCAGTGACAAACAAACCAATGCATTCTAGCCTGGTAACAGAGTGAGACCCTGTCTCTAAAAAGAAAAAGAAAAAAGCCCTGTACAGTGGCTCACGCGTGTAATCCTAACACTTTGGGAGGCCAAGGCGGGAGGATTGCTTGAGCCTAGGAGTTTGAGACCAGCCTGGGCAATATGGCGAAACCCCGTCTCTGCAAAAAAATACAAAAAGTAGCTGTGACAGCGTATGCCTGTAGTCCCAGGTACTTGGGAGGCCGAGGTGGGAGGATCGCTTGAGCCTGGGAGGCAGAGATTGCAGGAGCCACAATCGCACCTCTGCACTTCAGACTGGGCCGCAGAACAAGAACCTGTGTCAAAAAAAAAAAAGAAAAAGTATGAATGACATGATGCAAGTGAAACACAGCAGTAAATCATTCAATAAATGTTCGTTATGACCATGGATACAACTAAACAGTCCTGAATTTGCTATTTACATTAGTTCGGAAAGTCCCTAAATATCTCTGGATCTCAGTTTTAACAATCCATGAAATGAATGAGAAGGTTAGACTAAGTCAGTGGTTCAAGTTGTGCTGTGGAGTCCTAGGGCTTCCCTGAAGGACAGCAGAGAGGGGCTGGGAGGCCAGCAGACAGCCACAGAATAACCTACCTTTCTTCAACCAAAGCTGTTTAGCTTTCCTCTTCTTAAATTTTTGTTTGAGGCCAGGCGCGGTGGCTCACGCCTGTAATCCCAGCACTTTGGGAGGCCGAGGCGGGCGGATCACGAGGTCAGGAGATCGAGACCACGGTGAAACCCCGTCTCTACTAAAAATACAAAAAAAAAAAAAAAAAAAAAAAATTAGCCGGGCGTAGTGGCGGGCGCCTGTAGTTCCAGCTACTCGGGAGGCTGAGGCAGGAGAATGGCGTGAACCCGGGAGGCGGAGCTTGCAGTGAGCCGAGATTGCGCCACTGCACTCCAGCCTGGGTGACAGAGCGAGACACCGTCTCAAAAAAAAAAAAAATTTTTTTTTGTTTGAATAAAATAGTTCTGAGCTGGGCATAGTGGCTCATGCCTGTAATCGCAGCCTTTTGGGAGGCCACAGTGGGAGGATCATTTGAGGCCAGGAGTTTGAGACCAGCTTGAGCCCCATCTCTGAAAAAAAATAAAAATAAAAATAAAAATTGTGCTTAAAAAAGTAACTACTTAGCAAGATAAACTTTAAGCTTCTTTCAGCTCAAGATTCTGTGATTTTGCAAAGATCACACTGTGTCCTTTGTTCTGGTTTCAAAATAAAGACAGGGATTTTATTTATTTATTTATTTTATTTTTGAGACAGAGTCTCACTCCTTGTCACCCAGGCTAGAGTGCAGTGGTGCAATCTGGGCTCATTGCAACTTCTGACTTCTGGGTTCAAGCGATTCTTGTGCCTCAGCCTCCCAAGTAGCTGGGATTACAGGTGTGTGCCACCACACTTGGCTAATATTTATATTTTTAGTAGATACAGGGTTTCACCACATTGGCCAGGTTGGTCTCAAGCGATCTGTCCTCAACTCCTGGCCTCAAATGATCCACCTGCCTTAGTCTCCCAAAGTGCTGGGATTACAGTCATATATCACCATGCTCGGCCAAAATAAAGACAAAGATTTTTACGTTTTTAAGGATAAGATCAACTTATGACTATAGGCACAGAGCCAGGACAGGACTCTAGGTCTCCTGACAGTAAGGAAGAGATATTATAATGTCTTGAGGTTAAAAGGAAGGAGATCTTCAAATGGTTAATGCTCAGTAATGACTATGGACATTCTTCTATTTTGGTTATAGAGAAACAAACCCTGGATTTTTGCTTCTTAGTTTTCTTTTGGATTACTTAAGGGGTGAGTATTCTTTAGGTGACGGTGCTGATTATGATCCAGTCTATGATTAACACATTTATTACCTAATCTTTTTCCGGGTAACTGAAGTTTAATGTTTGCTGAATTATAGTTGATTGAGAAAGAGGACCTTAAGGAGAGATTTCAGCATCACTTCCACTGAGATTTATTTTTAAAAAGGTTATAGGGTGGTTATTGCCATGCTATTGAGATATCCAGGTGAGCTTTGCATATTTCAGATGCAATTCTCTGGTACAGTTCTATTTTCAGTAAACCTACCCCAATTTCAAAGCTCTAATCAAAAAAGAGGTTGTATTGGCCAGATGCAGTGGCTCACACCTGTAATCCCAGCACTTTGGGAGGCTGAGGCGGGTGGATCACATGAGGCCAGGAGTTCAAGACCAGCCTGGCCAACATAGCAAAACCCCGTCTCTACTAAAAAGACAAAAATTAGTTGGTGTGGTGGTTCACATCTGTAATCCCAGCTACTTGGGAGGCTGAGGCACAAGAATCGCTTGAACCAGGGAGGCGGAGGTTGCAGTGAGCCAAGACTGCCCCACTGTACTCCAGCCTGGGTGACATAGCGAGACTCTGTCTCAAAAAATAAAAATAAAAATAAAAATAATTTTTTTTTAAAAAAAGGTTGTATATGTAATCCCAGCACTTTGGGAGGCCGAGGCAGGCGTATCACCTGAGGTCAGGAGTTCAAGACCAGCATGGCCAATATGGTGAAACCCTATCTCTACTAAAAATACAAAAATTAGCCGGGCGTGTTAGTGGACACTTGTAACCCCAGCTACTCGGGAGACTGAGGCAGGAGAATCGCTTGAACCCCAGAGGCAGAGGTTGCAGTGAGCAGAGATCATACCACACTGCACTCCAGCCTGGATTACAAGAGCAAAACTCCATCTCAAAAAAAAAGAAAAAAGAAAGAAATCAAAACTTAAACACACATTATTTTATTTGATCCTTACAAAAATTCTCTGAGGTAGACAGAAGAGGTTTCTTCCCTGATCACAGAAGAGAAAACAAAGGCTCAAGGAAGTTAATTATTATAACTATTCTACAGCTAATAAGTTGGTTATGCAGTCATTAAGTCTTTATTGAACATCTCTAGCATCCAGGCATTGGGTTAAGGAACCGGGACTCAAGTTCAAATGAATCACACCTCAGTGTTGTTTCTCTTATTTGGAGTAGTTCTTTAATGCATCAGTTTTAAAAGACTGAAAGTTTTAAACTTAGGGTGGCTTTCTTACAACTTAAAACTGTTTAATAGAGAATTCTTAATTCACATAGTATAATATAATATACCCAGCAACATTCTGCAACAGGCCAGGCGCGGTGGCTCACGCCTGTAATCACAGCACTTTGGGAGGCCAAGGCAGGTGGATGATCCAAGTTCATGAGTTCGAGACCAGCCTAGCCAACATGGAGAAACCCTGTCTCTACTAAAAATACAAAAAAAAAAAAAATTAGCTGGGCCTGGTGGCATACTCCTGTAGTCCCAGCTACTGGGGAGGCTGAGGCAGGAGAATCACTTGAACCCAGGAGGCGAAGGTTGCAGTGAACTGCACTCCAGCTGGGACGACAGAACAAGACTCTGCCTAAAAAAAAAAAAATTATGCAACAGTTGACTACAATCAAAAGAGAAAAGTAAAGGTTGACTTTTCTAACTATGGTATTTTGCCTGCTAGGCATTCTAGGTTTTTATTTTAAAAATTTCTTAGGAAACTCCAGCTGTTACAAGGAAGTATTGCTTTTGGTTTAATGTTTTATCCTGCTAGTGCACTCCACCCTTAAGTGATCTTGGTGACTAATAGGACTGGCACCAGTTCTCACTTACCAGATGTGAATTCCACTTACTAGTTTGTTTTTTGTCTTCTGCTAATTTGCAGTTGTAGACAAAAACGGAGTAAAGAAGTTCTTAAAATAAATGAAAATCGGCAATGTAGTCGCTCTTTAATTTTTGAATTGGCCTGGCGCAGTGGCCTCACCTAAGAGTCATATGGTTGTTATGTTCCCTGATGTTAGGGGGCCCTCCCCTGCAGCCCACAGTGACTCAGAAGGCAGCTGCCGAGAACAGGAAGGCCTGGGGTTCATGTGACAAGCCACCAGCCTTTACCAGAGCAAACAAAGTAGGTGGGATGTTCCCCTGTCCCCTGCCCACCAGTTTTATAACACATTTCAGGGCTTTTTTTTTCCCTTCCTCAGACTGCTCTGAATTTTCTCTTTGACCTAATTTGATTTGTGGAGAAATGCTGTCGAAAGGGCCTGCTGAGATTTTGTCCTGGCCTGCCTCACTGAAGAAGGCCAACAATCTGTTTGCATAGCAAGAATGAAAAAAATGTTTCTGTGCTTCAGAGATTACTGAATACTTTTTCCAAAATGAATCTGTTCCTTCTAGCAGGGATCGTTTTGCTAGTTGGGAAGATAAAGCTGTCAATATTCAGTAGCTAATCTCTAGATTTCTTTCTGTGATGGAGTCTAGCTCAGTGCAGGCTGAGGGGCAGTGGCACGATCTCAGCTCACTGCAACCTCCCACTCCTGGGTTCAAGCGATTCTCCTGCCTCAGCCTCCCAAGTAGCTGGGATTACAGGCACGCGCCATCACACCTGGCTAATTTTTGTATTTTTGGTAGAGATGGGGTTTCACCATATTGGCCAGGCTGGTCTCAACTCCTGATCTCAAGTGATCCACCCGCCTTGGCCTCCCATAATGCTAGGATTACAGGGGTGAGCCATCACATGTAGCACCAATCTCTAGATTTCAAGAGACCACATATTGTCACAGCTTCTTGGAGATTTTCTTCACTGGATTTAAGTCATTGTTCTCCAAAGTGTGTTCTGAGAGCTACCTACATTTGAATCATCTAGATTAAGGTATCATCATCTCTACTAAAGGACCTTGTAATCTGTGTTTTTTTTTTTTGAGATGAAGTCTCCCTCTATTGCCCAGGCTGGAGTGCAATGGTGCAATCTTGGCTTACTGGCAACCTCCGCCTCCAGGGTTCAAGCAATTATCTGCCTCAGCCTCCCGAATAGCTGGGATTACTGGCACCCGCCACCACACCCAGCTAATTTTTGTATTTTTAGTAGACATGGGGTTTCACCATCTTGGTCAGGCTGGCCTTGAACTCCTGACCTTGTGATCCACCCACCTCGGCCTCCCAAAGTGGTGGGATTACAGGCGTGAGCCACTGCGCCCGGCCCGGAATCTGTTTTTAACAAGCACTACAACTCCCCAGAATTCTTTTTTTTTTTTTTTTTTTGAGATGGAGTCCCTCTCTGTGGCCCAGGCTGGAGTGCAGTGGCGTGATCTCGGCTTACTGCAACCTCCAGCTCCTGGGTTCAAGCAATTTTCCTGCCTCAGCCTCCCGAGTAGCTGGGGTTACAGGCGCCCACCACCACGCTGGCTAATTTTTTGCGTGTATTTTTAGTAGAGACAGGGTTTCACCATCTTGGACAGGCTGGTCTTGAACTAACCTCATGATCCACCTGCCTCGGCCTCCCAAAGTGCTGGGATTACAGGTGTGAGCCACCGCACCGGGCCAAAATTTATTTTTTTGCACAAAATTAACTTAGCTAAATCAGAGTTCACAAGCCTTCACTGGTAATGTGACCCACAGGAGAGAGTCCTGGGGCAGAGGAGGAGTCTTGTTTATGCCTTTCCTGTTTCCATTCCTGTACTCCCTGTCCCTGCCAAAATGCCATTTCTGATAGTGTTGGTCACTGCAGAAGGAAACAGGAAAAAACAGGAAGGAACTGAGGAAACTTCAGTGTTCCCTCTTGATTACAGTAGTGTGGGAAACAGGCCTGGGTTTAGAAAGCAATGCAGCAGAATGCTTAAAAATCATTCACAAAGCTTGGTAAAACCACAGACTCCCCTTCTCCCCATTCTAATTAAGTGGGTATGCGGTGGGGCCTCAGAACCTATATTTGTAAAAATACCTACAGTGATTCTAATGCAGGTTGATCTGGGGGTACATCAGGATATTTCTTATTTAATGTACTGGAGCCCAGAGCTAGAAGTCCCCTTTGACAGCTGTCTTCAAACTGTCGGCACAAAGACCTAAAGTAATTTTACAATATAAAGACATCTGGGTTCTCTAACTGTCACAGGGCAACTCCCCAAACTGGGGATCAGCCCAGGAGGCCATAAGGGTTCTTGACTTTTGGCAGAAAAGAATTAAGGAGGCCATGGTGGCTAATGCCTGTAATCCCAACACTTTGGGAGGCTGAGGCAGGTGGATTGCCTCAGGTCAGGAGTTCGAGAACAGTCTGGCCAACATGGTGAAACCCCATCTCTACTAAAAATACAAAAAAATTAACTGGGTGTGGTGGCATGCACCTGTAATCCCAGCTACTCGGGAGGCTGAGGTAGGGGAATTGCTTGAACCAGGGAGGTGGAGGTTGCAGTGAGCGGAGATCATGCCACTGCACTCTAGCCTGGACAACAGAGCAAGACTCTGTCTCAAAAAAAAAAAAAAAAACAGGAGCAAGTGGACCGAATAAAGTGAAAGCCAGTTTATTAAAAAGTAAAGGAATGAAACAGTGGCTACCCCATAGACAGAGTAGAAGCACGGACTGCTGGACTAACTATAGTTATGGTTATTTCTTGATTACATGCTGAAAAGGGGGTGGATTATTCATGTTTTCTTGGAATGGGGTGGGGAGTTCCCCAGAACTGAGGGTCCTCCCCATCTCCTACTCTATAGGGTAACTTAGGGACGTTGCCATAACATTTGTAAACTTTCATGGTGCCAGTGGGAGTGTCTTTCAGGGCGCTGATAATGCATTAGAATTAGCATATAATGAGCAATGAGAATGACCAGAGGTCACGTTCTGTTTTTTTTTTTTTTTTTTTTTTTTTGAGACAGTCTTGTTCTGTCACCCAGGCTGGAGTGCAGTGGCGAGATCTCAGCTCACTTGCAACCTCTGCCTCTCAGGTTCAAGCGATTCTCCTGCCTCAGCCTTCTGAGTAGCTGGGAATACAGGTGCCCGCCACCAGGCCCAGCTAATTTTCGTATTATTAGTAGAGACGGGGTTTTACCATGTTGGTCAGGCTGGTCTCGAACTCCTGACCTCGTGATCCACCCACCTCGGCCTCCCAAAGTGCTAGGATTACAGGCGTGAACCACTGCGCACGTCCTCCAGAGGTCACTTTCTTTGCCATCTTGATTTTGATTTTGGGAGGGAGCTGGCTAACTGTTTTGTTTTTTTGTTTTGTTTTGTTTTTATGTTGCCAGGCTGTTCTTGAACTCCTAGCCTCAAGCGATCCTCACACCTTGGCTTCTCAAGTGCTGAGATTACAGGCATGAGCCACCACACCCAGCCCTTGGCTGGGTTCTTTACTGCACCCTGTTTTATAAGCAGGGTCTTTGTGACCTACGTCTTGTGAAACAAGTCCTGCCAAATTCCTATCTTATAACTAGCCAGCATTTAGTTTTAGTATATTCTGTGTTTGCCTTAAGATAGTATGTACATTTTCCCCTAGAGCAGCAAAAAAGAAAAGGATAGTGTATATTTTGTATTTCAAAGAAATACTGGGGCTGGGTGCTGTGGCTGACATCTGTAATCCCAGTACTTTGGGAGGCTGAGATGGGTGAATCACCTGAGGTCAGGAGTTTGAGACCAGCCTGGCCAATATGGCCAAACATTTTTTCTAGTCTCTGCTAAAAAAAAAAAAATTAGCCAGGCAAGGTGGCGCCTGCCTATAATCCCAGCTACTCAGGAAGCTGAGGCAGGAGAATTGCTGGAACCCAGGAGGCAGAGGATGCAGTGAGTCGAGATGGCGCCACTACACTCCAGCCTGAGCGACAGAGCGAGACTCCATCTCAAAAAAAAAAAAAAAAATACTGGCTAACATCTCTACAAATAAATGAACCATTTGATAGGAACATTACTTTCATATGATTCCATTAAAAATATAAACTTTGGCTGGGCATTGCGGTTCATGCCTGTAATCAATCCCAGCACTTTGGGAGGCCAAGGCAGGTGGATCACCTGAGGTGAGGAGTTCGAGAGCAGCCTAGCCAACATGGTGAAACCCTGTCTGTACTAAAAATATAAAAAATTAGCCAGGCATGGTGGCACACACCTGTAATCCCAGCTACTCAGGAAGCTGAAGCAGGAGAATTGCTTGAACACAGGAGGCAGAAGTTGCAGTGAGCCGAGACCCCACCACTGTACTTCAGCCTGGGTAAGAAGAGCAAAACTTTGTTTAAAAAAAAAAAAATTAGCTGGGTGTGGTGGCACACACCTGTAATCCTAACTATTTGGGAGGCTGAGGCATGAGAATCACTTGAACCTGGGAGGCAGAGATTGCAGTGAGCTGAGATTGTGCCATTGCATGCTAGCTTGGGCAACAGCAAGACTCTTGTTTAAAAAAAAAAAAAAAAATCATGGTGGCTTGTCAAGTTTTGGAAATTTCTCCTTAATGGTTTTTCCTAACATATTGCTTTTAGTATGTCATTCTGTCACTGCTTTCCTCAAAATCTTCAGTGGGACTTCACTGCCTACTTATTAATTTCCGTCGGCTAGTGTTTGAGGCCTTATGACTTTATCAGTCCACCTTGCCAGCCTCACTTTTTTGTTTTGTTTTGTTTGAGACAGAGTCACACTCTGTCACCCAGGCTGGAGTACTTTGGCACAATCTCGGCTCACTGCAACCTCCACCTCCCAGGTTCAAGCGATTCTCCTGCCTCAGCCTCCCAAGTAGCTGGGACTACAGGTGCCCACCACCATGCCTGGCTAATTTTTTTTTTTTTTTTTGTATTTTTTGTAGTGTCAGGGTTTCACCATGATGGCCAGACTGGTCTCGAACTCCTGACCTCAGGTGATCCGCCATCTCGGCCTCTCAAAGTACTGGGATTAAAGACATGAGCCGCAGTGCCCAGCCAAATTGATTCTTTTATTTTTTATTTTTATTTTTATTTATTTATTTGTTGAGGTGGAGTTTTGCTCTTGTTGCCAAGGCTGGAGTGCAATGGCATGATCTCAGTTCACTACAACCTCTGCCTCCCTGGTTCAAGCGATTCTCCTGCCTCAGCCTCCTGAGTAGCTGGGATTACAGGCGCCCGCCACAGCCGGGCTAATTTTTTGTATTTTTAGTAGAGACAGGGTTTCACCATGTTGGCCAGGCTGGTCTTGAACTCCTGACCTCAGGTGATCCACCCGCCTTGGCCTCCCAAAGTGCTGGGATTACAGGCATGAGCCACCATGCCTGGCCTATTTATTTATTTTTTGAGACAGAGTTTCACTTTTGTTGCCCAGGTTGGAGTGCAATGGTGCAATCTCAGCTCATTGCAACCTCTGCCTCCCATGTTTAAGTGATTCTCCTGCCTCAGCCTCCTGCTTTTAGAAAGCATTTTACAGGAGAACGGGCGCAGTGGCTAATGCCGGTAATCCCAGCACTTTGGGAAGTTGGAGGCAGGCAGATTGCTTGAGCTCAGGGGCTCAGGACTTTCCTGGGCAATATGGTGAGACCCCATCTCTACTAAAGATTGTTTTTAAATAGCTGAGTGTTGTGGCGAGGGCCTCTAGTCCTAACTACTCAGAGGCTGAGGCGAAAGGATGCTTGAGCCTGGGAGGTCGAGGCTGCAGTGAGCCGTGATCGCACCACTGCACTCCCGCCTGGGTGACAGAGTGAGACCCTGTCTCAAAACCAACTAATAAAAACAAAACAAAAGTATTTTAAAGGATTTCTCCTATTTAAGTCCTTATTCATATGCTTGAAAATATGTGGTAAAGATGTTTTAGTTGTAGGAAAAATGTTGGAAGCAATCTAAATGTCTATCAAACGAGATAATGGTTAAATTATGGTACATCCTGTGATATACCATACAGATTAGAAAGAATGAAGTGGATCTCCAGATCCTAAAGAATTTGATTCTTCAAAATTAAGAAAATCTGTCCAATTAAAAATACTTCAGGGGTGGCAGGGCACGGTGGCTCAAACCTGTAATCCCATCACTTTGGGAGGCCAAGGCAGGCGGATCACCTGAGATCAGGAGTTCAAGACCAGCCTGGCCAACATGATGAAACCCCGTCTCTACTAAAAATACAAAAAAAATTAGCTGGGCATGGTGGCGTGTGCCTGGAATCCCGGCTACCCAGGAGGCTGAGGCAGGAGAATCGCTGGAACCCGGGAGGCAGAGGCTGCAGAGAGCCAAGATCACACCACTGCACTCCAGCCTGGCCAATGGAGCAAGACTCTGTCTCAAAAAAAAAAAAAAAAAAAAAAAAAATTCAGGGCCAGGCACCACAGTGGCTCATGCCTGTAATCCCAGCACTTTTAGAGGCTGAGGCGGGCAGATCACTTGAGGCTAGGAGTTTGAGACTAGCCTGGCCAACATGGTGAAACCCCATCTCTACAAAAAAATACAAAAATTAGCTGGGTGCCTGTAAACCCAGCTACTTGGAAGGCTGAGGCAGGAGAATCACTTGAACCTGGGAGGCAGAAGTTGCAGTGAGCCAAGACTGTGCCATTGCACTCCAGCCTGGGTGACAAGAGTGAGACTCCGTCTCAAAAACAAACAAAAAAGCCGTTAATATTATATTTACATTAGTGATATCATGTCTCACACATAAATAATAAATATATATTGGCTATGAACAATATATTTTTAAGATTCTGGGGCCAGGCACAGTGGCTCATGCCTATAATCCCAGCACTTTGGGAGGCCAAGGCGGGTGGATCACCTGAGGTCAGGAGTTCGAGAACAGCCTGACCAACATGATGAAACCCTGTCTACTAAAAATACAAAATTAGCTGGGTTTAGTGGTGCATGCCTGTAATCCCAGCTACTCGGGAGGCTGAGGCAGGAGAATAGCTTGAACCCAAGAGGTGGAGGTTGTAGTGAGCTGAGATCGTGCCGTTGCATTCCAGTCTGGGCAACAAGAGCAAAATTCTGTCTCAAAAAAAAAAAAAAAAGATTCTGGTCATGAAGGCACTATTGAGAGGTGACAAAGATATATGCATATATGGAAGATATGTACATGACATAAATCCCCACTGTAGTTATCAGTAACTCCACTTTTTTTCTTTTTCTTTTCTTTTTTTTGAGATGGGGTCTCACTCTATCACCAGGCTGGAGTGCAGTGGTACAGTGATATAATCTTGGCTCACTGTAACCTCTGCCTCCCAGGCTCAAGCGATCCTCCTACCTCAGCCTCCCAAGTAGCTGGGACTGTAGGCACACCACACCACATCCAGCTAATTTTTGTATTTTTTTGTAGAGACAGGGTTTTGCCATGTTGCCCAGGCTGGTCTCGAACTCATGGCTTCAAGCATTTCGCTCCCCTTTGGCCTCCCAAAGTGCTGAGATTATAGGTGTGAGCACCGTGCCCAGCCACTAACTCCACCCTTCCAATAGTTCAAGCCAAAAATCTTGGCATCATCCCTAAATCCTCTCTTTCTCTCATACCCCACATTAAAGTATCAACAATATCTGTTGATATTATTTTAAAAATATTTCCGGAATCCAAACCCTTCTCACCACTTCCTTCTATACCACTCTGGTCCAAAGCATCATCTTTTTTCTTTCTTTTTTTTTTTTTTGGAGATGGAGTTTCGCTTTTTCGCCCAGGCTGGAGTGAAGTGGTGCGATCTCAGTTCACTGTAACCTCCACCCCCCGGGTTTAAGTGATTCTCTTGCCTCAGCCTCCCAAGTAGCTGGAATTACAGGCATGTGCCACCACGCCTGGCTAATTTTTGTATTTTTAGTAGAGATGGGGTTTCACCATGTTGGCCAGGCTGGTCTTGAACTCCTGACCTAAGGTGATCCACCTGCCTCGGCCCCCCAAAGTGCTAGGATTATAGGCATGAGCCACCGCGCCCGGTCAGTACTTTCTTTTTGTAGCACTTATCACAATTGTTGGCATATAGTTACCAGGTTATAAGCTTCATGGAGAGTTTGGGTCTGGATTTCTGTTGTATCCCTAGCACTGGTATATAGTAGATACTCAACAAATACTTACCAATGAGTTAATAAATATATCTGCAAGAGTGGTTATAGTATTGTTGTAACTTCCCTTCTACCTCAAAGCTGCTTTTGATTCAACTCCTATCAACAGGTAGGAGAAGTGAGTTCACCATGACTTGTTCTCCATTATGTATACAGTTGTGTCCCCACAATCCTTGTGATGCTAAACATACAAAAGGGGATATATACATGTTTACGGGTTGGTTGATTAAATGATGTGGTTTGATACTCATCTCCTACCTCAACTTTGCCTATTGTCAGATAAGAGGCAAAGAGAAATATTAGGGAAGCAACTCTCAGGTTACAGAGGTCAAAATCTTACTTGGGTCTTTTGAAATGTAGTCTGGCATTCATAGGAATTTGTCTGTTTTTGTCCACTATTGGCCTGAAAAATCAAATACCCTAGGCCAAGACCCTAATTGCCAGTAACTACTATATTATTGAGCATTATAGTATTAAATTCCATGCATGGCCAATATTATACATTATTAGGTTTTAAAGTAATCAGAAAGTATTTGCCCTTTTTTTTTTGCTTTGCAAATGGATGGGTAAATATATTCACTGTTCCTCTCTTCATTGTAGCAAAATCACGACTATATTACAGCATTAATAACTCTCTAGCTGTGTGGCTTTGGGCAAATCATTTCTCTCTGGACATAAATTTCCTTATTGACACAATGAGGAGATTGGATGTAAGGTCTCTTCCAATTCTAACATCTTTTTTTTCTATTTCATTTGATGAAAATTACCACACAAGGCCGGGCACAGTGGCTCACGCCTGTAATCCCAGCACTTTGGGAGGCCGAGGTGGGTGGATCACGAGGTCAGGAGATCAAGACCAGCCTGGCCAAGATGCTGAAACCCCATCTCTACTAAAAATACAAAAATTAGCCGGACGCGGTGGCAGGCGCCTGTAATCCCAGCTACTTGGGAGGTTGAGGTAGCAGAATCGCTTGAACCCGGGGGAGAGAGGTTGCAGTGAGCTGAGATTGCACCACTGCACTCCAGTCTGGGTGACAGAGCAAGACTCGGTAGACTCTGTCTCAAAAAAAAAAAAAGAAAAAAAGAAAAAGAAAAAAGAAAAGAAAATTACCACACAAATTAACTTACCTCTGGCCGGGTGCAGTGACTCACGCATGTAATCCCAGAACTTTGGGAGGCCAGGGCAGGTGGATCACCTGAGGTCAGGAGTTCGAGACCAGCCTGACCAACATGGTGAAACCCCGTCTTTATTAAAAATGCAAAAATTAGCCGGGCATGGTGGTGCATGCCTGTAATCCCAGCTACTCGGGAGGCTGAGGCAGGAGAATCGCCTGAACCCGGGAGGTGAGGTTGCAGTGAGCCGAGATCATTGCCATTGCATGCCAGGCTGGGCAACAAGAGAGAAATAGTCTCAAAAAAAAAAAATTAGCTTACCTCTAATTTATTCAGTTTTCTTCTATGTTCACAGGGAAAAATAAGACTCAAGTTTTCCTTAAATCTGGAGAAACTTTTTTTTAGGTTGTGTATGTGTTCCTACAAGAGAATTTTCTTTGAAAATAAAATACTGGACCAGCCTGGGCAGCCAAAAAACGGAAAAATTAGCCAGGCGTGGTGGCACATGCCTATAGTCCCAGCTACTCAGGAGGCTGAGGTGGGGGGATCATATGAACCCGGGACATCAAGGCTGCAGTGAGCTGTGACTGTGCCACTGCACTCCAGTCTGTGCAACAGAGTGAGACCTTGTCAAAAAAAGAAAGGAAGAAAAAAAGAAAGAAAGAAAGAAAGAAAGAAAAGGAAGGGAGGGAGAGACAGAGAGAAAAGAAAAAGAAGAAAGGAAGGAGAGGAAGAAAGGAAGGAAGGGAGGGAGGAAAAAATAGAGGAAGGAAGGAAGAGAGAAAGGGATAGAAAGAAAGGAAGGAAGGAAGGAGAGAGAATGAAACAAGGAAGGAAGGACGGAAGGAAGGAGAGAGAAAGGAAAGAAGGAAGGAAGAGAGAGAAAGAAAGAAAAAGAGAAAGGAAGGAAGGAAGGGAAAGAAAGAAGGAAAGGAAAAGAAGAAACTGAAAACATAGACTTTTTCCTATTTGGCCATTAGATGTCGCTCAACATCCAAAAAGTAGAAGAAACCAGATGTACACTATAAAGCTCCTGCCCAGTTCCCCCGGGACTGACCCAGTCATACTGGGTGGCTTGCTTAATCGTGTACTGGTATTTGTGTGTCAGTGTCTTGCCACGTATAGCAAAAAATCCCCTTAGCCATCCAGAAAACTTGTTGCCTATATGTCTTATATATGTGTTTATTTATTTATTTATTTAAGGAGACAGGGTCTTGCTCTGTAGCCCAGGTTAGAATGAAGTGGTGCAATTATAGCTCACTGCAACCTTGAACTCCTAGACTCAAGCAATCCTCTCACCTCAACCCAAACATCTCAATTTTATAACTTCTTTTTATTTTTTTCAGACAGAGTCTCTGTTCCCCATGCTGGAGTACATTGACATAGTCACAGCTCACTGCTGCCTCAAGCTCCTGGGCTCAAGTCATCCTCTTGCCTCAGCCTTCAGAGTGGCTGGGACTTACAGGCGCGGGCCACCACACCAGGCTAATTTTTGTGTCTTTTGGAAACATGAGGTCTCCCTGTGTTGTCTAGGCTGGTCTTGAACACCTGCAGTCAAGGGGTCCTCCTACCTCAGCTTCCCAAAGTGCTGGGATTAGGATTGCAGGCGTGGGACACTGCACCTGGCTGATTTTATCACTTAAGTCAACATATAGTTGTTGAACATTTTGGCTGACTACATACCAGGATCAATAAGCTCCATGGCGGAATTCCCCCTCATCCTTCAGGACCTAGATCAAATGCCACCTCCTCTGTGGGACCTTATCTGACCTTCCTAGAAAACTCTTTGTCACAGTACTTTTGTATTGTGTTTGTTTACCCACCTACCTCCCCAAATTCTGGAAAAGATTCCCAATCTTCTTCATAATAAAAGAAATGCACACTAAACTACAAAAAGATGCTATTTTAACTTACATGGTAAATATCAACAGTTCTGATATTTGGTTTAGAATAATAGGCATTCTCATATATTTTTAGTGAGAGTGTACACTGGTTTATGATTACTGTTAATAGAAGACAATTTAGAAATTTCTGTCTTTTTTTTTTTTTGAGACATGGTCTCGCTCTGTCACCCAGGCTGGAGTGCAGTGGCACTATCATGGCTCACTTCAGCCTTGACCTCCTGGGCTCAAGTGATCCCCCAACCTTACTGCCCCCTGCCCCAGGTCCTAGGCTAATAAACAGATGAGATTTGGCATGAGAAGGAATAACAATAGTAGCATGAATGCATTTTTGGCAGACACGAGTTGGGGAAGGGACATGTCCTCCCCTTCCCCGTGATGGGGAGAGGGGTGATGCGAAGTATGACAACCGGCAGGTGGGTGATTAAAGGCCCGCTTATACTGCCAAACACATGAGGGTAGTCCTGCACCAACCACACTAGGCATCTTATCATTCAATCGGCATCCTTTGCCATATCTCTTTTTCCTCTTGGGGAAGAAAAATGTGCTGGCACTCACCACCTTCAGTCCCCTTCATTTTTCAGAATGCTGATATTTATTTATACTTGAGGAGTGCTTTAAAGTAATTTTTTTTTTTTTTTGAGACTGAGTCTTGCTTTGTTGCCCAGGCTGGAGTGCAGTGGCGCGATCTTGGCTCACTGCAACCTTTGCCTCCTGGGTTTAATCGATTCTCCTGCCTCAGCCTCCCAGGTAGCTGGGACTACAAGAGCGTGCCACGCCTGGCTAATTTTTTGTATCTTTAGTAGAGACGGGGTTTCACTGTGTTAACCAGGATGGTCTTAATTTCCTGACCTCATGATCCGCCCGCCTCGGCCTCTCAAAGTACTGGGATTACAGGTGTGAGCCACCGCACCTGGCCATAAAGTAATTTTTAATTGGTTGTATGTTTCACAACCTGCACAGGGAAACTCAGACATCGCCTGCAACTTTCCCATGCAGTAAGTGTTCCAACCTCACATCACATTTCAGTACAGAATCTTTTTTTGTTGTTGTTAAGATAGAGACAGGGTCTCCCTATGTTGCCCAGGCTGGTCTCAAACTCCTGGGCTCAAGGGATCCTCCTGCCTCGGCCTCCCAAAGTGCTAAGATTATAGGCATCAGTCACCAAGCCCTGCCCCAGTACAGAATCTTGAGTGTAATTATGTTTTCATAATGAACTTTGGTTTCATCAGATGAAGATTGAATCATAGCACTGCAACTTTTATTTATCCACAAGTGGATTACTTAATATTTGTTCTCATTACTACAGATTTAAAAAGCCTTTCAGCAAAAGCCTCTCATTTGCCTCTCACGTGATTGTTGCCAGGAAATGAGAAACCAAATTACATCCTGAATATTCCTTGCTGCTGCCTCAACAATAGACCTAAAACAATAACAGGCTCAAATTAAGATAGAAATAGAACTATGGGGTTGGGGGGAACTAACGTTAGCAATATACAATGCTAATTTAGCACAGAACACTTACAGAACCAATGTACTTTATGCATCACTAGGGCACCTAAACATTTATTCAATAAGCAGCTATCGGCTGGGTGCAGTGGCTCACACCTGTAATCTCAGCACTTTGGGAGGCCAAGGTGGGTGGATCACCCGAGGTGAGGAGTTCAAGACCAGCCTGGCCAACATAGTGAAACCCAGTCTTTACTAAAAATACAAATATTAGTTGGGCATGGTGGCCCATGCCTGTAATTCCAGCTACTTGGGAGGTTGAGGCAGGAGAATCACTTGAACCCGGGAGGCGGAGGTTGCAGTGAGCCAAGATTGCGCCACTGCGCTCCAGCCTGGGCTACAGAGTGAGACTCCGTCTCAAAAAACAAAACAAAACAAAACAAACAAACAAAAAAAAACAAAAAAAAGCAGCTATAGAATACTTGACATTTTTTTACTTTTCCCTCTGATTTCTAGTTAATAACTGTATTTGAATATTATGTAATCCTATATGCCAGGTGCTATTTTAGGCACTTTATATATCATCTCATTTTCACACTTTGATTTCACATGTCTATTCTCCTCCTAACTGCCTCTTCCTTCTGTAGCTCACAGTTTGCTTCTGCCTCCTACTGTTTTCCTCTTGTCTCTATTATTTACTTTCCTCCCATTATTTTTCTCTCTGTTTCACCTCCGTCCTTGGAAAACTTTTTCCATTTTTCCTGAGATTCCCATCCCCCACTGCCCCCATCCTTCTCCTCTTTGCCTGCCTGTAGTGTATGTTGATAGATATGAAGAAAATTCAGAGGAAAGTCACAAATAGTTTTTCTTAAAATACTTTTAAGTTTTAATGACCACTAATAAGTGTATGAGGTTTTGGTGCTCCACATCCTCACTATTTAAAAAATTTTTGCCATCCCGGTGGGTGTGTAGCAGTATGTCATTCAGGTTTTAGTTTGCATTTCCCTGAACACCAATGATGTTGACCATCTTTTCATGTGCTACTGGACACTCACATATCTTCTTTTTATTATTATTAGTGTGTGTGTGTGTGTGTGTGTGTGTGTGTGTGTCTGTGTGTGTTTCACCCAGGCTGGAGTGCAGTGTCATGATCTGGGCTCACTGCAACCTCCGCCTCCCAGGTTCAAGCTATTCTCCTGCTTCAGCCTCCCAAGTAGCTGGGATTACAGGCGCACGCCACCATGCCTGGCTGATTTTTGTATTTTTAGTAGAGACGGAGTTTTGCCATGTTGCCCAGGCTGGTCTTGAACTCCTGACCTCAGGTGATCTGTCTGCCTTGGCCTCCCAAAGTGCTGGGATTAGAGGCGTGAGCCACCACGACCAGCCACATACCTACTTTGGTGAAGTATCTATTGAAATATTTTTCCCTTTCAAAAAAATGAGTTGTCTTTTTATTACTGAGTTGTAGGAATTCCTTATATATCCTAGATACTGCAGCCTTATCTGATATATATTTTGTTAATAATTTTTCCCCAGTGTGTGGCTTGCATCTGTTTCCTAGTGGTGGCTTGTTGGGCTGGACACGGTGGCTCATGCCTGTAATCCCAGCACTTTGGGAGGCCGCAGTGGGCGGATCACAAGGTCTGGAGTTCGAGACCGCCTGACCAACATGGTGAAACCCCATGTCTAACAAAAATACAAAAATTAGCTGGGCGTGGTGGCATGTGCCTGTAATCCCAGCTACTCATGAGGCTGAGGCAGGAGAATCACTTGAACCCGCAAGATGGAGGTTGCAGTGAGTCGAGATCGAGCCATTGCACTCCAGCCTGGGCACAGAGCGAGACTCCATCTCAAAAAAAAAAAAAAAAAAAAAAGGCCGGGCGTAGTGGCTCACGCCTGTAATCCCAGCACTTTTGAGAGGCCGAGGCGGGTGAATCACAAGGTCAGAAGTTCAAGACCAGCCTGGCCAAGATGGTGAAACCCCATCTCTACTGCAAGTACAAAAATTAGCCAGGTGTGGTGGTGGGTGCCTGTAATCCCAGCTACTTGGGAGGCTGAGGCAGGAGAATCACTTGAAACTGGGAGGCGGACGTTGCAGTGAGCTGAGATCTCACCACTGTGCTCCAGCCTGGGCAACAAGAGCAAGACTCCATCTCAGGAAAAAAAAAAAAAAAATGGCTTATTGTTGTTTTGAGACAGTCTCACTCTGTCACCCAGGCTAGAGTGCAGTGGCATGATCTCAGCTCACTACAGTCTCTGCCTCCCAGCTTCAAGCAATTCTCCTACCTTAGCCTCCCGAGTAGCTGGCACTATAGCCGCACCACCACACCTGGCTAATTAATGTATTTTTAGTGAAGAGGAGGTTTCACTATGTTGGCCAGGCTGGTCTCAAACTCCTGACCTGAAATGATCCGCCTCCCTCGGCCTCCCAAAGTGCTGGGATTACAGACATGAGCCACTGCGTTCAGCATGTTTTGTTTGGTTTTTGGTTTTTTGAGACAGGGTCTTGCTCTGTTGCTCAGGATGAGTGCAGTGAAGCGACCACAGCTCACTGCAGCCTCAAATTCCCGGGCTCAAGAGACGCTCCCACCTCAGCCTCCCAAGTAGCTGGGACTACAGGCACGTGCCACCGTGCCAGACTAATTTTATTTTATTTTTTGTGGAGATGGGTCTCCCTATTTTGCCCAGGCTAGGCTGAACTCAAGTGATCCTCCTACCCCAGCCTCCCATGCCTAGCCGATGGTGGCTTTTGGTAACCAAAAGTATTTCTTTTTGATGAAGTCTACTGCTTTCTCAAACCTTCACCTATTCACAAGTCAAGCTGTTATTTTCACATGTTTCCTCTAAAAGCTTTATGGTTCTAGCTTTACATTTAGGTTTATGATCTATCTCAAAATGATTTTTGTGTGTTATGAGCTGGTGGAAGGGATTTATTTTTTCCATAAGGATATGCAGCATAATTTATTGAATTACTTTCATTTACTCATTGGATTGCTTTGGTTCCTTTTTGAAAGTCAAAGGCTGCATAAATATGGGTGTTTTGCTATTTTTTGAACTATTATTATTTTCTAATTCATTTTTAAATTATCTTTTTGTTATCAGTTTTTTACTTTATTATATTCTGATCTGAGGATCTGGATTATATAATATTGATTTTTTAATTTAAGAAGACCTCTCTTTTGGCTTAGTACATTGTCAGTTTTATTAAGTAATCCTTTGTGCTTGAAAAGAAAAAGTTTTTTCTCTAATATTTGGTTTCAGAGTTCTATGTAGGTCATTTGAGGAACTGCTTTAATTGTGTTGTACAAATCTTCATACTCTTTTTTTTTTTTCTTCTTTTTTTTGAGACAGAGTCTTGCTTAGTCACCCAGGCTGGAGTGCAGTGGCTCGATCTCCGCTCACTGCAAGCTCCGCCTCCTGGGTTCACGCCATTCTCCTGCCTCAGCCTCCGAAGCAGCTGGGACTACAGGCGCTCGCCACCACTCCCAGCTAATTTTTTTGGATTTTTTTTAGTAGAGACGGGGTTTCACCGTGTTAGCCAGGATGGTCGCGATCTCCTGACCTCGTGATCCGCCCGCCTCGGCCTCCCGAAGTGCTGGGATTACAGGCGTGAGCCACCGCGCCCAGCCCTTCATACTCTTAATAAATCTTTTTTTGGCTTGAGCTCTCATTTTCTGAGATATGTGTTACAATCTCCAGTGAAACCCCGTTTCTACTAAAAATACAAAAAATTAGCCAGGTGTGGTGGTGGACGCCTGTAGTCCCAGCTACTTGGGAGGCTGATGCAGGAGAATGGCGTGAACCCAGGAGGTGGAGCTTGCAGTGAGCCGAGATCGCGCCACTGCACTCCAGCCTAGGCAACAGAGTGAGAATCTGTCTCAAAAAAAAAAAAAAGAAAAAAATTGAAAAAGAGATATGTGTTACAATCTCCTACCTTGGCATGCTCATGGGATGGCAAGGAGGCCCATACGCGATTCAACTGGAGTGAGTAAAGGGAAGAAGAGTAGGAGTTCAAATCAAAGAAGCAAGTGGTGCTGGATCATGTCTTAAAGGCTTGGATTTTACTGTGAGCGAGCTGAGTCATTTCTGAAGGGTTTTTTGAACAAAGGATTCAGTGATGCCATTTAAAGAATGGAATTTCAATACCTGAAAATAATAAGACCTATAACAAACCCACAGCCAACATTATACTGAATGGGCCAGAGCTGGAAGCATACCCCTTGAGAGCTGAAACAAGACAAGGATGTCCTCTTTCACCACTCCTATTCTGCACAGTGCTGGAAGTCCTAGCCAGAGCAACCGGGCCAAAGAAAGAAATAAAATGCATCCAAGTAGGAAAATAAGTCAAATTATCTCTCTTCACTGACAATATGATTCTATACCTAGAAAACGCTAAAGACTCCACCAAAAGGTGCCCGTCAATGGTGGAATGGTTAAAGAAAACTTGAAATATATACACCATGGAAAGCTGGGTGCAGTGGCTCACGCCTATAATCCCAACACTTCGGGAGGCTGAGATGGGCGGATCACGAGGTCAGGAGTTCGAGACCAGCCTAACCAATATGGTGAAACCCTGTCTCTACTAAAAATACAAAAATTAGCCAGGTGTGGTGGCATGCGCCCGTAGTCCCAGCTACTTGGGAGGCTGAGGCAGGGAAAATTGCTTGAACCAGGAGGTGGAGGTTGCAGTGAGCCGAGATCGTGTCACTGCACTCCAGCCTGGGCGACAGAGCAAGACTCCGTCTCAAAAAAAAAAAAAACAAAAAAAACCACATACACACAGAACACCATGGAATACTATGCAGCCATAAAAGGAATGAAACCATGTTCTTTGTAGCAACTTGCATGCAGCTGGAGGCCATTATCCTAAGCAAATTAATGCAGAAACAGAAAACCACATACCACATATTCTCACTTACAAGCGGGAGCTAAACATTGGTTACACATGGACACAAAGATGAGATAATAGATGCTGGGGACTATGAGAGAGGAGGGAGTAAAAAAACTACCTATTGGGTACTATGCTCACTTCTTGGGTGACAGGTTCAATAGCACCCCAAACCTTTCGCATCACACAATATACCCATGTAACAAACCTGCACATGTACCCCCTAAATCTAAAATAAAAGTTGAAATTTTTAAAAATAAAAAAAATAAAACTATTGTATTAGTCTGTTCTCACACTGCTATGGAGAACTACCTGAGACTGGGTAATTTATAAAGAAAAGAGGTTTAATTGGCTCCTGGTTCTGCAGGCTGTACAGGAAGCATGGCTGAGGAGGCCTCAGGAAACTTACAACCGTGGCGGAGGGTGAAGAGGAAGGAGGCATGTCTTACATGGCCAGAGCAGAGGAAGAGAGAGCAAAGCGGGAAGTGCTACACACTTTTAAACAACCAGATCTCGGCTAGGCGCGGTGGCTCACGCCTGTAATCCCAGCACTCTGGGAGGTCAAGGCAGGGGGATCACGAGGTCAGGAGTTCAAGACCAGCCTGGCCAAGATGGTGAAACCTTGTCTCTACGAAAAATACAAAAATTAGCTGGGCGTGGTGGTGGACGCCTGTAATCCCAGCTACTCGGGAGGCTGAGGCAGAGAATTGCTTGAACCCCGGAGGCAGAGGTTGCAGTGAGCTGAGATCATGTCACTGCACTCCAGCCTGGGCAACAGAGCAAGACTGCATCTCAAAAAATAAAAAATAAAAAATAAACCAAAAAAAAAAAAAACAAAAAACAGAACTCGTGAGAACTCAGTATCACAAAAATAGCAAGGGGGAAATCCACCCCCATGATCTAATCACTTCTCACCTGGTCCCTCCTCCAAAAGTGTGGATTACAATTCAACATGAGATTTGGGTGGGGACATAGATCCAAACAATATCAATTATATACAAGTATGGGAAAAAAGATGAATTTTTCCACAGGGGGCCAGGGGGCAGGTGGGGGTTCCATAAGAGACTAGTTAAAGAAACTATTGTAGAAGGCCAGGCAAGAGATGATGATGCTTTAGGCCAGGTGCAGTGGCTCGTGCCTATAATCCCAGCATGTTGGGAGGCCAAGGTGGGTGGATCACTTGAGGTGAGGAGTTCGAGACCAGCCTGACCAACATGGTGAAACCCTGTCTCTACTAAACATACAAAAATTAGCCAGGCATGGTGGCCCATGCCTGTAATCCCTCTAGAGGCTGAGGCAGGAGAATCGCTTGAACTTGGGAAGCGGAGGTTGCAGTGAGCCAAGATCATACCTCTGCGCTCCACCCTGGGTGACAGAGCAAGACTCTGTCTCAAAAAAAAAAAAAAAAAATGATGCTTTGGACCAGCGTGGTATACAAGAAGTGGTGAGAAGGGTTTAGATTCTAGAAATATTTTTAAAATAATATCAACAGATATTGTTGATACTTCAATGTGGGGTATGAGAGAAAGAGAGGATTCAAGGATGATGCCAAGATTTTTGGCTTGAACTATTGGAAGGGTGGAGTTAGTGGCTGGGCACGGTGCCCACACCTGGTAATCTCAGCACTTTGGGAGACCAAGGTGGGAGAAACACCTGTAGCCAGAAGTTTGAGACCAGCCTGGGCAACATGGCAAAACTCTGTCTCTACAAAAAATACAAAAATTAGCTGAGCGTGGTGTAATGTGCCTATAGTCCCAGGTACTTGGGAGGCTGAGGTGGGAGGATCGCTTGAGCCCAAGAGGCAGAGGGTACAATGAGCCAAGATTGCATCACTGTACCACTGCACTCCAGCCTGGGTGACGGAGTAAGACCCCATCTCAAAAAAAAAAAAAAAAAAAAAAAAAAAAAGAGAAACAGGAGTGGAGTTACTGATAACTATGGTGGGGATTTATGTTATGTATGTATCTTCCATATATGCATATATCTTTGTCACCTCAGTAGTGCCTTCATGACCAGAATCTTTTTTTTTTTGAGGCGGAATTTTGTTCTTGTTGCCCAGGCTGGAGTGCAATGGGATGACCTCGGCTCACTGCAAACTCTGCCTCCTGGGTTCAAGCGATTCTACTGCCTCAGCCTCCTGAGTAGCCAGGATTACAGGCATGCGCCACCAAGCCCGGCTAATTTTGTATTTTTAGCAGAGTTGGGGTTTCACCATGTTGGTCAGGCTGGTCTCAAACTCCTCACCTCAGCTGATCCGCCCACCTCGGCCTACCAAAGTTTGGCCTACCAAACCACTTACGGCTACCAACATAATTATAGTTATGAGCCTCTATGCCCAGTCCCAGAATCTTAAAAATATATTGTTTGTAGCTAATATATGTTTATTATTTATGTGTGAGGCATGATATCACTAATGTAAATATAATACTAAATTTTTTGTTTGTTTGTTTTTGAGACGGAGTCTCACTCTGTCACCCAGGCTGGAGTGCAATAGCATAATCTCGGCTCACTGCAACCTTGGCCTCCCAGGTTCAAGCAATTCTTCTGCCTCAGACTCCTGAGTAGCTGGGACTACAGGTCGCGCCACCACGCCCAGCTAATTTTTGTATTTTTAGTAGAGACAGGGTTTCACCATGTTGGCCAGGCTGGTCTTGAACTCCTGATCTCAGGTGATCCACCCGCCTCAGCCTCCCGAAGTGCTGGGATTACAGGCATGAGCCACCACGCCTGGCCCTATAATACTAAATGTTTTATTGCACATTAATAGTTAATCCTCGTTCAAACCTAGGTGATAGGTCCCTTTAATACAAAGGGACACTGAGCCCTGTGGACATTAAATAACTTGTCCATGGATGCATAGCTAGTAAAAAGGAAGGCTGAGATTCTTTTTTTGTTTGTTTTTGAGACAGCATCTCATTCTGTCGCCCAGGCTGGAGTACAGTGGCACATTCATAGCTCACTGCAGCCTTGACCTCCTGGGTTCAAACAGTCCTCCCACCTCAGCCCCCAGAGTAGCTGGGACTACAGGCACATGCCACCACGCCAGGCTAGTTTTTGTATTTTTAGTAGAGACAGGGTTTCACCATGTTGGCCAGGATGGTCTCAAACTCCTGACCTCAAGTAATCAGCCCGCCTCAGCCTCCCAAAGTGCTGGGATTATAGGCATCAGCCACTGTGCCCAGCCAGAAAGCTGGGATTTTTTTTTTTCATTTTGTAAGTTGTTACCAGATGCTCCTTTACTTTTTCTTTAAAAATGGTTGTTTTAATTTTTGACCAGATGACAGTCATAGTTCAAAATTGAAAAATACACGAAACTTCCCTTTTAATCTTTTTTTGTTTATTGAGACAGAGTCTCACTCTGTCACACAGGCCAGAGTGCAGTGGCCGGATCTCGGCTCACACTGCAACCTCCGCTTCCCATATTCAAGAGATTCTCCTGCCTCAGCCTCCCAAGTAGGTGGGATTACAGGCATGTGCCACCACACCTGGCTAATTTTTCTTTTTTCTTTTTTTTTTTTTTTTTGAGACGGATTCTTGCTCTGTCACTCGGGCTGGAGTGCAATGGCACCATCTCAGCTCACTGTAAACTCCACCTCCCGAGTTCAAGCGATTCTCCTGCCTCAGCTTCCTGAGTAGCTGGGATTACAGGTGTGCACTACCACGCCTGACTAATTTTTGTATTTTTAGTAAAGACAGGGTTTCACCATTTTGGTCAGGCTGGTCTCGAACTCCTGACCTTGTGATCCGCCCCCCCTTGGCCTCCCAAAGTGCTGGGATTACAGGAGTGAGCCACTGCGCCCGGCCACTTTTTTGTATTTTTATTAGAGACCGGTTTCACCTTTTTGGCCAAGCTGGTCTTGAACTCCTGGCCTCAAGTGATCCGCCCGCCTCAGCCTCCCAAAGAGTTGGGATTATGGGCGTGAGCCACTGCGATCAGCATTGCTAACTTCTTCAATACCCTTCCAGAGATACTTACTGAACAAGCAGCTATTAAGTAAGTATTTCTACACTTTGGGAAGTCAAAGCGGGAACATCACTTGAGCTCAGGAGTTTGAGACCAGCTTGAGCAACATAATGAGATCATATCTCTACTAAAAATAAAAGAAATTGGCCGGGCGTGATGGTACGTGCCGGTAGTCTCAACTACTTGGGAGGCAGAGGGGGGAGGATTGCTTGAGCCCAGGAGGCAGAGATTGCAGTGAGCTGTGACCATGCCACTGCATTCCACCCTGGGCAACTGAGTAAGACCCTGTCTCAAAAAAAAAAAAAAAATTCCCCCGTTTTATTTTTTTTTACAAAGGGTAACAATTTATACCCTGCTCTGTATCTTGCTTTTCCATTTGGATAACTTTCCACATTGTCATACCCATAATTTATTTAATTAGTTCCGTATCGATGGACATTTAGTATCTTTCCAGTCATTTTTTATTGTAAACAATGCTGCTGTGAATTACCTGGTACATATGGAATTTTGCAAAGGTGAAGCTAGTATTATAAACCAAATCTGAGTGTAAAGCCACTAAGCTGTGGCACCACACTGCCTCCCAATGTTGTTAATTGACTTGAGAAGATGATTCTTCCTGACTCCTATTTTTTTTTTTTTTTTCTGAGACAGAATTTCGCTCTTGTTGCCCAGGCTGGAGTGCAGTGGCGACATCTCAGCTCACCTCGAGCTCCGCCTCCTGGGTTCAAGCGATTCTCCTGCCTCAGCCTCCCGAGTAGCTGGGATTACAGGCATGCACCACCATGCCACACTAATTTTGTATTTTTAGTAGAGATGGGGTTTCTCCATGTTGGTCAGGCTGGTCTCGAACTCCCAACCTCAGGTGATCCGCCTGCCTTGGCCTCCCAAAGTGCTGTGATTACAGGTGTGAGCCATCGTGCCTGGCCCACTCCTCTCAATTTGATGAGCATACTTTATGTTTTAATCTTCCTGATGCTCAGCTCCCAGCTCCAGGTGCAGCCACCCTTGAATACCTGTGAAATTCATAAACATGCAATGTCCTCCAGCAGTCCTCTCTGGGAACCTCATCCACATGCAGATGACCCTGATGAGAGTCTAGAAAAGGGAAATAATAAACTCAGAGCACTTGAGAAAGATTTCCTTTTCTTATAAGTTAAGGTGAATGTACTTTAGGAAGTAACCCAGAAAGGGAAAGTGTCTCTCTAGGGCACATGGAAAGCCTTTCCTAAGGTGAGACAATGATCTGACTCTTGCAAAGACTGATTGCATACCAGCATCTTGAGCAATACGCCACCTGATCATGTGTGACACGTAGCACAGATCTTTTTTGTGTTGTGCAACCTTTCACTTTGTGCATGGGACTAACTTTGCTCTAGATTGGAGTCATTTCCTGTTAAAATGTTACATCTACTTTGTGGTGCTAAGAGGCTTACTGGTCTTATGATAAGACAGATAAATGACTCAGTAACTGTCTCTTCCTGAACTTTGGTCTAATTTGTGTTACAATGACATGTACTTCCCTGTGAACTTTCACCTAGATAGCTGATTCCCTGAAATTATTAAGAGTACTGCAGGTGGGCCTAATAATCCTCTTTATTGATTTTGAGATATCTAAACACTTCATAAATATTAGCAAATACGTGTAAAGTTAAAACTCCTTTCTTTCTTTCTTTCTTTTTTTTTTTTTGTGAGACAGAGTCTTGTTTTGTCACCCAGGCTGGAGTGCAGTGGATCAGTCTCCGCTCACTGCAACCTCTGCCTCCCGGGTTCAAGCGAATCTCATGCCTCAGGCTCCCAAGCAGCTGGAATTACAAGCTCGTGCCACCATGCTCAGCTAATTTTTTGTATTTTTTAACAGAGATGAGGTTTCAGCCATGTTGGCCAGGCTGGTCTCAAACTCCTGACCTCGAATGATGCACCTGGGTCAGTCTTCCACTGCTTTGGGATTCCAGGCATGAGCGACTGGGACTGGCCAAAACTCCTCTATCTCACCCATAAAAAACAGCACTGGTCTATAATTTTCATCTTGTGGAAATACTAATAATTAATATTGATAGAGTCCTTACCACACACTACGTATTGTTCTAAGCCCTTTAGGTAATACTCTCATGAGGTGGGCTCTATTGTTATTATCCCCATTTTATTTTTTTATTAGATTTTTTTTTTTTTTTTGTCTGGGCATGATGGCTCATGCCTGTAACCCCAGTACTTTGGGAGGCAGAGGTGGGTGGATCACTTGAGGTCCGGAGTTTGAGACCAGCTTGGCCAACATGACAAAACCCCATCTTTACTAAAAATAAAAAAATTAGCCAGGTATGGTGGTGCATGCCTATAATCCCAGCTGTTGCCTCAGGAGGCTGAGGCAAAAGAATCCCTTGAGCCCAGGAGGCAGAGGTTGCAGTGACCTGAGATCGTGCCACTGCACTTCAGCCTGGGCGACAGAACAAGACATCATCTCGAAAAAATTAAATTAAATTAAAAAATAATAAATAATTTTTTTGGAGACAGCATCTCACTGTATCGCCCAGGCTGGAGTGCAGTGGCACGATCTCAGCTCACTGCAACCTCCACCTACCGAGTTCAAACGATTCTCCTGCCTCAGTCTCCCAGGTAGCTGGGATTACAGGCGCCCACCACCATGCCCGGCTAATTTTTTGTATTTTTAGTAGAGACGGGGTTTCACCATGTTGGCCAGGCTGGTCTTGACCTTCTGACGTCAGGTGATCCACCCACCTTGGCCTCCCAAAGTTCTGGGCTTACAGGAGTGAGCCACCACACCCTGCTTTTTTTTTTTTTTTTTTAAGAGACAGAGTATTGCTATGTTGCCCAGGCTGGACTTGATCTCCTGGGCTCAAGCGATCTACATGCTATAGCCTCCCAAGAAGCAGAGGTTAAAGACCTTGCTCCAAATCCACCCGCTTTGTGAGAGCGTCCTTGCAACACTGACCTCAGTCCTCCTCCCACTCTGACTCTAAATAAGCTGCTTCTTCAGCTGTGTCCTCAAGGCATGGTATATCTGATTCTCTCTGTAGATCACATTCCATCCCCCATGTAGTACATTTTGCTGTTTATAATCTGTTGTAGAACATAGGCTCCTTGAGATTGAGAACTGACACTATTTCATTTCTATATCCCTTTGCAAGTTCTACTTAGGTTTCTGCAACCTCCACCTCCTGGGTTCACACAATTCTCCTGCCTCAGCCTCTGAGTAGCTGGGATTACAGGCGCGTGCCGGCACACCTGGCTAATTTTTGTATTTTTAGTAGAGACGGGGTTTCGCCATGTTGGCTATGGCTGGTTCCAAACTCCCGACCTCAGGTGATCCACTCACCTTGGCCTCCCAAAATGCTGGGTTTACAGGCATAAGCCACCATGCCCGGCCACATTATTCACATTTCAAGTGCTCAATTGCCATACCTGGCTGGCAGCTAGTGTATGAGCAACACAGACACAGGGCATTTCCATCACTGTAGAAAGTTCAACCAGACAGTACTAATCTGGAAAGATCATTGGTACAGATCACTGGAGTTACAGTTTGTTTGGTTTTTTGTTTTGTTTTGTTTTTTCTTTCTGAGATGGAGTCTTGCCATGTCGCCCAGGCTGGAGTGCGATCTCAGCTCATTGCAATCTCCACCTCCCAGGTTCAAGTGATTCTCCTGCCTCAGCCTCCCAAGCAGCTGGGACTACAAGCGCGTGCCACCACACCCAGCTAATTTTTTGTATTTTTAGTAGAGACAGGGTTTCGCTGTGTTAGCCAGGATGGTCTCGATCTCCTGACCTCGTGATCCACCCGCCTCGGCCTCTGAAAGTGCTGGGATTACAGGCGTGAGCCACCACACCCAGCCTGGAGTTACAGTTTGTATACCATTAAGAAACTGTTCTGGGAGGGTGGGGGCAGTGGCTTATGCCTGTAATCCCAGCACTTTGGGAGGCCTAGGCAAAAGGATCCCTTGAGGGCAGGAGTTCAAGACCAGCCTAAGCTACATAGTGAGACTCCATCTCTACAAAAAATGAAAAATTGGCCAGGCGTGGTGGCTTGCCTCTGTAGTCCCAGATGCTCAGGCGGCTGAGGCAGGAGAATCACTTGAGCCCAGTAGGTCAAGGCTCCAGTGAGCCATGGTGGCACCACTGCACTTCAGCCTGGATGACAAGGTTAGACTGTCTTTCAAATAAATAAAAGAAAAAAGCCAGGCGAGGTGGCTCACACTGTAATCCCAGCACTTTGGGAGGCCGAGGCGGGCGGATCACGAGGTCAGGAGATCGAGACCACGGTGAAACCCCGTCTCTACTAAAAATACAAAAAACAATTAGCCGGGCGCGGTGGTGGGAGCCTGTAGTCCCAGCTACTCGGGAGGCTGAGGCAGGAGAATGGCGTGAACCCGGGAGGTGAAGCTTGCAGTGAGCCGAGATTGCGCCACTGCACTCCAGCCTGGGCGACAGAGCGAGACTCCATCTCAAAAAAAAAAAAAAAGAAAAAAACTGTTCTTGGGAGCACTTGAGGGTAACATTGATCATAACATCGTCTTGGAGAATAACTGTTAATGATTTACCTTTAGAATATTCCACACTTGGTAAATGACTTAGGCTTACAGTAGAGAAAGAAGAAAAAGAAAAAAAGAAGCCATCAGTAAAACAACCATGTTAGAAAACTGCACCTGGGTGCAGTGTCTCACGCCTGTAATCCCAGCACTTTGGGAGGCCAAGGTGGGAAGATCACTTGAGGTCAGGAGTTTGAGACCAGCCTGGCCAACATGTTGAAACCCCGTCTCTACTAAAAATACAAAAATTAGCCAGGTATGGTGGTGGGTGCCTGTAATCCCAGCTACTCAGGAGGCTGAGGCAGGAGAATCACTTGAACCCCGGAGGCAGAGGTTGCAGTGAGCTGAGATCGCAACACTGCACTCTAGCCTGGGTGACAAGAACGAGACTCCATCTCAAAGAAAGAAAAAAAGAAAAAAGGAAAATTGCTTTGAGGCAAACCTCAGTAATCACAATGTTGTATCTTAAGTAATAATTAACAATTGTGAAAGCATATTTCTGTAGGCCTTTTGCAAGATACACAGAGTAAAAATCGGGCACATAAAGGTTGGGATTATAAAAGGATGTTCATTCATTTTTCAAGTTTGTGTAGTAACTTGCCTGACATTTATGTCAACTAAAAAAAAAAGTAAGATGACTGGCTACAGTGGCTCACGCCTGTAATCCCAGCATTTTGGGATGCCAACAAGAGTGGATCACCTGAGGTCAGGAATTCAAAACCAGCCTGACCAACATGGCAAAACCCCATCTCTACTAAAAATACAAGAGCTAGCCGGGCACGGTGGCACTTGCCTGTAATACTCAGGAGGCTGAGGCAGGAGAATCGCTTGAACCCAGGAGGCGGAGGTTGCAGTGAGCCAAGATCACACCACTGCACTCCACACTGGGCAACAAAGCCAGACTCCATCTCAAAAAAAAAGTCCCAGCACTTTTGGAGGCCAAGGCAGGTGGATCACCTGAGGTTGGGAGTTCAAGAGCAGCCTGACCAACATGGAAAACCCCCCTCTCTACTAAATACACAAAATTAGCTGGGCGTGGTGGCGCATGCCTGTAATCCCAGCTACTCGGGAGGCTGAGGCAGGAGAATCGCTTGAACACAGGGCGCTGAGGTTGCAGAGAGCTGAGATCACACCATTGCATTCCAGCCTGGGCAACAAGAGAGCAAAACTCCATCTCAAAAAAACAAACAAATTAGTCAAGTGTGGTGGTGTGCGCCTGTGGTCCCAGCTACTTGAGAGGCTGAGGTGGGAGGATGAACCCAGGAAGTCAAGTCTGCAATGAGCCGCGATCGTGCCATTGCACTTTGGCCTGGACAACAGAGAGAGATCCTGCTCAAAAAAGAAGAGGAGGAAGAGAGAAGAAGAAGAGGAAGAGGAAGGAGAAGGAGAAAGAAAAGGCTTTCAATGTGTCATAATTTTCTTTTCTTTTTTTTTTGAGACAGAGTCTTGCTCTGTTGCCCAGGCTGGAGTGCAGTGGCGCGATCTCGGCTCACTGCAAGCTCCTCCTCCAGGGTTCACGCCATTCTCCTGTCTCAGCCTCTGGAGTAGCTGGGACTATAGGCGCCACCACCACGCCCAGCTAATTTTTTATATTATTTGTAGAGATGGGGTTTCACCATGTTAGCCAGGATCGTCTCCATCTCCTGACTTTGTCATCCGCCCGCCTTGGCCTCCCAGAGTGCTGGGATTACAGGCGTGAGCCACTGCACCCGGCCCAATGTGTCATAATTTTCTGGCATCAATGAGAATTGGTACTTTTCCCAGTGATTTCTCCTATGATTCCCTCAGCCTGTTCTCTAAATCTAGCCATTACTGAAGGTTTTCTCAGAACCTCCTTTCTTTTCTCTCTGGACCCTCTCTCTTGATCATAAGCCATCTCACACAACTCCTAACTCCTAATTCCAAGGCAATGACTCCTTTTTTTTTTTCGGGGGGGTGGGGGGGTGGACAGAGTTTCACTCTTTTTGTCCAGGCTGGAGAGCAATGGTGTGATCTCGGCTCACCGCAACCTCTGCCTCCCGGGTTCAAGTGATTCTTCTGCCTCAGCCTCCCGAGTAGCTGGGATTACAGGCATGTGCCACCATGCCCAGCTAATTTAGTATTTTTAGTAGAGACGGGGTTTCTCCATGTTGGATTTTGGTCAGGCTGGTCTCGAACTCCTGACTGCAGGTGATCCGCCCACCTCGGCCTCCCAAAGTGCTGGGATTACAGGCATGAGCCACCGCGCCTGGCTGTCAATGACTCCTAAATCAACCTTCACCACCCTGAGCTATCTGTGCACAGAGGGACAATGTGTGCTGGTGTCTAAGGATGACACTTAGACCACAGACCAAGAACATAGGTAACACCTGTGCATTGTAATAAAGCCCTAGATGGTAGGTTGGCAAACCTTGTCTTTAAAGGGCCAGATAGCAAATACTTTCAATTCTGTGGACCATGGGGTTTCCCTGTCCTGATTATTCAGCTTGGTCATTGTAACATGAAAGCAGGCAGAGACAATATGAAATCAAAGAGGCATAGCTGTATCCCCATAGGTTTTTATTTGCAAAAGCAGGTGGCAGGCAGGAGCTGGTTGTGGTTTGCTAAGCCCTTTGATCATTGATTTTCAAACAAGAAGCCCCTTCAGAATCCACTTGGAGAGAAAGAAAGAAATGAGAGGAAGGAAAGAACTCAGTTCTTCCCTCCCACTTATTCCAACCAGAGTAATTTAGCTTTAATCTATTTGTTTACAATGGCTGACTAACATTTCATTTGTACAAAGGGTTTCAGGGCCAAAAAGTTTGAAAGCTGCTTGTCTACCTGTTCTCTGAGTTTCATTCTAGGTATGAATCTGTCACCTTGCTCAATCTAGTCACTGTCTGCTCTGAGCCACATTCTCTGCCAAAGTAGTAACCGAACTGCCCACTTCTGATCACATTACTTATCAACCTTCAGTGACTCCCTATGAGGCATTCCCAAGCTTCCCCCTTAATCTAACATACCTTCTCCATCAGCCACCCTGGGCTCTGTGCAGGAGACTCCCCAAAGGTGCTTTTCCTTCCTTCTGTTTCTGCACATTCTCCCCTTGCCTGAGAGGCTCTCTGCCTCCCATCCCATGCTCTTTGTAATCATCTATTTCACCACCCAGAAGCAGCTTCTCTTCTATGTTCCTGCTGTACTTTGTTCATGGGGCTTTTATGTGTGCATGTTCTAGCTCCCCTGCTGGATTAATTATCCTTATTAAGGGCAGGAATTACATTTTATAGATCTCTGTACCCAGCATAGGCATTAGCAAGATACCATATGCACAACAGCTATTTGAGCTCTTTATTTAGGTTGAAATGGGGCATGCCCTGGCAGAGTGCATCCTACCTCGCCAAATATTTCTTCACCTGTCTGTCATCTTCTCACTCCCACCTCCTCTCACCATCTGTAGGAGGCTATCATTACAATGCACAGGTGTTACCTAAGTTCTTAGATTATAGAACACCTGGTTGATGCCTGGGAGCTAAAAGAACAAGATCCAGGTCAACTAGTAGTGAACAAGACATGAGAAAGAGGCTTGAGAGAGAGACAAGTCCACAAGCCTTTGATGACAGGCAGACATAAGCTCTCTGGCCCTAGTGGGAAACGTCTAGGCTGAGACAATTGCCAGAGTTTGGAAATACATTGTTTTACAGTAGAAAGAGAGCAGTAGGTCTTGGAAAAGAACATACTTAATATTTACAGCTGTTTAATATTAGGTGGATTTCTAATCCTCTGAGCCTCATCTGTAAATTAGGAATAAAACATCTTCTGTAAACCTCTGAGGGTTAGCAATAATGTTCCTCATACGTAGCATACACAGCAGGCTCAATAAGTGGAATTACAGGTTGTGAAGAAAGGGAGTAAAGAGGCAAATGAGATGTAAAAACAAGAAGAAGGAAAGGTTGTTTTAAAGATAAATGTCTTTATTTTTCTTTATAGTCTTGCTATGTTGCCCAGGCTGGACTTGAACTCCTGGCCTCAAGTGATCATCCCACTTTGGCATCCCAAAGTGTTAGGATTACAGACATGAGTTACCATGGCTGATCAAGAAAAATGTCATGAACTACTCTTTTTTTTTTTTCCACGTATGACCAGTAAATCACATTGGGCTCCTTTTAACCATGGCTGAAGTGAGACTGTAATGATGTGGCATGTGCATAGGAATCACTTGGACATCTTGTGAAATGGCAGATTCTCATTCTATAGGTCTGGGTGGGCCTGATACTGTGCATTTATGATGTAATTCGGCTGGTCTGTGAACCACACACTGTGAGTAGAAAAGTGGTTGTCCATGTAGGCTGTTGAGATAAAAACAGATGAGTCAGCTGGGATGCCTGGTCTGCTTCCCTCACATGCCTAAAAGCTACCATGCTTTCAAGAAGAAGGAGGTCAGCTGAGGGAGGTTAAACTGTTAGGGAGAACAGCACCACGTGGAATGATAAGGGCCAAAGGATGGCGCAATTACAAGTGAAAAAGAGAACTTGTGTTCTTTGGGCCTTATCTACAGACCATATTCGGACACAAGAAACTGGATTGAAATTCTTCTCAGGGAACGTTAATCTCTTTGGACCTTGGTTGAAATGCTGGAATAATTAAAAAAAAAAAAAAGATTAAGCAAGATACCATTAGAAGCTTTTGCAACAAGACACAGTTTCATCAGCGGTAAAATGAGAATAATAATAGCAATACCTAAAGTAAATGTAGCAAATTAGTCATTGCAGAATCTAGGTGGTGGGAGTGTGGGTGTTCACTGAACAATTCTTTCTTTCTTTTCTTTTCTTTCTTTCTTTTTTTTTTTTGAGATGGAGTCTTGCTCTGTCTAACAGGCTGGAGTGCAGTGGTGTGATCTCAGCTCACTGCAGCCTCCACCTCTGGGGCTCAAGTGATTCTCCTTCCTCAGCCTCCCGAGTAGCTGGGATTACAGGTGCCTGCCACCACACCCAGCTAATTTTTGTAGTTTTGGTCGAGACGGGGTTTCTCCATGTTGGCCAGGCTGGTTTCAAACTCCTGACCTCAAGTAATCCGCCCACCTTGGCCTCCCAAAGTGCTGGGATTAGAGGCGTAAACCACTGCACCTGGCCCCACTGAACAATTCTTTCAACTTTCCTGTATGTTTGAAAAATCTTCAGAGTGAAATGTTGAAAAAATATGCCTCCAAATAAGGTTGAAATTAGATACATTAGAGTAAAATAGAGGAATGTAAATAACATTAGCCCAGTCTGAACACTAGTTACTCTCTAAGGGACATTCTTTTAGCAATTTTAGAAATTATTTTGGAGGCAGAAATACACATAAAATGTTTCTGAGGGCTGGGCGCGGTGGCTCACGCCTGTAATCCCAGCACTTTGGGAGGCCGAGGCGGGCAGATCACCTGAGGTCAGGAGTTCAAGACCAGCCTGGCCAACATGGTGAAACCCTGTCTGTACTAAAAATACAAAAATTAGCCAGGTGTGGTGGCAGGCGCCTGTAATCCCAGCTACTGAGGAGGCTGAGGCAGGAGAATCACTTGAACCCGGGAGGCAGAAGTTGCAGTGAGCCGAGATCGCACCACTGCACTCCAGCCTGGGCAACAGAGAGAGACAACATACCAAAAAAAAAAAATAATTATATATATATATATATATATATATATTTCTGAAAGGATACATAAGAAAAAGTTAGCATTGGCTGTGTGCGGTGGCTCGCGCCTGTAATCCCAGCAATTTGGGAGGCCGAGGCAGGTGGATTGCCTGAGCTCAGGAGTTTGCAACCAGCCTAGGCAACACAGTGAAACCCCGTCTCTACTAAAATACAAAAAAAAATAGCCAGGTGTGGTGGCATGCGCCTGTAGTCCCAGCTACTCAGGAGGCTGAGGCAGGAGAATTGCTTGAACCCGGGGGGCAGAGGTTGCAGTGAGCCGAGATATCGCCACTGCACTCCAGCCTGGGCAACAGACAGAGACTCTGTCTCAAAAAAAAAAACAAAAAGAGAAAAGAAAAGAAAAGAAAAGAAAGGATAGCATTGATTGCCTCCAGCAAGGGGGAACTTTGTGAGTAGAAGACAGAATGGAAGGGAGGCTTTTCACTGTATTATCTTTTGTAGGTTTTGCATATCAGATCATGTGTAAGTATTACCTATTCAAAAATAAATAAAATTATGGCCAGGTATGGTGGCTCACACCTGTAATCCCAGCACTTTGGGAGGCCAAGGCAGGCAGATCACTTGAGGTCATGAGTTCGAGACCAGCCTGGCCAACATGGTGAAACCTCATCTCTACTAAAAATAGAAAAATTAGCCAGGTGTGGTGGCAAGCACCTGTAATCCCAGCTACTCAGAAGGCTGAGGCAGGAGAATTGCTTGAACCTGGGAGGCAGAGGTTGCAGTGAGCCAAGATTACACCACTGCACTCCAGCCTGGGAGACAGAGCAAGAGTCCATCTCAAAATAAATAAATAAATAAAATCAAAATAAAAACGTAGAGCTCTCAAAGTCTAATAGTTTGCCTCTCTTCTAAGCAGTTTAATCATTAAGTTGCAGAATTTGCTGTGCATGGCCCTTGGTTATCAAAGAGGTCAATGTCCAGCTTCATTGAAGTGGTACATAATGAGGTTGAATTGACCTATGCACAGCCAGCTGGCTGGATCTATTTGAGGACATTTTTAGCTATGACCCAAAGGACTGTATTTTCCATTCCTGCGTTCCAGACAGGGCTGAGCTCAGGAAGTATCTAGGTTGGGTAGCCAGAGGCAGACTGGAGGTCTCATAGGTGTGTGTTAAAGGATGTAGACAGAGATAGGGAGTGAAGAGCTACACATCACGACTGGGTCATAGTCCTGTGTAAGGAATATTTTACCTGTTCCATACTTAAAGTTTACAAAGTGTTTACAGACATTACCTTCTCTGAGTCATCCAATTTCTCTGGATGGCAAGTGGGCAAGGATTTTGTCCTGTCTTACTAAAGGGGAAAACTGAGTGTGGTGACCATGAGATACACCGCTCAGATATCCTTCTAACTGCGGGGAGCAATTGACTGAGGGCCCCTGCTGCCTTCTGAATTCCATCACCACATGTGAGCTGAGGCCACACACCCATGGGCTACTCTCAGCCAGTGACAGAGTGTGGCAGGGATATTAAGGCAGGGTGATACTTTGGAGATATGGGACTCCTCTGATGACTGGGGTGCTCCCACAGCCTCACTGAAATTTCTTTAGAGTACACTATAATGTAACGTGCTTCTACCCACCCTTCTCTCCTTTCCTCTCTTCTTCACTTGGGTTGAGGCCTGCATCGCAGTCTGATGGGCCTGCCAGCCTCTCCTGGCTCCTTCCCATTTTCTCTTAGAGGCATTTCCTACAAGTTGAATACTATTTTGTCATCAAACATAGATCTGGGTGATTGTAGGTATGCTTGTAATCACTGCAATATATTGTCTTTGTTTTCAGAAATTCATTTCAACTTGAGTCATTAGATAGGCAAATCTTTTTTTCCTACTAGCTTATCATTTTGAATACTTTATTAAAAATATTTTCATATACATGTGATTCTGTGTGGCATATTACATAGGCATAGAAATAACAATTGGCTAGGCACACTGGCTCACACCTGTAATTCCAGCACTTTGGGAGGCCGAGGCAGGTGGATCATTTGAGGCCAGGAGTTCAAGACCAGCCTGGTCAACATGGTGAAACTCTGTCTGTACTAAAAATACAAAACATTAGCTGGGTATGATGGTGCATGCCTGTACTCCCAGATACTCGGGAGTCTGAGGCAGAAGAATCGCTTGAACCTGGGAGGTAGATGTTGTAGTGAGCTGAGATCGTACCACTGCACTCCAGCCTGGGTGACAGAGTGAGATCCTGTCTGCCCCGCAAAAAAAAGGAAAAAGAGAGAAAGACAGCTTCTCACTGTGTTGCCTAGGCTGAAGTGAGTGGCTATTTACAGGTGTGATCATAGTGCATGACAGCACTGTGATCTCCTATGATCACTCTTAAACTCCTGGGCTCAAGTGATCTGCCTGCCTCAGCCTCATGAGTAGCTGGGACAACAGGCACATGCCACCATGCCTGGCTATTTATTATTATTATTGAGACGGAGTCTCACTCTGTTGCCCATGCCAGAGTGCAGTGGGGCAATCTCAGCTTATTGCAATCTCTGCCTCCCAGGTTCGTGCAATTTTCCTGCCTCAGCCTCCCAAGCCCTGGGATTACAGGTGTGCACCACTACGCCCAGCTGGTTTTTGTTGTTGTTTTTTTGAGACGGAGTCTCACTGTCGCCCAGGCTGGAGAGCAGTCCTGGCTCACTGCAAACTCTGTCTCCCCGTCTCAAGCAATTCTCCTGCCTCAGCCTCCCCAGTAGCTGGGATTATAGGCGTGCGCCACCACGCCCAGCTAATTTTGTATATTTAGTAGAGACGGGGTTTCACCATGTTAGCTAGGCTGATCTCAAACTCCTGACCTCAGGTAATCTAACTGCCTCAGTCTCCCAAAATGCTGGGATTACAGGTGTGAGCCATCATGCCGGGCCCTAGTTTTTGTATTTTTAGTAGAGACAGGGTTTTACCGTGTTGGCCAGGCAGGTCTCACACTCCTGACCTCAAGTGACCCATTCACCTCAGACTCCCAAAGTGCTGGGATTACAGGTGTGAGCCACCATGCCTGGCCCATGCCTGGCTATTTAGTGTTTATGAAGATTTCAAGGTATTTTTGTTGTTGTTGTTCTTTGTAAAATAATTTGTCCTCCTCCATTGTCCACTCCACTTTTCTTCTTTCTTTTTTTGTCTTGAGACAGTCTTGCTCTGTCACCTAGGCCACAGTGCAGTTGCCTGATCCCGGCTCACTGCAACCCGGCTCAAGCGATCTTCCCACCTCAGCCTCTTTAGTAGCTGGGACTACAGGCTACAGGCACACACCACCGTACCTGGCTAATTATTGTATTTTTTTATACAGATGAGGTTTCACTATGTTGCCCAGGCTGGTCTGGAACTTCTGGGCTCAAGAATCCTCATGCCTCAGCCTCCCAAAGTGCTGAGATTATGGGCATGAGCCAGCCACTTCACTTTTCCTTGTCTTTATTAATGCTCTGGAGTTTGTAATTATATGGCCAACCTAGGGGTTCTGGGAACTTACTCAGGCCAGGAGAATTACCATTTGCAGATTACCCTGTGGCTTGGCAAGGAACGTCATAAACCCACACATGCTGGTCAAAGGAGGAGATGGTTTAAGTCTTTTGAAATGGTGTCATCAGGAGAATGGAGACATTGTCAGCTGTCAGCACGACACCATTTGACATAGGGTGGGAGGAGGCAGAGCAATCAGCAGGCTCTTACTTCTAGACTGTTCTTGGAGTTGGCTGGCAGCAACCTGATTGGCAATAGTTGTTTGCCTGAGTTCCCAGAATTCCATTTTGAGTTCATTCTGGTTGAACAGAACGTTTTGTCAGAACAATTATGGCTTTCTTCCTGAAGTGTGCTTGGCCGGAAAAGAAAGCAGGAGACCTCAAGGGCTAATAATCTAGCAGTGGCTGACACTGAAATGATGCATGGAAGAAAGGCTACCAAGCAAGGGAGGTGGAGAGCAGTTTGAAGCAACTGGGGTAAGCTGAGGTGTGTGAAAGCAGCCCTTCTGCTTGTGCGTCCCCACAGCGACAGCAAGTGTGGCTAGTGACGAGGAGGAGTGTGCCAAAGCCAGAGGGCCACAGGAAAGGGAAGGCTTGGCCATCAGTACATGACTTGGTGAAGACATGAAGAATGTCTTCAAGGAACTTGTCTATGTAGCAGACTGGTGATGAGGTGGTCTTGTTGAGTCCATGTAGTAAGGAATCAGTACCTTACACACATGCACACACACACCATGAGAGAGAGAGAGAGAGAAAGAGAGAGAACAGTATTGCCTTGCCTGTTTACAACAGAGATCTCAGTTACTAACTATATATTCTGGGCTCTTCAAGAGCAGGGGTCATGAATTTTTTTTTTTTTTTTTTGAGACAGTGTCTTGCTCTGTCACCCAGGCTAGAGTGCAGTGGTGTGATCTCGGTTCACTGCGACCTCCACCTCCTGGGTTCAAGAGATTCTCCTGCCTCAGCCTCCCTAGTAGCTGGGATTACAGGTGTGCGCCACCACGCCCAGCTAATTTTTGTATTTGTTTAGTAGAGATGGGGTTTCACCATGTTGGCCAGGCTGGTCTTGAACTCCTGACCTCATGATCCACCTGCCTTGGCCTCCCAAGGTGCTGGGATTACCGGCATGAGCCACTGCACCCAGCCGAGGGATCATTAATTTTACCTCTGTTGATTCCCTAATGTTACTCAATACAGGGCTGCACACTTGCCAGGGCCTCCTTGAATACAGTATATTATTCTTTTGGGCGTCATGGAAAACAGTTTCTTGACATCCTGCCAATGTGCACTATGCTAAATGGTTTCCATGCCCAAAAGCACGAAAGTTCCCCACCTCATCTTCAACATTCTTTCTCCACACATTTTTAGGGCTCTACCTAACAGTTCAGTTCTAAGCACATCTTTCACTAAGCATGAGGTTTGTTAGTGTTGACAGTCAATACCAGATTAAACCTCTGTGTCCCTTAGCCATTTGCAGAGAGGCCTGGGAAATCAACCATAAACAAAAGGCACATGGGGGTGAGAAGATAGGTAAGGACCCACAGGGAAACTGCTCATTCTGATGGTGAAGACAGTCCTGACAGACCCGAGGGAAAAGGTTACAAGGAAAGGAAGCCCAAGGGCTTCTACTTTGTCCCAGATTGGTATCTGCATGTGTGATTTTTTTGGTTTTGTTTTGTTTTGTTTGTTTTTTTGAGACGGAGTCCTGCTCTGTTACCCAGGCTGGAGTGCAATGGCGAGATCTCAGCTCACTGCAACCCCCTGCCTTCCGGGTTCAAGCGATTCTCCTGCCTCAGCCTCCCAAGTAGCTGGGATTACAGGCACAAACCACCACACTTGGCTAATTTTTGTATTTTTAGTAGAGATGGGGTTTCACCATGTTGGCCAGGCTGGTCTCAAACTCCTGACCTCGTGATCTGCCCGCTTCGGCCACCCAAAGTGCTGGGATTACAGGCGTGAGCCACGGCGCCCAGCCCCTCCTTTTTTTTTTTTTTTTTTTTTGAGTCAGAGTCTTGCTCTGTCACCCAGGCTGGAGTGCAGTGGTGCGGTCTCGTCTCACTGCAACCTCTGCCTCCTGGGTTTGAGCGATTCTCCTGCCTCAGCCTCCCGAGTAGCTAGGATTAAAGGCATGTGCCACCACACACGGCTAATTTTTGTATTTTTAGTAGAGACAGTGTTTCACTATGTTGGCCAGGCTGGTCTGGAACTCCTGACTTTGTGGTCCTCCCACCTTGGCCTCCCAAAGTGCTGGGATTACAGGCGTGAGCCACTGTGCCTGCATGATTTTCTACCCATTCAGAGGACTGGTAAGGAGCTGCCAAATCTTTTCAGGGACCCTCACAGCTGCTTGGAGATTGTGAATCAGGGATTCTCATGAACAGGCAGAACTATCACAAGGAGTCCGGCATGAAGTGAATGATGGTAGTATGTGGTCCACTGCTAAGAGAGGTGGCATGCTGCTTTTGTTTTTAAACTTTCTCTGTGTTATACTTTCTGCTTACAAAAGGAGAAATATAGGCTCACTAAACATGTTCAAACATTATAAGAAATATATAATATGAAAAGTGTGGAAGTTTTTTTATGATCCCTGCCCATCTATCCCAGATCACCATTGCCAATTATTTGGTATATCTCTCGAGATGGCATGCTTTCTGATTTTGAAGCAGATTGTGTCTTTTTTTTTTTTTTTTTGAGACAGGATACAGCTCTGACACTCAGGAGGGAGTGCAGTGGTGCAGTCTTGGTTCATTGCAGCCTCCACCTCTCAGGCTCAAGCCATTCTGTCACCTCAACCTCCTGGGTAGCTGGGATAACGGGTGCATGCCACCACACCCAGTTAATTTTTGTATATTTTGTAGAGCCAGAGTTTTGACACGTTGCCCAGGCTGGTCTCCAAATCCTGAGCTCAAGTCATCCGCCTGCCTCGGCTTCCCAAAGTGCTGGGATTATGAGCCACTGTGCCCAGCCAGGTTGTGACTTAAAATGTGCAATATCTTCGACTTCCAAAAATTGCACCACAAACAGATTCCTTGGCAGTTTGGAGTGTATGTCTCAATCTGTGTGTATGGGTGGGTACGAGAGAAAGAGAGAGAGAAAGAATAAATGTAACAAATTCACCACTATTCTTTTTCTGGGAAATAGTCTTCAGTTCTTGATTTTTATCTTTCACAGGAAATTGTGTTATTAATTAGGTAGCCAAATCATTTATTTAACATGAATATATTAAAATTTAGTTCAGTCCGAGACTACCCCAATCAGAATCTCCCCCACCCTCCATTAAATAAATAAGAACTGGTTATGAGCCTCATATGCTCACCTGGTGGAGAGCTGGCAAGAACATGGTGATAGGCCAGGCACAGGGGCTCACGCATGTAATCCCAACACTTTGGGAGGATGGGGTGGGAAGATCGCCTGAGCCCAGGAGTTTGAGACTAGCCTGGGCAACATACCAAGGCCCCGTCTCTATTAAAAAAAAAAAAAAGAGGAAGAAGAACATGGTGGTCTAGGTGTGGTTTCTGCCCAAGCATCCCTGAAGTTCTTATGAGCATGTGAAGGGAAGGGGCCATATTTTTTATGCCTAGCAAGGATATTCTGTAGTGGTGGCTTGAGGAGAAACCCTTTTGTAAACAATTACTGGGAAACCTGCAAGTTAAACTTCGACTCCCTCATGCAAGTAAAACCATGTGCGTTTTGGGCATACCCACTCAGTGCACCAGCCACTAAGCAGTTCCAGAGAGTAGTCCTTGTGTTTCAGGGATACATGTTGCTTGGAGAAAGGAGATAGAGACCTAGATTCTTTGTGTGTGTGTGTGTGTGTGTGTGTGTGTGTGTTTTGTTTTTTTTTTTTTCTTTTGTGACACAGTCTCACTCTCTCACCCAGACTGGAGTGCAGTGGCCTGATCTCAGTTCACTGCAACCTCCGCCTCTCAGGCTCAAGGGATTCTCCCACCTCAGCCTCCCGAGTAGCTGGGATTACAAGTGCATGCCACTACTGCCCAGGTAATTTTTTGTATTTTAGTAGAGACGGGGTTTCACCATGTTGGTCAGGCCGGTCTCGAACTCCTGACCTCAAATGATCCACCTGCCTCGGCCTCCCAAAGTGCTGGGATTATAGGTGTGAGCCACCGCATCCAGCCCCCTAGATTCTTACTCATTCTGTAACAGTGTGGCTGCTTTGCTGAGTTTATGCTCCCACATCCACACTTTTACAGAACATTTGAGAGAATATGTTTTGGCTCATGAATTAACTTGCAGTTTGAGACTCCCTAACTGACAATCTCCAAGCTGCTGTGGGAGTCCTTGATTCACATACATGTGTAAAATTTTGCTTGGATTTTCTAGGACAGTGAGCTGCATCCAATTACAGGCTTTCTGTAACCAAGTTCTAGGTAGAATTTAGCACTCATCAGTGACTTCTCTTGTTAGTTGTTTAGTTCTATGAGCATTAAGTAGAATCTGATACAAATATCCATCTAAAAACCACACTTTGGGCTAGGCACGGTGGCTCATGCATAGCACTTTGGGAGGCCAAGGCGGGTGGATTACCTGAGGTCAGGAGTTCAAGACCAGGCTGGCCAACATGGTGAAATCCCGTCTCTACTAAAAATACAAAAATTGGCCAGGCATGGTGGTACACACCTGTAATACCAGCTACTTGGGAGAGTGAGGCAGGAGAACCGCTTGAATCTGGGAGGCAGAGGTTGCAGTGAACCCACATCTCACCACTGCACTCCAGCCTGAGCCACAGACCAAGACTCCATCTCAAAAAAAAAAAAAAAAAAAAATTGGTCAAGCACAGTGGCTCACGCCTATAATCCCAGCACTTTGGGAGGCCGAGGCAGGCAGATCACCTGAGGTCAGGAATTCGAGACCAGCCTGGCCAACATGGCAAAACCCCGAATCTACCAAAATTACAAAAATTAGCCGGGCACCGTGGCAGGTGCCTGTAGTCCCAGCTACTCGGGAGGCAGGAGAATCGCTTGAACCCAAGAGGTGGAGGTTGCAGTGAGCCGAGATCACACCACTGCACTCCAGCCTGGGTGATGGAGTGAAACTTGTCTCAAAACAAAAACAAAAACAAAAACAAAAACAAAAACAAAAACAAAATTAGCCAGTCATGGTGGTAGGCGCCTGTGATCCCAGCTACTCAGGAGGCTGAGGCAGGAGAATCACTTGAACCCAGGAGGTGGAGATTGCGGTGAGCCGACATCATGCCACCGCACTCCAGCCTGGGTGACAGAGCAAGACTCTGTCTTAAAAAAAAAAAAAAAAAATCAAGATGCATTATATGTATGACATTAATTTAATTCAGCTCTTGGTTAACTAGAGACGTTTGGATTTAGCCATTCTACATTTCCAGGGTTACATCTGTAGACCTATAAAGCCAGCCTGAGGTGCGTTAATATAGGGAGTGGAGGGGTGGCAGAGTGTTTCTGAGTTCATATTCCATTTCTGTTAGTTATATCTAATCAGAATCTGAGTGATGAATGTCAACAAGGGCAGATTCATGGCTGATCTGTATTTTAGTTTCAGAGCAATGGACTGTTTCTTCTTCTCCGACAGTAGACTAGAGTGATTTCATTTGCTAAAGCCTAAGCCTGAACATTTCTGGAAGCTTACGAAAGTGATGTTTCAGGCTGAGAACGGTGGCTCACACCTGTAATCCCAGCACTTTAGGAGGCCGAGGCAGGCGGATCATGAGGTCAGGAGATCGAGACCATCCTGGCTAACACAGAGAAACACCGTCTCTACTAAAAATACAAAAAATTAGCCGGTGTGGTGGCACACGCCTGTAGTCCCAGCTACTGGTGAGGCTGAGGCAGGAGAATCGTTTGAATTTGGTAGGTGGAGGTTGCAGTGAGCAGAGATCGCACCATTGCACTCTAGCCTGGGCAACAGAGCAAGACTCTGTCTCAAAAAAAGGAAAAGAAAAGAAAAGAAAAAAGTGATGTTTCAGCTGGGCACGATGGCTCATGCCTGTAATCCCAGCACTTTGGGAGGAGTGGGGGGGCGGAACACCTGAGGTAGGAGTTCGAGACCAGCCTGGTCAACATGGTGAAACCCCGTCTCTATTAAAAACACAAAAAATTAGCCAGGGCCTGGTGGCAGGCACCTGTAATCCCAGCTACTTGGGATGCTGAGGCAGAAGAATTGCTTGAACTCAGGAGGCAGAGCCTGCAGTGAGCCGAGATCATGCCACTGCACTCCAGCCTGGGCAGCAAAGTGAAACTCCATCTCAAAAAAAAAAAAAAAAGAAAAGAAAAGAAAAAAAGAAAAGTGTTGTTGCTATGGTAGATGCCATTCTTACAGCATAACTTTGGATCACAAACCTTTTTTATTTTTTCATTGCAGTGCTCTAACTTCAAAGACAGATTGATTTGGTTTTGTTTTTGTTTTTTGAGATGGAGTCTTGCTCTGTCACCCAGGCTGGAGTGCAGTGGTGTGATCTCGGCTCACTGCAACCTCTGCTTCCCAGCTTCAAGCGATTCTCCTGCCTCAGCCTCCCGAGTAGCTGGGACTACAGGCATGAGACCCCATACCTGGCTAATTTTTGTATTTTTAGTAGAGACGGGGTTTCACCACACTGGCCATGCTGGTCTCAAACTCCTGACCACAAGTGATCTGCCTGTCTCAGCCTCCCAAAGTGCTGTGATTACAGGCCTGAGCCACCAGACCCGGCCATTGATTTGTTTTTTGTTTCTTCTTTTATTTTTCTCTGCCTCTTTGCATGCCTCAATCAGATGATTTTTTGTGTGTTTTAGAGATCTGTTAAAATTACATCAGGCTGACTTGACATCAATATAGCCTTACATTTTAGAAGATAAATTCTGAATTCTTGATGGATTTCATAACATTTGTAAGTAGTGTGGTAATCACATGTTTGCTAAACTTTGGAAATCATGATGTAACCCTCTGTCTTCACATAGTGAAGCCTTTTGGATTTTTCTTTAATGAAATATTAAGTTGAATGTGGAACTTTGAGTAATTGGCCCAGATAAAAGAAATGACTTGTCCAGGGATGACAAAAATTAATCCTGACCTTGAGGGATTCACTCTACCAACTCAGAGAATGAGATACACTGGCACTGATTGGTAAAGTCATAGTACCCCTAACTCCCTCAGTTGTTTTTGAGTCATTAAGAACTACTAATATTAGCCCTGTCAGAAGCCAACCTAAGAAAAGAATATTTGCCAAATGCAATTCCATAGCTGGAATGTTGAGGTATAGACAGTGAATATAATGGTTAAGTTATTCCTGAAACTTTAGCTCAGTTCTCTTTCCAAAATTAACGTACTAATATATATAAAAAATCACTCCTTTTCTCCTACTCCTCTTTCCTACTGGCTCTCAAAAAACAGGACTCAGAAATGAAAGGATCAGGCATCTTCACAAAAATGAAGGAAGCCTAGCTTGAACTGGACATGGCTTCTCAAACCTGCACTTGTAGTCCTAACTACATGGGAGGCTGAGGCAGGAGGACGGCTTGAGCCCAAGAGTTTGAGGCCAGCCTGGACAACACAGTGAAACTTTGCCTCTTAAAAAAAAAAAAATACTGAGCCAAAATAAAAGGTTTCAGGGTTTTTGTTTTTTGTTTTTTGTTTTTTTCCCAAACGTGGCTAGCAACAGCACTTGCCTCCAACAAAACTGCAGAGGCAGCTATTCCAGAGTGCAATGGTGCGATCTGGCTCACTGCAACCTCCGCTTCCTGGGTTCAAGCAAACCTCCTGCCTCAGCCTCCTGAATAGCTGGGATTACAGGCATATGCCACCACACCTGGCTAATTTTTGTATTTTTAGTAGAGACGGGGTTTCTCCATGTTGGTCAGGCTGATCTTGAACTCCTGACCTCAGGTGGTCTGCCTGCCTCAGCCTCTCAAAGTGCTGGGATTACAGGTGTGAGCTACCGTGCCTGGCCCACCAGGTATCAGCGTTTTCAAGCACAATTTGGTGGGTAGGGGGAAGCCAGTGATCTGGAGGTGCTGATTGGTCAGGTCAGAGATGAAATCATAGGGTCAAAGCTGTATTCTTGCACTAAGTCAGTTCCTGGGTGGGAGGGCTATAAGATCAGATGAGCTAGTTTATTGATCTAGGTTGTGCCAGCTGATCCATCAAGTGAAGGATCCGCAAAATACCTTAAGCACTGGTTTTAGGTTTTACAATAAACCTAAAATTTAGGTGATGTTATTCCCAGGAGCAATTTGGAGAGGGTCAGAGTCGTGTAGCCTCCAGTTTCATGACTACTAAACTATAATTTTTTTTTTTTTTTTTTTTTGAGACAGAGTCTCGCTCTGTTGCCCAGGCTGGAGTTCAGTGGCACAATCTCGGCTCAATGCAACCTCCGCCTCTCGGGTTCAACCAATTCTCTGCCTTAGTCTCCTGAGTAGCTGGGATCACAGGTACCCACTACCATGCCCAGCTGATTTTTGTATTTTTAGTACAGATGGGGTTTCACCATCTTGGCCAGGCTGGTCTTGAACTCCTGACCTCATGATCCACCTACCTCGGCCTCCCAAAGTGCTGGGATTACAAGCATGAGCCACTGCACCCGGCCCTAAACCATAATTTCTAATCTTGCAGCTAATTTGACAGTCCTACAAAGGCAGTCTAGTCCCTAGGCAAGAAGGGGGTTTGTTTTGGGAAAGGGGTGTTATCATCTTTGCTTTAAACTCTAAACTATAGCCGGGCACAGTAGCTCACGCCTGTAATCCCAGCACTTTGGCATGCCAAGGTGGGTGGATGACCTGAGGTCAGGAGTTTGCGACCAGCCTGACCAACATGGAGAAACCCCGTCTCTACTAAAAATACAAAATTAGCAGGGCGTGGTGGCACATGTCTGTAATCCCAGCTACTCCAGAGGCTGAGGCAGGAGAATCGCTTGAACTGAGGAGGTGGAGGCTGCAGTGAGCCAAGATTGCACCACTGCACTCCAGCCTGGGCAACAAGAGCAAAACAACGTATCAAAAAACAAAAAAACGAAAACAAAAAAAACAAAACCTCTAAACTATAAACTAAGTTCCTCCTAAAGTTAGTTCAGCCTACATCCAGGAGTGAACAAGGACAGCTTGGAGGCGAGAAGCAAGATGATGTTGGTTAGGTCAGATCTCTTTCACTGTCTCAGTTACAATTTTGCAATGGCTGCTTCAATAGTGTGTGGGGGAAGAAGTGTGTGTGTGTGTCTGTCTGTGTTGAGGGAGTTGTTCTTTTTTATTTTCTGAGAGGAAATCTCGTTCTGTTGCCCAGGCTGGAGTGCAATGTCACAATCTTGGCCCACTGCAACCTCTGCCTTCCAGGCTCAAGCGATTCTCCTGTCTTAGCCTCCCGAGTAGTTGGGATTACAGGCGTGTGCCACCATGCCCGGCTAATTTTTTGTATTTTTAGTAGTGACAAGGTTTCACCATATTGGCCAGGCTGGTCCTGAACTCCTGCTAGGATTATAGGTGTGAGCCACTGCGCTCGGCCTGAGGGGGATGTTAACTTTACATAGCCTTCTCTATCTACCAAGAACAAACAATTCCTTTCTGGCCCCCTTAAGGGAATAATGCTCAGTGTTTTTTTTTTTTTTTTTTTTTTTTTTTTTTTTTTTTTGTCTTTCTTTCTCATTACCTCATTCCCTCTTGCTCTTTCTTTCAACATTCATTCAACAAACATTCACTGGGGACCTTCAGACATTTATCCCTCAGAGACAGCATAATATAACTGAAAAAACTTTGGCTTCAAAGGTTGTAGAGAGGATCTTTGATCTAACTCTATACTTACAAACTGGGGAAACTTGAACAGGTAACTTAATCTCTTTCAGGCAGAGGACAGAATAGGAAAAACATGTCCTTCCCACTTCACATGAGAAGGTATTTTGTAAATTGTAAAAAACAAAAAACAAAAAACAAAAAAAATGTATAAAACAGACATGTGCCACCATGCCTGGCTAATTTTTGTATTTTTAGTAGAGATGGGGTTTCACCATGTTGGCCAGGCTGGTCTTGAACTCCTGGCCTCAAGTGATCCACCCATGTTGGCCTCCCAAAATACTGGGATTACAGGTGTGAGCCACCGTGCCCAGCCATAAAGGGCAATTTATGCAAAAATGATGAGGTGAAATAGACTTATTGTTTAGTTGTATTTTTATATGCATTGTGGAAGCAATGCAGCATGGAGGAAAGGCCGTGGAGTCATGCACCCCAGGTCCTGGTTTCAATCTGCCAGCTGTGGTACCTTAGGCAAATAACTCGATTGCTGTAACCCTCTGTAAATGAAGAGTCTGACTTGAACGCAGTGTTTCTTAATCTGTGGTTCTTGGATCACCTGCATCAGAATGACCTGGGTGGCTCACACTTGCAATTCCAACACTTCGGGAGGCCAAGGTGGGAGGATCGCTTGAGCCCACGAGTTCAAGACCAGCCCTGAGCAAAAGAGTGAGATACTGTCTCTATAAACTAAACTAATTAATCATTTAAAAATAAAATAAAAGTTTCTGGATTGTGTCCTAGATCAGGTGAATAACAATCTCTGGAGATGAGGCCCTAGAATCTGCATTTTTAGCAAGTGCTCAGGCCATTGTCATGCACACAGAAGCACACAGAGACCCACTGATAAGACCATCAACAGATTCTCTTCCTGCTCAAAAATTCTATAATTCTCATGACCCAAATTGTAGTTAGCTCTATTTTTCTGTGATCAAAGCAAAATTAAAAGGAGACAGGAAATAACAAAGATTTAGAAACTACTATTTGCAGGCCAGGCATGGTGGCTCACACCGGTAATCCCAGCACTTTGGGAGGCTGAGGTGGGCAGATCACTGGGTCAGGAAATCGAGACCATCCTGGCCAACATGGTGAAACCTCGTCTCTACTAAAAAAATACAAAAAATTAGCCGAGGGTGGTGGCACGTGCCTGTAGTCCCAGCTACTTAGGAGGCTGAGGCACGAGACTCGCTTGAACCCGGGAGGTGGAGGTTTGCAGTAAGCCACGATCGCACCACTGCACTCCAGCCTGGGTGACAGAGCAAGACTCCATCTCAAAAAAAAAAAAAAAAAGAAAAGAAACTACTACTTGCCTTGTACTATGTTTAGGTTTTTATATACACTGTCGTATTTTTCTCCACAATGATCTTTTGAGGTAGGTATTATTATCACCATAGTATGCATGGATTCAAAGTTGGGAATCTGATTTCAAAGTCAGTGGTTTTTCAGGAGTCTCTCTGAACCTATTCTGATTCAGTGGCTGCCTGAAAAAAAAAGTCAATGGTTTTTCCATTATACAATGCTCCACTAAGAAACCACAAAAGAGCTTACTGTAATTGATAAGCTCCAGTGCACACCTTATTTGTATACAGTAGATTAGGAGTTGTTTCTTCATTTTTGTTGAATCATGAGTTTTTCCTATTGTGAACCTTAATTGCTTGATGTGGTGATGACAATATAAAAACTATAAGTGTTATGTCACTCCACTTTAGCCTGGGTGACAGAGTAAGACCCTGTCTCAAAAAGACGAAACAAAACAAAACAAAAACCCAGAAAACTAAAATCTTCTTCTTAATTTCTCTTTGCTTTATTCTTCTTGCCTACTTAAAATTTATTCCTCCTATAATCTGTGCGTTTTTGTAAGGCAGTTTAAATCTTTTGTGTGGTGGAGAATGAATTGGATATAAACAAATAATAAAAAGCAAGCTACAATTATGAATTCACTAAACAACCACATTCATGTAAAGAGAATAAAAATACTTGAAATTGTGACAGCCCAGGATAATTTCAGTTTATGAGATCTCAAACATACAGCTAGCTGCAAAATAGAGAAGACAAGTAGTCTAGATGAGAAATAGATTTGAAATTGACAAGGTCTATCTTTTGAATCCTTTTGCTTGAATTACCTGTTTCAGAAAGAGAAGGGGCCAGGGCAGGCTCAAAGACTTGGTTTAGATGGGGAGAAGGAGGTTGGTCTCTTTGGAAACAAAGTCAAAACAAGGTCCATGTGAAAAAGGCATTGCCTTTTCCTCTTCATGGTATTTGGAGAAGAAACACAAAAAGAAAAGCAGAGGATCAAGTTCAGGGGTGATTAAGAATGCTGAGTAATTGAGTCATCCAAGAAATTGTTCTTGCTGCTGACCAGTTTGCATGGAAGTTGAACTGGTCAAAACAGAAATCATCTGGCCTTCTGATTGGTAACTTGTAACCCCATTATCTTGGTCTCTGATTCATAAGAAAAGTAGTTTGATCTAATTTCAAGCTCAGGTGAAAGGAAGAAATGAGGCCGGCCATGGTGGCTTATGTCTATAATCCCACCACTTTGGGATGCCAAGGTGGGTGGATCATCTGAGGTCAGGAGTTTGAGACCAGCCTGGCCAACATGGCGAAACCCCAATTCTACTAAAAATACAAAAATTAGCCAGGTGTGGTGGCATGCGCCTGTAATCCCAGCTACTCGGGAGGCTGAGGGAGAATCACTTGAACCCGAGAGGTGAAGGTTGCAGTGAGCCGAGATCGCACCACTGCACTCCAGCTGGGTGACACAGAGAGACTCTGTCTCAAAAAAAAAAAAAAAAAAAAAAAAGCTGGGTGCGGTGGCTCACACCTATAGTCCCAGCACTTTGGGAAGCTGAGGTGGGCAGATCACAAGGTCAGGCGTTCAAGACCAGCCTGGCCAACATGGTGAAACCCCATCTCTACTAAAAATACAAAAAATAGCCGGGTATGGTGGCAAGCGCCTGTAATCCCAGCTGCTCTGGAGGCTGAGGCAGGAGAATTGCTTGAGCCCGGGTGGTGGAGGTTAGAGTGAGCCGAGATTGTGCCATTGCACTCCAGCCAGGGCAACGGAACGAGACTCCGTCTCAAAATAATAAAAAGAACGAAAGAAAAGAAAAGAAGAAATGAATATAGGAACTTTCCTCTGTGATTGGATAGAGCTATCTTGTGACAAGAGAATAGCAAAAGTCACCTGTCTGAGATAATGTTTTGGAAAGGACATTATAAAGCCATATACAATGTAAGCAATTGTTTTTGTTGTTGTTTTTGATTAAGACAACACAACTGAAGGGAACCCTAGATATCATCAAGTCTAATTCCTTCATCTTATGATGTCTATGTGGACACTGAAGCCTGTCAGGTTAAGTGTATTTGTTGCCCAAGAGCACACACTTAGCAGAAGTAGCAATGTAGACTTTAGAATTAGACAAACCCTATGCAGGGCCCGGCTCTGCCATTTACTAGTTTATGATTTAGGGCTGGGGAGCGCCTCAGAGAGGTGAAAAGCTGAGCTACACAGAGAAAGTGGAGTTTTCCAGAGGGTCAGGCAATACAGACAGAGGGAGCAGTATATCTGAAGAGGAGCTATGACAGGGAGGATGAGCTTAATGAAGAAAGGGATGCAGGTGGCTGTAGCTGGAGCACATGGAGCTCTTGGGGGAGGGACGAGAAATTATGGGAAGAAAGGGAGGCTGTTGTCTTGTCTCTGGAAGAGGAAACTCCACTGCCAGATTTTTTTTTCTTGCTATATCAATATTACTTTGCATCAGCAACATACCCAAAGAAGCCTGAGTTGCTATAATACAAACTCTAGAAAAGGTGGCTTTTCCAGCAGAGTCTCCTATACTTCTTAGTCTAGGAAGGCAGACTGGAAAGGGCCTGGGATATTACTGGTCCCTTGAAGTCCCTTCCAATAATCCTGTGAGCTGAGCTCTCTTCAGCTCAATGCCCAGGAAGGCTTTCTTAGGCAACAGTTCTCGGGGTGTGTTCAAACAAACAAACAAACAAACAAACAAAAAACCATGAATAATAGCTACCATTTCTATGTGCCTGGCATTATTCTGTTGAGTGAATTGATTCATTTAATCCCCACAAGTCTTATGAAGTAATCACCGTTATTTTTCTACTCCTCAACTTTTCAAAACTTTTTTCTTTTTTTTTCTTTTTTTTTTTTTTTTTGAGATGGAGTCTTGCACCTGTTGCGCAGGGTGGAGTGCAATGGTGCGATCTCGGCTCACCACAACCTCTGCCTCCCGGGTTCAAGCGATTCTCCTGCCTCAGACTCCCCAGTAGCTGGGACAATAGGCATGCGCCATCACGCCTGGCTAATTTTGTATTTTTATTAGAGACGGGGTTTCTCCACGTTGGTCAGGCTGGTCTCGAACTCCTGACCTCAGGTGATCCGCCTGCCTTGGCCTCCCAAAGTGCTGGGATTACAGGCGTGAGTCACCGGACCCAGCCAACTTTTTTTTTTTCATTAAAAAAATTTTTTTACCAGCCTGGCCAATATGGTGAAACCCTGTCTCTACTAAAAGTACAAAAATTAGCTGGGCATGGTGGTGCGCACATATAGTCCCAGCTACTCGGGAGGCTGAGGCAGAAGAATCACTTGAACCCAGGAGGCAGAGGTTGCAGTGAGCAGAGATCACCCCACTGCACTCCAGCCTGGGCGACAGAGTGAGACCCAATCTTAAAAAAAAAAAAATTGTTTTAGCCAGGCACAGTGACTCACGCCTGTAATCCAACACTTTGGGAGGCCGAGGCAGGTGGATCACCTGAGGTCAGGAGTTCGAGACCAGCCTGGCCAACATGGTGAAACGCCGTCTCTACTCAAAATGCAAAAATTAGCCGGGCGTGGTGGTGGGCACCTGTAATCCCAGCTACTCGGGAGGCTGAGGCAGGAGAATCGCTTGAACCCAGGAGGTGGAGGTTGCAGTGAGCTGAGATCATGCCACTGCACTCCAGCCTGGGCAACAGAGTGCGACTCCATCTCAAAAAAAAAAAAATTAGCCAGGCATGATGGCACATGACTGTAATCCCAGCTACTCGGGAGGCTGAGGCAGGAGAATTGCTTGAACCCGGGAGGCAGAGGTTGCAGTGAGTCGAGATTGCGCCATTGCACTCCAGCCTGGGCAACAGAGCAAAACTGTCCCCCCCCAAAAAATTTTTTTTTTTAATAAAGATAGGGTCTCGTTGTGTTATGCAGGCTGGTCTTGAACTCCTAGTCTCAAGCAATCCTCCTGCCTCGGCCTCCCAAAATGCGGGGATTATAGGCATCGGCCACCATTCTCAGCTCACAACTTTTTATTGGAAGTGTAAGATCCATACAAAAACATATATGTCATAAGTGTACAGCTTGATGAATTTTCACAAAAGAGCATACACATGTATGTAACTAGCTTCCAGAATAAGACATAAAAAGTTACCAGCACCAAAAGGCCCCTAGCAGTCACTAGTCTTCCCACCCCCAACTCCCTGCAGAACAACTACCATCCTTACTTTTTACAGCAGAGCTTACTTTGTTTTTGTATGGTATGAACCTGTAGGTAACTGCTTTCATTTCATTTACATTACATTGCATATATGTGGTTAGTTATGGGTCTCTTCATTCTCTCTTATCACTGTATAACAACCTAAACTTTTCATTTTGAAACAGTTTTCTAAACCCACAGAAAAGCTGAAAGACCAGTACAATGAACACTCATATAACTGTTTTTTGTTTTGTTTTGTTTTTGAGGCCTTCTTATTCTGCTGCCCATGCTGGAGTGCAGTGGCGCCATCATGGCTCATTGCAGCCTCTACCTCCTGGGATCAAGTGATCCTCCTGCGTAAGCCTCCTTAGTAGCTGGGACTATAGGCACACGCCAACATTCCTGGCTAACTTTTGTATTTTTTTTGTAGAAATGGGGTCTCCCTATGTTGCCTGGGTTGGTCTTGAACTCCTGGGCTCAAGCAACCCTCCTGCTTCAGCTTCCTAAAGAGCTGGGATATAGTTGTGAGCAACCGCACTCAGCCTTATAAAACCTTTACGTAAAACATGAAGAGCTATTATTATCTCCACTTTACATATGAGGAAACTAAGACAAAAAGAAATTAGGTAACTAGCCCAGGTCATGCCCCTGGGATCTAATTTTGCCTAGCTTGCTGCTTAGTCATAAAACTATAGCCAGATCATATAACTTATCTGAGACTGTTTCTTTACTGTTAAGATGGGAGTAATAACCCCACTCCATCAAGTTTCCAGGCTGTTGTGAGGCTCAAATATGAGCGACATGGGAAAGTGCTTTGTGAAGAGTAAAGTGGTGGCACCTATCGTCACAAATGCAGGCTTCTGGGCCCCACCCCTCATAGATCTTGACTCAGTAGGTCTGGGGGAGGAGGCATAACGTTTGACAAACATCTTCGGTGATTCTGATAGTTTCCAGACCACCATGAGAAAACACATTTGTAAAACAGTAGCTTTCAAACTTTAGAAATTATAAGAATCACTTGAAGGAATTATCAAAACACAGATTGCAGGGCCCACACACAGAATTTCTGATTTACTAGGTTTGGGGTGAGGCCTGAGAATTTGCATTTCTAAGTTCCCACGTGATGCTAATGCTATTGACCCAGGACCCCCACTTTGAGAACCACTGCTGCAAAGCATTTATATAGGTCAGTTATGAGTACTGGTTAACCTGATAATCCACGATAATTTTATTAAGAGTGACTTCTAAGAAATAATAAGTTGGGGCCAGGCACCGTGGCTCATGCCTATAATCCCAGCCCTTTGGGAGGCTGAGGCAGGATTGCTTGAGGCCAGGAGTTCAAGACCAGCCTGGGCAACATAGTGAGACCACATCTCTAACACAAAATAAATAAAAAAGAAAGAAAGAAAGAAAAGAACAAATAAAAAATAGGAAATATTTATAAAAAAATTATTGGGCACTCACAAGCTGAAACAGTTTCAACTATTTATTCAACACCTTAGTGAACACCTGCTCAGTGCGGGCATTATTATATGTTAACTAGAGGTTACAAAAAGAAAAAAAGTTTTTTGACCTCAAGGAAAAAGAATGTATGAACACATAAATAATATTGTGTGATAAAGGCAAGCATAGGCCGGGTGCGGTGGGTCACACCTGTAATTCCAGCACTTTGGGAGGCTGAGGCAGGCGGATCACGAGGTCAGGAGGTTGAAACCATCCTGGCTAACACGGTGAAACCCCGTCTCTACTAAAAAATACAAAAAAATTAGCCGGGCATGGTGGTGGGCACCTGTAGTCCCAGCTACTCGGGACGCTGAGGCAGGAGAATGGCGTGAACCCGGGAGGCGGAGCTTGCAGTGAGCCCAGATCGTGCCACTGCACTCCAGAGTGAAGACTCCGTCTCAAAAAAAAAAAAAAAAAAAAAAAAAAAAGGCAAGCATAAATGTACAAAGTACAGAGGTGCAAAGATGTCTGAGTGATAGATTCCATCTAAGGTAGTCGGGAGGTCTTCCTGGGGGTGGTGGCATCTGTCCACCACCCTCAGGTGGGAATTTGAAGGATAAATTCCCAGTGAACAAGGTGGAGACAGCATGAGCAATGACATACAGGAATCCTATAATAGGATGTGTTCAAAGGACTGTAAGTAAATCTGTGTGACTAGAGCTTAAAGTTTAAGATAGGTGCAACACAAAGTATCTGAGACAGGACTCAATCAATTTAGAAGTTTATTTTGCCAAGGGTAAGGACACACACATGGGAGACAGGTCTGTGCCTTTCTCCAAAGATGATTTTGAGGGTTTCAATATCTAAAGGGGAAAGGAGTGGATACTGGGGAGAGGAGAAATTGTTAAGGGGTGTGGGCCAGTAAGAGGCAAATGGTTGCATTCCTTTGAGTCTTTGATTAGCCATTGACATGTGAGATGGGGGGGTAGAGGAATAGTCACGCATTCATCTAGCTCAGTGAATCTGCATTTTTAAATAAGATAAAATAAACATAGGCCAGAGGGAGCAATCAAATATTAATTTGTCTCAGGTGAGCAGAGGGATGCTATTGTGTTCTGTCCTATGTCCCACATCTGTGAATATAAGCTATCAATTTACATTGTGAGGATGAAATTCAACAGAACTTTTTAGGGTAAAGATCTTGGGGCCCACAAGGAATTTCCTAGTGGGCAAATTATGAGGGAGGTATGTAGCTTTTTTGTTTTGTTTTCTTTTGAGACAGAGTCTCACTCTGTTATCCAGGCTGGAGTGCAGTGTCTCCATTATAGCGGTCCCCAACTGCAGCCTTGACCACCCAGGCTCAAATGATCCTTCCACCTCAGCCCAGCAAGTAGGACTACAGGCGCATGCCACCACACCCGGCTAACTTTTGTATTTTCTGTAGAGACGGGATTTCACCATGTTGCCCAGGCTGGTCTCAAACTCCTGGGTTCAAGTGATCGCCTGCCTCAGCCTCCCAAAGGGCTGAGATTACAGGCATGAACCACTGCGCCTGGCTTATGTAGCTTATCTTTGAATAGGAGGTTTGTGTGACACAGTCCCCAGCTTGACTTTTCCCTTTGGTTCAGTGATTTTGGGGTCCCAAGATTTATTTTCCTTTCACACAGGTAAAGTCCGGAGAAGAAGCTGGTGAGAAAGAGACAGGAGCCAGATGCTGAATGACGGTAAATCGAATCCTGGAGGGAACCAAACAAAACCCTGAAAACCTCCAGGAATCTCAGGTTGGCCAAATCCTTGGTAATGTCCTGCCACTCCCCAGGACTGCCACACTGTACACACCCTATCTAATGGCAACCTACTGCAGGGGCCAAGGAAAAACGTCTCCTTTGTCCTCTGGAGGTTCACTGAAAAATCAACTGGCGGAAAGCAAATTAACAGGTCAAAAGATATACATGTATTATTATAAAAAGACGTAAATGTATTATTGGGCATGTGGGGGAACCACAGAGTAATTACTCCACCTCTCAGTGGGCTCAGAAGCTTATATACCCCTCCTGAGGTTACAGAAAGTTTGGGGGCTCAGAGAATGGTGGTAAATCAGGATTTAGTGGCAAGACAGAAATGGAAACTTGGCTAGCAAAAGTCATTTCATTATGTAGATTGGGGTCCCCAAACTTTGGGCCATTTACACTGTGGCCATTTACATTCCTGTTAGGAATAGGGCCGCACAGCAAGAGGTGAGTGGCGGGTGAGTGAGCAATACCGCCTGAGCTCTGCCTCTTGTCAGGTCAGCAGCTGGTATTAGGTTCTCTTAGGAGCAAGAACGCCGCTGTGAACTGCACATGCAAGGGATCTAGGTTGCGGCTCCTTATGAGAATCTAATGCCGATGATTTAAGGTGGAACAGTTTCATCCTGAAAACCATCCCCCTGCCCTGGTCCATGGAAAAATTGTCTTCCATGAAACCTATCCCTGGTGCCAAAAAGGTTGGGGACCGCTCATGTAGATGAAACCTCACAGGTAGTAGCCATTGGAAAGAATAGATGGTTGATGTTTCTTTCAGACCTTTAAAGGTGTCAGACTGTCCATTAACCTTTCCTATATCTGGACGAGGGAAAACCTCAGAGAGCACCTGGCTGCATCAATGCAGATTTTCTCTGTATATTGCAAGCCTCTCTCACACACACACACACACACACACACACACACACACACACACACACACACACCAAACAGCTTCGTAGGACTACTTCCGCCTGCAGGTCCTCTGAACAGCCATATCTCAAAATATGTGAAAGAAGTATATTTTGGGGTAAAATTTTTTGGTTTCCTTCACTACACATCTCACCTTGGGTGTTATTCTTGCCACTGGTTTCATGTTCTCAGACTCACGAAGCTGAAAAACAGTTGGGGATGCAGAATTTGATGTGCTTCATCCTTTGTGGGCTTGAAGAGTCTCTTGTTCCCAAAATTATTCCCTGGGGCCCTCTGCTTCACAGGCAAATAAAAGCAAAAAGAAGCTTGCTCAGCCTTAAGTGAGGAAATGACTCACAGGTTTAAAACAAAAAAGGAAAAGATGGAGGCATTTTGTAGGTGAAAGGGCGAGAGTCTTCTGATGCAAAGTAAGAGGTCATTAGAGCAGGGATGGATTATCAATAAGCAGAGCAAACATTTGCTTAGGGAACAAACAGCGCCGGAACACGAAAAAGAAAAGAAAAACATAATAATTTAATTACTTAAAACACTGAAGATGGCAACATAGGAAAAAACCCAAACCAGAACATTTTTGGACTTCATAACATTTTATGGTTCAGTATTTATGGCTTAGTATTTTATTTTGAATTACATGTGGGGAGGAGGGGTAAAAATACTTTAATTTTTCTTGCTAAGTAAGTACTATTATATATTCAGGTATAATGGGATAAGGGATACCATTTTAATGGGTCCGTTTGGAGCTTTAAATATGATCAACAGTATCTGTGTGCATGCAAGATTGGTTAAGAAACTGGGTTAGACCGAGTGCGGTGGCTCACGCCTGTAATCCCAGCACTTTGGGAGGCCAAGGCGGGCGGATCACGAGGTCAAGCGATCGAGACCATCCTGGCCAACATGGTGAAACCCCGTCTCTACTAAAAATACAAAAATTAGCTGGGCGTGGTGGCCCGCGCTTGTAGTCCCAGCTACTCGGGAGGCTGAGGCAAGAGAATCACTTGAACCCGGGAGGCTGGGGTTGCAGTGAGCCAAGATCGCGCCACTGCACTCCAGCCTGGCGACAGAGCGAGACTCCGTCTCAAAAAACAACAACAACAACAACAACAACAGAAAATGAAAACAAATTGGGGTAAAAGTCTCTGAGAGCTTCCTACAGTTACAACTCCAAAGCTTCACAAAGCCAGTCCCTCCTGGCTGGAGCCAGGGACTCCAACGCTGTGGGCCTCTCAGGGGGCGGACCCGCGGCGCCAGCGCCTGCTCCCTTCCCACCTCCCAACCCTCCTCTCTGCTGTATCCTCCCTGCGAGCTGTGTCGGGGGCCGGGGGGGGGGAGTGGGGGCCGAGGCCGGACAGCTTCATCTGGAAATCCCCCGCCACTCACGGGGGAAGAAGTCCCACGAGCCCTATCTGGCCTCGGGCGCTGGCGCAACTTGTCTGCTCAAATAATCTCGTTCCAAATCTGTGCGTTTTACACAAGAAACAAACAAACAAAACAACAACAACAAAAAAACACAACTGGGACTCAGATGACGTTTTAAGTTGTCTTTGAAAAACAATGCATAACCCTGCACGTATAAAGTTGCCTATGTCACATAACCCTAGGCAGCTGTCATTCTGGAGTGATCTGGAGTTAAGTTTTTTGTTTTCTTTTTCTTTTTTCTTTTCTTTTTTTTTTTTTAGACAGGGTCTCAGTCACTCAGGCTGGGGTGCAGTGGTACAGTGGCGCGATCTCGACTCATTGCAGCCTCGACCACCTGGGCTCAAAAGATTCTTTCACCTCAGCCACCCACCCGCCTGCCCCCAACCCCGCTAAACAGCCGGGACTAGCTGGGACTACAGGCGCGCGCCACCACGCTGGGCTGCTTTCTTTGTATTTTGAGAGAGACGGGGTTTCGCCATGTTGGCCAGGCTGGTGATTCGCTCGCCTCGGCCTCCCAAAGTGCTAGGATTACAGGCGTGAGCCACCGCGCCCAGCCGCCACAAAACTTTTAAAAGTTATTACTTCGCTAAAAATAACAGCGTAGAAGCCATTGTGCAGCGCCACGCGATCTCGGCTCACTGCAGCCTCGACCTCCCAGGCTCAAGCGATCCTCCCATCTTAGCCTCGCAGGTAGCTGGGGCCACAGGCGCACGACACCACGCTGGGCTATTTTTTAAAATAAAATAAAAATCTTCGCCAGGCTGGTCTCGAACTCCTAGGCTCGACAGATCCTCTCGCCTCAGCATCCCAAAGTGTTGTGATTACAGGCGTGAGCCACCGCTTCCATTTTTAGAGTTCTATTCTGAGGACTAACGCCGTTCAACAAGTTGGTGTGAATTTGTTTGCATTTTTCAAAACCCCAAAGCCGGCCTGGGCGCCATCCCCATTTGCCCCGGGCCTCTCAGGACCCCGACCACAGGCAGGACCCCGACCACAGGCAGCGCCCCGACTCCAGGCAGCGCCCCGACTCCAGGCAGGGCTACCTCCAACTCCCAGCCTCCCCAGGCCGGGCCCCCGCCCGGCTCCCGACAGGCTCCTCTCCCCGTGGCGGGGCCCCTCGCCCAGGCAGCACACCCTCTCAACCCGACCGGGCCCCCACCACTCTAGGAGGGCCGGCGTTGGGGGAGGGCGCCGGGACGTGCCCGAGGGTGACACTCGGGCTTGGGACAGGGCGTGCTGCCGCGGGTCACGTGCTGCGGAGGCTTGGGGAGGGGCGGCGAGGCGGGGTTTATAGCCCGGGCGCCCGCGGGCCCCACGCTTTGACCGGGTCGTGGCAGCCGGAGTCGTCTTCGGGACGCGCCTGCTCTTCGCCTTTCGCTGCAGTCCGTCGGTGAGTGCGCGCCCAGTGGGTGCCCCAGCGAACCGGTCCCGGGCCCCCAGCGGCGCCCAGTTGGGGTGGGGGGCTCCCCGGGGCCTTGGGACCGCTGCTCTGCTCCCCGCGGGGCTCAAAGGTGGACGGGACGCGGGGGTGATGGTCCGAGACCCCCCGCTCGCCTCGCGGCTTCCAGGTCCTGGCTGGGTAGGGGCGGTCTGCTGAACCCGCGCTTTCGACCCTTGCCTTTGTGCGTTGAGGCTTCTTTCCTGCCAACAGATTTAGGGCGATTGCTATCGAATGTCCCTTGGCCTGCTTGGGTGGTTGTGGGAAAACAATATTTGTCGAAGGGACATTATCGAAAGGGAAACGCGTTAGAAAACCGCATTTTTTTTTTGACGGAGTCTCGCTCTGTCGCCCAGGCTGGAGTGCAGTGACGCCATCTAGGCTCACTGCAACCTCCGCCTCCCGGGTTCAAGCGATTCTCCTGCCTCAGCCTCCAGAGCAGCTGGGATAACAGGCGCCCGCCACCACGCCCGGCTAATTTTTGTATTTTTAGAAGAGACGGGGTTTCACCACGTTGGTCAGGCTGGTCTTGAACTCCTGACATCAAGCAGTCCACCCCCCTCGGCCTCCCAAAGTGCTGGGATTACAGGCGTGAGCCACCGCGTCCGGCTTGGCTAGCATTTTTGTTAACAGATACTCGGAGAAACAAGAGAAGTATGTCAACAACTTTACTTCTCCCTCCTGAGTATTGCAAGTTTACACATAAGCTCTGAAACTTTGCCTCAAAAGAGGGAGTGGGGTTGTGTGGGTGTGGGTCTTTCAGGAGGGGGACCTGGAGAGCTGGAGAGAGGAAAGAAGTGCAGAAGACTACAGGGAGCTCACCCTGCATTTTTCTCTACTTGTAATCAGCATTTGCTTGGGTTGGGGAATGAATTTGGGAGAGTCTTATCCCGGTGTTCTGAAATAAGTCTCTTTTCTGCAGATTTCTTTCTCCAGGAAGAAAAATGGCATCCGTTGCAGTTGATCCACAACCGGTATGAATTTTGAGTAGCCTTTGTCTACTTTCTCTCCTTTTGTGTTTTGAGAGATTAATAAGCATACCCTCCCTACTTTGATTGCAGAGTGTGGTGACTCGGGTGGTCAACCTGCCCTTGGTGAGCTCCACGTATGACCTCATGTCCTCAGCCTATCTCAGTACAAAGGACCAGTATCCCTACCTGAAGTCTGTGTGTGAGATGGCAGAGAACGGTGTGAAGACCATCACCTCCGTGGCCATGACCAGTGCTCTGCCCATCATCCAGAAGCTAGAGCCGCAAAGTGAGTTCTGATTTTTCAAGATGCAAGTCAAGGGACTGGTCAGTGGCGAGCCCCTGAGCTCACAGCAGTAACATCTGGAACTCCTCAGCCCTTCCTGGGGCATACACTGCCTTTACCTAGAAACTTTCAGGTGACCCTCATTACCGTAAGAGGACTGTTTCTTTTCTTTTCTTTCCTTTTTTTTTTTTTTTGAGATGGAGTCTCACTCTATCACTCAGGCTGGAGTTCAGTGGCGCAGTCTTGGCTCACTGCAACCTCTGCCTGCTGGGTTCAAGTGATTCTCCTGCCTCAGCCTCCCGAGTAGCTGGGACTACAGGCTCCCACCACCATGCCCAGCTAATTTTTGTATTTTTAGTAGAGACGCGGTTTCACAATATTGGCCAGGCTTAACTCCTGACTTTGTGATCCACCCACCTCTGCCTCCCAAAGTGCTGGGATTACAGGCGTGAGCCACCGCGCCTGTCCACAGAAGGCCTGTTTCATAGCTTTGGCAGATGTTTATGATCCTTTAATTAAAAATCCCCCAGAGGATGGGCACGGTGGCCTGCACCTGTAATCCTAGCACTTTGGGAGGTCTAGATGGGAGGATCGCTTGAGGCCTGGAATTTGAGACTGCTCACTGCAGTCTCTGCCTCTCGGGCTCAGGTGATTGTCCTGCCTCAGCTCCCTGAGTAGTTGGGATTACAGGCATACACCACCATGCCCAGCTAATTTTGTATTTTTAGTAGAGACAGGGTTTTGCCATGTTGGCCAGGCTGGTCAGGAACTCCTGACCCCAGGTGATCCGCCCGCCTCGGCCTCCCAAAGTGCTAGGACTACAGGTGTGAGCCACCATGCCTGGCCATGAATGAGTTTTAGAAATGGATAGTGGTGATGGTTGTATAATGTTGTAAATGGACTTAATGCCACTGAATTGCACAGTTAAAAATGGTTGAAATGGTGAAATTTGTTATGTATATTTTACCGAAATAAAGAATAGAAATGTCATACTCCATGAGAAATCTCATACTCTCATACTTAGTAGTCACTCCCCATTTCCTAACAACCACCCTGAGGCAGCTACTCATCTACTTTGTCTTTATAGATTTGCCTATGCTGGATATTTCTTATAAATGAAATCATAAAATGTGTGGGTTTTTTTGTGATTGGCTTCTTTCGTTAAGCATAATGTTTTCAAAGTTAATCTGTCTTGTCACATCATATCAGTACTTCATCTCTTTTTATTGTTGAATAGTAATTTACTGTCTAGACAGACAATATTTATTCATTCTTCAACTGATGGATGTTTGGGTTCGTTCTACTTTTGGAGATTATGTATAATGCTTCTGTGAACATTTGTATACAAGTTTTTGTGTGGACATGTTTTCAGGTTTTTTTGGTATATACCCAGGAGTGGAATTGCTGGGTTATATAATAACTGTTTAAGCTTTTGAGGAGCTGCCAGACTGTTTTCCAAATCAGCTGTACCATTTTACATTCCCACCAACACTGTATGGAGGCTCCAATTTCTCCACAACATGAACTGCTTTTGAATAAAGATTTAAATCATTCTTTCAAATGGTTAAGCCAGGGACTTTTAGGATTATAAGGAGCCTTTAGAGACCAGCCATTCCAACTCTGCTACTTCCTAAATGAATTTGGTACTAGTACTTGGTTTGGTATTCTTAGTGGGAAGCTCACACTAAAATCTCCCTTGTTAGGGAGATCCAGGGTGGTCTTGGCATACTCTTTCCTCCTGAGGACCCCAAATACACTGACCTGTGCTGAAGTAAGCGTAGGTAGGGATTAAACTAGCATGGGAATGCCGATTTTGAGAGAGTTTCCAGATACCTTATTCTCTGAATGACAGTTCAGGGAAAGCCCGGCTACTCTTGGCATTAACATTAGGGGCCAGTTGATAAGGAAGAAGCTTCAGAGCCAGCTTCCTGTTTGGCCTGTCACTGCCTCTGCCTGCTCCTCCCTCACACCCCCATATTTCCTTACCTTTAGAAGAGAGTTGCCAGCAACTTGCCAGGCCTCTTCCTGTCAGAACTAGATAAACCAGGCAATGCCTTCTGTTGTATAAGATCAACATTCTTGCCTTTTTTTTTTTTTTTGAGATGGAGTCTTGCTCTGTCACCCAGGCTGGAGTGCAATGATGCATCTTGGCTCACTGGAACCCCTGCTTCCTGAGTTCAAGCGATTCTCCTGCCTCAGCCTCCTGAGTAGCTGGGACTACAGGCGCACACCATCACGCCCAGCTAATTTTTGTATTTTTAGTAGAGACGGGGTTTCACCATGTTGGCCAGGATGGTCTCGATCTCTTGACCTCGTGATCCGCCTGCCTCAGCCTCCCAAAGTGCTGGGATTACAGGCGTGAGCCACCGTGCCCAGCCCATTATTGCCATTTTTTATAAGGCCTATGGTAATGTGTGTTCATTCTATACCTATAGTACTACATTAACATTTTCCCATTTGTGATTCTAGTTGCAGTTGCCAATACCTATGCCTGTAAGGGGCTAGACAGGATTGAGGAGAGACTGCCTATTCTGAATCAGCCATCAACTCAGGTGAGCTTGGGACAAAAGTGCTGAGACTTGACACTTCACATGTTTTCATCTTCTATCTGTTAAAACAAGCTGTACATATCACAAACAGGCAAATACTTGTTTTCCCAACCTGGATCTGGATGTATGTTTGAAAAATAATGGCCACTTCCTTACTTCCTGAACTGTTGTCAAGTTGTATCTACGAAGCAGAGAAGAACTAGCCTCCTTTGGATTAGAAAACTTTTAGTGTGTTGTCTATCAGTTTGTGTCTTTGCTCCTATAAATGAAATTGCTGTCTCAAGTAACTGATTGTCTTGTGGTATTAAATAAATGCAGACGTGATATATATAACCTTTTCTCACCTGGCTTGTACAATGCTGCCAGGAACTACCATCCATATGGGATAGCTAGCCAGTGTTGACAAAAATGATAGGCTTGTCTGTCCTGGTGATCCTTTGGTTCAGATAATGTCCTAAAATTTTGTTTCAAATTAAGAATACAGAATGGCACAAAAGGATACCAGTTAGGGAAAAATATAGCTCTGTGTCTTTTCATAATCTAAATACAGTCATCTGTCACTTAGTGATGGGAATATATTTTGAGAAATGCACATTAGGTGATTTTGCCATTGTGTGAACATCACAGAGTATACTCACACCAACCTAGATGGTAGAGCCCAGTGGTCCCCAAGCTTTATGGCACCAGGAACTGGTTCCATGGAAGACAGTTTTTCCATGGACCAGCAGGGGGTGGGTGGTGTTTTTGGGATGATTCAAGTGCACTATATTTATCATTAGATTCTCATAAGGAGCATGCACGTGCACAGTTCACAAGAGGGTTAGGGTTAGGTCTCCTATGAGAATCTAATGCCGCCTCTGACTGGTAATGGACTGGTAATGGACTGGTAATGGTCCATGGCCCGGGGGTTAGGGACTTGTGGTGTAGCCTGCTATATACCTAGGCTATATGGTGTATAGCCTGCTATATACCTAGGCTATATGGTGTATAGCCTGCTATATACCTAGGCTATATGGTGTATAGCCTGCTATATACCTAGGCTATATGGTGTATAGCCTGCTATATACCTAGGCTATATGGTATATAGCCTGTTGCTTGCTTCTAGGCTACAAACCTGCACAGCATGACTACACTGACTACTGTAACACAATGATAAGTATTCGTGTATCTAAACTAGAAAAGGTACAGTGAAAAAAAAAAGTATACCTGTTATAGGGCAGTTCATTATAATCTTATGGGACTATCATTGAATAGTGGTCCATCGCTGACCAAAATATTATGTGGTACACAACTATAGGTAGGTTTAGTGTATAGCCTTTAGAATGCTTGTGCAAATCTTTTAAATTTTTCACTTACATTGCTTGAGACTGTGCTAATGGTGAGAGTTATTTTCCATTTCGGATATTTTCTTTAAATGTTGGTAACTTGTGTTCTTTTTTTTTTTTTTTTTTTTTTTTTTGAGACAGAGTCTTGCTCTGTCACCCAGGCTGGAGTGCAGTGGCACAATCTCGGCTCACTGCTGTCTCTTCCTCCTGGGTTCAAGCAATTGTCCTGCTTCAGCCTCCCCAGTAGCTGGGTTCACAGGCACGCCCCGCCACACCCAGCTAATTTTTTTTGTCATTGTTTGTTTGTTTTTGAGACAGAGTTTTGCTCTTGTTGCCCAGGCTGTAGTGTAATGGTGCAATTTTGGCTCACTGCAACCTCCACCTCTGGGGTTCAAGTGATTCTTCTGCCTCAGTCTCCCAAGTAGCTGGGGTTACAGGCATGTGCCACCACGCCCAACTAATTTTTTGTATTTAGTAGAGACGGGGTTTCACCATGTTGGTGAGGCTGGTCTCGAACTCCTAACCTCAGGTGATCCAACCAACTCAGCTTTGCAAAGTGCTGGCATTACAGGCATGAGCCACCATGCCCTGCCATGTATAATAACTGCATACTAATAACACCCCGAGGGCCAGGTATAGTTTGATCTTCAGTTTCCTCTCTGGATTTGTGTGACTTTGGAATAAGCTATATAACTTACCTTCTTTTCTTTTCTTTTTTTTTCTTTTCTCTTCTCTTTTTTTTTTTTTTTTTTTGAGACAGGGTCTTGCTCTGTCACCCAGGCTGAGTGCAGTGGCACAATCACAGCTCACTGCAGCCTTGGCAAACAGACAAATTTCATATCTGTTTACTTCATTTGCTCCTCCTGCAATTCCCAAGGATTGGCAGGTAGGGCAGATATACTTGATAGGGAAATTCAGGCTCATCAACTCTTAGTGACTTGCCCAAGACCTAAAGCTAGAGTGAGAGGACTAGATTCCTTCTTTAACTCTTCAGCTGTGCTGCCTTAGTTAAGACCTTAGGTATGTCCTTGTGCTCATTTTTCTCACCAGCCAGGGGATCTGCTTTTCTACTTACAGATTGTTGCCAATGCCAAAGGCGCTGTGACTGGGGCAAAAGATGCTGTGACGACTACTGTGACTGGGGCCAAGGATTCTGTGGCCAGCACGATCACAGGGGTGATGGACAAGACCAAAGGGGCAGTGACTGGCAGTGTGGAGAAGACCAAGTCTGTGGTCAGTGGCAGCATTAACACAGTCTTGGGGAGTCGGATGATGCAGCTCGTGAGCAGTGGCGTAGAAAATGCACTCACCAAATCAGAGCTGTTGGTAGAACAGTACCTCCCTCTCACTGAGGAAGAACTAGGTAACTGGAATTTTATCTTGAAATACTGTTTTATATTAAATCTTTCTTAAACAGCTTCATTGACATATACTCTCATCTTGAGTCTAAATTTACACAGTTGTGCAAGCATCACTGCAATCCAGTTTCAGAACACTTCTGCTACCCCAAAAGATCCTCATGCCTGTTTGCAGTCAGTCCTTTTTAATTTAATTTAATTTTATAGAGATGGGATCTCACTATGTTGCCCAGGCTGATCTCGAACTCCTGGGCTCAAACGATCCACCTGCCTTGACCTCCCAAAGTTCTGGGATTACAGATGTGAGCAACCACTAATCTTTTTGCCTCTATAGATTTTCCTTCCTAAAGCAATCATAAAGTTCACATTGAATCGTACGTAGTAAGTTTTGAAACCTTAGCAAAAATTGGCCTTGAAAAATATTTTCTGTAAATGGATAGTCTTTAATGGATTGCTTTATAAAATCCTCCTTACAAAGAATCATCATTAGGTAATGTGTGCCAGGTACCATGCCGCTCAAGTTCACTCTAGGCTGGGAGCAATGGTGCATGCATGCCTACAATCCCAGCACTTTGGGAGGCTAAGACAGGCAGATCGCTTGAGTTCAGGAGTTTGAGATTAGCCTGGGCAACATGGCGAAACCCTAAAAAACACAAAAATTAGCTGGGCATGGTGGCTTGTTCCTAGAGTCCTAGCTACTCGGGAGGCTGAGGTGAGAGGATCAGTTGAGCTCGGGAGGTTGAGGCTGCAGTGAGCCAAAATTGTGCCACTGTACTCCAGCCTGGGCAACAAAGCAAGACCTGTTTCCAAAAAAAAAAAAGCAGTTTACTCTAGTGGGAGAAACGTGTAGATGCATGCAGTGTGTATCAGATACAGTAATATGTTCAGGGTAGTCAAGTCCAGCAGCAGACGTGAGCAGTCTTGGAAAAATGACTGCATGATTGCTAAGTGATTGGGTAGAAGTAAGAAAGTCAAGACCCAGGTTAGAGTCCAGGCCTTATCACTTGTCACTGTGATCCCTTAAGTTTTTTTGTCTCTTATTTCTAACTTCAGAAAAAGAAGCAAAAAAAGTTGAAGGATTTGATCTGGTTCAGAAGCCAAGTTATTATGTTAGACTGGGATCCCTGTCTACCAAGCTTCACTCCCGTGCCTACCAGCAGGCTCTCAGCAGGGTTAAAGAAGCTAAGCAAAAAAGCCAACAGACCATTTCTCAGCTCCATTCTACTGTTCACCTGGTGAGTAAAACTTTATTTTAAGGTGTCTGAAGTGGGTTCATTTATCTCTAGGCCCAAGAATTAAATGTAATCACAAAATCCAAGAATTTCATTCTTAGTTGACAAACAACCCAATAGAAAACTGGACAAAGAATATGGAGACAGCTCACAGAAAAAGGAAGTATAACTAGTTGAAATATAGGAAGCAATGCTAATCTCGCTCTGAGGGGTCAAATACTGACATCTCTCTTGTCCTGCCACACGGGAAATGTGGCTGTTGGCAACGGTGTAGAGAAAGAACCACACTTGTGCAGCTCTTGCTCTAAGGGACTGATTCAAGAGACAGTTTTAGTAAAGTTACAAGCATACCTACACTTGGAGCTGTTTTACTTTTTATCTTACAGATGTGTATATTTGTTTAAAGTTGCAAGAGACTATAACAATGCACATCCACTAACAGGACTAATTAAATTGATATATCACAATAGACTACTGTGTAGCCATTAAAGGTTTCCAAGTTAAAGAACAGTATGTACCATTCTGTACTGCCATGAGAAAACCATTTCTTCTTAGAAGGGGAAATAGTGGTTGGCAACAGGGAAGAGGAAGGTCAAATTCCTTTCTGTTTTGTAATGCTAACTTATCCTTTACTCATGTACACATTAAATTTTAGTTGCTGGCTGGGCGTGGTGGCTCATGCCTATAATCCCAGCACTTTAGGAGGGCAAGGTGGTTGGATCACCTGAGGTCAGGAGTTCGAGACCAGTCTGGCCAACAAGGTGAAATCCTGTCTCTACTAAAAATACAAAAATTAGCTGGGCATGGTGGCGTATGCCTGTAATCCCAGCTACTCGGTAGGCTAAGGCACGAGAAGGAGGTTCAGTGAGCTGTGATCGCGCCACTGTACTTCAGCCTGGGTGACAGAGTGACACTCAAAAAAAATTTTTTGTAGTTTTTTAGTTGCTTTACCTGTGCTAAACTGGAAGTAAATGTGGAGTCAGTGATTTAATAGTTAAATAGAGGCAGTAAAGAGCTACTACTGCTTGGTTAATTTACACATATTGATAATAAATAATAATGATAGCAGGAATAGATCTTATTCAACTCCAGGAAATTCTTAGTTTTTATGTTGCCTGATTTACATCATACATCTGCAAACAGGCTAACGTGAATATCTGACTTGTGTGTTCCTTTGTCTTGTTTCAATGTGTCTAGATTGAATTTGCCAGGAAGAATGTGTATAGTGCCAATCAGAAAATTCAGGATGCTCAGGATAAGCTCTACCTCTCATGGGTAGAGTGGAAAAGGAGCATTGGATATGATGATACTGATGAGTCCCACTGTGCTGAGGTAAGATGACTGGGACGGTCATTTGTTGGTTGCTGAAGAAGTTCTTATCAGACTTTTCATTTCAATTTTTCCATACTATGTCTTAGAATACTCTTCTCTATCAAAAGGTTGAACAATACCATGTACATAGGTGGCTAGTTATGTGGCAGAAAAGCAAAACTAGGCAGCGAATAATTTTATCTAACAACCTATGAGTATACATATGCCCCAAGTGAGATACAACTAAATGAGAAACACAGGCCTTGCCCTCATAATGGGTACAGACTAACAGGGGATACAGCCAGCCATGCTGTCCTATTTTGTGCCTTTTTAATGCTCCTTGCAGAAGAGGGCTATCTCATAGGCAGTACACTCAGAGTAGCCAAGTCCGGTTGTTGTTTAACGGCATAAATACAGGTACTATTGGCTGGGCGCGATGGCTCACGCCTGTAATCCCAACACTTTGGGAGGCCGAGGCGGGTAGATCACGAGGTCAGGAGATCGAGACCATCCTGGCCAACATGGTGAAACCCTGTCTCTACTAAAAATACAAAAAATGAGCCAGGCATGGTGGCACGTGCCTGTAGTCCCAGCTACTCGGGCAGCTGAGGCAGGAGAATAGCTTGAACCTGGGAGGCAGAGGTTGCCATGAGCCGAGATCATGCTACTGCACTCCAGCCTGGGCAACAGAGTAAGACTCTGTCTCAAAAAAAAAAAAAAGAAAACATATGGGAAGACTATCTCAGGCAGCCTTGGAGTGGGGGTAGTTGAGTCACATTGCTTTCTGGAAGAGATGAATGGTAAGCTGAGAACTAATGGGTGAATAAACTAGGTGAAAGGGCAATAAGGTGACCAAGGTTCCAGAGGGAAGGCATAGCATCTTGGCTGGGTGCAATGGCTCACACCTGTAATCTCAGCATTTTGGGAGGCCAAGGCAGGCAGATCACTTGAGCCCAGGAATTCAGGACCAGCCTGGGCAACTGTGAAACCCCATCTCTACAAAAAATACAAAAATTAGCAGGGTGTGGTGGTGTGCACCTGTAGTCCTAGTTGCTCGAGAGGCTGAGGTGGGAGGATCACCTAAGCCCGAGAGGTCGGGTCCGCAGTGAGCCATGATTGTGCCAGTGCCCTCCAGCCTGGGCAACAGACTGAGACCCTGTCTCAGAAAGAAAGAAAGAAAAGAAAAGAAAGAAAGAAGAAAGAAAGAAAAAGGAAGGGAAGCAGGGAGGAAGGAAGGGAAAAGAAATATCCTCTTATAGTCCTAGAAAGTGGTTCTTTGTGTCCCAAAAGCTCTGAAGTCAATATGAACTGTTTGTTCATGTCTTGTCATTTTATTTGAGGAGGGAATATATACATTACACTACTAACATGAAGGATATTTCCATTCTTTTGGGTCTCCCCTACCTAATATGTTTCTTCAGTTTAAGATGATGAACTTTGGAGACTCAGGCACTAGTTCGAATCCCTACCCAGCTGTTTTCCAGTTGTTAACTGAAGCCATCTACTTAAACTCTAAGCTTATATTCATATCTATGAAATGTGAATAATACTGCTGCACTCGGCATTGTAATGAGGATTTTTAAAAGCCAAAGAATCCACATATGTGGTGGACACATAACCAGCCTACTGTCATCGAACTAATTTATACATAGCACTGTTGGATCCACTGCTAATTTTAAGTTTTATTTTTAGCACATTGAGTCACGTACTCTTGCAATTGCCCGCAACCTGACTCAGCAGCTCCAGACCACGTGCCACACCCTCCTGTCCAACATCCAAGGTGTACCACAGAACATCCAAGATCAAGCCAAGCACATGGGGGTGATGGCAGGCGACATCTACTCAGTGTTCCGCAATGCTGCCTCCTTTAAAGAAGTGTCTGACAGCCTCCTCACTTCTAGCAAGGGGCAGCTGCAGAAAATGAAGGAATCTTTAGATGACGTGATGGATTATCTTGTTAACAACACGCCCCTCAACTGGCTGGTAGGTCCCTTTTATCCTCAGCTGACTGAGTCTCAGAATGCTCAGGACCAAGGTGCAGAGATGGACAAGAGCAGCCAGGAGACCCAGCGATCTGAGCATAAAACTCATTAAACCTGCCCCTATCACTAGTGCATGCTGTGGCCAGACAGATGACACCTTTTGTTATGTTGAAATTAACTTGCTAGGCAACCCTAAATTGGGAAGCAAGTAGCTAGTATAAAGGCCCTCAATTGTAGTTGTTTCCAGCTGAATTAAGAGCTTTAAAGTTTCTGGCATTAGCAGATGATTTCTGTTCACCTGGTAAGAAAAGAATGATAGGCTTGTCAGAGCCTATAGCCAGAACTCAGAAAAAATTCAAATGCACTTATGTTCTCATTCTATGGCCATTGTGTTGCCTCTGTTACTGTTTGTATTGAATAAAAACATCTTCATGTGGGCTGGGGTAGAAACTGGTGTCTGCTCTGGTGTGATCTGAAAAGGCGTCTTCACTGCTTTATCTCATGATGCTTGCTTGTAAAACTTGATTTTAGTTTTTCATTTCTCAAATAGGAATACTACCTTTGAATTCAATAAAATTCACTGCAGGATAGACCAGTTACATGCTGTTTGTTCCATATGCTTTGTGTGTTGCTTTCGTAGAGCTGCTTAACCTGCATGACAGAGTTATTATACATACATGAATTTCAATTGGCCTGTTGGGGAGTTTGGCAGAGTGAGAACATTAGAAGGCTAATGTTAAAAATGGGATGCTTGGCCGGGTGCTGTGGCTCATGCCTGTAACCCCAGCACTTTGGGAGGCTGAGGTGGGCGGATCACGAGGTCAGGAGATCGAGACCATCCTGGCGAACACGGTGAAACCCCATCTCTACTAAAAATACAAAAAATTAGCCGGGCACGGTGGCGGGTGCCTGTAGTCCCAGCTACTCGGGAGGCTGAGGCAGGAGAATGGCGTGAACCCGGGAGGCAGAGCTTGCAGTGAGCCGAGATAGCGCCACTGCGCTCTGGCCTGGGCGAAAGAGCAAGACTCCATCTCAAAAAAAAAAAAAAAGAAAAGAAAATAGGATGCTTGATAACAAATTAAAAAAAAATAGGATGCTTGATAACAGATTTAAAACAAATTAAAAGCTAATGTGCATATTCAAATTTTACTAGGTGACAGTTGGCCCTCTTTGTTTGCCAACTTACTGGACCCCTGTGAGTGGGTTTTTAAACCAGTAAAAGGGCCTAGTCATGTCTGACTACCTCACTGAAAAGGAATCAGAGCTGAAAGGAAGTGAGTGATTGTTTAAATCAGCATCATGTAAAGGCATTGGGCATTTCTTGCCAGGGAACCAGTTAAAGCGTGAGTCCTAAAGGGAGATTCTTCACTGTCCAGCCTTAGCTGGACTTAACTTACTGTGTTGTCATTTTGGGAAAAAGTCACTAACCTCAGTTGTTGTTGGGGACATACGTATAGAAGACCATGTGAGACTAATTAGAAGTAAAAAGACTTTAAGCCCCCTGTAGAAAAAGGTTCTTCTTACCTCCTGCCTATGGTATCCAGACTTCTAGTCCATTCAACATTGGTTATTTAGGAACCATCCTGAATCTCCTTGTCACACAGATGAAATATGTCAAACTAGTTTTTAAAAGTGAGTCTCAGAACTTGTGAAATAGGCCAGGCGCTGTGGCTCATACCTGTAATCCCAGCACTTTGGGAGGCCGAGGCAGGCAGATCACCTGAGGTCAGGGATTCGACACCACCCTGACCAACAACGTGAAACCCTTTCTCTACAAAAAATACAAAAATTAGCCTGGCCTGGTGGTGCACGCCTATAATCCCAGCTACTTGGAGGCTGGGCAAGGAGAATCCCCTGCGTCTGGGAGGTGGAGGCTGCAGTGAGCCAAGATTGCGCCACTGCACTCCAACCTGAGCAACAGAGTGAGACTCTGTCTTAAAAAAAAAAAAATGTGAAATAGAGCTACATGCTTCTGGCTGTCCCTGCTAAAAGGTAAGCAGGGCTGCCCTCAGCAGAACTGGGAAGTCTAACTCAAATTAGTCTCTTTCTATCCTGGTTCACCCCTTTCTCTCCATGAAAACAAGGAAGCGGCACATAACTTTACATGTTCCTTTGGTGTGAGTGAGTTTATTAAAGTTTTTTATCGACCAGGCACGGTGACTCATGCTGGTAATCCCAGCACTTTGGGAGGCCGAGGTGGAGAGATCACTTGAGGTCAGGAGTTTGAGACCAGCCTGGCCAACAGGGCAAAACCCAGTCTCTACTAAAAACATAAAAATTAGGCCGGGCTTGGTAGCTCACGGCCTGTAATCCCAGCACATTGGGAGGCTGAGGCTGGCAGATCAAGAGGTCAGGAGAGGCCAACAGTGGCCAGCCTGGCCAACATGGTAAACCTTGTCTCTACTAAAAATACAAAAATTAGCTGGGCATGGGGGCGTGCACCTGTAATCCCAGCTCCTCGGGAGGCTGAGGCAGGAGAATCGTTTGAACCCGGGAGGTGGAGGTTGCAGTGAGCTGAGATTGCGCCATTGCACTCCAGCCTGTCCAGCGACAGGGCGAGACTCCATCTCAAAAAAAAAAAAAAACCAAAAATAACAACAACAAAAAACCCCACAAAAATTAGCTGGGCATGGCTGTATGCACCTGTAACCCCAGCTACTTGGGGGCTGAGGCACAAGAATCCCCTGAACCAAGGCAGGTGAAGGTTGCAGTGAGCCGAGATTGTGACACTGCACTCCTGCCTGGGTGACAGACCCTGTCTCAAAAAAAAAAAAAAAAAAGTTTTTATCAAGTTACAAATTTTTTCTTCTCATTGTAACTCCAGAAATCAGTAAACAGGTGAGTTGAGTTGGAGAGTAGGTGGGAAATCCCTAGGATTTGTTTTGCAGATAAGGAGCTTCTGGTTTCTGGGAAGGATGGACTTTTGTGATTTATGGGTTTCCAGGACAGAGCCTAGTCACTCACTTGCCTTCCTGTTCCCAGTGACTGGCATTTTCTAGGCCTCTGCCTCTTAATTTTTTTTTTTTGAGGCAGAGTCTTGCTCTGTTGTCCAGGCTGGAGTGTGATGGTGTGGTCTCAGCTCACTGCAACCTCCGCCTCCCAGGTTCAAGCTATTCTCCTGCCCTCAGCCTCCCAAGTATAGGCGTGCACCACCATGCCTGGCTAGTTTTTGTCTTTTTAGTAGAGATGGGGTTTCACCACATTGGCCAGGCTGGTCTCGAACTCCTGACCTCAAGTGATCTGCCCGCTTCGGCCTCCCAAAATGCTGGGATTACAGGCGTGAGCCACCACGCCTGGCCACACATGCTTTCTTATCCTGAACATACACCTTTGTGTTTCCCTATTATAAGAGTTATAGTGTGTTACTTTAGTACAAATTAAAAAAAAAAAAAGAATTGTAGTCCTTACTGAATAGCTTATGAAAAGGAGAGAGGTCTCAAAGCTCTTCTTCCTGAGCAGGGGCAGAATAAAATGTAGAACATCCTTAGCTTCTAGAAGAGCACCAGCAGCCCTTGCTTTTTGCTGTGAGCTGTGCACATTGGTCATGGTTTTGCTGTCTTTGTGTTTCAAGTTTGTGTCTACATGCATTTCATTCATTTGTCAACATGTCTCAGGATTTGTGGTGTTCTGGCATTTTTTTTTTTTTTTTTTTTTGAGATGGGCTCTTGCTCTGTTGCTCAGGCAATAGTGCAGTGGTGTGATTGGCTCACTGCAAGCTTCGCCTCCCAGGCTCAATCGATTCTCCCTCCTCAGTGTCCTGAGTATCTGGGACCATAGGCATGCACAATCACACCTGGCTAATTTTTGTATTTTTGTAAAGATGGGGTTTCACCATGTTGCCCAGGCTGGTCTCAAACTCCTGAGCTCAAGTGATCCACTCACCTCGGCCTGCCAAAGTGCTGCGATTCCAGGCATGAGCTACTGAACCTGGCCTGTGTTCTCACATCTTGCAGCTTCATTGTTGCATAAACTGGCAGAAAATTTTGGTTTTACAGACTTTTTTTCCTCCAGAAAACAGTTCTTTTGAGGGAAAATACTGACTAAGGCTAACATAGTATGTAACCATGGCAGGTTCGTCAACATTTGACTGCATGAAACCTGGCATGGTGTGCCTCAGGGAGTGTTCAAGAATGTTTTTTCCTTTGCCTGTAATGATAACATAGTCTTTCTAGTTTGTCCTATGCAAAAATGCAAAGGAATATGATGCATTGGCCATTAATCTCTGAGCCTTAGTTTTCTCATCTATTAAGTTAATGTTGCCTCAACAGATGGAAGTGAGTGTTGAGGATGGGGGTGTGCTTTTTAAATTTGCGCTAGAGGCATGGGGACATCATCTGTGGGACAGTGACATGTAGTATCTTTAACTTGGCAGTTCAAGGTGTGAGTATATAATACCAGCTCATGGTTAGGAAAATACATCCACTTTGATAAGGCAGTTATAGGTATTAAAGAACTAATGAAACTGGGCCTAGTGGTATGCACCTATAGTCTCAGTTTCTCAGGTGGCTGGGACAGGAAGATTGCTTGAGCCCAGGAGTTCAAGGCTGCGGAAAAAAAACAACTAATGAAGTGAAAAGGAAAAAGCTAAAATTTGGTTTATATAAGATATAGGGCTACAGGTCAGCTTAAGCCAAAGACTTGTTTTATGGTATCTTTCTTGGTTACCTTTTGAGATTCTGATGCTACCCCACTCCCTCCACCCCAAAATGAACTTCTTTAGGACTGAACTTCTAAAACCTTAGTTTTAGAAATTATTAACTCCTGAAAAAAAAAATGGTGTCAACTTGACCCTCACTGGGCTAGTCCCAGGTCGTATTTTTAGGACTGGTGAGGGTTAAGGACTTCTAACCAACCATCCTAAGCTGAGAGTCAGGAATAGAGTGCTCAGAAGGAAAAGACTGAATTAGAAAATTATACTCTTAATTGGTGGTGAGAGGCAGGCAGCCTATACTTCGTTGAATTTGACAGATGAAACTGCTGATTAACACAGTACATCTTTAATTGTAAAAATTGCCCAGGTGCGGTGGCTCATGCCTGTAATCCTAGCACTTTGGGAGGCCGAGTCGGCAGATCACTTGAGGCCAGGAGTTCAACGGCAGCCTGGCCAACATGGTGAAACCTCGTCTTTACTAAAGATACAAAAATTAGCTGGGCATTGTGGCTCGCTCCTGTAATTCAAGCTACTGAGGCATAAGAATTGCTTGAACCTGGGAGGCGAAGGTTGCAGTGAGCCAAGATGGCATCACTGCACTCCAGCTTGGGCGACAGAGCGAGACTCCGTCTCAAAAAAAAAAAAAATTGTTAAGATTGTCAGTAAGATGACTAAGTGAAGTGATAGGAAGGCAGTCGAGGGGAAAATGTTTGCAGTGGGAGGTAGACAGAATTGCCTGAGATTCTTCTCATGTTTTTCTTGCTTAAACTGGGCCTGCAGATTAGAGATATAATATGAAATATAATATAATGAAAGGCTTTGAATCTCACAAGGGAGCCTAGTCTTGATACATAATATACTTTCTAGGTTTTTAGCTGGTACAGATTTTATGAAAGTGCCATTTGAGAGTGCCATATAAAAGATAGTAGAGCTGGCTGGGCACGGTAGCTCATGCCTGTAATCCCAGCACTTTGGGAGGCCAAGGTGGGTGGATCACCTGAGGTCAGGAGTTCAAGACCAGCCTTGCCAACATGGTGAAATCCCATCTCTACTAAAAATACAAAAATTAGCCGGGTGTGGTGGCACACGCCTGTAATACCAGGTACTTGGGTGGCTGAGGCAGGAGAATCACTTGAACCTGGGAGGTGGAGGTTGTAGTGAACCGAGTTTGCACCACTGCACTCCAGCCTGGGTGACAATGAGACTCCATCTCAAAACAAACAAACAAACAAAACAAAACGAAATCCAATGTCAAAATTTCCATTTTTTCAATTTTTAAGTGTACAATTATGTGGCATTAAGCACATTCACAATGTTATACAACCATCACCGTTATATTCATCTTAAGCACAAATTCTGTACCTATTAAACAATAACTCCAGGCTGGGTGCAGTGGCTCACGCCTGTAATCCCAACATTTTGGGAAGCCAAGGAGGTTGGACCACTTGAGGTCAGGAGTTCGAGACCAGCCTGGCCAACATGGTGAAACCCCATCTCTACTAAAAAATACAAAAATTAGCCAGGCATGGTTGCAGCGCACGCCTGTAATCCCAGTTACTCGGGAAACTGAGGTAGGAGAATCAGTTGAACCTGGGAGGCTGAGGTTGCAGACAGCTGAGATTACGCCACTGCACTCCAACCTGGGGGAGAGAGTGAAACTCCATCTAAAACAAAACAAAACAAAAAAACCCACAATAACTCCCCAATTTCCCTCTTTCCTTCTATTTTTTGAGGGATTTTTTTTTTTTTCCTGTAAACAGTGTCTTGCTCTGTTACCCAGGCTAGAGTGCAGTGGTGCAATCTTGGCTCACTGCAACCTCTGCCTCCTGGGTTCAAGTAATTCTCCTGCCTCAGCCTCCCGAGTAGCTGGGATTACAGTCATCTGCCACTATACCCGGCTAATTTTTGTATTATTAGTAGAGATGGGGTTTCACCATGTTGGCCAGGCTGGTCTCGAACTCCTGACCTCATGATCCACCTGCCAAAGTGTTGGGATTACAGGCGTGAGCCACCGCACCTGGTCTTTTTGAGGGATTTTTGTTGCTGTTAGCTCTTTTTCCTCTGTTAGGTAATCAGCTACATTTTTTCCTCCACTATCAAGATTCTAGCCTTTGGTAATACGTTTTATGTTATTAATTTTTTTTCTTTTCTTTCTTTTTTTTTTTTTTCAGACAGAGTCTCGCTCTGTCGCCCAGGCTGGAGTGGTGGTGAACCTCGGCTCACTGCTCCTGGATTCAAGTGATTCTCCTGCCTCAGCCTCCTGAGTAACTGGGGCTACAGGGGCATGCCACCACGCCTGGCTAACTTTTTGTATTTTTAGTAGAGACAGCGTTCCACCGTGTTAGCCAGGATGGTCTCGATCTCCCAACCTCGTGATCCTCCCATCTCGGCCTCCCAAAGGGCTGGGATTACAGGCGTGAGCCACTGCAGCTGGCCTTAATTTTCTTGTTTTAATCTGTTGTTTGCTAAGAAACATTACCTAGCTTATCGAAATTGTATATAAAATAAAATTTGATAGAGTTTCTTGTCCCTAAAGGCTTTCCTGTGCAGGGAAGAGGTAGGGTTTTGTGATGGCTGTTTCAACCATAAAAAGACCTTTTGTTTCCTCAGTTGCTAAACATTTGCCTAGACACTTGCTTATGGAAAAGTGGGGTATTATTGTTTTTAAGAAAGTAATAGATTAATAGTTGAATAACAAAAAATGCTTTATATCTGGTATTTTTTAAAAAAGCTTCATTGACTAGGTTCCACCACTAGTTAGTTTCCTTTTTAAAAGGTTTCCTTAGTGCTTTTATAGTATGAGGGAATTGCAGGAATAAGACCACAAACATCTTTTCAAAAAGCACAGCTATGGACAAAGCAAGGTTCACCTACATGCACTAAAGTCTCCATGAGCTCAGATGGACCTGACAACTCACTTCATCGGTGTTTGTTTCAATATCCAAGATTCTTCTTTTACAGGTGTTTGATTTCACCACCATAGACTTGACATCTGAGACTGATGAAATTCCAGATATTATAGCTTTGGAAGAGGAGAACGGATCAAATAATTCACATGCTAATGGCCCTGTCCTCTCAGGGCAAGATGTTGAATAACTAACAACAATAAAATACCCCTTTTGGTTGAATACGCAATTTGTATTACATTAAACTTCCTGTTTTTATTCCTGTGACTTTGAAGAGTGTTAATCTATTTTTTGGCTACATTGGTCTTAATTGCAATGACACTCTGATCTAAACTTTTGTAAGAGATCCTAGTTCTGTGTCATATAATCATTTAATATAATTAAAGTTTAATTGCTGAAATACTTATAATGAAAATTGGGCTGTATAATCTTGACTTCATGATTTTTTTTCCCACTGGTATAGTGAACATTTGTTGTCTTTTGGTCTCCCATGATTCATTCATGCTTCTTTTGAAGGTCTCAGTGGGTATAGTGGTCAAGGTTTTTGCTTTCCCTTAGCCTAGTGATGGGCATGTGACTAAAAGCAGGTCACCTGGGAGGAAGCATAGCATGATGGGTAAGGGCTCAGACTCTGGGTTGTAATCTGGCTCTGCTGCTTACTGTGTGACCTTCAGCAAGTTACTTAATTTCTCTATGCCTCATTTTTTTCATCAGTAAAACAGGAATAGGGCTAAGTTTGCTCTGAAGATTAAATAGTTAACATTTGTGAAAAGCATAAAGCAGTGCCTGGCACAGAGCCGCATTAAGTATTAGTTGCCTGTAATCCCAGCACTTTGGGAGGCCAAGGCGGGTGGATCACTTGAGGTCAGGAGTTTGAAACCAGCCTGGCCAACATGGTGAAACCCCGTCTTTACTAAAAATACAAAAAAAAAAAAAAAAAAAAAAAATTAGCCGGGCTGTGGTGGCACAGGCCTGTAATCCCAGCTACTCAGGAGGCTGAGGCAGGAGAATTGCTTGAACCCAGGAGACAGAGGTTGCAGTGAGCCAAGATCACACCACCGCCCTCCAGTTTGGGTGGCAGAGTGAGACTCCATCTCAAAAAAAAAAAAAAAAAAAGTATTAGTTAAGGGAGTAAACTGTAGAAGCAATCCGGGGGCAGTGGCTCACACTTAGAATCCCAGCACTTTGGGAGGCCAAGGTGGGAGAATCACTTGAGCCCAGGAGTTCCAGACCAGTGTGGGCAATATGGTAAGACCTTCTCTCTATAACAAAAAACCTTAAAAAATTAGGCTGGGCACAGTGGCTCACGTCTGTAATCCCAACACTTTGGGAGGCCAAGGCGGGCAGATCACTTGAGGTCAGGAGCTCCAGACCAGCCTGGCCAACATGGTGAAACCCTGTCTCTACTAAAAATACAAAAATTTGTCAGGTGTGGTGGTGGACGCCTGTAATCCTAGCTACTCAGGAGGCTGAGGCAGAAGAATACCAGCCTAGCCTGGAATTCCTGGCCTCAAGTGATCCTCCTGCCTTGGCCTCCCAAAGTGCTGGGATTACAGGCATGAGCCACTGCGCCTAGCTGCCAAATCTTAGAATGAGGCCTAGTGAGTGAGAACTAAACTCTGATCTTTTTTCTTTCTTGTCCAAATTCCTATCTACAGAACTTGGGGAGTCATGTCCTACAAGCCATAAAAATCTCATCAGATGGGTTTTGTTGAAGCCTATATAACCCAGCTTACTTTCCAACCTGACTAGCATAATATCACATGACAGATAAAGAAGGAAATCAAAATATTTTTTCCCAAAATATGTTTCTTTGTTATATTTTGAAATGGTCCTGCAACGTCGTCGCTTATGGGGAGAAATCTACATCTGTAAAGAAGCTGGCTGGTGGCTCACGCCTGTAATCTCAGCACTTTGGGAGGCCGAGGCAGGCAGATCACCTGAGGTCTGGAGTTCCAGACCAGCCTGGCCAACACGGTGAAACCCCGTCTCTACTGAAAATACAAAAATTAGCTGGGCATGGTGGCGCATGCCTGTAATCCCAGCTACTTGGGAGGCTGAGGCAGGAGAATTACTTGAACCCAGGAGGCAGACGTTGCACTGAGCAGAGATGGCGCCACTGCACTCCAGCCTGGGCGATAGAGTGAGACTCCGTCTCATAAATAAATAAGTAGATCTTTCCCCTGGCAGGCCCTCCCAATCCTGAAGAGATTAACTGAGGATCCAATACTTGCTCTGTCACCCAGGCTGGAGTACAGTGGCGTGGCATGTGATCTCAGCTCACTGCAACCTCTGCCTCCTGGGTTCAAGGGATTCTCCTGCCTTAGCCTCCCAAGTAGCTGGGACTACAGGCGTCTGCCACCATGCCTAGCTAATTTTTGTCTTTTTAGTAGAGATGGGGTTTCACCATGTTGGCTGGGTTGGTCTTGAACTCTTGACCTCAGGTGATCTGCCTGCCTTGGCCTCTCAAAATGCAGGATTACAGGTGTGAGCCGCTGTGTCTAGCCTAAATTTTTTTTTTTTTTCTGAGACAGGGTCTTGCTCTGTTGCCCAGGCTGGTGTGCAGTGGCATGATGTGGGCTCACTGAAACCTCTGCCTCCTGGGCTGAAGCAATCCACAGCCTCAGCCTCCCAAAGTGTTGGGATTATAGGTGTGAGCCACCGCATCCAGCTTCTAGTACTTTTGGGTGGCCACCTATGAGACTTCATACTAACCCTGGTGTCCACAACCACTTATCTTGACCTAGAAACTTTTCTATGGATTCCAGGTCTTTAGATAGTAGCTTGACTCTAAACCAATGGCAATCATAAAATCTTTGTTGTTGTTGTTGTTGTTGTTTTGTTTTGAGACACAGTCTCACCCAGTCGCCCAGGCTGGAGTTCAGTGGTGTGATCTCGGCTCACTGCAATCTCAGCCTCTCGGGTTCAAGCGATTTTCCTGCCTCAGCCTCCCGAGTAGCTGGGATTACAGGTGCGCACCACCATGCCCGGCTAATGTTTGTATATTTAGTAGAGATGGGGTTTCACCATGTTGGCCAGGCTGGTCTCAAACTCCTGACCTCAAGTGATCCGTCTGCCTCGGCCTCCCAAAGTGTAGAGATTACAGGTGTGAGCCATCACATCCGCCCCAATCAGAAAATCTTTGAGTCCACCTATGACCTGAACCCACCACTTTGAGTTGCCTCACCTTTCTGTACAGAACCAATGTATACGTCACGTGTATTGATTGATGTCTTATGTCTCTCTAAAACTGTATAAAACAAAGCTATAGCCCCATCATCTTGGGCACATGTTCTCAGGAACTCTTGAGACTGTGCCTCAGGCCATGGTCATTCATATTTGGCTCAGAATAAACCTCTTTAAATATTCTGTTAGAGGAACCCCTGCTTACCAGACCTCTGGTTTAATAAAACATGACTAGAGTGACTCCATCTTAAAGTAGCTAGGCACTTACAAGGCTCCTATAAAATTAATGCTTATGGTTTAAAAATAGCCACATTCTAAGCTGGCCACCAATTATAATTACAGAATATTTATGGCCATACAGGACATCTCCCACTAAGCCTGCAGAATGTCCAGATGTTCTAAAGAGCAGCCCACTTTACTTAAAGATGACGTTAATGAGCAAGCTTAGGTTGAAAGATTAATGGTCTCTGAAAGCACAATAGCCCTACCTTTAGTGAGCACATCTGCGCATTCCAAGTTTAATCACAGCTCTTTATAGTTTCTTACAAGCAGAGACAGTAACAAAGGACCTTGTGTTCCTCCGCCTGCTTTCTGAGGTTGCTCCGCTCTTCAACGGAGTAGTTTCCAATAAACTTGCTTCCTTCATTGTGTTCTGTGATTCACCTCAAATTATTTCCTGCACGAGATCCAAGAACCTTCTCTTTGGGTCTGGATCAGGACTCTGTTTTTTCCGGCAACAATTTTACAGACTTTGACTCTTTTTGTCGACAGGAGTCAGAGATTTTTTTTTTGTGGCTGTTCTTTTGCTTTGAGAAGGGTCTTGCTCTGTCACTAGGCTGAAGTGCAGTCGTGCAATCACAGTTTACTGCAGCCTCAGCCTCCCAGGGCCCACGTGATTTTCCCACCTCAGCCTTCTGAGCAGCTGGACCACAGGCGTGCACCACCAGAATGGAGTCAGAGATCTTACAGATGACCTCCATAATGAAAAGCTATGGGTGATAGCATAAACTTCAAAAGGTGCTTTTAGGCTGGGCACGGTGGCTCATTCCTTGGGAGGTCAAGGTGGGCAGGTCGCTTGAGCCCAGGAGTTCGAGCCCAGCCTGGGCAACTTAGTGGCTTTTCTTTCTTTCTCTCTCTCTCTCTCCTCTTTTTTTTTTTTTTTTTTGAGACAGAGTCTCACTTTGTCGCCCAGGCTGGAATGCAGTGGAAGGATCTTGGCTCACTGCAACGTCTGCCTCCCGGGTTCAAGCGATTCTTCTGCCTCAGCCTCCCGAGTAGCTGAGCTGGGATTACAGGCATGCGCTACCACGCCCGGCTAATTTTGTATTTTTAGTAGAGACGGGGTTTCTACATGTTGGTCAGGCTGGTCTCGAACTCCCCACCTCAGGTGATCCGCCCACCTTGGCCTCCCAAAGTGCTGGGATTATAGGCGTGAGCCACTGTGCCCCGCCTCTCTCTCTTTTATTAAGGTGATTTTAGTGAGGCAGGAGACAATCATTGCCAGAGGTAGCAATGAGACTTAAAAGCAGGTTACCCAATCCACTTCCAGGCCCTGTTGTCAGTGGGGTTTGTGGTAGGCAACAGCTGTCAATTAAGACGACGGGCCGGGTGCGGTGGCTCACGCCTATAATCCCAGCACTTCGGGAGGCCGAGGAGGGCGGATCACGAGGTCAGGAGATCGAGACCATCCTGGCTAACAGGGTGAAACCCCGTCTCTACTAAAAATACAAAAAATTAGCCCGGCGTGGTGGTGGGAGCCTGTAGTCCCAGCTACTCGGGAGGCTGAGGCAGGAGAATGGCGTGAACCTGGGAGGCGGAGCTTGCAGTGAGCCGAGATTGCGCCACTGCACTCCAGCCTGGGAGACAGAGCTAGACTCCGTCTCAAAAAAAAAAAAAAAAAAAAAAAAAAAATTAAGAGGACTGCAGGCGGCCAGGCGCAGTGGCTCACGCCTGTAATCCCAGCACTTTGGGAGGCCAAGACCGGCAGATAACCTGAGGTCAGGAGTTCGAGACCAGCCAGCCAACATGGTGAAACCCCGTCTCCATTAAAAATACAAAAAAATTAGCCGGGCGTGGTGGCGGACACCTGTTAATCCCAGCTACTCGGGAGGCTGAGGCAGGAGAATCGCTTGAACCCGGGAGGCGGAGGTTGCAGTGAGCCGAAATCGCGTCACTGCACCCCAACTTGAGCAACAAGAGCGAAACCCCGTCTCAAAAAAAAAAAAAAAAAAAAAAAAGACTGCAGGACTGCAGGGGAGTATAGAGCCAGATTTCATTTAAAGCAGGAAAAGGAACATCCGGCATTTGAGGACATAGATTTCGCTAACGACAGAAATGAGGCTCAGAGATTACGTGACTTGATTAGAGTCACAGTGAGCATAGCGGAGGATGGAACCAATGCTTTAACTCTACACCGAGGCATAGTGCTCCATTTATGGCTTTTTTGTGACGTAACAACTAGGATACACAAGCAAATGGACCCCACTAACCAAGAATCAGAAACCCGAAGGCCCGAGGATCTGGGCACGACAGCGGTTAAGCAAGCGCAGAGCAAGTCGCTGGCCGCGCAATGCCCGGTGGGTCTTGCAGTTTCTTGGCTGGGCATGGCCGGAAGGGAGGAGAGAAGGACGCATTGCATGGCGGGAGATATAGTCTTTGCCGGAAGTCCCTCCTCCCTCGGACGCCTGGCGGCGCCGGCGCACACTGCTCTTCCTTAAGGGCGGGAGTCTCGGTTTGTGGTGGCTTCGCTGAGGCAGTGGTGGCCGCACTATACCGTTAGAAACTCAATTTCCCGGAGGTTGTGAGGCCCTTTGAGGCGAAATCGCTCTGGGCGTGAAAGGAGCAGGCGTTGGCAATGGAAGGACCACCGCGACCTCAGGCTGACCGTAGGGAGGGATCTTGAGGGCCCTCCGAGTCCCCTGGGCTTGCGCTTTCTTTCTTTGCAGCCACCGTGCCTACCGCGAGGATGAGCTCGGCCTCGGTCACCGCTTTCGAGAAGGAGCATCTCTGGATGTATCTGCAGGCGCTCGGCTTCGAGCCAGGCCCGGCAACCATTGCCTGCGGAAAGATCGTGTCGCACACGCACCTCGGAGTGTAAGGAGGCCGGGGCCGGCGGGGCGAGGGAGCCTGAACCGGGGGACGCCGGGGGACTCCCCCTTTTGTAGACCCCGGAGGTTGATTAATCAGAATTGGTTGAGCAGTTACTCTGTGCCAGGCATTGGCTCCAAAGTTCCTACTCCCAGTTGCTGCCAGCCTAGGGGCAGAGACAGACAGTAAATAATGCAAGAGTGCCGGAAGCGCTCTGTAGGGGAGTGCAAAAGTCTGCAGATGGGGAGAGTGCAAGACTGGAGGAGCAGCTTAACTCTGCCTATGTGGTGGAGGGGTGGTCTGTGAAGTAGTGGGAGGGATGGCGGGTGGTAGTGGAAGAGCATGGGAACCATATGTACAAAACACCTTTTGGACTCAAGGGAGCCTTTGAAGGTGGTTGTTTAATTTTATAATTTTTAATTTTTTAATTAGTAAGGCATGTTGGAGTTAGCATAAAACAACGGAGAAGGGTATTAAAAACAAATACCCTTTTAAGAAAAGTATGGAAAGTAAAAGCCCCTTCCCTACTTTTTCCACTTCTGTTTTATCAACTTTAGCCAGTATCTCTATTTAATCATTCCCACTGTAGGCCAAGAGGAATTCTTTTCTTTCATATGGAGTCTCCCTCTGTTGCCAGGCTGGAGTGCAGTGGCACGATCTCGGCTCACTGCACCCTCCAACTCCCTGGTTCAAGCGATTCTCCTGCCTCAGCCTCCCGAGTAGCTGGGATTACAGGCACTTGCCACCACGCCCAACCAATTTTTGTATCTTTAGTAGAGACGGGGTTTCACCATGTTGGCCAGGATGGTCTCGATCTCCTGAGCTCATGATCCACCTGCCTCGGCCTCCCAAAGTGCTGGGATTACAGGCGTGAGCCACCGTGCCCGGCCTCTATTTTTTTAAAGTATTATTATTTTAGAGACAGTAGCTAACCATGTTGCCCAGGCTGGTCTCAAAATTCCTGGGCTCAAGCAATCCTCCTGCTTCGGTCTTCCAAAGTGCTGGGATTATAGATATGAGCCATTGTTTTTTGTTTTGAGACAGGGTCTCCCACTCTGTCGCCCAGTCTGGAGTGCAGTTGTGCGATCACAGCTCACTGCAGCCTCCAACTCCTGGGCTCAGGCGATCCTCCCACTTCACCCTCCTGAGTAGCTGGGACTACAGGTGCGTGGCACCATGCCTAGGGTCGGCATGTTGCCCAGGCTGGTCTTGAGCTCCTGGCCTCCAGCAATCCCCCCGCCTTGGCCACTCCAAGTGCTGGGATTACAGATGTGAGCCACCGAGCCTGGCCTGTTTTATTTATGTTCATAGTTGTACATATTTTGGGGATATAAAATTTTGATATTTTGATACACTTATACAATGTATAAGGATCAGATCAGGATAAATGGGATAGCCATCATCTCAAACATTTATCTTTCCTTTGTGTTGGAAACATTTCAGTTCTTTTCTAGCTATTTTAAAATACACAATAAATTATTTTTAACTATAGTTTCACTTATGTACTATTGAACACTAGAACTTATTCCTTCTATCTAACTGTATATTTGTACCCATTAATCAACTTCTCTTCCTCCCTCCTTCTCTCCTTTTCCTTTCCTAGACTGTGTTAACCACCATTCTACTCCCTACCTCCATGAGGTCCACTTTTTTTGCTTTCACATGTGAGAACATGTGATATTTGTCTTTCCGTGCCTGGTTTATTTTACTTAAGATAATGACCTCCAGTCCCATCCATGTTGCTGCAGATGACAGGATTTTCTTCTTTTTGTGTGGCTGAATAATATTCCATTGTGTATATATACCACAATTTCTTTATCCATTCATCTGTTTTCTTTATCCATTCAACTTAGGTTGATTCTGTATCTCGACTATTGTGAATAATGTGTCACTAAACATGGGAGTGCAGATGCCTCTTTCATATACTGATCTCCTTCCTTTTGGATATATACCCAGCAGTGGGATTGCTGGATCATAGGGTACTTCTATTTTTAGTTTTTTAAGGAGCCTATGGTTTCCCATAATGGCTGTACTACTTTACATTCCACCAACAAAGTACAAGCATTCCCTTTTCTCTGCAGGATCCACCATCTTGTAACACATGTCCACTTTAAATGCTTTCAACATGGATGTGGCATTAAATTTACTTTTTTGTTTTTATTTTTTGAGATAGTCTGGCTCTGTCTCTCAGGCTGGAGTGCAGTGGCCTGAATGTGGCTCACTGCAGCCTCCATCTCCTGGGCTCAAGCGATCCTTCCTTCCACTTCAGCCTCCCGAATAGCTGGAATTACAGGTGCCTGCTGCCACGCCTGGCTAGTTTTAATTCTTTTTTTTTTGAGATGGAGTCTTGCTCTGTCGCCCAGGCGGGAGTGCAGTGGTGCGATCTGGACTCACTGCAACCCCCGCCTCCCTGGTTCAAGCAATTCTCTGCCTCAGCCTCCTGAGTAGCTGGGAATACAGGCGCCTGCCACCACGCCTGGCTAATTTTTTTGTATTTTTAGTAGAGACCGGGTTTCTCCATCTTAGCCAGGCGGAATCTTAAATTCCTGACCTTGTGATCCACCTGCCTTGGCCTCCCAAAGTGCTGGGATTATAGGCCTGAGCCACCACACCTGGGCAGCTAAGTTTAATTCTATTCTTTTTGTAGAGATGGGTTCTCACTGTGTTGTGGAGGCTGGTCTTGACCCTCTGGGCTTAAGTGATCCTCCCGCGTCAGCCTCCCAAAGTGCTGGGATTACAGACATGAGCCACTGCACCCTGCCAAAGTTACTTTTAAAATTGCTCGATGCATTTGTAAATCCAGCTACTCAGAAGGCTGAGGTGGGAGATTGCTTGAGGCCAGAAATTTGAGACCAGCCTGGGCAACATAGTGAGACCCTGTCTCTTAAAAATGCAATTAGGCTAGGCATGGTGGTTCACACCTGTTAATCCCTGTGCTATGGGAGGGCAAGGTGGGAGTATTGCTTGAGCCCAGGAGTTTGAGGCTACAGTGAGCTATGATGGTAGCACTGCACTCCAGCCTGGGTAACAAGAGTGAGACCCTGTCTCTTAAAAACAAAAAAGAGGCCGGGTGCGGTGGCTCACGCCTGTAATTCCAGCACTTTGGGAGGCCGAGATGGGCGGATCACGAGGTCAGGAAATTGAGACCATCCTAGCTAACACGGTGAAACCCTATCTCTACTAAAAATACAAAAAATTAGCCGGGCGTGTTGGCGGGCGCCTGTAGTCGCAGCTATTCGGGAGGCTGAGGCAGGAGAATGGCGTGAACCCAGGAGGCAGAGCTTGCAGTGAGCCGAGATCGCGCCGCTGCACTCCAGCCTGGGGGACAGAGCGAGACTCCGTCTCAAAAAAAAAAAAACACAAAAAAACAAACAAAAAAAACCCCATTATTTTTTATTCACTTACATTTTATACGTATACGTTCTCTTTGGTTTGCAGTTTATGATTTTTTTGTTTCTATGACCCTGTAGTGGTATGACCACTTTTCTTTTTTTCTTTTTTTTTTTTTTTTTGAGATGGAGTTTTGCTCTTGTTGCCCAGGCTGGAGTGCAATGGCATGACCTCACCGCAACCTCCGCCTCCCAGGTTCAAGCGATTCTCCTGCCTCAGCCTCTGGAGTAGCTGGGATTTTAGGCATGCGCCACCATGCCCTGCTAATTTTGTATTTTTAGTAGAGACGGGGTTTCTCCATGTTGGTCAGGCTGGTCTCGAACTCCCGACCTCAGGTGATCCACCTGCCTCGGCCTCCCAGAGTGCTGGGATTACAGGCGTGAGCCACCGGGCCCGGCTCCACTTTTTTTAAATGTTAAACATAATGTATGACTCAACAATCCATTCCAAGGTATTTGCCCAAAAGGTTTGCAGTTTGGAAAAATCATATGGTTGCATTACAGAGAATAGATAGAAGGGGAAGAAGCGCTTTGCAGTTAATTATTTAGGCCTGAACTAAAGTGGCAGTAGGAATAAAAAGAGGTGATTCATTTATTTGTTCATTCAACAAATATTTATTGACCACTGTATTGGACCTGGCTATACAGTGGTGAAGAGAATAGATATAAATTTTCCCTTATATAATTTTTTTTTTTTTTTTTTTGAGACGAAGTCTTGCTCTTTTGCCAGGCTGGAGTGCGGTGGCGCGATCTTGGCTCACTGCAACCTCTGCCTCCTGGGTTCAAGCGATTCTCCTGCCTCAGCCTCCTGAGTAGCTGGGATTACAGGTGCACGCCACCACGCCCAGCTAATTTTTGTATTTTTAGTGGAGATGGCGATTCGCCATGTTGGCCAGGATGGTCTCAATCTCTTGACTCATGATCTGCCTGCCTTGGCCTCCCAAAATGCTGGGATTACAGGTGTGAGCCGCTGCACCCGACCCCTTACAGAATTTTAGTCTAGCGATGGAACAAATCTTCAACAAATATCTTATTACAAATTACAATAAGTGTCAAAGAGAAGAGAACAAGGTACTTTGTGAAAAAACAACAGGTTTGAGAGATGGTAAGGAAGTAGGATAGATGGAACTTCATTTGTGTTACTTGAAGAGTAGAGATGTTCTAAGGACAAAAGTGTTGTTTGACAAATGGATAGGCATAGGAACTTACGCAAGAGAATAGTAATCCTAAGTCAGAAATTCACTTGATTTGATTTTTTGGAAGGAAATTTCATGCTTTGCCGTTTAAGTTAACTCTTGATTCCTTATAGTTGTGTGACATTTTCTTAAAGGGTTTAGTGTTCTTTCATTTTTGTTTTCACTTTTTTTTTTTTTAGGCTTTGTTTTGATTAATTAGGGTAATTGGCACAATAAAAACTATTGCCAGCATTATGTTATAAAGATGGTTCTGGAAATAAAAATCTAGTAGTGAAGACCCTGGACTCTAGGGTGAGGTGACATATTTCAAATCAGTGCTTTCTCCACATCCTTTCCAGCACCTGTTGTTTCCTGACTTTTTAATGATCCCCATTCTAACTGGTGTGAGATGGTATCTCATTGTGGTTTTGATTTGCATTTCTCTGATGGCCAGTGATGATGAGCATTTTTTCATGTGTTTTTTGGCTGCATAAATGTCTTCTTTTGAGAAGTGTCTGTTCATATCCTTCACCCACTTTTTGATGGGGTTGTTTGTTTTTTTCTTGTAAATTTGTTTGAGTTCATTTTAGATTCTGGATATTAGCCCTTTGTCAGATGAGTAGGTTGCAAAATTTTCTCCCTTTCCGTAGGTTGCCTGTTCACTCTGATGGCAGTTTCTTTTGCTGTGCAGAAGCTGTTTAGTTTAATTAGATCCCATTTGTCAATTTTGGCTTTTGTTGCCATTGCTTTTGGTGTTTTAGACATGCAGTCCTTGCCCATGCCTATGTCCTGAATGGTATTGCCTAGGTTTTCTTCTAGGGTTTTTATGGTTTTAGGTCTAACATGTACTCTTAATAAATATTAGCTATTTATTGTTATTCAGTAAATGTAGGTTGTTACCATTATAAGGCATGTTTCTCTTGAAATAGGTTTTCCTTCCTTTTCTGTAGAGTGTTTTCATTAAAGCCAGTTCTGCCAGTCTTATATTGAATCTGTGTTTTCAGAATTAGAAAATGAAAGCTTGTATGTTTTTCTTACTGGTTATAAAATACACATGAATGAGAAAAATTAATTTGCCTTGACTTCCTGAAGAGAATGAAAACATTAATTTGTGTCAAAGTCTTACTCAGCTTTTGATGATGTTTAGCTTATTAACCTTTTTCTTTTTCTATTTCTATTTCATTTTTAACCACTAGGAACATGTTTGACAAGCTGAACCGTGATGCCTTTCATATAATTTCTTATTTTTTGTTTCAAGTTCTGGACCAGTCTCTCACCAAAGAAGTTTTCAAGTAAGGAAAAATAATTTCATTTTCTTAAATTTCTTTCCAAATTTGAAAATGGACAGCGTTTTGATACAAGCCAGAATTCTCTCCTTTTTTTTTTTTTTTTTTTTTTTTTGAGACGGAGTCTCACTCCGTCATCGAGGCTGGAGTGCAGTGGCGTGATCTAGGCTCACTGCAACCTCTGCCTCCTGGGTTCAAGAAATTCTCCTGTCTCAGCATCCTGAGTAGCTGGGATTATAGGTGACTGCCACGACGCCTAGCTAAGTTTTGCATTTTTATTGGAGCTGGGGTTTCACCCTGTTGGTCAGGCTGGTCTCAAACTCCTGACCTCAGGTGATCCACCTGCCTCGGCCTCCCAAAGCGCTGTGATTACAGGCGTGAGCCACCACGCCCGGCATAAGCCAGAATTTCAACTTGGCCTTTGACTGTTGTTTTGAATGAATATTACAAAATTCAGGTTTGAGTCTTATACATTTAATACTTAATCTTTATAAATCTGGGTGATTTTTTTCTTTGGTACATATCTTAAAATCATTGTGTATTTTATAAGTAATATAGTTTTTATAGATTTCTTAACATTTTATTTACGGTCTTAATAATTAAGCAAATTATTGTTAGCAAAACAATTAAATGATATCAATCCGTATGAACTTGATTTTGCCCAATTTTTTTTGCTCGGTACTCTGTGCCTTACTACTTTTCCTATAGGCAGTGTTGTTTTGTCTACACGGCTATCTGTAAATCCTTATTTTTTTCATTGATATATTAAAGCATCAATTGCTTTAGGCAAAAATCATTCCTATTACATTTACTCTACTGTTATATGCTATTGAATATTAGTTTAAGAAGGAGATAAAAATGTAAGCACCCACAAGTCTCAGTCCTAAGTTATTTTGCATGTGATTTGTGTTTCTGCTATCTAAAAAAGTGTTCAAATTTATTTTGATATTTATATTGTACCATCAATCTTTTATATAGAAAAGCAACAAGTAGGTCTATCGCTTAGGGCATTATTTTCATTTTTGATAATCTATTTTCAATATTTTGCTTTTATTTAAAGTTCTGAGTATGCAGGATAATAGGTATGTTTGGATGATTTTTTGGAATTCCCTATTATTAAGGTATAGGGTTTCTTCTGTCCAAATAAAAACAGATTTTAATTTTTTTTTTTTTTTGCTGATTATCAACATTATGGCTCATTTTAAGTAATTCAGAAAATATAGGAAAATGTAAAAATTGTTTTGAAACCCGTCAACCATGGAGTATCACTGTTGACATTCTAGCCTTTTAGTCTTTTTGTTTCCTATGCATGCTCAGTTTTTTCTGTGAATACTGAATGTAGTTATAGAAAAGGTATGAGGCCTTAAATAATTATGCCTCAGAATAAAAATTTGGAAAAGCCTGACTGTGAAAGGAAAGCAGTAGGTAAATTTTAAACCCTAATATTTTTGACCAAAGTTGAAGCAAAACTTCTCTTTTTAATGTTTTTCTGTCTTGTTTAGCCACAAAATAATAGCACCCACAGTTATGATAAGGATTATCTCTAGGAGTCATAATCTTGTATGCCATTTTTTCTCTTCTTCATATATATCTGTTTATGTTTCTCTCTGGCAAGATTACTATTTCTTTTCAGGCTTAATTTACTAATTTATTTATATTGTCTTTATGCACTAGTCCAGTGGATCCATTGAGATTGTTGTCTTTAGCTGATTTTCAGCAATTTTTATAGCTGTTCATTCCCTCATTTAATACATTTTAGTTATTTGTATGACACAGAACTCAACCCTATAGATGTTTATAAATAAAAAAATTAAATTTCTCACAGGTTGGTGTCTCTCTAGCTGTTATCTAAGAAGGTTAGCTTTAATTCATTTCACTTTAATGGTTTTTTTTTCTTTTGAGACAGGGTCACCCAGGCTGCAGTGCAGTGGTGCCATCTTGGCTCACTGCAGACTCCATCTCCTGGGTTCAAGCAATACTCGTGCCTCAGCTCCCGAGTAGCTGGGGCTATAGGCGCACACCACTATGCCTAGTTAATTTTTATATTTTTAATAGAGACGGGATTTCTCCATGTTGGCCAGGCTGGTCTCAAACTCCTGGCCTCAAGTGATCTGTCTGCATTGGCTTTCCAAAGTGCTGGGATTAAAAGTGTGAGCCACCGCGCTTGGCCATGCATTAATATTTCTGGTATTAGAAATAAGTTTGATTTTTAAAAAATTTGCTGAGGCTTTTTTTTTTGGCTATTGTTGTGCATAGTCCTTACGCTTTTATTTTTGTTTTCCAGATTTTGTTGGCCCCCATTTGACCAAAAAAGTGACACTGAATTCCGAAAACATTGCTGTGAATGGATAAAAAGGATTTCTGTAAGTATTCTTTTTGTTAGAAGATACAGACTTTAAGAAGTTAAAAACTACTTTAACTCTTTAACTTTTTAGAGGTGAAATCCTTTTAATGCTTTAATGCTATCAGTATAAGCAAGGAAATATTAGTTAAAATAGTCTTCTTTGATGGTTTTTGGTTGGGATTCTATATATTTCGAAGAAACCAGCTTTGCTGGCCAGGTGTACTGAAAATAGGCTTTAGAGTTCCTGAGCGTTTATAGCACAGTTTTTGTTTAAAGAAAACTTTTCCAACCGTATATTATTTTAGTTTGTTTGCCCAGATAGTATCAATGATTGTGTCTGTATCATTATAATTGTTTTTTCTGACCAGGTCCACGTAGAGTTTAGAAAAACCAAAACATGTAACTTGTGGTTTAAAAGGAATAATTCTGATCAAATTCTTTATTTTATTTTATTATTACTTTTTTTTGAGACAGAGTCTTCTTCTGTCACCCAGGCTGGAGTGCAATGGCGCAATCTTGGCTCACTGCAACCTCTGTCTCCCAGGTTCGAATGATTCTCCCATCTCAGCCTCCTGAGTAGCTGGGATTACAGCCATGTACTACCATGCCCAGATAACTTTTGTATTTTCAGTAGAGACGGGGTTTCACCATGTTGGCCAGGCTGGTCTTGAACTCCTGACCTCCAGTGATCCGTCTGCCTCGGCCTCCCAAAATGCTGGGATTACAGGTATGAGCCACCACACCCAGCCCTGATCAAATTCTTTTATGCTTCAAAAATAGTGTGATGAGGAGACAGTGGCCTGGGGGCCTTACCCACTTTGCTTTGCACTCTGCTGCACAGTTGGATGTGTCCAAGCCACTGTGCTATGAAGAGGTCCTAGGGAACCCCACGCCAACCTATAGCATAGTACTTATGAAAATGTGGGACTTCTATTGCAAGACTGTCACACCCTTTAACAAAAATAGTGTGATGTAAATGTAAGAGTTATTGTTAACAAGGTCTTCAAATCATCTTATTTCTTTTCTTCATAGGGTGAATGTGGAAGTAGCTTTCCTCAAGTTGTTGGTTCACTATTTCTTTCTCCTGGTGGTCCTAAGTTTATTCATCTGATGTATCATTTTGCAAGATTTGTTGCAATGAAATATATTAAATCCAATTCTAAAAGTAAGTTCAACTTATAAAAGATTTTTTGTTTTGATTCTTAAATTTTTATTGTTCTTTACAATTTTTAAATCGTGAAGAGATCTTAGTAAAATCAAGGTAAGTTAAAACATTAATGTACCCCAAAAAGGAAATGGTTAATATTCTACTGGAAGTGTACTTTAAAATCTTCTCATAATAAACACAGTTACTATTTATATTATTTTATTATGTTCTAATACAAGGGTTGGGAAACATTTCTTTTTTTTTTTTTTTTTGAGACACAGTTTCGCTCAAGCTGGAGTGCAATGCTGTGATCTTGGCTCACTCCAACCTCTGCCTCCCAGGTTCAAGCAATTTTCCTGCCTCAGCCTCCTGAGTAGCTGGGATTACAGGTGTCTGCCACCATGACTGGCTAATTTTTTGTATTTTTATTAGAAATGGAGTTTTACCATGTTAGCCAGGCTGGTCTTGAACTCCTGACCTCAGATTATCTGCCCACCTGGGCCTCCCAAAGTGTTGGGATTACAGGTATGAGCCAATGCGCCTGGCTTTTTTTTTTTTTTTTTTTTTTTTCCGAGACGGAGTTTTTTTTCTTGTTGCCCAGGCTGGAGTGCAATGGCGCGATCTTGGCTCACCGCAACCTCTGCCTCCTGGGTTCAAGCGATTCTCCTGCCTCAGCCCCCGGAGTAGCTGGGATTACAGGCATGCACTTCTACACCCGGCTAATTTTGTATTTTTAGTAGAGATGGGGTTTCTCCCTGTTGGTCAGGCTGGTCTCAAACTCCCGACCTCAGGTGATCCGCCTGCCTCGGCCTCCCAAAGTGTTAGGATTACACCAAAGTGTTAGGATTACAGGCATGAGACACCACACCAGGCCTTTTGTTGTTGTTTTTTTTTTTTAATACCAGGGTTACACCATATTTCCCAGGCTGGTCTTGAACCCCTGTGCTCAGGCAGTCTTCCTGCCTTGGCCTCCTAAAGTGCTGGGATTACATGCATAAGCCACCGTGCCCGGCGACAACTGATACTTTTATCACTATTGTATGGATAATGTCTGTTTTCCTAAAGGCTTATTAGCATCGTATGTGACCAGACATTTTAATCTTTTCAGTCTGATAGGTTCCAGTGGAATCTCAGTATAGTTTTAATTTGTATTTCTTTTATTAGTGAGGTTGAAAATTGTTTCATGTTTAAGAGCAATTTGTACTTAAAAAAAAATGTTTATTTTTTGGCTGAGTGTGGTGGCTCATGCCTGTAATCCCAGGACTTTGGGAGGCTGAGGTAGGCAGATCACTTGAGGTCAGGAGTTCGACACCAGCCTGGCCAACATGGTGAAACCCTGTCATTACTGAAAATACAAAAATGAACCTGGCATGGTGGTGGGCACCTGTAATCCCAGCTACTTGGGAGGCTGAGGCACGAGAATCGCTTGAACCTGGGAGGCAGAGGGTGCAGTGAGCCAAGATCGCACCACTGCATTCCAGCCTGGGTGATAGAGCAGACTCAGTCTCAAAAAAGTTTTATTTTTTTTTAAGAGATGGGGTGGGTCTCCCTATGTTGCCCAGGCTGGTTTTGATTCGAACTCCTGGTCTCAAGTAATCCTGCCACCTTGGCCTCCCAAAGTGCTAGGATTACAAATGTAATATAAGAATGTTTCCAGTTTTTCTGCTACTGGATGATCTGCCCCAATTACATGTAATACAAACTATTTTATATAAAATATGTGTGTTTGGATTTAATAAGGCATAAGACTTCTAAGCATGGATTGTCCTATTTCTGGATTTAAACCAATTCCAGTCAACGTGTTCAGAGTCTAGATAACTTCTAAATTCGGTACACTCATTTCCTGTTAAATATTTAGAAATTTTGGTGGTTTCTTTTTTTTTTTTTCGCAGACGAAGTCTCACTCTGTTGCCCAAGCTGGAGTGCGGTGGCGCGATCTCGGCTTACTGCAACATCCACTTCCCGGGTTCAAGCGATTCTACTGCTTCAGCCTTCCGAGTAGCTGGGACTACAGGCATGCGCCACCATGCCTGCTAATTTTTTTGTATTTTTAGTATAGATGGGGTATCATTATGTTGGCCAGGCTGGTCTCGAACTCCTGACCTTGTGATCCACCCGCCTCGGCCTCCCAAAGTGCTGGGATTACAGGCCTGAGCCACTGCGCCCGGCCAATTCTGGTGGTTTCTCTGAGGCAATGCTAGAACCTGGATAAGCAATGTTAATACATTGTGGAAGTCCCTGATTTTCAGAATATTCATGTTTTTGTTGTATTGAACCATGTTAAAGTAGGATTTATTACAGGTAAAAACCTGAACTCTGAAATATTTACATGAGTTATTCTCAGGTCTACTCTGGTTTTTAGTAACACAGTGACGAATTGTTTGAGAAATGAACAGTGGTTTTATTTGGTTATCCTGTCCTATTGGTCTTACTAGGAGGAAAAGTAAACTGATGGCAGCAATGGAGATGATGTGATCTCCTCTTATCTTTTTATATTGACTTTCTTCCTTTGTTAAAAGATTCTATGGCTGGGCGAGGTGGCTCACGCCTATAATCCCAGCACTTTGGGAGGTCAGGGCGGGCGGATCATGAGGCCAGGAGATCAAGATCATCCTGGCTAACAGGGTGAAACCCGTCTCTACTAAAATTACAAAAAATTAGCCGGGCGTGGTGGCGGGCACCTGTAGTCCCAGCTACTTGGGAGGCTGAGGCAGGAGAATGGCGTGAACCCTGGAGGCGGAGGTTGCAGTGAGCCGAGATCACGCCACTGCATTTCAGCCTGGGTGACTGAGGGAGACTCCGTCTCAAAAAAAGAAAAAGAAAAGATTCTGTTTGGAAGCAAAGTAGCTCTTATTATAATTTGAGGTATCTATAAATAAATACACTATTACGGATATAAATGTATTTCTAGATATCTCAAATTATAATAAGAATTTTTTTAGGTGGATACACTCTGAAAATTTTTAATTGTGTAAAATAACTCGCCTTTAGAAATCTTTTTTAGTTGCCTGCCTTAAAAAAAGGTCATCTTACTTTCATTAACATTAGTTGTGTCAGGCTGAATGTGGTGGCCTGTAATCCCAGCACTCTGGGAGACTGAGACAGGAGGATCCCTTGAGTCCTGGAGTTCAAGACTAGCCTGGGCAACACCTTCAGACCCAGTCTCTACAAAAAATAATAAAAAAAAAACTAGCTGGGCATGGTGGTGCGTGCTTGTAGTCTCAGCTACTCTGGAGGCTGAGGTGAGAGGATTGCTTGAACCCGGAAGGTTGAGGCTGCAGTGACCTATGCTTGTGCCACTGCACTCCAGCCTGGGCAATAGAGTGAGACCCTGTCTCAAAAAAACAACCCAAAATACCAAAACAAAACATTAGTTGTTATATGTTTGTGGTATACTAGCTTTTGGGGAGTTGTTAGTTACGTGATGTTAATTTAATTTCTTAATATTGAAATTCAACATTTTTGGTATTTATTAGCTTGTAAGTCTGTTTTCCTTTTTTTAAAAGTCAATCAGATTTAGCAGTGGGAGATTGTATACCACCAACGTTAGTGACACTAATGTTCATTTCTGATAACCCACTACTATCAGACCAGCCTGTTTTCTATAATCTTATTTGTGTTCTGTGTAGATTCTTCTCATCATTTTGTAGAGACATTTAACATAAAACCACAGGACTTGCACAAATGCATTGCCAGATGCCATTTCGCACGTAGCAGATTTTTACAAATTTTGCAAAGACAAGATTGTGTTACCCAAAAATATCAGGAAAATGCACAGTAAGTAGTACCTTGATAGTTAGAAAATAATTTCTTTCTTTTGAACAGATGTCACCAATATAATGTCAGGAGAAATAATCCATGCCTACCTGAAAACCTTGGCGGTTATCTTTCTATTTTAAAGTCAGATAACTTCTTCTTCTTTTTTTTTTTCCCTATCTGAGACAGGGTCTGGTTCTGTCACCCAGGCTCCTAGGCTGGAATGCAGTGGCGCGATGTCGGCTCACTGCAGCCTCTGCTTCCTAGGCTTAAGTCATCCTCCCACCTCAGCCTCCAGAGTACCTGGGATTATTGGCGCAGGCCACCATGCCCAGCTAATTTTTGTATTTTTAATAGAGACGGGGTTTCACCATGTTGCCTAGACTGATCTCAAACTTCTGAGCTCACGTATTCTGCCCATCTCAGCCTCCCAAAGTGCTGAGATTACAGACATGAGCCACTGTGGCTGGCTATAGTCAGATAACTTCTGCCTAAAATATTTTAAAACTTTAGGGAAAAAGAAAAGATCACTTTACTTATTTATTTATTTATTTTGGGATGGAGTCTCGCTGTGTTGCCCAGGCTTGAGTGCAGTAGTGCAATCTTGGCTCACTGCAACCTCCACCTTCTGGGTTCAAACGATTCTCCTGCCTCAGGCTCCTGAGTAGCTGAGATTACAGGCGCCTGCCACCACGCCTGGCTCATTTTTTTTTTTTTTTGTATTTATAGTAGCGACCGGGTTTTGCCATGTTGACCATGCTGGTCTCGAACTCCTGACCTCAAGTGATCCGCCTGCCTTGGCCTCCCAAAGTGCTGGGATTGCAGGCATGAGCCACTGTGCCCGGCCCACTTTAGTTTAAAAAGTTCAGTTTTCTTATGTGCTTTGTAAAATATGGAAATATATTTTAAAGTTGTAATTGTAGTGTTTATTTTATTTCGTATCCTTTTTTGTCTTGCTATTTCATTCTGTAAATTTTTGCATATTGCCATAGTGTATTACTATTTTTTTTTTTTTTTGAGACGGAGTCTCACTCTGTTGCCCTGGCTGGAGCGCAGTGTCACAATCTCGGCTCACTGCAACCTCCACCTCCCAGGTTCAAGCAATTCTCCTGCCTCAGCCTCCCGAGTAATTGGGATTACAGGTGCATGCTACCATGCCTAGCTAATTTTTGTATTTTTTAGTAGAGAAGGGGTTTCGCCATGTTGGCCAAGCTGGTCTCGAACTCCTGACCTCAGGTGATCCACCCGCCTCAGCCTCCCAAAGTGCTGGGATTATAGGCGTGAGCCACTGTACCCTACCAGTGTATTACTTTTAATGTCTATTAGTCCTGTTAGTGGATATTTCATTAAGCAGATATTCTTTCAGGTAGGTAGTCCATCATTTTTTTAAACCACTTAATGCTATTTTATGTTTAGGTTCATCTATGCAGCATATCTTTTTTTCTTGGAGTTTCTTCTATGTGTCAGATACTGTTTAGGCATTGATATTACAGAATTAAACAGGACAGACAAGGCTGTTACTCTCAAAGAATAGGTTGTATATAATTGTGTGTGCATGTGGTTTTTTTTTTTTTTTTTTTTTTTTTGAGACAAGGTCTTGCTCTGTTGCTTAGCTAGACTAGAGTGCAGTGGCATGATTATGACTCACGGCAGCCTTGACCTCCTGGGCTCAAGTGATCTTCCCACTGTAGCTGGGAGTACAGGCGTGTTCTACCACACCCAGCTAATTTTTAAATTTTTTTGTAGAGACAGGGTCTTGCTTTGTAGCCAGGCTGGTCTCAAACTCCTGGCCTGAAGCCACATTCCTGCCTCAGCCTCCCAAAATATAGGCATTACAGGTGTGAGCCATTGCACCTGGCCTAATTTCTTTTTTGCAATTGTAAACAGTTACAGTAGGATAACTTTGTAGAATGCTTTGTTATATATTACTAAAGCTATAGAATCCTTTGAAATTAACTGAAATGTTGCCTGACTGTATTAGATAACATTTAAATTTATTCCTGGGTATGTGAGATGAGGATAAGAGCAGAGTCGTCTTACTAACCTCCATCATTTTAATCGGAGAGGATATACTAACCTATGAGTCCTAGGTCCATCTCAATAGGAGCCTGTATGTTGAATCACTTGTGTGATAAAGAGAGTCTAGAGTCCTTTAGCTTGCTGGTGGCTGTACCCAGAGGCCTTAAACAAGGATATGCAAAGGGAAAATAGAGAAGTGGGCTATACTAATTAATCGTAATGGTATTATAGTTGTCATTTTGTATGTTTTCTTGCAGATTATCAGTTAAGCAGGTACGAAACTTGAGATCTGAATGTATAGGATTGGAAAACCAAATAAAGAAGTAAGTGACTTTTAGAGCTAGAAGTTGCCTTAGATACTAGTTTAGCTCTTGCATTTTACAGGCTAGGAAACAGACTCCCACAAACATTAATTAAAATAATATATCAATAGCCAGATGATGATAGGATTAGAGCATAGTTATGACTGCTAATCCAGTTTTCCTAATAAATTATTATCGCTTTCAGATTAAATTTTATTTTTTGTTGGGGTGGTTGTTGGTGGGTTGATTTGCAGACTAATTAGCTCTTTGGATATTAAATTACCATGTGATTTTTAATATGACTAATTAGATTATTTAATTTTTATTAGAATGGAACCCTATGATGACCACAGTAATATGGAAGAAAAAATTCAAAAGGTGAGACAACTTATAAAAGGAGAAATTTAATCTTTTAAAATTCTGTGATACGCAGTGTTTGCTTAATTAGTGGGACTCTTATAGTCTATTTACCACTTTTTTTTTTTTTTTTTGGAGTTGGAGTCTCGCTCTGTTGCCCAGGCTGGAGTGCAGTGGCATGATTTTGGCTCACTACACCCTCTGCCTCTTGAGTTCAAGTGATTCTGTTGCCTCAGCCTCCTAAGTAGCTGGGATTACAAGCATGCGCCACCACGCCTGGCTAATTTTGTGTTTTTAGTAGAGATAGAGTTTCACCATGTTGGCCAGGCTGGTCTTGAACTCTTGAGCTCAGATGATCTGCATGCCTTGGCCTCCCAAAGTGCTGGGATTACAGGCATGAGCCACCGCGCCCAGCCTCCCTTCCCCTTCCCCCTCCCCTCCCCCTTTTGAGATGGAGTCTCACTCTCCCAGGCTGGAGTGCAGTGGCGTGGTCTCAGCTCACTGCAACCTCCACCTCCTGGGTTCAAGCAATTCTCCTGCCTCAGCCTCCCTAGTAGGTGGGATTACAGGTGTGTGCCAATATGTGCAGCTGATTTTTGTATTTTTGTAGAGATAGGGTTTCGCCATGTTGGCCAAGCTGGTCTTGAACTCCTGACCTCAGGTGATCTGCCCGCCTCAGTCTCCCAAAGTGCTGGGATTACAGGCATGAGCCACTGCGCCCGGTCCCCTTTCTTTTTATAGTACTATTACTTTTTTTTTTTTTAAAACTCATAGGTTGTATATATAAAGATATTGATAGAGTGCCTCTAAAACACTTGAATATAATGGAAAAATGAACTTATAGTTCATAAGCTTAATTATATTCAAAAGGGTTTTTAGACATGATTAATTTGAAATTCTCCACCCCAGTACAAAAAGCTCTGCTTGATTGTAGTATAACCTAGTCAGTGGTATTAATTTATCTAAATAAAATGGATTAACTGAAGGGAGATGTTAAGTATGAAAGGAAAATGAGGAATCAAAATGAGTCTGGTTTGGCAGGAGGGAGGATTCTGACAAATGAAAATGATCTGAGGCCTCCAGAGTTTGGCTTTGATGTGAGTTAAGTATTTTCTTAGGTTTTCTTTTTTTTTTTTTTTGGATAAAATCTCTCTCAAGCTCTTTGTTGTGATTCTGTGATTGCCATGCCAAGCTGCTGTGGGTATAAATTTGGCTTCCAAGGCACATTGTCACCTGTAAAGGTTAGCGCCCTCTTCAGGAAATATTTTTATTCAGTGAATGTATTGATCATCTGATATGTGCTAGGTATCTCGTAGACATTAGGGCTACAACAATGAGGAGAACAGGCAAGGCAAAGTCACTTCCTTCATGGAATTTTCCATTTAATGAATCTCTGATTGCAAATTATATAATTAAAATAATTTGCAGAACCTATTAAAGTTTTCACATCAGTCTCTTCTGAGTTTGGTTCATATTTGTTTTCCCTGAGTACAGTCAACTTTGAGCCATTGTCAAGATAAAAATCTAGACTTGGAAAATATGAGAACCAGATCCTGGACAATTACAGATTCATCAAGGAAATGCCATTCTGTGAGACCTCTAGACTGCTAGCCAATGAGTCTTCCTTTGGGAACAACTTTACCTTGCCATACAACATGTCAGAGATATTTAGGGTGGCACACACCTATAGTTTCACCTACTCAGGAGGCTGAGGCAGGAGGATTGTTTGAGCCCAGGAGCTCAAGGCTGCAGTGTGCTCTGGTTGTGCCAGTGGACTGTAGCCTGGGCAACAGAGCGAGACCCGTCTTAAAAAAGAAAAAAAAAAGAGGCGGGGGTACAGTGGCTCACGCCTGTGAGCACTTTGGGAGGCCGATATGGTTGGATCACTTGAGGCCAGGAGTTTGAGGCCAGCCTGGCCAACATGGTGAAACCCTGTCTCTACCAAAAATAAAAAAGTAGTCTGGTGTGGTGGTACTCACCTGTAGTCCCAGCTATTTGGGTGACTGAGGCACAAGAATCACTTGAACCTGGGAGGCAGAGGTTGCAGTGAGCCAAGATTGTGCCACTGCACTCCAGCCTGGGTGACAGAGTGAGACCTTGTTTCAAAAAAAAAAAAAAAGAAAAAAGAAAAAAAGTGAACTAATTAGAGATATTTAATATTGTATTTTTATCGTGCAGGAAGAACATGTGTATAATTATATTTCTCCACCTCCCTCCCTCTTTTGTAAATTCTGTTAATGCATAACATATATACAAGAAATGTGTAACTCATAAGTATATAGCTTGACAAATTTTCACAAAGTGAACAAGTCCATGTAACCATCATCATTTAAGGAATAGGATGTTACCAGCACCCTAGAATCCTCCTTGAACCTGTTTAGTTTACACTGTTTGCCCCCACGGGGAAACAGTGCCCTCACATGTTACACTAAAGATTAGTTTTGCCTGTTTTTGAACTTCATATAAATGCCAGTATATAGAATATATTCTTTTGTGTCTGACTTTGGCTCAACATTGTTTATGATATTTATCCATGCTGTTGTGTGTAATTGTAGTATGTTTATTCTCATTGCTGCTTAGTGTTCTATTTTATGAATATAGCACCAATGTACCCTTTTTACTCTGGATGGACCTTTGGATTGATTCTACTTTTTGATTGTTACAAATAGACATTCTATGAGTATTCTTTTTTTTTTTTTTTTTGCAAGGATCCTGGGCTTAAGGGATCCTTTTACCTCAGCCTTCTGAGTAGCTGGGATTACAGGTATGCGCCACTGTGCGTGCCTAAATATTCTTGTATATCAATTTTAATGAATATAGATTAGTATATGCCTAAGATTTTTTGCTTTTAATGAGGCATAATTTTTTACACTTTAACTTCCTCAAACTGAATGACTTAAAATTGAGATGTAGTAGTTTTTTTCTCTTGAAAAAAAATTTTTTTTTTTTTTTTGAGATGGAGTCTTGCTCTGTCCCCTAGGCTGGAGTGCAGTGGCGCGATCTTGGCTTACTGCAAGCTCCGCCTGCCGGGTTCACACCATTCTTCTGCCTCAGCCTCCCGAGTAGCTGGGATTACAGGCACCTGCCACCACGCCTGGCTAAGTTTTTGTATTTTTATTAGAGACGGGGTTTCACCGTGTTAGCCAGGATGGTCTCTATCTCCTGACCTCGTGATCTGCTTGCCTCGGCCTCCCAAAGGGCTGGGATTACAGACGTGAGCCACTGCGCCCGGCTTCTCTTGAAAAATTTTTAAAATTATTTCTCCCTGAATGATCTTCATTCGATTAATTACATGTCAGCATATAGAAAATGCTAATTGTATCTTGTATAAGATTTCTTAGATTTGGAGCTGGGTGCAGTGGTGCGTGCCTGTAGTCCCAGCTACTTGGGAGGCTGATGTGGGAAGATTGCTTGAGCCCAGGAGTTTGAGTCTGGCCTGGGCAACATAGTAAGACCCCATCTCTGAAAACAAAAAAATTCTTAGATTTGTTTGAAAATTATAGTGAGCTAGATTCTCCTGATACATTTTTTTAAAAATTCCCTTTGGAAATAATATCCAAAGGGACTTTTAAACTATTAAAGTATAATTATTTAATTTTCTTACTAGAAATCATTCTAGGAAATTTGTTACTAAGAGTGAACATACATTTACATTTTTAAAATATGTACAGATTATGTGTGGACTTTAATATTTTGTTTCTGTTTCCAAAGGTTCGGTCTTTGTGGGCTTCAGTGAATGAAACGCTCATGTTTTTGGAAAAAGAGAGAGAAGTTGTTAGTTCGGTCCTTAGTCTTGTTAACCAATATGCTTTAGATGGAACTAATGTTGCTATTAATATTCCAAGGCTCTTACTTGACAAAATTGAGAAACAAATGTTTCAGGTAAGCATTTGATATTAAGGAAGCTTTTGAGAAAACTCCTATCATGTAATTGTATATTTTCTTGCAATGTTCTTCTGCTTTCAGAATTTGTTTTTTGTTTTTTGTTTTTTGTTTTTTTTTTGAGACAGAATTTTGCTCTTATTGCCCAGGCTGGAGTGCAATGGCGTGGCGTGGTTTCAGCTCACTGCAACCTCCGCCTCCCAGGTTCAAGAGATTCTCCTGCCTCAGCCTCCCGAGTAGCTGGGATTACAGGCATGTGCCACCACACCCAGCTAATTTTGTATTTTTAGTAGACGGGGTTTCTCCATGTTGGTCAGGCTGGTCTCGAGCTCCTGACCTCAGGTGATCCACCCACCTTGGCCTCCCAAAGTGCTGGGATTACAGGCGTGAGCCACCGCACCCGGCCAGAATTTATTTCTATGAGTGTGTTTAGTAAAACTTTCATAAGGAGTGATACTGTTAAAGGTGTGTATATTTATATTCACTTTTATTAATTGCCCCTTACCTGTACAGTACTACATCATATAGTACAGACAGTATGAAGTTTCTTAGTAGGAAGATGATACTGTACTAGTTCATTATAAATTCTCAAAGGCAACAACAGTGATCTCCTAATTGCCAAATGTCCTTTTAAAAAGTCTCCATCCCCTGGTTTGTGTTTTATCTTGATGCTGTTAAGTGTTGCTTGTAAAGCAACATTAAATAATGTTCTCCATGGTTCTTTTAATGCCCTCTTTTTCTTTCCGTCATTATAAATGTATTTGTATTTTCTTACCAATTTCATGACTTCAGCAGTCTCTCCTCATCAACCCAAACTCCATCCAGTTATTTCCACTTGCTTATGGGACATTATCTGGATAGCTTACTTTTTTGTTTTCTTAGAAAACACAATTCATCAAGCATCTATTATATACTGGAGAGATACAAAGATAAAATATTGTTGTGACTCTCTGAAGAGAGACACTTCTTTAGTAGAGACGGGGTTTCACCATGTTGGCCAGGCCGGCTTAGAGCTCCTGACCTCAAATGATCCTCTTGCCTCGGCCCCCAAAGTGCTGGGATTACAGGCGTGAGCCAGTGTGCCTGGCCCATAATTTTTGTGTGAAATCTATGATTTAAAAAGTATTGGAAACTGTCTGGGTATGGTGGCTCACACCTATAATCCCAACACTTTGGGAAGCTGAGGAGGGTAGATCACTTGCGGTCAGGTATTGAGACCAGCCTGGCCAACATGATGAAACCCTGTCTCTACTAAAAATACAAAAATTAGCTGGGCATGGTGGTGCACATCTGTAGTCCCAGCTACTTGGGAGGCTGAGGTGGGAGGATCGCTTGAATGCTTGGGTCGGAGGCTGCAATGAGCCAAGATTGAGCCACTGCACCCAGCCTGGGAGACAGAGTGGGATTCTGCCTCAAAAAAAAAAATTAAAATTAAAATTAAAAAATTGGCAACTAATTCAAATGATTTTAAGACATAGAAATGTGCAAGCCAAAGAAACATATTTAAGTACAGATACAGCCTTTAGGGGTCATTGATTTGTAACTTCTGTTAAAAAATGAATTTATGGTCTTTTCACTAAACCTGCTGTTTCTGCTCAATCTTTATTTTTCTTTCCATCTATTAACATTTCTTTTATTCTAGTTTTCAACCTTTTGTGTAATATAAAAATGTAGCAAAAAATGTAGCAAGGCATGTTACTCTTTCCTAGTAGTTTTCACTGGGCCAAAATTATTTACGTCATTTTATGTTTGGGGGTATTTGATTTTTTTCCCCCCGCTTTTTTTTTTGTTTGTTTGTTTGAGATGGAGTTTCACTCTTATTGCCCAGGCTGGAGTACAATGGCACAATCTCGGCTCACTGCAACCTCTGCCTCTTGGGTTCAAGCGATTCTCCTGCCTCAGCCTCTGGAGTAGCTGTGATTACAGGCATGTGCCACCACGCCCAGCTAATTTTGTATTTTTAGTAGAGACAGGGTTTCTCCATGTTGGTCAGGCTGGTCTCGAACTCCCGACCTCAGGTGATCCGCCCCCACCACCCCCAACTCCCAGAGTGCTGGGATTACAGGTGTGAGCCGTTGCGTCTGGCCTTTCCCTCTTCTTTAAGGTAAACTTTAATAGTAAAAAACATAAATATTTTTATGTAATAGTTTGTTGTAACAACCTATAGTTCACCAATTTTTTTCTCCTCCTGATTCCTTAGTTGCACATAGGAAATGTTTATGAGGCTGGAAAACTGAACCTCTTAACAGTTATTCAGTTATTAAATGAAGTCTTGAAGGTGATGAAATATGAACGTTGTCAGGCTGATCAAGCAAGATTGACGGTAGACCTTCACTACCTTGAAAAAGAGACCAAATTTCAGAAGGAAAGATTATCAGATCTGAAACATATGAGGTACACTAAAAAGATCTGTTATTTTACTGTGGGAGGAGTAGGGTGGTTTTCTCAACAAAACTTGTATAAGTTTAATAGCTCTTCAGCTTTGGCAAACAAGTATGAGAATTCTAATACTCAAAAATCTTACATAATCAACTCTTGGAGATATACATGAAGCAGAAAGGAAAAGGAAAATTAATGGAATAAATGATTTGCCCTGAATAATTTTTTTGTGAAATAATTTTAGCTTTTCTGTAGTTTTCTTTTGTTGGGTCTAATCTTAAAACCTTAGGAAAGTTTTTTTTTTTTTTTTTTTTTTTTTGAGACGGAGTTTCGCTCTCGTTGCCCAGGCTAGAGTGCAATGGCGCGATCTTGGCTCACCACAACCCCTGCCTCCTGAGTTCAAGTGATTCTCCTGCCTCAGCCTCTTGAGTAGCTGCGATTACAGGCATGTGCCACCACGCCTGGCTAATTTTGTATTTTTAGTAGAGATGGGTTTTCTCCATGTTGGTCAGGCTGGTCTCGAACTCCCGACCTCAGATGATCCACCTGCCTCGGCCTCCCAAAGTGCTGGGATTACAGGCGTGAGCCACCAAGCCAGGCCCCTTTTTTTTTTGAGACAGAGTCTTGCTCTGTTGCCCAGGCTAGAGTGCAATGGTGTGATCTCCCGGGTTCATGCGATTCTCCTGCCTCAGACTCCCGAGTAGCTGAGATTACAGGCACGCGCCATCACGCCTGGCTAATTTTTGTATTTTTAGTAGGGATGGGGTTTCACCATGTTGGCCAGGCTGGTCTTGAACTCCTGACCTCAGGTGATCCGCCTGCCTCAGCCTTTCGAACAGTTTTTTTATTAACCAGAAAGAATAGAAAGTATGGGCTGCTTATAGGAATGGACAGAGAGTGGGAGTGAAAGTTCTACTCAAGTTTAGAGCAAGGAAAAACTTCTATCTTAAAAATAAATGGAGTAGCTGGGCATGGTGGCTCACACTTGTAATCCCAGCACTTTGGGAGACTGAGGCAGGTGGATCACCTCAGGTCAGAAGTTCAAGACCATTCTGGCCAATATGGGGAAACTGCGTCCCTACCAAAAAGACACAATTAGCCAGGCGTGGTGGCGTGCGCCTGTAATCCCAGCTACTTAGTAGGCAGAGGCAGGAGAATCACTTGAACCTGGGAGGCAGAGGTTGCAGTGAGCTGAGATTGCACCATTGCACTCCTCCAGCCTGGGTGACAGAGTGAGACTCCATCTCAATAAAAAAAAAAAAAGAAAAAAAAATAATAAAATGGAGTAATAGATGTATTATTGTTTCGTGTATTTTTTTTTTTTTTTTTGAGACGGCATTTCCCTCTTTTTGCCTAGGCTGGAGCACAATAGCGCAATCTCGGCTTTCTGCAACGTCTGCCTCCTGATTTCAAGTGATTCTCCTGCCTCAGCTTGTTGAGTAGCTGGGATTACAGGTGCATGCCACCATGTCCAGCCAATTTTGTATTATTATTATTTTTCAGTAGAGACAGGGTTTCACCATTTTGGTCAGGCTGGTCTTGAACTCCTGACCTCATGTGATCCACCTGCCTCAGCCTCCCAAAGTTCTGGGATTATAGGTGTGAGCCACCATACCCGGCCTCTTTCTGGTCTTTTTTTTTTTTTTTTAAACTAATTTTTTAAAATTATTTATTTATTTATTTATTTTTTATTTTTGAGACGGAGTTTTACTCTTGTCTCCCAGGCTGGAGTGCATGGAGTGCAATGGCACGATCTCGGCTCACTGCAACCTCTGCCTCCTGGGTTCAAGCGATTCTCCTACCTCAGCCTCCTTAGTAGCTGAAATTACAGGCACCCACCCCTACGCCCGGCTAATTTTTGTATTTTTCATAGAGATGAGGTTTCACCACATTGGCCAGGCTGGTCTTGAACTCCTGACCTCAGGTGATCCACCTGCCTTGGCCTCCCAAACTGCTGGGATTACAGGCATGAGACACTGCCCCCGGCCTTCTTTATGGTCATAAAAAGAGAAAGGTATTTTAGGTTCTGAATATTCACCTGTGAGAGTTTATTTAATTTATATGTGGTATATTGATTGAACTTTCACTTCTATTTCCTTCCACTTCTCTACAACTATTGTTATTTTCTTAAATTTTACTCAGTGCTTTTTTTGTATCATCTTTTGAATAAAGTTTTTTTATGCTATTATAGGTATAGAATAAAAGATGATCTCACAACTATAAGACATTCTGTTGTTGAAAAGCAAGGAGAATGGCATAAAAAGTGGAAAGAATTTCTTGGTTTGTCTCCTTTCAGTCTAATTAAAGGTTGGACTCCAGTAAGTAATGTTGACTTGCCCCTGCCCTCCCCGCCACCCACCTTTTTTTTTTTTTTTGAGACAGTGTCTTGCTCTGTTGCCCAGGCTGGAGTAGAGTGGCACGATCATAGCTGGCTGGAGTACAGTGGCACGATCATAGCTGGCTGGAGTACGGTGGCATGATCATAGCTTGTTGTAACCTTGAACTTCCGGGCTCAAGCAATCCTCCCACCTCAGCCTTCTGAGTAGCTGGGACTACAGGTTTGCACCACCAAGCCTGGCTAATTTTTTCTTTAATTTTATAGATAGGGTCTCCCTATATTGCCAAGGCTGGTCTCAAACTCCTGGGCTCAAGGGATCTTCCTGCCTCGGCCTCCCCAAAGTACTGGGATTACAGGCATGAGCCACTACACTCAGCCAATTTGCCTTTTGGAGAATAGTTTCATATATGGCAATTTGTGAATTTATTGTGTTACAAATGACCTAGAAATGTTGTATGTATGTCATCTTTCATTTGAGTCTAAAGTTTCTATGTTATGGTTTCTGTAATTTTTCTAAATGTATATATAATATAATATCCATAAGTTGCTGTTATTTAGAGTTAATATTTTTAGATTCGAAGGATTGTATGAAAAAGAAAACAATTATTATTATTATTTTTTGAGACAGAGTCTTGCTCTATTGCCCAGGCTGGAGTGCAGTGGCACGATCTCAGCTCACTGCAGCCTCTGCCTTCGAGGTTCAAGTGGTTCTACTGCCTCGGCCTCCCAAGTAGCCGGGACTAAAGGTGCCCGCCACCACGCTCGGCTAATTTTTCTATTTTCAGTAGAGATGGGGTTTTACCACGTTGGCCAGGCTGGTCTCGAATACCTGACTTCAGGTGATCCACCTGCCTCTGCCTCCCAAAGTGCTGGGATTATGGGCGTGAGCCACTGTGCCCAGCCAGAAAACAAGACTCCTCTTGATGTGAGGTACTATGATGTTTGAGAAATTCAAGGACTAAGTAATCCCCCTTGCTCCTAATGTTGTACTCTGCTTTAAAAATAGTTATAGGGCTGGGCGTGGTGGCTCACACATGTCATCCCACTGTTTTGGGAGGCAGAGGCAGGAGGATCATTTGAGGCCAGGAATTGGAGACCAGCCTGGACAACATGGTGAGACCTTATCTCTACCAAAAACAACCCCCAAAACTGGGTGTTGTGGTGTGTCTCTGCAGGCCTAGCTACTCGAGAGGCTGAAGTGGGAGGACTGCTTAAGTCCAGGAGTTTGAGGCTGCAGTGAGCTATGATAATGTCACTGCTCTTTAGCCTAGGCGAGGGACTGAGACCCTGTCTTTAAGAAAAATAAATAAATAAAAATAGTTATCTGATACATTCTTGGTAATTCTGACTTTCTTATTGAGAAGATAATCTATTCATAGATTAACTCAGTATTGTTATTGTGGTAGTTAGCAAATATGTTTACTTCAAAATTGTGAATTTTCTGTTTTAAGTCTGTAGATCTTTTACCACCAATGTCTCCCCTTTCGTTTGATCCTGCCTCAGAAGAAGTGTATGCAAAGAGTATTCTTTGTCAGTATCCTGCTTCACTTCCAGGTTGGTTATTTATTTATTTTTTTCTCTTTGAAACCTCCTTCCTGTCATTCTTTTTCATTATAATAATAGTTCTTTAAATTCCTTATCTTTTTCCTCCATTTTTTTTTATTGTGGTGAAATGCATGTAACATAAAATTCACAATTTCAGTTATTGCAAAGTATATAACTCAGTGGCATTTAGTACATTTACAATGTTGTGCAGTCATCATCACTATCTAGTTCTTGAACTTTTTCTTTTATTTTTTTTTGAGACAGGGTCTCACTTTGTTGCCCAAGCTGGAGTGCAGTCGAACAATCTCAGCTCACTGTAGCCTTGACCACCCCAGGCTCAAGTGATCCTCCCACCTCAGCCTCTCATGTGGCTGGGACACCACACCCGTCTAATTTTTATATTTTTTTTTTTTTGTAGAAATGGGATTTCACCATGTTGCCCGGGCTGATCTTGAACTCCTGGGCTCAAATGATTGACCCGTCTCAGCCTCCCAAAGTGCTGGGATTACAGGCATGAGCCACTGAGCCCAGCCCCCAGAATATTTTCATCATCTCAAAAAAACCCTCTAACCCACTAATCAGTCACTTCCATTTTCCCCGCTAGTCCCTGGCAGCCAGTAATGTACTTGTGTTTTTTTTTTTTTTTTTTTCCGAGATGGAGTCTTGCTCTGTTGCCCAGGCTGGAGTGCAGTGGCGCAATCTCAGCTCACTGCAACCTCTACCTTGGGTTCAAGCAATTAACCATCTTGCCTCAGCCTCCTGAGGAGCTGGGATCACAGGTATGCGCCACCACACCTGGCTAATTTTTTTTGTATTTTTAGTAGAGACGGAGTTTCACCATGTTGGCCAGGCTGGTCTTGAGCTCCTGACCTCGAATGATCCGCCCGCCTTGGCCTCCCAAAGTGCTGGGATTATAGGTGTGAGCCACTGTGCCTGGCCCATTAATGTACTTCTTATCTCTATGTATTTGTCTGTTCTGGATATTTCATATAAATGAAGTCATATAATATGAGTCCTGTTGTTTCTGGCTTCTTTCACTTGCACTGTTTTTAACTTTGCACAATGTTTTCTCAAACTGATTCCAAGCAATTCTCCTTCCTTGGCCTCCCAAAGTGCTGGGATTATAGGTGTGAGGCACCACATGTGCAGTATTTTCAAGTTTTTTACATCTTGTAGCATGTATCAGCGTTCAATTTTTAAAAATCAGATTTGTTGAGATATAATTCACATATACAATTCACCCATTGAAAATGTACAATTTCTTGCTTTTTGCTAAATTCACAAATATGTGCAACCATCATCACAATTGTAAACATTTTCATCACTTGAAAAAGAAACCTCATACCCTTTAGCTATCACCCCCCAATCCCCCTTCACTTCTCCAGTTCAAAGCAATTATGAAGATATTTTCTGTCTCCAGATTTCCCTGTTCTGGATTTTCATATGGATGGAATCATATCATATATAGACTTTTGTGACTGGCTTCTTTCACTTAGCATAGCGTTTTCAAAGTTCATCTAAGTTGTGGCATGTATCAGTCAGTATTACATTCCTTTTCTATGAATACATGCCATTGTATCCTCTACCACATTTTGTTTATCCATTCATCTGTTGATGGACATTTGGGTTGTTTTCACCTTTTGACTATTATGAGTAATGCTTCTATAAACATTCTGTACAGGTTTTTTGTGGAAGCTCACAATTTTTTTTAACATGAAAGAATAGTACAATAATTAACCTGTGTTAATTAGCACATGTGTACAAGACAATTAGGTTCTGTAAATAGAGGATAGATAAGGAATGAATGAATAAAAAACAAATTTTATAGCCAAACTGGAGCAGGTAATAGTTGTAGGCTGTAGTTCAGTTAGGTGAAAGGTCATGACAGCAGTTAGCACAGGACTTAATCACTGGGATAGGTAATTGGTTTGAGAGTCAGGTGTATTTGGGGAGGACACTGGTTGGGAAAGATTATAGACCAGAGAGCAAGGCTCAGTTTAGGTGCAACCAGAAGAGAAGACATAGAAAAGTCTGCATAGGGCTGGGCATAGCAGCTCACACCTATAATCCTGGCACTTTGGGAAGCCTAGGGTGGAAGATTGCTTAAGCCCAGGAGTTCGAGACCAGCCTGGACAACATAGTGAGACCCATTCTCTACAAAAAAATGAAAAATTAGCCAGGCCTGGTGGTGTGTGTCTGTAGTCCTAGCTATTCAGGAGGCTGAGGCAGGAGAATCATTTGAGCCCGGGAGTTCAAGGCTGCAATGATCTATTACTGCTCCACTGCACAATGCTCTAGCCTGGACAACAGAGTAAGACCCTCTCTCTCTTCTTTCTCTTTTTCTTAAATTTTTTTGATTTTTTTTTGAGACAGAATCTCACTGTCATCCAGGTTGGAGTGCAGTGGTGCGATCTCGGCTCATTGCAACCTTCGCCTCCCGGGTTCAAGCAATTCTCCTGCCTCAGCCTCCCCAGTAGCTGGGATTACAGGCACACTCTGCCATGCCTGGCTAATTTTTTATATTTTAGTAGAGACAGGGTTTCACCGTGTTGCCCAGGCTGGTCTCAAACTCCTGAGCTCAGCCATTCCGCCTGCCTAGCCTCCCAAAGTGCTGGGATTACAGGTGTGAGCCACCGTACCTGGCCCTTTTTCTTAAATTTTAACTTAAACTTTTATTTTAAATTAAAAATTAGTGTTATGCATGCTCAGGGGCCATGTTAATCTCTGTATTGTTCCAATTTTAATATATGTGCAGCTGAAGTGAGCATGAGACCCTGTCTCTTAAAAAAATAAAAGGCTGCATTGTTTGATAAATGAGGGGGAGCTTCAGATAGAGCATCCTGGTTCCATGGTGGCTTTGGACAGTCCTTAATTATGGTAGAATTCTTTTGATAGCTCTTGGCTTTGTTTTTATCTCTTTTATTTTTATTTTTTATTTTTGAATTATTTCTCTCTTTTTTTTTTTTTTGGAGATCCACTAGTCAACAGAGCTCTTAGGGTTGTGTTGTGTTTTCATTTCAGTTGGGAAAGGGCTTTTGCACTCTTGCCAGGATTAGTTTACCCCTTCGAATCTATGAAATTCTCATGTCCATTTGGAGGTTTCTCTACTTGCCTTTATACTGAGGGAAAATGTGTCCGTTTAGGAAGTCCAGTTGGAAGTTGTACTCTTGGGAGTCCTTTTTTTTTTTCCTAGTATAGAACCTTGATCTGAGCTGGGCTACTTCAACATTATATTTTTTGTGGTAAAACAACCTTTTCCGCCTTCCTATACCTTACATATTGCATCTTACTTAATTTACTTTAAAAATGTTTTTTAGAATTATATTTCAGCATATTTAAAAGTACAGAGAATAATATTATAAATACTTGTTTATTAAACACCTTTTTTTGGCAAAGGTTTGCAATATTCACTTTAGGTTTTTTAAAAGGTACATATGTAGTTAATCCTTGGATATCCACCTTTCTTCACCTTCCTTACTGATTTCACAGAGGTAATCACTATTCTGAATCTAATCTTTATTCTGATGTATGTTTATAAAATAAATTTATTACATATGTATAGACCTATAAACAATATGTAATATTGTTCTTCCTCTTTTTTAAAGTTTATAAATGAAAATTTTTTATTATCTTCCAAAAGGTTCTTTGTTAATGTTTGTATTTTTCAAACAAGGATCCAGGGAGGGTTAGTTCATTACATGTGATTGTTTTATTTTCTTAGTAACTTTTATTCTAGAATAATGCCTGTCTTTTTTTAATGACATTGATAGAAATTGTTTTTAACAATTACTATGTTTAAATTGAGCAACACGATTAATGACTTTTTTGGTCTATTCTTTTGTTCTTCTCCTTTTGAGAAGTGTATCTCAAAGTATATGCTTAGTTCTTGGACTCTGAATAGTAAAATTCTCGTTCTTTCTTTGAAAATGTCTTCATTTGCACTCATTTTTGAATGATAGTTTAGTTGGATATAGAATTCTAGATTGACATTTATTTGTCTTTCAGACTTCCATGATATAATCTCGTTGTTTTCTGTTGTTTTTGAGGCTGTTTGCTCTTGGTCTACTTGTCATTCATTTGTAGTTAATTTTTTTTTTTTTTTGAGACAGAGTCTTTATTACCCAGGCTTGAGTGTAGTGGCACAATCTCAGCTCACTGCAACCTCTGCCTCCCGGGTTCAAGCAATTCTTCTGCCTAAGCTTCCCATGTAGCTGGGATTCCTGGCGTGTGCCATCACACCTGGCTAATTTTTGTATTTTTAGTAGAGACGGGGTTTCACCATGTTGAACAGGTTGGTCTTGAACTACTGACCTCAAGTGATCTGCCCGCCTTGGCCTCCCAAAGTGCTGAGATTACAGGTGTTAGTCATCGTACCTGGCCCATTTGTAGTTAGTTAATTTTTCTTTTCTTTTTTTTTTTTGAGAGGGAGTTTCACTGTTGTTGCCCAGGCTGGAGTGCAATGGCATGATTTCCACTCACTGCAACCTCTGCCTCTTGGGTTCAAGCGCTTCCCCTAGTTCAAGCTTCCAAGTAGCTGGGATTACAGGCATGTGCCACCATGCCCAGCTGATTTTTGTATTTTTAGTAGAGACGGGGCCAGGCTGGTCTCAAACTCCTGACCTTAGGTGATCCGCCCACCTTGGCCTCCCAAAGTGTTGGGATTACAGGCATGAGCCACTGGGCTCGGCCCATTTATAGTTAGTTAATTTTTGATTTCTGGTTGCTTTTAAGGTTTTTCTTTGGCTGGGCGTGGTGGCTCACGCCTGTAATCCCAGCACTTTGGGAGCCTGAGGCAGGAGGATTGCTTGAGCCTAGGAGACCAACCTGGGCAATAAAGTGAAACCCTGTCTCTATAAAAAAACACAAAAAATTAGCTGGGCATGGTGTCATGCACCTGTGGCCCCAGTTACTTTTGAGGCTGAGGTGGGAGGATCGCTTGAGCCCAGGAAGTCGAGGCTGTAGTGAGCCATGATTGTGGTACTGCAGTCAGCCTGGGTGACAAAGCAAGACCCTGTCTCAAAAAAAAAAAAAAAAAAAGAAAATATTTTTCTTTTGTATTATGCAGGTTCACTGGGATATATCTAAATGTAGTTTTGTTTTATTTAGCCTATTTGGGATTTGTGTGTGCTTATTTATTCTGAAAGCTCATATCTTCAGTTTAGAAACTTATTCACCAATATCTCTTAAAATATTACTTTATCTCTTATTCTTTTGATCCTTTCCTTCTGAAACTCCTATTGTTGGGACTTCTAATTCTGTCTTTCATATCTTTTAACTTCTCATTCATATTTACAACTTTTTTGTATCTCATGGCTTCATTCTAGGTATTTTCTTTAGATACCTCCTATAACTCACTGATTTATCTTTTAGTTATGTTTAATCTGCTTTTTGACCTGTCTGTCTAGTATTTAGTAGTCATAGGTATATACTTTTTACCTCTGTAATCCTTACTTCTTTTCTGTAACTGCCTGTTTTTCATGGTGTCATCTTTCATTATGGCTTCTGTTCCACTTGGACATGTACAAATGGGGAAAGCCTTTCAGAAGGTAACATGATGAAAGAGGTCGAGCCCTTGGAATATCAGATCTTCTGTAATCCAGTCATGGCTTTCTCTACCAATCTTATTTCCCACCATGCTTCCACTGGATGTACCCTGTGCTCCATCATAGCAACTTGTACCTCGTTCTCTCAGTACCTTCATGCCTTCTTCCCACTCTGCAGTCTGGGCTGGATGTCTGTCCTCTGCCTCCTTAAATTCTGTATATACTTCTGTCATAATACTGTAGAAGTATAACATAACACTTGACTCATCACTATCCTTTCCTAGACTGACTCTTCGGAGGCAACATTTCCATCTTTCATTTCTTTCTTCCATTGTTGGTATGGTAGTAGCATGTAGTTATTCAGTCATAGGTTGAAGAATAAATATATAGGTTGACTGATACCATAAATGTGCACTGAAATATGCTAAGACTGTAACTTTTTGGCCTTGCTGGCTTTTGTGATAATCTCATGATCTGTGTATGTAAACATGAAGCATATAACACTGGGGAATTATGGATTCTTAGTCTTTGAGTAACTTGTTTTAGTATTAGCCATCATTTCTTTTATAAAAGCTAGATGTTCTCTATTACTTTTCTGCTCATCACTTTATACTTATCAATTGAATAATTATGTTTTCCTATTAGTGTTCATATTTTGGTTTTTCTGTTTTCTTCTGTTTACAAGTTGTTCTCGAATTTCAAGGAATCCTTGAATGTTAGAATGTACAAACATAATTAAAGAGTAACCAATTTTTAAATTTCTTTAGATGCACATAAGCAACATAACCAAGAAAATGGTTGCAGAGGAGACAGTGATACCTTGGGAGCGCTACATGATCTAGCCAACAGGTAAAACAAATTTGATTTTCTTTTGTTAAACATTAAAAAACTCTTATTTTATAAAAAATAGAGATGGAACTGAGAGGTGAAGCCAGCTGGACTTCTGGGTCTGTTGGGGAGTTGGAGAACTTTTCTGTATTACAAGAGGATTGTAAAAACGCACCAATCACTGGATGTAGTGGCTCACTCCTGTAATCCTAGCACTTTGGGAGGCTGAGGTGGGAAGATCGCTTGAGCCCAGGAGTTCTAGACCAGTACAGGCATAGCAAGACCCTGTCTGTACTAAAAGGAAAAACAAAAGGTGTGGTCTTTCTGGGTTGCAGAGGCTAGTCTTTAACTCTTGGCCTCAAGTGATCCTCCTGCCGGGGCCTCCCAAAGTGCTGGGATTATGGTCATAACCTCCTGTGCCTGACCCAAATTTGATTTTTATATTGATTTTTTTATATATTAATTTTATTCCCATCTTAAACCAGTTTCCAATCTTATTTACTCTGGGATAGTGCATAATTTTGCCTTTTGTTTTTTTTTGAAATGGAGTCTTGCTCTTGTTTCCTAGGCTGGAGTGCAATGGCACGATTTTGGCTCACTGCAACATCCCCGCCTCCTGGGTTCAAATAGTTCCCCTCCTGGGTTCAGGCTACCTCCTAAGTAGCTGGCATTACAAGCGCCTGCCACCACACTTGGGTAATTTTTGTATTTTTAGTAGAGATGAGGTTTCACCATGTTGGCCAGGCTGGTCTCGAACTCCTGATCTCAGGTGATCTACCCGCCTTGGCCTCCCAAAGTGCTGTGATTACAGATGTGAGCCACCGCACCCGGCCAATTTTGCCCTTTTAACTGGACAATATTTTTCTACCATAGACCCACATTTTCAGAAAAGATCCAACATTTATGATACATGGGCATTTTTTCCTCTTCTATTCTTTATCTAAATATTGAGTTTCATGGGGATTATTTGGAAATTATCTAATGCAAATTTGAGAGTTTTTGCCTTTTTATGTATGTGAACTTTTTTGAAACTAAGTTCAAGTGTTTGGGGGCCTTTGAGATCATCTTGTCCAGATAGTTTTCAGACTACATCCTATAGTGCCATTTGGTGCTGTGGATGTATCTAACATAACCCGTGGCTGGTCCAGCCTTTTCCCACTTTAGCCTTGGGCAACTTGCTCTTTTATATATGTTATATATTGTGGTGTTTGGTAAACTATTCGATAAGAAGAGTTCCATGCTTAAAAAAAAATTGGACAACTTCTGATTTACTATAACCACCAGATTTAACATATGAAAAAACTGGATTTTGTTCTAACTTCCTCCAGTAATATTCCTATTTTCTTTATTGCCTTTTTTTTTCTCTATTATCCCATTTTGGACTAATTACAGATTATATGAGCAAAAAATCTGTGAACTAAATGTATGTAATCCGATTGGGGAACATATTAGTTCTTCATTGAAATTAAACATTATTAAGTAGCAATCAAACACGAAACTTTCCTTTATTAGTTTTTTTTTTTTTAATTGTTTTTTAACCTAAATAGGTGTCTTTCATTACAACTTCCCCAAGTAGATGAGGGACAGATGAAAATAAAATACTTAGGAAAATTATAAAGGAAAATCCTAAATTTTAAATGAAGCACTCATCATTCTATGCCATCTTAGTAAGTTAATAAGCTGTAACACTAACCAGAGTTAAAACTTTTTTTGTAAAATTGAGTTATTGGTAATTGGTTCTGCAGTAATCTAGTTCACAGGCAGTCAGGACTAGTTGTGGAAGAACCATATTTTAGTCTATCTGGATTTGATGTTAATTTTTTGAGTGCCTAAAGAAAAATAATGAAATCTTCTCTGAGGACCTGTAATCTAGTTCACAGGCAGTCAGGACTAGTTGTGGAAGAACCATATTTTAGTCTATCTGGATTTGATGTTAATTTTTTGAGTGCCTAAAGAAAAATAATGAAATCTTCTCTGAGGACCTGGTGTTAAGAGATAGTAAAGTTACTGGCCTACCCATTTTACACTCATATCACAGTTCTTTTTATGGCAGGCTAGGGGAGGGTATGGTTGGTGCTTCCCAAACTCAGTTATGTTTTCGATTTGTCTTCCTTGAGGGAGCAAACTAAATATTTTGATTAAGGTGTTTTGCTGGACTAAAGATTGATAGGGATACTAGATTAATATATATAGCAGATTTTATTCATGAACCCCATTAAACCTCAAGATAACTTTTTTTTTTGGGGGGCCAGGTGCGGTGGCTCATGCCTGTAATCCCAGCACTTTAGGAGGCTGAGGTGGGTGGCTCACCTGAGGTCAGGAGTTCGAGACTAGCCTGACCAACATGGTGAAACCCCGTCTCTACTTAAAATACAAAAAATTAGCTGGGTGTGGTGGCGCATGCTTATAATCCCAACTACTTACTTGGGAGGCTGAGACAGGAGAATTGCTTGAACCCAGGTGGCGGAGGTTGCGGCGAGCCGAGGTTGCACCATTGCACTCCAGCCTGGACAACAAGAGTGAAACTCTATCTGAAAAAGAAAAACAAAATTCTTTTTGAAGAATTTTGTACCAAGATACTATCAGAATTCTGTAAGAGCCAGAAACTCAACCCCTAAGAATTTAGTTCAAATGGAAACTCTTAATATAGGAAAAAGAAGGTCTATTAGATATACTTTGATTTCCACATCTGTCTTCTTCTAAGCTCCTGAATCTTTTAGTTATATTCTGATTATTTTAATTATAGATTTGAAATACTGAAGGGAGGTAGGGGAAGGCCTGGTGGTGAGGGATAAATGGTTAATGGGATATAAAAGATTATCATTGCTAGATATCAGAATAAAACAGAAGGCCTGTGAAAAGCTAAGTTTCTGGGACGTGGAAGTAGTCTGCTCAGAATTCTTCACTGTTAAAGGTATATGTAGTTACATGTTCCATCAGTAATATGTAACATAGGTGGACTGTACTTAATGAAAGAAGATAATACCTTTTTTGCATGTAGTTCAGCAATTACACTATTTTATCTGCAATACATCATCTTTTATCAGTAATAATGTAGTTAACTGGGAAATTCATATGTGGATATGATCAATATAACTATTCAACTAAAAAAGCATGGAAAGAATGTAGTTTTTAGAGAGTGTTATCAGCCCTATCACATGCAGTTGTCATTCATGGATACCAAAAGATATGTAGTCTTTTCCATAAATCTCATTGCTGGCTTTTTTTTTTTTTGAGAAGGGACTTGCTCTGCTACCCAGGCAGGAGTGCAGTGGTGCAGTCATAGCTCACTGCAGCCTTGATCTCCTGGGCTCAAGTGATCCTCCCATCTCAGCTACCCAAGTAGCTAGGAGTGCAGGCATGCACCTCCACACCCAGCTAATTAAATTTTTTTTTTTTTTTTTTTTTTGTAGAGATGAGGTCTCACTATGTTGCCCAGGCTGGTCTCAAACTTCTGAGCTCAGGTGATCCTCCCACCCCGACCTCCCAAAATGCTAGGGTTTCAGACGTGAGCCACCTTGCCTGGCTTCCATTTCTGGTTCTGATCAGAGCGAGAGGCTGCATTATACTTAAAACCAGAATTCAGCAATTGGTGATGCCTTTGCTGTACACTGTGAGCATTAGCATTCTTTGCAATGGCTTTTTGTGTTTGTGTGTGTGGGGGGGAGTTCCATGATATTTCTAACGGTAATGATGCTGTTGTTCTAGACATCTAACTTCTATGTTTTCTCCTATACCACATTTCAAAGATAAGGAGGGCAGTATGATCTTGCATACGTGCCAGCTAAATGTCATTTGTGTTAGAAATTGAATTCTAGTCTCATATCTTTCTCTTTTTATAGTTTCTATTTTTATTTTTCTCCTAATTATTGGTATAACAACAGCAACAAATAAAAATGAGAAATAATTGGTTAAAGTTTTTAAGGAATCACTTGTAACTCCCTCCCCCGCCCCGCCAAGTTCTTATCTAGGCTTTGTATACCACGATATATAAATTTAGCTCTAGCTGGGCATGGTGGCTCATGCCTGTAATCCCAGCACTTTGGGATGCTGAGGCAGGCAGATCACCTGAGGTCAGGAGTTTGAGAACAGCCTGGCCAACATGGTGAAACCCTGTCCCTATTAAAACTACAAAAATTAGCCAGGTGTGGTGGTCGGCACCTGTAATTCCAGCTACTCAGGAGGCTGGGGCAGGAGAAGTGCTTGAACCCAGGAGGCGGAGGTTGCAGTGAGCCAGGATCCCGCCACTGCACTCCAGTGTGGGCGACAGAGTGAGAGTCTGTCTCAAAAAAAAAAAAAAAAAATTTTTGGCTGTGATCAAAGGATGGATACAATCTAAATACAAATTTTAAAATGCAGAATTCTAAAGTACAAAATTTTATTCATTAATTTATTTTTGAGGCGGAGTTTCGTTCCTGTTGCCCAGGCTGGAGTGCAATGGCACGATCTCGGCTCACTGCAACTGCTGCCTCCTGGGTTCAAGCGATTCTCTTGCTTCAGCCTCCCGAGTAGCTGGGATTACAGGCGCCCATGACCACACCTGGCTAATTTTTGTATTTTTAGTAGATATGGGGTTTCATCATGTTGGCGAGGCTGGTCTTCAACTCCTGACCTCAGGTGATCCGCTTGCCTCAGCCTCCCAAAGTGGTGGGATTACAGGCGTGAGCCACCGCGCCCAGCCCAAAATTTTAAAACATTAACATAGTATAAACGGTTGTGATTTTTTTTTGGCTGTCTGTATGTTTAAATAACATATTAACCAATTTTCATTGATAATAGCTTTGTAACACTACATTTATTTGTAGACTTGAATTTTCTCTCAATTTTATTTTTTACTACTATAAAAAGTGTGTTCCTCTTTTTTCTCTCTGTTCTTCCCTTAGGATAAATTTCCACAAGGGGATCACCATCCTTCTGTTTTGTTACAGTGCTAGGATTTCATAGGCCTCAATCTTGGCATGGCAAATGGACGAAGTATAAAGACTGAGCCAGGGCTGCTTTAAACTTGTCTTAGATTATGATGTTAGCAGGTTTAATAGCATGTTGCCAGTTCAGAAATGAGAGAGGGGAGGGTACAGAATGTTTCCATTGTTCTCTGCTATAAGGTTCCACAAGAATCATTCAAATGGAAACACTTGTCACCTATAGAACCCCATTCTCAAGTGGCATTTACTCATCGATTCCATCAATCCATCAAATAGTTAACATGTATGTATTGCACTACCAACCACTGTGTTAGCCTCTGGGAATAGCCTTAGGGAAAGACATAGCCTTTGTCCTTACCTTCTTGTGGTGGTGGCACCTTAGTGGCATTGGTCCATAGATTGCTGGCTCTGTTTCAGGGGGCTTTTTGATAATTTTAATGTTAAGTTTCCCTCAAAATCTAGTAGATGATCAATTCTTTGCCTTTGATATCTGGATTATATTTTGTCAATGCTACGTTGAAGCTTGAGTGATTGCAGTGATTTTGAATTATGTTTGGAACGTAGGCAAAGACTCTAAGAGTGCATATTTGAAAAAGTTTGAAAATTACATTTACTATGATATAAAATATTTGCAGTGCTATTAATTTTGTACTTCTAGTTATAAGAAGAAAGGAAAGTACCAACATGCATGCTGTTGAAAGCAGTCTTTGATAATCCTGTCTTATAGTAACTAGAGTAGAAAAGCTTTAGGCTTTTAACTTTTAAAGGTTTTTAAGACCAAAGTAAAAAAGTTACCATTTCTTTGAAGATTTTAGAATTTAATAACATTTTATAATTAGCATGAAAAGCTGCATAAATTTTAATATTTATCCAAAAGGGCAAGGGAATACAAAAGATTAACAAATACAACAGAATGTGGCAAACTAAAACTCTGACCTTATGACATTACTGTGAAACTGTAACATGTTTGCTATAGAGTAAAATTTAGCATATGAGAAATTGATTTTGGATATGAAGTATCAAGAGAATCTTAAAAATAAGTCTGCTGGGCCAGGTGTGGTGGCTCACACCTGTAATCCTAGGACTTTGGGAGGCCAAGGTGGGCGGATCACCTGAGGTCGGGAGTTTGAGACCAGCCTGACTCACATGGAGAAAGCCCATCTCTACTAAAAAGACAAAATTACTCAGGTGTTGTGGCGCATGCCTGTAATTCCAGCTACTCAGGAGGCTGAGGCAGGAGAATCGCTTGAACCTGGGAGGCGGAGGTCGTGGTGAGCCAAGATCGCGCCATTGCACTCTAGCCTGGGCAACAAGAGCGAAACTCCGTCTCAAAAAAAAAAAAAATAAAATAAAGGATCTGCTACAAAGAAACTGTGATTTGGAACCTGTGACATTGTAATAATGCAGTTCTAGTTAATTGAATCTGTTTTTAACCTGTGTTCAAGTTGTGGAGTATTCATTAAGTCACTTAACTCTTTCAAATCAAAATATTGTTGACTCAGTATGTGGTAAGTAAAGTCTTCATAATTGGGAGGCTGATACACAAATTGGGCTGAAATACTGCTCTACTTGTCACCATGCCTCCCTAGAATAAACTGCCTTTTGATGACCGGGACGAATTGAGTGAAATCGTAACGGACAGATACGGGGCAGACAGATTTTAGAATAGACTCGTAAAGGGAATGGAATTCTTTTCTCCTTATAACTTGGATTTGTTGTCTTTTTTCCTTTTAGCCCTGCCTCTTTCTTGTCGCAGTCAGTTTCATCATCAGATAGAAACAGTGTTACAGTACTTGAAAAGGTATATTTTAAAATAAGTCTCAATTAATTCTGGACCATACTAAATTATAAAATATTATTTATTTTTGTTGATACCACAGTTAAATTTAATTTCTAATTTCACATTTTCTACTATTTGTACATTTTGTACCATATCTACTTATATTCCTTATTGCTAAGTGGGAATATTGGAATTAGTTAATTCTGCCAGTGACATACAATTTCACAATAGTATTAACAACCTTTTATAGGTTCATGATAACCAGTGAACTGCTAATGAAGACAGCTTCAGGATCAGCCATGATTATTAAGGGTTTAACATTACATATCTGTCTTCTTCAGGACACAAAGATGGGAACTCCCAAAGAAAAAAATGAAGCAATTTCTAAGAAAATACCAGAATTTGAAGTGGAAAATTCTCCATTATCAGATGTTGCAAAGAATACAGAGAGTAGTGCATTTGGAGGGTCTTTGCCAGCTAAAAAAAGTGATCCATTTCAAAAAGAGCAAGATCATCTGGTAGAAGAGGTGAGAAAAGACTGTAATGAGTATACTTAAATATCAGTTATTGGATGGGCACAGTGGCCCATGTCTGTAATCCCAACACTTGGGGAGGTTTCGGCAAGAGGAACATTTGAGCCCAGAAGTTCGAGACCAGCATGGGCAACATGGCGAAACCCATCTCTACAAAAAAATTAAAAAAACAGTTGAGCATGGGGGCGTGTCTCTGAAGTCCCAGCTACTTACTGGTGAGGCTGAGGTGGAGGATCACTTAAAGCCCAGGAGACTGAGGCTGCAGTGAGCTGTGTTTGCATCACTGCACTCCAGCCTGAGTGACAGACTGAGACCCTGTTTCAAAAAACAAAATCAAAAACAAATATTTTCTCAATGGTGTTGGGATCCTAAGCGAAATACAGTTAATTATTGATTACCTCGGGTAATATGGGATAAAGAAGGCTACAGATAATAAAAATTATGGTTAAAGCAAAATTGGTCTTCCTCAAAAGTGAGAATAGATTTAATATAAACTTATTTAGCTAATATTACATCTGTGGTTTAGAACCCACTTCCCATTCTTTAAACATTACCTGAAAGTATACAAATGATACATTTGAGAAATTTTGGAGATTAACCATTACATGGTTAGATAAATGTACCCAGTGTTTATACTATATTAAAATACTTTTGTCAGTGTTGTTTGTTGCTTAGCTGAGTTTCCTCTTTTTTTTGAATATTAGAACACACTGCAATATCATATCATTATCACTGAGCATAGGTTTTGTTCTTTTTGCTGTCTAAAATATTTCAGAAGTGATTAGATGCATTGTTGTTCATGAACTTGATTTTCCTAACCAGCCCCCTCCCTTAACACTATTCTGCTTTTTACTGGTAAGTGACCACACAATACTACCATTGCTCAGCATTACAGAACTCATTTCACTCAAGCTAAATTCTGAAGTTATTTGCTAATGTTATTTTTAGTACATGTTTTCCACAACATGCTTTAGCATTGCTTGAATTTGGTTAAGCAGCCAGAAAATCAGTGTTACTTTTTATTCCTGAGACACTGAAAGAAAAATTTGGTTTAGCAGATATTAATTCAGGTATTAGAGTTCCCTCCTTTATTGCATTCCTGATCAAACTAAATGAGCATTGTCCAAATAAGAGAACTGGATGTCAGACACTTTTCTTTTTTCTTTTAAGACAGGGTCTTGTTCTGTCACCCAAGCTGGAGTGCAGTTGTGTAATTATAGCTCACTGTAACTTCGAACTTCTGAGCTCAAGGGATCCTTCCACCTCAGCCTTCCAAACAGCTACGACTATAGGCGTGCACCACTTTGCCTGGCTAAGTTTTTTATTTTTTGTAGAGTTGGGAACTCACTCTTTTGCCCAGGTTGGTCTCGAACCCGTAGCCTGAAGTGATCTTCTAGCTTTGGCCTCCCAAAGTGCTGGGATTACAGGCATGAGCCACCATGCCTGACTGGATGTCAGTTATTTTTCTTGTTTGTAACATGAGGTCTAGTTTCATGGTCCCTAAGTACTTTTAAATCTCTAAAGTTCTATTGTTTCTCTTCATTGACTCTACACTAAAGTAAAGATGGTTAGTATTTTTTACTTTCCTAATTTTGAAAGGAAAAACACATTTTCTGATTAAAAGAATTTATATTAGCAATGGGATCAGATAGAAGAGGAAAGTCTTAAAATTTCATGAAGCTCTGAAAGTAAAATTAATTTTCTTTAAGAGTGTTTATGACAGGGGATATTTAGTGTTTTAATTCCCAGAAGCACTCTGTTTTCTTGAGGGAGAAGCCCTTTTTTTCCATGGGCCAATTTTATTTGTATTTTTAAATTTTATTTATGTTATTTTTTTGAGACGGAGTTTTGCACTTGTTGCCCAGGCTGGGGTGCAATGGCACGATCTTGGCTCACCGCAGCCTCCGCCTCCCGGGTTCAAGCGATTCTCCTGCTGCAGCCTACCGAGTAGCTGGAATTACAGGCATGCGCCACCATGCCCAGCTAATTTTGTATTTTTAGTAGAGATGGGGTTTCTCCATGTTGTTGGTCAGGCTGGTCTTGAACTCCTGACCTGAAGTGATCCGACCGTCTCGGCCTCCCAAAGTGCTGGGATTACAGGCGTGAGCCACCATGCCCGGCCTCTTGGGTCAATTTAATTATGGCTTCAAGAAGTTTATTTTTTAGTGATGTCGGGGGCAGAGTTTTTAATTTGCATGTTTTTTCTTTTTCGGTTTTATTGATATTTAATAGAGAGCACTATTTTGATATTGGATACTTTTTTAGTTTTAGAATGTACGTATGCTTTTTTCAGTAATGAAGATGTGATAATAGGTTTCTGGTGAAGAGGTATGTTGTCAGAATGATTCTGTTTCTTAATAGAGATGTCACTGTCCAAATTGATTATAATTGAGAAGAGTCTGCTTCCTTTAAAACTAGTCATTTTAGTGAATACAGAGCTGTCAAGCTCACAGTTGTGGCAGACAGCAGCTTAGGTCACTGCACAACTGGAACTGCCTCTAAATCTTCCCAGCATAAAGATTCTTATCTATTCTCTCCTTTATAATGGGATATCCATTTAAGATGAGGAAATACTTCAGTGTTTCATTTCACTTTACAGGATTGTACCTGGATGGTCTATACAGAGTTGTTGGGGAACTTCTTTGTTGCTTATTTTTGTGTTGTCTGCAATGGGAGGGGCTGCTGACTGTGAAGTGCTTATTATCCTTATCAGGGGTTTTGTTGCATTCTACCAATGGGCTTGGTAATCTTTGCTTTACTTTTTCTTTTCTGTTTTAGGTTGCCAGAGCAGTTTTATCTGATTCACCACAGCTCTCTGAAGGAAAAGAAATAAAATTAGAGGAACTAATTGACTCTCTGGGTTCTAACCCCTTCTTAACAAGGAATCAGATTCCCCGTACTCCAGAAAACTTGAGTAAGTTAATAATGCTTTCTGTTACTTTTTTCTTTCATCGACATAACCACTGTTAGAACCATGGCCTGACAGATCTTTTTAGCTGAGTTGCCAAAGGCTGTTTATTTATGCTGTTGTAATCGACGTACTAAGTGTGGGCATTCTCACATAACAGTCTTTTAGCAGTATTTTGTGCCTTCAGTGTACTCAATATACAGAGATATAAAATTTTGATAATGTACAATTTTGTCTTTGTTGTTATACTTTGCTTTTATCTAGAAAGATCTTATTTGAGCATTTAAAAAAAAAAATCTCTTGCCTCCTGGTCTGACCTGTGATCTACATATTTATAGAGTACATAGGCTGTGTTCTGCCAGTCATCAACCAGAAGCATCAGCCATAAACCATGTGTGCGGAGGTCTTTACCCCTCCCAAATGAGTCAAACTGCCCAATACCTTTTTTCCTATAACCTGTAATTTGTGTAGGCAAAGTTCTGATATTGGTGTCCTTAGGTAGGCACATCATCTTGGTTGAGTAATTAAATAATTTCTGTTTTGCTGCTGATTTAATTCAGTTTGAACTGAGCCACAGCCTAGGTCAGCAAACTATAGCCTATGAACCAAATTTGGCCCCACCTTGTGTGTTTTTGTATATAAAATTGTATTGAACATAAGCATATTCATTTGTTGACATTGTTTATGGCTACTTTCATGCTATCATGGCAGAGTTAAGTAGTTGACAGAATGGATGGCCTGCAAAGCCTAAAATATTGCTATCTGGCCCTTATAGAAAATGTTTGCCAAACTGTGGCTTAGATGGACAAGAAAAGGTCTTTTTAATACATGTAATTCATATGTGCTGTGTAAAATTGGATGCATATTTCAGGAACAGCTGTCTTTATATGTGTTTATTTGTGCGAGCAGTTGGAGATGGGGTTCTTCGATGTTGGGATTTGTTATATTGTGGAGGCTTATCATCCAACCAGTATATTTATGGAACATGTACTGAGTCAGGAGCTTTATCTTCAGTGTTAGAAATAAAATGATTCATTGCATGCTCTATGTTTGGGAATGTTAGTAAACTGTGTTTTTCTCCCCTTTAATTAGTAACTGAAATTAGGAGCTCATGGAGAAAAGCTATTGAAATGGAAGAAAACAGAACTAAAGAACCAATTCAAATGGATGCTGAACATAGAGAAGTATTGCCAGAATCATTACCTGTGTTGCACAATCAAAGAGAATTTAGCATGGCTGATTTTCTCTTAGAAACCACTGTATCAGATTTTGGCCAGTCTCATTTGACTGAAGAGAAAGTTATTTCAGATTGCGAGTGTGTGCCTCAGAAACATGTGCTGACCAGTCACATAGATGAACCACCAACACAAAATCAGTCAGATTTGTTAAATAAGAAAGTAATTTGCAAGCAAGATTTGGAATGTTTAGCCTTCACCAAGCTTTCAGAAACTAGCCGAATGGAGACATTCTCCCCTGCTGTCGGCAATAGGATAGATGTGATGGGTGGCAGTGAAGAGGAGTTTATGAAAATATTGGACCACTTAGAAGTTTCTTGTAACAAACCTTCCACAAATAAAACTATGTTGTGGAATTCTTTTCAGATATCAAGTGGAATTAGTTCTAAGAGTTTTAAAGATAATGATTTTGGCATATTACACGAAACTCTCCCGGAAGAAGTTGGTCATCTAAGTTTTAATAGTTCCAGTAGTTCAGAGGCCAATTTTAAACTGGAGCCAAATAGTCCTATGCATGGTGGCACTCTTCTAGAAGATGTTGTGGGAGGGAGACAGACTACTCCAGAATCAGACTTTAATTTACAGGCTCTTCGCAGTAGATACGAGGCTCTGAAGAAATCTCTTTCCAAGAAAAGGGAAGAATCTTACCTCTCGAATTCCCAAACACCCGAAAGACACAAACCAGAATTGAGCCCTACTCCCCAAAATGTACAAACAGATGATACGCTTAACTTTTTGGACACCTGTGATTTGCATACTGAGCATATAAAGCCATCTTTACGCACGTCCATCGGTGAAAGAAAACGGTCTCTTTCACCACTAATTAAGTTTTCTCCAGTGGAACAAAGATTGAGAACCACAATAGCATGTAGTCTTGGAGAACTACCTAATTTAAAGGGTAAGGTTTAAATAGACCTATGCATATTCACCTGTTGAAGTTTTCTCTCAACTTTTGATAAAACCAGTACACAAAGAATGCTGCATGACCTTTATTGTTAATGTGCTCCCCCTTCCTTCATTTAGGATGAGGGGAATGATCCCTCACTGGACAGGTCCTTTCAGAATCTCTGTTTATGTATATATAGTTACAATTGATTTGAGACAGGGGTGGGAAAAAAAAGCCCCCCCAATCTGAAGCTTACAGGTTTTATAATACAAATGACTGAAAAGTAAATGTCATCAAAATCTTGCCCAGTGGAAGGTGGTTTTTAAACACTTGAGAAACCCAATTTTAAATATCATCACTATAATGGTGTAATATCTGGGGGTGGGGTGTAGAAATAAAAGAAGCCAGGTCAGTGTATTAGTTTCCTAGGGCTGCCATAACAAAGCACCATCAAGTGGGTGGCTTAGAACAGCAGAAATTTATTGTCTCTGGAGACAGTAAGTTCTAGAGGCTAGATGTCCAAAATCAAGGTGTTGACAGGGCCATGTTCCCTCTGAAGCCACTAGAAGAGGATCCTTCTTTGCCTCTTCTAGCCTCTGGTAGCACCAGGCATTCCTTGGCTTGTGGCAGTGTAATTCTAATCTTTGCCTCCATTGTCACATGGTATTCTTCCCTTGTGTGTGTATTGTCTTATAAGGACACAGTCATATTAGCTAATTAATGGGTCACCCTACTCCAGTATGACCTCATCTTACTTAGCTAATTATATCTGTAATGACCACATTTCCAAATAAGGTCACATTCTGAGGTACTGGGGTTAGAACTTCAACATATGTTTTTGGGGGTATTCAGTTCATAACAGTTAGTATTAATAATTATTGAAGCTAGGTGATGGATATATTGAGTTAATCACAGTTCTCTTCACTTTTGTATGTTTGAATGTTTTCCTCATAAAAGGTTAAAAAAATTGCTCTTGTAGCTCATTAAGAGAGATAAGGATCTGGTGATACAGATTCATTACATACTCTGATTTGCCCATAATAGTTATACACTGCCATATTGAAAAGTATTTGGCTGGGCACAGTGGCTCACACCTGCAATCCCAGCACTTTGGGAGTCCGAGATGGGAGGATCACTTGAACCCAGGAGTTCGAGACTAGCCTCAGCAACACAGGGAGACTATGTCTCTACAAAAAATTAAACAATTAGCTGGGCACGTTGGCGCATGCCTGTGATCCCAGGTACACAGGAGGCTGAGGTGGGAGGATTGCTTGGGCCTGGGAGTTTGAGGCTGAAGTGAGCTGCGATCGTGCCACTGCACTCCAGCCTGGGTGACAGAGCAAGACCCTGTCGCAGAAAAAAGAAAAAAAAAAAAGTACTCTGGGAGGAATGTATTGATCTCTGGAGAAAGAGGGTACTTTGGTGAGAATAATAATAATTTTATCATAATCAAGTATTTGCAAAGCTATGAACCTTTTTTGTATTGACTAAAATTTGCTATTGCTTGGAATCTATTGTTTATTTTTCTTTGTAATGTTTGCTTATACTTTTTTAAAATCAATTTGCAGAAGAAGACATTTTGAATAAGAGCCTTGATGCAAAAGAACCACCGTCTGACTTGACAAGATGAAGACGTACCCATTTAATATAACTATGATGCACTTAAATTGAAGCTATGCCACAGGATAGAAAATGAATTACAACTTAAATACATGTTGGAAGTGTAACACTGTTTTTCAAGGTTTAAAAAAATTCCTAATGCCTTTTAGCCTTCTTTAATATTTTTAGGTAAGGAAAGTATGTTTGGATTTTTTCCTCTTTGTAGGTATATGAGATTGAAATGTGAAGTATTTGGACAACAAACGTCAAGCAATGGGAAGCCATTTTGATTTCTTGAGTAATCTTGTAAGCATTAAGTGAATGACAAAGTAGTAGTGTAACTTATTTCTTATGTTATAACTTCAGTCAATTAATATAAGGATAGTTTTTGTTGTATGTTCACTAAATGGTTAATATAATAGCCATTGAATATACTAATCTTTCATCTTAGAGAACTATACAACTTTTATTGTTTCTTAATGGAACATTCTGGCTAACCAGAAAAAGTGAGAAAAGTAGTACCTTGGGATGTGTAGTCAAGATGACAAATTTTAAGACTGGAAAAGCTCTAAACAGGCTTAATGATTCTTCAGGTAGAATGATCCTGAGAAGTGATGTTTGATGGAATAAAGTGCATGTGATGATTAAGTGAAGACTGGGGCAGAATGATTTAAAAAAAGGAAAAAGATGGAAGATGAGTAGACACTTGCAAGGAACACTGTCAAACTATAAATCCATTCAGTGGGTTGTATAACATTTATATTTAGTCTAATTTAGACTTTGATAATTTAATGCTACTTTTATATTTTAACAAAAATATAAATTAAAATTTTCATTAGTCTGTTTTGTTGTTGGGTTTTTTTGTGAGGTACTCCCTGTTGGGGGAAAGGAACAAGGAACAACCATCAGAATCCCCCAGTCCCTACAGAATAGCCTCACAGTAACTTGAGAAAACTGAACTTGGGGTTAAATAACTTGTCACACTTGCAGTCTCCTGCCTCACTCCTTCAGGTGCCCTGCCTAGAAAAAGACTTGTGTCTAGCATCCAAGTGAACACATACTATTGCCCTCTGTGAACCAGGAGGAATGGAACAGGCAATGGAAGGGTGATAGTACCTACAATACCCTTTGTAGACCCCATCTCACTACCATCAAAATCTTGTCCACTAGCCCCCAAAAAACTGGCAAGGAAAGAAGGTGGAGGGGAAATTTATGGAAGTAGATGGCTTAATAGTTATTTCTTTTATCTTGGGCTGCCTTTCTCTAAGTTGGTTGTCCTGTCCCAGTGTGAAGACCCATCTTTTTGTGAGAAAAGACAAAAGAAAGCACATGTAACTACCTTCTTTGCAATGGAAAAGGAGAAAGAAAAAATCTTCTCCTAAGTTGCTGTTTTCTTTTATTAGTTAATAAAACAAATCAGGGACTATGCAGGTCTATGGGGAAACCTTTAGTCTGCTTTAAGAAAACTCAGTATCTGAAAATCTTAACTTAGCATGTGATACTGTCTTATCAGCATCTGCAGAAGTGCCAAAGCCACTGCTAGACACTTAATGTGTATTATTTCATTTAATTATATTTTAAATGTGCTTCCTTGGTAATTCTTAAGCTCGAGAAAGAGTTTGAGAACTGCTGCTAGGAAATAGAGATTCACATTTAACCCTGTGGTACTTTTAAGAAGCAGGTACGTTGTTGCATATATACTTGGGTAGAGATTGGTAACTATCTGATAGGGAAGCTCAAGTTGGCCACCCAAGTCTGAGAAACCCTTAATTACTGAGAATCAAAAGAGCAGAATGTCTGTAGACATTTTGGATTTGTAAAAATCACATTGTTGAGTTATACCTGTGATGGGCTGAAAGTTTTTGGCATTCTTTCCTGTTCTTCATATGCCAGTACCATAAACAAAAAGTATCTCAGATCTGTCACTTTCTTCTCCTAAACCAATGTGATGGCAGCTTTTTGCCTTCAGCCTTTTCCCTATCCAGTATCTCCTACATAGTTACCTTTTGATCTTAAGGAACTGTTTTGATTGGGTCACTTCCTTGCCTAAAATTCCATTGATTGTTCATTGTTAATTCTAAAATAGAGTTCAAATTTAAAGGCATGTAAGTTCCCCTGTAACGGATTTCCTCTACTCCCCCTTCCGCTGTAATCTCCCATTTTTTTACTGAAATGCTTCAGTGAGCATGGGTCTTTAGAGGTCTTGATATACAATTTTCCTGAAGCAGGAATACCTTGCTTTCCTCTACTAGTTTACCACAATTACAGCTCTCTTTTAAGCCTCAGAAAAAAATCTCACTTCCGTCTTGAAGTCTTAATCCACGCTTTTTATATCCATGTGCCTACTCCTTCTCTGAAATCTCCTATGGTTTATCTTTTTATTCATTTAATATCCCACGAATTGATTTTATTATATATTTTTTATGGTTGCATGTGGTCTTTCTAGTTATAGCAATATACACATACATGCATAAATACATATACACCTATGTAAATGTGTGTTGGGAGTATGTATTCACACACATACATATACCCCAAGGCCATGTGTCATCTTTATCAATATTTAAGTTTTGGAATTGTTTTGTTTGCCTCCTATATCATGGAATAAATGGTAAAGAGGGCTAATTTATTACTCTAAGTGGATTTCTTATTACATTAATATCAGACATATAGAATGTACTTTGTTTTACTATTTGTAAGATACAAAGGTATATAAACTGACATACATCAGCTTGAAACCTGAGATAATGCTAAAATGTTCTAATTATTTTAAATGTTTAAAGAGGACAACCATGTAATGTTGCTAAACATGAAAAATGTCATCAAGTGGAATAAAGAATAGCTGAAGTTAACATTTGGGGGAAATTGAGCTGAAAACAAAAATATGAGTATTTTGATACCTTTTCTTTACCATGAGACTCTTGACTATGAAGTCAAATTTATCTAAAGGAAAAACAGGAATTCTGGAGACCTGTGTAAAAGCAGACTATTATCTTCCTACTGTGAGAGTACTAAAATTAAAATACGTTTAATGACGTTTTCCTCAATGTAAAAGCATTGAAGTAAATGTTTCTTTTATGTTGCAGATACATAGTTGCTCTAGAGATCACCTTTTTCTTTATGCATTGTGAATAGCAGTCTGCATCCTAAGTTTAAAATATTTGAGAATCCTCTATGGGACTCTCTGTAAATGTTTTAAATACTGTTGTTTTCAATAAATATTTTATACTATCTGGCTCTGGAATTTCCTATATAATCTCAAAAAGAACTATGCCCCTGCAAATCATAAGATGATCACATGTAAAGTTATATTAATAACCTGATCAACAAATTTGAGAGGTTCAGTGATTCAGGTCAACATATTTTGTTACTTCCATTTTAATTACTAGATTTACAGTATATAGTATTTTAAAATGAATTTTTAAGGTTATATCTATACTGTCAGTTTACACATCTGGAGTCTTTATACTAATGTATTGCCAATGGCCCTAATTAGGTAATTTTTATAAATTACACCTGAATAGCTTCTTACTCTTCATGAGTAGCGTCATCCACATCTGCTGCTAGAAAGGGTTTAATGAACATTAAATAATTTTATAAAGCCTTAGAAATTCTAAAGCCCTATCACTTATGTTTACTGTCCATACAAAGATAGCACCTCGAGTGTAAAATGAAAGGCTTAGAGTTGATCACAGGTCTCTTCGCTCTAAAATACTTAGATTTCTTTTCAAACAATCCTTAAGGCAGCTATTGCTGGAAGTGGAATGGGACATTTTAGATCTGTTTGTCCATTTTACTACACCACATTGCCAATCCAAATTAGGAACCTCAGAATCCTTCCTTAAAAGTAGGTGATCTAAGAATCTGTTTCAGTATTATCCAATTTCTAGAGAAATACAAATGGGAAAGTGATCTTGCCCAAAATGAGTGAAACTCTATTCCTTGAGGGAGGTCACTTAGCTTCCTGGGCTTCAGCTTACCCACTATGTAAATTTGGAATTATATGAAGGAATAATCTACATTTAAAAAGCTAGGACCCATCAGTGCTGATATGTGCAAGTTATAAGAACAAAAAAAATTGCCGGGTGCAGTGGCTTATGGCTGTAATCCAGCACTTTGGGAGGCTGAGATGGGTGGATCACTTGAGGTCGGGAGTTCCAGACCAGCCTGGCCAAAGTGGTGAAACCCCGTCTCTACTAAAAAATACCAAAAATGAGCTGGGCGTGGTGGCACATGCCTGTAGTCCCAGCTACTTGGGAGGCTGAGGCAGGAGAATGGCTTGAACCTGGGAGGCGGAGGTTGCAGTGAGATCGCGCAATTGCACTCAAGCCTGGGCAACAGAGCGAGACTCCGTCTCAAACAAACAAACCAAAAATAAATAAAAAGCTATGACTCTTATGGTTAACTTTTCAATGGAAGTAATGGGGTGTAATGATTAGGAGAGTCAGTAGTCAGATTGCCTGGGTTTAGCTGTATGACCTTAATAAGATCATAGTTTGCTCATCTGCTAAAATAGCGATCAAAGTAACCTACCACATAGGTTGTGAGGATTCAGTAAGATAAATGCACAAGTGCTTAAGAACACCTGACATTTAGTAAGGGATCAAATATTCAAATAGGTTTCATATCCAGTAATTTGGGGAAGAATGGCTCAGTAGGTAGTAATGGTAGTTAACAGAGTATGCTATGCGCTAGGCACCATTCCTAAATACTTACCATGTTGAATTTAATCCTTTTAAACATCCTATCAAGTGGTTTTTTATTGTTGTTTTTGAGATAGGGTCTTGCTTTGTCACCCAAACTGGAGGCCAGTGACACAATTATGCCTCACTGCAGCCTCTACCTCCTGGACTCAAGCAATCCTCTCTCCTCAGCCTCCCAAGCAGCTAGGACTGTAGGCACGCACCACTACGCCTAGCTAATGAAAAAAAATTTTTTTTTGTAGAGAGAGGGTCTCTCTATATTGCCCAGGCTGGTCTCGAACTCCTGATCTCAGGTGATCCTCCCACTTCAGCCTTCCAAAGTGCTGGAATTACAGGTGTGAGCCACCACGACTGGCTATAAAGTAGTATTCTGACCCACATTTTACCAATGAGGAAACAAGTGTAATGAAATTAAGTATTTGCCCATGTTCACAGAGCTAGTAAGTGAAGGGACCAGAATACTAACTCAGGTGGTCTAGCTTCAGTCCATAGCATAAGCGCTTCTACAGCTGTTACCAAACATCACTAAAGTGCTGGGGGCTAAATTCACAGAATCAAATTTGCCAGTCAAGCAATACTTGTGGGCAGTCAGAATTTTTAGATTTGCATATTAAGCACTTTCAAGTTATTTCAAATAAGGACATGTTTTAAATTGCTAACACGTTTATTCATGAATGAAGCCAAGAAGAATTTATAAATGCATTTTAATACCTTGCTGATAAAATAGTAACATTCCGTCTTTGCAATCTGATACGGAATACAGGAAGATACTGGTAAAGGCTTTGATGTGCATATCTATCATAACCAGGTAATGAGAACACACACGAACCACCTACTTTAGTGTTACACCATACCAACTTCTCAGAAAGGTCAGCTTCAAGCTCTACTGGGTAGCTGAGTAAATAGCGTCCAATGTTTAAAGACTGGGGAAGCGGGGAGAAAGATGAAAGGAGTAAGCAGCACACACTTCAAAGCCCACTTTTAAGCACACGACATTATGAATATTAAAAATAAAGGATGCAAACAAAAAAGGCAATTCAGCATTTTCAGAAAGAGCATTTGGCAATATTCAACGCATAAGGAGACTGTGCTTGGGGCCATCCACTCTCTCCAGCTTCTCAAAGTGTTTCCGGGCATTGCGAATGTTGATCAGAGTGGCCGCAGAAGGGATCGACGGATCTGACATGACCACCATCACGTACGTATTTGAGGTGAAGATGTCGATGAAAGCAGCGAAGTTGGAATTCCTAACTTCCATGCTCTGGAAGGAAGCGGCCAATTTACTGCAGCTCAGCTTGAACTGTTTGATGATGTTGCTGATCTTCTCAAACCGGTGGACGTCGCGCTGCTCTTTGCACTGGTAGTGGGAAATAACCAAGAATGTAGCTCTTTCGAACAGCAGAACTTCATCGGCCTCAATGATTTGGGCAAAATTCCTGAGGTTCATCTCCAGCTGCTGAACGTTGGGAATCAGCTGGTAGACGATGCTGGACCAGGCTTTGTAGAGCGTCTCATCCCAGATGGACGTTCGAAAACAAGCACACTCCAGCGGGCGAGACAGACGCCTCAGGTCTTCCTCTCGCTCTTTAAAAATCAGGTCACGCTGATCCTCCTGAACCAGATCCATTTTGTGCACCAGGCAGAAGATTTTGGCGTCAGGAGAGTTCTGGAGGATGGCCTCCAGACACGACTGGTAATAATGCATGTCCTTTTCCAGTTCGCGGCTCTCCACGTCAAACACGTAAATCAAAACTTCCACGTTACGGAAGATATTGTCTCGCTGGCTGGTGAAGTAATTTTCCATGAAGGTGTCCTGACCGCCACAGTCCCACAGGTTCAGCACCAGGTTCCCTAGGAATCGGACGTGGGAGTGTTCCACGTCAATGGTGGCCCCCAGGCGCCGGGTGTCGCGAGCAATGTAATTGGCGAAGATTATCGACCTCATGCTGGTCTTCCCCGACCCGCTCTTCCCCATCAGCAGCACCTTTTTCTTCATGGCTGTATTTGGCATCACCCGCCGGGGCACCGCGGACTGGGCCTGAGGGCGCGGCCTACACGCAGCGCCGAGGGAGGGGTCGGGGGCTGCCGGGGACTCGCAGGCCGCGCCTCGCTCCGCTCCGCCGCGCAGCTGGGCAGGCAGGAGAGTCGAGAGCGCGAACCCGGGGCTGGAGAGGCCGCGGACGGGCTGGCTCTTACTCAGATGGGAGCGCCCGCGGCTGTCAGTGGCAACGGCTCGGGAGATACGCTCGCTTTCCGGGAGGGAGCCGCTGCGTCCCCGCCACCACCCACTTCCGGCGGCGATCTCGCGAGAGCTCCCTCGCTCCGCCCTCCGTGCCCGACGAGCCTTGAAAAGCCGCTGCTCTAATGAAACCTAACCGGGGCGGCGTGAGCCCTAAGATGGAAGGGAAGCTCGAGGACTTCGGTCTTTTGTTCTGTTGCAGCTGGGTTTGCTGTTGCTAGGGGTACGTGTGTGGTTGGCCGGGGGAAATGCTGCCCTCTCGTGGCCAAAAAAAGCCCCAACCGCCACCACCACCGCAACTGGCTTTAGGAGCGAGGTGTGTCGGGCCGGTTTCCGCAGGGGCAGCCGACTGGTGAAGTGGAGGGAAAGCCTAACTTCCCAGTCCGCTTAGGCCTCCCCAGCTTGCCCGGCCCAGTGAGTACAAGGGCAGGGCAGATGGAGACTGTGCAGGCGCGGAAAGTGAGACTTGTAGGCAAGCGATTGCCTGTTGCTGCGCAGCTAGGTAATAGCAAGTCCCTCCTAGGAGACATCCTGGCTTCCAGTGGGTGCTTTTAATTCCTTTCTCACATCTGCTTTTCCGTAATCTCAGACTTTAGAATTTATAATTAGAATTCCAAAGCTCGAGGAAATGATAATGTGGAATCCCAGGCATTAGTTCCATCCTCACAGTAACCCTGTGAATTAATAACCCTATTTTCAAGTTAGGGAATCAAAGGTTAGAGAGGTTAAGTCACTTGACCAAGTTACACAGATACTAAATGATGAAATGGAATTTGGTTTTAGACAATCTTGCTGCGGTCTATTTGCCTAACAATAGGCTACCCTGTGCCCCTCTCAAAGCATAATATGATTCTGCTCTTGGTCTTCAAGTAGATGAGTGAATCAGTGTCGCCAGTATCGTTCATACAGAATGAATGAGAGTCATCAGGATACTGAAGCCTCTGTATCTACCTTAAAGTCCTTTTTTTTTCTTTTGAGACGGAGTCTCACTCTGTTGCCCAGGCTGGAGTGCAGTGGCGCGATCTCAGCTCACTGCAACCTACGCCTCCTGAGTTCAAGCGATTCTCCTGCCTCAGTCCCCCAAATAGCTGGGATTGTGGGCACCTGCCACCACGCCCGGCTAATTTTTGTATTTTTAGTGGAGACGGGGTTTCACTATGTTGGCCAGGCTGGTCTGGAACTCAAGCCAGCCACCTGCCTCGGCCTCCTAAAGTGTGGGATTACAGGCGTGAGCCACCGTGCCTGGCCTAAAGCCCTTATCAAAGTGTATACTGTACTGTACAAATTCAGGTATTCCATTCTTTCATTTATTCAAAAAATATTTTAATTCCTACTGTTAACGTGTGCAGTAAAAGAAGTTCAAAAATGGCCTTTGCTGTAGTTTATGGAAATCATAGAGTGAAATTCCATAATACAATATAGTATGTGGAAAATCTCCTCTCAATGTATTCAGTTTCATCTCCTTGGTGCTACCTCTTCTGGAGCCTTCTTATCTGATCGCCTTTCACCACCATTCTGGGGTTTCCCTTCCCCGTTCTTTCGAGTTGGGTATTCTTTTTCCTGATTTCACATCTTCTCATTTTTGGCTCATTTGGTGGAACACATGTTCCAATAGTTTCCAGATAAAAAGTATGAGGAGAGTAAAAATTTCAAGAGATTGGATGTCTGAAAATTTCTTTGTTTTTACCCTCACACTTGATTGGTTGGACATAATTTTTCCTCAGAGTCTTGGAGGCATTGCTCTGTTGCTCCATCGTCTTTTAGCAGCCAGTAGTCTGATGCCTGCTTCTTGGTTTTGATCTATTCTTTCCTCTCTAAAAACATATTCGAAATTTTCTTATTCTAGTGTTCTGAAACTTAATGATAATTGGCATTGTTGAGCCCAAATTTGCATTGTACTGGACTCTCCAATGTGTCTTTTAATTTGGAAACCATGCCCTTGAATTCTAAACAATGTTCTTGAATTGTTTGATGATGTATTTCCTCTATTCTGTCATGTGAATACTCCTAAGGTCTGGATATCACATTTTACGGAGTCTCCTCTAATGTATTTTTTTTCTTTTTTTTGGAGACAGAGTCTCACTCTGTTGCCCATGCTAGAGTGTAGTTGCACGATCTTGGCTCACTGCAACCTCCACCTCCTGGGTTCAAGAGATTCTCTTGCTTCAGCCTCCCAAGTAGCTGGGACTACAGGCCTCCACCACCATGCCTGGCTAAGTTTTATTTTTGTTTTTGTTTTTGTTTTGAGATGGAGTCTTGCTCAGCAGCCTAGGCCGGAGTGCAGTGGCACTATCTCGGCTTACTGCAACCTCCGCCTCCCAGATTCAAGCCATTCTCCCGGCTCAGCCTCCCGAGTAGCTGGTATTACAGATGCCTGCCACCATACCTGGCTAATTTTTGTATTTTTAGTAGAGAGGGGGTTTCACCATGTTGGCCAGGCTGGTCTCAAACTGCTGGTCTTAAGTGATCTGCCCGCCTCAGCTTCCCAAAGTGCTGGGGTTACAGGCATGCGCCACTGCGCCTGGCCTTCTTTTCTTTTTAAAAAAATTTTTTAAATTTATTTTTAGAGACAGGATCTTTCTCTGTCAACCAGGCTGGAGTGCAGTGGTGAGATCATAGCTCACTGCAGCCACCACCTCCTCGGCTCAAGGGATCCTCACATGCCAGCCTCCCAAGTAGCTAGGATTATAGGTGTGTGCCACTATGCTTAATTTTTTTTTTTTTTTTCTGAGACGAAGTTTTGCTCTTGTTGCCCAGGCTGGAGTGCAATGGCATGATCTCAGCTCACCACAACCTCTGCCTGCCGGGTTCAAGCGATCCTTCTGCCTCAGCCTCCCAAGTAGCTGGGATTGCAGGCATGTGCCACCTTGTCTGGCTAATTTTGTATTTTTAGTAGAGATGGGGTTTCTCCTTTCTCCATGTTGGTCAGGCTGGTCTCGAACTGCCGACCTCAGGTGATCTGCCCGCCTCGGCCTCCCAAAGTGCTGGGATTACAGGCGTGAGCCACCGCACCTGGCCTGCCTAATTTTTAAATATTTTTTTGGTAACCCTTTCTTATTTTCTATTTCTGTCTTTTTGTTCTACTTTCCAGGAGATTTTTCTCATCCTAATTTTCCAACTCTTTGGAGTTTTAAATTTTAATATCATATTTTTAATTTCCACAGGCTGTTCTAATTGTTCTTTTTAAAAACATAAAATTATTTTCTTGGATTAAATATATTCTTTTATCTCTCTGAGGATAATAGTAACATTAAGAAAAAGTTTTTATCCCGTTTAGTCTTGGTTTCTTCCAAGTTTCTTTTGTTTGTATGTTCTCCTTATGTTCTCCTTTTTTTTTTTTTTTTTTTTTGAGACGGAGTTTCATTCTTGTTGCCCAGGCGCAACGGCGCAATCTCTGCTCACCGCAACCTCCGCCTCCCAGGTTCAAGTGATTCTCCTGCCTCAGCCTTCTCCAGCAGCTGGGATTACAGGCATGCGCCCCCAGGCCCGGCTACTTTTGTATTTTTAGTAGATACGGGGTTTCTCCATGTTGGTGAGCCACCGCGCCCGGCAGTAAAAGAAGTTCAAAAATGGCCTTTGCTGTAGTTTATGGAAATCATAGAGCATATTCATGTTAGAAACTTTCCTTATTTGTTCAGTGATCATTGGTTGTCTGCTCCTATTTAAAGTTATTTAAAAACCCGTGGGTAGCATTGAAGACTATCAGGTTCATTAAAATGACTGGGCCATTTCTTTGAAGAAAGTCTTGCCGCCTGCCTCATTTAGACCTGTGCTCTTTGGCTGGTTAGATTCTCCCAGGATTCTTCTACTGGGATGGGGTGTGTATAAGCCTGATTAATAGCATTCTGGTTACTAAGTGGGAGAAGAAAGCTAGGTTGCTAATATTCAGTTTATAGGCCAGCTTAATCCTGTTTACAATATGGTACTTCAGTCCTCTGTGTCTCTGGTGTTTCCCTAGTCCAGAGACCCCCTGTTTTACTCTTTGCATCTTTGCAGGGAATAAAAACTGCTAGTCTTAGATGAGAGACGGACAATTGCCCAGCTATGTGAAATTGTGAGGGGATCTGTAAGTCTAATTGCATCTTTTTTTTTTTTTTTTTTTTTTTTTTTTTTTTGAGACGGAGTCTCGCTCTGTCGCCCAGGCCGGACTGCGGACTGCAGTGGCGCAATCTCGGCTCACTGCAAGCTCCGCTTCCCAGGTTCACGCCATTCTCCTGCCTCAGCCTCCCGAGTAGCTGGGACTACAGGCGCCCGCCACCGCGCCCGGCTAATTTTTTGTATTTTTAGTAGAGACGGGGTTTCACCTTGTTAGCCAGGATGGTCTCGATCTCCTGACCTCATGATCCACCCGCCTCGGCCTCCCAAAGTGCTGGGATTACAGGCGTGAGCCACCGCGCCCGGCCGTCTAATTGCATCTTAAAGAGCTCTTCAAACAATCCCTCCTTTTTAGTGCAGTCTCTGCTCTCACTGATGCTACCGATTCTTGAACCATTTGGAGGTTCTGTGGTAAAAATGTTGCTCCTTGGCTTTCCCTACTACTGGCTAAGGATTCAGCTTTCGTTTTTTTTTGAAACGGAGTCTCGCACTCTCACCCGGGCTGGAGTGCAGTGGCGCCATCTCGGCTCACTGCAAGCTCCGCCTCCCGGGTTCACGCCATTCTCCTGCCTCAGCCTCCCAAGTAGCTGGGACTACAGGCGCCCGCCACCACACCCAGCTAATTTTTTTGTATTTTTAGTAGAGACGGGGTTTCACCGTGTTAGCCAGGATGGTCTCGATCTTCTGACCTTGTGATCTGCCGCCTCAGCCTCCCAAAGTACTGGGATTACAGGCGTGAGCTACCGCGCCCGCCGGATTCAGCTTTCTTGAGTCAGCTAAGTCACTTACCATTCTTGTTTGTGCATTCCCGCTTCCAAAAATTTTGATTTTATGATCTCTTACCCCATTTTTTGTTCTTGCCATCTCATCCTATTTGTCTCATGTTTGTGGGATTCTGGAGAAAGATAAATGCGTGTGTTCAATCTGCCAGCTTTCTTGGAAATAGGAGAGATCTTAATCTAAAATGCTCAAATGGAATAATGATAATTTGATAGTAAGTAATACCCAAAGAGAATTGAAAAGTTTTTTTTGTTTTTAATTTTTGTGGGTACATAGTAGGTGTATATATTTATGAGGTACATGAGATACTTTGATACAGGCATGCAAGGCATAATAATCACATCATGGTAAATGGGGTATGCATCCCCTCAAGCATTTATCCTTTGTGTTGCAAACAATCCAATTGTTTTTTTTTTTTAAGACAGAGTCTCACTCCATTGCCCAGGCTGGAGTGCAGTGGCATGACACACTGCAGCCTCTACCTCCTGGGTTCAAGTGATTCTCCTGCCTCAGCCTCCCAAGTAGCTGGTATTACAGGCACCTGCCACAAAACCTGGCTAATTTTTGTATTTTTAGTAGAGACAGGGTTTCACCATGTTGGCCAGACTGGTCTCGAACTCCCGATCTCAGGTGATCCGCCTGCCTCAGCCTCCCAAAGTGCTGGGATTATAGGCGTGAGTCACTGTGCCAGGCTCAATTATACTCTTTTAGTTATTTTTGAATGTACAATGAAATTATTGACTATAATTATCCTGTTGTGCTATCAAATACTAGGTCTTTTTTTTTTTCGAGACAGGGTCTTACTCTGTGGCCCAAGCTGGAGTGCAGTGTTGTGATCACTGCTCACCGCAGCTTCCACCTCCTGGGCTCAAGCAATCCTCCCACATCAGTGCCCCCGAGTAGCTGGGACTACAGTTACGCACTACCATGCCTGGCTAATTTTTGTATTTTTTGTAGAGACAGGATCCCACTATGTTGCCCAGATTGCTCTTGAATTCCCGGGCTCAAGTGATCTGCCCGCCTTGGCCTCCCAAAGTGCTCCAATTACAGGTGTGAGCCACCATGCCTGGCCCCTACTAGGTCTTACTCCTTCTTTCTAACTACTTTTTGTACCTATTAACCATCTCCACCTCCCGCTTAACCCCCCTGTTATCCTTCCCAGCCTCTGGTAACCATTCTTCTGCTCTCTGTGTCTGTGAGTTCAATTGTTTTAATTTTCAGCTCCCACAAATAAGTGAGAACATGCAGAGTTTGTCTTTCTGTGCCTGGCTTATTTCACTTAACATAATGATCTCCAGTTCCATCCATGTTGTTGCAAATGACAGGATCTCATTCTTTTTTTTTGTGGCTGAATAGTGTATATGTACCACATTTTCTTTTTTGGGGGGACAGGGTTTTGCTCTGTTGCTCAGGCTGGAGTGTAGTGGTGCAGTCTTGGTTCACTGCAACCTCTGCCTCTCAGGCTCAAGTGATCCTCCCACCTCAGCCTCCTGAGTAGCTGGGACTACAGGTGTGTACCACCATGCCTGACTAATTTTTGTATTTTTTGTAGAGACAGGGTTTTGCTATATTTCCCAGCGTGGTCTCAAACTCCCGGGCTCAAGTGATCCTCCCGCCTTGGCCTCACAAAGTGCGGGTATTATAGGCATCAACCACTGCACCTGGCCACATTTTCTTTCTTTCTTTCTCTTTATGAGGCAGAGTTTTGCTCTTGTTGCCCAGTCTGGAGTACAGTGGTGTAATCTCAGCTCAACACAACCTCCGCCTCCCCGGTTCAAGCGATTCTCCTGCCTCAGCCTCCCGAGTAGCGGGGATTACAGGCATGCACCACCATGCCTGGCTAATTTTGTATTCTTAGTAGGGACGGGGTTTCTCCATGTTGGTCGGGCTGGTTTTGAATTCCCAACCTCTGGTGATCCGCCTGCCTTGGCCTCCCAAAGTGCTGGGATTACAGGTGTGAGCCACTGCACCTGGCCCACATTTTCTATATCTATTTATCTGTTAATAGACACTTAGATTGCTTCCAAATCTTGGCTATTGTGAACAGTGCTGCAACAAACATAGGAGTGCAGCTATCTCTTTGATATACTGATTCCCTTTCTTTTGGGTATATACCCAGCAGTGGGATTGCTGAATCGTATGATAGTACCATTTTTAGCTTTTTAAGGAACTTCTAAACTGTTCCCCATAGTGGTTGTAATAATTTACATTTCCACCAACAGTGTACAGCGGTTCCCTTTTCCCCACATCCTTGCCAGCATTTGTTATTGCCCATCATTTGGATAAAAGCCATTTTAACTGGGGTGACATGATATCTCATTGTCATTTTGATTTGCATTTCTCTGATGATCCATGATTTTGAGCACTTTTTTATATGCCTGTTTGCCATTTGTATGTTGTCTTTTGAGAAATGTCTATTCAGATCTTTTGCCCATTAAAAAATTAGATTATTAGATTTTTTTCCCATAGAGTTGTTTGAGCTCCTTATATATTCTGATTAATTTTTTATCAGATGGGTAGTTTGCAAATATTATCTCCCATTCGGTGGGTTGTCTCTTTGATTTGTTGATTGTTTCTATTGCTGTGTAGAAGCTTTTTAACTTGATATGATCCCATGTGTCCATTTTTGCTTTGGTTGCCTGTGCTTGTGGGGTATTACTCAAGAAGTTTTTGTCCAGACCAATGTTCTGGAGAGTTTTCCAATGTTTTCTTGTAATAGTTTCATGGTTTGAGGTCTTAGATTTAAGTCTTCAATCCATTTTGACTTTATTTTTGTATATGGCAAGAGATAGGGGTCTAGTTTCCTTCTTCTGCATATGGATATTCAGTTTTTCCAGCACTATTTATTGAAGAGACTGTTTTTACCCCATGCATGTTCTTGGCACCTGTGTTGAAATGAGTTAACTTTTGATGTATAGATTTGTTTCTGCTTTTTCTTTTCTGTTCTATTGGTCTATGTGTCTGTTTTTATGCTAGTACCATGCTGTTTTGGTTACCATAACTCTGTAGTATAACTGGAGGTCAGGTAATGTGATTCCTCCAATTTTGTTCTTTTTGCTCAGGATAGCTTTGGCTATTCTCAATCTTTTGTGGTTCCATATACATTTTAGGATTGTTTTTTCTATTTCTGCGCAGAATGTTATTGGTACTTTCATAAGGATTTCATTAAATCTGTAGATTGCTTTGGGTAGCATGAACATTTTAACAAAATTGATTTTTCCAATCCATGTACATGGAATATTTTTCCACTTTTTTGTGTCCTCTTCTGTTTCTTTCATCAGTGTTTTATAGTTTTCATTGTAGAGCTCTTTCACTTCCATGGTTAACTAAATTCTTAGGTATTTAATTTTATTTGTGTCTATTGTAAATGGGATTACTTTTTTTTTTTTTTTTTTCAGATTGTTCACTGTTGGCAGGTAGAAGTGCTCCTGATTTTCGTATGTTGGTTTTGTATCCTGCAATGTTACTGTATTTGTTGATCAATTCTAATAGTTTTTTGGTGGAGCCTTTAGGTTTTTCCAAATATAAGAACATATCATCTGCAAACAACGATAATTTGACTTTTTTTTTTTCCAATTTGGATGCCCTTTATTCTGAAAGGGAATTTTTGCAAGATTTTTTTAATGCTTTATTGAGGTATAATTTTAATTCTATAAAATTCATTTATTGTACGTAAGTATATAGTTCTGTTACCACCACTCAATTTTAGAGTATTTCCACCATCCCCAAAAGTTCCCTTCTCCCTGTTTGTATTTGATCTCTGCTTCTACCCTGAGACCCAGGCAACTGCTGGTCTGCTTTCTGTCTGTATAGGTTTACCTTCTTGAGAAACTTCATATAAGTGGAATTGTATAATATATAGTTTTATGTCCTCTTTCTTTCTCTCTCTCTCTTTTTTTTTCTTCTTTTTTTGGAGAAAGAATCTCACTCTGTTGCCCAGGCTGGAATGCAGTGGCGCCATCTTGGCTCACTGCAACCTCTGCTTCCTGGGTTCAAGTGATTCTCATGCCTCAGCCTCCCAGGTAGCTAGGATTACAGGTGCGTGCCACTATGCTTGGCTAATTTTTTGTATTTTTAGTAGAGGCGGGGTTTTGTAATGTCAGCCGGGCTGGTCTCGAACTCCTGGCCTCAAGTGATCCATGTGCCTCAGCCTCCCAGAGACACTGTGCTCAGCCCTTTTTCTTTTTAAAAACATTTTCTAACATCTTTAATCAAATTTCACCCATGCTAAATGAGTCGTATTAGGTGCTTGACTTTCCCAAATGCTCATGTGTCAGGAGGGTATCAGTATTTGAAATCCTAAACCATTCATTTGCTGTTTCTTAACAAAAATTTTTGAAAAGCATGTAAACTCTACCCTTATCCTTTGGATTACAATGGTTAAGTACAAAAGCAATTCATTTAGCATCTTATAAATCATTCAAATTATAAATAAAAGCACCTACAGTTTTTTTAAATAAAAGATTCACAGTGCACCGTGCCTTGGAACATATAAGGTTGGAACATAACATTTAAAAAGTGAATTCCAGGCCATGTACAGTGGCTCACACCTGTAATCCCAGCACTTTGAGAGGCCGAGGCGGGCAGATCACCTGAGGTGAGGAGTTCAGAACCAGCCTGGCCAACATGGTGAAACCCTGTCTCTACTAAAAATACAAAAATTAGCTGGGTGTGGTGGCAGGCGCCTGTAATCCCACCTACTGGGGAGGCTGAGGCAGGAGAATTGCTTGAACCTGGGAGGCGGAGGTTGCAGTGAGCTGAGATGGCCCCATCACACTCCAGCCTGGGGGACAAGAACGAGACTTCATCTCAAAAAAAAGCAAATTCCAAGACCTGCATCTCTTTCAAAGACATAAAACATAATGAAGCCAACCGACTACTTGTTTCATCTAGGTTCTTAAAATGCAGCACTTGGTAGAAGTAAATTATTGCATATTCAGCATACTCCTTTATCACTTGATTTCTTCAAACCATACTAAAATTTCTCAAATGAGAAATCAGTTCTCTAAGCATGGCCTTTCTCAAGGTAACCTGAACACTGAGAAACTATTAAGGACTAAACTTTGAGGGACGAAGTACAGTAGATGTACATAAAACAGGTACATCCAACTTAAATATTTTCTGCATAGCTAAATCACATCATACACATAAACTTTAACTCCCATCTTTTAACATTTTTTTAACCTCAAACTTTGAGAGCTAAAAGCCTAGAGTTATAATCACATCCCAACAATACCGTTATTTTGTTCCACAGCGCATTAAATAAAGCAGCGCAACAGCAATAACGTTTAACCACAGTTGGTTTTTCAATATTAAAACCACCTTGTATTCTTGGGATAAATCCCTCTTGGTCATGGTGTTTAATCCTTTTTATATGTTGCTGGTTTCAGTTTGCTAATATTTTCTTTTTTTTTTTTCTTTTGAGGCAGGGTCTTGCTCTGTTGCCCAGGCTGGAGTGCAGTGGTGTGATCTCACCACTTTAAACAATGTTCTGTAAAGAGTTGCTTTTCAGATGGTATACAGCAATAAGTTTGGGGTTGGGTGAGTTATAAGGCCACAGAATAAAAATTGTGCAGCACCACTGAGTATTAATTTTACAAAAAATTTTAGGGAAAACATTAAACAAAGATGTCCATATTAAGAAGTAAATGAAAATTTTAAGATAAAATACTGTTTATAGTGGTTTCAAAGATATTCAAGTTACCATTTTTTTTTTAATTTTTTTAAAGGCTTTGCCTCACCCTGCTCCCTCACAAGGGCTGGCTGCACATACACAGCCATTTATTCTTTTTTTTTTATTATTATACTTTAAGTTTTAGGGTACATGTGCACAATGTGCAGGTTAGTTACATATGTATACATGTGCCATGCTGGTGTACTGCACCCATTAACTCGTCATTTAGCATTAGGTATATCCCTCATGCTATCCCTCCCCCCTCCCCCCACCCCACAACAGTCCCCAGAGTGTGATGTTCCCCTTCCTGTGTCCATGTGTTCTCATTGTTCAATTCCCATCTATGAGTGAGAACATGCGGTGTTTGGTTTTTTGTCCTTGCAATAGTTTACTGAGAATGATGATTTCCAATTTCATCCATGTCCCTACAAAGGACATGAGCTCATCATTTTTTATGGCTGCATAGTATTCCATGGTGTATATGTGCCACATTTTCTTAATCCAGTCTATCATTGTTGGACATTTGGGTTGGTTCCAAGTCTTTGGTATTGTGAATAGTGCTGCAATAAACATACATGTGCATGTGTCTTTATAGCAGCATGATTTATAGTCCTTTGGGTATATACCCAGTAATGGGATGGCTGGGTCAAATGGTATTTCTAGTTCTAGATCCCTGAGGAATCGCCACACTGCCTTCCACAATGGTTGAACTAGTTTACAGTCCCACCAACAGTGTAAAAGTGTCCCTGTTTCTCCACATCCTCTCCGGCACCTGTTGTTTCCTGACTTTTTAATGATTGCCATTCTAACTGGTGTGAGATGGTATCTCATTGTGGTTTTGATTTGCATTTCTCTGATGACCAGTGATGATGAGCATTTTTTCATGATACACAGCCATTTATTCTTATTCTTTGTCCTTTCATTGGGTGGAAAAGCTTGAGACCATCTGAATCTGAATCCCAGATCTAGTACTCATTGAATGAGTTTACCTCCTGGCTTCAGTGTTCTGATTTGTAATATGGGCATGATAGATTTATGTCAGTTGTAAGAGACAGATGAGAGAGCTTATAGAAAAGTACCCAGAAAGGTTTGATGTAACTTGATAGCAAGTTACAGTAAACAGTTCCTAGGGGAGGAAATTTTGATACCAGGGTTAGGGAAGTTTAGATGGTGTATTAGTCAATTTTCATACTGCTGATAAAGGCATACCTGAGACTTGGAAGGAAAAGAGGTTTAATTGGACTTACAGTTCCACATGGCTGGGGAGGCCTCAGAATCATGGCGGGAGGTGAAAGGCACTTCTTACATGGCAGCAGCAAGAGAAAAAAATGAGGAGGATGCAAAAGCGGAAACCCCTGATAAATCCATCAGAACTTGTGAGACTTACTACCATGAGAACAGTATGGGGTAATCTGCTGTCATGATTCAAATTATCTCCCACTGGGTCCCTCCCACAACATGTGGGAATTATGGGAGTACAATTTAAGATGAGATATGGGTGGGGACACAGAGCCAAACCATATAGTTTCACCCCTGGTCCCTCCAAATCTCATGTCCTCACATTTCACAAAAAACATGCCTTCCCAACAGTCCCTCCAAAGTCTTAAGTCATTTCGGCATTAACCCGAAAGTCCACAGTCCAAAATTTCATCTGAGACAAGGCAAGTCCCTTCCACCTATGAACCTGTAAAATCAAAAGCAAGCTAGTTACTTCCTAGATAAAATGCGGATATAGGTACTGGGTAAATACAGCCATTCCAAATGGGAGAAATTGGGCAAAACAAAGGGGTTACAGTCCCCATGCAAGTCTGAAATCCAGCAGGGTAGTCAAATCTTAAAGCTCCAAAATGATCTCCTTTGACTCCATGTCTCACATCCAGGTCACGCTGAAGCAAGAGGTGAATTCCCATGGTCTTGGACAGCTCCTCCCCTGTGGCTTTCCAGGGTACCGCCTCCCTTCTGGATGTTTTCATGGGCTGGCAATGAGTGTCTGTGGCTTTACCAGGCACACAGTGCAATTTGTCGGTGGATCTCCCATTTTGGGGTCTGGAGGATGCTGGCCCTCTTCTCACAGCTCCACTAGGTGGTGCCCCAGTAGGGACATTTCCCTTTCACATTGCCCTAGCAGAGGTTCTCCATGAGAGTTCCAACCCTGCAGCAAACTTCTGCTTGGACATCCAGGCATTTCCATATATCCTCTGAAATCTAGGCGGAGATTCCCAAACCTCAATTCTTGACTTCTGTGCACTCACAGGCTTAACACCATGCGGAAGCTGCCAAGGCTTGGGGCTTGCATCCTCTGAAGCCATGGCCCAAGCTCTATGTTGGCCCCTTTCAGCCATGGCTGGAGCAGCTGGGATGCAGGGCACCAAGTCCCTAGGCTGGACACAGCATGGGGACCCTGGTCCCGGCCCATGAAACCATTTTCTCCTAGGCCTGCGGGCCTGTGATGGGAGGGGCTGCTGTGAAGATTTCTGACATGCCCAGGAGACATTTTCCCCATTGTCTTGGGGATTAACATTTGGCTACTTGTCACTTATGCAAATTTCTGCAGCCAGCTTGAATTTCTCCTCAGAAAACAGGTTTTTCTTTTCTTTTTTCTTTCTTTCTTTCTTTTTTTTTTTTTTTATTATACTTTAAGTTCTGGGGTACATGTGCAGAACGTGCAGGTTTGTTACATGGGTATACATGTGCCATGGTCGTTTGCTGCACCCATCAACCCATCATCTACATTAGGTATTTCTCCTAATGCTCTCCCTCCCCCAGCCCCCTACCCCCCGCCAGGCCCCAGTGTGTGATGTTCCCCTCCCTGTGTCCATGTGTTCTCATTGTTCAGCTCCCACTTATGAGTGAGAACATGTGGTGTTTGGTTTTCTGTTCTTGTGTTAGTTTGCTGAGAAGGTTTTTCTTTTCTATTGCATTGTCAGGATGCAAATTTTCCAAACTTTTGTGCTCTGCTTCCCTTATAAAACTGAATGCCTTTAACAGCACCCAAGTCACCTGTTAAATGCTTTGCTGCTTAGAAGTTTCGTCTGCCAGATACCCTAAATCATCTCCCTCAAGTTCAAACTTCCATAGATCTCTAGGACAGGGCAAAATGCCACCAGTCTCTTTGCTAAAACATAACAAGAATCACCTTGGATTCCATTCCCAACAAGTTCCTCATCTCTATCTGAGACCACCTCAGCCTGGACTTTATTGTCCATATCGCTATCAGCATTTTGGGCAAAGCCATTCAACAAGTCTCTAGGAAGTTCCAAATTTTCTCACATTTTCCTGTCTTCTTCGGAGCCCTCCAAACTGTTCCAACCTCTGCCTATTACCCAGTTCCAAAGTTGCTTCCTCATTTTTGGGTAACTTTTCAGCAGCATCCCACTCTGCTGGTACCAATTTACTGTATTAGTCCATTTTCATGCTGCTGATAAAGACATATCTGAGACTGGGAAGATAAAGCAGTTTAATTGGACTTACAGTTCCACATGGCTGGGGAGGTCTCAGAATCATGGTGGGAGGTGAAAGACCCTTCCTACATGGCGGGTGGCAAGAGAGAAAAATGAAGATAAAACCGTCAGATCTCATGAGACTTATTCTCTATCATAAGAGCAGTATGGGGGAAACCGCCCCCATGATTCAAATTATCTCCCACTGGGTCCCTCCCACAACATGTGGGAATTATGGGAGTACAATTCAAGATTAGATTTGGGTGGGGACACAGAACCAAACCATATCAGATGGGTCAGGGTAAGTTTGGCTGGATGTAACAAAAGATGGACAGTAAGTGTAACTAGGTGAGGGGAGGTTGTCCCTACTGTCTAGCACTGATCTTTAGGTATATCATTGTTGAGGCTATTTTGTCCACACCATCTTCATCTTTCAAGATCTCTACCCTCTATTGAGGGCATGGATGGAGGAAGTGGGGAGTACCATGATTGTTGACAAGGTGGCCACCCACAAGGGCAGTTTGAATGGCAGGGGGCATGAACAGGCATTCTTCTGCTGAAAGATTTATGGATAATGTTTAGGCAGCCATCAAGAGAAGGCTGGTGTCCAGCACTGTATTTCCTCTGTAAGGACTGTGTGATGTTCTCTGTCAATGGCAATGGATGGCATGCAGGTTTTGCTTTGACTTCCAATAGCTCCCACCTCTTTTTTGTCTGGCCATGTTTCCATCCTCCCCTGTAGAGTTCTGACTTCCTACTGGGAAGGCAAGGAGCAGCTTCCCACCCCACTGTTCTTAAGAATGATCAATAAGCTTTGCTCCTGTCTGAATCTACCTTGCTGACTTCCTATAACTGGGGTTGGAACTCTCTCTCTGTAAAATGTCAGATAGTGAATATTTTAGCTTTTGTGGGCCAAGAGGCAAAATCGGGAATGTTTACACAAATTTTTTGAAAAAATTCAAAACTTTATTCACAGACACTGAAATTTGAATTTTAGGTAAGTTTCATTTGTCATGTAATATTATTATTTTAATTTTTTCAACCATTAAAAAATATGAAAACCATTCTTAGCTCAATGGCCAGATAGAGTCAAGTGGCCAACTGCAGACAATAGTTTGCTGACCTCTATTCTAGAGCCTATTACTGAAGGAAAAAACCTAACCCCCCCCACACAAAAAGAAACCCTCTGAATATTAAGTGTCTTGCAGTCCAAGATGCCTCTGACTGACTCATTCACTAAAATGAATGGAAAGAGTTAGGAAGCATAGGAAAGAAAAGCATAAAGATTGTCAATACTTTAAGCTCCCATTTCCCATAAGCAGGAAGTCAAAATGTTTTAAGTCCAAACAACTGGCCAGAGCAGTGTCTTTTGAACTTGCTTCATGACCAGAATCACCTGGCTTCTTGTTGAAGCTAGATTCCCGGACTAGAGGTTTTGATGCAAGGGAGACTTCTGGGTGGGGGTGTGCTCTCGGGATCAGGTAAGCTGAAGAAACACTATTCCAGGGGGTGTAAAGGAACCTCAAAAGCTGTAGTTCTTAAAGTGTGGTCCGTGGCCCAGCAGAACCAGCATTACCTGAGAGCTTGTAAGAAATGCAAGTCTTTGGCCTACCCTAGAAACACTGAATCAGAAACTGGGGGTGGGGTCTGGCAATCTGGTTTTCATCAAGCCAGGTGGTCCTGATGCCAACTAGAATTTGAGAACGCCTGCTTCAAGGCATCATTACCAGCATCTGGAGAAGTGATTGAGAACCCACCTGAGCAGTGAAGGCCTGGGCGCTCTTAAACCACTGTGTTCTCAAGAGCGCAGGTCTGTGGGTGAGAGCAATTCTAACAGACATCTGAAGCCAAAGGCCTAGGTTTCCACAGGAAGATCTGGAAACCCTGTTCAAGGCAAGCCTTTTGGAAGTCAAGGCTGTATTCCCCTAAGAGGGGGCACCATGGATCCTAGAGATAGCAAATGCCACCCAAGGTGATGGTGAGGGAGTTTTCAGCTTTTCTGCACGTGTGACCGTTTACTGCACCAGGAGCTTTCTAGTGACTTCCACCTTTTTCAGGTTTTTCCAAGGTTCACCGGGGAACCCCTGTCCTGGGCCTGCCAGTGAGGTGCTGGGAGCTTCCCGACCTCACAAGCGGCTCTTGTGATGTAATTGCCACCTGAGGCGTGCCCCTCCTGGCCCTGGCGACATCACAGAGGCTACCTGGGCACGGACCCCGCAGCTTCCTGGGGCCCAGTCAGCCGCTCCAGGTGCTTAAGTCTGGACTGCGGAGGCCGGGGCGGTGGCGTGCAGGGTGAGGTCTCCCGGGCTGGCGCGCGTGCAAGCCCCCTGCTGCTACCTCGCGCTAGGCCAGCTCCAGGAGGGCAACAGACGACAGGACATTGCAAAAGGGCCACTTAAATTTTCCTTCGAGTAAACAGAACACCTGCCAAGACCCTCGAGCCTGGGCGTGCCCCAAGACAGGTGGTTGGGGTCTAGGAGTCGGCTGCAGCTGGCGATGCTCTGAGGGGACGTCAGGGCCTCAGGATCGCCCCTATGAAGACGAAGTGCATCTGTGAACTGTGCTCCTGCGGGTAAGGTGGCCACGCCCAGGGCAAGGCTGGGGGAGCCTGGGTTTTCAGACTCCCGAGGAAGGGAAGCCTCCCCCAGCTGCTTCATCAGGCGGCATCACGGTGGGTTCGTCCACTTGCTACGTTTTTTAAGCCACAATTGTGTCAACTAGCGTTGTGCCCGCGGACGCCACATCAGTTCTGGCGAATGTGGCTGTTTTCGGGCCTTCTGTGCCGCTTCACTTGAGAACTGCAGGAGGGTTGAAAATGGGCGTGACCGCGCAGTCTGCACTCCCTTCCCTGAAGCCCAGAAAGTGTCAGCCAAGGAGGGAGAACACCTGGCCCAGTGGGACCAGTCTTGCTCCTTTTGGGAAAGTGATAGGATGGGAGGAGAATTCCTGTAGTATAACTGAATTTCTCATTCAGAGAGATTGTTACTTTGTCAGAGAAGTATAAGGTATTAGTAAAACTTGTTCCACATTGTGTAGAGTTGAATAAGGATAATGAAAACATTACTTTCACAGTCGCCTGGCCTGCCAGGTCTCCCTTCTAACCTTTAAGGACCATCTTTGGGTGGAAGCGCAGTAAAGGTGGTCCTGGGGGAAATCATGGACTTTAGTCAGAGTCCCACGGGCTGACTGGTCTGCTGTCACTCACATGATCTCTTAGAGGCTCCTTCTATCTGCTTCCCAGGGCAGCTGGGTTTCTGCTTGGCTGGGGCAGGGAGTGGGCAGCAGAGGAGCAACAGGCAAGAGGGTTCTGAGGTCACCTTTCCTGGGCTGTCATTAATTGTGGGATCTTAGATTGGTAACTAAACTCCAGGTCATAGTCGCCTCATCTGTACCAACAATACGTACCTCATAGGACTATTGTAAGAGTTAAGATCATGTATGTGAGTCCTGGTACATGGATTGTGCTTAATATGTTAGTGTCCTGAAATCTGAAAAAAGGGCAAATATGACACATGCATATAAAAATGGTATCAGTAGTGTGGAGAATTAAAGGGCACTCTAAAAACTGGATCAGCAACCTTCTATATCTCTGGCATCAATAAATGGTTCCCAACTCTGGCTGCTGATTAGAATCACACAGGGAGTTTGAAAACTATCAGTTGCTCAGGCCGTTGAATTGATACTCTCAGAGTGGGCCCTGTCAACTGTCTAAAGGTGATTCTGGCCATTTGCTAGGACTGGGACTCACTGAACTAGATCATGTACAAACGTGGGTCTTGCTTTTGAGCTTTGTTAAGTGGGGCCAGAGCAGTGTATAGTCTAGGACTACATGTTACCAAGCAAAACCTTTTTTTCTAAGGCCGCCTTTCTTTTTTCTTTTTGGAGGCAGTGTCTTGCTCTGTTGCGCAGGCTGGAGTGCAGTGGTGCCATCTCGCTTCACTGCAACCTATGCCTCAGGGTTCAAGTGATTCTCCTGCCTCAGCCTCCTGAGTAGATGGGATTACAGGCACATGCCACCATGCCTGGCTAATTTTTGTATTTTTAGTAGAGACAGGGTTTCAACCATGTTGTCCAGGCTGGTTTTGAACTCCTGATCTCAGGTGATCGCCTGCCTCGGCCTCCCAAAGTGCTGGGATTACAGGCATGAGCCACTAAGGCCTTCTTTCTACTGGGATGCTTTACATTACCCTCCTGTGTCCTCCTGCATTGTTCTAGGCATTGGGATTGAATGTATAAGACATAGTCTCCATCTTTGCACAGCGTGCAGTCTAGGTAGGAAGGCAGAATGCTCATTAAGAGGTGCAGAGCATATATAGTGAGAAGTCTCCCTCCTGCCCCTGCAGTAGGGTTATGACTCATTTGGGTGTTCCTTCTCTGACTCTGTTCTCATTCTGTCCCTGCAAAGGAGTCACTTTCCATTGGAAGCAGAGTCTGTTCTTGTGTCTCTTCTCCTTTTCTTCTCTCCTCATCCTGTATTTTCTCCTCCATTTTATGGTTTCAGCCAATAGTTTCTCCTGTCTTCTGAATTCCAGTTTCATTTTCATCTTCTCAAAGTGCTTTGGTGATCCATCTGTCTCATTAATCTCAACTTCAACAACCTTCAAACATTATTCTGGTATCTGCCCCATTCATGGTGCCAGCAATCTTCCATTCACCCTGGGTGAAAATTTTGAATCATCTCTTACTCTCCCTCAAACAGAACATTGAATCTTTTTCTTCTTCTTATTTTTTTATTTTTTTTATTTTTTTGAGATGGAGTCTTACTCTGTCGTGCAGTGGCGCGATCTCTGCTCACTGCAACCTCCGCCTGCTGGGTTCAAACGATTCTCCTGCCCCAGCCTCCCAAGTAGCTGGGATTACAGGTACCCACCACCATGCTGGGCTAATTTTTGCATTTTTAGTAGAGATGGGGTTTCACCATGTTGGCCAGCTGGTCTTAAACTCCTGACCTCAAATGATCCACCTACCTTGGCCTCCAAAAGTGTTGGGATTACAGGCGTGAGCCACCGAGCCTGGCACATTGACTCTTTTCTAAAGTCTGGGTCCCTCCTCCATTGTAATCTTTCTTTAATTGGTCCCTTCCCTTTTATTCCGGTTACAACCTCCCTGGTTCTCTCATTTTTGTGTTTGGAAACTGGTCCTAAATTACCTTCCTAGTTTTTTTTTCTCCCATGATTCCCTTACATGAAACTACACCTTGAATTGGATCAGGTTTCTTGGCATCCCCTGAGTGGACCTGCTGATGTCCCTTTTCTGATCCTTATCCTTTCCCTTTCTCTAAAATACCTATGTTCCCTCCTCCTGCTGGACTTGTAAGGCCCGGTTTCACTTGCAAGTTCCCTGTTAACCCAGCCCTGTGGCTCCCCATCAAAGAAAAACCCCGCTCCGTGTTCTCATCCTCTATGCATCAGCATGCTTTATATCCTCGATTAATTATATGTACGCTGGGAAAACAGATATTTTCTATTTTTGTGTGTGCACTGTATCATAGCAACACAGTTTTCTTTATTAACAGCTAACACATATCTTTTTGAATGAATGGATGGCGTTTTTTGTTTGTCAAGGTCATAACATGCTGGACTGGGTTAGGAATGTAAGATTTAGAGATGTACTGTCCAGTATGGTAGCCAGCTGTGGCAATTTCATTTAAATAAATGAAAGTTAAATAAAACTAAAAATTCAGTTTCTCAGCTGCACAAGCCACATGTCAAGTGCTCAGTAGCTACTCGAGTATAGTCACTCCCATACCGGCACATGCAGATAGGGAGTGTTTCCATCACTGCGGAAAGTTCTGTTGGACAACACTGATCTTGAGTCTCATTATTTGGAAGTCTTGATCTCTCCCACCCCAATTAAATCCCTCCCACCCCAATTAAATCTGCTCAGTGACCGGTTGGGATGGAGCGAGGAATTTTATAGGTGTTTTCTAAGCTGTGGAAGTCTATATTTGGCTTTTCCAGTCTGAGGTCATGGGAAAAAGCAATGGGAAATCTGGAAGACAAGCATGCATGAAGAAGTCAGAGACAGCGCCCTTGAGTGGGAGGGGGAGACCGGGGTTCCTGAGTGAGTCACTGGTTCTCTCTGGGCTTCAGTTCCCCCATTTTTTAATCCTGGAGATTTGTGGAGACCCTCAGGGCTGCCAGGGAGGGAGAGAGGCACATTTATTCCCCCTTCTCTCTCACATTCTCTTCTTCCGAAGTTTTTCTTGAGCAAATAATTCTTTAATGTCCTTTCAACTTTAACTTTTGAGGACATTGTACTTGTTGGCGAGTGGGCTCTGGAGATGCTCAGAGGCCTGGATAAAAAGGTGTCCATCTGCAGGAGCAGCTGCCCACAGCTGCTGAGGAAAAGCCACCAATGGGTGACTCTCTTGGAGCAAGTTCTTATATTTGGCCACAAGATGGCAGACGTTTCCTGATCAATTCTCACTGCGGGTTAAACCAAATCAGCCTGAATGGAAAAGCAAAACCTTTGGAGTTCTGGATTTTATTTTATTTTTAAATAGATTTATCTTTAGTTTTCTAAAATGAGCAATTAGAGTTTAGGGTCCAGCAGAGCTCAGGAAAGTGGTACGCCTTTCAGAGTAGATGGCAGATTACGAAGTGAAAAGTGTTTCAAATGTCTAAATTTAAAGATTCCAATCACTTGTAAAACTTTTCAGTGAGCTTTGCTGGGCTAAAAAAAAAATCAGACATATTTTACTGCGTCAAGCTCAAGGCTTTGCCTCCACAACAATGCTCTACTTCTTTCCTTGAAGATCAAAATCTTGCAATTGGAATTATTACCATAGAATGTCATAATATTCTCTTTTCAACATAATCAGCACCAAAAAAGCAGAGTATTGTGGTTTGCAGAAACAGTAAGGTCAGCATCTAAATTTTTTTTGAAACTAATGTACCACTTAATTATCTTGACTTAAGAAGCTACATGGTGGGGGAGTGCTTTGAATAGAGTAACTCTAATTTTGTATATGAGAGTATAATGTTTCCAATTGCATCTGATTATCTCCAGCATTTCCTGTTATTGAAAAAATGCTACTCCGAAGAGTTTTATTTTTTATTTTTTTTGAGACGGAGTCTCGCTCTGTTGCCCAGGCTGGAGTGCAATGGCGCGATCTTGGCTTATTGCAACCTCCGCCTCCCGGGCTCAAGCGATTCTCCTGCCTCAGCCTCCCGAGCAGCTGGGATTACAGGCGCCCGCCACTACGGCCGGCTAATTTTTGTATTTTTTTTGTTTTGTTTTATTTTGCCTCTAAACCATCTTTTATTGCGCACTTCAGCCGCGAGTCCGGGGCTGGCCTGCCGTGCCCTAGGCGTAGTACTGTAGGTTGGCTTTCTTCTTGGCCTGGACCTCCAGGATGCCTTCCATGTAGTCCTCGTGGGTGAGCTCCGTGGCACCCCTGCGCAGTGCGATCATACCCGCCTCCACAGACACAGCCTTGCACTGGGCCCCGTTGAAGTCATCTGTGCAGCGGGTCAGCTCCCTCGCAGTTCACGTCAGGACTGACGTTCATCTTTTGGGAGTGGATCTGCATGATTCTGGCCCAGGCACTCGATCTTGCGGTCCAGGCCGCCCTAGCGTAGCAGGGCGGGGTCCAGGATGTCCACCCGGTTTGTGACTGCAATTACCTTAACTTGGGTGTTGGGCTGGAAGCCATCCAGCTGGTTCAGAAGCTCCAGCATCGTCCTCTGCACCTCTCGGTCCCCGGACTTCTCGCTGTCAAAGTGCTTGGTGCCTATGGCATCCAGCTCATCAGTGAAGATGATGGAGGGCGCTTTCTCCTTGGCCAGGGCGAAGGCATCCCGGACTAGCTTGGCACCATCTCCAGTGAACATCTGCACCAGCTGGGGGCCAGTCAGCTTTAGGAAGGTGGCCTTAGTCTGTGCCCTACAGGCCCAGGCCAGGAGGGTCTTCTCCGTCCCTGGGGGCCAGCACCCCTTTTGGATGTTGGATCCGCAAGTTCTCAAACTTCTCCTTGTGGTTCATTGACAAGACAGTGGCCTCCACCAGTTCCTGGATCTGCTTGTCCAAGCCCCCAGTGTCACTGTATTGCTCCGTGGGTCTCTCATCCACCTCTGTGGCCTTCACCCGCGAGTCGTACTCTGGGCAGTGTCTCCAGGATTGGATAGGAGTCTTTGTTCACACCCACCAGGTCTCCTGGCTTTAGCTTTTCAACATCCACCAATCCAATCACAGGTAGGAAGTATGTCTGTCGTGTAGAGGTTTTGATCACAGCACACTTGTCCTTCCTCTGGGAGTCCAGGTCAATATTTGGACCATCCTCCTCTTGATCATTGGGATCAACATCCAGGAGCTCGATGATGTTGGAGACAAGGTACACCAGGGTTTTGTTCACATTGATTTTCTCACTGTTCTCTTTGATCTTGTCCTTCATGGCTTGGAGCTCATGGGTGACTCTCAACAGTTAACTCTTCATGATCTTGATCTCACTGTCCAGAAGCCATGTGCGCTGGATGATCTCCTCCGTGGACATGTTGAGCACCTCCACCCCAGTTCCATCTTGCTTGGCCTCATCCCACACGGTTGCCATCTTCTTTTCTAGTTTTTGAATTTTTAGTAGAGATGGGGTTTCACCATGTTGGCCAGGCTGGTCTTGAACTCCTGACCTTGTGATCCACCCACCTCAGCCTCCCAAAGTGCTCAGACTACAGGTGTGAGCTACCACGCCCGGCCCAGCATTTTATAATATTAAACCACCTTCCATCTTTACAGTATTTTGAAAATTCAAAAAGTATTTTCCCATATATTATTATCTTACTGTGGGTCCCTCAACATGGGAAGCATTGCTTAGTTTGGAAATTCGATTCCTTGATTTTAGCCTCTCTTTTCCCTGGCGATGTTTTCAGTCTATTGAGCTGTTCTTTCCCAGATGACTAAATTTGAAACTGTGGTTAGGTGGGGGAGTGGGTGGCGCAAGGCAGGGTTGCTGTAAAGTAAAACGTTAATCAGACTTTTAAAGCTGAAAGGGATCTTAGTGGTCTCTAGCTCTTTTATTTTACAGATAAGGAAATAGAAACATTGAGATTAATTTTAATATATGGGAACATGTTAAGCTTCAGGCACAATTTAGGTCAATCAATTAAATTTTATTCATATTTTACTGGGTATCAGACACTGCTAGGTGTTAAAATTTATAGTCTGGTCTATTTTCGAGTCACACTGGACCATTTAAAAAATTGATACATAATGATTGTACATATTTCTGGGGTACAAGTGACATTTTGATATATTCATATAACATGTAACAATCAAATTAGGGTAATTAGCATATCTATCACTTCACACATTGATCATTTATTTGTATTGGGAAGCTTACAAATAATCTTCTAGCTATTTTGAAATATATGGCAAATTATAACTATAGTCACCCTACTGTATTATCAAACACTGTAATTTATTTCTTCTATCCAACTTATTTTTGTATCCATTAACCAACTTAATTAGTTCCCCCAACTCCCACAATGGGCCATTTTTGATTGTAGAGTACAATATGAAGGCTCTGGTCCAACTGAGAAAATAGTATCTGATATAAAAAAAAAAGTGTAATTCTAAAAGCCTTTTAGTAAAGTAATATAAATAGCAAATCTCCCTCCTGAGATTAAAATGTAGTAACACTACTTTTTCTAAAATTCTTGTAAAAAATTGTTAATGAAGGGATTGATATAGCTTACTTTTATATCTGATTATTTTACAGCTTACAGTGCACCATTTTAAAGATTTTGTGCAATCTTGCAGGAAATTCCAGGACTGGTTAATGTATCATGAAATATTTATGAAGCATTGGTAGTATGTGCAGCATTTCATAAAAAAGGTAGTCCCATAGAGGACTCAAAAATTGCTGAAAAGGATGTGGATTTGGCCCTTTCACAGAGCTTGTGGAGGAAGGTGATCTCAGGGGCAGCCATGTATCTGCAACTTAAATCAGTTATGTTAACCAGGGAGGAACTTGTTATTTTAATTTTGGAAAATATTTTCTTCATATCGATGGAAATTTCCTTAACCTTAGATTTTATTTTCTTAGAGTCTCTGTTACACATTAAGAGGAAGGAAAAAAAATTGAGGACTTGGTTTCATATTACATGTTTTAAGAAGAATTCTTATTTTTAATTTAAATAAAATTGACTTCATAAATTCTGATTAAGGAAAAAAAACACAAAGAACAGCCTTTAACAGATACTTGCTGATGACTTATCTTTAGCAGAATCCAGATAGAGATGCCAAGAAAAAAAAGAAAAACTTTCACGTTAAGATTGAATTTTTATTGTAGATTTCATGTACTTTTCATGTTAAGCTATGTTATGCTCCTTAAAAATGGCCTTTTTTGGATATCAGAATTAATGTTTAATTGTTCATAAATACCTTTCATCTTATAAAATGAGTACAAGTGGGTATATGTCAAATTTCAGATATTATTAGAGTACAACTTCATATTCCAATTACAGCAGTAAACATGATCTATTCGACCTTATAGTCTGCAGATGGATCCGTTCAGAGTAACATGTTCTGATTCTGTTCTGTAGTGGGCAGTTTTAAACGTCATTCCCTCCATTGATATTAAAATATTTATTACTGACCTTCAGGTGATTTATAGTTTATTTGGAAAGATGACATGTCTCGGGATGGGTGGTGGAGGGGTGGAAACAGCTACCCTTAGATGAATGAGACCAATAAAACAAGTGATGTAGGATGTGAGGGGTGGGAGAGGCGCTTTGGGATGGGGTAGCCGGGGAAGGCTTTAGGATGGAGAAGTGATGAGGAAAGTGAAGCTGGAGTGAGACTGCCTGGTTTCAAATGCTGGCTCTGCCACTTTTTTTTAAATTTTATTATTATTATACTTTAAGTTTTAGGGTACATGTGCACAACGTGCAGGTTAGTTACATATCTATACATGTGCCATGTTGGTGTGCTGCACCCATTAACTCGTCATTTAGCATTAGGTATATCTCCTAATGCTATCCCTCCCCCCCTCGCCCCACCCCACAACTGTCCCCGGTGTGTGATGTTCCCCTTCCTGTGTCCATGTGTTCTCATTGTTCAGTTCCCACCTATGAGTGAGAACATGCGGTGTTTGGTTTTTTGTCCTTGCGATATTCTTAAGGTTGGTGTGAGGATTAGGCGGGAGAGGAGCACAGGCCCTGGAGGAAAGGGTATGTTGGGGTTTAGTGCGGCTGCCCTTGCTGCAGGGCAGGGCAGTCAGAGAGACACGGAAGACATCATGTCTGCCTGAGTACTTGAGCCTGCAGGAGATCGTGCCGGAAGCTTGCTGGAGGCAAATTGCAGAGGGACTCTTACATGTCTCAGAATGTGAACTCGCCAGCAAAGAGCCATGGATGGATTTTGAGCTGGAGAGTAACATAGATAAATAGTCTTTTCCCCCGCAAAAAAAAAAAAAAAAAAAAAAAAAAAAAAGCCTTAAAGAGTAGCATTTCTTCTTCTTTTTTAAAATATAGAGATGAGGTGTCACTATGTTGCCTAGGTTAGTCTCAAACTCCTGGGCTCAAGCAATCTTCCCACCTCGGACTCCCAAAGTGCTGGTGTGAGGAGCTACTGTGCCTGGCCCCCTTTGTTCGTTCCTTCGTTCCTTTCCTCCCTTTCCTTCCTTTCTTTCCTTTCCTTGCTTTCCTCCCTCCCTTCCTTCCTTCTTTCTTCTTCAGAAATGCCCAATATCTGAATTAGGCTGACTTTAAATCTGTTAATGTTTTGGTTTTTCTGAGTGGATTTGTAGTTTGCTAATATTTCCTTAAAGATATATTATCTCCATTCCATTCTTGTCACTTTTCTTAACTTGATTTAACACATGATTAAGTGATGATTGACTACGAGAAGTGGCAGAGTATTGCAGTTCCAAGCGCAGACTGTGGAGCCAGCCTATCTTGGTTCAAATCCCAGCCTTTCTGCTCCCTAACTGTGTCATGTTAAACCATTTCACAGTGAAGTTTCTATTTCTGTGTACCTCAGCGTTCTCATCAGTAAAAGGGAGATAGAACCTGACTCAACAGAGTTATTGAGAGGATTGAATCAGTATTAAGCAAGTAGAACAATGCGTGCATCCACAGTAAGGCATAGGTAGATGTTATTAAATAAGCATAAAGGTCTGTTCTAGGCAATGAAGAATGAAGAAGTGTACTTGCCTGAGCACTTGAGTCTGAGTGGGAGATCCTGCCAGCAGCTCTGTGGAGCTCGCACCCTAGAGAAGAGAGTTAGGATTGTTTACTAACTTGCATGTAATAAAAAATGCCCTGCAGAGAATTAACTCCGGTGGGGCGGGGGGGTGGGGGGGGATGTAATCTGGTGTTTGGGGGGCTTGATTAAATATTGATGATAAGAATGGTTTGCAAAGACTTCATCTACTCCTTATACTCTGGGAGGCTCTCTGCCCTTTCTGGGATGCCTACACTTGAGTCCAGCATTTATTAGGCTTTGTGAGTTCATACTGACATTAACAAACACTAAGGTTAAGTTGCTGTTCAGTTTTGAACTTTGCAAGTCTTCAAAACAATGACTCTGGGGATTAAAGACGTACTCCCTGCATAGCATACCCTACTATTCTGTTTTATTGTCTTTACCAGCTTGTTCAAAGTAACTTTGAAGTTTCTCTGGTTGTTTCTCTAAAAGGAAAGAAAAATGTTTCTAAATGGCTGTCAAATTAGCTGCTAAGCAAAATATATCCTTATATTTTAAATATCTAGACTATCCAAAAGCCCTTCATTCTAATGTTAACAAATTGGGGTTGTAATGTAAAAAATCAGTTAAGTTTCTCCCAGTGCTGGTCAATAACTTAACTTTTAGAAACTACCCATTATGAGTAACTATTTTTAAAAATCACTATCTTTCCCCATAATGGTCCAATTTCTCTTTCAAGTATGATGCATTTCAAGTCTTCTGCAAATGAAAAAAACTCTACATACAATCTGTGAACAACAGCTCCAAATGAAGAGCAGAGTCAATTGAATACCCTGTTCTTTATCTTGCTTCACATGGGAGGGCAGTGAGTAATATTAGGGGAAGAACATGCTATTGTGTCTGGAATTGGTTCCTTCTGGTGGATTCTTGGTCTCACTCACTTCAAGAATGAAGCCGCAGACTCTCGCAGTGAATGTTACAGTTCTTACAGATGGTGTGTCCAGAGTTTGTTCCTTCAGATGTTCAGATGTGTCCAGAGTTTCTTCCTTCCAGTGGGTTGGTGATCTCTCTGACTTAAGGAGTGGAGCTGCAGACCTTTGCAGTGAGTGTTACAGCTCTTAAAGGTGGCGCCTCCGGAGTTGTTCGTTTCTCCCCGTGGGTTCGTGGTCTTGCTGATTTCAGGAATGAAGCCACAGAAACTCACACTGAGTGTTACAGCTCATAAAGATAGTGCGGACCCAAGGAGTGAGCAGCAGCAAGATTTATTGTGAAGAGCAAAAGAACAAAGCTTCCACAATGGGGAAGGGGACCCGACCCAGTTGCCACTGCTGAGCAGGTTGCCCTTGCTGGCTTGGGTGGCCAGCTTTTATTTCCTTACTGGGCCCTGCCCACATCCTTCTGATTGGTCCATTTTACAGAGTGTTGATTGGTCCATTTTACAGAGTGCTGATTGGTCCATTTTACAGAGTGCTGATTGGTGCGTTTACAATGCTTTAGCTAGACACAGATTGCTGACTGGTGCAGTTTTACAGAGTGCTGATTGGTGCATTTGCAATCCTTTAGCTAGACACAAAAGTTCTCCAAGTACCCACCTGACCCAGAAGCTCAGCTGGCTTCACCTCTCACTATGACTGTTGGGATTGCAGTCCTGGATTTAATTACTTACAAGCTTTGTGAACTTGTTCAGGTCCTTGAATATCTCTAGACTGTCAAAAATCAGTGATCCTCAGACAGTGGGATTCCCATCATCTATAGCGGTGTTTTTTCAGGTCCAGAGAACTTCCATGTCAGGGCCCAGAAGGTGTCTGCAGAGGTCTTCTACAGCCTCTGCTGGCGACCTCAAGAGAAGTCAGGGAAAAGGGGACATGGGGCACAGACCTGAAGGTGGACAGATGTTTTCCTGAGTTCATCAAAAGTATTTAATGGCTAGTTGGGAGTATGTGTCTTTCTCGGACCTTATGGCTCTTGCGGTGTCTGATCTGTTTTCTTCTGGGTACTCTGACTTCCTCTGCACGTTGGCTGTCTGTGGCTACCCCAGCCCTAGCTTCATACCACTTCTCATTTCAGAGAACTAAAGAGTTTAATGTGCTGTTTCCAAATTCCACAGAAAAGAGCTCCTGGTTGGGTCCAGCCTGTGACAGGTGGCTCTTCTGGCATGAGGCTGTCTCCTGTGGTCTAATCAGCTGAGCATCAGGAGGGGTGAGGTCACATAGAACAAACTGGGCAGCTAGAGGAGAGCAGTTTTAGGTAATAAAGATGTAGTTTGGAAGAAAATAATTAAGAGGAAACAATTGGCCTTGCAACAATTCTTGCCAAGATAATCTTGTGGATAAAGCTAGTGAAAGATGGGTTGGATGACAATATTAGGTTAGGTGGATTCCCAGGTCATTGAACAAGCAGGCCAGAAGAGTTTCAACAGATGGCTTTTTACCTGCTTAAAACAATGTCACCATTGTTAGTGATACTGGAACAATATCCCCATGCCCTAGAACTCTATTGTTAGCTTTGTCATGTTCAACATTTTTAATCAAAACTTGGATGAAGACACAGAAGACATCCTTATCAAGTGTGCTGAGAACACAAAGTGAGAAGAACATAGCAAGCATAATAGATGACAGAATGAAGATTCAAAATTATCTTGGTTATGCCCAGTGGCTCACACCTGTAATCCTAGCATTTTTGGAGGCTGAGGTGGGCAAATCACTTGAGCCCAGGAGTTCAAGACCAGCCTGGGCTGCATGGTGAAACCCTGTTTCTACAAAAAATACAACAACAAAAAATTAGCTGGTTATGGTGGTGCGTGCCTGTAGTCCCAGGTGCTGGGGATGCTGAGGTGGGAGGATGGCTTGAGCCTTGGAGGCGGAGGTTGCAGTGATGCAGTGAGCTGAGATCGCACCACTGAATCCCAGCCCAGGAAACAAGGCAAGACCCTGTCTCACAAAAAAAAAAAAAAATTATTTCGACAGGCTGAAATGCTGGGCCCCAAACAAACTGGAACTTAGCAAGAGTAAGCATGAAGTTTTACATTTGGGATGAAAAATCAATTACACATAGTCATAATGGAGGTGGTTTATCTTGGCCTTTTCAGTTTGTGAAAAGATCTTGGGGTTTTACTTCACTACAGTTTTATGTGATCTGAGGGTATGATGTGGCTGTGAAGAAGCATTAACTTAGTGCTACGCTCAATGGAGGTAGAGTGTCCAGTCATTGGACTTTTGCTTTGTCAGACCACAACTGAAGGATGCTTTCCACGTGGACACTTTTTTTTTTTTTTTTAATAATACCTGCTGGTGACCAGGATGGCCAGTTTATATGGAATGCATTCTGAAAGTGAGAAAACTTGAACTTGACAACAGCAGGAGATAGATGGATAATAACGTAGTATTTGAATGCTGTAGTTTACAGAAGAGGGCTTTTACTTGTTCTGGGTTGTTCAGAATGTGGAACCAAGACCCATGAGTGGTCATTGCGTGAAAGTGGATTTGGGGTCAATACTAATAAAGAATTTTGCAACAGTTAGAACCATAAGAAATTGAAGTAGACTACTTTTTCTTTCTTTCTTTTTTCTTTTGAGACAGTGTCTCACTGTCGCCGAGGCTGGGGTGCAGTGGTGCCGTCTGGGCTCATTGCAACCTCTGCCTCCCTGGCTCAAGTGATTTCTCCTGCCTTAGCCCCTCGAGTAGCTGGGATTACAGGCATGCACCACCATGCCTGGGTAATTTTTGTAGTTTTTGTAGAGGTGGGGTTTCACCATTTTGGCCAGGCTGGTCTCAAACTCCTGACCTCAAGGTAAACAACTGCCTTGGCCTCCCAAAGTGCCTGGATTACAGGTGTGAGCCAACCTTGTCCGGCCGAAGTATACTTTTTCTGACTCTTGTGTTGGGTGTGTGTCTGTGAGATGCTATGGAAAGGGCTCCTACATTGGGCAGGAGGTTTGACAAAATTATCTCTAGGATCACTTTCAACACTAGAAACCTAGATTTCTGGAAAGACAGAAGAGCCTTTTTTCTTTTCTTAATTTGTCATTAATGTCTCAGCAAAGAAGAGCATTTATTTTAATATGATCATCGGACTTGAAAGGCTTCTACAGAGAGCTATGGGTACATGTGATATGAAGAATAAGCTGAGATCCATATGCACTTGAAAAACCAAGAAAATTAAGAGGGTTCTTTTTTTTTTCTTTTTTTTTGAGATGGAGTTTCACTCTTGTTGCCCAGGCTGGAGTGCAATGGCATGATCTCGGCTCACTGCAACCTCCACCTTCCAAATTCAAGTGATTATCCTGCCTCAGCCTCCCCAGTAGCTGGGATTACAGGTGCCCGCCACCAAGCCTGGCTAATTTTGTATTTTTAGTAGAGACAGGGTTTCTCCATGTTGGTCAGGCTGGGTTCGAACTCCTGACCTCAGGTGATCCACCAGCCTCAGCCTCCCAAAGTGCTGGGATTACAGGTGTAAGCCACCATGCCCGGCATAAGAAGGTTCTTAAGGCAGCTATATTTAACATATAAAGCACATACCCAGACTTCAGCGTCCTGTCTCTAACCACTGCTCCTACTGAATCTGCCTTTTTACCTGGTGCCTCTGCTTTTCTGAGAGTCCTTGGATAACTTTTGGGTACTGTATTAAAAACCTTCATCTGTTGTTTCCACAACGTCCCCTGATTATGTCTGCATGTAGCAGTTCATGTTAAGGAGGCTTTTATGGGCTAGCCTGGGACTCTAGCCATGACGTGAAGCAATACTTTTGTGGGAAATGTATTTCAGGCTTCCAACAGCGTGTATTGACTTTTGAAACACGTTCCATTGCAAAGCTGGAATGACCCATGTTTCTCTTCTAATGTACCACTTCACACCCACCTTGGAGCTGTTCCTAAACTGGGTTCTGGTCTTGGAAGCCTTCTTTGCACCTTCCTGCCAACGATGGCAGTTCCTGAAATTCTGACACTTACATGAATCAAGACTTCCTGTTTCTCTTCCACTGCTCTATCTAGAAATGAATTTTAAGAGGCTTTTCTTCCCCAAAAAGAATTTGAAGAATCATAAATAACTTTACATGATATAGTACAATAAAAAACAAAAACATGGAGAATGGTTCTGTGGTGGTGTTTTTGTTTGTTTGTTTTTTTTTTTTTGAGATGGGGTCTTGCTCTGTTGCCCCAGCTAGAGTGCAGTGGTGCAGTCATGACTCACAGCAACCTCAAACTCTCAGACTCAAGTGATCCTCCCACCTCAGCCTCCCAGGTAGCTGAGACTACAGGTGTGTACAACCACACCCGACTAATTTTTGTATTTTTTGTAGAGATGAGATTTTGCCATGTTGCCCAGGGTCATCGTCACCTCCTAGGCTCAAGTGATCTTCCTGCCTTGGCCTCCCAAATTGTTGGGATTACAAGCGTGAGCCACTGTGCACAGCCAGTTCCATGTTTTCTATGCCAGTAGTTCACTTGTGTGCATGCCTGAAATCATCACATGTGGATTTAAGGTTTTTGTTTTGGTGTTCTTAGCTTCTTAGGCATTTAATCCTTGCATTAGAAGGTGTAGGAGATAGGCATGGATATTTTTAAATGATGGACCAGGGAAAGCTCCTGGAATGGTTATATTATTCAGGATTCTTGGTTGAAGTAACTAAAATGGACACTGGTTTGTTTAAGCAAAAGGCTGTGGGGCAGTTTGCAGAAGTGTGGAGAGGCAAGGTTGGAATATGGACAGGTATAGGAGAGGCCAGAAGGCCAGAGCCACAGCCCAAATCACTCTGCAGAGACTGGTGAGCCAGCCGCTAAGGCCTGCTCTGGTGCAGCATGCTGTAGCTGCAACAACTGTCACTGGCCATGCTCTGGTGCTGCCAGTGTCCCTGTCTGTAGAATGAATTCTTCACTGTCACCCCAGTTTTTTAAAAAAATATTTTTTCATCTTTTATTTTAGATTCTGTGGGTATGTGTACAGGTTTGTTATGAAGGTATATTGTGTGATGCTGAGGTTTGGGGTGTGGTTGAACCTGTCATTCAGGAAGTTAGCAGAGTACCCAATAGGTAGGTTTTCAATTCTTGTCCCTCCCCTTGTATTCTCCAGTGTCACTCCAGATTTTTTGGCATCAATTGATCTTTTTTTTTCTTTTTCTTTCTCTCTTCTTTCTGCCTTTGCCCTTTGCCTTTGCCTTGCAACAAGTTCTCACTATGTTGTCCAGGCTGGTCTCAAACTCCTGGGCTCAAGCAATCTGCCCACCTCTGCCTCCCAAAGTGCTAGGAGTACAGGCATGAGCCACCATGCCAGGCCCAATTGGTCTGCATTGAAGTTGCAGAGGGGAGCTTCTGATTGACCAGGCCTTGGTCACATGCTCAGGCCTCACAGAGGAAGGTGGGTGGTTGTCAGGGGCGTCTCACTTTTTGGTTTCTGTAGTGGCGGGTGGGCACTGCCTTCCACAAGATGAATATGGTGGGAATTCATCAAACGAAAGGTATCTCAAAAAATGTTAGGTAGCTAAAAAAAAAAAAAAAAAAAAAAGTCAGATGTTAGATAGTTAAAAGAAAATGGCTAGCGAAAAATAATAACTTTTGTTTACATTTCTGTATTCATTTATGAAAAGGCTCAACTTAGGTTAGAGCAGGGTTTCTAATCTGTGGCACCAATGGACATTTTTTGTTGTGGGGCCTGTCCTGTGCATTGTAGGGTGTTTAGCAGTATCCTTGACCACTACCCACTGGATGCCAGTGGCACCTACCCCACTTTTGACAATCAAAAATGTGTCTGCACATTGCCACATGTTTCCTTGGGGGCAAAATTGCCCCCACCTGAGAATCACTGGGCTAGAGGCATTCTCAAGCCATGGGTTATGCTTTTATTTATTTATTTACATATTTATTTTTTGAGAAGGAGTCTTGCTCTGTCGCCCATGCTGGAGTGCAGTAGCGCAATCTCGGCTCACTACAACCTCCGCCACCTGGGTTCAAGCGATTCTTCTGCCTCAGCCTCCTGAGTAGCCGGGACTACAGGCGTGCACCACCATGCCCAGCTAATTTTTGTACTTTTAGTAGAGACAGGGTTTCACCATGTTCGTCAGGCCGGTCTCGAACTCCCGACCTCAGTGGATCCACCCGCCTCGGCCTCCCAAAGTGCTGGGATTACAGGCATGAGCCACCATGCCTGGCCGGGTTATGCTTTTATAGCCTTGCATTAATGGCTTTATCACAGGAATGGATCTTATATTATTGTCCTTGGAGAGGGACAAAGCTTTTCTCATGATGGTGCCCTTCCCCTGCATGTGAATGTCTGAATCTTCAGTATTCTCAGCCTTCAGTGTACCTGAGAATCAACTGGAGAGCTGTTTGAAGGATGCCAATTTCTGGGCCCTACTTCATACACTTTAATTCTGTGGGTCTGAGGCTCAGGAATCTGCAAGTTTTAACAACTTTGGTGATTCAGATGCAGGTGGGTGATGGACTACACTTTAAAAAACACATGGTTACTTCATTGAGTGTCAACCTCAAAAACACAAAGGTGTGTTTTTTCAAAAAGAAGAGATATGTCTGGGTGCCATGGCTCATATCTGTAATCCCAGCAACTTGGGAGGCTGAGGCAGAAGGATCGTTTGAGGCCAGGAATTTCAGACTAGCCTGGGCCACATAGTGATACTCAGTCTCTTAAAAAAAAAAAAAAAAAGGGCCAGGCGTGATGGCTCATGCCTGTAATCCCAGCACTTTGGGAGGCAGAAGTGGGTGATCACTCGAGGTTAGGAGTTTGAGACCAGCTTGGCCAACGTGGTGAAACTCCATCTCTACTAAATATACAAAAATTAGCCGGGCGTGGTGGTACACACACATAATCCCAGCTACTTGGGAAGTGGAGGCATGAGAATCACTTGAATCCGGGAGGCGGAGCTTGCAGTAAGCCAAGATCACGCCACTGCACTCCAGCCTGGGTGACAGGATGAGACTCTGTCTCAAAAACAAAAAATAACAAAACAAAAATAATTAGCCAGACATGGTGGTGCACACTTGTAGTCCCAATTACTTGGGAGGCTGTGGCATGAGGATTGCTGGAGCCCAGGAGCTTGAGGCTGCGGTAAGCCATGATCATGCCATTGTACTCCGGGCTGGTTGACATAGGAAGGGATACAATTTTAAGACTTGCAAATCTTTTTAGTTATTGATTAAAAAGAAGCAAGGTAAAGATGCTGTCTGTCCTTAGGCTTTTTTGGAAGGGGTTGTGTGGAAGCAGCTTTGACACGTGACACCAGCACTTAACGCCCTTCATCATCATCAGCAGAAGTACTCTCTCTCGTTTTTTAGCTCTGATTTGCCTTACATCTTTCTCAGGAAAGGATCGTTTACTCTCCACCCCCTTAAGTATTAGAGAAAACTCAAGGGGAGGTTTTTATGTTTTCACGATCTCTGAGGTCTCTTCACTGGTCTTGTTTATTGGTCTTGACTTCCTAACCCCGGCAGGAAGAGGGAACACTGACCCTCAGCAGCACTGGCTTTATTTTTCATGTAGAGCCTCTATGGTTGGATGTTGTCCAACATTCAGTTGTTCCCCAGGAACGGAGGAGACAACAGGTAGGTAATACCTGTGACAAAGCTGTGGACCTCCTGAGCCTCTAAGCCCCTCTCAGAGGAAGTCTTAAATCTATGAAAGAAGATCCTATCCACTGACAAAGCATCTTGTAGTTTCAAAGTATGTTTGGTGGCTTCTTTGAGCTACTTGGTTCTATTTTCACTCCTCTATCTGGGGCTAGTCAGTGATATTTCCGATAGCAATTTTTCTAAAACTCCTATCAGGCAATTTTGCCAATTTTTTTTTAAATTTTTAAAATTTAATTAATTAACTTTTTTTTTTTTTTTTTGAGACACAGTTTCGCTCTGTTGCCCAGGCTGGAGTGCAGTGGCGTGATCTCAGCTAACTGCAACCTTGCCCCCCAGGTTCAAGGGATTCTTGTGCCTCAGCCTGCCGAGTAGCTGGGATTACAGGTGCCCACCCCCACGCCCAGCTAAGTTTTTGTATTTTCAGTAGAGATAGGGTTTCTCCACGTTGGCCAGGCTGGTCTTGCACTCCTGGCCTCAAGTGATCTGCCCACCTCAGCCTCCCAAAGTGCTGCGATTACAGGTGTGAGCCACCGTACCCGGTGATTTTTGCCAATTTAAAGCCTTTGATAGTTCTCCATTGATTACAGAACAAATTCTACCCTTAATCAAGCCCCTACTCTACCTTTCCAGCCATTCCTCCTCATGCTGCCTGTGTTCCAGGCTCACCAAACTATCCTGAGGACGTTTAACTCTCTGTATACTAACTTTATTCATACGTTGTTATTAACTATACTGACAACCTGTATTTCAGACTCACCAGACTCTGTTACAGACTAACATGCCCAGCTCACGAACTGGGTGCCTGCTAAATATTTTTTCTAAAAAGTGCATATTGGCTGCTAACATGTAAAATCTCATGAGTTTTAAATATCTGGGCTGGGCGTGGCGCCTCACACCTGTAATCCTAACACTTTGGGAGGCCGAGGCGGGTGGATCACCTGAGGTCAGGAGTTCAAGACCAGCCTGGCCAACATGGTGAAAACCCGTTTCCACTAAAAATACAAAAATTAGCCAGGCATGGTGATGCACGCCTGTAATTCCAGCTACTTGGGAAGCTGAGGCAGGAGAATCACTTGAACCCGGGAGGCAGAGGTTGCAGTGAGCGGAGATTGTACCACTGCATTCCAGCCTGGGTGACAGAGCCAGACTCTGTCTCAAAAAAAAAAAAAAAAAAAAAAAATCCGTACTTTTAGTTTCTTCTGAAATACCAAAAGACGTGACAGTATTGTGACTGCATTCCTAAATGGTAATGGTCAGCTCTTGCCCTGAGACAGGATGTGTTCTATCTATAGCCATCATGGAAAAAGGTAAGGGGAAATACTGTGAAACTTTCCCCTCCTATTTCCCACAAGAGGGCAATCTAATCTCTAAGAAAGTAAAAGGGACTGGCGTTGCAAAATCTGCTATTATAGCCTGGCTTTGTTACCCCCGCAGTGGTGAAGATCTTTAGGCACCCACCTGCATTTCGTGTGCTGAATTGCCATGCCTTATGCCTTATGCCTTGTGCTGTTATTTAGTCTTTCATCGCTTCTCGGCCTTTTGGCTAAGATCAAGTGTATTTAGTCTTTCACAAATTCCTTTTTTTTTTGGTGTGGTTCCCCTCCAGGATCTATCTGGAAGGCCAGTTTGATGAAAAGGCATGCAAGAGGTGCCTGTGTGTAGCTTCTGGAGCCACCTTCAGCCTAGGTGGAGGTTGTGAAAGGTTGGCAGAGGCCTGATGAGGCAGGGTTGTTTCTAGAGAAAAGCGTGACCTATAGAAACAACCTCACAGCCTAGCATTACTTGATGGTGCTTTTTGTTGGTGCAGAATCTTGATTTCTGTCAGCACCCTGAGAGAGCAGCCCCCTGAGCTCCGCAGCGCCTCCCTTAATATTAACCTGGCTAATACAGACTGCTGTGTAAACTGAAATGCCAATTTATTTAGAATGAGACAGATCTACTGAGAGTGCCTAGAAACTCATTTTTGCTGGTCAGAGTATACTTTCTGTTTAGAAAAATTAAAAGTAAGCCAAAATATAATCACAGGTTGCTTGTCTGAGTTCTAAGCAAGGGGACTGCTGCCATTTGCACGTTCTGATGTATCCTTCTGAGATTAGGGACTGGGTGGGTTGAGCCCCTCTGCCAGGCCTCCTTATCCAGACAGTGCTTGTAGGTACCTTGCTAGAGTTGCCCATCTAACTCTGTGCCCACCGTCCCCCATATGGTTCGTGCCACATTGACATATCTTTAGATATACCAACACCACAAAGTTGATTACATTCACATGTAGCATTTTTCACTCTAGGTCCTATTTACAGTTGTCTATTACAGATTATTTTAATAATTCAGACCTAAGGATTTGGGGAGGATTAGGGGTGAGGCGCCCTAGCGCCTCTAACTGTCCCTAAAGAGATTGCAGAGGTTTCAGAAAGTAAAACTAGCTCTTAACCCCCAGATGGTAAGTGGTATAGATGAGAGAAAAAGGCTCTAAATCTTATTTTCTCTAGTTTTTCTTCTCTTTATTTGCCTTTGGTCAAAAGAAAACAAACATCTATATGCCTCATCTTTTTTCCTCTCTCATTAAAAAAAATCTATCCTTGCCGGGCGTGGTGGCTCACGCCTGTAATTCCAGCACTTTGGGAGGCCAAGGTGGGCGGATCATGAGGTCAAGAGATCGAGACCATCCTGGCCAACATGGTGAAACCCCGTCTCTACTAAAAATACAAAAATTGGCCGGGCATGGTGACCTGCGCCTGTAGTCCCAGCTACTTGGGAGGCTGAGGCAGGAGAATTGCTTGAACCTGGGAGGCAGAGGTTGCAGTGACCTGAGATTGTGCCACTGCACTCTAGCCTGGCGACAGAATGAGACTCCATCTCAAAAAAAAAAAAAAATCTATGCTTAATAATGGTAAAATTGAAATGGTTTAGTAAGAATATGGAATTTGAGAAAGAAGAGGAGGGAGGAAGAAAGAGCTGAAGTGGTTCGTAATTGGCATACTTAGATTTTGTGTTATTTAAAAACTGGATTTGGTTGTTAAAACTGGTAATTTTTTCCATCAGTTTGGGTTGAATAACATAGCCATATTCCATTAGGTAAAACTAATACTGAGTCGGTGTATCTACCCATCTATCCAAATCCTAGTTTTGACCCTACTTTCCACCAATTTGCCGATAGGATGTTGACTTAGCCTTGGGCCCTACAATTTAGGGTTTAGCTCTGGGCACACAAGAAACTTGGATGCTTATGAAAACTTTGGGTAAGTTTTATTCATGTGCTCAATTTAGGGGACAATCTGCATGTGCATCGGGCGTGTCTCTTTCAGCCATGTTTTGTTTAAGTCATCTATGGCCTTGGGGTTCCCAGTGCAAGAGATGAAGCAGGGCATGAGTGTTTAGTGACACTGTGGGGTTGTGCCCATTCTTGCCTCCCTCGTTAGAAAGTGGCAATGGGCTCAAATGCCTCAGCAGGTAGTTTGATAGGATTTGGAGAAATGGGACAGTCAGAAAATGAGTTATTTGATACTGAAGTTCAGTCACGCATGTATTTAAAAGCCTTTTTAGTGCTCTGAACTTGGCTTAGGTTTAGGGTGCTATTAGGGTAAGTAGAATACTTAACTTTTACTTTTTTAGGGAATTTAAAATCTATGCAACTGAAACATCTACATAAAACAATTAGAAAGCAATGCAGGATACTGTAGTGTAGTGAAGAGGTTAGAGACTCTGGAGTTAGACAGATGTGAACTTTTAAAAACCTTTCTGGGCCTTAGTTCCCTGATGTGTAAAATGGGGATATTGAAGAGATTGTACCAGGTAATGTATGTCAAGCACTTAATGTACAGCCTGGCATATAGCTAAATGTTCAATATTTGGTGGTAATTATAGTAATTGGGTCTAATAAAAGGTTTCCTTTATGTGGTCCTATTGAGAAAGGAAAGGTTTCCCCTCCTCACTGCCCCTGGTAATCACATTGAAAGAAAATTTCCTAGAATACTGTTGTATACCTTCTTGATTTCTTTGATAAGCTTACCTGCCTGTAATTGTCTTTTTTAACCCGTTTTTAAAATAAGTTGCTTCTATTCTGGAGAGTCAGCTAGCCAAATAATATATTTCTATATAAACAAGTAAAGAGTACAGAAGGGCCTTTACCAGGACTAACAAGAAAGGGCTTTGGGACAACTTCACTGTTTCGGGTGGTCAGGATCTTTCTGCTCCTAACATTCTTGGCCAGGTTCTAAAAGACTATAGGGTTTCTTTTTTTTTTTTCCTAGAAATATGGAACCTGGTTACATGGGATATTTGTTTAGTAGGACCAGAGGTGTGTAAAGAAACAGCAAATAGCCCCTGGATTATCTTTTATTTCCCATCAGAAGGGAGCTTGATGGAAAGACTGATTCAGAAGCATGCAGGAAATGTGGGTTCCAGCCCTAAAAATGTGGCCATGACCATGTGCCAGGGCCACCCCTCTACTGCACGTGGCACTGGTTGCCTGAGGAGTTTTAGAACGTCCTGGGAAGGGTAAGGTGCAGATAAGTGAAAATAAACCTTACTAGGTTTCAACTTTTATATAAGGTGTTTTTGTTGTTGTTGTTGTTTTTTTTTAGATTAAAAATGTAGGCCAGGCAAAGTGGCTCACGCCTGAAATCCCAGCACTTTGGGAGGCCAAGGCTGGTGGATCCCTTGAGCCCAGAAGTTCGAGATCAGCCTGAGCAACATGGCGAAACCCTGTCTCTACAAAAAATACAAAAAAATTAGCCAGATGTGGTGGTATGCACCTGTAGTTCCTGGTACCTGGGAAGCTGAGGTGGAAAGATAGCTTGAGTCCAGGAGGCGGAGGTTGCAGTGAGCAGAGATGGTGCCACTGCACTTTAGCCTGGGTGACAGAGCAAGACCTTGTCTCAAAAAAAAAAAAAGAAAACCCCAAAACTTTAATGGACTTCACCTCTTTAGACGGTGAATATTCTTTTTGAGGTGATGGAAATTGCATGAGTAAAGGAAAATCTGACTGGCTTTGGTAATGAAAGAGTGTAAGCAGGTCAGGATTTCTCACAGCTGTTTTAGTAGGCAGAGTGCTTCCACTTGGGGAATAACACCACAAGAAATCTCAATTTTCCCTGATGCTTGTTCCATTTCATTCTGTGTACTCCTCTCTGCACAGATTTAAATACCAAATTGTTTCTATTACTTCACAGTTTCCACCTGGGGTCTCGGGAGTTTGCCCAGAGCCCAAAAAGCATCTGCAGCTTCCCCCTTTTTGCCACGTCTTATAACTTGGGGGCTTCTTTTTGAGCTGTTTATATCATCATGGCTATATCTCCGGGTATTCCTAGTTGAGTTTTTAGTTTCAACTGGAGCTGCAATCACAGAAGTGGCAGGACTCCCCATGCTTAAAAATTAACCTCAGCTTGGAAAATTTTCTGCTGTGATGGTTGGGGTGACTTAGTTTTGAAACTCCCTTTTTACCTTTCTTAGCTCTGCTGGGATTAAATTTTTTTTTTAAATTTGGCAGATTTGAAAAACAATGTGAAGATTTTTTTTTACTCTAAAAATACAGAAAATAGTTTTAGCCCAATCTTGTTTGCATAGTTTTTATTCCATGAACACAGGGGAGGAAAATTATAGGCAAGACAGATTTAATTCTGTCTGCTGTTGCTGTGTGGGGGTACTGATTAAAATAAATTATATTTGTTTATTTGAAAGCGAACTAGACATTTTTGGAAATAATAGTTTGCTGCATATATGAATGAATTTGGACTAAACTGACCCATCAATTAGCCAGATGATCAATTGCTTTCAATTTGGTGATTAATGAACTTCCGGTGCTGTGATCAGCTTTCCCCTCGCTGAGTTGCTAAGTTGCATGCATGCTGAAAAGGGCTCCCAGAGAACAGGTATGTTTGCCAGACACAGTTGCTCCTGGACCTGCCCTTGGAAAAAGTCCCCTGCAGTGGCTGGGGGTCCCCTCCTTCTCCTTTCTGATTTGTCCTGTTTCTTATCCAGTGTCGTCATAGTCGGGCTGAGTGGGGTTAGTATGACAGCACATGCACACACTTTAAGGAGACCTCACAGAAGTATTATAGAAGACTTTACAGCTGGCACAGTTATTTGGGGATTGTTTTGCTAAGGAAAAAGAGGAAGATAAATATTCGGGTAGGTATCTAGCATTTTCTGCCTCAATCACTCAACTCTTCAAATATGGCAAGCCTCTCTCCTCCCCTGTTCACCCTCAATTTCTTACCATGGGCTTCAAAATAGCTTTCTGCTCCTTCCAGAAATTGCCATTTTGATTTGTGAAAGTAAAGGTCAGTTCAATCTGAGAATGGCCCTATTGCTTGGATCTTTAAAAATAACAACTGAGTGGTTAGCTCAAAGGGAAGTTCAGTGGAATTTGACACTGCATTTCGTCCTTTACTGAGTTGATAATTTAGATCAGAAATCAGCAATCTTTTTCTATAAAGGACCAGGTAGGCTGGGCATGGTGGCTCAGGCCTGTAATCCCAGCACTTTGAGAGGCCAAAGTGGGCAGATCGCTTGAGCTTAGGAGTTCAAGATCACCAGCCTGGGCAACATGGTGAAACCCCCTCTCTACTAAAAATACAAAAATTAGCCAGGTGTGATGGCATGCACCTGTAGTCCCAGCTCCCAGCTACTTGGGAGGCTGAGGTGAGTGGATGGCTTAAGCCTGGGAGGTCAATGCTACAGTGAGCTGAGACGGTGCCACTGTACTCCAGACTGGGTGACAGAGACCCTGTCTCCAAAAAAAAAAAAAAAGACCTGGTAGTAAATGTTTGAGGACTTGCAGACTGTATCCCTTGTGTTGTGACTATTCAACTCTGTCTTTGTAGTACAAAAGTAGCCATAGACAATACATAAAAGAACAGGCATGCTGTGTTCCAATGAAACTTAATTTATTACCTTGAAATGGAAATTACATACAATTTTCACGTGTCGTGAAATATCCCTGTTAATTTTTCAACTATTTTAAAATGTAAAAATTATTCTTAGCTCATAAGCTGTAGAAAAACAGGTAGCAAGCTGTAGAAAAACAGGTAGCAAGCTGAATTTGGCTCTAAGGCCATAGTTTGTTGACTCCTGATTTTAGATGGTGATTGTAGAAATGAGTCCTAAGAAAAGAAAGTAATGTTTTGCTGTTCTAAACAGAAGTTGGTTACCTAGGGTAAAACTCTGGAATGGCACAGAGGGAAGGAGAATCTAAACTTCTAAAAGAAGGGAGTCAGACTTAGTTTTCAGGTCACAGATTCTAAAGTGTTTAAAGATATATTGCTAGATCCAAAAAGTCCGTATTTTAAAAAGTTGAACTTCTTTGTTTTTTTAAATGTGATAAAATATGTAACTTAAAATTTAACATTTTAACCAGTTTATTTTTTCATTTTTTTTTGAGATGGAGTTCTGCTCTTTGACCAGGCTGGAGTGCAGTGGCACGATCTCAGCTCACTGCAACCTCTGCCTCCCGGGTTCAAGCGATTTTCCTGCCTCAGCCTCCCGAGTAGCTGGGACTACAGGCGTGCACCAAAACGCCCAGTTAATTTTTGTATTTTTAGTAGAGATGGGGTTTCACCATGTTGGCCAGGATGGTCTCGATCTCTTGACCTCATGATCCACCCGCCTCGGCCTCCCAAAGTGCTGGGATTACAGGCATGAGCCACAGCACCTGGTCTATTTTTTTTATTTTTATTTTTGAGATGGAGTCTCACTGTGTTACCCAGGCTGGAGTGCAGTGGTGCAATCTCATCTCACTGCATCCTTTGCCTCCCGGGTTCACGTGATTGTCCTGCATCAGCCTCCCGAGTAACTGGGGTTACAGGTGCACATCACCACACCTGGCTAATTTTTGTATTTTTAGTAGAGACGGGGTTTCACCATTTGGCCAGGCTGGTCTTGAACGCTTGACCTCAAGTGATACTCCTGCCTCAGCCTCCCAGAGGGCTAGGATTATAGGCATGAGCCACCACACCTGGCCTCATTTTAACCAGTTTAAAAATGTACAATTCTGTGATATCAAAACATTGACAATGTTGTGCAGCTGTTACCACTATTTGTTTCCAGAACTTTTTCATCATCCCAAACTCTGTACTTGTTTAAACAAAAATAACTTCCCATTACCCCTCCCTCCCATCCTGCCCTGGTGTCCTTTATTGTACTTACTGTCTGTGAATTTGCCTATTGCAGGTACCTCGTAAGTGGAGACATACAATATTTGTTCTGTTGTGACCGGCTTATTTCACTTAGCAATTTGTCTCTAAGGTTCACTCATGTTGTAGCATGCATCCAAATTTTATTTCTTTTTAAGACCGAATAATCTGTTGTATGTGTTTACCACCACATTTTGTTTATCCATTTATCTGTTGATGGACATTTGAGTTGTTTCTACTTCTGGCTATTGGAATAATGCTTCTGCGATTGGTCTACAGGTATCTGTTTCAGTCCCTGCTTTCAGTTCTTTTGGATACATACCTGAAAGTCGAATTGGTGGATCATAGGGTAATTCTATGTTTAACTTTTTGAGAAACCATCATACTGTTTTGCACAGAGACTACGCCATCTTACATTCCCACCAGCAACGCACTAGGATTCTAATTTTTCTACAGCCTTGCCAACATTTCTCTTTCTTTTTTAAAATAATAACCATCCAAATGGTTGTGAAGTGGTATTTGATTGTGATTGTGATTTGCATTTATCCTAATGACTAGTGATACTGAAAATCTTTTCATGTCCTTTTTGCCGTTTGTATATCTCCTTTGGAGAGATGTCTACTCAAGGTGGGTTGTTTGTTTGTTTTTTTTGTTTTTGCCATTTTAAAATTGATTTTGTTTTTCATGGGTTGTAGGAATTCTTACATATTCTGGATATTAATCCCTTATCAGATCTGCAAATTTTTTCCCAGCCTGTAGCTTACCTTTTCACTGTCTTGATAGCGTTGTTTACACAGAAGTTTCTAATTTCGATGAAGACCAATTTATTTTTCTTTGGTTTTGTGCTTTTGATGTCATAGCCAAGAAATCATTGCCAAATCCAATGTCATGATTTTTCCCTATGTTTTCTTCTCAGCGTTTGTATAGTTTTAGTTCTTATGCTTAGGTCTTTGATCCATTTTGAGTTAGTTTTTGTATGTGGTGTTAGGTAAGGGTCCCACTTCATTCTTCTGTGTGTGGATATCCAACTTTTCCTGTGCCATTTGTTAAAAAAGGCTGTCCTTCCCACATTGAATAGTCTTGATACCTTTGTTGAAAACTCACTTAACCATATATGTGAGGGTTTATTTCTGGGCTCTATTCTATACCACTGGTCTATATGTCTGTCCTTATGCTAGTATCATACTGTTTTGATTACATAGCTTTGTAATCAGTTTTGAAATCAGGAAGTGTGGGTCTTTATACTTGGTCATTTTTTTTTTCTCCAAGATTATTTCAGCTGTTTTGGGTCCCTTGAGATTCAATATGAACTTCAGAATAGGATTTTCTGCCAAAAAGGCCACAGATTTTGATAGGGCTTGATTGAATCTGTAGATCACTTTGGGTAATATTGTCATTTTAACAGTATTAAGACTTCCAGTCCATCAACATGGGGTGTCTATCCATTTATTTGTCTTCTTTAATTTCTTTCAGCAATGTCTTGTAGTTTTTTGAATGTGAAAGTCTTTCACTTCCTTGGTTAAATTTATTCCTAAGTGTTCCATTCTTTTTGACATTATTGTAAATGAAATTGTTTATTTTCAGATTGTCATTGTTAGTGTGCAGAAATTCAACTGATTTTAGTGTGTTGGTTTTGTACCCTGCACCTCTTTCCTGGGTTCATTTATTAGTTCAAAGAGTTTTTAGAATTTTTTTCATGTTAAATTTGCATTTCTTTTTATTATTATTTTACTCTAAGTTCTAGCGTACATGTGCACAATGTGCAGGTTTGCTACATAGATACACATGTGCCATGTTGGTCTGCTGCACCCATCAACTCATCGTTTACATTAGGTATTTCTCCCAGCGCTATCCCTCCCCTTGCCCCCTACTCCACAACAGGCCCCCAGGGTGTGATGTTCCCCGCCCTGTGTCCAAGTGTTCTCATTGTTCAACTCCCACTTGTGAGTGAGAAGTTGTGGTGTTTGGTTTTCCGTCCTTGTGATAGTTTGCTAAGAATGATGGTTTCCAGCTTCATCCATGTCCATGAAAAAGACATGAAGTCATCCTTTTTTATGGCTGCATAGTATTCCATGGTGTATATGTGTCACATTTTCTTTATCCAGTCTATTATTGATGGACATTTGGGTTGGTTCCAAGTCTTTGCTATTGTGAATAGTGCCGCAATAAACATATATGTGCATGTGTCTTTATAGTAGCATGATTTATAATCCTTTGGTTATATACCCAGTAACAGGATTGCAAGTTCTAGAACCTTGAGGAATCACCACACTGTCTTCCACAATGGTTGAACTAATTTACATTCCCACCAACAGTGTAAAAGCATTCCTATTTCTCCACATCCTCTCCAGCAACTGTTGTTTCCTGACTTTTTAATGAACACCATTCTAACTGACATGAGATGGTATCTCGTTGTGGTTTTGATTTGCATTTCTCTAATGACCAGTGATGATGAGCATTTTTTCATATGTCTGTTGGCTGCATAAATATCTTCTTTTGAGGAGTGTCTGTTCATAGCCTTTGCCTGCTTTTTGATGGGGTTGTTTTTTTTGTTGTAAATTTAAGTTCTTTGTGGATTCTGGATATAAGTCCTTTGTTAGATGGATAGATTGCAAAATTTTTCTCCCATTCTGTGGGTTGCCAACTGTGATGGTAGTTTCTTTTGCTTTGCAGAAGCTCTTTAGTTTAATTAGGTCCCATTTGTCTATTTTGGCTTTTGTTGCCATTGCTTTTGGTGTTTTAGTCATGAAGTCTTTGCCCTTGCCTATGTCCTGAATGATATTGCCTAGGTTTTCTTCTAGGGTTTTTATGGTTTTAGGTCTTACGTTTAAGTCTTTAGGCCATCTTGAGTCAATTTTTGTTTAAGGTGTAAGGAAGGAGTCCAGTTTTAGCTTTCTACATATGGCTAGCCAGTTTTCCCAGCACCATTTATTAAATAGGGAATCTTTTCCCCATTGCTTATTTTTGTCAGGTTTGTCAAAGACCAGATGGTTGTAGATGTGTAGTGTTATTTCTGAGGCCTCTGTTCTATTCCATTTGTCTATATGTCTGTTTTGGTACAAGTACCATGCTGTTTTGGTTATTGTAGCCTTGCAGTTTAGTTTGAAGTCAGGTAGCATGATGCCTCCAGCTTTGTTCTTTTTGCTTAGGATAGTCTTGGCTATGTGGGCTCTTTTTTGGTTCCATATGAGCTTTAAAGTAGTTTTTTCCAATTCTGTGAAGAAAGTCAATGGTAGCTTGATGGGGATAGCATTGAATCTGTAAATTACTTTGGGCAGTATGGCCATTTTCACAATATTGATTCTTCCTATCCATGCGCATGGAATATTCTTCCGTTTGTTTGTGTCCTCTTTTATTTCGTTGAGCAGTGGTTTGTAGTTCTCCTTGAAGAGGTCCTTTACATCCCTTGTAAGTTGGATTCCTAGGTATTTTATTCTCTTTGTAGTAATAGTGAATGGGAGTTCACTCATGATTTGGCTCTCTGTTTGTCTGTTCTTTGTGTATAGGAATGCTTGTGATTTTTGCACATTGATTTTGTGTCCTGAGACTTTGCTGAAGTTGCTTATCAGCTTAAGGAGATTTTGGGCTGAGATGATGGGGTTTTCTAAATATATAGTCATGTCATATGCAAATAGAGACAATTTGACTTCGTCTTTGCTTAATTGAATACCTTTTATTTCTTTCTCTTGCCTGATTGCCCCAGCAGAACTTCCAATACTATGCTGAATAGGAGTGGTGAGAGAAGGCATCCTTGTCTTGTGCCAGTTTTCAAAGGGAATGCTTCCAGTTTTTGCCCAGTTAGTATGATATTGGCTGTGGGTTTGTCATAAATAGCTCTTACTATTTTGAGATACATTCCATCAGTACCTAGTTTATTGAGAGTTTTTAGCATGAAGGGGTGTTGAATTTTATTGAAGGCCTTTTCTGCATCTATTGAGATAATCATGTGGTTTTTGTCTTTGGTTCTGTTCATGTGATGGATTGCATTTATTAATTTGCCTATGTTGAACCAGCCTTGTATCCCAGGGATGAAGCTGACTTGATTGTGGTGGATAAGCATTTGATGTGCTGCTGGATTTGGTTTGCCAGTATTTTATTGAGAATTTTTGCATCGATGTTCATCAGGGATATTGGCCTAAAATTCTCTTTTTTTGTTGTGTCTCTGCCAGGCTTTGGTATCAGGATGATGCTGGCCTCATAGAAAGAGTGAGAGAGGAGTCCCTCTTTTTCTGTTGTTTGAAATAGTTTCAGAAGGAATGGTACCAGCTCCTCTTTGTACCTCTGGTAGAATTCGGCTGTGAATCCATCTGGTCCTGGACTTTTTTTTTGGTTGGTAGGCTATTACTGCCTCAATTTCAGAACCTGTTATTGGTCTATGCAGAGATTCAACTTCTTCCTGGTTTAGTCTTGGGAGGGTATGTGTGTCCAGGAATTTATCGATTTCTTCCAGACTTTATAGTTTATTTGTTTAGAGGTGTTTATAGTATTCTCTGATGGTAGTTTGTATTTCTGTGGGATCAGTGGTGATATCCCCTTTATCATTTTTTATTGCGTCTATTTGACTCTTCTCTCTTTTCTTCTTTATTAGTCTGGCTAGTGGGCTATCTGTTTTGTTGATCTTTCCAAAAAACCAGCTCCTGGATTCATTGATTTTTTTGAAGGGTTTTTTGTGTCTCTATCTCCTTCATTTCTGCTCTGATTTTAGTTATTTCTTGCCTTTGCTAGCTTTTGAATTTGTTTGCTCTTGCTTCCCTAGTTCTTTTAATTGTGATGTTAGGGTGCCGATTTTAGATCTTTCATGCTTTCTCTTATGGGCATTTAGTGTTATAAATTTCCTTCTACACACTGCTTTAAATGTGTCTCAGATATTCTGGTACGTTGTGTCTTTGTTCTCATTGGTTTCAAAGAACATCTTTTTTTTTTTTTTTGACGGAGTCTTGCTCTGTTGCCCAGGCTAGAGTGCAATGCGCGATCTCGGCTCAGTGCAAGCTCCGCCTCCCGGGTTCATGCCATTCTCCTGCCTCAGCCTCCCGAGTAGCTGGGACTACAGGTGCCCGCCACCACACCTGGCTAATTTTTTGTGTTTTTAGTAGAGACGGGGTTTCACTGTGGTAGCCAGGATGGTCTCAATCTCTGGACCTCATGATCCACCTGCTTCAACCTCCCAAAGTGCTGGGATTACAGGTGTGAGCCACCGCACCTGGCTTCAAAGAACATCTTTATTTCTGCCTTCATTTCGTTATGTACCCAGTAGCCATTCAGGAGCAGGTTGTTCAGTTTCCATGTAGTTGTGCAGTTTTGAGTGAGTTTCTTAATCCTGAGTTCTAATTTGATTGCACTGTGGTCTGAGAGACAGTTTGTTGTGATTTCTGTTCTTTTACATTTGCCCAGGAGTGCTTTACTTCCAACTATGTGGTCAAGTTTAGAATAAGTGTGATGTAATGCTGAGAAGAATGTATATTCTGTTGATTTGGGTTGGAGAGTTCTGTAGATGTCTATTAGGTCTGCTTGGTCCAGAGCTGAGTTCAAGTCCCAGATATCCTTGTTAATTAGACAGATCTCGTTGATCTGTCTAATATTGACAGTGGGGTGTTAAAGTCTTCCATTATTATTGTGTGGGAGTCTAAGTGTCTTTGTAGATCTCTAAGAACTTGCTTTATGAATCTGGGTGCTCCTGTATTGGGTGCATATATATTTAGGATAGTTAGCTGCTGTTGTTGAATTGATCCCTTTAGCATTATGTAATGGCCTTCTTTGTCTCTTTTGATCTTTGTTGGTTTAAAGTCTGTTTTATCAGAGACCAGGATTGCAACCCCTGCTTTTTTTTGCTTTCCATTTGCTTGGTAGATCTTCCTCCATTCCTTTAATTTTTTTATTTTTATTTTTTTAATTAAAAAGTAAACTTTAATATCAAAAATGCAAACTTGGGGAGGGCAGAAGGATCACACACAAGGCTGTCACTTCACACTTGGAGGGTTGCACAGTGGCTGGGCAGAGGTGCTTCTCTCTTCCCAGATGGTGGGGCGTATGGGCAGAGGTGCTCCTCATTTCCTAGAGGGGGGCAGCTGTGCAGAGGCACCCCTCACTTCCCAGACAGGGCAGTGGGCGGGCAGAGGCACTCCTCACATCCCAGACGGTGGGGCGGCCTGGCAGAGGCATTCCTCACTTCCCAGACTGTGGGCGGCCAGGTGGAGGCGCTCCTCACTTCCCAGTCAGTTGGGTGGCCGGGCAGAGGGGCTCCTCACTTCCCAGACAGGGTGGTGGCTGGGCAGAGGCGCTCCTCACTTCCCAGAGGGTGGGGCGGCTGGGCAGAGGCGCTCCTCACGTCCCAGTCAGTTGGGTGGCCGGGCAGAGGCGCTCCTCACTTCCCAGTCATTTGGGCGACCGGGTGGAGGCGCTCCTCACTTCCCAGACAGGGTGGCGGCCAGGCAGAGGTGCTCCTCACTTCCCAGACAGTGGGACAGCCGGACAGAGGTGCTCCTCACTTCCCAGATGGTGGGGCGGCTGGGTAGAGGCACTCCTCACTTCCCAGATGTTGTGGCGGCTGGGCAGAGGCGCTCCTCACTTCCCAGACAGTGGGACAGCCGGGCAGAGGTGCTCCTCACTTCCCAGATGGTGGGGCGGCTGGGTAGAGGCACTCCTCACTTCCCAGATGTTGTGGCGGCCGGGCAGAGGCGCTCCTCACTTCCCAGATGGTGGGGCGGCTGGGTAGAGGCACTCCTCACTTCCCAGATGTTGTGGCGGCTGGGCAGAGGCGCTCCTCACTTCCCAGACAGTGGGACAGCCGGGCAGAGGTGCTCCTCACTCTCCAGATGGTGTGGCGGCCGGGCAGAGGCGCTCCTCACTTCCCAGACAGTGGGACAGCTGGGCAGAGGTGCTCCTCACTCTCCAGATGGTGTGGCGGCCGGGCAGAGGCGCTCCTCACTTCCCAGACGGTGTGGCGGCCGGGCAGAGGGGCTCTTCACTTCCCAGATGGTGGGACAGCCAGGCAGAGGCGCTCCTCACTTCCCAGATGGTGTGGCGGCCAGGCAGCGGCGCTCCTCACTTCCCAGACGGTGTGGCGGCCGGGCAGAGGCCTCCTCACTTCCCAGATGGTGGGGCGGCCGGGCAGAGGTGCTCCTCACTTGCCAGATGGTGGGGCAGCCGGGTGGAGGCGCTCCTCACTTCCCAGATGGTGGGGCGGCTGGGCGGAGGTGCTCCTCACTTCACCGATGGTGGGGCAGCCAGGCAGAGGCACTCGTCACTTGCCAGCCGGGGCAGTGGCCAGGCAGAGGCACTCCTCACATCCCAGACAGGGCGGTCGCTGGGCAGAGGCACTCCTCAGATCCCAGACGGCTCCATCCCTTTATTTTAAGCCTGTGTGTGTCTTTCCACCTAAGATGGGTTTCCTGAATACAGCACACAGGTAGGTCTTGACTCTTTATCCAATTTGCCAGTCTGTGTCTTTTAATTGGAGCATTTAGCCCATTTACATTTAAGGTTCATATTGTTATGTGTGAATTTGATCATGTCATTATGATGCTAGCTGGTTATTTTGCACATTAATTGATGCAGTTTCTTCATAGCATCAGTGGTCTTTACCATTTGGCATGTTTTTGCAGTGGCTGGTACTGGTTGTTCCTTTCTGTATTTAGTGCTTCCTTCAGGAGCTCTTGTAAGGCAGGCCTGGTGGTGACAAAATCTCTCAGCATTTGCTTTCTGTAAAGGATTTTATTTCTCCTTCACTTATTAAGGTTAGTTTGGCTGGATATGAAGTTGCAGGTTGAACATGTCTTTAAGAATGTTGAATAATGGCCCCTTTTTCTGGCTTGTAGGGTTTCTGCAGAGATATCTGCTGTTAGTCTAATGGGCTTCCCTTTGTGGGTAACCTGACCTTTCTCTCTGGGTGCCCTTAACATTTTTTCCTTCATTTCAACCTTGGTGAATCTGACAATTACGTGTTTGGGGTTGCTCTTCTCATGGAGTATCTTTGTGGTGTTCTGTGTACTTCCTGAATTTGAATGTTGGCCTGTCTTGCTAGGTTGGGAAAGTTCTTCTGGATAATATCCCGAAGAGTGTTTTCTAACTTGGTTCCATTCTCCCCATCACTTTCAGGTACACCAATCAGACATAGATTTGGTCTTTTCACATAGTCCCAAATTTCTTGGAGGCTTTGTTCATTTCTTTTCACTCTTTTTTCTCTAATCTTGTCTTCTCACTTTATTTGATTAATTTGATCTTTAATTGCTGATATTCTTTCTTCTGCTTGATCAAATTGGCTATTGAGGCTTGTGTATGCTTCATGCAGTTCTCTTACTGTGGTTTTCAGATCCACGAGGTCATTTAAGCTCTTCTCTACATAGGTTATTCTAGTTAGCCATTCATCTAACCTTTTTTCAAGGTTTTTAGCTTCCTTGTGATGGTTTAGAACATACTCCTTTAGCTGGGAGAAGTTTGTTATTACCAACCTTCTGAAGCCTACTTTTGTCAACTTGTCAAAGTCATTCTCCATCCAGTTTTGTTCCCTGGTGAGGAGTTGTGTTCCTTTGGAGGAGAAAGGGCATTCTGGTTTTTGGAATTTTCAGCCTTTCTGCTCTGGTTTCTCTCCATGTTAGAGGTTTTATCTACCTTTGGTCTTTGATGTTGGTGACCTACAGATGGGGTTTTGGTGTGGATGTCCTTTTTGTTGATGTTGATGCTATTCCTTTCTGTTGGTTTTCCTTCTAACAGACAGGCCCCTCAGCTGCATGTCTGTTGGAGTTTGCTGGAAGTCCACTCCAGAACTTGTTTGCCTTGTATCACCAGCAGAGGCTTCAGAACAGCAAATATTGCTGACTGAACCTTCCTCTGGAAGCTTCATCCTTGATCGGCACCCACCTGTATGAAGTATCTGTCAGCCCCTACTGGGAAGTGTCTCCCAGTCAGGCTACATGGGGGTCAGGGACCCACTTAAGGAAGCAGTCTGTCCGTTATCAGAGCTTGAATGCCATGCTGGGAGAACCACTGCTGTCTTCAGAACTATCTGGCAGGGACATTTAAGCCTGTAGAAGCTCTCTACTTCCTTTTGTTCAGATATGCCCTGCCCCCAGAGGTGGAATCTAGAGAGGCAGTAGGCCTTGTTAAGCTGTGGTGGGCTCTGCCCAGTTTGAGCTTTCCTGCCTCTTTGTTTACACTGTGAGCATGGAACTACCTACTCAAGCCTCAGCAATGGCAGATGCCCCTCCTCTTACCACACTCCAGCATCCCAGGTTGATCTCATACTGCTGCGCTAGCAGTGAGAAGGCTCTGTGGGCATGTGACCTGTCTAGCCAGGCACAGGAGGGAATGTCCTGGTCTGCTGGTTGTGAAGACTGTGGGAAAAGTGCAGTACTTGGGCAGGAGTGTACGGTTCCTCCAGGTATAGTCACTCATGGCTTCCCTTGGTTAGGAAAGGGAAATCCCCCAACCCCTTGTTCTTCCTGGGTGAGGCAATGCCCTGCCCTGCTTTGGCTCATCCTCTGTGGGCGGCACCCACTGTCCAACCATTCCCAATGAGATGAACCAGGTAATTCAGTTGGAAATGCAGAAATCACCCATCTTCTGCGTCAGTCTCGCTGGGAGCTGTAGACCAGAGCTGTTCCTATTCGGCCATCTTGGAAGTGCCTCCTAAATTTGCCTAGATTTTTTTTTTGGGTTTTACATATGAGATCATGTCATTTGTGAACTGAGATAATTTTACCTCTTCCTTTCCAATTGGATGCCTTTTACTATGTTTTTTTTCTTGCCTCATTTCTCTGGCTAGAGCTTTAAATACTATGTTGAATAGAAGTTATATATGTGGGGATCCTTATCTTGTTTCTGATCTTAGGGAAAAAGTTTTCAGTTTTTCATCATTAAGTATGATGTTCACTGTGAGTTTTTCATCCGTGGCCTTTATCATGTTATGACGTTTCTATTTCTAGTTTAGTGAGTGTTTTTTTTGTCGAGAAAGGATGTTGAATTTTACCAAATGCTTTTTTTGTAGAGATGCATATTGAAGTACAGTCATGTGCTGCATAAGAACATTTTGGTTAACAAAAGACTGAATATATGATGATGGTTCCATAAGATTTAATACTGTATTTTCACTGCACGTTTTGTATGCTTAGATACATAATTGCCTACAGTAATCAGTGTAGTCACATGCTGTACAGGCTTACAGCCTAGGAGCAATAGGTTATACCATATAGCCTAGGTTTATAGTAGGTTGCACCATCAAGGTTTGCATAAGTAAACTCTGAGATGTTTGCACAATGACGAAATTGCCTAATGATGCATTTCTCAGAATGTATCCCTGTCATTAAGTGGTGGATGGCTGTATATAAGGATGATTTCTGGGACTTACTTTAAAATACTGCAGCGAAGAAGAAAAGGGGATTGATAAAGCAAGTGTGGCAACATCTGGATAATTGTGAGGAATGGATGATACTTATTTGGGGATTCATTAAATGATTTCTACTTTTGAATATGTTTGGACATTTATATAATAAAACTTTCTTTTCTTTTTTTTTTTTTGAGATGTAGTTTCACTCTTGTTGCTGAGATTGGAGTGCTGTGGCATGATCTTGGGTCACTGCAACCTCCACCTCCTGGATTCAAGCGATTCTCCTGCCCCAGCCTCCCGAATAGCTGGGATTACAGGCGTACACCACCACTTCCAGCTAGTTGTTGTATTTTTGGTAAGATGGGGTTTCACCACGTTGGCCAGGCTGGTCTCAAACTCCTGACCTCAAGTGATCCTCCCAATGTGGCCTCCCAAAATGCTGGGATTACAGGCAAAAGCCACCACACCCAGCTTATATAATAAAACTTTTGGAAAGGAAAAAAATTATTAAAGTTCTCTATATTGTGTTTTTATTTTCTTTATTTTTGTGTTTGGTATGAATGTGCAGTGGTTTCTAAACCTGAATTATTTGTGGGGACTTTGAAAAAACTGTAGATTCTGTGAATAGATTCATCAGGCTTGGGGACTTTGTCCCTGGAAGTGACTGGGATGCAGCCAGGTTTAGGAATCATAAACAGGAGTAAGGCTTAAAAAAGGGAATAGCAGCAGCATCCCCTTGTGTTCTTTCTTGCAAGCTAGGAGAACATTCTTCTTTAGTGGGAGAGGAGCAGGGCTTGGAATCACAAATTCTACTTCAGACAGTAAGCCTAGGTGACCTTGGTTGGACGGATAACTTTTTAACCGCTTTGGGCTACTTCAGCCTTGGAAAAATTAGGAGGCTGACCTAAGACCTCTGGAAAGTTCCCTGAATTAATTATCCCACAAGTGAGACTGGCTGATGCCAGCTTCAGCCTGAGAGAGAGATAGATACTGATCGCTAGAAAGGAGAGGATTAATATGGAATAATCCTGTGTACTTAAGAAGAGGATATTGACATGTCTGCATTAGGTTAGGTTTTTAGACAGGGAAATAATTACAAATCCCCAAAGGTATTTTTGGGGGGAGAAAAGGGAGGGAGAATCTTGTTTTATTAGTTAATTTATTTTTGGTGCTTATTTACTTAAATAAGCATAAGTAGTAGAAGTGTGACATTTTATAGTTATTTTGTGCATTTCAAAAAGAAAAACTCAGTCTCTTCCTGGATGGTCTAATGGAACCACAACCTTGACATATTTAATAAAGTTAAACATTGCACAAGGAGCTTTTCTTTTGAGGCCTTTAAGAATGTTCAAACATGTCTTGTTAGCTCACTAACAGGTCCAATTGGGATGTAGAGGAGATGCTGGCAGCCTGTCAGATCCTGAGGCCCCCAGGCACTGAGATTAGCCCCAGATTGCATCCTGGGGGTTAGTGTGGAACTGCTAATAGCTTTCAGTCTTTTACAATCTAGAATTCAGAGGGGAAGGGATCTTAGGGACTTTGGGGGCAGCCCTTCCTTTTGTAGGTGACAACTAAGGCCGGGAGAGGAGGACTGCTTACCCGAGCAGAGTGCTCCTGCTGAGCCCAGGCGGTTTCCATTTCCCGGGGTCTCTGTTAGGATTGCAGCACCTTCAAAACATTGAACATACTTCCCTGCCGGAAGCCACATCCTTCAGTGGTGACACCCAGAAACAGCCCCCTTGGTCTTTTGCTTGTTTTGGAGAGATGCAGCGTGACTGCTTTTATTGTTACAACACTGGGTGGTCTACCAGTGAGCACGTAGTATAAATAACAACTAATAAATAATTTTACAGCAAAAGTCCTAAATCTTTCCAGATAGTGCACTGGTGCATGGCTGTCAAATGCCGGACAGATCCTAAGAAAACAGTAACTTTAACCCATCCATCTTTTACGTACATGGCACATTGTCGTCATAAAATTTTCCTAAGGTTTCAGTGGCTTAAGGGAGAAAATGTACATGTAAAAACACACGTACACAAACACACCCACATAGGCATAGCTACCCTTGCTGGTGGCATGATCACTTCCATTTTTTAAACATGACTGCTTGACACCTGTCTGAATTTTTCCTGTATTTTTGGCTACAGTAACCTGTTTTATTTTAGTGCAGTAAATTTGAACAGACTTGATATTTTTTGATAAAAGGATTCTCTAATTTTTTCATTCTGGGCCATACTTTGGCATTGTTTTAGTGTCAGAAATGATAAGTTGATTTGGTTTAACTCATTTTGTAGGTTCGCCTTTCTTTTCAACCTCTTGAAAGCCAGGTACCTGAGTTATGTGCTACCAAGACCTTTGGTATTTCAGCTGAGTTGGGGGTTAGGATTCTGGACTTATCCCCCTCCCTGGAATTTCCCAAGTTTTAGCTGCTTCTCTTGTAAATTGGGGATGATATTGATGGCATAGGGTGACTTTAAGGATTGAATATGGTAATATGGTAGCTTACATGAGAACCCCCCAGCCTAGGGTCTCCATATGAAGGTCTTGATGACTGTTGGTTCGCCTTGCCTTCTACATTCTTACCTTATACCCCCTTTCTGTTGAAATCCTACCCACAGCAGAGCCTGTTCTCTCTTGAAGCCATCTGGAATGGAAATAAAAGCTGTGCTCCTCTGTGTTTTCAGTGCACTGTAACTTGTACCTCTCCTGTACAGTCTTTGATGCGACGTCTTTCACTCTGGTGATTACATGGGACATGTCTGCACCTTCTCACCCTCCAAACTGGCTGAGCCATAAGAAGGAAAGCTGACTGAAGGCAGAGGCTGAGGCTGAGTCCTGTAGCTTCTGCAGGATTAGCGCAGTGCTGGCCACATAGCAAGCATGATCATGGATGAGCCCTCAACAGATGTGAGAGGTAATTGTTTAATATGTTCTTAATGAGAACACATGGACACAGGGAGGGTAACAACACACATCGGGGCCTATCTGGGGGTGGGGGGCAAGGGGAGGGAGAGCATTAGGACAAATACCTAATGCATGCGGGGCTTAAAACCTAGATGACGTGTTGATAGGTGCAACAAACCACCATGACACGTGTATACCTATGTAACATACCTGTACACTCTGCACATATATCCCAGAACTTAAAGTAAAAAAAAAAAAAATTGTTCTGGCTGGGCATGGTGGCCCACACCAGTAATCTCAGCACTTTGGAAGGCCTAGGTGGGCAGATCACCTGAGGCTGGGAGTTCAAGACCAGCCTGACCAACATGGAGAAACCCTGTCTCTACTAAAAATATAAAATTACCTGGGTGTGGTGGTGCATGCTTGTAATCCTAGCTATTCTGGAGGCTGAGGCAGGAGAATCACTTGAACCCAGGAGGTAGAGGCAGGAGAATTGCTTGAATCTGGGAGGTGGAGGTTGCGGTGAGCTGAGATCATGCCATTGCACTCCAGCCTGGGCAACAAGAGCTAAACTTTGTCTAAAAAAAAAAAATAGCTCTTAAGTCATTAGAATATACACACTCATGAGATCGTAGTCATCTCCCTCATTCTTTCTTCTTCCAATGTGCCAACGTCTGTCTCCAAACTCTCTCACTTGGAGTTCCTCTGCCCTTCACTTTGGCCTCCCTGAGGAGGTGCCAGGTTTGGAGAGTAGTGGTTAACTGCTTGCAACCTGACCACTTCCTAGCTGTGTGTTATGGATTGAATTGTGCCACCTCAAAAGATTTTGAAGTCCTAATGCTCCAGCCTCCAAATATGATCTTATTTGGTAAAGAGTCTTTACAGAGGTAGTTGAGGTACCATGAGCTCATTAGCGTGGGCCCTAATCCAGCATGAGTAGCATCCTTATTAAAAGAGAAAATTTGGACACTAAGACAGACATGGACAGAGGGAAGACAATGTGAAGACACAGGGAGAATCCCAGCTACAAGCCAAGGAACACCTGAGCCTCTCAGAAGCTCAGAGCAACACATGGAGCAGAATTTCACCCACAGCACTCACAGGAACTGACACCTTGATTTTTGACTTCTAGCCCCTAGAACTGTAAGCCAATAAACTTCTGGTTCAACCACTCAGTTTCTGAGACTTTGTTATGGCAGCCCCAGGAAAGTGATATGTAGTGGGGAATAGGCAACTTTATAAATCTTTTCAGCCTGATTTCCCTTATCTATAGAATGGGATGTTGTGACAAATCACACCTATCTCATTGGGGGGTTCTGAGGATTAAATCGTGCCTGGCATTTTGGGATAGACCTTAAAAAATAGCATTCATTCAATGTTATCATTCATAGACTCTGACTTGCTCATTCCTGGAACACTTTTAAACTTAGCAGTCTCTTGAGTTTTTACAGACGCCTCTTCAAGCAGGGTTTGGTAGCCAAAGGTCTCAAAATCTTAGTGTAAAGCAGCAGTCCTCCAACTTTCTGGCACCAGGGAATGGTTTTGTGGAAGCCAATTTTTCTGTGGACTGGCAGGTGGGGGTAGGAGATGGTTTGGGGATGATTCAAGTACATTACATTTATTGTGCACTTTTTTATTTTAATTTTTTTAAATTGTACTTTAAGTTCTAGGGTACATGTGCACAATGTGCAGGTTTGGTACATAGGTATACATGTGCCATGTTGGTTTGCTTCACCCATTAACTCATCATTTACATTAGGTATTTCTCCTAATGCTATCCCTCCCCCTTTCCCCCACTCCGCGACAAGCCCCAGGGTGTGATGTTCCCTGTCCTGTGTCTAGGTGTTCTCATTGTTCAATTCCCACCTATGAATGAGAATGTACGGTGTTTGGTTTTCTGTCCTTGTGATAGTTTGCTCAGAATGATGGTTTCCAGCTTCATCCATGTCCCTGCAAAGGACATGAACTCATCCTTTTTTATGGCTGCATAGTATTCCATGGTGTATATGTGATGCATTTTCTTAATCCAGTCTGTCATTGATGGACATTTGGGTTGGTTCCCAGTTTTTGCTTTTGTGAATAGTGCTGCAGTAAACATAAGTGTGCATGTGTGAGTCTCGCTCTGTCACCCAGGCTGGAGGAGTGTAGTGGTGCAATCTTGGCTCACTATGACCTCTGCCTCCCAGGTTCAAGTGATTCTCATGGCTCAGCCTCTCGAGCAGCTGGGATTACAGGCATGCACCACCTTGCATGTCTAGTTTTTGTGTTTTTGGTAGAGACAGGGTTTCACTATGTTGGCCAGGCTGGTCTTGAACTCCTGACCTCAGGTGATCCACCTGCCTTGGCCTCCCAAAGTGCTGAGATTACAGATGTGAGTCACCATGCCCCGCCTTGTGCACTTTAGTTCTATCATTATTATATTGTAATATATAATAATTATACAACTCACTGTAATGTAGAATCAATGGGAGCCCTGAGCTTGTTTTCTTGCAACAAGGTGGTCCCATTCTAGGGATGATGGAGACAGTGACACATCATCAGGCATTAGGTTCTCATAAGGAGCACACAACCTAGATCGCTTGCATGCGCAGTTCACTGATAGGGTTTGCACTCCTATGATGCTGCTGATCTGACAAGAGGCAGAGCTCAGGTGGTAATGTGAGCAATGGGGAGTGGCTGTAAATACAGATGAAGCTTCACTTGCTCGCCTGCCACTCACCTTCTGCTGTGCAGCCTGGTTCCTAACAGGCTACGGATCGGTACTGGTCCATGGCCCAGGGGTTGGGGACCTCTGTTGTAAAGCAAATCATATTTGTCACCCAGGCTTGAGTGTAGTGGTGCAAACATGGCTCACTGCAGCCTCAACCTCTGAGGTTCAAGCAATTCTCCTACCTTGGCCTCCCAAAGTTCTGGGATTATAGGCATAAGCCACGGTGTCCTGCTAGGAATTTAGTTCTAATTAGGGGTTTAATTTTCTGACAGAGTTCTCAGCAACAAGCAAGTCAAATCTGTAAAATTGTCCCATTGTCATGAGTTAATGTGTGTTGACTGGCTCTCTCTGAGGTTGCCATTTTAACTGGGAGCGTTTGTTATACCCTTTGAATATCTTGATTTTCTTGCTTTTAAATGCCGGTCATTATAGGCTATAGGAAGTAGGGTGTGGATTATTTGGTAGTTGTTAGGAAAAAAAAAAAAAAAGTCCATGACTCCTGCTTGGTGTGCGCAGGGTAGGCAGCACCGAAATCAAATGTAGCTTCAGTCTGCCACTGAGCGTACCTATGTGGCATTGGGCCAGTTGCTTAATCCTTTGGAACATCTGTTCTCTCTCCTTTGCAAAATAAAGGTGGCAATACCTGCCAAGAGGCAGTTTTATGGTTCAAGTAAGATAGCATAGGTAAAGAAACTCCTTTTGTATGTGGTGCATATTCAAAAAAAATTAATTCCTTTTCTCTCATCTCCCTTGGTCCTCAAAGGTTACAATCTGTAAGAGCAATGGCTGAAATGTTGGCCACTTCACTCATGATGTTGAAGTTCCTCTTGGACAGGTAAACAGCTTATCATGTCCCTCAAGTTGTACACCATGAAAAGCTGCCTGCTACCTACATGCTGAGAACCCACTTGGAGTGACACAGTTCAGATTAAAGACTTTATTTCAACATGGTCTGAAGTGAATTTGATGTTCCACTTCTTAGCTCTTTTAGTGATTATATAACTTATGAGTTGTTTATTTTTTTTTAAAAGCCTGAAAGTACTAAACATTTGAAGAATGAAGTATCACGAGATGGGTGTGTGTGTGTGTGTGTGTGTGTGCATAATGGCTAAAAAAGTAAATTTCCTTTAGCTCATGCTCTGTATGAATTGGTCATCTGTATACATTAAATGTATATTTTTGAAGTTCTCTATGATAAATCTGCATTAGTAACTATGGCTATTTGAGCACTTAGGCTTCAGATAACATCAATATACCTAAAAAATTTCAAAGCTTTTTATAAACATCAATGCAGACAGTATTAATATCTATATAAAACAGGACTTCAGTTTGAGCTTAATTGAATTAGTCACTTGGTATCCGATGTAGGAGCCTGCTCTTCAGTTTCACTTAAAAGCAATAGGGAAGGAAAAGAAAGAGGCATCGAATGTTCTGTTTTGGCATCATTGTATTTGTTTTACTAATTTGCTAGTCTCAGAGCCATTCTCAGATGATGCCATTAAAAGGAGGTGGGATATTTGCCATTTTCCAAGTAATGATAGATGATAGGAGTGATCAGTCATACCCTATTTTGACCAATATAACTCATTCTATAGCTGTTTTTTTTGGTCCCTTTAAAGTAAAATGATCTTACTTCTTATTAAAATAAAAAGGCATACATCCTATAGGGGAAAGTTCACAACACAGAGGTAGTTCCCAAAGGTTTTTATACTCCCCTCTGATTAATAATTATTTTCACAAACTATGCTCAGGTACACCATGATTTGGGTTGCTGTATGATCTGGAAGCCAATGTAAAGTGAATCATTATAAAGCGAATCATATTTTCCCATAGGAGTCTAGTTTTAATTAGGGGTTTTATTCCTGACAAAGTGCTCAGCATCACATAAATCATACATGTGGTTACTAATATATTATAAAAGTAAAGATACAGCAATTTACATCACTGTAATAATTTAAAATAATAGCATTATACTCGTTGTTACATACAATGGGCATGCATATAGTGCATACATTGATTATCCAAAGGGCCCAAGTGCTTTATAAAATATACATTCAACGTATAAAATGCACAGCTTTGCCATGATTTAATGTATATGAAAGAACTTAATAAACTGTAGAATGCCATACAGATGTAAGCTGAAATTTTATTAGCCTTGTGCATATAGCTTAACATAATACATACACATAAAGACATTCCTAAATGTCTAATTGGGAACACTTTTGCTCACCTTAGGATTTGGAAGGACATTTAGGGGTTTGGGTGACTCATAGCCCTGGATACCTAGGGAAATTTGAATGGATGCTTTTTTGTTGTTAATGTTTATGCTTATATGTTCTGTTTCAAAATGTTTTCACTTGTTTCATAATGTAATCCTTTTTGAAGAGTAGGACACTGATGCTCACAGAAGATGCTGTGCTCTTTATCACTGATAAATGCTTTTTTATTGCTGATACTCACTTTCAGAGCCACTTTGTGGCTAGGAAGTTGCAAAACTCAAACTAAAATCTGTGACTGCTCATTCTGTGCTTTTTCAAATAAGCTGTAAGGGCCTGCTGTTTTCTCTGTAGTTAAGCAGATGCTAGTAAAATTATTTCAGGGATCTTAGAGTAGTGTTTAAAGAAGTTGGGATTACCCTTGAAGGGAACCATTACAGTGCCTGAAAACGTGGAGTGCTCATAGAAGACTTCAGTCATCAGTTATGAAGATGTAGAGAGGAAGAGCTGGTTTTCTTTTTTCTTTTTTTCTTTTTTTTTTTTTGAGACAGGGTCTCACTCTGTTGCCCAGGTTATAGTGGGGTGGTGCCATCTCTGCTCACTGCAGCCTTAACCTCCTAGGCCCAAGCAATCCTTTCACCTCAGCCTTCCAAGTAGCTGGGACTACAGGCATGTGCCACCACACCTAGCTAATTATTTTTTTTTGTAGAGATGAGGTCTCCCTCTGTTGCCCAGGCTGGCCTTGAGCTCCTGAGCTTAAGCAATCCTCCTGCATCAGCCTCCCAGAGTGCTGGGATTACAGGCATGGGCTACCATACCAGGCCCAAGGAAGAGAATCGAGTTTTTGCTCTTGCTTACCCACACCCTTGCCCTCATAACATTACTGAATACAGGAGGTCACAGGAGGCTGAGCGGGTGGACTACCTGAGGAAATCACATCGAAAGGAAAAGCTGGATCATATTTCCTTGCCTTAGCATATTAGTTAAGTAATACTAGTCTGTGCTGCAGTCACAAATAAACTCTGAAATCTCAGTTATAATGAAGATTTCTTAATCATGAAAAATCGAAGGCTCCCTTTGTGCCATGGCTAAGTGATCAGGGCTGTTGCCATCCTGCAGTTCTGTCATCTTGGAGTTTGTTCTTGGAGTATGAGGAAGAGGGAGAGAAAACATGCGGCTCTCCCTGGGTGAAGGGGTGAGATCTGAAGTTTCCCAGTTCTTCTCTGTGCTGAGATAATTGGCTTCTATAGCAATGAAATCATGACACTGTCTCCAGTAACATCCTTGTTAATCACCTGAGAGGACTGTGCCTGACAATCACTTTGCTGTTTTTTTGTTTATTTAATAAACATTCATGGAGTGCTTGTGTGCAAAGCATTGGGTTGAAAAGTTGATTCAATGCAGCAATTTGTTCCAAGGAATCATCTGAATTGTGTTGTATCTATTAACCATCATTTCTTTATCTGGGACACAGCTAGCCCACATGAAGTCTTTATGCAAATTAGAAACGGGCACCCCTTCCTCAATACATTTTACTTCCATTTGTCAGAAAATTGTCATGCTGATTTTATTAAAACAATGCCCTTTGCTGTTGTCCCCAAAACATTGTCAAAATGAATATACAACCTAACAATGTCTTTGAAGTGAACAGTGCCCTCTTAGATGTGTCACTCTTGTGCAGTATGCAACCTGCACAACTGTATGTGACAGTCTTTGCCCCCTTGCTTCCTACTATTGAATCTTTCTGGAATTTTGTAGATATTTTCAGGTAAACTTTTCTTTCAGTCTTTGTAGACACGATGATGAGGAACCGCCCCCCCTTTTTTTTTTCTCCTTTGGAGAAGACTCCTTGAGTTCTGTTATGCTACAGGAAAAATGTCACTTCTTTTCATAAGGTCAAATTCCCATTTTATTTGCTGTGGCAAATACTATCATTCATCTTAAATCTGGTTTGTTTTAAAATTGTGTTTACCTTCCTCGATTGGTCTCTCTGTTCTTTGACCATTTACTACATTTTGAAAATACAGTTATCCTGTTAAAATAGTTTGATTTTACTAAAAAAACTTTTACTCAAATAGGACCTCAATGGAATATTCTAAGGGTGATAAATTCCTGCCCAGGGGCTAAAACATTTTGACATTATTAGGAAAAAAGATTTTCTGTTTGTCTGTGTATGAAAAAGACCAACCCAATAGGCCATGCCATTATTTGTTAAATGAATAAATGAATGGATACATTGTGAAGGATATGTAGTAGTAGCTGTAAATGAATTGCTTTTTTTAAAATCTGTGTTATGATTGCATATTATCACAGAAGGACCCAAAGCTAGAAAAGCCCATTAGTATTTCTTTGAGTTAAGGATCTCTGCTAAGAATGAAAGTGCAATCATGTGTGAAGAAAGGATAGTATATTTAAAAAAATTCCAGGCCTGGTCTAATTGTGCTTTGATTACTGTCTCTAGGGAGTAATTCTTACTTCTTGGTAGGAAACCATGAGCAAGTCTGACCATTTGGTTTTGTGAAAATAAACTTTGTTTAATTTATTGACACGTTAGACATACCTGCCAAATTTTCTCATGCTTTTTCCCTGACATGTGTCTTGCCTGATGGAGTCACTGTAATGCAGTCTATGTGTTTTTAAAGAAATTATGTTTTGCTAAGGAATGTATCAAAATTGTTAAACCATGTTGCACCTTGTTCTCATTAGCCTTTGGAATGCAGCTGCCGGAACAGAAAGGGCAGGGGAGTCGGAGTGGTGGCTCTGCGTGCTCTCACCTCCTTTCCTTGCAGAGGCCCTTGGGCTCCATCGTGAGGTGCTGGGTCTCTGCCCATCCTTGGGCAGCTTTGCCAGGAGAGTACACTCGAGGAGCCCTGTAACTCCAGTCAATTGCTGCTCTGTTTAGAAAAAGCCAACAAAAAAATGAATTTTACCTCTATGTACAACCTAGCCAGCTCTGATTGCTACACTGTGTGCATAGGCATACCTTGTTCTACTGTGCTTTGCTTTATCGCACTTTGCAGATAGTGTGTTTTTTTAATGTAGGTTTGTGGTAACCCTGTGTTGAAGAATTCTGTCTGCTGTTTTTCCAATACCATGCGCTCACTTCATGTCTCTGTCACATATTGCTAATTCTCACACTGTTTCAAGCTTTTTAATTATTATGTCTGTTATGGCGATCTGTGATTAACCTTTGATGTTACTATTTAAATTCTTTTAGGGTGCCATGAGCCACGCCCGTATAAGACAGCAAACAACTGATAAATATGTGTGTGTTCTGACTACTCCACCAATCGGCCATTCTCGCATCTCTCTCCTTCTCCTTGGGCCTCCCTATTCATTGAGACACAGTATTGAAATAGGGCAAATATTTGAAATTAGGGCAAATATTTGAAAATATCTGAAAATAGGGCAAATATTTGAAATTAGTACAAATAATTGAAATTAGGGCAATTAAAGCACTTAGTGGTTTCTAAGTGCTTATGTGAAAGGAAGAGTCGCACCTCTATCACTTTAAATCAACAGCTCAAAACAATTAAGCTTAGTTAAGGGCATATTGAAAGGCAAGACAGGCTGAAAGCTAGGCCTCTTATGCCAAACAGCCAAGCTGTGAATGCAAAGGAAAAGTTCTTGAAAGAAATTCAAAGTGCTACTCCAGTGAACGCATGAATGATGAGAAAGCAAATAGCCTTATTGCTGATATGGGGAAAGTTTTAGTGATATGGAGAAAGTTTTAGCAGCCACAACATTCCCTTAAGCCAAAGCCTAACACCCAGAGCAAGGCCCTAACTCTTTTCAGTTCTGTGAAGGCTGAAAGAGGTGAGGAAGCTGCAGAGGAAATATTTGAGGCTAGCAGAAGTTGGTTCACAAGGTTTAAGGAAAGAAGCCTTCTTTACAACATAAAAGTGCAAGTTGAAGCAGGAAGTGCTGATGTAGAAGCTACAGCAAGTTATCCGGAAAATCTAGCTAAGATCACTGGTGAAGGCAGCTATTTTAAACACAACAAATTTTCAGTGTAGATGAAACAGTTATCTATTGGAAGAAGATGCCATCTAGGACTTTTATAGCTGGAGAGGAAAAGTCAATGCCTGGCTTCAAAGTTTCAGACAGGCTGACACTCTTGTTAGGGGCGAATGTAGCTGGTGACTTGATGTTGAAGCGGATGCCCATTTACCATTCTGAAAATCCTAGGACCCTTAAGAAGTATGCAAAATCTACTCTGCCTATGCCCTATAAATGGAACAGTAAAGCCTGGATGATGGCACATCTTTTTACAACATGGTTTTCTGAAGATTTTAAGCCTTCTATTGAGACCTACTGCTCAGAAAAAAGATAACTTTAAAATATTACTGTTCATTGACAATACACTTAGTCACCCAAGAGCTCTGATGGAGATGTATAAGGAGATGAATATTGTCTATCCCTGCTAACATAACATCCATTCTTCAGCCCTGGGTCAAAAAGTAATTTCAATTTTCAAGTCTTATTTTTAAGAAATATATTTTGTAAAACTGTAGCTGCCATAGAATGTGGTTAACTCCTAACAAGAGTCAGCATGTCCTTTGAAGATTGGAAGCCAGGCATTGACTGGTATTGGCCTTCTGGAAAGGATTCATCATTCTAGACGCCATTAAGAAAGTTAGTGATTCGTGGGAGTGGGGTGAAAATATCAACATTAACAGGAGTTTGGAAGCAGTTGATTTCAACCCTTTTGGATGACTTTGAGGGCTTTGAGACCTCAGTAGAGGAAGTCACTGCAGTTGTGCTGGTGATAGCAAGAGAACTAGAATTAGAAGTGGACCCTGAAGACATAAATTACTGCACTCTCATGATAAAACTTAAATGCATGAGGAGTTACTTCTTATGGATGAGCAAAGAGTGGTTTCTTGAGATGGAATCTACTTCTGGTGAAAATGCAGTGAACATTGTTGAAATAATAGCAAAGGATTTAGAATATTATAAAAACTTTTGGTATGGTTTGGCTCTGTGTCCCCACCTAAATCTCATCTTGAATTATAATGCCTACATGTTGAGGGAGGGATCTGGCAGGAGGTAATTGGATCATGGGGTGGTTTCCCCCATGCTGTTCTCATGGTAGTGACTTCTCACAAGATCTGATGCTTTAAAAGTGTTTGGCAGTTACCCCCTCGCTCTGTCTCCTGCTGCCATGTAAGACATGCCTTGCTTCCCCTTCACCTTCTGCCATGATTTTAAGTTTCCTGAGGCCTCCCCAGCCATTGCAGAACTGTGTGTCAATTAAACCTCTCTAGTTTATAAATTACTCAGTCTCAGGTAGTTGTTTATAGTGGTATGAAAATGGACTAATACACTTTGTATTTTTGCTCCTTTTTTTTTCCTTTCCTTTTTTCTTCCTTGAATAACCTCTCTGCTAATGGTCCGTCTGGCTAACTCTACTTAGCCCAAGCGTCACCTCATGTTTGAAGCCCTTCCTGATTTCCTCTGCTGATTTAGGTGCCCAGCATCCTTAGTGTTCACACTAAGCTTTATGAAATACATCTATCAAAACAATTACCTTGTAGCATAAATACTTGTTTCTCCTGATTGGACTCTGAAGTCTAAGACTGTAGCTTTTAGTTTGTATCTCCATAAATGATCACAGGCTTGGTATATAGAAATTCAGTGAATGAATTAAGGTAAGATTTCCAAGATATGTTACTCAGCAAGTCTTCAAAAGCAGTTATGTTCAAAAGCAGACATCTCTACATCCAGTGAATTAATGTAGGTGAATGTAATGCTTTGGTAAAAAAGTTATCTGAGTGAAAAACTAATTGAATTGTTTGGTCAGCCTCAGCTTATTGCTCTCCCTCCCAACTGACGTTATATACAAAGTCACCAGAAGGAAAGGTTTGCTCAGAGTAACCCCTTCTGCCATGGTGACTCTGTTGGAAGTCATCCAGTGACAGAAGACCCTGGAGGCAGCAGCTCTTGTCCCGGGTCCTTTTGTTTTGTGTGTTTCATTGTACTTTGCAGAGCTTTTCCTAGGAGACTGGTTGCCTGCCCTGACGTGTCAGAGCTCCTGGCAGGGCCCCAGATTTGGTCTCCCTCGGACACCTTCCCTGGGGAGGGAATTTTATTACCCAATAAAAATTGCCTCGGAATTCCAAGAAATGTGACATTGAAATTCATCAGGCTGTTTTATAGTGAGATGTTTTCTTGTCTTGGTGCCTGGGACTAATGGCCAATGGGTTTGCATTATCTCTAGATTTGGGGGCAACTGTATCTTCATTGGTTGGACATCTTAGTATTGAGGATTGTGGCAGGTTTTGGCTGAGCTGGGTGGAGGGGCTCTGAGTTCCTATCCTGCAGGTCACCCTGGTGAATGAAGATCTAAGGTTCTCAGAATGGAGGGAGAACACAGAGTGAAGCATGTGAGGGGCTGTCAAGGGTACTGGTCGCTCTGGCGTGGTCTGGGAGGCCTAGAGAGCAAGGAGCCTGTGCTGGGATGGTGTTTTCTTCATTCTCTTGTGTCAGGGTCCGGCTCATCCAGGCTGCAAAGCCAAATGCCTTTAAACTTGAGTGTGGCAAGATGTAGAGGAAAAGGGTTTTGGAGTTGGGGAGAGCTGAATTGAAATCTTGGTTCTGGCACTTACGGTGGGCCCTTGGGCAAGTTGCTGAGCCCCTCTGTTTAGTTTTTCTTTTGTTTTGTTTTTTATTTTTTATTCACTTGTGAGGTGGGGCCCCAATCCCTGTGAGCCTGCTGTGAGGATGCAAAGTGAGAGCATTTTGGCAGAGCTCCTGGCACATTCCAGGCCCTCAGGAGTTATCACCCCCATTTGTGAATGCCTGTTCTAAAGATATATTAGAAAAACACAGAGGCACAGAAAAGGAGAGTGGATTTTTGTTTTTGCATGCTGGCTTAGTGAAGTGGCCAGAATCACTAGTATGACATTGATGCTGTGAGGGCTCTGGGCTCTGTGTGAGGGGCTTTAGCCTGGCCTCTTACCCAGAGGATCTGCTCAGGGAGCCCCTCTGGAAAAGGGGGTAAGGGTCAGGAGGAAGCCTGAGTTCTAGTGTTTGCTTTGCCACCAACCACACGTATGACCTTAGATAAATCACTTGCCTCAGTTTCCAGACTTGTTTGGAAATTGGTGTGGACCAGTTCTGAAATTTAATAGACATGAAAGTATTGTTATGAGACTATTAGAAAGTATTTTATAACTAAGAGTGGGGGTGGGTAGGGGCTTTCTCTTCCTTTCTTTCCCTTCTTTCCATTAACAAGGTATTTAATTATCGCAATCACAAAGAAATAACCTAGAAGCACTGTGGAGAAGCACTACTGTTAAAGTGATTTCTTGCAGAGGTCTTCAGGTTTATTTCCAGAGTTTCCTTGGAAAGACTTTGAAGTTGGTTTAACACTTTACACCTGCTTTGCTGTCAGGTATTGATTGGGCTAGTGGCTGGTCAGATTTGAATTTCACAAATCCGTGCGTCAATTTATTCCTTAGCACTTAGGTAACGCTCTACCAGGATAAGCACATTTTAAAGGTGAAAATCTCCCGACAATGTAAAAAATGGAGGTGGGAAAGAATGGAAGGTAACATACCAAGATGTTAACTGATGGATGAGCGGTGAGGGTTCTCGATGAGTTTTTATTTTCCTTATACCCTTCTGTGCTTTCCAGGCTTTTTTTTTTTTTTTTTTCAGTTTTTTAAAAATATGCTTCTCCTCCCACAAAGCAAATGTGGTGCTATTATTTAATATTATAAGACATATAGGATTTAAAAATTTTGTGACTTGCCAGGAAACTAAAGAGGGCTAGTATATCTGGAAAATCCCAGAAGGCAGGCAGGGCCCAGCCAGTCTGAAACATTTCTTTAGCCCCAGCCTGGTGCACACCCTCCTCCTCCTCCTCCTCCTCCTCTTCTTCCTCTTCCCTCCCTCCCTCCCTCCCCCCGCCACTACCTTGCTGCTCAGATCTGGGACAAAACATTCTCCTTTTGGCAAGGCCTTCCTTAGGAAGGAAGTCACATGCCAGTTTTGGTGAGTCTGGAGGATTAATGAGCTGCTAAAACTCAACTTCTTCATCTCCTGAAGCTTCCTTTCAAACTACAGATTCCAAATATGACCTACCACAGCCATATACCACCTCCCACTATACTTCTGATTTGTATGCTTAAACACACACTCCCAAGCAGTGCCTAAACTCCTACTGTGGAGTCTGGGAGTTTGTCAAAAGGTGCCAGAAACAGAGCTTTATGAATGAGCTCAGCAGTCTCACAGCATGAAAATGACTCTAGAATAACCCAGTTTTCAGGCCTCTGCCTAAATTAAGCTTTTTAATTATTCTAATTTGTTAATCATGAAGAATAAACACTTGAGCAAGTCCAGCATGTTCAAAAATCTGAAGTCCTTTCCTTTCTCAAGTAGACTCCCTTTTCTAAACACCCCGTTTCAGAAAGTTATACCACCAGGCTCTGTTTCCCTTCCTTTCACTTGCCCAGTACAGTCTGTCACTAAGTCCCGGTGAAATGTCTCTTAACTCTTTATTTTCTCTTTTTCACACTTTAGTGTAGGTCTTCATCATCTCATAGCCAGACAACTGCCATTGGTTTCTCCACTTCTAGACTCTTTTTAAAAAAAGAAAAATGAGGTCTTTCTCTTTTGCCCAGGCTGTAGTGCAGTGGTACAATCATAGCTCACTGCAGCCTTAAACATCTAGGCTCAAGTGATCCTCCTGCCTCTGTCTCCCTAGTAGATGGGATTATAGGCGTGGGCCACTATGCTGCCTCCAATTCTAGGCTGTTATCCTCTCAGCCCATACACTCTTGCTGGAATAATCTCCTTGGAAAATAGAGCTGATGAGATCACTCCCAATCCAGAGTCTGAAGTCAACAGCTGAGTCAGCCCTTCCTGGTGTGACTTTCAGCCTCATGCATATCCCCAGGCCAAAGGCTCTGGACTGTCCCACCACGTGCCCCCTGCCTTCTCCCTGAGCCTTTGCTCAAATCCTTCTCTTTGCACAGATACCCCCATTCACCATTGTCCAGTCATGACTGAGGTGTAAAATCTGACCCATTCTCAGCTCTGGTGAAATTTCCTCACAAAGGCTGAGTTTATTACACATTTTTCTACCCTCACATGAAAACAAGTATGTCTTTATTTCCTTCTTCTCAGGTCCATTTAGCATGCTATGGAATTCTTCCTCTTGTTTTAGTAGTATATTCAACAATTTATATAATAATCTGCTCAGTTAATTGGGAAATCTATTTGTGAGGGGAGGCTGCAAGTCTATCTCAATCTTGGGTTTTTTCATATTGTCTAGCCTAGTGCTTTGGACCTATAGTTGCTGTGTATAATTGAATAGTAGACATTCAAACATGGCTTTCAATGAGGTACTAGAATAGATTCAACATATATAATCTAAGTTTCCTTACCTTTATTTGTGAAGAGTAAAAGCAAAAATTTGATGCTATCCCATTTTAGTAGAGGCTTGTGAAATATTCCTTTGCAGCTGCAAAGATGCTGAGGCCTTGGAGTCTTTCTTATTTTTCAACTGGAGTAAACTTTCTTTGAAAAGAGAGTAACTTCAGGTCCATGAGAAAGTGGGAGCCCATGAAGAGTTGGGGATTGATACGGTTTTGGTGTCTGCTCAACATGGGGTTGGATCTTGGCTCTTGGGCAAATTATTTAGCTTCTCTGACAGGACTCAGGTTCTCCATCTGCAAACTGTTGATAATATCTTCCTAAGTTATTTTGCAAATTGGGGATGATGGATGTATGCATCTAGAACAGTGCCTGGTGCACAGTGGGCATGCCAAAAATGCAATAACGGGCAATTATTTTCACAGCCATTATTCAGGGTTCAGTTAGAAAGTGGGGCATCTGCGAGTGCAGCTGCAGACTGAAAACCAACTTTATTTCAAAAGCTCACCTTGCACAATGGCTCTTATTAAAATGTGAGATTGTTTATAAAGCAGAAGATTACTTGACAGCTGACCCTGAAAATGGAGTTTGAGCTCAGGCAGGAAGGGCCAGATGTGCTGTGCTATTCCAAGCTGGGCATCTCCTCCCCAGCAGGTGAGCTCTTCAGGCCAGAACAAACAGATGTTTGGTTTTCTGGGGTGAGAAGGCAGGACAGGGTCCTGTTTGCTGTTTCACAATGTGAGTGGCTGTGAAAGGTTGAGCTTTGGGAAGCGTGCTAGGAGCTCTCACACATGCATGGCTTCAAAATGCGGCCTTGAAAAAAATTCATCACTCTCATTGCATTTCCATTGTGGGGTTGGGGGTGGATCCAAGAAAGGACCTGAGAAGAGAATTTGGTCAATTGGAGAGCTGGTAGTTGAGTACATACCATGACCAGGCACTGCTTTTGAGTGCTAGGGGCAATGAGGGGAATGGTGACACAGAATTTAATGATAAGATCTAGTTCCACCCGACTCTGGAACAATCGTTTTGGACTTTTTTTTTTTTTTTTTTTTTTTTTTTTTTTGGCAGGGTCTCATTCTCTTACCCAGGCTGAAGTGCAGTGGCATGATCTAGGCCCACTGCAACCTCCGCCTCCCGGGTTCAAGTGATTCTCCCACCTCAGCCCTCCCGAGTAGCTGGCATTACAGGCACGCTCCATCATGCCAAGTAAATTTTTGTATTTTTTGGTAGAGACGGGGTTTTGCCATGTTGCCCAGAGTGGTGTGGAGCTCCCAACTTCAAGTGATCCACTGCCTTGGCATCTCAAAGTGCTGGGATTTACAGCCGTGAGCCACCACGCCTGGCAGTTGTGGACTTTCTTTGAGGAAAATGTGTATATACACATGCCATTTTCATACAATTCCAAGTGGCTCATGGGTCCCCTGAAGTTCAAGGAACCCAAGTTAAGAATCATTTATTTAGTAATTACAATCTAGTGGAAAACAAACATGAACTTTAGATTCAGAAACACTTAGTTTAAATTTGTATTCCACCCCTTATCAGCTATATATCTCACCGAACGAAAGATCTTGGATGATTTAACCTCTGTAAGCCTTAGACACCTCCTATGTAGATGAGAATAATAGCGGCAGCATCTGATGAGGTTGTAATGAAGATGAAATAAGTTAATAAGCACAAAAGCTATTAGCAGTATGCCCAGCATGTGGTAAATGATCTACACATGGTAATAAAATTATTACTAGTGAGCCTGCTATAAGGGAGACACTGAAGTATGGCAGATTAATTCCTATTGGCATCTGAGAAGAAACTATGAACCACAGTTTTCAGTTGAGGTTTTGTATGTAAAAGAATTGTGAAAAACAGCATGGTGGGAGTTTCTGTTACAGGCAACAAATTTATTATAACTGTCTCATGCCAGTTTATAAGAGAAGGCAACCACAGCGGGATTCCATAGGGATGTTTCAGTGGTTATATAGTCCACGAAGATGACCTCATTGGATGGAATAAATCTCTTTCAGTGACAGCTAAATACTGAGCTATAATCCATTAGCAATAATGAAGAAAAAGGATAAGATGATGATGATAACAGCCGTGAGCCAGGCATTGTGCTAAGTGCTTCACATTTGTTTTGGTTTGTGGTTTTGTGGGGTCGTTCCTGATGAAACTTGAGGACTTTCACTTGGTGTAGCTGGAGGACGGCAGGCTGTGTGCACACGTGTGCATGTATGCACTAGCTAAACCAGTTTCTTATCAGCTTTCACTCATTTGACTGTTTTTGGAGCCATGACTTTTAACATTTTGGAATGTCCTCGTTGGAAAATGAAAGTTTATCACGCAACGTGTAAGATTACAACCACAAGACTCAGGAAAGCGTCCCTGAGCTTGGGGGAGAGTTACAATTAACCTCGTAAAGAGTGCGGATGAAAGTCTTTCCCATAGTTACAATCAAAGACACTTTAGGCCACTCTTTCCCCAGAGGAATAGTTGCTTTTTATGGCATGTTTTAAAGTTTTATTTCAAAAACAGTCAGCATCTTAAAGCAGAATGCTGTGTGCACCCCAGGACTTCACTTAAAATGTGTTTTTAGTTTTCTCAATCATATTACCAAGTTTCTGGCCACAACATGAGCTGCTACCCTCACAGACCCACACGCAGAAGGATTTAGCCTGATTTGTTTGTGCTTGTAGCAAGAGCTCTCTCCCTGATCTTTCTGCTATTTTCTTCTGAGAGGGAAGTTAGGAGTCAGCATTATTATGTTAGAAAAGACAACCTTTTTCAGCCCTCAAGTTTTTCAGCCCTAGAGAAGAGATGAACCCCAGTCCCATGCAGTTCTTTCTACTCTACTCAGTACTCAGCTGCCCCTCAAACCCAAGAAAATAATTTTTTGCCCATATCCTGGCTTAGAGTGCTTCCTAATTATGTCATATGTGTGCACACATGGGTGCATCTATGTGTTTTAACTTAAATATTGGAATATCATGTTTTTTCCTAAGACATAGGCACTGTGACTGATTACCTTTCGATGATAATTTTTCAGTGAACACCTAAGTATTGCAGGGAATGATAAGTAGTCTAGTAGTGCCGAGGTGCTAAAGTACTGCTGTAGTTACTTTGTAATTCTGTTTGCGTGGAGTTCAAGGGTGAGTGAAACTTACATCTCTCTTGGTCTGTCTGCTCCACTTCAGCTGTAGTTCTTTCTTTTGGGTCTCACTTTTCGCTCAGCACAACTTTCAGCTTCTGCTGGGCCTTGGGTTTTCTTGGTCGAAGAATGTTTTACGTGCTCACTCCACCATAATATGTGCTCTGACAATGGCTAGAGAAAAGCATGGGGTTTGAACCAAATCTGACTTTGTATGGTCTCATTTACATAGTGTATGAATTTGTACGCTCTCATTTATACAATGCATAGGACTGCTGTAGAGGCCTTCTCACTAGTCACTATGCCTGGAGTTTATCCTTTGATCAATTGACACTGATATCAGGGTCTAGCTTTGTTACACAAGTGCAAATCATAACTGCCACCTGTTAAAAATCCTCTAAACCTTCTCATTGCCTAGAGTAGGGAGGGCAAATGATTCCATTTCAGGTGCCAATTGGCAGGGCTGTCTGAAATGGGTGTGCTCTGAAGTGCATAAAGTGCTGTGATTAGACATGTCTGACATATGTGCAGAGCGGTAGTAGCAGCAGGTGTGCCACATCGTCCCTAAGAGGGCAAGGTCTGAACTTCTAAGCATGGTCCATAAGACTCTTCTTGATCTGGTTTCTGTCTGCCTGTCCAGAACCATTTATCCTTCCCCAGCCTGCACTCTCCCTGCTTCCCCAGCCTGCACTCTCCCTGCTTCCCCAGCCTGCAGCCTCCTTGCTTCCCCAGCACTCATGCTGTCACTCCAGCATGGCTTTGCATCTGCCCAACTTCCCCTGGAAATCTCTTGCCTCTTATTTCTCCATAGCTGCCTCATCCTTCAACACCTGATTCAAGTATTACCGCCTTTGAAGCCTCCCCACCTTCTTGCCCCTTAGCCATACCCTACACAGTCATGATGATGCTAACCTTGATCATATGGTCAAGGTTGAGAGTCTGCCAGATTTCTCCACTGTAAAGTCACCATGTTCCCTTTGTATTTGATTATGATGGAGATTCTGATATTATACCAATATCCTGTTTGTTATCAAAACTTTGCCTATCAGCCTTAGCATCCATCCATGGTTGAATGAATCCACCTGAATCTACCACTGTCACCACCATGGTTGCCAAATGGTGATGGCTTATTTTCATCATTTCCTCTACATTTATTATTTGGCATTCTATAAGAAAGAGCTTTCTCTTCTCCCCCATTTATACATGTATATATATATCTCAGTATGTACTCATTGATCTGTTTTGTTCAGTGGGTTATAACCTATTACTATCATCATTTATTTTAATACTCAAATTATTCCCTGTTTGAGCTCCTTCCAGTTGGCTCCCATGTCCTTTTGACATATGTCCATTATCCATTCAGCATTTCCTGACTTTCTGACACAAGATGTTCCAGGCTTACCTTGTATTTCTCTACCTCAACCCTCAAACTTTTTCTCTAACAGCTCTCCCTCCTTTTACTTGAGGTTAATATTTAGAAACCAAGGTCTGATTGTTCACTGTGTTTGTTGCTTCTATATAGATACACACACAATGTACATATCAATGTGCACATATACATAATACACACAAACACATGGAAAATAACTGTTTCCGTATCTCTGCATGTATATTAAAAACCCATCAGTTCATACCAATACTTCCAATTCCGTTCCAACACTCCAGAGGTCTTTCTAGCTTTCTTCTTTCCATGTTTAGAAGTAGATTTTGAGGATAAGAACCTGGCTCCTTCTATTTTGAATGTATTTACTGGTTTGTAAAACATAACCAGTCTTCTTAACTATTTTGGATGCCTCTCCTGCCCCATTGTACCTACAACCCCTTACTGTCTGCTTCCTTGGCCATAAGGGCACACTGCCACCAACATAAGACATAAGGGCCCCAAGTTTTTGGATACTGAGCACCAATGTCAAGAAGGGAAGATGGGACATGATAGATCAGTTCCTTTAAGGCAAGGAAGTATGTACATTATTTTTCTTTCTAATTATTACCCAACATAGTACATGACATATAACAAGAGCTTTGAGAGTGTCATATGGATGAATGAATAAGTGGGCAATAAATGAAAAGACAAAATTGTACATTGTTTAACTTGTGAATATTACAGTGGGATAATCAGGTGATCAGGATATAATAGGTAAGACTAAACACCTTCTGTATCTGAGAAGATTTTTGTCTCTTTTCACCCAAGTGAGTAGCTTTGGAAATCTGCAGAGGAAAGGGATCAGATACCAGGGATACCAGCTTAAGTAGCCAGGTGAGCCAAAAGAAACTCTGGTCTGGAATCAGTTGACAGATGAGACACCCAGCTTGTCTTATCCAGTGCAGCACCAGGCACATGAGGGCCATTTAACCAGGATGTGTAATGATAACAAGGGCAAGACACGTCTGGGTTTTGGCTGCATTTTGTTTGAGATTCCTGTGTGTGTGCACTAGAGATAATACAAGGCAACGCTCTAGAGAAAATCATTCCTATCTACCTATGTGTTTCTGAAATTTCACTTGGCATGCAGTGTCCTGTGATACCTGTCTACAACACTACTGAGATGTGCAGCTGTATGGCAGCTGTATTGAATGCCACTTTAAAGGTGCTGGTACTTTAGATGATTCTTCTATAGTAGTTTGCAGTTGTACATAAATATGCACAAAGCTCATTTTATGCATAATTAAAACCAGTTATTCCATTAGAGTTTTCACCAACCTTTACCTGGTAACTACCTGTACAACACTGACAATAAATAAAAACACGTTATTTTTGTTGACTCATTTTGAGAACAGATTCTGTTGGGTGGTCACTTGAACTACTTTCCCAACCTGATTTCTCTTGCCTATTTTCCAGTGTTCTGACTCCACATCTTTGATTTTGCAGCTCCCCGTGCAGCCAGGGGTGGCTTTATGCCCTGATTTTAGTCAGTGAGAGGGCTTGTGGGGAGTGTTTTTTTCACTTTTCCTTTGTCTGGTGGCAGAGGGTGGGATCCTGAGTACCGGAGGCTGTTGCCACTACTTTCTGTGAATGGACTTTGCCTCCCCATGTGTACTCTGGGTTGGAAATGGCCATGGCCTTAGGCCCGGAAGGACTCGAGGCTTAGTGCAGTGTGGGCACCAAGAAGAGAACAAGATGTAGGGGCTGGACAAAGGAAGAGCAAAGAGGAGAGTATAAGGAAAGAGATGGAATTTTGTAGAAGCTGGAGGAGGCCCTTCTGTTGGTACGCTGGGCTTCTTAGAGCCTAAGAGTTGGAGACTCCAGGTCCATTTCCTCTTGAATGCCCTTCTGTGGCTGATCTGGTTCTATGAGGGTCCTTTGTAGCCCTAGACTGTTCATGTAGCATGACTCACAACCTCAGGTTTTGAGTTTTTTTGTAGACCTTCTGTTCTAATAAGATTGTAAAGATTGAGATAATACAGATAAACAGGTAAGAACAGTGCCTGGCACACAGTCAATGCAAATGTCAAATATTCATATTGTCATCATTGAAGGTGTACAAATGTATTGGTGCACAAATTCTACACATTTATGAACAAAAGGCAAAGGTCTCATGGAGCGCAGTCTTCAGCCAGTCTAATAGAAAGGTATGGTGTTTGTTTCTTCAGTAATTTGAGATGAGAAAAAGAAGAGGGCTACTTTGCAAAGATTAGAGAAAGCTGAGAATTTTATTTTTGTGAATCTTATTTTTTGTAAAGAAGGGCTATCTTCTACCAGAAATAAAAAATGGAATGAATGCCCATTGTATGTGTATATCTGCCTGTTTTCTCCTAACACCTCTTCATTCCCTTGAACTTTGCCAGCATCTGGGAGGTCCAGTAAGAAATGCTCTTTAAATCCTCTGCATTCTTCCAGAAGCCCAAGGGGTTTAACAAGTTCTGACTTTCATGAAAACATATAAACCAAAAGTACAATTTTTCCAGCGTGGTTCTTTATACTAGAAATCTTCTTGTTTTGTCAAGTAACAAAAGCAAAACCTGGCTCTTTTGTTATTATTAGTGAATCCATATAAAGCAGGATATTTGGGGGTGAGAGTGGGTTACCTTTAACATTTTACAGTGCTATATTTTATTGGAGTGGGTTTTACACTATCTGTAAATTTTAATTTCCAGTGAGAATATATTGAAAAAGTACAATTGGAAAGGGATGACTTAAAAAGTTTCCCTTTGGGCTAAACATCTAGGAAAAATAGAGAAAAAAACCATTAGTGAAATCAGAGACAACTTTGACATATTGAATTATGAACACACAGTATAGGGAAGTAATTTCATTCCAGCTGCTCAGCTGTGGTAATAATTAAACTCGAAGTCCAGCCTCCTACTTGTTTTGGAAAGTAGGGGGTGTCTTATAACAGTGAGTTAGGTCCCTAAGAATCACATGCTTGTTGAAAAATATTTTTGGTACTCAGAGGAATAAATGTAGTGAAATGAGGGCATTTTTTTCTAAAATCATTCCATTCATTGTTTAAATTAACTTTCTTTTGCTTTAGTGACATTATAGGGGATTTGGCTCCTATTTTGAAAAGCTCCGTAGAGACAGAAAATATAGATTAGCCCTGATACATTTTGATGGAAGATACAACAGTTGAGATTTTGGTTATCTGTTGGAATTCTGAAAGTTTGGAGAATTGAGGCAAGCAGCAGTGGGGCATGGGGAATATTCAGTTTTGGCAGCTTACGAGCAGTGGAGAAAATCCTCGCTGCTCAATTGAATTTGGCATTGGCTACCAAGTCAGGATCTTCCTGTCTGCACATCTTGCTCCGCCACTTGCTGCTGCAGAAAGGCCCCACTCGGGGCAAAATCACTCCCTTTGGTAGCTGTTCAGGTAGGAAAAGGTATGGGTTGGGTAGGAGGGCTGGTGCAGGTCGGACTGGGGTTGGGGGTTTGAGGGGACAGGGAAACCCAGGGAACCCATTTATCCTCCCCATTACCTGCAGCATGAGACAGGGCCACGTTTAGAGAAGGAAAGACTCCTGAAACCTTAACACAGGGAGACCTTGGCACTGAAAACCTGACACGGAGGCTAAGAGACCTCGGGCTAAGTTTTGGGGCTCAAGGCAATGGGACAACTATAAACACTGAAATGCCTAGGAAGCTGCTTAGCAACAGTAATTCAGAAGGCACTTGAGGACTCCAGGACTTCCAATAATTCCATCCATGTCATAAAAAGCATACTTGTACCCCAGAGAGGGATGCTGGGACACTGGGACATTCTCTTGAAGGAGATGAAATGCAACTGTTCCAGGAATCTAGTCCTTTGGGCCTTTTGGCCCCACTCAAGTTGTCACCAGTTCACCTGCTGAGACTCAAAGCACAACTCTAGGGCTGTATCTCATATGCGTGTAGATAGATTTGGGTAGGGAGCAGTGGCAGCGACCACAGCCTAGGGCCAGTGTTTATTTATAGACTCATCCAGAACTTCCAGTTCTTTGCCTGAACTTGAAGCTAGGAGAGGACAGGAGGAGTCTTTTATGAACTGCTTGGGGTTAATCTGACCTCAAAGGTAACAGTTGAGGGTGATCCTAGCCAATACCTGAGCATCCCCAAGAAAGGGGCAGTGAAAGCACAGCAATTGATTGTTATTTATGCAGGATGAGGAAAGGGACTTGTGGAGGGAGAAATTATGAAGCAGATTAATACATGTTGAGTGGTTGATGTCAGCTGGCTGGTAGAAATTAACATGGTATATAGCATAACTGTTATCATTTTTATCTTAATTAATTTTATGAGACATTTAACATGTTCACACATCAAGCCAAACATCTGGGGCTATATGGATGGTGGCATTTATCCAACTGTTTACACACCCTGCTTTCCAAGTATCAGCCATGCTCACTGGGTCCCATCCACTTGCAAGCTTAGTAAGGCAGAGGCCATACAACCCCCATCTCCAAGCTCTGTGCTTATGGGTAGAGGAGTGTCCTTATAGTCTGAGACATCAACTTGAATTTTCCTCAGAGAGGAATCAGATGTAATGAAAAGAGCATCCTTTTAGAAGTCAGCAAAAGAGGCATTAGCCCTGGTTTTAAAATGGACTGTTCTATGATATTGAGCAGGTTCTTAACCCCATTGGCCTTGCTTCCTCATCTGGGATATTGGTGGTGGCGGCAGCCATAGCAAAAGTAATAATTTCTGCCCTGCTTAGCTCTCAGGGCTGCAGAAAGAATAAGATAAGACTGTGTAGCAAAGCTCTAGAAACTGAGTGTGTTTCACAAATTGTTCATCCAAAAATATTAAGTGTGTAGATGTTCCAGGCATTGTGCTTAGCTGTTTATATAATAGTGAACAAGATACCCCCTTTCTCACCAAGGAATCTAGTTTGGGTGATAAAAAAGCATTTTTTAATATTGTGGACTTAATGCTGTGATAAAAGTAATCTACAGTGTGCTGTGCAAGCAACCCAGTCTTGGATAGGGGTGAGATAGTGGGTCATGAACAGTTACTGTTTTAAAATAGGGATTAGAGGGGCTTTGGGTGTTTTTTGCAGTGCCTGGAAGAGAGCCTTGGAAATATTTGTTTAGCACAGCTGTTGGGTTTCATCCGAAATTCACAGGGTCCTAGATTGCTTGTGAAGAGAGTGAAACTCCAGTCAAGAGAGCTTGCTGTTTTTTGGCTGGAGGACACTAAAAGGCCATGTGGGAACAAGCCTAGTGCAGCTGACACAAACTTCAGAGTGTGAGAAGGGAAGCTTCCTTTGGTTGTTGGCTCTGCATTTATCATCAGCTTAAATCAAGAGCCTGTTTTACCCAGGTGGTTGGACTAAAGCCTATTAGCCTCAAGGAAGCTCTTACTTAAGCAGATACGCGCTTGTTTCATGTAGGCCCCACTGCTTAGGGATTTGTATACATATTTCCTTAATTTAGACAAAAAAAAAAACTGCAAAAAGAGAACAGAGTGGGCCCCCATTTCCAGCATCAACAATGATCAGGGTTTTGCCACACTGGGTTCATCCATCAATCCCAGCCATCCATCAATGCCAGCCAGCCATGTTTTTTACCCCTACCTACCTTATTATGCTTCTCTAAAAGTAGGGATATTTTTGGTTGGGTGCAGGGGCTCATGTCTGTAATCCTAGCACTTTGGGAGGCTGAGGTGGGTGGATTACCTGAGGTCAGGAGTTCGACACCAGCCTGGCCAACATGGGGAAGCCCCATCTCTACTAAAAATACAAAAATTAGCCAGGTGTAGTGGCGTGTGCCTGTAATCCCAGCTACTCCAGAGGCTGAGGCAGGAGAATCACTTGAACCTGAGAGGCGGAGGTTGCAGTGAGCTGCGATCATACCACTGCATTCCAGCCTAGGCAACAAGAGTGAAACTGCGTCTCAAAAAAAAAAAACAAAAAGGGGGACATTTTCTTAACCATGATGCCACTATCTATCGCATCAAAAAATCCAAGGAGTTTTAGAAACTTTTTTTCACTTTCTATTTCTCCCCAAAATGTTATTTTGAAAAACTTCAAGTGTATAACAAACTTAAGAGAATTTAAAAGTGAATGGCTACGTATCTGTCACTTAGATTCTATCATTAACATTGACACATCTCTCCATCTATTCATCCCATTATCCATGCATCTCTTAAAAATGTATTTCTGGCTGGGTGCTGTGGCTCACATCTGTAATCCCAGTGCTTTGGGAGGCCAAGGCAGGTGGATTGCTTGAGCCCAAGAGTTCGAGACCAGCCTGGCCAACATGAGGAAACCTCATCTCTACAAATAACAAAAAAGGGAAGACTGGCAAGATGGCTGAATAAAAGCAGCTCCAGTCTGCAGCTCCCAGTGAGACCAATGCAGAAGGTGGGTGATTTCTGCATTTCCAACTGAGGTACTCACTTAGTCTCATTGGGACTGGTTAGACAGTGGCTGAGGCCCACAGAAGGTGAGCAGAAGCAGGGTGGGGCGTCGCCTCACCCAGGAAGCGTAAGGGGTTGGGGAACTCCCTCACTTAGCCATCGGAGGCTGTGAGGGACTGTGTCGTGAAGGACAGTGCTATCTGGCCCAGATACTACACTTTTCCAACGGTCTTCCCAACCTGCAGACCAGGAGATTCCCTTGTGTGCCTATACCACCAGGGCTCTGGGTTTCAAGAACAAAACTGGGCAGTTGTTTGGGCAGACACCGAGCTAGCTGCAGGAGTTTTTTTTTTCATACCCCAATGGTGCCCGGAACGCTGGTGAGACAGAATCATTCACTCCCGTGGAAAGGGGGCTGAAGCCAGGGAGCCGAATGGTCTTGCTCAGCGGATCCTCCCCCAATGGAGCCCAACAAGCTAAGATCCGCTGGCTTGAAATTCTTGCTGCCAGCACAGCAGTCTGAAGTTGACCTGGGACACTCGAGCTTGGTTGGGGGAGGGGCATCCACTATTACTGAGGCTTGAGTACGTAGTTTTCCCCTTACAGTGTAAACAAAGCCAGGAAGTTTGAACTGGGTTAGAACCCCCAACAGTGTGGCAAAGCCACTGTAGCCAGACAGCCTCTCTAGATTCCTCCTCTCTGGGCAGGGCATCTCTGAAAGAAAGGCAACAGCCCCAGTCAGGGGTCTATAGATAAAACTCCCATCTCCCTGGGACAGAGCACCTGGGGGAAGGGGTGGCTGTGGATGCAGCTTCAGCAGACTTAAATGTTCCTGCCTGCCAACTCTGAAGAGAGCAGCAGATCTCCCAGGACAGCTGTCGAGCTCTGCTAGGGGACAGACTGCCTCCTCAAGTGGGTCCCTGACCCCCAGGCCTCCTGGCTGGGAGACACCTCCCAGCAGGGGTAGACAGACACCTCATACAGGAGAGCTCCAGCTGGCATCTGGCAGGTGCCCCTCTGGGATGAAGCTTCCCGAGGAAGGAGCAGGCAGCAATCTTTGCTGTTCTGCAGCCTCCTCTGTTGATACCCAGGCAAACAGGGTCTGGAATGCACCTCCATCAAACTCTAGCAGACCTGCAGAAGAGGGGCTTGACTATTAGAAGGAAAACTAACAAACAGAAAGCAATAGCATCAATATCAACAAAAAGCATGCCCACATAAAAACTCCATCCAAAGGTCACCAACATCAAAGATTAAAGGTAGATAAATCCACGAAGGTAAGGAGGAAACAGTGCAAAAAGGCTGAAAATTCCAAAAACCAGAATGCCTCTTCTCCCCCAAAGGATCACAACTCCTCACCAGTAAAGGAACAAAACTAGACAGAGAATGAGTTTGACGAATTGACAGAAGTAGGCTTCAGAAGGTGAATAATAACAAACTCTTCCAAGACAAAGGAGCATGTTCCTACCCAATTGCAAGGAAGCTAAGAACCTTGATAAAAGGTTACAGGAACTGCTAACTAGAATAACCAGTTTAGAGAAGAATATAAATGACTTGATGGAGGTGTAGAACACAGCACAAGAGCTTGGTGAAGCATACACCAGTATCAATAGCCAAATTGATCAAGTGGAAGAAAGGATATCAGAGTTTGAAGATCAACTTAATGAAATAAAGCATGAGGACAAGATTAGAGAAAAAAGAATGAAAAGGAAAAAACAAACCCTTCAAGAAATATGGGACTGTATGAAAAGACCAAACCCACTTTTGATTGGTATACCTGAAAGTGACGGGCAGAATGGAACCAAGTTGGAAAACACTTTTCAGGATATAATCCAGGGGAACTTCCCCAACCTGGAAGGACAGGCCAACATTCAAATTCAGGAAATACAGAGAACACCAGAAAGATACTCCACAAGAAGAGCAACCCCAAGACACATAATCATCAGATTGACCAAGGTTGAAATGAAAAAAATGTTAAGGGCATCCAGAGAGAAAGGTTGGGTTGCCCACAAAGGGAAGCCCATCAGACTAACAGCAGATCTCTGCAGAAACCCTACAAACCAGAAGAGAGTGGAGGCCAGTATTTAACATTCTTAAAGAAAAGAATTTTCAACCCAGTATTTCATAGCCAGCCAAACTAAGCTTCATAAGTGAGGGAGAAATAAAATCCTTTACAGACAAGCCAATGCTGAGGGATTGTGTCACTACCAGCCCTGCCTTACAACAGCTCCTGAAGGAAGCACTAAATATGGAAAGGAAAAGACGGTACCAGCCACGCAAAAACATAACGAAATGTAAAGACCAATGACACTATGAAGAAACTGCATCAACTAATGTGCAAAATAACCAGCTAGCATCATAATGACAGGATCAAATTCACACATAACAATATTAACCTTAAATGTAAATGGGCTAAATGCTCCAATTAAAAGACACAGACTGGCAAATTGGATAGAGTCAAGACCCATCAGTGTGCTGTATTCAGGAGACCCATCTCACATGCAAAGACACACATAGGCTCAAAATAAAGGGACGGAGGAAGATATACCAAGCAAATGGAAAGAAAAAAAAAGCAGGGGTTGCAATCCTAGTCTTTGATAAAACAGACTTTAAATCAACAAAGATCAAATAAGACAATGGCATTACATAATGGTAAAGGGATCAATGCAACAAGAAGAGCTAACTATCCTAAATATATATGCACCCAATACAGGAGCACCCAGATTCATAAAGCAAGTTCTAGGAGACCTACAAAGAGACTTAGACTTGCACACAATAATAGTGGAAGACTTTAACACCCCACTGTCAATATTAGGTCAACAAGACAAAATTAACAAGGATATTCAGGACTTGAACTCAGCCCTGGACCAAGTGGACCTAATAGACACCTCCAGAACTCTCCACTCCAAATCAACAGAATATACATTCTTCTCAGCACCACATCACACTTATTCTAAAATTGACCACATAATTGGAAGTAAAACACTTCTCAGCAAATGCAAAAGAATGGAAATCATAACAAACAGTGTCTCAGGCCACAGTGCAATCAAATTAGAACTCGGGATTAAGAAACTCACTCAAAACTGCACGACTACATGGAAACTGAACAACCTGCTCCTGAATGTCTACTGGGTAAATAACGAAGTTAAGGCAGAAATAAATAAATTCTTTGAAACCAATGAGAACAAAGAGACAATGCACCAGAATCTCTGGGATACAGCTAAAGCAGTGTGTAGAGGGAAATTTATAGCACCAAATGCACACAGGAGAAAGCAGGAAAGATCTAAAATCAATGCCCTAACATCACAATTAAAAGAACTAGAGAAGCAAGAGCAAACAAATTCAAAAGCTAGCAGAAGATAAGAAATATCTAAGATCAGAACAGAATTGAGGGAGTTAGAGACATGAGAAACCCTTCAAAAAATCAATGAATCCAGGAACTAGTTTTTAGAAAAGATTAACAAAGTAGACCACTAGCCAGACTAATAAAGAAGAAAAGAGAGAAGAATCAAATAGACACAGTCAAAAATGATAAAGGGAATATCACCACTGATCCCACAGAAATATAAACTGCCATAAATACCTCTTTGCAAATAAACTAGAAAATCTAGAAGAAATGGATAAATTCCTGGAAACATACATTCTCCTAAGACTAAACCAGGAAGAATTTGAGTCCCTGAATAGACCAATAACAAGTTCTGAAATTGAGGCAGTAATTAATAGTCCACCAACCAAAAAAATGCCCAGGTCAAGATAGATTCACAGCTGAATTCTACCAGAGGTACAAAAAGGAGTTGGTACCATTCCTTCTGAAACTATTCCAAACAATAGAAAAAGAGGGACTCCTCCCTAATTCCGTTTATGAGGCCAGCATCATCCCGATACCAAAATCTGGCAGAGACACAACAAAAAAAGAAAATTTCAGGCCAATATCCCTGATGAACGTTAATACAAAAATCCTCACTAAAATACTGGCAAACCGAATCGAGCAGCACATCAAAAAGCTTATCCACCACAATCAAGTCAGCTTCATTCCTAGGATGCGAGGTTGGTTAAACATTTGCAAATCAATAAACATAATCCATCACATACACAGAACCAATGACAAAAACCACATGATTATCTCAATAGATACAGAAAAGGCCTTTGACAAAATTAAAAAACTCTCAGTAAAGTAGGTATTGATGGAACATATCTCAATAAGAACTATTTATGACAAACCCACAGCCAGTATCATACTGAATGGGCAAAAACTGGAAGCATTCCCTTTGAAAACCAGCACAAGACAAGGATGCCCTCTCTCACCACTCCTATTCAACACAGTATTGGAAATTCTGGCCAGGGCAATCAGGCAAGAGAAAGAAATAAAGGGTATTCAATTAGGAGAGAGGAAGTCAAATTGTCTCTGTTTGCAGTTGACATGATTGTATATTTAGAAAACTCCATTGTCTCAGCCCCAAAACTCTTTAAGCTTATAAGCAACTTCAGCAAAGTCTCAGGATAAGAAATCAATGTGCAAAACCCACAAGCATTTCTATACACTAATATTAGAGAGCTAAATCATGAGTGAACTTCCATTCACAATTGCTACGAAGAGAATAAAAAACCTAGGAATACAACTTACAAAGGATATGAAGGACCTCTTCAAGGAGAACTACAAGCCACTGCTCAAGGAAATAGAGGACACAACAAGTGGAAAAACATTGCATGCTCATGGATAGGAAGAATCAGTATCATACAAATGGCCATACTGCCCAAAGTAATTTATAGAATCAATGCTATTCCCATCAAGCTACCATTAACTTTCTTCACAGAATTAGAAAAAACGACTTTAAATTTCTTATGGAACCAAAAAAAGCCTGTATAGCCAAGACAATCCTAAAACTAAGCAAAAAGAACAAAGCTGGAGGCATCATGCTGCCTGACTTCAAACTATACTACAAGGCTACGATAACCAAAACAGCATGGTACTCGTACCAAAACAGATATGTAGACAAATGGAAAAGAACAGAGGCCTCAGAAATAACACCACATATCTACAACCATCTGATCTTTGATAAATCTGACAAAAACAATCAATGGAGGAAGGATTCCCTATTTAATAAATGGTGTTGGGAAAACTGGCTAGCCATATGCAGAAAACTGAAACTGGACCCCTTCCTTACACTTTATACAAAAATTAACTCAAGATGGATTAAAGACCTAAGCGTAAGACGTAAAACCATAAAAACCCTAGAAAAAAAGCTAGCTAATACCATTCAGGACGTAGGCATGGGCAAAGACTTCGTGACTAAAACACCAAAAGCAATGGCGACAAAAGCCAAAATTGACAAATGGGATCTAATTAAAGAGCTTCTGCACAGCAAAAGAAACTATCATTAGAGTGAACAGGCAACCTACTGAAAGGGAGAAAATTTTTGCAATCTGTCCATCTGACAAAGGGCTAATACCCAGAATCTACAAGGAACTTAAATTTACAAGAAAAATACAACCCCATCAAAAAGTGGGTGAACGATATGAACAGACGCTTCTGCACACAAAAGAAACTATCATCAGAGTGAACAGGCAACCTACTGAATGGGAGAACATTTTTGCAATCTGTCCATCTGACAAAGGGCTAATACCCAGAACCTACAAGGAACTTAAACAAATTCACCCATCAAAAAGTGGGTGAATGATGTGAACAGACACTTCTCAAAAGAAGACATGTATGCGGCCAAACAAACATATGAAAAAAAGCTCATCACTGGTCATTAGAGAAATGCAAATCCCCAATGAGAGCCGGGTGCGGTGGCTCATGCCTGTAATCCCAGCACTTTGGGAGGCCAAGGCGGGCAGATCATCTGAGTTCGGGAGTTCAAGACTAGCCTGATCAACATGGAGAAACCCCGACTCTACTAAAAATACAAAAATTAGCCGGGTGTGGTGGCACATGCCTATAATTCCAGCTACTTAGGAGGCTGAGGCAGGAGAATCACTTGAACCTAGGAGGTGGAGGTTGAGGCGAGCAGTGATTACGCCATTACACTCCTGCTTGGGCAACAAGAGCAAAACTCCATCTTAAGAAAGAAAAAGAAAAACTAAAAAAACCGTACACACACAATGAGATACCATCTCACACCAGTCAGAATGGTGATCACTAAAAAGTCAGGAAACAACAGATGCAGAGAAATAGGAATGCTTTTACACTGTTGGTGGAATTGTAAATTAGTTCAACCATTGTGGAAGACAGTGTGGCAATTCCTCAAGGATCTAGAACCAGAAATACCATTTGACCCAGCAATCCCATTACTGGGTATATAACCAAAGGATAGGTACATCATTCTACTATAAAGACACATGCACACGTATGTTTATTGAAGCACTATTCACAATAGCAAAGACTTGGAACCCACCCAAATGCCCATCAATGATAGACTGGATTAAGAAAATGTGGCACATATACACCATGGAATACTGTGCAGCCATAAAAAAGTACGAGTTCATGTCTTTTGCAGGGACATGGATGAAGCTGGAAACCATCATTCTCAGCAAACTAACACAGGAACAGAAAAGCAAACACCACATGTTCCCACTCATAAGTGGGAGTTGAACAATGAGAACACATGGACACAGGGAGGGGAACATCACACACTGGGGTCTGTTGAGGGGTGGGGGCAAGGGGAGGGATAGCATTAGGAGTAATACCTAACGTAGATGATGGGTTGATAGGTACAGCAAACCACCATGGCACATGTATACCTATGTAACAAACCTGCACGTTCTGCACATGTATCCCAGAACTTAAAGTATAATAAAACAAAAAACAATTAGCCAGGCGTGGTGGCACATGCCTGTGGTCCCAGCTACTGGAAATGTTGAAGCAGGAGGATGGCCTGAGCCCGGGAGGTTGAGGCTGTACTTAGCTGGCCGTCATTGCACCACTGCACTCTAGCCTGGCTGACAGAGCGAGAACCCCCACCTCCAAAAAAAAAAAAGAAAGAATTTCAAAGTAAATAAGAGATCAAGCAAAATTTTCCTCTAAATACTTTAGCATTTGTTTCCTTAAGTACAGTTCAATAATTGTTCTTTTTTCTTTTGCAAGAAACTTAGCATTTAATGAACAAATCTTGAGGTGCACTTGCTGAGTTTTGACAAAATCATGTGCCTATTTAACCCAAGTCCCTATGAAGATGAAGAACACTGCCAGCACTCCAGAACATTTCTGCATGCCCCTTCACCCTCACTCTCTTCTCTCACTCTCAATGGGAACCCCTTATCTGACTTTTTTCCCACTAAAGATTAGTTTTTCTGTTCTAGAAATTCATATAAATTAAATCATAAAGTATGTATTCTTTCGATTAATTCAGCAATTTTTTTTTCTTTTGAGACAGGGTCTTGCTCTGTTGTCCTGGCTGGAGTGCAGGGGGCCGAACACAGCTCACTGCAGTCTCAACCCTCTGGACTCATGTGTCTTTTGCCTTAGCTTCCCAAGTAGCTGGGACTACAGGCACATGCCACCACACCTGGATAACTTTTGTATGTTGTTTTTTGTAGATTCGGGGTTTCACCATGTTACCCAGGCTGGTCTCAAACTCCTAGGCTTAAGGGATCTGCACACCTCAGTCTTCCAAAGTGCTGGGATTACAGGCATGTGTGGGGAAGAGTAACATGAATATGGACCTGACAGGGGGTCCAGGAAGACCTGGTAGGAGGGATTTCTGAAATTTCAGGGAAGTAACAGGGAAGGCTAGGAATAGGCTTCCAGGCAGAGTGTTCCCCGGGCCTCATAAAAAGGAGTAGTGAAGAGATAGAACATTCCAGAGTGGTATCTTCCTTCCCCCAGAGGATTGGCTCTCCAAGAATTGAAAGAGTTGTGGACATGTTTCTTTCTGTGTCTCCCTCTGAGGTGATGAGGCCATTGGCAAAATCCTACCCCACGCGTCCCAGGGATGGCTTCACCAATTGTACCTTCTTGAAGAGGTTTCTCTAATTAATCTAAATATTTTTCACAGAAGAAACTCTTTTTCCTTTTCATTGCCAAGGGGGGAGGGGCCGGAAGAGCCCATGAGGTGCTCTCCAGTAGCCGCTGAACATATCGTTTGCTGCTCTCTCCCATCCCTCAGCTCTGGCTCTTGCTGGCATCCCTCGTGCCCACTCAGCCTGATGCCTGCCTGCCCATTCCAACAGGGCTTCTCTCATCAGCATCTGCTATCACCTGTCCTTAGCCTTGCATTGCTGCTGATGAAAGTCCCAGCACTGGGCCAGCTGTGTCCAGCAGGGCCTCTCCTTGGCATTACTACTCCTGGAATCAAGCCTGCAGCTCTTTAACATCCCCTTCAGCACACTCCCTAGAGTACGCTGTACACACCTGGAATCTTTTTTTTTTTTTTTCTTAGACAGAGTTTCACTCTTGTTGCCCAGGCTGGAGTGCAATGTCGCAGTCTTGGCTCATTGCAACCTCCGCCTCCCTGGTGCAAGTGATTCTCCTGCCTCAGCCTCGCAAGTAGCTGGAATTAAAGACATCTGCCACCACACCTGGCCAATTTTTGTATTTTTGGTAGAGATGGGGTTTCACCATATTGGCCAGGCTGGTCTTGAACTCCTGACCTCAGGTGATCCATCGGCCCTGTCCTCCTATAGTGCTGGGATTACAGGCATGAACTACACCTTGAATCTCTTCCTAGCTTCTAGTCCTGCCTCGTGCACTCTCTGTCTGTAGATGCCCTGGGTCGAGGCCAGCAGACCTGGCTCTGATTCTTCTCTCCCCTCTCAAGTTGTCTTTTTAATGTCATCCATCTGCCCTCTTTAATCATGCCTTCTTGCCAGTCCAGGCTCTTTTTCCACCGATTATTTTTGTTCATCAGAGTATTCCTATCTGCGAATCTGTTTCTCTGTATTTGCAAGATGATCTGATTTTAGTTCTTCCACCCACTGCCCCATGATGACCACCCCAGAGTTAACATTTCTTAAGTACCTCCTGGGTAATTTCTTGCTGCTTTCACCACCAGATTTTTCAGAATGTCTGTTGAACCACTTCTTCAGCACTGAGTCCTTGTCCCCACCCCAGCGGCTCTACTAAAGCTGTTTTCTAGCCACCAAATAAGATGTCTTTTTCCCAGCCCTCATGACTTTTGATTTTTCTGTGGCATCAAACTGTTAAACATATAAAAGTCGTTTCTTTGTTTGATCCCTGTGACAGAGTTTTCTTACTCTTTTTGTCAGTTTTTCCCCCAGAAACTTATTTTCCTTCTTCGCAAATACGGTTTCTCCAAGGTTTTGTTTTTATTCCTTCCTCTTCTCTTCGAGCAACTTCATTCATATTTTTATGGCTTCGTTGTTGTTCCAGATGTCTTCCAAACGTATGATTCTGCAAGTCGTCATGTTCAACAGCCTGGAGACATTTCCTTCAGAATTCTCTTCTCTTCCTTTCCCTTCCTGCACAGATATTCACCCCACCCCCATCCTAACCCAGCGTTTTGGCTGGCGTGGCTTAATTGATCTAGGTAGTCTTTTTCACTAAACTTGGTGGTAGCCTCTTAATCCTTCCAGCGTGGCACTCAGGCAGCGACTGCTAGTTGGTATATCATTTGCATCTCTTTGTTATATGCGTACCAAATAACCATTAAAGTTGCTTTTCTCTGACTTATACTTCAGGGGTTGGCCCTGCTTTCTGTTATCCAATTTCTGGTTGCCTGAGGGGTTAGTCCTTGTCAGAAGTTCTGGTTTACTTATTTATTTTCTCAGACGGAGTCTCCCTCTGTTGCCCAGGCAGGAGCGCAGTGTTGCTATCTCGACTCAGGGCAACCTCTGCCTCTCAGGTTCAAATGATTGTCCTGCCTCAGCCTCCCGAGTAGCTGGAATTACAGGTGCCCACCATCACACCTGGCTAATTTTTGTATTTTTAGTAGAGACAAGGTTTCACCATGTTGGCCAAGCTAGTCTCGAACCCCTGACCTCAAATGATTCACCCACCTCAGCCTCCCAATGTGCTGGGGTTACAGGAATGAGCCACCGCACCTGGCTAGGATCTGGTTTATGATCCCTGATCATTTCACTGGCACCATGAGTGGAGTATAAGCTGGAGTTATTCAGATTTCTCTCACTGTTCTGATTCTTTAAAGATCTCTACAGACGAGGTGTAGGTAGGGAGTATGAGATATCTTGCCTCAAGATTGCTGTAAAGTATATCTATGTCCAAAAGTTGTTATATTTTGCAGTTTACTTGTCCTTTGGCCTCTGGGTATATCATAAATTAAATAGAAAAACTTTTAGTAAATACATATTTTAAAAGTTTATAAACCACTGCAGGTAAACACAAATGCACTTTAGGAAAAGTGTGGGCTTTACTCTTTCCCTGAGGCCAGTTGGGTTGTGGGGGTTGTTAAGACAAAACACCATTCCAGAGACATAGATCCTTCTTTGAGAAGGCCTTGCCTGTAGTATCCAGAGTTTTCGCTATTCCAGGCACCCTAGAATCATTCTAAGCTATTGGCATGGAATGATGAGTTTTATGACTTGGTGTTTGGCGATCCTGGGCAGCTTCCCCTCTCCTAGATGGGGAATGCATTATCTGCACTGCTTTCCTCCCTTGAACAGCAGCTGTGACAGGTCACAAGCTCTCAACTACTGGGAAAAAGGAAAAATGGGCTGCAAATCCTTTAAGAGTCTGAACTTTGGGTTTGAAATTGGATTGTAAGTGGAGGTCAGGTATGTGGGAGGTGATTGGGCCCTGGCGTGAAGGCTGCTGCTGACCAGCTGTGTTACCTTGGGAAGTAACTCAGCATCCACATCTGTATACTGAAGTGGTAGGGCTGGCCGATCTGTAGGGTTCTTCTACATCTAGCGTTCCATTTTATTTCCCTGATTATTACCGTTATTGCTTTATCTAATGACACTCTCGTTTAAGCAGCAAAGAAAGTTCTGTGGGAAAGATCAGAATTTTAAAGAGGAGTGGAGTTAAATCTATTTGTTGGTCTGTATTGGGATATTTTTAGGTCAGTGGGAAAGAGGAGGATGTCTTGGAAGACTCTGAGTGTAGCTGAGGGAACTTGGAAGGGCAGACATACTATTTATTGCTGCCCTTAGGTTTATCGGAGCAGCCAGAAAAGAGAATTACTTGGTACAGGCTGGCATTCCATCAAGCCATGTTGTGTACGGCTGTGATTTAAAAGCATAGGCTTTGAAATCAGGCAGACCTGGGCGTCCAGTTGTGCCTTTGTCACCTTCTGGTTATGTGACCTTGAGGAGGATAACATCTTCATAGCACTGGTTTTCCTATTTGTAAAATGGTGATGATAGTGCCTCGCTCATCGCATTGCTGTGAGATTAGATGCAATAATATATAAAACACTTAGCCCGTGTTGTGCGTAGTAATTGCTCCACAAATTAGCCTTTTAATTACAGCCTGCTTGCTTTGGACAGGGCTAGGCATTTGAATTCCAGTACCTGATTTAATTCACATAATCATACTAAGTAGTAGAAATTGTTATCTGCAGATTAAAGAGGAGAAGATTGAAGTTCGGAGGAGTTAAGTGGTTTTCTCAATGTTACACAAGTAGTCAGTGGCAGAGCTAGGATTGGAACCAGATCTTCCTGCCTCTGAGCCCCTTTCCACTATGAACCCTGCCTCCTCGAGTGAAGGAGAACCCTCTTCACTGCCCACATGAGGCTAGGCTCAGCAGGGGATCCAGAAGACTGGTGGAGGCAAGACAAGTCATAAGTATCCTACAAGATGCTGTCCTTTTTATAGATTAGATTCTAAAAAACTATTGAAAGTTCATAAGTTTGAAAAGCCCAAAGTCACGTTATACCAGCTACTATTCAAGCTGCCAGTTGATTGCAGGGGAAATGGTCATGGATTTGTTTTGATGAACAGCTTTGTTTGCAGCCATGAAAATTCTTAACATGAAAGTTGATGCTGGTCATGGTGCTTATACCTGTAATCCCAGCACTTCGGGAGGCTGAGGCAGGAGGATAGCTTGAGCCCAGGAGTTTGAGACCAGCCTGGGCAACATGGCAAAACTCCATTTCTACAAAAAAAAAAAAAAAAAAAAATTAGCCAGGTTGTGCAGTGGTGCATGCCTGTAGTCCCAGCTACTTAGGAGGCTGAGGTGGGAGGATTGCTTGAGCCCAGGAATTTTGAGGCTGCAGTGAGCTATGATTGTGCCACTGTACTCCAGTCTAGGTGACAAAGTCGGTCCCTGTCTCTAAAAGACAAAAAAAAAAGTTTAAAAGTAGAGGCTCATGCAAGGCTGTGCAGTAGAAGAAGAGGTGGGGACATAATCTCATGCACACTCTGAGCAGAAGAGTCATAGCCAGTAACTGTGTAGTGGGATCTTCAGCAGCTTTGTGGGGAGGCAGGGGTGGGAGTGGTGGCATTGAAGATGGGCCTTGAAGACAGAGAAAAGTGAGAGTGGCAGGAAAGTGAGCAGCTGCAGCTAGTGTTCCAAGTGCATAAAACCGAAACTTGGTGCTATAGATTGAGATGAATTATGGAAGTAAGAAAGACTGCTTTATTTGTTATTTGTTTTAGTGCCTCTGATTATGCCATATGAAGACAGGTCAGAGAAAGCCTAAGAAAGAGACGGATATTGTATTAATCAACAAAAAGTATTTTTTAGTGTTTTTATCTTTCCTACACTTTTAGAGTAAACTTCCAGTACCCAAGTGCTTGCAGTTCTTTTGTCTGTACCTTCGAATTTTAGATCTGCACTTTCCAATAGGGAAGCCACTACCATATGTGGCTGTTGAGCATTTGGAATGTGTCTGGTCTGAACTGAAGGAAATGTACAAGACACACTGGATTTTGAAGTGTAGTAAGAAAGAGTAAGAAAGTAAAATATCTCATTAATAATTTTTAAATGGATGTTGAAATGATAATTTAGGTATATTGGGTCACATGAAACATTAATAAATTAATTTCACTTGTTTCTTTTTACCTTTTAAAAAACTTTTTAGTTTTTTTTAGAGATACTACATCACCCAGGCTGGAGTGCAGTGGCTATTCCCAGACAAGATCATAGCACACTACAGCCTTGAACTCCTGGACTCAAGCATCCCCTCTCCTCAGCCTGCTGAGTAGCTGGGACGATAGGCAGGTGCCACTATGCCTGGCTTTTTTTTACCCTTCTAATGTGGCTACTATAATAGAAAATTAAAAATGACGTGTATGACATGGCTTGCATTCTATTTCCATTGGATGATGTTATTCTAGAGGAACCTATTATATTCTTGTTTTTTTTTTTTAACTTTTTTTTCTTACCTGTGTACCAGTGTACCAGTGCAGTTGTTATATTCTTAAAGTTCTGTTATCCATTCTAGGATTGCCTGAGAGTCATAGATGACTTGAGCTAGTTGTATGTCAGGAAATGTACCTAGTCCTTTGGAAGTGATAGACGCCTATCCTATGTCTATGACTGGTTCATGTACATCATTCGGAACTTCAGATTTTTCATCTACATAACATAATGGAGATACTAGAACAGATATTTCCCATGCCCCCTTTCAATTTAAAAATTCTGTGATTCTAGGCTAGGTGTGGTGGCTCATGCCTGTGATCTCAGCACTTTGCGTGGCTGAGGTAGGTGGATTGCTTGAGCTCAGGAGTTCGATACCAGCTTGGGAAGCATGGTGAAACCCTATCTCTACAGAAAATACAAAAATTACCCATGCATGGTTTTGCGTGTCTGTGGTCCCAGCTACTTGGGAGGCTGAGGTGGGAGGATTGCTTGATCCCAGGAGGTCGAGGCTGCAGTGAGCTGTGATGGCACCACTGCCCTCCAGCCTGGATGACAGAGTGAAACCTTGTCTTAAAAAAAAAAAAATTCTGTGATTCTAGCTTGGAGCCAATGCTCCAAGTTTTGTTAATTATTTATTAACAATTAACAGAATCAAGTATTGTTAATTATTTCTGAGATCCATCATAAGGTCTCTACTACTCTCTTTTCCAAGTATCAGAAAGTCAGTGTTATGTCCTTTTACCCCTGGGAATTGTGAATTCTGGAGTGGAAAGACTAGAGAGTTCTGGTAGGCTAAAGAAACCTCCTCTCTCCCTTTTCCTTCCCGGCCTATGGATCCATCTGGGTATGTCTGTGGATGTACCTGAGCAAGGTGGCGAGGGCAGCTCTTGGAACGACCCAAGTATCACAGAGCTTGAAGAAGTTTCAGTTCTTTGGATCATGGCTGCCAAGCTTACTTTTAAATGCCCTAGGCAGGGCAATTCTACAAACTTTCTTTAGATACTAATTAGTTCTTAAACGTTGAGAAATCTGTCTTTCCCTTTTTGGCTCTACTAATGTTAGAACAAATTATTTTCTGTTCCTTGATAACTTCTAGATATCTTTCTTTTAGCAGATCATCCTCTTACACACTGTTTATCCATCTATTAAATACGTATATAATATTGGCTAGCTTCCAAAACAAAAAGATGTCAGACTTGATCTTTGTCCTTGAGGGATTCCTGGTTAATGAGGGTTGGGTTGATCACCAATGAGAAGACATGGTCCTGGGTATCTTGGGAGGGGTATTCAGGGCATTCATGGTGCAGGTAGGGAAAGGAGATGACTCCATGAGCACACTCAGGCAGTGAAACATTTATTTTTGCATAAGGGTTTTTGATATTTCAAAGTGAGACAAGGTTTCAGTTAACCAGCAATAAGTCAAAGTCTGCTCTATAAATATGTTGATATAATTCCATTTAATGGAACATCAGTGTCTGGATAGAAGCTTGTTGCTGTACTGACATCTCCTTTCATGATGCCAATCATATTGCAGTATATTGCCATTAAATTTATTTTTCTTTTGGAATAAATCCTTAGAGTGTGTTACATTTTTTAAAAGTAACAATATGGAAAGGGGGTTATATGAAAGTAGTTTTACCAGTTTAAAAAACAGGGGCACTGAAAAGGGAAAGTAATCACTCTGCCTGTGGAGCCCATTTTATTATAAGTGCCTGAAACTAAGTTATCCTGAATAAAATCTTGACTTTTCTTTTAGAATGTGGGTGAATAAAATATACATGCAGAGGTATTTTTGGTAGCCAGTGCTTCTTGGCTTTCGATCTGAGGTTTGTCGGAATCCTAAAATGATAGGGTACTAGTTGGCTTAAATTGAAATCTCAGATAGTCGGACCGATTGTGAGCACAGAAATGGCAATAATATTTAACATGCATCCGCTGTGGGCGATGGGTCATTGGTTTACTATGCAAACATAACAATTTGTCTCTTGAATGTGCAGAAGATACTTTAAAGTTCTCAATTTATTTGCCAACAATTAGGAGATATTTTATTAAAGGGGTATAAAATAGAAATACATAGCTTTGTACACTAAGTGCCAAGAATGTGCATGCTGAAAAAGAAAAAGCACACTTTTCTTGATTGTATTTAACACTGTGAAATTTAGATATTTATACTATAAGGACAGCATATTTGTGGAAGATTTTCCTTGTACATGATGAGGAATATCTAAAATATTTACCATGAATCAATACTGCTTTTATAATACAAAGTAAATCAGGCAATTTCATGCCTTCTTAAGGCATTTCTGATAACAAATCTATAGGTGAGAAGAAAATAAGTAGGGATATCTCTAATGGTACTTGTTAATATGCAATTCTAGCCATATGAACAGTACAGGTGTTGATGATTTTCTCTGGAGAGTAGATGGACGAGATGTACATAGTAACAACAGTGGTGGCAGTAATATTTATATAAAAGGTTGAACTTACTAGCAGGAGCAGCATGCCAGCTGTTGCCTGGAAAATAGCTTTACATTAGAGCAGTGAGGAATTCTTGGTTTCTTTCTCTCATTTTATCTCCCTTCCCCCATGTACTTCCCCAAAGTATTGCATTTTAATTTCTGTGATGAAAAATCAGTCCAGTGTGAAAATGGGAAAACAATGCTATGCCATTCATGAAGGTAGCTAAGTTGGAAAACACCAGCATGGAGTTTTTGCTGATGTGCTGGTGCCTGATGATGAGAGGGACCCCAGCTGGATTGTGAAGATTGTGGGCACACACAAAATTGATAAAATGCCTTCACTTAGTTTTTGACAGCTTTAATAGCTGACTCAGTCCAGCTGTAAGTAGTAAGTAAATAAGTAAGTTTCATTTACTACCATGCAAGTAAAATGGAAAAGCTCACTATAAATTTTAACTGCTAAATACTATTTATCATTTGTTCAATTCATTCATCACTAGGTATAAAGTTTATTTAATTATTCACGTATACACTCAGTCTTTCATTCAATAAATATTTACCGAATGTGCCAGTATGCAGTAAACATTTACTGAATGAAAAATTTAGGATATGATATATAGAGATGTACATCATGTACGATGAACAGTGGACAAGGTTGAAAAATGTACAGTGTACACGTACAGTGTAGCAGTGAACAAGGTTGATAAAGGCCCTGAGCTTGACAGATGAGACAGACAATAAACAAACTTGCCAACAGACATGCCAGTCACAGGTAGCTATAAGTGATGGGACAGGCATACACAGGGTGATGGGAGAAAATATGTGCACACACAGGGAAGAGTAGTGGGGAGAGGGGATACGACGGCGAGGTGGATCCTGGGTATAAGATGATTGGCGGAAGTCTTTCTAAGGCTGTAATAACTGAGGTGAGACCTGAAAGAATAAATGAGGGAGACTTTCAATGTGAAAGTGGTTTCACATAGTCAGTGGTGTCTGGTGGACTCAGAACTAAGGTGATTTTGCTTTGAATGATGTCATTTGTGTACAGTGATGATATTCCGAGTTGACCCAGGAGCTAACCAGTTACAAAAGACACTGGCTGGCCCTATTGGAGAGCCTTGGAGCACCCTGTTAGGTCAGTAGTAAGCCCTGAATTCCTGGGCTGTTGTGAGACCTCAGGGGAGGACCTGGGGCAGCTGGGTGGCACTCGGAGAGCTTGGGGACACAGCCATTTCTCTATTATGGTATGGAAATATTTCCCTGCTTACACAAGCAATGTGGCATGTGTGACAGCTTGTGTGTAATTCTCTGATCCAAGGAATTTTTATTAACCAATTGTAGTTACAGACCACCTTTATATTCTGGCCACTTCACGTAGTTTAGTGGAAAAAAGTAACCGTTGAATTCTGGTTTTCAATGTTGGCAGTCACATGATTTTACAGTCTGAGTCACATTTGGCGGAAGTACTCTTAGGAAATTGGGTTTTTTTCTCCCAAGAAGGTAATCAACCTAACTCTGTGTCTTTTATAGGCGGCATCACTGTCCACATCTCCCTACCAAGATTTATGATAAAACAGAGAAACCATGTCTTCTCTCCGAATATACCGAGAACTACCCTTTCTATCACTCCTACCTGCCCAGAGAGTCCTTCAAGCCAAGGCGGGAGTACCAGAAAGGGCCTATACCAATGGAAGGCCTGACTACATCAAGGTGAGGGCAAACAGTATTAATGTATGCAGGTACATACAACACTAATGGAGTAACATGCAGTGCTAATGTATAATATTAATGTAATGTGCAGTGCTAATGCATTAATGTGCAGTATCAACATATGATATTAATGCCTTAATGTACTATATCTCTGAAGGAATATCCTGCATTTATGAGCCTTCTCAGTTTTTTCCAAATTCTCTGTTAAAGAGAAAGGATTCTTGCTTGCTGAAGTAAAGGGTGGGGAAAGGCTGGATTAATCTATATAATATAGGATTGGAGGTTAAGAAAAATATTTAAGGGATGGAAAGAGTGGGGGATGTTGCTGAAAAGCAAGTTTTGGGCTTTGTTACATGAAAAGCTCCAGGCCAGCTTGGGTAGGTGGGGGATGGTGGTGGTGGTGGTGAAAGGGAACTTGGCAATAGAGAAAAAATGAGCTTTTTTTTCTCCCCTTAAAATTATGCTGCTGTAAATTTTGAATTGGGGTTCTCCTGAATGTTCTTCAAGAAAGATGAACAAATAATGTTTTGCTTTTAAATTATTCTTGACTCCCAAACTAAGATTGTTTAGCTCTAGGTCTGTGCAGAGGCTGAGCCACATGGTTCAGTATATTAGCGTTGCAGAGGTGTTTCTACTGAGGGGGTGCAGAAAAGTTATCAGTTCAGGGTTGGTCTATAAGCAAGGCTCTTGCAGAATCTGCCATGGACAACTCAGTTAGTGACCTGTGACTGGTGATCTAGTAGAGTGGAAACATCTTTGAGTGCAGTTGGGCAGTCTCAGATTGTATAGTTTTGTCCTTAGCTGAGCCCTGAAAGATTGATGTGTTCTCTGCCTTCCCGGTTCCTCATCCCTAAAGGGCAGGGTTGCTGTGAGGTGGAGATGATGGTGAATGTTGACTGTTCCAGCACAATGCTTGCACATCGGTGCCTCAGACCTGGTGACTTTTCTTCCTATTGCTCCCTTTTGCTTCATGATTTTGTGCTAGTAAAGGTCCCAGATGGTCTAGGTGAAGCAGAACCATTCTAATTCATTCTGCCTTCAGGTTTTCTCCAGAATAGGACTGGAAACATCTGAGACTGTGAGTTGGAGGTGCTCTTCTCTACACAATGCTGCCATCTTCTAGATCCACGGGAAGTCCAGTCTGGGTAATGGGGCAGGAGCACCCACAATGGGAGAAATGAGGCCAAAGGATTCCTGAGCTTAGTGGAAACCACTGGACAGGGGCTTGAGAATGAGAGGGAGTTGAGGGCCTTGTCTGATGCTTGACTTGAATCAGGCCACTTAAAAAAAATTTTTTTTTTAAAACAAGGTTTCCTTCTGTAGCCATGGCTGGAGTGCAATGGTGTGATCATCGCTCAGTGCAGCCTCGAATTTCTGGGCTCAAGTGATCCTTGCCCCTCAGTCTCCTAGTAGCTGGGACTACAGGCATGGACCACCATGCCCAACTAATTTTTAAACTTTTTGTAGAGACAAGGTTTTGCTATATTGCTAAGGCCAGATGATTATATTTATTCTAAGCATGTATCTTAAATGATTTGGTTTAAGTGCAGTGTTTGTGTGTCCTGATGTATTAAAACATTGTAGTTTATGCTGCTGTTTTTTCAACCTATGACTTATTAAACAATATGAACACTAAAGTTTGGGCTTCATTTTGCTGGGAAAACAGTATTCTTTGTCTCTGAGAGTCTAAAGACCATAATAAGAAGTGTGAACCATTTCTGAGCATTGCTTTTGTTTTAGGAAACCCTGGTCAACACCAAGTAAGAGTCCTAGGCACATGTATAAGGGACATGTAATCGGTAGGAAAGGGTGAGAGTAGTACTGAGGGGTGGCTTGCAAATATCTTGTTCGGTCTCCAGGTGTGGGTCTTTTTATCTCTTTATATCCAATTTGCAGGAAATGAAGAAGACTTTGTGAGATGTCTAGTTGGCTTCAGACACTGATATATTTCCTATCCTGAAAGTATAGACAGGGATGCTTTGAAGGTTGGTTGTTGCAGGTTGCTTTGTTAGCTGCCCAAAGCTTAGGAGAATGGGGACAAACCCTTGGTCTGGGGCGGAAGACCTGCCCCAACACCTAGCTCTGAGGCCCCCAGATGCAACTCCAGGTACCCTCCCTCCTCCTGATGGTGCTTCGCTAAACAAAAACTTACCCTCTGACCTGTCCTAAATTATCCTTGCCTTGTGTCACTTAAAACAATAAACATATCACCCAGAAGGCCCCTCTGCCCCTGCCGGAGTCAGAGTAACAATAAATACCATGTACATCAAATGTGGCTAAAGTAGAGGAAAGCAGATTCTGCAAGAATTTCCAAAATAAGCTGTTAATGAACATAAGGGCCTTAAAAAGAAAAAGTGGCAGGATCAAGGTTGTCCACAGGGAGGAAAAGGAGCAGATATGAATCTCTTTTTATTTCCTACCCTAAAAAGAGAAGTAAAGGGGAAATGAGTAGAAGACATCTGTGTTCTCTTTTCTACCACAATTTCATTATTTCTCAACCCTGTGCCTGCCATGATAGGCACTACTGTTCATAGACCGAGAACAAAATTATGCCACTGTCAGGAAATGTAGGGAAGCTACCATCTGGGTGTTCCCCTAGAGGCTTACAGGGGAAGGGATGCGTCAGCCCAGTGTCTGCACAGCCCAGTGTCTGCACACCCTTGTGTCTGTGCAGATTGTCGTCACCCCTCTGCTCTTAGCACTCTTATTACTGGAACATCCCACCCACTTCTTTATCTAAACAGTGACCCTGCTTAGTTTCTGAGGTTGGACATGAGGCTCCCACCTGCTGAATGAAAAAGTCACGTGGTCCAGGGCTTTGCTGGGTTTGGTGATTAAGCCCAGACACAAAAAAACACCTGGTTTCTGGAAAGGTTATCATCCCAGCGTGAGGCATGATTATAACTGCACACAACTCTTACTGACCATAAATCTTGGGGATTTACAGCAGGTGCCATGAGGGGAATGCTTGTGATTTCCAGCCATTCTTAGTGTGAAACTCTTTCTTGCAGCCCTTGGTAATTCTCTGGTGTAGAATCTGCCTTTACTTCAGATAGACCTGAGATCAATTTATGAATAAGAGGTTTGCACTTCCAGCCTCATTTCCCCATAGGCATGTCACCATGTAAAACACTTGGATCCCAATTTGAGACATTCTGTTAGCTAAACCAGCTCGCTAAAGATGGGCAAAATGAGCAGCATCAGAAGAAAGAGGTGAGTCTTCAATGGTGTTAGACGTTTATCCTAAAGGGAGTGGGACCATGGGTAGAGTGGAATGGAGGCACAGAGTGAGGAGATAGAATTGAGTTCAGACTTGATGGGTGTGGCTGAAAGGCAGACGGCAGGGAATTGGTAGCATCGACTCTATCACTTATTTGCAAGACTCCTTGGTAAACCAAGGAGAGTAAGGGAGGGAAGAGCTAAGAGAGAAAGGGCATTTAGTATCCTCCCCAAAGGTCAGGAAAGAAACAAGAGAGTTAGTAGCAGGCTTGAGTCTTGCACTGCCCATTGAATTTTATATATATATTTTTTGTTCAAAGAGACACCTGACTCTCTTACTCAGAGCTGTACCACTGGGCATATACTTAGCCTCCATAGCCTGGGCCTGAGAATTAGTGTGAACACAATGTAGGTAGAGTTCTCGGCACTGGACTTGCTTGGGCAATCTCAGAGCCTTTGAATTGTCTATACTGTATTTCTGAGTAAATTTGTAGACATTTTGGCCATTATTTCTTCAAGTAATTTTTCTTTCACGGATGCTCTGTTCACTTCTTTTCCCCAATCTTTTCTCCCCGTCCTCTGTTCTTCAGATTGGATAGTTTCTATTAACCTAGTTTCAACTTCAAGTTTTTCTCCCTTATCTCCATTTTGTGATTAAGGCCATCCAGTGAATGTTCTACTTCACATATTTTGCAGTTTCAGAATTTGCATTTGATTCTTGTTTTATATAGTTTCTATTTATTTTACCTAATTTCCTATCCTTTAATTCATTATGGCCTTACTTTGCTTTCCTTAATGAGCATGGTTTAAAAAGCTACTTTAAAATCCTTATCTGCTAATTCCAATGTCTGGTCTGCTTGGAGTTGGTCTCCATAATTATCTTTTTTTTTTCTTTTTTGAGCATGGGTCAGATTTTGGGTTGATTTTTGTACAGTGAGAATGTTGCTACATTGTGGACACCTTAGATGTTTGTTTGCATTCCTCTAAAAAGTGTTTTTATCTTTGGCAGGCAGGTAACCTGATTTGATTTACAATGCAAACTCTGTGTCTTGGGTGGCCGCTCAAATCTCACTTCAGTTCTTTAGCTTGGAATCTACCCCATATATGTGAGGTTATGCAGAGATTTGGGCCCAGTTTATGTACAGAATTTAGGGCTTCCTGTCTTTGACTCTCTCATTTCCAGGTTTCTTTCCTCATTTTGCAGCATCCGTGGTTGCTTCAAACTTGGTCCTCTTTTTTTTTTTTTTTTTTTTTTTTTTGGTGAGATGAAGTTTTGCTCTTGTTGCCCAGGCTGGAGAGCAGTGGCACGATCTCGGCTCACCGCAACTTCCTCCTCCCGAGTTCAAGCGATTCTCCTGCCTCAGCCTCCCGAGTAGTTAGGATTACAGGTGTGTCCCACCACATCCAGCTAATTTTGTATTTTTAGTAGAGATGGGGTTTCTCCATGTTGGTCAGGCTGGTCTCATACTCCTGACATCTGGTGATCCGCCTGCCTTGGCCTCCCAAAGTGCTGGGATTACAAGCATGGGCCACCGTGCCCGGCCAGCCTTCTGGTTTTTGTAGTCAAGAAAAGGTGATTACCTAAAAGATCTGCCTTTTAGCTGCCCTCCCTTGCACAGACTGGAGCTGACCTTCAGGCTGGAAGCTTTGAATCTTAAATAGTTAATGGAAAATTAAGCAATGAAGCCTCACACAGTGCCATTTTCTGCTTCCACCTGTTGGCTCTCCCCAGAATCTACCTTTTTAGAGCTTTAAAGTCATTTGAAATAGTTTGCCTAGGGTTTATATGAAGTGGTGACAGATATTTGCCTCAGCCTTAGTGGGAGTTGAGGGACTCAGAGGGCAGAGGAGAAGACAGGTGCTATGTAACTTGGATTCTGGAGTGCATGGGCTTGGAATCCCATCTGTTATAGTGAAGGTAAGGAGGACTCTGTGTCCCATAAGGACCAGGGGCATGAATCAAACCCTGTGATTCAGCCAAGGATCTTTTGCAGCACAATGGGATGGACTCCCCAAGCTGCCTAGGATGGGAGAATAGTTTCTCTAGAAGGGTGCCTTTTGACATTGGGAAGTTTGAGAATAGCATATAGAAGTGACAAAGTCAATCAAATCAACTGACAAAGAGCAGAACCCCATAGAAGACATGGAGAAAAGATCATGAGGAGTGGTATCACGGAAGTCAAGGGAGAGAGTATTGAAAAATTGAGTGAGAGGATGGATGCTATGAACAACCACAGTGGGATAAGGTTGAGAAGCAGCGGTTGGGTCTGGAAAACAAGGTGATGCTTGGAGTATCCAGGAGTGAGGGGAATCAGATCTGATGGGTGGGACATGAGGAGAGGAAGGCAAGTCTGTACTTGTAGACAACACTTTCTGGAAGACAGAAGGGAAAACTGGAGGAGAATGGAGCTCAGTGAGGATAGTGTCTTGTTTTACTCTTTACCTTTAAAGATGGGAGGTAACACTCAATGGAGAAAGGAGGCAGTAGGGAGGAAGAGAGAAAAGCATGGCCTAGGAGATGGTCTGCAGATGAGATTCCCGAGAAAGAGGGCAGGGGTGAGAGAGGTTGGCTTTGGCCAAGAGGAGGAACTCCTTTTAAGATGGATTCCATTTTAATATAATTGATTACTTGGACACACTAATATATCTTCAAGTTTGCATAAATAAACATTAAAAACAGGTTTAAAAAAAGTGTTGCATGGCCCTTTGTCATGGTGAAAATCTTCATTTCCCACTGCCAGGCTCAGGACCCTAGCTCACTGTTACGTTATTTCCTCTTTCCTTTTGTCAGAGAGTTGTCAAACACCTTTCTTCAGCTTTGCTAAATGATTTGAAGTCAAGTTGTTATGACTTCCCCAGCAGGACCACTCCAACTTTTTACTTAACTCTGAGTTTAACTCTTGGCCTTCCCTACTCTATAACTTTTATAGCTACTTACCTAAAAGAAACTTACTTCTCTGACCAGTTTCTTTTTCTTGGTTCATGTCACATGTGCACAGAGACTGGGAAATGTACCACAGAAAGAGAGGGGAGATCCAGTGTTCTTAAAAAGAAAAGCTAGTTAATTGGAGCAATTCTGGGGAGACTAAAATATAGACTTTTCTTTTACGTGAATTTAAAGGCTGTAAGATTATGTGTGATTGGGGACATGCAGTTATGTTGCGGTTAATGACAGGTTTCAGTGAATGTTCTCAACATAAAAACATAATGAGGAAACACATAAATTCTGATTAAATTCACTCCTAAGCCACAGTAACTATGTTTGGGTAGGTTATAAAAAAGTCAAACTTTAAAATTTTTCTTCTCTTCAGAAGTAGATACCGCTTCCCCCCACCCCCCATAATCATTTGCCTTAGTTATGGCTGATCAATAAATTAAACCATAGAGGAACACTTACAAAGGAACTTAAATTTTATACTGGAAAAGGCGATTGGCTTTTGTCTTTGGGAAACCAATTTCAGAATAGTCTGTGAACTGGTGAATTTGGTTTTGGGCTTTTGTCTGCTCTTTTCCGGTAGAAGCCGTGGGAGATGCGCAATAAGCGTGCTTTAGTTTTCAAGAGTCTGGCAGCCTTTGAAGGGAGGTTTCTGCGGCATCCCTGAGAGGAAGCTGGTCCTCTTGGTCAGAGTAACTGCAGAAGAGGCTGCTATGGACTCTGTGTGCAGGGTCCCTGAGAGTGGCAGCCTCACAACTGGAAAGCATCCCTAGATGCTCTGAGGTTGGGTGGGCTCAGCACGGCAGCTCAGGCGCCCAGCTTTGTTCCTCACTGCATGCCCTTGGTACCTCCTGATACTCCTTGGAAATGAATAGGGTGTAGGCTTAGGTAGCCATCACTGAGCACAGGCTTTTATAAGGGTTTAGGAATGTGTGGTCTCAGGCTGCCTTGAAACCTGTCCATCCCTTCTGAGAGTGAGGAGAGCTCAACTTCCCTTGGGAGCACTCCCTTTAGAATGTACACTTTCTGACCAAGAGTCCCTTTCCACTCAGCTGGTTTTCAGATGGAGTTTTCTGGGCATTTTCATTTGTCTTTGTAGCCTAAGGACTTACCCTCTTAGTTCCCTGCTACAATTGGTTTAGTGCTGAATAGACACCAGGGTGTAGTACTTGCTCACTGAGAACAGCAGAAGTAGGAGCTGACCCTTGGCTGCTTGTTCAGTCCATTCCCTCCATAAGCCCCGATATGTACAGTCAGCTTCCAGACACTTCAGGCTAACAGCAGGGCCCCTAGGAAGGGAGCCCAGGCTGAATGTCCTATAACTGCCGCTAAGATATATTTTTAAATCTACCCAGAGGGTGTTAGGGGAGTTCAACTGAAGCATCTCCCATTTCCTCCTTAGAGCCCTAGAGAGACTAATTCTCCTGCTTCCTAACTTCCTTCTCCCATCCCACTAAGCATTTTCAGGACCCGGTTCGGGTTTACTGACAATCATGTGTATAATTCACGCAAGACAGGTTACAGTGGAGCGTGTTACCTTTGCTAGTCAAGCATGGCTGAGTAATGCTGCTCCAGATTTTGGCCAGGAAGTGGGTTTTATTGGTGTTTGGGCCTAACGTTTTCCTGTCCGGAAACCTTCCCCTTCCCTTGACAGGGATGTTCTGGCAAGCACCATCAGGAAAAATCTACCTTCCCTTTGTCCAGTTGAATAAATGGGTTCCAGGCAAAAACAGTTTGTTGTGTAAAACAGACACCCTTCAGAGGGAAATGTTAGCATTGAGAGGTGGGAAGTTGCGAGTGCCCTGGAGGGCAACACAAGTCCGAGCTAAGCCCTGGCTCCTTAGGGCGGTTCCTGGTGGGCATTGCAGTGAGCATCTGGGCCTTTTTATCTGGGATGCTTTGGGGAGGGACTGCTTCCTGTTTAGTGAAGACCATTATACTTTTTCGATCCTATTGTTTTGGTACTCCCTGAAACAATGGGGGCGCAGACACCAGATAGCAGAGAAATGAAGGAGTCAGGGTTTCCAGTTATTTCACTGTTTTCCTCTTCTGGGTTTTCTGTAGGCTAAGTAGAGGAAAGAGATAAACATTAGCAGGAGAAGCTTTTGGGAACACAGAGAAGGTGGCAGCGGCACCTGAAAGGAAGATACCTCCGCAGTGAAGGGGTTGGGTGGAAGGAAGGTGGAGAGCGCAGCAGTAGAAACGGTGGCATTGTGGTTGGAGTGCAGGGTTTTCAGGTGGGGTGGGGATCGTGAGAGACAAGGGTGAGTCAGGCAGGAGCCAGGTCCAGAAAGGCTTATAAATTATGCCAGGAAGTTGAATTTTACCTGGAAGAGTTTTAAACTGGGGAAAGCCATCTGATTTCCATTTAGAGAGTTTATTCTGGCCACATTATGGTGATTGAATAGAAGTGGTAGGAATGAAGGAGGAAGCTCAGGTGGCAGGCTGTTAGTGAGAAATTGTCAGGATCTGGACCAAGGGGAAAGAAAAACCAATGAGGTGGAGGGGCACTGGTGGTGATAGACTCTGGGGCCGTGAGGAAAGGAGGTCAAAGATGAATACAGGTGTCTGAGTTGGGTGAGAAGGAATTGATGGTACCCTTCTCAAAAGTGGGAAATAGAGGAGAAACAGTTCGGGGGAGGAGGGAAGGCAGGTAGAGTAGAACAGGACTTCTCAGCAAATGTTTGTAGAGTTGGGTTGAGCAGAAAACATAAGCCTTATCGCAAGCCAAGGACCCCAACAGCATGCACTTGCTTCCTTACAGGAGAGATTTTGGGCCTCACAAAGTGGCACCAGTGAAGGTCCACCAGTATGACCAGTTCGTCCCGAGTGAAGAGAATATGGATTTGCTCACGACGTATAAGAAAGATTACAATCCCTACCCTGTCTGTCGAGTGGACCCCATCAAACCTCGGGACAGTAAATATCCATGTAGCGACAAGATGGAGTGTTTGCCTACTTATAAAGGTGGGAGAGCACAGAGGGGCAGATTGGGGGAAAGACAGGCTGAGCCTGTGTGCGGGCCAGGAAATGTGTTTTATGTGCATACTCAGTTAGTGCAAGAGTTGGCAGACTACTTCCTACGGGCCAGATCTGGCCAGCAGCCTGTTTTTGTATAGCTGGAGAGCTAAGAAGAGTTAAGCATTTTTTTTTAATAATTGAAAAACAAATCAAAAGGATATAATTTGAGGACTGTGAAAATGATATAAAATTGAAAATTCAGTGTTCATGTTTTATTGGAACGCAGCCATATTCATTCATTTACGCAGTATCGATGGCTACTTTTTTTTTTAGCATAGTAGCAAAGTTGAGTAGTTGTTGACAGAGACACTACAGTCTGTGAGGCATAAGACACTTAATACCTGGCTCTTATACAAAATATCTGCCAACCCCTGCCTTAGCTTGCAGTTTGAATCCTATATTGGGGGAAGCATTTCAAGTTCAGGCTAAGTTAGTTTCTACCACTGATTAAGTGATTGATTCATTCACATGTTTAAAAAATATATCAAAATGTAACATACATATGGAAAAGTATACAAATTATAATTATAGAGATCAATAAATTTGCACTGAACAAATCCATATAAACAGTACCCAGATCAAGAGATAAAACATTACTACTCCATTTCTGTTACCCTCCCCAATGAGAATATAACCATTATTTTAACCTTTAATACTTTAAATTAGTTTCGCCAGTTTTGAACTTTATATAAATAGGATTGCTTCTTTCTTTATTGAGTATCTATTGATATTACCTATGAGGTGTGGTCCTAGAAACTGAAGGAAGCATAATGGCCTGCCCTTGACTTTCTAGCCTAGTGGAGAGACAAGATACGTGGTCATATGTGTTTTGCTAGCAGACAGCCACTCTATGGAGCTCAGCTGCAAAGACTGAGACCATGAGACTGGAGACCAGGTTTGTAATCAATAACTCATGCTTATGATACCAACCTTTGCCTTGCCCTAGGAGGACAAGCTGAACAGTTCACGGACCTCTAAATGCTGTGAATAGAGAGGGCCACTTTTATTTAGTCAAGCCAAGCATTTAGGGTGAAGAGGGTGGTGGAGGTAGGGAGGTTGGAGGGATGTGAGCTCCTAGAAGGGCCTCTAATTCTGTCATCCTGGAGGACCCTGTGCTTAGTTGAGTTTCTCTGATTCTTCCAGGAACTGAAGACTGGATTGGCGTGGGCCTCTTCAGCAACCTGGGCTCTGCCCTTTTATTTTCTTTAGCTTCTTCCTCTAACACTCCCCCATAGATAGCTACCTTTGGTCAAGCCACCTTTTATCAGCAGTACAAGAACTGACTAATATTCTGAATGTTATCATACCCTGAAATGGCCCCACCTCTGAAGTCTTTGTGCACATCGGCATCCTGTCCTCTGGGCTTGTCCTCTTATCTCCTCCCACCACGACAGTCCTTGGCCTTTTTGGGACCTCCAGTCCATTGACGTCTTAATCCTCCCTCTTACCACCAGCCGCTCCTGTGTCTGTCCCTCCCCATGGAGTCTCTACTTCATGGCCTATCTTTGGAGCCCAGCTCCTACTGATAGCCGAGAGTCCCTCTCTCTTCAGCCCTTTTGCTGTTTCCTCCTAGCAAAGCCCTAATCCTGTTTTCCCCATGTCTACACCTGGGCACACACCTGAGCATATCTCCAGTCTTGTCAGCTTTTACTCATTTTCCACAGAAAGGGAGCAGAGCAGTCTTCTATACATGGCAATCTGATCTGACCACTCCTTTGTATAAAACTCCTCAGATAATCATTTGATAAAATCATTATTTTGTCTAATCATATCATTTTATCAAACGATAAAATCATTATTTTATCAAATCATATTATTTTATCAAATCATATGATCCTATTACGATAAAAACCCAAACCTTTTCTGCCTCCTCTGATGCCTTGGAAGTCCTGGTGTCTTCTAAGCCCCTCTGCTCCAGCCTCAGGGCCTTCTTTCAGGTCCCTTCCTACATTTCTTTTCTGCTTCAGGGCATTTGTTTAGCACATGTGATGCCTTCTATATAGAATCCTTCTGCTTCCTTAATCTAGCACTTATCCTTTCAGCTAGCAGCTGAAAGATCACATTCTGAGCCCTTCCGCCATGTCAGGCTGGATGCTATATGGGTGCCTTGCACTCCCCTGTCTTATCATGCATTGTGTACTTTTAATGCTTCCTTTAATGGCCAGGCTGTAACCTCCAAGGGGCAGGGATCTGTTTGTCTTTTTCTTTCCCAATTACCCTCTCACAGCAGGCACCACACAGGAGTCCATACAACCAGGTGTATGACCATGGGTAGGGTGTTGGGGGGCACTTTTGCCTCTACTGAATGCATTCTTCTCCTTTTTAATCCAGTGTTTACAAGAAGACCAGAAATAAGGCAGCACAGACATTGAGCTAGTGGGATAGAGGAATGAAACTGCAGTAAGCGCTTTCCACGATGGGTGGAGGGAATAAGGGACTGTGATATGGCATATCCGATGGCGGACTCGCCTCTCCTCTACACTGTCTTTGTGGGCCCTGTTGGTTTATGAATCTTAGTATAGGGAGAGACTCTTCAGAGCTCCTGCCTGTCAGTTCAGTTCCCTCTCTTCCACCTTGCCCTAGGTGCAGGGAGAGGTCTGCGAGTGAAAAATGCTCCTTGCTTGTCTTGGGGGTTGGCAAGGATGGAGGAGGTCTATATGTAGCATTTAAAGAGAAGTCCTCCCTACTTCTCCCCAGCAGACTACTTACCGCTCAACACACACACACATACACACACACACACACACACACACACACACACGCACGCACGCATGCACCCCACCACACCCCAGCAGTACTCTTTGTTTAATCTCTTTCACTGCCATTTTCCCCTGTCTCTCCCTTTGTCCATACAGCTACATCTCAGGCTGTCCTCTTCAAACTACAGAAGAGTGAGTATTCCACAGCTTAAACTGAATCATGGCTGACAGGGTTTGGGTCTCTGCCCCCATGAAATCTCATGTTGAATTGTAATCCTCAGTGTTGGAGGTGGGGCCTGGTGAGAGGTGATTGTATAATGGGGGCGGTTTTTGATGGTTTAGCACCCCCCTGCCCCCTTAGTACTGTAAAATGAGTGAGTTCCCCTGAGATCTGCTTGTTTAGAAGCGTTTGGCACCTCCCCACCTCCCGACTCGCGCTCTCTGTCCTGCTCCTGCCGTGTAGGATGCCTTATTGCACTTTGCCTTCCACCATGAGTAAAACTCCCTGAGGCCTCCCCAGAAACAGATGCTACCATGCTTCCTGTACATCCTGCAGAACCATGAGCCAATTCAACTGCTTTTCTTTATAAATTACCCAATCTCAGGCATTTCTTTATAGCAGTGCAAGAACTGACTAATATAATGGCTGACTTCCCTACTGACAAAGTTAAAATTGAGAAAATCCTATTTTCTTCCTCAGTTTCCTTAAACTTCTGGTACCTCTTAACTGCTTGCCTACTTAAACAGAGTTAATAAATGAACACCAGTCAAGTCTGAACTGGACTGCTCAGAACCAGGCATGCATAGATGGACAGGGTTTTTGTTCTTGGAACATGTGCATTTGAGGTTGGAGTTCATAGTTTTCCTCTGCAATTCCGATTTTAAAACAAATCAGTATGTAGCTAAAGGAAACACTTATAGTTAGATTAACCTATGGGTACCAGTTTGCAACATGTGTGTCTTATGAGGTTTTTTTTTGAATACTACTTTCTTAGTTCATTTGTGCTGCTGTAACAAAAATACTTGAGAGTGAGTAATTTATAAATAAGACATTTATTTCTCGCAGTTCTGAAGGCTGGGAAGTTCAAGATCAAGGCGCTGATAGGTTTGGTGTCCAGTGAGGGTCTGCTCTCTGCTTCCAAGATGGTGCCTTGTTGCTGTGTCCTCATGTGGTGAAAGCCAGAAGGAAAAAAGGGCCTTGGCTAGCTCCCTCCAGTCATTGTATAGCAGTGCTAATCCATTCATGAAGGTGGAGCCTGCATGATGCAATCATTTCCCAAAAGGCCTCACCTCCCAATACCACCGTATTGGGGATTAAGTTTCAGCACATGAATTTTGGGGCACATTCAGACTATAGCAAATACTTTTATTCTATTAATTGAAGTGGTTTGTTTGTTCTGTCACTCACCTGTGATAGAAGGGCTTCCCAAACTGTGCCTTGAATGCCCAACATCTGTATTCCCAGCATCGAACACAGGGAATGACACAACAAAGTGTGTCAAGTGAGGGACTCAATGGATGAATGGTTCTGAACCATTGTTTACAAGGGCTCCAGGTGACAGAGTTTGGCATATCTACACAAATCCCCACCCAGGCTATTACCCTGTGGGTCCTGGCCAGGAGCAGAAGTGAGGATTGAGAAGGCCCATGCCACTTACCATTTGGTTGGGTCAGTCCTTAATAACCCCATGCATTTATGAGGGGTCACGCCCTTATCTCTTGGTGTATCACCCCTTGGGTGACATGTTTGTGTCTTGTGAAAATTTGCTGCTTTCTTAAGTCTTTTCCATAACAACCTTCATGTTTTATGACCATACGTTGATTCTCTTCCTCCTCTACCACCCAAAGAGAAACCAAAGACCAAGGTTATTAAATACATGTTTCAGTGGGTGCCATCTAGATTTTGTCTATATGCTCTGCTTACATTTGTTCCACAGAAAAAATATGAAATCTTTTTTTCCCCTTTTCACTCTATGGCCAGCACCTTTACTGGGGTCCAGAAAACCACCAATAAAATATGCTTTAGCGGCATTTGGTTGTAATTTGTGACATTTTCAAAACACTGTGCAATTGGAAAGATTGAGAGTGTAATTACTTGATGCTCAGCTTTAGGTTTAGCTGTTTTTTTAAAGGCACATTATTGAATGGAATCCCTTTTAAAGAAGTTCTTGCCAATTACCCACATGACACTCTGGCCCTGAAGGGCTTTACTGGCATATGAATAGTTTGTCATGTGAAATTCTGAGGTTTTTCAGGGTCCTGTAGAGGTTTTTGGTAATAAATGCTGGGTGGAGGAAGTCGGGAGGCTTGGATAATAATGTGGTTTCAACTATATTGTTGGGTATCAGAAATCACATGAGGCAACTTTGAGCTTAGAAACCTGTTTTGTTAACACTTCATCCATCACAGAAGAGAGCCAGAAAAGCCCTGTCCTCCCCACCCCCAAGTACCTTGAGGGAGTGCGTAGGCATCTACAGGTAGATGCCTCCGTTTCAGCAAGGCCAGGAGTCTGGGGGCCGGGGTGGGCAGGAAACATGTGGTTTATATTCAGCAAGATGGTTCCCTCCAAGGCCCCCTAATGCTTTCAAGATGCTGATAGAGCCGTTAATGGCTCTTGGAGAAAGATTAGATTTTCAATTAAAATGAAGCCAATTTTAGATAAATAGTTGGTAGTATTATCAGCCTAAAATAAACTTAAGAGCGTGCTGGTGGATGAGGGGGTGGTATCAGGACTTCTGGAGATGAGGAGTAAGGAGCTTGGCAAATCCTCTTCCCAAAAAGCAATGACAAAACTGGACAAAACAGTGAAAATCAACCATTTCTAGACTCTGGAAATCAGCCACTGGTATGCAAAAAAATTGAGAAGCATTTATTAAAGAAACTGTGGCACCTTGGTTATTAACACTAGGAGTCTGTGATGTTTTATTCTGGGGCTGCTTCCATCACCCCATCCCCACCCCTGCTGTTTCATTTATGTAGTGGCTCTGCCGGAGCAGGCTAGGCTGTGGAAACAAGCAGCTGTGCTGTCAGTGGGGCCTGACTTGATTGGGAATAGAGTGCATCCCCAGGAGTTTCAATAAAAACAATAGTGAGCTTAATGGCAAGAAATCAGGGAAGACAACTTCTGAGTTAGTCTGAGGCTGCAGTGCTAGTTGTGGCAAGCAACAGACCAGCAAACCAGCTAGGAATGTAAGAAGGGAGCTTCAGAGAATGAGACAGACACAGTGGGTCTTGATAAGCTCATATGTATTCCTGGTGGTCGGGAAGGCTGTGCATATGGGCAAGACTGTGTGCAGACTAAAGGGCAATCAGAAAGAAACCCATCTATCAACTCATCATCCCTGGTTGAGTAGTCTGGAAGGCTGTGCACATGGGCAAGGCTACATGCAGGCTCAAGGGCAATCAGAGAGGAGCCCATCTATCAACTTATCATCCCTAATCATCCCTAGTTAGGCCTAGTGCTTGTGTAGGGGAGGCATGAGAAAGCCCAATAGGAAGTAAAAGCCAAATGAGACTTATAAACTGCCTGATCTTTGTATGTGTTTTTCCTAACCCACACACAGCTCCATTGGCAAAGTGTGAATGCCTTACTGGCTTAAAGTTCTTAAGTTTAACTTCTGACCAATCATTGGCTGACCACTAAACTATGCTGACAGAGTGACCCTTAAGAAGTCAGGCAAGGTGGCTCACGTCTATAATCCTAGCACTTTGCGAGGCCCAGGTGCGCAGATCATGGGGTCAGGAGGTTTTGTATTTTTTTGTAAAAATACAAAAAAAGAAAACAATAAATTATCTGGGTGTGGTGGTGGACGCCTGTAATCCCAGCCACTCAGGAGGCTGAGGCAGGAGAATCGCTTGAACCCGGGAAGGCGGAGGTTGCAGTGAGCTGAGATCGTGCCACTGCACTCCAGTCTGGGCAACAAGAGCAAGACACCATCTCAAAACAAACAAGCAAATTAAAAACAAAAACAAATTAAAAAGAAAAAAATGAACAAAAATATCGGTAGCCATACACTGCAGGGAAGATAAGACTCTATGGAATTAGTGCAGGTAAGCTAAACACAAGTAAAACCAACTCCCAATGGGGATCAGAATCCAGAGTTGCTGCAGCATATTATCTAAAGTGTTGTGTTTTACACAAAAAAATTGTAAGATGTGAAAAAGGGAAGTATGACCCATGCATGGTGGGGGAAAAAGCAGTCAACAGAAAGTATCTCTGCAGGAGCCCAGATGTTGGACATCGCAGACAAATATTTCAAAGTAGCTATTATAAATATGGTCAAAGAATAACAGGAAAGCATATTTAAAGAAATAAAAGTATGACAACAATTGCTCATCAAATAGAGAGTATCAGTAACAGGAAATAATAAAGAGGCAAATGAAAACTCTGGAGTTGGAAGGGCAATAACTAAAATAAAAAATTCGTTAGAGGGGCTCAACAGCAGATTTGAGCTGGCATAAGAATCAGCAAAAATGTGGATAGTTCAATAGAGATTCCCAATCTGAAGAACAGAAAAAAATTAAGAGAAAGGTCCAAACCAGACTCGTGGAATACCATAAAGTGTACTAACATACTCATAATCATGGCCCCAAAAGGAGAAGAAGGGGGCAGAAAAATGATAGATTAATGGCTGAAAGTTGCCAAATTTTATGAAAAATGTTTATTAATACATTCAAGAGGCACAATCCAAATAGAATAAGTACAAAGAGATCCACATCTATTCATAACATAGTCAAATTGTTGAAAGCCAAAAACAAAGATTTGGAAGGAGGCAAAAGAGAAATGACTCATCACATATAGAAAAATGACATTATTATTATTATTATTATTATTTTTGAGACGGAGTCTCGCTCTGTCACTCAGGCTGGAGTGCAGTGGCTGCAATCTCGGCTCACTGCAAGCTCCGCCTCCCGGGTTCACACCATTCTCCTGCCTCAGCCTCCCTAGTAGCTGGGACTACAGGCGCCCGCCACTACGCCTGGCTAATTTGTTGTATTTTTAGTAGAGACAGGGTTTCACCATGTTGGCCAGGATGGTCTTGATCTCCTGACCTCGTGATCAGCCCACCTTGGCCTCCCAAAGTGCTGGGATTACAGGCGTGAGCCACCGTGCCCGGCCCAAAAATGACATTATTAATGGCTAAGTTCTCTTCAGAAACAATGGAGGACTGAAGGCAGTTGGTTGCATATTCACAGTTTTGAAAGAAAAAAGTCTATCCTTCAAGAATTTCATATCTAGTGATATTATGATTCAATAATGAAGGCAAAATACATTCCCAGATAAGGATGGAGAGAAGTTACAGGTACCTAGCTTGCAAGAAGTACTAAAGGAAATCCTTCAGGCTAAAAGGGAATGATACCAGATGGCAGCACAAATCTACACAAAAAGTAGTAAAGCATACTGGTAAATGTAATTAGGTAAATATATACTTTTCTTTGTTTTCTTCTTAAATCATTAAAAAGATATTTTTTTCTTTTAATTCATTTAAAAGACAATTACAGAATCAATATTTATAAAACTATGAGATTTATTCTGGGAATTCAAAGTTGGTGTAACATCAGAAAATCAATTAATATGCCACATTAATAAAGTAACAGAAAAAAGCCACTTGGTTGATAGAAAGCATTTGACAAAGTTCAACACTCATAAAAGCTCTCAACAAGCTTAGGACTAGAAGGAAACTTCCTCAGCCTGATAAAGGGCATTCACAAAAAAAATCTGTACTTCTAAAACATCATACTTAATGTGAAAGACTAAATGGCTTCCCCCTAAGATTGAGAACAAGGCTAGGATGTCAGCTTTCACCACTTCCACTCAATATTGTATTGGAGGTTCTAGCTAGTGCAATAATGCAAGAAAAGCAAGCAGACAAGTAAATGTATCTAGGCTCAAAAGGAAAATGCGAAGCTGTCTTTATTCTCAGACAACATGATCCTGTATGCAGATAACACCAAGGAATCCAAAAAATTACCAGAACTAATACATGAGTTCAGCGAGATGTCAGTACTGAACAATATATAAAAATCAGTTGTTTCTGTATTCTAGCATGGACAATCAAAATGGAGTCAAGAAAACTGTTCTCTTTTTAATAGCCTCAAAATTAATAAAATCTTGGAATAAAATTTTAAAAAAGCAAGTGTAAGTCTTGCATGCTGAAAGCTACCAACGATTGCTGGGAGAAATTAAAATCTGAACAAAAATGATGGACATTCTGTGTTCATGGATTGGAAGGTTCAATACTATTAAGGTAAAGTTGTCCCAAATTGATCTGTAGATTCAATGCAATTCCTATCAAAATCTCAGAAGGCTCCTTTTCCTTTTTAGAACTTGGCAAAGTAATTTTAGGTTTTATATATGAAATCCAAATAAACCAGAATAGCTGAAAGTATTTTTGAAAAATAAGAACTAAGTTGTAAAACTTACACTTCCTGATTACAAAACTTTATTATAAAGCTACAGCAATTGAGACAGTTATACTGACACAAAGACAAGTATAATGACCAATGCAACTAAGTTGAGAGTACAGAAATAAGCCTTTATGTCTATTGTCGTTAACTTCTCACAAAGATGCCTAGGCACTTCAGTGTGGGAGAGGATAGTCTTTTTGATGAATGGTGCTGGGACAGTTGGATATCCACATGCAAAAAGACGAAGTTACCGCATCCAAACTCAAAAGAGTCAGAAACCTAAATGTAATAGCTAAAACTATAAATGTTTCAAAATAAAACATGGGAGAAAAATCTATGATATCTTGGGACAGGCAAAGAATTTAGACATGGCATCAAAAGCATGATTTATTAAAGATATAAATAGGACTTTATCGCAATTCAAAACCTTTGGGCACTTAGAAAGACACCATTAAGAAATGAAAAGAGTCAGGTGTCAGGTGGGTGTTTTGTTAAAATAATAAGAAAATGAAAAGAGAAGTGATAGACTTGGAAAAAAATTTGTAAATCACATACCTGGTGTAAGATTTGTATTTAGAACATGCAAAGAATTCTATAACTCAATAAGAAGACAATCTAATTTTAAAATGGGCAAAACATCTCAATATTTTACCAATGAAAGCACATGAAGAGCGGATAAGTGCATGCAGAGATACTCAACATCATTAGTCATTAGAGAAATGTAAATGACACTGCAAGATACTACTAAATACCCATTGGAATGTCTATAATAATTTAAAAACACAGATGATAACAAATATTGACAAGGATGTGGAGAAATGAGAATGTTTATACGTTGCTGGTGGGATGTAAAATGGCACATCTACTTCTCCACTTTGAGAACATTTGGCAGTATCTTTTTTAAAAAGCTAAAGATAGATTTTTCTATACAACCTAGCAATTTCACTTTATTATCTACCCAAGAGAAATGAAAATATATGTTCACACACAGACTTCTTCACAAAGGCTCATAGCAGAATTTCTTTATAATAGCCAAGGAGTAGAAACAACTCAAAATGTCCATCAATTGGTGAATGATAAACAAAATTTGGTATCATATAATATTATTCAACAATAAAAAGGTGAACTACTGATACAGGCTACATTATGGATGAACCTCAATTACATTACACTAAGTGAAAGAAGCCAGATGCAAAACGCTACATATTGGGTGATTCTATTTATATGAAATGTCCAAAAAATGCGCAGTTATAGAGACCAAGAGCAAATTAATGGTTGCCTGGGGCTGGAGATGGGAGTAAAGACTGACTACAAATGAAGATAATTGGTATTTTTGGCATGATGCAAATACTCTATAACTTGATTTTGGTGATGGATATACAACTCCATAAAAGTCACTAAATTGTGTACTTCAGATGGTACCTTTTATTATGCAAATTAGATTTCAATAAAACTGTTACAAATTGTGCCTGCGGACTCCACTAGTGTTGGTGTGTATACCCAAGGCTCCTGGGAAGCAGCTTTTTTTTCTAACCTTTCGTACAGCAGTAAGCAAGAGAATTCCCTATAGATTCAGAGGGCTCACTAGGGCTAATTTAAATCTGGTAATTTATGGGCCTGATGGGGCAACCTAGGTCTTGGATGTTAGTCAAGTATTTTGAAAGAATGCCAGCAGTAGGCCGGGCGTGGTGGCTCACGCCTGTGATCCCAGCACTTTGGGAGGCCGAGGTGGGCGGATTACCTGAGGTCGGGAGTTCGAGACCAGCCTGACCAACACGGAGAAACACCGTCTCTACTAAAAATACAAAATTAGCCGGGTGCGGTGGCACATGCCTGTAATCCCAGCTACTAGGGAGGCTGAGGCAGGAGAATCGCTTGAACCTGGGAGGTGGAGGTTGCGGTGAGCTGAGATTGTGCCATTGCACTCCAGCCTGGGCAACAAGAGTGAAACTCCATCTCAAATAAAAAAAAAAAAGTTCCAGCAGTGCCAAGGCAGTTGAATCACATGGTTTGTCATCCCATTTTTCTCACCTAGACTTTCAGTCTTGGTGTGCTGGCCCTGATGGTCTGTGTGGCAAAGCCAGTTTCAAAGGCTTACAGTGCTGCCTGAAGACAGTATCTGGTCCTCAAGATGCATGGAGGCCATCTCTACTGCAGATTTCCTTGGGGTCCAGGCCTCCCATTATGTTGGCCATTCCAGCCCCACAGCAGAGGTTCCTCTGGAGATGGACATCTAGATTGGCCAGTTCTTCTCATTCTTCAAACATTCTGAAGTTCTTTTCCTCCTGAAAATCTTCCCTCTGATTATTTTTTTCTTTAACCTTTACTCCATCTGGAAATAAAATGCCCCTAAGTGTGATATGAGGTATCAGAAGAACATGGCTTTGGAGACAACAATACGGTTTAAATTCCAACTCACCTCACTAGCCATGTGACTTTTGGGCAAGTTTCTTAGCTCCTCTGAGCCTTGTATTTAGAAATCTGTAGAATGGAGAGAATCATACCCATCACAAAGGGTTATTGTGAAGATGAAACAAGATCATGTATGGAAAGACTTGAGCACAATTGACCGACATGTAGTTGGTATTCCCTAACTGTTAGAACCAGAGAGTAGAGTGGGTCAGATCGTGGGCTCTGGGTCTGAATTTGCATTTGTGCTTTTCCACTTCTAGCCAAGTGAGCTGGGACAAATTCCCTCATTTTCTGTATATCTGTTTCTGCATCTATAAAACTGGCATTAATAGTACCCACCTTATTAGGACAGTCTGAAGATTAAGTGAGTTAATATATACAGCACTTAGAATACTGCCTGTTATGTAATAAGTTTTATATAAGTGGCAGCCACTGTTCTCTCACCACCCAATACAATGCCCTATTCCCTTGGAGCAGCATATTTGATTTATGTGGATTACATGTGAGGATTACAGGGACACAGTGGGCTGTCACTCCACAGACGACCAGGTAGGCCTGGTTCATCTGGCTGGTGGCCCACCAGTGGTGGGTTGTGAATTTTCTATCTCACTACATCACATGCATCTTCTCACTCCTTCCATGCTGATTCAGAGAAAGTACCTTCTCCACAGAAGAAAGGAAGTGTTGTCAGAGTAAGCTAGTGGTTGAACTTTTCTGCAGGAATGGATTCCCTGGATCCTCTCACGACCATGGACCCTCTAAGATCCCTGCATGCAGTATTGTGGGGTGTGATGAGAGCTCCTGTAGATTTGTCTCTTCTGCCTGCAAGTACCATAAAGTTGACACATCAGGTGTTTGAATGAAGTGGTAGCAGGGATGTGCTCTGTTCTTTCTTTGTCTCAAAGAACACTTCATCGGAGACTGCCTTAAGACCTTGGGGCTCTGTAGAATATATGCAAGTTGGTTGACTTGATTTATTATTAATTACCTCTTCTGCTTTAATTTCAGCTGATTATTTGCCTTGGAACCAACCAAGGCGAGAGCCACTTCGTCTGGAACACAAATACCAGCCGGCATCAGTCAGGTTTGATAACAGAACCACACACCAGGACGATTACCCCATAAAAGGCCTTGTGAAGACCATAAGCTGTAAACCTCTGGCCATGCCAAAGCTCTGTAACATCCCCTTGGAGGATGTGACTAACTACAAGATGAGCTATGTGGCCCACCCCGTGGAGAAGCGCTTTGTGCATGAAGCAGAGAAGTTCAGGCCCTGTGAAATCCCCTTTGAAAGCCTTACCACTCAAAAACAATCCTACCGGGGCCTGATGGGGGAGCCTGCCAAGAGCTTGAAACCTCTAGCCAGGCCTCCTGGGCTAGACATGCCTTTCTGTAACACCACTGAGTTTCGAGATAAGTACCAAGCTTGGCCAATGCCCCGGATGTTCTCCAAAGCTCCCATCACCTACGTCCCTCCCGAAGACAGGATGGATCTTCTGACAACAGTGCAGGCCCATTACACATGCCCTAAGGGTGCCCCAGCTCAGTCCTGCCGACCTGCACTTCAGATTAAGAAGTGCGGTCGCTTTGAAGGCTCTTCCACCACCAAGGATGACTACAAGCAGTGGTCCAGCATGCGCACAGAGCCAGTCAAGCCCGTTCCCCAGCTGGACTTGCCCACCGAGCCCCTGGACTGCCTGACCACCACTCGGGCCCACTATGTGCCCCACCTGCCTATCAATACCAAAAGCTGTAAGCCTCATTGGTCTGGCCCTCGAGGAAATGTCCCTGTGGAAAGCCAGACCACCTACACCATCAGCTTTACTCCCAAGGAAATGGGCAGGTGCCTAGCTTCATATCCTGAGCCTCCTGGCTACACCTTTGAGGAAGTGGATGCTTTGGGTCACAGGATATACAAACCAGTTTCCCAGGCAGGCTCTCAGCAGAGCAGCCATCTTTCTGTAGATGATTCAGAAAACCCCAACCAGAGGGAGTTGGAAGTGTTAGCCTGATTTTGAAAAATAGTAATTTAGAAATTACACAGTACTTTTAAAAGCAGACAACTGAGAATTATTTGTTGGACAAAAAAGAATTCCCTAAAATGACAAAAAACAAAAAACAAAAAACCTTCACCACTTCCAGAGCACTTGAATAAAATGAGAATCACTTGACTCAGGGAAAATGACATTTAATCACCGGCTAATTAACTCCCCTTACCTTCTCCTTTACTGCATCCCCACCCCGTTTCAGGTCCTTTACTTTGTGCTTATGGAATCAAAGTTGGTCTGTGAGGGTTTCTCTGATCCAGATGTATTTTATTAATTTAATCATTGTATGAACTGACATAATGATTAACCCTTGCCAAGTATGAAGCGCCAAAGAATAAATTTTATTTTGGGGGGAATGAATCTGTAGGCTGGCTATGCAGAGAGTAGTCCGTATTGCTTGGGACCTTTGGGAGATTTTATACTAGCACCCCCATTGTGTATCAGTATTGGTGGAGGTGCCTTGGGCCTGGTCTGGAGTCTTGTTTTGGGTTCTCTCTGTGCAGGGCTGCTTCACAAAGCATCCTTCTACCTCTTCACTGCATGACATACCAGCAAGAATAGTGCTGTTCGATGGGGTGTGGATCTCTTTAGTCACAGGTGATGGAGGGAAAGAAAGAGGGAGGCAGTGATGCATGAACCTACCAGACCTCTCCCCAACCCCAAGCTGGTACAGGCTATGATTCCAGGGAGAGGAGGGAGAAAAAGCACCCTTGGCAACCAGGCAGTCGACGCCTGGTCCTTGAGCTGTGAGCAAAAGCTGTGGGCTCTTCTAAATGCTCAGAGCCTGGAAGAAATTTCCCCAGGCTGGCCTGGTTTCTGGAGAGCCTGGATGTGCTTGTCCTAAAATGACAGCTGTGACCAGACCTGTGACAAAGTTTAACATAGTGGTGAGCCACATTCCGCCCTGGAGTTTCTCTCCTGAGCCTAAGGTTTTTACCACGTTTGTTTCTAAGGCCAAGTAATTTAAAGTTATCTTATTTATATTTTTTTAACTGAGCAAAATTGAGGAGGGACTTTGTTAAAGAGGGTCCGATACAGCCAATTAACTTGCAGATTTTTTTTTTTAACTGGGCAGAATTGAGGAAAGACTTTGTGCCAGTTAGGTGAGCTCATGGGTCTGGGTGAGCCTCACAGAGGGACGTAGACTTAAGTCTGGGACACTTGCCTCTCTCGAGTTCACAGAATCCTGAAATGTACTCCATGGTCTCAGGGAACTTGGGAGTAGCATGGAGAAGGTGGGGGGAGTTCAGCTCATGTCTAAAGCCTTGGGCTTGGGCTCAGGGCCTGGTGGAGGGACCAGGGGCCTGTTCCTTTCTATCTAGGGCTCTGTCTTTCCATGGCTCTCACCCACCTGACCCAGGCTTCGCAGGTCCCCACACCTTGCATCCTCACCATGAGCTTTGTTTTCATTGTTGGGTTGGGATCTATGTTATTTAATCCTCTCATTGGTTTGTATGGGGTCTGAGTGCCTGCCCTTAGGGGTAGAAAGGCTCAGAGTGGTTAAGCACCTTTCCCAAGGCCATACAGCACGGAGCAGCAGAGCCAAGGTCAGAATCCAGGTTTTCTGACCCATGGCTCTTCCACAACACCAGGCGCCTCCCATCTTCTGTGTCTCAGATCTCCTGGCTCCACAAACCACATCAAACCACCTTCTGTCTGAGCCTACTGGAGTTCATTAAGCTAAAGGATTACACTAAGAAGGGTAGGTTTTATTATTACTACTTTTTTTTTTTTAACAAATCAAAAAAATATTGGCACTTCATTTGAAAAGCCAAATAGTGCTAAAATGCTTGTAAAAATACAGCAATCTCTTATGTCCCAGCTGCTTAGCCTTCCCCCATTGATATTTCCCCAGAGAGAACAGTTTTAAATTATCTATTTTGCTAATACTTCTATTCACATTCCTAAATAATATGCATATACTGCTATGTGCTGATTCATCAACTTTAGACATGCTTTGTTTTGGCAGATTTCTCTCCTCTCAGTATAATTATATGACAGTGTTTGGTAACATCAAGGCTAATAAGCTTTCCTAATTTTATCAATTGACAGGAAGGGAAGAAGCTGAAGGATGGGATTGACCTGGCTGACTGAGGAGCACAGACCCTGTTGGAGTGAAGAATTTTGTCTGAGCTTTGCCTTTGTAATGAGGCCATCTTCATGGTGACCCCAGGCTGGAGAGGCCACCCTAGGGCATCCCTGCCTTGCCTGTTCTTCTTGGTCTTAAGAAACCAACTCTCTTTGGGAGGCCGAGGTAGGCGGATCATGAGGTCAGGAGATTGAGACCATCCTGGCTAACACGGTGAAACCCTATCTCTACTAAAAATACAAAAAATTAGCCAGGCGTGGTGGCGGGCGCCTGTAGTCCCAGCTACTTGGGAGGCTGAGGCAGGAGAATGGCATGATCCCGGGAGGCGGAGCTTGCAGTGAGCCGAGATCACGCCACTGCACTCCGGCCTGGGAGGCAGAGCGAGACTCTGTCTCAAAAAAAAAAACACAAAAACAAAACAAAACAAAAACAAAAAAAACCCAACTCTCCCCCTACTACCTATTTCTTTTTTTTTGGCTTCCAAATTAAAATTTTCTTAATATTATGAAAGTGATTAATACAAATAAAACACTTAGAAAATACAGAAAAAATACAAAGTGCCTATCTGGGGCCTCTTCATGTTAGTGAAGAGCATGCAAGGTTTTTGGAGTCCAGACCTGGCTTTGCACCTTGGCCCTTGACACCACAAGCTATGAGAGCTTGGTCAAATTCTTCAACATGTGAAAATGTGGATAATAGCAATCCTGGCCTCATGGTTTTGCTGTTTGGATTGAATGATAGTGTATATGTCAGTCACTTAGTCCTGACTCACAGTTAACTCTCATTAAATGTAGATGAGGATGAGGAAGACAATTGCTGAATTGGGACTGGCTGAATCTACTTATGATTTCATCAGTCAGTGTTTACAAGTGTGCAGGTAAGGATAACTGCTCATTTTTTATTTAACATATTTTACAAAATAAAATATATGTGTATTTTCCTCATACAGGTGAATTACTCTTTAGTTGTTTTGTGTCAGGGTTGCTAACTATGTTTCCTGGAAATCTGGTTTGAGAAAGCAACTGGGCCACGAGGAGGAAAGCGGAGCTGAGCAGATGGGGCACTGGTTTCCTTCTCAGTTCTAATTCATGCACCTCTTTAGCAGGTCTGTGTGTTGGGCTTCCATATTGAGTTTGCTGGTAAAAGGCTCTGTGATGAAAGGACAGGCACACACATGTGCACACACTGCCCTGTACCTGGTATGATCTGATTCAACAAATCTGACAACGGGAAACCTTCAAACATGTTGTCTTCTCTCAAAAATGTGTGCACATGCTTATACTGCATATCTTCCACTTACGAGAATGAATTGGGAGCTTAATCACCTACCCTAGCCCAGGGTTCCCAAAACTTTAGGTGTGCCATTAAATAAAAATGACTAGAGGTCAAAGATATTAATATAATAGAACAGAAGGGAAAAAAGTGTTATGGCTATGCAGGAAGGCTGTTTCAATGCAGGATTGAGTAGGTTCTTGGGGATGAGGTTCTGGGGCAGAAAATGAGAGTCGAACTTTTACAGCTGAAAGATGGTGAATTCTAGTCTATCAGAGGAAAGGACATTCTCTAGTGAGGTTGATTGGCTGGTAAGAGTGGGCTTTGTGTGGAGCCCTGGGCTGGCTGGAAGTGGTCTGCTGGTTTAGGGTACGGTGCCCAGGGGCGTCTGCTGGGCATGCAGTCCTCTTAAGATGGTGGTATCTGACAACCTCAGGCTATGGGCAGGTCTGCCATCCTGTCAGCAGGCTAGGTGACCAGGGTAGGCCTTGTCCTTTGGTTCACGTTACACTGGGGCCACCTGTGTGGGTGGAGATTCTGGTACTTTGCCTTCATTTTGGGGGGATCAGGAATTCACTTTCCAATCCCCTCCCCATTAAGGTCTGAATATAGCACCAAATCAGCTTAAAGGACTCTTCATTCTACTGCTGGCTGCATTTTCTCAGGAATCAATGTCTTTAAAGATGAGCCTCATTTTTTGGCCTGGCTTCAAGCTCTTGTGCCGGACAGTGGTTGGAGGATGGGGAAGGATAGGTCCCTTGTTAGTGATGCCCCTGATTATAGCACCACTTGCTCCCCTGCCCTCTGTGGTACCTGTCATTTCAAATCCTGAGCCCCACCAGCTTCTGTCCATAGACCCCATTCTCTGCAGCTCCAGCTCCCTGGCCGTGTCTTCATTCCAGGCTGTGGCTTCCTCTTATACATTTGTCAGTCATCACTCCAGCATTCACCTGCCTTCTTCAGGTTTCTTGAAATCCCTTGTCCTTTGAGGACATTCCTCCCATTTTCTTCATGATGGCATTTTATATTTCATTATTCCTCTGCTGTGGTTTAGTATCATGTGAGTGAGGAGTGGGAAGGAGTAAGCACAGGCAGGCAGCCCGTTGCTAGACCTGGCCTAGAGCCAGTTGGAGGGGGTGAAGCGCTCATGGGCTTTTACCAGAGTCTTCTCAACTGCAAAGCATACCTGGAGGGTGACTTTGGCTCTGACTGGGCAGAAGGGCAAACCTGGAGCAGAATAAGCACCAGGCTAACTGGTGTGTGCAGGTGAAGAGAACCCTGGGAGGGGTTGCTAACCCCTGAACCCCAGGCCATTCCCTGAGGCTATGCTCTCCCACCTCCATCCTCTGCTCCAGCTGTCTGCCTCCACACCCTCTCAGATAGCATCAGCAGACCAGGGGCAGCTGAGCAGACACCACAGCCCAATTCTGACATCAGGGGCAACAGTCCTGGCTGGGGTCTGAGCTGAGGGAGCCAGCACTGCCTGTCCCATCTTAGGGTTTGGCTTTTGTGTGTGACTTCTAACTGCCTTTTCATTATAGTCTCATTGCCCTAAAATTGAAATGAAGTAACGTAGATATTGAGAATAAGACCCTCCTTTTTCTGCCTTTTTTTTTTTTTTAGCGGAGTCTTGCTCTGTCACCCAGGCTGGAGCGCAGTGGCGCGATCTCGGCTCACTGAAAGCTCCACCTCCTGGGTTCATGCCATTCTCCTGCCTCAGCCTCCCGAGTAGCTGGGACTACAGATGCCCGCCACCACGCCTGGCTAATTTTTTGTATTTTTTTTTAGTAGAGACAGGCTTTCACCATGTTCGCCAGGATGGTCTCGATCTCCTGACCTCATGATCTGCCTGCCTTGGCCTCTGAGTGGAGCTAACTGGCCCAGGGCAATGAGATCTGCACAAAAACACTTTCCAAAATGACTCGTCCAGAAGATGAACTGAGGGATCCATTTCCTCTGAAAGTGCTTTTTAGCTGTGCAGTTGTCAAGAGGAAGTAGGTGGAGCAGGCAGGGGTGTGCACAGTCCTAATTGAGGATTAATGACCTCCTGGCTCCTCAGACCTGCCCTGCCTTCACCCAGGTCCACATCTGGTCAGCAGCCCTCAAAGTGGGAAGACAGAGGCCTTTCTGAGCATAAATGCTGGGGTTGGGGCAGACAGGGGTGTTTTCTTTGGCAGAGCAGGTTTAGAATTGCACATGGCTGTCTGAGCAGGTACTTGGCTCCTCCCCACTTTGAGGGTGCAACAGTAGCCCCGGAGCCCGTGACCCTTCCAGAACATGTGCTCCGGAATCTGGAAAACGCATCAGGGCAATGCGAGGTTAGGCCCTTCTTTCAGCCACACTACTGGGCTGCAGGTGCCCTGGTTCTTGAAGCCTCTGGATCCTTAGATACTTACATGAGAAATCTTGATGCATTTTCCTTGTCAACCCTCTAAGTGTGGCTGCAAACCCAGCCTGATGCAAATAAAAAGACTTGAGAGTTTCCACTGCTGTGATTGAATCTAACACTGATTTTCATGTTACCCAGACCAGCCAGCCTGCCTGCCTATGCCTCTGCCTACCTTCTTAAGGCCAAGGCTATACTTACAACGACAACAAGGGAGTTTAGTTACCTCCCTGTTGCTTCAAATCCCCATCTATTTTATTATAAGATCATAAAACAGGGGAGTCCGCAAATACCCTTTAAACAGGCAGTGACTTGAGAGTTATAGGCAGAAAAAAATGCCTGAAAAATGACTGAAATTTGACTTCTGTGCCAATGGATGACTTATGAAGAAATGGAATTTTTGGACTATGAATGCTCCTGGCCTTAAAAAAAGAATTTTTCATTTTAAAGTTCCTAAGCAGAGTTCAGTGCTTACTATCAAGTTGGAGTGGTTCTTTTCTTGGCTAAGTAGTATAACAATTCCCATCTTCAAAGGTCAGTTATTTAGAAACTTTAGCTGTCCAAAACCAAGGCAGGAACCTGGAAATAAGTGACTTTTAAATTGCCAAAATCATCGACACATCGACAGAGATTTCACGTACAGAAACTTAGGTACTCTACTCAGTGCATACCCCTACCCTGGCTCTTACTCTCAGCACACTGCCCCCGTCCCCGACTTTTGTTTTTTAAACACACAATTCCATTGAGTTTCTTTCATTTTGTTTACTAGCTCACAGCAGAGCACTAGAGGTTGCTGCTAGAGGTAGACACATTTAAACAAAGCAAAGTGACAGCTGATAGCTTGGCAGTGAGACTAGAGGCCCAAAATATTTTAAAATGCAGAACTCAAAAGTATAGCAGCTCAGGAATTATGACCCCAGTATAATAATAAAAAAAAGACTGTATATACACACATGTTTTATTAAGTCTGGAAAAATATACCATGGTTTGTGCTTATGACCCCAATTTAGTAAAAAAGAATAAAAAATTATATACATACATTTTTAAAGTCTGGAAAAATGCATCAACAGTGTTGGATAAATGAATTCCCATTTGTCTCATTTATCCAGAATAATAAGGGAATAGGGATTTGTAGTATTTTAATATTCGGTTAACCTATAGGTAATATGTATTAGCCTTTCCCAAGGTGTTTTCTATGGAATACAAGCCTTATGATATGGTCTTACAAAAAAAATTCACTGGACACATAAGTTTGAGTAGTGCTGTATATTATATCTCCCTGTTGGAGATTCATAATGCATGTTAATATTTTGAAGGCTCTGTGAAGCCCTATAGTAAAGAAACCTTGTTTAACTTTGTATAACCCAGTGTATGAATCAGCATTCTTGCAATTACAAGTGCTTAAGCAAAAAAGAGGATTTATTGGTTCAGGCAGTTGAACAGTCTAGGGCTTTCTCTGTTGACTTTAGGCATAGCTGGAACCAGGGGTGTCAGGGATACAGTGAGGTCTTGGTCTTCACCTTTTGGCTTTGTTTTCTTCTACAATGCCCTCTTACATAGGCCTTACAACATCCTTTTAGCTAGTAATCCCAATGGAGAGAAAAGGGCCTTTGCTTCCCAGTGGTTCCAGTAAAAGTACCTGAATTGAGTCTTGCTGGGCTTGAGTTTTATGCTGATCCCTGAGCTGATCATTGTAGCAATAGAAGATACTAATCATCCAGGCTTGAATTGGGGTCCACCCCTGGACGGAGCAGTGTGTATGTGTGGGGTCAATCTCGTGTGAACTACATGAACTGCATGAGGGCTGAAGGGGTGGGGTGGGTCCCCAAAGGAAAACTGAGGTGTAGTTTCCAGGGAAGGGAGGGATGAACATTGAGCAGGAGGAAGCAACATTTTTCAGCTCTGACGAGAGAGCCCTTTTATTGTGTAAAACCTGTTGGAACACACATGGAGAAGTACTGCCAAGTACTCATCATAAATTTTTCAAATAAGTTTAGAATACAATAAAATACACATGCCATGCAGACACGTAGTTCAATCTATCTTTTATGATTCAGAAATCTCATTGGATCCTGTAGCTTCTCAGGGTCAGCTCTGAGTGTTAAAATATCCTGGTTGTTGACAGTTTAGATCATTTGGCTTCTTGATAAATGAGAGGTTATGGTACAGCCAAAATGCAGGACACAGAGGGCCTGGGAAAATTCATTTATGATGGACAATGGACTCATGCGAGTATCACTTGCGTAAAGCCCCTTCGAGTTCTAAAAGCACCAGCACATCCCATCTCATTCAATCCACGCAACCCCTCTCTGTTGTTATTCCTGCCTTTCCAGGCAGGCAACTGAGGCTCAGAGAGGTCATACAACTTGGCAAAGTCCTCACAGGATTGCTCAGGGGATTAGAGGAAATGAGGTTTGTAAAACAAACCTTGTGGACAGTAGTTTTTGAACGGTACCTTGGAAGAAGGGGAGCGCTAGAGAGATGCAAGAATAATCTCTTCATTCAGATTGAGAGAAAAGAATGAATTTTGGAATACTTTTAAAGGGGCATGCAGTTTACAGGTGTATGACCTAAGAAATAGGTTGAAAAAACTTTAGGAACAGTAACCGTGTGTGTGTGTGTGTGTGTGTGTGTGTGTGTGTGTGTTTGTGTATGATCTTCCACTGTACCTAATATAGAGTTAGCATCCAGATCTATTCAATAATTGCTTCTGGGAACACAGATACAAAAATGTTGATTAGATTCCAATGGGGGTTTTTTACACGATGTTTATTTATAAGACTAATCTGTAAAAAGGAATGATTACAGCCAGGAGTTGAAGGTTATTTGAAGAGATCATTCAGTGTTTAAGTTCTTGGTTTGAAACAGTTAATCACTTTAGGTTGGATTCTCTTCACTCTAGAAAACAATTCCTTTGGATACACCAAGGAAAAACATATTTTTGTCTTGTGATTTGGTAACACATAGTCACATCTTGGAGTCTGTCTTATAAAACCCCAAACGATGGTATTTAGGAAGCATTTATCTTCTTGGTTAAGAAGCTCAGGAAGATTCCATGAGACTCCTACTTTTGTTTCCCGTGGGCTCCGGGAACCTGCCTGACTTAAGACTATCACAGTGCCCTTCCCCACCCTGTGCAGCCCCTCTTTCAGAGTCCTGGGTCAGTCATTCTAACATTCTCTTGTCCCAGGGCACCTCCCAGGGAGCCTGCCCAGATGGCCCCCAGGTGGTCTTCAGCTTCTTCCAGGCGTTCATTTTCTCTACTTGTCCAGTGAGTTCCCTGTGTGGTAGGTGGGGACTCAGGAACCCTGTCTTCTCCCTCCATATGTCCTGTCATGTAAACCGCCACCTCATAGATCTGCCTACTTCCTCCTCCACAAACCCTCGCAGCTGACTTAGCTCTGGTCATCAGGATGGATGGAATGCCTTGTCATAGCATTGACCACATCCCTCCGTTCCTCCCTCTGTCCCTCCCTCCCTCCGTCCCTCCCTCCCTCCCTCCCTCCGTCCCTGCCTCCGTCCCTCCCTCCCATCCATCCACCTATCCATCCATATATATGTACTTACACCTATTCATTCTTTCCAAAAACGTCTATTGGGTGCCATGCACTCTTCTGGGTGTTTGGGCCTACATCAGTTAACAGAGCAGACTCAGATCCTGCTCTTGTGGAGCTTATGGTCTAGTGAGGGGGAGATAAACATTAATAATAAATAAGCATAATAAATAATGAGCAATTATATAATGTATAATTAAAATAACACATACTAAATAATAAGCATATTAATGATCTGATATGTCAGAAGGCAACAAGGAAAAGGTCATTGGGATGAAGAGGCTCAGGTTCTGGGAGGCACAGGTTTTAGTTAATGGAGCAATCAGGAAGGGCCTCATTGAGAAGGTGAGATTTGTGAGGCCTGAAGTAGGAGATGAGAGAAGGAGCCAAGTGTCTGTCAGGGAGCAGCTAGAGCACAGGCCCTAAGGTGGGCATGTTTCTGTCTAGCTGTGTTCAGAGAGCAGTGAGGAGGCCAGTGAGCACCTCACAGGCTATTGCCAGGAATTTGGCTCATATTCTGAGGGGTGCCAACATCAAGCTTGGACCTGAGAAGTGCCAAGATCTGGTGTCTGTGAAAATCATCACTGTGGTCACCCTGATTGCTTATGGAGGGGAGCACATGCTGTAGGGGAGCACCAGCTGTAGGGGAGCACAGGTAGAAGCAAGGCCTAGTAGAAGGCTTATTCCATAGAAGGCAATGCAGGCTCACACCTGGTGGGGAGAAGTGGGGGCCATGAGAAAAGTGTCACGTTCTGCATGTGTTTCAAAGGCGGGCCACATGAAGTTGCTGATTGGATGTGAGCTGGGAATAAGAGGACTGAGCACGATGCCACAATTTTGGGTTTAAGTGACTGAAAGGACAGAACTATCATCCATGGAGAAGGATGAGGGTGGGATCGCTACAAGCTGCTTCTGGGAATTGAGGTATGGTGGGGATTTGAGGAGAACCTGCAGTGAAGAAGGTCTTGCACTTCTGCTTCCTGCCATGGTCCCTGAGAAGTGATTGCAACATCCTTGATTTCTGAAAGCCTTTCCTCTGTTTCCCTTTTCTGTCCCACAGCCTTTAGGGAGAAAGGGGTCTTTTCTGACATCCTCGAGGAAGGGTTTTCTAAAGTCAAGGTTACCAGCACCAGGGTTGGATAAGTAATAGTAGCTGTGCTGTGTGCTTTGAGGGAGAAGGGAGGATGGGAGTTAGCTCAGGCAGTGGGAATAGCTTCCTGAGATTGTGAGTATCAGCTGAAATGTGACCTGCCTCCCTTTTCTTTCCCTTCCTTCCCTTTTCTCCTGTGTCTCCTCATCCCAGGCCTCTCCAGCCAATTAGCCAGATCTTGTCCCTTAGGATTTCTTCATCCTTTATCATGTCATGCAATTTAGTCTTCTCTTGGTCACTTTCTTTTGTATTCCCACCCATCATTTTTTCAGCAAAACAAAAGATCAGTTTTTCAGCAAGACAAAAGATCAGTTAGAAGAAGAGAGGTTGTAAATAATTATACAATAAATAATATAATTTTATGTTTCCACCACAAATCCAGACCTGGCCCTGAAATTAGTGTGCCCTGGAAGTGTGCCATGGGGAAATGGAGGAGAGGTGAGGGGGGCAGGTAGCTTTGTGAAGATAGGATTCTGTACCCTTGATGGTGACTCTGGATCTCAGGCAGCATCCAACTCTAAAGGCTATCAAAGATGGAGGGGCCCAGCTCTCTGCCTTTGCTGCAAGGCGGTGGGGAAAAGAATTGGATAATTGGTCAATATTTAAAGACTTTATGTAACATGGATTTTGTAGCCTCCATATTTGCCCTGCCCTGATTTAACAAGAGTGGATGGTTGTGGGTGTGGTGGTTGCTATTCCATGGCTCATGAGAAGGTGGAGAGTGGAAGGAGAATGGGGCCTTCATGGAACTGAGGCCAGCCACCCAGAGAGAGTGGCCAGAAATGAGGCTGGGCTGTTGTAAGGTGCTTCAGGATATTTTAAGGAGTTCAGTCCTAACTACAGTGGGAAGGTATAAAGATTTTAAAGCACAGGACTGATAACATTCAAACCGTGTTTTGGGAAGGTCTTTTATGAACTGATTTAAGCCATTTTTGTTGATCAGCAGTTCCCAAGTTATCATGGTGAAGATGGGTAGCTCCCATCCATGAGAGGCTGAGGCTGCGTCTCCACCCACACAGTCTCAGTACCTGAGGTGGTGTGTTACAATGAAAACAAGTCTCAGTCCAAATTCTGGCATGGGCATAAATGCTAGCAAACTGGTCCAAAGTACTTGTGTAACCTGCTCCCTGAACTTGAATAAGTCTTATTGTCCAACCCTAGGCACCCTGATAAATGGTTAGTTACTCTAAAGTGAATGTTCCTAAAGTAAGATTAGCCAAAAACTTCCCTCTTCAGACCAGGCAAACAGAGTTGGGCACATAGAACCAAAGACAACACTAGACTTGGATCATCAGGCTACTGGGTTTGCTGGTGTTTTAGTTGATTTGTGCTCTCAGGAGTACCACGGACTGGGTAGTTTATAAAGAGCAGACATTTATTTCTCACAGTTTTGGAGGCTGGAAAGTTCAAGATCAAGGTGCCAGTGAGGACTGTTCTCTGCTTCCAAGATGGCGCCTTTGATGCTGCATCCTCCAGAAGGGAGGAATGCTGTGTCCTCACATGACAGAAGGTAGAAGGGCAGAAAGGAAATGGACTCCCTCTGTGAAGTCTCTTTAGGGAGCTTAACCCCCTTCATGAGAGGAGGAGCCCTCATGACCTCATTGCCTCTTAAAAGCCTCACCTCTTAATACCACCACATTGTCAACAGCTGAATTTTGGAGTGAGTAGGGGCACGTTCAAACGATAGTAGCTGGATTCTCAGATTATCTGTACAAGGGTAGTCATGTTCGTTTCTTCTCTCCAGTCCTCAAACACAGCGTATTTTACTACTGTGTGACTAATAAACTTTGTATAATTAATGAACTTTCTAGTGCAGATTTAGATAATAATATTTGAAATACTTCGGATGGCCACTTCTGGAGGGTGGATTTATGATTGGGTGTTTTAAATGTTATCTAACTGCCCCAAGAGTACAGATTTAAGTTAATTTTATACATATATATCAGTTTATACTGAAGTTTTATAGGCAATATAACAATAGTTTTAGCTGTTGTGTGGAAAGTGGATTGGTAGAGACCAGAGTAGATTTAAATAATCCAGTTAGAAGACCTTTGCAAATGCCTCAATGAGAGAAGATTACGAATAAATAGAGCAATCACTGGGTGCTGACTGTGGAAGGGGCCAAATGAGGGAGAAGAGCTGGAGATTCCTCAGAACCTGGACTTCATAACTGTGGTAGGACACACTGTCATTTGCTGTGGGATGTGTCTGTTTCCCAATTAGACTGTGAGCTCCCTGATAGCAGGGACTAGGCTCTCATCCCTGTGTCCTTGGAGCCCAGAGTTGGTGCTTAGCAAAGTGTGTTAAACTCTGAGGAAAAGGAAAGGTATGTCATGGAAAAAGAAATCAGGGAGAAGAAGATGAGATGAGAAGGGATGGACACTCATCTGGGAAGGGTTGAGCGAGGACCACCAGGGCTAGATGAGGACTTTGGTTGTTTTCCATCCCTGCTTCATACTTGGCCAAGTACGAAGGCAAACCCTCACTGTGCAAAGAGTGTGGAGGATTCAGGTCATGGGGGCCTGCTTTTAGGGGGTTACCTTGAATCTCTTCACTGTAGTAGGGAGGGGCGTGTGCAGGCTGAAGAAACTCAGCTCAGGAGTCCATGGAGCTGGCACCTGCCCTGTGCTCTGGCACTGAGACATGCTGACCTCCAGCCATGAGACAGAACCCAGATGTTCCTCAATAATCAAGTTATGTCTTGATAAACCTATTATAAGTCAAAAATATCAGAAATGAAAAGTGTGTTTCTGACTTAGAGTATTTTAAATTTATGACGAGTTTATTTGGACATAGCCCCACTGTCAGTGAAGAAGTATACTGAACGTGTATTTTTTTGGCACCATTGTGTAAAGTTGAGAAATTGTAAGTCAAACCATCGTAATTCAGGGATTGTCTGTAGATGGGTGACTGAAGAACAATTTTGCCATTCTTCACTAGCCTCAGCCAAGCCATTTCCTGGCCCTTCTACTGTTATTTAAAAAATGATGATCAGGGCTTAGGAGAAGAAAACCAAGCTTTATCACTACACTCCTGGGCTTCACCACTAGACATTTCCTCAACTTGCTCACCTGGTAACTAAGTTGTTCACAGCTTGTCTACTATGCTTCACAGGATTTGTAACGTAACATTCTAACGATAGCCACCCTGGCCATCATGAAGTTCCGGAGAGGGAGGCAGGTTTCCCAGGCTTTCTGCTTTCTGGTCTGAATGTTGATCATGCAATCTCTCAGGCTCTCCTAAGCATTCTGCTTAAACAAACATTATTTATGTTCGGCAGGAGAACCATTCCTGACTGTCTGCTTTTTCCTCACTCACATAAAACCTCACATTTAATTTCTGTTTATACACATATAAACCATATCTTTAGGGGCAGCCTGGGAAATCCTAGGTTGGAGATGGAATTTGCCTTTTGAAAACACAGAGGTGAGTGACATCTGTATATTGTGTTATCAGAGGTGTGACACGTGCTTGGTTGGGACCAGGTGCTTTACAGAATCTGAGTGAAATTGTAAAACGAGTTGACAAGGCAGCAGCCCAGTTCTTTTAGCAAAGGCTTGATTACCAATATCTGCCTTTCAGTTTTGGGGTAGCAACAAAACAGCTGAAAATCTTGGGGTGCTATGAATAAACTGAGGTTTGGCCAAAGAGAACAGTCTCTGACAAGCTCATACACATTTGATTTGTAAAAGCATCTCCAAGTGAACTGGGTGAGTGGGGAGCAGACAATAATTTGAGGTTAAACTTGGAGGATTGTAGAATTCTTTGGGTATTCAAGTCTTTACTGTTTACTTCAAGGCCTTACATCAATCAACACCAATATTGTCCTAATTGGCAGTATGTGATGTGGGTAGATATAACCTTCTCTGATTTAACTCACATTCAGTGCAGACTGAATCTGAATCCTGAAGTCTATACGTTATAGTGGGTTTACGGAACAAAATGAGGAACACAGAGAGACAAGACCAAAGGGGAGTTATGCCTTATTTTGTTTCCTGATTTATCCTTCCCTGGGTTAATTCACCTAACAGGTCAGTTTTCATTAGGTTACTTCTGAAGTGCTCCATCTTTTTCTCTACCCCACCATTCCCTGACCCTTTGTAGATGGCTTTGAATTCTTTTGGGAATGCCACTAACAGATGATTGAAATCTAACTTGTCTCATTTTAGCTGAAAACCATCAATAAAGGTGGACTATTTCTTTGGGTTCATTTGCAGGATGAAGTGAGGGGATAACTGCATGTTATTTATGAAAAACTCAACCACTTGCAAGTGAAATACCCTTAGTTTTAGCTTTTACTTGTATATTTGCCCATGAATGAATATTTCTCCATACTTTTTAGTTACTTGAAGGAAATGGTAGTTATGTGTACATTTGGGTGTTCTGAGTTGAGTCTAGGCAGTACATTGGAATTATAACATTTCTCCTGGGAGGTAATATTTCTGGAAGTTTGTCAGTTTTTTGGTGAGGTTTTGAGTTGGCTACCTGGATTGATAGGTTTTCTTCCAACACATAGAACTTGGTTCATTGATGTCTTTCTTGTTTATACTTTTGTGTAGTTTTTTTTCTTTTTTTTTTTTTTTTTTTTGTGAGATAGGGTCTAACTCTGTCACCCATGCTGGAGTGCAGTAGCCTGGCCATAGCTGACTGCAGCCTTGAGCTCCAGGGCTCTTGAGAAGCTGGGGACTACGGGTGTGAGCCACCATACCCAGGTAATTAAAAATTTTTTTGTAGAGACATGGTCTCGCCATGTCTAGGCTGGTCTCAGACTCCTCGAGGGATCTTCCTGCCTTGGCCTTCCAAAATGCTGAGATTAGAGGTGTGAGCCACTGTGCCTGGCTGTTGTGTAGTATTGAGCTTTGAAGGAGCAATTGATTTTCTTCTCAATTAAAAATGGAAACATGGGAGAGTCTTTCAAAGCTGACAATGGGAAGTAATGTAAAATATCAAAAATTCTGTCAGCCCTGCCCTTCATCTCCCTGTTTCTTCCAAGGTAACTTAGATGATGCTGATGATAATAGCAATTAACAGTCAATAAGTGCTTCGATGATATGCCAGATACCCCCCAAGCTTTTTTTTTTTTTTGAGATGGAGTCTTGCTGTGTCACCCAGGCTGGAGTGTAGTGGTGTGATCTTGGCTTACTGCAACCTTTGCTTCCTGGGTTCAAGCAGTTCAATGTGAATTAACTAATGGTTTTCACACAGCCCTACCTGATGAGGTATGCTGTTGCAGGAAGAAGAAACTGAGGCATAAATGAGATTCAGTGACTGTCGACCACTCTGATCTTAATGGGATCAGGGATTTCCTGGAAATCTTTGAGGCTAAGCAAGGACTCTGTGCTTTTGGCTGGAAAAATTTACATACATTGTATTGGGGCCCTTCCCACCATTTGAGCCTTACTGGGTTTTTGCTCTGGCATTTCCAGCTCCTCCCTCCTGCCGTGGGGCCTCTGTAAGACATTGTTTGGTTGCTGGTCTGTGAATAGGTATAGTTTTAGCATTGGCTTTTTCTTTAAAGCAAAACCTAAAACCTCTTAAAAAAGTAACTGAAATGTCAAGAAGAGCTTTCTGGTATATTTTCACACTGTTCGACAGGCCTGTGGTGTGCCGGGGCGAGCTGCTGGCAGACCGGCTGGAGTTGGGCTTTCTGGAGCAGCTCTCACCATAGACTCTGCATGGACATCTTCTCCGCCCGGCAACATGCTGCCCTTTCACTAGGGCCTGTTTATAAAGAGTTCTACAGGTGTGCTTGTTTCCCCCCCGCACTTCCTACAGTAGCTGTTTTTATTAAAATGCTTTAAAAATAGGGAGCTAGAAGTGCTATCATGGTAAAAGAACTGCCTTTAGGGTAGGAGAAAGTGACAATTTCAGTAAAATGTCCTGTTACTGTCATTGACCGACCTTAAAGCAGTAGGGAAGAATGGCATGCGTGCCCAAGGTGGCTGTGGCACAGCAGTTGCAGGCAGCGGGGTTGGAGGCAGCATGGTGGGTCAAATCGAGTCTTCGGCTAGAGTAGGACTGCCTGACTTTCAATCCTAGTTCCCCCAGCTGGGTGACCTTGGGCTTCTTTGGGCTGCTATTTTCCCATATGTAAATGGAGATAATCATAGGGCTAATGTGAGGATTAAATGTAGTTGTGATCTATAAGTGTTAGTCTTTATTAATAGCATACATCCGAACTTTCACCATGCAGCTGCCTCCCGCTGTGTGTGTCTCTGTTGGTAGGAAGCCTGATGAGTGAGGATAATTCCACACCCAAGTCTGCATCTCTCCCAAGCGATGTCCCTGTTTGCTTCACTTCCCGAAGGTACTGTGGCTCCCATCTTCCCACCACATAGGGCTGTCAGTGAGTTAACTGTCGTCTCATTTGGCTGCACTCAGCCTGAATGTGTGTACATCTACAAACGCAGCTTCTTTGGGTTTATTTACAGAGCTAGCACTTCTAGGCATGGGCCCCCAGCTTCCTGTGTAAAGATGAAAACTGCAATCCTTCCACTTCAGCCAGACGCAAATAACTGGCTGGGAACCACCCAACTGACAGGGACTTCTCTTGCTCCCTGCATAAACCACCAGGGGAAGGAAGGCTGAGTTTAACAGAGACTCAGACGACAAGATTTAAATAAATAAGCTGTATTATCTGTACAAAAAATACAAATACAGTTTTGTGTTTTAGAGGAGAAAGTGCCTCCTTCCACATTAGCCAGCAGCCTTCATTGTCTTGTGGTGCTGCTGAGTTGCAATTCACAGAACAAACATTAAATGTACATTCATTTCATGCAACGAGCATTCTGCTTCCCACCCAAACCTAGGTTCTGCCAGCTCACTGAGACCCACTGCCAACTGCTCCAACCCAACATGGAGCTGGAGGATGCTTGCTCTTTAGGAAATGTAAATAGTGACCACTGATTTTCAATCACTATCGAACTAGAAATAATTAACCACATTAGTAGTAGTATGGAATTTGTCTGTCTTTATCATTCCATGCATAACTATTATGCCACAAATGAATTCCCTCTTACTGCCTCAGCATCCCATGTTAGTTTTTACAACACATCCTGTACAGTGAATGGATCCAGAGTTAAACACCAGGTTCTATTAAAAATAGGAAAAATATAATAATCACTACTGAGTTTACAGGAACACAACTGCAGGAAGTTAGTTAATAAAGTCCCCCCAATAGTTTTGTTTCTGGATGACAATGTACAATTATTAATATTGCACTTTTTTAATAAGAAATCCTAATAAATATTCACAAAAGATATACAGACATAGAAAACATTCTTTTTTATTTTAAACAGACTTTACACTGATTTTTTAGTAACATGATTTCTTAGAGCCTGTTTTTGTGGTGAAGAAGAAGGAGACCCAACTTAAACCTGTCCACAGCTCACTAGGTGGGGACACAGATTAATATTGTCTTCCTCTCAAATTTTACTTCCAGGCTGGCTGGAAATGCAGCCCTGATGTCAATGGTAGCCCGGGGTGAGTGGCATTTCATGAGGGGAGGCTTATCTGTGGGTAAGGGACTCTGGCCACCCTTGCTCCTAAACTCAGGCCACGCGAGGGAAGGAGGCAAAAATTACTTGGCCAAAGCTGCTCGGCTTAATGAGGATTTTGCCGAAGAGTCCCAGAGTTTTCATTTTGCTGCATGACTTTGACTTTGCTCCAGCCGCCTCACCACAGCTGATGAGTGTGGCTGCAGTGTGTGAGCTGCTTTGCCAGGGTGCTGCCTCCACCACCCCGCCTTGCTAGATAAATACTACATGCCGGAGGACCTGCAGACCCTGGGGTGGAGGCTGGGAGAGGGAGGGTGTACTGTGGACACGCATAAACCCATTGTCCCACCCCGGTCCCTGGGCCAGCTCTGGAATGAAGAGGTTGCTACAACCTGACAGCCTGACAGATACTCTCTGGCACAGTGACTAGTTAATGGGTTGATGTTGATAAGTTAACCATAGTCCCTGGCCCTTCGGTGGAGCAGCAAAGGTCCTAGAAGGCAAAAAACCTGGGCCATTCATGCTCAAAATGGCCCTGGCCCACAGCAGCAGTTAGTTAGTGCGGGGCTAGGGGACTTCGGATTTAGATAAAGAGGTGCCAGGGTGGCCTTACTGCATGGCGAGACCCACCTCTCACTGGCTTTGCTGCAGCTGCACAGGCAGGACGTTGACTCTGATAGCTTGGGAAGTGGGGACTCCCACGCAGCGCAGTGCTCTGTTGTGGGCAGCAGGGCTCTGAGCATGCGCACATGCATGGGATCAGAGCTGGTCCATGAGCCTCATGCAGCCTGGAAGCCCCTGCTCACCCTGCCCCACTGGGGAACACCACAGGCTCCTTTTTGCTTCTGTCCCTTCCCTCCCCTCCCTTCCTCATTTTCTGCAATGTTGTGTGCCTTAGAGCCTGCTTTGTTTGCTTTTTTACCTCTCCCTACTGGTGATCTGAGTTCTTCTCTCTCTGCACTCACCCACTAGAAGAACTGAGTGAGTTCTGGGCTAGTTTCTGCCTCAGCATGGTGTCCCCTCCCCATTTGTCCTAACTGTGACTAAAGGGACATAGATGGGGAAGAGGAGACAAAGGAGCAAAACACTCCTGTGTTTGTGATAGTGCGCTTCTAGGAAAGACACAGGAATTTGTCCAATGTTTGCACCAATAGGCTACAAACCTTCTGGCTCCCTGCTGTCCGCAGGGGCTGTGCCTGCCTCTTTCTAGGTCTTTGAGACCCAGGTTTGGGAGGGAGGAAGCTCTTCAAGGGAGCCCCCACTGTCTGCCTGGCCTGCTCTGCAACCTCCTTTAGACATCTGTCCTTTCCTTTCCCAACATCCTGTCCTCCAGCTAACTGAAAGAGAAAACACGCGGACGTCCTTATGCTTGAAGGTGGAGGTGGAGGAGGTTGGAAGGGTGTGTGTGGAGTGGGGAGGGGGAAATAAATAAATAAAATGAAGAAAGCTTAGGTTCTGTCCGAGGTGGTTGCGTGAGTCCTTCGTGTGGCCAGGGTAGAGTTTTTCCCCACACCCTATCTTCACGCTTTGCCACAAGTTCCACAGCAGCGAGATTTAAACTGGCTGAGTTGGCAGAGTTTCAGCTGTTTCACCTTCTCGCAGTACCTGGTGGTGTCTCTGCACTCCACTGGGAAAGGAGGACGGGGTCGGGAGAGGAGACAGAAAAGAGATGTGAAACAGAGACTAATGAACGCAGCCTGTGTGAGGTGCAGCCGGGGGTTTCAGCCACTGGGGTACATCCTGGGGTCTGCCTTGGCCACCGCTCTCCAGCCTAACTTTGACAGAGCTCAGCCACTTGCTCCCCAAGGCTGCCAACAGCAGGGGTGGCACCAGCCTGCAGCTGTCTGGCTGAATGATGGGGCCCCTCCCTGGGCTGTCTGCTTGTTTTCTGCAGCTCCCTCTACTTCCTGAAGGTGCCTGTTTTCTCTATCTTCTTGGGATTACCTCATCTCCTAGGTGATCACCTCTCCCCCTAGGCAAACCTGCCTTTTCCCGTGGGTTTTGGTATTTTAAGTAAATGACTCTCCTCCTCAAGATGGTTCCCAGCACTGCATCCTCCCCGACTTTGCAGGAGTGTGAAGTGAGACTTGCGTCGGGTGCCCCCATCCCCAGGCACTTGGGCCTACTTTCTCTGTTAAGCTTTATTTTCATGTGCCCTCCAGTCTCTCTTCCTTCTACCCATCATGCCTTAAACACAGCACCAGGACGTTCTAGTTCAGTGTTGGCACAGACTAGATGGTCTTAAATATTGTGCTGACTTGGTTTGGTAAGTTTTAACTATGTGCGTTGAATATTGGCGCTCTCTGAGCATGGTGAGCCACTGACACAAACATGGGTTAACACTACCCGAGTACAAAGATCATCCATCCCCCAGCGTGTAAAAAGAAGTGGGCTATTTGCCTACATGGCGTCTGCCTTAGTGTTGGGAATTTATTGCTCAGTGAGGCCCAGTTGGGGAGAAAACTGCACAGCTACATTTGGTTTTTACTTCCTACTCTTTGCCTCAAGCTTTGCCACCTTTCTCATGGGTAAGTACCTCTGATTTGGGTTCAGAGGAAGAAAAAAATAAACTCCTTCCCAACTGGAATACAAATGATGGTATTGGGATGACGAGGAAGGAGTGAAGTGAGTATCAAATTCCAAGGCTGGGGGGTCCTGGACAGTTCCAGGGGATGCCTGTGGGGTTGGGAGGGAGGGGGTCAGCTGGTCCTTGTTGGGTGAGAAGCAGAGGTGTGATGGGCGCAGATCTGGTTGGCTGAGCAGGAGGCACTCTGTGCTCCTTTAGAGTTAACAGCATTTTCTGTTTAGTAGCCTGGCCCCTGAGAGTTGTTGATGAGTCAGACCCTGTGGGCACCAGCCAGACTGACTGCAGGGGAACTGGAGGCTGATTTCCTCCAGCACTGGGCCAATAGCACCTGGCTCTCTCAGGGCCAGGATGGAGATCATGGAAGCCCTTGGGGCATACCCTGTCATGCTTATATACACCTCTCTGCATACACCCATGCACCCCACTGAAATGCTCAACTCCACCACCAGCTCACAATCCCTGGGGAAGCTGACCCCATGCCCTATGCTCAGGGTCGGTCCCAGGGACTGCTCTCTGCACTCGATGCTCTATGGGGAATTTGCAGAAGGTTCTTTGGGGTTGGAACATACTGTTTTCACATGGGGTGATGTTGCAGCGCTGCCAGTTGGCAGGCCGGGGCCCCCAGGAGCACAGGTGCTCAGGCACTGCCTTGTTGGTGCGGGCATGCACACACTCCACACGCCGGGACTGGAAGCCGTAGTTGCCACAGGTAGCTGTGCACAGGGTCCACAGGCTGACTCTCCAGTGTACACTGCAGGCCTCTGACCAGCAGTTCTGGGTGCTCACAGGCCTGCAGGAGGATGGTGGCAGGGTTAAGGTTTGCTTCTGTGGGGGCTGAATCAGGGCAGATGTGAAAATAGTGCTGCAAACTCAGAAATGTTAGGTGGTTCCTCAAGAACTTTCAGCGTTACTAGACCTGGATTCTGATTTCTGTGCTGTTACTAAAAGGCCATATGATCTCAAGAAGACTATTTCCTCTTACTGGGCCTCCATCTGCTCTTCTCTGTAATGAATAAGGATCTCACTGCATGACTAAAGAATGAGCTCTCCCCATGTGGACACCGGCAGAGCCTGGTCTCACAGGCTGGGCTCTTAGGTGGGGGTGGTGAGTCCCCGTGCCCCAGGGGGACATCTATAAGGAAGTGTCATAAGGATGGGGACTGGATAGGAATGGTAGGTTGAGACTCAGGAACAAGGGCTCTCATCTTAGCCTAACTTCTAGAGGGAGATCAACAAGAGTGAGGGGCTTGAGCCTTTGAGACTTGGTGGCCGCTGTGCAGACCTCACCTCCTGACCACCCTGGGGCTAGTGCAGGTCTCTCGAGGTATGAGGCCTCTCTCAGAAGAATAACACCCTTGCACTCTTCATCACTAAGAGAGAAAAGCCCAGCCTAGCCCATTAGATAAGCACAAGACCGACACTGAGTCATCTGCCTCTGGGGAGGCCAGTGGCTTGCGGTGAATGGAGATGGAGTCCCAGGCAGGGCTTGGGACTGTGGTAAGTTAGTTGGAGGAGAAACATTCACTCAGCACCATCTTTCCGTGCTGTTGACATGGGGCTGGGAAAAGGAGATTCAGGGCTTTCTCTTACCTCGGAAGAGCACTGCACTGCTCTGATGGTAAGGTGATGCCATCCCGTGTCTGGCAGAAGACTTGTCTGTGTTGCACAGCTAGGTGAGGCCCGATGCAAGGCCCATTGCACTGGAAAGCAGAAAAAGGTAACATACCGCACATTAGCCAAGTCAAGGGTGGAGGCCGCCGTGCTTGGGCTGCATGGCATGCACGATCCTTGTGTAGGTCTTGTTGGAGGCTCTCAGACCATTCATCTTTCCCCTCTTTGGGCTAACTAAAAGACACTCACTGATACGTTTTCTTTATGGGATGGTTAGATTTCCTGTGGTCTGTGGGCATTCTGCCAGCAAATGGCTAATGGTAGTGTAGAACCAGTAAGAGAACGTCAAGCTCCTCTCAGATTAATCATATGAAAGATATTTTGGCATAATATGCTAGGAATGTGGCAGTAGACTTTAGAACTGAAGACCCTTAAATAGCTCCACCCCTTCGGTGCAGAGAGGGTAATATGGTTTATCGTTTTCTTGCTAAAGTCATCCAAATAACCAACTCCATCCTTTCTTACCCTGGCTTCATTTTCTGCAGGTTAAACCTAGGATGACTGAACAGAAAGCAGACTTAGGTATGCAGAGTCCTCCCTCATATTCTCTTGCTATGTGCTCATGGAGATTGTTAAACTTTCCCCAGAGTTCATGGAGCCTGACCCTGTCACAGTAAATACACCTAGCAACAACTGTCTGTGAAATACAAAAGCAGCAGGCCTTTAGCCAACATGTAGCCAACATCTGCTATTTCAGTAAAACAAGAGGATACGCATCCCATGGAGGTCACTTTAGAACAAAGGCTCTTAACTTGGGGGTCTTTGGATCCCTAGGGTTCCACTGGGGGTGGTGCTGGGGTGTTAATCCTTAACAGTATAAGCAAAAGTTTTGTGTTTATTGGCTTTTTTCTAGCAAGAGGTTCCCTCTAGCTTTCATCAAGTACTCAGAGGGATCCATGACCTCAAAGGTTAAGAACCACTGAAAGAGCAGGATTTAAGGTAAAAGTAGCTCTCTTGGGTCAGACAGCTGTGCCCAAGGCGAATTATTGCTCTTCTGGACTCTGAAGGGCCCAGTTTGACACTATTATTCACAAACACATGGAGGGTTGGGGTAAATGTAAAAAAAAAAAAAAAAAAAGCCCCCTTAACACCAATGACTGGGATTTTTTTTAAATCGTAAAATACACATAAACGGACCTTTTTTTTTTTTTTTTTTTTTTTTTTTTTTTTTTTTTTTGAGGCAGGGTCTCTTTCTGTTGCCCAGGCTGGAGTGCAGTGGCACAATCTCAGCTCACTGCAGCCTTCACCTCCCAGGCTCAATTGATCCCCCGACCTCAGCCTCCTGAGTGGCTAAAATTTCTCTCTTTAACCGTATTTTTAAAAATAACTTTTTTTTTCTTTTTCTCAGATGGAGTCTCACTGTCACCAGGCTAGAGTGCAGTGGTGCAATCTCGGCTTACTGCAACCTCTGCCTCTCAGGTACAAGTGATTATCCTGTTTCAGCCTCCCAAGTAGCTGGGACTACAGGCATGTGCCATCACACCCGGCTAATTTTTATATTTTTAGTAGAGATAGGATTTCGCCATGTTGGTCAGGCTGGTTTTGAATTCTTGACCTCAGGTGATCTGCCTGCCTTGGCCTCCCAAAGTGCTGGGAGTCCAGGTGTAAGCCACCGTGCCTGGCCAAAAAATAACTTTTTATTGTGCAGTACAGTGTGCATACAGAAAACTGATTAACAGCCAGGTGTGGTGGTGGATGCCTGTATTCCCAGCTATGCAGAAAGCCGAGGCAAGAGTAAGCTTGAGCCCAGGAATTTGAGGCTATAGTGCACCATGATCATGCCTGTGAATAGCCACTGCACTCCAGCCTGGACAACATAGTGAGACCCCATCTCTAAAAAAAAAAAGTGATTAAAACATGAAGTATATCTCAGTGAGTTACTATAGAGTGAGTATAGTTGACCTTTGAACAACATGGGTTTGAACTGGGCAGGTCCACTTATACATTTTTTTTTTTTTTCAACCAAAGGTCTTGGGATGTGAAACCCATGTATGTGGAGGGCCAACTTTTTGTATATGCGGGTTCTGTGAGATTGACTGCAGGACTTGAGTTTGTGTGGATTTTGATATATGCAGGTGCTCCTGACACCAATCAATCACCTGTGGATACCAAGGGACAACTGTAGAGAAGCAAAGCTAGCTGCATGGATGTCTCTACCCCCTTAGAAGGAAACTGTGGTTGGTTTGATGCTCTACTGTCAACCTTGACATTCATTATAGTTTTTGAACAAGCAGCCCCACATTTTCATTTTGCACTGGGCCCCACAAATTATGTAGCTAGTCCTGTATACACGTGAAGAAATAAAATGCTGTCAGCAACTCAGGAGCCTACTTTGTGTCTACTCTCTAGTCTCTTTCCTCATCTGCACATGTAACCACTGAGACTTAACTTTTAAAACAGTTTAGTTTATGCCTGTTTTTGAAATTTACATAAATGAACCATATTTCATGTTTGTTTTGTATTTGGTGTTTTCTTACTATGTATTGTGTATATAACTGAAGTTCATTTTCATTGATGTATAGCACTTTATTTTATGAACATACCATGATTGAATTTTCCAGTCTACTTTACTTTTGATTAATACTTGGTTTCTTTTTTCTTTTTCTTTTTATGTTTTTGTTTTGAGACAGAATCTTGGAATGCAGTGGTGTGATCTCTGCTCACTGCAACTTCCACCTCCTGGGTTCAAGCAATTCCTGACCCTCAGCATCCCAAGTAGCTGGGACTACAGGCACCCACCAACACACCTGGCTAATTTTTGTATTTTTAGTAGAGATGGGGTTTTGCCATGTTGGCCAGGCTGGTCTTGAACTCCTGACCTCAAGTGATCTGCCTGCTTCAGACTCCCAAAGTGTTGGGATTACAGGTATGAGCCACCGTGCCTGGCCAATCCTTTTTATTTCTGTAAGACTGGTAGTAATGTCTCCATTTTCATTTCTGATTTTAGGAATTCGAGTCTTCTCTCTTTTTTTCTTTGCCAATGTAGCTAAAAGTTTGTCTATTTTGGTTAGTCTTTTTGAAGAATTTACTTTTGGTTTTGCTGAGTTTTCTTTACTATTCTCTAATCTTTATTATCCTCTTCTGCTAGCGTTAGGTTTAGTTTGCTCATTTTCTATAAATTTTTAAGGTGTGAAGTTAAGTTGTTGATTTGAAGTCTTTCTTTTTTAATGTAAGCATTTACAGCCATAAAATTTTCTCTTAGCACTATTTTCTCTGTGCTCCATATATTTTGGTATGTTGTGGTTTTGTTTTCACTTGTCTTAAGGTATTTTCTAATTTTCCTTGTTATTTCTTTTCTGACTGATTTACTGTTTGTGTTTTGTTTGATTTCCACGTATTTGTGAATTTTCCAGTTTACTTCTGCTGTTGACTTCTAGTTTCCTTCCCTGTGGTTGGAAAAGATACTCTGTATACATTCATTCTTATGAACTGTATTAAGAATTATTTTTTGGCATAACATATAGTCCTTTTTTGGATAATTTTTCATGTGCACTTGAGAAAAAACAAGTATTCTGCTGTTATTGGGTGGAGTCCTCTGTATGTCTGTTGCTCCAATTGGTTTATAGTATTGTTCAGTTGCTCTGTTTCTTTACTGATCTTTTGTTTAGTTGTCCTATCGATTGTTGAAAGTGGGTTTCTGAAGTTTCTATTATAGAACTAATTATTTCTCCCATCAATTCTGTCAATGTTTGATTCATATACTTTGGGGCTCTGATGTTTGGTGCATGCATGTTTATAATTGTTATATGTTCTTGGTATATTGACCCTTTTATCACTGTATAGTCTATGTTGTTTGATTTAGTATAGCTACCTCAGCTTTTGGTTTTTATTTACATGGAATAACTTTTTCCATTCCTTCACTTTCAACCTAATTTTTTCTTTAGATCTCAAGCAAGTATTCTGTAGACAGCATAGAGTTGAATCATGTCTTTTTTATTTTTAACATCTACTAGGCCAATCTATGCCTTTGGGGGTTTGATTCCTTTAAAGTAATTACTGATAGGGAAGAACTTACTTTTGCCATTTTATTATTTGTTTTTATGTACATCTTATAGCTTTCCCCTGTAATTCCCTCCACTTATGTTGTCTTTTGTGATTAGTTGTTTTTTTATAGTGACAAATTTTGCTTCCTTTCTCATTCTTCTTTGGCTATACATATTTTCTTTGTTGTTACCATGGGGATTACATATAATATCCCAAAGTTATAACAATCTAATTTGAATTTTGATATCAATTTCATACAAAACTCTACATGTATACCACTCTGTTTCCCATCCCCACTTTACATTATTGGTTTGAGAATTATATCTATATGCTGTATATTCACTAACAGATTTATAATTACTTCTTATGCATTTCTTTGAAATCCTATAGAAAATAAAAAGTGGAGCTATGAAACAAAATAATACTGGTTTTAATGTCTGCCCGTCTATTTACCTTTATTGGAGAGTCTTTATATGTTCAGGTGGCTTGGAGTTAACTAGCATCTTTTTATTATAACTCAAAGGACTCCATTTAATATGTCTTGTAATCAGGAATAGTGGCAACAAGCTCCCTGGAATGTCATAACTTCCCCCTCATTTTTGAAGGACAGTTTTGCCAGATAATTCTTGGTTAATAGTTTTTTCTTTCTGTACTTTATAATTTTTCTTTTTTTTTTTTAAATAAAGAAAAAGGGCTTATTTGGCTCATGGTCTTACAGGCAGTATAAGAAGCATGGCACCAGCAACTGCTTGTGGTGAGGCCTCAGGAAGCTTACAATCATAGAGGAAGGCAAGAGGAGCTGGCTTGTCACATGGTAAGAGACGGGAGGGAGGCACCAGACTCTCTTTTGTTTTTGGCTGTCCTTATATTTTTACATTACCAAGTCTTTGATAGTTCTTTCTTTTCCTTCAACCTTTAAGTTCTGGAGTACATGTGCAGATTTGTGCCATGGTGGTTTGCTGCACAGACCATCCCATCAGCTGGGTATCAAGCCCAGAATCCTTTAGCTGTTTGTCTTGATGCTCTCCCTCCTCCCACCCCCACCCCCACCGCCAATAGGCCCCAGTGTGTGTTGTTTCCCCCCAGTGTGTCCATGTGTTCTCATCATTCAGTTCTCACTTATAAGTGGAAATATACGGTGTTTGGTTTTCTGTTCCTGGGTTAGTTTGCTGAGGATAACGCTTTCAGCTCTATCCATGTCCTTGCAAAGGACATGATCTTGTTCCTTTTTATGGCTGCATAGTATTATGGTTTTATGTACCACATTTCCTTTATCCAGTCTACCCTTGATGGGCATTTGGGTTGATTCCATGCCTTTGCTATTGTGAGTAGTGCTGCAGTAAACATACATATGCATGTATCTTTGTAATAGAATGATTTGTATTCCTTTAGGTGTATACCCAGTAATGGGATTGCTGGGTCAAATGGTATTTCTGCCTCTAGATCTTTGATGAATCACCATACTGTCTTCCACAATGGTTGTACTAATTTATATTCTCACCAACAGTGTGAAAGTGTTCCTTTTTCTCTGCAACCTCACCAGCATCTGTTTCTTGACTTTTTCATAATCGCCATTCTGACTGGCATGAGATGTTATCTCATTGTGGTTTTGATTTGCATTTCTCTAATGATCAGTGATGTTGAGCTTTTTTTCATATGACTGTTGGCCACATGAATGTCTTCTTTTGAGAACTGTCTGTTCATGTCCTTTGCTTGCTTTTTAATGGAGTTATTTTCTTGTAAATTTTTTTAAGTTCCTCTTGACTGGATTTAGACCTTTGTCAGATGGATAGATTGCAAAATTTTTCTCCTATTCTGTAGGTTGTCTGTTCTCTCTAATGATAGTTTCTTTTGATGAGCAGAAGCTCTTTAGTTTAGTTAGAACTCATTTGTCAATTTTTGCTTTTGTTGCAATTGCTTTTGGCATCTACATCATGAAATCTTTGCCTATGCCTATGTTCTGAATGGTATTGCCTCGATTTTCTTCTAGGGTTTTTATAGTTTGGGGTTTTACATTTAAGTCTTTAATCCATCTTGAGTTAATTTTTGTATAAGGTGTGTGGAAGGAGTCCAGTATCAATTTTCTGCATACAGCTAGCCAGTTATCCAAGCACCATCTATTAAGTAGGGAGTCCTTTCTCCATTACTCGTTTTTGTCAGGTTTGTCAAAGATCAGATGGTTGTAGGTATGTGATCTTATTTCTGAGTTCTCTATTCGGTTTCATTGGTCTATATGTCTGTTCTTATACCGGTACCCTCCTATTTTTGTTACTGTAGTATAGTTTGCAGTCAGGTAGTGTGATGCCTCCAGCTCTGTCCTTTATGCTTAGGATTGTCTTGACTACTCGGGCTCTTTTTCAGTTTCATATGAATTTTAAAATAGTTTTTTCTAATTCTGTGATGAATGTCAATGGTAGTTTAATGGGAATAGCATTGAATCTATAAACTCCTTTGGGCAGTATGGCCATTTTCATGATACTGATTTTTCCTATCAATGAGCATGAAATGTTTCTCCATTTGTTTGTGTCCTCTCTGATTTCCTCGAGCAGTGGTTTGTAGATCTCCTTGAAGAGGTCCCTCACTTCCCTTGTTTGCTGTATTCCTAGGTATTTTATTCTTTTTGTAGCAATTGTGAATGGGAGTTCATTCATGATTTGGCTCTCTGCTTGCCTGTTGTTGGTGTATAGGAATGCCAGCAATTTTTGCACATTAATTTTGTATCCTGGGACTTTGCTGAAGTTGCTTATCAGCTTAAGAAACTTTTGGGCTGAGACGATGGGATTTTGTAGATAAAGGGTCATATCATCTGCAAACAAAGATAATTTGACTTCCTCTCTATTTGAATATGCTTGCTTTCTTTCTCTTGCCTGATTGCCCTGGCGAGAACTTCCAATACTACATTGCCTAGGAGTGGTGAGAGAGGGCATCCTTGTCTTGTGCTGGTTTTCAAGGGGAATGCTCTCAGCTTTTTGCCATTCTCTATAATAGCAACTGCTGATTTGTCAAATATGGCTCTTATTATTTTGAGGTGTGTTCCTTCAATATCTAGTTGGAGAGATTTTAAGATGAAGGTGATGTTGAATTTTATTAAAGGGCTTTCCTGTGTCTATTGAGATACTTGTGTTTTTTGTCTTTAGTTCTTCTTATGTGAGGAATGACATTTATTGACCCAACCTTATATCCCAGGGATGAAGCCAACTTGATCATGGTGGATAAGCTTTTTGATGTGGTGCTGGATTTTCCAACTTGGTTCTGTTCTCCCTGTCTCTTTCAAGTACCCCAATCAGTCATAGGTTTGGTCTTTTTACATAGTCCCATATTTCTCAGAGGTCTTGTTGGTTCCTTTCCATTCTTTTTTCTCTATTCTTGTCTGCCTGTCTTATTTCAGAAAGATAGTCATCAAGTTCTGAGGTTCTTTCTTCTGCATGGTCTATTCCGCTATTGATACTTGTGATTGCATTGTGAATTTCTCGTGTTGTGTTTTCCAGCTCCATCAGGTCATTGTGCTCCTCCTCTAAACTGGCTATTCTGGTTACCAGCTCCTCTACTGTTTTATTGTGATTCTCGGCTTCTTTGCATTGGGTTACAACATGCTCCTTTAGCTCAGCGAAGTTTGTTATTACCCACCTTCTTTTTTTGAGACGGAGTCTCGCTCTGTCACCCAGGCTGGAATGCAGTGGCATGATCTCAGCTCACTGCAACCTCTGCTTCCTGGGTTCAAGTGATTCTCCTGCCTCAGCCTCCCGAGTAGTTGGGGCTACAGGTGCCCGCCACAATGCCTGGCTAACTTTTTTTTTTTTTTTTGATATTTTTAGTAGAGATGGGGTTTTACCATATTGGCCAGGCTGGTCTCAAACTCCTGACCTTGTGATCCACCTGCGTCGGCCTCCCAAAATGCTGGAATTACAGATGTGAGCCACCACACCCAGCCTACTATCCACCGTCTGAAGCCAACTTATGTCAATTCAACCATCTCAGCCTCAGCCCACTTCTGTGCCCTTGCAGGAGAAGTGTTGGATTCATTTAGAGGAGAAGAGGCACTCTGGCTTTTTGAGTTTTCAGCATTTTTGTTAATTCTTTCTCATCTTTGTGGGCTTATCTACCTTTGTTGAGGTTGCTGACCTTTGAATGGAGATTTTGTGGGGTCTTTTTCGTTGATGATGTTGTTATTGTTTTCTATTTAATAGGCCACTCTTCTGTAGGGCTGCTGCAGTTTGCTGGGGGATCACTCCAGGCCCTAGTTGCCTAGGTTTTCCCCTTACCTGGATGTATCACCAGTGAAGTCTGCAAAACAGCAAAGATGGCAGCCTGCCCCTTCCTCTAGGAGCTCTGTCCCAGGTGGGTACTGACCTGTTGCTGGCCCAGATGCTCCTGTAGGAGGTGTCTGGAGACCCCTGTTGGGAGGTCTCACCCAGTCAGGAGGGATGGGATCAGGAACCCAGTTAAAGAATCAGTCTGGCTGTTTTTTTGGTAGAACAGCTGTGCTGTGTTGTGGGGAACCCTTCCTTGTCCAGACTGCCTGGACTCTCCTGGCAGTCCTGGGAAGGCTGAGTAACTCAAGGGCAGAGACTCACTGCCCCTTCCCCCGGGGGCTCTGTCCCAGGGAGAGATCAGACATCTGTTAGTATAACCCAGGTTGGAGTTGCTGAAATTCCCGCAGGGAGGCCAGATGGATCAGGGTCCCACTTAAACAATCATTCTGGCCACTATCTGGCACAGCAGGTGTGTTGTGAGGGACTTCTCCTCACCTGGGCTGCCAGGACTCACTGGAACTGGCAGGCTAGAACAGCTGGGTTGACCTAAGCACAGAAATGGTGGCTACCCCTCCCCCAGGAACTAATCTGTCTCAGGCAGTCTCCAGCCTGATGCACTCGGCAGGCAGCTGGAATTCCAAGCCAGTGGGTCTTAACTTCTGAGGTGCCATGTTAAGTGGGGCCTGCAGAATGATGCTGCTTGTCTGCTGGGATTCCCAGGGCCTGAGTCTGAAAGACTCCTGGGTCTCTGTGTGAGCCTGAGCAACTGCTCTGCTGAGACTGCACAGCTCTGTGTGTCAAACCCAAGGCCTTGGTTGCATTGGCTCACTAGGGGATCTCCTGATCCACTGATTGCAAAGATATGTAGGAGAAGTGTGGTTTCCTGGGTGGGGTTGTGCAATCACTTACCACTTCCCTTGGCTGGGGGGTGAAGGTTTTTTGGCTCTGTGCTGCTCCCAGGTGGGCCAGTGGCCTACCCAGCTTTTCTTCATTCTCCATGGGTCAAGTTGATTGCCTAGTCAGTCCCAATGAGAGAACCTGGATATTTCAGATGAAGGTGCCAAATTGACTCCCCATTTTCATTCCTCTCTGTGAGAGCTGTGGACTGCAGCTGCTTCTAATCAGCCATCTTGGCCCCTCCCCCTCTTTCTGCACTTCAAATACATAATTCCACTGCCTTCTGTCCTGCAAGGTTTCTGCTGAGAAATCAGTTTATAAAGTTATTGAGAATTTCTTGTACACAATGAGTTGCTTTTCTTGCTGCTTTCAAGATTCCCTCTTTGTTTCTTAAGACTGATTTTAATCTTAGTGTGGGTCCCTTTGGCTTTTTCAACTTAGAGTTTGTTTAGCTTCTTGGATTTGTAGATTCATGTCTTTCATCAAATTTGGAAAGTTTTTGGCCATTATTTCTGCAAATAATCTTTCAACTCCTTTCTTCTTCTGAGACTCTCAAAATGTATATGTTGGTTCACTTGAGGGTGTCTCACAACTCTTTTAGACTCTGTTTGTTTATTTTCTTCTATTTTTATTGGCCTATCTATCTTCAAGTTTGAAAATTCTTTCTGCTGCCTGCGAAATCTGCTGTTGAATCCCGCCAGTAAAATTTTCAATTCAGTTCTAGTACTTTCAGCTCCCAATTTAGCATATTTAAGATAGTTGTTTTAAAGTGTTTGTCTTTAATGTTCAATGCCTATGTTTATTTTCTTCCTTAAAATGGGCCATATTTTCCCATTTCTTTGTATGGCTTGTGATTTTATTGCTGAAAATTGGGCATTTGAAAAATAGCCATTTCTCCTACTCTCTGTAGACTGGCTCTGTGATTGGGCAATCCATCACTGATTAGCTGGGTATACTCTGAGCATAGTAATCAGTCTGAGGTGAAAGCGTAAGGTCTTCTCAGATCTTTCTTTTATGTGGTGTGTATGGGCCTTCTCCATATACATAGCTGCTTTTGAGTGTCTTAATTTCCCAGAGTCTCACTCAAGGCTGTCCTTGGGACTTTAGAGCGTCAGTTGCATAGAGGGTCAGTCTCCACCCATAATCTCTTTTCCCAGGTGTCTGCAGGTCTGTGTTCCTTCTGCAGATTTCACAAGTAGTGGCTGCCACGTTGTTAAGATCAAAACCATGCCACATTGGGGGGAGGGGGTGGGGCAAGGATGAACGAAAATACCAGGAAATTTCCTATCATCTTAAAGATGGCTGTTTCTTTATTGGCTGTTTGCTTGGTTGCTGTAGAACTTGGGCTGTTTTCCAGAGCACTTATAAGGTTAGTTTAGCCAGTGTCTAGTTGTTTTTTTGATGCTTCTATAAGAGAACATGGACTTGGAGTGTCCTAATTTGCCATTTTGCTAATGTCCCTTGACTACACTGGGAATTCTTGAAGGAGTAATGTGTCCCTGGAAGCACTTATTTCCTCCACTCTCATTTGTAACTAAACCTATTGCTGGTTTGATTTCAGTGCCTACTTTTACACTGAAACTGCCATTCACAGAGTTACAGGTAACTGCCTGTCAGTCAAGTTTGAATATGCACCGTATGTATAAAATAAGGCCAATGCTTAATTTGTATTTTGTTTATTCTGTTGGATGTATTTTTATACCATTGACTTCCTTCCTTCTGGAAAAAGCTCCTCCACTGGTCTCTGTGAATTTTCCTACTCATTAGGTTAATCTTTTTCCTCTTTTTCCCCCAGTTTAATTAGTGTTGTGTTCCTCAGGGTTCTGTCCTGTGCCTTTTCTTAATCTGATCCTTTCCCTCTCTCTGGGTGATACCATCTATGATTCTTAGCCACCACTTGTATACTAATGACTTTCAAATTGATAGTGTTTAGCATAGCTCTCTTTTAAGTCCCAGACCTATATGTGCAACTACTTAATGAGCATCTGTACTTAGATATCTCATACTAAACATGTCCCAAACAATTCCATATAGCAACAATCCACCCTCTTTTTTTTCTGTATTCCTATCTAGTTGTTCAATTCAGAACCTCCAGTCAAATTTTGACTTCCTTCCTTTCTCTCATCCCTCATATCCAATGGATCATGGAAGCCATGCGAATCACGCTTATAAAGAGGAAATGGATTCCTCTCCATTGGTACTGCTCAATACCTTCATTCTCATCACCATAATTGCTCACCTAGATTAGGTTTCTCTTTCTGTAGTCCTTTCACTTGCCAATTTGATCACTATACTGCAGACAGCATACCTTTTTCAAAAAAAAAAAAAAAAGACAAGGTTTTGCTCTGTCACCCAGGCTGGAGTAGTGAAAGTGGTATGATCACAGCTCGTTGCAGCTTCAACCTCTTAAGTGATCCTTCTGCCTCAGCCTCCTGAGTAGCTGAGATTACCGGCATGAGCCGTTGTGCCTGGCCAGACAGTAATCTTAAAAGTCTGATTGTGCCATTCCTTCTTAAAAATCTTTGTAGTTGCACTTACAATAAAATCCAAATTCTTTGTACAGCATACAAGACCCTTTTATGGTCTTGCACCTGCTTTCCAGGCCACATTTCTATTTCTATTCTGTCACCTCATTCTCCTGCAAATATTGTGGGCTGCTTTTCCCTTCATTTCTTCACACATGCTTATATGGGACACATTCCCCTCCCAAGACAGGTGTCCCATAAATGTATGTTGGATTAAAAGGAGAAAGCTGAATTATTACATGAAGCCAGATTGTTGGAGCTAAGAAGGTGGTCTTAGTTTTACTTGGACTAAAATCAGCATGGTTTTCATAGACTTCATGAAGGTAGGCAGAAGAAAAAACATTTGCATAACACTATTCCAAAAGGATTTTTTTGTGTCTCACAGGAGTGGAATGTGGAGGTTTGAGAAGCATCTACAGTTTGAAGCACAATATCAGCAATATTATCAGCAGAAAAACATCAACAGGATTGTGAGATGAAGTATTTGTCTGCAATCTGTAATGCCTCAAGCCTTGCTACTCTTTCAAGCGTAGCCCTTGGACTAGCAGCACTGATGTTACCAGAAGTTTTGAGAAATTCAGCATCCCCAGTTCTACCTCAGACCTACCATATTAGAATTTGCATCTTTAATAAGATTCCCAGGTGATTCACATTAAAGCTCGACACGTACTGGCCTGGAGGGTTGTAGAAAAGAGGAGGAGGGGGTGAATTTTTTGAGGGGAAGGAATGCAGAAAGGGAGCAAGACCTATGTATTTTTCTCTCTGTTAGGAAACATAATCACTGGTGCACCATACGTCCCTCCTTGAGTGACCTTGATGACACAGTGCAGAAACATCTGTCATTTGTAGCCGGATCTGTTTGCTATTGTAATTTTACAAACTGCCAATAAGCCTCGAGGGCCTGGAACCAGAGCTGTCTTGAGATGAATGTGACCTATGAGAAGCAGGCTTTTCCAGGTAGGAGAAAGACGATATTCCCCCTGGCAAAGGGAGCTCATGCCTGTTTGATTATGAAGCATATACATTATGTCACTGGAAATAAGGAGGGGTTAGTAGAAGCTCCAGAAAGGAGTCTCCAGCTAGGTATGTTGATTGGCTAGCATTGAGCGGTAGCTTCAACTTACCTGGGACACAAATGGCTTACGAGATGGAACGTGAACTCTATGGCCAAAAACATTTGATTTTCATTAAAGGTGGCCACAGTGTGTTAACTTAATAGAAAGTCGCCGGTGATTGTTTTCCAAAGGACACACCTGGGGGTGGGAGTGGAGGACATAAATGTAATAATGTATAGATGGCCAATTATAAGATGTTTTGAGTTGCTGACTGCCTAAAAACATTCATTCAATCACATTGGTTCATAGAATTACACAAAGAATTAAAAGCCTGCTGCTCTGGGGGTGTCTCAGCTGGACAACCCACAAAAGCTATGCCTGGCCAATCAGAATGTGAAAGGAGGAGGTGGCAGTGGCAGTGATAGCATTTCACTTCCTACTGTGGCAGGGTCCATTCCTTTAGATTTAGCTTTCAAATAACAACCTCTCTGGCTCCTCACCTGGCCCCAGCTGGAGAAGGCCCACTCCACACACAGCTGCTGGTTACAGGCCTGGGTGTCCACAGGCCGCTTGGCGACCTGGGTGCACATGTCATTGGACACAGGGGTGGAGATCCCAGAGGCTTTCAGCTTTTGACAGGTCACCCTGCGGGTCTGGACACCTCCCCCACAGCTCCGGGTACAGGCAGACCAGGAGGTCACCATCCACCTGGGGAGAGGAAGAAGTGTCAGGAGAGCCCTAAAGGGACAGGCCCTGGGGAAAAGAGACCTCCTCCCCACCGACATCCCTGCTCTTGCCACTAATTTGGGGCCAAGGCCCTTTTTACAGTATTTACTTGGAAAGATGATTGATAGGCTGAAAAATGACTCCTCCAAAAGATATCCATGTCAAATCCCTAGTGCCTGTGAATGCTATGTGGCAAGGTTCTTTCCAGATGTAATTATGGACTTGAGATAAGATTATCTTGGATTATCTGGCTGGGCCCTAAATGCCTGCCATAACAAGTGTTCATACAGAGAGGTGGAGGAGGAGACAATGTGACCATGAAGGCTGAATGTGGAGTGATGTGGCCATAAGCCACCTGGGGCCACCAGAAGTGGATTCTCTCCTAGAACCTTTGGAGGTGATTTGGAGGTGATGTGATCCTCCTGATTGATAGATACCTTGATCTTGGACTTTTGGCCTTCAAACTTGTAAGAGAATAAATTTGTTGTTTTGTAACTGCAGTGTTGGTACTTCCTAAAGGAGATCCAAGCATGTGACAGGAGAGACAGTTGTTCTAGGGAAGTCAGATCCAAATTCGTGTCACCTCCTGACCTGGAAAGTAATCTGGGCCTCACTGAAGTCAAGGTTTTGTCTGGTAGTGCTCGGTATACTTCCTGCTGCACATTTTGGTCAATCTCTCAGAAACAGGTAAAGTTCCATCTCTTGGCGTGACCGCGTGACAGTCCATAGGTCTTATACCTCTCAGAGGGCTGCATACATGGTAGAAATAGTTGTTCTCTGAATGTTAGGTTCCAAAAGTGAGACTGTGACCGATGGACTTTTCTCACAAAGCCCACCTGTAAACTAGGAACACTCGGAAATCCTCGGTCCATATACAAACAGGCAGGGATTCTTGTTGCATGTGTGCACCCTGTGGTAATTCTCAAAGAGAAGGAGAGAGCTTGGGGAAATCGCGAGACTGTTGCTCATGTAATCTAGAACAAAAAAATCCCACTCTTTGGTTTTAGTGATGGAGAAAATTTATCTAACAAAACGGTTAAAAAACAGCTACCTGGGTCACAGCGGGGTTACCCAGTTGTATCTCAAAGAGACAACCAGGGCAACACTTGTTCACATGCAAAGAAGGATACTAAGTGTTCCAAATGCCTGGCAGGCAAACGGGTCAAAGGTGAACCTATGGCTTCGTCCTAGCCAAGCGGCGCCACATCTGGCTTTCAGGAGAGGCATGTAGCAGGGAAGGGGAGCAAATTCCTCCTAAATCTGGACTGTGACTTACTTAGTTTTGTGGCCACTTCCCTGCTCTTTTGCCTTGTGGAGGGATGACTGAACGCAGATTTCCAACCCACAGGAGCAGAGCCACTTAGGAAGCAGGCAAGAGGTGTTTAAAAACTCCCGGGGGCATTGAAATCCAAGAAAACAGAGCCATTATTTCATTTGCAGAAGTAAATTAAGCTGATTGACTCTGACCATCACCAAATCAAGTCAGAAAGTTCCTGGCACATCAAAGATCTCTTCTTCATTTTGCACAGCTTGGCAAGGGCAGTTTTCCAGCCTCTTATATCCCTGGTGAATGTCAGGCCTGCATTTCCATCAACTTTTATTTCCAAATATACGTTTCAGCAATTTTTCAGGAGCTGGGGTGGGGGGGGTTTGAGAAAGGAGCGGGCCAGGCTATGTTACAGTTCAGGAAGGGTATAAAAGGACATTAATCATTCCTGTGGAAACCTTCCCGTCAGCAAGTCAAACTGCTGATATTAATGAGCATGTTTCATATTTCATCGAATCTCTCCTGGTTTCAGCTGCTCCTTATGACTCAGCTGGCAAAACAGAAAGCAGTTGCCTAAGTATTGTATGAAAGTCCTACAGATAGGTAGTAAAGGGGCATTTGAGAGCTGAGCCACATCCCCCCAGGCTCTCAGCACTGCACCAGTGCCAACTCCAAGCCCATCTATTATCCATTTAACTACTGCTGAGGACAGAGGATGAGGTGCACAGGGGGACTCATAGCCTCTTGAAGCATAAGGAAGGTGGCAGAGGCTTTAGGTGTCACTCTGGGCCACACAAGGGACCCAAATGCAGAGCATGAGGCTACTGTCAGAAACAGAGATTTATTCCAACTTTAGTGAGACGCAAGCCTTTGTAGAAAAGAGGAAGATAAGATTTCCCCAACTGAACTGGAGTACTGATTAGCATGGGTATTTAAGGTTAGACTTGGAGGGTGGGCAGAACCCAGTAATCGTTGTTTCCTCAGCCCTTCGATTGAAAAGACATTGCTTTCTACAAACAACTCAGAGTCAGTTGATTACTGTAGGATGGGGGGCGTCTATGGCTTGCCAGGGCCTGGGAAGCTCTTGCTCCCTGAACAGACCCCGTTAGGGACTTGGGAAACCTGGCTGGCCATTAGTGGGGTGAGGAATAAACAAAGCTGAGAGAGGTGGCATAGTCTGAGGATATTTTCAGCAAGGTGGAGAGGCCTGATAAGCCTGTGCCTAGAGGGAAGAACAGCTCCTTGGCTGGCATCTCTCCCTGCACAGTGCTACTGAAGGGCTGGCCACTGACTTCGCTAACAGGGAGGGCTCCTCCTAGGGTGGGGAGGTCTGAGCCAGTGTCCGCTGCACTCACCGAGAAGGGCAGTCTCTCCGGTTGCACGCGATGGGCTGCACCGCAGGGCGAACCTTCCCTGCGCAGTGGGCAGGGTTGACCTCCGTGCTGTTCAGCAGGCACCTCAAGCGGGGCTGCTGAACCCCCCGGTTACCACAGGAGGCTGAGCAGGTTGCCAGTCTGTCCACAGACCACCAGTAATCTGTCATGGGAGGAGGAGCAGTGTAGAAAAGAATATAGCATAATTGCCCACACTCTGAATTCCTTCTGAGCAGGGCAGGGAGAAGGTGACAGGGGTGGATTTGTGGCCTGAAGGAGAGGAGCTATTATAAATGAGGCCCTGCTCCTCGCAGGGAACCATTCCCGAACTATTTGGGGAAGTCACGTGGTCTCTAGGGGCCTCAGCCATGAAATGAATACAGTGAACCTCACCTCACCAAGTTATTGTGGGGACAGGAAATAATGAAAGTAAAGTAGCTCAGTGTCTGACATAAAAGAGTGCACAATTAATGCCACAGGTCATCTTATTTTTAAAGATATTGGCTACAGTACTTTTTTTTCCTCATTGGTTCACCAGAAAGTGACTTTGTTTTCTACAAAGATATATAAATATAGCAAATATTTAACCATCACAGTACAGATTTGAGCTGGACTTTGCAAATGTTACCCAAAAGAGCCTATGCAGAGAGTGCTTATTTACATGAGACAATGATGTCAGTAAGAAAGCCAGTTGCTTTGGGGGTCTGGGACTCACTGATAGGTGAGATGGTAAATTTTGAGTGCTTATTTGCAAAGTTGCATATTACAAGTCTTGCAAATAGGCCCTGGCTTCTGGTTTTCAGCAGAGGCTAGCTGGCTCCAAGAAAATTTGTTTTCTTGTCTGAAAACATTTGTTTTCCTGTCTGAAAAGCCAAATGGTGAAGGAGGATATTTAAGAAGAAAACTTAACTGCTTAGAAAAATTTCCCTCCTTTCTTCATCTTTTTGTGCCGTATTGGCACAAAACTCTGTCCCTTCCCATCACATCCTTCATTTTGGAATACATCACACATAGGCCACAGGTCGAACAAGCCTATGGAAAACACTATAAGAAGGCCAGTTTCCCTCTTTCCCACTGATTGGGCCTCATTTACAACTCTTTCTTGGTGCAGTGAAGGCCAGGCCCCACCCAAAGGCTTTCTGACCTGCCTGTTTTCCTGGAAGGTTAATGCATGAGCCATGTGGGCTTCGCAGTCTGTTCTTTGCCAGGGCCAAATGAAAGGTGCCTGGAAAGCCCTCAGCTTATGACTAAAGCTGAAGACTCTTCAGAATGATCAGCAGGCACTGGCATCAGGCCTGTCTCTCCAGGCAGGAGGCAGTAACCAAACAGGCTACTCTGTGTGTGTGAGATCTGTACTAGTTAAATCAGCATAAAAGAATCACATCTGACTTTGATATATAGTGGTGTTTCCATGGTCCTGAGCAACAGCAGCATTAAAAGCAGAAGGGCCTATTTATGAAGGCAGCACTGGCTTTTCCAGGTTCTGCTGGGATGGGGCATGATGGCTCTTCTGAAGGGCCATGTTGACAGAAGTAGGGTCTCACTGTATGGAAACATGGCATGGCTTTGGTTTTCATGCCTTGAGTACCACTGGAGATCAGAAATCTCTTTGTTCTGCTAGATAGTTAGATTCCCAAGTGGGCTTTCTTGTTCAAGTCCAGTATGCAAAGTCTGCAGGGTTTCTTACCTTGGATCACTAAAGATGCCTTCTGCATGAGCACCCCTGCCTCATTCTGAGCAAGGCAGCTGAATTCCCCTTGAGACCCACCGCTAAGGTTTGCAACTTGAAGGATCTGTCCAGCTGCCAAGATGTGATGCGTCAGTCCTGTGGCAGTGACAATTGGCTGACCACCATGAAACCAGGTGATATTAGGGACAGGGTGACCTTTGATGGGGCAGCCTAGAAGGAGAGGAAAAGAAGTAAGCCTTAGTAAAGCCATAAGGAACACATTGCTGGTGCACTGGTTTACTGTCTGTGTGGCTCTAGAAATTGTACACACAATGTGGCCTTGTCTGTGGCATTTTTATTACATTTGCCATTCCTGAGCAAACAGGAGATGTTTTTATTCTCTGAATTTCTAGGAGGGTGACTATGATTCATTCAATTAAGTAAAATTACTGGATAACAAAAGTACCTGTTTCTTTCTGTTTATGTCCCTATACTAACTTTAAAAAAAGATACAATTAATCTTCATTCATTGAACAGTTTTTTCAAGGTAAGTAGTTCTTATAGTGATTTTTTTCTGACAGAAATTCCTTCTTCAAATACGATATGTTGGGAAAAAATACCATACTATATAGTAATAGTTAAGAAACAAACTTGATTTGGTAAAAGTATCATATTCCCTCATTTTACTTGTTATGAGATTTTTCCAATCAGAGACTAGGAAAGCAATTTTAGACATGGATCTTTTTTCTGCATAAGGCTTTGTCTTCTGAAGGCTTTTGCCAAGCCTGCACTGGACATGTACAATATTATACACATCTACAGAGCCATCAAACATATTTTGATATAATAAACTCAAATGTCTACCCAAGACTTTGTAGCATAGAATCGGTAAGATAAACAGGTTGCAGTTGTGAGAGAAATTCCTTGAAGGTCAGGGTACTTGCTGAATTTGCTGTTGTGCCCCAGCAACTTACCTTCCACAGAGAATTTCTTTGGAAGTGTAAAATGCAGTAAGTCATTGAAAATTAAAGAATCTATAGATTTTTTTCCCCCTCAGTTCACTTAGAAAAACATCTGTTTGGTACCTACTGCTCTGGGGACAGTTAAGATAATTAAGACTATCTTCCCTCTTCTAGGGAGATCTCAGCTGGTATAAGATTTTTAGAAAGTACACTCATAAAACTGCAGATGCAAGGCAGGAGATGATGAGATACGAGACACAAAGATGGTGCTATAGTCTGAGGGTTTGTGTATACCCCCTAGATTCATATTGAATTCTAATCACCAAGGTGATGGTATCAGAGGGTGGGGCCTTTGGGAGGTGATTCTGTCACATGGGCTCTGTCCTCACGAATGAGATTAGTGTCCCCATAAAAGAGGCCCTGGAGAGAGCTGCCTTGGCCCTTCCACCATGTGGGACACAATGAGAAGCTGCCATCTATGAAGCAGACAGCAAGCCCTCACCGATATCAAATCTGCGGCTGCACTGATCTGGGACTTGCCAGACTCCAGAACTGTAAAAAACAAATTTGTTTTGTTTGTTTATAAGCCACTAGTTTTTATATGTCTGTTATATCAGCCTGACTGGACTAAGACAGGCGGCTACCCTCTGTGGATGTGTGGGTGCCTATGCAACTATAGAGAGAAGGGATTTTTTCTAATGTTTCATTTCTTTGTTGACAGGGTCTCGCTCGGTCACCCAAGCTGGAGTGCAGTGGTGCAATCGTAGCTCACAGCAACCTCCAACTCCCAAGTAGCTACAATTACAGGTGTGCACCACCATGTCCAGATAATTTCTGTGTGTGTGTATGTATGTATATACTTGTATGTATGTATATGTATGTGTGTGTATATATATATATATATATATATATATATATATATATATATATATACACATACACACTCACATGTATATATACACATACATATTTTTAAGTAGAGACAAGGTTTCACCATGTTGGCCAGGCTGTTCTTGAACTCCTGGCCTCAAGTGATCTGCTCGCCTCAGCCTCTCAAAGTGCAAGGATTACAGAAGTGAGCCACCACACCTGGCCTAGCATTTCTTGTTTTTGAATCCAGAGATAGAACTGTTAAAATTTACACAAGATTGGGAATCCCTAGAAATCATCTAGTTCACCACTAGAGGAAGAAACAGAGGCCTAGAGAGGTTAGGAGACCTTCCTGAGATTGTGCGGCAGGCCTTCTATCCGACGCCTGGACCGTGTTCTTTCCCCCATACCTGCTACTTGTTCAGCTGGGCACCTTGCTACCTCCTTCGTTTCTTTGCTCACTTATTTTTTTCCCCTTCATTTTTGTTTTTCCTGAGGTAGTAGTGAGAGGGTAGGAGCAGACTATTTGGAAGGGAGGGTTCTAAAAAGATAACCTAAAAATGGACCCCTGGAAGCTCAGTATGGGATGTAGTGTTATATGATCCAATTCTTCACTCCTTCATGTATCCGCTGACTAGCCCATGCCACTTGACAGTGCCCTCCCATGAGAAAGCGGTTATACTTCCCCCTCTTGGCTTTGGCCATGTGAGTTATTTAGATGACAAAAATGAGACAGATGTTACAATAACAATCAGAAAAGAAAAACAAGTTCACTCACAACAGCATCAAAAAGAAGAAAATACTTAGGAATAAACTTAACCAAGGAGGCTACTATGGTTCAGATATTTGTCTCCTCCAAAACTCCTGTTGAAATTTAATTGCTATTGTAACAGTAGTAAGAGGTGATCAGGCCATGAGGGCTCTGTCCTCATGGGTTGGATTAATGCCATTATAAAAGGGTGAATTCAGCCCTTATTTGTCTCTTTGTGCTTTTGAAGAGCATGTGAAGACAAAGCTTTCCTCCCTTTTGGAGGATGCAAAGGAGGACTGTGAGCCACTAAATTTCTGTTCATTATAAATTACCTAGTCTCAGGTATTCTGTTATAGCAGCACAAAATGGACTGAGAGACAAAAATCTTGAACACTGAAAACGACAAAATACGGCTGAAACAAATTAAAGAAGATATAAATTCATGGGAGGACATCTCATGTTTACGGATTAGGAGACTTAATACTGTTAGGATGTCAATACTACTCATAGTGATCTACAGATTGAATGCAATCCCCATCAAATCCCAATGATATATTTTGCAAATAGAGAATCTCATGCTAAAATTTATATGGAATATCAAAAACCCAGAATAACTAAACAACCTTGAAAAAGAAGAACAAAGAGGATTCATAGTTCCTGATTTCAAAACTTAATACAAAGTGATAGTAATCAAAACAGTACTGTACTGGCATAAAACAGACACAGAGAACAAAAGAACAGAATAGAGACCGGAAACAGACTTTTAAATATGTAGTCAAATGATTTTTGACAAGGTTGCTAAGACCATTCAATGGGGAAAGGACAGTCTTGCCAACAAATGGTTCTGGGAAAATGGATATCCATATGTGAACAAATGACTTACACTATATATAAAAATTAACTCAAAATGGATGAAAGACCTAAACCTAAGAGCTGAAAGCATAAAACTCTTAAAAAAAATCGCAGGGGAAAACTTTAATGACATTGGGTTTGGCAATGATTTCTTAGATATGACACTAAAATATAGGCAACAAATGAAAAAATAAAGTGGATTCCATCAAAATTTAAATCTTTGACACATCATAAGACACCATCAAGTGAGTGAAAAAGCAACTCACAGAATGAGAGAAAATATTTGCAAATCATAGATCTGATGAGATTAATATCCAGAATATAAAAAGAACTCTTAAAATTTGATAACTAACAAACAACCCGGTTCAGGCAAATGCCCAAATAAGCAAAGGACTTGAGCAGACATTTCTCCAAAAGAGATACATGAATGGCCAATAAACACATGAAAAGATGCTCAATTAATCATTAGGAAAATGCAAATTAAAGCCACCATGAGTTACCACTGCATACCCACCAGGATGGCTATTATTAAAAGAAACCCAAAATATAAATGTTTGCAAATATGTGAAAAAATTGGAACCCTTGTGCATTGCTAGTGGGAATATAAAATGGAACAGCTGTTGTGGAAAACAGTATGGTGGCCCCTCAAAAAATTAAATATAGGATTATCATATGCTCCAGCAATTCCACTTTAGGGTATATATTCAAAAGAATTGAAAGCAGGAACTTTAAAAGATATTTGTACACCTATGTTCATAGCAGCATTATTCATAATACCCAAAAGATTTAAACCACTCAAATATCCAATAATCAATGGGTAGATAAACAAAATGTGGTATATATGTATGATGGAATATTATACAGCCTTAAGGAATGACATTCTGACATATGCTACAACATGGATGAGCCTTGAAAACATTATGCTAAATGAAGGAAGTCAGATATAAAAGGACAAATATTGTATGATTCCACTTATATGAGGTACCTGGAGCAGCCAAATTCATAGAAACAGAAAGTGGAATAGTGGCTACCAGAGGCTGGGAGAAGGGAGGGAGGAGGAGTGCAGAGTTTCAGTTGATGAAAAAATTCTGGAGACAGTGATGATAGCTGCACAACAAGGTAGATGTATGCAATGGCATCAAACTGTGCACTTAAAAAGAGTTGAAATTGTAAATTTTATGTATCTCTTACCACAATAAAAAACTGAGGCAGAGATGATAATGTACCAGTTCCAAACCTAGACCACAAGAGATCTTGGGAGCTTTTGCTTGTGCTGTTGTGCCTTTGCCATTATATTAGAAAGTCATGCCGGGACTGGCCTGATGATCCCAAGAGGAAGATGAGAGAAATGTGGAGAACAGTCAAGTCACTCCAGCCAAACCCAGCTTAGATCAGCTGAACTAAGTAAGATCAGTAAGAACAATTGATTGTTGTTTTAAGTCACCAAGTTTGGGCTTTTTAAAATGCAGCATGTGTATGTGTGAGGTGATAGCTAACTGATACATTTAGGGAGAGGTATCTTCCAGCTTTTCCACTTGGCCAATGGATTGAAGGCCTGGAATAGGACAGAGCTGCTACTTGTGTGCTGACCCAGCTCTTACCTGACCTATATCCTCTTTTTTTTTTTTTTTTTTTGAGGCAGGCTCTCATTCTGTTGCTCAGGTTGGAGTGTAATGGTGCAATCATAGCTCACTGCAATCTTGAACTCCTGGGCTCAAGTGATCCTCCCACCTCAGCCTCCCAAATAGCTAGGATTACAGGCATGTGCCACCACACACAGCTAATTAATTTTTTTAGTAGAGATGGAGTCTTGCTATGTTGCCCAGGCTGGTCTTGAACTCCTGGCCTCAAGTGATCCTCCCTCCTCAGCTTCCCAAAGTGCTGGGATTACAGGTGTGAGCCACCTTGCCTGGCCCTGTATCACCTTATTCAAGGTACTCAGGAGAAGCAGTCTCACCACAAGCTCCTGGCGGCATCTAGGCATCTACATGCCACGAGGTCCATGGTGGTGTCACTGCACTCCTGTTCTGAAATGAGTGTAGAAATGGCCTTGGGGAGAGAAGTCAGTCCACTGGGGATCTCCTGGGATCCGGGCACCTATACCCTCCAACCCTAATTGTAGCCTGGAGTAAAATGCTCGTTCCATTTTCCAATAAAAGCCAGGAAAACTATATGTGTATGAAGGCAAATATACTTTTGAAACTGCAGCTGAAACAAATAAAGCTTTTTAGCCTGACTGAAATAGGCAAATGCGTGTCTCCCTATCACATCTACTTTGAAGGAAAAAAAAAGGGCCATATGCTATCAAGGTGCTGGCTCCATGAATCCTGTTTGGTCAGCCCTGGTGAGGCTGATGAGATTTTAGTCGGTAAATATGAACCTTACTACTCCTAAGCACATTTGTCAGGGAATCTTTCATATTTTCTCATAGTCCTCATTTTCCCAACTGCCTTAGGATTTTCTGAGAGAGTATTTAGGCAGAAAAAGGAGTGGTAGCAGCCCCTAGGTTGGTCACTATGGCTGAAGAACTTATCTGGGAGCTAGAAACCTTAGTCAGCTAAATAAGAGGAATACTAAATAAGAGGAATATTTGCACAAAAATCACATCCAAATTCCTCCCTCCTCCTTGGAATCAGAGGCCATAGTGAGTAGCCAGGAAACCTCTCTTGGCCCATCTGAGCCTTGGGTCTTGGTCTTGTTCCCAGGGCCTCCCAGCCTGCTATTCCTCGTGCAGATGAGAATAGGGTAGAGATGCTTCGAAGGGCAGGCCTGCCATGGATGTGGAGTTCTTGGAACTCAAGACCCAGGAGAAGCAACTAACAGGCCTTTGAGAAGCTGCCTTCATAATACAGGCATACCTCACTTTATTGTACTTTGCTTTATTGCACTTCATGGATCCTGCATTTGTTACAAATTGAAGGTTTGTGGCAACCCTGTGCTAAGCAAATCTACTGGCATGATTTTCTAACAGTGTGTGCATACTTTATGTCTCTGTGTAAAATTTTCAAAACTTTTCATTATTATCTGTTACGGTTATGTGTGATCAGTGATCTTTGATGTTACTATTGTAATTGTTTTGGGGTACCATGAACCATGCTCATATAAAAAGATGAACTTAATTGATAAATGTTTGTATTCTGACTGCTCATCTGAATGGCCATTTGCCCATCTTGCTTCCTCTCCTGGGGCCACCTCCCTATCCCCTGAGATGCAGCAATATTAAAATTAGGCTAATTAATAATCCTACAGTGGCATCTAAGTGTTCAAGACAAAGAAAAAGTTGTACATCTTTCACTTTAAATCAGAAGCTAGAAATGATTAAGCTTAGTGGGGAAGGTATGTCAAAAGCCAAGACAGGTCTCTTGCTCCAAACAGCCAAGTTGTGAATGCAAAGAAAAAGCTCTTGAAGAACATTAGAAGAGCTACACCAGTGAACACAAAAAAATTGATAAGAAGTAAAATAGTCTCATTGCTGATACGAAGAAAGTTTTAGTGGTCTGGTTAGAAGATCAAACCTGCTATAACATTCCCTTAATCTAGTGCCTAATCCAGAGCAAGCCCTACTACCTCTCTTCAATTCTATGAAGGCTGAGAGACGTGAGGAAGCTGCAGAGGAAAAGTTGGAAGCTAGCAGAGGTTGGTTCATAAGGTTTTAGGAAAGAAACAGTCTCTCTTACATAAAAGTGCAAGTTAAAGCAGCAAGTTATCCAGAAAATCTGGCTAAGATCACTGATGATGGTGGCTATGTTAAACACAAGAGATTTTCAGTGTAGATGAAACACTCTTCTATTGGAAGAAGATGCTATCTAGGAGCTTGATAACTAGAGAGAAGTCAATACCTGGCTTCAAAGCTTCAAAGGACAGGCTGACTCTCTTGTTAGGGGATAATGCACCTGGTGACTTTAAAGTGAAGCCAATGGTCATCTCTAGTTCCAACAATCCTGGGTCCCTTAAGAATTACGTTACATCTAATCTGCCTGTGCTCTATAAATGGAAGAACAAAGCCTGGATGACAGCACATCTGTTTATAGCATGGTTTACAGAACATTTTAAGATCACTATTTTGTTACCTACTGCTCAGAGAAAAAGCCTTCTTTCAAAATATTACTGGTTATTGACAATGCACCTGTCTACCCAAGACTTCTGATGGAGATGTATAAGGAGATTCTTATTTTCATTTCTGCGAACATAACATCCATTCTGCAGCCCATGGATCAAGGAGTGATTTCAACTTTCAAGTCTTACTCTTTAAGAAACAAATTTCATAATGCTATAGCTGCCATGGATAGTAATTTCTAAAATGGATCTGGGAAAAGTAAATAGAAAATGTTCTGGAAAGGATTCATCATTCTAGATGCCATTAAGGACATTCATGATTCATGGGAGGAGGTCAAAATACCAACATGAACAGGAATTTGGGAGAGGTTGATTCTAGCCCTCATGGATGACTTTGAGGGGTTCAAAACTTCAGTGTTGAGGAAGTCACTGCAGATGTGGTAGAAATAACAAGAGAACTAGTATGAGAAGTAAAGCCTGAAGATGTGACTGAATTGCTGCAATATCATAATAAAACTTGAATGGATGAGGAGTTGCTTTTTACGGATGAGCAAAGAAAGTGGTTTCTTGAGATGGAATCTACTCTTGGTGAAGTTGCTGTGAACAGTGTTGAAATGATGACAAAGGATTTAGAATATTATATAAACTTAATTAATAAAGCAGTGGCAGGGTTTGAGAGGATTGACACCAATTTTGAAAGAAGTTCAACTGTGAGTAAAATGTTACCAAACAGCATCACATGCTACAGAGGACTCTTTCATGAGATGAATCAATCGATGCAGCAAACTTCATTGTTGTTGTCTTTTAAAAACTGCCAGAATCTTTCCAATATTCAGCAACCATCAACATGAAGGCAAGACCCTCCACCAGCAAAAAGATTAGACTTGCTTAAGGCTCAGATAATTGTTAGCATTTTTTAGCAATAAAGTATTTTTAAATTAAGGCATGTATGTGTTTTCTTTTAGATGTATTGGTGTTGCACACTTAGTGGATTACAATATAGTGTAAACATAACTTTTACATGTATTGGGAAACAAAAAATATTGTGTGACTCGCTTTATTGCAGTATATGCTTTATTGCAGTGGTCTGTAACTGAACCCAAAGTAAAGTATCTTGAGGATGTAACTGTAAAGCCTCTGAAACTTATCAAGGCTAAGATCAGTTTTGTGGAAAAATTTTAAAAAAATCCTGGTGTTGTTACTGTGAAGGTTAGTTACACAGATTCATGACTCTGAAGGAGAACTCTAGGTTTCAGTAGGGTTCTCTGGTCTCAGTTTTCTAATTTGCAAGTGAGAATATTTGATGATTTTAAAGGTTCATTTATGTTCGAATGAAATAACCTTTAAGGTGCTTTTAGGTTCCCAAATGTCTTAACATCATCTCAAATTCATTCTCACCCCTCCTCTTCTCTCTCCCACAAAGCCAAGTGCCAGGGCAAAGTGGACCTATTTAAATCTATATTGCTTGGGTTGACATATAGTGAAACGGAACTAAGCCAATGATGGGGTCATGGAAGAAATGTTATATATGAAGGTTATTTAGGCTTTTCAACCTGGCAGTGCAGCTGGTTCCATTGTCAGTAGTTGGTCCTAGTTTGCAATTTGCTTTTCCCACACTTCAGAGGCTGCCTTATTGTGCCCTCTCAGAGATCCTAGCAGCAACTGGCACCTCCCACTCCCTGCAGAGCTCTGAGTCTCAGCTCCTTGTGGCCTCTCCTCCAAGCTTCGAAATTCTAATAATCCTGAGGGGAAAAATGGCAGATAGGAGACAAAACTAACTTGCAGCTTCCACTCAGATGTACAGAGCAGCATGTGAAGACTCACATTGTGATTTTCTGCTCCAAGAACTACCACAGGAACATACCAGGAAAGGCCAGAGAATCCGCAGACCCTTTCAAGGAAGCAGCTTGCCACTGCAGGTGCCATGAGAACAGCCAAAAAACTGGGAGTGCCCAAAGTGTGAGAGGGTGAGAATCTGCTCCCAAATGCACATCCTCACTGGGGAACCTGAAGGTCTAGATCACAGGAGAAGGATTTGACCTTACCAGGAGCTGAGATTAATTTAGAGAGCTGAGAAAAATGTAGGGGTAGATGTAGTAGTGGGAAGAGCCCTGTTGGCTCTCAGTTCCTGGGGAAGCCATTTCTGACTTTGTCTTACAGGGGTCCTTGGAGAGAGCTGCCAGTGGAATTGGGGAAAGACCACAAGGAGTAGGAAATTTCCAAATGAACTTTGTAACAATTTTGACTGGATATGAAGTTTCCTGGACAGAATCCTGGGGAGGGGGGTTAACAGGGAGTGCAGATAGGAGCACAGAAGCCACGACAGGTGGGGAGGTGTGAAACCTGAAAGCGCTGCTTGCTTTCTCAGCTGGGAGGCTTGTAGCCTGGGCCAAGTTCTCAGCCCTGCTCACTGGCTGCCTGCAAATAAACTTGGTGCTATTGGTGGGGCATGGTGGGAGTGAGACTGGCCTTTCGGGCTGCATGGGAGCTGGGTGAAGCCTGTCACTGCCAGCTTTCCCCACTTCCATGGCAACTTGTATGACATAGCAGAGGCAGCCATAATCCCCCTGGGAATATAACTTTGTTGGCCTGAGAACTACACCCAATCCCCTATAGCAGTCCCAGCAAGCCCCACCCAAGGAGAGTCTGAGCTCAGACACGCCTAACCCTGCACCCACCTGATGGTCTTTCTCTACCGGCCCTGGTAGCTGAAGACAAAGGACATAATCTCTTGGGAGATCTGTGGCCCTGCCCACTGCCTGAGAAACCCCAATACTTATCCAGGTGACCCTAGGGCAAGCTTGTATACTCCCTATACTACCACACCTGATGATCCTTGAAAGTGCCACCTCCTGGCTGGAGGTCAACAAACACAAAACCAGCACACTAAACAAAACTACAACCAAGGACCCTCACAGAGTCCACTTCACTCCCCTTCTACTGCCACCAGAGCAGGTACTGGTATTCATGGCTGAGAGACCTGAAGACAAATCACATCACAAGACTCTTCACAGCCTCTCCTCAGTACCAGCCAGAAGCCCAGTAGCTCCACTGGATGGCTAAACCCAGAAGAGAAATAACTATCACTGCAGTTCAGCTCCCAGAAAGCCCCATCCCTAGGGGAAGTGGGAGAGCACCACATCAAGGGAGCACCCTGTGGGACAAAAGAATCTCAACAGCAGCCCTTGAGCCCCAGATCTTCCCTCTGACATAGTCTACCCAAATGAAAAGGAACCAGAAAAACAATCCTGGTATTATGACAAAACACTCCCAAAAGATCACACTGGCTCACCAGGAACGCCTCCAAACCCAGAAGAAATCTCTGAGTTGCCAGAGAAAGAATTCACAATGTTAATTATTAAGTTACTCAAGGAGGCACCAGAGAAAGGTGAATACCAGCTTAGAGAAATCAAAAAAATGATACAGGATATGGATGGAAAAGTCTCCAGAGAAATAGACAGCATAAATAAAAAACAATCATAACTTCTGGAAATGAAGGACACAGAGAAATGCAAAATACACAGGAAAGTCTCAACAGAATAAAACAAGTAGATGAAAGAACTTCAGAGCTTGAAGACAAGTCTTTTGAATTAACCCAATCTGACAAAGAAAAAAAAGATTAAAACAAATGAACAAAGCCTTCAAGAAGTTTGGCATTATGTTAAAAGATCAAACCTAAGAATAATTGATGTTCCCAAGGAAGAAGATAAATCTAAATGTTTGGTAAACATATTTGAGGGAATAATCGAGGAAAACTTCCCTGACCTTGCTAGACATCTAGACATCCAAATACAAGCTCAAAGAACACCCAGGAAATTAATTGCAAAAAGATCATCATCTAGGCACATAGTCATCTGGTTATCTGAAGTCAAGACAAAGGAAAGAATCTAAAGAGCTACAAGCCAAAAGTATCAGGTAACCCATAAAGGAAAACCTACCTGATTAACAGCAGATTTCTTGGCAGAAACCCTACAAGCTAGAAGTGATTGGGGTCCTATCTTGAGCTTCCTTAAACAAAACTATTATCAGCCAAGAATTTTGTATCCAGTGAAACTAAGCATCATACATGAAGGAAAGATAGTCTTTTTCAGAAAAACACATGCTGAGAGAATTCACCACTACCAAGTCGGCACTGCAAGAACTGCTAAAAGGGGCTCTAAATCTTGAAACAAATCCTCAAAATACACCAAAATAGAACTTTGTAAAGCATAAATCTCACAGAACCTATAAAACAATCACGCACACACACACACACACACACACACACACGTATTCAGGCAACAACTAGCACAATAAATAGAATAGTACCACACCTCTCAATACTAATGTTGAATACAAATGGCTTAAATGCTCCACTTAAAAGATGGAGAATGGCGGAATGAGTAAGAGTTCACCAACCAAGTATCTGCTGTCTTCAAGAGACTCACCTAACACATAAGGACTCACATAAACTTAAGGTAAAGGGGTAGAAAAAGGTATTCCATGCAAATGAACACCCCAAACAAGCAGGAGTAGCTATTCTTATACCAGACAAAACAGACTTTAAAGCAACAGCAGTTAAAAAAGACAAAGAGAGACATATATAATGATAAAAGGACTAGTCCAACAGGAAAATATCATAATCCTAACTATGCACATAATACTGGAGCTCCCAAACTTATAAAACAATCATTACCAGACTTAAGTAATGAGATAGATGGCAACATAATAATTGTGGAGACTTCAATAATCCACTGAAAGCACTAGACAGGTCATCAAGACAGTCAACAAAGAAACAATAAACTTAAACTATAACCTAGAACAAATGGATTTAACAGATATTTGTAGAATATTCTACCCAACAACTGCAGAATATACACTCTATTCATCAGCACATGGAATATTCTCCAAGATAGTCTATGTTACAGGCCATGAAACAAGTCTCAGTAAATTTAAGAAAATCAAAATTATATCAAGTACTCTCTCAGACCACAGTGGAAGAAAATTGGACATCAACTCCAAAAGGAACCTTCAAAACCATGCAAATACATGGTAATTAACCTGCTCCTGAATGACTGTTGTGTCGACAATGAAATCAAGGTAGAAATTAAAAAATTCTTTGAACTGAATAATAATAGTGACACAGTCTTTCAAAACCTCTGTGATACAGCAAAGGTGGTGCTAAGAGGAAAGTTCACAGCATTGAATGTCTACATTAAAAAGTCTGAAAGAGCACAAATAGACAATCTAAGGTTACACTTCAAGGAATTTGAGAAACAAGAACAAACCAAACCCAAACCCAGCAGAAGAAAGGAAATAATAAAGATCAGAGCAGAACTAAATGAAATTGAAACAAAAAATAGATAAATGAAACAAAAAGCTGTTTCTTTAAAAAGATGAAACAAAACTGATAGACCATTAGTGGGTTAACCAAGAAGAGAGAAGATTCAAATAAGCTCAATTAGAAACAAAATGGGAGATGTTTCAAATGATACCACAGAAATACAAAAGATCATTCAAGGCTACTATGAACAGCTTTACATGCACAAACTAGAAAACCTAGAGGTGATGGATAAATTCCTGGAAATATACAACCCTCCTAGATTAAACCAGGAAAAAACAGAAACTCTGAACAGATCAATAACAAGCAGTGAGACTGAAATGGTAATAAAAAATTGCCAACAAAAAAAAGTCCAGGACCAGATGGATTCACAGCTGAATTGTATCAGACATTCAAAGAACAGTTAGTACCAATCCTACTGAAACTATTCCAAAAAAAAAGAGAAGAGGGAGTCCTCCCTAAATCAGTCTATGAAGCCAGTATCATCCTAATACCAAAACCAGGAAAGGACATAAAGCAAACAGACCAGTATCGCTGGTGAACATCAATGTAAAAATCCTCAACAAAATACTAGCTAACCAAATCCAACAGCATATTAAAAAGATAATCCACCTTGATCAATTAAGTTTCATACCAGGGATGCAGGCATGGTTTAATATCCACAAGTTAATAAATGTGATACATCACATAAATAAAAAAATCCCATGATTTCAATTGATGCAGAAAAAGCACCTGACAAAATCCAGTATTGCTTTAGGATTAGAACCCTCAGCAAAATTGGCATAGAAGAGACACACTCTAAGGTAATAAAAGCCATCTATGACAAATCCACAGCCAACACTATACTGAATGGGGAAAAGTTCTCCCTGAGAACCAGAACAAGACAAGAATGCCCACTTTTACCGCTTCTCTTCAACATAGTACTGGAAGCCCTAGCCGGAGCAATCAGACAAGAGAAAGAAAAGAAAGAAAGCGCATCCAAATCGGTAAAGAGGAAGTAAAACTGTTGCTGTTCACCAATGATATAATCATATACCTAGAAAGCCCTAAAGACTCTTCCAAAAAGCACCTAGAACTGATAAATGAATCCAGCAAAGTTTCAGGATACAAAATTAATGTATACAAATCAGTAGCCCTGCTATACAACTACAGCAACCAAGCTGAGAATCAAATCAAGAACTCAACTCCTTTCACAATAGTTGCAAAAAAAATTAAAATACTTACGAATATACCTAACCAAGGAGGTGAAAGACCTCTACAAGGAAAACTACAAAACACTGCTGAAAAAATCATAGACGACACAAATGGAAACACATTCCATGCTCAAGGATGGGTAGAATCAATATTGTGAAAATGACCATACTGCCAAAAGTCATCTAAAAACTCAATGCAATTCCCATCAAGATACCACCATCATTCTTCACAGAATTAGAAAAAACAATTCTAAAATTCATATGTAACTAAAAAAGAGCCCACATAGACAAAGCAAGACTAAGCAAAAAGAACAAATCTGGAGGCATCACATTACGTGACTTCAAACTATAAGGCCATAGTCACCAAAACAGCATTGTACTGGTATAAAAATAGGCATAAAAAGACCAATGGAACAGAACAGATGACCCAGAAATACAGCCAAATACTTACAGCCAACTGATCTTCAACAAAGCAAACAAAAACATAAAGTGGGGAAAGGACACCCTATTCAATAAAAGGTGCTGGGATAATTGGCAAGCCACATGTAGGAGAATGAAACTGGATCCTCATCTCTCACCTTCTACAAAAGTCAACTCAAAATGGATCAAGGACTTAAATCTAAGACCTGAAACCATAAAAAATTCTAGAAGGTAACACTGGAAAAACCCTTCTTGACATTGGCTTCAGCAAAGACTTCATGACCAAGAACCCAAAGCAAACGCAATAAAAACAAAAATAAATAGATGGAACCTAATTAAACTAAAAAGCTTCTCAACAGCAAAGGAAATAATCAGCAGAGTAAACAGAAGCTCGCAGAGTGGGAGAAAATCTTCACAAACTATGCATCTGGCAAAGGACTAATATCCAGAATCTATAAGGAATGCAAATAATCCTATCCATAAGTGGGCTAAGGACATGAATAGACAATTCTCAAAAGAAGATACACAAATGGCCAACAAACTTTTGAAAAAATGCTCAACATCACTAATTATCAGAGAAATACAAATCAAAACTACAATGTGATACCACCTTACTCCTGCAAGAATGGCTGTAATCAGCAAATCAAAAAATAATAGATGTTGGCATGTACGTGGTAGAAAGGAACACTTTTACACTGCTGGTGGAACTATGGAAAACAGTATGGAGATTCTTTAAAGAACTGAAAATAGATCTACCATTTGATCCAGCAATCCTGCTACTGGGTATCCACCCAGACGAAAACAAGTCTTTATATATAAAAAGAGACACTTGCACATGCATGTTTATAGCAGCAGAATTTGCAACTGCAAAATACGGAACCAGCCCAAATGCCCATCAATCAATGAGTGGATAAAGAAACTGTGGTGTATACATATACCATGGAATACTACTCATCCATAAAAAGGCATGAAATAATGGCATTTGCAGCAACCTGAATGGAATTGGAGACCACTATTCTAAGCGAAGTAACTCAGGAATGCAAAAACCAAACATTTTATGTTCTCACTCATAAGTGGGAGCTGAGCTATGAGGATGCAAAGTCATAAGAATGATACAATGGACTCTGGGTACTCGGAAGGAAGCATGGGAGGTGGGTGATGGATAAAAGACTACACATTGGGTACAGTGCACACTGCTTGGGTGATGGGTGCACCAAAATCTCAGAAATCAGGCCACTGAAGAACTTATCCATATAGCCAAACAATACCTGTTCCCCCCAAACCTACTGAAATTAATAATAAAAAAGGTAATTTCTAATAATCCCAACCTCTTCCCTTGTTCCCTCAGCCCTAGTGATGGTAGCTGCTTTCAGCAGTTGCTACCTCTATGATTGCTCTGTAAGTATCACAGAACTTTTGCAGTTCTCCAATACTTGTTTAACCAAGTCCTATTATATTCTATCTGTTAAAAAAAAAAGAAGGTTATTTAGGAATGATACAGGCAGAGAGCAGGGATATACAGTAGGAAGGGGAGGGTATTCTGGAAGAAGCAGTGTAAGCAAAGGTGCAAAGATGAGAAAACTTGTAGTGTGGCTGGGAGTAAAAACTACTGACTTGGTTGGAACTTGGGAAACATAGATACAGCCAGCATTGTGGGTAGGAGTTGTAATGGAGAGGGCCTTGAAGGCCAGAATCTGGTCTTTTGGGAATCCCTGAAGATGCCTGAAGACGCCTGAAGACGGGAAGTGGTATTATCTAGGTTGGCTTTAGAAGGATCGTTAAGGTGGTTCTTTGCAAGATGCACTAGCTTTAGAGAGTCTGTATCAGTTCAAATTGGCAAAAAAGAGAGACATATTTGCAAAAGCAGCTCTGATGGAATGTGAGGAAGAAAGGGGAGGATGCAAATAAGAGCTAAAGAGTTTGGAACACGAGTGAGACCATGAACAGAAATAGGTAAGTCAGTAAGAGAAGCTCTTCCTTATCACCACCCCTGTGGATGGAAAAATGTAGTTTTAATTTTCTTTCATTTAAAGGTTGTGATGGAACCCCAAGATGAAAAAATCCATCAGGATGATAAAGATGGAAGCCAGTTAGAAATAAGAGCTGGAGACACAGATTTTGGGAACTTGTCTTATAGGTATGTGTGGACAAAATAATCAATGACAAGAGATCAGTCCTCAGGACGAAACACTGGAAGAACTCTAGAATTCAGTGATTGAAGAAGGAAGAAGAGATATCAAAGGAGCCTGAGAAGAAATGATTTGAGAGAGAAGAGGAAAACTGAGACTATGTAATAACATGGAAGCTTAGAAAGCAAAAAATTTTAAAGAGGCAAGATGGCAAATAAGTGGCTAATAAGAATTGTTGGAATGGATTAATGGTTTCATTTGTTTATGAAAATAACTGACCAAACATATTTTTCTAATAATAGGCTCCCCACCTCTGGTAATATAGAAGGTGAACTTCATTCTGACTCACGTTGGAATGATAAAAAATCCAAAGGTAGTGAAATCAGAAATTAAAGCATTTTGTATAATCAAAATATTACATTTAATGCCATGGACACCTATCTCTTTATATAATTTAGGAGAGCATTTACTTCTGGATCTTGAATATTTAGAAGTATACTAACAACTGGGTTATTAAGAAGATAAAGAATTAGAAAAGAGGTTGAGTAACAATGCTTCAAATTTTGCAAAACAGAATGAATAGATCTTGGCCAGAAAACTCTTAAAACAACTTGACTGAGGAGTCTAGCTTCCATTAATGGTGAATAACTTAGTTGGACTTACCTTCCTGCAGATAGCAATCATAAAATCTAAACAAAAACAAAACAAACCCCGAGAAAAACAATTACTACTTGAAAACATTGAAGAATTACCAAAAACAGTGGCAGAAATAGGACAGGTATCTAGCCTAGAAACCTGGCAATTGCAACAGGTATAATCTACCAGCTTGTGTTTTTTTTTGCCTGAAAATGGCTTAAGGAGCTGGAAAGCTTATAACTTTATTGGCTTGTGATTTCAGAGGTCAGAGTCTGGGGGCTGTTAAGACAGCATGTAAGTTTAGAAGCAAGTCACAGAAGAGCAACAAAGGCGATGAATTTCAGATTTCTGCATAAATTTTACTAGATTTTTAGCAGGCAGACCCCAGAGGACCCAGCAAAAGAGCAGCAGGTAGAAGCTAAAAGAACAGAGCAGAGATTTCAGTTGCTGCCCACTGCAGGGAAGATAGAGGCTAGAGTTTGAGTTAATTGCCTGTTAGACCAAAAATAAATGTTCTTCAGAGGAACATAACATAATTCAGAGCCTCTATATCCGTACATCTATAATGTTCAAAACCAGTTGACAAGAATAATCAAAAACCACTAGACAGGAAATGAGACCAATATTTCAGCAAAAGAGCTGTCAACAGAAACCAATCCTGAGATGATACAAATGCTGCAGTGAGTGGACACTGACTTTAAGCAGCTATTATAAATATGTTTAAGGACATGAAAATACACTCATAATAAATGAACAGATGGCATGTATCAGTAGACAAGTAGAAACTATAAAAACTTCTAGAGCTTAACAATATGAAAAATGAAATGAAAAATTTACTAGACAATCTTAACAGAAGATTAGAGCTGGCAGGAGTGTCAGTAAACTTGAAGTTCCACATAAATTATCCATTGTGAAAAACAGAAAAAAATTGAAAAAAAATTGAGGTCTAATATATGTCTAATTGGAGGCCATGAAAGAAAGAAGAAAATAACTAAAACATATTGGAAGAAATAAAATCCTCAAACTTCCCAAATTTTGGGAAATCTGAAAGTTCTAAAAAGTTTACAAACCACCTATGCACATCATAGTCAAATTGCTGGAATTAGTAGATAGCAGAGAAAGAAAAAATATTGAAAGCCAGGACAGAAAAAAAGCTAGACTACATGTAAGGAAACAATGATGTGAATGATGGTTGACCTCTTATAGGAAACAAAGGAAACCAGGAGATAATGGAACTATTACTTTAAAATGCTGGGGAAACATAAACTGGTGAACCCGGAATTTTCATCTAGATAAACCCTCCTTTAAAAATGAAATTTACTGCTTCCAGCTATGATGAGGTAACAACAGGATTGAATTTATTCTCTTGCCATAAATATTAGAAAATGGGATAAAAATGTATGAAACAACTGTTTTCAGGTATTAGACAACAGAAACTAGAGGACTGTGATCCCTGGAAGAAAGGAAACAGACTAGGTGAGCTCTGCAATTTCCCTGGAGGCACATTGTGAGCTGCAAAGCATGGAAGGGTGTATTAGTTTTCTAGGGTTGCCATAATAAAGTACCACAAACTGGGTGGCCTTGGCTTGTATAAGATGAATTTATTGTCTGATAGTTCTGGAGGCTAGAAGTCCGAGATGAAAGTGCTGGCAAGGTTGGCTCCATTTGAGGACTGTGAGAGAAGAATCTGTTTCATGCCTCTCTCCCAGTTTCTGGTGGTTTGCTGGCAATCTTTGGTGTACCTTGGCTTGCAGATGCATCACTCTGCTCTGTCTTTATGTTCACATGGAGTTCTGCCTTGTGTGCATGTCTGCGTATATCTAAATTTCACCTTTCCATAAGGACACCAGTCATGTTGGATTAGGGTCCATATGAATGACCTTATCTTAACTTGATCATCTACAAATACCCTATTTCCACATAAGGGCACATCCACAGGTACTGGAGATTAGGATTTCAACATCTTTTGTGGGGATACAATTCAACACATAACAGAGGGATATCCCAAACAGAGCACAATAGTCTAGACAAATTGATGAGACAAAGAAGAGAGTTTGAAGAGGCGGAGGCAACTGGACACTATTGAGCAGAATTCCGGAGTTGAGGGTGCTACACAGAAAAAGAGCTCCCAAAATCTGCATAAATTCCTCTTGAGATTTTGCCCAACTGAAGATGTACGTGCATCAGGTTAAAATCTGCAAGGTTTAGCAAAGAGCAACCAGGAAGCTGTGAGCTTTATATTTTCCAAACTTCAAATAGGGCTGGAAGGCCTTTGAGTTCTGACCAGCAAGAGTGGAATGTAATTGTTGATCATCCAGAGCATTTAATAGAGACCCCAGAAAGGCCTTAGGGTAAAGGCTACTCTAGATTTGCTCTAACTATGCTTAAAAACATCAAATTTAACTTTGAATAACTTAACTAATAGAAGAAAACCCCAACAATCTTTAAAGGAAGACAACAAAACCTAGACATTTGATGTAAAATCTGCACTGACCAGTAGATAGCCAAATATTACTCGACAAGTCAAGGAGGAAAATGTAATACATAATGAGGACAAAAATCAGTCGATGGAAACAAATCCAGAAACGACAAGGATGATGGAATTGGTAGACAAGGATCTTAAAACAGAGTGTTAAAATATGTTAAGTATTTAAAGAAAAATGTGTGCATACTGAGGAAGAAAGTGGAAGTAATAAAAAATCAATTGGACTTCTAGAAATGACATATATTTTCTGAAATAAAAAATTCACTGGATAGGATCAATAGCAGATGAAACATTATAGAAAAAGATCTGTGAAATCCAAGATATAATAATAGAAATTAGCCAAAGTAAAGCAGAGAGAGTAAAAAGACTAGAAAAAAAATCAAGTAGTCAAATATATGTTAGACAAGGTGAATACATGGGTGTGTGTCTGTTAAAATTGTGCGGTTAAGATGTATGTATTTCAGCCAGGCATGGTGGCTCACGCCTGTAATCCCAGCACTTTGGGAGGCAGAGGTGGGTGGATCACGAGGTCAGGAGTTCAAGACCAGCCTGGCCAAGATGGTGAAACCCCATCTCTACTAAAAATACAAACAATTAGCCTGGCATGGTGGCAGGCGCCTGTAGTCCCAGCTACTCAGGAGGCTGAGGCGGGAGAATTGCTTGAACTCAGGAGGCAGAGGTTGCAGTGAGCTGAGATCACACCACTGCACTCCACCTGGGCGACAGAGCAAGACTCCATCTAAAAAAAAAAGATGTACGCATTTCAATGTATATACATTTTACCTAAAAGAATCATTGAGTAGGATGGAGTGGGGCATAGGTGAAAGTACAAATGAAATAAGAATGGCAGAAGGTGGTGATTAGGGCATGGGGGTTCTCTTATATACCATCAGGTTTATTTTGTATATATGTGAAATTACCCATAATAAAAAGAAAAACACATTTGCACTGTTTAAATCATCAGGAATGACTCTGTGTCTAAACAATTGCTTTTACATACTTTGCCTATTCAGCTCTATTTTCTAGAAAGTTTTAACAAGTTTAAAACAATTGCTGTACCAGCCTATTTAAACATATTTTCCCAAATATTTTATAATCTGTCCAACTTAAAAATTCCTGCTGGTAGGTTCACTTTCATTCATGCAGCTCTGTTGCATTCAGAGATTACTTTCATTTGTGCTCAATACCTTTGCTTCTGACAACTTTAGGTTGGTTGCTGTGTGTGGCAGAATCTGCTAGTCCCTTCATATCTGTCCTCCTCTTATTGGAAAAGAACCTCTGAACTTGAGGTACATAGTTTCTTGGAATAGAGATTTTTCCAACTTTCCTTGCAAGAAAGTGTGGAGCATGTGGTTACATTTAGTAGAGAGGGAGAGGGCTGTGCACACCTCCTGAAACCTGTCTTTAAAAGGATTTGTTCCTCTTGCCTCTTCCTCTATCCTGCTGTTGAGAACATGTATGTACAGCAAGCCATCCTGGCCTAGGTGGATAAGGGCAACACTCCAGAGATGTCAGAGCAAGAGGAGATTAAAGACATTTTGCCTTGGTCTCTAGAGGATATGGTGTCAGACCAGGCATGGAACATCTTCCTCTGGACCGTTACTTGAAATTGGAATATACTTCTGCCTTCTTTAAGCTACTGTTGCTGGGAGTCTTTGTTAAAAGTTGCTGAATGTATATCCTAACTACAACAATCCTAACATAGCCTCTCATTCCTGAGGCAATGTCCCTCTGCTGTAGAGGTGACTGTATTTCCCTTCACATCAGGACAGTGACCTCAGGGAATGTGCTTCTAATAAGCATGACTGTTCATCTTGAATTGGAAACACTTTTAGGAAAGTCCACTTTCAACAGTAAAGGGAAAGATCAAAATAAATTAATTATAACCAAAGTAAATGAACAAAATTGTCAGCCATCTGCCTTTTCTGTCACTAATCTGTTTTTCAAGGCTTTCAACTAAATACGTAGCTTATTTTATAAAAACTTTGTGTTCAGAATTGGTATTCTCAGCACATGTAGTACAGGCCCCTGTAATTTTATGTACATATTTATGTGCATGTCTCTGTGTGTACACAGTGCTCTCTATGGATTGCCAGCAGCAACAGTCAAAATAAGGAATTTAACATGAATCCCCACTGTGTATGTTCCCAGTGAATAATTATCCATGTTTCACTGCTAATGAGAAAACCTGGCTTTTAACAGGTTCCTTTCTGTCACGGACATTTCTCATTTGTTAAAACAAATGAAGTATCCGTCATTTTTTTTTTTTTTGGTTTTTGAAGGCAAGCAATCTCTCTGTGTGCCATTTACAAGGACACCAAAAAACACGTGCTAATAATGTATTCCACACCTTTGAGAGGCCAAATAATAAACCATTCCCAACCCTCCCTTTCCTTCAACGAAGAAGTTCACAGTATTTAAGGCAGGGGGCTAGCATCTCTCTTTTCTGTTTCCCTCCCAGCTACGTATATGCGGAGCATTTCCACCCCAGGAAAGAGGCCATCAGCAGGCAGTGACAGTGCTGTCTCCTCTCCAGGCCTCAGCTATTAAAGGGCTTGGGTTAGTGAGGTGGCTGAGGAGGACGCAGCACTTGGCAAGGCTGCTTTCTAATGAGAGTTCTGGCAGCAGAAGGCCTCTCTCTATCAACCCTTCTTAACCACTGAAAGAAAATATTGTCTTTAGGCCCCATTCCTAGGCCTAAAGTGGTTCTAAACTGAGCCAAAGCCAGGTGTGATTCACATATGTGTAAGATTTCCTCTCCCTAGTTTCATCTATTTTTTAAAAAATAGCTGGAAAGTATGAAAAGTTTAGAATGGGACAGATGTACCCAATAAGAAAACCAAATTATACATGAAGTTGCCCCCTTCTAAAAATGTGTGATTGACATATGTTTATTGAGGCACTATTCACAATAGCAAAGACTTGGAACCAACCCAAATGTCCAACAACGATAGACTGGATTAAGAAAATGTGGCACATATACACCATGGAATACAATGCAGCCATAAAAAATGATGAGTTCATGTCCTTTGTAGGGACATGGATGAAGCTGGAAACCATCATTCTCAGCAAACTATTGCAAGGACAAAAAACCAAACACCACATGTTTTCACTCATAGGTGGGAATTGAACAATGAGAACACTTGGACACAGGAAGGGGAACATCACACACCGGGGCCTATTGTGGGGTGGGGGGAGCGGGGAGGGATAGCATTAGGAGATATACCTAATGTTAAATGACGAGTTAATGGGTGCAGCACACCAACATGGCACATGTGTACATATGTAACAAATCTGCACGTTGTGCACATGTACCCTAGAACTTCAAGTATAATTAAAAAAAGAGACTGGAAAAATATAACAAAATATTCAAAGTTATAATAGGAGAAAAAAAATGTGTGATTGATTTTTTTTTAATCTTAAACACCAGAAAAGACATCTCTCTGAATGGGTCTAACATCCCTAAGTACTGACATGAAATAGGGAAAAGGAAACACTAAAGACCAGGGGGTTCCCCTCATTATTTGCTCCAACTATGACAGAATCAATGGCCTCCAGCAAGGACAGGGCATCAGTCCAGATGTAACCTATAATGTGCCACCAATTGACATCCTTGCTTTTTCCCATTGACTTCACTGACTTTCTGCATGTTTGTCTCTTGATTTTACATTGGCTTCTGTGACTAAACAGCCTGACTCAGGGAAACAGCCTGAGTTGGACAGATGAGGACATGGGGGAAGAAAACTGGGAGCCCTGGCATCTCTGGCTTCACTTCCTCGCACCCTCAGCAGAAGATGCTAACTTTAATACTGGTAGCATAAGGTTGCCTTTGTGGCACCTGTCTCTAAAGAAGCTCTGAATTCACAATACAAGGGTCATTATATAGTGGATTTTTTGTTGATTCAAAGGTCTGAAAATCACCAAGATTTTTGGCCAGTGGCTTAATTTGTGGGCTTCCTTGTAGGATAGATCAAGCCAGCTCAGGCATTCATTAGCTGCCAGTCACTTTGAGTGAGCCACACAGCCAAAGTTCATTTTGATGTGTTCCTAGCCTTAATAAGCAGAAGCAAGAATTCTGAGTGCACGTTTTTTCTCCTCTTCCCCCTCTCCAGCCAAACAGCTCAGAAAAAGGCACCTGAGCTTGATAAACAGATTGCACAGAGTAAAAGCTGTAAATGGACTGAACCCAGTTCACGGGGAAGAATGCTCTGAAAATAAGAATATACAATCTAAAAGAGGAGGAGAAAAAGTAGTACTCTGGGAATTTTCACGTATTTAACTGCTTTCTAAAGGAAAAGAAAGCTGTGGCTGATTAGGACATGCTGTGTAAAAGTATGAAAGATGTGGCATTATTACTTCATGAGCTGGCTCCAGGCCTGTCAGCATTTTCATTACAATCCTCTATTTTTCACAGAGTTAAACTTACTATAAAAATGATGTGTGTCGGGATGAAACTTGGCACTTGGTGTAGTCAGTCTGGGAGTCCTTTCCTTAATTTAATTTTCCAAAACTGGAAAACACTCAGTCCTGTAAATTTTATAGAGGGATCTCCATTTTGCTCGTGGTATGTGGTGTGTACGGGCCTCACTCTAAGGCCATGGGGTGACTGAGCAAAAGTAGGGAAGTCATTTCAGTGCCTTTTCTGGCTCCTTCCATTTCTGGTTTGGCATTCTCTTGGGTGGCAGAGATGGTCGCTAAAGAGCTTAGAAGGAGTGGGAGCTGGCACCAAGCAGCTGGCTGAGAGGAATGATTAATTCATATTGGAAAAACTCAGTTACTCCCTCCATTTGTCAGCTGGACCCTAGAAGGCTGTGGGAGAAGACAAGCAACTTTAATTTTCACTCCGATTTCTGGGACCTCCCAATAAGCTGGTCAAATAACTGGGCCAAGATGATTCCCATGTACATTTTCCCAAAGAAAACTAACTTTAAGACATTCCTGGAAAAATAAAACTATCCAAGCCCATTTTCCATTCCCCAAATGTCTCTTCACCCCTAGCGTAAGCTTTGGGTTTCCGTTGGCAGGGGGTATGCTAACGTCTCCCATGATCCTGGGCATCTGGTAGAAGAACTTGATATATTTCTCAGCATGAAAAGTAGCTCCATCCAGATTTATGACTTGATTAAGGCCTTGCATTTTCCAAAATGATTGGGTTACTGTGTGGTTACTACCTTCACCCATACCCTAGGACTTGGTTATTCTCTTACAGGTGAAGAAGATGAGATGCCTGCTCCTGATACTTTGCACACACAACTATGAAAATGTGACTGTACTGTAAGATAGAGTTTGGCCGTGTTAAACAGCATGCTTCTCCAGGATTGACTGGGCCACCTCTAGGGGGTAGCAGGCAGGCAGGCTCTAGGAAATTAGTCCAATTTTAAAAGTTCACAGTACTGTTGATCAGAATTGAACCTACCTCATGAGGATAATACACAGGGTTCCCATAAGTCCTTCTCTGCCAGTAGGCTCTTGGCATAAAATATACCTTTTAAAAACACATCAGCATTTTTTTTAAAGTTTCAACTTTCTGGGTTTATAAGTCCCTAGTTGACTCTACCCTCAGGCTGCTGGCAGGTGCCACCTGGCCTGCAGGAGGGAAGACCAGGATGACCCTAGGGAGGCCTGGCTGCAGGCTGCCTGGAGCTAAGGAAGTAATTTCAATCCACAGATGAGATGGCCTTTTAATGAACTCTAGAATGTGGATCATACTTGGGTCATACCATACTTTTGAGGAGAGTCCTAGGTCAGAAATTCCCCTCTCTGTGTATACTTATCTATCACGCACACCAAGATTAGATTCTGTAAGGAATGAAATTGATGTTTCACATTTGGTCTGAAATAGGACATTATTTTAGGACTTTCAAGGAAGCGCTCTATAATCAAGGTGCTACTGCTCTGAGAAGAAAACAACAGTTTCAGAGGAAAACCTGCGGACTCTATGAATATTCCCTTCTCTTGAGTGATATAGCTGTTCTCATCCCCTCACTCCAGCCAATGGAAAGGCAAGCTAGAAAATACACAGATCAGCTTGGAGGAAAAACAAAAGCCAGCAGCAGCTCCGAGCCAGCATGCCTCAGGAACTCAGGCTAAGTTTTGCTCTGATTTTGGGTGAGAGCCTCTGCAAAAGAAATAACGCCCTTTACCCCAACACAAAAAAAGAACCTTCGCTCACAGCCCTGTCTACATCCCATTTCATTTCTCTTCTGCTGAACCAAAGCCACAGCATAGCAGTGGATATGAAGAATGGCTAATATTCCTAGCACGTATCCCGGGAGGCCTCACTGGGCACAGCACAGGGTTCAGCTGCAAGCCACAGGAAGGAGCCGCTGCTGACTAGGAATTCCACGGTGAGCAGTGGGGGTGGAGCTACCAGGGGAACGCAAAGACCTTTCCTGGATTTATTATTCCCACATTAGTCTCCTGGGTCTTGAGGCTCCAGAAACTTCTCAACAAAGGAAAGAAAATAACAAACAATGTGAGGGAAGTAAAGACGGGGGAGAGTTGAGTGGTGAGCTGAAGTAGGGATGAGAGCCATGGCAAGGGAGCAGGAGGAGGAGTAAGGACAGAGGTGTCTGAAAGGATCTGGCTGGCTCGCTCCTGGGATAAGAATATGCTCTGGCAAGTGATGTCTGGCCTTTGGCAGCCAAGCCCAAAGAGCGAATGGTTTTTCAAGGACCCATAAATAGATAGGTCCTATAAAGAAACATCAGAAATCCATCCACAGCCCTTACTGGAAACGTCACAGCATCAGTGTGATGGGCATCTGAAGGGCAGAGAGTTGTCCAAATGCCTGCTATTTGTCTTGCAACCTACATTTCTAGTATTGATTTGTTTTGGCTCCTAATCTTCTTTGGGTGTGGTTCTCAGTTTGCCTTGGATTTATATACTCCAGAGACTCCTGTGGAGCATTTAGTGGACTCTCTGATGGCTTAAGGAAGAAGTGGCCTGGTTCAGATTCCTGGGTCCAATTCTGACCTTTCCGAGATTCACATGGACTTAGGAGCCCTAAAACCAATGCAGTCTCCTTAGGCAACCTGGGATTCAGGCCAATTTAGACCTGGATGAGGCAGAGCACATGCTGTTCTGCTGGGAATTGATAACTTGATTGAATCAGTTCTTTTTGGGCTTCCCTATTTTCCATAGCACTCACATTGCATGAAGGTGGAGGGTCTAGAATGGGAAATGTGTATCAAAAGAGGGATGTGTATATGATCTCTGTATAATGAGGGATGTGTATATGATCTCTGTATAACGAGGGATATGTATATGATCTCTGTATAATGAGGGATGTGTATATGATCTCTGTATAACGAGGGATGTGTATATGATCTCTGTATAATGAGGGATGTGTATATGATCTCTGTGAAACGAGGGATGTGTATGTGATCTCTGCATAACGAATGGAAGTGAGAACTAAAGTTTCCACAGAGCTTCTCAAAGGCATTCCAAGGACAGCAGATTTGAAAGCCTAAATCCAGACGTGGACAGAGCAAGTACGCTTACTGTGGGACAGAAATTATGCCTGTTATCCAGTAACATTACTGGGCACCTGTATTCTGCTTTAAAATGTACAATTAGCATTTCATTAGAGTTTGCTCTTAGATCTCTCTAAAGACCAAAGCTGAGAAACCCTAGAATATAGAGAAGGAAAACCAACCTTTTCCTACAGTAATGAGATTTTTTCCCCTTAAAATTTATTTTTGAATTATGATGGTGGGGGTGGGAATTGGGAATGAACAGTGTTTACAATAAGGTGTTTACATATTGCCATCTGACTCTTCACTCTTGTCAAAAAATTATTAAAAACAAAGTAGTCAAAAGATGTTTGTCATTGTTGGTAAGAAGGCCAGAGCAGGAGTTGGCAATTTTTTTTTTTTTTAAGGGCCAGATAGTGAATATTGTAGACTTTGTGAGCCATATGGTCTCTGTCACAACTACTCAACTCTGCCATTGTAACTTGAGATCAGCCATAGACAATACATAAACAAATGGGTGGGGCTGTGCCCCACTAAAATCTTATTTATAAAGGGGTGGTGGTCTAGACTTGCCTTCAGGACCAACCCCTGGTCGAGGGTATGAGATCATTTGAGTTTCTGTATGCTGAGAACAAATGGCCTAGTAAAACCACTAACTGCCTGGGCAAGATATATTTTTACCCCCAAAGAAAGCAGCCATTTTCACAAGACAAGGAAGATGAATTCAATACCTTCTTTTCTAATTAAAAGATCCAACTTGTTACTTTAAAAAATACCAATGCATGTTCATTATAGACTAAAAGCTCACAAAAATATAAAAATTCAAAAATCCCTCAAGTCCCACTTCTCAGACGTAATTGATCTGAATGTCTCTCTTTCCAATCACACATATGCACACACATCATTAGGCAGATTAATAAATCTTGGACAATTTTCTTGTCAATGAATGTAAGTCTACCTCATTCTTTAAATGGGTGATGGGTGCACTAAAATCTCAGGATTCACCACTATGTAATTCATTCATCCATGTAACAAAAAAACCACTTGTACCCCAAAAGATATTGAAATAAAAAAAAAATCAGCACCATTATGAAGCAAAAAAAAGAATCTTTAATCAACTCTTTATAGATAATTACATGTTTCCAATTTTTCACTAATATAAACTACGCTGTGGTGAATTTCCTAGTACATACATCTCTGTGACCAAATATTTCCCTAGGTTACATGACTGAAGTAGCACTGATAGCTCAGTAGGTATCATTTGAAAATACTGATATACATTGCTAAATTGCCCTTCAGAAATGTTATCCTAATTTACGTTTTGGGCAACAATGCATGATAGTATATATTATTTAATTCTTTGATCTTCTGATAGGCAGAATAACTGCCCCCCTAAAGAAATCCACACCCTAATCCCCGAAACCTATGAATATGCTACCTCACATGACAAAAGGGACTTTGCAAATGTGATTAAGAAAGAATACTGAGATGGGGGATTATCCTCGATTATGCAAGTAGGCCTCATGTCATCAAAAGGGGCCTTATAATGGGGAAGATAGCGAGTCAGAGAGAAATGTGAAGATGCTATGCTGCCATTCTTGCAGATGGGAGAAGGGCCACAGCCAAGGGATGCAGGTGGCTTTGAGGAGCTGGAAAAGACGAATATATTTCCCCGTAGAGCCTCCAGAAGGAAACATCTTGGTCAATCTTGATTTTAGCCCAGTAAGATCTGTTTTGGACTTCTGACCTCCAGAACTGTAACAGAGTAAATGTGTCTTGTTTTAAGCCACTAAATCTATGGTAATTTGTTACAGCTGCAATCAAGTTAATACAGATTTCACAAACTTTTTCATCTTCACCAACCTATTTATGGCAAATAGTATTTCATTTTATTTGCTTTTCTTTAATTATTGGTAAGACCGAATTTGTTGTCAACCTTTTGATGTAGAGCAAGTAGTTAATGTTGCTGGGTAATGCATCTATTAAGAAACTGAATAAAGTTCTGGATTCTTTCACCAGAGAAAAGCATATTTGCACATATATTAGAGGGCTTATGGAGTTCCCAAAGCTTGTGGACCCCAGGTTAAATACCCCTGAACCAGAAAGCGGGAGTGGAAGGGGTACCAATGACAGCATTCTCTTATTCAAAGTCACAAAGGTAAGACCTGAGATCATGTCCCAGCCTGGCAGATAGGTAAGATTTGACGTAAGCAAGTGCCTGGCCAGGAAGGCAATAATCAGGGATCTGGCCAAGCAGATCCTTCCTGCACCGTGGAGCACAGAGGCTGGGCATTGCCCAGCACCTACTCCTCTTGTTCTCTACCCATTTCACCGACTAGCTTCTAAGCCTGGAAACAATAGGGTTTCTGTTCAGAAATCCTCAGCAATTCCTCATACTTTTGCTTTCTTTTCTTAAATGGTTCAGTCGAAACCCATTAGGCAAGGCTAAAGAAGACAATGTTCATCAATGTTCATAGGGAGACAGGGAGCCGTGGTAGTCCAGGATGGGATGTTGAGGCTGAACAGAGTGAAAAGGGCATCTAAACCAGGGGTGCAGTGGTGACCTGAGGAGGGATGTAGAACCTGAGTGAGGCGAGGACAGCATCTGTGTGGGGGTGGGGGCAGCAATGGTAGGAGGCTGTTTATATGGAGGGCTTGATCGCATAAGAAAGTGTGTTAATGATAGTGGGTGCCAGAGAATTACAAATATGGAAGAAGAAAAAAATAAATCCTGTGGTGTTGGGTAAGAGTTGGACATACAAGGGAGGACTCATGACTCAATGTATAGATTAATATAGAAATGATTATATTAGTGTGTGTGTATATGGCTATACATGCACAGATATATGCATTTTTTTTTTAAATTCTGGGTACTGAGAGCAGTGACACATCAGTAGCAATGAACTTACTTGATGTTGAAATCTTGGTGTCTAAATACTATTCTCTAGGGCTGGAGCAGGGAAAGTTCAAGATGAACCTAGAATATCTTCTTGTGCCAGAAAGTAATGAAGTTCTTAAAGAATGATATGAACGTGTCAAAAGATATGAGTCATCTTAAAGTCACATTGGCTGCATCTGGGGAATGTTTTACTTTAAAATAAAAGAAGTTAGGATAGCATAGATTATAGCCCATTGGATAAGACAGGAGGCCACAAGTTCATGCAGGTAAGTTCAATGAGGAATGAGATATTTGCCACAGTCCCAGGGGACCTCCTCACAAAAGACGTATTAATTCCAAAGGAAAACTTTGGAACTTAACTTCTGCAATGGAAAAGGTCAGAAGATACCACTTTAATCAAGAGACTGGCATTAGCATCAGCAGTCATGGTATAAAGGAAATCATAATCATGTGATTGGGTGTGATAAGAAGAGCCCAGCATCACTTCTGTGATGTTCTTGCCAAAGTCTCACAACAAAGACTCATCTAATCATGTGGAAACATCAGGCACATCCAATCTGAGGGACATATTTCAAAATAATAGGCCTATCATCTTCAGAAGCGTTAAGGTCATAAAAATTGAGGGAAGCCCGAGGAACTGTTTTCGTTTGAAGAAACAGAAGGGACATGACAACTAAATGCAATGTGTGATTTGGGGAGGAATTCTCTTGCTACTAAAGACATTATTGGGATAACTGAGAAACCTTGAAGGAATATGCACTGGGCAATGAGGTATTATGTCAGCAACTTACTCCCGAATGGATGAGGTAGAAAAAGTTCTTTGTATTCCACTTTCAACTCTTTTGTAAAATTGAAGTTATTTCAAAACAAAAGTATATTAAAGAAGAAAGAAACCAAGTCTCAAACCACGTCTTGAAACTCGTGTCTCAAACCAAGAAGTAGAACATGTGAAAAGAAAGGAAAAAAAACCTGCTCTATCCACTGAGACCTCAGGATTTGGAGGACCGGGAAAGTGATAAACATGAGCATCCAAGGTGAAATTGCCGATGGCTCAGAAAACGGGGTTGTTCTACAGTTCTTTGAATGTGTTGCATGACATTTGAACAATTTTCCCCCTTTCTCCAACCAGCTTTTGCTCTGAAAATAAGTGTCTTGTCTATCCATTAAATACCACAGACAACTCAAAGTCTGTAACGCAGTAAGTTTGTTTTATTTGAATGCTGATTTCTTCTCAAATTAAAAAAAAATCCTTCTTGGGCCAGGCACACTGGCTCACGTCTGTAATCCCAGCACTTTGGGAGGCGGAGGCAGGAGGATTGCTTGAGGCCAGTAGTTCAAGACCAGCTTGGCCAACACGATGAAACCCTGTGTCTACTAAAAATACAAAAATTAGCCAGGGTTACAAGCCTGTAACCCCAGCTACTCAGGAGGCTGAGGCACAAGAATCGCTTGAACCTGGGAGATGGAGGTTGCAGTGAGCTGAGACTGTGCCACTGCACTCTAGCCTGGGCGACAGAGCGAGACTCCGTCTCAAAAAAAAAAAAAAAAAAAAATCCTTCTTATCATTTGGCAACAACCAGTTTATCATTGCTATGTCAACAATAAGACTAAAAAACTAAAAGTTCTTTAAAATTAAGTTTAGTTAGCCAATTATTATCATCTGAATAAGCAATACTTATATATGAATGAACCAAAAACCATCATTTCATAATCAAGGTTTGTATAAAAGATGTTTAGATCCTGAAAAAAAGTAATGATTGCTTAACAAAAGCATTGTTTTCCTTCACTTTTCCTCCAATTTAACTTTTTATAATATTTTTATCTCGGCAGTTATACCATTTTTGGCATCATTTCAGTGTGCTTAGCAGAAGCTCTTCATTAAAATCTCATGGTCCTATCTCCCTGGTATTTGTTTTACGAACTATCATGAACCAGTTTCTGAACATGCCTTTCAGTAAGAATCTGAGATGCCAGGAAAGTTCATTAATGTAGAGAACAACAGGATTACAAGGAGAAGAATTAAGAGGAGGTGCAGTTTTTACTGTGCATGTAAGAGTGCCATGGTCATTTTCTTCTGTGCCTAAATTCTTTTTCTGGGCTCAGGAAGCTGGCAGGACATCAGACACACAGGCTTGTGCTGGTTTATCTCTCTTGATACCACTTCAAAGAGTCACACATTACACACAATGGTCCCTGCCAGGTTCTAGACAGGGCGTTGAATGAATTTTTGGTCTTATCTCCTTGGAAACAAAATGTACAGGGAGCTCATTATTTTTGAGCAGGCACTGCCAACAGAGAAACGAAGAATTCCATAATCATAATGGATTTTCACATAAAAAGATTCCTGATAGAATGATGTTTTATGAGCTAAACTGGTCTTTCTACATCCTTTCAGAGATAAAATATTGAAGGTGAAGGATAAAAGAGTTCGAACTCTTAAACAGATATAGACATATTACTAGGTTATGTTTCTAGAACACGAATACAATTATTGTTATCATCATTTTCTCCTTTGGCCTACCCTACCTCTGGCCTGATCTATTTTGTAAGATTTGCTTTGATAGGTTCTCATGGGTAGAGAACAGCAGATGGTCAGCAAAATCCTTTTTAAACTATACAATTTTTCAAAAAGAGCAAGAATCCTTTTCTATTTTCAGGAATGTTACCTATAACCCTAGCACAGGGATGTTCTGGCAAAATGTTTCTCCCAGAATGCTCATGAAAACAGTTACACAAAAACCCCAAGTCCAACTATACCAGTGTGTTCCTTACTGGGATTTTATTCGTGCCAAGATGTGATTCTGGCTTATTTTCCCCGGCCTTCTTTCTACCAGCAAAGGGAAGTTGTTTTCCAAGCTGTTAGCCTCGTGTTTCTGAGGCTCTGTGGAATGGAAAACCCAAATCTGTAAGCTCTGTGATGGTCAAGATATCAGAATTCTTGGCACAGAGTAGAAGTGCAAAAGAATATAGGTTCCCAATCCTAATTCACTTTAGGTTCCCACTCAAAGAGGCATCAGTGGCATGACTATTTCTGAAGACCTCACCCTGAGACTTACCCTGGAAAATGGGGAGGGGTAATTCAATCTGATCAAAATAATTTACAATTATAACCTTCGTCAATAATTTTATATTTCTTTGGAGAATATTAGATTGCATTTTGAGAATAGATTTAATGATTCCTATGGATTGATGATAGTCATAATATGGTCCATGTCACTGAACAATTGTTTGAGAGTTGATTGACATTTTCCATGTTCTTCCACCCTCTCCAGTTTCCAAGAGTCAGAGGCTTATTATGTTAATTTCTAGAGCCCAGCTATTCACTCTCTTTCTTTCGTTTTCTCTAGCTCTTTCTCTCTGCCCTCTCTCCTCCCTCCTTTGCACCTTGCCTCTGCTACCGACATCTCTAGCATCCATTCTATTCATCTATTCTTGAATAGTCAAGAAATAAACTTGATTCAAAATTTAAAAGGTACCAAGAGGAAATGCTGTGAAAAGTCTTCCTCACACCCATCTCCCTCAACTACCTGGTTCCTCTTCTCACAGGCAACCAGTATTCCAAGTTTCTTGTGTATCTGTATGGTATATTTTTGAAATTAAGAAAATCATGTACAAACTGGTGCCCCAAAGAAAACCATACCTTTCTCTTTTTCTCCTTTCAAGAACAAAGTACAATCAAATTAGCTGCTTTTTTCAGGGAACCTACGGTTGTATTAACAATATCAATGCCAATACCACTGGGCAATAAGGAGAGGAAGGGGTGTGTGTGTGTGTGCGTGCATATGTGTGTTAGGGATGATTTCAAAACTCTTGTCTAGAAGACAAAAAGATATTATAAGGCAGAAGCTGCATAGTGATTCTCTTGCTTTGTGAAAGGAAAAACTGTAGCTAATTATAGGAGATGAGAGTCACTTAATTTCCACAATATTAGCTGAACTCCACTTTCCCAAACTTTTCTAAAACATAGCAGGATGTGGCACATGAAAAGGTGAAAGATTACAACCCCCCCACCTCCAACAGTGGTAGACAATATCTTGGAGACAAATCCTGCGTGTATTTTGATTCTATTATAATCAACTATTTGCATGCACGCGCACACACACACACACACACACACACACACAGAGAGTGAATACAAGTAGACTCCACAGGCCAAGTACTGGACTTAGAACAGGAACTTATCTCTTTGCTTGGTGTTCCTCCCCTTCATGTGAAATCGCTTTTGCAAAAATTATAACAGTGAGAAAATTAAGACAGTGATAGAGATCTGATCTAACCAACCCGTATCTTGCCTTTTGCCTCCAAACTGCCATTAATCAGTCTTGGGCTTGGGCCAGGATAACTTTGGGAGACATGTAGTTTATAGTTTAAATGATAATAGCCCTTCCTGAATCTAAACTGCCTTTGCAAAGTTAATGAAAGACCACCACAAGGTTAGGAGGATGAGAGGAGCCTGAATTCTCCTAAGGTGAAGATGTAAATGATTACCAGCATTTCTGATGATCAATGACTCCTCTTGGACCTGTTAACTGGTCCTGTGGCCCCACCCAGAAGTGGACTGAGCATGCACAAGGACCATTTCCCACAACCCTAGGATTGCATCCCTAACCAATCAGCTGTACCCATTCCCTAACCCACCAAACTATCCTTGAAAAACCCTAGACTCCAAATTTTGGGGGAACTGATTTGAGTACTAAAACGCTGGTATCCCATTCAGCTGGCTCTGCAATGCCCCTGTCTTAATAAATTGGCTCCACCTGGCCAGCAGGCAAAAACAACCTGTTGGGCAGTCACACATGGAGAGATGTCTAATTCTCACCTATGTTCCTGTCTTGGCCTGTCTAATCCCCATCTGTTGTTTAGGTCCCATTTCCCCATGAAGTCTACTCAGATGCCATGAGGTCATTGCATTTTATGAACAGCACTCTCCAGGACAGCCAGCATCTCCCCAACCTCCAGGTTCCTTAAAGAAACAATACCATCTATATTTCAGTGTGTAGCAAAGAACAAGTAAGGAAACTGCTCCTGGCTAGAAAGGCAGGCTTCACAAGTGGTCCAGAATCTTCCCTGAATATCTGCCTTCTCCATGGGGTCCCAGAAATCCTACCTTACCAGCAATCTTTGCTTCTAGCCCTAGGAATAAGGCAACAACTAGGTTTTATAGCGTACTTTACAGTTTACAAACTGTTTTTATATATTTAATCTAATTTGATTCTCAAATCAGTCCTGAGGGTCAGTTTATCAACCCACTATACTGATGAGAAAGGCAGACTCATTAAGGTTATGTGGTTTGATCATAGTGCAACTCTGATTTCAAAGTTCATTCTCTTTTCATTAGTTTTGATTCCTTAGTAGGCGAAAGTCCTTTCCTTTTTCTTGATTAATTTTTCGGAGATAGGCTGATATTATCAAAGAGAACTCAACTAAAAAGTTAAATTAACTAACAAATAGAGAAAGGAAATATGAACTGCATAAAATGAACAAGTTAATGAGAAGATAGGTTTACTGGGGCCTGAATTCTTCTTCTTTATTCCTGCTTCCAGGATCTGGCTTCTGAGGGCATTCTTAACTTTCCTGATTTTTCCACTTCCAGTGGCCAGGGGCAAGAGCAAGTACTACCAAAATAAGAATGACTGATGTTAACTGAGCATTTACTATGTGGGAAGGCACCATTCTAAGTGCTTTACATATACTGCCTCATTTATTCCTTTCAAAAACCCTGGAGGTATATGCAGTTATTGCCTCCATTTTAACAATCAAAGGCAGAGAGGACTTCCATAATTTGCCCAAGGTCATGCAATTATTAGCAAGTGGCAGAGCCAGGCATTCTGGCTCCGGAGGCTGCTCCCAACTACAGTGCTATGCAAGCTCTAAGGTGCATGTAAAGGACCCCAGTAGAGAGCATAGGGTTAGATGGATTTGTTGGAGTAGGTAGTTAGGCAGACACGAGCAAGGCAGAAGAGGGCACCCCTTCAGCAATGTCACGCAACCATTAGGTGATGGTCAGGCAGTGGTTAAACTGTCTCTCTAAAATGATAATTGGTTGCATCCAGTGCCAGGGAAAGGCAGTCTCCTAGGAGAAAACACCTGAAGCTGGTGATCAGCAGCTTCCTGATAAAATCTCAGGAGCTGGGCCAGTGGGCTCAACCATGTACACTAAGAGGCAAAATGGTGGAGTTTAACTGGTACACGATCTTCCTCTAGGAAAGTTTGACTGATAAGGGAAAAACGCCTCAAGTGAGCATGCCCACAACTTCAGTAAACACACTATACACGTGGCCCTTCCCAAGTGTTGACAGGCCACTGCTCATGCTGACAGCCCACCCCAAGGGAAGAATCAGAAGAGACAGGACACAAACCATGGGATCATTCCAATGTATAAAACCCCACGCCAACCCTGAACAGAGCACTTGGATCTCTTAAGTTGCTGGCTTGGCCCTCTTCCACATGTACTTTACTTCCTTTTGTTCCTGCTCTGAAAATTTTTAAGAAACTTTCACTTCTGCTCTAAAATTTGCCTCAGTCTCTCACTCTGCCTTATGCTCCTGGAATGAATTAATTCCTCTAAGGAGGCAAGAATTAAGTTGCTGCAGACCTGTATGGATTTGCTGCTGCTAACAGCTAGATGGAAATAGAATTTCCAGGGGAGCACTACAACCTTCCTCCTCGATCATAAATTCATAGAGCAGGTATTCAGCACTCTCTTTATTACCCTTTCTCACCTGCTCATACTGCTTTCTCACCATTGCTTCTGTGTTGATCTTTTCTAACTAGATATGAAGTCCCTTGATGTCAGGGGCCACACCTTGCACATCTCTGCTCCCATCGAGAGCTTGGCATAGAATGAAACTTCCCATATGGCACCTGTCTCCTGAATGATTTTTTGGTCAGTAATTTACACTCACAATGGTGATCAAGTTCTGATCCTATAATTTATGGAAGAACTTGTGGTAGACCACAGTGAGAAAGAGAATGAACTTAGATTTTTCAACAAGGAAGAGAACAGGTAAAAAAAAATTAGCAATTATTAGCATCTACTTTGTAGCAAGCACTAAACTGGGCACATTGCATATGGCATCTCATTTAACCCTTACTATAATTAGTTCTGTGAGCTGGGTGGGCAGATACTCTTTCCTTTTTCTTGCTTAATTTACCTGAGATTGGCTGGTTTTGTCAAAGGGAACTCAATTAAAAAGTAAGTTAAATTAATTAGCAAATACAGAGAGGAAGTAAAAACAGCATAAAATGAGTAAGTTAATAAAACGGTAGGTTGACTGGGGCTAGAATTTACCTTCTTTATTTCTGCTTCCAGGACCTGGTCCCTAAGGGAAATCTTAACTTACCCGATCCCTCTACTTCAAGAAGCAGGCAGGGCCAAGAGCCTTTATTTATGAGGAATCAGATGCTGAGGATTTGGAAACAGCTTTTCTGACTGAGGTGCCCTGTCCTCTGTCTCCTACAAAGTTGGCTTGGAACCAAGGCAGTAGGGTCTGCCTCTCCCTTCATAGATCACATCAAGGCCTTAGGCCATAATCCTGCCCTCTCTTCTACAGTCAGCCTCTGGGCTCTGATAGTGCTGTAAAACTGCCATTATAGCACCACCAAACACAAGGGGGCACAGAGCAAGAGTAGATATTCTCAAGGGCTGTTTCAGGGCTGAGGAAGGATTTATTGGGGAAAGAGTAGAGTTCCTTGTTTTCCCACTGATGGACTTTCAATCCCTGTCTATTTCAGGGACATGAAACTCATTCACATCATTCCTGTTGGACATGGCAGGGAGGGCACATGGGCCTGGGAATTGTGTCCTGCTGCCAGGAAAGGGCAGGAGCAAGTGTGAGTGCGTTTTCTCAAGGTCCTCATTTCCTATCTAGCGTCTTTAAATAAGCCCATGCCTGGGTGCTCGCTATGGCTTAGAACAGTGGCTAGGCAGTGACATTTACTGCCTTGCTTTCCATGTCCAACTATTTTAAGTGTCACTTATGCTCTGGTGTCTTTTTATATTTATGGATGTGCATTTCAGTCCAAAGAACTGCTGTATTCCTTTCTGTGGCTTCCTTGTAAATGCCCTCTGAAATGACAATTTAGTTTTACACTGTATGTATAGAGCTTTCTGCAGTCCCTATGGGGTCTCTATACTCCACTTTGGATTTTATTTAAAAAAATACAAAAGTATATAAACAGGAGCCATAAATAACTACAAAATGCTGACCTTTCTTCTTAATAGCAAAGCATTTTCTCTTTGTGGGCAAAGCTTTAGGAAATCAAAAGCATTTTCCTTGTGACATAAAACCTCGGCCTTCCAGTATAAATGAGGAAACAGATGCTGACTTGTGTCTCTTTGACATGAGTCCTTCCCTTTCCCTCCGTCTTCCTTTCCCACTCCTCAAGGGGGCCAGTCCTCCCCTTCCCGGCATCCCTGTCCTTCCTTGGCATCACCTTCCTTGCCACCTGTTGGGTGGGTCTGCAGTGTGGATTAATTTTTACCTAACCTTTGACCATCAGAACTTGCTGTTCCCACCGCTAAGAGAGGAAGTAGTGATGCCCTTAGTCTTCCAAACAATTATGATAAAAAATGGCTTCCCAACAGCTGTGGCCCAGGGTATTCACTAACTGTCATTGTTTGCATTATCACATAATTGGATCCAGGAAGTGCCCGATCCAGGCTGTACAAGAAAAATCCAGGCTATAGGAAATGTGCGGGTGGGGTGAAGGGTGGAGGTATGTGGGACGGATGATAAAGCTACAATTAGAATAGAAATGAGAGATGAAAACAATTCAAGAGGCCTTCCAAGTCAAGGCCCTGCCACCTAGTCCTGTTTTAAATCACTTAAAAATACTTATGCAGCCTCTTCTATCCCCAGGACCTAGATCTAGCTGGGAGACATGACAGACGTAAGAAATATGTCCAATAATATAAGGTGTGATAGGCTAAGTATCACATTGGTGACATAGAGCTGAGGTTGATGAGAAAGGCAGACTCATTGAGGTTATGTGGTTTGACCATAGCTCAGCTCTGATTCCAAAGTTCATGCTCTTTTCATTAGTTTTGGTTCATTAGTTGGCAAAATCTCTTTCCTTTTTCTTGCTTCGTTTATCTGAGATAGGCTGATATTATCAAAGGGAATGGCCCGAGTGCAAAATCCAGTCCTGTTTCTGTAAATAAAGTTTTCTGGAACACAGACATACCCATTCATTTACTTATGGTCTATGGCTGCTTTCACTTTTCAACTGCAGAGTTGAATACCCGCAACAGGGGCCTTATAGCCAACAATGCCTAAACTATTTCCTATCTGGCACTTTACAGAAAATGTTTGCCCAACTCTGGTCTAGAGTAGGTGCTTCAGGAAGTCAGCAGAGAGTGATCATTCCAGGCTGGGGTGCTCCAAGAGGCTGCATGGAGGGCCTGATCTGTGCCTTGAAAATCTTTAGGATTTAGATAGATATGGTGGGGTAGGGGAGGGTATTCCAGGCATGGAAGTTACATGAGGCTCAAGGCCATGGCAAGTATGAGGGAGAGGTTTGACTGGAACAAAGGAATTACCTGAGAGAGAAATAGGATGGAAGGATGGATGTAAAGGCTAGGTCTGAATAGCAAAGAACCTTGAATGTCAGATTAAAATATTCTAAATGATTAAGCACGCCATATTTCCATTCCAGCTTCTATTATACATGGGTTGTAGAAGACGGAGAAGTAACTTGTAAAATCTCCTCAATCCCTGAGAATCATTTTTTAAAAGTACTGATGCCTTGTCCCATCCTGAGATCTCGAATTAATTGGTCTCTGTTGGAATATTTTTTTCTAAACTTCCCAGCTGACTCTACTGTGCAATGGGGATCCCCTCTTACTAGATGAAGGAAATGGCCAGGCACATGCCTGCAGAAGCTCAGGGCCAGGCAGACAGAGCAGGTGCCCAGCACATGTGAGCCAAATTAAATCAGCAATATCGGCTTGTACCAGAGCCAGCCTGATAAGCCTCTGTTTTACTAGAGTCAGCTCTATAACATTCAGTTGGCCACATGGTTTCCAATAAACTAAATCACTTCTGCCTGCCCCTGTCTAATGCTGGAAAAGCCCATGATGCTCAATGCAATATTGCATCTGTTTATAAATGTGAGCATTTATAGATTTTTCTCTCACTGTTGCTTTAAAGTGACCATTTACAAGGCCTTACACAACTTGCCCTCTGCCTGGTTGCCTCTCTGATCTTCTCTCCTTCTGTGTACTCCCTCTGTTACCTCATTGTGGCCACACTGGCCTTTTTGTTGTTCCTGGAACACACTAGGCATGCACGTTTCATGCAGGCGGAACTCCGCACTCATTCTTCCTGTGCCTGGGATGCTCTTCTCCTCTCTTCTCTCTCCAGACATGTGAAGGCTCAAGAGCACACATTCATGTCTTTGCTCAAGAACTGCTTTCTCAGTGAGCCCTCTCTGGCCTGTTGTATTTTAAATTGGAACCTCCTTCCCACATAGGCACCACCTCTCCCTCTTATCCTGCTTTATTTTTCTTTATAGCACTTATTACTTCTACCATATGATGCCATTTGCTTCTGTATACGTTTATTTTCTATTTCTCCTACTATAACATCAGTTCTATGAGAGGAGGGACTTTTGTCTGTTTTGTCTCTGCTGCCTTCAATGGTGCTGAAAACATGGAAGGAACTCAGTAAGTGTGTCTGTTGTATCAGTGCATGGAATACTTTGCCTCATCCTTTGAGGCTGAGCTTGAGCAGTTCCTCTGTTAAATGCCCCCTACCCCCACCCCAATTACCCTTTCATCAAAGAAAGCAGTCCCCACTCCTGTTCCTTTTGATTTCCTGTGCAGCCTATAGAGCTTTTCTCACACTCATGATTGACTTTTCTGTCTGTCCTAACACTTCTGAGCTGTTCAAAAACTGGGAGAAAGGCACAGGACCTAGCATTTAATAAAGCCTGAGCAGGTAGATGTTAAGGAAATGAGCAGGACTTAGCAAACAGAAGCTTTGGGGTATTCTCCTCCTTATAACTACACATTCTGCATTACACACCCATGTAGCTCTCAATTTATTCTAACATCTTGGCTTGAGTGGTCTGGGATGTGTCACCACCACTAGGAGGTACATGAGAGTTTCAGTGAGAAAAACCCCCCAAATCTGATGTCTTTGAGACTCTGTTCATTCTATGGCTGATGTTTCCCTTCTCATGTTAATCTATTTACCAAGTCCCGTTGAAGTTACCTCTTACAGATCCCTGAATTCATCTACTTCTGTCCATTTTTTTCCACCTCTGTACTTTATGCCACAGTAATCTATGGTTACCTGGAATACTGCAACAATTTCCTAAACAGGGGACTCTATCTAGCCTCTTCCCCTAAAAAACCATCCTCTACACACCAGTCAGAATAAGCTTTTAAAAACGCAAGTTAGACAACCTCTCTCTCTTGTTTTTAAGCTGTTTAAGACTTCCCATTGCACTTAGGGCAAAGTGTAAATATCTTACAGAGCACCAGCAATTTGCTCCACCTCCCTCTTTAACCTTGTCTAAGGCCACTCCCCCTTACCTCTGACCAAAAAGGTTCTTGAAAGGTTTTCTATTTTCATTCTTTATAACCTCTGCCGGCTCCTCTACCTGAAGCGCTCGTCCCCTCTCCTCACCTGGGTAACCTCTATCCAGTCTTCCAGTCTTGCTCAAACATTGGTTTCTCAAAGCAATCTTGGCCAAGCTGAGACCTGAAAAGCCCCCAGCTCTTGCCATTTCCATCGTGCTTTTCTTACTTGAACTTTCCCATCAGACTCTAAGTGCCCCCACTGGAATCACACTGCAAAGGACTACAAACATCAATTTGTTTGGCTTATTACTGTGTCCTCAGTACCTAGAACAGTGCCTGGTATAGTAAATAGATGCTCAATACTTCTTTTTGAATAAATGAATGAGGACTAGGTTTGTATTTATCTTATTTACTGTGTGTCCTTGGCTCACAGTACACTGTTTGGCACATATTAGGCACTTGGTAAATACTTCTTGAATAAGTAAATGGAACTATCTTTGAGACAGTGCTTTCCTAGGCCCTTTATCATGAATTTCAACTTTGGATATTAATATTTATTCAACTGTTTTCTCATATACGCTCCTACTTTGAGAGGGTTACATGTGAACACTGTGAGCTCTGCCTTTAGACTCCAGGCCTGGGTCCTGTATTCCAAACACAGTTTTCATACCAGCGTGATATTATATTATATTGTCCCAGTCTTAACCTCAGTGTTGGAGAAAGAAGTAATTCCTTCACCTTTTTGCATGAGATTTAGGGTCAACAAGAGCCTTGCCGCTCTTAGCAGGGATGTCTGAACTGCATCTCATGCCAGCTGGGTTCTGCAATTCTCAGCAGAGGAATAAGCAGAGAAAAAAATGCATAAGCTGCCTGTCTTGGGTGGTCAGAATACCACTGCCCAACTGCAATGTGTGAGCTGTGGCCTCACTGCCAGGCTTTGCATGGCTGGAAGGGCTCTAAGAAGTGGAGCTGCTACATGTGCAGGCCCTGCCTATGATGGGCCTGTGGCCCTGGTGAGCATGTTGGTGCCACCATGTGTGTTGGCTGTGCCCCCTTGAGCCTCCCACCAGGGAGAAGCACCAGGCACAATGAATTCTTTCATGGAAAGTCTTCACTCTGTACACTCAGGTTGGAATGACTGCCCACATCTTCCTCCTCTTGGTAAATCACAAGGCATGAGAAAAGGCTGGTGCTGTTTGCTTTCTGTGGGGCTGACATGTGCCTCCAATGGAGATTTGTGAGGAGTTCCTCTGAAGGAGGCATGGGAGCTTGCTCACTAAGGAGAGTGTGCTGCCGACACTTGAGCCAAGATGGCCGAATAGGAACAGCTCCGGTCTACAGCTCCCAGGGTGAGCAATGCAGAAGACGGGTGATTTCTGCATTTCCATCTGAGGTACCGGGTTCATCTCACTAGGGAGTGCCAGACAGTGGGTGCAGGACAGTGGGTGCAGTGCACCGTGCATGAGCCGAAGCAGGGCGAGGCATTGCCTCACTCGGGAAGCGCAAGGGGTCAGGGAGTTCCCTTTCTTAGTCAAAGAAAGGGGTGACAGACGGCACCTGGAAAATCGGGTCACTCCCACCCAAATACTGCGCTTTTCCGACAGGCTTAAAAAACGGCACACCAGGAGATTATATCCCGCACATGGCTCGGAGGGTCCTATGCCCACAGAGTCTTGCTGATTGCTAGCATGGCAGTCTGAGATCAAACTGCAATGCGGCAGCAAGGCTGGGGGAGGGGCGCCCGCCATTGCCCAGGCTTGCTTAGGTAAACAAAGCAGCCAGGAAGCTCGAACTGGGTGGAGCCCACCACAGCTCAAGGAGGCCTGCCTGCCTCTGTAGGCTCCACCTCTGGGGACAGGGCACAGACAAACAAAAAGACAGCAGTAACCTCTGCAGACTTAAGTGTCCCTGTCTGACAGCATTGAAGAGAGCAGTGGTTCTCCCAGCATGCAGCTGGAGATCTGAGAATGGGCAGACTGCCTTCTCAAGTGGGTCCCTGACCCCTGACCCCCGAGCAGCCTAACTGGGAGGCACCCCCCAGTAGGGGCAGACTGACACCTTACACGGCCGGGTACTCCTCTGAGACAAAACTTTCAGAGGAACGATCAGACAGCAGCATTCGCGGTTCATGAAAATCCACTGTTCTGCAGCCACCGCTGCTGGTACCTAGGCAAACAGGGTCTGGAGTGGACCTCTAGCAAACTCCAACAGACCTGCAGCTGAGGGTCCTGTCTGTTAGAAGGAAAACTAACAAACAGAAAAGACATCCACACCAAAAACCCATCTGTACATCACCATCATCAAAGACCAAAAGTAGATAAAACCACAAAGATAGGGAAAAAACAGAGCATAAAAACTGGAAACTCTAAAAAACAGAGCACCTCTCCTCATCCAAAGGAACACAGCTCCTCACCAGCAATGGAACAAAGCTGGACGGAGAATGACTTTGACAAGTTGAGAGAAGAAGTCTTCAGACGATCAAACTACTCCGAGCTACAGGAGGAAATTCAAACCAAAGGCAAAGAAGTTGAAAACTTTGAAAAAAATTTACACGAATGTATAACTAGAATAACCAATACAGAGAAGTGCTTAAAGGAGCTGATGGAGCTGAAAGCCAAGGCTCAAGAACTACGTGAAGAATGCAGAAGCCTCAGGAGCTGATGTGATCAACTGGAAGAAAGGGTATCAGTGATTGAAGATCAAATGAATGAAATGAAGTGAGAAGGGAAGTTTAGAGAAAAAAGAATAAAAAGAAATGAACAAAGCCTCCAAGAAATATGGGACTATGTGAAAAGACCACATCTACGTCTGATTGGTGTACCTGAAAGTGATGGGGAGAATGGAACCAAGTTGGAAAACACTCTGCAGGATATTATCCAGGAGAACTTCCCCAATCCAGCAAGGCAGGGCAACATTCAGATTCAGGAAATACAGAGAACACCACAAAGATACTCCTCGAGAAGAGCAACTCCAAGACACATAATTGTCAGATTCACCAAAGTTGAAATGAAGGAAAAAATGTTAAACGCAGCCAGAGAGAAAGGTCGGGTTACCCACAAAGGGAAGCCCATCAGACTAACAGCGGATCTCTCGGCAGAAACTCTACAAGCCAGAAGAGAGGGGGGACCAATATTCAACATTCTTAAAGAAAAGAATTTTCAACCCAGAATTTTATATCCAGGCAAACTAAGCTTCATAAGTGAAGGAGAAATAAAATATTTTACAGACAAGCAAATGCTGAGAGATTTTGTCACCACCAGGCCTGCCCTAAAAGAGCTCCTGAAGGAAGCACTAAACATGGAAAGGAACAACCGGTACCAGCCACTGCAAAATCATGCCAAATTGTAAAGACCATTGAGGCTAGGAAGAAACTGCATCAACTAACGAGCAAAATAACCAGCTAACATCATAATGACAGGATCAGATTCACACATAACAATATTAACTTTAAATGTCAATGGACTAAATGCTCCAATTAAAAGACAAAGACTGGCAAATTGGATAAAGAGTCAAGACCCATCAGTGTGCTGTATTCAGGAAACCCATCTCACGCGCAGAGACATGCATAGGCTCAAAATAAAAGGATGGAGGAAGATCTACCAAGCAAATGGAAAACAAAAAAGGCAGGGGTTGCAATCCTAGTCTCTGATAAAACAGACTTCAAACCAACAAAGATCAAAAGAGACCAAGAAGGTCATTACATAATGGTAAAGGGATCAATTCAACAAGAAGAGCTAACTATCCTAAATATATATGCACCCAATATGGGAGCACCCAGATTCATAAAGCAAGTCCTGAGTTACCTACAAAGAGACTTAGACTCCCACACAATAATGGGAGACTTTAACGCCCCACTGTCAACATTAGACAGATCAACAAGACAGAAAGTTAATAAGGATACCCAGGAATTGAACTCAGCTCTGCACCAAGCGGACCTAATAGATGTCTACAGAACTCTCCACCCCAAATCAACAGAGTATACATTTTTTTCAGCACCACACCACACCTATTCCAAAATTGACCACATACTTGGAAGTAAAGCTCTCCTCAGCAAATGTAAAAGAACAGAAATTATAACAAACTGTCCCTCAGACCACAGTGCAATCAAACTAGAACTCAGGATTAAGAAACTCACTCAAAACTGCTCAACTACATGGAAACTGAACAACCTGCTCCTGAATGACTACTGGGTACATAACGAAATGAAGGCAGAAAGAAAGATGTTCTTTGAAACCAACGAGAACAAAGACACAACATACCAGAATCTCTTGAACACATTCAAAGCAGTGACTAGAGGGAAATTTATAGCACTAAATGCCCGCAAGAGAAAGCAGGAAAGATCCAAAATTGACACCCTAACATCACAATTAAAAGAACTAGAAAAGCAAGAGCAAACACATTCAAAAGCTAGCAGAAGGCAAGAAATAACTAAAATCAGAGCAGAACTGAAGGAAATAGAGACACAAAAAACCCTTCAAAAAATTAATGAATCCAGGAGCTGGTTTTTTGAAAGGATCAACAAAATTGATAGACCGCTAGCAAGACTAATAAAGAAGAAAAGAGAGAAGAATCAAATAGACGCAATAAAAAATGATAAAGGGGATATCACCACTGATCCCACAGAAATACAAAGTACCATCAGAGAGTACTACAAACACCTCTACGCAAATAAACTAGAAAATCTAGAAGAAATGGATAAATTCCTCGACACATACACCCTCCCAAGACTAAACCAGGAAGAAGTTGAATCTCTGAATAGACCAATAACAGGAACTGAAATTGTGACAATAATCAATAGCTTACCAACCAAAAACAGTCCAGGATCAGATGGATTCACAGCCGAATTCTACCAGAGGTACAAGAAGGAACTGGTACCATTCCTTCTGAAACTATTCCAATCAATAGAAAAAGAGGAAATCCTCCCTAACTCATTTTATGAGGCCAGCATCATCCTGATACCAAAGCCGGGCAGAGACACAACCAAAAGAGAGAATTTTAGACCAATATCCTTGATGAACATTGATGCAAAAATCCTCAATAAAATACTGGCAAACCGAATCCAGCAGCACATCAAAAAGCTTATCCACCATGATCAAGTGGGCTTCATCCTTGGGATGCAAGTCTGGTTCAATATATGCAAATCAATAAATGTAATCCAGCATATAAACAGAACCAAAGACAAAAACCACATGATTATCTCAATAGATGCAGAAAAGGCCTTTGACAAAATTCAACAACCCTTCATGCTAAAAACTCTCAATAAATTAGGTATTAATGGGATGTATCTCAAAATAATAAGAACTAACTATGACAAACCCACAGCCAATATCATACTGAATGGGCAAAAACTGGAAGCATTCCCTTTGAAAACTGGCACAAGACAGGGATGCCCTCTCTCACCACTCCTATTCAACATAGTGTTGGAAGTTCTGGCCAGGGCAATTCGGCAGGAGAAGGAAATAAAGGGTATTCAATTAGGAAAAGAGGAAGTCAAATTGTCCCTGTTTGCAGATGACATGATTGTATATCTAGAAAACCCCATTGTCTCAGCCCAAAATCTCCTTAAGCTGATAAGCAACTTCAGCAAAGTCTCAGGATACAAAATCAATGTACAAAAATCACAAGCATTCTTATACACCAAAAACAGACAAACAGAGAGCCAAATCATGAGTGAACTCCCATTCACAATTGCTTCAAAGAGAATAAAATACCTAGGAATCCAACTTACAAGGGATGTGAAGGACCTCTTCAAGGAGAACTACAAACCACTGCTCAACGAAATAAAAGAGGATACAAACAAATGGAAGAACATTCCATGCTCATGGGTAAGAAGAATCAATATCATGAAAATGTCCATACTGCCAAAGGTAATTTATAGATTCAATGCCATCCCCATCAAGCTACCAATGACTTTCTTCACAGAATTGGAAAAAACTACTTTAAAGTTCATATGGAACCAAAAAAGAGCCCACATCGCGAAGTCAACCCTAAGCCAAAAGAACAAAGCTGGAGGCATCACACTACCTGACTTCAAACTATACCAGAAGGCTACAGTAACCAAAACACCATGGTACTGGTACCAAAACAGAGATATAGATCAATGGAACAGAACAGAGTCCTCAGAAATAATGCCATAGATCTACAACTATCTGATCTTTGACAAACCTGAGAAAAACAAGCAATGGGGAAAGGATTCCCTATTTAATAAATGGTGCTGGGAAAACTGGCTAGCCATATGTAGAAAGCTGACACTGGATCCCTTCCTTACACCTTATACAAAAATTAATTCAAGATGGATTAAAGACTTAAACGTTAGACCTAAAACCATAAAAACCCTAGAAGAAAACCTAGGCATTACCATTCAGGACATAGGCATGGGCAAGGACTTCATGTCTAAAACACCAAAAGCAATGGCAACAAAAGACAAAATTGACAAATGGGATCTAATTAAACTAAAGAGCTTCTGCACAGCAAAAGAAACTACCATCAGATTGAACAGGCAACCTACAAAATGGGAGAAAATTTTCGCAACCTACTCATCTGACAAAGGGCTAATATCCAGAATCTACAATGAACTCAAACAAATTTACAAGAAAAAAACAAAGAACCCCATCCAAAAGTGGGCGAAGGACATGAACAGACACTTCTCAAAAGAAGACATTTATGCAGCCAAAAAACACATGAAAAAATGCTCACCATCACTGGCCATCAGAGAAATGCAAATCAAAACCACAATGAGATACCACCTCACACCAGTTAGTAATGGCAATCATTAAAAAGTCAGGAAACAACAGGTGCTGGAGAGGATGTGGAGAAATAGGAACACTTTTACACTGTTGGTGGGACTGTAAACTAGTTCATCCATTGTGGAAGGCAGTGTGGCCATTCCTCAAGGATCTAGAACTAGAAATACCATTTGACCCAGCCATCCCATTACTGGGTATATACCCAAAGGACTATAAATCATGCTGCTATAAAGACACACGCACACATATGTTTATTGCGGCACTATTCACAATAGCAAAGACATGGAACCAAGCCACATGTCCAACAACGATAGACTGGATTAAGAAAATGTGGCACATATACACCATGGAATACTATGCAGCCATAAAAAATGATGAGTTCATGTCCTTTGTAGGGACATGCATGAAATTGGAAATCATCATTCTCAGTAAACTATTGTAAAGACAAAAAACCAAACACCGCATGTTCTCACTCATAGGTGGGAATTGAACAATGAGAACACATGTACACAGGAAGGGGAACATTACACTCTGGGGACTGTTGTGGGGTGGGGGGAGGGGGAGGGATAGCATTAGGAGATATACCTAATGCTAAATGACGAGTTAATGGGTGCAGCACACCAGCATGGCACATGTATACATATGTAAGTAACCTGCACATTGTGCACATGTACCCTAAAACTTAAAGTATAATAATAATAAAATTAAAAAAAAAAAGGAGAGTGTGCTGCTAAAAAGAGGGGGTGGGCCAAATGTATGCTGAAAGATACTTGAACAGCACCTAAGTAAGATGCTGGAAAAAGGCACTGTTTTTATTAAGCCACATGTAATTACATATTTTAGGTTTTTTTTTTTTTTAAAAAAAAGAGACAGGATCTCACTTGTTGCCCAGGCTGCAGTGTAGTGGTGCGATTATAGCTCACTTGCAGATTATAGCTCACTTGCAGCCTCCCTCCAGGGCTCATGTGATCCTCCCACCTCAGCCTCCCAAGCAGCTAGGACTACACCTCAGCCTCCCAAGCAGCTTGGACTACAGGCCTGCACCACCATGCCTAGTTATATTTTAAAAAAATTTTTGTAGTGATAAGGTCTTGCTGTGTTGCCCAGGCTGGTCTTAAATGCTTGACCTCAAGCAATCCTCCCATCTCAGCCTCCCAAAACATTGGGATTACAGGTGTGAATCACCATGCCCAGCCTAGTTATTTATTTATTTATTTATTTATTTTTAAACTGGAGCCACCTGAGGCTATCTAATTCTGAGGAAACTCCAGGCTCTTTAGAGCTTTTCTCTCTTTCCCTACCTTCCTGAGGACAATTTCTACTCCTCTAGGTTTTTGCGTGTGTGTGTGTGTGTGTGTGTGTGTGTGTGTGTGTGTGTGTAATATGGTTTGGCTGTGTCCCCACCCAAATCTCATTTGAATTATACCTCCTGCAATTCCCACATGTCATGGGAGAAACCTGCTGGGAGGTGACTGAATCATGGGGGCAGGTCTTTCCCATGCTGTTCTTGTGATAATGAATGAGTCTCATGAGATCTGATGGTTTTAAAAATGAGAGTTTTCCCTGCATAAGCTCTCTCTTTGCCTGCCACCATCCATGTAAGACGTGACTTGCTTCTCCTTGCCTTCTGCCATGATTGTGAGGCCTCCCCAGCCATGTGGAACTGTAAGTCCATTAAACCTCTTCTTCTTCCCAGTCTCGGGAAGAAAACAGCAGCATGAAAACAGGCTAATATAGTGCATCTTTTAGGGTCTTTGACCTCATGGAGGCCTAAGCCAGTGACAGGATGAAGGACACAGAGATACAGTAGGAAAGATGTGATCCTTAGAAACAGGGAATATGTCACGACTCCCATAAGACCTTGGTGTCCTTTCCAATAATAAGGTAGAGGGACCGGATCAGGGGTTGGCAAACATTTTCTGTAAAGGGGCAGATAGGAAATAATTTAGGTTTTTGGGCCACATGGTGCCTGTCACACGTACTCAATTCTGCTGTTGTAATATGAAAGCAGCCACAGAACACTTGGGTAAATTAATGGGTGTGGCTCTGTTACAGTAAAACTGTACTTATAAAAACACGTGGTTTTTGTAAATCTGCAGAGGATCCCCTTGAGTATGGCGCAGAATGCGTATTGGTGGCATGTGTGTGAAGTAGGGGAAGAACCACTTAAAAGAATTAGAAGTACCAGTGTCTGAGGCTCACACAGGGTAGGGAATAGTATCTGTTTCCACAAGCCAGACCTTATGATTTATAGGGCATTAAGTAGAATGTGGTATAAGAGACAAACATAACAATGAAATAGAATAGAGATCTAGAAATATACCCACGTATATAAGAACAATTGATTTTCCAGAAAGATGCAAAGGCAACTCAGTGGAGAAAGGATAATATTTTCAGCAAATTGTAGTGGATAAGTTAGATGTCCATATGTATAAAAACAAACTTCAATATATAGCTTATATCATATACAAAACTAACTAAAGATAAATTAACTTAAAACTTAGAATTATGAAACTTCTAGAAGAAAATATGAGAACGTCTTTGAGACAGAAGTAGGCAAAGATTTCTTAAATACAATGCTAAAAGAATGAGCCCTAAAAGAATAAATGGAAAGTCTTAGTGAGAGCCATCAGGCAAGAGAAAGAAATAAAAGGCATCCCAATAAGAAAATAAGTCAAACTATCTCTCTTCACTGACTATATGATTATACATCTAGAAAACCCTAAAGACTTCCAAAAGGCTCCTGGAATTGATAAATGACTTCAGTAAAGTTTCAGGATACAGAATCAATGTACAAAATCAGTAACATTTCTATATGTCAATAACCTTCAAGCTGAGGGCCAAATCAAGAATGCAATGCCATTTACAATAGCAACACAAAAATACACAAAAATAAAATATCTAGGAATATATCTGACCAAGAAGGTTAAAGATCTCCACAAGGAGAACTATGAAACACAATGCTGAAAGAAATCATAGATGACATCCATAAATGGAAAAGCATTCCGTGCTTATGGATTAGAAGAACCAATATCATTAGTATGGCCATACTGCCCAAGGCAATCTACAGATTTAATGCTATTATTATCAAACTATCAACCTCATTTTTCACAGAATTAGAAAAAACTATTCTAAAATTCATATGCAACCAAAAAAGAGCCTGAATAGCCAAAGTGATCCTAAATAAAAAGAACAAAGATAGAAGCATCATGCCACCCAACTTCAAACTATACTACAGGGCTACAGTAACCAAAACAGTTCTCAAAAGTAATTGAAACAAAGCAAAAAATTGACAAGTTGGACCTAATCAAACTAAAGAGCTTCTGCACAGCAAAAGCAACTATCAACAGAGTAAACAGACAACCTACAGAATGGGAGAAAATATTCAAAAACTATGTATCCAACAGAGGTCTAATATTCAGAATACATAAGGAACTTAAACTGAGCAAGCAAAAAACAACTAACCCCATTAAAAATTGGCAAAAGACAGGAACAGACATTTCTCAAAAGAAGACAATGAGATACCATTTCAGACTGGTCAAAATGGCTACAATTTAAGCATCAAAAAACAACAGATGCTGGTGATGCTGCAGAGAAAAGGGAATGCTTTTATACTGATGGTGGGACTGTAAATTAGTTTAGCCGCTGTGGAAAGCAGTTTGGATATTTCTCAAAGAACTTAAAACACAACGATCATTCAATCCAGCAGTCCCATTACTGGATATGTATTCAAAAGAAAATAAATCATTCTACCAAAAAGACACGTGCATTTGTGTGTTCATTGCAGCACTATTCACAGTAGCAAAGACATGGAATCAACCTAGGTGCCCATCAACAGTGGATTGGATAAATAAAATATGGTACATATATACCATAGGATACTATGCAGCCATAAAGAGAATGAAATCATGTCCTTTGCAGCAACATGGATGCAGCTGGAGGCCATTATCCTAAGCAGGATAATGCAGGAACAGAAAACCAAATACCACATGTTCTCACTTAGAAGCAGGAACTAAACATTGGGTACTCATGGACATAAAAATGGCAACAGTAGACACTGGGGACTACTAATGAGAGAGGAAAGGAACAGGGCAAGAGCTGAAAAACTATTGGGTACTATATTCAGTATCTGGGTGATGGGATCAATCATACCTCAAATCTCAGCATTGGGAAATATACCCATGTAACACACCTGCACGTGTACCTCCTGAATCTAAAATAAAAGTTGAAATTATTTTAAAAAATTAAGAAAAGGGTAAGTTGAGCCTCATCAAAATCAAAATCTTCTACTCTTTGTAAGACACTGTTAAGAGAATGAAAATATAGCTGCTGACTGGGACAAAGTATTGGGAAATTACATATCTCATTAAAAGACTTACATTCAAAATATATTAAAACACTGAAAATTTGATATAAGTAAACAACTCAATGTTTAAATAAAGGTCCAAAAAATTGAGCAGACATTTTACCAAAGAAGAAATCAGGATGGCAAATAAACACATGAATACATGTTCAACACTACTAGTAATTAAGGGAATGCAAATTAAAACCACAATGAGAAACCACTACACACACAGTAAAATGTCCAAAATGCAAAAGACCAACTACAGTAAGCTTTGGTGAGGACAAGGAGAACTCAGAACTTTCTTACACTGCTGGCGGGAATGTAAAGTAGTACAACTACTTTGGAAAACAGTTTGGCTGTTTCTTAAAATGTTAAATATATACCTATGATTCGAGCAAGTCATTTCACTCCTAGGTGTTTAACCAAGAGAAATGAAACTATGTGTGCATACAAAGATTAATGTACATGAATTTCACAGCAGATTTGTAATAACCAGAAACTGAAAATAACGATTCCGTCTCTGAACAGGTGACTGATTAAACAAACTGTAGTATATACAATGAAATACTAATTAGCAATAGAAATGCCCTGTTGATCCATGTTACAATATGGATGAATGTCAAAGTAATTATTCTGAGTGAAAGAAATAAAATATCCCAAAGGCATTAGTCCTTTTCTATACCATTCTATAAAGTGCAGTCTAGTTTACCCCGACATAAATCAGATCAGTGTTCACCTAGGGTGGGAGCAGTAGTGGTGGGGGTAGGGGTATGAGGGAACAATTACAAAGGGATATGAGGTAACTTTGGGGGCTGATAAAATATGTTCATTATATTGATTGTGGTGATGATTTCACAGGTGTATACATATATCAAAACATCATATTTTAAACTTTAAATATGTATTATATATTGAATATCAACTACCAGATTGTCAAATATGGGTCAAACGTATAAAGAAGTATTTGTATCTTATAAATGAATAACAAAGAAGGTGAAAGATCTCCACAAAGAGAACTGCAAAACACTGCTGCAAGAAATTAGAGATGACACAAACAAATAGAAAAACATTCCATGCTCATCGATAAGAAGAATCAACATTGTTAAAATGGTCATACTGCCTAAAGCAACTTACAGATTCAATGTTATTCCTATTAAACTATCAACGACATTTTTCACAGAACTAGGAAAAACTATTTAAAAATTCATATGGAACCCAAAAAAAGCCCTAATAGCCAAAGCAATCCTAAGCAAAAAGAACAAAGCTGGAGGCATCACGCTACCCAACTTCAAAGTATATTACAGGGCTATGGTCACCAAAAAACATGGTGCTGGTACAAAAACAGACACATAGGCCAATGGAACAGAATAGAGAACCCAGAAATAAGGCCATATACCTACTACCATCTAATCTTCGATAAACTGACAAAAACAAGAAATGGGGGAAGGATTCCCTATTTAATAAATGGTGCTGGGATAACTGGCTAGCCATATAGAGAAGATTAAAACTGAGTCCCTTCCTTACTCCATATACAAAAATTAACTCAAGATGGATTGAAGACTTAAATGTAAAACCCAAGACTGTAAAAACCCTAGAAGACAACCTCGGCATTGCCATTCAGAACATAGGCATGGGCAAAGGTTTCATGATGAAGACACCAAAAGCAATTGCAACAGAAGCAAAAACTGGCAAACAAGATCTAATTAAAGAGCGTCTGCACAACAAAAGAAACTATCAACAGAGGAAACACAACCTACAGAATGGGAGAAAATTTTTGCAAAGTATACATCTGACAAATGTCTAACATCCAGCATCTATAAGGAACTTAAATTTACAAAAAAACACAATTGCATTAAAAAGTGGGCAAAGATGTGAACATACGCTTTTCAAAAGAAGATATACATGCGTCCAACAATCACATGAAAAAAACTCAACGTCACTGATTATTAGAGAAACGCAAATCAAAACCACAATGAGACACCATCTCACACCAGTTAGAATGGCTATTAATAAAAAGTCAAAAAACAACAGATGCTGGCAAGGTTGTGGAGAAAATGAAATGCTTATGCACTGTTGGTGGGAGTGTAAATTAGTTCAACCATTGTGGAAGACAGTGGTCAATTCCTCAAAGACCTAAAGACAGAAATATCATTCAACCCTCTACTGGGCATTTCTATGTCTAAGCCATGTGGTCAAGAGTATGAGAGCAACAAGCACTTGCTAGTCCCAAGGTTTCATTTTTATAGTTATGGAAAAGTGAGGCCCAGGTGGGCCTGTGCATGTGTTGCTCAGGCAACATTCCCTTTGGAGAGTTGTAGCAGTGGCTTGAGGTGAAATCAATACCAGGGTGTCCGATAACTAAAACAGCCAGTTCTGGAATAGTCTCACCTACTGGGGATCTCAACACTCCAGACTTAATGAAGAAGAATGAGCTCTGACACATGGCTTAAAAAACTCCAACTCTCCTTTCCCCCCTTACTGCTGGGAAACATGAAAATCAGGGTCTATGAGTTACTGTTCCTGTGCCACAGAACCATGAAGTTCTGTAAGGCTGTTACAGCCAGCTGACCTCGTACATAGAGGAAACATACAGTGGCTGGCATCTCACCACTCACTGGCTACAACAAGGCTGGTGAATGGCTTTCATCCTGTATATATCAACTACCACCAGGCTTGGTAAGAACATTAAAATGAATTCCAAGGCAGTGCCTGAGCTGAGTGAAAAAGAATGTCACGACTGACTAGGGATGTCTTGGCTGTGGGAGGAGTGATTAACAGTATCTTTGCCATGTATTTCCACCTTGGTCTAGAATTCTGTTATCCTCAAAATAGGGTTTCTTCATTAAATCTCTCCCACTATCGATTATTCCTACAGAATACCAGATTAATTCTTCTCATACATTACTTTTAGTATGTCATTCTCCTATTTAAAAACCCTCGAAAGATTTGTTCCCGTTCCCCAGGTAGTACATCTACTTCCTTTGTTTTATATTCATGGCTTCCACAGTTTGATGTTAATTTCTCAGCAACCCTACACAAAACCTCCTCTCCAGCCTCCCTGGCTTATTTCTCATACCCAGAGCGCACACTGTGGTCTGAAAGGGCCACCTATAGGAGTCAGGGATGGGAGCTTGTCCAGATGGGAGCCACTGGACTAAGACCAGGATGAGGTACTAGCTGGGGAAGTTCAGGATGGAAGGAGGGCATTAGGATTGTTGGGGTGAGGGTCTGAGCCAAATCTGAATGGACAAGCTGTGGCTGAGGCTTGTTCGTTTTGATGGCCTAGTTTCTATCCCAGTTTAGCTGCCTGTCATCAGTCTTAAAGCAATGGTGTTTTACAGTTGTTTCTGAACAGACATCTGATACATATCTTGCACATTTTTCATCTTGGGGCTCATGGAATCTTCCTCACCTTGAGTGCCCATTTCTCTTCCTTTCTGCCTATTTGAATCCCACCCATTCTGCAGTGCTCAGCTCCAAAGCATCATAATGAGGCTCTGCCTGTCTCAACCTACTTCTCAGAGTCCTGATACTTGACATCATTTTCTCATTCATCTCCACAATTCCATGTGAGTCTCCTAGTTCTATAGTGCTGGCGTGACACTGACATTCACCATTCAAGTTCATTTGGTCCAGGCAGTTACATTCAGGGACTTTATGAATACTGACTCACTGTCTCATTCAAATGGAGCAGTCTGGATGTGGACTGGGAATTTAAGGTGTCTCTTAACTGCTGGATTTAAATACCAGCCTAAGGTAACAAAGCACCACAAACTAGCAATGGAATGTGGCAACATAAAGTACAATAAATTCTTATTGCCCATGGCTAAAATGAAACAAAATATTATTCCAGAATAAGGGAGACTGAAAGTAAAGCTATCATGAAAAAATATGAACAGGCTAACTTTTCCAGCATGCTAAATGGCACCTGAGTGACCCAAAAGAGTTACTGAACTTGAAAATAAACAATTGCTGCCACCCTGCTTGTGACCAGGCTGTGATGAACAGTTATGAGAGTTTCTCATAGTGATTCTAAAATAAAGAAGTTCACAACGCACATTTCACTGGGAGTCAGTTTACTATTTGTAAGCCAAAGGCAATATGCAATTTGAAGCTTCTATTAATTCTGATCAACAAGATATAGAAAAACTCAGTGCCAAACTTGTATAAATCATGGGCAACAGAATAGGGCTACTTGTTACTTTCCCTGTGTCTTATTTTTACTCAAGTCAAAAATAGAGAAATCAGATTTTTCCATATGCTGATAAGCTGTGAAGATTCTTTGCAAGTTTCAGATGAAAACGAAAATTGAGGGTCATGTTTCTGTGCTCTAATCCTAAAGATACCAGGCCCCTGTGGCCATGTTGATAAGTCATCACCAATACGACTGGGAACCCACTGGCCTCCTGTTCCTTGCTAGTTGGTGGGTAAAAGAATACAGAAGCTTTAAACTTTGAGCCACAGGAATAATTCTAGCTGTTATTGTCAACATTTGGGATCACATAGACTTAGTATGAAGATTTTCCCCACTTTGTAGGCTTTGGCTTTTTGTTTTATTTTAAAGAGGAGTTTTAGATCTTAGGTTCACAGCACAAGAGGAAGGTACAGAAACTTCTCATATATTCCCTGTCCCTGCACATGTATAGGCCTATTTCCCCACCCCCCCACCAGGCCTTTTGAAGGCAGAAGAATTCTTCTCTTCCACCTTGTCCGTCTCCAGAGGTCATGTGTGAAGGTTTTTCCGGCATCTTCATGATTCTCGTGTGGGGGCCCAGGACTTGAATGCCCTCGTACAACTCCTTGCTACCAGAGGGCACTACCCATGTGGGAAATAACTTGGTGAAGGTTTCCAACACTAGATGACAGGGAGGTTGTACTTAGTGAAATTAGTTCAGCACTTGCCTTGAGGAGTCTATCTGGGTTGGCTTTAGGCTATATCTACAGAAAGCTGGTCTAAATAGTATAGTCTTCCTTTTGGAGGGTGCTGATATTTGACTTTCTCCTCGAAAGTTGATTATTGCTCTAGTTTAGGTGGCAGGGGATCATGGAGGAGTACTGGGGAATGGTTAGCAAGAGGAGAGGAGATATAGGAGCTGTTCTTTACTGCTGTAACTTTCTCAAAGTTTCAAGAGTCAATCTGATTGAGAGGATCTGGACTATGGCATCAACCCAAGAGGATTCAGAAAGGAGCCATATTGGAATCTAGACAAGCCACAGAGTCCAGACTAACAACTGCATTCACCTCATATGGAAAGTCAGCCAAGTTTCCACTGGTGAGTCTGGATTCTGTAGGCAATTTAGTGATTCCCTGTTGGCCACCCCCGACTGCTGCCTCCTTCCCACCTGCAAACAGTCACCCATCCATAAATCCTGTCCAGTCCTGGCTTTCTGCCCAATGTTTCCGAGGGTTAGACTCACCAAGGAGAGCAGAATTCCCAGGATCCAGGACCAGCTGTGTTCCCAGAGGAGACGTCAGCACTGAAGGAAGGTTCGGTCCAGTGGCAGCGAGCAAGGCCCTGATGTCTTCCAACTGTGTGGGGACTTGGGGGGGATCTGTGAGAAGGCAGAGGGTGGATCAGGCAGGTTAAAGCACAGGGCTGTGTCAAGGCAAGAGGAAGAGGTGGGTATGCATGTGTGTGCACATGTATGCGTATATGTAAGATAGGCATTACTATTGTTGCCTTTTAACATTATTTTTCCTATAGAGGAGTCCCTGTCAAGGTGAGTCTGAATTTCAAACTTAATACAGGTATTTGATGCCTGAAATAATAAGGTCAGTAAGAAGAAGCAGGCATACCAAGTTCAGGGGTTTCTCACTTTAGATCACTGGGTACCTACACATTTGTAGATAAGTTAAACTATATCATAAAGACACTTTTTTAAAAAAGTGAATTTTAGCATTTACTATGCCAAGTTCTGTGCTAAATACATTTCAGTCCATTTTTCATTTAGCTCTAGTAACAGTCTTCAGAATGAGGCACTCTGTTATTGTCCACACAGATAAACACCACGGGAATTTCTTATTTAAAAGGACCCTTTTCTATGAAGCAAAAGATGCAGTTGTGAAGTTGGTGAGTTAATTTGCTTTGTGGTTTGGATTTTTATGCCTAAGTAGGACCTAGATAAAGCAGGGAGGAGAATGTTGCTATGCGATGCTTCATCATTCAGAATCTTACAAGGAATCAGCGCTGAAGTCATCAGAGTTCCCAGTTAATGCTAAAAGTGACTAAAATGGGAAATATATAGTGGCTTATCATTTCTGCTGGACAAATAAAGAGCCAAGAACCTGCTGAACTTAGTGGTGGGATGATCCCAGATTCTCTTGGAAAAGCAGCAGATCCCTTTTCCCCTCTTCCTGCATCTCCTGAGGAACTGCAATTTACACTCCCAAGGCCAGCTCCCACCTTTTTCTCCAGAGCACTTGTTGGAATGGAAGCAGCAGCCCAGGAGTATTGCTCTTGAAATGGATGGTCATTTCAACAGCATTCTGCAACAGCCCTACTACGTGCCTGGCACCTTGTAAGGCACTTGTTAGGGCTGGTGAATTAATAAGTCATGATGGTGCCTGAGTCTACTTGAAAAACATACCTTCAGTCTTTCTGTCTGACTGACAAAGACCATTGTATAGAGAAAACAATGATGAACTAGAGATTACATATGTGTGTGTGTGTACATATATATATATACACACACACACATTTTATATATATATATATATATATATATATATATATAAATATACTTTCAAAAGAATCCTTTTCATATGGCATAGAGAAAAACATCATGCCTGGGTTCAGGAACCCTCAGTTTGAGCCATGCCTCTGTCATTCACTAATTAGGTCATTTAAGTCCTCAGAGCCTTAGTTTTCTCATCTACAAAATGAGGTTCCTTTCTAAGATCTCTTTCTACTCTGGAATACCATGATTTTAGGAACTGATGGTGGCAGTTTACTCAAAGCATCTCTCTTTCTCTCCTCCTCAATACTTCCTCTTGAAACTCATGAAAGCTGTGCTTATTTACTAAGAGCAAAAAGGGGAGGGTACTTTCCATCTTCAAAACAATCAGCTCTTTTTGGGCCAATTGTTGGCCCCTCCTAATGTCCTTACAGCTTTGAAAGTAATTTTCCTTTTCAGTGCATGTCCATTTGCTCTTCCCAGGAAAACTGTAAATTCTCCAGGGGTAGAGGCCACCACTTATATTTCTCCTAAAACTTTACCAGTGTCCAGGTGACATGGAACTTAATGTCAGCAACATAAAATGGCAACACTTAATGAATATCTGTCCAATGGACTATATGAATACATGGATGAAAGTCTGCCTTACTGCATTTCAAGTCCTCATAGTACAGGTTAAGTCACGGAACTTGGGGTGAAATCTCAGTTTCATCCACAAAATGCCCCCTTTAAAAATTAAGCTACATTTTTGCAGATTAAATGAGACATTGCTTTGATGTTCATAAAGTACCTGCTAAAAGCTAACAAACTTTCCTTAATAAACCAAGAACTGTGATCAAGAAAAGCCTTAAACCTAAGAGTCTTGACAGTGATTTTTTTCCCCATTAAGTTTGATGAAAATGGGGAAGATGTTTTGCTCTTCGAACACCGTGTTCACTGCTACACTGTATTAGAGTTGGAATGCAGTAAGCACCTGCCTACAGAACATACACACTTCATTGGCAAAGCCACAGTAGCAGCCATACATCTTAGACTTTCATCTGTGTTAGCAGAGACAATAAGGAAGGATTATTAGGGAGAAAAATCTCATTGGTAAGCACCGTAACTCAGTGTGGGGCAATATTCCCTGGTCTCTGGGCTCCAGACTAGCAGCTCAGCTGGATGAAACCCAGCGCAAAACAAATAACATCTTTCTCTGAGCCAGTTTTCTGTGGCTTCTTAAGATGGCTGGAGGTTTATGCAGCCACCAGTGAGATGAAAACCCGTTTGGGCCTCTCTGAAATCTGAGTGGGCAGGGTCTAGAAGGACCTATGTGTTGGTATATCTTCAACTCTCGGTGTGAAAACAGAAGTGTAAAGTTTAAATATTTTTCCCTGAGGAAGTCTGTAATGTATGTTTATGTATGTATGTGTGGCATGAATTATTATTTCTTACATCTTTCCCTTTTTTCCTTAGAATGACAGCTTTCTCTAGGTGAGAAAGAGCATAATTAGAGCATAAGTGCTCTAATAATTGCTCTTTTTTTTGAGAAAGCCAAAAAAAATTTTTTTTTTTTTTTAACTTTATCTCCCTAGCACCCAGACTCAGTGGGGGAAGAACAGCAGGGTGTCCCTAGTCCAGGGGGCAAAAACGGTTATAGCTTGCAACATGGCTGAGTCCAGAACTGGGCAATAATCAGATGGTGGATGGTGTCCCAGCAATTATTTTTAAGCACCCATTTTATACCAGGAGCCATGCCAGAGTCTTTAATCAGGGGTTCTTATGTTTAGGGGTACATGTGGAGACTTTAGATGGACCAGACCATAAGCTTCCTGGAATTATATGAAAAATATTACATGTATGAATTTTTCTAGAAGGAGGAATCCATAGTTTTTATCTGATTCTCAAAGAAGTCCTTAATGCAGGAAGAGTTAAGGACAATTGTTTTAATTAGGTTATCTCTGTTTGAGATACCTGTTCTGCCCTTGCAATCCTCCTGTCTGGAGTCTCCGCATAGAGACCAGTATCTAAGGCTTAGCAGAGTGAAGTAACTTGCCCAATGCCAGGCAGTTAGTAAATGGAAGAGCCAAGGTTCAAGCTCTTGTTTGGGCTCAAAGTTTGTGTTCTATCGAAAGGCCCTAAATTGGGAAGAAGTGAAGGGATATCAATTTTACCTTTTATGTCCTTAATTGGATTAGGGCACAAAGGAGGTAGAGGGTGGGTTAGATAGTCACTCCCAACAGGGTGCAGCAGAGGCAGCCAGCTTTGAAGTGTTTACCTAGGATCAGCAGCTGGGTGCTCTCAGTCAGCTCTCCATGAAGATTGGCCGCCCTGCAGGAGTACAGGCCCTGATCCGAGGAGGACACGTTTGTGAGCAGCAAGGAGCCTTCGTGCAGATGGTGCGGGGAGCCCAGTTTGCTTTTATTCCTGAACCAAGTGACTTCAGCTTCAGGCACTCCTAGGAAGAAAAAAAAAAAACAAAAAACCCCACTCATCAGTCAAACACATTCAGGTGAGCCCAGAGGCATTTATAGCTTCTTGAATCCCCCTTCCCTGGGGCTGCTCTACAGGGACATCTTCTACCAGGCTTTGGCCAGATTAAATAATGTCCAGAGCCTGGTAGGATAAGGATATAGACTTCAGGGTGACCAAAGAATCAGAATAAATGTTGATACAAGATAAACATCTCAGTTGTCTCCAGATCTTTTGCCTTTTAAACTTACAGTGATGAGACAGGAAGAGGGAGGCCAGTACAAAGAGGAGGAAACAGGAAGCTGGCAGGGGGGGCTTGCCAAGGTGGAAGGAGAGTACCCAAATTCTTTGGAGAAAATGTATTTGAAAAACATGAGAACCAAATGTATACACCAGTGAAAATGAAACTACATGAAATAAACATAATGTTGAGTAAGAGATGGCAGACACAAGAGTACATACTGTATAATTTCCTTTCCGTAAGTAAAAAAAAAAAAACCTGGTAACATTAATCTATGCTGTTAGTAGTCAGTGGAATGAATGGGGAGGGGTTGTGACTGAGAAATGGGACAAGTGGCTTGGCCACTGGCGATGCTCTGTGTCTTGACCGGGGGCTGGTCTGGTGGGGAGTGTTCACTTGGTACCTTTATGATACATGTACTTTTCTGTATAGATATATTTTAATAAAAAGTGCAAAGCTATACAACGTTAAAATATATGTATGAACTAGACAAATGGAAGCTGCTAGATTGCTACTGGAGTTGACACTCTTATGTAGAAAACTTGCTTGTATTTTTGGAAGCCTGCATATCTTCTCAGAGCAAGAGAACATGAAATGGTAGTATCAGTAGAACCACAGGAAAAGGACAAAAGGAAAGTGCTCAACTCTTTCCACAATCCAAGTTTATTTTCTGTGAGAGAGATGGGATGGGGAGATCATCTGCTGACCTGGGATGGGCTCTCTCTTTGGAAGCCAGGCTCTGTGCTCTAGGGACCCCATGAATTCCTCAGGAAGTTTCCTTGTGGTTGACATGCTGGAAAACAGGCCCTGAGAGTTTAGGATGAGCCTTCCTAGATGCTGTTTTAGGAGGATCCTATAGGAGGCTGGGCTCTGAGTATGTTGAGAGACTGAAGATATGTGGCACGGATTCACAGGTCTCTAGGGAGCAGAAAGCACCCTCCCCTACACAACTCAGCCTGCTGACCCAGCTCACACAGTTTATTTATAGAACTCACTGGCATGTATCCAGGGCATGCTTAAAGTGTAAAGTCCTGGCCGGGCGTGATGGCTCATGCCTGTAATCCCAGCACTTTGGGAGGCCGAGGCAGACAGATCACAAGGTCAGGAGTTTGAGACCAGTCTGACCAACATGGTGAAACCCTGTCTCTACTAAAAATACAAAAATTAGCCAGGCATGGTGGTGGGCACCTGTAATCCCAGCTACTCAGGAGGCTGAGGCAGGAGAATCACTTGAACTTGGGAGGCAGAGGTTGCAGTGAGCCGAGATCACCTCACTGCACTCCAGCCTGGGTGACAGAGCAAGACTCTGTCTCAAAAAAAAAAAAAAAAAAAAAAAAAGGGTCAAGTCCCGGGAAATGGGGTCAAAGCCAAGAATGGCCAAGGAGCCAGACCTTTAGTCTAGTGGTCTAGTGTTTTCCCTGAGCTGGGGCTGGTTTTTGCCTTTGGGGCAAGGGCAGTTTGCCCTTAATGGCTAGCCTTCTGTTGAGAATGCAGAGTGTCTTCAAAGAGTTGCCTGTGTATCTGTTACGTGTCCTTGAAATTGGCTAGAGAAAGAGAGGCAGGGCTACCGAAAGTGGGTGGAGACTTGGATACCACAGCCTTGTCACATCAGAGAGAGGCACACGCTAATCTGGCTCTAACAGTAGGATACTTTATGCTCAAGTGTGTAAGAGGGGCCAGGTTGGCATCATCTCTAAAGATACCTGGAGAAAAGACACAGGTGAGGGGTGGAACAGCTGATTTTTCATTGCAGCACCACTAGGGAGAGCAAGAGCATCATGATGCCTGTCCATGCCAGCTTGGACTTTGGACCCTGAGCTTAGTTTTTTTCCCATTTAAAAAAAAAAATCCACGGCATTTAGGAGACAGCCTCAGAAGTAAATTGAAGAAATGCACTCTTAGCTATTTTTCTCCTGAAAGAACAAGGAAAAATGAGTTCCTGCAAACCCTTTTCCTCTTTTCCTTCCCCTTCCTTCCTTCCTTCCTTCCTTCGTTCCTTCCTTCCTTCTTTCCTTCCTTCCTTCCTTTTCTTTCTTATTGAGATGGAGTCTTGCTCTGTCACCTAGGCTGGAGTGCAGTGGCATGATCTCGGCTCACTGCAGCCTCTGCCTCCTGGGTTCCAGCGATTCTCCTGTCTCAGCCTCCCAAGTTAGCTGGAATTACAGGCGTGCACCACCACGCCCAGCTAATTGTTGTATTTTTAGTGGAGACAGGGTTTCGCCATGTTGGCCAGGCTGGCGTTGAACTCCTGACCTCAGATGATCCACCTGCCTTGGCCTTCCAAAGTGTTGGGATTACAGGCACGAGCCACCATGCCGGCCCTGCAAACCATTTTCTACCATTATTCATCCTCTTTCCCTCACATTGCTCACATGCAGCACTTACTGCCTGCATCTTCCTTTGAGGAGGGCTGTGGGCAGCAAACACAAAGACTCAGGGGGAGAGAAAATGAGAGTGAGAGTGACAGAGGGGAGAAGGGAGGGTGGAACAGAGGGAGAAGGGAGAGAACCCAGGGATGGAAGCAGACCTGGGAGCTATTTCTCACTCCCCCAGGAATGGCTTGCAAGCTTCTTCCATTCCCTTGATGTCTGTCTATCTCATGCCGTTCTAAAATTGTGCTTGTTTGAGAGGACAGGACTGGATATAAACCAAAAGGGCTGAATTCCTCTGGTGACAGCAGGGGACTTCATGGGAGAAATGGAAACGTTCAGAATAGCAGGGTGGAGGAAGAAACCTCCAGTTTCTGTAAACCTGGAACCATGGACCTGACAGCAGTCCCAAGGGAAGAGAAATTAAGTGGGAATCATTCTTTAATCTACTGGCAAACCTCTCTCAGATTCATTCAAGCACAGATCTGCATTATGAGTTTGCCGATGTAGGTATTGTTACTGGTGCCACATTTTGAGGACTTCCTGCCTGGAACTGTGGGCCTTAGGTGGAGAATGATATTACTAAGACACCTTGGAGTGACAGCCAGTCCTTCCATAACTGGCTCTGACATTACGCATGTAGAATGAGGAAATAGAAAACAATAATTGAGGTGTTATAAAGTTTTTTTTTCTTTTTCTCTCAGGAGATGACAACGACGCTTTAAAAAACGTCACCAGCCCTTGAATGTTCCACAGAGTCCCTTGAAAAGGTAGTGATACACATGCCTAATACTGATGTTCAGAATACCTCAACATCGGAGTGTACTGAGACATGCAAACGTATCCTGAGTGTGTTAAACGGAGAAATAACATTGAACATTTGCTATAAGTCAAACATTTTATAAACACAATCACTTATTTTTAACAATGATCCTGTGAAGCAGGTACTATTTAATAACTCCATTTTATGAGAAAAAGGGTCTCATAGAGATTAAGAAATCTGCCTAAGGTCACATTTGTTTGGATGCCTGAACGATTACATCATTACATCAGAAAAGAGTTTCTGTTCCCCCCAGTTCCCTACCCTACAGCCAATCAGTAACCCACCAGTGCCAGGGTGGGGATTCAAACTGAGATACCTTTAATGCCAACAGTCCCCATCTTAACAAGTGTACACCGCCTGCCATTATACTAGCCTGACTCTTGAGAGAAAATCTGAACTGCTGCTTTACTATTTCTGAACTGTCAAAGGCTTAATTCCTTTCTACTTTCAGAATTAATGTTTCTGCTGTGGTTGTAAAACCAAGGTGTTGTCAGGAGAGAGGTTCCAGAATCCATGTGTTCTGGCTTTTTAGCTCTTTCTTGTTGAGAAGCTTGGTCAGGTTGCGGGAGATGATCTTTTCTAGCCTGCTGTAGTGTGACAGCAAATGCCACAAAAACAAACACCTGAAAATGACAGAAAATATGCTCTACCACAGAACAAAATCCAAAAGCTATGTTGTTGTGGACCAGCTACTTGGATAGGCTCCACATGCTAACCTCCCTGGTATTATTTGTATCTTAAAACAGCGAAGGAAAAGAACCCACGTTTGCATTTTCCCCTGTGGTGTATCTTTTCAACAGCCCCATGCTCTCCCTGCTGCTTGAAAGGATCAGTAAAAGAGCTTAGTCATACTGGGTGGTAACTTGATATGATTACAAGGTCCAGTGCCTTTGATGTCCATGGAGCTGCCAGGTAGGGTGATGCTAAAATATTCTTTTTTAAAAAGTCCCAGACAGGGTATTCTTGTTAACTGGATCCCTTATTACATTTGGAAGGCTGCCTGCACCATGGCGGTGTGTCAACATCTCAAGGTGGGGTTTCCACTCAAAGGTGCACCTTTACATGGGAAATTCTAGAAGCTTCCTAGGAGGTGTGGAGGTAGGGTGGCTTAGGGAAAGAAAAGAGAAAGGATACAGTAACTCAACTGTCAGTCTTGTCAATTATTCTAAAAAACCAAGGCAGTCTGGAAAGAAGGTTTCCAGCCTTCCACGTTTCTCCATACTGACTGTGGCAGACAACGATAGCTGTTCACAAAACCAGTTTCCCTCTTTTTCCTGAGTACCCAGTGAGCCTACCTTCCCCAGCATCCTTTGTAGTTGTGCGTGGCCATGTGACTAAAGGATTGTGAAAAGTCTTAATGTATGCTCCTTCCAGGCGTGGCCCTTAAAAGCCTTCTCAACCATCCTCCGTATTCTGTTTTCCCCTCTCCTGGTTGATAGGATAGAGGTAACCCCTATGGAGACCTTGGAAGGCATGTGTTCCAGATGTCAGACCCACCAGCATCCTGTGACCCTGCATGACACTGTGGGGGCAGATCCTCTCCAGATGACCAGGTGTACTCTTTGGGCTCTTAGATAAGCAAAAATAAACCTTCTATTGTATTTGAGCCATTATACATTTGGGGGTCTACTTGATACCAGAGTCTAATCTATCCTAATACACCACCCATCACTGACTCTTGAACTATTTCTGCATCCTTAGTCCTGCTGATTTTATCTCCTAAGTAAGTCCTTCAAATACTTCCTTTGCTTTTAGGAGAAAAACCTAAACTGTACCATAATCTATGAGAACATGTAAGATCTAGCCCCTGCCTACCCACACCTCCTCAGCCTCATATGCTACTTTCTTCTCTGCTCTTGATATTATAGCCACACCACCAGCCAGGTTTTACTTCTTTAAATGCAGCATGCTCTTTCTACCTCAGGCCCTTTGCACATTCTGTTCCCATTTACTGAAACACTGCTTCTTCCCCTGATCCTTTATCGCCGACTCAGTTTTCTGACCTCTTCAGAGAACAAATAGAGAACAAGCATGGGAGTGATACAGTGGATTAGGTCACTTTTCAAGAAAAAGCCTATCATACTCATTGCCTAATGCTGTTGATGCTTCAGGATTGGGAAGAATGTGAGGCTGCATTTTGTAAGCTGAAAGCACATGTACGCAAAAAGTTGTTTAATGAAAAACTGCTAACAATTCAAACATGTGAGTTGGTCTAGGTAAATTACATAATATTCTTAATATAGGCTATTATATAGCCATTAAAATTATGCTTATGACACAGACAAATGTTTATTACTGAGAGGAAATAAAGCAGGATAAAAGGGAATCATTAAGGAAATTAATAAAATGTCAGCTGTGGTTGAGTTTGGAGAGAACGACTTTGAACAAGCTGTTTTCTTTCCTTTTTGGACTCTTAAATTTTTCTGTGTTTTCTAAAATTTCTTTAATACTCTAATATTTTATAATAAGAAAACAACAACCGTATCTACATATCACATTGTATTATCATTACATATTTCATAACTTTTCTCCTTCCCAGACTGTGAGCTTCCTGAAAATTGTATCTTGTTTATCTGTGGCTCCTTGGATTAGGAGAAATTTGATCTAACCTGGATTAAATACTCCATAAAAAACTGCTAAATGAATAACATGAATGAATATGACATAAAATACTGCTTTAAGCAGGCCCTTATGGAGTCCCTCTTCCCTGTCTATTACGAGAATCTGGGTTGCAAATTCTCAAGCTAGAGTATTACCTACTGGCAGTGTTATTGGTGCTTAGAGAATCCCACCTAACCAATCAGGAGGTCACTAAGCTGCCTGACTGGGAATGGGATAGAGGTGACCAAGAGTAAGGAAAGAGCCTTAAGAGCTGCTTATAGCAGCAAAGTAAAAGTAATCCTCTGCCATTTGGCATTTAGCATTATAGCTGTCAGTGTTTTAACTGGAGACTAAGCTCACAGATGATTTCCTTGTCCAGCAAATTCACTGTGTAATTATAAGCAGGCTCTTTCCCACCTACTTTGAATGAGTATCTTGTTTAACAAGAGGAATAAGGACAAATATACAAATAATTATTTTAGTTAATCAGCATTAATACAGATGGTTTTATGGATAAAAACAAAAATAAAGACTGCAATGTCATAGCCAGGGAAAACTAGGTATATCAGGTTCTCACTATAAGGTTATCAAGTGAGCCTCTGGATGAAGTCCCAGAGAGAGGGCCCTAGGCGGCACAATAGAGTGGCCAAAGCTCGTTTTAATATCTTAGGCTCCCCAACGTAAATACTTCCTCAACCAGATTCTGGTCCTCTCAATCTCCTTTAAATGCCCATTTCCTTGTTTTGCTGCACTTTCCTCCCCTATTTTTTTTTTTTTTTTGAGACAGAGTCTTGCTCTATTGCCCAGGCTGGAGTGCAGTGGTTCGATCTCGGCTCACTGCAATCTCTGCTTCCTAGGTTCAAGTGACTCTCATGCCTCAGCCTCCTGAGTAGCTGTGATTACAGGCACTTGCCACCATGCCTGGCTAATTTTTGTAATTTTAGTAGAGATAGGGTTTCACCATGTTGGCCAGGCTGGTCTCAAACTCCTGACCTCAGGTGATCCACCCACCTTGGCCCCCCAAAGTGCTGTGATTACAGGTGTGAGTCCCCATGCCTGGCCCCTCCCCTATTCTTTTACTCCTACCAGTTCCACCTCTCAAGAAGATACACAACATGGTCCATCATATCACCAGTGTTTCATCGCCAAAGCATGTGTCCATAGTGATCAGGTGTGTGTTGAGGGGTGATGGTTCTGCAGAAAGGGCTCTACTGGCACCACCATTAATCCCTGCACAGAGGGGTAGCTCATTCATGCCAACCCCTGTCAGGGGTTTTGTCTTACTCCCTATCTAGGAGTACAGGGGCTGAAGGGACTTGGTTCTAGATTTCACTGATGAGGCTGGAAGGGAAACATCACAAAGGCCATGAGAAGCTTTACAAAGGCAAAGCTAATGCACACTTACAAAGATATATTTATATTTCAGATATCCTAATTTTTTTTTTTGAGATAGGGTCTCGCTCTGTCACCCAGGCTGGAGTGCTGTGGCATGCCCATGGCTCACTGCAGCCTTGACCTCTGGGCTCAAACGATCCTCCCATCTCAGCCTCCCTCAGCTGAGACTATAGGCATGCGTCACCACACATGGCTAATTTTTGTATTTTTTTGTAGAGACAAGGTTTTGCCATGTTGCCTAGGCTGGTCTTCAACTCCAGGGCTCAAGTAATCTGCCCACCTCAGCTTCCCAAAGTGCTGAGATTACAGGCGTGAGCCACCAGGTCTGGCCATATTTCAGATAGCCTAAAGCTATCAGAATATTTCAGAGAAAATCAGACTTGGCTGTTATTCGGAAACAGTAAGCCCTAGGTTAAGATATTCCTCCTACTTACTCTAAAATGGGTTTTCATGTCTTATAAGTAACAAATTGAGGTAAACCTTCATATGATGAAGATCTAAGATGAAGCAACCACCAAAGCATGGGGGTGCCACTGCCTATCTACTCTGCAGACAGGGTATGATCGGGGAACCTGGGTTTGGTGTGGCCATGCCACTGTGGGGTATATCTGATGAGGACAGCAATCAGAAGACTAGTTGCCCAATGGCACAAGAACCATTCATTTCTTCATCCCATTGTGGCAGTGAAACCCCTAGGGCACACATGACAAATGAGTGGTCTACATGAAGGGAAAAATAGTAGCTGGGCCTCATTCTGCTATATGTAGGTGTTTTCTGTCTTTTAATTGAAGGTAAATATTTTTATACAGAGCATATTACCACCCCCTCTTGTCTACTACTCCTTGCTTCACTGTGCCTTCCTGGTCCCTGTTGACCTCTGAGTTTGCAAGGCCCACCTGAGAGCAATGCCTGTATCAGAACTCCACTGGCTATCTTCTCTAATAACTCCTGCCCACTTCTGATTCGAGCAAGCTCCACGCTGCTGTTGGTCTTACCTCTTGCCATCTTTCTCATGTCCATCCAGTCGTTACCTTCCCATCCTCACTGCCCTGAGTTCAGGCCTCCATGACTTCTCCTCTAAACTACAGTGATGGGTCTTACTTGGCCTTTCTGTCCTAGTATTTCCCTTCTCAATCCATTTTCTTCAATGCTGGTGGCTTTGTCTTTTGGAAGCATGGCTCTTTAATGTCACTTCCCACCTGCATTTCTGCACTCTGGGCTCCACCCAGACCAAAGCTCACCCAGTTCTCTCTACAGCCTAGAGGATTTTCTACTTCCATGAATTTATCACTCTCCTGTGTCCACTTGGAACTCCTTGCCCCCATCTTTGCAGGTTCACATTCTATCTGTATGGAAGGCTAAGATTAAAGAAAAACATACACATAAAAAGATCAATTTTACCTATCTGTCCCAGTCAGAATTAATCTTTCTTCCTCTAAATTTCTGTAGCACTTTCTACTTTCAGAGCGACTGAGGTTCATGCTTTGGCTTTCCTACTAGCACTATATCCCTGAGAGTAGAATTTGTGTCTAATTTGTCTTTGTATCCCCAACCTAGCACAGGGCTCCATTAACGTGTGAACAAATGAACATTAATTTCTCACCTGCAACCTGGCAGTTGATTGTCACATTCACTCCCTGCACTGTTTTGATGGTGCTTCCTATATCGACTGTGACTGCAGGCTTCTCCGTGTTGATCACTGTCATTCGTGACGTTTTCACTAGTGGCTTTCCTGAAGATAAGAAAGAATATGAGATGTTACTTGGTGGTGACTGTGGAAATTGGGGCACTCCTTTGAAATATGGGCTAACCACCAATGCATGGCTGGTCTACCCAGACTTTTGCCACTAACTATGTTTTCTCTTGAAAAATTGCAAGCGCACAGTATAAAAGCATCTACCTACCTACCTACCGCAGTGTTGTCAGTAAAAGAAATGATAAATGTTTGCAATGATGGATATGCTAATTGCCCAGATCTGATCACCATATATTAATTATATCAAAACATCACTATGTACTCCATGAATATGCACAACTATTATTTGTAAATTTTTTAAAATTAAATTAAATTTAAAAAATGTTTACAACTTGCAAAAAAAAAAAAAAAAAAAAAAAAAAAAGACCAAGGGTTGAAGAGTTTGAAGACAGAGCATGTTATACAAATTGAGATGATTTATGCATTCTAATCATTAAATTAACAAATAATCCTCGACATCATGTTTTACAGGGCCCTTTTTTAAAATTAAATTTTTTCACTTTAAGGTAATTGTAGACTCACTTGCAGTTATAAGAAATAATAGAGAGTGCTGGGTGCAGTGGCTCATGCCTGTAGTCCCAGCACTTTGGGAGGCTGAGGTGGGTCGATCACTTGAGGCCAGGAGTTTGAGACTAGCCTGGCCAACATGGTGAAATCCCGTCTCTACTAAAAATACAAAAATTAACCGGGTGTGGTGGCATGCACCTGTAATCCCAGCTACTTAGGAGGCTGAGGGATGAGAATCACTTGAACCTGGGAGGTGGAAGGTGCAATGAGCCGAGGTCACACCACTGCACTCCAGGGTGAGACTCTGTCTCAAAAAAGAAATGATACAGAAAGAGAAATACTGCATTATCTCACTTATATGTAGAATCTAAAGAAGTTGATCTTATAGAAGTAGAGAGTAGCATAGTGGTTAACAGAGACTGGGGAAGGGAGCGGGGAGAGGAAGATAGCGAGAGATTGGTCAAGAGGCACAAAGTTATAGTTACATAGGAGGAATAAGTTCTGGTATTATATTGCACAGTAGGGTGACTATGTGTATATTTCAAAATATCTAGGGGAAAGGATTTTGAATGTCCTGACCACAAAGAAATGATAAATATAAGAAGTGTTGGATACGCCAAATACCCTAATTTGATTTTTATACAATGTATACATGTATCCAAAAAAATCACACTGTTCCCCATAAATATGTACAATTATTATGTGTCAATGAAAAAATTTTGAAAAGCATGATCCATAAAAAGAAAAGTTTGTCTTTCTGTGCCTGGCTTATTTCACTTAACATAATAACCTCCGGGTTTATCCATGTTGCTGCAAATAACAGGATTTCTTTTTTTTTTCTCTTTTTTTTTTTTTTTTTTTTTTTTGAGACAGGGTTGGTCTTGCTTTGGCATCCAGGCTGGAGGGCAGTGGTGTGATGTTGGCTCACTGCAGCCTCTGCCTCCCAAGCTCAAGTGATCCTTCCACCTAAGCCTCCTGGGTAGCTGAAACTACAGGTGTATACCATCACACCTGGATAGAATTTTTTTTTTTTGTATTTTTTGTATTTTTTTGTAGATACAGGGTTTCCCAGTGTTGCCCAGGCTAGTTTCAAACTCCTGGCTGGGCTCAAGCGATCCACCCACCTCAGCCTCTCAAAGGGCTGGGATTACAGGCATGAGCCACCACGCCTGTCCTCATTCTTTTTCTTTTTTTTTTTTAATGGTGGAAAAGTATTCCACTGTACATATATACCATATTTTCTTTATCCATTCATCTGTTGATGGACACTTGGATTGATTCTATATCTTGGATATTGTGAATAGTGCTGCAGTAAATATTGGAGTGCAGATATCACTTTGATTACTGTTTTCATTTCCTTTGCATATATACCCAGGAGTAGGATTGCTGGATCATATGGTAGTTCTAGTTTTAATTTTTTGAGGAACATCTAAGCTGTTTTCCATAATGGCTATACTAATTTACATTCCCATTAACAATGTATAAGAATTCTCTCTTCTCCACATCTGCGCCAGTATTTGCTATTTTTTGTCTTTTTGATAGTACCCATTCTAATAGAGGTAAGGTGATATCACATTTTGGTTTTGGTTTACATTTCTCTGAAGATTAGTGATGTTGAGCATTTTTTCATATGCCTGTTGGCCATTTGTATGTATTCTTTTGAGAAACGTCTATTCAGGTCTTTTGCCCTTATTAATTAACTAATTAAGTTAGGGGCACATATGCAGGGTTGTTACATAGGTAACCTTGTGTCATGGGGGTTTGTTGTACAGATTATTTCATCAGCCAGGTATTAAACCTAGTACTCGATAGTTATTTTTCCTGATCCTCTCCCTCCTCCTGCCCTCCACCAGGCCCTAGCATCTGTTGTTTCCCTCTGTGTCCACGTGTTCTCATCATTTAGCTCCCAGTTATAGGTGAGAACATGCAGTATTTGGTTTTCTGTTCTTGCGTTAGTTTGCTAAGGGTAATGGCCTCCAGCTCCATCCATGTTCCTACAAAGAATTTGATCCTGTTCTTTTTTATCTTTTGTCCATTTTTGAAAATTATTTTTTGTTGTTGTTGAGTTGTCGGAGTTCCTTACGTATTCTGAATATTAATCCCTTGCCAGATAAAGAGTTTGCAAATATTTTATCTCATTCTGTAGATTGTCTTTTTATTCTGTTGATTGTTTCCTTTGCTGTGCAGAAGCTTTTCAGTTGGATGTAACCAACAAGGACACAATAACAAAAAGGAAGCTACAGGCTAAGATCCCTGAAGAACATGTATATAAAAATCCTTAACAATATACTAGCAAACCAAATTCAACAGCACATTAAAAAGATTGTTCACCATGAAGAAGTTTCATCCTACAGACACAAGGATGGTTCAACATACGCAGATCAACAAATGTGATATATCACATGAACAGAATGAAGGACAAAAACTATATGCTCAACATCACTAATCTTCAGGGAAATCCAAACCAAAACCACAGTGAGGTATCATCTCACCCCAGTTAGAATGGCTATTATAAGAAAGACAATAGATGTAGAAAAAGCTGTTGACAAAATTCAACATCCATTCATGATAAAAACTCATAACAAATTAGGTTGAGAAGGCTTCAGGAATATAAAGGCCATATATGACAAATCCACAGCTAATATAATACTGAATGGGGAATAACTGAAATTTTTTCCTCTTAGATCTGGAACCAGACAAGAATATCCATGTTCACCACTTTTCTTCAACATAGTACTGCAAGTCTTAGCCAAACCAATTAGTTAAGAGAACCATATAAAGGGCATTCAAATTGGAAAGGAAAAAGTTATACTGTCCTTGTTTGCAGATGGCATGATCTCATATATAGAAAACCCTACAACTTTACTAAAAAATTGTTAGAACAAACAAATTCAGTAAAGTTGCAGGATTTAAAATCAACAAACAAAAATCTGTAGTGTTTTTATATACTAATAGTAAACTACCTGAAAATAATCAAGGAAACAATCCCATTTACAATAGCTACAAAAAACCCCTTAGGAACAAATTTAACCAAGGAGGTGAAATATGTCTACACTGAAAAGTATAAAACATTGATGAAAGAAATTGAAAAGGACACAAATAAATGTAAAGATATCCCATGCTCATGGATTGGAAGGATTAATATTGTTCAAATGTCCATACTGTACAAAGCAATTTACAGATTCAGTGCAATCCCTGTGAAAATACAAATGACACTCTTTACAAAAATAGAAAGAACAATCTCAAAATTTGTCTGTAACCATAAAATACCCCAAATAGCCAAAGAAACCTTGAGCGAAAAGTACAAAGTTGGGGGCCGGGTGTGGTGGCTCATGCCTGTAATCCCAGCACTTTGGGAGGCTGAGGCGGCGGATCATGTGGTCAAGAGACTGAGACCATTGTGGCCAACATGGTGAAACCCCATCTCTACTAAAAATACAAAAATTAGCTGGGCGTGGTGGCACAGCCTGTACTCCCAGCTACTTGGGAAGCTGAGGCAGGAGAATCACTTGAACCAAAGAGGCAGAGTTTGCAGTAAGCTGAGATTGTGCCACTGCACTCCAGCCTGGTGACAGAGTGAGACTCCATCTCAAAAAAAAAAAAAAAAAAAGTACATAGCTGGAAGCATCACACCACCTAATTTTAAAATATACTATAAAGCTACAGTAACCCAAACAGCATGGTATTGCCATAAAAATAGACACATAAACCCATGGAACAGAATAGAGAACTCAGAAATGAATCCACGTACTTACAGCCAACTCATTTTCAACAAAAGTGCCAAGAACACAGAACAGAGAAAGGACAGTCTCCTCAATAAATGGTGCTGGGAAAACTGAAGCTAGACCCCTAGTTCTTACTACATAAAAATTAAAAATGGATCAAAGATTTAAATGTAAGACCCAAAATGATAAAACTACTAGGAAAAAACATAGAGGAAACACTTCATGACATTAGTCTGGGCAGCAATTTTTTAGATAAGATCCCAAAAACATAGGCAACAAAAGCAAAAACAGGATTATGCTTTTGATAGCAAGTTTAAGAACTATTTACTTAGATCTAGGTCCTGATGATTTTTCCTATTTTTTTCTAAATGTTTTATAGTTTTACATTTTACCTTTAAGTCTGTGATATATTTTGAGTTAATTTTTATGTAAGATGTGAGAGGTCACATTTAGATAAGAGGTCAAAGCCCATTTATTTTTTGACTATGGATGTCTAATTGCTCTCTCACCACTTATTGGTTATATTTCCTACATTGAATTGCTTTTGCACTTTTGTCAAAATTAGCTGGGCACAGTTGTGTAGATCTGTTTCTGAGTTCTCTATTCTGTTCCACTGATCTATGTGTCTGTCCCTCTACCAATATCACACAATATTATTTATTGTAGCTATATAACTAATTCTGAAATTAGGTTGGCTGATTACTCCTGCCTCTTTGCTATTCTAGTTCCTTTGCTTTTTCATATACATTTTAGAATAATCTTCTCTACATGTATAAAATATTAGTAAGATTATGACAGGAATTAGATTAAACATGTATATTAGGAAAGAAATGACATCTTGACTTTGTTGTGTTTTCCAATCCATGATAAATATGTCTATTTATCTTCTTTAATTTAGATCTTCTTTAATTTCTTTCATCAGAGTTTTGTTGTTTCTGAGATACAAGTCCTGTTATATTTTGTTACATTAACCTAATTATTTTGGTTTTCTTTTGATTGTCTATAAAGACAATCATTTCATCTGCAAATAGGGACAAGTTGTATTTCTTTGTTTCCAGTCTCTATGCCTTTTATTTCCTTTTCTTCCATTACTGCACTGGGTAGAAGTTCTAGCACTACAATGAATAAGGGTGATGAAGGTGGGTTTTTTCATGATGTCTAGGTTTCAATTGAAGCCTGTATATTTTTTTAGTTATGAGACTCTGGATCTTATGTAAACCTTCTGTTTTAGCTGCTTTCTATAAAACCACTCAGGCTTGGGAGCAGGGAGATGCCTCCTTGTTACTACCCAGTGCAGGTTAAGTCCAAGTTCTCCACTTGGCCTCTTTTGTTACCCAAGTGTGGGACTCCTCATTACTGCTGGGCAGGAGTGGGAGTTCTGGATCCCCACATAGTCCCCACTACACAGCTGTGGGAGGAGCCTCCTCACCTTGGGCAGGTGGTACAAGTCCTCACTCTCCAGGAGACCTCCTCTACACCACCCCAGTGGGGAGGGAAAGGTGGGCACGGCAGGGTGAAGGTGGAACTCCAGGCTCCCCATGTGGTCTCCACATTACACTCTGGTAGGTGTAATGAACGAGGACTGAAAATCTCTGATACTCCCCTCCATGAGGGTTGGGGGGCACCTCATTTGAGGCTGGCTGGTGGGGAATCTAGGCTCCCTGCTCAGCCTTTGCTGGTGCAGGTAGTGGTGGACACACTGTTTTCGGTGGCATTTGGCTAGCATAGAGTAGAATTTTCTAAAGGTTTTCTGTCTTGCTATGCTTCCCCTTTCCTAGTCCTTTTGTTAGAGAGAGAAGGTTTCTAGCTGGTGTTTGTTTTTTTTTTTTTTTTTTTTTTTGGTACTCATTGGTGTTTACCAGTAGCCAGCTTCTTGAACTCCAAGTTTGTGATTTATGAGGCAAAAAGAAAACCCAACAAATTTACAGTTTGATTTCCAAGGTCTTTGGTCAGTTGGCTTTCTTCCCTTTACTTTTTATTCTCCTTATGTGTGTTTTATATATAATGTACAGGGCCTTTAGTGGTACTTAGCAGTAAGAATAGGGAAAAGTGTAACTATGCCATCTTTCCAGAAGTCGAAGTCCTGTGTACATTGTGTTTTAATAGGCCTTTATCAGCTGGGAATAAAATACAGAACTTCATGCACATGACTACAAAATACAATGAAAAGACTCATTCATTGAACACCTTGGGGAAGTTGGGTCCCCATGAGATCATATTCATATAACCCAAGCTTAACCTTCTGTAAGTTAAGTGGATTTAATTTTGTTTTAACCATGTTACAGGCAGGATATTCTACAGTGATATTCACTCTTCTCTGCTTTCATTAAATGTGAAGAAAACCTTAATTCAGAAATGCCCTTTGGAGTCTTATACTTGCTTTTTATATTTTTTGTTTTCTCCCACATCTATTTATCCTGTATTCCTGTTTGTACCGTCCCACAGCCTCATAATAGAAGCTATCCCTCTTTCTTCTTTGCCATTTTATTTGCCTTCTAGGCATAGGTAATTAAGCTCATCAGAACTGTGTTCAAGGGCAGAAACTTGAATAATGTTCTGAGAAGCTCACCTTGGAATGCATGCATAGGCTCTATTTTGACTGTTCAGGGGCCTTTTTCCTTATACAACTTATATTCCATACATTTGAGATTATGTATCATCTGATGAGTGATTTAGTACTATAATGATTGTTGAGCATAGTAAATGTATGGCCACAATGGGAGGAAGCAGTTGGAATGATACTGAATTAGCACTGGTATACATGACCTCACCTCCCTACTCAGAGTTAGAGCTACCCAGCTCTGACTCCAAATCTACCCCTGCATCTCACCAGCATCTCTGTTGCTATGATCTAATGCTACCATAATCTCTGGCTGGACTACTATACAGACTAACTGGTCTTCTGACTTTCACTCTTCCCTCACTACAGTTTTATGGCAGCCAGCGTGATCTTGCTAAAACATGAATCAAACCATACAACTTTTCTGCTTAAACTTTCCAGTCCCTTTTCAGTACAATTAAAACAAAACTTCAAGCTCTTTTTCTTTTCTTTTTTTTGTTTTTGAGATGGAGTTTCGCTCTTGTTGCCCAGGCTGGAGTGCAATGGGGGGATCTCAGCTCACTGCAACCTCTGCCTCCTGGGTTCAAGTAATTCTCCTGCCTCAGTCTCCCGAGTAGCTGAGATTACAGGCATGCACCACCACATGCAGCTAATTTTGTATTTTTAATAGAAACGGAGTTTCACCATATTGGTCAGGCTGGTCTCGAACTCCTGACCTCAGGTGATCCACCTGCTTTGGCCTCCCAAAGTGCTGGGATTACAGGAGTGAGCCACCATGCCCGGCCTCAAGCTCCTTTTCATGACCAACCGTCCCTTGTACATTAAGACCCAGTGGTCTATATCACCTACCTCACTTAGCCCACACTCCCCATCAATCACAGTGCTCCAGCACACTGGCCTTCCTTTCCTCCAACACAGCAGCACATCAGCCCTGGCCATTCCCTGTCCCTGACATCTTCCACCTACAGACTTCTGCACGGCTCTCTTCCGGTCGTTCAGGTCTCTGTGCAAATAACACCTCCTAGTGAGGCCTTTTCTAACCACTCCATATAAAGCATGCATCCCTGTGTGTGGTATGGAGGTGAAGAGATGTATACTTTAGATGGGGACAACTTTACTTTTTTCATAAGCACTAGAACTAACAGAATTTATCTTCTATATTTGTGTATCTCCCCCCAGCCCCTGCTACTTCATTATGTAATTTTGATAACATCAGAGATCACATCTCTCTTGTCTTCTTTATTTCTATCACCTAGGCCTGGCGCCTAGTAGATTCTCAATAAGTATCTGTTAAGTGAAAATATGTGTTTATATGGTGTGCTATGTGCATTATCTGGATTTTTTGGATAACAACCCTGAGAGGCAGAAACAACAGTACTATCTTTTACATACACAAAGAACTCAGACTCAGAAAGGCCCCATGGTTTGTCCAAGGCAACAGAACTAGCAAGTTATAGGGCTGAACTGGAGCCCAGATCTTTGACCTAAAGTCTGGTGCTTGTGATAGGTAGTCCCAAATCTTTGTCTGTGGACTGGCTGCCTCAGAATTCCCAGGGCACTTGTTTAAAATATAATCTGTCCTGCTATAATACAAGAGTTGCTCTACTGTGTTATAAAAACAACTGTGCCAGTGGGGAAAATGAGGTTAGGGACCAGAGAGCTTTAGAGTCACAATTACCAAGTTATTTTTCCTACAGGAATTTTAATAATAAAGGTGGTTTTTTATAGCTGCAAGTGTATAGCTATAAAATTCAAATGTCACTGAATGAAATCCAGCCCTTAATTAATTATATTGAGTTTTTGCTGGAAAGTAATGGCCTTTTTTTCTTGTCAGGAGGATCACTGTTGTTAGCACAGGCTACTTCTTATACATTCTTATTACTTTCATGATCCATTGTTAAGACAAAGCACAAAGTTATCCAAGTATTTATAATCAATAGAGATTTTAATGAAAATAATGTTGCTTAATCAATTGACCCTCTTACACCTATTAGAAAAACGTTAGCATATATTTTGAGTCCCACTTCAGAACTACTAAATCTGAATCTCAGGTGACAGGGTACAAGCTGTAATCTCTATTTTAAACAAGTTCCTAGGTGATTCTGTTATGGAGGCAGGTTTGATATTCAATACATTGTACTCTTTTAGTTTTTCTTTAACTGGTTCCTCTTCTTCCTGGTGAGAGATTATCTTTTGAGACACCACTAGATCTCTATTACAATTTTTCAAGCTGGAGCTGTTATTTTAGTGGCCAACTTAAAAAAAATCAACATAAGCCTACTTTAGATCACCTGGTTGATCACCTACTAATAGATTACTGCTGTGTGATGACTGCCACGTGATTGCCAGTACCTATGTTTGTGGACACGATTACAATCACATTGATATTAACTAGTACTAGTTTAACCATAGAAGTTAACTAAGGAGAAAAAAACATAGATGCAGAGAAGGAGTGAAATGATAAATTATACATTTGTGTTAAGATAACAAAAGCCATGGCACGCTGTACCAAAAGGGCTTTCAGAATAGGAAAAACAGAAAAAGGTGCTGAGAGCTAAGTCAGCATTACTGAGCCCTCCACTGAATGCGCCGCGCCTCAGCAGTCAGTACTATGTATGCTTTGTTTTTTTTTTGTTTTTTTTTTTTTGAGACAGAGTCTCGCTCTGTCGCCCTGGCTGGAGTGCAGTGGTGCGATCTCGGCTCACTGCAAGCTCCGCCTCCCGGGTTCACGCCGGTTCTCCCGCCTCAGGCTCCCGACTAGCTGGGACTACAGGCGCCTGCCACTGCGCCCGGCTAATTTTTTGTATTTTTTAGTAGAGACGGGGTTTCACCGTGTTAGCCAGGATGGTCTCGATCTCCTGACCTCGTGATCCGCCCGCCTCGGCCTCCCAGAGTGCTGGGATTTCAGGCGTGAGCTACCGCGCCCGGCCTGTACTATGTATGCTTTGTGAACAGCCATTTAGTTTTAGCAAGTCAGCATCAGCTCACAGAATAGTGTTAATTTATAGAAATTGATAGGGTTTACATTCTTTCATTTAATCTGTAAATTTGTTTGTGTTATAGCTGAATGAGAGCCATACAAACAGAAGGAGAATATGCCAAGTTTTGTATCTGTATAAATTGAAGAAAAAATAAGGAAACCGAAATAAAGGCAAGCGTTTCAATTTATCAGGCCCAATATGAGAAGTGAAGCCCCTCCAAGATAGTCAGACACAGAAACAGAAGCATTACAAGAATCATTTTTGCACGGTTCCTTCAGACCTCATTGTACCCACAGTACAGCTTTTGGATTATAGTTCCTGTTAGAAGTAATGTAACAGGGGAAATAGAGCCTCACAGTAAACGAGGGCAGCTCTTACACAACAGGAGAGCCTGACATATGGCTAAAACTCGTACGTCAGCATCCAAGGATGTGAAGGCCATTAAGGAAGGAGCATGGCCTTGTGATGCCTTTAAAACAGAAGTGTTCAGCCAACCAGGCACCATTTTGATCCTGAAGGATGAGGACCTCTGGAGAGACAGGCAGGGACAGATGAGTAACCCCTGGAGCAATGCTCAGAAATCCATTCTTGCACATAGTCTGGGCTCTGGCTCAGGTCTCTCTCCTATGTGATTTGGGGTAAAATCAAAATTCAGTGGGAAAAAATCTGAACATATGTGTTTGAAAAATATCTTTGGCCTAATATAAAGGTGATTGAGAGAGAAGCCAGAGGAGATGGAAAGTTTGTTTTTTGAATGAAGCCAAGAGTAGAGAGCATTGTAAGCACTGTTTACTCAGGGCTGAATCCCAGGCCTCTGCTAATAGAAACTTTGTTTAAACTGCCATGCCGCCTTCCATTTTAGAAGCCATGGCAGAGAGTGACTTGCTATCAGCCAAACCCTTTTCCTCTTCTTCCTGTGCACACAGCTAGATAATTTTCCAGCCTTTTTGCAGTTAGCTATGAGCATGGAACTGAGTTCTAGCAGATGGAACATGAACAGACGTGAAGTGTGCCACTTCTTGGCCCAAAGTACAAAAACTCTGTTGTGCAATTCTTTTAGACTTTATGTGAGCAAGAAATAAACTATCATATTTTACCCATCATATATTTATAGGTTTGTTTTTCTGTAACAGTTAGTAAGTGCCATTTAACCCAGGCTTAATGAACGTTTGTTGACCCTGAATGGATGGATCCAATGGGTCTTCCTTCCATTCCTTTAACATTGTAAGTCACGAATATACTTCAAAATAATTTCCCCTAGTCTTTGCCATCAAAAATGAGTTGTACTTCAAGGACTTAGATTCTCTGTTTGGCTAAGGCAGTTTAGGCTAGGAGGTGTGCATGTGTATTCATTCTCAGGGTGAAGAGAGACTTGTGGAAGATAAATGGAAACGGGGCAACAACAGACACAAGGACCGCAGGCTGGGCAGATTTGGCAGGTTTGGAGATTTCATGAGAGCTTCAGAAAGGGCCCACGAACAGCAAACAGGTTTGAGATCCTGAAGCCAAATCTAATGACTGACAGAGTTTTCCTGGAGTACTGTGCAGATACGGATTCCGAGTTACATTCATAAGGGCTGAAGAGCAAAAACACACGATGAGCTAGTGATGCCTGCAGGGGGCAGGGGCAGGGGCAGGAGAAAGGGCTGTCTACAGGTTAGGTGTCCCGAGCTCATCTCTGCATAGTATAGCTAAGTACCCTTAGGCAAGTTATTTAAATTCTGTGCCTCAGTTTTCTACTTCTACAGTGGCTGAGAGGAGTAAGTAAATGGATGCATGCAAAGCTGTAAGAACAACGGCTTAGCACAGCAGGAAGTTTGAATAAATGCTAGCTATCACCAGCACTATCTCTGCTATAACACAATGGCAAAACTCTGTGAGGAGCAGTGCTGGGACCTTCTGATGAATACAGAAAACACAGAAAGCAAAACGTTAAAGAAAAGAAAGAGGAAGACAGGTAAGAGGAGAGGTAATACATTTGTTAGAAAGAACTAAACTGCTTCTATTTTGAACAACTCTGAGAATTCCAGTGTAATTAGAAGAAATAATTTAAATACAACAGATTCTTTGTAAACTGGTAACAATATCTGGACAGATGCGGAGAGCTTAAAAGTCACACCATGGCTGGCCTTGTTGAAGATTCCAAAAAGTACCCACTTCTAGAAATGCTAGGAAACAACATATGCCAGATTGACTCCCTGGGTGACCCCCATTAGAGTTCAAGAAAACAGTTGTGATATCCATGGAAGATCCAAATATCAGTTTAAAACACAAAAAAGACAGTGATGTCTACTAATTAAAATATTTGAGTATACAGCAATATTTGAGTACAGTATAAGGTAATATTTTAGTTTAAAGCAATGAAGTATTATAAATTTAACACATTTTTAACACCCTAAACTGAGCAAATTGTATTTAATCCAGATTTAATCAATGAACAATACCTTACAAAGAGTGAGTATATCAAAGAAACGTCTTAAGAAATGCTAGACTCTGCTTATACTAGAATTGTCACAGGTTTCTCACAAGGATCACTGGAATTAAATCTTCAAATTTTCTCTGAAATGAAAATTTCCAGTTGAAGAATTTAAGACTCATGAGTCAAATAAACTTTGAGGGACTAAAATCAGCATGAGCTAGGAAAACCCTTATAAATACCAACAATATCTTATCCATCTGATATTAGTAATAATGGATTCTGAATATTAATGTTCCATTACTATTCCTTGCTGGCCAGAAGCTTTTCTGGATCTCACTACCTGACAATTCCCATAAGAGTTGCTTTGTTACAAATAATAGTTATATTAACATGCAAGATCTTTTCTTAGTCTAGTTTTCCTTCCCAATGTCTTTTGCATTTTATAGTGCAGGAGTTTTTAACTCCCTGCTGACCTTCTTGCAAGGCCTCCTTTACATCTATTTCCAGCCTCCTGAGTCAGCATTTGACCAATAGTCAGCTCTATTTACCCTGTACCCTTTGTCTTCACCAGTTCTCTGAGACATTTTCCTTTCATTTGTTATTCTTGCAAGACTTCATCACAAAAGCTGTACTACTTCTTTGCCATCTAGTCTTCCATTCCCCAAAATACAACAGAGTCAATTTTCAACGTCAGAATTTCAGGTAAAGGGAGTTAATAGTTGATAGTCATGGTAGAGAATGCTATCATTCATTATTATATGTGCAAGAGATTCATAGAACTCTTGGGTCTAAAAGAGACCCAAGAGAGCAGCTATTTAAATCCCTCTGTTTATAACGGGAAAGAGGTTCATAGTCCTATTCTGCTTCTAAATTTGGCAATGAAGCAAAAACTTTCCCTAGAATCTTACTTATTCTATTATTACAGTAGGCTTCTTAGTAATAGTAAAAAATAATTGTTCCCCTTCCATCCAAATTATTACATTGTTTTTGTTGGAATAATCTAATCAAATAAATTGTGATTACCCTTTGAATAACACTCTGACTCTATCTGGAAAGTGAGGTGTAATATATGAGCAGATAATATAGAAAATGAAATACAAACCAGGGGGTATTGGTAGCCTCAAGGCTATATTCAGAGCACAGACATGTTTACCCAAAAAAGGATTTTTAAAAATTTGAATTAGTTCAGTTAAAAATGGTGAGTTAAAAAAAAGTGTTGTTTTTAAACATTTTTTGGTTTGGTGTCTCTAAAATCGTGAGAAAGTCTAGCAACATTAAATTTTTATTTTTGGGGGATAGCAGTCAGATGAAAATGAGCTGTGCCCTTCAGACAGGTGGGCGGAATAATGACCTTCCAAGATGTTTATGTCATAATCCCTGGAACCTGTGACATGGCTAAGGAAGAATTAACATTGCTAATCAGCTGAACCTAAAATGGGGAGATTATTCTAAGTTATCAAGGTAGGCCCAGTCTAATCATGTGAGCTCTTAATATCAGAGTTGGGCAACATGAAAACTCAGCCCTCCATTGCTGGTTGTGAAGATGGAGGAAGGAAACCATGAGCCAAGGAATTCAGTGGCTTCTAGAAGCTGGAAATGGCACTCAGATTATAGCCAGCAAGAAAACACAGACCATAGACCTAAGTTTCACAGAACTAAATTCTGCCAACAACTCAAATGGAGAGGAAAAGGATTCTCTTTTAGAGCCTTCGGAAAGGGATAAAGCCTGTTGACATCTTGATGAGACTGTATTAGACTTCTGACCTACAGAACTGTAAGGTATTTGTATTGCTTTAAGTCTCTAAGTATGTGGTTATTTGTTATGGCAGCAAAAGCAAATACGCAGGCCATATACACCTTCTACATCACCAAAGTTGTCACCACAACAAAGAAGACACGTAAATGACTCATAAACACATAAGATGCCTGACATCATTAGTCAATATTAAAATGTAATTTAAATCACAATAAAGTACTACTTCACGCTCATGAGGCTGGCTGTAATTAAAATGATAGATGAAAACAACTGTTGGTGAGAATATGGAGAAACTGAACTATCCTACATTGCTGGTGGAAATGTAAAGTGGTGCAGTCTCTTTGAAACATAGTTGGCACTTTCTTCAATAGTAAACATAAATGCGCCAAACAACCCAGAAATTTCACTCCTAGGTGTGTATAACCAAGAGAAATAAAAAATATGTCCACATAAAAACATGTACGTGAATCTTCATAGCAGCTTTATTCATAATAGCCAAAAAGTAGAAACATCCCAAATGCCCATCACCTGATGAATGGAGAAATAAAATGTGGTCTATTCTATACAATGGAATATTATTCTACCATAAACAAGAATAATGCTACGACATGGATAAATCTTGAAAACTTTATGCTAAGTGAAAGAAGAAATAAAGAACCATATACTGTATGATTCTAATTATATAAAATATCAAGATTAGGTAGATTTATGGAGATTTAAAGTATATTAGTGGTTGCATAGAGCTGAAAGAAATGGGAGGATTAGGGAGTAGTAGCTAAGAGTGTGGAGTTTATTTTAGGGATAATAAAAATGTTCTAAAATTGAGTGTGGTGATGGATGCACAACTCCTGTTTTTTTTGTTTTTGGAGACAGGGTCTTACTCTGGCACTCAGGCTGGAGTGCAGTGGTATTGGCTCACTGCAGCCTCAACCTCCTAGGCTCAAGCTATCCTCCTGCCTCAGCCTCCCATGTAGCTGGGACCACAGGTATGTGCCACCACACCTGTGTTGATTTTTATTTTTGTAGAGATGGGATTTCTCTCTGTTGCCCAGGCTGGTCTTGAATTCCTGGGGATCAAGCGATTCTTCCACCTCAGGCTCCCAAAGTGCTGGGATTACAGGCATGAGTCACTGTGCCCGGCCACAACTCTGAATATATGAAAAGCTGTTGAATTGTATACTTTAAGTGGGTGAGTTTTATGGTATGTTAATTATGCCTTGATAAAGCTGTTAAAAGTAAAGAACCCATTATTAGGTATATACCCAGAGGAATATAAAATCATTCTATCATAAAGGCACACACACACAAATGTTCACTGCAGCACTCTTCACAATAGCAAAGACATGGAGCCAACCTAAATGCCAATCAATGACAGACTGGCTAAAGAAAACATGGTATATATACATCATGGAATACTATGCAGCCATAAAAAGGAACAAGATCATGTCTTTTGCAGGAACATGGATGGAGCTGGAGGCAAACTAATACAGGAACAGAAAACCAAGTACTGCATGTGCTCACTTATAAGTGGGAACTAAATGATGAGAATTCATGAACACGAAGAAGGGGGAACAACAGACCCTGGGGCTTACTTGAGGGTGGAGAGTGGGAGGAGAGAGCGGAGCTGAAAAAATAGCTATTGGGTACTAGGCTGAGTACCTGGGTGATGAAATAATCTGTACAACAAATCCCTGTGACATGAGTTTACCTGTATAAAAAACCTGGAGATTCAACCCCTGAACCTAAAAGTTCAAAAAAGGTAAAGAACTTTATAGTAATGGTTACATAACTATATAAGTTTGCTAAATAAATCTCTAAATTGCACATTCACAAAGAATTTTGTGATATGTACATTATATCTCAATAAAGCTGAAAAAATAGTTTTAACCTGATTTTGCCTGTCTTTGTTTTTTAGGGTCAACATTGTGACTACTAATTAATTGCCTTGCATAAAAGATGAGAAGGAATTAGAATTTTTGTGCCCTTGAAATTCTGTTTAGTTGGCACGCCTTCAGCATAAATATTACAGGGCCCTTAGCACTTGAGGAAGTAGGTAGGGCTTAGACTGCCTTTTCCCAGACATTCCCAGGCTGCATGCCTTCCTTCTCATATCCTTGTTTCCATTACCATTCTCTTTCAATATTCAGATATTTTTTTGCCAATGTCAGTGGGTCAGGTTGCTCAGATTACTACCATTACCTCTTCTAATTATTTAATTGATGTTGATGGCGTCTAAGTAGAATAAGGCCAGAAGTGGTTCTGCCACAAATTCTTCGCATGTTCCACTACAGAGTCCTAGCCAAGGGACCCCATACTTAGTACAGCCACGTGATGCTGCGGCCTCTCTAGAAACCACTAACCAAGGATGTGGTATATCCCACCACCTGTCCAACCACCATCCTTCCTGCATTCCATTGAATAGATGTTGGAATTGCTTTTTTGAGACTGAGATGTGCCAACTTGGACCACTTATACTTTCTTTTTTATTTCCTCTAGTCAACTGGGGAGCTCAGTGAGATTCTCCTGCTATACTCTCATCAGTTTTAAGTAAGTTCTATGAAAGCTTGGGGTCTTTGGTGGGCATTCTCTACATCTGTACTTACTGAGAAAAACTTAAGGGTCTTAGCTATTCAGTATTCTATCAGATATTGAAATCTCCTTGATGGCAGCTTAGATCAGTCAGTCGCTATTACCATGTGGCCCAGAGAACAGTCAAACCTGTCCATTTTTCCTTTTTTTTTTTTTTTTTTTTTTTTTTTGAGATGGAGTTTTCCTCTTGTTGCCCAGGCTGGAGTACAGTGGCATGGTCTTGGCTCACTGCAACCTCTACCTCCCGGGTTCAAGCGATTCTCCTGCCTCAGCCTTCTGAGTAGCTGGGATTACAGGCGCTTGCCACCACACATGGCTAATATTTATATTTTTAGTAGAGATGGGGTTTTGCCATGTTGGCCAGGCTGGTCTCAAACTCCTGACTTCAGGCCATCTGCCCGCCTCAGCCTCCCAAAGTGCTGGGATTACAGGCATGAGCCACCGTGCCTGGGCCACTTTTCCTTTTGATCTAGTGCATGGGAGCAAATCTTCCTTTGTTAGCCTTTGTATTGTTGACTAGGTCCTCTGTGAGCCTAACTCTTTATGAAGCAAAACTCTCCTTTGTTAACAGAACTGCTGGGTGAAAAATTCAGAAATGCTAATTTGAAGTGACTTACATTATGATAAGCTTACACAATCACTTGTCTTTTATTGTAGCTACTAAATCATGATGGGGAGGGACAGAGGAAGAAGAATTTTAAAAAATGATTGCCTTTTATTTTTATTTTCCCAGTGAGGTTTCTGTGATCTCTTTATTAGACACAATGTGTATCAGTTATTCAACTCATAAAGAGCAAAAAAACATGCTAGGAAAGGAGAAATATTTTCTGTCTCTCCCTTCCTGTGAAAATGTCAGATGAGCTCATCTGTGTTCTCTCCTTTCAATGAAAGATACACTCATCCCTCAGCCCTCATCTTATTCTCATTTCCCATTGATGATGTCAGGCAGGCCTTACAGTATCTCTTTTGTGATCTTATAAAATCAATAACAACCAAAAATGTTTCCCTTTTGTCGATGACCTCACCAATGCTCCATACCTGGAGAGGCCCTTATCTGCATTGGTAAGTACAGCTAAACTCCACGGATCCAGACTGAAGCAATTTACCTGGAAACTACTTCCTTTCCTTCAAAAGTTTGCCTAGGCCATTCGGATTTGGAAGATTTCTGAGCAAGATGGCTGAGTGCTGAATTTAACAGCCAAGATGATTCTCCAATCTCTGTGCTTATGTCTGCACACATCAGAGACTCTCCTTTACCTAGCCCTGTTTATTCCTGAACACAAAGTAATTAATACTTCAAAGTGTTAGGTATGTGACATTTTGGTGACATTCCTATAATCTCCTCCCTGCAATCCTCCCCTCCTAAGCTACTTTCATCTACACTTGGAGCAGTGAAACAGGCATCCAGCTAAGTGAATTTAGAGGGAGGAATTTTGTGCCATTTGGTCTAAATGGCTGTGAGTTCCATGGGCTGTTCCAGGGAGGTAGGGAGGGAAACACTGGCCATCTCCATGCTGAGAGACACTTGCAAGGTACTCCCAAATCCCTGAGACTTAAAGATAAAATCAGCACGTAATGGAAGAGTTTAGAGAGGAGCAAAAGGCACAAAAGACAGTATTTTATAGGCCAAACAGGGCAGAGCAAGGAAGGTTTGGCTGTATTCTATGTCTAAAACTAAATGGTGTTTACATGTTCAAAGAAAACTTGTGTACAGAATAAGAAGTAGAACTGAAATGAATCTGAGAGGCAGAATTGGCAAGACACCAGATCTACGGGACGGGGCAAACTCAATGGCAGGCATCTTGCTGTGGGCCAGGGAGAGCCCATCAGGCGTCTCTCTCTGTTGCCCACGTGAAATATTCATCACAAGCCATCTCCCTTGCTCTGAATCCAGGCACCCCAAGTACTTTCCAGATGGCTAATCTAGCTTCCCTATTTGACACTGAGACATTCAGAGAGCTGCTCTACAAAGGGTTTGTGAGCATCCTGGTCCCTGAAAAGGAGTCTCTCCCACTGTAAACATAAGTTGGCTTTTGTTGTATGTATTATTCTCTCAATAATAATAGCTAACAAATATTGAGTGCCTGCTACATGCCAGCCACAATTATAAACATTTTTTATGAATGATTGCATTTAATCTCCATGAGAACTTTCTGAGTCAGGTGCTGTTATTAGCACCACTTTCCAGATGAAGAAATTGAGTCAGTGAGTATAAAGACGTTGCTCAAGGTTACACTTAGGAAGTGACAGAGCCAGGATACAGACCTAGACCCTAAGGCTCCAGAGCCCATGATTTTAACTGCCATGCTATGCCTGCTTTTGTGAATCATTATGAACAAATTTCCCTGCATCTGGTAAATGCAGGCACACTGGCAACACACAAGTCCATACTTTCCTTATAAAATCATGGGGACACTTGATTATCTTGAGGCTCAAAGTTTTTTTTTTTTTTCCTCTTTGGCCTACATTAATACTAAAGTCCAGGAAAAAACCCCTGCAGTTTCCATAAAAACATAGTAGTGCTGAGATTCATCAAGAGGATTTGACTGCAAGTGAACTGAATCAGTTTCTAAGTTCATACTTGAAAAATCTCAGTGTTAAGACACATACTGAAAGATACATGGAAGCAGAGTTGGGATAATGGTTTGCACATTTTAGAATTGTTTTCAGGTTGTTTCACTCTAGAAGAGCTAGAGAAAGAAAGGAGGCTTACATTTATTGAGTATGAACAATGTGCCTGGCATTGGGTTAAGTGCTTTTTCACACGTGCAATCTTACTTAACCTCACAACAACCCTGTAAAATAATGTTAGTTAAATTTTTACAGATGAGAACAGAGACTCAATGAGGTTATATACTTTGTCCAAGATCACACAGCTAATAAGGAGTATAACTGGCAATAAAACTTAGAAATGCCTGATACTCATTCACCCCCACCCCTCCAATTTAATTTATGTTCAGATTATATCTTATAACCTACTAAGCAGGGTCTCCATGCATACATTTGAAGTAAATTGCAACTTTCTCCCAATTCTAGGTAGCCGGGTATCCATCGCTTGCCTTCACTCCTCTGTAAGCATCAGGGACCACAAAACACAGGTTTTATTTATTGCTGTAGGTTCCACAACATGTGGCAGAGGGTGTGCTCACAACAGGAGCTGGTGAACCACCTAACACTGTGAGTGTAGACATTGGCACAGGTGTGGATGATAAACTCAGGTAAGGGTACAAATACAGTCTTAAGGCAATGTACATTTGAGCCTTTGTTTTTAGAGGGACTGCTTGATAGACTTTCCAGCAGACCTATACAAACCCTAGCAGCTAAGGTGCAAGGATGCAGCTCCCTATGCCCTGGGTGTGGTGTCTGTAGTCATACTTCACCAGGCAGCCCCTCTCCTCCCCTTCCCTGGTGCCTCTTTGGCTGCTCTGTCTCTCTTCCCTGGCTTTGAACTTGTTGGCAGCCTCCAATAACCCCTCTTCAAAGAGCTGAAGGCAAGCCTGATGTTACAATTGCCTTGCTTAATTCCAGACAGGTTTCTATTAATCGTATTAAATTCGGGTGAACAAAGGGCATTTAGTCTGTGATAGAGCTGAACCATATCTGGATTAATATAAACAAGAGAATTAATCCTGCAAGAGCCACTATCTGCCAGCAAGTGGAAAGATGTCAGCAGTGCCCTTGCTAAAGCAGGTTGGAGGGTGGATGGCAGGAGAGATTTAACAAGATTGGTGCTGAGCATCTGGACTCTGTATAAAGAGGGGAATAAAGATTGCAACTGGAATACATTAGAAGAAAAGCAAATGTTTTATTCACAAAAAATAGGCATTAATAATATCAGTCTTTAATCCGGCCCAGGGCTCCTTAAATTGCCTTCTTCATTGTTGACTTTGATCTTCCCCGCAAAGCCGCCTGCTAAGGGTCCCTTCCCAGATCAGCCTGAAGTCATGGGGGCAGGAATACTGTTGCTAAACAGATATGCAAGGGGGTAGCATGTGTGACTGGAGTACAGTATGACAACATAATCCTGGCAGGGACAGATGAAGTCAGTGTGGGGTGATGTTGGCTTTTCTAGCATCTACTGAATCATCTGATGAGAGCAGCAATTGAAAAGAATAAATACAAACACATGCAACACAGCCACAAAGACTGGATGGCCCAGATCTGAGAGGATGGATCCTATTTTCTCAGATCAGTGGGGAAGTAGGGAGAACAATGAGCTGGGAGTTAGGAGACTCCAGTTCCCTTCTTCCCCCGCCACTAGCAGAGCAGCTGTGTGACCTCGGGTTGCCTGGCCTCTGAGAAACAAGGGCCTTGGTCCAGCTGGTATCTAAGTTCTCTTTCCGTTTCAAAGGCATGGGTTTGTCCTATGCAAAGAGGTTTTATAAAAGCTCTACATGTCTTTTACTACAAGACCACAACTATGGGAGACATGGTACTCTGAGTTGCAATGTTCTTAAGTCACCATGTGCAGAATGTATTGTCTAACCTCAATGGATAAAGGGGAATGTTGGCAGTGCATTAGAGCAAGAGGATGAAATAAAGCAGACTCAGAGAGAAGTACTGGGGAACACTCCTGCTTCAAGCCATGACCACAGAATTCCAATTATTTATGGGTCGTAGTCTTTCTTGCAACAGGTGGAACAAGGAGATGACAGGATCCAAAAGAGTCTTCAATGATTATAATTCACAATTCATGTTCCAACATGCTACTGATTTGCACACATCACCTTTGCTCACATTATTCTTTCTGCATGAAATATCCCTGTCTCTTATCAAAATTCCACTCATTGCAACCCTAAGACCTCCTGGCAGGAATGTACTGTCCTTGCATACTATTTGGTTATCAGTTATAGCACTTCATTCTACCTCATACTACACTGCTGTTGTAATTATAGATTACAAACTCCCTGAAGATGGGATCTGGGTCTCCTTTATCTATGCATCTCTGGGCCTGTTTGACACACTATAGGCACTCATTCAATAAAGGTTTATGAAATGAACAGAACAGGGATTTTTGGGTTACCTGCTAATGTGACGGCAATGGAGACAGAGTCGTATCCCAAGGCATTGGTGGCATTGCAAGTGTAGAAACCCACATCTGCTTCCACTGGTGCCAAGATCTGTAAGGAATCATCTGGCTGTAGAAGAATCCTGGAGCGACAGAAAAGAAATATAGACCTGGTCAAGTCAGTTGACTCCTTTTTGGCATTCAATATTGGTAAGGCAGGAAGGAACCTCAGGGTGTATGCAGAACCCTGTTTTAACAACAGAGACAAACCAGCTACAAGGACAATCAAGAACCTGTGCTCTCTTGCCTCTTTGATTAATGTGACTGTGGTAGTGATCTCAAATAAGGAGGTTTCCCATTGCCTTTGCAGCCTGTGGATTACTTGATCTAAATGCTACCAGCTGGACCAGACAACATATGTGCACCAAATACATATAACACACACAGATATCCGGGGGAAGGGGGGATGCTAGAACAAACGGTACAGATAGATTTGGGGAAGGCTTATTAAGGAAAAAGCAAAGTTACAAAAGAGAAGTGGAGCTTGGTTGGATGGTTGAAAGAACGTAGGGCTTCCAGAGATCAAGACAGACATCTTGGCCAGACACCATGGCTCATGCCTATAATCCCAGCACTTTGGGAGGCTGAGGCGGGCAAATCACCTGAGACCAGGAGTTCAAGAACAGCCTGGCCAACATGGCAAAGCTCCGTCTCTACTAAAACTACAAAAATAATAAAATTATCTGGGCATGGGGGTGTATGCCTATAATCCCAGCTACTTGGGAGGCTGAGGTGAGAGAATCACTTGAACGTGGGGGGCAGAGGTTGTAGTGGGCTGAGATTGCCCCACTGTACTCCAGCTTGGGACACAGAGCATGACTCTGTCTCAAAAAACAACAACAACAAAAAAAAACAACAAAAAACAACCAGACAGACATCTGTTCAGGTTTGCAGGTAGAAGAGAAAAAGCCAAGAATTGCATATTGAGAGGATCTTACACATATTTGAAGGAAATTCTGTGTCACAGCCGCTGTGTAGTCATATATACATCTATTGTCTTTATTTAGCTGTAAATCTTATGGGGCACAAAACTCAGGTTTGTTTTTTTTTGTTTTTGTTTTTGTTTTTTTTTTTTGAGACAGGGTCTTGCTCTGTCACCCACGAGTGTGGAGGCACAAACACAGCTCACTGCAGTCTTGAACTCCTGGGCTTAAGCAGTCCTCCCACCTCTGCCTCCTGTGTAGCTGAGACCACAGGGGTGCACTACCATTCCCAGCTAATTTTTAAATTTTGCGTAAAGATAGGGTCTTGCCAAGTTGCCCAGGCTGGTCTTGAACTCCTGGGCTCATGTGATCCTCTTCAGGTCTTATTTATTGCTTTTATTTTCCCCACTACTACAGGGGACTCTCTGTAGAGTAGGTTCCCAGTAGAATAAAGTCAAAACTTGCCCTTCAAGGTCATGGAGAGAAAATTCCAGAATAATCACAGTCTACTTCAGACTTTTTTTTTTTTAATCTGAAAAGACTTAAAAGAATCAAACTGTGAGTGCCTACAGTGAGCTTCAAACCCACTCCACCCAAGTCTGTTTTTTCTTTTCTAGATTTATGCCATTTCTAGAAAGTACCTGTGACATTATGGCAGCTTAATTAATGACTAACGATCACTTGAACCTGATGTCTTGGTGACTTAGTGAGGCTGGCTGATAACTGGAATGTGTATGTGGAGGAGGGAATCTAGAAGGGTTGGAGGGACAATGGAGAAGCTCAGAAGCTCAGAGATCCGGTGCCTAGACCTGACAGGTACTTTAGGTTGACAGTTTATTTGATAGCACAGAAATGGCTCAGTAGCCAGTTTTGGGGATCCTGAAGCTAGTCATTTCTAGCTTTGTGATTTTTTAACCTCCCTAGTTTCAAAAGCTTCAAAAAACTGTTCACCCAATATTATGCTAGCATCCTTCCCTAGGAGGTAAGCAGTTAATAGGGGTTGTTTTTCAAGAAAGTGAGAGGGTGGGGAAACAACAGAAATGTGGGGAGAACTCATTAAGACTCTGTGGTAAGATTAAGCCTGGAAGTCAGGTCTGCCCCAGCAACACTCTCCCACTATACAATTCTTTCCTCACTATTTCCCTTGCCGGGTCTCTCCAGGCTGTATGACATTTGCATTTCAGCACCACTTCTAATCAGCTGTCAATTATTCTGAGGTGGGTGACCAGTCTGGCAGTGAATGAGATCTCCTCAGCTCAGCTTTTGGCCTTGGGCCTACTACATTGCTTATTCTTACCTCCTGTCAGAGGAAAGGCAGGAAGTAGAAGTAAGGCTTCCATCAATCAATCGAGTTATATATGGGCAGCTCTAGTAAAATGGGGAAGGAAATAGACACCTTAGTTAAAGGAAGTTTTTGAATGATTTGTGCTTGATTTAGTGCTATTCCAGATCATCACCACTATTACTGGAGACCCTCAAGTTTTGTGGCATTCAACTAGAGCTGAAACATTGTGAGGGATGAAAGGAAGCCTCTGAGAGCTTGTGATATAGCTCATCCACCCATACATTCACTGAGAGATTGTGTTATGGCTCATCCAACCATTCATTCACTCATCCATCAAACATTAGTTGCTTTTTTCTCAAAGTCAAACAATTACATGTTAGTTTATTTCGAAGAAGCTAATAAGAGAAAGATGACTATACAATTTACTTATCTTTGGTAAACCATACAATATTTTAGATCATAGTATGACTGTTTCCTGAAGGAATCTTATCAGATGCAACATAATGTAATATCATTGCTAAGTCTCTTCAGGTGTTCAAGCTGTTTTAGATTAGAAAATTAAAAATCAACTTTATGATTTAAAGCTTTAGGATGTCCCAGGAATATTTATGCTTTCACAAAAATTCTAAATAATAATGAAAGCAGGCTTAGTCAAGTTTCAATAGAACTGAGAATGATGGAACTCAGAAGATCACTATTCAATTTCACCACATGGCAAAGGTAGAAATTAAAATATGCTAAGTTCCCAAACCCATTAGGGTAGCTGGCTCCCTGGCACTGGAAACATCTCCCTTGTCCCTACAGAAAACGGTTCTTGGACACTCGCAGCAGGAGGCTAGAAGATAGTTCTTCTGAACTTTGTTTTGGTCCTACTATGATTTAAGTAATGGCCATTGGCAAATCTCATTATCTTCCTCTATTTCAGTTTACCAACTTCTAAAATCCAGTTGAAGTCTGTTTTCCTGCTCATCAGAGGGAATTGTTAAACTGGGGTATATAAGGAATTTCTAGATCCTCTTTTGGTATTTCCAATGACTCTTTTCTTGGTAATGCTGCACACTCTGAATGGCAAATTAACCATGAGGGAGGAGGGAGGATGAGGAAATTGTGAGGAAGGAGTGAGAGGGGCACATGATATTGGCCAGTTTCCCCTAGGCAACTTATTAGATCTCCATATTAGAATCATTTTTTTTTTGCATACAACTACTGCACCTGTCTGATTTCAGGCAGAGGATGTAACCCTCTCCTACCCTGGCCCATTTATTTTTAGGTGGGGGTTAGTTTTTATAGTTACACTGGTTTCTCCAGGCACTAAGTAAGCCACCATGCTTTCTGCCCATGTCTGAAGCCTGGAAAAGAATTCCTACAAGGCTGATGAAAGGAAGGGAGGTGATCCATCACAGAGGGCACAGAGTGGTAAGGATTTGAACTAGAATAGGAGTAGCGGCAATGGAAACGGTGACATGTAGATCATGAGATTTAGCGTTTGTATAGTCTATTATTCCATAAACACTATATACATAGATAGAGAAACTGTAGTATTTATTTTCATAAAAACAGTCTTAAATATTGTCTTAAGACAGAATCTACATGGGAGAAAGCCTGAATTTCTCACTTATTGTGTATACTTATAAAAGTCACTTATATTTATAAAATGGAACTGTCTAGCTCAAGGGTACATAGTTATTTGGGGGCAGAGTCAGGATTTGAAGTAGAATCTCATGTTTTTGGTCCAGCACTTTTTTTTTTCCACCCTATAATCCCTTTGGGACCACCATAAGACTCAACTGTTTAGTCGTGCTTTCTTCTTGTAATTAGAAAGCTGCCCACAGTGTGTTCTTTGTACATTTGGCCCATTTGCATGTTATTTCCCTCTCTCTTAAAATCCACTAAGACATAAGTCCTTTCAGGGATGGGGGAGGATTTGACTCCTGTTATTATACATACAATATGCCCATAAAATTGGTAGATGAAGGCTTGAAGGCTGCCACTAGGCGGAGCAGTAGTTCTGGAGGGGGGTCCCATGCAGGGCTCTCTGGGAAGCACCGCCAGGCAAAGGAAAGGCTTGCTGCAGAGACGGAGGCTTGCTTCAGTTTACCTAGCCTGGCGACTAGAGAGAGAGATTCCTGGAAAAAAACATTTTCTTTGTATTTCAGTAGTCTACTCTATTAATTTAGCTTAATTCGCTAGTTGCTGATTTCTGTCAGTTTATATTTAGTTTCCAAATTTGATAGGCTTGCTTTAGAATGAGCAGGCAGAGAAACATAGGGCTGCTTTCCAAACAAAACCTATAGGATTCCTTTGGAGCTGTTTTGGAATTTATGGAACCAGAGGATGTGGGGACATAGAATGGGTACAATTAAGACCTACATAGCAAGTGGTACTGTGGTCATGCTAGGTATATCAATACTCCTTGACTTCCTCCCAGACCTGTACCACACTTTTTATTTTTCTAGCCTAAAATTTATTACTTTACTTCTTTGACCCTACTTCTAGCCAGAAAATGAAGGAGCGGTTTTGTTTTTCTGGGGGCCTTTATTTGTAAGCTTCTATGTGACAATATGCCTTCACAAGCATGCTACAAATTAAGGACCAGCCGAGAGGGTGCAAGAAATTGTTTTAGTACAGAAGTAAAAATCCTTGTCATGCATGAGAATAAGATATGGACCAAATGCTCACAGGCCATTTCTACCAAGTATAATCTCTTTCAGGATAAATCATCTCCTCTGCATTTGGAATGTGTAGTGCTTAAGGGCTCTTATTTGAAACAAAGGCAGCTCCGGGTGTATAAAGGAAAGTCTCTGGAAGTTCTGTGAGTAGGTTGGCATCATGGGGTCCTCTGGATCTTTGGCTCAACTGTGACACCACTGTCTTGTGTGAACCTACTTCTCAAATTGATCTCCATGCCCAGCTATGAGGAGCTGCCTTGTGGAGGGGAAGACTTCCCAAATTGGAACCAAGAGACTCGGACTCCAGTCTAGAGTCGTGTGGTGGGCCTTAGGCAAGTCATTCAACTGTGTGAGCCTTTAAGTTTCTTCTATAAATTGAGGCTAATACTGACCTCACAGTGTTCTTGCGAAGATCTCATAGAAGAGTATATAGACTCATTCTTACTGTTTTCCAAGTAAAAAGGTCTCAGTTTAAACACCAGATAAAGCTAATAAATGATTTTTTTTTGATGGTACACATAACCTAAGTAACCTTCTTGGAATTTCTAGTTGTCAGACAAAATATTCAGGTTCTGGGTAGAGAAATGCCCATCTACTACCTGGGATATGTTATTGTGCCACCTCAGGCCTCTCATTCTGACTGGTACGCTTTCCTAAACCTATTGTAGGCCTCAACACAGGACTGGAAGCTAGAAATTGTGGGTGTATCCTTTCTTTGTAGAACAGTAGCTTCCTCTTCTTTCCAAACTTATCTGCCCCACATCCCAATACAAACTTGTCACTCTAGTCAAGATGGCCTCTTTGACTCTCCTTGTCATTAGCTTGGGGCTAAAGACAGGCTCCTCCTCCTCCCCCTCCCTTAAGAACAAGTTCTAGTTCTATTTCCTTGTGCTGCTATACTACACAAGAATCTGTCTGTTTCCTGATCTAGTTGTTAAAACTCCACTACGAAGCCTTTTTCAATCAACAGTGTCTCATTTCTTCAGTGAGATTATAAATTATTATCTCATTCATAGTTCTCTCTTCAGTATTCAGCATAGTGCTGGCACACTAAATAAATACATAATAAATACTCATTTGGTTACCTTCAAAGCAACGGGGCTGAAAATGATCATATCCACAATATAGCATAGCGGACAGTGGTTCAGAGGACAGACTCCGGAGCCATTAATGATGGGATCAAATCCCCGCTTTGCCACTTAGCAGCTCTGTAGCCTTGGGCAAGTAATTTACTTAACTTCTCAGTGACAGTTTCCTCATTTATAAAATGAGAATGATAGTACCTACCTAGGGTTGTTGTGAGAGTTCTGTATAAGCTAATGTATTTAAAGGACACAGAAAAGTGCCTGGCATGTAGTAAAAAACTACAGAAATGTAGGTGATTATGATTTTGTTACAGTTGTTAACATCGCCATGATCATTACCATTCACTCTTCATGCCAGGGCTTATAAATTCTAGATGTCGTGAAGACATGGGGAAATGAGAAATGTAGAGATTTCAATGAAAAAACATAAATTGGGTGTATAGAAAGGGAACAAAGGGTTTGCTGTGCATGGGACCAGGGAGGAGAAAAGAGGAGCAAGAAGTGAGGCCACGTAGCACGTTGGGTTGGCAACTACCTTAATTCTATTCTTGACTCAGGAATCTCTGAATAAGGACAACTAGTTATTTCCATAACTGTATTAACACCAATAACCAAATACTGAAATTTTAGAACACTAAAAAAAAAAAAGCCAGAATTCTGCAATTTCAGAAAGGAATACAAACAAGAGCAAATGAGTTAGAGCTGGAAAACAGTGAACTCAGGAGCAAGTAAGCAAAGTTTGTGCAAATAACATTAGCCCCAAATTCCTATTTATAGGACCAGATGGTGAAGTCTTTTCCTTATCCTAAAATGGGTATTTTTCTGCTTAGGGATTCCTTAGATTAGGATAATGGAATCTACCACAAAGCGGGAGCGGGTGCTAGTATTTATAGGCAAATGTATATGCTTTTTATTATTGAATCCTTACTACCATGTTACTAGATTGATGTTATTTTCCCATTTTAGAGAGCAGGCAAAAGTTCACAGAAGCAATTTGCTCAGCTAGTACATGGTGGCATCAGGAGTAAGGAATAACCTTTGACTGTTCTTAAACTGACAGCATCCAGGAATCTACCGGGGCCTAGTTGGCAGGCATATGGTTTGGCCTCATTTTCGGTGGTTGCGGGGGCGGGGCGGGGGGGTAATTAACGTCAAGGTTTGTAGTTACTTAGGGAAATAGACAATCACTAAAAAATATTCTGGATTTTAGATACTTTCAAACGGGAGGCAAAAGGAATGCTCTGAGATCTCCTCCGTGAGCAGGATTATTTTTCTGAAACCAAAAATTACAGTAGCCCAGAGGCTTGCAAGGGAGAATTTTATTTTGTACAAAAATTTTGGGCAACAGATTTGAGGTTCATGAAGAGTTTCATATCACCATTTGGCTAGGGCAACTTTTTTTAACCTTTGCTGTTTTTAATGTAATTGCCAACTAAAAGTTATTTAATGCCAGAAGCTTCATGATTGCTCAGATGGAAGTATAGAAAATATTTTAGGAATGGGAAAGGCCACCTGACCACACATTCTTAACCCTGGTCTTCTTCTTTTTGCCAGACCCTTTAACTTCCTTCTCTTTCAGAAGTTCATAGAGTCTTGAATTTGCTAATATGTGTATTTTATCTGCTTGCTGGGTAACTCATTTCAAATTACAAACCTCTGCATGAAATGACTGACTGGATTTCCTATCCACTAGGGATAGGGGTCCTCAAACTGCAGCCAATTACCACTTGCTTTTATAAATAAAGTTTTATTGGAAAACTAGCATATAGATTAAAGTATTATCTATGGCTGCTCTCACACTATAATGACAGAGTTGAGTATAGTCAGTTTAAGAACAGTCAAAGGTCATTCCTTACTCCTGATGCCTGCAAATCCTAAAATGTTTACTATTTGGCCCTTTACTAGAAAAGTTTGCTGACTTCTGGCATATAACATGGAAAAATTTTCATTTCTGGTTTATCTCAGTGACATCCTTATTTATACTAAAACAGTTAACCACTTTTCTGGAACTCTGCCATGTGCTAGGACCACTCTTCCAGGAAGAGTAAACTAACTGCTAGGGGGATCTCTGGAGATCCCCTAGCATTTCAGGGAATAGATAGTGCCTGACTCTAAGCCTCACTAGTACTGTCTGTTTGCCACTGGTTGTCTACTATCCTCCAGTGCTCTTCACCTGCATGATTCATGATGGTCATTTCTGCGACCACTGTGTTGACACTCAATACTTTTCTTTTGTGAGGCTTATGTATTTACTGGGACGGTTCTTTTTCTCTGGCTTGCTATTCTTACACTTTTCAACTGGGAAAAACATTTGTCATCTCCATTTCCTTTAGCTCTATAAGGGAAACAAGCCAAACCAAACTGAAATGGGCTTGTTTTTCCTTCCCTATCTTCCCTGCCTCTAGTTTTTATATTATCTGCAAACTTGGAAACTGCATTTCATGTGCTTATGACTTGTACATAGAGAATTATTCACAACTATGGTTCTGAAATTGACCCTGGAGGAATTTCCCATCTGATCTTCACTTCCATTCTGAGAAGTTTCCATCTGCTGATACTCTGAGTTGCCCAAGTTAAAGACTTCCAAATATGCCTTAATTCATCTCCTATTCAGCACCACTTTGGAACACTGTACAAAACTTTCTGGGAAATATAATCATTTAGAGGCTACAGATTTCACTTTCCTATCAGCTCAGAGATGATAGCAAAGAATGTCAGTAGAATATCAACATCCCCTCATGATGCCTGGATTTAGGCTGATAATTCTCCATCACGCTGTTTTCCTAGAAACCTTGCTAACCCAACTCTTTGAACAACTACCTAGATGTTCCTCAAATAAGAGTGAAGCTTCTTAGTTTGAGATGTCCTGGAAGACAGTGTGATACAATGGCCCCATGTCTAAATGACAATGATTTTGGATACTGGCAAATGAGTATCCACTGTGTGTCAGGCACGTTACAGACATTATTTCTGTTCTTTGCACTTCTGCTAGTCCGAAGGGCAGAATCAAAGTGCCTAATTGTACTAGTATCATTTTAGTTTAACTAATAAGAAAACCAAGGTTCAGAGAGATAAAAGTAGACTCACAATACTAAGTGGCAGAACTGGGATTTGTGCCAAAGTTGCTCTGATTCCAGCCTTACTGTCTCCTACCACCGTGGGCTGCCCTTTGTGTTAACTGATGTGCCATCAGGTTGCTCCTCTGGCTGAAGGGGTTGGGGAGGATAAGCTGGGAACACCTAGGCCCAGAAGAGAAGGAAAACAGGGAACAGGCTTAGGGATTAAAAGGCTGAAATTCCTTAGACTTAGCCATTTCCCTAGGATTCCATGTTAGTAGGAGTATCACCTGGGAGTGACCTCCCACCCACAGGAAGAAATAAGTATTTTCTTCAAGCATCTAGTTTCATATTATTCTTTAAGTTCACTTGCATTCCTTTTGAAAAGAAAAGAAAGTCTTACTTAAAAGCTTACAGACTTAAATCAGCTGAGCTATGAGGAATCTGTGATTTTGGGTTACTCCTGGTTCAATAGTGTTAAGTGGTAAGCAAGGCCTTCCCTGACAGTGTGGTGCTATCAGCAGTATGTAGGTGTTTCTTGGGGGAATGATCAATCCTCATCCAGTAATTTTTCCTAATTTGGTAATCCAATGTGCAGTGCCAATTTTGGAGAATCTGGCTCTTCTACAAGGAAGTCAGCACTGCCCTTCCAGGTATTGTTTCTAGAACTGGATTTAGACGTAGGAATACTGAACATATATTTGTCCATATTACGTAAGCCTCCTGGTATTAGATGTAGAGAAGGAAAATTTACCAGGTTCTTTGGCTAGGGGTGTTATACTCTATCCAAAAGCAGACTGGAGTTAGCTTTTGCCTGAGTCTCATCTCCAAATGTGTGCTCAGTGTTTATATAGAATGACTGAAAGCGAGGAACAGTTTAGCTTCATATTGCCTGTGGTCTAGGTCTCTAACCACACATGTGCCTGAGCCATCAACACTGTAAACATGTGCAGTCACAGACACACACAAATGTAGCAATTGTAATGTTTATTGAGTGCCTAATTTAGTGCATATTTGCATACACATGTGTATATATAAAGGTAGCGCTATCAGTAGAAGAAAAGGCTATCTTTAAAGCAGTTATGCCAAAATAAAAACAAAAGCCTCATCAGCTGGAAGCCAGTTGGCTAGAATATTGAATGTTAATTTATGCTGGGTCTAGTTGACCCCAGTGGCCTTCTTATAAAACAGTGGCAAGTCCCTGTATTCAACTAAGGTTATAATCAATAAAAAGAAATAGTTCCAAAAGCCAGACTGCCTTGGATTCAAATCCCAGCTCCATTAAGTTTTTTTTTTTTTAGACGGAGTCTCACTGTGTCACCCAGGCCAGAATGCAGTGGCACGATACCAGCTCACTGCAACCTCCACCTCCTGCGTTCAAGCGATTCTCCTGTCTCAGCCTCCCAAGTAGCTGGGACTATAGGCATGCACCACCATGCCCAGCTAATTTTTGTATTTTTAGTAGAGACAGGGTTTCACAATGTAGGCCAGGATGGTCTCGATCTCTTGACCTCGTGATCTGCCCACCTCGGCCTCCCAAAGTGATGGGATTACAGGCGTGAGCCACCGCGCCTCACCCCAGCTCGATTACTTTTTAAGTGAGAGACTTTGAGCGAGTTAATCTAACATCTCCGTGCTTCAACTCCAATATCGGTAAAATTGGGATAGTAACTTCAAAGGGTTATTGTGAGGATAAATGAACACCTGAAGCCCATTGTAAGTGCTCTATAAATGTTACCTGTGATGATGAGCCTGATGATTTCTCCACTGGCCTGGATGTGGTGGGAGACGGGATGTGATAGGAGATTTACTCTGTACTTATACACACTACAGCAGTGCTTTTCAAATTGCACAGTTGTGTCACAGAATCTCAGGGTTTCCTGAAACTTCTTTAGTGGAGAACATATGGGCAAGTCAGAAATGTTTGGTTAGGAACAGGTATCACTCTGGAACTCTTCCACAATGGCATAGGAAATCCAGACTATAAAAAACCTTGCAGACCGCAGCCTCCTCACAATAAGAAAACCTCCCTCCTAATCGTGGGCATCCAACTATTCATTCCTTTATTTATTCATTCAGTTTTTTATTTGTTGAGTGTCTATCATGTTCTTAGAATTACGGAGAAAATAAGACACATTCTTAAATATAGGCCCTTGAGAATGATTAATAAACTCCAGAAAAACTAACAGCTAATTTTAATACACAATGGTAAGGCCGAGAGAGTATTATGCATAGGGTACTATGTGGATGATGGAGGGGGTCATCTGACCTGGCTTTGGGGATAGGCTTCCTGTAAGGAAGGGCAGGAGTTAGCCAGACAAAGTGGGTCAGAAGGCCCCAGGCACATTTGTGAACAGCAAGTATTTGTGTACTGCTGAAGAGCAGAGCTCAGTTCTATGAGGTCAAGGATATGGTAAGAGATGAAGCTGGAGAGATAACTGGATGTCAAATGATAAAAGCCAAGGCATCCGGACTTTATCCTCAAGTGATGACAAGCCATGAAACGAATTTTTAAGCATGAAAGCAGCATGGACAGGTTTGCTAGAAAGATGCTCTGGCAGTAGCATGGTGAATGGTCTAGAGCAGGAGGCAGTAAACTTCTCTGTAAAGGGACAGATAGTAAATATTTTAGGCTTTGAGGGCCACCTGTAGTCTTTGTTGTATATTATAATTTTTTGTTTGTTTTTAATAACCTTTTAAAAATGTAAAAGTCATTCTTTTAATAACCCTTTACATGCCTGGTTTCAAATCCCAGCTCTACCACTTATTAAGTGTGAGAACTTGAGCAAGTTAACCTAACAGCTCTGTGCTCAATTTCATTGGCTCTTTTAATAACTCTTTAAAAGCCATTCTTAATAATCCTTTAAAAGATGTTAAAGCCACTGGCTGTAATTTGCCAACCCCTGGTCTAAAGAATACAAATATGAATTAGGAAGCTGTTGTGATAATCTAGAGCTGACAAAGCAAACCTGTGCTTCTTCAAAGTGATCCTTGAATCTGGCTTCAGAGTCACCTGTGGTGCTTGTTTAACTCCAAATTATGGGTCCCTACCGTAGAAAGAGTTTCTAATGGTAGGGGAGGATGTGGGAGTCTACATTCTAACAAGCTCCTGTTAATTATTATGCACGTTGGATTTTTGAATCCCTCTTCAATCTACTTTTAAAAGTTTAAAAGAGAAGTATTCTACCAGTTGGAGTTCAATACAAACTGGGGTCCTACATTATTTCATCCTACACCAGCACTTGAAGGTTTCTTAGTTGCTGGAGAGAAGTGTTCTTGCCTTATTTATCATCTCAATGTATCTAATGCCCAGTAAAGATCAATAGTGTTGTAGGGGCTACTGCAATGGCCCCTTACTAGCCCCCGACTTCCAATCATGTGCCTCTACAATCCACATGCCACAAGTTAGCCCATGTGAATCTGCAAAATGCAAATCAGATCATGTCACTTTCCTGTTTAACATCCTCCAAATTCTTCCTGTAGTACTCAGTGTAAAACCCGAACCCCTTCCCTTGGTCTCCAGTTACCCTCACAACCTCATCCCATACCACCTCTACCTTTTGCCTCCCTTACTACAGCCAAATGGACTTCTTTTGAGTTCTTTCAACACAAAGTCATTGTCGCTTTAGGGTTTTCGCACTGCCTTTCCCTTGTCCAGGAGTGTTCTTCCTCCTCACATCACAGTGCTGGGCACTGGTCATCATTCAGATAGATCTTGGCTTATGTGTGATCTCCTTAGCACATCCATCTAAAGCGGTCACCAAATCATTCTCTTATTATACCCGTTTTAATTTTCTGCCTGACACTTATCACCACCTGATCTTTTTCTTGCTTACTTTTATGTGTTTGTTGCCTTGCTCCATTCATTTGTTAATTCATTCACTATTATTTAGTACGTTTGGTGCCGGTTACTGGGCATACAGCCGTAAAGAAAGTCTTTAGCCTTGCGGAAAGGCAATCAACAAATATTTATGTAACATATCAGAGAATAAAATTATCTAAATAGAGTTAAAAGGATAGACAATGATGAGCGGTGCTCTTTTAGATACAGGGACAAGGAAGTTCTCTCCAATATGTGCCATTTGAGCAGAACTCCAAATGCATGTAAACTCCAAGGGAACATAGTTTCATTTATCACAATATTTCCAGCAAGTCGATGTATACCTGGCATATTATAGTTAGGTTAGTAAATACTTAAGCAATGAATAAATATGCATACCTCTTTCTTAGCACTTATAATACTGCATTTACTCCTCTGGCTCCCAAACTGGACTTTGAATTTCATCAACAGGAAATGAATCTTCTTTTCCTCCATCCCTAGTATCTAACACAGAGTCTGGCTTAGAGTAGGCATGAGATTGTTTGCAGAATAAAGGAAAAAGGAAGTAGGGATTATGATGAACCAGCCAGTCATAACACACTAAGGACACCCTGTAAACGACTGCTTGAGAAGTTGACAGACATGCATTTCTGAGAACTATGTGAATTTCAACTAGTAAGTTATATAAATGATGAGACACAGTAGTATCAGAATTATTAGTGATTCTTTTCTAAAACTAAATTCTTTCAAATCAAACTTTGGAATATTTAAAAGCAAAGAAATAACAGACTTCTCTCACTTTTTTCTGACCTGGACCTATCTTGCTGGCTCATGCTATTTGGAGGATACTTTAACAAATTGCAAAGTCCCACAGACCAACACACAGCTGAATCTTGCAGATGCTCAGAAGGTAGATTTGGGCCTTTAGCAAAAACAGACTAACTGAACTATAACACTGGACATTTCAGCACTTCTGTTTGAAAATAAATGAGCATTTCTGAACCACTACCAGACATAGTAATGATGACAAGCAATGAAACCCAACACAGGAAAGGTCACCAACAGCCCACAGCAAAGCAGTCCTAATGGCAGCTCTGTGCCTCCTGCATGATCTGTGCAGATACATTCACTCTTTTCTTAAACAGAACTTGAAAGATAGAGAAAACTAAGCTCCAGCCGTATTTCTTATTGAACAGCCAACAAAAATGGAAAAATTGTGATGTCAAAGGTCAGAAAGGGAAATGTCTTATTTTTCCTTACCACATGCCATTAACGTGCATTGAAAAGCTTAGTCAAGCCTAGATCCAGAAAAATAAAAAATGTGATGGCAGCAAAAACTGTTTGTTCCTGCCTCTCAGGTATCTTCCCTCTTACCCTCTTAGTGCTACCCTCCCCCACAACGATGTCCTGGATGATGGAGAATCCAGGACTTTCCCTCTGCTTGCCTAGGCCCAGTGCTTTAGTGTTCTTTGCACCTGGCTGCCACGTCTCTGTTTCTATCAAGATTCCACTGAACCTTCTCCATCTTAAAGCCATTGGAGTTAGACTCTCAATGCCCATTAAGGTAAAAATTAAAAGGGCCAAAGTGTGTTTCCTAAGTGCTATTTCAAGAATTATTGGTGTTCCTGAGATTACTAAGCCGAAAAATTGTTCAGTGATTAAAGGAGAACTTTGAAACCACAGCATACTATATTGTCCACTTGGAAAGTCACAACACACATTGGAATGCTTAAAAGAGTAAAATAAAAAGAAAAATCCCAAATAATTTTCAGTTGGGGGATAGTTAAATGCATTCAGGAACAGTAATCAGCTGTTAAAAAAGGTAATATAGACCTCTACCTACTATTATGAAAACATCTCATAGACATGCTGTTAAGTAAAAACCAGTCACATTTCTGAACATGACTAATATCCTATTAAAAAACCCAAATCCTATGTGTGCATATATGCTTTTTATGTAATACAGTAAAATATATAAACATTCTAAAAGGATGTATACCAAATTATTAAGAATGATAGCCTCTGGGAGCATTGGGGGGAAGAGGGAGGCTTGTACTTTTTATAGATTTAGATATTTGAATTGTTTTATAGCCCTTTTATTACTTTTATAATAAAAAATCAAGTGTGATATTAAAAAAATAGACATAAAATCCAGCAGTACATACATCTGTTTAGCCTTAAGTTTGCCCTTCTCAAACTCTTGTGATCACTGAGCCTGTTTGTGGAGCATTTAGAAACAACTTGTGCCACAACTTCTGAAGTTACTGTGGTCAAGGTTCTCCCATCAGCATATGAGTTTTAACCTTCCGTGGCCTTCCGTAAATGAGGGAAGGAGGTAGGAGGGATGTCACAGATGATATGGTACAGTCTCCTCATTTATGAAATGAAGAGACTAAGACCGTGAAAAGTGCAGGGCCTTGGCAAGATCAGATTGGACCCCTCAATGCTTGTCTACCTCCTTCCACATCATTCCTGCAGTCACCAGGTGACCTAGATGGGCCATGGGCCTTGGATTTCATAAAAAGTCTCCAACACTCAAAGAAATTGTCAGGACCTCTAATCCAGGGGCTCAATGTTCTCCCTGCAGGCAAAGGCTGAGCAGAGTCCTGATGACCCCTTCCCATTGCCCTGTCTCGTTCCACAGCTTTTTAGGAGGAAGTAGGAAGATGTTAATTTCCATCTTTTCCCTCATGCAGCCAGTCGTGATTCCCTTCAATCCCAATAGTACCAATCCCAGGCAATAGGCCCAGGGGATAGAAATAAAACGTTGTACCTACACTTGATAAACTGACTGGCTGGTAGAGGAGAGGGCATCATAGTGGTGTAATAGGTACAGCAGGTGCACCGATAGGACTGAGTATCAGGCCACCCCTCATCACCCTGGGTCCACACACTGGAGCTGCCACTCAGTGACCTCAAAGGGCTCGACTGAAATCTTTCCAACCATGTTATAAGGATTTTTTGGAGAAAATGACAGGGATAAGAGCAGTTAAGCTGATTAAGGAAAGTATGAGTTGTGGGGGCTGGAGGGCGTGGACAGAGGGGCAGGTTAAAAGCACAAGCTCTGGGGCATGCTGCCTGTGTTCAGACCATTTCCAGTGTTTCTATGTGGGTCCAACCTCTGTCCCTCAGCTTTCTATCTAAGATGTGGTAACTACAGTAGTACCTACTAGTTCCTACGATCTTGAGGGAAAATTAAACAAGATAATGCCTTTAAAGCACTGAGCACTATGTCTGGCATACAGTTGGAGCACAAAGAAATAATACTTAGTATTGTTATCAAAGGTATTTGGTCTATAAGTACTAAGGCTGAGAGGCAGTATTATTGACATTACAAAGGCAAAAAATGATGTGTGCAGGATGGACAAAAGTTATTATATATCTATTCACCGAGTCTCAGAAGAGTAGACAGAACTCTTCCTTGGAATCAAATAAACTTGATATTGAATGCTTGTTTCAGCTCTTACTAAAATGTGATCTTGGGTGAGCTGCTGAACCTTGGTTTTCTACGTAAAACTGGAGGATAATGTCAATCATGTGGATTGAATGTTAGAATAAAAAATGCAGTTACTTATAAATAAACTTGGCATAGTGCCTGGAACAATAAATGCTGGCTTCTTTCCTTCCTTACCAAAAGCTAGCAAGCCAGAGAAGACTATTAGTCAAACAATAGCATTTAGATATAGACTTAATGAAAAGAGCATTATGCTTGGATTCTGAGAAGATAGAAGGTTAAAATGAGGAATCTAGACTAGAGGACTATGATTCCGTGATTCTTTAAAGTGACTACCCATAAGGAAGTTCTTTTTGTTGCATATCGTAGCTCTGCCACATAATAAATACAACCTTTAGTAAATTACTTAACTTTATGTATTTCCTGTTCTATAAGGTGTGGATAAAAATTGTATCCACTTCTATTCAGTGAGATAAAACACATAAAGAGTTTACATTTGCCTGGCAGATAGTCACTAATCAATTAATGACAACCATCTTCATTGCCAGGGCCCCTGTAAAGATTAAAAGAGACAAAATATGTACAAAGTAAGGCACAGGTAGCGGTAAAAAATATTATTAATTCTACTACCACTATTGATTCTACATTATGAATGGCTATGACCCAGAGAGACAAGGAAGTGATACATGCTGTCATCCTGATAATGATACATCAAAACAGAGACAACAGGAGATATTAGGATAATCAATCACAGGTCCCACTGGGAATAAAAGCTTTCTGGAACAAACAGCCTTGTCCAGCACAGATACACGATGGGCTCACCCATGGGAAACAGCAGGTGCTGGCTGCATTCTCTGCCCAGCCCTGGGGGACCACACACACGGAGTCAGTGTTCCAGTGTCAAAGCTTTTCCATGGTTCATCTTACAGAGTAGTAACATAATAATGCCTTGGCCTGGAATGATGTCTTTCTGCCAAAAGTTCAAAGCTATCCAGAGAGTATCTCATTTATCTTTGGGATCCTACAGGGATAGGAGTGGGTAGGCAATGTTGCTATTTCCTTATAAAGATGAGAACAGACAGTTTAGAAAAATGAAATAGCTTGTCTTTGCTCCAGTAGTCTATCAGTGCTAAGAGAGGGCCTGCACCCCATGATGGGGTCCCCGAGGCCAGCTCTAAGCCCTACCCCTGGAAACACCTTGAAGAATGTGTAAGTAGTGTGACTTGGGCCAGATGTGGCCCCTTGCCTCCCTCCCAAGACCAGGTTAGCTACAAGGCTCACCTGTCACTGAACTGAACTTCTTCTCCATTCCTGGCCCAGCTGATGGTAGGCCTTGGGTGGCCGATGGCCTCACAGTGCAGAAGAACACTCAGTGTCCCGCTGGCCAGGGCCACCGTCTGCCCCAGGTGGGTGACCACCTCCGAGGCTGAGAGCTGCTGGGCCGCTGAGATCTTGCGCAGGATGGTGGGCTTGCGGTGTGGCCTTCGAGAGCCTCCCCCGGCGTCCCCGGTGGAGGAGGTCCGCAGGGAGCTGCTGAAGCCAGACACGTGTTTATGAGGCGAGAGAGTCACTGGGGAAGTCCTGCGCTCCGAGGGCTTCAGGAGCGTGTCCTGGTGCTCCAGGTGGCTGCGGAAGATCTCCTGGGCCAGCTGGGCCACCAGGTGCTTGCTGTAGAGGTCGCGCAGCTCCTCGGGCTGCTGGGAGAGGTTCCCCAGGATGTCGTCCAGGCGCCGCTGCTCGGTCACCATGGTGAAGGGCAGGTGCAGGAGCACTTGCTCTGCACCCGGGTCCTCCTCCGAGGTCGTGTTCCTTTCCGCAGAGTCCTGCGCCTCCCACGAGGCCAGCAGCTCTCCGGGCCAGCCGCCCTGCTCCAGCAGCCGGGAGACGAGGTCGTCGTAGCGGCTCCCCGGGTTGGCGGCCAGGCCCCGCTTCTCCGCCTTGCTGCCGTTGGAGAAGATCCCGTTCTGGTGTTTGTGGGTCTGCAGGGCCTCCTTCGGGCCGCCCTTCCTCCCCGCAAGCACCTCTTCCTCACTTCTCGGGCTCAAGGGCCGGGCCACGAGCTTGCGGTTGCCTCCGATGAGCTTAATCACAAAGTGCTCCCGGGCCGGGCCCGCTGAGCAGGTGTAGACGCCTGCATCCGAGGGCTTGAGGCGGTGGATCTTGAGATAGCCGAAGGGGGCCACCGTGACGTGCGTCGAGCTGATGAGGTGCTGGCCGTCCTTCTCCCAGGTGATGAGGGGCTTGCGGACCCTGCGCGCCGGGCAGCGCAGCACCACCGCCGTCTTGGGGAGCAGGTAGGCGAAGCCCCCCACCACGAAGTGCAGCTTCCTCTGCCTGCGAGTCTGTATGTAGACCTTCCTGGCGGCCGCGATGTGCGGGCTGTGCTTCGTGGATGGCCGCCCGGGCCCTGGAAGGAGAGCGAACCCGAAGGGACAGAGAAAGAGGTGGGGAGAGAGAAAACCCAGAGTGAGATGCAGCCAGGAGAGAGGGGCAAAGGAAAGAGCCAGAGTGGAGAAGAGAAGGAGAGACGAAGGTGCCGGAGGACGGGAGAGAAAGTATTCTTCGGGGTTTATTTTGGCCGGGGCCATCCTTTACTGCCTGTGTTTTTCGGGAGGACCTCATTCCCGGCTGTGGACCATCAAGCTGCCACCACAATCAGAACTAATGAGATGCAGTGGGCAACCCAATGTCTCCCTGCTGGGCCTTGTTGCTCCTAGAAGCTGAGATGCAGAGTTCTAGATGGAGGGGGATCCCGGGGGAAAGCATTTCCTCTCATTAAAATAATTTTTAAACAAGAAATCAACGTCATAAAAAGAGGCAGAGGACAGAGAGGAGAATGTCTTCCGCTAAATGTTTGCCTTCTGGGTCCTGCAAGGCACCAGAGCCCTAAAGGACATGGTAAGGACAGCCTAGAAGTGTTGCGGCTCTAGGGATTAATATTAAACAGAACAAATCTGTTTAGAGTCGTTTAAAACCCCAGAGTGGATAACATTAGACATCATTAGTAATACACTGCCTCCAGCTTCCAGATCTCTGTATGCCAGCAAGTGAACTTTGCTCTACCCCCCTGCAAACTGTTTTTCCAGTGGAGAGGAGAATTTAGCCTGGCCACGTGTAATTAAGATTCCTTTTCCGTCTCCAGCTGAGCTCTCCTGCCTGCAGCCCTCCATGGGGTTCTACTGTCCCACTATTTCCCACAGGTCTTGAGTTTAGGGAAGGCCACGGCGTGGTGGCTATAGCTGCTGCTGTGTGGGTTTCATCTCCCCATTCCCAGAGCCCTGACATACTTACTTGCACAGGTTGCCAGCATACAGGGCCTGATGGAGGAAGAGAAAGGCAGGGGCGGGCACAGGGTGGAATTGACAACCGTTGAGAGGCCGGTTTTCAGCATCTTTCGGCAAATGGCGCTTCGAGTCTGGGTGCCTTCCCCGCAGCTTGTGGAACACTGGTGGAGAAAGAAAGGCCAAATGCACATAAATTCTGGGAACTAGAAGCTAATTTTTTAATAGACTGTCAAACTCATCAAAATATGAGAAATTTGCTTGGAAAAGCAATAACCACTGTGATAGAAATACTAATTATGAGGTCACAATGTGGAAGACCTGCCCATCTTGTAGACATTTTGCACTCTAAGATTTTCTACTCTGAGGTTTCCTGAAGACCTTTTATCTATTTTACATATATAGTCTGGGCTTCAGAGTTAGAGAGTTATGGAGTGTTTAAATCCCAGCTCAGTATTTCACTAGTTGGCAAGTTACTTAAATTCTCTCGTCTGTTTCCACTTATGCTTAGTTTGCAAGCCTGGGAATTAAGTGAGATAATATATTTTAAATGCCATACATAGAAATGACAATTATTGCTAATTCCTTTTTCCTTCCTTCACAAGTAAGTGACAATATTTTAGTGTCAAGCATTAGGTAGTTATGAATCTACTTTGTCTAAGGTAGGGTGCTAGATGTTAAGAAGAAAAGATGTGCAAGAATAGTTCCTAATCTCAAAGAGCTGTCATTCAAATGAGGGGAAAATCCCAAATGCATTGTTAAAATGAAATAGTCCATTTGGGAAATATAAGTCAAAACCACCATGAGATACAACTTCATATCCACTAGAATGGCCATAATAATAATAAAAAAAAAAGACAACAAGTGTTGGTGAGGATATGGAAAATTAGCAGTTTCACTCATTACTGGTGGGAAAGTAAAATGATACAGCCTCTTTAGAAAACAGATTGGTAGTTTCTTACAAAGTTAAACGTAAATTTACCATGAGACCTAGCAATTTTACTACTGGGTATCTACCCAAGAGAGACAAAAACATACATCCACACAAAGACTTGTGTGCAAACATTCATAGCAGTATGATTCATAATTGCCAAAAGTGAAAATCACCCAATACCTATCAGCTGGTGAATGAATAAACAAAATATGCCATATCTATACAGTGGAATATTATTCAGCCATTAAAAGGAGTATAGTTCTTATATGTGCTACAACACAGATAAACCTTAAAAACATACTAAGTCAAATTTTATAATATATAAATTATACCTCAATAAAGCTGTTTATAGAATTGTAATTACAGAATTTGGTAAAAACATACAATTAGAAGACAAGTAAAGTAGTATAAAATTAATGGTAACAATAATGTAATGCTTATAGTACACTAGGGATTTCCTCACCAAGGTCTTGAAGATGATTGGAGTCTGGGTGGGTGCAGAGAAACAGGGATCAGATGGGAGACAGGGAAATTTCCAGAAAAAAGATAATAATTTCAGTGTAGGAGTCCCAAGGCAGGCATGGGACAGAACAGTTTGACAGAACAGAGGGCTCAAGTTCTAAGTGTCAGGAGCTTGAGGGTTAGTTTGGAGACCTTTAATTTTCAGACAAGAGGTTTGTAATTGGTCCATAAGGCAGTGGGAAGCCACTGAAGAGGGGGGTGACATGATGAAAGAGGTGTTTTGAGAAGGTTAATCTGGCAACATTGTATGGAAGGGATGCAAGCAGGAGATGGATGGGAGGCAGGGCATCGGGGAAGGAGGCTGTCATCTCCAGGCTTGCCTGAATGAGGGCTGTGGGAGTGTGCCACGTTAACTTGAAAAATGATGGTTAAAAAACAAACAAAAAATGATCTTATATTTTCAAGTGTTATATGCTAACATATTGAAGTGACACTATTCTGTGTGATGTGCTGTGATATATGCTACCCTGAAAGAAATTTAAGATGCAAAGGATAGTGGTGAGAATCAAACCCATTGCTTTTATAGTCTGAAAATTATGGGTTCCAGATTCCACCCATTCCTTATTTTATTGTAAATGACAGCGCTAAATCCAAGGATCAGGTGGGATGGAAGTAAGAAGCCTGAAAATTTAAAAGAGCATGGTCGTTTTAAGGCTGCTAAGTAGAAACATAAAAACAGAGTTTCAGGTCAGAAGACTGGGTTATGACTTTGGTCAAGTCTAGCTCTTTCTCTAGCTTCAATTTCCATATCTCTGGAATAAGGAAGCTAAGCTAGAGCAGGGATTTTAAAACTGTGTTCCATAACTATGTTGAGGAAGTGATTCGGGGGCTTCTCAGGTGATGAGGAGACCCAGCCGTTGGAGATCTGAGACCCCTACTCAAACTTAAACCAAAACAGCTCTAATTTTATCTGTTTAAGATTATTGGCTTCATAGTAACATTTGATTTGATAAAGCATTCTGTGGTCTTAATTTTTTAACAAAGTAATTAGGCTATAGGATCTTTCAAGCTCCTTCTAGCTCTAAAATTATTCTTTCTTTTAGAATTTTTTTTGGGGGGAAAGGAGCAACTTCCATAAAATAGGATTTAAAAATATTTAATATCAAACTCTTTCAGGAGATTGAGGGTTTCTTTCAGAGAAAAGAAGTATGGCCTTTTGAGAGGTCTTACTTCCAGAATAGAATCTGTAAGTAATTTTATTTGAAATGTCTAAAACTTTGGCTTAATTCTGTCTCTATGGGATTCTGTGCAGTAACCATGAGATTGAGCCCAGATAGTGGAGGATGAAAAACACCCATAGATCATTTAGGTCTTCCCTTCTCCAAGGGCAGTCTCATGGGAGGTGTGGCATGCACATCTCATCTCAGCCAGACGGCCAGGGGAATGGTCATAAGGATGACAGGGTCAATGTGGAGCCTTTGTGAACACCTCCAGGAGCACTTCAATATGGCACCAGTTTGAGTTTAATCCCAACAATTCAGTGATTACTTCCCACCATTCCCAGCCCCTCCTCAATGTTTGGAATCTCCATTCATTAACCCAGATAGCTCAGAAGCTAGTAACATTCGTTGGATAAGGGCTACCTCCTCCCAGTTCCCAAAATAGAACTTCCTCTTGAGGAAGACCAGGAGAGCCTGTAGGAGACCTAAGCTGTGGCCTCAGGCCCAGCCAGCCATGGTGAGTGCTTCCTTTCATTTCCTTTCCTTCTCATGACAAGTGAGCCCAAATGGAAGACAATCATAAGGGTTCACTTTTAGTAGGCACAAAGTATTTTACATGCAATATATATTAAATTATATTTAATTTCATCCTCCCACCTACATGATGGATACTATTATATTTCCATTATACAGATAAGCAACCTAAAGCCAAAAAGGTTAAATAATTAGCCCAAGGTTATACAGCCAGTAAGTGGCAGAGTCAGGATTTGAACCTAGGTTTGCCTGTCTTTGAGTCTGAACTCTTAACAACACATGATACTGTTCTGAAGGCCTACTGTACTTAATGGGACCAATGGGACCTTTTTCTTAGTCCCAAAATCTCAAAGGTCCCCCTCAAATCTGCAGGCACAAAAGAACATTTTCTGAATCTTCTCTGTCTCATATGCTTCAAAGGCCACAAACTCCAGGAACACAGGAAGACAATTATAACACACACAAGTCCCTTCCTCAGCAGTCCACTCATGACAGACTATTACCTGATAGATTTAGGGGAGCAATTCCTTTTATAATACTCCACTGAGAGAATGTTTTCACCTAGAGCCACTTGGCAAATACACCTACCTCTGTTCTTCAAATGCCATACCCCAAATCAACATTCCCACGGAAAAATTGTCACTAACATGCACATGCACACACACACAAATGTACACATGCTCATTTTACACACTTTATATCTTGAAATCAAATTTAGAAAGCATGAGAAAATAATTCCCCAAACGTTCTGAGACATTTGGCATGAGATACCACAAGAAGCAGTTTTACTGCCAAGTTATAAAACCTGTCGTAATGTAAGTTAACTCTTAATTGCAATGCACTTAGCAGGCACCATCTCATGGAATTCTATGTGGGTTGATAAGATATGGGCAAGAATTCTAAGAACCTATGTTGAGAGAGCTGGATCTTAATTTTCACAGGCCGCTTTGCCCTCTGTAAGCAAGTATCTCTGTGAGGTATTTCAAGCAGCAGCAGCTCCCTCCTGTGAGTTGTATACTATCCAAAAAAAAAAAAAAAAAAAAAAAAAAAAGGCACTGGGGTTAGGAAGGCAAATTCAAATGCTTATATGCTAGAAAAAGGAAGGTCTTGAATCTGGCTTTACAGACATTTTCACTTCAGGTCTAGTGATTCTGTTCTTGGCTAAATCTTCTTGTGAGGCAACAATTTTGGGGGACTTCTCCATGGAAGACACACAGGTCTATGGAGGTGGAGAAGTCGAAGGCAACTCGAAGTGGTAGTGGCTGAAAACAAAGGACTTGAAGCTAGGTGTAAATGAATTGGCGTACGCTAGAATTAGGAGAGGCATTATTTAGAAAGATAGGTTAGTCAGAGGTATGTCTCTAACTTAGCAGATAAAGTCGGGAATGGTGAATGCTGAAGCAATCACTTCCCAAAGTGCAGGACAACAAGGGAAATCAAATTCTCTTGATAGGAAGCAGTTGAAGTATTTTAGAGCCAGGAAACTAACAGTAAACAGGCAGGATTTCCTTGGCCTTCTTTTCCTAATAAATCATGTCCTTTATTGTCCAGTAACTTGGAAGAGACTTGCTAGAGAGGCTTTGCCCTTCCTGAATAGAGACAGAAACATCTGGGAGTAAGAGGTACAGGGAGGTCAGGAGGAGGGGGTGGTGTGGAGATAGAAGGAGAAGAACCCAGTGTGTGGAAAAGAATCCTGGGGCCAAAACAGCACCAATGAGGTCTGGTTTTGTTCCACGAGGAGCCCATTTACAATTCCAAGCTTCCGATTGTTGGGTAAGGGCTGGCTGCGTAACTCAGGTCCCTGCAGCCTCGTTAAAAGCTAGTTACACACTACGGTATATATGGTTACAAAAATACTATTCCATAATATTAGGAAGATTGTTTTGTTCTCTTCTTGCCTTTTCTATGTATATGTCTGGGGTGCCTTCTTTTCCTACTTGGATCTCTTTCATTCTCTTCGGAGGAACATACATACCTCTGTCCAGTCTGAGAGAAGCCACTCGCTGGGACAGTCATCTTTCTTGCATGCTTGCTGGCAGGCAGGTTTTGAAGCTGAACAGAAGGTCTCAGGAAGCTCCAGGAAGCTGCCATCAGCCATGCGCTGCTTGCAAAGAACCTCACGTTTCTGAACACCCCCGCCACACGTTCTGGAACACTGGGGAAAGAAAGAAGGAAAGAAGAAAAAGTAGACCCAATATGGGAAGGCAGTCTGACTGCTAATTCTTATCTTAATTTGGCAGAGTAAAGGAAGAAAAAAAAATCCAGAAGAAGAAGAAAAACCAGGAATCGGCCCAAAGGATTTTGTTTCTTCTCTTTGAGATGAATTTTGTAGCAAGATCTACCCTCTCCACTCTTAATCCCAGGTATTTAACTAGAGCATCCAGGAATTTCTGGGGCCTTTAAATCTTAGAAAGTTGCTCCTGAACTATGATTTGCAGTCCCATCCAAGACAACTGGTTTAAAAGGTTAGTATAATAGAGTGTTCAGCATATTTACGATCCAGGGAAAATAATCTGTGCTGCTTCCAGAATGAACAGGAGAGAGCTCCCGCCATCAGTATAAATCTGGAGGAATTAATTTGCAGAAAAGACAGCCCTTTCTCTAAGTGAAGGCACTCTACCACACGGAATGGGCATTAGATTTAGGGTCTGGTTTTCTTAAGGACCCCCCTGGAATACTCTTCTTGCAGGACTGATGATTTCTTAGGGCAGTGGGAGCCAGAGCCACTGAAATTTGGGATGCAAGAAAAATGGCCTCATGTCAGTGGTTTTCAGAGGAACCCCAATAAAACATTGTTTACATGTAACTGAATAGTTATGATCCAGGGGCATGAAGTGGGAGGGAGGCCCCCTGAAGCACAGACTGTTGGCTATTTTCAAATATATGTCCCTTCCTTTTCAGAGCAAAGGAGTCCCCAGCTTTTCACTGGGCATACCACATTTCGGCATAAAGACTATATTTGTCAATCTCCCTTGAAGACAGACACAGCCATTTGACTTGATGCTGGCCGATGGGATATAAACGGAAGGGTTGTGTGTGCTTTCAGGGAAGTGCCCAAAAAGATGGTGTGGCATCTCTTCCCTTCTCTTTCTCCTCGCTGCTGGCTGGAATGTGAACGTGATGTCTGAAATGTAAGCTTCCATCTTGGGCTGTCACAAACAAAAAGTTAGAAGCCTGGCTTCCTGACTGTGAAACCACCATATCTGCTCTGGACTGTCTGTGTTTATGTGAGAGAGGAAGACTTTTCTATCTTTTTAAAGCCAATGTTATTTTGGGTTTTCTATCACTTTCAGTCTGACATAACCCTAGCTAAGAGTTCAACCCACGACTACTCTGTGGTGGGGATATTTTATTGTAAAATTTTAGGGAGCCTGCTGATTTCTTCCAGAATAGTTTCTTGTCATTAGCTTGCTGCCTTTGGGCTTGCTGAGAGATCAAGCCTGGTTTTAAAAAGCGTGAGAGTTTGTGCTGAAGTACCTGCTTTGCTGGAGGAGTGCCCCTCTCAGAACTCACGTTGGTCTTTGTTTAGTAAGTTGTACTCAGAATGGCTATGGGGTTTTTTGCCGGCAGTCAAGGTTATGATGGTGATACCAGTGTCCTTGGGTACAGTCAGAACATAGCTGCAGCCCAGCTTTCACCTTCTTACTCAGTGGTCTCAACCTTGCATGCACCTCAAGGTCTCCTGGGGAGCTTTTAAAAAGTACCGATGCCTGGGCCTCACTTCAGACCCATCAAATCAGATATTCTGGGATGTGGCTCCCAGGTACCAGTTTTTGTTTTGTTTTTAAGAAAGATATCGGTATAATCTTCTTCCAAGTAATTTTTCCCCAGATAATTCTATTGTGTCTCCAGGGCTTAGAACCACTTCTACAAATGAATGTTCTCTCACCATACCCAATGGTAATAAACATGGAAAGGAAAATCCGGGACCCAGAGAGGTCTCTGTTACGACCAGTGGTTGTTTGGACCCCACCGGAGCAAACATGCCTTTTGTTTGCAGTTGTGAATGGCTTGAGGTCACAGAGCTAGTGGATAATGATGTTAGAAAAGCAATCAACTTTGTCTAGTTAAGCCTTTTAGTCTTAGAGTCTTTTAAATTATTAAAATCAATGGTGAGAAACCTTTATTTTTTTCATTTCAAATTTAAAAAAATAATTGAGTCCCCTAGGAAAAAGGATGTATTTTCTTAGTGCTGGGATCAACTACCTACCCATTGAAGCATTGAAGGCTAACAAAAAATGTGAAATGACCCTACAAGCTAGGTCTTATTTCCACTTTACAGAAAAAAAAAAAAAAAAAAAGCTGAGGCTCAGAGAGGTAAACAATCCAATGAAGGCCACACAGGGGCTAGAATTTGTTTATTGCCATTCATTGCAACATTTGCTAAGCTCCTACTGGACACCATGCTCTGGACGCAGCTGGAGAAAAAGTCCAAACTCAGCTTCTCTCCTCCGTGGTTGTAGCAACTCCTGCGTGCTTGCAGACCCAATGGAGGGTAGTGTGACCGTTGCTTCATGAGGAGGGCTCCCAGCCTGATCAGCACCAAGCCTGCCGAGAGCCTGGTCTTAGTCTTTCACCCAACTGGGCTTTGCCATTCAATTCTTAGCTTCCACTCTTGTGACCATCCCTGACTGGCAGGAGCCAGCCCATGATTCAGGTTGGAGAGTAGAATTTAAAGTAGTTCATCTATATTCTAGTGACCCTGGAAAATTTAAGGAGTTCTCCCTAAACTCTGATTTCTGAGAGGCAACATTTAAACATAGCTCTTAGACAATGCCATGAAGCTAGACCACCTGTTACTCATTACAAGTCCTACCAGCTCCTTCTAAGGGCTTTTCTAGTGTGTCGTTTGGGCTTGATTAAGAACAAAATCTATGGTCTCAGAGCTAATGATTCAAGTAACTGGCCTAAGCCTTTGTCTTCTTTGTGGCTCATTTCAGTGACTCTGTGGGCTCTTCTGTATTGAAGAAGCAAATTTTAATTTTAGCCCTCATTTGGTAGCAATTCAATAAGACATTAAAGGATTTCACTTCTTTAACTAATTTTGTACCCGCACTGCCTAGAATAATGCCTCCTGTGAATGTTCTCAATAAATGTCTGTGGCATTGAATTGAAGTTGGTACTTAGGAGAAATTTAAATTAGTGGCTAAGAATTCCATTTATCTAGAATAATCCTGTTGCTATGGATAACTAAGGTTTTAAATTTAGTTTTACAGTGTTTTGCATGATTTTTTAGGTTCGACCTTCTCTTACTGCTGTCAAATTCTTACATCGAACCAACAAGTTATACTATAATCAGATCAGTTCTAAACTTTTCTTGTTCATTCTTTCTTTTTATAAGTAGCCAACTAACCACGTGGATTACTGACTCCTAAGGATTTGCCAAATTTGGGGACTATATTCTCCACAATACTTTCCATTCTGTGAATTACTAAGATTCTTCCATGAACTTACTGTAATTTTTCTGAAACCACAATTGTTGGAAAGAAACAAGTTTGTGCTGATAAATCAAAAATTTTAATTTTAAGCTCTGACCTCTCCCCTATGCCTACTCAACATGTCCACTTAAATGCAAATAGGCATCTTGAATTAAACATGCCTAAAATGGAACTCTTAATACTGCCCTTCCAACCTCATCCCAAACCTACTTCTCTCTCAGTCTTCCCCATTCATTTAATTGTGCCACATCCAGGACAAAAACTTTGGCCCCTGAGTTTTTCCTTTTTTTTACCACCCTTCCCCTGACATCCAAGTCATGGCCAAATAAGGTCAGGTTTACTTACAAAACATATAAGCTATACTTCTAAAATAAATAAGAAATCAGCATACCATAATCCATCATCTCTTGCCTTTTATTGGTGCTTTGGTCTGAATGTCTGTGTCCTCCCTGCCACTCCCCTAAATTCACACGCTGAAATCCTAACTCCCAAGGTGATAGTATTAGGGGTGAGGACTTTTGGGAGATGATTAGGTCATGACGGTGGAACCCTCAAGAATGGGATAAGTATCCTCTAAAAGAGGTTCCAGAGAGCTGCCTTGCCCCTTCCATCATGTGGAGGACACAGCTACAGAGCACCATCTATGAACCAGAAAGAGGGTTCTCACTAGACACCGAATCTGCCAGCACCCTGACCTTGGACTTTCTACCCTCCAGAACTGTGAGAAATAAATTTCTGTCATTGATAAGCTACTCAGTCTACGGTATTTTGTTTTAGCAGCCGGAATGGACTAAGAAATAGCGTTTCTAGCAGGATATAGATGATACACTCAAATGTGATCATTTGAAAAAGAGTTCCTTCCTCCTGTTGGAAACCCCATATTGTCTTCTCTACACTCTATTCTCCACACCATAGCAAGAGTGACGTTTTCAAAGCATAAATGTGATCACACAATTTCCATGCTTAAAACCCTCCAATGACGTTCCCTTGCAATGAGAATATAATCTATACTCCTCTAACCCTGCCCTGCAAACCGCTACAGATTCTGGTTCCTGCCCTGGTGGAACTTAGACATTGTCTAGCTTAAATCCTTCCAACTTTATTAATTCATTCCACATAAATTTATTAAATGCCAATCATGAACCAAGCATGGTTCTAGCTAGGTGAATGTATAGCAGAGCAAGAGAAGCGTTGTACACCTCTGTAATCTTATATTTTACGACACCCCCCCTTTCCCTGTGTACTCCAGCCAGACTTTTTTTTTGTTGTTTTGTTCCTCAAACATGTCAAGCTTGTTTCTCCCACAGGGCCTTCGCATTTGCTGTTCTCTCTACCTGCACCATTCTTCTCTTAGATCTTCATGTGGCTGAGTCTCTTGAATAATCCAGGTTCAATTCCATTCTCAGCTGTGTGGAGAGGCCATCCCTAACCTTCCTACCTAGAGTAGTCAAAGCAGTCTCTATCACCATTACCTCATTTTATTTTTTATAATAGCTCTCATATTTTCAGAAATTATCACCCATTTAGACCATTAGCTCTATGAAGGAAGAGATTTTGCTTCTGTTGTTGCTCATATTAAGTGTTTGAGAATTTCACTTAAAACTTTTCCCCAGTATATCATTACATCTTTAATAATAAACATTAGGATTGAATGAATCCACCTCTAGTTTTCTTTCTTACACATGCTCTCTCCTTTTCCTTCTTTTAAAATTAATTATTTGTTTGTTTCCCAGTAAGGAAGTGGTCAGGGTATGAGCTGAACAGTGGAGTGACATTTTACAATAAGTTCTGGGAGTATATGGTGTTTTGATAATGATTCATAAATATTTACACTGTTGAAAATGCAGTGTATTTTTTTTCTCTGAGAGAAATAATAGCTGGTTCATAAAATTATTATCTCCTAAACCTCAAAACGACATCAAGCCACTTTTCATTTAATCCTTTGATTATAATTCACACTCAGATTCCTCATGGGTCCTATTGAGTCCTTCAGACATAAAGAACATGCTCCCAAAGTTTCTGTTACCCAGTGATTGACATTTTAGATACTTCACTAGTGATGCTGAATTTGTAGGAGTATGGATCTCTTCAATGGGTAGTGGCTGAAGTTTTCTTTTTTCTAAATATTTTTATGAAGCACATAGCTTCTGTTCAATTTGATAAATGCTCCACAATAAACAAGTAGTTAAATAAGAACAGTTCTCAGATTCAAGCTGTTCAGTTAGAGTTTCTTAGTGAATTTGGCAATAAAGAAAAATGTAGGTTAATTTTCTCTCTCTTTCAAATTGAGGAAGTAGATAATGAACATAAGTTGTCTTATTTCAAGGGTATAGATGTAATAAAATTGTACTATAGAGTGATTACTCATTGAAAATAACACAACTGGGTTATCAGTTTGCAGATAGGACTTGATTTAAGGCACAGACCTCCAACAGTATATAGGTATGTAACAACATGTTGATAAAACAGCTGCAAGAAAAGTTTTAAAAAATTGTCATTTACAATTTTGATGTATACATAAAGCTTTTAGGATATTATCAATGGTAAGAAGATAAAGTCTAGACTCCTGACAATGCCCTTCACTTTGATCTGCATGGAGCTTTCCAGCCCATTCCTTGACATACTGTCATGTGCCCATGCTTTAGCTACAGTGGACAATTTGCCCTTTCCTGGGCACACAGACACCTTCTCTGCTCTGCCTTTGATCATGTCATTCAGTCCATGAGCAATGCCTGCCAGCTCTTTGTTCACCCAGAGACTTCCAAGATGTGCTTGAAGGTCCAGCTCAAAAGCCACTTCTTGTCCTGGCTAGAGCAGTAAGACAAGAGAAGGATATAAATGGCATCCAAATTGGAAAGAAAGAAGTCAAATTATCCTTGTTTGCAGATGATATGATCTTATATTTGGAAAAACCTAAAGACTCCACAAGAAAACTATTAGAACTGGTAAAGAAATTTAAATTCAGTAAATTTGTAGGGTACAAAATCAACATACCAAAATCAGTATTTCTCTATGTTCAACAGTGAACAACATGAAAAAGAAATTTAAAAAGTAATTCCACTTATAATATCTACACACAAAATTTAAATACTAGGAATTAACCAAAGCAGTGAAATATCCCTATAATGAAAAGTTTAAGACACTGATGAAATAAATTGAAGAGAACATCAAAAAATGGAAAAATATTCCATGTTCATGGATTGGAAGGATCAATATGGTAAAATACCCTTACTACCCAAAGCAATCTACAGATTCAGTGCAATCCCTGTCAAAATGTCAAAAGCATTCTTCACAGAAATAGAAAAACAATCTTAAAATTCATATGGAACCACAAAAGACCCAGAATAACCAAAGCTATCCTAAGCAAAACAAAACAAAACAAAACAAAATTGGAGGAATCACATTATCTGACTTCAAATTATAATACAGAGCAATAGTACCAGCTATAGCATAGTACTGGCATGAAAACAGACATATAGACCAATGGAATAGAATAGAGAACCCAGAAACAAAACTACAGAGCTACAGTGAACTCATTTTCAACAAAGGTGCCAAGAACATACACTGGGGAAAAGACAGTTTCTTCAATGAATGGTGCTTGGAAAACTGGATATCTCTATGCAGAGTAATGAAAATAGACCCCTATCTCTTGCCATATACAAAAATTAAATAAAATGAATTAAAGACTTAAATCTAAGACCTCAAACAAAGAGGCTACTACAAAAAAAAATTGGGGGAATCTCCAGGACATTGGTCTGGACAAAAATTTCTTGAGCAATACCCCTCAAGCACAGGCAAATATGAACAAATGGAATCACAAGTTAAAAAGCTTCTGCACAGCACAGGAAACAATCAACAAAGTGAAGCGACAACCCACAGAATGGGAGTAAATATTTGCAAACTACCCTGACAAGGGAGTAATAACCAGAATATATAAGGAGCTCAAACAACTCTGTAGGAAAAAAATCTAATAATCAAAAGATGGGCAAAAGATCTGACTAGACATCTCTCAAAAGAAGACACAATGGCAAACAGGTATATGAAAAGGTGCTCAGCATCACTGATCATCAAAGAAATGCAAATCAAAACTACAATGAGATATCACCTCACCCCAGTTAAAATGGCTTTTATCAAAAAGACAGGCAATAATAAATGCTGGAGAGGATGTGGACCAAAGGGAACCCTTATACACTGTGGGTGGGAATGTAAATTAGTACAACCACTATGGAGAACAGCTTGGAGTTTCCTTAAAAAAGTAAAAATTGAGCTACCGTATGATCTAGCAATCATACTGCTGGGTATATACCCAAAAGAAAGGAAATCAGTGTATCAGGGAGATATCTGCTCTACTGTGTTTGTTGCAGTGTATATATTCTTTACAATAGCTAAGATCTGGAAGCAACCTAAGTGTCTATCAACAGATTAACTGATAAAGAAAATGTGGTACACATACACAATGGAGTACTATTCAAACATAAAAAGAATGAGATCCAGTCATGTGCAACAACATGGATGGAACTGGAGGTTATTATGTTAACTGAAATAAGCCAGCCACAGAAAGACAAACATCACATGTTCTCACTTATTTGCAGGACCTAAAAATCAAAACAATTGAACTCATGGACATAGAGAGCGGAAGAAGGATGGTTACCAAAGACTAGGAAGGGTAGTGAGGGGCTGAGGGGGAGGGTGGGATGGATAATAGGTATGAAAATATGTAATAGAATAAGACCTACTATTTGATAGCACAATAGGGTGACTATAGTCAATAATAACTGTAGATTAAAAAAAACTTAAAAAGAGTGTAATTGGGTTGTTTGTAACTCAATGGATAAGTGTTTGAAGGGATGGATGCCCCATTCTTCAAGATGTACTTATTTCACATTGCATGCCTGTATCAAAACATCTCATGTACCCCATAAATACATATACTATTACCCACAAGAATTAATTTAAAATAGGTATTTTTTTTAAAGGCCACTTCTTCATTAAAGCCTCCTCCAACCCCTCTGCATTTTGGCAAACAAATCACCTCCAACCCACCCTGACCTAGAAGGGTATCTTATCTCTTCTATAAGGGCTCATTGTTTATGTGCCCGCTATTTTCCTCTCCCTCCCTGCATGCACACAGGATTATGAGTCTTTTGAGGAAAGGGAATTCATTCATCTTTATATTCCCCAGAGCCTAGTAGAGTATCTGGCAAAGAGCATGCACTTCATAAATGTTTGTTGAATTGATGATTGGATGAGCAAAAGAGCTCCAAATCCAGATGTTAAAAAGATGTAAAACAGGCATCCAGCTGATGGGCTGATCATCTACCTTTTATCAGGCTGTTTTATCATTAGCCAGAAGCTGCTTTGCAGTAAGGCAGCAGTGGGTTTCACCCAGTGAAGGTGTGGGCTCTGCTGGAGAGTCTGACGCTCCAGGTATGGGAGGCAGCCATCTAGCTGAGTAAATGTCAGGGATTTTGCTCCTAAATGCTTATCTTGTCTGTGTTCTCAAATTTTCTTCAGTGTGTTTGCATTGATGAAAGGCATTTTTAGAAATTTTAAAAAATTGTAGAAGATGAAATTTGAAAGGAGTCAAGGCTCCAAAGTCTGTGATGACTTTGTGAATGTGCTAAGATGACCCGGTGAGGCCAACAGTTCTTATGCAAGAGGCAGGATGCAAAGAAAAAAATGTTTCCAAAGGAGCAATGGCAAGAGAAAATTAATGAAATTAAATAAAAAATGTTTGCCTTTATGAGTCATCATTTAAAATAATATTCTAGTATGAAGAGATAAATCTCCAGTAAGGGGCATTATTTTTAAATATATGTAATAAGCAAAATACATAAGAAAAATAGTATCTATATTGCTTATACCAGCTGCCATACACGTTTCATGATATGAGGTCATGGGTTCGTTTTATAAGAAAAGTAAAAAATACACAATAAGGAAAACAATTACGTCTCTACACAAAAAATACAATGGCCCAAGTGTCCTGTACTTTTAAAGATTTTCCCATGATAAGCACATTAATAAATTCTGCCTGTATTGAAATTTCTGGTTTCTTCTTGGTAGTTTAATTTACTGAGAGCTGAGTTGATTTCCTTGATATTTTTACTAACATTATTGAACCCAACACAAAGTGATGTTTATGTTTTGTTTGTAAGGCCAACTTTTCATTTAACATAATGGACTCTGCACTCTGCTTACAACTTCCAACTCACTTCACTTGTTTCTTCATTCACTCATTCATTCTTTCACCAAACATTTATTGAGTACCCACTGAGTGCTAGGCACTGTATTGGATGCTGGGGATTTATAAAAAATGGTTACTAAGCCTCAGATATTTGCAGTCCAGTGAGGGAGAAAAACTTACTATACAATGTGATCAGTTTTACAAAAAGGGAATACAACAAAGAGTGCAATTAAATCTCTCTGGGAAAATTAGGGAAGCTCTAGACAGCAGTGACACATGAGCAGTTTCCAGGGAGATGAGGATGCTGGCATAGCAAGATTGTGTGTACGCACTGAAGGTGCAAAGGGACATGGCATGTTCTGATGACTCAGAGCAGTCCTTAGACGGTGCACCATTTGGGTCCATGAAGAAGAGTAGGTGGAAAATTATTCTGAGACATTAGATTAGGAGCACATGGTGAAGTGCCTTTGGACATAATCTTAAAACCATGAGGTATCAATAGGGGTTTCAAAGTAGGGGGTAACATGATCCAATTTGTAGAAAATGACTCAGGCAGCATAGGCCAGTAAGTTCCAAACAATACTGCTTTGTGAGGTATTAATAGGTGTGCCATGGAGAAAGGGCTTCCTGGTAAAATAAGTCTATGTAACACTGCATATCATAACCCTATGCAGGGGTTCTCAGTGCATATTTATATGCATATTTATATTTTAAAGGCTTGAAGAGAGAACCTGTGGTAAAGAATCATCAATACCAAGTTGGGAAACACTGGATGAGAGTTAGGCAAGATGAGACAAGGAGATCAAGTAAAAGACTGTTTGTAAGGGTTTGATGAGTTGATTGTAAGGAGAGGGATTAGAAAGGAAGAGAGTGGTGGGGGAGATATAGAAGATGGAATAAAATAGGGTATAGATGTTGACAAAGCGTGAAGGATGCGTGAGGCTCATAATGGCTCAAGTTTCCAGGTAGAAAGCAGGACAGATGGTGGTGTCACCTACTTGATAATGATCAATGATGAAAGACCAGGTTAATGGGGGAAGGGGTGGCAGGCAGGTATGTATTAAGCTTGGTGTTAGACCTTTGGAGTTTGAGGTAACTTAGAAACATGTGAGACTGAGGGAGCCCAAAGGCAGTTAGACACGGTGCTATGCACACAGTCGAGGTCATAGCTGAGCCAAACTGAATTAGGGCCTAGAGAAACAAAGAAAAATGAGAACTGGAATCTCACTTACTAAACATAATTATTAAAATGAGAACAGAAGTCTTACTTCAGCCATTTTGGGGATTAGAATTCCCTTGTTCATCTAGTCTCAAGCTTTCTTGACTCTGGAAGTACAAGGGGTGTACACTGTACCTTCAAGGTTTTACATTCTTGTTATGGTGTGAAGCAAGCAGCTGCACATCCATCAAAATCAGGGCAATTATGCCAAAGAACTTCCTGCTAATAAATACAAACAAAAACAACCACATGTGAAGCTGGACTTTCAATTTGTTTTGCTATGTTTATTGCTGCCTCAAAAGATAGGATCAAGTGTCCATTTCCTTATGAAATACACTATTGAAAATGAGATAAACATCCTAAGAGTTTTTTCCTCCCTGGGACAGAAAATTTTAAATAAATATAGCCTCTAACTTATGTGGATTTACATTTTAGTCACTGGAATATAACAAAACTGATTACTATGTGACTCTGCCAGAATTCAGTTCTCTAATCCAAACCAAAGGTATTTTTGTCTTTGCTTGAAGGTATGTATGTATGTTTAAATCTAGAAAATGAAAACTTTAATTCTCAGGCATTTATAGTTATCATTAAAATTCTCTTTTTCTTTGTATCACTAGCAGGGACTCCTCTCCCTTATGCTTTTTTACATAGTTGAACTGCAGGCATTTTCAATTGTGACCCTGATTAAGAAAGGTTTAGAGGGAAATGGCAACACTGTCACAGTTTTAAGCAAGGCAGGGATCCAGAGATTGTGGCAATTGTTTCTGTCTCTGCACAGATGTGTGCAACATGTGTGTACAGTTGGGTGGACGCAATCTTGAACATAAAACATATGCAATATAGAGAAATATAAATTGTGTTTCAAAGTGGACCAATTCTTTTCAGTTTAACCCTTCAGCACCTTTTTTCTTTAATTCCTTGTTTCAATTTAATTTTTAGAACAAAAACAAATGAAGGAATATTGATGCATATGATATATACATTGATATATTAGATATAGAGAGGCAAAAGGGTAGTGGAAGACAGGTTCCCAATCTCAAGGAGCTTGTGCTAGTGGGGACTAAGTGCTTCACTCACAATATAGCAGGTGGTGATGGGCTGAACAATGGCCCCCGAAGATATCTTCATCTCAATCCCCGGTACTTGTGAACACATTACCCTGTGCATAAAAGGGTCTTTACTGATGTGATGAGGGCTTCTGAGAGGGGGAAATGATCCTGGATTATCCAGGTAGGCTTGAGGTAGTCACAGTGGTCCTTAGAAGAGGGAGGCAGGAGGGTCTGAGTCAGAGAGAGAGGATGAAGGGACAGAATTAGCAGTGGGAGGAAGATGGAGGAAGGGGCCATGAGCCAAGGAAGCATATGGCCTGTAGAAGCCAGAAAAGACAAAGAGACCCTCCCCTTGATCTCCAGAGGGCACGCAGGCCTGCGGTTCCCCTGAATTTAGCTAGGTGAGATTGAGTTGGGACTTCTGATCTCCAGAACTATAAGAGAGTAAGTTTGTGTTGTTTTAAGCCACCAAGTTTGTGGTAATTTTTTACAGCAGCAATAGGAAGCCAACGTACAGATGAACTGTCCTGGATAGAGGCAACAAATACCGAGTGTTCTGTAAACTGCTGATTTTAGGACTGTTACCAGATGTCTTCACAGTTTAACAGTTAAGAGCAGATAGTAAAGAAGTCTTGGGAAAGCCATACTGCATAGTGAAAAAGAAAATGAGTTTGAAGCACACAGGGCCCCTTTCACATTTACCAGCCTTGTGACTTGGTTTCCTCACTAGGTTGCTGTGAGGCTCAAGAGAGGCCAAGTGCAGCGAATGAGTGTTAAAAGAGAATGTTCAAATTCCTATTAAGCTCACAATACTTCAGGTTCCTCACATGCAAAATGGGGATAATATTAGTAACTATCACATAGGATAGTGAGGATTAAGTAAGTTAAATATGTAAAGTGTCTAGAGCTGTGCTGAACACAGAGAAAGTGATGCTCTCATTATCAAAAGCAGCAGCTCCTGAAATGTAGCAAGTATTCAATAAATGACACCAGCAGAATGGGCATGTACCTTTCTAACACCAAAGTCAACGCTCTGCAGATGTGTCCTGGGAGTTATGGGGTCTGAGACTTGGTCTCTGCCTTCATTGACCTTGTGGTCTAATTCAGAAGTCATGAGAAAGCACCTGAGTGGGTAACGTGGTTGTTAAGTTAGCTGTCTGCCCCTGAACACCATGTGGCTTCAGTGTAGAAGGATAATAGAAGAGTCACTGCAGAAGAGGGAGGCTCTCTGCTGGGCCTTGACCAGCACAGGGGAGTGGGAAATGGTAGGCGGGCAGGGGAGTATACAAGCAGGGATGGGAGAGCCATGCCTGGAGACAGGGCAGGGACAGATGCGCAGAGGGATGAAGGCCTGAACAAGACATGTACTGGCTTTAGAGTCACTGAGAAAAATCCTAGCAGTAGACTGTCATGATCAAAGTGTTTCAGACTAAATTGTGGTATAGGTAACAGTGATTCTCAATCACAGTGTTGTAACTCACCCGTGGGATATGATCCCTTATGAGGTGTGCAATAAGTTACTTATAACCAACACCAAAGAGGAGGAGGAGGAGGAGGAGGAGGATGATGATGAGTGTATTTAATAAATTGCAGAAGATGCAGAGGACTACATGCACATAAAATAAGTGTTCAAAAGCTGTCTAAATATAAACTAACAAGATATTAAAGCTATTAATAAATTGGTAAGGATAAATATGAAATGAATCCTTCCCACAGACCAGAGAGGAAAAGCAAAGGGCAGAGTATTAAGAGGAAGAACTGAAATAAAAATGGTCCCCTAACAACCAAAGCTAGAATTAGATTTCTGTTTCATTTCTGCTTAATTTCTAAAACAAGATCTTAACATCAATACTTGAACTCCATGCTAGGTCCTCTCCGGACCTGCAGAATGTGTAAATATTGGCTATTTGCCATTTGTCAGACAAATACTCTACAAAGAACAAAGAAGGTTGCATTCCTATCTGGCAGATGACAATTTACATAATTTATGTTTTCTTCCCCCCAGAAAGAGAAACATACACATGAGGTCAGTGGTAACACTGTGTTCACACAGAGAGGAGAGAGAGTTTCTCCCCTCAAACGGGCAATGTCTATCAGGTTGTTATCTGTATTCCTTTAAACGAAACATGTGATCCCCCATCTCCTTTTCTTCTGTAAGAAAGAGGCTGTAGGTTGGGTGTTGAAGGATTGGAGACCTCAGCAGTATCCTCTGGCAGATCCTTGCTAAATGGAAAAGACCAGGTGAGTGTACACCAAGTTCCCTTTTCCCAGTAAGAATTGCTGAGGAATCAGGGCTAACCAGGCAATGGATTTTCAACAGCTGGTGTCGTAACTAAGCTGAGTTCTAAAACCACAGCCAACTAGCCTAGGGATCCCTGAAGTTACTCTGGACTTATTGCACCATACAATATAAACAATGGTTTCTTCTCACAAGCAGTCAGCAATAGCTAATTTTTCCCAACAAAACTTAGCCAAAGAAGTTGGATTCCAGTAAATAATGTAAGACAAATAGTTTATTGTTTACTCCAGGTTTAGAGATTTCTAAAAGTGATCAAAGATTTTTTTTTTTTTTTTTTTTTTTTGTCGAGACAGAGTCTTGCTCTGTCACCCAGGCTGGAGTGTAGTGGTGCAATCTCGGCTCACTGCAACCTCTGCCTCCTGAGTATGAGTGATTCTCCTGCTTCAGCCTCCACAGTAGCTGGGATTACAGGTGCCCGCCACCACACCAGGCTAATTTTTGTATATATATATATATATATATATATATATATATATATATATATATATTTTCAGTAGAGACAGGGTTTCACCATGCTAGACAAACAGACCCTATGCACCAAACCATTAACAGGGCTGTCTCTGGAGGGTAGAAACACTGCTGACCTTCTATGTTCTTTATTTCTTGTTATGTTTGACTATTTTTCACAATTATTGTGTCTCAGGTGTGAAAGAAGAGACTTTTTAAAGGTCCTATTAAACTGTAGTCACTGATGCATTGGATGAACTTCAAACAGTTGTTTACTATTAAGTTTCCCAACCTGAAGAATGAACTTAAACCTGACTCATCCTCAAATGCTTCTCCCAAAAAGAAGGAAATAGAAAAGCTTTCAAAGTAAATTCATATCTTCGCAGGCCCAAAGTAGATGAAAATTTAAGAATAAGTGATTCTTTGGAAGTCCACTGTTTCAAATAGGGATGCTGGGCATACAGGTGGTGGTGATGGCAATTGACCAAAAAAAGGTCATATATATGGCTGTGCCCTAAAAACTGAAAAAGCATCATGAGTCAATGTCATTATTCAGCAGCACGTGTGGCTATCAAAAAGACATTGATGTTTCACTGCATTTCAAGACTAGGACGATATTAAGACCTATAACCATAAAAAACATATCAGGAAGATGTAAAGTCAGCATTTTCAGGGCCTATAAGGAGCATTCTTCATCTATTCATTCATTTCATCATTCAGTAAACATTTTATCCATAACTTATGTACCTAATAGCAACAAGCTACTAATAATATGGGGACTTAACAATTTCAACAGTGGAGGTTGATTTGAGATGGTTTCTCACCTTTTATTAGGATTGGCATGGGTTAGTGGTGCCGTTTAAGGTCATAGATTCACTCCAATTAGAGGTAACTTAGTATAAATGCACTAGCAATCAGGTGACCTGGGTTCTGGTCCAGGTTTTATGATCTTAAGGAAGCCTACATCTAGGCCACAGTTACATCATCTGTAAAACAAAAGTGCTCATGTTTAATCCCTGAAAGGCCTTTTAGCCATACACAATAGGTTTGGTATAGTGGAAAGGGTCACATAAGACGGAGTTGATAGCCAACCCTAAATTTGCTAGCTGTGTTTGCCTCAGTTTCCTCAAACCTAAAGTAAGGCTAATAAAACCTTATTTTAACTGAATTGTTGTGAGGATTTACTTCAGCTTGGTGAGCGATAATATACATTTCTTAAGCGCTGGTACATTGGTGTTCAAAATATATGACATCCTCTTCCACAAACCATCCATAGTATCATGGAATTAATGAACTTAGCCATATACATTTAAGCTCTAAAAGAAAATATATATTTAATGTCTGTTGCCAGAGGCTTCATACTTAGTGTTTTGCTTATTCATCAGTATTTGATTCTTTGAGTGTTTTACTAAACCACAGCTCCAAGATGGGCAAGGAGCAAGGAGAAGGGAGGGGCTCTGCCAAATGATTAGGAGAAAGCACAGAGGACACGTGGCTGCCTGGAAATGGGAGACCCTTCTGCACAAGGCAATGGTATGTGAGCTGTCGTCCTCTCTCCTTTTCCACTGATGACTATATCCTTTATCACCCAAATTGGGACACTTTTGAGAGTGAAGAAACTGTCTCAGTGAAACAGAGATGTATGTCTCCTCCACCTTTCATGCTTACTTTTGTGGCCTTTGTTGTCCCTTTAAAGCAGTGTCTTATGTCCTAATAGGGAGCAAACTGCAAAATAAGATTGTATGCAATCAACCTAAAATCCTGTGTTTTTAAAAGGCATGCAAAAATATTAACGTTTGATAAATGCATATTATTTTTAGATAGGAAATTATGATAAAATAGTTGTGTTATTATTATATATGCCTGGTGCAGGATCAGAAATTTTGTTTGTAAAGGGATAGCACATATTTTAGATTTTATGAGCCATATGTTCACTATCACAACCACGCAATTCTGCCTTGTAGTGCAAAAGCAGCCATAGACGGTACGTAAAATAATGGGTGTGTTCCAATAAAACTTTATTTACACACGCAAGAAAGGCTACAGGCTAGATTTAGCTTGAGGGCTGCAGTTTGTCAACCCCTGTTTTGAAACAGTGGTTCCCAGACTTTTGGAATTCACAGGACCAGGAAAATAAAAATACTTGGAATTGGCTCAGCATTTCTAACTTCTTATATTGCTAAGTAATGATGTTAAAAAAAATCATTGCCTACTACCCTTATTTCTTAGAATTTTAAACAGCAAAAAAACTAGAAAGGGTGTAAATTAAGAACAAATTTAGCTTTATGGCAAACCCACCACATTGTCTTGATTTTAAAAAATTTTCCTTAGCTTTGTGACAGCTTTGTCATAAATATGCTCAGGTTAACAGATGGGTCATCTGCATTGCTTTTGGAGGTCACTGGGGTGTGATACAGTAGAAAAAGCATGATATTTGTAATTAAAAGATCTGGATGTAAATCAGGTTAGGGGAGTACTAAGAAGGGAGAAATGAGCAGATCTTGAACATCCCTTTAACATCCCTGGACAAAACCACTCTGAGAGAGCATCCCTTTTTTGAGTCACTGTTGCAAACAAAAGCTCCAATATTGAGTAACTTCAGAACTCACCGGCTGCCACTGTGCAGGGTACCAGGCTGGGGGGCAATTAAAGCGGTTACAAGCTTGCACCGTGCTGGGCTTGGGCTGGCGACACAGCTCATCAGCCAGGATGACTGTTTCATTCATCTCTCTGGAAAGCAGGTGGCTGCAGAAGACGTCTCTGGTCTGTAGGCCGACCCCACATGTGAGACTACATGGACTCCACTTGCCAATTTCCCACCTGAGAAGAAATCAGAGAGGAAGAGGACACACCCTTAGTACCTGTGCAGAGAATGTTTCCCATGAACTCAAATGGAGTTAAAACCCCTAACTGGGAAAGTGGGAAGTGCCAGCCCAAGATTGGCTGGCAGCTCTATCTTAAGCCTAGAATCTATCCTCTCCCTTAATGCTCTAGAATTCATTTACATTAAAGCAAAGAGGGAGATAAAATGGAATATCCAATTTTTACCCACAAAATCACCAATAATGGTTACAACCATGTTTATTCTGATGGCACATATAAACTTCATCAAAATAAGAGGGAAGTGCTAAATGAGACATAGATTGAGTACATAAAGGCTTTGGGCACCACATACTGAATTGTGGGGCTTAAAGAGGACTTTCTGCTAATTTCTCCAGCCCCAATTCTTAGCAAGACTGAAAATTTTATGCTTGTAATTCTTTGGCTTCAAAGTGAAAGGTCATTGGCTCCAGCTTCCTTTAAAGTTCCATTGCTGCATAGAAACGTCTCTGTCTTACGTTTAAACATCATCACTGCCTGGGACTGGATAATGTAACAGAAATGAAGGCTGCTCCATCGATCAGTCTTTTTGAAGGGAAGTAAAGTGAAGAGAGTGGCTCATTATCTGGATGTAGCACTCAAATACGCAGATGAGTTGAGTGCACGAACTGGCCATTTCCAAAGGGCCAAGACTTGAGAAGTACGTTTATAGTGAGCTAAGGGCCTATGAAAACAATCCCACTGCATTTCCCTGCTGATGCAGCCTACAAACTGGGAATGATAAGGACAAAGCTCAGTGGCTCAGGCTGTACGTCAGAAGCATCTTCTAAAGATCAGTTTTAGAAAGTTCTGTTTACAGTCTGAGGCACAAAGATTTTACAAACAGGAATTGGCCAAGAAAACATGGTAAGTAGATCCTCTAGTAGCTAGTCCCACCTAGCTTTTGTCCTGAAAGTTGGTTGAAAATTTTTTGGCCTTAATGTTTTTCATCAGACTGTAATATTAAGTGTATGCACTCAATCTTTTCCTACTGCTCTGACATGTAACTAACTTTCCAACCTGTTTCCACTACCTCCTTTCATCTACACTAAGCTTAGCCATATCTGTAATAATCTGTTTGTTATTCTCCAGTTATGCCCCATGGTTTTCTAGTTGTGTCTTTATGCAAGTTGTATTTCTTTTTTTTTTTTTTTTTTTTTTTTTTTTTGAGACGGAGTCTCGCTCTGTCGCCCAGGCTGGAGTGCAGTGGCGGGATCTCGGCTCACTGCAAGCTCCGCCTCCCGGGTTCACGCCATTCTCCTGCCTCAGCCTCCCAAGTAGCTGGGACTACAGGCGCCCGCCACTACGCCCGGCTAATTTTTTTGTATTTTTAGTAGAGACGGGGTTTCACCGTTTTAGCCGGGATGGCCTCGATCTCCCGACCTCGTGATCCGCCCGCCTCGGCCTCCCAAAGTGCAAGTTGTATTTCTAATTTGGAATATCTTTTGCCCTTTCCTTGCCCTTCAAAATGTCTTTCATTTCTATATATCCAAATATAATCCATATTTAAAACACTGTATCCATACTTGCTCCAGACACTGACCATTTTCTCAGTTGTATTACAGTTATTCTACCTGTCAAGGGCACTGCTAGAGTGTATACCTCCTGATGTAGGGCCCGCATCTGAGTCAGTTTTGTATTACTTGCAGGGTCCATCAGAACACCTTTTAGATAGTTAATGTTATTGGTTAAATGAGCAAATCGATGAGACCTCCCATCATAGAGGGCACCTTAACACATTATCTCATTTAATTGCCTCCAGAACAATATGAGATAAGCTCTATTGATTACCTTCATTTTACAGTTGAGGGAACCTGGAAATCCAAGAGGCTGACTTGTCCAAGTACCCCTAATTAGTAAGTAGTGAATCCAGGATTCAGACTTGGTTGTTTCTGGCTCTAGAGCCTCTGCACTTTCTATTGTACCATGCTGTCTCCAAAAAATACCTTGAAAACTCTATGGACATTTGCAAAGTTTTAAATGAATAGAAGAAGAGAAGCTGGCTTGAATTTATTTCTTTTAGATCCTTGTGTAAATTTCTATAAACTTCTCTTATTTTTAAACCCTTAGATTGAGTTAATTATAAGCTTTAAAACATTGTGGTGTTATTGGTTTTAAGATACATCCATACATTCTTTGCCATGCCTTCCTTCCAAAGGTGAAGTCTTGAGTATGGGCTAGACTTAGTGGCTCACTTCTAATGAATAGAATGAGGCAGAAGTGATGCTATGTGACTTCCAAGGCTAGGTCACAAAAAGGATAATGCTTCCAATTTGATGCTCTCTCTTTGCCCACTCACGGTGGTGGGGAAGCCAGCCACGATGTCATGAGAATACCCAGAGAGTCTTAAGGAAAGTTCGTGTGTGAAACTGCAGCCTCCCCACCAATAATCAGCATCAACTTGCCAGCCATGTGAGCGAGCTACCTTGAATGCAGACCCTCCAGCCCCAAGCTTGCCTTTAGATAACTGCAACCTCAGGAAAGACCTCAAGCCAGAACTGCCTGTCCAAGCTGCCTCCAAATTCCTCACTCACATGAACTGTGAGAGGTGATCAATGTTTATTGTCACTGTTAGCTACTAGGTTTGGAGGGAAATTTGTTATGCAGCAATAGACAACCAAATACAAGTATATACCTCTCCCCAATTTGCATATATTCATCAAAAGACATATGCAAGAATATCCATGGCAGCACTGTTCATAATAGCCCAAACCTGGAAAAACCCAAATGTTCATCAGCACATGAATGAATAAAAAATTATGATATATTCACACAAGATTATATAAAGCAATGAGAATAAACTGCAACAATAAGCAACAACATAAATGAATCTCACAAACATAAAATTGAATGAACAAAGCCAGAAACACAAAAATTGATACTGTGTGATTTATATCATAAGCTCAAAAGCCAAAACTAATCCACTGTGTTAGGAGCCAGAACATTGGTTACCCTCGGTGGGTAAAAACTAGAAGAGGAGTAGAGTGGGGTGGGCTTCTGGGGTGTTTGCTAGATCTAGGGGCTGGATCTGGGTCCATTTTATGAAAAGTCACCAAGTGTACACATAGGATTTGTGTGTACTTTCCTTACAGGTATTATGCTTAAAAAAAGGTTTTCTTTCCACTCAAGGGAAATACTAAAATGTTGTGGGTGTAAAACAAAATCTAACATCCATGGCCAGTGCTGGTGAACCCTCTTTGTATGTCTTATAAAATAGCTGCCTACACAGCTAATTCTGTCCCAAGGTTAAGCTCATCAAAGTAGAGGCTTTACATCCTCACTTCCCCAAACTCTGCCACCATTTCTGGCAGAAATTTAGCCCCTGGGACCTTGAAGCAGAGGCCTTTTGGCAGCCATGAGGCCACTTGAGCACTGCTCAGAAAAACTCACAAAACAGACATATCTGCCTGCCCTGATAAAAGTGCACTGCATTCTCAAGGACGGAGGTCAGCAGAAGCTGTCTGTATATTAAGGACTTTGCTGATTCTGGGTAAAAAATATTGTAATCAACTTAGGCCAATGAAGGGAAAGCAGAGACTCTTCCCTACTTCTCTTTTGCAGAGAGCCTGCAAGTGTGGGCCTGGGTCTTGCTGGGGGCTGATGCCCTATTCCGTGCGTTCTGTGCCTTTGGCTGTTTCTGAGAGAGGAAATGCAGGCCAGGCAGAGCCGGCCTGGGGGCAAGGTTGGCTATGAGTGGTGGCCTGGGATACACTTAGAGTCTTTCTCTGAGGTTCTGGGGCCTGGCTTCTGCAGAAGCCTGGTGCAAGGAGGACAGGGGATCTGGTCTAGGCATCAGAGAGTGAGGGCATTAGTGCCTTTTTCCCCTCTTTGCTTGGCTTTTATTCATCTTTTCCTTTCCATTTAAAATGCTACTTCTTCAGAGAGGAAACCCTCAACTGGGTAAAATTCTCTTACTGTATGGTCCCATTAATACTTCCCCCTTTGGAAATTCTCAACATACTTGTAATGTGACTTCCCCACTCGACTGCTAGCTTGATGAAAGCATGGGGCTATGTCTATTTTGGTTTACCACTTGTTATGTGTTGACCTGTGTCTCCAAAAAAAGGTATGTTGGAGTCCTAACCCTTAGTACCTCAGAATGTGACCTTACATGGAAATAGAGTCACTGTAGATGTAATCGCTTAAGATGAGGTCAAACTAGAGTAGGGTGAGCCCTTGATTCAATGCGACTGTGTTTTTTATAAGAAAAGAGGGAGACACACAGGCAAAATGCCATGCGACGACAGAGCCAGAGACTGGAGCGATGCATCTACAAGCCAAGGAATGCCGAAGAGTGCCGGGAGCCACCAGAAAGTAGAGGAAGCAAGGAAGGACTCTCCTTATAGGTTTCAGAGGGAGTACAGTCCTGCTGACACCTTGATTTTGAACTTGATTTTGGCTTCTATGACTGTGAGACAATAAATTTCTGTTGTTTTAAGCCACCTGGTTTGTGGTACTTTGATATAGCAGCTCTGAATATGAATACACGACCAGAACCTCAGTGTTGAGCATGGTGCCTGGGACCTGGCAGATGTTCAGTAGTATGCAGTGAAAAACTGAGTTGAATTTGCAGTGAACTGTGTGTGCACTTCTGGATTAGTCACATGGCTGGTGGACATCTTAGTTATGTCCTCTACACAACTGTTTACTCCCAACTTCAAGGTCCCAGGAGCTCTGAACACCACACATTTTCCTTCAGTGTGGTGTAAACTCTTTTCGTGACAAACTGGATCTGAATTGACATGCTTTTGACAGGCTGCATCCCACTTTGTGTAAATATTTATACATTTTACCACAGCAAGATTAGCTTGTTGGATTATGGTGTTTTTCCCCCAGAAATTGCTAGGGGTGTTATACAATTTATGTCTTAGTAATCCTAACATCTTTCTAAAGTACAAAAAAATTTGGAATCTGAAAGACATCTGCCCCAGTGGTTTTGGCTAAAGGATTGTGTCCCTAGATAAGGAGGGTGGTAAACATGACTGCTATGGTTTCTTTCAGCTCCTAGGCTTCAGGTGTTTAGCTTCATGGTTGGGCTCTTGGCCAAAATATTTGGGAGGCTGGTTTCCCCAGCATTCTTTTACTATACTGCTTTCTTTCCTCTGAGCCCTTCTTCTCCCTGTTTCTGTCCCCTTTGTCAAAACCTGATTGCAGGAAAGCCTCCATGAGTTGACAGATCAAGCTGAAGCCCTCCTGGCTTGACCCTGCCCAGTACCTGAACAACTGACTTCTGACCAGGGGCAGGCAGGAGACATAGGGTCTCCCTCCACCTTAATGGCTGGAATTAGTCTTCCTGCCCTTTGCCCAGCCTCAAGTGTGCCTGGATTGGCCTGTCACTTTAACTGGATTTTAAGCTTTCAGCTTGGCTTCCTAATTGCCACTTTGTTTCCCGGACAGTGCTGGAGTTCTGCCTAAAGTCCAGCCTACTAGACTGTGGTCCTGTCTCTCTGCCTGGATCTGGCTAGCCCTTGAACTTGGGCTGGGCAGAGCACCCTTAGCCATGCATGAGCTAAAAACTGTGACGTGACCACAATCCAGCTGACATCACACATGGTCACCAATAACAATAGTAATACTAACATTTATATCGTACTTAAATGAGCCAGATTCTGTGCTAGTTGCTTTAAATGCATTATTCCTGTCCACAGCTTCCTGAGATAGGTACTATTATCCTCTCTATTTTAACAAGCAGGAGCTGAGGCCTGGAGAATTCAAATCATGGCCCAGAATGCCTGCTGCTGGGTATTCCTCAATGCCATGCCACCAGAGTCACACCCAAGTCCACCATGACATGGACATAAAGGCACCGAGAATGGGGCTGCTTCTTATCATGGGACCAGCTCTGTGGATTTATGAACCTCAGTTCTGCATGATCCGAGCCTCATTCACTGAGGTCTCAGCAGAGCCCAGAACTTAGCTTACCTAAGATGTGGGAACATATATTGACTTATTTACTAGTGATAAAGGTACTGTAAGTTTCCCCATTTTACAGGATCAGCTAACAGAGACTCTGAGAGGTTAGGTAACCTGTCCAAAGTCACACAGCTCGTAAACAAGAGAATCAGCATTCAAACTTAGGCGGCCTGGCTCCTGCATGCCTAATTATTATATTATACTCTCTCTTAAGGTCAATAGAACAAAGTATTAATAGACCTGAGTGGCAAATGCTGGGCTTCCTGTGCTTATAGTTTCAGAAAATCACAAGTGACAAAATGACAGATCTATTTCTAAATAATAGAAACAAACACACTGATACCACCCAGGGCCATGAATCCACTTGCAGTTGTTATTTCAGTAAAGCAGCAGTGTACTTGGCAGCCAAATGGGCAAAGGCAGAGTGTGGTCTTCCCCAAGTGTTAGTTTTTTGTAAAGGCAGCCATCAGGGTTAATATGGGTAATCAACGACCCATGATGGTTGACCCTTCTTGGCAGCTTGTGTTTGTATTAGCTATACAAAAGGAGGAATTTTTTTTTTTTTTTTTTTGCCTTCCTTTGGACAAGGGCTCATTATGTGAGTTGCCAAGGTTTTGCTCCTCTGCTCTTTCAGAGAGGGTGATGACTGTTGCCTCCAGAAACTCATTGTTTATTGCTGGTATAAATGTTCATAATTTCTAATGGCAGACCCTTCCCACCCTGAGCTATTATGCCCTAAGAACCTTCTTTTACCTCGACTTTTGCAGCAAAGTTTTTCTTTAGTCAGAAATGTAAAATGAAGTTTTGGTTAGGAGCAAACTGAAGTTATTGTAAACTGAAGTTATTTTTTAGAAGTATTCTTTAAACTTGTGTGACATTTCTGCCCAACACTTCTGTCCTGTGATTTTCTTGTCTTCCAAAGATATTTGTTTCCCTTAGAATGCCTCTGAGGTCGGGAGGTGGACAGCAATCTGACAATAATAAACTAGACACCACTAAGTGTGCCAACTCTAGAAAGCCTAAGGAGGGGCACGTACAGGGTCTAGGATGCATCTCCCTTCAGGATGCATCTCCCTTTCAGGTTCTTGGACTGTCATTAGTGGCTCCCAATTTATCTCTAAATCTCTCAGTTTCCAATTTCTCCCTAAGGCCACAGCCACCAAAATGTCACTCAAAAATGTGAATCTGGTCACCTTACTTTGTCTGATTAAAAACCTCCACTGGTGTCAAGCTGAGCTTTCAGTGGAGGTGGGGAGCTAGTATGTCCAGGGCTCAGCCTTGCTCCCTGGGGGCAACGGGGCACTGCATGTCTGGAGTTGAACTTTCAAACTGGCCTTTCCTTCTTCTTCTTCCTTCCTTTCCTCTTCCACTTTGTAGGGACTGAACTTTAGTGTGAGGTTTGGTGGGGAGTGGTCCTCTGGCCTGGGACAGGGGTCAGCGCTGGGCCAGGATGGCTGGGAGTCAAATATTCAGGGAGGAGTGAACAAACACATAAATACATAAAAAATAATGGGAGCCAGATTTCTTACTGTCAGAGGAGAGAGTTACAAATATGTGAAGTGGAAAGACTAAGATAAATCTAGTAAAATTGAATTGCTGTTGCAAACAGTATGAACTCATGGTTTTTAATAGATGGATAGACACAGATATATCAACAGATATAAATGAGTATATACAACTATACATATATGTGTACAGTATTTCCTAGTTCTCTCTGAAAGGCCTAGAAGCAATGACATCCCAGTAGTATCAAGCAAATCGAGTGCCCAGATCTTGGGTTCTAAATACCATTCTCCATTAAAAGGAATCAATTTCTGTAGAAATAGCTGACGTCTGGGCAGGAATTGGGAGAATAAAAAATGAGCCTGAAATAGTATGTTGTACCAGAAAATTGAGAAGTGCTCAAAGAATGATGGGGTATATGTCAAAAGGGCATAGGGGCCAGCTTGAAAGGGCTTTTGCTGGTCCTGTCTGGGACAATTTGATAGTAATATATTTTAATCCTTTGAGCAAAGTGGAAATTCATAAATAAATAAACCAGAGAGAAGAGAAAACTACCTTAGAGTAGAATGCTTATTAATAATCTAGAAGGAATGACAGAATTTATAAAGTTACCATTTGGCAATCATCATAATAATAATTGACTCAGGCAGTAATCATCAATCAATATTAAATCTAGTGGGTCAAAGGTTAATGATGAACAGGATATCTACTTAGCTCATATTGTCCCCCATAAAATACTTCTTTGTTACTTATTAAGTGCTACATATTTATTAATTTTACAGTGGAAACACCTGGCTGGCCATCATCTTAACCAAGTGATAAGAGTGAACATCACCAGTAATGAGACACATCATCATCATCTGTCTCCTGATATGAGGTACTAAGAAGAACATAGCACACTTCTGTGTTATTTCTGTCAAAAATTCAAAAATCACAAGAAAACATCAAGCAAACACACATGGAGAGACGTTTTACAAAGTAACTGACCTGTACTCTTCAAAAATGTCAACTATATGAAAGATAGAAGACTGAAGAAATCCCCCAGATATTGAGGCATAATACAGGACCTTGGGCTCTAAGATCGGATTGTTTGCGAATGAATTGTGCTCTGCCACCCTGCAGTTGAATAATCTCGGGGAAGTTACTTAACAATTCACTCATATTTAAAATGGGAATAATGGCAATACCTACTTCCCAGGGCTGTTATGAGGTTCAAGTGAGAACCTCCATGTAAAGGGTGAAACCCAGGGCCTGGTACAGATGAAGGGCTCTGTAAGTATTAGCCAATATGAACTTTTATTACTGCATGCTCAGTAAATGTTTGTTGAATGCAGAGATGATTATTGTGAGGATGGGAAACAAGTAAGTAGAGTGAGGCAGCTTCCTAAAGTCAGTCAGAGAAAGTAGCCATAGGTTTTGGAGACTGAGGAGAAGGACATTTGTGACATGTTCAACTTAGTTTCTCATTTAAGCATTCATTGCTAAGCATTGTGACAGATCCAGAAGTGGAAACCATGCTTACCATCTTTAAGGTGCTTTCAGCAAAGATGGAGAAAGCAGACAAAAGCCCAGGAGACATAGCAAAGAATGTTAGGTAACAGTTATGAGCGAACTGCTAAACTATTTGGCTAAACCATGAGGACTGCAAGAGTTCAGAAAACGTGCATTGTGGTGCTCATAACTACTTGCATTGACCTGATGAATTGCACTTCCCAAAGACTGTTTATGTTATCTCACTTCATCCTCCTAACTCTGAAGTAAGCAAGCAGGCATTATCATCTCCATTTTAGGACAAGCAAGCCAAGGCTCAGAGAAACAAGTGATTTTCCCAAAGTTGGGATGGGCACTTGGGTTACTCCTCTACCCTGCTCAGTCTCTAAGGACTGGAGGAGTGAATCACGAAGGGTTACAGAGAGAGGGAAATAGACAAAGTCAGAAAAGCAGTTATACCCAGCGATCACAGATGGATTTGCTACTCCTCCCTTAAAACCACTGTATTCTAGAAAACCCTTAAAAGAGGCCTAGAAAAGATAAAGTAAAAGATCAAAGGAGATATTAGACATTAAAGAGCAAAAATATGTTTGAAAGCCAAAAATTAACCAGAAACATGTATGATAAATCACACCATGAGAATCGGGGGCTGTCTATCAAACAGTAACTTGCACGGCTCAGGAAATAGTAGATACAGCCACACTTCTCCTGGAAGTCTGCCTGCACGCTGTGAGGTTTTGGCTCCGTAAAAATAGTGAGAGCCAAGATTATCAAACACCTGAAGTGGCAAAGCACTTATTTCTGCTTGAAAACAGTTTGGCCACGCCAATTTGCCACACCTTCTAAGTCATCTCTAAAATAACTTAAAAAAAATAAAATCAATGTTACCAACATTACATATGACTCTTGTCAAACCGTCTTTGCTATTTTGTAAATTAATAAATAGCTCTTGAAAAAAATGGCACTTGCAGCAAGATATACATTTACCATCTCATTACTAGCATGCCATTTGCATCTAAACCTACTTCCTTTACAGAACATGGCAAATAGCAGAATAACACCAAAACTAGGTCCAATTATATAAAGTGTCTTCAGCCTTCCCTCACTCTAACACACTTTTCTATGACATCCCACTGTCCAAAAATACTAATGTGCCTGTTCACCTACACAGAGCTTGATTTAATTAAAACTTCTAAGTTCTGGTTCCCATTTTCTGATCACCCTGTCTTCTGAGTGATAGCACATTAAAATGAGCTAGAATTCCTGCTGGCTGTTATAATTCAGATATGAGCCTCTTGAGAAACAAATTAGTAGGGTAGATGATCTGCAAAGTTATTTTTACTCCAAGGAGTTTGATATGTTAGGTGGTTTGTCTAGATTTCTAGGTATAAATTTCTTGTTAAAAATAGTTCCAGGGTTGTTCTCCTTGTGGTGGTCAAGATCATAGAAGAAATTACTCGCATCATGAATGGTGTCCTCTATTGTTGTGTTTCTTCTCTAATACCATATTTTGGGTTTTATTGCAGTTTGTCTCTATTTTATATTAACTGATTAGCATCTTCACATTAAAAACCTTCCACTAAATGAACCCTTTTTCTTTTCTAGAATTACCTCCTTTATACAGAGTGAGTTTCTGCCAGGCACAGCCACTTGTTGGCTTCCCAATACACCATGTTTCTCTTTCACATCTGTGAATTTGCTTCCAGCTTTTCCTGACTTCATGTTCCTACCTCAAGATCAAGGACTGATTCAAGCCCTTCCTCTTCCAGCAAGGTTTCCCTCACCATCCCAGCTCACATCAACTGTACCGTCCTTGAGATTCCATTGGATTTACTTCCATTTACATTCTGCAATACTTACTACACAGCTATTCTAAGTAAACTGCTATAGCATTTAATCTGACACAATTCTCTTTGCTTAAATGTTTTTTTCCCCCTAGTTATCATCCCAAGTAGACCACAAGGCATTTAAGATTTAGGATCAAGTGCCTTGGGATTAAGGAAATAATTTGACATTCATCCAATCAGGCTATAAATGTCTCTATTTACTGATTTGTAGGTGGCATTACTCACTAAAACCCTACAAACCTAAGTATTTCTCCTTATTATGGGTTGGATTGTGTTCCTGCAAAAGATATATTAGTCTTAATTCCTAGTACCTCAGAATGTGACCTTATTTAGAAATAGGGCCTTTATGGAGATAATTAAGTTAAAATGAGGTCACTAGGGTGGATCCTAATCCAATAGGAATGGTATCCTTATGAAAGGGGAAATTTGACACCATGACAGACATGCACAGAGGGGAAGATGGCTATGCGTCAGATAAGATGCTGTAGCACTCTACTTAGAACAGCCACATAGTAAGTATTGTAGAATGTAAATGGCAGTAAATCCAATCAAATTGCAAGGAGGGTTGAGTTGAATGAGTTGAGATGGTGAGGGCAACACTGCTGGAAGAGGAAGGGCTTGAATCAGACCTTGACCTTGAAGTAGCAACCTGAAGAACACCCTACACAAGAAAAGCTGGAAGCAAATTCATAGATTCACAGAAGGGAAGATAGCCATGCAAAGGAGGATTAGAGGGACACATTCACAGGCTGACAGATGCTAAAGATTGCTGGCAGACCATCAGAAGATAGGAAGAGGCAAGGAAGGCCCCTACTCCTACAAGTTTTAGAAGGAGCATGGCCCTGTCCGTACTTTGATTTCAGACACTAGTCTTGGAATACATTTCTATTATTCTAACCCACCCAGTTTGTTTGTTATGGAAGCCCCAGCAGATTAATACACTCCCTTGAGTTAGTTCTTTTGAGTAGTTTTTAATCCATCTATTTACATTGCAAATAGAAATCTTTCTGGACATTTATATTCATGAGTTTTCTCTACAAGTGAAATGCCTGGGAAGGCCAGTCTTCATGTCAGGATCCACAGTTTTGATTCTATTAGCTTCTATAAGATTCTGCCTCCTCTTTCCTTTCATGATAATTGTCTTTGCAGTCTTACAGACTTTATTTTTAATTCTACCCATCTATTCAGCCACTCACATGTGTATGTGTACTCGTATTCATGCATTTACTTGCTGAAAATCTAGTATGTACTGAGAATTATGCTGAATGATTGGGACATAGAGATTTTCAAAATATTCTTGATTTTACGGGTTTTTAGAGACAACCATAAGATACTGTAACAAATGCTATTCATTTATTTATCCATTTAATTAGTATTTATTGAACACTTTTTGTGTGCCAGGCTTTATGTAAGGAGACAGAGTAGTAAATGAGTCAGACCTCTACCCTATTTCCTTGGGGCACAGAGTCTAGTCTATGAAGCAGATAAGTACAATCTAAGACAGAATCATAGATTGGGAGTTGAGAGGAATGAGGTAGTATCATCAATGGCTTCCTAAAATTGGTGATATCCAGACTGAGTCTTGACAGGTGAATAAGTGGTAGCCAGGCAAAGGCAGAAGTAAAAAGAAGGTATTCCAGGCAGAATGAGGTATAAGAATGCTTCCATGAAGCCTTCAGGGAACTGGGACTTTGAAATTCCCATGCTCAGGACTAGAAAGAACATTGAGGCCGAGCGTGGTGACTCACACCTGTAATACTAGCAATTTGGGAGGCCAAGGTGGGCAGATCATCTGAGGTCAGGAGTTCGAGACCAGCCTGGCCAACATGGTGAAACCCTGTCTCTATTAAAAATACAAAAATGATCTGGGCTTGGTGTTGTGTGCCTGTAATCCCAGCTACCTGGGAGGGCGAGGCAGGAGAATCGCTGGAACCGGGGAGGTGGAGGCTGCAATGAGCTGAGATTGCGCCATTGCACTGTAGCCTGGGTGACAGAGGGAGACTCCTCTCAAAAAAAAAAAAAAAAAGATAAAAGAAAAAAAAAAAAAGAAAGGAACATTGAGTAGAAAGCCTAGTAAATCCTTGGAAAACTCTAGTTCTTGCTCCTCTCTTCTCTCCTTGATATAATTATGTAGGGGTGGGTGCGGGTGGGGGAGACTGGGAAGCAGTGGTGCTTTGGGCAGCCAAACCCTTAATGACAAAGGTGACTTCAGCTCACTACAGTTCAAGCTCACAGCCTCATAGATTAGGCTTCTTGACCTCCCCTAATCCGCTGAGTGCTGGAATGGCCAGCAGGCTCTTTTCCTGTCTGTCCCGAGATTTGCCAGCCTTAGTGAGAAGTTTGGCAGGACACAGCACTGGGTGACATGTTGCTTCAAGTAGGCCCTCAACCCTGCTTAAGCAGACCATGAAACCAATTCAAGCCTGGCTTGGCAGAGGAATGCAAAAGATGAAGCCATTTCCCATGCAGAGATCTCCCTGTCTCTGTCTCAGGAGTTTGATATGTGAGAAGACAGGAGACGAAGCAGCTAGCTATTGATGCAGGGGTGATTAATTCCCTCAGGGCTGGGGAGACACACACACACACACACACACACACACACACAGATAGTAGACATGTACACACATATACACACAGGCATTGATACACATGCATATGCGTGATACATACACATACACACCCCTGTGGGCAGTGCCTGCTGTTTGCACAGGCTTCCTATTCACACAGATGTTCTATTCACAGGATATGGGGAACAGCAGCCCCTGCACTTTCTAGCCCTAAAGGGTGTTGACGTGGGGAGTGAGAATGAGGCTTTCCACAAATGTTTTTATATATGACCACACAAAAGTGACCTAAACTGATTTTTCAAGTTAGGTTCAAAGATCTCTTCATGTAGAATGCATGTTTTACTCTTTGATGTTTTGTTACCTCAGGGCGAGTTAAGGGATTATTATCAGAATGAAGCCTGAATAAATTGAAACCCTCATATTAGGATTTATATTGGCTTATTAAATCCCTCATTTGTTTTTGATTATCCATGATTCTCATTTATTGCTAGGACTTTTATCCCTGGGACACTATTTTTAAACACACTTGGATCTGATAGAACTGATGAATTGGCCTAAATCCCTAAGTTGTATTTACTAAGTAGGAGACATGTGAGCATAATGTCAAGAACCAGACTGCCCCAGAACTTTGAATTTCAACATACCATCCACTTCCATCTGTGTTTTATGACCTTGGGAAAGTTACCCTTTTTGAATGCCAACTCATTTATCTATAAAATAAGGATGATAACAATAATTACAATAATAGCTTCCAGTAGTTATTGGGTGCTTGCTATGTGCTGGGTACTGCTGTAAGAACTTCACATGTACTAATTCCTTTAATCCTCATGGCAACCCTAAGATATAGGTACTATTATTATACCATTTTATATATAGGGCAATTGAAGTAACTTGGCCGAGTTCACATAGCTAGTTGTAAGAGATCTAGGATTTGACCCTAAGTAGTCTCACTCCAGAGTTCTTAATTGTGTTTTTCCCTGCTAGCCTCTAGCTTGTACAGGTGTTGGAAACAAAATACCATGCGGTAGCTGCCATCATTATTATTGCTATCATTGTTATAATATTTCTCATACACAAGAGAGAAAAATAGAAAGAATTGGTCTTTGGAGTTCCTTTTTGCTTATGCTTGGAATTACTGCTATTGCTATACCCAAGTTAGAGTAACTATTTTTCTATTTAATTTTGCTTGCCTCCCACATTTACAATATTTCATTGTTTTGCTTCATGCAGCCTCACATTCTGTAGGCCACAGAGAATTTTCTAGTTGCCCTCTGATCCTCAGAGCAGATTATCTATTTTTCCAGCTAGGAAAACAGAAACAGTGGGGGCAACTCAGCAATTAGATTCTGAATAAGAACATTGGATTACACAGAAGTTGCAAAAAAACATGGAGAGTGTTTCTACCCCAAGCCAGCCACACGGAGGTCAGCTGAATTCCTATTTCTTGACTTTCATTCCTTTATACTAAATTACTAGAAAAATCCTCAAACTCTATGAATGCAACCATCTTCTTTCTTTCCCACTCTCATTGTCTAGTTGACCCCTTACCCTCTACTTTTCACTCTCAGATAGCAAGGAATCCTTTTCTTATTGATGGCTACGCACATGTTTGAAAGCATAGAAGATTTTTACCTGGGGTAACTGCATTATCATACTCAATTCCTTTCCATAGTTTTAAAGACTAAGATATAGAGAAAACGCAAAACTTCTCACAGCACGGCTGTAAGAAAATCCTTTCTTATCCTAGTGAAAAATATATGATGTCTAGTGACCATCTGGGTCCCCTATTCTATCACCTGATTCCAGCTCTTAGTGCATTTTTAGCAACTGAAACACTCAAATATAGAATCTATTCTTAATTAACCAGGAACTCACATGAATGCTTAACATATATTAATTCATTTATCTGCACAAAACCCCTATGAGGTAGGTACTTTTAAAAATCTTTATCTTATAGATAAGCAAATGAGGACAGAGAGGGGTTAAATGACTTGCTCAAGGACACAGTAAGTGGTGGAGCCAGGATTTGAACTCAGGAAGTCTGGCTCTAGATACTACATTCCGAATCACTAAAGGAGCTCTTGGTTCTTCCAGTTTATGATAAACACTGAGCTCAAAATTGGAAAACATTACTTTTCAGGCTTTGAGCTTTGCCAGCCAGTGTCTATTTGGACAAGTTGCTTAATACATTTGCCTCTCTTTTCTCACAGATAAAATGGGAGAATTTAACTGAATTACATTCTGGGATTCTACAACCCTAGTCACTAAGGGAGACTCATTTGTCAAATTTTTAGATTCTAGACACATCTTTCAGCTAAACTTCTTACCACTCTGGCTTTTTGGAATATAAAGAATGAAGCCATATGATCTTTTGGTATCGATAGGACTAATAGTGCCAATAAAGCCTATTGGGAAGTGATGAGAGTTTGACATGCACCAAGTTCTTCATGTGACAATCATCCCTCAATCACTAGAAGTGAAGGAATCCCAAGGCCTCTTGAAGATCATGGACTCACTGGTGAAGTGATATGATCCATCCATATTATCTGGCATGGGCATGGGGCTCTGGAGTGGAAGTCTTCCTTGTACTTCACTTTTTTTTTTTTTTTTTTTTTTTTGAGACAGAGTTTCACTCTTGTTGGGCAGGCTGGAGTGCAATGGTGTGATCTCAGTTCACTGCAACCTCCACCTCCCGGGTTCAAGTGGTTCTCCTGCCTCAGCCTCCCGAGTAGCTGGGATTACAGGCATGTGCCATCACGCCCGGCTAATTTTTGTATTTTTAGTAGAGACAAGGTTTCTCCATGTTGGTCAGGCTGGTCTCAAACCTCTGACCTCAGGTGACCCACCTGCCTCGGCCTTCCAAAGTGTTGGGATTACAGGCGTGAGCCACCACGCCTGGCCTGTACTTCACCTTTTTAATTGGCCTTTCAGGCAGAGAGAGTTCTATGTGGACAAGTGGGCACATTTGATATTCAGAAAATGCATCTATTTCAGATACTAGTCTGCTTACAGAGGAGGGTTTTGGGGCTCCCAAAATGTGGTAAGTAGCAAATAATTACACAGTTATGGAAATGGCATAAATGTTGGGGTAGGCTTCCATTTAAAGTTTACCTCTGCACAGAGAGACAATGGAAAGATAATTTTACACATTTGAGGATGAAACAATGTAGCAAGATATTTTCAAATATATCAGACTTCAACATTATTTTTGTATATGTTAAGAGAAAGGAATATAATCCATGGGACCACTTTCTACACACATACAAACACACAACTGCAGTAAGACCATGTGTGGTAAAAAGTAGTCTACCTCTTGCCAACCTTGTCATGCAGAGCTACCCTGCTGAAGGAGTTAGGTATGCAAGGGTGAGCTGGAAAACAGCACTTTTTCTTTTCTAGATCAAGGGAGGGTCAATCCAGCCCACATGTGGTTTCACTTCACTCCACCATGGGTCAGTTACATTGTCAACTTCTATTAAGTTAAAGATAAAGTGCCTGACACTATCCATTTTCACATAAGGTGTTTCTAGGTGTGCCTGGGATGTGCCTTCCCAAGGCCTATGGTAGTACCTAGCAGGTAACACAGAAAAAAGAAGAGAGAAATGGAAGCATTCCTGTCCCCCAAACTGTCATCTTACTCACTTGTCTCCCCTCACTTGCGAACAAATGGCCTACCGTTTATGCTCCCTAACCCCCGAAAGCCACAGAGTCAAACTGGACAGTGGGGCGCATCTTGTGAGGGAGATCTGGCTCCAAAGCAGCCTCTACTTCATATTAGAATTTTGGCATCATTTTCTCATGAAAGCAACATTGATAAATAGTCTAGTTTTGGTGGCTTTACATCAATAAATGTCTTGTTTATATCAGTTTCCTTCTGTGGTTTTCTACAGCATGATGATATTTAAAACTGTGCAAACTCTGTTCATCACATTCTCTGATTTTTGTTGGCATACTAGTCTAGGGTGGAAGTTGAGGCAGGAAAAGTATGGTAGAAGGAGGTGGGGGGTCTGTTGCCCACCTACACATTTTTTTTTTTTTTTAATTTGAGAGAATTTCCCCAGTAAGTGCATCAGTTACATAAGCTTTATGAGCCCAGGAGGTTGAGGCTGTAGTCAGCCATGATTACACCACTGCATTCCAGCCTGGACGACAGAGCAAGACCTTGTCTCAAAAAAAAAAAAAAAAAAAAGAAAAAAGAATGCCGTCTGACTTCTCAAAGAGCATCCTGAGCACATTCAGTAATGATCTACGGTGTCCTCCCATTTACACTTTTGACTCTGATAAAGGGGTAACCCATGTTTGACATGTGGGGTTTTACTAATGCCAGAGTATACATTTCCTGACACTTTTACTCTTTAAACTTCAAAACAACTTGAATGTCCATTCCACATCTGAGAGGTCTCTGTAGCATTGCTGTTTCTCTGTGTTAAGCAAATCTTCCAATGACATCTGCACAATAAGCAAGCATTTTGAAGACTGATCAGATAGTGGGGCTCTGAAAACCAACCCTTTGAAATATCTCATGTGGCAAGGGATGAAGGGATGCCTTAAAACAAGAAATAAGGAGAGAGCAATAATTCAGTATCTTATACTTCTATAACACCTAGTTTCACGGAACTCAGAAAACTTCGCAAAACATTCTAACCCAAGAGTTCTTGAGTTTACTGCTGAGGGAGACGGCAAGTCATTGGGATTGCATGAACCATGTGGTCCTTCTGTCTTCCATAGTTTTTCACCATTGCCTGAAATGCAACATAAATACATTTCCCTGTCTTCTTGGTCTCTCTCTTGCATGTCCTGAGCCATGAGAGGTGTCTGAGGCAGCATGGTACCTTGGAGAACACATGAAAGCTATAGATAAATTGTGAGGCTTCAAGTTCCAGTGTTGTCCATAGGGACAGAGGTTTAATAAAAGTTAATTTGATCCATTTTTAACAGTTGGCATAATGATTATTGCATTATGTGGTTACAGGACAAAAATCTATCAGCTTCCTGGTCACTGAGAGTAACTAGAGATACTCTTACACAGTGGAATCAAGCAATTTTAGGCTTACCTGGAAGACTGAAAGGGGATGGAAGGCACAGCACAAAACTGCCCTGAGGTTTCTTGGAAAGCCTGGATTGGGACTCTGGGGGAATATCTAATTAGTATATCAATCACACGTGTGATTAGATTTTTAAGAAAAAATATTTTACCAGCTCTAAGAACAAGAGACTCAGCTCGTGGTTACCTTCTCAAGGTCACCTTCTCTAACCTGGATTAGGTGAATCCATCATCTCTGTGTTTCCATAAGACACTGGCTGATATCTCTAACATGACTGTTATGGCTCTGCCTTGTAACTGTTTGTATACTGGTTTCCTAATAAGCTGTTAGTGCGCGGCCCAGGGTCTATGTCCTAGACTTTATTGTTTCTCCAGAACCTATGACACAGTAAGAATTTTATAAATGTTTGCTGAGCTGTGCTGGATTTTCTCTTAACCAGTAGAAAATGCCCACCCTCCCAAGGATTAGAGCAAATAGGAGGAGATAATGAAGGCTGGGCATTCTTGGTCTAGACTGGGCAGTCCCTTTCCTCTATAATGGAGCCTGTCTTTTCTTCAGGAAAAAAGGTGAGAACACAGTTTTCTAAAGTACACACAGATCACCTACATCCTCCAATCAAGGACTGCTTCTTACAAAGATACGTAAAATACCCTACAAAACCCAAAACTAATCTCTATTACCATTCATAGAGTACTTAGTATGAGCGAGGCACTGTGCTAAGCGCTTAACACACTTCTCCTCACAACCACTCTCTGGGGTTAAAGAGGAAGAAACTGAAGCCCTGAGAAGTTCAACAACCTGCCCAAGGCCAAAGAGGCAGCATACTATATGAATTGGATTTTAACCCTGATTTACGGGACTTATAAGCCCATGCTCTCACAGCTGGAATAAAGGGATAGGAATCAGTCATTTACACCTTAGTGTGAATTAGTTTAGGTAGTTTTGTTTTCCTAATTCTTAGCTGAGTTGAGTTGAATGAATGGGGGTGGGGGTGGTGGAGAGTGAGAAAAAAAGAGTTGAAGGAAGTGAGAAGACTGTACCCCGTACAAGTGACAGAGAAGGGTCAGCTGGGAATTTGGGTAGTCAAAAGGCAAGGTGACTGAGAATAAGTCTTCAGGGGAGAGAGGGAACAGGCACTAGGAAAGTCAGAAAGAGAGTAGCACAGAAAAGGAGGCAAGGACCCAGGTTTGCACTGGGGAAAGAGAAGAGAAGTGGGGTGGGGGGCAGAGAGAGAGAGTGAGCGAGTGAGTGTGTGTGTGGGGGGAGTGGTGGTGTCGGTAATTTACAACATGAACAAGCATCACCAAAGCATAAGCTAAGCCAGTGGCAGAACAAAGATACAAAGCTTCTTCCAGATCTATAAGCAAAGCACCTCTCTGCATGTCTTAGTATTTCTTTCTATTTTTTTAAGGAAATGAGCTTTTTGCCTAATAACTCAGTGGTGGGGTTGAAGACATTCACTTTAGCTCTATTAGACTCCTCTTTTAGCATGCTTCATTTCCTATGTGTTGGGCTCTGCTCTGAGAAATCTGTACTCTAATGAATTTTTTACTCTGTCTTTCAAATGCTCACTTTCTCCAAGAGCCTAGTCCTACTTTTGGTAACTGAGAGTATAAGATGAAGGTTATCTGATAGAGATGAAGAAAGCAGACCTTGTTAACTTGTGAAGTTTACTAGGTTGTACGCTGCTATGAGACTAGAGTTGGTTCTTTACACTGCGGTCATTCCCACGGTTACAGCACAGTACCCAGGACAGTGTGAGAGACAGATGGGGTGATGGATGGATCTGTAAACACAGTGACAGAGGGACAGACAGCCTCAGGTTCTCAGTAACTGCTTTGGAATTAAATATACCTTGTTCCAAGTTTGGACCTGCCACTGGCTAGTTACAAGATATCTCACTAAAGACTGTTTCCTCAGCTGTAAAGTTAGGATAGGAATGGAATCATTCTCATAAAATTGTGGGTAAGATTAATCAAAATAATGTATATAAAGTGATGGGCACTGTGCCATGCATATTGTAAGTGCTTAATAAATAGAAGCTATTAGGGAAGCCATACCTTGCTCAAAGATGACCTGTGAAGGTCAGCAAGGATATGGGGACAAGATGCCCTGTGCCTTAACTCTACCATGATGTGGCTTTTCCTTTTTTCCTTCTTTTCTTTCCTTTACTCTCTTTGTTCCTTCTTTCCTTCCTCACTTTCTTCTTCTTCCCTCCCACAAACATTAGAGGAGACAACGCTAGGAATAACACAATTCATCGACGCTTCCTGATTTCTTCCTGCCTTATCCCAGGCCTTTCTGGCCATCGGGACACAGCGGCTCATTTCAGGATCACACCTCTTGTCAAAGGACCTTCCTCCCTTCAGTCATGTCACACAGGATATTAACTTTTTAATGACCCTTTGGACTCTGTCTCCCCTGCTACCATTTTATCATCTCATTATGGTACTTACAAAACACACCTTATTGGATTAGGTGTCAACATTAAATGGAATGTCCCAACAAGTACTCCTTTTTCAGGACCCCATGATGACAAGCTGCCCTGCTTCCTGTTGTCTAACTGCCTAAGAGATCTGGTGAGGGCTGTACAGAAAGCTGGCTTGAAGCTAGGTTCTATCCATAGCTTCGCTTTACCCTGCCCCATACTAGTGGGTTAAGAAAATTTCAGAATAAACTCGGTGAGTATAAAATTATTATGAAGGTCTATATCATATGGTTTCCTGCATAGAAAAGTAAGAGTGTTAGCAAATCCTTATTTATATCAGTGCCTGCTCTATGAGGTAGGAACTAGCTAAGTGTTTTACATATGCGATCATCCTTACCAACCCTGCTCTGTGGTTGGGATAATTATCTTTGTTTTACAGATAAGGAAAACTGAGTCTTAGAGAGGTAACGTGGCCAGCTGATGTAGTTTGTCCTGCCCGAATATCATATGGAAATATAATCCCTAATGTTGGAGGTGGGGCCTGGTGGGAGGTGGTTGGATGATAGGCATGGCTTCTCATGAATGGTTTAGTATCATCCTCTTGGTACCATCCTCAAGATAGTGAGTTCTTGTGATATCTGGTCATTTAAAAGTATGTAGCACCTCCTCACTGTCCCTCTTGCTCCTGCTTTCACCATGTGAAGTAGTAGCCCATGCTACCCCTGCTCTGCCTTCCACTATGATTGGAAACTTCCTGAGGCCTCCCCAAAAGCAGATGCTGCTATGCTTCCTGTACAGCCTGCAGAACTGTGAGCTAATTAAACCTCTTTTCTTTTTTCTTCCTTTTTTTTCTTTTTGAGTGGCATGACTGCATGGTGCACTCACGGCTCACTGCAGCCTTGACCTCCTGAGCTCAAGTGATCCTCCCACCTCGGTCTCTTGAGTAGCTGGGACAACAGGTGCATGCCACTGTGGCCGGCTAATTTTTGTATTTTTTGTAGAGACAGGGTTTCACAATGTTGTCCAGGCTGGTCTCAAACCCCTGGGCTCAAGTGATCCTCCCACCTCAGTCTCCCAAAGTGCTGGGATTATAGACATGAGCCACTACACCCAGTGCCTCTTCTCTTTATAAATTACCTAGCCTTAGGTATTTGTTTATAGCAACGTGAGAACAGCCTAATACACCAGCCCATGCTACAGAGCAAGTGAGAAAGCCAACATCTGTCTGATCTTAAAACCCTATGATATTTCTTTTTTTCCAGGCAGTATCTCTACTCCTGGTGGGGAATATTTAGCTTTGACATTGCCAAGTCTCCTCTTGGTCTTGTCCTCCTGAAATTCCCCAATTCTTAAAAATTGCCAAGATTCCCCCATTGGGAAAAATCATATCTGGTAAAAAAAGAAAAACCATGCTGAGATGACCATCAGCCATCTCTTCTAGAGGCATATATATGATCAAAATAAGTCACGGCTTGGTATTTAACAGCCTCACTAATAGTGGAGTAAGTGTCAAGCTCCAGGCAACTCGGGCAGAGGGCCCTTTCTACCTCTGTGAATCACATAGTAGCTCCTTTAGGCAGCCGAAAAGGTGTCTGTGTCTATCCACTCAGTGACCAGAGTCAATAGCAGTAAGTTACAGAGAAGACACCACTTTCAGCTGTTCCAGCATGCAGCCCACGGCCTGTGTCTGTGCGTGTCTAGGCCTCAAGGACAGTAACTCCCCATGTAAAAATTGAAGCCTCATGAGAAGGTAATGAGCATCTACAGGTCTGGGAGCTGTGTTAATGCAGTGACAATCATTCTTCCCTTAGGTTTCCTTGTGTCCCTGACATAAACACCTAAGTGCACTGCAGCCCTGGATAAAGATAACTAGATAAAATGAAGAAGAGAAAGGGAATGGAAAAGACATGAATGACGGAAGAATTCACTATGAAAAAGAAGGTAGCTGGCTGGGCTCTGCTTTGTGACAGATCTTTCTGCACCTGCAGCAGATAACCTAAGAACTGCCTAACCTTGGCTGGCGCCATGACAGGAATAATATTTTCACAAGTATGAACTGTTCCTGAACTGTATCGGCCAGATTACTGGATACAAATCAGAGCATTCTCTTTTTCACTCCCTCATTTTTATGTCACTTAAACATCTCTTTTTCTCTACCTCTTTCTCAAGTCCTTTTCCTACTTTGTTTTCCAAGTTTAAGGAACATAGTAATATAGCATATTTCTAACTATAAGGTCAATAGAAAAACTCTTCTCGTCAAATTGTTCATGAGGACTTCTGCTCAAAATTTCCAAAGAAGGCATCTTGTATACTTAGGAAGCAATAATCATCATTTCAAAGCATCAGCCAAATTATTGCCTGCTCTTAAATTGTTACCTTAGGACTTTGGAAACACTAGATTGTAAGGAAAGCAAAAAACTTAGAAAAAAAAAAGATTTATTTTGGGAAACTCCACTCTGCTACTGTTGATTGATTTGTAAGCTGGAAGGTTTTGAACTATAAAACTCCAATGTTTCATCACCATATCCACAGAAGAAAGTTATCTGCTGGTGATATTTCCATTCTCATGGTGCTTATGAACAATGAGGTTGATAACTGGTACAGATACATCAACTCTTAGTGCAATGAAGAACTCAGGAGGCTTAAGATAATAAGTGTCTTAAGAAGAGCAGCACTTAAGGCATCCAAGATTTAGAAAATAGAGTGACCCCTCCAGGACCATTCCCAAACTCCGGCTTTGGCTGCTGCAGGGAACAAAGTGGGTCTTGTTCATTACTGTATCTCCCACACAATGCTTGGCACAATGCAGGCATTCAATAGACATTTGTTCAGTGGAGACTGAAGGAAGAGAAATTCTAGTTATCTTAAAGGGCAGCGTAACATTATAAATGGACGGATGCAGGATATTTGTATCCCTTTACACATAAACAAACACCATTAAGGCATTATAAAAACATTCAGCATTTCAATGTTGAGCCATCCTTGCTGCCTGAATGCTTTCACCTACATTTTTCTTATGGCCAGGTAGGTCTTGCTCCCTGCAGACTTCTCGTGGCTCTTTATAGTTAAAGCCAGTTCCTGTTTTGTAACTAATAGAGGTGCTTTGTCTTTGGAACTTAAATTTGACTCAAGGTATTTTTCTGATTAGAATTGTTCCTTCTTTGTTGAAAAGCTTCAATTCTGTGGATAATTATCATTACCTTCAAAGAATCACAGAATATTAGAGCTGGAAAGGCCGCCAGGGATCAGATAGCTGCAACACTCATGACGCCCTGACACCCTTCCTTGGGGCTGTATCCTCCTCCTGCCAGGTGGCTAGGCCAAGTCAACATGCACTGGGTTGATCATAGGAGCAATCACAATGTGAACATACCTGGGATAGGAGGGCATTAATTTTTCAATGAAAAAATGTTATGGTCCAGATCACACAGAGCACACTATTTATTTTTGACTCTACATGAGAAAAAGGAAACGTGCCTACAGTAAAAGCTAACCACCATTTTCAGAGTTTAGCTTTCTTGGATGAGCAGCCAGACTCATCTTTCTCTAAGCAAATCTGACGGTTCCACACCCCTGGCTAATATCCTTCAATGGCTCTTCAGTGCCCATAGGACATAAAGTCTAAACAACTTAACTTGGCACACAGGACTCTCCTGGATCTGGCCTCCGTCCACTCTCTAACACTGGCTTCCACTTTTTGTCCTTCATTTTGTGCTCATGGTTTTCCTTCTGCCTGCAACATCTTCCTTCTTCATTTGGATAACTCCTACTTAGGCCTTACCATTCAGCATAGGCATTGCCTCCTCCAGGAAGCCTTCTCTCAGCCTCAAGCTTCCACCGAACTCCATGCTTGCCCTATTCATAAAGTTACTATTTTTAAATCTTCTTCATCTATTAACTGGTAACTCCTTTAGGACAGGGTTTTGTCTTCTCGTTATCCGTGACAACCAAATACAAGCAGACACAAAGATGCTTGTTATGTGTGTGTGTGTGTTTTTTTTTTCTCTGAATTGGGATGCAAAAACACTCTCTGCTTTAATATTTGTGCAGAAAGTTAACGTTAACCAACGGTCTATATAAAGACATTTCCCAGAGTCTAGGCAGAATTATGTGGTCTAAAGTGCTGTCCGATCACATAGATGTTAAGAAACCAGAAAAGCTTCCCTCTCAGGATGTAATTGCATGGATTTTCCTAATGCTGATGTTTCTATCTCTTTAGAATGAGTCATATCATATATGCTTTCAGGTGACATGATGGGAAGGTAGACCTAACCCCTTGATTTTTACCCCAAACTCATGCAGCAACTAAATACATGCATGCAAGGCAGTTGTCTTATTTATTTATTTATTTATTTATTTATTTATTTATTTATTTATTTATTTTTGAGACAGAGTCTCACTCTGTTGCCCAGGCTGGAGTGCAATGGCATGATCTTGGCTCACCGTAACTTCCTCCTCCTGGGTTCAAGCGGCTCTCCTACCTCAGCGTCCCGAGTAGCTGGGGTTACAGGGGCACGCCACCACACCCGACCAATTTTTGCATTTTTAGTAGAGACGGGTTTTTGCCACGTTGGCCAGGCTGGTCTTGAACTCCTGATCTCAGATGATCCACCCACCTCGGCCTCCCAAAATGCTGGGATTACAGGCATGAGCCACTGTGCCCAGCCGCAAAGTGATATCATCAAAGCTCATTTCTCACAGATTCAAGATTGATGTAACAGGTGATGTAAAGATATTCCTTTCCATGGTCACACATGCTCACACATGGAAAAGAATATCTAGGAAAAATAAACATTTTAGCCCTGAGGCAAATAAACATATAACCTTTACCCTTGTTGATGTCAAAATGCTGCTGGGGACATTTGTGATCACTGGGCCAATACAGTCCCACTAGAGAAACAAAAGAGACTCCCACTGGCCCAGTCAGGCCCAACCATTAAGGAACAGGCTATGGCAGATTCCTATCCATCAATGGAAGAAAACAGAGAGACAGTGTAAGTACATCTGAATTTACCAAGGGGGATGACAGTAGTAACAGCATTAACTCTTCAAAGGCGCCTGGATATGGACTCAATTTCTGTGGATGCCAGTGAGCTCTGGTGTACTTTTGCTTTAAGCACTTAAAAGTTAGTGTGGACAGAGCCAAAAGGCAGCGTATGGAAATTTAGGAGTACAGCAGAAGATAAACCAATATTTCAAGAGCATGTTGAAACAGTAACCTTTAAAACAAGTTGTCAGAGAGGAAGAGCCTGCAAGGCTTTGAAAGCTCCATCAAATAAATTAAAATATGATTGTGTTAAAAGGCAGCACCTTCTGCTCTAGCCATTGTAAGCTAATATAAAAGAAAATTGGAAATTGGAAATCATTTGCTGCTAGTATACATGGATTTTGTTAGTGTATAATAAAATAGGCATTCTGAAGTATGCTTTTAAAGAGAAGACTCTGTGACCTTTCAGACGTGTTTCTTAACTCTCTCCTTTCAAACAGGGATTCTCAAGCTTCGTTTATAGCTCTTGCTGGTTCTAAGAACCATCCTAGGTCTGAGAAAAGAGACTGGGGCTGGGGCAGGGGGAGGGCAGAAACCAAGTACTGTTCCTGGAATTATGAGCTTTTTCTCCCTTCCCTGTTTATCTATTCTGTACCACTCAGCTGTTCTCTGTTGCACAGAAATAAAAGTTTAGTTTAAAAAGTATGTTAGAACAAAGCTGCAGAAATTGCTTGGAATTTCCTTCATTTTCAGCATCTGGCTTTCATTGCTTACTTAATTCTCCTCCTCCACATACGTTTACCAAATCTTTTCAACACACACTGGCCAGGCTATCAAATGCTATAATTAATAACAGTCATACACTTTTTTTTTTAAAGGTAGTACTTTCTGCTTTTCCTTGGGCTGCTCATGTCATTGCTATTGTAAACCAGGGAGATAGTTGCTAAAGCTTATTTTTTTTTTTTTGGAGACAGGGTCTCACTCTGTTACCCAGGCAATAGTGTAGTGGTGTGATCACAGCTCACTGCAGCCTTGACATCCCTGGGTTCAGTGATCCTCCCACTCTAGCCTCCCAAGTAGCTATGACTACAGGCACCCCCCTCAACCAACACACACCCAGCTAATTTTTGTATTTTTTATAGAGATAGGGTTTTGCCATGTTGTCCAGGCTGGTCTTGAACTCCCGATCTTAAGCAATCCATCTGCCTTGGCCTCCCAAAGTACTGGGATTACAGGTGTGAGCCACCACGCCCAGACTGAAGCTTAAGTATTAAGACTTTAGTTAAATAAAAACATCTAATAAAATTTAAGTCCTGAATTTTTAAAAATCACGTTTTCTTTTAAACTAGAAGTACTAGTTTGAAAATGAAAAGAAAGGAGAAGATAATGAATTTTTTTGAGTGCCTACTATGATCCTATTTCAGAGATGAGAAAATTGAGGATTCAAAAGGTGTATGGCCTCTTGAAGGTCAGATAGCTGAAAGTGACAGAGTAGGTCTAAATCAATGTGCTGGTTCTTTTATTTTGGTGTCTCAGGGATGTAAAAGATTTTTAGTGCATAATATTAAATGGCAAAATCAAATTTCCCAACAATATACAAAATAAAATCCCATTTACAAAGGGAAAAAGCTTTATCTATTTGTATATCTTCTTATATGTATATAAATTCATAGAAAACTATCTGGAAGTGTATGTAGCAAAGCATTAACAATGGTTATCTCTGGGTATAAGAAGGAACTAGAACTGAAGAAGATGGTGGTGATAAGGGAAGGTATACCTTTCTTTTTTTTTTATTCTGCTGTGCTTGAGTTTTAAAGAATGAGAATATTCATGTATTCCTTGTATAATTATAACACAGAAAACCTCCTTATTAGGAATAGGAGGCTGATTTCTTTTTTAATGACTGATCTTAGGTCCTTTTTGGGTATTTCTCCCTCGAGCTGGTTTCACCACTGAAGGACTGGGTGGATGATATGGCTTTTAGACACACAAATTACTCATTAACTTTGATGGAAAATTCTCACTGGCAGCTCACAAGCAAAAATGGTCCTAACTGCTTATGGTTAATCTTAGGCAAAGTTGTGAAGGGATTAACATCTGTCTTCCATATACTACTTTCCATCTTTCCCGACAATCAAATTCCTCCCTGGGTAATGCCTATAACTTACTTAACCTCCATCTGTCCCTCTCTTTTCTATTAAAGCTTGTCCTTGTATCCTTACTTGGGGGATACTTTGCCATACATACATGATAACATAAAAGGTTCAATCCTGGCCGGGCACGTTGGCTCACGCCTGTAATCCCAGCACTTTGGGAGGCCGAGGTGGGCAGATCACGAGGTCAGGAGATCGAGACCATCCTAGCTAACATGGTGAAACCCCGTCCCTACTAAAAATACAAAATATTAGCCAGGCGTGGTGGTGGGCGCCTGTAGTTCCAGCTACTTGGGAGGCTGAAGCAGGAGAATGGTGTAAACCCGGGAGGCGGAGCTTGCAGTGAGCTGAGATCTCACCACTGCACTACAGCCTGGGCAACAGAGCGAGACTCTGTCTCAAAAGAAAAAAAAAAGGTTCAATCCTGAGGCTATTTATGTTTTAAGTTGGCATTTAAATCCTTAAGCTTAAGGAAAGGATCAACAGCATCTGGAAGGTTGGAGAGAAGGGATAAGGAGGATGCAGAGGAGGGAAAGCACTGAGGTCTTCCCAGCTGTCATTGATAATATGGTCCAAACATTGCTACCTATAAATTTGGCCCTGGTCCTTCATACTCATTTATATAATAAACACTTAATAATCATCTACTATGTGTCAAACATTATACTAGGTGTCAGAAATATAGAAAGGAGGATTCAGACACAAAGCTGATAGCAAGAACTCTAAAATCTAGTACTCTTCTAACAGAAAATGACTATTTTTAAAAAGTGTTCTAAAAAATGTAGGCACTACATGCACACAAACACACAAATTGGAACAGTCAGAATACCTCCAGCTTGAGAAGACATCTTCCTATTGTGAATAACCAGGTATGAGGATGTATTTGCCTAAACCTGGTGAAAGTTAGACATGTGCTTCTGAAACAATCCCTGCCATCACACAGAGTCAAGAGAAGCCAAGTTTAATCTTAGAAAGCCTGGCTAAGCAGATTGGACTTGCCCTCTAGGGCCTTTGGTATTCTCCATGTGATCTGATAATTCTGACTACATACAAGAAAAAAAGTGGCTCCCTAACTGGTGTTCAGTGGGACTAACAACTGCCTGGGAAAGCTATTTATCTTAACCAGGGGGTGACCTCTCAGAGACAAAGGCCCAGTGACTAAGACTTGAAATGTCATTTTGTTATGTCCCACTGAAAATGCTATGGTATTTTTTTAAACACATGCATAGCAGCACAGACCAAGACCCCAAAGGACACGGTCTAGAAACTTGCATCCCATCAGAAGACACACAAAAATGTACAGGGAACGCTGAACCATGTGGAGTAAGAATTGTGAATTAAAGACCTAAATTGCTCCCAACAGAACAGAGGTTGTGGGTTGTGTGGGAAAACAACACACTATTATGCTCCTACCAAACACATTTTATTTTCTGTATACATTGAACACCAGGAGAAGGGAAGGAGAGATTTTTCTCTGACATCAGAGTGAGATATTCCACAGGAAAGGCACCTCTATACAATTATCATTTTTAGGGGGAAAATCTGTTTTGACTCTTGGATGAGATTAGGCCATTATACTTTGGTCCCCTTTATTGTTGCAATTAGCAACCTTCTACAAATGTTTAAATGTGTATGGTCGACCCAAGAAACTCCTGGCTGTGCCCAGTGAGAGGTCTTGCCTGTTGGCTTGACAGCTGGCTGGTGGGAAATCAGAGAATTGAGTTTATCTGGAGCAAATGCGACAACATTAAGCTCAACAACTGTTCTTGTCTGTGAGTCAACAAAAGGGTCACAGGATAACCTAACCTTTTGTAACTTAAACATAGTTAGTACTTTGAGAATGAGAAGTAACATCTCATGTCCTATTCGTTTTGGTGCTCAAAGAAGGGTTTAGGGACCACGAGTCCCAGCAGTTTTAAGCAAGTCCCAGGCACTGACTCCTCGGCACTGCCTCAGCATTTGGGTGTTGTTACAACACAGGAATGTGGTTAGAAAGACCCTTTTGCATGTTTTTCAAATAATGGCAAATAAGCAGAACAGAAATTACAGGAATGATTAGCACACAGCAGCAGGAGTAGCTGTTTAATGCTTCTGCCTACAAAATAAAGAATCATGGGACATGTGAGCAAGTCATGGGATCTCAGATCATCAGGTACAACCAGTTCACTTTGCAGATGTGGAAACATAAAGGGCAGACACCTCGCCCTAGGCCACAGAGCTAGTTGGTGACAGCAGGATGAGAAGCCAGGCCTCTTGGTTGCCTAACAAAGAACGTTGCAGGCGTTCCATGCTGAGTCGATACTGCTTCTTCCTAGATGACAGGACTGTAGTCAAATAGAAAAGTTGGTGCCCTTTGCCCACACATTTAGGCTCAACAACTAGAGAGCTGCGAAGTTAGGACAGAAATGTGGAACCAGGTGGGGCAGGGATAGAAAACGAGGTTACTCAGGATTTCATGTACAGGACCTGACTTTGACTCTATCTTGTTGACTGCTGTTCTCATGGGTTGGGTGCTTCTCCAAAGCAGTGGCTGACTGATTTTATGGTTGCCTTGGAGAATATAGCATGAGTTGCCCTCTTAACTTCTGTATTTGAAGAGGGGAATGCCCTGGTCCACCATTCAGATCATCATACAGAACAACTCTGGTGACTAGCAGGAGGAGTGTCACCATGGGATGTGCCTCCATGTGATTGGAGGAGGACTATGATCTGTACCCTCCAAGTCCCAAAGAAAGGAATCTAGCCAGCTGGGAAATAATACAAGCAGTGCATCATCGTGACCAGCAAACTATTGTTAATGCCTGACAGCAATACAGGTATTAACTACTTCTTACATGACACACTTTGCAGAAAGAGAAAAACTATCATTCAAAATCAGCATTCCCCCTTTTATCTAGGATCTGACCCTATTCAGCAACATTTCTTCATTCCATCAGCAGATTTGAAAGTCTGGATTTAGTTCTTAAACGTCTCCCTTCCAAACCCATAGATGAGATTTGCTCAAAAAGAAGTATCTAGAAGGCAAGTTTCTCAAGACACCATAAAATTGTAGGGACTGAAGCAGTGATTGGATTGATTAATTCAATCAAGGCTGTGACTCAATGTTGGCTAATAATGAGACCCAGGCAGGGCTGAACAATGAAATGCTCTAATTGATTTTACGCATGTGGAATGACACACACACCCCCAGAGCATGCTACGATGAATCTGCATGCTGTGTGCATATAGATTTCACAGTGGATCAATTATACCACCCAGTTGCTTCAGGCCCTTATATTCTGCAATTCACAGACCAGTTCATTACTATGGTGTGAGTGCTTAGGACACAGGCTAAAAGGTGGCAGAGCCCATGAAGTCTGTTGTCACCTCATGTTCCCTTTAGGGGAAAGCAACTGCGTGGCACACACACATACCAGCCATGCCACAGGCTCAAGTGAATGCACGGTATCTTCCAGATTCTGGCATGACCATTGACTGGGCTAGAATTCCAAAGCCCTGGTTTCAATTAAACTTAAGTGGATTTGACTAAAAGTTTGAACTGATGCTAATTGGTTTTCAAAACACTGAGTAACAAATAAGTGTTACAGTCTTGCCCACTGAAAGATGCGCCCAGTTCTGTACGTGCCCCTGGACAGCAGGGCAGGCCACACATCCCTTACCTTGCTGGGCAGGGATCCAAATTGCAGGACTTCAGGAGCTGTGGGGGCCGGCGGCTGGTCACGCACAGGTTCTCCTCAGCAGGCTCCCGAGTCTGTTTGTTCAAGCAGCTCACCACAGCCTCCTGGACACCTGTGTACAAATCACACGGTCAGGCCAGAGTGCAAAGTGGGTGTGTGTGTGGGGGGTGATGAAGTGTAGACAAGGCAGCTGGTGGGAGGTCCCTGTGTTCTGTAGGACTCTCGCTGTATGTCAGAGATGGCAGTTTAAAGCCCAGGACTGCCAATCTTGTCAAGCATCACTTGAGCTGGGAGAAAGTATTCATAAGCTTGTTGCCTCTGTGAGCATGCTCCTTGAGGAGGGCAACTCCCCCACAGAAGAGAGGCTGCTACCTAGACTCTTGAAATGCTTAAAAAAATGCCACGAGGCTAATGCCACCAATGCTGGAACATGATACTTCAATGAACAAGGAGCACAGGGTGGCAAAAAAGGGGCCCAAAACCTTCACATCTTATATTTTAATTGAAAGGAAATCGTTGTATTTGGAAGGGAGGCCCAAGGCCATGTTTTATATCCAGAATTCTGTAAACTGCTGGGCTCTTGAGGTCTTGAATCTAGGACTCCAGTCTTTGCTGTTTGCCTTCTGATTCTGGTTCATTTCTTTTGTGACCTAGGGCAGCCTTGGAAGTTGGAACAAAGAAGGAGAATAAGATGCATAATAACCACAGCCGTGGAAAACAACCTTCCCACTGACACCCGCAGGCCCTGACTCAGAGCTAGTGAAACAGGAGTTTGAGCAGTGACTGGCACAAGGTTACTGGGAAGTTCTCCAAGGTGGTTTGCAGGGCCCTTGGGGAGACACTTATTTTTATTTTATTTTAAAATTTTTTTTCAAGACAGAATCTTGCCCAGGCTGGAGTGTAGTGGCACGATCTCAGCTCACTGCAACCTCTGCCTTCCGGGTTCAAGCGATTCTCCTGCCTCAGCCTCCCGAGTAGCTGGGATTACAGGCGTGTGCCACCATGGCCGGCTAATTTTTGTATTCTTAGTAGAGATGGGGTTTCACCATGCTGGTCAGTCTGTCTCGAACTCCTGACCTCAAGTGATCTGCCCACCTCGGCTTCTAAAAGTGCTGGGATTACAGGCGTGAGCCATTGCACCTGGTCCCCTTGTGGAGACATTTAAATGAGCAATGTAATGACCAGACATTTCATTTTGATGCCCAGTCATAATAACAGTAGCTAACATATACAGGATGCCCATTATTAACCAGGTACCAACGCTAAGAGCTTGGCATGCATCATTCAGTCCTCTCAACAACTGCACAAAGTAAGCACTATTTTTATTCCCATTTAACAGATAAGAAAACAGGCTGGGAAGGGTGAAAAGACCTGCTTAAGTTCATACAGTTGTAAATGGTAAAGCTGAGGATGGCTGTGCCCTTAGTACTGACTGATAGACTTAATATTTAAAAATATTAAGAGGCTGTCATATCTACTTCCCTGGAGATCTTTAGGAATAACCTAGACATTTGTCTGGAATCATTTCAGCAGAGCTCAGTTTGAGTGAAGAGGCAAGACAGGACATTCTCACTAATTTGCCTTCAGACATACATAGCTGTGTATATAAAGATACTTACATTTAAAGATACCTATCTATAGCTGGACATTTATATATAGTTATAGTAGAGTCTGGGACTATCCATGTAATTAGCAATATACATAAATACACATATATTGCCTTGCTTTATTTTCTGCATTGCTTCATCAGATACTACCTAGTATAGTACAGTTGACCCACCATGCTGCTCTCCTCCCACGTATGCTGTGTTTCTCCAAGAAGTCATCAGCTCAATCATCAGCTAATACTTCCTAGGTTGATGTGACATTGATCTAGTCCACTTAGGAAGGCCATCATTTAAAAAGTGACTCAGCTGGAGTCCAAATCACCTTTCTTCTTTGTAAGTCTGAGAAATTAAACATTTTTTAAAAAAAAGAACCACAAAGCCAGGCACAGTGGCTCATGCCTGTAATCCCAACACTTTGGGAGGCCAGGGTGGACGGATGACCTGAAGTCAGGAGTTCGAGACCAGCCTGGCCAAAATGGTGAAATCCCGTCTCCACTAAAAGTACAAAATTAGCCAGCTATGGTGGTGCACACCTGTAATCCCAGCTACTTGGGAAACTGAGGTAGGAGAATTGCTGAAACATGGGAGGTGAAGGTTGCAGGGAGATGAAGGTTGCAGTGAGCTGAGATCACACCATTGTACTCCAGCCTGGGTGAGAAAAGCAAAACTCCGTCTCAAAAGTAAATTAATAAAAATAAAAATAAAAAAAGAATCACAATATTTACCCTGTGGCTGTGATGGTATCTTTACATTTTCTTTTTTCTAAATTGTTTATGAGCTTCAAAATTTAATTTAAATATATCATGGCCAGTTCAGGGTGGAGCATTTGAGATTTCTATTAGACATTCAAATTATTCCATCATATTCTGTAATGCTGACTGCAGGGTGTTCTCTTGGTTGTAGATGGGATGAGCCATTTGAAATTCATGGTATGACGACACAGCCAAACACTTCATAAGAAACAGTTGATATAATCACTGATACTTCCCACTGGAATAGTCTAGTATTATTAAGGTAGTGATGAGAAGTCACTGGATGTAGCTTTCTATCCCATACAGAATCTAGAGCTGTGGTTATCTTAGAAATTAAATTTTTAACTCATTTACCTGTTTGGTAGTATTCAAGAGATTCTAAATGAGACTCTAAAATAAAACATATTTTGCCTTTATTCAGCTGTTGAAAACCTTATGAAATTGGGTCAACGATCCTGAGGCAGGAAGTGACCGTGGGCTTGTCACATGCTTTACTTGAAAGTGACTGGATCAGGTGTGTGTGTGAAGGTGTGTAAGTGATGTGACCTGTGTTTCCACTTTGTGAACTCCTTCTTGATAGAACTTAGGCCCTTCTGGACAATGCCAAACCTCGCCCAGAGTCAGGTGTGTAAACCAGCTGGAGCGGCGGCGGCAGCGGCAGGACTGCTGTGGTGCCGAGAGTAGCAACCCGGAGGGAGTGACACTGGCTGCGGGAACCCGGTGACAGCGTGAGAGGTACTAGGTTTCGACAAGTTTGCATCATGCATGAGTATAAGCTAGTCATTCTTGGCCCAGGAGGCGTTGGAAAGTCTGCTTTGAATGTACAATTTGTTCAAGGAATTTTTGTTGAAAAATATGTCCTATGATAGAAGATTCTTATAGAAAGCAAGTTGAAGTAGATGCACAGCAGTGTATGCTTGCAATCTTGGATACTGCAGGAACGGAACAATGTATAGCAAGGAGGGATTTGTACATGAGAAATGGACAAGGCTTTGCATTAGTTTATTCCATCAAAGCACAGTCCACATTTAATGATTTGCAAGACTTGAGAGAACAGATTCTTTGAGTTAAAGACACTGATGATGTTCCAATGATTCTTGTTGGTAATAAGTATGACTTGGAAGATGAAAGAGCTGTAGGGAAGGAAGAAGGTCAAAAATCTAGCAAGACAATGGAACAACTGTGCATTCTTAGATTCTTCTACAAAATTCAAAATAAATGTTAATGAGATCTTTTATGACCTAGTGCGGCAGATTAACAGAAAAACTCCAGTGCCTGGGAAGGCTCGCAAAAAGTCATCATGTCAGCTGCTTTAATGTACTAAGTGCATTGCAGCTCTGAGTCAGCTCTGAAGAACTGTTGTCCAATTCAATAGTGCCAACACTCCAACTTTGTTAAACCTACCAGCATCTTAAATGGACTTTCCTGTGGTGGTACCCTTTAAGAGCATATGAAAGCTACTATATCAGTTTGCACATTCTAATCACTTTCAAGCTTCACAAGAGAGATTTTTACTTATATAATAGTCCTAGATTATGCAGCTGGTAAAAGCAGAGACTACATCCAGTATTACTGCTAAGAGACATTCTTCATCCACCCACGTTGTACATGTATGAAAATGGTGTACTGTATACTCTAACCCTCACTCATACTTTGTATTGGAGAGTACAATAATGTAAATCCTAAAAGCACCACTATTTTACCATAATAAAACAAAGTCCAAAGAGCTCCTATGTAGACTACTCTAGATGACTTTGCTTCTTTGATACTTGTAGCTTATTGTAATTTTTTTAAAGAAATTTAAGGTCACTATTATTGTAGAAAATAAGTGCTCTAATTAATACAGCTATATAGTTTTTAAAAATGTTTCAAAAACCTATGGAGACAGTGATCTTGTCTTTAAAATATGATAGTCCTTTCAGTATAATGTCTTCAACAGATTGCCTTTAATATCTGTTGGGAAGGAAATGGGCAGACTTTTCAAATTTCTTTATTTTTTATTTTTTTAAAATTTTTATTTTATTTTATTTTATTTATTATTATTATTATTATTATTATACTTTAAGTTTTAGGGTACATGTGCACAATGTGCAGGTTAGTTACATAGGTATACATGTGCCATGCTGGTGCGCTGTACCCACTAACTTGTCATCTGGCATTAGGTATATCTCCCAATGCTATCCCTCCCCCGTCCCCCCACCCCACCACAGTCCCCAGAGTGTGATGTTCCCTTCCTGTGTCCATGTGTTCTCATTGTTCAATTCCCACCTATGAGTGAGAATATGCGGTTTGGTTTTTTGTTCTTGCGATAGTTTACTGAGAATGATGATTTCCAATTTCATCCATGTCCCTACAAAGGACATGAACTCATCATTTTTTATGGCTGCATAGTATTCCATGGTGTATATGTGCCACATTTTCTTAATCCAGTCTATCATTGTTGGACATTTGGGTTGGTTCCAAGTCTTTGCTATTGTGAATAATGCCGCAATAAACATATGTGTGCATGTGTCTTTATAGCAGCATGATTTATAGTCCTTTGGGTATATACCCAGTAATGGGATGGCTGGATCAAATGGTATTTCTAGTTCTAGATCCCTGAGGAATCGCCACACTGACTTCCACAATGGTTGAACTAGTTTACAGTCCCACCAACAGTGTAAAAGTGTTTCTATTTCTCCACATCCTCTCCAGCACCTATTGTTTCCTGACATTTTAATGATTGCCATTCTAACTGGTGTGAGATGGTATCTCATTGTGGTTTTGATTTGCATTTCTCTGATGGCCAGTGATGGTGAGCATTTTTTCACGTGGTTTTTGGCTGCATAAATGTCTTCTTTTGAGAAGTCTGTGTTCATGTCCTTTGCCCACTTTCTGATGGGGTTGTTTGTTTTTTTCTTGTAAATTTGTTTGAGTTCATTGTAGATTCTGGATATTAGCCCTTTGTCAGATGAGTAGGTTGCGAAAATTTTCTCCCATTTTGTAGGTTGCCTGTTCACTCTGCTGGTAGTTTCTTTTGCTGTGCAGAAGCTCTTTAGTTTAATTAGATCCCATTTGTCAATTCTGGCTTTTGTTGCCATTGCTTTTGGTGTTTTAGACATGAAGTCCTTGCCCATGCCTATGTCCTGAATGGTAATGCCTAGGTTTTCCTCTAGGGTTTTTACGGTTTTAGGTCTAACGTTTAAGTCTTTAATCCATCTTGAATTGATTTTTGTATAAGGTGTAAGGAAGGGATCCAGTTTCAGCTTTCTACATATGGCTAGCCAGTTTTCCCAGCACCATTTATTAAATAGGGAATCCTTTCCCCATTGCTTGTTTTTCTCAGGTTTTTCAAAGATCAGATAGTTGTAGATATGCGGCGTTATTTCTGAGGGCTCTGTTCTGTTCCATTGATCTATATCTCAGTTTTGGTACCAGTACCATGCTGTTTTGGTTACTGTAGCCTTGTAGTATGGCTTGAAGTCAGGTAGTGTGATGCCTCCAGCTTTGTTCTTTTGGCTTAGGATTGACTGGGCAATGTGGGCTCTTTTTTGGTTCCATATGAACTTTAAAGTAGTTTTTTCCAATTCTGTGAAGAAAGTCATTGGTAGCTTGATGGGGATGGCATTGAAACTATAAATTACCTTGGGCAGTATGGCCATTTTCATGATATTGATTCTTCCTACCCATGAGCATGGAATGTTCTTCCATTTGTTTGTATCCTCTTTTATTTCCTTGAGTAGTGGTTTGTAGTTCTCTTTGAAGAGGTCCTTCACATCCCTTGTAAGTTGGATTCCTAGGTATTTTATCCTCTTTGAAGCAATTGTGAATGGGAGTTCACGCATGATTTGGCTCTCTGTTTGTCTGTTGTTGGTGTATAAGAATGCTTGCGATTTTTGTACATTGATTTTGTATCCTGAGACTGCTGAAGTTGCTTATCAGCTTAAGGAGATTTTGGGCTGAGACAATGGGGATTTCTAGATATACAATCATGTCATCTTCAAACAGGGATAATTTGACTTCCTCTTTTCCTAATTGAATACCCTTTATTTCCTTCTCCTGCCTAATTGCCCTGGCCAGAACTTCCAACACTATGTTGAATAGGAGTGGTGAGAGAGGGCATCCCTGTCTTGTGCCAGTTTTCAAAGGGAATGCTTCCAGTTTTTGCCCATTCAGTATGATATTGGCTGTGGGTTTGTCATAGATAGCTCTTATTATTTTGAAATACGTCCAATCAATACCTAATTTATTGAGAGTTTTTAGCATGAATTTTGTCAAAGGCCTTTTCTGCATCTATTGAGATAATCATGTTGTTTTTGTCTTTGGTTCTGTTTATATGCTGGATTACATTTATTGATTTGCATATATTGAACCAGCCTTGCATCCCAGGGATGAAGCCCACTTGATCATGGTGGATAAGCTTTTTGATGTGCTGCTGGATTTGGTTTGCCAGTATTTTACTGAGGATTTTTGCATCAATGTTCATCAAGGATATTGGTCTAAAATTCTCTCTTTTGGTTGTGTCTCTGCCCGGCTTTGGTATCAGTATGATACTGGCCTCATCAAATGAGTTAGGGAGGATTCCCTCTTTTTCTATTGATTGGAATAGTTTCAGAAGGAATGGTACCAGTTCCTCCTTGTACCTCTGGTAGAATTCGGCTGTGAATCCATCTGGTTCTGGACTCTTTTTGGTTGGTAAGCTATTGATTATTGCCACAATTTCAGATCCTGTTATTGGTCTATCTTCAGAGATTCAACTTCTTCCTGGTTTAGTCTTGGGAGAGTGTATGTGTTGAGGAATTTATCCATTTCTTCTAGATTTTCTAGTTTATTTGCATAGAGGTGTTTGTAGTATTCTCTGATGGTACTTTGTATTTCTGTGGGATCGGTGGTGATATCCCCTTTATCATTTTTTATTGCATCTATTTGATTCTTCTTTTTTTCTTTATTAGTCTTGCTAGCGGTCTATCAATTTTGTTGATCCTTTCAAAAAACCAGCTCCTGGATTCATTAATTTTTTGAAGGGTTTTTTGTGTCTCTATTTCCTTCAGTTCTGCTCTGATTTTAGTTATTTCTTGCCTTCTGCTAGCTTTTGAATGTGTTTGCTCTTGCTTCTCTAGTTCTTTTAATTGTGATGTTAGGGTGTCAATTTTGGATCTTTTGTGCTTTCTCTTGTGGGCATTTAGTGCTATAAATTTCCCTCTACACACTGCCTTGAATGTGTCCCAGAGATTCTGGTATGTTGTGTCTTTGTTCTCATTGGTTTCAAAGAACATCTTTATTTCTGCCTTCATTTCGTTATGTACCCAGTAGTCATTCAGGAGCAGGTTGTTCAGTTTCCATGTAGTTGAGCAGTTTTGAGTGAGATTCTTAATCCTGAGTTCTAGTTTGATTGCACTGTGGTCTGAGAGATAGTTTGTTATAATTTCTGTTCTTTTACATTTGCTGAGGAGAGCTTTACTTCCCAGTATGTGGTCAATTTTGGAATAGGTGTGGTGTGGTGCTGAAAAAAATGTACATTCTGTTGATTTGGGGTGGAGAGTTCTGTAGATGTCTATTAGGTCCGCTTGGTGCAGAGCTGAGTTCAATTCCTGGGTATCCTTGTCGACTTTCTGTCTTGTTGATCCGTCTAATGTTGACAGTGGGGTGTTAAAGTCTCCCATTATTATTGTGTGGGAGTCTAAGTCTCTTTGTAGGTCACTCAGGACTTGCTTTATGAATCTGGGTGCTCCTGTATTGGGTGCATATATATTTAGGATAGTTAGCTCTTCTTGTTGAATTGATCCCTTTACTATTATGTAATGGCCTTCTTTGTCTCTTTTGATCTTTGTTGGTTTAAAGTCTGTTTTATCAGAGACTAGGATTGCAACCCCTGCCTTTTTTGTTTTCCACTTGCTTGGTAGATCTTCCTCCATCCTTTTATTTTGAGCCTATGTGTGTCTCTGCACGTGAGATGGGTTTCCTGAATACTGCACACTGATGGGTCTTGACTCTTTATCCAATTTGCCAGTCTGTGTCTTTTAATTGGAGCATTTAGTCCATTGACATTTAAAGTTAATATTGTTATGTGTGAATATGATCCTGTCATTATGATGTTAGCTGGTTATTTTGCTCATTAGTTGATGCAGTTTCTTCCCAGTCTCGATGGTCTTTACATTTTGGCATGATTTTGCAGCGGCTGGTACCGGTTGTTCCTTTCCATGTTTAGCGCTTCCTTCAGGAGCTCTTTTAGGGCAGGCCTGGTGGTGACAAAATCTCTCAGCATTTGCTTGTCTGTAAAGTATTTTATTTCTTCTTCATTTATGAAGCTTAGTTTGGCTGGATATGAAATTCTGGGTTGAAAATTCTTTTCTTTAAGAATGTTGAATATTGGCCCCCACTCTCTTCTGGCTTGTAGGGTTTCTGCCGAGAGATCCGCTGTTAGTCTGATGGGCTTCCCTTTGAGGGTAACCCGACCTTTCTCTCTGGCTGCCCTTAACATTTTTTCCTTCATTTCAATGTTGGTGAATCTGACAATTATGTGTCTTGGAGTTATTCTTCTCGAGGAGTATCTTTGTGGCGTTCTCTGTATTTCCTGAATCTGAATGTTGGCCTGCCTTGCTAAATTGGGGAAGTTCTCCTGGATAATATCCTGCAGAGTGTTTTCCAACTTGGTTCCATTCTCCCCGTCACTTTCAGGTACACCAATCAGACATAGATTTGGTCTTTTCACATAGTCCCATATTTCTTGGAGGCTTTGCTCATTTCTTTTGATTCTTTCTTCTCTAAACTTCCCTTCTCGCTTCATTTCATTCATTTCATCTTCCATCGCTGATACCCTTTCTTCCAGTTGATCGCATCGGCTCCTGAGGCTTCTGCATTCTTCACGTAGTTCTGGAGCCTTGGTTTTCAGCTCCATCAGCTCCTTTAAGCACTTCTCTGTATTGGTTATTCTAGTTATACATTCTTCTAAATCTTTTTTCAAAGTTTTCAACTTCTTTGCCTTTGGTTTGAATGTCCTCCCATAGCTCGGAGTAATTTGATTGTCTGAAGCCTTCTTCTCTCAGCTCATCAAAGTCATTCTCCGTCCAGCTTTGTTCCGTTGCTGGTGAGGAACTGTGATCCTTTGGAGGAGGAGAGGCGCTCTGCTTTTTAGAGTTTCCAGTTTTTCTGTTCTGTTTTTTTCCCCATCTTTGTGGTTTTATCTACTTTTGGTCTTTGATGATGGTGATGTACAGATGGGTTTTTGGTGTGGATGTCCTTTCTGTTTGTTAGTTTTCCTTCTAACAGACAGGACCCTCAGCTGCAGGTCTGTTGGAGTACCCGGCCGTGTGAGGTGTCAGTCTGCCCCTGCTGGGGGGTGCCTCCCAGTTAGGCTGCTTGGGGGTCAGGGGTCAGGGACCCACTTGAGGAGGCAGTCTGCCCGTTCTCAGATCTCCAGCTGCATGCTGGGAGAACCACTGCTCTCTTCAAAGCTGTCAGACAGGGACATTTAAGTCTGCAGAGGTTACTGCTGTCTTTTTGTTTGTCTGTGCCCTGCCCCCAGAGGTGGAGCCTACAGAGGCAGGCAGGCCTCCTTGAGCTGTGGTGGGCTCCACCCAGTTCGAGCTTCCCAGCTGCTTTGTTTACCTAAGCAAGCCTGGGCAATGGCGGGCGCCCCTCCCCCAGCCTCGCTGCCACCTTGCAGTTTGATCTCAGATTGCTGTGCTAGCAATCAGCGAGACTCCGTGGGCGTAGGACCCTCCGAGCCAGGTGCGGGATATAATCTCCTGTTGCACCGTTTTTTAAGCCCGTCGGAAAAGCGCAGTATTTGGGTGGGAGTGACCCGATTTTCCAGGTGCCGTCTGTCACCCCTTTCTTTGACTAGGAAAGGGAACTCCCTGACCCCTTGCGCTTCCCGAGTGAGGCAATGCCTCGCCCTGCTTCGGCTCGCGCACGGTGTGCTCACCCACTGACCTGCGCCCACTGTCTGGCACTCCCTAGTGAGATGAACCCAGTACCTCAGATGGAAATGCAGAAATCACCCGTCTTCTGCGTAGCTCACGCTGGGAGCTGTAGATCGGAGCTGTTCCTATTCGGCCATCTTGGCTCCTTGCCTGAAATTTCTTATTATATGTTTCCTTTTCTGTTTACATAAGGAACAATGTTTATAGTCATGTATACAGTGGGTGCCTACAACAAGAAATGTATATTTTCAAACAATTTTTTAATGATGTAACAATTTTTGTAAATCATTTTCAGGCTTCTGCAGCTGTAGATCATCACTGTGAATTGCTTCCTTGCTCATGCATAAGTGTATCTGCAATACTAAATATACAGGTTTAGTATTTTTGCCTGTTAGTGATTGTTTCATATGTGTAACGTTTTGGTTGAGATTTTAAATGGTGGACGAGTACTGTGGGTGTGAATGTGGGAAGTAATTTTAATCATATGGAATTGGTCACAAGGCCCAATATTCAGTAAGTATTGCTGTTTTGTTTAACAATGCCATGTTGCTTTGTATGCATTAACGTTTGGATGTAAAGATTGTGTCCATCCAACAAGGAGCCACAGTATTTAAATTGACCAACCCAATGTTACAACTACTTTGAGGTGGCCAAATGTAAACTAAAACCCTTAATTAAAATAGTTCAATTTTGTAAAAAAAAAAAAAAAAAAACAAAACAAAACTTAGGCCCTTCTAAGACTGCAAGGAATGGGGAAAGTAAGGGCTACATTTCTAGAAAGACACCAATAATCTCCTCTCTTAGGTTTGTCAAACACAAATTTACATAACTCCAAACCAATAATCATAGCTGAAAGATTAAAATAACCCATGGGGTGATGAAGTGCTGAGACTAAGAAGCAGTCCAGAGTTACTACATTCTAATCTGAAGTATTCTAAAACAAGGCTCTAGGCCTCCCCAGTGCTGTGTGTTAAATCTCTGTTATCACAGGGACCACTTGCCTCATCCTTCTTAGGTGGAGCCCAGTGTGGTGGGTGAAACTAAGGACAGAAGTTCTGTCATAATTAAGGAGTATCTTGGGCCAGCCCTGTGGTCAACACTCAATACATTTTTGTAGGATGAACAAATGCAATGGCTAAAGGGCAGGGCATTCTAAGCACAGCATGCAATTGAGGCTGAGGGGAGGTGGGAATGGGTTGCCTGGGGAGCATGAACCTGGAGTGACAGAGCCGCCCTGGAACTGGGAGTGTGGGAAGCTGGAGGAGGGAAAAACTCTAAGGGCTTCACCTTGGAGTTCACAGTAGAGTTGGCCCATGGGAGGCAGGCACGATGTGAGAAGTTAGCTCATCAAGTTTGTGCTCTTTCCAAAAGAGCTAATATATGCTCTCAGGAGGACACTGTAAACCGACAGAGAACATGTTTAAGCACAGTACTTGATGATTCTGGGTTTTCCTTTCTTGACAGAAGCAAAAAGTAGAGAGGACTTGTAAGAAAAGGGGAACAACAGGTACAAGGCTTCATCTTCCATTTTTGCTGAAGTCAATGTCAAGTATTCCCCCAGCTAGATTTTAACGTGGATTTTACTGTCTAGGAGTTCAATACAATAAAGCTGATCAGGCTCAGAGTTGTTTTCCTTGATAACACCTATCAGTTCACATGTGGGAAATTAAAATCTAACAAGGAAGTGACAGTTGGACACAGGATACAGATCTGAGCAGGTTAGGCTTGCGTTCGATCTTCCAGAAAATGGGATTTTCAGTGTTTATATCTCCCAGAATAGTATAATTGTTACATGATATTTGATGACAGCTCAGGGAAACACAGCCACCAACTACAGACTAAATTACTAACTAGTTCCTTCTGGTTGCTACCTCTGCTAGGTGAAAGGTTACTTTTCTGTCTATCCAATTTCATCTCTTGAGATTACAAAAACAATAAAATTAGCCTGACTGGCTCTACAACCCAAAATTGATTTAAAATCTATTTGTTAATCCTGCAGATTTTTGGTTGGCTTCAGAAGAAATAATTAAAAATATATATAACCTTGTGGGTGACATTTTGGTGAAAGATCAAAGTTGATAATACAGTAAAATGTTACTGTCGAACAAAGACTTGAAAATATACACGTCCTATATACCAAAATAAATTTTAGTGCATATGGGCATCATATGGACCATATAACCCAAGCATATTTTCATCACTTTGGAATTTTCGACTCTAACTTTTTAGGCTTAAATATATTACCTTGGCACAGTGACATAACTGAAGGTAAGTAGGTTCAGTTGTTGACATTTAAAGACCTAAGAGATTTCAGTAACTTTACCCTGCTTTGGATATAAAGGATGTACAATTTACGTTATATAAAAACACTTAGCTTCTATAGGTAGAGATCAATTGTATCTCAAACATCCAAATCTTATTTCTAAATCAGTATCTTCTAAAAACATTTTAAATTAAATACACTCCACATACACTCGACACTTCAAATTTTATACCCTTGGTTGGTCAGCAGAATGGTTAGACTCTTAAAGAAAAAGGTATCTGGTTATTTAGATATTCCATTACTGTATCTATTTTTTCCATCTGTTCATAAAATTCCAGGCTTGACTTGTAACTGAGAACTATAACTGAGAGACCATAAATAATTTTTTAAAGCACATTTGTCTTAGACTAGAAATAATGATCATTCAATTCAGGTGATCATGGAAATTGGGGATGAAAGCACAACCATCTGAATGCTGAGTCATCTGCTATGTTGGAAAGAAGCAACTGTAGCCGCTGGCTAACAGCCTTTCTACCTGATCTCTCAGCTCCTGCCCAGGCTCCAGAGATCACCAAAGCTTATTTAACACTTCTCTCTCATTAAGCGTGAAAGAAAAGACGTTCTCAAAATGAGTGAAGAGTCCCATATGAACACAGTTACATTCACTGAGTTCCAGGAAACTGTCTTCCGGAATCATTTGGAAGAATTTAGGTTTTAACATACCAGGGCTCTCCATTAAAACACTTCAGAATTCCAGGGTTTGAAACTGGAAGATGTGGAAACAAACAAGAACCTCAAGGTCAGCACTATTAAATGCTTACTAAAAGACCTGCTGGAGAAAATTGATTCTTTGCTAGTACTTGTTCCACTATTCATTCCTTTTCAACTACATGTGAACAGTGTGGTGCATTTATTCTTACGTTCTCAATCATGACAAAAGATGCCTTTTCAAAGTTTCCAAAATATCATGGTTTAGAAAACAGTTTTGGGAAATCATTTTAGTGCTTTTTTCCACCGGTTATTAAGAATCTTTGCTGAGAAAACAGAATCTCAACATGCTCAAAGGGGTTACTAATAGCCAGGGAAAGATCTGGCAAGAAATCAGCTGGCGCTCCCTCATCTATTAAAATTTCTCTTGGGAGTAGATATAGGAGATGGTGTCAATATGAATCTACCGTATTTTTAGTGTGGGAAGAAAGTTCGTAATCTTGAAGAATCAGTTGTTGATTTCAATGCCTTCCTCTGCCACTACAATCCTGTTCATAACATCTGAAAGAATCACTGAATCTACTGTTCTATCACCATGGAATACACCAAGGAGAACCAGATGGATATATGTGGAAACATTTAACGTGAGTTAACTGATATTCATAATGAGAAAGCTTCAAGAATTCTCTAGCTGCTTAAAAAAGTGTGGTATGATGGAAAGGCTCCAGGCAGAGAAAGGAAAGCTTTGTTCTAGTCCCAGCTCTGTCGCTCACCAGCTGTATGATCTTGAACAAATCACTTTGTTTCTTTGATTCTTAGTTTTCTCATCTGTAAGATGGGGGTGGGGTCAGACTTTGAACTTTAAACTCCTTTCCAGCTCCAGGTAACCACTGTATCAATTACCTTTTAGACACCCTTCCTCGAGATGTAAACAGATATTACTTTGGGAAATCAGCTGAGTACATCGGAGGGACTCCGACTTGTTCTTGGGTCTTGGTTCACATTGCATGCACTGAGGCAAGGGCAGAGATCAAAAAAACAATGTTGAGAGCACGGCCAGGTCAGTGTCAACTGTGTTTCTCAGCCAGATACACGATGATATGTTGCAAGACATCAGAATGACAACTGAAAGCCAAAGCATTTGTTGTACTGGCCACTCACAGCTGACAGTCTGAGAGCCACTGGAGCCAAGAGACAAATACATCTGTGTTTGATTCAGTGTGCTTTACATTTAGAATGGCTGCCTCCCCTCCTCCTCCTGCTTATCATTCTTGGATTTGAGGCAGTCACATGATCCAGCTGCATGCAGAGAGAGAAAATGAGCAAGAAGATGGCGGGGATCTGAGCCAGAGCCCCCTTTCTTACCTCCTCCACAGGACTCGGAGCACTTGGTGAACCCCTCATACTCCCAGTCATACAGCTCGTCGAAATCCTGCAGGCCACCAAAGAGCCCATCTGTCTCGTCTGGGTTGAACTCAGGAATTTCCCCGCTGCATGGGCCTGCATAACAGGCACGCTGGGATGCTGGCTTGGGCCCTTCACACTCGTCAATAGGCAGGTCAGCCACGGACTGAGAGAAAGACAGGAGCACCTGGCACCTGACTATTCGCACCTGGGTCCCCACACCACAGGTGACTGTGCAGGCCGACCAGGCCTCTGGGATGAACCTGCAGTCGGCAAGCAAACAAGAGGACAGGATGAGAAGCCCCAGGCAGGAAGCCATGGGGGCTGTGAGGGGCTGCATCCCACCTGCCTCCAGTGCCCAGAGCTGTCCCAGGGGTACTCAGGGCTCCTCCACCCTGTCCTGTGATGGCGCTTCAGTTTAGTTCATAAGCGATTTTGCCACTGTTTCTGGGTTGCTTGCTTCATGAATGTCACATGAACTCCCAGCTGCAAGACATTCCAGAGACCACCTGCTTGCTCCCTACTTTGCACCCACAGTGGTAGCTCTTCCAAGCAGGGAATTGGTGGTTTCTTCTCCTCACTCTAAATTCCAATGAGATAGGAATTTGTTTTATAAGACCCCACTAATAAAATAGGATGCTGGAAAGAAGCCGGCCAGATCCTGTCAAACCAAGATGGCAATGAAAGCAAGCTCTGGTTGTCCTTATTGTTCATTATACACTAATTATAATACATTCACATACTAAAAGACACTCCCACCAGTGCCACGACAGTTTACAAATGCCGTAGCAATGTCTGGAAGTTACCCTATATGGTCTGAAAAGGGGAGGATCCTCAATTCCAGGAATTCTCCATTCCTTTCCTGGAAAACTCATGAATAATCTACCCCTAGTTTAGCATATGATCAAGAAATAACCATAAAAATAGCCAACCAGCAGCCCTCAGGGCTGCCCTGCCTATGGAGTAGCCACCCTTTTATTCCTTTACTTTAATAAACTTGCTTTCACTTTGCTCGTCAGCTAGCTCTTGAATTCCTTCCTGCATGAAGCCAAGAACCCATGAGGTCCCACCCAGGCTGGACCTCAGTTTTGGGGTTTGCCCTGTGACTCCATCACTTGTGCCTCCTGCAAGTTGCTGGCTATTCTTATAGCAGACTGATACTGATAACAAAATAAGCCCTTGGAGATATTTAAGGAAGTTTGTTTCTTTTTTAGTCTGGCTCTCATATTCTGTAACTTTCTTTGTTCAATATGCTTCCCGAGATTTATTTATATGTATAAGGAGGTATTTTTGTGTGTAAGTTTCCAAGAATGGTGCAAAGTCTTGTTCGTTACACATTCTTTGAATTAGTCTGAGCTCCAATTCTTTTTATATCATAGAGAAAAGCCGTGCTACACATGTAAATCCACACATACCACTGTAAATGAGAGGTTTTGCATTCAGACAAGTGTGCTCAACATCCTCACACCCAGTCCCCTAAAACAAGCTACATTAGTAAGAACTTCTGAGTTTTTCTCTAGAACGTAGAAAAATACCCAAATCTCCAAAAATGTCCTCCCATCTTCATTAATCAACCGTGGCCATAACTATAATGACCTTGAGAGGGGCCTAGGAAAAAAAAGCCCAGAAGCAACCACTAATAGTTTCAAAAAGTTAGTGTAATTCAGACAAAAACTTTGGGATAATTTTTTTATTTTTTATTTTTCATTTTTCCATGATCCTATTGCTTTCTCACAGGGAGTCGTGCTGCAGAGGCATGCAAACCTGGCTCCTTAACCTTGACTTTGGCAGACAATGAAAGAACTGATAAGAAGGTTATAGCATTAAATGCTAGCAAGTGCAAATGGTTCAGATCTGGTTCAGGGAAATTGAAATTCTAATAGCAAGCCAATCCAAATTTCCAAACTGGAAGGAACACAACAAAGATGTGTCCTGGGCCTGAGCCTGGGCTTCATGTGGAACAGGGGTGGTCTGCTCAGAAGATAAGAATTCCCCCAAAGCAGCACTCAGTGCTCTGAGGCATGGCAAGAGACCCTTTGAAAAAGGCCTGACCCCAGCTACCTTTGAAGAGTCATCCACTAGGAGAGAACAAAGGTCCCCATATAACCTTGTCAGGAAGGTGGATGAGGGTAGAATGGCCACCCAGAATTATCCCAAGAAAATCTCATCACAATTTCACCTCCCTCTCACCCTTTTAACTTCTTTGTTCCACCTTTTGCACCTAGAGAACTTGGAAAAAAATGGTATCCTAAAAGATTAAAAAGTCTTCTTGCTTTAAAAAATGACCCCTGCAGGAGCTTTTTAGGAACATAAAACCAAAAACTGCTATCAAAATCATTTTAACCCTTTTATTACACATCCACATCCACCTACCTGGCTCCTGTGACAAGAATCATAACAGATACACAAGCATTTAATTTTATCACACAGATGCAGACACAAAGGAAAATGCATGCTCAACTATTTTGTATGTAAGAAGACACAAAAGCAAATGATTAGCCTGCTAACTTTGACAATGGTGTGATGAATAATACTTCTTTAATAGTGTGGTACCAAACTTTGTTTTCGAATCAGAAAGATGGCAAGATCTCAAAAAGAACTGCACCCTACCAGCTTTTTCTATGCAGTAAGGATTATGGTTCTGTTGCTTATAAAGAGCCCTCTTTAGGAACCATTATAACAGGGCAAGGGCTGGCCAGCTTTTTCTATAAAGGGACAGATTGAAAATATTTTAGATTTTGCGGACTGCGTGAACTCTGTTGCAGCTACTCAACTCTGCCATTGTGGAATGAAATATGTAAACAAATTAGTGTGGCTGTGTTCCAATAAAACTTTAGTTTTAAAAAGGGTGTGATGGGATGCTGATGGAAGGGTCTGGATTTGGCCTGTGGACTGTAGTTTTCCAACCCCTGCTATAGAAAAAAACATTTGGTAGAGATACAAACGCATTGAGATCTATAGATAATCCTCAAACTTATTTTAGGTCTTAGTTTCCATCTCTTTTCACATATATAAGCTTATGGAATATGACAAGTAGCCAACTTGATTTGTGTTTTCAAAGCGAGCCCCAGATAAGATCTAGAATATAAATGATGCACAAACTAGACTCTTAGCTCTGCTTGTCTATAATATAAATGACTTTGCATTTGATGTCATTCCAGAACCAAGAAGATATACCAAAAGCACATAAAATAGAAAGGCCATTCTACTGAAGCCCCATGAACTTGTTGCAATGGTTGAAAGTTATTTTAAGGCATCATGCTTCAATTAAAACATATATATATATATATATATATATATATATATATGTATGTGCGCATGCACGTGTGTAATTTTTTACTATCTAGACATCTAGGGTTAATAGCAAAAACAATAAACATCTGTTTTATGTCTCCCAAATGAGAGTTTTATCAAATGTAAAACAGCCTCACTGGCTTATCTCCCAATCCACTATCCTTAGGTCTTCATCGAGTTCACACCAATTAAAAACAATTTGGTTTTTAAGTGGTGCTGTCCTTTGGCAGTCATCTTAATTTCTCTAGTGCATACAGTGTATAATATAATATAGTCTCTTTTGTTGAAGGCAGGAGATTATGTTTCAAAAGAAAAATATCTGATAGTGCAAATGGACAAATGAATAATAACTGTTTTTCATAGGAGGCTTTTCCCCAAGTCCCTAGATCTCCCAGCTCTGTATTTACTATCTTGAGTTTTCTGGCCACAAGTGGGAGGAAGCGAGGTCAGTGAGAGGGCAGGCAAGTGAGTTAGGAGGTTTAATTCTAATGTTTAGAAGTCTCATCTCGAACAGCACTTGCTGAGCTAGAAGCTTTAAAGAGGGACCTTTAAAATAGAGGGAAATTTTTTTTTGTTTTTAAATCAGTACATTAATCACTTTCATGTAAAAATGGACAATAAAAAGGTTAAAATTTGGGAAGTTTAAAAATTCTTCTTGTCGGCCGGGCACTCACGCCTGGGATCCCAGCACTTTGGGAGGCCAACGCAGGCAGATCACCTGAGGTCAGGAGTCTGAGACCAGCCTGGCCAACATGGTGAAGCCCTGTCTCTATAAAGATACAAAAATTAGCCGGGCATGGTGGCAGGCACCTGTAATCCCAGCTACTCGGGAGGCTGAGGCAGGAGAATTGCTTGGGCCCGGGAGGTGGAGGTTGCAGTGAGCCAAGATCGTGCCACCGCACTCCAGCCTGGGTGACAGAGTGAGACTCCGGCTTGAAAAAAAAAAAAACTCTTTTTGTTAGCAACACTACTGTTGGATGAATGAAGAATGGTTTGACAAATTATTTCTTTAAAAGATGGGTGTAAACTTCACAAGTAACTGATATGAATTCTGTATTTAGTCTTTCCTTCTCAGGAAATTAAAACAACAACAAACCACACCTGGCAAATGAATGATTAATGCTTCTGGCTGGCCTTCTATTTGCAAGCTTAATTGTTCCTTTCATTAAGAAAAAAATATATTCTTTAATTAGAGTAATTACCATAGTCTCTTTTATGAAATAGAAAACAGTGACAATAAAATTCACTTATAAAATCCCTAAATGGTTTAAAAGTTCATTAGTGACTAGTATAGAGTTAGAAGCATGCACTGAAATAATAAAAATAATCACTTTATTAATATACTGATAAACAAAAACAACTTACTCTTGGTTGATTAGTCTCGTGTCACCACAGATATTAGCTAGCACTAGCCTCTAGGTGTATGTCTACATGGCCTGTAACTAACATATTTGATATGGTTTGGTTCTGTGCTCCTACCCAAATCTCATCTTGTAGCTCTCATAATTCCCATGTGTTGTGGGAGGGACCTGATGGGAGATGATTGAATCATGGGGGCGGGTCTTTCCTGTGCTGTTCTCATGACAGTGAATGTGTCTCATGAGATCTGATGGTTTTAAAAGTGGGAGTTTCTCTGCACGAGCTCTCTTTTTTGCCTGCCGCTATCCATGTAAGATGTGACTTGCTCCTCCTTGCCTTCCACCATGATTGTGAGGCCTCCCCAGCCACATGGAACTGTAAGTCCAATTAAACCTCTTTCTTTTGTAAATTGCCCAGTCTCAGAGATGTCTTTTCAGCAATGTGAAAATGGAGTAATACAATGTGAAAATTAACTTTTCCTTTTATCCTATTACTTTCCTCTCTCTTCCTTTCTCATATATGTTTGTTTTAAAAATCATTGGGATTATTAAAAATAAAAACAGCTTTATAGGTGTCTTATTTTGATGCTATCACTAGTTTCATGCCCTAATTTAAAAATGCAAATTGAAACATGCAGGAAGTCTCATTAAAAATACTCAATTTAGGTATAGGTTTTCAATCTTATTACATTTCAAGCCATGAGCCAATAGAGGTTGTGGATTTCTCTTTACCTGTTTGATTTGGTGTATGTTTGTGTATGTGAGTGGTGGCATGACAGTAGGGTGAGAAAAGAGAAGGGAATAAACTGAATAATATGTGAGAAAAATTAGAGTTTAAAATCGGGCACAGTGGCTCATGCCTGTAATCTCAGCACTTTGGGAGGCTGAGGTGGGCGGATCGCCTGAAGTCAGGAGTTTGAGACCAACCTGGCCAACATGGCGAAACCCTGTCTCTACTAAAAATACAGAAATTGGCCAGGTGTGGTGGTGTGAGCCTGTGATCCCAGCTATTCAGGAGGCTGAGGCAGGAGAATTGCTTGAACCCGGGAGGTGGAGGTTGCAGTGAGCTGAGATCTTGCTACTGTATTCCAGCCTGCTGGGTGACAGAGTGAGACTCTGTCTCAAAAAAAAAAAAAAAAAAAAAAGAACCCAAAAGATTACTGATTACTGGATAACTCTGTTAAGTGCATTCTTCCTAGGTTGTCTTAGCCTTTCATTGACTTTGAGCTATTATATTTTACCACCCTCTAAGTGGCAAGAAATTGATAGTGCAAATGATTCCTGCCCAGAGAAATACAGATTAACTGTGTCTAGTGGAATGCAGTTGATTGTTGCCCTGTAGCTAGACCAATTTTGCATCTATTTGTAAATTCATTTGGGCATTCATATTTGCCTAAATAAATAGGGTTTTTAAACTTCCTTTGAATTGGCTGTAACATCTTATTGGTTCCCTCATTGGTTAATGAGGTAGGTTAAATCTTTGTCAGATGTTCATTTTATATTTACATGAGAATCATGGATTTTCCCTTTTAAAAATCTTATCATTAACAAGTGGCCACAGAGGGATCTGGAAAATAGTATATTGGAAAAAGAAAATATGTCATAAGTAATTCTACTCTGAATCAAGTCTTTTCCATAAATATGTTATTTAGGACCAAAAAATTTACATACTTTACTGGTAAAATATGTAATTCCATATTGCCTCATCATTTTTTAACCCAATCTTCATTCTTATATATATTTTTTAAACTTTGAAAAGTTGATCCTTCCCCTGATTCTGGGCAATCCTTGAGACATTAATGGAGTAAAAACCTTAGGATAAAGTGCAGTTAACTAAACCTAAGCTGCACATTTTGGCATCTGAAGAGGCTTTTGGATAAATAGGGAAAAAATTACTACTGGATGAGAAAGAAACTTGGAAGAGAGAAAAGGAAACACCTTCTTTGTATTTCTACTCTTATCTACTTCCCATTTTTACATGAGATGAGAAGATCTCGTGTAAAAACTCTTTAGTTATTTAATGCCTCTCAATGATGTCAAAAAAAAGTTTTAAATAAACCCTCTAAAATAAGTAAGCAAACACCATTTGGAATGCTATAATGGAAGGGAAACTCTTCAATTGAATCACTTTAGGAATTTTAAAATTACTTGTAAAATCTATAATATTAAGGCATTCTTAAAATATAGCTGGAGCATTAAAGTTTTGAGATAATACTTATCCAAAATATCCCTCTAAATTTACTTAGAACCACGCCTAAATCATTCCACATAAATGAGAATCTAACTTATTAGGAAATATCTTTACTCAAGGATATTTAATCTGAATGTGGAATTATGAAAATATTTCTCAACTGCTGTTGTTTACAATTCTCTGGAACTGCAAATAAATCATGCTAGTTATGCAACTCATATTGAGGTCTCTAAGCAAAATTTTTCAAAGGTTCTAGGACATCACTCCTCAAAACATCTGACAGCACCACTTCTTTTCATAGATTTCTCAAATCCTCAAGTGTCAAGCCTAGGCTATGAGGCATCTTCAGCACTGTAAGGTGCCCCAGGAGAATAATCAAAAATATAATGATCCTGGAAATTAAAATAAAACAAATGATAATTTTGAAGCAGCCACCAATACAACTACTTGAAAAGAAAAAGATTGAGTGTCCCTGTCTAATATTGCTAACCAGTAATAATTTGACAGAAGAACTTAATTTAAAAAACATATTAAAGTGGCCAGGCACTATGGCTCACACTTGTAATCCCAGCATTTTTGGAGGCCAAGGCAGGAAGATCACTTGAGGCCAAGAGTTTGAGACCAGCCTGGGCAATATAGCAAGACCCCATGTCTACCAATAATAATTATAATAAGTTAGCTGAGTCTGGTAGCACACACCTGTAGTCCCAGTGACCAGGAAGGCTAAGGTGGGAGGATCTCTTGCACCCAGGAGTTCAAGGTTACAGTGAGCTCTGATTGTGCCACCGCACTCTAGCCTGGGCTACAAAGAAAGACCCAGTCTCTCAAAAAAAAAAAAAAAAAAAAGTAAAAAACCCAGCAAAACACATGGAAAAGCTATATTTACAGGCATTTTCCAAGTAACAAACAGACTTTTTCTCATGACAATGACGCTCTTTTGGGTTGAGAGGCAGCTGGCCTCTCTGCAAGAATGCCTGAATGTCTTTCTTGCAGAAAATGCTCAGTGATGGAAGTTGGGTTAAAAAACAAAATGCTGACTGCATTAAAGAGCACATTTTCCTTTCAAAGAGACTTTATGCTAGAGGAAAATGTTGCAGGGGCTGAGTTCTCTGAAAGTTCCAATTCATCCAGAGACTACTGGCTCTTTCAAAGCCTGGGATCTTGATGTTTGAGCACTTTGTTGAAGTCATCTTGAAGTTCTGCCTTCTCTTTTCTCTGATATGGTTCTAGACAAGACATTATAAGGAGTCTTACTAACGGAGGGTCCCACTGACCATCAGGAGGCTGCTTTTCTTTAACAGTAAGAAAAAGGCCAGGGGGAAGATTGGTATCAGGTTCTAAGAACACAGGCCTTACTGTCTGCTATTCTTAACAAATCTAATCCTCATTCTGTCTCATTTCCAATGGCATTCAAAATAATTGACCATTGCTTGCAAGTACTTCTTCTTGAAATACTTCTTCCTCTTGAATTACATGACACCAAACTCTCTTGGTTTTCTTCTCTGGTTACTTCCTTCTCAGTCTCCTTTTCTAGGTCCTTCTATTCTCAAATTCAAAATATTGGCTGAGTGCAGTGGCACAGTCCAGGCATGGTGGCTTACTTTTGTAATTCCAGTACTTTGGGAGGCCGAGGCTGGCAGATCACTTGAGGTCGGGAGTTCAAGACCAGCCTGGCCAACATGGTGAAACCTCATCTCTACTAAAAATACAAAAAATTAGCCAGGCATGGTGGCATACACCTGCAAGCCCAAGCTACTTGGGAGACTGAGGCAGGAGAATCACTTGAACTCAGGAGGTGGAGGTTGCAGTGAGCCGAGATCATCATGCCACTGCACTCCAGCCTAGGTGACAGAGCAAGACTCTGTCTCAAAAAAAAAATTAAAATATTGCAGTGCCTCAGGACTTGGCTTTGTGCTATCTTCCAATGTGTTCATCAATGATTCCTAGTTTCAAATACCATCAGTGTACATGAAGCTTCTAAGAATTTAATCTCTATTCTAGAACTTTCTTCTCTGAAAAAAGTAAACATTAATTTAATTAATGTATTTATCAAAAACTTATTTAGTGTTTCTTATGTGCCAGGCACTACTCTAAGTGCTTTATAAATAAAAGTTATTAAATCTGAACAAGAACATTATCAGATAAAACTATTATTATTACCATTTAATAGACCGATGAGGAAACTGAAGCATAAGTTACACAACTAGTAAGGTTTTGTGCTCTTAACTACTTCACATTGCTATTTTTTCCTTCTTGACATTTTTGCTTTTAAGTTTCAAAGGCAGCTTCAATCTCCAACTTAAAATGTCCATAATGGAACTCCTGATTTCTCCCTTCAGTAACCCTATCGTCTTCCAATCTTCTCCACCACAGCAAAGGATTTTAATGGCTACCTAATTGCTCAAGTAAAAAATCAGGAGTTATTCTTGACCCCTCAATTTCCTTCACATCTCACTTTCAACTGATTGCCGAATTCTCTAAATTCTCCCTTGAAAATATATATAAACTCATTTACTTCTCTCCATTTCCATTACCACCACCTTAATATAGCAATAATAAGTGAACATTACACTTACATGCTTTATGCATTTTACATATACAACTCATTATGACATTGTTGGGAGATGGGTACTGTTGGAAACATTTTGAAATAGGCAAAAGAGATTACTGGTTGTCTTTTCAACGAACTGCTGGCATTTTCTAGCAAATTTCCAGGGGTGGTCTTGTTCTATGGAATTAGGAGCCTTTGATGGTCTTTGCTAGTCTGTTTTGCAACTCCATAGAGATAGAAGTTTCCCTGTAGAGGTCTGGTGGTGATACAGATGTTTCTTGTCCATAATAATATATGTATTTTTCTGTTCATGGCACTGCAAATGGTTTTGTCTGGTAGAAAATATATACTTTATTCTAAATCAAATTCTCATTTGAACTAGTTTTAACATCACATTGGCTTCCTCAATAATTTGTGAGTTAAATAAAATTTTTGGCCAGGCACGGTGGCTCACACCTGTAATCCCAGCACTTGGGGGGGCTGAGGTGGGCAGATCACGAGGTCAAGAGATGAAGACCATCCTGGCCAACATGGTGAAACCTCGTCTCTACTAAAAAAAAATACAAAAATTAGCTGGGTGTGGCGGCACACACCTGTAATCCCAGCTACTTGGGAGGCTGAGGCAGGAGAATGACTTGAACCCGGGAGGTGGAGTTTGCAGTGAGCTGAGATCACACCACTGCACTCCAGCCTGGCGACAAAGCAAGACTCCATCTCAAAATAATAATAATAATAATAATAATAATAATATTTTTGACATGTGATTATTTTATATTTTCATGAGACTTATGATTGTACCCTTTTGAAAATTATATTTTAATAGTACTACTTTCATCTCAATTTCTAGATGATAATATTGGAATACAATGATTTCTAAGGCCACACTGCTGAGTAAATGGTATTGTCAGGACTTGAACTCTGGCAGGCTGGCTCCACAGTTGGTGCTCTTCATCACCTCACTGTCCTGCCATGGGCTGCCACGCATACCTTGATCACTGAAGATAACATCGTCTTTCTGCTGGACTACCACAATAGCCACTGGTCTATTTTCTTCCTCTGTCACTCCTTACTGACCTGTTCTTAATGATGTAGCTAGGGGAATCTTAAAATGTAAAGCTTTTAATTGTCTCCTACTGTCCCCAGGTAAAAAAGACAAACTTTCTCCCAAGGTTATCTTGGTTATCTTACGGCATTTTCCATCTTCATCTCCCACCATTTTCCCCCAGTTACTACTCTCTCCAGCCACACTAATCTTCTTTTACTTCCTTCAATGTGGTCAATGCTTTCCTGACTCAAGATTCTGGCATGGGCGGGTTGCACCCTGGATCACCCTCTTCCCTTCTCTTTGTTTGGAATAACTCCCACTCATCTTTCAGGTCTCAGTATATATGTCCCTTCTCAAAGAGGGCTTTGCTGGCTGATATGGTTTGGATTTGTGTCCCTGTCCAAATCTCCTGTTGAATTGTAATCCCCAATATTGGAGGAGGGACCTGGTGGGAGGTGACTGGACCATGGGAGTGGATTTTCCCCTTGCTGTTCTTGTGATAGTGAGCTCTCAAGAGATCTGGTTGCTTAAAAGTGTGTATCACCTCTCCCTTTGCCCTCTTCCTCCTTCTCTGGCCATGTAAGATGTGCCTGCTTCCCCTTCTCTTCCATCATGATTGTAAATTTCCTGTGGCCTCCCCAGCCATGGCTCCTGTACCACCTGTGGAAATATGAATCAATTAAACCTCTTTTTAAAGAAATTACCCAGTACTGGTAGTCCTTTATAGCAATGTGAGAACAGACTAATACAGAAAATGGCTATCAAGAAGTGGGGCATTGCTATAAAGATAGCTGAAAATGTGGAAATGACTTTGGAACTGGGTAACTGGCAGAGGTTGGAAGAGTTTGAGAAGGCAGGAAGATCAGGGAAACTTTGGAATTTCCTAAAGACTTGGTAAATTGTTGTAATCAAAATGCTAGTGATATGGACAATGAAGTCCAGGGGGAGGTGGTCTCAGGCACCTCAGGCACTGTGGAACCTTGAACCTTGAACTTGAAAGTGATAATTTAGGGTAACTGGTGGAAGAAATTTCTAAGCAGCAAAGTGTTCCAGATGTGACCTGGATGCTTCTAACAGCATATAATCACATGCATGAGCAAAGACATAACCTGAAACTGGAACTTATATTTAAAAGGGAAGCAGATAATAAAAGTTTAGAAAATTTGCAGCCTATGTGGTAGAAAAGAAAAACCCATTTTCTGGAGAGGAATTCAAGCTAGCTACAGAAACTGGCATAAGTAAAAAAGAGCCAAATCTTAATAGCCAACACAATGGGGAAAATGCCCTTGAAGGCATTTCAGAGACCTTCACAGCAGCCCTTCCCAAATGTTAATAGCCAAGACAATGGGGAAAATGCCTCAAAGGCATTTCAGAGCTGTGGCAGTCCCTCCTATCACAGGCCTGGAGGCCTAGGAGGGAAGAATGGTTTTATGGGCCAGGCCCAGGGCTCCACTGCCCTGCACAACCTTGGGACAATGCTCCTTGTGTCCCAGCTGCTCCAGCTCCAGCCATGGCTAAAAGGGCTCCAGATATGTCTCAGGCATCTGCTCCAGAAGGTGCAAGCCATGAGCCTTGGAGGCTTCCACATAGTGTTAAGCCTCTGGGTGCACAGAGGGCAGGAGTTGAAGCTTGGGAGGCTCTGCCTAGATTTCAGAGGATGTACGGAAATGCTTGGAAATCAAGGCAGAAGTCTGTTGCAGGAACAGAGACCTCATGGAGAACCTCTACTAGAACAGTATGGATGGGAAATGTGGGATTGGAGGCCCCACACAGAGTCTCAACTGGGGCACTGCCTAGTGGAGCTGTGAGAAGAAGGCCACCATCCTGCAGACCCCAGAATGGTAGATCCACTGACAGCTTGCACCATGAACCTAGAAAAGCTGCAGGCACTCAACTTCATAGGGGTGGAGATGCCCAAGGCCTTTGGAGCCCACCCCTTGCATCAGTGTGGCCCGGATGTGACACATGGAGTCAAAGGAGATCATTTTGGAGCTTTAAGATTTAATGACCGCCCTGCTGGGTTTCTGACTTGCACGGGGTCTGTAACCCCTTTGTTTGGGCTAATTTCTCCCGTTTAGAATGCGTGTATTTACCCAATGCCTGTACCTCCATTGTATCCTGGAAGTAACTAACTTGTTTTTTATTTTACAGGCTCATAGGAAGAAGGGATTTGCCTTGTCTCAGATGAGATTTTGGACTGTGGACTTTTGAGTTAATGCCGAAGTGAGTTAAGAATTGGGAGATTGTTGAGAAGGGATGATTGTATTTTGCAACATGAGAAGGGCATGAGATTTGGGAGGGGCCAGGGGCAGGATGATATGGCTCAGATTTGTGTCCTTGCCCAAATCTCCTGTCAAATTATAATCCCCAGTGTTGGAGGAGGGGGCTGGGGAAGGTGATTACATCATGGGGACAGATTTCTCCCTTGCTGTTCTCGTGATGGTGAGTTCTCACGAGATCTGGTTGTTTAAAATTGTGTAGCACTTCCTCCTTTGCCCTCTTCCTCCTTGTCTAGCCATGTAAGATGTGCCTGCTTCCCCTTCTCCTTCTGCCATGATTATAAGTTTCCTGAGACCTCCCCAGCTCTGCTTCCTGCACAGCCTGTGGAACTGTGAGTCAATGAAACCTCTTTTACTTATAAATTGCCAAGTCTCAGACAGCTCTTTACAGCAATGTGAGAAGAGACTAATGCACTGACCCTCAGACCTAATAGGTCCCCTATTAACATCTTTGAGCATCTTTCCATTTTCTTAGAACAGCTACCAGTCTTTGATAATCACAATGCAAATCTTTATGTAATAATTGTCCCCCTCACTTGACCAAATCTCTATGAAGGTAGAACTTCACATAATAGCAGCTCAATAAATAATTTTTCAAAGAAATAAATGGATTGATAAACAGAAGGATAAGAGTTAATATTATGATTGACTTGGTACTGTGCTTATTCTTAGGGCCAAAGACTGAAACCAGGCTAGATAAAGAGGCAACAGCCAAAAGACTCTAAGAAACTAAGTCATATTTTTCTGTTCTAGGCATTGGCATGAGGAAATACAAACCTCTTCCTATTGTAGGAGTTTCATATGGCTATAGAAACCATAAGAAAACTCCTACAGCAGGAAAAGGTTAGAGTTACTATACCCAAACTGAGCAGCCACAGTGGGCTTATTCATTTATATTTCTTATAGTTATACTTATGCAGTATATGCCGGCCGAATTTCATCTTGATGGGTTGTTAGATAGTCATGTAGCTTGAGGTAAGTTGAAATTCTGTGTCTATCACACTTCAGTGAAATATCAATAAAATGTCATTTTGAAGAATAAAAAAATTAAGGGGCAGCTTTGAGACAGATGCTGACTTCAATAATTTTTACAGGACTCTGGTCAAACACTGCCTTATCATGCCATCAGCTACTCAGCAGTGAAGCGCTGGAGCATTTTGGAACTGTTCCTAGGTTAGAGAAACCCAAAGGAGAGCTTTTGTCTTTTTTGTCTACTTTTTAAAACTCAACATCCATAAAATTTTGGGAAAAAAGGAAGAAAGACTACTCACTCCACGTAGCAGATACAAATAAAGCCAAATTATTCCTTTCAGAAATGAAAAGTGAGGATATGACACTTGTTTCAGACCATCTTTCTTTCTCTTTGCTTTTCTGATCTAAATGAACAGAAAATGATTTGAAAATTTGCTTTTCCTTGCAAATAGTCTACTTAAAAGGCCACATCCCAGGGACTCAGATGCCATCACAGCTTACAATGCTATCACTGCATTTGTAGTTCTCAGCTTAATATTGGAATGTAGTTTAAATGCATAACATTTTCCCTGACTTTGATAAAGATTTAAAATATTGGAAACTCAATACTTTTCATGTACCATTTCTTCTTTACATGGAATGAAATTAGTTTATCTTGTAATTTTGTGAGGTTTCTTTCCCTTAATTCAACATGTTTGGCAAAGCTTTCCAATGAAAAGTTCAGTTCATTAAAAATGACCTTAATGGACTTAACATATATTGGTGGTGACAGGGTGCATACTTTATTTTGGCACACAAGGATCCCATTAATTTGTCTTTGTCACTCTCTAGGGCTCTGCTAAGCGACAGTTCAGATTTAGCTTTCTGAAAGTAGCCACAGAACGAGCAACTGCGGTGACAGAGGGAGGGACTGATAAATTTAGAACTTCTTGGTTTGCAATCAAGGAATGACTACAAAAAAACGGCTCTATCTGCTCTCTTGAGTTTATTATTGATTCTGCTGTTTCTGCGCATGGAGATCAAGTATATTTAACTCAGAGTAGAGAGAGGTTGCTTTTTCACCCAGGCAGCTTCTGAACTTTTCTTACTCATTTTTGTAATTACTCATAAATCTCTTTTTATTTAAATAAAGATTTGTCCCTTAAAAATAAACTCTGGGCTAAATTAAAAGTATGGTGCTTATAAGTGAGTCTTCAAAGACCCTCAGAAGTGTAGACGAAGAAAGGAAGTAAGGTGGTGTAAGCTGGGAACCCACTAGCTGAGTTTTGAGTTAAATATTGTTGTTCTCTCTCAAATGCCATTAGATACAAGATGTATGAGGCAGATACAACAGCTGCCTCAATTTCTCCATTTGTATTAAGTGGTTATTAGACATCTTAACTCCCTTAAAGATTCTCTAGGAAAATGAATGATGCTAGAAAAGGCCTAATCACAACAAAAATTTATATACATAGCACTTCCTGCATACCAGGTACTTTACACAGATTAACTTAAACCTCAGAAGAACCCTATGAGGTAGTGATTACCTCACTTCACAGGTGATAAATGGAGGCATATGGGGTTAAATGACTTTCCCAAGGTCAAGATTGAAACACAAGCTCTCTGTCCCTGGGGCCCACACTTTTAGTCACTGTGCAGAGCTGTCCTGCATGGAGGTATGATCAAAAATTAACTTGATTTTTACTCTGATTCCAGCAGGATTGTATCTTTGTCAGGGCATACAAATACAGAGACTCACCCCTCACCAACTCACCCAGTTGGCAGCTTAATGCATCTGAAAAAAATCAATTTTAGGAAATTATCTGTAGTTTCTATAGCCTGTTTTTAACATATAGGTAGGAATAACTGAGGTACACATAATGATACAAAATATCTGATCACTTGCTATGTAAAAAGATCATATCTCTTTCCCCAAGTACTAGTTCTGGAATCAAAGCCAGACTCAAATCAGTTTGATCATAATCTGTCAAACATCGGTTCATATCAACATTCCCCTCAAACCCTTTCAATGTATACATTGTATTCTTTTATCACTTAGTTCTTATCTTTATGCATTACCATGTAGTAGCTTAACTATCTGATATTTTATCTTAGAGGTAGATGCAATTCTGATATATGCTAGTAGAGAATTTGGGAATTCAATAAATAAGTCTCCTGAACTCCTTTTTAAATCAGTAACTCTCTCATGATATGATATCCAAACATCAAATTGCATTTCTTAAAGACAGCTAGCTCATTTCTTCAGTCTGTGGATAGACAACCAGTACTCAACACTTTGGTCACAATCCTATTGCTCTTGTGATAAGAATGCACTAACAGTTTCTTGAGGGCAAAGACTGGTTATTTTTGCAATACCTGCACCTGGTACATAGCATGGCATAGGGCAAGGGATTTATAGGTAAGTTTAGCTTCCATCATTAGGAGGTGTGAACAATTTAGCAAGTCTAGTGGCTCTCTAAAGTCATCTAGAATATGGAATTAGCCCAAGAAATTATATTAAGCACTTTGCTGCTGCAGAGAATAGGGAAGAGGCCAGAAAGGAAGGTGTTGGAAGTGAGAGAAGTCAAGACTATTGGAGGGGAAGGGTTGATGCTGTCTGGCCAGTGTGAGGCTTTACCTCTACCATATGCCAGTTTTCAAAATTAAGTGCTCTTTAATCTTATAATTCTAATGCTCAACTCTTTGCTGCTTGAACATTCTTTTTATTGATTGAAAGATCTGCAAACAGTATTTAAATTTCCTGATCTTAGATTTCTTAAGAATCATGAATCATCTCACCTGTTTCTACACATAAACAAGATATTCATTGTTACTTTTCTGTGGCCTGAGATTCATGAAGAGAATATAATTCAGGTACCTTATATTTAGAATATAAATAGTAACACTATATGGACCCATAAATGATGTTTGGTTCACTACATTTTGAGGAGGGATATAAAAACACATGTCACACAATTAAAATTTCTAGCCACTTAAAAAATATGAATTCACATTCTTAACCACTGAGTTAAGCCATCTACATTCTTAGACTACTTATTGGGTATAAATATGGACTAATGAAAACATATGCTTAAATATTATATCTTTAAGTACTATTTTCAACAAGATAAACAAGGCATTTAATGACTACAGAATCACCATGGTGACTCTTATTGGTTTTTCTATATGCATCTAATTCCTTCTGGGTTCTGTTCACAGATGCATGACAGGAATTTCCCTTTGCTTCTTATTGAATAAACCCCATTGCTAAGCTGATGCCATCTGGCATCCAGATATTACTGCTGCCTTCTGCTTACTTACTTTTCTTCCTCTTTGTCTTCTTTTTTGTAATGGCTCACAACAAGATTATTTATGGCAATACATTTAAGCCCTGACTATTTTGTTGAAGCACAAACATAGTCTCCTAACCATGCAAAGCCGTTGACTGAAAATCTAATAAGATAACTCAAGATCTTTTAAAAAGCAAGATCAAGGCACAAGGACTACCCAATCCTACCTTTGAAAAAATGGCATCATTAAGGCTTTCCACCTGGCGAATGCCAGCTATTTAACAAGGGAATATCTGGATAAAATTGCTATCTTGGCCACACTGTGTCCAAAGCAACTGGCATATCCCATTGCTTCTTCTGAGCCATTGAAGAACTACGGCAACTGAAATATATCTGGAAGAACCTGGCTTCCCTAAGTGCCGCACTGGTCCTCACTTTCTCTACCTGGGATGCCTTGTTTTGGAGATCAGGAAGAGCACCTAAAGCATCCAGACTATACCTTTTTTTCTTTTTTCTTTTTCCTTTTTTTTAAAAAATATGAGTCCCTTAGCAAATTACACCTTCTAGGGCATTAGGTGGCCTGTTAGTTGCCTGAAGGAGTTAAGGAAATGAACAATTTCCTTCCTGTCCCAAGTCAGAACAGGCTTTTTAAGGTAAGCTGAATGACTTCCTATCCAACAACATTTCTTTAAATGTCCTAGGGATCATCATTGTATCATTTTTCCTCAAGAAATTAAGCTGTCAGAAGGGTCACACTATGTACTTGCGTGGGTGATACATGTCAGGTGATAGTGATGTTTATGCATACATCTCAACCAAGACTAAAACTACGGTATAAAAATAAGAGATGGGAAACCTGTCAGTAATTTTTTTAGCTTCCACCTGATTAACAAATATAATTGTACTACCACTTTGTAGTTCCAATTCCCCACCAAATAAATGTACACTTTTGAGAGTTTCCAAAAAGACCTAGAAAGCTATTCCTATATATTTTTCCATGAAAGCAACCAGATGGGCTCAATCTGGCATTTAAATGATGTATCCTAAATCTAACAACACTCTCAACAGCTGGAGGGAAATTCGAAATGACATAGTTTGAACTTTAACAGAAGATAATTTTATCAGTATTTTTCCCATCCCCCCTTTTCTAGTACTAGCACGGCACTGCTATTACCCTCGGAAAAATGGAACTCTCCCAGAGTCTTAGTAATTGTAGAAGTCTACCTCAACAGTCAGAGGCATTTGAACCAGGCAACTCCATCTCAAATAGGCACTGGGTAAAATGAGGCTGAGACTGGCTGGGCTGCATTCCCAGGAGATTAGGCATTCTTAGTCACAGTCATATATATATATATATATATTTTTTTTTTTTTTTTTTTTTTTTTTTTTTTGAAATGCTCTGTTACCCAGGCTGGAGTTTGGTGGCAAGATCTCAGCTCACTGCAGCCTCCGCCTCCCAGGCTCAAGCAACCCTCCAGCCGCAGACTCCTGAGTAGCTGCGAATATAGGCACACACCACCATGCCTGGCTAAGTTTTCTGAGTTTTAGTAGAGACGAGGTCTTGCTATGTTGCCCAGGCTGGTCTTAAATTCCTCATGTTGTACATACCTAGAAAATATATTCGGCTGGGTGTGGTGGCTCATGCCTGTAATCCCAGCACTTTGGGAGGCTGAGGTGGGTGGATCACCTGAGGTCAGGAGTTCAAAACAGCCTGGCCAACATGGTGAAACCCTGTCTCTTATTTACTAAAAATACAAAAATTAGCTGGGCATGGTGGTGGGCACCTGTAATCCCAGCTATGCGGGAGGCTGAGGCATGAGAATAGCTTGAACCCAGGAGGTAGAGATTGCAGTGAGCCGAGATCACGCCATTGCATTCCAGCCTGGGCGACAAGAGTGAGACTACGTTTCTATATATATATATATATATATACATACATACATATATGTATTCATCACAATATTCCTACCTTTCTACCACATGAATCAGATGTGTCATAACAAACCAATCTGTTGTTGAGGGAAAAAAAATCAACATGTAGAAGTATTTTTGAGTTGAAGATTCAGCTTTATATAATGAATCTATCTACATATTACCACCATGTGAGCCAATCTCCATATTTATTTCAGTGGTTCTATGAAATTGATATCTGGATTTATATCTTGTGCATGGTGTTTACTGCAACCACAATGTTGGCTGTTGGTACATTCTTCTGGTCTATAACGTGTTATTTATTTCTTGGCAATTCAGTTTTTAGTCTTTTATCATTGTTTTCTTCTAAACATCTTAAAGCGGTTACTTCCCAACATATGTTTGGCCTGAGTGCTAACCAATCTTGTCCTTACATTTTGGGTTTACTAAAAGTATCTAACATCGAACAAGGTTATCTTCATAAGCTGAAGACATTCATCTGGTGATTTTTCTGTATTACATAATGAGATAGGCTGGTGATAATATTTTCACTTTCCATATACGGAAATAAATGATATTTACTGCTTTACCACAGAACTCTCCAATGTTAGCTGGAGCCAAAGCAAGAGATAATAGTTGTGGACCACTGTTCTTGCCTCACTGTAGCAGTTCAGAAGTGACAGCCACAGCTTCTAAACATTACCATTTAATTTAAGCAGTGTGAGTCTCCTTGGTGGGGGGAAGGAATGACTTGCTGACAGTTGATCATTTTTTCAATATGCTTCAGAGAGTAATTATAGGTTGTTACATACATTTAGAAACGGTCTATGTGGTTTAAGAAAAGATGGAATTAAGGCCATGCAACATTATGTTTTTTAAATTCAAAATCAATATAGATAAAAAAAAGTGACACTTAGGACGTTTCTTAGGGTGCAGTGCACTAAACACATAAAGTGTATTAAAATGTAGAAACCATATACCTTTCATTACATTATTCTACAGCTGTCATTTATTTTATTTTGGTATAAAAGTAATTATTATTCTGAGCACAATAGTATACATTTCCCTTACCCTGCACCAGCACTCCAATTACAATCTACTCCAATTCAGATTAATCATGCCAAGATGGCAATTTCATTACACTAAGAGTAAATTTTAATAGTTTAATATATGGCTATACTTTCAATGGCTAAAACTTTTTTAACTACTTTAAAGATTTTATTAAGATTAAAGTTAAACGTAATGCATCTTAATCGGATCTTTAGTAGAAAATATTCATGACAAAATATGGTTGACGATGGTCTATGTAATGCTTCTGTGGATGCATTAAACTCCACTGATAGCTTTCATCTGAAAGGCATCTAATAATGGGAAGATGCTTATCGATGTAAGATGTTTCCATTTACTTTCAATTTTGTATTATTATTTACCATCAGCCAGAACGCAAGATTATACATAGGATTACGCTTTAGTCCAAGTGACAAAATACAGTGTACAAGGGGAAAAGAGTTTATTTAGGTAAAATAAAACATAACTGGTTTCAAATAGATTTAACCCAATAGGATATAAAAGGAGTCACCAGCTCTAATTACATAGCATCTTTCTGTGTCTTAAATAGGACCTTACTGGATTAAGAAGTTATTAATGCCCCCCTAAAAAGAACTGCTTATTTACTCCTCAGCAACAAAAAGGCCTGTCAAATCAGGTACTGGCAGAGGAGAAGCAAAAAATTGTAAGCCTTTATATTTTCATTCCAAGGTTACACTGTGATCTTTAATCACTCCCTTTCCTCCAAAGTTCTGCAGTGGTTAGTTGCTTTTTCTCAAAGAAGTCAAAAAGTTTGCTGTAGTAACTTTACAGTACAGAAATAATTTATGTTTGCTTAATTATCCTTCTAAGTAAAAATATGTGTTTTCCCGGGCCAGGCGCTGTGGCTCACGCCTGCAATCCCAGTACTTTGGGAGGCTGAGGCAGGCGGATTGCTTGAGGTCAGGAGTTTGAGACCAGCCTGGGAAACATGGAGAACCCCAGTCTCTGCAAAAAAAATTAAAAACATAGCCTGGTGTGGTGGCCTGCACCTGTAGTCCCAGCTACTCGGTAGGCTGAGGTGAGAGAATTCATTGAGCCTGGCAGGTGAAAGCTGCAGTGAGTTATGACCGTGCCACTACATCCATGCCCGGGTGACAGAGTGAGACCCTATCTCAAAAAAAAAAAATAGGGAAAAAAAGTGTTTTCTAATGTGTGCATCCTTTTGGTGTATGTGAAATCAAATGACAGAATATAGTTTCTTTACAAGTGACCTTTGGTTATGGTACAAATCTATATTTTGGATTTCTTGTGCACTCAGGAACACAGTTGTGTTCTGGCAAACCACATCAGATTTAGATTCAAACAGAATGAATCTGAGAAAATTCTAAATTGCATTTAAATAGGTTGCAACGTTAATTTATATCTCCAGTAAAATTTGGAAATCATTTTATATCCTACATGCTCCACTATTAACTCTTGGAGGGTGGATGAGTTATCTTAAGTGCCAGTGAATAGCACAGAGCTTAGAACTTACATTAAATGAATTAATTTAGAAAATTTTTCAACCTGAGAAATTTCTTGGGTCATAGATGAAATTTTTCAATCAATTGTATCCCCTCGTTTGTAAAAGTGATGTAGCAGCTATGCCTATCAGTGTTTTCTAATGAAATCAATACATAAACTTATCAATCATCCACTTAATCTACTTTTGTCTCTCCTATTTGTTTCCTCTTCTGAAGACACTGGCAAATCTGGGCCTCACGGTTTTACAGATTCCATGGACTTGATAAAATTGAGTAGACATGGGACATAATCAAGTGGGGCAAATAAGCAGGTCCATCCCTGATACCAATCCCAGGAAGAAAGGGAAAAGAAAAGTTAATGAACTTCCTTTGCCCTCAGGTATACTTTACTTGCTCTTTAATTTTTGTGACTGTATTGCAAAACTGGGAGAGTGTGAAAAGCAGCTCAGACTTTGGCATCAAATCTATGTTATATCATCAGCTGCAGCCTGGGCCTTCTCACCTTTGGCCCCTTGCGCAGAGAAGAGAGGAGGTCAGATTTTGGAGAAGAGGGTAAGCACTACACCTTCATTTTCTTACTTTAGGCAAAACAGAAGTATTTACAATGCAATCATCAGCTTTGACAAACACTTTTTGAAACTAATCAATCTTTAATTTGAGAGCCAAAAAGCTTTGGTGAGATGATTACACTTAGTTCAGAACCCATGAAAGCTACAACCAGTGAGACACTGCTTTCTTTAAACAAAACAGTTTCAAATATAGAACAGTCTGTGCTTTTACAACTTACGAGGGCTCCTCTGACACAGCAGCTCCTTCTTCTAGCTCTTGAGCTTGTTTGAACCATGGCAACTTGGCCTCGACTGGAAGTTTCTCTGAGAATTCAGTGCATGCACATACAAAAGAAGAGGTTAGAACCAATCTGGGATTTTAGGAAAATTCCTTATTCTCCTCACCAAGAAGTTACTACGTTGACCAACACGAATAAGTTTTTGGGTAAATTGCTGCCTCTGATGATGGTTATATCTAGAAAAATAAAGTCGAATTTTAAAATGTTTAATAATACTAGTTTGTGTGCAAGCTTTCTCTTTATTATGATGAATAGCAAAGGAAAGTCATTTTATTATGAAAGTTGTAAGTGTAGGAGCACTAGCTCAATATGCATATAAAGAATCATCGAAGTATCTTTTTACCATTCCCTCTTGAAAAGATAGAGCAGCATTTACCTTGGAAAACAAAGTACAGTCAATTATATTGTGATATTTTCATAAATTCTAACTTTTTTTTTTTTGCCTTTTAGCTAAGTGTGATCTATGTCACATTGCCAAAAACAAACTCTTTCACTCTGAAATTCACAAAACATTGATTTAGATATCTGACTCATTCAGTACTACCCCAAGGCTCACTGACAATTGGAATATGTGCAAATGAGGGTTCATAACACATAATTTGACTTATTTCACCTATTTATCTAGCTTTGGCCAAACAATTCAAAACAAACTTCCTAGTTACTTCCTGGGAAAAAAATTGTGGAGGAGAAAAATGAAGAGGGATGTTCTAACGGCTCTTACAGAAGTAACTGCCAAGATTCCCATTCTAGCATATTTATTAGGGTCATTTATGGGGATATTTGCCTTTATAGTATGAGCCAATGATGCTCTATCACCATTTTATAACATACAATTGCAAAGATGAAAGAAATATGTCTATACATATATGCACCATAGAATTATATGGTATTTTAATGATGTTTAGAGAGCCAGGCTCACTCCTTGGTTGTGAAAATCCAGACTTGATTCTTGATAGTTAACTGCAAACTGCTTTTCTTTCTCTGAAGTGGCTTGGTAAAGATAAAGCTAATAAACAATTGACTATTTTAAGTTAGGGGCATCACTTCTTGTTCTCTATGCACAGCAATTATTTATAGTCAAAAAACAAAGCAAGTGAGAAATATAAAACTGCCAAAGCCAAAATGATTTGCTAACATTTTAAACACAGCAACACCGTACCTATACATACATCATTTTACAACTACTCCAACTATCCCAGTAAATGACTCAGTCGGCTGGGCGTGGAGGCTCACGCCTGTAATCCTAGCACTTTGGGAGGCCGAGGCGATTACCTGAGCTCAGGAGTTCGAGACCAGCCTGGGCAACAAGGTGAAACCCCGTCTCTACCAAAAAAAAAAAATACAAAAAATTAGCTGGGCACGGCAGCATGCGCCTGTAATCCCAGTTACTCCGGAGGCTGAAGTAGGAGAATCGCCTCAGCCTGGGAGGCAGAGGTTGCAGTGAGCCGAGATCACGCCACTGAACTCCAGCCTGGGCAACAGAGTGAGACTCCGTCTCAAAAAAAAAAAACAAAAAAAACCTCAGTAAATGAAGCTGTCTCTGGTGGCATAGTTAGCTCTCTGTCTTTCAATAAGGAAGCATTCAGTTTGGCACTCATAGTAAGCTTGTAATACTTTATTGCTGTTTTGAACTAAATCCTGTCAGACGCACCTGTGGCAACCTCCTCCCATAGTTGAGGGCACTGACGATAGTCAGGAGTTAAAAGTAACTTACTGTATGTAGAAGTTACTATATTGCAGGCACTAGGTTAACCACCCTGTTTATGTTATATCTCATTTAACCTACGCATGATCTCTGATTTAGATACTATTATTACACCCATTTTACAGAGGAGGAAACCAAGGCTTCGAGAGAGATGCATTTATTAAAGTTAATCAGGATTTCTGTTTTTTTTTGTTTCCTTTTATATCATTAATTTAGATTTTATGATGCCATTCAGTTGCAATTAGGGCCACCTATAGTATAATAAAGAGCTACACTGTGACTGATTTTTCAGAGAAATTTAATGGCTTAAAAAATAAAGAAATGGGAGCCATATTTAATATTAAAAATTAAAGGGGGTTTAAAGAGTTCTTTACTTCTGAATGGTTTGTGACTTTGAATTTTTCTTTTCCATTGACACAGACAAGTAACAATACTTGTACAGAAATCAAATTCATATTCTTGCTAATCTGAGATATCCAGTGTAATTATAAGTCTGGCTCACTAAATGCTTAGTTCTACACTTTCCTAAAATTTCTTTTTTATAAATTATTGCAATATCTTTTAAATTCTGATATATTTTAAATTATGGTTCTGGAATTCAGTCTCATATTAATGTTTTAATTTTCAATATAAAAAGTGACAGTTTTCTGTTTCATCAGTTTGAAGTATGAGACTTCCCAATGTACTTCAGCCTTAGCAAAATAGACATACTTGGATTCACTCCCTTGTTTTTAAAGGCAAGAAATGTGGATAGTAAATCAAACATATATTTCTAGAATATCTGGTCTCCCTTTAAGCAGGTACATCCGTATTCTTCAGCAATAGTCCTCAAACAACTTTATGACTTGGGAGATAATTATATAAATATATTTCTACATGTAGTGGTTAATGAAATTTTGCAATCAAAATCACTTGAAAGATTCTTTAAGATAATCAAATTCCTTTAGTAGAGTTTAAGTTATAAAGAATTCTTACTAAGAATACTTGGGATACTTAAAAATATTCCAAGGAGTTTAAAACACACCTGACTACACACAACAATTAACAGGCTGGTAATAGAGCACCTGTCAAGTTACCTTTGGGTTTATAGCAGGGAGTGGGTACGATGCATTCCTCTTTTATGTGGGGCTTTGTTTTTGGGCTACAGCCTCCTGTGTGCATTCCTCGATGGTCGATGCAGAGGACCACACGGTATCTGAGGCCCTGGCCACATGTCACTGTGCACTGGAAAGAGATTGCAAGAGAGAGGAGACTCGTAGGCAAAGCCTTGTTTACTTTTCTTCACTTCCCATCGAAAACTTTTAATCTAAGTTTTCTTTTTCCCCGCCCCCCCCCCCCACACGAGGACTCCTGGTAAATTTATACCACTTCTTACCAGTCAAGGGATCTTTGTTCTATTTGGCTATTTGAGGTGAAGCTCGCTGAAAATTAAATCACTTTCAATTCCATAGCTTTGGATTAATCAGTCAGCAATCTTTAAGTACCCACTGTGTGCAAAGTCTCAAACCAAGCACCAAAAAGAAGAAAGGAGAAAAGAGACTGTAGAGTGTGCTTAATTTTGACTACCAGCACTGTATTTTATTTAGTTACTTTGCTAATGACCGCTACTTCCAAAAATATGGGAAATACCCCTACATGGATATCAAAAAATTTAAACTACGATTATAGCTAAATTATATTGCAGCATTGTTAATCCAATTGATTACATTGAAAGGCAAAAATAACATTTAAAAAAACAGATTGAATGACCAGATGCCCAATGTAGATTGCACCTCTAATGGTTCCCCATGTCTGGTAGCATGTCTAGATGTAGAAAATGTCACAGCTCTGATCTGCTGCCATGAAGCCACAGGGCTCAGTGAAGAGTCTTTTGTCATTTCTGAGGCGGAGGGCACAATGGCTTATTTCATCTTTCTGTTTCCTTTACGATTTTCCTTTCTGCATTAGCAGTCAGGAAACCCTGAATGACATTTTATGTTTAATTACAGCAGGTTTCCTAACATCTATAAGTTTTTTGTTTTAATTATCTTACTTCGTTCCAATTTTAATTTTTGTGCTATTTTCATTTCCTCTTCCCCCTTCTCCAATGATTAATATACATAGTTTTAATATTAATCCACTTAGACCCTTTCGGATACAAAGCATAATACATACAAAATGAAATCAAACTTCTGGTCTACTGAGCTCTATCATCAAAGCAGCTTTTACAGATTCGGGATCATTCATTCAGCCTCAATTACCCTTGAAAGGCAGTTGCTTCCCCGTGCTATTTGAGGGAACATTATCTGGGGAACAATAGAGGCTTCTTGAAGAAACTTGAAGAAAGACACTTTAAAAAAACATCATTTACTTTTGGTCATGCTGGATTTGGGGCATTCCTACTCCAGGAGCTAAGCTGGTAGGCTTCTAGACACCTCAAGAAGAGTGTGGAGCTGCTCAGGGTACCCGGTGGGGCCATGATGATGAGAGGGAAGAGTGGACTTACTCTCCTAATGAACAAAGAAAGAAGGCACAGTTACCGGAGACCACTCCTGTGCCAGCCATTTAGGGCAGTCAAAAATGTTGCAGGGCTGCGCGATGGGCATCTTAGGGGTGTACATGCATTTCCACTCTTCCACTGAAGTGACATGCCCCTGGATGTCCTCCTCCACACAGGAAACTGCCCGGCTCTGGATGCCCCCCCCACACGAGGAGGAGCACGCGGTCCATGGGGTGGCCTCCCACCTACAGAAGCAAGGGGAGTCATCAGGGCAGACATGCACATTGCTAAGCCTCCTCAGTGACTGGTCCACCAACCCACTCCCCATGTCTATTGGTATAATCAGGTTCTGAGAGGCTAAGGTCCAGAAAACCAAAAGCCATCTATTGCCTGAAACCTGATGAGTAAGAGAGAAGGATTCAACATTGGCAAAAGGGCTCTGCAAACCGTGAAGCTCTATACAAATGTAAGCCATTACAGTTTTGAGAGCTGTCCACAAAGATATGTGTGCCGTCTGTAACCTACTCAGAAGATGTAGGATGTAGTTCTGTCCTTCTCCCATAGTTTCAGGATATGTATATATAAAATTTATTTTCATTAAACTCATTAAGTATCCATCTCAAGACTAAAGTGGTATACTCAGTTAACACTAATGGTTTGCACCTGCAGATACTTTTTATTTTCAATGTAATGCTTTATTACTTAACTTCTAGGTATTTTTTTTAATAGAAGAAGCTCATAAAAGATCAAGGTAAACAAAAGACTCTCCTTTGCTTCTGCAATCATCAGCTTTGGGACTACTTAGATTCAGCACAATTCTGATGTTCAAACTGTGCTATCATTATTAAGCTGAGGAGCAGAAGCGTTAATATTATCTACATATTCCCTAACTGTTGAGGGATACTGGTAGTTAGAGTTCCTCCAGTAAGTAACTCTTGGAACTGTGAAGAGGTTTGGTTTGAGTTGGAAGGCTAATGGCATCTGAAAGTAGACATATAGTTAAGTAAGGTAGAAAATAACAATATTGTCAAAACATTTAAGAGACTTCCATTGATTTTTTTTTTCAGAGCTTTACACAGCTCTGAAGCATTAGGTCCCAGATGCAGAGAGATATCTTTGCCAAATTCTCTTCTCTCCTCCTGTAGATTTACAGAATGTAGAATTTCTAAAAACAGAAACATTGGGACTGAGTTGAGCTGGTCTTTTTTACATATATTCTGCTTATTGATGAGGATTGCTAAGGAGATTTAAGATTTCTCTTAGAATTATGAGAGATATAATTTTAATGAGAGAAACAAAATGTCACTGGGTTGATCCATTTGAATAGTTAAAATTTTAAAATGTTGCACAGGCACACCATTGAGACATTAATTATTCTGTAGGCGGGTTTTTTGTGTACATTGTGAGTTTGATTTCTCTTCTGCATGAGCCTGAATCATGTGTTTTTCCTAGTTACAAAGGGTTTTCCTTCACATTTTCTCTGCACTGTTCAAGTTTAGGCAACAACTGTTATCTGCCTGCCAAAAGCCAAGACATGCTGCCAAATACAATATTTTCCTATGTGTATTTCCCCAGGAGACACATAAGAAAATGTCATTGTGGGGAAACTGAGGCCCTCTGTTTGGCCCTTGGGAGACTTTCTGATCTCTTTCAAGAGAATGAAGTAGCTCTGTAGAGAGTTTCTCTTCCCAATGGGTAAGACCAATTCTCCTTTGTCTCCACATAAATCTCTGGAGGGCTTCCTTCTGGAGATGAATATCAGGCCTGATTCAGATTAAAGTTGGGTTGAATACATAAGTATGTATTCACATTAGATTTGATCTGACAGTGAAGTAGGAATATGTTTTTAAATGTACATTTAATCACTTAGAATATTAAGATGCTATAAAAGAGCACATTTTCTAATTGGTACTCTAAAATTCTTAAGCTTGACCCTACTAAAGGGAGAGTGATTTATTTCTGTCTCAGCACTTGGACCTGACCATAGTGTAATTTCACAAATAGCAGTAAGTATCTTTTTCAATGTCAGTGATCATAGAAAGACAAATGAGGCAATATTATTTCAAAAATTTATACTATGGTCCCAGCATACAACTACAGTTCTATGCGTAGAAAATTATCATGTGAATACTTGTATAATAATAGGGTTATGTGGAATCTTGAAGTAAAACATGTTTGTGTACTTTAAAGAAAGCGTAACAAAAGCTGAGAGAGAGCATGTCAGGAGATCTGAAGATGGTAACCAGGTAAGTGCTTGGAATAAAAAAAAGACATATCCAAGAATCTTATCCTGGAGAACATTGAATGAATTTATACATCATACATTTAGCCTCTTTTGGCTTTTAATTTTTTTAAACACAGAGTGTGTTTAAGAAATTCTCAAATTAAGCAGGATGCACAAGAGTGGCATAGATTAATTATAAATCAAGACAATTATTCAGACTACATTCTCATATTATGTCCAGATATGTGTTACAGTCAAGGACTGAAAGCAGGAAAGAACAAGGTAAAAATATGTTAATTGTGTTTTGTATCTATACCTGTGTTCTTAACCCCATTTAAATAATTTAAATGGCCTTGATCAGTGGGTAGCTGCCATTTGAGAACCATTTTTGAGCCTTAATTCTTCTTACGAATGAAAACACAGTTGTAAAAATAGTTTCCATTTACTAAGACTTTGCCAATAAAGCTGAATATCTATCTTTATAACTAGTTCAGTATCAGACATACAAGGGGGTAAGAAATAAAATTTATTGTTCTTTCCCATTGTGATACATAGACATGCCAAGAGTGTATACAAGGACATAGTACAAACACACACCCAGGAGGATCGTTTTAATATACCATTGGGATTTAGGCATTTGGAGAAAAATCCCAACCTATAAGAAATCAATTTTAACCTAATATAGGCATTAGTTATGCCAGAGAAATATAAACAAGAGAGATCACAGATAAAACAGAAATCTAGGAGTTGCCTTTACAGGAAAAACATAAACTTGACGTTGCTTACTCCTGAGGTCCAACTTTACCTTTATCTTGAAATAATGAAATGTATGGCTTTCATACAAACAGATACATATATCCTATGAACATTTATTTCACAGATACAGAAATTGAAACCAAATGAAATCTTAGTTCAGTTAAATTAATCATTTGCTATTTTCATTACTTCAAAAAATTAATTTTTTGCTATTTCATTATTTTTTCAAGGTCAAGAGTTCTGGATAAAACCAGAAAAATGATACATTAGGAACATTCTAAAGCTATTTATTGTCTTTATCAATATAGTCATAGGAAAGTAGGAGTGAGCTGACTAATGACATAGCCACGTAGTGAAAGAGTTAAAAATAACAAGAAAAACAAGAAGTATATCTAGTATAAGTCAAATTCCTTTCCTATATGTGATCATTAGGTGAAAAATGAGTTCCCTGCCAGTCACTAGACATATTTAAGTAGATGCTGGATGACAACTTTCACTTGTATATATGTATTATATAAACATCGATAGATGTGTATATACATGTGTGAATACATATGCATTGAATATATGAATGCATATTTGCGTAAATATATATTTAACATATCTGTGGTATATGGTTGTGATTGTTCGGGAAGAAATGGGAGAATGAAGCATCAATGGGGAGTTGCACTAGATGACGTCAAGGGACCTCTATTTGGATTCTAATTCATTATGTATTTGGAGATTTTTCCATCAAACCCTTACAGTTCAAAATAAAATTATTTTCTGGGCTTGGTGTAATTTGAGATGGAGCAGGCTGCTGTGGATTACTCCAACCATTTATGATCTGATATAAACCCTTGGTTCTAAATAGCAGCTGACTCCCTGAGGGCCAAATAAGCAAAGAAAATAGAGCATAGGTCTACTTCAATCCCAATTCTAATTTCTGCTCTCTGTGGAGCTGTTTCCAATGCAGTGAACACACTCAGTAGCTAGAGTATTTTTCAGCTTCTCCGGTTTTCTTATGAATATATTATAAAGGGAACACTTTCTTTTAAAAGTTCCTGAGTTACTTTCATTACCTTTTTTCTAGTTTTCAAAAGTACTGTACTTTAAAAAAGCAATGCAGCACATTGAATTTTGTTTAGAAAAAATGTCTCCTAAAATGTTTTGAACAATAAGAATATTAAAAAATTGCCTTTTATACTTAATTATAATTTATCTGAAATAAAAAGTGGACATTTAAAGCCCCTATGCAGAATAATATCACATCTGGAATTCCATGTTAGTGGTAGTGCAATAATACTTTAGGCAGTGTTTGTTTGTTTAATAGTTAGCAACAGTGCTTTAATGACTAGGGTCCTATTGAGAGGAAAAATAGGAAAGAACAAAGGGAGGGAAAGAAAGACATAATATAAACCCATAAACTGTATCTAATCAGAGTGAATTACTGTTTTCACTCCAGTGTAACATGATTCTACCTTAAAGTGGTTTTTGAATGATAAGCTTACAGTCTGAGCAGGCTAGTATTATTCAAAAGCAGAACTCAGGATGGATTGCAAAATATACCATCTACCATCTTAAAAACATATAATCTCTCTCTCTATGTATATGTATATCTCTATATATATAGATAAGCAGCAGAAGACTAATTTGCTAATTCTAACATCAGGATGATTGATTTACGTACCGAGGAAGGGGATGGTAGAGGTCATAAGGCATGATCTGCTTGTATCCGTCACTGTTAGGAACAATAATGCCAACCCTCTGAGTAGAAGGTACACACAATAAAATAAACACTAAATGATTACATTATACAAATTTTTAATACAAATGCAAAATAACATTAATAAATTGTATCTATAAAACAACACTAAAACAGTTTTATATCTTTATGCCAGGATATGCTTTAGGATGGGGCAAGTTCTTTGAAAGGGCACCATTTACTATAATTAGTTCTCTGATCCAAGCAGGAAATACCATTGCAAAGGGTGGTGGCAACAAAACTTGGCACTTCATCATTAACTATGACACCATAAGATTGTAAATGTTCTTTAATCCCCAAATTATACATCCTATGAGGTCATTATTATTATCATCATTATTCATGTTACTTCCAGATGCTCGCCAAGCAATTACAGTAACTGTCTCACTTCTGATGAAAGAGAGAGCTATTCAAGCTGGAGAATATGTACTTCAGAATTGACAATACTATGTAACTGCATTAGCTAGGTTTCTTCTCTTGGCAGATCTAGGGATTTCACTAATACTTGGAAAGTAGCCACTTGGGTATTTTATAAGGGGAGGGGGAAACTACTGAACATAGTAGGCAACTATTAGCAAAGGCAAATTTCCTACCAAAATAAAGGTAGGCAGTTAAAATGAGATATTATGAAAAGTGGGTTTTTGTGGTCTATAAAATATTGTACAGTGTTAACTGCTATTGCAGTGATGGTTGTGATTGTCATGGCTTGTTAGTACCTCTAGGACCCTGGGAAACCTGTGAGGTTTAGAGACAGAGTGAATGCTCAGGATCCACAAGATATATCATAGGCTGTGTGGAGGTTCCTGGAGGCCTTTAGGATGCCAATAAACTACTCTGACCTACTTCACTGATTTCAACTAAAGTCTCCAATTGGTAAGACTGGTGGGTCCCTGCAGAGGCCTTGTTTTCTGGTTTGTGGAGGACTAATGATTCATGGGTTTTGGATAAGACCGCTAGTGCAACAGCACCTTCATCAAGAGTGGGAGATGGAGATGCACAGATGTAGAGCATGGTAGTGCATAAGTGGAAGATGCTTATTTTGCAACTGATAAATGATAGAAAGCCCCTCTTTGGGGTATTGAAGGAACTCATGTATTCTATCTGTGCCTCTGGGATAGATGGATGCATCTATTTATATATCTATATAATATTGATATATTCAATATAAATATGTTGATCTTTATATTTTAATAAATAAATACTTCCATTTTTACCCATTCCTCTGATATAAGATGATATAGTAGGTTTATAAAATATGGCTAGCAAACCCAGGTGTTTGGGTAGAAACAGTGAGCCGTGAGTGTGGATCACAGAGATAAAAATAGCACTGGCTGGAGATGATGAAAGGTAAGAAGGAGAGAGAGAGGGATAAAGGGGCCTGCATAGTTTCTGAAGAAATTACTGAAAGGTTAGGGGATACATGAGAGAAGTCAAATTTTGTTATTTAAAAAATAGGAAACAAAGCATTTAAGATGGATATCTATTTCCAGGAGGGAAGGTCATTGGAGTACTAACTTATTTATTTTACATGACTAAATTTTCTGTATTTATTTGTGTAAATAAGTTTTTTATATTCATTTGTGTGAGAAAATTTTCATGATGTGTGTGTTTGTGTGTGTGTGTGTGTGTGTGTGCCTGTGTGTGTATTAACCTTCAGTAACAATGTATAAGAAAAGGGATGCTGCCTTTTGGGCATGCTCAAAATCCCACAGTTCTTCACACAAGAATGAAATGAACAGCCTTTAACCTTTTCTGTTTTTTTGAGTGAACCATCCCATTTTTTTCTACCTTCTGACAGATGATAAGAAATCAGGTGAAAGCTCAATCGTTCCTCATGTTACAATCATTCTAACATCTAGTAAGAATCATTCTTACATCTAGTAATAAAGGGAATTTTTTTTTCTAAAAGGACTATATTTTAAAGAATGCCAATCCTCTTCCACAGTCCTTCTAGTAAGTTTGTACATACACTGTTATCTAATAGTAGTCAATTAAGGAATAAATCAAGTTGACTTTGAAATTATATTTTACATTACTCTAGTATCTTTATTCATGCTACATCAATTTCTAAATGCAGAAATGCATACCATTGCCTTCTCTCCTGAAAAAATTTATGGCTGTAATTTGTCATCTTCAATATTAGAATAAACTGTTGCAGATCTCTGTCAATTGATTTATCAGCTGATGATATTTAAAATGGAGGCAGTAACACTGAAGGAGACAAGCTGAAGTGAAGGAGAATAAAAGGGAGAGTGTACAAAATTCAAGACGTTGAACTTTGCTTTGGACCGATTTAGAAATTATGTTTTTGTTTGAACAAGGAACTTTAAACCTGGATTCAGCAAAACTATAGCTATATTTGTCTTCTATGACATGGGTCATGGTGAAGACTCATAAAGTGACTCTGTAGCACCTGTGAAAACAGAAAGCTATCAAAACAATGGTGCTCTGTCCAGTCCTGCTAATACATATTCGTGTACATAGGCTCAGCTCTCTCTGGGGTTCATGCCATGGCCCTAGCCTTTCACTACACTGTTGCTGGGAGAAAGCAAGCTTGCCTGAAGTTAACTTCCTATTGCTTACTTTTTTTTTTTCTTAAGCAAAGTGTGAATCATAAAGAATAATGAAAAAGAATGTAATTTCGGGACTTTAAGAAGTTCTCCCCATGTTTAGGTCTCGATGTGGGTGTGTGTACATGTATGCACGCATTCAGACATGCATCTGAATATGTGGGGTGTGGTGAAGGAGGCAAAAATGATTTTTAAAAATGGTCACAAAGGGAAAAGATAGAAGAAACAGTTGGCTTGGGGGTAAAACTCATTCTCCAGTGCCTTCATTATGCTGACCACCAGGCACACAGTTCTTACATTGTTTCTCTTACACTGGGCAGTAACATGACTCCATCTAATATCCCCATCATCAGGGGTTGTGGTGGTAAGAAGAGAAGGTGAGCATGAGCAAGTGATCATTCTGGAGTGATGTGCTATCAGTAGAAAAGGCATCCCACCTCATCCTCTCAAAATACATGTCTTACTGAATTGTCCATTGACAATTCAGGAGAATGATTCAGTGTTATGACAAGTTTATATAATGAAACATTATGCAGCACATGGACATAATGGTTTTTGAGTCATTTTTAATGACATGGAAAAATGCTCAAATGTAATGTCAACTAAAAATAATTGAATATGAAATAGAATGTACAATATGATTGACCATAATGAGAAAATATATAGATGGTGTACATATCTATGCATTTTCATAACTTACATATGTGTGTTCATGTGACACATGTATACACACAGATGTATACATGCATATATATGCACACACATATAAAAAACTCTCAACAGTGGTTAGTTATTGGTATTAGGATTATGAGTACTTTTTGCTTTCTTTTTAAATGTTTTTCTGTTTTCTAAGCTTTCTATAATATATCACCTTTTACAATTACAACAATTAGAATATTCAAGTATGAAAAAATTCAAATCTAAGAAAGAAAAGACAGAAACTTTGGAACTATGAAGTGGATGAAATGAGGCCATCACCTCAAATTCCATGCGTTACTTCAAGATCATTGAGTCTGTGCAGAAGTGATCTAAGATGCTACTTTAGAACAGAGTCCCCAGTGTTAAAAAAAAAAAAACAAGCCAAAATTGGGCTCACACTGCTCAGTTGTAGAATATAACTATTGAGATACATCTCTCTCTACAAGAAAAATCCTAAAGTAGTTAACTCCATGGGCACCTAATTTACCGGGGTTCTGTTCTTTTTTTTAATTAAATTTAATTTTTTTGAGATGGAGTCTCACTCTGTCGCCCAGGTTGGAGTGCAGAGGTGCGATCTCGGCTCACTGCAAACTCCTCCTCTCAGGTTCACGCCATTCTCCTGCCTCGGCCTCCTGAGTAGCTGGGACTACAGGCGCCCGCCGCCACGCCCGGATAATTTTTTGTATTTTTAGTAGAGATGGGGTTTCACCTTGTTAGCCAGGATGGTCTCGATCTCCTGCCCTCGTGATCTGCCCACCTTGGCCTCCTCACAGGCATGAGCCACCACACCCGGCCGGTTCTGTTCTTTTTATAATGAAAATGAACCATAAAGAGATCCTTTCATGGTTTCAAGGGTTTCTCTCAGTGAATCTCTCATGACCTCTTGCTTCTTCTCTGGAACTGCAAATCTTCGTTTCTGATTTCCTGATAACTAGATGTGCTCTAGGCTTTTCAAGCTCAGTGCATCCCAGACAATTCATTATTTGGCCTTGCTTCTTCTCCTGTTATCACGACCACCATTCAGTCATGGCAATTCTCCTATCCACTGTACACTGGGGCTACCTTCACCACTCAGTTCTTCCAGTTGTCATCTCGACACCAGCAATGTTTGCCAAGTAGATCTCCTCCTGACACAAGTTTGGGCACTTTCATACCAGTCTCGTAACAAATCAATCCAGCCTACTCTGCTGCCAAAGCACCTGATACTTCACCTCACCATTTAGAAGACTCACATGGTTCCATAATGCCCAGTGAAATTTTTTAGTCAAATGCTACTTCTCCTAAATTCTTGCCTATTTTCTCTCTTAACATCTAGCCAGAAATTCGCTCTCCTTCTTCTTAACACCCCTAATACTAACTCCTCTCCTCACTTTTAACTGTGTACTATTGGCCCTTTATATCCATGGGTCCTGCGTCCACGGATTCAACCATAGCCTGAAAATATTTGAAGAAAAAAAATGGATAGTTGCGTCTGTAATGAATATGTACAGATGTTTTCTCTCACCATTATTCCCTAAACATTATAGTATAACAATTATTTACATAGCATTTACATTTTATAAGGTATTATACATAATCTAGAGATGATTTAAAGTACACAGAGGGTGGATATAAGTCACATTCAAATACTACACCACTTTATATATGGAAGGCATTTGAGCATCTGTGGCTTTTGGTATCTGTGGAGGTGGGGGTGGGGTGGGTCCTGGAACCAATCCCCCATGGATACTGAGGGCCAACTGTACTAACTTCTAACTATTTCACAAGTTTTTCTTTAGTTTATCACCATGAGGCAGAAGCTATATTGGTTCTTTACTGCATCTCTTAGGACAGTGTTCTGCACACAGGTGATTAGTAAATAATCATTGAGTGAACTTATGTCATCAGTGTGCAGATGCAAAGGCAAGTAATGCAACCACATCCAAAATTAAAACAAAAAAGCAAAAACAAGTTTTTAAAAGCTAGTTAGGAAAGGAAGGAAAGAAACTCCCAAACTGCCACTGTTGTGCACATATTCAGTCCCACGTCTTGCCTTTTGCTGGCCCTGCCATCTTTGAGAGAGGGCAGTCTGATATGGAGAGTGGTCTGGCAGTTTAGGAAGGCTGTTCAGGCAAGCGGGGGTGATTGGCTGATGTGAGCAGAGAAAGGACAGATTAGTGACTATGCTTCCATCCTGCTTAGGTTACCTCTGTATCTTTTCATTGGCTATCTCCCAGATATAACTCTGAAAGCTTTTAACAAGATCTTCTCTTCTCTCTTTCTCATGTGTCTTTCAGATACCGTGCTGCTTTGGACAACTCAACCTGCCCTGGACAGTGTGGGGGCCCAGACTCTAGTTGATTCATTTTTGCCTTTGCCATGGCACCAAGCACAGAACCTTTCACAAAATAGGTGACTATATTTTAAAAAATGAACAAAATTGTGTGTAGTAGAAGGGTCTCTTGTATAGAAAATGGTGCTCCATCTTCTCTAGACAACCTCAGGGCAATAGAAACCAGCCTATTTCTAAGCAACAGTTTAGAAGGGTGCAGGAAAGAAGTAATAAAAAGTTGGAAGACATACAAGCACTTTGCTATTTCGTGAGTAGCAAAGCATGGAGGATCTGGCCATAATGAGGAAAAGGATCACCTGAGAGGCTGGGAGTTGGAAGGTCAGTACTCCTCTCTGCTACTTTCTTTCTATGTAACCTTGAATACCTTACATCAAGGTTTGGCCATCCGCAAAAACTAAGTACTGGATGAGATCAGAAGTTTTAAGATGAAGTAAGAGTAGGTGCCTGGAAACCCATGCTATTGGACTCTATCTTACCTGCCCCTTCCTAGTGTATGCTAAGAGTAGAACTCAGAGCTTACTGGGCCACAGCTTGAAAACCACTGAACTAAGATAATTCTCTCAAAATTTACCTCCTGTGACACTTCATGACTTCTTAAAACACAGAGAGTTTCCCTAACATTTACAGAGGCACGTTGGGATCCCATAAATCGGAAAATATTCTATAATTAGGTCCCATTTTTAAAAAACCATAAACTAAGCAGCAACATTCATTTATCTGGGCTTCCACCGAAATCAGATCAAAAGGAGTCTGCTTTATGCAGATCTGAAAACAGTTTTTTGGACACAAATTCATTTTCTGTAATAAACTAAATACTGAAGAGTTTTAATAATTTGGGTCAAATCATTGAATACTTCCTCACATCTACATTTGTGGGGTTAAACATTCTTGGTATTAATGAATGTAATTTCTGAACTGCTTTTAAATAAGTGGGACTAATATTTCCTTGGTCTTTGTTTACTTCTTTCTGTACTGAGTGATTTAGCCATTGTTTGATTTGAGTAAACGTCAGTATTTACACTTACATGAAAGAGGCTTGCCTAACCTGGGTATGTGGTCAATTCAAACACCCAGACTTGGCATTGTTATGGTTAATGGTTCTGTGCTGGCTGTGCTGTTCTACGTTGGGCTGGAACCAGATCTCATAGGTTGCTTAAGGCATTATGCAGAACAAGGATGACTGTGGGATTTGATGGCATGAAGGCTGCACCAGGCATCAGGTTGCCTGCCTTTATGCCTGTCTTTATGTAGAGATACTGTAGAACTGGAAGAACTTAGATCCACATCCCAATTTGCTTTTGCCAAGTGGCCCTAACACTTAACCTCTCTGAGCTTCAGTTTTTTCATCTGTAAAATAAAGGTGACAACCCCCAGCCCGCTAACCTAGGGACTGTAAAACTAAATAAGATAATGGATGTGAAGGCACCTTATAAACTTCAAACAGAAGTGACATTGGGCAAGTTGTTTTACCAGTCTGTTTCTCAATTCAATCATGATAGCTGATGTTTGGTGACTGCTTGGCACCTCACTAAGGACTTTACATATGTTGTCTTATTAATTCTCACAGTTACTCTCTGACAGGAATATTATATTTATTTTACAGAGGGCAAAACTCAGGCCTAGATAAGAAGTTACTTAGCTAGTAAAGTCTTTTGGCTACAAACTGACAGACGGAAGTTAAAAATAAGGATGGAAATAATACCTACTCTATTAACTCACAGGCCAATTAAAAGAATTACACAAATAATTACACTTTAAAAAACTTTAAAGTGTACTATAAGAAGTGATACTACTATTAGGAATGATCTGGCTTTGTAGTAAATTGAATTTCCCAGATAATTGAGTTATAGTTGATTATGTGATTGTCTGATGATGTGTGGTGTATCTATAAGCATGGGAAGGGTATGATCATGCATTCTAAGAAGCACCCTAACTTTGTATCATTTATCTCATTATGAATAATACATGAATGTGGAAATGAGATTTTATGGGTATTTTTTTCTTATTGTTTACTTATTAGCTGCACAAAGCAGTTACTTAAATGAGGTTGATCAAAAGGTAAGAAGTTGTTACTTTTCTAAATCATTTACTTACTGTAGTAAAACTAAAGACCTCCATAATTAAGAAAACATTTCATTATACAGTAATTGCTAAATAAGTCAACCATTTCTTGTCCTTACACTGAGTTTTTTTTTTGGAGACATACCTGGCCTAAGTCCCATGTAAATTAAATGGCAATGTCTCACAGCTGGTAAAGTAGAGGTTATCAGACACTTGTGAACTGAGACTTCAGGAGTTGCCAATTATCTTAATTTCTTGTGATCATTATATTTAAAAAAATCTGATAAATGTGATTTACTCTCAAGATCATATTTTCCTAGGACTTACAGTTCCTGTTGTTAAAACAACAAACAGAGAACCATCTTTCTAGACCCATACAGAATTCTAGAATTCCATCTTTTCCTTTCATGGATGAGAAAGCTGATTTCTGGAGAGCTTAAGAGTTTCTCTCAGCTAACATCAACATCATCATAACCGTGATCTTAGTCATTATATAGCTGCTGCAGCTAACATTTATTGAGCGCTTATCATGAGTCAGGTACTCTGCTAAGCTCTTTAAATGTATTATGCCATGTATTCCTCATGACAACTTTATGAGGTAAGTATTGTTATTATCCTCACTTCGTAGGATGAAAAATCTGAGGCTTAGTGGGAATAAGGAATTTGCCAAAGGCCATTCAACTAGTAAGTGGCAGAGCCAGGGTCTCAAGCCAGGACGTTTTATGCCAAAGCTCCCACTCCTAAACATCAGGCTATATTGCCATTGACTAGTTGGTCACCAAGTTGGTGTGAGAATCAGTATTTTTACATGCCTACTACACATAACACTTGTTCTAATACAGGGTATTTCTTCATAGTTGCATTAGAATTTGAGACTTTTTTTTTGGTTCCTGGCCAGAGACAATTTATGCAATTTACTGTGAAACTAAATGGAGCTGGACAAAAAAAAAAAAAAAGTTCACTTAAACTTGCCAAGAATTGCCGCTTGGGGGTATACAAGTTTGGGCATTTGCTTAGGACTGTTGCTCTGAATTCCTTGAGGGAAGGGGGAATCTGGATGCAGTTTCAGCTAGAAACAGATTTGTTTGCTAATAATTGTGGCCGTGATAGTGTGATGAGTGAGATCTTTTTTCACTTGTCCACCTCTTGCCAATTTAAGCCCCCTTCATTACTGCCTTGGAGAGAAAACTAAAGGTCTGTGCCAAAAAAAAAAAAAAAAAGAAAATCTGCAAAGGTGGTTCTCTGATTGTCTCACAAAGTGTAACTTGCACAATTTCCTCCAGACAGCCTTAACTGTCTCACCATCTCACAGATTAAGATATGTAAGGCTAAATGTTGTATATTTTACATCTAAAGCTGCTTTGAAACATCAAGGTGTTTATTAGCTGGATTCATGCTATGCCTTTTTAGTTGTTGCTGAACCACAGGCTTATACTTTGAGGCTTTCTGGCCACATGATGGACCTGACCTTTCACCCAAGAGGTAAAAATGCCACACATCATTGCACAAATTCCAAAAATATTTCCATTGGCGTAAGACAGAAGCTTTGCTTATACCATGGTAGGCACAAGAGAGGATTTTACATTTTACTAGATCCTAAATGTCTTAGTCACATGGGAAAGCATACAGAACATAGTGTTAAATGTATGAAGCAGAAAACAAACGTGGTAGATCCCTGACATGCAGGAGGGTGTGTCTCTGGACTTCTGGGAATGCCCATTGGGACTACCAGTAGAACATGTAATACACTGTGTACAGAGCATATGATGGGCTTAGTGATGTCATAGCTCTGAGTCTCTAATGAAAAGCCTTATTAATTTTATCTAAAAGTCATTAAATCTTTATACTTTACTTTCTCTTCACTTCCCTTATAAGGATTAAATTTTGGCTCCTAGTTTACCACTTTTGGCCAGGAAACAAAGTGTTTTATCACTTCAGAAAAATAACTGTGTAAATGACACCAGCAGAGAGCAACAAAGCCTTCTTGGGATGAAACTGCTGGGCAGCCAGCATGGCTCAATTGTTGGTCTTATAGTCCAGTGAACTTAAATTCCTACCTCAGCACAATGTCGAGTTACTATGTGTCATGGATATTCAGGCTTGCTTTTAGAAGAATGAGAACCAAGAATGCCAAATTATTCAATGCCAAGTATCTACTGTATAAAGTATGATCTCAATTATGTTATGAGCTATAGACAAGACTGGAAAGAAATATAGCAAAAGCATTAACAGAGGTTATCTGCGGGCATTGGGGATTATTAGTGAGTTCATTGTTTTCATTACAGTCTTTTAACTTATCAATATTTCTAAGTTAGCATTTAGAATCAGCAAAAAAGCCATGAAAACATAAAAAGTATTTTGAAGAGTATAGGCGAGATGTCAACAATCTCTTCAGCCTCAAGAACTAGTAGATGAACTAATCCACCACCATGGAATCCAGTGGATGTTGTCAGTGAGTGTAAGGAGGAGGAACAAAAAATGAGATGGGAAAGTAAAGAAAGAAGATGGTGGGAACAAAAGGAAAAGAGAATGAGAACCAAAAAATAGACAGATGTGTAGAGTGAGATATTCCTGAGACCCCTCCATGCCACTGGTTGCCTGTTCTCTGTTGATTTGAGACAATTCCTAGAAGTTGTTCATGTATTTAGGAAGCTGTTGTAAACTTCCTAAAACTAAAATAATGACTGATATTTATAGTCACTGAGTTTGAAGTTGGAAGGGACTGTGGACACAATCACATGCAGTGACTGGAAACATCCTGGTCATTGGGAGGCTTTATATTGTGTAAAAGACCAAAATATATAGACCAAATACTGATGATATTTATGATTTTAGTTGATTAGTTCAAATGTATAATGTTTACCTATTATAAAGCAAAATAATGAGAATAGGGAAGCTATTTTGGTAAACACAAAAAGTGGATATCAGGGATTATGGCTACTGGTAGCCATATCTAGTTTATTTCTTCTTTGTTTTGGTTTTAGATATGTAGTAATGAGAAAATTCTTATTATCACAGAGAGTGTTTTGTAATGAAAACTGTTTTTACAGCTTACCTTGCAATCTTAGGATAGTTATTTTTTCAACTAGACATAACTGAGGAACTTAATGATGAGGGCAAAAGCATTTACTTCGGTAGTACAACACTTAAAATTGTGATAATTTTTATAATTTAACTTAGTGTGAATCAGTTAAAATTAGTTGCTTAACATGTTTGAATATATTTTTGTGAATTATTATTTAAAAATACTTTAAAATATATAAAACAAAATTTAATTTAAAAAACTGTGGAACAACAGGCTCTGTGGGCACAGTTTGAAAACCATTAATTTAACAACAAATGACCCTCTCTTCCCATTCGGTGGGTGAGAAAATGGAAGCCCAGAAGGGTAAAGTAATAAATATAAGGTTATAGACTTAATTGTTTAATGCGGTTTTTGCTGTCAATGACACATGCAAGCCTTGATAGGGAATAAAGTTGGCTGTCTAACTGGGACTTTTCTTTTTAAATTTATTTTTTACTTTTTCCTTCTCTTTTCTTACTACAAGGGACTCTACTTTTAAATACTAAAATAGGTAAAAATCCTAGTGTGATTCAGGAAAAATGAATAAATATCTCAGTGGCTAGATATAATAAATTTCTTTTGAAATTAAAAACATGTGACTTTATACCAAGAACGTTGGTTTTCCCTTTTGGGAATTTCTAAATTTGGACACAAAAGTGTTGGTTGAATGTCATTGTTCACTCTCGATTTTACTATTAGACCATTAAATCTGAGTGAGAAAACAGCTTCCTGGGGGTTTGATTCTGCACTGTCTGATGGAAGAGCAGATCTATTTTCTGGAGTCTATTCTATCTAATTTTCTTAGGTCATCACTTCTCATTTTCTCTTAGAATTCAGAAGGGTTGCTTTGATTCCAGGTATGCAAAAGAGTTCAATGAATTTCATGGCAATTTCTGAAGTATCTTAACCTCAGAGTAGCGTACTTACATTTTCGGAAGCAGCTGTCCCTTAGACCTTTCCTACTGCTAAGTCTTAATTTTCTCAGCTTTGTCTAATTACTTCTTCAATAAAAAAAAGCAGCTTCCTGACATTTGCCTATTTTTTCTTTTCCCTTTTCTCACTTATCTTTCTTTGTGTCTTTCTTTTTTACATAGCCAACTGTCCCAACATTTACTCATGTGCTGTAATAAATGTTTTAAAATAACACTGGACATAGAAAAGGCATAAATTGCACAGGCAGACTTCTTTCACTGCAGAATGGCCTTTTGCTTTGGGTAATAAGAAATAGGCCAAAAAAGTTTCTCCAACAGACAAGAGTGGGTAAAAATCAGAGGCAAGAAAGATTGAGTAAACATTATTATAAACATTTCTTTCAAATTGTTAACAAAATGCTTTTATTTCACATAACTCTCTTCCATGGCCATCTCTTGATTGACATTTTTTTTCTTTGTGGAAAAAAGCTTTATGAAGTTGTGGGAAGTGAAATTGTCATTTCTCCTAGAAATACACGTACAAATTTTCATGGAAATGTGTAAAAGACTTTCAAGGTCTCTCTAGGGCTGACTTGACCTGTCTGAATTAGGATAACTGTGCCTTTCACACACTGGTCTTCCTATTACAGTTATGCATAAAAATATATAAGTAGAATAATTTTAAAATGAAATCAAATTGCATGGGTTATAACTGTCTTGGCTAAAAAGTTCAAACCCTTAAGATTTCCAAAATAAAGAAATCCAAGCACAATTTCAACACCTTATTCAGTTTTTATGTCGTATCCAATTTTTAATATATAATTTTCTGATGTAATATGATGCTAAATTAAACTTCACCTAAATTTTACAATTATAAAATATCTATTCTTTTTGTTCTTTTAATGAAAACCTGTTATTCTGAGTTCACTTTTATGAGGTAGGGAATATGGTTCCTGTGAATTAATTAATAACAGCAATTTCATATCACATGTAGAACTTAACAGTCATAAATATAAAGATAAAAGAGTAGAGGAATATACACCTCAAGAAATTGACAGCAGAAAACAAAAACTAAAATTGCATTGCTTATCACCTCAAAATAGAATGATTTGCATCGACATTGCCCAAGTCATATTTTAATGAGATGAAGCTTTCTTTTTATGCATACATCATCAGTATAGTATGATTTTAAAAAATAACATTGAGATGTTTCTCAAAAATCCAAGGAGTTTGAAAATGAATCTTTGTCTTTTGGTATTCCTGATTGCTTTTCTAGGGGAAGATTTTTCTTATATTCTCTCTCATAAGTTGAGGATGAGTAAGCTACACTATACTAAAGAGAATCACCAGCAAGTATTGTGACTGCAAAGGCAAACGTTACACCTATGAAAAGATTCTTGACCTGCACTTCCATGACTACTCTTCACTTGAGATAATTCATTCATCAGGCAGATTCTTGACCCTGCAGATAATCTGAGGGCTAACTGTAGTTTCCAAAAAGCAAATAATCATGTGTGAAAGTGTCAAGTGCCTGTTTAAAGCTTCTACTTTCAAAGACCTTTTAAGAATCTGACTACCGAGAATAAGTTCTTTCTCTTTAGCAAAGACTGAGTATGTTCAAAGGCAGCAGAACTGTTCTAAGGCTTGTTTTGACTCTATATAATCAGTGTGGACAGGCTAGAAGGGATCAGCTGTGGCCCTGAAATATGGTCTGCTCTGATCTTGTCCCTGATCGGGAATAGAGATAAAATGGAAAAAATCCTGAGAACATTGTGTCATCACATTGGTTAAGAACGTTGAGTGGTCCATTGGCCTGGACCTTGTTAAGGAAAGAAACAAGGAACCAGAATGAAAGGAAATCAGAAGAGAAAATGACTCTGAAGAGCATGTCACCTGCTGCTTTATAAAAGGGGAGTCTGTAGACTCCGAGATGGCCTCGCATAGCAGCCAGAGCAAGGAGTATGGGTACTAATAACACGTGATTAGTAATGAACACTGGACAGCAACACTATTGATGTTTAATTTCATTTTATTTTTAATTAAAACGTTTCATTTTAATTTAAATAACCTATTTGGAACTTGAGTTATGTTTATGACAAATGAACTAGCAAATTTGACTGACCTGGCTGGACAAGGATCCAAGTTGCACTCCTGAAGCTTGGGTTTGGGTTTGATGTTCTCTGGGTAATAGTGACAGTATTGGTCAGCAACCACACGGTTGCTCCTCAGATCGTAGCACTCAGCCGATGTCAGCTGATAACCTGTAGTATCAAACCATCCAGGCAAGTTTAAATGTACATGCCAATGCAATATATTTCTTTATGCATTTTGGCCAGCTCACATCAATGGAAATTATTCCCCAATGCCTTAGTCATTTCCAGGAAAAAAGACACATAATTGGAAGGCTCATTAATTTTTGCAGACCTCAAGTACTGTGCTTTTCTCAAGTAATCCACTCAAATCTTAATAATTACATTATATAATTAGGCTTGAACTACTTAAGGGCCCAGCCAGATAATAAGACTCTGGTAAGAACTGTTCTTGTTATTTCTTTTATATGATCTAAAAATATAATGCAGAATTCTGTGTCCAAAAAAGATCATCAGGATTTACCAACCATCTTATACAAGAATGCTAAATTGCCTCCTTAGTACCTGGGGCACTAGGGAGAATAAACTCCCAAATAGATAAACAAAATAAATCCCACATTGCTCCCCTTGCACATGGGGGGCCAGCACAGGATCAGGTTCCACCAGATGCCTGGGAACATTATTTTTGCCCAAATTCAACCTGAGTGGGTTGAGTAAATGTACCATTGAGATTCCAACAGTAGACATCACGAATCCTGTTTCCCTGCAGAATTAGTAAAAACACCTCCCTGTTACTGTTCCATTTTTGTTATATTCAAAATCTTCTGTCATTCTCTTTAAAAAGTCTCTAGCGAATATTTCTTAGCCTCCACCCACAAATTGTCACTGTTTAAAGAAGCCTCTCTTAAAAAAAGTATTGTTGAGTAATAGTTAATTCTTTTCATATGTTTTATCTTTCCTACCTGCCTTTTTATTGTCCTGTGGATTTCTGGTAGGGTGGTGATCAAGACTTAGATTCTCGGGGTGAAAAATAAATGTGCATAGAGAATTTTAAAAAATTAGGCCTTTTATATCATTCTTACCCTAATCAATCTGCCAAATACATTATCCCTAGCAGGTGGGTTGAACACGGTTATTGCTAAATACATATTAGGAAGCAAGATTTAAATCATTAAGGGACTTGCAAAAGATTTTAGGAAATCAGAAGGAGGTTTATGAGCCAGATTTCCTGGCTTAAGGCTGTGTTCTCAGACCACCCACAGAAATTAATTGTTCATTAAAGACCCTAAAAAAAAGGCCTTTTAAAATTTGACTATAAAGATGAAAAGCATGAAAAGTAACGAAAGCAATGGATAAGAACACTTTTTCTATCCAATATTTGTTTTATAAAAAAATCAAGTAGCAAAATGACATTTTAAGTAAGTAAATGCACTTTTACTTTTCAATTACACTGTACTCTAAAAGCATCTAATTTTATAACAGGCTAATTATTTTATAATTTTCCAGATAATAATTTCTACACAGGGACAGAATTTATCATGTAGTAAAATACAGGAACAATGCAGTAAATTATTAATCTGAGATGATTATTCTTCAAAATCAAAATTTGTCAGCCTAAACCTGTTGCTTTGAAGCTATTATAGCGTGTATAAAATGAAGAGTTAGAGCAAAAATGAAGGAAATGACCAAAATCATCAGATAATCATGTTTTCTAAAGTTTTATAAGGTATTTGGAGTAGCAAATTTTACACTAAGCAAAATGTCCAACCAGTTGAATCTGGAACCAGAAACAGAGAAGAGAACTTAGAGATCATTTCTTCAGTAATTTTCAAGCTGGTAACTTCAGTACATTTCAAAATAAAGTGGAAGGACAGCTGGTCTCCACATCCCTCACATCTTCACTCAGAACAGTCTTCCTTTTATCCTGGCTTCATAGTTAAGGTTTCCTTTGAAGCAAGATTTGATACCCAGAAACATCTGAAAACCACTGATAGTTCTACTTCTTCATTTCCATGTGAGGAAAATGAGGCCCAAAGAAGTAAGATACATGTAAATCTAACATCAATGTCCCTATTATGTAATGAACGATTATCAAGGTTGCTGACATCACACTCTAATAGCAGCTCTATGTGTGCATATAACTGAAGTGCTATTTCTCACAAAGCATGGTTTTCATTTTTTTTTTTAAAAAAAACAAACCTTAGATTCTTTCCTTGAAACTATTTCCTATGCCAGTCATTAGTAAAAATATCAAAATAATGTATTCCCATGGAACATCAAAGTAATTGACAGTTCATTTTTAAACAAAGCGATTTTCCTTCTTTCTTTCTTCTTTTTTTGAGACAGGGTCTTGCTCTGTCACCCAGGCTGGAGTACAGTGGCATGATCTTGGCTCACTGCAACCTCTGCCTCCTGGTTTCAAGCAATTCTCATGCCTCAGCCTCCCAAGTAGCTGGGATTACAGGCTCGCGCCACCACACCCAGCTAATTTTTGTATTTTTAGTAGAGACAGGGGATTTCACCATGTTGGCCAGACTGGTCTCGAACTCCTGGCCTCAAGCCATCCTTCTGCCTTGGCTTCCCAAAGTGCTGGGATTACAGGCGTGAGCCACTGCACCTGGCCAGCTAAATGATTTTCTATCCATGACAGATGGAACAACTAGAAACACTCATTCTATTGAAATGCTTAAAGTGTTGAATTGATAGTTTTTTATCAACTGAGTAAAAGTACTTCATGGCACTTCTACTGACTTCTTTTAAGCTAAAATCCAACATTGCTCCATAGAACCACATTTTTCAGTAGTTTGTTTACATTGTGTAGATAGAAACAACATAGGTAAAGATGAATTACATCATACAATGTTTTCCAAAAATTTATGGGTAATCATTTGTCTCCATTTTCAGGTACTATCCTTTTATATCTTGTCAAATTAATATAGTGATACTTCTGTGGATTAGCTATTTAAAGTCAGCCAATTAACTGGCTTCTATGAAACTAGAGCTAGAATTTATTTGATGTGCTAATTTTCAAAAGAATAGACATATAATTTTATATCCATTACGTTAGAAAAACAATAATCCACAAACACTGACTCAGTTGGCAATGAATCTAAAATATTCACACACTGATTGTTATCCTTCTGGAAAGAATTTGGTAATGTGTGCCAATAGCCACAAAAATTCTGAAATTCCTTGATCTAACAATCTCACTCCTGAGTATTTATACCAAGAAAATAATTTGAAAAGAGAAAAATACTTAGGTATTAAGTTATTCATTGTATTATAAAAGCATAAAAGTTAAAGGAACTAAATGATTTGCTGTAGGGAAATGTCTAAATAAATTATTGGGAAATTCAATGCAATTATTATGTAAACACTATAATTATGATGAGCAGAAAATGAGGAAAAATAACCTTTTGTAGTAACACAAAAGCCTTTTCTAGTAACACAAAATGCTGTTCGTGTTACAAATATGATGGAGCAGAGACAGGAGTTTATTTTGTGACTTTTCAGGAGAGATGCATTTTAATGAATAAAACGAATGGCATTTCTTTTAATGCATGGATGATGGGGTGGAGTTGAAAAATAACTGAGCCTAAGTCTAAAATGCAGAGATTTTTTTTCCTGGTAGCAAACTATTTTCTCTAATTAAGTAAGCCTGATAAACACTCTTTAATTGATTGCTAAATAGATGACTTTACTTCAACCACATGAGTAGTTTATATGTAAGTGAATGGACCTGCCTGCTTCAGGACCAAACTGCTGCCAAATTAGAATATTTCTAGCTCTGGCCTTCTACAAAATCAAGGAGAGAAGTAAAGACTGTTTCCTCGGTCGGGCACGGTGGCTCACGCCTGTAATCCCAGCACTTTGGGAGGCCGAGGTGGGCGGATCACGAGGTCAGGAGATCGAGACTATCCTGGCTAACACGGGGAAACCCCGTCCGTACTAAAAATACAAAAAATTAGCCGGGCGTGGTGGCGGGCGCCTGCAGTCCCAGCTACTCAGGAGGCTGAGGCAGGAGAATGGCGTGAACTCGGGAGGCGGAGCTTGCAGCGAGCCGAGATGGCGCCACTGCACTCCAGCCTGGGCGACAGTGCGAGACTCTGTCTCAAAAAAAAAAAAAAAAAAAGACTGTTTCCTCTAATGGGACTTTACAGACAGAAAATGTCTTTGGCATCTTGGCGGAGGTATCTGCCTTACAGGAGGGCCTCGAGATTCCACTCTGTTCAGAAGAAAGGATCTGGTCCAAGACAGCACAAAATTTCTTCCATGCTGAAGTAACTCTACTCTTATAATACCCAAGTATTTCCTCACAGAAGCCAACAGTTTTTAGACTAAGTGAACACCATTACCTCCTCCACAGGTTGCTGAGCAAGGAAAGAAATCCGTCTCCCTCCATCGGTGGATGATGGGTTGATAGAAGATGAACTGGACTGTACTGTCAGCGGAGCCCGAGTTACGAATCTGCAGGAGTCAACAGGAAAGTAGAAGTAATGTGACAGTGCGGTGCTTTCTGGTCCCTTGCAGCTTCGAACAAGAGTATATGGTAGTGCTGATGGTTTTAGGCTGTGTGAGGGACTGCACTGCGGGAGAAGTGGCAATGGCAGTATCATGTATCCTACCATTTTACCAGTGAATGGTCCTTGCATAAGCTTTCACTATCATTATCTTCTGAGTTCTGTTGCCACAGAGCAAGGGAGAACAATATCTCAATTTGTGATTTCACTATCATCTTATTCCAAGCCTGTATTCCCTTTCCGTCCTTTATTTCCAACCTCTTTGGTATAATAGATAAAATTATGTGGATTTTAAAATGTAGATTCAGAAATAGACAATTTGTTCTAAGAAAATTATATACTGCAGAAAATAAAAGATACTGGTTTTGGTTAAGAAAAAAGACGAGTTGAAGAATTAAATAACACTTCCCATTCAGAGACACATATTGGGCTTCTTGTCCATTTAGTGTGCGAAGTTACCAACTAGATGCTTGCTAAAAGGCAAACTTCTGGGCCCATGCCCAGCGAACTAGGTAATTCAAATGTTGATGGTTTAAGAATCAAACTGAAAACACAAATTTATGTCATAAAAACGATTACTTACTTAAAAACAATTTATTTGCTTTTAAATAAAACTGGTACTTAATGGAAATTGCAATTTCTTTTTTTTTTTAAAGGGGGTATGTGAGACAAGTCCTTAATGGTTCTTAAGAGTACAAGGTTGAGAAAACATAAACTGAAGAGAAGGAAAAAGTACCTTATGTCAACAATTTCATGAAGACAGAATGATACAACATTTAGACTGTTGGGCAAGGTTTGGACTACTTTTTATAAGGAGGTTCCAAGGACAATTGAGAGGATTACTTCTTACTCTACATTACAACAATTAGAGAAGTATCAGAGTCCAACTGAACCACTTGCCCTAAGTATTTGTTAAGTGTTTTTCAGTCTTAACATTTTCTTTTTTTTTTTTTTTTTGCGATGGAGTCTTGCTCTGTTGCTCAGGCTGGAGTGTAGTGGCACCATCCCGGCTCACTGCCAGCTCCGCCTCCCGGGTTCACACCATTCTTCTGCCTCAGCCTCCCGAGTAGCTGGGACTACAGACGCCTGCCACCATGCCCGGCTAATTTTTTGTATTTTTAGTAGAGACGGGGTTTCAGAATGTTAGCCAGGATGGTCGATCTCCTGACCTCGTGATCTGCCCGCCTCGGCCTCCCAAAGTGCTGGGATAACAGGCGTGAGCCACCGTGCCTGGCCAAGTCTTACCATTTTCTTAATTGCCCATAATGTAGGATAAATGGATGGATTTGGCCTTCAGATTATTTTAAAAATAGCCCTATTTCTGTGCTACTTAATTTAACAAGTGGATTAAACATCTCGGATGCAGGGGGAAAATAAGAATATTGAAGAAACAGGGCCAAGAAAAAGTGATGGATGCTAAACTCTACATCAGTTTTTGGAGTTTAGATGGGAATATGGAAATGTTTCTCAGAAAGTCTGAGAGGGGTGGAAAGAAGGAAGAGAGAAACCCTACAGAATGTCTCATACCCTGGGATTTTGACCTGTAGAGCATTTACGTATTTTCTAATTAGAATAAACAGTGATACCATTCCCTACTTTAAAAGAAAAACAGCTGAAGCAATGCAGTGTCTTTCACAAAAAAAGAGCACTGCCTATAGATTTCTATTTCTCATTTTTATGTGTCAGATACAAGGGTACCTAATTGCTTGCTTAGGGATGTAGTATTAATCACATTCCTTGGAAAGTTCTTTTTTTTTTTTTTTTTTTTTTTTTTTTTTTAAGCTCACAAAAGCCTCTAGCTCTCTTGGGGTGTGTGGTTATCACACTGGAAAGTTATAAGAAAAAAACTTTCATTTAAACACAAGATTCATGAAAAAATAAAAGACCAGAGCATTTGTTTAGATTCAAAGAGATGAGGTTTTTTTGTTTGTTTGTTTTTGTTTTTTACTTTTTTTGTTTGTTTTTGCAGATGTTCTTTTTGGAATGTTAACCTGAGTCCTGGGAAGTAAGGGAAAAAAATCTTAGCTTCTTACAGCCAATGTGAGGAGGATATAACATCATAATACTTGGAGAAACTCTGTTCTAGAAAGCTTCAGTTTGACACATTTGGTTTAGGGAGCTAAACACATCTGGTATATGTAATTTTGACCTCCTTATGTTAATAAAAAAGAGTATTTGAACCAAGCTCTTCTTTCTATAATCACAATGTTTCAGTGTTTCTAATTCAACATAATGATTTCTCACACTAACCTGAAAAGACAAGACAAAAATTTTCCATAGCAATTGACTGCACTGTCATGACAGAGCTGGAGGGCCATAGAAATGTGTATGGGGGGTTATGGTTGAGCTTTAATTCCATGTAAAATTCAAGGAATCAAGGAGATAGTATAAGCACATGAAGACATCATTAAGCACACAAAGGCTTTTCCAGAGAAAGCACTGTTAAAGCATCTTTTCCTTTTTCACTGGCAAAAGGCAATATGTGAGCTTTGGGATTTTCCCTAAGTTTCTTTCTCTCACTGATGTAGAAGCTGTGCCTCAGATGGGCCAGCAAGGGGGCTGGCAGTCAGGGGTCCCCCCAGCCTGGCTTAGCTGTTCAGTCGCTGCTCTCATGAGGACAGGGAGGCAAAAGGAAGCCACAGGTGAACCACTACTGTGTATCTCTGAGCTGGGATCCACAGTGTTATGTGACTTGGTCACACTGCTCTCAGAGCGACAGGGATGTCATGACTTTGGAAAGCTTGGAAACAGTGAACATACATCAGTATGCCTGCTAGGGAGAGAATAACATGGAAAACTGGTAAATCTGTTGATTAAATGTGTCAGTCTACTAGACTCAATTTTTGGCTGTTCTGGTAGTTGACAGAGATACTGTATCCTCAGGAACTGCTGTTAAGACTATTTTAAAATGCTTTTGTTTGGGCTTGAAAAGATATGCAACAATAATAAAATCTTCCTTATAGCAGTTATATATCTATAAATACCTAATTTTGAAATAATTGTGATCTTATCTTTCTCCTTCACATTCTGAAAACTCCATGGAGGCAGGTACATTTATCCTGCTCATCATTTTTCAGCATCATCTACAATGTCTGGCACATAGTAGGTATCCAAACAATGGCTGAATAAACGAATGCATGAATGAACACACAATTGAATTATATACCTTTCAGGTACTTTTGAAATTTCTAACTATTGTTTGTGATAAATTATTAGATGAGTCATTATCTTTTTATATACATCTGCCAGTTTCCTTGAAGATGTTACTGATCACTTGATTTTATCATCAAATGATAAAATTCATAAATGGAAGCAATATTATTACAAAACAATGTTTATCCAAGAGCACTTTGTTTTGAGATGGAGTCTCACTCTGTCACCCAGGGTGGAGCGAAGTGGCGTGATCTCAGCTCACTGCAACCTCTGTCTCCTGGGTTCAAGCAATTTTCCTGCCTCAACCTCCTGAGTAGCTGGTATTATAGGTGTCCACCACCATGCCCAGCTAATTTTTTGTATTTTTAGTAGAGACGAGGTTTTGCCATGTTGGCAAGGCAGGTCTCAAACTCCTGATCTCAGGTGATCCACCCGCCTCGGCCTCCCAAAGTGTTGGGATTACAGGCGTGAGCCACCACACCCAACCCCAAGAGCACTTTCTACCCTCCTTGGAAGGCTGTCTTTTTAGGTCGGACAGTATAGTGAAGAGGGCTTGCCAAAATGCTACTTACTATGGGAATGAAACAGATTCAGTTGTCTCACTGTTTGAAATACCTGATAATTTTAACAGTTGGAAATGCTAAGATTAGGCATTAGCAGATTAAAAATGATTTTAAAAAATGTTAGTACCCAACTTTACCTCTATACTTCTTATAGAGTTTTCTAGTTTTTCTAGAACTCCAGACCTCCATATTGGAAAATAGTGCAGTTCAGCCCATAGGCCCCTAGCTCAGAGTTTTTTTTTTTTTTTTTCTTTTTCATAGAAATGGGGTCTCACTAAGTTGCCCAGGCTAGTCTCAAACTCCTGAGCTCAAGCAGTTCTCCTGCCTCAGCTCCCAAAAGTGCCAGCATTCCAGGCATAAGCCACTGTGCCCAACCTACCTAGCTCAGGGTTATGATTAATGCTGCCCACAACCCTTGAGTAGGGCAGTAGATCAGAGATGCTTCTCTGGAAACAACAGGTATAATGTTGTCTAAAGAACGAAGAAGGTGGCAAAGATTTGTCAGGAAGGAGATACTGAGTGGCAAAGCAGACTGTAGCCTTCCTGAAGGATTGTCCCAGTGGTCAGATGGAGGAGGAGGACAGGAAACCAATGACCAGAGCTGAACTTAATATTGTGGTGGTGGGGAGCGAGGCAGGATTGGGCAGGGATCTGCAACTCTCAAGAGTGAAAGAAAGATGAGGAACCAGTTCTCTGTCTCTGCATCCTAAACCTAGCTGTGTGATGGGCAAAATAATGTGTGAAATCTAACAAGAAATGCAGTATATTCTGATTAGCTCAGTTCTAAACGCTTGGCATCTATCAGCAAAAGGGGCATATTGGCAGAGTCACTACCTCTAAAAGTTGGGTAGGAAAATGAACCAGTACTTACTATTCACTTCTTCTCTTTCCTACAGTTGATTTAAACTTTTCCTCTCAAGAACACATGGCTTAGGACAATGGTTTTCCCTTTTATAAGCATGGGTTGACTGAAATGGGGAGACTGTCTAGAAACAGGCTGGGTGTCAGGGTGAAACCAATCTGGGATTACACATTGGCCAAACCTCAGCCTCCAGCGGATAAAGGAATTGGTTACAGATGCTCCTCAACTTACAATGGGGTTATATCCTGATAAACCCATCTTAAGTTGAAAATATTGTAAGTTGAAAATGCATTTAACACACCTCACTTACCAAACATCCCAGCTTCCCCACACCTACCTTAAATGTGCTGGGCTACAATTGGGCAAAATCATCTAACACAAAGCATGTTTTATAATAAAGTGCTGAATATTTCATATAATTTATTAAGTACTGTGCTAAAAGTGAAAAAAAGAATGGTTGTATGGGTACTTGAAATAAATTTTCTACTGAATGCATATTGCTGTTTCACCAAAATAAAGTAAAAAATTTGTTGTTGGTTATTGTAAGTAGAGGACTAATTGTATTTCAATCCTACCCAAGATTTACAGGCTGCCCAGTATCACAAAGGCTTTCTTTTTTTTTCCTTTTTTTTTTTTTTTTTTGAGATGGAGTTTTGTTCTTGTCACCCAAGCTGGAGTACAATGGTGCAATCTTTGTAACCTCCGCCTCCTGGATTCAAGCGATTTTCCTGCCTCAGCCTCCCGAGTAGCTGGGATCACAGATGCCTGCCACCACGCCCAGCCAATTTTTGTAGTTTTAGTAGAGATGGGGTTTCACCATCTTGGCCAGGCTGGTCTTGAACTCCTGACTTCAAGTGATCCACCCACCACAAAGGCTTTCTTAAGCATATTAGCTTGTAGTGCATATCTATAGCTTTCACTATGTGTCTTTCTTTCTTTAGTATTCAATGATATGTATCACTATTTCAAAACTGTCTATCTAGTCTTTTATCTTCCAAATGACATTATAAGCTAGGAGAGGGAAGATACTATATAGGATGGTCAATCTGCCTCATGTATCAATCATCTGCTAAATGAAGGAAATATATATATATATAATTTTATAAACTTAATAAATTCCCATTATTTTGGACATGGGATTTCTCTCCAGACTCCTTGTATTGTTACCTCTTATAATAAAAGCAAGTTTTGTATCCTAAATTGTGTGCAAGGTTATGTTCAAGGCTATCTAGAACAAAATATGAAGGCATCATCTTTGCCTAATACTCTAACTGATGCAAGCAGAAATCGCAAAGTTTCTGTTCCCTTAGAATTCTCCAAGATGCAATTTTGGTAACAATTGGAATGATGCCACTCTTCCTAACCAAATTTTCCAACTATAGATATGCAATACCTTTTAAAAATTGTCCTCTGCAGGAAATAAGTGTTCTCTTGTTATCAGTGCATGAATTATGAGTTAGTGCTCTTAGCTCTGAGTTTGCTATTATTTTCTCTTCTGCTGTGTGTTTCTGCTACTTTGGTAGCTTAGATATTCATCGATCACCTTCCTCTCTGTCTAATCCGGCTTTCTGCATAGATCTTTCAAGTGAGCAAAACCAGAATATGTACCAAAATATCTTAGCTGCTTTAACAGGTAGAGCTGAGTTGGAGGTTCTAATGAAGAATGGACCTATGACTAAGGAGGACTCTTCTACCTGGGAAAGTCATTCTCTTTCCTTGGGTCTGCAGCTTCAGAAAAGATGCACATGGCATGGTAAGGGAGGGAGGGGATACTAAGTCAGCCAGTTATCCAGATGATGGCCAGATCATCTCTAATAATTAATGTACTGACAGATGTCACCCCCAGTCTGCTCTCATAGCCATTTATCTGAATGGCCACATCTGCCACATTGTTCCTGGGTATACCACTGGTAAATGCGGCAGCCTCTCACCATCTTCAGCAAAGCAGCTTCCTGCTGTTGTTTAGATAGAGTATAGTGATTGGTTTGACTGAAAGTTTAAGTGTTTCAAAAAGATGGAAAGTAAGTAATTTGGATCTATCCACTTTTATATACATTATCTCATTTAATCCCTCAAAAAGGCTCCTTCAAGAGTAGGGAGTATTTTATTACCATTCCATAAAAGAGTAAACAGGTTTGATGAGGCAAAGCAATATTCTTAAGGTCACACACCCAGTAAGCAGCAGATTATCTATTCTACCACACTAAACTGGCATTGACAAAAATGTATGTAGAGCCAACGGAACAAGTTTAAAATTTTTAGAAGAAACGCTGCTCTAGGAAGCAAGATGAGAATTCAGTCTAGTTTTAAAGGTGGCAAGAGAAGGATATTCCAAAACATTATTTTAGAACTAAGGGCAATATATAACAATTGCTCACTGTCACAAAATCTTCCTTTTGCACTAAAAAGTCTTCTCCTTTTAAAGAAACAAAAATGATATTTTGGCAATAAAATTCCATGGAGGAGGGAGGAGCCAAGATGGCCGAATAGGAACAGCTCCTGTCTACAACTCCCACCGTGAGCTACGCAGAAGACGGGTGATTTCTGCATTTCCATCTGAGGTACTGGGTTCATCTCACTAGGGAGTGCCAGACAGTGGGTGCAGGTCAGTGGGTGCAGCGCGCTGTGCACGAGCCGAAGCAGGGCGAGGCATTGCCTCACTCAGGAAGTGCAAGGGGTCAGGGAGTTCCCTTTCCTGGCCAAGGAAAGGGGTGACAGACGGCACCTGGAAAATCGGGTCACTCCCACCCAAACACTGCACTTTTCCGATGGGCTTAGGAAACGGCACACCAGGAGATTATATCCCGCACATGGCTCAGAGGGTCCCACGCCCACGGAGTCTCACTGATTGCTAGCAAAGCAGTCAGAGATCAAACTGCAAGGCGGCAGCGAGGCTTGGGGATGGGCACCCGCCATTGCCCAGGCTTGCTTAGGTAAACAAAGCAGCCTGGAAGCTCGAACTGGGTGGAGCCCACCACAGCTCAAGGAGGCCTGCCTGCCTCTGTAGGCTCCACCTCTGATGGCAGGGCACAGACAAACAAAAAGACAGCAGTAACGTCTGCAGACTTAAATGTCCCTGTCTGACAGCTTTGAAGAGAGCAGTGGTTCTCCCAGCACGCAGCTGGAGATCTGAGAACGGGCAGACTGCCTCCTCAAGTAGGTCCCTGACCCCTGACCCCCAAGAAGCCTAACTGGGAGGCACCCCCCAGTAGGGGCAGACTGACACCTCACACGGCGGGGTACTCCTCTGAGACAAAACTTCCAGAGGAACGATCAGACAGCAGCATTTGAGGTTCATGAAAATCTGCAGTTCTGTAGACACCGCTGCTGATACCCAGGCAAACAGGGTCTGGAGTGGAAATCTAGCAAACTCCAACAGACCTGCAGCTGAGGGTCCTGTCTGTTAGAAGGAAAACTAACAAACAGAAAGGACATCCACACCAAAAACCCATCTGTACATCACCATCATCAAAGACCAAAAGTAGATAAAACCACAAAGATGGGGAGAAAACAGAGCAGAAAAACTGGAAACTCTAAAAATCAGAGCACCTCTCCTCATCCAAAGGAATGCAGCTCCTCACCAGCAACGGAACAAAGCTGGACAGAGAATGACTTTGACGAGTTGAGAGAAGAAGGCTTCAGACGATCAAACCACTCCGAGCTACAGGAGGAAATTCAAACCAAAGGCAAAGAAGTTGAAAACTTTGAAAAAAATTTAGACAAATGTATAACTAGAATAACCAATACAGAGAAGTGCTTAAAGGAGCTGATGGAGCTGAAAGCCAAGGCGCGAGAACTACGTGGAGAATGCAGAAGCCTCAGGAGCTGATGCAATCAACTGGAAGAAAGGTTATCAGTCAGGGAAGATGAAATGAATGAAATGAAGCGAGAAAGGAAGTTTAGAGAAAAAAGAATAAAAAGAAACGAACAAAGCCTCCAAGAAATATGGGACTATGTGAAAAGACCAAATCTGCGTCTGATTGGTGTACCTGAAAGTGATGGGGAGAATGGAACCAAGTTGGAAAACACTCTGCAGGATATTATCCAGGAGAACTTCCCCAATCTAGCAAGGCAGGCCAACATTCAGATTCAGGAAATACAGAGAACACCACAAAGGTACTCCTCGAGAAGAGCAACTCCAAGACACATAATTGTCAGATTCACCAAAGTTGAAATGAAGGAAAAAATGTTAAGGGCAGCCAGAGAGAAAGGTCGGGTTACCCACAAAGGGAAGCCCATCAGACTAACAGCGGATCTCTCGGCAGAAACTCTACAAGCCAGAAGACAGTGGGGACCAATATTCAACATTCTTAAAGAAAAGAATTTTCAACCCAGAATTTCATATCCAGCCAAACTAAGCTTCATCAGTGAAGGAGAAATAAAATACTTTATAGACAAGCAAATGCTGAGAGATTTTGTCACCACCAGGCCTGCCCTAAAAGAGCTCCTGAAGGAAGTGCTAAACATGGAAAGGAACAACCGGTACCAGCCGCTGCAAAATCATGCCAAAATGTAAAGACCATCAAGACTAGGAAGAAACTGCATCAACTAATGAGGAAAATTACCAGCTAACATCATAATGACAGGATCAAAGTCATACATAACAATATTAACTTTAAATGTAAATGGACTAAATGCGCCAATTAAAAGACACAGACTGGCAAATTGGATAAAGAGTCAAGACCCATCAGTGTGCTGTATTCAGGAAACCCATCTCACATGCAGAGACACGCATAGGCTCAAAATAAAAGGATGGAGGAAGATCTACCAAGCAAATGGAAAACAAAAAAAGGCAGGGTTGGCAATCCTAGTCTCTGACAAAACAGACTTTAAACCAACAAAGATCAAAAGAGACAAAGAAGGCCATTACATAATGGTAAAGGGATCAATTCAACAAGAAGAGCTAACTATCCTAAATATATATGCACCCAATACAGGAGCACCCAGATTCATAAAGCAAGTCCTGAGTGACCTACAAAGAGACTTAGACTCCCACACAATAATAATGGGAGACTTTAACACCCCACTGTCAACATTAGACGGATCAACAAGACAGAAAGTCAAAAAGGATACCCAGGAATTGAACTCAGCTCTGCACCAAGCGGACCTAATAGACATCTACAGAACTCTCCACCCCAAATCAACAGAATGTACATTTTTTTCAGCACCACACCACACCTATTCCAAAATTGACCACATACTTGGAAGTAAAGCTCTCCACAGCAAATGTAAAAGAACAGAAATTATAACAAACTGTCTCTCAGACCACAGTGCAATCAAACTAGAACTCAGGATTAAGAATCTCACTCAAAACCACTCAACTACATGGAAACTGAACAACCTGCTCCTGAATGACTACTGGGTACATAACGAAATGAAGGCAGAAATAAAGATGTTCTTTGAAACCAACGAGAACAAAGACACAACATACCAGACTCTCTGGGACACATTCAAAGCAGTGTGTAGAGGGAAATTCATAGCACTAAATGCCCACAAGAGAAAGTAGGAAAGATCCAAAATTGACACCCTAATATCACAATTAAAAGAACTAGAAAAGCAAGAGCAAACACATTCAAAAGCTAGCAGAAGGCAAGAAATAACTAAAATCAGAGCAGAACTGAAGGAAATGGGGGAAAAAAAACCCTTCAAAAAATTAATGAATCCAGGAGCTGGTTTTTTGAAAGGATCAACAAAATTGATAGACCACTAGGAAGACTAATAAAGAAAAAAAGAGAGAAGAATCAAATAGATGCAATAAAAAATGATAAAGGGGATATCACCACCGATCCCACAGAAATACAAACTACCATCAGAGGATACTACAAGCACCTCTACACAAATAAACTAGAAAATCTAGAAGAAATGGTAAATTCCTCGACACATACACTCTCCAAGACTAAACCAGGAAGAAGTTGAATCTCTGAGTAGACCAATAACAGGATCTGAAATTGTGGCAATAATCAATAGCTTACCAACCAAAAAGAGTCCAGGACCAGATGGATTCACAGCCAAATTTTACCAGAGGTACAAGGAGGAACTGGTACCATTCCTTCTGAAACTATTCCAATCAATAGAAAAAGAGGGAATCCTCCCTAACTCATTTGATGAGGCCTGCATCATCCTGATACCAAAGCCGGGCAGAGACACAACAAAAAAAGAGAATTTTAGACCAATATCCTTGATGAACATTGATGCAAAAATCCTCAATAAAATACTGGCAAACCGAATCCAGCAGCACATCAAAAAGTTATCCACCATGATCAAGTGGGCTTCATCCTTGGGATGCAAGGCTGGTTCAATATATGCAAATCAATAAATGTAATCCAGCATATAAACAGAACCAAAGACAAAAACCACATGATTATCTCAATAGATGCAGAAAAGGCCTTTGACAAAATTCAACAACCCTTCATGCTAAAAAGTCTCAATAAATTAGGTATTGATGGGACGTATCTCAAAATAATAAGAGCTATCTGTGACAAACCCACAGCCAATATCATACTGAATGGGCAAAAACTGGGAGCATTCCCTTTGAAAACTGGCACAAGACAGGGATGCCCTCTCTCACCACTCCTATTCAACATAGTGCTGGAAGTTCTGGCCAGGGCAATTAGGCAGGAGAAGGAAATAAAGGGTATTCAATTAGGAAAAGAGGAAGTCAAATTATCCCTGTTTGAAGATGACATGATTGTATATCTAGAAAACCCCATTGTCTCAGCCCAAAATCTCCTTAAGCTGATAAGCAACTTCAGCAAAGTCTCAAGATACAAAATCAATGTACAAAAATCACAAGCATTCTTATACACCAATAACAGACAAACAGAGAGCCAAATCATGAGTGAACTCCGATTCACAATTGCTTCAAAAAGAATAAAATACCTAGGAATCCAACTTACAAGGGATGTGAAGGACCTCTTCAAGGAGAACTACAAACCACTGCTCAAGGAAATAAAAGAGGATACAAACAAATGGAAGAACATTCTATGCTCATGGATAGGAAGAATCAGTATCATGAAAATGGCCATACTGCCCAAGGTAATTTACAGATTCAATGCCATCCCCATCAAGCTACCAATGACTTTCTTCACAGAATTGGAAAAAACTACTTTAAAGTTCATATGGAACCAAAAAAGAGCCCACATCGCCAAGTCAATCCTAAGCCAAAAGAACAAAGCTGGAGGCATCACACTACCTGACTTCAAACTATACTACAAGGCTACAGTAACCAAAACAGCATGGTACTGGTACCAAAACAGAGATATAGATCAATGGAACAGAACAGAGCCCTCAGAAATAATGCTGCATATCTACAACTATCTGATCTTTGACAAACCTGAGAAAAACAAGCAATGGGGAAAGGATTCCCTATTTAATAAATGGTGCTGGGAAAACTGGCTAGCCACACGTAGAAAGCTGAAACTGGATCCCTTCCTCACACCTTATACAAAAATTAATTCAAGATGGATTAAAGACTTAAACGTTAGACCTAAAACCATAAAAACCCTAGAGGAAAACCTAGGCATTACCATTCAGGACATAGGCATGGGCAAGGACTTCATGTCTAAAACACCAAAAGCAATGGCAACAAAAGCCAAAACTGACAAATGGGATCTAATTAAACTAAAGAGCTTCTGCACAGCAAAAGAAACTACCATCAGAGTGAACAGGCAACCTACAAAACGGGAGAAAATTTTAACAATCTACTCATCTGACAAAGGGCTAATATCCAGAATCTACAATGAACTCAAACAAATTTACAAGAATAAAACAAACAACCCCATCAAAAAGTGGGTGAAGGACATGAACAGACACTTCTCAAAAGAAGACATTTTTGCAGCCAAAAGACACATGAAAAAATGCTCATCATCACTGGCCCTCAGAGAAATGCAAATCAAAACCACAATGAGATACCATCTCACACCAGGTAGAATGGCAATCATTAAAAAGTCAGGAAACAACAGGTGCTGGAGAAGATGTGGAGAAATAGAAACACTTTTACACTGTTGGTGGGACTGTAAACTAGTGCAACCATTGTGGAAGTCAGTGTGGCGATTCCTCAGGGATCTAGAACTAGAAATACCATTTGACCCAGCCATCCCATTACTGGGTATATACCCAAAGGACTATAAATCATGCTGCTATAAAGACACATGCACACGTATGTTTATTGTGGCACTATTCACAATAACAAAGACTTGGAACTAACCCAAATGTCCAACAATGATAGACTGGATTAAGAAAATGTGGCACATATACACCATGGAATACTATGCAGCCATAAAAAATGATGAGTTCATGTCCTTTGTAGGGACATGGATGAAATTGGAAATCATCATTCTCAGTAAACTATCGCAAGGACAAAAAACCAAACACTGCATGTTCTCACTCATAGATGGGAATTGAACAATGAGAACACATGGACACAGGAAGGGGAACATCACACTCTGGGGACTGTTGTGGGGTGGGGGTAGGGGGGAGGGATAGCATTAGGAGATATACCTAATACCAAATGACAAGTTAATGGGTGCAGCACACCAGCATGCCACATGTATACATATGTAACTAACCTGCACATTGTGCATATGTACCCTAAAACTTAAAGTATAATAATAATTAAAAAAATAAAAATAAAAAAAATAAAATTCCATGGAGATACTGACAAGTGGCCATTCTGATTCCTGCAATATCTTTTTCAAAAAGCAATGCACTGCTTAAATTAATATATAATGCATCCACCAAAAAACTTTTAGAACTAATCAATAAATTCAGTAAAGTTGCAGGATAAAAAAATCAACATATAAACATCAATAGCATTTCTATACACTAATATCAAACCATTCAAAAAAGAAATTAATGAAACAATCCCAGGTATAATACCTACCAAAAACCCCCAATATTTAGGAGTAAATTTAATCAAGAAAGTGAAAGACACTGAAAACTATAAAAGATTGATGAAAAAATTGAAGAAAACACAAATTAATGGAAAGATATCATGTGTTATGAATTGGAAGAATTTATATTGTTAAATGTCCGTACTACCCAACACTATCTACAGATTTAATGGAATCTCCATCAAAATTCCAATGACATTTTTCACAGAAATGGAAAAAAAAACCCTAAAATTCAAATGGAACCACAAAATACCCCAAATAGCCAAAGCAATCTAGAACAAAAAAGAAAAAAGATAAAGGCATCATACGACCTGATTTCAAAATCTACTGAAAAGCTATAGTAATCAAAACAACATGGTACCAGTCTAAAAACAGACACATAGACCAATGAAAGAGAAGACAGCCCAGATGTTAATTCAGAAATTTAAGGCCAATTGATTTTCTGACAAAGTTGCTGCGAAAAGGACAGTAGTGTTTGGAAAAACTTCCATATGTGGAAGAATAAAATCAGACCCGTATCTCACACTATACACAAAAATCAACTTAAAATGGATTAAAGACTTAAGTGTAAGACCTGAAACTATAAAATTACTAGAAGAAAACATAGGTGACAATCTGCAATTGGTCTGGGCAATTTTTTGAATATGACCCAAAAGTACAGGCAACAAAAGCAAAAATAGATAAATGGGATTACATTAAACTAAAAAGCTTCTGCACAGTGAAGGAAACAATCAACAGAGTGAAGAGACAACCTACAGAATGGAAAAAAAATTGCAAATCACACTTCTGATAAGGGGCTAATACCCAAAATATACAAGAAACTCAAACAACTCAATAGCAAGAAAACAATCTGACTGAAAAATAAACAAAGGATCTGAATAGACTTTTCTCAAGAGAAGACATACAAATGGCCAACAGGCATATTTAAAAATGCTCAACATCATTAATCATCAGGGAAAGGCATTCAGTACTATAATATCACCTTACACCTTATAGAATTGCTGTTATCAAAAAGACAAAAGGTAAGTATTGGCACGGATGTAGAGAAAAGGGAACCCTTTGATACTATGGGTGGGAATGTAAATTGATTCAGCCATTGTAGAAAACAGTATAAACATTTCTAAAAAAATTTGAAAAACAGAACTACCATATGATCCAGCAATCTCACTCCTGGGTATATACTCGAAGGAAATGAAATCAGTATGTTGAAGAGATATCTACACTCTCGTGTTCACTGCAGCACTAGTCACAACAGCCAAGATGTGAAATCAACCTAGGTGTTCATCAACAGACAGATAAACAAAATGTAATATGTATGCACAATGGAATACTATTCAGCTTTGAAAAAAGAAGAAAATCCCGTCATTGTGACAATGTGGATGAACCTGGAGAACATTATGTTAAATGAAATAAGCTAGGCCCAGAAAGACAAATACTGCGTGATATTAATAATACTTCTGTGTCAAATCTAAAACAATTGACCTAATAGAAACACAGAGTAGAATATTGGCTACCAGGGGGTTGGGGTGGAAGTGAACTGTGGGGGAAATGTTGGTCAAAAGATACAAAATTTCGTTAGGAGAAATAAGTTCAGGAGATCTACCTACAACACGGTGGCTGCAGTTAATAACAATGTATTGTATTTGTGAAAGTTGCCAAGAGATAGATTTTAAGTGTTCTCAACACAAAAAATTGATAAATATGTGAAGTAACACATATGTTAATTAGCTCAGTTCAGCTGTTCCCCAAAGTATACATATTTGAAAACATGTTGTATATGATGAATCTAGTTTTTACTCATTAATTAAAAATTAATTAATAAAAATTAAAAGAGAACTTGTTTCAATTACACTGTTTTAAGACAATGTCCACATCTCAAAAATAAAATCCTGCCATGCCTTGAAGAAAAAAAAATCTTCAGATAGCTGTTGGATAGCTCTCTGTGAAGACCCAGATAGTCATGGCCTCTGTGTAAGCACCACACTGATGGCTTTCTGCTGTATGTTTGGTTTATTCCACTTTCTGAATCACCTGACTTCATACCACCAGATCACCAGGGTAATGACCCCATCTCAAGGATGATGCTATTTTGCTGATTGTGAAGATGGATTTTGGTGTTTCTAATGACGTTTGTCAAGGTGAGGTTGGTTTGAGACTTAGGTACATGGCCATTTAAATCTATAAAGAGAATTTGATTAATCAACTATACATATGTATTATATATATAATGCAAAAGAGACTATACTTTGAATGCTACTGAAAGCTTAATTCATATGATATATATAATTATAAAAGCTAAGTCATGAAAACTGATAAATAATAGTAATATCTTGTTTTCAGCTATTTCTCTGAGGAAAATTAGGGAAGAGAAAGTTGTTTCATTACGAAGTACTAGAAAAAAGATAATTTTCTTCTTTTTTTCTGTACGTACTTCAATAATCTGGCTCCTTTTAAAGTTTAAGCAAACTAATTTAAGAATTACATAATCTATCTTAGAATAACTTTACATTTATTTGATTCCCAGTGTTTTCTAAAGAAACACTGAAGAAAAAGATATATACTCTTAGAAGCAACACAAAATATTAAAAGCGTTCTGGACCAGAAGTAAAGAGATGTGATTTTCAGTGCTGGCTTCCCATCAGTGTGAACTCAGGCAAGTCACTCAACTTTCCTGAAGCTAAGTTTCCTTGTGGGTATAATAGAGATGTCAGCATCTGCTCTATTTAAACAATTGTTGTGTGGCAAAAATTCTTTATTTATCCAGCAGTTGTTAGTGCTTATTAGGTTCTTCTTATGGAGATATGAAGACAAATACAATTCAGTTTCTTCTCTCAAGGAACACAGAGGTGGGGAGATACAGACAGAAATTTGGGGTAGAGTCAAAGAATACTCCTGGAAGGAGGAGATCTTGAAGAAGAAATAAGAGGTAGTGAAGAGAATGGAAGAAGACAAGATAAGAGCATTCCAGGTAGAGGGCACAGCATCCTGCAAAGGTAATGAGTTATGAGAGTGTAAGGTGCTGGGGGACCTGCCCGGCATTCAGGTCTGAAACAGAAGGGGAAAAGTCAAAGGTGAGATTGGAAAGGTGGGCACAATCCAGCTAAACCAGAGTAGCAGATACTGTGGCTATGGATTTGTCTTCTAACCTAGAGGCAATGAGTGAAGGTGAGGGGTTATGAAGGATTAGGAAAGGGATTTTAGGAAACGCACTCTGAAGGTAACATAGGCAATGAAATCAGAGGCTGGTAAACTAGCTCAGGGTCCATGGTACTAGTTCAGATGAGAAAAAGTAAAGGCCTGCGCTAACGCAGTGGCAGCAAGGATGGAGGAGAAAAACCAATGTTGAGAGATAGTTTGGATGAAGTCTGACCGGTGGCATATAGAAGGGAAAATCAGGGTGAATCAAAGGTTTCTGATTTGCCTGGGCAGACAGTGTCTTCATTTATAAGATTAAAAAAATAAAGATGATAAAGCAGGTTTCTGGGGCTCAAGTTAAACTTACGCATGTCGGGCTTGTTGTGCCTATGGGTTATTCAAGCAGTGATGTGCAGAAGGCAACTGGATAGATGTAACACATTTGACAATGCTGTGAGCTGTTCCAATGTAAGCAATATTGCTTGAATCCAGTTATATAATTTCAGTATGTGTATTAACTCTCACAAGGCCACTAGGGAAATTACTATAGTATACTTGGTCTATTTAATGGTACTCCAAGGGCTTCAAAGAATAAAGACATCTTTCACTTCTTTACTGGATTTTCTTGCTTAACAGAAATCATTTAACTACCTACAGCATCATTTCTATTGTGAGCTACCTCGGATGGCTTGTAGCTTCTTGCTCACGTTCATGTGGCTGGCGTCTGGACTGGATTAAAAAGAACTACCATGCAGATGGAGACGGAGGACAGTATTCTGGAACCTTTCTCCCTCTAACCTTACTGCCTATTGCATTTTCCTATATGCATTCTTACTTCCAGCTGCCATGGGGTCATCAAGCTTTAGCTTAAATCAAATGTCCTCTGGCTCCAGGTCCCATGATGAAAAATTTATGGAGTCCTGGACACATTACAAGTTTTACAGCTTTACAGCTGAAATCCTTCAGGTGCTCCTGACCTACTGAAGGAAAAAATATGTTTTATTTTATTGTGATTCCCAAAAGTTCTTCTAGTGTGTGCACTTTTCCAGCAGAATGTGCATGTTGCTTCCAGCAATGTGTTTTATATTACCTTGAAGACTAGGGAAGCTCTGATAGAAGGAAACAACTTAGTTTTCTTGCCAGCACAAAAGAAAACAGAGCTTGCCATTGGAAGAATGATCAGTTGACCAAGATGATGGATAATTAGTTTGTTTTTCTCTTTTACTGAGGATAGCCTATATAAGTCAATGACTGTATCCAAACTATTTTAAAAACAATCTATAGCCACCAACTTATGATACATTGGCCTCTTAGGTGGGGTTATTTTATTAATTACATAATAAAGATTGTATTAATTATATAATAAAGATTTTCTATGACCTTGAAATATCATATGTCCTCATAAGGTCCAGGATGCAGCTAGCTCAACACCCTCAGATTAAACATTTCCTGGGTAACAAACGGGCTTTCCAAACATATGTCAGAACCAAAAATCGCTCTCTGCTCAGGAAATTATAAGTAACATCATTTGGGATGTGGCTTGAAAAGGAGGTATCTAAATAGGGCTCACCTTGACAATGAAATCTGCTGTGAGTGGTCCAGCCATTCTCAGTATCTCTTTGTCTGGAAATTTCTGGAAGTCCACACTAGAATTGTCCACAAGGAAAGTTCCTGTGGAGCTGAGACTGTTTTCACCTTTAGTCCCCTGGAGGGTTTTGGTTTCCAGATCTATATGATCAAACACGTGAAGATGAGAGAAAGATGTTCCTAGGGCAACCACAGGCAAGCACATTTCATGCAACAATGTTTAGAGCTAGGTAAGGGAGACACATCATTCTTTATATAGCTGACAAAATTGAAATTGTGATATCAACAAACTATACAGGCACTGCTGAGTCACATAGGAATTTATGCTGGAGTTGAAATTATTTCAAAAGTCATTAGCCAGGCATTCAAGGGTTCCTGTCAAAAAAATCTTTGACTCTCCAGATGATGTTATTTGGGCATCCCGCTTTACTGCAACCCTATTCCTTTGACTAAACCAATTCTCATATGTCTCTTTTTGACTTCAATCTTGATGGCCCTCAGCCTAGGATACCCTCCAGTTTTCTTTTTGCTCTACAAGATCCAGGGTGTATCTCTGAGTTGCCTCAGTACCCGTATGACTTTATATTCGTGCATTAGCCTGTGTTTATTTATACTTTCTGGTTACTTACTGCACTGATGCTATTGCTCAAAATGAAGAAACGATAGTGATGTAAGAACAAGAACTATCATTTTCAGTATTTTCTTTTTAAAATCCATTTTGATACTTAGTTCAGCTTTATGCATATATAAGGTATTTCATAACTGCTTGAGATAGAAAAAAAACCTTGATTTCTGGAGCATTCAAATCCAGATTTGGCCAATGACAAAGCCTATGAAGCATGTTTTGTTGTAGAAAATCAGAGCATGCTGGGGATGATGGTAATTATGTTGTGTGATTCAGAGAAGACTAAGTTCTCATGTGACTGAGGGGTGATTTAGAACAACTGTCTGTTATGTTGCACGAAGAAAGATGGATGGACTAAGGCTAATGGGTTCCAAAACTTGACAAGAACGTTTGGTTTTGGCAGAGATTCCTCAGCAGAAAAATGGAGTGCTTGGATGGGGCTCTGGGTTAAAACAATTTTAAGGTCTCTGGAGGCACTCAAGTACCTAAAGTACTTGTATTACATTATTGTAGAGGGGGTCTACTTGTAGTTCTCTATTGCAAAGAATATCAACAAGTGGAAAACCTTGGTGTTCAATTAAATGCCCAGTGATTCTCAAATGAAGTCTGTGGAGACTTTCTTCTGGAGTAGGCCAGGCTTCACTCCCTTGCCCCAGAACAGAGGGGATCCCACCGAAAAATACAGGGCACATTAAAGGAATATTGCAGGGAGGAAATCACGTTGTTGTCATCAGGGGAAAGCAACTGCACTAAATCTCCTTCCTCCAGCCTTCATTCCTCAAACTGCCTCACAGGCACTTGTAGAAATATTTCTAGGACATCAATTAACTTAGTTTTGGGAAAATCTTGCAGTTGTAGGCCTGATCTGAGCATCTGATTCCATTTTATCAAGAGGCTTACAGCTGTCCTTCTCAAGGTACCTCTAATTAAAGATGAGCCAAGGGGGCAGACTAGATTGCCTCATCTTATTCTGGTTTGGTCCAAAATATTTAAGGTTGGTTTCACACTGTACCAGCTTCTGGGAGTGAAGAGCAAAAGAGAAACAGGGTATCTTTCACTCCCACATTCATTTTGCTGAATTATATTTCAAATACAAAAAAAGAACACACAAGGAAAAATGATTTAGCTATACATATGCTACCAATAGTATGTTTGTTGGGAGAAAAAAGCAGGTTCCAGTTTGCTTTTCATCAAATCTTTAGGATAATTAAATCACACAAGGCCAATTCTTCAGCTTCTTTGTGATCACATAATTATGAAATCTATGAGACTAATACATTTATAAAAATAAATTTCCCTCTTAAATCTACTCCTATGGGTTCTTTCTTCCGCAATGAAGAGTCAGTCCCCCACTTGGTGATGTTCTTGGCCTGAATATTTTATTTCAGTATCTGTTACTGCTCACAAAAGTACTATTTTTGAGTGGAGAGTTAGTTGAGTGGAGAGTTAGTGGACAGTTAGCCCTCTCCAGTTCTCAAATGGGGAAAAATGAATCATTTGAGTGGTAATAATACACACACATACATTATCTTTTGACATGTGAACACTGTATTTTACAGGGTTGTTCAGGATTAGAAACAAACTTGAATCCATAGAAGGTGACTTAATCATCATTTTCTGGTTTTGCCTGAACTGTACCTTACTTATTCTTTTACTTCACAAGGCCTTTCAAATCCCACCTCTTCCATGACATGTATTTATTTTTATATCTAGAAAGACTACTGTAGGCTATCTTGACTTTTATGGGCTTCAATTTGTCTTCCTCTTGTTTGCCTTTTTAGCGTGATTTCATTCATAATCCAACTACTAAAAAATACTACTTGCTATCTAAATTGGTTTCACAGGCATTTGTGTGGGAGGGGAGAAAGGACAGACGATAGATGGCTTTGTGGAAACCCAGGAACAATCACAGTGGAGGAAATCAGAAATGCTCAAGGAACCAACTGAAGTGAAGCCTTTCAGTGAAACTGAATTTTACAGAAAATGCTACCATATCCCCTCCCATCCTCTTCTTTGTTTATAGCCTATAATTTTCTTCTTGTAATTTACAGGTCTGTATCTAAACAACACTAAATAATAAGAAATAGGTGGCTCTGTACTGCTGCCTTGGCATGATTGAAGATCAATTTTTGCACAAACCCTGGAGGAGCCATGCTGCCATTTGATCTTTGGGGTTATGATTACCATTCAATCCTGAATCCCAGTAGCTATCTTTAAGATATGAGGTCCCTGAATTTTCTTTAAAACATGGGATGCTTAATTACACCATGATGGTTTTCTTTAAATTCTACAGTGTTAAGGTTGTTTGGTGTTTCTATGTTCCTCTGGATTGATGGAAGTAATGAAACATGAAAGTAGGTAGAAAAAGAGAATAAAGGAAGAAAAGAGAAGTGGGTTAGAAGAAAGAAGAAAAAAGGAGAGGCAAGGCAAAAAAAGATTGAGATTGGAAAGGAAGAAGAAAGAGAATGAGATATAACACTCGCAAGAGCATAAACATGTGCTTAACCCATGAACAACCCATTGGGAGCATCTATTTTGTATTTTTCAGGATGACTGTGGTTAAAGATAATTACTACAGGGGTTTCTGCCATCTCATCAGGCAGCTAAAAGATAAACAGAGGTACTCAAAATATCATATTATGATAGAGTAGAAAGATTTGTATTCTTGTGTTTTAATCTTTTCTGGGAAGACAAAATAAATAATAATGACTACAATTCCCAATTCCCAAAGGAAAACAATGGAGTTACTTACATAAGTGATCAGGACCTTTTAAGACAAGGCGAATATGTCTACTTCCATAGGGAATTGCAACCACAGTATCATCCGCTAGAGAGAAACAAAGCAAAATCTTAAAAGCATGTCACTTGACACAAAATTATTGATTGCCTTCTAAATAAAGGCACTGACTTCCATACCTTAAAAACTACAGTTTTTTTAAGTGTTTGAAATGTGAAGGCCAATATTTAGAAATCAACATTTTCACTTTGCTCAAAATAAAATATGCCAAAGATGCTAGTCACTAGTTAACTCCTAGAGGATTTGGCCTTTTAAAAAATAGGAATTTTGATATACTGAAAAATTGGTTTGCAAGTTTTCATTTTCGATTTTAAAATCTGGTCTTATATGATCAAAAACACTTGGGCTGAATTAAAACATAAAAATACATTATAATGTTTAAAGGATGAATTTATTACATCAAAATCTGGACTTCTCTCCAGCAGAGTATCTTGGATGAGTAGAACAGGTAAGAGAAGTGGAAGATATATTGGTATGCGCTGAACACCCCAGGGGCAGAAATCATGCCTTCTAGTTCTTAAATATCCTTCACAATATCTATTCCTAATACTATATGTAGTGAGCACCCCATAAGTGTTTCTTAACATTTCTCTACACTATACTCTATTTTAAAATTTTTTTTTAGAAATTGACTGAACCACAGATCACTTTATAATAGATTTCTTTTCACTCTATTTATAAATTGAGCTTAAATTCATTAGACACAGACATTTTTAAAAATTAGAGCTATATTACATGCATCTCAAATACCATCACAGGCATTCTTATTCAGAACTCCATTTGTAATGACAGTATCTTATATTTTTATGGTACTGCAGAGGTTAAATTTCACCTAAATTATACTATTTACTCCCTCACCCAAAACTTCTGACATTGGCACAGAGGATTTTCTGATGAACAAATGAAATTTCTGGGAAGTACAATGCATAGTCCAAGATCAAATGGATAGAAAGGCACTTCAGAAGACAAGAGAAAGGCAGGTTTTAAAATATTTACCAGCATATTCAGAAGCCCTGTGTGATTCTTTGTTCATACTTATCTTTTTTATTTAATATATATATATTAAATATATATTTACATACATATTTATATATATAAATATATATATATATATTTACATATTCTTTTTTTTTTTTTGAGGAATCTCGCTCTGTCACCCAGGCTGGAGTGCAGTGGTGTGATCTTGGCTCAACTGCAACCTCTGTTTCCTGGGTTCAAGCAATTCTTCTGCCTCAGCCTCCCAAGTAGCTGGGATTATAGGCGCCCACCATCACGCCTGACTAATTTTTGTATTTTTAGTTGAGATGGGGTTTCACTATATTGGCCAGACTGGTCTCGAACTCCTGACCTCATGATCCGCTCACCTCAGCCTCCCAAAGTGCTGGGATTACAGGCGTGAGCCACTGCACTCAGCCCTTATTATTATTTTGAGATAGGGTCTCGCTATCACAGTGTGATCACAGCTCACTGCAGCCTTAGCTTCCCGGGCTCAAGAGATCCTCCTACTTCAGCACCCCAAGTAGCTGGGACTGCAGGTGCACACCACTACGCCCAGATGGTTTTTGTAATTTTGTAGAGATGTGGTTTTGCCATGTTGCCCACGCTTGTCTTGAACTCCTGAACTGAAGAGATCCACCTGCCTCGGCCTCCCAAAGTGCTGGGATTGCATGGGTAAGCCACTGCACCTGGCCTGTTCAGACATATTTTTTTTTAACAGTGTACATAATTATCCTATCATTGGAAGGATTTAGGTTAAATAAGATAATCCCAATTGTTACTCAATTTCTCTGAACCTTAATATTATCATCCTATCTTTAGGAGAATTTAGTTTAAATTAGTGAATCTCAGAAGTTACCTGACTTCTCTGATCTTCAGTTTCCTCATTTGTAAAACAGGGAAAACAAAACTTGCCTTATACTATTGTCGTGACTAGATATAAATATAGACATGAATCTAGATATAGGGATGTATAGCCTGGAACACAGTAAGTATTCTGTAAACATTATTTTCCTCTCTCTACCCCAAATCTCTTAAAGGACAGGGATTGAAAAACTATTTTTTTTTTAAATAGTGTTTCAACTCTCCAAGGCCCCTAGCACATTATCTGTTGAATGAGAAAAAAGAATCATATGCTCCCAATTCCTTCCCTGGAGAGGTTACATTATCGAGTTCTCTACAAAGTTGAATATTCCACTCATGACAAAATCTTATAGCTGTTTTTAATGTCATACATTGTTGAATTTCAGAGAGCTAAGAATTTGTGGTATATAAGAACAACAACAGAAAAAAGTGTAAGGGGAATATAGAAAAGGAACCAAAAAAAAAAAAAAAAAAGTTAAGATTAGGCCTACAGAGCTTCTTTGGTTTGTTTGTTTTTTGAGATGGAGTCTCACTTTGTTACCCAGGCTAGAGTGCAGTAGCATGATTGTGATCTTGACTCACTGCAACCTCCGCCCCCTGGGTTCAAGTGATTCTCCTGCCTCAGCCTCAAGTAGCTGGGATTACAGACTTCTGCCACTGCAGCCCGGCTAATTTTTGTATTTTTAGTAGAGACGGGGTTTCACCATCTTGGCCAGGCAGGTCTTGAACTCCTGACCTTGTGATCCACCCACCTCGGCCTCCCAAAATGCTGGGATTACTGGAGTGAGCCACCACACCCGGCCGAGACTGGGCCTACAGAGCTTTAAACGCCTTGCATAAAGACATGACTTTTTAAGTTTGCAAAAGAAACTCAAAGCAGTTAAAACAATGGGACTTTCTAGAAATAGAAAGTCTTTGTTTACCCACAGTTCAAATAAAGTGCAAGTAAAAGGAAAGCTTTCTGTTTGGCCCTGCCATGCTCAGCAGCAGTCTTCTGACCCACACACAGCTCATGCAGCCTCCCTCTTGCTCTGCTGGGAAGTGACTCACATTCCATAAACTGGAACATTAATACCCTAGCTCTTGGCTGATGCTGTAATATCTGTATGTTCCCTAAAGAAGACAGGGTGTGGTAACATTAGCATGCACCCCCAAAAAAGAGAGGAGAAGAACCTCCTAGAAAGTTGTTGAGGAAGAGGGTATATGGAGAAAGTAGACCAGGTGAAATAGTATTTCCTGATGCCCCTTGCACTCACCTAGTCAAAGAGAAATGAAGCAAGTCAGGCTGGTACAAACTCTAGCAGTTGGCAGCACATGGCACAGAAGTAGGAAGAGCCACAGCCTTCTCTTATATATTATTCTGAAAAGGGCTGATGGACCCCTGGCCAGACATTAAACGATCTGCAAATTCATTACTTTATTCCACAAGTATTTTTTGAGTGTCTTTTAGTGTCAGGCTCCATGCTAGGTACTAGGGATTCAGTGACAAAGAAGATAAACAAAGCACTAGCCCCACGAGATGGTCCTGAAAAAGGGATCTAAGATAAAATATGGGGGAAATACAAAATACTACACCCCACAGATGAAATTCCCAAAGCATATTCATTCATTTTTTTAGGAGCACTGCACCAAAGAAACCCATTTCACTCTATTTAACCCCGTGTATACCTAAGATGTTTATCCATAAAAACTTTTTCTTATGTGTCATCTGTTAAAATCAGCTGATATATCTTAGGACATACTTTAAGGAACAGTACTCTTAATTTAACAAAAAACAAAATAGGGAAAACAATTAAAAATTTCATTTTCTGCATGTTCATAAAAAGCCACTTTTGAGTTGTTTATGTATTAATAATTGTCTCACTTTCTGATAAATCCTCAATGATTTGGGATGGATTGGAAGATGCTTCTACTTGGCATCTATTACAATATTGTGCACAGAGTGGTGTTTAAGATCTCTTAGGATGTGAGAGCAATCTGGTGGCAACACCTGCCTCCTTGGTGATTAATGCCATTAGTATAGCTGGCGAGGCAGGGGCCACATCCTCTCCCACCGTGCTGCACATTCCTCTGGGTGCCCTTTCCTACAAAGGCACACTGTTTTACGATTGAGTGCATCTGCCCTAATCTATTCTGGCTTTGTTGACTGAACCATGATGCCAGTCTTCAGGACATATTTCTAGCTTATTAATCAACAATTCTAAATGATCTGCTTCAGATACCAGATAACCCATTTCTCCATTCAATGAACAAAATTTCCATGGGAATCATAAATTCTGTCATTTCACAGATATGGGTTGCAAATGTCTTTTCTCAAGAAAATTCTTCCCAAGGACTGTACCTAAAAGTATTCTTTAAAAAATATCTATCTATATGTATATCACACAACTTTCTATATAGAATATTTTATATTCATTTTAAAATCTTGTCATATGTGGATGTTCTGCGTGATTCACAGCTGTGTCAGAGAAAGGTGATGAGGATAATATTTTGAAAGACAGAATTTCCTATTCTGATATCTGAGTTTATCTTATTTTTAGATCCGTTGATGAGTTCATGTTTTTAAAGACTCTTCCCTCTATGCCTATGGAGCTGACACTTTATTTTATTTTATTTTTAAAAATGAGAGAGTCATTTTAAAATACAATTGACTATGTATAAAAATAGTCTGCCAATCTTGAGGAGGTTTAAATGGTATGTTTTACATCTTCGTGACGGTTTTATTACTCTTAAAATATATCCAACAAAATAAGAAGTTGAGCATCTGAGGCTTTCAATTTTCTCCCTGGTTTATCTGTAATTGCACAATAGAAGATATATACTGGACAGGCCAAACAAGATGCCCTCCTCATTCCCATCTGGAGAACTTCATCCTTCCATTTGCCTAGGCCAGAAAACTTGGAGCCATCCTCTACTTCATCTTTATATGTAATCAGTTAAAAAGTTCTGTTGTCAAAATACCCTATTTCATTGATTCCAAGAGGGACAACTTTTCATGCTTTAACATATATGAAATCAGAATACATCTCACAATCAGTAGTATCTTATATTCCCTCTCACTCAGGCGATAATCCTGACATAGATACCGTTGCCTACACAGGTGCTAACATCAAAACAGCCAGTATCAAACTCACAAAATGAGTGTCAGCCGCTTGGGAGAAAATTATAAGACAATATTGGAACACATTCAACCTCTAGGAACCAAATGGCTGTGGAGGTTGTAGGGAGATGAGGAATCAGAATTACAGGTGCTTAACTGCATTGTCGTAGAAGGAGTCAAAAGTTGGCTAGCTCTATGTAATTGCAGAGCTGAATTGAAAGCCCAGCACCAAGACTTCTGCTTCTGACAAAGATGAACTAACAGGAACCAGATTTAATATTCTGTCTAAAACAATCAAAAAGTCAGATGAAACCATGGTTTTTAAGATATTGGACATCAGGCAAAAAAGGGCAGCAATTCTGTATACTCAGGAAACACATCAGATAAGGCCCAACATTGCCCCAGCTTACTGCCTTGATAGAGTTCCTAGGCTACAGCTTTGGAAGTATGAAGACCTGTAGAGCTCAGTAGATTCCCTGAATTGAGTAGACAAAGCCAAGAGTCCAAGGAGACAAAAACAGTTAGAATTTCTGGGACAAAGTAACAGAAAGGAGAGAGCTATACAGAAGGACAACTCTGGACACCCAAGAGGGTTTCCTTAAAGTAGCCAGCAGCATACTAATCAATACATAAGTGTGAGGAAATTACCCGGCCTGGGGAAAGAACTACACAAAAGAATTATAGAGAAGAGTACACGGTGCTCATACAGGGCTGAGAATAGTATCTTATCCCATCAGCCAAAGTGACAAACTTTGTAAGTCATGGAACATTAAGTAGTCTACTCAGAAAGGTCCCGCCTCAGTAAAAGGGTACAATTAGCTCTAGACCAAACATGGCTTTGGTCCTGTCTACCACATTTTAAGACCCCAAAGGTTCAAACTGATTTCAGTAACTTAACTGCTCCCAGAACACAGCTCAAGGATATTTATAGAAATACAAAAATATCTAGTACCCAAGAAAGTAAAATTTGTAATGTCTGGCATCAAGTCAAAAAATAATGAGGCACGCAAAGAAACAAACAAACAAAAAAAACAGCACATATTAAAGTGAAAAATCAATCAATCCAAACACAGAATGGATATTAAAATAGTTACTATAATGGTGTTCCATAAGTTCATAAGGTTACATACTGAAAAATAAATCTCCAGATCCAGAAAATTTCACTGGGGCATGGTAGCAGCCATTTAAAGAATAAATATATTCAATTCCATACAATCTCTTCCAGAAAAAAAGAAGACAAGCAATTACTTCTCTACTCATCGTTTGAGGCCATTTTGTGCTAATACTAACACCAAACAAAGACAATACAAAAAAGAATACGACAGACCAGTATCTCTCATGAACACAGATAAAAAGCCTCAACAAAATACTGCCGAATCAAACTAGAAATCTATATAAAGAATAATACACCATGACCAAGTACACTTTATCCCAGAAATGCAGAGTTGGTTATTTAAAAACCAATTAATGTAATTCATCACAATAACAATCTAAAGAAGAAAAACCACAGGACTTTGTCAGTTGAGGTAAAAGAGAATTTAATAAAATTCATCATCCCTTCATGTTATTAACTCTCAGCAAACCAGGAAAGGAAGGGAACTTCCTCAATCTGATAAAGGGCATTTATAAAAACCTACAGCTAACATCATACTCAATGGTGAGAAACTGAATGCTTTCCTCTTAAGATTAGGAATAAGATAAGGACCTCCATTGTCATCATTCCTATTCACTATTGTATTGCATGCGTAGCCAGTACAATAAGACTACAAAAAAAAAAGTGGCTTACAAATTGAAAAGAGGCAAAACCACTCTTACTTGTAAACAACATGATTGTTTATTGAGAAAATCCCAGTCATCTACCAAAAAACTCAGAGGTATTGAGTGAGTGTATCAAGTTTACATAATACACGGCTAACACACAAAAATCAATCATGTTTCTGTGAACTAGGAATATATAATTGGACATGGAAATAAAGAATACAATGCCAAGCCAAGCGCAGTAACTCCTGTAGTCCCAGCTACTTGGGAGGCTGAGGCAGGTAGATCACTTGAGCTAAGGAATGTGGGTCTGTAGTGTGCTATGATTACATCTGTGAATAGCCACTGCACTTCAGTCTGGGCAACATAGTGAAACCTCATCTCTAATTTTAAAAAAGAGAATATAATGCCATTTGCAATAGTTACAAAAAATACAACAGATGTAAATCATATAAAGTATATGCGATCTTCATGCTGAAAGCTAATAAAGGCTAATCAAAGAGATAAAATAAGACCTAAGTAAACAGAGACATAAAATTCTCATACCTTATAGATTGAGTGACTTAACATGCTAAAGATGTCAATTCCTACCCCCTCCAAATCAATCTGTAGAATTAACACAAAAAAATCCCAGCAAGACTTTTTGTAGATATGGACAAGCAGATAGTAAAATTTATATGGAAAGACAAAGACCCAGAATAGAATAGCCAAAATGAATTTGAAAACAAGAACAAAGTTGGAGAAATCACACTACCACATTTTAAGATTTACCTTAAAGCCACGGTAATAAAAAAAATGGAGTATTGATGAAGGGACAGACACATAGCAGAATAGAGTCCAGAAACAGACCCTCAGAGAAACGGCAATAGATTTTTGACAAGGTTTAAAGACAATTCAAAAGAGAAAAGGCTGTCTTTTTCAACAAATGGTACTGGAAGAATTGGGCGTCTATACGAAAAAAAATTCAAGCTACCTATCAAACTTACACCTTATACAAAAAATAACTGAAAATAGGTCACTGATCTAAAGGTGAAATGTATTTCTGCAAGAAAACACGGAGAAAATCTTTGTGTCCTGGTCTTAGGCAAGAAGTTCTTAGACATGACATTAAAAGCATGAGCCGTAAAAGAAAAAAAATGATAGCGTGGTCTTCATCCAAATGAAAAGCTTTTGCTCTGTGAAAGATAACATTAAGCAATTTTGAATAAAAAAGCTATGATGGAGAAAATATTTCCAATTCAAATATCCCACAAAGGACTTGTACCTAGTATATATAAAGAACTCCCAAAACTCAACAAGAGAAAGTCAAGCAACACATTTTTTAAAAATGAGCAACAGACTTGAACTGACACTATGCAAAAGATGAACAAAGCACACTGTGGTAAGTAGACTAATGTATCCCTCTCCCCTGCCAAATATGTCCTTAAATCTGTGAATGTGTAATATTATGTGGCAAGGGGGAATTAAGGTTGCTAATGGAATTAAGATTGCTAATCAGGTCACCTTAAAATTAAGTGATTATCCTGGATGATCTGAGTGGACTCAATGTAATCACAAACATTCTTTAATATGGAAGAGGCAGGCAGAAGAGGAAGCTTGAGTCAGAGAGAGATCTGAAGATGCTAAGCTACTGACTTTGAAGATGCCAAAGAATGTGCATAGGCTCCAGGAGCAGGAAAATCAAAATTGAAGAAAGAGAAATACTCCCTCAATGCTTCCAGAGCTGTGTTCTGCAAACACCTTGTTTTTAGCCCAGTGAAACCTATTTCAGTTTTCTGACGCCCCCAGAACCATAAAATAATAAATTTGTGTTGCTTTAAATCACTTAGTCTGTGGTAATTAGTTACAGCAGCAATTGCAAGATAATACAACATGAAAAGATGTTAACATTATTAGCCATTAGGAAAATGCAAATAAAAACAAGTATGAAATACCACTACTCACTGATAAGAATGGCTAAAATTTAAAATGGTGGCCAGGTGCCGTGGCTCACACCTGTAATCCCAACACTTTGGGAGGTTGAGGTGGGCAGATCACTTGAGGCCAGGAATTTGAGACCAGCCTGGCCAACATGGCAAAACCCCATCTCTACTAAAAATACAAAAATTACTCAGGCATGATGGTGTGCACCTGTAATCCCAGCTACTTGGGGAGGCTGAAGTGGGAGGATCACCTGAGTCCAGGAGGTCAAGGCTGCAATGAGCTGAGCTGTGATAGTGCCACTGCACTGAAGCCTCAGTGACAGAGTGAGACCCTGTTTCAATAAAAGAAAAAAAGAAGAAAGAAAGAAAAAGAAAAGAAAAGAAAGAAAGAAAGGAAAGAAAGAAAGAAAAAGAAAAAAAGAAAAGAAAGAAAGGAAGGAAGGAAGGAAGGAAGGAAGAAAGACAGAAAGAAAGAAAGAAAGAAAGAAAGAAAAAGAAAGTAAGAAAGAAAGAAAGAAAGAAAGAAAATAAATACAGGTGCAGTATATCTATGATTGGATCACTTCTCATCATTTCCACAGCTACTGGTACAGTCCAAGCCATTGTCATCTGTGGCCTGGCTTAGTGTAATATCTTTCCAACTACAGTCTATTCTCAGTATAGCAGAAATCTGATCAAGTTATTCCTCTGTTCAAAATCCTCCAACAACTTCCCATTTCATTCAGACTTACAAAAAACCCCACAATATCTGTGCCATTCTTCCCCCAGCCTCATATCATTTTCTCTAGCCTTTTTGAAACTCACCTCATTTTAGTCACACTGGCTTCTTTGTTCTTCATGAAATATATCCCGAATGCAAATACCACAGGACGTCTGCACTTGCTTTTCTCTTTTCCTAGAATTTTCTTCTCCCTGACTTCTGCATGGTGACCCCTTTTCACTTCCCTTAGATCCTTGTTTAAATGCCATGTTATCAGTGAGTCCTTTCTTTATTAATTTACTGAAAATTGCAGCTCCCCTGCATCACCTGTGGCTGGCAGCCTATACCCATTTCCTGTTCTCCTGCTCTGGTTTGTTTTTTCCATGGCTCCTAGGAAGATAAATGGATTTTGTCTGTTTTGTTCTGTGCTGTTTCCAGCACCTAGAACAGTTCCTCAGCATATAGCAGGTGCCCATTAAATATGTGCTGTTGAATGAATATATCCTTGAGTGGCTTGTGAGGATAGCCCAAAGCAGCCAGGGGCAGGTGGAAATTTCTTTAGTGTTTTGTGCTTTCTTTAAAAAATCCATATGTATTTTGTACTTTATAACATAGAGGCCTGTGTTTTATTATAAGCGTACTTTACCTCAAAATCTTTGAGCTAGAATGATAGTCCAAGAATATGTTTACCCATAGCCATTATACGTCAGCATAAGCCACAGTCTGAGAAGCACATTTTTAAGTATTAAAAGCTTAATTTTATCTTGATATAAGTGAGTTAAGTGACCTCACCATGCAAGAAAGGTAGAGAGAGAGCTTTAGGATCTCCAGGTGATTTCAAAACATACAGATACAGACGAGAGTTCTGCAAAGCTGGAAATATCAAATTGATAGCAAATAGGCTGGCTCTAGCCCTAAGAATATTCTGAGTATACTTGGAAAATATAGAACATAGTATAAGTCAATAAATCTTGTGAGAAATGAACTTTTAAATTTTAAGAATCAAAAGCAAGGTAATGTCAGCTATATTTGACTATTTTTATTGGGTTGGGGGAGTTGAGAAGTAACTAGAAAAAATGAAAAGGCTGAGTGCTACCAGTGGGTAGTCTTTTCCTTTAAGAAAGGAGAAAGAGTACTTTGATCTTGCTCTATTTCCATTGTCTGTATTTGTATTAGGCAATTGTAATGTCTTTTAATAAAAAGATGATTTTTTAAAAATCACCAGCAAATGGCAGCCATTTGATAAACTTCTCCTACTTCTCTTTATCCTTCTGGCACATTCTACCATGGTTTTTCTCCACTTTCCTGTTTTTGCTTTGTTCCTCTGAGGCTTGATAACATAAGGGAAAAAAAAAAAAAACTTGGATATAAGTTCAGAAAGAAAGTGAGTTCAATGTGGGGAATCTGAGTGCCAGAAGTTTGAAGAGAGCATGTGGCGAGCTGACAGTGCCTTTTGGCAGAAGACAGGGGAGAGATCTGGCAGGACTCCTCCAGGTGTGGAGAACTGCTCACCTGGCTTCTCCACTGGGCCCTGCAGAGCAGCCTCATGTTCCCTGCCAGTGGGTCGCCTCACAGTCTGTAAATATAAGATGGAAGATTCTTCCAGAGTAGAGAAACATAAGTGAGGCAGTTTGTTCAGCATCTGCTATAGATTGTGGTGAGGTGCATGCATATGGTGGGCTTTATTGATATCAATCATTTTGTCATGAGACATCATCAGTGCTAAGGTAAACGAATCAATTCCATTTTGTCAGTATGTATAATCATCAGGTTGTGTATTATATAATTTACCTACTGTCGGTCTTGAATAGGGCACTTTTCATTGAGGTATTTATTTGCAGACTTGGAGATGATATAGGGCTCTCAATTTGCTTCAGTTTCTTCCTTAGGAGCTTCTCCATCTTTGTTTTGTGATTCAGGCCCTAGAGGTCACCCATCCCTCCCTAACAGTAGGGTAAGAGGAATGTCTATCTGAGCACAGTAGTCTAGATCCTCTATGAGAACAAGAAGGTATGGGCATGAGAATAAAGAAGCACCTTTACCATTAAAAACATGCTCCCAGGACACTATACAGCCATCACTGCACACATGCATGACATTTCCTTTTGTACCTAACAGTAATTCCTAGATTCCTAGATAATGAACACTGATTCAGTTACATGCCAGAAATAATTAGAGGATTTTAATTCTTTTAGCATTCCATGAAGAGTTCTTAAGAGTGATCTTTTAAATGTAACTCTTTTCTAACATCCAACCATGATTTACAAGAGAATTATGCCTCTATCCATTTCTGGTTTCCATCTTCTAACTTTAGAAATTTTTCATCTTATGGAAGAAGCTACCAACCCACATGACCAAAGAAAAATCTCACCTGAATGTGTTATATCAATGTCTAAGTTACCTCATTCTTTATTCTATATGCCAGAATCTTTTAAATTTATTTTATTTTTTTTGCAGAATTACATTTTCCACTGTTTCCAAGGGAGTTAGAATGTACAGAGTTCCCTAAACTGGTATCTCCAATTTTTCATGTGTTTGTAAGTCCCCATTCTTTGTTTCTGCCTCCTCTTTTTACCTCGAGGCTAATCCTTTGGCAAGCTGCCTTTTCAGGACTTCTGAGAATATTCCTCCACTGCATACCAGAATAACTGCATCTGCCTTTCTTCCTTGACCTATAAGTCCATTTAAAGCAACAAACTCTCCATATGTCAATTGTTTTCCTCCAGCTAGTCAGCAAGTAAAGATAACAAAACACATTCAGTAAAGATATTCATTCTCATTTCCCAAACCAGAGAGACATATGGAAAGAAATACTCAGTCAGGGATCTATTGAAGGATTCTGCATAGTAGCAAAATCTGGAGACAATATGCCAAGCAATGTCAAAATAATTCTAAAAATGCATGTCCTTAATACAAGGGCTGTCTTATTTCTATCTGTATCTGCTGCAGTGCCTAGAATAGTGATTGTCAGACTGTGTATCATAAAATGCCTCAGATTAATGACTCAATTTTTGGCGTAGGTACCATGAGAACTTGTACCATCTATCCTAGCAGGACCTGACTGGGTAGACATCTGAGGCACCTTCCCTTGATCCATCTATCTGCTTTGCAAATGTCCCACCACAGAGACTATCAGCGGGGCTGTGACCAGTCCAGAGAAACAAGTAAGTGCTTAGGCTCTGGAATCAGACTCTGAGCTCAAATCTTGGCTCCATTACAACTGTGTGACTCTGTGCAAGTCCCATAATCTGGCTAAGCTTCAGTTATCTCATCCATAACATGGGGATTAATAGTACTTTGCTCATGAGGTTGTTATAACAATTACATGGGACGATTGTGTGAAATTCTCAGCAAGTACATGTCTAATAAGTACACTTTTTTTTTTTTTTGCTAGTATTGAGATACCAGGACACAAAGGTCAATAAAAAGCTTCATATAGGCTGGGCACAGTGGCTCATGCCTGTAATCCCTCACTTTGGGGGGCTGAGGCGGGTGGATCACTTGAGGTCAGGAGTTCAAGACCAGCCCGGCCAACATGGTGAAACCCTGTCTCTACTAAAAATACAAAAATTAGCTGGGTGTGGTGGCATGCATCTGTAATCACAGCTACTTGCAAGGTTGAGGCAAGAGAATCACTTGAACCCGGGAAGCGGAGGTTGCAGTGAGCTGAGATTGCCCCATTGCACTCTAGCCTAGGCAACAGAATGAGAGACTCAGTCAAAAACAAACAAAAACAAACAAAAACAAAACACCAAAACTCAAAAACCAAAAATCCAAAACGTCACGTAATCACTGCCCTACATTAATTCTGAAAGGACTTGTTTTAGTACTGACCAAAGACCACCTTGTAAATGAAGGCCATGTGACTTCACAGTGACAGGAGTGAATTTGTGCTATCTTCCCACTTTCCTCGTTATCTTCCACCAGGCATAGCACACTACACATCACGCAGGAGCTGGGATACAGTCTGTCCTCATGTTGGACAGCAAAGCTCATGTTTGTACAGAAAGTATTTGTAGCCCCATGTCTGGTTCACTCCTGATGTGCCTCAGAAGGACAGGCTTCCTCTTTGGGACTGCAGCTGGTAACCTGACTTGTCCCACCTAAGCTAATTCACATGCCAGAGCATGAAGCCTTCTACATTTTCAGGTTCATTATCGTTTTGGTGGAGGTGTTGTTCCCTGGCTGTTTAGTGGGGCCAGACCTAAGCCAGGAGAGGATAAGTCAACAAGTCCAAAGGTCGCCCATCTCTGTGTGTCTTACATTTGGTTGCGGAGAGCTGGGATTTATACTGCCCTCGGACCAGCCGGCAGGTGGACCCATCTCCGTTGCAGACCCCACAGTTATCTTCCTTGACGGTGCTTCCCAGCTGGTGATCGCAGCCAACAATCTAACAAGAAAGAGAGATGTGTAATTCAACCAAGCACCTACCGATGGCAAAATCCATTATGAGGCCAATCACCATGAAATAACCCTCCCTTCATCCCTGAGGGGCCTAAAACATACCCCGTGAAGGGGACTGAATTCAACTGGAATTTAAATCAAGCTAAGAAAGAAAAAAAGGTAGCATGGGTAAAGATGTTTTCAAAGTTCAGATATACAAATAGAAAGAAGGGTAAAAGAAAGAGAATGAGAGAGAATAGGGAGCAGGGTAGGGAATGATGGGGAGAAAGTAAGAGAGATGAGAAGATCCTGAATTATTGATGTTTTAGGGCCTTAATTCAAGAATAACTCCTATGTTAATAATTATGATGCACTCAAATGACAAAAACTACAACCAAGAGGTAATGGTAGCAGGAAACATTTTATAAATGATCTCCATGTTCCACATGGTTCGTTAGAACGTATGCTGCGTAAGGGTGGGCGATTTGTATATTGGGTTAATTAATGTATTCCAAGCAGTGAGAACAGTGCTTGGTCAATTGTAGGCCCTCAAAAAATATTTGCTGAGTAATAATGAAAATACTTCCTTTTCTAGCTAGTACTCCAGCTTAAAAAAGAGGAGAGAATCAGCAAACAGATACAAACTTACTGTGTGTGTGTGTGTGTGTGTGTGTGTGTGTGTGTGTGTGTGTGGAAGAGGACGGTTGCATGAAGGGCAGCAGGGATGAATACCACTAAGACCCTGTCATTTGCCTTACCCTGTCCTGTATCAGGCACAGTACAAATATCTCATTCATTCTCAAAAGAGCCATGCAAGTAAGATATCTCCATTCTATAGTTGAGGCCATGAGTCTTACCCAAGGTCACTTAGCTAATAAGCAGCTGAGTTCTAAAGACTCCTCGTGAAACATTTATGCCCGGTCCAAATCAGGCTTAACAACATCACAGGCTTTTATAAAGTATGTGGGCAATGCCATTTGTGTCTTTCCTCTTTACTTTCTAATATCTGAGTCTTAGAAATTCAAATCCAAACTATGCCAGGTTGTATGGCTTACAGTTCTAGTTAGATCAAATATGGAAAGATTTATTCTACTCCCAAACTATTTCAATTACTCTCTTTGACAAAATAAAATAATGGTAGTGACAACTGAAGGGACTTATGGCTTCTCTTCATAAAGTCCTCACAGTTCGTCTTGCCTTTCAAAAATCTGGTTGTTAATATGACCAGAGGATTGAGGCTTGATTTTCTTTTTTATTCCTCTTATTAATAATAATTGCAAACACATGTTTAGATGAAGGTTTAAAAACATAATTATTTAACATTGTGTTATATATGTACTCTATTTTTAAAATGTGGTAATGTATGTTTTTTCATTAATAGCAAATGAACGTCTTTTAAAAATAGATGAACAGCAACAACCCCTTCAATAACTGTACATTTTTTTTAAATGCAAAGATGTCAGGAAAACATGGTGCTGAGTTCTAAAGTCAGGGACAAAGGCAGACGGGCTCTATCCCTATGGGTTCAGTGTAGCTGAGGAGCAGTTTGCCTCAATCTATTCAGAGGCTGCAGTGAGGCCACTTCAGAAAGCAACCGAATTTCATCCCTGCAGTGCCAAACATGTGCTGGCTTAAGACTTCTTTGGTGTATTTCTACATAACTGCAGTAAAATTATTTTCAAAATTCATATCTGTAGATGGGCCCGCCCATGAGCTGATCAGTTCTGTATTCACTGTTATATTCTGAGTACAGTGTGAAATAGGATTACAGAAGTATTTTATTTATAAAAGAATTCATTTAACCGGTTAGGTAATATTTATTGAGGACCTGCTATGGGCCAGCCACTGTGCTAGGAGCAACATTCAATGGTGAATTTCAGCATCTATGGGTCCACTCTCATGAGACTTTACAATCTAGTGGCAGAGGGAGATAGTGCCCAAATCATCACACGCAATAAGTGTAAAATGATAATCATGAAAAAAGGTATAAAACACAGACACATGACACTCTGAGAGCATAAAATATGAAGAATTCAATTTGATTAGGGAGGCAAGAGAAGATTTCTCTTAGGGAGAGACTTTTTTGAGCTGAGATGTGAATGAAGAGTCAGAGTTAACAATGGAAGGGAGGTGTCACATGAGGTTCACCATGTCCTTTAGAAATGCCTGGATACTAACTAATTGGAGAGGAAGCAAAAAACCAAGTTGGCCAAAAAAAAAAAAAAAAAAAAAAATCAGAAAACTGATAACCTAATTGCCTTGGAGGGACCAAATCCTTTGAGAAAGCATGACAGTTTTAATTTAGGCAACATTCAAAGCATTATTGACTCTACTATTGTTGTGGTTTTTGGGATTGAAGAGGACTTAATCTGACAAGATCCTTGACCATGTGGAAGGACAGCGCAGGCATTGGGCACAGGAATTTCCACTCTCAGGCGTCCAAATCTAACTGGGTTTACTCCTTAAACTATAGGAATTTCAGGTTTCTCAAAGGATTTAAGTTTCTCTGGAAAATTTTTAACGGACTCTGATGCCTCTAATGGAGCCAAAGGAGATAATCATGAAAATCTCTCTCTAAGTCTAAAGATTTCTTACGGTTCCAAAACCATTTTAAGTAAAGAACAATTCAGCTTCACAGATCCAAAGCAACGGTAATATTAGGAATAGCTAAATAGGAGGTGACATACTTTAAGAGTAGCTTGGCTAGACGCCTGACTTAGTGCTATCAGTGTGGGTTTACGGACCCCAGGATATGAACCAAGTCAGTTTTAAATGGGCTTTGTTTAGCTTCAGAATTTAAAAGACTAACATCTCCCTGACACAATTGTTTTTTTTTTCTTCCTTTTCTCTGTTATCAATTCCTCTTCAAGATGCCAAAATCTTCTAACTCAATTATTTTTAAAATGTGGAATACTTTATATCAGATAAAATGTTCTTACTTTGGTCCAAGTGGAAAATTGTTTGCAGGGATATCAGGATAATCATACTTGACATATCTTAATCTGTTGATTTTGAGTAACTATTAGATTAATTAAAATTAGTTGTTACTTTAAGACCTACTATTAATAACAGAGAGAAAAATAAACAGAAATACAAAAATGGGCTTAATTGGCCCTCTGTGCACATGCTATTATTTTTTGCCTAGAATACTCTTTCCCTATTCTTTATTTGGCAAACTCCTACTCATCCTTCAAATCCCAAATCAGGCGTCTGCTCAAGAAAGCCTGTCCAGATTCCAGAGGTAACTGCCTTATTGCTGTATGTTTCCATAGCCGTTTCTTCATACCTCCATGTGGCAGAGGTTTCTGGTTGTCATCAAATATCCATCTTCTCTTATTTTTCTTGTACTGGACCCCAATTTTATCTGGGTTAGCATTATATGCAGTTAAAAGAATACATTTCTCATTGGTCATGAGAAAAAATCATAATTACTGAAATAAAAGTAGAAGTGAGGCTTCTGGGAAGGCTACTTAAAAGAAGCTGACTTGGCTGGGGAATGCCTTTTCTGCCCTCTGCCTTCCTACCTTCCTGCTGGCTCTAGCAGCCATCTTGGAAATGAGACAATCTTGAGAATGGAAGCCTTGTACTCAGAATGGCAGAGCAGAAAGAGAGAAAGATCCTGTTTCCTGAACCGCACTTGGACGGATTGCATCTTTTTTTTTTTTTTGTGAGAGAATAAATCTTTTATGTGTCTAAGCCACTATTATTTTGTTTTTTTTTTCATGTATACCCAATTCAAATTATTATATAACTTACATTGAGTTTATTAACATGTCTATCTCCACACAACATCCTGGGCTACCCGAGAACCTGTGTTTTACTAATCTTGATATTTCTGCTGCTCAGCCCAGTATCAGACATTTGAGATGCACAATAAACGCTGCTGAATCGATGAAACACATAATGGTTTGCTAATAGTTTCAATGTAGTTTACAGATAGGCGACCTTAGACTGCAGCCATTGACATACGAGTCTGCAAAAATGTGTGCATGCATGTGTGTAGGTATGTATATGTACATGTGTTTTTAACTGTGCACACAAAGAAACAGACATACCATAAATGACAGCAAGAGGCTAAACCTAAACCTCTGCCCTGATGCATCAACAAGAATTGCTGTAAAGGGCTATTATTTTTTAGAGACTATTTCCCAAGTACACCGATGTTAATTATTAGAGAAATGTCATGGAAGGCAATGTTTAGGTCACTGAGTTCCCAGACCCACCCCATTCTGGACAAAACATTTAAGTGAGATAATGACCACTCATAACTTTGGCAACTGCATGAAATTTTTTTGCAAACAGTGGAAAACTGAATATTTTGGTCTAATACAGTTTATTAGTACTCCACTATGAGGTGTCAGCTGGATGCAGTGGTCTGACCTCATCCTCATCCAGAATCACTGCACAGTGTTGCTTATTTTGCAATATTTTAATCTCAGGTAACAAAAAAGTAAGAAGCTCCAAGAAAAATTTAAAGAAAGGCAAAATAGCACCCTGAAACTTACCAAATTAATAGTGTTTTCATTGTTTAGATACCACTAGTGGGTTATCAATTTCTGCTTTCATATCTTAAATGTATGCTTTTTGTACCCTCTCTTATATACATATATGTGTACAAAGATACGCAGCCACTTGTCTTATTTTTGAGTTGAGCAAGCACACTTAACACTGATGATTTTTCTTTATTCTTCTTTCAGATTTACTAAAGGGAGGGAGAGAACTGCCCCCCGACCCAGCCCCCTCCCCCCTGCCAAAAAAAAAAATAAACTAGGATCATAGCATCCAATCCAAGTTGGCTCAGAGACTTAGTATGTCGTGCAGATTTTAGGCATCAGGCCTGCAGTAGGGGTTTCTTCCTTCACTTTACAGAGCTGATAGCAAGAGAACAGGCAGTATGCAAGACTGAAATTCTCTAGACACTGAAATATGTTTAATAAAATGTCTTCATTAGTAGCCACAGGAGAAAGAAAGATCACCATGCTAATAATTTGGAGAACATAAATAAACATAATCCATAAGCAGATATCATGCCTCAGACTGACATTCTTAGGATGGGTTCACAATGGCTTCATTTCAAATGGTTTCCCATAAGGAACTCAATCTAGCATCAAATACTGAGCCAGTGATGTCAAGCTTTTCTTGATCCAACATCATGAGGTAAGAAACTTTTAAAGCTTTCTATTTTCAGCACTGGGAAAGACAAATATGGAAAACTAAACTGTGCAAATCTGACCATAGCTGTTCTTATTTATATTTACTTAATTTAGATAGAACTTTATGGGTAACAGTGTGGTTTACATGGATTATCCTTTATTTACTAATTATTTTAATAAATAGGGGAGGGAGTGCATTTCTAACCTCATCCTCAAAAGATTTAGATATTCATTAATTTGCTTATGCTTAACCTTTCATTAAATAATAAAAAGATTTATAGCATATAAATAACCATAAAATTCACAAGAACAAATGAGTGAATGGAGCAAAAAGGCAAAGGTAAGAAAGATAAATCTAGAAATGAGAGAACTAAACATAATGCACACTATGCCGTCCTGTACAGTTGCTAGATGTGGTGGGGGGAGGTCACATCTGGATTTGAGCTTCCTAGAAAATAGGAACACATAAGCAGTTGTAAGAGTCAGAGAATCTACTGGATCTTTTAGAAAATGTATGCAATAATGTGTTCTTTATAGTAGACAATGAATATTTGTGTAATAAATGAATAAATCAAAAACCACTCGGGAGCACCATAATTAAAGTACCAAAATAATAGATACACATTAATTGTGAGTCTTCTGAAAGACAATGTCATATAACAATGTCCCAATAACATCTGAGCAAATACATACAAGCAGTTTCAAAGAGGTGGCTCTAATAACCTCTGATGAAGCCTAATGGTCAGGGGACATTTGATAAAAGCAAATTTTATGCTGGGTGTGGTGGCTTATGCCTGTAATCCCAACACTTTGGGAGGCCAAGGCAGGCGGATCACTTGAGGCCACGAGTTTGAGACCAGCCTGGCCAGTATGGCAAAACCCCATCCCTACTAAAAATATAAAATTAGCCCAGTGTGGTGGCAAACACCTGTAGCCCCAGCTACTCAGGAAGCTGAGGAATGAGAATTGTTTGAGCCTGGGAGGCAGAGGTTGCAGTGAGCCGAGATGGCGTCACTCCACTCCAGCCTGGGCAACAGAACGAGACTTTGTCTCCAAAAAAAAAAGCAATTTTTAAGAAGCCAAAACAAATCATCCAGGTAAAGAGCATTATGATGGTCTGATTTACTCCAAGGGCAGACTTTGGAGTACTTAGGGCAGGGCTGGCAAAATTCTGGCACATGTGCAGCTATACCTCCTACCAGGACCACAGTAGATATTACTAATCAGCAGCAGCACTCTCTGTCACTGAGGTTTTATGTGGCTCCAGATTCGTAAAGACACTGGGCTCTAGAAGCCGAATCCAATAGACTATAGTTGTCAAATCAGGAAACTAAACCCATTTACCATTTCAGAACCAGAGAAAGGAATTGGTTGCCTACCTTTTAGACAATTATCCATAGACATTATTTAACTTAAGATTTGAATGATTTCAAGTTCAGATTATAACACTGAGGTTCAGAGAAGATAAATTCCCCAAGGTCACATAGCTGGTGAATAACATAACCAAAATTCCACCTTGAGATTTTTTGACTATAAATTATAGTAGGATGCCCATTAACCATGAAAAGGCATACTATACAATATTTATATGGCAATAGTGAGTGGTAATAACAAGTTTGAATATTCTAATCAAGATCATTACCTCTAGAGCTACACTTACGCACAGGGATGAACGATGGTTTCATCTGTGATCTGTGCCTCAGAAGCACATATAGCAAGTGAAGGGGAAGGGGCTCAGCCCCAACAACACCTGCGGTCACCTCCTACCCCTCCCCCTGCCACACAGGCAGGCATACATACCTCTCTCATGGTTTGTTATGGGTACCAAAATTCCCTCTTTTACACACTTGGTTTTTTTGTTTGTTTGTTTTTTGTTTTGTTTTTGGTTTACAACTAAGGTTTCCAATATGAGAAAATAGAATCTCCAGTAATTCGCAAAGGTGGTAACAGTGCTCCATGAGCTATGTTTACTGTTTCCAAAAGCCTAATGGAAATATATTTATCTGCAATAAAACTACATAAGGTCACCAAAACACCAATCATCTCATTATACAAATAAGCTGAATCCTGACCCTTACTGTATTTATTTTTTAATTGCAAACTCAGGTCTTTTAGCTATAAAATGGGAAAACAAATTATTACTTAATACATGCAGTGTTTTGAGTAGATGGAAACTTCCAAAACACAAGGCCCATAGGAAAAAAAAAATAAAGGGCTCCTTTGTGTTAAGAAGTTGGGAACCACTGGTGTAGTCCTCTGTTTGTTGTTCCAATACCCTTGGGAGGAGTAACACATGAAGTTGCTGATTATACTTAAATTAGACCAAATCAACTGAGCATAAGGCATTACGCTGGCTGTTATGGTGCTATTACGAATACATATAGGTGGTAGGCTTGGTCTCAATCTAGGGTGAGGGGTTTTAATCAGATTATTTCCTCAGAACAGGTGAGAGTAGAAAGGGAGTAAGATCAGTATAACTAAAGGTCAAAGGGGCACGGAGGAGGAGAAAGACAGGAGGGAAACCTGCTTACAGAAGGAAATGTGAACTAGTGTTTGCCAAAACTTGCTATTTTTAGATACATAGCTTCTCACACAATTCTTGTAATAACCTTGAAAATTAGCTACAATTGTGTCTATTTCACAAAAATAAACCTGAAACAGAAAGATAACACAACTTGCCGCAAATCGCATTACTAGGATTTGTTGTCACCAGAGTTGAAGTCTAGGCTGAATAGCACTGTGTCATCAATGAGCATCTCTCTAGTCTATAAGATACCATGTTCCCCTTGAGGTTTAGATGGCAATGAAGAGACACGCAGAACGAGGATACACATCCTCCCCACACCTGGCGTTCTCTCTTCTGGGGTTTAGCAGTCATAGCCAGGACTAGCAAATTTCCTTGCAGGTTCACCAGACCCTTACAACAGCCCACAGTGTCCTACAGCATCTATGTGAACGACCTCTCTGACCTCACTTCCTCTGGCTCAGTCTCTTTGCTGTTCTTCAAACACAACAAACACTTTCTCATCTTAGGACAGCCCTGAGTTGCTACCTCTGGCTGTAACACTCTTTCTCAGGCACTTCGACGGCAGTTGTCTGACTCTTTGAAGTCTTCGTTTGAGAAAATTAATACCTTCTCAATAAGATCTACTTTGATCAGACTATTTAAAGCTGTATTTCTCCTCAGTCATAATATTTAATTTTTAACTTTTAAGTTCAGGGGTACATGTGCATGATGTGCAGCTTTGTTACATAGGTATATGCGTGTCGTGGGCTATATTGTACAGATTACTTCATTGCCCAGGTACTAAGCCTAGTACCCAATAGTTTTTTTCTGATCCTGTCCCTCCTCTCACCCTTCACCCTTAAGTAGGCACCAGTGTCTGTTGTTCCCCTTTTTGTCTTCATGTGTTCTTGTCATTTACCCCCACTTATAAGTGATAACATGCAGTATTTGTTTTTGTTTGTTTGTTTTTTGTTTTTGTTCTTGTGTCAGTTTGTTAAGGATAATGGCCTCCAGCTCCATTCATGTCCCTGCAAAGGACATAATCTCATTCTTTTTTGTGGCTGCATAATATTCCATGGTGTTTCTTTACCACATTTCCTTTATCCAGTCTATCATTGATGGGCATTTAGGTTGATTCCATGTCTTTGCTATTGTGAACAGTGCTGCAATGAACATACATGTGCATGTGCCTTTATAACAGAACAATTTCTATTCCTTTGGGTATATACCCAGGAATGGGATTACTGGGCCAAATAGTATTTCTGTCTTTAGGTCTTTGAGGAAGTGCCATGTTGTCTTCCACAATGCTTGAACTAATTTACACTCCCACCAACAGTGTATAAGTGTTCCTTTTTTTCCACAACCTTACCAGCATCTGTTATTTTTTGACCTTCTAATAATAGCTATTCTGACTGGTGTGAAATGCTATCTCATTGTGGTTTTGGTTTGCATTTCTCTAATGATCAGTGATGTTGAGCTTTTTTTCCATATGCTCTTTGGTCACATAAATGTCTTCTTTTGAGAAGTGCCTGTTCATGTCCTTTACCCATCTTTTAATGGCATTGTTTTTTTCTTATAAATTTGTTTAATTTCTTATAGATGCTGGATGTTAGACCTTTGTCAGATGCATAGTTTGCAAATATTTTCTCCAATTCTGTAGGTTGTCTGTTCACTCTGATGATAGTTTCTTTCGCTGTGTAGAAGTTTGTTAGCTTAATTAGATCCCATTTGTCAATTTTTGCTTCTGTTGGTTTTGGCGTCTTCATCATGAAATCTTTGCCAGTTCCTATGTCCAGAATGGTATTGCCTACATTGTCTTCCAGGATTTTTATAGTTTTAGGTTTTACACTTAAGTCTTTAATCCATCGTGAATTAATTTTTGCATGTGGTGTAAGGAAGTGATCCAGTTTCAATTTTCTGCATATGGCTAGACAGTTATCCCAGAACCATTTATTGAATAAGGAATCCTTTCCCCATTGCTTGTTTTTGTCAAAGACCAGACAGTTGTAGGTGTGCAGTCTTATTTCTGGGTTCTCTATTCTGTTCCATTGATATTTATTAAGCGTATTTCAATGATATTTGGATGCCCTGTTCACTGTCCACCTAGAACAGTGCCTGGCATACAGCAAGCAACTAAAATATATGTGTTCAATGAATGAATGGATTCAGCCTATAGGCAACACCACAAGTGACAGGGATATATTGCGATTTCAAAGAATTTTCCCCTTTGTCTCAAGCTAAAACATAACAGCTGTTACCATTTAAACTCTCTGCCACTGGTTCCAAAGACCAAAAGAACACTCTCTAAAAGAAAAAGATCTCTAAGGACAAATCATTTTATAACACTGTAATCTGAGAGTTTAATTTCCACTTGTCACCTTGCCTGCTATGTCTCTGGTCCTTCACCCACTACTCCAGAATTGCCTTGGGGCATAAATGCTCATTATTTCCAAGTGTACCTCCCTCTGACTTCTTTCCTGCTAGGCACAGTGCCCCAGGCTTCATGCCCTGACTCTGACACCAACTCTGGATCTGTAGATTCACTTTGTACTTGATCTACTGAGTTCCTGATTCCTGGCTCTTCCTAATAGACTTCAGCTTGGGCAACCCCCTGGCCTGGCTCTTCCCTTTACCTTTTGTGAGCTCCGACCCTTTGGCTGGTGGTCTGGCTGGGGCAAAGCCACACTCTTTCTGCATCCAACCTACACACTCCCACCTCCACCAAAGGGTAGGAACTTCGGCAGCCTCTGTGGTTAAATTATAGAGGAGGACGTGGTTTCATAGGAATAAACTTTTGCCAGGTGCTAATTTTTAAGAGTCCTATTTCTGTCCTTTATTATTTGAGCTAAGATGGCAAACATTTTAAATAATTTTTTCCTATATTGCCTTTCTTGAAGTCAAGAATCTAAACCATCTAATGGCTGGATAAACACTCTGAAAGGGAAAAAGAGAATAAGTAAGTCTGATTTCTAACGTTTATTAAAACTCTTCAGGTGCTCCCAGTCTGATTTATTGTGTTCTCGTCTTATTTACTTCAGGGTCTTGGACAAATTCTTACATAAATTTTTTGCTAAACACATCTGGATTTTTTTGTGTATTGTTTTTGGTGAAATTTGTTTCTTTAGTAGTCTTCAGCAAAAATCCTAAGAACTATCCTGGTATAGACATTTGTGCATACAGACACTACAATTCATTCTCAGCAGATGGTCAGGGACTGCTCTTTAGCAGGCTGTCTTCTCCCTCCCCTGCTTCCAAAATTAGGGTGTCTGGAGAATGCGAAACAAAATTATACAAAGGCCTGACCTCTGGCCTTGCTTCTGTCTCTCAGACTGTGAAGTACCCAAGAGGGAAAGTGTTGAATTTGGCCTCACTTCACATGGCATTAACTGTAATTCTTTGTGAATTGTGGTGACATCATGGTATACTTTGACATCACTGCTCAGACTCCCTTCTGCTGCTGGGCATACAGTACACAGTTTTTGTTTAAACACAAGAGTCCTTTGTTGAGAAGACAGGATAGCAGCTGGTATTCTGCCCTGGTACAAATGTGGATCTTACTGGAATGTGTCTGTTCAGTAAGTCACCACAAAGTAGCTATTCTACTATGATGGCTGGAACTCACACGTGTACCTCCGAAAATTTTTCTGGAAATTTATATTTAAAGAGTTTTAAATTCCAGATATGGTCCATAATTTAAACAAAATTCTACACACAATTAAACTCTTGTTTACATGTCTGGATATGTTATCTGAAGTCAATATTCCAACAGCAATAGTGTGCTGGCTGCATTTGTGTGTCAACGTTAGAGAGGATGGAAAAGGAAAGGTGAAGAGGGATTTATCTATGTCCCCAAACAATTCTCCTCCCATCACAATTGTTTATGCATCTCAGATTTCCAAGTTAGCAGGGCTTGTGTCATTCTTTGGCTCTTACCTGGTTACCTCTCAAAACTTATTACTTTATATTAATTTGAAACTTCTTTGACAGTGCTATCGATATCCTGCTTTCAAAGTCTGTTAAAGACATCCTCAACTGATAATATTAACAAATATAACCCTTTTTCCTTCCTGGTTCTCTACTGCCATTTCTATCTGTCTAAATTGGGTCTCTTTAGGGTAGAGCCTGGAGAGAATTGATCAAAAGCAGAGTTTAAGCAAAAGCATCATCTGTAAAGTAACTCTAAAATTCTGTCTCTCAAAAGTATCTCAAATGCATGGACAAGGCAGCGAATTTTCAGATCAGCTTGAGAAACTAAAGGTTGTTAATGTAAGATTCTTTCCCAGCGGAAAAAGCCATAGCACAAAATATTTGGATGAAATAGTAAATTTCTTCTGCTAAGAAAATATAATTTTTACTCTGTCACAGAACAAATAGAGCCATGACATGACCCCCAGTTCTACCATAAACTTTACAATTGCTAAAGGTATATTTACCCCTCTGGAAATGTCACACTTAAGACCAGCGAGACCATAGTGCTGCATCTCAGTTTTTGATCCACATGTTCACTTCCCTGGCCACTTCTTACCCTGGAACATCATTATTTATACCAAGAATCTATGTGATGTGGAACCCTAAACCACAAAAGAGGCAGCATGACATTGTGGTGCAACCAACAACTCAACCTGGATGTGATGGCTTGAATATATCACTCTCAGTACGAGTTCAGTTCTCTTGTGAGTTATATAATCCAACCTATTTTATATACTTGTTCTAAGGATTTGAGGTGATAGCTTATATAAAAAGATCCAGTTCATTGCCTAGCACATAACAACTCTGACCACTATCCTGGAATTTCTGAGACAACTCTATTTTCAAATCTTCTATTTCATAGTCTCCAGAATTATCAGACCCTGTGTGTTGATTATTTTAGGGGGGGGATATGTAGTCACTGTGCAAATAGCAGGTATTTTCTCATTATATATGTGAAATGCATCTGAAGCTATAAAGGGTGCCTTAGGGATCTGGGAACCTGTAGACTCCAAGTCCCACAGCTCTGGAGACAGGGTCAAGTTTGCAAAAGCTCAGATCTATTTCAGCCCCTTTGGATTTGACAACAGCATATAGGAAGTAAGATCACAACTCAAATTCCATTGAAGGAATATACTCTCCTTGAGAGGTCAGAGCAGATGGAGTTCCATTGGATAATTTTTTTTTTTTAACTTCCCTCTACCCTGCTAAAGTAGCCAATGGAATACCAGCAAGCATGGTTGGCTCTTTGGGAAATGACCTCTGGTAGGGTTCTGTTAGAAATGAAAAATACTTTTCTGAAATTGCTGTGGAGTAGCAAATCATCTCCTCTGCATTCTACTCAAATTAAAGAGAAATGTTTAGAATTCTGAAAACATCCTTCCTTAGCTCTCCAACTCCAGGACTACTGATTTTTCAGAGTTAATTCAGGAACCACTTTCAAATATATACAATCGAGTAACTATCATTAAATTTATCTGTCAGCACAAAATAGAGATTTCTCATAGTCATTCTTCTAAAACCTAAGGTGCTGGGAAAGACATATTTTCAGGGACTGGGACAAGTTTTCTCCTTTTTTCTCCTTTGGAGTTCCTGCCCATATGAATGTATCAATATGCCAGTTGAATGTAATGAAAGAAAGTGGGCATTCAGCAACCCATCTTAGTATAAGGGATATTCAAAATTTATTTATTTTAATGGAGAAGAATCCCTGAATCTAAATGAATAAGCCAAAAGCAAATCAGTTACGATCTTTTTAAAAGGAAAAGTAGTCTTCTGGAAGTTGGGAATTTAAATTCTTATTAATCAGAATTAACAATGAACCAATCAAACAGGAGTCACAAAATCCTAAGAGAAAAGTGAGCTGGCTGATTTTTAATGATCCCCAAATTTCCAGAGCCAGATGAAAGGTGAGCTGCTGGATATAGTGATGGGACTGAGTTGGAAGTAGCTGGAGGTAGCAATTTGGCTACTCTTTCTAACTCTAGCCTTGTGGGTTCAGGATAATCAGTTACATTTTGCTGAATCACTGCACTATTATGACAATGGAAAAATGAGCTGTTTCTCCTTTCATTTTAGACAAAAGCAAATTCACTCAAAGGCGCTGAGATGAAAAGAAAGGACTGCATACATTTTCCCATTCAGAAAGATTAAGATTCCACTAACCCCCCACTCACATGCATAGAAATGAATTCTTTTTCTTTCCTGCTATAGTCTAGTTTAAATCCAGCTGAAACTATAAATTCCAAATCTGACAGAATTCAACACACAGCATATATCTAATTAGAGAGTGAAATTAAATCGTGTAGTAACTGGAATATTTAAGTTCAGAAATTTTTTAAACACTACAGTTTTATAATAGTTATTGGTGTTTAGTCAGTTGTCCCAAACTAGTTAAAAAGAATTACCTTAACACAGGAAGTGTATATGCTATCTTCAAATCCCCTTAAAAGTACCCAAATTACCTGCTTCTGTACCCTAACCTTACTGCTTCATGGTGGACCATGGGAAAAGAAGAAAAGGCATTTCCAATTTTTATGGTTCACACCACAATCAAATTTGGCTATATTGCATCACGTTGCATTTCTTCTGCATGTATTATGTATAAAAAAGCATGTAATTTGCAATAAGTGGTTTATGTCCGACAATGATAGACTAGATTAAGAAAATGTGGCACAAATACACCATGGAATACTATGTAGTCATAAAAAATGATGAGTTCATGTCCTTTGTAGGGACATGGATGAAGCTGGAAACCAACATTCTCGGCAAACTATCGCAATGACAAAAAACCGAACACCGCATGTTCTCACTCATAGGTGGGAACTGAACAATGAGAACACAGGGACACAGGAAGGGGAACATCGCACTCTGGGGACTGTTGTGGGGTGGGGGTAGGGGGGAGGGATAGCATTAGGAAATATACCTAATGCTAAATGATGAGTTAATGGGTGCAGCACACCAACATGGCACGTGTATACATAGGTAACAAACCTGCATGTTGTGCACATGTACCCTAAAACTTAAAGCATAATAATAATAATAATAATAAAAGAAATTATGAAAATGCTGCATGGAATCATCACCAAAGATTATAGTTTCAAATGTATTGCATAATACAGCGTCAATTAAAAAAATTTTGAGTCATTTGAAAAAAAATATGCAATGCGTTCTTTTCAATATATCTATGTGAATCTAAATTGAAAAGTCCCCATATTCTACAAAGTGGGTCTATCAAATGCCATATTCGATAGAAAAACATATTTGACCACGAATTTTATGGTTTTCAACAGTTGTTTCAAGTGAATTCTTGGCAGAGTGTTGACCTAGACTTCGGGCTGTTTTTCAACATTAAAATTTTACAATCGAAAGTTGAACTATATTCTGTAGGTGCAGGCATGTTCCAGTGAATCACAGGCTGGGATACATATCAAAGGGGAGATGAACACATTTCTTACTAGAAGAATTTTTATGAACATGCTCCCCACAACATTTAGGCATTGAGTTGTCAGATGATTTCCAACCTCAATTTCAAAATTCTTTTTAATGAGTGTGTTAAGAGCAAGGCTTACATGGATTGCTCATTGTTGGCTGGTTTGTCTTTTTCCCTAAGATAACAGCAGTTGTTTGTCTCAGTGAGATCTGGTCTTCACAGCTGGAAGCCACAAAACCTTTTGTCTTAGGGCAAGTGAATGGAGGTTGTATCTCAGTTGGCAGGAAGGGAGAAAATAAATACTGTGAGCCACAATTATTCTGAAGAGTGGGAAATTACATTAGGAAATTATAGACTGCAGCAGCGGATGGTTCTCACTTACCAAACTTGAGGCCGAGAAGAGGCAATAAATAAGAAAACTGGGGGGGAAGGAATTGTGGTGTTTATGAAGTACGGTGTGTGGATCAAGTCCTGTCAGGTGTTTTACAGAGTTCGTGAAGCCTGTAAAACAAACTCTGCAACTGAACAGGTGACAAAACCAAAGCAACTGCCTATATCACCTATCTAGAAAATGACAGAATTGGGATTTAGTCTCTTTAAAAAATGTCATTCCTATTACACTAGGTCACCTAATATACCAGGGGACTTTCAAGCAAACAGTGTGTATCCTCAAGAGGTCAGGCAGCACCACATGTACTAATCAGCTACTCATGCGAGCGCTCTGTTTAGAGAAATGGTTTTTGAGGGAATGTTTAGAGCATTTTGTTTAAAAACCTAGCCCACTACATCTCAATCATATTTCCTAAGTTTATTTCTCAGCACCAAGCTAAAGGCACTCAAAAAACAAAGATATTCCCAAAGGGCAGTTTCTCAGGAAACAAAAACTTTCAAAAAGATTCCAAGGCTTTTCCTAATAATATGAAAACAACCCCCTTGAAAATTTATTTTCAATGCTTGCCTATAGCTTGGCTTCAGCATTGACTCGGTTATTACCTTAAACAGAGGAAAAACATCTCCAGTAGCAGTTGGCATGACTGAGGAGAGGGGAGGAGGGAGAGGGAGCAAATGGAAACAAACTGAACTCAGCCCAAACAGCTCGCATCTGGGCGGCCTAACCCTGCAGAGACCTTCTCGCCAAGCCCTGCCAAAAGCCAGCAATCATGACCCCAATGTGAACTTTTGGTTTGTACCACGCAGTGTCAGAAAGGGGTAGAAAGCCCAGAATGACACACTATCAATTCCAGAGCATGCTGACTTGAACACACAGTTCACACAAGTAGCACCTACCTCTGCTTCCACCACCCAGCCTGGGTCAAGCGTGACGCAAGGAGAGTGTGTTCCAATATCAAAGCACCTTTATACTCAGCTTTGACCCCTTTCAGTCAAAGGTAAAATAAAAACATTTAGAAAGCATGTGAATGGAATATTTGTACACTTGTTTCTATTTGTGAACCTCAAAAAATTACACAAAATCAGGAAAATTGGCAGCTTTAGCACCAAAAGTGTTCAAGATTATAGTACCGGGGTGATGCAGTTACAAAATGAGGGATATAGGAAGAGTTACGTGGGAAACTCATCTGAGGCCTGATGCTGTCTCTGGGCCTACACCAAAAGCAGGCTGTCTTTTCTGTTCTTCTTTCCCAAGGTGGAGTGCAGAACCCATTGCTGAGTACAAACATGCTCTTGCCTTAAAATGTGTAGACTGTCAAGATTGCATGCCTGAAGCAAGTGTTTTTCTGATAGTTCCACCAGTGATAACTTCTTTTGCAATTGGGATTAGAACTGTTTTCAACATAACCGCTTTTTCATCTACAATGCCAGCGCTTGGTCCTAATTGGATATTAGGGAAAAAAGGCTCATTTTGTAAGCAGTCATTTAAATTGCAGATGTGGATTCAGCCTGCCAAACATGTACTGGCGATCATAAATCAACAACTGCATAGATAAACAGGTTGCCACTCTCTGAAATACCCCATTGGTATGCAAAGAGGCACAGTTACACTTTTATTTTTTTCCTGCAGAGAGGCATCTCACTATTTTCATGGTTATTTTCTGAGCTTGGGAGCAGAAGAGGGAAAAAAGGTAGGGAAGAATACAAGTGAGAGGAGTTCCATGGCCGAACATTTGTAAATCTCCTGGAGAAGCTGAAGTAATTTTAGTATCATGATCTCCACTACAGTGAGCATGTCTTTTAATCAACACTCTTTATGGGAATGGTATTGTCCTAGCTGTTAAAGGGTAAAAGACTCAAAAGTTGCAGCAGCTATGCTCTAGAGGGCTTCATAAACTAAGAGTAGGCATGAGTAGGAGGCAGAACTGGTGGGAATGTAAAATGGTGCAGCCCTGCAGAAAACAGTATGGCTGTTCCTAAAAAAATTAAACATGCAATTACCACGTGATTCTGTAATGCTACTTTTGCGCCTATCTACCTACAAGAATTGCAGACAAGGACTTGAACATACACTTGTGTGCCTATGTTCACAGCAGCATAATTCACAATAGCCAAAAGGGGGAAACAACCCAAGTGTCCATAGATGCCAAATGGATAAAATGTTATATATTCATACAACAAAATATTATTCAGCTCTAAAAAGGAATGTAATTATGACTTGCTATGACATAGAAGAACCTTGAAGACCTTAGGTTAAGTAAAATAAACCAGACAAAAAAAGGACAAATATTATATGATTTCATTATACTAGGCACCCCAAATAGTCAAATTCATAGAGAAAGAAAATAGATGGTGATTACTGGGGGTTAGGAAGAGGGGAAAATGGGGAGCATAGAAAGTGAAAGTTTCCTCTTCAAAGTTTTCCTTCTTGTTAAAGAGTAAACCATAAGTGTTAGAAATAATAGTTTCTTTTAAAGACTAACTTTCCTCAAGCCTCCTTGCTTTGTGCTAATAACTCTTTGTTAAGCCCTACCCTATGTAATTGTTGGACATGCTCACAGGCACGTTCCAGCTTGCAGCCTATGCCCCTTCCTTATTTGGAAATGTTATTGCCTCCTTAAACCTTTTGTAAGCAAATTCTTTGTTCTTCCTTGCACTTACCTATTTAGGAAAGTTTTAGGCTGTTAGCAAATTGGGTGTCAGTTTCAGAATATGAGGTCCAGCTCCAGCCAATGGATGCAGGACACAGCAGTAAGGACAACCCAAATGCATAGGGATAAATATGCCTGCTTTTCCTTTGTTCAGGTGTGCTCTCGCCATTGTTCCATCTGCGACTGAGCACCCTTTCTGCAGAAAGTAAAGATTGCCTTGCTGAGAGATCTTTTGTCTCTGTACTGTCTTTTCTTTGTGGCACCAATTATCTATTTCTAACAATTTTGGTATTTCTAACAGGGAGTTATTGGTTAATAGGCATAGAGTGTCAGTTTGGGAAGATGAAAAAGTCCTGGAGATGGCACAACAACGTGAATGTATTTAATGTCCCTGAAGTATATACTTAAAAGGGTTCAAATGGTAAAATCTATGTTACATTTTACTATAATAAAAAAAGAATAGGAGGCAGAAAAGCAACAGACACAGAAGCAACTAATACAAGGAATACATAGAGCTGTGTCATTATAGAAACAAATAAAAGTAAACATCTGCTATGTGGGTTGGTTGTTGAGGAGGTATGGAATGATGCCTCTGCCCTAAATACCAGCTGGTCCTATGGCCTCTTTCTAACAAGATGTGGACAAAACTCCATGTGTTTGCACTCACTGTTCTTCTACTGAGCAAGACATATATGGACCCAACAATACTGCATAGTACAGTATAGCACAGTATAGCATAGCATAGCATAGCATAGCATAGCATAGCATAGCATAGCATAGCATAGCATAGCATAGCATAGCATAGCATATAGCTTTGGAGACAGATGGATCTAAATCTGAATCTAAGTTCTGCTATTTATTAGCTGCATAACTTTTTCCAAGTCACCTCATCTTTCTAGGCCTTGGTTTCTTCACCTGTAAAATGGTACCAATCATACCTCCAAGAGTTGTTGTTATAAGGATTCAACAAAGGAATAGAAAGCTCTCAGAGTTTAATCATGGAACACCTACCATTACTATTAATGATTACAACAACAAACCCAGCCATAGGGGTTGAAGAAGAACAAAAGTAAGTGGATGTTAGTTGGTGTTTTAAAATATTATTTTCTGATGTTCTTCAAAAGTCAGAAACTTAGCTCTCATTTTACGTAAAAATATTTACCTCATTTTTTACCTCTTAGAAGTTGCCTATTGATCTAAGGAAGAAAAATGGGAGTATTTAGAAAGTAAGTATCAAAAATTCAGAGAAAACTCACCCACACAAACACACAGTCCCTTCAGTGGGCATTCCAGTGTTGCCAGTTCTCATTGTCCGACCTACTTAACTTCATGTGTCAGATACCTTTCTACAGGGAAGAAAAAGTCTCCATAGACTAGATATCATAGATTACCTACAGAAATGTATTCCTTTATCAGTATGGACAACTGAGAAGTGACTGTGTCTGACAGATTTGTTTGAGAGGGAGAATAAAAGGAACTTGTACTAGATTTGGGGTACAGATGGGGCTGATTTCTCAACAACCTGGGAAGGGTTGATGGAGGAGGTGAGATGTGAGCTCTGAATTAAAGAATGGCAGCAATACCCTGGAACAATAAAGGCAGGCTGCCAAGTCCCCCCAAAATCAGAACCAGATTAGAAGCCCAGTCTGGGGCTTGAATCCAGGTGGGTCCTGATTCCAGTGCTGGTACTGTGCAAGACACATTCCTCTACGCTGCAAACCAGAAACATTTCTTATAGCCCCACAAAATCTTGCTGGAATCCATTAAGAAATTGTTTGAACCCTGGTGAACTTTTGGCTAAAGAAGAGAGGAGGCTCATGTTTGCAGCAGAAGTTTCGTTTTGTCCTAGTGCAAAAAGATTTTAGTATGAACCAAGACAGAAGTTTTCCATGGCTTGTCTATCATTATCAACTTCTGAGCACTCCCAGCCTAACAAATACATCCACCAAAGCATAAAAGATGCAATTCATTGTAAAGGCAGCAGAAGAATGACTCAAGATATGACTACCTTCTCATAGGCAGTAGGCAGTAGTGAAATCACATCCATTCACTAACTAGGAAGACATTTCTTATGCAGAAGCCTGTACTGCATTGCCCTGCTTACAATTGCTAACAATCACGAAGATGGTAAAACTTTAATGAGATTTACAAAACTATTGCCTTAATAAATTCTTTCCTGTTATAGGAAAAGATATGAGATATTTCTCAGACTGAATCTCTAACCAATAAAAATGTCATTTTTAAAAGTTCTAAGAACCTTCTGTCAAATTATTTTACTATACATCAGAAGCTATGTACTTCAATATACACTATATATATAATATCTATGGAAATGTATAGATATGCTACATTACATCTATATATAATGTATATTATAATGTATAATGTAATATATAAATGTGTATATATGTGCTACATTATACTATACATTATTTATGATGTATGATATATGCTACACATATTTAATAAAATCACCTTTCATATAGACCAAATCCCTAATTTAGAAATAAATATACAAAAATAATTACAGACCTGGCACTATGCCCATGGTCACTTATAGCATCCCTAGGAAATCCTCACTGGCCATGACTGTGTTAGTCACTCCATCCCCTGGCCATGGCTAATTAATTCAGTAATAGAGACACTTAGACTAGGCCAGACTCTCTTCCCTGGGAATTTGAAAATTGGCTGGAGACAGAAAGAGTCAGAATATGATTAGAGCTAAGTTATTTTTTGCCAGATCTGTGCACACCTGTAGCTGAGGACCTCAAAGTTGCCCTGGCACTTGTGCTTCTTGAGGCCTGGCCTTTGAGCTTTCTGTTTGGTTCTAGTTGCCCAATACTTATTTTGCTAAATACATAGTTGATGTTCTTGTCATTAATCTTTATCCTTTCAATGATTCATCCTTTTGATCTTAGGTTGAGCAGACTAAATTTCTATTGCTTGTAACCAAAAGAATCCTAAAATAGAGTATATGTATTTCACCAGGAAGGGCACTTATTGTCCTATTCTGGAGCTGAGTATACAGAAGGAAACTCTATTAGGAAATGTATTCCCAGAGTTTTCAAAAGGAGATAGAGAAAACTGAGAGAGTTAGTTTAAGGTTTTGAGAAATCAGAAAGAAAAGAAACACAAGTGAAGGAGAATAATGCTGAAGGAAACCAATAGGAAATTGACAATACTCTGGATTTGAAAAGCAGTAGGCTTTAAAGATGATGTGGGGGTTGGAATCAACAGGAAGAAAGAAAAATAACGTAAATGAGATGTATAGTTCCAAGAATAAGAAATTTATTCTTTTTCTTTTGAAACAACCATAGGTACAGGCTAAGAGTTTATATTTTTGTTTCTTTAGATTTTAAAAATTTGAGTAGTTGCTCTTTACCTCAAATGTTCTTTTTAAAGCCTTTAATGTGGCATCAAATTGATTTAGTAGAAAAAGTTTCCAAAGAGTTCCTTTTACTCAGGAGAATGGCTGTATGCCTTAGCACCCAGAGCTGATCCTGAGCTAGATGAGATGAAAGCAGAAGGAGCCCCACCAGTGATAATCAGAACTTCTCTTTTCTACTGTTTCTCATAGAAACCCAAAAACCAGTGGCAAGTAGGGACCCCAATTCTTGGTATCCAGTCATAGATTCTCAGGGGCTTAAAATTCAGGGAGGGTTGTCTAGGAGGGAAGTATAATTCTATGAATCAGTACAGTAAAATAAAAAGCACAGGCTATAGGGTCAGACAGATCTGAGTTCAAATCCTAATTCAGTCACTCACAAGTTACATGACCTTGGGCAAGAAAACTAGACTTTTTGGGCAGTAGATGGGGTTCTCTGAGGTTTAAATAGCATGTTAAGTACTTGGGAGTGTCTGGCATGGTTAGAGCTTAATATATGAGGATCGTTTTTCTATTCTTATCATTACCATCATGATAACAATAGTTCTTTCTCCTTCCCCTTAGAAATACCTAGCCTATATAGCCTTTGGGGAAGCATCAGAGAAGCAGATAGCTACAGGTCCAGGCTGTGCAGTGAGTGAAAGAGGCCCCAAAGAGTATGCAGCATCTCAAGGCAGCAGTGTCATTTCAGCTCTATCAGATGTTTGCTGTATTGGAGTACAGACCAAATGCTGCAGATCCGAATTTTTTTTTTTTTTTTTTTTTTTTTGTATTTTTAGTAGAGACGAGGTTTCACCATGTTAGCCAGGATGATCTCGATTTCCTGACCTTCTGATCTGCCCGCCTCGGCCTCCCAAAGTGCTGGGATTACAGGCGTGAGCCACCGCGCCCAGCCAGATCTGATTTTTAAAGGATTAAAAATCTGTTTTGAATCCAGATTTTTACTGGAAATATTACAGTTATAAATAAATTATATAAATATAATTTAATTATATTCAAATACTGGCAACTAATTCAAATTTTTACAGAAGCCCATGATGGGTGCAGAACAGAAGTTATCCATAGGCTGCATCTGGCTGGAGCATTGCTAGTTTGCAACTTCTGCTTTAGAGCCACGAAACTCAGGGAGAAAACTAAAAAATGATACTTTGAATTATAGGGAGAAACTTGGAGACTACTACTGGGAAAATGGGAGGCTAAACCCAAATAGCCTTGACAAAACCATTCTTCCTACCCACTGCCTAAGAGAGCATGTTTTAAGTGAGCATAAAAATATTTCTCCAGATTAAAAAATAGAAACCCATGCATGAGGAGAATCAGTGCTCCTCTAAACTGACAAGATGATCCTACCTCCTCCTAAGCACCCACCCCTTCAATAATTGAGGCCCATGCCTGTCCCAAGGCACACCTTCAGAAAGGAAAAGACAGGTGCCAGGAGAGCTGGACTTGCTTCACCACTAAGTGTGCCTTTGCCTCTTTAACAAGCCAAATTGTATTTTTACCCAAGCAAAGCAAATCCTTGTTACCCTATTCAAAAAACAAATCCTTTCATCCCTAACTTGTGTCAAATAAAAAAGCCAAGAGTGGAAACTGCTGAACGGACATTATATCATGTGGCTCAATAAAAGACTATTGCATGGATGGGTGCATCAACAAATTAATAAATCTTTCTGTCAATCAACCCTAATACTGAGATTTCTGCCTCAGAAGTTGACAGTCACCCTCAGGAGTAGGGAGGAGACAGAAATCCTCCCCCACCATGAGAACCTGTGGGGCAGAGAGGACAGTATGAAGTATAGTCAAAAACTTGGGAAAACAAAACACTGGGTATATTCTTTCATTTGAGTGTGACTTTGGCTGCTTCTTCTCAAGCTTTCCTCCCCAGCCCACCCCGTCCCTTTCTCTGAAATATCTGTTACTTAAATCACTTGTAACGCTGATGGCAAAGAAACTAAACTGGTACTCAAGTGCATTTATAAACCCATGCTCACACAGCACTAGTCAGCCACCAGCTCTTGGCCACCCTGAGATCACTATGGTGTGCAGGTGCAGTGGGTTTGCACTCGGCATTTCTACAGGAGTGGAAATGATGAGCATTATGTTTTTGGAATGTTGCATTGTTGGTGAAGTTTCCCACTTGATTTTTTTTTTAAATAATACAACTACTTTTAAGTAAATGGAATGTTCCTGTGATCATCTGGCCACAAGGGAGGGAAATTTAGCACAGGGACTGAAGTGCACTTAGTAATGGTGAAAGGGACAAACAAAAATGAATAATCCAAATAAAAAGAGACGAACAAAAATGAATAAATAATCCAAATAAAGTACTTTAAATTTTTTGTTTAAAGGTTCTTAAAAACACACATAAAAAGCATTCTCACTTCATTCAGATTAAAGAGCAGTGGACTTGGAGCCAGAAGACCCAGGTTTGAGTGTTTCTGGCTTTGCCACTTGCTAGTTGAGAGACTTCGGGTAAGTCACATCCTGCCCTGATGCTGGTCATATTTTATGTTTCATATAAAATAAAATAAAACAAAATAAGGAGATTCAGCTGATAATTTCTCCACGGTCCCTTTCAAAGGTACTGATTTGCGATTAGCTTTGTAGAGAGGTTCAAAATATCCCCAGGGTCTCTGAATTTGTCTTGGCCTTGTTGTTCTATTAACCACACAGATCATTGCTTGCCATTCTCCCTAGATTTTTCAGAATCTTAAGTGTTCTCTTGGATCACAAGCAGTCAGTCCACATCAAAAACACTTTGTTCCTTCTTGATTTGGGCTCCTCAGGGCAGTCTAACCAAAGAGGCAATAGAGATGACAGGTGGGGTTTATTATACTAATTTTAGGGCCTGGGTGGATTTTCCTGACTCTGGAAAGCAGCCCTTATTAGGATTGTTCCAAGGGAGTCTTTGGCAACCATGAATGTGCTAAAACTTGGGTACAATTATGTTCAAAGGCTCAAAATCTGGAAGGTACTTGATGCTTTAAATTTTTTTCATTAAGGATCTTTACAATTAAAGTAGCTACAACATTAAAAAAAATCATCCCTTTCCTCACTTGATATTTCCTTGGAAGTATGCCAGTTAGCCCATGTATAATTACTAATTGTCTTTCACATTTGAATTTGATTTTTAACATTTTTTAAACAATTACATGAAGTGTCATAAGACACCCAGTCTCAAAAAGGCTTCCTGAATTCTACTTTGCCTATTTTTAATTTGACTTAAATAAACAAAAAGCCAAGGACAAGGTTTCAAATCTTTCAAATTTTTAATATACTTTTAAACCTTGTACTTCAAGTTTTGGAAAGACTAGTATTTTAGGGTCAACAACTTGATAAGCATATTAATAATAGAGAGAGTTGAAATAATTAGAAATATGACTGAAGATTATCCAATTTAATCCTAAGCCATGGTAAATAAGGAGTAGATGGCAGCAGATCCCAAATTACAAATTACTCCTAGCCTAGAATACAGCAAAATTTAGCTCACATCAACAGGCTCTGTTTCACAGCCTGAAGGAAATGAGAGCAAGGCACAAATATATTAAAAGATAAAAAAGACATTTAAGATGAATAATTTATGTGTTTTAGGGAGGGCTTGGTCATCAAGAGACAAAAATAGCCAACAGAGAGATTTATTGACTCGTTGCTCCATCCATGCTGTGGCAGTCATATTGAGCAACATAATATAAAGAAACTAAAGATGAGTAATATGTGGTCTCTCCTAGTAAGAAGTTCTCAATCTAATTGGCTATATGGTCATGAAATTTAATATAAGACAAAAGAAAGAAGAAGGAAACAGGTGCTAAGAGAAGAAAATGAATATTAATTCCCCTAGGAGTTTTGCTGAAGGACTTACATGAGTTCCTGAGAAAGAAAGTGACCCTAGAGCTGGACCTTAGAGCCTTGTCTACGTCTTCAAAACTGAATTACAGTGTTTCACTTCTTCTGTATGTTCCCATTGCATCCTGTACTCATAGTTGCATTTCTGGTATTTTAGCATAATGTCTAGCATTAGTAGATGCTCAATAAAAATCTGTTGAATGAATAAATCAACAATACAAAATCTCTCATAACCTCATTTTCCTCCTCTATAAAATTGTAACAATATCACCTCACATAGGTTCACACAAGGATTAAAGGTGGTAACATATGTGAAATGTTCACATAGCACAGTGCCTGGCATATGCTTACATAGCACGGTGTCTTACAGGTGTGGTGGTGCGCACCTGTAATCCCAGCTACTCAGGAGGCTGAGGCACCATGTCAGTGCTCAGTGCCCAATAAATAAATAAATATTGGCTTTCATTAAAATTAGATATTGTTACCTCTGTTTGTACAGATGAAAAAATTGAAGCTAAAAGAACCTAGTAAATTAGTCCATGATCACACAGATAGTAAGATCAGAAGCTGGACTTCAAATTTGTATCTGATTGGATACAAAATTAAAGCCCACACCACGTACTGCTGATTATAGTTATTTTTGTTTGAATCTCATCACTACACAATTATAAGCTTCTTAAAGACATGATGGTATAACACTTACGTTCATGTCCCCATTGAACCTAATTCAGACCCACACGGCAGAACTTTTTTAAAAATTGATTGAACCCACTTAGGCTTCAGATATCTTAAATGTAAATGGAAATATTAAACTACAAAATTTCAAATTCCCTTTCAGTTTCAAAACTGTCTTCTGTGGGGATGATGTCACCAAGATAGCAGAATAGGAGGTAACCTGCTCATATTCCCCCACAACAACAATTCTGCACCTATCCACAGTAAAAAGTCTCTCTGTTTGAGCCTTGGAATTCAGATAGGAGTCTGTGAAAGCCTAGCAGAGCCCATGACCTAGGAGGGTCATTTTGAGAGTGCAGACCAATACCCAGCTGACAGATCTGCTCTGCCAAACTTGCTTCTGGGTTCAAGCCCAGAAACAGCCCAGTCCCTGAAGGGGCTTGGCTACAGCCGCATTTGGCCTTAAGCCTACAACCAAAATCATCTGCCAAGGGGTCCAGAAAGAACTGTGTACACTACTGCCTTGGTAGAAAGGCTCATCAGCTTGCTGACATTGGCCTTGGCAGTGGACCCGAAATTTGCCCTGGGGCACTATTCCAGCCTTCCTCAGCTAAGATCCCAGCTTAGAGGGAGACTTGTCCATACGTCAAGCCTGGCAGTCTGAGCCTCCCTGACAGGCTCATCTACTTCTGTCCCAAAGCAGATTCCAAGAAGTCCAGTCTCAGCCCTGGCCCTTTCACTGCAGTAGGAGAACCATCCTACCTGTGCAGGAACTTACTTTTCTGAGCTAAGACCAGGCTCTCCAGCCTCTATCCCATAGCAGATCTCAAGGGGGCCCAGTCTCAGCTCCAGCCTCTCCTGCTGCAGTTGAGGAACTCTCCCGTCTGTGCAGGGACCTGCTGGGTGATGCATGTCCATCTGATCCAATAAGACAGACCACCAGCCTCCTTCTCACAGAAGATCCCCAAATGCTCAATCTCAACTCCAGCCCCTTTCACTGCAGTAAGGGACCCATCCTACCTGGGCAGAGGCCTACAGGCAAGGATCCCTCTCTTGGGCCAAAAGGATAGTCTTCTGCACTCAGTTCCTTGGCCAGCATTCCCACATAGCCCTATTACTCTCCTTGGATCTTCCCCAGATCCATCTGGGACAGATGGCCACATCAACTTCTGAGCATTTGTGAGACTTGTGGGCAAGATAGGGCTTGGAACATCCTCTAGTGCTGAGACATCTTCACCTGTGAATGACTCAGGGAACACCATAGTCAGTCAGCTTAGAATCCCTGGAAGGCCCTCTGAAGAAGGACAAGCACAAAGAAAACCACCCTTTGAAGAATAAAATAATTACCTAATTCCTCAATGCACAGACATTGTTGCTCTTTCACAAGCACCAAGAACATTCAGGAAAATATGGCTGCACCAAACAGACAAGACGCCAGAGATCAACCCTAAAGGGATGGAGAGGTGTGACCTCTCAGACAAATAACTCAAAATAGCTGTTTTAAGGATGATCAGTGAAATTCAAGAGACAGAGAGTTCATTCAAAAATTTATCAGAGAAATTAAATAGAGAAATTAAAATAATTTTTAAAAATCAACCTTGGAGCTGAAACATATAATGAATAAAGTGAAAAATGTAAGAGAGAGCATAAACAGCTGGATTAATCAAACAGAAGAAACAATCAGTGCACTTGAAGACAGACTCTTTGAAAATATACAGTCAGAAAAGAAAGAATGAAAAGGAATGAACAAAGTTTATGGGATCTACAGGACATCAAAAAGCAAATATTTGAGTTACTGGTGTTAAAGAGGGAACTGAGAAAGAAAGGTGTAGAGACAATATTCAAAAAAGTAGTAACAGAAAAATGTCCAAATCTGAAGACAGTTATAAGTATCCAGATACAGGAAAGTCAAAAGTCACCAATCAGATATAATTAAATTCACAAAGGTAAAAGAAAAGAATCCTGAAAGCAGAAAGAGAAAAGAAGTAAATAACTTATAAAGGAGATCAAATACAACTGGAAGGAGACTTCTTAGAAACCCTACAGGCCAGGAAGGAGTGGGAAAATACGCTCAGAACGCTGAAGGAAAAAAAAATGTCAACAAAAAGATTGTACCCTGTAAAAATATCCTTCAGAAATGAAAGAGAACTAAAGACTTTTCCAGACTAAAAATAAACCAAAAGGACAACCCTCAAAACTCAAAACAACAAAAAAACAAAAAACACAGAGGGAATTTATCATTACCAAACAAAACCATCTACAAGAAATGGTAAAAAGAAAATCTACAAAGAAACACTGGACTTAATCTGTACTAAAGACAAAATGGATCTAATAGATATTTATAGAACATTTCATTCAGTGGCTGCAGAATACACATAATTTCCTTAGCACATGGATCATTCTCAAGGACAGCCCATATGTTAGGTAACAAAACAAATCTCATAACATTAAAAAAAAACCTGAAATAATATTAAGCATCTTCTCTGAACACAATGGAATAAAACTAGAAATTAATAACAAGAGGAATTTTGGAAACTATACAAACACATGGAAATTAAACAATATGCTCCTGAATGACCAGTGGGTGAATGAATACATTAAGAAGAAAATTGAAAAACCTCTTGAAACAAATTATAGATAATGAAAACATGACATAACAAAATATATGGGATACAGTATAAGCAGTACTAAGAGGGAAGTTTATACCTATAAGCACCTACATCAAAAAAGAGGAAAAATTTCAAATAAACAATTTAACAGTACATCTTAAAGAACTAGAAAAATAAGAGCAAACCAAACACAAATTAGTAGATGTAAAAAAATAAAGATCAGAGCAGAAATAAATGAAATTGAAATGAGGAAAACAATATAAAAGATCAAGGAAACAAAAATAGTTTCTTAGAGAAGACAAATAAAATTGAATGGGGAAAAACTGAAAGCTTTCCTTTAATATATGAAACACAACAAGGATGTCCACTTCCAACATGTTATTTAACATACTACTGGAAGTCCTAGCTAGAGAAATCAAACTGCTGCAAGAAATAAAGGGTTTCCAAATTGGAAAGAAAGAAGTCAAATTATCCTTGTTTGCAGATTATATAATCTTATATTTGGAAAAACCTAAAGACCCACAAGAAAACTATTAGAACTGTTAAACAAATTCAGCAAAGTTGCCAGATACAAAATTAATGTATAAAAATCAGCAGCATTTCTATATGCCAAAAATGAACAATCTGAAAAAGATATCAAGAAAGTAATCTCATTTACAATAGCTACAAATAAAATAAAATACCTAGGTATTAACCAGAGAAGTGAAATATCTCTATGATGAAAACTGTAAAACACTGATGAAAGAAACTGAACAGTACACCAAAAAATGAAAAAAGATTCCATGTTCATGGATTGGAAGAATCAATATTGTTAAAATGTCTATACTATTCAAAACAATCTACAGATTCATTGCAATCTCTGTCAAAATACCAAAGACATTCTTCACAGAAATAGAAAAAACAATCCTAAGATGTACATGGAACCACAAAAGACCCAGAATAGCCAAAGCTATCCTGAGCAAAAAGAACAAAACTGAGGAATCACATTATCTGACTTCAAATTTTACTACAGAGATATAGTAACGAAAATAGCATGGTACTGAGAAGTTTTGCAAAGGAGTCAAGGAGGCTTGAAGATGAGGAGCATAATGGTCGGCCATCGAAAGTTGACAACAACCAACTGAGAGCAATCATCGAAGCTGATCCTCTTACAACTACATGAGAAGTTGCAAAATAACTCAATGGCAACCAATCTGTGGACATTCAGCATTTGAAGCAAATTGGAAAGATGATAAAGCTTGATAAGTGGGTACCTCATGAGCTGATCAGAAAAAATATCATAATTTTGAAATGTCATCTTCTCTTATTCTGTGCGACAACAAGGAACCATTTCTTGATTGGATTGTGATGTGTGATGAAAAATGGATTTTATATGACAAGCAATGAAGAACAGCTCAGTGGTTTGACCAAGAGATGATCCAAAGCACTCCCCAAAACCAAACTTGCACCAAAAAAAAAGGTCATGCTCACTGTCTGGTGTTTTGCTGCCAATCTGATCCACTACAGCTTTCTGAATCCTGGTGAAACCATTATCTCAAAGAAGTATGCTTAGCAAATCAATGAGATGCACTGAAAACTGCAACACCTGCAGCCGGCATTGGTTAACAGAAAGGGCCCAATTTTTCTTCATGACAATGCCTGACTGCATATTGCACAACCAACACTTCAAAAGTCAATGAATTGGGCTATAAGTTTTGCCTCATCTGCCATACTCACCTGAACTCTTGCCAACTGCTTACCACTTCTTCAAGCATCTCGATAACTTTTTGCAGGGAAAATGCCTCCACAACCAGCAGGATGCAGAAAATGCTTTCCAAGAGTTAGTCAAATCCTGAAGCATGAATTTTTATGCTACAGGAATAAACAAACTTATTTCTCATTGGCCAAAATGTACTGATTGTAATGGCTCCTATTCTGGTTAATAAAGATGTGTTTGAGCCTAGTTACAGTGATTTAAAATTTATGGTCCAAAACCACAATAACTTTTGCACCAACCTAATATTAGAGAAAAATCACTTAGGCACAAAGAAAGACAGTAAAAAAGGAAGAGAGAGGTTACAAAATCACAAGAAAACAACTAACCAAATGGCAATAAGAAGTCCTTACTTATCGATAATAACATTAAATGTAAATGGGCTAAATTCTTCAATTAAAAGATAAAGAGTGGCTGAATGGAATAAATAATAAGGCCCAACTATACGCTGTAAACAAGAAGCTCACTTCACCTATAAGGGCACACAAACTGAAAGTGAAGGGATGGGAAAAGATACTCCATGCAAATAGAAACCAAAAAAGAGCAGAAGTAGCTCAACTTACATCATATAAAAGAGACTTTAAGTCAAAAACTGTAAAAAGAGACAAAGGTCATTATATAATGATAAAAGAGTTAATTCAGCAAGAGGATGTAACAATAGTAAATATATATGCACCCAACACTAGCACATCCAAATATATAAAGCAAATTTTAACAGATCTAAAAGGAGAGATAGATGGCAATACAAAAATAGTAGGGCACCCCACTTTTAGCAATGGACAGATCATCCAGACAGAAATTTAACAAAAAAGCATCAGGGTTAAACTATATTCTAGACCAAATGGTGTAACAGACATTTACAGAATATTTCATCCAACTGCTACAGAATACATACTTTTCCTATCAACACATGGAACATTTTCCAGAATAAGCCATATATTAGGACACACAACAAATCTTAAAAAATTCAAAATTATTCAAATTATATCAAGTATCTTTTTTGACCACAATGAAATAAAACTAGAAATCAATAACTTTCAAAACTATACAAATATAGACGAACTTTGGAAACTATACAAATACATGGAAATTAAATATGCTCCTGAATGCTTACTGAGTCAATACATAAAGAAGGAATTTTTAAAAATTCTTGAGAAACATGAAAACGGAAGTACAATGTACCAAAAACTATGGGATACAGGAAGAGTGATACTAAGATGGACATTTATAGCAATAAATGCTTATATCAAAACAATATAAATAATCTAAATAAACAACCTAATGATGCATCTCAAGGAATTAGAAAAAAAAGAACAAACTAAACCCTAAATTAGTAGCAGAAAATAAATACTGAAGATGTGAGCAGAAATAAATGAAATTGAGACTAAAAACTAATACAAAAGGTCAACAAAACGAAAAGTTGAGTTTTTGAAAAGATAAACAACATCAACAAACCATTAGTTAGGCTAACAAAGAAAAAAATAGAGAAGACTCAAATAATTAAAATCAGAGATGAAAAAGGAAACATTACAGGTGACACCATAGAAATATAAGTGATCATTAGACTATTATAAACAATTATATACCAATAAATTGGAAAACCTAGAAATGGATAAACTCCTTGACACATTCAACATATCAGGAGAAAACAGAAAACTGAACAGATCAATGATGAATAAAGAGATCAAACAAGTAATAAATGGTCTTCCATCAAAGTCACACCCAGGACCCAATGACTTCACTGCTGAATTCTACCAAACATTTAAAAAAACAATCAAAGAGGAGAGAAAACTTTCAAACTTATCCAATGAGGCCAACATTACCCTAATACCAAAACCAGACAAAGACATAACCAAAAAGAAAACTACAGGCCAAGCTCCTTCATGAACGTATGTGGAAAAATACTCCACAAAATACTAGCAAACAGAATTCAACAATACATTAAAAAGACCATTCACCATGATTAAGAGGGAATAATTCCAGGGATGCAAGGATGATCAACATTTACAAATTAATAATGATACAGTACATGAACAAAATCAAGAATGAAAATGATATGATCATTTCAATAGACGCTGAAAAGACATTTCATAAAATTCAACATCTGTAGATGACAAAAACCCTCAACAAATTGGGTATAGAAGGAAATTACCTCTACATGACAAAGGTCATAAATGACAAGCACACAGCTAACATACTGAACAGAAAAAACTGAAAGCCTTTCCACTAAAACCTGAAATGAGACAAGGATGCTCAGTTTCATCACTTTTATTAAACAGTACTGGAAATCTTAGCCAGAGCAATTAGTCAAAAGAAAAAAATTAAGGGCATCTAAATTGTAAAGGAAGAAGTCAAATTATCCTTGTTTGCAGATGACATAATCTTATAGTTAGAAAAACCCCAGAATTTTCCCCCAAAACTCTTATAACTTGTGAACAAATTTAATAAAATCACAGGATGCAAAATCAACATACAAAAATCCATAGTGTTTTTATATATTAACAGTGATCAATTTGAAAAATAAATCAAGAAAGCAATCCCATTTAAAATAGCTACTAAAGAAAAAATACCTTAGAATAAATTTAACCAAAGAAGTGAGAGATCTGTATAAGTAAAACTAAAACATTGATGACAGAAATTGAAGAGGCCACCAAAAAAATGGAAAGCTATTCCATGTTGATGGATTAGAAGAATTAATATTGTTAACAAGACCAGGTGTGGCAACTCATGCCTGTAATCCCAGCACTTTGGGAGGCCAAGGTGGGCAGATCACCTGAGGTCAGGAGTTCGAGGCCAGCCTGGCCAACATGGCAAAACCCCATCTCTACTAAAAATACAAAAATTAGCCAGTCATGGTAGTGGACACCTGTAATCCCAGATACTAAGGGGTGGAGGTTGCAGTGATCCAAGATTGCACCACTACACTACAGCCTGGGTGACAGAGTGAGACTCTGTCTCAAAAAAAAAATGTGTATATATATGTATATATATATATATATATGTATATGTATATATATGGCACAAAGCTATAGTAACCCCAACAGCATGGTACTGGCATAAAAACAGACAGATACACCAATGGAACAGAATAGAGAACCCAGAAATAAATCCATGCACCAACAGCCAACCCATTTTCAACAAAGATCCCAAGAATATGCACTGGGGAAGGAATAGTCTCTTCAATAAGTGGTTCTGGGAAAACTGGATATCAATATGCAGAAGAATAAAATTAGAGCCCCATTTTTTAGTAAATATAAAATTAACCCAATATTGATTAAAGACTTAAATGTAAGACTTGAAATTGTAAAATTACTAGAAGAAAAGATTAGGGAAATGCTCCACAACAAGGATCTGGGCAAAGATTTTTTGGATAAGATCTCAAAAGCACAGAAAACAAAAGCAAAAACAGACACATAGATTACATTAAGCTAAAAACTTCTGCACAGCAAAGAAAACAAAAAGGGAAAAGCCAACTTACAGAACGGGAGAAAAGATTTGCAAACTATCCATCTGGCAAGGAGTTAATAACCAGAGTATATAAGGAGCTCAACTCAAGAGCAAAGAAAAAAAATTTCTGATAAAAAATGGACAAAAGACCTGAATAGATATTTGTTGAAGGAAGACACACAAAGAGCTGACAGGCATGTAAAAAAATGCTCAACATTACAAATCATCAGGGAAATGCGAATCAAAACCACAATAATGTATCATTTCGCCTCAGAGTGGCTATTATTAAAAGGACAAAAATAGCAAATGCTGGTGAGGATGCAAAGTAAGAGAAACACTTGCACACTGTTGGTGGGAATGTGAAGTAGTACACTCATTATAGAAAACAGTATGGAGGATCCTCAAAAAACTAAAACTAGAACTACTATATGATCCAGCAACCTCACTACTGGTTATATATCCAAATGAAAGGAAATCACTACATCAAAGAGATACCTGCATTCCCATGTTTATTCCAGCACTATTCACAAGTCAAGATATATAATCAACCTAAGTGTTCATCAATTAATAAATGGTTATGACACATGGTATATATACACAATGGAATATTATTCAGTCATAAAAAATGAAATCCTGTCATTTGCAGCAATATGGATGGAACTGGAGGTCATTAAGTGAAATAAACCAGGCACAGAAAGACAAATATTGCATGTTCTCACTCATATGTGGGAGCTAAAAAGTGGATCTGTTTGAGATAGAAAGCAGTATGGTATTTACCAGAGGCTGGTAAGGGAAGCAGGAGGGGAACAATAAAGAGAAGTTGGTTACTGAGTATACAAACACAGATAGAAGGAATAAGTTCTGGTATTTGACAGTACAGTGGGGAAAATTATAGTGACAATAAGTTATTGTATATTTCCAAATAGCTAGAAAAGAAGAATTGTAATGCTCCCCATACAAAGAAAAGGTAAATGTTTGAGGTGATAGATACCCCAGTAACTCTGATTTGGTCTTCACACCTTGTATACCATGTATCTCACTGTGGTTTTGATTTGTATTTCTCTAATGATCAATGATATTGAGCTTTTTTTATATGCTTGTTGGCTGCATGTATGTCATCTTTTGAAATGTGCCTGTTCATGCCCTTTACTCACTTTTTAATGGGGTTTCTTGGGGTGGTTTGTTTTATAAACTTGTTTAAGTTCCTTATACATGCTGGATAATAGACGTTTGTCAGTTGCATAGTTTGCAAATATTTTCACCCATTCTGTAGGGTTATCTGTTTACTCTGTTGATAGTTTCTTTTGCTGTGCAGAAGCTCTTTAGTTTAATTAGATTTCATTTGTCAATGTTTGCTTTTGTTGAATTGCTTTCGGCATCTTTGCCACGAAATATTTGCCAGTTCCTATGTCCAGAATGGTATTGCCTACGTTGTCTTCCACAGTTTTTTTTTAATAGTATTTAGTTTTACATTTAAGTCTTTAATCTACTTGAGTTAATTTTTGTCTATGATATAAGGAAGGGGTCCAGTTCCAGTCTTCTGCATATGGCTAGCCAGTTATCCCAGCACCATTTATTGAATAGGGAGTCCTTTCCTCATTGGTTGTGTTTGTCATCTTTGTCAAAGATCAGACGGTCATAGGTGTGTGGCCTTATTTCTGGGCTCTCTATTCTGTTCCATTGGTCTATGTGTCTGTTCTTGAACCAGTACCATGCTGTTTTGGTCACTGTAGTCCTGTACTATAGTTTGAAGTCAGGTAATGTGATGCATTCAGTTTTGTTCTTTTTGTCTAGGATTGCCTTGACTATGGGGCTCTTTTTAAAATTCCATATGAATTTTAAAATAGTTTTTTTTCTAGTTCTGTGAAGAATGTCATTGGTAGTTTGATAGGAATAACATTGAATCTGTAAATTGCTTTAGGCAGTATGGCTATTTCAATGATACTGATTCTTCCTATCCATGAGCATGGAATGTTTTTTCATTTGTTTGTGTTATCTCTGATTTTTTTGAGCAATGGTTTGTAATTATTATTGTAGAAAGTTCTCACCTCTCTAATTGATTAGCTGTATTCTTAGATATTTTATTCTTTTTGTGGGAATTATAAATGGAATTGCATTCCTGATTTGGCTTTCAGCTTGGCTGTTGTTGGTGTACAGGAATGCTAATGATTTTTGTACAATGATTTTATATCCTGAGACTTTGCTGAAGTTGTTTATTGGTTTAAGGAGCTTTTGGGTTGAGCCCATGTGGTTTTCTAGACAGAGAATCATGTTGTCTGCAAACAGAGATAGTGTGACTTCCTTTCTTCCTATTTGGATGCTTTTTATCTTTTTCTCTTGCCTGATTGCTCTGGCCAGCACTTCCAATATGATGTTGAATAGGAGTGGTGAGAGAAGGCATCTTTGTCTTGTGTTGGTTTTAAAAGGGAATTTTCTGGCTTTTGCTCATTCAGTATAATGTTGGCTGTGGGCTTGTCATAGATGACTCTTATTGTTTTAGGGTATTTTCCTTCAATATCTAGTTTATTAAATTTTTAACAAGAAGAGATGTTGAATTTTATAAAAAGTATTTTCCTGCATCTGGGACTATTGTCTTTAGTTCTATTTATGTGATGAATAACATTTATTGACTTGCATACATTGAATCAACCTTGCATCTCTGGGATAAAGCCTAGTTGCTCATGCTAAATTAGCTTTTTGAAGTGATGCTAAATTGGGTTTGCCAGTATTTTGTTGAGGATCTTTGCATCAATATTCATCAAGGATATTGATCTGAAGTTTTCTTTTTTTGTTGTGTCTCTCTCTGCCAGGTTTTGGTATCAGGATGGTGCTGGTCTCACAGAAAAGGGTGTCATATAATAGAAATAATATAATTTGAAGTGTACTTTGCCTTTTTCCAGTTGTATGACTTTCTATGAGCCTCAATTTCCTCATTTATAAAATGGAAATAAAGTTATCCCACAGAATTGGCAGAAGAAGCACATAATGATGGGCATGAGTATATTAAAAAAACTATACATCACTAAAAATAATAAAATTTGAAAATGTTTTCTATTTTAGATTTGCTCTGCCTTGTTTACTTCACTGAATCTCTTTGGGAAAACAAACTCATCAATTTTTGTGAAGCTTACACTTAATTTCAAAGGAAAAATTAAACAGATAGAACTTTCCAAAAAGTTTTTTTATTAAGCCATAGAAACTCTTTCACTTCATAAATGGAATAGCAAGATGGAAAACAATGTTAATATATCAGAAGAATCCCTTCCATGAATAAAAATAATACTTGAATACACAAAAGACCCAGCTACGGTGACAAAAATAAAATATTACGAAATAAATGAATTTCTATGAAGTGTCACTTTCCGGCTTTGGAATTGGATAATGGGTAGAGCTTGGATGAATTTTGAGGTGCTTCATAGAAAAAAACCTAGATCGAAGAGACAGTTGATAGAAATATAGATGTTACCAAAGTATATTTGTGCTGTTATAACAAAATACCTGAGACTGAGTAAGTTATAATAAATGGAAATTTATTTCCTCACAATTCTGGAGACTGGGAAATTCATGATCCAGGTGCCGGCATTTGGTGAGGACCTTCTTGCTACATCATCCATGGATCCATCTTTTTTTTCTTTCAGGCCCCTAGTCAATTGGATGGTGCCCACCAATACTGAGTAAATTTTCCCAACTCAGTCCACTGATTCACAAGGCAATCTCCTCCAAAAATACCCTCACAGACACACCTGGTAACAATGCTTCAGCAGCTATCTAGGCATCCCTAAATCTGGTCAAGTTGACACCTAAAATTAATTATCATAGATGTTAAAGGTAACTCTGGTGAGGCCTTAGAAAGAGATGATGAACATTTAATTGGATACTGGAAGAAAGATGAGTCCTGTTATACAGTGGCAGAGAACTTGGCTGTGTCATTTTCTGCCATTGAGTGGAAAGTAGAACTTTCAGCGATGTATTAGTCTGTTTCCATGCTGCTGATAAAGACATACCTGAGACTGAGCAATTTACAAAAGAAAGAGGTTTATTGGACTTACAGTTCCATGTGGCTGGGGGGGGCCTCACAATCATGGCAGAAGGTGACAGGGACATCTCACATGGTGGCAGACAAAAGAAGAGAGCTTGTGCAGAGAAACTCCTCTTTTTAAAACCATCAGATATCGTGAGACTCATTCACTACCACGAGAACAGCGCAGGAAAGACCTGCACCCATAATTCAATCACCTCCCAATGGGATCCTCCCACAACACGTGGGAATTGTGGGAGTTACAATTCAAGGTAAGATTAGGGTGGGGACACAGCCAAAACACATCATTCCACTCTAGCCCCTCCCAAACCTCATCCCCTTCTCATATTGCAAATTACAATCATCCTTCTCAACAGTCCCCCAAAGTCTTAACTCATTTCAGCATTAACTCAAAAGCCCACAGTCCATCGTCTCATCTGAGACAAAGCAAGTCCCTTCCGCCTATGAGCCTGTAAAATCAAAAGCACGTTAGTTATTTCCGGACACAATGGGGATACAGGCATTTGGTAAATACAGCCATTCCAAATGGGAGAAATTGGCCAAAACAAAGGGACTACAGGCCCTACTCAAGTCCAAAATCCACCAGGGGAGTCAAATCTTAAAGCCCCAAAGTGATTTCCTTTGACTCCTGTCTCATATCTGGATCACTCTGATGCAAGAGGTGGGTCCCCACGGTCTTGGGTAGCTCCGTCCTGGTGGCTCTGCAGGGCACAGCCTCCTTCCCGGCTGCTTTTACTGGCTGGTGTTGAGTGACTGCAGCTTATCCAGGCACACAGTGCAAGCTGTCAGTGGATCTACCATTCTGCGTCTGGAGGATGGTGGCCCTTGTCTCACAGCTTTCCTAGGTGGTGTTCCAGTAGGCACTCTGTGTGGAGGCTCCGACCTCACATTTCCCTTCTGCACTGCCCTAGCAGAGGTTCTCCATGACAGCCCCACCCCTGTGGCAAACTTCTGACTGGGCATTCAGGTATTTCCATACATCTTCTGAAATCTAGGTGGAGGTTCCCAAACCTTAATTCTTGACTTCTGTGCACTCACAGGCTCAACACCACATGGAAGCTGCTAAGGTATGGGGCTTGCACCCTCTGAAGCTACGGCCCGAGCCCTACCTTGACCCCTTTCAGCCATGGCTGGAGCAGCTGGGATGCAGGGCACCAAGTCCCTAGGGTGCACACAGCATGGGGATCCTGGGCCCGGCCCACGAAACCACTTTTTCCTCCTGCCTGTTACCCAGTTCCAAAGTTGCTTCCATATTTTCAGGTATCTTTTCAGCAGCACCCTCCTCTACTGGTACCAATTTACTGTATTAGCCCATTTTCACGCTGCTTATAAACATACCCAAGACCGAGCAATTTACAAAAGAAAGAGGTTTATTAGACTTACAGTTTCATGTGGCTGGGGCAGCCTCACAATCATTGCAGAAGGTGATAGCCATGTCTCACATGGCAGCAGACAACAGAAGAGAGCTTGTGCAGGGAAACTCCCCTTTTTATTTTATTTTATTTTATTTTTATTTTATTTTATTTTATTTTATTTATTTTATTTTATTTTGAGATGGAGTCTCGTTGTGTCGCCCAGGCTGGAGTGCAGTGGTGCAATCTTGGCTCACTGCAACCTCCGCCTCCCTGGTTCAAGCAATTCTCCTGCTTCAGCCTCCAGAGAAGCTGGGACTACAGGTGCCCTCTACCACACCTGGCTAATATTTTGTATTTTTAAGTAGAGATGGGGTTTCACCATGTTAGCCAGGATGGTCTCAATCTCCTGACCTCATGATCCACCCACCTCAGCCTCCCAAAGTGCTGGGATTACAGGTGTGAGCCACTGCACCCAGCCTGAAACTTCCCTTTTCAAAACCATCAGATCTCATGAGACTCATTCACTATCATGAGAAGAGACCAGGAAAGATCTGCTCTCATAATTCAATCGCCTCCCACCGGGTTCCTCCCACAACATGTGGGAATTGCAGGAGTTCCAGTTCAAGGTGAGATTTGGGTCAGAACACAGCCAAACCATATCAAACAATAAACTTACGTACTTAGCTGAGTAGACTTCCAAACACAGTATGGATGACTACAGCCTGGTTTCTCCTTGGTACTTATAGTAAAATGTGAGAGCCAAGAGATAAACTGAGAGATGAACTGTTAAACAAAAAGGTACTAGCATTTGATTATTTGAAACATTTTCAGCTTATTTAGGTAGTGTGCTCTGGTAACAGGGCCAAGGTTATGGCTAGATAACCATTTGCTAAAGAAATTAGGCATGTGACCCATGAATCCCTCAAACATCTTAGCAGAAGCCAGGAATAGAGATGCAGTTATTCAGAAAAGAACTGTAGAGGACCCCCTTGTTTGATGGCTTGGATACCTGTTAATTGCAAGAAAGACTGACGTGATTTCTGAGAATTTCATACCAGCAGAAATACTGACAGCCTAGAATAAATGTCTCAGAGATGGGACAAAGTGAAAGAAGAATGACTCTTAGGTCTGAGGCACAGATGCAGAAGCCTGGGCTGACTCTACCTCCTTGAGCTGAGAGGGAAGGGCTGCCTCCTTGGCAGGCACATAGATTGAAGCACTGAGCCACAAGGATTATTCTCAGGCCTTGAAATCTAGTGGATTTTTTTCCTGCTCGGTATCAGACATGCTTAGGACCTATGATCCCTTTTTCTTTGGTGTTTTTCCCTTTTTGAGTGGGAATGGGAATCTGCTTCTGCTTGTCCCACCATTGTATTTTGGAAGCAGATAACTTATTTTTGGTTTCAAATGTGCACAGATGGAGACAAATGATGTCCCAGGATGCACTATATCCAAGTCTCACCCATAGCTGATTCAGCTGATAGAATTTGGAACTTTCTGAGTTGATAATATTTTAGAGTTACAGTTGACTCTGAAATGGGTTAAAACTTTTGGGATATTGGGATCAGGTGAATATTTGTCACATGTGAAGGATGTAAATTTGGGAGCCAGACAGCTGGCTGTCATGGGTTGAATTGTGTCTCCCCCAAAAGATAAGCTAAAGTCAAAACCTCTGATGCCTATAAATGTGACCTTTTTAGGAAATAGAATCTTTGCAGATGTAACCAAATTGAGATGAATTCATAATCCGTTAGGGTGGGCTCAATTTAATATGATTGCTGTCCTTATAAGAAGAGGTGAAGACACAGACACAGAGGGTAGAATGCCATTTGATAACAGAGGCAGAGATTAGAGTGATGCAGCTGCAAGTTAAGAAATAGTAAAGATTGATGGCTACTATTAGAAGTTAGGAAGAGGCAAAAGAGGCAAAGGATTCCACCCAGAGCCTCAGAGAAAGCATGGTTCTGATGACACTTTGATTTTTGAATTCTGGCCTCATGAACTGTGGGAGAATAAATTTCTGTTGTTTTAAGCCACCATGTAAAGGAATTTGGGATTTTTTTAACCTGAAGGCAAAAAAAAAATGCAATTGAAATGATTCAAGCAGATGATAAATGAAACCAAATCTGTATTTTAGCAAGAGGTCCCCATTTACAGTGAGGGCAGTATAGTATAGTGACTATAGTACACTTTCATATTTACTTATCTCCTCTCACAGTGAAAATTCTGGAAGGGCAGGGACTATCCTTCTTGTCCATTAATGTATTTTCAGTATTTAGCATACTGTTAATTCCTAAGTAAAATTTGTTAGACAAATATATTTTTAAAAGTTTTTCACAATAACTCTAAAAATGTATCACTCCTATGGAAAGAGATCTTAATCAATTTTATATCCTCAATAATCAACATACAGCAGATTGTTGGAAGAATGCATAAACAAGATTCAGAAACTAAGGAAATTCAACTAGTAAGTAGTAGTTAGTTTTATCTTTACTATGCTATGAAAAGAGCAGAATAAGAAAGACTATGCATTAAATATTTTAAGAAAAACCATGCTTCCATGTGGAATTAGATTATAAAGTACAGAAGAAAAAATGTCCAACGCCTTATTTCTGACATCATCACCTTTGGAATAACTGGTGGACATTTGATACTAGTGACTTAGGTCACAGACAGAGATGGAGAAATAATCATTCTATTCAATTCATTTCAAACTACTCACCACAGGAATTATTAAAAATGAAAAGAATTTCTTTGTTAGAAATATGGTTCATTTTGATGTTGCCAGAATAAAGACATCAAAACTCTGTGATTCATTTTATTGCTTATTTCTGTACTGTATTATTCATTTTAAAACAATATTATATAAGGCATTACTTGAAAGGAATTCTTCTTTCCCTTTTTGAAATGCTTAATTTTTTGAAATAGCAATAAGCAATATTATAAATATGCAGATTCATGATAAAAGGCTTGTTTATAATCATACTTTTTCTTTTGACATATATCAGGTATCATCTGATGAATTCTATTAATTACAAAAATAAAACATACTTTTCTCTATTTGCTTTCAAAATAACCTCAAAATTATTTTTAACAGCAGCACATGTTCTGTCCATACATTTATGCTACTCTTTTAAAAAATATATTTAAAACAGAAACCGGCTTTGTGCTTTACAACAAATATAAATAGGGGTAATTTGGATAATGAAAATAAATGAATAACAGCAGTACTAATAGAACTGATCCTATTTGTGATGGCTCATTAACTCTGTACAGGATGCAATTCACTGCCCTGGATCAGGAGTTGATAATTGTACAATGTGGAGCTATCTGCAAAAGATGACTGCAATAGGAAATTAACAGAAGGTCTGCTCATTCATTGGGAAGTCAGTGCCCCTTTCGTATGTGTACCCATATTAAATCATGTACTCAGAAAGGCTCTAAGGAAGAAAAAGAAAAAGATAAGACATAACTTGGGTACAATTAATACAAGTAGTATTTATCAAGCTCATAGTAAGCACTTTATTTTTTTTATTTATTTATTTTTTAATTATACTTTAAGTTTTAGGGTACATGTGCACATTGTGCAGGTTAGTTACATATGTATACATGTGCCATGCTGGTGTGCTGCACCCACTAACTCGTCATCTAGCATTAGGTATATCTCCCAATGCTATCCCTCCCCCCTCCCCCCTCCCCACCACAGTCCCCAGCGTGTGATATTCCCCTTCCTGTGTCCATGTGATCTCATTGTTCAATTCCCACCTATGAGTGAGAATATGCGGCGTTTGGTTTTTTGTTCTTGCGATAGTTTACTGAGAATGATGGTTTCCAATTTCATCCATGTCCCTACAAAGGACATGAACTCATCATTTTTTACGGCTGCATAGTATTCCATGGTGTATATGTGCCACATTTTCTTAATCCAGTCTATCATTGTTGGACATTTGGGTTGGTTCCAAGTCTTTGCTATTGTGAATAATGCCGCAACATGACATGAACAGACACTTCTCAAAAGAAGACATTTATGCAGCCAAAAAACACATGAAAAAATGCTCATCATCACTGGCCATCAGAGAAATGCAAATCAAAACCACTATGAGATATCATCTCACACCAGTTAGAATGGCAATCATTAAAAAGTCAGGAAACAACAGGTGCTGGAGAGGATGTGGAGAAATAGGAACACTTTTACACTGTTGGTGGGACTGTAAACTAGTTCAACCATTGTGGAAGTCAGTGTGGCGATTCCTCAGGGATCTAGAACTAGAAATACCATTTGACCCAGCCATCCCATTACTGGGTATATACCCAAATGACTATAAATCATGCTGCTATAAAGACACATGCACACGTATGTTTATTGCGGCATAGTAAGCACTTTAAATGCACTTGATTACTTAATCTTCCTTCTAATCCTATTTTTACAATTATTATCCTCATTTTGCAGATGACAAAACTGAGGCTTAGGAACTTGCTCAAAGGCACATGCCAATGAGTGGTGGAGCTTAGATTCCAACCTAGATGGTATGATTCCAGAGCCTCTTGTCTTTAACTATTCATACAATGACAAATTGCCTCCCTAGCTCAGCCTTCTCTCTAACTTCATCTAGTCTAGAATGATAGTGAGCAAATAAGAATCCCAGTGTTTCTCAGTCTGAGATGCAGGGTGAAGAGGGATAACACAATCACCCACTGGGGATGATTGTCAGAATCTAGGAGGGAGAGAGGGAGAGAAAGGGGGAGAATGTGGTTTGAAAAGGTATATTCATTAAACCTATTGTTTTCATAATATTAATGACAGAATTACAGCTAGACAAAATCTCAGCTCATGGGATAAACTGAAGAAATAATGTAAGGAGCATAATTAGAAAATGTTGATAAACACCAGCACTCTCTGCCTTCTAGTCTGTCATTAACTAGCCATAGGATCCTGGGAAAATCATACAATGATTTGCTGGGGCTGGACTAGATCATCTCAAAGGCCCTGCTTTCAAACGCTGGGCTGTGAAGTGCTATTAGTGACAATTTCTGTGCTCTGGAAAAAAAAAAAAAAAAGAGAAAAGTAAAGGGCAGTAACTTTCTCATAAGACAAACTATCTCCAGTTCAAAGAATTGTCCTTTATTCTGAAACTGGGTTCTTACTACTTCCTTGTGATGAACGTTTCAATTGTGAAATGATGATGGGGATAGTACATGGTAGAAGGTCTCTTTTTGTTTTTTTTAAAGTCATTACCTAACCAATTAAGAAGTTTGTTACTTGTCACATCCTGGGAAGTTTTTTGAAACGTTACAGTTATAAAATCTTATACAGGGAACCACTAGTTTAATATATTTTTCAACTTAAAATTTTCAGAGTCTTCTACATTTCTACAGCACTTTACAGTTTATTAAACATTTTCACATATATTTTCTCACTTTGGTACACTATGGTCTAGGAGACAATTCATTTTCCACAGATTGAAAAATGGAGCTTAGGGACGTTGCGTATCTTGACCAAGATTACACAGCTCGTTAAAGAGGAGCTAGATTCAAACTCATGTTGTATTTATTTATTTAGAGATGGAGTCTTGCTCTGTCACCCAGGCTGGAGTACAGTGGTGCAATCTCGGCTCACTGCAACCTCTGCCTCCCAGGTTTAAGCCATTGTCCTGCCTCAGCCTCCCAAATAGCTGCGAATACGAGCACCTGCCATCACGCCTGGCTAATTTTTGTATTTTTAGTACAGACAGGGTTTCGCCGTGTTGGCCAGGCAGGTCTCAAACTCCGGACCTCGAGTGATCCGCCCTCCTCAGCCTACCAAAATGCCCAGATTACAGGCATGAGACACCGTGCCTGGCCCCAACTCATGTCTTTTGACTTTAAATTCTGTCTGCTTTCCAATCTGTAAGTGAATCTGGCCATGATAGAATCATAAGAAAAGTGTTTTCAATACATAGAATTAATAAATCTGAATTTCTGGAAGACAGGTCTTAAGAGTTGTGTCTTTTAAGAGCTCTCCAGGTGATTCTGATAGGCAGCCAAATCTGGGGACCATTACCAAATGGTCTGCGCCTCTGTATACCTGGCCTCGCTGGAAAGAATAGGAGTTTTGAACTCAGACAGAGCTGGGAGTCTCTGGGCAAGATATAAAATCGACCTGAGCCTCCAGTTTCCTCATCTGTGAAATAAGGATAATGATGTCTAACATGCAGAACTGTAAATATTTGAAAAAAAAATAAAGTACCTAGATACGGTAGTCACTCAAAAATGGAAGCTATTATCATTACTACTACTACCTCGTATGATGCTCTATTACTACTGAGTAAGAATTAGGTATATATTATAAATAGCAATGATTCTAGAACTTTCCTGAAGAAATTTACAACAAACACATGCCACCCAAATTATTCGTGATCTCAGGACAGTCTCCAGGTCTCAGTTTCCTCTTCTATGAAACGGCAATAACTGTGAGTTGCTAAGCTATCTTCTGGCTCTAAAAAGTCCAGGACTCTGTGATTCTATTTAAGAGTTAAAGAACCAGTCTTGAGAATGTGGCTCTTTGAAGAGTATTAAACAGGTATACTTGAAATAAATTAGTGCATATGAATGACAAATTTCTATAGCTATGCTGTCATTTTCTATCAAGGTGAGACTATGGTCATCCATGGTTTACCACAGTCCTGTCTGCCGTTCAAGCCTCCATGTTTCTCTCCCAAACTACCTCCCTATTCTTACTGCATAGCTAGGTCTTATCTGGCTCTCCAGCCAAACTAAATTTCTTGTTAGTGCTTAAATGCAATCTTTGTTTTTCCATCGCCTTTACTACATGATTGCCTCTAACAAGACAAATAAATGAAGAAAATAATAATAATAACCAGTCATTATTTCTACGTATAAGTTACAATGCTTTTCAAATACGGTATAATTTACAAATTATACCGTATTTGCTCTCAAATCTGTCATACTCATAAGAATATAAGTTAAAGCATGTTTATACTTGTAACCCAAAGTCCAGTACTATCACTCCATATTTATTATATATGAAATTTATTCCTTAGCAACTGAGATAGGATTCTCTTTCAGTTGCTAAGGTACCATGAGGCCTGCTGGCAGGATTAGTTTAGGAAAAAATATGCCACGTTGAACTCCCATGCAAAAGAAATAAATGAAACCTAATTTGCTGAGCTGTCTTGTTTATTTTGGTTCATTCAGCAGGGTAATATAGTAGCAATAACATTGAATGGGATCTCAGGAGATGTGGAATTTAGTCCCATTTCTGGCATGACCAAACATACAGCTTTCAGGAGATCAAGCATATTTTCTGGTCCTCAGTTTTTTCACTTCTAAAATGGAAATCTTCCTTGCTTTTACTCAAACAGTATACATACATAGGGAGTTATTATTCTTTTGTTTGCCATTCCCTACAACACAGTCCCCTTTCTAAATCTATTTGCTTTACAATTCTCTACTATTCCTAAAGATTTTTCAGATTCCCTAATTCCATTTCATTACCACTAAGAGTCCTAGAGGAGGAAGTAAATAGCAAAGATCAGAAATGATTTATTCAGATATATTGCTTTTTAGAATGTTGATTGAATAACTCTAAGGCCCTTTCTAGCTTTAAAATAGTAAAATTCCACATTCAAATTTACACCTGAAATTCATATATCTCTTGTATATAAGGAAACCTTAAGATATGTTTCATCAGTGACAAACTCCTATATGACATCAGTTTCTCTGCCTCATGATTTTAAACTTTAGGAAGGTTGACTATGTTTGTTTCCCTCTTGCATGCATAAAACCTTGCCTGACATCTCACATCTCTTATAGTCATTTACACTACAGTTTTTGCCTTTACATCCAAATATAGATGTAAGTTTTAAAAAAATAAATTTGAAACAACAAATTACTAAAACATATATTTCTCTTACATTCCTAGCCGTGATATTATACATTCTGAAGAGAGAAAATTTCAGCTGACACCATGTTGGAAAAGGCAAATACTCTCAAAATTTTGTGTCTGCTTCATGAAATATAAAAGCATATAGTCAAATACAGCACACAGAAAAACAATAGCAACTGCTTGCTCCAAAAACTAGACTGGTAATCCTAATCCAAAAAGTGGACCTGAAAATAAAGATGGCAAAGACATGACAAACATACAAACCCTTTTTCACCTTACTAATTCCCTACCTAGAGTAGACATTGATGAATGGATGGATACCAGAAATCAAACCTTTTTGTAATCCTGTTTTAAAGATTTAACTGGCTTAAGTCCAACCTAGCTGGCTCTTCCATGACTTTCTCTACAGTGTGTCTGAATTTTCAATACAATGGAAATTATAGTAAAGTAGCAAGTTTTCCTACAGTTTACTTGGGGATTTTAGAATTGGTCTTACCTGATTTATTCTGAAACTGAGTCAATGAAAATCCAGTCTCTAAATACACACACACACACACACACACAAACACAAACACACACTTCAGGAATAGCCAATCCAGGGGATAATTTCAAAGTCTAGTACATAATTGATAAACACTATTCAAAAATTTTTATTCTTTTATATTCAAGTGACACTCAAGGAAAGAAAAATAACTCTAGTCTACTTTTCCTTCGCACAATACAACACTTGGTACTTTTCACTGAAATCATACCTTAATTTTCAAATCTTTCACCATTTACAAACTCTAAAAAGTGTAAAGATGAGTGATTCAGAGAGTGAGACTATGTAAACCATTTACACAAAGACATTGAAACCCTCTGGACAAGTTGAATGAGAACAAATCAGCACTTACTTGGCATAAACCACTGATGCACATATCCAAAGATTCTGTATAGCAACGCGTACCATCTAAGACCTTAGGTGCTAGTTCAACAACCAGGGTTGTTCCTTTGGCTTGGCACTTGAGTGAACATGGGTTGTCAGGGTCATTAGACACAGGAAGCCATTCATAAAACTGGCCATGGTGCTTGACATCATTATGAGCTGAGCATTGCTGAGCTCGGAAATCACCTGCTTCTGGTGGGCAGTCCTGGAGAAAAAAGAGAGAAAGGACATACAAAGGTTAGGAGGATACCCCCAAACATGAAACCAGAGCAGCTATATGGTCTGCTTAGGTCTTAGAAAGCAAAACAAATGTCCTGGTCATGATAGATGGAACTTATAATATCATCTTAGAGGTTATATGATTATTTGGCTTGCAAAATGTAGAAATCTGATAAAGCAATCACCTCAAAATACATTTTCTGATTGAGTTTAAATGGAAAAATAATTGGCTTGAAATAGATATTCTGATTAGGTGGGACATACATTTTTTGAAAGTTGTCTATTGGTTCATGAATTCTTCCACACTGTACTATCATTTTGACTTCCTCATAAGTAGAACCTAGTAAAGTCAGAGGATTAGTTGAAATTATTTGTCTCTTTCAGTTCTGATATTGAGAGCTATGACAATTGTTTATTTGAATAACTAGCAGTAAAAAGTTATAAAAATTTCATTCAAAAAGTTTTTGTGGAGTTGTAATTTTTTGTCTAGGACTTAGGTTGCATAGTATCTAGAATTAAACATGGGGAACAAAAAATATGAAACCATTTATATATGAATTGCTTTGGCTTAAGGCAGCATGGCAGAATGGAAAGAGCATGGACTTCCTCCTTAGATGGGTGGGTGGCTGCAATGCAGTGCAGAGTTATTGCCCCTATTCTAACACAGGGAAGCCTAGTCTTGTGTTAGAACAGAGGCAATAACTCTGCACAGCTCTCAAGGTTGTTGTGAGAAGTTCACGAACTCATGCTGGCCAAATATATGCACAAGGAATATACTGAGTAGATGGTAGCTATTACTATGATTATTTAATGAGGCCACAGAAGGCAAAGGGATGGAGTATGAGGAGATTCTCTCAATTTGAATTGTAAATTATATTGTTAGAGATCAGTGGAAAATAAGAATCTTTTTGATGTAAGTTTCATAAAGGGCAATTTAAAATGTAAAACTATGGCTAACAATGGCCATTATCTAATGAATAATAAATCTCAGTAAAAGCAGGTAAGATTTAATTTTAAAAAGGCAAATATTGCCTATCCCTTGGAAGGGCTTTTTGATAGGTTTATCTTATTCTACAAGCCTTCAGATTAAAATTTACCATGGAAGACTGTCGTCGACTCTCCAGCTGTAGAAAGGCTTTTATTCTAATTTTTTGTTTTAAATAAAGGATTTCCATGTAGCCTTCAGCAGTTCCCTGTTACTACATTATCATTGTGAGAGTTCTCTTATATAAGGTTTCTTTCTCTGAAAAATCTCTTTACCTTTAAATAAGCATTCTAAAACAGCACTGAAAATTTTGACTCTTTTCCAAAACATTAGTGATACTACTAAAGAGCATATAACGCTCTGGTAGTTGAGGGAGCACAAATTCTTTCTAGGCAATGTGGGGTAGAAACAAATATTTATTTAGGATGAACATGAAATTGTTCAAAATACAATATAAAATGTCAAAGACATTTTACTGTTAGTATTATGTGTTCTCAGAGTGAATAAACCATAGTAGCAGAGGAAAAGAATAATGTATATAACATAGGTACAGATACACAGGCACCCAGCAAGGCTTAACATTTTGAATATTGTCTGAAAAGAGTATGAATAAAATTTACCAATTATTAATTTTTTAGATAATAGGATGCAGTTTAAATTTTTTAAGATCCATAAATAAATAAATATGTGTGCTATACAGGCTGTTTACACGTTTATTTTGTAAAATAAAACAAAAACTACCTACAACCAGCAAAACTATATTATGAATTACAACACAGGTAAATTGTGTCAAATCATGACATACAATACAAATTAACTTTATTTTTTTTTTTTTTGACAAGGAGTCTCGCTCTGTCTCCCCGGGTGGAGTGTAGTGGCGTGATCTCGGCTCACTGCAACCTCCGCCTCCTGGGTTCAAGCAGTTCTCCTACCTCAGCCTTCTGAGCAGTTGGGATTACAGGCATGTGCCCCCACACCCAGCTCATTTTTTTATATTTTTAGTAGAGACAGGGTTTTGCCATGTTGGCCAGGCTGGTCTCGAACTCCTGACCTCAGGTGATCCACCTGCCTTGGCCTCTCAAAGTGCTGGGATTATAGGCATGAGCCACCGCAACTGGCCACAAACAACTTTAAATGTTTAACACAAGCTCCTTTCAGACCATATGTTCTAGAGCACAGAGAAACTGATTTAATATTGTCTTAATGAACTCACATTCCAAAGATAAGACTTCCACTTGCCTAATTTACAAATTCTACCAATATCTGCCTAGGCCTCACTTACTAACTTCTGCCCTAAAACAACTCTATAACTAACAACTGCCCCCAAACTCTACACGTAGCCTTCCTTAAATTTCCCCACTTGAGATACGATAGAGTCTCTGTCAAGGTGCTGCTCTCTCCTGCTTAGCATGTTTAATAAACCTACCTTTATATGATCCACAAGTTCCTGGTCATTGAATGGGAGCGTCTAAAGTTGAACTGACAGTTTAGCAATGTTTAAATACAGTATTTTCGTTTGATAGTACCTATCATCCCAGGAGTCACTTGATTACTCAGTACAAGTACAGAAGAAGTAGAGTACATTGTACTGGGGGTACAGTACTTCATTATACTGAAATACAATAAAGCAGAACATTGAGGAAATTGTTTGAAATGGTTCCAAACTCCTCTTAAAATTTCCTTTGCCTCCTTTTTCTATACAAGTGAAACAGTTAGAAGGGTCAGGCTGAATCGCCTCTGCCTTAATGAGCAGAAGATATAATTAAGAGACCTCTTAATATGAACCAGGGAAAATTTTCTGCACGTTTCCAATTCTGATAAAAGTGTCAATTATGTTTTTAAATTGATAATGCAATATCATCTTAGTACAGACATAAAACCTCTACAGAGTCTCCTATGATTCCCCTCTGTTCAATAAATTGTGTTGGTTCTTTCCACCTTTCCTAAGAAAAATAGGACCTAAAGGCAGTCAAAGGTAAACCAATGAAGTTAAAATGTTAAGACCTTTAGGTTCTGTTTTCTGTGACAAACACAGTAAACACATTTAGACACATCTTAGAGACTCAACATGCAGACAGATGTTCTTATTTGCAAGTCACCTGTATCTAATGGCTTCAGGAACACCTGTTACAAGTTTTATGGTTTCACAACTAGAGAAATAGGTCTGAGAAGAATAATGCTTATGAGCATCTTTACTCAGTTTTATCACTACTGTCTTTCCTTCCACCCATATTTTTGTAGGGGTGGGAAAATATATTTTGCTAAATTGAGAATGCATTTAAACCTGGAGTTCAGAGTTGGAAACTGAACTTGAACCTTTTTAGTGTTTGAGTTTATTTGTACTTGGCAAAATGCAACTTCCTGTTTTAAGAAAAAGGACTTAAGAAAACTTATAAAACAGGTTCAGAAAGCTTCTTGGACATCAAATAGCTTTTACAAAAATAACATTTTGATGATTTAAGTGTAAATGAATCAGAAACATATGAATCAAATTTCCCTTGAAATACACATGTTTAAAAATTAAGGGGAAGAAGGATTTGGCAAACATTCTTTGTTTGAACCCAAAACATTTCAAGCATAGTTTAAGACATCCATTGAACCCCTAATGCATCTGGGATCATCCAGCTGCAAGAGTGGAAACTCAAGTAGTCATTGTAGCCTCTTGTTCCACAAGTATGCTAATAAAAATAATTTGTATAGAGATTTACCATCTACAAAGGTTTTGGTTTATAATTATAAATTGGTCCATGAAACCATTATACTTCCTGATCCTTTTGTGGGTTTTTTTGGTCTTTTTTTTTTTTTCCTTTTGTGGCGAATGGGGTCTCGCCCTTCATTCTCCAGGCAAGTCTCGAAGTTGCTCAGACAGGTCTGGAACCCTTGGACTCATGCTATCCTTCCACCTCTGCCTCCCTAAGTGCTGGAATTACAGGTGTGAGTCACTGTGCCTGACTCTTTTAAAAGTAAGATTTAGAAACTGATAACCTAACTGTTTTGAAAAATACTTACCATCTTTTTCTGGGCATCATCTTTGAAATATCAGCTTTTGGAGAGATGCTTTTTGATGCCACAAGTAATCAGTTTTAACCATGATAGGTAGTTTTCTTTAAGGAATACTGAATGTAGAATGTACTAAATATATATAATGTGGGATTTCTGCTCTCATCATATCCTAGTGGTAAGAATAATAAACTTTAAATTGGCATATTTAAAATAAAGAATAAAACAAATGAATTATGGTTTAAATATGCTTACATGTATTAATATATTTTTGCACTGAACTTGGCTCATAGAAAGCATTGATGGAGACAATTAAAATAGTCAAAAAGTCTAGTAGTTATATGGACCAAATGCATTCCATTCCCTAACAAGAACCTGGCAAAAAATATAGTGTGGGAGGGATGCACAGGACTACAGACTCCCACATCCAGCCCCTCATACATCTCCAGAATTGCCATCAAATAGAAATGGAGCAAGAGAAAGCAATCTAAGACTTTTTTTCTTGGTTTCCTGCCTATTTCCAATAAACTCTAAATATACCTGTGGCTTGACAGCTCTGTGTCATGTTACTGGGCTAAGGCTTCCTCACTATAAAAGTCTATTTTCTGTGAAATAATAACATGATCCCACGAATTACTGTATTTAGCCATTTAATATAATCATTTCTCTCCCCGAGTTTTAAGCACTCAATTCTAACCGTGTCAGAGCTCTCCTCTTTAAAAGCACAAAAATAAAAGCTGACCTTTTATTTGCTCCCATTATAATTCATAAAGTCCATGGAGTTCTGCCATATATGAATCCAATTCAAAACATTTTCTGGTTAATCAACTATCCAGTGGGAAAGATAAGATGGATCCCAGATGTCCCCTGATGATGACAGTAGATCAGATTACACTGTGAGACAAAGGAGGGTCAGGGTTCCCAGTTTACTCACCGGGTGAAATGTACAAGATTCTACCGCAGCAGCTAAGGTGGCACTATATAAAAGGTTTTAAAATGGCTTTGAAAAATATACATAATGTAGATTCAGGGTCAGGAGAAGCATTAATTTTTCTTTATTTTCATTCTTTTTAAAGAAGGCATTTTCCTTTAGAGAGACATACCTCTGTTTTTCCTCTTCCCTTAAATATTCAGTGGTAGTCCTATTCTATTAATTTTGTTGTTTCATTTAACCTATTATATGAGTGCCATCCTATTAATGCTTTTATGTGTAGAATCAATATTGGTATCTGATAGTATCAAGAACCTTGGAAATCATATTCAGATGACTACATGTACTGTAGTAACCGAAAAAAAAAAAAAAATCCATGCTTCTGACTTAATTTTCCTCTCTTAGAAATGTACTTAAACCCCATACTGCCCCTCCACACTGTCCTAATCACTCACTCTCCATAACAGTTACTATGCAAGAAAACGCAATTAGAACTGCCTAGCAAGGCATCTACTTTATCCTCCAACAACTGCGGATAACCACGTTATGATAAAAACATACGTGGAAATTTACCAGCTACTGGATGATGTTAGAAAATGTTACCAGTTGTTTTACCCTCAAAATATTAGGAATCCTCAATTTACTGACAGTAAAACCAGAAAAGATTACCATAAAAGGCTGCTCTATAATAAATGGATAAATGTTCTGGAAAATATATCCTCTAAAGCTTTCGAATCTTTTAGCACACCTAAGTAGATGGTGGGCTGCCTCTTTTACATATTTTGGTCTTTGTTACTTGGCTTTCTGTATCTTTTATTCAAAGTTAAGATGAAAGCACTGAATAGCAAATATCCATCGATAAAATCCAATGTACTATATTTTGTTCTCGGAAAAAAAAAATCAGTGTTTCAATTTCTATTTGCAACTCAGACCTCCTCGCTTGAAATTCAGACTTATATACAGTAGTCCCCCTTGTCTGTGGTTTTGCTTTCTGGGGTTTTAGTTACACACAGTCACCCACAGTTTGAGAACAGGTGAGCACAGTACAATAAGATATTTTGAGAGAATGAAAGAGAGATCACATTCACTTAAGTTTTATTACAGCATGTTGTTATAGTAGAGTTATAATAGCATAGAGTTATAACTGCATAGTTACAATAGAGTTATAATAGTACAATAGAGGTTTTTACAGCATATTGTTAGAAAAATTCTATCAATAATATTAAATGTTAAAATTCTATTTTATTATTTTTGCTAATTTCTCAATGTGATTTATAAATTAAACTTTATCTCATATATGTATGAGAAATTATCTATATTTTCTTACATAAGTACATAGATACATGCATTGTATGTGTGTATAAGAATATATTTGTGTTAGTATCTATAGGGTTAGGTACTATCCACAGTTTTAGACATCCACTGTGGGTCTTGGAGCATATTCCCTGAGAATAAGGGGGGGACTACTGTATACAACTGCTCACTTGCCATCTGGACATCTAAGACACTGGAAACTCATCATGTCCAAACCTGAATCCCTGATCCTCCTGCTATCCCCATGAAATCTGTTCTCCCTGCAGCATTCCCCAACCCAATGTCAACTCTATACTCTTCAGGCCAAAACCTTTTTGTTTTTTCTTTTTTCTGGCTCTGTCACCCAGGCTGGAGTGCAGTGGCATGATCTCGGCTCGCTGCAACTTCTACTGCCTGGGTTCAAGCAATTCTCCTGCCTCAGCCTCCTAAATAACTGGGATTACAGGTGTGTGCCACCATACCTGGCTACTTTTCTGTATTTTTAGTAGAGACAGGGTTTTACCATGTTGGCCAGACTGGTCTTGAACTCCTGACCTCAAGAGATCCACCTGCCTCAGCCTCCCAAAGTGCTGAGATTAACGGCATGAGCCACCTTGCCCAGCCTAGTCAAAAACTTTAAAGCAGTGGTTTTCAAACTTAAACGTACATCAAAATCACCTGAAGGCCTTTTTAAAATACAGGATTGTTGGGGCCCCACCCTCCAGAGCTTCTAATTCAGTAGACCTGGGGTGAGGCTTAATAATTTGCATTTCAAACAAGATCCCAGGTGATGCGAATGTTGCTAATTTGGCAAACCCGCTTTGAGAACCACTGCCTTAGAGCCATATTTGACTTCCATATCCAATCCATCAGAACTATTTTTCTATACACAAAAAACACAGAATCTGATCACAACCAAGTCCAAGGAGCCATCATGTCATGCCTGCGTTCTTGCAATAGTCTCCTAATTTCCCTTCTGCCCTTGCTCTCCTGGAAAGTTTTGTCAGCACAGTGGCCAGAATGGTCTTATGAGAGCCCCCATCATCCCTCAGGCCTGTCACATCCTATTGTCCTTGCTCACTTAGCTCCAGTCACCCTTGATTTTTCTGGAATCAAGGCCCTGTGTCTTCAGGGACATTCCAGGAACACTCTTACTTTAGGATGCATGCATTATCCATCCCTTCTGCCTGGAATTCTCTTTGCCCAGATTCTGAGGAGCGAATTACCTCACCTTTATCAAGTCTTTGCTCAAATATCACCTCCACAAAGCTTAGGCTGCCTACTCTGTGTAAAACTGCAATCCCATTCCCACTGCTGATTTGTCTTTATCCTGCTCAACTTTCCTTTTTCCTATAACACTTAGTCACCCACAAGTATATCGGATAATTTACTCATTTACTGTGCTTAACATTTTATTGTCTGTCTTCGTCTACTACAGCAGAACCTCCAGAAGGACAGCAATCTTTTCCCATTTGGCTTTCTGTTACATACCAGGTACTCGAATATTTGTTGAAAGAATGACTAACACATTGAATAAAGGAAACAGACGTCATATTTTTTATTGTGGGAACTCCAGTGCTGCTTTCATAAGTCTTGCAGGAATTTGAATCTTAGTTTTCTAATTGATGGAATATCTAATTTTTTTCTTTCTTTCAAAAAAAATTTACGAGAATAAATTTACAAGAATACTAATACATTTCAGACACTAGGAAAGTTGGTTAGGGAGTCTTGCCTAGTTTCTGAATAGGCAGACTGATATTTCCTTCTCCATGTAAACAAATTTAACAGGCCAATATTAAGAAACATAAAATGTGCTGAAATCCTTTATTATTTAAAAAATAGCCAGACATTTGTAAATTTTATATAACATTTAATGTTGTAAGCACGCACTATAAAGTACTCATATTAAAGTACTAAGCTTTAACCCCCAAATTTTGGCCACCTGATTATACTAACATCAAAATTATCATCAAAAGCATTTATTTGTGCAAGATTGCTAGCTGCTATGTAAAATGAAATTAAACAGACATAGTTGCTGCCCTGTCTAGACAGTCTGCGTGGAGACAACTCTGTTACATTTTAAGAGCATAATATTTAAATCTCTAACACATCACTGTAAGTGCAAAGAACAGAAAGTGGGGTCAGTTTTGGAGGATGGTGCCATAGCAGGTAAAGGCCGTTCTTGGCTAATTTTCCCTCCTTTTTGAAAAGGCCAACAGGCTTTTTTTTTTTTTTTTTCATAACTAGGATTAAATGGCTTAGGGCACCATATTTTCATGTATACTAGGTATAGTTTAAAACTCCTTGCTTTTGTTCTTTTTCCTGGTGCAAAAGGTTTACAGATTTCTTTTACTTTTCCCCCAAACTCTCAAGTCTTTTGGAAAATAACATATTCAAGGGAAATGAGTGTTTGTGAAAATTAGTCATTAACCATCTTAATACCTTACAATAGATCAAGTTCATGCTCAGTGAAATTATACCTTTATAACTCTATGACCTTGAAAATAATATGGAACTCTTTCTAATATATTCAAACTTTGGGTGTGCCCTACTATGTGTTTACTAAGAGAACACTAGTTACAGGTATATTGAAAGCTTTAAACTGTTCCAATGTCTTCATTCAGGTCCAGACATAAAAGATATGAAATGTGTGATATAATGAATCATCAATCCCACCTTCCTTGCTCTATTATAGCTTGTTATCTGAAAACAAATGGTTTGCCAGGCTAGTTTTTAATGTTTCCAGGCATCTGAGAGTTGATCTAAGTAAAAACATTTAGCTTTAAAAGTTCATTTTTTTCCTCTGGGTAGCTTTTGTTTCAGTGCTTTTACTTTTTCTCTTTTGAAGAATGCAGACGTTTGGAATCCAGTTCCCTAGAGGTATTTCTAAGACTGGTTGTAGTTTGTCATTTTAGAGTCTTAAATTCTCTCAATTTTGAAAATATTCATTCCTTGAGGCTTTTTATTATTTTTAGTCCCTTTCTTTGAATTCACTCCAATTTAGCAGTATCTTTTCTTAAATCAGCATTTCTGACCTTCTATTATTTTTTATTATAGTCTAAAATAAGTGTTCTCTCCCACCTCCTTAAAATTAGCATATCTGAAGGAGTAATTCATAATCCTTTTGTAACATGGCATACAATTTCATTTTATAAGCACACAATTATACAGTGCTTTGTTTTCAGACTGCATTTACCAAAATATTTGTGGTGGAAAGTCAGGTTGTGAAAAGGACTAGTATAGGAGAGCTATTTCAGCACATAAATTCCTTGCCACTATTCCTTGGGTCTGTTGCAAAACAAGTTCCTTATGTTTCTATTTACAAGTGAGGCAGGGGCTGGCAAGATGGCAGAATAGGAACAGCTCTGGTCTGCAGCTCCCAGCGAGATCAACATAGAAGCCAGGTGATTTCGGCATTTCCAACTGAGGTACCCCGGTCATCTCACTGGGACTGGTTAGACAGTAGCTGCAATCCACGGAGGGTGAGCCCAAGCAGGGTGGTGCGTCGCCTCACCAGGGAAGTGCAACGGGTTGAGGAACTCCCTTCCCTACCCAAAGGAAGCCATGAGGCACTGTGCACGAGGGACGGTGCTATCCGGCCCAGCCAGTATGCTCTTCCCACAGTCTTTGCAATGCGCAGACCAGGATATTCTCTCAGGTGCCCACGCAACCAGGGCCCAGGGTTTCAAGCACAAAACTGGGCGGCCGTTTAAGCAGACACCAAGCTAGCTGCAGGAGTTTTTTTCATTCCCCAGTGGCGCCTGGAATATCAGCATGACAGAAACATTCACTCCCCTGAAAAGGGGCACCGAAGCCAGGGAGCCAAGTGGTCTAGCTTAGCGGATGCCACCCCCATGGAGTCCAGCAAGCTAAGATCCACTGGCTTGAAATTCTCACTGCCAGCACAGCAGTCTGAAGTCGACCTGAAATGCTGGAGCTTGGTGGGGGTAGGGGCGTCCACCATTACCAAGGCTTGAGTAGGCAGTTTTCCACTCACAGTGTAAACAAAGCCCCCGGAGGTTTGAACTGGGCAGAGCCCACCGCAGCTACGCAAAGCTGCTGTAGCCAGACTGCCTCTCTAGATTTCTCCTCTCTGTGCAGGGCATCTCTGAAGGAAAGGCAGCAGCCCCAGTCAGGGGCTTACACATCAAACTCCCATCTCCCTGGGACAGAGCACCTGGGTGAAGGGGAGGCTGTGGGTGCGGCTTCAGCAGACTTAAACGTTCCTGCCTGCTGGCTCTAAAGAGAACAGCAGATCTCCCAGCACAGCGCTAGAGCTCTACTAAGGGACAGGCTGCCTCGTGAAGTGGGTCCCTAACCCCTGTGCCTCCTGACTGAGAGACACCTTCCAGCAGGGGTCAACAGACACCTCATATAGGAGAGCTCCAGCTGGCATCTGGTGGGTGCCCCTCTGGGATGAAGCTTCCAGAGGAAGCAACAGGCAGCAATCTTTGCTGTTCTGTAGCCTCCGCTGCCGATACCCAGGTAAACAGGGTCTGGAGTGGACCTCCAGCAAACTCCAACAGACCTGCAGCAGAGGAGCCTGACTGTTAGAGGAAAACTAACAAACAGAAAGGAATAGTATCAACATCAACAAAAAGGATGTCCACAACAAAACCCATTCAGTCACCAAAATCAAAGACCAAAGGTAGATAAATCCATTAAGATGAGGAAAAACCAGTGAAAGAAGGCTGAAAATTCCAAAAACCAGAATGACTCTTCTCCAAAGGATCACAACTCCTTGCCAGCAAGGGAAGAAAACTGGATGGGGAATGAGTTTGATGTATTGACAGAAGTAGGCTTCAGAAGGTGGGTGATAACAAACTCCTCTGAGCTAAAGGAGCATGTTCTAACCCAATGCAAGGAAGCTAAGAACCTTGAAAAATGTTAGACAAAATGCTAACTAGAATAACCAGTTTAGAGAAGAACATAAATGACCTGATGGTGCTGATAAACAGAGCATGAGAACTTTGTGAAGCATACACAAGCATCAACAGCCAAATCGATTAAGTGGAATAAAGGATATCAAAGATTGAAGATCATCTTAATGAAATAAACCGTGAAGACAAGATTAGAGAAAAAAGAATAAAAAGGAATGAACAAAGCCTCCAAGAAATATGGAACTATGTGAAAAGACCAAACCTATGTTTGACTGGTGTACCTGAAAGTGACAGGGAGAATGGAACCAAGTAGAAAACACTCTTCCAGATATTATCCAGGAGACTTCCCCAACCTAGCAAGACAGGCCAACATTCAAATTCAGGAAATACAGGAAACATCACAAAGATACTCCACAAGAAGAGCAACCCCAAGACACATAATTGTCATATTCGGCAAGGTTGAAATGAAGGAAAAAATGTTAAGGGCAGCCAGAGAGAAAGGTCGGGTACTGACAAAGGGAAGCCCATCAGTCTAACAGCAGATCTCTCTGCAGAAACCCTACAAGCCAGAAGAGAGTGGGGGCCAATATTCAACATTCTTAAAAGAATTTTCAACCAAGAATTTCATATCCAGCCAAACTAAGCTTCATAAGTGAAGGAGAAATAAAATCCTTTACAGACAAGCAAATGCTGAGAGATTTTGTCACCACCAGGCCTGCCCTAAAAGAGCTCCTGAAGGAAGCGCTAAACATGGAAAGAAAAAACCGGTACCAGCCAATGCAAAAACATACCAAATTGTGAACACCATTGACACTATGAAGAAACTGCATCAACTAATGGGCAAAATAACCAGCTGGCATCATAATGACAGGATCAGATTCACACATAACAATATTAACTTTAAATGTCAATGGACTAAATGCCCCAATTAAAAGACACAGACTGGCAAACTGGATAAAGAGTCAAGACCCATCAGTGTGCTGTATTCAGGAGACCCATCTCATATGCAAGGACACACATAGGCTCAAAATAAAGAGATGGAGGAATATTTACCAAGCAAATAGAAAGCAAAAAAAGCAGGGGTACAATCCTAGTCTCTGAGAAAACAGACTTTAAACCAACAAAGATCAAAACAGACAAAGAAGGGCATTACATAATGGTAAAGGGATCAATGCAACAAGAAGAGCTAACTATCCTAAATATATATGCACCCAATTCAGGAGCACCAAGATTCATAAAGTTCTTAGAGACCTAAAAGAGACTTAGAATCCCACACAATAATATTGAGAGATTTTAACACCCCACTGTCAATATTAGACAGATCAACAAGACAGAAAATTAACAAGGATGTTCAGGACTTGAACTCAGCTCTGGACCAAATGGACCTAATAGACATCTATAGAACCGTCCACCCCAAATCAACAGTATATACGTTCTTCTCAGCACCACATTACACTTATTCTAAAATTGACCACATAATTGGAAGTAAAACACTCCTCAGCAAATGCAAAAGAACAGAAATCTTAACAGTCTCTCAGACCACAGTGCAATCAAATTAGAACTTAAGATTAAGAAACTCACTCAAAACTGCACAACTACATGGAAACTGAACAGCCTGCTCCTGAATGACTACTGGGTAAATAATGAAATTAAGGCAGAAATAAATAAGTTCTTTGAAACCAATGAGAACAAAGAGACAACATACCAAAATCTCTGGGACACAGCTAAAGCAGTGTGTAGAGGGAAATTTATAGCACTAAATGCCCACAGGAGAAAGTGGGAAAGATCTAAAATCGACACCCTAATATCACAATTACAAGACCTAGGGAAGCAAGAGCAAACAGGAACGGATTTCAAAACAGGAACAGGAATTCAAAAGCTAGCAGAAGATAAGAAATAACTAAGATCAGGGCAGAGCTGAAGGAGATAGAGACATAAAAAACCCTTCAAAAAAATCAATGAATCCAGGAGCTGTTTTTTTTTTTTAAAGATTAACGAAATAGAGCACTAGCCAGACTAATAAAGAAAAAAAGAGAGAAGAATCAAATAGACGCAATAAACAATGATAAGGGGGATATCACCACCGATCCCACAGAAATACAAACTACCATCAGAGAATACTGTAAACACCTGTATGCAAATAAACTAGAAAATCTAGAAGAAAGGGATAAATTTCTGGGCATACACCCTCCCAAGACTAAACCAGGAAATATTTGAATCCCTGAATAGACCAATAACAAGTTCTGAAATTAAGGCAGTAATTAATAGCCTACCAACCAAAAAAAAAACCCAGGACCAGACCACAGCCGAATTCTACCAGAGGTACAAAGAGGAGCTGGTACCATTCCTTCTGAAACTATTCCAAACAACAGAAAATGAAGGACTCCTCCCTAACTCATTTTATGAGGCCTGCATCATCCTGATACCAAAGCCTGGCAGATAAACAACAACAAAAAAGAAAATTTCAGGCCAATATCCCTGATGAACATTGATGTGAACATCTTCAACAAAATACTGGCAAACTGAATCCAGTAGCACATCAAAAAGCTTATCCACCACGAACAAGTTGGCTTCACCCCTGGGATGCAAGGCTGGTTCAACATATATAAATCAATAAATGTAATCCATCACATAAACAGAACCAATGACAAAACCACATTATTGTCTCAATAGATGCAGAAAAGGCCTTCAATAAAATTCAACACCCCTTCATGCTAAAAGCTCTCAATAAATTAGGTATTGATGGAACATATCTCAAAATAATAAGAGTTATTTATGAAAAACCCACAGCCAATATCATACTGAATGGGCAAAAGCTGGAAGCATTCCCTTTGAAAACTGGTACAAGACAAGGATGCCCTCTCTCACCACTCCTATTCAACATAATATTGGAAGTTCTGGCCCGGGCAATCAGGCAAGAGAAAGAAATAAAGGGTATACAAATAGGAAAAGGGGAAGTCAAATTGTCTCTGTTTGCAGATGACATAATTGTATATTTAGAAAACCCCACTGTCTCAGACCCAAATCTCCTTAAGCTGATAAGCAACTTTAGCAAAGTCTCAGGATACAAAATCAATGTACAAAAATCACAAGCATTCCTTTATACCAATAATAGACAAATGGAGAGCCAAATCATGAGTTAGCACTCATTCACAATTGCTACAAAGAGAATAAAATACCTAGGAATATAACTTACAAGGGATGTGAAGAACCTCTTCAAAGAGAACTACAAACCACTGCTCAATGAAATAAGAGAAGACACAAACAAATGGAAAAACATTCCATGCTAATGGGTAGGAAGAATCAATATCGTGAAAATGGCCATCATGCCCAAAGTTATTTATAGATTCAATGCTATCGCCATCAAGCTACCATTGACTTTCTTCACAGAATTAGAAAAAAACTACTTCAAATTTCATATGGAACCAAAAAAGAGCTCATATAGCCAAGAAAATTCTAAGCAAAAAGAACAAAGCTGGAGGTATCACATTACCTGACTTCAAACTATATTACAAGGCTACAGTAACCAAAACAGCATGGTACTGGTACCAAAACAGATATATAGACCAATGGAACTGAACAGAGGCCTCAGAAATACCACCACAAATCTACAACCACCTGATCTTTGACAAACCTGACAAAAACAAGCAATAGTGAAAGGGTTCCCTATTTAATAAATGGTGTTGGGAAAACAGGCTAGCCATATGCAGAAAACTGAAACTGGACCACTTCCTTACACCTTATACAAAAATTAACTCAAGATGGAATAAGACTTAAACATAAGACCTAAAACCATAAAAACTCTAGAAGAAAACCTAGGCAATACCATTCAGGACATAAACATGGGCAAAGACTTCACGACTAAAACACCAAAACCAATGGCAACAAAAGCCAAAATTGACAAATGGGATCTAATTAAACTAAAGAGCTTCTGCACAGCAAAATAAACTATCATCAGGGTGAATAGGCAACCTACAGAATGGGAGAAATTTTTTGCAATCTATTCATCTGACAAAGGGCTAATATCCAGAATCTATAAAGAACTTAAACAAATTTACCAGAAAAAAACAACCCTATCAAAAAGTGGGCAAATGATATGAACAGACATTTCTCAAAAGAAGACATTTATGTGGCCAACAAACATACGAAAAAAAACTCATCATCACTGGTCATTAGAGAAATGGAAATCAAATCTATAATGAGATACCATATCATGCCAGTTAGAATGGTGAACATTAAAAAAGTCAGGAAACAGCAGATGCTGGAGAGGATGTGGAGAAATAGGAACACTTTTACACTGTTGATGGAAGTGTAAGTTAGTTTAACCATTGTGGAAAACAGTGTGGCGATTCCTCAGGGATCTAGAACCAGAAATACCATCTGACCCAGCAATCCCATTACTTGGTATATACCCAAAGGATTATAAATAATTCTAGTATAAAGACACATGCACACATATGTTTATTCCAGCACTGTTCACAAGAGCAGAGACTTGGAACCAACCCAAATGCCCATCAATGATAGACTGGATTAAGAAAATGTGACACATATATAACATGTAATACTATGTAGCCATAAAAAAGGATGAGTTCATGTCCTGTGCAGGCACATGGATAAAGCTGGAAACCATCATTCTCAGCAAACTAACACAAGAACAGAAAACCAGACACTGAATGTTCTCACTCATAAGTTGGAGTTGAACAATGAGAACACATGGACACAGGGAAAGGAACGTCACACACTGGGGCCTGTTGGGAGATGCAGGACTAGGGGAGGGATAGCATTAGGAGAAATAACTAATGTAGATGATGGGTTGATGGGTGCAGCAAACCACCATGGCACGTGTATACCAATGTAACAAACCTGCACGTTCTGCACGTGTATCCCAGTATTTAAAGTATATTTTTTTAAAAAAGCAACTCTCCCTCAGCAGTGAGTTCAAATAAGACACTGTTCCTATGATTATTACTTCATTGTGCTTTTATGCCCATTCCTCTGTGCTTTTTAATTATATATAATTACCAGGCAACAGGGAATAAAATCTGTTTAATCTACAATGAAACATGCTAAATAGAAAAAAAAGACAAGTGAGAAAGGGTGAGATTGATAGATTGCAAATATGGAGATTGCAGTTGCTTCATGGAACATGTGGTTCTTATGCCAGTCATTTATCAGACAAATGGAAAAAGGCACTTTCTAGAGCAATTAAAAGATAAATGCCATGATGGACCGCTTGTAGAAGACTGTAGCATTTCTCTTCACCTTCTCTCCTTCCCAGTCTCCAACAAACCACTTGATATTGTCTGCAGGCTTAACTTCTTTTTGGTTGTCAGTGAATCCTGACAACATGGTGTATTTCCTGGCAATATATCTAATCAATGCTCCTTTACTGGCGGCATGCAACACAGCACCATGAATGACTTGAAATACCTCTTTTAGTAACATTTTTGTAGCATACAACTTAAGGTTAACCTGGGTCATTTCTTGCAAAGTCAAGGTCAGGCCCTTATTTTAATCACTATTGAATCAGTTCATTAAAGAACAATTCTAGAACTGGAAGTGGTTCTCACCTGAGAGAAAGCTCCAAGTCTATGGGTGAAAGAGAAAGACATCTATTCTCTAATCACTGGAATGGAAAAGAGTCTCCTCTCACCCAGATTCCTCTCTGGGTGGTAAACTCTAACCCTGACCATTAATGCAAATCTTCTTGGCAAGAGACAGGGTGTTCTCTTATGTCACATTGTCCAAAGAGAGAAAGCAAGGAGTTCTCAGACTGTTTCATGATACCAGTGAAGACTATCTGTGCCTTTCCTTATAGACTTTGGAATGAGGGGAAAGAAGTAGGGTTCATACGGACAAAACCATGGAAAGAGTTTAATGACCCTGTCACTTCCTTCCCTAATCTCTTTCCAACTTCTAGATCAGAATTCCTCCTACAGATACCCAAGTTCATGGTTAATGGTATATAAATTGACCCCATAAAAAAGTATTTCAGGTCTCAAAAAGCTTCATCACATCATAGATTTGGTGACAATTCTTTCCAAACTGAAGGTTAAAGGCCATGCCTTGCTGCCTCCAGAACCACTTTAAATATAATTTCTTTAAATATAATTTTAATTAAAGTGACATATGAATGGCTTAACATATGAGTCTAATCAAACAATATCATGTGCCAAATTTACTGGGTTATAAGTTTAATGGATGACAACATTCAACTTTGTTCAAATGTGCTCATACTTCTTAGTTTGTTGATCTTGGAGCATGGACATATTTTAAGAAACTTAAAAAATAGAGAAATGTGTTTTCTGACCTCTAAAACCCAGTGCTTTTAGATTGTCCTTTGAGGCTTATAGCATAGCTTCTTAGCACCAGCCTCATCCTGAATAGTATTAGGCTCCAAAGTCAATTTTCCTTTCTTCTTCCTATGAAAATTACATTTCCTTCAGTGGGCTACACTTAGATAAAGGTAAAGAAGGGGAAAGACTGATTAAAGTCATCTAGAGTAAGATTTGCATGATTAATAAAGCTTTCCACTTAATCACTCTCAATAACTATTGACCACATATGTTCAAAAACATAGAGACACTTATCAAGTACTCAGCTATAGTAAAAAGTCAATTATTGTACCTGCCTTTATGATGCTTCCAGTTTAAAGGGGAAAGACAGATGCTAAGACCATAAGTCAAGCTTTTATTATAATGATAGAATTACAGGCAGAGGGGCAGATAATTGAAAAGTGGACAATTACTTCTGGACAGAGGCAACTTCCTTTCCTATTCTATCTTTCTTTAAGGCTGATTCTGTGCAAGGCGGTAAAGGAAAAAGAATGTCAATTCTGTTTCTTACCCTGCAAGTCATCAGTGTTCCTTACAGATCCTGAGAGCTGAGCTGTCTCTGTTTTCTTCTTTCTTTTTTTATATGTATTTTTTTTATTATACTTTAAGTTCTAGGGTACATGTGCACAACGTTCATAGGAACACTTTTACACTGTTTTCTCCTTTCTACATGGTGTGGCAATGCAATAAATACCTCACAAAGTTTCTGTGAGGAGCTGACCCAGCTTTGCCTGTTTTCTAGATTCTTTTCTTCGTATTTGTTACCATCCAGCCCACACTTGATGTTGGCATATTTGCCATTCTCTCAATGTTTCACTCCTCTGGCTGACATGATCCAATATGGTCACCTCTTATTCCCCTGGTTAACTCCTTCAAAGCTCAAGTGTCACTTCCTGGTCTCCTTCTCTGACAACTCCCTATTCTCAGCCTGTGTGAGGCAACTCCCTCTGGGATGCCATAGCACCCTGTGCATACCTTCATCTTTGGACTTAATACATTGTTGTTTTTTTCTATCTGTGTCCTCCAAAACAATGAAAACCCAAGGGCCTCGTCCAAGCCTGATACAAAATGAATGCTAAATAACATTCATCAAGGAATGAATTAAGGACCTTCCAGTTGCAACAGGATGTAGGACTAGAAACTCTGAGAAAGCTTCTCACTACAAGTGACTAAAAATAATAGCTTTAAGTATAAATAAAAATTTAAAAAATTGTTAATACACAGCTGGGCTGGCAAGGAAGTTTCCTCAGAGACAAAAACAATAAAAAGGCACAAATCCAGAGAGGAAGTTGATGGAAGTCGATTCTAAAAGGATCTGCCAGTTTCTGGTGGTGTTGAACTTTCCATTCTAACAGTCTTTATAAGCAGGGAACAGGGGATAAAGTCTATGAACGGCAAGTTGTGGAAGAAGATGAATATCTGCTCGTAATGCCAGGACTGTAAGGCAAAACCCTCAGAGAAGGAATAAACTAGGAAAAGAAAATGATACTCAGCTCCTAAAAAACACCAAACTAAGGAGACAATAAAAAGACTGGTAGTTGTCACGGGTTATGGGGAGGTGAGGATGAACAGGTGGAGCACAGAAGATTTTTAAGGTAGTGAAACTATCCTGTATGATACTACAGAGGTGGATATATGTTCCTTACATATTTGTGAAAACCCATAGAATGTACAACACAAGAGTAAACCTTGACGTAAACTATGGGCTTTAGCTGATCATGTGTCAATGTAGCTCATTAATTCTAACAAATGTACCACTCTGGGACAGGACATTGATAGTGGGGGAGACTGTACATGTGGTAGGCAGAGACATATGGAAACTTCTCTATTTTCTGCTCAATTTTGCTGTGAACCTACCATTTCTCTAAAAAAAAAAATAAAATGAGATAATACAAACAAACAAGCAAAATAAAAAAAAAAAACCACTCAGATCCACATAAAGAAATAATAAGGAAAACTTGCTTATCTCAGGTTGGCTACGGGTAAAGGTTGGGGGTAGAAGTTTCCTTCAGAGTTTCTAACAATAGGACTCATGACAATTTGGGAAACAATTCACTTAGTGCGGACATTTGGGAATGTAAAGTGGTCTTGGATTCGCATTGGGTCACCCTATGCCAACATCCTCCTCAAGAGCAAACGTAAATTATTCCAGGAAGTACACATCGTAAACCAGATTACAAGGAACTCCCTCTTAAATTCCAACAATCATGAAAGCATATAAGGATAACATAAAACATGAGGAAACAAGGCAACGTGAAAAGGAGACAGCAGAAACAAGAAAATCAGACCTACAGAAAATTCTGATAGTGAAATTATCAGACACAGGATGCAAAATAAAAAAATTTAACATGCTTATGGACATTTTTAAGAAGAATTTTGAAAGAGTAACCAAAGAACAGGTGTCATCATGTAGATTTAAAAAAAAAACAGAACTCATATACATGCAGATATAAATGTTTTTATAAATTTTCAGGTCGAATAAAAAGCATATTAGATACAGCTGGGAAGAGATATTGTTAAATGAGAGAAAGTGTTGAAGAAATTATATAAAATACAATATAGAGAGACAAAGATGTAAAAAGCATTAATAACAGACTAAGAAATGTGAATTACATAGAGAAAATAATTTTGTGAGAATTTTCCAGAAATAATTAAAAATACAAATCCTCAGATTCAGAAGTCTAATGAGAATAAAATAAAATAATGATTCATTTCTACAAAGATCATAGCTAACTACTGAACACCAACAATAAATAAAAGAAGTCAGGCAGAAAAGATACAGGAAAAACAAATTAGAATGACAGCTGGCTTCTCAATGGCAACGATGGTAGTTAGAAGTCAATGGATAATTCTCTTTGAAGTGTTGAGACAAGATAACTGTCAACGTAGAGTTAAGTTCACTGCAAAACTAACTTTCAAGAGAGAGCACCAAATACAAATATTTCAGACAAACAAAATACAGAAAACCAAAAGCACTCACTTCTAATGAACCCTCACTAACAGAAAGTCTAAAGGATATACTCCAGATAAAAGGAAAGTAATATTTGAAGATCTATGATCTGAGAAAAAATGGGATCAAATAAAGTGGAATGTTTTCAAGTATATCTGAATAAACTTTGACTATATCAAGTGTCTAATCTGTGAGTTAAGAAAAATAGAGCTAAAACACTTGACAAAAATAGCACATAAATCTGAGGGGGTTAATCAGAGCTAAAGTGTTTGAAGAGACATGAATTATTTGATAGGTGGGGATAAATACTATTTAACTTTAGGTATGCATATTAAAAGTTAGGGTAATTAGTAAAAAAATAGAAATGGATATATAACTTTTAAACCAGTAGAGGGAAGAGGGAAGAGTATAATAAGAAAAAAAAAAAAAAAGACTGGGACTAGCTCTAAGAAGTCAAGAAGAAAAGAGGAAACATTGGAAAAGCAGGCCAACTAGAGATCAGAAAGTAAGATGGCAGAAATAAGTCTAATTTTATCAGTAATCATAGTGACAGCAAATAGATGGAAGAAAGCAAATATTATAAAAGTAAAAATTAAAAATGTTTACATTAAATATCCATAAATTTAAAGATAGAGATAAGTGTAATTTTATCAGTAACCATAGTGACAGCAAATAGATGGAAGAAAGCAAAGATTATAAGATTAAAAATTAAAAATATTTACATTAAATATCCATAAAGATAAAGAAAGGTGGAAAGTAAAGGAGTAGAAAAAGATGTAAGAGACAGATCTAATCAAATGAAAGGTGAATATTTATATCAGATAAACTATACATTAAGGCAAAAAGGATTACTACTGATAAAGACAGTCACTAACTTATGAAGAAAGATTAGCTTCTTCAGAAAGATCAAACAATTTTAAATGTATATCTACCTAATAAGACAGTCCAAAATAACCCAAACGGACTACAAGGTGAAATTGGCAAATTAACCTAACAAAGAAGAAGATTTTAAATATCATTCTCTCAAGTATTTTAAAAAAATTATTAAAGAACTAGGACATTTAATAAACACATTCAAAACATTTGATATACTCATATAGAAATTTACACTCCAGAGCAGGAAAACATGTTCTCTACAAGAAAGTGTGGATAACAGGTCATCAAACAAAATCTCAACAAATTCCAAAGAAATGGAATAAAAAGACCATTTTGGAAAAATCATAATGCAATTGTTAGCGATTAATAAAGAAAAATGTAAATGCCCCATGTATTTAGAAGTTAATGAACAGATTTGTAAGTAATTTATGACCTGAAGGAATCATATGGAAATTTAAAAATACCTAGAACTGAATGATAATGAAAATTTTTTTTTATCACACTGCGGGATGCAACTAAAGCTGTATTTATTTTAACATTTCTGTGAAAACAAGAAAGTCTGAAATGTAAAACACCAAGCTTCAAACCTAAGGAATTACAAAAAGTACACTAAAATAAGTTTGAAGAAAGTAAGCTAAAGAAAATAATATAAATATCAATGAAGTGGAAAATATAAAAACCATAGGCTCAACAAAGCCAAAGGCTGCTACTTGAAAAGATTAATAAAATAAATTCTGACAAATTTCATTAAATGATGAAGTTTGAATTTCTTCTTTCTTAACAAAGAAGAAATCCCAAACACCATTAGAGATGCAAATAGGGAGACAGATGCAGATACAGCCAGAGTTGAAGAGAAAGTTACAGAGAAGTTCAACCTACTTTAAGGCATCATACTTGAAAACAGTCTTAGACAAGTGAGAGAAAACAAAAAACACAACTATTCGAGAAGAAAGAGAAATAACAACAAAAGTAAATGCTTATAGTATTATTATGTGACAGGCACTGACCTACATGTTTACATATATCAGTTCATGAAATCCTCACGACGACCCTATGTGCCTCATTTTGCAAATGAGGAGACTGAGGCACCGTGAGGTTAAGTGACTTTCTACACAGTTAGGAGGTCAGACCTGAGACTGAATCTAGACAGTTTGCCTCCAAAACTCATTCTTTGGGCACTAGGCTATACTGCATGTAGACTTAAAAAAAAAAAAAAAAATTCAGCGGTAATGAAAAATCTTCCCCCAAAGAAAATCTCTTCTCATAATTTTACAAGCAAGATTTACTAAACATGAAAGGAATAGACAATCTCAATATAAAATAAACTCTTTCAAAGACTAGAAAAGAAGAAACATGTCCCAATTTCTTTTATTAAAATCAGATAAGAATTATATAAGAAATAAAATTACTCATAAACATAGAGGCAAATTGTCCTAAACAAATTATTAGGAAACCAAAACAAGATGTAAACAATATAATATATTATGAGCAAGTTGGGTATATTCTAGGAATGCACCCACAGATAGGAAAATAAATTAAAAGGTCTTACAATATCAAGCACTGGCAAGGATATGAAGCAAAGAGAACAAGTATAATTCTGGTGGGAATATGGATTGAAACCACCACTTTGGAAAACTTTGGCATTTTGTTTTGTATTTTTTGTCTACCATCCTTTTTGATTCTTTTCTCTCTTTTCCTAGCTTCTATTAAATTGGTAAGGCTGTCTTTATTCTCCAGATTTTCTCTGTTAGTTTGGAAGCTATAGATGATATTTCTAGTCTGTTACTGAATATTTAAAATTTTAAAATGTACATCTAAACTTGCATTTCCAAAAAATGTAAACTTATCTTGTGTTTCCATTTTCTTCCCAAATACAAGAGGGATCTTAGCACACACTAAACATTGGAATGTTAGTAATACACAAATATGTTTTTTTAAAAAAACCCACCAAAGTTATGGTCAGCAGTTGGATTAATAATATTAGTTTTCTATTGCTGCCATAAACATTTATCATAAACGTAGGTGCTTAAAACAACACAAATTTATTATCTCATGATTCTGTGTACAGACACCCAGATAAAGCATGGCTCAGTGGGTCCTTTTCTTAGCGTTTCCCTGGGCCAAAATCAAGGCATTGGAAGGGCTTACTTTTTAGAGGCTGCGGAGATGAATCCACATCCAAATGCATTGAGGTTGTTGGCTAAATTCAGTTCTTTGGGGTTTTAAGACAGATGTCCCACTTCATTGTTAGGCATCAGTTGGGGGTGACCATTAGCTCCTAGAAACTTCTCTGCGGTTCTTGCCACGGCCCCCTCCATCTCAGAGCCAATAACAACAGTACATGAATGCCTTCTTGTGCTTAGAATCTCTGGTTTCTTTTGCTACAATCATTTCTGCCTCCAGCTGAGGAAAGCGCTCTGCTTTTAGGAGTCTGTGTGATTAGATGAGGCTCACCTGAATACTCCAGGATATACTTCCTGCAACCTTAAGATCTTAAGGTCTGCAACCTTAATTACAGAAGTACATACTTTTTGCCATGTAACATATATTCACAAGTTTCAGGGATCAGGACATAGATATCTTTGGAGAACCATTGTGTTACCATATTAACTGTAGATGTCAGGATAAGTTAGGTGATTTTGAAAATACAAATCATCTCCAAAAGCTCTTTGGTTTAACAAAACAAATATTTATTTCTTTCTCATAAAATGTCTTTCCAGAGCAGCTGTCATCTGTGGGGTAACTCAGTGACCCAGGCTGGGAAAGGAAGGACCATCTGATAGAACAGAGCTTCTCAGCCTTTAATGTGCATACGAGTCACCTGGAGATCTTGTTAAACTGAAGATTTTGATTCTGCAGGCCAAAGATGAAACTTGATATTCATTTCTCACAGGAACCAGGCTGACGTTGATGCTGCTGGACCCCAGATTACTTTTTGAGAAGCAAGATTTTAGGTTTTAGGGCACATAGACTCGTTGGTCACTAAAGCAAGAAAGACAGAACTTGGGGACTGTCACAGTGTCCCTTGATTGCTTCCTCCAGAAAGTAACATAGCTCATTTAAACCCACATTTCAGTGACCAAAGCAACATATGTGGTCATGTCTAACTTCAAAGGGTTGGGGAAGTTCAATAGTCCCAGACACTCATTAGGAAAAGAATACCAGAAATATTATTGAAGAGAAGCCATGTAACATGCATACATACATACATACATATACACACTCTCATACCCCTTTGGGGATCACCATTGTTTTGCTTTTTGCCCACCTTTCCTATATTTTTCTTCCTCAAATGTAGCCTGTAGTAGTTATGTTAGTGAAAGTCCATGGGTAGTTAATGCTCATCTTTGTAGATCAGGACATGTTTGTATTTTGCCTACACTCTTCACTGAAAGTTGAGAGTACAAAATTCTACACTGACAGTTATGTTCCATTCATATTTTGAAGACATTAACTCATCTTTTACACTCCATTATGACTGAGAAGTTTCAGCCTTTAGTCTAAGTTTCATTCTTTTGTGGGTACTCTGTCTTTTCTCTGGTAGCTTTTACTATTTCCCCCTTATCCTAAAGTTGGAATCTCCTTCTGATGTTTGACCATGATATGTCTGGTTATGTATTTTTATTTTTCCTGTTCAGCACTTTCATTGCAACTTTAGTCTGATAACTATTTTTTTCCTTTCTGGAATATTCTAAATGGAATTCTGCCCCTTCTCATTGAACACTCCTATTTGATGTATATTGGAGCCTTTTGTACACTCTCTGTATCTCTTAAGGGCTCTTTTGTATTATATATTTTGGAATTTTGGCCTATATTTTGGGTAAAGTTTCTAACTTCTATCTTCAAATTTTCACTGATTCTGCATCTTGTTTGGAATTTATCCTATCTATGGATAAATTTTTATTTCAATTACTAGATTTTTGAATTGCAAATTTCTAATAATTTATTTTCTTCATCTATCTATTTAATGCTTTATTTCTGTCTTTACTCCCTAATTTATTCTTTATTTTTAAGCACTGTTATTTCTTAATGTGTTTCTTTTCAACATAAAGTCAATACTCATTATTTGTGTCACTTACGTTCTAGAAAATCACCATAAATGCTGAATTAGCAAATAATGAACCATTGCACTTAGGGAGAAATACAGTTCCTTCAAGTCTCTGGTCACAACATTTTAATTAACTGATCTGTAGATAACCTTATTTAATGTATGTTTCTTTTTAAACACTCCTTGTAGAGATTGTTGATTCATTAACATGAAACTCACATCCAACAGCACTGTAATTCAGGCCTGAAGGAAGCTTATCTAACACACACATTTTCTCCATAAGGCACATCACAGCTTTCTTGAGCTTGCAAACACTAGACAGTGCTTCAGCATATGCTTCGGGGCCATTTTAAACAATGAAATCACCAAAAAAGCACAAAAATAAACGTGAAAAACTTGACACTAAATAGACTGCCAAAAGGACACTTGTTTACAGTATGAGAGCTCAAACAGGAAGGCAGAGTGTCCCTTGTTCAACCACAGCTGGGAACATGTTCATTCAGCGACTCAAAGATTTAACTTTTCTTCACATGCCCATGAATGACCACAAATGTGCCATAAGTGTTGATTTGGGGGGTTACAAGCAAATTTTAGTAAGTAGACAATTCACAATTGCAAGCATCCATCAATAAAGAGGATTGACTTTATTAATTTTAAAGTCTTTGTCAAACTGTTTCACAGAATTTTATCTGGTGTGAACGTTAATTTTGTTGTCTTTCTTGGTATTATATATATATTTTTTTCCTATGTTTTGGAATTTTTATTTGCAGGCTCATTTTTAGTGAAAAGCTGTTTGTTTTCCTTTTGTTCTCCCTGTCTTTGTCTGTTCCAATGGTTTTATGATTATCTCCATACGGTTCACATGGCCCCCGGTCCAGAATCAGATACTGTACTAAAATTTTGGGTTTTAATCCATAATGAAGAAATTGCAAGTCTAGACCCAGAGGGAAAGTATGGCTTGGTAGAGTTTCAGTTCATGATATGGTATCTATGTCTATCAAACAGCCTCTTTTAGACACACAATTTCAGAGAAAACTCTCATTCTAGGCAACTGGCAACTGTCTTTTTTTTTTTTTTTTTTTTTATATATATATACAGCCGCTCTTCACAACAGAGAGCCTCCTCGAAACTCCTGACATCAAGTTTTCTACCTGGCTTAGGTCCTGCTTCTTCTGTGAAGGAAATTCAACCCTGGTATCCTACCAGAGTCAAGCTACTGCCAATCTTTGCTTTATTTCAGTCTTGGAGCCAAAAAGCCTATGAAATCAGCACTATTCACCATCTTGCATTTATTTTCCATTTTTGGTCCATGGACTTTTTCTCTTGCTTTTGAACCTGGCTATGCCACTGGTTTTATCATTTTATATTTAATCTGTGATTGTTGCTTGCTTGGAAAGGAGAGGATGAATAGATATTAAGATATTAATAGATTGCATAGATGTCCTCTGAGCTCTTCTGTTGTACTTTTGTAACTTACTCTGCATCAAATCCTATCTATATTTTTGTCTTTATTCTCTTCCTCCCTCCAATTTTAAAACATTTGAGAGTACAAAGTCTTACATACATTTTCTTATTTTCATTTGCTCCTAGAGCAATGCTTTGCATGTAGTCAAAAACGATCTGCTATAGTAAATTAAATGGTAATAAGAAAGTACACATCATTTTGCTCTAAGAAACATCTTCTTGGCAATTAGAATTGTACAGAATAGACATTTATTGGAGAATTTCTTACCTAGAAATAGCCACGTAAAATTTAGAAGACCTTATGAGATATCATAAAGCAGGTGTTTTCAAACTTTATTTTCGTTGCTGAATGATTATTTTTCTTCCAAAGAAATCTACATAGGATGCTAATAAATACAGCAGTTAAAAGCAGACTTGTTTTGAATGAAATAGGGGTGGTGTGCCTGGAAATCTGGCTGCTTGTCTTCATTGCCCAGTCACGAAGTCAAATATAAAAAGTAGCTTAAAAATAGTTTTTTCAAAATACTGTTCTATAAGAATTGACAGTTTTGTCTAAATTACTTCCAATATCTATAACAATTCAAAGTAAATAAATCCTAGTCATATTTTAATGGGAGAAAAAATAAAAAGGTATAAATTACACATTGTAAAACAGTGATATCTTTCTTTTAAAAATTTCTATTTGGGGAAGGAATAAGTTTTTTTGGTAATGAATATGCTGCTTGGGAAAGGGATGTTGGTATGTTGTTGGATACGGGTGTTAAAGAGCTATAAAGTATATTTACTCAGTGAAGATTCAAAGGAAAAGGAATCTAATAATGCTTTTTAATGAGAAGATCACTTGAGTCCAGGAGTTTGAGGTTATAGTGAGCTGTGATTGTACCCGTGCACCCCAGCCTGGGGGACAGGCAAGATCCTGTCTCTAAAAAAACCAATAATAATGAAAATAATAATGCCTCTTTAGCCTTCCCACTGTGATGACCATATTTCACTCAAAACTCTCAACTGAGTTGAAACCCAAACTAAACACTCTCCAACAGCCATATGTAGTTACTGCTCATAGCAAGATTATAAAGAAAAATATAGCCAAACCTCAAAGATAACCTCTTTAAGTTTCACAATTTCCTCTTAAAAGAAAGAGAATGTTTAAAATGCAAAGGAAAACATAAGAAGGACAAGACTGCTAGAATGATAGTACAAAAACTTGTTAACTAATTAAATAATGGCCCTTGCTTATAGTACCCAGCACAAAGTGATGTCTTGGAGGGAAAAACCTACAAGTTCATGCTGCTTGAGTTTCAGCACATCTTGGTGTTAATGAGAAGATTTGATGCTGCTTATCGTTTCTAGGCTTACAGAAACCAGGCTGAACACATGCAAGTATTTGCACGTTAGCAACCTAGGCATGGCAGCTTATTTGGTTTCATTCCGTAGGGCCTTGCCAAGGGATGAACTGCAGTAGTAATTTCTTTCTAAATTATTCTCAAATCCCTGCTTCAAGCTTCTATCTGGTTCACTAGAGGCCAGCATCCTTTTTATGAAATTCAGAAACTAGGACTTGAGAAAGTAAATTCTGAGGAGTATTGACTTAATAAATTTATATCCTCTTGACAGGCAGAGACGCTCAAAGGAGAGGGAATTAGAGATGTTTTCAGCAAGGATTCTTGGATTTGCTTTTTCTGCTGTATTTAATTTGCACATTAAAAATTCTCAGCAGTTCATATACTTCTAGCCTTGAAGAATTATAATTGCTATAATAGACTTGTTTGAATATCTCTTTTCTTAAAAAAAAAAGCATATGTTGTAAAAATGCTTGAGCCTTAAACTTTTTGGATCTCAGTTTTGCTGTTTACTAAATGAGAATTAGTCCAGATCACCCATATAGCTCCTGGTGTTATGGTGAAATGAGCATGTGCTTCGGCATTTACAAACCTGACAGGACCACTCCTTAGCTGTATAGCCTAAATAAGGCATTTCATGTCTTTAAATGTTCCAATTTCCTTATCTGTATAATTAAGGTAATGCCCAATTTTCAAGGTAGTGGTGAGAATTGAATGAGTTTGGGGCAAAAGGTCATAAGGTACCATGCCTGGCACAGGGCAGACAACCCAAATATACTAATTCTTCTCTAATTCTAACATTCTATGAGTCTATAACTTTGCCAGGTTCTCTCTGAGGTATGTAATCAGTCTTTATCTGTCATTTTCAATAACGGGGATTGTGGCAGAAAGAGATGAAAGCTGTCTGCCTAAGCTCGTGGAGCTAGCCAGGAGAGGGGACTCATATCAGCTTTTCTCAATCTAATAATTTTCAACCCTGTGGAAATGATGGTCTCATTCTTAATTCTCTTCATCAGTTGAAAGTTGAGCTGTTGAATGATTTTTCTTTTCTTCATACATGCATTTAGTCATCACTCTGTCATTAATAATAGGAGTTAGCTCTAGCTGAGTGGGTCTCAATATAACAACTGATCATGGCAATATTGAGGGAAATTACGGGTTGGCCAAGTAGGCATTCCTATTCATACTGAGTCAAGGAAAGTAGATGCTTGGCATTAGCCATCAATCCACAAGACAATAATATAGGTGATTGCTTGTCAGTCAGCATCACCCAAGTGAGCTGGAAGGTGTGACTCTTCAGGCCAGGAATGCCAGCTCATATCACTCAATGGTCATTTACAACTATTGCTAAACCCCGCTCTCGTGGTCTCCATGGGATGATGCTGGCTGAAAAAAAAAACTGTGATCAATTTAGGGGACAATATCTCCTATGGCCCTTTAAGTATACTAGAAAGATGCCATCAAACAGAAATCAGTTTTACTAATATATTCCCTTTCATATGTTCCCTAACAATTTGGAGTTTTTTATTATATCACCTTGAGTTATGAACAAGAGTGAAATTGTCCTTAGCCAAGGAATATAACTTTTCTGGAAGGAAATGTTTAATGCTGATGTGATACTGTGGGCTGTGGTTTCACTGGGCCCTGTTTCTTGTAAGAGTGTCACTCACTTAGCTTTTACCAAGGCAATGTGGAAGAAAGAACTAAAATTTGTTATTTCCCATGTATTTCCATTGTTGCACTGATTTCTATAAAGGAATACTATAACTGAGCATTACTATTATTTCCACTTCAAGATTGAGGAAACTGAGGCTACGAGAAGTTGAAGAGCTTGCCCCAAACCACAAAGTTAGTAAGTAACAGAGCCCCCAAGCCTGTATTCTTTCCACTGACGAGTGTTCATACCAGAACCCTCCCGAGAGAGTCAGAGTTGAAGCAGAGGATAAGAAATTGAGAACACATTAAGGAGAAGGGATAGGAGAGAGAATAAGGAGGAGTAAAATAAAGACATGTCAGAAAAAGCATTAAAAAAGAAATGTGTGCCACAGTCAGAAGAAGGCCGAGAGGAGAGGAAAAGCAGAAGGCCTAACTTACTGGGGCTGGGGGGCACCCAGTGAACTTGGCCAGCTGCCTGGCAGCAAGCACTGCAGGGAGATCTATAGCCACCAGATCCATCAAATGAAGGAATCTGTGAATCATTAAAAAAATGTTTATTTCTTTATGCCACAAATGATAAAACAGTTAGTCATAAAATATGAGGATTTTTTTTCCCAGAGTAATTGCTGCAAATATTTTCAACCATTACTCTGAATGTTCAGTGTTTAACTAGCGAAAAAGAAATGATGTGTTTTGAACCAAAGTCAACCTCCAGTTGTCCACATGGCATGCTGTACAATTGCATTTAGAGATTAATTTATTTGCAAGATACTGAAAGCTTATTTAGCCTTGATGTTATCACAGGGTGGATAGGGGCTCTGCCCTCAGAGAAACAATCAAAGTCACTCATCATTTCTCTTTTCAGAAACATTGTTTCCCTTTGTTATCTAATTTTAGCATTAAAAAAAAAAGCTGTGGGTCAAATCAGAGAAATTAGGATTTTTTGCAGATGTGTTGCCTAAAGAACATCCTTTTGTTCTAGCAACAGCAGTTCTTCTCAACTCCAAAAAGGAGAAACACACAAACCACAATGTCCTATAATGAGTTTAGTCACCATCCTACATTCATCTTGGCTTTACAGTAAGTTAGACTTCTTTTGGTGGATACTGATTTGTCCCCTGGGATATAATTCTGAGAATATACAGCAATTCCAATCAAGTATTTGGCCAAAGAACAGCCAAGCCATGATAGTTGCCAGAGACCTGACTGTCCAGCCTAATAACTGGGCATTGTATAGAAAGTCTGTTTTTCTAGAGTTCGTCCAAAGGAAGGGCCATTATAAGCCTGCAGTTCTGCCGGAAATGAGGTCTAACATTCTCCTTCCAGAATACCTGGAACTTGTCACTTGGCAAAACAATCAGGAGAAATTACCCATGATGCCATAGAATAAGGCTGATCTTTGGAATTTCAAAGTGATCTAATTTTCAGTTTTTAAAAAATAATGTAGTCTTTCAGAAACAGTACTTTGTCAGAAGAGAGGAGGAAGTTGAAGAAAGGTAGTATACTAGTTGACTAGGGTTGCCATAAGAAAATACCACAGACTGGGTGAGCTAAACAACTGAAATTTATTTTTATGCAATTCTGGAGTCTAGGAGGCCAACATCAGGGGTCTGCAAGGTTGGTTTCTACTGAGGGCTCTCTCCTTGGCTTGTGGAAGGCAGCCTTCTTCTGTGTCTTCACATGTCTTCTCTCTGTGTGTCTGCATCCTAATATCTTCTTTAAAGACCACCAGTCATACTGATTTAGGGCCCACCTTAATGACCTTATTTTAACTTAATTACATCTTTAAAGACCACAACTCCAAATATAGTTAGATTTTGAGGTATGGGAGTTTAGGATTCCAACACATAATGGAATGAGGACATAATTCAAAACATAACAGGTAATGAGGAAGAGTAGAGCCAACATGACTGAGTCAGGTACCAGGCTGAGTGCATTTTAGACATTTTCTCACATAATCCTCAGCAGAACTCTGGGAGGTGGTATTTTTTTTCTTTGTTTCAAAAACAAATAAAAACTCAATTATGTATAAAATGTTTTCTCCCAACCTCATCTTCTTTTGTTTTGTATTTTCTTTAAAATTATACTACAAATACAGGAATATGTGTTCATTATAAAAAATTAAAACACTATAAAAGCATATAGAATAAAAAATGAAAGTCCCCCTAACTTATTCAGTCCCTCCCTGCTCTGTATTAGGTGATCAGTTGGATGTGTGTCCTTCAATGCCTTGGGATGGTGCCACACAACCAGACACATTTCATTCTGGGGATTATTAAAAACTGAGATCATACTATAGGTTATTACTCCACAATTTGCTTTTTTAAACTTTTAACAAGATAATTTGGAAGAACTCACAGGTTTGTACAAATAGATCCACCTTAATCTTTTTAATGACTGTATAGCATTCCATGCTATGAGCATATCACACCTTATTTAACCAGCCATCCTCCATTTGTTTCCAATTTTAAAATTACCATTAACATTGTATTAACATTTTCTGTTTGTACATATATTAGAACGATATTTTTATATGCAAGAAAACTGAGACTGAGAGAGGTTAATAAACGCGTTTGAAAGCACATAACTGGTAAGTGGCAGCTCAGGATTCAAGAGGGCCCATGTTCTTTCTGCTACATAACACTGCTTTAAGTCCTCATTATCCATGGGATTGAAAAAGTGAAAAATAGATCCTTTAAATTACTCTCCACACTCCTCCCACCCATAAATTTTTTTTTTTTTTCTTTGAGATGGAGTTTTGCTCTTGTTGCCCAGTCTGGAGTGCAATGACACGATCTCAGCTCACTGCGACCTCCACCTCCTGGTTTCACGCGATTCTCCTGCTTCAGCCTCCCGAGTAGCTGGGATTACAGGTGCCCACCACAACATCAAGATAATTTTTATATTTTTAGTAGAGACGGTGTTTCACCATGTTGACCAGGCTGGTCTTAACTCCTGACCTCAGGTGATCTGCCTGCCTCGGCCTCCCAAAGTGCCGGGATTACAGGCATGAGCCACTGCGCCTGCCACTCATACATCGTAATAGCCTTTTAGAGACTGTCCAAATGCAGAATGCATGCAGACTCTGAAAGATAGGAGAGCCTGCTCCCAATTTTGTTGTATCAGTGTACAAATCAAGCCTTCATCAAGTGACTTAGAAAAGACATGTCCCATCTGACTTTAACATGAGAGCAATGTCTATCTTAGGGGAGGTTATATAGTATGAGGGAAATTTCTGTTTTTCAGCTGGGTAGGTCAGGAAAGATTGAAGCATGGATGGGTCTGGGGAGAAGTATATTTCTTTGGTCCACTACTGGAGAGAGTGCGTCTGTGGCAGGGTGAAGCAGCAGCCAGGTTCTTGGAGGCCCTCTCTAGTAGGTGGGGGATTTGGCACATTTATTAGGAAGAAATCAACGTTCCTGCAATTAGAATTTCTTTCTCACTTAAGAGTCTTCCTACCTGAGGTTAAGAAATCCCTCTCCTGCCTTGGATATATTTCACCTGAGACTGGCAGACCGGGCCTGGGAGAAGAGAAATGCACAGAAGGGGTAGATAGAGTCACCAAGTTTTCTTTCAGCCTTCTGCTCTTCCAAAGCTCATCACTCTGAGTGAGGGGCTAAGAATGTCCCTTATGAAATAACATGTGGGGCTAAGTTCAGGCTCTTCAGCATAGATAAATATCCCACTTCTTTCCCCACAATATACCTTGTACTGCACCTGATAAAATGACCCACAGGCCCCCAAATAAGCTGGGCTCCTTCATGCCTCACCTTCCAAACATACTAAGGACATTTAAATGTCAACTCAGAGAGAATTTCCTGACCACCTCAGGTAGAGCAACCCTCCATCCCTGTGTCACTCTCCATCCCATTACTCTGCTTTATTTCTTTCATAATCATTCACTATCGCTTCTCGGCCTTTTGGCTAAGATCAAGTGTAGCATAATCATTCACTATATGAAACTGTCCTCTTTTAAAACTTTATCATCTGCATCTCACACTATAATATAAGCTTCATAAGAACAGGGGCATTATCTTTCTCTGTTAATATTATACGCCAGTGCCTAGAAAAAGTGCCTGAGACCTGGTAAATCCCAGTGGATATTGTTGACTCTACTTCCATTTTTCAGAAAACTAACTCTCCCTCTCTCTTTCTCTTTCTCATTGCAGCCTGAAAAAATCCCTTTCATCTTTTAAAGCTCAGCTCAACTGTCACCTTATTTAGAATGTCATGCATTTTTTTATTCATCCTATGTGTTGAATGACTACAGTGAGTTGGATCAGAGGCTCTTAATTTCTGTTTACAGCACCATTAATGTCTGGGTGAGTTTTTTGTGGTACTTCTAGGCCGGCCAACAGGAATACCAAACAATTCCATTTATTAAGCAGTTAGGTCCAAGCAACTTAATATATATTTGTGTCCTGATGATTTAATAGCCATTTGAAAAAACAATGCATATAACTTGAGAGAAAAGTACTATTTTACTTCATTCATAAATAACATTTATTTATTAATGGGATGTGTGTGCCTGTACTACATCCCAAAGCCTGGAATCAGATTGGACAATCCTCATTCTTGTTTCCTATTCCATGTTGTTTTTCTCACAGTACTTGCTTTTTATCAAAGCAAACCCAGCTTTACGAAGATGAGATGTCATAGAAAGGAATACAGCATGATCAAATAGTTCAAAGAGTGTTCAACATATGTTAAGTCTTGATATGTTTCCCTTGAATATTCAAAATAACCTGAGGCAGTTCTGTGAGTTTTCTGCGTTTCCAGGTTCACAGTGCAAGAGGCATGGTGTCAGACACTGAATGCCAGACCCTGAGTATGCAGCGGTGAAAGAATCAGACATGGTCCTTCCATGACTTAGCACTTTGTTCTTACCTCCATACTGATAGCGTGCGTCATACTTTATTTAGTTTTGTGTTTGTGTATTTGTCTTTTCTCCTAGCCTCTGACTTCCCCCAAGGGCAGGCTGCCTATCTCTTTATTGATGGTGGCAACTCCTGATATCCCTAGTACAGAACAGGAGTTGGGTGTTCAATAAATGCTGTTTTAAAACTGATTGATCAAGAGAATGAATAAGCGAATAAGCAAAAAATAAATGGCCCTGGCAAGTAGCATCATGCCTTATTTTCAACTGCTAGAATAATAAGGACTAGAGTATGGGAAAGTTTAGTAGCCTACTTCCCATCTTAGAGTGGCTCTTGGCTGGAAAGAGCCAAGCGTTGGCTGGAAAGAGTTGGCTCACTGACCAACTCTTGCAGTTGTTATTATTTACTAGAGCATCTCTCTAGACTTCAGGGGTATTTCTCTGGTCTGAATGTTGTTTCAACAGTTTCTTTCAAATTCTGACCAAGGAAGACCTGTAGCAGCGTCATTGTTTCTTCCATATGTTCCATTTGATCCTTGACATAAAGCACCAAGTGTTTCCTGACTTTGTGATATACAAAGGCCTTATGAGAAAAATAGACAAATAGACCAAATGGGAATTTACCTTACGCCCACTGTTAATAACCACATGAACAACTCTGTGAATGCCATGAATTTTCACAACCTCAACGAGAATCACCAGTCAAGATGGATGGTCAATTGTACAGCAAGGATGAGAACTTTGCTTCCACTCTCCACATTGACTCTCTTTGCTCTGACTCTACTTTATCCCTTGCTATGAATCTTTTCACTATAGTCATGCCAGTTACTAAACTAGCATAGACATCTTCATTAATCTGCATTCAGATCCAAATCTAGTATAGCCCAGATATGATACTTCTTAAGAATTATAGAATTTCAGAGGTGGACGGGACCTTTGAGGTCATTCATTTCAAATCTCTCACTGTTTGAGTGTAGAAACTGAGGCTCAAAGAAATTATAAACTTGCCATGATCATTCTGTTCTCTCTGGCTATAATGCCGCGGCCTTTGCCTCCTGTTTCACACAACAATGCTGGAGATCACAAGAGTGAATCATGTCAAATTGAGGATGAGGCACCGTAACTTAGGAAAAGCCATTCTATCTCTAGAACATACCCAAATCCTCCCACCAGAGCCACTCTAGTCCACACAACCATTAGCACCCACCTGAACTACCGCAATGATCCCCCTGCTGGAATTTCTGCTTCTTCCCCCTGCTTTGCATCCATTCTCCAGAGTGAGCCTGCAGCCAAACCTATCTTTTTCATTATAAGTCCCATTCTACTCTCCCCTGCTTAAAATTATCCAGGAGCTTCCTCCTTCTCCTCCTCCTCCTCCTTCTTCTTCTTCTTCCTCTTCCTCCTCTTCTTCTTTCTTCTCTTCTTCCTTCTTCTTCTTCCTCTTCCTCCTCTTCTTCTTTCTTCTCTTCTTCTTCTTCTTCTTTCTTCTTTTTTTTTTTTTTTAAATAGAGACAAGGTCTTGCTCTGTCTTCCAGTCTTGAGTGCAGTGGTGTAAACAAGGCTCACTGCAACTTCAAACTCCTGGGCTCAAGCAATCCTCCCGCCTCAGCCTCTCTAGTAGCTGGGACAACAGGTGCACACCAGCATGCTAATATTTGGTTTTTGTTTTGTAGAAACAAGGTCTTGCTATGTTTCTCAGGCTAGTCTCAAACTCCTGGCCTCAAGTGACCCTTCTGCCTCACCCCTCCACCCCCAAAACATTGGGATTACAGGTGTGAGCCATGGTGCCTGGCCATCCAGCAGCTAATTTTTGTACTTAAAATATAACGTAAGTACTTTACAGTGTCCTGCATGATCTAGCTCCCACCTACCTCTGGTTTTGATTTTTTCTTATCTTCCAATACTCTTCCTCTTGCCCACTAGACTTTAGGTATATTGGCTTTATGATTTCCTTGACACAGCAAACTCTCTTGTACTTCACAGCCTTTGCACTAGCTGTCCTTTCTGGATTGCTACTCCTTAAGTATTCACATAGCTGTTTTCTTCTTGTTATTCAAGTGTTACTTCTCAAGTGGATTTTCTGAACTTCCTCTCTGAACTAGCTACCAATAGCTTAATTCTCTGCATTGCACCAACTGCTGATATATTTCCTTTTAAATAATTTGTTTCCATGCTTGTTTGTAATCTCTTTTTCTCCATTAGAATGAAAGGTTCAGGAGAATTGGGTCTTGGTTTTATTTAACAATGAACCCCAGGACCAAGAAGAATTCTTGGGCTTAATACATATTGTTGTCTTAAAAACAGTAAAATGTTATAGTGAGCAACAAAGAATTTAATAAAGAAATTAAGAGCATCACCAGCTACCACAAGCAGTGTGGCCTATTATGTTGCTAATTATGGTCACTGCCTCCTAAATACCAACTCATATGAACCTTAAGGATAGTGCAAAAAAAACAGTTTATAAGTACTCTAAACACATTGGAAGTCACTTTAAAATCCCTAATTAAGTTCAAGGGGTTCAAATTTGAGGTTTAACATGAAGATATGACCTAAGAAAACCTTTTTAAGAGCCTCCTTCACTTAGTCTTGTGGTGAAATCTCTGAGACCTAAATGACCTGTTTGACTGGTTTGCTAGCTCACACCTATTTTCTACCAATAGCATCTTTGTCTTTCCTTCCAGAGATGGAGCACCTTGCTGCTTCCTTAGAATAGAGCAGGGAACTGTAAAATGGGAAAGATTAGATAAACTCTGTCCTTAGGAATGAAAATAGTCTTCTTGAACCAGCTACACAGAAAGTAAGAAAGTACCATGACTATGAGAACTATGCAAACATTATGGGAACTTTAACTTTCTTGTATTGACATACTACTTATAGAGTGGTTGGCAATAAATTTTTAAAAGCCTGTGAGCTGCTTTTCAGGAAAAAAAAAAAAAAAGGGAAACTGGGGAGATGTTTTCTACTCCTCATATTACCCTGGGGAATACGAACTCCCCAACAAGTTATATGTAGCGGTTCTACAAAAAATAGGAAAAGAGGCTGAATCTTTGGAGATGAAGTAGTTCAGAAGTGCCCCAAGGAAGCTGTCCAGGGATTAAAGATGACCGTGGAGATTTAGCTAAGAGACTCTCAAGTTTTTCCAAATCAAGCACCTAACAAAGAATATTTAACTGAATTGTTCTAAACTTCCAAATTTGAAAAACTGGGATGTGATCATGAAAATATTCTTTCTTAAAATTTTTTTTGTGTGTTTTTTCGCAATGCTGCTTCTGTTATCACTAAAAGCAAGAAAATAAAGCTTCAAATTATTTGAAGATTCTAGATTCTCATTAAAAAAATTCAGCATCAACTTGATTCTACAAGCTATAAAGATTTTGGCTCATGGAGTGCTATGGATTTTAAGTAATATGAGGTCAGAGTCTGATATGATTTGGCTGTGTCCCCACCCAAATCTCATCTTAAGTTGTACTTCCCATAATCCCTGCGTGTCAAGGGAAGAACCAGGTGGAGATAATTGACTCATGCAGACAATTTTCCCCATGCTATTCTCATGATAGTAAGTTCTCACAAGATCTGATGATTTTATAAGGGGCTTCTCCCTTCACTCAGTTCTCATTCTTCTTTCTCCTGACATCTGTGAAGAAAGATGTGTTTGCTTCCCCTTCTGCCATGATTGTAAGTTTCCTACTTACAATCCCCACCCCTGAAGAGCTGTGAGTCAATTAAATCTCTTTTTTCCAAATTACCCAGTGTTGCATATGTTCTTAAAGCAGCATAAGAATGGACTAATACAGTAAAATGGTATCAGGAGTGGGGTGCTGCTATAAGGATACTTGAAAATGTGGAAGTGACTTTAGAACTGGGTAACTGGCAGAGGCTGGCACAGTTTGGAGGGCTAAGAAGAAGACAGGAAAATGTGGGAAAGGTTGGAACTTCCTAGATACTTGGGGGGCTCAGAAGACAGGAAGATGTGGGAAAATTCGGAACTTCCTACAGTCTTGTTGAATGGCTTTGACCAAAATGCTGATAGTGATACAGGCAACAAAGTCCAGGCTGGGGTGGTCTCAGATGGAGAAAAGGAACTTGTTGGGAAGTAAAGCAAAGGTGACTCTTGTTTATGCTTTAGCAAAGAGGCTGGTGGCATTTTGCCCCTTCCCTAGAGATCTGTGTAACTTTGAACTTGAGAGAGATGATTTAGGGTATCTGGCAGAAGAAATTTCTAAGTGACAAAGCATTCAAGAGGAAGCAGAGCATAAAACTATAGAAAATTTGCAGCCTGATGATGAAATAGAAAAAATTTTTTTCTGGGAGAAATTCAAGCCTGCTGCAAAAATTTGCACAAGTAATGAGGAGATGAATGTTAATCACCAAGACGATGGGGAAAATGTCTCCAGATCATGTCAGAGACCTTCCTGGAAGCCCCTCCCATCTCAGTCCCAGAGGCCTAGAAGGGAAAAATGGTTTCCTGGACCAGGTCTGTGGCCCCCTGCTCTAGGCAGCCTCTGGATGGACTTGGTGCCCTGTGTCCCAGCCACTCCAGCTGTGGCTAAAAGTGGCCAAGGTACAGCTCAGGCCATTGCTTTAGGGGGTGCAAGCCCCAAGCCTTGGCAGCTTCCATGTTGTGGTGGTCCTGCAGGTGTGCAGAAGAATTGAGGTTTGGGAACCTCTGCTTAGATTTCAGAGGATGTATGAAAATGCCTGGATGTCCAGGCAAAAGTCTGCTGCAGGGGTGGAGCCCTCATAGAGAATATCTTCTGGGCAATGCGGAAGAGAAATGTGGAATAATAAAAATGCCCATGATATTGAGGAAAGAGCTTCTTCAACAGAGGGATCGGCAAGTACAAAAGTCCTAAATATGCATATACCTCTTTGTTTCCTTTATTCCCGCTTCAACTTATCACTCTAATTTCAAATGCTTTTCAAGTCTTGCAGAGTCAACTTAATTTTGATCTCTCTTGTGTCTATTTAGTATTTCCTCTGGGTTTAAGTTCTCCTCCTTCTTCTTCTTCTTTCTTATAAGAGACAGGGTTTTGCTATGCTCCCCAGGATGGTCTTGAACTCCTGGGCTAAAGGGATCCTCCTGCCTCAGCCTCGTGAGTAGCTGTGACTACTAATGAAGGCTTAAGCCTTCATTACTTCTTGCTCCTCATCCACTTCCTGTTCCAGTGCAACCCTTGTATCACCAAAAAATTAACCTTTCTAAAAGGGAAACTCTGTAACATCATACTCTTGCTCTTAGTGACTCCCATTATTCACTGAACTAATATAAACTTTGAAGACTAACATTCGAATCTTTTTATGATATAACCTCAAAAATATATTTCAATTCTTCTCTTTTATACTGCTATACTCAACTCTGGTGAAACTAGTGCTCAGACATTCCTGCCTCCAAACTTGCCCATTATGTCCTCTCCATTGGACTGACTGTCAACCCTTCAAATCCAATATGGGCTAGTCACAGTCCTCCAAGCTGTATCTCAAATCACCTTTTCCTTTAAGATTTCTCTCTATTTTAGCCCACAAAGAACTTTATTTATTTCCTATGGCATTTGTGATATTTTTTTCCTAGAATGTGGTTATGTGCAATGCACATCTGTCTTCTTTCTCTATACCTCTTACTATACTACAGATGTTTAAAACAGGGACCATATGTTATTTATTCTTGTACTGGTGTAGTGCCTCACACATAGTTGGCACTGAATAATATTTGTTGAATAAATGAATGAGTTTGTCAAATCTGAGTTTGATTTACAAATATTTATTTCATGATACCCCAACTGGTTTCCCTTTTATCAACCCTCTCACTCATCCTCATGAGATCTATATGCAAAAAGGCAGAAAGTAGGGAGGAAATGTAGAGTCCTTGTTTTGAAATAGTCTAGTTAGTTTCAAGCTGCTCAAATGATTAAAAGTCTATAATGAGGAACTTAAAAATATCATTTTAGTCCTGCATATAATCAGTACAGTATGAGATAAAAACTCTCAGTGAAATACTAGTTGGTTGATTTCCTGCTCAGGATATAAAACTGCTTAGCACCATTCAGTGCTAACAAAAATACATGATTACAATCTCAGAACCTTATACTTACCACATTACTGCATGTTCTGTATCGGATATTTCTTCCTTCACAGCTCCTAAGTTGCAAAAAGAAAAAAGAAATATTACTACTTATGAAAAGCTCAAAATCAGAAATATTTTCTTATAAAAATTTGCTCTAAATACTAGTAAAAGGGCCTCTCTTTTCTTCTAAGCATGTTCTTAGAGGGTTTACTATTAAAAATCAAATTGAGCAGATTTAAAGAAGTTATAGATGTAAATTGATTTCTCTATAAGGGTTGAAACTAAGTATTTATCTTGTTTCAAAAATTTTCAAAATAAGTATTTAGTGCATATTTAATCAAATAAATATTAGTACAAACTTTTCTGAAAAAACTGACATTCAATTAATCCTTTCTTCTTATTTCTGATATAAAATTGAAGATATATTTCACTGAAAAACTTAGATCTTGAAAATAAATTGGAATTAATGGAATTAATATTCAACATGTCTTAAAATCATAATTCTAAGAATGTGGAAAGTCATAATTCTTAAAAAATTATTTTTATTTATAAAATATATACTCATTACAGAGGTTTTGGAAAAGACAGATTACCAAAAAGAAAAAAAAAGAAGTCCCCTGTAGTTGCCTCATCTAAAGACAATCACTATTATTTTGATTTATTTAGTCCTTTCCAGTATAAATAAAAAAAATCACATCACTTACGCAATTTTGTAGCCTGTTTTTGTTTCCACTTAAAATTTTTTGGAGGCATTTTCTCACAGTATTAAATAACTTTAAAAACACCATTTTGAGAGCTACATAATATTCTATCAACTGATGTAATTTTTTCCATAATTATTCTTTCATTATTTGTCATTTAAGTAATTTCCACTTTGGTGTTTGATAAATGATAGTATGGTAAACCATCTTTGTGCATGTGTTTTATCAAAGTTTCTGACTGTGTTTTTTGAATAGATAAATTTCTAGAAAGAGAATTACTAGACTAAAGGGAATGAACTTTTGTAAGGCTCTTCATAAATATTGCCAAAATGCACTCCATAAAAGTTGTACCATTACATACTCCCACCAGCAATACATGAGAGTTTCCATTTTACTGCATTCCTATGAACAAAAACAATCAACTTTTGATAAAACGTTCAATGCTGACACTTAAATCATGAAAAACAGTACTATACTCTTTTCAAAATATGTCACACATTTTTTAAAAAGTAAAGATACACTACAAAATCCTGTGAGAATGATTATACTAATACCTAGTAGTTTTAGAATTCCAGGTACATTTATAAGTTTGTTATATGTATAAATTTATTTAATATTCTCAAAAACCCGGAGAGATAGAGTACCATCATCATATCCATTTTACAGATGACAAAACCGAAGCTTAGGAAGGTTAAGTAACTTGCCAAAATGACACAACTGTTAAGTTGTAGAGCTAAAATTTGAAACCAGGCCATCTGGCTTCGGAACTCACACACTCATGATCACAATGCTTTAATGCCTCCTAATTTACTTTTTTATTCAATAAACGTCCACAGAGCTTCTGTGATGTGTTTGGCAATGAAATTACTGTGAAGAATACAAAGAAGAATGAATATGACTTGGTCTTTGTTATTAAGAAAATTAATTATATAATTTGGTGTAAGAAATGCATATAGCATTTGTATTAGGTCTTGAGAATGTTACCAGAAGGAAAATGTCATCTGACAACACAATTATACACAGACTATCTTAAAAATATAGAAAGGGTCCCATTCCTAAAGACTTGACTGTAATCAGACTGACTATTACTATGCATTAAAAATAGAAAAGGAATGGCTGGCCACACATTGAAACCATAGAAATAAGGAGCATGACAAAGACACATGTGTGTCAGTGTCCAGTCCAGCAATGTCCTAGACAAAAGGCGAATGAATTTCAAGTCCTGCATGTCCCATTGACAAGACTGCTGCAATCTCCACATAGATGACTCATGCTGACCTTACTGATACCGATGATTATTCAGCTCATCCAAGTACCACCCCTCATTACGGTGTCAGGTTGATCAAGCTACTTGCCAAGAGTGATCTGGATTTTCATGACTGCTGAGAACAGAGAGTGCTGGCCATGCTGACATGAGTACTCTGGTCCATGTGATGGACAGTTCTGTTATTTGCTGTAAATTAATCAACTGGCATTCTAGTTTGAAATATTCATCTCATGGGCTGAGTTATTGTGAGTACACCCCTAAGAAAAGGATGTGTTCTTGGTGCTATTGCTGAAAAATATCAGGTTTCTGACTCCAACAATATGAGAGCTAGGTTCCAGCTGATGGTAAATTTACAAGGTAATTGAATTCTAAAACTGGAAGGTCTTTGGTAGCATCCCATCTAGACACTGGTGTTTGCAAAATGTGGTATGCTTTTCAATTTTGAAGTTCCTGCTGCATACGTACCACAGTGCAGTGATTAAGAGTACCCAGTTTAAAAATAGGCTCTGCTTTCTAGAATCTTGGCTCTATATCTCAGTTTTATCTTTGGTAAAATGGGATGATATTACTTATCTCCTGGAATTATGAGAATTAACTGAGTTAGTATTTGTGAATCACTTCAGACTGTGCCTAGGACACAGTAAGCATTATGTAGATGTTAGATAAATTAATTAAGTACATAATAGATGTAAAAATATAATAGCTATTGAAAGGAGGTCAAGGATATATGGAGAAGAAACTAAGCAAAGGCATAGAGGCACAAGAAGATTTGGCATGCCTGCAGATTTTCAAACAGTTCTGGTTTTCGGGGGATTTAGGGTTTATGTGGGGAATTGCAGTAGGTGAGTGAAATACCTACTAATTTTGAACTTTGTAATACACAAAGGGGAACCACTGAAGGTATTAAAACGGAGGAGATTCAATGGTGAGATTTTGCTTTTAAAAGGTAAACCCTGGTGTTAACTATTGGGACTTTAATAGTATATGTTTTTCATCCTTTTTAAAAATTTTTTACCTAACCTTATATCCATGAAAAAAATTATGGAAACAAATCTGAATTAGGAGCCTGAAGATCTGGGATATAGATTTTGTTCTTCCACTTGCATAAACCTCTTGCTCTCTTAGGGTCTTAGTTTCCTTACCTGCCAAATGAATTTAGGAAAGCCTATGCACAAAGTTAGGATCACCAACTGAAATAATGTACAAAAGCTCTGTTCAAATGCCAAGGGATTATTACAGAGATACTGCTTCCTAAACAAAACAAAGCAGAAAAATACTTGTTTCAATAGTTTAAATGAGCCTTTTCCCCGATATTTTAACCTGCAAATACCTACACAAATTTTACAGGCATCACTGAATAATAGGAGATATCTGCACAGAATGTAAAAGATGGATTTAAATACTTATTATTTAGGAAAAGCAAAACAAAACAAAAGCAAAGCAAAGAAAACCCACTTGTCATAATTTCCAAAGAATATCCTGTAGTTGTCTAATGCCTAATATGGATTTGCAGGTAATTTATGGATGCCTCTGAACTATCTTCCCTTTAATATATTACTTTTTTGAGAGCTTCTTTAATTTGACTGAAATATGATATTAAGGTGGTAATGCTTAAGTATGGCAAGGTGATCATTATTGAAAGACATTATCAAATTGTGAACTATAACAGAAACACTAGTCTCTACTATTAAATTGTGGATTATAATAGAAACACTAACTAGTCTCTACTATTTATTCAGTGCCTACTATAGATATTTGGCCCAGTGTTAGGTATTCTGCGTATACTATCTCTAATCTTCCAACAACTCGCAAAATTTTATTATTCCTATTTAATAGATGAGAAAACTGAGGCAGAGAAAGCTGAGGCTTAAAGTTACATACACAGAAAAGTGAACCAGGGATTGGAATCTAGGCGTGACTAACTCCTAAGTCTATCAAACAATAAGAAAAGGAACATGATGTGCTCAAGATACATAGTATACTAACACTAAGCTAAAAATTCGGAAAGCTGAGAAGGGAATAGGCCTGAGGTTGACCTGTCTTGTTGTTATTATATCAGTTTATAAACTACTTCTCAATTCTGGTAAATCCGTTTCTAGAAAAACATAGGTAGATACACATTGGAACATCTCCAAGAAAACCATGTTCATCAGTAAAATGCAATGTGAAAGAACTTCAGTGCAGAGAAGCTTATATTTTTGAAAGTTAAAATTTATGAAATTTGAATATAAATTTCACATAAGTAGCTAGGTGACTATTCCACCACAAGGATTTAATTCCTGCCAAGTGTGAATTTTTTCATCCAAGGCATTTATCTGGGCACAAAATCCCTGTCAGAGAATTAAGCAGTAAAAAATGTTTTCCTTCTTTTTTTTAACAGGTCGTTAATATAAAACAGCTGAGTGATTTCTTTCACATTTAAACAAAGTAAAATTTACCTCTGGGGATGAAAACAAACATTTGAAATTTGAGTCCAAAATGACGTCTGAGAAAAGCTATAGACAAATGATAAGAGAGGATTTAAATAAATATGTCCTCCCAATATAAACTATAAAATAGTTACAGCACTGTGTTTCGGGAGTTCAGAACTATATCAATTATGAACTCAGAAACTGGGTCAAGTATGAAAGAACAAAATATAAGTATTAGAATATATTTTAATATAAAAATGTAATATGCACAGGTATGTTTCTTCTAGCACTATTCACAATAGCAAAGACATGTAATCAACCCAAATGGCCACTAATTATTGACTGGAAAAAGAAAATGTGGTCCATATACACCATGGAATACTATGCAGCCATAAAAAAGAACAAGATCATGCCCCTTGCAGGGACATGGATGGAGCTGGAAACCATTATCCTCAGCAAACTAATGGAGGAACAGAAAATCAATCTCACTTACAAGCGGGAGCTGAATGATGAGAACACATGTATACGTGAGGGGTGAGAACACGTGTATACATGGGGGTAACAACACACACTGGGGCCTGGGGAGGCTGTGGGGAGGGAGAGTACCAGAAAGAATAGCTAATGAATGCTGGGCTCAATACCTAGGTGATGGGTTGATCTGTGCAGCAAACTACCATGGCACACGTTTACCTTTGTAACAAACCTGCATATCCTGCACATGAACCCCAAACTTAAAATAAAATAAAAATAAAAATAAAAAAATGGGCCAGGTGTGGTGGCTCATGCCTGTAATCCCAGCACTTTGGGCGGCCAAGACAGGTGGATCATGTGAGGTCAGGAGTTCAAGACCAGCCTGGCCAACGTGATGAAACCCCGTCTCTAATAAAAATACAAAAATTAGCCGGGCATGGTGGCAGGCACCTGTAATCCCAGCTACTCAGGAGGCTGAGGCAGGAGAATCACTGGAACCCAGGAGGTGGAGCTTGCAGTGAGCCGAGATTGTACCATTGCATTCCAGCCTGGGCGACAGAGCAAGACTCCATCTTGAGGGGGGCGGGTGGAATACATATATATATATTCTAATTCAAATTTGCAACAAAAATTCCTTATTTGCTTAATCACCATTTTACTCCTGCCCAGTCAGATTTTGATTTAATTCCTTCTCTTAAAAATAGAAATAATCTCAATCACAAGCTATTATGTGTGAATTATTCAGTCTTTAATTCACTTAAGAGATTAGTATATACTGGATACATACTTTATTTGTCTCTCATTAACGCATAATACACCATCTAAACTTCCACTTCTTAAAATCCTGATGTTATAGTTTCAACTGTCATTTAACAACCTGAGAAGAGGTGAAATGACATGAAAAATTAAAAGATTTTTCTCTAGGGTCAAACAACTTGTTAGCTTCTTGTTCCCCCATCCCCCTTCTCATATAAGCCTTTTTAAAAAGGGGCATGCATTTGATTTATCGCTCCTTTACTTTAAAATTCTTATCATCTCTTCACTAAGCAATAGATCCTTCTGGTGACATAGCCAGACTTATACCTGATGTCAATACATTGTTTCAAGAAAATCTGGTCATTCTGCATTTAACACTTCTGGGTTTTTAAGGACAATTGCACTTATATTAGGCTCATGGCACCCCAGGCTTTATCTCTGATTGCTAAAAAGCAAAGAATGTTGCTAAGCAAGAATGGGTTACTGTATTTCCCTGAATATCACTAGCTTTTCAAATACGGACTTATGGCAAAGAATTTTAAAGCAGGATGGTCCATCTGGTTTTTTTCTTTTTGCTTTTGCTTTTTTGAGACAGCATCTCATCTCATTCTGTTACCCAGCCTGGAGTGCAGTGGCACTATCATAGCTCACTGTAACCATGAAATCCTGGGTACCACTGATCCTCCCACCTCAAACTCCTAAAGCACTGTGAATACAAGCCTATCTCTCTTCTTTCAGTCATCCAAAGAAATCTATGAGCTCTTTACAAGAGAAAAGACATAAAGCCATGTTTCGCAATTCAAGCCCCAGGGATCCTGGGCCATTTAGACTGTGGATCTTAGAGCGACCATAGATTAGAACAAGATAAGCGGATTTGCAACCCCACCAAGGGATTTTAAGTAGTACTGGAACACAGTTTCTCCTGTCACATCAAATGAGCATTTCAGTACTCACTGGAGCTATACTGCAGGAGGTTGCCCCCAATGAGCCAGTTAAAAAAATTCTCCAAACTAAGCTTCATAAGTGAAGGAGAAATAAAAACCTTTACAGACAAGCAAATGCTGAGAGATTTTGTTACCACAAGGCCTGCCCTAAAAGAGCTCCTGAAGGAAGCACTAAACATGGAAAGGAACAACTGGCAACAGCCACTGCAAAAACATGCCAAATTGTAAAGACCATTGATGCTGGGAAGAAACTGCGTCAACTAATGAGCAAAATAACCAGCTAACATCATAATGACAGGATCAAATTCACACATAACAATATTAACCTTAAATGTAAATGGGCTAAATGCTCCAATTAAAAGACACAGACTGGCAAATTGGATAAAGAGCCAAGATCCATCAGTGTGCTGTATTCAGGAGACCCATCTCATGTGCAGAGACACACATAGGCTCAAAACAAAGGGATGGAGGAAGATCTACGCGGCAAATGGAAAACAAAGGCAGGGGTTGCAATCCTAGTCTCTGATAAAACAAACTTTAAATCAACAAAGATCAAAAGAGACAAAGAAGGCTATTACATAATGGTAAAGGGATCAATTCAACAACAGCAGCTAACTATCCTAAATATACATGCAGCCAACACAGGAGCACCCAGATTCATAAAGCAAGTCCTTAGAGACTTACAAAGAGACTTAGACTCCCACACAATAATAATGGGAGGCTTTAACACCCCACTGTCAACATTGGACAGATCAATGAGAGAAAGTTAAAAAGGTTATCCAGGAATTGAACTCAGCTCTGTACCAAGTGGATCTAATAGACATCTACAAAACTCTCCACCCCAAATCAACAGAATATACGTTCTTCTCGAAACCACATTGCACTAATTCCAAAATTGACCACATTGTTGGAAGTAAAGCTCTCCTCAGCAAATGTAAAAGAACAGAAATTATAACAAACTGTCTCTCTGACCACAGTGCTATCAAACTAGACCTCAGGATTAAGAAACTCACTCAAAACCACTCACCTACATGGAAACTGAACAACCTGCTCCTGAATGACTACTGGGTACAAAATGAAATGAAGGCAGAAATAAAGATGTTCTTTGAAACCAGTGAGAACAAAGACACAACATACCAGAATCTCTGGGACACATTTAAAGCAGTGTGTACAGGAAAAATTTGCAGCACTAAATGCCCACAAGAGAAAGCAAGAAAGATCTAAAATTGACACCCTAACATCACAATTAAAAGAACTAGAGAAGCAAGAGCAAACACATTCAAAAGCTAGCAGAAGGCAAGAAACTACTAAGATCAGAGCAGAATTGAAAGAGATAGACACACAAAAAACCCTTCAAAAAAATCAATGAATCCAGGAGCTGGTGTTTTGAAAAGATCAACAAAATTGATAGACCACTAGCAAGAGTAATAAAGAAGAAAAGAGAGAAGAATCAAATAGATGCAATAAAAAATGATAAAGGGGATATCACCACTGATCCCACAGAAATACAAACTACCATCAGAGAATACTATAAACACCTCTATGCAAATAAAGTAGAAAATCTAGAAGAAGTGGATAAATTCCTGGACACATACACCCTCCCAAGACTAAACCAGGAAGAAGTTGAATCCCTGACTAGACCAATAACAGGCTCTGAAATTGAGGCAATAATTAATAGCCTACCAACCAAAAAAAGTCCAGGACCAGACAGATTCACAGCCGAATTCTACTGGATGTACAAGGAGGAGCTGGTACCATTCCTTCTGAAACTATTCCAATCAATAGAAAAAGAGGGAATCCTCCCTCACTCATTTTATGAGGCCAGCATCATCCTGATACCAAAGCCTGGCACAGACACAACAAAAAGAGAGAATTTTAGACCAATATCCCTGATGAACATCGATTCAAAAATCCTCAATAAAATACTGGCAAACCGAATCCAGCAGCACATCAAAAAGCTTGTCCACCATGATCAAGTGGGCTTCATCCCTGGGATTCAAGGCTGGTTCAACATACACAAATCAATAAACGTAATCCAGCATATAAACAGAACCAAAGACAAAAACCACATGATTATCTCAATAGATGCAGAAAAGGCCTTCAATAAAATTCAACACCCCTTCATGCTAAGAACTCTCAATAAACTAGGTATCAATGGAACATATCTCAAAATAATAAGAGTTATTTATGACAAACCCACAGCCAATATCATACTGAATGGGCAAAAACTGGAAGCATTCCCTTTGAAAACTGGCACAAAACAGGGATGCCCTCTCTCACCACTCCTATTCAACATAGTGTTGGAAGTTCTGGCCAGGGCAATCAGGCAGGAGAAAGAAATAAAGGGTATTCAATTAGGAAAAGAGGAAGTCAAATTGTCCCTGTTTGCAGATGACATGATTGTATATTTAGAAAACCCCACTGTCTCAGCCCAAAATCTCCTTAAGCTGCTAAGCAACTTCAGCAAAGTCTCAGGATACAAAATAAATATGCAAAAATCACAAGCATTCTTATACACCAATAACAGACAAACAGAGAGCCAAATCATGAGAGAACTCCCATTCACAATTGCTTCAGAAAGAATAATACCTAGGAATCCAACTTACAAGGGATGTGAAGGACCTCTTCAAGGAGAACTATAAACCACTGCTCGAGGAAATAAAAGAGGATACAAACAAATGGAAGAACATTCCATGCTCATGGGTAGGAAGAATCAATATCGTGAAAATGGCCATACTGCCCAAGGTAATTTACAGATTCAATGCCATCCCCATCAAGCTACCAATGACTTTCTTCACAGAATTGGAAAAAACTACTTTAAAGTTCATATGGAACCAAAAAAGAGCCCACATCACCAAGTCAATCCTAAGCCAAACGAACAAAGCTGGAGGCATCACGCTACCTGACTTCAAACTATACTGCAAGGCTACAGTAACCAAAACAGCATGGTACTGGTACCAAAACAGAGATATAGATCAATGGAACAGAACAGAGCCCTCAGAAATAACGCCGCATATCTACAACTATCTGATCTTTGACAAACCTGAGAAAAACAAGCAATGGGGAAAGGATTCCCTATTTAATAAATGGTGCTGGGAAAACTGGCTAGCCATATGTAGAAAGCTGAAACTGGATCCCTTCCTTACACCTTATACAAAAATTAATTCAAGATGGATTAAAGACTTCAACGTTAGACCTAAAACCATAAAAACCCTAGAAGAAAACCTAGGCAATACCATTCAGGACATAGGCATGGGCAAGGACTTCATGTCTAAAACACCAAAAGCAGTGGCAACAAAAGCCAGAACTGACAAATGGGATCTAATTAAACTAAAGAGCTTCTGCACAGCAAAAGAAACTACCATCATAGTGAACAGGCAACCTACAGAATGGGAGAAAATTTTTGCAACCTACTCATCTGACAAAGGGCTAATATCCACAATCTAAAAAGAATTCAAACAAATTTACAAGAAAAAAACAAAAAACCCCATCAAAAAGTGGGAAAAGGATATGAACAGACACTTCTCAAAAGAAGACATTTATGCAGCCAACAGACACATGAAAAAATGCTCATCATCACTGGCCATCAGAGAAATGCAAATCAAAACCACAATGAGATACCATCTCACACCAGTTAGAATGGGGATCATTAAAAAGTCAGGAAACAACAGGTGCTGGAGAGGATGTGGAGAAATAGGAACACTTTTACACTATTGGTGGGAGTGTAAACTGGTTCAACCATTGTGGAAGACAGTGTGGCGATTCCTCAAGGATCTAGAACTAGAAATACCATTTGACCCAGCCATCCCATTACTGTGTATATACCCAAAGGATTATAAATCATACTGCTATAAAGACACATGCACACATATGTTTATTGCGGCACTATTCACAATAGCAAAGACTTGGAACCAAACCTAATGTCCATGAATGATCAACTGGATTAAGAAAATGTGGCGCATATACACCATGGAATAGTATGCAGCCATAAAAAGGATGAGTTCATGTCCTATGTAGGGACATGGATGAAGCTGGAAACCATCATTCTCAGCAAACTATTGCAGGGAAAAAAAAAACAAACATCGCATGTTCTCACTCATAGGTGGGAATTGAACAGTGAGAACACTTGGACACAGGAAGGGGAACATCACACACTGGGGCCTGTCATGGGGTGTGGGGAGGGGGGCGGGATAGCATTAGGGGATATACTTAATGTAAATAACGAGTTAATGGGTGCAGCACACCAACATGGCACATATATACATATGTAACAAACCTGCACATTGTGCACATGTACCTTAGAACTTAAAGTATAATAAAATAAAATAAAAATTCTACATTCCTGAGACTCTACAAAAAACTCAAGAGGAATAATAAATTGTGAGAACAACTGAGAGAAACAAGTGCAAGTGTACTGTCAGCTTCTTTTCATTTTCTGCAGATACATTGTTATTATTATTTTAAATAATTTCAACTTTTATTTTAGACTCGGGTACAAGTGCAGGTTTGTTACACGGGTATACTGCATGATGCTGAGGTATGGGTTAGGGATGATCCTGTCACCAGGTAGTGAGCATAGTACCTGTTAGGTAGTTTTTCAGCTCACCACCCCCTCTCTCCTCCTCCCTCTAGTAGTCCCTAGCACAGACACATTATTGTAAGAGTTTCTTTCAGGAAATACTTGATACCAGTCAACTTGACCATGAAAAAGGAAACTATATGAACCACTGGACCCTGTGTGTAAAGCTCTTCTCAGATGCTCACTGTCTTCATCTGTGGTTCAGACTGGATGCTGAACACCCAGGGACTAGAACTGGAGTCTGTGCATAAGAGATGGTTACTTGTGGTCTTACCTCACATGGGAGAGAAAGAGGAGTTAGATGACAAGCCATCCCTGTGGGTTTCACAAGTCCCATATTCTAATCTTTTTCTTAGCTTTGCTTTACTCTTGTACTTAAAAATGTCATTCTATCATGTTCTACATTTTATTCTGTGTTTAAAATAATTATTATTTAATTCTAATTTATAACATCATAAACAAAAATTACAATGAAACTTGTTTATGTAAAAGCATTATTTTGAGGGGGCTTGCTCCCAACAAGAGGAGGCAATTCAGCACTGTCTCTTCTTTAAAAGTATCTGCAGATAACCATGCTTATACTGTATCTTCATTATATATCATATCTCTAAACAATTAGACATGTTCCAGTATGCATCCCTAGTGAGTACTTTATTAATATTAACATATTTAAATTATTTTTAATAAACATTGAATAAATATATATTTATTCAGGACAATGCTTTTTTTAAATTTTTAATTTTTGTGGGTATCTAGTAGGTGTATGTATTTATGGGGTGCAGAAGAGGTTTTGATACAGGCATGCAATGCATAATAATCACTTCATGGTAAATGGGTATCTATCCCCTCAAGCACTTATCCTTTGTGTTACAAACAAGTTAATTACACTCTTTTAGTACTTTAAAAATGTACTTTGAGGCCCCTCCTCTCTGCCACATGCTTCCAGATAACCCTGTACCTCAAATAATAAGAAATTTGCTTACAATGTTCTTCATAACAAGTAATGTTTAACCTGGTAACACCTGCCTATGGAAACTGACCTTAAACATTAAAATGTGTCTTTGTCCTTTTTTGAGGCTAACATTCACATTTTTCCCTCATTTGAGGTTAAATCTCCTTCATTGAACAAAGCCACTAAAATGCTAGAAATAAATGCATCCCCTGTACATATAACCACCAGTGGAAAGGCGGAAACAGAGGTTCTTGGTGCTTTGGGACTTTCAAAAGCATATATAAAAAATCTCTCTTTCTCCTAAGCATTTAGATGAAAGGTCCCTGAATCCCACGCAGAAGCAGTTTTCCACTGCCTTTTCTACATGGGATACATCACATGGCTCAAACAGATTAGTACTAAGGGAGAGATTAATTTTTTTTTTGAATAGATAGATATACAAGCCAAACAATTATGATGACTTGATAAATGTGGCTTTTGAAAATGCTTTCTGTTGTAATAATACAAGAAACAACAAGGTGGCATGCTGCCAGGCATCATCCATCAGTAGGTGAGCTGGCTGGGAACAGACACATCCCTGGTGCCATGTTAGCTCATCCCAGTGTGCCAGAGGCACTAACAAGGCCCTAGGGAGCCAAAAGAAAAGTCAGCCTTAAAGCCGCATTCTCAAAGCAATTTTAAACTGATCAGAGGAGAGTGAAGGTCCAGATTGAAAAATGGTGCTGTAACTTGTGAACTAGACTTAAAAGTGTTTCTTTGGCATAGATAACATATTTTTGTGACCTCAGTTTTGTAATTCAACACTTCTGCTCTATCCTAATCTGTCATTATAAAAATGTTCTGAATGTAGTGCCAACTTGGAAACACTGATTTATGTATATCCAGAGAGTTACTAAAACTTATTGTGGAGACTAAATTTGATATAAATAGAAATTATGTAGGTTTGGGGTAAACGGTCTAAGACAACATCCTCTCTGGTTGTTTGATCTTCTCTCGACCATATGGAACCAAGGAAAGCACCTCTGCACTTTTACAGATTTTTGAGCAACAGTTAGGAGGCTGCAAAGCTGGTAAATTAAAATTTAGACCCACATGAGAATATTATAGGCTGAATTGTGGAGTTTGTCCTTTAAGTTTCAAATTGGCTTTTTGCTATTATGACTGTTTGGTATGTCTAAACTATAACTAGAAAAATCACTGCCAATTTTTTTTTCCAAACAAGTATGATTTTACATATCCCTGCCTGTTCTTCAAAGAAAGACATGCTATAGCAAAGCATCAAGTTTTCACAAATATGGGCTGCAGTTATGAAAATGAGGAGTATACTCATGTAATCAGAAAAGAAAAAGGTGAGAATGATGACACTGTAGACCATAAAGGTCATGCCCAGCTTCTAACGAAGCCAGAAACTGCTCTGAACATACTGCTCAAAAAATCTAATGAGACAATGTACAATAAGCACTCCAATGCGGAAAGTGAGTCCTGGGCAGTGCTTCCTGGTTAACACGCTTTTTGTATAATGTTTTCCAATTTGCAGTCACTTAACACATTCATTGGGTATCCAGTCTATACTAGTACTAAGCAAGGCACTGTGAAAGACACAAAAATGGTGGCCTCCCTGATTCTTATCAAAGTTATTATTTACTTGAACAAATCCACACGAATCAGAATAGAACACACAACAGCATAATGCCTGGTGAACAACTCATAGGAATGATCTGAATATTAAATACAGAAGGAATTTGAAAAGGCAGAGATTGAGGAGAGGGCAATAGCTTACAAAGGAAGTATCTTAGGTGGGAGGTCCTATATGGGTGATAGGAGTCCCAAGAATGTGATGGGAGAAAGGAGACTTTGCGATTCAGCCCTCGCTTCCTCCTCCTGCTCCCTCGAGCACTACACTAGGTTCTTACCCTATGTTTAACTCAGTAAATTCACCTAACAGTGACTAGATACCTACTCTGTGCAAGGCAAGAAGGTTTAAAGAAAAGGAAAATAAAACCTGAGACCATAACACTGATAATGTAATTAGAGACAGTACCATATGAATAACGATAACACAGCCAGACTATGTAAAGGTGAATTAAAGGTGATGCAAACAAATTCCTCACAAATATAGCATGGTGAGACTCAGGGGGTACAGGTGAAGTTGGCTTTAAATAACATTTAGGATTTTCACAGGTGAGTATGGGGAGGGAGGGACATTGTAGGTAAAGAGCTCACCAGGAGAGGAGGCAGAGAGGTAGCAAAAGGCCAGCATTTTAAAGTTCTAGGACACCATCCTGTAGCACCCATGCCTCTTTTACTTTTAGAAAACCAGCCTGGCCATCATGGTGAAACCCTGTCTCTACTAAAAATACAAAAATTAGCCAGGTATCATGGCGCATGCCTGTAATCCCAGCACTCAGGAGGCTGAGGCAGGAGAATCGCTTGAATCCGGGGGGCAGAGGTTGCAGCGAGCTGAGATTGTGCCACTGCACTCCAGCCTGGGTGACAGAGGGAGAATATGTCTCAAAAAATAAAAAGAAAAAAGAAAAGAAAACCATATTACCATTTAACCTAGCAATCCCACACTGGGTATCTAACCAAAGGAAAAGAAATCATTATATAAAAAAGACACCTGCATTCATATGTTTATTGCAGCACTATTCACAATAGCAAAGTCATAGAATCAGCCTAAATGTCCATCAATGGATGACTAGATAAAGAGAATGTGGTACATATACACCATCAATACTACTTAGCCATAAAAAGAATGAAATCATGTCCTTTACGGCAACATGGATGGAGCTGGAGGCCATTATCCTAAGTGAATTAACTCAGAAGCAGAAAATCAAATACCATAGGTTTTCACCTATAAGCAGGAGCTAAACAATGCGTACACATGGACATAAAGATGGAAATATTTGGCACTGGGGACTCCAAAAGAGGAAAGGCTGGGTTGGGGGGCGGGGTGGAAAAACTGCCTATTGAGTACGACGTTCAATATTTGGGTGATGGGTATACTGGAAGCCCAAACCCCACCATTATGCAATATACCCATGTAATAAACATGCACATGTACCCCCTGAATCTAAAATAAAAAATAGTAAATATTTTTTGACAATTATTTACTTTTTTCCCTTGCAGTCTGTTTGGTCTCTGAGCTGCAGAATCTAGCAACATGCTTGGTGTACTGTTAGTGCTTTACAAATATTTCGTGAGAGAAGGAAGGAAGGAAAGAAGGGAGCAAGGGATAGAAGGAGGGAAGGAAAGAACAAATGGCCAAAGGAAGAAGGAAGAAACATACAGAAGGAACTGTTATAAAGATAACTCCAGGCCATGAAGAACTTTCGGCCTCACATCTGTTCTACAAGAAACCTGATTAAAATCTGTCTATAACAAGAAAAAGCATTATTCACAATAGCAAAGACTTGGAACCAACCCAAATGTCCAACAATGATAGACTGGATTAAGAAAATGTGGCACATATACACCATGGAATACTATGCAGCCATAAAAAATGATAGGGACATGGATGAAATTGGAAATCATCATTCTCAGTAAACTATCGCAAGAACAAAAAACCAAACACTGCATAATCTCACTCATAGGTGGGAATTGAACAATGAGATCACATGGACACAGGAAGGGGAATATCACACGCTGGGGACTGTGGTGGTGTGGGGGGAGGGGGGAGGGATAGCATTGGGAGATACACCTAATGCTAGATGACGAGTTCGTGGGTGCAGCGCACCAGCATGGCACATGTATACATACGTAACTAACCTGCACAATGTGCACATGTATCCTAAAACTTAAAGTATAATAAAAAAAAATAAATTAAAAAAAAAGAAAAAGATGAAAAGTTTAAAATGAAATTAAATAGCTACCAAAGTAAAAAAATTGGGCTCTATTTTAATGAACACGTTTATTTTCATATATTTATTATAAGTTGTGTTTGTCCTTGCAATGCATTTGCTTCCTCTGAAAGATGGCTAGGGGTGGGGGCCGGGGGATTGCTGCCTTTGGCTTAAGATCCACTAGCAAGAAGGACATGCACTTTATAGTATACACACACATGCCATAAGGTTTGCAAATGATCTTACATTTGCTCAGTAGCCAAAAGAGGCAAAGAATGAGAATAAAAACAAATGTGTTTTAGCAACATCAAGTCCAACTTTTCCATCTTCCCCTTGAGGAAAATGTATATTATGAAACTCTAGGACTCTAACAACCTCTCCTGATACAAGCCTTGAGCTAGAAATTTATGAATTATTTTGGCTAGAGACAAAAGTTCTCCAATCCTTCCATGTCACCCAGATGTTCATTGCAAAACAGGGGTCTGGAGAGTCACAACATTTTTCTTTAAAACCATTTATATGAAGAGCAGTTTTTGCTCCTCTTCCTATCTAACAGCAAAATGGGCTTGACTGCATATCTGGAGGAGAAACTGTCTCCTTTTTAGGGGCACACATTTCAGAGTTGAAGGGCACCTTGGATATCTGTTCAACAAATATTTATGGAACACTTGTTCTGTTCCAGGCACTGCCCACTTGATTTCACAGATAAGCAAACAAAATCCCAGAGAAACTAAAATCTAGTCCAATGTCATACAAGTAGAGAACAGTGGTGCCAATATTCAAAATCAGTAGTTTTATGAAAAATAAAATAGAAGTAATAATCCACAAAGTAGGCAATGAAACTCACTGCTACAAATTCTGGTTCCCACAACATGTGGTTCTCTCCCTAAGTAGGAAAGGGTCTTTATCTGGACCAGGGATTCCTACTCCAAAGCCCAAAGGCAGTGGCTGGCTCTGCAGCTATTTGAGGTTGGTATATTAGTTAGGGGCTTCAGCTGATGATCCATGCATGGATGTAATATCACCTAGTGTTTTATAAGTTATTCTTCCTGCCTCCAGGTGAATTGTCCATCCCCCATTGTATATGATTTGGACAGACCACCCTCTGTTTGCTTTTAATATCCAGTATCTGTCTCCATCTCTCTCTCTTTCTTTCTTTCTCTCTCTTTCTCAGTGACTGAAACTAAGGAAAACAGGGTCAGATAACTCTTTTCTATTTTCTACAAATTGGGCCCAAACCGAAGAATAATTCAATAAATTATGCAAGTAGCATTAGGAAATCTTTCTTTTTCTTTCTTTTTTTTTTTTTTGGTAGTTGAGGTGAGGGAGGAGCTGGAGGGATGGATGCTGAATTGAAGATGGAAAACTCAACTCAACTCAACTCTGTGGATAGGAAGTTTAATGACTTTAAGGAGAGGTGAGTCTCAGAGAATTTGCATAAACTACCCAAGAATCACTAGGACATTAACCTGGTCATTCACCAACAAGCTGGAAGCTTAAAGGATCATGTTTGTAGGCTTAATTAATAAAAGGATGAAAGAATAAGTTAGAAATCACTTAGTTCATTTAATACTTTGGGCAAGGCTGATGATGACTAATACTAGACAACTGTGTATGTACCAGAAAAGTAGATAAAGAGTAGTACCTAGGGCAATCCCCACTCTTACATCTTGACATGCTTGTATCCATGACTTCTCTCCCACATGGCGGACTCGATCATTTTACAGAAACTCCTTTTAACATAAAAGAAGTTTCTTTATCAGAAAATCCTGTGGTAGCTCATCCCTGTAATCCCAGCACTTTGGGAGGCCAAGGTGAGCAAATCACTTGAGCTCACGAGGGAGACACCAGCCTGGCCAACATAGTGAAACCCTGTCTCTACAAAAAATACAAAAATTAGCCAGGCATGATTGCTCATGCCTGTCGTCCCAGCTACTCGGGAGGCTGAGATAGGAGGACGGTTTGAAACTGGGAGGCAAAGGTTGCAGTGAGCCGAGATGGCACCACTGCACTCCAGCCTGGGCGATACAGCCAGACCTTGTCTCAAAAAACAAACAAACAACAAAAATTCTTCTTTTCTTCTTTACCCTAACCTCTACTTTTTCAGGGAGCTAGAGATAAACCTCATCATTGCACTATCACCCCCTTCGAGACGGCAGCAATTTTAAACTCTGGATACACACTAAAATCATTTGGAGAGCTTTGAAAAAATTACTGATGTCAGGAATCTACCCCAAGAGATCCTAATTTAACTGTTCTTTGGTAGGGCCCAGATATCTGTATTTTTTTTAAAAGCTTTCCAGGTGATTCTAAAGTGTAACTAGGATTAAGAACTACTTCCATAACAGAAGGAGGAATAAAAACCACATGATCATCTTTGAAAGATGCAGAAAAATCATTTGGCAAAATTTAACATCTTTCATGATGTGAACTCTCAAACTAGGCATAGAAGGAAATTTCTTCAAAATAACTAAGGCCATATGTGAAAAGTCCTCAGCTAACATCACACTCAATGGCTTTTCCTCTAATATCAGGAACAAGGCAAAGTTGCTCACTCTTGCCACTTCTGTTCAAAAGAGTACTGAAAGTCTTAGGTCAGTAAGACAAGAAAAATAAATAAAAGGCATCCAAAAAAGAAAGGAAGAAGTTAAATTATCTCTATTTGCAGATGACATGATCTTATAAGCAGAAAACTCTAAATACTTCACGAAAGACTAATAAACAAATTGAGTAAAACTGAGGGATACAAAATCAATATAGAAAAATCAGGCTGGGCGTGGTGGCTCACGCCTGTAATCCCCACACTTTGGGAGGCCGAGGCGGGCGGATCATGAGGTCAGGAGATCGAGACCATCCTGGTGAACACGGTGAAACCCCGTCTCTACTAAAAATACAAAAAAAGTAGCCGGGCATGGTGGCGGGTGCCTGTAGTCCCAGCTACTCGGGAGGCTGAGGCAGGAGAATGGCGTGAACCCCGGAGGCGGAGCTTGCAGTGAGCCGAGATAGTGCCGCTGCACTCCAGCCTGGGAGACAGCGAGACTTCGTTCAAAAAAAAAAAAAAAAAAAAAAAGAAAGAAAAATCAGTTGCAATTCTACACACTAATAACAAACTATCCACAAAAGAAATTAAGAGAACAGTCTCATTTACAATCACATCAAAAAGAATAAAATACTTAGGAATAAACTAAGGAAGTGAAGGACTTGAACACTGACAATCACAAAACATTACTGAAAGAAATTAAAGATGACACAAATAAATGGTAAAACCTTCCATGTTCATGGAGTGGAAGAGTAATGTTGTTAAAATGTCCATGTTACCCAATGTGATCTATAGATACAATGCGTTGCCTATCAAACTCCCAGTAACTGATTATTATAGAAATGGAAAAAACAGTTCTAAAATTCATATGAAACAAAAAACAATCTGGAATGTTCAGAACAATATTGAGAGAGAACAAAGCTGAAGGCATCACAGTTCCTGATTTCAAAACATTTTATAAGCTACAGAAATTAAAATAGTATGGTACTGGTGTAAAGATATGCCAGTGTAAAGACACCTTGGTGTAAAGACAGACATATACACCAATAGAACACCTAGAAAAACACTCACACATACACAGTCAACTGATCTTTGACAAAGGTTCCAAGAATACACAATGGGGAAAGGTGCTGGGAAAACTGGATATCCACATGTGAAAGAATAAAATTGCTATCAAAATTTCACCATAGACAAAAATTAACTCAAAATGGACTATAGACTTAAATATAAGACTTGAAACTATAAAACTCCAACTGGAAAATACAGGGGCAAAGCTTCCTAATATTGATTTGGCAATGATCTCTCAGCTATAACACCAAAAGCACAAGCAACAAAAGCAAAAATAGGCAAGTAGGACACTATCAAAGTAAACAGTCTGCACGGCAAGGGAAAGAACAACAATGAATGAACTCTGAGGCCATTATCCTGAGTGAAATAAGTCAGAAATAAGGATAAGTACTACGTGATTCCACTTATATAAGGTATCTAGACTAATCAAGTACATAGAAGCAGACAGTAGAAGGGAGGCTGCCAGAGGTTGCGGCGGAGGGAGAAATAGTACTTGCCATTCAAGGAGTCTAGTTTCAGTGATGCAAGATGGCTAAATTGTAGAGATCTGCTGCACAGCACTGCTGGTGTAGTTAACAATACTGTATAGAACACTTCAAATTTGGTTGAGATGGTGGATCTCATGCTAAATTGTCTTACCACAATAAAAAATAAAAATAAAAAGAGGAAGGGAAATAACCAAGAGGGAATTAGAGAGGAGATTAGCTCTAAGATCCTTCCCAGCTCAGTCTAGGTCTAAGTCTGAAATATTTTCTTAATTCTGCAAAAGTAGAATTGGTTCCACCAACCTTTGTTCTGTGGTATAGGGATTAGGTTCCCAATTCTTTTGTAGAGATGTTTAATATCACATAGTTTTCTTCCACTTTAGTTGAAGCACAGATTGAAGAAATAAAATGACAATACTGCATATACTGTTTAAAAGCCAATTATTAAACATTTGAATGTCTGCTGTGTGCTAAGCACTGTAAAAAAGGAGGAATTCATACAATTGAATTAGGAAAAGAAAGCATTAATATATAAAATGATGCTACCAGAATAAAATAACAATACATATAAAATATTTTTAAAACCCAGTTCCACAGATGTATTATTTATAGAACTGGGGGAACTTCTCTTAGTTCTTAAAATATCTTGCAACTATAATCAGTAGAAACTCAGAGGCAAATTAATAATTTGGTAAATTCTTGAGACTCTGGCCCTTTGGGATTTCTATCCTTAATTATACCTACCAATTTGCTTAATACATAGTAGGTATTCAATAAATATTTATTGAATGAATGAATTAAAATTGAGGAGATATACAAACTTTAGAAGGGCTACTGAACAAATCACATAAGGATTTTTTTTTTTAATAAACAGAAAAAGACATCTAAGAGTTACAGATTCCTGATATGGCAAGTAAATGTTATGGACAACAAACACATTTCTAACCATCTTTTATTCCAACAAATTGGCTTATGGGATAAACCAGGCCATAAATTGGTCCTAAACATTCAGTCATTGGCCTTAGCGCATTTGCCTCCGGAAAGGAGATCAGATCTTGGAACAATACACCCCCCTAAGATATATGACCTGAAATATTAGAAGTCTTGGTAATATATTTAGACTAGGCTTTAACCCAAAAAGTAAAAGGAAGGCAACTGCAAACTCTTAAGCATATGTTCCAAAATATGCAATCTCCTTTAACAAAATGAAAAGACTATCTCATACAAATGACATGAGTAGTCATACCCACTCTGAACTTGTATATCTTTCTTTTAAACAAAAATTCAAACATTCCCAAGGAAAACAAGGGTGATAACATATAACACCAGATGAAGAATAACAGATAAAGCCTGCTTTGGGGCTCACTTGAGCTGAAAGTTCTAAAACCTCTTAAAACAAGTCCTGTGAATCTTAATTGGATGTTATGATAGAGATGAGATGTCTTTTAGAGAAAAAAACAAACATTTGTTTAAGAAGCAAAATCTTACCATTGAAAATTTTCTTTTGGTATTTATTATTATACGGTATAGAAATAAGATGCTAACTAAAGCCTATATTAGTGTATCAATATTTTCATGGCAGAATATCTGTGTTTGCAATTAAAAATCAGAGAAGTTAGCTTACTTTCTCTTACCACAATTATTATGAAATGAGACCTTTAGAATGATCTTTCCTATTCCTGTGGACTAAGACTCCTTGGGGCTATTTATTTTACTTTTTCTGTATTTATGTTGACACCATTCTGGCAGCCACATGCCTTTGGAATAATACTATAATCTTACTTGTTTTAGGCACCTCTTGTGTGATTTTTATTTCTTGCTCATCTAATAATCGTATTACCTCAAAAACTTTTTAATTCAATTTTAATATTTAACTCAAAATTTATTAACTTTTAAAAAATTCTGCCATCCTTCATAAGAAGATCATTTTTTGCTATTTGGATAGATATGAAACAGCCAAGCCCATTGCTGAATCAGTTAAGATTTAACATAATATTTGTATTCTTAATGTATTAATTTATGCTCTTAATACAATATTAATGTAGTATTAATTTATACCATTAGCAGATGAATTTGGCATTTCAGAAAGTAAAAAAGGTCTCAGAAGACCTTTAAATCTTCTTTAGTCACCAGTGCAAAGGTTCACATCACACCTAAGAGCAGCCAGCTATCTAACTCGTTGCCATCTCAAATGAGGGGTAGTTTCCTCCTTTGAGCCTGGTCTTGGCATTGACTTAATACAGGGAGACAGATAATGTTACACATTATATTAACTGTCTTATGCATTTGGAACTTCTTATGAGCAAAGCTAAATTAGCTGGCTGAAGATAAACCTAGAGCTCTGAAAGATAGATCTTTAGTATTAAATATTTTTTAAAAAGCTAGACAAATAGTTCACTATAAATATTATTTCAGAGTATTTAGTAGGGGGGTGAAGAACTGGAGAGAGGAGCAGCTTCTCAAGGTACCTAGTACTTTAATTCATTTGAAATAAAATAAATGTCCATCATCAAGCACCAGTAGGTATAGTCTCTTTTCTAATTAATGAAAAATAAAAACAGGTATTATATTCTACTTAGCGATACTAGATTAGTAAAAGTTACATTATAAGAGTTACTCAATAAAACCTCATATAACCTTACAAAATTAGTAAAGGTGAGAGACAATGTTTATACAGTGTCTTTCTTTGTTGTTCAAACCAGGGTTGCAGATAAAGGCAATGATCAGTGTTCCAATATCATAAACCTGGAAAATCAAGCACTGCCTACTTTCTGCAAACCTCAGAAAAAGGGTAGGGGAGAAACCAAGGAAAGGATTCTACTCAGTATGTTCCTGGGTCAGAACTTTTTCTCCAGTATCAAGTACTGCTTGTTGAGAATGAAGGCTTTTATATTTAATGTGTACCTGTGTTTTCATTCTGCTTTGTCTCCATTGAATTTTTTTCTAGAACCTTCAAAAGATCACTCAGAGAGGATGTTCTGTACTCAGAGGGTAAACCAAGTCTCCTCACAAGCTCCCGGTCCATCAGGGAACAAAATTAACTCCAGAAGTTGAGTAGTTGTCATTTATTCCACAAAATCTAAGTAATCTACCTCCCTTTACATTTCTTTCATATTGGGAATAGAATAATCATTAGCTGATAGACTTGAAAAAATAATCAGACCTGAGAGTGCTCTAAGAGGTCATATTACTAGAGCTAGAAAATTGGCCTGGCAGGTTAATTTACCTGGTAGATGGGATTTATTTGGACTCAATATGAATGCTACTACATACATTCCAGTTACCTGCTAGGCCTCTAAGCATATATACATTCATAAACTCTGATCTTTCCCTATTGGGAAGGTATATAAGGTGACTGAACTGAATTTAGATGCCTAGATCTGGAGTGGAGAAATGAGACAGAACCCATGAAGTTCATTATCCCATTACAAATGAGTAAGAAAGCCATAGAAGACTATTCATGCTAGATTGAAGAATAGTCCCAATTTTTCACCCTCTCTCTAGCTCATGCTTTCACATGTAACAATTTGGCTCTCCCATTCTGACTCTGGACTTGGTGGATGGCTTAGTTTGGCCAATGAGATACTAGCAAATATGGTACAGAAGCTGGAAACAGGCTTTGCACTGGGAATTGCTCTCTCTTACACCTCTGCTATCACTATGAGAACTTGCCTAGGCTAGCCTGCTGGAGGATAAGGAACTTGTGGAGCAGAATTGGGTTTCCCAAGTTGAACCAGATGAAGCCAGTCTAGATCAGCCAACATCCAGCCAACCCTAGATATGTGATCAAGACCATCAAAGTCCATCAGAGCTGCCTAGCCAAGCAATAATTCCTTATCTGATATTCCACTGAGGATTAGTGGTTTTTATGCAGCATTACTGTGGCAATGAATAATTGCTACACCAATTAGAGTTACCATTAGCGTAAGGAAGTAAGGGGAGTAAACTAATAAATTCTTGCTGGTACTAGAATAGATAGAACCAGTTGTTGAGGGAAAAAACTTGAAAACTTTAAAAATCAAACTGATTCGAAGTCTTAAAGCTGAGCACATATCCCAGAACATATCTATTTCTTTTTTTTTTTTTTTTTTTTTTTTTTTTTTTTTTTTTTTTTTGAGACGGAGTCTCGCTCTGTCGCCCAGGCCGGACTGCGGACTGCAGTGGCGCAATCTCGGCTCACTGCAAGCTCCGCCTCCCGGGTTCACGCCATTCTCCTGCCTCAGCCTCCCGAGTAGCTGGGACTACAGGCGCCCGCCACCGCGCCCGGCTAATTTTTTGTATTTTTAGTAGAGACGGGGTTTCACCTTGTTAGCCAGGATGGTCTCGATCTCCTGACCTCATGATCCACCCGCCTCGGCCTCCCAAAGTGCTGGGATTACAGGCGTGAGCCACCGCGCCCGGCCTCTATTTCTAAATTATAAGAGTCAAAATACATTCTAAATCCAGCCTAAGGACTGATTTAGGGCCATATTTAAGCAATGACCTAATTACAGTCAAGTAGTAATGAGAAAAATGTTAGAATGTATTTTATTAATATTATATTTTGCTTTTATAAGTACTTATTTAATATTTCTTACTGCTTAGAGTTATGTATTTTAATGAAAATTAAAATTTTTATACATGACTATAACTGAAAGTTTAATGAATGCTAGGTGTCTCCATGAACTTTGATAGCTGAAAGCTAGCTTTTTGAAACATGAGGCTGTAACCCAGGAATTTCTGTTAATAGTGAAAGATCTAGATTGCAAATAAAAATTATCAAGAAAACAAATAGCTTCTTAGGTGCTTGACAACTTAAAAGATAATGAAGACAACTACACTTCCATGGAGGATCCTGAGCAGATGCATTCAAACTATATATGGAGGAGACTATAAATCATCTAAAATGAAATCATCCAAAATGTCTGATTCCCTTTAGATACCAAAGGGGACTTGCTCCACACTTTCATTACACACAAAAAAGGAGAAAATACAGGGCTAAAATCATATTAATAAAACTTGTGAAGTGATACAGAATGGCAGGAAGAGAAAGCCAGGGACACACAAACATTTGAGAATCTCTGATTCCAAACATAATAATCCCAGGTAAAGAAAACTGAATTTTTTTTTTTCTTTTTTTTTTGAGACGGAGTTTCGCTCGTCGCCCAGGCTGGAGTGCAGTGACTCGATCTTGGCTCACTGCAACCTCTGCCTCTGGGGTTCAAGCGATTCTCCTGCCTCAGCCTCCCTAGCAGCTGCAATTATAAGCACCCGCTACCACGCCCAGCTAATTTTTGCATTTTTAGTAGAAATCGGGTTTGTCCATATTGGCCAGGCTTGTCTTGAACTCTTGACCTCAGGTGATCCACCCGCCTCGGCCTCCCAAAGTGCTGCAATTACAGGCGTGAGCCACTGTGCCTGGCCAAACTGAATTTTGATTGAGGACCAGTGACACTTAGGATAAGGTCTCCCCTGGGTAAATGGGTCTGACTAGTATCCACAAAGGGCCCCTGCCAGGGTGAGTTCTCTGCAACAGAAGCTGTCAGACCCTTTTGAAATGATATATATTTTCTGTCACAGCTCAGCACACACACAAATACATGCGTGGGGTAGGGGGTTTGTAGGTGTATACGCATGCCTTGTTTTGAAAAATGCAACATAAACAAAAGTCTTGAATCAAAGCAGGAACTATCTAAGCTGTTCAATAATAGCATGTTGTGTTGTGCTTTCTAGAAAATAAGTGTGTAATTGCCATAAAAACTAAAGTATTGGGTTGGTGAATTGAAGGTAATAGCAAAAACTGCAATTACTTTTGCACCAACTAATATTTTAAAAATCAGCATTATAGCATCCAGGAACATTCAATGGGTTAACATACTTATTTGGTATTATTATAAAGGTATTTACTTAGTCACTGTAGATCTTTAAATTGTCCTTGGAGATGCAGATTTTCTACAATCAATACACCCCCAAAGGGATTAACTCAGTCTTAGTTTTGCTCCTTTTAAAATCTGTAGCTGTAAGATTTAACTCATTAGGGCGCAGAGGTAATATGCTAATGTGGTCATATCATGAGCTGCTTGTCTCCAGAAATCCCACTAGAATCTCAGATTGAACAGCTAAATCAACCTCTATGTTGTTTGTCTTACAAGGATCAGAATTAATACAGTTTAGCCTAATAATACAAATCCTATTGAAGAATGATGTCAAAATATATGATAGGGCATATATAAATAGTTCTTTCACAATTAAAAATATATATTACATTTTCTATCCAGATTGTTCCAGAGTTTAATGATGATGACAAGTTTTTGATTTGCTAAAGAATGACTAGAATTTAAAAGTATAGAACATATCCATGTGGATAATGTATCAGTCCATACTAAGCACTGGTTTTTAAGAAACTAATATTTCTTTATATTCTTGTTGGATTTGGAAATGCCTTCTATTTGGAGGCTTTTTTTCTTCTTCAAATTCCTAAAGAATGGGTAGTCAACCTCCGCCCCATTTTTTAAGCTTCTTGGTCAGCCTTGTATGAGATTACTGAATATATATTTTTAATACTTGAAAGTAAAATAGGGACATATCTTCTATATGTTTATAATTTCAGCATTTACATTCTACTTTTCTAATACTTTATAAGTAGAAGACAACTGATATCTTTTGTAGTATCATAATAGAGCCCTAACACCTAGACCTTTAACTTACTAGGTGGCAAAATTGTTTATTTTTGAATTTCGCATGGCATCAATATTTGATTATTTGCTGAATGACAGAATTTTGTGATTTTAATGTATTCCCTAAATTGCTTCTCAGTCTCTCACTCAGTAAAAGATCCTACCTCAAGCTGACATACACATCACTGAGACAATATGAAAATTCCCCTTTGTTTCTTATCAGTTTTGTGAGACACATGTTTTGGCTCACCTCTATAAAATATTCAAGGATGCTAATTTGAGAAAACTAAATAACAGGAACATTCTAAATTTATACTTTTTGGCTTTACTGATGTATGAATATTATCAGTTACATTATCACCGTGTGGCAGCATACATTGCAGATTTTGGAAGTTTTGTATATTCAAGATTAAGAGAGCAGGTGAATCATAAGGAGCAAAAGTCTAGTCTTTCTTATCAGCTCAAGGTTCTCGTTGATTCGAAGCTGGCCTCAAAAATGAGACAAACAAACCTGCTGGTAAATACAATCACATTGACCCATTTTTAGTGCACACCTCAATGCCACAGTGGCCAAATATCAGAATTGATCTGGTATCTTGTTGGATACATCTCAGGTTATAACATTTCCAGTGAGACCTCCCTGGAGCCAAAATGGTCTTTCATGTTTCAATGAAGAACCATCTATCGGGCTTCTAATATCTGTTAGACCCTGTGCAGGCCTTGGGGAGACAGAAAGGAATAAGGCTCAGACGCTGATTTCAAGAAATTCTCACTCTTATTAAAGTAAGTTGACATTTTTCTGAACCTCTGTCTCACCACTTTCTGCTATTTGTTTATGAAATGTCTAGAATTCTTTTTCTGTTTCCCGTTTTATAATATAGTATATACAGTAATTTTGAGCAAACCTCCTACTTGCTATACATAACACTTTTCATAGTCAAATAAAATCTTTCATTAAAAATATTACCATGGTACTTTATATTTTATAGTTTGGAGACAGATCTAGTCATAGACCACACAGCTCAAGAAGGAGTTTTAAATTATTACTCTAAGTAAAAATTTCCATTCTAAGGCCTCAGGCCCTTTCCTTTTAGCTTAGATGTCATTAGCCACCCCCATGTCTACCTTCTTCATCCCTTTCACTATTCCTGACCCAATTCCCACTGAAGCTTCTATTTTTCCAAACTTCCTTATATTCGAAATTCATCATTCATTGAACTGAATGACTTTAAGAAACTTCTGGCTATTAGGACATCTACAAAAATAAACCAATATGTTATTCACTTGCAAAGTACTTGGTAACACTAAAAATCCAGCATAAACTCAATATGCTACTAACACCAATACTGTACAATATGTCATAGAGCTAATAATTCCAGAACCATTCCTAACAATAAATACTCCTTCCAGTCCTAACATGAAAACAGATAACATTTGCTTGGTAAAGATGATAAGTTTCTCTATTGCTTATCATCTGATAAGAGTACATAAAGACCCAGCTGCAGATGGACGTAAGAACACAAATAAAAACACGTAAGAACACAAATTTAATTATTTGTACGTTCCTTTAATTCTTTTCTTTTATCTGGATCTGTAAGCCACAAAATGTTCTCCATAAACCCAATCACAAAAGCATGCCTCAAACCGGCTACCTCTGGTTCTCACAAAGACCCCCAACGGGTGCAGGACTTACTTGCTGCTCAGGCAGCGCCTCAGAGAGTAGGAGGCCCCACCCCCGCAGGTGCGTGAGCATTCACTCCATGGGCCCCAGGCATCCCATAGGCCGTCCCGGTCCTCCTCGGAGCGTGCGGTCCTGGAACTCTGTGAGAAACAAAAGAATGGTCAGCATCATATCCCCCATGGAACCCTGAAACATGTGTTCTAAAATGTGACTGGCCTGTACGTGTGTGTACATGGTGGCTTTGCTAGGAATGAAAACGCGCAATCAGATTCTCGGATTCTTTTCCATTTCATAATGCCTATATGTTCAGGGGGAGGGATATTTAAATTTAAGGGCCCTGGGCAATGACTGAAGTGGGCACGAAGTTGTACAAATGGAACAAATGGAAAAGGAAGCCAGAAACAGGAATTTGGGTTAGAAGACAATCAATTGCATTGAAGTCACAATTTTGCTCAGGGTTCATGAGTGTACTCTTCATCTCTTAGTGAAAGGAAAGAAGCTGCTCTCAGAGGTATTTCTGTCCTGAGAAGCTTGGCATGTGCACACTAAACTGCTTCCCAAAATCTAACAATATTTTATACCATCGACAATTTTTTAATAAAGCAACTGCATTCCTAGTTTTCAGATGTGCTCGTTGGAATAACTATACAAATAACTTTAGCAATGCACGGATTGCCTCTTGACAAATAGACTTGCTGGTTATTTACAGGCTTTCTAGGAAAATTTCCATATACTGTAAGAATACTTGTGGTTATGTACAGGTCTCAATGCTGTACTTCACATTCAAGAAAAAGATAAAATGTGTGCTATAGTTAAGAGAACAGGCTCTGGAGTTACAAATTATCTGAGTTTGGGTACAAGTTCTATTTTTTATTACGAGTCCTTGAACAAGTAACTTACCACCTTCCTATGCCCCAATTTCCCTTTTTACAAATTGGGGTAATATTATAACCATGCTACTGCACACACACACACACACACACACACATGCATGCACATATTATATAGGAAGATCAGCAAAATGAACTTAGCCCACCTAGAACTAGTGCCGGAGCAGAGTGCTAATTTTTATTTTGTAGTAATGGGATCCTTTATCAATCAGTTGCTATGGGGTGCGGTTATTAAACTGACTACTCCTTTGAACTTTTAAAACCTGTACTTGAACTTTTAAAACCTGGCCTTAGGATGTTATACAAATGGTTTTCCAACTGGTACATGCTATACTTAGTTTCCTGAATCATTGGAAAGGGAGATGAGATAGCACAGTGATTAGGAGCAGGAACTGTGGATCTACCCAGCCTGGGGTGGAATACTGGCTTTAGAGCTTCCTAGCTCTATAAACTTGGGCACCTACACAATCTCATATGCTTTAGTTTTCTTATCATAAGATGGAGATAATAAAGATACTACAACAATGAATGAATCAATGAATCTTTTTGAGCAGTGAAAGAGTTGATACATAAAAAGCACATAAAGTGGAAATAACCCAAATGTCCATGAGTGGATGAATATGTAAACAAAATGTGGTATATATATATATATATATACACAATGGAATACTATTCAGCCTTAAAAAGGAAGAAAATTTAGATGCAGGTTCAACATGAATGAAACTTAAAGACATGACACGAAGTGAAATAAGTCAGACATGAAAGAACAAATATTGCATGATTCCACTTACTGAGGTATCTAGAATAGTCAAATTCATAGACACAGAAATGTCTGTGTCTGTGTCTAGAATGGGGGGCACTGGGAGAGAGGGGAATGGGGAGTTGTTTTATGGATGCAGAATTTCAGTTAGGGAAGATGAAAAAGTTCTGGAGATGGATGGTAGTGATGATTGCAAAACAATGTGAATGTATTTAATGTATAGTTCAGTGTATAAATATATATACTTAAAAATAGTTAAAATGTTAAATTTTGTGTTAGTACATTTCACTGGCACAAAAACAAATATAAACATACATTTTTAAAAGTACATAGGGCCTAAATAATAAACACTACATTGTATAAGCATTTGTTGCTATTATTATTTAACATTATTTATTAATTATTATTAATATGTATAAACATATATGGGCTCTGAAAGTTTACAGGAGGTACACTGATAAGGCACCAGGCTTTTTGCTTTGAGTTTAGTTGAGACACCGTGCTTGTAAAGTATCATCTCCCTGAAATCCCTGACTTTCCCACAGTACGACCTTGCAGCCTCTTGTCATATTGCATCTGCCTGGTGATGTAATCTGCTAGCAGTTTTATGTTCCTATAAAATGTGGCAAAGCATGGATAACGGAGCCACCTTGGTAACCCCAAAATCTGTACTTTTGAAAGGAAGAATTTATTGAGCTCCAAAGCCTGGTTTTTAGGATTATTAAAATCAATCCTTAATCACTGCAATAAGAGGTGCTCTGTTTTCAGAACTTAAACAATGAGAGAGAAAAGACTCTTTGCCAATGATGTATGCATACACAAATTTCTTCTCCATAGCCCATTTAAATTCATCCCTCAGATTTTAAAAAGTTAATTGTGTATCATCTAACTCTTTGTTTGCCGCATGTGAATAGAAGATAGGATTGCTGACTACTGAGAGAGGTGCAGTATTTTCCTGAAGCAGTTTCTATTTAAGTGACAAATATATATCTCTGCAATGCGATTTCTCTCATTTTACTCAAATTCAATATGACTTTGATGAAACCAGTATCACAAACGTTAGGATTCATGCAGTAATTGAAATGAGTGATTACAAACTTTGATGCTATCCGTTACTACAACTGCAAAAGCAAAACAAAACAAAACTAAAGAAAATCCACACGCAGCATTCACATGCAGAATGCATTTTCATATGAGATAAGAACACTCGAATGCCAAATCCTTGGAGAGTTTCCCTCTGGCTGTTCTCTGGGTAAGATATTTGGTAAATAATGTATGGTTGTGATTTTGTTTTTCTAGAAAAACAAATTGTTTCAAACTCTGTGCTAAAGTTCCTTGATATTTTTCATGTGCCTTGTTTGAAGAAGTACTAAAAGCTTCAATGGTGAGGTTTCACTGCTAAGCATCTTATCTCATCACATATTACACGTTTCAGCACAACTACACATATTAAGTGCCCACGATGTCTCTGAATGAGATCTCATGCAAACCCAGAAGCAAGTCATAGGTCTATTTCACAAAGTCGAACAAACTCTAAGTTTTCTTTTAACAAGTAGAATAAACATAATTCATTTCAATGGAATCCATGTTTAATGTTGGAGAAAGTGATTTTTCTGCTTTTTAACTGTGCCAGACATTTACATCTATAACCAGCAATGACTTTTTAGAGATGCCTTTCTGATTATTTAAAATCTAGAAGTATTTGTTTATTGCAGTTTTTAAGACTTTCTTCACTATAAACAAATTTTGTGTCTGGCCCTGGTAGAACACATGCTTATTTCTCTTCTCTTTTACTTTTTTTTTTTTTTTTTTTTTGAGACCGTGTCTTACTTTGTTGCCCAGGCTGGAGTGCAGTGACACGATCATTGCAGCCTTGACCTCCTGGGCTCAAGGGATCCTCCTGCCTCAGCCTCTTGAGTAGCTGGGACTACAGGTGCTTGTCGGCACGCCCGGCTAATTTTTGTATTTTTCATAGAGACGAGGTTTCGCTATGTTGCCCAAGCTGGTCTTGAACTCCTGAGCTCGAGCTATCCACCCACCTTGGCCTCCCAAAGTGCTGGCATTACAGGCATGAGCCATCACGCTCGGCCCCATTTCTCTTTTACTTTTGAATGTACAGTCCTTTTAACTTTACAGCAGCAATTTTCTAAAGTGTAAACTTTGAATTGCATCTAGCAGGGGAAATAGAGGCAGAAGAAAAATAAAGAGTAGATAATGGGTCGCCTAAAAGTAACGCTGATTGCTTCTGAAATCAAAAATCTAAGCTCTTCTATACAGGCCAGCCAATGTTTTTCAATGATTTTCGTCAGATAAATGTAATATTTTAATTCAATGTCTCAAAAGGAAGGTTATGGATGCTATTGAACATAGTGATCAAAAGATTATCCCTGACCCCACTGCTGGAAATTTCAGCAGCAATGTCATGTGAGATGATGGTCTTTAGCTGTTAATATCAATGACAAGGAACTAAAGAACAACTATTAAGTTCTTTATGTAAGGCAATGTTTCACTAGTAGTAGATGTATCATAAAAAGTCTAGAGTGCATCTCATATTGAACTTGAGGGAAAAGGCCATTATAAAACCCTTTCTTATTACAGCAACTATTTTACTTTACAGGCATTGGATGAGTGAGAATGGACAATTGGCAGCTGTTTTGATCTAGCATTTGAGAAATCCACTGAGAGAAGAAGCGCCTGAGTTTTGGCTCTATAATTTTATGAAAGTTGACTAGGCCCCTTGAGTTATTAAATTTAGAAACAGTTCAGCCATTTTTAGATCTTTGGTGCCACATATTGACCTTTAAATGTAGTGTTGGATAAGACTCCTGAATCAACTGCTGTCTTCTCAGAAACTCAGCAATCAACCCCCCAACTCCATTGATCCATCGTTCCTGGCCAGTCAAGACGTTCTTAGCCTCAGTAAATGCCAATTTTATGGAATACAGATTGTGGTCACAGATCATTATATGCCTCCTACAAATACTAGAAGAGCTCTCCTACATCCATCAACCTCAGAATGGTGTCATTTTCTTGCCATTACTGGCTTATCTAAACGTGGTTTACATCTGACAGTTTTGTGGTTAATTCCAGAGCCAATTGCAGCAACAAAGTCTCAGGTGAACAGCTCCAAGCCTGACAGCTACAAGTAGTTAAACAATTTGAGTAATCACATGAAGCAATATTTTCCCTGCAGCTCACTGCCCAATAGACACTTCACCTTAGAATGACCTCCTATGTACCACTTATCCATAGCCTCTTTCATTGGAACCTGGACAGGTTATCAAATACATGAAAGATGTAAGATGAAGCAGAAATTAGCAATAAAAGACTAGAGTTATATTTGCTCAGAGACACGCATATACAGGGTACTTGGAAAATATTTTTTCCAAATGTTAAAACAAGAGGTCAAGCTATATGAAATTAAATGAAAAAAAAGTAGGTGCTGAGGAAATGCTTGATAGTTTTTTGTAAAATTGAAGTCATATAACAGCTGAAGTTATAGTATAAGAGAAGTGTTTTTCAGATGTCAACAGATCGTCAGAAGTAACAAAATGGGCTATGAGAGAAGGCAAAGAATGGCACTCACAATTTTAAGATCATCAAGAAGGTACCTGAACCTCTGGTTTTCCACTTCCAGACAGACAGCATTTAGCTTAAGTTATCTGGAGCTGTGTATGTGGCTGTATCAAATGGATGTCACACACTTCTATATTAAAAAGAGGGGCAACTCCCCCAGTGATGAGAGAACCATTTTTCCTGTGGTCTGCCCATGCGAAGTGGAGCAATCTATACACAGAAACATCCTGGCCATGTCTGAAGCTTTGGAAACAAATCTGCAGATTCCATTTTTAGCTGCCCTACCCACATCAGGTCTCTATAAATCTTATCTAATCCTTGGCTTCTTTAACAACTTGGAATACTGGTTCTGCCGCCAACTGTATGTGGTAGGGGTTGTGATTCCCTGCTCCTGAGAGCTCACAGACATTAAGCAGTAACTGGGCTCTTGTAAAAGTCCATTAGCTTTTTGATGTACTTTCTTAAAGAGCGTAGTGTGTGGATACTGAGGCATGCGCCTTCCCAGATGATATTTGCTGCTGGCTTTGCTTAGGAAATTTGGATCATCTGGTTCTTATCACAGCTGCACTGTTGGGAGATATGATGAACTGCCAGTGACACAGTGCATGGTCTTTCAGAGGCCACTGCATGAAGCCTGTCCCTTGCTACTGAAGAGAAAAGTCAATTCTGTAACAGGGTGTAAAAGCTATACAGGCCAAGGAGGACTTTTGGGTACCTGTCTCCCTTTTGCTTTCTCAGCATCTATGCACACATTCCAGTGCGCTTTTGCGCATTCCTGTTAAGGCGACTAACTGCACTAAGCCTGGAGAGTTGATGGTGAGGGAAAACTGGGGTTTCTTAAGTACCTGCATGCCAGGAAGCATGCCAGGATTTAGACAAATGATCGTATTTAATCCTCACAATGACCCAGGTCAGGTGAGAATTTTTTTTCCTTATTTTACAAATAAGAAAATTGAGGCTGTGAGGTTGAACAACCTGTATCATGCTGCAGGAGAAAGAGCACAGACTTTAGAGTGAGACGGACTTTCCTAGTCATATACTGGTAAACTTGAACTTAGACATGTTGTCAGATCTCGTTAAGCCAGAGTTTCTTCATGTGTAAAATGGGAACATTGGCCGGGCGCGGTGGCTCATGCCAGCACTTTGGGAGGCCGAGGCGGGCGGATCAGCTGAGGGCAAGACTTTGAGACCAGCCTGACCAACATGGTTAAACCCCATCGTTACTACAAACACAAAAAATTAGCCAGGCATGGTGACGCTTGCCTGTAATCCTAGCTACTTGGGAGGCTGGGACACAAGAATCGCTTGAACCCAGGAGGTGAAGGTTGCAGTGAGCTGAGATCGGGCCAATGCACTCCAGCCTGGGCAACAAGAGTAAAATCCCATCTCAAAAAAAAAAAAAAAGGGGGTGGGGGGAACATTGATACTTCTCATAATATGGTGATTAACAGAGAGAACACATGTGAAGTACCTAGCATAGTTTCTGGCATATTAGTGCCAATTATTTTATCACTCCCTGCCCCCACCCCCATGCTACAAATGCACACACGCTCATGTCACATAGTTAATATCTAGTAAAGCCAAGTTTTATGTCTGTATCTTTTTTTTTCTGCCTAGCTTCATATTTTGACCTTTCTTTCCTTTTCAAACAGTATTTATCAGTATGTGAATTTTGTATAAAATGACAATGAATGGTGTTGCTTTTCTTCTAAAAAATTATTTTGTCCTCAGAATTCCTTCTCGTCCTGGGACAACAATTTGGAGATGAAATTAAAACAGCTTCATCACTTTTTAGGAAACAAAAATCCGACTCTGTTCAATGTCAAATACTTCAGTAAGGTTTTCATTTCAGAACTATGGTAACTTGATTTTATTTTGTATTCTATCCAAGGTCAAGCCTGGATTATAGCTCTTCTAGAAAACTGCTGAGAAACCTCTGGGCATTTTGGAAAGCTTCAACAGAACACAATTTCACAGCCAGTTGAATTAAAATCAATAATTGCTGATATGAACAAAGGTTAGTATTCAGGAAATTTTCGACAGACCATTGAATATTTTGAATCAGCTTATCTCAAGGGAAGGCATAGATAAAATATTTGATCATTCTCAGTTTCTATTACTTTAAAAGCACAAACTTAGCAAATGGAAACACTATAACTGCTTTGTCATAAGACTGAGAGAATATTAATATAAATATTATAATGCATTTTTTTGATAGAGATTTCAAACTCCTTTAATTTGGAAGACTAAAGGAGATTTTCTACTAGAAATAGCCTGTCAGTCTGTTTCTCTTTTTCTGTGATAATAATCTTCTTTAAAATAACTATAATAGCTGAGCTTCTAGACCTAGAGAGTGCTCAATTAGGAGTAGAAGCCTGAAGCTGGTAATTCATGTATTTTACAAAGGAAAAGTGGAAAACAGGAGAACTGTATCCTGTAGAAACTACAGTCATTTAAAAAAATTCATTTATTTCATGTTTTTGAAGGAAGTCATCACCTTCCTGGCCCCTGGACTATAGGGATATTTTAAACCCTGATACTATTTCACCTCAGGTGTGAAACGTTAGCCATTTTACCTGGAGTTCTAAAAATGAAACAATTGTTCCTGGTTGCTGTTGCTGTTTTTTGTTTTCTTCTTTTTCCTATACTTAGAAAACCAATCTCCAGTGGAAAATAATATGTAGGCCCAACACCAAGGAAAACAGTGAAGAATCACCCCCTAGGGCTTCCACACCCTCCACTCCCCAAAACAGGCATGTTTGAAACACCCCCTCAAACGAAATTCTCTCTCTGCTCTTTTTGTGAATTCCCAACTTCCTGGTGAGCCAGTTAGAAGTTTTAGTTTCCACTTCCATCTAATCTAACCAGAGGTCCGTCCAAACTGTGACTCCAATCAGCCATAGATACTTTCTGCAGCACTGGCAAATTGAGCTGAAATGAATTTACAAACCATCTGTAGAACTAAGGAAACATCTGAGGCTCTGGAAAGCACATGTTGGGGTTTGGAATCATAGAGGAAGAATTCCTGTTGGAGAAAAATCTCATTTCATGATTTGCTGAGGAAACTGGAACGTTAATAGATTAATATGGCTTAGGGTTTGATGGGCAAAAAAACCCAAATTATAACTGATAATAGGGAAGCTGCATGAAATGACTAGCTAACTTCATGTCACTCTCAAACAAGTCAGCTTTTGGTTTTGGTAGAACTTTCTCTTTTCTTTGGTTGACTATTGTGCCATGTGAGCCAAGAAAAAAATGTGGTGTAATAGTTCTGAATTAAGTTCCATGGGATGCGGGATGTGGTTTAGGTTCTATTCCTATACTCATGATTGGATGCGTTCTCTCTTAAATACCATCCAGATATTGTAGGATGTGTGGGATTGAAATTTAAAACATTCTCCCTGGCTTAATATTATGCTTTCTTCTTTTTTACATTCTTGTTTCTACTTTTGCTTAAGTTCAGCTCTCCTTACTCAGAAAAAGTGGAATGATAAGCTCTTAGTATTGCAGTATTCTCCTTAACCTGAAGTTACTTGATGTCCCATTATGTAGTACTAGTTTACAAAGAGTCAGTATAGAATAAATTAAAACAAGACTTTGTAGCTCTTTGGGATTATCATTCTATATAACAATTATCTTTCCAATTAGACTGGAAGCTCTTTGAAGGCAGGGGTGATGCTTTCTATTTTTGAGTTATCTACAGTTATTGAAATAATTATTAAGAATGTCATTTTGAAGAAAATGTAAGATTTCAACAAATATTTAATCAATGATGAAATGCCTGGAAATACGTTTTATTTTAAATGTTTACATATTTGTCATTTGTCTCTCAAAAAGGTACATAGGGCATAGAGTAAGCATAAAGTGGGGGAGAAAGCAAGACCATGAGAAATATCCAGTCACTTAAAATTGCCAAGTAATTTCAATTTCAGGGACTTTCTTCTGTTCTCCAGCTCAAATAGGTATCACTCCCCCACCTTCACACACACACACTAGGAGATGAAGTCCATCAAAAACTCTGTACCTGCAACCTAGATGACTTTGTTCTAAGAAGCAGTAGCTCTCTCAATTACCATATCTTTGTACCTTCAATAGATAACATTTTCCTCTAGCTTAACCTGTAGCTGTAACTACAGGCAGTAGCCTGGATATTTGGAACACTCTGGCAAATTTTGCAGTTTTGGGAGTAGGTTGATTTTGAGGTTCTGGTCATACTTTCCCATTATGAATGTAAAGCAAACCAACCTAGTCTCTTAGCTATCTAGGAGGTGCTCTGGGGCTAGGAAACCATGTAAGGTAGAGATGGCAACCAACAAGTTAATCACTGCTTACTCAGGTTTACTATTTTCAACAGTTCCTTATTTGATTTTATGTCCATAAGCAGTGATTAGTCTCAGAGGTCACTACCCTACCTCATAGCCCTCTGCCTCTTGGCTTTTGAGGGACGCGTTGCTTTCACATGAATGTGAAGTTTCTAATCCTGCATGCTTATGTTTTCATTTCTGCTCATTCCCTGAGTCCTGCGTGAGTCAGCAACACCTTTAGAGGATTTACAGTTTAGTGGGGAAGATTGAGATAACAACAAAATATTTAACTGCTCAACATCATTTATAATTAATCAGACATCAAGTCTTATCAATTCCATTTCTGAAATCCCTCTCTCTTCCATTCTCACCCCGTCCAATCTTACTTTCACTGACTTAATTCTGGTACTACCATTCATGCCTGGCACTTTGCAATTGACTTCCCATCTGGTGTTTTTGACCTCCAGCCTCTCTTCCCACCAGTCTGTCCTCTTCATCATTCCCAGTTATCTTGCTAGAATACAAAGCTCAACTGTTCACTCCTTGCTAGGAGATTTTCTATGGCTCCACTGCCTAAAGCTGATGGGACCTAGTAGTGTTAATAAATGCCAGGTGGGCTATGAACTCTCAGAAACTCTATGCCACATTTTGAGCATATGTGTGTTATATCACACTTCTGGAGCGAGGATTTATAGCTTTTATCAAATTCTTCAAAAAAGGTGAAGAGCCATTGGATATAGGGTAAAGTCTAAGTTATTAGCATAGCATACAAGACGCTTCATAAACTGGCCCTAAATCAACATTCTAGATTCATTCCTGCTTTTTGTAATCATACATGGCCTCTACACTTCAGTAATTGGTCATGATTCTCAGTAACACAGGTGCTGTGAGGACATCTAGTAATCGGGTCATGATCTTGATAGTGCCTAGATTCCCCTCCTCACCATCTTGCTCACATCTTTTTATTTCATTTGACTTGTGTACTCCTGCTCCTGCTCTAAGATGCAATGCCACTGCCATCTTCTAGTAAAATTTTCTCTTATCTCTAGGTAGAATCAATCACTGCTTGGCCTGGTTTTTTTTTTTTTTTTGAGACAGTCTGTCACCCAGACTGGAGTGCAGTCGTGTGATCTCAGCTCACTGCAATCTCCACCTTCTGGGTTCAAGCGATTCGCCTGTCTCAGCCTCCTGAGTAGTTGGGATTACAGGCACCCGCCACCATGCCCGGGTAATTTTTGTATTTTTAATAGAGACAGGGTTTCACCATGTTCCCCAGGCTGGTCTTGATTCCTGACCTCAGGTGATCCACCCGTTTCTGCCTCCCAAAGTGCTGGGATTACAGGCGTGAGCCACCACCCAGCCATCCTGTGTGTTTTGAGCATATTGCTAGGACTTGATACAAATGGCTATTTTAGCATTTGTCAGCCACCCAGTATAGTTACTTGTTTACACATCTATCCCCAGAAGTGGACTGTGTGCTTCTTAAGAGCTGTGACAAAGATGAATATGCCTCTGAATATGCGCAGTGCCTTGTAGAACACCAGATACGTAATCGGTCTCAGTGAATATTCATTAAATGAATGATTAACACAAGGCAGGTTAGGACAAACTGCAGTTGAATGTCTAATTCATAACAGCTGTCAGCTTTCACTCTTGTCCATATACATTCAGATTATCTAAAGACAGAGGGAAAAAATGTATGCAGAAGCTGCAGATAAGCAAGGGAACAGAAGAGGACAAAAATGAATCTGAATCATGGGGGCAAAAAAAGGATCACATTTCTGCTTATTCACATGTCTTTTTATGCCAACTCTAAATTTACCCAAAATGTGTAAAGCTGAAAGATGATTAACCTGTCACATCTTGGCTTAATCTAGCTTTATCCAAGTCCTAGATCCTTGTTTGCCAAAGGGAGCCTGTCACTGAGTAAACAATTTTCATCCCTCTGCAGCACTTGGGAAGCTGTGCTTTTGAAGATGAGTGTGCTGGGATTAGAAAGAGAACTGGGAATGAGAATGAAGAGAGGTGGGTGAGGAAGTCCTGGCTTAATTAAAAGCATAGGCCTCTACCAATTAAAAAGAAGTAAAGAATACTTATTAAATCATTTTTAATGAGTGTAAAAATTAGTACAATACATAGATAACCATAGATCACAGAGAGATGTAAAGTTGAGCAGAATTAATCAGGAAAAATAACCTGATAGAAGCAAATCTGAACACACATTTTAAAGTCAGAGTTTTGGACTCGGGAGAACATATTTCCATTAGATTTTCCATAAAACTAAATATTGCAATTCAAGTAATAGAGCTCTCATGTTAAAATAAATTAATAGAGGCAAAATATCAATACAATGTCCTTGAAGCTAGGGACTAGGTGATATTCAGCTTAACCCCTAATATCTAACACAGGGCTTGATACAGAGTTTAATGTTCAATGGATGTTTACTGTTCTGCTGAGTTTTTGGTGAGCACTTTTAATTTTAAAATGTTTCAGAGTGTACATACATAATATTGATAGCAAAAACTTCTAAACAGGGACACAGTCTAGGCAACAGGATTTGGCCACTGTGGTGTTTTTGTTATATCCTGACTTTGCTGCTGTGGTATTTTAGGCAACTTAGTTCTCTCTGCCTCAGATTAGTCACTTCCACAAAAAGGAATTTTGGCTAATTTCTGAGACACCTCTAGCTACAAAAATGTCTATGATTCTAAATTAGTCTATTTCATTTAAGCACATTTACAAATCAATTTTCTAATTTGTAAAATGGAACATAAGCATTTGCTCTGTGTAACTCATAGAGTTATTTTTTTAAATATAAGTGCTAATACATGAAAAAACGTTGTGCAGTGCAATTAATAAATGAAATCCAAGTAGAGGCAGTCCTACAGCTTCAGTCCTAAGAATTGTTTTGTTACAAAGCAACTCTTGAAACAGAGAATCTCTGCTGGGACTTTCTTTCTTTGCTAATACAATTTTCTGCATCCAGAACCTATGGCAGATCCTAAAGTGACTTCTGAATAATAAAAGAAATGCTAAATTATACTCTGTACTTTTTATTAATAAGAGTTTACTCTTTAATACTTTGAAAAACAATAAATACTTGTAAGCAAAAGTCTCCCAAATGCTGAGATAAAAGTCAGCTTTATTTGATGTTTTTCAGTTTCTATATTGACTTAATTCCTAGCCAAGTGTTAAGGAATGATGTTTTTTTCTTCCTGTGATGTTTGTATTATAATGTGCTATATCAATAATCTTCATGACATACTTTGTTTTGTATCAAAACAGAAACTCTGTTATTGTGCTTCCCTACTGTGTAACTTAGTTTTTTAAAATGCTTTCCTACATATTAAGTCCTTTATCAATAATAAATGAGAGTCAGTTACTATTGTCTTAGTATAGCTTTTGTTGTAACTACATCAATCAAGCCATGCATTCTCTAGTTAAATAGGTATTTACTTCAAAAACATGATAGCCTACAATTTTTTCTTTAAAATCTTGTCCAGAGTAGATTGTAGTATAAGTGCCTCATTTAAAATAACTGTCTAAAAGAACCTGTCCTTATCGGGCCACTATAATTTGTCATCATTATCTGTAAATAGTACAGCTCTACTTGTATTAAAATGGGAAATAATAATGGTGATTAGAGACAAATATAGCAGTCATCTCTTCCTATCTTCCAGTCAACAGAAATATTTACGTTTTGGGGCTGGCTAAATTCTGCATACTTTTGGCATTTTTAAACTGAAAAATATAATCCAGATATTGTATATATGGGAAGGACTACCATCTTCTAATTTATAAATTAAATGATCATGTTAAGGAGCCATCTGCAAAACCACTTATTAAATGTTTATTATTAACAGTACATGAAACATGACATGATTTTTTGTGATTTTTGTGAGCCATCTCTGGCTCTCAATGCTTGCAGAGTAGAAGCAAATACTTTGAGAGTTTATAAAGCTTAATTGTGCTTTCAACGTGTAAGCATTTTCAGCCTGTTACCTTTTTGTTTCCAGCAAGAAGAGTTCTTTTTCCTTCCACATCGATGTTGTTTAAGAGAAATAATATTTAAATTGCATTAACATGCTTAGCAATGTGAAAAGTTAATAGATTAATGTCTCAGGCAGTGTTAGAATTACCAAAATGCCTCAGGAATATATTAAAATGGATCTTGGCCACAGAAAATATCAAGAATGCTGAGGCACACCACAGGCATCTTTTTTAAAGCCTGTTTTGTAATAAGCAGAGAAAGTGAAGGTGCTAAATCATGGTTTACTACCCCATTTGCCTCACAGCCTCTCTGTCTCTGGTGCTGGGCCTCAGAAATCAATTTCACACACGGCTGCTATCAGCATTCTTTGAGCTATTAAGACGAAAGCACTTTCTCTTCTTTTTATTAAAACCAAGCTCCCTTTTATCACATAGCTCCTGCTTTGTGCTTTCCTGCCTTTACACTCCACTCTGTCAGTGGTGAGGGCTAACCTGTCTCCTGCCTCCCTTCCTTTCAGTTCTAAACTTCTTGAAAGGCTAACCCATGTTCACTGCACCCACTTCCCCAATACTCCCGAATTCTCTAGTGCTTTGTAATCTGGCTTCTGCCCACCGCTTGGCTGACGTGGCTCCTCTGAAATTCATCAGCATCCTGTAATTCACCACATCCTATGACTTTCCCTCACATCTTGCTGCGGAATATGCTCCCCTGGCTTCTTTGGCAGCGAGTTCTCCCCTGTTTTGTCCCCTGCCTTTTCTTACTCATCTGGACTAGCAAATGCTGTCATCCCCAAGACTCTTTCCTCAGGCCCCTGTTCTCTCTGTGCTCCGATTGATCTTATCCACTTTCCTCACTTGAGTTGTCTTCTCCTTGCATGTGATTTACAAATCTACGTCTCTTCCAATCTCCAGGATTCTAGTTTCACTTACCTGAATGCTTTGTTGATACTTTAAACTCAGCACATCCAAAACCAAGCTCGCTATTTGGGGCCCCAATATTTTAGCAGTCTTTCCCCCTAGCATAGTGATGAACATACAGACATTGCTATACAACAATTCCCCTTTCTCCAGCCTCCTCTGTCTTCCTCCTCATCCCCTTCACCTACCCCCTCTCCCTCCCTCCAATCAATTGCCTCTGCCACCTATTCTGCTTCTGCTGTGTAGCTTCCTTCTGTTCCCCCTGTCTGCTAGAGCCCCCATTCAGACTCTTCTTGCAGTGGTCTTCTATGTGATACACAACTGGGACCCCAGCCTGCTTCCAGCTCTGGCCAGGCCAGTTCCTCTGTGGCATGGGTCTCAGTGTGCCAGGACACATGCAGTAAAACAGCTGAACATAAGATAGGAATGATGGTTTGGGACAGGGCCTTGGATCCCAGCTGAGGAATTGGTCCTTGAGTAGACTCCAGACAGCTGGAGACAGTGAAGGCTTTTGAGCACGAGATGACTAAGGTTTTACAGTTTTCAAAGTACTTACACGTACTTATTTGATCCTCATAATACTACTATGAGGCACTGAAGGTTTATGGGCATTTTAGGAAAAAAGGGGAAATGAGGTTTCTGTTAAAGGGTAGGAGACAAAGCCAGGTTACCATCATTTCCTCAACAGATGAGAGGAATTTAGTATCTCTTTATGTCTAATTAAATAAGTGGTATACAGTTGGGTAAGTCGGTCATTTGGATAAGAATTAAATTTAGCTATCTGAGAAGAGCAGTGGGAAATATGACCAAATACTTAATCTCACACAATGGCCATCTAGAAAAAGAAAAATAAAGAAAATAAAAGATGAGATGACTAGTCTGTGTGGAAGACTGAATGTTCTCAGCGTATGTTTTATTTTGTCCCTTCAAATTGGGCTCAGGAAGGTTTTAATTTCTTCTATCTTTTACGAAATGATTTAACATGTTCATGGTTCCTATTTTTTGAATGAAAAGTGTATACATTGAAGTGGCTGGTGCATTATACTTCAGATTACGCGACATCCTGGTAACTGGAGGATTTCTGAATCTCTTTGTGCATGCTATGTAACAGGATCGGATGATCATCTTCACATTAGGCACCAGAATGCTTCCTCTCACATATAGACTTAACAATTTACAAAGTGCATTCACATTGACTACAGGAGTTCCTGGAATCAGTATATTATCCCTGTTTTAGGGACAAGGGGCTCCTAAGTTTTTGATTTTCACAGGGAGGAAGGGAGTTTATAAAGCATCTTCAAATATAAGAGATATATCCACTAACAGTTAAGAGGTTTTTGGAACCCTTTAAATATTCAATTAGATCAGTGATTGTCAACTCTGTCTATACATTCAAATTACCTGGGAAAATTGCCAATGTCTGGGTCTCTCCCCAGACCAACCGTATCAGAATCTCTTGCGGGGATGGAGGCTGCCAGCCACCCAGATACTTTGTTTGGAATTCCTGAGGTGATTTTTATGCAGAAGAGGGTTGAGAACCCTAAATTAGACAAGCATTTATGAGTGAATTCACTGGATGACTTTCTTGAACCAACTTTTATCTTTATTCTGTCTTAGACTTACTGGCTTCAATGTGCTCCAGACCCCACAAATTCAAAAGCAATCTTAGTTTTTCCTCTCAGTCCCTTTCTTTGAGATTGCATGGAAGACTGTAGTTACGAGGCAAAACTGTCAGCTGCTGTGAATCCAGGGAAAGACAAGAGGTTGGTTTCTGGAATGAGGTAGGGAAATTTCAGCCTTGCAGGGAGAGAGTAATAATTGCTGATGTTTATTGGGCACCTGCTACCTGTGTGGGGTACTGTGCTGAGTAGGTTGCATGACTTGTTTTATTAAACTTCACAATGATCCTTTGAGGTACATGCCATTGTTGACCCCTGTTTTACAGGCAAGGAAACTGGGGCACAGAAAATGACAGAAAGGTTACACTGGTGGAACCAGGGTTGAAATCCAGGCAGTCTATCTCTTAACCACTATTTCTGTGGTTATCAAATGTTGGTGTGTATCAGAATTACCAAGAAAGCTAATAAAATACACAGAGGTCTATACTCATTGAAGTAGGAGGGGCCGGAGCCTTCATAATTTTAACAAGTGTCTGGCTGATTTGGCTACTGACCAAACGTGGGAAGCTACTGAATTATGGTACACTTGCTTCCAGATAAGGAAACAGGCGCCCCTAGATTAAGAATAAAGGAGGTCCTGGGCAGAGGGTTTTGATCTTGATAGGTGACAGAACAGATCTAAGGTAAGACAAACATACAGACTCTCTCCAGGCCCTCAGATTGGGGAGATCAGTAAATAAAGGCGGGAATAATCCACATCAGATGATAGGGAATGAGAGGGTTCCATAATCGTATTTCTGCATCTGAATCTTAAGCCTAGCTTTGCTTCTATTCGTTAGATATTGGAAAGACTGATACAGCATTGCATCAAACCTAAGATGCTATAGACTGAAGTGACATTCCTATTTTATATGCCATTACGAACCCTTTTAAAAATGCCACTCACTAAACTATGGCTGCTATAATTATGAAATTCATTCAAGTTGCTATAATCAGAAAAAAAATTTGTGTCTTAGGATCGATGAAATACGGTACAAGCTGTGAACTGCAATGAACTTGGTTCTGAAGCTGTGGAAATCGCTCAGCACACTGGGGAGGCTCCTGCTAACCAAGGCCAAAAACATAGTTCAAACAACATGGAAAATAATCTGTACTGCATATTTCAATAAGATTTGTTTGCTCTAAGCACTGAATACGCATACATGAAAAGTTAGGAAATTCATAACACCTTTTAGGTTTTGGTACTCAGTTTTCTTACCGGTAAAATGGGTTGTGATCTGTGGTCAGGCTTATATGACACGACATACATAAACAAATAGCACAGTACTTGGCACCTAGGAGGAGACTGAAATTAACTTTTTTTCCCCTTTTGCTAAGTCTAAAGACATTTTCATGCTGTTTGCAGTCAATTTCAGGGAAGGAGGAAGGAAAGTAAAAGTGGTAATCGTCCAAAATTAGAATGAAAGTCAGAAGGACCATGTGATTTAAAACATAAATACCTATTTGATGCTGTTCCAAAGCATATCTACTTTATGAGGTGAGGCCAAGCTATAATCAATTTTGTACTAATGCTGTGTAAAGAGCTACATGCACAGTGGAGACTATTCGTTTATAATTAGGAAAATAAATTCTATACACGAGATTCCAATGCCTGATTAAAAATCTGACGCCTTAGCAATCTGATTAATAAAGAAACAATATAAAGAGTTTATGTGACATTTAACTCACTTTAGTATAACTTAGGAGTTATTTTTTCAAATCATGTTTTTTAGTATAAAATGATAAATTGAGGAATTTCAGATATGGCCTGATTATTTTCTGAAGACCACAATTAATATTTAATCAGGGCAGATACATTTAGACCATTAATGCTACATCTTTTACCGGCATTTTTAGCTGTTTTCAAAGGGAACTTCACGTGTGATGCCTATGTTAGACAATGTGAAAAGCTGCAAGAATCAGGGCAAAGAGATTTGCTGGCATCCCATGTAAAGATTCGTAATTGTGACATGAATCTAAGGAGTGGAGTAGGACGCTATTTGGTGAGAAAACAGATGAAGATCACACATGGGAAACTACTACAGCCTCAGACAACAATAATCACTCAAAGGTACAAAAATGACTCCCTGTTATGGGCTTTGTGTTACATGAGGGAGGTAAAGCTTTCAAAAAGCACAGGATTTTCACTCCCACTCCGCTTTTTTTTGAGACAAGGTCTCACTTTGTCACCCAGGCTGGAGTGCAGTCAACACAATCTCGGCTCACTGCAGCCTCCATCTCTCCAGCTCAAGCAATCCTCCCACCTCAGCCTCCTGAGTAGCTAGGACTACAGGCACGCACTACCATGCCTGTCCAATTTTTGCATTTTTTCTTAGAGATGAGGTTTTGCCATGTTGCCCAGGTTGGTCTTGAACTCCTGGGCTCAAGCGATCCTCCTGCCTTGGCCTCCCAAAGTGCTGAGACTACAGGTGTGGGCCACCATGCTGGCTAGGCCAGGATTGCCCTTTTGAAATAGCCTCTATTTTTAAAAGCTCGCTGAGAGTGAATAAAGGGTTAAGTCACAACAGTTTGGCAGTCTCTTCAGAAAACTTGGGCCTGAATTCACACTTTGCTGAATGACAGAAAGTTCTTAACTTTTTAGGATACAGATACATTGGTTGTTCCCGAATACCTTCAATAATTTGGGAAAAATAATCCCTAACTGTAGGTCAAAAATTTTAACTGGGAGGCCTTGAATAAAATTACTAACTCTTTCACACTTTCATTCAGCAAACATTTGTTGAACACTGACTCAGTTCCAAGCCCTGGTTCTATGCTAAACAGTGGGATCTAAAGAACCCTAGCACCCAGCTGGCACTTTATAAGAGCCTCTGAGGCCTCAAGATGTACAGCAAAGGGAGCCCACAAGAGGTTTTTGCTACCAGTAACTATGTAGCCTTACAGCTGGATGTTTACGCTTCTTTGTCATCACTACTGCTGCTGCTGGTGCTACTGCCTTCGTGGCTTCTCACCAGGAGAGGTGTAATAATCTTGAAACTTTTGGCCTCCCTTCTCCAGGCCTTTCCACTCTATGTGGCCATCCCAGCTGTCTTTCTAAAACAAAAACTTGGGTCAGAGCTTCTGGGGGTGGCCTGCAACACCCTGCATGATCTGGCTGTGCTCCAGCTATAGGGATTCACTCACTGTTCCTTGAACTTACCTTCCCTTTCCTTCTTCTGGGCCTTTGCCGTGCAAGTCCCTCTGCTGGCAATGCCCCCTCTTCCCTCTCTTATCTGCCTGATGAACTTCCATTGAGTTATTCTCTACTAGGACAGTGCCTGGGACACATCAGACAGAAAAATGCCAGCATCCCTCCCATTCTTTGTTTTCTTCTTTGTGCTACTACAGAAACTCATATCCTCTGCTCTGCCTCGGTCTATTATTTTTTAAAAACTTTGGTGCCTGTGAGCTTCCTGGGGAGTAAGACTGTCTTGTTTATCTTTGTGTTTCAAGGAAAGTGACTGGCAGACAGCAGGCCAATCCATGACAAAGTATGTGTTGACACATAGAATAAAGAGAATAAGGACATTGGTTAGCTTTCCATAAGGCTAAATGTGTTTAGTTATTTTTTTTCTTCTGAAATCATGTACCTGGGACTTTTGGCTTTTTCAAATGACCTTTAATTTCTTGTACTGGTAAAAGAAAACCGGAGAGTTGAGACATGAATGAACTCTGCCTCGGTTCGAATCTGTACTCTTCCCCTACCGACTGAGTGATCTTAGGCATGTTACATAACCTCTCTGTGCCTCAGTTTCCTTGTCAAGATGGAAAATTGTCATGGCTCCATCCATAGGGTTCTTATGAGAATTAGATAATTTAATGCAGTATATGTAAAGTGCTTCTTACATTGAAGCAAGTACTCTCTTGAGTATTAACTAATGTTATTTCATTGATGAAACTATGGTGAGAGAAATTTATTTTATTAGCGTCCTTAGTTAACAATACAAAAAATTAGAAACTTGTCTCTACTTTCCGTAACTCCTACCTACCTGCCAACCAGCCTTATTTTTTTTCTGAAATTTTAATAGTCTATGAAATCCAAAAGTCTGAGAATCACTGCTTTAAATCATCTAGAACTCTCAAATGGGCAAAACCCACTGATCGAGTTTCTTAAAATCAAAATCCTGGAGCCTGCAGCCAAGACAGTCCTGCTTAATAAAAGTCCCAGCACCAGCAAACTGAAGTTAGCAAACCTTTTGTGGGAAAACCTACTGTCATTAGCCTTCTATATGCAGCTGACTGGCCTTTTATTTGCCTGAAAGAGGGACTGGTTTAAAGGTTTTACTACTTTAGCATAGCTCTAGATTGAAAAGACAGGTGTTTATGTATCAAATAAACACAGAGACAAAGTAATACACCCATTAAGCTTAGGTTTCAGTATTCCTAAAAAAGAGGATTTCAGGAAAAAGAAGCAAAAGTCAAAGAAATGACCTTAAATATAAATCTTTAGAGATTTAGAGTTTTTCTAACACATTCTTTCTTGAATCACTATAAATAATGAATTAATGTGTCTATTTCTTTAGGCAGAAACCCCGTTACATCAGCAATAGTTAAATATACAGTTTAAAGAAAATAATATCATGACAGCAACATAAAACCACTGGAAAGTACTGACCAATTAATTCCTGTCTTCCTCACCCCTGTGCCAAATCCTTACCGACATTCTATGTAGAAGGACTCATCTTTAGGACCATGTCTGTTTTGTTCAATATAGCATAGCCAGTACCTAGCACAGTGCCTGATATATAGCAGGCTCTCAATGAAGATGCTATTTTGCACTGAGGGAGGAAAGAAAGCTAGCACTTCTCAGAGACGTGCTACATGCAAGATCCCATATGAAGTTATTTTCACACATACATCACCAAATTATCCACATTTTTCATTAATAGGGAAACAAGATAAATGAGGCTTATTGGTATGACATAACTCTAGGGAAGAGCCGTATTTTACAGATTTTAGTTCTCTGTTCTTGCCAGGTCACCCTGATATTTATAAGCCAACAATGATCTTTGAGTTTTTTGTTTTGTTTTGTTTTTGTTTTTTTCAGAGACAGAGTCTTGCTCTGTCGCCCAGGCTGGAGTGCAGTGGCACAATCTCGGCTCACTGCAAGCTCCGCCTCCCAGGTTCACGCCATTCTCCTGCCTCAGCATCCCGAGTAGCTGGGACTACAGGCACCCGCCACCATGCCCGGGTAATTTTTTGTATTTTTAGTAGAGATAGGGTTTCACCGTGTTAGCGAGGATGGTCTCGATCTCCTGACCTCCTGATCCACCTGCCTTGGACTCCCAAAGTGCTGGGATTACAGGTGTGAGCCAGCGCGCCACGCCGATCTTTGAGTTTTAACTCAAGATTGTTTTGCAGCAGCTTCATTCGATCCTTGGTTTCTTCCGCATGTGACATTTCAACATTTCAATCCCTCTCTACCAAAGCCAGCATGATGGCTGTTATTTAAAGGTCCTAAAGGGGCCACACAGTATAATACAGGAGAATGAACTCAATAGAAGGAGAACAGACACAAGGAAACAGCACAAGATTCCAGTATCTGGATCCTATGTACTAGATGCTCGTGATAAATATAACTCGAATCTCTTTACAGACATTTATTTTAAATTAAATTATCTGCAAAATGAAAGGGCTGGAATAGGCAACTAATTAATTTATTCAAACAAACACATCAAACACTTTTTCTATATCAAACTCTTTGTCTGGTGCTAGAGATACAAAGATATTCAGGACAAAATAAAACAAAACCCCTGCCTTCAAAGAGATACCAGTCAACTGAGGTCACATTCCGCATGCATCAAAGGTTCCCTTTAATTCTAAAACCATTCTATGAATCTATGGGCTGGGAATTTAAATGCCAATTAACCTCATAACAGTAATTTCAAAGCATGTTTGTTATCTCAGACCAGTTACAAGCCCCAAATAAGAACTAAAAGTGTGTAGTATATCAGGGAAATTATATTAGGTCTCAGTGACAAATGGTTATAACAGCTAGAAAAAAAGAACCGGCTAGTTCTGAAAACGTTCCCACCAAATCTCACTTAAGCACACCTGAACAGTAGGAGTTCTTATTGTTTCCATTAATCTTTTTCATTCCTAGTTGTATTGATGAAGTACAATATTCTAACAATACTCATACAGACTTCAAATGGTGACTGAGATTACAGCCAGCAAAGGAGGCTGAGAAATCAGATACCCTACCATACCTTACTATGGGAACAAAGTGAGGTATATTTATTTTATTGGACAGTTTGAATTTATTATAGGTTGCTCACAATTTCCTGTCTCATTTCTGTAGTGCTCTTGGAATTTATGTCAGGATGTCTTAGGTTATCACGCTCTTTTCATCCCAACATTTATGCCAACAAACTGAATTGACTTAGAGAAAGTCCCTGGACAAAAATTGAAGGGGAAAATACCCAAAGCTTTAGCTGGAGAATGGCAGAAGCTTTGGAAAAAAATCTGAAAAAGCAATGAAGATGAAAATGGAAACTCCGTGAAAATTAATGTAGTGTAGAATTGGCAAACATACCACTTATTTCTTTAAACAAATAGAAGAAAGAACCCGCTTATGAGGTGCACCCAAATAATTCACAGGTGGTGAAACTATTAGAGTCCGGCAATTTCTTGCCTCAGAAGTGGAATAAATCTCCTGTATTATAAACGGCATATGTTCATGCACGTGATTTTTCTGCTATTCCCTTTCTTTCAACTATCCTACTTTTGATGCACAAGGTCATCTTGGTCTTATTGTAATTAATTTATTTTAATAAGAACTTTAGGTATAATTCTAATGAGGATGGGAGATACAACCTCATATAGTAATTGCACTGACAGAAATATAATTCCAAATGGAATCTATTTGTTTTTTGCGTGGATTTTGGTTGTTGCCAAGAAAGCACAATGTAGTGGAAACTATGTACAGATTGTAATCTGGCAGCAGGTTCCCCAGTGATAGTGGGGCAGATGAAAACTCTCTAGACATTGGTCACACATAATGGTAATTCTCACAAAGATAACCATTTATCTTGAAAATAGTTTTTCCCTAAAGAATATTAACTAAAAAATTGTTCCAGTGTGTTCTGTTGCACAAATTGAGACTATAAACTATAGAAACAGTAAAAATAACTTTTCATGTTCAGAGTCAAATAGTGATTGATAATTTGAAAATAACACATTCATAATCTATGGAAAGCCATAATTTACATTTACACAGGGATAAAAGGATTAAACAAACAGCGTCTAAGCAGGTGCAGAGAGTTATTTACAAGATGAACCAGCTTGTGGGGAAATTGAAAATAATAATGTCCATCACAGAACTGTTGCCTACAGAAGAGTTGTGTTTTGAAAAATTAAAAAAAAAAAAAACTCTTGACAACAAAATGTCCAACACACTTCCAAGCTCTTCACTGTAGAGATTGTGACTTAATCTCCGTAGCTGGGATTATAGATGCCTGCCACCATGCCCAGCTAATTTTTGTATTTTTAGTAGAGATGGGGTTTCACCATGTTGGCCAGGCTGGTCTCGAACTCCTGACCTCAGGTGATCCACCCTCCTCGGCCTCCCAGAGTGCTGGGATTACAGATGTGAGCCACTGCACCCAGCCTAAAACCACTGTTCTTTCATGGCACTCAGACACCTCCAAGAAAAATGTGTTAAAGATTGTTTGAAACTAGGGATATTCAAGAAGTGTGGTTTACTTTATATATCGCTGTACAAAACATTTGTTTACTTTGCCTTTGTGAGTCTGTTCCCTCTCTGTGAATTGTTCACTCTGATTTTCTGACATTCTGCCCTTGGAGCAGTTTCAGTGTTGCACCCTGGTTTCAGCTTCTCAGCATCTTTTTCTGTTATATTCGCCTTCCCCTTGGATCTGTGTGCTTCTATGTTCTTGGCCTCACTGTTTGATCCCACTCTGTCCCAGGAGATTTCAACTGTTTCACCACAGCCTTGCCTCTTTGGTTTTCTTTCCTCATTTTCTACCACTCCCTCATCCACTTCCAGATTCTATGTTTTAAAAATGGACCCATTTTCCTATTTTCCCTGTAGTACTGACACATACCCCCAACTACTTATCACACTTCAGGTATGCAGTAAATTGCAAACCGCAAAGATCAAACCACCATTAGAATGATGTGGCATCTTGTTAGTTCTCTTTTCCCATATAATAAATGGAAAACGGTATTAGTACTTACTTATGAGTAAGTACTGGCATGTATAGCATCTAAATTTGAAGCATATGTTATTTCTTAAAAGTTTTCAGCATAACAAACAACACCTTTCCCAAAATTTCAGGGTTTTCACACAACAAAGTTTGTTTCTTGCTCATGGTTAAATGAATGTTCACAGTGTAAGTCTGTGAGAGTGACACTGAGGGGCTGTGCTCCATGTAGTCATTCAGGGACCTAGACTTCCACTTGGTGGCTTTGCCATTCCTTAGAGTCATGAAGTTTTTTCTAGTGGATTCTCTGCATCCAGCAGGTGGGTAAAGAGAGAGTGTTTGATGCTTGGAGGATCACATAGGCTGAGGGATCAGGCCTACAAGTGCCATATAGTACTTCTAGCTATTTTTCACTGATGAGAACTCAATTACATAGTACCATCCAGTCACAGGGAAGGCTGGCAAATACAGTTTATCATTGTGCCCAGTAGCAAGAAGAAACAGGTTTTAGTGAATCCACAGCATTGTCTCTGCTAACATGAGAGTTTATTTTAAGTACCTTCAAGTTTTACAAAACTGTGACTAATGTAAGTATCGTTTTCTTCCTGAGGACAAGTTTTGAAAAAGGAAAAATATTTGAGAACTAAATGGATAAAAAATATATGAAACATCCAAAATGATTCATTCTAATTAACAAGAGCAAAAGGGGTTAATTGTTGTTCAGTGTGTGGCTACGTATATTTAAAAGACAGAGAAAGGAATACAGAATATATACCTCTTTTGCGTTTCTTAGCGTTGATGACTTGGTCTTACCAAAACCAGAAATAGTGAAACGCTTCACATGTAAAATGAATGCTGACATTTTTCCTTCCTACTTGTACTTTTCCCTGTTTTCACCTTTTCTTGCCAAGTCATTCTTATTTTTCCATTTATTTATTCATTCACCCACGTTTATTGAGATCAAATTACCAGGCATTCTGAAAGAGGCAGGAGGAACAAGTCACACCTTCTGCTGTCCCCCACAGCTTTGTGGGACAGAAAGAAGTGTAAGATAAGTAAGAGATGGGCGATGGCACAGATAAATGCAAAGTAGCCCAAGAACTATAAAAATTACATATAAAATATTTTAGAGATTACAATGAATTATTTATGCCTTCTGACAAGCAATTACTAAGCGCTGACTGTACACATAGCTATATATGGGTAGAATTTGGGATGGGGCTATTTGAACACAGAAATTATGGTATTTCTCCTAATAAAGGTTACAATTACTTCATGAGATAAAATATATTTCTCTAATCAAAATAAAGAATGCTTGTGGATACAGCAAAACTTTTTAATGGATTTATGAATACTGAGTTTCTTGGGAAAGACAATAAACAAAAAGCCTGAGGTCACTGTTGGCTGCAGATTACAGCCATTGGGCATCTTCTTGACGTGGCCAGAAAACTTAACTAACTGCCCTCCATGCTGGGTGCTCCAGTTAACAGAGTCCCTGAGAGGCAAAACAGAACAGTTAAGCTTTATTCAATGTAGGTTTTAATCTTGAAGTTCGGGAATTGGGGAGATTTAGTCATTTATTTTTGAGCTCATGGAAAGAAGGGGTTGATAGCAACAGCTTACCCCAGTTAGCAGGCAGGCTCCCCACACAGCTGTGCTGGCCTATTTCAATTAGGATCCTTTAGGACTTACATCACCTCTGGTATGCCAGTCCTAAGCCGCTCATGAGCCAGTACTGCCAATCAAGCCAAAATTCAACCACATGGTATGGTTTTTATGATGTAGACAGAAAATGACACGCACTTGTCTCATTCTGGTGAAAACACAAAGTTTGAAGCCAGCTCTCTAAAAGAAGAAAGTTAGTAACAATGACAAGACTGTAAAACTTGATTTAGACACATTTTCCTGTGATTATCTCAATACAGTTAACCAGTAGGTTATTCATGGTGATTGAAGGAATGCTCTCACTCAAGAAAAGGCTCCGGTCCTTATGCTACGAAGAGGTCACTTCTGGGTCACTCTACTCATGAGACCACAGAAACAGTAGAATATGCTTACTGAGAGGAGGGCACAATTAAACTTACATAGCTGGACCTGAGAGCGTGTCATTCCTGGAAACTGGAAGATACATGAATTAAAAGCAGAGCTGTCACTTGACCAAAGAAACAGAACTACACATATGAATTTAAGAATCACTGAAAATATGAAGAATTAAAGAACCCTTCGATAGTCTCTGTAAGTCATTTTTTCTCTTCATTTAGTTCACAAACTGTATCTACACGGCACTCTACTAGGTGCTTCGGGAAAAGCAGAAATTCATAGGACCCAGTATTTTTCCTGGAAGAGTTTAAAATTATATTCTGAGTAAGCCATAATAAAGGGGAGAACCAAAACACCAGACCATGTCTCATGCTAATATAATCCCCAAGCAAAATACAGCCCAAGTAAACTAAGTTTTTAAAAAACATGAGTAACTTGTATAGAGTTAACGACACTTAACTGATAAAAATTGCAAACCCTAACTGTAATATTGTTAGTAGGATAGAATCAACTTAGGAGATGTGAATCTCCTAAGTTAGAGTAATAGCCTACTCCATGGTGTGTTAGAAGACTGCTTTCCAATTTATACATACATAATAGTAAATGGGCATCAACATGTATTAAAACATACAAATGCACAAATACATACATGCATTTATTTATTCATTCTCTTTGTCTCTCAAAAGACTTCAATTTCCATATGCTTTTTCAAGGAAAAACTTTCCTGGTGTAACAAGATTCTTCTGTAGTTCACTAGTGACCACTATTGGACACTCTTCCCTCAACTTATATGAAGCAACAGAAATGGTGTTATGTGAAAATAATAATGGGGGCCAGAAAGTGGTCCTGAACACACTGAAACACTAAAAACAGGAGCCTGAGTAAACAAAAATGTAGCTGGCCATGTCTAGACAAGAAACTTCACAAAAACATGAAGAAAGTGATTTTTAAATTTTAAATGCTTCATAGCGTTCTGTAGATCTATGCGAAAAGTCTTCAAGCTTGATTTAAAGACAATCTAGGTCTGAGAAAAAGAAATCTGTGTAGAGTGAACAATTATAGAAAAGTGCTTGTGCATGCACATGAACACACTGACATACATGCTGCTGGAACAGGCCGCGGTCTCCTGTAAATAAGGGACTTAACATTCATTCCACAAGCTAAGGGTGCTTCTCCCCATCCAAGATAGATCCACTTAGATAATAGTGGGAGAGAGTGCCAGAGGGACTGAAGGGAATGGGCTATTGTGTTTGACTAGTTGCCATGTATAAATTAGTACAGAGAAGAAAAAGAAATTCAACAGGAAAACACATGTACTTTATTATAATTCCTAGTGTTACTCTTGCAACTCTCACAATAGCAGGCAAAAGAGCTTAAAACCGTTTAAAAGAAACAAAAGGCAAATGCAAATTTGATTAAATGCCTTTCTGACAAGAAGTGATTTGACTTCAAGTGTAGATGGACACATATGTCAATGGCCGGTCATGGTTTTTGCCACATTCTTTTTGAGCTAAACAATTGGGACAAAGGAGAGAGAATAAATACGAGAAAGCAGAATGGGAGGATTGAGAAAATGGCATTATGTAGCTTAATTTCACCTGAATATCAAATGAAATCTCTTGATCAGTACTACTGTCCTACTGTGTCCAGAATATAAATTTATGATATAAGTTCTGTGCATGAAAATATGGGTGGTAACGTAAAATAGATTCAACACCCATCCTCTCAGAAATAAGTTCCAAGGGGAAAGGATTTTGACAGAATGAAGGCTGAACAACCTTCAATATTTGTACACACTCAAGAACCTAGTCATGATACAGATGATTCAGCTGTCAGTGAAATGAGGGATATTTTAATAAGGTAGAAACTGGGCTTGCCACAAAATAGACAGGATGTTTTCCAATTAAGTTACAGAGACCTTTAGAAATTGCCCCAAATAAGTCCAAGAATAGACAGAATCCTTGCAATGTGTAAATGAAAACAAAAACAAAAAAAAGACTATAGGAAAAACAAGCCCCTCAATTCAATTTCTCTATCAAGTTTGAAGGTTGAGCTGATGATGCCACACTTCTAGTTCTAAATCAAGTACACAACAGGCTAAAGGTCACAATCTCTTAAGCCAATAATTAAATTTAATGCTAAAGGGGGCAGTTAATGAGCAAGTTTAACAAGTGCTCATGATATTGTACATATCTTTAATGATCAAGATGATGCAGAAAGCCTAAATATCTGCAACAAAGGGTACAGACCAACCTGCACCACTGTTTTCATTGTTCTTAAATATTTACAACCACCATACGAAGCAAACATGTTCTATTCTCTCCATTATTTGACCTTTGGGTTCAAATGCAAGCTTATTTCATTGCCTGAAAAAACGGGTTTAAAATGTCTTATCTGTATGATTATTGTAAGGATTTATTGTAATGATTTTCAAACAACTAGCCACATTCAGACACAAAATACATGACAGCTATTACTAATGCTGTTATTGCTTGGCAAAGGGATGTATGTAAACATCAGTCAGTTCTTCCTTTTGTAGCATAACTCTCAGATTTCCACTTAATTTAAATGCAGGCATAAAACAAACCTAGGTTTGTTTTAATTTTATCTTTATAATACAATTATTGTAATTTAAATATGATATGTTTTAAGTCCTTCTGAAATAAGCATACATACCTTTTCATTCCACATAAGTCAAATTATATGCTCTAATACATATATGAATATTCAAGATATCACAGAGGGATATAATGCGTTTACCAAATGGATAGCAAAACAATCTATTCCTGAATGGGAAAGTTTTACTAAAGTATAATGAGATCATACTTCCATATGAAAATATCAAAAAAGTAATGTATACTGGTAATTTGCTTTATGATGCAATATAATGGGAAAATAACACACACTTAAAAAAATCACAAAGAAGGAAAGATGAGACAAACTAATGGTGTATACAAGTAACACATCCCATATGGAAAAAATGAGACACCTTTCATAAATCGCTTGCTCCACAAGTCATAAAGCATACCTAAACATTCTGTTCTTTGTATTTTTCAGAACAGCTAAAACTTATAGTTCATTCATGCTTGAAATGTAGTTTACCTTTAAATTTCTATGAAAAATTAAAAATTTATTTCTATATTTATAGCACTTGCAATGCAGCATTATAATTTCTTAGCTACAATGATGCAAATCATTAAGAAGTGGGAATGTATAAAATATTGAATCACTGTCTGATTACTCTATTTGATGAATCTCCTGGACTTTTTCAGTTTGTACCAAATGGCTTTCTTCCCTACTTCAAAATTATAGCGCAGATCAGATTTGTCAGAATATAATCAGAACAAACATTCCTTCCCCATCAAGGAATCAATGCAACCTATTCATTTGCTACATTTTTACCTTGTTCTCTTCCTGCCTTGTTACCTTCTGAGGAAGTTCTGGCATGTTATAAATGTGACAGGAAAAACTACAATCACATTTGTTTGGATCAGTGTGTGCAAATTTTGGAATCAAACCTTCAGATGAGGTTTACTAAGCTGCCTGCCCAGAACACTCTGGTTTAAAAAATGTGCATTGCTATTAATATTTTGAGTGTAGATTTATTTTGGACAGTAAATGTTCATTTTCTGCCCATAAAACCAAGTATGAGTCACAACGGAACATTTACTTCGAGTCAAAAATGCAATGTGTACTGACGTTCAAGAGCAGAGCATCTTATCACTATGACTGTGGCAATCAGCCGTACTAAAAGTCACCATTCCTTTTTCTTCTTTAAAAGTAAATTTGAGATCAAAGGCCATAATCCTCAATTCATAAATCCTAGCATTAACTTCTATCCATAAATGACTTGCAGTAATTAAGAGCCATAATCTGGGTTGGCTGCAAAGAGGCTCTCATTCCCCTCTTTACCTGGTTCCATAGTACATGTGCATAGATGGAAAGTAATTCATTAAAGGCGGTACGGGCAAGCTCTGCAAAGCCTATCCATCAAAAAATTCCAGGAACACCACAGTGAGTGAGTTTAATTTCAGGATGTCTGTTATCCAAATTCCAAGCATACACACCACCATATATACAGTCCTCAGCTCCCAAACTCCATGCAGTATGTCCCAAAGTTCATGTCTCAGTATCAGTATTACTGTATAGCAGTAACTAATTCCAGAAAGTCTTGCAGACTTTATCTTGCTTGGGAAGTTGAGGTTAAAAGTTCTAGAAGGAGTATTCTCTCTTTGTAATCGTGTAAATTATTTTACCTGGAGTTTTAAGATAAAGACACACACACACACACAAACACACATACACACACACACCCCCAACAGCACCCAGACTCAATGGCAATAGCAATGCATTGAAATGAAAAGGCATTTACCAGGAGCAGGAAAGCCAGAAAGAGGAGCAGTGTGCCAGGAGTTGCCCGACGGCAGCATTCCATGCTTGGATCCTTGCCGGAATCAGAATCGGACACTGAATAAGCTGCTAAGTGCTCCTCTGCCTGCTGTCACATCCAGTACTGGTGCTAACACTCCAGTCCTGCCTATCAGCTTCCATCAGCCCCTCTCACATTTCCTGACCGAGGGGTGGGTGGGTGGATGGGTGGGGGGTAAGCTGAATGGAATCTCTCTCGGAGCAGGCAGCCAGCCAATCAGGCTCCTGCTAATCAGACATGCTGAATAACAAAGCCAGGAGGACAGAGAAAGTGTAACGGTGCGAGCAAAAAAGGGGGAAAAGGACGAAAAAGAAAGGCGAGCGAGCAGCAGAGCGAGAAGGGAAATGCAAAAGATGCAGAATTGCAAAAGATGAAGCCAAGCACTGTGCTTCCCATGGACCTGGTTAGTTCTTTGTGAGATGCATTTCTATTTGCCATTTGCCTGTGCTGATGTCTGTTGCTTTGTAAAGTACAGTAGCTCCCTGTGACTGTGTATTGTTCCATTCAGGAGAGAAACTTAATCCCTGTCAATATATAACATATGCCATAAAGGGAAAGAACCATAGACAAAAACCGACTTAATGTGCCCTGTAAATGTGTTCTGTACAACTGTTTTATTTCGCCTCCATAAAGTTCCTCTTTACTTTCTCTCTTGACTTGCAAAATAAATACTCTATACATTTTCTGAAGGTTCCTCACTAAGCCTAAACAGTGGCATAAGTTATTTTGTGTTATTAAGGACTTAATTTGGGGGGAAAAAAACAAAGCAAGTTGCTTCTCTGTAAAGTGACAATTGAAGGCATTTAAGATTTGCTAATTGTAAAGGCACAATTAGAAACTTAGATCCCCCAGTTTAAAAAGAAACCCTCAACAAAGACTCCAGGATGAGTGGGGCTGAAATTTGGGGTTGAGGAGCAGCCTGGTTTTGATGCACTGCCAACTCTCAACTATCTATTTTAGCCACGGGAGAGAAAGAAAGGATGAATTAAATCCTCAGTTAATCCCCAAACCTTCTTTTAACCAAGTTTCAGCTTCCTCCGCACCTCACCCACGTCCTTTATCAGAGCTGTTATAATGCAGAAAAGGCTGAACTGAGTTTTACCTCATTTTTCCATCCACTATTGCAAGAGGGTTGGATGGGATGACCTTGGAGGCCAGTCCAGCCCTGAAGGAAGTGCTAATGAGCAGTGAAATGACGACAAGGCCAGCAACAGCAACGAGAAGGTCAGGAAGCTTCTGAAGCTGCTTAATCCACCAGCAAGGGAGATTTGACTCTACTAGAGGAAGGTTTTATTACAGTTTTAGAAAAGTGTCAAATGTCAAACAAGGATGTATTTCCCCTTATCTGCAAAGGAAATCATTGAGTTTTGAAAGAATAAAAGAGCAGCCCTGGCCTTACATTGCCATAGGTGTGTCATCAGGACGTTTTCCCTTTTCAGATCTCCTGATAGCCCAGAAATATATGCAGTGGAGGTACAAGACATTTAGAATTAATGTTCTTTCCTTTCATTATTAAAAAATACTGACAAGAGGTATGAAACACACGAATATGGAAAACCTGATCAAGCCATAATGGGCATGTGAATACAGGCAGGTCTGCCTATGTACATACCTGCTGCGTTGCTTTTCAAAAAGGTGAAGAAAAGCAGGTTGTTCAACTTTAGGTTACCTACTTCATATGGTATATCAATTAAAGAGAGAGAAACTTTAAAAATCCTATTTTCATGCTGTTAGGAAAGTCAAGGTCATACAAAGATTATCCTTTGTTCTCAATATTAAGTATGTGGACCTAGAAAAATGGACAGTACAAATCCATAACAAAGAGAGCCCATTCTTGAAATATGCTTTTCCCTTTTAGAAAGATTTGTTTTACAAATCTCTCAAAAACTAGCTAATGCTCATAAGCTAAAGCGTATTCACAAGTAGATGTAAAAATGCTTAACTTTGTCTTTCCACTATTGTTTTTGTCTGAAATCCTCATCACATTAAAGAAAGGTGATTGATTGAAATAAACTTTCATTCATAAAGCTATGTTACATGTGTCTCTCTGTTACACACCAGAGCTTTCTGCTAAAGGGTTTATTTTTTTCCCTCCTATCACAGTCATTAACTGAAGAGTTTCAGCTAGTTCTATTAATGGAACATTTTACCTAATACCACCTCCTCCCTCTTCACACATAAACCCTGCTCATTAAGCAGATCCAAAGGGAAGAATAGGTAATGGGAGAAAGAAAAGTAGCAACAAAGCTAATGATGAGATACTATTTGTAGAGGAACAGAAAAATAATCAGCATGGTCAGAAAATAACTGGGAACCACTTACATGCTAGTTTAGATTCTTTTCTGCTTTGCAAATAAATACTGCCTAGGTATTTTGAGTCAGAAATTTCTGCCTTGAAGTTTTAATGGGCATGCTAATGTACAGCAAGATGGTCATCTCAATGAAGTCACCGAATAATATACTATTTTAAAGTTAAGCCCTCAATCACCTGTTGAATGCCTGGAGGATGCCCACCACACTGTCTCATGCTTCTGATTCCTCACAGCATTTTCTTTCCTCTTGGGAATACCCAGAGAAACTAGGAAAAGCAATTGCACATCCAGAGCTACACAGTACAGGTGAAATTACAAATTTACTATAACTTCAGAAAAGGGAGAACAAAATCAAGTTGGGTTAAGGTGACTGGGAAAAGTTTTGGTCATGAACTAATTTTGATGATGGCCAAAATGTACATGCCATCTTTATGGTTTACAAAGTGATTTTACATTTATGATCTCATTTGACCTTTGTGACTACTTTTTGAAATTAAGTAATCACCCCATTTTATGTACGTGGAAACTGAGGCTCAGAGAAGTTAAGTGACTTGACTAAAGCTTTGCTGGCTAGAACTGGCCATTGAGCCACGGTTTACCGAATCTAAATCCACCCTCATCTCATATTCATATATATGCATTATATCTATATATGATGTATACACATACATATATTCAGATGTTGGCAGTGATGTTGTTGAAGGGGGATGTTTATAGGAAAAGGAAAGTAGGCTACCAGGGTTTACCATGGGTATATGTTACCTGACGATGGAAAGTATCTTATTTTAGCCTCCAGCTTCTATGTGTCTTGACTTTCTCATTTCTAAAACGTTTTCAGCACCTAGGAAAAGTAATGTAAAACTTTAGGTAATCTAGATCCATATTAATGGCAACCGGGGAAAGGCCACTTACGGCATCTGAGCAGGGCGTTGGCCAAATTCCTTTTTTCCTCTTCAGGTATCTAAATTAAAACCGTCTGCAAGTGTGTGAGCAGCAGCACTAGCAGAAGCCGTGGCAGCTGAATAATACTGGTTACTGGCTCCATGCACAACATATTAGGTGAAATGAAATCAGAAGCAAGAGAGAGAGAGTGTCAGGGCTGTCTGAAGCATCATTCCAAATGGTATGGATTTAACAATACTTAATTGAAAAGACACCAGCTTGGACAGAAGCAAGCTGTTAACATTCAGTGTGCTTTATGGGAGGAAAGAGTGAGCTAAACTTTCGGTATTTCTCTCCCTGGGGAGAATTCGTTACAAGTCTTGCTCTGGAGCCACCTGTCTCTTTCTTCAGGTTGAGCCTCTCTGCTTAGCCCGTCAGCTGCAGAAACCAGTGTATAGGGGACACAGGGTCTCCTGGAAAGAACTCAGGGCTGGGAGGATTTCAAGAGCTAGGCAGGGCCTAATCTCCCCTCTTTAAGGAAGTGGTTATGGCAGCATCTGAGCCTTGTTTTCCCCACAGGGATGCAGTGAAGTTCGATTTCCCTGGTTAATTCTGAAAAATAAAGTAAGGGCGACTAAGATAAAAGTATAGGAAGCAGACTGCTATTCTCAGGGGCAGAACTGAAATTTGAGCATTACTCCACAACTTGCCAACTCACCTAGTATCTATTTAACACCAAAGCCATTAGAGCATTCATTATAGTTTTCAAATCACCTTTCACACATGATCTAATGTGATATGAACAGAAACTCTAGGAGTTAGAGAGTGATTATTATCCCCAATTTGCAGATGAGGAAACCAGTCCTCCTACGTAGAAAATGGGTTCATCAAAGTTATTAGCAGGCAGGAAATTTGGGGCTCTATCAAAGGCTGTTTGACTTTCCCCAGGACTACCATCTGAGACGCTGACAGATGAAAATAGCTACATACACTGAGAGTCTCCCATGTGTAGGCACTTTTCTAAGTATTTTATATTTATTATTTCACGTAATCCTTACAACAACTCTATGGGGTAGGTACATTTATTAACTTCACATAGATGTTTTTAATGATGGGTTAGCAGTCCTTCATCCCAACCAGTGCCTGAAGTCCAGAAACAACATTTTCTAGACTCCCTTGCAGCTAGGGTACTGGATGGAATTGAGAACTAGCCACTCTGAAGTACTACAAAAATTCGGAAGGAGGAAGTGAGGCAGAAGCTACTACACTTTGCTCTGTCTGCTTGTAAAAATGGCTACAGAGCAATGAGGTTTTTCTTGTAACCATGCTAACCAGTTGCTATGTTTGCAGGTGTCAAGAGGCAGGCATGGGACATGCATTTATTAGCTGGATCAGGGAAGGTGGGCATGGCCCTTGCAGCTCTTGCTGTTTCATGCAGCTTTTCCATTCAGCAGCAGATGACTTCCTGGCTGTGGAAGAGGCAGCAACTCCCATGGTGATGTGTTTCTGTAAAGCAGCACTGGAATCTTCAGAGAGCTCAAGTTGGAGTCTTTTTCTTTGGTAACTCAAATGTTATGTGTTATTTAATATCCTATAACACATCACTTTCTGCTTAAATTAGCAAGAATAAATTCTGTTCTTTGCAACAGAATCCCAACTGATATACCCCCTTTAACAGAGAACACTGAGGCATAGAGAATTAAAGTACTTGCCCAAATCATATCTCCAAAGAGGGAAAGGGCCAAGATCTGAACCCAAGCAATCTGTGTTCATAACCACTAAGCTATACTGACTCTTTGTAAAGCAAAGGGCCATGAGAATTCAGAGAAGGGAGATGTCAATGCATATTTAAGGACTCAGTGAGGAGTTTGGTAGAGGAAAATGGAAACTGAAGAAGGCTTTGAGATATACACAGACTTTTAGGTAATGAAAAGAAACTAAGGAAAGGCTTTACAGCTGTGGAGAACAGAGTAAGCAGAGAGAAAGTAGAGAAAGGTAAGACTCCTGCTTTTACTCAATCTGATTCACTACTGCAGGTTGTGTAATGGGCAAAAAATATGATTTTAGATTCTTTGTCCCATGGTCTTCCTCTCTTTCCCTGCAAAGTGTCTAGCATAGCATGTTGCTTACGTGACAAACTCCACAATTGTAAAATTTGATCTGATTCGTCTCCAAATGGCAGAAGCCCCAAGGGCCTCGGCTTACGGTTCTCCCTACAAGACTTAATTCAGGGCTTCTCATACTGTAGGTGCTTGGTTAAAATCTGTGACCCCAGTCAGTAGAAGAAAGGAATTCTGGAGGCTGTTTGGTACCATGGGAAGAACTCAGTTTTTGGAGCCAGACAGTTTAAATCTTAGCTGTTGCATTTATTACTCGAAGGGATTTAAGGAAATAAATTGCTGAAACTTTCTGAGCTTAGGGTTTTTTTGTTTGTTTGCTGGCTTGTTCTGTTTTAGGCTTTTGGACAATGAGAGTTATGTTCACCACCGTCAGGCAGTTGTGGGCAGTAGAGTGAGAGGTTTGTAGAGTGTTTAGCTCAGAGCCTGATACAAGTAGGAGATAATAAATCAGTACCATTCTAGGTGGTGGGTATAGAAGTAGCCACTGGACATGTCTCTCAATTTTTCTGCATTTGAAAGATTTAATGAAACTCTGGGAAAAATATTATCATAATTTAGATTCAAATTCAAAGATACTTGTCCCCAAAACAAAACAAAACACAAAACAAAACAGAACTCATTGCAGAGCATTGAACTGAACCGGGAGGATAGACTTGTTCAGTACCCTCAAACCTGCGGTCCTTGATCTTCTTTTTTCTACATTGCTGAAGTTATGGCACAGATCTCAGAGGTTTGTTATTGAATTAGATTCAACAAACACTTACTGAGCACCTACTGTATGCAATGCACAATGCTACAGAGAATCTTGGCAACAAATAAACTGTCTTTTGTAGCCTTTTTGAAATAGAGAAACTTATCATTTTAATTGTTGAGGTTTGAATTATGGTTGTAATATTCATATAGTAAACCCAAGTGTAATACATAAATCCAAGGCCCCTAATTCCTAGTTCAGTTCTATTTCCATGACATCATCCTCCACAGATAAAACAATTATACCAGAGCCAGACAATAAGGTGAAGAGCTGTTAACAGATTTATAGACAATATACAGAGAGTGGGATTGAAATACAAAAGCCAAATTCCTCAGCTTGGCATTCAAGGACCTCCCTGATCTGCTTCCAGTCCCAGGATAATAGAAAGCCATGCTCCACCTCGATTGAAATACTTGATATTACCCAACTACTTCAAGTCCTTTGACTACTGTGTATTTGTTCATCCTGTCCCTTCTGCATGGAAGGTCCCTCCTTCTATCCTTGCCTTGCTAAAATTTATATTTTTGACTCTTTAAGATATAGCTCAAATGGCATCTCCTCCACAAAGCCTTCTGCTAACTGCAATTTTTTAAAAACTTTCTCCTTTTGCTCATTTGCTGGAATAATATTTTCAATATATTTGAATGCATTATATATCATAGATATGAGCCCTCCTTTTATTGGAAAAAAGTCTTTCCCATTGTTTTATTTTTAATATAATTAGTTTTACTAGTTTTTTATTGTATAGAAGTTTTAAACCTGTCAAAGAGTTACTGATCATTTTCATTTCTGATTTCTTCCACTGCTTCAAGCTTTAAGAGTTATTTTCCTCTGTGGTGGCAAACGTTTTTCTATTTTTTAATTTGGCATTTTAATATTTAATTGTTTAACCAATCTAAGTAGCAAATAGTAATAGTTCAGTTTTCTGTTCCCCCACAAAATGGGTCTCATATATCTATAGGTACTTTTCACCTGCTACCCTGTTTGTAAGTAGAGTGTGTCACTCTTCTTCAACTAGATTGTAAATTCTGTGAAAGCAAATATCAAGATTACAAACTCTTGTATTCACAGAACGGAGTACAGCACCCTTTACGTAACTGCCATTAGATAAATGTTTGTTAAATTATCATGTGAGTTATTAACATATGAGATATTCACAGAGATGACAGTAGAGAAAAAGAAAAGCAAATAGGAGAATTACAAAAGAAAAAATGGTTTCTGAAAACCAGGGAAAACATAGATCAAAAATGAAATGAAATTTGAATTTCAGAGCAGCAATTAAACCACGGAAAATCAGAGTATTCTTCCCCTAAAATACAACAGATCACTGTATGGTCTTCAATTTTATTCTTGCTCCATGTTGGTTATATTTGCTAACATGAACTAGATTAATAGTTTCTCTGTTAAAAAAATTATCTCATATCATAATTATATATTATGTCACAAAGAAATACCAAAATCTATGAAATAAATATAAAAAAGAACCTATAACTAAATTTAATTTGTAGTATAGTTCATTTTAAAACAATTATTTATTTTAAATAATTGACAAATAAAATTGCATATATTTATGGTGTACAACATTATGTTTTGAACATTATGGAATGGCTAAATTAACCTAATTAACTTATGCATTACCTCATATACTTATGATTTTTTTGTGGTTTATTTTTAAAATTTCCAGAAAGGACACGGAATTTGTGGGTAAAACCGGGTATTTCATCTTTCCTACTTGAAATTATGGTGAGCCTTTCTTTTGAAAAGACTTTCATGAAGGAATTTGGAACTTGTTGAGTATGGCAAGAAGGAAATAAAATATAAGATAACAGCATGGAGAATTGAATACAAGCCAACAACAATAAAACCATTACCATATATGCAGGTGTCCTGAGGGAAAAATATGACGTGCAACTGAGAGAAACATAGGTTCAAAAAAATCCAGCATTTTATCTCTTTTTACATGTGCAATTTCCTAGAAGTTAAAATCCAAAACTGTTTTCCTGGCACAGAAACTGGCAGTTATGGAAAGCACAGGGTCCCAAGGATAAAGGGGAAAAACTTCTTCCTTAAACGTCCATCTGTGTTTTAAGAGAATGAAAAGTTCTTTTAAATAAGATACTTGAAGCCGGGCACAGTGGCTCACTCCTGTAATCCCAGCACTTTGGGAGGCTGAGGAGAGCAGATCACCTGAGGTCAGGAGTTCGAGACCAGCTTGGCCAATGTGGTGAAACCCCATCTCTACTAAAAAAAAAACAAAATTAGCTGGGCATGGTGGCACACGCCTATAATCCCAGCTACTCTGGAGGCTGAGGCAGAAGAATTGCTTGAACCCAGGAGGCGGAGGTTGCAGTGAGCCAAGATCGTGCCACTGCACCCCAGCCTGGGCGACAGGGCAAGACTCTGTCTCAAAAACAAAACAAAACAAAACAAAACAAAAAGATACCTGTGGCAGAGATATTAGCCATCCATATCTATTCTTTTTCTGCTTTGGTACAAACATACATGGCCACCCAGGACAGAAACATTTCTTAGCCTCTCTTGGCAGTTATGTGTTACCATGTGACACAGTTCTCACTAAGGACATTCAGTGGAGCAAGTGGGTGTAATTCCAAGAAACGCCCATAAAGAGAGGGGCATACCCTCTCTCCCTTTTTCCTTTTTTCCACGTGTGTGGCTGAAATGATGATGTGAAGGCTGGAGCAGCCATCTAGAACCACGAAGTAACCTTGAAGTGGATATTATGCACCAGAAAAACGGCCCTGGCTTCCTGAAACTCTGGGATATCACAATGCTTCTGTATTGCCCACCTCCAGACTTTTATGAGAAACAGAAGTGTGTTTATCACAACATGTATGTTTTAAAGCAATACAGGGTGGCAGGACTAAGCAAAACTATTAACGGAACGGGCCAAGCTATATATCCTTCTGGCAGCTGAGACAATCAGAAAGCTACAAGCTTGGCCCATTTCATACTGGCCTCTGGGAGAACTGCCTTGGAAAGTCTGTGAATAAACATTATGCCCCTGGCTTTGATTAACGGCCAGTGTAGAAACATGTGTAGGTGGAATACTCCTGAGATTCTGTAAACTTTTCTAGGATAATTTTGCTTATGTAGCTTAATTACATAGGAATCCCTACATTGAATTCTCAGAACATAATGATCAAATACAAGAAATATGTTGTTGATTATTATGTTTTATTTTTTTGATAATGAGAGCTCTATCACTCTCTGAGATGCCATCTTTTCTTTGGCTACTAGGAAGCTCAGAAGAAAAATCTATGCTCAATGGCTAAATCTTTTCTCAGTCTATAGTTTTAAACAAATCTCACCCTTTCTCTCTTGATTTTTATTTTCCCACTCCATGTAAATGATACTGTCTTTTTTGCACTGCAATTTTACGCTAAATGAGCTTTCAATTTGTTTGGAAGAAGGGGTGTTATAAACATACAAAATAAAACACTGTAATTATGAAAAGGAAATTGGCTATGAACCACTCTCTTAAGGAGAAGGATCAGATTGATTTTATGGTGATGAAAACATTGTTTTTCTTTATCCTTATTGTGATTAATTTTTGTTGACTGTCATAACTCATTAAATTTTCCAAGGCTATTCTACACTTTCAAAGTTTCACATTTTGGTAAGAAAACTTATTCAAAGTGGATTTTCCTTTCTTATGTATCACTTCTATTGGAATAATGTCATTCAAACAGAAAAATTATTTACCTCATATTCAAATTTAATATCTTAATAGAATTCATATAATACAATGTACAATAGTATAATTTGTGTAACAATACTACAATTTCATTTGTACAGGTTTTTGTTAATCAAATCTCTGATTTAGCTGAAATAATTTTCTCTTCAAGCTACTACCACATATGACACAGAAGGGAGAGGGGTTGTATTATAGATAGCCTGAGTCATGACATGACAATGTAATGTTTGCATCTAGCTTGAGGCTCTGGCTCAGAAATTCAAGTTAATGAAGCTTGGGATGATGAGGGCATGCTTATTATACACTACATAGTCTCAAGAAGGCTGGGGAAGAGAGTTAATGATTCCACAGTAAATCATTATCACCATCTAAAGAAAGAACAACAGCAACAACAACTACTCACACATGAGACAGCCTGGAAGGCAGTGCATCCTGTTCATTCATTCCCCACCTCTGGCATAGCTGCATGGCACATAATAGGAGTCTAATGAACATTTGCTGAATGTATGAATTTTAAAAGCACAAGTTTGATTCCTCCAAAAATTAAACATAGAATTGCCATATGATGCAGCAATTCCACTGCTGGGTATATACACAAAAGAAATGAAAGTAGAGATTCAAACAGATATTTGTACGCCCATGTTCATAGCAGTGTTATATATTAATACAATAGCAAAAAATAAAAGCAACCCAAGTCTTTATTGACAAATGAACAGATCAACAAAATGTTCCATATATACATACAATGGGATATTACTCAACCTTAAAGAGGAAGAAAATTCTGACACATGTTACAACATGGATGAGCCTTGAAGACATGTAGGATTCTACTTATTTGAGGTACCTAGAGTAGTAAGATTCATAGAGACAGGGAGTAGAATGGTGATTGCTAGGAGCCTGAGGGAAGGGGGAATGGGGAATTAACGTTTAACGGGGTATGGGGTTTTAGCAGGGGAAGATTTTAAAAGTCCTGAAGATAGATGGAGATGATGGCTGCACAATAATGTGAATATACTTAATGCCACAGTACTATACACCTAAAATGGTTAAATTAGTAAAATTCACATCACATATATTTACCACAAAAAAATTTTTAAAGAAGAGAAAAAAGACGATAAAAGAAAAATTACAAAATTTACTTATGTAAAAGCAATCTCAATGAAATTCCCCTGTATGAACTCTTAAATCTTGTGCCAAGTAACTGCAGAAACTCAATGTGATAATAAGTATGATTAACCATGTCTAATTACTAAATTTTTCATAAGTTTCAAAAAAGACACAAGCTTTACCAATGCTACTTCAACAATGCCATCCTCACTCAAAGGAAAAGCCAATATTAAAGAAATATTTCTCTGGAGTAAATTTTCAAATATGTCGATTGGATTTGGTTATTTTAGCTTAGATGGGTATGAGTCTGTGCTCCTGGAGCCTTTGCACTTACTCTTCCTGATGCCTGGAATGCTCCCTTTTTCATTCTTTAATTTTTTTATTTTATTTTTTATTTTTATTTTTATTTTTTTGAGATGGATTCTCACTCTGTCGCCCAGGCTGGAGTGCAGTGGTGCTCCCTCGGCTCACTGCAACCTCCACCTCCTGGGTTCAAGTGATTCTCCTGCCTCAGCCTCCCGAGTAGCTAGAATTACAGGTGCGTGCCACCATGCCCAACTAATTTTTTCATTTTTAGTAGAGATGAGATTTCACCATGTTACCCAGGCTGGTCTCAAACTCCTGACCTCAGGTAATCCACCCACCTTGGCTTCTCAAAGTGCTAGGATTCTAGGTGTGAGCCACCATGCCCGGCCCCTTTTTCCTTCTTCTACTGATTAAATCCTTTTGATTGCTCATATATCATCTTAAAATTTCCTTCCACAGATAGGTCTTTCTAGGTCTGTCACCCTGAATTGGACTTTTCTGTCATTGGTTTTCTTGCACAGAACTTATCAAAGGTCATAGTTATATAAAAAATTTTATTTGTATTTATATTTGTTTGTGTTATATATTTAATGTCTCTCTCCCTCATTAGAATGTAAGCTCCATAAGGACAGGAACCATTTCCATTTTGTTAACCACTGTACCCCAGTATGTAGCATAGGGCTCAGCACATAATAAGTGCTCAATAAATATTTGTTGAATGATCAAGTATTCGTTGAAGGAATAAATTCATTTCTATACAGGAGTTTTCAAGGACATTGATTACATTCAGTTTTTTAAAGTCAGTAATAAATAATGGACATTTCACTATTTTAACACTTTACACAACACATGCACATATATATAAAATGTAGACCTATATTCTGTATACCTTAAGCACACGTTGAGACTTTATATAAATATATACATCTGTATTTGTAAACATATTCACATTTGACCCTTGAACAATAAAGGCTTGAACTGTACAGATCCACTTATACACAGATTTTTTTTCAACCAAAAGCTGATGGAAAATACAGTATTCATGGGATGTAAAACTCACATATAGAAAGTTTTCATATGTGAGTTTTAGATTTGAGAGTGCTGGATTTGAGAATGCACGGAGTTTAGTATATGCGGCAAGGGGAAGATGTCAGGGAATGGGGGAGTGGAGGGGGCGTGTCCTGGAACCAATCTCCCCCATGTATGTCAAAGGATAACTATTTATCTTCTAACTGTTAGTCAACGGATCAATGAAGCAAAATGATATTTCTTTGTGTCGACTTCCTTTCCTGCCTGCTTCCTCAGAGACTACTATTGTGGTTCAGTACCTTGTTTTATTTCTCCCTTCTCTCACTCCTGAGGTCTGCGCTGGACAGGTTAGGGCAAGATACTGCCTTGTAACTGAATGTAATTTTTTTTTCTTTAAACTTTATTCTAGAATACCAGTGGAATAATACAAGAGGTTAGGTAGATTAAATAAAAAGGTAAGAAAAATTAATCTATGTCTACCCTGTCTGTGAACAAAAATGACATATTGAACATGTCTATCAACCATAATATAAGAACCATAATAATGTATGTGAGGTAATGCATATGTTAATTAGCTAAACTTAGCCATTCAATAATGTATATATATTTCAAACATGTGTAAACCATAAATACATACAATTTTTGTCGATTAAATGTTAAAAAAATTACATGAAAAATAATCATAATGATAAATTGACTTGATTTCCTCACAAAATTAAAGAGAAAAAGATGATGCACATGAAATATTCCTATCAACAATAACATATTTTGATTAAAATATATGTTAAAATATACGCAATATTTGGTACTGATATTTACTAAAATCTGTAAAAACTAATACTTACTAAAATGTTTCTTAACAATGAAGTAATATTTATTTTGCTTATTCTTGATGCACCTTTCTTGGATTTGCAATATACCCTTTAAAAATGAGGTGTGGAAAAATAATCAGGATTTTCTTTAAAAGTTACATTTGTTAAAAATTAGATTGGACACATGTATTTAATTTTCCTTGCAAAATGACAGTGTTCTGATATCTTTAAATGGCCAATGTTATCACTCACATGCCAATAAAATGTTTTTATAAAGAGTCTGCAAGAGCAATTTGAGGTACCATTTGATTTAGGTTTCTTATTATTATTCTCCTTTCTTGAGGGGTGATTTTCACTGAAATGTGAGTTTGTTCATTATACAGAGAGGATGTCATTCATTGTATGTGTTGCAGAAGAAATGTCCACTCTATGGATGTCAAAAGTGTTGTCTTGGAGGCTTCTCATGGGTAACTCAATGCAGTATTTTCATTGGTCTGTTCAGGGAAGAATTTACTTTTGCAAAGTATGAAAGCAATGAAAAGAAGCTGAGCGTAGCGATAGTACCCTGGTGTAAACCTGCATGTACACCTAGTAAAATTTGGAAAATGAATTCACTCTGCTTCAGATTTCATTTCCCCCCTATTAAATCAGAGTACAACACAGGCATCACAAAATCTGCCATAAATAATTTTTCACAACCGTCTGCTTCACTTTTGAGTGCCCTGGACTCTCTCCAGCCATAAAACCTGGATCTACTTTTACCACTAAAGAGGATAGTCCCCCTTGGTTAGGGCTGAAGAAGTTGAAATTGAAAAGGACCTGGCTGTTCAGGCAGATACTCTGCATGCTGTATCTTCTGCAGCAAACAGACAGGGATTTCGCCGTGGAGTTGGGCAAGTCCTCGAAAATCTTGACAAGATTTATAAATAAGATACGGTGTTTATTTACTATTTTGAAAAACTTTCCATTGTGCTCTCTTTGGTAATGTAATATGATATATATTTTTGCCAAGAATAGGGTGTGGTTGCTCAGCGGCTTAGCTGATCATGAAATGTCATGCTTAAGACTTGAGTCAGAGCATCAAAACAATGCACTTCTGCAATGAGAGTGCCAACAGTTTTCCCACTTTTTCTACTAGAGTCAACTCTATTCAAGTTGAGAGCATTAGTAGGTTTTCCTGTTACTATGTCTATTCATGACTCAGATAATATTCTCGGCAAATCTTGATTTTATTCTTGCTTGCTTCTTCATTCTGAGGATATCATCCACCCCTGCAGCCTACCTTCCTCCCACTTTCCTTTTATCCTTCTCTTCTCTCCCTGTTTCTTTGTCAATTTTTGATTAGTAATGTCATTATTCTTGTGTGGTTTAAAACCAAATGGGAAGAACCATATTTACGAATTGCTTTCCAAAACACTCAGCAATGTGGGTTAATAAGCTCTCAATTTTTACAGTTACCTAATACATCTAACTCCTCAAACTTTAGTCTCCTTAGTTCTGCTGGAGATTTGAGAATCAATTTTTGTAAAATTTGATACTGCTCAATGTTCAATACTTTCCCAAAGGGTCTGATTAACTAAGCCAGATGGGGTTAGTAAACTGACTGGATTAACGAAGTCATGATGGGGCTCTTTTGCAGGCAAGTTCCCTGGGTGCAGAGATTTGGTGACTCCTGTTCACTTCTGTAACTCCAGTGTCTAGAACAAAGCTTGACTATTCTAAGATAGTCAATAAATATTTATTGAATAAATAAAATAACTAGTGAGGTAAGGCCTCAAGTGCAACAGAGGACTTGAAATCAAAAGGTCTAGGTCCATGCTAGTAAACTAGGATCGAGAGTGGTACATCAACTATGTCCAATAAAACACCAATAAAGTCTGACCAATGAAATACAAAAGATACACTGTTTATGAGGTATTATTTCCTGGATGATATAATTTGTAATATAAAAAACAAACATTCTATATTTCACTATAACATAAGCTGCTTGAGAACAGATACTAAGTTCTCAAATAATATTTATTTAATGAATGTCTAAATAATGGAAAATCCATGTGCATAGGACTATTGTCTCAAGCACAAATGTGGATTTTGAGTATAGGGCTTCTCCAACTCAGTTATTATGGCAACCTTAAAAGGCAAAGATAAGATCCCACCTTTTCCCCCTTTTAAACTATAATTCTAGAAAATTTTAGGCCTGTGTTATTTCTTTAAACACAAAGGTTCTGTTTAATATATGTCAGCTTATGGCAGCAAATACTGTTTTTTAAAATACTGTTGATAAGGGAACAGGACTTTTGCTCTGAACTCCTCAGAACATGCAAGGAAATATTTTTGTCATAAAATCAAAGGGCTGGGCTAGATTTGTTAAAGTCCCTTCAAGCTCTAGAATTTCATGACTCTGGCGTTTTCTTTTTTAAAAAACAAATTACCCATAATTACCCATGGGGAAGCAGTGCCTTTTAAAGTCACTCAGGATTTTGTCATTGGAGAGAAAATCCTCACTGACTGAGCACTGCCTGGATCGAATCTTTTTCCCGGTATATAAAGCCACAATAGAAAGCCTTTTTCCTCTAAGAATGCTCTGAAAATCTAGTGAAATAAGCTAATGAGAACCTATCATGGGACATAATTGACTCTGCGAATTTGACACTCGACATGAAGGAAGACACCTAAGTCTATGGAAGGTTAGGGCAAACTGGGTAAACTGTTCAGATCTCACATTAGCTGTTTTGTGGAATGGTTAAATCATTATTTTTCAACTGTGGGCAGTGATCCACTCACTAATAGGTCATGAAGTCAATTTCATCTGTAACAACCAGTATAAAAAATAGTTCAGAGTAGAACAGAAAATATTGAGTGTATCTCACATAGTAAGGATATGTATTGTTTGGTGAAACTTTTATTTCAGGTGTGTGTGTATGTGTTTCAGTGTAGGTATATACACACTAGGTCATCATGTAAAATTTATTTCTTCCAGTGGGACACACTAAAAAATGTTTGAAAACTCTTGGTTTAAATGAAAACAGCCTTTCAAGGTCCCTTCAAACTCTATAATTACTTCTATGAAATCCTGAACATCCTATGGGCATCCCATGCAATTGCAAAAAAAGGAGTAGGGTATGAATGGAAAGATTTCTTTCTTCAAAGGAAAGAAGCACCAAACAGATCCATTGATTCTGAATGCCAGAAGCCAAGATCACTGACCTCAATCTCTTCCATCTAATGGATTTGATCATACACACAGGTATAACCCCTATTCAGTGCTTGATGGAGGGTGGATGTCAGCTATGCCTAACAGTGACTGTGCATGAGCTAGACAGAATACAGGCCAGACAAGAGATTTTTGAATAACTTTGTATTGAAGTATAATATGCATATAGAAAACTGCAATTAGGAATTCTTTTTGCATCCTTAGGGGAAAGGAAAAGCATTATCACTTTCTCTAACTCCTCTTTCCTCCTCAGCATACCGCATTTCTGTCTAAGGCATGACTCAGAACCCATACTACTTTCCTGAAGACAGGAAGGGAAGTTCTGGAAGTGGAAACACCTCATATAGAAATTCTTCTGGTCGGGTGCAGAGGCTTATGCCTATAATCCCAGCACTTAAGGAGGCTGAGGCAGGAGGATCATTTGAAGCCAGGAGTTCAACACCACCCTGGGTGACAAAGTGAGCTACTGTCTCTACAAAAACTAAGAAAAAAAAGGCATGGTGGCGCATGCATTGTAGTCCTAGCCAGCCACTCAGAAGGCTGAGGTGGGAGGATCCCTGGAGCCTAGGAGCTTGAGGCTGCAGTGAGCCATGATCACACCACTGCATTCCAGTCTGGGAGACAGTGAGACCCTGTTTCTAAAAACAAAAAAAGAAAGAAATTATTCCCTCCTTAATATATGTCTATAAAACATTTTTTCCGTGATTTTATTTTAACTGATGTGTCACTATTCCTCATTTATTCCCCTTTTGTAAACCATTTATCAAAATAGTTTTTTGCTTTTTTTAAAGTAATATCTCAACATTAGCTCAGTAACTGGGAAGGCTTCAGCACTCCAGTATAATATAAATAAAATGCATAGAAAAGTAGTTTTTCACTGTGTGTGGAGTTTAAAGATTTTGAAATGTGGGGTGACAAAATGATAAACAGATGATGAAACAGTTTCTTTCAAAACAAAAAATTGCATACTTTTACTGAGGGCCTCACTTATGTCCGGGACTGTTCTAGATGCTAAATGAATGAATGAGATAGCCACGTAAGATCTCTGATTCTGTGGTGCTTCCATTCCAGCCAGAGGAGAAAGGTATGGAAAAAATTAAATAAATGAACAGGGTAATTTCAGATAGCAGTGAGTGCTATGACCAAAAGCAAACAGGAGTAGCTTCATGGTGGGGTTGAAGTGCAAATCAGATTGAGGTGGCTGTTCAGGGATGACCTTTGAACCAAGATCACAGTGAACAGGAAGGTGGTAAGCCAGGGTTTCTAGGGAAATTAAAGCAAGTTGGCGTGAGCACTAATATTTAATTAGTCCTTATTTAAAAATCTCCTAAATTGAAAAGAAAACAAAATAGAAATGTGGTAATCGAATAAAAAGAAATCCAGGCAGTGAAAGACTTTTATAGAAGTTAATTTTAAATGAATCCATTAGGTACTAAGGGAAGGGCCTCTACTTACCTTTGTTCAGGCTGCCAATGATGTCCCTGGTGTTATGTTCCCATAACACCCCTGACTAGTGCAGCTCACAACCTTGGCAGCCTGTGTAAGAGATTTTATATATTCCAAAAGGAAAATCTAGTGGACCAAGCAATCAAGAGTACCACTGAGGAAGTATGCAGCAATGTGTTAGCTCAGGATTTCCAGTGTGGCAGGAGGAGGCTGCATGGGAGCCACACTCAACTGATTGGTTATTCAAGGCTTGTTAAGGACCAAGGCCACTTATGCACACTTACGTAGACCTTCGCTAGAGTCTGAGGAATAATTATAGCCTCAATAAACTCAAAGGAGTATGAAAAACTTGAAAGCTGTTCAGAGGAAGTCAATGAAGATGATTAATAATTGAATAATGGGGTCTCTGAGAAAAGGTATAGCCAAACTGGAATCACTTAGCTGGGATTATTTATCTTGGTGAGGACATAGCCAAGGTATGGCTTAATAGGGCCTTCAAGAATATGAAAGGTAACGGTGACTAACTGTTCTTTATGACTTCTAGGAAGAGAACAAGTTGAAATGGGAGGGCTTTTAGTCAGAGATAAGAATTTTTGGATTAGAAAGTATCCAAAACACAGTGAGTTACCTAGCAAGCATTTTGGGTCTCTTTCTTTAAACTGTAAAATGGGGGCTATTAACATAAGATCCTTGAACCCCTTCCACATAGATGGGGATAGTGATTCTTGCCAAGTTCAATGCAAAATTGTGTGGGTATATGTGTATGTATGTACATTTTGGGGGTGGGGGTGGGAAGAGATTGGCAACTTTTATTAGATTGGGTCCATGCCCAAAATGTTTAAAAACCACTGCTTTTAAAAAACGGATTATATTCTCATCTGTTTAGATCAGCTGAAGAGCACTTTGGTCTGAAGAAGGAAAGTGAATTAGAGAGGACTTTTCAATTTGCTTAGCAACTTATAAGCTCTTTAGGTGACTCTGAGACCTACCTGTATGGCTGTCCTAAAGATTAAAAAAAAAAAGATTAGGAGTTTAACGTTAGGTTTAAAAAATTATATTAAAGTGCAAAATGCATTTATGAATATATACAGAAATACTTGCCATAAAACTGGGGGGTAAGTGGTACCAGCTTAGAAACATTTGCAACATATGAGCAAAGGGAGAAAGGTATTCTGTGGAATATTTAAAACATATGGTTTTTGTTTGTATTTCTTCCAAATGTTTGAGAAAAGTGAACAATTTGTACCTGTATACAATCGTGACTATGAATACGCTATTCTGTTTTAACAAAAAATGTATTTATAAGCAAGCAGTAAAATACTGAAAGAAATCATAATGTTACTAAGTGGGAGACTATCAAGTTCCATATTAAATTTCTCATACCTAAAGCTTACTTTGCAATAAACAGTAATTTTAACTTGATGGACTAAACAGTTTTCAATAAATATAAATTTTAGAGATCCACAGGAAGTAGTATAGTAAAAATCATAATCAATTTGGCATACAGATAATATTCACACCCACCCACCCTATGAATTGTGCAAGGTGGGGGTGGGGAAGAATTGCAGTATTTGTGAAACAGGTGAAACATTAAATTCTATTTTGTTTTACCTCCATATGTGGAGCAATAATAGAATATACATAGTTTATGAAGCCTAAAAACTCACTTGTACCTTTGAAATAAATGTGGTTGGGTTTGCCTATGATTGTAATCATTTTTCTAATTTGCAAACCAGTAATAATTTCATTTTTGATATAAAATAATTATATTACAAAACACAATAAAAATTTAAATTCACATTAGCCTCGGCTCCATTATTTTAAAAAGGTGGAATAATATAAACTAGTAGAAAAATTAAGGGCCAGAAATAATGAGATAAAGTGGGATTGGAACTCTGTTTTCTGGAATCCTGACCTGGTAGCACAAAATGCAAGCCTGAATTGCCATAACAATAACTGAGAGGGATAGGTGTGTTCCCAGACATATCGAGACATTTGCATCAAGTCATTGGTCTCTGTGATGGGTAATTTTAGGTGTTGACTTGACTGGATTAAGGAGTACCTGGAGAACTGGTAAAGCATTATTTCTGGGTGTGTCTGTGAGGGTGTTTCCAGAGGAGATTAGCATGTGAGTCTGTGGACTGAGTGGGGAAGATCTGCCCTCAATGTGGGTGGGCACCATCCAATCGGCTAGGGTCCTGGATGGAACAAAAAAGGAGAGAAAATAATTTTCTCTCTCTTTCATGTAGTGGGACAGTGTCCTCCTCCTTTCCTTGGATATCAGAACTCTAGCTTCTCCAGCCTTGGGATTATATGATTTACACCATCAGCCCCCTGGATTCTCAGGCCTTTGGCCTTGTACTGATATTTATTCCACTGTCTTTTCTGGTTCTGAGGCTTTCAGACTTAGACTGAGCTATGCTTAGGGTCTCCAGCTTAGAGATGGCCTGCGATGGAACTTCTCAGCTTCCATAATCACATGAGCCAATTCCCCTAATATGCCTCTTGCATACCGATATCTGTATCTGTCTATCTATAGGCAGATATTGGTTCTGTCTCTCTGGAGAACCCAGACTAATACAGATTTTGGTACTACGAGTGGTTCTAGAGGAAGATAATTATAAGAATGAGTTTCCTTAATTGGCTTGGGAGTTTCTAGAATTTGCTCACTAATCTGATTAGATCAAAAAATGCTAAGGACTCTGCTTCTAATAGCACAGAGAGCACTGATAGTTCATGGAATGAACTGTTTACAGAGATACAAAAAAATCTGCATTTCATATTCCTAATCAACCACTTATAAGTGGCCAAGAAATTGGCTAAATTATTTCCATCCTGTAGGACTTTGGGGAAGGTGGAATTTAAGAGTGATAAACTAGGGTATCTGGCAGGAGAGATTTCCAAGCAAAATATTGAGGGAGCTGTGTGGCTAATTTTAATTGAATAAAGTAAGCTGCAAGAGAAAAGAAATGACTTAAAGACATAATTTAGAATTAAAAGAGAAGCAAAACTAAAAAGATTTTGAAAAATTTCAGCCTGGCCCTGAAAAAAATTAAAAAAGCATGTTCAGATGACAAACCAAGGGTGTGGCCAAGTGACCATTTGCTAAGGAGATTAGTATAGATAGATAATAGAAGGGATCATTAAGTCAATAAGAGAATGATACTGAAGGCATTTCAGAGCTTCATGGCTGCCCCTCCCATTGCAGGTCCAGAGCTCTAGGAAGGCAGAATGGTTTGGAGAGACCAGCCCAAGGCACCCTCCACAGGCTTGTCACCCAGAGCTACCTTGGGTCTCTGCTCTCTGCATTCTGGCACTTTGCTCCTCATCCACCCTTGCTATAGCCCAAGCAGGCCCAGGTGAGGCTCATCCTACTGCTCTGGAAGGTATAAGCTGTAAACCTTGGCAACGGCTACATGGTGTTAATTCTGCAGGTGCACAGAGAGCAAGAGCTGTGCGGGCATGGCTTCCTCCATCTAAATTTTGAAGGATGTCATGGACAGCCTGGGGGCTCAGGCAGAAACTTGTCACAAAGGCAGAGCCACTGCGGAGAGCTCCTACTATGACAAAGCCTATTGGAACCTTGGAAATGGGGCCACCCCTGGACCCAGAACTATAGAGCTACCAGCTTACAGCTTCAGGCTGTCAGAGCTGTAGGCCTGGGGCTCCAACCTACGTGAGCTGCTGGTGGACTAAGCCCAGCAAAGTCAAAGGAATGAGGCTGCGTGAGGCCTTGGCGGCCCAACCTCTACCCTAATGTTCCCAGGATGTGAGACATGGAATCAAAGATTATTCTCCAGCTTTAAGACTTAATAGTGTCTTCCCTGTTGGGTTTCAGACTTATTTGGAGGCAGCAACCCCTTTCTTCTTGCCTATTTCTTTTATAATGGGAATGTCTATCTTATGCCTGTCCACCATTGTATTTTGGAGTTAGATAACTTCAGTTTAATAGGCTTGTAGCTAGAAAGAAATTTGACTTAGGATGAATCATGCCTGGAGTTTCATCTACATCTGATTTAGATTAGACTTTGGACTTTGGACTTTTGAGTTGGTTCTGGAGTAAGTTAAGACTTTTGAAACTATTGGAATGGAATGAATGCACATTGCATGTGAGAAGGATGTGACTTCGGGGATTAGTGACAGAATACTATGGTTTGAACGTATTCTCCAAGTTCATGTTTTGGAAAGTCAGCCCCAGTGCAAGTGTTGAGAGGTTGAACTTTTAAGAGGTGATTAGGTCATGAAGGTTCTGCCCTTGTGAATGGATTACATTATTATTATAAAAGTGGGCTCATTATCTTGAGAGTAAATTTGTTATAAATGGGAGCTTGGGGCAGGGTGCGGTGGCTCATGCCTGTAATCCCAGCACTTTCGGAGGCTGAGGCGGGTGGATCACCTGAGGTCAGGAGTTTGAGACCAGCCTGACCAACATGGAGAAACCCCATCTCTACTAAAAATACAAAATTAGCCAGGCGTGGTGGCACTTGCCTGTAATCCCAGCTACTCGGGAGGCTGAGGAAGGAGGAGAATCGCTTGAACCTGGGAGGCAGAGGTTGTGGTGAGCTGAGATTGTGCCATTGCACACCAGCCTGGGAAACAAAAGCGAAACTCGGTCTCAAAGAAAAGGGGGAGCTTGGACCTCTCTTGCTCCCTCACTCTCATCCTCTCTTGCCTTTGCATCTTCCACCATGCAACATGAGGGCCCTTGCCAGATGTGGGCCCTTCAGTCTTGGACTTCCCAGCCTCTAGAACTGTAAGAAATAAATCTCTCTTCTTTGTAAATTACGTAGCCTGTAGTATTCTGTTATAGTAACACAAAATGGACTAAGACAGTCTCCATCCTTTTCAGGCTTGAAGAAGAACTGTGTGCAACAAAACAACGAGTTCAGATAGAGTAAATTAGTAACACATGGAGCTGAAATTTGTAAGGTTTCATTTCCGGGGTAGCCAGATAAACAAGTATATTTACACAAGAGCTGGTTGAGTAATAGAAATTTTAAGCTAATGCTTATGTAAGTGGCAATAGCTTTTCTGAAAGTTGCTCAAGTAATGGTTTCAGTAACACAATTCTTCTCTTCTGTCCATTCACATGGCTATAATACAGGTACACATAACCATATTTAGACAGGTAAAGCTGTGTTCAATTTGCAGGTATAAAATCGTATGGAAATTGTAGACATAAAATCACTTCTAAACTAATTATAAGCTAGGTTGAAAAAATGACAGCAAGTTATCTTATGTGGCGATCTTACCATAAAAATTGGTATACTAGTATGCCCTTTACATTGAGGTATGCATGGAGGTACCCAACATCTTTCCAAGGAGTATGCAAACATGATTGTTTCAAGGAAAAGAATATTCTCAGCTTTGATAAAATGGTTTTCCTTGAACTGAACGGCAGGAGAATGCACATGCAGCTGTGGTGTGCTGATGGCTTCCTATCCCAATCCCCCTTCTTACAGCATGTTTCTTTGACTTTTCAAAAGTACCTGAAACTTACCTTGGTGTCTTACCCCTGGGTATAAAACTCAGGACCCCAAGCAAATGAATGATTCAAAATACTGGTTTAAATGAAACTCCTTTAATTAAGTAACCACAAACCCAGACTACAGTTCTTGTCTTTCCCTGTTTTATACAATTTTTTTGTAAAAGCAAAGCATGGCTTTAGAAGCAGGATATTTTACTCTATGTAATGATATTCTGAATCCAGATATACTGTAGAGTGGACAATGGAAATGATGACATTTTTCACTTAACCATGTTGCCTCTTCCTACTCTCTCAACTATTGTCAAATAATGAATCACTTCAGAGGTTGTCTAGTGACAACAAAGCAAAGGGAGTTTGGTAAGTTTGGTAAAGGGGATTAACTTACTTTTTCTGAGTCACAGAAAAGTTCTATGTGGTGTGTGTGTATACACACATATGCACATATATACATACATATATATGTATACATAATATATATATCTATATATGTATATATGAATCTGGGTTCCTAGAATTAAAAAGAGATATGGTTTTCATGCAGCTACATATTAACACATCCATTTCAACTGAAAGATAAAATTGACCTTTTCCTAACTGACTTTGCTGATTTACTTACATGGCAAATATATTTTCATTAATTGAGTGAGCTAAATTTGTACCTATAAAGTGTGTTTTTTTAAAAACATCAAGTTTATTGAGGTATAAGTTGAATACAGTAAAATCTACCCATTTTGGGCATTCAATTTTATGAGTTTTGACAAATGTATACAATCATGTAACGACCACAGCAATCAAGATATAGAATATTTCCATCGCTCCATGAAATTCCCTTGTGTCTTGTTGTAGTCAGCCAGCTCCACTTTTTATCACAGAATGTACATTCGTTGTATGGATGTTCCATAATTTCGTTACCTATTTACTAGTTAATGGACATTTGGTTGCTTCCAGTTCTTGGTGATTATGAATAAATCTATTACAAACATTCCTGTACATATATTTGCATGGAGAAATCTTTTCATTCTCTTGTATAAATACCTAGGAATGGGATTGCTGAATTTTATGCTAGGTGTATATTTAACTTAATGTAAGCAGCTGCCAACCTATTTTCTGAAGCACTCTCCCATTTTGCATTCTCACTGCCATGTCAGAGAGTTTTTCTGCAACCTTGCCAGCACTTACTACTGCCAGTTTTTAAAATGCCAGCCATTCCACTAGGTATATAGTAGTGTATTATTGTGGTTTTACTGTGCATTTGCCTAATGACTAATAACGTTGAAAAAGCTTTTCATGTGCTAATTTGACACCTGCATCTATCATCTGTATCTATTTTCTGTTTAGATCTTCTGTCTAATTTTTATTGGGTTATTTTCCTATTACTGAGTTGTGAGAGGTCTTTACATATTCTAGACACAAGTCCTTTATCTGATATGTGTCTTTGCAATTACAAAGTATTGGAAACAGTATATTTAAAACACAGGATGTGATAATATCATTTTATCAAAATAAAATGTATTGCCAAAGATATATTAGCTATATTTCAATTATCCTAATTATTTCTGAATATATTAAGTTAAACAAGTTTCCTCTAAGAGAAAAACCAACAGATATAATTAATAGTCATATGTTAAGTCTTGGTAAAGCCCTTTAGTATTATACATTCCAGAAAGAAAGAAGGCAAATGGCTCTACGACTGTGTTGGCTCTAATCACTGTTTTACAAATCATTTTGCATGTCAAGCTATTTAGATTTTTAAATATAAATTATATAATTATATTTTTAAATTATATAATAGAGTTGCTAGCTGATAAACTAAATTTAATTTTTGATCATTAATTACTAAGTGATTTTTGACATACAACTCAGAAAAAGTTCAAAGAATTTATGCTATTTCAGAATTCCTCCCTAAATCCCCCCAACTCATGCTTTTTATATAATCAGTGCTCTTCTCACTCACATGAATAAATGCGGAAGTTAAAAACAGGATTTATGAGTAACTGTGTCTCACTCTGGCAAGAAATGTTTATCCACTGATGAACTACTTAAGAGAAAAGAAAACCCCCATATATTTTATTTAGTATTTTCAATAAAGCATAGTATAAAAATTTATATTATTTGTGCTATTATTTGATATTAATAATACTTGAAATAATATATCACTCACATAAATTTTAAACATTCGAGCCTTGTAACCATAGAGCATTTTTTAAAATTAAACTTTAAAATTAAATTTTACTTTCTATATATTTTTTGCAGTAAGGTATACCTGGGCAGCCATACTTTTGGTTCTTTTTTATTTTGCAGAAAGAGGAAAACTTTCAATCATAAAATATACTACGTTATGATAGCATGAGTCTAAAGAGAAAAGAAAATGAGATAAATGTCCAATATATTTACTTTTATGAATAACTGAGTATCTAACTGGCATGGTATTTACATTCTAGCAGAAACATCTACAATTAATATTTATAATTTTCCAGATATAACTTCCTTTGCAACTATTTCAACTTATGATGATGAATTTTAAATGCCAACTTACAAATGTGCCTGTGGTCGATATTTTCTAAATTCTTTTAGGGGTTTAAAAGTAAAAATTTGGAAAGGTAGGTCATGACCTTTATAATTCTTTCCCTTTTCTCCCTGGCAGTTGTGACATTTGGCCCTGATCTCATTGTCCTAGTTTCAAACTTCTCAGTTTGTGGTTACAATAGCAATAATTTTCCCCTGACAGCAGGTGGATGGCTAGCTCATCCAGTGTCCTGTGTCCTTCCCACACTGGCTGGCTGGCAGCAGAACCTTGACTGTCCATGCCAAACTTCTTTCTCCAAGCCTCCTCCTTAACATTCTTCCTGAGCAGCTCAACAAAATCATCATAAAAGAACAAAATACCCAGAGTGGTTCTTAACTGGGTATTCCTAAGTGTATAAAAGAATTTATTACTGAGGCTTGGGGTTTTGTTTATTAATTGATTTTTGTTTTCTCTTGTTTTCTGGGCAAATACTTTATGGCAGAGAGAGAGAGAGAGAGAGAGAAAGAGCGAGAGCGAGCACGCACACAAATCTCTTGTTTTGGTGGTCTTGAAAAGTGTTTTCCAAAGTTTTCAAAGCTTTGGACTGAAACCCATAAACCAAACCAAATTGCTCACATCCCACAAATGCACAACCATGTGTGCTCGACACCTGCAATTTTTTATACATCAAAGTTTGGGCTCTTCTGCATTCAAAGAGCTACTGTCACCAGGCCCCTGAGGGGCATGCATATAGAGAAAGGAAGCAAACTCATTTGGCAGAGAGGCTTATGAGACTCTCCGGAGGAAGGTACTCTATTTCAAGAAAGAATGAACAGCAATAGACATTCAGAAAGGGTCTAGCAAAGAGCTCCCTGAGGACTCTTTAGCAGTGTATGTCCTGCTAAGCCTCCAAACACACACTTATAATTGCGAGACATTTTGTTTTGCATCAGGTGCCTCTAACAGCCTGATTCCCCCATCCAGGACAATGTCATTGCTTTACTTTCTTTTAGTGGTTCTATTTTTGTCCCTTCCTTTTAAATACTGAACTGAGGTATTTGTGAAGTCTCCCTCCCTCCCTCTTCCCCACAGGTTTGGCTCTCATTTTCCCCATTATTTCAATGAGTAATGACACCAAGGGCATGAAGCCAGTCCTACCGGCACTGAACACTTTCCCCTTTCTACAAAATAAAGCAAGCACCAAACCAAACACGGCACAACATTCAGCTTCAGGGATTGTGACACATTTCCAGGCTCTCTTTGCTCTGTAGTAGAATTCTGGCTGTCATTCGGCATTTGGCTTTTTCTCACGGAGCCCTTGAGCAACCTTTATTTACCATGCACACTGACTTTCATTACTATATAATACAGAAAATATTTGCTTCATTATGAAGCCAGCTGAATATTTATTTTGATTTTGTTACTTGTGGTAAACAGAGTTCAAAACACTCTCTGCTACCACTGTTCCAAACTAGTCAAAAACTATGTAAACAACCCACATAGTGATTGTGTGACCCACATTTTGTGATTGTCTCACCTCCCCTTCCAGCACAAGGAAAGTTTTGTTTAAAAAAAAAAATGTTCATGTTAATTTGAAATTTTAAAGCAAGTTTTATCCCTCAAAACTGTCTTCAGTCCACACTTCTGACTGCCTTTATAGGAAATCACGTTACAATGAACTCCTTTCAAGGTACTTTTGGAACCAAACCTTCTCTTTGGATATGGTCCAAGGTAGGCCTAATTCTGTTCTAAGACAAGCACTATTACCCGAAAGTTCAAGAATACTATTTTTTAGATGACATAGGTAAGAACATGTTGAGAAAAACGTGTTTGCACCCAGATGCATTTTATCTGTATGAAGATCTACGTCAAAGGCTTTGCTGATTCTATTTTGTTCTAGGACCAATATGCCTTGTTTCCCTCAAGTTGCTTTAAAAGATTGATTTGGAATGGACCCATTTGGCCTTTTGTATGGTCCAGTTTCTGCACGTTCACATTACAATAAACATGTCAGCCCAATTGCCTGCACAGGCATCCTTGCTGGTTGACATTTTGTGATACTTTTTATAATCTGGTAGAATTCTAATTGATTTTAAAATCAATAAAACCCATACTTGCTTATTTTTGCATTTTAAAGAAACAAAAACAAATTTAGAGTAGCAGAACATTTTTAGTTCATGCCTTTAAATGCTTTCAGAAAACCAAGTATACCAGCACGAATCTAGACTAATATTTATGTCAACATTTTTTTCCCCCAGGCATATCTTCCTACAGAGAATTTGGGAGTGAGATTTAGTTTTCATCTTAGACTTAAGCCCATATATAGAGTTTCTGGAACGTCAATCCTAAAAGATCACTGTGGAGTTTCTTTTTTCCTTTTCCTGCTCTGTAAGACATTTATACCTCTACCTTTCTGCTAGAGGTAATCGCACAATTGAGCTAATGTAAATGTTGTTCAATACAGGAAGAAATCTTGGGTTCTGGGATGAAATCTGGAATCAAACTCTGGGTCCATCGCTTCCTGGTTATATTGTCTTAAGCAGGTTACTAATCTTCATGAACCACAGTTTATTCTATAAAATAGGGGGATGAATACCTACATGATAGGGTAACTATAAGGATTAAATATAAAAATGTTTACAAATATTTGATACAGTATTGTGCATATAGTCACTACTAGCTCCTTATAATTCTTAGTATATTATTCTGATTATTCTGATAATTGTACTTTTTTCACATGACAAAGATTAAATGTAGGTTTTAAAAAATATTGGATTTTCTAAATACATTCAAGTAAAGGTAAACTAAAAATGTTTTATAAAAATTCAACTGATGATAAAAAAATTTTTCAAGATGTCTCCAGTCAAGTAGGGAATCAAATACTTTCAGCATTTTGTATATGAGTCTTGGTTAGTATTTTCTTTTTTGGTGTACATTTGGTAAACTCTTTGTTTATCACAATATTTTTAAGTCTTCAGTTTACCCATCAATAAAATGGAATGACAAAATTTTGAAACCACAGAATAATATAGATACCAAATATTACTATTAACTACCTGTTTTGTAAATATGGGATATTGAAGAACTCTTAAATATACTGTGATTAAAAGATGTACCACAAGGGTATCATTTTGTATGTAGGAATGTAGGTGAACTCTAAAGATTTTGTCTTATCAAGTTCAAGGTTCAATTTATTTTTGCATTAAACAAACAAAGTCAAAGAGTTCATTATCCATGATCTTAATTTTTCCCCAAGGATAAAACATATATTTGATGCTTAATGGTGGTGACAGATTGTTTAGCTCTCAAATCAAAGGCTGTACTTTTAGCGGTGGCAAAACAGATACTGAAGAGAGAAACTGGTTATCACTGTCAGAACAATCGAGAAGAATTTCAGACTTCTTGAGGAGGAAACATCCCCAGCAAGGTAAGTTAATGTGTACATTTATTGTACTGAAGAATATCACAGTGTTTAAGAACTTGAGCTTTGGAGTTCAACTGACTGGGTTTGAATCCTGAATCTATAACATTCTATTTGACCTTAGGCAAATAAGTTACCTAAACTCTCTGACTTTCAGTTTTCTCACCTGTGAAATGAGGGTAATCGTAGTGCCTAAGAAGGCATGCTAAATACTTAGAAAAGGGCCTGGATCAGATTAAGTGCTCAACAGTGTTAGCTGTTGCTGATATTATTAGTCTCTTGGTAAGATACATAGACATATGTCTTTTAATAAATAGGAGGAAAGACATTAAATATGGCATTTCTGCACTTGAACAAAAGTTTTAAGGATGTTGCCATACCCTCCTGCCTGTGTGCCATCCCTTTGGCCTTAACTCGTACTACTATTATTATCTGCATCTGTTTTCCCTTTACCAATTGTTTAAGGTAAAGCAAAAGACATAAACCTGTTCTCAAGGAGTAGAATATTCTTACAATAGAAACTAATGTGTGCACAGGTGAAATACTGAGGATCTGCTTGAGGCCAATCTTCAAGCCTTATGTTTTTATCCTTATAGGCTAAAATTCAAAATAGTAGAGTCTAGTGAAATGTTACATATACGTAATACCCATTTTTCTCTTTGTTCACATGTAAGTCAACATTGGAGAACCATGAATTTTGGAATCAGAAAGACCTAAATTCAAATCCCATATCCACCATTTAGTAACAAACTTAGGCAAGTTATTTAGTCTCTCTGAGCTCCAATGGCCTCATCCATAAAAGGAATATATTACCCATTAGCTCAAAAGATCAATGTGAGGATTAAATAAGATGGCATTTGCCAAGCACCCAGCACAATGCCTCACCCTTAGTAGTTTCTCAATAATTTTTTCTTTTCTCATTCACTGCAAAAACTAAAAAAATAAAGATTCTAAGAATTCTCTAAAACCATGAAGCCATCGTCACACATGCTAGACATCATGGTAAACCCTGCAAGCATTATTTAGTCTATTTTATCCCCAAGTAAAATAACTTCTGACACATCCTCACAAAAACAATATCATTTCTATAGTAAATGCTAGTAACATAGTTGTTCCTCTTACTTAAATGTGAACATAATCTACATCTATGTCATTAGAACACAAGATCATCTCCATCACAGGTACTTATACTTCACAATTTCACCAATTAATAAAAAAATGGTTTACTACTTTATGGTTTAGGTCCATTTCTGTTGTGGCCTATACAGACAATCTATTCAAATGCATGTTGACAATATTATAGTCTATGTACAGAGAAAGTCCTAGCTTTTCTAAGATCGTTTTAACAGAGCTATAATCCATGTACACTGAATTCATGAGTTGGGCCACAAATATACAGCAGATTTCTCCATATCTTTGGGGAGAAACTAAAAGTCAGTACAGTACACACCTAGGCTGAAAAAGGACTGCAAAGTATCCAAACTTTCATTCACCCTGAACTGATTTATGAAGTCATTTTCTTTCTTATAATCTCCACATATTCATTTTCTTAGAAACACTCCTCCACTCTCTGTCTTCCAACACTGAATGAGTTCTATACCTATAACTCCCATGGCTTACTAAAGAGCAAAAGATAAAACCCTGAGAAGAATACCTCACTAACTTTGCCTTTTAATCTACTGCTGGCTTACTGAGAAGGTTCAGTTTTCTCCTGCAGATAATTCTTTAACATTTATGTAAGCAATGGTATTCATTATACACTGAAGGAGAAAGACAAAAAGTAATGTATCCTCAGCTAGATCATAAAAGGTTGTCAGCTCATCAGTGACTTCCTATGATGTCATCAGCAACAGGAAAGCTAGAACAGTTAAGCTTCTCAAAAACTGAAGATGAAATTACAACTTTAGTATTGACCCAGTTATGTGGCCTAGAGTGTGCAGCAGAGCTCACTTTAATATATGGCTCCTTATCCCTATAAAATACATCAAAGGCCAGATTTTCAAAGCCTTCTATGACTGGCCATTTGGAGAGAGGTATATCCAGGCCCCCAAAGCCTTCATTTTAAGCAGATGTCAGTGGCAATGGCAAAGCTAGAAATTGCAAGCACAGGCTTGTAAAGACAAAGTTTAACACCAGTCCTGACTAGGGAGGGGCTGGCATGGAAGGAGCCGGAACCATCACTCTGTTCTATAAAACCAGGTACTGTGCTGGTTTGTGGCAGGTCGTAGAAGGCTGAGAAGTTTAAATCCTATTTGCTTTTCCTTAGCCCTGCTCTCCCTTGGAGGGCAGCACCGACCAAATGACTTGCAGGCCACTAGGTGGCGCTCCCTTTTACCACCCAGTCTATGCATGACAGCAAAGCCAGCTGTCAGGAGCTCCGTCTTCTTAAAACGTTTAAAGATAAAAGAAAAATCTGTAAGGTTCTTCTCCTTATCATAGCAGCTAAAGGTATGTTACTCAACTAATTGTGAAATCCTGTAGTCAATATCATCTGAGACTATAAAAGCAAATATCTAGCACATTTGAGAGACTCAATAAATATTAAAGAAATATACAACTAAATTGAGGACCCATGATTTTTTTTCCTTCTTTTTGAAGACAGAAAACTATACATCCAACTGAACTGCTTGTTTGCAGAGTCATTTGAAAAGCCAGTGCCTCCCAGCTTTGAATTTTAATAACTCCCTTTGAAAGTCTGCATAGAAGATACGACTTAACCTTTACAAGTCCACATCAATCCTCTTAATAAACACCTGGCAAAATGTTAGAGAATGAAAGTTGTTTTCTTTTTTCTCTCTTTCTCTGAAATTTTCCTCAAACTTTGGAAATCTCACTACAGGAAAATAGAAGATTGGAGTCTGCTATGTAGATAAAAATATACACTTATCACACATCCTAAGTTACTTTGATGTATAACATTCCCTTTAAAGTTTAAACCAAACTCTTTGATACAATGGCTCTTTTAGAATAAAGCTCTCGTTTGTCTTCAGAAGATATTTTGAATTTCATCTATGGAGAGTGTTAAAGGACAGGAAACTTTTAATACACAAGGTAATAACAAAAAGCCACCTGCTCTTCTATAGCCAAAACTTTATTCACAATTGTTAGGTGTGTTAGAATAATAACCATTATCATCCAGCCATCCCAAAGTAGCCATTTAGTGGATTTGGGTTTTCATTTGGCATTAAAAATTATTATTATTACAACATATATTTTGCCTTTTAAATGTCTGCACACTTGTGCAGCACCAAAACTTAGTTAAAAATTGAACTGAGGACCTTTTGTTCCAGGTAATATAGATCAAAACTGTATTCTCTCAACCATTTGGAGAAACTGTATTTCAAAATGTTATCCCTCCCAGGCTGAGAGCATTACATTCTCTGCCTCCTGGGACACACATATTTAAGGTTTTTGTCTTCTTAGCATCTCCTATTATAGAAAAAAAAATGGATTCCTTTTACAAACTCAGCAGGTCTTTGAAGAGGCATCATGCCATTCTTCATCTTCTGACATTACACATGAGGCTTTAGCTTTGTTTGTATTTTCTGTAGTGAATTCTTTTCCTTCCCGTGGCAGTCCAGGGTGAATTTCCCAGATCTTCCTTTCTATCCCCAACAGAAAAAAAGCACTGGATCTGAAATCCTGTCTTATTTTAAAACTGATTAGAAGTGAGACATGTATAGCAGCCTTGTGACTAAGAACTAATATTTACCAGCCCACACAAACCTCTCAGTAGTCTGGATTTCCCCAAAGAGGGCCAGCTATTAGAAGAATGAATGGAGTCAGTATTTTCTTTCCTTTTTAAAAATTGAGATACAATTTCACATTCCATAAAATTCACTTTTTTGTGAGTGAATTAAAGTGTACAATGCAGTGGTTTTGACTGTATAAGATTGTACAACCATCATTACTAATTCCATAACATTCTTATTACCCCCAAAAGAAACCCCATTCCTCTCCCCACTCCCAGCCCCTGATAGCTACTAATCTACTTTTTGTATCTTATGGGTTTGACTGTTTTGAACATTAACTACAAATGGAATAATATTATATGGGCCCTTTTATGTCCGGCTTCTTTCACATAGCATAATGTTTTCAGGGTTCATCTATGTTGTGACATAAATCAGTGCTTCATTCCTTTTTATGGCTAAATAATATTCCAACATTTTCTTCTCTTTTGCCTGTCATAAATTGTTGTTCTTTGTTTGGATGAGCCGCTAATATGGGTCTACAAATGGTGTTAAGAAAAAGATTAACCTATTTGCTAAAATATTAATAGCTCAACCAAATAGATTTTGAAGTTAAGAAATTCCTGGTAGTCTGGTAAGTAAAAATAAAGCTCTTGATTTTCCCCTCTTCCACTTTCATATGTCAGTAATAATTACTGGAAAAAGTAAATGGCCCTTAAATATGACCATCTCTTCAAAATGATGCATCATATTAAAATTGCGGTAATTTTTAGGAAAGCCTACTTATAAAAAAGAAGTATTTGACTTTGAATTAAAGATATATATAATATATATATATTATACATCTGATAAAGTCTAGTGTTTACTAAAATAAAGTGTTGTTTTTATTTACCTAAAAATTTAACCTAAAATACTTTTCATAAAGTAGGACTGTTAGGCCAATTACAGCATCCTAGATGCTGATTGCAGTGTCTTGTGCTTATTGAATGAGCAGGATGGGTCCTTATCTCCCCTGTCATTAAACTTTTACGTTTTAAGATAGAGTCCTATATTTATAGTAGTATTTATAGAAACCTAACACATCTTTTAAACTGTACTAGTGATTTTACAGATTTGTTATTGTTTTTGTGGGTGTTCTGTTCACAAAGTTGCATGGGTACTGAGGGGTCTACCTCGATCTAATTTTCTCATGAGTCTGGTTCTAGTGTGTGTTTCCCAGGATGCAAGGTGTTTTCCAGAAATGCATATTGTACCATAGCAGAACTCCTGTATGTGTAAAAGCATAATCAAGAAGAATAATGCAAGGAAGTCTACCTGAGAATATTACCAAAAACATAATAAATACATTTTAAGAGAATTTTAAGCAGGGTCTGCAGTGGTTAGCTAGCTAGCACCACAGTGAGCATATCTCAGGGTGTTTGAGGAAGATTTAAAATTGAGTACAAATTTAAAATTGAATACACATAGTAAGTTACTGGATGGTGTGAAGTAGTGTACTATAGATTAAAAACTTAGGCTCAGACCACACGAGGAATCAGGAGTCAACCACTTTCTGATTATATGACCTTGGACACACAAATTATCCTTTTGTCATCTATCAAACGGCTGTATGAAGATGAAATGGGATAATAATATAAAGTGCCTAGAAACTTGCCTGACATTCCTCCAATAAGTACTGATAAAGCATTCAAGAGCCAGGCACTACATTAGAGTCTGAGAATACAGCAGTGAACAAAATACAATTTTAAGTCTTCATTTTTTAAAAAAGTTATTATAAGCCAGGAGCAGTGGCTCATGCCTGTAATCCCAGCACTTTGGGAGACCGAGGCAGGCAGATCACGAGGTCAGGAGATCGAGACCATCCTGGCGAACATGGTGAAATCCCGTCTCTACTAAAAATACAAAAATTAGCTGGGTGTGGTGGCGCGCACCTGTAATCCCAGCTACTCGGGAGGCTGAGGCAGGAGAATTGCTTGAACCAGGGAGGTAGAGATTGCAGTGAGATAAGATTGCGCCACTGCATTCCAGCCTGGGCGGCAGAGCCAGACTCCGTCCAAAACAAAACAAAGCTATTATAAAGATGTTTGTCATTTACTGATATCTTCCATATATTCCCCCAAACTGGGTGTCCTCAGTAAGGAATAACAATGAGCAAATTCAGTGTTACAGTGTTATCTGTTCTTTAATGCCTTACTGGAACACATGAAAGGAAAATGAAGACATAGGAACCGGGGGTGATTTGTTTCTAGACCATGATGAGGGACTTGGAATTTGCCAATGCAGGACACACAAGTCCCTGGCAGGGCGGTCATGACGTAGTGAAGACGACACCATGTTCCGTAAGATGCTTTCGGAATGCAACGTCCAGGAAGCCTCCAAAGGAATTTTGCAGGAAACCAATATGGATACTTTGAAAATAAAAGGAAAGGAAAAAAGAAAAAAAAAAAAACCTGTCAACAACCCATCACTGGCAGCAGGGGAGTGTGCATAAATGCGGGTGGGGGACAAAGGCTCGGGACTGGAGCTAAGCCGGTGTGAATCGAGGCTGCATGTGCCTGGGTGTAGTGGACCGTGCACACTTGGGGAAATGCACGTGGTGCAATGAGCCTCTCCATTTTCAGAATTGTGAGGGTGAGCGAGAGGGGCTGCCCGGCGTGTGCAGACTCTGCGCCGGCTCGTCTGTTTGGGTAAGCTGAGTGCAGGGTCCTCACTAGCTGCGGAGGAGTTGGCGCCGGGCACCCGGAGCCGCAGCCAACAACAGCAAATGGTGGCGGCGAGGAGGAAGCCTGCGGTGCTGCAGCCCCCTCTAGGGTAACATTCACGAGCTCGAGAAGAAAGCGAATGCAAGAGGGCAGTGCGGGAAGGGACACGCTTGAAACCCGAGCAAGGGGATGGGGCCGGAGAGAGGAGGAAGCCAGCCTTGGTTCCAAAATACTGCCGTCAGGTCCTGCTGACACCAAAGCAAAAACATCCCTGGCCACCCGAGGGGCTGGGAGGCCGCCTTCAGCTGTCCGTGGGGGTGGCTGCCCTGACGGTGTTGGGTTCCTAGCAAAAGATCAAAAGGCGAGCTCCCTACTCTGAAAGCAAAACTGGCCTGTGTTTTCCAGAGAGGAGCTCCATTTTCACCAGAAGTTATTTTTCAAAAATAACAAGTTCTGTTGATAGTCTTTCTCTCCCTCTATTTCTCTTATCATTCCTATCCTTTTTTTTTTTCTCCATCTCTCCCCCTCCTTTCTCTTCCTATGATTAAGACTAGAAACGTGCAGTAAATGCTTTCAGGTCACATAACGCCAATGAAGAGACTTTAGATTCTGCTTGATGTTATCTGGCCTGATGCAGAGAATAAACAAAACCCAGCATACCACCATCAAGCACGCGTTAACAAAAGTTCCCTGGCTCCTCACTGACTCAAGAGTGACCTTGATCCTCTCCTTCCCGTTCCAGCAGGCAGCAACAGCAGCGGGCATTAGCAGACAGGGGTGTATAAGTGCCCGGGGAATGGCGCCTGGTCTTGGCACTGCGAGTGTATCAGTGTTAACAGCTGGGGGCATAAGTCATGCTTAATCAGGATTTAGTGGCAACTTTCAGTCTCAGATTAGCCCAGCTAGCAGGCAGGGGCTGTGTTCTTGCCAAAGCTGGGAAGCTCAAAAGGTCATGTGATCTCCTGGGGTTAATACTGGTATTTAATGAAATGCCTTGCTTATCACTGTTCTGGGTCAAGAGCTTTGTTTGTCACTGAGAAGAAATCACTGCCAAATATAATATGATCTAGTATTGTGGGTAGCTTTCTTTAACTCTCAAAAGTTATCTCTGTAACTCAGACCCTAGAAAGCCAGTTAGCTAGAAGCAAGTTCAAAAAGAATTCAGAAAGGGAGGTGGTGGGGGTGGTTAGGAAGGCAGGTCAGTAGACAACTTCTGTGACATCCTAAGGAGTTCAGACTTGGCCCTGTAGCAGTGAGAAGGCAGTTAAGGATTTTAAGCATTGTGCAAAACAGAGTAATAGACTGCAGTCTGTCATGACTAGAAGAAGGGGTCTCATTGGAAGAAACTGGAGGGACAAATCAGACTCTGAACAAAACTAGCAGCACTGGGGATGGAGCAAAGGGATTGAATACAAGATATATGAATGATGTAAAATTTACAGGCCATGGTGACTATTTGGACACGGGACATGGAGAGAAGACTGCTCTGGCAGCCTAGGTAGGTGGATGCTGTTGCTGCTATTGAGGAAGTTGGGAAATGAAGATAAGCAGTGGATTTGCAAGAGGGTTGGAGTGGAGATAGTGAGTTCAGTTTTGATGCGCAGAGTGTCCCCCTCCATGTGAATCCCTCTTAGCCACCGAGAATTGCCTTGTCCAAGATTACAACCATCCTAGATGGTGACCCACAGCCAATGACTGGCTGATGCTCAGATAACAAGGCTGAGCCACCCTGGCTTCAATTTGAGACAGTTCTGAAGGGTTGTTTTAGCTCTAGAGTGTCTGTTAGGGTTGGCTACAACTTTATGGTGGGTCAACTTTTCCCTCCACCTACTGCTCCTGCCTTCCTTACGGGTGTATCTCTCAAGGGCACTCTGCAACAAACATTTTTGCAGGAAGCTCTCCACCTCAGAGTCTGCTTCCAGGTAATGCTGTATAATACAGTGTAGGAGAAAGGATTCCATGATGATGGCTGAGAAAAAATGATGTGGTTCTGGAAACTAAAGAGGGATTTTCCAGGAGGAGGGGGGAATCAGCAGCATCAATTACTCATAGAGAGGTAAAGTAAAATAAGAGCTGAAAAGTGTCTGCTGAGCAACACAGAGGTAGGCCATGGGTGACCTGGGCAAGGGCAGTTTAAAGGAGCAGTGGACTGGAGACATACTGGGCAATTGGGGAAGTGCAGAGAGGCCATGCAGAATACTGTTTGAAGGAGCTTGTCTGTTGAGATAAAGGGAGCCAACGTGGTGCAAGGTAAAGAAGGATACAGAATCAAGTGTTCCCCTGATCAGAAAAGAACTGAGTAGAAGTGAAATAAACAAGAGCAAGAAAGAGGATGCTGATATTGGGAAAAGAGCAGAGCATGAAAAGAGTGATGTGCTTGAGGAGGTGCATGGGATGTGGTCCAGAGCCATGCCTTTCTCTGACACTGACCATAGAGAGGTGTGAAAGAAGGAAATGGAAGAGGTGAGTGGCTGGACACCTCCTCCTAAAGCAAGCCCCACATCCTTCCCCGAGCATTTACAGTCCTGCACAATCTTCTTCAGCCTCTACTTCTGCCCTTATTTCCCCCTAGCCTCCTTCAGACTTGTAATCCTCAAACCAATCTAGACCCCTGCAAACCCTCCAGGGTGCCCCCAATTCTATTACTGTTAAATCTGGTTCTTGCTGTTTCCCTGGCCTGCCCTTCCAGCTTTATGCAAAATTATCTGTTTAAACACGTTTACCTACTCTTTAAAGTAAAAGGTCAAATATTTTCTAACTGCATGATATGGTTTGGCTCCATGACCCCACCCAAATCTCATCTTGTAGCTCCCATAATTCCCACCTGTGGTGGGAGGAACCCCGTGGAAGATGACTGACTCATGGGGACGGGTCTTTCCTGTGCTGTTCTCGTGATAGTGAATGGGTCTCATGAGATGTGATGTTTTAAAACTGGGAGTTTCTCTGTACAAGCCCTCTCCTTGCCTGCCACCATCCACGTAAGATGTGACTTGTTCCTCCTTGCCATCCGCCATGATTGTGAGGCCTGCTCAATCTTGGGTATGTCTTTATCAGCATTGTGAAAATGGATTAATACACCACATTCCTCTGCTCTCTGTCCTGGCCTCACAGATCTCTTCAAAGGTCCAGTTCACTTCCATTTCCTCCTAGAATACTCTCTGTCAGAACCCTTCCCTGGACTTCAAGTCTCCTAGCTAACCAAATCGATCAGAGCCCCTACTTCCAACCCCTCCTATATATTCTCATAGTAGTGTGTTCCTTCATAACACAGATCAGTGTTGCAGTTACATATTTGTGTGAGTATTTGAACAATTCTGGTTTCCCCATTAGAATACAACTTTGTGAAGTCAGAGACTCACCATGACATCCCCAGAGCAGTGTCTGGCACATTTATTGGTTGGACAAATAAATGAATATTTGCTAAAGTCTACCTTAAGGTTTTCTCACTTATGAAGAGACTAAAGATATAAATTCTATAGTGACAGAGGCCATGTATTTTCATCTTTTTATTTCCTAAAGTATCTAATATAAGTCCTTGTACAATAGGCACTCAATATACCATAACTGTGTGAGCAATAAGCCTTTCTAAAAATGATTCTTGAAAAGAATTACTAGACTGTATAATCCTAGAGCAGACTGGTTTTTGGAAATGCTGTGCCATGACATCTCAACTCCCTCTTTGACTCTTTTATGCATTCACAAGTTACAAAGCATGCATTTAGCATCTATTGTGACCCAGATGTTGCACCAGGTGTTAGGGATACAGTGGTGATCAAAGCCAGATGTGGTCCCTGTCTTCATGGAGTTCCCAGTCTAGTAGTTGACTTAGACACCAGTCGAAGAATCACATACATGAAAAATTCAACTGTGGTTATGATCTTGAAGAAGCACCTAGAACTGAATACTGAATAAGGTGATACCAGCAAGCTGGGGAAGGGTACTAAATGAGATGGGAGAGGTAGATTCAGCCAGATCTTGCAGGGCAGGCAAGTCATGTAAAAGACTGTAGGAGCCATTTGAGTGTTTCAATTCAGGGTGGGAGTGACATTAACCAACTGCATTTCCAAAATATCACTCTGTCTTCAGGATAGAGATGCCATACCTCTTGCAGAATTTTCTAACCACCTGCCTAATCTACAGGAACTGTCCAGGTATTCTACCTATTTTATTTTCTTCAAAATCTTTATTACTCTTGAACATTTTCTTTTCTTTTTCTCATTTTCTGTTCTCATGTGTCCCACCTGCCTGCTCTAATAGAAAGTTGGCTCCATGAAGATGAGGAATCTTGTCTATCTTGTTCTTTACTACAGAGTGTATACAATAGTTCCAGGCGTACTGTAGGTTTCCATAAAAATTTGCCAAAATTGAATTTTAATTTTTGTGGTTGGGAGGTGAGACAGAAGGGATGCATGGTGGAGCTTCTGGGAATAATATCATTTCTTCTTTACTAACCGAGCACAGCCTCTTGTTTTTTTCATGAAAATGGGCCCATAAGGACCTTGCCCAAAGCTTTTATGACCCTGAATTCTTTTAAATAAGATAATTTTAAAAACTTCTAGAGTCTCTTAAGAGCTGCCTTGATAGAACTAAACGTAGGGCTAAATATACACATGTATTCCCTCTATAATTGCTCTTTTCTAAGCTGCTGAAGCTATGATCTACGAGCTATTCTTCCTGTGTAGGAAAAGTTACATAAAAGTTCAGCATCTCCTGGCTAGATGATTTGTTATGATAACCTACCTGTGTGAAACACTAAAATTTACAGTTTCTAACAGCTCTTTGGATTGGTGAAAAGATATGAGAATTGCAATTAGCATTCCCCTAAACAGCAAAGCATTATATGGACACATTCTGTATTGAATCCAGTAGAAATTCCATTTTCTATATGTCAGGACATATACACATTGTGGAACAGATCTGTTACAATTTTATGAGTCATTTTGTTAAAACTTGTGGAACTATTTGAAAACTTTCCTAGTCTACTCTTAAGTGTGTAGTTTAGATTGCAGCCAGTAGTTAGGTTTAATTAGCTTTGAGTGAATAAATGAAGTTTTCTGCTCAGATCTCTGGGATTAATATAAAACTGGTGATAAAATCATGGTTTCCTTTTCAAATTTTGCCTTGAATTCGACCTTTCTGAGTAGTTGCCCAGTTTGAGCTCAGGTATATCACCATCTTTACATATATTAAGATCAAGTCTATTAAAAGCAATTTGGCTTCCCCAATTTCAGCGCATCAGGGAAGTTCAAAATTGTTTTTTCTTAATGGCAATATTACATTAAATCTACCCATTGAAGACCCTAAGACATTCCAATAATTTATATTATAGTTCATAAATAAAATTATCCAATCTAGGCCTGAGGAAATATGGAGTCATTCTGTTATGTTTCACTTCATAAAGACATTTATTCTTTTAGGGGAAAGAACGCACACATTGATACCATTTTGGTTATTATAGGCCTCCAATAGAATCTATATTAAGAATTAATGTACTGTCATTAAAACTCTCCACAACTTTTGAGTGATAAAATCATACAAATGAAGTTTTTATGTTTTTGTTTTTAGTTGTAGTCAGCACGGGAAGGGTTTATAAAAGCCTACTCATCTATTCACATTTTACAGGATTTATACTTCCCCATTCTTTTTAAAACAAACAGGAGGTTTTGTTGGTTAAAAAAAATCTAGCCAAAGTTATTTTAAAAGATTTAAATAGTGAGAAAGATGAAAATGTTTTCATTCTAATCCTATTAGACAGTGTTGCATATTTTGAGTAAATGCAAATTAAAACCTCTACATAGTTTCCTGTAGTCAAAGTTTCAAAAGCTAAAGCAAGATTGGTAACAAAGGAGGCAGGGACACTTGCTACTGTCTGAAGACACTAAATCCCACAACTAAAGGTACAGGCATAATTTTAACTCATAGAAGAACCATCGTACTACAAATAATTTATAAACTATCTTCACATATGTTGTCACACTTGATCCTTATAATAATTGTATGAGTTTCAGAGCCGGTACTAATGATTCCCGTTTTTCAAACAAAGGTGAAATAAGGACAATAAAAGAGGTTATCTGAGGCCCTCAGCAAGCAACCACTGGAATGTGGGTTTTATTGGTTCAATCTAGTGCTCATTTCTACTATATGACTACTTTATTTTAGCAAAGCATTTGATAATTTTTGGTGATGTGCTATGGGAAAGATAGAATAATGTAAGCTACATAAGATTCAGAATGTGGGTTTTATTGGCTTAATCTAGTGCTCATTTCTACTATATGACTATTTTAGCAAAGCATTTGATAATTTTTGGTTATTTGCTACGGGAAACATAGAATAATGTAAGCTACATAAGATTCTAGTTGAAAGATTCATACATGGTGAAAACCTATACATTTAACTCAACAAACATTTATTGAGCACTTCTTATGTGCTGGGCTCTCTAGTAGGTCTATAGAAACTAGTATATTAATGCCAATATAAAGAGATATGTGAAAGACTCGAGGTTGGTCTGATCAACATTTTCATCAGTGATTTGATTAAAGACACAAAAGAGATTATTTTATGTAATCTATGGTTGGCACACAACTGAGATGAGTAGCTAAAAAAAAATTCTTTTCAACCAGAACAACAGACCAAAGTTAATGAGCTGGCCTCTTTAAAGAGATATATGTCACATTCTGAATTTAGGTTTAAAAGGAAAATTCATCATCCAATAGAGAGTAAGAAAGAGTTTTACCATTTTTCATGTGAAAATGCTATGGGCTTTCAGTTTTCTATAAACTTTGTAAAATTCAGAAGTGTCATGGCTGGTGGAAAACTGTACACTTTTATGCTACATGAATTTAAAAAACAACCCAGCCTATATAGATATTAGTTGTGCTGCATCTGTACTAGTCAGGTCATATGAGTACCATGCTCAGTCCTGGAGGTCACATTTTTACAAGGATCTTGACAATTTGCTACTCATTTAGGTGGGTAAGGATTGGTCATGGGAAGAAAAGTTAGGAGAATGGGGCTGTTGACTTCAGACACAGAAGACTTTGGGGCAGCTGAGAAATTTTCTTTATCAAGGTGGAAGAAGGTGAAGACTTCTGGAAATGTTCAAGCAGAGGCTGGGTGACCATCTGCCAAAGAATGTAGCAAAGAGGATTCCAGCTTTGAGTGGCAGTTTGGACTAATGACCTCTAATGTTGCTTCCAAGTCTAAGATTTTGAGTTTCTAGTATAGAGTCCTATATATTAATTCTTATCCCCAGTGCAGTGTCTTCCAAATTTCAGAAATCTGGGTCTTTAAACATTTCAAAGGATGCTCATAATTGTCTCTGAATGAATATGTACAAGCTTAGTCTAAGAGAGACTTGTGAAAAATGAGCCACACTGATACACTTTTAGTTTCTTCCAATAATGGGATATTTTATGGGATTTGCCTCTGACAGTGCCAGACTCTTGAAAGTCATCCTAAGCAGCACTCTACTGCATCTGCATTCTGGACATATGAATTCAACATCTCAACAAGTAAAAACACCTCTGGGGCATTTCTGAACCTGAGCTGGTCCCCTAGGTCTGTCTTGAATGAAATCTACTTTGTGGATATTGTCCAGTAGGTGACCAGGGTTTGATGGCACAGGTGTGGCATGTGTGTAGTGTGTACACCTAGTAGAGGGCATGTAACCATTGTTCCACATCTCTGGCCCACGTAGTCTCTCTGGCATTCAATGATTAGTGTACGCATCTGGGCAGTTTGGCACCATTTCCCTACCATCTCTGTAGGGACCTAATATATCCAAATGTCATATGACCCATTCAGCCTGTTTTATGTCTGTACAGATCATTTATGGCTAAATCACTATGGGGCTAATCATTCTAACCCACTTCCTGCCCAATTAAAAGTACTTACAATTCTGTTAGTGGTACAAGGGGCCTCAACTTTCTGCCCCTCTCATTCAATCTCCTTCAGCAAACATTTATTTATCCCTTTGAGATGTACAATTTTCGTTCTAGCTCAAGGGATGTGTGCTTGGTGCAAGGAGAAGTTGAAAGACAATGGATTGGCCTTGGCTTAGTGTCTCTGGTATAGAGGAATTCACAAGCCTCTTTTAGTTGTGTGATGCTTGGGATTAGGGAAACAGTATAGGCAGTTTGGGATGAGATCCCAGGAGTAAGTCACATGAAACCCTTTTAAATGCACAAAATATGTGTCTAAAGCATGCTTTAGTTTTCTACACACCGCTAGAATATTTTTAAGGTCTGTACAAACACACACCTGGAGAAAAGTTAGAACTAGATCAGTTCCAAGTCCATAGGAAGGTTTATTGATACATTCTTCTGGATTAGCAACCTCTAATATAAGTAAGAAAAGAGTGAGTAATGCTGAACTTGGCATCAGAAGGAGAACTCAGGCGAGCACACTTTGGGAAGCCATTGTGGGTCACAGAAAAATAATACTGTTGGTGAAGCTTTGCAATACATGCTTAGATACTTTAAAATCTTGTTCAAAATGTTGTCTAGAAACCACCCGGCACTTATTAAGAATGCGCAATCTCAGGCCCAACTCTGGACCTTCTGAATCAGTATTTGCATTTCAACAGTATCCCCAGGTGGTTTTTGTGTATATAAAATTTTAAGAAGTCCTGTTTAAAATCTTACTACTATTGGCCAGGCATGGTGGCTCATGCCTGCAATCCCAGCACTTTGGGAGGCTGACATGGGTGGATCACCTGAGGTCAGGAGTTTGAGACCAGCCTGGCCAACATAGTGAAACCCTGTCTCTACTAAAAATATAAAAACTAGCTGGGTGTCGTGGCACGTGCCTGTAATCCCAGCTACCCGGGAGGCTGAGGTAGGAGAATCGCTTGAACCCGGGAGGCAGAGGTTGCAGTGAGCCGACATAGCACCACTGCACTCCAGCCTGAGAGACAGAGCGAGACTCCATCTCAAAAAAACAAAAACAAAAACAAAAATCAAAACGTATTACTATCATGTCAATAGAGAATTTAAATGGAATAAAAAATTTTAATGAAAAAATCCTTATCATTTAACAATAGAACTTTTAGACCCCTCCTTCTAAAGGGGAATGATAAATTAATAAGAGCATTATTTAGGCCTAATGAATAAAATTAATGCTGCTCTGCATTTTAAGTTAATGTTAATCTTTTTTCCAGGATTGAGGGAATCCTGGAAGCATTGTTCTGGGTATTCGACTTTAATTTAATTAGCAACTGGAGAAGCAATAGAGTCAAAGTTTTGGTTTAGAAACCGTCACTTATTTAACCTCTTAGATTTTCTGCTCACACTAGCACACAGACACATCAGACATATCCAGATCCCAATACCCAAACAGAGACTCCGAAGCATTTTTAGGGTATGTAATGCAAAGTTACTCTCTTTTTTTCCCCTTAACCACACAGAGCTATTTTGCAATCACAGTAAGGTTGTGCAAAAGTATGGGTAAAAACTATAAAAGTTATGAAGTCATATTCAGATTGACTAAGAGGTTATGATTTCCAAGTAGAGAGTAATGTTTCCAAAAATAGTATAGCTGATCTAGTGGCAAAGAATATGTCATTATGAAATGCAAAATTTATAGATGCAAATTCACATACGTGTATGTATATATATTTATATACATACATAAACTCAGAAATGCTATGAACTAATGAAAATAGCAACTGGTGGTGGGGTTTGTAAAAATGCTATAATTCAGACACACACCATTAAAAAACTCATTGATAAATCATTGGAACTTATAGCTGACTTTTGATTTATTTTTATGCCGACTGTAGTGGTGACTCCAGGGAGACGTTTATACACCGACAATTTCAGTGAGGAGCAGCAATAGCTAATCTGCTCAGTTTTTGAACTCTGAGAGTTATGCTTTGAATTAAAGAAGATTTATGGAGGGCCCAATGGCCTTTTATGGATTACACACTAAAGATCAGAATGAGTAAGAAAGAAGGCATTCAAAAGAACTGAGGCTTTTTATTTATGCACATTAAAGAAATACACAGTTGAAATGGTCAAAAATCATGTAGATTGCCTCATTTTTATATGTAGCACAATTTGCCTTCTTCTATTTACATGCTACTGTTTGATATGTTCCAATTGTGTTTTTCTTGTTTTTTGTTTTTTTCTTTTTTGAGACAGGGTCTTGGCTGGAATGCACTGGTGTCATCACAGCTCACTGTAGCCTTGAACTCCTGGACTCACACAATTCTCCCATCTCAGCCTCCTGAGTAGCTGGGCCCACAGGTGCCTGCTACCTTGCCCAGCTAATTAATTTTTCTTTTCTTTTCTTTTTTTTTTTTTTTTGTAGACATAGGGGTCTCACAATATTACCAAGCTGCTCTTGAGCTCCTGGCCTCAAGCAATCCTCCCACCTTGGACTCACAAGGTGCTGGAATTTATAGATGTGAGCCACTGATAGATGTGGGATGGCAAACCCGGCCCCAATTCTTGTATCTGTATAATTTCTTTTCTTTTTTATTGGTAAACAAGAGAGATCCTTGCATTCATCAGGGACTATGTTCCAAATATTCTGTTTCCTCTTTAAGGCCAAATACAATGCCAAACACAACAGATTTTATAAATGCCTATTGAATTTTGTGGAAAAATTATATAATGATCCAAAATTGCTTTACCATGCTTGGATGACTGTAAGATATTTAAAACAAAGGGTAGCCCTCAAGAAATAACCTTGTTTGGGAAACACAGGATAGGTGGAGAAGGAGGGTGGCAAACTGCCTGACAGCTCCGGCACTGCAGAGCTTTGCAGACATCAGACTTCAAAGATCTGGACTAGGCACAGAAGAAGGAAGAGGCATTTTACTCTTTACCAAGAACTAAGCACATCCGTTTGAACACAGTCATGGGAAATGAGTAGGAACTGAGCAGTCTCATCATCTCTACGTTCATTTTGAATGGCAGAGCAGGCTCCGCCTCTGCTTTTGAGAGCCAACACATCTTAAATAAAAACATTTTAGCTAATTGAAAGGTTTAGGAAAATGTAACCTGCAAGGCTTTGTGCTTATCTCCTGAAGCTTCAAGCCTCAAGGCAGGTCCTGGGCTCCTGCCTCAGCAAGAAAATCTCCTGAGAGTTTAAGAGAGCAAGAGAAAAATGTGGGCAAAGCCAGTTAACTCCTCTAGTTTAAGTTGAATTGCACTAAAAGAAGCAGATTTCTTAGACAAGTTGCAGAAAATGATTAAAACTTAAAAAAATTTCTCTTTCCTTTTGCCATTGTTGCTTTATCAACTTCCTATAATATCTGTTTATGGTGACTTATAATTTGTTTAGATATAGAAGTCACCTTCCAAATATTTTAGTAACACACTTCTATGACATAGCTTGAGAATCTGTTTTTCTACCCATCAAGTGGCTTTCATTCAAAAATACAGGAATTATCCCTAGCCTAAGCCATGGAAAGCATCCACTGAAAACACATCTGAGTATGTCCCTTTTCAGCAATTCAGCAAGTCGATTAGTACAAATCTAAACTGGGATCTTTCTAACTATAGCTGATAATTCCTGAGTTCATTCCTAAGTAATTCAGAACTGTGTGCAGTAACTTTTAGTTAGACTTATTTCATGACAAGTTTTTCAATTTGCTACAAGATTTGTCTTAGATGATTAGACTGGCAGATGGAAGAAAAAACCATTTGGGAATGATAATCATGGAAGCATCAAAATATCCATTCTGCTTAAAGTCTGTCAAGAGAGCTGTGACTTCAGAGCAAGGTGCTATGTGGGATGTGTACAGAAAATGATAAAAATGTTTCGAAGATACTACAGTTCTCCAAGCCTCCCAATAAAACCTTTTGTAATCTTAGCCAGATTCATTAAGGAACAGCTTTCATTGAAAAAAATAAAGTGATAAACTGTTCCCTGTTCTTCATTTGGTTAGTGTATAAGGTTGTTCGTTTCAGATTACGAGCATAAAAATTTAGAAAGATTTGGACCCAGGTTTGAATTCAGCTAGTCAAGTTGCTTTGGGCAAGTAAAAAATTATCTCTGGGCCTCAGTTTCCTTACAGGAGACAGCATGGCTTCTTGGTTAATGGTGCAACCCCCCGGGCTCAGAGCTATGTCCCTACACTAAATCTGTGATCTTTGATGGGTTACCGAAAGTCTCATCATTTGAGATGTCATTACCTCACAAGCAGAAAATGAACTTAAAATGCCTAGAAAATTCCTAACTATAGTAAGAAATCAACCAATAGTAGCTCTTATTAGTAGATAATTTCATAATTATGGTGGCTTCTAGGAGGCAGAAGCTAAGTCCCAAATGCAGATTAATTACTGAGTATTTATACCTCTTACACATTTGACCATGGTCTTTTCTTATACTTAGGGAATTATTTGCCAGTCTAACTTTAAGGGAACTTGAAAATGCAGGTATCCCTTTAGGGAGGGAGAGTAACTTGAATGCAAAGTGAAGAGTTTCTTCCTATAAAGCTGTCTTCTATCCCAGCCCTCTATGACTTGGGTCATGGAGACTTCCTGGATGTATAATAGCTGGCCGGTGGACTGGGCCCTAGGCAGGGATTCTCCCTCCTATCCCTGGGATTTTTTTCTTAACCAAGTAGTGCCCCAAATTAGGCTGCCTTATCTGATCTATATGATTCTGAGAACTTTAGGGGTTAGTGAACTTCCAGCAAAGTGTTCTGATTAGGATTACTACAGCCACACTTTTGACGAAATAAACTAAGCATAAAGGGGAAAATATAAGCATCCCACATCTGATGCTAAACGGGTTGGCACTTTTCTGGGAAATTTTTCTCTCATGGTCTCATCTTTCAATAATAACATCTTTTCACCCTTTACCTTCCAAAAGAACATCTTTTCTCCTCACTTTCCGAATCTATACACGTCTTTTTTTTTTTTTTTTTTTCTTGAGACAGGGATCTTACTGTGTTACCCAAGCTGGAGTGCAGTGGGGTGACCATGGTTCATTGCAGCCTCAAACTTCTGGGCTCAAGCTCTTCTCCCACCTCAGCCTCCAGAGTAGCTGGGACTACAGGTATGCACCACCTGCTCAGCTATTTTTTTTTTAAACTTATTTAGAGATGGGTTCTCGCTATGATGCCATAATGGTCTCAAACTCCTGGCCTCAAGCCATCTTCCCTCCTCAGCCTCCTGAGCAGAGTAGCTGGGATTACAGATGCAAGCTGCTGTGCCTGGAGAATTTTCTTTTTTAAACCCACACAGAACTATTGCTGTAAAACTAAGAACTATACTTAACCAGAGTTTCGGACATTTGAAGTGCTCTTGGATATTTTAGCAATGTTTGGGGATTTCTGGTGCTTAGCAGAGGGTATATTTTTGGGAGAGGGTATATTTTTGCTATTCTAACAGAACTCTATTGAGTAGCAAATTTGGCTAAGAAATGGTGGTAAGATTGCACGTGTGCATTTTGTACCTATCTTGCCAAGGTTGTTCTACTCAACTATGAAAACTCACATTACTCTAATAATTTTACAGTTCTTTTTTTAGGTGAGAACACGAGATTGGGAGGATGAGGGCTGGAACATAAAATGAGAGGGAGAGAAGATGAAGTGGGGGAGGGAGGAAACGAAGAGAGGGAGAGAGAGTGGAGTGGAGGGGGAGAGAGAGAGAGAGAATGCACACTGTACAGAAAAATTGCAAAGCAGATAAATCAGTTTCAAATTTCAGCCCTATCTCTCCTCTTAGCACCTTTAGTAGTGTTTGTAAACATTGTACGACTTCCTTTAATAGTTCAGCATTGTTTTCAGCCAGTTGCCAACTAATATTCAGATCATAGGTGGTAATTCAAACACTTTCTGGGTGGATATGTGGATAAGAGGTCATCTGAAGACCAAAAGACGTAAATACTCCAGGGCATACTCTTTTGCGATGAACCACATTTCAAACGCCATAACAGTATGAAAGAGCCTAGTGGGTCAGAAAGGCTGGCTGTAGAACACTTCCTCACAAAACCTCAAGATTCCACTTGAAAATAAGGCCCATCCTGATCATACATGAGGCTGGGTAGGTCTGAATGGCTCCATGAAAGTAACTACCAGAAAGACAATGCAAAGCTCTTCTTTCTAGACTGTGAGTGAATAAATAATCTTCATTCTTTCTAATAAACAGGACAATATGGGCACAGCTTTCTTCCCCTTGTATATGTTTGGTGTTTTTATTCTTGCATTTTTCTAACTTTGGGGTTTATGTTATCAAATGAGATCATTCTGTGCAGGCTATCCTGGAGAATTATCTACCCCATAGTACTTGTTTTCACTTTTTTTGTGCACTTATTATGTTATATATTGATTGATGGTAATGTAGGAGATGCATGTTCACTGTTGCCCCACTGAGCTGAGTGCTGTCATGGGGACTGTATAAGATTCACCTTTCCAGGCCCTCTGCTTAGCACAGTATTTGGTCTAAAGTATTCACTGAATGTGTCCCCGGACATTGCACAACTTCTCTTACAGCATGAGTTCAACAGGGCAATTAATTGTTTCTCAGCCCCACTTGCTTGTACTTTATTGGCTGAGAGGGTCATCAGAGAGTCTTGGAAATGGAAGAAACACTAATAGTTCAGCTTCTTGTCTACTCTTTCACCATTAAGCAAGGCCATATCTAAAATATCCCAGACAGAGGGAAATTGATCTTATTTTAGAAGACATTCAGAGATACCACTAAAGTGATTTCTTTGAGGTTAAATTTAGCATATCTTTGAATAAGTAACTCAAACATTCTCATGTTCAGCTACATTTCTGCTCTTTCTTCAGAAGCATTATTAACATACCAAGACTCTGCCCATTAGCCTGTGGGATAAAGACTTTGAGGATAAGTGCCATTCATGCACATATTTATCTTAATCTCATACTGGAAAACTAAAGATATGAAAGTTAGGATTGAAGATATGTATACATTTTAAATCTCCAAATTATTTTAAAAGATAATGGAAGCCATCCTATTTTGTCCCTACATTGCAAGTAAGATGGATTTCTTGCACATTTTACCAGGAGATTTGGCTTCAACACCCAATCTTTTCTAACGCAGCTCAGGCAAATGTGACCTTCTTTTTCTCTGACCTCCAAAAGCGTGCTCCTATACTTCTCACAAGGCCTAATGCCATTTTTATGTTGCTTTCTTTATGTTTCTTACCTCGCTAGTAGGGACAATATTGTACTTAAGGAGCTGCATCCCTCAAAGTGCCTAGTACAATGCCTCGCCTCCAAAAGATTCTCATGAAAGGTTTGTTGAATACATATTCACTTAAATGACTTCTCTCTCAAAAAATACCAAAGAAAGAGACTGAGTACATATGTTTACCTATGTAACCATTAATGGGGATAAGAGTGTGAATCTAACGGGGAATCAGTTGGACCAGAGACTCAGGATTATCAGCTTTTTGTTGGCATCTTTTAAAATGCTCATTTCCTATTAGGTGACTTATGTCATATAACAAGGTTAAAACCCTCTTTCCCAGGTTCTGGGTAATTTATGATTTTTTTCCATTATTATCTAAAAACATATACAGAAGGAAAATCCAGTTTAAATTGTCCAGAAAGTAATTTCTCCGAAGCAATAAACCATTTTTAGGCTCAGAGCCAGGTTAGTTCCTACACAAGTAATCCCTTGGGGCCTTTAGGTCACCAGCGAAAGGCCTCGGAAAATTTAATTAAAGAGATTTCCAGGAAGGGGAAAGAAATTAAAGAAATTGGTCACTACAAGATGAGGGAGTTTTCCTATCCCATACAAAGGTCTTACACACAGGACACACCAAAGTCTGGAAAGCAAGTGGGATCTTCCAGAAGCCTCTGCAATTAACACTATTGGATAACACAGTGTTATTGTCAACTGTGAGAAAGAATGTTAGAGGGCAAGTTTATCTCACTTGCCCTCAAGTGATAAAGTCTTCATCCACAGGGAGCTGTTGGTTATCTTTAGGGATGGGAAGACATACAAGAAAGCAACCAGTTACTGGATTATATGAGGAAGGCTGTGACAGAGGCCATACCGGATGCTGCAGGAACACAGAAAAAGAAGGATCTACGCCCTTTGATGAATTCCCAGGAAGCCTTCCCAGATGTGTCAGTGGGCTCTTGAAGGGTGAGTTTTTGTGAAAACTAGAAAAGGCATTCTGAATGGTGAGCGCAAGATGGTAAAAGGACACGGAGGCATGCAGGGGCACACAGTGCGTGGTGAAATACAAGAAGCAGGAGTAGCGGAGCCTGTTGTCTGTGTGGGTGAACAACGAGGCTCAGGAAAGCGGGGCCAGTTCATGCCCAATGCTGGTTCAAAAAAAATGCATGACAAACCACATGAAAACCCACAGGGAGGATGTCTGAATGCCACAGAAACACAATGTAACATTATTCAGAGAGAAGTCAATGTATTATTTCATGGTCTAGAAGAAGGGAATTCAGTGAGGTGTAGGAAGAACTCACAGAAGATGCCAGAGAATTACTTCAGAAAGAGGGGTATCTCTTTTGATGTGATTAGAACTTTTAGGAACCTCATCCAAATTTACAAAGTGGCAAACATCCTAGACACACTTTCCATGTTTAAGGTGGCTTGTGTGTGTGTGTGTGTATGACATTATTCAATAGGGAGAACATACTGCACTTTTAACTAAAGAAAATCACCAGGGAGATTTTATAGGAGACCAGGGAGAAATGAAGCAGAGATGAGCTGGATGCAGTTATAAGAGGTAGTACAACATTTAAATGACTACCATTATTTTATTTAGTTCTGTATCACAAAGCTATCACCAGTTCCAGCAGCATTCAGCTAATTAATACTAAAATTACTTTGCTAGGATTATGCAGCAAATGATGATGAAAGAAACATCCTGCAAATATTACATTCTTAAATCCTTGACTATTTGTAATAATCTACTTCCATATAAAAGTAATATCCCATTGGTAAATATGGTATTGCATTTGAGTAACTCTGCAATACCTGTAATAACTACCATTTATTGGACACCTATTTTATTTCATACTTCATTCATACTGCAAAGTTCTTACAAGTTATTATCATTCTGTACAGCAATCTGTACTCATAATATTAAATGTGTCTAAAGACTAGCTACAGCTATGTTTCCCGGTTTCTGGTGTCTATTTACTTTTTCAGTGCTACTGCTGGTATCTTTGACAGCAGGGGACCTGTTGAGCAGGAGAGGGTTTGAGAGGGAGGATGTTGCTTTCAACAGCCAGCACATGGGAAGCTTTTTACAGCTTGCTGAATGAATGGAGGAATGAAATCCTTGCTGTTAATAGCAGCAAGGACACAAATTTTGCTGTCCTATGTTTGAATCCTGGCTCTATCGCTTAGGAGCTCTGTGATGTTGGCTAAGTGTCTTAGCCTTTCAGAGCTGGTTTTCTCACCTGTAAGAAAAGAATGATAATAACTTGTAAGAACTTTGCAGTATGAATGAAGTGTGAAATAAAATAGGTGTTCAATAAATGGTAGTTATTACAGGTATTGCAGAGTTACTCAAATGCAATACTATATTTACCAATGGGATATTACTTTTATATGGAAGTAGATTATTATAAATAGTCAAGGATTTAAGAATGTAAAGCTTCCCGCCCACCTGAAAGCTGGTTGGGAACAGGAGAGGAAGGTGATCAGGGAACGCATTCCAGTGATGTGGGACCTCTCTTACCCTCTGCATTTCCTCTTTCAGGTGCTCATCTACTGGAAAGGCTTCAACTTTCACCTTTGCTGATGACGTTCCAGTCCCAGTCTGCCCAATCTGAATTCTTCCTCAGCCTCTGCTTAGCTTCCTATCCTCCGTTCCTTCTCCTATGATCTAGGCAGACATTGAGGATTATGCCTGGCACATTTTCTCAGAGGGCCAAGGCACAGCCTTAATTTTCTACTCAACTGGGAGCTCTAGGCACCCATTACCATTCAGAGTTGGCATTCGAGACAAAAACTATTTTTTTCCTGAATCTAGTCCTTTTAATTTTAAGCACCTTAAGGAATATACCTTTTAAAGTGTCTTGAAGGATTTCATTCCCCCATTCATTCAGCAAACTGTAAAGAGCTTCCCATGTGCTGCCTGTTGAATGCAACATCCTCCCTCTCAAACCCTCTCCTGCTCAACAGGTCCCCTGCTATCAATGATACCAGCAATAGCACTGAAAGAATAAATATACACCAGATAACACAGGTGAGTGGGCACAGCTCTCCATGCCACCCTAGTTCCTCACAAAGGCATGCCCAATATTTGGAGGTACTGACAGCCTTAGAGGAAGGAGAAATCCACCAGGTCAGAAAAATTCTGAGCTGTAGGCTTGCTGCCTTTCTTACCTACATTTGAGGAAAGGCCAGGTTAGCATCCAAGAGTCCACCCTATCACCATATAAAGAATTCCATGCCAGACACATATACTTCTATTTCCTAATGCTGGTCCTGGGTCTACAGTGGTCTTATTATAATCAGTAGACCATTCTAGTTCAAGCCCTTATCCCCTCCTATATGGATAACTGTAACAGACTCTCCTCTCCAGTTCATCCTATAAATGCCATAGCCAAACTCTACCCCAATTTTAACTCCTAGTAATTACTGATTTGTTCTATAGGTTGGTGCAACAGTAATTGCGGTTTTCACCATTAAAAGTAATGGCGAAAGTAATGCTTAGCCTCCTATTTGGCGAAACTGTAATGGTGAAAACTGTAATTACTGTTGCATCAACCTAATACAACACTGCAATTTTGTTTTTTAAGAATTTCAAATAGGCCAGGCACGGTGGCTCACACCTGTAATCCCAGCACTTTGGAAGGCCGAGGCGGGTGGATCACCAGGTCAGGAGTTCAAGACCAGCCTGACCAACATGGTGAAACCCCATCTCTACTAAAAATACAAAAATAAGTTGGGTGTAGTGGCGTGCGCCTGTAGTCCCAGCTACTCAGGAGGCTGAGGCAGGAGAATAGCTTGAACCTGGGAGGCGGAGGTTGCAGTGAACTAAGATCGCACTGCACTCCAGCCTGAGCGACAGAGCAAGACTCCATCTCAAAAAAAAAAAAAAAAAAAGTCAAATAAATGAGATTATACAGTGTGCAATTTTTTGACATTGACTTCTTTCACTCAGCATACTTTCGAGATTTATTCAAGGTATCACATGTAGTGTGTCTAGCAGTGTGTCTCTTTTACTTGTTAAGTAGTATTCCACAGTACAAAGGTACCAGTCTGTTTATCCATTCCTCTGTTGAATGGTATCTTGGTGAATTTTGGGGTGCTTATGAAGGGAGCTGTTATAAATATTCATGTACAGGTTTTTGTGCAAACATAATTTTCTATTTCTCTAGAGTAAACATCCAGCAATAGGACTACTGGGTTACATGGTAAGTACATGTTCAACATTTTACAAGAGAAAAAAATAGTTCAATTAAGTCCAATTAATAGTTCTGATTAAGATTTACCAATCTTTTATTTTCTGAATTATGCTTTTTTGAGTCATGTCTAAGAACTCTTTGCCTAATCCTAGGTCACAAAGATTTTTCTCCTAGGTTTTCTTTGAAAAGTTTTATAGTTTTACACTTTGAACTTAGATAAATGATCCATTTTGAGTTAATTTTTGCATAAGGTATAAGGTTTTGGTTGAGAGTTTTGCTTTATTTGTTTTTGCATGTGTAGATTTCTATTTTAAAAACATGATTTGTTAAAAAGACAATTCTTTCTCAATTGAGTTGCTACGCAACTTTGCCAAAAATCAATTGGCCACATTTATATGAATCTATTTCTGAACTTTTTATTCTGTTACATCGATCTATTTGTCTCTCTCTTTGCCGATACCACCCTGTCTTGACAACTGAAGCTTTATAGTAAGTATTAAAACTGCATAATGTAATTCCTCCAACTTTATGTCTTTTCCAAATTGTTTTAACTATTCTTATTCCTTTGCCTTTCACATACATTGTAGAATCAGATTGTGTCTATACAGAATATCCTCATAGGATTGTGAGTGGAATGGCATAAAATCTATAGACCAATTTGTGGGGAATTAACATCATTACTATGTCAAGTATTCTTGTCCATAAATAAGGTATGTCTTTCCATTTACTTAGGTCTTCTTTGATTTCTTTCATCAGCATTTTTTAGTTTTTGGCATGCAGATCCCATACATATTTTGTTAGCCCTATATCATTTTCCCCATTTTATCCCTATTTCTTAAATAGTATTGGTTTTTAATTTCATTTACCAATTGAAATACTGTTAATTTTTGTCCAATCATCTTGTATCCTGCTACCTTGCTATACTCACTTAAACTTCTAGTAGTTTTTGGTAGATTCCTTGGGATGTTCTACATAGACAATCAAAACTGTGTATTATGCAAATAGGGGTACTTTTGTTTCCTTTCTGATCTGTATAATTTTCATTTCTTTTTCTTACTTACTGCATTGGCTAGGACTCCCAGTACAATGTTGAATAGAAGCAGTGAGATTGGACATCACTGCCTTCCCCAGTGCCGGGGGGGAAACGTTCAGTCTTTCGCACTAAGTTTGATGTTACCTGTAGTGACTTTTTGTTTGTTTGGTTGGGTTTTTTAGCAGATACTCTTTATCAGTTAGAAGAAACTCCCTTCTTTTCCTAGCTGACTGAGAGATTTTATCATGAATAAATATTGAGTTTTGTTAAATGCTTTTTCTGCATCAATTTTACTTCTTCTTTCTTCTTTACACTATCAAGTGGTGGATTACACTGACTGATTTCTAAAAGTAATAAATTAGCCTAGAGTTTCCAGTATAAGCTGCTCTTGGTCATATTGTATTATTTCTTCTCTGTATTGCTGAGTTTGATTTGGTAATATTTTGTTGAGAATTTTTGTGCTCTATAGTGTTATTTTTTATTATCTTTGTCTGGTTTTTGTATCAGCCTCATTCTGGCTTTATAAAATTAGTTGGGAAGTTTTCTCTGCATTTTTACCTGCTGGAAGAGATTGGGTAGACGTGGTGTTATTTCTTCTTTAAATGTTTGGTAAAAATTGCGGTGAAACCATTTGGGTCTGGAGGTTCCTTTTTTGACAAAACTTTAACTACAAATTCAACTTTTAAAATAGTTAGAGGACTACTCAGATTCTATTTAATCTTGGATGAGTTTTGGTTGTTTGTGGTTTGCTAGGAATTGGTCCATCTATATTGTTGAATTTAGATGAGCAGAGTTGTTTGTAGTATTCTCTTTTTAATTTCTACACAGTCTGTAATAGCCTCTGTATCATTCTGATATGGTAATTTAATTCTTCTCTCTTTTTTCTGGATTGATCTTTTTAAATGTTTATCCATTTAGTTGTTTCCTTCAAAGAACTGCTTTTATTTTTATTGATTTTTTCTCTATTGTTTTTCAATTTAAATTAATTTCTGCCCTCATCTTTGTTTTTTTTTTCTTTTTTTTTTTTTTCCTGCTTACTTTAGTTCTCATTTAGCCTTTATTTTCTAGTTTCTAGTTTAAAGTGGCAGCCAAGGTCATTGTATGAAGACCTTTTTTCTTTACTAACAGAAATTTAGTGCCATAAATTCCCCCTCTCAAGTAATGCTCTAGTGGGATCTCAGTTCAAAATACGTTATAATTTTCCTTGATTTCCTCTTTGGTACATGGCTTACTTAGCAATGGTTATTTCATTTCTAAATATTTTGAAAATTTTGCAGAGATCTTTTTGTTATTCTTTTCTAATTTAGTTCCATTCTAATTAGAAAACATACTTTGTGTGAGTTGGATCTTTTTACATTTATTGAAAAGTTGTTTTATGGCCCAGAATACAGTCTATTGAGGTAATTGTGCCATCTACACTTGAAAAGAATGTGTATTCTGACTGAATATCCTATAAATGTCCAGAGTGTCCTATAAATGTCAATTAGCTGATTGTGTTGTTCAAGTCTTCTATACCTTGATGATTTTCTATTTGTTCTCTCAATTATTGAGGGAGGAGTATTTACATCTCTGACTTTATGAATTTGTTTATTTCTCCTGGGGTTTTACCCAGATTTTGCTTTAAGCATTTAGAAGCTCTTTTAAAAATATGTGGATTAGTAGAATTGTTATGTTCTCCTAATGTATTGACTCCTCTATCATTAAAAACTGATATTCTTTATTCCTGGTGTGATTCTTTAATGTGACATCTGTTTTGCCTGATATTAATATATCAAATGTAGATTTCTTTTGATAAATGTTAGTTAGCATGGTATATCTTTTTCTATCCTTTTACTTTAAACCTATGTGTGTCTTTTTATTTAAAATATACTTCTTGAAGGCAGCATATCACTGGGTAATACTTTCTTTATCCAATCTGACAATCTCTATCTTTCAATTGGATGTTTAGACTTTATCTGTTCTTAGTTTACTCTCTTCCTTTTTTTGCCCTCATTTTGATCAAGCAATTTTTTTATAATTCCATTTCATCTCTTTTTTAGGTCTATCAGCTAAAATTTTTGGGTTAGTTTAGTGGTTGCTTTAGGGTTTATAGTATATCTCTTCAACTTACCATAGTCCGTTTTCAAGTGATATCACAATAGCTCTCATGAGAACTAGGTACCTACGTTATAACTTCCATACTACGCTAGTTTTGTTTAAATGTCGATTATCATTTATAGGCATTTAAATAATGAGAGAAAGTATTTTGTATTTACCCTTGTAGTTATCCATTTCCAGTGTTCTTCATTCCTTTCTGTAGCTCCATATTCCCATTCGTCATAATTTTTATTTTGCTTGGAGGATTTCCTTGAAGATTTCTTGTAGTACAGGTCTGCTAGTAATGAATTCTTTTAGCTTTTCATGTCTGAAAAAGCTTTTGTTTCACCTACATTTGCGAGAGATATTCTACTGGTTTTGGGGTTCTAGATTATCACCTTTTTTTCCTTTCAGTATTTTACAAATACTGCTCCATTCTCTTCTTGTATATATTGTTTCCAAGGAGAAATCTGCTGTCATATTTAACTTTGCTTCTCTATATAAAATGTCATTTTCCTCTGGCTGCATTTAAGATTTTCTGTTTATCACTAGTTTTAAGTAATTTGATTAGGATGTGACTTAGTGTAGCTTCCTTCATGTTTTTTGTCCTTAGAGTTTGTTGAGATTCTTGAATATGTAGATTTTTTTTTTCTTTTTACTCAAATTTGGAAAATTCCTGGCCATTTCTTCAAATAGTATTTTCTCTGTACCCCCTCCCAACTTCAGGAACTCAGATTACATATATATTAGGCAACTGAAGTTGTATCACAGCTGACTGATACTTTGTCTTTTTAATTTTGCAATTCTATGTCTCTATTTCATTTGGGATCTTTCTATTAGTATATCTTTTAGTTGACTATTATTTTCTTCCGCAACAGCTAATCTGTTACTAATATGGTCCATGGGATGTTTTCTCTTGGATATTAAAGTTTTTATTTTTAGAAGTTTGATTTGTTGTTTTTTAAAAATACATCTTCTATGTCTACACTTCACTTTTTGAACCTATGAAACACAATCATATAAACTGTTTTAATGTCTTTGTCTGCTAATTCAACATCTGTGACAATTCTGGGGTGGTTGTGATGGGTTGATTTTGCTCCTTTTTTACGGGTTATATTTTCCCACTTCTTTGCATTGCTGCTAAGTTTCGATTGGCTGCCAGACATTGTGAATTTTATCTTGTTGGGTATAGAAATTTCTGTATTTATGTAAACATTCTTAAGCTTTGTTCTGAGCTGCATTTAAGTTACTTGGAATCAGTCTGATTCTTCTGGGTCTTGCTTTTGAGATGTCAGGCAAGGCCAGAGTTGTATTTAGATTGGGGCTAATTATTCCCCATGATTGAGGCAAGACTTTCCTAGCAGTCTACCCTAAACCCTGTAAATTGTGTTTTCCAGTTTGGTTTGTGGGAACAGGCATTACCTCCCACTCTTTGGGAGTGCTCGGTATTCCTCTCTCTAATCCTTTTGAGGAGTTCTTTTACTGATAATGTGTGGTTTTTTAACAGGCATGTACTGATCAGTATTTTGCTGGATACTTCAAGGTGATTCTCTGCAGGTTTTCAGGTTTCTTTGTATAATTATCTCCTTGTTGGTACTCTGTTGTACAGCCTCTATCTTGGTCTTTCTGCTTCAAAGTTCAACTCCTCAACTCAGGGAAATTTCCAGGCTCTGCCCAGTTTCCTCCCTGAGCCACAGCCTGAAAACTCTCTCAAGGAAGTAAGTTAGAGCAATTGCAGGACTTACCTAATTTGTTCATCATAATTGAGAGATCACTGCCTGACATCCGGTTTCTTAAAAACCATTGTTTCACACATTTTTGTTTGTTTTTTTGGTTGTTTCACGCATGAGTGTAAATTGGTCTCTGTTACTCCATCTTGTCCAGAAGTGGAAACTATTATTTCTTTTTAAAAATGCTTAATAGAAGCTGTTTATGTTGAAAAAAATACATAAAGATTATATCTGAATATAATTAAGAAGTCTCTCATTTGTTAAAAGATTACTTTTCCATTACAGTAAACTCTTTAGAATCAATTAGTAGGGAGAATACGTTCCAGATGTTGCTAAATGCATTAATAAGCATATTTTATGTGACATCTCAGATTTAGCTTCTTTGAAGGGTAAACCTCTTTTGAAGAATTAGAATTAAAATTGATTAAGTGATGAAATTTTATGATATTAGCCTTAGAGACGTTATTACACTCATACTTGAATAGTCAACTGTAGAGAAAATATCTTTTGTAACTAATTAAAAATACCAGCTGTACCCAACATCTCACTGCCTTGAGTCAACTGGCAAGTCCCTTTGCTCTTTTGTCACTCACTGTGATGCTCCAACAATTCAGATTTTGTAATTTTCCTAAAGATTTAGTAGTTCAGACAGAATTGTGCATTTTTTCTTCTTCTGAGTATTTGAAAAACAGAAAATTTAGCCAGGATATCATACTGTGGCCAATCTTTTATTTTAAAGCTCTGCTGGAAATCCCATAAACATGTCTCAAATAATTCTGCCATGATGGAAAGCAAGAAAAATGGGACGGGAAGCTGTGTGAGGAAAGAGACTTTACAACCAAGACTTTGAAGCTACAACAATTCAATAATAAAAGAGAATGAAGAGTTGGGCTCTGGTGTAATTGAAACTTTTTCTTCCATCTTTCCTTCCTTAAAAACAAATCATAAGTCAATATACTGTACCAGATGTGCTGAGATAATTCTCCCAATAGAAAACACCTAAAATGCTATGGAAAATATTTAAAATTATTTTTTTGTTGAAGTCACAGCTGAGCTGGTGGCAAAATAACTATTACAGACACAGAATCGGTAGATAAGCATGTTTTCAAAAAGAAAACATTATCCTGGCCGGGCATGGTGGCCCACACCTGTTATCCCACCAGTTTGGGAGGCTGAGGCGGGTGGATCACCTGAGGTCAGGAGTTTGAGACCAGCCTGGCCAACATGGTGAAACCCCATCTCTACTAAAAATACAAAAATTAGCCAGGTGTGGTGGCGGGCGCTTGTAATCCTAGCTACTCAGGAGGCTGAGGCAGGAGAATCATTTGAACCTAGGAGGCGAAGGTTGCAGCAAGCCAAGATTGCAGCAAGCCAAGATTGCGCCACTGCACTTCAGACTGGGCAATAAGAGCGAAATTCCATCTCAAAAAAAAAAAAAAAAAAATTATCCTTAGAGAACTTACAGGTAAATAAACAAGCAGTTGAAGAAACAGGTAATTCTTCTCTTACACAAATTAGTTCAGAGTATAGAAAAAGGTAAAACACGCCTTAACTTTTCTATGAGCCTACTAAAAACTTGGTAACAAAAAACGACAAGGCAATGTGTATAGAAAACACACACACATAGATATCTCTAACATCACTCTTGGATATAGATGCAAAAATCACATACGAAATATCAGCAAATCATACCTATTTAAAGGAACCAGAGCTTCTTGAAGAAATAGCTGACTCTATATCTGATAAAGGCAAGAAAACAAGAAAAAAATAGCTTAGCCTGGAACATCTTGTTGTTCCAGAAAGCAGAGGCTTTTAAACATGAATGAAATTATGTCAAAAGGAAATAGAATAAATGGAGAAGGGGCTTCTAGTGGCCTAATATGGGATAACTTGAGAATCAAAAGGAATAACTCTGTTGGATGGAAACACATCAAAACTATAAAAATCCATAGTAGCAAAAACGCAAAACCACAACCACCTCATAGATCATCACTGGTGGTTGTTAGGACAAAAATACATAGTCTGAAAGTTGACAAATAAAGGAAAAGAATGAAGCATTTATCCTATCTTTCCTGTGTGAATCTAAAAAGTTGACAAGGAAATGTTCTTTTATGAAAAAGAGTTAATAAATGCAAGATTCAGGATAGAATGAGAGAATCATCATTTTACAACCAGTAATGAAATAATACATGTGGGTAATAATTGTAGATGGATGCTAAAACCATTAGGTAAATGACAATGGGGGACTTTACAATGGCTGATCCCACCTGTGTCCACTGATTAATCTTAACATCACCAGTGTTGGACAATCAGATATTTTGTACCTATCACAATATGATGCAATAGGAAAAGCACAGTTCCACTTATGAAGTGTTCTTGCCGGAAAAACGGAACCTAAATTAAATAATGCCTCTAGATCTGAATTTTGGTTAACAGGAAAAGTGGGGACTAGAAGGATAAGTTAAATGGTGCCATGAGGAAGCAATTAGCAAAATCCAGAATGAATATTCTAGGACAAATGACCCAGTTTCCCTGACAAGTCAATGTCTTGAATAAAAGCGAATGAATGGTATAGAGACTGCTATAAAGAAGCTTTAAGAGACCTAAATGTGATGTGCAATTTCCAGTGTATCAATCTCCTCTTAGATAATGATGTGGAGAGGACAAAATTACATAAAAAGTACCTCAGAGACTTTCCTGAAAATATGAGTATAAAATAGGTATTAGATTATATTAAGGAACTTCCATTAATTGTTTTGGGTGTAATAATGGGATGGCTGCTACATATTCTAAAAGTGCCTACCAGTTAGTGATGCATATTATGATATTTATGGGTGAAATGACATGATGTCTAAGATTTGCTTTTAAATACACTAAAAAAATGGGGGTCATGGAAGGATAGATGAAGAAAGAATAGCAAAATACTGATATTTTTTAAGGCTGGGTGATAACATTAGGTGTGTTTTACTATTCTTTTATTGTATATATAACGATTCTGATAATAAATCTAGAAATTATATACATATATTATAATCATTTTGAACTGATTGAAAAAATTTAAGGTCTGTTTCACATAGAAAATCTACCCATCAGGCCAGGTATGGCGGCTCACGCCTATAATCCTAGCACTTTGGGAAGCCAAGGTGGGTGGATCACTTGAGTCCAGGAGTTTGAGACCAGCCTGGGCAACATGGTGAAACCCAGTCTCTATAAAAAAACAAAAATTAGCCAGGCATGGTGGCACGTTTGTAGTCCCACCCCTCTTACTTGGGAGGCTGAAGTGGAAGGGTCGTTTGAGTCTGGGATGTGAATGCTGCAGTGAGTCGAGATTGCACCATTGCACTCCAACCTGGGCAACAGAGAGAAACCCTGTCTCAAAAAATAAATAAATAAAAATAAATAAATAAATAAATAAATAAATAAATAAAGGGCTGGGTGCAGTGGCTCACGCCTGAAATCCCAGCACTTTGGGAGACCAAGGTGGGTGGATGATGAGGTCAGGAGATTAAGACCATCCTGGCCAACATGGTGAAACGCCATTTCTATTAAAATACAAAAAAAAAACCAAACAAAAAAAAACAACTAGCCAGGCGTGGTGGTGTGCGCCTGTAGTCCCAGATACTTTGGAGGCTGAGGCAGGAGAATCGCTTGAACCTGGGAGATGGAGGTTGCAGTAAGACAAGATTGCACCACTGCACTCCAGCCTGGTGACAGAGCAAGACTGTGTCTAAAAAAAAAAAAAAAGAAGAAGAAGACAGAAAATCTACCAGTCGATTAAATACATTAACAGATTAAAAGATTCAGGGCAAAGACATAGAGGCAGAAATACCATTTGACCCAGCAATCCCATTACTGGGTATATACCCAAAGGAATGCAAATAATTCTAAGATATTAATACATGTATATGTTTGTTCATTGTAGCACTATTTACAATAGCAAAGTTATGGAATCAACCTGAATGCCCATCAATGATAGAATAAAGAAAATGTGGTATATATGCACCATGTAATACTATGCAGCCATAAAAAGGAATGAGATCATGTCCTTTGCAGGGACATGGATGTCATTGGAAGCCATTATTCTCAGCAAACTAACACAGGAACGGAAAACCAAACACCACATGTTCTCACTTGTAAGTGGGAGATGACTGATGAGAATACATGGACACATGGCGGAGAACAACACACACTGGGCACCTGTTGGGGGCTGTGGGGGGTGGGAGAGCATCAGGGGAGAGGGAGAAATCAGGAAGAAGAGCTAATGGATGCTTAATAACTAGGTGATAGGATGATCTGCACAGTAAACCACCATGGCACACGTTTACCTATGTAACAACCCTGCACATCCTGCAAATGTACCCTTGAGCTTAAAATAAAAGTTGACAGAAAAAAAAAGGAAGTAAAAAAAAAAAGATTCAGGGACTAATTAGATCCAGGAGTTGTTTAATAATATTCAACAATGATTCATAATAAAATATTTAAACTAAGGATAGGATTAAACATTTGTTTAATGTAATAAAGGGTATCTACAAAAGTGTACATTAAACGCCAAGCTCAATATTAAAATATTAAAAGTATTTCATTTAAACTCAGGAAGAAAGCAAAGATACTTGTAATTGGGACTGTATTATAACGTATATCCTAGCTGTATAGTTTGAAGAGAGTAAAATAAATAATCTGTAGGAATAGGAAAGAAACAAATTTTCACTATATATATGTATACATATATAAATTTTCATTATATAGTATAGGTACATATATAAATTTTCATTATATATATAAAAAATTTGGAGTCTTCTAGAGAGTCATAACATGTATGTATGTATACATATATGTTATGTATATATACATGATACTTATATGTATACATACATACATGTTATGGCTGTCTAGTTTGAAGACTCCAAAACTGACTACCATGAGTTTTAACTGGGAATAATAGAACTAGGAAAAGAACACAAAAAAACAGTTTAAACTGAGAATATCACAAAGAAGTGATAATCAAAAATTTTAACCCTGTATATCTTCCTGTTGTATTTAACATTAATCTACAGCTTAATTTTTAATGACTGCATGGCATGCAAATGGAAGTATATGATTAGAATGTCAGTTTTTGATTAGGTTGTGGGATCTTAGGTAAATCCCTCATTTCTTTGGATGTCAGTTTTCTTTTTCTTTTCTTTTTCTTTTTTTTTTTTTTTTTTTTTGAGACGGAGTTTCAATCTTGTCACCCAGGCTGGAGTGCAGGGGCGCAATCTTGGTTCACTGCAACCTCTGCCTCCCAGGTTCAAGCGATTCTCCCACTTCAGCCTCCCCAGTAGCTGGGATTACAGGCATGCACCACCATGCCTGGCTAATTTTGTGTTTTTAGTAGAGATGAGTTTTCACCATGTTGGTCAGGCTGGTCTCAAACTCCTGACCTCAGGTGATTTGCCTGCTTTGGCCTCCTGGAGTGCTGGGATTACAGGTGTGAGCCACTGTGCCCGGCCTGGATGTCAGTCTTCCGATTTGAAAAATAGATTCACAGATTACATGATCAATAATATTCCTTATAGTTCTAATTTCCATGATCTTAGTAAGTTAAAAGAGCAGGAAAAAAATCTTCAGGTGTATCAAAGTAAACCTATAAAACTCCTATGAAAATTGTTTGATCTCTCTCTCATTTAAACTTATTTTATATGATCCTATATTATATTTTACTCTTAAAAGGTTTAGGTTCAGTTAGCACAATTATTTCTATCACAGCAGAACATATTTCTTCCAACTCCTTGTTTTCTCTTATGCTTGACTGCCTGACAACATTTTATGTCCAATAAATGCCTGCTGTAATGAGAAATCTTTGTGGATAGCAATGGGGATAGTTGTGATATTTACTAACAACTTGAAAAGTAGAAGTGTGAGATTTCATATCTAGAATGAGACAGAACTGAACATACTTTTGTTTCAATAATTGTTTTTATAATATTTTCAGTAGGGTCTGCCTCATCCATTAGACTGCAAGCTCTAGAAGAGCAGGGAACGCACTTGTTTTTTCTATATGGTATCACCAGGGCCCAGTATAGTGACCAGCACATACTAGGTACTTAATATACTTCTTTTTTTTTCTGTGGGTGGGGGGTGCGGAGAGTGTCTCACTCTATCACCCAGGCTGGAGTGCAGTGGCACCGTGTCAGCTCACTGCAACCTCTGTCTCCTGGGTTCAAGCAATTCTCCTGCCTCAGCCTCCCAAGTCGCTGGGATTACAGGTGCCTACCACCATGCCTACCTAATTTTTAAATATTTTTAGTAGAGACAGTGTTTCACCATGTTGGCCAGGTTGGTCTCAAACTTCTGACCTCAGGTGATCCTCCCACCCTGGCTTCCCAAAGTGCTGGGATTGCAGGTGTCAGCCACAGCGCCTGGCCCTTAATATACTTCTGAAATGAAAGGATGGATAGCTGTTCCTCTCAGCTTGAACTTAAAGAAAATTATCTATGTTTCTAAAATCTATCTTTAGCCATAGGCTATAATACTCTACTCATATTTTAATTGATACAAACATCACAATGTACTTCATAGTGACTCAAAATTTTCTAAATTATGTAGATATATGTAGTATATGTATGTAAATTTTAAAAAAATGTTACAGTCTTTTTTATTCGAACTGAAACATCCCCTATAACATTGCAGTCTTCCCTAGTTACATCCCCATAAGGTTCCTTCTTCTCCTAGCAAAGCTGCTGGAAATAAGAGGCAACATTCTCTAATATCTTTGACCCTCTCATTCTTCTCTGACAATATCTCAGCTTTCTCTTTCCATATTCAGCCAAAGGTGAGATAATACTTACTCTTTTCACCTTTTGACTTCCTATACACACCTCAAAACATTGCAATAAGCTTCCACTTCTTACCTCTTCACTGATCCTCATTAAGATGATCAAGACATCTAAGTTTTTAATTTAGTAGATACCTTGCTTGATCTCTCAGCTGTATTTGAAACTATTACCACTCCCTTATTCTTGGAATTTTCTCTTCCATTAATTGCCAAAACATTGCTTTACCCTGGCTTCCTGTCTACCTCCCAGGCTACTACTTCTCACTCCTCTTCATGGGTTTACTCAATGTTTATCCCCCATCTTCCCTCTGAAAGAATCCTTAACTCTCTTCTCTCATTCATTCCAGGATTCAATTGCTTCTTCTATGATGAGAATTCCCAAATCTCTATTTGCAACTCAGTTCTTCATCCTGAGCTCCAGATGATAAATGTACCATGTTCCCTCATGCTTTTGGGTCTGCACACATTCTATTTCTTCTCACAGGATCAATTTCCACTGCTCAATCATTTGACAAAATTTTCCTCCTCCTTCAATTTAGCTCAAATGTCTGTCTTCTCTGTAAAGCTCTTGTGAGAACCCCAGGCAGCTTTGAGTGCTTTCCTTGCTCTTCCTGCACTTTGTATAGACTTTAATTCAAGGAAGTATCTCATTCTTTAACTGCTTGAATATGGGCTCCATTGGACAGCAAAGTGCCATAGAGGTGGGATTTGATTTCCATTTTTATAGTCCTAATTACTAGGACAGTGTTTGTTGCCTAATAGAAACTCAATAAATGTTTGTTGGATGAATACATAAATCTTTTATTGTTATAAACCTGCTTTTCACATTTATTCTCAAATTCAATTCTCACAACCTCCTTGAGAAGCAGATATTATTATTATGACCCCTGTTTTACAAATGAGGAAAAACAAAACTTTCCCACAAGCACACATTTGTTAAATGTCAGACCAGTGACATGTACCCAAATCTTCATTCTGTATCCAGGGTTCCAGTGCATATTGGAGTAAAACACAATTAAGCAACATGAGTAGAATACAATAGATAATATTAATGACTATTGCTTATCTAAATAATAAAGATTACTAATTAATAGAAACAGAGGAGCAGTTTTCCATTAAAATTTCTTCCATAACAAAAAATGTCTTGGCTGGGCATGGTGGCTCACGCCTGTAATCCTAGAATTTTGAGAGTTCAAGGCAGGCAGATCAGTTGAGGTCAGGAGTTTGAACCCACCCTGGCCAACATGGTGAAACCCTGTCTCTACGAAAAATACAAAAAAATTAGCCGGGCAATGTGACGTGTGCCTGTAATCCCAGCTACGTGGGAGGCTGAGGCAGGAGAGTCGCTTGAACCCAGGAGGCGGAGGTTGCAGTGAGCCGAGATCATGCCACCGCACTCCAGCCTGGGCGACAGAGTGAGAGTCCATGTCAAAAAAAGAAAAGAAAAGAAAAGAAAAGAAAAGAAAAGAAAAGAAAAGAAAAGAAAAAACTGTCTTATACCAATGAGCCATACCATTTTATTTTTACTTTCATGAGCATACTCTTTGAATAGGGTATTCTTCACCAAAGGCCCTGTGATTTCTCTCCTCCCTCATGCATTCAGCAATGGAAAACTAGATTGCTCTGTAGACCTAAATCTTTATGAATTAGTGAAGAGAAGATGTGTTTGGAGAAAATTCTCTAAAACACGACTGGACTGCATTCAACTTGCAAGTCTTGCCAATTTAATCATGGGTATCTGAACTATAATTTGTTCAAGACCTAACATTCTCAAGAAGAGCTAAGCAACCAGGTTTAAAGATATTTATGATAAATTATGTGGGTAACTTATCTATAGGTTTCTCTGCTTAGAAAGAGCAGAAATAGTTCCCAAGAGTAATTGTTTTTTTAAAAAAAGAAATAGAGCCAAACCAAGTTATGTGGGGCCATGAAATGGTCAGGTGAAGAAGAATACCCACAAGATTACATTAATTAATATGAGTGATATTTTGTTTCCTCCCTGTCTTTTTAAAGGTCTTCTATATCTAAACATAACATATTATTGTATAAAATCTTAGTTACTGCTATATGTAATCTTCAAGGAACCATCATAATAGTTTTAAATTAACTTGAGCCCAAGGTAAGTCTTTTTTTTTTTTTTTCATTCTTCTGTTTTTCCAAGTTTTGCCCTTTCTTCTCTCCAAAGAGAAAACTTGCAGGAACATGAGCATGGCATGACCTTTTTTCCCTCCTCTCACGTCAACTGCTGCTTGGCCTGATTGGAATCTGCATTCCAGGGTGGCCCAATGCCAAACCTGTAGAATGATTTTGGAATTTAAACTGTAGACACTCACAGAGGTTTGGAAGAGTGCCCCTGCCATCTGCTGCCTGACCTTTCTGTGTCATCACTATTGTCTTCCATTTCCATCCTCTCACCAACCTCATGGTCTGGAGACAACTTAGTTGCCTTCTATCTACGTAAATGAAGACAACACAGCAGCTGTGCTGAGGGTGAGGCGTAGATGCTGAGTGACACTGAATAGAAGGTATTTGCTGTGGCTGGCATGATCAGAAAGTCAAGTAATTCTTTGCCCTTGGAAATAAGGATTTGTGTTTTCTGTCAATTTCAATATAGTTGGAACTGCACAGCACCATAAAGAAAAAGATGCAGCTATACAGGTAGAGTCTCAACTCTTACATCATGAGGCTGGAGGGAGACAAACACGTCAGGTATTTAGGGGCCAGTTGCGGAGGTCTAGCGCTGGAAATAAAGGAAAAGGGAGATTCAAGGCAAGTCTAGTCAAGAAAGTTGTTGGCCAGACTCAATGGCAGACTAAATCCAGGGGCAAAGGGAGAGACAGAGAGAGATGAACCAAAGAAGCTGGGGAGGGGTGCATGTGGAACAACAAGATACAACCTGGAAAAAGGGGAAGTGGAATAAAAGGGTGAGTAATTGTTTTCCATTCCAGGGAGCCAAGAAGTCCAAAACACCTAGTTTGTGCAGCTTCTGTAATGGGAGCCTTTGCAACTCTCAAAGGTGGCACCTAGAAATCCAGTGAAAACCCCACTGATGAGCTTTAATGGAAATTTACTGTTTTTCCTCCACTGGGCACAATGCCAGGATCCTGACAGGGGAGGTGGTGAGAGAGGAGAAAAACTAATTAAGATATTCAGACTGTTTGTGAAAAGATGCTTAGGCCGGCTGGGAGAACTGTAGCTGAAAAGGAAAGCCTGGGTGAATTCATCATTGGGCCATTCGGAAAGAGGTCAAGATTACAGGGCACCACCTCAGAGGCTGACTTGAGCCTGGTGAACAAACTAACATGATTTAGACCGGTGCTCCCCATGGGTTCAAAGCAGTTAGAAAGAAATGCGTAAAACCTGCATTCTTTGAGCTATGGGAGAATGAGGCTTTTTAGATTCAAATATTCATAAAATCCTTCATGATGACCAACTGCCATGATTCCACATCATTGTTTGGTAGTACATCATGAAGAAGGCCTTAAAGTATTCAGGAGTTAATCATGCCCAATAAATTGAGGAATGAAGGAAACAAGATAAAAATGTTTCTATAAAATAACTTTAAAAAAGCATAAACTTATCACAGATACTTGAAATAAAAGAATTAATTTAGAGTCAGAGAAACTAGAATGTGATGAGATAGAATTCTATTTGTGAGAGAAGTTTCTATGAGAGAAGGATAAGTAACATCATCCTTATAAAGATTATAGCATTATTTTATTGTAAGCCATAAAATGATGGAACAGAAGGCTATAACCTCATCATTATTCCTTTCTATTGATCCTTCCACGGGGCACTCAATTTGAGAAATTTCTTGGAAGTATATTTTTACATAAAAGGCTCACATATCACTATAACCCCTGCCCTCCCCCAACCAAAAACAACAGGCCCTCAAAGTTAACATATGTAGAAGACCATAAGAATATTGATTTAAAATATTTTTGGGTAACATAATAAATGTTATTAAACTTTAGATAAAGAAAGTAAAATTTCAGAAGAAACTCAAGGACAAGATCATGCCAGTCAGAGGAGCAACAAAAATATGAGATGGAGGAGACAGTGTGGTGAGGAAAGACAAATTGTACCTATCACAGATCTCTACATCCAAGTAATCAATGTCTTTAGGGTGCCAAAATTATTAATTAATTCATTTATTTATCTATGACCCAGGCATTAAACACCTATTTAGTGATAGTTTTCCATGTGTTAGGCTCTGTATTAGGAACTATTGAGACAGAGAAATTGGTCAAGGTCTCCTTCCTTGAGGAGCTAACTTAAAATTAAATGGGGAAGGGCCAGGCACAGTGGCTTATGCCTGTAATCCCAGCACTTAGGGAGGCTGAGACAGGCAGATCACCTGAGGTCAAGAGTTCGAGACCAGGCTGGCCAATATGGTGAAGCCCCCTCTCTACTAAAAATACAAAAATTAGCTGGGCATGGTGGTGTGTGCCTGTGATCCCAGCTACTCTGGAGGCTGAGGCAAGAGAATCACTTAAACCCAGGAGGCGAAGGTTGCAGTGAGCCAAGATCATGCTACTGCACTCCAGCCTGGGCAACAGGGCAAGACTCCATCTCAAAAAAATAAAATAATAATAAAATGGGGAAAAATAAAAAAAAAAAGATTACAAGAAAATGAGAAAATGTGATAAATGAGCAGCGCTTAGACTGATCTTAACATAATTATCATTGCAATCCATTTGATCAACCCAGACTGAAACCACAGCTCTGCCATTTACTAGCAGTGTCATCTTGGGTTAATCAAGTCACAAACCCCTGGCTTCCTCATCTAGAAAATGGGCACATTAATGAAGTCAACCTCATAAGATTCTGTGAGGATCAAATGAGAATGCACGTTGAGTACTGAACCTAGCATCTAGTAAATGTCTGATGAATACTGGCAATAGCAGCAACAATTCTTATGGTGATTCTAGCCCAATAGCAGTCATGATACAGGTATAGGGTATATGCTAGAAGTCCCTAATTCCAGGCCCTGGATGGTGTCTAAGTTCAGCTTTCTGGAAGGAATGGTGCCTGAACTGAATAATGAAGAACAAGAAAGTATTTCAGGAGGGGATAACCAAAAGACCAAAGGCCTGGAGCAAGAAAGAGCATGTCATGTTTAATGTACTGAAAGGTGTTGAGAAAGGCTGGAAACAGAGGGCAAGAAAGGACTGAAAGATATAGGGATGCTGAAAAATCTGGACTTCACCCTAGGAGCCCTAGGAAGTCACTGAAAACGGTTCTATGGAGAGGAAGGACAAGAAGAGATTAGAGACTTAGAGGAAATGATTTAGGTAGTAACTGAAAAAGATTTAGACCAGGAATGAAGGAGACAAAATGGGTAGAAGAGTGGCCAATTAGAGGGCTGATGCTTTAATTCATCATTTAAAGATGAGAGCACACCAATGACAGTGGCAGTAAGGTAAAGAGAAATGGATGGATTTGAGAGATATTCCAACTTAGAATTGATAAATTTTATTGACCAATTAAATGAGAAGCGCAAAGTACAAGTCAGGCTTAAAGGGTTTCTTCTTATTTTAGGCAGCTGGTGTAGAAGAGGAATGGTTATATTCACTGAGGAAATAAATAATCGAGCAAAGCAGGTGTGGAATAAGTATGATTTCAGACAAATGAGCCTTCTGGATGGTTTCAGGGGAAACTCAGATATAGGAAGATCTGGGTGAAGGCAGAGATTTCGGTGATAACTCTCAGGAATGAGAAGAGTGGGAAGAAAATAAAGTTCGCCTATCACCAGATAGCTCACAAGAAATCTGCTTTCCTTCCCATAGATATAATTGACTCTGCGATATGAGAAATGTATATGATATATGCACATTTAATATTTACATATTTACTTGTGCTAGAAATGCTGGTCATGAAGCCTGCTTGCCCCCATACCCTTGCAGGTGAGAACGGTCCTCCCACAGCTTCCATTAAGGGGAAGCATATCAGAAGCACAGCTGAGATCACGCGAACAGCTTCCTCTCCCTGAACACATATTCCCAAAGTGGTGCATTTATAACCATTTTAAAGGTAATATATCAATATGAGAGTTATTAATATTTGATGAAAAGGATTCACTGTAAAAAAAAGAAGGCAAGAAGCACAATAGAGAAGTGGTTTTCCTTTAGATGTGTTCTCGCAACCATTAACCAAGGGTGGCAGATTCTACCACCCCAGTGGTCCTAGTTCCTTAACTCACTTTCCTACTTTACAGATGTTAAAATTTGGTGATGCTTCAGAGAAGGCCTCTTCAGATACTGTCCCTCTACTCTCTCCCAGCTTGGTCCCAGGTAGCTGGTGCAGGCATTGGTACTTAAACTAAACCAACCACTACTGGAGTGAAAAGAAGTAAACAGTGAGAGATTAAGCTGAAAGGCTGCAGCAAGAGAAGTCAGAACGTAGAACTGGGCTCCGTGGGAATCAACAGAAACTGTGAGTAGCCAGAAGCCATGCAATAGAGAAGAGGTATAATGTGGATTTTTAAAAGCCTATGTCACTTGGTAACATGAGAAAAACAAAACTCAGAGGTGGAAAGCTAATGAACTGAAAGCTTCAGACTCCTCAAGGGCATGCGTTCCAAGGCCTTGGGAGTAGCCCTTGCAATGTGTTCATACGAGCATTAAGTTTTCCAAAAAATAAAATATTATTTATTTATCACAGAAATAAAATACTTAAACCACAGTTGGTTAATGGCCACAGTCTCTCTCCACTTTAATTTCCTCGCCATTCTACTTTCTCTCTGGTCAATTTCCACTGGAGGGATCAAGAATATTTTTGATATCCAGCTAAGGAAAATTTAAACTTAGGGTAGATTTAGTTTGGACTTAGTGAGGTGTATTTATGCTGTTTACAATTACTCCAGGGTATCGTACAGTTATTGCCAGCTGTCCTGAGCTTCATGAAATACTCCTACTACGCACTATATTGAATCACCTAATGTCATGGCACGAAGCACAGGGCTAGAGATCCTAGTGGGATCTACCCTAATGTAAGGGGTACCTAATATCAGAAATACGTGAATAATGAGTAAAAGCAAGGTTTGCAACGTATAGAACCCAAAGATAGTCTGTAGAAAATTCCTCCATTTATTAGACATATACACATTTTAAGCTGAGGGTTTGGTTTTCATTGACACCAAGTCAAAATGGAAATTCACTCCTGTTCGAAACGTATTCTATGTACAATTGCAAATACATCATACATTTTTATGAAAAGTACAAAATAAAATTTACTTGATTTCCTGAGTTTGTAGGCACAAACATAGCAATACTATAAATGGCAAGTATTCTGTTAGAGCGTATTATGAACGAAACATAGTAAAGGCCTTCCAAGTTTGATAATGATCCCCAAAATTTATATGACATTACAAATACTGAGTACCGAAGTTAAAAGAAACTTTTAAAACTATCAACAAAAATTGTTCTGATTAACAGTACTGGAGAAAAGACTGAATTATATTTCTATGCTTGCCAAGAAAGAGATATCACCAACTGAAATATGATAGGGTGATCAGAGTATATGGTCCACATACTTAGAAATAAGTATCACAGTAGGACAATAATGTAAAAGTATGTTATTTCTTTTTTATTATTATTATACTTTAAGTTCTAGGGTAAAAAAAAGAAAAAACTTAATGGCTTTGGAAAGAGGGAGTTGCTAGGGTTAGATTTAAGTACAATGACATAGTGAAAGACATTATCTTGAGCGCCAGTAGCTAAAAATCACATTTTATTGGAAAGTAAAGCACTCATCAATCATCACTAATTAGACACACTATAGCACTATCACCTCAGTGCTACAGTATATCTAACTAGTTTTGTTGTTGTTGTTGTTATTGTGGTTTTTGATGTATAAACACAGTCCTTTCCTGAGTTATTGCCTATAATAAGGGAGTTGATTATAAGAACATTTTGGACCAGCACCAACACCAAAAAATTTGTCAGGAACAAAGGCAACTCTAGGAAACCCTGGTTTTTGTCTTGGAACAAGCCAGCTCCATGGCTGCAAAATCTTCAAATTTTCTTTTTTATGTTTTCCTATAGTCTTTGATAATAAAATGCATTATTTTTGAAAGCTATGGCATACAGTATTCTAAAATGAAGACTTTAAAATAAAGGTAAAGTAGCCAGGTGCGGTGGCTCATGCCTGTAATCCCAGCACTTTCAGAGGCCGAGGCGGGTAGATCACTTGAGGTCAGGAGTTCGAGACCAGCCTGGTTCACCAGCCAACAGGGTGAAACCCTGTCTCTACAAAAAAATATAAAAATCAGCCAGAAATGGTGACACGCGTCTGTAATCCCAGCTACTTGGGAGGCTGAGAGTCAAGAGAATCGCTTGAACCCGGGAGGCGGAGGTTGCAGTGAGCCGAGATCATGCTACTGCACTCCAGTCTGGGTGACAGAGCAAGACTTTGTCTCAAAAAAGAAAAAAAGAAAATAATAATTTTATATATATATATATATATATATATATATATATATATATATATATATATGTAAAGCAGACAGAGGAACTAAAGAAATTTATCAGCTCCTTCAATCCTTAAGTTTGTGAATTATCTCTGGGCAAAGAAAAGACTGTTCTGCTTTCTTCAACCCTTGATTTACAAATGCTTCTGACACTTGGCAGTGAACAGATGTGGCTCCACCCACAAGCTCGTAGGCTCCCCAAGAGCTAAAAATGTACTGGATTCATCTCTGTAACCCCAGGAGAGAACATCTAACTAGCACATAAGTGGCTCTGTGGTATGTGTTTGTTGAACTGAATTTCCCTACCCTTACACTTCAACATACTATCTTAAGATTCCAGCCCCTGGGATGGCTATAATTGTATTGGTTTACATTGTACCATCTACATTATCATCTGAATTTCACTCTTTGACATCTAACACAATGCCTCACATATAATAGAAACTCATTAAACATTTGTTAAATGAATAAATGAATGAACTTTTTATTGATGGAGGGAATTTGATTTCCTTACTCCTACTGTATATCAGATTAGATCACTCACCTATAAAACCCTTCAGTGACCTCCTATTAAAACAGCCTATAAGATCCTACCAGATCTGCCTCTCTAATCATTGCTAATAGAGTGAAAATGAATAAATGGGATCTAGACAGCACCTTAAATTATGTAAAGCAAAATTAGAATAAATTTTTTGTGAAAGACATGGTTTCAAGGGAAAATAATTGTAAAAAGTTGACTGTGAAAAGTTAAATCTCCTTATCCCAGGGCCTTTCAAGGCATTTAAAATTCAAATGGGTATTGTGACTTTTTAAGAAAGGGAACAGAGTGGATAGAATTTTCCAAATTTAATTAATATTAATAACTGCACTAATGATCCAGAGTGAAAAACTCTGATCTAGACTAAAGTAGAAGAAAATTTGCATATAGCTGTATCTGATGAACACACAGTGTTCAGGTCATTCTTAAACAAAAACATTTTAAGTTATTTTACTCAATATGACCTCATACTTCTATTTTATCATAATGACACAATGGGAGGACCTATGGGTCAGTAGCAGAGTAATTCAACCGCACATATGTTACATGAAGCATCAGGGTATTCACTGGGAGTCTACCATTCAATGTGAATGAGAAGGCTGATTCTATTTAATTTGAGAAATTTAGTAAGATGATAGTCTATTGTGGCTCTGATGGAAAGAGAGTGTTGAAAACCAATACTATAAAGCCAGCTGTTAGATTGAATGTACTTTCAGTGTCATTTTACATCTGACAATTACATCTTGATGTACACTGCCCTGAGCAAGACAATACTGTACTGCTCCTGGGGTCTTTAAAACGTACACACCTCATTATGGGCATTAGCCTCTAAAATATTCCATCTTTATGGAGGCTGGGAGAAAACATCAAGTTGAATCCAGAGAGGCTTATTCAGTGATAAATGACCTTAAGACATCTGGAAATCCAGTTTGGAGTAGGACAATGAGGTATAGATGCTTACCCAAACCTTTAGAAGTTAAGAAAAATATAGACAAACACTAACTTTTGAACAATTTAAATTAGTGTGTTTCATTGATTTAAAAATAAACCTTTTTCAATGTATTTCATCATCTCTGAAATTGTGGTATGTCCTATAATCCAATGGTGATTTACAATCACTTTCATGAATTCAGACTGAAAACATGTACTTGTATTGGGTTTTGGTTCAAATAATCAGGGGAGAAGTTTTTCTTTCCTCCACCAGTACCGATGTTGAGAAATACATTTTCTTGCTGTCTCTTTTCACACGGTGGTTTTGTTTGTTCATTTATTTACTCACATAATAATGATGTAGCCCTCTTAATTGCAAGTCTATTATTAGATTTTTCATCTTGAGCTTTTTTTCTTTTTTGGAGTGCATGTAACAGCATCTTTAATCATGGATTCAATGGTATCATAGACTCAAGAAATACAGTACTTTTAAAGCTCAGAGAATGTGTTCCTTTCTCTTCTTGAAAAGAATTATACCACGAGGCAGGATTTCCTTCTGGGATGATAATATCATATGGGAAAGGAAGCAAGGCACTCTCAACTCATTCTAAGTTCATAACTCCATAGACTATTAGAAAATCATTTCAAGAATACCACCTGTGGATAAGGGTAAAAGAGTGGGGGAAAAAGGGGAAACAAAAATCGGATAAGAAATCTAAACAAACCTAAACTTAGTGATAATGTCTAATTTATGCATAGGGGTTAAAAAATAGTAGATCCCAGGATCACTGTGAATAGCACGGCACAGAGAATAAAAATCATCATCAGGGATTCTGTTAGAAAATACAAGAGCCAGATCAATGTTACGATATAAAGAGGCATAGTGCATATAGAACCAAGGCATACATTTCTTAGGACCCCTATTTAGGAATGTACTAAGGTTTTGTTTCTTGCTTTTGTTTTTAAACAAAAAGAGACAGGGTCTTGTTCTGTTGCCCAGGCTGAAGTGCAGTGGCATGATCATAAAAATGTGCTGAGTTTTTATGCTTGTAATTTAAAAGTGACTAAGTGAACTAATAGAGTTTAAAAATGTGAGTGGTTAAACCTTGAGAGTTGAGATCACCATGGCAAAGCAAGGACATAGTTTTGTGCAAGGGATCCCAGTTTTTAAGCTGATAAAGGCTGGTACTCTATTTGCACAGGACATTATTAACATAAAAATAATATTATAAAAATATTTATTAAAATTTAATATTTATTAATGTAAAATTTAATTAATATTAATTTTAATTATATTACTTGATATAAATTAATATAATTAATATATAATTTCACTCATTAAAGTTTAATATTTGTTAATATAAAATTTAATTAATATTAAATTATTATTTATTAGAATAGTAATGAATATTTATTTTTAGGTTAAAATAATATTAACATAAAAACTGCAGCACAAGAGACTTAGATTTTATGGATTAATAGCAAACTTCCTCTGAACTAAGTCACAATCTAATTTTTATATTGAATAAGTCCAGGAGGGGGCACCCTGACATTCCAGCTTTCAGTCAACCTTCTGACTACTTCCATATTGAGCTAAATCTCCACAGCCATGGCCACCAACTGTCTTATCATCAACTGGGACTGTGCAAAGGCAGGAGCACCTAAGAGGCAGGCCAACAGTTTAATGAAAAGGACCAGAGTGCTCTAAGGTTGGATAAAGTATGGGGTCACTGACTGCCTTGTGGGTTACAGTAGATAACCTATGCAAATTCTCTTCAGAGGCAAGAGCTAGCCCCAAGAACTCTCAGCATCAATGGTCTACTTCAAATGTTGATTAGCATCAAAGGTTTCCTTCCACAGAAAGGCCAGACTAAAAGGGAGTAAGTAATTTCAGAAACATCTGGAAAGCAGAAGACAACATATAGGGGTCTTGTACTTCCTCTTTGATGTATATATTACCCATGCAGAAAAATGACATATTTGTAAATTTTAGTTCAGCCTCTAGGATGGTGCTCATCCAGCAGACATCTGTGTCACAGACCAAAGAAACTAAAATGTGTCCAACTTAAACCAGGCTGAATCAAGACTAGTTAAACTACACTTTTCATCACCAGTCAGTTTCAAATACACAGGCTCAGAGGTCTTTGACCACTTGCAGTTGAGAAGGATGATAGACCTGTACAGTTCAGGATATAATTTGGTCTAGGGATGCTTCAGAAGCTCCAGAACAGATTCTATACTGACTCTCCAACCATTCATTCATTGAATTTTGCCAGATAAATACCCTATCAGAAAATGGGTCTGTTTCCATTATGTCATACAAAGTGCAAATCCTCAAGGCTTTCCTTTGGAGAAGAATAGGTAGAGTCTACCAGTCCTGTCTCTAAATGATCCCATTTATCAATGGATGAGATTTCTGAATAAAGCATGTGCATTTATTTTATGCTGAATGCTGCAAACTTTAGATCGACATCTTGCCAGCAAAAACCAATACCCACATTTTTCATTTCTTTATCTCTGGTGGAAAAAAGCAGGATTTAAAGCAACTGCTGGTCAAACACATGATTCTTTTTTAAAAACCAGAGTAAATTCAGACTGGCTTCCTGGAGAACTGTTTTGAAAGGCAGTTTACAGATCTTACTGTTGCTTTTCCATGACATAATGCTGGAGATCCGACATAATACTCAAACACCTGGCAACAGCCTAAGGACAAGGGGGAGCAGGAGTGAAGGGAGAACAAGAGGAAACTCTGACAGATCTGTCCTGAAAAATGCACTATTTACCAAGTTGGGACATCAAATCTCAGACAAAAAGGTAAAGAGAATTGCTTAAACCAAGGTTTCCAAGAATCTTTGACAAATGCTGACTCTCTTAACACTTTATGAAACAACCAAAGTCAACAGACACATCTCCACAGCCTTTCCATTTGCAGACTTTTTTCCCACAGCCCTATTTAGAACTTAACATAATGGGAAGTTTTCTCTTGGCAAAAAAGCTGATTAAGTGTTCCATTTAATAGCATAATGCAAAAAAATGCTTTCCTTTTTTCAGACCTGCTGTTCTCATACTGTCTCATGTTGTCTAAAGTGGAGAGTTGGTAACTATTTTCGGGGTTGGTGTGCCTTTATGATGAATGTCATCTTAAAATACAGAACAAATAATGAAACCCATGTTGAATTTATAATCAACTTTCTTTTATCTACACTCAAGGTTATTATTTTAACCTGTTGTCTTTGCAGTTTGGGAATACAAGAATGAGCTTTTTGTGATAAGTTGAAAGCACAATAATTTATAACAAGCTTCTTTCTCTTATTCTCCTATTCTCTCTCCATTTCTGTCTCTCTCTCTTGCAGAATGGGTCTATTCATTTATATTTCTATCCTTTTTGATTTGGTCTTACATTTACAATGTCAGGAATATCATATCCATTCAACAAATAACATCTGACAAACAAAAATGGATCTCCTGGGGCATAGGACCAAAAAGCAGTGCTGTGGACAGATTCTGTTATTGGAATTAGGCATCTAACCTCCTTTTAAAGCATATGGCCTTTAAAAACTTTTCACTATTTTTAACAATCAACTTGAGGATTTAAAACAATGCAATCCCCCGCTAATTTTTATTGGTCAATGGCCTATTCAATTGTTTCTCAGCTTCTCCTTTAAAAAAAAATCCTTGTTCTAGTTGTACTTTTAAAGTTAAAGCAACAATCTCTTTATGGCTCTGCTTTCGCTGCGTAACCATCATCTTATGCCAAGATACATTTTTCACCCATTCAGTCAGGACAATTGGTAATTAAAGGCTTTATTACTTTCCATGATCATCATCTGCAATGCTTTTAGCTGGAACAAACAAAGTAACCCGAAACCTTATTTAAACTGGCTTACACATTAGGATATTTGTTTACCAACTAGTAGTCAGAGGTACAGTGGGCTGTGGAGTTGGTTTATTTCACAGCCGGATGGTATCATCCAGGACCCAGGCTTTGTTTTCTCTGCCTTCACTTTTGGCTTCCCTCCAAGCCTTGTTTCCTTCAAGGTTGTGGGATGGCTGCCAGGAATACTGGGGCATTTAACAGGAGAGAAAGGCTGCCTTTCTATGTTCTCTCTTAAAAGTAAGGCACTGCCATTTTCAGAAGTCCCTAGCAAGCTTCTCCCAACATCACTTTGACCCAAATTGCCTTAGCCCTTGCCACCTCTAACAAAACACAGCAACAGGGTAGAAGGTTACTAGGGTGAAATGGATGTTGGGAGCCAACCTCAATGACCACCACACTGTCTTCTTTAACATCCTTAGTAAGTTTGAATGATGCAACATATCAGAAGAACTATGACTCAGACATTCTCTAAGGGAGCCAATTATCCTTGTTTTCTCAGAACTGAGGGGTTTCCCAGTATGTGGAACTCTTAGTGCTAAAACTGGGTGAGTCTTGAGACAACTGGGATGGTGAGTCATTACCTTCCCCTTTAATCCCTACCAGGTCCAAGCAACCATGAACTCTCCTGAACATTTGAGGAAGTAATACATTCACAGGCAATTAAGTGGAATGCAACAGCAACAGTACTTCTTAATGCTCAAATTATAATTCTAATTTAAAAAACCCCAGCATACTGTGTATGTGTATAATCTGTGAAAATAATTATATTTTGTATAAAGGATAATAGACTGTGTAAGTTGGAGTAAAATTTAGAGGTTCCTTAATTTCCCACTTCCCACATTCATGCATCCACTAATAACCTGAGTAGTATACTCAAAGCAGAAACCCTTTCTACAAGTGGTCAATAAGCACTCTAAGAGAAAATTATGTGCCCCTTACACACAGCATTATTCCTGGAATATGACAGGTATTCAGTAATTATCATCCTGAATTTAGTAGTCAAATGCAAAGTAAAGCATCTTTTTACCTTAGGTAGCATGTGAAATAGCCATGTGTAGCCTAAGACTGGCAGAAGCAAAGACCTGATTTCTACCACAAAAGTGAGGGAGGCCCCAAAGTAGAGGTAGGTGAAGAAAAGGAAAGAAGGCTGATATTTCTCACTCTGGCTCATAATTAAGAAGATTATTATTTTTTTCTTGTATGAATTTAGAGTATCCTCTGAAGTTTACAAATGTGAAAATAAATTATTTTGCATAATTCTACAAGCTACAGGATTGGTTGATTCCATCATCCTACTATGTTTTTGAGGTTATGTTGTGTAAGGTTACTTTGTTTGAACATGTACACACAGGTAGCCTGGAAAGGATGTCCAGAATGCAGGGGCCAAAGATAGAAGTTTCAAAAATACTAAATAACAGAGATAAAGATAAGGGCTATCAGCAGGGAAAACTGTTGTCAGTAGCAGGTTTGCAGAGCACGCCAGGCCAAGTGGAGATGTAGGATGAAGTAAAGAGATGCTTATTGGAGAGCAGGCACTAAGATGCCACTGCATGCACGATAGTTTGAACTATAGAAAGCTTTTTAAACAACCTACCGCACTGTTCCTTTTTTTATCCCCATGAAGCTAGGCTAGTGAGTGCCTCTTTATTAACCACATGTACTAAAGCAACAGTGACTTTATGTGATTTAAATGTTTTCACACATATGACATTATTTTGTAATCACATCAGTACCATAAAGTAGTAGGACCCTTATTACTAATCATATTTGTAACAAATAAACTGAGATTTATAATTTAGGTGACTTGTGCCAGGTAATCTAGAAAGTAATTGATTCAGGGCCAGTCGCAGTGACTCATGCCTGTAATCCCAGCACTTTGGGAGGCCGAGGCGGGCGGATCACGAGGTCAGGAGATCGAGACCATCCTGGCTAACATGGTGAAACCCCGGTCTCTACTAAAAATACAAAAATTCGCTGGGCATGGTGGCGGGCACCTGTAGTCCCAGCTACTAGGGAGGCTGAGGCAGGAGAATGGCGTGAACCCAGGAGGCAGAGCTTGCAGTGAGCCAAGATCATGCCACTGCACTCCAGGCTGGGCTGCAGAGCGAGGCTCCATCTCAAAAAAAAAAAAAAAAAAGAAAGAAAAGAAAGAAAAAAAGTAGTTGATTCAGGACTTAAACAACAACAACAAAAAATCATCTGAGTCTTCATTGTCTTTTCTGTTGAATCACATTCCCTAATTAAAAACTCTCTTAAAAACTAAAGAAAATTGGTTTTCAGGACAAAATCTACTCCTAAACATTGATTCTGGAAGAAGCATGAAATATTCAGCATGAGAATCATTCTTGTGCCAATGAATATAATGGCCCAATAATCCCATATTTCAGTTACTGATATCTGAGGCAAGAAGATTGCTGGAGCCCAGGAGTTCAAGGCTACAGTGAGCTATTATGGCACCACTGCTCTCCAGCCTGGGTGACAGAGCAAGACCTTGTCTCTAAAAAAAAAATTGTTTTAACTACCAACTAAACTATGTAACATCCTGTCTAGTACAATGACTTTAAATCATTTCCATTATAGAATAAATAAAAGATATAATTTTATGAAATTTAGCAAACTATTATAACACGGATGTAATTCCCACTAAAAAATCTCTAGTAATTTTGATGCAATTATACTGAAAAGGCTTCTAAAACTTGAAAAGGCCAAGAAAGTAGATTTTAAAATATCACAGTTTTTATAGGAAAAAGGTATAAAAATGACCAGCGTCTAGGTATCAAAAGTGTCCCCAGTGTTTTAGGTCCAACAAAATAAATGAGATTTCCCTCCTCCAGGCACAAGGCATGGCTTTGCTGTTATTAAATAGCAATGGAGTGAATCGACAAGAGACCCCTCTCACTCATGACTGCCAAGAAGAAGGGCTCCTGTAGCTCCTTCATCTTATAGCCAAAGCAATCATTTTCATTAGATGACCCCAACATCCAGCCTATAGTTAACAACCATAAACAAATTAACACCTCCGTTTATCTCAGCATACATTATTATCCAACCATGTTTATCTTGGAGGGCTTTTTTGGACAGACTTACTTATACTAGGAAAGGTTAAAATTCTGTGGGTCCTCATTGTCAGTGTTTTGAGGTGGTGTTTTTTTTTGTTTTGTTTTGTTTTTTTGTATTTTTGTATTTATCTGTATGCTAGAATGGGTCCTGAGTTGTGTCTCGAGAAAACGTTGGTGCTGAATGCAAGTATCTTGTTTTCCTCCACTGGGAGGTGGGGAAGATTTCTCTTGAGGTGTTCTTCTTGGGAGTTTGTCAACACTCCTGAGAGGATTTTGGCCAGACCCAGCACAGCTGATGATTACAGCATGTGGCTCTGCACGCTTACTAACAGGGAAAATAGCTGCACTCCAGATGCTCACCATGGGGTAAACCTCTCTTGTTTACTGTCATGCAGTACATAAGCAAAAGCTGACCGAGAGAAATGAAGTTTGGGTTGCCTGAAAGACATTCCAACAAATTCCCTTCAGTTTAGAACTCAATATTGCAGACTGCCTTTGTTGATTTCTGATGCCACTTGTCTGCCCAGAAAACACCTGTGCATCTTAGTGCAGAAGTTACCGTGCTAGTTGTTAAGATTAGCATGCCCTACGTGTCAGTGTGTCATGATTACCTGGAGGAAAATTACCTCTTGGTTTCTGTAACAGAAATGGTTTGCTTTTCTCAAGCAATTTTTTTTTAATCTTATGGACACTACGAATCTCGTAAGTAACTCCCCTTCCTGCCCTATATTAGCTGCTAGAAAATCTAGAGCCAAATTTGTATCTCACTTCTAATAAATATATACAATCTCATGGTAGATATTTTGCTGAAATCTGGCTTAAACTAAATATTCTTATTCTAATTTTTAACCTGCCCAAATTTCATCAAATACTCATTTAGGATTTATTTGATCTCATTGCACATATTGTATTCTATTGTTTTCTTTAAAACCCTTTCTGGAACAATGCAAGCTATAGGTGAATACATAAGATGAGACTTATCACTGTAAAAAGACAATTTGTGCTTCTCTGTGGCACAAATTGTGCTTCTCTGTGGCATTTAAGCTATATATCTGTAAATATTTGGACTTAAAAACCACTAAATATAAGATTGTAATTTCAATTGTTTTTCTCTTTATGGGATTTACTTTTTATTCCAACAATAATATGATGGCCATCTGTATTTTTATTTATCAAGTACTCACCACGATTAACTCCTGTGTTCAGAAATTAATATATTGATGAAGAGAATGTGTAGCTTAATTTTTTATGTTTAGGCTTGTCATGAAGTTTTATCTCTACATATTGCATATGAACTCTCCACACTTAGGATCTATGACACAAGAGGAGCCCTAAGAATTATGGAGTTCAATTCCTAATAAGAACTACAACACAACTAGCTGCACTAAGTCTGGATGAAATGATTTCAATAATATGAATACAGGATAGCCATTCTGATTGGATAAAAGAACTGGGCGACCAGCTTCTTTACATAACTCAGGATATTTGGTACAATTCTGGAAATATACTTGATTATCAGTGCAAATTTTTTGATTGGTGACTGGAATGACATTGAGTTATGTACATTAACCAGTTTACATCTTCTAGAAGATACACAGAAAGTAGTTCTTGAAATAATTTATTGACATGGCCAATATATATATTCTTGACAAGGTCTTATATTTCAGGAATTAAGCAAAGAATCTGAAACTCTGTTCAATTTCTTAAAAAAAAAAAAGAGGTAGAAATTGGGATTATTGAAATAAAAAGAAATCTGAGATCTCTATATCATTTAAGAAAGGGTAGAAATATTCACAAATTTTAAATTTATTGAAGTCAAATATAGGTGTTAAAATTCAATGCTATTAGGACTGGTTGCAGTGGCTCACACCTGTAACTCCAGCACTTTGGGAGGCCGAGGAGGGTGGATCATGAGGTCAGGAGTTCAAGACAAGTCTAGCCAAGATGGTGAAACCCCGTCTCTACTAGAAGTACAAAAATTAGCCGGGTGAGGTGGCAGGCACCTGTAATCCCAGCTACTCAGGAGGCTAAGGCAGGATAATCGCTTGAACCTGGGAGGCGGAGGTTGCAGTGAGCCGAGAGGGCACTACTGCACTCCAGCCTGGGTGACAGAGTGAGACTCCATCTCAAAAAAAAAGAAAAAAAAATTCAGTGCTATTAAACAACAACAACAACAACAAAAAATCGAAATAGAATACTTAAATTCCAAACCAGTAGAGAGGAAAAAAGGAGATCAGAGAAAATTTAGAAAATGAAAAGTCTAGAAAGGAAGCAATTAAAACAAAAAAAAAAAGGCAGCAAAGGAAAATTCTGTTAAATATAAAGTCCAGGCCGAACATGGTGGCTCAGGCCTGTAATCCCAGCACTTTGGAAGGCAAAGGCAGGCAGAACACTTGAGGTCAGGACTTCGAAACCAGCCTGGGCAACATGGTGAGACATTGTCTCTACAGAAAATGCAAAAATTAGCCAGGCATGGTGGTATGTGCCTGTAGTTTCCGCTACTCAGGAGGCAGAGGTGGAAGAATTGCTTGAACCGAGGAGGTAAGGGCTGCAGCAGTGAGCTGTGATTGTGCCATTGCACTCCAGCCTGGAAGACAGAGTGAGACCCTGTCTCAAAAAATAAAACAAAACAAAAAAATTAAGTATAAATAGATATAAATAAATCATTAATAAGAAGTATAAAAGACTAAATTTACTTATGAAATAGAAAAAAAATAACAAAATCCAGATATCTATTTACAAAAAAATGTGTAAAATTCAGGGACATAAAAAGGTTCAAAATATAGGATTTAAAAACTAGTTGATGAATATTATCCAAAATAAAACAGGCCTAATTTTGTTAAATATCAAACAAAGAAGCATTAATAGGCATAAATAAGAACATTACGTATGAAAAAAGATATAAATTCCTCATCAGAAAGGTACAGCAATTTTGAATGTTTATGTACCTAACAATGCAGCCTCAAAATACAGAAGGCAAAATTTCCAGACCTATTAGAAGAAATTGAGAATTTTAGAGGAAAACTTCAAAAACATGTCATTCGATAGATAGATAAAACAAAAAAATTAGAACAGAGAAAATGTGAACAACTAATTCATAGCTCTGCACTCAACTTCTAGAGTGTGAATACTTTTTCAAGCCTACAGTTACAATAAATGGCCTGGTAATCTGTCTTAAAGAAAATCTAAAAAACCATTTTATAGTTAATGTTATTTGATTATAATGCAATTAAATTCAAAATCAATTAAAAAAACAAATGAAAATAAATAAACTAGAACTATGTGTGTAAATAAGGATAAATCTCAAAAACATGATTTTAAGAAAAAAGCAAGTGGTGTTATATACTAAGTGAAATAATTTTAAAAATGTAACATTAATACTATATATGATTTATAGATGCCTACAAATTTAGTAATAATTTAGAAATGCACGTGAGAATAATGAATACTACCTTTGGGATCATCATACTTTGGGTGAGGAAGGAAGGGGATGAAATATAGCAAGGCTGCATAGGAGGAAGGAAGGGGATGAAATATAGCAAGGCTGTATAGGAGGATTCCATCCCATGGTATCATTACTATATGTCTGTAAGACTGGTGAAACTTGGCAATGGGCACACAAGTTGACTATTGTGTATGACTATTTATTTACCTTATATGTTTTCTTCACATTTTATATATTTAAATATTTCACAATAAAACAGTTTGTTATATTGGTACCTATCCTCACAGGTTTTTCTTTCTATATATTATATCCTAAATATAAAATATTTAGCATATCTATAAAAATACATAAAAATGAGATCCCAATGTATATATTAATTTTTGAAAGTTATTTATTCACCTAACAATATTTCGTGAACATCCCTTACCCATCAATAAATATACTTCTACCACATCATTTATAAGACCTTTGGTATGTACTGACAAATTGCTTTCTTGGACACCTTGATTTTTGTCCATGAAAGCATAGAAAATTTGGGTAACTATGAAATTTAGAGCTTTAAAGAAAGGAAGATGACGATTAAAGAATATAGTCTTTAATATTCAGCTCATTGTGCTTTCTCAAAAATAAGTGAGAAAGATTGCTGAGAAGAAATCCAAAACAGCAAAGAAATTCTTTGGAGTCAGTCTAAAGGATCCGAAAATGTTAAACAGGGAAACATAAAAAGACACACGATGACTACATGCAGAATACAATATAAATCAAATTAAAATGTCACAAAGTGAAGAAGCTGGATCAGATTATTAGGTAAGCATATAAGGAATAAAAGCAAATTTGGATAAAGGTACACAAAATTACAGAATGAGCCCAGGTAAACCTTCTGTCAAGTAGAAAAATCAAAAGGGAAAAGAGAGCCCCCTTATTAAATAAAGAAATTCTCAAAATTCTCAGAAAGGAGAGAAACATTTTAAAATTTTGCATGAAGAAGTCTGATAGCAAATTTGTGGGGAACACAGAAGTAATTCTGAACCCAAGTATTCCAGTGTCTTTAATGTGATATAGTCCCTAATTACACTGGCTCCAGTAATTACCTCACCACTAACCATCATGGTTGAGAAATCATGCAGAGCTAAAAAGCTGAACCATATCAAATCGAAGGTTCAACACTCAGCAATTTGTCGTTTTGTTGCCCTTTATTTTGAAATGGTAAACCAGTGATCATTTTCCATGAACCAACAGTATATTTTCAAGTTCGTTTAAAATAACATTCTTCAGCACTCTTTATCAAGCAACTCTTAGACAGTGAGTCCTAAAAGAACACTAGTCCTGCAACAAAGAGGGAGGGAGTTAGAGCTAAAATAATATTTTGTTGATTTAAAAAAACAGTTAAGCACAGATATGATGAATTAATGGTTTTCGGATGCTTGTTTTATTATGCATTCTTTGACTTCGCTGGCATTTATATGCTGCCATAAAATTATTACTATCATCTGAGCTTGGAATAGAGAAGGTGCAAGTGGGGAGAAACCTACTTGAGAAACAAGAATGAGTAACCGACATTCTCACATCATTTACAACAAATCCTGCCACCCACTGCCTATAACTCCTTTCCTGCACCATGTGTTGCTAGTTTGGGACTATAAATGTGACAAGCATGAAGTGAAATGTCAGCCAAATACTACTGGAGTGGGGAAAACCACAATTCATCATGTATCAAGGATTTAAGAATTAATTTTTTGCTTTTTAAAAAGAAGGGTGAAATTTTAAAGGTGGATAACCGTTCTTTTCATAGCTGAAGTTAAAACTGAATATTCATTTTACAGCTAACATTACTAAAAGCTTTTGGAACTCTTGTATGGAAAAGGTATTGCAAAAGGAAGGGCTAGGTAGCTTGAATTCTTTATTATTACCTGTCTTCAAATTAAATGTAAATAAACAGCATTTTTTGTTTAAAAATTCTTTATGACTAACGTACTGTTTGAAATAATCTCAAGGAGCAAGGTGAAAGTAAGAGAAATCTTTTAGAACCATATCAAAGTAAATTCCTCATTGTTTTCAGTGGAGACACTTCATTCATTTAACCATAGAATGAGTAACACCACCCCTACCCTCAAAGGATGTCTGGCAATTGGCAACACTAGATCTTGGAGGATAATGTGGGAATCTGGGTGGATCATAAAGCCAGACACCCAGGGAATAGTCCAAGAAATGCAGGCAAAGGGTCAATTCTGAGGAAAGATTTAGGTGGGAAAGTTGGTGGATCAGATTTTCTATGTTGGGTAAAAGAGAAAAATAGCCCAGACTCTCCACAATAGCATCATTTAAATGCCTCTGCCCATCCAAATTTTGCTTGTAATGTGACCCCATTTGACTGTGTGCTCTGGGAGGGAAGGAAGCACAGTATTTATGTCTGCATCCCCAGGGAGTTGGCACTATAGGAGGAGTTCAGTGAATGTGTATTACTGAGTGGACACAAAATATTGGAAGATAAAGTCCCAAAGTGTAGATTTAGAAGCTGTACACAGAGGCAGTTCTCTGCAAGATGTTTACAAGGCATGTTGGAAGAGAATGGGAGAAATAAGAGAGACAAGGAAAGAGTAAGGTGATCTAGGAGACATGGAAGTACAATCAGGAGAGCTCATTAAGCACAACAACATCAGTGGGAGGAGAACATTTCCGCATTAAGGTGCTCTGTAGTGACGAGTGGAGGAGGAATGTCAAGGAAAGGGAGCACTGGTAAAAGGAATCCTATTGGGTTTGACCCAGAGGACATCAGAGATCCAACCACAATTCAGCAGATGGCAAGATTGCCTATGAAGTTACAGGAGGCAAAGGAATGAGACATACACATCCCGGTGGGGCAGGTACCCCATTCCTGATGCCTATGAGGGTGTTTTTGGATTCAACACTCTTCAAATAAGACTTCTTAGGGAGCTGTGAAAGAGAGAGATGAGGGCATTGAAGGAGGAAGGACCTAACATTTGCTAAGTATCATCAACATGATCAGGTACTGATATGGTTTGGCTCTGTGTCCCTACCGAAATCTCATGTTGAATTGTAATTCCCAATGTTGGGGGAGGGACCTGGTGAGAGGTGATTGAATCACGGGGCAGATTTCCCTCTTGCTGTTCTTGTGATCATGAGTTCTCATGAGATATGGCGGTTTAAAAGTGTGTGGCACTTCCCCCTTCACTCGCTGTCTCTCCTGTTTTGCCATGTGAGGATAGTGCCTGCTTCCCCTTTGCCCTCCAACATGACTGTAATTTTCCTAAGGCCTCCCCAGCTACACTTCCTGTACAGCATATGTAACTGTGAGTCAATTAAACATCTTTTCTTCTTGAATTACCCAGCATCAGGTCTTTATAGCCCTGGTCTCAAGTATGTCTTTATAGCAGTGTGAGAACAGACTAATACAGGTACTAAGCATTTGGTAATGTAAAGCCTCAAAATATGGTCCACAAAGCAATGAGCAGCAGTATCACCATTACCTGGCAGCCTGTTACAAATGCAGAATCTGGGGCCTATTCTAGACCTACTGAATCAGAATCTGCATTAACCAGACCCCAGGTGATTCATATGTACAGTAAAGTTTCAGGAGCACTGTTGTCAATTTTCATAAAAAGGTATTCAAAAGTAGAGGAATGTAACATTTTTCCTCCATACCTGAGCTTGGCCTCGTCACAGGCCCTCAAGTTCTAACTGGCTGGAAGAAAAACTACTTTTCATTTGTAGCCTCAAGGTAGGACAGTGTCTTTCAGTTTAAAATAGTCTTGCTGTGGCAAAGATCTGATTAATTCAGGATCTAACCTTAGTCCAAGGGGACAGTCAACCAGGATGCTTCCATCATCTGAGAAGCCTCACATCTGTTATTCATTGCTCAGTAACAAACAACCCTGAAACACAGTGGCTTAAAGTAATTATCACTTTAAAAAATTTTCTGATGATTCTGGGGGTCAGCTGGGCAGTTCTGGTCTGAGTTGGCTTGGCTGATCTCTGTGGGTAGCTGATGACCCCATGATCAGAGAACTATTTCTCTGTCCTAGGCCTACCTTTTGCAAATGAAAGGCCTTAAACACGTACTCAAATGCCTTAAACATATACTCAAAGGAAAAAAGTCTTTAACCCGGGGTGACAGTGTCCTCTCCTTACCACTTTCTCCACAGCCAAAAGCAGTGTCTACAGAAAACTCCCTGAAGAGTCAGGGAAAGACAATAGCTACAAGAAAGTATAGAAGACTTTGCGACATTTGTAATTTAAGTTACCTTATTTAATAACTCCCTTCCCTCACAAAACCCCACAGTCCTATAATATAGAATTAATAGATTAGGAAAGTTAATCTTAGTGCATTTCAGAAACTCTCAAAGGGATGGTATGTACATGGTTGGGCCAGAAATGGATCCTAGTCTAGCTGTCCCCTTCTACCTCATTTAAAGAAATGTCTAAGGAGAGAACACAGGGTTTACTTCACATTTATTCAGATGTTCTATTGTTTGATGTTCTGTTTCAGTGCGATCTTACTGCAGTTTTCACGTGTTCCCTCTGTATATTTGTCATCCTTCAATTTGGCATCTGAAAATCATTTGGAAGTCTGTACAGAGGACCAGACTCGCAGAGCTGTGTTATAATGAGCATTGTTCATCATAACTTAGAACTCTGTTAGTGGAGATCTCTTTTCAGTAGGTGTTCAGTTGGGCTGAGGGGTAATTGCAAGAAAACCACAAGAAGTACACTGTGATGTCGTTCATAATGCAGTCTCACACATATTCAGGGTACATCCTGAAGCCCTGGTCTCCTTCCTGCCATTAACATACCTCTAAACAGGCTCTGGATTTTATGGCTCCTTTGTTTCTCTGGAGATACTGATATTTCTTTCTTTGCTGTACTCGAAGACTCCATGTGCCAGTAGAGGTTCTCCAAAACAAACATTCCTCACACTCTTCCCACCCTAAAGCAGTTCTCGCCATTAAAAAAAGAAAAACGTAATCTTACCACAGTTGAAAGGAAAAGTGGCTATATTTAGACATGCATTTTGGAGTTATCTCTCCTGCCAGGATTCTGGAAAAATTAAAATTTCCAAGCAAATCTAAATGAGAAGGTCACATGTGATAAGACTGTGAGATGTGGCAATATGCTTGGCAACTAGTAATATAACCATTCCTAGAGTTCACTACAGAAAGACGTAGTCTTCACTGACATCCTAAAGACTTAACAGATCTCTGAACTTGAGCCACCCTTTTGTATTTGCCAGCCTAGAAAACACACACATAATCACGGTAAGTGGTTTTAAAAGCCACTCATTTTCCAAGGCACTTTGCAAGGAAGAGCATGCTACCTGCCCCCGGTCAAAATTCTCTAGCAGCAAGTCAATCTACACAATCATTGCATGAGTCTGCTTTATCATTCTCTTGTACCAGCAGCTACAGGAGAAGCAGAAGCAATCAGGAAGAAGCCAAGATGTAGTACAGGAAAAATATTTCATTGACCTGTCTAGAAACAGTATTTTACATGCTAGGGAAGGGAAAAAGAAAACATCGAAAACCACTACACTTTAAATTAAAGGTGCAAACATTGATGTTTTTCTTTCATCCCTTGGCTGTCTTTAAAATCATCCTTACTGATGACGGTGAGATAGTTCACCAGGAGCATGTGAAGGGAATCAAAGTCTAATCCCCCCTCTCCTGCTCCAAATGGGTTCTCGGTGATACATAGTTTTAAAAATTGGCTCATTTTTCTTTCCCTGCTTCTTTACAGAGCCAGTAACATCATGGCCCTTCATCAAGTGTAAATTCCACATTTCTACACGCATTTCATTAAAGGAACCGTCTCCTTCTCTGTGAAAAAGAAGAAAATTCTTTCTTCTCCAAGTGAAGGCTTCTGTTCTATTAACCCAATCTCAACCAGCAATGTGGGATTATGTCACAGCATGTAGTGAAGGAGTCAATGTCCCAGACACAGGTGAGGCCCTATTCTAAAATAGGCATAATGCCTTGGGCAAGAACCTTAACTTTTCTAAGCCATAGCTTTATCATTTATAAAATAGGACTAATATTTGTCCCAAAAGTTTCTCAAAAAACTAAAGATAAAATATCCAAACAGTACCTGGGACAAAGTAGGTATTCAATAAATGGTAGACATGATTGATATTACTATTATACTGTAAGAAAGCCAAACACAAAGACCTACTGATTTTTGACAGCAAGAAGAAAATCAAACTTTAAACATGAGGGAAAAGATGAATGGAAAACCCAGATAATTAATGTAGTGATTAGCCTAAAGGGAAAGTCCAATGTAAGCATCATTATTTAAACCAAACATACAAACATTATCATTTCACCCCAAAGCATTTCCACCCATTCAAGTGCATTTCATTTTCATGATTTCAGCCAGAATAAGAACTCAACAGTCTAGAGAAGACCGCATAAATACTCAAATATTCTAGCACACCTTCTGGGACAGAGGAGATGAACTAGCAGGAGACACACGCTACCCACAGGGGTTTTCCATCAAGACCAATCGGGATGTCTGTAGCTCCTTCAGCATAAAGGGTTCTCTTTGGTGGGAAGGATCAATTCCTCTCCCTGCGTTTTGTAACAGCTCATGCTGCATTTGTTTGGGGCATGCGTTCACCTGATGGACTGTAGTAAATGAGGAAAATAGAATGGACAGAAACGGAGGTGAACTCAGCCTTAATGAGAAAAACATGAAAACACAAAATTCTTTTTTTAAATGAAGTTCTAATATATAAAATGTGAACCCTCCAGATTGACCAAGTCATGTGAAAGCTTATTCATGAAAATGTGCACTTTCTTCCCTCCCAGATTTTTCATTAAACTGCTCTTTGCCTCATGTGTAAATGGCAACTTTTTATGTTCTTTTCCCAGATGGGATGACCAGAAGAGTAAAGCCAATGAGTAAAAAATTATTTATAACTGAAAAATGACTATGAGGGTTATTGGTGGGGGAAGGGAGGGAAGAAACATCAAACTCAAATTTGCTGTATAGTATCTATGTAAAATATACCTATTCCTTAATTTTTATTCCCTTATTTCCTTAATATGTTTTATTTCTACCTTTATTTCATATCTTCCGTTCATTCTGCTTCTTCCCCATTTATTATGCCTCTCTTTTTGTTTCACAAATTGTGCATTCATTCTAAATCTTCCAGTTTCTCATTGAGCCAATTTCTTCTAATTTTTTAATCTTTTGTAATCCTTCTTCCCCCATACTCTAATTTCTAGAGTCTTACAGTGACAATATAACATTCAAATTAAAAGAAAAGCTTAGGGAATGCATAAGTGGAGGAAAGGCTGTTAAAATAAACAGTGAGAAATCTTAAAACAGTTAAAATAGATGAAGAAATAAGAACATAGAGGGGAAAGGAGACAGCAAGGATAAAGAAAGAATGAGGAAAATGGGAAAGTAGGCAAATAGTCAACAATTTCTTATTTTAACAGCCCCTGGCTACTCCCAAAATTCAGTGATCCCATTCCGTATGTGCTTTATTTCTTTATGCCCGTGGAATGGGAAAACAGGAAGGGGGGCTTTAATGAAAGCCTTTAATCCCCGATGGGAGGATGGAGTAAAGGAAATGGCCCAAGAATGTAAAAATGGGAAATGCTGCTCATTTCTTAATTTACTCACTCACTTTTACACCTTCTTACAGTAATTGTGCCTTTTCTTTTTTGTTCTATGACATAGTTTATGTTTTTTCTTTCATCTCATAGTCATCATTTTTCTATTTTATGCTCTCATCCGGTATAAAACCAGTTTTTCTTTTTTCCTTTTCCCAAACTTTAAAGACAGCCTGGAGAGCCTTCGTCAGCCCAATCAGCTTCCTCTCCCAGGCTATCCATGCCTGTCCTGGTCCTTCAGCTCATTCCCATTGTCAAAAGACAAAACAACAACAAATTTAGTTACAGATCTAATTGTCTATCATTTGTAATTCATGAATCTGGCAGCTTCCATTCTACAAAATAGAATGAGAGCCCCCACTGGGCAATAGCAAAAACAGTGGATTTTGTAAGGTGGGAACAAGGAAACTGAACAATAGGGGAAAAAAAAGCTGACTGCTTAATATCAGGTTACTTCAACTTACATTTTTGCAAGGGTTAGAGCAGAGGGGATTTCCTCATTACCCTGACTCAGGTAGATTGGAATCTCTCGATCTCACAAAAAACTAGTCTGTTTTGAAATCCATCTGTTTCCTTAGAGTTTCTGTTTGATGATGTGGCGTTTAGCATGAGTGACTCCATTTGGTTTGGTCTGGTCTGTTGGGGCCTAGTGCAGAAGCTTTGTCCAAAACGATGGCCTCCTATAATTTTTGTTTAACACCTTCTAGCCCCTCACCTTGGTGACTACCCTTCTTACTTTCAGAAGATGACACTGCCTCCTTCCTTACAGAAAAAAGTAGAGGCTCCCTCATGTTTCTGACTCCTTCGTGAGTATCTGATATTCTACTTACTTTTTCTTGCTTCTGTCTGGTTTCAGATGACCAAGTATCCTGCAGCCCAAAGCTAATTCTTCATCTGGATTCTCAACCCTATCCCTTCCAAGGACGTTACTCTATCAATTATGTTTATTCCCTATCCCTGTCTTGATCCCATTAACCTTTGTAATGAAAAACAAACAAACAAACAAACAACAACAAAAAACTACTTATTGATATGGGACTGGTCAGAGGATGACATGACCAGAGAGGAAGAAGCAGCCAAGGAATGAAAGAAAAAAGAGATGAACTTAATGTACATAGTAAGGATCTAAAGTGGGCATCATGAGAGCCAGAAAAGAGAAGGAAGAAGGAGGGAAAGCTGATAAGGGTAGGTAGAGGAGGAGAAAGGCTTGTTCTGAAGAGGGTGAGGTGTGAGAAATGGGATATTGCCAGGGGAATTATTTGGATCTACTTCAGCATCATGGAAGAGACATCAGCAAAGACATTTTTCTGTTTGGATGTGCTTCTCAAGTTAATATCTTAAGTTGATATATCTCATCTTTAAAATAGAAATAAAACAAGTAAGCAAAATTAAAAAGACCTCTCAATCCTATATCCCTCCCTGGCTTAGTGCCAAGACTCTTGAAAGATTTTCTTTATTCAAGGTCTCTACTTGCTTACTCTCATTACACTTTAGAAAAATAACTCAAAATAGCTACCATTTATTGAGTGTTTACTATGTGCCAGACACCTGAGCTTCACATACACTATTTCCGTTAGTCCTCAAATAACAATCCTTGCATTTTAATTTGGTTAAAGCCTTATTTCCTAGGTCAAAGGCAGAACTAGAAGCAGGTCCCTTGTCCTCAGAGCCATGAGATATGAGTTAACAAAAGCGATCTTAATTCCTCCTCTCGCCACCCTTTTACACAGAAGAGAAAGAAAGGGAAGAAAGAAGATGCCTTTTCCCAGAGAAGAATCAAGTTCTCATCATCGGGGGCTCATCGAAGGTGAAGTGCCAAAACGCTGGCACCCCAGCAGCTTTCAGGGTGCTGAGAAACACATTGCCCACTTGAGGTTATGAGTATAGAGACAGAATTGAGGGGGAGGGAGTCTATGTCCACTAGGCCTTTCCAAATATATTTATAAAAGTTAATCTCTCAGCCAGGCATGGTGACTCATGCCTGTAATCCCAGCACTTTGGGAGGCTGAGGTGGGCGGATCACCTGAGGTCAGGAGTTCAAGACCAGCCTGGCCAACATGGTGAAATCCTGTCTCTACTAAAAATACAAAAAATTAACCGGGCGTGGTGGCACGCGACTGTATTCCCAGCTACTTGGGAGGCTCAGGCAGAATTGCTTGAACCCAGGAAATGGAGGTTGCAGTGAGCCAAAATGGCGCCACTGCACTCTAGCCTGGGTGACAGAGTGAGACTCTGTCTCAGAAACAAAAACAAAACAACAACAAAAAAGTGAATCTTTCACAATTCAAATGTAGTCCTGTTGCACAAACTGAAATTCCCTCCTGATGAATTTATACTTAGAAATGCCAACGTCTGCATTGCATTTAATGAATTTAAGTTAAACAATGATTTAAGTTTTCACAGTCACTCTTGAAAAAATTAAGATCTCGATATCTGGATGTAGACAATAATTCTACTATCAGAAAGAATGCTTTAAACAAAATATAATATTCACTGAGTGCCTACTATAGCCAGACACTATTCTATGCACTTACGCAGTTCTCATAACAAACTTAAGCAAGAGGTGCAATTACATTATCCTCATTTACAGATTAGAAGTCCATAGAGAAGTTAAATAACTTCCTTGAGTTTACACAGCTAGTAAATGACGCGAGAGGGCTTGAACCCATATAATCCAATTTCAGAGCCCATGGTCTTAACCGTTGTCTCAAACTTCTTCTCAGTCTATATTCATAAAGTCAAATTCAATAAATTTGAAGAAAACTCTATCAGGCTCTACCTGTGAGAATTTCGAGGATTTGTTTTCACAAACTGGTTGCTCTGCTCTTGAATCAAAATGAAATTTCTATGATAATGTTTGATAAGCAACATGTATAAAAATAAAGATTTAAATAAAAACGTATTTTATTTTAAATAACTATTTGTAAGGGTATTTGCAATGGCATATAGACATGTGGTCAATCAAATAGTGTAAGTTTTCTTGACTATCTGAACAAACATCAACATTAAGTCTTTTTTTTTGAGACAGTGTCTCTTTCTGTCGCCCAGGCTGGAGTGCAGTGATGCGATCTTGGCTCACTGCAACCTCTGCCTCCTGGGTTCAAGTGATTCTCCAGCCTCAGCCTCCCAGGTAGTTGGGATTACAGGTGGGTTCCACCATGCTCAGCTAATTTTTGTATTTTTTAGTAGAGATGGGGTTTCACCATGTTGACCAGGCTTGTCTCGAACTCCTGACCTCAGGTGATCCACCCACCTCGGCCTCCCAAAGTGCTAGGATTACAGGCATGAGCCACCGCCCCGGGCCCTAAGTCTTTTATTTCTATTACATCTGCTTTCTGTGTTGAAGGTGAACAGCTGTTTGCAATTCTGTTTCTTCTTCTTCAGTATCTCTCAAGTTATTCTTCTCTCTTCATTCCCTCAATTCACTGCTTTCAGGTTCTCTCTCCACCCTCTCACCTCTCACCCTCACCCATGTTATCTGTGACAGCCCTTGACATTTCCTTGCAATCTTGCATTATACATATCTGTGTACATATCTTATCTTTCCTATTAGAACCATGTTCTTAATAAATATTTTTGAATGAGTGAATGTTTATAAACTCTAAGGCTTACAAGAAATATCTTAAAATTCTGTTTATGATTATTTTACTTTGGGAAATGAGAGCAAAAGGAATGTATTATTTACTGCATGGGAAGTTTCTGCAGAATATTATTTCTGGAACAGAAGAAGTGAAAGGTGAAGCCAGCTGGACTTCTGGGTCGGGTGGGGACTTGGAGAACTTTTCTGTTTTACAAGAGGATTGTAAAATGCACCAATCAGCACTCTGTAGCTAGGATTGTAAAATGCACCAATCAGCACTCTGTGGCTAGCTAGAGGTTTGTAAAATGGACCAATCAGTGCTCTGTAAAAACACACCAATCAGCACTCTGTGGCTAGCTAGAGGTTTGTAAAATGGACCAATCAGCAGTCTGTAAAATGGACCAATCAGCACTCTGTAAAATGGGCCAATCGGCAGGACATGGGCAGGGACAAAAAAGGGAATAAAAGCTGGCCACCAGCCAGCAGTGGCAACCCGCTGGGGTCCCCTTCCATGCTATGGGAGGTTTGTTCTTTCACTCTCCACAATAAACCTTGCTGCTGCTCACTCTTTGGGTCCACACCACCTTTATGAGCTGTAACACTCACCGTGAAGGTCCACGGCTTCATTCCTGAAGTCAGCGAGACCACAAACTCACCGGAAGGAACCAACTCCAGACACAGAAGGAGGAGTCATACTAAATATGTTGTGAAGTTAGTACATTTTTGTTTGATCGTGTATAATGAATTTAAAATAAACTTGTATTTGTCAGCACAAATCAGACAAAAAAAATGATGTACCTTTACATACTTCTATATTTTGTCTACCTAAGGCAGGTAAAGCCCAAAAACCTGAACGTTGTGCACATGTACCCTAGAACTTAAAGTATAATATAAAATAAATAAAATAAAAAAAATAGCAATTAGCCCACCAGTAATCAGTTACAGGATATGACTGAGGTAATAATCCATAGAAAAACAATGACTGGCTCTTTCCTCTAATGTAACAGCCTTAGAATAAATGAACCAGTAAGGGCTATTCTCTATCAGAATAGTTCATTTCTCCTAATGCGGAACTGAGGAAGAGCTCCATGAGTTGTCTCAGCTCTGGTCAGGAGTGAGTGTACTATGGCTGGCACATTCTTCTTGTCTATATGATGGGTATCTGGTGATCCAGGCTGATCCCTTTACTTTGAAGTGAGCAAGATGTTTCCCAGTGCCCTGAAAGCTACCGAAGGTACCCATGCCAGTGACAGGTATCTAGGAAACAATTGACAGGTATCTAGAGTATTCAAATCATAGTCCCAAAAGACTGACTATTATTAACCATTGTCAGCTCCATTCATCCAAGGGGGATAATCCCCCAGCAGTTGAACATCTAGCCCTGGCATAAGTGATGTGAAAATGGAGAGGGGTGGTTGATAGGTGACTGATACTATTTTCTTCTTTAGTGCATCTAATAAATGGACAAGCCTACTGCTTTTTAAAACCATTAGGTCATGTAGACAGGTGAGGCTGAATAGAATCCCACTCATTTGTACAATGCGTTTGCTTTAAGGAGTAAGTGTGTTTTGTAGGTGAAACAGGAATAATGTTTAAAAAAGAAAAATCTGTCAGGCCAAGCGTGGTAACTCATGCTTGTAATCCTAGCATTTTGGGAGGCTGAGACAGGAGGATTACTTGAGCCCAGGAGTTAAGAGACCAGCCTGGGCAACATGGCAAAAACCTATCTCTCCAACAAATACAAAAATTAGCCAGGTGAGGTGGTGCAAATCTGTATTCCCAGCTACTTGGAGGCTGAGGTTGGGGGATCGCTCAAGCCTGAGAAATTAAGGCTGCAGACAGTGGTGACTGCACCACTGTACAATTGCTGGGTGACAGAGTGAGACCCCATCCCAAAAAATAAAAAAAAAATTAAAAAAAATTAAATAAATATAAATAAAATAAAATATCTGTCAATGCATAGTCCCCTATTGGTAAGTCAGTATCTCTCTTTCAGAACTGCACCTTTCTTTACGGCTCCAAGGAAGGACCAGGGCAAATGCTAGGGCAAAAAAGAGTAGGCATTAGCAAAGGTAAGGGGTTCCAAATCTGTGCTGCCTATTAGGCTCATTTGGATAGCTTTTAAAATTGCTGATGCCCAGGCCATACACAAGTCCAATTAAGTCAGAATCTCCTTGGGTAAGGCTGGTTGTTTATGATTTTGAAACTCCTCAGGTGATTCTGAGGTGTAGCAGAAAGCTCCCCAGATGGAAAGTTCCTAGCCCAGTTCCTAGTCTATGATAACTGCCCAATACATGCTGGCTACTATCATCCCTTTCAGGACTTGGAGATTATGGGGAGCTGGGGACAGTGGTAGGAGATACAGGTGGGGAGATATGTGTGTCATGGCATTCCCTATTGCTCCTAGTAGCTAGGTGAAAATCCTAGAGGGAGAATGCTATGGGTAGCAGGAAAGACCAAAGTAGGGAGATTTTGCCCTGTTTGTAACTTGGCACTCTAGAATGGGACAACGCTATGTCCTTTGTATTAGCCTGGGGAATGTGCAGCTGAGTAAACTCTTTGGTGTGGCATGGTTAGGCTGCTGGATGTTGGCAGTGGTGTCAAGTGTAGATCTCCAAAATCTCCGTTGGGTTTAGAAGAGCCCCTGTTGGCAGATAATGGAAGGTATTACTACCCCAGAGGACAATGGGAGAGGAGAATCAGTTTGCAAATTTATGACTCCTAACTTCCGAGGGCAGAGCCAAACCAATCTGCATCCAGATGCCACCTTAGGAAGAAAAAAAGGGAGAAAAGATGATATGAAAAGATTGTTGTAAACCAAAAGATGACTGGAATATTATAAGGCGCTACCCATCCAGCAGAGTGGTTGGCTTATAATCAGGATTAAGTAATTTCATTAAATGATGCCACATTTTTTTCACATTTATAAATAGGTTAAATTCCAGATGACCTCACAGAAAAGTGGAAAGCTCTTTGGCTTGTGATCAGCCTAGAATAAATTCTCAATAAATGTCAGCTGGGACAATTAATTCATAGGTTATTTTGTGACATAAGGATTAACGATCAGACTTCTGGGGACTGAGAAGGTCAACTAAGAGTAATTAAATCATAGAGTTGGATGGGAATAGACTCCAGAAATAATCCAACTTAAACCTATAATTTTAGAAATTATAGCAGGAAGTTCCAAAAGGTAAGGGATTCCCTAAGGATCATGCGGCTAGCCTCCTTCAGGCTTTCCCTGATACCAGCCTCACTCTCACTTTAGGAGTTATAATATGCCCAGGACAGAATCTTCTTTATGGTGTGGCTTCAGCCCAAGCATTGTGAATAAGTGAGGAAGTGAGATGATTCCATAGTTTGTTGCTTTGTCCCATTTAGTGTTATTTTTGCTATGGTTATTATTTTATTATGATTTGTCCCATATTTCAATCTGGAATCAGGAAGTGGTTAGGTATACAGAAAGCATATATTTTAGAGAGCCCCACATGTAACCAAAGCCTTCATTACTGTATTATCTCTACGATAGATGGGAGCAAGCCTTCAATTAAGAGCCAAACCAAAAGACCCTGATGATAGAGCTTAGCGATTATGTATTTTTATAATGTTGGTGAACACACATTAAATTTAGGAAAAATTAGACTTGTGAAATTTGGAATTTGGTTGTGTAGTAATGGAAAGAGCCTGAACTAGGGGTCTGAAGACCTCAGTTCAAGCCCATTATTAAGACCTTGGGGAAGCCTCTGTCCCCTCCTTCTCCCTTAGTTTTTGATCTGCTATGAAATGTAGATGATTCTTTCTGTACTTCTCATAAGGTGGTCATGGCAATCAAATGAGATAGTTATCTTAAAGGTCTTTGTAAACTGCAAAGTGCTGTTCCCATTATTCCAAAAGAATCCCAGTCACGGCATGCGATTACCTTTCTGGTTACTCATTCGTATCCTTCCCCAGGCCTCTCTTCTCCAAACCCTAATGAAGACATTTATTGATTTTCTTGCTGGTACTACCTAGACCTGAGAGCTGCATTTTCTAAGTCAGTTTCTAGGTTACTTTGTTATGTATTCCCTCTTGTTTTAAGTGCTGTACGGTAGACAAATTTTATTTTGCTACCTCTAAGCTCTCAGATTTTGCTCTCTAAATCAGTCATTGAGGAAGTGCAGTTGAAGGATTTGCTATTGACTTTCAAGTCTCTTTGTTATTCAAGCCAAATCTTGTATTAATTAAAAATTTCTGTTGTCTGGAATGCAAAATTTATTTTATAATAAAACAGGCTATTTTGCCTGTGTTAGAATTACCTGGAACATTATCCCCATTGTGGTGCCTGATGGTGAGAAAGCACGTTCAGAGATCTAACATCAGAGCTGAGCCCAGAGCCCTTGTAGGGAAGAAACTTCGTTTTATTTATGTAACATATCTACCCTTCAAGCTCTCTGGGTTTTGTCAAAAGCCACATCTGGCAGCAGAGAGAGATTCTAAACTAGAATAAGATTTGCCTCCTCACATCCTAATGCCCACATTTATTTGTGATTGTGAAATGCATTTTCCAAAATTCATCATAAAAATTCATCATAAAAAAAGTTGATAAATTTTTAGGGGCATGTATTTCATGCTTCTAAAACCCTATTCGATATAACTTTACTATCCTTTTGTGTTTAACAATATATGTTCAAAGAAATACATAAACCTATCACAATAATAAAACTATTATGCTTTAGCAAACATATATTTATAAAGAAATAAAAATACCCAGTAAACCTAAGTGTAACAACTCAGATAATATCAGATTCCATTAAAAAGAAAGACCTCCCTCTTGTGTCTAGTGTGTTTTTAAGGTTTGGCAATATATGCAGCTTGCAATGTGATATAAGTTTCAGATGTACTCCACCCTTATTAAAATACCAAACTGCAGGAGACAGACACTTGGTGTTTTATCAGAATGTATTATTCTAATGATGGAATGCATGATAGCTATGCTGAACTTTATATCAAAAAGCAAACTTGATTCAAGATCTTTAAACCAGGTCAGAGTAGATAATGCATATACACACATATGGCTCAAAAAACAAAGCATCAGAACATGAATAAAAATTGTATAAGTATTACAAAAACTAAGGACTTATTCTATCTGAATCCATGTATTACTTAAAGCAAGAATTTAGTTTTTAAATTGAGATATGTTGTTACTCAAATATAGCAATTAAAAAAATAATTGGATATGAAGGTCACAAGAATTCCAATAAAAAGCTTTTACTCTCTTAAACAATGGCTTTCAAGGCAGCGTCTTGTAACAATCAGACCAAAAGGCAATATAATTTAAAATGACTACATCTAGAATATTTATACATCAACACTTCCCTCAATTTGTATGCTAATTTATAATTTGAGATGAACACCTGGGATTATGTACCTCAATTTCTCTATCTGAAAAAAAGCAAGGGTAATATCAATTGTGTTCATCTACATCCAATTAGTTAGAAAGTTGTGCCTGGCTCATAATTGGCATTGCTGGAATGATAGGAAAGAGCTGTGCTTTCTTTCTTAAAAAAAAAAAAAAAAAAGACGCTCTACAAACATACCTTATTTATGTATGAAATACACACACAACCCAAAAGGGGACATACTGCTTAGATATATAAGTAATGATAAATAAAATGAAGGCTATAACAATTTCTGTTACCAACGCTATCAATACAAATATGAACAGCTATCATTTATTGAGCCATTGGCGTGCATGAGGCACCCTGCTAAGTGCTTTACGTAGGTTGTGTCATTTTAAAACAAAAATTTTTATTATGGATTCGGGGGGGGTACATATGCAGGTTTTCATACGGATATGTTGTGTAATGGTGAGGTTTGGGCTTCTAGTAACCCATCACTCAAATAGTGAAGAGTGTACCTAACAGGTAATTTTTCAACCCTCATCCATTCTCCTCCCCTTTGGAGTCCCCAGTGCCTCTTTTTTTTTTTTTGAGATGGAGTCTTGCTCTTGTTGCCCAGGCTGGAGTGCAATGGTGTGATCTCAGCTCACTGCAACCTCCGCCTCCTGGGTTCAAGTGACTTTCCTGCCTCAGCCTCCCAAGTAGCTGGGATTACAGGCACGCACCATCACATCCAGCTAATTTTTGTATTTTTAGTAGAGACAGGTTTTCACCATGTTGGCCAGGCTGGTCTCAAACTCCTCATCTCAGGTGATCCACCAGCCTCGGCCTCCCAAAGTGCTGGGATTACAGACATGAGCCACCACGTCCAGCCCCCAGTATCTATTATTTTCATCTTTATGTCCATGTGTACACATTGTTTGGCTCCCACTTATAAGTGAGAACATTTAGTATTTGATTTTCTGTATTTGAGTTATTTCACTTAGGTTAATGGCCTCCAGGTAATGATAAGACAAGCAAAATGTTGCTGCAAAAGACAGTTTCATTCTTCCTTACGGCTGCATAGTATCCATGGTGTATAGATACCGCATTGTCTTCTTCCAGGCATCCATTGATGGACACTTAGGTTGATTCCATGACTCTGCTATTGTGAATAGTGCTGTAATAAATATACAAGCATGGGTATTTTTTGATACAATATTGTATCTTTTTGATACAATAATTTCTTTTCCTTTGAGTAGATACACAGTAGTAGGATAGATGGGTCTAATGGTAGTTCTATTTTTAGTTCTTTAGGGAATCTTTATCCTGTTTCCCATAGTGGTTATACTAATTTACATTCCCACCAATGTGTATAAGCATTCTCTTTTTTCTGCATCCTAACCAACACTTGTTGTTTTTTGACTTTTTAATAACAGCCCTTCTGACTGATGTGAGATGGTAGCTCATTGTGGTTTTAATTTGCATTTCTCTGATGATTAGTGATATTGAACACTTTATCATATTTTCTTGGCCACTTGAATTAACAACAATCATATGATATAGATACAATTGTGATATCCATTTTACAGACAAGAAAACTAAGATTTAGTAAGGCTAATTAATTTGCTTGAGATCTCACAACTAGAGAGCTGTGAGGTCGAGTTGTGAGTTCAACTAAAGAACTCTAATTCAAGAGCCTATGCTATATCTAGTGAAGTATGAGCTTTTCTTAAAACATGAAATCTCTTTTAAAAAGGATTACATTAGCCAACTTTTTTTCTATATAAACTATAGTTAATAGATCAGTTTCAATACTACCCTATAACATTACACAGTTCCAGTTCCTTTCATTGACATATTTAGACACATCTGCAAGTGAAGAACAGTAACTCTAGAATGGAATCCTCATTCTGGGTATAAACAAAGTTAATCAGGAGGCAAAGTATAAAGAACACATATCAGTTTGAACCATCTGTGAACTACCATGTTTTATACTTTCCTCACAAAATCCTGGAGAAAATAGTAGTGCCCTAAAATCTCAGTGGTGATTATTTTTTCATTACTTGATGTCTACAATTTTTACATATCTGCAGTAAATGAATGTTACTGAAATGATCATAACATGGGCTTATAAACTGATCAAACATATTCACCATCCAGGATGATGGTTCTAACCTCACCACAGAAGGCAGCATGTGATACAATTGTGATTGCCCATTAAAAATAACATAAAAAACTTTAAAGGCAGCATGTGAGCATAAAGAATGCAGGCAAACTTTGGAGGCAGACTATTCTACACTCCAATCCTGCCACTACTGTCTAAGAGTTGTGAGACACTGGGCAAATCACTTGCCCTCTTTGAGTCAATTTCCTCTTCTGTAAGATGGTGACAAAAAAATCTGTCTAAATAAAATATGCAGGAAAATGGCCGTACATGCTGTACTTATGCAACAAGTATGAGTTCTACTGCCTTTTGTCCCAGTCATGGACCGCAGGCATCTCTACAAAGGCATGCCCTGTTACCACAGCAGTCAGCATGGGAGCATCACTCTGGTACAGCAGTGTGTTTTAACATGTGCTCATGGTGAAAGTCGTGTAGTGGCAATAAAAGGTTAACTGATGTTTCATATTGATGAGGCCAGAAAGCATGTGATACACTTTTAAAAGACTCCCTCAGCCAGGCGCGGTGGCTCACGCCTGTAATCGCAGCACTTTGGGAGGCCAAGGCAGGCGGATCACGAGGTCAGGAGATGGAGACCATCCTGGCGAAAACGGCGAAACCCCATCTCTATTAAAAATAAAAAAAAATTAAAAAAAAAAAAATTAGCCTGGCGTGGTGGCGGGCGCCTGTAGTCCCAGCTACTCAGGGGGCTGAGGCAGGAGAATGGCGTGAACCCGGGAGGCGGAGCTTGTAGTGAGCCGAGATCGCGCCACTGCACTCCAGCCTGGGCGACAGAGCGAGACTCCGTCTCAAAAAATAAAATAAAATAAAATAAAAATAAAAATAAATACAAGACTCCTTCATCTTCAGAGCTATGTCTGACTGCCCACCTGCCCGCCCATCCATCCACCCATCCGTTGCCTGGATTCAAAACCTGGCTCTGACACTGAATGTGTAACTCTGTGCCGATAAATGTGTAATTCTGTGCCTAAAAGTTACTTAGTCTCTTTGTTCCTAACTTTCCGCCACTGTTCAAAATGGTGATAATAATAGTATGTAGCTCATAAAGTTATTTTGAGGGTTGAATTAGAATATGTAAAGTGCTTAGAACAACAGTGGCTAGTACCTCATAGCTATCATATATATATATTTATACATAGTATATTAAATTATTTCTATTATCAGTGTCTTAAAATAGTATTAGAGATTCAAAAACAGACTTAGAAGTTTTGGCTTTCCCAGTTTCACAGCTAGCAAATGGCAACCCTAGGGCTTAGACCCAGGAAGATATTTTCATGCCATAATTCCATTTCTTTCCATTATGTCATGAAATGTCCCTGAAAAAAAAAAAAATCTTATCTTCTGTTATCTAAAAGATTCACTTATCTGAAATATTTTAATTCCAGTAACTAAATTCTTATGGTCCATTATAAGTGAAAAAGCATAAATTTCATGCATTCCTGGGAATTGTATCTTAGATTTGTTTTAAATAAAACCTTATATTTACATGTGTCTTGTCACAGTTATTTTTTGGCTATAACCTTTGTCAACTTGGACATTGCTAGGAACCATTAAATGGGCAGATTACTTTGGTAGGTGGAAAAATACACGTTTTCTAGGTAGTGTAGAAAAAACAGAGTTAAAGAAGAAAAAGGCAGCAAGAGCAGTTGATATGAGGAAATGTTACTATTTAAATACTTGGCGAGCTCAGGGGAGGGGAAATGAATTTGCCTTGAATGAGAATGCACTTTAATGAGACAAAAAGAGTAAGAGATAAGTATTTATTTTCATATTCTTTTCACTTTAAATGGTTGGTGATGGGGCTGCATGTGGCGGCTCATGCCAGTACTCCCAGCACTGTGGGAGGCCAAGGCAGGTGGATTACCTGAGGTCAGGAGTTTGAGACCAGCCTGGCCATTGGTGTCTCTACTAAAAATACAAAAATTAGCCGGGAATGGTGGCAGGTACCTGTAATCCCAGCTACTCGGGAGGCAGAGGTTGCAGTGAGCTGAGATGGTGCCACTGCACTCCAGCCTGGGTGACAGACTGAGACTCTGTCTTAAAAAAAAAAAAAAAAAAAAAAAAAAAAAAAAAAAAAAAATTAGTGATTTCAGAGGCACTATCCATTTAAATAATAGTGTTTTTGTTGGAAAAGAAAATAATATTAACATACCACAATGAATATACAGGCTGATTATGAAATGCCACCAACTTTCCAAAGAGGTTTTATGATATAAAAACCTGTGTGTCCCAAAAATGAGAAAGCAGTATATGATGATGCTTACAAATGTACACATAAATGAGGATTATAGTATATGGGACAAATGAAAGAAAGGGGAACAGAAACAGGGTAAAAATAACCCAAGGCACACGAGGTAGCACCGAGATGACTTCAGCCATATGTATATAAGGAAGCTGATGCACGCTCAATCTTTTTCTGCTATGAAAAACTTGTATAAGCAAATACAAACACAAAAAAGAAAGGCTGTATAGACCATATAAATTCATATGGGTTTATGTGCATAAACCCATATAAATTGAACTGCCTTGTTTATGTTTCGTTGCATTCAAAGGAACCTCACTCCAGCACCCAAAAATAAATAAAAAGTAGATTATATCATTATTACTATTTCTCAAAAAAAAAGCCAAAGGGAGATTACACTCAAAATACAGTGGTCCCCAACCTTTTTGTCACCAGAGACTGGTTTCGTGAAAGACAATTTTTCCATGGACAGGGCAGGCGAGAGGTTTGGGAATGAAACTGTTCCATCTCAAATCATCAGGCATTAGATTCTCATAAGGAGCACACAACCCAGCTCCCTCCCATGTGCAGTTCACAATAGGGTTCACACTCCTGTAAGAATCTGATGCCACTGCTGATCTGACAGCAGGCGGAACTCAGGCAGTAATTCTGGCTCCCCAGCTGCTCCCCTCCTGTTTTGTGGCCCAGTTCCTAACAGGCCACAGATAGGTACCAGTCCACAGCCCGGGGGATGGACACCCCTGCCGTAAATCGTGCTCCCCCATTTTCTTTCTCTCACACTCTTTTCCCTTTTCCACTTTAGGATCTCCCAATTTTTCCCTTCAATTCACCCTAGCCTAAAAAACTGCTCTTGTTCCTCTTTCCCTTTTCTTCTAATTCCTGCTTTTATTTGCTTATTACTGTGGAATTGCCATATATCCAAAGAATATATATGATGTGCATGACAGTCTGAATAAAGTTTTAAAAAATGAACACCTGTGTACCTTCCTTCAGCCTCAGAGTCCTCTCTACTCTGAGGTATCTACTATACTGAATTTTGTGTTAATCAATCCTTTGCTTTGTTGATTTTTTTACATATAGTTTTTCTACATATGAATGCATCTCTAAAGAGTGTGCTGCTTTTGAATTGTTATTAATGGAAACATACTTGGTATAAGTATCTGTTACTTCCCTTTTATTCCTGGATGTTTTTGATGATGTCGATAAGTACATCTATAATTCACTAATTTGTATGGGCTTCAATGGTAAGTATTCCATTGAAAATACATGCTACAATTTGCTTATCTAGTCTACTATTGGTGGAAATTTAGGTTGGTTATGGTTTGGAGCTACTAAGAAAGTTGCTGCTGTGAATATTCTTGTACATTATCTCCGGGAGCATATGCCAGACCCTATATAGGGTACATTATCTGGGTCATAGGATATGGGCACTGATATGGTTTGGTTCTGTGTCCCCACTCAATCTCATGTCAAATTGTAATCCCCGGTGTTGGAGGTGGGGCCTGGTGGGAGGTTATTGGATCATGGGGGCGGAGTTCTGATGAATGGTTTAGTACCCGCTTTGGTACTGCATAGTGAGTTATTGTGAGGTCTGGTTGTTCAAAAGTGTGTGGCACCTCCCCACTCCCTCTCTCCCTCCTGCTCCAGCCATGTGTGACCTGCCTGTTTGCCCTTCACCTTCCCCCATGATTGTAACTTTCCTGAGGCCTCCCAAGACGCAGAAGCTAGTATGCTTCTTGTACAGCCTGCAGAACTGTGAGCCAATTAAACCTCTTTTCTTTATAAATTACCCAGTCACAGGTATTTCTTTATAGCAGTACAAGAATGACCTAATACAGGCATGTTATTCTGTATCTGGTAATTCCAATATTCTGTGAGGGTCTGTTTATATAGGTTATTGTTTTTACTGATTGGACCTCATGAAGGCTTCCACAGGTTTAGTGAGTTTGGTTAAGAACTCGTGTCTCTTGGAGTTTTCTCTGGGAATTCTTTAAGCTAAGGGATTAAACTATATTGTCTGAGAGAGAATTGGGGTTTGCTTCTACCCCTGAGGCATTATCAACATGGACACAATTTAACCAAAATTGTCGCCTGAGTTTTTTAGGGATCCTCAAACCTGTGTTTGAGAATAGCCATCCTATAGAGAATTTTTCTATTCAGAGTCATGGTAAAGACAAGGAAGATTAGGATGTTCCTCTGCCAGGTGGTTTTTCTCACTGAGTGTACTGCTATTTGGTTGAGTGGGAGGTTTTGCAGCCTTATGAAGGAGTCTCCACTCTGACCTCCTACTCATCCATGGCTCTTAGGCACTGTCTCTTGTCCCGGTAATATAAGGCTAGCAGGGCTTGGCAGTGGACTCCAGCTCAGCGTTTCCCTGATAGATTCACTCTTTCTCTTCATTTTTGCCTCTAGGAATTTCTTTTAATTTCCAGCTTAGACTTGCATTAAAAAATGTGATTTGAATTTTTTTTTCAGTATCTTCACGTGTTCTGTGTCTAGGAGGCTTACACCATGTTGCTAGAAACTATGTTCCTTCCTCTATTTCTAGTGGTCTTAATCCTGCTTCTCCTCTATCAAGGGTTTCTAGGAGGCACCTCTGCAGTCTCTTTATCTTGCTTGTTTCATTCTTCACCTCTTCCTCCTTTAATTTCCCTCTCTCATTTGTTCTTGAACCAAAGCAGCTAGGTATTACTTGAGGATGTAACATGTTAGAAAGGAGGAGTTGTCAGCTCTGATTTTCCCCTTCCTCAAGCATTAATCAGAAGGGCTTTGTTATGTATTATTGCCTTTATATATCATGGACTCACCATAAGTACCATAGCAAGATTTAAAAGTTCATCTGTAATACCTACAATTGTGTGCCAAGTTCTATGTTAAGTGGTTTATAAGCATTCTTCACTAAAAATGTAAGGAATTATCTATTCCTATTTTAAGAATGAACAAACCAAACCACAAAAAGTTAAATAATTTAACTTAAGGTCACACAGCTTAGAAGAGGCAAGGCAAAACTGAACATTAATCTGACTTCTAAGCCCAAGTTCTTTCCATGCTGTCTCCCAAAGAATTAATTAAATCCTGTATACGCTTGTCGGCTTATAATAGGCAAATGAGAAATTGGATTGCCTACACAACTGAGTTTATGATTGTTTACTTAGGAGAGACCTCAGAAGAATCACAGTAGCCATGGCCAACAATTTGTGGCAGGATGCCTGATAGGTTAGCTGGTGGGAGTGGTGTGGGTCCCTCAGTCAACACCTCATCTAGACAGAAAGGTACTAACTTTTCCCAGGGAAAGAGAAGGCTAGAGCTGCCACTCCACCAACTGCCTTGGGATATTTCTGGTTCCATCGTCAGTTGCTTTGTCTCCCATAACACTTTTAGGTGTGAAACTGAAAGAGGAAGTTCTGATATCAGCTTCTGCCCTCTTGGCTAGCTTGAGTCCTTTTGTTCTAAATTAGAAAGACAATCTGTTTAATATCCATGCCAGTGTTTTTTGGAATAAGAGTTGAAATGTCAACCTTATGCTTATCTGGGTTATTTTCCTTTGGCTACTTGGTTGGATTTCTTTGCTCTGTTAGAGAAATCAACAGTTTGTTGCTTTCAATTAAGTTTCAATTATTGATAATGCAATCAGCAGAGGCTATTTTAGGTTTTGCCTAACTAACAGCAAACTCTAGTCTCAGTATTCCAGTTAATAACCAGAATACTGGTTAAATTAGACACTGATGAAAGACTCATTCAGAGAAGGAAATCTTGATTTATCAATTAGCACCTCTCACAGACTGGCTTTACCTTGCTACCCAGACCTAGAAAATGCATGACATTTGATGGTGCTTCACGGTCCGATCTCTGATTATGGATTATATGTTTTGGAATCTATACATTTCATCTTATGCAGAGTGAACTGCCAGCAAAATGCCAGCTCCTTAAGAACTAGAACACAAAGCAAGGAACACTCAGCTATTCAATATACTTCTCTCCAAATAATTAAAACAAACCCAAGTTGAATATATGGAATGTAAGAAGAATGGACCATGGAAAGTAAGTTAATTGCTAAAATTTTCATTTCCTGAGTTGGCCTATGTTCAATCAAACAATTATTCTGCATTACTGCAATACTAGACATATGTGATATTTCTAGAGATTCCTAATATATTTGTTCCAACATATTAGGCACTTCATCAGGTCTGAGTTTTTTTTCCAACTACGTTCTAAACTGCTTTTGCATTCTGCTCTATATTCCAGTGTTAGGTGAGAACAAAATTGTATGGATCTTAACTCACCTGTTCCAGTTTTAGCTGGGAGAGAATCTATGTGCCCACTGGTGTCAGAACTGTCATCTTCTGTTTGAATGAAGAACCTTACAGTGAGAAATTTCAAATGGTAAACACAACTAATGTTCAGTACCCACATATTCCTAGATTCTTTGTGCTTGACAACACTTCTACCCCATCCCTTTCCATATGTAACACAACCTTGACCTAAGAGAACTGCTCCCTCTAGGCACAAGAAGTATTTTATGCTCCCCTTCTGTCCCAAACAGAGGGCCTCTACTAAGCAGGGATTGGAAGTTGTGCCAAATTGCACATAATTGTGCGTGATGAATTTGTAATGCAGGCTAAAACTTGCTGGAAACTCAGCTGAGACCACCAAATTCATTTAGTTGGGTTTGGTTGGAGGCCAATCCTTTATTCACTAAGCTACAAAGTCTCCGGAGATTTTTATTTGCTCACAAAAATATCTGAATCCAGCACTAGAGTCTTTCTCTGCATGAAAACTAAATTAGTGTGGTGTTGCTTCTCATAGTTCTGCTCCTTCAAGTACTCTAGGGGATTAAAAGCTGGAAAAAAAGAAGTGGCTTCGGAGTGTAACACAAACAACTCTAGATGCTGAAAATATAATTTCCCTATTGTTTGCTTTAAGGCACAACACATCATTAAGTTCAAAGTCATTTAAATGCAAGAACCTACGATTTCCCCCCAAAGCCTGCAGCCATAAAGACATTTATCACAAAACAACTTCTAATTTCAAAAGGAATCATATAAGTATTAGATTTAATGTTCAATGACAAAACTGTTGTTGAAAATCGAGAATATACCAAGTGAAATACACTAAAAAGAAATACATCAACATTTTAATAGTGGTTATTTTAGGAGTTGAATAATTATAGATGATTCCTCTGTTCTTTTCTTTATTTTCCAAATTTTCTATAATGTGACTTTAATGCTCCTTATAATCGAAAAATACACTTATTGGAAAAGAACCCTAGATACATTACAGATGGTTTTGTTTTTTCTCATGCTATTCACATACTGCTGTAAAATGTAAACCTGTCGACAGTACAACTCATGGAGGCACCCACATTCGGGGGAAAACAATACCATCTTGTATTTTATAAAACTCCTGCATTCCAACGGGCTCAAAACACATTTAACAAGCTTCATTTCATGATTCTAATCACCATTTTTCTGAGATACATTTCTTACCAATTGTTAACTCCTGAGATTTACTCAGATTGAGATTTGTTCATTTATTTGGCGGCAGGGAAAGCAGGAGATGGGAAACTTAAAAATGGTTGTTTTGGAGTCCATTTTTCTGGGGGAAAATGAAAAGTTTAGGATTATGCTCAAGACATCCTAGTCACAGAACACAAGAAGAGAGACCCCTGTCAATGAAATCCATGTATTAATTGGTGGGCACTGGAGTGATTTTTCATGTTAGATGTTAAAATTTCAAAAACATATTCATTAAGTGCAGTGTTTCTCAATAGGAGTGCTACTGACATCTGCCACAGGACAATTCTTTGTCATGTGCAACTGCCCCACTTTGAAGAGTGTTAATGTCTCTGTTCCCATAACCAGTAACAGCCTCCCCTCAGTCACTGGGGAAATAAAAAATCTTTTATTTACAGTTGCCTCTATTTGGTCATCATTCATTTAGGGTATCTCACCTCTTTACCCCAAAGCATGAAGTCGTACCAATGTTAATACCATTTTATGGAAGAGGGCACTGAAGCTCAGAGAGTTCAAAAATCTTGCCCAGAATCTTACACCTAGCAAATGACAGAACCAGAACTGGAGCCCAGTTTTCTGACTTCCTGCAATCCAGTGCACTGAAACCATGACAGGACTCCTAGGTTGTCTGTTTCCCTTCAACATGTTTTTGTGTAGCTCGTAGATCATGTGTCTTCAAGTTACTATTCCTTTATCTTTGCTTTCAATTCAATTCAACTCAATCTGGAGTTAAAGTGATTGAGATAAAGAGACAGAGGCAGCTGCTTGGGGATCAGAGGACAGAGCATAACCTAAGAAAGCTACACCAGACACAGGAACCTTCTGTAAATAGGCAGGACCTAGGAAACCACATCTGACTTCCCCTCACTGTGAGCAACAGCAATAATACAATTACTATATATTGAGCACTAATCAAGTGCCAAGTACTTTGCTAGATGTTTTAATCTCTAATCTGCACAATAATTATGGAGGGTTAACATTATTATTAGTATTATTGCCATAGAGCTGAGGACACTGATGAGGCTCAGAGTGGTTAAATAACTTTTTCAAAGTTACTTAACAAGACTTGAGTCCAAGGTATCAAATGTCAAAGCAGGGGTGGGGCATTTTGTGTGGGCGGGGGGGCGGGTGGGGAGGTGGGGCATTAACCCTGCTGAATGGGGACTTCTAGGGTAATGCCAACACTTTAATAAGGAACACCCTTAGAAAAGTTAAAAATAATATGAATCAGGCTGTATACATATCTTACATGATCAAAATGGGTGAAGGCTTACAAAAGATGGAAAAAGATCTGAAAACACAATCTTGGTGCAGAAGAAAGCAGTCATTTCCTTAATGGGAATTACTGTAATTTTCTACAGCAGACATTCAGAGTCATATCCGAATGGGAAGCTATGAACACTGGCAAGGACCTTGATTCAAATATCTTCCTGGTGAGTAAAGAAACCACCATTAGTAACCATCTTTTGGGTCAAACATTGTCCTCACTTTGTTCTCCTTTAATGTGGAACTACTTCTGGGAAAAGAATCACATTGTTAAACTGTAAGTCCCTGGTGAAAGATTTAATTTGTGTAACCTTTTCTCAAAGATGATTGGTGCCAAACATTCTTAGGACAGCATCGGATTCTGGGGGCAGAAGAATGGAAAAGATGGGGGCAGAAGAATGGAAAAGATGGAGGCTGAAGGGATCCAAAAGGGCCCCGATAGAGGGAAGGGGATATCTTTATACACAAAACTCCTTAATAAGTAAGTGCAGGACCAGAGCTTATTTTGTACTAAAAAAGTCACTTCAGCCCAGCATGTGCATGCATATATGTTTGCCTGTATGTTATATAATTGCATATAATTATTATTGAGTTAACTTTACCTAAATTACTGGATAAGAGCATGGCAGTATATCTGCTTGTAGCATGCATTCTAAAAAGAGAAGAGTGTTCAAACTGTTTGAAGTCACTGAAATTTAAGACACTCCCAACCCCTACCCCACCCTCCATGACTCTGAATGTCTGCTATAGAAAATTACAATAATCGCTACTAGTTAGCATGTGATATTGGGAAGCAAATTCTTAATGGTCCTAATTGAAAATGTAAGTTCACACAAAACCCTGTGCACAAATGTTCATAGCAGCATTATTAATAAGAGCCAAGATAAGGAAATAATCCAAATGTCTATCAAACAATGAATGGAAAAACAAATATGGCATATGCATAAAATAGAACACTATTTAGGCATAAAAAGGAATGCAGTATGGATACATGCAATACCATGGATGAAGCTTTAAAACATTGTGTTAAATTTAAAAAGCCAGACACAAAAGGCCACATATCACATGATTACATTTATATAATATGTCTAGAATGGGCAGACTCATAGAGACAGAAAGTTGATTAGTCATTTCCAGGGGATAAGGGTTGGGGAAGAATTGAGAGTGACTGCTGCTTAATGGGTATGAGATTTCTCTTTGGAATAATGGAAACATTCTGGAATTAGTGGTTATGGTTGCACAACATCGTGAATATCGTAAAATAACTAAATTTTATACTTTAAAATAATGAGTTTTATGTTATATGGATTTTATCTCTATAAAAAAATGCAAAAATGTTCTTAATGGTCTTACTTTTCCCACAAAAGGAAGGAGCAAAGAACAGAAAAATAATTGACTCCAACTATCATTTCCTCCATATAGTTCAATATGTGGGGAAATAGATCTGAAGTTAACTAGCATTCATTAAGCTCTCCCTTATTCCAGGCACTGTTATGTACCTAATATATTTCTCACTTAATTTTCACAACTGTAAGTATATACTGGTATTCTAAATGTGCAGATGAGAAAACTGATTAACTGACTTGACCAAAGTAACATGTCTAAGTCACCGGAACAGCCAGGATTTGAACTATTTAGGTCTATTTGGTCCAAAGCCTAATGCTCTCATTCACTATTCAATACAGCCTCCTTGGAAAATAGGGTGAGAAGGAGCTTTAGACTGAACAACAACAAAGTAAAATATATTCTTTGGAGTCTAATCCATTATGGGGCAGTGGGGGTAGGGATATGCAGAGAGCTGGACAGGGTAGAGAATGTTTCAGGTCTAAAACGATAGCAGTATCATTCTAGCAGAATAATAAATATAGAGATGGAGGCTGCATAATTGTAAATGACAGGTCTTCATTTTCATGTTTTCCAATTCTAGGTTATGGAAAAACAAATGAAATATATATTATACCTTGTAGCTGGCAATACTTAGACTATTGAGCTTTTGGCACTATATTTGACTATACTTAAGAACAAATACATACAACTAAAGAATACAATTCAGATAAAGAAAGAGGAACTAGATTCAGATTCTGAAATATTATCCTTATGCAAACTTGAGATAGTGAAAAAAAAATCTAGCAATGCTTAAGCTAATCTCTGCTTGCAAAATACTCACCAAAGAACCCTAGGAAGCATTTGAAGTATTCCTCTGGTTAAAAAGACTCTGATCTAGAACTCCCTGCCCTCTAGGAATCTATGCCACAGAGGAATTCAATCCTCATCCTTTTTCATGTTCTGCTGAAGTGAAACGGAACATATTAATAGTGCTTCTACCAAAGGGATTACCAATTGTTGGACCTCAACATATATTTAATTAAAGCTCCTAATCAAAATGTTCAGTTTTCTTTTTTTCAACAGGATTATTTTGAGCTAATTGAAAAAAAATACTTTGCTTGGGGTGGCCCTACTTACAATTTTAACCAAGAGCCTCCAGAGGAGGTTTCTGATTAGGGCATATACTCTAGAGTCCTTTCTATTAAAAAGCATTAACTTACACATTTCAGGCATCCAATAACTTTTGCAAATTTGAAAAAAAGATGTCCCAGTATGGCTGATATGTGTGTGTAGGCTTTAGAGATGGGTGGCAGTGACAAATTTGAGGCCTCCCAGCTTTGACAGTATTCTTTAATACGTATTCAAAGGATTCCATGTACACATTACTAAGAAATTGTTATAGGAATCAGCCAGGACAAGTTGTACTAGGAGTGATGGACTTTAAACTCAGCATAGATAGATCTCAGCACAGATGTCTACATGTGTGTGGTATGTGAAAAGTTTTCTGCTTCTTAGAACATGAATTAATGGACAATAGCACTTTCTTTTTCTATGAAGCTAGTCAGCAGTTTGTTCTAAATCTTCATTTACTTAGATTCATTCTTGTTACCATATCTCTCTGATCATGGAGCTTTTCCCTTGCATCCTGACTTTGGTTATATGTCAATTTTATTGATTCATTTTAATACCTTCTAGAAAGTAGTGCAAAATGAAGTAGGAAAGTTGTGTGTGTGTGTGTGTGTGTGTGTGTGTGTGTTTTATTGTGTATTGAGTAGCTGCATAAAATTTTTTAGGCTGCAGATGATAGCCTTTTTTTTTTTTTTTTTTTTTTTTAAAGACAGGGTCTCACTGTGTCCCCCAAGCTGGATACACTAGCACAATCATAGCTCACTGAAGCCTTGAACTTCTAGGTTCAATTGACCTTCCTGCCTTAGCATCCCAAGTAGTGAGGACTATAGGCCTGTGCCACTGGCAGCAAGAGGAGGCAGCCAAATGCTTAGGCAGACAGGGGCGGGTCCCTGGTGAAACCCCACCATCAAGCCAAAAACAGCCCGAAGCCTGAAAGAACAGCCTGCTGGTCCTGGATGAAACCTGCAAGCCAAACTGTGAACTTCTGCTCCCATTTGCCTGCCCTTCCCCTATTCTGGGCCCAGAAAAAGCCCCAGAACTCAGCCACATTGAGGGGATGTTCCTGCCTTTGGGTAGGGAGACACCCCCATGTCCCCCATCCACTGAAAGCTGTTTTAATCACTCAGTAAAACTACCCGCCTTGCTCACTCTTAGATTGTCAGTGCATCTTCATTCTTCTTGGGCACAGGACAAGAACTTGGGAACCACTGCTCAAGTCAGACACAGCCCAGGTGGGCCAAGTGGGTGGGCCATCTCCTGCAGCAGGTAGCACAGCCAAGCAAGGCCCAGGCAGGGCGTCACTGGCTGCAGGTCCCCAGCTTGCAAAGTAACTTAGAAGAAAATCCTGTGCTACCACCATGCCTGGTTAATTAACAGTATATATATTTTGTAGACACAGGGTCTTGTTGTGTTGCCTAGGCTGGCCTCGAACTCCTAGCTTCAAGCAGTCCTCCCACCTTGGCCTCCCAAAGTGCTAGGATTAGAGATGTGAGCCACCATGCCTGGCCAGCATTTTTTAATTTTTTAATTTTTTTAGTAAGAAGCATTACTTGGTGTATTTAGGGAAAGTTAAAGAAACTAAGATTAATCTAAACAACCCTTTTAACATTCCCTTTGGGGAATATTCATGGACTAGTCTGAAACAGAATGGAGTTTTAGATACTATATGTATTTTTATCAATGTCTTTCATTAACACTATAGAAATACATCAAAATGGCTTTAGAAACTTCTCATTTGAAAAGGGCTTATACAATTTTAAGAATCCTTGCTATGGAATGACAACTGAGAGGGATGAAAATATCACCTCCAATCTTTGAGTCAGCTTAATATTCTGCTGATACTCCTAAAATACACATACTTTATATAACAAAAAGCTAAGGCTACATGTAGCCTACTTTAGACTTGTTATAAAAAATTTAAATATATATACTTTATATTACAGCTTTCCACCATTAAAGAATTTCTTCTAGAGTTTGAAGGACCTTCAAATAACTGGTATTGGTTCATTTTATAGTACTGCCTGAGAAAGGGAGAACAGTGATACCATTCTACAAAGAGATGCAGTATCAAAAAGGTGAAACAGCAGGATTCAGGGACCTCCTCAGTGAGGGTCTCCCAGGTGTAGATTCTAAACTAGGGATTTCCAAATCTGCTCTTGCTGGGGCTCCCTGGAACTCAGCATGAAGGACAGAGGGGCAATATTAAGGTGCTTTGTCAATTTTCTTAGTCTGTTTGTTTGTTTGTTTGTTTGTTTATTTATAGAGATGGAGTCTTGCTTTGTCGCCCAGGCTGGAGTGCATTGGCACAATCTTGGCTCACTGCAACCTCTGCTTCCCAGGTCCAAGCAATTATCCTGCCTCGGCTTCCCAAGTACCTGGGACTACAGGCGTGCACCACCATGTCCAGCTAATTTTTCTATTTTTCAGTAGAGATGGGGTTTCACTATACGTTGGCCAGACTGGTCTCAAACTCCTGACCTCAGTTGATCCACCAACTTCAGCCTTCCAAAGTGCTGGGACTACAGGTGTGAGCCACCACGCCTGACCCAGATATTTATTTTTAAGTCATCATAACCACATTAGACACACACCACTCTCCCACCTTTAACCACTGTGTTGCCTACTGTCTGCACTGGCATCAATTTGCACCTTCCAGATTCCTCTTCAAAAGTGAACAGAGGAAGGGATAATGAAATCTTCATTATTACTACATGTCAGTGATCTCATTGTGTCAGGAGAAATGGATTCTCAATTCAAATAAAAAGAAGTGACATCCAACGTAACAGCAAAGTTTATGAATTACACTCCATATGTAGATATCACTCTACTTATGGAATATGGGGTTATATCATTTGTTTAAAAACCTATCTAACAACTTAATCAAATACATGAAAAACAACCAGGGATAGAGATAAAGATGTATGTACAATAATATTTATTTATATTATCAAAACCTTTCAAATATCTAAAAGAATATCAATAAATGACTAGTTAATTAAATTATGGTACATTTATACAAGGGAGCACTATACAACTATTTTAAAAGATAATATAAATATGTATTTACACCAGAGACAGATGTATGGGATATATCACATTATATAAGGAAAGTATGTTGAACATGATCTTATTTTAGCAAAAAAAGAAAATCAAAATTTATAGGTATATATATATATATATATATGTATAGAAAAAAATTCTGGAACTATATACAAGTAATAAAGATGTATACATGTATAGAAAATCTCTGGAAAGATATAAAATGGAAAAAGTTAATACTGGCTTCTATTTCTGTAAGGTTAGATTACGACTTTTAATTTTTCTTTATAATTGACTGAATTTTCAAAGGTTTTCTGCAGTATGTATGTATTACTTTTGTAATCAGAAGACATAATAAGGCTATTTTCATTTTGGAGGAAAAGGAGATTGAATTTTATATGCTCATCCACCCACCCATCCACACAAAGATGGCAACCTCTGGTTTATACCTTATAACTGTGAAAACAGAAGATATGACTATGACTTTCCATTGTGCCCTGGTGGAGCAATATAGAAATTTTATGGGCAACCTTAATAGTACATCTAACCCATAAAATATTGATTCCAAAGTCAGGTAAGTTACAGCTTTATGGGCCTCCTTACTAACTATATTTAACCCATAAAATATTTGAATTCAAAGTCAGATAAATTATAGCTTTATGACCAAGAGCATGTCCATGTTCACCCTAACCTGTGCTTTCATGGATTATGCCAAAAAATCCTTTTAGCCTCCATAAATATTATGGATGTCCACGAATTTATCTCAAAAGTATGTAAAGTTATTGATCCAGTTCATGTGGGAATAAATTCTTCAGTAAGTTGTGCTAGAACTAGACACTTGAGTCCAGGTTTAAGGTTGATTTTACTTTAGTTTAAATGAGTTAAGTTTATACTCAAAACCCTGTCTAGTGCATAGTAAGTGCTATGAAGGTATTAACCACTTTACCACTGCTGCTACTACTGTTTTCAACACAGTGATGAAGAAGCACTACAAATAATATCCAGGAGATAAGAATATAAATGAACTGAGTTCCTCAGGGCCTCCCTTGTGCCCTGATACAAGCAAGCCTGACATTGAAGTCAAGCACAGCCATGCATAGTAATCACTATAACAGAGGAACCCAGAATGGGGGACTTAATGCTTTAGGAGCGCTCAGTGGGCATATCATGCTAACACTCAAGGGTCTGTGCCTCTGCCATCCAAGAAATCTCTACCTTGTCACAGTGTGTTTCTCACTGTATTAAGGGCCTCTAATGGGGTTAGTCATGGACTACCAAATACATGTTATTTGCTTATGTAAGTTAAATATTTCTAGGAGGATTCCTAAGAAACAAGATATCTAACAGACTTTGCATCTTGCCAGGGACGCTGACTGATTGAGAAATAGGGTAAAAACGTATTTTTCCTGCATAACCTTTTATGACTTCTAATTTTTGTACCCTGTGTATTTATTGCCTAATAAAAAATAAAATAAAATCATCTGATGGTTTTCTGTAGGGAATAAATCAAAATGGAATCACATGGCGTACATTTTTAGATATGGGTGGAAAATAGAGTAATACGTTAATAAAGTACAAAGGCAAAGGGACATGAACACATACACATACAATTATCATTAACACTGGGATAGAAAGGAAATTTAAATGTAATCCCTGACCTGAAGAAGCTGGCTGTCCAGAGAGAAGACATGCACTGGGACAGTTACATACAGAACAAGGCCTAGAATAGGACACTAGGTCAGCTGAATTGAGGAATTATTTGACTTGGCACATGTTCTCAGGATACTGATCTGTAGGATGGGTAGAAGGAAGATTTAGAACAACATCCTTATCCAAAGACTACTTACAAATCATTTCCAAATCTTACAGTATCTGCCTTTCGAGCCATTTCCCCCATATATAGTAACACCTGAAATCCTGTACAATTCACTGTTTGTTTCCTTTTCCAAACACTTCTTACAATGTTAAGAGATTTCTCATTAGCATCAGTATCTATAGTATATGCTATTTGTTTTCCATTTGAAGATGCACTAAGGATAACACTATAGAAGCTACAGCTGTGTATTTTAAAATAAGAACAAAGAATACATCTATTTTATATATTTTGAACTTAAGATACTAAAAAAAAAAGTTTGTTAAACCCTAGCCACTACATAGCTACTAGGACAAGAAATCCCATCTATTATTTCTCATGACTCTAAAAGAAGCTACAAATTACGGAGTGATTGACTGTAATTAAACAACTAGGTCATCACTGATATTTGAAACCACTGTCTATACCCCCTAACTACCAAGTGAAGTATAAAAGAATATTTACAGAAATGTATTTCTTTAAAAGGTCTCTCTAATTTTGTGGTGATAAAGCTACTCTATACCACATTGGTTGCTTCAAAGAATGTGGTTTCAGGAAGACCAGCACATGTATTTTTAAAGGGCAATAAATAGAGAAAATATTCCTAATTAGAAGATTTGACTGAGCCACAGGTTAAGAGGGTCTTACATGGTGTACCCATTGCAAGAGCAGATATTAGAAGGTCAAGTTTAAGCTTTCTGGGAGGTCTGTCCTGTTTTAGCCAGAGTTCTTTCCCCTGTTGGCCTAAACTTACTAAGTATTTATATTTTTAAAGAATTATGTGCAATCAAATGCCAACACTCTCTCGACCCTCCTTGGGAAATAGGCATTATTACATGCACCTTCTCTCATCACATTTCCCAATACTCTCAGAATTAAACACCAAAGATTAAAAAAAAAAGGGGGTTTTATTTATGTGTTCCTCATCTGGTCAAAGATATGACTAATCATGCCTTGCAAGTAAATCATTAAAACTTTGAGAAAACTATCACCATGCAGCTTAAACACCTTTGGCAAATTGTTTTTAAAAAAAGAAGTTTGGACCACACACAAGTTTTTCTTTTTCTTTTTTTTTTCTTTTTTTTTTTGGTCTTTCATCTTAAAAGTTATTTTTCTCTCCTCCCAAGGAACCTGACCTGCTTTAAATCTTCCCCTGCCAGATGATGTAGTGTCTTGCGTCACCTTATTAATCTAGATGCAAGGCATTCATTTCAAACTAGAAAACCCATGTTTAGGCAGGCAGATTATTATTTAATGTCTCTTTACAATTTTAGTTATTTCATTGTAACGAGGTTACAAATAGCTAAGTCTCATCCCATTTATGTGAGATGCAATTCGTTTTCTCCATAGCTAAAAGCTCCATATAAGAAATTTAATTTCATATATACATCTATATGATGCTTTGCCAAATCTCCTCAGACAAAATTCTATGAAGTTCTTGCCACCTTTTCTCCTAATAGAAAAATTTGAGAATATCATAGTCTGTATTTTGCCTTGAGACTAGTAAAGTTTTCCTGCCAATTCCATAAAACTGTGAGGTGGAAAACTGTTCTTTCCAATTCACCCCTGTCTCTAATAACATGAGGTCTCTGTCTGGCCAAAGTAAAAATGTATACCCTCTTCAGGTGAAGGAAAAGTGGAAATTCCAGAATTTGCCATTTTGTGATGATTTCCAGTGTGAAATAATTAACGCCAAAAGAAACTCTCCAGAACTTGCTTTATTCCTACAGATCTTTGTGTGGAGTCAAGAACACCCCCTACCTTTCTGTTCTGACAATTTCCTTGTATTTCTAGACTTGAACTTCTGGGTTTTCACAGAAAAAAAAAGTTTTCTCCTTGCTCCTTTCCCTTCTCAATATGCAGCCAATTCACCTTCACAATTATCTCAAACTTGGGGTACAGGCTAGAAGGGAAGGACCGGCTTCACATTTCGACATGGCATCTTGCAACTTCCTGATTTTTTACATTGGGCCCAAATTCCTCAAGGTATATGACCTCTTTTTCCCCCCTGCCCTTAGCAGCAGCAGTTCCTTCTACATTCAGACCTCTCTTCAGGCACCTGAAAGAATAAAGCCATTGTTCCGAGGTGCACAGCCTGGCTCCCACTGCATGAGTCTGGCCCAGAGCAGTGGCATGAAGAGTATTTTGTGGTTCTTACACACCTGGGGACCAGGTGGGGATGTATCAAAACAAACCAGGAGAGAGGAGTGTGTGCTGGGCCATTTGCCACATTAGTTAAACCCCTTTTCAGATCTGCTCCCCATTCTCTAGCTCTTTGAGAGTATTTTTCCATTTCTGGCTGTGCTCAGGCCCGGGTTACTGCAGGCCAACAACACATTGTGCTTTTTTGTGTATCTTTGTCTTTGGAGGTCTAACCTCAAAGAAAAATACTAGGTTGGTGCAAAAGTAATGGCTGTTTTTGCCATTACTTTTGCACCAACCTAATAGAAAGCATCTCTCAAACTAACAGACGTGTGCTTCCAAAAGCTAAATGCTCTGAAAAGCTTGTGGGGTAGAAATTATCTCCTTTAAGTCAACCCTTGAGAGGATCATTGTCTGCAGTCCAGTCTTGTGTTTAGGGCTTGTGCCTCAGGCAGGCTGACCCAGGAATGACTGCATTTTGCCTTGAATAGATTCCAGCCCGATGGAAATGGGTAAATGTGTTACTAGGTGTAATTTTCTAAAGCTGGTAGAGGATTCAGGGAAACTAGAAAAGGATACCAAATATTTTCCACTAAGGCAGGGACCCTCTCTGGGGCCGTTTTATATGCCACACAATTGCATTACACCTTTTAAAATCCTCCCAATAATATCTTGAGGTTTATCATATTCTTTTAATAAAATAGATAACCAAAGCCCAACAAGTGTGAGGACACAAGTTTGGTCTTCTAGAAAGACACAGAGGCAGCATTTGAAAACAGAGCTTCTGACACCTGAAAAGAGGGCATCTGACACCTGAACTTCCTTAAGAGCTACACAGCTACCTACGTGTTCTGGGGAGTCATTTAAAGGCAGCCATAAAGTTGTGATGACCAACATGTGGCTATCTGAATTTACTGTTCTTTGCAACATGCCCTCATTGTTTTCCAAGTTCACCCATGTATATGAGAGCGATAACAATCCACATAAGTCTCATTTTCTCCTCATTTTCAAATATTCAAGTGCCTCATCTTCTTCCCATTTTCAAATATTCAAATGCAGTCAGTGTGATGGTTAAGAGCACTGACTCCAAGGACGGATTTCCTGAATCCAAACCATGTTTCTGCCACTAGTAAAATGTATGACTTTGGACAAATTATTTAAATTGCCTGTGTTTAACTTTCTCCAACTTTGAAAAATAGGTACAATAGTAGTACTTGCCTTCATGGTCAACATGAGGATTAAATGAGATAATATATGTAAATACTTAGTAAAATGACTGGCAATACACGTTCAATAAATGGTAGTTGTTATTTTATGTAGGAGTTATGTTTTATATCACTGTAATAATACACATTTTATATCACTATAAAATCATTATTTTATGGCAGTTAAATTAAAAATAGCCTTATACATTGAACCTACTTTGAGGTTCAATGGAAAGAAAGTAAAGATCTGGATTCTCACCATAGCTCTGGCCAAATTTGTGACTTACGGGCCACGTGGTCCCAGGTGAAGCATCTGACAACTCTATTTCACTTACTTCATGTGTAAAAAGGAAGTCTGCAGTTGGTCCTGATACTACTTCCAGATCTTTCCAAATATATGCAATTTAACATGTCTATGAGTTATAGAATGAATGGAATAATTCTAGAGAATTTTAGAATCTACTCATTACGTAGCAAGTGTTATACTTCGTATTCATTTGCTCACTTACATGTCACAAAAACATTCCCATTTTATAGATGACACTAGTGAGGTTTAGAGAAATTAAGCAACTTGTCCAAAATCCAAAATTCATCCTAAACACCTAACTTAAAACAAAGCAGTGCTTGAAATGAAAAGCAGCAGTAGTGGAAGTGATGGAAGATGTGTGCAAATGTGGCTGATTCTGTGTGCTGGCCCTAACCCGTGACTCTCCCTCCATCTGTTCAGCTAGGGACCCATTAATAAATTCAGTAACAATGGTCTTTGTTTTAACCATCCAAGTTAACTAAAAGTTCATTATAAACAGAAAATACTAAATCAATTTCCTATTAGCAACAATGGCTATTTTCACTGCTAAAAAGATTAGTAAGTGTGAGAAGCTAAATTTAAATCTACAATTGGCGAGAGATTAAACTAATTCGGGTCTATTTTGGAAGGAAGCTTTTAAAAGACCAGAACTCAACTTTTCAAGTTAACAGGATTCAAGCTTTCAATGCTTTCCTTTCTTCTTCCCTTTAACCAAATTCAACTTTGTAGTTTTCATCTTGTTTTTGGAATCTTTCCAGGTCACCTCTGTTAAGAAACACAAGGCCCTTGGCACTGAACTTTTGGGAATGTGCCCACATCTGCCTCTGAATGTCTGCCTGCCTACCTTTGATGCCGCATTCAACACCTAACTTAAAACAAAGCAGTGCTTGAAACAAAAATCTCCTTAGAGCACAATGGTGGACCCATTGCTCACCAGTCAGTAGCCTCAGTGATAAATGGCATGAGCAAAAAGGCCTGAAAACCCCAAATAGTTCAATATTCTAGGACATGCCCAACTGATTTTCATTTGGGAGAGGAAAAGGAGCAGTGCTTCATTATAGGGAAAGAAAGGAATAAATGATGATGACAGCTGTGCTGATTCATTGTTTTTTTAAATAATTCTGAAACATTCTAACTATGTTGGTGTCACATAGATCCCTCCCAGAGCTGAAGAGGTTTTGCTCCTATGTGTATATGTACTTTTATTTATAATAAGGTTTTCATTTTGACATGATACTCCAATTTAAAAATGCAGAATTCTTCTTCACTTCAGTTCCTTAGAATTGAATATGTCATTCATCATCTTGGTGGTCCCAGTAAAATGCCCTGGAATTCTCATCCCAGTTTTCAATAGTTACGTATTAATCCATATGGTAACAATATTACCACAACCAAATTCCTGCTACCAGAGACATCAGATTGTTCAGCTTCAGCCCCAGGAATATTTTTTTGTCTCTAAGAAGTAAATTTCAATCTGTAAATTATTGGAAGAGGATAAATATAAGCTAAAGCAATATCATTTATTGCCCTACAAGTGGGGTGACCATTCACATAAGGAGGAAAAGAAGAGATTAAGGCACATTTCTCTTTCAAACAAGATGAGCCTCTGCAAAGCTTGGAGGAATTGAGTCAAAAAACCACTGTGACTGAAAAGCAGGCAGCTGTAGCAGAGCTCTGTGTATTTGTCTCTTAACAATAGCTTTATTAATCTCGGAATCTGAAGATGTCTGAGGCAAAGAGTTGCTTCTACTGGAAAATGAATGGAAGGAGGAGAATGTGCTGGGGCCTTCCATTGTCTGACAGATCATCTCCTGTTTTGGGATCTGCCCATGTGAGATTGAGCCTTTCGAGTTCAGAAGAGGCAGGGTGTGGTGGTAGTTAAAAACACTGTAAGGAATCAGGTGGCCTCAGTTCTTCCTCTGTTTTCTTGTTAATTAGCGGGTGACTTCAAAAACGTCTAAAGATTTCTGGACTTCAGTTTCCTCATTCAAAAAGGAAAGAATCCAACTAGCCAAAATCGAAGGCCACTTTTACTTCTAAAGTTTCAACTGTGTGCAATGTAGTCAAGCAGGACTTTCTATACTCCTGGGGGAGTAACAGTAGCTATCATTTCCTAAACGCTTTTCTGTTCCAGGCACAGTGCTAGGGTTTTCTTCATATGGATGTTCAACCTCCTGGATGACTCTCCAAGGTAGATTTGATTCCTACTTTACAGATGAGAAAACCCTTACTTGCTTAGAGTCACTCAGCTAGTATGTGGGAAACCTGAAGTGCAAACCCAGACTGCCCAGCTCCAAAAGCTCGAGCTCTTTTGCTACCATACAGTGGGTACCATCCAACCCTGCTCTGAGAAAGGCACTGATAAGACTGATAATAGTGACGCTGAACTAGCTGGATGCCCAAGAGGCTGGCTATATGCAGTGTCTAGGAACATTAATAGGCAAAAGTGATGACAAATTCCTACAAAGTGGGGGTAACACTAGGATTACCTCATCGTCTCATCATTGTAGGGATTCATGTTTGTAAAGTACTAAGATCAATGTGTTTGTTAAATTTAAACAAATAAATAAAAACCTGAGGAAACAGAAGGCTAATGGATGTGTAGCATACAGGGTCAGGGATAAGGTACAGATTGGAGATGATTAGAAGTGGGTTGATCCAGGAACAGAGCAGGACCAGAGAGTCACAAAAGGAGCAACATGAGAGGGCCAGGACCACTGCTACAGAGTGGGCTGCAGTCCCTGACTTGTTTGTTTACAGGGCCTGCAGTCCTTGAGTGGATCTCCATGTTCAATTCCTCATCATTGATTTGGGGTATCACCTGTCACATGGTCTTCTGGATGCTAAGGGGCCAATTCTGCAGCTCAGGGTTCTGTGTTGTGCCAATGGCATGTGAGCTATGGAACCCCATGGTGGCTGCTACAGAAGCAGCTCCTCTCACCTCTGAGATGCATGTTCATTCCCTTTCCCATCTGCCCTGAGGATATTCTCCAGTGGTGCTTGCCGCTGCAGTGTTTACCCTAAGATAACTTTGCCACAAAATATCTTAATTTTATTATTATTTTTGCATCACTCTAGTGTATCGACTTTGGAACAAAAGACATCATACTCTTTATAGCATTCTGTTTTTAGTAGTGGTATCTCCGTTTATAAAATATAGTAATTCTCGATCACTGAAAATGTCAAATCCTAGAAAACATAGCATTCCTACACGTGATGTTAACATCATTCTCGAAGAGTTATTGGCCAAAGATTCATTTGATAAATTCAATTTTTTCTGAAATAGAGGATTCTGATGATTCGGATGTTTCTGATGTTAGTTCTTCTTAGAAACAACTCTAAGAACAGTTTTTAGATTTTATTTTCACATTGAAAATGAGTTAGATTTGCTTCAGCCTCAAATACTGTGTTTATGTACAATTAAATGAGCATTGGCAGTGAGCTGCACTTTTTTTTTTCTAAACAGGAAAAGGGTTAACTTGTATATTCCTTTATTTAGGCCGTGGCCAATATGTTGTCTGACTTATGGATATGCTTGACAGACACTTAGATCCTGTAGGGAACTGGAAGTCAGAGTGAAAGTGAATGTGAGGAAAGTATAACACTGTCTCTGGATGATCAGACCAAATCTCCAGGGACAGGAGAAGGAGGTCAGAGTCACCTGGCCACTCTCATGTTTGTCGGAAGCCAGGACCATGCCTTTGAGCTTAGTGGAGGGATATCCACAGGGCTGTCAAAAGAGGGCCTCCCGAGGGGAGCTCTGCTTAAATAGCTCCACTGGGATGAGGAAAGAGCTTCCAAGGTCCCCTGCTGGGCTTCCTTCAGAACCCCATGGGTTCTGAACTCAAATCAAGTCTTGAATGTTAGTTTTCAAGCATGTGGTGTGTTTAGACTTGGCGCCTGTTGCTACTGATGTTTCCACCTCCACCCCACAGTTGTTCATTTTCCCAGCCCTGTAGCTCCACTTCTGTCTGCCCCAGGATTTTGCTTTGCTGCTCCTGTATCAATGTTAATGGCCAAAGGGAACACTAGGATTCAACAACCGCCAATTCATTGTCACTGTACACACTTGGGATTGGACTTCTCCATACGGAATGCTAAAATTTATTCTATCATTACCATCAACAAGAGCCTATTTGTGAATCTCACATGTGTATTGTGCACTTAAAGGTTTCCAAATTTAAAAGATACATATAGATATGGTGCAGAATATGTCATTAAAAATAATTAAGGCCAGGTGCCCCTAATGAAAAAACAAAAAACAGTGCTTTGGAACGCAGAGGCAGAAGGATCTCTTGAGGCCAGGAGTTTGAGACCAGCCTGGACAACATAACGAGATCCCATCTCTATAAAAATAAATTTTGTTAATTAAAAAAAATTAAAATGTTATTAAACAGCAAAAGGAAAAGGTTACTCCTTTGAGAATCTGAAGAGTTTTTTATGAGAAGGATATAGAAAATAAATGAAAAAAATCATTAGAGCCTAAGGAATTTTAGTTAAACAAAAGAACTTCAGTATTCGGGTGAACCAAACCCTAAATTTTGGTAATTAAAACATTTTTTACACTCATGACAAAGAAAGTGAGACCTGGACTGCATAGACAGCCTTTAGGACTGTTATCTAATGGTTTTTTTGAAAAAGATGAAGTAATTCTGGGGAAAAGTTGATGATTCAGTACTTTGTACTAAAGATGAAGAAATCACATGGGATTGTAGCAAGAGACATTCTCCTGGGCCTCAGGAGAGATTTGCATAGGCGGAATCATAAACTCTGCTTCCTGGGGAAGCATGCTTATCACATTTTTCAGACATAAAGCTGTTTTGATAATAGGTTGAGCATGGAGTACCTGCTGTAGAATCAAGGATTCAATAAATGGAATTCTTTAAGCACAAATGCCCAGGGACCCTAAGCCAGATCAATGCATCACAGTTTATTACATCCTCTAAGACAAATTCTAAGAAGCTTAAGGAGCTCAGATGGTGCAACCTAGTCAGTACTGTACAAAGCTCTGAAATAAGTTTTCATCTCCTCATTCTTTATCCAAACCGTTTACTTGTGGCATAGACATGAGAGAAGGTAAAAATCTAAAAGAGGGTTTAGAATTAAGAACTATTTTAGTTCAATTGCACTGACTACCAATGACACAAATATATTCCCTAGGAGTAATCAATCAGGATTATATATTCTCTTGGTTTACCAAGGAAGGTTGATTTTAAGCCAAACTGGCTCCTGCTGGACTTGTGCTTGTAACTGATACTCACTTCATTGATCACTGGTGGGGTCCAGATCATGGAGCAGAAAACCTCATTTTTAGATATTAGTATGCAAACAAGGGAGAGAGAGAGGGTGAAAAGGAAAGCACAGAAGTAGAGACTTAGGATGAGGTTTGAAAAATGAAAGGGGAAGAAACATGCTTTAAAAAATGCATATGGGGGGAGCTTTCCTAAAAGAGAAAGAAAATCCTTAAGACCTACAAAACTAACCACTCAGTTGATGTATATGTTAAGGAAAAACTTTTATTTCCTATAGAGACAAGATCTCACTATGTTGCCATGGTTGGTCTAAAACTCCTGGCCTCAAGCAATCCTCCTGCTTCAGCCTCCCAAAGTGCTGAGACTGCAGGTGTGAGTTACTAACCTTGGCAAAAAAAAAACAAAACAAAAAAACCCACATTTTTTAAAGATAATGAAAAATGGGTGCAGTCTAGTGAGAATTATGCTCATTTCCATTAAACTGAAGTGTATCTTGTCATCCGAGCACCAGCAGCTATATTACAGGAAGTACCGACATGCTAGGGTTTGTTGGCAGAGAGAAATTGAGAGATCAGAAGTTTCAGATGAAATCTTTCTTGAGTCCAGTTTCTTTTAAATTCAGAACACAGAGAGGTAATCCTTGAGAAGATGTTAAATATTATAACTTAAAGCAAATGAAGACTCAGAAATAAACAACCAGTACAGATTTTCAAAGGTCTCAGCTTTTCTAAATATGCACAACCACATCGGGAAGAGGAACGTTGGGCAGCACTAGCCATGATGGCCACCTCCTCATCCCTAAAATGTCTCACTAAACCATCATCTAATCTGTTAGAAGCCAAAAGGTAAAGATTAAACACTTAAAACATATACATACGTTTAATAAGTAAAAAGTGATATTTTCTAATATAATTCTCTAACTTAGAGAGATGTAACTAAAATGAGACAAGCTATGAGACAACTTTCCTAAACGAGTGGACCCTCCTCTTAGTCCTTTTGCCATGCTACTCTCTTTGCCATTTGTGTAGCCCAAATGCTTCTTACCACTTGAGATGATACTTGAGAATAGTGTCTGAAACTTACTAACCAACATAAAAGCCATGAGATAAAAGTTAAAGTCAATGACCTATATACTGTCTAAATATTTTTTAAAACAATTACTCAAAGGAAGATCCAGGAAAAGAAAAAGCCTATTTTTCCCAAGTTGTAATCAGCTTGCAATTTCACTGGGCCTGAGCCATATCTTTTCTACGAATCAGGGACTAGCCCCACGTATAGACACTGGGAGAAGAAAAATTTCATAGAAAAGAAGAACTGGGAGTAAGATCGGGCTTGAGGCAGCAAGTGGGAAAAAATGGCAGCATGATATTTTACCTAATTCATTATTTGGTCATATAATAAATCCTCCATACAAAAAGTATTCAGTACAGACAGAATACGGCATCATATGGTATATTATGCCCAATAAATGTTAACCAAACCAAAGTGGACATCAACCAAGCATACATTTACCTTAACCCTTAAAGCCTATAGATGTTGTTTTTCATTGAACATAATACTTTGGTTTAATGCACACTTGGTTCAGTTCTCTCCCATTACCTGCCTCTGGCATATCTTATTTTATGTCTACATAAGCAATGGGTAAACATTTATCCATTAAGGCCTATTAGATCAAAGAGGGAAGTTATATAAAACTATAATGAATTTAGGGTTATTTTGTGTGGTGATAGATGACAAGTTTTACTGACTTAATTTCTAAAATGAGAGAAAATAAAAAATATTCAGTTTATGCTATTCAACTAAATACTTATTAAATACTTATAAATTATGTATCCAAGCACAGTGCCAGCAATTATAATACAGTGCAATAAGTGCCATCATATAGGAAGTCAAAAGGGCTATGGAGGACATTTATTCTGGAGGACATTTATTTATGGAGGACATTTATTCTGGATGTGGAAGGCCAGAAAATGCTCTCCAAAATGAAAGTCATTTGGAAACTGGAACTTAAAAGATGAATGCAAGTTAGGAAGATAAAGAAGTAATGCAAGTTAGGAAGATAAAGGGTATAATGAAGAATGTTGGATAGGCAAAGGGAACAGCATAACAAAAGCCCAGACAAAAGAAACAGCATGAAACTTTCAGAGATGAAAAATTTTTCATTAAGACTGGACCAGAGAGCCTGAAAGAGGAGTATAGAGAATAAAACTGAGAAGATGAGCAGAGACCAGCTTGTGAGGAGCCTTGCAAATCATGTAGGAGTCTGGGTTTAATCCAGAGGACAACTTGAAGTTGCTAAGATGTTTGAAATAGGGACTAGAATGATCAATTTTGTGTTCCTGACAGATCAGCCAGGCTGCGATGCTGAAACAAACCCTAAGAACAGCAGAGTGGTTGGGAAACTGTAGTCATCACCCACTTGAGAGTTGGTGGGGGTCTGGTCTAGGCTAATGGTCTAGGCTAATGACAGTAGTGACAGTGGGGATGAAGAAAAAAATAAACAGATTTTAGAGACAGGTAAGTAGACTGTATTAGTCTGTTCTCATGCTGCTAATAAACACATACCTGAGACTGGGTAATTTATAAAGGAAAGAGGTTTAATGGACTCACAGTTTCACATGGCTGGGGAGGACTCACAATCATGGTGGAAGACAAATGTGGAGCAAAGGCACATCTTACATGGCAGCAGGCAAGAGAGAGCATGTGCAGGGGAACTCCCCTTTATATAAAAGCATCAGATCTCATGAGACTTATTCACTATCACAAGAATAGCATGGGAAAAACCCATCCCCATGATTCAATTACCTCCCACCTGGTCCCTCCCACAACACATGGAGATTACTACAATTAAAGGTGAGAGTTGGGTAGGGAGACAGAGACAAAACATATCATAGACTTAATAGAGCTTGGTGATTACTTGAGTCACAGGAAACAAAGGAAGAGAGAATTTAAAAATGTAAGAGAAGATTATGAGCTCAGTTTGGGATGTATTGTGTTTGCAGTATATGCAGAACTGGGAGATATTAAGAGTTGGATATACATTTGGATTTGTAATTCAAGATACATATCTGGGTTACAGATATGAATTCAAGAATAGTAAGTACATAGATGATAATTAAAGTCTTGATAATACTGACCAAGAGAAAAACTATACAGTGAGAAGAGTAAGCAGCATAAGACAGAATCTGAGAAATTCTTGTATTCCAGAATGGGTGAAGAAAAAGATACCTGCCAACAAGATAGAAAGAAACAACCAGACAGAATAAAGCTAAAGAATAGGTGGTGTTGGGGAAGCCCCAGATTTCCCATTTGTTTCTCTTTCCTCCAAAGACATCAATAGATTTTAAGAAGAAAGTGATCAGCACTGTGAAAAGAAGAGGAGTAACATCAGATGTGAAGTGGCCACCAGACATATCAACAGGAAGGGCACTGCTGACCTTGCTGTGAGAATTTTAGTAATGCGGGAAGGGGAAAATCCAGTTTGCAAAGGATCAATGGTTGATAGGAGGTGAAGACAACTCTTTGAAGATACCTGAATATGGAAGAGAGAGATGGGGCAGAAAATGAGAATGAGAGGTGGATGGATGGAGAATGGTTTTTCTTTAAACAATGAGACAATCTTGAAGACATTTAAATGCTGGTAGGAAGGAGCCAGCAGATACTAGAGTTTGGAGGTAGAAGAAAAGGGGATAATCAGACCTGAAGCAGTGGCTCAGACCTGTTATCCCAACACTTTGGGATGCTGAGGCAGAAGGATCATAAGACTGACCTGGGCAACAAAGTGAGATCCCATCTGTAAAAAAAGTTAAAAAATATTCATTTGGGTATGTACCCAAAAATGGGATTGCTGTGACAAATGGTAATTTTGTTTTAAATTCTTTGAGAAATTGCCAAACTGCTTTCCACAATGGCTGAACTAATTTACATTCCCACCAACAATGTATAAGCGTTCCCTTTGTTCCACAACCTCACCACCATCTGTTATTTTTTTACTTTTTAATAGTAGCCATTCTGATTAGTGTGAGATGGTATCTCACTGTGGTTTTGATTTGCATTTCTGTAGTGATTAGTGATGTTAAGCAGTTTTTCATATGCTTGTTGACCACATATATGTCATCTTTTGAAAAGTGTCTGTTCATGTCCTTTGCCTACTTTTTAATGGGGTTGTTTTTTGCTTGTAAATTTGTTTAAGTTCCTTATAGCGTCTGGATATTAGATCTTTGTTGGATACATAGTTTGCAAATATTTTTTCCCATTCTGTAGGTTGTCTGTTTACTCTGTTATAGCTTATTTTGCTGTGCAGAAGCTCTTTAGTTTAAATATGTTTCTGACATAAAGACACGTGCATGAGTATGTTCACTGCAGCACTATTCACTATAGCAAAGACATGGAATTAACCTAAATGCCCATCAATGATAGACTGGATTTTTAAAAGGTGGTACGTATAGACAATGGAATCCTATGTAGCCATAAAAAGACAGAGATCATGTCCTTTGCAGCAACATGGTTGGATCTGGAGGCCATATCTTAAGCAAACTAACACAGGAACAGAAAACCAAATACCACATACTCTCACTTATAAGTGGGAGCTAAACTTTGAGTACATATGGACACAAAGAAGGGAACAACAGACAGTGAGGCCTACTTGAAGGTGGAGGGTGGGAGGAGGGAGGGTATTCAAAAACTACCTATCAGGTACTATGTTTATTACCTTGGTGACAAAATAATCTGTACATCAAGCTCCTGCAGCATGCATTTACTGATGTAACAAACCTGCACATGTACCCCTGAACCTAAAAGAAGAGCTGTAAAAAATGAAAAATAAGCTGGGCAAGGTGGCATACCCCTGTAGTTCCAGCTACTCAGGAGACTGAGGTAGGAGGATCGCTTGAGCCCAGGAGTTCAAGGCTGCAGTGAGCAATGATTATGCCACCACACTCTAACCTGGGGACAGGGTGAGAACTTGTCTCAAAAAAACAAAAGCCAAAAACAGAAAAGGGGATAATCAGTTACATAAGGTGTGAGGACTCTGAGCAGGCAGGAAGGGTAGGAACCTGAATGGAAATAGAAAACCAGACACTAATAGGAAGGAAGCCCACTGAGGTAGGAAAGGGGCCGAAGGTGGATGCTCATGTGGGAAATTCATCTGTTGGTGGTAGGAGACCAAGGGAATTCCAGGCTGATGACTCTTTTCTCCATGCTGAGAGTGCGGTGGAAAAGTTAAGGGTCAGTGGCTTGAAGACATCATTTAAAAAACAGTTCACTATGGAACCCAGGAAGAGCAAGCAAACTACGGAAAACAGAATGCTGAAAGTAGCTCTGAGGGCCCGGTTGAGGTAGTAGACCATGTATTCACAGTGAAAGTAATCAACAAAGTTGTATGGTTTTTCTCCATTGATCCTCAGGATCCTAAATAATCTTTCTCCCTGTACCCCTTCATCTTTTGCCCCACTCCTGTAACCAAGCCGGGCTTGACCACCCCCACGCCAATCACAGCTGCAGAACCTAGCCCAGGTGGAGCCCAGAATTCCCATTTGGCAGGGAGAAAGTTTGGCTGATTTCCAAAGTTCGATAATATATTCAGTACTTCTACCACTCTTCAGTATTGTGTCTCCAGATGTCTCTCTTTGAAGATACAATCACAGTGGATAACCCAGAAGGAATTTATTTTCTCCATGAACTACAGCACCAGTGATGATCAACATACAAAAACTTGTTCATTAATTACATTTAGCCTATGAGGTGAAGAGTTTAAACCTTAGCTCATAGTGTAGTAGTTAACAGTAAAGCAGACTCTAGAACTTGTCTCCTTGGTCTAACTCCCGATTTTGCCACTTACTAGCAGTGTGACCCTGGGTTAACTATATAATTTCACTGTGTCTCAGTTTCCTCATCTGTAAAATGAGAATACTGATAGGAAAGAAACAATATGGATAATAATTGTATTTGTCAGGGTTCTCTAGAAGGACAGGACTAATAGGATAGATGTATATATGAAAGGGAGTTTATTAAGGAGTATCGACTCACACCATCACAAGGTAAAGCCCCACAATAAGCCATCTGCAAGTTGAGGAGTAAGGAAGCCCGTCCAAGTCCCAAAACCTCAAAACTAAAGAAGCTGAAAGTACAGCCTCAGTCTGTGGCTGAAGGCCCTAGAGCCCCTGGCAAACCACAAGTGTAAGTCCAAGAGTCTTACACCGATGGGGGAAGGATGAAGGCTGGAAGACTCAGCCAGTCTGGTCCTTCCACGTTCTTCAGCCTGCTTTTATTCTGGCTGTGCTATCAGCTGATTAGATTGTGCCCACCCAGATTGAGGGTGGGTCTGTGTCTCCCAGTCCACTGACTCAAGTGTTAATCTCCTTGGGCAACACCCTCACAGACACACCTAGGATCAATACTTTGCAGCCTTCAATCCAATCAAATTGATACTCAATGTTAACCATCACAGTAACCCACTGCATTAATTCAAAAGACAACTTAATAAAAATAAAGGCTTGGAACAATGTCTGGCACACAGTGAGGTTTATGTGCATAGTCATGATATTTATTATAATATCATTATTAGAGTTTCTTTGCTCCCACATGGTCCCAATGAGATGGCCATCTCTATAAACACAATCTGATCTTTATTTATAAATAGACAAAAATAGAAATCTAAAATCTAGTCCAACATTCACATTAACTTGCATGTACTGTCAAACAGTGCCACTAATACTAGTAATGCTAGAACTGATGTTTTTAGTACACAGGCAGGGCAAGAGTTGCCGAGTTCCTTTTACTTTTTGTAACCTTCCACTTCACCCATCTATAAAAACAGATCTTAGGCTACATTAAAAATTTTAAATTCTATGATGTAAAATACTGTGTATTGTCTAAAGAATTTGATATAAACCACATGGTTCTACTTTTTACATATTTAGCCCTGCAGATTGTTATCTTCAACATTGTATGTTTTTCTCTCACAGTTTTACTTTCTTTTTGAAAAACTGAAATAATCTAAGTACCTTTCTTGAGTGACTTTACATATTCAGATCACTTTTTTTTCCACTTCAGCTTAGATCTATTCATGGCTGATAGTCCTTCTTTAAGTAGAAAAATTGTTGCCTGTGGTAAAAAAAAAAAAAAATGAAATTACATCGTCCCCCTAAAAGCAAAATGTTTAAGGAACATAAGCAATCTTTACAAGCTACTTAAATTTTGTCTTATAGACAAAACAATGTTTCTCCAAACCAACTCTAAGCTCTTTCATAGGTCCATCTACCGGGAACACAAACTCTTTAAATGTTTCACCAGGATTTATGTAAACTCAATGGCATAAGTTTTGGGATAAGGCTTATGTAAAGTATTAAATTCCAGTTTATGCTATGTGCAATGAAATAAAACCTGAACTTGTTTACTCATCTTCATATAAGACTGTGCCTTAAAGAGACTTGATTCAATGCCACTCCCATAATGCTAGGTTAATTATTCTCTCCTGTAAAATTGTAGAATATAGCCCTTCCTATAGATATTAAGGGCAGGAATCCAGAATTTTTGTTTCTTTTTCTGGAAACATTTCTACAACCTCCCAAATTCAATTAGGCAAACATTCAAATATTCAATTATCTTGTTATTCTATGAAAGTTTAAAGGTAATAAAAGCCCATGTAAAATATGGTAGCACCTCCAAATACTTTCAAAATCTAACAGCACTAATATATGTTTTACACCACCTTATACAGACATGGAATAGATAGTTCACATTTTTGTTTTTGAAGATTTATTTTTGGAGTACCTGGTTCTAAAGTGGGAAAGCTATGAGGTTATTTAATGGGAATAGTGAACAGTAATATTGTCTTGAACATGTGAAGCACCTAGGAGGGGTCCAGAATCTGTTCTATTATGGAGTCATCTGTCCTCAGAAAACTAGGTTACAATAATCAAACACACAATACTTCTGTAGAGATTACCACCTGTGGCAGCCCCATTATGAATTTTGTGATATATTGCCTCCCCAGTTTGGAATCAATCTGTGGTCAGTAGGTTGGTTGTTGGTAAATATAGAACCAGGAGTTCAAAACCAGCCTGGACAACACAGGAAGACCCCATCTCTACAAAAGTAAAAATAAATAAACATAATAAAAAAGAACGAGAGGAAAATAAGTTGAATAGCTGCCTAGAATATTTTCCACCTGCTGCCTGTCTTAACCCAATAACTTTAGGGACATGTTCAATATATTTTTTAAAAAAACAAATATGTAAATATGTTGCCTGTTTTCTACCAGAAATGGAGCCCCTTGGAAAGAAGGACATATCTTTATCAAAGATCTGTTATCACCACTTTGATTATCTTTGTCATTACACTAAGATGCTGGTGTAGTTTCATAATGCCTTACGTAACCTTCAAGTTATTAAGGGATCTAAATTATCAGGAATTTGTATTATATATGATATACAAATAATTCTTCAAGTTTATATGATTACATGCATGAGGCTCTGTCTTGGTTAATAAAGCAATAGAAAATATTCCAAATAAAGAACTGGAAAAGGGAATGCTTAGAAAATTGACCAAATGAGAATTATTTTTAGCCCCTGACTTGGATACTGGGCAAAAATCTCTTTCTTCTGATGAATTAGAATCCTTCCTTTTTTCTTATAATGGAAGTGGTAGCTTTAAATAAAAGAAGAGAGAAGTCTTTATTCTATTTGGTTTCTGTTGTTTCCAAGTCCCAGACTGGTGACCTAAATTGATAACAGACTCTATTTGTTGGAAGATTATTCTGTCTACCATGTGAATTTGGAAGAAATGCAGAAATTAGATAGATGAATTGGTTTATATAGAAGATGATTTGTAAGTATGTCCAGTGTTGAAAAATCAAACAAAATATTGACTGGATAGCACCACTATTAGGACTAAGAGTTTTAAATTTACAATCCAGCCAATAATGTAGAATATAATTTTGGAATTAAAGTGCAAACAGCAGCACTTTAAACAAGACAGGATAGGCATAATTCTCTGGTATAATTTTTCATAATTCACAATGTAATATATAAGAACTAATCTCTTGCATGTGTGCATATGTGCACACGTGTATATGCACAAGCATTTGCTAAGGAGCTGACAGCTTGAAAGCCATCTCTCTGTTTAGGGTTTTCCAACAAAAGCTTACATAGAGCCTAATCAGAGGTTCACAATTCCAATTTGTATTGTGCTTAGAAAATGAATAAAATGGCACTCCTGGGACCAAAGGCAGACCATTTAGGCACACACTTCTCCCTTTCCATATTTTTTTTTCATTAAATGCTTACTAACACTCTGAGAAGTAAGTAATATTAATCACTTTTTACTATGATTTGAAAGCTACACTAACTTGTCCAAACTTCAAGGATAGTAGGAGGCAGATCTGAGTTTGAATCAAAGTTGGTTTCACTTTAATGCCTAGGAAATCTCCACTTAGCACAGTGTCTTCTCTGGGTTGCTTGTGAAGCTAGTTGATTCTTAGAATTGGGGCCTCTAATGGAAGATCTGGACAGACCCTGTATATATCCTGCTGCCATGGTCAGGCCTGACTGCTCTAGTTAGATTCTCAAGGGTGTGAATTAAGAATATTGCCTGTCATATTAAATCAGTAATCCCTCTGAAGAATCTCAACACAATTACTCAAATAAGAACTTTCTTTTTTCTAGGGTAAAATCTGTCTCCTCTGATGAACTCTCATCTTTGTTTTTTTCTTATAATGGAAGCTACATATAATGGAAATTCCTTGGGGAATTCTCTGACCAAATATTGTACTCAGTTACAGCAACTGGTTTAGAGTATTTTGTCCCTGTTTCTCTAACTTTTTACTGTACTATCATTTATTCAACCAACTGAATTTATTTGTAAAGCTATCTGAAGTCATTTTTACAAAATTGGCTTGCTGTATTAGTCCATTCTCATGCCACTATAAGGAAACACCCGAGACTGCATAATTTATAAATAAAAGAGGTTTGACTCACAATTCCACATGGCTGGGGAGTCCTCAGGAAACTTACAATCATAGTGGAATGCACCTCTTCACAGGAGGCAGGAGAGAGAATGAGTGCCAGCAGGGGAAATGCCAGACGCTTATGACACCATCAGATACCTTGAGAACTCACTATCATGAGAACAGCATGGGGGAAACTGCCCCAATGATTCAATTACCTCCCTCTGGGACCCTCCCAAGATACACAGAAATTATGGGGATTGCCATTCAAGATGAGATTTAGGTGGGGACACAGCCAAACCATATCACTTGGTATAAATACATGGCAACATAAAAAAATAAAAATAATAATCACACCTGAAGCCATTTTGAAAACCTTGATCACCAAATCCTTTACTTGCTAGATAATCTGTGAGGTAAATTTCCTGGTATTCTGGCCATTCTGAAGTGGGAAAGAGAAAAGAAAATGGGAGAAAATAATGCCTGCTAGGTGCCAACAATGGTTGGGTGCTTCTTGTACATAATACCATTTTATTCCTCATACGCTTACAGATGATGAAACAGACTCAGATGCTCGTTAAGCTCATGCAGGTCATAAGTGCCAGAGTTGGGATTTTAAATTCAGGTGTGTCTGGATCCCAACCTTATGCTCTTTTCACTCTGCCAGCAGCCTTCTGACACACTCTTACTGAACTCTGGCGGTTCAATGGGCCAGAGGATACAATGCCTGCAGTTTCACCTAGGGAAATAACTATATAGGCTCTAATTTAAAATAACTTAACTTATAACCATAACTGTGTAGTTATCAACAAATTCTATTGATGCTGTACGTCCATATTGTAGCAAATTTTTTGAAAAAAGGAAAAATTAAAATTGCCATGTCTGGTAGCATGCGCCTTTAGTCCCAGCTACTCAGGAGGCTGAGGCAGGAGGATTGCTGGAGCCTGAGAGGTCAAGGCTGCAGGGGGCTATGATTGTAACACTATATTCCAGCCTGAGTGAGAGAGCAGGATTTTGTCTCTAAAAAAAGGAGGAAAACTGGACTGGTGCGTATAAAAAAGATAGCAAGAGAAGGCAAAACTCAAACTATGTGATAAAATGGGGCATGCAGATAATTTTTCACTCCTTATTTTGAGGGAAATTCTGAATCCTCATTTTTACTTATAATTAACATACCCATCCCTAAATATAAAATTATAAAAACTTTATAGGACTCTCAGTTTTTCTCAAATAGTACATAAAGTGTATGTTTACATCTATGTAAGATAACATGGTCTGGACAAGATCCAATGAAGAGTATAAAAGTACAGTGAGGAGTGTGCCTTTTGTAGTTATATAATATATTGACTTTGGGCTTGTGCTAGAAGAATTGTTCCTTGCCTCCAGCTCCTGAATTTACTACAGCTGCCAAACACTTCCAAAACCTCTCAGTCTCAATCCCAGGGCTGGAGAAATTCCACATCCCTGAGAGATCAAGTTTCACATCAATATTTTGGTGGGCTACTTGCCAATGCCTTATCAAGGAAAAATATAATTACAGGCGAGACTGCAGCAAGCTGATTCTATAATATTCTCCCCTCCTGTCTCAGTGGCTAAAATATAATATAATAAAAGTGATATAAGATACTGCATCTGCCCTTTTGGTAATTCTATTTTCATTTTAGTTCCATTGCTGGATTAAGGAAGACTCCAAGCAATGCCAGAGCTACTGATGCATAGCTACTAAAACTCTAGCATCTGATTTAGGAAAGCTACAGCTTCAAATAGAATTCAAGATAGAAAGGAAAGGTGGCAATAGGATAGAAAAGTTGGGGTCTTGTGGCAAATTGTTTTTGTTTTTGTTTTTCCTAGAATTGCTCTAATGGATAGTTCAACCTCTACACCAGAGATAAAATTAGTACAGGGACTTCAATAATTCATTCATTTTGTTTATGAGTCCCTGGGGGCTTATTTGCTATCACCATGTGCACTGTATTATAACAGCAAGGCATAGTTCAGGACTAATTACTATTGTTCATTCAGACTGAATTATACTAAGGTTTTACCCTGCAGTATATCCAGGAGGGAGGCACAATTTGATGTGTGGTATCTTAAAAACCATAGGCCAACACAGTGGGGATAGATGATACTCACACAGCTATTATTTTAAAATACAGTTTTAAACAAAGACTTTTTATGGCTCTTCACTGGTTATAGACTCAAGTCTGAATGCCTCAGCATAGCATCAAAGACCTTTCTGTCAGTTTGGCTTACCTCAACACACTTCCTTAGCATCCTGTCTCACTCTTCTCCATGAACATATTGTTCTATTGAGCCACATTCCTTCTTGCAGTCCTCAAACAGCTCCTTTGTCTTACACCTTTGTTGCCTTCTCACACTGTTTACTTTATCCTGGATCCACTTTTTCTCCTTCCTCTGTTTGTGAGCACCCTCCACCAAAACCTACACGTGAAATATGCCCTGACTATGCCATACCCAATTGAGGCTGAATTACTTCATAGTCACATGATTTTATCTTCACTTCTCTTCCTCCAGCTACGTAAGCTTCTTTGAGCAAGATCCTGCTTATCCATCTCTGTATGTTGAAAATCTGGGACAGTCCCTGGCATGTAACTGGTGCTCAGTAAATAACAGTTAATCAGCAGTTTTATGCATTTGCTTTTACAAAAGCCATGTGTTTTGTAAAATATAATCCCCAACTATTGGTTTGCTTAGTGCCATATCTTAAAGGTTGTATTTCTTTATAACTCATATTTGTCTATAGGGAGTCACTAGGTGTTATATTCAGCAGAAAGAGCTCAGATCCCAGTTTTGCCACTTTCTACTCTGTGAATTTGGGATAATATCCCACATGTCTATAAAATGGAAATAAGATTTGCTTGGGAGGAACACTTGAGATAAAACACCTGGCACACACTTGGCATACAACAAATGAACCAACAGAATTCATCTCGGAATGATAACATCAGCCTCGGGCATCCACATGGAAAGCAAGACCCTGAGGGAATAGGATGAGAGATTTTAGTTTTTTTTTTTTGATGAAACAAAGAAGGTTATGATGGAGCACAGAATACAGATTGGGAAGGCAGTCCTCAACTGTGTCACTGTAGGGGGTGGCTACAATGCCAATGGATGCAAGAGTGGCAGGATCAGGGAGAAGGAAAAAGGGTAGAAGGAAGATAATCTGGAAAACTGAGTCCTAATATGTGATTTCTGAACAACTGATGACACTGAGAATAATAGGCAGCGTTTATTGAAGACTTAACTGTGTCAAGTGGTTCACAAACTCTCTCTTGTCCTCCAAACTACCTTGCAAGATAGCTCCAGGTATCAACATTATCTATGTCAGCTAACTGATTAAATAAGGACATTTTATTTCTGGGTTATGTTTTACATTTAAAATCGGGAACTTTATTGACATTAAGTCTCATTTCATCATGTGAAAAAGGCCAGACCTGTTTTAACCCCCTTATGCAGATGAGAAAACAAGACTCAGAAATTAAATGCCTAAGAATTACATATGACATATACAGATAATCACTAAGACACATGTTTATATACTGACACCACTAAACTGTAAACTCCAAGAAATCATGGCCTGAGACTGTTCTGCTAGCCACTGCATATGCACTGCCTGGTGCCAGCCGTGGCAAATACAAAGCAAAGAACAAAGAATAGCAAGGTTGCTGAATGAATGAATGAATGAATGCATACATAAGTGAGGAAATAAATGCTTTGATGGATGAATACCATATATTCAGAGGAAAGACATGAAAACTTTGGTTTTGGCCGCAGCACTTGGGATACATGGCTTGATTCCTTGCAGGACATGACAAGGTTAGTGTGGCTGATAAAGATAAGCCACTGCCTATTTGAATGAGGGGTTTTAAGTACTGCCTTCATTTGAGTAGTTTAGGTCCCTAAACCATGAGAAAAACATAACAAATCCTCCAGTGACATTTACTTCATAACATTTAAAAGTATAAATTTAACATTCTTGTAGTGGACACGTTTTGGAGGACTCCTTGGGTCACACTCTTATCTCTAGGAATTGGTTCTTTCTCTATCCCAGTAAATGTTCTTCCACTTATATCCATGAGATTTCTCTTCGTGAACTTAATACTTGAGTGAGTGTGAAGGTATTTTAGTCTGTTTAGGCTAATGTGTATTACAAACAACTGAAACTAGGGTGTATTATAAAAAACTGAAATTGATTTCTCACAGTTCTAGAGGCTGGGAAGCCCAAGATTAAGATTCAGTGTCTGGTAACAGCCTACTTCCTGCTTCATAGATGGCCATCTTCTCACTGTGTCCTCACGGGTAGAAGGGGCAAAGGAGCTCTCTGTGGTCTCTTTTATAAGGGCACTAATCCCATTCATGAGGGCTCTACCCTCACGACCTGACCACTCCCCAAAGGCCCCACCTCCAAATATCCTCACACTGGGGATGAGCTTTCAACATAGGAAATTTTGGAGGGATGTAAACATTCAGACTATAGCAAAGGGTGGGGGGTTGTTTTTTGAAAAAGCTTTGATTGGACAATCATCCAAGCTAAAATGTAAACTGTGGCTACAGAGAGGAATAGAGGAAGGACTAAAAGCATAAGGACATCCATGGTTTGGGGACATCCTGTCATTTCTGGGGACCATCTGTATACTCTGTATCCTCCAGGGTCAGTGACCCTTTCTGGAGTTGCTTCCCATGTGCTTCTATTAATACTCAGATGCCTTTTAAAAACTCATAGTTATACAAACTATTCCTCATCCACGTGTTCATCTAGCCAATGATACTGTGTCACTCATTATTTTAGGCACAAATGACACTAAGATGAGATGCGGCACAGTGTATGGATTAAGGCATGATCTTTTAGTGCCAGACTGCTTGTTTTCATAGCCCAGCTCTGCCACATGTTCTCTATCCCTTCTGGGTATGTTTCTTCAGTTCTCCATGCCTCAATTTCCTCATCTCTAAACATGGGGTGATACTTATGTTATGACGTTATTAGGAGGGCTAAGTGAGTTAATACATGGAAAATACTTGAAATTTAAAATGACACCTGGTATGCAGTAAGAGCTTAATAAATGCTGGTTGGTGTTACGTCACAGTTCATGTCCTCAGGGACATTGAATATAGAAAAAGAGACAAACAGGAAAATAACTGATTATAATGCATTGTGTTAAGAGTTATAACAGGCAGCTCCAGCCATTAAACATACATATAATAAGAACTGCGGGTCATTATATTCGGCTGAGAACACACATGCACTCTCCACAGCAGTGAAAAGTAACAAATTGGATAAATAGCTGAAGTGGTACCCAGGCAAGCACTTTGTGCAAACAGGATTCAATTCTTCCTGGATATTCAGTTTCCTTCTCAAAATCTGCATAATCTCTGATGATCTTTGACTTGTAACACTTCTTTGAGAGATGTACTACAACATTATTTGAATCTTGTCCTGTTACTTAATTCAAGCTTTCCAGTGTGGATTTCTTTTTCTTACAATAGAGTATATGTTACTTTAAAACAGGAAAAAACAAACAAACAAACAAAAAACAGGAAAACCATCTTAAATATCTTTGAGCTTCCACAATCTACACAGCTAAATATCATGGTTGAATGAATAAATGAAAAGCCAACTTGGTTAGAATGGTAAGCAAGCTATATTTCTGCCTAACATTTCTTTTCCTAATTGGATTTATTTTGGGTTATTTAAACTCAGTGTATAACTCTTTAAGCTTTCAGTCAAGACCTTTTATAATCACCCTTATATTAGCTCAAAGGCACTCATATCAACTGATTATAAGTCCATTTGCCTAACAAAACAAACATTAAACTATTGGAACAAGAACTGGGAACCTGAAGTGTAACTATTGGTGATCTCTGCCTCGCTCTGTGGCTTTAGAAACCCCAAGTCCCCAAGTTTGTTGCTATTATAGTATCTACATCTACAAATGAGGAGAACATACTGTTACCTTGCACAGATAAGAGGGGAAAAATGCCTACGTGGGCTGATTGACTTTCAATTCTGCCAAGGAAAGATCTCAGATAACCCAGTTTTGAGTTGAAAGGTCAGCTTCTAAATACCCCAAAATAAAGAGAAAGTATGCCCATAGGGCCTGACTCTACTCTGGGATCATTAACGCGTCTCCTCAGTTCATTCCTTTGGAATAGATCATTTAGGTCAAGAGTAGCATAACCATAGTGTGACATCATGCCAAACACCCATAAATCTAATTCTATTTATGTTTCAGTTGATTTGGTAAAATGCAATATCAGAACAGCAAAGGTTTCTGCCCAGTTATTACAGAAACAAGAGTGTCACTGCTCTTTAGAAAGAAGCTGCATATAACTAAAAATGACCTACCATGAAACTCAAAAGGAGAGTACCAGTAATTTGAAAATTTTTTTATCAGCTTTCGCTAAATTTTCTCTCAACTCCAAACCAAATAATCATTCCCTACTTGCTAAACAGATCTTAAATATAAAATTCTATTGGCTTTTTATTTTCCTTTGTATTAGCCAAAATAGGGCTTTTGAAAAAATATTTAACTGGTCTCAATTTTTTGTTCAAGGTTGACTTAGCATTTAAATCCAGTTGCAAGCAACAGGTCATATTTCACTTAAATAATGGCAAGTAGCCTTATATTAGAGACATTCTCATATAAAAGCTCCACATTAGGAAAAATGCATTCTGAGAAATACTCAAATACTATAAAGTGGTCAAGTATATGGAAAATGAAGCTCTGATCTGCAAAACAGCCTCAATAGGTTGCATTCATTTACCAAGGGGGAAGGGATGCATGGAACCATGCAAGGCCAATGTGTGAAAATCCATTACTCAAGAGGAATGTGCTAAGGTTCTAATGTTTCTAAATCAATTTTTGATTAATATTTAAGATGCCTGATATATATTAAATGTCAAATGTATAATAAAATGTATTTTCTTACAGTTAGTAAAATACAAAGCATGCCAGCACACTATGACCTATTTTTTAAAAAATGTATAGCAACCAGTCTCAAATTGTTGACTCCTCTCCATCTCCACTTTTTTTTTTTTAGGTAAAAAATTACATATAGGAAAAAGGCACACATCTTAAGTGTATAACTTGATGAATTTTGATAAAAAATACATCCACATCACCACCACAATCGATGCAGAACATTTCCAAAACCCCAGAAAATTCCTTGGTGCCTCCTTCCAGTTAAGCCCTCCTCCTTAGAGGTAATCACCGTTCTGATTCCAATTACTATAGATAAGTTTTGCCTTATTATAGTACATCACAGCTGCTATGGTTTGAATATTTTTGACTCCTTCAAAATTCATGTTGAAACTTGATCCTCTCCAAAATTCAGTTGTTCCTACTATGACAGCATTAAGAGGTGGGGCCTTTACAAGGTCATTAGGCCATGAGGGCTGCTTCCTCTCTACTAGGATTAAGATCCTTTTAGGCCGGGCATGGTGGCTCACACCTGTAATCCCAGCACTTTGGGAGGCCCAAGGTGGGTGGATCACCTGAGGTCAGGAGTTCAAGACTAGCCTGGCCAACATGGTGAAACCCTGTATCTACTAAAAACACAAAAATTAGCCAGGCGTAGTGGTGCATGCCTGTAATCCCAGCGACGCGGGAGGCGGAGGCAGGAGAATCGCTTGAATCCTGGGGGCGGAGGTTGCAGTGAGCAGAGATTGCATCACTTCATTCCAGCCTAAGCCAAAGAGCAAAACTCTGTTTCAAAAAAAAAAAAAACAAAGGTCCTTTTAAAAGAGGCTTCAGGCAACACCTAGCTAGCTTACACTATCTTCCCTTTCTGCCATGTGAGAATGCAGCAAGGATACTCTCTCACCAGATCAGAGGCTAGCACCTTGATCTTGGACTTCCCAGCCTCCAGAACTGTGAGAAATAAATTTCCATTCTTTTTAAATTACTCAGTCTGTGGTATGTTGCTATAGCAGCAAAAACAGACTAATATATATCCTACATATATCCAATAGTGTATCTTATTTTGTGTCTGACTTCTTTCACTCAACATAACGTTTGAGATTCATCCACATGAATATGTATGTAATGATAGTTATTTTTAGACTGCTAAGTCATACTGTGTGGTATGAATACATCACAACTGTGTTACCCATTCTATTGTTGATGGACTTTTGGGGTGATTCCAACATTAGGCTGGCTTGAACAAAACTGGTATGAACACTTTGTGCATGTCTTTTTGTGGATGTTATGTTTTCATCTCCCTTAGGTAAATATACAAAAGTAGAATCACTGGGTCATAGGGTAGGTGTATGTTTGACTTTATAAGAAATTGTCAAACCTTTTCCAAAGTGGTTATACCACTTCACATAGTCATCATCAACAGATGAGGATTCTGGTTGCTCTGCATTCTTGCTAACACTTAGTGATGTCAGTATTCTAATTATATCCATTCTACTGAGTGTGTATATTTTCTTGTGATTATAATTTGCATTTTCCTGATGAATGCTGCTGATAACATTGTTTATATATTTATTGGCTGTCCATATATCTTTCGCTGTGAAGTGTTTAAGTTTTTTTGTCCACTTAAGAAATTGGGTTACCTCATTATTATTGATTTAGAAGTCTTTCATCAGATATGTATTGTACATATTTCCCCTTAGTATGTGGCTTACTTTTATATTTTCATAATGGTGTCTTTTGGTGAAGATACATTTAAAATTTTGATGTAGTGTATTTTTTTTTTTTTTGAGATGGAGTTTCGCTCTTGTTGCCCAGGCTGGAGTGTGATGGCGCGATCTCAGCTCACTGCAATCTCCGCCTCCCGGGTTCAAGTGATTCTCCTGCCTCAGCCTCCCTAGTAGCTGGGATTACAGTCATACACCACCATGCCAGGCTAATTTTGTATTTTTAGTAGAGACGAGATTTCACCGTGTTGGTCAGGCTGGTTTCAAACTCCCAACCTCAGGTGATCTGCCTTCCTTGGCCTCCCAAAATGTTGGGATTACAGGCATGAGCCACTGCACCTAGCCTGATGTAGTGTGTTATTTTTTCATTTTTATGTTTAATACTGTTTGTGCTCCCTGTAAAAAAAAAAAAAAAATCTTTGCGTATTCTGTTTCACAATGATACTCAAGATTTTCTCCTATGCTATTACAAAAGGCTTGATATTTTTAGCTTTTAGGTTTAGGCCCATCATCCATTTTGAATTAAGTTTTGTGTGAGTGTGAAGTAGTGATCAATGTTCATTTTTCCCATATGTTTATCCACTTTTTTCTAGGATACATGTTAAAAAGACTTTCTTTTCCCCATTGCATTAACTTGATGATTTTGTAAAAAGTAAATATACATATGGCTATATTTCTGGTCTCAATTCTGCTTCATTCATCTATTTTGTCTCTTCTCAGTATAATATCACACTGCCTTTATTACCTTAAGTTTTGAAATCAGGTAGTATAAATCCTATTTAATCTCATTCTTCATTTCAAAAGTTTTTAGGCTCTTCTGAGCCCTTTGCATTTTTATATAAATTACAAAATAAGCTTGTCAATGTCTACAAAAAAGCCTGTTGCAATTTAAGTTGATTGCACTGAATCTATAAGTCAATTTGAGGAGAGTTGGCATCTTTAACAATTTGAATCTTCCAACCCACGTACATGGCATATCTTTCCATTTATTTAGGCCTATTTGATTTCTCAAAGCAGTCCTTTCTGATTTTAGGTGCTAAGGTTTTGCATATATTTTGTTAAATGTATCCCTTATGTATTTCATATGTTTAAAGCTATTGAAAAAAGTATTTTTAAATTTTAATTATTTGTTGATAGTATACAGAAATACAACTGATTTTTGTATACTGAATTTGTTTCCTATGATCTTGCTACTTGTAAATGTTTTTGTGGATGATTTAGGACAATAAAGCCATGCTGTCTGTCAATAAAGAGAGTTTGGCTTCTTTCTTGCTAATTTTATGGGTTTTTTTCTTTTTGTGCTGACTTAATAACCCAGTAAAATATTGTATAGAGGTGCAAACATCCTTGATTTGCTCTAATTTAAGGGGAAAAGGATTTACTATTTTACCATTAACTGTGATACTAATTTTAGGTTTCTTATATGCTGTCTATCCGATTTAAAAAGTTCCTTCTCTTTCTAATTTGCCAAAAGTTTTAAATCACAAATGGGTGTTGTACTTTGTCAAATAATTTTTATTACTCCATTGAGCTGATTCTATAGTTTTTTTGTTAATTCTCTTATTGTGGTATGCCACATTGATTGATTTTCAAATGTCAAGCCAACCTTACATTCCTAGGATTAATTGGGCTGCTAATGTTCTATTAATCTTTTTTAGTATATTGCTGTATTTGATCTATAACACATTGTTAGAGAATTTTGCAAACATTTACGAGATACAGTGATGTGTAATATCCCTTTCTTGCAGCATGCTTTTTTCTCAGATTTTGTATCAGGGTCACATTGGTCTCAAAACAAATAGGGAAGTATTCTCTCCTCTGTTTTCTGAAAGATTTTGTGTAAGATTGGTATTAGCTCTTCCTTAAATGCTTCATAGAACTCACTAGTCTAAACAAACTAGCCTGGTGTGTTGTTTTGTGAGGGAAATAGAAATAGAGCTATTGATATTTTCTATTTATTTTTTCTTGTAACATTTTAAAGTTGCATTGATGTATGCATTTTATCTAGGTTGCTATATTTATTGGCATAAAGTTGTTGATGATACTCTTTTTTATCATTTTACTATCTATGGATCTATAATAACCACTCTTATTTCTGGTATTGGTGATTTGTGTTTTTTCTTTCTTCTTGTCTCCTCTATTGGTATTGCTAACGGTTTTTCTTTTTGCTTTATTTTGTTGTTGTTGTTGTTGAGACAGGGTTTTGCTCTCGTCACCCAGGCTGGAGTGTGCAGTGGCACAATCTCGGCTCACTGCAACCTCTATTTCCCAGGTTCAAGTGATTCTCTTGCCTCAGCCTCCCAGGTAGCTGAGATTCTAGGTGCCCACCACCACGTTTGGCTAATTTTTGTACTTTTAGTAGAGACGGGGTTTCACCATGTTGGCCAGGCTGGTCTGGAACTCCTGACCTCAGATGAGCCACCCACCTCGGCCTCCCAAAGTGCTGGGATTACAGGTGTAAGCCACCACACCTGGTACTGCTAATGGTTTAACAAAATTATTAATCTTTTAAAAATTGTAGTTTGGACTTTAACTTAATTTTTTTCTATATAATTGGTTTTAGCTCTTATTTTTATTATTTCCTTCTATCTACTTATTTTGGGTTCAATGTATTCTTCCTCTTTTAAAATCTTAAAGGGGCAACTCAGCTGATAGATTTTAAACCTTTCTTATTCTTTAAGTCTATAAATCTCTAAGCAATACTTTGGCTGCATTCCACCATTTCTAACATTTTCATTATAGTTTAGTTTGCAGTATTTATTAATCTCTCATTGATGTCTTACCTGACTCAGATTAAGATATATGTTTAATTTTCAAATATTTGGTGGTTTTTACTAGATATCTTATTATTATTGATTTCTAATTTAGTTCCATTGTCACCAGAAAACATATCTTGTAAAATTTTAATCTTTCAAAATTGACTGAGACTTAGTTTATCATATAGCATATGATGCATTGGTAAATACTCCAACTGCACTTGAAAAGAATGCACTTAAAACTGTGTTTTTTTTGTTTTGTTTTGTTTTGGTTTTTTTGACATGGAGTCTCGCTCTGTTGCCCAGACTGGAGTGCTGTGGTGTGATCTCGGCTGACTGCAAGCTCCGCCTCCCGGGTTCACGTCATTCTCCTGCCTCAGCATCCCAAGTAACTGGGACTACAGGCGCCTGTTGCCACGCCCGGCTAATTTTTTGTGTTTCTGGTAGAGATGTGGTTTCACTGTGTTAGCCAGGATGGTCTCGATCTCCTGACCTCATGATCCGCCTGCCTCAGCCTCCCAAAGTGCTGGGATTACAGGCGTGAGCCACCGCGCCCAGCCAAAAATATGTATTTTGAGTTGTTGGCTGTATGCTCTGTAAATGTTAATCAGGTCAAGGTGATTGACAGTGTTGATAAAATCTTACGTATCCTTGCTGATTTATTTTCTCTAGTTGTGCTGTCAAACACTAAGAAAGAGCATTTAAAAATCGTCAACCATGTTTGTAGATTTTTACCTTTTTCTCCCTTTAATATGTCAGTTTTTGCTCTCTACATTGTTAAATTTTGTTACTAAGTTCATATGCATTTATGATACTTTTGTCTTCTTATTAACTCTTTTATTATTACAAAATATCTTTATATTGGGTGATACATATTGTCCTGAAATGAACCTTGTATGACATTAATAGAGCCATGCCAACTTTCTCATGCTTACTTGTCTGCATGTCATATCTGTTTCCATCCTTTTACTTAAAACTTACTTGTGGGTTTATGTTTAAAGTGTGTTTCATATAAACAACGTAAAATTGAGTGTTACTGTTTAATTCATTCTGTCCATGTATTCAGTTAATATTTAATATAATTAGTAATACAGTTATATTTATATCTATTATTTTGTTATTTGTTTTCTATTTCTCATCTTTTTATATTTCTGCCTCCTATTCTTGCCTTCTTTTGAATATACATTTTAAAAAATACTCCATCTTAATTTTTCTAACGGCTTAACTGTATCTTTTTGCAAATTTTTAGATATTACTACACACATACACACCCTTGTCAGTTTATTTAGAATTAATATTATACTTCTTCACAGGAAATAGAGGTACTTTGCAACAGCATAATTCCATTAACCTCTCTCATCCTTTGTGTTAATATTTTAATATATTTCCCATACATTTATACACCTCACAATGTAATGTTGGAATTTTGCATTAAAAACCAGCTATTTTTAAAAGAAATTTAGAAAACTGTCTTTTGTATTTACCCTCTTATTTATAATTTCTTCCTCTAGATTTGGAGTTCCATCTGCTATCATTTCCCTTCATCTTGAAGAACTCTTTTAGCAGTTGTTACACTGTAGATCTGCGGGCACCAAATTCTCTCAGCTTTCCTTTATCTGATAATGTGTTTATTTCACTTTCATTTATGAAGGATGTTTTTGTTGGATATAGAACTATATGTGGACTTGTTTTTCTCTCAGGACTTTAAAGATATTGATGCATTTTCTTCAGCATCAGTTTTCTAATGCTGCCATAACAAATTACCACAAACTTAGTGGCTTAAAACAACACAAATTTATCATCTCACAGTTCTGTGGGTCAGAAGTTCAGGTACAGCATGGTTTAACTGTTCCTTTTCTTAGCAACTCACATGGTGAAAATCAAGGTATTGGCAGGGATTACTCCCTCTGGAGGCTCTAGGGAAGAATCTGTTTTCTTGTTCATCCAGACTCTTGGCAAAAATCAGTCCCTTGCATTTTCAGGATGAACGTCCCTGTCTCCTTGCTGGCTGTCAGATGAGGGCTGTTCTCAACTCTAGCGGCCACTTCATTTCTTGGTTTGCAACTCCCCCATCCTCTACCTTCAAAGCTAGAAACAGTGTTTCAAGTCCTATCACACTTCAAATCTCTTTTGTCTTCTACTCATATGTTTCTCTGACTCCAGCCGAGCCCACCAGGATAATCTAGAATAACCTCCCCTTCTCCATGCCCATATCCTGAATTGCATCTATAACATTTACTTTGCCATGTAAGGTAACATATTCACAGATTCAGGTGATTAAGATGTGCACATTTTAGGGCAGGTGAACATTATTCTGCCAACCATAGACTCTATTCTGGTGAGAACTCACCTGCCATTTTAATAGTTGTTCTTCCATGTGAAATCTATAGATATGGATCTCAGCAAACGTAGTGCTCTTCTTTTAAGGGTCAGACCCCCTCCTGGATGGGGGAGCTACAAGCCAAGGAGTGAGGTGGCTTTTTATCTCTCCCCATAGTCTTCAGATTTTTATTTTTTGTATCTTTTGAGAGTTTACGTAGTTATCTAGGGAGAGTCAGCCATTATCAGAAGAGAAAACTTTACCTTTAAATCCCTTGGTTTTTGAAGCTGGAGAAATATTATTACTATAGTTCATAGCAGTGAAGTTATTGATAATAACAGGATGATTACATTAAGACTGTTTTGCATTTAATTCATTTCAAAGATCAATAGGCTGAGGCCACATAAAATAAATGGAAAATATAAATATAATTGAAAGAGACATTTCCACATGATTTAGGAAGTTTACATCTAGCTCTGTCATTATGTGTTATTAAAGGCATGCTGCTTACATTCTCTGATCTTCAGCTGGCTTTTTCTTTTTTTTAAATAGAGTTGGGGTCTCACTCTATTGCCCAGGCTGGCACCTTCATGGCTCAGTGCAGCTTTGAACTCCTGGGCTCAAGTGATCCTCCTGCCTCAGGAGTAGCTGGCATTACAGTACAGGCGTGCCACTACTCCCAGAAAAAATTGTTTAAAAATTGTTTGTTGAGATGGGGTCTTGCTATATTGCCCAGGCTAGTCTCAAATTCCTGGATTCGTGCCATCCTCCCACCTTGGCCTCCCAAAGTGTTAGGATTACAGGCATGAGCCACTGTGCCCAGCCTCTTTATTTGTTTGTAAAGTATCAATAATAAAGTTGTGGACACACGCACTAAATAAAATTATATCTATAAAAGCACTTGGCATACAGCTTGGCATATAATATCCTTTAAATACACATCCATATAATATCCTTCAGCCGTTAGACTTGCTGAATCTGAATCACTGCCAAAAGTATGGCCTAAAACCATATTTGAAAAAAAAAAAATTAGCTACGAGAAACATGGCCTCTAGAGGAGACATCAGAATCTCTGGGGTACTTTTTCCAATCATATCAGCTCCTTGGAGATGTGATACACCACTGTAAGGAAGAGGTGCCATCCTTCTCTCCTCTGGTCAGGAACCAGTGGTTCAGAAAGAATTAGGAATGTATATCAGGTTGCTAAAATGTTTTTAAACAGTGGTTCTTCTAAGCCAATATCTTGTAACCTTCAGTGTCTATCCAGATTTTCTGAAAGGCTTGCTGAAACGTAGATTACTGCTACTCAGAATTGAGTTTTTGATTCAGTGGGTCTGGTGTGGCACCCAGGAATTTACATTTCTAACAAGTTTCCAGGTAGTGCTGATATTGCCAGACCAGACACAGACCACAGTTTGAAAACCATTAGTCTAAGAACTCAAGAAAATAGAAGTACCCGTCCATAAAGCATACTTTGGGGCCACTCTCTAAAATGCATTGCTAGGTATAGATAAACTATGACCTCTCTCATAATGATAATGTTGAAGAACATACAGTGAACTCACCAATGCAAATTAGCATAACATAAAAATAGCCCACATTTACTAAATCACTTATGACACACTTTGCATCATGAGACATGCTTTACATTAGTCATCTCTTCTAAAGTTCACAACTAGCCCAAGAGGTGTCTAATTTACAGAAAAGAAAACAGAGGCTCAGCAAGATTAAAATTATATCCAACATGTCCAGTGTTCTGGGCTGCTAAGGGGCAGAGCCAGATCTGCTCTATATTGTCCTGCACTAAGCAGCACAGAAAACAAAACAGTTCTGCTTACTTCTTAAAGAGCTGGCTAAATCCGGTTCTCTAGGCGCTGGGATTAGAGGAAAATTCAGCTCTGGTGTTTGCCCTCAGGAAGTTTACTTTCTAACAGGGGAAACTGTTAAATCCCAATCTTGTCCCAACTGTTTTGATGGAAACATTGCTTCTGCAGAGGAGAAGCACTCCACCAAGGCCAGGGATAGAGGTGTAAGGGTGTAAGGGAAGACCTCGGGGTGAGCAGGCTGGGTGCTGAAGTAAATAGTCTGGTGAAGATGGGGACTAAAGGCCTTTTAGCAGGCTTTCAGCCAAACCTTGGCTGCACATGAGAAATACCTGAAGGGCTCCCTGCCCCAACTTTCCTGAGGCATAATTGACAAACAAAAATTATATATATCCAAGGTGTACAAATGTGATGATTTCATAAATGTATACATTGTGAAATGATTATCACAATCAAATTAGCTAACTCATCCATCACCAAACTTAGTTAAAATTTGCTCATGTACGTGTGTGTGTGTGTGTGTGTGTGTGTGTGTTGAGGACACTTAAGATACACTTTCTTAGCAAATTTCAAGTAAACCATACAGTATTATTAATAAAAGTCACCATGCTGTACATTCGACCCCCAGAACTTGTTGATTTGATAACGGAGAGTTGTAGCCTTTGACCAACATCTACCCTTTTCCTCATCCCTTCCTCTAGCCCCTGGTAATCACTGTTTTACTCTCTGCTTCTATGGATTTAACTTTTTTCCTAGATTCCACACCACATATAAGTAAGATCATACGGTATTTGCCTTTCTATATTTAGTTTATTTCACTTATCATAATGTCTTCCAGGTTCATCCACATTTTCACAAATGACAAGATTGTCTTCTTTTTAAAGGCTGAATAATATTCATTTGTAAATATATTCCACAATTTCCTATCCACTCATCCATCCATGGACACTTAGGTCATTTCCATATCTTGGCTATTGTGAATAACGCTGCAATAAATATGGAGGTGTAGATATCCCTTTGAGATACTGTTTTATCTTCCTTGCGGGAAGTCAGGGACCCCAAACGGAGGGACTGGCTGAAGCCATGGCAGAAGAACGTGGATTGTAAAGATTTCATGGACACTTATCACTTCCCCAATCAATACCCTTGTGATTTCCTATGCCTGTCTTTACTTTAATCTCTTAATCTTGTCAGCTGAGCAGGATGTATGTCGCCTCAGGACCCTGGAATAATTGCATTAACTGCATAAATTGTACAGCATGTGTGTTTGAGCAATATGAAATCTGGGCACCTTGAAAAAAAGAACAGGATAACAGCAGTTGTTCAGGGAATAAGAGAGATAACCTTAAACTCTGACCACCAGTGAGCCAGGCGGAACAGAGCCATATTTCTCTTCTTTCAAAAGCAAATGGGAGAAACATCGCTGAATTCTTTTTTCTCAGCAAGGAACATCCCTGGGAAAGAGAATACACGCCTGGAGGTATAGGCCTATAAACGGCCCCCCCAGGTGTGCCCGTCTCTTATGGTCAAGACTGCAGGGGTGAAATGGACCCCAGTCTCCCATAGCGCTCCCAGGCTTATTAGGAAGAGGAAATTCCCACCTAATAATTTTGGTCAGACCAGTTGCCCTCAAAACCCTGTCTCCTGATAAGATGTTATCAGTGACAATGGTGCCCGAAACTTCATTAGCAATTTTAATTTCGCCCCGGTCCTGTGGTCCTGTGATCTTGCCCTGCCTCCACTTGCCTTGTGATATTCTATTACCGTGTAAAGTACTTGATGTCTGTGACCCACACCTATTCGCACATTCCCTCCCCTTTTGAAAATCCCTAATAAAAACTTGCTGGTTTTTGCAGCTTGTGGGGCATCACGGAACCTACCGACATGTGATGTCTCCCCCGACGCCCAGCTTTAAAATTTCTCTCTTTTGTACTCTGTCCCTTTATTTCTCAAGCCAGCTGATGCTTAGGGAAAATAGAAAAGAACCTACATGAATATCGGGGCAGGTTCCCTGATACTGAGAAGTAGGATTGCTAGATCAGAGAGAGAGGTGACAACATGCTAGCAGCCCTCGCTCGCTCTCTGCGCCTCCTTGGCCTTGGTGTCCACTCTGGCTGTGCTTGAGGAGCACTGCAGCCCACTGCTGCACTCTGGGAGCCCCTCTCTAGGTTGGCTGAGGCCGGAGCTAGCTCCCTCTGCTTGCCGGGAGGTGTGGAGGGAGAGGCGCGGGCGGGAACTGGGGCTGCAAACAGAGCTCGTGGGCCAGCGCGAGTTCCAGGTGGGCGCGGGATCGGTGGGCCCCGCACTCAGAGCGGCCGGCCCGGGCAGTGAGGGACTTAGCACCTGGGCCAGCAGCTGCGGAGGGTGTGCCAGGTCCCCCAGCACTGCCGGCCCACCCATGCCACGCTCTAATTCTTGCTGGGCCTCAGCTGCCTCCCCACAGGACAGGGCTCAGGACCTGCAGCCCCCAATGCCCGAACCACCCCCCTCCTCACTCCCCCTTGGGCTCCCACACGGCCCGAGCCTCCCTGACGGGCGCCACTGAGGAGTACAGGCGCCTGGCATGGGACTGACAGGCAGCTCCGCCTGCGACCCTGGCGCGGGATGCACTAGGCGAAGCCAGCTGGGCTCCTGAGTCAGGTGGGGACTTGAAGAACTTTTATGTCTACCTGGAGGATTGTAAATGCACCAGTCAGCACTTCGTGTCTAGCTCAAGATTTGTCAATGCTCCAATCAGCACTCTGTGTCTAGCTCAAGGTTTGCAAATGCACCAATCAGCACCCTGTCAAAAAGGACCAATCAGCTCTCTGTAAAACGGACCAATCAGCAGGATGTGGGTAGGGTCAGATAAGGGAATAAAAGCAGGCTGCTTTGGGAGGCCGAGGCGGGCGGATCACGAGGTCAGGAGATCGAGACCATCCTGGCTAACACGGTGAAACCCCGTCTCTACTAAAAATACAAAAAATTAGCCGGGCGTGGTAGCGGGCGCCTGTAGTCCCAGCTACTCGGGAGGCTGAGGCAGGAGAATGGCGTGAACCCGGGAGGCGGAGCTTGCAGTGAGCCGAGATCGCGCCACTGCACTCCAGCCTGGGCGACAGAGCAAGACTCCGTCTCAAAAAAAAAAAAAAAAAAAAAAAAAAAAAAAAGCACGCTGCCGAAGGCAGCAGTGGCAACCCACTGGGGTCCCCTTCCACGCTGTGGAAGCTTTGTTCTTTTGCTCTTCGAGATAAACCTTGCTGCTGCTCACTCTTTCGGTCCGCATGCCTTTATGAGCTGTAACACTCACCGCAAAGGTCTGCAGCTTCACTCATGAGGCCAGCGAGACCATGAACCCACTGGGAGGGATGAACAACTCCAGACGGGAGGAAGGAACAACTGCGGACGGGAGGAAGGAACAACTCTGGACTGGAGGAACAAACAACTCCAGACACACCGCCTTAAGAGCTGTAACACTCACCGCGAAAGTATGCAGCATCACTCCTGAAGTCAGCGAGATCACAAACCCACCAGAAGGAACAAACTCCGGATACACCATCTTTAAGAACTGTAACACTCACTGCAAGGGTCCACAGCTTCATTCTTGAAGTCAGCGAGACCAAGAACCCACCAATTCCGGACACAATAGTTCTACTTTTAATTTTGAGAAGAATCTTCATACTGTTTTCCATATTGGCTGAACTAATTTACATTCCCTTCAGCAGTGTACAAACCAGGGTTCTCTTTTCCCCATATCCTCACCAACATGTGCTATCTCTTGTCTTTTTGATAATAATTATCTTAACAGATGTGAGATGATATCTCACTGTGGTTTTGATTTGCACTTCCCTACTGATTATAGACATTGAGCATCTTCTCACATACCTGTTGGCGTTTTTACGTTGTCCTTGGAGAAACATTTATTCAAGTCCTTTGCCCATTTTTTTTAGTTGGGTCATTTGGTGTTTTGCTACTAAGTTGTTTGAGTTCCTTATATGTTTTGTATATTAACCCCTTATCAGATATATGGTTTGCAAATTATTTCTCCCATTCTATAGGTTGCCTTTTCATTTGGTTGACTGTTTGCTGTGCAGAAGCTCTTTAGTTTAATGTAAACCTACCATTTATTTTGCTTTCATTACCTGTACTTTTGCAGTCATACCAAACAAGTTGTTGCCAAGACCAATGTCAGGAGGTTTCTTTCCCTATACTTTCCTCTAGGAAACTCCTAGAACACTGCTCATGTCCTAGGAGTTTTACAGTTTCAGGACTGTTGCATTTAAGTTTTTTAAAAATATAAAGTTAAATTCTGTATGAGAGCCCAATTTTATTCTTTTGCATGTAGATATCTGATTTTTCAAACACTGTCTGTTGGAAAGACTATCCTTTTCTTGGAGAGCTTTTAAAAAGAGACAGATGCCAGGCTTCATTTGACCAACTGAATCAAAATCTCTGGAGGTTTGACCCAGTGATTGGTATTTTTTAAAAACTCTCTATGATTCTAATGTGTGTCCAAAGTTAAGAACCACTTCTTTAAATGTTTGTTAAAATAAATTGTTAGAAATAATGATCATGTAACTCACCTGGGGTGAGGTAACAGCATTTTTCCCAGTGAATCACCTGGGGCCTTAAAAAAATATCGGTACCTAAGGACTCTTCCCCTGAAAATTCTTTTTACGGTAAGTCAGGTAAATTTGGAATACAAGAAAAATAGTTCTCAAAGAGTTGTCTGGAGGACGAACAGTATCAGCATTGCCTAAGAACTAGTTAGAAATGCAAGTTATTGGGCCTTACCCCATACCTACTGAATCAGGAGTTCTGGAAGTGTAGCCCAGCAATCTGTGTTTCAAATAGTCACATGTCATTCCAACCCACTTCAAAACTTTGAGAATCACTGGTTAAAGAGCTATTTCAGGCCACAGTCATGAGTTTGATCTGTATAAAAGAAGAACCTTTATTATCTCCACAGACTATACTTTTAATCCAGGTCTTTGGCCAAATGTAAATGAATCAGTGCCCCTTATTAGTACTCTAAAGAACAGAAGTGCATGCGTTACTGGCTGGTGGCCAGAAGCAGCACATCATTCATATAAATATCATTAAAAACACTCTTTCCACTAGAGTCTAAGCTATTAGAGTGACTGCCATTAAAAACAATCAATCATCTTTGCAGAGAGTTTTTGTTGGGCACTTTCAAAGACCTTAAGACAGTCAGAGAGGCTGGGGTGGGGGCAGACAGGAATCAACAGGTTTGATTTCTGTTTTTAAACTGAGGATGAAAAATTGGTTCCCAGCTTACACATTTCTAGGCTTTGTACAGAAGTTTTGTGTTGCTCCAGGAATGTTTAAAATACCCAGTGGGAACGTCTTGGTATAGCATACTCAGTTATCCATCTGGCTACCTCAGGTGAAGTTATGTGCACAGTCCATACCACTACCAGGCAAAAGCAACTCAAGTTCAAGGCCAAGGCCAGTGCATAAGGCCACCACTTAGCAGCCATTTCCTGTAACTCCTGCTCTCATTTTAATTTTTCTCCTTTTTAAGTCCTCTTAGATACAACGATGTGGCACTTAATACCCATCCAACAGTGGATATAAAATCAACTCCAGCACTTTTGCTCAAGCAAATGCCAGGATGAATATTACTGAGCTTTTAGATATACCAGGTGGTTTTAATTTTATCCACAGGAAGTTGCCACCAATCTTGCCCTCTAGATGATAAACTAGTCAAGAGTCCATGGAACCACCTTACAGGTTAAAGCTCAAATTCCTAAGCTTGTCCTTCAAGACCCTTCAAATGGCAGCTATCCGTAATCTGTACCCCTAATTTCATCTTCACCACTTCCCCTATTTTATACTAAACTATTTGTCATTGCCTGAATACTGCACATTTTCTCATTCTACTAGGATGTAAGCTCTGTGGGAACTGGAACTTTAATTGCTGTTTTATCATTAGTGCCCAGAACAGCACGTAAAAGGCATTCAACAGATATGTAATTGTCTGTGCCTTTCCACATGCTGTCCTCTCCCTGGGATACATTTTTTTTTCCTTGCCCACTTGACAAATGCCTTTTCAGCCACAGCTCTAGACCACTGTGGGCAGAAGGAGGGAGATCTTTATTGCAGCCCTTTGTAATACTGTGTTGTAGATATATTTTAAATGTGTTCCCATTTCAATCTCCCCCACTGAACTGTGAGAGTCCTGAAGGCAGAGACTGACTGCCTCCTTGTCAATATGACACATTCAGGGCTCCCTGGCTCAAGCTCAGGAAACACTTATTGAAATCATGAATGATTCCAGCATCGAATCCCATTAGGATTCTATGGTCTGTAGCCTTCCTGAGACTTGAGGCCAATTCTATCTGTTCATGATGTTCAGCAGTTCAGGCCTAGGGAAGCACCTACAGTACAGATCAACATTGAATAAATGTGATGGAGCCAGGTTGACTCTGCTACTTCCAGCTACTGGGCAGCTACTACCCTTGGTAACTTTGATACTCTGGAGTGGAAAACACATTGACGTGCTATTTGATTCTACTAGCTTCAGCAGGAGATGACAGTGATAAAACGATATCATTCTGAAGGATTATACTTTTTTTTTTTATTATACCCTAAGTTCTGGGATACTTGTGCAGAATGTGCACGTTACATAGGTATACACACACTGTGGTGGTTTGCTGCACCCATCAATATTTCATCTATATTAGGTATTTCTCCTAATGCTATTACTACCCTAGCCCCCCACCCCCTGACAGGCCTCAGTATGTGATGTTCCCCTCCCTGTGTCCATCTGTTCTCATAGTTCAGCTCCCACTTATGAGTGAGAAGATGCGCTGTTTGGTTTTCTGTTCCTGTGTTACTTTGCTGAGAATGATGGTTTCCAGCTTCATCCATGTCCCTACAAAGGACATGAACTCATCATTTTTTATGGCTGCATAGTATTCCATGGTGTATATGTGCCACATTTTCTTAATCCAGTCTATCACTGATGGGCATTTGGGTTGGTTCCAAGTCTTTGCTATTGTGAATAGTGCTGCAATAAACATACATGTGCATGTGTCTTCATAGCAGCATGATTTATAATCCTTTGGGTATATACCCAGTAATGGAATTGCTGAGTCAAATGGTATTTCTGGTTCTAGATCCTTGAGGAATTGCCACAGTGCCTTCCACAATGGTTGAACTAATTTACGCTCCCACCAACAGTGTAAAAAGTTCCTATTTCTCCACGTCCTCTCTAGCATCTGTTGTTTCCTGACTTTTTAATGATCGCCATTCTAACTGGCGTGAGATGGTATCTCATTGTGGTTTTGACTTGCATTTCTCTAATGACCAGTGACGATGACCATTTTTTTCATATATTTGTTGGCCACATAAATGTCTTCTTTTGAGAAGTGTCTGTTCATATCCTTTGCCCACTTTTTGATGGGGTTGTTTTTTCTTGTAAATTTGTTTAAGTTCCTTATAGATTCTGGATATTAGTCCTTTGTTAGATGGATAGATTGCAAAATTTTTCTCCCGTTCTATAGGTTGCCTGTTCACTCTGAAGATAGTTTTTTTTTTTTTTTTTTTTTTTTTTTTTTGCTATGCAGAAGCTCTTTAGTTTAATTAGATCCGATATGTCAATTTTGTTTTTTGTTGCCATTACTTTGGTGTTTTAGTCATGAAGTGTTTGCCCATGCCTATGTCCTAAATGCTATTGCCTAGGTTTTCTTCTAGGATTTTTATGGTTTTAGGGCTTATGTTTAAGTGTTTATACCATCTTGAGTTAATTTTTGTGTAAGGTGTAAGGAAGGGGTCCAGTTCCAGTTTTCTGCATATGGCTAGCCAGTTTTCCTAACACCATTGATTAAATAGGGACTCCTTTCCCCATAGCTTGTATTTGTCAGGTTTGTTAAAGATCAGATGGTTGTAGATGTGTGGCAGTATTTCTGAGGCCTCTGTTCAGTTCCATTGGACTATACATCTGTTTTGGTACCGGTAATATGCTGTTTGGTTACTGTAGCCTTGTAGTATAGTTTGAAGTTAGGTAGCATGATGCCTCCACCTTTATTCTTTTTGCTTAGGAATGTCTTGGCTATATGGGCTCTTTTTTGGTTCCATATGAAATTTGAAGTAGTGTTTTTTTTTTAATTCTGTGAAGAAAGTCAGTGGTAGCTTGATGGGGATAGCATTGAATCTGTAAATTACTTTGGGCAGTATGGCCATTTTCATGATATTGATTCTTCCTATCCATGAGCATGGAATGCTTTTCTATTTGTTTGTGTCCTCTCTTATTTTGTTGAGCAGTGGTTTTTAGTTCTTGGTGAGGTCCTTCACATCCCTTATAAGTTGTACTCCTAGGTATTTTATTCTCTTTGTAGCAATTTTAAATGGGAGTGCACTCATGATTTGGCTCTCTGTTTGTCTATTATTGCTGTATGGGAATGCTTGTGATTTTTGCACATTGATTTTGTATCCTGAGACTTTGCTGAAGTTGCTTATCAGCTTAAGAAATTTTGGGCTGAGATGATGGGGTTTTCTAAATATACAATCATGTCATCTGCAAACAGGGACAATTTGACTTCCTCTCTTCCTATCTGAATACACTTTCTTTCTTTCTCTTGCCTGATTGCCCTGGCCACAGCTTCCAATACTATGTTGAATAGGAGTGGTGAGGGAGGGCATCCTTGTCTTGTGCCAGTTTTCAAAAGGAGTGCAGCCAGGTTTTGCCCGTTCAGTAAGATATTGGCTGTGGGTTTGTCAAAAACAGCTCTTATTATTTTGAGATACATTTCATTAATACCTAGTTTATTGACAGTTTTTAGCATGAATAGGTGTTGAATTTTATCCAAGGCTTTTTTCTGCATCTATTGAGATAATCATGTGGTTTTTGTCATTGGTTTTGTTTATGTGATGGATTACATTTATTGATTTGCATATGTGGAACAAGCCTTGCATCCCAGGGATGAAGCTGACTTGATCATGGTGGATAAGCTTTTTGATGTGCTGCTAGATTTGGTTTGCCAGTGTTTTATTGAAGATTTTTACATCAATGTTCATCAAGGATATTGGCCTGATATTTTCTTTTTTTGCTATGTCTCTGCCAGGTTTGGTTTCAGGATGATGCCGGCCTCATAAAATGAGTTAGGGAGGATTCACTGTTTTTCTATTGTTTGGAATAGTTTCAGAAGAAATGGTACCAGCTCCTCTTTGTACCTCTGGTAGAATTCGGCTGTGAATCCATCTGGCCCTCGACTTTTTTTGGTTGGTAGGCTATTAATTACTGCCTCAATTGCAGAACTTGATATTGGTCTATTCAGGGATTCGACTTCTTCCTGGTTTAGTCTGGGGAAGGTGTGTGTCCAGGAATGTATCCATTTCTTCTTCATTTTCCAGTTTATTTGCATAGAGGTGTTTGTAGTATTCTCTGATGGTAGTTTGTATTTCTGTGTGATCGGTGGTGATATCCTCTTTATCATTTTTTATGGTGTCTATTTGATTCTTCTCTTTTCTCCTTTAGTAGTCTGGCCAGTGGTCTACTTGGTTGATCTTTTCAAAAAACCAGCTCCTGGATTCATTGATTTTTTGAAGGGTTTTTCGTGTCTCTATCTCCTTCAATTCTGCTCTGATCTTAGTAATTTCTTGTCTTCTGCTAGCTTTTGAATTTGTTTGCTCTTGTTTCTCTAGCTCTTTTAATTGTGATATTAGGGTATTGATTTTAGATCTTTCCCCCTCTCTCCTGTGGGCATTTAGTGCTATAAATTTCCCTCTAAACACTGCTTTAGCTGTGTCCCAGAGATTCTGGTGCATTGTGTCTTTGTTCTCATCAGTTTCAAATAACTTATGTATTTCTGCCTTCATTTTGTTATTTACCCAGTAGTCATTCAGGAGCAGGTTGTTCAGATTCCATGTAGTTGAGTGGTTTTGAGTGAGTTTCTGAATCCTGAGTTCTAGTTTGATTACACTGTGGTGTAAGACTGTTTGTTATGATTTCTGTCCTTTTGCATTTGCTGAGGACTGTTTTACTTCCAATTATGTGGTCAATTTTAAAATAAATGTTATGTGGTGCTGAAAAGAATGTATATTCTGTTGATTTTGGGTGAAGAGTCCTATAGATGTCTATTAGGTCCACTTGGTCCAGAGCTGAGTTGAAGTCCTAAATATCCTTGTTAATTTTCTGTCTCATTGATCTGTGTAATATTGACAGTGGGGTGTTAAAGTCTCCCACTATTATTATGTGGGAGTCTAAGTCTCTTTGTCTGTCTCTAAGAACTTGCTTTATGAATCTGGGTGCTCCTGTATTGGGTGCATATATATTTAGGATAGTTAGCTCTTCTTGTTGAATTGATCCCTTTACCATTATGTAATGCCTTTCTTAGCCTTTTTTGATCTTTTTTGGTTTAAAGTCTGTTTTATGAGAGAATAGGATTGCAACCCCTGCTTTTTTTTGGTTTTCCCTTTGTTTGCTAAATATTCCTCCATCCTTTTATTTTAAGACTATGTGTGTCTTTGCACGTGAGATGGGTTTCCTGAATACGGCACACCGATGGGTCTTGACCCTTTATCCAATTTTCCAGTCTGTGTCTTAATTGGGGCATTTAACCCATTTACATGGAAGGCTAATATTGTTATGTGTGAATTTGACCCTGTCATTATGATGGTAGCTGGTTATTTTGCCTGTTAGTTGATGCAGTTTCTTCATACTATCAACGGTCTTTACAATTTGGTATGTTTTTGCAGTGGCTGGTACTATTTTTTTTCTTTTCATATTTAGAGCTTCCTTCAGGAGCTTTTGTAAAGCAGGCCTGGTGGTGAAAAAATCTCTCAGCATTTGCTTGTCTGTAAAGGATTTTATTTCCCCTTCGCTTATGAAGCTTAGTTTGGCTGGATATGAAATTCTGGGTTGAAAATTCTTTTCTTTACGAATGTTGAATATTGGCCCCCACTCTATTCTGGCTTGTAGGGTTTCTGCAGAGAGATCCACTGTTAGTCTGGTGGGCTTCCCTTTGTGGGTAACCCAACCTTTCTCTCTTCCTGCCCTTAACATTTTTTCCTTCATTTCAACCTTGGTGAATTTGACAATTATGTGTCTTGGGTTTGCTCTTCTTGAGGAGTATCTTTGTGAGGTTTTCTGTATTTCCTGAATTTGAATGTTGGCCTGTCTTGCTAGGTTGGGGAAGTTCTCCTGGATAATATACTGAAGAGTGTTTTCCAACTTGGTTCCATTCTCCCCATCACTTTCAGGTACACCAATCAAACGTAGATTTGGTCTTTTCACATAGTCCCATATTTCTTGGAGGCTTTGTTTGTTCCTTTTCATTCTTTTTTTCTCTAATCTTGTCTTCATGGTCTATTTCATCAAGTTGATCTTCAATCTCTGATATCCTTTCTTCTGCTTCATCAATTAAGCTATTGATACTTGTGTATTCTTCATGAGTTCTCGTGCTGTGTTTTTCAGCTCCATCATTCATTTCTGTTCTTCTCTAAACTGGTTATTCTAGTTAGCAATTTCTCTAACCTTTTTTCAAAGTTCTTAGCTTCCTTGCATTGGGTTAGAATACGCTCCTTTTGCTTGGAGGAGTTTGTTATTATCCACTTTCTGAAGCCTATTTCTGTCAATTCGTCAAACTCATTCTCCATCCAGTTTTGTTCCCTTGCTGGTGAGGAGTTGTGATCCTTTGGAGGAGAAGAAGCATTCTGATTTTTGGAATACTCAGCCTTTTTGTGCTGGGTTTTCCTCATCTTCGTGTATTTATCTTCCTTTGGTCTTTGATGTTGGTGATCTTCGGATGTGGTTTATGTGTGGATGTCTTTTTTGTTGATGTTGACGCTATTCCTTTCTGTTTGTTAGTTTTCCTAACAGTCAGGCCCCTCTGCTGCAGGTCTGCTGGATACTCCATGCCCTGTTTGCCTGGGTATCACCAGTGGAGGCTACAGAACAGTAAAAATTGCTGCCTGTTCCTTCCTCTGGAAGCTTTGTCCCAGAGGGGCACCTGCCAGATGCCAGCTGGAGCTCTCCTGTATGAGGTGTCTATTGAGCCCTGCTGGGAGGTGTCTCTCAGTCAGGAGTCATGGAGGTCAGGGACCCACTTGAGGAGGCAGTCTGTCTCTTAGTAGAGCTTGAGTGCTGTGCTGCGTGATCCACTGCTCTCTTCAAGGCCAACAGGCAGGAACGTTCAAGTCTGCTGAAGCTGCACCCACAACCACCCCATCCCCCAAGTGCTGTGTCCCAAGGAGATGGGAGTTTGCTCTATAAGCCCCTGACTGCGGCTGCTGCATTTCTTTCAGAGATGCCTTTACCAGAGAGGAGGAATCTAGACAGGTAGTCTGGCTACAGTGGCTTTGCTGAGCTGCAGTGGGCTCTGCCCAGTCTGAACTTCCCTGCGGCTTTGTTTACACTGTGAGGGGAAAACCGCCTACTCAAGCCTCAGTAATGGCGGATGCCCCTCCCCCCACCAAGCTTGAGCATCCCAGATAGACTTCAGACTGCTGTGCTGGCAGCGAGAATTTCAAGCCAGTGGATCTTAGCTTGCTGGGCTCTGTGGGGGTCGGATCCCCTGAGCTAGACCACTTAGCTGCCTGGCTTCAGCCCCCTTTCTAGGAGAGTGAACGATTCTGTCTCACTGGTCTTCCAGGTGCCACTGGGGAATGAAAAAAATCTCCTGCAGCTAGCTTGGTGGCTGCTCAAACAGCCGCCCAGTTTTGTGCTTGAAACCCAGGACCCTGGTGGCGTAGGCAGCCAAGGGAATCTCCTGGTCTGTAGGTTGTGAAGACCATGGGAAAAGCATAGTATCTGGGCCAGAGTGCAGTGTTGCTCATGGCACAGTCCCTCACGGCTTCCCTTGTCTAGGAGAGGGAGTTCCTGACCACTTGTACTTTCCCGGTGAGGCAATGCCCCACCCTGCTTCAGCTCCCCATCCATGGGCTGCACCCACTGTCTAACCAGGCCCAATGAGATGCACCTGGTACCTCAGCTGGAAATGCAGAAATCACCTGCCTTCTGTGTAGATCACGCTGGGAGCTGCAGATCGGAGCTGTTCCTATTCAGCCATCTTGCCCAGGAACGTACACTGTTTAAGTACATATTTTCTTAGAATAAAACAGAAACATTTTTCTATTTCTTATAAAAATAGTTTATAGTAAAAACTTTCCTAATTTAGACCCATGAGAAAGTCATTTTGAATTAATGCAAATATGAGTTATGGAATATGCCTCAACTCCATACAAGTAACAAAGATACTATTTTTTTCAGAATCTTACTATTCATTAGAGAGGAAGTTTTATAATGAACATACTAAAGCATAGTCCTAAAAAAAAAAAAAGTTTAGGCCCTTGTGCTACCAAACTTGTCTAGATCAGCAATACCAAATGTGTTTGGATGTAGTTTATTTCCTCAGTGTAGGTAAATAACACGCTTATATATGTTTTTAAGTGTGAGTTTTTGAGAAAATCCTTTGCTCCACTAATTATTGATTCCAAATTTTAATTTGGTTTTGCAAAATAGCAAAACCAGGTTTTGCTATTTTAATATCACATGATAACACTAGGCACAGTACAGTGGAATTAAAATAAACATTTCCGACACCCAGGAGCTCACAAGGTTTTCTTTTATAAAAAGTATTTTTTTTTTCAAAACTCTATTCCTTGAGGCCCCTCAGGGCATGTTGAGGGTAGGGGCAGGAGTGAAAGAAGTGGGCCAAGCTCTAGACCCCCTTCTTGCCACCGTCACTTCAAAGATTCCAGGTTCATGTTGCTTTCCAAACAAATTGGGTTCTATGTGAGAATGAGTTTGAACAAAGTGTTCTGTAACAGAAAAAAAAAAGTGAAAGCCACTGTTTTATAACAGTGACAGACACATAGAGGACATCTAGACAGGGAAACAAAAATATTAAATTGATACATAAATAGACCCTGAAAGATTTACATCCCCCACAGGCCAAGGTTAAATGCATTTTATTGGTGCAGAGCAGTGTAACTGTCGGAACGGGTGGAGAGCTCTGGGAAGGGAGCTGTCACCTCCCTACTGATCTACCCAAAAAGGCCTCACAGAGAAAGGAGGAAGTGAAAGGCTGTTGGATGAAAGGAAGACAGCATAGCAGGGTGCAGAAGAGAAAAGCAGGATATTCCAAGCCCAGGTCAAAATAGCAAATGGACTCCAGCATTATTAAAAAGAAAAATATCACTGCTAAATCCATTAATGGCCATAAAACCATCACCCTTCTCCTCATTAGACAGGATTGTTCTTTATTCTCTTTGGGTTCAGCAAGGTCCACTATTTCATACCCCCATCCCTGCCTTTCCGCGCTCTCTCTTCCTCTCCTGACTCTTGTCATTCTCTTCTTTCCCTTAGAGCTCCCTCATTCCCTCAGCTTGATGTCTCAGCAACTGTGGAGAGCTGCTTAAACATGAAACCCACTCACAGTGACTCTGTTGACCTTTATGGTAGCTGAAGAAGCCCGCTCATGGCCTTGGGCTGAGCTGAGTGGAGTGAACCATCACTGCCTGTGCTGCCAGAAGGAACAGCTTATGTTCCCCTTTCCCTGTGAAGCATCCCAAACAGGAAGCTGTGGGAAACCTGTTGAAGAAAGACCTATCTCATTCTCTGGCTGAGGCTGGAAGACCTGACTAGTTCTGCCTCCTGGGAGGATCAAAGTGTGGAGAAAGGTCTTCAGGGTAGGCAATCCAACTTGAGGCAGGACATTCAACAACTCTTTAAAAAGAAATTATTACAGTTATGTATCTTTGGTCTCTTACTTTTGTACATGAACACTCCTTGAGGGTTTCCTGAGTCCTCTAAATGTCAAACCTGGTATTCAGCATCTATTTCCATTATTTTCTTTAAATAAGTACCTACTAACTAACCAGACAATGCTAGACACTTTCCATACTCTATCTTTTCGATTATTTAAGTATACTTGATAAATGCTAAAAGAAAAAAGCGTGAGTTTCTCTGCATCTTTTCTTATGTATTAAAGCACCATTATTAACTGAACTCTCCTTTCTGGAAATGCTTTTCAGATACCTTCATGTCTAAGATATCTCATTAGCTTACATCTTTCTCTTTCCCATATACACCATGCACTCACTCAAAAAAGTAACAACCAAAATATAAAAGCCTTCGGTAACATTTTAAAGTTAAAAAGTAAACTGCCTTGTTTCAATGAGCACTTTCTCATTATAAACTTTCCAAGCACAAAATTTAAAAGATCCTTATGCTTAATCTTACCATTAAGCATTAGTAAGAAACATAAGACAGCATTAAAAGGCAGTATGAGTAAAGGATTATTAGACTGTTATACATGCAGTTAACTCTTTTCAGCCCTAAGCAAGAAAAAGGGTTTAAGTCATATTAAAATCAACCAGTGTGTATTTATAGAGTACTCACTCTATACCTAGCACTGTTTGGCACCAGAGCATTTTGAGTTTAGGCCTTCAAATACTTTACAATTTTGATATAGAGGCAAGAGCTACACATGTAGAAGGAGAAATATTGCCCATATCCACATATCTAAGTAGAAAACTCCTATAACGAAGGGCTAAGTAGTATGCAACAGCACTCAACTTTTTTTTGCCCCAGCATACTGAAGGTATAACACATACTTTCATCACTAAGTGTGGTGATACCTCTAGACAGCAAGGTCTTGATGGGGTGGGGCTGGACAGAGAGTATCCTCTAGGAAATGTATCAGTATCTCATTGAGGTAGGATTATAATTTGAAAATGCTCCCAGGTGACCTGAGAGCCCCCATCAGCAGGGGGAGTTCCCTCTTCCTTTCCCAAATTCTATCCTACACTCTGGCATAAAGAATTGTTGGAATGGCCAAAGTACAACAGCAACCCAAAAAAGAGAGAAGTCACATAATATAGGGCCTTTTGACAAGCTTTAATGAAATGGGACTTCAACTACACCTTAAAGATGACATGGTTTTGACTATGATGAAAATAAATCTAACATCCCAGACTTTCTCTTTGGACATACTGAGGCCTCTATGATCATGTGTCTGAGGTGCAGGGGACTTGAAGATAGCACAAACCATGTGGAATATTTAGCAGTTAAAATTCAAATAATGTTCTATTTTTATCAAAATAATGTACACACACAATTTCAAAGGACAAAAAGTGCTAGAACACTTAGAAATAAAGACAACAGACTCTGGCACATAGCTTTCCGTCATTGTCACTACCTTGCCCCATAAGGTTAGTACATTTTCTAATTTCTTAGCAATGTATTCTAGTATTTCCTCTAAGTGGTTATGTGTGTACAGCAGTCCCTCCTTATCCATGGTTTAACTTTTCTTTTCAGTTACCAGAGGTCAGCTGGAGCCCGAAAATAGGCGAGGAGAGTACAATAAGATTTTGAGAGAGAGATCACATTCACATGACTTTTATTATAGTGTATTGTCATAATTCATAATGGTTCTATTTCATTAATTATTGTTGTTACTTTCTTACTGTGCACAATTTATAAATTAAATGTTATTAGGCATGTAAAAGTGGGAAAACATATAGTATATAAAAGATTTGATACTCTCAGCGGTTTCAGGCATCCACTGGGGGTCATGGAACAGATCGCCAGTGGAAAAGGGGGAACTACTGTACCGCAATCTCCTGATTCATCAAATTAAAATTTATCTACTGTTTTCTGATTATGTGAGATAAGTATTTTAGCTCTTTTCACTTCCTTTATTATTCTAATGAACTGTATTTCATTGATTCCAAGACGCATTGTTTTTATACCTTTTAACATCTCTGAAATTTATATGCACTTTATAATGAATGTGTGTCATACTTTTTTTCTTTCTTCCTGGCACTTTAAATAATGGTGCATCTTACAATTAAAAGTATCTTGGATTGATGAAATAAGTTTCGATTGAATCCATTTTCAGTGCTTCATTATTATGGCTATATAAATAGTATTTACTGTGGAGTTAAGTAGTGACTCAATTACATTTTTCTTAACTTTCCACTCCCACTGAAATAATTGTACATTTTTTTGCCTGCTCAATTTTTTTGAACCTATAGGCAATTTTCCCCAAACATGTAAAATGTCTCTCAATATAGTCTCAATATAATTTTCTACATGGCTAAAAACTATCAAATAATATATAACTTTTTTGTAAACTTCTCTCTGGAGCCCTGCACATTTCTGCTCCAATTTCGGCTGGGTACTGTAGGTTTGCTACCCAGGTGTCATCATGGGACTTCCCTTTGCCTTAATCTCAGAAATTTCCTTTGCTTTTTTCCTGTATTAAATTTCCTGCTCACTAGATCTCATGTCGTTTTTCACTCCCTAGTTTTAGGGACATATATTCATGAAGAGCGGCTTTAGAAATCATTTCACTTGGAGTTGTTTGTTTGTTTTAATACTTTAAGTTCTGGAGTGCATGTGCACAACGTGCAGTTTTGATACATAGGTATACGTGTACCATGCTGGTTTGCTGCACCCATCAACTCATCATTTACATTAGGTATTTCTCCTAATGCTATCCCTCCCCCAGCCCCCCTCCCCCTGACAGGCCCCAGTGTGTGATGTTACCCGCCCTGTGTCCAAGTGATCTCATTGTTCAATTCCCACCTATGAGTGAGGACGTGCGGTGTTTGGTTTTCTGTCCTTATGATTGTTTGCTGACAATGATGGTTTCCAGCTTCATCCACGTCCCTGCAAAGGACATAAACTCATCCTTTTTTATGGCTCCATAGTATTCCATGGTGTATATGTGCCACATTTTCTTAATCCAGTCTATCATTGATGGACATTTCGGTTGGTTCCAAGTCTTTGCTATAGTGAATAGTGCTGCAATAAACATACATGTGCATGTGTCTTTATAGCAGCATGATTTATAATCCTTTGGGTATATACCCAGTAACGGGATTGCTGAGTCAAATGGTATTTCTAGTTCTAGATCCTTGAGGAATTGCCACACTGTCTTCCACAATGGTTGAACTAATTTACACTCCCACCAATAGTGTAAAAGTGTTCCTATTTCTTCACTTGGAGTTTTGAAAGCATGACTGCACTCTCTTCTACTTAGTAATGTTTCTACTAGGAAGGCTGATACAATTCTAATCCCCAGTTCTTTGAAATACTTTAGGATCCTTCTGACTTTCCTGGTATTTTGAAATGTTGCCAGTTGATGTGCTTCAGTGTAGATGTCTTTCATATTTCACAGACTCCAGATTTCTATTAGTCTTCCACTCTTATTGGCCTAGCTGTGGTCCACAGGCCTATTTTGGCGGCTTCCAGTAACCCTGTAACACTTGGAGACTCTCGCCCAGGCTCTCCTTCATCACCCAGGTTCTGCAGTCTTGACTTTGCAGCCAATTCCATTACAAGCTAAGAATTCCAGGCATGAACTGGTGAGCACGTCCCATTATTTGTCTTCCCCTGAGAGGACACGGCAGGAGTCGTAAATAAGCCTGTTCCTTGTGTTCTCTCCCTGAGATCTCTCTTCTCATCTGTGGAGCTCAGAACTTCCTGAGCTCTGTTCTAAGCAATAATAAAGATTGCTAATGCCTTTATCTGGTCAGTATCTTTAAACTGCCATTCCAACTGGTGACTAGTTGTTTCATGGCATTCATTTAAAATCGAATTTTAAAAATAAGATATGAAATACTTTGTGATAAAGTATTTTCTCTGCCAATGGAGAAGATATATGTAGACATGCTTGGGGAGGGAGTTCAAATTTATACAGTAAAAACTACCTAAAAAGGCAGAATAGTGTGGCGGCTCAGAAGCCAGGTGCTAGAAGTCTGGGGTTTGAATTCTAGCTCTCACACTTATTAGCTGTATGAGCTCATGAAGCTTACCCACTCCTCTAAGACTGTTCCTCTATCTGCAAAATGGTGATAACAACGGTACTTATGTCACACAGCTATTATGAGAACTAAATGAGGTAAGTATACATGTTGCTTAGCAAAAACGGCGGCTATTATTATTATTATTATTATTTTTTTTTTTTGAGACGGAGTCTGGCTCTGTCGCCCAGGCTGGAGTGCAGTGGCGCCATCTCGGCTCACTGCAAGCTCCGCCTCCCGGGTTCACGCCATTCTCCTGCCTCAGCCTCTCCTAGTAGCTGGGACTACAGGCGCCCGCCACCACGACCGGCTGATTTTTTGTATTTTTAATAGAGACGGGGTTTCACCGTGGTCTCGATCTCCTGACCTCGTGATCCGCCCGCTGCGGCCTCCCAAAGTGCTGGGATTACAAGCGTGAGCCACCGAGCCCGGCCTATTATTGTTCTTGACTGACACTAATTACAGGAGAAAACTGCTTACTTCCAGCCTTTTTTTTTTTTTTAACTTGTTAAATGAGAATACTGAGAGTGCTTGCTTTATAGGGTAATTTTGAAGAAGAAATGGTTAAATGATCATAAACACTTGCTCAGTGTTGCTCACAATAAGCACTGAATAACACACGGACACACACGTGCACACACACACACCCTCGTCTTTTACTCAAATATTCTGAGCTGACCTGTCTGGACCAGAGATTATGTTTCTAGGTCAAAATTCAGTCAGTGCTTTGTGCCACATAGTTACTGCTACTGGATTCAAAGCAGCTCCTCCTTCCTTTCATTTTGGATAAGAACACTTTTTGTCATCTGATTTTGCTTTCTGGTGTTCCCTTCAATTAAACAAGAAGAGTCTGTTTCTCTGTAAGACTCATGGGCCGTATATCTTTATTTTTACCCTGCACGGCTCTCTGGTACTTTTGGTATCTTGTCACTCCTTTCCTGTGTGTAAATAATTGCCATACTCCATACCTTTATCTTAATTGGAGTCTCTCAGGAGTTTGCCTTTTATTCTACCCTCCACCCTCACCTGAGCTGTGAATTCTGTCTCTTTACTTTTCCGGGAATACGTCCTAGCTCACAGAATTTGTGCCTGGTTGTGGCAGATTCCAATTGACAAACAATGGGTTAGCAGAATGGAGACTAATTCAAACCTGCAGGTCTGTTTTTATGATGCTACTTTATCATCTCATGTTAAAGAAACAGGTGAAATAGGACGTGGGACTGAATGATAAATGCTGCCAATAAAACAATAGCATCACATCCCCAGCTCCAAAAGGATACCAAATGACCCTCAGAAGACTTTTGCTGCGGTTCAAAGGGTTCTCATTTCTGAAATACTAGGTACAATATTTTTTAACAGAGCAAATAGAGCCCAAGAGATAGTAAGTCTTTTAAACACTTCTCTCCCTTTCCCTTCAGTTAAGAGGAGCCAAGTTAATATATTTTTCTTCAAATTGAGCCCAAGGGACACTACTCACCCCTAGGGGGCTACAAAAGGTATTTGGGAGCCTAACCAGCAGCGAAAGACAGATGGCAGGCTCTGCAGCAACCGCAGGTTCACCTGAGGGATGCATATTAAGCACATGACCTTTTACGGAGCCTTTTTGACACATATTCCTTTTGAATTTGACCCCTTTAATTTTCGTGTGGCAACTTGCAGTTCATGATGCCTTGGGGCTAGTTATAATAAGTTCACGTCTGAGATTACACATCTGATATTTATAAAAACACAAATACTGAAGAACTTTCTCCAGGCAGGAAATGACAAATCTTTGGTAGGCTATTTTCAGGACTTAAAAAAAAAAAAGAAAAAGAAAAAAAGAAAAAAGTTAGTTGGTGATGAACTAACCATTGAGAGTAAAACGATGTTGCCTTACTGCATATTGAAACCAGTTCCTCCTAACAAAAACGCCAAAAGTCACTATCTATACACTTTAATACTGTGCAGTAAGTCCCTGGCAATCCCCAGTAATCTGCAGCATTACACAGACTGCACCAAATGGGACATGAGATAATACGGGCTGACTTAATTAGACTCTGGGATGTGGGAAAATCGTGACCCTGTTAGTCCAATTTTGTTATTTCCCAGCAAATTCCAGTTGGAAAATGTGATCTTCAGGTGATAACACTTCCTTAACTTTTATGTATCTCTTTTTATTACATCAGAAGAGCCTGGTGGAGGTGGTGGTGGTGGCCAGTGGCAGTTCTGGGATGTTTTCTTTTAAAAAGTACTCAACTTCAGCATTTGCCAGCAACTATTGTTTAAGCCTCTGAGATACAAAGTCCTCCTCCAAAGCAATGCTGCATTTTTAGCCTTAAAGGTACAGATTCTTAATTACATTGACCTCCAGCGTAAATGAGAGAAACCACAAGAGAGCCACACTGTGGTTTCTTGCTCAAGGATGATCTACAGTAAAATGCTCAATCCTGGCTCTGTGGACTATTTAGAGCCAGCTATTCCAGCAAAGGACTTTAAACTAGTAAAATACATAGGAACTAAACTCATTGTTCTATTCCCTTTTAAAAAATATCTGTATGTAACTCATTTTTTCTTTTTATTTTGAAAACTTCAAACATATAGAAAAGTTTAAAGAATAATATAATGCAACATTAAGGTTTTACCAAATTTATTTATATGTATATGCATCCATATTTAATATAGATATATAATATTGTTTACTTTTGCTGAACTTTTTGAAAGCTTTGCCATCATGACAATTAACCTCTAAGTTATTTAATATGAATTCTCTTATATCACCATGTCATTATCAAATCTAAGATAAAAATAATTCCCTAATATAATATCCAATGCATATTAAATATTCCTTGTTATCCAAATTTTTTTATTTTATTACAGCTTGTCAATTTGAGGCAGAATCTAATCAAGTTTCACATATTATATTTGGTTATGTTTTATACTCTCTTTTAATCTAGAACAGTCCCTACAACTGTTTTGTTTGTTTGCTTTTTAAAGATCTTGACTTGCTCAAGAGACTAGTTGTCTTTAGAATGTTTCATATTTTGAATTTGTCTGATTTTTCCCTTGAAATATCATTAACTTGTCCCTTTATTTCCTGAATTTTCTGTCAACTAAAAGTTAGGCCTAAAGGCTTGTTTAGATGCAAGGTAAACATTTTTGGCCAGGATACTTCACTGATTATGCATTTCATGTTATATTGCATCATTACCAGGAGGCACATAATACTAGGTTATATTAGTAATACTAAGGTTAATCACTTAATATCACTTAATTAAGGTCGTGACAGATCTCTCCAACATAAGGCATATATTCTTCTTTATGTTAATACATTTTTAAAAATCCAAATGTATGTCTTTTTTGATGGCACTTAATTATATTGTGTAAAATTCATTACAGATTTTATCTAATGCAAGAATTTTTAAGGTCAATCCATGCTTGGAGTATGTACATGAACTATTTAGAATTGTTTGCAAAATGTGGGCATATTCCTGGGCAGGATGAAATTCAAGAAATTTTCCAAGGGAATGAAGACACAAAAGTGATTAAGAATAACAGTTGCAGCCGGGCACCGTGGCTCATGCCTGTAATCCCAACACTTTGGGAGGCCGACGCAGGCAGATCATGAGGTCAAGAGATAGAGACCATCCTGGCCAAAATGGTGAAACTCCATCTCTACTAAAAATACAAAAAATTATCTGGACATGGTGGTGCATGCCTGTAGTCCCAGCTACTCAGGAGGCTGAAGCAGAAGGATTGCTTGAACCCAGGAGGCTGAGGTTGCAGTGAGCCAAGATCGCGCCACTGCACTCCAGCCTGGTGACAGAGTGATACTCTGTCTAAAAAAAAAAAAAATGAATAACGGTTGCAGTCAAAATCTCCATCCTTGAATTCTATTTTAATATCATCCATTTTGCCCTCTCCTTATGTTGGCAATTTGTTGCTTCGTACACTGTGACCTCTCGGTAAAGCTAATGATTTACTGACCTGGGCCCTCATTGCCACAATTAATGAACTCATCACTTTTGGGTTGCAAAGTTGCGTGGCCCATTCTATAGTGACCATGTTATATAGTGCAGCATACAGGTTGATGCTTTCTAAGGACATTAAGCAGCAGCAGCATGCCACACACACATACAGCAAGAGGAAATGGGATGTGAGTGCCTGGGAGGAGAAGGGAGAGACAGCCACACGCTGTGATCTAAGCTGATCTTGGTACTGATAAGAGGAAGGGAGAAAGAGAGCAGAAGAAGGAGCAAAGAGGAAGAGGGAAGATAGAAGAAGGACATAGAAGTCTATCTAATATAACCAAATGAGAGAAAGCATGGCAGGCCTTCCTCTGACTCTTATGACCTATGGGGATTCCCATAAAACACTTGTTCAGTCAGTTTCCTCCAACAGTTACCCACCTTCCACCGGGTATTATTTATTATGTGACTTTATTCTGAAAAATTCTTCAAAATGAAGAACTTGGGGGTATGAGAGAAGGGGGTGCACAGCTCAGTTCAGAGCCCCCTCTGGAGTCTGAAGACTGAGAGCTTTCCTTAGAAAGGGCTCAAGCATTCCCACAGCATTTTCCCTTCCCACTCAGTTCAAGACAGGCCCAGTCTTCCAATATCACCACCAGGCAGTGCCAGCTTAGACTATGTGGCTCCTCTGTGCAAACCTGGAAAAAGGCAACCCACCTGGACAGATGAATTAGACAAAGGTACTCAGCCCCAGGAAAACACAGTCACACGGGCTCCCAGCCCAGCCACAGAACCTGGGCAAGATTTTGGCTCTCTTCACTCCTATGGCTGGGCAGCATTGCTGTTATTTTTAGCACACAAAACAAAAGACCACAATAAGTAGATGCAGGAAAAGCAATTCAAGGAAGAACTTCCTTTTATTTCTGTTTCCAATATTAGAGGAAACCTGAAGAATTCTAAGTTTATAAATACACTCCTGCTAAAGCATCCCACTCCACTAATAAAGTGGATTCTTTTTGAACTTTAAGAAAACCACTCCACATCAACCTGGGAATCAGACGATTTTTGGCGTGAAATTTTAGGTTGGCAATTACAGGTATTTCATTCATATTGGTTCATTTATCCCCAGTAATGCCTCTGTGTTTTATAATGAAAACCTCAGCACAGGAACTCTCCTCGTAAGCCCATGCAGCTGGATGACAACTTAGATTCATGGTTCTGAGTCTGGTAACTGATTTTTCCTATTAGCTTCAAGGAAATATTTTCCCTGTTATTTTATGTTTAGTACAGTTTAATATGGCTATTGTAATATATCACCTCCTCCTCCACCCCATTCTCCAACCCATTTTTGGCCTATTAGAAGCACCATATTCCTTATTTAGTACTTGCAAATCCTTCAGTTGTATAGTCTATATAAGAAACTCATGCAGTCTCTAGAACTAAGACTCACTTTATGGGCAGAAGGTAATACATCTTGACAATAACCAGTTAAACAGAAGGTTATTTTCCTTCCTATATGGGACGGAGCCCACATACAATCCTGCAGAGGGGAAATAAGGCCAAATTGCATATGAAGTGCTCAGTGTCTTATCTTCCCCATGATTCTTCATTTGCTTACTCTGGTATGGCCTGAGAAAAAGTGTGAAGTCAGGAAAGTTCATCTTTTTTCACTCTTTATGCATACCTTTCGGTATTCTCCGCTGAGCTTGGCACCCAGGGCCTGTGCTACCAGCAGGCCCACGGCACTGGCCCAGACAGTATTCTTAAGATGATGACTGCTGGTCTAGTCAATTAATATGATTTTTGAAGTTAACTAGTCTCCAGTTCTTGATGACATATGCCTCCTTGTAGAAGTCACCAAACTACATGGACCAAATGTAGCTGGCAGCTTAATTTATTAAAATAAAGTTTTATTGCTGAACTACTTATTTGATCCAGCAATCCCATTACGGGACAAACATCCAAAAGAAAACAAATTGTTGTACCAAAAAGACACAAGCATTTGCATGTTCACTGTAGCACCATTCACAATAGCAAAGACATGGAATCAACCTAGGTGCCCATCAGTGGTGGATTGGATAAAGAAAATGTGGTACACATACACCACTGAATACGATGCAGCCATAAAGAAGAATAAGATCATGTCTGGCACTTAGTATTCCCTCAAAGTACTAATTATACCTCCTCTTCTTTTTCCAGCTGGTTCTACTCTAATCTTGATACCTCCAATTCCTCAACAACCATGACCGGATTTGAGCCCCTGTATTAGTCAAGGTTCTCTAGAAGGACAGAACTAATAGGATATATGTATATATGAAAGGGAGTTTATTAAAGAGCACTGACTCACATGATCACAAGGTAATCCCATGATAGGTTATCTGCAAGTTGAGGAACAAGGAAGCTAGTGGTGGATCAGTCTCAGTCCCAAAACCTCAAAAGCAGGGAAGCCAACAGTTCAGCCTTCAATCTGTGGCCAAAGACCTGAGAGACCCTGGCAAACCATTGGTTTAAGTCCAACAGACCAAAAGCTGAAGAACTGGGGTCTGATGTTCCAGGGCAGGAAGCATCCAGCACCGGGGAAAGATGAAGGCTGGAAGACTTAGCAAGTCTGCTCTTCCATCTTCTCCTGCTTGCTTTATTCTAGCCACACTGGCAGCTGATTAGATGGTGCCCACCCAGGCTGAGGGAGGGTCTGTCTCTCCCAGTCCACTGACTCAAATGTTAACCTCCTTTGGCAACACCCTCACAGACACACCCAGGAACAGTACTTTACATCCTTCAATCCAATCAAGTTGACGCTCAATATTAATCATCACAGGCCCTAACACTGAGAATTTGCCTACCACGATAGTTTCTTGTTAACTGCTTTACTTACCATTTCATCATACTGCTATCGTACCCATTCCAGCTACCAAGATGGCAAGCTGGCCAAGGCCTCTGCCAATTACCTGCTGTTCACCTCTCCTGCTTGGCCCATCATCTGGACTTTGTATGAACTTCTAAATTAACGGTTCTTAGAAGATCACCTGAAGCTTCCCTTGGAGACTGATCACGCAGATCCAGATCCTTCTTTGGATTGATATTTCCATTTACTAAATGACCAGCTCATGACTTAGGTAGTTTCAGTGCCTAACACTGCTCTGACACAGGCTGGTCTTCTAGGATTAACAAAATTCTGCTTCTGAGTCTCAGCTCTGCTGTTCTTCTCCACTTGCTCTGGTTTCCCTGGGCTACCACCTACTTCACTCAGTTCTTATTACCTTATGGATACAATTCTTAAAATATGGCTGATGAGATGTTGCATGAACAACATTGGCTGCAAAGCGTAAAGGCATATCCCTGTGTGAAGGGCCAGACTCTCACCAGACAGGCAACGGCATTCTTAGTGTCTAGAGGTATGCTTTCTGGACTCTGAAACAGAATTTAAGGAGACTCTCTAAGACAGGTAGGGATGTGTGTGTGTGTGTGTGTGTGTGTGTGTGTGAGAGAGAGAGAGAGAGAGAGAGAGAGAGAGAAAGAGAGAGAGAGAGAGAGCATGTGCGCACCCGAGAGAGAGAGAGAGATGATGGGGAGAGATTGTCTTTTGGTCTTGATTATAATGGTGGGCAAGAATCCAGTAGTCAGATCTTCAGTGGGAAGTATAAAGACAGACAAAGGGAGTCTACATAAGGCAATTATGAAATGCACGAAATGGTTCAATCACCTTGGGGCTAAAGTAGGTGTTTCAAGACAGTAAGTTGAGGAGGACAGTGCACAAGAGCCACATTTGCTGCTATATCTTCAGCACCTAGAATAGTGCCTAGCATACCAGAGGTGCTAGGATTTATGGAGTGAATGAATAAATGAGAGCATCAGAGTCTCTAGTTTGTAAGCTGGCTTTTGTTCCCTGAGGAACCATCTGATATTATTGAAGCGTTCTGACTTATTCATGAATAAATATGAAATCAATTTTAATTTTCCAGTAATTGCTACCAATGGGTATCAAGCTTCATTTTAGTTCTTAGGATTTAGTATCATTTATTTTAGAAATTAAGTCTCATTTAATTCTGAGCCCTCTTCCTCTCTTCTTCCTCAGCTTACCTACATATCCCTAGCTAGATGACTTAGGATAAAATCTCATCTCTCACCCAATTCATAAGTCAGCTTTAGTGGCCCGGGTGCGGTGGCTCACGCCTGTAATCCCAGCACTTTGGGAGGCTGAGGTGGGCGGATCACAAGGTCAGGAGACAGAGACCATCCTGGCTAACAAGGTGAAACCCCGACTCTACTAAATATACAAAAAATTAGCCAGGCGCCGTGGCAGGCACCTGTAGTCCCAGCTACTTGGGAGGCTGAGGCAGGAGAATGGCGTGAACCTGGGAGGCAGAGCTTGTAGTGAGCCAAGATGGCGCCACTGCACTCCAGCCTGGGCGACAGAGCGAGACTCTGCCTCAAAAAAAAAAAAAAAAAACACACAAAAAAAGCCAGCTTTCAACCCTGAGCCCTTACCACTCTGTGATCAAGTAGGGTAAAGGGGAACACTGCCTGTGGTGATTCCTTCTTTCATTGGTTGTTTTCCTTTCTAGTCTAATACTAGATGGCATAGATTCTAGCTGCATGGTTGGTTTCTTTCATCAAGTATGGATGTTGGTTTGGGGGAAGATCCTGTTGTGGTCTTTTACATCACAGCCCCCATGTGAGAGAGCCATTTTAAAACTGGCCTCTTCCCTACCCTATCCCAAGCCTCTACCATGGCTATTAGCTTTGTGGGGCCAGGAAGGAAAGAATTTTTGCAAGATGGTTCAACCCCAGCCACATTCTTTGGTGTCCATGTGATCTATGGTGAACTCACATTGGCTCAGCACACCAAATAGTGGGAATACACGTCTCCTCACTGTCCCTTCTCACTGCTTTGTCATCTTGCTCCTGCCAATTTCTCCACACCCCTGCAGCACTAGAAAAAAAAAAAAATCTAATCCCCTGGCATAGCGGCTTTCAAGGAAAAGATCAACCTAGTCCTGACTTAATGGGAATGGTGATGAGTGCTGTATAGGCACTCTTGCTTTTTATCAAGGAACGTGGAGGGTTCAAGTTGAATCACCTCTTCTATTAAAAGATATGTATCCTTGCCTGTCATTTTCTTATATCCCTTGATGATTAAGGTTCCCAAACAGTCCAGTCTTTTTGGTCTTGGAAGGCACAGGCACACTCACACTGAAAAATTATCCTCTTTGAACCTGCTGTGAAGGATTTGCTAACTTTTTCTTAGAGGGTATCATCTCCATTTGCCATAACACACTCCAGAGGGTAAAAAAAACTCAGTATTTCTCACTAGCTGGTTACCTTTGCAATCATTGTATTTGTTTTCATGTTGTTTTCCTTTGAATTATAAACTGGAAACTTTGCTGAAAGTTCCAGCCTGTCTTGAGAAGTCAAGAGAAGAAAGTTTTTCATACTTTGGCCCGAATATTAAAAAATAGAGCTGGTGTCTCTCTAGGTATCAACAGCTGAATAAAAATGAAAGAAACTTGAGGAAAGAGCTCAGGAAAAAGATCATTTTGTCATCCTTTCCTCCTCAACATGATCATACCTATCATAGCCAGATCTGAGAAGTCAGGGTTTTCTGGTAACTGAGCCTCTCTGGCTGATTGCAGATAAAGTCCTGGCTACTGAGCAGTCTTCCCTGTTAATAGAATACTGGCTCCTTGGGAAACAATCTCAGCAACTCTATACACCACCCTGGTATTCTGATTCCTATGGTTGGCTGAACTCTGTATCATTGCATTATCTCAAGTCTTTCTCTTGGTCCTGGCTTTTGGTAAATTTGGATGGTTAATTTTATGTGTGAACTTGACTGGGCCACAAGATGCCCAGCTACTTGGTTAAACATCATTCTGGGTATCTGTGAGGGTACTTCTTAGCCCTCCAAACTCAGACTGGAACTATACCATCAGTTCTCCTGGGTATCCAACTTGCCAAGTGCAGAAACTGGGACTTTAGTCTCCATAAATAATGTGAGCCAAGGCCTTATAGTAATTATATCTATATCCATATCTCTCTATAGATAGATAGGTAGGTAGATAGATAGATAGATAGATAGATAGATAGATAGATAGACAGACATATATATACACCAATAAGATATGTATTAGGTATATATCTTTTTGGTTCTATTTCTTTGGAGAACCCAGACTAATATATAATTCTACTACCTCTAACTTAGACTCATATAATTTACAGTTTAAAGTAATTTTCAGGATCATCTGGTATAATTACTTTGAAAGTAAAGAAACCACAGGCTAGAAAGACTAAGGAACTCACCTACAGTTTCACAATGCCAATCAATTCAGTTCCTTAAACACTGTCTTCTATAGTGAACTAGTCCATTTATACCACACTGGCTTCCTAACTTCTGATTTAGATCATACTCTTTGTTTCTGGTTCTTGTCAAATTATCCTGGGAACAGCCAGGGCAGCCATCAGGCTGAAGAGACCTGAGGGTATTTCTCATTTTTGTGAATCCTTTCTAGAGCTGGCTGGCTTCTTTAGCCTCTGCTGCCTCTTTTACTTTCTTTTCTTTTTTTCTTTATCTTTTTCTTTTCCTTTCCCTTTTGCCTGTTTGCCTTCCTACCTTCCTGTCTTCCTGCCTTCTTGCCTTCCTGGCTTCTGCCTCTGTGAAGTAGTTTGAATGAAGGGAACTTAGAGAATCTCAAATCATATGTCTAAAGCAGCTAATCACATGACCTAAGTAATGTATACAATATTAAGAAACCTAACTCAGTTTTAAAGGAAGTCCTTCTAAGTAACATAGTCCTTTAAAGTTGAGAAATTCAGAACTGCTACATTTAAAGAACAAAAAAAATAACAAATACCTAAGCAAACAAGCAAACAGAAAAATATGTAGTAACATAAACCTTCTCCAGAGGATTTCTCCAGATGGTGCGCCCAACTTGGTTCTTTCTTGATAACTGCTTTGACTGCCGGAGACATTGACCTGGGATTTCTCATTGGATAACTGTCTTAATTTCCAGTGTATGCGTTCTCGTTGGTCTGTTTATACTGGCCAGCAGCTTCCAAGATTGTCGACTGAATGTGATATAAGGTTTCATTCCTATTTCACCTAGAATTTCCCAATCATGTGCCCCATTTATTTTGCCCATCCTGGTTTGTCATCCTCTCTCTCCACTCCCCACAGCCAGTGCCACCGCTCAGGCTCAGTTCTTTCAAGCCCAGTCCTAGGTATGATCCAAAGCAGAACTCAATCTCAATACACTTTAGAAGGACTGTCAGTAAAAAAGTTCTGTACATTTTAATTTGCTAAGCTGAGCTTATCATTAATTACATATACTTCAGGGAGTAGGAGAAAAACTTGAATGGGATTAGAGGAGCAATGAATAGTTTGACAGTAATATAATTTACTATGATTATATTAGTGTTCCACTATGGTTCTGTGGGATCCTTCCCAACTGGAAGACTATATATATGCACCCCAATATATCTCCCTGTGGGAACCACAAAGGGGGATACTCACATATATATGTAAATATATGTACATATATGTAATATATTTATGTATGTATACACATACATATATGTGTATATGTATACACATACATATATGCGTATATGTATACACATACATATATGCATATATGTGTGTATATATACACATATATTTACATATATGTAATATTTCTACATGTATGTATATGTATTTTACATATATGTAAATATATTACATATGTGCACATATAAATACATGCATTACATATCTGAACATACATTTACATATATGTGTAAAATACACATACATATATGTAGAAATATTACAGATATATAAATATATGTGTATGTGCATATATACACACATATATACATGTATGTGTGTATATGTATGTATGTGTATATATACACACACGTGTGTGTGTGTATACATACATATGTATATACGTATGTACTTCCATTGATGCCAGGCTGAGCCATGTAATTTACTTTGCCCAATGGAATGAGAGCCAAAACAGTGTTTTATCTTCAAGCAGAGCTTTAAGACTTTGTAGGTGGCTTGTCACCTTTTTCTTCTTCAGTGATACTGGCAATATCCAGTAACAAGGCCATATTATCAGCTTGGATCCTGGAGGGAGGCTGCAGGAGGTACAACCACAGTTGACCCATGGCAGACATATAACAGAAGAATGGAAGAAACTCATATTTGTTAGTGTAGGGCACTGAGAATTTGGGATTATTTGTTACCCTTGGCCTATCCTGGCTGATAGTGTTTTATACAGTTTATCTCTTAAGTTGTTTTTAATAGATTCACAAAGACTAAATGCTATTTTATATACATTGCAGTTGAAAGGAATATTCTCTTTGTTATTTAAGGGAGATTGAAGGAAAATCTATATTTTATAACATAAACACAAAATCTGTGAATTAGTCTAGTGAATTAATTATATGTTTTTTATAGTTAGGTGGGAATCTTTCTAGTCTTTGGAGACTAAAAAGAAATGTGTTCTCTTCTATGGAAAATTCTCTTATAGGAATGGGCCTGATAATGCATAATCCTAGAAGTTATTTTGATAACTCTAGGGAATTTAACATGAAGTATGAGCACAGATTCAGAAAGACCCTATTACTTTCCAATATTTCTGGACTGCTGCATTAAAATGATTATATCTGAAAACCATAAACTGCTATAGAAACACAAAGTATCTACTATCATTATCTTTGGATGCAAGTTCTGTTTATTACAGGGCTATAAGGATTTCTTGCTCTCTGACCCTGTCTCTCTACCCTCTAATTTTCAAACAGGAGCCAGCTAACTAGTCAAGTATCTTTTAAAAAGAAGAATAGAAAGGAGCCAACAAAAAGTTTATCATCATCATGTATATTCAAAGGAAGTTAAATAAGTTAATACATATTCACTGAGTCCATTCATGTATTTCATGAACATTTTATGTACTACTTTTCTAAGTTTAAATGTGCTTAGACTGAATACAGAATCATAACTAGGTTTCTGTTTTTAGATATATAGACCACGTTAAACAATTTCCCTCCAAATTTCACACATAGATGGAAAAGTGTTTGCTAGAACATGGTTGGCCCACAAGGTTGATTTGAGTACTGTCCTCCAACACAGAAATGATGCTTTTCTTTTCTTATTTAAACAGTACTTAGCAAAACAAATACAGGTGTAAATCCACAGAGAGAGAGAGAGAGAGAAAGTAACCAGTTGCATAGAGCTAGGGGGTTGGGAACTTGGAGAATGACTGCTATCGAGTTTCTTTTGGGAGTGATGAAAATGTTCTTAGATAGAACATAGTGGTGGCTGTGCAGTCTTATGAATATGCTAAAAAACCCAGTCAATTGCACACTTTAAATGGGTGAGTTTTATTGTACTGTACATGAATTATATCTTGATAATGCTGTTATATGTAAGAAAACAGAAACAAACAGCAAAAATTCTAATATTGGAGAAGCCATAAGCACAATATCAAAGGTAAAAATAATAAAGATAAAGAGTGGTATATTTGACTACAGTAAGAATTAAACCATTCAAAATGATTATAAACAAAGGAAAGGGACAAACTAGGATAACATGATGACAAAGTGTCAACACCCCGCCACAACAAGGTTCCTTATATATAATTTTAAAAAAAGAAAAAAGAAAATTTTGAAATGAAAGTAGGTTATAGCTACAGAGTTTCCAAAATAGTATAAATAGCTAATAATTGTATTTAAAAGGTGAAACACACTAGAAACTAATAAACTGCAGTAGCTAGAACTCTACAATTAATGTCAGATCACTATAGAGTATAATATTACTCTATTAATGTTTGTGACTTTAGACAAATTATTGACTCTCTTATCTCTCATATTGACCCTCACTCTCATCAGTACAATGGGGTATGTATTTCAGAGGGTCATATAAGAATTAAATTAGATAACATATAAAGTATTCAGCATAGCACAGGGAATATAGTAAAATTCAATAAATGCTATTATGATTTTATTCCTTACTATAAAATTGGCATATATGATATCATAAAATATGTAGTACAAAGGAACGGACACTTTTATATACTGCCTTTGAGAGTTTGAATATATTTATTTTTTGGTAGGACAATTTAGCTAGACCCAACAAACACCTTAAAAACAACTTTAAAAATACTGTTGAATATCCAACCATTCATTGTAGGGATTTACCCTAAGAAAATCATGAGATGTGTCCAAAGATACAAATACAAAGATGTTCCTTGAATGATTGTTTGAACATAGAAAAACATTGAAAGTGACCAAAATGTTCAATAGTCTTAGATTGATTAAACAGACTGTGGCACATCTACACAATGAAACACTAAACTGCCATTAATATGATAACGGATAGTTTTCTATTTATTCATATAAAATATTAATAACAGATAGCTGAGAAAAATCAGATAATACAGCAATATATAATATGCTGCTTTCTGGATAAAAAATAAATATCCATACTTGCATTAAAAGTCTGGAAGGAAATAAAATACGAGCAGTAGTATTATCTTTGGGTTATGAAATAATAGTTAAGTTTTATTTTCTTCTTTATGTTAAACAAAAATTCAACATGATCACATAGGAAACAGATGACATATTACTTGAGGCCGTGAGTTTTGGACTCAGACTGCCTGGTTACAAAACCTGGTGCTGCTACTTTCTAACTCTGTTATTTACACCTGTTTCCTCATTTATCATAAGAAATAGTGCAGACATTTCATTAAAGTAATACAAGTAATTCTGATGAAGCAACATGGAATTCTGAAATATCACATCATCAAAAATGTATATGATATAATATTAAATAAAGATGGAAAGTTCTAATGGTAGAAAAAATTTAACTGCTAAAACCGAATATGCTAAAATTGGTACATAAGCATATGGACAAAGTCTGGAATAGAAAGGGGGAAAATAAAAAGCAACTGTGGTGGTATCATCATCTATTTTTTATCTAAAAAATGTTTTTTTAATTCTTTTTTTATTTTATTTTTTTGAGATGGAGTTTTGCTATTGTTGCCCAGGCTGGAGTGCAATGGTGTGACCTCGGCTCACTGCAACCTCTGCCTCCCAGGTTCGAGCAATTCTCCTGCCTCAGCCTCCCGAGTAGTGGAATTACAGGAATGTGTGACCACGCCCAGCTAATTTTCTATTTTTAGTAGAGATGGGGTTTCTCCATGTTGGTGAGGCTGGTCTCGAACTGCTGACTTCAGGTGATCTGCCCTCCTCGGCCTCCCAAAGTGCTGGGATTACAGGTGTGAGCCACCACACCCAGCCTTCTTCTTCTTCTTCTTCTTTTTTTTTTTTTTAGACGGAGTCTTGCTCTGTTGCCCAGGCTAGAGTGCAGTGGCACAATCTCAATCTCAGCTCACTGCAAGCTCCGCCTCCTGGGTTCATGCCATTCTCCTGCCTCAGCCTCCCGAGTAGCTGGGACTACAGGCGCCCGCCACCATGCCTGGCTAATTTTTTGTATTTTTAGTAGAGATGTGGTTTCACTGTGTTAGGCAGGATGGTCTCGATCTCCTGACCTCGTGATCTGCCTGCCTCAGTCTCCCAAAGTGCTAGGATTACAGGCTTGAGCCACTGCACCCAGCCTTTTTTTTTTTTTTTTTTTTTTTAAGATACAGTTTCTCATTCCTTCAACCACTGTGGTTTGCAGTGGTGCAATCATGGCTCACTGCAGCCTCAACTTCCCAGGCTCAAGCGAACTTCCTGCCACAGCCTCCCAAGTAGCTGTGACTACAGGTGTGTACCATCATACTCAGTTAACTTTTAAAATTTTCTATAGAGATGGGGCCTCACTATGTTGACCAGGTTGTTTTCAAAGTTCTGGGCTTAAGTGATCCTCCTGCCTTGGCCTCCCAAAGTGCTGGCATTACAGTCATGAACCACTACACCTGGTTAAAGATAGGTTTAAAGTAAAAGGATGGAAAAATACATCACGCAGAGGATGAGCATAAGACTGGAGAGATGATATTAATATCAGACAAAATAGATCTTAAGACAAAAATATTGCTAGAGAAAGAGAGGAGTATTTTATAATGATAAAGGATCAAAGATATACCAATTATAAGAGTATATAAACTTATGCACCTAACAACAAAGCAACCAAACAAATGAAGCAAAAATTAAGATTGAAAAGAAAATAGACACATCAAAAATTATAGTTGATTTCAATTCTCTTCTTTTAAACAACTGTTAGAAAAGGTAGACAAAAATTCAGAAAAGGTACAGAAGATTTAAAAACTATATAAACCACCAGAACTAACTGACATGTATAGAAAACTTCAGGTTAAAAACAAACACATATTCTTTTCTTTTCTTTTTTGAGACGGAGTTTCACTCTTGTTGCCCAGGCTGGAGTGCAATGGTGCAATCTTGGCTCACTGCAAACTCTGTCTCCCGGGTTCAAGCGATTCTCCTGCCTCAGCCTCCCCAGTAGCTGGGATTACAGGCCTGCGCTACCACAGCCGGCTAATTTTGTATTTTTAGTAGAGATGGGGTTTCTCCATGTTGGTCAGGCTGGTGTTGAATTCTGGACCTCAGGTGATCTGCCTGCATCTGTCTCCCAAAGTGCTAGGATTACAGGCGTGAGCCACTGCACCCGGCCACGTACTCTTTTCAAGTGCACATGGAATATTCACCAGCACAGACCATATTCTAAGCCATAAAGCAAGCCTGAATAAATTTTAAAGAGCTGAAATTTTATTTTTTAACCACAGCAGAATTTAAATAGAAATGAGTCATATAAATTAATCTGAGAAATTCCCACATATTGTTACAATTCAAAGTAACCCATGAATAGCAAACGAAAATAAATCATGATATAAAGAAGATACCTCCTGCACTTGTATGTTCATTGCAGCACTATTCACAATAGCAAAGTCATGGAACCAACATAATTGTCTATCGATAGTTGACTGGATACAGAAAATTTGATATATAGAAACCATGGAATACTATCCAGCCATAAAAAGAATGAAATCTTGTCCTTTGCAGCAACACGGATGGATCAGGTAGCCATTATACCAAGTGAACTAACACAGAAACAGAGAACCAACAATGGGTACACATGGACATAGAGATGGAAATAAGAGACACTGGGAAATCTAAAAGCGGGGGAAGGATTGAAAAATAACACGTTAGGTACGGTGTCCACTATTTGTGTAATGGGTACACTAGAAGCCCAATCCCCACCAGTATGCAATATACCCAGGTGAGGAAAATGTACAGGTACCTCCTGAATCTAAAATAAAATTAAATTAAAAAAATAAATAACCTACGGGTCAAAGAAGAAATAAGAAAATACATTGAATTGACTAAAAATGAAACAACAAATCAAAATTTGTAGAATGGGGCCAGGTGCAGTGGCTCATGCCTATAATCCCAGCACTTTTAGAGGCTGAGGTAGGAGGATCACTTGAGGCCAGGAGTTCAAGACCAGCCTGAGCAAAACAGGAAGACCCTGCTGTGGAGAAAAAGTTAAATATTAAATGTGAACTCAATTGAACATGGACACAAACAATGGTCCCGGAACAGGTTGTCTGAGCCCTTTGAGGCGTTCATCCAGTGTTGTTTCAGAGAAATCTCTATTTCAATCTATTCTTATACCTTAGTTACTGAAAAACAATAGACAATCGCAAAAATAAGTTGACCTTTTTGTGTTTCTTGAGCCCAGTCGCGAAGGGCCCTTGTGACTGGGTCTCATGCCAAACAACTTGTTACAAAAAGAGCTAGAGTCCTAGACTGTACCGAAGCTTCATGAGACCTCTCATCGTCTGTGCACGGATCAGTGGCTGACTCTGGAGCCCAGGTTGTTGCTTCCCAGTCTGGTGCTGAATTCTCCATAGTCTGGTGAGTGCGGTGTCTGACTCTGGAGCCCAGGCTCTTGCTTCCCAGTCTGGTGGTGAATCCTCCATAGTCTGGTGAGTGTAAATATATATATATATCTTTTCCCTTCTCCCCTTCCCATTGCAATTTGCTTATTATAGCATTTGTTTATTATATTAATTTGCTTATTATAGCATTTGCTTATTATATCATTTGCTTATTATATCTGCATTGCCATTTACATGGGATAAAGCTTGTTTACCCTTAAAGGTATTGTGTGTATGTGGGCCTTTTCTTCTCCCTTCATGCGTCTCCCACACAGAACACCTGTCTCTACAAGAAATGTTTAAAGATTAGTCAGGCGTAGAAGTGCACACCTGTGGTCCCAGCTACTCAGGAGGCTGAGGCGGAAGGATCACTTGAATCTAGGAGTTCAAGGCTACAGTGAGCTATGATCATGCCACCGCACTTCAGTCTGGGTGACAGAGTGAGACCTTGTCTCAGGAAAAAAAAAAAAAAAAAGCGGAATGCAGCTAAAGCAGTAACTATGGGGAGATTTAGAGCCTTAAATATTTGTCTCAGAAAATCTTAAGGAATCCAAAGGAAAGCTACTGGAACAATTAAGTGAATTTAGCAAAATCATAGGGTACAAGGTTAAAAGACAAGTCACTTATATTTCTACGTAACTAATATCAATTTTACAAGGAAATTTTAAAATTTATTTATAATGCCAAATAATTAAAAACCTTAACACATGTGACAAATAATGTACAAAACTCGAGCACTTAAATCTGCAAAAAAATCATTTCTCAGATAAATTAAAGAAGGCTTAACCTCCTACTCTGCCAAAATAGTGAGGCACACCATGTTCACAAAGTGGAAGACTCAATGTTGTTCAAATGGCAATTCTTGCCAAACTGATCTACAGATACATCACAGTCAATAAAAGCTCCAGTAGGATTAAAAAGAAAGTTGCTTTTTTTTTTTTTTTGAGAGATAAACAAGCTGATTAAAATTTACATGGATAGCTCCAGGTTCCAGGCCTACCCCAGTGCCAAGCCACCCCCTTAGGCCCTAGGTTCCAGGTCAGCATCAAGTTTCAGGCCTGACCAAGGCCAAGCAAGCCCCTGCAGCCCTAAACTTCAGGCCAGCACCCATGGACCCAGCATTCAGACCCACCCCAGCATCAGACTGGCACCAGTGGAGACCAGGCTCCAGACCAGCCACCTCAGATACATTTTCCAAGCACACCTGGTACCTAGCCAGGTCCCATGGACCCAGGCTCCAGACTACTGGCTCCAATACCCTCACGCTTCAAAAAAACTAGGGTTCAAGCCTACTTCAGCAGACCTTGAGTCCAGGCCTATCTAGTGGACCCCAGTGACAGGTCAGGCCCCATGGAACAAGGTTCCAGATTGCCCCAAAAGGCATAGGCTCTAGGCAAGCACGTGGATTGAGGACCTAGGTCTGTTCTTATAATCCACCTCCAGGCCCACCCCAGCACCAGGCTGGTCCTGGTGGCCCCGGGATCCAGGCTAACACCCACAGACCCAGGCTCCAGGCTGGCCCACCCTAGTGCCAGGCTGGCACCTGTGAGCCCCACAAGATGGCCTGCCAAGAAACTATGGAATCTGCGAATACTGCATTTTTAATTCACATTTGGTTAAAGAAAAAAAATCTGTGTAGATGGAACTGCATAGTTCAAACATGTTGTTCAAGGGTCAGCTGTATTTTGAATTATCTAAGTTGTGGATTTCTGTTTCTTAAGGTCCAGTTACTAGTGACTTATTTTTTCACTTTGGTGGTGTCATGTTTCCCCGATTGGTGAAGGGTTTTCCCTGACAAATCCAGTCTGAAAAGAATAGAAGAAGTGCCTGCTTTTTCAAATGAACAGACACAAAAGCAAGGTCAGAGGATCACAGATAATCAGGGAAACATGACCCCACCAAAGTGAAAAAATAAATCACTAGTAACTGACCCTTAAGAAATAGACATCCACAAACTTAGATAATTCAAAATACAGCTGATCCTTGAACAACACATTTTAACTCTGTGGGTCCACCTGCACAGATTTTTTTTTTAAAACCAAATATGAATAAAACATGTAGTATTCACAGGAAATGAAACCTGTGTATACAGAGGGCTGACTTTTATACATGTAGGTTCTGCAGGGCTGACTAGGATTATATTATGAATGAATTTTGGTATATGTGGGCAGTTCTGGAACCAATTCCTCATGTATACTGAGGGACAACTGTAAACATCCTAAGGAAGCTCAGTGAGCTACAGGAGAACACAGATATACAAGTGAATGAAATTAGGAGGGCTATGCATAAACAAAAGAAGACATTCAATAAAGAGGGAGAAATCATAAAAAGAACCAAACAAAAATTCTAGCACTACATAACACAATGCCTCAACTGCAAAGTTTTATGAAGAGCTTTAACAGCAGACTTGATGAAACAGAAGAAAAAAAAACCAGTGAGCTCAAAGACAGGTCATTTGAAATTACCCAGTCAGAGGAATAAAAAGGGAAAAAAGAGAGAAAGAAAAAGAATGAAGAAAGCCTAGAGAACTTATGAGACACCACTAAGCAAGTCAAAATTTGCATGAGACTCCCAGGAGAATCAGCAAAAAAGGAAAGTGGAAGAAAGCTTATTTAAAGAAATAATGACAGAAAATATCCCAAGTCTGAAGTGGAAAATAAACATCCAGATCTATGAAGCCCAAAAGAACTCAAATAGATTAATTATAAAAAGATCTTCCCTGAAACAGAGTATAATTAAATACCCAAAAGACAAAGACAACGAGAGAATTTGGAAAGTAGCAAGAGCAAAGCAACTAGTCACATGTAAGGGACTCTCCATAAGACTATCAGTGGATTTTTCAGCTGAAACATTGGTGCCCAGGAGAGAGTAGGGTGATGTAGTCAAAGTGCTGAAAGAAAAAAAATAACTGCCAACCAACAATACTGTACCAGGCAAGGCTATTCTTTAGAAACAAAAGAGAGATGAAGACTTTCCTAGACAAACAAAAGCTGTGGAAGTTCATTACCTCTAGACCTGCTGTACCAGAAATGCTAAAGGGAATTATTCAAGTTAAAACGAAACAATGCTACTTAACAATATGAAACACATGAAAGTATAAAAACCACTATAAACATCAAAAGTCAAATTCAGAATACTTTAATACCATAATGGTAGTGCATAAATACCTTTTGATTCTTATAAAAGTTTAATGATAAAGTATTAAAAATAACTATAAAATAGTTTCCTAATGAATACACAATATATAAAAGATGAAAATTGCAGCACTAATAACATAAAATGTAGGGGAAGAATAATTAAAGTGGAGAGTTTTTATATGAAGTTGAAGTAATTATCAGTTCAACATAGACTATTGTAAGATATTTTATGTAAGCTTCACGATAATGACACAGATAGTAAATACAAAAAAGATAAAGAAATTAAACCATTCCACTACAAAAAAAATCATCAAAATCACAAAGGAAGACAACAAGAGAGGAATAATAGAATAAATTACTTGTTCCTTCAGAAATAAGTAGCAGTCAGAAAACAATTACCACACTGGCAGTAGTAAGTCTTTACCTATCAGCAATTATTTAAATTGTAAATAGATTAAATTCTCCAGTGAAAAGACATAGGATGACTGAAAGGACTGAAAAAAGTTCTAACTGTATTTTGCCTACAAGAGACTCACTTTAGCTTTACAGTCACACATAGCTGAAAGAGTAGGGATAGAAAGAAACAGCCCATGTAACTGGTAACAAAAAGAGAGCAGAGGTGGCTAAACTTACATGAGACAAAATAGGCTTTAAGTTAAAAACTATCACAAACAACATAGAAGGTCATTATATAATGATAAAGAAGTCAACTCATCAAGACAATATAAAAACCATAAATATATGTTCCCAGTAGAGGAGTATTTAATATATATGTTCCCAGTACAGGAGCATTTAAATATATAAACCAAATATTATTAACAGAACTGAAGGGAGAAATAGACAGCAATACAATATTAATAGGGGACTTTAACATGGCATGTTAAATAATGGATAGATCATCCAGACAGAAAATCAACAAGGAAACTGTGGACTTGAACAACACTTTAGACCAAAGGGACTTAACACACATATGCAGAATATTGCATCCAACAGCAGCAGAATACATATTATTTTCAAGTGAACAAAGAACATTATGCAGGATAGATCATATGTGAAGTCACAAAACAAGTCTCAAATGTAAGAAGATGAAAATCATATCAAGTATCTTTTCTAGCCACTATAGTATGAAACTAGAAACAAATAACAAGAGAAATCTTGGAAAATTCACAAATACATTGAAATCAAACATGTTCTTGAATAGCCAATCGGTCAAAGAAGAAATTAAAAGGGAAATTTAAAAATCTTGAGACCAACAAAACTGGATGCAGCATACACATTGATATGGTTTGGATGTTTTATCCCTTCCAAATCTCATGTTGAAATGTGACCTCCAGTGTTGGAGGTGGGCCTAGTGAGAGGAGTTTGGGTCCTGGGGGTGGGTCTTCCATGAATAGCTTGGTGCTATTCTCACCATAATGAGTGAGTTCTCACTTTATTAGTTCATGCCAGATCTGGCTGTTTAAAATAACTTGGCACCTCTTACCTCCTCTCTTGCTCCTGTTCTCATCATGTGATATACACCACCTCCTCCCCCTTTGCCTTCTGCCCTGATTGTAAGCTTCCTGAAGACCTCACCAGAAGCAGGTGCTGGCAGCACGCTTCTTGTACAGCCTGCAGAACTGTGAGCCAAAATAAACCTCTCATCTTGCTAAATTAGCAAGCCTCAGGTATTCCCTTATAGAGATGCAAAATGGAATAACACACATGTTAATTTGAAATATATGAGAGACCCAAACCTAACAGCTGAAACTATAAAACTTTGAGAAGAAAATGGGAAAATCTTAGAGAACTTGAGTTAGGCAAAGTTTTCATAGGACACATAGTAAATAAACCATAAATGAAAATATATACATTGCACTTCATAAAACTTAAAAGTTTTGCTGATCAAAAATACCATTAATAATATGGAATGGGAAGCAACACGTTAGTATAAAACATTTGCTAAACATATATCTGACAAAGAACTCTTTTCTAAAATATTTAATGAAGCCGTTCAACTTAATAATAAAAAGACAAACACCCAATAAAAAAGGGGCAGGGGTGATAGGTCTGAAAAAACAACTCATTAAAAAAAATATACAAATGGCAAATAAGCACAGTTGGGTATCAGTACACAACCACTGGGATAACTAAAGACTTTTGGTGGCTAAACCTGTATCAGATAAAATAGACTTTAAGTAAGAAACTTTCAGAAGAGACACTTGTAGGGAAACCAGAACCCTCATATATTGCTGGTGGAAATGCAAGATGGCACATCCACTTTTGAAAAGAGTTTGGCAGTTCCATATAAATTTGAACATGCATTTATCATAGGAGCCTACAATCCTACCCTGAGGTAGGATTTACCCAAGAGAAGTAGAAACACGCCTACATAAAGACCTGCACACAAGTATGTAATAACAGTTTTATTAATAATAGTCTCAAACTGGAAATAGCCCCAAATGTCTATGACTCACTAAAGGATTAACAAATTCTGGTACATCTAAACAATGAAATACTACTCAGCAATACGAAGGAATAGACTACTGATACATTAAAGATGACAGATGGCCCTCAAAAACATGCTATGTGAAACAATTTAGACGTAATACATTATATATTATCTGATTTCATTTACAGAAAATTCTAGAAAAGGCAGATCTGTAGTGGCAAAAAAAACCAGATCAGTAGTTGCCTAGGGCTAAGGTGAGATTAGGGATGGGCAATGACTGGTAAGTAGAATAAGAGAACTTTTTGTGCTGATGAAATTGTTCTGAAACTTGACTGTGGTTGGTGATAGTTGGATGACTATTCATATTTACCAAAACTCATAGAACTGTACACTTAAAATGGGCTAATTTTATTGTATATATAAAATACATCAATAAAGCTGTAAAATAAATGGGTATGAAACTATGCAGAAGTGCTGTGAAGAACAGTTTTTATTAATAGCTATAAAGTAATGCGCACAATAATGGGAGTAAGTGAATAAGCTCTCTCTCACCCTCATTTTGTTCCTTTTAACTTCATTATTAGAGGTAATGACTAAGAGGTCTTTTGAAATTAGTTTTTACTCTTTCTTTAAATACTCCCAATTGAATTGTATGGCTCTTTCACATAAAATGCCAAATACAAATTTTGCCCAGATGGACAAAAGATGTATTGTCTTCAAATCATTGGGTTGGCTCTCTTACTTTAGATATCCAAGCTTAAAAGCAACCAGATGAGGTTTCATGGAATTTTGTAAAAAGGAAAGAAAAAAGAAGACAATGATGAAGAAGAAATAATGAAAACAACTTTTGCTCATGGGAGGAAATTTTCTGTGCCAACTTTCAGTTCAGAATGATCTTTTATTGGCCAAATTCCAAATTCCTCAAAGTACAGGCTTACAATGGAAGTGCTGACACAATCTCAAATGCAGTGCTGCAAACAGGATGATATAATGAATGCTGTGTACATTTACTTACTATCTTTTATAATAGTCTCTTTTGCAACGATTTGCCTCATTTTAGTTTTTTTATTTTAGTCTTAATGCTAGAAAAAGTGGTTGAAAATCATGCCTTTTCCAAACTCTGTTTTTGTGCACTTATTATATAATAAAAATTAACCTTGGTGCTGAAATTTTTCAGACTTGTTTCTCTCTAAATGAGCATAATGAATATTTTTTTTTGCATTAAGTACAAATTTTCTTTTTATTTTGCCTATTTCTGTTGTATTATGAAATACCTCAGACATTGCAGATTTCTTTTCAAACTACTAACTCTTTTCATGAGGATATAATCAATTTCTATAACTGAAAATAATCTAGATGAAAAACTTGCTTATTTGGGGGAAAGAAATATTAGCTCAGTTTGCACATGTGTGATTTTGTACTCCATATTTCATGTTTTTTAAGATTTGGACAACTCAACAACGCTACATTATTACCATATGTTAATCAAAGCTTAATATGCAAGAAGAAAGAGCACTAGATATTACCTACATTTTTACGAATGCATCAAATAAACCATGCGTAGCGATAGGGATAAAGATTCGAGCTTTCTTCCCATGACACACCTGGAATAATCAGACTAAACTGCATGAATGAGAACTCACACTTCTTGCTTTTGCAATACAAGTGAGAGATATCTAAATTCCTTCATTCAAAATTTCTCTTCCATAGCTTCATTCTAGACTCACCCTCCAAATTATCTAAACCTAAAGTTTAAATAGGTCATTTAAATTATGATTTGTATGTATGCACACAGGACAGCAGCAGGATTTACGCATTTTAGGGAAACGTACCTGAGAATTTCCAGAATTTAATGCATAAAAAAATCTCTAAGGATCTTTCTGCACAGTTGACAATGATTAAGATCTGGTATGATAAATGTAGATATTTGATACTCAACAGTGGAAGACTGATCACTCAGAATTAGGTAATAAGATATGGAGCCTTCACATTACATTTTGTCCATTGAAATCTAGGTTACAACCAAGGAACTGGATGAAGTTGACCACATGGTTGGCATTGTGAGTGAAATGAATCTGAATTTGGCTTTTAGGCGGGATCAACACATAAAATTGCCATCCTAATGGTACCACACTTGACACTCTCAGTGGTAGAATAAGAATGATGCCGAGGACTAAATTTGTTGAGAATATATTTTCAAATTTGGAAGATAAATGTAACCAGGGGGCCTGCAGAACCAAAATTACTAGAAATGCCTGCACTGCCCCTTACCAATTTTCCTCTTTTCTGCTTACAAATAAAAGTCTTAATTTTTGTGAGAACATAAAAGGCTCAGAGACAGCTATATCCAATAACACAACTAAAAGTGTTCTACTATGGATGTCAATATGACTGTGAGGTGGCCGGGCGTGATGACTCACTCTTGCAATCCCAGCACTTTGAGAGGCCAACGCGGGCGGATCACTTGAGGTTGGGAGTTTGAGACTAAACTGGCCAACATGGTGAAACTCCGTCTCTACTGAAAATACAAAAAATATACCAGGCATGGTGGTGCCTGCCTGTAGTCCCTGCTACTTGGGAGGCTGAGGCACGAGAATCACTTGAACCTGGGAGGGAGAGGTTGCAGTGAGCCAAGATCACACCACCACATTCCAGCCTGGGTAACAGAGTGAGACTCCACAAGGTATAAAATAACCTGGACCTTTTGGTCCCTGCAACCATCCTTCTGCACACAAAAGAATGAGTGTCTATTTTCAGTATTTTAATGCCAATTACTTAAAACATTTTATTATTCTCCCCCACTGTTACTTTATAATTCAAAGAAATAATGCACTTACCCATTAAAAATAATATACTAATATGAGTTCTCTCATTAGGCAGTACATAAGGCAAAACAAAGGTTGGTGCAGATTTTAACTGCTATGAGCTCAAAGAAAGAAATGATCTCTTTAGTACTAAGGAAAGGCTTCACGGAGGAGATGGAAATTGAGTGGAAAAAATGGTTAAGAGAGGGCCAGGTCTGCTGAAGAGAGATGAGCCTCTAGGGTGAACACAATGTCTAGGAAAACCATTTTTCTGTGAAGTGGTAGGTAGGAATAGGTCAGTATCCAGGAAACATGTGTGCCTTCTCTTAGAAATCCTACAACTGAAATATGACTCAAAACCTGCCTTCACTGTTTAAATCCAAAAATTTCAACAAAAACAGAGAATAGGAAAAAGATCTGATTTCATTGCCCATGCCTATGTCCTGAATGGTATTGCCTAGGTTTTCTTCTAGGGTTTTTATGGTTTTAGGTCTAACATTTAAGTCTTTAATCCATCTTGAATTAATTTTTGTATAAGGTGTAAGGAAGGAATCCAGTTTCAGCTTTCTACGTATAGCTAGCCAGGTTTCCCAGCACCATTTGTTGAATAGGGAATCCTTTCCCCATTTCTTGTTTTTGTCAGGTTTGTCAAAGTTCAGATAGTTGTAGATGTGTAGTATTATTTCTGAGGGCTCTGTTCTGTTCCATTGGTTTATATCTCTGTTTTGGTACCAGTACCATGCTGTTTTGGTTACTGTAGCCTTGTAGTATAGCTTGAAGTCAGGTAGTGTGATGCCTCCAGCTTTGAGCTTCTGCACAGCAAAAGAAACTACCATCAGAGTGAACAGGCAACCTACAGAATGGGAGAAAAGTTTTGCAATCTACTCATCTGACAAAGGGCTAATATCCAGAATCTACAAAGAACTCAAACAAATTTACAAGAAAAAAACAAACAACCCCATCAAAAAGTGGGCGAAGGATATGAACAGACGCTTCTCAAAAGAAGACATTTATGCAGCCAACAGACACATGAAAAAATGCTCATCATCACTGGCCATCAGAGAAATGCAAATCAAAACCACAATGAGATACCATCTCACACCAGTTAGAATGGCGATCATTAAAGAGTCAGGAAACAACAGGTGCTGGAGAGGATGTGGAGAAATAGGAACACTTTTACACTGTTGGTGGGAGTGTAAACTGGTTCAACCATTGTGGAAGACAGTGTGGTGATCCCTCAGGGAACTGGAACTAGAAATACCATTTGACCCAGCCATCCCATTACTGGGTATATACCCAAAGGATTATAAATCATGCTGCTATAAACACACATGCACATGTATGTTTATTGCGGCACTATTCACAATACCAAAGACTTGGAACCAACTCAAATGTCCAACAATGTTAGACTGGATTAAGAAAATGTGGCACATATACACCATGGAATACTATGCAGCCATAAAAAATGATGAGTTCATGTCCTTTGTAGGGACATGGATGAAGCTGGAAACCATCATTCTCAGTAAACTATCACAAGGACAAAAAACCAAACACTGCATGTTCTCACTCATAGGTGGGAATTGAACAATGAGAACACTTGGACACAGGAAGGGAACATCACACACCGGGTTGTGGGGTGGGGGGAGTGGGGAGGGATAGCATTAGGAGATATACCTAATGTAAATGACGAGTTAATGGGTGCAGCACACCAACATGGCACATGTATACATATGTAACAAACCTTCACGTTGTGCACATGTACCCTAGAACTTAAAGTATAATAAATATATATGTATATAAAAATCTGATTTCATAATACCTTTGTGACATTTTTATTATCTCCTCTATTTGTTAGAGCAATGTTAGTTACTAGAACAGATAAGTTCCCAAATTCCACTGTTTACAACAATAAACATGCATTTCTTGCTCATGATGCAGACTAATGTAGGTGCTCCCAGTTGGGTAGCCTTCCAACCACCCACCAGCATGGTCATTCTGAGACTCAGGCCCCTTCCATCTTGTGGTCCTACTCCCTTCTTAGGGTCCTAGAGTCTTCTTTCTTCAGAACAACAGGGAAAGAGACTATGCAAAAGATGTATCTCTCTCTTCACCACTTGCCCGAATGACATATATCACTTCCACTCATATTTCCCTTGGGTAGAACCAGCTAATGGCCGAATTAGACATAAGGAGGCTGAAAAATGTGGTCCTTGGCTGAAGAGTTACTTCCCCATGACAACTCTTGTGGAAGGGGAACATGAAATTGTGATGGTCTGTTAGCTTCCCCTACCACACCTCTGAAAGTATATATGTTTAAGGTTACTACATCTAAATTGTGTTGCCTTTCTGGATAAAAGTTTCAATAAGGCAATAGGCTGACTGGATTATTATAAAAATATTAATAAGGCATTATATAGGCAATACTCACACTTCTCAGCTAGCATTCATTCCATTCAATTATTATCATTTTATAAAGACCTTATCAAAGATTCAGCTTCTCAGCAAAGGCTTTTTGGATTTAGGTAAGGATACAAAGATAATTTGGCCTTTGCAGATTTTAGGATTCCAGCTGAATTATCCCATTAGAAGTCTCCTATGGTCTGAACGTTTGTGTTCCCCAGGAAATTCATATGCTGAAATACTAACCCTCTCGATGATGGTATTGGGGAGTGATTAAATCATGAGGGCTGAGTCCTCATGAATGAGATTCATGTCCTTATAAAAGGTACCCCAGAGTACTAACTAGTCCCTTCTACCTTGTGAAGACAGAGCAAGATGGTACCATCTATGAGCCAGGAAGTGGGTCTTTACCAGACACCAAACCTGCTAGCACCCTGACCTTGGAATTCCCAGTCTCCAGAACTATGAGAACTAAATTTCTGTTATTTAGAAGCTCCCCAATCAATGGTATTTTGTTATAGCAGCCTATATGGACTATGATAAAGTCACTTCTGGCCTATTATGGGAAGGAGTCTTGTAGAGACGGCATTAGATTATAAACCTTCCAAAAATTGCTGTTCCAAAGACCTGGTCCCTGAGATTTCACTGTATTGAGCTAATAACACACCCATGGGAAAGCAGAATAAATCTAAATAAGCAGTTGGGATGCACAAATTAAAAAAAAAAAAAAAGGATGAAGAGGAAACAAACTCTCTGCAGAGTTTCCCCCTTTGGTTTGTGGTAACACTAACATTTGTTTCAAGTTCTGGGAAAGGCTTAGGGTTTGGCTTTGAATATCACCCAAACAAAACTGCAAGAGGTTTGTCCATACTCTTTTCCAAGGAAATGGCCTTTTATGGTTCACCACATTTTCAAGTAGATCAGTTATAAAATGAAAGGAGACATTTTTGCAAAACCAATTAGTGACCAAGATTATTATGATCTAATTGGTTCTATGTTTTGAAGGAAAACCATTGCCAAATTTATTAATAATGAGACCACATCTATCTGTTCTTAGAAAACCATTATATATTTCTCCTTTGGTATTTTTTTCTAGTGTTCAATTGTCAGGTTTTTATTTGATGTGTTATATATCTTCTTAGAACTCAAAGTGTCAAGTTTATTTGTAGGACCTAGAGAGAAGGTCTCAAGAAATCCATGCAGATGGGTCCTACAATGTTATTCCTTCATGTAATACATGTTTATTAAGCACTTATGATGCAGAGACCCTATGCTAAGCTCTGTGGGCAATTCAAAAGTAAATTAACCTCTTCCTTCAAAGAGTTTACTGTATAGCTGGAGAGAAATGATATGTATATAAATAACTATGAAGCAAGAGTCTACAAATTTTATTGAGCATAATATATCACATTACTTTATAGAATAGTCTTTGTAGCATAAGGATTATTTATCATGGTTAGGTAAATGCTTACTAAAAATTAACATATATCTGGTTTTCTTCTTATTTTATACTATGTGATAATATAGACTGTGTAAGTTATATACAATGATTTGTATAGAACTTCAAAACTATAAGAAATACCATTTTGTAGGTGGATATTTTGCTTACAATAGCGTTCTTTGAGATTCTGAATGATACTGAAAGTTTAGCTTATTGAGATATACATGTTCATTTTTTAAGGAATTTGATGCACAATTTTATATACAACAGGAGAAAAAGAACTCAAGAAAAAAATCTAATGAACTATGACCCAATTGCTTTTATTTCCAATCTCAAGAATAAACAAAAGATCTCACTAGTAAAGGAATCACCATATGCTATTTTGAAATAACTTATTTCAACTTTCCTTCTTTTAAAGTCCACACTGAGAATGAGCCAGTCTGTCAGTTGGAAAGGTATTTGATGATTTAGAGAGGACTCTACTGCCCTTCTCTCTTTCTCTTTTTCTCTGGCCAACCCACATTCCTGGAAGAAAGGAAGAACATATTCCCCGGAGTCTAGAGAAATGAATGGAGGCATTGTCAGCCCAGAGAGGATGGGAATGCTTCACACATGTGTCATAGTTTTCAATGTCCCCTGCTCCTTCTTCTCCTAAATATCTTTAAATGACTGATATCTTACCAAATGACATAAAAGGGCAATTCTGAAATCTCATCATGTGTATTTTTGTGCAGCTGCTGTGATTTTGTAATTTAAAACTGATAAACCAAATAAAGTAGAAAGAAACTAACAAGAAGGGGGGAAAACCAGTGGTTTGGGAACCAATATGCCCCAAAAGGGGGTTATTTTGCTCACATACTATTATAATCAATACAAGTAGCAGTGACTCAACCTCAAACTATTTTTGATATAGATGATAGAAAACAAGCCAAAATAGAGATATCAGAATAAACACAGTGACTTAAAGTATCTAATAAATTGCATTCTAAACATATAGCATAATATTCAGCTTCCAAAGCTTTATGCTAAAAGACAATTTAATGCAGCACATTATACCAAAGGAAGGTTCACATCTTCTTGGCTATATTTAGATCAATCAATCTTTCCTAATTAAATACATTTTACTTCTAAGCACAATACTTAAATTTTTTAAATCTGTACCTTATGAGATTATGAGAAATTCTGAGATTATGAGAAATCTGTATATTGTGAGATTATGAGAAATTAGAAGGCAAAGTAAAATCTCTAAGAAATCTTTCATTCAAAGAAGAATGTATGTTTCAAAGCCGCTACAAGACAAAATCCTGGTTTCTGGGCTCAGTGTCTTTTCTCAGATTAAGGTTTTTTTGTTTTTGTTTTTGTTTTTTTTTTTTAATAGCCTTTGAGTAACCTGAGAAATATAGAAAGGTTTACAATTCACTTTTCTAAACTTAAAACAAATTATTAAAAAATACTTATTAAAGGTGAGTTGGGAACTGAGTTATTTACAATTAGAACACTTATCAATAGAATTCTGTCTATTCTTTCTTCAGTTTTCGTAGAGTGCTTTCCTCTTAACTAAGTAAGAACTCCTGCAGCCCTGAATACAATGACAGGTTCATTTCTGTAAGCCATGCGCTGAAGCATGGTAATGCACAAATTTTACATTTCCTGCCATTTGTCCTCTCTTCTGGTGGCAAGAAAAATGTGTTTCTGATAAGTTTCTGTGTATGAACTAATCTGAATTCAATCTGGCCACATGCAAGAGTCAGGTCCTGTGTTTACCAGCTCTCTCACCTGTAAGAACTATAAAAGATAAAAGCTCAAAATGCTACCCTTTAAATACCATCTGGAACTGAGCTTGGCTGATACTCATACTATGAAGTAAGAAATCGTTGCATGACTGACTATATTGCCTCTGAAAAATAGTCCCCAAATGACACTGCAACTAACTTGGCTTTGGGAGTCCGGACATGATTCAAAATAGCTCCAGTTCACTTCAGAGAACAGCAACATAAAGTGATGTTTGTAAGATCCTGTACAATAGGCCTGCTAAATGCCACTGCAATTCTTTTTGCAAAGCACAGAGAAGTCAGATCAAATGAAGTAGTGGCAAGATGTTGTGGAACATCTTGCTCATGTGCAATCTCCCCTGCACCTGAGCAAACTCATTCCTGCTGTGTACGTCGTCTTCAGGTGAGAAACTGAAGAGGTTAGAAACAATGCAATTCCAACAGGAAGGACTCGAGAAGTTATTGCAAGAAGCCTGGACCTGGAATATGATTGTAATTTGGCAAGCTGAAACCTAATCAACTCTTTTTTCATCTGTCTGGAGAAAGATTTATTAAAAGAAAAAAGGAACCGTCAATGTGAGAAATGAAAAAATTCCAAAGAGTCAGAAGCTGGCCATGTTTACTGAGTCTTGTCCAATGGGGTTAATCGATAGGGCCCCTGAAGTGAGACCATCACCATGATGAGGACCATGGAACCACGCCATCCTTCCGGAGGGTGACTCTTTAGAAACACTTGAATTTGTTCTGGCTTTATATTTCTGAAAACTCAACAAACAAATAGAACTTTTGATTCAAGTTTTAGCTTTCCCAGAGCTCATCGACAGGAAGAAAGAGCCTGACCCTCACTCAATAGTTCCTAAGACACCAGAAGCTCATGAAGTATCATTTTTGATTATGAATAGATATCCACAGTCATATCTGTTGCTGTCTACTCAAATCAGTTTGGTTTGTGAGGCTCATTCAGTTCTCTTGGCCGACTGACTCAGGATTACCCAACACAGTTGAATTTTTGGATGGAGGACCAGGCTCTGGTCTGCTGTGACTTCAGGAGGTGATAGTCTCCTAGATGTGACCCATGCCCTTGCTAAGGCATTCTTCCCACCAAACCACAGTTCACCTAGGTGAAAAAGTTACACCAGCAAAGAAATACAAATGAGAAAATAAGCTTTACTAGGCAGAAGGCAAGACAATGAGAAGTGTATAATTGGAGCAGCAGTGGCGCCTGCTGTCTTTGTAAATTGCACTTCTGGGATATCAGTGCCTAATAATGATAATGCTATAAGCCAGAGTGGTCTTTATAAATTTAAATTTTAAAAAGTTCTTAAATTATTTTTACTTTAAATTTTAATTATTTTTTATTTTAAATTAAAGTTATTCCATGTTAATGTCACAAATATCACTCAAAAAATAGTAAATGTCCCTGTTGGCAGGAGCCAGGTCTAACTTTCACAATATTGGTTTTCATTCTAGGTGATATTTATGATTTAGGTAACATCATTGATCCTGTGCCATTCTGAAAACTTATAATACATTGCAGTTTAACCTCCCTTTTCCATAATTTCATTTTCCTAAACATTTAGCTGTCTTCCTTTCTTTTAGAACTGTATACCATGTGTAATGATTCTATTTAAGATTATTTTAAAAGACATTTTTGGCAAAAATTTCTCAATGCTTATATGAGTACAATAGTTAGCATATTCTTTTAAAAAATAAATAGCAAAAAGAAATCTTATTTTAGCAGGCACTGTTAAATGAACATTTTGTGCTCAGGGTATATACCTTTATGTTAAAGATTTTACCATAGCTTATTCATTCAGTCATTCAATAAATAGTTACTGAGACTCTATTGGTGCTAGGAACCAAAACAGACAAAAATCCCTGGCTTCATGTAGTGGGAGAAGGAGACAATAAAAGTCTCTTCTATTAAGTATAATAAATACCAGGCTAGTAATAAGTATTCAAGAGCAGAAATAAATCAGGAAGAGGAATAGATAGGAAGCACTGGCTATGGGTGGGGTGATGGGCCTCACCAAGAAGATGAGTCTGAAATAAAGACCTGAATTAACTGAGGAAGCAATACATGCAGAGCTCTGGCAGAAGAGTATCCGGGAAGAAGAGACAGAAAGAGAAACGACCCCAAGGTACAACAGGCCTGGCATATTTAAAGAGCAGAAGGAGGCCAGTATGTCTGGAGCTTAGGTCAGTGTTTCTCAAACTGAGTTCTTTGAGCTCTAGAATTTAAAGTGCCTTTTGTTAGCACTTTTACTAAAACATTATTAGAAAATACTATTCCTGTGGCTATGACTAACACCAGTGTAAACGTTCACCAAGTCCTTCCCATAGGCCAGGTACTGTGCTATGTGCTTTACTTTATTTAATCCTTCTAACAACTTTGTAAGACAATTTACTATTATTAAAACATACTATCATTATTTATGTATGTAACAGAGAAATGAAGGCTTGGCAAGGTAAAGTCACTTGCCCAAAGACATACAATGGGTGGTGAAGCCAGAACTTAAGTCTATGCAGTCTAAATCTGAGTCCAGAGCCTCCAACAAGAATTGATATCCTATACAAGAGACACAGAGATGTTTTAAAAATTTAGCTACTTCCATCATATCTATGGCAAACTCAATTTTGGTAGGTATGCTTTATAATCACCAGGAATAACCTGTAATAAACATTAAGTCCTTAAATTGGAAGTGGAAATTCCCTGTGGCATCCAGAAGTTAAACTTTCTACTTCTTTACTGTCTAATCTCACTCCTGTCGGGGGCCTGTTTCATTCAGCTTCCTTGGGGTCCTTGTTAAGGGGACTCCTGAGGCAGTGCCTGTGGCTTTTGACTTCTTCCATATCCCATCTGTGGACATCACTCCCCAGCCCCTACAGGTTGTTATTCTGAATGGGACACTTCTTCAGAGGAGAGCTCTCCTACGTGGTATCAAGTTGCTTAGACACCGGGCAGGAGTCAGGGCTGGTATACAATCAGATGTTTTATAAGAATAATTCCGGATATAAGGTAGAATATACATTGGAAGTTAAGGATCGATTAAGAGAAATTTCAAGCTAGACATGGTGAGGTCCTAAAATATAGATGAGATAGCCAGAATCAAGAAAAAGAAACTATATTTGAAGGTATTTGAGGGACAAAATTATTAGGACTTTAATAATAATAAATAAATAACTGGATTGAGTAGGTCATTAAGAGGGAGGAATAGACAATGACCAAAAATTCTAGAGAATCTAGATGCTAGTAATGGAGACACAGCAGACAGGAGGACAACAGAATGTAGGAGGTAGCTAACTGATGAGTTCTCTTTTAAAGAGGTTGCATTTAATGCATAGATAGATTAATTTAATTAAAATGTCCAGGAACTGTCTTAGTCTGCTGAGGTTGCCCTAACAAAATGCCATACACTGAGTGACTTCCACAGCAGACATTTTTTTTGTCACAGTTCTGGAAGCTAAAAGTCCATGATCAAGGAGTCACCGATTCAATTTCTGCTGAGGGCTCTCTTCCTGGCTTGTTGGCGGCTACCATCCCCCTGTGTGTTCACGTGGCCTTCCCTTGGTGCATGTCCATAGAGCAACCAGCTTTCTCGAGTCTCTTTCTATAAGGACACTCATCCTATCATGTCAGGACCCCACCCTTATGACTAATTTAACCTTAATTACTCCCTTAGGGGGTCCATCTCCAAATACAGCCCCACTGGGGATTAGGACTTCAACATATGAATTGGGGTAGGGGACAGAAACTTTCAGTCCACAATAGTAGCTAAAAATTTGGCTTCGGAATTTGCGGTCAGGCTGGAATGTGGGGATGTCAACATATAAATGAGAGCTGAACTGACTGCGTTGATGGGATCACCAAAGAAGACTGTAGAGGGAGAAGTGCTGAGAGTTCTACAACACCAGGTGACGCCAACATTGAAGAGGCACACGGAGGAAGCAACAGGAGCCAGGGAATTAGATTAAAGGGGGAAAGCCCGAAAAATAGAAAGGTAAAGAAAAGATCAGGAAAGGGAGATATTAGAAAATTCTAGGAGACGATGACTGGAGTTTCAATAATGTTAGATCTCCTCCACTGAAGAGTATGTGCACTGAGAAGTAGCCATTAAATCTGGCACTAAATACATCATTGCTCCCCTGTGTCCCCTTCAGTCCAAAATGTGCTATCATGTGGTTATGGTTTCTTTACTGAATGGTCATTTTCTGGGCTTCTCATGTGCCAACCATTGTGCTAGGGCCTGTGATGAAAAAGATAAATAACATATGCCTTCTAAGATCCTCCTAGTGAAACAATCACTTTACTGATGTCAGCAAACTCTGGGCTATACATCCTGTGCATATTAGCTCAGTACTTGTACCCAGTTTTCATTGGTTTAATTATCTTGGCACAGACTAACTCATCAATCAGATGTTTATGTTACTTATATTTCACTTACTAGTTCCAAGTTTTGCTCTCAACTAGTTCAAATGATGTGTTCTTTCAGTGTGGATCCTGGTGCAACCAGATCAAAAGTACTTTCTCTGTTGTCATTTGAACATTCCATATAGTCTCTTGCTCTCCTACTTGCAGAAACCAATCAGAATCAGTTTATCTTTTGAGCACACATACCCCGATGAACTTTTCTGGAATTCCCTTGGTCTTTTCCTATTTGAAATATTTTTGGAGGATTTTTTATTTGTGATCAACATACTGCTCTTGTAGGTGCCAAATGAGAATCTCTGAATTATACCAAACCATCCCATTTTTCCCTGGGTTTTTCCATTCTCTACTAACTCCTGCAAGAAGCTCCCATATTTCATCATATAAATTGTCACCCTCAAGAATAGAAGAAGCTCAGTGGTACTCTATCCCCTGAAGAATGTCTCTTATACGATATGCTTTCTTTGGCCAACAGTGTATACATTTTTAAAAATTAGTTATTCACATTTAAAAATAATATGTTTATGTAAAAATCTGGATTTTCACGTTCTCTTGAAAGATCAGATGATCTGACCACACTGGGCCTCCATTCCTTCTGGACATGCATTGGTTGAAGCTGTGGGCACTGCATCCTTTATAAGGGCCTTGGGTGTTCTATTTTGCCACAGTCTCCACCACCCCCTAATATATGATCCTTAGCTCCTGTATACTCCACCAGTCATTACTCTCATTTAGTTACTTACCAGGCTCTGAAAATATTTAAATTTGTGACCCTCACTCTGGTAAGATTTATCTAAAATGAAGTCGTAGGGTTTGCCTGGCTATATCTATCAAATTAGTCAAACACATTATATATATATCTAACACATTAGTCAAATTCTCATTTTATACAAGTCCCGGCATGTCTAGTTACCATACATATTGTAATTGCATGTTTTAAGTCAGATGGGAAATTCACATATTTTTGCAGAGGATGAATTACATAGGTTTTATGGTAGAGACTCATCAGCCCATGTTTCTTTCATGTAGCCTTCATATTTACCAATTTAGAAACTGTTTTGTCACCCCACAAAGAATATTTTTCCATACTGTGAATTCCGTTTTTGATTTTATTTAGGGTGCTTCCAGAAAACACATATGATATGCGTGCCACCTACAATAGTTCTCTTCTTGCTTTTAGTAAATACAAGGTCTGTTAGCACCCCTGCAGTGTAAGCCCACAGCAGCTACACTGTGGGACAACAGCTATTCAAGGAATGGCTACGTATTGATAAATGACAGACTTTGGTCTATAGCACTGTTAATCCAGCACCTTTAACTGTCAAAGGTTGGAATATTTTCCTCTAAAGTCTCCCCAGAACCAAATATTTACTTGAAAAACATATGTGCAGAATTCTAGAGTAAATAGAGACAGAGCAATGTGTCCATGGGTGAAAAGTCTGAGGCTTAGAATTCACATGTTGTGTTCCTAGATGTATCTCGAGCTTCCTGAGGGATTTCAGGAAAATCACTTTACTTGCCTAATGCAGCTGTCAGATGGAAATGTTATTATTTATCTGTGTTAGATTGCACAACCATGCTTTATCTTTACACAGCCTCAGATGCTGTGCAAACGGATCCCTGTGATATTCTAAGGGCCTTAAAATGTGTCAAGCAAAATGAAGCACAAAAGGCCTCTCTCAAGCAACCACAAGTCTATTTTCCCAAAGAAATACAAGATCAGGGATGATATCTGTCCTGTGGCCACAGAAATGGGCTTCACCCTACTCCTGTGTTGCTGGACAGACTGCCACTCTCTATCACTTTCCGTTCTAGTCAAACAGCAGGTCTCTCTATCTTCCCCCACCCCCCGCCCCACACTTTCCCCCATTTAATAGGAAACACATTCTCTTTCTGTAGGACACACAAAAAAAAAAAAAAAAGAAAAAGGAAAAAAAGAGGAGATTTAAGTAGAACAGCAGAATCTCTACTTACATACAACTTGCTAAATATATAGAGCTGAACATAGCCAGAGCCGAGAGAAAGGAAAAAAAGAAGAGTGTTTTAACAGTAAAGTAAAACCACAACTAATGACTTCAGGAGACGGGAGCTAGGTGGACAAGCAAAGCATTACAGTTTTAAATATATGGGATTTGGCTTCACCTCCCCCGTAAGTGGCCTGGCACCAATTCAAATAGGCTGGTCTGGCACACTAGTGCCTCGGAGAGGGACCACACTGGCAGATGGAAACGACCACAAAAGCCACAGAGAAAGTGCAGGCTTCCAGAGGCAACAAGTAGGCAACCAGATTGGCAGCAGAAACAATGCCAAGGCCCCTGCATTAGCAGGGAGGGCCAGCCTCACCAGCTGGATTTTCTTTCTCCTCAGGTTGGGATGGCCAATGGTGAGCCTGACTGGTGGGAGGATGGGCAGGCACCGTGGAGGATCCTAGGCCCAGGTAGCCCAACAATGGACAACAAGGTAGGATTGGAGAGAGCCTTCTCCCTGCTGGGTGCCATATTGCTGAAAGCCGAGACAGTCATGTTTGCGGAATATTTCTGTGTACTAAAAAGAAGGCAATAATCTTTATGGGCTTCTAGCTCTGGAAAATATTTTGCTGTACAAACAGTTGTTTTTCATGCCATTGAAGACTGCCAAATGATTTGGTACTGGAAGCATGCTTGCTCTGAGCTGTGTGAAAGTAAGGATTCTAGTTCAGTGGGTAGAAGACTCAGCAGGGGGCTTTAATTGGCCAGTCCCCATTTTTACCATCCATGGTGGTATCTACGCAATGCCAACATTGCTAGCTGGAAAGCTGAAATGGAATTAAAGCTTTCCCAAGGATAAACAATACATAATAGTGTGAAGATTTGCCCTGAGCTGGCTGATGCCTTTGACGGTTTAAATGCCAGCCTCAGTTTTCTCAATGTTAAAATAAGATAAAAACTAATTTCCAAGTCTTCCAGAGGGGTAGTATCAGCAAATTATTTCCAACTCCTTGAATGAGTTAAAAATGGTAAGTAGTTACAAAGAAAGATCATGATCTCACAGTGACTAGGAAACAACCATAATTGTGAACTTTATATAATTGTTCTTTCCCTTTTTATTTTTTTAACTAAGAAAACCAGCATGAATAGGAATAAAAATAACACAATGGCACCATTTCCTATTACTCTAAGCACGTCACCTATTACCTTATTTCATCTTACAAGCGCATTAGGCGTTATTAGACCCCAGTTCCCAAGAAAACTTGAGTTTGGCACATTTAGGAAACTTTCAGAAAAGTCAAAGTGATGGAAACCTAACAAGTCAAAGGAGGTGTGATGGGGGGAGAGGGGAGCAGAAAGAGGAGGGCTGTGTCCCCTGGGAGCCTTGTAAGCTGTACTACCTGAGCACATTAAGCTTGTGATGCTACATAAGGATATATGTATTTTTTTTTTTTTTTTGAGACAGAGTTATTCTGTCATACAGGCTGGAGTGTGGTGGCAGGATATTAGCTTACTGCAACCTCTGCCTCCCGGGCTCACCTCAGCCTCCTGAGTAGCTGGGACTACAGGCATGTGCCACCATGCCTGGCTAATTTTTTGTACTTTTTGTAGAGACGGGTTTCACCGTGTCGCCCAGGCTGGTCTTAAACTCCTGGGTTCAAGTGGTCCGCTCACCTCAGCTTCCCAAAGCGTAGATGAGGAATTTAACTAAGATGGGTAGTAGGTGGTTGGCTATATGGGCCTTTCATTCCTAAAGTTTGGGCTGGAAGCTATGACTTTGGTAAGCACATGGATGGTGTTTTAAGCCCACATGAGCATAAGAAATTGCCTAGGAAATGAATGTAGAGAGAAGGAAAGAGGATATAATATGGAGCCAGGAGAAATATGCAGGAAACAGAAGCCAACAGTGAAGACTCAGAGTCAAAGAAAAGTCACTTAACTGGAAGCCAATGGCAGAGACTATGTCAAGAAGGGAGTCGTCAAGTGCGTTGAATGATCGTGGCAATTCTGGTAAGGACTGAGGAATGTTCACTGGACTTGGTAAGATGAAGGTCATTGCTGACCTACGCAGAAGCAATTTCATTCAATAATCAGGAGAGAAGCCAAAGTATAATAAAGACTGAATAAAATTAAGGATGTGTAGACAGTAAGTGAAGATGCGTGGTTATGACAAGGAGAAAGATGAGAGACAACCTGGTGTGTGAGGGACCAGGCAGAATTTGCAGGCTTTGTTGGTTCATTTGAGAGAGCAATGTAAGCACACAGAAGCGCTACTGGAAGACTCCAGGAGCCAGGGAAAGATCGATGATGCGGGCGGGGATCCTGGTGCCATGAGGGTCCTGGAGAAGGCACTGGCGGTGGGTGTGGAGATCCAGGCCACACAGGAATGTGATTGTCTCTGCTAGGTGAGACCTCTCCCTTTGGAACAGAATGGCAAGAGGCAAGGATGGCAGATTAAGGGAAGAAGAGAGAATGCAGAGAAAGCTGCAATTACAAGGAGGCCCTGGCAGGCTCTGAGGCTCTCCCTGCATTCCCCATCCTCCTTTCTCCTATGTGGCTTTCTGGCTCAGAACCCTCTTTCTCCCAATGTTCTGTCATCTCCAACTCTTTTTCTTTTATTTCAGATAATTCCTCGTTTACCTCATTTTGCATACTAGCATATCACCTTGCCTTTTCATTGATCTTTTTCTTGCGTACGCATCTTGTTTGAGAAAGGAACTCTGGTTGTTCTTTTATTACTGGTAAATACATACAACATAAAATTTGCCATTTTGCCTATTTTTAAGTGTACAATTTAGCAAAAAACCTGGTTTTTATTTTATTACTTGTAAATACACATAACATAAAATTTGCCATTTTACCTATTTTTAAGAGTACAACTTAGCAGCTTTACGTACGTTCATTCACATTGTTGTGCAGCTATCACCAAGATCTATTTCCAAAAACTTTTTCATCATCCCAAACAGAAATTCTGTACCCAGGAAACAATAACTCCTTTTTCCCTCCTTCCTTCTGCTCTGAAGATCTCAATTCTCGTTTCTGTCTCTATGAAGTTTCCTATTCTAGGTGCCTTCTATAATTGGAATCACATAGTATTTGTCCTTATTTTACCTAGCATATTTGTAAGATTCATTATAACTCTATCAGAATCATTTCTTTTTATGACCAAATAATATTTTATGTCTAGGCCTCATTTATCTACTCATCTGTTGTTTCCACCTTTTAGCTATTGTGAATAATGCACTATAAACATGGGTGTGTGCTTTCGGTTCTTTGGGGGTATATATCTAGAAAGAGAATATAGCTGGATGATAAAGTAATTCTGTGCTTAACTTTTTGAGAAGCTGCTCAACTGTTTTTCATAGGGGCTGTACTATTTTACACTCCCAACAGCAATGCACGAAGATTCCAATATCTCCATATCATCACCCACACATTTTATTTTCTGTTGTTGTTATTATTATTATTTTGGAATAATAACTATTGTAGTGTGAAGTGATATTTCATTGTTGTGTTATTGTACATTTTCCTAATAACTGGGGTGTTGAGCATCTTTTCATGCGCTTATTGAACATCTGTATATCTTTAGAGAAAATGTCTATTCAAGTCCATTGCAAATTTTTAATTGAGTTGGATTTTGTTTTGAATTCTCTGCCTTTCACATTATCTTTTTGGATCTCCTCCATTCTGTAGCAAGATACTCTTGATAAATTAGAAAATTACAAAATAACTTTTTGTTTTTAAAAAACATTTTTATGAAAAATTTCAAATATGAAAATTTAAAGAATTGTGTTGTGATGATCACCATACCTGACATCTAATTTTTGTAATTGATATTTTATTATATTTGACTTATTTCATACCTATCATCTATCCAACATTCTACCTGTACATCAATCAAGCTTATTTTTTGGATGAATTTAAGATAAGTTGAAGATATCAGGAAATTATTTTTAATGAACAAAAACCACTCTCATGGAATGTGTAAGCTTGAGGCAGGGGTACAGCTGTCTCTGGGACTTCTCTGGCAGATAAAGTACAAGCACAGAAGAGGGGTAAAAGTCAGTGGGGGTTTAAAACTCTTTTACTTTGAATATGGCTTAATGAAATTTCTTGGGAAAATGAATCAAAGAAAACATTCCCAAGGAACAGGCAGTGCTGACAGGGAGATGTCACTATCAGAGCACCCGGGCTGTATATTACGATGGTTGCTGGGCAACACCGCTGGCTCATCTGGTTCACATGTAAATAATGAATCCTGGGCTAGAAGCAAAACTTCCTGAGGCTAGTAGGTTCCAGAATTAGCTCTTAAGCCTCTCTGTCCCTCTCCTACTATAGCACTGGCTCCTTGGTCTTCCCCAATGGGCTGTTAACTCCTTTGATGTCAGAAACCATATTCTATTCATGTCTATGCCCATTTCTTTTTCAAAACATCATCTAACATCTAGGATAGTGTTTTAGACAGAGAAGGTTCACAATGACTTTTGCAAGCTCCATTAAGCATCTATATCCTCCAACCTCAGGGTTCATTGGACTGTACTTTGCATTCTTTCCTGTACCTACACCCTACCTTTGAGGAACTCCTGGAAACCCTGTCAGGAGTTCAAGGGTCTAAGTTGCCCTTTCTTATTGCAACCAACCTATTGCCTGCCTAGCGTCTTCCATCTTTGTCAAACTTCTCATGCTTAGACAAACGTCCCAGCCTGTACGATGCCCTTTGCCTTTGATCCAGCATGAATAAAACCCTCCTCAAGGTCATTTATGAGATTTCATGTCATGGAAGCTGAGTAAGAAGGGGACCTTCAATTTAAAGGTGCAGAATGTAGACTTGTAGACTATGCTCAGAGAAGCATTATGTCACATTTTAAGAAATGGAATCTCATGATAAGAGTGAGAGAAATTATGCTTTTCGGTTGGAAGAGCATCTTCAAATAGGAAACAAGGAAGATTGCCAAAGATAATGTTGTAGTCATCCAGACATGAAAAATCAAAAACAGGGCTCTTTGATGGGGGCGAAAGTCAGTTGCATATGAGAAACAAGACCACAATCAGATTTAGAAACAGATTATAATCTCTGCTTCGCAGTTATGTAGTCAGAAAGACTCCCTGAGTCTTCTGACAAAGAGGGTAGATGGAAAGGCTTACCAAGGGCCAGCTGGAGACCAGGGAAAGAGGCAGAGAGGTGGGAGGGAGTGGGCAAGGAGTGGGATTTCGACAGAACGATGAATTGCATCCAAATAAATAAGATTTAATAACAGCATATGAAAAGACAAAGTCCTCATTTTCACCTGTCTCTGGATTTGCAAACATAGATATTTCCTTTAGAGAGGAAACCACTATATTTATGATTGGTTCATATTTCACACCTTTATTCATACATATCCTGTAATGTAAAAGGCCTATTTCTTATTACATAGGAAATGCTAAATGCACTGGGGAGTCACAGAAATGCTCAAAGCTTTTCTAGAAGTTAACATAAGTAGCTGGTCACAGGAGTACAGCCTAAAAAACAAAGCCTTCTTTCTGACTCTGCAGAAATTAAGTACTGACATGTGAAACCTGCTGAGAGTTTCGTCTGTTTTTACTATCAAAGCCTCATTCTTTTTTTTTTTCTAAGTATGAGCATACACACATGATTTAAAGATGCTAGCAAACGCTCATACGCCTGCCGCTTATACGCCTGCTACAAGGTAAAGAATGCGGCAGCGCCCCCTAGTGGTTTCTGTGTGGAGTTACAGCCTACGAATGTGCAAATACACGGGACCCTTCAGCTTTCATCCCTTGACAGCCAGGACACTAAAACACCAAAAGCTGGAATTTGTTAATATTATAATGCCAAACAAGATTTCAAACAATATCAAGTTTATTAGGAGGAAAAATGAAGACAAGTCAGATATAGAAACTTTCACTCAAACATTTAATGAAAATAAATGCAATATCATTTGCAAATCCAGTAAGGTCACACTTTAAATACAGAAAAAATATAACCTATAGATCATCAAACGCAGGTGAGCTGGCTTTGGAAAATTGGGTTTCTATTGCTAAGACAAGGGAAGATTACCAATTTAATTCTTGCTCTAGATAATGTCATAAATTTAGCTCCTTATGTATCAGATTTAAGTTTAACAAAGTAAATTAGCAAAGCCGACAAAATTTTCCCCTTCTTGCCACATAGCTAATAACTTTATACATACCAACTGTTCTTAATTTTAAAAATGATTGTAAAATGCTCCACTCACAATTCTCTTCTTCCCACACTTTCTCCTTACTGCAAAGTGTATTTAAGAGTACTGGGGGGGGCGGGGGGGCAGGCGCGGTGGCTCACGCCTGTAATCCCAGCACTTTGGGAGGCCGAGGCGGGCGGATCACGAAGTCAGGAGATCGAGACCATCCTGGCTAACATGGTGAAACCCCGTCTTTACTAAAAATACAAAAAAGTTAGCCGGGCGTGGTGGCGGGAGCCTGTAGTCCCAGCTACGTGGGAGGCTGAGGCAGGAGAACGGCGTGAACCCGGGAGGTGGAGCTTGCAGTGAGCTGAGATCGCGCCACTGTACTCCAGCCTGGGGGACAGAGCGAGATTCCATCTCAAAAAAAAAAAAAAAAAAAAAAAAAAAAAAAAAAACCAAAAAGAGTATTGACGGTAGTTCCATAGGTGAGGCTGTTTAAGATACTATGAAAAGAAAACGTGGCCACCCGTCCGTAAATGTTAGCCCTCAAATAATAATGATGACTAACACACTACTTGTTAAGAGTTTTATAGAGTTTATCTCATAGCAAACCAGTGAGGTGGACGTGATTAGCTCTCCCATCCTACAGGGGAGGAAATTGAGTCTAAGACCACACAGCTTACAGGGTGGCTCAGGTAAAATTCAGATCTAGGGAGTCTGACTCCAGAGCTCAGGCTCTTAATCACTCGAGGAGGTGCTGCCTCCCAAACACGATGATATCTGGTCTACAGTGGCAGGTTGCACACAGATGGGTCAGCACGTGAATTGGCACGTAAATTTGTTGCCAAAGGAATGAAGATGGCAATGTGCTTGAAAAGTTGTATATCATCAAAGACTCATCAAAAAGCATGCCATTATCACTGCTGGTGCTTGCCTCGTCCCACTACCTAAGAACTACAGCTTTAGTAGTGTGTGTGAAGCTAAGATTCTAGTGGAATTGTTATTTAAGGGGAGATCTCCGGAAATTATGGGGCTGCTCCTACTAGCTAGAATTTCTTTAAAGCATCAAATTGGATTAAAATGAAAGACCTGAAAAGCAGTTCCAGCTAGAAACAAGGAACCAACCAGACAGACCACAGGGAAGCTTGACAACTTCTAGAAAGAAGCATTTTCCCCTGACTTTGCCCACAGAGCAGTGAGAGATATACAACCCAGGTCACTTACAATTTTTTGTAAGCTGCTTCTGTTCTTGGGGTTTAGGAAGTAATCAGCGACGCTTCCTATAGTAATGGGGGAAAGTGGAAGTTTTCATTCTATTTTTAGAAAAGAAATATAGGCCTAGTTTTTTACACTATCTTTGATAAAATTAGACAACTAGTTAGAATTATTTTACTTTCTTGTTATTTTTTAGCACTAAACTAATATATGATCATTGTTACCAAGAAAATCTTCAAAAGATGTATAAAGGAGAAATTAGTCATCTCCATCCACCCAGGGTCCCTTTCATTCCCTCCTTCCTGAGGTAACCAATGTTAACATCCGATGTTCATCCTTCTACCACTTTATGTATACCCATACAGACATATACACTCATATATAGACATAGGTAAGGTTTCAGCTTTTTATTTGGTTTAGAAATGAGATAGTACCATACATATTGTTCTACACCTTGGTTTCCTCACTCATCATGACATCTACATCATAGAAACCTCTCCAAATGGACAGACATAAATGTAACATTCTTTTCAAATAGCGGCACAGTATTCCATAGTATGGACATGCCACAATCAATTCAAATATTTTCCTAATGGTGAAAATTTATTTTCTTTACAGTTTAAAGGACTGGAAGATAATGAGGTAATAAACATAGTGTAACATATGTTTATCTCCTGCTGCTTGCTTTCCAGAGATTCTCCAAAGTTAGATAGCTTAGTCAAAGCATATGTATTTGTAAATTTTATTAGATACAGCAAGATAACTTTCAAAAATGGTGACAACTAATACCCAACCAGCAACATTTAAGATGCTCATTTCCTAACATTCTTACCAGGAATAGATAATTTTACTCTTGAAGTTTTGCTAGTATGATGGGCTTTAAAATACAGTCAGCACCCCCTTATCAGCGGGCTCTGTATCCGTGGACTCAATCAACCGTGGATAGAAAATTTTGAAAAAAAATTGCATTTGTACTGAACATGTATAGACTTTTTTCTTCCTGTCATTATTTCTTAAACAATAGTATAACAATTGTTTACATAGCCTTTACATTGTATTAGGTATATAAGTAATCTAGAGGTGATTTAAAGTATACAGGGGGATATGTGTAGATTTATGCAAATAGTATACCATTTTATATCAGGGACTTGAACATTCAAGGATTTTGGTATCCATGGGAGGTCCTGGAACCAACCCCCAATGGATAACAAGGGGCAACTGTATCTCATTTTGAGTTTGATTTGCATTTCTTCTGTAACCAGTAAATGAGGTTGAGCACATTTATAGGCCATGTTCATGTCTATAGGCCATTTGGATTCCACTTTCGAATTATTTGCCTATTTTTCTACTGAGTTATATGTCTTTAAAAAATAATTATAGAAACTCTTAATATTAGGGATACTAACCCTTCATTTTTCCTATGTACTGCAACTTTTCTCCTAAACTTTTCTCCTAACCGCTCATTTTTCTTTCTTCTTTTTATACTATATCATCCAATTTAAAAAGTTACATGGTTCATTTTTTTTCTTTTAGTATCTTGGTTTCCTGTCTTGGTAGGAAATTTTAAAATATCTTTAATTTCATATTTTATATTTATATCTTTAATTGATCTGGAATTCATTTTGTAATATGGATTGGTGTTTAGCTTGCTTTTTCCTGTGTTGGATAGTCATTATGTCAGCAATGCTATCCAGTTTTATTTAGTTGAACCAAATTTTTCCCACTGAATTGAAATGCCATCCTTGTCAATTTTTAATTTCTCACATATATTTGAAACTATTTCTGGATATTTACTGTGTTGCACCAATATCTTTCTCTGTGCCCGTGCCAGCTCTATCCTGTTTGGTTTGTAGTAGGGTTATAGAAACAACTGATAACAATTTGTAAGGCAAGCTTCACACACAACTCTTTTCCCAGGACTTTCTTGGGTCTTGTCACACCCTTTTTCTTCCATGTGAGCCTTGAAATCATTTTATCCAGTCCCTTCCTGCAAACAAAGAATACATAAACCCAATTGATACTCTAATAGAAAATGAATTTAATTAAAATAACTTTAAAGGATAAGCATTTATAATACTGTCATATATTCTCCTGCCATTCAGAAGTACATCCTTTGTTGATAACTTGTACTTTCTATCTAGAAAATTGTCAGGTTTTTTTCACTGTCCTTTTGAAGTTTAGAAAGTCACTCGGAAACATCAAAATGCTTCTTTCAGGACTCGATAAAACTTTCTTGTCTAGAAACTCAACACCGTCTTCAGAAAACTATTTTATATGTTATTAATTATTTTTCCTGTTTTTATCTCCAATTATTTCTTGTTCTAGAACTCTTATGAGTGCATGCTGTGTGTTCTAGATATGTCTTCCAAGTCTGTTTTCTGTAAACTTCAACTTCTGCCTCTTAATTTTCTACATCACATTTTCAGTTTTTACAGTAATGATTCTTCTAATCCATTTACCTATTAATTTTTAATTATACTTTTTTTTAGTTTTAGAGTTAAATTTTGGTACCCTAATTACATCTTCCTGACAGTTCTGTGCTGTTTCTGTTTTTTGTTAACATTCTCTTCTATTTCTTCATTGAGATCTGCTGCTCTAAGACAGTCACATGGGCTCCCCATCAGGATCATATTTTTCTTTAGTGAGTTGTCATTATTCTCTCCTGACCAGAGTTTTGCGTTTCTTTAGCACTCACACATAAGTTGGTAGAGATTCCTTAGCAGTGGCAAACGGGCTGGTGGTAGAAAACGAGTCATTTCTTCTCTTACCATCTGCAAGGAATTCATTCAGGAATGAGGAGCCTCGAACATGGAGCGGGGTGTGGAAAACCGCCACTGTATCCCCAGCTTCCCAGGAACAAGAAGCCCCCTCTTCCACGAGCAAGGCATGAGAACACTTCTGACTTCCATGGGCATCACTTCCCAGGGCCCCAGCCATCCACAGCACTGATTCAGGTGTTCCCAGGTCACCGAGATCAACTCCGTAGCTGAGGATGCTCTTTGAGGGGAGGGGATTCCCAGGTTTTCTAGGGCTCAGAAGGTAGTGTCTAAAGCTGGGCCTTTGCTCTGTCTTGAAAAAGGACATTCTTTTCTTCTGTTTCCATTCTTTAGGTTCTCACCAGGAACCAGGGCAACCACATCCCCTACTTCTTTATTCCCCATTGATCTCAAGAGAACCACAGTCCTCACTGGTACCCCTCCAGATATCTCTCCCAAAGAGGGAGTCAGGAACAGGCATTCAATCCTGTCCCTACACATCTTGTTACTGGATTTGAACACATGAAATACTGGACATTTGTCAGACATTTCTCAGACCCTTAGTCATCTTCCAGTTACAGACAATCTCAATGATAACCCTGAGGAATTAAAATGCCCATTGAAAAAATGTATAGAATGACTGGAGGGCAGGCTTGTGTGTCTGAGTTCAAATGTACTTAAAATAGAATGAGAAAATTTATCAACAGATAGTAGCAAGCAAGAACTTTAATTCATGTAAACTACACTGATAACACTTTTCTATTTCAAGACTAATTCACACTTACATACAAAGGGGCAGGAAATTAGATAGTATTTATTACAGGTAAGCATTAGCATGCTATTTTATTTGTAATAAGTATATATTTTTGAGGAGTCTCATAGTACATGATTCCATTGGGGAATACCTCAGGGATTCCAAACACATTAGAGATTGCCCCTCGGAGAACCCTGTCCCTGTCCATGAATCACACCCTAGTCAATAACAGTCCAGGCCAACCTCTCTGCCCTGAACTCTCCCTTCCAAAAAATATTTCAGTTCAATAGTTTCTGAGGCACACATTTTGGTTTTAGCTTTTGGTTGAGAGTAACATGAGGAGCCTTGAGACCTATGTATCCGTAGGGTTTTCAAGAAATGTAATGGTTGATTACTCTTGATTCACAGGGCCTTAGCAATGCCACATAAGAATTTCCATGAAATATAAAATCTTCTAATTAAGCATGAAACAATAACAGTAGGCTGAAGTAGCCTAATTTTTTTTCTGGATGTCTTGATCTACTAAAAAAAGAACCTAACGCAAATATGGTAAATAGTAAGATTTGTTATATCTGGGGATGAGTATACTGGTGTTTGCAACGTCCCTCTCTATATTGATGTCTCTATGTTAATGTCTCTATATGTAATGTCCCTCTCTGTAGGTTTGAAGTATTTTGTATCAAATTCAAAAGACTCTTATTGACAGAAGTGATAACTTTCTATAGACTTAGGTAATAAGCTGAGACTCAAACCATTAAAAATGCATTTATATGCTGTTAATTTCCACTTGACACGTCTAGAATGTGCATTTATGATTTGAGCAAATGGGAATATTTTTATAATATCCTACCTATACTCCATCATTTCTATTTTTTACTGACAACTTGCTATTCCTTATTTGGGATTAACGAAACAACTGCTTACATGGCTTCCTTGTTTCGTGTCTGAAAGTGAGGGGTGGCCAAGCAAGGTTCTCTCGCATCACGGATGCCTCCAGGGGATCTAGAGCTCTTTCCTCACAACATCCAAGAATCCTCTCATCAGTCTATCGTCGCTCAATCCATATGCAAATCTATCCAAAAACTCAAATGGATTTTCAGACTGTGTACAGGGTACAGAACGGTGCTACATTCACAACTTTTCCTTACTATGTCACATAGTACTTTGTTTTCTTTGCTCAACTCAAAAGCTGAGATTTATTCAACTATGTAAGAAAAAATATAATACACACAATACATTCTTGCCTAATCCTATCTTGTTTTCAGTGAGAGAGAGAGATTGAGGGAGAGACAGTCAGAGAGTGAATCGGAATTGGAATCTCTTTGTAGTGACAAGGCACACAGACCAAAAAAGGGTTATGGCCCCCCGCAATGGACGATGCGTTTGCCGCAGTCCAGGAACTGAATGAACGGCACGTGGAAGAATCCTAGTCCTGGAGAGGCTCTGAAACCTTCTGATTGTGATTTTTATATGCTACTGCTTTATTTTCTTTCCATTGCTTTGGTTGAAGAGTTTAACTGCCACAAATTTCTTTTTTTTACACTACAGGGCACCACTGTCTAGTACTCAACCTACTGGTTAATGTTCAGACTTAGTATTTCTCAAATAACATAGAACAGTGTTTTGGAAATTAGCCCCTGGATGGGCTCCTGAACTGGCTGAATACACCTTGGCTTTTCTTGTCCCAGTGCAGCAGTCTGGAATAGCAAATATGGGAAGCCAAGCTTTTTACATACCGCGTAATCCACAGTCCAGCATCTTTGACCCTGTCTGATGCCGTTTTCAGAAAGGAAGGATGGGGTACACGTGAGCCTCCTCTCTTCCAGCTATTGCAATTATAGCTTTCATGTTGCACTGCCATACAGAATGAGCAACGTGAATGCTCAGGTTTACTCCTTTTGGAAATATTGAAATTATGGCATCTAGCAATGTTCAAAGCTGCATCCCTTAAATTTTACATTCAATTAAGCTGAGGCTTAAATAAGGGATAGGTTTCCTGGTAACTAAAATACACCCAGCCAGTACACAAATGAGAAACCTTTTGAATGAACCACAGATAAGGAAAGCAACTTTGGAATGTCTTCCCCAGTCCGTGGAAAAGGAAAATAAAATGACCACCTAGGCTGACAGATCAAGCCATCTTCTGCACAAAGCACTCCATCAGCTTCCTACCTTAGTATCCAATCCATATATATACATATATATACCAGGCATGCAAGGCCTCCTAGAAGCTGCCCTTTCCACATACACTTGTTTAATCTTTTGTCTACAACTGGTATTCCTTCCCTTCCTCCCTCCCTCCTTTCCTTCTTCTGCCTCTCCCTCTGTCTAGCCACACAGGCCTCCTTGAAGCCTCTGCTTTGTAGCCACAGGGCTTCTTCACACACTTTCTTCAGGCCTCTGCCTACATGTCACCTTATCAGAAAGACCTTCTCGGACCACCAGATTAAGACCAGCATTCAATCAATCAATAAAATAAAATAAAATACAACCATCATTTCCCATTGTTCCCTGAACTTCACTCATTCAATTTTCATTTTAGCACTTCCCACCAACTTAGTATTTGATATGTATTTATTTCTTTTCTCAGTACCCCCTTCAAGGTAAACTCCACAAGAGAGAGAACTTTACACCTGGAACATTAGCTCTGAATATGTATTTGTTAAACAAATGAATGAAAATTATTGATGAAAATAGATGAATAAAGAGATAAATGATGTTTTATTCTTTCTTCAAAATATAAGTTATTATGATATCTACTATATCTTGTTACTCATTAGGGCACCCTGATAATTTTATTAGTGTCATAAATGGATGACTACATTAGCTATAAATGCTATATTTGCTATTACTGTTACTATTAATATTAGGACATGGGATAATATTGTGTTTTATTATTTGTGAATAAAATGCTATACATCTCATGCCTCTAACACTCCATTGTTATATTTATTAATGTGACTGTTCTTAACCCTTTTGTCATGTATCTCTTTGAGAATCTAAATCTAATAAAATCTATTGACCCCAATACCCAAAAAAACACATGCATAACTAGATTCTGTAGAAAATGTATGACTGCATGAACTTTTCTGAAGCCCAGTCAAACCCGAGGTTAGGAGTTCCTGAATTGAGCTTTAGAAACAGTAATAAATACATTGTCTTGCATTTATCAGTCAGAAAATCTCCTCTCCACACCATATATTTATTACATTGGGCCTACTGAAATGCCCATTCTTTCTGAAGGTATTTGTTTAATTTTGATGTGGTTGTTACTGATAGTGGTGCCGTGGTTATGTATGTATGTGCATATGTGCATGTGTGTATGTGTATGTTCCTGCTACAATTCACATATTAAAACATATGGAAGAGTATTATCTCAGATATGTCACTTTGCAACTATGAAATTTCTGGTGAGTAATTTAATTTTTCTGAATCATTTATCTAATCTTTAAAAAGGGTGAAATAGCAGATACTTTAGAGCACTGTTATAAAAATTAAATAAGAAAATATAGGTAAAGTCTTTTTGGCACTTCCTGCCTGACATAGGTAAATACTCAACAAATAATAACTATTATTATTATCCTTGCTTAGATACCACTTTTCTTGTATCTGATGTTTTTATCTTTCTCTTCTTTAAGTACCCTTAGACCAGCCTAATAGATGAACATATTTTAAAAATCATCTTGTGTTTCCAAATGGTAATACACATTGGCCTTTCAGTATACCCCCTTTTCTATGACTTTTCTAAAACTGGAACTAATTCAGAATTTATTGTGGTTCACAGAGAATGAAAGATTAAATCACTGTTGGATTACATGCAGAAATTAACCCAATTATTCTTCTAAATGCAATATATTTGCTGTACAATATCAGTATCACCAAGCAAGAGAAGAAATTACATTACTCTAAATATACACCAGATGGCTCGAGGATGACACGGTTATTAAAAAATAAAAGTCTTGATTGTTTATAGTTTCCCCAAGGGCAGAATCTGTGTCTAATCTGTGTCTGTAATTTACCCACAGCAGCCGGTAGAGGGACATAGGATGAAATAACTTTGAATTTATGGTAATAGCAACAATTCGCCATTCTTTTTGCAACAGTAGTCTCTGCTAATTTGTCTAAAAAGACTTGAAGATTTCAATTCAGACCACAAAAAATAAAATGGTGATACTTTAGTTTCTAAGGTGGCGGCTAATTGATTGCAAAGGACAACCAAAAAATGAAATTTTGCATGCAGAAACTTGATTTAAAGTTTAAAAACTCAGAGTGGTAAATTGTGTTGCTACTCAAGATGCATCATTCTGAGTAGAAAATTTAGACCAGATTCCTTTGCTTTTTGTTAATTTTACTCTTTCATTGAAAAAAAAAAAAGGAGGGACTGTGTTCTTATTTTCCACTAGACACTAATCTAGGTCCTGGGAACTCAATGGAGGGCTGGTGGATGCCACCTACTCTCTTCTCCAATCCTGACTTCTCAACTGGGACACCTAAGGACTACCCAGTTATATCCTGACCCATTTTTTCTCAACCCCATAATTCCAATTTTCAACTCCAGTTTTTGTATTAGCCTAAAGTGCCTTTGCTTGGGTGATACTCTAGACCTGCAATGCCCAGTAAGGCAGTCACAAACCCCGAGTAGCTATGGAGCACTTGAAATACGACTAGTCCAAACTGACGTATGCTGTAAGTGAAAAATATAGGAATTCCTAAGATTTACTATCACAATAGGAATATAAGCTATCCCATTTATAATTTTTAAATATTGATTGAACGTCAAAACAATATTTTAAATTACTCATTTGACCTATTTCTTTTCTTTTAAATGCATCTATTAGAAAATTTTAGATTACATATGTGGCTTGCATTATATTTCCATTGGACAGCGCTGCTGTAGACTCTCTTAGTAATGTTTTGGATTTCATCTTTGTTTGCATCCCTGATATAATGAGGTAGGAATTCCCTGATCTAACACCTGCCATGTAACAGCTCAACAGACCTTAACTTGTTACTCCCACCTTGATGGTCTTCGTCAGATACAAACTCCATTTCAGACACTTCAAATAAAATGCAAATAAAAAGTAATACACAGCATTACTTTTTAGTAGTTGTTTGGGACAGTTCAATCCAATGCCATCAAACAATAATCTATGGGAGATGCTCCAGCGACTACGAGGAAGCATGGTAGGATATAGAGTATATGTAGTTCCTGCCCATAATGAGGTTACAGTAGGGTGGAAGGGGAATGACAAGAGATCTAAACCATAAGAGAGGAGAGAGGGAGAGCATGACTCATTAGGAGTAAGCAGACAAGACACTTGGGTGACCTAGTTTGTGCACAGCATCCTATTTGACACCACTGCTTATTTGTATCAGAAAATTGGAATGTACCAAAGGGATTCAGAAATGAGAAAATGCCCAGTAGGTAGGAGAAATTGGAGAAAGTCCCGAGAAGGAAGCAATAAATGAGTTCATGCTTGAAGGGTGAAGGGGAAGAGTGAGGGATCATATATTTTGGGTAAAGAGGAGGAAGCAAGGACAAGAATGTTTGGGAAGGAGAGAGTAGTTGAGTTTGGCTGCAGCAGAGGAGCCAAAGACTGGAGAAGTACATGGGGTGTGGGATGAAAAATGTGAAAATTCTGGATTCTGGGCTAGGATGTATCATATCAGAGGTTGGATGTATACCTTAATGTAGTAGACAATTTTGAGCCATCAGAACTGTGCTTTCAGAAGAATAATCTATAATGTTTTATACATGAAGAGAAATGAGGGAGAGGTCAGAAGTGAGCAGATCAATTAGAAAACTCTTGAGAGAGTCTGTGCCAGACAGGCTGCCATTCTCTCTTCCACACTCTTGGCAAACATTGCCAGGTGATAATGCACCCTTTCCCAAATGCAACATCTGATTTCTTCTCAACACAGTGTTGTAGGCAGCTATGAATTGGCCACACACACACACACACGTACACACACACACACACACACACAAAATCATTTCTCTCTATTTCATTTAGCAAAAGTGTTCAAGCCCTTATCTGGGGTAGTAGCAGTTGGTAAAAAAAGGAAAAATGCAAAATCATATCAGAGGTTGGATGCATACCTTTGACATCTCATTGAAGAAGAGCATATGACTGCACTAAGCATTCATGACCACTTGACTAAGCATTCGTGACCACTTGACTAAGTTGGTGCCACTGGTACAAGCAGAGAAGCTCAGGAAGAGTCTCGTCTTCCCTGGGAAGATGGGTTCAATTTCAGGCTATGAAGCAGCAGTGGATAATTTAGGAAGAAAATATCAGGAAGCCTTGGGGTATGCATGCCTGGGTCTGTGGACAGAAGATGGGACTGAAAGTCTTGACTGGAAAAATGTTTACCAAGATGTCATAGTTGAAGATGTGAGTTTATGCTTAGAGAAAGAGCAGGAAGGCTTAAGGAAACAGTTTTGGGGCAAGTCTACATTTGTGTGGCAGGATGAGGGAAAGGCAGGATGAACATATGATTATAGAGGTCCAGCAAAAACAAAGCAAGCAGAGTACCAGAGAGGCTGAGGGAGGAAAGAGTTTTACAAAGAAAGACATTCGTTATTTCAAAGGTCAGTGTGAGGAGAGCTGATAAAACATAATCGGATTTGTTCCTCGAGGCATCACTGGTAATTTTTGAGAGTCTTCAGGGTTAGAGATGGTGGGGATAGAAGCACATCTGTAATGGAGTGAGCTGATTGTTAAGCATCTATCAATGAGCATAAGAAAGGGCAAGAGAAGAAGGAGTAATATTTTGGAAGAATTACAAGAGAGAAGGAATGTGGCAACCATTTTCCAGCACCATTTATTGAAGAGACTCTTCTTTCACCATTGTATCCTCTTGGTTCCCTTGTCAAAAATTAGTTGACCATATAAGTATGAACTTATTTCTGGACTCTATTGTGTTCCACTGGTCTATGTGTCTGTTTTAATGCCAGTACCGTACTGTTTTGATTACTACAGCTTTGTAATATAATTTTAAATCAGAAAGTGTAATGTCTTAATTTTTCTCTCAGAAACATTTTGGCTATTCAGGGTCTTTTATGGTTCCATATGAATTTTAGGACTGTCTTATTTTTGTAAAAATGCCATTAGGATTTTGATAGATGTTGCATTGAATCTGTATATTGATTTGGGTAGTATGGGTGTTTTAACAGCAATAATTACTTCAATCTATGAACATGAGATATCAATCCATTAATTTATATTTTCTTTAATTGCTTTCATCAATGTTATAGTTTCAGTGTAGAGATTGTTCACCTCCTTGGTTAAATTTATTCCTAATTTTTTAAAAAACTATCATAAATGGGATTGTTTTATCAATTTTTTCAATTAGGTTGTGATTTGTGTATAAAAATGATACTGATTTTTATATGTTGATTTCATATCCTACAACTTTAGTGCATCAATTTATTTAAAAGCTTATTTGTGGTATCTTTGAGTTTTTTTAACATGTAATAGATCATACCACCTTCAAATAGAGATAATTGTATTTCTTCCTTTCTTACTTGAATGCCTTTTATTTCTTTTCCTTGTCACATGGTTCTTGCTAATAGTTCTAACACTATGTTGAATAGAATTAAAGAGAGTAGACAACCTGGCTTCATACTGGATCTTAATGAAAAAGCTTTCAGTTTTTCCCCATTGATTCTAATGTTAGCGGTGAGTTTTTCCAAATGGCCTTTATTATGTTGAGGAATTTTCCGTATTTACCTAAAATGTTAAGAGTTTTTATTAAGAAAGGATTTTTGACTTTGTTGAATGCTTTTTCTGCATCAAGTGAGACAATCATGTGGTTTTTAATCTCTCATTCAGTTAACATGATATATTACATTGATTGATTTGCATATGTTAAACCAGCCTTGCATGTCAGGGATGAATCCCATTTGTTCATGATATGAAATCTTTTTGATGTGTTGTTGACTTTAGTTTGCTAATATTTTATAGAGGATTTTTACATTAATGTTCATCAGAGAATTGGCTTATAGTTTTCTTTTCTTGTGATGTCTTTGTCTGGCTTAGGTATCAAGGTGATGGTGGCCTTATAAGATGTGTTAGGAAGTACTCCCCCTCGAGTAATTTGGAAGAGTTTCATAAGTATTGGTATTAATTTTTCTTAGAATATTTGGTAAAATTCAACTATGAAGGCATGAGGTTTTTTGTTGCTGTAAGGGTTTTTGTTGCTTTTTCAATTTCTTTATATGTTATTGATCTGTTCAGGATTTCTATTTCTTCCTGATTCTATCTTTGTATGTTGTATTTTTCTAAGAAGTTATCCATTTCTTCTAGGTTATCCCATTTTTTGGTATATAACTGCTCATAATAATCCCTTATGATCCTTTTTTATTTCTAAGGCATCTGTTGTAACTTCTTCACTTTCATTTTTGATTTCATTTGAGCCTTTTCCTTTTTGTTTAGACTAGCTAAGGTTTGTCATTTTGTTTATATATGTCTTATAACATCATGTTATATATGTTAAACATGTGCAATACAAATTTTTTTTTTAAAGAGAGAAGAAACACATTTTGGCTGTTTTAGTCTACTCAGAGCTTGAGAAGGGAATATTAATAGCCTGAAAGGAAGGCTCTACTGCAAAAGGCAAGATAAATGATAACCTGGACAAGATATCATTGATGGAGCAAGACTAGGAAGCTTAAGAAAGTGTGATCAAGAATACAGGTAGGTGAAATTAAGAGAAGCCAGAAAGGGTTCTACAGAGGCAACAGCAAAGAAAGGGAGGAAGAATAATTGAACGTTGAAATTAGGCCAATTAATGACCCTATAATGGCTTCTAAGTGTTCAAGTGAAAGGAAAAGGCATTTATCTTTCACTTGAAATCAAAACCTAGAAATGTACCTTAGTGAGGAAGACATGTCAAACACCAAAATAGACAGAAAACTAGGCTTCTTGTACTCAGTAGTTAGTCAAATGCAAAGGAAAAGTTCTTGAAGGAAATTAAAAATGCTACTCCAGTGAACACAGGAATAAGAAACAGCCATAATGACGATATGGAAAGTTTTAGTGGTCTGGAGAGAAGATCAAACCAGCCACAATATTCTCTTAAGTCAAAGCCTAATCCAGAGCAAGGCCCTAACTCTCTTCAATTCTGTGAATGTTGACAGAAGTGAGGAAGCTGCAGAAGAGAAATTTGAAGGTAGCAGAGGTTGGTTCATGAGGTTTAAGGAAAGAAGCTGCCTCTATAACAGAAAAATGCAAGGTAAAGCAGCAGATGCTGATACAGGGCTGCAGCAAGTTATCCAGAAGATCTAACTAAGATCACTGATGAAGGAGGCTGCACTAGACAACAGATTTTCAACGTAGATGAAACAGCCGTATAAGATATGTTAGGGAGTACTCCCTCTGGAGTACTTTGATATCTTATATTCAATGGCATCTTATATTCAATGATATCTTATACTGAAAGAAGATGCCATCTAGGCCTTTCAGTAGCAGATAGGAGAAGTCAGTTCTTTGCTTCGAAGGACAGTCTAACTCTCTTGTTATGGGTTAATAGAGTGGTAGCTTTAAGTTGAAGAAAATGCTCATTTCCCATCCTGAAAATTCTAGGGCCCCTAAGAATTATGTTAAAACTACTCTGCCTGTGCTCTATAAATGGAACAACAAAGCCTGGATGACAGCTCATCTATTTATAGCATGGTTTACTAAATATACAAAGCCCACTGTTAATACTTGCTGCTTAGAAAAAAAAAAAAAGATTCATTTTAAAACATTACTGTTCATTAACAATGCACCTAGTCACCCAAGAGTTCTGATAGAGATGTAAGGAGATAAGAGTTGTTTCCATGCCTGCTAATACAACATCCATTCTGTAGCCCACGGATTAAGGATTAGTTTTGACTTTCACATCTTATTATTTAAGAGATGCATTTTGTCAGGCTAAAACTGCCATAGATTATAATTTCTCAATGGATCTGGGTACAGTAAGTGGAAAACCTTCTGGAAAGGAGTCACCTTTCTAGATGCCATTGAGAACATTTATGATTCATGGGAGGCAGTCAAAATATCAACAATAGTAGTTTGGAAGAAGTTGATGCCAACCCTAATGGATGACTTTGAGAACATCAAGACTTCAGTGGAGAAAGTCACTGAAGATGTAAAAATAGTAAGAGAACTAGAATTAGAAATGGAGCCTGAATATGTGGCTAAATTGCTGCTCTCACAATAAAACTTGAATGAACAAAGAGTTGCTTCTTATGGATAAACACTGATAGTGGTTTCTCCTTCTTTCCTTCTTTCTTTCCCTCCTTCCTTCCTTCCTTTCTTCTTTCCTTCTTTCCTTCTTTCTTTGAGACAGAGTCTTACTCTGACACCCAGGCTGGAGTGCGGTGGCATGATCTCAGCTCACTGCAACCCCTGCCTCTTGGGTTCAAGCAATTGTCATGCCTCAGCCTCCCGAGTAGCTAGGATTACAGACATGCACCACCACGCCCAGCTAATTTTTTGTTTTTTTCTATTTTCAGTAGAGACCAGATTTCACTATGTTGGCCAGGCTGGTCTCAAACTCCTGGCCTCAAGTGATCCACTTGCCTCGGCCTCCCAAAATGCTGAGATTATAGGTGTGAGCCATGGTGCCCAGCCAGATAGTGGGTTTCTTGAAACAGAATCTACTCCTGGTGAAGATGCTGTGAAGTCTCTTGAAATGGCAACAAATTACTTAAAATATTTCCATAAATTTAGTTCATAAAGCAGCAGCAGGGTTTGAGAGGACTGACTCCAGTTTTGAAAGAAGTTCTGTTTTGGGTAAAATGCCATCAAACAGCATCACATGCTACAGAGAAATCTTTTGTAAAAGGGAGAGTAAACTGATGTGACAAATTGCATTGTTGTCTTAAGGTATTATTACAGCTACCCTACCCTTCACCACCCTGATCAGTCAGCAGCCATAAACATCAAGGCAAGACCCTCCACTAGCAAAAAGATTAAGACTCACTGAAGCCTCAGATAATCATTAGCATTTTTAGCAATACTTTAAAATTAAGGTATATTCATTTTTATAGACATAATGCTATTATAAACTTAATAGATTACAGTATAGTGTAAACATAACTTTTATATGCACTGGGAAACCACAAAATTGTGTGACTCACTTTATTGTGATATTAACTTTGTTGCAATGGTCTGGAACAGAACCTGCAATATCTCTGAGGTATGCGTATATTGTGCATTTCAAAAGTGCTAGGAGAGTAAATTTCAAATGTTACAATTACAAAAAAGTTAACTATCTGAGGTGGTGGCTATATTAACTAGCTTGATTTAATTATTCCACATTAGATTCATAAATCATAACATCACTTTGTATCCCATAAATGTATACAAACATAAATCGTCAATTCACAACTTAAAGAAAAAAAGTTATGTCATTTGGTTCCTTTCAGTGCTCTCTTTCTATGATATTAGAGAAGAAATGGGAAAGAAAACTCATTTTTTTGGTGCCTATTACATGTCAAACCAGTGCTGACTCATCTCACCTAACATTCCTAATGACGCCATTCTAGCTTCATTTTACAAATGAAGAAACATATTCAGAGAGATTAAGTAACAGCTACAGTACACAGACTGGCACCCAGTTATGACCCCCAACCTCTCACCCTGCAAGCCCAGCTCCTTCCCCTACAACTCTGCTGCCTGCACAAAGGGATGTGATTCGAACTTGGCATTTCCTCCTCCTCCTCCCAAAATACTGAGTTACAGATGAGTCACTTACTCACTGCAAACAATGGATGGAGTCACTGTAAGTGTAATGAAAGAATTTTAATTCTTTTTCTTCTGTATTTCTATGACCCAGTTTCAAAACTATATAGGAGAATCTTAACCATTTCACAGAAATTTCCACATAGTCCTAAAACTCATTCATTAAAGCTCTCTTAAAAAAACACAATGGCAGTTACTCCATGAAAGGCAACAGTCAACATCTCCCAGACCTCTGAATCTAAGTCAGAACTGTGGACAAAAAGTGGCTTTCTTAAGAGAAATATCTAGAACCCAGGTAAAAAGTGGTTCTTCAGGGAAAGTCATTGAAGCCCCTCCCTCCAGCCTCTAGAGGGCAAAGCAGTGTGAGCAATGGCATTCTGCCTCCTCTGCCATATGCCCTAGTGTGCCTGGCTTAGTCCACGAAACGTTCAAAGAACGAACCAAGGAATAATCATGATTTTTAGAGAAACAATTGCATTTAATTTTGTTTTGTCTTAACCACAGGATGCATCAAATACAGAGTTTGTTAAAAAATACTGACAAAGGAAGAAAACAGTGTACAATTAAGTACTGATGAATTATGTAAAATGGGATGGGATAATTTAATGAGGTTACAGAATCTTTTCAAATGCATCAGAGCACAACAAAAAAAGATTCAGTTGACTACTTAAGTTTTTCTAAATAGTAATGTTTCACTTATATAACATAGAAGAAGTAAATCAAGTATTTGTATCTCAGAGGCAGTCAGTATTGGTTTTCTATATAACAGGACGTTGTAGATTTATTAGGTTTGTATAGTAGTGAGCTTTCTCTGAAATCCTCTAAGTGCTTTATCCACAACATTTATACAAAGAAGACAAAAACACTTCTCAAAATGCCAAAAGCAACAAGGTAAACAGGAGAGCACGGAATATGAGAACAGTGAGAAAATAAGAACAAAAAATATAGATGGAAATACATCTATAAGGGCCAACACAGAGTGAATTGATTCATTCTGTACACAGTGCCCCTGTGTATCTGTAAACATCACTGTCATGTTCTTCCTCCTGAGCTGGTAAACAGATGTGCCAACTACAAGACACACAGTGGTCATTCCAGGGACTTAAGCAGCCAGGTGGGCCCATCTCCCACATTGGAGAGCTCATGGTCTGCCATGTGGGACACAGCTTCTGACACATGATCTCTTGGAAATCTGTAGAGTTTAAGATTAAAGAAGAATTAAAGAAGTACATTAGTGATGTTTGTTTATTGTCTGGATCTATTTTCACTTGGAGACACAAAAAATGTTACTAAATATTTATTGGGCAGCTTAAAAATGTATAGGGCAATAGTCAGGCTCTGGAAAAATGTTATCTGTGTAAAGATTCTGCCCCTTACATTGATATAAAATATGAAAATTTTAGCAACATGTGATTCAGTAATTGTAGGTGCACATAAATCTGGAAGTTTCCTGAACCAGATCCTTTGTATTTCTTTAAGATAAGACATTTATTACATTTTGGGAAACTGAATAGCACTGGAATGTAAACAATATCAATTGTTTGCATTGCACTGCATTTGCATTTTCCAAAAGTATATATAATAATGGGATGTGTATTTTTCTTCGCTGAAAATATAGCTAAGATTTAATTCCTGTGCTTCTGAAATAAATTAGCTTAATAGATCTAATCATGATTGTATCAATAGATACTGAATTTAATAGCCTTGCAGCTTATCTCTTTTAACAACCTAAAAATAACAGCTGAATGGAATTTTCCCCCAACTTTGATGAAAAGTACAAACACACATTTTCCATCATCATCACAGGAAAGGGAAGCAGGTTTATGTACTACTGCAGATGAAACAGCTTTTGATATGGACAGTATTAGCCTTTTCATTCAGACATACTCAACTGGGTCCCGGAATCTGAAATATATAGATACAGCTAGAACCAACAGCATGTCAGTGGCACAGTCAAAACTCCACAGACAGGCCATGCGTGGTGGCTCACGCCTGTAATCCCAGCACTTTGGGAGGCTGAGGTGGGTGGTTCACGGGGTCAGGCATTCAAGACCAGCCAGCCTGGCCAACTTAGTGAAACCCCGTCTCTAGTAAAAATACAAAAAATTAGTCGGGCGTGGTGGTGGGTGCCTGTAATCCCAGCTACTCAGGAGGCTGAGGGAGCAGAATTGCTTGAACCTGGGAGGCGGAGGTTGCAGTGAGCTGAGATTGTGCCACTGCACTCCAGCCCGATAGATTTTGGGTGAGGGTACTGATTATTTGGAATTTAAATGGATATGCAACAATCATTATGGGTCTTCAAAAATCATCTTCATTAGAATCCAAGTAGATGAAATTGAAAGACAACTTCTAAGAACAGTAACCTACAAAAGCATCATCTTGCCCATGAATTTACTTTTTCTTAGTGTCTAGCAATGTGGTAATGAACAATCAATGGTAAAAGGAAAAGAACAGAATGCTGAAGGCTAAAGAATTCCCCCCAAATACAGTGAAAAATTCTCAGCAAGAGGATGGTAAAGTCTTCAGGACCTTCAGCTTGGCCTTTCTACTGTATCTTGAGCTCTGCTAAGATCAATGCAGGAGGCAAAGGGAGGGGTCAGCACCACTCCTGCAATGAGATCATGGAGCCTGGAGTCAAAAGCTGTGTAACTGTGGGCAGATTATAGAACCTCTCTTAACATGGGTGGGGTTTTCCCCACCTATAAAATGGAAATATGTATACTACATATGGAGCTATTTCAAGGTGATTACTTAGCCCAATGTCTGGTTGGCAAATTCTCAGTATTCTATTAATTATTAGAGCTAATACCTGTGTAGGTATAGCAGGGCAGCTCTAGAAGCATATAAAGGAAATCAAAGACAATGGAAATATGTTCCATGGGAGGGTGGAAGTAGTAACATTAGAGTGGAGAAGCCTAGGAAACACTGCCTCAGCTAAGTGATGAAGCTTGACATCATCTATGATGAGTCGTATTGATAGCAGGTACCTTTGATGTGATTAGAAGGGCACTTCGCTTCTGTGGCCTTCCTCCCAAGAACCCGTAACACCAACCTAGTCATGATGAAAACATCAGACAAATCCCAATTTCAGACATTCGAGAAAATACCTGACTAATATTTTCCCAAATCGTTAAGGTCATGAATATCAATGAAAATCGGAGAATCTGTCCTAGCCAAGGGGAGCCTAGGGAGACATGATGTGTAAATGTAATGCTGGATCCAGGATGTGATTCCAGACCAGAAAAAAAATTAGGGAAAGAGAAATGAAATCAGAAAAACATTTAGGATTTGGTTAACAGCAATAAAACAACACTGGTTCCTTAGTTGTGACAAATGTACCACAGTATTGGAAGATGCTAATCACAGGGGAATCTCAGTGTGAGGTATATGGAAACTATCTATAATAACTGTGCAACATTTCCAAAAATCTAAAACTATTCTATAGTAAAATGTTTATTTTAAAATTGGCTCCATGAAAAAGTTGGTACTTGACCTATTGCAGCAAGGTATTGGATACTTTTAATAGACTGGGAAATGCAATGGTGAGACAGAGGACAAATCTGGTTCTGAAACATCCATAGGAGGCATTTTATAATTTACTGTACCAAATGAATATTTTGTTACATTTTAAAAACACTCCTAAGAGGTGTTTGGTTGAATTTCCATATTGCCAATTCTAGCTCAGTTAAATGTTAATCAAATGAGAACAATTGTCAGTCTTGGTGGGAACCAAGAATTAATTTTGAAGCCAGGCAAACTGGGATTCAGGTTTTGGCTCTGGCACTTCTATTATTACCATTTATTAATAGTACAAGTCATGTCAACCACTCAGATTTGCAGTGCCTTTGTCTATTAAACAGGTACACTAGCTCCGAAGCTTCATGGAGGTATTAAACAACATCAGAGCAGCATCTAGAACACCAGAAGCTCAAGAAATGTCAGTTTCCTCTGTTTCTACTTTGATTTTCAGCTGCTGCCATCCAACTATCTCTCTGACATCTCCACCTGGATTTCTCCCAGATATTTCAAAAGCAACATATTTTATATTAAACTCTGAGTCCTCTCACACCTGCTCACACACTCGTTCTCTGCCAACACGTTCTGCTCCTAGGCTTCCCCAGCCCAGTAACTGGCACCACCAGTCCTCCGAGGCACCCAGCTGCTCATGCAGAAATGTGGGATCATATTGGAGTCCCTCGTTTTTCTCACTCTCACCCCCCACATCCAAACCTTTAGCAAGCCCTGTCCTTTCTACCTGTGAAATAGTTCTCCAATGTGTGCACTTCTCTCCATCTGCCTGGCCACCAACCTTCACAGGCGTTCTCACTTCACTTCTGCCTCCCACAGTCAAGTGCTCACATGTTGGCCAGAATGCAGGTTTTCAAATATGAATCAGGGTGTGTCACTCCTATTCTTAAAAGACTTCAAGGACTTAATAATTTGAGAGATGAAGTCAAATCTCTGCACCATACTGTGCCTCCCTTGCCTCTCATGAGCCACCCCAGGGCCACACAAACCTTTCTAAACCCCAAACCCAGAAGTCATTTCTGTAGAAGAAAGCGTGTAAGTGCTGTTCCGTCCATCAGCAGTACAGTGCTTCTGGCAATGCCCACAGCTGGCTTCTTCTCAGCCTTTAGGGATTGACAGCATCTCTCATCATTCTTTCCAATAAGGTGTTCAAGGGCTATTTTTCTCTCTTATTTCACAATTTCTCATCTCTTTGTCTGCTGTCTGTCTCACCTCGCAATTTTACAGGCTCCTAGGTGGGAGGGAATGAGTCTTCCTTGCTTACTGATACGACCTCAGTGCCTAGATAACTACCTGGCATACAGCAGGCATCCGATATATTAGATGAATGAGTCAGTAAGCTATCTTTTGATTCTTGTGAAATGCACCATAAGCATGTAGACTCATAGCATGATTCTAATTTTAGGATCTTATCTTTATATACTTATCCTAGGATAAGATAAAAAAGATGAAATTCATCGAAGTGTTAATGGTTATTGTCTTTTACTGATGAAGTTACAGGTTATTTTTTGTTTTTCATATTCTTACACTTTCCAATTTATCTGCTATTACTAATGCCAGGAACAAAATTTTAAAATTAATAATACATAGTGAATTGACGATGAAAATATAAGGTGCTCTCTGGATTACTGAACCTTCCTTTTTGTGTGTGTGCCGCAATCTAAGGAGGTGCTTGTTATTTTGTACTGCAACATACATAGTTTCTGGAGTCTGAGTTATTGTTTTAGCTTCAGCATTGACAAGCTCTGTGCTTGAGGAACCTCGCAGAGTTTCCTAGATGAGATGTAGAGATGATAATAGCAATGTCTTCCACCTTTGACTTTAGTGAACTCTAAAGTACTGTACAATTTTGGTTGTTATGATTCTCCTCTAGTCTAGCCTGCATGCTACTAAGACCTTCAGAAAAGATAAAAATCCATTCTATTTATAAAATATATTAATATGCTGAATATCAAAGTAGTTTGTTGTTCATAACCAGAGTGCCTTTTGTACCAGTTACTACACTTGAGCAGGATGCTACTTTTCTATATAAAGGTGCCAGAAAACATCATGATGATAATGACACTGCTGTCATGTACATACAGAAAGACAAGTTTGGTGTACAAATTTACTATTTGTCAGAATGATTCAGAGCAGAAATAGAAGGAATATGAATGAGTCAAACTCTAGAGGTCTAACTACAGAGACCCATTCCACCAAACCCATTCATTCAGTTATTCATTCAATCAATCAATCAACACATATTTATTAAGTTTTAACTATGCAATAGTCACTTCTTTCGGTGCAAAAACACATCAGCGAAAAAAAGGGACAAACATGACATCCTTGTGGAATAAACAAGATAAGTGGGTAAATTATACAGAAGTTTTAAACGGAAAAACATAAAGCAAGGAAAGGAGAAGGGAAGTTGCAGGCCAGGATGGGAAGTTATAATTTGAATATGGCAGTCAAAGAGTACCTTACCAAAAGAATGACCTGTCAAAGAAGGTGCCATTTGAGAAAAGATTTGAATTCGGCAAGGGGGACAACTTTGTAGATATCTAGGGGAAGAGCAGTCCAAGTAGAGGGAACAGCAAGTATAAAGGATCCAGGCAGGCATGTCTGGAGAAGAGCAAGGAAGCTAGTTTGGCTAGAGCAGAGTGAGTGAGGAGAAGAATAGGAGGAAAATCAAGGTCAGTGCGTAAATAGGAGATGGGCTCCTCTAGGGCCTGACAGCCTCTGCTCTGACTTTGGCTTTTACTTTGAGTGACATGGAGAGCTGAGGGGTGACACGATGTGACTTATGTTTTGACATCTCTCTGTTACACTCTGGCTGCTTACTGAGAACAAGCTTTAGGAGCAAGGTGAGGATGGAAGCATGGAAGGCTATTGCCTCCTGGGAGAGGTGATGTTGGCTTAGACCAGAGTGGTCATGATATGAGTAAAGGTGGTAAGACTGAGGGTAGATTCTGAAGGTGGAGTTAGTAGTATTTGCTGTAAGCCTGGCCAAGGAGAGTCAAGGATAGCTTGAAGGTTTTTGGCATAAGCAACTAGAAAGATAGAGTAGCTACTAACTGACATGGGGAGAAGATCCAGAGTTTATCTCACGTAAGTTGGAGATTCCTTTTAGACATCCAAGTGGAGCTATCACAGTTGGATATTCAAGTCTGGGTACCAGGGAAGCTGTTCAGAGCAGAGTTAAATTTTAGAAGTTTCAGTGTGCTGATCACATATAGCCATGAGACTGCATGTGAACCTAACAACATGGAGAGTAAAGAAACAATTCAAGTTGTGAGCCCTGGAGATGAGGAGGAACAGGCAAAGGAAACTTAGCAGCATCTACCAGAAAAATAGGAGGAAAACCAAGAGAACGTGTTTTCCTGGAAGCCAAAAGATTCCAAGGAGGAGGGGTTGGTCAACCTGTCAAGTGCTGACTCTAGGTCGTAGAACCTGAGGACTTAAAATAGGCCAATGGGTTTAATAATATGGAAATCACTGGTGATCTCGACAAAGATAGTTTTGGTAGTGTGGTAGGGGTGAAAGCCAGATGTGAATGAGATTTAGAGAGATAGGGAGGAGCAGAAATGAAACAGCAAGTACAGAACATATATGAAATGTTTTGGTACCAAGGGGTACAGAGAAGTGAGACAAGTAGGTGGAGTGGGCATTGGTAGTTTCCAAGTAGTTACCCTGAAGGAGCAGAAGTAAAAAGCCCGGGGGTTGCAATAAAAGACATCAAGAAAGGTAGAGCTGGTCTGAGGTATTGGGACGTCCAGTATGAGAAAAGCTACGCCCAGGCTGATGAGGAGGCATAAGAAAGGAAGTGGTGCATTAAGCACACGATTACTTAAACAAAATTGATAAATGGTGTCCTCTTGGGGCATGAGAAAATTCCCCCAAGGAGGAAAATCCTAGGCACAAATATGTACTCCAGGTTAGCAATTTCAGCCTTTCAACTCTCATTTAATATAAAATACATTCTCAGTTACTTGCAGAAGAATGGATGTAATTTTAACATCTGGTGCCTAAAAATTTATGACCAAAAGCTACCATGAGTTTGGTCATTTATTTGAATTTGTAATTAATTAATTAATTATAATAATGTTTAGGAAAAAGTAATGCATGTATGTTTGAGACTTTCTGTATTATTCTTTCAGTCTACAGATAACATTTGATATGCATATGGCTCCCAGGACCCCTCTTAGAGTAATTCTTCTCTAGATTTTAGGAAGGCAGATTTCATGGTATACTCTCTTGCTCCAGTCTCATTGATATAATTTATTTATTAGGCAGCCATTACGTGCCAGGGTCTCATTTGTCTTCATTTTCCCCTTTAGATTCTACATTCCAGCCACATGAGGGCATTTCCCCAAGTATAACAGTATTTCTCTGGCTTTTGGACCTTTACTCACATTGCTCTTCAGCCCAGGGGACACTTCCCCTACTTCTCCCAGCCAACTTTTAACTGTCATTCTGGATACTAGTCCAGAATTCCCTAAAACTTCCAGGCTTCCCCATGTAGGCCGGTATCATATTGAATCCAGGAAAAGCATGCAGTTAGAGAGTCACAGGTGTTCAGAATAGAAAGCAAATAGCATGTGTGCATATGATGAGTGCCAAGCAGATCAGAGGGGTATGGATAGCATCTACAAAGATGTCTCACCTCTGGGTTACTGTACTGCTTATCACTGTGGCTCTATAAAATTACCTGTTTGCTTTGTTTGTTTTCACCAGGCAATGATTAGTTATTTGAGGGTGGGAAATTCTTTCTTATCTTACCTACCAATGCTTGTCTGGGAATAAAGTACCTGGAATATTGGTCAATAAATTTTGGTTAAATGGCTGGGTGCGGTGGCACACACCTGTAATCCTAGCACTTACGGAGGCTGAGGCAAGTGGATCGCTTGAGGTCAGGAGTTTGAGACAAGTCTGGCCAACCTGGTGAAAGCCCATCTCTACTAAAAATACAAAAAATTAGCCGGGCATGTTGGTGGACACCTGTAATCCCAGCTACTCAGGAGGCTGAGGCAGGAGAATTGCTTGAACCCGGGAGGTGGAGGTTGCAGTGAGCCAAGATCGCAACATTGCACTCCAGCCTGGGCAACAAGAGTGAAATTCCATATCAAAAAAAAAAAAATGTTGGTTGAACGAGAAAATACGTTCAAAGAATCATATCAAATTATGGAACTTTATGATTGGAAGAGACTTGGTAGCTTTTTTAAGTCTAATTTTTTTCAGTGTCCCACATTCCTTCTATAACATACCTGCCAAAAAGTCACTGAGCTCGTATTTTAAAATCTCCTCTGACAGACTCTTCTTTAGAGAAGAGTTTTTTTATAGAAAGTTCTTCCTTACGTTAACCTAAAATCTGTCTCCATCTACATTTATTTCCTGGCAGGGTGGAAGGGTGGGGCAGGCACGATTCAAAACAAAGGTAAAGCCACTGTCACATCACAGTCCTTAAGGTATTTAAGGACCATAATCATGTCCCTTTGGCCTTCTCATCTCTACCAGAAACGTCCTAATTCCTGCAACACTACTTCACACAGTTGGATTCTCCATCCTGACATGATACTGTTCTTTTGCCTTAAATAGTGACCAGTTGACTATGTTCCTCTTAAACTGCTGCATCCAGATGGTGTGCAGTGATCCAGGGATGATCCGAGCTGCTCACCTCCTCCTAAAATAATACTGGGACTAATTTTTGGCAGCAAAAATACTTTCTTTTTTGCATATGCTGTAAAGTGCCTCTTCTCCATCCTATGCAAATATGGTGCTATATAATTACCCATGTTAAATTTTTGGATGATGCCACCATGGAGGTCTATAAAATGAAAGCTATATCAAGCGCGTGAAGAGAAACAAGCAAAGGAAACAGCGAGAGAGGAAGAAAACCAAAAGCTTAGTGAGAAAGAAATTGTCATCTAAAGAGAATGTGTGAGACTACAGAGCATGAGCTGTGTGACCCCAAGCAAACTACAAAAAAAAAAAAAACAAAAAAACTCTGAATCACAATCACAGCATTCTCATCTGTAAAATAAGTATCACACACGTTTCAGGAAATTAAAACTCGACTTATACTTCCATTTCCTGTGAGAGCAAGGCATTAGAAAATCCCCTGACATAGTGTGGCTCATGCCTGTAATCCCAGCACTTTAGGAGGCCTAGGCAAGAAGATCACTTGAGGCCGGGAGTTCAAAACCAGCCTGGGAAACACAGTGAAACCCTGTCTCTATAAAAATTTTAAAAATTAGCTGGACATTGTGGTGCATGCCTGTAGTTCCAGCTACCCAGGAGGCTGAAGCAGGAGGATCCTTGAGCTGAGGAGTTCAAGGGCACAGTGAGCTATGATCTTGCCATTGCACTTAAACCTAGGCAACAAAGCAAAACCCTGTCAATCAACCAATAAGAATAAATAATAGAAGGAGAAGAATTTACCTTTGTATGAGAACACAGATCCAAGCAGCATGAGAGGATTTGGCCAAAATGACTCTAGCCCCACCTTTCCTCCTCCTCAATGTGCTAGAGTTCTGGTCCTTCAGTGCCCAAGTGCCCATAACTGACTTTTCTAGCTTGTTATCCAAACCACGCAGGAACTATCATCAAGCCTTAAGAGCTGATCGACTTTCCTCTCACTTTCACCAGACAGCAAGTGCAGAAGCCAACATCCTCTCTCTATGGAAAAAGGTTTTGTATCCTCCAATGACTTCGTAAATAAATTTTGCATGCATTGTTGTGCAGTCTAAGGTATTTAGGTGGAACGTGGCTATTGGGCTTATATTTCAGTTATGTTGTTAGTTAGTCACTTGTAAGATGGACTGGAGGAGCTAACTGCTTGCCTAGTATGCTTCTATGGTAAAGTGGAAGAATGCATTGTGAGTTCCAAACAATGAACCTTAATATTATTTCAGCACTTACTTGACAAACATGCTCTGAGCACCTTCTAGGCTCTGTGATTTAAAAATGAAGAAAGACACAGTATCCTTAAGGGGCAATGAATTATGCCTTTTTCTTCTTCATTCTGAAACAATGATGATATGATGTATTATAACATAATACCATATGAGGCACTAGGGGAGTTGAGGAGATAGTGATCAGGCTACTGGGGGTGCTAGGGAAGGTTTCAAAGAGATTAATCTAAGTCTTCAATAGACAGAAAGGACCTAATGAGCATTTTAGGCAGAAAAGCCTTTGTGAAAAAGACATACATGTTTCAATGTACAGGCATATGTGCTGCCAATTCTGGGGACAAATGGCCATCTTGCATAGAGTGGGGCCTAGATGTATGTAAGCTAGGCTTAAACATAGCTTCAAACACAGCTTGTTTCTAAGGTAAGAACTGTTTGAGTGTAAATGAATAAAATGTACTACCTTGCCGTGAGTTTATAATCTATAGACAACATTAGAGGAACACTCTGAATGTACCTCTACTGTAGCATTATCACATGATAGTCTAATAATTATTTGTTTTCCTATCTTCCCACTCCCACTAAGATGAGAATCTGCTTGGGGTAGGGTATCTGATTTCTCTTTGAGCAAACATGCACAGAGCCAAGCATCATATACATGGTAGGTATTCCATAACTGCTGAGTTGAAAAATATACGACAATGCAGAACATAAGCGATTTAGCATGGATATAGTACAGATGAGGGATTAGAGGAGAATTGAGGGAAAAGTAACCATTTGTGTTTTGAGGTATGGGTAATGTTTTGTTAGGAAAAAATGGAGGGGTTAACTCTGGCTATACCTTCCAGGTAAAAAGAATAACAGTAATGAAAATAAGAAAGCAGGTAAAATGTATAAGGAACAGTGAGAAATCTAACTGGGCTAGAATTTAATGTGTGCAAACAGGAATGCATTCAAACTTTCATGGGCCCTAGGCACTTTTATATTTGTGGACCCCATCCTTCATCAAAAATATTAAAAATTATATTTTATAACTGTGTCAACAAATAAACATATTCATGCTGGATTCATGATTATTATTCATTACTATTATTAATTTTTTTCTTCTGATTTTAAAATTCATTAAAATAAAACATTTCAATGAACCCCTCAAAGTATAATGGGCCCTAGGCACTGTCCTTTCAAATCTAGTGGACAAACTGGCCCCATGACCAAATGGAATAGGAGGGAACAAATCTGAAAAGACCAGTTAAGGCTGAATGGGGAGAGCCTCAAACACCAGGCTAAGGTAAAGAGAGGGCAGGTGAAGACTTATGCGTAGGCAAGTGATCTGATCAGAATCATGAGAAGGAAGAATGAAACTGAAATATCTGGAGGGAGGTAGAAAGTTCTGAAAATAAAAAGACTAGCTATGATATGACTGTAACCACCCAGGAAAGATGTATGAAACCCTTATCTGATAAAGAGTATGAAGAGGATAACAAGAAGAATTACAAGGGAAGTAGAATCCCTAAGAACTGATGTCAGACTCAATAGGGGTGAGGAAAAGGGAAGGTCAGAAAGTAATTGTCATTCCAAACCTGGGTGACCAGGAGAATGTCAAGACCAAGAGAGAGAGGCTGCAGGAAGAGAGGATCTGAGAGAGACGGTCTGCTACGATGAAGGGTATAAGTACGTTTCCAAGATCAGCAATACAACTAAACAACAGGTACAAAATAAATGTATGTATTTTTTGTCAATTGAAAAAATTAAAAAGAAACACAATTAATTACATTACCTCAAAAAATGGCATCTTTGTCTGCTGCTAGTTGGACCTACCACTTTACAAAAAGCAGGCATGACTAAAGAAAACTCCTATTAAATATTAACCTAAATTAATATTAACCTAGGAACTAACCTAAATTCCTATTAAATATAAAACTTTCCTCAAAAACATAAATTTTACTATGAAACCAGCACCCACCTACCAGGCTTGGCAAATAATTACACAGAAAAAAATTAATCAGACATAAGAAAAACTGAAATACAGGCCTTGAATTCACAAAGACTTTTGTTATTTTAATACACACCTCAGGCAAGAAGAAAGAAAGATAAGTATGCAGGAATTTTAATTAGAGTATATGAAACAATAATTACTGCATAAATGATCATATTTAATTTTAACGGCCCAAGAGCAAAACTGAATTTTTTTTCTTCTCTGCATGAATTATCCTCAGCATTATTAAAAATACTTCTGAACAAATCAATACTTCTATTAAGCTAAAATTACAGAAACTCAGTCATGCGAATAACTGAAGGTTATCTAAAAGAGTCAGAGTTCAGTGTTTTTTAATATTTTAGAGAAATGTGATGGGATTGCTTTTAAATATGAAAAATAATTCAATCTACGTTAATAACGTATTGCCTAGTAGAAGGATTTTAACAAATATATCTAAAAAATAAATATGTACTTTTTGGAAACACCAAGTTTTAAAAATCCTTACTCACATTATTAAAATCCACTATGGAGAAATTTGTTAGGACAAGATACATTTTCGCATATTATAGTGATATAAATCATAACCCAGTGGGATCTCCACGAGTGCACTTTTACTTTATGTCTAAGCTTCTGTTAAACTACACTAACAATCTGAGCTATAAGATGTCCTTTGCTTTTCAACCAGGTCCTGAGAAATTTAGCACACTTTAGAGGAAGGTATGTTTCAGGCCACATTCACCATGTGGACCAGCCTGAAAGCAGAAGAAAAACACAAAATGCTTTTGAGAGGTTAAAATATCACAAAGTCCATATATTTAACCTTCCTTCAGAGCCTATTAACTTTTACCTTAGGCTTACTTCTAAAAGTTTACTTGTCTGGTTATTTTATCCCAGAGTAATTAAGAAGCAGGGAATAAGTAGTTTACAAGAACAGTTTTATATACCTTAAAAAGATGAGAAATTTAGAAAAAGTTTTATGCATGAAGATGCTGATAATGAGGTATTTATAATGGAAAAAAATGGGAAAAAATTAACAAAACAAAGAGTGGAAAATAAATTACGGAACACCAAAAGGACAGAAGGTTGTGTAAACTTGTCAAAATAATTATATGGTGAAGTTATGAGACTGTCAGTATAGTATAATCCCAGCTATATCACTATTCAATAGGAGTACTGTGACCATGCCTGTCCTCTACTCCCACCTATGGTAACAGATTATAATGAGAAAAGCCGCTGGCAAATGAGGTAATTAGAGGAATGGCTACCTGTGGCCTAGGTAACACTTTAGGGGATCCATAGGATGTTCATAAGATACTTTGGACTTGGACTTTAAAGTTGATGCTGGAATGAGACAAGACTTTCAGGGACATTGAGATGAAATTGATGTATTTTGTATGTGAGAAGCACATAAATTTGGGGGGGCCAGCAGCAGAATGTTATGATGTGAATATTTTTGTCTCCACCAAAATTCATATTGAAATGTAATCTCCAGTGCAATAGTGTTGGGAGGTGGGCTTTTGGGGAGGTGTTTAGGTTATGATGGCAGAATCATCATAAAAGGTCTTGATGAGGGAGTTTTTGTCCCCATTTTTGCTCTTCTGCCTTCTGTCATGTGAGGACACAGCACTCCCCTCCTCTGGAGGATATAGCATTCAGGGCACCATCTTGAAAGCAGAGACCAGACACCGAACCTGCTGGTGTCTTGATCTTGGATTTCCCAGCCTTCTGAACTGTGAGAAATAAATTTCTGTTCTTTATAAATTACTCCATTTGTGGTATTCTCTTAAAGCAGCACAAAGGGACCAAGACCATGCCCAAATGGCAACTTTTTCAACAGTTGAAGCAGGAAAAATCTCTGGCTTCTAAGGACTGGGCATGTTCTAGGCTCTGGCTTGGTTCTGGAAAAGAGGATAAAAGAAGAAAAAAAAAGAATGCTTTTACTTATACTTCTCTGGAATCTGTATTCCTAACATCTGTGGCTTTTTAAAAATTAATATAAAAGAGTCCTAGATTAGCAATGATCCCAAATGCCTACCAGAGGAAAACATACAACCTCTATGGAGGAACACACGTTAAACCCAGGCCTCAAAAATTTCCCATGGTAAGTTCAAAAGAAAATGTATTCACAATTAAAAAAAAATCACTGGTCCCATAAAGAAACAAGCTACCATGGGTGAGAGACAAAAGAAGCAACAACCATAGAATTAAAGATAGATACATTGCATATACTAGAATTTTCAGGTACAATACATAAAACAGATATATTTAATATAGTTCAAGGATTAAATAAAATGCTTGCAGGTATGAAGTAGTAAGATATTATTAGAACTAACTAAGCATATTTGAAAAATAAACAAATTGAATTTCTAGAGATGAAAAGTATAATTTATATTAATAAGTCAGATTTAAAGAGATTAGACACCATTGAGGACAGGGCTAATGAACTGAAGTGGAGATAAATGCATATTAAACCAAATACAACAAAAGAAGCAAAAAGATGGTAAAGAAAATAAAATGAAAAAAATTCTAACTTACATATTTGTAGTTCTTAAAGGAGATACAGGTTGAGTATCTCATATATGAAATTCTTGGAACCAGAATTGTTTCAGATTTCAGAATTTTTCAGATTTTAGAATAATTGCATTATTCTTAATGATCGATCATTTCAAATCTGAAACCCCCAAATCTGAAATTGACCAAAGATAATTTCCTTTTGAGTATCATGTTCGTGCTCAAAAAATTTCAGATTTTGGGGCATTTAGAATGTTGGGTTTTCAGATTTCGGATGCTCAACATGTAATACTGATAATGAAGAAGAAGCAGATTTTGAGATATTGGCTGGAAATTGATGAATACACCAAGCCTTAAATTTAGAAATCTCCCTCCCCAAATGAATGAGGAAGAATAAATTAAAATGAAATCTATACCTAGATACTTCACAGTAAAACTGCAAAGTAATGACAAAGAGAAGACTTGAAAGCAGACAGAAAAGACAGATTATCTATACAGATACAAAAATTACACTGGCAGCTCTATTTTCAATAGCCACATAAGAGATAAAAATGGTACAGTAATGTCTGGAAAGTAAAAATATAAAATAAATATCAACCTGGAATTGTCTACCAAGGAAAACTACTTTTCAAGAATTAGGATAAAATAAAGATGTTTTTGCAGGCAAACAATTATGGTAAGAGTTTTCTATACATAATAAACAAACTTCTAAACTATTTATTTCAAGAAGAAAGAAAATTCTCCCAGGATTTAGGTTTAAAAAGAAAAAAGGAATGGCAAAAAAAAAAAAAAAAAGAGTATATGAGTAAATTGAAACAAATACTGATTGGAATATACAATGCTAATAACTAATTTATGAGATAAAAACAAAATCAAAGTAGGACTAAAATCCTAAACAAAAACAGTAAGCAAACTGGGAAAAGATGATTGAAGTGAAAGCATTTCAAATGAATTTATTTGTAAGGTGATTAAAGATATTTATTAACCTTAGATGATGTTAATTTAAATATGTATGTCACAATTGCCAAGATAAGTACAAAATGAATAGAAACTAGAAGTTCCAAATTAAATAAATAAAATAAACCAAGCCAAAGGTAGCAACAAAAAAGTAACAGATAAAATAGAAATTATGAAAATATGAATCCAAATGACAATAAGAACAATTATACAAATTGACCAGTTTTGAAATTTTAGAAAGTTTATCAGACTGGATTGAGAAAAAAGCAAAAACAAAATTAGCTATATGTTATACACAAAGGATACTTCTAGAACATAAAGAAAACACTGAAAGTTAAAGATGGAAAAAATTTAACAGGAAAATACTAATCAAACAAAATCATAGATAGCCATTTTAATATGGAATAAAATAGAATTCAAGGCAAAATTATTACTAGGGATAAAGAGGGTATAAATGGTTATATAACTTTTAAGACTCGGGAAGATACAAATCTAAACATGAATGTACTTTATAATAGAGTCTGAAATATAAAAAACAAACACTAAACTTGAAGAAAATCATTATAAATTTGTCATAATGGTGGGAAATTCTAACATGCCTGACAAACTGATAAATCAAAAAGACATAAATAAAACAACAAGAATATAGATATGAAAATGCCACCAACCCCAATAAAATAACATTAATCTAAGGGACTTATATAGAACACTGCAGCAACAACTGGATAACACACACAGTTGACAATGTACAAGGCCAATAACAAAAAGATAAATATGTTTGGAAATTTATAAACATACTTCTAAATAAGAAGAAATTATAATGGAAATTAGAAAATACGTAGAACTAAATTATAACAACAATTACATATCAAAACATGCATAATGTAGCAAAAGAACTGTTAAAGGAAAATTTATAGGCAAGCTCTTACATTCAAAAAAAGTAAAATAAGGCTGAAAATATATCCACAAAGCACACAACTTAGTGCAGTATAGAGAGATAAAAAGAAGGAAAATCAAGCTAAAAGATGTGAAGGATAAATAAGATGTTTCAACACACAACTCAGGCATCCTAGAATAAGAGAACAGAGTGGGGAAGGGGCACTGTGTGAACACATAAAGGCTGAGTATTCTTCAGAATTAAAGAAAATTATAAAATCTTCATGTTAAAGAAACATAATGCATTCCCAAAAGACCAACAAAAATAAATTTGCACTTGGTCACACTGTTGTGTATAGCAACAGCAATAATGTGTCCAATTTGCGGGGGTTAAAAACAAAGCAAAACCAAAAAACTAAACAGTGAGGTGATTGAAATTAAACATTCTACAGCCTTTCAGGAGGAAGGCATGATATCTACTAATTTAGATTTTCTTTAACAAGGTATGCATGCTTAAAATTTAGGAGTAACGGGCTGGGCATGGCGACTCATGTCTGTAATCCCCGAACTTTGGGAGGCCAAAGAGGGTGGGTCTCTTAGGCTCATGAGTTTGAGACCAGCCTGGGCAACATGGCAAAACCCTGTCCCTACAAAAAATATGAAAATTAGCTGGGCTTGGTGGCAGAGGCTCGTAGTCCCAGCTACTTGGGAGGGTGAGGCAGGAGGATAACTTGAGCCTGGGAAGCCGAGGTTGCAGTGAGCCTAGATCATGCCACTGCACTCTAGCCTGAGTGACAGAGAGAGACTCTGTTTAAAAAAAAAAAAATTAGGAGTAACAATTTAAAAAGTATAAGTAAAATGTATTACTGAAAAACCATTAGCAAGAAAAAGAGGATGAGGAAATTGGGTCACAATGGCAGAAGAGAAAGGAGGAAATGCATGCAAAATAGAGAGTACCAAGTAAGACGGTAAAAATAAATCAAAACATGCCAGTATTCACAACTACTACACAACAAGTTTACCAGTTAAAGAATTAGAGATTCTCATATTTGATTTTAAAACAAGAGTGAAAATCCAATATGGTGTTTAGAAGAGAAACACATACTGACACTAAAGATGAAGGTATTGAAAAATTTTAAAAAACAGACAAAATGACAATAAAAAGTTTGTATAGCTATATTAAAATCAGAAAACATGTAGTTTAAGGAAAAATAATTTTCAAGAAAAATGAGGGTCACTACATAATGGTAAAAGGAGAAATTCACCATTTATCTATCATGTTTTTATCAAAAGAAAAATTCTGAACCCTCCTGTACTTAAAAACATAAGCTTAAAATGTAAGAGCAAAACAGTTCCATGAAAAGAAATCAACAAATTCACCATCATAATGGAAAACTGGATCATATCTAAACCAAAACTGATCAATGAAGCAGGTGAAAAATTAGTAAAGATACGAATTTGATCTTGGCAAACTGAGTGATATGAAACATTTTAACCTGACAAATGTTCAGAAAACAACTATTTAATGGTAAAAGACTAAAAACACCCCCAATAAAATCATACTCTAGGCCAAGGTAGCTAGTGGTCCTAGCCAATGAAATAAAAAATAATCAATTATAAAATAAAAAATTGAAAAAGAAGATACAAAACTGTCCTTATTTTCTGATACGTTTACACAGAAAATCAAAGCAAGTCTATAGAAAAAAAACTAATATGAGAGTTTAGCAAGATTTCTAGATACAAGATCAGCAAGATCAGTACACTTGATATCAGTTGTATCCCTATCATCAGCAAACAATTAAAATATTTAAATTTAAAAAGATATTTTTATAATGACACTGTAAGTGACAAAGAACTTAGGCCTAAACCTAACAATGTATTAAGTATTTATGGGAAAAAATTTGAAACTTTATTAAAAGACAAAGTTACTTTAATTAAATGTACATATAGGCTGGGCACAGTGGCTCATGCCTGTAATCCCAGGCCAAGGTGGGCAGACCATCTGAGGTCAGGAGTTCGAGACCAGCCTGGCCAATGTGGTGAAACCCTGTCTCTACTAAAAATACAAAAATTAGCCAGGCACGGTGGTGCATCCTTGTAATCCCAACTACTCAGGAGGCTAAGGCATGAGAATTGCTTGAACCCGAAAGGCAGACATTGCAGTGAGCCGAGGTTGTGCCACTGCACTTCAGCCTGGGCGACAGAGCAACACACTGTCTCAAATAAATAAATAAATAAATAAATAAATAAATAAATAAATAAAAATAAAATGTAAATATATATTGGATTCATAGGTAAGAGGATAAAATATCATGAAGATAGCAGTTATCCGTATAATCTATAAGGCCCACCATGCTATACTAATTACAAAAGAGTTTTTTCTAGAATTTGAAAAGCAAACTCTAATCCAAATTGAAGAGTTAAAAAATCAGACAAGTTTGAAAAGAGTAATAATATGGCGGGATTCATTAAACCCAGAACAATTAAAGAAATGTAATATTGGCACCAGTATAAGTCAATAGAGTAATGAAAATAAGGAGAATGAAATATATATATATTCATACATATTTATGAAACTGATATATGACAGATGTAGCACTACAAATCAATGTAAACAAGATGGGAAAATTGGTAATCCATATCAGAAAAGATCAAATTAGAACCTTATATTAAATCATTTATTAAATAAATTCCAGATAAACTGGACATCTAACTGTGAAAATTACAACTTTAGGGTTTCATAATAAAATGTAGAATAACTTTATGAATTAATACAGAGAAGAGGTTTTTACACAAGAATTAAAAGCACACATCATTATGCAAAGATTGACAAATTCAACCTATTAAAATTACATTTATATAAGAAGAGGCTCCAAAAACATAAATAAAAAATAAGCCACACCCTGAAAGATAATATCTCTTATATATATGAATGATTAATGTCTAGAATATTTAAAGAATGCATATAAATCAATAAGATAAAAACAATCACCTAATAGAAAAATGAGCAAAAGATATGAACAGGCAATTAATAAAAAAGAAAGAAATGGTCAACAAGCATGAAGTTCTCCAGCATCCTTTGTAATCAAAGAAAGACTTTATCAGTTTACTTTTTGTTTCACATCATTTGGTAACGTTTGAACTTTTTTTTAAAGTGTAGGAATGATTAAGCTCATCACAAAAACTAGCAAGCAGTCAATATATTTGTGACAGAAAAAATGATTACAGTAAGAATTAGCAGCCAAATAGCATGGACTTAATATCCAAAATTAAATGAAATGCCTCACTCAGTGGTGATTCCAGCTAAATCATGTCCATGAGTATTTTAAAAGGTACTGATATTTTGTAGGACCTCTTGCTGCATTTTCTATACAGTTGGATATGTTAGAAAATTAGAGCAAATCTCATTTACAATATTTGGATCTTCAGCTACGATTCTATTTGATCGTAGATGACTGTAGCTTTAGAGATTTTAAAAAGTATGTTTTCCACTTATACTAAGCAAGCACTTTGAAAATGTCAGGAAAAACTCAAAATTAAACTTTCTTATTTTTTATATTTCTTCAAAATATATTCCTGCTTCCACATCAATATTAACAGATTAATAGCTGGTTTTGATTTAATTTGGTGGTTGCTAAAAAGAACTTCAAATTCCAGCCGTTGGCAATTAGACACCCTTACCCCCACTCCCAAGTTGGGTGGGCTACTCACTTCTCAGCACGTACATTGCCTCAAGGCACAGAAAAAAAAAAACAACTTTCCTCTGCCCAAATCAAAGGGATGCCTTTTCTGTGGTGAACAATTCAGCCATTAGCCGCATTTCTAGGACATCTCCATTTGCCAGTGAAGCCAGCATCAGTCTCGGCTAAGATCATAGAGCACAATGACCAATGAGTCAGGTGCAAATGGCCTTTGGCATTAATGGAAGAGATAATTAGGCAAGAAGGCAAGAGTTGAATGCAAAGGAACCAAAACTACATTTAGACATAACCTGTCATGTCCATCATGGTCCATATATCTGCTCAGAGATATATGATGGTAGGAAGTAGGGAGATGGAGATCAACTAAGATTTTAGAAAGAAGAAAGCCACAGAATCCTTCACTGATTCCAAAAAGCAGGAAAGAAAAGACAAGATACCAAGATTTCTAAGGTGACAGACAGAGGAGGAAAGGGAGGAATAAAGCTGGGGAGGGGTAATGCTACTTCTTTGGCACCTCAAGAAACATTTGCCTGAAAGCACCCAAGATGGGAAGCAACAGTGATGCAGTGAAAAAAACACACGGGCAAATCATGGAACCTCTCTGGGCCTCAGGCTCCTCATCTAAACTTCACAGGGTTGTTATGAAGAATAAGCAGCATAATGATAGAACATGTAAAAACACTTTATTAGCTGTCATTTCTGTGGAACCCAGGGCCTAACTTTCTGACTGAAAAAGCAGGCAACAGAACAAAAATGCTTCTCTAGAGAGATAAAGTAACTGACCCCTCTCTCTTCCTTTAGAGCCCAGATTAAATGCCCCTTCCCTAGAGGGGCTTCCTGGTCACTTATTTAAAGCTCATGTCCTTTATTCTCTACTTGACCCCTCATTTGTCTTCCTCATAGCCCTATCTCAACTCCCAACAATCTAATGGAGGGGAGGGTACAAATAGTACTCCCATTTTACTCAGAAAACTGAGTCAAATAAAAGTTTAGGCCACACAGCTGGTAAGGGGTAAAGTCAGGATTTCAACGTAGCTGGTGTGGCTCCAGCGTTTTTGCTCTCAACTACCATGCAATACTATTAACATGGAATCTGAATAAAAAGTTGAAATTAACAAGAACAAAGGTAGTAATGTCTAGAGTCAGCATTCACCAAGAGGACAGGGTAGAAGGGAGGAGAAAAAAACTAAAGGAAAATGGAAGAGAATTATGAAATGTTTGTCATCTTGAAAGAAAAGGAAAAAAAAAAAAAAAAAAGGAGAGCAAGAGTTGTATGTCACTGCTGCGTGCCCAAATCTGTTATGTAAGGGCTGGCTTATGCTGGCTCCACTGCCTTGGCTTTAGGGCCTTACCTGTCAGAGGGAGCTTGATGCTGCTGCCAACCTCCTAAACTGTGTGGTGTTTTCTCCCCTCATGCCTATGCTAAGTTATTCTCCTGTCAATAATCTTTCATCTGTGTTTCTTTCAGAGGCATCTACTGCAAGTGCAAAAGAATTGTGGTGAAAGCTGCCTGATCAACAGCTATAACCTGGCAGAATTTCTCCTTCCAGCCTTACCTGAAAATTGCTTATTATGAAATACTATACCACAATGCTTCATGCTTATTCCAATCTCAGATTAAAGGCAAACTCTTTGTCCAAAACAGTACACACCCACAGGTGGGGGTGTATATGAGCAGTTTTGACAACGAACAACAAAAGTTGGACCTAAATTTTTCACTTAGCACAAGCCTAGTAATTTTATTATTGTTATTATTGGATGTAGTTGCATTGAGGATTCTCTTATTAGAGACATATCTTGGTTCAAGTAATCAATGGAATGTGTGGGGGAAACACATTTAAAAATGAATTTGGAAATGTTTCCAGGAGTGGTGGTTTTACAAGAGGACTCATCACAGATTTTTTCACAGAATCTTTCCTAATCTTTACGAAGGTTTGAGGCTCTAACTCAGTTCTCGTAATGGACTCTCTCTTGGTTGGAAAGAAGACAACCCAAAATTCCAACATTTGGTGAGTTGACAAAAGTGACATGTGGTGTCTCTTTCATTCTTGTAGCAGCTGTCTCACATGAAAGGCAGTGAATCAGAGTTCTCCGTGAGGACAGCAGGAGCTGGTCCCCCTGCCTTTAAGGTCACTCCCAGAGTCTTTCCCTACAAGTTGGCCTTGGCATCTGCAAGAGCAGCAAAAACAGAACACACAGGGGCCCTCACACCACAAACCTAAATAGTCTAAAAGTTATAAGCCAAGCTAATAAACCATTAAATAAAATAGTCTACCTTCCCATCTTGACAAATATACCTCTATGACAACAAAATTGAAAAAAGGAGTGCAGCTATGGGATTTTTTTTGATTGCTAGTCAGCAAGACATCAAAGATGACTGATATTCATTATTACTGTGTATGTCAGCAGTTCTTTTGACAGGCCAGTAATGTATAGATGAGTCATAAACACATATATAACTCATAAATATGTTTACTTCATAAAATACAATATTTCTTGTCTTCATTTTTATAAAATACTTAAGTTATTATAGTTAAGGTTTTCCCATAAATTTCCTTATATTGACAGTAATGCTAAATTAGATAATCTTTTTTGAATCATCATAGTTGTTAGATTATTTTCAGTATTTTCAATTTTGACAAACTTCTTTATGTTGAGGCAGTAACTACTGGAACTGTCAAAATTATTACAGTAAAATAAATTCAGAGATGGCCACTTTATGTATTATTTTATGTTCAAATATAACATAATCATAAATGATAAACTATATTGGCTATACAAAATGTAACAATATTTTAATTTAACCATTCCAATCGCCATCTCATTCAACTTCTGCCCTCTTTCAAAGTAATATGTAAATCCATAAAGAATTTAGTTGTTGTTTTTTCAATTTTTTCAATGCTGAGTTATAAAGAAAACCAAACACAGCAGGATGTTGCTCAATTTGTTAAAATCTTCTTTCAATAAAGACTACTGCCTGATCTACGGTGGGCAGAAGATAATGTCTACAGAAAGTGTATTCAGGGTCACATACATGTAAATCTTTCCCATTATAGAGTGCATGACATTTATTGGAAAGCTTTTGTGTGGCTTCCTAGTTTCTTTCTAGGTAGTAAAACTATTTTCTCTAAAATGTTTTGAAATATTTTTAAATCACTTATCAAATGAAGTAACTCTACTTTGATACTTCTGGGTTTTTATGAAATAAAACTTTTGTAAACATTATTAATAGCAAACAACAGTTCACATTAAATGACCATGGATACACAAATTCAAAGTTAGCTTCTGCAAAGACTATTATCAATTCTTTCTTTGTGGAACTGTTGTTATATCACATAATTGTTGTAGTATATCTTTTCTAAATTTAATCTAAACATTTTAGTAACATTTAGTTGGCATCGCCATCAGATGTCAAAAAGTAGCTTTAAGGTCAATTTCAATGTATTTCCTTGGGATGTTCCATATTTAGACAGATTCAGAAAACAAAGTACATCATCTCTGAATTGTTCCAAAGAATATCATTGCTTTGGGTGAATTGGAGGCTATACATCCTAATAACAAACACACTACATAACTTCAAATAAGCTACTTGAAAATAAACTGTATTTGAATTTCGAAGAGATTTTATGATAACATGTACTATAACTATGCTTATCTAATTTAAAAACTTTTAAAATATATTTTCTAAATGTAATTCTGGGTTTATTGATGGAGAGAAAAGAGGAATACTGCTGTTAGAAAGAGAAGAAAATACAGGTGATAACTTGACCATGAAAAATAAGCCTACAGATCACTAAGAGTTGACTTTGTTCTTACAACAAAAATACACTAAATACGTAAAATTTTAAAATTACAATTAAATTTCTTTGGGCGAGGGGCGGTGGCTCATGCCTGTAATCCCAGCACTTTGGGAGGCCCAGGCGGGTAGATTGCCTGAGGTCAGGAGTTCGAGACCAGCCTGGCCAACATGGTGAAACCCCATCTCTACTAAAATAAATAAATAAATAAGCAAGCAAGCCAGGCGTGTAATCCCAGCTACTCGGGAGGCTGAGGCAGGGGAATTGCTTGAACCAGGGAAGTGGAAGTTGCAGTGAACCGAGATCGCACCACTGCACTCCAGCCTGGGCGACAGAGCGAGACTCTGTCTCAAGGACAAAAAAAAATTATTTGGACTCAGATTCTGTCTCAGATCTCTCAGGTACAACTTCCTCTATCTCTGAGGTTTCCGTATGTGCTATCTTGAAAACCGTCAATTCCCTATAGAGATATATCAAAGAAATAGATTTCTGAAACAGCAGCACAGAACGTCCTCATTTTCTAGTTACAGTTATGAAGTAACAGAAAACAAAAAGACACCTTTATGCTTTAGTGTGAGCTCACTAATACCTAGTCCCAGGCTCAATCACCTTTTCAGCATCATCTCAAAGGCAAAAGTTTAGCTTCTCACTAAGTTCTAACGGAAAACAACACTAGAGGGCGCTGGGAGTTTGCAACTTAGGACTGTCTTCTCACCCAGGAACACAGTGTTTTGTTCTCCGAAGGATACCAACACCAATTCAATCCCTGAAAATGTCCGTTATCATCACAGTTCCAATGAATCAAGAGCGTGATCCTACAAATATGTTTTCCCTGAATACAAAAGGGGAAAGAACAAGAATCTCACTGGCTTTAGCAGTTTAATAGTGTACCATCCAATCAGGTGAAAAAGATATTAAATAAATTCCAAGGAGGGGAAAGAGGGAAGAGCAGAGCTTGTAGCTTACAGTTTCTTTCTTTCAAGTCATGTGGTAAGTGAATTTTTGGTGTGAGCGTTCATGAGAATTTCTGCCAAAAAATAAAATGGTCAAGTCTTGCATTAAGTCAGGCTGAGTTGATGTTCAATACACTAACGGCTAAAGATAGAAGTTCCCATTATAAATCACATCTCAAAATGCTAGTAATTTGCATTTAGGACAATGAACTGCAAATTCTATTCAAAAGGTAAAATTAAAATAAGACTTTCAGGTGTTGTTCTCTCCCAAATCTTTACAATCTTATGACCATTGTGGGGAAAAAATTTGTGGGGAATGTTGAAGCACATCTTACCTAGTCTCAGTGTGACCTAAGGGTTATCGTCCACACCAAAAAGGCAAAAGGCACCCTAGAGCTAGAAGTTGTCTTCCCTTTGAATGGAAGACAACTCAAACTCTAACTACACATTGTGGGAAAGCTATGATGTAGTAGCCTCTCATACTTTTGAAATGTATACATTTTTACAACGGCCCAACATCAATTTGCATATGGATTTGCAATTGCACATGCAATTGCAAAGATAGGATTTTACTGGTGATTACAACAACAACTTTTAAAACTACACTTCAGCCTGGCCAATCCAGTCTTCTCCAAGACCAGCACTACAGATCTGGCTGTTTGACATAGTGACAAGTAAAATATTACTTTTTCTATGAAGTTGTTTCATTTATATGTTTGGTCAAATCAAACTAGTCATAAATACATTTGCTGAACATAATCTATCCTAAGCCTTTTCAGTGTTTAAAATTATGGACACACTTGGAATTTTGTCATGTCACACAAGAAACATTGGCCCAGGAGGTCAAACATGGTCATAAAGTTCATAAACACGTCAATCTTCCTCCTACCACAGAGACTTTGAGTTTGCTGTTCAATCAACCCAAAGCAATCAGTCTTCTTCAAGGGGACCAGGAGTAAGTCTTCCTTTTTTTCAGGAACTGGTAGATTAAACATGGGCGCAAGACTCAAATACATACACGTTAATACACACACCTTGTCCAGATTTGGTTCCAGAATTTTTTCTGGTGCCTAAATCTGGTCACAGTGGACTTGTTTCTTCTCTTAACTGCTTTTCATACAACCCTAGGAGAGTCCCAGGTTCTGTCCTTGAATGAGACTTTCATTCCTGGCATACTAAGTCAAAATCAAAATGCACTTCCTGCAGAAACACTGTCATGAAAACAGGGGCACTTGAAGTCCCACAGTTTGTAGCTTAACTGGGTTGTTGAGGGCTGGCCTAAGAATGTAAAAAACATTTCCAACATTTTTGCTTTGGGAATGTGTAAGTTTCACTATCTGATTTTCAATGGAACATTTGAAGCAATACTTGTAAAGTGCAAAGTTTTGTAAAGGAAACAGATAAATATAAAATTACATGGAAGGTATCTTTAGCTTCAGATGCTGAAGGGACGGTGAAATTCTCTTCTAAAATAAAAGAAGGATTTTTAAGGGATTGCCACATTTTTGCAACTGAAGGCACATTGGATATTGATTTAGGTACTTCCCCACAGATGTCAATTTGGCTGAGTGGGGACATGTGGTCTGTCAGCAGAAGATTTTCAGTCCCTGAAGTAGAGGACAGAGCTCAGAAGAGAGTCCTAGAGAGGTTTTTTGTTTTGTTTGCTGTTTTTAAACAAGAAATCCTATAACAGAGATACAAAAATAAACAGATAAAATTTTTGTTTTAGAACAATGGTTTTCAAATTGTAGGTGGCTGTTCATTTGGTTTATGAAATTAAATGGGTCTTGAGACTCACATCTGTAGAATGAAATGGAATAGGGAAAAAATGGAGGGGGGCCATTGTATTTCTTACTGTTTGGGTGGTCACGATCACAAAATTTTTGAAAGAACACTGACCTAGAAGTTAACAAAAAGAGCCATGGAGTTAAAAAGTTAAAACCATTCTTAAAGTGGAATTGGCAAGTGTGAAAACTGGCGACTGTGTATTGCTTTTGGGAAAAGGAGATAGAAAATAAATTAGGAGTGTTTAAAAATTTGGGACCATTAAATAGTGCTCCAGGGTTAGAGAGGTCGTCTAGGGACTCTCTTTGTCCAGCCAGCTGTGGCTCATCCTAAATATGGCTTAAATATCACTTCCTCAGACCCACCTTGTCGCTTCTCTCCTCTGTCACCTTTTTTTTTTTAATAGAACTTATCACAATGTGTAACTATACATTTGTTTGTGTGTTTCTCTAATGTCTCTGTCTCTAGACAGCCTTTAAACTCTATGGTGACAAATTTTACTTCTGTGGTTGATTACTGCATAATACCTGGCCAGGCACTCAATTACTATTTAAAGAAAAGAGCATCAGGAGATATTGTGAAAGACTTTAAGATAGGCAAAAAAAAAAATTACTGGTGTCCTGCCTAGTATACCCTTCTAAGCTGCCAGAGCTGTTCGTTGCCTTTGAGCTGTTTTACCACCCTGTAAGTTATAGAAAACTGACAGTAATGCCAATGATTCTTATCCACAGAAATGCAAGTGAATCTTGGTGAATATGCAATGATTATTGTCATAGGAATATTAATAATTTTTTTCATCTACTAACAAATCCATCTTAGCATTCCTGGTAATATTAATTAATATATATATTTATTAATATATATCATATATAATTAATATATATTTATTTATATATCATATATAATTAATATATATTTATTAATATATCATACATAATATATTTATTAATATATATCATATATAATAATATATAATATTAGCGTATATGTGTGTGTTCTTTGACTTCTATTTAAAGCTAGTTGTAATATGTTAAAAGTTGTTCTTATTAATGAATTAATTAAAATTTTAATGAATGAGTTAAAATTTTAATTAAAGTATTAATTAAAAACTCTGACATGTTTTATATTTTATATTTATACTTTATATTTGGAGGGAAAGAGAAAGGAAAGAAAGAAAATGGAGTATTAGCTGGAAAGTCTATGTATGTGCTCATTCTCTTGGGGACTGACATTACCTGGTTGTGATTATGTTAAGAGAAAGAGGCTGGTGAAGGAAAGAAAAGGAAGGCATCAGAAACAAAGGTCATTTTATAAGGTAAACATGAGATAGCAATGTAGCCCACTTATAAAGCAGACTTTGTTTTAAACAGAGACATAAACATACATATAACATATGGGAAATAATGTGCTTATTCCATGCATTCTGTACTGGCAAGGCACATCTATTGTTGAGATCCTCAGCCTAGATAATCTGACACAGGTAGATCCAGAGAACAGTTATGATTTTTCACTGTCTACAGGCAAGCTGGTATAGGTACTACTCAATTCCCACCAAAGTCACCAATTAACAAAATGAATTATCCACTATGATGTCACTCAAACAGAACAAAGAGGAAATAATCAGGAGAGAAGTAAGTGTTACCCAGCAAAAATTAGTTGGAGGTGTGTTTACATGAATAAGGGTATCTTTCAATCAGAAAAAGTAAATCAGCAAGGCTAAAACTTGCATTTCTTAAAGATCATCAACCTGTTAATTAGAAAAGCTATGATAATTAAACTGAATTCAGGTGGTTTACTTAGAGTCAAGAATTAAGTTTATCGGGACCTCCCTTTAGCTTTATAAAATTAAGCTCCATTTACTAAATCTAGACACAGAGTTTAGGCAGGGTTTGCGTTTTGGTTCCATGGTCTAAATATTTATAATAGGTCTCCAATGAGTGTTCACATAGCTCTGGGTGATAGGTACTGATTCGATAACAAAAAGGCATTTTACTACACATCCCAGAGTTAAGTTAAATGCATAAATGTGCCATATTCACCAGAACAATAGTGAAGGTTCTAATGATGACATAATGCATAATAATAAACCCAAATGGGTTCTTTCAGCCATCACAAACAAGTCTGACGTAATTTTTATGTGCATTTTTGTCTCAAACATTTTTTTCAACTGTAAGCAAAACATATAACAAACATTTCAGAAAGACAAAAAAACACTTGTATAATGTTCTTGCAAATTTATACAATGCAGATTTGAATTCACAACACGCAGACACACACACACAGACACATATCTTGGCATACTGTAAACCTAAATTACAAATGGTAAATAATATTTTCCTTTATATAGCATGTCACAATCCACAAGCATCTTTGAGCATATTCATAAAACCCCTGTGAAGTCATTCATTGTTTTCCCCATTTTGTAGATAAGAAAATCAAGGTTCAATGATGTCTATTTCATAGATGAGGTAATCAAGTTTAGAAGTCTGGTTTGTGGCCACAGAACCAGAAAGAGGCATAGGTAAAGTTAAACATTAATCAAGGTCTGTCCTTTCCAGTTTTCCTGTTTTATCCTCTAACATAACTCATTCAAGTCAAACAAATATTATTATGATATTTTCTTCATTATTGCAATAAAAAAGTCCACACTGCCTGGGATACAGTCCCAACTCCACACTTGCTGGCTATGTGCTCTCAGTCAGATCACTTATCCCCTCTATGCCTGGTTCACTATCCTCAAATTGGGGATAATAATATCCCCTAACTGATAGCATTGTCATAAGGACTAAAATATTTATGAAGCGCTTAAAACTGTGCCTGGTGTCTTCCAAGTAAAATCAATTTCTTCTAATCTCAGCTTAGCAAAGTAAGACATTTGCCCTGAGGACCCAGATGACTGCTTGGACACTCATTGGTTGCCGTGTATCTGATGATCCATGGGCTGCAGGTGCAACTCACAAACTTCAGTAAGAATTTCCCAGCATCAATGCCCAGACTCGCCTCAGGAATCCTGCCACCAGGGGTCAGAAAGTTCCCTTGTGTTTATTTTGTTGAGCAATTTCACAGCTTCCTATCCAAAGACACAGAGAAACTGCCACTTGGGACTCATAGCCTCTTTCTAACCTGGGATAATAAGTACATGTTATATTTCAAGGAGTTACATTCCTTTCTATTTTTATTTATTGTAAATAATAGCAGCTGCCACTTAGTGAGCACCTACTAGATGTAAGATACTGGACTAAGCGTTTTCAACTATTTTTGTACCCCTAACAAAATGTACATCACTGTCTCCATTTCATAGGCAAGAAAACCTGAGACTCTGAGTGGTTCATCAGTTTATCCAAAGACACACAGCAAGTGGTAAAACTGACATTCACCTGGTTCCCAGGTGCTGTCTGTGAACTTCCAAAACCTACGCTCCTGACATACAAGACAGTGCTTCTCTCTAGAGCCAAATCATGCAATATTTACTTATTCTATCTTGTTTTTTTTTAGTACTCTATATTTATATCCTCTTAGGACTAAATTGTGCAATAATTATTTATCCTATCTTGCTTTCTTTTTTAACACTCTGTATTGTTTCAAAAGGACCTGAGACCCGCTTATACAAATACATAAACCAAATAAAAATTTTCCAAGAGGTTGAAAAACAGAAAATAGAAAGTAGAGATGAGGCCACGTCGAAAGTTAACATATGAACCGCATGTTACAAGGGCGCCTAAAATGACTAGCATCGGACCATGGATTCACCTTTTCATCTGCATTAAAGAGTTTAACTTCTTATCTTCTATTGTAGGAGAATCATGCAATGTTAAAATTATGCAGGACTTCAGTCTGATGCATATTTAAACATATTAGTTATTGTTAAAATGAGTTGTACCTAACTATTTGACCAAGCACCATTGATTAGCCAGTAGACTTGAGTTATAATCCCAGTTTGGTCACTAACTGGATGGGTGATTTTAGGCAAGTTACTGAACCTAAGGCTTAGGGTTTTTTGAGAGCATGAAATGAGATACCATATTATAAGACGTACTGTCTGACAAATCACACAAGTGCCCAATAATTGTTAGCTATTGCCATTATAATATTCTTGTAATCTTTTATTCTTTTCTTCTTTCCTCTCTTCCTTTTTCCTCTCTCTCATTCCTACCTTCTTCCTTTCCCTTCCATTTACTCCACTTTCTTTTTTCTTTTTTTTCTTTGAGATGGAGTTTCACTCTTATCACCCAGGCTGGAGTACAATGGTGGGATCTCAGCTCACTGCAATCTCTGCCTCCCAGGTTCCAGCGATTCTCCTACCTGAGCCTCCTGAGTAGCTGGGATTACAGGCATGCACCACGACGCCCAGCTAATTTTTGTATTTTTAGTAGAGACGGGGTTTCACCATGTTGGCCAGGCTGATCTCAAACTCCTGACCTCAGGTGATTCACCCACCTCGGCCTCTCAAAGTGCTGGGATTAGCAGATGTGAGCCACCGTGCCAAGCCCACTCCACTTTCTTTCCTTGCTTGCTGGTCACGTAGGAGACAGATTTCAATTCTGTCCGGGTCAAGAGATTTCTAGATAATTTAGGGATCAACTCCACGGCCAAGTACTAGCTAAGAAAAAGTCAGGAACGCAAAATAAGTAATTATGACTTCTGTTTATAAGGAATTCATATTCTCAAAGAAGCATCAACAAATATTTTTTTAAGTCCTAAAAGATAGAGAAAGGATAAAACAGCTTACAGAGAGCTTAAAATGATGTGGTAACATAATTTTGACATGATCTGGTTAATGTAGGGCTAGAAGTCTGCTCAGTGTTTCAGGAGTGTGAAGATGAGAGGGACACAGCATAAAATAATTAGAAACTATAATAGTAACACACAGTAGGGGTCATGAGAACTCAATGAAGTCAATAGAGAACAAAAAAGAAGGTTTTTGCTGATAGCTTCATTAAAGAGAAAGGAGTGAAGGAAATTTGAGATAGGGAGAGGGCAACGCAGGACCTGGGAGCAGCAGACATGCTGCTCTAGTACACCCAGCTCCCTGGGCTCCACGTCAATCACATGTACTGCTCTAAGAATATAAATCAAATAGTGTACCTGGCAAATTCCTCAAATCAAAGAAGGCAAGGAACAAGGACACACACACAAAAAAATACATCAGCTTCTAAGGAACACCTTCCTCGCTGGAAGTTCCAACTTTGGGCTTCTGCAATGAAAAGATGATCCATATTGAAAAATAAGATAACATAAAACTCATGATGGGAATTTTCCATGTCAAAATTTAGGTTCTTGGCTGCTTTTTTTTTTTTTTTTTTTTTTTTTTTTTTTTGAGATGGAGTCTCACTTTGTTGCCCAGGGTGAGGTGCAATGACGTGATCTCAGCTCACTGCAAACTCTGTCTCCCGGTTTCAAGTGATTCCCCTGCCTCAGCCTCCCAAGTAGCTGGGATTACAGGCGCATGCCATCATGCCTGGCTAATTTTTGTATTTTTAGTAGAGATGGGGTTTCACCATGTTGCCCAGGCTGGTCTCGAACTCCTGACCTCAGGTGATCCACTCACCTCAGCCTCACAACGTCTTGGGATTACAGGCATGAGCCACCGTGCCTGGCCGTACGTGGCTTTTATGAAGAAGCCTCTTTAACCTAAATCTCATGAGACTATGAGTTTGGGAGAGAATACTAGTATCTTCTTGCTCCAGGAAATATGAATGAATTCACAGGAGAGAACATCATGAAGTACAGGAAGAGCATAGGTTTTTGGAACCAGAGAGACCTAGCTTGCTTTTCGCCTGTGGAACCTTGATCATGTTCCCTGACCCTCTGTGTGTCAGTTTTCTCAAGGTTAACAATATAATTAAGCTCAGTAGAGATAATAAGAAACATTAAAACTTTTCGTTTTTTTTTCCCAGATTTACTCAAAACAAAGGGAGAACATAAATCCATTACTGTATTTATTTTAAAGTAATGATAACCATAAAAGATAAGTTTGTCTTGGAAATGCAAATTCTGGGAATTATAAAATCATATCCTAAGATGTTATTGTGTATTTTCATTTTCACTTCTCTTAGATCTTCTCTTCTCTTAGAATTCAATTAAATTGGTAAACTATTTCTAAGAGCATTATAGTGTATATAATTATGAGTCATGCTAAAAGTCTTTTGATGGCTTTTTAATTGTTTTAACATAGTAAAATCAATGTGTATGTGCCACCCTAGGCAATAATTCTGTCAGATCTCATTAATAAAATAGGTTGAGCTTGGTTTCTGCTTGGAAGAGAGCCTTGATAGGAGACACAAGGCATGTCCAGAACTTATCCTGGTGGCTCCACCACTGTGGATTTGGTTCCACTCTTCCTCAGATTGTGAGACCTTGAGAAAGATTATTTTGGTATGATAGCACTGGTGGCATTTTGTCTGTTGTAATGCCCAACTCTAAAATCAACTCAATCAAATGTATTACTCCCTACGAATGCCATAATACAGTGGATATAAATGAACAAAGATGTTTTCAAAAGCTTATTCTAGAACAAACAAACAGGTCTGAGTAGATGCACCTTCTCAAATCTTACATTACAGTTATTGCCCAGGGCAACCAGATTGCTGCCTTTGGATAGCCTCTAATTGACTATAGCCAATAGATTCCCCTCCCTTGTAAATTTCTGGTTAAACTCACACACATCATTCTGAACACTATAAGGCTGCTGGCAACCAGTCTTCAGATGATTGAAGGAACTTTTTTGTTTGGTATTATAGTGAGCAGGGTGGTTTAGGGGTCTTACCAACCTGTGTCAATAAACATGCTGGGCATGAAAGTCACTGGACTTCTCAAATTTCTCAAGTGCATACTATATCTATCACTGTATTAGTATGTTTTCATACTACTATGAAGAACTGCCCAAGACTGGGTAATTTATAAGGGAAAGAGCTTTAATAGACTCACAGTTCAGCATGGCTGGAGAGGCCTCAAGAAACTTACAATCATGGTGGAAGGCAAAGTGGAAGTAAGGCACCTTCTTCACAAGGTGGCAGGAAGGAGAAGTGCCAAGTGAAGGGGAAAGAGCCACCTATATAACCATCAGATTTCATGAGAAATTCACTCACTATCAGGAGAACAGCATGAGGGAAACCACCCCCATGATCCAATTACCTCCACCTGGTCTCTCCCTTAACACATGGGGATTATAATTCAAGATGAGATTTGGATGGGGACACAAAGCCTAACCATATCAATCACATAGGGTTAAGTAATAAATGAAAAATGTCCAAAGAGCAGCTAGCCCACAGTAGATAATAAATAGTATCATTAGTTTTATGATATGTTCTTAAGAAGAGAATCGGAGGTGATACTTAGCGCCCTGCTCAAGATGACAGACTTCTGACTCAGTAAGTTTCACTGCTTCTTTCTTCTCCCCTCTCCCCAGTAAATTACCTGTGTTTCTTTTGCTAATGTGACAATCATGGAGAACACAGAGGTCCTCTTTCCTTCTCAACTCCATTTCAACACTGAAATGTAGGACAAAATCTCCTTTTAGGCCAGATTCTTCCACTGACGGTGTTTATGTGTGAAGTTTAGGCCAAATCGGAGCCATACTTGCACTAACCACAGCTAATCCTGTGGCTTACATACCTTCATTTCTCACTCCCTCCAGTCTTACCTTTCCAGATAGTCTGTATTTTCCCTGTCCTTGATTTTCTATTATTTCACATTTTCTGTCTTATTATATGTGAACTTGTGAGGTGCCTCAAATCCTTTGTGAATACATATGCATGCACATAAACTATATAATCAACTATGTTTTATTATCTTGACAGCTTAACTCTAGGACCTTGTGTTTCAGGACACACAGTGCTCAACTTTCTTTTCTGATCTAGTATCTATCCTGAGCCTAGGCTTTTTGGTACAGTTATCTGCCTGCCTTTCTATACTAGTCAATCTCCTCTATTACATAGACCCTGTATTCTTTAATTATCACTTAATAGATTTAATATGGACTTAATATGACTTTGTCAAATCAACTTTTCCATTTTTAGTTAAAGGGACTTGGAGGAAGCACCAACACTATCACATGGTGCAGCCTGGAACTCATGTCTGGGCAGAAGCGTCAGCCGGTGAATATAGTCCCTGGTTCTCTCAGCATCCTATTAGAGGCATCCTAGGGCTAGAGTGCAGCTGGATGAAATATGGTGCTAGACTTCAGCAGGGAGCCTCCAGCAGAGCTTACTGTCCTCTTTGTATAAACAGAGCATGAGCACGGCCTTTGTGCAATTCATGGACAGCTTTGGGATCAAAGTCTGAACTTGGGTATAACCTGGTCAGGAAAGAGCTGGGAAAGGTGGCTACCTGACACTTGGGGACCTCGGGAGTTCCAGTCTTCAGATGATTTGTGGCCCATGAGAATTGAGTTTGTGGCTAATCTCTCCTGCTAAGAGGTAGCATCCCTGGTTACAGCTAACTACTTTCTGTAGTTAGCTCTGGAAAGAGCACTCTGGAAAGAGCTCTTGAGGTCATCTGACAATCTGTTTATTTCTCTTATCCATCTCTCCATCCACTCAACCCACTCAACCTAAGGTTGTGTCTATTCTGAAGACAGAAACTGGAGATGAAAAAAACAAAGAAGACACTATCCTGGCCTCCAAGGAGTGCATTTAGCCTTGAAGAGAGAAGCATATATGCAGATAAATAAGGGGACGGAAGTGTTACAGGTGCTAGGATAGAGGTGTGTTCAGGGTGCAACGGATGCATAGTCTTCATTTTGCCGGAAGTCAGAGAAGCCTTCACGTGGCTCTTGGAAGATGAGGGAGTAACTACAGGTTGGGCTGGAAGAGAAGTGTGGGAGACAGAATAACATGCCAGTGGGCAGAGAGTCTTTAAGTAATAAATAAAGTCCAAGAATGTGACCAACTTGAAAGAGAATTAAAATGTTTCTGGGATCATCATTTGTAGGACTATGTACCAGCTCCACTGAAGATTGAGCACACGTATTGAAAGAACATTAACTACTGTCTGAATGAAGTCTCAAATAATACTTTTGGTTTTTATCATAAATTATCTTTAAAACAATTGTTTGAATATTATATAGCTTGTTTTGTTGTTGTTCTTTCAAACTGAAGAAATCAAGAAATCTGTTGAAATTTCTTTATGTCACACAGCTTTAATATGTTGGAAGCAAAATTTTACTCCAGTTCTTTCTGACTTTACACTAACGATTTTTCCCCTGTGACTTTGTGTTTGTCTGGGAAATGCACTGATTTTTAACACTTGTTTACAACCCACTTTATTTCAGTTACCATAATAAGTACATTATCACTGCACATTACCCAACAATCACAATCTGTATATCTTGAATATGGTAACAGCAAATCATATTGAATTATTCTCTTATAAAATAGTGTATTTAGAAAGTATGTCAATTTAATGCATGATATTTGAGAAAAAGGCCAAATTCAGTGGTGATAAATTATTACACAGGTATTTCTAAGTGTTTTATACATATCATCCACAATGAATGATCAAAGCAAAACAATGATATAGGCATTATCATTCCTATGTTGCAGATGGAGAAACTAAGGGTTAATAGGTTTGATAACATATTCAAAGACATACAAACAATAAGTTGCAGAGGCAGGATTCAAATTGAGGTTCTTTTATATCCTAAACCCCATGCTCTTACATATTACACTATAAGAATGAGAGCAGAGTAAAATGGTTTTATTCTTGTTCTTTTATTAGTTTTATATTTACAAAGCCCTGAGGTATTCTCCTAAATTCCTGCTCTTATCGCAATAAAACAAGATGAAAAGTTTTTTAACCCATTGCTCCTTCTAAGGCCGTAATATTGTATAGTAGGGAAGGTGGGGCACAGAAAAAGTAAAATAAAAAATGTTCTTAGGAACTTTCCAAGAATATATGGCAAAATCCAAGTTAACTCTTATTATTAGTGAGAAAATATCAGAAAAACTATATGAAAGTAACTAAATAAGTGAATAATGATAAAAAAGAAATTTAGCATAACAAAGCATGCTCTTCTTAATCAAAGATAACTCGACATCATCCAATACAGTAGACATACTGGAAGGTACATGGCTAGAATCATCAAATTTATTGCTCAAAGAGATTCCCAAATGGATACAGGCAAACATTTCCTTAACAAAGTCAATGTGCTGTATTCATTTCTGGACCAAATTTCACTCTCTGTGGGAAATCAATTTCTTCCCTCAAACTCCAAAACACTGTTTGATAAACTGTCTATGCTTTCAGTAAAAAACTGACATCTTAAGTTTTAATACACCAAGCAAAATAGATGAATTTTCAAAGGGACCCAATCAGGAATTTTTCCAGATTGAATATTTCATAACTTGATACCATTCCTCACTGTTGAGAAAGATTTGCAGAGGTGAAGACTAGAACTCAAGCATTAAAGATATTCTTTTGTCTTGAATCCATGCAAGCTACATGAGTCTGAGGGCCACTATGTTTATCTCTGCAAAAAAGTATACTGAAAGAGGTCATCATGACTTTTTCTTTGTAATTAGTTATCCTATTTTGTTTATCCTTGTATTCTGTTACTCGGATCACATGAAGAAGAAAAAGAGGTATGTTTTTTATTTTTGCCTGTATTTTATTTTATATACATTAAACTTATTAATTTTCAGCTTAAACATAACTCATTTGGAAAGTGCTCTGAATCAGTACTCTATTAATTTACATTACTTTATACGTCACAAGGTTTCCCTAAAGAGAAAAGCAGGAGAGGTAAGGTATATTACCTCAGTAAACAATTATGGCAGCCATTCAAAGTCAAAGGATGCATATAATAACCCATGTTTGCAACTTTAAGTTAAATGATAGTATAGACTAAGAAAAATGTATGCGTTTATTATCTGTGTATAGCTGTGTTTGGGTTATGTAATGATGCCTGAAGTTTTTAAACACCATGTGTAATCATCTCTTCAAAATCAAGCATAATAATCCCTTTGGTATTTCCAATGGAAAAGAATTTATACAGTTCCAAAAGAGAATCAAATGAGTATAGAATAAGAGTATAATAATCAAAGCAAAACATTAAAAAACAAAATTATATTATCTGACTTGTGTACAAATTTTTTTTTTTTAATAGAGATAGTGTCTCGCTATTTTGCCTAGGCTGATCTCAAACTCTTGATCTCAAGTGATCTTCCAGCTTCAGCCTCCCGAAATGCTGGGATTACAGGTCTGAACCACTGTGCCTAGCCAAATTCATTTTTTTAAGTATTCACTTGGTATATTACATAGTCCTGAAGTTTACTTGAGTTGTTTTATTTTGGGTTCCTCTTCTCTCTCAACAGGAGTAATAATGCCTTTGGGGAAGTTTAGCTAAGAGCCATCATTATTATGAGCCATCAGATCATTTCATTATAATCAGACAAGCTATAATTAGCTTGGAGACAATATTCATATATTTATATAAGACTAATGACCACACTGCAGATAACAAATCTAACAGGAAAAAAAATTTAGCAAGTTTATGAACCATTTGTATTGTGAAATTTATTTTCAAAGAATTTATAACAACAGTTTGATCCTTACTTAGCACACACATTTTACCAATAATGAAGAATTTTATAAATCTTGCATCCTGTACCAAACTACCTTGGAGGATCAGCATATATCTCTATGTGCTAAAACTCAATTAAATAAAAAACTCAAATATATCCACCAGCATCAGCTTATTTAATGCTACATTTTCTCCAGAAAAAAGACACTACCCAGCTTTGGACTTTAAGCCACAGGAGGTATAACTTTTACATATTAAGAGCTATTGAAAGCTTCATTTAAGTTGAAAATGATAAAACTGTCAAAATACAAATAACTTCATAATCTTAGGTCACTTCAAAAAGATTGTTTTTTCTTTCATTGCCCTATATTACTTGTGAAAATGCTAACACTTCTGAATAAATATGGAAGGAAAATGCATTGCTCCATTTAGTGATCAATTGTCTTATATTTGATGGGTTCATTATTTCAATAATATATTCATTTTTTATTTTTATTTTCAAAATACACACTGACCTGCATATTTCAATTCCTAGGGAAAGTGAGACTATCCTAACAGAGAAGCCGTACTTTTTTTCTTTTTTTATTATTATTACACTTTAAGTTTTAGGGTACATGTGCACATTGTGCAGGTTAGTTACATATGTATACATGTGCCATGCTGGTGCACTGCACCCACTAACTCGTCATCTAGCATTAGGTATATCTTCCAATGCTATCCCTCCCGCCTCCCCCGACCCCACAACAGTCCCCAGAGTGTGATGTTCCCCTTCCTGTGTCCATGTGTTCTCATTGTTCAATTCCCACCTATGAGTGAGAATATGCGGTGTTTGGTTTTTTGTTCTTGCGATAGTTTACTGAGAATGATGATTTCCAATGTCATCCATGTCCCTGCAAAGGACATGAACTCATCATTTTTTATGGCTGCATAGTATTCCATGGTGTATATGTGCCACATTTTCTTAATCCAGTCTATCATTGTTGGACATTTGGGTTGGTTCCAAGTCTTTGCTGTTGTGAATAATGCCGCAATAAACATACGTGTGCATGTGTCTTTATAGCAGCATGATTTATAGTCCTTTGGGTATATACCCAGTAATGGGATGGCTGGGTCAAATGGTATTTCCAGTTCTAGATCCCTGAGGAATCGCCACACTGACTTCCACAATGGTTGAACTAGTTTACAGTCCCACCAACAGTGTAAAAGTGTTCCTATTTCTCCACATCCTCTCCAGCACCTGTTGTTTCCTGACTTTTTAATGACTGCCATTCTAACTGGTGTGAGATGGTATCTCATTGTGGTTTTGATTTGCATTTCTCTGATGGCCAGTGATGATGAGCATTTTTTCATGTGTTTTTTGGCTGCATAAATGTCTCCTTTTGAGAAGTGTCTGTTCATGTCCTTCGCCCACTTTTTGATGGGGTTGTTTGTTTTTTTCTTGTAAATTTGTTGGAGTTCATTGTAGATTCTGGATATTAGCCCTTTGTCAGATGAGTAGGTTGCGAAAATTTTCTCCCATTTTGTAGGTTGCCTGTTCACTCTGATGGTAGTTTCTTTTGCTGTGCAGAAGCTCTTTAGTTTAATGAGATCCCATTTGTCAATTTTGGCTTTTGTTGCCATTGCTTTTGGTGTTTTAGACATGAAGTCCTTGCCCATGCCTATGTCCTGAATGGTAATGCCTAGGTTTTCTTCTAGGGTTTTTATGGTTTTAGGTCTAACGTTTAAGCCTTCAATCCATCTTGAATTGATTTTTGTATAAGGTGTAAGGAAGGGATCCAATTTCAGCTTTCTACATATGGCTAGCCAGTTTTCCCAGCACCATTCATTAAATAGGGAATCCTTTCCCCATTGCTTGTTTTTCTCAGGTTTGTCAAAGATCAGATCGTTGTAGATATGCGGCATTATTTCTGAGGGCTCTGTTCTGTTCCATTGATCTATATCTCTGTTTTGGTACCAGTACCATGCTGTCTTCGTTACTGTAGCCTTGTAGTATAGTTTGAAGTCAGGTAGTGTGATGCCTCCAGCTTTGTTCTTTTGCCTTAGGATTGACTTGGCGATGCGGGCTCTTTTTTGGTATTTCCCTTTGAAAACTGGCACAAGACAGGGATGCCCTCTCTCACCACTCCTATTCAACATAGTGTTGGAAGTTCTGGCCAGGGCAATTAGGCAGGAGAAGGAAATAAAGGGTATTCAATTAGGAAAAGAGGAAGTCAAATTGTCCCTGTTTGCAGACGACATGATTGTATATCTAGAAAACCGCATTGTCTCAGCCCAAAATCTCCTTAAGCTGATAAGCAACTTCAGCAAAGTCTCAGGATACAAAATCAATGTACAAAAATCACAAGCATTCTTATACACCAACAACACACAAACAGAGAGCCAAATCATGAGTGAACTCCCACTCACAATTGCTTCAAAGAGAATAAAATACCTAGGAATCCAACTTACAAGGGATGTGAAGGACCTCTTCAAGGAGAACTACAAACCACTGCTCAAGGAAATAAAAGAGGATACAAACAAATGGAAGAACATTCCATGCTCATGGGTTGGAAGAATCAGTCTTGTGAAAATGGCCATACTGCCCAAGGTAATTTACAGATTCAATGCCATCCCCATCAAGCTACCAATGCCTTTCTTCACAGAATTGGAAAAAACTACTTTAAAGAAGCCGTACTTTTAAAGGCATTTTCTTCCTTCACTCATTCATTTGCTTACTCAGTCATTACTCTGAATAAGACAGTCACAATCTCTACTTTCCTAGCTTTCACTGGTAGAAGAAAAAGAGGAAAACAAAAGTATACAATCAGATAAATGCAGTTGCCAGATGTGTTAAAAGCACTTTGAAGGAAACGAACATGAGACAAAGATAGAGAATTAGCATGTGTGTGAGGGAGTGAAGCTATAGGGGCCTACTCTAGGTAGTACAGTTCTGGAAGGCTTCTTTGAGGAGGGGACACTTGTGCTGAAGCCTGAGGGCATGAAGAAGCTGGTCAGGTTGAGGGCAGGAATAGAGAGCAATTCAGGCTGAGGGAACAGCTTGGGCAAAGTCCCTAAGGTGCAAAGGAGTTTGGTGTGAGGAACTGAAGGACTAGGGTTAGTAAGCAAGGAGTGAGAGGTGTGAGATGAGAATGGAGAGATTCACGGAATCAGATTCATGGAGACTGGAGGCTGTGATCAGGATTTGGAAGAAAATAAGAACTTGAAAAGTTGAGTATAGATGATCGGGTTTGAAGAGCACCCCCAAATAAAGCCATCCTCATCTACTGAGACTATCAAAAGCTGAAAAGGCCAGCAGAGATTAGGCCAAGCTCAGGCTCTCTGCATCCCTGCCGTACCAGGTAGTTTTTCCCAAATTTCATCAAGGAATCCCGGAGGAGGCCCATCTACTCTGGTTGGTTGGCTGCAACAGCCACATTTTTACAATTAAGCCTGAATATATTTATTCCATTAAGATCTCTGAGCTAAGTTTTCCAGAACTACAACTTTCATGGACTCCTCTTTTACGATGAGGTAAGGAATAAACACACACACACACACATACACGTATGCCTTAAAATGCAAATAAACTCATGTTATTTTATAAATTATTCACATCAGTAGCTCATCTAATTCCCAGCCAAATGGATTTATCTTAGCAGTTTGTTTAGGAGTGGGTAGGAAGAAAGGGGAATGCAAATCTGGAGACCTCTCTAACTTCATATAAGGTACCACAAACTGAAGCTCTATGTAGTAGATGAATGGCAACGTCCCTGGAATGAAGCTGTGTTACAAAACGTCCACCCGTGGAATGGCACAATGTTCTAAAATATACAAACTTATTTGACCAGTCCTAACAGAAAATAGGAAGTGATGTATGAATTGTTTTTTTTCTTTTAAGTTTCAAAAATACAGTTTTTAACTTTTCACAGGACGTGAATCAGCTAAAATAATTTCCAAAAAAAGAGAAAAATGTGTGGACGAAATCACTCACTATGGCCATCTAATTAAAAATCTGCTAAACATCTTACCAAATGAACATATGACTACAATTTTAGCAAAGTAAACAGAAGTCACTTAAAAGGGCCATGAGATAAACAAGTTTTCAAGTGTGACACTAATGTCTTATGTCCATTACCAATAGGGCTTATGGCTGATGGCATTTGCTTGTAAACAAATTGCTTTACAGTGATGGATTTAACTATCAAAGGTCAACCAGTACCAGCTCTTTTCAGATTATAAGGCCAAAGAAAACACCACTAGAAGAAATGTCTCCTTGCAAATGTATCATTACTTCTTCAAAGAGAATAATTTTTAAAAAACTTTTGACTATGTCCCTGGAAACAGCATGAGACGTGGAGTCAGACAACTTGTGTTTGTTCCCAGTCCTGCTGCTTACAAGCATGGAACTTAGCCTTGACCCTAGCTCCTCATAAGAAAGATAAGACTACAATAACCTGTCTTTTAGGATGTTAGGAGGATAAAATAAAATCATAAAAGTGCCTAACATGTAGCCTGGCACACAGATGGCCTTCCCGGAGGCAGTTTTGATCCTTGCCACCAAAAGCATTGGAGGATACACCACTAGAGCAATTGGATAGTCTGTTCCCACAGAAAGGACTACACACAGGCTGCGCAAGGGTAGAACCACTTCCATTGAAGAACTAGTGAACTGACTACGAATTTTACTGTTTGATGGACACTGGTGGCTGTGACCCCTCATTCCTCAAAACAAACAATATAAATAATAACAGCCAACATTTATTGAGTGCTTACTGTATGACAGGTACCATATTAAGGGTTCCCATATATCATTTAATTTAAGCCTTTCATCTTATAGGAACTATTATGAAACAAGGACTGATTACTAGTCTTTCATGCATTCTTAAACTGGGCATTATGAAGAGGTAGCAATGCCATTTTTTGGAGAAGCTAATAACTTCTGAAAAGATGTATCTTGTGTGTCACCCACTCCTTGGTGTCAAGTACCTTAATCAAAGGATAGTCACAGCAAATGCAGACTTGGCCAGGAATAAAGGCGGGACAACTTGGAGAATGTGGGTGTACAGAAAGTCTAGGCAGGCTTGAGGGAAGGAGGAGGAAAAAGAAGAGAAGCAGGACAGGGGAGCACTGCTTCTCCTCTGCCATTTTGGTTCCAGCACTGGGGTTCTACAAATATCAATTTGTACAGTCCTAGACCCTGGGCCACGAGGCATATACACTGCTGGGACTGTTGAAAAAGCAAGAAGAAAAAGATGCTGGAGGGTGACCTCTGCAGCAAGAAAGCAAGATTCTTGCTCTTAGGAATCTCAACTCATTCTCCCTGAAGAGAATGCTTTCTATGACTTCATCAAGCTGGAATGGGAAAGCAAGACGGGTTAACATTGTTACTGGCACAACTAGGAGGACCAGCGCAGGGGACCATGAGATACAGGGGTCAGAGAGAGACAGCAGTGCCCTTGGAGGGTGCATGTTGCTTTTGTTAAATTTCTGTCCTCTTCATTTTCTGCTATAATAATCATGTGTTCCCCTGTCAACTTTCTCAATGTCTTCTCTACTGGTGTCTTCCTTTCTGCCTGTAAATATGTTCAAATCTCTTATTTAAAAAAATAACTTGACTTAGCCACTTTTTTATTCTCAGGGTTTAATATGCTTTTTTCTCCCCCCACGGTCAAAGGAGGAGACTAAGGTCATCACTTTAGCACTGAGTTCAAACAAATGCTCTTCTTTTTTTCTTCCTACACATCCTACTTCTCAGAACCCTATTTTTTTTCCAGTTACAGTTTCACTATCACTCCAACTGTCCTCTTCAGTAGGTTTATCAGTCACATTTCTCCCCGCCAAATTCAATAGCTCTTTTCTGCTATCATCATGGTTGTTATTATTACCTACAACAAAAAGAAGCTACTAAATAGCACTAAATTAGTATATGTATACAGTGGAGAATTGTAATGCATTTTGCCCATCCTTACAAGAAAATCTGATAAAACATGAGTGTGTGCAAACAATTTTAATACAGGGATTCAAATAATAAGGGACTGGGAGGATAAAGAAAAGGGCAGTCAGTCTTTGCCCCAAAAAACCCTAGGTTTATGGCATAGAGAGATCTGCTTCTCAAAGTCCATACAGGGACCCAGTGAAAGGAAAATTATGTGGCTATGGGAGTAGGCTGTCCAAACAGACGGCCTGTCCTTTCCCTTTTGATGAGTGTGACAAATTGTAGTTCTATTTTTCCTTCCATTTCCCCATTATCTCTTTTATTCTATTTTCCTCTCTTCCTTTCATGTCCTCACATCTGGATTTGGACATCAAAGCAATCTCTGAAATTTAATAGATAAAGGAAAAAGAGTGGGGAGGGAGAGAACCAGAGGAAGAGAGAGAGAGCCAGAAGAGGAGAGAAAGGCTTCTTCCAAGGCAAAGGAGCTTTTCTGAACAGCTCCATTGCTAGCAGAGGCACCATGGATCCTACTGTAACTGTTCCCGATTCCTCCTCTTCCCCTGCATATTCCATGTTATCATGTCCTCCCACTGTGGCTGCCATAAACATAATTTCTATATGATTCTTCCCCATTCCTAGTCAACTTGCATTCTATGTTGATCTCACCACTCCCAGGGTCATCTTTTCAAAACGATTTGAATCTTATAGTGACTTGACACACCTGTAGTGATTCTTGAGTTTGAATACAATCTTGAAAGTTATTTGAATCTGCTGGGGATGAGTTCTGAGAGGAATGGGAAACCCAAACAAGAGCAGCTTTATTTATTTATTTAGCCCAACCAAAAAAACCTGGAAAAGGAAATCTAGATCTAATACATTGACTCCATGGTCACTCATCACACTCTTAATGTCTTCAGCACATTTTTTTTGAAGTATTCCTTATATCGTTTATTTCTCTGGTTAGATAGTTCCTGTGTATATTATATATAAAGTTAAAATAGGAATTGCAGCAAGCAGAAATGATCTACTTTTAAAGTATATGTTTCATACAGTGCTTGCAATAAGCTGCTCAATAAATGCATATTGCATAAATAAAACCTACTAGGAATAGGGATATGAAAATACTCTAAGTTGGCCAGTCTTTTCTTTCATTCTCTAAAACCATGCATTGTATATTTTTGGTTTTGCACTTTTTTCTGTATTAATTCTTCTTATAAACAGTACTGTAAATGTTTTTTGAGTCTAGTAAAAGTGTAGTACTGAATATTTGCTAGGTGATCCAAAAATTATCCAGTAAAAGAAATTTAGAAATGTCTTCTCCAAAAATCATGGTTCAGTACCATGGAAAAACACTGGAGAATACTGTAGCTTCCAAAATATTATTAATTTTTTCCAAAGCCATTTTGACAATTAAATCATGGAAAGGTTCAGCAAGCTTAATACTCCACTCAACATTAGACACATATGGTAGGACGAATTTCTGAACAGCCCCATGATAGGCTCAAGTTGTGTTACATTTGATCTGTTTATAATCATAATCTAGAGAGTCAATTTGATATGACTTCTTTAGGGGATTTGAAGAAACTGAAATATAAGGAGATTTTGCCCAGGACAGAGAGCAACTTAATTTAGAATTTAGCCTTCCTGACATGCTCTAAGTGGTGATGTTTTCAATATCAAACAAAGTCTTAGGAAATAAATCTTTCATAGAAACACCATTATTGATTTATTGAAGCATAGAAGGATGAAATATAATAAGTCATTGCAAGAGTAGAAAGGTCAGCAACAAAGAATCCAAATATTCCTATTAGAAAAGTTAAATGGACTTAATTAATTTTAAGCATGAAGATAGCAACATGAGAAAATGACCATGAAATGTACCACTTTTAGGAAAGAATACCATCAATGTCAAACACCGTAACGATCATACCCAGTGTATTTCATTACAAGAAGATCTTAATTGCACTTATCAGAGGGCCAGTTACACAATTATAATTAAAGTAACAATAAGGTTTTCATTGCAAGATTCTAAGAATCCCTTTTATTACTCTCTTTTTCAAAGGCTCCCTTCAAGTGTTGTATTGTAACTTCATGAAATGGAGAGAGAATATGGGCATAACAAAATATTTTGAGAAATAAAGTAAGACAAGTCACTGGAATAATAAGCTTCACAAAGCCCTCTAAGAATTGATGCCAGTTACCACAATTATTTGCAGTCTTAAGTGATATACTAATAATCGGGCCTGGAAATTTGTGGAAGTTGGGCATCCATGCTGGCAACTGTGAACTTTAAGCTGGTAATTAGATTCAGGGAAGAAGTCTTCTTGCCAAGGCCAGAGCCTTTAAGGAACCTTCTTGGGTTCAGGGATCTGAGGCTCAGCTAAGGGCTCAGGTCCTGTCCAAGGTAACAGGCCACTTTCATTAGGCTGTAGGCTGAACTTGTGAGGTTCCTTCTCTGACGTTTATGCCTCCATGGATTGAAGAAGAAAGTGGCTTAGTGTGGTTGGTCTCTGTCGCCTGAGATGCCATCAGTCTCCCAGTTTCCTCTCTGGGCCTCCCAGTCAATGCAGGGCCTGTCCTCCTCAGTCTCAAGGGTTGAGGGTGGCTGGACAAGACAGGAGCTCTGGAGTGCTGAAGCACATCAACAGAAGCTCCTACTAGCAATTTTTCAGAGGGTGCATAGGAACAGGGGAAGGTCAAGCAGCCAGTTTCTTCTTTCCCTGACCCCTATCCCCGGGACCAGATGACTGCCTGGCAAGCAGCCACCCATACAAACTATCTAGGCCTGCTCATAAGCATTCCAGTCTGAACCCAGTCCTCAACTGGCACCTGCCAGCAGAAATATATGACCTAAATATTTCTTTTGGAGTCCTCTGCTGTTCCCTTTACCACTGTAAAAACAATTATGAGAGGATAATTTTCATCTGCTTACTTGTAACATCATTCTAGATTTCTTGTGGAAATTTGGATTATTTTGACACCTGTAGGCCAGTTAACAAGAAAACAAGTAGGTTCATGTGCCCTAGGGGTACGATGGAGCAAAACCCACTTCTCTGGAATGGCAAAGACATAGCGCCACTTATTGGTGGGTGGTCAGAACTGGTCTTTCCAGTCTTGTCATGGAATTTATGAACACTGATGGGAAGAACCAGCAGTTTGTTAAGCCAAGGAGAATGGTTATCAAATGGACGGGAGCAAACAATAAGCTTAATACTTAAAAATTAATATGCAATAATTATTTTAGTCAAATTTTTAGTCACATTTCAAACAACAGTTATAATTCTTCAGCAGGATTTATTTAATGGGTTCAAATTTGGAGAAAGCTGCTGTTAGACTCAGTGCGAGAAATCAATGCTTATCTTGTAAATAGCTGAATTATCTCCCAGTTTGGGAACAATCAATAAAAGCCTGGCTTGAAATCGGGTTGAAATAGGCACTCTGATTAACAAAATAAAGGACATAATTCAGACAAGCATAATAAGAGTCCTCTGTTTAAAGTACAAGAGTGTGCTGGTCACAATGACAGTTCCTAATCTCTCCCACTGAAAAGTGACTTCCATGGAATAAAGTCAGCTTAGATGGATTTTCCATTTAAATGGTCAAGGATTAAAAAGAGTTGGTTGGACAAGCGTAACTCATTCATATAACATTCCACTTAAAATACACACACACATCATGATATCCTTATGAAAATAAGCTGTCTTCTTAGTTGCTGGAATTTGAAAGCAAAAGCTGACACTAAACCATTTTGATTAATCTATGACATAGTTGGAGGACTATGCTACACTTCATTCCCCTGAATTTCTGAGCTTCTGTGACTATTGTATCACATTATGCAATGTGCAGTGCTGGATCCCCTTAGAGGTTACTTATACAAAAACATACATTTCATTTGAAACCTGACCAGGCTCATTCTTGTTCTAGATAGATTCATTATGACAACCTTTAATTGGGCAAACTGCCAAAAAGCAGCCAGTTTAACAGGCTCTTTTAAAATGCAGCACACAGACTAATATGCTTATTTGACTTACTTGTTGAGAATGACTTATTGAATAATACATGCTAGAGTACAAAAACCTTTCAAAAGGTAGTTCTCAGAGAGTTTAAAAGTCCACAGAACTGGCCAGCATAAAAGAAAGAAACTTGAGGAGTTTTTTTTAAAAAAACATATCTTGCCAAACACAGTTCTATAATAGAGTGGAAGACATGTATAATGGTGGGAGCTGAAGGAGTTAATTTCCTAGTAAAAATTAGTTGCTATCAGGCTTTTACCCTATACAGTTGCAGGGAGCTCCATGGATGAGGAATAAGAAGGGCATACATATTTCAAACTATGACATATCTGTAACTTTTAAGTTTTATTTATTTATTTAATTTTACCAAATTGGGGGTGGAAAAGGGCGTTAAATCTTGCCCTCTGGAATATATAAAAAGGCTTCTTAGGTTTGTAGGAACTGGCCTGATATAAGAATTTGTATTTGCTTGCTAGTTGTCTTGAGAAAAATCTTATACAGACACCACATAGCCTTCTATAGAACCAGCTTAGATCAACTGGGAAGTCTGCTGCTTTGTGAATGACAATGGTAAAATTTATCTAATACTTAAGGTTTTTTAATTAATGAAATTAACTCAAACAAATTTGCAGTGTGACTATCCACAGCCATTTTGAGAGCAAATTTTCTCTACGATCTCAATTAGAACAATGTTCTCATGCATCCCCTCACTCCCCAGCTCCCACCTCAGTTGGAAGCAGTACACAACTCAGCCTGGCAACTGTGGAGTGGAACTAATTCCTTCCTCTTAACGCCTGTCTCCAATTAGCTGGTGGGAAATATAAACGATTTACTTAGGATACAGCTTTTCCCATTTACTCAAGCCTATTACCATTCTCATCCAAGCATTGCTCAGCCACTAATTGTCTTGGGAACCTGTACAGCGATAAAGAGCACAAAGGTGCTAACAGTGTGACCTAAGCAAGCTATTTAACCTTCCCAAGCCTCAGTTTCCTCACTAGTTGAATGGAGATCCTTTCTGCTTCACACTCTTGTAGCGAATGAAAAACGATGCCAACAGCCCTTAATGCTGCCTGGCCCATAACGGTGTTCAGCAAATTAATCATCATCATCAAATACATAGGAAAATAGATAAGCAGATAATTACAAAACAATAAAGTAAAGAAACCATAAAGAATATGTACAAAATATAGTGAAAGCACCAAGGAGGGTTGACCCATGAATCTTCCCTTTCTAATATCCCCGGCAGTTTGCTGCTGCCAGAATCCATTCAAGTAGCTTTGTCAATAAAGAACTCACCACCTAATGGCGCAGCTCTAATTATTGCACTATTTTCCCTTAAAAATATATCTGAAAATCCTCTAAGAGTTGTCTTCCAGTGATTTTCACCTATTTGCATCCTTTCTCATCTAGTAAAAGTAAATTCATCTTCTAGAGTATACCTATTTGAAGACAATTATGTTCCCAGATAGCGTCTCATCAAAGGTCACTTGCATAGTTCATGTTTTCATTTGCCACTGAGGAAGCACAAGGGATAAGCCAGACAGGAAAGACCCCATAGAATTCAAAATCCCAGGAACTTCTCAATTCTACTACTGACTGAATGCCAGTGCCAACTAATTCCTAAAGACTGCCGGTGTGTAGGGTTGAGTGGGACTCTGAAGGATGTTCTGGAACCATATGAAAAAGTAACACAATCAACTCCAGATTTTACATGAATGTATGTGTTGGGGGGAAAAGGAGTTGTGCTGGTGGTGGGTGTACCAACTACTTATCATCTGTGTTAAACAGCCTCTCAGCTTTCCTAGGGTTTCTCTTTTTTTGTGCCTCAAGGAGCAGGCATGATATTTTGTTTATCTTCCGTCCCTCTGTACCTAGCTCTAAGGATGAATGAATAAATGGCTTTATCACATATTTTTCACACTCTACAGTACCCATCAAAACCTCATGTTCTTAAATTTCAGTAACATAAGCAATAGATATCACAAAAATGTATAAATGGCATTTAAATAAATTTTTTGAAACACGGGATATATACATTGCATAATTATACATGACATATTTTTATTTCCTTCTTAGTGACAAGATAAAATATGTCTCTGAATTAGCAAATGAAGTCCAAGTGAACTGTAAGAATAACTTTCATTTTCCTTCCTTCCCTACCTGCTTTTTTTCTGCCATCCTTCCTTCTTATTACATATTTATTGTATAATTTTAAATTACAAACTTACTATTTTATCCTTGTTACAGGGAAGAAAGTCCAAATATATATTAAAAAGAAGCCAATAAATTCCAACTTTTCTTGTGTACCCAAATAAATAATCTGGCTTCCTTTTTTATGTTTCTCTATGATCATATAAATGTATACACATATTTAAATTTTTTTCTTTCTTTTTATTCCAAAACAGGGACCACATTATACACATTACTGTGCAATCTTATCAAGATCTTAACTATATTTGGGTATTTAAGCCCTTTAGATCTTCAAATAAATCATTTAAAGACTGAATAGTCCCAATGTGAACCTATGGACAGGTCAGGTTTACACCTTTGAAATTCATTTAAAATCTGATGCAGTTTTTCAGAGTAACAATACCTTAAATAGGAGTTATTTAGCTTCAGGGCTCCAGGAACAATGATAAACATTGTGTTTTCACCATCATCTATAAGGACTGTACTCCATGGAGAGTAGTTACTAGAAAGAAGATAATGACAAGGGCTTCCCTGTGTGCCTAGAACTCTGCATCAACAGAGAGAAGTTAGTTAGGCCCATGACTGAGGGGCTGCATCACTCCAAATGTGAGTTACTTACTGGGAACACCACATGACAGTTGCTGATGAAAATGCAGCATGGTGACCCAGAAACAATTTTGCTCTCAAGAGATGACCACTTCCACTAGTGCTATCTTTCCACTGAAGTATTCCAGAGTTAGACATGGGATTTAGAGTTGAAAGTCTTGAGTCTGGGTCCTGGTTCCACCATTTACCAGTTATGGGGTACTGGACAAACCCATCCTTATCGTCAATAATATATATGTTCACGTTTGTGTGTGTTTGTGCATGTGTGTGTGTGTGTGTGTGTGTGTGTGTTGTACAGTGATAAGAAGGCACTGCTGGCACAATATGATAATAATAATTTCCCAGCATGACCAATGACCAAGAAGATCAAGTGACTGGATGCAAGGAAAAGTGTTTTATAAAATGTGAAATGCAATTCCAAATTACAGAAAGAGATCCCGCTCAAACTTTTCATCCTACAGATCTCATTAAACATGTTAGACAACTTTTATTTTAAATCAGAACCAATCACAAAATATATTGCAATAATTTTTTTAAGCAGTTCTGTCAAAGGGACTGAAATGCAAAGTCTACTTTTATGGTGGGGCATTACATACCCATTCTACAGTCGGCAAAATGAAGTCTCAGGCAGGTGACATGACTAGGATGTATTTGGGTAGGGACTAGGCAACAAAGCTTCAAATTCCTGATCAAGGACATTGCCAGCATTTACTCACATGATATCATCCTACTTCAAATGTCAAGAGATGCAGAGAAGACCAAAAAAAGCAAACCTCAAGCAAGTTTATAGGAAGGTTATAGAAACATGCTTCAAGTTTTGTGCTTTTTTAAAAATAAGAACTCAATAGTAGTTGTTTCCTTACTAGCTGTTTCACAGACCAAGAAGATCTCTTCCTCTCATACCTTACAATCTAAGGAAAAACCAGCCTATGGTCCACAACCATCATTAGCCATTCTGTCTTGTTTACAATTCCAGGAATATTTTCTCCTTGGAAGCAGAGGCCAGGTTGTCCAGGCTGCACAGAAATACGTGGTACTTGAATTCTCAGCTCAAGCTTTTATCATAACTTAAAATATTTACTTACTATTCTATAAGGATTTTGACATATCACACTGTGAGAAAGGGATATGTAATTCTTTGACCATAAATACTTATTTTATGATGCCTTCATTTAATCCTAGAGTAAATTTTAAATTCTCAAACTATTCCATGTTCCATGGTCAAACACATCCAACGCCACATCAATAATTGTGAAACTTTTTTCCCAATTGTATTACATAGATCTCTACCTTCTTGTACAGCATGTATTTTACATGACATAACCAATGCTTGTAAACTTGGAGTCATAATTATGCACACATTTGTTACTCAATTATGCTTTCAAAGATTATACTGATGTATAAAGCTATTCATTTCTATACCAAATTGATTTAGACAGCTAGTGTTTTTTTAATAATTTCTCGATAATTTTGTCTCCTTGTCAGTTGTCTCTTCTCTCGTTGCTATCAGTACCTACCTGATTCAAGTAGCAATGTCTTTGTTTCATAGTTTAAGAAACCAATTGTGTTAGTTTTCCATGCTGCATAACAAATTACCACAAACTTAGTGGCTAATAATAATACACATTTATAAATTCACAGTTTCTGTGGGTCAGGACCGTGTGCATAGCTTGGCCAGGTGCTTTGCAAGGCTGAAATAGAAGTGTCAGAAAGGGCTGGGTTCTCCTCTGATGACTCATCAGGGGAAGTGTTTACTTCTTAGTTTACAGGTTGTTGGAAGAATTCATGGCCTGTGGCTGTAAAACTCATGGTAGCTGGCTTCTTCAAAGCCAGTAGGAAGGAGAGCAAGACTCTCAAGCAAATCTTCTAGTATGAGGGTGTCTTACACAACATCATCAGAGGAATAATATCCTGTCGTCTTTGCCATATTCTATTGGTTAGAAGCAGTCACAGATTCTGCCCACACTCAAGGGAAAGGATTATGAACACCAGGCTATAAAGACCAGGAGGTGAGGATCATAGGGGCTACTTTAAAATCTTTGAGCCATAGAGATTAAATACCCCCAATCTGAAAATCTGACATCCAAAATGCCCTAAAATACAAAAGACTTCTGGTGCCAATCATTTCAGAGAAGGGAGATTCAACCTGTGTCAATTAATCAACCTGCTTAGTATGAAATGCAAAGTTAGAACAATAGACCCAAAACAGGAGACCAAAGGGCCTTTCGTGAGTTAGTTACAGTGATTTTTATGACTGCCATTTTAATTACTTTCTGAGTTTGGCCATGTTCTGAATAGTCCAGGTATTTAATACGTGATTTTTAGATATACGGATGAAATCTCAAGCCAGAGGTCACTACTTTCAAGAAATAATATTGCTGCCTCATATTTTTTTCTTCTATAGATGCGTTGTGAAAATACTGATCAACTCTCTGTCATTTCTACATGAGACGAGTTTGTTATTCAGTGGATTGAGGGAATCTCTGGCTAATGTTCAGTTACTAAAGAATGCCTACTCATGGCAGTAGGCCAGGACAAGGCACTTGGCTATGGTGAAATTCCAATGACAACAGGCAAAATAAAAGCGGAAGTTTCCCTTCTTTACTCACTCCAAAAAGCAAAAATCCTATCCTCTTATCATATCCTCTTAGGTATTTAACTGCCTATGGAAAATTTTGATACTGGTGATTAAAAAAAAATTCTTGTAAAAGTTTTGTGTAGGAAATACTTGAATAATCCTAGATAAACTTGAGAAAAATTGATATTTCCTTCACTGCAGCCACCAGTCTGGAACTTGTTTAAGTTAGTTTCCTCTTCCAGGCACGAGAAGTTCAGCTCCTTATCCCTCCTTTGGTACACGAGGCAGAGGTTATAGGTAAAGTATTTAGTGTGCATAACAATTTTACACCACAATTGCTATCAGACTTTACACTCTTTGGAGCAGTTATCTGGTGAACAAGAAATATATGCAGCAAGTGGAATGAACTTTGGAATCCATTCAAAGAAAATGAAATGCTTGTCACTTCTGTCAGCATTTGTTACATTTCGGAATTATCTGTTGGATGATGAACTAATCTCTCCCTCTTTTAGACAGCACTGGGAAATAAGACAACAGGGTGAGTTTATTCTATGACCAAACCCTATCTGAAAAACAATGTCTCAGATTTAAATTACCGTTGAAACTTCCTTCCCTAGTCACGGTATTTAATTAGTTTGCGCTTGTTTCAACTATATAAAATTTAATTTCTCAGTGCAAATTCAAAATAATAGAAAAGTTATCCATACAAGAATCTTCAAGCTGTAATTAGAATAGTAAAGTTACGTCCAATGTCATCCAACCTGTAAATAAAGACTGGTTTATTCTTTTTTACATAAATTACTGAATGTTGCACATAAGTTAGAGTGGCATGATGTCAGCGTTTGGATTTTGACCATTCTAATAGATGTGTAGTGGTATCTCACTGTTGTTTTAATTTGCATCCCCCTAGTGACATACGATGTATAGCATATTTTTATATGCTTATTTGCCAACTGTATATTTTCTTTGGTGAGGTATCTGTTAAGGTCTTTGGCCCATTTTTGAACTGGATTGTTTGTTTATTGTTGAGTTTTAAGTTCAGTATATTTTAGATAATAATGCTTTTTCAGATGTCTTCTGCAAATACTTTCTCCCAGTCTGTGGTTTGCCTTTTCGTTATCTTGACATTATCTTTTACAAAGAAGAAGTTTTTAGTTATAGTGAAGTCTTGATTATCAATTATTTCGTGAATCATGCCTTTGGTGTTCTATATAAAACATCATCACTACACCCAATGTCATCTAGGTTTTCTCCCATGTTATCTTCTAAGAATTTTTTAGTTTTGTGTTTCTGTTTAGGTCCATAATCCATTTTGAATTAATTTTTGTGAAGGGTGTAAGGTCTATGCCCAGATTTAATTTTTTGCATGTGGACATCCAGTTGTTCCAGCACCATCTGTTGAAAGACTGTCTTTACTTCACTGTGTTGCGTTTGCTCCTTTATCAAAGATCAGTTGGGGAGGACACTTTTGGCAGAAAGAGAAAGTCTGATTACCTGGCAGGCAATAACATATAGGAATTAATGGCTTTAGAATCATCTAGGTCTAGTTTTGAACCCAGTAACACCTTATTACTAGCTATATGATCATTACAGCCAGATATTTAAGCTGGTTCAGCTTCAGTTTCCTTACTTGTAAATGAGAGTCCATGGCTCCTGCTTCAGTGTTTAGAGGCAGCATATAGTGCAGTATAGCAATCAGGACTATGGACTGTGGAATCAGGCTGCCCGAACTGTAACCCGCATTCTACTACCTACAAAGCATGTAACCTTGATAAGGTGGTTAATCACTCCGTGCCTCAGTTTTCTCATAAGATTATTTCTGATATGATCTGAAATGTCTGCCATTATGTCACATTCATAACTTAGTGTCTGATAAATAATAAATGTGTGCTGCTGCTGTGTTCATCACTATTATTATCACTACCTGCCACTCTGCAGTTCAACCATTTATCTCTCACTTTGCCTTACAGGCCAGCATCAGGCATAAAGTATTACTGTGGGAGCATTTCTCCTTATATAAACAGAGCCACAAGACATGTTGTGAGAGCCTCCACTCTTTTTTAAACTATTGTCTTTATATTCTAGAGAATAAAGTTTTTGAGTCTTTGTTTTCCCTTCTTAAACTGTATAGACCACAGGATTCTTTTTAAAAATCAACATGTAATTCATAGAAGTCATCCTTCAAAGGGTATACAATTAAGTAGTTTTTAGTATATTGTGTAATCATGACCACTATCTAATTCTTCTTTTTTTTTTTTTTATACTTTAAGTTTTAGGGTACTTGTGCACAATGTGCATGTTTGTTACATATGTATACATGTGACATGCTGGTGCGCTGCACCCACTAACTCGTCATCTAGCATTACGTATATCTCCCAATGCTATCCCTCCCCCCTCCCCCCACACCACAACAGGCCCCAGAGTGTGATGTTCCCCTTCCTGTGTCCATGAGTTCTCATAGCTCAATTCCCACCTATGAGTGAGAATATGCGGTGTTTGGTTTTTTGTTCTTGCAATAGTTTACTGAGAATGATGATTTCCAATTTCATCCATGTCCCTACAAAGGACATGAACTCATCATTTTTTTATGGCTGCATAGTATTCCATGGTGTATATGTGCCACATTTTCTTAATCCAGTCTATCTTTGTTGGACATTTGGGTTGGCTCCAAGTCTTTGCTATTGTGAATAATGCCGCAATAAACATACGTGTGCATGTGTCTTTATAGCAGCATGATTTATAATCCTTTGGGTATATACCCAGTAATGGGATGGCTGGGTCAAATGGTATTTCTAGTTCTAGATCCCTGAGGAATCGCCACACTGACTTCCACAAGGGTTGAACTAGTTTACAGTCCCACCAACAGTGTAAAAGTGTTCCTATTTCTCCACATCCTCTCCAGCACCTGTTGTTTCCTGACTTTTTAATGATCGCCATTCTAAATGGTGTGAGATGGTATCTCATTGTGGTTTTGATTTGCATTTCTCTGATGGCCAGTGATGGTGAGCATTTTTTCATGTGTTTTTTGGCTGCATAAATGTCTTCTTTTGAGAAGTGTCTGTTCATATCCTTCGCCCACTTTTTGATCGGGTTGTTTGTTTTTTTCTTGTAAATTTGTTTGAGTTCATTGTAGATTCTGGATATTACCCCTTGGTCAGATGAGTAGCTTGCAAAAATTTTCTCCCATTTTGTAGATTGCCTGTTCACTCTGATGGTAATTTCTTTTGCTGTGCAGAAGCTCTTTAGTTTAATGAGATCCCATTTGTCAATTTTGGCTTTTGTTGCCATTGCTTTTGGTGTTTTAGACATGAAGTCCTTGCCCATGCCTATGTCCTGAATGGTGTTGCCTAGGTTTTCTTCTAGGGCTTTTATGGTTTTAGGTCTAACATTTAAGTCTTTAATCCATCTTGAATTGATTTTTGTATAAGGTGTAAGGAAGGGATCCAGTTTCAGCTTTCTACATATGGCTAGCCAGTTTTCCCAGCACCATTTATTAAATAGGGAATCCTTTCCCCATTGCTTGTTTTTGTCAGGTTTGTCAAAGATCAGATAGTTGTAGATATGCGGTGTTATTTCTGAGGGCTCTGTTCTGTTCCATTGATCAATATCGCTGTTTTGGTACCAGTACCATGCTGTTTTGGTTACTGTAGCCTTGTAGTATAGTTTGAAGTCAAGTAGTGTGATGCCTCCAGCTTTGTTCTTTTGCCTTAGGATTGACTTGGCGATGCGGGCTCTTGTTTGGTTCCATATGAAGTTTAAAGTAGTTTTTTCCAATTCTGTGAAGAAAGTCATTGGTAGCTTGATGGGGATGGCATTGAATCTGTAAATTACCTTTGGCAGTATGGCCATTTTCATGATATTGATTCTTCCTACCCATGAGCATGGAATGTTCTTCCATTTGTTTGTATCCTCTTTTATTTCCTTGAGCAGTGGTTTGTAGTTCTCCTTGAAGAGGTCCTTCACATCCCTGGTAAGTTGGATTCTTAGGTATTTTTTTTTTTTTTTTTTTTTTTGACACGGAGTCTCGCTCTGTCACCCAGGCTGGAGTGCAGTGGCGGGATCTTGGCTCACTGCAAGCTCCGCCTCCCGGGTTCACGCCATTCTCCTGCCTCAGCCTCCCAAGTAGCTGGGACTACAGGCGCCCGCCACTACGCCTGGCTAATTTTTTGTATTTTTAGTAGAGACGGGGTTTCACCGTTTTAGCCGGGATGGTCTCGATCTCCTGACCTCGTGATCCGCCCGCCTCAGCCTCCCAAAGTGCTGGGATTACAGGCGTGAGCCACCGTGCCCGGCCTTAAAGTCTGTTTTATCGGAGACTAGGATTGCAACCCCTGCCTTTTTTTGTTTTCCATTTGCTTGGTAGATCTTCCTCCATCCTTTTATTTTGAGCCTATGTGTGTCTCTGCACGTGAGATGGGTTTCCTGAATACAGCACAGTGATGGGTCTTGACTCTTTATCCAATTTGCCAGTCTGTGTCTTTTAATTGGAGCATTTAGTCCATTTATATTTAAAGTTAATATTGTTATGTGTGAATTTGATCCTGTCATTATGATGTTAGCTGGTTATTTTGCTTGTTAGTTGATGCAGTTTCTTCCTAGTCTCGATGGTCTTTACAATTTGGCATGATTTTGCAGTGGCTGGTACTTGTTGTTCCTTTCCATGTTTAGCGCTTCCTTCAGGAGCTCTTTTAGGGCAGGCCTGGTGGTGACAAAATCTCTCAGCATTTGCTTGTCTGTAAAGGATTTTATTTCTCCTTCACTTATGAAGCTTAGTTTGGCTGGATATGAAATTCTGGGTTGAAAATTCTTTTCTTTAAGAATGTTGAATATTGGTCCCCACTCTCTTCTGGCTTGTAGAGTTTCTGCCGAGAGATCCGCTGTTAGTCTGATGGGCTTCCCTTTGAGGGTAACCCACCTTTCTCTCTGGCTGCCCTTAACATTTTTTCCTTCATTTCAACTTTGGTGAATCTGACAATTATGTGTCTGGGAGTTGCTCTTCTCGAGGAGTATCTTTGTGGTGTTCTCTGTATTTTCTGAATCTGAATGTTGGCCTGCCTTGCTAGATTGGGGAAGTTCTCCTGGATAATATCCTGCAGAGTGTTTTCCCACTTGGTTCCATTCTCCCCGTCACTTTCAGGTACACCAGTCAGACGTAGATTTGGTCTTTTCACGTAGTCCCATATTTCTTGGAGGCTTCGCTCGTTTCTTTTTATTCTTTTTTCTCTAAACTTCCCTTCTCGCTTCATTTCATTCATTTCATCTTCCATCGCTGATACCCTTTCTTCCAGTTGATCGCATCGGCTCCTGTGGCTTCTGCATTCTTCACGTAGTTCTCGAGCCTTGGTTTTCAGCTCCATCAGCTCCTTTAAGCACTTCTCTGTATTGGTTATTCTAGTTATACATTCTTCTAAATTTTTTCAAAGTTTTCAACGTCTTTGCCTTTGGTTTGAATGTCCTCCCGTAGCTCGGAGTAATTTGATTGTCTGAAGCCTTCTTCTCTCAGCTCGTCAAAGTCATTCTCCGTCCAGCTTTGTTCTGTTGCTGGTGAGGAACTGCGTTCCTTTGGAGGAGGAGAGGCGCTCTGCTTTTTAGAGTTTCCAGTTTTTCTGCTCTGTTTTTTCCCCATCTTTGTGGTTTTATCTACTTTTGGTCTTTGATGATGGTGATGTACAAATGGGTTTTTGGTGTGGATGTCCTTTCTGTTTGTTAGTTTTCCTTCCAACAGACAGGACCCTCAGCTGCAGTTCTGTTGGAGTACCTGGCCATGTGAGGTGTCAGTCTGCCCCTGCTTGGGGGTGCCTCCCAGTTAGGCTGCTCGGGGGTCAGGGGTCAGGGACCCACTTGAGGAGGCAGTCTGCCCGTTCTCAGATCTACAGCTGCGTGCTGGGAGAACCACTGCTCTCTTCAAAGCTGTCAGACAGGGACATTTAAGTCTGCAGAGGTTACTGCTGTCTTTTTGTTTGTCTGTGCCCTGCCCCCAGAGGTGGAGCCTACAGAGGCAGGCAGGCCTCCTTGAGCTGTGGTGGGCTCCACCCAGTTCGAGCTTCCCGGCTGCTTTGTTCACCTAAGCAAGCCTGGGCAATGGCGGGCGCCCCTCCCCCAGCCTCGCTGCTGCCTTGCAGTTTGATCTCAGACTGCTGTGCTAGCAATCAGCGAGACTCCATGGGTGTAGGACCCTCCGAGCCAGGTGCAGGATATAATCTCCTGGTGCGCCGTTTTTTAAGCCCGTCGGAAAAGCGCAGTATTTGGGTGGGAGTGACCCGATTTTCCAGGTGCCGTCTGTCACCCCTTTCTTTGACTAGGAAAGGGAACTCCCTGACCCCTTGTGCTTCCCAAGTGAGGCAATGCCTCGCCCTGCTTCGGCTCGCGCACAGTGCGCTCACCCACTGACCTGCGCCCACTGTCTGGCACTCCTTAGTGAGATGAACCCGCTACCTCAGATGGAAATGCAGAAATCACCCTTCTTCTGCGTCGCTCATGCTGGGAGCTGTAGACTGGAGCTGTTCCTATTCGGCCATCTGGGCTCCTCTTCCCGACCACTATCTAATTCTAAAACACTTTCATCACCCGCCAAAAATTTTAAAGCCACTGGCAAGTGAATTTTGTATTCATCGTGCACACTTGGGGGATTTTATTCAATTATTGTTTCACCTACTATATCACTGTGGCAGAGACTGTTAGCTGCTCACTCCAGTACCCATTCTCCCTTCTTCCTTAAGCTAGCTGTATGGCTGCCCAGATTCCCCTGCACCTAGGCATGGGTATGTAACCAAATCCTTGCCAGTGAGATATAAAAAGAAAGTGAGTGACAGCAACCGGAAGATCTCTTACAAGCCAGCTAATATGCACCGTTCCTCCATTTGTCCTTTCCTCTTTCTCACTGGCTGGAATATAGGTGTAATGACTGGAGCTCTGGTGCCATTTTGGATCACCAAGTATCCTTGCGAACGGGAGGCATGGATGACTTAGAAGGAAAGTAGAATAAGCTGTGTCCCTAGCACCTTTGATCATACTGGTCCTGAAATTTCTATCTCTGGAAAGTTTCTTTTACATAAGGAAAAAACAAATGTCTATTTTCACGCCACTGTCTGGGGAAGTTTCAGGCACATACGGTGGACTTAATATTAAATGACGCAACGTTTTAGCCACATTTCCATCAGTGTCATGCATTATTAATTGCCAGGAAGTTAAGGTACATAAAAAGCTAAGGCGAATTTCTTCTACTATTAATAACAATTATACCAGATTGGTGTCCAGCACACAACACCATAGTTTTCAACAACTTACTTAGCTTCCTATACACATTCTCCACACATGCATTCATTCATTCTTTGGGGCATATGTAATACATAAAGATGAACAGTCCCCATAGAAACTTGGTACACTAGCCAGCACTGGTAACTGGTCCTACATTCAAACCAATTTACTAAATTGTACTTTCTAAATGGAGTCAGGAAGCCATCTAAACATACATATGTCAATGCTCAAATCCATTAAAAGGCAATTGAGGGTGCAAAGCAATAGCCCTATGTGGGAATATAATTGCAAACTATAATAATGTCTACCTGAAATTTTCTGTGCTCATCAACTCCTTTGAACCTGCTTCATATGTAACTGAGTTTAAGACTTCTTTAATAAAATCAAGCGCTGTTTCTGAAGATTTTCCTATTAACAGGATGATATATCCTGAATTAATGATACTGTATTCTAAGTACTTTGCCATTATCCCAGTGAGCTGACCTAAAAACAAAAATATCCCAACAGTTAGAATTAAAATGTTAACATTCTGAACTCCTAGAAAGTATAGACTACTTAACTCATTTTTATATCCCCTGTTAGTACCTATACTATGGTGCTGAGTAAAGTTGATGCTCAGTAAATGGTTGTTAAGTTGAATTCCTGTATTCTTTAAATTGCATCATTTTAACAACTTAAGTAACAGATCTTTGTGACCCTGGAAAAACTGCTTTTCATTTCTTCTTCCATTACGAGAGGGAAATGTTACCCTCTCTCTAAGATTAATGAAGATATGTATTCAAAGTGCTTAAGGCAGCACGTGATACAGAAGAGGGTAATAAATGACAGTTACTATCATGATAGTCAATAACTATAATTATTATTATTGTTACCAAGATTGTTATTAATACAGTTATTATCACTATAGCATCAATAAATGATATATACTCCCATTACTATTGCTCACATTTTAATAATTATTACTATTGTTGTTACTATTTTATTATTTTTACCCTGCTTAAGATTCTGTTCCATGGGCTGGAAAAACAAAGTAGTGTCAAACATATTCCTTGCTTAAAAATACGCTAGGGCAAATGATCTATATGTATAAAATGATAAGTAAAGTTGCAAAATAGGAGGGTTTCAGTCTCCAGCAGCACGCTACAACAAATTGACAACATTCTTGAAACAAGACCACAGACTTATTTCCTAGTCTGAATTTTTTAATTACCTTGTGTCCAACTGCACCTCTAGCCAAACGAAACCTTTGTTTGCCTTTTTTTTTTTTTTTTTTTTTTTTTTGCTTTCCCTCTTCTTAGCCCCTTCCCTAAATCCTACCCTCTGAAATCTCAATATACCTTCTTCTTTTCCCAGACTTGGACTAAAATTCCCTTCTTGGTCTTCCATCTCTGAAGATTAAGAGCCTGGTACTAGACTGCCCCTCAGCCTGAGTCAAGGATTCTCCATATCTGTGTAGAGTCTTCCAGGCAGCCTGAGGAGGCATGCCATGGGCTGGTTCCATGAGCAAAGATAGTGAGACCCATAGGACTTTGGAGAGACAAGGCCACCCTGAGGACCAGAATGAGAGCTGGCTTCCTGGAGCAGGTAGGACTTGGATTGAGTTAAGAAAGGAAAGTCTAGAGAGTAGGGAAGGAAGACATTCCAGGCAGAAGAAGTCCTGTGAGCAAGGCACTGAACTGATAATATGATATGAAACAAAAAGTGGTCTCAGAAAGTTGAAGCTAAGAAGTTCTAAATGGATATTGTCAGAAGCAAGATTAGAGTTAAGTAGGAATCAGACTAAGGTGTTTTGATGTTAAATTGTGTTTCAGGAATACGACATCCCAAAAGCACATAATTAGCTTTGACATACAAGTATCCACTGTGTAAAGAGCAATGTGCATATTAATCGTTACCAATATTATATTGATAAATGCACAGTGTCTGCAGAATGGATGGGCAGCCAGCTGGTGTTTGTGGAGAACTGGGAAGGAAGGTGAGTCTACTAGGAAGAACTCTAAGAATTTAAAGTTTCCATTAAATATCAAATTTGAAACACAATATCTTAGGGTTCAAGATCATCCAGAACATGTTTATTTTAAAGGTCAAGAAGACAAGGTTTAAAGAGTTCTATGACTTGCCTAAAGTCTCACAGCCAGTTGGAAATGAAGCTTCAACCCAACAACACAACCCCTCCTCAGGTTTTCAGCTCTATAAATGCACCTTGATATCAAATCCCACATTTTCAAAGTTGGTGTTAAAATTTAATTATAGATACAGATATTTTCTCTTAGCAAAAGAAACGTTTATATGTTTAAACAATATAGATCTTTAATTCTTTTAATATTCATTTTCTTCCTTGTCAACATCAAGTTGAAACTGAACTTAATAACACACACAAGAAACTAAATTGTTCTCCTTTCCCAAACTTTCCATTGGGTAATAACGCTACCATTTTTTAAATTTAGCAAAATTACGACATTGTTCTCTTACTTAAAAATTACCATTAACAACCAGGGAAAACAGGATACAAATTTTAAAATGAACATTTAGAAATTGCATCACTTAATAATATTATTCTTTAAATAATGTCTTGTTAGTGTTTTACTTCAGTTGGTCAGCCCGATTACAATCTTAGTTTAAAGATGCAAATTTCTACCTACTCTGAAATAGCACTAACTCTAAAAACTAAAAAAAAAGTCATGTGTATCCATATTAGAAAATTTTAAAATTCTAGGAGAGGGTGTGCTGTATCAAAAGGACATTTTGTCACTGCTCACAGCCTGAAGTATCCTCTCATACTTTCTTAAATTTAGGTATCACATATCTGACTTTTGATCATATGATTCCAGAAGGCTGTCTGACCACTCCAGTTCTACTCAGCACCCCTCTGTGCAGACCTCTGATGCCAAATGACCTTGTTCAACCACTAGAAGAATCCCCAACCACTCCTTTTCAACTGCCTTCAACTACTGATGGATGGTGCCTCCATACATGACTAAGTCAGACATGGTCTATTTAGGATAGGCATTTAAACTCAACGCACGGGTTGATAGCTTCAGCATTACCTTACAAACAACTAAGGGACTCCTTGGGAAGATAGTTGCCTTTCCATAAGGTGAATTTGCTCTTTATATTAAGGACATTTAGTACAGGGAAGCAATAAACTATTCTTTGGTGCCTCAAGTGGTTTTCTGAGGTATAATATAAGTCTTATGTTTATGCTTATTAAGACAGTTCCGAAGTTAAGCAGCAAATATCCATCTCCTTACATTTATAACTATACTAAAGATATGTGATATTCATCATTCGTTTCAGAGTGTTCTAGTTTGTTTAACATTAACTCTAAGTGGTGACTAACTCAGGAATTTGAATACTAACCTGAAGAAAAAAAGTTGGAGTTCATGCCTAGCAAGAATTTCTGTAAAACCGAAATTTCACCATTATTGACAAAGTTCTCTTTCGGAAGGGCCTCACAATATGAAACGTGAAAATGCCCCCCAAAAGAGTAATAAAATTCACACGTGTTATTTATGTATTTCTAACTAAATGTTAACATTTTTTAAACCGAATTTTACTCTGTATTTGAGAGGTTGTCTGAGCCTAAAAATCTGTCTGCATTAGTGTTGGGGCTTTTAATGCTTCACATTTTATTACTTCCAATGTCTTCTAGATAATTAATCTTGGTATCTATTTGTTGTTTGGAATAAATGGCAGAATCCTAGCAAATGCAGGACATCTCATAAATAAAAGATAGGGGCTGTGTAAGCTGTAAGGAAATTAGAACTTGATAAAGAAAAAAGAATTATTTTTCCCTTAAAGGATAATGGTTTTCGTTAATTCCAAAGGTCAAGTGTAAAAAAAGAGTCCCTCTCCTTCAGTACTGAGATTCATCATCCTGACATTATTTACTAGAGGCACAGTTCATGAACTCATAGGAGGCCCCATGATGTTGGGTTCTGCTGTCATACTTTTGACTATTGCTTAATTATATTGTGAGGCAAAAATATATTAAATCTTGGGCACCGAGCGTTGTCACTTTATGTTTCAGTGATTTTCCAGTTCAACCACTGCTAATAAAAACAGTTACCATTTATTTTGTTCTATTTGCCAGATATTATCCCAAGTTTTTGTTATACATGCATTATAAAATATCTCAGTCATTAAAGCACACTGAAATAATGAAGCAAATATGTGTGCAACCACTAGCCATTTAAACAAATAGAAACATTTTATATTATCATTTTTAAAAAATCAGTAACACATTATAGATAGGGCTAAAGTGTACTATGCATAGCATCCCAACCCAATTATCTGTCCTCCTCTGCCTAAAGAGGTTAGCGAACATCCCAAAGTTGAAGCATATTTTTCGCACCTCTGTCTTTATATATATTTTCTCTAAATGAAATCTAATAAAGATTTATGTAACATTAAAATGGCAAAAAATGATGCCATGTTGTAAAATGGTATCCCTTCCCCCTGAATATTTTATTTTTGAAATCTATCTATTTTAATACATGTAGATGTGTTATTTATTTATATAGTGTTTATTGTATAAATAAGCAATACGTTATTCTCCCATTTACCTTCTGATGGATATTCATGATTTTCTTTCATTTTTAGGCTATAACATTCAATACTTAATTGAATGTAAGTGTAAGGGCTTCTCTAAGGTAGATTTTTAAAGTGAAATTGCTGGGATTTAGGACATGAATATATTCAACCTTATAGACACTGCCAAGTTGCTCTTTAAAGTGGTTATACCAATTTATGCTCCCACCAGCAGTATAGGAGTGCTTCTCATAACCTTACTTTCTCACTGACAACTGCCTTCGTTGGTCCTTTAAATTTGTTGCCTATCTGATGGGTACGAAATGCTATTTCTGTTATTTTAATTTGTAAATCCCTTATGATGAGTAAGGCTGAGAACCTCTTTCATGTGTATTAGCCATCCATGTGTCCTTCTAATGATTCATTTTTTTCTATTGGGCTGTTCATCTTTTTAAGAATGATCTCTAGGAGTTCTTTTTTTATATATACTTTAAGTTCTGGGGTACATGTGTAGAACGTGCAGGTTTGTTACCTAGGTATACACGTGCCATGGTTGTTTGCTGCACCCATCAACCCATCATCTACATTAAGTATTTCTCCTAATGCTATCCCTCCCCAGCCCCCCACCCCCTGACAAGCCCCCGTGTTTGATGTTCTCCTCCCTGTGTCCATGTGTTCTCGTTGTTCAGCTCCCACTTATGAGTGAGAACATGCTGTCTTTGGTTTTCTGTTCTTGTGTTAGTTAGGTGTGAATGATGGTTTCCACATCTACAACCATCTGATCTTTGGCAAACGTGAAAAAACAAGAAATGGGGAAAGGATTCCCTATTTAATAAATGGTGTTGGGAAAATTGGCTAGCCATATGCAGAAAGCTGAAACTGGATCCCTTCCTTACACCTTACACAAAAATTAACTCAAGATGGATTAAAGACTTAAACGTAAGACCTAAAACCATAAAAACCCTAGAAGAAAACCTAGGTAATACCATTCAGGACATAGGCATGGGCAAAGACTTCATGACTAAAACACCAAAAGCAATGGCAACAAAAGCCAAAATAGACAAATGGGATCTGATTAAACTGAAGAGCTTCTGCACAGCAAAAGAAACTATCATCATAGTGAAGAGGCAACCTATAGAATGGGAGAAAATTTTTGCAATCTGTCCATCTGACAAAGGGCTAATATTCAAAATCTAGGAGTTCTTCATATATTACATATTTTTTTGCCAGTTATGTACATTGCAAAGAATACCTTCCAGCTTGTGTCTTGTCCTTTTACCTTGTTTATGGAATGTTAAAGCATATTAAATTTCTATGCCATTAAAATGTTAATATAATTTAAAGTATAATATTTTCTTTTACAGGTTGTGCTTTTTATGTCCTAGTTAAGTAAATTCTTATACAAGTTCATTTTTAAGTTTTAAGGTCATGCTTTTCACATTTAAACTTTTAATATGTCTGAAATTTGTTTTTATGTAACCATTTATTACATCCTTTACCAATTATCTCTAACAGCACATCTGTGATATACCAAGTTCTTTTTTATATGTGTCTATTTATAGGTTCTTTAGTTATCTATGTTGTTCTATTTGTCTATCTACGTTCTAATATCACACTGTTTTAATTCTTATAGCTTTGTAACAAATAGAGCAACACTCATCCTTTTCTTCTTCAAAATCATTCTGGTTATGCTAGATATGTGGATTAATTTGTGGGGAAATTGGCATCCTCATGACATTAAGACTTCCCATTCATGAACATTTTATATCTCTCCATTTATTAGATCCCATAATCTTTCAGTAAGGATTTATAATTCTATCCTGAGGGATATTGATAAGGTTGATGATGTATTCCTGGTACAATGAAATATAAACACTAACACAGAAACCTGATGACAACAGTAGAGAGAAAGCCTGTCATGTATCCACCACAGTTAGATGCCCAGCTCTCCTAGAGAATCTGTATGTGACACATCCATTCTCTCCAGGGCAGAGCATGGGCTGGCCTTTCTGAGAGGGGCCTGCTAACCAGTAGTTTACTATCTCAAACAATAAAAAATGGAAGCTGTTTGCTATTTAAAACAATCCAGGCTTTTTCTTTCTCTTTCCTCTTTTCTCTTTCTCTTATTTAAATCTGTTTTGCCTTTCTGAGATGAAATTAATTATTGGTCCCATAGGCTTCACGTGTACACAAGTAAATAATGTGGTCTTAATTAACTTTATATCTTTGAGTTATTCGTTAATACTCCATTTTGTACCTCTTTCAGACTTCAGTTTTTATAGTTTTGTTACTACTGTAAGTGGTACCTTTCTAAAATTATATTTCTCCAAGATATTTATTCCATTTTTCATTAAATAGCTCTATATTGCCAAATGTAGATATTTATTTCCTACCTCAGGTTGTTCTGAGAAATACATATACATCCCTTAGTAAAGTGTTTGGTGCATATCCAGCCTTCCCCAGCTTCCTTTTTCCTTTCCATAAAAATGTAGAAATGATTTAGAGTATTAGTTTAGAATACAAAGTAAAATCAGAAAATGTGAAGTTATATGAAATATTTATGTGTGAAACTTAAAGGGTTTTTTATGTATATAGTTCGTTACTGGTAGAGACATAATACATTGGGTAAGTCTTGTAAAATACAGGCAAATAATAACACTTAAAAACCCCACAGGGTAACAGATTTTACAAACTATGTAGGATGTTCTGATTTTTTCTTTGTAATATCATATAACTCAAAGTAGCAAATGTGCTGTAACCAAATCTATGCTTCTTGTCTCCCTGTATTTGCCCAAGGTAGAATTTTGGTAGCCAACTCAAGTTATAGTTGTGAGCATTCCAAAAAACCAAAGATTAAATAGGAATGACTTACCTTTTTAAAACATCTGACCCTTCCAAAATCAATGCACTATTCTCCTTTGCATAAAACTAGTTAAGAGAACTACAAACCACTGCTCAATGAAATAGAAGAGGATACAAACAAATGGAAGAACATTCCATGCTCATGGGTAGGAAGAATCAATATCATGAAAATAGCCATACTGCCCAAGGTAATTTATAGATTCAATGCCATCTCCATCAAGCTACCAATGACTTTTTCACAGAATTGGAAAAAACTACTTTAAGCTTCATATGGAACTAAAAAAGAGCCCGCATCGCCAAGTCAATCCTAAGTCAAAAGAACAAAGCTGGAGGCATCACACTACCTGACTTCAAACTATACTACAAGGCTACAGTAACCAAAACAGCATGGTACTGGTACCAAAACAGAGATATAGATCAATGGAACACAACAGAGCCCTCAGAAATAATGCCACATATCTACAACTATCTGATCTTTGGCAAACCTGACAAAAACAAGAAATGGGGAAAGGATTCCCTATTTAATAAGTGGTGCTGGGAAAACTGGCTAGCCATATGTAGAAAGCTGAAACTGGATCCCTTCCTTACACCTTATACAAAAATCAATTCAAGATGGATTAAAGACTTAAATGTTAGACCTAAAACCATAAAAACCCTAGAAGAAAACCTAGGCAACACCATTCAGGACATAGGCATGGGCAAGGACTTCATACCTAAAACACCAAAAGCAATGGCAACAAAAGCCAAAATTGACAAATGGGATCTCATTAAACTAAAGAGCTTCTGCACAGCAAAACAAACTACCATCAGAGTGAACAGGCAACCTACAGAATGGGAGAAAAGTTTTGCAACCTACTCATCTGACAAAGGGCTAATATCCAGAATCTACAATGAACTCAAACAAATTTACAAGAAAAAACAAACAACCCCATCAAAAAGTGGGCGAAGGATATGAACAGACACTTCTCAAAAGAAGACATTTATGCAGCCAAAAAGCACATGAAAAAATGCTCATCATCACTGGCCATCAGAGAAATGCAAATCAAAACCACAATGAGATACCATCTCACACCAGTTAGAATGGCGATCATTAAAAAGTCAGGAAACAACAGGTGCTGGAGAGGATGTGGAGAAATAGGAACACTTTTACACTGTTGGTGGGACTGTAAACTAGTTCAACCATTGTGGAAGTCAGTGTGGCGATTCCTCAGGGATCTAGAACTAGAAATACCATTTGACCCAGCCATCCCATTACTGGGTATATACCCAAAGGATTATAAATCATGCTGCTATAAAGACACAGGCACACGTATGTTTAGTGCGGCATTATTCACAATAGCAAAGACTTGGAACCAACCCAAATGTCCAACAATGATAGACTGGATTAAGAAAATGTGGCACATATATACCATGGAATACTATGCAGCCATAAAAAATGATGAGTTCATGTCCTTTGTAGGGACATGGATGAAGCTGGAAACCATCATTCTCAGCAAACTATCACAAGGACAAAAAACCAAACACCGCATGTTCTCACTCATAGGTGGCAATTTAGCAATGAGAACTCATGGACACAGGAAGGGGAACATCACACACCAGGGACCCTTGTGGGGTTGGGGGAGGGGTGAGGGATAGCATAAGGATAGCATTAGGAGATATACCTAATGCTAAATGATGAGTTAATGGGTGCAGCACACCAACATGGCACATGCATACATATGTAACAAACCTGCACGTTGTGCACATGTATCCTAAAACTTAAAGTATTAAAAAAAAAACTAGTTAAGAAAAAATATAATGGTCACTAATCAATAAAGCTTTATGAAGTTACAGGCAATTTAGAGCATGTGTACATTTGCGATTAAATGTTAGTTCATTCTTCTCTTTATTCCACAAACAGTTATGGAAGAAGCAATTAGATCACATTTGTTCCTAAACATTCTGTCAGGAATGTGCTGAATGAATTCAAGTGGGAAGATGCTAATGAAAGAGTGAGTCATTCTTCAGTAACTCAAATGTTCCTGACATATTTCTATTTTCTTTGAATTTATGTCCACTAAATATTCTAAAATAGTAGCCAGTTTAGAAATATAATTAAGCAAATTAAATTATCTTCAGGTACTAGTGCTTACATTCTAATATTTCATTTCTATTGACAGGAGTGGGGAGGAGGTTGGTGAGTCCCTCAAGAATACATGGAAATAGTTATATTCCATTTTACTTGAGAATGTATGTATTGGTTGAGTGAATTTTCCAGTTTGTAGAAATAATACTGCCCCACACCAGTTACCTGCCTTGCAGCCAACTAACGGAGAAAATATAATTTACTTTAAAGCAGAATCATTTTTAGTAAATTGCATTTTTTTATTTCAGTTGATTTTCAGCAAATTAATGACTTGCCCTAAAAAACAAACTCTTTACACACTGTGATTAAAGGCAGGCATTTCTGAAGATCTCCTTCTGAAAGCTCACCTCCATTTCACAAAAGACACCTCTATTTTACCAGTCATTCAAAGGAACACTCAACCCCTCAATTGGTATAAATATTTAAATAACTTCTCTTTTATACCAAGGTACAATAGTGGCTTCAATAACCACTGTGTTTACCACAAAGCTACAGGCAAATGAAGTGTACACTAATTACATACTGAAGAAAACCTCATTCTTTAATGAATTTTGTTAATTATCATCCTGTTTTTGCATCCAGCTTACAATCAAAATCAACATGATCTGTGTCTTGACTATTTCAATAACGAATAAAAGCGTTTGACAAACATCTTATTTCTTCTCTGCAAACAATGCAAATCATATACATGCAGAATTTCAGGCAATCACTGGAAGTTTAGTTGACTGCTGTGGCTTCTAGACAAATGGCTCACTTAAATAGCTTCTCAAAGTGCAGAGAACGAAATTAGCCCTCTGAGAGGAAGCTAGCTAGAAAGTTTTTCTAACGCAATGCAAAAGTTAATTCACGCCAATAGGTCCTCGTTGAGAAGGGATTGAGAAAGTATCACTGAAAGGTCAAAATGACCACCTATTTTGGTCAAAATAAATTAATTTTTTAGGTTAAAGCGTGCCACAAATAAGGCAGGCTGTTCTGGTTTTCAAACATTATTTACATTTTTGAAAGAAACTTTTCCGGAAGAATTTTTAGTAAAGAAAGGGTGTGAGAGAAGAAAAGTTAAAGCCCTTAGAATAGCAGTACTTTCACCTGGAGTGAGACATGGTGTTTCCTAGAGTTAATGCTACTTCTGTCCAAAATGCTCTATGTGCTGGGGATACATTTGTTACTTCCACAACTATCAATTTCCAGTTGGCAAACATCCCTGAGTTTACATTACTTATGATAAACCTATATACTGGCTTGAAGAGACGTCGTGACAGATAATCCCAAATATTTTTTTATCACCTCATTAAAAACTGAAGTCATTCATATCATTTTAAGAAGAATGCTTTGCATTTAGAAGGATGTTCACATTTATAAGGCCCTTTTCATGCATATTCCGTGATGGAATTCTCAGTGTTTTCAATATAAAATGTTAACAACAAGGCAATAGAGGATAGGCATGGTGGGTTTTCTCACCACGACTATTCTCTATTCATTTGTGATTAAACCCTCAACACAAATGAGCATTTATCAGAAGCAAGTGCTGGGCTAAATCCTAGGGACCTGAGAATCAACAGAGGTCCTGTCTTCAAGGAGCAGAGCTGCTAATCTGGTAGGGGAGGTGAAACGTGTGCATAAATGTCTTTGGGATACTAGGGAAGACATACTTAAAATCAAATAGGTTTGTACAAACAGAGTATGCTGCTCAACCTTTTTCATCTCTCACTGACTTGCTTTTGTCAAGTGATTCTTGTGACCTATACCAGGAAGGTTTCTTGTTGATTCTCCCATTCTGCTGAAGAGCCTCCTCCCAATAAGACAGAAACTCATAAATAAGGGGCAAGAAAGGGAATTCCACCTTTCTGGTTACTAATACGAGTAGCAACTCATGTTTGAACTCTTCCCCTTGACAAACGGAGATTACGGCGATTCATCTTCTAATGTTGATTTAGGAAATAAAGTTACACTTTCAAAGTTTTCTATCTGTGGGCCAAATGAAGCTCTCACGTATGGAGACACACCTTCCACAGAAATTGTTAGAATTTCACACACTTATTGGGAGACTGAAGTAGCTTCTGGTAGTTGAGAAACTTTGAACTTTTCTTGTTTTCCCCTCTTTTTCTTGTAAAATTCCAGCTTTGTGGAGTGACTACTTGTGTTGGTAGGTAATTTCTCTTTTAGGTAAAACAGGTAAAATGCCTCCACCCACTTAATTACTATGAGTAAGCTAATTATAACTATTAAAAGGTAATTATAAATTACCTTTGAGGAAATTCAACAGCATGGACAGTTTTCATTTTAATGGAAATCAATGTAATATTAGGTAGTAATAATAATGTTTATGACACCCTTTGATGCTTACCAAGTGACAAAAATTGGTTTCAGTGGAACTACTGTGACAATTCCATTATGTCCCTAATTAGTTCATATTATTCAATTTCCTTTATGGCATAAATGATATAATAATTAGACTTGTTTATGAAGTTTTCATGTAGTATCTATATAGCAGCACTTGCCAGGACTTTGCATAAACCAAACTCGATATGAGCTAAAATATTTCAGATTTCGCATAACAGCAAATGGGACAAAATTAAGATATAATTGCAAGATATTTTTCATAAGAAGGAAAAATAAAACTTAGGTGACAATGTGTAGGTCCACAGTAGATCACAAAGAAAGCTGTAAACAAACATAGAAAATTTAAAAGGTAGGCTCTGCATATTCAGGCTTACTGAGAAAAAAAAACCAATATATGAACCATATGAAAATGTATTATAGCACCATTGGGAACCTCCACCACCATTCTTGCTCACACTGGGCCATATGCTTTGAGAAAGATGTGAATGCTCACCATGAAAAAAATGTAAATGACAAAAACAATAAGAAGTGCCTTGTGAATGGCAATGAAGAGAGCCAATTTACTCTGTCTGAAAGAAACACATGTGACACAATATGCAAAAGATACACTCTTGAGAGAGGGCAGTCAAGAGTTAGGGTACAGAAGGTAGAAATAAAGTCACTTGTATGTTTGTTTTGGGGGTATTCTAAGATGTTATTTTCTGCGATCCTACCCTTTTATGTTGGATAAGAAACCCACTAGCTTGTATATACGGCATCCTCTAATTCTAATATGAATACTTCTGAGCCTAAGGTCATCACTATACAGAACCACATTTAGAACTTTCACAAGTTGTCTGTCCAATTCTCACAAAGAAGTCCAAATTACAAATCACAGTTTGATTCGCAAGCAGAGAAAGGCCTGTAATCTTGACATCTCCAGTCAACTGTACTATTGTTTTCATTTGAGAGCTCATTTTCTAGAGTGTTTTCCCCTAAAACCACCACCAGAGAAACAAACTTTCATAAAACAAATATCACTAGCACTTTGAAGTAAGAATATCTACAAAGAAGCCAGGATTGGAAGACAGTGGAATTTCCACTGACCCATAAAACAATCTGGGCTTTACATATAAATCTCCTTATTCCTTCACTTATTTAAATTATTACCATTTCATGTTCAGACTCGCTGGCAAAACATCAGTGTCTTAATGTGAATCCTCCACATGCTGCCCCAAACAAACTTTAACGCTTGAGTAAAATGTTTAAATCTTGCCAGACCCAGGAAAAGTCAGAAAGTTGCCCTATACAGTCTGTCCACTGCCCTACACTTTGCCTCCCCCTCCTCTCACAGATGTGAGAAAATACCATCCAAACCTCTTCAGATTTGCTAAAAACCACCACCACAAGTCAGAATCAGCCATTGAACCTCAGTGTTTTCTGTGAATAAGTAGAAGAAGCGACACTGTACCGAGTCTTCAGTTTTGTGACTATTCAAGAGGTCAGACAGGAAATCTTCATGGAGGCTCTCTCTTCGAATCAGTGTAAATTCCCGCAGGAAAACAGCCCCTTGGCTTTGGTCTCCGCATACCTAGAGAGATAAGGTAGCTGAATTAAGCCTTCAGACAGAGCCTGGAGGGATTGGGCACTGTGCAATTAGTTGCAGAAAGCTCTTGGATTCATTTCAAGGCTGATTAGAGCAATCAAAAACAATGCACGCAAATACATATTAATGCGAGAACCACTAGAACATTCTGGCATGTGGCTCCTCCAATGGATACCAGGAACATCCCCTGCTAAATTGGTGCCTCTTAACTGACGGGTGTACAATCTCAAAATCCAGTGATTACAGGTTATCTCTGTGGCCAGGTCCAATATGGTCAGGCTCCTAGACTCATCCCATTGGGCTATCCATGGATCTGAACTCATATGTGTCTTGGACCCACAGGGATCAATCCTTAGTCCAATAGATCCCAGCACCTAGATGGGTCCCCATGTCCAGTTAAATATTTACCACATAAGAAAAGCCTGGCCTGAGCCCAGAACTGACTTCCTGGGCTATTCAAGTGCTTTAGAACCAGATGTACTTTAGCTGCTCCGGAAGGAGGTATTGGAGAACTTTCATCTAGAGCTTATCACATTCCAGGTTCTTTACACAGGTTATCTTGTGACAACCCCAAGAGGTGTCTGTTATCAGCCACATTTTACAAATTAGGAACTAAAGGCACAAAGGGTTTCAGGAATTTGTCAAGTCAGTAAGTGTTGAAATCAGCATTCAAATACAGGTCTAACTCTAAAACTCTCATCTTTTCATTTTATCATTTGGCTACTGAGCTACTCAAGCTACCTCTGGTGAGAGGCAAATTGTTAAGTAACTCCTATACATTCAAGGTATAATCAGTTCACCCAGGCCTCCTCCTGCCTCTCTATGCCTCAGTTTACTCACTGTACAACAGGAATGATAACAATGTTGCATTGTTGAGAAAATAGGAAATAACATGTAAAATGCTTAGTGTGATGCCTTTCATATAGTAAGCTTTCAGTAAATAACAGCCATTATTATTATCAAAAGCACATTCTGCTCAAGGAACAAGTAAAAATCTAAGGTTCTAGCACATGAAATTCTTTAATCATATTTATAATATTTATAATGAACACGGTATATCACATTGTCTTTTTAACTCTCATACATTTTGCATTTTATACCTTTTTATGGTATTGCTAATATCAGTAATGAATATGTGGATGTTTATATTAATTTATACCTTCTTGAAAATAATGCATAATAAATTAGTCATTTTAAACCGTATGTCTTTTGGAAAGGGGTATACTCTTCTATAACATATATAATGGCATCTCATCAAGATGCTCAATCCATCAAATACTTTCATATGATACCAAGACAAAAAGGTCTTAATTAAACTTAAAATTCTGTTGTTATACAGAATAGTCAATATGACTGATGGTAGTAAAAAGAATCTTGGCCCCCAGCACCTATACACTCTGCTGTCACACACACTTGCTTTACCTGGCCAAAAGGACTTTGCAGATGTAATTAAGACTACTAATTAGGGTTAGTAACCTGGATTATCCAGGTAGGCCCAATGTAATCACATGAGTATGTAAAAACAAAGCTTTCTCCAGGCTGAGGGAGAAGAGGAAGTCAGCGATGTGACAGAGGGGGAAATCAAAGAGATTTAAAGTGTAACAAGGACTTGATTTGCCACTGCTGGCTTGAAGATGGGAGGGGCAGGGGCATGTAGGAAGCATGAGAAGGAAGCTTGAAAGAGGACCCCAGTCCTAGATGAGAACTGTTATCTTCAGCCAATATCTTGATTTTAACCCAGTAATACACGGACCAGAGAATCCAACCATAACTTGCCAGACTTCTGACCTACAGAAATTGTAAGATAATACTTTTGTGCTATTTTAAGCCTTTAAATTTGTGGTAATTTGTTATGGCAGCAATAGAAAACTAATACAGTCACTGAAAGGCAGGGCACAATGAGGTTATCTTGTTTCTTCTTCTACACTGAGTTTCATAAGAACTAACAAATACTAAACAAGAAGAGGTATAACTTGCAAAAACTGATTCATGGAAATGTAGCCTTCTGGCTAACCTAAATTACTCCTGCTACGTTTAAAATTAATTTTCTGTTAGTTCTTCCCCTATCAAGGACAATAATTCCTTCAGTCCACAGTTAAATATACTCCAAAGCCTGTCTTGACCATGTGTAATTCCCCTGCTCAGAAGCCTTCCCCACTTCTTGCTGGGTGCATTCAAAATTCATGGACTTGTTATTCAGGGCCACTCACAGCTCTTCAAGCTCTAGGTAAGGAATGGCTGTGCTTATGCAATTCTCTTTTTGAGAAAGATCAAGAACTGGGTTTACAGTAATCCAGAATTGACATGTTCTAATTTTGGTGTTTTTTGAAAGGACTAATGTATGTTGATCCCTGTTGAATCCCATATTTTATGAAACATTTCTTCAAAAATCCAAGGCTATTTTGAATTCTATTATCCAAAATGGTGATCACCTTTAGTTATTCGATGCCAATTCTTAAAAGCTAAAATTTGAAAAGAAGCCTAATGAACTTAGTTGCATTTTCTTTGTGAAAACTTCTGTGCCTACAAAAAGAAGTTTCTTTTGCTAAACCAATTAAATAGACAAAAATGACTCAAATATCCTCCAAAAGAGGTAGTAAGACATCAAATATAAAGGCTGAACACTCACTAATGCTAACAATGAAGAATAAACAGCCAACATTTTGTCTATTTATACTTTAATTTTTAATTATAGCTGTGTATTTGTTTAAGAAAGAATGTCTGCCTGCTTGTATTTCCCAAGAAATGCTCACATTTTATAAGTCTCATAATACATATCAAGATGTTCAATTTATCCAATACTTTTATGTAATATCAAGGCAAAAATTCTGAACTAAACTTAAAATTCTATTTAATCCTGGCCAGGCATGGTGGCTTATGCCTATAATCCCAGCACTTTGAGAGGCTGAGGCACGAGGAATGCTTGAGCTTAGGAATTCCAGACCAGCCTGGGCAAATAGTGAGACATTGTCTCTTAAAAAAAAAAAAAAAAAAAAAAATTTAGCCAGGTATGGTGGTATGTGCAGGTAGTCCCAGCTACTCAGGAGGATGAGGTGGGAGGATTGCTTGAGCCTGGCAGACAGAGGCTAGAGTGAGCCATGACTGTGCCACTACACTCTGGCCTGGGCAACAGAAATAGACCTTTCTCAAAAAAATTAATTAATTAATTAATTAATTAAAAAAAGAAATAAAGAAAATTGTATTTCCCATGCTCAGACCAGGATTCCCAATTTGGGGACTGGAAAACATGGTTACTTTACATTTGATATGTAAAAAAACACCTTGCAGTTTTAAGGTACTTAGCGTACAATAAAAATGCATTAAAGTTGGCATCCCTTTGCATCTTATGGTTCAGTGGTGTTAGTTTTGCAGAGAGAAAACAGAAGCATGAGAAGTGGAGAAATTGTATGTATGGCTAATGGCTATGTTAGGATTAGGGGCCAGAGAGTATCTCTTAAAAACTTAAATCTCTTCCGGATTCAACCCCCATTATTCACTCGCAGGAATAGGGTAAGGAACACCTTCTTGTCCCATGGGATTCCCAGACTCCTAAGGATAGTTCTCCAGGACATATGAAGACTGCCTAGAATTTGTGTCCTGTGATGAAGATTGCTTCTCCTTCTTGCAATCTGATTTCCCGCTTCAAACAGTGACCCCTCTTTCTGATTCATGGCACACCAAAGCATTCCTTAGAGAACCAACCCGGGAATACAGAAACACCAGCTTCCAGAATAGAATTGTATTAGATCCAGGAAGTCATGGAAGAAATCTGTTGTTGTAGAACAAATTCTCTTGAATGGGACTGATTGATCAATCATCTAGAGATGTTTCAGAGGGACATAGGTAAATATAGGAAATTAGGGAGTCATCAAATAACTTTCTATTCTCTACTTCATTAAAGGGAAAATGAGGTAAAGGTAGTTTAAAAATAAAAACAAAAGTCACTGAATAACAAGAATCTTTTGCATTTGGCTTTGGGATGCAGTCAGAAACTCAAACTATGTCTGCAATATACATTTTATACTCTATTTCACACTCACTTCGTTCATAACCTGGCACCAACCATTCTCTTGACTGACCTGACTTTCAGTGGCTCTAGAGAATACTGATTAGTATTCTGACTCATCAGCTCACAATTAACTTGTTTGGTGTAAAAGATAAAAATTTCCCCTCCAATTTTCCTACTTCTAACAAGTTTACTCTATGAGCTGTGACTGAAATTTGGAAAGTTAAAATACAGAGCAACCGGTTTGTCTTTTGGAACCTCTGCCATCATTAAAGAAGAGCCATAATTGCTATAAAAATTGTAATGTTTATGATGGGAGCTGATTATGAATAGAAATTCCACGTAGCTATAAAGTTCTTACAACTCTGGGAGAGGCAGCCATATATTTCTAGGCTAGGAGGAAGAGCTGTGGAAATAACTGAAGTTTAAACATACAAACATGCCCTGAAATGATCAGTTTATTGTTCTTCTTTCTTCATTTAGTTTTTCTGTGAAAACTGAATCATAGCCAAGCTCATGTCTCATGGGTAGGACTTAGGTTTCAACATTACTTAGGAAGAGTAGTGCTGAAAACCACACGGTTAAAAATTTTTTTCCTACCAAAAGGACTCTGTAAAATATGTTATGCCTGTATTTTGATTCATAGTTTACTGAGAATTAAGATAGTAAAGCTATACATTCTCAGTAGATCAGAATAATAATGCAAACAATATAAGTAACTGGCCACTGTATTATTTGAATGTACACCTATATTTAAATATCAGTGGATACTGAAATGCTTGATGTCAAGGTTTTGAGTTCTTGCTTGGCACAAGTAGAACATGCAAATGTTTAATGGATAAATAGCTGAATAGAAACATTTATTGGAGCCAAAACAATCTAGCTCCAGTTTTGAGGACCACTGCTAAGTATTAGGAGGAAATGATAACTCACATGATCTGAAGAGCCCAAATCTAGTCCTGCCACCCATATCATTACTACCTAATCATGAAAACTAAAGTGTCACAGAGATCAACAGAAGGAAGGAAAATCTGGTCCCAGTGTGAAAGTATAATTAACTTCTGGTTGGAAGGACATGCACACAAAGGACTAAAATATTGATATCCTAAGTCAGAAATGGGCATACTCCCAAATGAAATTGTACCTAAATTTTATAAATAGATTCTAAATAAAAATGAAAATAGATATATTCAACTTTATTAAAGATGTTGAATGGTCTGCCATTTGGTAATAAATTGAGTTTACCAGATTTCAGTAAATTTCACTTGTGATAAACAAGGGTCCCTGTTTTTGAAAGGGAATTAATACTTTGACAGCTTGCTCCTGGTAGGACTATTCTAATGAGCTTAAATGTCAAGGTGGGGATGGGATTCAGATCCACCCTCAATGGGCCTCTTTCCGTTAATCCAAAAAATCTTCATTCCTGGTTGGAATATTCAACTGTAGCAAGATAGGGAAATAATTGAACAGTAATTCAACTGTAAAGGATTAGAAAAAAATCATGAGCATATACATCTACTAAAGAAATTTCCTCATTACAACGTAGGAGGAGAATACTCTGGAGGTTTATAAGAATATGTACCAAAATAATGATATTTATAATATCTCTAAACTCATATTTGCCAATCAGAAGAGGCTCAATCAGCTTATCAAACATGAGTATCAACAACCCCTTTCTGCATGCACTCAAACACACCCAAACCTCTGGCCAGCTCTGCAATGAACTGGCCATTTATACAGAGAGCAGGAGGACATTGTCACTGAATAAACTGCTTTCAATGTTGAAAGGGTCCACTTAGAAAACCTTCTGTTTACCTCTGTGAGTATTTTTGGTTGCTGTGTTGGTGGGTGACTAAACGTTTTTAGACAGACACTCTGTAGTGACAATATACCTATGCATACATACTGCTCTATCAGGCTTGTCTGGGGGAAGAAAAAGATGCTTGAAGTAGCTTCAGGTGTTCACAGCTAATGGCTGCCAACTCTGCAAGCTGATTAGCAGTGTTATACTCCCTGAAGGAAAGGCTAAATATGATCCCCAAGAAGATCGTGGGGGTGGCTAATAAAAGCATTCTTATAACCATATTTAACCCATTGACATTTATATACCTGGTGTTTGGAGCTTAAAAACATTTCAGTATTCTGTTTGTTCTTCTACCAACTTTAATTACCATTTCTAAGGATTGTAAAGATAATTGCTAAGAGGTTAGAGCTGAAAGAAGTGAGATAGAACATGCTGGTCCAGAATGTTCAGCTGGGCCTCATAATTCTTGGTACAGATGTTCCTGCTTAGTTCGGGTCTGATTTAGGGAAACAGCTATAATATGGTTTGAGGCAAGGTGACCAGATGTAGCTGAATTTAAAGATCTGTCCCAGAATGTCAATGAAAAGAAACTCCATTACCCTAGCAAAATAGCCTTTATGGGGGGAACAAACTTATGTTTAAAGGCATACCTACTTTATCATTAAAGTAGATAGATATCTACACCTTGACAAGACAGGATTCTAAAAAGAAAACAAAATTTAAAAACTATTAATAAAACTATCAAACGTAAATCCCACAAACAATTCTGTAAAGAAGCTTATTCTCACAGAGCAGTGTATAAAGAAAAACTAGCAAAAGGAATTTTATCAGCGGGCATGCACTGTGTATAATGTGGGATTGATCTATAAACAAGCTATGGCATTTCTCTAACTTGTTATGAACACAGACACTGAAATGAAAATGCTGAGAAGACATTCAGCAACCATCTTCACCAAGCTGACTTTTTAGATGAGGAGGACATCACCTTCCTAGATGTAGGGTAGAGAGAACATGGGTTTTGAGACATCTTCCTTGACATATATAAGATGATAAAACAGCCAAATAAGAAAGGCAGCACCTTTCCCAAAACATAAAGCCAATTATCTTCTTCCTTATTGTCCCCAAACATTTAAAAACATATTATACCCCATTCCTTTCACGAAGGGAACAGGATTCTGTTTCCAAAGAGTTCTAAATACACTCTGCTTCAGAAAGCATTGCTGATAACAGCTATGATTCATACCTACACTTAGACAATGAAAGAACACATGAAACATAAGAGTTAGACTCTTCTGTACTCCAATCCTAGGTGGATGGGCACATTTTTATCACATCTTCTAATGACAAGGCAAAATAGACTTGGTCTTCAAAGCATGTGTGTGTGTGTGTGTGTGTGTGTATGTGTTTATGTCTGTGCTTTAAATCTTACATGTAAAATACTCATTCGATGCCAAGAATTAAAACAGAGAGTTGAACAGTTAACTGGAGGAGAATGTTAGGGTGAAAAATAGGAAGAAGAACATAAAAATGTCTACATACACATGCAGGGGTAGAAATCAACCTTTTTGGATTGTACACTTGGCAAATGTTTATATTGGTCAACATCATTATCTAGGCTTATCTAAAGTGAGTTGCTTAGGAGTTGGAAGTCAGGATACCACCCATACTTTAAATCAAGTTGAAGATAAATTGGCAAAGGAACTTCTTTCTTCACCCCTGCTTAGTTTACATTGGCTCCTTTCATGGCCATAAAGATGAACCATCCAGATCTCCTGCCACAGAGGAGTCTGTTATCTTAACCAAAAGATGGCCCTAGATGTTGTATTCTGAACCCACCTCGTTGTTTGCACTGAGGCCATGATTTCCGAGGGCTGTTCCAATGACTGAGCATAGCAGAGATACTACAGCAGGTTCATTCTTGAGAAAGGCAGAGCTCTCTGAGGATCGATTCTGCTCAAAGACTCCCCAGTCTGGCAGAAACTTTCCTAGCACTAGGCTGCAGTCTGAGACTCTTCCTCTCCAACCCTCTGTCTTCCCTCTCTCCACAAAAGATAGGCATGCATTCCGTCTGATGCACTGCAATCTGATAGCTCTTCCAGCATCCTCTGACCCCTCACCTTTTTTCCCAGTAAATCTCTTGTATTCCTAATCTTATCTTGGCAGGACAAAATTCTAGGAGGACCTAAACTCATAGCATCTCTTCTTTTGACCCAAGTACTATTGGACTAGACCTAATGTTTGCAATTTGCCATCCCTATCTGTATCAAAACAGGCCACCCAGTCTCCACGATGCCAAGGAAACGATGGTAACTCTGTTAGGGCTCCTCTCTTCTCTCTCTGCACTGACATCTCAGTTAATGCTCTACAGAAGGGGAGTCCAATCTTTTGGCTTCTCTAGGCCACATGGAAGAAGAATTGTCTTGAGGCATACATAAAATACACTAACACTAATGATAACTGATGATATAAAAAAATGACATAATATCTCATAGTTCTAAGAAAGTTTACAAATTTGTGTTGGGCCACATTCAAAGCTGTCCGGGACCACATGAGGCCCATGGGTCGCAGGTTGGACAAGCTTGCTCCACAGTGTTTTGAAGTAATGATCAGAACTAGTGGGTGACAGACAGCTCTGACTTTATCTCCATCATCATCACCCAGACTGGCTCCAAGTTCACTACCATTCTAGCATTCCTCTTCATCCTAGCACTAAAAGGCAGATGTGTTTCAGATCCTCACTATATCCAGTTAGTGCAATGAATTTAATTTCATACAAAGTCGGAGTAGTAAATTAAATCATTTCCTGGGCAATCTAACTCACATTGTTTCACAAACCTTAAAGTTTCTCTTATTACTGGCTAGAAGTCTCATCAGTATGTGTGAGTATGTCAAAGGAAACAAAATAGAAGAAAATAATTTGGACCCAAACAGATTTATTTCCCCTTCAAAAACAAAATGTTCAAGGCACAACTCTACAGATAGTGCTTTGGCATTATAAGTAGTGTAATTCTTATATCTGTGACTCACCACCTCCATCACCACCCACCAGCAACCCTCACCATACACTCCATGGCCTTGTCTCTGAAAAATGTAAATACACAAAATCAGGAGAAATGTATATCAGTATTTAAATTGTATATGTAACTTAAAGAATTTCAAATATTTACTCAGTATCTCAAGAAAATGCCTAAGAAAGGGGAAGGTTTCTACTTAATGCATAGCAAGCATTCTTCAATGTCCACTCTTTTCTTCCCACCCATTTCTGTCATTCTTGATGTACTTCACACAAATGGCAGCTAGTTCTTCAAAAAAATTGTTTTTGTCTCTCAAGTCCTAAGTTATTTTTGAAATTCAGTCCATGTATTCCTCGGGGGAAGAGAATCAGACTGCTGAATATATTTATGTATTACTCTTTTGTCATTTGTTTATATTAATAATATGTTGTTCCTGTTAAGGGAGCATAATCTTCATATGGACAGGAAAGCACTGCACAGGCACATATGTGTACACATGAAGCAGCCAAGTGGAGAGGCTGGGTGGAATAGGAAATGTCCTAAAACTGTTCACACAGACTCAGATGTTCCAGTGTCCCAGCTGAACCCAGCCTCTAGCTGTGCCTACGGAACCACCAGATATATGACTGAACCATCCTGAACATTCTATTCCAGCTAAGCTCTCCAAAGAGTGCAGCCCCAGTGGATGCACAAGGAGCAGAAGAATCATTCAGTTGAACTCGGTCAACCCATAAATTATGGGACATAATGATAATACTGTTTTAAACCACTACGTTTGGGTTGGTTTATTACATAACAATAGGTCAATGGAACACCATGGTAGCATATGTTGAAGTGGGAAAGGAAAAATTCATCTTCATAACCCACGTTTGCTTTCAGAAGCACAAAAAAGGGGTGCTTTTCTTTCTAGGTTATCCATATTTGTTGAAAAATGGGATTTTAAGATCATGATAGGTGCTGATCTTCAGCTGACACCGAGGAAGAATAACAGTCTTTTAGCAGGCCCCTGTGATTTTGTGTCTGATGCTATAAATCTCAAAATTACCTGCTGCCAGAATTTCCCTGTATGCCTCACTACTTTTGCCTTTAGGGTAGAAAACATTAAAGCCGTGTAATGATATTTCCATCTTAATGGATGGTGTCATTCTTCACATCTCCTTCCTCAATATAAGTGCCTATGGCTTTCTGTAAGTACTAGGTGGCTGGAAAAATTTTAGTATCATACTTTACTATTCTCTTGCTTACTGTGTTATTCTATACATGTTTTGGTAGCTGTGAAATGACATAAAGTGATTACTTCTTTATGTAATTCTAAGCGTAATGACTTTATTCCTCATTCTGCATTTTACAAGTCATCAAAGTCACTGCCTTTCACACATCCTTTGGAAGAAATGAGTTCAGGGCACTGTCAGGGGCTTCAGTCCTCACCCATTCTTCCCTGCATTGAACCAAGTACCTTTCAGCCTCAAAATGTGACCATGAGGCTTTAAGCTCCACAGATTAGGACTACTGCTATCATGCTCACCACTCTATTTTGAAAGCCTAGCAGTGCCTGGTACAGAATTGAGTTCTATAAATATATGAGTGGTAAATTAATGAAGGCTTTTTAAAAAATCAGTTATTAATTTTATAAATTTTAGAATTAGAGGCTTAGAAGTCATCTAATCTAGCTCCTTCTGGAGCCCAGAGAGAAGTAGATCGACTTTCCCAAGAGCATTTATCTAATAAGGGTCAGAGTATAGATTAAAATGTAGATTTCTTGATGCCAGTCATGTCCTTTCCACTCCATGGCTCCAGTGTCTCTATCCCCTGTTTGGGTTGTCTCTTCAAAGAGTTGGCAAGTATAGGATGTGGATGACGTGGATCATAGCTGACTGCAAGCTCAATGAATCAACAGTGAAATGTGGCTAATATAAATGTGAGCTGCTATTAAAAGTACAGTGTAGGAAACAAAATATATGACGGCTTTTTTTTCTACTTCATGCTGAAGAGATCATAAACACTGGTAGGGAGTTAATTTCTAGATGCCAAACTTTAAGAAGGACATTGGCCAAACCAACAATTTATAAAGAAAGAAAATATGATCATTGTTATCTGGAAAGCATTTGACAATCCGTGGGATTAATCAAGGGCATTTTGCCTAAGAAGGGGAGAAGTGAGAATATGTGAGAGCTGTCTTCAAGTACTTCTAAGACAGTGTCGATTTACTGGCCTCTGTCCTGCCCACTACCTTGATTTCTTTTTTTTTGCATTCTTGCTCTTTACATTCTGACTTCTGTCATCACTACTCCACTCTCTCCAAGCTCACCAAGGCTCGTCTTCCACCCACTGGCCCTCAGTCATCACCCTCTTATGATCATATCCTCCTTCTTGAAAATCTCTCCCCCTTGTTTTCTGTGGTAACTGAGAATGATGCTAACTCACTGGCCATTCCTTTGGTTTCTCATTTGGGGGGTCCTCCTGGGCCTCCAACCCAACAAACTAACCATAGATGATCCCAGGACTCTGTCAATGGGCATCTTTTCTTCTATTGTTTCTTGCCCTGCAATTCTTTTAAGCTCTCAGTGAGTCAGCCATCTCTTTTAGGCAGATGATTCCCAAATCCATGCATGGAACCATGGCTCTTATGTGGCGTGTTCTATATTTCCTGCATTCATATACTGAACTTTGCAGTGCCCTGTGCCTGGAATGCCATCCCTCCTATCTCCTTCTACTAAAATCTCATCAGTCCTTAAAGGCTGCTGTTTCTACGCATCCTCCAAGCACCTATAATCTCCCCTCCACAGAATCCACAGAGGTCCTGCTCTTGTAGCGAGATCTGGAGTCACAGGACCTGGGTGGAAGTCCTGGTTTACCACCTCTCTGCTGTGTGCTTTGAGTAAATTACTGAAACTGAATCTTAGGTCCTTCATGTGTAAATGAGGAAGAACAATAATACTTATCTTACAGAATAGTGGTGATAATTATGAAAAGTGATTTGTAAACTATAAAATGCTATACAGAGTTTGGTAATATATACCAGGGATTTCTTTTCACAGTATGAGCTAGTAGAGCATGTCCACTCAAACGAATTAGTATTTCCACCTTGACTGACTCACTTGGCTGACAAAGTGTGTGGACATTCCAATGTAAAGAAGACTGGCAAGGGGATATGGGACATTTATGTCATAATTTATTGAGATACAACTCCTGGCACCTCATTTTTAAACAAAAAAAGCACAGCATATTATTATTTATCTGATGGTATGTGTTTTGGGCCTTTTGTGTTTTGGGCCACATGTGTTTTGGGCCATGTGTCTTGTGGCCATTTGGGAATTCATCTTACCTTTCTTACTATGTTATAAAGATACCAAGGCCAGGGGCCCTAACCTACTGATCATGCTGCAAGGCCAAGAACAAGTATCTTAAACTTAGGATGTCTACTGTGTTTGTTGAATACAATGAAAATAAATTTGGCACATATAGTTCATCAAAGTGGAATTCAGCCCCTTATCTTGATTAAAAAAAAAACAACTTCAAATAATCAAATACAGTATATTGAACATTGGCTACTTAGTAGGTAATGAAAACCTTGGCACCAGAGGCATTCACACAGGAGCTGAAGAAAAAATTTAGAGGAATTCTGAGAGTCTTTCCAACTCTGAGAAACTGTGAATTAGCTAAAATTATTGCTAGTATTTCCACGGTTACTTCCCACATCCTCTATAATAGTAGATATAGAATAGATGTTCAGCAATTGGTGGTGACATTTACTCCCCCCACATTACAGTTGTGTAAAGGTTTTTTGTTTGCTGTTAGCATCTTTGGAGGACTGTCTAGTTTTTAGGCATCTAAATAACAGCCTCTTTGATCATGCATTAAGGTCACAGATGATGGATAACTCAAACACATTTGGATCTATGTATTCATTAAATAGATGGACTAGGTAACACAGAAGCCACCATAACACATTTTCCAGAATCAAGAATCTGAGTTGAATGGTTTTAAATGTTGCCCACATCCACTGCACTTCCCGGTTAGCTTCTTTCTTCATTCTCCACTGGGGATCCCATTTCTACTAGCCCCCTCCTTTCCTTCTATGCATATGTCATTGTCTCCTATTTCACAGAAAAAAAAAATAAGTCCTTTAGATTTGAATACCCTAAAATCACTGCCTCCCCAAACTTCTGTGCCCCTGAACCATGCTTCCTTCAGTCTCTCATGGGTTAACTTGTCTTTCCTGTTGATTAAGGCAAATCTCTTCCATCTGCACTCTGAATTCCATCCACTGCTGTCCCCAAAGGGATCTCATTCCATTATTTATTACTCTCCCCCCTCCTCTATATTGTCACTCTTTCCCTCCCATTGATTCTTTTCTCTATGCTCATCTCTTCATATCTTCATATTTAAGACAGAGAGAGCAAGAGCAAGCCTCTTCTCCACATTGTGTTCCTGTTCCTACTAGCCAAAGGTTTTCCTTCCTTTCACAGCCATGTTTCTAGAAAGAAGTCTTCACTATACTTCATGACTCCACAAACTCAGCAAACAGAAACTCTGACTTTTGATGTCATCATCCAACTAAAATTTCCCTGGCTAAAATTATCAATATCTTCCTAGATACCAAATGTAATAGGCATTTTCCAGTCTTCATTTCACCTGCATGAATTGTGACCTAGTAGGTCATCCCTTTTGCTTGAAACTGTCTTCTTTCCTTTCCATGACACCATACCCTTCAGACTGTCTTCCGTCTTCCCCATAGTTTGGTATTCCCCTGCCCATCCTTTAAAGGCTGTTGCTCTCTGGTGCTCCATTGTTATACCACTACTATCTTATTCTACCAATTATTCCTGGAAATCTTTTTCATAACCGTGGAAACAGACAGCACTGATACAATGACAACTTTCAAATATATGTACCTTTATTTCAAATTCCAGACACCTATATCCCCAATTGCCTATTAAGCATTATTAAACAAATGTCTCCCAGGAACCTCTAACTGAATAATTCAAATTGAATTTATTTCTTGTCCAGCCTTTCCAAATGTGTTCTTGCTTCTACAAACTCTGTCCATACTGGTACCACATCCTCCCAGGTAATCCAAGCCAGAAACTGTAAGTCTGCCTATAATCTGTCTTTTCTTTTCCCTCTACATTAAATTAATTGCTATATCCTAGCCCTGCTGCCTCCTGAATATCTTTTCTACTTGACTGCTCCATCTGCAGGTTTGGTCAGCCCTCTCCTGGACAACTATAGCATTCTTCTTGATAGTCTCTCTGTTTCTAATCTTATCCTTTCTTCAGTCCAACACATTGTTGCTTGAGTGAGCTTTCTAAAAAACAGTGCCAATCACATCTCTCTGGCGTGACATGTGTCAACTCTTCACTTCTACATGCAGTGTTTCTCAGATTTTGATGTACATATGTCAATGGGGAATCTCATTATATTATCAGTTCTCACTCAGGAGGTCTGGGTTAGGGCCTGAGATGATGCTTTTCTAACACACTCCCTGGTGATGTGATGTTGTGCTCCAGAAACCACTGCAGTAGCAAGTGGTACTAAATTGTACCACTTTTCTACAATTATCTAGATTGTAAACTTAACCTCCTTTTAAAGGCCCCCAAAGCCTTTTCTGTTGGGTCTCCATTTATCCCTATAGACTCGTCTCCAACCATTTTTTCTTCTTTGCTCTTAATGCTTTAGCAACATTGGATGGCTTCTGGCCTTCTGAACCCACCATGATCATCTGCTCCTCTATGGCTTTACATTTTCAGTTCCATCTGACTTGCGTGCCCACCTATAACTCTATAGGTTTATATTTACTCAACATTATCTCGGTAAGTCTGACTCCTTGCCCGATGACGAGCTCACTAAGAAGGGTCTGGTTCATCTCCCAGTTTCTAGCCCTAGCAGAGTATCCTGGCTCAGAGGAGCTACTCTCCAAAGTTTGGGGAATCAATCATCTATTCCTCTACAGCATAAGCCACTTAAAAATTCCCAGTTCTCCATAAACACTTTCTATTGGAGAACCTGCTGGCAAATAATCATAAAACAAAATTTTAGTGAGATAAGTCTAGAAGATTTTTCCTTTTAGAGGTTAAAACAAAAACACTAAAGTGGGAATAGATAAGGAAAGGGTCTAAAGTGTAAACATGTATTACATATAGACTTAGAGCCTATCTTATATTTAATCAACTAGAATCTAGGCAAATTTAACACTAATAAAAATATTTACATGTTTTTCAAATTGCTTCACCAAACTCTTTTTGTTTAAATGTGCCCCTGAGTATATTACCAAATGTGTTAAATGTGTCACCCATTAAAAAATGGATAATGAAGGATTAGCTAATGAGTCATTTGAAGGTCCTGCTTATTAATTTTTATAGCTTCATTACCTGGAACCTAATCATCAACTGTTATCAATATCCTGGGAGAAGTGGAAAAATAAAATAAAAAATTCTTTATTTATTATAGGTAAGTTTCTGTAGAACTTTGTAATTTGCTCGTTCTTGTCCTTTCTAGAATTCATGGATGCTTCTAACATTTTACTCACTCTTCATAGAGGTTGCAAATTTTAATTATAGTTGTGCCGATTCCCATTTGACTTGACTTTAGTATCTGATCTTGACTTTTTAAGAGACATTTCTGTTTTATAGTTACCAAATAAATTCCTCTACCCTGTTAATCATCCATGTTTTTTTTTTTTTGGCTGTCACTGAAGTGTAGGTGACTGAATGTTAAACAAACATTCTTTTTCAAACTCAAACTGAAAATAGGATGTTCCATTTGTTTATACTATGTAGACATGAAAAAATGTGAGCTTTTTTCCCTTCAGTTCCAAAAAGCCCACTCCCTTCTCTACCAAAACTCTATTTTTTAAAATCTAAAAGTTTGTCAGGTTTTTGTTGTAGACACATTACTATGTTTCTAGGGTTTTAAAATATTCTTTACATCGATGAAGCAGATTTGGTCATTTCAACAAATATTTATGTAGCTTCTACTACATTATAAGAGCTGTGTCAGGTGCTGGAGGTGTTGAACACAAAAATAAATATGGTCTCTTTTTTCCATGGTCTTACAGTCTAGTAGAAGAGATAATGGCAGGTAAAAACTTCCTAAAATGCCAAAGAGAAGCTGGTATCTCCAATATGGAGATAAAAGCTTCATGCTGTGCAACTGTAGAGAATAGTGGAATACACTGTTCTTGCAAAATATAATGATGTGCTCTGAACTGTAAACCACCTATGTTCATTTTCATGCCTACTTATGTGGAACCCTGAAGCTCAATCAATGGAATGGAACAGCCTCTAGATAACAGTTTCTACAGTTGCTTTGGTCTTTTGGAACAAAAGAATAGGTCAGCCAAAAAATAACAATTGAGCCTCCATTCTGTGTGCAAGACTCTATGGAAAGTCCTATTCTGCTTAGTTGATGGCAGTGAAAATGAGACTTATAAGAAATCAAGCACATCTGCTTCTTGGGTAGCCTTACCAGTGTAAAGAGCAGATAGGAAGAGGGAATACCCCCAAATTATACCCATTCTGCAATAATGCAAATAGATGCTGCAAGTTGGTTCCAAGCAGTGAATGAGCTGATGGAAACCAAGACTGTGTCCAATAGGTGCTAAGTGGTGAGCCATTCCCATCTTGTCCCCATACCACCTACCAACGTCTTTCTTATTCTGGTTGCTAAGCCACCTTTTTTCCTGATTAACTAAAATATTATACTATTTCTATCCATCTATAGCCATCACTTTCTTTAAAACCATTTATTACATTCCTAACTTATATCAAAAATTAGTCTAGGTTTTCTATAGCTAGAATCAAATCCTCACAAATCAGCAAAATGAATTCAGTATTATTATTTATATTTTATACTTGGTCAAACTAAGTTTCAGAGGTTACGTACCCTGACCAATGGTAGAATTGGAATTTGAATACGGGACTGTGTTTTCTTAGAAATTAAGGAATACTATTATATTAAATATTCTTGAGTGCCTAAATATATTTAAACAACTATGCTAAAACCTGTAAGTAATTCAATGGTAAGATCCATGCCTTCAAAGAGATAGAGTCTAAAAGGAGAAAGAGAAATAGAAAGGTGTTAGCCACTTAGAAATGTGGGACAGAATGAATTTGCTTTGCAATGCACTAAATCACCATAAAATTCTACACAATAAATTTCATGCTTTAACATGTATAATATTTAAATGCATTCTTGTAATATTTTTCAATAATACAGAAGTATATACAGACTATAAATGAAAATCTCCTAAACCCTTGAATCCTGTGTGTTCTTTATAAGGGCACACTACCACATTCACTGAAGACCGCATGTTCACCAAATATTGTTTGAGCATATGCCTTGCAGATAGCCTGTGTTAACAAAAAAGTGTTGCTTAGTGTAATGTATCTGCCATTACCATATTATACATAATAATTTCACCACTCTAAAAAGTCCCCTGTGTTTTACCTATTCAACCCTGTTCCCTCCCTCAAAACCTCTAGCAACTATTGATCTATCCAGTTTTGCCTTTCCCAAAATGTCATAAAATCAGAATCATATACTATGTAGCTTTTTCAGGCTAGCTTCTTTTTCTCGGCAATATGTATTTCAGATTCATCAATACCTTTGCATGGCTTGATAGCTCATACCTCTTTATTGCTGAATAGTATTTCATTCACCTATTGAAGGATATTTTGGTTTCTTGCGATTTTTGATCACTATAAATAAAGCTGCCATAAATATCTGACTGCAGGTTTTTGTGTGGACATAAATTTTCAAATTGGTTGAGTAAATACCTAAAAATGTGATTGCTGGATCATACAGTAACTATGGTATGTAAATATGGTAAGACTATTTTGAGCTTTCTAAGAAACTGCCAAACAATCTTTCAAACCTGGTGTATTTTTGATTCCCACTAGCAATGAATGAGAATGTGTTGCTTTGTATCCTTCTCAACAATTAATATTGACTAGTTTTTGGATTTTAGTCATTCTAATAGGTGTGTAGTATCTCCTTGGTTTTAATTTGCATTTTCCTAGTGATAGATTATGTTGAACATCTGTTCATATGGTTATTTTTCCATCTGTGTATTCTCTTTGATGCAGTGTCTATTCAAGTTTTTGCCTGTTTGTTTTCTTATTGTTGAGTTTTAAGAGCTCTTTGTTTATCTTAAACACAAGTCATTTATGAGATATTTAGTCTGCAAACATTTTCTCCCATTCTATGGGCTTGTCTTTTTATTCTTGTAACTGTCTTTCACAGAGAAAAAGATTTTAATTAGATAATGTTTAGCTTATAAATTTTCTTTCATGGATCATGCTTTTGGTATTATATTAACATCTAAAACTCATCACCAAACTCAAGGTTTTCTCATATATTATAGTCAAGGAATTTCATAGGTTTGCATTTTACACTTAGGTCTATAATCCACTTTTGAGCTAATGTTTATGAAAGATATGAGGTCTGTGTCTGGGTTCATTTTGTTGCATGTTTCGAATATCCAATTTTTCCAGCACCATAATCATGCAATTTTAAAATTGGTAGAGTGAAAGGATCATTGTAGGTTATATGCAGTTATTAATGGATTAATAAAACTAACATGATGATTAACATTCCCTCAAGTTTGTAAAGCACTAGGAGTTATTAATGTGAGTCACTTAGAACGCAAGAAACTGAGGATCAGCACATGTAGAACCTGTCAAATAGTTACCAAATAAGCTCCTGCATGGTCCTCAAAGAACCGAAAACAAATGGTCACAGCAATTGTGCATAACATTGAATACCTATGGGGTATTGCTTAAGAACGCTCAACTCTTTTGTTACTAATATACCTTTATGGTCTCTTTCTTTGAGCTTTTAAAGTTTTCTATCCTCAACAGTCTACTTTTAACATATAAATGCCACTAAGAGTTGTTTCACCTCTTTAGCTGTCAGAATGATCAGGTTATACCTAAATAACATTGATATCATTGTTGTAGACCCTTAACTAGAATGAGGCCATCTCCTCACTCCAGCTCTCACAGCAGCTCCCACAATCTCTGTTTGGACACTTCTATTATCTATGCATTTGCATCTTTATGAGGCAGCCTGCTGACCTGACAGCTCCAAAGATCTGAAGGAAAATATCTTTATCATGCTGAGACAGAGTTCATTTTGCTGTAACTCCATCATAGTCCCACTGTTTAGAAACAGAGTGTTATCCTCGGCCAGGTATCTTGGCAGGAGTACTCACCTGAATGAAAGCTACTGGAGTACATGGACCCCTCTGAGCTGGGTGACTTTGGGCCACTCTGTCATTCCTACAAGTCTTAATTATCTCATTTAACATAAAGTTTTAAAATTCTCTGCTTCTAAAAAGCTAGTATCTTTGCAAAAATTCGTTTTAATCCAACCAAAATAGAAAGTAAATAATGGGGAAGACCTGGGGAATAGGAAAATGGTAGGAAGAATGTAAGGGGCACTGAAATAGGAGGAAAATTTAAATAGCCAATTTTACATATGTGTAAGTTTAGCCATAAAGAGATATACACTATTAGGGCCAGGTGTGGTGGCTCGTGCCTGTAATCCCAGCACTTTGGAAGGGCGAGGAGGGAGGATCACCTGAGGTCAGGAGCTCGAGACCAGCCTGGCCAACAAGGTGAAACCCTGTCTCTACTAAAAATACAAAAATTAGCCAGGTTTGATGGTGGGCATCTGTAATCCCAGCTACCCAGGAAGCTGAGGCAGAGTAATCGCTTGAACCAGGAGGCAGAGGTTGCAGTAAGCCAAGATCGCGCCACTGCACTCCAGCCTGAGCAAGAGGGACACTCGGTCTCAAAAAAAGAAAGAAAGAAAGAAAGAAAGAAAGAAAAAGATGTATATACTATTAGGACATGCAAAGTGTATCCCATAGCCTTAATAGAAACATCACTTTCAAAATTACTTGTCCTTGTAGTAAGTTTTAACTCTCAAAATCAGGAGAGAGTTCCATTCTTCATGTGTTCTGAAGATAGTAAGAAACTGCCACAAAAACACAGCTCCAAATAGCACTATCTTTCCTGAGGCAACGTTTTACTCAGTTGTTAAACGTTCCCACCAGAAATCTTTTGGAAAGTCTTAAAACATATTTTATCTGCCCCCTCCCCATTTTCCTACAGAAACAAAATTAATTGTTCCCTCAATGGCAGTTCCCTCACTTCTTTTAAAACTCTGTGAAGGAAATGTGGCTTTGTGCAAATTATTTTCATTCCTCTAACATCTATAATGAAAGAGTCTGTTTAATGTATTCATTGAAAGAATTATTTAAGCTCCAGTTCAGCCCTTCATTATTGCCAGGGATAAAAGAAACAAAAGGTGATTTGCACTTGAGAATTTGCAGAATGAAGTGTCTGTTAAACAAAACCAGCAGCAACCATCATCTTGAGCAGGCACCAGGCAGGAATGGGGACCCATCTATAAAGCATGCACACGCCTACACTTGACCCATGGGGTTCTGACAAGGGAGGATGCCAATATGATTCCATCAGACAGAGTGACAAAAAACCCGGCTTTAAAAAAAACACAAAAGCACACGGCAGCTCTGATATTCGCTGCTAAGCAACATTGTCCTGCTCCACAGCCCTTACCCCCAACTGCCATAAAAAATAGAGTGAAGTGGAAGTTACTGACTGTGGGAAAGGAAGATGTACTTGGGATGGAGAGAAGCTGCAAACCCACTTTTTAAAATCCTTCAATTAGAACCAATTGACCAGAGCCCATGTGTAATTGCTAAATGAAGGAGAAGGGAACTTGGTCCAGAGGCTCCATGGGGTTCCTCAGAGCATACCCCTTAAGGGGAACATGCCAATCCAGAGTCTTAAAATGAGTGTGTCCTCTGGCTCCAGCTCCACTTTCCTAGATGGCAGCAGAGAGTAGAAGGTGGTTAAGCCTTCTGATTACAAGCTTGTTTAACTCCAACAAATTCCACTTTGTCCAGGCTCAATGCTGCCCTGTTAGCATTGGAGTGAAACTGCCATCGACAGACCTGCATCATCCTCATTGCACCCAGTATTTACTGAGTCCCTACTGGATTCCAAAACCCAGACTAGTGTTTCATGTACACTAGTTCATCTTCAAAACCATACCAAAAGTAAGCATTACCCCCCGGTGTGATAGACTAGAAAACAAATTCTCAGAAAGTTTAGGGTAGAAACTAGCTAAACCAGGATTTGAACTCTATCCCTGCCTCATTCTAAAGTTCGGAAGATTTTACCACTCTTTGGCACTATGGCACATACATATGGCCTGGGTCACTTGTTAAGACAATAGCTTTGTGATGCAACCCTGTTGTCATCTCTTGTCAAAGGCCACTCTCCTTTTTAGAGAGCCAGCATACTGTGATAGATAAATGCATAGATTCTCTGACTTCCGTGTTAAAAATCTGCCTCTTGCTAGATGTGGAACTGTGGCAAGAGATATATTTATCTCTGCCTCAGTTTTCTCAGCTGCACCTGCTTCATAAGTTGTTCCAAGTCTCCAAATACTTTTCCAAGTCCCCACTGTAAAACCTGAGGGACAGAATTAGGTGAGGGGGTGCCCTCCATGGAGATCAAAGGAGGGAGAACAGGAGTTAGATGCAAAAGAGATTTCTAAGGTTTTAAAGAACGCATATTATGAAAAGAAGAGCCGGTCTTAATTTCATTGTTCCCTATTCCACTGACTTTTTCTTTGTCCTTTGTTAGCACAGACAAAGACAGCAAGAACCTTGAAGAAATAGCAAGTGAGGGAAAGGAATATGGGTGCTGCTTGACCTCAGATATTCTAATGTATTTGGTGAGCTCTGTGTGTGGAGCATGGAACAACAGAAGCAGCTGTTCTCTCCAGACTCATTCTGTAACTTGATGGTAGAAGATACCGCAGGCAGGAGAAAAAGAAGGGGAAGAGGTCAGGGGACTGCTAGAGCTCTTGTTTCTAAAGCTATTGGAACATTCCTCAGTGTTCTCTAACATCCAAGGCAAGCTCCTGCAGGGAAAAAGGACAAGAACTCTCACTTACTGAGTTTGCCTACTACATATTGGGCCATCCCAGGTGATACAGATGTAAAGTTTCACTGAACCTGGCCACAGCCCTGGGAAGTACTGCTATCCTTGTGTCTCAGTGAGAAGATGTAGACTTAGAAAAGTGAAGTCACTTGACCACAGCTGCACAGTGGTTTGTGAGGAGGTAGAATCTGGTCAATTTCCTGAGTTTGAAATACCACAGTACCTCCTTTCTCAGTAACGCCTGTTGGTGAAAGAGTCAGTGACAAGATCTACAGGAGTATGTGATGTGCAGGAGATGCTGTCAGATGCTCACAGGAGATGCTGTGAGGAATATACCATTAATCCCAATAATCGAATGGTCAAGAAGTACTTCTGTAGTCCAGTGAGAGAGGGGCTGCCACAAAGAGCAGGCCACCAACCTTGTGATGGAAGGCTACTTGGAAGAAGTGCTGGCCACCACCAGGCTGTGCAGGTAGGGTGCTAGACACCTCTGTGCTGCCTCTAGCTGGTTACTTGAACTGGAGTGAGGGGGCTCTCATTTCTCCAACTATGAGCCTTGTGTTTGTTTCAACTGCTTTAACCTCAGAATCTTGAATCGAGGCCCTGTGACTCTGTGTTCTAGAAAAGCTGGCCTGGTGTTCTGGGGACAGCACAGCATGTTGCTGGTGTCCAGAGCTGTTTTCTTAGAGCCTCTTTCCCAGCCTATAGTTCCCTGGGCTGTTAAGGCACTGCTGCCTTAACATGTTCTTCTGTCCATGATGAGGAACCCAAACCTCCTTCAACTGCTCTTCCACTCTCCTCCCCTTCTCACTGAGCTCAGCACTATTGAGCATGGGGTGGGGGTTGGTTGAGAAGGTAAACCGTGTCCACCTGTGAGCCCTGTGAGGGCAGGAATCTGCTCTGACCTCTTCACACTACTAGCTTCGAGCCCAGGGCTTGGCATCAGTCACTCAATAAAAATGTGAGAATTTCCAAGTAAACTATCATTCTGATTCCAGGGTGTTGGGTCACATGATACATTCATATAAATAAGAAACCATTCTGGTGCTCACTCTCTTTTCAGAGCTCACCAAATACTTGGTGGCCACAAAAATGAAAGGATGAATGAAATGGCTACATGAAATTTTGCCTCCCTCTCATTGTTTTCCAAGTAGCCTAATTTTGGACAGCTCTGTCACATTAACTATTCTGGGATCTTTATTTCCATTACTGCTTTCCATGATAATTTTTTGATGGTGTGCAGAAAACAGTTAACATACCAGGCCAGAGACTGCTATCCTTTGAAAGGCCTGCTCACTAGGTTGGTCCTTGGTTGGCTTCTGGAAAGTTGGATTTCAGGCATGCTCCCACCATTCTCAGAACTGATGATGAATGGCTCACTGCCTCAGTTGTTGCACAAACAATGTGATTTATATGGAACACCTCCTTTCCTTCTGGGAGTCTAGAATTTTGGTATGTGCTAGGGAGAGGACACCTATATGACTAGCCCCCAGTAAAAATCTTCTAGTGTTGAGTCTCTGATAGACTTCCCTGGTAGGCAACATTTCACACATGTGTGTCCAACTTGTTGCTGGAGAAAGTCAGCTCATTCAGTACTGACTCCATTGGGAGACAGGACTCTTGGATGCTTGCTCCTGGTCTCTGCTGGACTTTGCCCCATACACCTTTTCCCTTTGCTGATCTTACTTTGTATCATAGCCATGAGTATGACTACATGCTGAGTCCTGAGTCTCGGCAAATCACTGAAACTGAGGGTGGTCTTGGGGGCCATCAGCAAAGAGGATAAAGAAAAAGAGCCTTTTCTAACATCTTAGAAACGTTTTCCCACTTCAATGGCTTCTTTTACTTTGTATTTAGGTAATTTTTGTCAAGTCTAACTTCCCTATTATGGGTTAAATTCTTTAAGAGTAGGCTAGGGTTTGCTTAGCTTTGCATCCCCAGTGCAGTGATTTACACACAGAATACACCTAGCAAATAGTTGGTACATAAATGAATACATGCCACTTAGGTATTTCTCTCAATTACAATGCCTGGCTCAATACATTGCAAATTTTTATTTGACTTATTTGAATACGAGATCATTAGCATCCTCTAAATTTCCAGAACCTAAAAATTTCATCAGTCTCTGGAGACAGAGGAGGATATGAGCTTTGGTGACTGGCTGAAATCATAAGAAACCAACAAAGAGGAATCATATTTTAATTTAGGGGATGAACCACAAGATATATATTTGAAATTTTCTAATGTAAAATTCAAAATTCAAGCTTAAGTGGACCAATATGAGTGGGAAAAAAATTGTGATCTCATGTCTATATCTTGTCTTACTTCTGCAGTTTATAAGGTTAAAATATAACCTACATAGCAGTCACATAGGATAGCTATATGGGTTATTTTGTATATGTAGCATGGCATATATTCAGTAGCTATTAATTCATGATTTCTTGGATACCTAAAAGTTGGATGGAACTCACTTCCTTGGAAGGATTCCCATCTAGAGGTATTAAAACTCTTCTGTGGATTTTCTCAGGGGTTATCAGAATAGGATGGTTAACAGAAGGTGGAATGCAAAAGAAGGAAGTTGGCACCCCTTCCTTTGACTCTGTTCTCTCTCACCCACTTTGGGAAGCTTTCATTCATCACAAATGAAGACACTCTTGTTGCTGTTAAATCTGCTGACAAGTAATGTCATCGGTTCTACTTCAAGGTGTAGGAGACCTTGTAGAATCAGGTAAATATGCTGCCATGTGCCCTCCTCTGCCTTGGGAGTGAAAGGAGGAAATCTAACACTGACTTAGGGAACAACATATGCCTCATGAATACAGAACACAGAAACTACATTGACGAAAGATTGCCATTTCAACACTGCATTTAGAATCACAATTCCATAAGGTTCAAGGTTTGCTGAATCAATCAGTCAATCAGTCAAAAAACCATAAGATGTTACAGGAAGACATCTTAAGAGAGCATCTCATTCTACCCTTTATCATCTAGGCAAGAGAAATGAAATTAAAACAGGTGAGGTAATCTCCTGCAAGGTTCCTTAGTGGCAGACACAAGTAAAATCCACGTCTCCAGATTATCAGTCTTCCTCATACACACACATATTCACACTCATACACACAGTCAACTATGCACTCTTTAAACTCATGAGGGCATGCAAGAGGCTTATGGCTATGGTGCAATCCACTTGAGGCAGAGCGTTAGATCTTGGTCTTGACATTTCAACCACCCGAGACAAGATCTACTTGAAGCTAAATAATCTCACTGGAATGCTGGTGCTCCAGCAGGAGTTCGTGAGGATGCTGCAGAAAGCATAACCTCACCCTCCTTTTTTTCCTTTTGATCTCTGGGACTCCTAGAACTCGCTTACTGTGTCTCTATAGTGTTTCCTTTATCATCAAGGTAAATTTAGAACAGTCACACTACGAAAACGTGTTTTCAAAGTCAGTGTTCCACAGGAGGAACATCACAGAAGAAACAATGCCCAGCACTAGTAGCCATGGCCGCACACCAGCTGCTTTGTGTACTATGAAGCTGGAGTATAAATTCAAATGCAAATGAATTTTCAAAAATTCAGCAAATTTGCAGGTTTGCAAACCTACAGCCTCCTCAAGTTCGTTACTCCCTAAAAGTAGCATACTCTGCCTTAAAATCCTTAGCTGCTGGATACATGGGTATAAAAGAGATAATTGGGGAGATATCTATCTAGAAAAAACACATGCAAGATATGTATGTATATCTGGTTTAAAACCTGAAACACAGTTTGGTTTTAAGAAAATTCTAAAAGTATAATAATTATAATACATATTCCTTTCCATTTACAGAGCAATTTGAACACATATTGCCTCATTTAATACTTACTTTTCGCCATACTCCCATGAGGTGAGTTCCATCACCCCTCCCTTACAGAGGAGGAAACGAGTCTCAGGAGGTTTAAGTTACTTGCTGAAGAACATGCGGCCAGCAAGTGGCATAGCAGGGAATCAAACCCTGCTCTACAGTATTTCAAAACACAGTGCCAAAGGTTATGCATCTCAGGGCTTCTGGAGAGTTGGTCCGGCTGTCCACTAGGTGGTCCCTAGCTTGAGATCCTTCACCTAACAATAAGAATAACTCTCCCTAGCAAGATTTACTTGAGTGAGTCTTAGGTCAAAGATGCCTCTCTTTTGAATGTTTCTCTTGCCACACTTGGAAAAAGTTACTGCTCTGCACCAAATTCTTAGCACCCTAGAATACAGTGTTTTAAAGTGGAACTTTTGGCTACTAAAAGGGCCTTTAATTATTAAACAGATAGTGAAACAAAATACAGAATTCTACAACTGTAGGCATTCCATCATTTCAGGTGGGAATTCTTTATAATTATTTTTTCTTCCACAGGGTTTTATTTTATACATTGTTTTAGTTTTCTCCGAAGTCGTTATATAAATCCCAGTGGAAAAATTCGTCTATTGCAGAGCCATAAAGTGTTTTCTTAAAAATTCCATCACCCACTTTATTACTGGACAGCAACTACAGAAGGACTTACATGTTAAGAGATTTAAGTTTAACCACTGAGACTAATGGAGCCTGGACTTGCAATGTTAGTCTGTTAGAATTTTTTTAAATGATTGGAAGACCCCCATGTGTTTTCCAAAGATGAATATTGAAGGCTCAAGGCTTCAGCCAGTCCCAGTTTAGCCTGAATACAACGATAAAGAAACACTTCTTTCTATGATATGTATTATAATTCTTTCAAAAATAAAGTCATTTATATTTTCATCTGTTTTCAAACTTATGTTAATTTATTTTCTATTTAAAATGAAAGAAAATCTGCCAATAAATAGAAAGAAAATCTAAGACTAGACTGAGAATCTCCAGCAACAACAGATTTTCCCTCAGAAACCTGGGCTACTATCATTGCATGGACCAGTCCAGAAATTCCGATTTCATCCCTGACTGTATGCCCTCATCTTTCACAACTGTCCACCCTCATCTGATCTGTCATCATTTTCTGCTGATAATCTCTCAAATGTCTTGCTTCAACTCTTTCCCTTCCCTTCCCATGATACTCAGACACCCTGCCTCAGAGTTCAGGCCTTGTCCTGTTTCACCTTAACTATGGCTTGGCCTCCCCATTGTTGACCCTCCTTACAATTTTGCCTTCTTTAAGTCATCCTCACACATTAGCCTCTGTGACTGTTTTAAAAGGCAGCCTTTGTCCTGTACTGCCTTGCTTAAATATGCCAATGGTTGCTGGTTACCAGCAATAAGGTCTTACTCCTTGCCACAGTACACAAGGCTAACCACACTGCAACCCCAGCTGCTGCCCAAATATCTGTCTATTTTCCTACTTCACAGCTTTTGATCTCACAGCCTTTTCTGTTTGGAATGCCATTCCTTCTCTTTTTTGTTTGTAGACACAATTTAATGTTCCACATAAATCTTATCCTCTCTGTGAAGCCCAAGTTGACTTCCACAAACAGAGCTAGCCCTTTTCTCTCCTGTGCCATAGCGGTGTGATTCTCTTTCCTACTCTACTAAAGCACTTCACCCTTGCATTCTGTACCTGTTTACACAGTTATCTCTCCTAACATCCTACAACGTCAGGGACTGTTTTTCGTGTTAATATTATAGCCCTAACACCTACATACCATGACTACAGGGATTTTAGAGAATATAGGCCACTCTTGCTTAAATGCAATTTGCTTACATTTACTGTCTAATCCAGTGGTTTCCAAGTGGCAGCTGATTGCCTGCATTGAAATCATCTGGGAGCAATTATGAAAATGAATCCCAATGCACACCTCTGACGTTCTTAATTAGACTCTCTAAAGGTATTCTTTGGAAATATTTATTTTTTAATAAGCTTCCCAAATGATTCTGATGTGCAGCCAGGTTTGGGAACCACTATGCAACTTACTTCACTTACGGAGCCTTGTAAATGCTCTTACTGCCTTTTTCCACATCAGTATTATGTGACTGAGGGAGGCAGTGCGAGGCATGGGTTACAGAGTAAGAGGGTTTGAATCCTGGCTGTGTACATCAGAGTTACATGATCCTGAGCAAATAAATGAACTAATCTGTGCCTTGGATTCCTCATCTTAAATGAGAGAAAGTCTATATTTCTCAGAGGACTGTTTGTGAGGATTGAGTGAGGGGTATGCCATATAAAGCCTTTGGTATAGTACCTGTTGCATGGAAGGCACTGCATCAGTGTAAGCTGTGATGGAGAAATTGGCTTCTCCTCAGGAAGACAGCACCTCATATCCACAGAGCAATCCTCAGAGGCATCTTAGGTGGTGTGTGTATATGTGTATATACAAGGTATACATATAGGATACATACACATATGATAGATATACATGTGATATACATGCATATGGTATACACACATGCCTATATATTAATATATAAAAGAAAACTCTGTATTTTTTTTAAAGCAGGGTTTGCTACATTGCCTAGGCTGGCCTCAAACTCCTGGGCTCAGCAGTTCTCCCATCTCAGCCTCCTGAGTATCTGGGACTACAGGCATGCACCACTATGCCTGGCAGTCCTACATTTCTGATGTGTTAAACAACTGGATGTGGTAACTGTCCACCTTGTGGCTAGTAAAATATGCCCTCCTTCCTTTCAGCAATACAATTCACAGAAAATATATTTTTTTAAGCATTTTACATTTTGAGCCTCTGGACTTATATTCCCAAAGAGTTGCTTTCCTCATAGTTCATTAATCTTATTAATGAACACTGTTTTTGTGTTTAAGTTTATCCTTGAAAACTTGATATGAATGCATAGTACGTATGGAGCCCTCAGTTAAAAGAATTCAATTGTGACTATTTCCTAACTGCAGCGTTTTATGTTTTTTACTTAACTAGAGCAGATTCCACATATGGAGTTATACATGCAGGCCAGTTCTAAGTCAGATGTTTATAATTACAAATACTGAAATATCTCAGTCAGATAAGAAACAGAGATAGATTGTGCCCCAGGTGAAAACCAGGTATTATCAACAATGAGAAAAGAAAAGGCAATGGCAGTATTGATTCCCTTGTCTGATCCCGTGTTTTTCTAAGTGAAGAGACCAGTGTAATTACCCAGATGAAATATCAGTGCAATTTTCTAATGACACTGACTCCCTTACAGTTATTGAAGTTGTGATGGTGGCATGGTTAGCCTTCCTGGCAGTCCCCAACAAGTCTTCAGAATTGGCTGATGTCCTTATTGTCTGTGCTAAAGGAAGAGTCTGTCTCCACAACAAACCCTGCCATTCTGTTTCCTACTTTAAAGATCAAAATATCATTTCAGATGCTTGGGTTTCACTTCTCCAGTGAATTCATCTCCCTATATTCGATAATGACTTTAGTAAATCTAAGGCTGTTTACTTTAAAGAAAGAACCACCACACCCACTGGCAAGTTTTGAGTACATTACATAGAACAGTACTTCTTCAGTGTCAAATGTGTGCTTCAGTTAAATGTCTAGTACTATGGGAAGAATTTGTAAATGTCAAACATCAGGATGATTACCACTTAACTCATCTCAACAAATTATATAACTGCACTTTTTACAGAATCCTTAGGGACGTTATACTCTTAGGGCTTCTTTCTTGTAGCTAAGTCAGTCTCTACTCCCATTCCACCATTTGTCAATAACCAGAATTGAATCTGAAGCCAAAATTAGATAATGGCTATGCTCCCAAGACATCAACTTAATAATATTAATAATCAAGTGGTACCAATGGCATGCACCAACAACAAACTTGCCTCTGCAGAAGTTCAAATAAGTAGCAGCACACCGGACATCCTGTCAGTTCTTGAGTTCAGAGCATCCACACATCTTCACACTAAAACCTTTCAGGTTAGAGCCCCATTTCTTTTCACTATGAGTGCATACTTCCATATGTGGAGTTCCTAGTAAATGACCAGAATTGCACTGTGCCAAACTAGGCATGCACAGATATGGCTTAATGGGAGTTTATTTCAAATAATGGCTTACAAATGTAGGTAACTTAAAGAATTATGTGTCCCATTTTCATTCCTTACTATTCAACAGTACAATAATGTTACTGTTATTCCATCTTCTCTCAATACATTCCAACATACCACCCTTCCCATTTTACACTAATGGATAAGAAGTTATGTATTTGTTGAATGAGGTCTAATGAGATGTAATATTGTATCATGGTTAAGGCTGTGTTTTCAATTCTAGTTGCCCATTAGAGTTAACCAAATAGTTTTTTTAAAATATTTTAAGTAATTCTTACCCTACCTACCCCAATACCATAATGATTTCCGTGTGTGTAAATATATACATACACACAAGCACAGGGGATTCTGATCCATGAACAGGGCTAAGAACTCTGGGTTCAGAATTTGGGTTCTGAAGCCATAGGGACCTGGGTGTGAATGCAGGTTCCTGGGCTATCAGACCTTGAATGGGGTCCATTACTTCCAGGCCAACAGAATCAAAAGCTCGTGGTATACAGCCTGAACATCAGTTAGTTTCAGTAGCAATTACTGATTTAACGTGTTCTAAATGTGCAGCCAGGACTGAAAATCACTAGTTTAATACTTAGTTGTCAGATTTTTTTAAAGGGAGATAATATATGAGATTCAATGAAATACTTTATGAAAATGTTTAGCCCAGACCCTGGCCCACCCAGCTCAATAATGCTGGTCGTTATTGTTAAGGCAGGAGATACAGAGGGATCACTGTCTAGAGCTGGGACTGGCAATCTGGAGTCAGAGCAAAACTGGCTGAGGTGACCCCTCACTGCCGATCTTACTACCCTGCTGCATCAGATGAGTTATTAGCCTAACTGGAGCCCTCAGGAGAGTCTGATCCCAACTCTAATCCTGGGAGATAATCTGAACCCTGACTCCTTAATCCTGAGAGTCTGAACCCTAGCTTTTTAATTCTGGAGTAAAGTCTGAACCCTAGCCCCTTAATTCCGGAGGAGAGTCTGAACCTTAGCTTCTTATTCCTGGAAGTGTCTGAACCCTGGCTCCACAGTCCTGAGAGAGATTCTGAACCCTCAATCCTTAATCCTGGGACAGAATCTGAACACTAGCTCCTTAGTACTGTGAAAGAATCTAAACCCTACCTCCTTATTCCAGGGAGACAGTCTGAACGCTATCTCCGTAATCCTTGGCAAATTCTTGAACAAGATGAATCTCAGAGGAAAGGAAAATAAACATGTTATAATCCAAATAACTAAATGGGAGCTTGGGGAGCACTAAACTGACATTGTAGACAATAAACAACAAAAATGGCAGGAAATTGGACTGTGTGTTTGGGTGAAATGTGACTGAGAAGCTTACAGTACTCCAGTTTCTGAGCATGGAGTGAAAGGGGGGAAAAAGGGTACAATGGAAAGATAAAGCTCAAAGTAACATACATGATAGACTGGAAGTTGGAGAAGCCTGAGGCAAAGAAGCCCACTTGGAGAAGTGTGATACAATCTGGAAGTGATAGAATGAAGAGCTGGTGAGTACACAGTTGAACCCATCTAGGTTGTGGTTGCTTTATCTAACCTGTCAAATCTAACCCGTGGCAGATCACCCTGAAGAGCCCATTAAATGCTGATATTCTGATATTTAACAATTAAGAGTAGTTAGGAAGACACTGTTCAATGGGTAGAGTTTCAGTTTGGGATGATGGTAAAGTTCTGGAAATGGGTAGCAGTAATGGTTGGACACAATGTGAATGTACTTAACGCCACTGATTCAAACACACGCAAAAGGTAGACGGGAAAAAATATACACACGATGCATTTCAAAATTAAAATATGGCATATGGGGTGGCTGACAGGATGTAGGAGATGAAGGAAAAGAACTGATCAAAGAAAACCATGTGGACTCAGGCCTTTTTTCCCCGGGGACAGCACTTTTGGAAAACAGGAAGTAAAGTAGGGCATCTTGTTTGGTGGGGGAAAATGATTGCTATGGTAGACATTTTGTGTTTCTGGGCTGGTAGGGCACATAAGGAAAAATTATTGATCCTTAGTAGATAGAAATGAAGATCAGAGCTCAGGTGACAAATCAGAGTGATTCTATAAATTCAGGAATTAACACTGATGTTACAAGATGGGATTCTAGAGTTGAAGTATTTCACTTTCTTCCTGAAGAACTTCCTGAACTATGAAGGAAGTGACCTCCTCACTATGATCAGTTCATCTCACCCTGCCCACCACATTTTTTTTAAATAGATGAAGAAACCTTAGGGAAGCAAGGTGGCCCACACAATGTCACCTAGAGAGTGAACTAGATCTCCTGAAACCCAACCCATTGGCCCTTCTATTTCACTGTTTTATTCGGGAGTCATCACCTAGATTTGTCAAGGGTACACAGTCCCAGCAAAAGACTACAGAGGGAAATGATGAGAGAGGTCACAAATCCTCTATAGAACAGCCACAATCAAGAGCTTATGAGGGATAAGAAAAGATGAGAGGTCCTTGTCAGTCTATGGAAGACTAGGAGAGAAAATGTCAAGAAGAGAGTAATCTTGGAAGCTCAAAGTGAAATCTCGGAAAAGAAACTCCTCTTTGATTTCTATTAACCCTTGCATTATCTGATGCCCTCATCATACGAGACTAATCATCTCTAAGAAACCTTCCCAAACAGTGATGGCACCTCTGCCTCAGGACCCTGCAGCACTCATACAACCTTGACTTCAGTAATGCTGTGGTCATGTTCTTGGAGATGCCAGCTTTATTTAAAACAATATTATTTGAAGACAAATTTCCTATAGAAATACTGGTATAATTTTGGGTCTTGTTCTCAGAGAATCCCCAAGTGACCTACTATACCATAAAATGTGGCACAAAAAGTTAAAATAACTTATCAAAACTTACTTAAATAACTTACTCAAAATAAGTAAGACCCAAAGATAGCCAATGACACCAAGACTTAGTTTTTAGGTAGAGTGGTACAGTAGAAAGAATGCAAGATTTGGAACCAAATGGGGCCTTTCTCGAGGATGGCAGAGATTGAGCCATACTCTATTTCTAAGGATTTTCTACTTTTAGGATTAGTTATACCATGGGGACATTGATTTATCTGGCTTCTTAACATGCTCTTGAGGATTCCAGCCCACCCAGATTTTAGTTTCCAATAGAAATGAGTAAAACCACTAGTCAGGAATGGCAACTACTTTTCAAGAAAGTCCAGAAAAGTTGATGATGGATACTTAAGCTGCCAAACCACTGGTGGACTGCCCTGTTTTTGTGCTGTGTCTGCTCATGTTCTAAGGCTGTAGCAGAGAAAGTGATTGTTCACGGCATCCTAAGGGAGTTGGAGGAGGCAACAGTCTGTTAAAAAAAGAAAAAAAGTTCCCTATGTGTCTGGTGGGAATGCTGAATTTTATGTCTTATTTGGTAGTTTGTATTCCTAAAATGCTCCAAATACTTGAATAATGTATTTTCCTGGCCATCTAAAAGACATAATCCGTGTCTTTTAAAAACCTGCTAGCTTCTCTCTGTAAAGATAAATTATGAACTTACAGGAAATCATGCAATCAGATCTATGAAAGTCTGGACCCTCCTTGGACAACTGAAAGAATGCTCCATTCTACCCAAAAGGGCATAACAGATGTGCATAAATAATTGGTCAAATTTTCATCAGAAATGTCATTGTGACAGCCAGTTAAAAGGATTAAGGAAATAAAAACTGGGAAATGAGAATGTAGTCATAGTGCTTATTAAATATTAATTTACATTTGTTCTCCCTGAAATGCTTTTCTCCATTTCAAGAACATGGCCTGATTCTTAATAGTTTCTTCCAGGCCAGAAAGCAGGAGCTGCTTGATAGGTATGGTGCTTCCTGTCTTCCCGCAATGACTAATGCGAGGTGAAAATGCCCCTGTGAAGGCAGAGGGAGGCCTGTGGAGCAAGGAGAGACAAGAAGCATAAGTAGCTGAGGTTACTGTGATGGCAAGAAGTTAGCAGGGGGCTCAAAGATTCCACAGGAAGTGGGGCTTCACATTCTTTTCTCTCTGAGACAGGGCCCCATGCAGTGGGGATGGCAGTGCCTGCAACTTGAGCTCAGGAACATGCTGCCTCACCAAGACTCCCAGTGCATGCGACTGATGTAGGCTGGCAGCGGGCAGCTCAGAGTAACAAGTGCAGACAAGGACCAGTTACTAAAAGCATCTTCTCAGTTAAGCTTTCCTTTCCTTTACCTGCTTCCCTGTTTCCCTGGGGAACAAGGGAAGGTTTCTTGACCTCAGGCTACTTCCTTGTTGGCCGTGCAAGACACACCAAATACAACCCTATGCTCTGACCATTTTGCAGTTCTGACTCTCAGCGTTACAGAATCTCAGGGTTGAAAAGGAATTTAATCGTCATCCATTCTCTTCTAATATGAAGGAAAATTGTTTTTCTGTTCATGGTGTACTTTAATATCTTGTTACTTCATTTTAAATAAGATTAACTTAATAAACATATACAAGTTTACAAAGCCTATCTCTTCTTATGTCTTATTGCTTATGGGCCCACATTGCATCTGTGAATTGACAGAATTAACAGATAAAAACCCACAGAAAAGGGATGATATTGAAAAGATAATTAGGAAAGAACTAAAGTGAGGTAAGCAGGTCTTCTCAGGGGCCTTGAGTTCTTTCAGGAAAGTTGTATCCAGCTTCAACTTGGCATCAACAAACCATGTGACCTTGAAAGAACCATTACTCCCCTCTGGGCTGCAATGTTCTTATTTTTAAAAAGAACATAGTGCAAAATGTCTACCAGCTCTCCTCTAGCTCTATTGGCCTGCAATTCCGAACCTCACTCCTGATAATATGGACTCCCAGGAAGCATATTAGCATTCAAAAGAGACTTTTAGGATTTCTCAGTTTAACACCAGTCAGAATTGTGTTCAGAGGCAAAGATATATTTAGCAGGTAGGCCTTTTGTCTCCTTTAATCATAATATTATGCTAGGCTGACCAGAGTTTATTCTTCACTAGACATAGATATAAAACAGATTATACCATTGCTAAAATAAGGTGTTATTAAAATGGGAAATTTCTGCAATTGTTTGGAAAAGTGGGGGAGACATAATTTTAATGTATTACAGTCTGTTTTATAGAAGACTTTATAGATTGCCTCTATGTTTTTATTATAATGCATGCAAAATATAGGTTCTTTCTTTTTCAAAGGAAAATATTTTATACCTTGATATTCTTCTAAAAAGATATACAAAAGCCTTCTATGGCCACCTTCTTTCTGCTATTGTTTATAAGGGTTATGTTTATAAGGGTGCTTTAGCCTAAATACCTACTTTCTTACTTATTTACTGGAACAATATGGGGAAGAGGGAATGGGAATTGAAAAAAAGGGGGGAGAGAGAGATCCTTAATTTCTGTTTCATAGCTGAATTACTGAATTTCTAGAATCCTAGTGATTCTCTATTTCATTAGAGACGGGGATTCATGTACCATACTCAATAGTTCAAACTGTCGGGCCAGGCACTGTGGCTCACACCTATAATCCCAGCGCTTTGGGAGGCTGAGGCGGGCAGATTGCTTTTGACCAGGATTTTGAGACCAGCCTGGGCAAAATGGTTCCTGTAGTCCCAGCTACTCGGTAGACTGAGGTGGGAGAATCACTTGAGCCTGGGAAGTCGAGGCTGCAGTGAGCCATGATTGCACCACTACGCTGCAGCCTGGGTGGCAGGAGTGAGACCCTGTCTCCAGGGAAAAAAAATTATTGTGCAACTTCAAGCTGTTTCTATCAACAAAGAAGATGTCCAGAAATACTATCATTGGTGCTGTGTTTATAAATGCAAATCTCATTACCCTGGTGGTCCATTGATAGCTTAAGAGGAAATAAAATGCAATTTTCTGATTATCTATTACCAGATCCCATGAAAATTACAGTCTAATAGAATTCTCCCAAAATTTCACATGCATTTGAGAGTTTGCATACCCAGAAGCCTTTCTACCTAACTAAAATTCTGACTCAGTATATCACAAACTATTTGGCAACTTTATGCAACTAGTCATTTGTTAGACAAAAATTTACATAAAACTGAGCAACCAACAGGCAATCTGTTATCTCTTAATGAAAAGCATCTAAAATTATCAACCACCTAAGCTTTAATCTATTTGCAAATGCCTCTTCTAAGAAAAGGTCAAGGTCCTATCTTAACATGCTACATGCCACATTAAGCAAAGAAACATGAGACAAACATATGAAAGACTTCTATCAGGAGAGGAAAACAAAATGGAAATGATGATATGCCGGTAGTCTTTGCTTTAAACAATACTTCCAAAACATGGCAAGTTTCCTGGTGACCATTTTCTACTATCTGTGTGCTGCCAAACCAACACACACCTCCCCTTTTTCCCCACCCATTCCCAAGGTCACTAACCTTCTCAGTGCTGACAGCGAAGACTCCTTAAAACAAGGTTGACAAGATGTGAAAACTTTCCACATGCAGCCTGCCAAATGTCTAAACTGGATGTATCACTTTTCAAGCCCACCAAGCTAGAGGAACATTTTGGCACTGGTAAAAATGTTAGTATTCTCCTTCTATTAAAGCATGTGTTGTGTGTGTGTGTGTGTGTGTGTGTGTGTGTGTGTGTGTGTTGTGTATGTGCCTATGCATGCACCACCCCACACACAGATCCACACACTCCATTTGTTAAAAATTCTCATTAATTTTTTCTCCAATCCACTCCCACTCCATTCACGTATGCCCACACCCATAGTCATTTTACATGACCATTACATCAGAAAGTGGTGTCTCAGGGATCTAGTACAGTGTAATCCATCAGGTGGTCTAGGTAGTTAATCACAATTATTTCTCTATGCTATGAAGGCAAATGGCTTTTATCACCTGTTTTCTTCCTACTTGAAGCACAGGCTTCTCTTCAGGTCTAAATGGCCTGGTTGTCTCCACATGCTTTTGCACTAGCTCATCCTGCCTGGCACAAAACCTTCACAGCTGTGCCATATGTCACACACCATTAACAATGAGCTCCCAGTTACACACTGAAATGCTGTCTTTACAACTCCTAGCTGCCTCCCTGCTGGCTGCCCAGCATCTTGACGGACACACAGTTTGGAAGATCTGCCTCATCACTTCTCCTTCCCCACCCAGGCTGGCAGAAGGCATACTGGTTACGATGATGCTTACCACCGATGATAAACTAAAAAATGTTGTGTAGGAAACTCCCTCTATCTTCTCATACTGCAACTATTTGTTGCAATCTGGGTTTTCAACATACTGTTTTTGCATCCAGAGGCATAAGCATAGACATATTTTCAAAGATTTAGAGATAACTAATTAAAAACTACAGACCTGTTTGGATAACTATTCAATACTAGATTTACCCAAGTCATGATTTTAACCTGTCTGCCTCCATCTCCGTGTTACTGTGCCAAACGACCACTGCTTTAAGATTTCCAAAGTATTATAATAATAGTTCAAAATTAAATATTTGTAGTTTTGGCAGGCTCCAAATGACATCAGCTGATTTTATTCCCCAAGTGGCTATTGCAAGCCTACTACAAGTGGTGGACACTCTGCCACGTGTGGTGCATGCAACAATAAGTAAGGAGGTAGACAAGTAAACAGATGGCTGCAGTACAGTGTGATAAAGACAACGCCAAAGGGGCTTTGAAAGCATATAGAAAGGTATTGGACCCTAAATAGAAGGATAAAGGAGGACTTCCGGGAGGAGGGTAATACTGGAACTAAATCTTAAAAGGAATGAGTTACTTATAAGGAAGAGAAATGGGAATAGTGGTAAGAAGGAATTTGTGAGAGAGATTCTGGGATACTTGATCTGGATGGTGGGTACACAAACATGTTCACGGTGTTATGATTCACTATACTTACAATTTGTGTACTTTTCTGAATGTATTTTGTATTTAAGATAATTGTTAAAGAAAATCACTGGAGTATATTACAGAATTTAATACTTACCAGAATCTTGTGAAATAGTTACAGTAATCTTCATTTTAAGGATGAGAAAACTAGACTCATTCTGAATGTGAGTGATGTGTCAGCTCCATGACGGTGTTGAGGTTTTGGTGGCAGGTACGTCAGGCAGGGTTCCTACTGGCATGATGTTCACACTCTAGTTGCAATTGAATAGTTTGTCCCAGGTCACAATTTCAATAAGAAGTAGAACTGGATTCCAAACTAACTATGGCTGATTCCAGAGCCCCTGCCCTTTCTCAGCATACTGCCAGATTTAGTCCTGTTGTCAGAGTCCGTGGAAGACTTTGAAGAAATTTAGTAGCAGAAAAATGAGCAAATCTACAGTTTGGAATAATTACTGTCAGCAGTGTGGAAAAAAGATGCAATATAGAAAAGTTCTTTACATTTGTGGTTAATTGACTTTCAATAAAGGTGACAAGCTAATTAAATGTGGGGAAAGAATAGTTTCTTCAACAAAGTCGGTTGGGACAACTAGAGGTCCACATGCAAAAGAATTAAGTTGGACCCTTATCTCGCCATGCAGAAAATGTAACTCAAAATGGATCACAGATCTAAATTAAAAGCTAAAATTATAAAACTCTTAGAAGAAAACATATGTATAAATTTTCATGACCTTGGATTAGGTAATGGTTTGTTAGATATGACAGCAAAAGCATAAGAAACCAAGAAAAAAATAAATAAATTGGACTTCTGATATGGTTTGGGTGTGTCCCTACCCAAATCTTAACTTGAATTTAACTCCCACAACTCCCACATGGTCGTGGGAGGAACCCAGTGAGAGGTGATTGAATTATGGGGGTGGGTCTTTCCAGCATTGTTCTCATGGTAGTGAATGAGTCTCACCAGATCTGATGGTTTTAAAAACAGGAGTTTCTCTGCTCAGGCTCTCTCTTTCCCTGCTGCCATCCGTGTAAGAGGCGACTTGCTCCTCCTTGCCTTCCACCATGATTGTGAGGCCTCCCCAGCCACATGGAACTGTGAGTCCAGTTAAACCTCTTTCTCTTGTAAATTGCTCAGTCTTGGGTATGTCTTTATCAGCAGTGTGAAAATGGACTAATACAACTTTCATTAAATTTGTTTTGTTTTTTAACAGCAAGAGATGGGACTTGCCTTAAGAATGTGAAATATTTTCCTCTCCTAGCAATACCAAACTGGGTGAATGAGTCACTCCAACAAACTCCTAAGAAAACAGAAAATTCTATTTCCTATCTTACCCTCAACAGTATTTTCTGGCATTGGACACTAAGAATTTTCCTTAACATTCTCAAAGGAAAGAAAAAACACTTCGGACCAGAAAACTAATATTTGAAATAAGAGGAAATATTTGAACTTAAAAATTCCCTTTTGAATTGCAAAGGAGTCAAGTATACCTTGCCTTAAAATGGCTTTCCATTTTTTTTCTCTCAATGAAATCATCTTGAACACTCAGAAATTCCAATTTAAATAATGACTTTTTAAAAACACCTGTTCAAATATGACCTTATTTTTATATACTCACTATATCACATATAACAGGCATGTTCAATTGGACTTCATCAAAATTCAAAACTTTTATGCATCAAAGGACATTCCCAACAAAGTAAAAAGAGAGCCCACAGAATGAAGAAAATATTTGCAAATCATATGTCTGATGCAGGCCTAGCATCCAGAATATATAAAAAAGTAACACAGTATAACAATAAAATGACAAGAATTTGGCAAAACATTTGAATAGATATTTTCCCAAAGATATAGAAGTGGCTGTCGGGTGTGGTGGCGCACACCTGTAATCCTAGCACTTTGGGAGGCTGAAGAGGGCAGATCACGAGGTCAAGAGATCATGACCATCCTGGCCAACATGGTGAAACCCCGTCTCTACTAAAAATACAAAAATTAGCCAGGCATGGTGGTGCACACCTGTAATCCCAGCTACTCGGGAGGCTGAGGCAGGAGAATCACTTGAACCCAGGACACAGAGGTTGCAGTGAGCTGAGACGGAGCCACTGCACTCCATACTGGAGACAGAGCAAAAACTCCATCTCAAAAAAAAAAAAAAAAAAAAAAACTGGCAAATAAGCACATAAAAAGATACTCAACATCATTAATCATTAGGAAAATGCAAATCAAAACCACAATGAGATACCATTTCATACCAAGTAGAATGGCTAAAATAACAGACAATAATAAGTCCTGGCAAGAATGTGGACAAATTGGAAACTTCATAGATTGCTGGTAGGAATGTAAAATTGTGCTGTCACTGTGAAAAACAATTTGTCAGTTTTTCTTTAATTATATGATTGCATTTATATCTAATGTCCAGAATATGCAAATCCAGAGATATGAAATAGATTAATGGCTGCCAGGGGCTAGAAGGGAAGAGGTGTCTGCTAATGGCTACAGGGACGCTTCCTGGGGTGACAGCAATGTTCTAAAATTATGCAGTGTCGACGTCTGTACAACTCTGTAAATTTACTAAAATTCATTGAACCTATACATTTACAATAGGGAAATCTTATGATATGTAAATTATACATCAGTAAAGCTGTTTATTTTTAAAAGTTATCTGAGATCTCTGAAGGAAAGGTGATCTATGTATGTGAGTATAAATAATAAAGACAATATATATTACATTGTTATTATACAATCAGAAAACTAGACTACTTCCAATTTTTAAAAGAACAAAATCTCTTCATTTGCTCTGGGATCTGTGAGGATTTTAAATAAGTGTATTTCCTCTAATGTCAAAAGCATAATAGCATAATATAAGTGAGTAAGAGGCACACAGAATGGCTTTCTAATTCAAATTATACCCAAACAATAAATTGTATTGAATCAAGTCATATTTGTACATAACATGATTTTCAGCCAACTTGTGATGAAAACTGAAATGCATAAAATGTGTCTTGTTATAATCACAATGCAATCTGGAAGATGAAATATGCTAGAATATCTAGTTACTAGGAGTTAAGAATTCTAATACCTGAAGCCAGCTTTTCCTAAGTGGATTTTAAATTCAATGTAAGTGGATTAAGAAATTCAATTTTCTGTTGTCACACATGACAAAAAGCTTGAAAAGTGATGGTAAAATATATCTTTAAACTTGAGACTGGGCACAGTAGCTCATGTCTATAATCCCAGCACTTTGGGAGGCCAAGGTATTTGGATCGCCTGAGCCCAGGAGTTTAAGACCAGCCTGGACAACATGGTGAAACTCCATCTTGACAAAAAGTACAAAAATTAGCCAGGTGTGGAGGTACACACCAATAGTCCTAGCTACTCAAGAGGCTGAGGTGGGAGGATCGCCTGAGCCTGGGGAGGTTGAGGCTACAGTGAGACCTAGTCCCCAAAAAAACAAAAACAAAAAACCAACCTGCCCTGCCCAGTTGTACAGCTTCTTCCAGACAGAATTAGTACCAGCACCGCTGAAAAGAAGATGTATGTAACTCATCCTCCAAAATTTCAGCTAATCTCTATGAATATATTCCTTTATTTTGGACTGAACCATTATTATAAAATCAGAATTTTGTAGGCTTATTTTCCAATGTTCTTCAAAAAAACCACAGAAAACTTAGGCCATTTATGCTTAGCATAAATCACACTAGTAGAATCAGATCTATGAAAATGATAAACAGCTAAAAAATTTCACCATAAGGCTGTCATTTCTCATTCTAAGAGAAAGGAGGAATCCATAGAAACAGCAAAAGTCCTGGGCCCTGATCTTCTGCCAGTGATTAACTGACCCTTCTTGCCTCAGCGTATTAAACTCTTGACTCTACCATCTGGTGCTCACCCATCATCTGTGTTTCCTGTTGCTGCTGTTGCAGAGGCTCTCCAGGATGTACCACATGGTGTATCTATTCATGAGTCATGGATATGTAGGTTGTTTCTGCTTTTTAACTATTATTGGAGTTATGAACATGCATTTATAAGTTTTGGTGTGGACATAGTTTTAAATTTTTTGGTATATACCTAGAAAAGGAATTGCTGTGCCACACTAAACTCCATGTTTAAATGGACTCCATGTCAAACTCCAAGTTTAACTTTGTAAGAAACTTTCACCAGGTCACATATCATAAAAGGCAGTTACTAAGGAAGGCATATTTTCCTATTTGCCTATTCTGGATATTTTATATAAATAGAATAATCTGATATATGGCCTTTTATGTCTGGTTCAGAGACAGAAAGTAAGTCAGTGGTGGCTAGGGGCTGGGTAGAGGAGGACATGGGAAATTGGTACAAGGGATCTTTTGGAGGAGATGAAAATTTTCTAAAGAGTTTTAAGAATGGTGATGGGTGCAGAGTCAGTTTGGTAGTATACAAGTAGCAGAAATGGTCACCAGGAAACTCACCACAATTTCAGAATTTCTGTTTGCATGGTAAAAATACACCATCATTTTAATTTCTCTTTCCTCATAGGAGGAGTCTTAGACATTTCCCTCTTGTATGATATGTGTTTATATATTACAAATATCAGACATATGATAGAAAAAGACTAGTAAGGAATAAGTCAAAATATTAATAAAAATTATCTCTTTTAGTAGTTATTTTTCAGTGGGATTTCAAATAACTTTTCCTTATAGTTGTTGGTATTTCTTAAGTGTTCTACAATGAGTTTGCATTACTTTTGCAATTGGAGAAAAATACATTTCGATGGCTTGTTTAATAAGCTACAGACTGCATAATGCCTTTACTTCAAGGCTTCCCCTTTAGGGACTGACCCTATAATGAAATTGTGGGTGGGTATTTCAATCTCAGTGCCAACAAGACCAATACAGATTCATTAATACCACAAAAACAAATTAGTTTGAGTTTTTTGTCGGTGTAACTGTCATGGTACTTCAAATGTCTTATAAAAATGGAATCATTTCAAACACATGGCTGGCTTTTACACACAGCTTTCTCTTTATGTACAACTGTCTGTATTTGTTTTAGGTGAGGGAAAAAGAAAGTCCCTGATGACATTTTGCAAATACCAGTTGATGATTTTCAAAACGATTTCTTTTTCCTAGAGCCAACTGTATCCTTTGGAAGTCTCTTACCATCTGCAATCAATAAAAACAAACCTTATCTTAAACTACGGTTTTTTAAAATGTCATTGCAGTACTCCACCTATTTTCTTGTAAGGGGAAAAAAAATAAATAAAAGCTTTGGTATGACTTCCACATTCTGGGGCCAAACTGTATTTCTGTGTAGAGTCTATATAGGAAGGGGTTAGGGTGGAGGGTGGGGAAGGGAGTGGATAGAGAGATTCAGCATCAAACATTAATGTATTAATAATAGGTAATTTAGTTAGCTCTGTTCCATAATTAATTTTCAGGGTATATTAAATTACATGACTAAAAACATTTGAAATATAGTCTATCTTACACTGATGCTTCTTAAACTTAATTTATATATAAATTATCTGGGTATCTGTTTAAATGTAGATTCTGATTCAGTAAGTTTGAGCAGAACTAATTTCTGCATTTCTTATATGTGTTTTTTTGTGTGTGTGTACACACATGAAATAATATTATGCATATATGGACACAATGTTTAATGAAGAATACCTGGTATTACACAGAACTTTTTCATTTTATTTTTAATTCAGACTGTTCTATGACTACAGCCTAATTCATAAAAAGGGGATACAAATCCCTGCTTAGAAAGTTCCATGTGGCTGTGGTAGGCAGCCTCCAGGGTCCCCCCCAACAATTCCTACCTCTAGTCCTGACACCTCCTCCATTCCCCTCTTGTATTGTACCAGGAATGGTGTGTGATGAACAGATTTGAGCAAAACAGATGCTGTGCCACTTCTGAGATTAGGTTATAAAAGACACTACAGCTTCCATCTTGGGCTCTGTTGTATGCTCTCTGGAATCACTCACTCTGGGCCAAGCCAGCTGCCATGTTGAGAGCAGTCTCATGGAGAGGCCCATGTGGTAAAAAACTGAGGCCTCCTGTCATTGACCATGTGAGTGAACTTGGAAGGGTATCCTGTGGCCCAGTCAAGTTTTCAGATGGCTGCAGCCTCAGCCCACTCCTGTAACCCTAGAGAGAGCCTGATCCAGAACCATCCAACTAAGCTGCTCCCAGTTCCGTGAATCTCACAAATCATGAATTCACAAAAATTCGTTGTTTTAAGCTGGCAAATTTGGGGTAAGTTTGTTGCACAGCAAGAGGAAACAAATACATGGCCTATATATAATGAATTCATAGAAAAGTGGTGTGTTCCTAGAGCTCATGAGATTTTTCTAGTAGAATATTTTGATCTCCCAAAGTTAAAAGACCATGCTATGTAATAGATTCGGATGTTTTATCAATGTCTTTCTGTCTTGGTTTCTGTTACTCATTGAGCAGTTTTGGCAAAGGGTGAGAGTGAAGCCAGCAACTCCTTTCAGACATACACCCTGACCTCCACGCCTGGCAACCTTATTACTGTATACTCTCCTAATTCAGCAGCCCACCCTGGACTCCTGCAGAAACAGGATAATGATTTATAGTAGTAAAAGCAGCCCTCCACCTGCTCTGTAGTACATCATACTAAAGAAGGAAAGCAACCTCATATTAAAAATATGCAGGCCTGTAATCCCAGCACTTTGGGAGGCCAAGCTGGGCGGATCACCTGAGGTCAGGAGTTTGAGACCAGTCTGGCCAACATGTAGTGAAATCCGTCTCTACTGAAAAATACAAAAATTAGCTGGGCGTGGTGGCACACACCTGTAGTCTCAGCTACTTGGGAAGCTGAGGCAGGAGAATAGGAGAATCACTTGAACCTGGGAGGCGGAGTTTGCAGTAAGCCGAGATCACGCCACTCTACTCCAGCCTGGGTGGCAGAGAGAGACTCCATCTCTCAAGAAAATAAAAATAAAAAAAAAATATTCAGGAAGGGAAGACCTAATTCATAGGTAGAAATCACAATGTCTAGCCTACATCCAAAATAAGAGCATCTTGATGAGAAGTGTTAATTTAATAATAACAACTTCTTACATCATGTTTTCTATTACTGTTCTGACCCATTTTAAAATATTAGTTCATACCGTTCTCACAAATTAATGAAATGGATACAATGATTATTCCCATATTACAGATGAAGAAATTGTAGGTTAAGTAACTTGCTCAGAGTCACATGATCAGTATGTGAAGGGGCCAAGCTGGCTCTGGAGTCCATGCTCTCAACCTCTCTGTACTGTCCCCTCAAAAATAACAAATGTTTGCTGCATTAAAATACTATGAATTTAAAAGTCAAGGGACTGGTTAAGTGGAAATCACATGCTTTGCGGTATTTTCTGTCTTAGTGAAAAAATACAGGGATATTAGACAACTTAGGGATAGCGCTACCTTCAAATCAACTACAATTTCGAATAAAGGCATATGCGTTTAGAGGAGTTTATAAGCAATTGGCTCTACTCTGTGTCAAACTGACAATGCAGATGACATTGCAGGTTTTTAAGTCCCACCTAATCCTAGGGCTGAGTGTAGAAGGATAAAATTGTCCCATCTGCATTCTATGATTCTAATACTTGGCCATGCTGTTTCTATGTTTATCTTTGTTTTCTGCCTCTGAGTTCCAAAGTCTTCTCCCTCTCCCCCATTAAAGGCAATCTCAGACTGAAAGCTGGTTGGCCCACTTCTGTGAGCATACCAATCAGATCATGAGTAATGACTGGGCACTTTCATTTAGGGATGATCCTAACAACAGGATTGAGTCCAGCTGCCATGTGTTGCCTAAACTGAATATTCAAACAAGGTGGAAAACACTGGACCTGTGTCCTTGGATACTGGTAGCTTCAAGGACTGTTTATTGCTCAGCATCTTAAATCAAAATAGAAAGAGATTTCACACTGGATCCTCCTTTTCCATACACATCTTCTTAGGCAAGGTTGGAATCCTTGTGCAGCAAATCTGATCATTAGCAAGAATCACTGAGTGAACCAGAATTGTTGTCCGTCTTTCCATTTCTGAATAGAAGCTACGGCTCTTTTTAATCAAGATGCAAGTGATTCCTTTTGACTTTCAAATAGAAAGATAACTTATGAAACTCATCAAGTGAGAGCAAATCCAGCCCTACCTGCTAGATGTTTCTATAGGAATTTATTTTTGTGCTTCAGATAACAATACATTCATGATGGATTTAATTGCAATGGTGCATGCTATATTTAGGACAATGTTGCAAACTAGTGTATTAAAAGGAAGTGTAAAGAGGTTAAAGTTTTAAATGATCAAGCATTAAAGCAAAAGATAGAGTTAGTACAAATTTGTAACCCTCATGTGGCTAGCCAAGAGTGAATGGAGAAGCAAGGTAGCTATGCATGGTTTTATTAGAAAGGTCCAATGTAACATGCATTTTTAAATTCATTTTTTGTTTATTCAATAAATATTGAGTATTTATTATGTGTCAGACATTACATTAGTTTCTTAGGATGTTTCATTGAGAAAAACAAAGACCCCTGCCCCTGAGAAGTATACTTTATAGTCAGGGCAGACAGATACTAAATGATAAATGTAATAAATAATTAAGTTCCAGCATTTGTTAGGTGACAGGTGCCATGGGAAACAACAATGGGAAGAGGTGTTGGGAGTAGTGGGAGTCCTAGTTTAATAAGATGGAGAGGGCCAGCCTCATTAACAAAGTGACAGTTCAGCTAAGATTTAAAGGAGGCTGAAGGAATTTGTCTTGGGTGTATCTGGAGGAAGAGCTCTCCAGTCCTTGGAAACAGCTAATGCAAGGGCTCTGAGGCAGGAGTGTGCCTGGTGGATGGGAAACACCAATGAGCCAGTGTGGCTGGACCAGAGAAGCGAGGGTGAAGGCGGTAGGAGAGAAAGTAACGAGGGCCAGATGATGTCAGACCTTAGAGGTCATTTAACAGACTACGACCTTAACTCTGAAAGAGGGGCAGACAACAGAGATTTTAGCAGAAGAAGGACATTAGCCAAATTGTATTTTTACTGAACTGCTTTGACTGCTAGAGAATGGCAAAAGAATAAATATAGAGATAACTACAGCAATTCAAATAGGAGAAGATGGTGGTTCAAAATAGGTGGTGGCATCAAGTAGTATAAGGACTGATTAGATTCTGGACATATTCTAAAGGTAGAGACAAGATTCTTTGCTGAACTGGATGAGGTGTATGAGAAAAAAAGAGAAGTCAAATGCCTCTGAGGCTTAGGCTTTTACAATTTGAAGGATGGAGTTTCCTTAATTAAGACAGAGAATGCCACAGGTAGAAAGATAGTCATTGTAGATACTTAAATGTGAGATGTCCATTAGAAATATAAGTGGAGATGTCAAGAAGACAGGTGGATACCAGAGTCTGAGGACAGACCTAATGCTAAATGATGAGTTAATGGGTGCAGCACACCAACATGGCACATGTATACATACGTAACAAACCTGCACGTTGTGCACATGTACCCTAAAACTTAAAGTATAATCATAATAAAATTTTAAAAAAGTATTTAAACCATAAAAAAAGAAAAAGAAAATTTTAATAAAAATGGCCTATTCTTATAGCCACCAGATAAGACATCTGCTACATAAAATGCAACCCCTGTCTTTATTTAGCCACATGACTCATTGGAGAACTACTATTGGCTGAAAAGGAATTGATAGAAAGGGAGATTTCATAACACAGTGAGAGAAACAATTACAAGCAATGTGCCAATCTGACAGGCAAATATGTGTGCAAAGTAAAACCCAGCAACCAAGAGCCCTTATGTCAGAAACACAAGTCTTATTCAGAATACTCAATATAATTGTTGCAAATATAATAATTTTGTTCTCAAAGGTGTGTGTTTCAGGAGAAAAGTCATATGTGAAAGCCATTTACACATTGCTTACACATCCTGACTTTCTGCTTCTTACCATCTCTTGAAGCTACTGGATCTCTAAAGACAATCTGTGAGTTTGTCTGCAATTAATGGACTACTACAATTATGTAGTCCATTAATTGTCCATAAACGTCTGTGTTCACTGTTTATGCAGTGAAAACTATTTCTATTTATAATCTCTTAACATATGATGGCATCAAGCCTTCGACTGCACAGAGAGGGGAAGCAATATCACACCATCAATGTCACATTACCCACGGTCTCTGTCCCTGCTTCCTCTAATAGTGCTGGCATGACATGGTACATGGCTATCTCCACAATATCAGAGAACAGTTTTATAAGGCACAACTTAGTAAAACTAGAATGCAGCAGAAGCTATCACATGACAAAGTCATTCTGAGTACTGTTAGAGACAATGGGTTTAGACTCTTGAAAGAAAACGCTATTTCCTTTATGAAGGGAAACATGCATGGTAGCTAAAAGCATAAACTTTGTAGCCAGACTCCCTTAGGTCTGAATCCCAGATCAGTACCGGGCTATGTGGCCACGAACAAGCATCATCACTATTTGTAAAATCACTATTTGTAAAGTACCAGGCTATGTGGCCATGAACAACCTCTCTATGCCACATCATCACTATTTGTAAAACAAGGATAATCATCATGCCCATTTCATGAGGGTTGTCAGGAATATTAAGTGAATTAATATTCATAAAGTCACTAGAAAAGTGCCCAGAACACAGTAAATCCTCTTTAAGTTCTGGTAAATAAACAAAATACAGATTTTTTTCCTTTTAAAGTGCACCTACTTTCTCTTACCACTATCATTGGTGTGTGTTTCTCAAATTTTTAATAGCTTTTCAGAAATTGCTGGCAGCCGTTAAATATTTTTGAGTTTTATTCCCATAATTGTAGACTTGTTCTCTCTAAAGCTCATCTCTGAGGTAGTTTCTGAGGCATGCCAGGTCCCCCTGCCTGCCTTCCTGCCTGCCTTCCAGAAATTGCCTGCAGCATGCCTGGTAGAGTTCCAAGTTCTCCACAGTCAGCCAAGTAAGGTTTAGTGTTATTTTTCATCACCTTGACGTCAGTGAGAAATATCACTAAATTAATGCAAAAAAGATGTTCAATAGGATTTCGTGAATAACTCAAAGCCCACTGCAAATACAGGATTGTCTATGATGTTTTGAATTGATGGAAATCTGTCTAGGGATTTCCAGCAATTCATAAACCAATTTCAGCTGACCGATGTAAAGTTTCATTTTTTTTAAAACCTGGCAAGTTAGAATGAAAGTAGAATCCCTTCCAGGCAAACACCCTGAATCGATTCAATTATCATTGACAACTAACGAATTCACTGCAGGTATCAGCAAAAGTCCCTTACGGAGAAAGTCGACCACGGTGGCTTATGTCCAAACTCTCTTGACTTACCTTAAAACATCAGCAAAGAAAGAATTGTCTCCACCTTGTTAGGCCTGCCTACACAGATTTCTAACTCCCACATTCCCTTCAGCCTTCACCACTGTCTTTAGACGTGCTTTTTCCTGCATGTGCAAAAGTCATTCCACTTACACTCTAAGCTTGAGAACTTTCTCCCACATGTTTCTTGTAGGCTGCCAATATTCATCAGCAAGGGATTTAACATGAATCTTCTTTTGTTTTTTTCTCTTAATATTTTGAGTTCCAGAGTCTGATGTAACAATTTTTTCTTCATATATGAGCAATACCAAAAGGAAGGCATTTGGGTCTCAAAAATAACAATTTTGAGAACAGTCTTTATGGGGGAATCCTTAATTTTCATATTTTTCTGGGTTTTTCACTCAGGTTTTCCTCTCCTCCCTCCTTCCTTATTTTTTAGCATTATTGCTGCCTAAGCCTTGTCCGTTCTGATATCAGAATACATACCTACAGCCTTCAGAAAGTTTGGCTCATTTTAAATTTCCTCACATGGTATATGCAGCACAAACTCGTCAGGTCAAACTCATTTTCTAGAATTGATTCCTCAAGTTTGATTAAGCTGTTTGGTTTGCATAGCTTTATCCGTAGCTGTTTCTCCTGATCCTGGGAGAGTGTTTGAGTTGAATGGCCAACTTTCATCAAATGGCCAACTTTCATCATTTCATGAAAAGTGCTGTCACTAATGATTTTTTTCAACGTGAAATCCAATGAGTATCTTCAGCCTTCCTGTTACTTGATCTCTCAATGTCATGTGACCCAAGTAAAGTGCTCTCCTCTTTGACCTCTAAGATTCTACCCTTTTCCTCATATTTTTCTTACCTCTTTTGATCCTTCTTGTGGGTCTTAATCTATCTCAAGCTTCTATTCCATTCTTCGCATTTATGACATTTGTGTTTTATTTCTCTCTTCACTCAGTAGAGCAATCCCAGCTTTACCCTTCACTACTCTCTACCTATATGACTTTGAGAAAGTTGTTTCACTTTTCTGTGCCTCAGTTTCCTCATCTACAAAGTGGAAAAACAGCATTTATCTCATAGGGTTGTTTAGTTAAATACTGAGTTAATAGTTACACAGTTACTTCATACTTTAATATCAATATACTTAATTTTAATATACATAATATAGTTAATATTTTACAAGTCCTCAGAACAGTGACTGTCATATAGTAAGCAGTATTTAGATGTTTAATTTTTTAAATTAACTCCCATGGTGTCAACAAAATCACTCACGTGCTGAAGACTTTCTGGATCCACATTCCAGTCAAGACCTATCTCTCTAGATACTACATACCCTCAAACTGAATGCTTTGTTATTGGTACCTTGAGATCTAGAAGCTCTCGTAATGCTTTTTTCTTTCTGCTCTAGCTCAAGAAGTGGCACCACCCAGTTGCCCAAGCCAGGACCCTGGACCTTGACTTTCTTCTGCCTCATCTGTACATCTCACCGTCAATCTTGCTAAATCTCTTTCCTGAACATATATGGAACTTATCTTGCTGTCTCCAGTCTTGCCCAATCCCATCTAACCTCCCCCACCTCATTTGGAGTTTTGTTAGATGTAACCAGATACTGCCCCATCAAGATCCTTCAATTATGTCCCCATCAAAACCACTGCCACTGTCATTAGTCAGTAAGAGCCTAAATGCCTGGACATGGCCTACCAGGTCTTCCTATTGGACTTACTCATTGTCCTTCATCTCTTTCTTTCCAACCAATTTTCACCCATTTTTCACAATCCCATCGTATCTAAATGACTTACTTCCCTGAGTACCCCGTATTCGCTCAGAACTCAGCTTTCATACATACTGCCCCACTCCTAATCCCTACAACCTTCTAGCTAACTCCCTTTTTTAAAGCCAGTTGGAGAAAAAGCCCTGGACTAGACATTAGAACACCTGGGATTTCGTAGCAGCTCCATCATTACTGATTGACTGTACAAGTTCAAGCCACATACAAATGATGGTAGCCTTCTTTCTAATCCTCAGTATCCCTCTGACAAAGATGACTACTAATTCAACTAATAGGTATTAAGCTCTTATATGCCAGAGCCTGTGCTAGACTCTAGGGATGAGGCAGTGAATGGATGGCATCTCTGCCTTCATAACATTTACATGGTAGAGGGGGATATTGACATTGAGCTAGTAAATTCCCCACAAATGTCTACCAAATGAAATAACTGCTGTGTATTGTGCAACTGTCTCCTACTACTATGTATGCACACTTCTGTTACAGCTCATCACTATATTGCAATTACTGCTTTTCTGCACACATTATCTTAGGTTTCTCCCAAAAGGAAACAGTGAGACAAAAACATGGGTGCAGTTGGTTTTAGAGGGTATGATCTCAGGAAGCACAGGCGAGGAAAAGTGAGATAAGAACTAGGAAAAAAAAAAAACCCAAAAAAATGGGTATATTTGTGAGTATATAACTGTTATGGGCAACTGAGTCTCAGCCCCTCGAAATCTCTGAGAATCTGTATGGAACATACCTCAATGTTATCATACCAGGGAGTATGGGAGCTGAAGCACACTATACCTATTAATGGAGTACGTCCCCTCGGGGAGATTAACTCCACTGCACTTTCAGATGGCACTTGCATGTAACCATGCCACAGGTGAACTCAGATGGACTAAGGCAAAAATGGACAGGACCTTAATGACATCTACTACAATGTCCAGTTCTCCTACCCACCTAAGCACTGCAAAAAGTACACATTATCTATCTTCCTATTCATAGCACTTAGCAGAGTAGGATCCTAGAACAGGGTGACAACTAAATAAGTGTGCTGAATGAATGGATAAACCTCTACTACATAAGTGTGGTGAAATAAATACCTGCATCAGGTTCCTGGTGCTCTGGAACACTGAAAGCTAAAGGGGCACAAGTGATGGGACTCCTGTTGGGAAACTGTTTTCTTAGTGAATTATCACATATAAAACTTACCATTAGATGCTTAAAAAAATATTAATTTCTAACTAGCTATTAATCCCATTTGAAGAGATGCATGGTACTGGTAGTACTGATGGGGTGGACTCACCAGTGATATCAGGAAAGAGTTGCATGGAAATAGCCAGTGGTTGACTTTTCTTGGGCTCAACACTTGACTCATAGCTTTATGAAAACCGTGACCCCAACTTCTTACTTCATAAAAGAAAGTATCTGTATTATTTAACTACATGAGCACCTGAATGTACAAAACTGTCTGTTGAGAAAAGATGTAAGTTCTGTTTATGGCGGTCAGTCTAAAGTGGACTCCAAAATGTCTTGTGCATATTTTTAAATGATGCTTGAAATTTTAGAGGTAAATATTTATTGACAATGATGATGATAGGTTTTGCACAGCTTTCTTTTTTGGCAGTAAATGACTTCCCATTTCACAGATACATAAAATAAGCACATAAAATAGTTTAAAAGGGCTTCTTGGACATCAAATAACTCATATTAAACATACTGATGAGTTAAGTGTAAATAAATGAGAAGCACATGGATAAAATTTTCCTTAAATACATAAAGCTTTAGACATTAAGTGAAAAAGAGACTGACAAAACACATCTGGGGTTTTGCCCACTGCAAAGTTATTTTTAGTTTTGTATATTAAAACAAATTACAATTCAATGTGTCCAGCCCCAGTATAAAATCTTGATTTATAAAATAACTCTTGTCATTATGATGATTGGGAAGATAGCATAGACAGTTAGGAGAACTTAGCCCTGACCCAAGAGGGAGAAAATTCTTCAATCTCATTTAAAAGCAAAAGGTCAATTTTTGTTGCTGTTATTTTTAGCAAGGGAAGTTTAAGGAAACACATTTCTACACTTCACTCTGCAAAATGAACACATGGAGAGAGCATCATTTTAGAGAAGAAAATTGCTGCTACCTGTTTTACATCAGCTAAAACTAGATCATATTTTAGAGGTAGGTGTGAAGAGTATTTGCTTCACCTAAGTTTGTTCAACAAAGTTGATCAAAAACTAATAATGTTCCCGAGTCAACTGATACATATTATGGGAGGGGTGGTTCAGTTGACTCTTATTCTTCATATCAGCCAGATTCATTTTTGCCCTTAACTATTACTTATAAGTAGGCATAGCAGGATGAGATCAAAAGAGAAACTGGCCCTGAGCCTTTGCTAAGAACCTTTCATTAAATCTGGTCCCTTTTCCTAGCAGGCATAAAGGGCCATTGCCACTTAGCTTAGAGAGTCTCCATGCCTGAGCAACAGCTTGGTAGTCACCAAGAAAAGAAGAGCAGCTGCTCCAATTCCATTACACAGGTATTTCTCTTACAAAAGAGACAGTGAATCACTAGCTCAAAAAGACCCCTCAAAGCCTCAAGCTCAGGATGTCTCAGATAGGGGTTGAAGCTTTCTCAAAGGGTGGTACAAAGCAGGTGTGTCACAAGAAGTTATCTTAGGGCTTTATCCCTTGAATGAGAATGCTAATTTCAGTCATAGACCCTGGTGGCCTGAATTATGGAGATTCTCTAAACCTGCCTAGTCTTGCACTTTCCCTACCTGCAGCATTCGCTGGGCCACAGTTCGCAAATCCAGTTCCTTTTTGAGGAAGCAACATGAATTGAAGAGGACTGAATGATCATGGAAGACCCTTGAGATGCCAGAGAGCTGAGAATTAGACACTCTATAGCCAACGGCCCTCAGATCCATTTGAGACCAACCAATGGCTGCACAAAATATTCAGAGAAATGGAGCCCTCAGGCACCCAAGAGAATGCAATTAGAGGAAAACTGAGTAACTGAAAGTAGTCTCTAGGGAAAGAGGAAAGACTTGATGAAGAAAGAAAAGGCATCTAGAAGCTAGGGCCCTTTGTCTGCCTTGTGGGGCTAGGCTTGGGGAGTAGCTTAACCTCACCTCACTTGCCTGTGTTCCTCTTTCTCTTTCTGGATCACTCTCTACTCCTCTCGTATCCCAAGGTAATTTGCACACAACAGTGAAAAGTGATACTGCTTATGAAAGAACATATGGTATCAGTCTGTCACTCTGCTCTCTTTGGTTTTATACGCAGGGGAAAGTGGCAGTAGGGGTGTGACTACAGGTTACTCCCACATAGATGTCAGAGGACTGCAGGCAACTGTGCAATTGCAAGACCTGGTGCCACGCTGCTGACAGCTAAGAATTCAAGGGACATTGGGTTCAAGTTCCGAAGAATTAGGCTACAAGATTTTGGTAAAGGGGGTCTAAAAGGCTGTCTGATATACTTCAAATGCATGTTTTGTTATTACCATGAATCTGTTTGTCCCAGGATGACTCCTTCTGAAATAAGCATCTCCTTTTATTTATACCCTTTGAATATCAAAGAAATGGTCAAAAGACCACATGGCCATGCCTTAAATTTGCCCTCAGGAAAGAGGGAATATGTGAGTCCTAAACTGAAGTTGGATGACAGGAGGGAGGATGATTTATTACCTGGGGCACTTAGTATTCTTCAGAATGTCCCAGACTGGCCAACATATGATACACAGAAGTACTGCAGTCAGCTACTTCCTGGGCTACTGTGTGCAGGCTCCAAACTCTTCCTGGATGACCTGCTGATTAGGAGTAAACACCTGGGTCCTTCCGAGGGATTCCTGGCAGATCTACCAAGTCCCCAGTCTCCTTACAATGAGGAAGGGAAAGAGAGAACACAAATGAGGGTGTAACACATAGGAATGGCCAGATATGAATGTAAAGGAGGAAAGATTATTAGAATTTATTTCCTCCAACAAACTTCAAATTAGGCGAGGGAATTTGTCAATAAAATTGTATTCACAAGTCTTAAACTTCTAATGTCTATGTATGCAGTTGAGAAGAGTCTTTTATGATACTGTATCTGAAGTAATTTTATAAGATTGCTGGTGAGTTGCAAAAAAACTATAGCACTGAGTAATGCTTATCAATTCGTTACAGCCCCAAACTTTTAATAATTTTATACCACGATCAGGGACAACAATAAAATATATCCCTCCCTACCTTGTACACAACAATGCTTTCACAGGTAACTGCTGGTGAATTTCAACTACGACATGTATTCTGATGATTTTTACTTTAATACTGAAAAGAATTTCACTTAAAATAGATAAATAATTACACATTGAAAAAGGAGAAAAAAAAAGAGCTAATTCTCTCATCAAAAGTCCATGATAAGGGATATTAAAAGACTCATCACATTGACTAATTTTTACTTAATGTTCAAATAAATTCTAAGAGTAAAAAAAATAGTTCTAAATATCACCCTTGATATTGAGGATGCAGTATTTTTTAAATAAATGCAAGAATTTAGAAGTCCAAGGCCTCTCCAACCACCTATTTACTAGACACAGACCAATATTTTGTATTTTAACCTTCTCTGTGATCTGGCTTCCAAGAGCCTTTAAGATCATGATTCTCGGCTGGGCACAGTGGCTCACCCTGGTAATCCCAACACTTTGGGAGGCCAAGGCGGGAGGATGTCTTGAGCTCAGGAGTTCAAGACCAGCCTGTGCAATATGGCAAAACCTTGTCTCAACAAAAAATTTAAAAATTAGCTGGGCATGGTGGCACAAGCCTGTACTCCCAGCTACATGGGAGGATGAGGTGGGAAGATGGCTTGAGCCTGGAGGTTGGGGCTGCTGTGAGCCATGATGGTGTCACTGTACACCAGCCTAGGCAACAGAGTAGAACCCTGTTTCAAAAAAAAAAAAAAAAAAAAAATTCCACACTCTTGCTTTTAAGAGTTAACGTGAATACTTTTTGCTCACTTCTTTCAATTTTAAGATTCTTGGGCTTTGGAGGAAACTAAACACCAAGAATATCTTCTTCAAAAGAGGCTTTCACTCTAGAAAGACTTTTCTCAAGTGTAATAAAGACCTACTTTCAAAAATCATTAATTATAAAGCCACTTCCTATATGTTTTAGAAACAGGATTCTTTCAGGTGTCATTTTATTCTATTTTCCCATCAGAAATCGGCAGTGGTTTGGCGGCAGGAAACTGTGCTGGAGGGCTCAGCACGGTGGCTCTGAAGAACAATGCTGGTCGTGACTGACTTCTGGCTCAGCATTTAACACTTCCTGGCGTAACTTTCTAATCTGTACCAGGTTATATACCTGCCTTCCAGTTAATGTCTTCAGGCATGCAGTTTGACATCAAATTCACAATGATTTAATGTTTGGGGTAAAAAAGGCAGCACATAAAACACAGTCTGGACTTCAAGAATCTTTCTGCTCCGAAGCTCAGAAAAATTGGTATTTGTTTTTATTTTGTTGCTTAAATTATTTTCAAGTCTCTAAACTATTTCTTTTTCTCCCTTTGAGTCCATATCCTTTTCAAGTCCCAGAGCATGGCTATAAAAAAAAATCATGTTATTTTTATGTTCATCTAGAACTTCGGCTCCTTATTCCCTGAAGTACTGCCATGTTCAGCATCACAACAAAATACTTCTCTCATTTAATAGTGTCTGTCACTGTGGATTTCTACCCAGGCAGTTTTGTTTCAGCTTCATGCATGCAAGGAAATGCTTCTGCTGCAGGAGGAAGAGGTGAATTCTAGCACTAACATAATTAAAATCTTCATTAGGATCCTGGGAATTGCAAAATTCATGTACATGGAGCCCATCAATGTAAAACTGCTGGATTAGGAGCCATCCAGCTCACAAATTTTGAAGGGAGATGAGAAGTATCATAGCCTGAGATGTGGACCACTTCTATCTCCAAATCACAAGAGTAACTTACAAATATCTAATGCAGCCCACTATACCCTCATGACAGGCATGGAGTGCTGCAGTTATGCAAGAAAAATTAGGCATAGACTTAATAACAGATATAAGAAAAGACAGCAGGGAAGAACGATGAATAAAAATGAAAGACTATTCCCAGAGTGGCTTGAAGATGTTACATAAAAAAGCCCCAACCTATGTGGTCTACAGTCTATTTTTGTTAGTCAATAAAGTAAGTTTCAATGTGGGAATTGCCAGATATCTGTGAAATATTACCCTTCTAATACATGGCGTTGGCAATATGCAGTCTATTTGATTATATAGTAATTAGACACTCAGGCCCATTCTTATCATCTAAACTTAGACCATTTTTCCTGCTGGCTAGAACCTCATCTAAAAGATGCAACTCAAATGTACAATTGCTGCTACTTGTCAGCTGTTCTGATAAAGCATTAGATATTTGTAAGTTACTCTTGTGACTGATTGAAAATAACCAAATAAGTGAAGGTGAGGGTGGCATTTTCAATGTCAAGAAGAGATTACGTAGATTCCATTTTAATTTGTCTACACTCTGTTATTTTGATCATAGGTAATTGTGAATTGGCTCTAGTTTAAAGCCAGATAGACAGAGATCTTAAACTCGGGCTGTCTTTACAAGATTCACAATAGTATGCCCTGCTTATTTGGGCCTTTTTTCCTTAACACAATAAATGTGCGCTAAGCAGAGTTGAAACTTGTCCTGAAAAACCCATGGCCTCAGGGGTTCCATTGAGAAATGCTGTGTGGGCAAACAAAGCTCTCTCTTTGCAGCTTTACAAATGATAGGTTTTCACTTTATAAGATGTTTTCACTGCATTCTTAAAGCATCTGCTGATGCAAAACAGCATGGGCCAGCAATCCCAGTTTAGCATTGTATCTGGAAACAAATGTCTTTTCATATGAGGCTCACACTCTCCCTTAGTTAGCTGCTTTCATTCAGAAGCAGGGAGAACAAGATGCAAGTTAGGGGGCCAAAGCGAGCTGCCTGCCTTAAGCAGTGTGACTCCCCTTTCCCTCAAGCACATATCACTATTCCCTTGCCTCCTTAGTGATAGATTGGGTAGCTTTGAACAAGCAGAGCAAGAAGCTCCCAGGGACGAAAGGAGGTGATGAGAGTCACTCTAGGAATTCAAAGATAAGAAACATCTGTACATAAAATAATCTCCTGACCGATATTGCAAAATAATCTTTTGCAGAACTGAGCATCCAACTGCTGTAACTAAACCTGTTCTTCGGCTGAGTTATTTGATGAGTCTTCCTAATTTTTAGAACCCTGACATGGTGCAGTGGGCCTGTGTTTTTTGTTCTACTCTCCAGAGGAGATTACTTGAGTAATTTGTCAGTATGGTTTTCCCAAAAGGAAAAATGACTATGCAATATAAGATGTAACTAAGTTAAATAGAAGTATGTCTATGTATACATTCTAGTGAGGTTGTATCTTTCTACAACATCTTCGCCATGGAAACAGCCCCATATCCTTTATTGCATTTGGCATTACGGGTAAGGTCTGCAAAGCACTCTTTGTGGGGCTAGTTTACTTTCTGCATTCTTGTTGCTATGTGATTTCTCCACTACAGTAATATTCTTTCAAGTACCCTATTTTTCCCTCTAGGCCAAAACACTCCAGAAATTAAGAAGATGGTATCTTATAAAATAAGGGGCTTAGAAATGCTCCATCAAAATAAGGTGATTTCAATTTTGCAATATTAAGTAAAACAATAAAATGCATAGCATGAAAGACTGTGAAAACATGAACTGGTCGTTGGTTGGGCAAGTGTCAGAGACGTTCCAGAGATTCAGCTTTTCCTTCTCTTTCTAGGCTATTCCTTTAGAATGCTGTCAGTCTAAACAAGTATGGCCAAGTTCTGATTATCCATAGCAATCAGGTCACGGATAATTAACACTTGTGGATCATAGAGACACCGAAAGTTAGGGCTGGAAGGAAACTCAGAGAGCACATATTCCAGTTCGCTTGTTTTACAGGTGAGACAACCAAGAGCGGAGACGGTGTCCTGTACGAATTTACACATCTCATTAGGGGTAGACCCTAGAATAGAACTGAGTCTCTGACTCACAGTACTCTCTTTCTACTCTCTCCCATGGATTATTTTTAGAGGCTATTTTTTTTTTATTTATACATACGGCCTTGACCTCTTCCTTAAAAATAAATGTTTTTAGGGATATAGTTGCTGAGTAATCTCTAACTTACCTTATTAAGTCTGATTTATTTTACTTTGCTCCAGTCCACCCTTAGTTTGAAGCCTCATATAAGTGATGAAATGGCCAGTAGACACAGGTAAGATAAAGAAAGCCTAGGGTGATAGTGACTTGCAAATTGAATATTTGAATAATTGAATGATTGAATTGAATAACTGATTACATTTCAGCTCTTTTAAAATTATTGTTATTTAAATTAGTTTAGATTTAGGGGGTACAAATGCAGTTTTGTTACAAGGATATGCTGCATAGTGGTGAAGTCTGGGCTTTTAGTGCGCCCATCACCTGAAGAGTGTATATTGAACCCAACAGGTAATTGTTCATCCCTCCCTACCTTCCCTCCCTCCTGCCTTTTGGAGTCTGCAGTGTCTATTTTTCCACTCTCTATGTCCACGTGTACCTACTGTTTAGCTCCCAGAGGTAGCCCAAGTGTGGCCACCTGCAGGTTATGGGCAGCACTGGTGGTGACTGGAAGCTGGCAGACCAGGAAAAGAGCTAAAATGGAAATTATGGAGGCTCCAGTCCCTTTAGTACTAAGCACTGTATAATCAAGTCCAAGGCTTTGTGATTAGGGTGGAATTGCTCATCCCTGACTTCGTCCCTTTATTTGGGTGAAAATTTCATCAGTGGAAGGGAAGCATGCAGTAACTAGAGAGGGAAAAACGGGATTGCGACTACACTGCTAGTGGTATATCACGTAAGATCATTCAGCAGAGAAGAGGTCTGGAAACTGGGAGATACTGTTCACAACTCTGTCAAGAGCTGTGTGGCCTGTAGAGAACTAATAAATACTCCTAGGCCTCAGCTTTTCATGAAATAAAGAGATTGAACAAGTAGTTCCCCTAAGCATATTCTAAACAATATGAGTTCTGTAAAGATGTTACTATTTAATTGTATATGTGCACACACACACACATGATAAAGTAACTTTGAGAATCTCTGGGTTATAAAATGTCAAACTGGTTTTGACACTAGGAAAATCTCAGGGCTTTCAATATGCTAATACATCACAGATATCAGCATACACATCTCCAAAGTGAAGAGTGTAGCATGCAGCAATTCCTCAGAAATTCTTATTTATAGACCACCTATGGGTCTAGTGCTCCACAGAGCACACGTCCAGAAACAAAGGCCTAGAAGATGTCTAAAGCCCCTTCCAGCTTTTAAGTTCTTGAATAGAATTCCATGGAATATAGGTTGAAAGATCTAAATTTCACTTCAAAAAAATTCCTCATATGACATACAACATTGCTGTTTTTATAGCAGGCACTCAAATACTATAAGAAACCTACAATGATAGATACTTTATAGCTAGTAAGCCTAAAATATGCAGTTCTCACCCTAAAAACTTGTTCAAGCAGAGCATATCATCCTGTATTGCCCACTTGCTATAAGAAACTGGGATGGTTTTGTATCTATTTTTCAGAAATTCATAGTGCTGGCCTAAGAATAAAGAGAGAAAAAAGTGGGCTTTATTATCTTCCTTAGATTATTTCTTGAAATTTATTCATGTTCTTGACATCATAAAAATCCCCTGAAAAGATTACAATCGCTTGAGAAAACATCGTTATAAGTATCTAACCCTGATTCTAACAATATATGTAGCATGTAATAAACTTAAAAAGTCCTATGTTTTGCTACAAATTGTCCCTAAACTCATCAGCTGGCCTAGTCCTGAACATGTAAAATATGTACAATGAAAAGCCCAGATGTCTTTAATTTTCAATGAAAAAAAAATGTGTTTTTCTAACATTCTGCAATCTAATTTGTTACATATCACCAAAGATCTCTTTATCCTGTAAATTTTTGGCATCTTTGCTTATTATAAAATCCCCAGGAATATAGAGAAATCATTTCTCACTAAACAGTCTACTTTTCAGACAACATATATAAAAGTGGCATAAGAACCCACGTATAGGGATGGGAGAATACTAAGAGTCAAGGGCATCAGTTCAAATGTAAACAAAAATAACAGCTTTGTCATAATCAAGTTAGTGTCATAACTGGGCTCTTCGTCTCTGGATTTTTTTCCCTCTCTGACTGACCCTCCACACAGAATCATCTTCTAGCTCTGATTATTCAAATCTATTATTTCGAAACTTTTGAAAACTCCCTGTATCCACAAAGCTAAGTACAAATTCCTTTACCTGCCATTCATCCCTTGATCATCGCTATAAGCTTTCTAGACTAATCTCTGTAACTTCCTTTTACATGCCATACAGAAAAACTGGTCTATTTGGTACTGACTGGACACACGCCATGATTTCTCCCTTGGTACCTTTGCACAAACCAGCCCTCCTGTTGGATTGTTGACTCTGTTCTTTCTTCATGACCTGCTCCCACATCTTGCTGGTCAAAATCTTATTCATCATCCAAGACATTTTCCAATTTTAACTCTTTTGTGGACCTTTCTGAATCCTTCAAGTAGAAGTGACCACTAACTAACTGAACCAAGACCCTCTTCTCATGCTGAATACGTTTTTGAAACATTTGTGAACTGTCATATTTGTATATAATTCATAAGATAAGACCTTGACATACAAGAAAAATACCATGTCTGTTTCTCAGGCATTGGATAAATAATATTTTCAGAAATAAATTAATTTTCAGACTTTTATATTAAGCACATAGACAAACACTTTATAAATAAAATAAATGGCTAAAAAATTGAACAAAACTGTAAATAAAAAGAAATAAATGGCAGAAAAAAACCATGAAATACTTCAAAGAAATTTGAATGTATGAAAAGATCAGCTTAGGTTAGAAGACAGCAAGTTACATTCATAAGGATTTCAAATGGCATACTTTTAAGGAGTATCTCTAGTATATTCAAAAACAGACATGTCTTTTGAAAATATTATTAAGTAACGCCTTTCTCAAAAGGAAGTCAAAGAACAACATGAAAGAAACATAAAAATATGCCCACACACGGGAGCTAAATGAAAATTTCTGTCCTTGCCCTGAATACAGTAAGTTTTGTTTATCTACCTCTGACATCCCTGTCACCACTACTTACACCTATACACAGAACCAACCTTCTCACCAAGAAGAAACACTGATGTGGGAGAGCAACCCCATCCTCTGATCTAAAGTCAAGACATGCATACCTGCATACGCACACTAGAGCCGAGGGCCAGCTGCTCTTCCTTTTTCTGACCGGCTGGATTCTCTACCATGTCTTCTTACTCGAACCTAATACATTTATTCAATCCTACCTGCAATAATTATCTACGGTGCCTTATCTCTCACCTCCTAGACCTCCATCTTCTGCCCTTGTCTCCCGTCTAAATTCAGAGTAACCCTCCTTCCCAGGACCTTTGCTGAGAAGGGGCTCAACTAACAAATATTTTGATGGGAATGTGCTACCAGGGGAAAAAAGTTTTCAAACTTTTCCAGAAACATAATCCATTTTCTTTTTCTTGCTTTTCTTTTTTTTTTTTTTGAGACGGAGTCTCACCCTGTTGCCCAGGCTGGAGTACAGTGGTGCTGTCTTGGCTCACTGCAACCTCCGCCTCCTGGGTTCAAGCTATTCTCCTGCCTCAGACACCTGAGTAGCTGGGATTACAGGCACATGCCACCACGCCTAGCTAATTTTTGTATTTTTTTAGTAGATACGGGGTTTCACCCTGTTGGTCAGGCTGGTCTCGACCTCCTGACCTCGTGATCTGCCCGCCTCAGCCTCCAAAAGTGCTAAGATTATAGACGTGAGCCACCGTGTCCAGCCTACATAATCCGTTTTAAATGCATTCATCTGTATTTCATTTAAATTAGAATCTACTTTCCTTAAAAGTATTATGTAGGACTTCTAGAAAGATGGTGAAAACTAGGGTGGTCTTTAAGAGACAATGTATCAACACAGATGACAGAAAGAGAAAGAAAAGAAATCCCACAGACAACATATACAACAAAAGTATGTGACAGCATATCCCCATGCATCCCCAACTACATGCAGGCGAGGACAAGCCATCAAGAGCGAAAAACTGGAAAGGTATTAATGTTTGTATGGGACACGGCAGTGCAAAACAAATGGGGACATTTGAAACTCATAAAAGAGTAATTTCAAAAATACCCAACAGGTGTTTACTGGAAAACATAGGAGGTCAATTTCAGAACAGAAGCTGATACTGAAAATGTTTAGCCAATCCAATAACAGTGAATACAACAAGATCCTGGTAAGGTATGAAGTGGGTGGTGCAGGATGGCACCTGTGATATTCAAAACTAGCAGCCAGGCCTCCTGTCTAGGTCAGGGATCCACACTGAAAAGAAACTACTAGGAGTGGAATCAAAATTTCACAGAAAAAGGAAAACAAAGGGGAAGTAAAGAGAAGGTCCAGAAAAAAATAGGGGAGGGGAATAGACTTAGGAAGTTTCAGAAATCAAGCTTCTATGAACAAATAACAGAATATAGAGCTCTGTGAACTTGAAAAACTACGCTGATGCAAGAATCCTTCTGAAAGTTCAGGGAAATTAGCCAGGCATGGTGGCCCATCCTCTAAAGTCAAGGCATATACACCCTGTAGTCCCAGCTACTCTGGAGGCTGAGGCAGGAGAATTGCTTGAGCCCGGAAGTTCCAGGCTGCAATGAGCCATGATCATGCCACTGTACTCTAGCCTGGGTGATAGAGCAAGACTGACTCTCAAAAACAAAAACAGTTTGGGTAAACGAATTTCACAAACAAATGAGTAACATAAAAATAATACGGTCAACTCCCAAGCAAAGTTACTGAAAGCCAAAAAGAACAAGCAGCTGATGTTCCTACAGACAAAAATTCTGGAGGACATGTCCACAGAACAGTTTGAAACTGTAACAATCTACATAAAAACAGGCTAAACAATATTAAGAAAAATGAAACAATACATAAATTATATTAATTCCGAATTAGAAAAACTCAGAAATGAAGTGACTGCACTTAGAAAAAAATTAAGAAGAATAATTATATCAGAAATAAAACGAATTTAAAAGGAACATGCCTTCATAAATAGAAAGTGAAAAGGAGGAAACTTTGAAAAAGGGCCGGGCGCAGCGGCTCACACCTGTAATCCTTGCACTTTGGGAGGCTGAGGTGGGCGGATCACGAGGTCAGGAGATCGAGACCATCCTGGGTAACACAGTGAAACCCCGTCTCTACTAAAAATGCAAAAAATTAGCCAGGCATGTTGGCGGGAGCCTGTAGTGGGAGGCTGAGGCAAGAGAATGGCGTGAACCCGGGAGGCAGAGCTTGCAGTGAGCCAAGATTGCGCCACTGCATTCAAGTCTGGGCAACAGAGCGAGACTCCATCTCAAGAAAAAAAAAAAAAAAAGGGAGAGAGAGAAAAAGGAAGAAAGAAATAAAATTGATTCAAGAGAAAGGGACAAATATTGAAGACAGGTAAAAAAAATTTCGACATACAGATTTAGTCCCTGAAGAAAACAAATACAAAGAAACAGAAAAAACACTATATTTGTAAAATTTTCTGAAATTAAAAAAAAGAAGTTTCATATTAAATGAAACACCTCATATCTGAGAATATGAACCTCCAGAGCAACCAAAACCAAAGCATAGCCTAGTAAAATTAATGGATGTTAAAAAAAAAAAAAAAAATATATATATATATATATATATATATATATTTTCCATTTGCAGCAAAGCAAAAACAGCCAGTGACTTACTCGGGAAAGAAAATGAGATTCTAATCAGATTTTTCAGGAGCAACACCCCAGGCAAAAATAGAGTAACATATTTGAATACTCAAAGACAGATAATGTAAGCCAAAGCTTTTACATCCAGCAACGTGGATCTCCAAATATAAAGGGCACCAAAAACAAACAAATAACAACAATTTAAAAAAAAAAAACCTGCTGTCAACCTGCAAAAAAGTCATGGAATGGACTTCTTCTAGATAGGATGAAATAAACAGATTAATCCTCCCACCGTAAATGATAAAACTGAATCAAATATATAAGGCAACTATCTTCAGATATTAATCAACAGACAGCACAAAACTGTAATCTTTAGGGGAGGGAAACTCACAAAGTGAGCCCCAGAATTGACCTGGATCTTTGTTTAAGGACATTTCTCAATTCTCTATTGTAGTTCAGTGAGCTGGAGTCCTAGCTAAGCACTGTGGTCCTGATGAGATTACAATGCATGGATCAGAATTCAAAGTAGGTGAATTGGCTGGAATCCTTAGGGTAGGACACCAGAGAGTAGAGAGAGGCACAAAGAAGGTGCCCAGAATTCTAACCAGTGAAATAAAGCAAGACACAGAAATAAAAGGCTTATAGATAGGAAATGAAGTTGTTAGCATGTCATGGTTTGCAGATAACACTCAAGGATCTTCCAAAGCAATTAGATTTAGTAAGTTAATTTAGCAAACTTGCATAATACAAGGCCAATATATGCAAATCAATTACATGTTTCTAGACGAGCAACAATATTTGGAAAATGCAATTTAAAACAATATCACTTACAATAGCTTTGAAATAAATTTAACAAAAGAGTTCTCAGTTCTGTGTACTGCATACTACAAAACAATGCAAAGAGAAATTAAAGATCTACATTTTTAAAAAGATATATCATGTCCACGAATTAGAAGATCCAAAATTGTTAAAATTTCCTTTTTATAAATGAATAAACTGATTATAAACCTTATATGGAAATGCAAAGAAACTAGTCAAAATAGTCTTGAAAAAGGAAGAACAAAGTTGGATAAGTTAAACTACTGGTTTTCAATACTTATTACAAAGTTGTATTAATCAATATATTATTAGAATAATGATAAACATATAGATAAATATAACAAAATAAATTCCAAAAAATACCCATAATTTATTTTTTACAAAGGCTAATGTAATTCAATGGGAGATTGGATCACGTTTTCAATAAATGTTTCTGTAAAAACTGCATATCAATCTGGAAAAAAAATAAGCCTTGATCTCCAATTTACATTGTATACAAAAATTAATTCAAAATGGATCACTAACCTAAACCTAAAAGCTAAAACTATAAAACTTTTGGAAAAAGCATAGGAAAAAATCCTCACCATTTTGGGAGAATGCAAAGATTTCTCAGTATACACACTCAAAAAAAAAACAATAACCATAAAAGAGAAAAAAGTGAACAAATATATTTGACAAAGAATTTTTATCTGGAATATGTAAAGAATCTTTACAACCTAGGAATGGGAAGATAAGAATTAAATGAAAAATTCTGTAAAAGTCTCACAAAAGGAGCTGTATGAACTACAAATACTCTACAAAGATGCTCAACATTATTAATCAGGAAAATGCCAACTAGAACCATAATGAGAGACATGCATTAGACTGATGAAAATTGTACACATGCATTAGATTGATGAAAATTGGAAAGACAGACCACACGAAGTATTAACAAGGATGTGGAGCAGCCAGACTTTTATACAATTCTGGTTGGAGATAAAATAGTGTAATGACTTTGAAGAATACACTGGAAGTTTCTTATAAAATTAAATATACGGTTACCATATGACCCAGAAATTCTATTCCTAGGTATTTACCAAAGCAAAATGAAAATTTTTGACAGCCAGAATGTTGTACACTGAAGTTAATAGCAGTGTTACTGCTAAAATCTCAGAAATAGCCAAAATCCAGAAACACAAATATCTATCAAAAGATGAATGGATCAACAAATTGTAATATATGCCTACAATAGAATGCTACACAGCAATATTTATACACACAACATTCAAAAATGTTATCCTACACCAAAGAAGCCAGAACCAAATGAATACACACCACATGATTCCATGCATATGAAACTCTAGAAGAGATTAATCTAGTGATGTTGGCTTGCAATGGGGATCAACGTTGGCTTGGAATGGGGATGGGTAACTGACTAGGAAGGTGGACAAGGGACTGTATTTTGATGATGGAACCGCCATGTATCTTGACAGTATATCTGATACAAAGATGAATACATTTAAGAAATCTCATCCAAAAGCATACTTACAATGGATGCCTTTTATGATATGTACATTGTACCTCAACAAAGTTGATTTAAAAGCATACTAAGAGAAGATGACAAAAAAAGGAGTACATACCATATTATTTATATGAGTTCTAGAGCTGGTAAAGCTAATCTATAGTGGCAGAAATCTTATCAATGGTTATTTGTGGAAGAGGAAATGAGGAATTAACTTGAAAGGGGACTTGAGAAGTTTGTAGGGTGACAGAAAAGTTCTACTCATGATTTGGATGGTGATGATACAACATATACATTTGTCAAAACCTACAAAAGTGAATTCTTAATGTCTGTATTTTAAATAAAGTATACTTCAGAAAAAGATGATTTTTAAAAAGCATTAGGAACTATTGCTCCTATGAGTCCATTCTGAAGAATGTGACAGAGAACATGCTTCACGTAACCAAAACATCTGAAGTGCACTATCCAATATGGCAGGAATCTCCACCACCCCCATCTCCTACTCTGGCCACAGAGTGGTACCAAGAGCCACATGGGCCAGTGGCTACTATATTGAACAGCACAGTCACAGAACATTTCCATTGCTGCAGAAAGTTCCATTAGACAATGTTGGTCTAAAGAAATGTTGAAATAAAAATTGCTGGTAAGAATTAAATATACGTTTATTGATAGAACTAAGAGTGAGATAAAGAAGGGAATACGGTAATTACTATATTTAGTCATTGTCATTATAGTTCACTGAATATGCACATTATATATGCAACATTTTTAACAATTCTACTTGATGAAAAAACATGCTGAGTAAATGAAGCTGACCAAAAAAGTAGTACATGCCATATTACTTACATGATGCTGTTATATGGGAGTGGTAATACTAGTATTGTTACTAAGACTGTTGTTGTATAATAAAGGATAAGAAAGAATGTAATTGACTGACTATGGGAAGTCTGATGCGATTATCCCCTATGCTCCTGACAACCAGAAATGAAGGAAAGAGTTACAATACAGACAAGACCAAATAAAAAGATCCATAGTCCTGAATAAGAATCAAAAATAACAAAATGAACTCATATTTCCCATTCAGGAGGCTTAGAAACAATGACCAACCCAGTAGCAGTAGGCATTGCTGACTCTCAGATTTGGATCTTCAAATACCATTTCCCACTAAAAGAAACCAGGGCTTCTTAAATGTCTGATTCCAGGACTGGAGCAAGAATTATGCAAGATGAGACTGAAATACGTTGTCAGCCCAGCACTAAGAAATTTATCAGGGAGGGCCACCACAGTGGCTCACACCTGTAATCCCAGCACTTTGGGAGGCTGAGGCGGGTGGATCACCTGAGGTAAGGAGTTTGAGACCAGCCTGGCCAACATGGCGAAACCCCATCTCTACTAAAAATACAAAAAATTAGCCGGGCGTGGTGGCATGTGCCTGTAATCCCAGCTGCTTGGGAAGCTGAGGCAGGAGAATAGCTTGAACCTAGAAGGGGGAGGTTGCAGTAAGCCAAAATCGTGCCACTGCACTCTGGCCTGGGTGGCAGAGCAAGACTCTGTGTCAAAAAAAAAAAAAAAAAAAAAAAAGAAAGAAAGAAGAAACTTATCAGGGATTACTAAAAACGTGTCAAATTGATGAGTCATTCCCTGGCCAATTTGAACTTTCAACACTGTGATAATTAAAATGGATTGAAAACCATCTAAATATATTTAAATCCATTAGTTTAAATCTCTGCACGTAGGTACTTGTGTGTGATCTATTGGCTGTGAGCCCTTTCTGATGCAGTGTTTTCATCAGAGCATGTGTGTAAGATGATGACTTCCCCTGGGCATCTTGTTAAAAGATAGATTATGATTCAGAAGGTCTCAGGTGGCGTCTAATAATCTGCATTTGCAACTAGCTCCCAGGTGTCTCTGTAAGCTGCGTCCATGAACTATCTTTTAGCACCAAAGGTCTACCTCTGAACCTGTGACCTACATAGAGGGACAGGAAGGAAGAAGGCAGGTAAAAGATAGGACTGAACGTTCTAATTCTAGTCTTTATATTTTTAAGAGGGAACTCTGATTATGTTTAGATTTAGGTGGCATTTGCCTGAACCTGATGAAATGAGGCAGAGTCATCTTTAAGAAAATCAGAGGGCCAGGTGCAGTGGCTCAGACTTGTAATCCAGGTACTTTGGGAGGCTGAGGCGGGCAGATCAGGAGGTCAGGAGATTGAGAGCATCCTGGCTAACATGGTGAAACCCTGTCTCTACAAAAAATACAAAAAAAAAAAATTAGCTGGGCATGGTGGCGTGCACCTGTAGTCCCACCTACTCGGGAGGCTGAGGCAGGAGAATCACTTGAACCCAGGAGGTGGAGGTTGCAATTAGAAAGTATTTAGAAGACAAAACCACTGATTATACTTAGATTTAGGTGGCATTTGACCGAACCTGATGAAATGAGGCAGAGTCATCTTTAAGAAATCAGAGGGCCAGGCACAGTGGCTCACAGATGCCATACACAAAATGTTCTGTACACACAATGGATGACAGACCTAAAATGCATTAGTGAAGGGTGTATGGGGGAAGGAGGAAGAAAGAGGGCAGACAACTGTAATACTACACACATAACTGAGAAGTTCACACAGTGAACCACACAGTGGTAGTATATATGGTGAGTAATCAGGGAATAGAGATAGAGGCAGATAAAGCCGACTAGTTTTAGGCTGTTGCTGACCAGCCACAGAATAGCTGCAGAAAGGTTTCTTCTCCCTGGGTCTTAGTCTCTTCATCTGTAAAATGGAGATAAATTCTTGAAACGGTTTGAAAGAACACATTAAAATTTTACATCATGGTGAGTGGCATTTAACAGGCAACCAATAATGGTAGCTATCACTCATAGGTTTTCTAACCTCCAGTTTCTAGCCTCTGAAATCTACTCTGGGTACATTACTCAACGAAAACTGGTCTCTCATCAGTGTCCTAGTGTCTGACAAAATGAAATGATGGATCAACTCCCAAACCTAGAATTCCGCCTGGGAGCCTCTTACTTTCCAACTACCAAGCTTGACTTATAATGACCTGCCTCTTTTCCTCTCCTCTTAGAGTTGCTCCATTGCACAATGACCTTCCCATATTTCTCTCACTAGTGAGCCCTGTCCTCATCCAGCCCCACTTCCCCTCTCCAAAGCTTGGTTCAAACACCAGCTTTCCAAGAAGCTTTGTGTGATCTCTTCCTCAGTGGAAAGTGATTTCTTTCTCTTCCAAGACCAAAGCTCAAATACCATGCTCTTTGCCAAATACTTTGAAACCCAGGGATGGCTAAAAACTTTAGGAGAGCCTATTTCTTGGTTCCTAAAGAATTTTACTAGATTTTTATAGTTACATTTGTTAGTCTGTAACTCTAAGTAATAATATTTATATTTTTCTTAATAACCTCTCAGCTTACTGATATGAGGAATAGAAGCTTAGGAAAATGAGGGTAGTCCTAATATAAATTTCATAAACCTAAAAGAATAGTTGAAATGAATTAATTTTGAGGGCTATTTCCAATGCGGCCTTATGCCATCTGAATTTGAACGCTCCTTGTTAACTTTCAACTACAGAGTAGGGGGAATACACAGCATATATTCTATTCTAAACTGTCTGCATTTAAAAAACTTAAATTAGGTATCTGCTAGTCAACTAGCCAAAGAGCTAACTGAATGAGATAACAAAGGATAAAGAAAATACAGGGCTAAGAATTCAAAGAAAAATTTCTGATTTTTAAATCTGTTCCTTTGAAAAATACTGCAGATTTTTTTTCTTTACTATATTTCTTCTAAATAGTATTTCTTCTATTGCTTCCCTGGCATTTGCAAAAAAAATAAAAAATCCATTACAGGAACTTATTTTCTGTACTTGTCGGCTGCTACCTATGCAGTTCCACTATGAATGACCATTAACTGCCAATCTCAGCATTATTACCATGAGGCCTCCATAATCCCCATCCCATTGGTCAGTCTTAAAATATGGCACAGCTGCAAAACAATGTCAGCTACGATTGAGCCCCAATTTTCCCTGTCAACAGCCTTGTTCAGCTTCCCAGATATTCCTACTTGTTGCCAAGTCCATTTTGTAAATGAAGTCTGCCTTTTGAAAATCACCATATGAATATGTCAACAGGTCATGAAATATTTTCATTACAAATCTTAAAGAAAAACTTAGCTCTAAAGAAACAGTTTGAAAAATGTCTATTTCATTAAGTGCAAGTGTGAAATCTTGATGGAAAACATTTATTTTGGCAACTTTCTATTATGTTGGTGGCCCAAAGTATCCTGACTAGACTATCTTTGTGGGAAGTGAAACTGGGGAATTCTGGAGCAAATGAAAAATTCTCTACTAGGAGCTTTTGGACCACAAGTATTGGGGAAAGACTGGGAAAATCCAAAGTGCAAATGCCAGGCACAAGAGCTTATTCCTGTATCACTGGAGTCATTTCTCAATTATCCACATCAAGAAAAAAAGAAATAGTGGTATGGACCAAAGACAGAAGATAATCCCCAAAATAATTCATGTTTGACTTTGGAACAAATACATGTATGTGTGTGTACACGCATTTCCCTAATTCAACTATATTGCTGAAATCATTTTCTCTGCCTGATACTTTCTACTCATTCTTTATGACCCAATAAAAATGTCACTTCCTTTGCGAAGCCTTCCTCGCCTTCCCAGAGAGATAATCTCTGTCTCTCCTGTGCTCTCACAGCCTTGGGTACCTTATAGCTTTTGTCATGTTGAGCTACAATTGCCTTTTTATATGTCTGTCTTCCCCAACTGTCTTGAGAGATCTGTGATCTAAAGTCAATGTCTTATTCATTTCATTTTCCCCAGAGCCGAGCCCCAAGTATAGACGATGCCAAGCAAACATTTTTTGAATGATTATTTTTTCAGGTAATCCCAAGCTGCTTGGGGATGTAGTATCCCAGATGTATCTACAGATGAACAAAAATATCAGAGGAAATATCAAATTACAATTAGAAACTGACACAGATCATTCCCAAAGAATGTAATCAAGAGAGAAGTTCATGAGATTTCCTAAAATTAAAAGCTTGTCTTGGACCTTTGTGATTTCCTTGCAGCCTCTCTAGCGTTCACTAATTATACCACTCACTCACTCACTCACAATACCCGTGCTGCTCTGTTTTCTTATTCATCATTTTAGGCGCAAGGACTCTCTTGCTACTAGATGGAAGGGACTGTGCTTTAATAATTATAATGCCCCTTTACTTTTTAATAGCACACTGTGTTCACCAATTACTCATGCCACATTGCTCTATAAGTTCACTGTGATGGCTATCCTCATTTTCATGTGAGAAAACTAATAATCCAAAAAAATTAAGTGACATGGACAAGGATACACAGCTAAATGTTAAAACTGGCATCAGGACCCAAATGTCACTGACTCTAATGTCTTAGTGTCCTAGACACTGTGTGATGATGTTACAGCTTATTCTCCATAGTACAAGGAAGGTCCTGATTTACAGAGAGAAAACCCCAAGATGAGGGAAATTAAATCCACATTCAGAGATCGCAGAAGGGCACAGCCAGAGGCCAGGGTGAAATTCAAGACTCTATATAGGTTTATTAATTCAAAGACTTGCCTCCTTGATGTTCCTTTTTTATAAAATATGAATGATAATTTGTTATCATGACACTTCAGCCAGACCCTTTCCAAAAAATAACACTACCAAGATGAGACACCATATAAATAAGATATAATATAATCAAAAAGAAGACACCATATAAACTTTATGTAAGGAACTTGGCTTAAAGTGAAAAATTGTGTCAGTGATACCAAGAACAAAAAACAAACAAAAAACAGTACCGTGGGGCTAATGGTTGACTACCAATTTATATCCAGTAATTGGCTGATTTGAAGTTAGGTACACACACACACACACACACACACACATGCATATACACACACACACTACTTATTTAACTAAAGATTCTTTCAAGTTGGAGAGAAAAGCTTAATGGAGAAGGTACCATTGAGGAGAACCTGCGAAAGCAAGTGAGAGAGAAGCTACATGAACAGTGTTCCATGTGTACACAGCCCAGAATAAGAAGGGTCATGTGGTTATGAGGAACAAGAAAACCACCAGAAAAAAGCAAGGAAAACGCCAGGGGGAGGAAGGAGAGAAGGCAGAGATAAAGTTGGAAAGGGTCTTAAATGTCAAGCAGGAATGGGAATGACTTTCCAGTTATTTTTATTGTGTTTAAAGATACATAAAATTTACCATTTTAAACCATTTTTTAGTGTACAGTTCTCTGGTATTAAGTATATTCATATTGTTGTAACCATTGCCGCCATGCAGCTCCAGAACTTTTTCACATTCCGCAATTAAAACTCTGTACCTATTAAATGCTAACTCCCTATTTCCCATCTCCTCCAAGCCTCTGGCAACCACCACTCTATTTTTCTGTCTCTGAATTTTACTACTCTGGGTACCTCATATAAATGGAAACATCCAGTATTTATCCTTTGGTGACTGAATTATTTAACTTAGCATAATGTCTTCAAGGTTCATCCATGTTGCAGTGTGAGTCAGAATTTCCTTTTTAAGGCTGAATAATATTCTATTCAGTGTATATACCCTATTTTGTTTATTCATTGGTCTGTCAGTGGACATGAGTTGCTTTCCTGTTTTGGCTATTGTGAATAATGCTGCTATGAACATTCATTTATAAATATCTATTTGAGTCCCTGCTTTCAATTCTTTTGTGTTTATACCTAGGAGTGGAATCCTGAATCACATGGTAATTCTACATTTAATTTTTTGAGGAAGTGGCATACTTTTATTTGTAAGGGAGCTGCAACCTTTATATTCCTACCAGCAATTTCTTCACATTCTTGCCAATACTTACTTTCTTTTTCTTTTTCATAATAGACATCCTATGGGTGTGTTAACAAGTAATTTTTAATACCAAGCATTTAAACTAAAAATGAAAGTGCTAACAAATGCTAAAACACTGTAACAACTTCTGAACTGTATTTTACCAAACTTAATATAAATTATAATTACCAACCTTAACCTAAATTATAGTAAGAAAAGCCTAACCTGAGCTCTACTCTTTTAACAGATCTACCCTTATAACAGATTTTTAAGTGCACCACTCAATATCGTTAACTATAGGCAGGATCTTATACAGCAGATCTTTAGAGCTTATCACATTGCGTGACTGAAAGTATATTCTATCAATAAGCAATTCTCAGTTTCTCCTCCCTCTAGACCCTGACAACCACCATTATACTCTCTGCTTCTATGAGTTTGACTATTTTACAAGTGGAATCATGCCATATTTGTCATTCTGTGACTGGCTTATTTCATAGCATAATGTTCTCAAGTTTCATCCATACTTTTCCTTTTTTATTAAAGTTCTGGGATACATGCACAGAACATTCAGGTTTGTTACATGTGTATACACATGCCATGGTGGTTTGCTGCACCCATCAACCCGTCATCTACGTTAGGTATTTCTCCTAATGCTATCCCTCCCCTAGCTCCCCACCCCCCGACAGGCCCCAGTGTGTGATGTTCCCCTCCCTGTGTCCATGTGTTCTCATTGTTCAACTCCCACTTATGAATGAGAATATGCAGTGTTTGGTTTTCTGTTCTTGTGTTAGTTTGCTGAGAACGATGGTTCCCAGCTTCATCCATGTTCCTGCAAAGGACATGAGCTCATCCTTTTTTATGGCTGCAGAGTATTCCATGGTATATATGTGCCACTTTTCTTTATCAAGTCTATCATTTATGAGGCCAGCATCATCCTGATACCAAAACCTGGCAGAGTCACAAATTTTTTGTTTTCTTTTTTTTGGTTTTTTGAGACAGAGTTTCGCTCCTGTCGCCCAGGCTGCAGCGCAATGGCACGATCTTGGCTCACTGCGACCTCCATCTCCTGGGTTCATTTTCTTCTTTTTAAAGGATGAATAATATCTCATTGTGTATATATACCACATTTTGTGTACCCATTCATCTGTTGATAGACATTTAGGTTGTTTCCATACCTTGTTTATTATAACTAATCCTGCAATGAACATGGGGATACTCATATCTCCTTGAGATCCTGATTTCAAATCTTTCAGATAAATACCCAGAAGTAGGATTGTTAGATCATATGGGAGTTCTATGTGTAATTTTTTGAGGAACCACCTTTCTGTTTTCCACAGTGGCTGCTCCATTTTACATTCCTGTCAACATTGTACTAAGGTTTCAATTTCTCCACAAACTTACCAACATTGTTGTCTTTCATTTTTATGATAATAGCCATCCTAAATAGGTATGAGGTCATATCTCATTGTGGATTGTAGTGTTCATTTGCATTTCCCTGATGATTACCGACACTGAGCAGCTTTTCATATACCTGTTGATCATTTGTATGTATTCTTTGAAGAAATTTCTAATCAAGTCCCTATCTTATTTTTAATTGGGTTATTAGGCTTTTTGCTATTGAGTTGTAGGCGTTTAACTCCTTATCGAATATATAATTTGTAAATGTTTTCTACCTTTCCTTAAGTTGCATTTTCTCCATGTTGATTGTTTCCTTTGCTGTCTAAAAGCTCTTCAGTGTGATGTGGTGTGACTTGTCTAATTTTGCTTTTGCTGCCTGTGCATTTAGTATCTTATCCATGAAGTCACTGCCAAAACTAATGTTATGAAGACTTTCCTCTATGTTTTCTTCTACAGATTTTTCAGTTTCCAGTCTTATATTTAAGTATTTAATCTACTTAAAGTTGATTTTTGTATATGAAGATAGAGATACAATTTCATTTGTTTTGCATATAAATATCCACTTGTTCCAATGCCATTTGTTGAAGAGACTATCCTTTCCCCATTGTGTGTTTTTGGCACTATTATCAAAGATCAGTTGACCCTGTATGTATGTAATTCTAGGTTCTCTATTCTGTTCCATTGGTCTGTATGTCTGTACTTATGCAAATACATAGTTTTAATTACTATAGCTTTGTAATATATCTTGAGATCATGAAGTGTGGTACCTCCAGGGCTGATTGTTTAATATAAGTTAGAGGGCCCAAAGATATCAGGTGTGGACAAATTGTTGCTTATTGAAATTCCTGAGATAGGCAACTGCTTTCTATTTCATCCAAAGGACAGATAAGTGACTAATACTGTTTGTATGTTCTGCAACTTTTAATTGCAAAAGACCAAGAACCTTAGCAATACAACACTGATACAAATTGCTTAGTTTCTTCTACTTAAAAGAGACATTTTCTACCTTTCTTTTTACAGAAAAATCATAAAATATTATCAAAAAGTATTTAAATATCCATTATTTCACCTATTCCAAAATAACCACTGTTAAATTACGATACAACTTTCTATATCCTATACTCAAACATGTCTACTAATAGAAAACTTTAAATTTTCTGTTATAAAATGCAAATCCAAAATTACATAGTCACATGGCTCTAGATCTATTAATAAGAAAGTACATTTTATGAAGAGATTTGTTTTAAAAAAATTAAAAATTTTGAGAACTTAGGCTAATTTGTAGAACTTACCACTTTCATATTATTTCACTTTAAGTGACCTAGGAGAATTCCTCATTAAAAACTAGTTAAATACGTGGATGTTTCCAAACTATAGTTTATCAATTATTGCACAAACTTAATTGCTTTAAAAATGAACAGTTTGTTTTCCTCCATAAAATACACTCATTGTTAAATATATTTTGCTTAAATTTTCCAGAAGACGGCTCTTTGAGATGCAAGTAAACATGAACAACTTCTGGCTGAAAGCATTTTTAAAAGCATTTAGGGAGGGAGAAAAGAAAAGGTTATGACTGAAATTAACTACAATGTGTGATAAATGAGAAAAATGAAAGCACAAAAATAAAGTTAATACAACACAGTAGCTATCTAACCCAAGTTAAGCAAAGCAAGAATTAAACATATAATAACAAAATTAACTCAGCCTCATGAGAATGTTGACTGGGAGATGACTTTACAAAAACAGAGTTGATTACAGAGTTATATAATAGATTATTGTTTGAGTTCTCTTAAAATTTCAAGCAATCAGCAACCCTAAGTCATCAAAATCTTGTTCTGAATATGGAAAGCATTTTTTAAAAAGAAATATTCACTGTTTTCAAAGCACTTGAAATAAAAAAATACGAAGCTAATACTATGAAAAATTAAAACATGACTTAGTCATCCCTGATTAAGGGCCACTGCCCAACTTTTTACAGAAATTGTCATAAGCATCATTTTAGTCAATTATAACCATCCTTGTTGTACAAAATCATTTAAATGCTTTCTAAAGTACACATAAATCAGCCAGCCAAAGCAACCCAGTTACCGATCACTGAAGATAGTATTTAATATGTGGTTGTATCACAGTGTAGAGTACAAGTTCTTATCTTACTGCTTAATAATATCTCTTTTATTTTTACAGCAATAAACCAGTAGGTAAAAGAATGTAATTATCATAGTCATGGAATTCAAAGAGGCAACATTAGGGAGATTTTGATCTAACTTTAAAGCAGATTTAGGATTATATGATGGCTCTTAAAGAAATTGATTTTGGCTGTTTATTTTGCTTTTTTTTTTTAATTCACTAAATTATCTGTACCAAGCACAGGCAATGGAATTCAAATCATTGGTCACTCTGTTTTATTTAAGGTTAGTCTCTTATTCCTGCAACACAACTGGCAAATGCTTGAAGGCTTCCTCCTCTATTTGGTGGTCCCTGTCTCTGGGAGGTCTGTCCTTCCTTCAGTCTGGACTATCTTGTGCCTGCTTCACTCTGTGACAAAGATGACCTCTGCAGAGTCAAATTCATGTAAATGACCAATAGGCACTTCAAACATAACATGTCAAAAATCTGGATTTCTGATTTCCCTCAAAAAATTATCTCTCACATTCTTCCTTCCTTTGGTAAATGTCAGTGCCAGCCCGCTAGCTGCTGAGGGCAAAAGGCCTGCAGTCTTCCTCGACTCTTACACCTCATACCCAATCTGTGCTCATCGATTTGACTTTCAAGATATTATCTTATAATCTGACCATTTCTTACCATCTCTGCTGCTACTGTCCTTGCCTGAGCCACTATCATCTCTTGGCTACATTAGATAAATAGTTCCTATCCTTGTTCCTGCTATAGTCACTTCTCCAAACAGCAGCCAGAGTGAGACTTCCAAGTGCCAACCAGCTACTGTGTGTGCATGTGTGTGTGTGTGTATATATATATACACACACACATATATATGTATACACGTATATATATAACCTGCTATATATATACACACACAGTATATATATATACACACACACACAGAGTATATGTATATATATACACACACACAGAGTATATGTATATATATACACACACAGTGTATATACGTATACACACACAGTGTATATACGTATACACACACACAGTGTGTATATATGTATACACACAGTGTGTATGTATACACAGTATATATATATGCATACAGTATATATATATGCACACACAGTATATATATATATATATGCACACACATATGTGTATTTGTGTATATATGGTACACAATATATACTATATAATTAGTATGTATCAGGCACTGTCCAAAGTGCTTTGTTTATATTATGCCATTTCATCATGATGTCTATGAAGAAGATACTATTACTTTCTTCAAAGAGGAGGCAACAGAGGCCCAGTAAGGTTAAGTATTGTGCCCAAGATCGCACAGCTGGTAAGTGGCAAAGCTGGGATCCAAACCCAGGCAATATGGGCATTAGTTCCTCTATTGCTCCTAGGAGGTTCCCACTTGAATCACAGGAAAAACACAGTCTATGAGGTCCTGTGTAATCTGGCCCTCTCTCTACACATTCCCTATTAATTTCCATGTTCAGTCCACTCCAGTCTCATCACCTCCTTGCTCTCTATTAAACACACTAGCATGCTCCCAGCTCAGCATGGTAGCACTTGCTGTTCCGTCAGCTTCAAACACTCTACCTCCAGATACCCACATGGTTTGCTCAAATGTCAGATTATCAGTAGAGTCTTACCTAACTTCCCTATTTAAAACTGCAGGCCTCTTCTCCCTTTCTTCCTTCCCCTCTTTGCAAGCTTTATTTTTATCCCTAATGCTTAGCAGTACTTGACAAGATATATATTTTACTTGCACATATTTCTGCTTTACCTGATTATAATGTTAAGTTGCATGATTGTAAGGATTTTTGTCTGTTTTGCTCACTCTCATGTCTCCAGCACCTAGAATGTGTTTAGCACTTGGACAGATGAAAGGAAAGCAATGGGAGGGTGGGAGGGAGGGAGAGAGGGAGAGAGGAAGGAAAGGAAGCAGAAAGGGAGGGAGGGAGCTTGAGCTGTACGGTGTAACTGATCGATTTTCTTCATAGCATCAGAGGTGACTATGAATTAAACATTAATGAAAAGCTAAGAGAATTCCATCACCACCTCTTTTTTTTTCTTTTTCTTTTCTTTTTTTTTTGAGATGGAGTCTTGCTCTGTTGCCCAGGTTGGAATGCAGTAGTGTCATCTCGGCTCACTGCAACCTCCGCCTCCTGGGTTCAAGAAATTCTCCTGTCTCAGCCTCCTAAGTAGCTGGGATTACAGGTGCACACCACCGCGCCCAGCTAATTTTTGCATTTTTAGTAGAGACGGGGTTTCACCATGTTGACCAGGCTGGTCTCTAACTCCTGACCTCAGGTGATCCACCTGCCTTGGCCTCCCAAAGTGCTGGGATTACAGGCATGAGCCACCGCGCCCAGCCTCACCACCACCTCTTAATTTTATTTTACATAAAGAACAGACCACACTCACCTAATCTGTATGGAAAGCAGTTGTCCAAGATTAGAGTCTTGGGTTTTAGCTAAGGCAAAAAATTGATTCTCGCATGGCAAAGAATTTGTTTGGGAGGTAGGGAAACTTGTCTACAATGGGAAATGGAGGAGGGAAGTCATCACCTTCTTAAATATCAGTAAACATTTTTCCTTGGTGAATATTTTAATTGACCTCCATTAGTTTTCAGGATGCTTTATTTCATCTTTACTCACTCTCATCCAGAGTACAGAGAATGCAAGACCACCGTATTGGTCTAGGTCTACGGAAACAAGAACTGGGGCAAAGAATTTTCTAAGGTAGTAAGCCCTAAAAAAGAGGAGTAAATAATGTTTAGAGCTAGAGCAAGAATGTTGTATTGTGGAGGGTGGTAAAAGCTAACTTTAGTATCAGGAATAACATTTACAAATTATACAGAATACCCAGAAACATTATGTACGTCTTATGGACGAGGTTGTCCACATAACTCTGAATAGCAGGCAGAAAACAGCAAATTGTTCCTCATAAAGAGCCCCAGTTGCACTGTGTTTAGAATTGGAATTCCAGATGACTGTGAGTCTGTCTTTCATATAACTCTTAAGTGCCCTGAGATTTTCAGAGCTTTACACAATCAAAGGTTTAAGCCTGAAATTACCTACAGCATTTGGACCAAGCCAAAGGCTAAATATCAACATTAAAAACAGACATACATTTTTCTTGGGTGATGTATGCCACAGTCAATCATGTGGGCATTTTTATCCAAAAAAGCCTAGTCTCATTGGCACTAAAAGATTTCCTATCATGATAACTTCTTCAATGACTTAAGCCAATTTTAGATGAATATCTCCATATATTATTACAATGTTACAGAACTCTAACCTTGAGAACTGAACTCATCATACAAGACAAACCTGCTTTTAAAGTGTCTGAACCTACTTACCATCATCTTTCCAATACTTGTAGGTCCCCCAGCCTATCACTGTTTCAATGGCCCTAAAAACCTCAAATATTGCCTTCAATAGTAGCCAAACTTAAAGGCACAGTTTCATGTCTTGCCCCACATCCTCAAAATAAAAAGTCTTTTTGTCTCAAGTCTTACGTTCCACATGTTCCTCTATAACGCTATTGCAATAAAGATGCACTTTTAATTTTTCCACTTATTCAATCCTTATCTAATGATATTTTGCAAAGTAATTGATTGTATCAGAGTCCAGCTTCCTGGCAGTACTGGTTGTGACATATTACCTTTATTTATAATTTGTTACAATCGTTTTGACTTCTAATTATGGGTTTTCCTATTCTGCTTCTCATAATGTTCTCATGTTATATTAGCTATTTAAGGATTTTTAGGTACTGGAGGCCAGGCATTTTTTCTTAGTCCCTTAAACTCTCTACTTCTTCTTTCTTACCTCTGCCTCTTCCCTTTCTCAGCTTCTCTTTCTCCTGCAGGCTCCTTCACAACAGTGAGCAGAGGGACAATGGAGGAACCAGCCAAACATTTGCTTGAGCCTACGGCAGGAGACCATCCAGAAAGAAGCTGGTGGTAGAGGGATTCATGGACAGCGCTGGAGCCATCTGGTCTGGGGAGGCTTGAAGAGGAGGCAAGTGAAGGAGGCTCACATAGGATGTGTCTTAAGGTGTCCTTAAGAAGCTGAAAATGTCATGACTAACCTGCCAACATGGTGAAACCCTGTCTTTACTAAAAATACACAAACTAGCTGGGCATCCTGGTTGGCACCTGTAATCCCAGCTACTCGGGAGGCTGAGGCAGAAGAATCACTTGAATCCAGGAGGCGGAGGTTGCGGTGAGAGCTGAGATCACGTCATTGTACTCTAGCCTGAGGGACAAGAGTGAAAAAATGGTCGTTTAATCTATCTAGGTCAGCGGAAATAATCAGATGCAAATGTCCACTGTAGTTTACATTTTCTACTACTTCAAAACTTAATATGGGCACATATTTAGTTTCGTACTTCTTATCCTCTATATGTTATTTGACAAAATAAAGCTATTGTTCCGCCTTTATATAAACCTGCTGTCCAAAAAAATGTGAATACAATTTTCAACATTAAAGATAACTACAGTTGAAAATGAGCTTATTTGCATTTTGGTTTTGTGTTAAAAAAGTACTTCACTGGAAAATATTCCAAACGAGTGATTCATATCATAAGCAAATAAAAGCAGTTTAAAATATATTAAGCCACCAGTTCAGAGCCATTATCAATATAACAAAGACTCTTCATCAATCTTAACCTTGTCCTCACATCATAAGTGCATATAAAATGTTTACCTGAGTTTATCCAGGACAAGCATACGCTAGTATTTTCACAGTTACATAGCTTTTCTTCACTGTGCTAAAACAATTGTTTAAAACAATGCAGATACGCTTACATATTCTTGTTTAATAATCTTTAAAGTCTAAACTATTAATTATAATAATAATCAAAATATAAATAGACAAAAATAAAGGATTCAATTTTTGTTCCTTGGTTTGGGAGAGGTACAAACAAAATGAGAAAGCAAGTCATTTTCTAATTTTAAAAACTATGTTCCTGATTTCAGTTTCTTTAAAAAGATGAGCTTGGCCAAACAACATGCACTGGGCCCATGGAAATCTGCAAACATGTGTCATTCAGCTCGAGTGATTTTAAAGTATTGCCCTGATCCACCTGCATACAATTTTCATGAAGACTTGTTAAATGTTTAATAGGACTACTGAGTACTCTTGTATGTAAGGTCAGCTGTAGGATAGTTAACTGTTCTTAAAGATTGGGAATGTTTATAAAGTGAGAGTAATATAAGGCAGAAAAAAACAATGAAAAAGAATTATTCGTGTTACAAGCTTGAAAAAAAGATACTCATTCACAATAAAGTATTACTACATGTAAAACAATTACTCTGAATATTATATTTGGGGATACATAGCATACACACTAGACTTGATGGTATCTTCTCTACAATCTTCAGAACTAAAAGAGCAGTTTTCCACCTTGAGACAGTAACTGCCACTTACTAATTCTGATAGACTAGACTTATCAAAGTCCACCCCCACTCAAAGCTGCAAACTGCCAAAAATATTAACAAGCTGAGCAATGTTGTTTTCTTTTTTTCCAGAAGAATGATCAGTTCAAGATATCAAGTCATCTTTATAAGTAAGGTACAACTAGAAATGTTTTTGGTTTAAATGTTGGCATTGTATCACCAGATAAATCATTGATATTTTAAAAGTTGACTCACAAATGCATAAAATATTAATAAATATGTTAGAATTACGGTTACAAATAATTTTGGGACTAACATTAAAATAATGAGAGGCTTTTTCTAAAAATATAAGTTTTATGAGTCTAAATGGGCACTTCTGTGTCTAGAATGAAGGATGACAGAATGACTATTAAGTAGAAATGACTTAGAACCAGAAAATCTACATTCAAGTCTAATACTACTTAGGCAAATCACTTAGTGCCTCTAGGCCTTAATTGGTGTTTTAAATGTAAAATGGAGAAAATAATGTCTAACACATAGTGGGTTTGTCTCATAAAGTAATAGCTTGACTTGATCATAAACGTGCTTTGTAAGCTACTCTTTCAATGTAGGGTTTTGGTATTCAGGGCTAAGTGACTTATCCCAGATCGCAGAGCCAGTTTTTTGTAGAGACAACATAATACGTAATAATCTGGTTTCCTGGCTGCTGTCCATACCCTTTCTAGCACAAGTACCTTTTTCTCTGATATTGTGCATCCGTTCTAAGAAAAGGAGATAGAATCACAACTCCTAATGCACAATGCTATCTTAAGATTTTGCTCAGAGGCATCTTGTAGGTATCCTCCTAGCTCACCCTTTCCACTTCTGTACCATCCTTCTGCCTCAGTCTTACAAAAACCACCGCTCCTCTGAGTCTGACACCATCCAAATACCTTACCTTATATCTCTACCTTATATGTCTTTGGTGTTTCTACCAACTTTGTGATCACTACTCTTTGTTCACTGAGGACTTTTCCTTCTGGTTCAGTCCTCTCATCTATTTCCAGCTTAATCTGCATTTGCACAGAATATGAGCTATCCATCACTTTGGCTTCTCACTCCTTGACCTCCCATTACCTCTTCCTCCATTCTGCCTCTGCCAGGCTCTCCTATGGTAACACTTGGACCCTTGTCATCATCAGTACACAATCTAGTCTAACCACCATTTCCTCTTTGTTCAGCTCACCTGGTCAAGCACTCCCACAATTCTTCAACAGCATGTGGCCTTCATCCCACACACTTCCTCACTATCCACCAGTTGTTGCCTGTCTTCAGTTCTTCTTTTTGTCCAGCTGGGATTCTGAAGTCCCTCAACAAAATCACCCCTTTAGGAACACTTCCAACCTCATGTGCCTGTAAGACTTGCCAGAAAAAAAATAAATCTGGATGCTTTCCACCATGGTACTCTTCAGACATGTACCAATGGTTGCTTTTTATTTTTTATTTTATTTATTTATTTATTTATTTATTTATTTATTTATTTATTTATTTTGAGACAGAGTCTCGCTCTGTCTCCCAGACTGGAGTGCAGTGGTGCGATCTCGGCTCACTGCAAGCTCCAGCTCGTGGGTTAACGCCATTCTCCTGCCTCAGCCTCCCAAGTAGCTGGGACTACAGGCGTGCACCACCATGCCCGGCTAATTTTTCTGTGTTTTAGTAGAGACGGGGTTTCACCGTGTTAGCCAGGATGGTCTCAATCTGTCTCCTGACCTCGTGATCCGCCCACCTCGGCCTCCCAAAGTGCTGGGATTACAGGTGTGAGCCACTGTGCCCAGCCCAATGGTTGCTTTAAAAAAATTAAAGAAGTTAAAAGGATATTAAATGGAAACTTTCGACTTGAGGTATCAAGATGCGATAGCAGTGAAATCCCAATGTGAAGTGGTAACCAGAATATAAATCTTCAAAAAGAGTGTAAATTACTTTATGAGATTTAAAAACCCTTCTTTACGAGGATGAGAGTAAAAGACTGAGAATACATTTTGAGAAAAGAAGGATTTTTGGGGTGAGAACTGCTAGACAATGAGCCTAGTACCCACCATCAAAGGAAAGGATATCTGGGGATACCTGCCCTCTTGAGTCAACCCTAATGAGGGCTGCATCTATGGGGCCACTCAGCGTTCAGTACAGCACACCTCTGGATGGAGGTTCCACAGATACAGGTTCTGACCCCTGCCTGGGGAACCTTGAGATAGACAGGCTGATAAACTACTCTGATATGGGAGCCAAGGAGAGGTCGCTGCCTGGAATCCACTACTCCGTAATTCCTAAGAGCAAAGGCAGCATCATGATTGTTTCTTGATGCCAGAGATGGGCCATACTGAAGACAGCTCCATTGCCTTTTTTTGAGGGTCCAGGGGCTTGTAGTTGTACAAACCAACTGGGAAGGCAATGGATTCCCTGCAGAGAGAATATGGGTGGACTGGGCTTCTGGAAATCTAGGAGCTGAGAAGGGAGTGGTAACCAGAGAAACAGAATATGCCTACATCCTAGGGGTTACGATTGGAGGGGCTTAGAAGAGAAGTCTAGAAAAAACCACAAAAATACTCACGAGAAAGTGATACAGCTTTAAATATACACCAGGACCAAAGAAATATCTATTTTCCAAGTGTATCTGTTGAGCAGAAACCTTCTGTTCCTCTTTCCTCTCCTCTCTCCCTGAGCACAACCCTGGATGAGCCTGAAAGTTAGTCAGCGAAACTCTGACTAAGAACAGACACACAGGAGCTGTGGGGTAGGGGAAGAAAGGCTTATTTTTGAATGCAGAAAAATAGTGATGAAATGTAGAAACTCAACATTTGTATTTCTGAGTCTAGATTTTTTTCAGCTAACTATAACTTCAGGAACCTCTATTTCCTAGGAGGCGTAGGGACAGCCCAGAATTTTCTATCTGTGGCAGAGAGAAAACTTTCCCCACTGCGCGACTATAAAAGGCACAATGGGAGAAAAAAATTGTTTTATTTTTATTCTATCTCATGAGTCATGCTTGTTAAAGTACTGATTAAACTGGTTTCACTTGAACTCCGTGCTCACAAGCCCCAAATGGGCTCTCAACACAGCCCAGCAATGCTACTACTTTTATCTGTGTAGCAGGCTTGTTTGCTCACTATTCTCCTATATGACTTTTACATCTTCTCTCTCAGTTCAACTCTCCTTCCTCCATCCCTTCCCACCCTGTCCTTGTTAGGTGACAAATATATCTCTTTCTTCGTTGAGACCCCAGAAAGGCCAAGATGGGGATGCCTTGACTTCTCACCCATGAAACTTCCTAAATGGGCTGCATCTTCTTCTCTTACATCCAAAGACAACTCCTGCATAAAAGGCTAGCCCCTCTCCATCTCTCTCATCTTCCTCCGATTAGCCCCTTCTCCTGCCTCAACAGTTTCTCTCTTTTACCCATTCTATCAGCATACAAATATGCATTTTTTTTAAAGTCCTCCTTGGACCCCACGTTAGTCTGCAGCTTTTTCCATTTCTCTTATTTTGTTCACAATTCAACTTCTCACACAAGTAGCATTTACTTGATGTTTACCTTCCTTCAGCTCCCATTTACTTCTCAGCTACTCCAGTGTGGCCTCTGACCACCACTCCTTTCTTTGAAACTTCTCAGTGAGATCACCGATAACTTATCTTGTTAAATCCAAGGGGCCTTTTATCAATCATGATATGCATTTTCTCAATATCACAGGTCCCTCTTTAAGCTCAAAACACTTTCCCTTCTTGACTTCCATGCCATTACTCTGTCCCAATTTTCCACCTTAGTTTCTAGCTGTTCTCCATCTCCTTTGCAACCTCCTCCTCTTCTCCATGAACACTCAATAAGGGAGAGGAGTCCAGGGCTTGCCTCTGGGTCTCTGCATCTTTGTTCTCTGCCCTCTCTTTCCTCCAACGTTAAATATGCCTTTGTGTAGCTTTAAATGCCATTTGTATAGTGATAACTACCACATTATATTTCCAGGCCAAATTTCTCCTGGGAAATTCAGACTTTTATATGCTATCACTAATTTTATACCTACATTTGGATATTTCACAGGCATGAGAAATTCCACTGGTCCAAAATAGACCAATAAATCTCCACCCTCCTCCTCCTCCTCCCAGACTGCTTCTCTTTCACTCTTCCCATCTCAGTAAATGTGGCCAACGTTTAAAGACACCAGGAACCTGGGAGTCATTCTGTATCCTTCCTTTTTCTTTATCTTCCGTAGCCATCTAACAGCGTGTAATTCCAAGTATACATTCAATCGGTCCATTTCTTGTCATCTCTACTACCTTGTATGGTTCACCTAAACTAATGCAAAAGCCTCCTTAATACCACCATTTTTCCTCCTATTTTCTGCCAAGCCACACTCCACACGTTATCAAAACACAAGTCATTATTGATATGTATCAATAATGTACATAGCCCAGCCCCTCTCCACATATAAGTCCCTCGATGTACTCAACAAAATCCTGTCTCCCAGCCGTTAACAGTGGTTCCCTGCTCACATGACATTGCCACACTGGCCAACATTAGCTGCTTGTACATTCCCCTAAGAGGTCTCCAAATATTCTATTTGCTCTGAATGGAACATGCTCAAAGCACTCATAACCACATTCAGGTGTTTTTTATCTTTCTCAAGACAGCTTCCTAATGTCCAGCTCCTTAGAGAAGCCCCTTTCCTCATTATCCCATGGAGGCACTATTTTTGTCACTGTGCCCTTATCATTTCTGCCACAGCATTTATAGCCACTTATGATCATGCATGTGTTTGCTCACTGATCTTTTTCCACAAGTTTTAAGTGTCTTAAATGGAAGAACTGTATCAGTGGTATTTACCTGTGTCCACCTCACGAGGAGGACAATACCTAGACTACAGAAGGAACTCAGTAAGATGTGCAGAAGAATGTATTAATCCGGTAGCACAGCACCATGGTAATGACCTAAATTTCATAAAATATTTCCAATATTTCCCATGTTGAGCAATAGTTTTATTAGGGCTTAGCTATCCATACAAAGAAAAGAAACAAAATAAAACGTGAAACCACGGGAATAGATCTTGGTTAGGAAGGATTTGAGGAAGTCACAATTATTCATTGGCACATTGTTTAGAGAAACCAAACAGGAACCTAATAAAAGAGAAAAACTAATATCCTCATTCTTGAATCAGGGATTCATCTTGAGGTGATGTTTAAATTGTGTAACAGTTTTAGATGCTATTACTTAGGTGAGTGTTTATTTGTGTTGACACTACACTACTTCCTCTGGAATTCAAATAAATTGAATGCTGGTTTGGGACTTGGTATTTAATTAACAGCTTGATCAATAAATATTCACTCAGCACCTTTTACAGGCACAGGTCTGCCCACAGCAGGAACTTCCCTGTATTAGTTCAACACTCAGCTTGGAAATGCCCCAAAGCCTGGGTCAGCACTAATTCAGCCTTGGCCTCCTTCTGGGGTTACACAGCCCTCCCAGGGTGGGCTTGGGGCCAAGGATGTTACTTTCTTTCCCTAATCCATTTTCCGATGTTGGCTATGATCTTTGCCTTTTCTTCCTTTAGAAATGAAACTGTTTTTCTTCTTGGATAAATCACTGCAGTCAGCTAGGGTATATGCCAAAACTAAATGATTTTAGTGTGCTATAAAGTAATGAAATTGACTTTTATAAAACTTTTATATTGAAACTGACTTCAAACTACACACATTAACCCCATTTTATTACATAGTCCGCAAACTACACAGCTTCAGAAGGGTGGGATAGGGTGGGGTGAGTCCCAACGTACTTGTGGCTCCCACCCATGTTAAACTACCAGGGCTTTTTTCTGCTCAGATAAAACTCTTTTGCACATTGACTGTGACCTCACTTCTACTTCACTTTTTAAAAATGCATACAAGTGTACCATACACACTTCTTTATGTTATAGAAGTTTTAATAAATTTAATAACCATTATTGTAATATTCTTATTAGACTAAGTAAGAAATGATGCAAATTTCAATTACCATTATAGTAAAGAAATTCATATCAGGACTCAAAGGAAAGTGGTTTTCCCTCCCCCTCACAGAAGTTTTATAAAGGAAAGATGAAAAGAAGGGAAAGAGGGAAGTGAGGAGTGTAGGAAAGAGAGAGAAAAGGAGAAGGATAGAGTGAGGGAGGGCAAGAGGGAAGCAGGAAGGCAGGAAAGAAGGAAATAAATAAGGAATATAGGTATAAAAGAAACAAGAAATGTACATTTATTTCCAATAAATTTGTTCTGCCTGGCTGATGACAGCATTCCCTTTCCAGTGAGGGGAAATGCAATGTGGTGAGGCTGGGCACCATGGCTCACGCTTGTAATCCCAGCACTTCAGGAGGCTGAGGCAGGTGGATCACCTGAGGTTAGGAGTTTGAGACAAGCCTGGCCAACATGGTGTAACCCCATCTCTACTAAAAATACAAAAATTAGTTGGGCCTGGTGGCAAGCGCCTGTAATCCCAGCTACTTGGGAGGCTGAGGCAGGAGAATCACTTGAACCCAGGAGGCAGAGATTGCAGTAAGCAGAGATCATGCCATTGCACTCCAGCCTGAGTGACGAGAGTGAAACTCCGTCTCAACAACAATAACAACAACAACAAAAAAAGAAAGAAGAAAAAAAAAAGAAAAGAGAAGAGAAAAGAAGAGAGAAGAAAAGAAAAGAAAAGAAAAGAAGAAAAGAAAAGAAAAGAAAAGAAAAGAAAAGAAAAGAAAACACAGTGTGGTGAAATGAATAAATCTGCCAAACAAAAAAGGGCCAAAGTGGAATGAGTCCTTTCCTCCAGGGTCACCTGAGAACAGACAACATACTCTTCGTTTCTCTGCTCCACACCTATTTGCAGGAATCTCCATTCTATGCACTCCATCTTTTGGCAGCATACAGACATCTGGATGGTGCTTCCTGCATTGCATTCATAGTTTTTTGAAAGAAAATGACCACAGAAGCTGAGCAAGTAGTTTACAAGCCAAAGGGAAGCCTGGCTTGCCTGTCATTAAAGCAGATGCAGCCTGGGCCAGCTGGTGGGCATCTCAGACCTGCACCAGAACACAGGGGCATGATTTTAAATCTCATGTCCCCAATGCTCAAAGCGTAAGGAGTTCTTAGATGCTCCAAAAAATGAGAAATGAACCCAAAATTAGACCGTTCACTGAATAAACAAGCCTACTTCCTCCTGCACTGCCTCCCTTTTCAATGCGAAAAAAAAAAATCAGTTTTACAACAAGGCATGAAACAGGCTGATAACCTCCCGTGTGAAGCAACCTTTAGCAAATTAGCCTAAAATAGGGCTTGAGAATTCTAACTTAGAAGTCCCACTCCCCAAGTAGATCCTGAAGTTATAACTAAGACTACCTCATTTAGCACATGACATTGCCAAGGCCGCTGAAGTTGGGTGACACCCTCAAGGTCAGTCATTTAGAAGTTGGAATCTGTTATTTTTAATCCCTTGCCAGAGCTCACTTAAATACACCATGTTGTCTTCTATCTTAAAACAGTTCCAAGGTTATAAAAAATGCATGCATATCTTTTAAATGTCAATAACATGATATAGTTATACGTGAAAGTGTTCATATTTTCACCCAAGAAAGACTAAGAAACACTGTGTCCTGATTCTCCAGAGCTGTGTTGCTTCTGCACATACACAATGGACCCCACCCAAAGGCCTTCACCAATCCCCCAAGTGCAAACACCACTGTGGCATGTAATTTCCTCTGTAAATGTGTAAAGTACACATGAAAAATACTTGTGCCCCCTTTAGATATCTTCTTAACAATTCTGTAAATATCACCTAGATGGATTTATAAAGCAGCTCTTTGCAGGAGTCCATGCGATCAAGTAGAAAGCACAAAACTAGTTGAGATGTGGATCTTCATTAGGCATTCACACAGGCTGAATCACTCAGCTCCACACAGCCTTCTCCTCACAGGGCCCACAATTCAAGTGATGAATTGCAGTATGTCATGCACTTTGGGGGTTACTCTGAAGAGCTGACAAACAATATATTTAATCCAGGAATTACAAGTAATCCTGGAATTAGCATGAAGAGAAAACACGTGGCAGGCCTGGTGAGCCTGTTCTGGCCTCTCAGAATGTCATGAACTTCAGTGCTCTTCATTAATGAAGATAACGCTGTGAGGACAACACTATTAATCTACCCTAAGAGAAACTAACTAAATATCAGCTTCGTTGTCTCGCTTCCTAAATAGGCAACAAACATCAAACTGGACGGTACATAAAAATTCTTAATCCTTCCCCTAAGCTGCAAATGGACAACAAATACAATCTTTACTAGAAAGGAAAAATATCGTCTCATCTTTGGAAAAGACAAAGGATATTATCTAAGCCTAATTCTACACATCAGTTCCTGATAGCATGAACTGGAAAACTCCACTATTCTTCATCGCCCTCCGTGGGCAATGAAAATTGTCAGCCTAATAGTACCAACCCTTCAAAACGAAGTGGGCCCTACAAAAATGCCTGGATAAAAACATACAAGTGGTCCAAGATTTTCTTTTTTCTGTCTGAACAATGTTGTCTCTGAGAGATATGCAGATAATCAACCTGTGGTGATAACTGTGTTTAAGGAACATTATTTGTGAGATAGAAAATAACATTCTCTACTTTAAAAACAAAAACAAAAATACAAAACACATGAGTGTGTGTATGTGTACACACAGTTCACATAGTATACTAGCAAGCTGTGTTGGTTTGAAGACTAGGTCAATATTTGCAGGTCTCAGCTTCTCAAATATAAGTTCAGAAGCCTCTACAAGATGCAGGCAAATGATCCAATACTGCAGGGTGAGTAGCACTCTCCAGGCATGGATAGCTCTTCCAAGACTCACATTGGACAGCCATCTTTGTTTTATTCCTGTTGCTGCACCCTCAGCAATGAGGCCATCACATAAAATCATGTTTCGCATAACAGTGGTAAGAAGCCTAAAAATCATCAGCTGCCATCGAAAGTAATGAAAAATATTCACAGAGGCCTTCAATCAGCCCATTTTTGCTTTTGCAACTATCATTTCCTGAAAAACAAGAAAAACGACAAATACAATCCAAAAATAAGATCCCCACGGCACATGGCTTTTGGACCACCCGGAAAATGCAAGCTTGGACATACGAATGGCAATGTTCTTGTTCTAACAGTTGCCAGGGACAGCTAAGAGCCTTAGAAAGGTTCTGGCACTGTCAAGAGCTTGGAACCATTAAGCTTGTTCTATATTAAAACAGAACTCAGAGTATTTTCTCTCTAATGGAGATGAAACTGAGGATCATGTTCTAGCAAGGGACACACAGGAAGTGCGGCTGATGAATATCATCATTCAGCACCCTTCACAATATCTCTCCAGCAGTGACTTCCAAGCTCCCCAGATTGAGTCATCCTGGAACACACAACGCATCAAATAATTCACCGGCTGTACTCTGAGGTATGGGCACGTGCTTCAGCACTTATCTCCTACTTTCGAGGAAACGTCCTGATACAGAGAAATCTCTATAGAGGACACACTCCCTTCCTGGGCTTCACTTGGGCTCTGCTAGGTACATGGATAAAAGCAGAGGGCCATTTGAAAATGTCACTTCACTTGTACCTGACACTAGATTTATCATTCCTACCCTCTGAGTATATTAGCATTCCTAGCATTGTTATAGTCTAGTAATTTACAAAGTATTTTTCACATTTGAGAATTTGGAACAATAACATAACCACTTACTAATCTTTTAACTGAATTCTGAACTCCGGTTCCTTTAACTATTTCTTCACCATGGAGATCCTTTTATACAAGGCAGGAACCCCTGTTGTTCCAAGTATCTTGATAGAATAAGGAACAGACAGACACACACACTTATTTTTGGTGTTCTGGACAAATTCTAAAGCACTCCCATAGATATGCTCTGAAGTGACCAAACCTTTAATTTTTTTGAACCAAAAACATCTGACAACAAACAAAAAAGTTATAGTTCTAGAGCCTGCTCACCAGTTTTCATGGGACTATTGTCAACTTGGGGACATGCCGTCCCCCACAGTGGCTCTGTCACAGAATGCTCATCTCAAAACTTAAACCCCGACAGCAATCTCCTCTCTCTTCTGTTTCTTTCTCCATATATTCTTGATCTTTGACCTCATCCAGATCCTTAGTCCCCTGACCCCTCCCTGTTTTTTCTTGCTTTGCTTTCCTTCTAGTCCTGTCTAGCCCTGAGTCTACAGTTCAAGCATGAACCTGATCCTAAACCAACACCCAATGTTTCTTCTCTGCCCCTAGACCTGGGCTGCCAAGTGCTGCTGGACAACATTCACATATTTGATGCCACTAGCTGTGCAGAGTATCAGATCATCGGGGTGGGGATGAGTGTGCAGTCCTTCTATGCTGTTCAGCAGCCCATCCTGCATCATCTCCACACCATCCCATCCTCCTCTCTTCTGTCTATCTAGCCCCGCTCTTTACATTTGGCCACAATGAATTCCATGGCTTCTGGTTTGGCTATAAGACTCCTTCTCCCAAGGGGCTTTGCTTTCTTATCATTTCCCAAGATTTTATCTTCAGATTCTCCCTCACAGCTGGGCCATTTAGTTCAAGCTTACTAGAATACCGAAATCTTTCCCTTCTTAAAATAAAAAGCAAAACTTATTGTGCAAAACGCTTCCTCAAATTTGCATCCTCCACTTTCTACCATTCATTCATTTACTCATACATTCCTATTCCCTACCTCTCTCTCTCATTTCTTCAATTTCACATTCCGTCCCCAGGCAAAATTCTTGAAAAACTGTATAAGAGTCTATCATCCCTATTTCTTCTCGTTCTGTTAATTTTCCAGCCAGCCACATTTGCCTGCCATCCCTCTCTGAAGCAACTCCTGCTCTTAGCTATGTCGACCAAGTCAGATGGGTTTCCCAGCACTGGCTCCTCTGTGGAAGGACTGGCTATCCACTCCTTCAGGACATGTTTTCCTCCCTCAGCTTCACTAGACGGTGCTCTCCTATCCAGTCCTTTTTATGGTTATTCTGGTTCTTTGAATGCTTGTGTTTCTTAGAATTCAGTCCTCTTACCTAGTCTGTTTTCAGTCCACACTTACTCACTGGATTATCTCATATAGACCTGTAGCCTCACATCTAAGCTTAAGACTGACGAGTTTACTCACTGGTCTACTCTAGATCTCATGCAGACATTTCCACTCAATATGTCTAAACCTGAATTCCTAATCTCCCCATGACAAGTTCTGAAACCAAAGATTCAACTATAGGCTCCAATGTTTCCACCTCCCACATCCAATCTCTCACCAAATCCCATAATATATGTTCTAAATAGCATTCCCTTTGTCTTCATCAACTTTTAATTGATTCTTTTCTCTGCACCACCAATGCCATTACCATAGTTTAGAGACCTCCTGATCTTTCTCATGGACTACTATAGCAGTTTCAACACTATGGCTTCATTCTATCATAACCTCACTTCTACTCAATCCACCCTCCATGTATTGACAGGGTCTAAAGATAAATCCAATCAGATCACAGTATTGTCAAAATAAATAAACACTTCAGCAGCTAAAGAATAAAGCCCAGATTAGGAGTGAAATCACATGTTAATATGTTTTAAACTATAAATTTTGACCCATAAGTGGGCTTTGAAATCAAGTTAATGGGTTGTAACCAGCATTAAAACAATATGAAATAGAATAGAATAGGCAATATCAGAGTGTGCTGCAAAGCATAATGGTAAACTTATGAACCTTTTGTTTCAGTGTTTGCATTTTCCATATATGTGTATGTATGTATGTATGTATATAATACGTTGCAGTGTAATATGTCCTTCTTATTGTGAGTAAAATGTGAGCCACATATATAATTTAAATGTTTCCAGTAACTGCATTAGAAAAAAGTAAACTAAAATAGGTGGAATAAGTTGTATATTTTCTTCAACTCGATATATTGAAATTATCATTTCAACATGTCATAAGTTAAAAATGAAACATATTCTTTTTTATACTAAGTCTTTGAGATATGGTGTGTATGTTACACTTAAAGCACATCCTAATTCAGACACCGTATTTCAGCTGCCAGATAGCTTACATGTCAGCAGTGAGTCACGTAATGATAGACCTGTTTTAGACACACACTTAGCTAATGTAACCATCCATTCTTCCTTGTATCTTCCTGTCTTTACACATGCTGTTCTGTTGTTTTGTTTTTAAATCCATCTGGTAAACTCCTATTTATCTTTATACCTTTACCTCAAGGACCACCTCCACTGGAAACTCTCCTGACTTACAAGGCCAAGTTAGGTAACCTCTTCTAGGTCCCAGAGTAAAGTGCTGTATAGCACTATACCACTCTGTAATTGATCTTTCACATGCTGCCTTAGGCTGTCAGAATGTGAGCTTCTTGAATGCAAAGATGTATCTTACTTGCTTTTATAACCTTAGAACTTAGCACTGCTATTGCCACATAGAGTGCTTTCAGTGAAAACTTGTTAAATATATTAAAATTTCTAGATTCACAACATTAAAAACTTCCAGAAGCATCCAGGGGGACACATAGTCAGTCATGGCTCCAGCTGAGAACCTCTGCTTGGTTTGCGTTTCCCTTTAGGAACCCTGGGTTGAAGCCTTTCCTTGTGGGGTTTACCATTTTGAGGTGCATTTGTTCATTGGTATCCATGGAGGATTGGTTCTAGAACCCCAGAGAATAGCAAAATCCATACATGTTTAAGTTCCTTATATAAAATGGTCTAGTATTTGCATATGGCCTACACAGACCTTCTTGTAAACATTAAATGATCTGTAGATTACTTATAATACCTAATTCAAGGTAAATGCTATGTAAATAGTTGATACACTGTATTGTTTTAATTTGTATTATTTTTATTGTTGTATTGTTATTTTTAGTTGTTTTTCTTTTTGACTTTATTTGTGATCCATGGTTGGTTGAATCCAGAGATGTATAACATACAGATATGGAGGGCCAACTGCACTTACACTCTCACTGATGGGAAGAGCTGCTATCTTAATAAACAGTCCATTTCTAAGGGTGGGGTGGGCCAGCCCTTTACTGATTCACAGGAAGTACGTTTTTGGCCAATACACCCCATCACTATGCCTCCGGGCAGGACCAGACCAAACCACTTCAGATGGCTATTATTATTACTAACAACTTCCAGAAACCTAACTTCCACAGTCTCCCTTTCAAATTGTTTTGTTTTTAAAAAAATTATCCTGTCGAAAGCTTTTCTTACCTACTCTAAATCCTCTGTGCTCACTGTCAGCCCACCCCCTCCTGTTTGAATCTCAGGAGAGCTACAGAGGAGCTTACCAGGAGGCTCTAGAAAAGAACCCTCTTATGCTTCAATAACAGCATTAAATCACCCTTAAGTCTTCTCTTCTCCAGGGTAAACAATCCAAATTTCTTTAGCCTTCCTCCATAGATCTTATTTTACAAGCTTTTAATCACCGCCTCCAGACAAGACTCTCCAAGTTCCTAGGCCCGGCTGCTGTTGTAAAGCTTAGTGCTGCCGACAGCTCTCTGTGCTGAGTATTTCACCGCCCCTCCATCCTGACTGTGAATAATATCTCTTCATATTAGGTAATGGCCTCAAGAAAACTGGAATATGAATTAACATGACTGTAATTCTCAAAATCAGGAAAGTTTTGTAATCTAAATTGCCCACTACTTAAACTCACTAAACACAGTAAGAGCACAATGATTATGGTTTCAATGTGGTATGTGGCATTTTATGCTTTCATATTTCTCATCTCATAATATGGCAAAAGGCCCTCTAGAATGAGGAAGAGGAGGTGGAGGAAGAGGAGTATCTGCTAATGTTTTTGAATTTTCACTGCATGCCAGGTATTGTTCCATGCATTATACATATTAACTCTTTAAGTAAGTAAAACAAATAAAGTAGGCATCATCATTTCTATTGTGACCTTAACAACGAGAAAGTTAGCACAAAAAGATTAAATAACTTGATGAAATTTACATGGCTAGTAAATAGTAGAGCTGGGATTGGAATCTAAAGAGTCAGGCTAACCCTTAACCACTTGCATTTTTTTTTATTATACTTTAAGTTTTAGGGTACATGTGCACAATGTGCAGGTTAGTTACATATGTGTACATGTGCCATGCTGGTGTGATGCACCCATTAACTCGTCATTTAGCATTAGGTATATCTCCTAATGCTATCCCTCCTCTCTCCCCCCACCCCACAACAGTCCCCAGAGTGTGATGTTCCCCTTCCTGTGTCCATGTGTTCTCATTGTTCAATTCCCACCTATGAGTGAGAATATGCGGTGTTTGGTTTTTTGTTCTCGCAATAGTTTACTGAGAATGATGATTTCCACTTTCATCTATGTCTCTCCAAAGGACATGAACTCATCATTTTTTATGGCTGCATAGTATTCCATGGTGTATATGTGCCACATTTTCTTAATCCAGTCTATCATTGTTGGACATTTGGGTTGATCTAACAGCTTGTTCACTGAACCCACTGCTATTTTGATTAGGATCTCATAGTCATAAAATTCTGTTTAAATTTCACCTAGAATTGCTGTTTAAATTAAGGGAATAAACAACAACAAAATATTTCAACAACATACCTAAATGAGAATAGCAATTTTTAATTACCTAAAAATATAAAAACAATATTTTAGTAAAGAGCTAGTCATCTAATAATCACTTGCTTTCTGTATATATAGGTACACATTATATAAATATGTATTTTCAAAAGGGATGGATGCATAAAATAATAAAGAATATTTTAGATACTTTTAAGTCAACTTAAAGTTAATTAGATATAAATAACCCTACCTCCTATGTCTTATATAAACATTTGTAACTATCTTTCTCTATGTAACTGAACACTAGTTACCCTGGTGATGCTAGCATCCCAGAAATATGAGCAATTTATTATAATACTTCTATTATTGGTGCTTCAGTTTCTGTGTCAAAATCTTTATTATACAGCAGCATTTCCCAAGACTTGGGATGCTTTATCACTGACGGTACTTAGGATTTTAAGAATACTCAAATTGTTTTCGGGATTTATGCAAGATTATTTGAAAGAACATAGTGACACTATATTAAATAACATCACCTTGTCATAAGCTTATTTCTTTTGCCATTTCTTTCAATCATTCTGATTAAATAAGGGAGAACTGGTCATTGTGGTGGTGCCATTCTTTTTTTTTTTTTTTTTTTTTTTTTTTTTGAGATGGAGTCTCGCTCTGTCCCAAGCTGAAGCTGGAGTGCAGTGGGGGCGATCTCGGCTCACTGCAACCTCCGCCTCCCAGGTTCAAGTGATTCTCCTGCCTCAGCCTCCTGAATAGCTGGGATTACAGGCACTTGCCACCATGCCCAGCTAATTTTTGTATTTTTAATAGAGACAGGGTTTTGCCATGTTGGCCAGGCTGGTCTCGAACTCCTGCCTTCAGGTGATCCACCCGCCTCGGCCTCCCAAAGTGCTGGGATTACAGGCGTGAGCCACCGCGCCTGGCCCTTTCTAACACTTAAGAATCTCCCATTTAACAAAGAACAAACTAACCTTAAGCACAGAGACTTGGGCAGACAACAAAACATAGCTAGAATTTAAAGACGTCATTTTATTACCCCTGTGTTTATTTTTCCAATTACTTTTCATCTACGACCTGTGGCACTACTTTTCACTTATGGTGGTGATATAAAGTTCACTTTTAAGTTAACTGAATTACAAAGTAAGCAGATTTAATGACATAGTTCAAAATTATAATGGTACATAAAAATGGAAACAATTATAAAGAGGGCATGCAAATGATTGAACTTTGAGAAGAGAGTAATGAAACACCATGAGTTAATCCACACTTATTAAAGATGAAAACCTAAATCCTTAAAGACATGCAGTCTCCTTACTCTGTGACTAGAAATTGCCAGCCAACACAATAGCTTATTCCATCTCTGTGTACAGGAAATCCTTGCATGTACATCCCAACAGAGATGTGAATCTGTCCCTCTGGGTAAGATGTGAATCAGTGTGGTATATAGAGCCAGGTTTCATGTTTTGGAGTTAAACATGAAAAAAGTTTTCTACAAATTTACTTTCCCAGCTGCAGAGAAGCCCTTGGAAGTTTGAAGTTGTTTTCCCCAAGGTACTGAATTGCTTCGAACATATTTAATAAAAATCCGTATCTTTTCAACCCTTTCCTTGTTCCCAGGTTTATTCAGAGCCCACCAAAAAAAAAAAAAAAAAAAAAAAAAAAAAAAAAATCTTTAGCAAATACTGCTTTCTGAATCAATTTTTGAATACCAGTGTGATATAGTTATAATAGACAACCAAACTTTATATATAATATTTTGTTCCAATGTCTTGACTCAAAGACATCTCCAGAAAATATTAGCATATGTAATATCTATAATGTTTTCTAAATATTATATATAAATTTTCATTATATAACCCTCCCAAAAAGGATATAATTTACAAATTAAAGGGCACAAACAAGCCAATGAGATTTTATAGAAATCCAGTTATTAATCATAAATTTAAGCTACATGTAATCATTCTTTCATCAACTCGTCTACCTCTTTATGAATGTTCATGTATTAGGTTTATGTTATAGGGCATATAAAAAGGAGAGAGAAGTTCTGCTCTCAAACACCTTATACCCAAATCAATCTGTTAGATTCTTAAAAGTGAATATAGAAACTGTGGTTCAAGAAGGAGGTAACAGGACTTTCACTTTATGTTCCTATAGATAGCCTTTTGGAATTAACTCTAATGAAATAGAACTCCTAAATTGTAAATAGCAAAAGAAACAGCCAGAAAGTTCATCAAAACCTGAGTTCTCAAATTCCAAGTGGCTCTACCAGGCTACCACGAATTTACAGTTGGAGATGCTGAGAATCATCCGAGATGGAGGAGACTAACATTTTGCAGATTTCCCTCTGCATGTCCCTACAGACTACATTGATCATTCCACGGTGCAACCCACCCCCAACCCACACCCTTCTCCTTGCTCTTTTGAATAAAGGATCCCATCCAGCTGCACACTCCCAGGGGGAAGCTTGGGACAGCAATGTGTGCTTCCCAGATCTACAATTTGCTTGCTTAGAAAGTGGGTTTCCATATGGAGCAACAGTAGGAGCATCTGTGTTTCCCTGTTTCTTTTATTTTTTTAACTTTGAAAAAAGAGAGGGGATTCATAAAAATATGCATGGTGCCATGAATGAGGGGAGAGAAGGGAGGCAGTGGGGGATAAAATGTGAGTCCTGTGGTTGTTGATTCTAAACCGGCACGGAAATTGGAAGCTGGCTCTGGTGCAGAACACCCACTCATAAAGGAGGTGCAGAGCCAAACGTCTCTGCAACAGCAAGAGGCAGAGGCCACAAGAAAGGAGGGTGTTTTGGGACAGCCAAATCACTCAGCCCAAAGACTTTTATGCATGGACAGATACTCACAAGATGATTCTAGTGTAGTTTCCCCAATTATTGGTTTAAATGAACAAAACTGAAGTAGGCTGCCTGTGGGAACTATCCAGGAGCTCTTCCTCGTGGTATACAGTAAGCATCACTGTCCCATCCTGGGTGATGGGCTGCCCGCCATTCTGACGGGTCCTAGTCAACATGGCCCTTCCCTGCATTCGCTTCGCTAACAGAAAAGAACACTGAATTATGCCTGTTTTGAACAATGAATGTCTCTGTGTCCTCTTCCAAAACTGAAAATGAATGCTTGACAAACATATTTAGATAAAAGAGGAAAGAGATTTAAGTTATTCATTTCAGAATACAGTATTTTCCTCTTGGTTTCTAAAGTCTGCCCTTAGTTAACTGTTACAAAATAGAAGGCTATACACATGAACCTTTTACAATTTGTTTAATAGTGGGCTCTTGCTCTCCTGCCCAAGCTGGAGTTCAGTGGCATGAGCATAGCTCACTGCAACCTTGAACTCCTGGGCTCAAGTGATCTCCCTAACTCAGCCTTCCAAGTCGCTGAAACTATAGGCAGACACCACCATGCCCAACTAACTTTTTTAAAAACGTTTTTTTAAGAGAGACAGTCTCTTACTATGTCTTGAACTCCTGGCCTCAGGCTGGTCTTGAACTCCTGGCCTCAAGCAATCCTCCCATTTCAGCCTCCCAATTCACCAGGATTACAGACATGAGCTACCACACCCGGCAACAAACTTTTTTGTAATATGAAAACTTATGGAATAGGAATACTGTGTATTACTTCAGTTTATTTAATAAAGTTAATTTTTCTTGGCATAATGTGCCATGCAAAATAGTTTCTTTTCAACAACCAAGAAACAAAATTACTAAATTTAAGAAAATTAGAAAAACCAAGGAGGAGGTCATGTTAGCAAGTATCTGTTTAATGGAAGATTTCATCAAAGTAGCCAACCATAAATCAGAGGGAAAAATTTTAAAAATCATTTTTTAAAAGTTGGATTTTCTAAAGCATTAGAATTGTTTCTCACTGCCATCATTAAAATATACAGATTGAAGGGATAAAATATAATTATTCAATTATGCACTTTAAAATTTTTAGAATCTTGTGTAATTCCTCAATTCCAAATATTTATGTTATGACTGTTCTCCTTACTCAGACTGTCCAGAATGATTTCTTATTCCTCTTATTTCTAATTTTCTTCTTTATTTCATTTACAGTTAAAGGTAGATGTCTCAAAACATATTAGGTAGCCTGTATATGGAAAATCTTTAGTAAGTATTTGCCAAATAAAAGGATAATTGATTATTGTATAATTTCACTCATATGCATTTTTATTCTACTTAAAATATTATATTTATTATGGTATTTATTCAGTTACATTAGCAACAGCATTCAAATACATTCTGTGATATTCTGCAAACTATTTTAATGTTTAGTAACTCAATACTTTTAACTCAATATCAAACTTAGATTTACCTTTACCTGAAAAGATCTGCATAAAATGAGCATATTCTCTAGCACTCCTATACAAGTCAATCATGACATTTTTCAATCAGAAGAAAAGGTTGTAAACCTGAAATGTTCCAGAAATTGAATCACTAAGGTTGAAATATTCAGAAAATAAAAATAAAACACTTTAGAGAACTTATGTGAGTCATAAAATACCCATTCTTCCTGTTTTTTAAGTCGACCATTGAGCAAGAATGCACCCCTAAACCAGTGAATCAGATGGCTGAGTGTAGCTTGTAGCTGGCCCTCAATTCACTGCACTGCAACTTGTACTTCCTTCATCCTGTCTCCAAGTAAATGACAAAACAAACACCATGTGGTCTTTTGTTGATCTTCAGATCCTTTGCACAAATGCTCAATCATTTTGCTATTGAAAATTGAAGATGCCGTTTGGTGATTCAAAGTATTTCTATCACGGGAGATTTTGAAACCGCCAATGCACTTTATCTATTGCATGGACTAAACTAAACTGGTCCCAAACTGATCTCTGTGAAATATAAAAAAGAATAATTTATAAGAGACAGAGAAGTGGAACTTGTTTTCAAATGATATGACACTAACTTCAGACAAATTCATTTCAATGAGTACTGAATGCTATATTTATACTGCACATAGCAAAATCCCAGCTTCTCTGGGGGCATCTAACTTGCTCTTTGTTCAGGAAACAAGACTTTTTCACATACAGCTGTTAGAGCCTAGGTCCAGTCCACATGTAAGGAAATGGCACACTAATATTTTATAGCTGCAGAGTTCTTTGTGGTTTATGAGGGCAATCTCATATATATTATCCCTGTTTGATCTTCACATCAATTTTGTGACATAGAGAAAGAGTTCATAGTACCACTTCACATGGGAGTAAACTGAGGCTACTATGGTTTGTGGTAGAAGCAAAGAAATACTACATGAGTACAGAAAAAAATGAGACATCAATAGGAAGCACAGGAAAACTATGTGAAAGAAAAGCTACTCGACCTTAACCATCAGAGCATTTCATAAACACTTTTGCTCAGTAGTTGTTAATGCCACTATCAGAGCTGCTAAGTGACCTGTCTAATGTTACACAAATACTTAAATGTAACTGTTTAGATTTGATCAAGACATTCTGATAATAAGTCATGGCTCTTTTTTCTATCCCTCCAACCCCTGCCTTGAGAGGGACAGGATTTATATTTTCTAAACCAAAAAATAAAGTTCATTCTTAAGATACAAGGACAGTAAAACCCTCATTGCAAAAAACTCTGAGTCGCAGAAAACTGCCATGAGTAACAGGTAGCATTATGTTCTCATCCAGTGTGAGTTACTTTTCTAGTTATATGACATAGTACCTGTTTAATTTCTGTGATAAAGAAATAAGGAGAAGTTTTTAAATGTTTGCCATTACTGAGATTTTCTGGTAAAGCAAGGACAATCCAAAAAGTTAATAAGTAATGTGTATATATACTGAATATGCAAAAAGATTAGCAATGACATTGATTCTTAACATAAAATTGTGATGAAGCATATTCTAAAAACAGAGAACCTGAGAATTTCTAAAAGTTCAGGATAGGGGGCAGTGGTGAGACGAATTATTAATAGTAGTTAACCTGACTAAAATCAGTAGGGTCATCGTCAGAAATGAAAATAAAAGTGTTTATTGTTTTATGGTTTTTGTTTTGTTGTTAAGTAGGCAGAGCATAATAAGAAATAAATGATAGACATTTCTTGTTTCTTTGCCAAATTCCTATAGGCAGCTTACTCAACTGGCTTTATGTTTAGTCTTGCCCAACATGTCAGAAGCTGAAGCTGGAAGGATAATCATACAGACTCTGACCCTCAGTGGACAGAAGCCAGCTTATTATTTACTTTTGAAATGAAGTTAATAAAATATTGCAGATACCTTAGCCCATAGGGTTGTTTTACAGCTTATCTGAGGTGCCTACAGTATAACTGAACAAACCTGCAACAAACATTCACGTGACCCCACAAATGGAAAGTCACTGTAAAAACAAATATTTGATCCAGGCAAAAGAAAGGATTAGACATATACACTAAAGTAAAAGCCAGTACAAAGTAGGGTATATGATATGCTGCCAATTGCACTTAAAAAATACATCCTTAGGTACATACACATATACATATATGTGGAATGTGTGTGTATGTGTAAGCAAGCACAAGAATAAACCAACTCTGGAAGGATAGGTAAGTCACAACAGTGGTTAACTCCAAGGAGCTCAACTGGGTAGCTAGGGAAAAAGATATTTATACTATGTTACTATCTACTATTTTGTACCTCTTAAATTTTACACTATGTGACTGTACTATCTAATCAAGTACAAATAAAATTGAAGTTTTTTTTAAAGAAAACTTTGTTAAGGACTTTTGAGTCAACAGAAACAAAAATGCACATAAAGAGAACTTAAAATGGTATCTAAATAAGATTTATAAGACAGCCTTAAAAAAAAGCCAAATTCATTCTTATTTAGTTCTAAATTGCCATGTTTCAAAATTTAATGAGGTGAGGTAGAAATCCACTTTTATAGCTTAAAAAGAATAAAAACATGGGATACACAAACATTCCCGGGTAAGATTGTACAAGGTCAAGAGCAATCATTCAAGAGTAGACTTTGTACTGGCTTTTATCCATAGTCCTTGAACCTAGTGGTATGTGTGTACAAGTGATAATGTGTGTATAAAACCATTCACTTCTTTATCATTGTCTGTGAGAAAAAATCCATTATCCCCTAAGGCCTATCAAAGTCATATGATAAATTTTACTGTAATATAGATCATATACACCAAAGTGTTACCAGGCTTGAATATGCCAGCTTCCTAATCACCATTTTCCCCACCACATTAAGAAGCAAAAATTTTATACACATTCCAATATTTCACAAAATACATGACATGAAATTATCAAAAATGACTCAACCAAAAAAATGATACTCGATTTATCTTAATTCTACAAACACCAAGCACTATCAAGACTGCAGTTGCAACACAAGCACTGAAGAATGCAAAGGTGACATGAAACCTACCTTTGCAAGGAGTTAACAGTCCGATAGTGAAAGTAACTTACTCAGAGGAGAGACAATGTGATGAGGGCCACATTTCATACCAGGAGTTCGTGTCTGTGATACCCTCCAAATCATTGCAGCACAGAATTTGATGGAAAACTGGGGATATTTGGAAAGAAAGAAGCAAAGAAGGGCAAGATACTGGATAGGACCAAAGTAACAGAGGTTAATCTTAAGCAAACACTAAGCATGATGTGATTGCTTAGGCTTAAATGAGAATGTGCTTTTCTGATTGGTAAAAATTCCAAAGCTAAAAGACAGGAATATCCATGAAATTTCCAAGTACTGCAGGCTTTCAATGTAGAAGCTCATGTGGGACTGGCAGAGCAGTTTGTTAGAAACTTAAACTGGCAGTAACATCTGTGGTTTCTTTTACTGGAATTGTTCTTGTAAAAGATTTATGAGAGGCAAACATCCCTGCTTGGCTTATTCATAAAAGAAAATGGTGTAGAGACACAATAGATGTACAGACAAAATGTTTTAATATAGTCTCTCTGTGCATTCACAACATAAGGACAAAGACTTCTCAGTTAGGGAAAGAATCAGTGAGACCTATTTCATGGGTCAAAAGTATGGGATTTTACAGTTTTTCTTATGTGAGAAATGCCAGTATCTGTATTTTATCAGTGAAATTCCATTCATCCCCAGATCCTCGTTTATAGTTATAATCATTGAAAAAAAAAATATGCTCACAATATTTATGACATTGGTGCATGATATTCTGAAATGTAACAAATGGTATACATGTCAATGCGATGTAATATTTATCTTCAATGATTAATCTTATGATTAGGACAAAGACTAAAGCGAACATGGCAGTTATATGTTAAACAAAGATTTCCAGGAAGGCAGTGTGCCCATCTGGTCTCTTCTCTTGGTAGAAATCTTATATTTAGGTACCCAGCAGATAGATTTCTCTAGCATCTGGCAGAACACTCTCTAGGGATGAGGAGATTTATCTCTTGATCTTATAAAATAAGCTGACTTGACTGAGATTCCTTATTGTGTAAAAACCAAAAGAATGTTCTAGATTACTCAAAATACTCTTGCATTCTTTCATTTATTCTTCCATTCATTTAATCTTTCAACCATTCATTCTTCCATCTATCCACTCCTTTACCTATCTGGCTAGCAAATATTTATTTAGATACTCCTATGTACTAGGTGCTGAAGATACAATGATGAACAAGGAAGCAGATTTACCCTTCCCTGCTGACTTATAGCCTAGCCAGGCAGACAATGATAACCTCCCAGATGGCTACACATTCACAGTTGAGATAAGTGCTCTTAGGAAGAAATATTGTAACAAAGATGGATAATAGGGAGACCTAAAGAAGACTAGGGGTTCAAAGAAGATGGTCAGCTTCAAATAGTGACATTAAAACTCAATCCTAAAGAATGAGTAAGAATTAGCCAGACGAGTGCTAGGAAGCTCATTATTGGCAGAGGGAACAGCATGTGCAAAGAGTCTGAGGCAGAAAAGAGCTTGGTGAGTTCAGCAGGTATGGCTGGAGCCCAGAGAACATGGGTGGTGGTGACAAGCTCTGACTTTGGACTGGTCTGGGTGATGCAGGACCCATAGGCCACGGTCAGCCCACAGTCAGATTTTCATTTTAAAAAACTCGTTCTAACCAAGTACTAAATTTGCCAATATGATTTCTCCCTTGTTTGTAACGCTAGTCACAAATATCCCTCAGCTAGGGTAAGGAAATTTGCAAGTCCCCCTGTTGCCAACTTTCCATGGGTCCTCACAGTCATTTTACAAATAAACTTCTAACACTCATATTGGGAGAACAGAACTAATTTTTCACATTAAAAACTTTTTTATTTCTGATGATGTTTATAAAATCATTCTTTAGCATCCCATAGCCAATTTCCCCAAAATGAATTAGATAGGGAAATAATTGTCTATTTCTAGAGGATTTTTCATTATGAAAGGAAAAATCGTCTGACTCAATATTGCACATCAGTTCCACACACAGGAAAACCGTGAGTGCACAGTAATTCTTTTTGTGGCAAATGCAAAGTCTGTGGTCTCTGCAGGTCTCAGAAAAGACCACATACTAGAAAAACCGCTACCTGCCTGTCAGTGGGAAGGTCTCTGCTGTACCTAGTGTGCAACTTTGACCTTCACCAGGACAACGTAAAGCCTAGCTGGATGTTTCCAGATGCCCCTTAAAGCTATTTTGCAGGGAGGAATTCCTGGTTAATTAAAAGGATAATCAAACATTTTGAACAGTAGTGCAGTAGTGGTTTGTCTGGTTTGCATTTGCCGTCCTGACAAGGTCTAATATTTTAAGGCTCCAGTCTTGAAAAAAACATGTTAAAGGAGATGAATGAAAAGTGAGGAAGAGGCACTGAAGAGAGGTCTGTGAAGGGCACTGCAGGGAGAGAAGTTGGGCAGAAACCCAGAGTGGGTTCCTCTTTGAGGTCTAGAGAATGCGCTGGGGAAATGTAGCAGGACGTTACCCCACTGAGGTTCTACCTGAAGGGTCTGAGAGATCAGGCACTTTTGTGCACTTAAGATTCCTCTTTTGGCCAGTTACCATGCTCTGAATGCTTGCCATGTTGAGATTTGTAGTTTTCAACTATCTAAGTCTCTTTTTATTGCCTCTTCTTTTGCTCCCTACCTCCCACAGAAATATACCTCGCCAACAAATAACCGTCTCCCTATGTGTTGTTTATACCGAGATGAGCAAGGGAGTGCCAACAGGTCACCCTCTGAAGGTGGAATTACTCATCTGCTTTCTGGAGAAGAGCTGTGGGTAACATTAACTTCTCAGCTGCTGCTGTGCAGAGCCCCGGTTGAGCCATAACTGGAGGCTCAGGATTTGAAACACGCTCTTGTCTAAGCCATTACATACTAAATGAATCCAACCCTGCCTCCAGCATCAGAAAGGAAGAAACTCAGATTTCTTCACTAAAAATTCTCCTTCCACATTAACATTTCATACCTTTAGGGGAAAAATTGCTTTGTCTTTCTCTTTCTTCCAAAATAAGAAAATGCTTTTTTGGATATTGATATTTGAGGAGAAGGGCAGAGGAAAAAAAAAAAAGCTTTTGCTGAAAGAAAAAAAAAATCACCCTTTCTAAAAATCTAACAGTTCCTAAGGCCTCTTTCCCCTTATAGAATAAAGGGAGCAAAAGAGATTCATGACCTGTACAGCAGATCCCAGGAAACTGTTTTTGCTCATGGTTATCTGGTCAATAGCTCAGGCAGTATAATTTTCAAAAAATGGATGTTGCAATAGTAGCAATTCAAATTAATGAGCGTATTTTTAAACTCTTTAAAAACTAAACCTGAAAGCATAGTTAATAGCTGATTGGCCTCACAGGGGCTTCAAGCCCATATTTTGAATATTAAACCTTGACAGCATGGCAAACGAATAACTTGGACTTGTAAAATATAGGAAATTTAAAGCCAAAACCAGAGCTTTATCCTAATTTACCTCATTCTTCTTCTCTATCATAAATATCCTAAACTGCTGGAGGCATGTGCAGATCCAGTGATTTTATGCACGGCATACTCTAAGACACAGCGCCCCTGCGATTAGGTGACATATAGATGAAGCATGTGCTTACGACTCCTCGTGGTTGTTACTTTGAAAGACTTTGTGGAATTTTAGAAGGGAACCATAGAAAAGCAAACATCACTTTGGTCTATGTACATATATTAAGCATTTAATGTATTGACATTCAAGTAGATCTTAGGGGCTTATTTATAGTTTATAGAAGGGTTTTTAGAATAGCCTTTATAGTTTCCAAGAGAAGACTTTAATGCACAAAAGGACAAGGAGATTGACCCTACTTCTACACACTTCCTTTGATGGGGGTGTGGCAGCATTTACCACATGGAGGAAAGGTAATACAAGTAAGATGATTATAAACAAATGCTTTGAAAACAGAGTCAATGAAACCAGTCTGTTTGTGAGGCCCAAGGTCTTATATTTTACAACTCAGTCTGTAAGGATAGCTATGTATCTGCTTTTACTAAACTGACTATGAATAGGTGCTAAAAAAGAGCACTGTTACTACAGACTTTAGTATCTTGTTTAAGATACCAAGTGCTGTAATTTCATTATGCTTTTTAGGAAAATCACTCAGCAGAGACCATGTGCATGCCCCAGTCCATTCAGGGAATGCATAGTGCTGTGGCAGAGCTGCAGGCAGGGTGAGATGGCTGCCTGTGCCACCCACTCCGGAAATCCATTCTCTCTAGAGCACCGGCTGGGGAAGGGAGCATGCCCTAATGTCAAAATAACTGGCCTTCTAAGAAGTTCCAAATAAATAGTTGGACCAGTTCAGTACTACTTCTACAAAAAGATTGCGGGGGCAGGGGAACTTCACACATTACCAAGCACCTCCCCCAAGGGAAATAATGTCAATTTTTAAATTTATCCACATCCTGTCAAGCATCTGGAAATATATGGAACTCTCTAGATAATAAAAAGACAGCCTTGATAAAAGGGTTTAAAAAATATTATTGAAGTACATGTAACCCCAACTCTTTCATTTATTAGCTGAAGGACCATGAGTAAGTCACTTCATCTTTCTGAGCTTCAAGGTCCCTTTAACTGTAAACTGGTTATAACACCGTCACTAGCCCCCCGATGGTGGATGGAATAATTCAATGAGAAAACATGTCGACCTGGCCTAATAGGACCTAGAATGTAAGAAAGACTTAAATAAATGTTAGTACCACTCCAACACACATACAGACCTATATACAGAATAATGAAAAGCAGAAACTGGGCCAAACTTTGAATGACTCTGACTTGTTACTGTCTGATTCAAATTTTGGGCTATTAGAAGCAATACTACAATCCATTTTGTTAGGCATAGGACTTAATAAAGTTTTCTAATTAGTTCTTTGCAATAAACTCTTAGAAATGGAAAAAATTGAAAAGCTGTAATTCAAAATTTGAATAGACGTTTTCTCAGAGGTAGGGTTGCGTGTAAATTTATTCTTTGGGCTTTTACATGGTTTCTCAATTTTCTACAATGTATGTCTGTGTTTATACACGTACAAATGTATGCACATACATACACACACATACATAACTATAGACACACACATATATTTCCTGTATAATCAGAAAACTATGCTTTATAAAAGATATGGGCAAATAGTTTTAATTATAGTAGTTTCTATCATGTAAGCATCTATGTCCTTTTATAACCAGAACTGCACAGGCTACTGAAATATTCTGAAAAAAAAAAGAGAAGCAGTACGTCATCACTCTGTACTTTTAACACCATCAAAACGTTGATACAGATGTCCTACACAGTGAAAGGTGCACACCAACAATAAAAGAAAAAACAAAACAACACCTTTACTTCAAAAGACATTGCCTGATATCTGTTAGGGTTTTGACGATACACACCAAGAGTTACCAGGGTCTTGCTTGTGTTTTATCCTTGAAGCCTCCTCGGAGCCTGGTACATCAAGAGTGCTCAGTAAACTCGGAGCCTGGTACATTGTGAGTGGTCAGTAAATATTTATTCAAAGAATTAATATATGAATGTAACATGGGAGTGACAGATGATCATAGTGGCTTTTCGAGATTTCTGCTTTGTTTTGTTTATTAACAGAAAGACTTGGGCAAGCAACATTCAAATGAATGTATTCAGACTGAGACAAGAAAGGTTGGCAATTAAGAAGGTGGAATATGTTGTGTGATTATTACAATACACAATTTTTCATGAAATCAGAAAATGGACTTTGTTTTTAAAAATTAAGAGATTGTCACATGTGAAACATACTGAACCAATTTTCATATAATTTCTAGAAATACATTAATCTCTTTACTGTGAAAAAGTATGAACATTTTTTTAATTCCCAAGGGTATTTTTTTTTGAGAGAGAGAGAGAATGAAAGTGCAATATAATGAGTAATGACAGGTATGTCTCCTCTGTCTCCTGTCCTCTTTGCCTCATTATAAGATCTAGATCATAATCCAGAGCAGGTACTGTACTCATCAGAGCAGTGCTAACCCCAAGTGTCACTGCCCACCTGAAGACCCTTCTCCATGAAGTCCAACCTGCATTCTCAGGCAAAAAGTTCTCAAGCTCAAAGATCTCATTTTCCCACAGCAGTGCAAGAACAGAACTCCACACTTGGTGTGTTCCTTTAGCTTTATGGATTTTGATTTTGACCCAGTATTACAAAGGCAAGAATCAAAGAAATAATACATTGCCCTCAAGTTTACTTTAAAGATTGAGGAAACAGAAAGGATGAAACTTGAAGACAACCCATTTCTAAATTGGAGCCCCATGTTCAAACCTACTAGAGAAAAAAAAGTAGGTGACCATGTCAAAGCTGTAAAGGTGATTTTACTTTGGTTTGTGCTGATTCTAATCATTTTCAAAATGTACAGAGAATTTCCTGCTCTGATTTCCAAAAACATGTCACCCCCACCCCCACTCTAGTACAAAACACAGCTGGGTTAACTAAGATAAAACATTAAAAAGACTCCTAAAATAGTAAAATAAAAAAGAATGATGATGATGCTGTTTTTAATACAGTTTCTACTTTGCACCATTGCTTTATGAAATCATCTTTCATCCTCAGGACAACACTGTTAGGGGGTACTATTGGCCTCACATTTCAACTGAGGCTACTGAGGCACAAAGTAGACAGCCTGATGGGAGGCACAGAGCTGCCAAGCAAAGTCTAGGCCAGGGCTCTCTGGCCCCAAATCTCTTAATAGCAGCAAATTCGTCCACTCTCAGCGGCTTCACACACACTGGTTTCTCTGCCTAGAACCTTCTCCCCCATCTCTCCATTGGCTCAACTCTTACTCATTCTTTAAGGCTCAGCTTGAATGTCACTACCCCAGAAAACCCTTCTCTGACCTCTCAACCTAAAGTAAGTACCCTGTTTTCACTAGCTTAGTAGCTCATTCTTTCACTTCAGGGCATTTACCTAAGTGTGAAAGTATGTATTTATTTGTGTGATGTGTTTAGTGCCTGCTTTCTGGTCTAGACTGTAAGCTCCAGACAGGCAAGGGCCACTTCTGCAAAGGTAATTATTGGATAAATATTTGTTGACTGACTCATTGACTGATAGAAGTATGACAATGATTTTCACAAGGTGAAGGTGAAGACTGTGGACCCTTCTGCACTTGCACTCTGCCTGTTCTAAAAATAGGAGCTCTACTTTGATCTGTTTATATCTTGAACTTCCTCAAAGATGTTTGTAACAAAGTGTCAAGAAAAGAGAAATTTGTTAATGACTACTCCATGATGCTTCCCTATATCCACAGACTCAGGTAACCAATAAAGTGAAAGAAACACTTCTAACCAAAGAAACAGAGCACAAACCAAAGTAAAATCACCTTACAGCTTTGACGTGGTCACCTACTTTTTTTTGTCTACTCAGCATCTGTTTAAGCAGACAAGGTATCACAAACCAACAGAGAGAGAAATGGCATCGCTGTGTCAGAATGCAGATGTGAACCAAAATTCTGACAAAGTCACTCTTCTTTACAAAAGCTTCATAACAGGAGCTTCTTCTTATCTGTTTCATTTGTGCCATGAGTAAGACTGATAATAACTGGATAGGCATGTGCCATTTACATGGTAAATAAAAAATGAATAGCCTAACTGTATTTGCAGAATACCCACTTAATCTTGGAGTTCCTTGTATTTAAAAAAAAAAAAAAAAGTTTTAAAAAGTTGTCTGTATCTTTCCTTTTTTCTCCTTCTCTGAGGAGGACCCAACTTTAGGGGCTGATACCATATAGCCCAACAGGACACATGCCTCTGAAATGTCCAACAAATATTCCAAGTATTCCTACCTTCCCCTTCATGGAAGACTCCTTCCCACACAGTCTACCAGCTTCCTTACAACACAGCAAGTGATGATCAGTCTATAATGTTATATAGTGTGGATATATATAATTTTTTTTTTGAGATGGAGTCTTGCTCTGTCGCCCAGCCTGGAGTGCAGTGGCACCATCTCAGCTCACTACAACCTCCTCCTCCTGGGTTCACGCCATTCTCCCGCCTCAGCCTCCCAAGTAGCTGGGGCTACAGGCGCCCGCCACCACACCCGGCTAATTTTTTGTATTTTTAGTAGAGATGGGGTTTCACTATGTTAGCCAGGATGGTCTCCATCTCCTGACCTCATGATCTGCCCGCCTTGGCCTCCCAAAGTGCTGGGATTACAGGCGTGAGCCACTGCACCCGGCCATATAGTCTGGATATTTTAAGGACTAAGTAAAGTGATTGCACTGATTAGAATGGATTCTAATTGCACTGGTGTAAAGTAGCAGGGTGTATACAGGACACAGCACAATCCAATTGACATGCAATGGTAGTATCACCAACACAAGGTTTGAAAAGGATTTCCTTTTTTTACCAAAACAAGCTTTTTGACATGGAAACATGGCACCCTAATCATTCTGCCATGGGAAGGCAGCCTCATCTCTTATGTTTCCCCCTAAATATTAAGTGAGTCAGATCCCCACCTGTGACTTTAGATTTCCCTCTGGGTCTCAAAAGGAGTGACACATCACAAAAAAGTGCACACTTCCATAAAATAAGTCTGAAAATCAACACTTAAATAGATTTACAAAAGACTAGAATTCTTAAGAGCATTTCTTTCACAACACTCTGACTTAGAAAAAGGCCATTTCAAGCTTCAATATTATTCACACAGAGCTTATTTTGATGAAATAAGGAGATACTTTCAATATGGAAGCAGCTGGACCAATTTAGAGATTTGGCATCTGAATTGATGCTAGATTCATTTAGATAATAATTTTTTTATTTTTCTTACAGGGAATATTTATTAAAAAGTCACTTTTGGAAGGTAGCATATTACTGACTTCCAACCCAAGTATTCAATAATTTGATATAGATATATAAAAAACTCAAGTATTTTATTAGTCTCTATTTACTTTTAGAAAGGAATACCCATTTATCAGAAAATTTAAAAATGAGCATAAAGAATTTGTTATATCAAAATCTACTAGTTAATTCTTAAGATACCAAATTTTTATTTTAATCATGAATAGTTTAAGCAGGACATTTTATGTCTTCTATATAATGAGACTTTAACTCCATAAAATTTAATTTTTATTCAGTATTATACTAGGTTGTAAGAAAATCCAAACATTAACATTTTCCACTGGATGACTAAAGTCATTAAACTTTCTTTCAAGGAATATGTAAACATAGATATGGTATCTGTTGTGCTTCCTGTGGCTGCAAGTGACAGAAGTTCCCAACTCAAATAAATGTGTTACAAAATGAAGGTGCTTTTATCCCACAGAATCAGAAGTCCGGGCCGGGCACGGTGGCTCACACCTGTAATCCCAGCACTTTGGGAGGCCGAAGCAGGCAGATCACGAGGTCAGGAGATCGAGACCATCCTGGCTAACACGGTAAAACCCTATCTCTACTAAAAATACAAAAAATTAGCTGGGCGCAGTGGTGGGCGCCTGTAGTCCCAGCTACTTGGGAGGCTGAGGCGGGAGAATGGCGTGAACCCGGGAGGCGGGGCTTGCAGTGAGCCAAGATGGCACCGCTGCACTGCAGCCTGGGTGACTGAGCAAGACTCCATCTCAAAAAAAGAAAAAAAAAAAAAAGAATAAGAAGTCGAAGACAGGAAGCCTCAGAGTTAGTTCCATCAGGACTCTACCACTGGGCTCTGCTGGTCCCATAAAGTGGCTTTATCATCGGTCAAAATCCTCACATGGTTATAAGATGGCAGTGTAACTCCAGTCATTTTATCTAGACATACCGATGTCCAAAGAAAGAAGAGAGGCTCTTTACCCTTTATAAATGTTTAAAAGCCAGGAAACCTTTCCCAGAAAACCCCAAGCAAACTTTCCTTTCCATCTCATTGGCCAGAATTCTGACAAATTTTCATGCTGAAAATCACCACTGGTAGAGGATGAAAGTGATCACTAGCCACTATTATTAATTTTAACTATGTAATGAGTTACATTGTGTCTCCCAACAAGGTATGTCAGAGTCCTAACCCATGGTAACTGGGAATGTGACCTTATTTGGAAATAGGGTCTTTGTAGATGTAATGAAGTTGAGGATCTTAAGAGAGATCATCCTGAATCTTCCATAAACCCATGACTGGTGTCCTTATAAGAGAAAGGGGAGGGAGAGCAGAGACACAGAGAAAGCAGCAGTGTGAAGATGAGTGATGCATTTACAAGCCAAGAAACACCATGAATGACAGCAACTGCCGGAAGTAGGGGAGTGGACACATGGACTGGATCCTCCTCTCAAAGCCTCCAGAAGAAAACAATCCTGCTGATACCTTGATCTTGGATTTCTGGCCCCCTGAACTGTCAAAAAGTACATTTCTGTTGTTTTAAACCACCCAGTTTGTGGTACTTTGCCATAGCAGCCCTGAGTAATAGACATATGGGATGGACTGTCTGGGGCTGGACAGTCTTCCTGAAGCACATGACTATGTGCAAGATGGAAGATATTATAAACAAAGCTGGTAAGGACGAAGGAAAGCAACTCACGATGTCTGGTATAGACACCTTTCTGGCTGTCAAACCCCAACCATTCATAAAATCTATGTTTTAAGTAAACTTTATTTTAGAATAATTTTAGATTTGCAGAAAAATTACCAAGATAGTACAGAGAATCCCCATATATCTCACACCCAATTTCCCCGATTAGTAACATCTCCCATGTTACATTTACATGTTATGCAATATGTGAACGTTACATCTTACATATATGGTATGTTTGTTACAATTAATGAGCCACTATCTATATAGCAGTATTAAAGCCCATACTCTACTCAGATTTTCTTATTTTTACCTAATGTATTTTTTTCTGTTCCAGGACACAACAGTGACAATGTGCATAAAACCAACTGGAATTTCACCTGTTTTTTGTTAAATTTCTATGTGAGATGAAGCAATATAATTCACGCATTTCATATAAAGGAAACATAAGCAGAATAGATCCACCAAAAGACTACAAACTACAAATAAACAAAATGTGAGTTGATGAAAAAATAAACTGTTTTTCAAGAATAGCCCAAAGATAAGCCCATAATAACCTAGTACATACCATGACACAATAGAATAGTCAACATCAGAGCTGCAACATTTCTAAATCAAAAATCTAACAACTCTTCCAAGATAATGATGCCAGAAGCATAGTGTCAAATGTTTACTCCCTGTCCCTAAATGGGGCAATTCTGACAGTTAAGTGTTCAACACTTTGTTCTTCTCACCACAGCTTCTCCCTTGCTGATCTCATCTCCTCTTAGGACTTCAAGTTTGACCTCTGGGTGGAGGACTCAGATCTTTATCTTCAGTCCCTATCCTCTGCAATCCTCCCTACTGCCTGTTGGATGATTCCATCTGGAAGTCAACAAACTAAAACTGAACTCATCTTTTTCCCCAGACCAAGTAATTGGCGAAATACTTCTCTCAGTATTAACGCTAACTGAGCATTAGACTTCAAAATCATTTTTTTATTCTTCTTTGCCTGCGTTCAATGTCTGTTTATATACCAGCATGCCAATTTAAAGTGTCTCTGATCAGCTGGGTTCAGTTTACAGGTTCTAAAACGATGAGCAGAACCAGTGTCATCACCCCACCCCACCCCCAAGACCTCAGCATCAGCCAACAAATGCCCCCTCTTTAGAGGTCTAAGTTTTAGCACCACAAGACCCCTTCACTTATCTAAATTTTAGGGATGGCTGCTTCTTGCAGTCACTACCTTCTGATACCTTAGAGGAATGTTTCTCAGCCTTGGTATTATTGACAGTTCAAGCTGCATACTTTTTTGTTATAGAGGCTTGTCCTGTGTAAAGATGTTTAGCAGTATACCTGTCCTTTACCCATTAAATGCCAACAACATCTCCCCACCAAGTTGTGACAACCAAGAACATCTTCAGACATTGCCAAATGTTCCCTGGGGTGGCAAAATTACCCTGGGTTGAAAGCCACTACCTTAGACTTCACTGTTTATTAACTAATTAATAATCATTTTCATTATCTAGTTACTAATTTTATACCTAGTTAACATTTCTTTATATTTTCTGTGTGCAAATAACTAGTGTAGTTTCCATCTTCTTTCTAGACTCATACAGTGCTCTGTAGTAACATCTCCTGAATTAGTCCTTTTATTTTTATTTTCACCCTTGTCAATTTAAGGCCCCATTATCCTATGTAGTCATCTTCTAAGCCATTTTTCTGCCTTCCATTACTCCACATTACAATGCATCTGAACTCCCACACACATCCCTGATCTAATTTTCATTAAATTTTCTTCAGTTCCATTGCTGACATACTGCAGAAGAAAATTCAGTCTCTTTATCTTGGACTTCAGAGACCTCCAGGAATCAGAGAACTTACCTACAATTCCAAAGATGCTATTTACTAGATATGTGTCTGAGGTTGTTGATGATATTTTCTGAGCCTTGATTTTCTTCTCTGTAACATAACTACTTGCCTTGTTAGGGTTGTTGTAAGATTACATAGGATAAAATGTAATGAAGCAGGTAGAATTCAATAAATGGTAGATTGTATAATTATTATTATAGTTTCCATCATTATTAATATAAATAGTTAAGAGTACAGGGATTCAAAAACAAATTTTATTTCCTGTGGCAGAGACTGCTCCTTTTCTTTTCTAACATACTAACAATTTTTAGCTGGACACATGGTCACCAAATGAAAGACTACTCCCTTGCAGCTAGATGTAACCAGGTGACTATATTTTAGCCAGTTAAATGTGAATAGAAGTGGTTGATAATGCAACTTTTTGGTCATGTCCTTAACAGGAAAGGGCTTATATGCCTCTTTACTTTTCTTCCTGCTGACTGAAATGTATGTGGGATGAGCAATGCTGGAACAGCCACCTTGAACAGCTAGATGAAAGCCATGCATTAAAGGTGGCAGACCAACAAGCTAGAAAAGGCCTGTGGTAAAGAAATCATGCCTAGTAGCAAGACTGAAACAACTTGCTGCCTTATTTAAGTCGCTCTTGTTTTGAGTCTCTGCATTACAGCACTCAAGCCTATATCTTAACTAGTACTTTTTACTCATAATTTCCTTTATTATATATGCCTCTCACAATTTAGCCTCAACTTGCCATTCCCTTAAAATCCCACTGTGGTTTTGCTTTCACAGATTAGAAAACTAAAAAAGAACAAAATATATCATCCAGGAACAAGACAATTCTTTCCACAATGGCTAGGAACAGATTCCTTCCTCCCAGAGAAACCAGTACTTTATATTTTAATTACAAACGGCTTCTTCAATATCTCAGTGTTTACCCTTTCTGTCTCCCTCTGTCTATCTCTGTCTCTTTAGAACAGGGAAATTTTTTTTGCTCCAAAATTGTCAATTGAGATGAAAATGTTAATATATTGGAACTTTGTTGTGTCACTGTCACACAGAAAATAAAGGCACCAAGTGAGTATCAGGACTTAGAGTAGAAAAAGGCCACACAACTTTTTCTTAAAGAAAACAACTCAAGGCTTTTTTTTCAAGCCAGATAGCCTGATCCATGGAAATGATGACTAGACAATGTGAGGGTAAAATAGAGTTAAATTCACTGCCGAAAGCTATGGCCTATCACTATATGTGAGAATTTCTATGGAAGGGCAGTGCTTTTGTATTTGGGCAATGAAATTCCCTCTGGGACCTACCCATTCATCTAATTTAATAAGCATTCATTGATCATGAATGGGTATCTTTGTAGACAGACTTAAAACATAATGCCAAGTTTTAGTCAAAACCATCTCTACAGATTTTTTTCTTTCTTGCTAAATTTGCCTAGAGTCAGCAAAAGAAGGCAAAATCACTTTCTTTGTGTTAAGACTTCAGAACCACAATTATTGGTGCTCCCACTCACTCATGCCAACTCCAACTGCTGATTCAAGAATTACTTGAATAGTAGTTGAATAACCAACCACATCAGTATACATGTATCCAGAGAAGAAATCTTGTGATTCTCAAACTACATATACTCAGTTGTGATATAATCCTACTTTCTGGCAAGTAATATTTCTGACATGAAAACTATTAAATTCAAAGCAAATAAAGACTCATATACGTTAGTGTCCTTCTAATAGAACCTCCTTTCTTTCCTGATGAGGAACTAGAGCCCCAGAGAGGTCATGGAAGTCACCTAAGATACATAAGCTAACAGAAGGCAGAGTTTACAGTGGAACTCTGGATCCTAAGTCTCACTACAGGGCTTTGGCCTCTATTCTCAACTGGTTTACATTTAAAATCAATAATGAAACATATTTAGGAATAAAAGTGCATCAGAGTCCTTCCAATTAATAATTTGGTAATTGAAAAAGAATAAAACTCTCTAATATTGCATAGTACAGGAGAGCCAGAGAGCCATACTTCGCAGAGAAAAGACCTATACACCAGTAGCCAACTGATCTGTATTCTAGGTGTGACTCTGCTGATAACTTTCTGTGTTGTCTTAGATAAATCCAGATAAGGTAAAATGAAAAGGCTAAATAATATTTGCAAGTGCCCCTAAAAGTCTCTGGTTCTATAATTTTAGAACTGAGATCACTGAATATTCTGGCTTCACCTGGCAGTTTGAACTCAAATGTATCTATATCCACTGTTTTCCTTATCTTTGAATCTTTTCACACTAATTGGTAGTAAGATGCTAAAGGAAGTGGTGGAGAAATAAAAAGCCAATCCAATCATCTGAGTAGATTATTAGTATTTCCCTCCGCCTACAAGTCCCTACACCAAATCGCAGGCCAAGAGTTATGAAGACTGGTCCCAAACTTACAACTCATATCCTCTCCCTTAAGAAAAACAGTCAAACCATCCCACCACATGGTCCACTCATAGTTTCACAAAGGCACCACCACCTTCTCTGCCTCTGTGTCTTTGCTGGTGTTTCAATAGCCTCTTTATTTCTATCAGGTGAAGTCCTAATTTTCTCTTCAGGGCTCAACATGAGCCCTACCTATGTCTCACTGCATCTGCCTAGTCCTCTGCAGTCTCTCTTTTCTGACCATCTGTTTGGTCCTTAGCCACTTGGCACTTGGTCTTAGTGAATTTCCTCTGACCAAACTAGATCAAAGTCTATTCCCTACAGGAAATATGACTTAAACCTATTTTTATACCTATTGCAATAGCCTACACATAGCAGGTGCTCAAAAAATATTTGTTGTTGATCACAATGATAACAATGGTTCCCAAGGGTGACACAAGGAGGAAATGATAGAAAGTAACATACTAGATGGGAAGGCACGCATCCATGAAGAGGGGTATAGCATGGTTGTAGAAATTCACTAGAAATTTTACAAGGGACCAAAAAATGAAGGGGAATGAAGAAAGAGGATAGTCATCAGGTTACTAAATAAAGTAGTGCCAATAAAGCTCACCATATCTAAAGTACATTCCTTCCCTATACATTGTACCTACGTATAATTCAGGAGAATTCACAAAAATCTAGAATTATTATTTTTTATTAGCAAAAGTATTATCCACAAGCTGAAAATATTTGCTCATATAGCATTAATAAATTATAAATGTGTTTTCACTACAATTTTTCATGTGATTATAAAAGCCAAATGTAGTCTTCTGCCCTTTGCTGCTGGCCATATCTTCCCTCTAGAAGTCAGGGAACACCCGTCTCCATAAGCACAGGCTCTGGGGTAGGGGTTAGGCCTAGGCCATCTAGTAGGTTGGTGAACAAATAATTGCAGTTTTCCCATTATTTTCAATGAACTGCAATAACTTGTGCACCAAGCTAATATCATCTTTTGCTTACTGTAGCCCAGGTGGTAAAATAGCTTGAACTGGCCAGTTGCTTTGGAAGCTGCCTCTGGTTCTAAATATCCCAAAAATGTATACACATCCCCCCAAAAAATTTTTTAAGGAAATCCACTACTTTCTTGGGCATTTTTTCCCAACTAACCAAAGTGCAGCAGCTTCCTGTTGCTTGGGAGTATTCTGGCCTAGTAGTTCCTAATCCTGGCTGATGAAAAAATCACCTTCGGAAGCTCCAAAAAACACACACAGATCTCCCTGCCACACATTCAGATATTGCAGTCCTCAGTGGGGCATATAAATATACACCATTGTAAATATCCCAGGTAATTGTGACATGTGGCAAGTTTGAAAAAGACTGGTCTGTACTACACAGTTTCAGCCTCTTAGTTTTCTAGCGTGTAAATGTTCCTGTTTTATGACTTTCTTTTCCTTACTTTTTGTCTTACAAAGGAGTCTTCATTTAATTGCCCAACTATGAATGTTGGCTTCAATTACTTCTTATCATGAAGCATTTACATAGGTTCCCCCGTGAATTTTTTCCTGGATGGCAAATTTCTAAGGTTAAAGCAGAGGTCTTGACAATTACAAACTTGGGAGGATGTCATCTCACAACCTCATCATTCTGTACTGCATATCAGTCATGATTTAAATGGAGCTACAAGACTTTTGAGTATACCTTCTTGGCACTTCTTAGACTACAGAGTAGAAGTTATAACTCAGGCTTTCATGAGTTTAATTTCCACAAAATATAACTTTCCATTTTGATTGGCTTCCAGAAAGAAACACACACCAAATAAGGGCTGTAACAGTGAATCATTTGGGTTATAAGAGCTTTCTCTGATAACTTCAATTTGATCCTGACTAAACAGAGGCAGAATAGAGTAGCAATGAAGAAGTGAGCTTTGTTATCGAGCACATCTAGTTTCAGATCCTATGTATTAGTGAGGATTTTGACAAGTTACTTGACTTCTCAACCCCTCATGTCTTCATCTAGAAAACAACTAGATCTTTTTTAACTTATCTCAGTGAGCTGTCATGAGGATTTAATGAGATAGTCCATGAAAGTTGCTGGCATATAATGAACACTCAGTAAATTTCTTTTTTAGTTTCCTCTTAGGCATAAATTCATTGATCTTGCTAAATTCAATCAGAATTAGTATTATAATATTTTTAACATTTGCTAAATTAAGCAATTTTCCCTAAATCAAGCTTTGGAAACTTTTGCATATGAATCTTAACTATTTCTATGCTTCATAATTTGTACATCACTTAAGCTTTCATGGCTGGTTCTTCCCACATTTTAGGAGAAATCAATTATCAATTCCACTTTCTTAGTGTTCGTAAGCTTTTTTTTTTTTTTTTCCCAGCAATTACAACTCACTAAAAGCCTCAAGGGTAGAAATTTTGGCACTTCATGCACGGAGTAATTTGATCAAAGGCATCACCCAACTGACTGGAAACAATATATAACCAAAATTTAAAGTAACCAATTTTAAAATATTTTAATATGATTTCAGGACACTCAGGTTGATATGCAAAGAGATGCTACAAAGTTTCCAACATTTCTAAAATCAGATGTATGAATAGCAAAGACATAAAGTATGTACTACTCTGTTGAAGGGTTTTCTTGTTTCATTTTGTTTACTTCATCCTCAGCTGATTTGGGATATCAGTTATTTTAAATCTGTATGTACAAAATATTTATAAATTTTGAAAATCATGATTTTCATATCAATTGGTACAATATCAAAACTGGTAGATTATCAGTTTGGTTAGGAATAATTATTAAATATACACACACCACAAATTAATTCCAAGTAACCTTTTGCTCCATAGAGTTCTTAATTTAGTAAGGTGATTTTTATGATGATTCTGTCCTCCACCAGCCTATGTAACCATATTATGGCAAAAACAAATAATTTAATCATCATGTCTGAATTTTAAACTGAATCCACAGTAGCATTTATAATAGTGTCAAATGTTTTATCCTCAACATTTCCAAACTTTTACCTTTATTCCATAAATGGAATGAAAATAAAGCATTACTGGAATTTGCTTTATTGACTTTTCTATTTTAAGCATCTAATGACACTTCCATAAAACTAGCACCATTAAATATTTATAAAACTCTTCTAATACAACTAACACATTAATAGTTCTTGCTTCACTTCTTGCACACAAAAAAACTAAAATAAATGTGCTAAATTAATTCAGGAAAACAGCCATTTATTCCAAATGACAGGGCAGGCTTTACAGAGTGATGATGAGGGTACTTTCTGTAGCTACATGTGTTAAATCATCCTCTTCACATCCAGTCTTCTGAACAGAACTGCTGGTTTTTCAACCAGCTTCTGATGCTCCTTCAGCAGATTTGTGTCTTTGGTTTTTATGTGGTTAACTGAGATCACTATTGCCCCCCTAGTGGATGGTAAATATCAATAAGCATTTTATACATAATTCCTACTAATTAATCACTTGAGAAATTGAAATTTTCATTAAAATATATTTTTTAAAACCAATTGGTGCCAAATGAGTTTATTTAAAATTTTTTTCAGATTGTTAACAACGGAACAAATAATGACAAACTGATCCTCAGATTTGTGGCCATCTGTTGATCACTCCTTTGACAAATGAATAGAAATTATAACTCCAGGCTTTAATAAGTTTAACCTTCCCAAAGTATTTTTTTTTTCATTTCACTTAGCTTCCAGAAAGAAAGATAAACCAAATAAGGGCTGTAATTATAAGCCATTCAGGTTGTAAGCTTTCTCCAGTAACTGAAATAATTCTGTCTGCATAGATTAAACAAATACTTAAGTACAGATTCACACCATGCAGGAAATGACAAATTCACTATAGCAGTAATATTCACATCAAGGTCTACATGCACTATGGCAGGACTGCTCAAGCTCTACTATGCACAGACATTTCGTCTACACATAATGTATAATTTCCCATGATTCCTACCGGCCCAGCATGCTGGTGGCCTGAAGGTTTTATGCACCTTGCATGCATGAGCCACAGCCCAACTAGTTGAAAAACCAACCAGTCAGTAGGAACAGAAGCATCAAGAGCTTTCTCCACCACCACTTAAGATCAGAAACAATTAGTTCTCCTTATCTGCTCATGTCCAAAAGGGCTTTATTTTATCAGAGACCATGCTGTCATTGAAGGAGACATGTCACCTACCTTGCTTCCAGAAAGGGTTGGGGAAAACAGAGCCAGGTTATCAATAGTTATCTTCCTGGCTTATTCACAATTTAAGGGAAGGGTGTTGCTTACTATACATGCACCTCACATACTGTTGAATGAGAACATGGTAGAACTCAACCTGGCTTATTTTTAATCTGACATCAATGATAATGGTTTTAAAAATAAAATAATGCTGAATAAATGACAAAACAGACAAAATGCCAAGACATAGGCATAAGTCAGGACCATCCTGGAGACACAATAATATGGTCATTCTATCCTTTGCATATATGTTTTGTCATAGCAATATATAGTAGCATATGTCTAAAGAGGAAAACTGCCAATTTCTATCTGCCAAGAAGACAGACAAATCGGATTCAGAAATCTTATCGGCTAAATACACAAATGTCCTCAGAATTAACCTTCCTCCCAAAACCCAAACCTTACCTTGACTAAATAATAATTTTTAAAAATGAGTATCCTCAAATCTTAGTTTTAATACCACCATTTGATCTATGGTAGTAAGAGAAACAGGCTGAAAGAAGGCATGCTTGGTTTTTTGCCTCTGTATCTACGTGTGCATGTCTCCACAGCATTAACTTGACTTTTCCCAGTCTAAATTTTCTAAATTTCCACCAGTAATAGGCTTGGAAACTAACTCAGTTAATTTGCTCAATGCATTGTGAGAAGAAAAGCTCCTTGTGAAAAATGTTTGTTCCGTAGAAAGAAACCCTATCCCATAACAAGAAAAATTCATAAAATAAAAATACACCAATAATACACTCATGCTAATTCTTGAGCCCACCAAAATTATTGAAAGACACTGTTGACTTATTATAATTATTTGAGAGGGGAATTATTTTTTTAAAAACAGTCACCTGTAGGAAGGCATTATCCGTCACTGAGAAGTAAAAAAAAATACAGTAATATGTCTTTAATCTGTCAATGTGATATTCCAAAAGATGACATTTTCCCAGATAAAACTATTTATTTGCTCAAATCTTAATCCCTTAATGGCATTATATTATAAAACAAATATGCCAGACCTAATTCAGTCTTCTTTTAATGGCACAAGATAATCATTCTATTGCAACACAGTTTGTTCCTAAAATAATGGCCTGAACTATTTAGTGTCATGTTTTTTCTATAAAGTTCTTTCTCAGCTGGTGTTAGTTTTTCTTTGATGTTATTATACCTGAGGTCCTGAGCTAATATTTTCGTTTCATATATATCTGGGTTAGGCTCTGGGTTAGTGCTTTCTTTATTAATCCTATGAAGAGAAGTACATGAGTTTTATAGAAGATAACCCATTCATCCTTTAACTAACTTATGTGTTCATAGCTTTGTCACTGGTAATTACTGTGGCAGAAATCTGACCTTCAGCTATGTGGGAAGTTATGGTACTGGTAAAGTTTACACAATAGACTCTCTGTAACAATTGCTTTCCAATGGAGAAGTGGAACAAGCACATCTTCTTTACTTTCTTGTTAGATGCTTTATGCTCATTATCTAAACTTCATGTGAAAAGTTGGTGGTAAGTTGTTAGAAGACAGACAGCTGAGAAATAATGGAGCTGGGATTCAAATCTAAACCTGGAATAATCCAAGCCAGCACACCCTCCCTTAGGTAATGCTAGTTCATCTAGCTGATTTCTCTGTTTTCCCGCTTTTCTGTATCACCCTTTGAAATCCTTTAGGCAAAATAGCAGACACAAAAGATACAGGTTGAGATAAAATATCGAATTGCCATCAGCTTGAAAACTGTAATGACTGCCAATGTGTTTTATGCTTTCAAAATCTGGACTTTTATTTAAAGTGAAAAAAAGTTTCTCCTTGATCTTTCAAGGAGGTTAGGGCCTTCTTGATTTCTTAATTAATTGACTTGCTGGCAGGAATAGTTTTGGTTTTGATTTTGGTTTTGGCTTTAGAGTATAGAGAGAATGGACCATTCTAAGATCCCCAGAGGCCCAGAGAGGGGCAACAGCCAAAAATGCCACTTGGAAATGTTCCCAAGCTGCTGCCTGATTAATAGCCACCCGGGAATGAACAACCGAGGCTCACATGGGCAAGTCTCATGAGCAGATGGTCTACCTGATGGCAGAGGTGTGGTTGACGCTTCAGTGAAAGACACACATAATTGGTGGCCATAATGGCGGGAAGCCAGGTCAGTGACATCCATGGATACTGCATCTTGTTGGTCCCAGCTTTGAATCACACTTTCCCAAGTGCTCTTTGATTTCTCGTATCATCACGATCACTGAAATAAAAAATTGCATCACCCTAAAATACTTTAGATTCTTGGTATATATGCCAGACCAGACCAGACAAATCCAAAAGTAGAGTCAGGATTTTGAAGCCTGCTGGGGATGTTTTTCCTGGAGAACATGCCTATTTTAATTGCGCACCATTTGTTTTGTTTCTGTAATAAATCTTCAGATGCTATTTCTGCACGCTGTATTTGGAGAGGATGCATTTCTCTTATATGGAACAATTTTACTTCACTCACGTAAGAAGTTATAAAGGTGAGTTCTTGTTACATACATAAAAAATAAGCCTTTTAAACTTTATTATATGCATCAGGATTTGGGTTCCAATAGGCTGGAATTCTTCAGAGGAGCTATCTGAAATCTTATACAAAAAACATCTTTAGAACTCTAAAAGGAAGCATTTAATTACTATCTCCTATATATACACATTTCATAGTTTTGAAATACTTTGACAATCATTAACACTTATTTAATATACTACAGAAAGAAGTGTATTTTAGAAAAAGGGGAAAAAATATAAGCAAGTCTCTAAGAAGTTAAGCAATAGATCAACTTTTGTGACTATCATGAGTAAGGGCTCCATCTCTACCTCCAGACTGATGTTTGTGCTCTAAAGTACTAAGTAGTCCTGCAAATTTGTGTAGGGGACCACAGACACTCAGAAGAGAGTAAAGCTTTTGTGATCTTTTATCTGTGAAAACTGACAGGCCTTAGAAACTGACCAAATATACGACATGCAAGGATCAAATTAAAGGGACTACAAGTCCCACCTTGTATTCTTATTTTTCCCTTAGCAACATGATTTTCCCAGCTCTAGCTTGAAGTTTTTTTCCCTGAAGCTTGAAGTTTCATGAGTGCAAACTGATTTAATGCATAGTTCATCATTTAAAATGCAAATACTTCCAAGAGATGTTGTAGTCATAAAGATATCAGCATGAATTAGCATTACAAGAGATTAGACGACACATCACCTAGGAAGCCCCAAAAGGGAGGGGACAAAAGAGAAGTGAGTTTTGAGTTTGTTAGTGGCAGAAAGCACAGATTGGTTAGATGCACATCCAATAATACCATGTAATAGTGAGGGTAGGGTGTTCCTCTAGGCAACCAGAAAATAGCAGGACACTACTGTGTCCATAAGGAAACTCTAAAAGAAGAGATGATGAAAGGGAGAGTATTAAGAGGAAGTTTAAAGCAAATTTCTACCTATCTCAATAATGTGGTCTGAACTTTGGCCTATATACTGAAAGCAGGAGAATCTTAACACATAATTAGAGGAAACCCATATCAATGTAGGTCTTTACCAAACGAAGATATCTGATACCTCCTAAGCCTATTTTCTTTGCTTCCCCAGTATGTGTCACTGATCTGATTACTCTGGAGATTAACGCTAAAATGTGCTATGCTGTTTTCAGCAAGATCTGAGTATTACTTAAACAACAAGGTATTAGCTAATGCCAAACCAAACATACCATGGCCAGAATTGTGCCTGCTCCACAGCCACAAATGCTAAAAATAAAGATGTGATATTATACCTAGAGTTACTTTGACCAAGTGCATATTTCTTTACAAAGTATTTATCCAGTCTAATGGAGAACAAAGTCAACTGGAAGATGTTCATATTCTGAAAAGCATTTTATTACATGGGGTAATGCAGAGTATACGGAGAATCCACGGGCCTTTGGGAAAAGTGAAAATTCCATAGAAGGAGTTAGAAAGGCCTCTCAACCTCTTCCCTGCCTCTCTTTTTGCAGGGCCAGCCTGCCTTCCTCTTTCTATAGTCCAGCCACTTGACTTATTACAATTCCTTCAACCAGTAATGCTTTAAAGTATGCCTGGAAGAGGCATCCTCCTTCTGTCATTCTTTACTTGGCCAACTCCTAACCATCCTCAAGTCTCAGCTTGGTCATTTGTTCAGGGAAGTCTTCAGTGACCTCCTACATGAGATCCCTTGTGTAGCACAGTGTTCCTGGAACAAAACACTCATCTCATTTTATTGTAATGTTGGTGTAGGCTTTCTTGGCTAGATAGCAAGATAGGGGGTAAGGACCAAATCTATTTGTTTTCCACTATAGGTCCCCATCACCAGCACAGCTCTTAGCATATATAGGGCATGACAAAAATTATTTTTTGAGTAAGTTATTTTGTTACTTAATTCAACATATAATTACTAAGCACTTACTAACACCTACTACTACAGCATCATTCTGGGTATATTGTAATAACGAAATAGTCAATGAGACCTGCCCTCATAGAGCTTAAATACTAGTAAAGACAGCAGACGATGATCATAATAAACAAGTAAACCATGAAGAATGTCAGGAGGTGGGGAGCACTATGGGAGGAAAAACTTGAGCAGGGCAAAGGGGGTTAGGAGTGCCCAGGGAAAATAGGTTGCAATTTTAGATGTCATTAAGGCAGGCCTCATTGAGAAGGGGATCATCTGAACAAAGACTTGATGAGGTGGTGAGGAAGTAAATTGTATAAGTATCTGAAGAGAAAACATGCCAGCCCAAGTAAACGGACTGCTTTCCCTGGGATAACTGATGCTATTACCCCTCTTCCTCATATCTCCTCACCATCGCAATCCCTACAAGATAAAGGACACAATCTGGACTTTTTGCTCCTCCTTTGGCTGCCAAGAGAAAACGATAGGTCCACTTCAATTGAAGCACATCATTTTTCTTCTCCTGGATGAATTCAGGATGTGCAAAAAGGATGCAGCATAAATATGCCTAACAGGCATTCCTCTATTTGGCCATAAAAAGCCGCTGTCTATGCTGAGAACCTTGGAGGTAGAGGAGCAGCTGTGGGAATTTTAAAGCTCTCTTTATGCACAGTCCCATGTTTAGTAACATACTAACTTAAGCACAATTTATCCTTTGATAAAGATAATTTTAATTATTAAAATATCTTTTTAAATTAGAGTAACTTCTTATAGAAAAAGTCCTCCATAGTTGAGGTGAACCAAGAGACAGTTGGGATCAAACCTGAGACAATCATAACAGAGAAGGAACTAGAACACAGGATACAGACTAGATATCATAGCAAAGGAAAGTGAAGACTAGAACAATCTGATTACCATACCGAGGAGTTTAAAATATATTTGTTAGAACATGAGGAAAGACTGAAATATTCAGCTCAGAGACGAATACAACTTTTCCTTTATAAAAATAAGACTAAAAGTTTTTTAGGATGTTCCAAGTGTGTCAAAAATGGAGAAAAATAGAAACAAAACAACTTATACAATCTTGGTAGCAGTAGTTCAAGTTAATGAGAGGCAAAGCCAGAGTAGAGAAAGTAAGAATAAAAATGAAGGCACGAATGACACAGGTAAAACTATTAGGACTTAATGATATCCACAGAGAAGGAGAGAAAACTGTCAGATGGTACTGAGGTTTGGTGCTAAGTTCACTAAATGAATGGTAGTTTTCTTACCAAAAATATAGAAGTCAAGAGGCAAAACTGGTTTGAAAAAAGGGAAAGAAAATGATGAGTTTATGTTTCTATATACTTAAGATCCTGGTGAAAAACACAATGGATATTTCTAGGAGATAGAAATATGCAACAGGAGGCTGACTGGCTAATAGAGACAGGAGTAAAAGCAAGATGGCCAGAGAGGAGAGTTTGAAGGAGGGTGGCTTTAGAGAGTTTGGTTTGGGAATTAGAAAGTAAGAGTGATGTTTAAAGAAAGGAGTTTCAGTGGAGCCACAGGGCAGATGCCAAGCTAAAGAAGGCCCAGGAAATGATGGACAAGTGGTGGGAAATGAAGGCTAGCTTCTATAGAAGGTTGTTAATGAGAAGGGTGAGAAAAAGTGTTAAGTCAAGGGGTTAGAGATTCAAAGAAAAGTTTTTATGATTGTTTTAAGGTGGGAAAGAGAAAAGTATGCTTGTAGAAAATGAGAGATATAAGGAAACAATTGAAAAAGCAAGAGAGACATAGAACAATAGAAAGAACCTCACTCTGAGAGTAAGAGCTGCTGACTTTGATTTCTACCCTCTTACTCTGAGAGAAGAGAGGAGGGAAGAAAAGTACAAGGAATGATAACAGAGACAAAACTTGTTAGAAGGACTTTATTGTGATAATGTATACAAAAGTTAAAGAAGAAAATAACCAACAAAAATATACTGGACATCTACTATGTTGGGTTATGTGGAGGATGCAGACATGTATAAGAGAGGGGTCTCCCCTCAAAATAATTCAGGTTAATGGGTATACTCAAGGGCTGCAAACAGTAGATGCTGATTATAGTATGAGTATAAAGATGGAACTATAGCGTGCAGACGGTGAGGGCAAGAGCTAATTGTGGACTGAATATGAAACTTGGTTGTCTTAAAGTTCAAACCTGGAGTACCAAGTTGAGAGATTGTTTCCATTTCTGTATCAAAGGATGGTTACCATCAAAGTCATATTTCTAATCTTGCCTCCGGGAAACAGGCTGGTTAGAAGGACATTCCCTAAAACCTTTTTTCAGTTTTTTAGATGAGTATATGTATTTGAAGCTGACTTTGGACAACTAGAGGAGCTTCACTCAATGGAAAGAAGTGGAAACAATGTGTTAAAATAACATTTACAGCAACTTAGTAAACTTTAGTGATTTCTTTAACGTTTTATTTCTTAATTGACACAGATTATATGTATTTATGGTATACAACATGGTATTTTGATATGTGTACACACTGTGGAATGAGTGACTCAAGCTAATTAATACACCCATTAGATGACAGACTTATTTCTTTGGAATAAGAACATTTTAGTCATTTCTTATTAAAGTGGTACCATAAGAATCTATTTCACTAATTTTGAAAAACAATTCATAATTATCCTTGATAGCGACATTAAATGAAGAATGAAGAGACCTATTTATCACACGCTATGAGGTCAGAAATAAGGAAGTTATTATATTATTTTTGTATAATTTTAAAATAAGATTGGGAAGGGACAAGATGGCTAACTAGGCATAGTGGGGAGGTGCCTGTCCCACAGAGAGAAACCAAAATATCAAGTAAACGATTACATTTCGAACAGATCTTTTGACAGAAAACAGCTAAAGTCAATAGAGAGGTGATGCAGACACTGAAGCTGAAGAAGGAGGAAGTGGGAAGCCCCACACAGAGTCACTGAGCACCAGGACAGGTTGCTGGTCCTGAACAGGTCCTTTGGAAGGGATGAGTAAAGGAACTCCAAAAAACCCACAGTTCCACCACAGACTTCTGTGATTCTGGCCACAAGAGATACCACAACCCCCACAGACATTTGCATTGGCAAGGGGATCTGCCTGGAGAGTAGGTAGAGGAAGAGCTTGGTCTTGTGCGGAGCCCAGAAGCTTACAAGGGGCAGCTACAGCAAAACGGAACCACAACTATCCCTCTTCCAAGACTCTCCATGTTGCTGACTGGCTGCAGCCCCTGCTGACTGCCAGCCAGCAGAGAGCAGGGCTACCTCTCCCATGGTACTAAGGTGCATCTGATCTCTGTGCCCCCTTGTCTGCCAACCCCTCCCAAAACTGCCTACCTGGCTGCTCCCGCAGGAGGGTGTACACAGCTCAGCCTCCACTGCCCCACCCGGATGTTTTGCCAATAGCCTGAGAGCAGTTCGGACTCCTCAGCACAGCCAGTACTCAGTCCTGAGGGTCCAGAGGACAAAGCTGTGGGCTAAGTCCCAACTTTCTAGGATTCGAGCACACTACCCTGAGGGGTATTGAGCTAAGGTCTGTGGCCAGAGCTTGGGCAGAGGAGGAGCCACCACTCTTGGGACACAAAGAAGAGTGAGGTGCTGGTTTGTGTGCCAGTGTAGGAGCCAGGCATCCCTCCCTTTGCAAGACTGGTCCAGGAAGGGTGTAGCTGTTGGCCAGCCACAGCTTCTGCCCAAGGAAACCATACAGCCCTGAACACGTGGAAGAGCCCAGTTATATGAGCACAAGAAGGCTTGGTACAAATCTAGCTGGGCGGGCCTGCTCCTAGGGAAGACACTAGAAGGAGACCCAGTCTGAAAAGCATGAACTAGGTGGACCCCACAGTCATCAGCTGGACTAAAATCCCTGGGCTGTGGGCACCATACCAATTTCACATCTATGGCACCACTGCCCTGCCCAGGATCATGTGCCTTTGACCCCTGTATCATCAGACCACTCACAGACATATCCCACAGCCCACTCTGACCCTGCCAAGCTCAGAGGACCAGCAGGTTCCTGGGGAGTTACAGGTTTCCTGGCAATCTAACCTTTGGCTCAGGCCACCCCTAAAGGAGGGGAGAATGCAGCCCAACAAGGTCCCCCATGGGACTAAGGAAATGCAGGAACAATGCCAACGATTGGAAAAGGCTCCACCAAAGCCCTGGAATGGACTTGGAGGGTGGGTGGGGGCAGGTATCTCTCACCCTCCCATCTCCCCTTCCCCAGAGCACTGCTACATATGCATCAAGATATAAAAGAAGTATGTAAGAGACCATCTGCTGGCCCTTACTCTTATGCACCATCTATTGGACTAGAGCCTGAATTATATGAACAAACAAAAATTCCTTCAGCACCCAAAAGCCTGTAAAACCCAATGCAGGAAGCAATCTACAACAAAGAAACCCAAACACAGCCTCAGCACTCTGAAAGCAGCCAGAAAAAAAGCCAATCAACTATACACAACACACCACAGTCAAGGCTTCAAAGGAAAAAAAGAATATAAAAACAAAAAGCCCCATGAAAACAGCAGCAATTTCAAAAAGGAAAATAAACACCAGCCTCCTCAGATGAGAAGGAATCAGTGCAAGAACTCTAGCAATTTAAAAATTCAGAGTGTTTTTTCACCTCTAAAGGATTGCGGTAATTCCCTAGCCAGATTCAAATGTCTGAAGCATAGACATAGAATTCAAAATCTGGACGGCAAAGAAGCTTAACAAAATTCAAGAAAAAAATGAAATCTAATCCAAGGAAACAAGTAAAACAATCCAAGAGTTTAAAAGATGACGTAGCCATTTTAAGAAAAAACCAAAGTGGACTTCTGGAGTTGAAAAATTCACTACAGAAATTTTAAAATACAATTGAAAGCCTTAATAACAGACTAGACCAAGCTCAGGAAAAAAATTCAAAGCTCAAAAACCAGTCACTCAAATTAACTCAGTGAGACAAAAATAAAGAAAAATGAATTTTTAAAAATGATCAGAGCCTCCAAAAATATGGGATTATGTAAAGAGATCAAACCTATGATTCATTGGCATTCCTGAGAGAGAAGGAGAGAAAGTAAGCAACTTGGAAAACATATTTGAGTATACAGTCCACAAAAATTTCTCCAATTTTACTAGAGAGGTCAATTCTCTCTAGTAAATTTCATGCAAATTCAAGAAATTAAGAGAAGTCCTGTGACATACTGTACAAAAAGACCACCTCTAAGAAACATAAGTCATCCGACTTTTTCAAGGTCAACACAAAAGAAAAATATTTTTTTTTCTTTTTATTAATATTATACTTTAAGTTTTAGGGTACATGTGCACAATGTGCAGGTTAGTTACATATGTATACATGTGCCATGCTGGTGTGCTGCACCCATTAACTCATCATTTAACATTAGGTATATCTACCTCCTAATGCTATCCCTCCCCACTCCCCCCACCACACAACAGTCCCCGGTGTGTGATGTTCCCCTTCCTGTGTCCATGTGTTCTCATTGTTCAATTCCCACCTATGAGTGAGAACATGTGGTGTTTGGTTTTTTGTCCTTGCGATAGTTTGCTGAGAATGATGGTTTCCAGTTTCATCCATGTCCCTACAAAGGACAAGAACTCATCATTTTTTATGGCTGCATAGTATTCCATGGTGTATATGTGCCACATTTTCTTAATCCGGTCTATCATTGTTGGACATTTGGGTTGGTTCCAAGTCTTTGCTATTGTGAAAAATGCCGCAATAAACATATGTGTGCATGTGTCTTTATAGCAGCAGGATTTATAATCCTTTGGGTATATACCCAGTAATGGGATGGCTGGGTCAAATGGTATTTCTAGTTCTAGATCCCTGAGGAATCGCCACACTGACTTCCACAATGGTTGAACTAGTTTACAGTCCCACCAACAGTGTAAAAGTGTTCCTATTTCTCCACATCCTCTCCAGCACCTGTTGTTTCCTGACTTTTTAATGATCACCATTCTAACTGGTGTGAGATGGTATCTCATTGTGGTTTTGATTTGCATTTCTCTGATGGCCAGTGATGAAGAGCGTTTTTTCATGTGTTTTTGGCTACATACATGTCTTCTTTTGAGAAGTGTCTATTCATATCCTTCACCCACTTTTTGATGGGGTTGTTTGTTTTTTTCTTGTAAATTTGTTTGAGTTCATTGTAGATTCTGGATATTAGCCCTTTGTCAGATGAGTAGGTTGCGAAAATTTTCTCCCATTCTGTAGGTTGCCTGTTCACTCTGATGGTAGTTTCTTTTGCTGTGCAGAAGCTCTTTAGTTTAATGAGATCCCATTTGTCAATTCTGGCTTTTGTTGCCATTGCTTTTGGTGTTTTAGACATGAAGTCCTTGCCCATGCCTATGTCCTGAATGGTATTGCCTAGGTTTTCTTCTAGGGTTTTTATGGTTTTAGGTGTAACATGTAAGTCTTTAATCCATTTCGAATTAATTTTTGTATAAGGCATAAGGAAGGGATCCAGTTTCAGCTTTCTCCATATGGCTAGCCAGTTTTCCCAGCACCATTTATTAAATAGGAAATCCTTTCCCTATGGCTTTGTTCTGGCCAGGGCAATGAGGCAGGAGAAGGAAACAAAGGGTATTCAAATAGGAAAAGAGGAAGTCAAATTGTCCGTTTGCAGATGACATGATTGTATATCTAGAAAACCCCATCATCTCAGCCCAAAATCTCCTTAAGCTGATAAGCAACTTCAGCAAAGTCTCAGGATATAAAATCAATGTGCAAAAATCACAAGCATTCTTATACACCAATAACAGACAAACAGAGAGCCAAATCATGAGTGAACTCCCATTCACAATTGCTTCAAAGAGAATAAAATACCTAGGAATCCATCTTACAAGGGATGTGAAGGACCTCTTCAAGGAGAACTACAAACCACTGCTCAATGAAATCAAAGACGACACAAACAAATGGAAGACCATTCCATGCTCATGGGTAGGAAGAATCAATATCGTGAAAATGGCCATACTGCCCAAGGTAATTTATAGATTCAGTGCCATCCCCATCAAGCTACCAATGATTTTCTTCACAGAATTGGAAAAAACTACTTTCAAGTTCATATGGAACCAAAAAAGAGCCCGCATTGCCAAGTCAATCCTAAGCCAAAAGAACAAAGTGGAAGGCATCACACTACCTGACTTCAAACTATACTACAAGGCTACAGTAACCAAAATAGGATGGTACTGGTACCAAAACAGAGATATAGACCAATGGAACAGAACAGAGCCCTCAGAAATAATGCCGCATATATACAACTATCTGATCTTTGACAAAAGAAAAATCTTAAAGTTAGCTAGAGAAAAGGGTCAGAGAAGAGAACCCCATTAGGCTATCAGAGGATTTCTGAGCAGAAACCTTACAAGCCAGAAAAGATTGGAGACCTGTTTTCAGCATTCTCTAAGAAAAGAAATTCTAACCAAGAATTTCATATAAAATCTTTTCCAGATAAGCAATCATTAAGTGAATTTGTTTCCACTACACCAGCCTTACAAGAGAACATTAAGTGAGTTCTAAAGATAGAAACAAAGGAACAATACCTGCTACTTCAAAAACACACTTAAGTACACATTGCACAGACTCCTAAAGCAACTACACAGTCAAGATTACAAAGCAACCAGCTAACAATATCACGACAGGAACAACACCTCACATACCAATAGTAACCTTGAATTTAAACAGCCTAACACTCTGCTGTCTTCAAGAGACCCATCTCACATGCATTGACACCCATAGGCTCAAAGTAAAGGAATGGAGAAAGATTACACAAACGGAAAACAAAGAGAGCAGAGGTCACTATTCTTGTATCAGATAAAATTGATTTTAAACCAAGAATAGTAAAAAAGAACAAAGAAGGTCATTACATAGTGATAAATGGTTCAATTCAACAATAAGACTTAACTCTCCTGAATACATACATACCCATCATTGGAGCACCCAGATTTATAAAACAAATACTTCTATACCTATAAAAATAAGTAGCCACACAATAATAGTTGAGGTCTTCAGTAGCCACCTGACAGCATTAGATCATTGAGGCAGAAAACAAATTAATAATGAAGTTCCAGACTTAAATTCTATACTTGACCAATTTCACCTACTAGACATGTACATAATATTCCATCCAACAACCACAGAATATACATTTTTCTCATCTACACATGGAACATACTCTAAGATCAACCACATGCTCAGCCATAAAGCAAAACTCAGTGAATTCAAATAAAATTTAAGTCATACCAAGCATACTCTCAGACCACAGAGGAATAAAAATGGAAATCAGTAACAGGAAAATCTCTCAAAACCACACAATTACACGGAAACTAAACAACTTGATCCTGAATTACTTTTGGGTAAACAATGAAGTTAAGGCAGAAATAAAAAAAAAAAAATCTTTGAAATAAATAACAGAGATACAATATACAAAATCTCTGGGATGCAGCAAAAGCAGCATTAAGATGAAAGTTTATAGTTCTAAATACCTACATCAAGAAGTTAGAAAGATCTCAAATTAACAATCTAAATTGCGCCTAGAGAAATTAGAAAAACAAGAGCAAATCAACCCCCAAGCTAGCAGAAGAAAGGAAATGACTAAAACTAGAGCAGCACTGAATGAAATACAGACCCAAAAATCTATACAAAGGACCAATGAAATCAAAAGTTTGTTCTATGAAAGGATCAACAAGTTCAATAGATCACTAGCTAGATTAACAAATTAAAAAAAAAAAAAGAGAAGACCTAAATAGCACAATCAGAAATGGCAAAGGTGATATCACAACCAATTCCACAGAAATATAATAGATCCTCAGAGACTATTATGAACACCTCTATGGATACAAACTAGAAAATCTAGAGGAAATGGGTAAATTCCTGGAAACACATAACTCCCAAGATTGAATCAGGAAGAAGGTGAAACCCTGAGCAGACCAATCAATAATGAATTCTGAAACTGAATCAGTAATAAAAATCCTACTAACCAAAAAAAGCCCTGGACAAGATGGATTCACAGCCGAATTCTACCAGATGTTCAAAGAAGAGCTGCTATCAATCCTACTGAAACTATTCCCAAAAATTGAGGAGGAGGGACTCCTCTCTAACTCATTCTACAAAGCCAGCATTGTCCTGATACCAAAATGTGTCAAAGACACAACGAAAAAAGAAAACTTCAGGCCAATATACCTGCTGAACACAGTCACAAAAATCCTCAAGACAATACTTGCAAACTAAATCCAGCAGCACATCAAAAGTTAATTCACCACTATTAAATAGCTTTATTCCTGGAGTATAAAATTTGTTTAACACACATGAATCAATAAATGTGATTCACCACATAAACAGATTTAAAAATAAAAACCACATTATCATCTCAATAGACACAGAAAAAGCTTTCAATAAAATCCAGTATCCTTCAACAAGTAAAACCCTAAACAAAGTAGCCATTGAAGGAAAATGCTTCAAAATAATATGAGCCGTCTATGACAAACCCACAGTCAACATCATGCTGAATGGGTAAATGCTGGCAGCATTTCCCTTAAGAACTGAAAGAAGACAAGAATGCTTATTTTCACCACTTCTATGTATTACAGTACTGGAAGTCCAGGCCAGAGCAATGAGGCAAGAGAAAGAAATAAAAGACATCCGAATAGAAAAAGAAGAAGTAAATAATCTCTCTTTACTGATGATGATTCCACACCTAGAAAACTCTAAAGACTCTACCAAAGGGCTCCTGGAACTAATAATGACTTCAGTAAAGTTTCAGGATACACCAGTGACATTCAAGCTGAAAGCCAAATCAAGGATGCAATCCCATTTACAATAGCCACAAAAAAATACCTAGGAATACATCTAACCAAGGAGGTGAATGATCTCTACAAGGAGAATTACAAACACTGCTGAAAGAAATCATAGGTGACACAAACAAATGGAAAAACATTCCATGCTCTTGGACTGAAAGAATCAATATTGTTAAAATAGTCATACTAACGAAAGCAATCTATAGATTCAACACTACTCCTATCAAGCTACCAATATAATTTCTCAGAGAATTAGAAAAACCTATTCTAAAATTCATATGGAACCAAAAAAAGAGACCCAAAACCCAAACCAATCCTAAGCAAAAAGAACAAAGCTAGAGGCATCACATTACATGACTTCAAACTATATCACAAGGCCACAGTAACCAAAACAGCATGGTACTGGTCCAAAAACAGACACATAGACCAATGGAACAGAATAGAGAATCCAGAAATAAAGCCACACACCTGCAACCATCTGATCTTTGACAAAGTTAGCAAAATAGGCAATGGGGAAAGGACTCTATTCAATAAATGGTGCTGGGATAACTGGCTAACCATACACAGAAGAATAAAACTGAACCCCTACCTATCACCATATACAAAAATTAACTCAAAATGAATTAAAGACTTAAATGTAAGAGCTGAAACTATAAAAATCCTAGAAGAAAACCTAGCAAGTAATCTTCTGGAAATCAACTTTGGCTAAATATTTATAACTAAGTCCTCAAAAGCAAATGCAACAAAAATAAAAATTGACAAGTGGCACCTAATTAAAAAGCTTTTACACAGCAAAAGAAACTATCAACAGAGTAAACAGACAACCTACTAAATGGGAGAAGTATTTACAAAGTAGGCATCTGACAAAGGTCTAATAGCCAGGATCCATAAGGAACATAAACAATTCAGCAAGCAAAAAAACCCAATTAAAAAGTAGGCGAAGGAAATGAACAACACTTCTTAAAAGAAGACATACAGGTGGCCAAAAAAATATGAAAAAATGCTCCACATTACCAATTTTCAGATAAATGCAAATCAAAACCACAAAGAGATATCATCTTAACAGCAGTCAGAATGGCTATTGTTAAGAAATCAAAGAATGACAAAGGCTGGCAAGGCTGTGGAGAAAAGGGAATGCTTATACACTGTTGGTGGAATGTGTATTAGTTCACCCTCTCTGGAAAACAATTTGGAGATTTCTCAAAGAACTAAAAATAGAACTACCATTTGATCCAGCAATCCCATTACTGGGTATAGGCCCAAAGGAAAATAAGTTGTTCTACCAAAAAAGACACACGTACTCGTACGTTCATTGCAGCACTATGCACAAGGGCAAAGACATGGAATCAACCTAGATGTCCATCAATGGTAGACTAGACAAAGAAAATGTGGAACATATACACCGTGGAATACTATATGGCCATAAAAAAGAATGGAATCATGTCCTTTGCAGCAACATGGATGGTGCTGGGAGCCATTTTTCTAAGCAAATTAACTCAGAAACAGAAAAATAAACACCACATGTTCTCACTTACAAGTAGGAACTAAACATTGAATTCACAGGGACATAAAGATGGGAACAATAGACACTAGGGAGTACTAGAGGAAGGAGGGAGGGAGGTGAGTAAGGGATGAGAAGCTACCTATTGGTTACTGTGCTCTCTACCTGGGTGATGAGATCATTTGTACCCCAAACCTCACCATCACACAATATACCATTTAGCAAAACCACAGATGTACCCTCAAAGCTAAAATAAAAGTTGCAATAAAAAGATAATAAATAAATAAAACACTATTTTCCTTTTATGTTAATATAAACAAAATTACTTTGTTTTAATGACCATAGTAATTATAAAACATTTACAATTATCAAGACAAAGATATCAATCCATTTTTACCAATAAAAAAATAAAGCAGTAGACTATATTTTAAAATATCTGATCAATTCATGATGTAACCAGATACAAAATGATAACTGATGACAGAGAAGAAGAAGAAAGGGAGGGAAGGGGGCACCATAAAAAGATGAGGAGACATTTGAATAAAGATCTATAAAAGAAAAGTACTTTAATTGAATATCTTGGTATTTAAAAAGTAAATATTTTCGTATTTCTTTCTGAATACGTCAGTTTAATAAATTGAGATTTTTTAGCAATTGTTATCAAACTATTTTCTCCTGAATTCTCTGCATTGCTATATTTTGCCAAGATCATTTAGCAAATTTCACATTTGCTTTCATTGCAAATCATTAGTCTTTCAAGAAACATAAGGGCAGCTATTTGAAATTTTTACACGAAGAAACAGAAAAAGGACACAAATGTCCTAACCTGAAATATTATGTATAGATGGCTACAATCCACCAGACAGAAGAAATCTGGGGAAATGTTATAATATTACTCCATTCGCACCCAACAGATAAAAATCCCAAAGCCAGCAGCTACTCTGCTCCATCCACGGGAATGTAAGTTTCAGTGTTAATGAGTCAGACGCAGGGCATTTCCTGAAGATTAAAAGCAATTTGGAGAAAGTGGCTGATCTTGGGGTTCTTGACCCCATCTGGTCATATGCAGAGAAAATAACTTATCACAAGGTTTTTTTCTTTAGCTTTTCCACAAATAAAAAACATTAACAAATAAATTGCCACAGAAACACTGTCCTAGATGAGTGTTCACAAGGTATGGTCTCCAGACCAGCAGTATCAGCATCATCTGGGAAGTCAGAAATGCAAATTCTTGAGCACCACCCCAGACCTACTAAAGCTGATACTTTGGGAGAGGGACCCAGCAATCTGTGTTTTAAGAAGCCCTTCAGGTGATTCTAATGCAGCCCACAATTTGAGTCATTGTTCTAGGTAAATTGCTCTTTCGCAGACATACATATACATATATATAGTAAATAATTCTGAACTAGAGATCTAGAAACCATCAATTTTGGAAGTACTTTCAGGAAACAGCTACTTTATAAATATTTCCAAACCATTCATTCCATTGGATAAGTCTCAAACACACACAAAAAATGTTTAAGGGCACAGGAAGAGGGAGATGGAGAGAAAGAGGAAGAGGGTAAGAGAAAAGAAACCCAGCAAGGTGGAGAAGGATGGGAGGCCAGTGAGCTGGTGATCTTGATCACTTCTTACCTAGGCAACATGATAGGGACCAAATCATGCATGGTTATTCCGGAACCAAAATAGTCAAATAGTAGGCGCTGAATAAATATTTTCAGAGTAAATAGTAATAGAGGAGACAGAATTCTTGTACATGTTCACAATAGGAAAGAAGAATTCAGCACATGCATAAATCATGCTTCTTTATATATTTTGGTTATAAAGGCTATTAGCTTTTTTAAAATTGCTTTTGCTTTATGACATTCTTAGTAAAGACTGTTTCCATATAATATACTTGAAATTCACAAGCCTTGTACACACATAAAAATCACATTCAACATGTATTCAGCTTTAATCACACACTTTTCTTCAACTAAAAAAAAAATAACATTACGTTTTCTTTATGCGACAACCTAGAGGAAGTGGAAAAATGGGCAAGAATTATTGCAGGATTTATGCTTTCCTCACCCACTTCCCATAGCCAGCTAGGAGGGAGGATATTGTGGCAGCAAGAGGCAAAGATAGTGTGGGGTGTCCACCCTTAAATAACCGAGCATCAATAATCTTGGGAAAGGGAGAACAATACAGGACAGCAGCTTGCCTCCTGCTGGGGCCAGAGTGCTGCAGCCTCCCAGAGCAGCTGCTCAGGTATCTATGACTTCCCTAAGGTCAACATGAGGTACTGGCAGTGCTCAAATTCGATTTCAGATTCTTTCCTCCTAGTTTATGGTGATCTTTCCCTTGGGGCCACAGAGAAAGTGCTGAACCAAACCTAGTTCTTCAAGGTGGTGATCAGTGCAAGGTGGGTGGTTTAGACACATCACAGGCCCACTGAGTATTAGGAGAGCAAAACAAGAAAAAAATGAGTACTGTGAATGTTAGAGGCTGTGTAGAATCTTCCTTTCTTTAACCGCCACCCTCCTCATGCCTTTTATCACCACTTTTATAGAGCTGAGGTCTAAGCCAATGAGCTTTCATTATGAACATTCTTTAGAAACATCCCCAATAGCCACCTCTGACCTGTTCATTAACTACCAGGCCAGTTCCTGATTACAGTTTGTCAGATATGTTTATTATCTTCTTGTTTCAAGAAACAGGAAAGATTAAGAATGTTCCATTCTTGACATGAGACTCCACATCTGCAATAAGCTTAAAAGAGTATATAAATAGAATAATTTCCTGGCACAACTCAACTAACAATTAATGAGAAGACCCCCAGCTAGATTAAGAGATATCTATCTCCTTTTAAATACAATCATCTGAGCAGTTATATAACTAAGTAACTTTTATTCCATAATAAACATTTATTAGACCTTACTAATAATTGTTTTCTAACAGCACAGAAAGTTTATGCTTGTCCCATGGAACCACGACACAATCGCTTGTTTTGTAAAGAGGAGATTTAAGGATAGATGTTTCAGTTCCAACCACCAACTGAAGCTCTTACAATTAGTAATGTTAGCAGCATTTTTCACATGAAAAGATAAATTAATCTCCAGACAGCCCCAAATTACAGGAGGGTCCACAGAGGAAAAATAAAGCTATATGTGAAATCCTTAACCTATTCTGTTAAGGAGTTTTTCCTTTTTAAAATGATTTGTTACAAACCACATTTCAAATATCACTACTCCACAGAAGAAAATATGAAGTGTTAACATAAAGATTTGCTGTGAACAAAGTAACTCTTGCCAAAAGTGCTATAACTATGTATTTCAGACTTCAGAAACTTGTGACCAAGTTAATCAAACCTAGAGCCCAGTCTCACAAGTGCTTCTCAAACTATAGTGTTGTATAAGAAGCACCTGTTAAAGCACAAATTGCTGAGCAAAGCCCCAGAGAGCCTGATTCATTACACCTGAGGTGAGGTCCAAGTATTTCCATTTTAATAGGATCCCAGGTGATGTCGACAGTACCACTGTGCAGACCATCCTTTGAGTGGCACTGGGGCTATCACGCCCAGATGACTAGGGATTTAAAGGGTGGCATTGAAGTTATACCACCAAGGATATCCACATCTTTCTCCTTGATATAATCATGGCTTTTAAACATAACAGTGTAAATGAGTTGCAGTTACTGACGCTTTGCTCACTCCTTGGCCAGTAGCTGATCAAATAGCAAACAAAATTGATATTCAGGAGCACCAATGAGGTAGACAGACATTTCAAGAGACTCCCTCTATGTCAGTTGATGCCTGTTCCAAGGAACCCGGGTGATATGGTTTGACTCTGTGTCTCCATCCAAATCTCATCTTGAATTGTAATCCCCAGGCGTTTAGGGAGAGACCTGGTGGGAGGCAACTGGATCATGGGGGTGGTCTCCGCCCTGCTGTTCTGTTGATAGTGAGTTCTCATAAGAGCTGATGGTTTTAAAGAGTGGCACTTCCTCATTTTTGCACACACTGTGAAGGCTTGACTGGACTGGAAGAAGGGAAGATCTCTTTCCAGACTCACTCACATGGCTGTTGGCAGGCTTTGTTCCCTCTACACAGAGCTTCCCCCACCGTAGCTGGCTTTCCTCAAAGTGAGGAAGCCAAAAGAGAATGAAAGCAGAGCACTCAGGATAAAAGCCACAATCTTTTTCACAACCTAAGTTTGGTAGTAACATCCCATCGCTTTTGCAGTGCTATATTTGTTAAAATTGAATCGCTAAATCCTGTTCACACTAAAGAGAATGATGCCAGTAGATGGGGACCATCTTAGAAACTGCCTGTCCCCTCCCCAACCCCCAATGATTCACATCCTTCACACATGAAAAATACATCCATCTACTTCCAAGGTCTACTTCCATCATCTACTTCCAAGCTATACTGAGTATAGCTCCTGGAATATAACAGACTGTAGACTTCGGAAACTAAACAGAAAAGTTCCCTTCTCCAGAGACACCAAAAATAATAGTGTTGAAGAAGGCACAGGATAACCAATGTACACATTTGTGTTCAAATGGAAGTAAATAGGAGGCATAAGGAAGTCACTGGTGCATAGTGATTCTAACATCTAACCAGGGAACTGTTAGGGACACCCTGGTTAGATTCTCAAGGCCTAAGAATAATTCTCCACTACTCTCAGCTATGCCCTCCAGGCTTTGGACTCTACTCTATAAGTCATCTTTTCTTTTTATAATGAAAGGTAACTGAACAGTTTTTCCTGCCTGCTTCCTGCCAGTAGAATTCTGAGATTCCAAAGACCTTTCTTCATTCTATACTGTCTCTGTTCCCCTAAGTCCAAGTCCAATGTTCCTGCTTAGTGGGTCACCCATGACTCCACTTGATTTCAACTCTATTAGACAAAAATCAATCCTACAAATTCTTCCAGGTAAGTCTTTCTCTACCTTGGGCTCCTGCTGAGATGGCTGAGAGACACAGTCTTAATCTTCTTAGAGGCCCTACTGAGAGAATGTGTGAGGTATACCTTCAATCTTTTAAACACCTTTCTGTGTGACTGAATAGAACACCAAGGCATTACCTTTGATCTCTCTGAGGTCTTAACAAAGGTCCGGTCACACTCTTAGCTTCATCTTTAGACTATGTTTTTCTGACAGTACTCTAAATTTGATCTTTGCTGATAAGCTATTTTTTAATTTTAGTATCATTTGTTATTTATAGAGGATGAGAATTTTGAAAACAACCAAGTCCTGACTCCTTTTCGTTTAACAATCCTTCCCCCAAATTATTTCTCTTCTCTCATTTTACTGTTATCAGAAAGAAGAAACCAGGCAGAATCTTCAACACTTTACTTAGAAGTTACCCAGTTCATTAGACATATTTTTCTACTTTTCACATAACCACAGATCAGAGTGTTGCTAAACTTTCTGCCACTACATAAACAAGAGTCCCCCTTCCTCCAGTTTTTCGAAAACATTTTCTTAACTTTCCTGCACTTTCTCACTCTCAGTGTCTTGAAAGCCAAAAATTCTATGACTAATGTGTTCAAGGTACTTTAAGCTTTTATTAACATTCTCCTAAAAGTACTACAGCATTTCTAGTTTCTGCCCACTACCTGGTTCCAAAGCCACTCCCACATTTTATGTATTTGTTATGGCAATGCTCCCACTTCCAGGTGCCAAAGTCTCTGTTTATCTATTGATACCTCGCAATTTATCCCAAAACTTAGTGCCTTAAAACAGCAAACATTATCTTGGTTTTTATGAGCCAAGAATCTGGGTGCAAACTAGCTGAGTACCTCTGGCTAAAAGTCTCTCATGAAACTGCAGTTAAGTTGATGACTGGGGCTGTGGTCTCATCCGAAGACTCAATTGGGTTGAGGGAGTGGGGAGTTTAATTGATGGGGTTTGCATATGGGGTTTATCAGTAGGATTCAATCCTTTCTTAATACACGGGCATCTCTAAGTTGCAGTTGGCTTCTCCCATAGTGATCAATCAAAGGGTGAGTGAGGGAACACTCAAGAAGAAAACCACAGCCTTTTATAATCTAATCTTGGTGACATTCCATAGCCATATTCTACATTCCATGCCATAGTCTATTAGAGGGAATTACTATTCATTCAAAAGGAGTCCATAAATAAAGGCTACATTTCAGAAGGGATTACAGAAGGGCATGAATGCCAGAGGCAAGGATTATTTCAGACAGTCTTAAAGGTTGTCTGCTACACTGTCTCAGAGTCTGTATGAAGATTAACAGAGTTAAACATAAAAAATGCTTAAAACATTATACGGTAAGTACCATATAAGTGGGCTCTTATTAATATAAGTACTATCACCACTACTGTGATTATCTTAAGCAAGAGTCACCAAACTTATTCTGTAAATAGCTAGTTAGTAAATACTTTAGGCTTTTGAGTGCACATATCATCTCTGTTGTATATTTTTCTATATATGTGTAGTTTCTTTTTACAATGCTTTGAAAATGTAAAACCCAGTCTTAGCATGAGAGCTGTACCAAAAGAGGTCACTAGCTGCAGTTATCCCTCAGGCCACAGTTTGAAAATTTCTGATATTAAGACACAAGTTTTAGAACAACAAAGATAATGGTATTTTTAAATAAAGCCTGACATTACATGTGCATTGATCTGACAGGTACAATGCTATTTTAGCAGAGGGAGATTACTTCACATGCCAGGAAAAGACAGCCTGTTCCTGTAAGAAATGACACAATCTTTCTTTGCTGATAGAATTTTAATGGCGGCAGGGAAAGAAACAGAACCACATAAACTAGGGTGGAATTTGGGAAGTTGGATATAATTACCTAAATTGAAACGTAGCCAGTTCACAGCTCCTCCAGAGGGTGAAAAATCATGTGACCTATTAGATTTAAGAAAAAATTTGATCATAATTTCATGTTCAATTCTAAAGACAGGATTTCCAACAAAAATGCTCGCAGACCGTATCATTGGAGCTATACATGGCTTCGGAGCCAAATTTAAGAGAAGAGAGGTGCCACAGATAGGACTCCATGAGTAGAGGGGGAAATTGAACTCTAATTTCCTTGATGGTCTATCCTGTAAGGTGTCAACATAATTTTTCCCAACAGGCTTCTCAAATTTGGGGGGATTACAAAACAAACTGTCAGTGCTGAAACTAAGCAGGTGTTAAAAGCAGGGTCTGGGAAAGCAGGATACTCCCCCTGCTGGATTTAGAAACTTGGAAGCATATTCCAAAAAACCCACAAAACTTCAGTATGTACCTAACATTCAGAACGAATATGAAGAGCTCTGTCATCTTTTACATAATCACCACCACCTTGTATTTTATAGGGCTTTTAACTTTGCAAAGAACAACATGAACAAGATATTGGGCATGAATATCCTTTGTAAACTATAACTTGCTATAGTAGAGATGGAAAATAGGTTTAATCTTTTGTGCAAAATCTGATCTATCTGGAATCATTGCATGGGTCCCAGTGTTGAAAAGTTTGAGTCCATGCCTGTGCTCAGCTAGAAAAAGAGAAGGGAAAGTATCCAGTGATGTGGGAGGATGTAATAAGGGTACATATGCTAGGTATCTGCCATCCAACTAGTATGAAAGTGTATGGTGTTATCTCCCCCAGTTTTTTCATATTTAATTCACAGAAAAAATATTTTTATGATTTGAGTCACAAATTTTGCTACAAAGCCAGCTTCCAAAGTTTGATTATACTGACCATAAACATGACGCAGAATACTGGTCACCTGAACGCAGGGACCATATTCTGCTGGCCATCCACCAATTTGAAGTTAAATTTTATACCCTAAATACCAACACAAATTGTTAGGTACTTTTTTTGTACATGGCACCTTGATGGGACATGGGAGATTCAGTCTAAAAATGTAACTGAGTCTCTTTCTTCTGGACTAGTTTTATCTCATAATTTGTATTCCATTTTATAATTATTCACTATGTGCACAGAGTTGGTAAGGGGGTCAGGAGTGGGATGGAAAAATTAGAAGATATCATGTACATCAGGGTCTCTGTAATCAGGTATCTTGCAAATGTTGGGGAAAATATTTACTTACAGGACTCTGTTCTGTGCTTCTGTGAGTTTCAAGTACAATGGAATCCATACCACACCATGAAGACCATCAGCTTGCAAAAGGACAACCGATACTAGAAACTATGACAAGAATTATCTATGTTTACTGACATCAAGAAGAGGGGCCACTTGACCCAAGAGTTCACGACAATGACAAGAACTTTCTTCTCAACCCACTTAAGAGACTGTAAGGACAGCTAGGAGCTGGGTACTCTGGTATTCACAGATACTTGAGTCCTAAATTCAATGACAACTAATTGTGTTTCTGTTTTCACTAGAAAGAAAAGGCAGCCATTAGAGTGGATGTACATTGAATACATGTCTTCTGACTCTCTCTCTTATGTTTACCCCATAACAGGAACATTCCCGCCTATTTAAATCCTTGAGGAAGTTATTAAGATTGTATAAATGATCAAGTATTTGTTACCTGGCATACAAGGCTCTGCAGACAAGATTAGATCTGCCATAATAACTAAAAGAAGCCAATCACTTAGCTGCCATCCTGGTTTTCAGAGATCTTTATTATGTTCAGCAAGACAGCTGGAGAAAGGGTATGGCAATACTCAGATGAGAAGTTATCAGTCTTGACTGCACATTACAATCTCTTGAGGAGCTCTTAGAAAGACTGGGTTCAGGTCCTCTCTTATCCTAATCTCATTGGTCTCGGGAGGGATCCAGGCATATTTTTTGAAATCATAGGTGTTTCCAATGAGCAGCCTAGGATGAGAAGCCCTGGTCTTGTGGGAAGAAGCTTAGGGTCAGGCAGCCCTCAGTCCATATCCTGCTCTACCTCTTAATAAGCGCAGGACATTACAAAAATTCCTTAAACATTCTGAGACTGTTTTATCAACTGTAAAATGGGAAGAATACCCACCTGACTAGGTCATAGCAAGACTCAAAACAATAATACGTGTCAAGTGAGTGTGTAGTCCTTGTATCACAGACAGCTCTGAATAAAAGCACTAACCAAAATGAGCTCTAGGATCAAAATGTCTCTGCTTCTGTGGTTCATCTCCAAGCTTTGGGTGACCCCAAGGGAGTGGCAGGAATAGGAAGAAAGGGAGTTGTTAATAGCTAGAGGCTAAATTTTAACTCAGTTATCATCAGCATGTGAAATGAGATCACCATCTTTATGTAAATTCCCTGCTTTCCTTTAGAAACTTCCTCAGGCCATTTACCATCTTTCGGTTAGATCCCTCCCAGCAGAGACAGAGATTGAGAGAGAGCACCAGAGAGAAGCAAGCATGAGCCTAGACACACCTGTGTTCCAACTCATTCCCATGTGTACCAGAGCATGCTGCTTCCTTTCTCCCAGTCTCACTTCCCTAGATCAATAAAACTGGGATATTAATACCTGCCCCATGTGGCTATGGTGAGGATTTAACAAAATAAGATTTAGCATACTTTTTGCAGCATAGTATACATTCAATTAATGCTACTTCTGCTATGATTGCTATTATTTATATTACCACCTACAGGCTATTCCTGATGTCTACAGCCGAGATTAACTTTAACACGGCTTTTCTTGATGATCACTATACTTGGCCTTTATTCATTACAAATGTCAATAGAGAAGGGGAGCCCCCACAGAGTAAGTGATTTTCCACAAGCTGCATACACTCCTGGTAATGACTCTGAAACTCAGAGAAGACAGTTCTGATGTATTTGGATACACCAGCTGACACCACTCTGGATGATTCAGACCTGAGCTGTCATCAGCCTCCACTGCCTTGGCCTCCCTGCAATTCCCCTGCAAGCAATTCCCACTGATCCAACATGATCCTTCAGCATTAACAACTTTGCTTTGAAACCTACGGTTAAAACTATTTTGCATGCAGAGATGGCTGCAATAAGACTTCAGCCTGCAGTCTTTTGAGTCTTTCACACATACCCAACTTGCGTTAAAACTGTTTCAGTTTTGAATGCATAAGGTGTATACTCTTAGTGAATTCCTTTTCATTAGTCTATCTTAATATTTTATTGTTGAAATAATTCTAGGTTGAGTTGTTTCACCAGAGGAGTTAAGTAGATACCCTTTAGGAAATTCTGTTAGTGAACAAAAACCAGTGTTATGGTTACATTTTCTAAATAACCAAGGTTTCCATTCCCAAGTTATGCTTCGATGTGACTATAAATCCCATGAAGTTGTTGAAACCTCTGAATTTTCACATGATGTTGCATATCAGGTTCTGCATGGGATTTACTAGTACTCCATTTTGCCAGTGGAGCACTGGTCCTGCTGATAGGTAGCATCCTGGAAGTGTATGGGGGGCACTTCCTGGGGCACACAGCCCCAAAGCCACAGGTTTTGGGGTTGAGGAGAGGCAAGATCACAAATAGGATGTGAAAAAGTATACTTAAAATGAACCTCTTATTTTCAGAATATAATCTGCTATGCAGTATTGCCAAATATGCTTGACTATGTCCTTGATTGATGGTAATCTCTGGAAGGTGGCATGAGAAAACCTTCTGAGGGAACAGATTTCAAAAGCTTAAGGAACTGCCCCCAGGTTCTCTTTTACCATAGTTACAGAATGATGAAAAGCGACCTTTCAAACCTTGGCTTTTAATTTTTAACCACTTTTTATATGGAAAACTTGATCACAGCATTTTAATAACCCCATGTTCAACTGGCAAGATGAGAAGCTCCCCCCCTAGAAATCAGTACCATGCTTTGTATAGTTACAATTAAATGCTTACCTTCCAACTTTTTAAATTAGACTAACAGAGGTATGGCATCTTGTCATGGGGAGTGGCAGAGGCCCCATTTGGCTAAGTGCTGTTATTTTTCATATTGTAAAACTAAAGTTGAGTAACATGAATAAGGACACAACTATTCTGGGACCAGAAACAGAAAAACTACATTTTTGCTCAGTAATTTCCTCAGTTAAGGTTTTAGAATCCGTGTTTTTTGGTTGCTTTGGTTTGGTTTTTGAATTGGCTATTTACCATTAGAAAACTCCTTCACTTAAAAATTTACAAACTTTGTTGCTCTGCAATTTTACTTGAACTCTCAAGGTAAGACTGTACAGACCTCCATCTCTCATGCTGTATGCATACAGAACTCTCGACCATGATCAGTCTGTTCTCTGAAAAACACATTGTTTTGAAATCTAGATATCCTCCTGACCATTAAAAAAGCATCTGATTTGGAGTCCAAAGACTTGGGCAGAAGTCAAATTTCTGTTAGGCTTCATCAAAGTTTGAAAGTGTACAAAATATGTGAAAGTGCTCTGCAAGCCACATATAAGAAGCTGCACATGTAAAATTATTATTGTAATTATGATCATCATTGACAATTTTTACTCTATTATATTGTTACTTTTGGTGTCTCAGTAAATACAGTGCTAGGTGTTCAGAGTACAGGATGAATAATTATGGAATAATACCCTTATGATACTTAAAATCTAAGGGTAATGGAGATAAGAAAAGGAAAAATTAAAAAGTAATATGTGCTAAAGAAAAAAAAAATGCTGGTAAGTAAATGGTGGGTAAGAAGGAGGCCCAAAATAAAGAGAACTATCTTGGATTCGATTCCAAGTCCTAACTGAAAAGAGACTTTTCTACAAATGCCATTACTGAGTAAAATTTACATTATACACATTAAGTTTCCCATCACTCTTTATTTTTTCTTCTCATTTCTAGGCACAGAATATTTAAGGAGAAGCAAGAAAGACAAAGCTCCCGCATTGTGATACCTCATCAACCCTGAAAGATGCTTCCAAGGATCAAAGTATTCTAGGGGACTCCCCATCTCCTGGGAGAAGCCCACACCTCACATCCTCCTTCCTAATACCCACCACAGACATTTCTGAGGGCTCCAGGGTGAGGTGTTCTGTCACCTGTCTCAGCATTCTCACACAAATCTGTGACTATTCTCTTCCCTCATGCTTTTAAATTCCGTAGTTGGAAAGCAATGTTCACGTACGAGTCTTGGGCTCCAGCACAAGCCCAGCCCCGGAAAATGGGTGGAGGCAAGTAGCCTCCACTTTACATGGACTTGCCTAAATGCTGTTTCCAGACCTACAGCTAATGCTTCATAAAAGATTTCAGTGACTCAAGGGCTGATCTCTTGCCTAGAGGCCATGACCTAAGCACAAGCCTCATTCCAAGTTCTCCAGATGTTCTTGATCCTGCTTGGAATGCACACACCAGAAACCCTGGAAAGCAGCAACTTTTTCATAAAAGTGGATCTGAGTTGGTGGTCAGATGTGGGCCATCTGTTAGAAGCCACCACCCTTCCCAAAGCTACTCTTCTGACTGGCCACAGGGGCCTGCAAGTCAGAGTTCTTGGGGAGACACTGCCATGGTGGGGTTCTCTCTCACAAGACAAGTTTTTATGAATGTAACCCCACAAAGAGCACCTGCAACCCCTGGACCTTTGCCAGGGCAAACCTGTTTCTTTCTCTAGAAATGGAAGGAACCTTCTTACTCTGAAGGCCAAATATCCCCATGAGCATTTTAGAACTCTGAATGCTAACACTGGGGAAACATTTCCTGGAGGATTGCCCCTATGTCTAAGAGGGAACACTCTGCCAAAGCTCCATACCGGCAACTCTCTTCGATTGCTGCCCTACCCTTGTAATTCTAGGTTCCCCTTTCAAGGCAACTCATGGGTTGTATTGTGTCATGTAAAATACACTGGGCTGGAAGGTAACAGCCTGACTTCTGTATTATGCACTGGTTGTGTGAGCTTGGGCAAGCCACAAAACCCCTTTAGGCTTTGGATTTCCTTCCCATCTACAAAATGAAAGAGGCTCCATGATATTTGACACTCCTTTGAGCTCTAAAATATTAAGTTTTAGATGGCTTACCATGTGATATTCTCTATTTGACAGCTACGGCTGGGTCCTGGACTGTGGCAGGCTCAAGTGCCATCTAGCAAAAGAGTTAAGAGAGTGAGAAGGCAGATTTCCAGAGCTTGTGACTTCACTTCCACCTGCTTTCTCTCATTCTGAGAACCTCAGCATCAGTGCTGGGGCGGTTCCGTGCCATCTTCCATCCTCTCCTAGGCATGAGTGTGTGACATTCTTCACCACTTGCAGGGGGTAAACAGACCATTGCTGACCACTGGGTGTAAGATTTGTTTGCCTGTCCCACTCCTGGCTCAATAAGAGTTTATTTAAGTTGAACATTTTTCTGGTAAAATCCTTAGGTAGTATTTGAGACAAAGATTATGAGAGTAGTTCAAACAAAAGTTTAGGTAGTATTTTTCATAAACATTAACTCTTGAATTACTTTCAACTTAATTTCATGGTTACAGAAGATATTTTCTGACATACCTCTTTTGTCTCAAGATCCAAAATTAGTTCTAGGCTAGCTATAAACTCCTGAGAAAAGTTCAGCACCTTCATGTCATTTTCTGAGGTTTTCTTATTCTTACACGTTTTTATCATTTATAAGATATATAAGACTGTGTTCTAAAGAATTCTGCAATTTTCACTTGCCACATGGGCCATGTCTTTCAGAAACTGATTGCCTAATGAAATTATAGAATTTAATACTCATAAAATCATACAAATAAAAAATAATTCTATAATTATTTAAATATCTAAACAATGTGCACAAAGTAACTATATATCAGGATACAGTGATCACATAAAATTCATAGGCAAAACTAATTGTGTATTACATTTTTGATATATAAAATTAGAAGAATCTGGCTACATTGCACGGTGGTGTCGGGTTTGGTAATTGCGCAGAATACCCTTAGGTCTAGAATTACATCGACCAAATGGAACAAATCTAGGCCTGCATGTCCTATTTGGCTTAGCTAGCTCTCCACCCACTCTCTTAGGGTTGTGTCCATTGTCTGGGCTGAGCAAGCACAAGAACAGCACTGACGATACTTAGGGGTTTCCTCTTCTCTAACTTCCCATGGAATTGACACCTATCCTTCAGCAGATGTTGAATTGTGCCCTCAGGATTACTCACTCTAGTTCACAATTAATCTCTCCCTGTTCTGACTCTGACAGGTCCTTAAAACCAAGTGAAGTATTTTACAGAATTAGACTATTTGTTCTTCAATCCTTTATTTCGATGTGTTCCTTTTCCATAAAATAGTTCTCCCCAGTGTTTAATGTTCTAGTAACAATCTCTCCAGATTTGAAAGCATGTAATATACATGTAAGTGATTATGTCTGTGTGGATAGAAAACTTGCTTTCTGATTATATGTTATTGTTTGCTAAGTTTTCTGGCAATTTTTCTACTATGCAGGGCTCAGAGCTAATCTCTAATGCTTAAACTTTAAGAATCTGCCTTAACAATCATATTAATTCTCAGAGCTGCTTCAGTTTCGTCTGAAAAACTTGGCAAATTGTGAAACTGAATTTGAATAACCAGTCACTGTACAGTGATTGGTATTCTAGACTGCCCCCATGGGTAATTTAACCACACACAGTATCAGTTGTGGGATGAGAAAGCATTATTCTTAGATTGAGTTTAAATTTCCCATATCATTGATGCATGGGTTCGAAGTTTCTTCTGAAGTTCATGAAGTTAAGAGCGAGAAATGTTTATAGTATCTGTCTTCTATCTTCTAAATGTTCAGAGAAGGAAAATCATGTAATTAAAGAAAATTGGCATGTTTGTGACTGAGTACCTATATCTGCAAGCCTGGATCCTAAGAACAAGCAGAATTGCTTCGTGACTATTTCCTTTGGCTTCATAATGACCATTAAGTTAGAATATTCTTCTTTGAATTTAAACTTGATCTTACACACTACCACTAAATTCCAATGCCTATGCCTCTAGCCTGTGTGGCTAGTTAAATTTTCAGCTACTGGAATATCCAAAATTCCTTCTCTGTATTGTTCTTATCCAGAAAACAAACCAACACATCTCTCATTATATAAATTTTTAACAAGTCTGAAAACCAGAGAAAAAGTAGTTTCTCTTATCCAAAATTATGCTAAGTTCTTCACCATAAATAATCTCTTGTCACTGAAACAGCAAAGAGTAACTAAATGCCTATTAATTGGCCCTGCACCAGGCACTATGCAAGGTACTCAGAGTACAGCAGTGAATAAGACAGGAGACTTACACTGTGCTGTGAGGCAAATAGGCAAGTAAGCATTTCCAGTGCAGTGTTTAGGTTTCTATTAGAAGTGAGTACAAGGTTTTACATAAAGACCAGAGAATGGATGACAAGCCAGCTTTTTGGGTACAGTTAGATAAGCCTCCTGAAAGAGATGATGGAAACATTGAGTTGTAAAGGAAGACAGAAGAAGAAATAGGAAGATGAAGGGAAGAAGAGGAAGAATATTTTGAATATTAATGCAACATTGGGGAGGAGAAAGAGAAAGGAATGAATGAGTGAACTGCATGCAAGAACTGGTTGAATAATGGGATCTGGTGAAATGAGTAAGGGCATGAATGACACAATAATGACAATATCAGCAGAGCTAGAGTGCAGATCTGCAGGGGAGAGTAACCAGCAAGAGACATGGAGCTCGTGATAGTCATTCTTGCTGCTCACCCATGTCCAGTCCTCTCTTCCTTTGGATCGATGATGCCCTGTTCCAGCAAATCTAGACAAACGATCTAATGATCAACAGTGAAACAAAGCAAATTAGGTAGTCTTCATTTTTGTTCAAGATAAAGTAAATCAGTTCTGAATCTCCTGTTCACTTAGTACTTAAGTCCCAAATGAGGTAGTTAAAGTGTTGTCATCATTCTGGTCCCCTTGTAGGTAGATGAGGTCATGTGACTAGAGATGGCCATGAGTTCTAAGCAAGTGTCACTTCTAGGCCAGAGCACCTAATTGCTAAGGTGGGACCATTGAGAGCTCTTTTTCCCTTAGGTAAAACAACTTGCACTGTTCAGGGTGGAGATGCATAGTGAACCTGAGTCCCTGTGTAGACTGTAATGAGCAAATTCCCACTGCCTACCTGAGTGGCTCCTTCTGCATGAGTAATTTGTGTTGTGTTAAACCCCTAATATTTGGGATTGTTGATACCATGGAATAAACAATAAGCAAAATGTAAAGCCTGTCCTAACTTACTCAAGCTGAGAGTGGCAGACAAGAGCTGAATCACGCAGGGCCTCAAAGCCTTGGTAAAAAAGTTTGTTTGTTATGCCAAGAGTATTGGGATCTCTTTAAAGAGATTTAAGCTGAGTTTTAATCAGGTTTGCATGTTAATATTGATCACTCTGACTGCAAAGCAGAGAACACATTGGAAAGGACAATGTGGAAATCTCAATTCCTGAACAGCAAGAACTTATTTAGCCATTTCACAGACTGGTTAAACATCTCATGTAGACCTATTTTCTGAGGGTCACACAGGAGTAAATTGCCTCAGCAAAATTGAGAAGCTCTAATGGAAACATCTAAGATTATTTTAAAATCTCATGTCTAACATGACCTAAATATCTCACAATAAAAATGAAATTACCAATGCAGTGTTATCATATCTTCTTTTCTTTCTAATTAGAGCAAAATATGTTTCTTTGAATTTTAAGCTAAGGAATAAGGGGCCAATTTCTTTGAAATATGATTACTTCAGATTATGTGTCAGATGGTCTGAGGCCAAATTATTATGGAAAGAGCAAGTTAACTGAGCCAAAATACTTCATAATTTTCCTTCATTAGCAAGTTTTGCAGGCTTCACTGAATTTAATGAAAGAAGTACCATGTAAATCAAGTCTATTCTCCCCAGGGGAAATTTTTTTTTTAATTCTTTTGGATGTAAGTATGAATGAGTGTGTCAACATTTGAACATCAGAACATTTAGCTTAATTATACTCTTCTCTGCTTCCCCCTTCACTTCTGTGAATGTGTTGAAGGCTTCAGTGCCATAATCATCCCCATTACCAGAGCTCCAGTGCAGTGATTACATGGGTTAAGGGTATAAATCATGCACTCTGGGGCTTATCTAATCCACCTGCCTCGCTTTACAAATAAGGTGACAAAAGCGGCAAATTATACTGGATATCTTCAGGAAATGGATGAGGAAAGTGTTTCTTAGTCTTTCTACATTTATTCCAAGATGACTCTAACATACCGTCTGTTTTTGCTTTTTACTATGTAGCTGGCTAATGATATGGTAGTATGACACCTGAAAAGGTAGATTTCTAAGTTAATAACTGTAAACATGGAACTGTTCAAAAATATAAATTATCTGACATAAGCAAATATCAAGAAGCTATTTTTTTCTGGTCCTCTTCACAGCTAGTTATCAGAGAGAAACATCAAGAGCAGCATTGTCCAAGCTGTGTTCCACAAAATACCAATGTTCCATGAGGTGCTACTGCAATTTGTATGGAAAAGGAGTTCTGTGATGAGTTTGAGGAACCTGGCTTAAACTGTGTTAACAACACTCTATTGTTTATTCTGATCTCCCCTTCAAAGGAAATGCTTGGCAAAATTAATCCTAGGCTCACAGCTCCAAAAAGTTAGCTTTAGGCTTTAAACATTTGAAAATGGGGAATTTCTCTGTTTTTATTTCTTTTTTTCTACCACTTTAAAAATGAGCCCGATTTTTCCATGAAATCCAAATACGTAAGAGCATAAGATGATGCCCTGTTCCAGCAAATCTAGACAAACGATCTAATGATCAACAGTGAAACAAAGCAAATTAGGTAGTCTTCATTTTTGTTCAAGATAAAGTAAATCAGTTCTGAATCTCCTATTCACTTAGTACTTAAGTCCCAAATGAGGTAAAATGTCGTCATCACAATGTAAGTATGCAGCTAAGAAAACAGTTGACATAATCACAGACTCTGCTTCTGGTCATTAGAACACATAGAATGTGAGAGCTAGAAGAACACTGAAGTTAATCAAATCAATCAAATCCATCCAAGCTCCTCAACTTACAGATGAGGAATCTGAGGCCAAGAGAGACCATGGGATATATCCAAGGTCTTTTTCACATGCGTAACTAACTTGGTTTTACATTGGCATTTTTCATTATTTTATTCATCAATTTATCGATTTACCCAACAACTTCCAAGTTCCAGGACATGTATTAAGCACTGAAAATACAAAGTTGAACACAAGAATCTTCCTGTCAGACACTCAGAATTCACTGGTATGTTGGAGCCAGCTGCTACCAGCTCCAAAGGGCCAACTGTGAAATTGTCAGGAACTTAGTGAGCTGTTTAACATAGTCATTACTAAAAATTAAATTCTATAAGCTTGCAATTAATTATATTAAAATTAAAGGTAATAAGTACTCAAAACAGAATGTCCTAATTATTTTACTATGTTTCTATGCTGTTGAAGTTATTAACCTCTAGTGTAAAATATTATACAATGGACTGCTCTAGCACATCTCTTCCCAAGTCCACACTCAGTGATATCACATTCGTAGCTTGAAATTGGGTATTTACACTATGAATATTAGCAAACACTATAAGGTAGCTTTCTTTTTTTTTTCCCGAGTGGTGGTTGTTCAAATTTACCACCTCATTACTGCAGTCACCGAATATATATGGTGTACTTTACCATTGTGTAGTTTACACTAGGAATTCACACATACATGATCTCATACTCTCTCCCACATATCAATAAGTCTATGAGATAGATTTTATGACTGGTAGAAGACATGACCTATGCAAAACTCACCATAATATAAAATGTCCTGTGATCACAGACCAGGAAGCAATGCATTCTGCAGGGCAGTGAAGAGAGGCAGAGAAGAGGCCATGTTTGAACTGGATTTAGTAAACTCACCTAAAGGCTAGGTGATGTGCCAAAGATCCAAAGAAACTAAAGACTGTTCTGCCTCTAGCACATTCCTATCACTACGTTCCATACTCCTATCACTCACTTTTTCACTGTCTACCAGATGTGATGCTTCATAGCAAAGATCTGTTACTACCTAAAAGTTAAGACCTACTTGGTTGGTAATGTAGACAGTCATAGTCATAAAACAAGTTATTATTTCCTTAAAACCAAGAGAGATAAAGTAGTATGGAGGGGAGAACAAAGGCTAAGGGACCTGTTGGGGCTGAGTTATAGACTGGATTGGCAATAAGCTGTGTGTCTTTGGTCAAGCTACTTATTCTCCCTGTACTTCTTTTTCCTTCAACTGTTAAATGAAAGCAAGTTGTGCTTGGGAAAATTAAATATGATAATGTATTTAAAGATCACAGTAGGTGCTCAATAAAGGCCATGTCTCATCCTTCAGCTTCCTTCTGTAGCAGTTGTCTGTTTTTTCTGCACACTTCTCTAGTGAGCTGTGCAGGCCTTTGAAGTGTTTTCTAGGTCTCTGCCACTCATTCTTCCCTATAGACTTGTCTCCCATCTCTTTGCCTCACTATCTTCTCTCCTTCAGTTATCATTTAAGTGTGACTTCTCCTAAGAAGCTTTCCATGATATTCTATAAACTCAGTTATGTGCTCTTGAATCTTCGCCCTCATTATAGCGTAAGCTACCGTCAGAGCACGGATCAAACTTCACTGTCACCACCTACTTACTCATCTGTGAATAAGTAATTCCATGAGGTCAGAAACTTTGTCTCTCTTACTTGTCATTATATATAAATGGCCCAGTACAGTGCTTAACACATAGTCAGCATTTTAAAATATTTGCCAAGTAAATGAATGGTAGAATTAGATATTTTTAAACAGTCAGTTACATTTGGTACGTCTTCACTTTTTGGCACCTAAATTTTGATTCAATTTTCCTCCTTCAGTCAATGCTTTTGTGAGCTCTGCTGTCTTAATGCTCCTTCTTCTAATAAATAATACTAATTTCCCACATTTTCCAAGAAAAGTACTGAGTTCTTATCTTTAGTCATACCCTGTAATGCATCAAAGGTAGCACTCTAAAGCCTACAGGAGACTGACAAACATCATTTCCCTACTGTTACTAGAGGGGATATGTAAGAATCCCAGGTCTCAGGTTAGTAAATCTGGCTTAAAATTGTCATGCTATGGGTGTGAGATAACTGAGTATAACAAACACCTGTGTGTGACACACACATGCAATTTACCTCTGTGCACCTTTCCACTCTCCCCTTGGCATGTGGCAGGTCCCCGCCTTTGCTTCCCACATCATTCTGTGCCTTCACTTGCTTTGTGGGTTCACGTCAGTGTCTGAGCTGAGCCTAGGCTATCTGTAGGAGTCCCCTTACCACCTGCAGAAGGAGCTCTGAATCTGCTTCCTATGGAAGCAGCCAGAGCTCAGAAATAAAGCCCCTTCCCTCCCTGAAGATGGCATCCCTCAGCCTTTCACTGGTCTCCTTCCTGTCCTTCCTTCAAATTTTCTGTTTAACATTTCTGGTCTTTATATTTTTTCTTCCCTCCATATCCTTTCCATATTGCAAAATCATTCCATGTGCATATGAAACCCTTTTATTGCTAGCTGAAACATTTCCTCAGCAGTTGAATGAAAATTGCTTTCCTTTAAAACATTAATAAATTAAGTGGTCCATATGGACCCTTTCTTCGGTATATAAGTGATTACATTTATAATCATCAAAAGAAATATTTTCTTTTTAGGTGCCCAAACATTGACATTCTACAGCTTAATTGTTTTTAAACACTATTGGAATCCTTTTTTCCAACTTCAATAGTTGACTCTTTAAGGCCATGAAGTGGGAAAACGATTTGAATGTAAAACCTAAGTGTACTTAAATTAAATAAAACCTGACCCCAAAGAACCTCATTTCTAAATACAGAGAATCTGGTTTTCACATGAGTTTTATTTCATATGGTAAGGCTGGACTGCACAGAAGGCTCATTCGTTTCCTAATCCTGCTATGAAGAAGAAGTTTGGTTTGAAATATTCTGGATGTTGATCCTTAAGTACCTTTGTCTGCTACAGCACAATACATCAAAGAAAGGTCATGATGTTATGTAACATTTGGAACTGAGATTCCCATCCGACTTGCTACAAGAGTAGAAGCAAAGTCAGACTTTTATCATCAAGCATCCACACTACAATCCAAATGGTAAGTCTTTGAGTGTTTCCAAAGTGCTGATTCATGTTGCAGTAAAACAACAGGTCATGCCGATGGGAAAGAAATGCAGACAGGCATGTAGGTAGAGTGTGCACAGATGTGCAGCATCATTGGAACTGGCCGGGAGAGATTCCTTTCACCACATTCACAGAAACAAATGGAGCACTTGGTATTTGCAGGTATGATGGTATCCTCTCTCTCTTGAGTATTTGCAACCTTCAGCAGGTACTTGTAGAACAACCCTTGGGTGAATCAGATTTTTGTTTACTCTCATGCTGCTTCATGGACATGTAGACTGTCAGTAGCTGGAGCTCTACACGCAGGTCAAAAAGGCAAGCCAAGAATCTGGAGTCAGCGTGGAACTGGGAAGGACTCCAGGATGAGCCTGGAAGCTAGTGGTCTAGAGGCTACCACAGTGCTTAGGGCTCTCTACCCACAGCCTCTGCTCCCTCAAATCCATTCTCTAGTATAAAGTCACCTAGCTATTAAATTGTAGAACCAGAATTTGAACTCCAGGATGGGCCTGGAAGCTCATGGTCAATATTAGCTCACAGGTTATGTGATGATGAGCAATTCAGAGTATTGGTAAACAGATGCTAAAGGTCAAAGGTTGGCAGTGGGTCCGCAGTCACAGTGTAATAGCAAGTGAATGGACTTTGGACATACAAAGGATCTTGGTTTTAGCCCAATTCTGCCATTTGCTAGTTATCTGGCTCTGGGTAAGTCATTTAACTCTCTTGTACTTTGACTTCCTTTCCTACAAAATAGAGATAACAATATATACTGCTAAGTGCTCTTTGGACCTTGAATAAAAATAAAAGAGCTAACAATATCTGACAGTTACAGAATCCTCACTGAGTGTATTATATGAATTAATTCATGTAATCCTCATAATACCCTATAAGATTGACATTATTATCATTCCCAAACTCATCAAAGCTGATAAATGGCAGAGCTTGGAATCACTAGTTCCAGAATCTTTTCATAAACATGAGATCATGTATATTATAAAGTAGTTCATTAATGCTATGGTCACATACTCTTATGCTAGTAATAATAGTTACATTATTAAGAACTTACTAAGCATCAGAGACAGTATTTGCTATTTTACATATATTACACTATCTATCATAGCCCTTTAAGGTAACTTCTGCAATGTCTCCATTCTACAGATGAGGAAACTGAGGCTCAGAGTATAAGGTCACCTAGCAATATTGTGGAACCAGAATCTGAACTCAGGTGTTTGGTTTTTATTTAATTCCAAGGTATTTTTAGTCTTCTATTTCTGTGAAAAAATGGAGGCTACCCATAATGGCATCTTTCAACATTCTCCTTCTGCCCACAGATTCCTATAGATTAACACCTATTCTTATGTTCTGATCTCTAGTATCAGAAAATAAGTCATCTTTTACCCTTCAGGACAACATTCTTTCCTTTTACTTTCATCATTAGGTATCATTCTTCCCCTGTGTCTTCAATCTTTCCCTCTACTGACTTCATCCTTTCAGTGTAGGAAAGTACAGCCCTCCCTCCACAGTCCTCTCCAGCTGTGAGCCAACTGCCCTTAGCTCCTTCTCACCCAAACCATTCTGCACAGAAGTCTCCATTTCCTATCAACTTCCTTCCCTCCCATTCACTCCTGGGTCACCATCATCTGGTTTCTACATGCTCTGCTCAACTCAAACTTCTCTTTACCAGCTCACCACTGGCTTCCTATCTGCCAAAACTAACAGGCATTCCTACTCCTCATCCTACTGGCCCTCTCTGCGATGCTCCTCAGTGGTATCACAATGCCTAGAGCTCTCCACCCCCAACCTCTGCTCCCTCAAATCCCTTCTTTACAAAATCACCATGGTTCTTCAACATATGCATTGTTTCTCACTTCCCTGTCTATTCTCTCTTCCTGGAATGCCCTTCTTTACTGCTACACCATTCTCCCTAACACAGACAATTTCTTCTTAGATTTCAACTTCTTGGAGATTTTTCTTCCTGGAAACCTTCTTTGAATCAGCCCGTTCTAAGATTAGATGCACCTTCTCCATGTGCCATGGGATCAGTAGCTTTCTATTTCAATTTTATTTTCCTAAAATGACCTATTCTACATCTGACTTCCCCACTGACTGTGAGCTCCTTGAGGACAGGTACTGTCTCCCTCATCTTGGACCAGTTCCAATCTCTTATCTAAGCACTGGGACAAGATGGTATGACTGTGCCATGATTTATTCATATGTTTGGACAGTTACTTCTGTCATCTTTGAAGGGGAAATATTTCTCCTATATATTTCATGATATATGTACAATGTATTTAATCTTTGGGCTTATTATTGCAATCTTACCTTCAATTCTACCACTTTCATCAATTTTTTTTTCCTTTTAGTAAATGTTAGTTTTCCTTTATTTGTCTATTTCAAAGACCAGGATAGTGACTGCCTGACATATTATGAGCTACAGTGACAAGTTACTGGTTTTGCTTCCCTGATTCCCATTCATTTTTTCCTGGCAATAGCATTTTCATTTTCCTTTTAGAAACTAACTTCCCCCAACTGGATACAGTCCTGATGGGATTGTCAATCCAGGTTCCCCCTACTTCTCATCTCTAGGGATGGGATAGTGCCCCAAGCCAATCAGACAGTCACTTCCTGGAACTGAAGTTTTGAAAAATGTGATACAAAGGCCAAGTTAATGTTGGTTAAAGTTGTTTTACCCCAGAAGAGATTTACTGTAGTCCCTGTCACCTGGATTCACCTGAGCCGCTCTGGCCTATGACATCTGCAGAGCCAGATCCTTAATCTTTTCTACCCATTTTATGGATAATCTCATAGCCTTCCAGTACATTCCTTTTTTGTTCAAGATAACCAAAATCTGTTTCAATTGCTTGCCAACAACCAGTGCTACATGATATAAGTATTAAACATCCGCTAAGTGAATAACAAATGAATATTTGAGTCAAAGGAGGTTTTTCCCAAGTTAAAAGTCACCTATAAATTCCTAGAAGCAAGATGACTAACACAGAAAGAACCCTATGGCAGAGAGAAAGGATCTCATTTGTGGATGTCAAGAAACTGGGCTCAGAGGAGAGGTACTCTTCCCCTTCCTCTGACTGTGGGTCCATAGGAGAGACAGGTAAAGCTAAAGAGAAAACCGGATGAGGGGTGGTGAGGCAGGATGACTGGTTTTTATTAGAGAAGAAAATAATTATGTTGGGGGGAAGGAAAGAAGGGGATTTTAGGAGACAGAAAAAAAGTGTCTGACTTTTTAATGACTTTTTAATCATTAAAAAGTCAGGAAACAACAGGTGCTGGAGAGGATGTGGAGAAATAGGAACACTTTTACACTGTTGGTGGGACTGTAAACTAGTTCAACCATTGTGGAAGTCAGTGTGGCGATTCCTCAGGGATCTAGAACTAGAAATACCATTTGACCCAGCCATCCCATTACTGGGTATATACCCATATGACTATAAATCATGCTGCTATAAAGACACATGCACACGTATGTTTATTGCGGCATTATTCACAATAGCAAAGACTTGGAACCAACCCAAATGTCCAACAATGATAGACTGGATTAAGAAAATGTGGCACATATACACCATGGAATACTATGCAGCCATAAAAAATGATGAGTTCATGTCCTTTGTAGGGACATGGATGACATTGGAAATCATCATTCTCAGTAAACTGTCGCAAGAACAAAAAACCAAACACCGCATATTCTCACTCATAGGTGGGAATTGAACAATGAGATCACATGGACACAGGAAGGGGAATATCACACTCTGGGGACTGTGGTGGGGTGGGGGGAGCGGGGAGGGATAGCATTGGGAGATACACCTAATGCTAGATGACGAGTTAGTGGGTGCAGCGCACCAGCATGGCACATGTATACGTATGTAACTAACCTGCACAATGGGCACATGTACCCTAAAACTTAAAGTATAATAAAAAAAAAAAGTGTCTGAAAATATTTTCTGGGGGGCACACTAAAAAAATCAAGGATGATGAGGATTATTGGACAGCTTGAAGCCAAATCTCAATAGAGCATAGTATTAATATGTCAATTGTAAATCTTTCTCATTGCAAGTATAACAAAAATCTACAATGACCAACAAAAGTCTTACTGATAACTAGGAAAATTACTCTTTGAGTAAAGTAAAGCTATTATTTTGGGATAATTCTGGGAGAAGCATCACAGCAGCTAACTTACTAGATCCTACAGAGATCAGCTTTCACAGTGGCCCCTTCTGTGATAGGCTTCACCAGTTCTAGCCTCTGGTCTAAACATACAATAGGATTTAGCTATAATCCGTATTTTAGACAGTTGCAAAAAACTACAAAGGAATTGTTTCTCCTAGTTTAATGCCATATGTACATTTTGTATATTATCTTTGTGTTCATTATCACAATCACACAATCAGTTCTGCTTTTATCAATTTTTTCTCTTTATGGGTATTCAGTTCATGTTATTATTTCTTTATTCACCATAGACAATAAAGAGGCTATATAGGGAACAAAAAAAGAGGCAGAATGTTTTCCCCAAAGAGAGGGCTTTTCAGATGAGCTCTGTAATTTTTCATCTAGAGGAAAGAGTGTATCATCACCCCTTTAAAAAAATAAATGAATTACATTGACTTGATGCACAGCAGGCTTGCAGATTTCATGGGGCCTTTGTATTGAACATATGCTTGATTTCTGTTGTCTCCTCTCAGATTATTCTAGGCATCCAGGAGATAAAACAGGCAGGAAAGCAGCAGACATCACAGCAAAGGGCTTGATAGGTCACCTCACTTATAAGACACAAAGTCAGAAGCCTACCTCCTAGACAGGAAATTCAATACTTATAAAGAATCCACCAACCCATGCCATGGTCTGACTTTCTAAGACTTTCCCCCTCATTACTACTTCCTTTTCCAAAGCATTTACCTTCCCTAGATGACTTCATAACATCAGATTATTAAAAGAAAAAATACATATAACTAAACATACCCTGTGATTACTGAACTCCTTGCAGCCTATAGACTTCCTTCTCTTCTTTCTTTCAAGCAAGACTACTCAATTAATACCGCTTTATCTGTGAGTCTGTTCTCATTTCTTCACTTTGCTTGGTATCATCGACCAGCAGCCTAGCATTACTTAACTAGCAAGGTTCTCACCTGTCTTCAGCCTTCCCCTATCTACCCTAGCTCTGCCTCCCAGCCCCATAACCCCCTTTATCTCCTTTTACATGTACACTTGCCATATTCTTTTATCTTTTCTTAACTTTACTATGTTTCTGAGTGCTGTGCCTTGCCTTCTGGAGACATTGGTTTCCATTAATAAAGGACATGGTGCTTGAATTTCCACATGCGTAGGTATGTGTGCACATATGTTTGTATATTAAATATGTATTCTTTTAACACATGTCTGCTTCCACTTTTTGGGTTAAATTGGCTTTTTTTTAGCTTGTTAAGAATGGAAAGGCTAGGACTATGTGAGATGCCTAAGTAGTCCAATTTTTATTAATGGAGAATATTCAGTGGGTATTTTTATTAACGGAGAGTGATCATATTTTATTAATGGAGAATACTGCTTCTATTTCTATTAATGGGGACTACAGTGGTGCCAGCCATTCCAGGTAACAGTAAGGGGCAACTATCATCATAGCATTTTCAGCAGAAGAGAGTAAGTGAATGCAGCTGCTAGTTTGGAGTATCAGGAGCATGAAGACAAGAGATCAGTAAGAAAGAGGTGATTTTTTTCCCCAAATTTTTCCATAAAATCTGTTTTCTTAAAATAATACCAACTGTCATTTTTGAAATGCTACCATATTCTACATGCATTACATGTGTGATCTTCAAAAGAACCCTTCACAGGAGATATTACTACTTCTTTTTTTTCCCCGTGCAGAACAGTAATGCATGAATTCAAGAGCCAGCACCTTTTTCACAAAGGTCAATGAAACAGAGGCATCGCTGTGTGGAGGGCCCTGCTGAGAAATATTTTTATTTTCACATAGATATTTGTCTTCACTAAAAGCAGAGCCACGAACTTAGAATTAAGTAATGAATGTTACCAACATATGTGTAAATAAGATTTTCAACGGATTCATTTTCTGGCTAGAGTGTTTAGGAGTGACAAATGTTCTCATTTCTAATATGATACATGTGTATTCCCTTGCCCATATATACAACACAACAATTCTTCATCACAACCAACACCAGTCCATTCTTTATTTGGCAAGATAACTGGGCACTGTAAAATTGTAACCAACACCCTTGTTTGTTATAATTAATATCAATATCAATTAAATGAAAGAAAGATTCTTAACCAAAAACTTTCCATTCTAATAGGGGAACCTGTTTTTAGACCATGTGGCTTTGATTCAATTGTTTTTTCTCTTATACTTGTGCAAGTTTCAGTTAGGCTCCAAACTGGGATAGAGCCAACCCTATATGCTACTTTTCACCATGCATACTAAAGGCTAATGGCACCAATGGAATACAGAACTGCCCTGAGACTGCTCACTATCAAAGGGTCAATTTTTGGGCAAAATGCCCACTCAAGTGAAAGCTTACGTAGGTTCTTATCTGAAATAGCAAGGAGGTTAAATCAGAAAGCAACCTAAGCTGTTATCTCCAGTTAAGTGGAATTACTTGTATATTGTTTGTAAATAAAATAGTATTCATCATTCTTCTGCAGCTTATGTTACCAAAAAGATATGCAATAACAAATGCTGCCTTGCCCCAGTGGGCTTACACTGAACAATTATTTTATTTACCATAAAAAATGCAAAAGGGGGTGGTGGTGAGAAGGGAGTACAGGGAGTGAAATGTGGAGCACAAAGATCTAGAAGAAGGATAAAGTAAGAGAGCTGGGGTTGGGCAACTGAGGGAGGGAAAGGAATAGAAAACTGGTTCAAAAAGGGTTGGCAACTAACAGCAGCTGAGAGCACTTTGGGATTCAATATGGGAAACAATACCCAGTACAATAAGAACATTAAGTAGCACTCTGATGACCTCTCAAAACCATAATGCAGTGTGTTGTAAAGTTCTCCAAGAATTAATTCTGCCTTGCCCAATGATCCCTGTGTTCAATCTTCACCTCCCTGGTCATTCTGAGCAAGTAACAAAAGAGGCAGTTACTTTAACTGAATATAACATTGTAGCTCAGTCTTACCCTCACCTTATACTGAAAAGGTCTCTGCTATCCCCAAACCCATCTTCTCTCTAACATCCAGGTTTGTGTGCCAAGGAAGTAAAAGCACACAAGTGAAAAGCCAGTCAAGGTCTGTGTTCCTTATGATAATTAATACAGCGGTTGTTCTTTTAATGAAGGCTTGGTGGCAGGAGGTGGGTGGAGAGTGGAAGAAAACTACAGATGATGGGAGCTCTCAAAATATTTTGAAAAAAAAAAAATTAAAAACACTCTTTGAACACTGGTAAGTTAGGATGTGATAATTTAATATAGATGAGACAAGTTTATCCACAAGACAGGGAATGATAAAAATATTAGTAGTATTAAAAGCCTGAAGTTTACTGAGTAATAACAACCCACATTTATAAAGCACTTGCTTTGAGCTAGACACGATTCTAAGGAGCTTAGATTACGTTAGTCCTCATCACAACAGCTGTATGGCCTAGCTATACGGACTGTGTCATTTTAGAGATGAGGAAATTGAGGCAGAGAAAGAATAAGTGTCAGTGCTCAAAGTCCAGGAGGTAGCAGAGCCAGGATTTGAACCTGGATCCTCTATTTCCAGCACCAGCATTTTTATCCAGTATGCCATAAATAATACAGTACGTCTGTTTTTAGCACTCTAACTCCTATAATATAAATACTAATTATAAATGTATCTTCTCTATTAATTTAAGCAATCTTGTCAGGGCTTCCTCTTGAATGCCTTCTGTTAAAAAACAATTTGGCAAGGAATTCACAGAATAAAGAAGTCAGAATTAAAACAAATTACTGTGACTTTTAAAATAATAAAGCTGAAGTAAATTAAAATGTTACTCCACTTTTCTCTCTAGTTCAGACCAAACTATTCCCAATTAACCCAAAATAAAAGGGAGCACCTAATTTCCTTTTGCCAAAAAATGCAATTTCCTCCTTACTAAGTCTTTCAGTTCATTATAACTTTACTTCAAGCTACTTGCCTTGCATTTCACTAGTTGCCCTTCTTTTGCCAGCAAAAAATAATGCAGCATTTTTCTTAGTAGCATCTATCTGGTAAAAGCAGTCCTACCTTCAAAGAATACCTCCCTAATCCCCATGAGAAATATGATTCCCCACGCCTTGATTGGACCTAACAGGGAACAGTGAGGTCACAGTGTTTCTCACCTCCTCTTTCTCTGCCCTTCAGGAAGAAAGGATCCATAACAATCTGGTCCCTGTAGCCTAGTTAAGAAGAGGAAGATGGAAGTACTAATACAAAGTGTAGCTAAAAGACATTGCTGGGCTTTAACTTCTGCCTCCCATTCTCTGTTAAGTAAACAAGAAAATGGAGGCAAACAAGCTCCCTAGGTAGTGCTAAGCCACACGTTCTGACTGTGAGAAAGAATCTCTTGTGGAGAAAATGAAATAAACATAAACAGATTGCATTCCTCTTTAAAAATTGTTAATCTCTTTCTCCAAGCCTGCTTTCAGCTAAAGGGAATTTGGGTCCTGTAAAGGGCGAGGTCTCATCTATTTCCTTTTTAATTGTGTAATCTCTCAAGGATTTCACATGCATACAGAAAATACTGATGCGTCCACTTTAATAAATCACTTCAAAATGTTTAAATAAACATTCCTGTCTACCTAGAAAAGAGCCTGTGCCTGGACTTCAGAGGAACATGGAAAATCAGGATTGTAAATGAACTGTCTTATTCTGAACCTTGATCCTAAATTTACCACTGACCTGACAGCATTCAGATTTAATCTTTCTGCTTTGTTAACTTTATCTTAAATACAAGGTAGTTAACTCTCACATTAAATACAAGTGCTAGAAATTAATATTTGTGAATTCTGTTATGTTCACAGAAAAAAGAATGACCAAAAAGTACAACACAAAAGTGGAACTGAATATACCGAATATCTAATAAAAGCATTTTTGAATGGCACTGAAGCATTTAATTATTACAATTCCCAATGAAAATGTCTTAGGAGCTATTTTATAATTCTTTCATCAGTGTGTCTTTAAATGACTATTGCTATGGTCTCTCTTGTCAGCATTTTCTACAATCTATGACACTGATTGCACAGTTAGTAAAAAGAAAAAAAGATAGAAAAGTTATTTGAGACAGATACTCCACAAATATCTCCAACCAGCGACAGCTCAACCCTTGTGCATGGACAGAGTCATCCAGCCATTTACAGCCAATGTCACTTGTCATTGGCCAGAATGACTGTTCAGATTAGTCAGGGCCTTTGATGCACAAGTGGTTAAACATCTTGAGGATCACCCCTGTGGACTATATAGAAACACACACACACACACACACACACACACACAATGAGATTCTGTCTGCCGAGGTGGAGCAATAATCTGTAATGAGGGGAAGCACAATCTGTATTACTGAGGGGCAAAAAAAATCGAATTAAAAAAACTCACCAAACATAAGGTAGTTTCCAGAGACCTCTCTGGTCTCTCAAAACATAGACAAAGATAAAGAAAACCATCTCCCACTAACATGGAGACTCATTTTTAAGGGATATGTTAGATTTTTAACCATTCTTCAACAGAGACAAATCCAAATCCCACAAGAGATGGATGTATAGTTTTAATCATGAAGCTAGGGACAAAAGGAAATTTGTAAATGCCAAAGAAAACAAACAAAAATTTGCAGAATGTAATAGCCAATTTCTTTAACAAAAGTCAACATCCAAATGATACTCTGTATTAGAAAAATGTGAAGGATCTCCCCAACTTAGCCTCATTAATAACAACTGTGTAATTTCTGCAAGGAATGTTAACTAAAAGAAAGACTAAGGGTGACCAAGTTGAGATGGCTGACAATGAGAGAATCCTGTCACTTCTCATTAGATTGGAACAGGCTTCCCAAAAACGAAAATTTATGAGCAATAGACATGAATGTAAACACATTTCCAATAGCCAAAGAATTTCTATTTGAATAGAACTGTAAACTACGACAGGCTCTTATTATATTCCTTGTAGACAAACTGAAAGGCATGAACTTCAGCCATGACTTTCACCAGTATAGCAGAGGTATCCATTTATTCTCAGAAAACATATGTAGAGAAAAATGTTTCAAGTAAGGAAGAAAAACATTCATGATCAAATATGTAATTTAACATGTTAAACAGGAATGAATGTCACACTTTCCCCTAACTTCATAAAAGGCCAGATGTGTGCTACACCCTTCTGCATGATTTCATAATTCTTACAACTCCACCCAACGAGATAACCTACTAGCATTTTTATGATCTTTCTTCCTTTCCATAAGGAGCTGCTTTGTAAACCTCTAGAGAGGTAAATCCCATACTAGCAAGAATGTATTATTTGTCTCTGTCATTTTTGAACACAGCATTGGGATAGATTCTCTTATTTATAACCCATAAATTGGCTATTCACTTTAGTAAACTTAGTATCAAATATAAATTTACATAGATTAATACCCCTCTCTTCACATTTGCAATTTTCCATTCAGTTTGATTTTCGAATTCAGTAAAGGGTTATGTGTAATGCTGGAATAGCAGCATGAGTAATGTAACAAAAATAAGTTAGGGGATTACAGAAACCTGGGTTTGAATCTTGCCTTACTCTCTAGTTGTATGACCTCTCAGTTTTCTTCTCGTAAGTTATAGGGTAATAGCACCTACTTCCAAAATATTCATTTGTTTTGTACTGTTTTTTAGAGTTAGGGTCTTGCCCGTTCACCCAGGCTGCAGTGCAGTGGTGTGATCATGGCCACTACAGGCCCATGCTGCCACACAGGGCTAATCTTTTATTTTTTGAGATGGCAGGGGGAGGCTCTCACTACTTTTCCCGGGATGGTCTTGAACTCCTAGCCTCAGATGACTCAAGTGATCCCCCGACCTCAGTCTCCTGAGTAGCTGGGATCACTGCATCCAGCTTCCCAGATACTAAAGGGACCAAGTACAAGCATTCATCTGAAAAGAAACAAAGTTGGCAAAACCTTCAAAACCATCACTGGCGAAATTTTAAAAATTATTTTAAAAAAGAGATAGCTAAAGTTAACCAATGTGAATGGCATTGAATATATTTTACAAGCAACAAAGTACTAGGAGGTACCCACTTCTAAAACAAATGAGAATTGCAGGTAATGCACCAGCTGCAGATAAACTTGCACAGGATTCTGACACCCAGCAAGAGGTGTCTACCCTAGCTTGACCTCTGCCCTACCCCCAACCTCTCCACATGAACCTGGAATATAACCAGGAAAGGATAACCTGGACAGGGGTGTGGGAAAAGGGTCTCTTTCTCTGCTCTCTCTATACCCATACTCTATATGGCCCGTGAGAAAGTGGAGCGTCACACCCACAGAAGGGGCAAAATAAACATCAGGTAGGTGGGATGGCACCTGAGCAGGGAAGGGCAATCAATGTCTGGGCCTCTCTAGGTATGAAAGAGGTAGCACCAAGCCCCTGGTGATTAGGAGATCTCCATCCCAATGGGGAGCAATGAGAGAGAGGGGCAAGGCAGTGTCGCAGGGTACCACGGGGGCAGGGCCCTGTCTCATGTTCCCAAGGAAGCACCCCCGAGGGAAAATGAGAAATCCTCATGAGTTGGCTGAATCATTCCTTAGACTACTTCTAGCATAATCGAGGAAGTTACATGAAAGTTAAGGATGCACGTGTACAGTCTAACCGTGAAATCTGAGGCAGGTCTGACTATCAATGCACCTGGCATGGGAGAGGGACTTCATGCAAGTCACGTTTTCTTTACTTCCAATACAGCCCAGGTTCACATTGTTATACAAAGGGTCCTTAGGCAATGCAGTAGGACATTGGAGTTATTCAAACAGGGGCCATCCAGAGAAGGAATCTGAAAGACTTGAACTATACCAAAACCATTCACCCCTTAGAAGACAAAGCCTTTTCTGAGTCTGAGCAAAGGTGAATATCTGTGGCGCTGGGATCTCAGTAGCATCAACTGGCTCCTGAGTTTCTCAGGAGGTTTCTCCTTAGTCCCTGAATCAGAGGATTAGAACCTTTTTACCAGGTACTTTTCAGACCCACCTGTCTACATATAATCATGTAACATTTATCTCTGCTTTGATAAAAATGTTCTTTTTCCACATGTTTAAATAGATGGTCATAGATAGGACAAAGGTTTGGAATAACACGTACACTGCTTCCAGAGCAGCCATATAGTATACAGATAGAGCTGGGAAGACACTGATCCTTCTCTGGAATTCAATTTCCTCATATTTTAAGTAGAGGTCAAAATATTGTTGTGTGATTAAGACATATTCAACTAATTCCCAGTACAGCGTTTGGGATAAGTAAGGATATCTACATAGGAATTCCATACATCCTCTGCCTCAATTATTTGTTAAATTCTAGAACTAACTCTTGAAAAAAAGTTTCATGAAGCTACGTGTTTGGAATTTTCTGTCAAAGTTAATGTTTCCTTTATTTTATTGTATTATCTACTTTGTTACTGAGATTCGATAAAAGAATTCCAACCACAGATAAAGGGCATGCATCTTTCTACCTACAAGTTTCCTACTAGGTAAAGTTGGTAAGGAAATTAAGGTTTTGTCTCATATGTCAAAGAGTAAAGAACTGAGGTCACACAGTTTGGACAGGAATGATTCAATCATCAGTCACTGGGTAACATGTAATTTCAAAAGCAAAACAATATTATCTAGTAACGTGGCTCAGCTTAGAAAAAAAGCAATGGTTATGACCACTTCTAGAGAGTTCATTTAAAAACTCATCTGGCTTTCTGAGTTCTTTTTACTGTTGTTAAAAACAGGTCTTAATAATTAAACGTGACAACCAGGAAATTAAGTATAATGAGCTCAACTCAAGGTGAGGCCAATAAATAAGGTCAATAAGTGCAATGACTTATATTTCGATACATAAATCTACTGTTAAGAAAAGGTGAAAAAAAATCTCAGACCTAAAGATTCCTATTGTGGAGTAATAGTTCATGGCCACTGAGAGTCTTAGCATAAGTTAGTTACTATTTTGTGGCAACAAACTGACTTAATTAACCAAAAACAAAATGAAAGGAGTCCAAACATCTCAATGATTAAGTATGTAAACCTTCAGTGATTAAGGATGTGGACTAAATAAAGTACATAAATGGTCATCTACAAAATATCCCAAACAGAAGAGCTATTTCTCTAACTTTTCCAAAGGTCGAGCTTGCTACATAAAAGGAAAGCTTATAGACATATGACGGAAGATAACATCTCTGTGCCATGTGAGAAACCTACAAGATGGCTTCCCTTTTGAGAAATATTACTTATTTTAATAAACCCTAAATTTAAAGGTCATTCTTGTGTGCCCCCCACCCCAATTTTCTCCTACCACAAAGGTTTTATTTAAATAATCCTGCTTTTCATTTAACAAGTCTATGTCTTCAATGTTTGTTTTGCCCTAACATGAACTTACCTTCAGGAACTTCTTGTTCTTACATCAAGAAGATTTTTACTACCTAAGCAGAATACGTTTGGGAAAAAAAAAAAAAAAGATGTTTACAATGACCTTGTATCAAAACCATTTGCCCCTTAGAATACTTGAAGACTTAGAAGACCTTTCTTTGCATGCTAAAAAAAAAAATCAGATGCTATTTTTAAGTTTGAAAAGGCTTAAAATGTCAATGTCCAACAAACATATGAAAAAATGACTACCATTTCTAGAAATAAACAAATACCCATTAAAACAAGTAAATATTTTGCCTACGAAAGTGGCAAATATTTTAAAAAGTGATAATACTCTTGTTGGTTAAGTTCCAGGCAAAGGGAGTATTCTCAATTAATAGTGGTAGAAATGTCCACTAATGCAAAATTATTTCAAAAAAGGCTTTAAAGTGTGCATCACTTTTAATTCTGCTTTTGAAATAAATTCATTTAAAGTAATTAACTTGCAAAAACCTTTGCCTAAAAGGAAAGTGCAGTGACTTTCTAATTGATTTTTTTATCAATGCAGTGATTTTTTAAAACACTCTAAATGTTAAATAATAGGATATTGATTAATTAAATTATGATAAAGCAGTAAAACAGTCAGTATAAATGATTTTGTATAATTCTATTGTGAGCCTGAAAAAAGAAAGCTCACCGAAAATATTAAATAAATAAAGTTACAAAACATTACATATAGTACAATCTGCTTATTTAAAATTCTGAACACACAAACATAAGAAGATGAGAATTTGTAAGTGCCTAAAGGAGTTATCAAGGACTGTCTCGGTAGATGAGCTTAGAGGTGGGTTTCATGTCCTATTTACATTCTCTGATTTTTCTGTAATAAACATAATTTGTTTTTTAAATAAAGAAAATTTAAAATTAAAGTAGTTTCCTCTATATAAGCTTATTTTAAGAAAACCATGCATTTTCAGTGGGAGGGTATAATCACTTTCCAAGAGGGTGAAAATTGGTTCTTGGAAGTATGTGAAAACCCTACCTGACAAAAATCATTTTGTTCTTAGTATTTAATGTCATGCATGGGAAAGGGAGAGCAATTGGGGGAAAAAATGCCTAAAAATAAGCTCCTTAGGGGGCAATAATGAAAAAACAAGTTGAGAAACACTAAACCAGATCAAGATGAAACCTTGTTACCAATTTTCACATAAAGTTATTTACAATAAAAACCAAAATTATTCTAACACGTTCACTATGTATATTGTCTTCCTCTGAAAAAGGAAAAGAGTTCACTGATAATTGAAAGCAGTAACACATTCATGCTGACATCAGCAGAGGAGAAGTTAAATCATTAACAGACCTTACTATCAAATTGGCTCCCTTTGGCAGGTGAAGTCAGATATTTTACTTTAAAATGATGGTACTCTTGGCCATCTCTTCCAATAAATTTCTTAAAAAAAAAAAAGAAAAGAAAAAAGAACAATAAGGGGATTTTATATAAAATAATTATATAACTAATAACACATGGGCCTGGTATGAATACTCTTGTGATTTTCACATCAGTGTAATAATCCCTGGGGAAACTTACAATATATTCACTGAGGGGCCATCTGCTCTCTAATTCTGTATTAACTGGTTGCTATTCATTGTGGAAAAGAATTGTTATTGAGGTAGGTATTTGAAACCCAATGTTAAATTTGTCACTACAGCAATAAGGTCAATAGAGAGTAACATGTGAACTCATAATCAGGTCATACCTCTAACAGGCTTGAACATTCCATTCTTTCCAATTTAGTCAATATTTCTTATTTCACCTTCTGAAAGGAATCTTGAGGAATAAAACAATGCCAATAAAGCGTCACTTACTCTTTTCTTGCACCTGCCAACTCCCAGTTACAACCACACATGGTTTCCAAGATGAAACACAGCCATAAATGTCAGAATAGTGGAACCAGCAATCAACACCAGGCAACACAAATTCAAAAATCACAGAACTAAATTAAGAGTGTACTTTTGCAATTACTACTTTAATGAACCAAAACACGTTTGTCATAGCCCATGTAATTCAAAAAAAGATTTAAAAATAAGCCAGGATTCTGGGATGGGGTCTCAGCAAAGACAAGCATGCATATATCCTGGGTTATCACAGAGAGATTAAAGGGTAAATACAAACTCTTTCAAGAGCCACTGGTCTCAACTGCTGACTGAGTCTGCATTTAACTCAGTCAAGCAACACATTTAGGGAACTTGAGTCTTCCAAGGTTTGAAGGAAAGATAAGAAAAGTTTCCAATGGCTCCAAAGCAAAAAAACAAGGCATTTGAGAGCACACTGCTTGCAGAGTTCTAAAAGAATGTGATGGTTAATCAATTATTTCATTACCAAGTGCTTCTTGGGCACATTTTACGTGGTTTCATTAGTCAAGATAGGGTCTCCCTGCCCAGCCCTTTTAAAAAGACTGCTTAACAAACTATTACAAACACACTAAGACTAAAAGTCCAAAACGATCTAAATATTTTAAACACTTCCCTCTTCCATATTTCGTTTAAATTCTCTTTGCTTTAGTCATATGGGTCAGATATGTGTGGTAGTGTTCAACCAATGCAATAAAACAATAACGTCAGATTGCTGTGACATTTAATTCTCTGTAGCAACCTTTTGTTGCTGATCATCAAATGACATCTGTTGTTCTCTATCCCCTGCTTCCTTAGCCCTCCAAAAGTAATTACAACGTGGTGCTTATCATCTGGGGAAATACCATCAGGACAAGGAAACAAGATGTGAACACTACGATAGTAATACCAGGTTGTGTTCACTGCCCTGATGCATCTGCTACTGCCATTACTTTAGATTCCTAAATGTAAAACACTAACTCTCTTGTCTGATATCAAAACTTACAGATACTCTCCGAAAACTCAGAGAGACATGATATAAAAGAAGTTATTCTCACTAAGTCCATGAAAGAGACCATGGATATCAAAACTGCAAGGGATTAGTGGGAACTCTTCCCCTAACAAGCTGTAAATCTGTACTTAATTTCAGGATTTCTATTATCTGACTCATAAAACACTAAAATGGCTATAAGAAGAAAACCCAATTTGCTGAAGAAATAGCACACATTTACATTTTAGCACTTTTTTATTTACCTTTATAATCTCCCCCCAACTGTGCTAGTGTCAAATGGAGTATGAGGTAATGTTTGCACCTAGTCAACAGTCTCAACTCCAGACATCTGTAATAAAATTTTTAAGGCCAAATACTAGTACTGCATACACACCTGGAGTTTAAAATAAGTTATTGTGCTGCAATGCCACACTGTCAGTTAGGGTTTGCTAGCACAGGCAAAGAGTGAGGGCTCACCTGAGAACTCAAACCTCTGTAAGGACATATAGCATAATTTTAAATGCATTCCCTTGCCTATCCTTTTTAAAATTCAATATAATCTTAACTTGAGCATGTGTCTTACCTTTGAGAAATGCAGGTGAGAGAAAATGGAAAAGACACTTCTTTACAAAATGACAGAGGATTACAGATCATTCTTCTTTCTGATAATTGTTCACATTGAGTTTTCTTCCACCATGTCTGCCACTTTCTCCTTGGGTACATACTCAGGACTATTTCTATCTGGTATGTCTTCAAAAGTCCTGGACTTCTGCCATGTGGACAACTGAATTGAATGAATGGGTCAGCCTTTACATGTATAATCAGAGAGGGCCAGAACTGAATTCCTAAGGAGAGTAGGTGGTCATTGCAGAAAGGCTGTTAAAGAAACATGGGTTTTCTCAATCAATTTACCTTAAGTAGAAACACCCAGGGATACGGGACTGGCATTCTAATATTCCTTAAAGCATACCCCTTGGAAACCATTCTGTACTTATGAACTCAGAGCCTCCAAGCAATATCCAAGGACAATTAAATCTGTGTGCAAATAACTGAATTGGTATTTGTTGGCCAGTTGCTCCCACATAAACCTCAATTCATTTGGAACTTTACTTCACATATCAAAGAATTTCAGGCTGATAAATAAAACCATTTGTTGTTTCTTGACCATTCATCATGTGTCTTAATTAGTGTTAGAGGAACACTGGAACAAGAGTCCTGGGCCAGGATTCTGGCTTGTCATAGCCAACGCATTTCAGATTCTCCAGGTATCAATTTTCTCTTGCATGAAATGAGGAGGTTTGTGCCTACAATTCATACTAACAAAAACTCCAGATGTTGCTCTTTACAGAAATCATCAAATATACATCAGAACCTCCATGAATCTTATTTTGCTCATTTATAAAATGAAAGGATTGGAGTATCTGATTGCTAAGCTTGCTTCCCATGTGATATTTAGAGATTGCGGAATTCTGTGTATAATTATGTAATATATGCAAAGTTGCTCATTCAGAGTAAAAATTTTTACTAAATTGCATCCACTTAAACTCAATACGGCAAAATGTTTCTACATTTCAGTCAACCAATTTCCTCCTTGTCTTATATGCTGCCTGTCAAGTCTTACCTTTATATCTTAGCTCAAGTATCTTTTTTGTAGTACTCAGAACTATAAAGTATTTTTCAAGATTTTATTTTCCTTGTGGTTAAATCTGCCTATTTAAATTTTATGTGTTAGAAGAGAAGCACTGATTTAATTATTTTAAATGGTCTTCCTAGATATCTAATGTTAATGTTTTAACATTTTAACATTTAAAGTTTTAACGTTTGGAAAATATACAAAAGGTTTAATATTTGGAAAATCATGAAAAAGAGGAAAGAAGATTCTGTGGTGAATAGGGTGATTACATCATTCTATTCAAAATTCTTATTAACCATCAAAAAAGAGAAAAACTTTTTTATTAACCATCCAAAAAGAGAAAGATGTCAGAGTGAAGTCTCAAGCAAAAGCTGAAAACTTAAACTGTGCCTCAATCTTTTATACAATTAAAAGAGTGACGGTACTTGGAAGAACTAACTTAATTCCATCTTCCTATTTTAAAATACAGAAAACAATTACCTACAGAGGTCTTCCTACATGTTAGGCACTATTCTGCTCTCACAAAGCTATCTGCTCAAACACAATGGTTTAAGGCAACTATGATTAGATATGATATTACGAAGCAAAAAACATTGATTTTGAAAATTTAAGTAACATTTAAAATTACAAAGGTAGAGGGGGTTATGATTAGGATTTTGACCCAGGCCCCCAAACTCTTACCACTGAGGAAAAGCCTAAATCAGAGCTAGACTACAGCTACGCATTCATTTAAAAAGAAGGAAAAGGTCTAAATGATCGGAAAATGCCTGGATGCCATCAAAAGAATAGGTTTATTTCTCAGAATCTTGCAAGCCTAGGATCCTTTCGTAAGGTAATTTGACAATACGTCCAAAAACTTACAACTCGGACTAAGGAGTTTCCACTTCTAGAAAGGTATCTGGAAATAGTCACACAAGTAACTAAATGTAAAAAATTAAGTATGTTCCTCACCATAATATTTATAACAGAAAAATTTGGAAATAACTTGTCAATTGGTACATACTTCATATAAATCCCTATAATGGGATACAATACAATCCTTACAGTTAAAATTTATAAGACAAAAGTGCCCAAAAGAAACTAGTAAAGAAAAAAGAAGGCTAGAAAAAAGCATGTATAATATTGTCCCATTTAGTAGTTAATCAAACATCAGTAAATAGACCACAGAGAGATAAATTAGTCAGCCAGCTAGTCATTGGGAAGGATACACAAAACTGCTAACAATCATAATCTGGGTGCTGAGAGTATGAAATTTACTTCATTCCTTACATCTTTTTGTACTCTGAATTATGTGTCCCTTTTTTAATTAGGAAAAATTCTATTTTAATTTTGAAAAAGAAAGAAAAATCACAAGAATCTGCTAATTGCTAAAGTAAGTTTTTGGTATTCTTGAGAATGGGCCTTAAACACACACACAAAAATCCCATCTGTGGCTACTTGGAAAATAATTTTCAATTAAATAAATTGTAAAGTCTTACATTCCTTAAATCTAACTTATTTTATAAATCTCTTATTAAATCACTTAAATTTAACTTATTAATCTCATTATCTATTTACAAACCAAGTAATGTATTTTTTAAACTGCCTTCAAGGGAGGATTTGATTAACATTTGGTCTCATTTAAAAAATAAGATAATTAAACATCCCCTTTTATACACATTTTACACTACATTTTACAAGTTTATGTGCTGGATTTTTTTTTTAACTTCAAAAGCCTCACTAACAAACAAAATGTTCCCAGGTTATTAATCCCAATAAAACTAATCAATTAGACATAAATATTGTGTCTCTCAAGTTATTTTAACAGTCCAATTCTGTCTATACATGTAGCCAAATCACCTTATGTATTTCCATTTAAAAATCATAAATTCTAAAACTATTTACACATTTTAAATTGAAATCACAAGGCTAGTCAATTACATAATATCAAATTCTCTTAACACATTAACAAAACTTTAGAAAACTAACCACATAGAGTTATCCTCAAATGCAATGCAAAACTTTAATGGAATACATGTAACTTATTTTTTTATTTTGACACTAAATGCTAAAATTTCAAGGTTAAAAGACATACCCAATAAGGAAGAGGTTCTCAATCTTGGCCACACATTAAGATCACCTAGGATTCTTTAAAAGTTGAAAAGGGGCCGGGCGAGGTGGCTCACGCCTGTAATCCCAGCACTTTGGGAGGCTGAGGCGGGCAGATCACAAAGTCAACAGATCGAGACCATCCTGGCTAACATGGTGAAACCCCATCCCTACTAAAAATACAAAAATTAGCTGGGCATGGTGGTGCCCACCTGTAGTCCCAGCTGCTCGGGAGGCTGAGGCAGGAGAATCGCTTGAACCCAGGAGGCTGGAGGTTGCAGTGAGCAGAGATCGTGCCATTGCACTCCAGCCTGGTGACAGAGCAAGATTCAGTCTCAAAAAAAAAAAAGAAAGAAAGAAAGAAAGAAAAGAAAAAGAAAATGAAAAAAAAAATAGTTGAAAAGGGGAGGGAGGAAGTACTAATGCCTAGCCCCAATCTAACCAACTTAACTCACAATCTCTGAGGATGATTTTTTTTTCCAAGCTGTTCATATAATGGTAATATGCAGCCAGGATTGAGAACCTCTGCTCTAAGAAAATAATAACATCCCAAGTGAGAACTGCCATTATCTTGGTGATAAGTGATAATAAGCTGAGACTGCTTATTCTGATGGTATTTTGGGAGACAGCAATAAGATTGAATGCTTCTTGTAAAACTCAGACAGGTGATTCCCTTTAATATTTTATTCTCTCCCAGTGTTACACATTAACTGATTCTGCCATTTAAACTGAGCCTGTGATTCCACGCACTCAGTTTGCTGGACTATATCCTGCCCGGTTTTATTTTTATTTATTTATTTATTTATTTTTCCCTGAGACGGAGTCTTGCTCTGTCACCCAGGCTGGAGTGCAGTGGCACGATCTCGGCTTACTGCAACTTCCACCTCTTGGGTTCAAGCAATTCTCCTGCCTCAGCCTCCTGAGTAGATGGGACTACAAGCGTCCACCACCACGACCAGCTAATTTTTGTATTTTTAGAGAGACGGGGTTTCACCATGTTGGCCAGCCTGGTCTCGAACTCCTTACTTCGTGATCCACCCACCTCCGCCTCCCAAAGTGCTGGGATTACAGACGTGAGCCACCACACCTGGCCTGGTTTTATTCTTAATTGTATTCATAGTCTTTCCATCTGACAAGGCCACAACTCATATGGATCTGTAAATGATATTGATATTTGATTGAATGCTATAAAATTTTCATGGCTTTATCACCAAACTAATGTCATGCTATGTCAGTAATGAATGTGTATAAGATGTGTATAACTGGAAGCTTCAGGGAAATGTCGAGGAAAACTATAAAACAAGAGAGAGGAACACCAGTATTTAAAAGAGAACTATCCATATGGAAAATGTTTAAGCAAGTAGTGTGATTTATTCATAAACCAGGCCTTCTCCCTTTTTAAGTGCATCTGAGTGGAAAGCCATTTTTGCCCCAAAGGCATTTATCAATACCTCACACTTGAGATTTTGTTGCTTGACCTTGCAGAAGTCAAGGCCAAAGTCCAACCATGGTGGGGAGTCTTATACTCTAAATAGGTGCCCAAATAGCTATATCCTAGTGACAAGGGCAACCCCAAACTAAGCACTTTTTTCACCCCACCTCACCCTCACCAGCTTCTAGGAGCTACAGAGAAAGATGTCCTGGGGTAAAGCAAGAAAAGTACAAACAGAACCTGTATCTAACAATGTGTGATCATACAGTGAACCTTGAATAGATTTATACCACAAGTGCAAGCAGCTTCAGTGGGCCAAAAAACCTCAATCCATAAGTATAAAAGGTTTCTAAAGGGAATGGCCTCAGGTGCCTGGCAGAAGAAAACGCAAAATCTCTTTGAAGAAGGACACGTTCATCCTAGACCATAAAGATGGCTCACTCGAACAATTTTCAAGGTTGATGACAAGCAAGCAGTCAAAATTAATAAGACACACAGGAAATAAGGCAGCATGATCAAGAACCAGCACAAATAAAAAGCAGAAAGAGACCTGTAGTGACTTTAGATGTTTAAATGACCAAAATAACTAGGACTAGCATACTTAATGAAATAAATAGCAAGCTTAAAAATATTTCCAGGGAATAGGGAATCATAAAAGGTGACTGTTCTACTCAGTTCAGTCTGCAATAGCAGAACACCATAGATTGGGTGGCTTAACCAACAAATCTATTTCTCATAGTTCTGGTAGGTGGAAAGTCCAAGATCACAACACTGGCAGACCTGGTATCTGGTGAGGGCATTCTTCCTGGTTTTCAGAGGGCCACCTTCCCATTGTATCTGCTATGGTTTGGATAAGCTATGACCCCACCAAATCTTATGTTGAACTTTGAGCCCCAATGTTAGAAGTAGGACCTAACGGGAAGTATCTGGATCATGGGGATGAATCCCTCGTGAATGGCTTGGTCCCATCCTCGTGGCAATGAGTGAGTTCTCCCTCCACTAATTCCCAGGAGAGTTTCCCCAAAAGCTGGTTGTCAAGAGTGCAGCACTTCCCTCCTCTCTCCCCCAGTTTGATCTCTACACACTGGCTTCCCTTCACCTTCTGCATGGGCAGAAGCCTGAAGCCCCTATCAGAAGCAGATGTCAGAATGTCTGTATAAGAAGATTACTTCTTATACAGCCTGCAGAACTGTAAGCCAAATAAATGTATTTTCTTTATATACCAGCCTCAAGTATTCCTCCATAGCAACAAATACAGACTAAGACAGTATTCTCATATGGCCAAGACAGTGATCCTCTCTTTTGTGTTTCTCTTGATAAGGGTCCTAATACCATTCCTGAAGGCTCTACCCTCATGACCCAATTGCCCCCCAAAAACCCCACCTCCCAACCCCATCACACCATCATGCTGGGGTTAGAATTTCAAGAAATGAACTTGAGGGAACACAAACATTCAGTTCATACAGATGACACAGAAGATTTGAAAAGAAGTCAAGTAGAAGTGCTAGAAATAAAAAGTATAGCTAGTAATCAAAATTAAAACCCAGTGGCCATGTTTGGTAACAGAAGAGAAAATTGGTAAATTAGAAGATAGAAAAAGAAAAAAAAACAGACCAAAATGTGACACAGGAGGCAAAAAGATGGAAAATGCAGAATAAAAAGAGATGTGGTGGGGGGTAATGTCAGCAAGATGGAAGAATAGGAATTTCTGACACACATCCCCTTAAATAAATATTAATTTGAACAACTATCTGCAAGCAAAACTACCTTCACAAGATCTAATGAATACAGGTGAGAAATTATAGCATCTGGGTGGAGCACAGAACTAAGAAAATACTCATTTAAGAAGTAGAAAGAACAGTTTCACACTACCCATGTCACCCTTCTCTGTACTGCCCACGCAGTACAGTACAAAGAGAAATGGCCTCTGCATGGGATAGGAGAGTGAAGTTAGCACAAAACTTTACCAGTGACCCCAGCACTATGCTCACCCTATTGAATTTCAATGCCAAGCTGGTTTCCACGGTTCCAAGCTTCATGTTAGCCCCCTCAGTTCTAAGCTCCTGTCCTTCTGGACCCAAGCAGAAGGACTACCCACCCATTAACTCAGGCACCAGTCTAGCCTACCCAAGGACTCTGGCAGTAGGCATGCTCATGGACCCCACCAGCTGACTGAACCAGAATCCCTGGAAGGGCTAACCAATGAAGGGTTTCACTATTGAAGCCAGTCTGGAACTCCTGAAAGAGGTACTTACTCTTTCCAATGCACAAACACCAGAGCCACAGAAAAGCAGAATCAAGAATTACAGACAAGCAGCAAAACAAAATACCACCAAAGAACAAAGCACTAGTAACTGATCTTACAAAAGCTCCTAAGAATTCAAAGTCACTGTCTTAAGAAAGTTCAGTACCAATACATGAAAAAAACATGACGTTAAGCAGAGAGACAGAAATAAAAAAAAAAAAATCCATGGCTGAGGAATACAGTGAATGAAATGAACAATGCAATAGAGAGTAATAATAGACTTTATCAAGCATGACCCTGATCTTTCTTGATCAAGAGAGAATCTATGAACTGAAAGACAGGACATTTGAAATTATCCAGTCAGAGGAGAAAAAAGAAAGTAAAAGAGAAAAGAAATTGTAAAAGCCTGTGGAATTTATAAGGTACCATCAAAAGAACAAATATGTGCATTAAAGTAATCCAAGAAGAAGAAAAGAAAGAGAAAGGAGCAGGGTAATATATAAAGAAATAATGACTGGAAACTCCCCAGATCTGGGAAGCAATATGGACATCCAGGTTTATGAATCCTGAAAGTCTCCAAACAAAATCAACCCAAAGAAGACTTTATCAGATACATTATAATCAAACTGTCAAAATCGGAGGGAAATTTTTTAAAGCAGCAAGAAAAAAGAGATTGTCACACGCATAGACACCACCAATAAGACCATCAGCATATGTCTGAGCAGAAAATTTGCAGGCCAGGAGACAGTGCAGTGACACATGAAAAATGCTGAAAGAAAAAAAAAAACTGTCAACCAAGAATACTTTACCTAGTAAAGCTGTATTTCAAATGAAGGAGAATTAAAGACTCTCTCAGACAAACAAGAACTGAAGGAGTTTATTGTCACTAGCCCTGCCTTATGAGAAATGCTAAAGGGTTCTTCAAGCTGAAATGTGAAGACCCTAATAGTAACAAGAAAATATATGATGGTAAAAAAAATCAATGGTAAAGGTAAGTATTTAGAAAAATTCATAATACTCTAATACTGTAATGGTAATAATGTAAGTCATTTTTAACTCTGATATAAAGATTAAAAGACAAAGGCATTTATAGTTACAATAATTTGTTAATGAGTACATCATATTTAAAAGTTTAATTTATGACAGTAAAAACATAAAATGTGGAGGGAGAAATAAAAAGTATAGTGTTTTCATAAGCAATCAAAGTTAAGTTATTAGCATAAAATAAGGTGTTACAACTGTAAGATGTTTTATGTAAGCCTCATGGAAATACAAAGCAAAAACCCATAACAAATTCCCCCAAAATAAAGAGAAAGAAATCGAATAATACCACAACAGAAAATCATCTAATCACAAAGGAAGACAGCAAAAAAGGAAAAAATAACAAAGGAACTACAAAAAAGCCAGAAAACAATGGACACAACAGCAATGGTAAGTATTTACTTATTGATAATCACTTGAAATGAAAATCGATTAAATTTTCCAACCAAAAGACATAGAGGGATAAAAAAATAACCAAACTATATGCCTCCTACAAAACAGACTCACTTCGGCTTTAAGGACACACATGGATAAACATAAAGAAATGGAAAAAGATATTCCATACAAATGAAAACTAAAAGAGAACAGAAGTATAGTTATACTTATATCAGACAAAATGGACTTTAAAACCAGTAAAGAGAGACATAGAAGTTCACATATAATTTTTTTAAAGGGGTCAATTAATCAAGAGAATAGAAACAATCATATCCAACACACTGAAGCACCCATATGAATATAAAGCAAATATTAACAGAACTCAAGGGGGAAATAGCAATACAATAATGGTAGGGGATTTTAATAGCCACTTTCATCCAAACAGAAAATCAACAAGGAAACATTGGATTTGAACTATGCTTTAGACCAAATAGACCTAACAGATTAATATAGAACATCTATTCAACAGCTGTAGAATATACATTTTCTTCAAGAACACCAGCAGAAAATACATCTTCTTCAAGAACACACAAAACCTTCTGCAGAATAGATTGTATGTTAGACCTTTAGGTAGACTAAGAAAAAAAGAGAAGACTCAAATGAGTAAAATCATAAATAAAAGAAGAGACATTACAACTGATATCATAAAAATACAAAGAATCAATCATAAGGGACTACTATGAACAACTATATGCCAACAAATTTAATAACCTATAAAAAAGTGGATAAATTTCAAGAAACATAGAACCAACCAAGACTAAATAATGGAGAAATAGATCATCTGAACAAACCAATAATGAGTAAGGAGATTGAATCAATAATCAAAAATCTTTCAAAGAAAAAAGTCCAGGAATTTTACTAAACATTTAAAGAATAACTAATAGCAATCCTTCTCAAAATCTTTTTGAAGAATGAATTTTTCCAAATTAATTTTATAAGGCCAGCATTGCTCTGATACCAAAGCTAGGCAAGGACATTACAAGAAAAGAAAATCATAGGCCAACAGCCCTGATGAACATAGACATAAAAATCATCAATAAAATAATGGCAAACTGAATTAAACAGCACATTAAAAGGATCATACACCATGATCAAGTGAGATTCATCTCTGGGATACAAGGATATTTTAACATACACAAACCAATAAATGTGATACACCCCATTAACAGAATGAAAGATAAAAGATCATAAGATTATTCAATAAAGAAAAGGCATCCGATGAAATTTAACATCCTATTATAATAAAAACTCTCAACAAATTAGGTATAGAAAGAATGTGCCTCAACCTCATAAAGACTATGTGTGATAAGCCCACAACTAACACCATACTCAACAGTGAAAAGCTTTTTCTCTAAGATCAGGAAGGAAAAAACAATACCTATTCTTGCCATTTATATTCAAAATTGTATTGATAGTCATAGCCCGAGCAACTAGGCAAGAAAAACAAAATAAAAGGCATCCAAATTAGAAAGAAATAAGTAAATTTATATCTGTTTGTAGATGATTGATGATGGATGGATGGATCGGGGAGGCAGGGGGCAGGGAGGGAGGGGAGGGAGGGAGAGAGAGAGAGCGAGAGCAAGAGAGAGAGTGAGAAAGAGAGAGTGGAGAGAGAGAGAAAGAACCTTAAGGACTTCACCAAAAAGCTGTTAGGACTGATCAAAGAACTCAGTAAAGTTGCAGATACAAAATCAACATACAGAAACCAGCTATGTTTCTGTACACTAACAACCAATTCTCCGAGAATAAAAAAAAATTGTTTTGAGAAAACAATCCCATGTACAATTGTATCAAAAAGAATGTGATACTTAGGAACAAATTTAAGCAAGGAGGTGAAAGAGCTGTACACCAAAAACTATAAAATACTGATTTAAAAAAACTGAAGAAGACATAAATAAATGGAAAGATATCCCATGTTCACGAATTGGAAGACTTAATACTGTTAAATTGCCCATACTACCCAAAATGATATACAGATGTAATACAATCTCTATCAAAATCTCACTGGCTTTTTAAAACTAGAAATAGAAAAAAAAAATACTAAATTTTTATGAAATCACAAAAGATCCCCAAATAGCTAAAGCGATCTTGAACAAGAACAAAGCTGGAAGCATCACACTTCCTGATTTCAAATTATATTACAAATTAATAGTAATCAAAATAGTATGGTACTCACATAAAAATAGACACAATGACCAAAGGATCAGAATGGACAGAGAGCCCAGAAATAAATTCACACATATACAGTGAAGTAATCTTCAACAAAGTTGCCAAGAATACACAGTCGGGGAAGGCTAGTTCCTTCAATAAATAGTGTTGGAAAAACTGGATATCCACATGCAAAAGAATAAAATCAGACCTTTATCTTACCCAAACACAGAAATCAACTCTAAATAGATAAACAGTTAAATATCAGAACTGAAATCATAAAACACCAAGAAGAAAGTATAGGTGAAAAGCTTTATGACATTGATCCGGGCAATGATTTTTTGTAACAATACCAAAAGCACAGGCAACAAAAGCAAAAATAAACAAGTGGGTATATGTCAAACTAAAAAATTTCTGTGCAGCATAGGAATCAATCAACAAAATGGCCTACAGAGTGGAAGACCTTCAGAATGGCAAAAAACATTTGCAAACCATATCTGTGATAAGAGGTTAGTGTCTGCTATGGTCTCAATGTTTGTGACCCCCCAAATCCACATGATGAAACCTAATGGCCATAGTTAACTATGAAGAGGTGGGGCCTTTGGGAGATGATTAGGCTCAGCCCTCACGAATGGTATTAGTGCTCTTGATGAGTGGAGCTTCTTTACCTTGCTACTACGCGAAGACACAGCTAGAAGATGACATTTATGAATCAGAGATCGAGCTCTCACCAGACATTAAATCTGCTGGTGCCCTGATCTTGGACTTCTCAGCCCCAAGAACTGTAAGAAATAAATTTATATTGTTGTAAGCTACTCAGCTTATGATATTTTGTTATAACAGCTCAAATAAGCCAAGACAATAACCAAAACATGTAAAGAACTCATACAACTCAGTAGCCAAAGAAAAAAAAATGACCCAATTAAAAAATGCCAAAGAACCTGAATGGACATTTTTTACAGAAAACATAGAAATGGCCATACAAATACATAAAAAGATGCTTGACATCACGACTTTCTGTGAAATACGAATCAAAGACATAATAAAATACCACTTTGCATCTCTTGGAGTGGTTACTATCACAAAGATGAAGGTTAACTTTTGGGGAGGATGTGAAAAAAAAGGGAAACTTTGTGCAGTGTTTGTAGGAATGTAAATTAGTGCAACCATTAAGAAAAAATGTATGAGGATTCCTCAAGAAATTAAAAACAGAACTATTAGATGATCAAACAATCCCCATTCTGGTATGTATCAAAAAAATGAAATCACTATCCCAAAGAACCCCATGTTCATTGCAGCATTATTCATAATAGCCAACATATGGAAACAACCTAAGTGTTCAACAGACGAGTGCATTAGTAAAATATGATATACACAAATATACACACATATATATCATGAAACATTACTCGGCCTTAACAAAAGAAGGAGATCCTGCCATTTAAAACAACATGGATGAATCTGGAGGACACTATGCTAAGTGAAATAAGCAAGGCACAGAAAGATAAATACTGTATGATCTCACATATATGGAGTCTAAATAAGTCAAACTCATAGAGGCAGAGAGCAGAATGGTGATTGCCAGGGGCTGAGGGGTGGGAACATTGGGGAGATGTTGGTCAAAAGGTACAAAGTTTCAGTTACGTAGGATGAATAAGTTTCAGAGATCAGTACAGCATGGTGACTACATTTACACCGTATTGCAGAAAATTACTAAGAAAATAGAACTTTGCTGAAGTTGCTTATCAGCTTAAGGAGATTTTGGGCTGAGACGATTGGGTTTTCTAGATATACAATCATGTCATATGCAAACAGGGACAATTTGACTTCCTCTTTTCCTCATTGAATACCCTTTATTTCCTTTTCCTGCCTGATTGCCCTGGCCAGAACTGCCAACACTATGTTGAATAGGAGTGGTGAGAGAGGGCATCCTTGTCTTGTGCCCATTTTCAAAGTGAATGCTTCCAGTTTTTGCCCATTCAGTATGATATTGGCTGTGGGTTTCTCATAGATAGCTCTTATTATTTTGAGATACGTCCCATCAATACCTAATTTATTGAGAGTTTTTAGCATGAAGGGTTGTTGAATTTTGTCGAAGTCTCAGGATATAAAATCAATTTGCAAAAATCACAAGCATTCTTATACACCAATAACAGACAAACAGAGAGCCAAATCATGAGTGAACTCCCATTCACAATTGCTTCAAAGAGAATAAAATACCTAGAAATCCAACTTACAAGGGATGTGAAGGACCTCTTCAAGGAGAACTACAAACCACTGCTCAATGAAATCAAAGAGGACACCAACAAATGGAAGAACATTCCATGCTCATTGGTAGGAAGAATCAACAATGTGAAAATGGCCATACTGCCCAAGGTAATTTATAGATACAATGCCATCCCCATCAAGCTACCAGTGACTTTCTTCACAGAATTGGAAAAAACTACTTTAAACTTCATATGGAACCAAAAAAGAGCCCACATTGCCAAGTCAATCCTAAGGCAAAAGAACAAAGCTGGAGGCATCACGCTACCTGACTTCAAACTATACTACAAGGCTACAGTAACCAAAACAGCATGGTACTGGTACCAAAACAGAGATATAGATCAATGGAACAGAACAGAGCCCTCAGAAATAATGCTGCATATCTACAACCATCTGATCTTTGACAAACCTGACAAAAACAAGAAATGGGGAAAGGATTCCCTATTTAATAAATGGTGCTGGGAAAACTGGCTAGCCATATGTAGAAAGCTGAAACTGGATCCCTTCCTTACACCTTATACAAAAATTAATTCAAGATGGATTAAAGACTTACATGTTAGACCTAAAACTATAAAAACCCTAGAAGAAAACCTAGGCAATACCATTCAGGACATAGGCCTGGGCAAGGACTTCATGTCTAAAACACCAAAAGGAATGGCAACAAAAGCCAAAATTGACAAATGGGATCTAATTAAACTAAAGAGCTTCTGCACAGCAAAAGAAAATACCATCAGAGTGAACAGGCAACCTACAGAATGGGAGAAAATTTTTGCAACCTACTCATCTGACAAAGGGTTAATATCCAGAATCTACAATGAACTCAAACAAATTTACAAGAAAAAAACAAACAACCCCATCAAAAAGTGGGTGAAGGATATGAATACACACTTCTCAAAAGAAGACATTTATGCAGCCAAAAAACACATGAAAAAATGCCCATCATCACTGGCCATCAGAGAAATGCAAATCAAAACCACAATGAGATACCATCTCACACCAGTTAGAATGGTGATCATTAAAAAGTCAGGAAACAACAGGTGCTGGAGAGGATGTGGAGAAATAGGAACACTTTTACACTGTTGGTGGGACTATAAACTAGTTCAACCCTTGTGGAAGTCAGTGTGGCAATTCCTCAGGGATCTAGAACTAGAAATACCATTTGACCCAGCCATCCCATTACTGGGTATATACCCAAAGGACTATAAATCATGCTCCTATAAAGACACATGCACATGTATGTATATAGTGGCACTATTCACAACAGCAAAGACTTGGAACCAACCTAAATGTCCAACAACAGTAGACTGGATTAAGAAAATGTGGCACATAGACACCATGGAATACTATGCAGCCATAAAAAATGATGAGTTCATGTCCTTTGTAGGGACATGGATGAAACTGGAAACCATCATTCTCAGCAAACTATCGCAAGGACAAAAAACGAAACACCGTATGTTCTCACTCATAGGTGGAAATTGAACAATGAGGACACATGGACACAGGAAGGGGAACATCACACACCGGGGACTGTTGTAGCTTGGGGGGAGGGGGGAGGGATAGCATTAGGAGATATACTTAATGCTAAATGACGAGTTAATGGATGCAGCACACCAACATGGCACATGTATGCATAGGTAACAAACCTGCACATTGTGCACATGTACCCTAAAACTTAAAGTATAATAATAATAAAATAAAAAAATTTAAAAAAAAGAAAAAGAAAATAGAACTTAAATGTTCTCACCACAAACACACAAAAAATAGGTCACTGTGAGATGATGAATATGTTAATTAGTGTATAGTGGTAATCATTTTACAATGTATACATATATCAAAACATCACATTGTACGCCTTAAATATATATAATTTTGTCAATTCTATTTTGATAAAGCCAGAAAAAGTAAATAAAAATTTTAACTTTAAAATAAAAAGAAAGATATGAAGGATATAGGGAGAGAGTCTTACCTAGTTCTGATTAGTATCACAGAAGAAAAATAAGCACATGATATGCTTTAAGTTGTCTTTTTCCCCATATAAAATAATAAAAAGGATAATCTCCCCTGATGAATGGTCACATTTAAGAAGTTAAAAATGTATCTTTTGGACAGGCATCTTCAAGTGTACAGGCAGAAGAACTACCAAAACAAAACTAAATTTTATAAAATAAAATTGAATAAAAGCCCCATTTAGTTAAATTTGCAAAGCTACTTAAATTGGGCCACAATTTTATAACAGCTGTTGACATGGAAAAAATTACCTTCATAAAGTCATATAAATGTTTACTTTTCCAATAATAGTACAGGTATTTTGTGAATTATGATTGTTCTCTCTGTGAAACGTTTATACCATAGGTTAATTTAATTGTGTACCAATTGTAAGACTTCTAATTAGCTATGATTGCTTGTGTCCTAGATTTAAAAGCCCACTTAATATCACAGTTAAAGTAGTATTGATAGTTTTTAGGCACTTGGAGACTAAGAAGCTAAAACAAATTTAAGTCACAAAACTATTCACTAGTTTGGAGATCCTAAAGAATTTACTCTTGTCAGTTGAATAGACAAGAAACTATTTTTCAAGGTCAATAGCTAGCTCCAAAAACCAAAGTTGGTTTCAATGTTCAAAGGACACATGTCAGTTTGCTTGACTACATTTTCCAACCCTCCAAACTATCAATTAAAGGCAAACGTGTTATAATAGTATATTTTATTTTCTCATACCTGAATGACCTTCACAAAACAAACAGCATTAAGGCCACCTTTCAGAAATCAGTTTTGCCATATGAACAAAATTAGTTATTTATATGTATATATGTATGTGTGCAAACAGATATTTATGTAACAATAACCAAATTTACTACACAGCAAATGTATATAGAAATGTTTAGGAAAACATCTACTATTTAAAGTAAAGCATGTTTATGATTGCATACATAAATTCAATTAATCTTTTTCTGTGCTCCAAGGTCTGTGCTAGACACATTAAACTTGATTCCTACCTTCAAAAAGCATGGAGTTTCACAGGGAAAAGACATAAATATTTTTTGGCAAATTCAGTGCCAGAGGAAGAGACCAAGTAAGTGTGAAGATAGGAGTAAGCACACAGTGTCAATGGAGCACAGAGGTGCCTAATCCAATTTAAGGGGTCAAGGGGGAGCAGAACCAGGGACAACATCCTGCAGAAGATGATGCATGAGCTCAGACTTAAAGGGTAAGGAGGAACATGTAGAATAAAGAAGGAAAATGTCATTCTGTACACAGGAAACAGCAAAAATACAGGAGGGAAGCCACTGTGGCAGCCTTAACACCTACCCACAGCTCAGAGTCACTGAAGCATCAAGTTAAAGGTGACAAGAAAGAAGGGTCAAGCTGTCCAAGTGGCTCAGGCTAGGTTACCACAAGGCCTGTACTCCACACCCAAGTGCTTCTATTTCACTCTGAGGACAGCAGTGAGTCATCCAAGGGTTTTAGACACAGAAATGGCATAGATGCTCACATGAAAAAGGCAAAGAGGAGGATAATGCCATGTTCTGAGTAAGAGCTAACAGGGCAGTTGGGGTAGATAGGAGGGGGTAGTTTTGAGGACTTGTTGATAAAAGATACAATGGGTCCTTGCAGGAAGAGGTTAAGATACTCCCATTTGTTGTTGTTTTTGAAGTCATTGGATAGATGGTAGAACATTATTTGAAATAAGAAATACTGATGGTCTAGAATGGGAACTAGGGGAAAATGATGAGGCCCCATTAAGAGGAAAATATCAGTGTTAATACCCAATTAGAAACATAGAGCAGGCATCTGAATATACTACTTGAAGATTAGCCACGTGTTCAAGGCTGATAAAAGAGACAAGCCCAGAGGTACAGGATAAGGTTACTACAGTTATCTTTTATTATCCTCAACTTTTATTTTATGGTTTTTGTTTTTATGATTCTATATTTAAAAAGAAATTCATCATGGACTTTTAATATAGCATGTAATATAAACTCTTAACACCAAAACAAGTTTGCATATGCCTAAAGTAACTGTTACCTTTATAAAATTATTTTCCGCTTTTTTACTGGCCTAATGGAAATAATATTTTATAAATTTTAGACTTCAAAAATTATCTAATATTCAACTTATTTAAGATCCTCTCTAAGAACACTTTCTAAAAATAACTTAATGTATAGATTAGACATGTGTTTAATCTACAACTAGGTGTTCTAGCTCATTTAGTATACTGCTCAAATATTTCTTCAGATCTCATTTTATAGAAAACAAACAGAATGTACAACTCAGCAGTGCTCGTGATCATTTTCTTAGTTATGGAAAAAAGGTAAGATGTGTAAAGGAAAAACTATTGCTGTATATGACCTTAACTCCTTCCAAAGGGTGTGGATTTACAAACTATAATTGCTTTTTATTAGAATATGGCTAAATGATGTGTCTGACACCAGACACCTCATGAAGGCAAAGTCTACCTCCTGTATCTCAGCTTCCTTCCTTGTAATTTGGTCTCCTTTCCTATTCCAGAAAGCATTGTCACATTGTACTCACTGCTGAGGAAGGATTAAAAATTGCCCAAGAAATATTAAAATTATTCTCTAATATCACATCTTCTTCCTATTTCCTGTAAGGCTTACTCATTCCAATAGCAGAGAGAAATTAGATTTTTAACTGGCAATCTAGTAAACACTCCATTTCTGTTTTATTTGTCTTTGATTTTTATGCAGTTAGTGTCTGTGCTTACTATAAAAATTAGGCTCAATGTATACACATATAGCAAAAATGATTCTAGGTACTGAATAATGTAATTGAATCAGGAGAAAACTCCCCGAAACTGTGAGAGGAGGAAATTTTTATCATACAGAACTCCTGAAGTAGGATTCAAAAAGGGGCCTCAAAGAAAGACCCTAGACGAGCACATTGGAAATATCTTCTGGGTCGATGCAATTAAAAACCAGTACTAGCTGTACTTGGAATAGGAAAAAATCCCTAGATACAGTGTCATTGAGGCAGTTAGATACCATTCTGCATTTAAAGAAATTATGTTTAAAACCTCAGTGAAGGATTTCCAATGTATTAGAAGCCCTCCAAAGACCTTTTAAAAATAACTGATCTTCAAAATTCATGCATAGATACTGGTTTTAAAATGGCATGGGGCCAGCCAGTGCATGACACAGCCTGTCCCAACATTACACTAAATTCTGTAAGACCTGGAAACAGATGAAATCAAACTAGCACCAATCAACGAGGATACCACATTGTTTGTGTGGGAGAACATCCTCCTAACTACAATGCCAATGGTGCCAACCTAAGAATCAAACACAGAAGCCAGTGTCTGCTTTACCAGATGAAACAATGCACACTCATCAATCTGAAGGAATAGTGGGGTTATAATTTCATCTGCCTCACCTTTGCCAAGGAGACAGCATCTGAACTAACCAGATAATTGGGAAATCACTTCTCTATAGCATGAGTAAGCAATATGAAATAGCCAGCACACTGTTCTCATACTATTCCCTCAGTTCTTCTCTTCTGACATGTATTTAGAAATTGTAACACTTAGGAAGAAAACATACACACACAAATGCATCCATACCTGAAGAAGGGTGGGAACTGCTAGTGGCACAATGCCTTCCTGGAGGTATAGAATAAATACGTATTGCATCATGAGATGGAGGAGGATAAAGAGATCATGAACCTGAAAACCTTGGTAGCAGTACACACTAAGGTCTTCAGTCTTCAATGTAATCCATAGGTTCCATTTCAGAGACCCAGGAAGAGAGTAAGTGAAGATTCTTCCTCGAACAACTAAAGCTACATTAGACAAATGCCTGTTCACCCAAGATTGGAGTAACAGCTGTGCATAGCAACGTGCTCTCTGGTTGTATAACAGAGAATGAGATGGAACAGTTCACAAGTGGTCAGTGAGCAAGGCCAAGAGCAAGTTACACACCCTGTCTATTGGCAAATACAAAGTCCGAATAGACTTTTCATGATCCCAGTGTGAATAAACAGAAGAAGACCTTGGACAAAAGGAGGAAAACTAGAAATTTTGAGAAAATGGAGAAAGTATATACATGTTAAAATTATTTACTATAAGAACCAAAAGAATATTTCAGAAAAGCAGTTACCATCCTCAATAGGACACAAAAGACCTCTATGAATCAGAAATAGAAATCTATAAAGGAAGAAAAAGCTGAGATATAAGAAGCAAACTAAATCAGATAAAGTAGGATGACAAAAAAACTAAAAGACTAACTATGGCTGTATGATCTATATTGGAAATATTTAATCTTCCTAAGCCTCTTTTTTGTCATCTATATGGTTGGTGTAATGGTATTTTACACAACTGCTTTGAGAGTTGTGTGTAAAGTGCTAGGAAAAGTGCTTGACTCACAGTAGCTGCTCAATGAATGTTAGCTGGTATTACTATAGTTACCCATCTTTACAGAATCACAGATACAAAAAGTCAATTTAGAGATGAATCTAAAGAACATAAGAATAGTAATCATGGCAAATTGAATTGGCAAAAGATTGAAACTAGTTATCTATAAAATAATAAATAATGTGGCAGGAGTACAAATTACTATAAGTTGCCAGAAAATAAATTTTCCAGAAAGTAGCAGGAGCCTTAAAATGGAATATACCAGGAATTCTTAGACATTCCAACTCTAAGAATGAATGTGTACGGGTATTTGTTTATTTCCTACCTACATCCGGACATGCCCTAGAGACAATGATCAAACTGGCAGCAATAATGCTACCTTTAGTGCCCATATTATATAGGTTCTGAAATAGTATTCTCACTTAAGGATATTACAACTTTTAGAAAAGTATCTGATTTCAGTCAACCTGAATTTCAATAATAATAAAAATTACAATGGACTGTAACCCAAATGCCTTTAAATCCGTGAGTTAATAATAACATTTATAAATAATGGCCACTTTCAAAGATGTTGGAAAATCAATTCATTATCTTGGTAACTACTAAATAAAAGAAAATATTACACCCTTTTTCTTTTTTTCTTACATGAACTGTACTATTAGGTAATCAAACAACAGGATTGGGGAGGGAAATCCTTAAAAAGTAATCCAAATAATAATAAAAGAAAAAGAAATGCTAGAATTAGACTATCACCATTTGTAGCACTCAGTGAATGAAGAGATATAAATATTAAGGCCAATCGGCCTTTATTTTTTCACAGATAATTGTAAGGAAATAAAGAGATGAAGGGGAAATCTACAGACAAAAAGAAAACTAGACATGTTTTTAAAGGGCAAGACTAAACTATATTATCACTGGATGCACATTCTGCTCAATCACATTTTGTTGATAAAACTACAAAAAGAAAAATACAAAGAAGTAAAAAAAGTTACTATAAAGGGCAGAATGGTGGTACTTATTGCAGAAGGGAGGGTCTGTGATCGGAATGCGGCACATGAAGAGGCTTCTGAGTGCGTAGCAAAGTCCTGTTTCTTCGCTTGGGTGGTGTTCACCTTCAACTTCATTAAGTCATATATTTGATTTCTGTGGTTTTTGTACTTGTTTTATTTTACAGTAAAAAGTTAAAAAAAGTAAATGAGCAAGTAAACCTTTTCTATACTAACACTCTGACATAGCACTTACTATACTTACTTATTTCTTCTCTGTGTTTCCTATGGGCTTGTTTCCTTAAAGCAAGAACTGTGCCTTCAGGTATTCATTGATGAGTATTCAGAAGGTTTCCCAGACCTCTCTTAATCTGGATCTATCCAAGAAGCTCCTGGTGGGCCTCAACATTTCTAAAATATGTGGACCATATTTGCAACAATGTGACAAACAACTTTTATTCCACTGCACTGGTACTCAGAAACAGGAGATTCGTTTGCTTGTTTGCTTTATTTCACTAGTTCAAAATTTGGCAGGAGAAGAACAAAGTAGAGAAGACCCAAGTGATTGGAACAGGCCATAGTTCCTGGCTAGTAGATGTGCCATCATCAGCAAAAAAGCTGCCTGGCTTTACTTCTGGGATGTAGAATCCCATCGCCCAGAGGACTGGGATATCTGAGAGTTCTGAGCAGACCAAAGCAATCTAGCATCCTCATAACCTGGAGAAACAGTCAACCACACTTACTTGGATGGGTACTTACATGCCCTTGGGGCCTCCAGCTCACAGAATCAATTATTCAAGCCCAATTGAATTGAAAGTCTGAAAATAATCTCCTTTTAGTCATAGGAATTGTCAAAACTCTGAATATCCCAATTTATCATGTATGATGGAACTTTCTTTAAGGATACCACAGAAATCTTTACCAGGACTTGGTTGGTTTGGTTTGTCTCTAATGAATAAAGTTAAAATAATAAGCGATGTGATTGCTTTAAATTTTTTAAAAGATCAGCCTAAATATAGCACATCAGTTAGTAATTAACATAGATGGAATACTTTTTATTCCACAATGCCAGAAATTCAGTATTTAATGAATGAAATCAATATGCCTGCCTTGATGGTCTATAATAATTCATCAGTATTTAATGTAAGTATATTCTCTAGAGGTACAAAGTACAAAATGTGCTAAATTTGGGTTGTATCATATTTCTTCTTCTTTTGTAAAAATAAGTTGTTTTGCTTTTATTCTGGTATAAAACTATTTTCTCCCTTTAAATGTTCATAGGAAAAAAATTGAAACTCTTCTATTGAAATATATGCCAGAAAATAGATAGAAAAGAAATATAAATTACAAGCCTGCAGAAAATTAAGTTTTACTCTATCTTCATTCTATTTAATTTCCAGGTTGTCCATTATATGTTATTGTTATTGTAAAAATACTAAATAGAAAATAAATCTAGCTGAGTGCAGTGGCTCACACCTGTAATCCCAGCACTTTAAGAGGCTGTGGCAGGTGGAACACTAGAGGCCAGGAGCTTGAGACCAGCCTGAAACAGAGGTTGCAGTGAGCCAAGATCACGCCACTGCACTCTAGCCTGGGCGACAGAGCAAGACTCTGTCTCAAAAAAGAAAAGAAAAGAAAAGAAATCCAGATGAAGTAAATGCTTAAATGTTGTTTTTAAACAAGATAATTTTCCCCAAAAGAAAGCCACGAAATAAAACTTCTTTAATGTTTAGATCACTGTGGATTCACATGTAGTTATAAGAAGCAACACAGAGAAATCCCATGTGCCCTTTCCCCAGTTTACCTTAATGGTAACATCTTCTACCACTACAGTACAAGAGCATAACAAAGATATTAACATTGATATCATCCACCTATCTTATTCAGATTTCCACAGTTTTACTGACACTCATTTGTGTGTACCTATGTGTATATTTAGTTAAACACAGTTTTGTTATGTGAGTATGTTCATGTATTCGCCACTACTGTCGAGACACAGAAGAGTTTTGTCACCACGCAGGGATTCCTTGCGTTGCCCCCTCCTGACTGTTCCCTTCTCCCTAACCCCTGGCTACCACTAATTTGTTTTCATCGCTATAATTTTGTCACTTCAAGAATGTTACATAAATAGAATCCTACAGTGTAGAATATTGTTTGTAGGGGTTGGAGAATATATAGTTTCAGTAAATAAAGAGTTTTAAAGTCATCAGCAACCAAAGAGGAAAGGACGACACAGGAATGACATAGCTTATGAGCAAGGCAGCAGTCACTTTTTACTAACGCCACACAGAGCACATGGTGTTCCATCAAGTGACCAAGGAAATATTTTTACTACCCAGAAGGATTTATTTTTCTATGTATAGTGTGTTACTAATAACTAAGTTTGTAAACTTTTTGATCAATCTTCAAACAGCAGGTGGTCAAGGAAACATGGTTTTCACAATTTTGTTTTTCCTTTTTGGTTTACCATGCCTTGTAAAACTTTGTCTAATTGGTGCCATATATTGCACTAAATAAAAAAATAATAATTTGAGAGACATAAATCTATGAGCATGTTAAAGGCACAGCTAAATATAATTGAGGAGAATTGGAAAGTGAGAGCCAGCAGGACGATTCCAGCTGTCACTGAGGATTCCGTTTTTAAAAAATTTGGCTCTTAAGTAGTAAAATGAGGAGATGGGGTTAGAATTCTTTTCTTCCTGGGAATCTTTCAACAAAAACAAAAAATGAAGGGATCTATTAACAAAAATTTCTGTTAGGCTAGAGGGACAAAGGCCCATTACAGTTTTAGTGTCCTCCAATTTGAATCTCAATCTGCACTACTTGATGTTACATAATGAAGTGAACCGTATTAAAAAACGGGAAGCTGCTAGAACTCAGGCTTCCAGAATTGAATGTCTATCCTTTTAGAATCAACAACATGCAGATGTCAGAGTCTAAAACTTCCCAAAAACTCATTGATTTCTCTTGATTCCCTACTGTTTTTCATACGGAATACTGTTTCACCTTTAATCTCAATTTGAACAATCCTGCTGCCAAATTTTATTACTTTAACAATTGTTTTCTTTAAATAGCTCTTTCTCTAATAAAATGTCATCCTGAATGACTACTAGCTGTGCTCTAACTTTCCCCTCAAAATGTCCACAGTCTAATATCTAGCCTTCTTTAGTATCTATGTTTAAAAACTCCAACCATATAAAGGGATAAATAGGCGAATAAATATATGATAAAGCAAACATAGCAAAACATTAACTATAGAATTTATTCAGGGATAGCTAAGATTTCAAATTATTTTGACACTTCTGTATGTTTGAAATTTTTCATAATAAAATGAAAGAAACTTCAGCCTCAGAAAGGGAGCTAGATATAATTGGGCCACTTCACACAAACTAAAAATAAAAAAGGACTTTAATGGAATTGTTCAAATGAACCTCTAAATCTCATTTACTTATCTCAAGGGCATTTTGCCAAAAGGTAGCTAAATGCAAGTTTTAGTGCCCCGAAGGTCACAGGGAATCCTATCTCCTGGCCCCAAGCCCTGACACAGGGTGACATCATGAGAAATAGTTTCAACTGATGTGGCTCCCTGAATACCAACCGACAATTACTTCACCAGGAAACTTGGCAACAAGGCCATGTACTTTGAGTGTGATGTCACTGTTCAACCCATGAAATAACTGCACGCTGTGCAAAGTTGTCCTCAAAGGAAAAGAAGTTGAACATATTCAGGAAAACAGATGAAAGCATACCTGAAATTTTAAAACATATACAACTGTATCAGAAATCATAAGTTTAAAGATATCATATGGGGGAAATAATGTAATTGGTCCAATGAATTTCCACAAAGAAGCTTATAAACAGATCTAGAACTTGCTAGTTCTGAACTTGAAGCACACTGGTTCCAGGATCTCACACTTTTCTGCAGTGACACAATCACAACCATGAATGATTCAGATAACATTCTCAATGAGAAGTTTTCTTTACACATAGATAGCAGGCCCTGGATTTTTGCTCTAACATTGGTTGTGTAAGGTAAAGCACAGTACTGAGAGATGAAAAATGCCAGAAAATCCACTCTAACTAGGGCTTATTTTCATAGACACATAATAACGCTTGATACTGTGCACAAAACCGGAGATAAAAAATGTAAAACAACTGACAGGAAAGTGTTCAAAAGGTATCCTGTGATATTCACAGGGAAGTCAATTCATAGTCAGTGGTACATTTCTGGGGCAGGGCTTCCTTGCCCTCCCAGTTTTAGAGTGTGGTCTCATTATAGCCCTTCAGGTAGGTTTAAACTAAGGCTGGTAAGCCTGGGTTCTGGTTTCACCCTGGTCAGCCGAGGGAAGGTCAAGACGTAGTCTCATAAAGTGGAACTGGAATTAGGACATGTGAGTCCAATCTCCAGCTCTGACCCTCAACCTCTAGCTATGTTGTTCAACCTCTAAGCAACTCTTTTTTCTTTTTCTCATCTCGATAGTAAAGATAATCAAATCTTCCTGCTGCAAGTCAATGTGTCTCTACACCACAAAGCTCTGTATAAGAGTGAATGCTACTATGTTTTTGGATGAGATGAGAATTCTACTTTAGTCTAAGCTTATGGCTCCAGGGAGTTCTGAAAAGGAACCCTGATTCTTGGGGTTCTCAGGAGGTGCTAGAGCTGTGGTGACCACACCATGCTGCTCTCCCCTGCAACTCCCTTAGATGGGGCAGAAATGGGAAAGGCCTTCAAATTAAAGGGCCACAGGCAAATAGAGAGGGAGTCCCCAGAGTGGGCTCATTTTCACCCCTGATGCTTCACACAGCAGCAAAGCCTGCTCCACATAAAAATGAATCTGGAGCTGAAATCAAATCAGCAAACTGAATATAATCATTTAAAAACTTTTGGAACACACAGCCAACAGTCAAATGGCAAGTGTACCTCACCACCACCTTTCATCATCTCTCTTAAAAATAGGCCTGGTGTGGTGGCTCACGCCTGTAATCCCAGCACTCTGAGAGGCTGAGGCAGGCAGATCACCTGAGGTCAGGAGTTCGAGACCAGCCTGACCAACATGGAGAAACCCCATCTCTACTAAAAAATATACGAAATTAGCCAGGTATGGTGGCACATGCCTGTAATCCCAGTTACTCAGGAGGCGGAGGCAGGAGAATCACTTGAACCCGGGAGGTGGAGGTTGTGGTTAGCCAAGATTGCGTCATTACACTCCAGCCTGGGCAACAAGAGCAAAACTCCATCTCAAAAAAATAATAATAATAATCACAACATCCATGAAAAGTTATTGTACCCATTAGGTGAAAAAACAGCCTCAGAGAGATTAAAAACTTGTCCAAATCCACATAGTAATTACTTGGTAGAGCCCAAGTATATACCTAGAACCAAGTGATTCCAAAGTCCCTTTGGAGATATTGTGCTAACCTGCCTCAAAACTTCTAAATTTCCAAGGTAGATAAATGGCACACAGGAAAATTAAGTGACGTATGGTATACTTTCAAAACAATTTTCTAGCCTGACTGAACTGGTATATTTCTAAAATGACATAATCTTAGCAAAAGATTCTACAACTGAACCAGAATCACATTAATTTAGGATAAGGAAGGAAAAATGGGTGAACAGTCCAGAGACCTGACATAGTTACTGTTCACTGCGCATTTACTACATGCCAGACACTGTGCAAGCTGCTGATGTGGAATGGAAAGGAAGGCTCTGGGAAAATGTAAATGAAATCTATAAAGTATAAGTGCAGGCAGTGATGAGATGAAATGTTAAAAAGACCGAGATGTTAAAAAGACAGATGAATACAGGAATAGTGAGAAAAGAACATCTTTCTTGCCCACTGGGCTATTAGACATTAAGGAAAAAGACAATGTTGCATGCTTTCTTATCCACCCATACCGGGTACAGTGGTGTGCACAAAGAAGAGATCAATTGGTATTTATACAATGAATGATGACTAGAAACTGAGACCCAAAGCAGGTTTCTGACAATAGTTTGATCACACAGTCAATGGTGGAGTTTGAGTCCTTCTCTAAGGCATTATGACTTTTCTTTCTATAACAATGACCAAGATGCTAGTTATTCCTTGTATTCTTTCTCTCCTTCTTTCACAGTATAGAATCTCAAGTCCTTAGCTAGGAAATTAGCGATGTGGAATAAAGAATACATTTCCCAGTGTCCCTCAAGGCTGACATATCCATGTGACTAAGTTTTGCTCAATAAGATGCAAGCAGACATAGTATCTACAGTTTGTAGCAAGCGTCCTCCATGGGAGGGTCATGCCCTCCTTTATCACTTTGTCCCTTCTTACTGAATGAAGTGTGCGTAGCCATGATGGTTGAGCTAGAGCAGCCATCTGGACCAAACATGGAACCGTGTGTTGAAAATAGTACAATGGAAACACAGGAAAGAAGGAGCTAAGGATCATGAAGCCAGAAATCAGCCTTAGATCATCAGTGTTGGTAAGAAGAGATACATGTTTATATAACGTTTAAGTCACTGCAACTTTGGGTTCTCTGTCCCATCTGAAATTAATCCTAACTAATACACCACCCTTTCTCTCAGGGGACTCCTAGGGATAGAAAGTTCAAAGGTAAGCAGTCCCCAAATCATTGTTGGAAGGTCATAAAACCCCATTTTATGGATAAATCAGATCATACTTGGAAAATCAAACTGAGTAAGTCACACTCTAGGACACAATGCAGGGGTCAGGGTAGAAGAAAGAAGAAAATATACTTTTCTAAAAAATGTCAAGGCTGAGTGCAGTGGCTTGCTCCTATAATCCCAGCACTTTGGGAGACCAAGGTGGGTGGATCACTTGAGGTCAGGAGTTCAAGGCCAGCCTGGACAATGGTGAAACACTGTCTCTACTAAAAATACAAAATTAGCCAGGCATGGTGGCAGGCGCCTGTAATTCCAGCTACTTGGGAGGCTGAGGCAGGAGAATCACTTGAATCTGGGAGGCAGAGGTTGCAGTGAGCTGAAAATGCACTGCTGCACTCCAGCCTGGGTGACAGAGCGAGACTCTGTCTCAAAAAATAAAAATAAAAAATAAAAATAAAAAAATCAGATTAAAAAATTAACCTAATTGTCACATATTTCAAATACCCAGTAAAGCTGTGGGTAGAGGAAGGAGGGTATCATCTATTTCTATAGCATCAGCTAAACTTTTAATCATACAAAAACGCCAAAATAGCAGACCTCTAATGCAAAAGAAGACGAGAAAAAAGTACAACAGTAAGTCATATTACATGACAAATGACATTAATCAAATAACATCTAAATGCTGTTCAGCCAAATTCTAGGCACAAATTTAACTTTTAGTTTGCCGTCTTTGAGCATTTAAGTCAAACATATTCAAAATATTTAGAAATCCTTTCAAGTTTCCTTTTTACATTTCAAACTACATACAGAATTTATGTTGGCAAATAAAAATAATACTATATTACAGTAGTAATTATATTAAATTACTATTCCCACAGGCAGAAAACTTTAGGACAATATTAGAAAAGACTTTGATTCAGAAAGCCTCTAAAATCTGGAAATATTTGTCAGATACTCAACTCAATACTTACAGGGTCTTGATTTAAGGTATGACAGCATTAATACCCAAATGACATGGATTTTCTCTTCTCAACTATTGCCGGGAATTATAATGGGCCCACATTTCCCATGGAATTTAATAGGGTTATCTTTCTGTAATGTTACATATTGTTTATATCAGGCAAGATCTCACATGGTCCTCAATGTAATTTTTAAGGCTTTTTTTCCTTCTTTGGCATGGAAGAAATACGGGTTTGGGTTTGGGTTTGGTTTTAATACACAAATCCAATTTTAAATCACCTTACTTGAACTTCCCTGGTATGTGTCATACACAAAGCACACCATGCCATAGAAATGGAAGCTAATTAACGTAATTAAAGACAAATAGAGGAAAAGAACATTTTGTCCAATGCCCAATTAATGAGCTGTTCCTCATCTAGGGATAAGCAAGTTATTTTGGCTTGGGATCCAGCCTAAGACATTATTAGCACTCCACAAATTTTTCTTGGAAGAAAAATGTCAACTAAAATAATGATAAACTTGCTCACAAAACTTGTGCCTTTGATAAACAAGACTGTGAAGTGTTTCCCAAGATGGAGGGAATGTTTCTACAAGTTGCTTCTTCTCCCAGTTATCTCATCTCAGTGTCTAGTGGAAAGACACATTATAACATCATTTATTGGGACCCTGTTTTTCTGTATTGTGAAATACCACACTGCTGTAATAGAAACTCAAGGAGGTTTTATGTGAAAGGGTGGCTTGCATTCCACAGCCAGAATGTACCCATCCCTTCTTAAATAGTAGGGTTTGAATGGAAAGAGGTAAAATGATTAAAGACACAAATGGAAGAAGTAAAGAAGAGACATTTACAAAGAGGACTAGAAGGAAAAGCATGTGGAGAAAAGTAAGACAAGAGTGAGAATAATATATTTTGTAGGAGGATGTTTTAGCATCCTATGACTGTCACAATTACCACAAACTGGGAGGCTTCAAACAACAAAAACTTATTCTCTCCCAGTCATGGAGGCTAGATGTCCAAAATCAAGATGCTGGCAGGGCCACGCTTCCTCTGAAGGATCTAGAAAAGGATTCTTCCTCTCCTCTTCTTAGCTTTGGGTGACTCCCAGCAGCCCTTAGCATCTCTTGGCTTGTAGCTACCTCATTCCAATCTCCACCTCCATTTTCACACAGCCTTCTCTGCATCTCATGTCTGCTCCTCTTCTTACATGGACACCAGTCATCAGATTTAGGGTCTGCTCTAATTCAGTATTACATTCACAATTTGCAAAGCCCCTTTTCCAAATAAGGTCACATTCTGAGGTTCTAAGTGGACATGAATTTGGGGGGATGCTATTCAACCCACTACAGTGGGGAACAAAGGTCCCACCTGATTTATCACTTACCTTCCCTTTGGAGATTGACCCAGAGAAAGGCAAAAATTAGGCTAATGTGAGAACAGCAGCTGAAGCAGTAGAGATCATGGAAAAGCTTGAAGGTGGAGGTATCAGAAGCCCAAAAAGCTATAAGGCAATGATGATGTCCATGCCTTGGTGGTGGCATCTGTCGAGTCCATTGGCTTCCAAGCCATGCTGATTAGCAGTAATAGGAAGCTGCTAATAGGGTCTAAGGGAAGAAGCAACAGCAGCAGTCTCTGGAAGTCAGAAAGGGTTTCTGGACAGAATTCTGGGGAGTCAACTCCAATGGGCTCTTCTAGGCTCTGATTCTCCAGCTGCGTTTCTCAGACTGAGGGTACGTGGGTTTGTGAGTTCTTTTAGAACATTTTATTGATCTTTAAAATAAGTTTATATCTATATCCATCCGTTTTTTAATTCAATTAATCTTTCTAATATCAGTTTTCTTATTTAAAATTGACAATACCGGAGCGTTTCTAATTCCATGTTTTCTAAATCATGAAAATCTAGGAAAATATGTATATATCCTGAATCATGAGATAGCTATGCCATTTCATTATACATGTTAGCAGTAACAATTAACAGGCACCAAAGTAGGATGATTTTAATTCTTGCAAGCTAATGAGGAAAGAACAGCAGTGAATGAAATACTTAACTTTCATATTCAAACCAGGGGCAGGGCAATAGCCCCAATGAAATATAAGTCTATCTAATATCCCAGACCCCCTGAGCTCATCTCCAGAGACAATTGCTATTAACAAACTTCTTATACATCTGAGTCAGATTAACAATGGCTGCAAATTCTTTGCCATTCTACCATTGAAATGGCTTCTAATTGCTTGAACCTAAGCTGGCCTTAGTGACTTGCATGATCAATAAAATGTGGCAGAAATAATGCTACATACAGAGAAGGCTTTCCAGAAGTCCAAAGAAAGAGAGAGAGCAGGAAAACTGAGTCATGCTACAGACCTTCAGGTGGGTCAGCACCCAAACCTACTGAAATAGTTACAGTCACCCGGGCTTCCCAAGCATAAGCTGGTTTACTCTGGAATTTTCTGCTGTTTTCTTTAAGTCTTTTATTTGATCAAATCAAATGGAAGCTCTTCAGAATTTCTAATCGTTACATGTCAAAAGAAGAGGACACTGCCAACAATATTGCCGACTTTCTTACTACTCTCAATACCTTGTTACTAATACTATCAATACTATTATGCTAAGTAGTACAACAAAACAGAAAAGATCAAAATTCAGTGTTCAAACTATTCTTTGCATGTAGGTAATTGATCACGAGACTAAGATCATCTCTCTGCAAAACACTGACGGCATTTACCACAGAAGACCTCCAAAGAAGGTCTTACAGCCACTTCAAAAAGCACTACAAGGTAAGATGTATTTATGAAAAATGTAAATTTCTGTTAAAGTATTTGATTGCATAATATTAGTTCCATGGATAATTGTGCATATTTGGATTTAAAAAATAAACTATTCAGATTTTTCCACAGTATTTGGTTGTCATTTACAAGAACTTAGGTGAATAATTTCAAAACTATTTTTTGCTTTGAAAGCTTTCAGATTTGTTTTAAAAAATGTGTCTAAAAGGGAAATTGAATAAAGCAACATAAATTAGAAGCTCAAAACATATTACACAACAGTCCCACTTTATCCCCAGGAGACATATCCTAAGAACCTCAGGGGATACCTGAATCCATGGATAGAACGAAACCCTATATACGCTACGTTTTTCCTAAACGTACATACTATGATAAAATTTAATTTATAAATTAGATACAGTAAGAGATTAACAACTATAATAATAAAGTAGAACAATACCACAACAGTTAATCTAATAACTGAATTGGCTAATGAGTGACTGACATGCAGATAACATCTACAGTGTGGATATGCAGGACAATGGAAGGATTTATGTCCTGGGTAGGACAAAGGAGGAAGGAGCAAGATTTCATCATGCTACTCAGAAGTGGTGTAATTTAAAACATATGAATTGTTTATTTCTGAATTTGTCACTTAATGTTTTGGACCAAAGCTGACCGTGGGTGACTGAAACTGCTGAAAGTGAAACAGTGGATAAGGGGGACTACTTTAACTACAGTCCTAAATTTGGAATTTTATTAGAATTTCAAATTGTAAGATTAGAACTATAATCCTAAATTTGGAATGAGTTTTATGCCTCAGCAAACCAAGAAAATCATCAGAACAAAAGCCCTCCTTTCCCTTTGCTGACAGTAGACTCTCCTATTCTGGGTCCCCAGAAGAGATGAGCCACTTAGTTGATGCAGCATCCTGAAAGGCTACCCAAAACCGTAAGGCCACAGAGAATGGGCTTTGAATTCAAACAAAAGGCAGGCCCTTCTGTATTATTAAAAGAAAGTCATGGCATGTATATTCAAGGCAACATATTAGGTCTTTCAATAGATTTCTATGCACACGATATATCGTATACACACACGGCATCAAATATACACATATATACATGTGTATGTGTACATTTACCTCATTCTTCATTATTTTTAACTGGGGCCACATCCGTTTGCACTTAACTCCTATCTTGCAAGCTGGATGCTACCATTACATTTCCTAAGGGGCCTCTGGAGTTCAAGAGCAGCCCAGTACCTTTTCACCTTTGGCTTGACAGACTCCAGGTCCAGCATCTTCAAATAGCTGAACTGGAAGAAGTAGAAATTCAGGAAACATGAACCTTTCCTGTACAGAGTGATTTCCATTTTATGTGAAAACTCTAAACAGACCTAACTGTGTTTAATTTTTTTTCCCCTTTCTAGAACTTAAGGTTGTTAACTTAGACTAAAACTCTGGTCTTCTACTTCCCCCACTTCTCTGGCTCAAACTACCTTATACAGAAAAGACAGCAAATATTTCATAGGCACACTAAGGAACAATTAAATAATCAAGCATGATTCCTTCCATGCCTCACCAAGTTACACAATTCCATACCCCTTGAGCTTTTTATCAGTAACTAAGTTTGGGAGCTGCTTTTCCCATTGAAAATGTCATGCAGGTATAATAATGACATTTTGTTCAACTTAAACCATTCAAAAATATGCAATGAAATAGAAGTCTATCTAATATCCCAGACAATTGCTAATAACAAACTTCTTATATATCTGAATCAGATTAACGATGGCTGAAAATTCTTTGCCATTCTACCATTGAGATGGCTTCTAATTCTTTGAACCTAGGCTGGCCTTATTGACTTGCATGATCAATAGAACGTGGCAGAAATAATGCTTCAGAGCATCCAAGGCCAGGTTACAAGAAGCTTTGTGGCTTCTGCCTAGGCCTCTTGAAATGCTTACTCTAGGAGAAGCCAGCTGCCATTTAGGAAGTTTTACCCTTCCTCACAGCATTCTTCCCATGCTGTAAAAAAGTCCAAGCTAGCCACATGAAGATCCCACATGAGGTGATAGACAGATTAGAGAGAAAAACAGAGGCAAAGAGACAGAGATTGCCTCAGCCAGCCCCAGACCTTCCAACTATCCCAGCCCAGACTCCAGACTCGTGAATGAAGAAGCCATATTAAATAGGCACGTGATGTAGAAAAAAATTAAGGAACCCAACCAACAACCAGACATATGGACCCTTCAAGGGGACCAGCCATTTCCAATTATATAAGCTATTTCATCTGAGAGCCCAGTCATGATGGTGCAGAGAAAACCTCCTCAGCTGTGTCCTGCCCAAACTCCTCACACACAAAATCAACAGCATAAAAAATTAGCTGTTTAAACCACTAAGCTTTGGGGTGGTTCGTTTTGCAGCAATAGATAACTGAAACAGTAACCTTTCAGACTTTTTCCATGCACATACAAGCATATCCTTTTTCTTTCCCCATGTATGATTCTGAGCTTTAAGGTTATTCTTTTCAAATTTAATGTTATATGTTTCTAAATCAGTACATAAAGACTTAACACTTGTGGCAGTTTTCAGAGTATTAAACCAGTCCCATAGTGATTGGCATTTTGATTGTTTTTATTATTTTGCTTTTAGGAACGACGATGAATGAACATCCTCATGTGTAAGTCTTTGTGAACACATATATCTGTAGGACAAATTACCACAAATGAAATTTCTGGGTCAAAAGCACTTTGCTTTTGTAAAGCTAGTTTTCTATTCTCCCCTTGGAAACTTAAATCTTTTTAATAAATAGGGACAAGCTCAGTTGTTCCCTTCTCAGTGAAATCTCCCAACGTTCTGCCAATAGAGTGTGAAATCTCTAAGGGTAGCATTTCTGGTGGGGTAGTTATAGGATAGCCTATCCACCAGGCATAAAGCATGCTTTTGTTTAATTAAGGGTTGTAGCATCAACAAGTAAATGAACAAATGTCCTTGTGACAGCTGAGCATCAACAGCAGCAGTAAGAACCTGAACTTTTAGCAATACAATGTGTCATGTGACAAAGCTTTCTCCATGGGCAGCTTTGGTTTGCAGTATCATGTCATTTTTACCTATATGAATGTAAACAGTCAGTGTGATTCCAAAAAAAAAAAACTATGGAAATTGACAAAATGATTATAAACTTCATATGAAAGAGTCAAGGTCCAAATAAAGCTAGGACATTCTGAAGAAGGAGGAGGAGGAGGAGGAGGAGGAGGAGGAGGAGGAGGGAAAGGAGGAAGAGAGAGAAACTGCTTTCCAGATAAGACTTATTATCTCATAGCGTACAGATTTAAATTATAGTTGCTAAAACATGGTAGTGGCTGGGCATGGTGGCTCATGCCTGTAAGCCCGGCACTTTGGGAGGCCAAGTCAGATGGATGGCTTGAGTCCAGGAGTTCGAGACCAGCCTGGCCAACGTGGTGAAACCCCGCCTCTATTAAAAGTACAAAAATTACACAAAAATTAGCTGGGCGTGGTGGTGTGTGCCTGTGGTCCCTCCACTCCAGCCTGGGCAACAGAGCAAGACTCTGTCTCAAAAATAAATAAATGAATAAAAACATGGTAGTATCTAGGCAGGAACTTTTTTTAAGTCAATGCAGCAGACTACAAAGCACAGATACAATTCTCTACTTGTATGAGAACCTGGGTATGAGAGCAAAGGCATCATAAACTAGAAGGCAAGTGATAGACTAGTTAGTAAACTGTCTTGGAATAACTAAATTTTCCATAATAAGAAAATCAACTAGATGTAAACAAAAAATTACCACATGGATTAAAGGCCTGTAAGTTAAAAAATAAAACTTTCAGAGAAATACTTCATAAGAATATTATTTCAGGGTAGGAATTTGTTCATAAATAGGACATAAAATATGTCCTAAAGAAAAAAAATGAGGCTGGAAGTAGTGGCTCACACCTGTAATCCCAGCACTTTGGGTGGCTGAGGCAGGAGGATTGCTTGAGCTCAGGAGTTCAAGGCCTGCCTGGGCAACGTAGCAAGATTCCATCTTTACAAAAAAAAAAAAAAAGAAAGAAAGAAACCAATTAGCCAGGCATGGAGGCATACACCTCTTTTCCCAGCAACTCAGGAGGCTGATGCGGGAAAATTGCTTGAGACCCAGGAGTTCAAGACTAGCCTGGGCAATACAGTGAGACCTAATCTCTACAAAAAATCAAAAAATTAGCCGGGCAAGATGGTGCATGCCTGTGGTCCCAGCTACTCTGGAGACTAAGGTGGAAGAACATGAGGCTGCAGTGAGCTACGATCATGCCACTGGACTCCAGTCTCAGTGACAGAGTGACACCCTGTCTCTAAAAACAGAAAAAAGAAAAAAACTGATAACTTTGACTACATAAAATACAAAATATTAGAACAAAATATATCATAAAATTAAAAGATAAGCCACAGACTAGGAGAAAATATTTGTAACACGTATTAGAAGTAAAGGATTGGCTTCCAGATTATATAAAGAATTCCTCCAGATCAATAAGAGACAACAGCCCAATAGAAAAAAAAAAAAGAGTAATGGTTATGAATAGTAAAACACAAGAAAAAGAAAACAGAATATGCAAGAAACCTAGAGAAAGGGATTCAGCCTCACAGATAATCAAGGAAAGGTACATTAAAACCATGCTGTGATACAATTTAAAACTCACCATTTTGGCAAAAATAGCATGGTTAGAATGTGGGAGAAACTCCCCTGCAGAGCTGGTAAGAATACAACCACTTGGGAGGACAAGATGGCAATATGCAGAAAATTTTAAAAAAAATTGTATGCCAAAGACTAAGCAACTCCACTTCTACATGGACACTCCGGAGAAACTCTGGGCAGACTCATGTGGATTCATGACAAAAATCGCCCCTGAAGCATTGTCTACAGCAGCACAGTATATGAAACTACCATCTGCCACACATCTCTTTACCTTTCCAGATCCACAATTCATCCCTCTCCATGATGCCCTGTGCCCCGGGAGCTAATCCCTAAGGACTCCCTTGCCCCCTGTGCTCTAGGCGAGTTCATCTATCCAATGGGATGCCCCACAAGGAAGATGGAGGGAAGGAAGAGAATGCCATCAAGGTGTTTGCTTTCACCTTCTCTTTTAGAGGAATTTTGGGGAGGGGGCTGCAACTTTATGAAGACCATGGCTTGTATGAGGCCTCTCTAGACAGCTCTCTCTAGGAAACAATAACCCTGGGTCAAGCCTAGGGGTGGTAATACTTGACCCTGGGTCAAGCCTAGGTGTACTGTTGCTTGCCTGGGACATTGCATTTATGGGGCCTTTATATTGTATGCAATATTTATTATAGTGTTTGTTATATTCTGAAACATTACCCACATAGTTGTAAACAGTCCTTTTATTAAATTCTCCCCAGTTACCCAGCATGAGTGTGCCGTGCCATCTGTTTTCAGTTGTGACTCTGACGGATATAAATGTATATGTTTATCAGTAGAGAAATGCATAAACTCTGATATATTCATATGATGGAAATATTATACAACCATTAAAATTCATGAACCAGTTCTCTTATGTATCAGTATGAGAGATCATAAAAGTATAGTGTGACATAAAATATTTAGAGGTTGCTTTATGTAGCATATATAATATATAAAATTTAAATATTTAAAATTTAAAAATATATACAATCATACACATATTTGATAAAAGTATAAAAAGAGAGGTGGAAGGAAACTCATGAAATTCACAGTAGAAATTTCTTCTGGGAAAGGATGGGAATAGGATTTGGAAAAGTTCAAAGAGGACTTCCCTACTATCTTTAATTTTTAAATAAAATATGTAACAAAATGTAATTTATATTAATTCTAGGTGGTAGGTATATAAGTTTTTTCTAGTACTATTGCACTGTAAAATACTGTACTATGGTTTTTCCTTTCTGTTTTTAAATATAATTTTGAAGTCTCTCTAAAAATTCAAGAACACAGGCCAGATGCAGTGGCTCACGCCTGTAATCCCTACACTTTAGGAGGCCGAGGCAGGCAGATCACCTGAGTCCAGGAGTTCGAGACATGGTAAAACCCCATCTCTACTTAAAATACAAAAAATAAGCTGGCAGTGGCGGTGCATGCCTATAATTCCAGCTACTTCAAAGGCTGAAGCACGAGAATCACTTGAACCCGGGAGACAGAGGTTGCAGTGAGCCAAGATCAGGCCATTGCACTCCAGCCTGGGTGACAGAGCCAGACACCGTCTCAAAAAAAAAGCACTACGGTAACAGCATGTAACAAAATTTGAGGTGGAGCCTGCTTTTCCGTCTTTTGCTGTCAAATCAAAGAGTGGTTCTACATTTACAAGCTTTTCAGGAAATCATGTCACAGACCTGGAAATCCACCTGGCTATCTTTACAAAGAGATGGAAGCCACACATTAGTTGCACATGTTGCTGTGGGAAGCACAGGAGATACATATGGGGACTGATACTGTCAGTCCTGGAGAAGAAAGATAAGAAAGGGCCTCAGGTTTCTACTACCATGCTGCCTGTGAGCAATAAGACAGAAACATGTCATTGTGTTCATAGCACTGAGAACTAGGCTGGTCTGGCTTGGAGGATGCAGGATTCTGAACAAAATGACGGTCTCAGTTAAAATAATTTGATTAATAAAAGGGAAAAGCAAAAACTCCAATCAGCCAGCCCTCTCCTTAGGGCCTTAGGGCATCTTTCCTTTGAACTCTGAATACAAGACCCTCACTCTCCTTCCAAAGCCCTGCTTAATAGTGGAGATAACCTAATTTGTCTTTCCTCTGACCAACTGACCTGCCCTTCAGTACCTTCTGGGCAAACTTACAAGGCAAGCCCTTCATATCTCAGCTCTCTCACACTCAGGCTTGGCTACCACCTCCTGACTCTGTCCCTGGGAGACTACCTCCCTCACTTCTACCACTGAGCCTCTGGGCTCCATGATGCCCTGTCTGCAAAAATCTTCAAAATTTAACCTCTTATGTAATTATCTTGCATACAACATACACGTGGAGGCTTTATGTGTATTTTAAGTGTTTTTTAAAATATCAGCAATTATTGAGGAGCTATATATGCTTTAACATTGTACCTTCATTCTATACTTAGGGTTTTCAGATACTGGAATGGCCACTATATCCCTCTTACAGTGGGATAAAATTTCAGAATCATACAGATATTTTTTAACTAGCTATCTGATCCTCAATACAGTATTTAAACTGGCTCATCCTCAGTTTCTTCCCATGTAAAGGGAGTGGTAATATCAACCTTCTAGAGAGGATTACTGATAATTAGCACAATCACATGTCCCAGCTGGTAGAAACAGTCTTGGTTTACACTTATAGTCCTGGCATCCTGCCCATTACATTTGTCCTATTGTTGCCATTTTAATTTTTAAAGTCTTTTTATTAGCATTTGCATTAACCTAAACCAGGATGGTTTAACTAGTTTCCAGTTTCTTTTAACATCACAATAAGCCACTTTGTACTTATTTCTGCCATGGACTTATCTATTAGCATGGGAGACACTCGGGCTGTAACAAAGATATCACTGTAACACGTGGTTAAATCTAGAAACTAGTATTCATCTGACGCTGTTTCCTAGATACTTTTCTATCTTGACTCCACTGAGGCTTTACTTGCAAGGACAGTATACACAGCACTCCCTAATAAAATAAAGTGTATTTTAATACCAGTGGCTTCAGACAGCTACTCCTGATCTCAGATAGTGATGGGATAAGTATTCTAAGCTGCTCCCCAAACCACTCACATGCCTTAACTGTGAAAGGCATGAAGCTGCTAATTCACCAGTCAACTGGAGCAATGGAAAATGCAGAGAAGCACACATTTGGTATTTGTAAAATATGTGTAGGAAATAAAGGTCTCGCAGTCAGCCCTGCTGAAGAACATGCAGAGAGGAGTTGGAACACTCTTGCTACAGTGGTTTTATCATATATTGTGGCGGAAAGCTATGACTATTAATTTATTTTTTGGTAATGCTTTGTAATTTTGCAATGAACCCTCCCGGCAGCAATAAGCTCAAAAACTGAAAATTCATATTTAGTGAAAAATTAAGCACTGAGTTTCCATTTCAAAAGAAAATTGATGATGAGCATGTAACATAAACAGAATGCTTGTCGACATTTACCACCCACCACTGGAGCCACAGTGCATCAGTGACCACATGACCACAATCTGTCCAAGAAGCATCAATGTCTGCTTCAAAAATTGGTAGTTGTTTTTGGAAGATGGTGCCTGAAGATGGTGTATCATGTGCAGCTGCAGAAGGTGTGTTTATCCATCACTCTTTGACGCATGACTTTTCGTTCAGGTAGAATAGTTGTTCCCCTAAATTAATTTCACCTATTTCAATTCCAAGATTTCTTGTGCACATAAGAAAAATGAAGCAATGCCATTAACTGGATGCTTGACTTATTAGCACAGATTTGCAAACAGTTGAATAATCACTGTCATCAGATGCTTCAAAAACGTCAGTTAAATAAATGCCAATAATCATTTGCTTGCTCATTCACTCTCTAGACTAGACTAAAGCTTTGGGAAATTCACCGTGTCTTAAGTGGCGGACAATATTGCAATTGCAACTGCAATTGCAAATTCAGTTTAAAAACTTATCACTGAAAATAAATGTATTTGTTTTTGTGATACAAATACAAAACAAAAATTTGGTAGAATACAGCATCCTAGTAAAAACATGGTTTTTACTAAATTAAGAAATGCACAGGGTTGAAACAATTTGAAATTGTGCCCAAACTGTGATAGTCTACTAATCAAAATAGCTATAGTTTACAAAATTATCAAGTGCATAGTGGGGTGTGTGTGTGTGTGTGTGTGTGTGTGTGTGTGTATGTGTGTATAAGGTAAATGCCTTACAATTTTTCATTACATTAGTTATTTTAACTGTATATATATACAAACACATACATACCACAGTTTAACAGACTGTGTTTTTAATTACTTTATATATGTAAGTGTATACTATATATAACTATATATGTATATATAGTTAACTATAAATATATATAGCTATATAGTTTATATGCACACACAGTTAAAGCAACTAGAAACAACATTTTGGTGGCAAAGCTGATATGCTTTTACATGCCTCTGCCAGGCAGTGTGTACTTTATATCTTTGCTCCTTTATCATCAGTTGGATTTTAGAAAACTTGTAGAACTATTTTGTAAATCAACCCTAGTGTCCTATAATGGTATTGATCTGTTTTTGTACACAAATCCACTGAATTTATTGCATTCTGCTCAAAATCAAGTAGAAATCTTTAATAATCAAAATGCAATCAATAAAATGCCAAAACACTTAAGTTTTCAAAGCTTTTAGCAAATTGCAATTATGAAACCACAGCTTATAAACAGGAAGACCTTGAAATTAAGAAATTTCCCTACAAATGCAAGGGAGCAACTGAAATAATTCAATGGTGAGAGCTCCTCAAATAGCATGAAAGATTTAATTGGAAATTCTCAAACTTCACTTTGGAATAATAGCTTCTACTGGTGGGAAAAATCTTTTTATGGAATTCCTAAAGAATTCCTATTTTTAATTAGAAAATTTTCATTCAACCACAGAATGAAAAAAGTTCAAAAGGCCTAAAATTTCACAGCCTCTAAATTTAGTCAAACATAAAAAAGATCATAAAGAGATCTTTCTTACAAAAATGTTTAGTAAAGAATGTCTTCTAAACGGAGAACCAAAGATGGTAAGTTCACTGGGGGGTGAAATAATTATACATTTAATTATGAAAAATATGGAACTAAAAATATTTTCCATTTACGAGAATGTTCTTGGACTTAGATACCTGAGTACCAATTGACGAAATATGTTTTCTTTCAAAAATATTAAGGTCAGCTCGGCATGATGGTTCAAGCCTGTAATCCAAATACTTTGGGAGACTAAGGTGGCAGGAACACTTGAGCCCGGGAGTTTGAGACCAGCCTGGGCAATACAGAAGACCTCATCTCTACTCAAAATAAAAAAAAAAATAGCTGGGCATGGTGGTCATGAGAGATGCTATTTCATTCAATTCTGTTTGTACACACACACACACACACACACACACACACACACACACACACACACACACACATACACATCATGAGCTTATCTTTCAACACAAAGAATTACGAACATACAGAAAAATCACATGTGGTGGAAGATTTTCTTTTTTTTATTATTATTATTATACTTTAAGTTTTAGGGTACATGTGCACCATGTGCAGGTTAGTTACATATGTATACATGTGCCATGCTGGTGTGCTGCACCCATTAACTCGTCATTTAGCATTAGGTATATCTCCTAAAGCTATCCCTCCCCCCTCCCCCCACCCCACAACAGTCCCCAGAGTGTGATGTTCCCCCTCCTGTGTCCATGTGTTCTCATTGTTCAATTCCCACCTATGAGTGAGAATATGCGGTGTTTGGTTTTTTGTTCTTGCGATAGTTTACTGAGAATGATGATTTCCAATCTCATCCATGTCCCTACAAAGGATGTGAATTCATCATTTTTCATGGCTGCATAGTATTCCATGGTGTATATGTGCCACATTTTCTTAATCCAGTCTATCATTGTTGGACATTTGGGTTGGTTCCAAGTCTTTGCTGTTGTGAATAATGCCGCAATAAACATACGTGTGCATGTGTCTTTACAGCCACATGATTTATAATCCTTTGGGTATATACCCAGTAATGGGATGGCTGGGTCAAATGGTATTTCTAGTTCTAGATCCCTGAGGAATCGCCACACTGACTTCCACAATGGTTGAACTAGTTTACAGTCCCACCAACAGTGTAAAAGTTTTCCTATTTCTCCACATCCTCTCCAGCACCTGTTGTTTCCTGACTTTTTAATGATTGCCATTCTAACTGGTGTGAGATGGTATCTCATTGTGGTTTTGATTTGCATTTCTCTGATGGTCAGTGATGGTGAGCATTTTTTCATGTGTTTTTTGGCTGCATAAGTGTCTTCTTTTGAGAAGTGTCTGTTCATGTCCTTTGCCCACTTTTTGATGGGGTTGTTTGTTTTTTTCTTGTAAATTTGTTTGAGTTCATTGTAGATTCTGGATATTAGCCCTTTGTCAGATGAGTAGGTTGCAAAAATTTTCTCCGATTCTGTAGGTTGCCTGTTCACTCTGATGGTAGTTTCTTTTGCTGTGCAGAAGCTCTTTAGTTTAATGAGATCCCATTTGTCAATTTTGGCTTTTGTTGCCATTGCTTTTGGTGTTTTAGACATGAAGTCCTTGCCCATGCCTATGTCCTGAATGGTAATGCCTAGGTTTTCTTCTAGGGTTTTTATGGTTTTAGGTCTAACATGTAAGTCTTTAATCCATCTTGAATTAATTTTTGTATAAGGTGTAAGGAAGGGATCCAGTTTCAGCTTTCTACATATGGCTAGCCAGTTTTCCCAGCACCATTTATTAAATAGGGAATCCTTTCCCCATTGCTTGTTTTTCTCAGGTTTGTCAAAGATCAGATAGTTGTAGATATGCGGCATTATTTCTGAGGGCTCTGTTCTGTTCCATTGATCTATATCTCTGTTTTGGTACCAGTACCATGCTGTTTTGGTTACTGTAGCCTTGTAGTATAGTTTGAAGTCAGGTAGTGTGATGCCTCCAGCTTTGTTCTTTTGGCTTAGGATTGACTTGATGATGCGGGCTCTTTTTTGGTTCCATATGAACTTTAAAGTAGTTTTTCCCAATTCTGTGAAGAAAGTCCTTGGTAGCTTGATGGGGATGGCATTGAATCTATAAATTACCTTGGGCAGTATGGCCATTTTCATGATATTGATTCTTCCTACCCATGAGCATGGAATGTTCTTCCATTTGTTTGTATCTTCTTTTATTTCATTGAGCAGTGGTTTGTAGTTCTCCTTGAAGATGTCCTTCACGTCCCTTGTATGTTGGATTCCTAGGTATTTTATTCTCTTTGAAGCAATTGTGAACGGGAGTTCACTCATGATTTGGCTCTCTGTTTGTCTGTTATTTGTGTATAAGAATGATTTTCTAAAGGATACTGATATAAATTGGATATTTGTTCCCATCTAAATCTAGTGTTGAATTGTAATTCCCAGTGCTGGAGGTGGGGCTCGGTGGGAGGTGTTTGAATCATAGGGTGGATTGCTCATGGCTTGGTGCTGTCTTTGTGATAGTGAATTCTCACAAGATCTGATTATTTAAAGGTGTGTGGCACCTCTCTCCCTATTCCCTCTCTCTCGTTCCTTCTGTGGCCATGTAATGTGCCTGTTCACCCTTCACCTTCTGCCATGACTGTAAGCTTCCTGAGGCCTCCCCAGAAGCCAACCAGATGGCTGCACCATGCTTTCTGTATAGCCTGCAAAACTGTAAGCCAATTAAACCTCTTTTTTTATAAATTACCCAGTCTCAGGTATTTCTTTATAGTAATGCAAGAAAAGCCTAATACAGATACTAATAGAATTTAATGTAAAATAGCACAAATAAGAATCCATATTCATGAAGTCATGAGGAAGGGCTCCAGGGAAAGGAACTGAAGAGCTTTCATAGCATTTTCATATTTCTAAAATGGTTCAAATTCATAGCTCATAAGCTATTCATACCATGTAGAAAAGAGACAAAACAAGTGTGTCTATGCCCAGATCAAATATCAAAATACTTTAAACAGGAACTTTGGCACTACCCCCACCCACAAGGTTCGGGAAAGATTATTTAGGAAGTCAAGAAAAATTATCTCTGCCTTGACCTGCGATAAGGTGAGAATGATCTTTACCCCATCTCAAAACCAATAGCAATACTTCTAAACTCCCCAAAATACAATAATTCAACATGGAATCCAGGTCAAGCTCAGCCATAATATGTTAATCTTTAAGGAATAAGCCCTTATAAGCTACTCTTTATGAACACTGTTACTATAAACTCTTAAGTACATTGCAGGCTGGGTTCAGTGGCTCACACCTGTAATCCCAGCACTTTGGGAGGCCAAGGTGAGAGGACTGCTTGAACCCAGGAGTTCAAGAACAGCCTGGGCAACATAGTGAGACTCTGTCAAAAGAGAAGAAGAGAAGAGAGAAAAGAAAAGAAAGAAATTAGCCTGGCATAGTAGTGCACACCTCTAATCCCAGCTACTTGGGAGGCTAAAGCAGGAGGATCACTTAAGACCAGGAGATTGAGGCTGCAGTAAGCCATGATCCTGTCACTGCACTCCAGCCTAGATGACACAATGAGATCCTGTCTTATTAAACAAACAACAAAAAAAGAAGTTACATTGTAGTATGCAATCAGGGTTGACATTCAGATGGAATGTACTGATGGTTAAAATACTGAAATATTCCCATACCAGTTGGTAAAAAGAAATCCTATATTTATTGAGACTACAAGGTACCTAATTATGTCACCAGTGGCAGCCAGAAAAGCAGGTAATAGACCTTGGAGTGGTGCCAGCACAGATGTGAGTGGCTTCCAGTGGCTGCTGAAACTCCACAGGTGTTGGGAGCAGCAAGGGCACATGAGTTTCAGAGCATGTGTAAGGGGTGACAGTTGGCAGGTTGGTATTGATATTTTGGTGCAGGCCAAAGTACAAATTCTTCCTAGGCCATGTGGGAAGGACTGGCTTCTAGGTGAGCATCATCCAATCATTTTTCAGCTATAACAAAGTACCAGTTCCAGAGACACAACGGACTCTCAATTTAATGGGGAACTTAGAAGCTTCAAGCGTTTGATGCTGTTCCCTGTGTCACATCTGAGCTTAGACAGTGACATCATTTATGAAACAAAAGATTACATTGATAATTTCTAGGTATCAACAGATAACTTAGAAATGATCTAATGAATAATTTGATCAGTACTTTCATGAGGTATATTTTATACGTAGGTAATACAAGGTAATATTTGTTAACTATACAATTCAATGGCATTAAATACATTCACAATGTTGCATACTCATCACATCACCATCCATTTACAGAACTTTTTCATCATCCCAAACAGACACTCAGTACCCAACAAACAATAACTCTCTATCCCCCTGCCTCTGGTAACTTCTATTCTACTTTCTGTCTCTAACGAATTTGCCTATTATATACCTTATATAGGTGAATGGAATCATATAATATTTGTATGGCAGCAGCTATATAATGAACGCTTGTGTCCCCTCAAAATTCAGATATTGAAATTGTAACCTCCAATGTGACGGTAGTAGGAGGTGGGGCCTTTGGTAGGCAATTAGCCTGTCCTTATAAAAGGGATCCCAAGGAGTTCCCTCACCCATTCTACCACATGAGAACACAGAGAAGCCAGCCTTCTATGAAGCAGGGAGTAGACCCTCATCAAACCTCAAATCTGCTAGCACCTTGATCTTGAACTTCCCAGCTTCTAGAACTGTGAGAAATAAATTTCTGTTGCTTGTAAGCCAACAAGTCTACAAGTAGTGTATTATAGTAGCCTGAACAGACTAAGACAGCAGTCTATTTTTAAATAAACCCACACACTTACACATACATATGACTACACTGGTTATTAAGTATTTAATATTGCCCCGACTCTATACTCAAAAGCTCTTTGAAAAATGAGGCCTGACAGACATTTGATAGTAGGACACAGGAGAGTCAATTTATAGGATAAATGGTAGAGACTGTATTACACAGGAGATTCTATTTATAGGATAAATGGTAGAGATTGTATCAACTAAGAAAATTTATAGATTCTATACTGAAACTGTATAGAATATGGTCTCCTCAATTAAGAAATAAACTACACGTATCCAAAAACCAGATCAATGCTCAAAGCCTTTTTAGGTAACACTGGCTAACTACATCACTGGCTGCTGTGGCTGGCAACTGAAGCATGAATTTTTATAACTCCAAATTGAAAATCCAAATTTATCTCATTGGGTAAATTAGAAGTTTCCAATTTACCCAATGAGATAAAGAGAAGAATGGGAAGATTTTCAAGACACAATATCTATGAAATCACCTGCCTGAAACATCTAAACCAAAAGAAATCTGCTTGGCTTCTCTCTTTTACAATACAGACAAAAACATGCTTAGCCTCAGAACTACAACTTCAAAATGGCATGAAACATGAAACTGTTCTCTCTCTAAAAGGTCTCAAGTTAAGGCCTAAAATAAAAAGACTCTTATTAAAAAACAAAGAGTCAGCATCAAAACCTGTAGCTGCAGAAGAGATGTTCATGGAAAAATTTGTAGGATTTGTAGGAAATGTGAAAATATCTGAGAGAAATAAGAGTAATGCAGGCATAAACAATACAGTCCTTAAGAATTTTCTTTAAGTGCAGAAAAATCTACCACTCTTCGGGCCATGGGAGCCTAAAGACATGACGAGTCGTTATTTCTTTCTTTTTTTTGGGGGGGGGGTGTTATTTACTTTTATTTTTAAGTTTACCTTTATTTATTTTTCGAGTTAGGGTCTCATTTTTTTTCTTTTTTTTCTTTTTTTTTTTTTTTGCACGTTATGCACATGTACCCTAAAAGTTAAGGTATAATAATAATAAAATTAAAAAGACAAGTCGTTATTTATAATGCAAACCCCCTCTTTTGGCTCCCATCTTGCATTTCCAAATGCCTTCCAGGCAGCTTTACTTGGATGCCTCCTAGCCAATTCCAACTCAACAGGTCAACAAGTAGATGCTATCTGCCCACCCTAAATTGGTTTTTCTTCCTGTCCTCCTATCTCAGTACATTGTACTGCCATTCATACAAACAACTTCTCCTAGTTTCATCAGCTGCTTCTCCCTACTTGGCCATTGAATTCAATCAGTTACTGAATTCTGCTGTAAGAAGTTTGTCCTTTCCGTTCCTTGCTGCCACAGCCTACTTCAAGCCCTCATTATCTCTCTCCTGGATCTTTGGAACACCCTCCCAAATCATCTCTGCAGTTGTCTTTTCTCAAATCTACCCTCTACAATGACGTAAAGGTTACAATCTCAAAAACAAATTATATCATTTCATTATGCTAAAACACAAACACACATGCAAACAAAAGCATTAAACAACCTCCAGAAACTGTCAAGATATGATTCAGAGTGGTCACGAATCTGGTCTAACCTACCACCTGACTATGTCTTGTTACTGCTCCTACCATACCCTACATTCTAACCACACCTATTGTTTCATCCTCCCCCCAATACACCCTCCTTTCTCATGCTTCCATGCCTCTGCAATGCTGTTCTCTACCAACACTCTGGTTCTCCCTATTACCTCACTCAGCCAAGAAGGGTCAAGTCCAATGTCACTTCCTCAAAGAAACCCTCCCTTTCCTTAACTGACTCTTTTGCTCCCCCCTTCATGTCCTCTCAGGCCTCCATTAAAACATTCATCATAGTAGATATACTCTACCATAATTTATACATGCCTCTGTTCCTCAGATTATGTACTTTGCAAGAACAGGGTCACATATGATTCATGATTTTATCCCAAGTGTTTAATATAGTATGGGAGTACAATGTGTGTTCAATAAATGGGCCCTAAGTAAATGAATGAATGAATGAGGCAGAACATCAAAATCCAGCTGAAAAAATTAAAATCCCAGCAAGATTCATATAGTCATTATAATAATCATCCTTTCATTAAAGGAGCTAAAGCTTCCCTTGAGGTGGAATTTTATATGTCAACAGTCATACATCATTGTTACCAACCAAGTATACATTATTTTTTCAAAGAATATTACAGATTTCTGAATGAGATGAAAAGACACTAATGAGGTGAAAATGTCAGTATTTTAGACATTGAATACAGCATAAAACATAATTCATGACCCAAAAAAAATGGTAGAAAGGGGACCCAAGAACAGACTAGTTTGAATAGAACAAAAAAATCCAACTGGACACTAGATGGTGGTTGTGAGAGTTAAAAAAAAAAAAAGTTTCTAATGAAGGGAGGCTTTGCAAGGTTAGGTAACACCACATTCATGCTAAAAGAAATAGTTTACAAGAGAAAGGTAAGGGACCAAGTAAGAAACAAGATAAAAATGGTTTGGAGATAAAGAGAATTTTCTGGAGACTGAAAGGAAGCAAGGCAGTTATTGTGAAACTGTATAAATAAGCTATGAGTGGAAGGTATCAAGCTACACATGCAAAAAGTATAAGTGGCAAAAAACCAATGGATATTTGAGAGAATTAAATGAAAGAATTTGATAGGGGTTCAGTGTGGAGAGGCCATAAACATAAGGAGGGATATTTCCCTCCCAACAGGCACAGAGGCATTAGGCAGAGAAGCTGCTTAATGACTTGTCAAAACAAGACAAAAGGGTTTTCTCTATGTCCAGCTTAAGATGATGACAAGATACTCAGGCAGAAGTATCAGGGGAAAGCCATGGAAAGTCAGGAAACACAACGTGAATCTGCTCAGAGTTAATAGCTTCATAATTAGGAAAAATGTGCTCTTGGATGGTCACCAATCCCAGAGTTCCTCAAAGATTCTGTGACAAGGTAAGCCAAGAAAACAATGAAGGATCTTGTCGGAGGAAGATGACTGGGAAATCTCTCCTCATACCTAGCTTTTGTTTGGTCGGGGGCTTTCCTGATATCCAGCTGACAACTTTCTGCAGTTTTCTACTTTACAGTGAAGTCCAAGTTAAGTCAAAGTTCACAGGAACACCTGCAGCTAGTGGAACAAATTATAGGGAATACTGGCTTCAGTCAAACCTGACACAATGAAGAAGAACGAGTTAAGCACAAGGTCATGGAGATGACATCGCACCCTTGGCATGAGGATGGACAGTAAAGATGCCCGGCATAGTACCTGGGGGTATCTCTTTGAAATTGTTTCCACTTTCACACACAAAGACTGAGGTAAAACCTTATGAAATTTTCAAGACTCAAATTACATGAAATTCATGTTACTCAATACCCAAGAACCCATGTGAAACGAGTTTGCACATAAGGCCCTTGTGCCTTATGTCATTTTACAGGACTGTTACGCCTCCCTGACAGCAGCTCCATGGAATAGTTTAAATGCTCAGCTTATGCACACACCCCATGTAAATTAGAGACGAGTGCACACAACTACTTGCTGGAACCTATGAAAATCTTAAATTATAATTCAAACATTTGGACTTTAACAAAGAACATTTTTTTCCAAGCATATTTTCCCTTGGTTTTTAAACCCACGTGTATTTCAAGGGGGAAAAAAATCCATCTGTTTCTGATTCATTTATGCTTAACTCATCAGGATATCACTGGAGAAGAGTTATTGGGTGTCCACATCACCTTCCCCCCTCCTCATACTTCTGTTACTTCTCTTCTTAAGAGCAAGCAGGTGTACCATGTCACAATTAAACAAACATGAATTGTAAAACACCATTATTTTGATTCAAACCTCAAGATCCATGTGTTTTAAAAGGAAGCATTAGAGTCTTCCTCATTTCCTAATTTCTAGTTGTATGTTTTGTTGCTGTTGGTAGAGGAGTGTTTTATTGTTTATTTTAAGCAAGAGAGAGATGAGGAAACATAATATATGGCCAGCAGTGCACAGTAGGCCAATTCTCAACTAACCTCACTGTCTTAGTATTTAAGGAATTTAAATCAACAAGATTTTAGGAATTTAAATCAACAAGCATAGCAAGTCTCCCCTCCATCTAAAAAGGGTTAATATTACCAAAGTTTATAAGTGTGTTTAAAAGTAGGAATCCATTTTTTTTCCCATAGAAACAATGTTATAGAATTAGATCTGGGCTTCTGATCAACTATCCAAATCTAGTTGCCCTTCAGGGATCTAAGTCTAGCACTGGCTATATTGAGAGGCAGTGTGGAGCCGCAGAGAGAACGTGTGCAGTGAAGGCAGAAAGGTCTTCATTCCAATTTAGTTCAACTCTGTACTGATTGCTGATCAAGATCTCAGTCACCCTCCTTCCAAAAATGCAGATAAAGCCTCCCCTGAAATGGCTATTGTGAGGATGAATGATCAGGCCAACATTGAGCAGGGCCCACCGCAATGTGCTGTTCCGATTATCCTTCATCACTATCTGCAGCATCATTTTAGAGAAGATGCTTTCAAAAAACAGCTTATTGTTTCTAATGTTTCTAAGCTGAGTAGTCTGAGGCTCTCTGCAGCAACCATGGATGAGGCACCAACAACAGCAGACAGGTTGACAACAGTTAGGGCTGCAGAGAAAGCAATCACACACTGGCTAGCGGAGGGCCAGTGGAGCAAGGATCTCACCCACCATGCTGCATCCTGCATGGCTGGCAGGTACAAAACCATGTCCATGGGAAACCCCTCCAACAACCCAACCCAAACATGCTACCCTCAGACCAAAAGCCACATGGAAAATATCAAAAAATAATTATAAAACTCACTGCCTGTACCACTGGCAGCTTCTCACTCTTCAAGGGAGTACTTTAAAGTTTATTTGTGGAAGGGGAGTAAAGCAGGCCAATTTCTGGCAAAAGCCCATCCATGCAGGCGGTGGCGAGGTTGGGGAGATATTTGGCAGCAAGCAGGGGTGGTACCTGCTGTAAGCCTCTTGCCTCTGGTATTCCTGTGTGGTGGGAAAATTTAACATGAAAGCTGGCAAACAGCAGGTAGGAAAAGGGAGAGACCACGATATAATCCAGCAGGTATTTATGGCCTGAGCGGCAGCCCTGCCCACATTCACAGATTGTTAGAGCTGGAAAGGACCTCAGAGATCAACTGGTTCAACCTCCTGCCTTTACGGAAGGGAAACGAAGGCTACTAGACTCGCCTGAGGTCACCCAGCCTGTGTTTCTTCTCTCAGAGTTTCTGGGGATGAGAGAGAACTTGGTCATAACTATGGCCCCTGTCACCAGTAATCTTTCACTGATGTTAGGGGTAATGCAATCTTCTACCTCAATGGTGCCTAGCAGGTAGAGACAAAAGAGTCATAATTTAAAAATGGACTACAGTGATTTTTTTTAAAGCATAAGTAAACAAGAATTTCAATTATTATGTGAAGTTGCAAAGGAGATACATAATAAGTCTGTAAAATGACATAAGGCACCAGTAAATAGCAAGGAAATTACACTTAGAATAAAAATTACATACACATGCACAGTTGGCCCCAAATCAGGGGAGCAGAAATGAGAGCAAATGAAGATATTATTTTTGTTTTGTTTTCTAAGAGCTAAATGCTAAATACAAAGCCTTGAGGTAGAAGCACACTTGGCAATGTTAGAAGAACAGCAAAGACCAGTGAAGCTAGAGAATAGTAAGTAAGGAGAAACTGGTAGGTGAGAGGATCGGAGAGATGGCTAGATAAATCAGGCCTTATAAGCCATGTGGAAGATGGGAAGCACTGGAGGGCGTTAAGCAGGAGTAGCATAACCTGAGTCATGTTTAATAGGATCACCTGCATGCTCTACTGAGACGAGACTGAAGGTAGATAAAAGCAGAAGTTGAGACCAGTGTAAAGCACTTTTCTAATAATCCAGGCAAGATGTAGATCATTTGAATCAAGATGGTCCATCTGCACCTACAGATAGAACAGCTAGAGGTATTGCTATTAATAGTAAATCAGGCAAGGGGTGTGAGAGAAATAGAGGAGTCAAGAACAACTACGTTTTTGACCTGAGCAAATAAAAGAACTAAGTTCCCTGTCAATGATCATTGGCAATGGCTTTGGGAGAAGCATGTTGTTTTATTTTGCTTTTGGGGGAGTGGGAGCAGGAGAAACAGGAACTCAGTTTTAGCCATGGTAAGAGGCCTGTTAAATATTCATGTAGAAATGCTAAATAGATAGTGAATGCATGAGGTTAGAGTCTAGGCAACTTCCAAGCTACAGATACAAATCTAGATAATCAGTCTAAATAGTATTTCAAGCTGTGATACTGAGTGAAAGTAAGTTACACCAAGGAGTAGGTGTGGAAAAAAATGAAAGTGTCCAAGAACTGGTGCCGGGGGAACATGGGAGACAGAAGGGACAACCCATAAGGCAGGAGGAAAGGAGGGTGTGGGGTTCTGGAGGCCGCACAATCAAAGACTTCCAGGAAGAGGGCATGACTGTGTGTGTTAAAGTGGTAAGTCAAGTGAAATGAGGATGGAGAGCTGTCCACTGGATTTGGTAATATTAATAATATGAAGGCTGCTGATGGCCTTGAAAAAACAGTTTCTGAGGAGTAATACTGTGAAAGTTTGACTACAATCCATTCAAGAGATAATAAAAGAAGATAAATAGAAAATAACCATAATATACAAGAGATAACTGAAGGGGCAAATAATACCTAGAAGGCTTTTAAGATGGAATAACTATATGTTTAAAGGGGAAGGTCCAATACAGAAGTTTTTTTTTTTTTTTTTTTAAAGGAAATAGGATGCAGAAAGAGGGGAAGAATTACTAGAAGAATATCCTTGAATAGGCAAATGGGGATGGAGTCTGGGGCGCCAAGTAGAATGACGGGTCTTTGTGGGGGAAATGGGTAGTTTATCCATCACAACTGGAGATATGTCAGAATACATGAACTACATGCAGGTAGGTGGGGAAAATTTGACTTTTTGTCTGATAGCTGCTATTTTCTCCATGAAATAAGAAGCTATGAGGGATAGGGAAAGAAATGCGGCAGGTCTGATGAAAGAAAAGCTACAAAATATTCATCCAAGGAAGTGGGAGAATGGATGGACTTTGGGAAATTTGGTATCATTGTTGAGCAGCATGCAAACCCACTTGAGGACAGTGGTCATGAATCAAAATCAAGCCATTTATCTGCACAGGTAGAATTAAACTGCGTTAAGGCTTAAACAAGTGAGTGCACCAAAGAGAGAGCAGGAAGTTGAGAAAGTTATTATAACACTTTGACAAAGCATTTTAGCTAGCCAAGGAGGGAAGTAAGGTCATAAAAAGGTGGAAGTAATATGGCTTGTAGGTCCCAGAGATTTGAAGAATTATGAAACTGGAAATTCTAGAGGAAGTGAATTTAAAGACAGGAATAAAGCTTAGAGAGTAAAATGCCAGAAGCTGAGTTTATGGGGGAATTACCTTATTGTTGACAACAAGACTTTGATGCCATCTTACCTATGTATGCACAATAATCCCACTTTGGACACCACATACAGCTTCTTGATTAGTTTCAATGGTGATAGTGCCTTGTCCTCAGTCCCAAACAACATGTAAAATTCAGTATTAATGACACAGACTGCCAATATCAAAGTCATTCCCACTGCAGTGAGAGCCATTTGTGCAGCAGATAAGTTAATACCGTAAAGACAAAAGAAACAACAAGAAGAGGATATTAAAACAGAAGTGATTTGAACCAAACAGCCCACCAAAAATAGAACAGAAACAAGTATCTTTGAGGTTGAGTGTTGATGCAGTTTGGATTTGTGTCCCCACCAAAATCTCTGGTCAAATTGTAATCCCCATTGTTCAAAGAGGGGCCTGGTGGGAGGCGACTGGATCATGAGGGTGGATTTCTCCCTTGCTGTTCTCATGATAGTGAGTTCTCACGAAATCTGGTTGTTTAAAAATGTGTAGCACCTCCCCTTTCTCTGTCTTCCTCCTGTTCCAGCCATGTAAGATGAGCCCGCTTTCTCTTCGACTTTTGCCATGATTGTAAGTTTCCTGAGGCCTCCCCAGCCATGCTTCCTATAGTTCCTGCAGAACTGTGAGCCAACTAAACCTCTCTTCTTTATAAATTACTCAGTCTTGGGCATTTCTTTATAGCACTGTGAGAATGGACTAATACAAGTGCCTAGATGAAGATCCAATGACTGACCACAATATTATGCAGAATCCATCCATGGGTGTGGTAGACTGATGAGACTCCCAAAAATATGCCCTGCCCTATCTCTGGAAAAACGGTCTCTGAATAGGTAAGTTAAGGAATTTCAGATGAGGAGATTATCTTGGATTATCCCGGTGAGTTCCCAAATGCCATCACAAGAGAGATGCAGAGACCGATTTGACCCATACAGAGGAGAAGGTGCTATAAAGGCAGAAGCAGAGAGTGGAGTGATATAGCCACAAGCCAAGGAAGACTAAAGAATGCTGAAAGCTACCAGAACCCAGAAGCAGCAAGGAACAGATCCTTCCCCAGGGCCACGGTAGGGAGCATGGCATCTGCTGAAACCTTTATTTTGGATTTCTGAAAATAATTTTTTCTTGTTTTAAGCCACTTGATTTGTGGCAATTTATTACAGCACCGAAAAGAAACACATACAACTTAATCTAAGCAGTACCTACCATGCATGGTGCCAGGCTGGGCACTTTGTAACCATGATGGACCAGGCTTAGTTGATCTGACATAAGTGATGGATCAAATCCAGATAATAGGAAGTCGAAACCACTTGAAGAAATGAGTCCTAAAATATGAAGAAATAATCATATATCTGGTCATGATAGAAGAGGAGCTATCTAGATTATGGATTCCTGAAGAAATTCCAAAGTGCTTGCAATTGACTTTTATTTGTTTCAAAAAAGGACAACATGGAGAATAGTCTATTGTAATAAGCAGATTACTTAGATCACTGTATTCAAAATGAAAATATTTTCCAGGATAGCCTGCACTAAAGGGAATATATTTATCCCCACCCAACACACAGAAAAGATTTAGAAATGAATGAGATAAACTTAGTGGAAGTTTATTCCTGTCATCTTTTCCAAAGTCTCAGCTTCAGAAATCACCCAAGAAACTAATGATTCTATAGGAAAAGTCTTCAAAATTCAGAGAGATAGCTCTACTGCGCCTTCAACGAAAAATGAGTTTACCACTAAGACTTTCTAATTGAAATAAAAGCAACCAGGACAAAAAAGCATAAGAGATATAAAATGTACTGGCTAGCCACTCAATGGCAAATTCAATCATTTCTCCCTTTTTTCCTCCTCGAAACAGCCTCACAGAACCAAACACCCTACATTCAGCTTTATCTGCTCCATACCCGGGACCCTCTTGGAGAAATTGATGGAAAGGTGGCCAACCGCCCTGGAATTGCCAACCCAGGTCTCAACAGATGTGGCTTTTGACTCATTAACAGTGGCAGCTAAAAACAGAATCAAGTACAGCTGCAAGAAAGGAGCACTGCTTGAGCCCATGGTTGGCTGAGAGGCTCCCGAAATCCCACCCAATTAGCATTCCTCTGAACAGAGATCCTCTACTTGGGGGGAAGACCCACAACAAAATCTGGCAGGAAATGGCATGTTGCCAAACACAAAGATATCCAAACCTGTGCACAGGTGGATTTGAACTCAAATTCTCCAAACAGCAGGGGTCCCATTGAGCCATTTCCACACAGCCTCTACATTGCGGTCTTGCTCTAAATGAGGCAGTTTTTGAAAATACACAGGGGAAGATGATTATTCACCATCTTGTTGCCAATCAGCACTGCTGTAAGGATTTTGCCAAATGACAGATCCATGGATTTGGGAGCTCCATCATTGTCTAGCTCTGACCCGTGATGGAGTTTCAGCATAAACCTCCTTGCTAATCCTATTAAAGAACCAAGAAGGATGCCACCATGACCTCCCTCATCTGCTTTTGGACGAGTGTTCACAGCTGCCACAACTTTCTGATAAATGTCAATCAAACACTTTAAAGCTTCATCAGAAACAGAAAACAGGACAACACTGATCTGAGACTGCACCTTATGCAAAAGGAAAAAAAAGACAGCTGAAAGAGGCACGATGTGGAAAATACTTACATTTCTTGAAAAACAACCAATTTGCAAACTAACTTCTTTGAAATTTTAGAGTTTAAATGTACATTTTTCTATTTGAAGGTTGTAGTTTGTCTCTAAATGCCGTCTCCTCCCAACTTTTCCAAATGACAGCTAGCTTTTACACTTAGATGGATGATGAAAGAAAACAAAAATGGAAAATCTCGAAAGCTCCTCAATACAATTGAAATAGAAAGAATTCAGCAGCCCACCTCACCCACCAGACTGAATTCTTTCTTTCTGCTAAGGAACGGAGTTAAGAGAGAGGCCACAAACTGTGCACAAAAGCAGCACCCGGGCTCGAATTTCTGCTCCTATCCTGTGGAGTCGGGAAGAATGGCAAATCTGAAGGATGGCCAGGTAAGCTTTGGCTCAGATAAAAGTGCAGTATCATGATGTCGTAGCTCGGTTACAATTGCCTTGTTGTATTATGAACGGGACATGCAATAGGTCTTTTTTTCTGTTTAAACAGATACTATTTGATTAATAGCCCCATGAGATGGAGAACTGGTTTTTATTTGTAGTTCATCAAAAGACTAGGACTTATCAGGTGATGTGGGAACGAAAATAGCACATTGGTTGAAAGGCCCCATTTTATTAAGGACAATGCCGCCAGCAGTCCAACCAGAACCCCACCTGGGCTTCCATTCAGCTGACAAGATACTAATCAGCGCATATTATGAATACAGCTACACAAGAGCCTGGGAAGATTCACTACTGTAGGGCAACAAATAGCTTTGTTCAGTCAAGATGCACATAGTGCATTTCTAACTGGTTCCCCTCAACCCCACTCCACCATATCTTACCTTACAATGTTGAAAATGATGAAGCAGGCAAAAACTTCTCCACAAACAAAACTCACACTCCTATTTTTAGCGGTTTCCACCCTCTGGGTCTTGGAATTCTTTAGGGTTTCTATATTCTTGAAAGTCATTTGTGAATCCATATGTATCCAGACATCAGCCACACACTTGCACATATATTTATGACTCTCCAAGCACAATGTGCCAGAGACCAGTTTGTGTGACCTCCTAAGCTCACAGCTATCCTCCCAGCCTCCCTTGCTGGGAGGTATGACCATGAAACTGATTTCTTGTGGAGGGACAAGAGGGAATGGAACCCTACCAGATTTGAGCCTAGTTAAGAATACAAAAAGTAGACGTGGGCAGAAGTGATGCATTCCACTCCCAGGACTACCCCCAAGAAAACTTACCCGTGCAATTCTCAACATTCCCTTCCCCCATATGTCATCCAGATACAGGCACCAGGGTGACCTTGGAAGCTATGTGTTAAAGACGGCAGAGACTCCATCAAACCAGTCAAACCAGGTGGATGACTCCATCAAACCAGGTGCTTGAAGAGCACCTACCCCCACTTCAGCCCTGCCAATTGGACTTTATGTGACCGAGAAATTTTGTTAAAACTCTGAGATTTCAGGATTTTTCTACTATAGTAGCTAATATTTCTTTAAATAACATACGAACATAGGTGCTGCTGTAATTAATAATGTATACATTCACTGTAAAACCAATCCCAAGACAGTTTTATTCACTGCATATTTTCTCAAAAATATTTCATTAATCCTTTTTTCAACAATGCCAGGCACTGAACTAGATGTGACATATATAGAGTGCAGAGTGAGTCCATCCCTGGCCTCATGTGTACAATGTACTGGGGATGGCAGACGTATAACAAAAATGCAAAGAAGTGTATGAAAGAAAATGCAAACAAGTGCTAGAAAGAAAATGGGCATTGTGAGAAATAATGACAGAAGCCATCTAACACAGAAGGAAGTCCAGGGTCAGGACTTTCTGGGGAAGTGATACTTAAGCTGCAGGCCAGACAGATGAACATAAAGTAATTAATTCAAAATAAAGGAAAGAGACCTCCAGGCAAAGAAAACAAATTGTGCAAAGTCCCTTAAGTAAGAACGCTTGGTGCCCTTGGGGAACTGAAAGAAAAGAAGGGCAGGACACCTGGGTAGAAGGGAGCTGAGTGAGGGGAAGAGGAGGAGGATAGAAGGGAGGAAGAGGAGTGAGGGAACCTGGGGAGCTAGGCAGGGGCTGGATCAGGCAAGGCCTTGATATTCATAATAAGGGTTTTCCAGCTTATTCGGAAGCATGCATTCTCAATGGGGGCAATAATGCCCCCAAAGGGGTGAAAAATTGGTTCTTAGGGATACGAAAGAAGAGGTCTTACAGTACATTTATTGTGTTAAGATTTCATGGGGGTGGGGGAGTGGATTAGGATAAAATGTCTAAAAAAGCTTTTTTGGGAGGTGATAACGAAAAGGCTGAGAAATACTGATGTAAAGGCGGCAGGAAATCACTGAAGCCTTTAAGCAGGGAAGTGCCATGGTACAATTTCTGTTTCTCAAAAATCTGAAGAGGAGCTATTAATATGTTTGTGTTTTAAAAGTTTTTATATTTAAAAAGGTTAGAAACCCCTATTCTTCATCGTTTTAAAATTATGGTTAATTGGCATTAACCCACTAGATCATGTAATCCAAGCCTTTCCTTCTACCAACTCAAACACAGCATACACACACACACACCCACACATGCACTCAGGAAGTCTACATAACTGTTTTGTCCATAGTCGTGTAATTAGCAGGCAGTGGTAAGCAGAGTTTCCTGGTCTACTGCCTTTTCTTTCAGCACCCTTTCTAAAATTCTACCTTGTCTGTTGCTCCACACACCATGCCATGTGTGCAATTAGTTTGCATTTTAAATACTGATTCACATTTGACCTCCTTTCACATAGTATGGGTCAGATGCACAAAAAATATATAATTTATTTGCTTGTTCTTGTTAGAGATAGGATCTTGCTCTGTCACCCAGGCTCGTCTTGAACTCCTGGCCTCAAGCAATCCTCCCTCCTCAGCCTCCCAAAGTACTGGGATTACAGGTGTGAGCCACCATGCCTGACAGAACACATAATTTCTTTTTGTCATGCTCCTGGATTGTTGAGGAAAAATAATGTCCTAGCAACATATTGTCCCCTATCTTGAAAAATGTCAATATTTGCAGGTTACATACAAGACTAAACACAAGAATCCTCCTTGGCTCTGTTGATTTGGCTAAAGGTGGAAGAAGTCAGAGGAGTATTGCTCAGGTTTTGTTTTAACCATTGGCTGATTTCCAATGTGAAACTATTAGCTCTACCTTGAGTTCAAAAAGAACTGTTTCCTGGATCTCCCAAAATAGTAAACTAGAAGTCTCAAGAGGCAGGTGCTGCTTTTCTTGTATACAGAAAAAGAACTAGGTTCAGTGGCTAACATCTGTAATCCCAGCACTTTGGGAAGCTGAGGCAGGTAGATCGCTTGAAGCAGGGAGTTTGAGACCAGCCTGAGCAACATGGTGAAAACCCTGTCTCTACTAAAAACACAAAAACATTAGCTGGGCCTGGTTGGCGTATCCCTGTAGTCCCAGCTACTTGGGAGGCTAAGGTGGGAGAATCACCTGAGCCCAGGAAGTCGAGGCTGCAGTGAGTCCTGATAGTACCAATGCACTCCAGCCTGGGCGACAGAGCAAGACCCTGTCTCAAAAAAAAAAAAAAAAAGAAAGAAAGAAAAGAAAAGAAAAAGAACCACACATAAAGCAAAATGGAACATCAATTTCATAGCAACATTATTCACAACAGCCAAAAAGTGAAAGCAACTCAAGTGTCCACTAATGAATGCATGAGTAAATAAAATGTAGTATATATACAGCTGTTCTTAGTATCCATGGGGGATTCACTCCAGGACACCCCAGGAACACAAAAATCCACAGATGCTCAAGTCCCTTATATTGTGTAATATTGGCATAATTTACACATATCCTCTGAAATACTTTAAATCATCTCTAAATTACTTATAATACCTAATACAATGTAAAAGCTATGTAAATATGTTGTTATACAGTATTGTTTAGGGAGTAATGACAAGGAAAAAAGTCTGTACATATTCAGTACAGATGCAACCATCTGTTTTTTATTGTTTTTAGATATTTTGATCTGAAGTTGCTTGAATTCACAGATGCAGGTCCCATAGATACAGAGGGCCATATATATATAATTTATATATCAATATACATTTATATAAAATATTCCACTGCATGCATGTATATGTATATATGTACATATATGTATACATGTATATACACATACATATGTATATATGTACGTATATGTGTGCATGTATATGCACATATGTATATATGTACATGTACATATATGTGTATATGTATGTGTGCATTTATGTATACATGTATGTGTACATACACATGTACATATACATTCATGCAGTGGAATATTATTTAGCCCCAAAAAGGAAGGAAATTCTGATATATGCTACGATATGGATAAGCCCTGTGGACATTATGTTTAAGTGAAATAAGCCAGTCACAAAATAAAACCAAATACTGTGTGATTCCAACTTATGTAAGGTACCTAGAGCAGTCAAAATCATAAACAGAACATAGTATGGTGGTTGCCAGGGGATAGGGGAAGAAAAGAACGAGGAGTTGTTCGTGGCTATAGACTTTCAGTTTTGCAAGTTGAAAAGAGCTCTGGAGACGGATGGTAATGATGGTTGTACAACAACATAAATGTACTTCACACTACTGAAATGTAAACTTAAAAGTGGTCATGATGGTCAATTGTGTTATATATATTCTACCATAAGTTTTAAAATAATTTTAATGGGTAAGATAAAGAAAATTATAAGTGGTTTCACTGTAATGTCGGAGAATCTCTGTACACATAGACACACACAGTCAGAAAACTTAAACATCTAGACCACACCTTGGAAATCTGAAAGCTTGGAAAAGCTCATTGGTGGAAACCAAAACAAGAAAGGGGATATTCTGGATTCATGATAACATTACACTTACAATCCTCTTGAATTTGATTGGCCAATAGTATGTGAGCAAAAGCACCTCTTGTTTTAACCATTGGCAGGAGATTGCCAAAGTGAATCTATTAGTTCTACAATGAAGTAAAAAATCATTGTGTCCTGTGTCACCTCTGAGTGGAAGTATTTATTTAGAGCAGCACTCTCCTCCTCCTTCCTGGGTGGCTATGGAAATGCGGGTTGAGATGGAGCTGCCGTCAGCATGGATTCCTGAGTACGCCCAGTGAGCCAAGCGTTCCTGACGATCCACACTGGTGATGTGGCCGAGTGGTGAAATAAACCTTGGTGGTGTTAAACCATCGTGTTTTGGGGGTTATTTGCTATTACAGCATGATCTAGTCCATCCTAAATAATACAGAGTTTTAAAATTAGCATTCGAAACTGAGAATTTGAATTTCATCTTATACCAATAAATAAGCACTCTTTAATAATAAACAACCTTTATTTCTCTGCAGGTGATGTCTGAAAGAAACATCACAATAGTCATTCTTCATAAAACGTACAAGCAGTATGACAATGATTATTAACAATAAAGAAAACTTCTTTCCTTTCCATATGCAGTAGACATCACAGACCGCATGAGTCAGTGGAGCGTATCTGCAGGTATTTTGTTTGGCTGGTTTGTGGTAGAAATGGGGAGAACATCCTAAATAATAGGCACATGAAACATTTCCTTCCTTTCCTCCAAGAATGTAGCAACAATTGCTACATTGCGCTTGGGGAGAGAAGGTATTGAGCAGCACGTATTCTCCATTTCGTCAAGTGTCAGGTTGCTGGATGCTTTGGATGGTTTTCTTTTTTTTTTTAATTATACTTTAAGTTTTAGGGTACATGTGCACATTGTGCAGGTTAGTTACATACGTATACATGCGCCATGCTGGTGCGCTGCACCCACTAACTCGTCATCTAGCATTAGGTATATCTCCCAATGCTATCCCTCCCCCCTCCCCCCACCCCACCACAGTCCCCAGAGTGTGATATTCCCCTTCCTGTGTCCATGTGATCTCATTGTTCAATTCCCACCTATGAGTGAGAATATGCGGTGTTTGGTTTTTTGTTCTTGCGATAGTTTACTGAGAATGATGATTTCCAATGTCATCCATGTCCCTACAAAGGACATGAACTCATCATTTTTTATGGCTGCATAGTATTCCATGGTGTATATGTGCCACATTTTCTTAATCCAGTCTATCATTGTTGGACATTTGGGTTGGTTCCAAGTCTTTGCTATTGTGAATAATGCCGCAATAAACATACGTGTGCATGTGTCTTTATAGCAGCATGATTTATAGTCATATGGGTATATACTCAGTAATGGGATGGCTGGGTCAAATGGTATTTCTAGTTCTAGATCCCTGAGGAATCGCCACACTGACTTCCACAATGGTTGAACTAGTTTACAGTCCCACTAACAGTGTAAAAGTGTTCCTATTTCTCCACATCCTCTTCAGCACCTGTTGTTTCCTGACTTTTTAATGATTGCCATTCTAACTGGTGTGAGATGGTATCTCATAGTGGTTTTGATTTGCATTTCTCTGATGGCCAGTGATGATGAGCATTTTTTCATGTGTTTTTTGGCTGCATAAATGTCTTCTTTTGAGAAGTGTCTGTTCATGTCCTTCGCCCACTTTTTGATGGGGTTGTTTGTTTTTTTCTTGTAAATTTGTTTGAGTTCATTGTAGATTCTGGATATTAGCCCTTTGTCAGATGAGTGGGTTGCGAAAATTTTCTCCCATTTTGTAGGTTGCCTGTTCACTCTGATGGTAGTTTCTTTTGCTGTGCAGAAGCTCTTTAGTTTAATTAGATCCCATTTGTCAATTTTGTCTTTTGTTGCCATTGCTTTTGGTGTTTTGGACATGAAGTCCTTGCCCATGCCTATGTCCTGAATGGTAATGCCTAGGTTTTCTTCTAGGGTTTTTATGGTTTTAGGTCTAACGTTTAAATCTTTAATCCATCTTGAGTTGATTTTTGTATAAGGTGTAAGGAAGGGATCCAGTTTCAGCTTCCTACATATGGCTAGCCAGTTTTCCCAGCACCATTTATTAAATAGGGAATCCTTTCCCCATTGCTTGTTTTTCTCAGGTTTGTCAAAGATCAGATAGTTGTAGGTATGCGGCGTTATTTCTGAGGGCTCTGTTCTGTTCCATTGATCTATATCTCTGTTTTGGTACCAGTACCATGCTGTTTTGGATATCACCACCGATCCCACAGAAATACAAACTACCATCAGAGAATACTGCAAACACCTCTACGCAAATAAACTAGAAAATCTAGACGAAATGGATAAATTCCTCGACACATACACTCTCCCAAGACTAAACCAGGAAGAAGTTGAATCTCTGAATAGACCAATAACGGGAGCTGAAATTGTGGCAATAATCAATAGTTTACCAACCAAAAAGAGTCCAGGACCAGATGGATTCACAGCCTAATTCTACCAGAGGTACAAGGAGGAACTGGTACCATTCCTTCTGAAACTATTCCAATCAATAGAAAAAGAGGGAATCCTCCCAAACTCATTTTATGAGGCCAGCATCATTCTGATACCAAAGCCGGGCAGAGACACAACCAAAAAAGAGAATTTTAGACCAATATCCTTGATGAACATTGATGCAAAAATCCTCAATAAAATACTGGCAAACCGAATCCAGCAGCACATCAAAAAGCTTATCCACCATGATCAAGTGGGCTTCATCCCTGGGATGCAAGGCTGGTTCAATATACGTAAATCAATAAATGTGATCCAGCATATAAACAGAACCAATGACAAAAACCACATGATTATCTCAATAGATGCAGAAAAAGCCTTTGACAAAATTCAACAACCCTTCATGCTAAAAACTCTCAATAAATTAGGTGTTGATGGGACGTATCTCAAAATAATAAGAGCTATCTATGACAAACCCACAGCCAATATCATACTGAATGGGCAAAAACTGGAAGCATTCCCTTTGAAAACTGGCACAAGACAGGGATGCCCTCTCTCACCACTCCTATTCAACATAGTGTTGGAAGTTCTGGCCAGGGCAATTAGGCAGGAGAAGGAAATAAAGGGTATTCAATTAGGAAAAGAGGAAGTCAAATTGTCCCTGTTTGCAGACGACATGATTGTATATCTAGAAAACCCCATTGTCTCAGCCCAAAATCTCCTTCAGCAAAGTCTCAGGATACAAAATCAATGTACAAAAATCACAAGCATTCTTATACACCAACAACAGACAAACAGAGAGCCAAATCATGAGTGAACTCCCATTCACAATTGCTTCAAAGAGAATAAAATACCTAGGAATCCAACTTACAAGGGATGTGAAGGACCTCTTCAAGGAGAACTACAAACCACTGCTCAAGGAAATAAAAGAGGATACAAACAAATGGAAGAACATTCCATGCTCATGGGTAGGAAGAATCAATATCGTGAAAATGGCCATACTGCCCAAGGTAATTTACAGATTCAATGCCATCCCCATCAAGCTACCAACGACTTTCTTCACAGAATTGGAAAAAACTACTTTAAAGTTCATATGGAACCAAAAAAGAGCCCGCATTGCCAAGTCAATCCTAAGCCAAAAGAACAAAGCTGGAGGAATCACACAACCTGACTTCAAACTATACTACAAGGCTTTGGATGGTTTTCTAAACAAGTATCTGTTAATCTTCCAGGGGCATGATGACTTGAAGAAAAAACACACAGAAGCTGTGTTCCAGCAGGTTACACGAGGGGCGTAAGGGTTGGGGCTTTCCTTCCCCTATGTCTCTGATCATTCCTCTGCTGCAGAGTGACTGAGAGCTGAGGCTATTCCTAAACATCTGAAAACCACTTATAAACAACTGCAGTTACTACAAATAAAGACACTTTAAACTGGTGGTTCATACCTTTAGTTCATGATGTAACTAGACACTAAAATAATAGCGTATGCTCTGATGGGAAAAAAATCACTGAGCAGAGTTATGAGATGCGTGGTTCACTCCCACCTCTCCCTCTAACAAACTGGGACAAGTCAACTCAACTTTCTAAGACCTTACCTCTCTCATCTGTAAATAAGACACATCATATCAGTGTTTCCTAAAATGTGGTTTTTGGTCAAAATGTGTCTGAATCCTCTGTGGTTATGTGGGTGAGGGGGAAGGGTGGGAATGGAGGGGGTACCGGTAATAAACGCATATCCCTAAACCCATCCTAGTCCTATTGAATCAGAATCTCTGAGATTGAGGCTCAGGAATCTGCAATGAAAAACTTCTCAGCTTTTAGTTGCACAGATCTATTCTTCAGTGACCTCTGGAATTATGCAACATAGCACAACTGACTTAGGCACACTGAAGTTTGTGAAACACAAGACTAAAGAGTCCTTAAGACGCCTTCCAGCCTTATAATCCTATGGTCATGAGCAGAACTGAAAAGAAATATGTAGCACGTGCGCTACTCACCCCACTGCCCCCAAAATGCATAATTCTCCACTTAGAGATCATCCCAGTGCAAAATAAAACATTAAAACTGATATAGAATTAATAACTATTCAAAAATTATTTCCCATTCATTTCACCTCATCTCCATTCTCCACCACAAAAAAAAAAAAAGCCTGAACTGCAATCACACCTTAGAGAATACATTTTTAATACCACACATGATATTTCAAGGCCAGATCTTTATATCATGTTAACTCTATGTTCTCTCATAAAACTGTTTCCAAATATGAATGTCAAAATGTATAAAATAAAATATTTCTGTGCTGTATCTCTAAGCAAATAGGTTAGACTATGTTTACTTCAACAGAGAATGAAAAATGAGCTGTTACTGAAAAATTAAAAAACAAAAATAGGGATGGAGAGAGCTGTTATTATTGTGTTTGGCAACCAGAAGGCAGTCAGTGAGCACGGAATCTCTTCCCTAAAAAAAAATTCTGACATTTGTACTTGCAGAAAGGGTCACTAAATCCAGAACTAGACCCTGGGCCTCTAGAACACAAATCTCGTGTCTTTTTTATAATTCTGACCAGTGTCTTATTTACACTAGGAAATAAAAAGTGTCAGTCTCTGAAAAGTGTGCCTCATAACCAGAATGAGTTATAACAAGATTGGGAACTGGATCAGGATAGAAAAATAGAAATTAAAGAGAATAAATAGTGCTAACTTCCAGTTAACATGGCAGGTTGAACACCATATTTTCTCTCCCAAATGTCTGCTAAAATAACAGTAAATAAATAAAGATGACAAAAGAATTGGAAAGGACACAACAACAGGCGAAAGATGAAAATAAATTTTTGGAATATGGAAAACTGGTGGAGGAATTGTAACTGACTTAGCAGAATTGTGCGGGCAGAGAGATAAAACAAGGAGTCACCAAACCATGTGGCCTGTAGGGCTTCAGACTTGGAGGTACCTGGTGCTGTTGAAAGAAGAGGGAGATGAGTGAAGTTTGTCCCCAGCTAGGAATACTGGTTCAAAATCTACGTAAATTTAACTCTGTTGAAAATAAAATTGAGAAAATCCTTTAGAAAGTATAACAAACAAATAAATACAAAAGATTTTAAGAGATGATGAACAACCCAAGAGGCCAAATAACTAATAGGAGTTTTACAAAAAGCAAACACATAAAATGTTGGAAAGGAAATTATTGAGGATATATGAAAATAAATATTCCCTAAATTGAAAGAGACAGATCTACTGAAAGCCCACAAAGAACCTAGCATGGTGAATTTAAATAACCCACAGCAAGGCACAGCATTATGAAACTTTAGCACAGGGGTCTGCAAACGATGGCCCATGGGCCAAATCCGCCCTCTTGCCTGGTTTTGTAAATAGTTTATTGGAACACAGTCACAATCATTTGTTTACAACTGTCTAGGCTTCTTTCATGCTATAAAGGCAGAGTTGAGAAGTTAGGACAAAGACCGTATAGCCCACAAAGCCTAAAACATTTACACTATTTCCCTTTACAGAAAAAGTTTGCCGACCTTTGCTTTAGAGTGCCAGATATAAAATGAACATTCTAGAAGTTTCCAGAGACCAAAAAATGCAGGCTGAAGACACAGGATCTAGATTTAAAATGGAACTGGATTCCTCAATAGCAACATGAGATGTCAAAAGAGAACGCGGTGATGCCACCAAAATTTGAGGGAGGGGAGTAGAAGCAGGGAGAAAACTATTTTCAACCTAGGAGTCTATGTCATGCAAAATAAGCAACAAGTGTGAGAGTAGAATAACTTTCTGGACACAAAAGTAGTTTTAAAAAATTTTACTTTCATACACATTTTATTTTCTGGAGGTTGAGGAATCTATGAAATAGGCCAGTTCAACAGAATAAAAGAAGCGAAGTCTTAGTATGACAGCTATGAGGGTGGGTACGCAAAAAGCAATCAGACCTAAAGACAACAGAGAAGGGTGAAAGGAGGAATGCTAGCAGGGCAAAGGAACTGACTCTGATTGTTATTATGCCTTTGCATTTGGAAAAATTATTCATAGGCATGTGACAGGTATTCAGTAGCACTGGAGGAAAAGAGTAACAGTTACATAAATTAAGAACTTTTCTTTCAATCAAGGCAGTTGTTAACTCTAATAAAACATAAGTAAAAATGAAAAGATCCTCAACATCATTAGTCATTAGAGAAATGCAAACAAAAATCACAATGAGGAATCACTTCATATTCACCAGGATGGCTATAATCAAAAGGTCAGATACTAATAAGTGATAGTGAGGATGTGGAAAAATTAGGACCTTCATACACTGCTGATGGGAATGTATAATGGTGTAGCAGGTTTGGAAAACACTCTGGCAGTTTCTCAAATGATTAAATATAGTGTACTATTTAACCTAGCAATTACACTCCTAGGTATATACCCAAGAGAAATAAAAACATTTGTCCACCCAAAAACTTGTACATAAATGTTTATAGCAGCATTACTCATAATAGCTAAAAAGTGGGAAAAATCCAAATACCCATAGGTAGATGAACAAATAAACAAAATGTGTTATATTCATACAATGGAATAATACTCAGCCATAGAAAGGAATGAAGTACTGATATATGCTACAACTTGGATAAACCTTAAACACATTATGTTAAGTGAAATCAGACAGTCACAAAAGTCCACATATTATATAATTCCATTGATACGAAAATCTAGAACATGGAAATGTATTAAGAAGGTAGATAAGTGGTTGTTTAGGCTAGGGTGGGAGGGAAGTAAGGGGGTGATATAAAGGGTACAAGATTTCTTTTTGAATTCACAAAAATGTTGCAAAAGTGACTGTGATGATGGTTTAATGTAACTGTGAATATAATAAAAACCAATGAACCAGAACCGTTTAAAATGGAGTCTGGATTCCTCAATAGCAACATGTACTTTAAATGCATAAATTGTACTGTTTGTGAATTATATCTCAATAAAGCTTTTTTTTTTTACAAAAAGGAAGTGTACTAGAAAAAATAATAATAATGTACTACTTGGCTCACTATTGCCACTACAACATATTAATACTTATCATTGATTTTTTTAATGTGATAAAAGATAACAAAAGGATGATGAAAGTAGGATTTGAAAGAGAATTAGGAAGTCATACTATAATGGGAATTTAATAAAATATGGTAAGTCAGGAGATCACATTAAAGGTACAGTGTGAGAACAATGGAGGTAACTATTATATTAAAAAAATCTCAAATCAGAAATGTTTGTCTAATATTAATATAGCCAAAGGCAAAGTAGATTTTAGAGCACAGACCATTACTAGGGATAGAGAAGGTCATTTATTCATAATAAAGGGTCAACTCACCAAGGTAACATAACAATCCTAAACATTTATGTACCCAATAACAGAGCTTTAAAATAAAGCAAAAACTATTAGAACTGCAAGAGAAATAGACAAGTCTACAGTGGTAATATAGAGATGTCAATATCCCTTTCTCAATAATTGATACAATAAGTATACAGAAAAATCAGTAAGTGTATGGAAGACTTGAACAATGGTATCAACCAATTTGACCTGATTGACATTTAAAGAACATTCTATCAAACAATAGCAAAACTGATCGGGAAAAAAAAATAGAGGCACAAATTTGTAGAAAGTTTAATTCTTTTCAAGTGTACACAGAACAGTTAATAAGAAAGACCATCATTCTGGTCCATTAAACAAGTGTCAATAAATTAAAAAGGATTCAAGTGACATAAAGTGTGTCATCTAATCACACTGCAATTAAACTAGAAATCAATAACACAAAGATACCCAGATAATCCCCAAATATTTAGAAACCAAACAACCATTTCTAAATAGCCATGAGTCAAAGAAGAAATAAAAGGTTATAAGAAAGTACTATGAACTGAAAAAAAAATACATATAGAAATTTATGATATGCCTCTAAAGCACAACTTAGGGAATATTTATATCATTAAACATCTGTGTTTGAGAATCCAAAATACCTTATATCAATGACTTCAGCATACACCTTACAAAACTAGAAAAATAAGACCAAATAAAACAGACTAGAAGAAAAATTAATGAAGAGAGGAAATGAGTGAAATAGAAAACAAAAACAACAAAGAAAAATTCATTAAACCAAAAGCTGCTTCTTTGAGAAGATTGATAAAATTGATAAGCTATGAAGCAGATTGATCAGGGAAAAAGAAAGAATAACCAATATCATGAATGATACAGGTAATATAACTACATAGCCTAATAACATTAAATAACATAATAAAGGAGCACTATGAACTACTTTACACCAATGAATTCAACAAGTTAGATGAAACTGACGAACTTGTGAAAGACAATCAAAGCTAACTCAAGATGAAATTGATAACCCTAATAGCCCCATATCTATTCAAGAAATTAAGTTTGTAATTAAACAGTTCTCACACCAAATAAAATTTAGGTCCAGGTGGCTTCACTGGTGAATTCTTAAACATTTAAGGAAGAAATCATATAGAGATTGCAGAAAGTTGAAAATAAGGGAATATTTTCTGACTTATTCTATGAAGCCGGCATTGCTCTAATACCAAAACCAAAGATATTTCAAGAAAAGGAAACTTCAGAACCTTATTCCTCATGGACATAGATGTAAAAATTCTAAACAAAATTTAGTAAATTGAATCCAACAATATATAAAAATAATATTATGATCAATTTGGGCTTATTCCAAGAATGCAAGGTAGGTTGAACATTCAAATATCAGTGAAGGTAACTCACTATATTAAACTAAAAAGGAAAAATCTTGTGATAATTAGCTGCAGAAACAAAATCCATTTCTGATAAAAACACTCAGCAAATGAAGAATAAAAGCAATTTCCTCAGACATAAAGAGCATCTACAAAAAAGCCCACACCTAACATCATACTTAATGATAAACAAGACAAGGATATCTGTTCATACCACTTCTATCCAACCTTGTACTGGAGGTTCGAAGGTAGTGTCATAATACAAGAAAAAATTTCATAAAAGACATAAAGACTTTAAAGAACTCTCTTTATTTGCACAAGACAATCACTTATGTGGAAAATCTGATGGAATATACTACATATTGTTGCACACAACAACTACAGCTAATGAGTTTAATAAAGTTGCGGAAAACAAGAATATATAAAATCAATTGTATTTTTGTATACTAACAAAAAAAGAATTGGAAACTAAAATTTTTTAAAATGTCATTTAAAAAAGCATAACATATGAAATATTAATAAATCTGATGAAAATATATAACACTTGTACACTAAAATATTGTACCAAATACTGTTTAGAAGACCTAACTACAGAGGTTTTCATGTTCATGAGTCATGAAACTCAGTATTAGTAAAACGACAATTCTCTCAAAATATATCTTTTAGATTAAAACACTCCTAATCAAATCCCCGCATGCATCTTTTAATTGGCAATCTGATTCTAAAATTCATACAGGATAGACAAGTCAATGTCCTTGAAATATGAAGAACAAAGTTATTTTTATTTATCAGGACTTTTTATAAGGCTATACCACTCAAAGTGTGCTACTAGCATAGCAATAAACATGTACTTCAGTGGATTAGAGCAGAGAATCCAAAAATAGACCTACGCGTGTGTGGACAACTGATTTTTGAAGTACAAAGACAATTCAGTGGAGAAAGGATGGTCTTTGCAAAAAGTCATGCAAAAACAATTTAACATCCATAGGCCAAAAAACGAACTTTGATCCCTACCCTGTACCATATGCAAAAATTAACTCAAGAATGAAAGAAACTAAATGTAAAAACCTAAAACTATAAAACTTCTAGAAGACAACCTCTGTAATTTTGGGTTAGGCAAATATTTATTAGAAACAAGAACAAAATCACAATTGTCCAGGAAACAATTTGATAAATTCAACTTCATCAAAATTAAAAGCTTCTGCCAAGCAAAGGACACTGTTAAGAAAATGAAAAGACAGGCCACAGACTGGAAGAAAATATTTGCAAATCACACATCTGAGAAGACATTCATAGTGGCTGGGTGGTGGCTCACACCTGTAATCCCAGTACTTTGGGAGGCTGAAGTGAGCAGACCACTTGAGGCCTGGGGTTCGAGACCAGTCTGGCCAGCATGGCAAAACGTGTCTCCACTAAAAGTACAAAAAAATTAGCTGTGCATGGTGGCACGCACCTGTCATCCCTGCTACTTGGGATGCAGAAGCATGAGAATTGTTTGAACACAGAAGGTGGAGGTTTCAGTGAGCCAAGATCATGCCACTGCACTCCAGCCTGGGCAACAGAGCAAGACTGTCAAAAAAAAAAAATTCACAGCCAGAATGTAGAATTCTCCAAGCCCAATAAGAAAACTAACAATCCTATAATGGGCTAAATATTTGAATAGAAATTTTACCAAAGAAGATGTGTGGATTCTAAACGTATGAAAACATGCTCAATATCATTAATCATTAGAGAATTGCAAATTAAAACCCAGAACAAGCTATGACTATACCTGTTTGAATGACCAAAAGAAAAGACCACACCAGGTATTGGCAAGGATGCAGAGGAACTGGAACTCTCATTCTGCTACTGAGAAAAGGGTACAACCTTTTGAAAAACTGAGTTTCTTAAAAAGTTAAATGTACACCTACTATATTATTCAGCCATTCCATTCCTAGGTATTTACCTAACACAAATTAAACAACGTGTTCATACAAAGACTTGTACATAAATGTTTGCAGCAGCTTTATTTGTAATAGCAAAAGTGGAAACAGACACACTGTCCATCAATAGGTGAATGCTGATGGACAACAAACTGTGGTCTATCTATACAATGCAATACTACTCAGGAATAAAAGCAGCGAGATATTGATACATGCTATAACAGGAATAATCTCAAAATAATTATGCTGAGGGGAAAAAGCCAAAAGCCTCCTTTCAGTTAAAGGAGGAGGGATTGTTCCATTTACATAAAACTCTAGAAAATGCAAACTAATTCACAGTAACAAAGTATTTGATTGGTAATGTTTGTCTGGTGATCATTATTTGCCTGATGATGCTGGACTCAAGGACAGGAGGGAGGAAGACATTGCAAAGGGTAATGAGGAAACTTCAGGGTGATGGTGTCATGAATATATGCATATGTCAAAACTTATCAAATTGTATACTTTAAACATGTGCAGTATACCTTATGCCATTTATACCTCAATACAATGCAAAACAAATAAAAATCCTTAGTAGCATTTTTAACAATGCAAAATTATTATGGTAAAAAAAGAAAATAAATAAAAACAACAGCAAGAACATACAGGAGGATAACAAAAAAAACAAGCAAGTCATCTTCAAGAATTTTAGTTGGTTTGGCTCTCTGTTTGTCTGTTATTGGTGTATAAGAATGCTTGTGATTTTTGTACATTGATTTTGTATCCTGAGACTTTGCTGAAGTTGCTTATCAGCTTAAGGAGATTTTGGGCTGAGACAATGTGGTTTTCTAGATATACAATCATGTCATCTGCAAACAGGGACAATTTGACTTCCTCTTTTCCTAATTGAATACCGTTTATTTCCTTCTCCTGCCTAATTGCCCTGGCCAGAACTTCCAACACTATGTTGAATAGGAGTGGTGAGAGAGGGCATCCCTGTCTTGTGCCAGTTTTCAAAGGGAATGCTTCCAGTTTTTGCCCATTCAGTATGATATTGGCTGTGGGTTTGTCATAGATAGCTCTTATTATTTTGAGATACGTCCCATCAACACCTAATTTATTGAGAGTTTTTAGCATGAAGGGTTGCTGAATTTTGTCAAAGGCCTTTTCTGCATCTATTGAGATAATCATGTGGTTTTTGTCATTGGTTCTGTTTATATGCTGGATCACATTTATTGATTTACGTATATTGAACCAGCCTTGCATCCCAGGGATGAAACCCACTTGATCATGGTGGATAAGCTTTTTGATGTGCTGCTGGATTCGGTTTGCCAGTATTTTATTGAGGATTTTTGCATCAATGTTCATCAAGGATATTGGTCTAAAATTCTCTTTTTTGGTTGTGTCTCCGCCAGGCTTTGGTATCAGGATGATGCTGGCCTCATAAAATGAGTTAGGGAGGATTCCCTCTTTTTCTATTGATTGGAATAGTTTCAGAAGGAATGGTACCAGTTCTTCCTTGTACCTCTGATAGAATTCGGCTGTGAATTCATCTGGTCCTGGAGTCTTTTTGGTTGGTAAGCTATTGATTATTGCCACAATTTCAGAGCCTGTTATTCGTCTATTCAGAGATTCAACTTCTTCCTGGTTTAGTCTTGGGAGGGTGTATGTGTCGAGGAATTTATCCATTTCTTCTAGATTTTCTAGTTTATTTGCGTAGAGGTGTTTGCAGTATTCTCTGATGGTAGTTTGTATTTCTGTGGGATCGGTGGTGATATCCCCATTATCATTTTTATTGCGTCTATTTGATTCTTCTCTCTTTTCTTCTTTATTAGTCTCGCTAGCGGTCTATCAATTTTGTTGATCCGTTCAAAAAACCAGCTCCTGGATTCATCAGTTTTTTGAAGGGTTTTTTGTGTGTCTATTTCCTTCAGTTCTGCTCTGATTTTAGTTATTTCTTGCCTTCTGCTAGCTTTTGAATATGTTTGCTCTTGCTTTTCTAGTTCTTTTAATTGTGATGTTAGGGTGTCAATTTTGGATCTTTCCTGCTTTCTCTTGTGGGCATTTAGTGCTATAAATTTCCCTCTACACACTACTTTGAATGTGTCCCAGAGATTCTGGTATGTTGTGTCTCATGAGTGAACTCCCATTCACAATTGCTTCAAGGAGAATAAAATACCTAGGAATCCAACTTACAAGGGATGTGAAGGACCTCTTCAAGGAGAACTACAAACCACTGTTCAATGAAATAAAAGAGGATACAAACAAATGGAAGAACATTCCATGCTCATGGGTAGGAAGAATCAATATCATGAAAATGGCCATATTGCCCAAGGTAATTTATAGATTCAATGCCATCCCCATCAAGCTACCAAGGACTTTCTTCACAGAATTGGAAAAAACTACTTTAAAGTTCATATGGAACCAAAAAAGAGCCCACATTGCCAAGTCAATCCTAAGCCAAAAGAACAAAGCTGGAGGTATCACGCTACCTGACTTCAAACTATACTACACGGCTACAGTAACCAAAACAGCATGGTACTGGTACCAAAACAGAGATATAGATCAATGAAACAGAACAGAACAGAACAGAGCCCTCAGAAATAACGCCACATATCTACAACTATCTGAACTTTGACAAACCTGAGAAAAACAAGCAATGGGGAAAGGATTCCCTACTTAATAAATGGTGCTGGGAAAACTGGCTAGCCATATGTAGAAAGCTGAAACTGGATCCCTTCCTTACACCTTATACGAAAATCAATTCAAGATGATTAAAGACTTAAACGTTAGACCTAAAACCATAAAAACCCTAGAAGAAAACCTAGGCTTTACCATTCAGGACATAGGCATGGGCAAAGACTTCATGTCTAGAACACCAAAAACAATGGCAACAAAAGCCAAAATTGACAAATGGGATCTAATTAAACTAAAGAGCTTCTGCACAGCAAAAGAAACTACCATCAGAGTGAACAGGCAACCTACAGAATGGGAGAAAATTTTTGCAAGCTACTCATCTGACAAAGGGCTAATATCCAGAATCTACAATGAACTCAAACAAATTTACAAGAAAAAAACAAACAACCCCATCAAAAAGTGGGCGAAGGACATGAACAGACACTTCTCAAAAGAAGACATTTATGCAGCCAAAAAACACATGAAAAAATGCTCACCATCACTGGCCATCAGAGAAATGCAAATCAAAACCACTATGAGATACCATCTCACACCAGTTAGAATGGCAATCAGTAAAAAGTCAGGAAACAACAGGTGCTGGAGAGGATGTGGAGAAATAGGAACACTTTTACACTGTTGGTGGGACTGTAAACTAGTTCAACCCTTGTGGAAGTCAGTGTGGTAATTCCTCAGGGATCTAGAACTAGAAATATCATTTGACCCAGCCATCCCATTACTGGGTATATATCAAAAGGACTATAAATCATGCTGCTATAAAGACACATGCACACATATGTTTATTGCGGCATTATTCACAACAGCAAAGACTTGGAACCAACCCAAATGTCCAACAATGATAGACTGGATTAAGAAAATGTGGCACATATACACCATGGAATACTATGCAGCCATAAAAAATGATGAGTTCATGTCCTTTGTAGGGACATGGATGAGATTGGAAATCATCATTCTCAGTAAACTATTGCAAGAACAAAAAACCAAACACCGCATATTCTCACTCATAGGTGGGAATTGAACAATGAGAACACATGGACACAGGAAGGGGAACATCACACTCTAGGGACTGTTGTGGGGTGGGGGGAGGGGGAAGGGATAGCATTAGGAGATATACCTAATGCTAAATAACGAGTTAATGGGTGCAGCACACCAGCATGACACATGTATACATATGTAACTAACCTGCACATTGTGCACATGTACCCTAAAACTTATATTATAATAGTAATAAAATAAAATAAGAAAAAGAATTTTAGTTGGAAATCAGGTGCCCATAAAGGCGCAATTCTTTCCAGCCAACCAGGAAGTATTTATTTTATTACTGAATTCCTAACAAGGATACCATTTAGAATAACATTGTAAATGGAAATATTAAATCTTTCTGTCTGAATGAGCTACCACATATATATCACCAAAAGGACATGAACCGCCAGCAAGTGACATTTTTAAGCAACAGTAATGGATTTGCGCTGATCTAGTAACACATCCTCTTGACCAGCCTTCTTCGTTTTACAGTGGATTGCTACAGTCAGGTTGTAGAAATCGTTAAGTAATTGATAATATCTACTGGTTACCATGAGTTGATTAAGCATTTCCTTATCTGGGAGCAATTAAGGTAATAGGATCATGCTGGGTTCAGCTTATGAAATGAAATTAATGAGGAAAATAATCAGTTTCATAAGAATCTAAGGAATGAGTTGCCTTTAAGTTGCAAGGAAAGAAAAGAATCCTTTAAGAAGTGTAATTCAGTCAGAAGAGAAAGGGAAATAACCCCTGAAAGCAGAAATTCAGTGAGAAGAAAGAAATCTTTAGATTTCCAAATAATTTTTATTGGCATTAAAATTGTTCTTTGGACTATTTGGAGAATATAGCTCAAACATCATTCCATTTGGGTAGCAAAAGCTCTTGACTGCACAGTCTCCTTTCACTATAGCTACAGTATCTACACGGGAGGTCTGTTTGTTATACCTTCATGTATTGAGTGTTTTGATTCAAAAACAGCTTGAAGAATATATAAATTCCAAATAATGTTCAAATCATCTGGCACTGGCTATCGATCATAGAATGATTTCTTCTTGATTTGATATTAAGTATCCTCAAATTTCTGATCTGTTTAATTTGATGGTTAAATATAATGCCTATATGATTAAAACCAAGTGAAGACTTTAAACAGCTGCTCTGACAAACACCTGACCAAGTTAACTCTCAAAGGCATTTTGCATTTACCGGGATACTGAACCAATCTACCACTTTAAACTCTTTTCTGTTCTTTCTCAGACAAGTTTCATCAGGCTCCTCACATGTGGACAGCAGCTCTGAATGGTGGTAAGAGAAAGACCCATTTGGAATTAAACAATAAGCCACTTGCAACACACACACAAGACCCAAATCTGCTGTCATCATCCTTATCCAGAAGAAATGGTTAAGAAGTGGCACAGGAAAGAACATGTGTGTAATGTTAGGAAAAATCAGCTTGTCATGAATGCCAAGAAAGCACCTAATGACTTGAAGTGAGTTTGAACAGGCAGTGGGAAAGCATAAAAAAAAAATACTGCAAGTCTAAGAAACTACAAGCTCCTTTTTAGCATCTTTGCTGGATCCAAATATGAGCAGGTATTGTAGCAAATTATCAATGATAAGGTAGAATTTCTACCTTGTGGATATTTAAAAATAAGACGAAAGATGTCTTAATTTGGTTCAGATGTCAACCTGCCTGGTGTTGTTAAAGCTGGTAGGACCTGTGAAAAAAGGGGCCAACACCCTCACTTAACAGATGAGGAAGTGGAAGGTAAGGGCCTCGACCAAAATGATACCGCGCTTAGGGACAGCGCCGGGACTGGAAGCTACATGTCAAGACTCCCAAGTCCCTGTCTCAGGCCTTCTTTACTGTTCTTCGAGTTTACTTCTGGGGCCATGATTCTTTTTTTTTTTTTCTTTTAATTATACTTTAAGTTTTAGGGTAAATGTGCACAATGTGCAGGTTAGTTACATATGTATACATGTGCCATGCTGGTGCGCTGCACCCACTAACTCCTCATCTAGCATTAGGTATATCTCCCAATGCTATCCCTCCCCGGTCCCCCCACCCCACAACAGGCCCCAGAGTGTGATGTTCCCCTTCCTGTGTCCATGTGTTCTCATTGTTCAATTCCCACCTATGAGTGAGAATATGCAGTGTTTGGTTTTTTGTTTTGTGATAGTTTACTGAGAATGATGATTTCCAATTTCATCCATGTCCCTACAAAGGACATGAACTCATCATTTTTTATGGCTGCATAGTATTCCATGGTGTATATGTGCCACATTTTCTTAATCCAGTCTATCATTGTTGGACATTTGGGTTGGTTCCAAGTCTTTGCTATTGTGAATAATGCTGCAATAAACATACGTGTGCATGTGTCTGCATCCCTTCCTTACACCTTATACGAAAATCAATTCAAGATGATTAAAGACTTAAACGTTAGACCTAAAACCATAAAAACCCTAGAAGAAAACCTAGGCATTACCATTCAGGACATAGGCATGGGCAAGGACTTCATGTATAAAACACCAAAAGCAATGGCAACAAAAGCCAAAATTGACAAATGGGATCTCATTAAACTAAAGAGCTTCTGCACAGCAAAAGAAACTACCATCAGAGTGAACAGGCAACCTACAGAATGGGAGAAAATTTTTGCAACCTACTCATCTGACAAAGGGCTAATACCCAGAATCTACAATGAACTCAAACAAATTTACAAGAAAAAAACAAACAACCCCATCAAAAAGTGGGCGAAGGACATGAACAGACACTTCTCAAAAGAAGACATTTATGCAGCCAAAAAACACATGAAAAAATGCTCACCATCACTGGCCATCAGAGAAATGCAAATCAAAACCACAATGAGATACCATCTCACACCAGTTAGAATGGCAATCATTAAAAAGTCAGGAAACAACAGGTGCTGGAGAGGATGTGGAGAAATAGGAACACTTTTACACTGTTGGTGGGACTGTAAACTAGTTCAACCATTGTGGAAGTCAGTGTGGCGAGTCCTCAGGGACCTAGAACTAGAAATACCATTTGACCCAGCCATCCCATTACTGGGTATATACCCAAAGGACTATAAATCATGCTGCTATAAAGACACATGGGGCCATGATTCTATAAAACAAGTCACATTGGCCGGGAGCAGTGGCTCACGCCTGTAATCCCAGAACTTTGGAAGGCCGAGGCGAGTGGATCACCTGAGACCAGGAGTTTGAGACTAGCCTGGCCAGCAAGGTGAAAACCCGTCTCTACTAAAAATACAAAAAATTAGCCAGGCGTCGTGGCAAATGCCTGTAATCCCAGCTACTTGGGAGGCTGAGGCAGGAGAATCGCTTGAACCCAGGAGGCAGAGGTTGCAGTGAGCCGAGGTCACACCACTGCACTCCAGCCTGGGCAACGAGAGTGAAACTCCGTTTCAAAAAAAAAAAAAGTCACATTAAGGCAGGTCATTTTTGCACATTGGGTTTTAACCCAGCTGCAGAACAGAATTACCCGAGAGCTTTAGAATTTCTGATGTCCCAGCCTCCCCTCTCCCTCCAGGATTCTGATGTAATCCAGCTGGGGTGTGGCCCTAACGCAGGAAATTTCTAGAGCTCCCCTAGGTAATTCTACTGTGCAGCCATGGCTGGGAAGCCCTGACAAGGAACGAAGCATGGTGGGAATACAACTTGCTGATAATTAATACAAGCTTTTCCAACTGTTTGTCATATTCCAATCTAAGCAGGTGTTCCCTGCTGAAAATTTCTACTACTGATGAGAGTAATCCCTGCTGCTCCGGGCCCTTCTGAGACAACATTCTCGGTCCTCTCTCAGCCTCTAGAAGTGCACCACTGCAATCAAAATTTTAAAATAGAGATCGGAAAACAAGTTGCAAAACGTTAAGAAAAAGCGAGGGAAGGAAATCCCCCTATTTGGACAAGTCTCCATAAGCAAAACAGAGGAAAGGGAGGCTATCTGGCGGTAATTCCGGCCAAGAGTATTTGGGTATTTTCCCAGAATTACCCAAGTAATCCTGTGAAAGGCAAATCTATGGAGGCTAAATTATGTACAAACTGCCCAATTCGTGGGTTTTAAGCAATAGTTAACCTGAGTCTGGAAAGTGTGAAAACCAAGGAACCGCAGGCATTCTGAGTTTGACTCGACCCTGGACCCCTGCCCTCTTCCCTAAGCAGCTTTCTCCAAGTCTTGTGATAATAAACCACTACCAGGCAAACTGAATTAATCAGACACCCTCTCCCAGGGCCCTTCCGCGCCGCCTCAGGGCCTGAATTTCCCACCCTGGAGAAGTCCCCAGTTCCTTATACACCCCGTGTGGCCCTGGAGAAGACCCTGGGAGGATTCGGAGGGGGTATGGTCAGGGCCAATCCTCGGGCACCCACCCACCAGAGCCACCTCTAGACCGCGGAGGCACCAGGGAGCCCACCTGGTCCGGCGTCCGCACACATTACAACGCTGCGCCCCCGACACTCGGCTGCGGGCGGCCCTAGGGTGACAGTGTCAGAAGTTCACTAGGTCCGCAGAAGGGCGGAAGTGTGGAGGAGTGTCCCAGCACCCGAGTGTCCCCGGCGCCGCCCAAGCCTCAGCCTGGAACGAGAGAGGGGGCTCCGCGAAGGACTGTCGGAAAGGGTGGGGGGTAGAGGACTGTTGGGGATGACAGCTCCCCAGCTCAGGCGCCGCCTTCTCGCCCCGGCTCTGCCTGGCTGGAAGCAGGACCCAGGTAAGGGCGAAAAGCCAGGACAGGGTCCCAGGAAGCTGGGTCAAGCCTAAACGCAGAGATCGACCCGATCGACCCCAGGGTACGCCTTAGCCCCAACCCCGCGCCACTTGTCCCCAGCCTGGGCGGCAGCGCAGCCCCAGGATGGACCTTCGCGGAAGAGAGCACCTCCCACGCTGTAGCGCTTTTCGCTGTAGCACAGGCTTTAGAAGCAGAGTCCCCGGGAGGGACGCAAGACGCACAGGCTACCCTACCTGTCCGGCGATACAGAGCAGGCACCAGGTGCCACCGAGGAGGCGGGCCAGGAACCCGGGGCACTGGGGCGCCTCCAGTCGTGCCATGGTCCCCATGGCGGGGACCAAGGGGAGTCTCAGGCGAGACCCCTCCCTCGAAGAGGTGGCCGCCTCCTGCGCTGATTGCGGTGGCTCCGCGGCGGCGGCCGGCAGGCGGGCTCGGGCGTGCGCCCCACGAGACAGAGCTGCGCTGGGGCAGGCGGCGCGGCTTTGGAGCTTCAGTGCGGCCGCGGAGCGGGTCTGCTTTGAATGGGAGCGCGTGCGCTGGGGGTGGGGGCGTTATTTGTGAATGTGCTGCTTGTCTTGGCTCGAGATGGTTCGCGCTCCCCCCACCCCCAACACCCCTCCAGCTCCTGCTCCTCCCCTCCCGTGTCAGCCCAGCGGAGGCGGGGAGCGCAGACATCCAGCCGCCCCGGCAGCGACAGCGGTGTGCGCTTCGGGAAACCCGAGCGGGGCTGCGCGCTGGCTTCTATTTATTTATTCTTTTTTAAAGGGAGGATCGCTCACTGCCCACCTTGCTCGCGCTTGGAATGCCACCCTGCCGGCCCTTGGAGAAGGAAATCTCTCCCTGGACGCTGGCGCTTTCCCAGGAACCAGTCCTAGGAGCCATTCCCTGAGCGCTTTCCCTGGAGCTCGGAGCTCCGAGTGCTGTTGCTGACCTGGGAGCCCCGCAAGATGCTCCAGGGGCTGGGGACGATTTTGTGCTTGTTGGGAGGGGGGAATGATGAAGAAACTTACAACCTCACGTAATGGGACAAAACTGAAATCGTTATGACATGTTTGTCCGTGGGGACTTGTCCCCTGGGCGCTCATGGAGCTTTTCCCATGGAGTTGATTTGTTTTGCAACATGCGCCCGGGAGTGACGGGGACCCACGACAGCTGGGTAGGCACGCCGTGAACCAGAAGCCAGCGTCGGGCACAGGGAGCCCAAGAAGTGGGTTCAGTGAGGTTGACTTCGCTGATTGTCTTCCTGTACTAATGGCTTGCTGGGGGCAAGCTAGGGCGCCCCCTTCTCTGGTTTGGACCACGCTCTCAGTACACAGGAGGCTTTCAGGCTGTCTCTTTAACAGAAGATACACACTGAGCTCGGCTGCAGGTTTTGTGGGGTTTTGTTTTGTTTTGTTTTGTTTTTTGTTTTTGTTTTTGTTTTTTTTGCCATTGGGACTCAGGATCATTTCTTCCTGAAAATTTGGCGCTATAGATCCAGTCTCCCAAAGCATCTTTGTAAGAAAGCAAATCTCCCACCCTCCTTCCAACTGTCTTCCAGGCCACTCCACCCCTCTCCTGCCTTGGCAGTAAAGTTAAAAGAGGCGGAGAACTGGCCCCACTTCAGTAAACTCCGTAGGATAAGGGGATTCAGCGCTGTGCTCATGAAATAACTTTTGTGAAGTTCCCACGTGCGCGCACTGGGATGAGCCCAGCATAAAATTAAGAGGCCACCATACTCCCTAGCAACCATTCATTCAATCCACATATTCCTAAATGCCTACTCCTTGCCAGGCGCTGTGGTTGAACGTTGTAGCCCATCAGCGACTGAGACAGATGCGGATCCTGCTCTTTTCAATTGGGTAAACAGACCAGACACAAACTGTCTGCTAACAGAATGAGAGGCAAAGTCAGGGCAGAAGTGCCTATAGGAAATGAATGTCATATGTGTGCCAGTATCAGCACTTGTGTCTAGAATAGGAGTTGTGTAGTTGTTAATGGTAAAGGAGGCTGCTTTTCAGAATTCATCTGTTTACTCATCATGTGTATTGAGTTCCCAAAGTGTGAAAGAAAAAAATCAGAAATGGGAAAAATACATCTACCTCTGAGCCTAGATTCCCAGAAAGTTAAAGCTCAAAGATCAAAATATTTGGAGATTCTTTTCTAAAGGAGTTTTAGGCCAAGTTTTCAGCTTGAATTGATATAAAGGAAAAGGTGAGACATTTAAAAATGAATAAATAAACCAAACACACACACACACACACACACACACACACACACACACACACACAAAATAAGAACAAAGACTACAGAGGCTGGAGACAGGAAAATATTTCTATGGAGGGTCGCAGATGGCTTGTCTTGCTAGGATGATTGAGCCACAATATTAAACAGAAAAAGGCAAGGCTGTGCTTGGCAAGCAGGTGGTCCTAACCTGTTGGGGTTGGGGGTACCTACAGCACCAGGAGGGAAGAAAGAAGGGAAATGATGTGCCAGGCAGCAGTGCTAAGCAACATTAACTGAATTAAATTTTCAAACAACCCCCAAGATAGGTGCAGATTATCCTAACTTGACACATCAGAGTACTGAAGCTCAATGGCTATATTACTAGGATTGGAAGTAGGCTGTGGAGGGGAGCACAGCAACAGAATTTCAGGATTGGAATGGAGCTCTAGCCCAGCCACATACTTCAAACCATGAAGAATTTGACCATCTAGTCCAATAGCCACACTTGGATTTTTAAATTCATGAACAAACTAAGGCCCACGAAAATTAAGTTATGTGTCCAAAGTCTCACACGTAAGAGGCAGATGAATTCATTCCTACAACTTGATTAGAAAAGCATGAACTTCTGTTCCTTTAATAGTGAGGTAACAGAAGAAAATAGGAATTTAAAGTTAATTAATAAGGCAATTAGTCAAGTGTAGGATTAAAAAAGGGTAGAAGGTCCAAAAGGAGGGAGACCAGCTAGGAAGATGCTGCCATAAACTGGCCATGAGATGATGAAGCTTTCATTCCTGGAGATGCACTCTGGTGAGTGGAGAACAAAGTGGGTGCTGGGAAAGCTGGACAGGAGAAGCAAGGCATTGATTGGTCTCATATAATGTGAGAAGGTGGCATCTCCTTAGAGCATCTCCATGCCAAGGGTTCAACTCCAGATCTTTGCATCCAACATCAGACTTGAATGTTAGCAGAGCCTGAGTTTGTTGGTTTGTTCATTGTCTGCTTAAAAAGCCATAGGTTTTTAGATGACTTTTGATCAATATACATGATTGATAGTTTAAAGAATGAATGACAAGGACAAAAATATTCCCTTTATCCACTAAAATCAACTTTCCTTGATACTGCAAAAATTGTAGGGAAGATGCTTTCAAACAGATGTCTTTACTTAACAGCTTAATAACCACATTGTCATAGAAGGACTAAGAAATGCCACATTGCTCAGGCCCTGGAATCTACATGGAGTGTCAGAAGATACCAGCCACCACTGATGGCTCTTCACCAGTTCCAATCTTGCCAGGGCCTCTGCTCTGTACTACAAGCCCTTTCATTTGAGATTTGCAGCAGGAGAGAGTTTTGGACATCACAAGCCCATCCTCTGAAAGGATAGTTCCACTGGAACACACGAATGCATGATGCTGAGGCTGGCTCTCTCTTCCACTTAATCTCAGTGGTACTTCTGACTGTTCCCCATGTCCCAATGCTTTCTTCAACTCTCACTCTTCTTCCTATCCTCTTTTTATCCAGCATACTTTTCTTTCCAGAGCTCATCATTTCAATAACACTCTTTTCATAACCCTACACTCTCCTGCCCTTTGGTCTTCACTCTTCAACTCAAAATGATCTCAGTTACCTGCTTTCTCAGTGCCCACCCTCCAGGAACAAGCACTGCAGGGGAAAGCCACAGAATAGGACAGGTAAGTATCAGAACACCACCTTCACCAGCTTCAGATGGACTTGCAACACTGCCCCTCAGTCTTCCTATATTTCTCCGTCTATTCACTCTCATACCATCCTACTCTCTACAATGACTATTTCAAACATTCCCCAGTTTCTCCAAACCTCCAACTCCTCCTTCACGCTGCTCCTTTTCAACAGACATGCAGAGCTCCAACTTTTCAGAGAAAATCAAATTAGTTGAATGGGAGCAATTTCTACTTCTACCCTTTTGCACCAAATCTACTTCTATCCATACCGTACTTCCCTTCTGTCTTCTCTCTAAGGCTAGTCCATCTCCAATGTTCTGGGTCTGATCTTCTCTTGCTTTCAACTAGTAAAAAAATGTATTCATTTTTCCATCTCTGTACTGTGTATTCAATAACTCCCTGTAAACTGTATCCTACCTTTTAATATTCAAACATGCCCAAGCCTCTCCCATGTATAAATAAGGACATGAACTCTCCTTCAATGAACCCATATCTTCTTCCCATCATAACTACATTTCTTAAAGGTTTTGTTTATATTCCCTATTGCTTTCCTCTGTGTCTATTTAATCCTCAATCCATTCCAGTCAGAATTCGGCCACCATCACTCTATGAAAATTGAAGCTACTCTAGTCACCAATAACCTCCATGCTGTAACATCCAATGGACATTGGTCAGTCCTCTCTTTGTCCTCACAAAACCTCATGACATGGTTGATTGTTCCTTCTTGAAACATTCTACTTTCTTGGCTGTCCATCTGACACTGGCATGCTACTTCTAGGAACACATTTTTGAAGATGGTGTCCCTTTCCCTCTGGATCTCCTTCAATGATTAACTCATTACTGAGCCTCTCCCATATATGGGTTGGATTTCTTGTTTACATGCATGGATATATCTGTATTCTTTTCCTTCAAAGAATTGATTTTAATTTGTGATTACTCTTTTATTAACCGAAGTAACCAAAATGTGTCCTTTCTTCTCCCACTAGGTTGTAAATTCTACAAGAGCAATTCATCATTGTGGGGCCAATGCCTACTGCATCCAAATGCCTAGCACATGTTTGACAAAATTGAAATTTGTTGAATTAATAAATGGGTGAATTAGTACTTCACACCTTTCAATGGGCTGGAAACTTAACCATTAGGCAAGACACAAATAGCAAGCACCTAGAAGATAAGCATGACAGACTATTAACCTTTATCCCAGTACCTATGGTAGTCCTCCAACATGGGGGATATTCCAAAAAATGATTGACCGACTAAATGAATGGACAGAATCCACTAATAGAGTGAGAGACTGACTAATCATGTAAACTCCTAGGCAAACCCCCAATGTAAAAAATCCATCAGCCTATGTAGAGTTCTTGAATTTCAAGGTTGCAGCAACAACTCTTCCTTCTTTTAAGAAATGAAGTTTGGTTTAGAGTCAATTATATTACCCATCATAATCTCAAAGTATCTCCAATAAGAAAACAACAATAATGAAAATAATACAGAAAGTCCACCACAATACAAATTATTTTTTCATAAATACATAGCAGCAGGGGAAGGGAGGAGATGCTCATTCTGTTACCCAGAGTTCAGGTTTATCTAAATTGTTCTAATGAGTATATTGTGTTTATTATAAAATGTTCAGCAAGAATGGAATTTTCTGATAGTTGACTCAAATCCTGCTTCATTCCCCTCTTGATCTTTCACTGGATGTGCCCTCTTGTCAGCCTTTCTTTGCCTCAGCAGACAAGGAAAACACAGAGCAAAGCTGTTCAGTCAAGCAAAATGTTCATTTTTGACAAGTTGAATGTCACACACTTTGTTCAAAGAAAATATACATACCTGAATTATACAGTTAAAAGTCTCCTCCTTGAGTGAAGCCATTTCAATAATAAACAAGTCCACAGAGACATGTGGCTTCAACTATTACAAACTGTTAAATTATGTGCATAATAAAAAAATGATAGGAAACATAAAGTAGTATGTTTATATCTCGCAGAAATGACTCAAAACCATATTTCAAGAAAGTAAACTCTGGAAACCAGCAGTTTCACTTACTCCTTGCCCCAATGTAATGTCTGTTCTAATTCTTTTAAATGAACCTACAGGGTTTTCTTTAGCTACTGTATTTCTAGGTTCTTAAATTATAAGCATAAAGTTTAGCTGATACTAGATAAACATAGTTGTATGAATTAACATCCAGATCAAAATATTTTAAATTGCCTCTGCTTCCTTATAAGGGGAAAACACAGTGTCTCAGGAGGGTTGTAACTTATCAGCAGGCTTATCTTTCCATCCTATAACACTGAGTCCCAGAGGACGGTTTGCGCTCACAGTGATCCCCTGGCATCAGTCAGACTGCATTCACGATAGTGTGTTCGTCATGTGCATACTTAATCCCTTGATGTTGGCTTGCGGGAGTCTCAAATATAAAATGTGACAGCATTTGTTTTTCTTACCACAGAAAAAAATGACATCACAAACTGTTAAGAGGTTAAACCATATATTATGGCTTCATTTCAGAGTCACTGTTTGCGTCATATGACAGCCCAACAGGGACAGAATCTAACACACTTCACATTCCTGAATCTAATAACATATATAAGCTCGTCTGGGTGAGGCCCATTGGGTGTGGTTTTATCACACAGAAAATCTTATATAATAATAACCTTTTAAAAAAATTGTCATTCTTTCTCCATGTGTTGATGTATTTGTTCAAATAATACAGCAAAGGACAACAGAGATTAGAAAGGAACCAAAAATTACATTTAAAAACAGACTTATGAATTCTGTTTCTTTTCTCTGGAGACCTCAGAAACTGTTTACCTGAATGGGCAACAAGTTTTCCATACTTCAACTAGTCTGTCAACAAAAATATTCAGTTTCCATTTTACGTTAGCCATTATGAAAACATGTAAAAGAAGTAAAGTATATGATCCTTGTTTTTTTTCAAAATACACACAATTAAGTTTCACAAAATACATTTATGAAAGAAATTTATATCTCCAAAATGTTTGTTCTCTATTGTAATATATGCCCTTTGAGAGCAGAGTATTCTGTTCCGGCCATTTTTCCTCAGTACCTACCACACTGTAGGCACTCAATAAATGTTTGATGAACTGCACTGAACATTTATTCTAATGCAAACCACATTGATGAGTACTGTGAGGAATAAACACTGATTCTGTATTTATGCCCAGCTTCCTGAAGCCAAAGTCAGAATATTTCAATGATCAGAACCTTTACTTCTATAAAGTGCTGATATGCAGTTTCTAAGACATAATCTAAAATATGATAGAGAAAGTAGTAGTGGTTTAGTAGGTAGGTGTTAGCCAGCTAATTCAACTTATTTTATAGGGTATATATATATACATATATATGCATGCCATTCTGAAATCAAAATATTCTGTGTATTTTGTTTTGTTATTACATCATCCAGTACAATGGCAGTTCATGTTCTCTCTGCTCTCAGGCATACCTAGAAAACTGGCGGATAAAGTACAGTTGTGTACTCATTCTAAACTTACATCTGAAGTTCCTTGACTGTGTTTCAAGGTCTCCAAAAATAAGTCCTGGAAGCTGGATGTCCATGTCTTATAAAATCACAGTAGCAAACACAACAAGGGTAAATTACTGTCGTCTGTTTTCTATGCGGTGAGCGCTATCTCGGCTCACTGCAACCACCACCTCCCAGGATCAAGCGATTCTCCTGCCTCAGCCTCCCGAGTAGCCAGGACTATAGGTGCCTGCCACCACGACCAGCTAATTTTTGTATTTTTAGTAGAAACAGGATTTCACCATGCTGGCCAGGATGGTCTCGATCTGCTGACCTCGTGATCCGCCCGCCTCGGCCTCCCAAAGTGCTGGGATTAAAGGCATGAGCCACTGCGCCCGGCCCAACTTTTATTTTTTATTTGAAATCAGTGTTCAAACAAAAGGAAAGCGGGCCTGTTTTGAACTATCATCCTCAGTTTCTGTATAAGCAGCTACATAGGTGGTAACATTTATTATATCTCTGTTTGGTTCATTCTGAAAGAAGTATCAGTTTGTATATGCGGACACAATCCCCTTCAGTTTTGCTGGAAAATCAGAACTTCAACACTGAGTCTCCAGATAGCACTGGAAATTCATTCAATGAGAATAAATACATGAAAGCACAGGATTTTGTTTACTCTGTTTGCTTCTCATGAACAACATAGTAAAATAACCCCTCAGAGAATTAAAACAAATTGTGATATAGAATATATATATATATATATATATATTTTGAGACAGAGTCTTGCTCTGTCACCCAAGCTGGAGTGCCATGGCACGATCTCAGCTCACTGCAATGTCCGTCTCCCAGGTTTAAGTGATTCTCATGCCTCAGCCTCCCTAGTAGCTGGGATTACAGGTGTGCACCACCATGCCCAGCTAATTTTTATTTTTAGTAGAGATGGGTTTTCACTACATTGGCCAGGCTGGTTTCAAAGTCCTGATCTCAAGTCATCTGTCCCCCTTGGCCTCCCAAAGTGCTGGGATTATAGACGTGAGCCACCAAGCCTGGCCATAGAATATAATTTGAAAGCAACTGTTACTTTCAACCCCAAGTTAATGACTGACAACTTTTAGTTTTTCTCCTAACTGGATGCACCAGAGAACTACCGACCAAAAAAAAAAAAAAAAAAACCATTGACAAGAAAATGAAATTCAGCCAGAAAAAAATGAGAAAGATTTATGGCAACAATAAAATGACCACCTTTTAGAAGATATTGTTGATCTTCGCTGATAAGATTAAATGAACCAAACCGTGAAAAGCACTTTGTTATTTGTGAAGCAATGTTAAAAACATTTCATTCATTATTCAGTAGTACACTACCATATTGCAGAAGACATTATGGCAGCTTAGAAAGACATGCTTTAAGACAGACATGAAAATCTAATTAAAAGTTGATGAGAACACTAACATTCTCAGGGAGTAGAGGTCAGTGTGAGATTATTGGGATATTTCAGGTTCTTCTTTAATTTTTAATATCATTTGAATGTTGTTTCTTGCAGCACAAATTAACTTTGTAACTGAATAAAGCAATGAAGATATTTCCTTTTAGAAAAAAAATGGATGAGAAAGAAAAACAATAATATGGCCTTAAAATGGCCATATTGAAGCCAGAGATGAAGTTAGTACAAATGCACATCCAATAAAAATCTACAGCTACAGATATGGCACTCAGCTTTCAAAGAGTCATGAAACCTGATAAATTACAGTGCCAAACTAGGTGGGGGGAGATCAGACCATAGTTGCATGCATGAAGCACTACAGCCTTGACGAAAATCGGGAAAGTTTCACAGTTGTTTTTTTTTTTAATCTGGCCTCATATAGATTTTATCATGTATGCCCTTAGGTTTATTAGCATGGAGTTATATAGCAAAAAATGATACAGTAAATAATTGATAAAGGAAACTATAATTTGGCATTTATTATATCTCTAGGCATTCTTGTATCTAGAAAACTATAATTTCCTTCATCAATTATTATATCCACCTCTTGTAGCAATATTTCATGAAAATGTACTTTTCTCTTTAAATTGCACATTTAAGTTTTTCAAAAAGAAGACAAGACATAAAAGGAAACAGAAGAGGAAATTCAGAATTGAAGGTGAGGCAAGTTATAGTACATACACCACTACATTACAGTGTGTGATGGGTGCTATAACAGGGGCAGCCTATTTGTATATAGGGCATGCAAATTGTTACCTGGATCAAGGGCCACATAATGAGGGAAGAGAAGAGCATCTTCACAGCCTTCATCTGGGATTTCCACTGGGTTCAGCCTCAGGGATGTGGTGTTGAGATCCCACAGCTGGCTTGAGTCAGGTTCAAGAGGCATATTGGTTAGGCATGGGTAATAGTAACGGCTGTTAATGGATAAATCCCCAAATCTTGATGGCATAGCATAATAGCTGTTTTACATAAATAGGTGAACTTTAGCCAACAGCATGGCAGTTGGAAATATGTGAAAAATCCTTTCAGAAAGTCAACAGAACATCAGAAAACTGAATATTTCTATAAAGAGTTATCTGGAGTTAAAAGACAGACATTGTCATACATTAGCAACAGCCTAAGGGAGATTCTTGAGGAAGCCTTATTTGACCTCCTCTCCCCAACAAGACTAGGTTAGGCATCTTCCCAAGTGCCTCCACTCAACTTGTACTTCTCCTCTTAGGCTGTCGCTGTTATAGTGACCATCACATGATGTAATGTAATGGTATAATTTCTCGTACTAGGCTGTAAGCCCCATGACAGCAAGAATTACCTCTTCTCACCCTTGTCTTCCCAGTACTCAGACAGTGCCTGGCACATAATAGGTACTTATTCATATTCGTTGAAAGAAGAGAGGAATGGAAGAAGGAAAGGAGAAATTGAGAGAGGGGAGAAGCACAAGAACTCAAAAAGATGTTAAACCTTAGAAGATAAAGACTAGCTATAATCTTTTAGTTGTATAAGAAAGTGAATTAATTCAAAAGTAAGCCACAGAAATGTGATAAATGCCAATTCTAAATGCCATTATGCTAGAGGGGGAAAAACAGGAAAAAAATAGTGTCAATTTCATTTTTGCTTTTATGCTTTTCACATTATGTGCCACTATGTGAAAATAAACTATAGAGAAGGAACATATTAGAATTCACCTGTTATTCACTATAATACGTAAAAACTTTACTTTGGGAATAAATGTTGTTTGTGCCTGTTTCCGTCCCCTTCCACAAGGGTAAAAAAGAAATTTGTGAGCAAACATACAGGGCAAACAGAGCCTCCCTGAAACCCTTGTGCCTGAGATACTGCTACTTAGAGTACATAAATGTATTTATCGAGCTACATGTGCAAATTATGGTGTTGGCTGTGCAAACAAGGCCATATTACTTAAGTCATTGATGGAACAAAATTTGGAGTCTTTTCAAAGTCTAAAACAGTCTTATCAGAAATTATAAAGCGCTTTACTAACATTCATCTTAAGTGAATTCTAGGCTTAAGAAAATAAAGTGTGAGGCTTATAGGGATACTTTATAAAAGAGTAAAAGTTGTAAATTATTTCAGGAATTTTCTCATTTATGCAACATTTGCCCCTTCCTAAATATTTCCAAATACATTTTATTTTGAGTCAATTTTCCTTTTGAACTTAGTCCTTAAGATCTCAAACAAAATCAATACATAAACTGAGCAGTATCTCCAAAGAAATGCTTATTAATTATAACGCATGCCATATTAACATCACATAGATTCAAAACTCCAGCCTTTATGACCTTGATAAGGGAAATATTTATATATGTTTAAAATACATACACCTAGGAAGAAGTTTTACTAAGCATGGAATGATATGTTTCATAGAACTATATGAGCTTCAGATACTCTGGCCAATTTGGCAACTATATATTTACATCTTTCTAATGATTTTATATAATCCACTATATCTCTCAAGTTTCATTACAGGTAACATTCCTTGCTGTTGTCCTCCTAAATTTATAACAAGCTCACATTCCCAATTATTTTCCTGTCTCCTTTTTCCATTGAGGAAATCCTCGATTAAGTCACATTTCAATAAACTGAATTTTCTCTTATGAGTCTCTGTATGTTTGAAACCAACACTCACACTCAAAGAGGAGCTCTAATTTGAGTTCAACAGTAAACTTGATTATCCAGTTCATGGACTGATAATCAATGATGTTTTCTTCTCTTCCTTGTTCTAGTGAAGAATCCTTTCTGTCAGTGTGTTGAGATTTGGGGGAATTTTTGAGTCAATGACAAAGTGAAAAGTTCTCAATTATTAGAAGATTTATATTATCCAATTCCCTCATAATCAAGAATAATGAAAAGTTCACAGTGGAAAGTCTGCAGACGTATTTCAGGTGTAATTAAATTAAATTCTTAGTGTTTGTCAGTGTGTGGTCCTTTGACCATGGGCATCAGAATCACCAGGGATGCTTGTTAAAAGTGCCTATTCCCAGCTCCTGTCTAATATCTATAAATCCCAATCTTTGTGTGTTTTTGAACAACATCTAAGAACCTCCCTTCTCTGCTTTAATGTTTTAAAAATAAAACGAATAAAAAGTGAATAAAATGGATTATGTGATCAATATAGATCACAGATTTTTCTAAACCTCCCAAAATATTTCAATCTAATATGAATGTACCCAAAAGAGAATAGAAGGGTTCACTGTTTTGGATTCCGCTGAATGACAGGAAGGTTTAGGTCTTCCCTAACGTCATTTGCATTCCCCTGAGCTATCAGAAAGGAATCTGAAATGGACTTTCCAAGAAAAGGGTGTGGAATCTGAAATCTTTTTTCTTTCCAAGATCAGGGTGGCTGCCCAGAGGAAATCCCTCACTTCAGGGGATTACATTCCAGTTTCTAAATGTTTGGAAAACATGAGTTGACAAGCAAGATGGAGAGTTACAGAGAAAATGAAGACGATCTGAACCATGAAGAATTCAGCTCGTTGATTTGGACCCAGTGCCTGGCTTGAAAGGCAAATGTTTTATTACTTGGCAGGATTCCCATTACATGTCACTCTTTATAGCTTGCATTTTCTAGTCCTTTCAAACATCAATTCTGTAAGGCCTCACATTCCTTTCTCTCATTCATGGACTAAAGACAGTCTTTTCAGGTACTGGGAAAGTTCCCTCCCTGTACTTAGGAATGAATGAAAAATGCCAGGATCATTAAAATTTCTCTATGTGAATTTATTGTTGGTTCCTACTGATTGTAAGATGGAAATGTTTAAAATACCTAAAAGTATCATAATACCAGTCCAGATGATATTTTTTTCCATTTTTGTTATGCCTATAAAATAAAAATTGTAAACATTGATAGTATCAATGGGCAGGCAGATAGATGAGTAAGTCATGTACAAGATGGAAGGAAAGTGGAACTATGGCAAAATGGAGAATCAGTGTCCAGTCTGAAGGAAGTTTTTAAAACTGCACTGGCCAAACCAAATAGTGGTCTTTTAATACTGCTGGCATGGATCCCTGAAAAAGATTTCCCAAACTTTACTCTAAAATACCTACAATGATTCAGAAGAAAAAAACACAAAAACCAACTATGGTGAAATCAGCACTATTAGTCAAGTTATTTCCAGAACTTGAAAAGAATTTCTACCAAATGTTAAGACTGATGGAGCTACATGGAAAAAGCCTCATGCTATGCCTGTCTAGAAGTCCGTAAGAGAACTATTTGTCTGTTTTCACTGTCAGTCCCTGGGGTAACCTCTAAAGCCTACTCCAATCACAAAACTGAGGAATTATCCTTGCTCCAAGTGATTGTTATTTTCTGTGCAAGGAAAAATAGAACAGTCTGATTCCCTTTAACTACCTATCTACCATCCAAAGACTACAACTTTCAGGAAGAGGCTGAGCAGTAAGTGGGAAACGGCGTTGTGAAAGGCTCTACCACTTGTAAACATTTATTTACATGTGTGTCTCCATTTACTAAAGTGGGAGTTTCTCAAGAGATGGAAGATGACAGTTTACGTGGCTTTGAATAACAGTGGACTAACACAGTACCTGGTATACACAGGAAGTCCATGAATATTAGTTCAACAAATTAATGAATGAGTGTGAAGGGTAGTGAAAAAAAGTTAGTGGAGAGCCCTGACAGCCAAGTTTATTAGTTCAGACTTGGCATTTTGCAATAGAGCATCAACAAAAGGTTTTGAGCTCAAAAATTATTTAAAAGGAATTATTGGAGGAGCTGCTAGTGCTTTATGTACTGAGGCAAGTAGAATTGGTCACTAGATGAGAATGACAGCTCAAATAATGACAAGTATATACAGTGGCAGTTAAACAAGTAAAACTGCTTGCTAAGTTGACCGACTATGCAAATTTTAATTCCAAAAATGAATATTTTACATAATTAAGAAGTAAATTTCACTAGAAGGCTTTCCAGGTCCCCTGCAAAAAATAGGAAAAAATAACATTTCTTCTCCTAAAAGAGGCCAACACAAGCTCAGGGTGACTGTTCTGTTCCACTTAGATAAAGATATTTTATTTTAAATAAGTTCAATGGCTTGCACCATTGTGGACTTAGCAATATTAAGGAGTCTATAAACCTAGAATCTGTAGCCACTTTCCCACCTGAACTTCTTTTGTGACATTTTAAGAATCTTCAGCTCTTTTTTTGTGTCAGTGCCTTTATGAGTCAAATGGAGTTATAGATTCTAGCCCCTCATGGGAATATGAAGATTAATGATAAAATAGGAGGGAAGCACAGAGGCTCTCAGGTATTTGAATGCAGTGATTCCCTTTGATCGCTGTGAATCACTGTTGTTGTACCTCTTCATAACTGAACATATTTAATGTGATTATTAACTTGCAGGGTAACCTGTGACCTAAAGAAGAGGTACAGAGGTAATATTTTATTATGAATAGCAGGGTACAATGAAAACTAGCTCTTTGTCCATCTGTGAAGTATGTGGGAGTGGGGAGGTGATGGGGGAGAATGGCTCATAATATCCTTTTGGTCTGTTTGTGGACATTTCGTCAGCCTGTTGGTTCCTGGAATACTTTATCACTTTCACCTCTTCAAGAACAACTGCTATTGTGTGGTGTGAGTACAATTTAGAAAGTTCTTAGACACCTCTAGGTCTTTAACCACTTTGTTAACTAAAGCTTTGATGATTTGAACTGAGTCTGTTTCTAGTCAATACAATTTTTTTTAAAAATCTTAAAAAGATTGCCATTTCTATATCTAAATAAAATCTCAGATTTTTGTAAAGGTATAGATGTAACACTGACATTAATTAAAAATAAAGAATTCTTTTATAATGTCCATTCAACTAGAACTAAACCCACCTTCATGAGAAAAAAAAAAAAAAACATGTTTTCTATCCATGTATACAACAGAAGAAGCCAGAAATTCAGTCCGAGTGGAGACATACAATATAAGTCACACAGCTATGACATTCTAAAAGGAAGAAAAATCACAATTATTAAGTAATTCCATCAGGATTAACATTAACAGTAATCTGGGCAGGAGTTTTTAATACCCAAATAGTTGGCTCTCTGAAGTTTTCAAACGAGAGAGAGCTTTGTATTACAGGCAGATTTACAGCCATCTCGTAGGCATTAGGACCAAAATTCCTGCTAAAATATTTTTGTGTTATTTTATCAGATCAGATTTTTAATTCACAGCATACTTCCATACTTGACTGGAGTTCAAAAAAGTCTCTTTTTAGTAAACAGTAAATATTTTTATATTCAAAAGTTTAAAAAAATTATTACATTCTGTTTCTTTTCTTTCGAGGCAGTCGAACTTGATTTGCTTGATTAAACCACTCTAAATTAGAATAAACATTTCTTTCATAAATTAAGTGATATTTACGTTACTTAAAAAGTCTCCAGTTGGCAGCCGGGTGTGGTGGCTCATGCCTGTAATCCCAGCACTTTGGGAGGCCAAGGCGGGTGGATCACGAGGTCAGGAGATCAAGACCATCCTGACTAATGCGGTGAAATCCTGTCTCTACTAAAAATAAAAAAATTAGCCGGGTGTGGTGGCGGGCACCTGGAGCCCCAGCTACGTGGGAGACTAAGGCAGGAGAATGGCATGAACTCGGGAGGCAGAGCTTGCAGTGAGCTGAGATCATGCCACTGCACTCCAGCCTGGGCAACAGAGCAAGACTCTGTCTCAAAAAAAAAAAAAAAAAAAAAAAAAAAAAGGCTCCAGTTGGCAAGGAGGTGACCTGTTAAGGAAAATGAAATAAGTGCATTATGTGAGCTGATATGATGGTTTTGAAAGTTTGGAAACCTAAGATATCAGATGGAAAAGGGCACACCACATTGCACTGCCTTTCTTCATAATCAATATGCCATATTCTATAGTGCAAGGAAGTTAACTGATTATTGGCCTGGTAGAGTAAGTGTTTTTATTTTTATTTATTTTTATTTTTTGAGACACAGTCTCACTCTCATTGCTCAGGCTGAAGTGCAATGGAACAGTCATGGCTCACTGCAGCCTTGACTTCGTGGGCTCAAGTGATCCTCCCACTTCAGCCTGCCTCCTGAGTATCTGGGACTACAGGTCTGCACCACCACACCCTGCTAATTTTTTATATTTTTGGTAAATATGGGGTTTGCTATGTTGTCCAGGCTGGGGTCAAGCGATCTGCCTGCCTCGGCCTCCCAAAGTGCTAGGATTACAGGCGTGAGCCACTGCACCTAGCCAGCCTGAGTCAGTGTTTCTAAAGATAATCTTCATTGTGGGAAAAAGGAAAGGAGGTGAATATGTCTCTACTTATACACTGATATTGCAAACCTGGAAGTTTGGCCTTAAAAAATGATACATCTTGGATCACTTAAGCTCTTTTCATACTGGGAAAACTTTGCAATGTACCAAACTTCATTGTAATGGCATCTATTTTTTGTGCTGAAATTTTGAACTTGTGATCTATCTAGATATGTAAACCATGAGATGAGCTCTAAACAACTACATTTTCCATGACACGTATATTTTGGATATTGTCTAGCTCTCTTTGCTATTTATTAGTAAGGCTGTTAGTATTTGACCAAGTACCTGGTCTCATCACAGCCCCATTTTCATGTCTATCTTGATCAGGGCTAGAATTTACATTTCGGCATTTGGATTACTGAAATCGCCTCTTCCTTGCCAAAAATACAAAACAAAACAAAACAAAAAGAAGACATCATAAGAACAACACTGTGTCTTGGAGTTCAACCCACAGAACTGTACATCAGCAAAAATTACATCAGCCATACCATTAGTAATGTTTCAATAGCATTAAACTTCTCTGAAACACCACGTAATTTTGATAGCACAAATACTTCTTAATTCATTAATGTGTGATTTCTCAATTCCTGCTTTTAACAAGTGTCACGATCAGGACTTTCTTTGAAAAGACAGAGTTACCATTCTGACTTTAATGTAAACATGTCAAATATTTCTCTAAGCTCTTTGTTCAATAAAAAATATTTCTGTGCCTACTTGTATATGCCAGACACTGTTCTAAGGCTGAGGATTGAGTCATGATCAAGTCAGAGGTCCTGCCTTGATGGAACTTACATTCTAACAGTGGAGACAGGCAATAAACAAGTGAACAAATAAATAGAGAGAGAACACAACACATAAAACAATGCCAGGAGTACCAAGTACAATGGAGACCATTAGGCAGTGGTGGGGGGAGGAAGATGTTGGTTGTTTTACATAGGGCAATCAGGGAAGGCTGCTAGAGGAGGTTACATTTGGGAAAGAAACCTTACGATGTGAGGGAAGGAGTCATGGAAGATACAAGGCAGAAGATTCCAGACAAAAGAAAAAACAAGCACAAAGGTCCTGAAATGCAAGCTTGCTTGGCATCAAAATGGAAAAGCAGAAAGGCCTACGTAGCTGAAAAATAATGAGGGAAGAGGACAGTGATGGGAAATGAGGTCAGAGAGTAGCCAGGTGCTATGATTTGAATGTTTGTCCACTCCAAAACTCATGCTGAAATTCTAATTGCCATTCATTCTCCAGCATGAAGAGATGGGATTATTAAGAGGTTATTGGGCCATGCAGACTCTGACTGTCCTCATGAATGGATTAATGCTGTTATCGAGGTAGTGGGTTCTTATAAAAGGGTAAGTTCAACTCTCTCACGCTCTCTTTCTCTTTCTCTCTCCTTCTCTACTCTTGTGAAATGTGAGGAACAGTGTTCCTTCCCTCTGGAGGACGCGGCATTCAGTGCACTATTTTGGAAGCGTAGACAAGGCTCTCACCAGAGACCAAACCTGCTGGTGCCTTGATCTTGGACTTTCCCGATTTCCAGCACCATGAGAAATAAATTTCTATTGCTTAAAAATTACCCAGTCTGTGGTATTTTGTTATAGAATCACAAAATGAACTAAGACACAAGGAACCACATCATGTGGGGCCTTATTGCTGTGGTAAGTGATATGGTTTGGGTCTGTGTTCCTGCCCAAATCTCAGGTCAAATTGTAATCCCCAGTGTTGAAGGTGGAGCCTGGTGGGAGGTGACTGGATCATGGGAGTGAATTTTCCCCTTGGTACTGTGTCACAATAGTAAGTCCTCATGAGATCTGGTTAAAAGTGTGTGGCACCTCCCCCTCTCTCTTGCTCCTACTCCAGTCATGTTAAGACATGCCTGCTTCCCTTTCACCTTCCACCATGATTGTTAAGTTTCCTGAGGCCTTCCCAGAAGCTGAGCAGATCATCATGCTTCCTGTAAAGCCTGCAGAACCGTGAGCCAATTAAACCTCTTTTCTTTATTAATTACCCAGTCTCAGGTATTTCTTTATAGAAATGAGAATGGACTAGTATAGTAAGGAGTCTGGATTTTATTGTGAGTGCCATGAGAAGTCTTTGGTGGATCCTACACAGAGCAGCATGGCCTGATTTACATTAAAACATCTGTGGTGACTGCAGGAAAGAGGGTCAACTATATGGAATGGAGCAAGCAGTTAGAAGGCTATTGTAGGGGTCCAAGCAAGAGATGGAGGTAGCTTTGACCAGATTGCAGCAGGAGGAAGGGGTGAAAAGTGGTCAGATGCAGGATACATTTTGATGACAGATCCTATAGGATTTGCTGATGAATTGTATGTGAGGTCTGAGGGAAAAAAAGAGGCATCAAGAATTATTCCAGTTTTTAGCTCCAAGTGAGTTATTGTGAAGAAGAAAGAAAAATGCAGGATAGTGAAAAGAAATTAAGAATTTTTTAAGATGTGTAAAGTGCGAGATTCCCATGTTAGACATTGATGTAGAGAAGTAAACTTGGCGGTTGATATATGTGTTTTCTATTGCTGTATAACAAATTACCACAAACATCAGTTTAAAACAGCACTGATTTATCTCAGTGATTTTGTAAGTGAAACTTCCAGGGACGGGATAGCTGGGTCATTTGCTGAGGGTGTCACCAGGCTAACAGAAAGAGGTGAGCCAGAGCTGTGATTTTCATCTGCAGCTTGGGATCCTCTTCCAAACTCACTGATTGTTGGCCGAATACATTTCCTTGCAGCTGTCTGACTGAGGTCCCCGTTTTCCTGCTGGCTGTCATACAGGGATTGCTCTCAGATCCTAGAGGCCACTCAATGTTCCTTGCCATGTGGCTCCCATGGGCAGCTCACACTATAGCTGTTTGCTTCTTTCAGGCCGGGAAGAGCACATTTCTCTAATCCTTCACCTTCTTTTAAAGGTTTGCCTGATTAATTCAGGCCCACCCAAAATAAGCTCCTTTTCATTATCTCCAAGTCAACTGATTAGCAACCAAATAACAGGAATGATATCACACCATATTCAGAGTCCACTCATAATCAAGAGTAAGGGATTATACAGAGTATGTACACCAGGGGACAGGAATTTGGGAGGCCATATTGGAATCTTGCCTCCCACAGTTAGTTATATGATGATTTTATGAGGCTGTGAAACTGGAATTCAGTGGCAATTCAGGACTAGGAAAGCCATAGGAGTGGAGAAATTACCTACAGAGAAATTGTATATATCAAAAAATGAATATTAATATAAAATACTTATGTCTAATACTTACTAAGTGCATTCTATTTGCCAGCCGCTGTTCTTTTTTGTGTGTATGAGAGGGTCTCACTCTGTTGCCGAGGCTGGAGTGCAATGGCACAATCATAGTTCACTGCAGCCTCAAACTCCTGGGCTCAAGTGACCCTCCCATCTTAGCCCCCACAGTAGCTAAGACTACAGATGCACACCACCATGCCCAGCTAATTTTTTATTTTTTTGTGGAGATGAGGTCCCCTTATGTTGCCCAGGCTTGTAGGAATCTACAAGCCTCATTTCACAGATAAGGATACTGAGGCACAGAGAGGTTAATTCACTTGCCCAACCTTATACAACTATTTAAATAGTGGTGCCAGCCGGGTGTGGTGGCTCACCCCAGCACTTTGGGAGGCTGAGGCAGGTGGACCACGAGGTCAGAAGTTCAAGACCAGCCTGGCCAAGATGGTGAAACCCCTTCTCTACTAAAAACACAAAAATTAGCAGGGCGTGATGGTGGGCGCTTGTAATCCCAGCTACTCGGGAGGCTGAGGCAGAGATTTGCTTGAACCCGGAAGGAGAAAGTTGCAGTGAGCTGAGATAGCGCCACTATACTCCAGCCTGGACGACAGAGCAAAACTCTGTCTCAAAAAAAAAAAAAAATAGTGGAGCCAGGATTTTGACCCAGGCAATCTGGATAAAAAAATCAATCTAAACTCTATTGAAGAAGAGATGTGGGAACAGAGCTGAGACCTGAATTTCCAAGTTTTTCATGTCAGAGAGAAGAGGAAGTAGCAAAGAAGATGGTGAAGAAGCAGCCCCTGAGGTAAAAGACTAAATCAAGAGCAAGCACGGGGTATCCCAAGAGCCAAATCTAGAGAGCATCATGAGAATAAATAAATGAATGGTTTTCTGGGTCACATACTAATATTCGTAGAAAAATCTCCCATGTTTTCATTCATAAAGGTGTACCAAAATGATTCCATCACTAATACATTAACTCAGTAAATATGTATTTGTCTACGATGTGCCTGGGGTGGGTAAAGCAGTGACCAAGATAGGCAAGTCCTCTCATCAAGGAGTTTACATTGTAAAAAGGGAAGGGGGACTGGAAATAAACATGTAAATAAATGCTTAAATAAGCTTATTTTATATAGGCTAGGAAGAAAGTTGAGTTGGGTTCAGAGTTAGAGATAATTAGGACTGATTCCATCTTTGCTTCACATTTTATATTAGTCTACTAGGGTTATCATTTTAAAATGCCACAGAGTGGGTAATTTTTAAAGAACAGAAATTTATTGCTCACAGTTCTGGAGGCCAGGAAGTACAAGATCAAGCCACCAGCAGATTCAGTATCTGGTAAGGGCCTGTTGCTCACATATGGTGCCTTCTGTGTGTCCTCTCCTTGCAAAAGAGGCCAACAAGCTCCCTCAGGCCTCCTTGATAAGGCATGATTCCCATGAGGCTAGTGCTCGCTCTCATGACCTAATCACCTTCTAAAGGCCCCACCTCTTAAAACCATTGCATTGTGATTAGGTTTTAACGTGTGAATTCACAGGAGACATGAACATTCAGACCATAGCAGGCCTCTTTTTCTGGCTTGTTGAAGGCTGCCCTCTCACTGTGTCCTCACATGGATTCTTCTCTCTTCCTGCATGGAGAGAGACAGACACACAAACACACACACACACACACACACACACACGCACAAAGCGAGAGAGAGAGAGAGAGAGAGAGAGAGAGATGAGAGGATGCTGCCTCTTCCTTTTCTTATAAGGACACCAGCCTATCAGACTAGAGCCCCACTCTTATGATCTCTTTTAACCTTAATTATCTCCCTAATGGCCCCATCTCCAGCTGCAGGCACCTAGGGGGTTATAGCTTCAACATACACATTTTGAGGAGACACAGTTCAGCCCATGACATTATTTTACCTGTAAAAGAACTTTCTTACAAAGGGAGAGAATGAAGAAAAAGAAAATAAGTGAGCCTTTGTATAAGAACATTAGAGAAAAATAGTAAAGAGACAGAGTCCCATTTCTCCTATTATATAAAAAATATGGGTGGTTAAAATAACTCAATTGTTAAATACATAAAAACCTTACTGATATTCATTGAAGAATTTGTGAAATGTTTAAAGTAGTGAATCTGAATGATCAAATTACTGATTTTTATTTATTCTAAAATAAACAAATGTGTCTACATTTATTTATACATACCAAGAAGTTAAACATATTTATTTATCATTCCAGAGTAGGCAGTTTCTAGTTCTGGAAATCACAGAGCTTCCATGTTCATAGGTACTCCAAGATCACTAACTCTACTCCTTGGGCTTCAGATGGCCAGTTGTAAGACTCATGAACCTAATGCCCAGCAAAGCAGGTAAGTCAGAGAGTAGCTGATGAGCAACCTAAAAGCTGGTTGGTCACACATGAGGAGGACTGGTGCAAAAGGCTGAGCTGGACCAACCCAGTTCCCTCTTGCAGGAATCTGAAATGAGCCAGGGGAACCAAAGGTGAAAGAAGGCAGAGGGACTGTGATGTAGAATCAAGGGTGACAGGGGTTATATCCGACTGTTAGAAGTGATTAGTAACCATAAGTATGCAGAATCAATGAGTTAGAGAAATTGCATAGAAGAGAGGGTGAGTAGGCAAAGTCAGAAGAAAATGAAGCAGTTTAGCGAGAAACACACATACAAGTCACAGAAAGAGTAGTCAATTCCCCAGAAGTCTCGATGTAACACAAGCATAGTGCCCCATAACTCAGAGACAAGTATGGAAGCCAGGAATAATAGTCAGGGGAAGAAAATGGAAAACTTGTTTGGCTAATGACTCTCGGTACACACCTCACTGATGGAAGTTAGGCATCCAACCTGATCAGAAAGGGAAGATGCATCATCTCCCACCATGCTTGCCCCCCTCTGTGTCTCTGTATGCATAAGATAAAAAGGTTAGGTAACACATATAAAACCCCCAACTCTGTACCAGTAATTTCTTGCTATAGCATCAACAAAATAAAATTAAATCCATATAGAGTTGGAAAGATGAGGAGAAGTCAGTCCTTCTACTCCTCATCTTTCTAAAACTGGGACCCTATTTCCAGGTTTTGGGGGTGTCCCACATGGCCACTCCCTACGCAGGGTACAGAGCTTCTCCTTTGAAACCTTTCCACAGCCCTCTGTCCTTTTAACCACTTACCTATATGGAAGCTCTAAGCTCTGTTCACCCTCTGGGCTCCAGTTGCATTAGGAGTGCTTTTATTCCTGAGAATGGAGAGAAGAGGAAGGCCATCAGTCTCAGGATGAGTTATCTAAAGAAAATTAGGACATTCTGCCATGGGGAGCTGATCCCCTTCCTACATAGCTTTTCCATCTTATTGTACCAAAAAGCCTCCCTTCTTTCTCAAATGTGAACTAAATAACAAAAAGCCTTCTCAGGAGTAGATTCTGATAGCTTTCTGATTCATTCCAGTAAACTATTTTTAAATTAAGTTTAATGATGAACATCTCTGTTCTGTGCAATTCAGAGCCCAACTAAACCGGTGTGAAACAGTTTTTTTAATAAGGAAATAAAAATATTATAAATAACATTTGAGAACAAATGGTTACAGTTAACAGATTGGCAGAGGAAATTGCTATGTATACTAACATTCTGCTATGATTCTGTTTATCAATAATTTTCTTAGGGAAGTCTTTATAACTAACACAATAAGTCAATATTCAAATTATTATTAGTTTTGAATGTAGTGAAATCTGAATTATTGAGGTTTATTATGTTCTCAAACACCATTCAACTTCTGCTGATATATTCACTATATATTAAAAGCATACTTGATTAACTAGATAGTCACATGCAGAAGAATGAATTGGATTACAAAAAAATGGTTCTTACCTCACACAAAATATAAAAATTAAAATGGGTTAAACACATACATGTAAGAGCTAAACTATACAACTCTTAGAAGAAAATATAGGTGTAAATATTTGTAACCTTGGATTACATCATTGTTTCTTAGATATGACAACTACAGCACAAGCAACAAAAGGAAAAACCAAATAAATTAAACAACAAATTTTAAAACCTGTGCTTCAAAGGACACCATTAGAAAAGTTAAAACTTTATATCTGAAGCCCATAGATTATGAAAAATATTTTAAATCATCTGATATGAACTTATATCCAGAATGTATTTGTTAAAAACTCTTACAACTAAACAATAAAAAGACAAATAATCCAATTTTTAAATGGGCAAAGCATGTGAATAGACATGTATTGCTCCAAAGAAGATAAACAAATGGCCAATGAATACATGAAAAGATGCTCAACATCATTAGTCATCAGGAAATGCAAATCAAAAACCACAATGAGATACCATTCACACACACTAGGATGGTTAAAATAAAAAAGACAGATAATAACAAATGTCGGTGAGGATGTGGAAAAATGCAAACCCTCATACATTGCTTGGGATTACAAAATGGTGCAGCTACTTTGGAAAACACTTTGGCAGTTCCTCAAAAAGTTAGAGTTATCATTTGACCCAATAATTTCACTCTTAGGTGTATATCAAAGGGAATTCAAAATATACATGCATGCAAAAACTTAGGGATGAACGTTTATAACCTCATTATTCATAATAGCCACAAAGTGGAAACACCCAAAATGTCCATGAACTGATGAATGGACAGACAATGTGGTATATCCATCCAGTAGTTATAAAAAAGTATGAAAAGGAATAAAGTATTGATTCATGTGAACCTTGAAAACATGCCAAGTGAAAGGAACCAGAACAAAAGACCATGTATTATGTGATTCTAATAGCATAAAATGTCTAGAACAGTCAAATCCATAGAGACAAAATAGATTAGGGTTGCTAGGGCCTGAGGGGAGGAGGATATGGAGAATGAATGAATGCTAATGGTCACAGTTGGGTTGTTTTGTTTTGCTTTGTTTTGTTTTTTGAGATGGTCAAAATGATCTAAAATCAGAGAGTGATGATAGTTTCACAACATTGTTAATATGCTAACAAGTGAATTTTGAACCAGTGAATTCTGAACAAGTGAATTTTATGATAAATTATATTTCAATAAAGCTGCTGGGTCTTTTAAATAACATATTTTAACATAGTAATGGGTTGGCATAGTTACCCAGCCATATTTTAACCTTATACTTTACCTTTTATTATTTGTTTATTTATTTGTTCAACAAACATTAAGAACCTGTTATTTATAAGCAATCCGTTAGGTACTAGGAATAGAGAATTGAACATGATCCAGTGTCCCTAAGGCTAGTGGGACTAATAGAAACAATGACATATAGTTATAGTAATATATGATATGTGCCATAAGTCAGAATAATGACGTCTACACAGTACTGGCTAAGAATTGGAACTATTTTAAAAAGGTGTCTTGCAATTAATTTTTTACCTTCCCTACCTTACTCTTTGGAGATCAGGCAGTCAAACATCAGGATATTGCGTCCCCGCCAAAAAAAAAAGCAAGAGAGAGAGAGAAACAAGAAGCTCGATTTGCCTGGACCATCCAGAGTTGGTGGTCAGAAAGGTGGTATAAAAATAGCTGTTTTTAGGCCAAATAAGCATGTTGGTTACTTCTGCCTTAGAGAACACTACAGCTTTTCAAGTAATTTTAGCCAATGAGCTTCTTTCTGTCTTGATTTGAATTCAGATTTTGTCATCAAAACTATATTCCATGATTTCCTTGCCTTCATTATATCTGAAGAGCTGACAAAATAGATGTACTATTGCCATGAAAGTAACTCAGACATGTGTCTGTTGGGTTTACTGAAGGCAATAATAGACGTTTACCAAAAACCCCTAAAATCTCACCTGTTTATCATCATCCATATAAAAATCTCCAGTCACACCCTCAGATCAGATAAATGTACCAAACTCAGTAATTGGTATTCCCAAAAGGCTGCCTATGTGTAAGTTGAGTTTGAAAGAAATCAAAGGACAGACAGTCACCTCTTTTAAAAGCCTATCCTGTACCCATGGAGCAGGCTATAACAATATACCTTGGTTGTGTGTATGTTTTCAGAGGAACACTGAAAACTAACAAAAAAAAAAAAAAATCTGCCAGTAAAAATTACTCTCAAGTGGTTGGTAACTTTAACTACAGTCATTTCCCCATTTATTTAACCTAAAAACATTTCCAAAGATTTAAACTATTTCCTGTGCTTCATGGTATGGCTTCGCACACCCGAACGACTTTACATCATCGAAGGGGAATGCACGATGGGGAATGGTTGACTCTAACGAAGAACAGTTTTATTTCAGCACGGTTGTATGGATGGCTATTTTTCCCCTTCCTCACTTTATTTCACATGCTGAAAGATCAGCCCTTAGATGGCCATGTTCCAGGCAGATGCGTTTCCAACGGAGCAGCAAGGCATCAAGGTAAGGCAAATGCCTTCTGCAACATCCCCTGTAGTTTATGTTTGGCTATATCATTACAGGACCATCTTCTTCCCTGTAGGCTGATTGCATTCCAACAACAAAAGCTGCATACATTTGATTCAAAAACAAACACTGGAATACTTCCGGATACAAGCTGTTAAGAATCTGTACAATTGCCTTGTCATTTATAAAATTTTTACTAATCTTTCATGACGCACTTGCTTTGGCATGAATGATCTTACTAGAACTACCTTTCTGAATCTTATCTTTTCTAAGGTAACTTTTTGATTTATTTTGTTTTCACATTTTCCTTCCTCAATTTTGATGAAAAGGAAAAGAGAACTGCTCCAGCTAGCAATCCCGGGCACCACCCAGAACAAAGGATCCTCTCAAGAAAGAAAATGAGATTGTCACCTGTTTCCGGGAACCACATTCAAAGGCAAACTGCTTAGCCGAAAGGGACTGCCTGCAGTATAGACTCCAACACAAAAAAACACATTAAAATCATTTCATGCACATGATATTAGAAATACAAAAGGAAAGAAGCCTTCCCAACACCACTTGCCAGAGCACCTGTAAGCCAGGTGCCTTGTGCCAAGTCACTGTATATAGCACATGTGGTCTTACAATAACGTTACATACATTCCTATATTCCGTCCATCCTTATGGAAAAACAAAAAGAATATTTCCACCAAGACTTTATCCTACAACATTACCCTTCATTACAGAGTTATATGGCACCATCTGTGTTACAGGGTAGAAAATAAAAGTTTTAGAATTATATTCAAGTACTATCTTTGACTTTTTGGTGAAGTTGCAGATTCCATAGACTACTAGATTATAAATTTTTAAAGTCCAGAGTTGTATCTTATGAACTGCTTCCTTAATAAATATATATCATATTCAGATATCTATAGGTAATTAATGAAACAGTTCCATTCAGCTGTATATTACAGCCACATTGAGTTATCCTCTCAGGCTTTCCTTTATAGTTAGAAACAAAGTTCTCTAACCTTGTAAATTCAGTCCTTATTAAATGCCCCTCCCATTGCCACCTTAGATTTATTAGCTTTATAAATTTGAAGCTTAAGTTTTTAGTCTACCCAAATGTCAGAGGACATAGACAGATATAATATTACCTAGATTCATTATTTCATGTTCATTATTATTATGTTCATTTTTTTCTTCTAATTTTTTTTGAAAATTTAAAATTTTTGAAATATTTGTTGAGTGGGGGGCTGAATGTATTATGGGCCCTAGAACTGTGGGGTCAGTTCTCCCTTGTTTCTGAGTAGATGCCTAGAAGAAATCACAGATTTCATAGAGCAATAACTGAAGTTGTGTTCATTTGGTCTTAAGATAGTAAAAAGATTAGTGACTCTTCACACTATAAATCCAGACAAAATGATGGCTTTACCATATAAATAACAGTACTTCTCAAGACATGCTAAGATAAAGCAAGTTCGTTTCAAGGAAGACATGAAAATACTTTGGAAGAAAAGTCAACTGACTTCTTAATTTTTCGTTACAAACTTGGAAAGAATGTTCTTTTAGTTTATAATTTCTTTAAACTGCAAATACCAGCCAGAGCCTTATGACCAATTGTAGAAATAGGGTCTATCACCTCTACCTGTACATCCATATTTGCTGCTAAATTATACAAAGACTAACTATATACTTAAAATTTCTACTTTTTAAAATTCTTTTCATCCACTATTTTATATATGGCAGTTAAGACGATCATTTAACAAATCAGTGGTTGACGAGTTAATTTGGGTTCAGGAGCAAACATCCTCAGGGGAAGTTTGTGCACTCTCAGAGTCTTGGCCCATGGCATGATCTCTGCATGCATTAGCTGGAAGGGACTGTGGGTTGCTGCTCCTGATAATGGAGGGAATATATTTGTAATTATTTATGAAAAGGCCAGCCCATGTTAAGCAAGACCAACGTTAAGATCAACAAAATTGTGTGTGTGGGCAGAAGGGTGTGTTGACTGGATAATCAAAGGATGGGATGACATTGACATTCTGGAGTGTCTATGCAAGTACCACCAGACTCCACCTCTGCTGCCGTTTCCTCGGCCTGTGGCCCTAGCTTACTAGATGAGCAATGAACATCTGACCTAAGTTAGGCCAAATAGATTCTGTCTCACATATGAATCTGAAATGAAAAACACCAAGACTGTTTTGTGGGAGGTGCATCACATTTATGGCAGAGCTCTAAAGCAGAAGTGAAAATCTGGACCAAAAAGAAAGAGGGAGGAAGCAGATAAGCCAAGGGATGCAGAAGAGAGGCCACATGGCCTGAAAAGGAAGAGAGGGGTAGCCACTGGGTTCTCTGGAAACTCTTTTAATGCTGTTCCAGGCCCCCATGTGGCCTGGTTGCTCTTCGGCTCTAGACTCCCACACACACCATTAATTTGGCTTAGGCACATTTGCATAGTTTTCTGATCCTTGCATCAGAAATATCCCTGCATGAGCCAGCATGTTTTTTTCTTTGGAATATATGTGGCTATGAATGATACTCAAAAATTTTACTCATACATATAGAACTACCTTGACCAGTCCTAATACCTAGGAACTCCAGCCTAAACATAGAGAGAGGGCTCAGGAAACCCGTGCTTTGGCAGATAGTGGCCCTGTACTTGCTGGACCATGGGGAGGACCCAGGCCGGGCCCTAGGTACTGACCTAGGTACTTTTCCCTCTGTGGACCCCGTCCTATATAAATTATATCAAAAATTATATTTTATGACTATGTTGGTAAAAAGACAGATACAATCTTGGCTAGATTCATAATTTTATATTCATTATTATGTTCATTTTTTTCTTATTATTTTTAAAAATCTAAAATTGAAATATTTGGGTGGGGGGCTGAATGCATTATGGGCCTCAGGCATTGTGCCTAGTGTGCCTAATGAATAAGTTGGCCCTGGTCCCAGGAGAGCAGTAGGGCCTATTTACCAAATTATTACAGAAGTGTTTCAGAATTGCAGCTATAGCCATGGCCATACTGTTGTGTACCAGCTGAATATCAACCCTGTACCTGGCATAGACCACTTAAATGTACATTGTCAGAGGAAGGGCCTAATATATATACAATTATTGTTATTTGTACATGTTACTATATATGCACAATTGATAAAGAAACCACAGCAATATTTTGTACGTTTGATTGACACACAGGTTCATACAAATGTATAGGAAATGTTTGGGAAGGATAAACACAAAATTGGGTACAATGGCTGCCCTTGGAGAAGGAAGGAGCCATTTAGAGTTACAAAAGATGGTCAAAGGGGAATTTTACTTTATTTGAATGTATTAATTGCTTTATAGAAGAATTTATCTCATGCATTACTTACATAAATAAAACATTTAACATTTAGTTAAAGGCTAAATATACCATCTGCCTAGAGAAGGCTGATGATAAGCCCAGAAGACCTGTCTTGAAGAACTGCAATGTTTATAGCTGAACAGCTAAACACAGAGTCCTTGGAGCCTGACTGTCCTGGCTGTGGCCCAGCTCTGTCACTGACAAATTACTTAGCCCCTCTATGTCACAGTTTCCTCAGCTGTATAATGGAAGAAGTAATCGTAAACTACCTTATGGGGTTATTGTAAGGATTAAATAAATTAATATATGCAAAACTCTTGGAATAGTCCCTGCTGCATGTTAGACTATGTTTTAGCTCAAGTTATTGTGAGTGTTATCATCGATTATTTCTATGTTTAACAAGTTCTCCTAAGTGTTCCCTGAAGTTAGTAGTACAGAAGCTGGAAAGTCCCTGCTGCCTATGCACAGACTCAAGGATTTGGTGCAAGCCAGTGTGGGGAGAAGTGAAAGGCGTTCCCAGGAATGAAGAGTAATCAAAGTTTGAGTTACTGAGGTTGGCAGTGAGGTCAACATGAGCTGCTAGCCCTCTTGGATAAGGGGAGCAGCTATGCACTCACTGGGCAGTCCATTACAGAAAAGAGAGGCAGGTTTCATTCTGTCCAAACCACAACATACTGAGGCCTATGTGCCAGGCCCTGGGCTAGATGCTGAGGGTGCTGAGGAAGAATACCACGTTACTATGTTCCTTTAAGGACTGCATCCTCTTGAACAGAAACCCAGAAGAAGATTCAAAACTCACCACAGCATCATGCCCCTCCTCAAAGCACTGAGGGGTCTTTTGCCAAAATGAATGCCTGCTTCTTTGAGCTTTCTTCATTATATCTAAAGCGAAAATCACAGAGTTTTCATTTTACTGACAACAGATAATATACTGACCATGAAATTGACATGCAGATTAATTAGAGTTTATGATCAGCCACACGAAAGAAATATAGCAGGCACTGTTATAAAGGATTATGAAACAAGAGGATCCCTTTACATACAGCAATAGAGGAAAGGGTGTCTGAGAAGGTGAGATTTAAGCAAGGAGCCATCTATGCGGGAGGAAGACAGTTCCAGTCAAAGCAAGTCTAACCTGTAAAGGCTATGAATTGGAAATGACTTTGCTATGTGTGAGGCTGGTATGGCTAGATAGGTCCAAGGCAAAAGGAAATAAAGTCAGAAACGTAAACTGTGGCCAGATGATGTTGATTCAAAGTGAAAATATGAACCAAGTGTCTTAAGACAGAAACAACAGGATCTGATATTTCTCCACTCTTCTCCACATTTGTGAAAATAAAAGAATCACTAATTAAGATATTTGCCTACAGAGACGCTACAGGACAATCTGTTTCCAGGCAATAATGGAGCAAAGAAAGGCACTTTATCAGATATTTACAAATACTTTTCACATAATTTTTCCCTTTATTCATCATATAATTTTATTTGAACTACTAACATTTTAAGGTATTATTGTTGACATTTTGTAGATAAGGAAAGAGACTCAAAAAAGTTTGGGATCTTACTTAAGGTCACATAGTGAGTATGTGGCTAAACTAGGTGGGTAATTTAGGTTTTATGGCTCTTGTCTTCTTTCTGCTAGACTAGACCAAGAGGGACAGGATGAAGACTCATAACATCTTCCTTACTGTGGTTACTGTGGAGTTCATCAGTGATGAGGGAGAAGAGAATACAGTGTTCCTGAGGTGGAAGAATAAGTGTGGCATATACAGTGCAGAGATTGTCTGGGAATGTCTTACCCTGCATGCTGCATGAGGGGGCAAGGGAGACAAGTATAAGAAAACCACAGCCCTCAAAGTCATGCCAAATTCAGTTAGGCCTGGTGTGATCAACTGTGTAATTGCTAAAGCTGGAATCTATGGCCTCTTGTATGTTCCAACTCATTCCCGCAGAAAATTTGGAAAAGCTTTGCATCATGTGTTCAACTGGGCTGTGTCTTCCACAGGCTCTAGCTCATTGTTTTATTTAGCATATGCCAGAATCTGGCAAGTTTACCTAAATCAACACCAAATTCCAGGAGTTTGCTGACATAAGATCTCCTTTTTTAAAATTTTTTTTTCTTCCCCCTACTATTCTTCATTCAAGAAAAGCATTAGCATGGAGTGACTGAGAGAGTCTGCCTGCGGGAGGGAGTGTTTCAAACAGTTCAAGACCCTGTGCTTCTCTTCCAAATTACACCTATCTACAAGCTCTCAGGAGAGGAGAGTTGATTAAAGATTGGTGCCTAATAGCATCAGAGATCAGCAAGAGTCCAGGTTTCTGGCATCTTTCCATCATTGTTGCTATACTGGTGGGTAGTCCTGCTGCTTAACCCATGCCGTATCAAAGCAAGCTACAGTCTCCAACATAAAGCTCCAGCATGTGAAAATCCTGCTAAATACTGGGTGGAGTACAGCTGGGTGTCCCAAATTATTGATGTGCATCACTGATGGTTTGTAATTCATATATGGGGATATGTGGGAGAATAATTTTTGTAGATATGGCTTTTTTTTTTTTTTTTTTTGAGACAGGGTCTGGCTCTGTCATCCAGGCTGAAGTGCAGTGACACAATCTTGGCTCACCACAACCTTCACTGCCTGGGCTCAAGGGATCCTCCCACATCAGCCTCAAAAGTAACTGGGACTACAGGCACATGCCACCATGCCTGGCTAATTTTTGTATTTTTTTGTAAACATGGGGTTTTGCCATTCTGCCCAGGCTGGTCTTGAACTCATGAGCTCAAGGGATCCACATGCCTCAGCCTCCCAAAGTGCTGGAATTACAAATGTGAGCCACTGCGCCTGGCCAGATATGGCATATTTTAATGCACATTCAAAAAGAATATAATTAGAATTTCAAACTTGTGATCTACATAAACATATTTGCTAACGGAGAGGTTGCAGTACCTGGTATCATGGTGATTCACGTTACACTGCCCACAAAAGTTACTGGTGTGGTATCAGGTGCTACAAAGCTATAGTAAAGTCATGATGGTAGTGCCCCACTGCCTGGCAATTAGAAAATATTAATGTAGCACAAAGTGCACTGAATTGAGACTGGCTAACATAGGCCAATTGAGAAATGTTTCAGCATTAACAATAGTGTCCTTGAAGACAGGAACTAATATAGTTTGGGTATGTGTCCCTGTCCAAATCTCACGTTGAACTGTAATCCCCAGTATTGGAGGTGTGGCCCGGTGGGAGGTGATTGGATCATGGGGCTGAATTTCTCATGAATGGTTTAGCACCATCTCCTTGGTTCCATGCTTGCAATAGTGAATGTCTTCTTGCAAAATCTGGCTGTTTAGAAGTGTGTGGCATCCCTCCCTCTCTCTTGCTCCTGCTCTAGCCATGTGACGTACCTGCTCCCCCTTCTCCTTCTGCCATGATTGTAAGTTTCCTGAGGCCTCCTCAGAAGGTGAGCAGATGCCAGCATCATGCTTCCTGTAAAGCCTACAGAACCACAAGCCAATTAAACCTCTTTTCTTTATAAATTACCCAGTCTCAGGCATTTCAATGCAAGAACAGCCTAATACAGGAACAATGTTTTCTTAAAAACTGTATTAGTTTCCTATTGCTGCTGTAATAAATAGTCACAAACAGTGGTTTAAAGCAACACGAATCTATTTTCTCACAGCAGAAGTCTGAAATGTGCCTTACAACAGCAAAATCATGGTGTTGGCAAAGCTGCATTCCTTCTGGAGGCTCTAGGGGAGAATCTCTCATCTCTCCTTTGCTTTTTCCAGTTTCTAGAGGCTGCCAGAATTCCTTTTCTCATAACCACTCCACTCTTTGCATCTGTCATCATCTCTCTCTCTCTCTGACTGGCTCTTCTGCCTCCTTTCACTTGTAAAGGACACCTGTGGCTACATTGGGCCCACCTGTATAATTCAGAATACTCGCTCCACCTCTATATTCTGAATTTAATCCCAGCTGCATAGTCTACTTTCAGCCATGAAGAAGTAGCAAAGATTTGATTTTCCTTCCCCAAATAAACAATTAGAAAGCTAGGGGGAAAAAAATGAAACAGCTGTTCGCAGCCATTGGCCAACATGCACAGCAGTATTCTGATTTCTGAGAAAAGGGGAAAAAGAGAGATGGTTCCTACAGTTATGCTTGCTTTCTGCCTGAAATCACATTGCAGACCATGAAGGAAGGTGGGGGTGTCCCAAGCATGGCATGGCAGGTTTGCTAAGTTAAGGAGAGAGAGAATCAGACTTCAGGAAGCCTAAAATAGCAAAAAGTTGCAAGGAAGTTCTGGGAGCAGGGCCCTGTGCAGAAAAATAGTTTCTGAAATCTGAATAGAGGTCCTCTTGAGTCTTAGTTGAATACTAAGATCTTATGCACAGGATGGAAAATCACGGGACTAGGCAAGCAGCAGCTCAGGAGTTATGAACTGAATGGTTTACAGAGCTCACCTGGGGCTGAGCTGAAAAATGAATGAAAAATGAATGTATCTCTGTGATGTGTGAGATAATAACAAAGGGTCTAACATATGTATACTTACAGTCTGAGACGGGGGAGAACAGGAGTGAAAGAATAAAAATTGTGGGAGAAATAATGGCTGAAATTTACTCCAAATTTGATGATACAAAAAGCTCAATGAACCCAATGAAAAATATATAAGAAATAAAAAATAACAGGAGGTATTATATTCCTGACCAGATGAGACAGAAAGTCTTTACCACTCCAGGCACTCAGTAGAAACACCAGAAAGGCTATACTTTAGAAGGGGATTTAAATATCCGTAACAGTGTAGGGTACTGTAGAATCACCTTAATAAGTTTTAAAAAGTCTCAAGAGGGTCAAAATGAACAGCAAACTGAACCACAAAAGCAATGCCAGCACTCTTTAAAGGGTGACAACAAAATCCAGACAGTTGGTGACATAATATTCACAAGTTTCAGCATAAAATAAAATATTATTAAACATTCCAAAGCAGGAAAACGCAACTCATAACCAAGATAAAAGTGTTTCAAAAGAAATAGATCAGCAAATGATGAAAATGATAAAATTGCAATCAAAGGCATTAAAAACTATTTTAACCACATTCAAATATTTAATAAAACACATGAACGTAGTGAGGATATAAATGGAAAATATAAAACTAAACCAAATGAAATATCTAGGAAAAAAAACAACAATATCTTAAATGAAAAGGATTAAACACTCCAAAGGAAAAGATTAATGAAACTGAAGACACAGTAACACACATTATCCAAATGAAGCAGAAATGTAGGGAAAAGACTGAAACAATGAGTGATCTCTCTGATTTGTGAGATAATAACAAGGGGTCTAACATGTATTTTATAGCCTGAGAAGGGGAGAAGGAATGAAAGAATACAAATTTTGGGAGAAATAATGGCCGAAATTTGTTCCAAATCTGATGACACAAAAAGCTCAGTGAGCCCAAAGAAAAATATATACAAAATAAAAACGAAAAAATAGTTCAAGGTCCAGTACATACTAATCAAATTTCTTTTAAAAAGTCATGAAAGAGGCCAGACACAGTGGCTCACACCTGTAATCCCAGTACATTAGGAGGCCGAGGCAGATGTATCACTTGAGGTCAAGAGACTAGCCTGGCTGACGTGGTGAAACCCCATCTCTACTAAAAATACGAAAATAATTAGCTGGGTGTGGTGGTGCACACCTGTAGTCCCAGCTACTCAGAAGGCTGAGGCAGGAGAATGGCTTGAACCTGGGAGGTGGAGGTTACAGTGAGCTGAGATCACACCACTGCATTCCAGCCTGGGCAACAGAACAAGACTCTGTCGGAGAGGGCGGGTGGGGGAAAGAAGCATAAAAGAAAAATCTTAAAAGCAGAGAAAAAAAGATGGCATTACTTAAGTGGAACTAGGGTAACACATACAATAGATTTCTTGGCAGTAACTATGAAGCTCAAAGACAAAGGAATAACATCTTTAACATGCTAAAAGTTGGAAAGAAAACAGAAAAAAATACCTATCAACCTATAATTCCAAATCAAGCAAAAACATCTTCCTAAAATAAGCAGCAATATAGACTTTTTTAGACAAACAGAAAAATCAGATAGAATTCATTTCCAGTCAAAGCATGAGCACTCTAGCAATGGTATTTGAATAAATATTTAAAACTTGTCCATTTTTATTTTACTTAAAGATAAAGCAAAACTAGTAGAAATGTATTGTGAAATGAATGACATACATATGTTTAAAGTAAAAATAAGAAAAATGTATTAGGGATTTTATAATATGTATGACCTTAATAGCCAAAGTAATGACAATAGAAATGAAAATATATTGTGGTAAGGTTCTTTCTTCAAGCATGAAATAGTGTAGTATCATTTTAAAATAGAAAGCGAAAATTTTAAGAGGAAGATTGTAAATCTAGAGCAACTGTTAAAAACTAAATCAACAAGTTCTGGATAATGACCTGTTAAGTGGTCATAAAATAAAATCATGAAAAATTCTCAATTAATCCAAAAGAAGGCAGAAAATAAGGAAAAACAAGAAAGAAAGAACAGATGTGACAAAAACCAAACAGCAAGATGGCTGACTTCAACCCAACCAGATCAGTAATCACCTTAAGTGTGAATGTAGTAAACTACAATAAGGTGGAGACTTTCATAATGAATAAAAAAGCAAGATCAACTCTATGCTGTCTATTTAAAGACATGAATCTTAATGTAAAGACACAAATAGGTTAAAAGTAAAAGGGTGGAAAAATATGCCATAGAAACACTAATCGTGATCATGACAGCACACAGCTGTCTTACTGTTCTTTCTTGTTTTTTATATGAGGTGGTGCTATGCAATAATTCCCAGAACAAAATGGGTCCAAGAAATGTGCATGTGACACTTGTGAAACTGAAGAACCAAAGATGTTAACAGGTATGGGGCTAAGAGTACACAGGAGAGACAGGCATAGGTTTGCATTTTATTTGGTATGGAATTAAAGCTAAACAAAGCATTTTGATGAAGTTCAAAGCAGGGATTTTTGCCTGTAGTTTGGGTCCCCTCTGAAGCAGTTTGACTTCTCATCTGTTTATGAAGCATGTACAGTTTCAGGCCTCCTCCTCAGCAACAGAGAGCCCGTCCAAAAAGCGTTAACCAAGAATTAGATAGAGCAGGCCAGGGACATTCTAAACAATGATTTCATACTCTGGGTTTATCCTGGGTTTCCCTGAGTTTCCAGGGTAACTATTTATTGTAAAGCCTTGGCATCTTTTGGGTTAAGCTATAGGGCAAAATCCTATAAAATTAGTGAAACAGAACTCTTATGGGTTCATGAGTGTATCAAGCAGGCCAAGACAAGGTTTGGTCTGGGACTACATCTAGCTCCTCTACTCCTACTCCCTCTGTGATTCCCCTGGGATGGAGAGGCAGTGGAATAGCAAAGGTTTACTGAATCTTCAGTGAAATCTTCAGTGATTCTATTTTGTCACTGGGGACTGTCTAGTCTAGAGAGAAATAGAGGAAAAACTTTGCAAGTCCTGATATTAATTCACTCTAGCAAGGATCATGATAAGAACCTAATCTGGCAATATTTCTGGGGAACACTGGAATAAGGAGCATGGCCACTAGGAAAGTTATGTGCATGAGAGCATCTCTGCCATCTGGAAGAAAGATACTTCAGTAGAAATATTGATAATGCTCTCTTTACCTCCTCTCTCCACTCCTCACGAAGTCTCAGAGGTGAAGCCTCCTGGACAAAGGCAGGCAGAAGAAATCTCTGCCAGCAGCTGAGAGGAAGGTCCCTGGAAAATAAACTAGCTGCTCTTAAGGCATAGAATTAATGAGTACATCTCAGAATAGAGGTTCAATTAGGAATGCTAACTACATATTACAGACTGACGTTACACAGTGACCCAGCCGTTAGGGATCCTCTCAAGAATGCTTCAATAGCAAGAGAGATATACAGATGTCATCCCCCTACAAACTCTCAGCATATATACATTCACAGTCATCAAGTGATATCCCAAAGCAAAATACTACGAACTCTGCCTGCTACCACAGGTGCTGTCATTGCTCATATTTTAGGTTCAACAGTCCTCTCGTTTGTTAGTCTACACTGTGATGCCTCTGTTTCTTTTATTTCTGGAAGTGCTTAATTTTTGATAAGTACAAAGGCACCAAGAACTTTCAAAGTGCTATTTAAAAATGTTCTGATGGCCATGGAAACAAAATTCAAAAGCAGAAAAAAATCCAAATTGCCAAGAAAACGACAGAGGTCCACAGATTCCCAGGATGAGCCATTCATCTGTACAAGTAATTTTGAAGGACGAAGAACAAATCATGCAAGGTGAAAATCTCTAAGCAAAGGACAGTAATCAGCAAGAAACAAAGAAAAGTGGAGGATGAAATATTTACTCTTAATGTCAAAATCTATTAGCCTAATGTTAATTCAGAAGAAGTCCAGGAGCATGATGGAGAACTTAACTGTAAAAGTCTGCTACAGAAACTTTTATTTTTCAGTGTTTCTGATGGACTGCACAGCATCAAAGGGAGTGTTGATGAGTGTGGATACAGTAGCTGCTAAAGTATTCCGGATATAACTTGCAGAGATCATGAGGCAAGGTGCGGTGGGGTGTAGGTAGAAGATGGTCCTATTACATTAGAACTTCAATATGGGCAAAACTGGTTTTACTTTTTCAAAAGAAGATGCTCAAAAGAACATATGTTAGCACAAAAGAAAATTACATGCCTAGTTTTAAACCTTTAATCACGAAGGACTTGGGAACAAATGGACCTAGAAACAGACTTTGAATGCTGTTTGTGTAAACAGAGTTATTTGGAATGGATTAAAGCCACTTCGTGGTGCTCTAATTGAAGTGTCATCACTGGGCCTGGCCCAATGCAGGGAAGCATCAGTTCTCAACTGGGATGAGAACAGCAACAGTTCTTAGCAGAGTACTTGGTCCCCAGCTTCATACGTGGCGTGGTGGAAGAAACAGGGAGCAGGGGTCTCTTGGAACCACAGGGAGATTTTAGAAAAGAACTTGACAAGGAAAACCTGTGTTCTTCCCATTTCTACTCATTAGCACAAAATGGGGTTAGAATTGGCAGAGGAGAAATCCCAGGGCCTTTATGATTTCACCTCCACGGCTGGTGTGGTCAATAAAAAAGGGCCACTGCTCTGCCATGCCTACAGAGGAAGTAGATTTAAAAGACTCTGAAGTCTTGGCTTCCATAGATGTTCAAAATGTACTTTTACTGATTGAGTGATAGGTGTGCAGTGATGCTGGGAAGAGAGAATTCATTGAACATAATTACTTTACTATCGCTAAGTAGTAGAATTCCTCCAAGGAAAGAACCGTCTTTGGGCTTATTTGGGAATGCAGTTAAGGACAGACTTAGATAGGTTTGAACTGAAACATAATATTAGCTAAACTGATCTCTATATAAAATAAATAAGAATTTGAGGGGAGGAGAATGAGGTGTAAGCTGGAGAGAAGGATGAGACATGAGCTGGAGAGGAGAAGGAAGAATGATGAATGAGTTGGAGACAAACAGCAACATGGCAAAGCAAATATTCCTGGTTCCAGGAATTATCACAGTAAGAAGAAAGATGTGAAGTTTCCATTATAGATTTTTATATTGTGTAATCCTAGTCCCAAACTGTTAGTGAAGACTGCCATACAGTCAGCGCACTTTGGTTGAGAAGGGATTAGGGCTGGGCATGGTGGCTCATGCCTGTAATGCCAGAACTTTGGGAGGCCAATGCAGGAGGATCCTTTGAGTCCAAGAATTCAAGACCAGCATGGGCAACAAAGTGAGACCCCCATATCTACAAAAAACATTTTTTAAAAAATAGCCAGGTGTAGTTGCACACACCTGCAGTCTCAGCTACTTGGGAGCCTGAGGCTACAGGATCACCGAAGCCCAAGAGTTTAAGTTTACGGTGTGCCATGATCACACCACTGGCCACTGCACTCTAGTGTGGGCAACAGAGTGAGACTCTGTCTCTAAAGAAAAGAAAGAAGGTGGGGTGGGAGAGAGAGAAAGAAAGAGAGAGAGAGAGAGAAGGGTAGGGGAAGGGAGGGGAAGGGAAGGGAGGGAAGGCAGGGGAGGATTGGACACAAAGGGGGATGGGATTGTGCCCAGTGGGATGACATGGTGAAGGAAAGGAACAGGAGGAAACAGCCAAGATGGCCCAGAGAATTCATTGCAAGTAATAATTCAGAGTCAGAGCACCAAGAGAAAGTCCCCTGCCCTAACACCAGACACACACACACACACACACACACCCCTATTCACTGCCACCAACATCACCACCACCACCAAGAGCCTCTAGATATGTTAGAAAAGACACCAGATATACTACTATATTTTTCATGGGGTTCATACCCATTGTTGCTTAAATCTTAAAGGGCAAAGAAGTCCAAGCAATTAGAGATCTTGGACACATCCAAGAACTAAAATCTGAGTCTGCACTCTAAGCAGGCCACCCTGAACTCACACTGTCTGTCTAACAACAGCACTGTTCCAAATCCTAGGTTATCCTTTTATTCTTCTTAATGACTTCCAGAGCATTTCTCAAAGATGAGAAGAAAAGCCCCAAAAGAAAAAAATCAGGTAGATTGCAGGCCTTGACGTAGCCAACCCACCTCTATTAGAGCAATCCCTGGGCAATTTCCCAGTGCCTCTGGGAGAAAGGTTCATTGCTTCTAGTTCTTCTGGCAGAGCCACTGTATGTAAATATATTTACTTCTCATTTTCCACTGGCATGGGAATAGGATGTAGAAATCTCCAGCTACAAGTGCTGATATTTAGAGCTTATGATAAGTCAGACAATTTAAAATACCTAGAAGTTAAGGTAAGTGTGTGTTGTATGTCTTAGAGGTGCCCAACTGCAAAGAACTCTCCATTGTTAGAGACAAATTTTCGAAAGGAGGTTTCTAATACTCATTCAGAGACCTGTAATTTAATGTGTTTTTGTTTTTTGCTTAAACTCTGATGGAATATAGAATTGAATATGGAATCTAACCAAGAGGGATAAACCCTACAGCTTTGGTGTTGTCTGTATTTTCTGATTAGAGTGTGCCGCTAGATTATTTGCACACTCAGAATACATCATGACATTTGCATACGACATCTTGACAGACTCCGCCATGGGAGACTGTCTCTTCAGCTTTTCTCAAAACAGCCTGTAATTCCCCTGTCTCTCACAAACTGTGGCCAAGAACTTTGTCTTTATTTCTTGAGGCTTTTTTCAACATGGCATCTTTTTGCTCTAATAATTTTGCAAAGTAGCTTTCTCTTCACAATAAGTTGGTTCCTGAAAAGCGGTATTATTGGATTATTGGAAATCAAATATGTATTCGATGTAACCAGGAAACTTATCCTTTATGGAAACTCTAGCAAAAAAAAAAAAAAAAAAAAGAATTTGTGTAATATAAACAATAGCTCTGAATTTATTTGTTCTATACGTTTGTATGGGAGCAGATTTTCTTAAAGGCAGTGATGTGTAGATACTTTTAAATGTGATGTTATTTTTTTTGTCATCAGATAGCTATTTAAAAATTTCCTTTTATTTCTCCAACCTCAATTAGACTAGAAGTCTACAATCCTATAGCAAATTGTAGCCACACTAGTGTCCCACTGGCACTCCCTCTCTTCATGAAACGACTTTCTAATTGGCTTAAATATAGAATAATTGTGTCACAAAAGAAAAATGCCCACTACCATTAAACCCAGCACTCCGGACTATTAACATTAACGAACAGGGAGGAAGGACTGAGGAAGACTGACTCCTCTAAACCCCCAACCTAGGATTAAATGTGTGCTAATCTATCCTTGTATCAGTCTGTAAAAGCATTCTGCTGCTGCCTCAGCCTTCACACTGCACAGAATCAGTTCATATATATTTCCCATTTGGGGTTTTGGGCAAAGTTCCATTGAGGTCTCGTCCAAGAAACTCCCCCAGGGCCTTCAGGGTCATAAGTCCTGCAGGTTTATGATGGCTTGATTTTAACTTCTGACTACACTGGGCAAGATTTTACATACCTGATGATAGCAAGCCTCACTCTGGGCCAAAAAGCTCTGCAATCCAATTGGTGGTAAGTCCTGCTAATTCCCTAAAGCCTAGCAAGGAAGCTGAGAAGAAGGATAAAACACACAAAAAAATAGAATTGTTGCTAGGCATATGGAATCTGGCCCTCTGAAAGTGTTAGAGGATTGACTTGAGAATATGTATGCTTATGAATTTTTATGTAGAGAGCGTGTCTTATGAATTCTATGGCCATGCTGCCCTTGATGATGTGTCCCCTAAAATCACTTTGAAAATCTTGTGGAATCAAAGACCTGAATCTTGAAAGTCATCACCAATAAGGAGGCAAAGGACCAACAAACCTCCTTGACTTTTGACAACACGCTTGCTCGCTAACTTTTGTCAACATGCTTACATCTTCTTTAGAGTTTCCTGACCATTCTTTCTCCTTCAAACCTGCTCAGTTCTTACAATTAAGTTAAAGATTCTTAAATGTTTAGAAATTTATTTTCTAGAAAATATTTTTGGGTGAGGTTTATAATTCGGGTTAATGATCTCAACCCTACATTTCTTTTGCTTCCTAGGAAAGGATGAAAAAGCACAAACAATTTCATTTATCATTATTTGTTGTTTTCTTCCTTTTCCCAAATTATATTTGGACCCAAACATCAATCTATAGATGAGGAGAGGCTCTGCTTGCAAAGAGAGCTCAGAGTTCCCTAACAAGACTTACTCTGCTTCACTCCAACATTCTGTCAAAATGTCACTTCTCTAACAGCCTTTCTCTTCCAGTTCTAACCTATAGCTATACTTATAATCACTAAAGTATTCCACATTTCTCTTAGAAAATGTAAGAATATGAGTTTTAATCAGCATGGAGATATGTATAATCACATCTGATGCAATGTTTCATGGACATATTGTAGGACATGGTACAAGGGACTGTTGGCACCCTTCATCCAGGACCAGAAGGGGTCCGCAGACAGACTGATTCTGCTACCATCAGAGTTTTCTGCTTGTTTTTGTTTCAAGTGATTTTTTCTCTACATTCCTTCAGCATTGTTGTTAAATGTTTCACTTGTTAGAGTCACCTTGGTGGTTATGATGATGGTATTTTTAAAACCCTTATTTGAGTAATTAACAAATATTGAATTTTCATCAAGTGTTCAGCGTATGCTACAAGTTGTAGAATATACATAAGCCATGGAGTATATGTTTGGTTCCCTCAAGAAAGTCACAATATAGATGAAGAAAGGGAGCTAATGGCATGCAACAATACCCAGCATACAAGGTGGTACATGACAAGGGTCAATAGTTCATCTCTGCTCAATGGTTCAGAACCTATTCTCGATCCAATACCATTTTGAAGTTCACATGAATACTATGTAGTCTCTCCCCAGAAGATGCATATGGTTCATATGCAAAATATTTCATATTGATTCCAGAGAAGAAAACGGCAGTCTATTAGCTTTTGAAATCCATTCATGAACCCAGGAGCAGATTATGGATCCCTCCCTTAGAGAACTGCAAAAGTTCAGAAGAGAAGAAGCTCAGTTAATTCTGGAGGAAGTTAAAGGTGGTTTAGAGGAGACATTGGAATATAAGGTTGATCTTGGATAATGGATGAGATTTAGGAGAAGAGAAATGAAATTAATTTTTATGAGACTCATAGTAGATCATTTCCATAGATTATCTCATTTAATCTGCAGAGCAATGCAGTGAAGAAGGTCCTGTGTCTCCCATGCTATATATAAATAAGTGGAGACTGGGGAGGTGCAATAAAGGGCCCCAAATTCCTCTTAGCTATTTAATTCCTGAGTTGTACTGAAACTCATGTGCATATGAAAGCAGATCCCAAGCAATTTCCACTACACACCCCCTTGAAGAGGAGAAACAATAAATCTTCTATATTCAAATGAGTATGTCCTCTAGTGTGCATACATGATCAGATGGAGACATTGGGTGTGGGGAGAAGTGGAAGAATTCTTTCTTTCCCAGTTTTCCAGGAAAATTAAATTAAATGAGGCCATGATTGAGACAGGCACTCTTCTGTGATTATGTTACCTATTATACTACCTTGGAACTAAGAATATGTAGTAAAAATAGGCGTGTGTTATGGTGAACCTTTTTTCAGGTCATTATATAGTTAGTGTGGTCGGATAGGATTTTCTTTTTTTCAAATCTTTGCTCTGTCCCTATAATAGGGAAGCACACCTTTACCCATTTTCACGTAACATGTCTATACTTTCTAGTAGGCAGAGTATACAGCTTCACCCCATTGACCTTGGACTTGTGAATTAGTTACTTTGACCAATGGACTGTGAATGGAAATGTCAGAGTGCCAGTTCTGAGCAGAAGCTTCTAAGAGAGGCATTTTTCTCACTTATCCCAACCTTCTGCCCTCCTTCACAAGGTCAACCTGCTCCATGAAGGACATCCTGTGGCTGTTCCTCCAACTGGGTGATAGGATGAGAAGACACATGGAGCAGGTATCAAACCAATCTATAGTCCAGCAGCAACTCCAGCTGATCCCAATCAAGCCAACAGAGCTGCAGCTGACTTGCTGAACCATGAAAACTGTTTCATGTGGTGAGTGGTTGGGATTTTGAGGTTGTTACCACAGAAAACCCCAACTTGTACTCGTTCGTCAAGCATGACCTCAAGATTTTGAGAGACCAATCAAGAGTCTAAGTGTCACCAAAGAAACTCATATGACATCAGGGGAAATTCCAGAATCAACCCAAAGTAGTCCAGTTGCCTGAAATCAGGGACAATGTAGACAAGACAGGATTTTTGGCCTGATCTTTTTCTCTCCTATCAGCATAAGGCTCAGCCTCCAGGAAGATAGCAGGAGGCTAAATGCCATTTGCAGATTTAGCTGTTGGTGAGATGGTATTCACCAGAGATAAGCTCAAGAATCTGATTTGATTGTAGGCTTTTCCTTCTCTTCCTCGTTCTCTATGTGGAGCAGGGAAGTAAAATGGATATAAGACAGAAAAAAATACAGGAAGATAAAAAGCACTTAGGCAGCCCACAATGTTGACAACCAGAGTGAATGAGAGCACGCTGTACTTTTAGAATCTGCACACGCACACGGAAACAGGCATACACATTTTCTAGCTCCTACTAATGATTTCTGTGAGATCATCATTCCAATCATTGGCCACACAATCTCAATGCCAACCCTGAGAAGGACTAATTAGCATCCTCACATATGTAATTCTCTACTGAGAGCTACGTAGATGATGGAGTATCAGTGAGCAGACACAATACCACCAACTTCTTATTAGTCCAGCCCCAACACCTAATTACTTTAATGCATTTAAAAATCAATATGTAGCCTCAGCAAAAAAAGAATTTTAAAGATATTTCAGTTTTTTTAATTTGATCCTGCCTCTTAGCCATCCATGCTATTCTACTAAAACACAATGAACCAGGCTTACAGTCCTTGACTTCTGGCAAAAGAGAAGAACAACAGGAGCAAACAAACTTCCAAATATCTTTTTATTCCACCCAACCAAACTCATCCTTTAGCTCTTACTTGAAATCACCAGTGTGCAGAGCAGTCCATCAAACTGAGTCTAGACTGACACTTCGTTAAATTCAAGTTTTGTAAAGCAAGCTGCTAGGACTCTGTGGATTTGGCTGCAGGACTTCGTTGGGCTTCAGCAACTCAAATGTTGGAGCCCAAGCCCTGTTCCAGTGCCAAACATTTGTCCACACGCTGTTCCCATGCAGCAAAGACTCAGCTCTGTCAACATCCTTGTGACTAGAGGAAGGCACTCCTCTTCCCATCCCACATGTGGGAAGTGTCCCCTGGTAATGAAGTCATACTGGGCTGAATACACATGCCTGAAATGAGCTGCAGCACAAATCCTCAGGAGAGACAGGGAAATTGGTCAACGTCCCACAGCAACTGACCCTTGAGCAAGGAAAACACAATCTGCTCTTGGGGTTGCCTGGCTTTGTCATTCAGGTGTTTCCAAGTTCTGCTATTAGATCATTACAATTTACAGAATCACTCCACATAAGGTGAATGGGTTAGAAGATCAGATTGTTTCATCAATGTAGTCTTTCTGTCAATGCAGTCTCTCCAGACAATGAGGACTTTTGTTCCATGAAACCTTATTAGCCATCTCTCTGCCTTAGAGAATGAGTCCCAGCTGAATAGACCTTTCTTTCCTGTCATGTACATGATGCGTTATCTACAATGATATCAACATAACCATATTTTTAACTAAAAGCCTTTTTACTTTTAAGAAATGAAGACTGAGAGAAAGTTAGGTTTAAAATGGCATCTGGCTTAGAGGCACTTAATCACTCAATATTTCCCTAAAATCTAACAAAATACTTATAAAGACACACAAAAAAATTGAAAACTTATGCCACCACCAAAACAGGAACTAAGTAATCTATTTTCAGAATCCAGGATCAATTTTCATTAACTGCAAGACTGGAAAAATGGGATTAAGAGCATGATCCAAGATCCCTTGTGCTATGACCACTCAAAATAAGAGTTAGCTTCTCCCTCTTACCCCCAACACAGACAGGAAGTAGATACAAAGTCCCTGCACCCTCTCAAAATCCAAGCCCTGGCTCAGAAATCCAACATAGATACTAACTGGATCCGGAGGGCCTCTCTCTAGGTGGGTGATACACTTTGAGGCCTGGTGCAATCCTTTAATCCATCCTTCATTCCTGCCCAGATCTCTCTTTTCTGTATCTAGTCAGAGATGGGAATTCCAAGAAGGTGGATGGAAGGTACAATCCCCTAAAGTAAAACACAATAAGCAGGGTTCCTTCTCAGAAGCCATCTTGGAAGCAGTACATGCTGAGGATTACAGTCTTCTAAGACTTCCACCAGGATCAGCGTCAGGAGATGGGAGTGAGGTATGCTCAACTAACAGGAGCCCTTGAGATTTCCCAGCCTAGAGTTTGAGAATGGGTCTGGAAGCTGTGTGTGCTAACACACTGTTCAGTTGCTCATCCAAAGAAGATCAAAGACAAACAAACTTTGTCTTTGAAAAACATTGTATCCCTCCTTCTTTAAAAATAAGAAAAGAGTGGAGAAAATACTTAACATGGCTGGGCGTGGTGGCTCACGCCTGAAATCCCAGCACTTTGGGAAGCCGAGGCATGCGGATCATGAGGTCAGGAGATCGAGACCATCCTGGCCAACATGGTGAAACCCCCGTCTCTACTAAAAATACAAAAATTAGCTGGGCGTGGTGGCAGGCACCTGTAATCCCAGCTACTTGAGAGGCTGAGGCAGGAGAATCACTTGAACCCAGGAGGCGGAGGTTGCAGTGAGCCGAGATCGTGCCACTGCACTCCAGCCTGGTGACAGAGCGAGGCTCCATTTCAAAAAAGAAAAAAGAAAAAAAAAAAAACTTAACATAAGACCTATTAAAATACCAGACCATTAAAAGAGACCCTAACACTAGATTCACAAGATTAACCAAAATTGGAAGACAATTTACTATAGTACCCAGAAGGAAAAGACCTAGAGGAACAAAAAACTCATTGAAAATAGGCTAAAATGCTAAAGCACCAAGTAATAGAAAATGAATGGTAAGTAGGTAAGACAGAAACTGCCATGAAACTAAACATTGAATAGCAGAATTTCAACCTGTATTAGAAATTAAGAAAAAATTGACACTGAGCAAAAATTAAATTAGCGTAAGACAGTATTATGTAATAGGTGTTCAATAGCTATTTGTTGAATATACAATAGAGAGGTCTAAAAGAATACTGATGGTGCTATGACCTCTCCAAAAATGCTTGGTTGTTCAGTGGAACTGATTGGAGGGAAAAATGAACTCTTCAGTAGCTGCTGAGTTTGCAATTTCCTTTTGGTGAATGTTACATGAGTGGCTCACGGTGGGGGAGGTAGAATGTAAAGAAACAACTTGGCACGTAAGCAGGACCCTAGAATTGACACATACTTCTCTAACTAGTGAGCCTCAGGTGCATCAAGACCAAGACTGTGTGTGTCTCCCCAGACCCGAGTGGAAATGAGGGGATACAGCAATGGGGAACTTATTTTGCACTAAAACTGCCCAGTTTTATCAAGGAATAGACAGCAGACCTCCTTAAAACTCTCTTAACAAGTAAACGGAGAGCCCACATGGTGAGTCCCACTTTCATGGTCGATGTGGAAAAACTTTTGGGATGTCGATGAACATCTGGAGAGTCAGCGAGCACAAGCTGGATAATGGCTGGATAATGACACACTCCATGTGTTAAGCACCTAAGTTTAGTCCCTGGTTTCATGTTAGATATGTTTATTCTGAATTCCTTGTTGTGCGACTCCCACAAATCAAATCATGCTACAGTACACACTTAATTGGGGTTGAAATTCTTCCAAACATGTTTGGTGTCTGCTAGCTTCCTCTTTATTTGAGATTAATCAAAAGACATTGATGAAAATCTCCACCACCAGCCATCTAAAGGGAAATGGATGAAGTGCTAAAACAATAACAACCAGTGGTAAGACCGTAACAAATATCATCAATCAGACCACTGGCAGGCTGGCCATACCTCCAGCTGCGAGGCTGTCAGGGCTCATCATTTTAATAGGGCTGGGCTGGAGCAGAGGGTCAAAAGCAGGCTTCCCAGGAGAGCCAAGCCACTGACTCATTGGTTGGTCCTTTTCCCCTTCAATTAAACTCCATGACATGCACGATCAGGAGGCTGGAGCTATTGAGGTAGCCTCACCCTGGTTGGCTACCCTGCACAGGGGAGAGGTTTCCAAGTTGGTGGGTGGGTGGTAGTTGTGTGGGCATAGGTGTGGTGAAGTGAAAAGAGGATGAAGGACTTTGAAATCAGACTCATGGCCAATTCTGGTTTTGCCACTTAAGAGCTGTGTGATTTAATCTCTCTGAGCCTCTGTTTTTTCAACTGTAAAATGAGGATATTAGTAAAATTAGTCTATTACCTTGCAGAGTTGTTGAGAGGAGTAAATAATGAATATACACTTAGGATTGCAGTCAACATCAAAGCTCTTTGGAGGGATGAAGAGTTTGTGGGTGGCAGCCTGTGGAACAGCCCAGCAAATAAGTAGCTAGTGAGAAGAAACAATGGTGCTTACAGAATCAGAACACTGATTTTGGACTCCAACACAGTTAGGCTCAAATCCTGGCTTGTCCTCTTGGAAGCTCTGTGAGCACAGGAATGATCCTTAAGGCACCACAACACATGCACAAACATACACTGTGGACACACACACAAACACATACAACTAATTGCTTCATCCATAAAGCAAAAATAACAGGGGTACCTACATGGAAGAGTTTGATGGAGGATCAAATGAGATCACATTTGTAAAGTGCTTTGTGTAATACCTGGCATACAGACAGAGCTCCACAAATAAGCTATGATATTTACAATGATTAGTAAATGCAGCTTGTATATACTAATATATGACATATTTTATTCAACATATGACTATGTAATAATGCAATATAATACATGTTATAACATACAATATAGTTGTATGTAGTTCGTCCCATATATAACGTTACAGTATTTATTTCCTATGAATTATGAAAGACGCAAGCCTAAATTGTTGGTTTAGGAAATCTCCCACATATGTTTGATGTTGGCTAACTTGTTCAAGTGGTTAAAATAACTAATAACTGTATGTAAGCATACAAACACATGCATCTATTAGAGTGACTTTCCAAGAACCCTTGTTGATTTTTATTACTGAACACTTACTACGGGTCAGGAACTGTGCTATGCACTTTGCATACATTATTTTAAATTAATCCTTATACATCCTACTCATGGGGTTACTTTATCACGATAACACTATTATTAGAATCAGAGAGTATGGGTCTTGATATTATCCCACCTCCATCCCCTAAAATAAAATGAATGTGCTTAAAAATATTCCCCATGGGGGGATGAGCTACTCACTTACTGATGATACCACGAAGGTGTGGAATTTTTTTCAGGAACCGTAAACTCAGAGTCATGATCATGTTGATCGTACCTGCACGACACAAAACTACCTTTTAGGAGAAAGAAGCCTTAGAGACAAAATGGTGTTGTGCGACTGGATAGTCCATGAACACCTGACCAGCCCACCAGATCTGCCCAAGAGAATTCTCAGGAAGCTCAGAGGACAGGTAAGTGGCAAAACGCCCAAAGCCCTTATCGTTATTGGCCCTGAGCACCAATCAGGGACCCCTCACCCCCAACCGCAGAGAGGCAAGAATGCCACTGAAATTCAAGTTCTTGGCAACATCAATTTTTAAAAGGAAAAACTAACTCAATATTGCCTGTGTGGTTACCAAGGTCATCCAGGGGAGAGGCTCAAACTGCAATCAAGTGAATGATGAAGGGGGACTCTGAAAGCAATCCAGTAGCCCAGATCTGATGGGCATCTACTCGGCAAGCCCTGGCCAGAGGCAGCAGAGCAAGCCATGTGGGAGCTGGAATTGCTGCCTTTCCCATGGTTCTCTCTGAATTTTGAGGCCTCTGGACCTTTTCCAACATGTCCATAATTTAGTTATTTATGACCTCAAAAGACGCAAATAATTCAAACATACTAGGTACTGCAAAGCCCCAGTATTGGATCAATCACCCAGATATAGTACGATATATATATATATATATATACACACACACACACACATACACATATCAGAAAAGATTTGTAACATTTCTTCCTGGAACAATGTGAACATTTTTGTGCTCTTTGACACTGGTGATATTCTAGTTGTAAGTGAATAGGCGCTTCTGTTTGAACAGAAATGTGAGTCTAAAGCATTATGTTCTTGTTTGACTGTCACATAGAGCCCATCATCACAAATCATTTAAGAGACTAAGACAAGACCTGTCAAGTAGTTAAAGTAATTGATAAATGTGGGAAGAGACTGACTTAGGAAGGGAATGATGCAATTATGTTCAAAGAAGAGTGATTCTAGTTTTGCATTGTCCATCGCTATGTTCAAAGTTCTTGTGGAGTCGGACCTGGACAGAGGCAGGACTGGAAAAGCAGAAGAGCAGGGAACAAAAGCAGCAGAGGCGATGTGAGACAAAGAGAAGGCAGGTAGGGAGTTAAACAGAACCTAGGCCAGCAGAGAATCTAGCTTGTTCCCACCCCCTCACAAGCTGGAGCCCACCTCATTCCCCAGGAGCCCCTCTCCTGCTGGTCAGCATCCTGGGGGCAGCTACTCCATTCCTCAGCCAGCAAAATAACGGCCCTAACTACTCCAACCCCTTAGGCCACATTTCCTCCTGACTTGACCTTCTCTTCAACTCAGCCCTTCAATACAAGTCCAGGATTCAGGGAGGGGAAAAGCCCCTCTCAAAATGAACATTCAAGCCTAAGAGGTCAGCATTCTAAATGAAAAAGTTAAGCCCCTCTTGCGATCTATTAGTGAAGAAGTTATAAGTTTCTCTGGAATTCACAGTAAGTGAAAAACGTAAGGTCGGTATAGCTGATACAAATTCTAACAAATATCCCTTCCATGCTAAAGAATCACAATCTTTGTTTCTCCTTAGAGGGCAGGTGACACTCTCCATGGCCCTGCGGAAGGAATTTTAAAAATATATTGGATTTCAGGTAAAATAGCACAACAAATCCTGATTACAAAATATTTTCCTTCTGGTACCTAACAAAATGCATTAAAAATTTATAAACCAATAATCAAAAACAGCCAAAAAAGGCAAAAGGATTAAACTTCATAACATAAATGTTAAGAAAATGTCAGTGAGAGAAAAACAACAAAAGATTCCTTTGTGGCTTGCTTTCTAACCCCACCCTTCTAGAAATAATAGTAAAGAAAGAAGAACTGACAAAATTCTGTGCTTCTTAGAAATACCTCCTAACTTGAAAGAAGCAGCCTGTGGGAGAGAATGGGCAGCTCAGGGAAAAGTCAAGGAAAAGTGTTAAAGGGTAGAAGGCTGTACATGCCTGAAGGATCCAAGGCTGAGGCCGGAAATGCTGCCTGGGCTCTGAGCTGCTTGGGGAACAGCCCAAAATCATAGGAGTGGAGTGTATTTCTGCAGAAGTGGGGCCTCCTAACAGAGAATTAAAAAAACAAAAACAAAAAAGCCAGAGAATTCACGTCCCATGACAAAGATTGTTTTCAGCCCCCAGATAATCTCTTTTGCTTTCCCTAATCCTTACAGAAAAGTGGACAGAAATCTAAACTTATCCTCAAACTGCAGCTGAGAGAGGAAGAGAAGTAGGCTTAGAAAATGACAAAAGGGTGGCAAGAAGTGTGTGGTCATAAGCTCTCAGAGCAAAGAGAAGACTGGTTAGAGCTACCTATGTTGTACATTAAATATAAACAAGAAGAGAAGAGGAATGGCAACTATACAAACTTATGAGAAAAAAAAGGAAAAGAAAACGACACAAAGCAACATAACAGGCAAAAGACAGATATGAACCTAGTCTCAAGGAAAACCTGTGCCAAAAAACAGAATGATACTCCTTGGAAATGCTTTAAGATACAACATTTTAAAAATATCTTAATTCAATATATGAGGATAATAAAACTACAGAATGAGTTGAAAATACACACTGCAAAACTAGGAAACTAATTGATTACCAAAACAAGAGTATGCCATATCTAAGGAGTAATAGCAACAAACAAAATAGATATGTCTGGATTCATTAACTTGAAAGAAGGCTTGAATTTATCACAGCATATATAGATGAGAATGACAAAGTGATTATAGCAAATAGAGAAGAGATGGTATATATAGAGAGAATAGATCAAGAAATGATCTGCCACTTCATACCCATTAGGTAGCTATTATTAAAACAAAAACAAAAAACAGAAGACAAGAATAGGTGAGGATATGGAGAAATTAGAATATTCATGCAATGTTGGTTGGAATGTAAAATTGTGCAGCCACTGTGGACAATGGTATGGCAGTTCCTCAAAAAATTAAATATGATCCAGCAATTCTACTTCTGGGTATATACCCAAAAGAATTGGAGGTGGAAACTCAAACAGATATTGGTGTACCCATGTTTATAGCAGCATTATTCACAATAGCCAAAAGACAGAAGCAACCCAAGTGCCCACTGACAGATAAAAGGATAAACAAAATGTGGTGATATATATACAACGGAATATAAGCCTTAAAAAGGAATGAAATTCTCACACATACAACAGTAGATGAACCTTGAAAACATTATATTAAGTGAAATAAGCTAGTCATAAAAGGACAAGTATTGTCTGATCCCACTTATATGAGTTACCTAAAGTAGTTAAATTCATAGACAGTAAAATGGCGGTTGCTAGGGTAGGTGGAAGAAGGAATGGGCAGTTGTTTAATGGGTAGAGAGTTTCAGTTTTGCAAAATAAAATGAGTTCTGGAAATGGGTGGTGGCTATGGTTGCACAACAGTGTGAATATACTTAATGCCACTGGACTGTACACTAAAAAATGGACAGAATGGTTTTTTGTCATGTTTATTTTATCACAATTTTAAAAAATAAAAAACTCAAATGATTGACTATATAGATAACTTAGTGTCCTTGAAGTAGAGAATCTAATAAATTAAACAGAAGAAAATATTCAGAGCCATAATAAAGAAAAATTTCCATGAAATAAAACAATCTAGAGATAGAAAAAGCCTAAAAAATGGATCTATAATGATCCATGTAGAGACATATCCTGGTTTACTTATTGAAATCCAAACAAACAAATGAAGTATGTGTGAGGTATTCAGGCAAAAGGAAAAATTATGTATTACGGGAAAAAAGTATCAGCCTGGCATTTGAATTTTTCAATAAGCATTATTTAACTATTGTTCTATTTCTTTTAATGCTGTCAAAACTCTAAGGTGAAAAAATTATAATACAAGAATACTATGCACAGCCAAGTTGGTCTTCAAGTAGAGAAGGGCTGCAAGAAGGTATTCACAAATCTGAAAAACTCAAAACACAGCAACCATGAACCCTTCTGGAAAAGTCTACTTGGATGATGAAATCTAGCTAATCAAGAGATAAATCAAAATAAATGGAGAAGTCATAGTAGAGGCATTGGTGTTCAACACTAAATCCATTTAATTATAAAACCAAGACTAAACAATTGAAGAAACTGTGTTTATAGGACGGAATATAAATATATAAAGTTTTTTTTAAGTTCCTACTTTGGATGCTATAACAAACAAAACTTATATTCTACTGACTTATAATAACAAACATTTTTATCTTGCTCACACATTAGATAAGGGCAGTAAATCAGCTGTGATTCTGTTGGGTTCAACACCACGTATTTTCTCCTTGCTGAATCCAGACTGAATGAGAAGTCCCTCTTTAGAACATGCTGTTTTCACCATGGAGGGCTAAACTAAGAGGTCCCACACCAAAGCACATGCTCACAGAAAAACCTTTTGCTTAAGAGGCAAACATTATGTCCAGTCACAATCCATTGGCCAAAGTAAGTAACATGGCCAAGCCCAAAGTCATTGAGATGGGACTTTAATGAAATATGGGGACTTGAGGGAGGGTATGGGAGAGGAAGTGCAAAAATACTAATCTTATAATTTCAATCAGGGAATCAATAATAAAGTCCAAAGGTATTTTTATAAACATATATAATGATTTTAGCCTCCTAATATTTTTCCCTCTTAATTTTCAAAGATTCTTATACAAACTAGTATTTCTTCTGATCAAGAAGAAATTATGTGAGGCATAGCAAATTCCTTTAGTTTTGGTTCAGTGTTTTTTTCCTGTATTAAATATTAAATTCAAGTAAAATGAAGTGTAATCTTTTTTATTTCAATATAGCATATGTAGTATGATGCCCTTTTAATAAAATCCTCTCCCTCTCTCTCTTCTCTCCATCCTTTGGTCTGTGACTATCCCTGGAGATATGTCTAGAATGAGGCTCATCAACTGTTAACATAGGTTATCTCTATGTGGTAGTATTTCTTGTGATTTGTTGTTTTCTTCTTTGTTTATTATTATTACAAGCATTTATCAGTTTTATAAATGAAATAAGCCAGTGTTGTAAAATTGCAACAAAATGCCAAACATATGAATTCAGTGAGTATATTTCATTTACTACTCAAAAAACCTAAAAATATGTTAATTTTTTTAATAAAATGTAATATCCATCTCAGGCCTCCGTAATTTTCAAGATGTGTGCCATCATAATAGGAAAGCTATTTGTACTGGGTGGGAGGGTGGAACATGATCCTCAACTCTTCTCTCTATGCTGGCTGTCCTGCCACAGCTGCTATTATTGGAAGGTCCCCCCAAACTCATGTGTTGAAATGTAATTGCTAATGTGACAATAGTAAGAGGTAGGGCCTTTAAGAGGCAATTAAGTCATGAAGGCAGAGCCCTTGCGAATGGGATTAGGGCTTTTATAAAAGAGGCTTCATCCAGCATTTAGCCCTTTGCTGCTCTTCTGTTCTTCTGCCACGTGAGGACGCAGCAATAAGGCACCATCGAGGAAGCAGAGAACTCTCACCAAACACTGAAGGCCAGCACCTTGACCTTGGACTTCCCAGCCTCCAGCATTTTGAGAATTAAATTTCTATTTTTTACAAATTACCCAGTCTGTGGCATTTTGTTATAGCAGCACAAAAAAACAACAGCTTTCTTTCATGTCCAGAGGACCCCTGTAGTCTGGTGGCTTTCTCCTCTTCTACTCATTCCAGGCATGCAGATTTCATCAAGGCTGACTGTAGCATCACGTACCTAAATGCAGCAGGGAGCAACTTCCTCCCTGGTATCTTGACAGCTCCCTGGGATTCTACTCTGGCTAATGACAGCGTGAGGTCTGAGTCCCCTGTGGCTCTCAGCCCTGAGCACAGACCAGGAAACTCCAAAACTATGATAATAGCACCTCTCTGCCTCCAGCCTATACCCTAATTCTTGGGGACACCCTAGGGACAACTGGGAGGAAGGAAGCCTGCTCTGTTTCTTGAAGCAGAGAATAAAGTTACCATGGGAGGCTCTTGAGTGATGCCCCCTCTCTCTTGAGGTTTGCCTCAGGGGCACCCAGCATAATCTTGTTAATGTGCTTAAGTGTTTGGAATACGTACTCAGGAAAGTTTTACATCCTGCTGCAGCTCTTCTCTGACGGTTGTTGAATGGAAACAAGGGAAAGGGAAAAAATTACTTAAAGGCAGGTAGGAGGAAACCCATTGCTTAACAACTCAGAAGTACTGTTTTACCATATTAACATTGAATTTTAAAACTCTATGAGCTCAACCTAGAAGATAGTGTACCTGCCAGGTTACAGACTATTATTTTTGCTTTTGGAAAGGAGATGCTCACAGTTGATGATGAAGAGTTTGAGGGTGAGCATGATTTGCTGGAAGACTGTTCTCAGTTTACCTCCCAAAGAGAGGCACACTTTGTCTTCTACAACAGCCAAGTGCTCTGCAGACCAAGAGGATGCTGAGGAAGCATCTGAAATATTGGATAGGGGAGCGAGCAGAATATTCAAGCAGGCCAACAAGAGGCTTTATGGCTAGTGAAATACTACAGCCAGCCAGGCTCCTCATTCAGAGAGAATGCTAAATGAAGAGAAGAAAATCAATGACACAGCAAAAGGAGAAAAGGAAACGTGTTAATAAACAGGTAGGAATTTTAAAAGGGTATTACAGATCTGAACTGAGGAAATCTTTGTGGACCAACAAATGTACACTAATGCAGGATAAGTCAGACAATTTCTAGGGCTTTCTTGAGATTTAAAGGTATACATGCATAATGCATGCAGGATGACTCATATGGTGTGTATAAAATTTTGAGAACACCTTTGCATTCTACTGGCACATTAATCATAGGGCCATTTAAAATGAAGAGAACATCTGCTCAAAAAACAGGTATACAAAATTGTCTTTGGAGAGCTTATATGCAACAGATGCCACATCTTCTAGCTTAAATACTAGGGACGTTTTCTGCATTCCTATAGGGAATCACTCCAGCAATATCACATTTCCCAAACAAGTGGTATTGTTATTGTTGTATTTGACTCAGCTAAAATAGGAAATATTATTTTTTTAAAATCTCACAAGGAAACAAAGCTTAAAAATAAGCTGGAATTTAGAAATATTATCAGAGAAGAGTATTTTCCTACAGTTAATTTTGTGTTTGAAAGAAAAATCTTTGCTCAATTATGCCTGGGTATCTTATTAAAATGTATTTGTTCCATGTCATTCCAAAAGAATCTGATGCATATGATATGCACAATGTATACAGTTGTGACATAAGCATTGGCAACCTCCCACAGATCTCTCTGTTTTCCTTTATATTCATCACCAGAAGGTCAAGTTTCCAAAATCACTAACCCCCACTAATTGAAGGACTTCTGTTGTTGTCAGAGAGAATACTATTGAGATGTATCTTACCAGTGACTTTAAGTCTTTTCTGAACATCAGTATCAAATGCTTACTGGCTCAATTATTATTATTGTATTTATTTATGTATTCATTTATTTATTTATTTTGAGACAGAGTTTCACTCTTGTCACCCAGGCTGGAGTGTAGTGGTGCGATCTCGGCTCACTGCAACCTCTGCCTTCCAGGTTCACATGATTCTCCTGCCTCAGCCTCCCGAGTAGCTGGGATTACAGGCACCTGCCACCATGCCCAGCTAATTTTTGTATTTTTAATAGAGACAGGATTTCACCAATTACTTATCGAGAGTTGAATGAGTGAAAGTTTCTAATGCCTTTGAGAGAACTATTGCATGCCAACTCCCTCCCTATCATTTCTGATCCTTGTCTTCCCAGCATTTTCCATGGGTTCAGAGCTACATTGGTATTTAGTCTGTCATCTGCCCTTAATCTCTCAGTAACATGGAGGAAAAGAATCTTATTCTGTCACTTAGGACTAGTATTCATCTAAGGGAGTTTACAAAGCACCAAATGCTGACTTTCCTAAATAAATGTAATCTTGAACCAAGAGCTCATATATTTTATTGGGTAAATTATCACCGGCATTATTGGCTATCTTAAAAGCTTAAAAAAATTTCTTTTTTAGCACAGCTCTGGTTCAAATGTTTGTGTTCCTCCAAAATGTATGTCGAAAGTGATCCTCAGTGCAATATTAGATGGTGATTAGGTCATGAGGGCTCCACCTTCATGAATGGGATTCGTGCCCTTATAAAAGGCCTGTTTTGCTTTTTTTTTTTTTTTTTTTTTTTTGCCTTGTGCCATGTGAGGACACAGCATTCATCTCTCGGGAGGACACAACATTCATCCTCTCGGGAGGACACAGCAACAAAATGCCATCTTACCACACATGAATCTGCTGGCACCTTCTGGATGTCCCAGCCCTTCAAACTGTGAGAGCCTATTATTTAACTGTGAGTTCTATTATGTCATCAATTGCCAAGTCTGTAGTATTTTGTTATAGCAGCAGGAACAGACGAAGACAAGGATTCTTTAAAGGGAGCTCTCACAAACGTTGACATACTGTTTTATCTTTTATTTTATCTTCCATCCTAAAGCTTACAAGTTATTAGAAGTATACGTCATACAATGATCTCAGGGTATTTTAGAAAAGTTGATGCCCAAAGTAAATACATTGGACAGAATAGAAGAATGTGGCTTAATAGTTAGATTTTTCCATGTTAGTGCTATGAAACTATTATAGTTTTACTAGTGCTCCAATAAGGATATGGCCTTGGAGTTCACCTCAACATTTATAAAAGATTGGTATCTAGTAAAGAATCATGATCTTTATGGAGCAGAAGATCCACACCTCCCTGATTCTGCCCTTAAATGCATTTGGTTTTTAAGTCAGACTCTTAGACTATAAATAAGGAACTTCCTCTGTTTCCATTTTGAAAAGAGTTCACGTACTGTGCTATAGAATTCCAATATTTCTTAATCAATCCTAAATTGTTCACGGGTTTTATACACTACATAAGAATGAGAGAACATTTCTTGGTACATAGCCGTTCAACCTCCTGAACACATTTTCTAATCAAATCCTCATGTTCTGCTCATAGATGTTCTTTATATCTGGGTGGGAACAACCTCCCCAAAGTTCAAGTCTGAGGTCACAGGCCTCTGTTGAAACCACAGGGACTGAGGGCCTGGCAGGAGTTGGGGGATGAACGGAGTGACCTGCAGGCATTTAGGGAGTTGGGGCCGCCTTCCTGCCCCCATGAATTCTGTGTGACATCTGATACCATAGGGAGCTTTTTAAAGAATGAACAATGTTAGTTCCCCATATATACATCAGCTGCTCAGAATTTGCCATGATTCTTGACTGAGAATGAAAACATGGATCCACAAGTGTGTACAACTAATAGTAAAATTGGTTTTCCCAGGGGCTGGAGGAAGGAACACTGTAATTGGGAACATGGCAGGGGTGTATAAGATGAGCATTCAATGCTGGAAAACATTAAGCAGGGGGTTTTACAGTACGTAAAATTCAGCACAGTTTTTCTTTACGCTCCTTCATGGAGAGAGAAATTGTTACATCATCCTCTCTGGGGACAAATCACCCATTGGGTAAAAAGAGCCACACCATGAGTGAAGGGCAAGACCAGTTTCATCAAAACAGATGTCTTTTTAAACTAGTGAAAAGGGGAAAATGTCTTTTTTTCTTTCCAATAAAAGTATGCTTTGAGATATTTCAGAGGGTCATTTCTTACTTGTAACTTGTATGGCCTAAATAGCACTGAATTCTCAGATTGTGGAAGGAACATTACCAAATGCATGCTTGATTCTGTAGGAGATATGGGACACTGACTTTGAAATAAAACAAGAGAACAGAGTTCTCTTCCCACCCCATAGGCAAGAAAGAGGCTTGGTAATGACGTTGGAGCCATTTGCAGGCAGGTGTGAGCCAGCTTCCCAATAGGGAAGTTCCACTTTAGAGACCCAGCATCACACCTGGAACTAATTGCCCTCTTTTTTGGCAAATTCAGTAACTGGGCCAAAGATTAAATAGACCTTGGAGACTGTACAACCACTTCCGTCTCTAAGTGCCGTCAACCCCAGGGCAGGAAGGAGGAATGCTGAGGAGGTGGCCCAGAGAAAGGGCTGCCCCACAGGCCCTGCACCTGCACTAGAACACACCAAACACACATCAGTATTCAAAGCACCAAAATTAAATGCCTGAGCAGTATGTTGATGATTTCTTTCAAGTTGTATTTTTCTGCATTCTGTCCTAGGAACATTCATTTCTAAAGGCATGTAGGTACACAAATACAAAATAATACTGTCAATAACTCTGCATATTTCAGAGAAGGTTGCATGTAAAGCATAAAAACCATTTCATTAAGAAGTTGAGTTATTTTTAAATAGTTTGGGGTATTTTCCATTTTAAAAAGATCATAGGCTTTTCTTTTCAATTTCTGTGAATAAAATTAATGTGTTTGTTAAAATTATATTCACTCATCATCTTTTCAACCAATACCTCCTATGTGCCATGTGCTAGTCTTCTTTAAAGACTCTGAGCCTACAAACAATACATGAGAAGACCTTGTCCACAAGGAATTTAGAGTCTGATGGAGGAGAGAGATTAATCAGGAGACAATTACAATGAAACATTGTAATGACATCATTGGCAAAGGCAAACACAGGGCCTTGTGTGGATCCAGAGGGGGCTGGGGTGGGAAGCAGCAGGAGCTGTGTGTTTTTGTTTGTGTTGGAGTCCCTCAAGACTCTCAGCTCAGAATGGCCCCTCCCAGTCCATGCCCAGCTGTCTGTCTAGAATGTCCTAGTTCTTGAACCAGGTGAAGGGGGAGGGGGTTGTGTGAAGGGGGGGTTGTGTGGTGAAGGGTGAAGGGGGTTGTGTGGGTGTGAAGAACGGGGAAGAGGGTAGGTAGATTCTGAGTTTAAGGGAAAAGCTACTACAGATAAGGCTGCAGGCATGGAAGCCAAATTATCAAGATCTAAATATGTCATGCAAAAGAGGTTGGGTTTGCCCTGGGGAAAATGGAAGATTTTGGAATCTTTTAAGCACAGGGAGTGCCACTAGCAGCTTTGTGTGTTGGAAACACCCTCTGGCTGCCGTGGAAGGATGATTTGGAGGATGATGAACTTAAGTCACGGAAAACAGGTATGGGACTGAGCCACGGCTTGAAAGGTGATGTGGGTCTCAACTGGGAATGAGGCCAGAGAGACTGGAACTAAGTTCAGAGACATGGAATAGGTAGAACTAACTGAGTGACACTGAATGCTGGGGAGAGGAAAGAGCCTAGGGTAAATTCCCAGTTTCTGGCTTGGTTTACCTGGGGTAGTTTAAAATCTACTGTTCTGACTTACCTAGTCTCATGGAAGGAGATATCATTCATTCATTCATCTATTCAATGAACGTGTATTGTGTGTGCCAGGCCCTGTCTGAGACATTGGGGATATAGCACTGAACAAAGCAGCAGAAATCCCTGGCCTCATGGAGCTTACATTCCAGTAGAGAGAGAAGGACAACAGCACAACAGCCAAATAGATTAAAATGTGTCAGATGGTGGAAGGCCAAGGTGGGCGGATCATGAGGTCAAGAGATCAAGACCATCCTGGCTAACACGGTGAAACTCCGTCTGTACTAAAAATACAAAAAATTAGCCAGGCGTAGTGGCAGGCGCCTGTAGTCGCAGCTACTCAGGAGGCTGAGGCAGGAGAGTGGCATGAACCCCGGGTGGCGGAGCTTGCAGTGAGCCGAGATCACGCCACTGCACTCCAGCCTGGGCGACAGAGCGAGACTCTGTCTAAAAAAAATAAAAATAAAATGAAATAAAAAAGTGTCAGATGGTGATAACTGCTAAAGAGAAGGGAGAAAAATCCATAAGAAAGGATGGAGGGTAATGGAGGGGTGCTAGGTAACATAAAGTGGTCAAAGAATGACACTTGAGCAAAGACCTGCAGAAAGAGAGGGGGAAAGGGAAGAGTCTTCCAGACATAGGAAGCTCCTGGTGCAAAGGTTTGGAGACTAGAGAAAGGTGCCATTAGAAAGAGTCCTTCTCCACACAGTGGCAGCTATTGCCCAAGAGCACAGTCTGTCTTCCTCAGAAGGTAGTAATGTATTCCTGTGACAAGGCCTAACTGAGATGGTCCTTCTCACCCTCCTCAAATGATGCAATTCTCTCTGAAACCAAATGTCTGAGACAAGTTAAAATAATTAATTGGGAAGCCATTAGACTGAGGCAGCTCCAGTGCCCTGGGTTTCTATGTGAGCAAACCAAAACCCAACTCAGTGGAATTGGTCATATTCTAGGAAAACAAAATTTAAGCTTAACCAATCAGAAACTGCCCACTAACCTCTAACTATGGACTTTACACTGGAATTATCCAAATAAGGCTACTGCTCCACTTTAATCAGTCAAATACTTTCTTTGCCTTGCTTCTTCAATCACTCTGTAAAAGCCTCCTTCTCATGCTCCTTTAGTGGAGTCCTGAAAAAAAAAAAACACTTCCAGTTTGGAGTTGCCTCATTCATGAATTGCTCTCTGCTCAAATAAACTCTAAAATTTTAATGTGCCAAGGTTTATCTTTCAACAGACCTCAGAGAGCAAATTATCTTCTGCTTGTTGGACAGGAGAACTCTCAAGTCATTGGAAAAAGCAAGGTTGTTAACACCAGGGAGTGGACAATGAAAGAGACTCAATTTACTCCTGCAAAAAAACTGTGGTATTGGAAAGGTGAAGCTGCATTTGTAAAATTCTGACAGTAACAGAAATCTGACATAGTTGACTACATCTTGTTTCTGACCTCCAAACTGCCCTTGGTCATTCCTGAGTGTGAGCCAAGCTAACTTTGGGAGGGAATTTAGTGCACAGTTTAACTTAAAAGCATGGATGATAATAGCCCCTCCCTAAAACTAACCCCCTTCTTGCTCAGGGACTGAAAACCACCTTTGTAATACTAATGAAAGTCCACAAAATTAGGATTGTTGGAGGGCCCAATTTCTGCTAAGATGTAGGTGTGCTTTCTCTAATCCCTTACTGCTCAGGAGTCTTGTAGCCAGAGGTCACAAGATTTGTGACTTCCCCAGTTGCTCCTATAGGTAACATCACTATTGTGGAACCTAAGATTGGTTTTTTGAGATGCTTTTCAGACTGACTCCACTTGGGATCATGACTCAACTGATCCTGTGGCCCCACCCAGAGATGGACTCAGTGCATGAGGACCATTTTCCACAGCCCTATGATTTTATATCCAACCAATCAGCAGCACCCATTCCCTAGCCCCCTGCCCACCAAGTTGTCCATAAAAACCCTAGCCTCTCAGCTCAGGGAGGCTGATTTAAGTAATAACTCCATCTCCTGCACAGCCAGCCTCATGTCAATTAAAGTCTTTCTTTACTGCAATGCCATGCTCTCAGTGAATTGATTTTGTCTATGCAGCAGGTGGGAAGAACCCATCAGGTGATTATAAAGCCAGGATCAAAGGTGTGCTTAGGACAAAGAGAGGCCTGCCAGAGCACAGAGCACACCCATGTTGGCAGACCTTACCAGCCTTTAAAAGCAAAGAGAGGGTGCAACATTGCCCAGATAAGGAGCAACCCCTGCAGCACCACCCACCACCCTGCAAACTCACCTTCAGTAGGAAGCTAAAGAGGAATGTGTCGAGGGGCCAGATCCCAGGGGAAGAAAGAAGAAACTATAAAGGGTTAGATGGCAGATGCAATGGCGACATCTGATGGTCTCTAAGTCTTTGGGCATGGACAAGTTCACCTGAGAGAGGATGTAGGTAGAAAAGACAGCCACAGACAGAACCTAGACAACAACAACATGAAAAGGGTGTGTATAGGCTGAGGACCTCCCTAGGGTAGCTGAAAGAAAGTAGGGAGAAACTAGGAGAGGTAGGACCAGGGAGGGACAGGGCTTTAAGAAGCCAGGGGTCAACAGGAGCAATGCTGCTGAGAGGTCAAGTGAGATGAGGCTGACACATGCCCACTGAATTTGAACATAAAAATGGAAGGAGCTAGAAGTGAGGAATGGTTGGTGATTATGCTCTTCTTTCAAGAAACTCATGGAGGCTGGTCAGGAGCAGTGGCTCAGACCTGTAATCCCAGCACTTTGGAAGGCCGAGGTAGGTGGATCCCTTGAGCCCAGTAGTTCAAGACAAGCCTGGGCAACACACTGAGACATTGTCTCTCCAAAACCTTAAAAATTAGCTAGGCATGGTGGTGCATGCTACTCGGGAGTCTGAGGTGAGAGGATCACTTGAGCCCAGGAAGTGGAGGCTACAGTAAGCTGAGACACAGTACTTCACTCCAGCTTGGGCGACAGAGTGAGACCCTGTTTCAAAAAAAAAAAAAAAAAAGGAAAGGCATGAGTTAGAGAGTAGAGCCAGAGGCATTTCAGCTCTATCTCACTCCTCAAGGTCAAAACCAGTGGTGAGGGAGGGAGACAAGATGGAAATACTGGACAGGCTTGGGAAACTGAAGTACCTCCCAGGGTGTCTCAGTTGCCATGGGGCAGCCAGAATATAGAAAATACTCTGAGAGGGAGGTCAGCCCATCTTCCATCCTCAGGGATCCAGACAGATGCAGCAGTCACCATCTTGGATATTGCTGGGTGCTACTGCAGAGGAAAGAGGATTCTGGAGGATTATCCCCAGACAATTAGATGTTTAGCTTGACTCATCTCATTTTGGAGCTTAATCAACAAATCACATGGCCCCAGCCACCCAAAATGGGGCACAGGAAGTGTAATCCAGAGATAGTTGGTGAGCAGCACTAATGATTACCACAGTTTCCATGGTAGAGTCCATGCGTCAGCCAGAGGATTAGGCAGCTTAGGGAGAGGGCACAGCTTTGAGGAACTAGATGAAGAGAGAGGTGAATGTCAGGGTCAACCATGCTGTGAGCCAAGGGAGCTAAGGCTGCAGGGGTGCCAGTGGAGGTGCAGAGGGAGACGCACAAACAACACCAGCTCTCAACACTTCAGCAGAGGGGCAGAAAGCTCAGAGGCCCACACCACAGCCTTGGGGGGACAAGATGGCCCAGCAACAGTCAAACAGTCAGCAAAGAATGAAGGGGGGCACAGGCATGGGACCATCTGCCCTGGGCTAGGACAGCCACTGGGAAGGTAGATTGAATTGAATGAATTAAATTCAAAATTGACCACTTTTAAAATTATAAGTGACTAAGTATCTTGAGGTGGCAAAAAATAAAAAAAATAAAAAAATAGCCATCAGAGGAAAAGGGGTAATTGTGAGAACGCCTACAGCTATGGAGTAGTAAATAAAGACAGGCTGCACCTCTAAGCCGTGACCGAGACTTTTCTACTATGATAAGTGAGTGTATGCTGGGAGGGAGGGGACAGAGATTAGCAGCACCATAAACATCAGATCCTACACATGTAAAAGGCCTCTATTTTCTTTCTGAATGAAGAGACAAGGTCACCTAGGACTCTGCTCTGAAGGTCCAAACACCTGGAAATGTGATGGTGACCCAAGAGCCATAAACTAACCCTGAGTGATGTTGACACCAAGGGGAATCAACACTAGCAGGTACCCATGTCCCCAAGGACAGGCATGCAGCATCCTGGGCCTTAATAGGGAGCAGAACAGAATAGAGCACAAGCTCTTGCTCAGACAGGACAAGCTGGTTCAGTGATGGTCATGCATTCCTGGAGAGAAGTCAAAAAATGGCCCCTGCCTCAGAGAGGGGCAGAGGGAGGCAGCAAGGATTCCCTTCACATGGCTTTGACATCTGCAGTGAAGTCACATTGGTTTCCTGCATGTATCTGACACTAATGAATGAGAAGTGAACAGATATTGGAATCAGACTGAGGTTCAAGTCTTGGCTCTTCCAACTATCGCCAAATTACCTTTCTGAGTCAGTTTTCCCACCTATAAAATGGGGAGAAGTGAGTCTGCCTGGAGTGTCTGAATGAGGACCAAATGAGATAATTCATGGAGACTCCCTGGCACATAGAAAACATTTGTGCACATAGGAAGCACTTGTAAAATATGAGTTCCCATGCCCATTTTTTGTCCACTGGTGAACTGTCTTGATATACTCAGAGTTTACACCCTGACTTCATTATGTAAATTATTTTTTAGCAGGCCCAGTAAATCATTTGGAAAATCAAATCCGAAGGCATGTTGGACATGGCAGAAGTATAAACATCATGTAATGAACTGTATAGCGACCTTGAGTTTTGACCACCCCATCCCACCTCCACCCTCATCAAACCTGCTCTGTTGCGTTATATGACAACACAGGAGTAAAAGGCTGATAAGGAATTTTTTTTTGAATTCTGATCACTTCTCCTCAATCCAACAAGGAAAAATTTAATTTTTTTTTTTAATGTATAGAGACAGAGTCTCACTCTGTCCCCAGGCTGAAATGTAGTGGCACTGTCATAGCTTACTGTAATATGGAACTCCTGCACTCAAGCAATCCTCCCACCTCAGTCTCCCAAGTAGCTGGGACTACAGGTATGCACCACTGTGCCTGGTTAGTTTTTTAAAATTATTTGTTGAGATGAGGTCTCATTATGTCACCAAGATTGGTCTTGAACTCCTGGCCTCAAGTGGTCTTCCCAACTTTGGCCTCCCAAAGCATTGGGATTACAGATGTGAACCACCATGCCTGGCCAACAAAATTTTATTATGTGACTAATAGTCAGTAGAAGGAGATGTTTCCATATTAGGTATTAGGTACTATGAGATACTGAATGACACAGAAAGAATATTAATTTGTGACCAGTTGTGGTGGCTCACACCTGTAATCCCAGCACTTTGGGAGGCCGAGGCAGGCGGATCACAAGGTCAGGAGATCGAGACTATCCTGGCTAACACGGTGAAACCCCGTCTCTACTAAAAATAAAAAAATATAAAAAATTAGCTGGGGGTGGTCGTGGGCGCCTATAGTCCCAGCTGCTCGGGAGGCTGAGGCAGGAGAATGGCATGAACCTGGGAGGCGGAGGTTGCAGTGAGCCAAGATCACGCCACTGCACTCCAGCCTGGGAGACAGAGCCAGACTTTGTCTCAAAAAAAAAAAAGATATTAATTTGCTAAAAGTAATATTCTGATTGTCTACTTATACATAACAAACTTCCCAACACTTAGTTCCTTGAAACAATTTAGTTTTCTTTCTCATAGTTCTAGGGTTGATGTACTCAGATGGGCAGCTCTCACTTAGGGTCTCTCATGGTCAGATTCAGGCTGGGGCTGGAGTCCCCTGAAGGGGTAGGAACCTGGACAGCAAACTGCTGGACCAGCTGACAACTGGGCGAGCATGCCCTTATGGGGCCTCTCCTTTCTTAGGGAAAGTGGTGAGATTATTTTGTTTAAAGCATGAGAATGTATTTCCCTGGAGGGTAACACTAGGAGGTTTATGATAATCCTAACACTTAACCTGAAAGGAAGTGGGGGTATGGGTCAGGGACAGGACACAGCGTTGAGAAGGTCCAGCAGAGGCAGCAGGGCACAGCGGTTAAGAAGATAGGCTTTAGAGATGAAGACCTAAGCGTCTATAGGCCACTTTGACACTTTGAAGGCTCCCCACTCACAGGCTGTGCAGCCTTGGGGCAGGTCCTCATCCTCTCTGAACTTCATTTTCCCATCTCCAAAAGGGGGCTAATAATGCCTACTTTGCAGGGTACTTGCGAATCCTGAATAAGGTAATAAAGTGCAATATTTTGTGTTTAGATGGTGCTTGTCAATTGTTCAATGTTGTAAGGAGGCAGCATTTTAGGGGTTGAGCCTAGATCCAGCCCAAGAAATAAGAAATCCCAGTGCTAAGGAACTCAGTTGGTTCTAGGATCTCTGGTGATAGCTAGAATCAGACATTCCCTGTACTATTTTTAAGCCAAGACAGAAAAATGTACTTTTGATGAGTAAACTTGCTTTTGAATACTTTTTTCTACCTGCATCAATGTCCTTTTAGGGTGCCACTCCCCAAAAAACTCTGGTATGGCTTATTCTGGTGCCTTTTAAATGGTAGGGTTTTGTTGTTGTCATTGTTTGTTTGTTTTCTTTTTTTATTACTGTGGTTGAATTTTCGCTTCATTCTGTGTGTTTGGCTCTGGAGAAAAAAGAAGCTCAGATCACATCATGCTGTAAGTGGGTGTGGTCTGGGAATGCCCACTGCTGGTCCTTTGTACATAGTACCTCTCCCAGAAACTGTCAGCTCTCTTGGTGACAGCTAAATACATGCTTTAGACATGTGTTAAAAATCAAGCCTGCCAGGAGGGCTCAGATTTCATCCTACTCAACCACCTTCTGCGTCGTCGGTCCTTAGGAAGAGGGCAACAACCTCAAACGTGGATTAAGTTGCTTCCAGGTAGAATTACAGGACAAAGGCCTGGTTGGGGAAATGTTCTTATGATTTAAGGGTATCAGAGAGGACCTACCGCTTGAGTGCTTTAAGAAATAAAGAAATTGGCAAGTGTTTTGTTTTTCACCTTTAAAAAATATTTGTGAGGCCGTAAGAACTGGTTAAAAACTAGAAAGGCAGCAATAGTTTATATCTATGTCAATATTAATGCTGGAGACAAGCCCTCCGCCCAAGTGACAGGAAAGCATCCAGAACTAATTTGCGTCCCCAGGCAGATTTGGAAAATGATTATGCCTCAACATGGGGTAGAGCTGAATCTATCTGCCTTTGGCCCACTTTGGAAGATGATCTCTTCCCACGGCAAATAAACAAATGATGGAAAATGCAGGCCAGAGTTAGAGAGAACCTGACTAGGTAATTTTAGCCATTGACACAGAGAATTTTTCTACTCACCAAGATCAAGGCTAAACTTGGAGTGGGCAGAGTTCCTCAGCATCTTCTGTGGTCAAATATGCAGCTTGGCAATTAATCAGGAGAGGAATGAGCACAGGATACAACCCCTTCCGCTAGGACATGGCTCGGCCATGCTTGTCACAACAAGGGTCTGTTTATTTTTCCTCTATGGAAAGGGCATTTAAAAAAGAGGACCAGCAAACATCCTTGGCCAAATTTGGATTATGAGGTCAAGGAGTAAAATCATCAGCAAGCTTACATGGAAATAGACATAGAGGCAATCAATTTTGAAATAAGATACAGTGGATATAAAAGAGCATTTAACAAATGTTTCTTCAAGTTCTATGTATTCAACTGTTATTTCTAAATCTATTTTATTTAACCATATAGAGATTAAAATGCACTTCCCAAGTAATTAACCGAATAATGTGAAAACTAAACAAAATTTAGGCAGCATTAGAAGTACAGAAACTAGAAAGAGGAAGGTAATGCCATCGCTCCACCTGTGCTGTGTGTTCCAAACTCCACTTTTTAAGAGGGAGTAGGGATGACCTGGGGCCTGGTCAAAGGAGAGAAACCAGAGTGGTAGAAAGACACAAAACCTTGTCATTTAGAGACTGTTCAAGAACTAGGATTGCCTTGTAAGAGTGGTGAGGGCTCAAGGGGCAAAGGGGCATGATACCCTTTTTTAAAAAATGTAAAGCCAATTATGTGATTTTAAATGTGTTGGTATAACAGTTCCAGAACAAGTGCTGGGCACTGGCTGCAGAAAGTTACTATGGAATGTAATGCCTCAGTGGTAGTAAGTTCCCTTTCACGGGAAGGGTGGATGGTCCATCAACAGTGGTGTGGTAGACATATTTGAGCATTGGTTGAAATTGGATTGGGATGAGAGGGATTGAGGAGAGTGGTGCAATGGTCACACCAAGAGAGCAGCCCTAGAAGTAGACACATTTGAGGGCCTTGCCCACTCATTTTCCTTAACTCTAAACCCTCTACTTAACTCATCTGAGCTTCAGTTGCTTCACCAGGAAATGGAGATAACAGTGCCTGTCTCATAAGGTTATTTTGAGAAACAGATGCATTAATGCATACAGAGAGCTTCGCATTCTGCTTAGCTTGTAGTCCTTAATACATGACATCTGTTCTTACCATTAATTACGAGCTTTATGGTTTTTATTACCCTGATAGTCAAATGTAAACTTTCCAAATTCTCTAGATCCAAGGAACTTAACCGACAACACTTAGGTTCCTAACCACAAGGTGGCAGACAGATTGTCACCCTAACTATTATACTCTGGGATGGAGCTTGGAGATAAGAAGCAATGAGAAAGCAGTAATAGGATGAAAGGGGAAAGAGAAATGAACCGGACCTGGTGGGACCCTGGTGGGTCCCTGCTGAGAGCTGTGAAATCAGGCCATGGATTTATAGGGATTTTACTGTGCTTTGACTTTTACATAATTATTTTTTTTTGGTTTGGCTTTTATGAGAATAAAATATCTTTTGAATAAATAGGAGTTTTCCTGAAAGCTGATGTTTATGGTGACTTTACTTCACGATAGGGAGACAAGTGCAAAAAGATGGCTAGAAAACGAGTGTGTGTTTACCGTCATGCAAGGAAGATACCAGACATAAATATGGCAACACCCTTCCCACTCGTCCACAGCTGCCACAGACTCAGGCTCATAGCTACAAGCATGAAAATCAAACCCGCTCATATAGGCACCCGAGAGTTCTTTCTTGCCTACTTTTTTCCCAAGCTTACCCTCTCCAGACTCCCAGTAAAAGAAATATAAAAGCACAACTTTCCCCTGGGGAAGGATGGACATGGGACCAGATGAGTGGATTCTAGTCCCACCTTGGCTATTTAAGGAGATGTTCTGGTTTGGACAAGTTAATCAATCAGTGTTCTCACCCCCACGGTGAAGGGCATAACCTAACCCTGATCCATCTCTAAAAGGTTCTTTCATCCTAATGGTCTCTTAACTCTCTAAGGCAGAGAGGAAGACCTTTCTCTGAAGCCTAGCATGTAATCTTAGCTACCTGAATCATGAGCCACAATTCACACAAAAGCACCCTGATACATACAATGTTAGAAGAACTGGAAGAAATTTTGGAAAGTAAGTAGTTCTGCCCTTTTGCTTTATAGATGAAAAAATTGATAAGGTAATTTTACCAAGGACAGACAGCGAATTCAAGATTAGGCCAGGACTAGGCTCAAGCCCTTGGAAATTCTAAGAATCATTCCCAAACATGTACTTACACACACCCCACACCCCACACATAATAACGTTTTTAGAGTATTGTTAAACATTATTTAGATTCCATAAAATTCATCCATTTTAATTTTACAATTTAATGATTCTTAGTGAATTGACAGAGTTGTGAAACTATCTCCAAAATCCAATTTTAGCATATTTTTATTCCCCCATAAAGATTGCTAGTGCCCATTTGCTGTCACTCCATTCCCATCACAGGCAAACACCAATCTGCTACATGCCTTTATAGATTTATTTATCTCAAGATATATATAAATAGAATCATATAATATGTAGTCTTTCCCCCAATTTTAGAGGAAAAAGCAGTCAGTCTTTAACCAATAAGTATTATATAATGCTACTTACAGATTTTTCATAGAATTCCTCTATCAGGTTGAGAAAAGTATTTTCCATTTACAGTTTACTAAAAAATTTTATCATGAATGAGGATTAGATTTTTGTCAAATGTTTTGTGCATGTATTGAGATGACCATGTGATTTTTGTCTTTATTCATAGTATTATATTAATGTGACATTACATTGATTGATTTTTAGATAGTAAACCAACCTTCTATTACTAGGGGAAATCCTACTTTGGCACGGTGTATAATCATATTATATGTTGCTGGATTCATTTTGCTAATATCTCGCTGAAGATTTTTGCATCTACAACCATGAGGAATATTGGTCTGTAGTTTTATTTTCTTGAGATGTCTTTGTCCAGCTTTGTATAAGGGTATACTGGTCTCATGGAATTTGTTCAGAAATGTTCTCTCTTACAATTTGTGGAAATGTTTTTTTAAAAAATTGGTGTTTTATAGAATTCACCAGTGAAGATATCTGGACCTATGCTTTTCTCTGAGGGAAGATTTTTTCCATTACTATTAAAATTCTTTACTAGTCTATGCATGTTTTCTATTTCTTCTTTAGTCAGTTTCATTAATTTGTATCATGCTATGAACTATTTCATCTACATTGTCTAATTTGTTAGCTTAAAATTGTTCATCATGTGCTCTTATAATCCTCTTAATTTCTGTGAGATTAGTAGTGATGTCTCCTTTTTCATTTTTTTTTTTTTTTGTCAGTTTAAATCAGGTATCTCAACCTTAGTACTATTGATATTTGGGCACAATAATTTTAGCATGGAGGGGCTGTCGTGCATTGTAGAATATTTAGGAGCATCTCTGATCTCTACCCACGAGTTGTCACACACACACACACACACACACACACACACACACACACACACAAAGCATTACAATTAAATTTTTCTCCAGACATTGACAAAATATCCCTTGGGGTACAAAATCACCCTTGGTTGAGAACCACTGGTCTAGATGAGATTTTAATTTTGTTGGTCTTTTCAAATAACCAACTTTTGTTTTCCCTGATTTTACCTAATTTTCTGCTTTCCATTTCATTAGTGTCTGCTCTAATCTTTATTATATCCTACATTCCACTTGCTTTGGGGTGAATTTACTTTTTTTTCAGTTTCTTAAGGTGGAAGCTTTGGTTATTAATGTGGGGTATGCAAGGTCATTTTAAGACAAATTATATTTTGGACAACTTGGATTTTAGAAAACCTAGTCTCTTAGCTAGAAGAAAGGTTTATATGTTAAAAACTAGAAAGTAGTAAAGAAAAGCTTTTCCCCAGCACTCATTCTTACCTTCTCTAAACAAAATACTACGTAAACGAAAGAGCCATGGTGTTCTTCTAGACTGCTCTTACCTATTAACCCAGGCTTCCTTAAATTACATGAATCTTCAGCCTCTTCTTGAAGCTTCTTTCCCACCTCCCATCTACATCCTGATTTATGGTTCCTCTTTTCATTCACTCACACTGATAAATTAGCTAATCTGATTGAGCAACTGTTACTGACAACATCAGAGAATATTTTGACTTTACCGCTATGCAATCTATCCATGTAACAAAATTTCTTTTAGGAAAACTAGACTTTAAAACAAAGACATTTTCAAATCATGGAAGGATAGAGAAAATATAGCTTAACACATCAGAAAGGAAAACTTAGTTTGGTCAGGCTGAGATCAACCTCCATTCCATGAGCAGGTGCTAAAGCCGGGATGAGGATACCACTGGGAGTTAAAGAGAGACATCCCATTAAGACTCTTTGGCTAGCATTAGAGCTGACCCATGGAAACCAAATTTAGTGCATGAGCACCAAGATCATCAGGAGCAGAGCTGACAACAGGAGACTGGACAAAAATGAGGAGCAGGGCAAAATATGAACAAGGCAAAAAGTAAAGAGGGTCTTGACATTTCCATTTAGTCTGCAGGTTACATTTCTGGGTTCACCAGTCACCTAGGGTGCATCAATGATCTGGTAATTAATTACAGGAAATCTGGCCATCAGCTGTCAGCCTGTTCTGCCCAAGTGCTGTGCACAGGAGACAAGTGCTGTGCCCTGTCTGCATGTAAGGCACATGTATGCTCTAAAGGGCCTAGGAAGAGGAAAGCAGTTCAGCTCCACACTTCCTTCCTTGATCCCAGTCCCTCTCTCAATCTCTATCCTCGTCCCTGTCCCTTTGCCAGTCTCAATCCGCCTTCCATTTTCCTTCACCCTTTTAGTTCCTCTCTTGCTGCCCAGACCTGGCTTCTCTCACATATTACATTACCCAGGGTTATAAGCAGAACTAAGTTCAGGGCTGTAAGAAATATTCTTTTCCCACCTCAAACTCTGCTTCTTACATAACATCAGTTCTTCCTATTTCAGGAAAATCTGGGTGTGGTACACTGGTGTTTACAGTACAAGAACATATCACAGCATTACATAGCCACACAACTGGGAAAATGCTGAAATTGGAAAACTTGGGCTGGAACTGAGATCCTGTGGCTACCCTTGTTCTAAGCTATGAAACATGTCTATCAGCTGGAGAATGAATATTTTAAAAGAGGGGAAAGTTAACAGAAAGAGGTTTTCTAAAAACAGGGAAAAGGGAACCTACACAGTGCTACCTGCGTGTTATAGGAGCTTTACACGCACAGTCCTATTCACTACATAGCGATGGTTCAGTAAACAATGGACCACATACGTGATGGTGGTCCTGTAAGATTATGACAGAGCCAAAAAATTCCTATTACCTAGTGACGTCATAGGCGTATGACATATTTCTATAATGCAATGGAGTACTCACGTTTGTAGTGACTACACCACCAGTTGCATAAAAGTACAGCACATACAATTATGTACAGTAAATAATACTTAATAAATATGTTATTAGTTTATGTATTTCCTATATTATACTTTTCATTGTTATTTAGAAAAAAACTTTCTTATTCCTTCTACTTATTTTTTAAAAAAGCCAATTGTAAAACCGTCTCAGGCAGGTCCTTCTGGAGGTATTCCAGAAGAAGGCATTGTTAACACAGGAGGTGACAGCTCCGTGCATGTTACTGAGTGTGGAGACCTTCCAGTGGGACAGGACGTGAAGGTGGAAGATGGTGATACTGATGACCCTGACTCTGTGTGTACCTAGGTTAATATGTGTGTTTGTGTCTTAGTTTTTAACACAAATATCTAAAAAGTAGGAAAATAATTCAAAATAGAAAATAAAGAAAATAATTTTGTACAGCTAGACAATGTTTTAAGCTAAGTGATTTTACAAAAGAGTCAAAAAGTTTTTCACAATTAAAAAGTTTATAAAGAAAAACGGTTATAATAAGCTAAGGTTAATTTATTATTGAAGAAAGAAAACTTTTAAAATAAATTTGATGTACAGTAGTGTAAAGTAACGTCCTAGGCCTTCACATTCACTCACTCACTGACTCACCCAGAGCAACTCCAGTCTTGTAAGCTTAATTCCTGGTAGCACCCTATGCAGAGATACCCTTTTTTAAATCTTTTATATAATATTTTTACTGTAGCTTTCTATGTTTAGATATGTTTAGATACACAGACAGCATTGTGCTACAGTTGCCTACAGTATTCAGTATAGTCACATTCTATACAGGTTTGCATTCTAGGAGCAATAGGCTATACCACAGAGCCTAGATGTGTAGTAGGCTCTACCATCTAGGTTTGTGTGAGAACACTCTATGATGTTTGCTCAATGATTAAATCGCCCAAGACTGCAGTTCTTACAACATGTCCCTGCCAAGCAACACATGACTGTATTGTCTAATTTAATTCTTGCAACTCCATAAAGGAGCTCTTATCTTCCCACTTTTACAGAGGAGGAAAATGAGCCCCATAGACCTTAAGTAGCTTGCCCACTGTGAGCATGTGGCAAAGCTGGAATTCCGAGGACTGAATGACTCCAAAGCCTCCTCTTTGACCACCAGACTGCTTCACACATCAGTCAGTGGAGAAAATGATGGTTACCTCGATAATCTCTCCAGTCTTTGTGAAGAAAAATCTCTCCAATCTTTTTTTTTTTTTTTTTTTTTTTTTTTTGAGAAAGGCTCTCACTCTGTTGCCCAGGCTGGAGTGCGGTGACATGATCTTGACTCATGTCCCGAGACACAGCCCTTAGAAGGTCCTGAGAATATGTGCCCAAGGTGGTCAAGGTATAGCTTGGTTTTATACATTTTAGGAAGGCATGAGACATCAATCAAATACATTTGATATGGTAGCCTCAACTCCCAGGTTCAAGTGATCCTCCTACCTCATCCTCCCCCAAAACTGGGACTACAGGTGTGAGCCACCATACCTGGCTAATTTATTTGATATTTTTATAGAGATGAGGTGTCACTACCTTGTCCGGGCTGGTCTTGAACTCCTGGGCTCAAGTTATCCTCCCACCTCAGCCATCCAAAGTGCTGGGATTACAGGCATGAGCCACCATGCCCAGCCTGTGATTAGTTTTCTTTTATTTAACAATAGATCCTAAAGCAGAGAATTCTGGAAAGATAGCAGCTCAAATGTGTCCTGACCTTTCAGTCTCTTGTCTAACCCAGCTAACTTCTGAGTCAAGCACTGCCCTGTTGCAATTGGCAATGGTAAACTTAGAGATCACTAAGTGTGCAGGACTTTGCCCACCTGGGCCAGGTGAGAGCCTAGAAACAGCATCAGAGACCTTGAGACCAAGGATTAGAATATACATATTTAGGAGGAGAACTTAGTCCATTGAGATCCATGAACAACTACCACCTCCCACCCCAACATCATTCCCAAGGAAAGGACAACTAGGCCTGGATAAGTGTCTCTGGCTTCCTGCCCCTGAGATGCTGAGGAAACGCTGAAAACGGGGATTTTTGTCTCTCCATTCTTAGAGCAGGAGAACTCAAGAAGGGTAGGAAACAGAAAGGCTTCTTCCTGATGAGGACACCTCAGTCAGCTTGACATTGAGGAAGGGGCCAGATAGTGAACGTTATTATCTCATTCTAAGAAAATAAGATTTTTTCCTGTTGGCAATGAGTAGCCTCTCCTTTCTTATAGGAGAAAGGGAGAGGAGTATCAAATAGCATTGTGCAGGAACTAAAGGCAGAGAAGTCAATTTGAAGTCTGGGAGAAGATGGTGGCCTGAATGAAAACAGGGACAATGGAGTGGAGATAAGAAAATAGCATTTGGGCCAGGCGTGGTGGCTCATGCCTGTAATCCCAGCACTTTGGGAGGCCAAGGCGGGTGGATCATGAGGTCAGGAGTTCGAGACCAGCCTGACCAACATGGTGAAACCCCATCTCTAAAAATATATATATATAAAAATAAGCGGGGCGCAGTGGTGCCCTCCTGTAGTCCCAGCTACTTGGGAGGCTGAGGCAGGAGAATCACTTGAACCCAGGAAGTGGAGGTTGCAGTGAGCCAAGATCATTCCACTGCACTCCAGGGCGACACAGTGAGACTCTGACTCAAAAAAAAAAAAAAAAAAAGAATAGCATTAAGAGGCACTTAGCAAGCAGAATCTAAAGATGTTCAGGCAAAAACATTGGCAGGTCTTGGTGCTGGATGAGATATGGGAAGTGAGGGTGTGAGAGGCACCATGATGAGCCAAGATATCTGGCTCATGCAGTTCGGTGTGTGGTAGTACCCCCTCCCCAAGGAGAAGCCTGGGAGGTAGAGAAGGTAATGATCAATTCATCTTTGGGCACCCTAAGCCTGAGGTATCCAGGAAATTTTAGTGGGAAGCTGGGAATACAACTCTGGTGCTTAACAGTGAACCCGCGAGTGAAGTGGGCCCCTCAAGACAATTACTCTTACTGGCCGTGGTGCCACAGCTCTTCCTTGGCACACACTGGTCCCTGGGGAAGTCACATGTTTCCTAGCATCACTGATGCTGCCTCCTCCTCACTCTACTTGAGGAAAAGCTGAAATGGATAGCATGTCCTTCTCCAGCCTCTCATTTTTTTGTCTCAAAGTTTGTGCCACCCTCGCTTTCAGGAAGACGGCCCTATTGCAGCCCTCAAGTTTGCAAGCCTGGAGGCTTACTCTCCATTCTTTTCATCAAGAACACAGACCTGCATTTGTTTAACAGTTGATGAGCTTGTATAATGTGCCAGGCTTTGTGCCAGAGATCAGATACACAGAAGTGCAAGAACATGCTTATGCCTGCAAGGAGCTCACAGTGGAGATACAGATATACACACAGTCACTCTGTGATACTTGGACATGGCTGAAATTCACTGAGATTTTGGAGGGAGAAAGGAAGAAAAGGAGAGCAAGCCTGCAGAAATCAGGGAAAGTGTCATAGAGGTGGTAGCCATTGGCCTGACATTGAAGAATATACAAGAATCCACAGGATAGGGCAAGATGGAGCAGATGGAACAGGTCTAAATCAAAGGCCTGCGAAAAGACCTGGGTGTAAACGAGCCTGGTGTGTTGGAGAGTGGGTGGTTGCAGACAGCTTAGGCTGGAGTGTAATGTGCAAGGACAGGAGTGTTTGAGGTGGGTCTGTAGGGAGAGAAAGCGGTCTGTGCAAGTGCTAATCCTTGCATGGTGAAAGACAATAGGGACAGACTTCCTCTCATTTGGGCGCTCTCCCCTAGGAGTAGCTCATTAACATCCTGGAGCAGAAGAAACACAGCCTCCTTAGCATGACCATGGGTGCTCAGGAAAAGGACATTTTGCTGGCTAGTTAGACTGTCTGCAGCTGGACCAAAACAGGTGTAGTCAAGGTGTGGGATTCCTGGGACAGTCTAGCCAGATGGCAACCAGCATTGCGTCCAGATACCAGCACCAGCTTGAGCTGCAAACAGCCAGAGGACCTCCTCAAAGCAGTCACAGGGCTCAGGCTGAGATAAAACAGTCAGTTTGGCCCAGATCCCTAGCATTGGCCCAACTGCAGTTCCTGCCTGAGATAGAGTTAATTAACTTTAGTGGACATGGACATGACCAGGGTTCCAGGGGAAGCAGTAGGCATGGCAAGAGCCACAAGGGCCAGCAGGACTCAAACAGGCACAGAAACCTTGGGCCCCGGCCTTGCAGAAGTAGTTACAATGACCACGAGATGCGAGGAGAACACAAGGCAAAGAGAGAGGATGCAACAGCAGTGGTGGCCAGAGCTCACACCTCCCCAACACACAGGCAGATGGCACAGTATTGGTGCATGCTTCCACAACTATACCCTGTGAGCTTTTGGATTTGTTGATTGGCTATAAGTGTTTTTATGACCATGGACTTCCATTTTCACTCCATGTTGGTAGGGCTAGCAAGAAATCTTGTTGATATTCTCAAACTATTCAGAAAATTTACCATATTTTATATGATCTAAGAAGCCATATATTATAAGAAGCATTATTATTTTATCTACTACAAATACAGGAAAATACTGCTGATTAATTGTAAGATATAACCAATTGTAAGACATTTAGTTCTCATTATTCTTGTTACCAAATATTTCCCTGTCTCATATATCATACTGAATATATGGTGGGGCTGCATTTCCTGACTACTTTGTGGATATGTAAAGTCATATGACTAATTTTGGCTGATGAGTTATGAGTAGGAGGGACCAACTAATTATGTACTTGTGAGTTGGAGACTTCCTAGGCTCCTCTTTCTAATTCACACAAAGTTACCAAAAGGGCTAGTGGCAGCAGTAGAAATGATACATGAGATGTGTGACTTGTTAAGGTTACACAGAGAAATCAAGCCCTGAGCTGAGAGTTAGCTCTGACAAGCCTACTTCGTGCTTCTGCTTCCCCTGCATCAGAAAAGAGCACGCTTTCTGAAATTAACGAAAAGTACTATCGTTCCAGGAAGACGTTTCAGGATCTCCAACTGGCCTTGACTAATGCAAAATTTTGAACAAAGATATGTGTTTTCAAGTGAAATGACAACAAAGTACAACATTAAGACATAATAAACATGCCAGAGTTGTCCAGGGAAAACTGTTAGGACTAGGAAAATGACAACTTGTATGTTATGTTAGTTACTTTCCCTGTCTACCATCACTCATTGTATTAGGTCTTCTTTTGGAGGGTTGATATTCAGAACATTTGGGAATTCATATGGAGAGTATATGCTTTGACAAGAGACTAATCCCATCCTGAGATAGCCAGGAAAAGAAAGAGAGAGAGAGAGAGACAGAGGAATTTATGAATTTATGAGCTTTACTACCAGGGATTAAAGAGGCATAAGAGGCAGAGATACTCCCTAAACTAAAGCACATAAGCAACAGTTGGAAACATTGAACTCTACCCATATTGACCAATTTCATTTTTTCATGCCTGTGCCCCCATTTAAAGAACAGGGAGGTCTTTGTACTTGTTGATGGATATAATTTCCAGAAATGCCCTGATTTCATTTCACTAGCCTTGCTTCATTCTACCCGTAAGTATATTCATGCTTGGGAGATCACATGTTGTACTTTCCTAGTTTTTGGCTAGAAATGCATAGTTGCTGAAGGAATAGGTGGGAAAGGAGGGCTGTAGGGAGCTTGCATGCAACTTTGTAGCCGCTAGGAGAAGAGATGTTACTATGAAGATAGGAATAAGCAGGTAGAAACTTCTTCCTGGAAAACAGGAGGCTGCACATGGGACTGGCCTGGAGTTGGAAAAGTGGACCCTGAGTCTTACCTAGCAAAAAGGCCAAGAACGTTTCCTAGAAGTGAAGTGATAAAAGCACTGCTTCTAAGTGTCATTTGGGCTGGGCATGGTGGCTCATGCTTGTAATCCCAGCACTTTGGGAGGCAAAGGCAGACGGATCGTTTGAGTGCAGGAGCTAGAGATCAGCCTGGGCAACATGACAAAACACTGTCTCTACAACAAATACAAAAAAAAAAAAATAGCCAGGTGTGGTGGCACATGTCTATAGTACGAGCTATTTGGGAGGCTGAGGCAAGAGGATTGTTTGAGTCCAGGAGGTTGAGGCTACAGCTGAGCCATGTTCATGCCACTGCACTCCAGCCTGGGTGAGAGAGCAAGACCCTGTCTCAAAAAAAAAAGTGTCATTTGGAATATTCCAGTACAAATAAGCAAAACTAACACCCAGATCTTAGTTTCTAAATACCATTTTCCCCTAAAAGGAATTAGCGTTCTTTAAGAACTGGCTGATTCCAGAAGTGTACCTGGAAAAGTACAAGATAAGCGTGGAACATCTTGCTACGCGGAAGGCAAAGATGTGCTCAAAGAAGGCAAGGACTTGTCGGAAGCATAAGGGGCCATTTGAAGGAACTCAACCTGGGACAATTTGGCTCCAAAGTAAATATCAATAGTACAGATTATAGCTCATGGAATACATTAAAAATCCATGGGTCTATAGTTATGCAAATATGTAAATGAGAAATAACAGAAATCTGTTCCTTGCAGTAGGATGACAACTATTAATAATAGATACAGAAGAAATGATGTAAATGAATGCAGGAATGATGGAATAAGAAAAGAATCACCATTTGACAAAAACTGTTTGGATCCTACGCAGAAAACTATGTATTTCTTTTGCTATAAGGCATATCAGCATGACAATTGGTAAAATTTGAATAGATATGTAGATTGGATAATAGCTGTACAAATGTTAATTTCCTAGTTTGGATAATTGTGCTGTAGTTATGTAAACAAATAACCGTTTTAGGCAACAATCACCAACTGATGCTAAAACTAAGTGATAAGAAGCAGAATTTTTAGATTGTCTGGATGTATCTCCCCACCAGACTCTTATTAATTACAAATGAAAAAAAAATAGTAACTTTACAGTGTAGAAATCTCACTGACCATACGTTAACAAAGTGTTCAAAGTTGACATAACGTATAATTGTCAGTAGATAACATTTGCCTTCTGTGATGATGCACTGAGAAAAACATCATTATTTCTGTGGTATTGATTCCAAAAGGGCATAACCCGAACCAATCATGGGCAAGTGTGATGGTTACTACTGAGTGTCAACTTGATTGAATTAAGGGACACAAGGTATTAATCCTGGGTGTGTCTGTGTGGGTGCTGCCAAAAGAGACTAACATTTGAGTCAGTGGGCTGGGGAAGGCAGATCCACCCTTAATTTGGTGGGCACCATCTAATCAGCTGCCAGCGAATATAAAGCAGGCAGAAAAACATGAAAAGGAGAGACGGGCCTAGCCTCCCAGCCTACATCTTTCTCCTGGGCTTGATGCTTCCTGCCCTCAAATATCAGACTCCAAGTTCTTCAGTTTTGGGACTTGGGCTAGCTTCCTTCCTCCTCAGCTTGCAGGCAGCCTACTGTAGGACCTTGTGATTGTGTAAGTTAATACTTAATAAACTCCTCTATATATATACAATATATATAATATATAATATTAGTTCTGTCCCTCTAAGAGAACTCTGACTAATACAGCAAGCATTGGACAAACCCAAAATGAGAGACATGCGACAAATTCACTGGCCAATAATCTTCAAAAATGTCTAGGTCATGAAAAAGACTGAGGAACTTATGGGAGACTGAAGACACATGACAACTAAATGCATCATATGATCCTAGATTGGATCCTACCCAGAAAAATATATTTTTCTTTTGCTATAAGGCATATTAGTATGACAACTGGTGAAATTTGAATGGGTCTGTAGATTGAATAATAGCTGTATGAATGTTAATTTCCTGGTTTTGATAATTGTGTTATAGTTATATAAAAGAACGCCCTTGTTTCAAGAAACACACACAGAATAATTTAGGCATAAAGAAGCATTATATCTTCAGAGCACTTTCAAATGATTCAGAGAAAGAGAATGAAAAATCATCTCTGTAAAATGTTAACATGTTGGAATCTGGGTTAAAAACATATGGGAATTCTTCCAAATATTTTTCCAACCTTTCTGAAAGCCTGAAATTATTTTAAAATAAAAGGTTTTTAATATTTTTTAAATTTTAAAATAATTAAATACAAAATTCCAGGGAGTTTCTACTAAAAGCAAAAAAAAAGAAGAAGAAGAAGAAGGAAGAGAAAAAGTCACATGGAATCCCTTACAGGGTGGATGGGGTAAGGCTGGGGGTAGGAAGAGATTTCTTTTCTTGTACCCACTGTAGGTCCAGAGTGGTGACTGCCCAGCCAGATTTCCTATTTTCCTTATGTTTCCTGGCCTAATTTCATAATGCCTACAGCCAGGAAATACTGGCTTTCCACCTCCATCCAAACAGGCACCCACACATTCAAAGCCCAGATGTACACTGGAATCATCTCTGAGCATCCCTTGAGATCATACTACCCAGAGGGCAGACAGCCCAATACCTGCCTCTAACTAAAGGTCTTGATTATTTTGCTGACTGTGTCTCCTCTCCAGCTTTGGTCTTCTGTCCCTGCCCCCAAGAATCTAACCAACATTTTACAAGGTTTCAATTTTGAGAAACCACATGCTATATTGGGAAGAGCGCTGAACTGAGAGTCTTACCTCTACCATCAACTAGCTCTGTGAGCTCAGATAACTCACTTCTATAGTCCTCATACATAAAATCAAGAATTTGAATGGAATCTTCTTAAAAATAGTCTCTTTCATCTCTAAAAAGTTGAAAGGTATTTTTTAAAAGACTCCTCTGACTTTAGATAGGTTGCATCCCCATGAGAACAAACTTTTCCTCCTGAAGGAAAGAGATGAGATCTTGCACTTGATTCTCAAGGTTGACCTTGGTTTGAGTTCATGACATTGACATTGCTTTACTCAAGGGAAGGACTACAGCCAAGAGGCAACATTCCTACACCCAAGTTCTATTTTATCCCAAACCCTGCCAGCTTTGCTATGTTTAGCTTAAACTATTTCTGGATGCACAACAGTTAATCACCTCCTCCAGTGAAAAATTCAAGGAGAAAAAAATGCAAAAAAGTCCTATAATCACTCCTAAATGCCCCTAACTCTTCTCCTGGATCCCTCTCTCCCCCACCCTTCATCTCTGAGATTTCTCTGCTATCACCACAACAGTGTGCACACGAGCTGTCCCCCTGTTTCTGGAATGCTCAGTTATCTATTTCCTTTAGTCTTGGCTCAGATTCAGCAGCTACAAGCTGTCAAGGAGTTGGGAGAGAGAGACTGTGCCCAATCTGGCATGAAAGCAGGACCTGGGCACACACATTTTAGAAAATCATTCTTTGGGCTTTGCCTTCTCCCTGGGCTGTTCATCCATGCTAACATCTTTGACACTCTTTCCCCAAGTCCCAAACCTCTAGAATACCATCTGTTCTCTCAGTGACTACTAAGCACAACTCCATTTACTTTTTCAGATTTTTCTATAATCTGATTGTTCCTTTACTCAAAGAAAAAAAATTCAAGTTAGAAATATTTGTGCTCAACTTCCCTTGTGGGGCCAGATAAGGGAATACAATGGAAGTCTTATATCCTAGAGGAATGCAAGGAATCCCAAAGATGGGCACAGGCTGTTGGAGCTAAGAGTGCTTTTTATAACTGAAAACACAACAGCAACGAGAGAGTGGTGCAAGCTGGATAGACCTAGGGGGCCCCCTAAGGTCATGAAGTTTCTCTAAAAAAGAGGAGGTAAAAATATTTTAATTCCTCTAACATGTCAATTTTTTAAATTATGAAAATATCAAAATATAAAAATGTCAAACACACAAAAAGTAAAAATATCAGTACAATGAATACCCATAGCATTTTGCATATTTACTTTCTTACATTTTCATATGTATTTCCATATTTGGTTTAATATATTCTTGTGTGTTGTATTTGCATATACATGCATGTGTTTGTGTGTACAGCATTATAAAATGCCATATATATATATATATACTTTAATTTCCAAAAAATAAGGACATTTTGTGACAACATCAGTAACATTATTACCCTTAAAGTTAACAAAAATTCCATATCATGTAACATCCTGGTGTCTAATCCATTGTCCTAGTCATATAAAAAATGTGTTTTATAGTTGGTTTCTTCAGAATAGGATTTAATCAGAGCAAGCCAGTGGTCTAGCTAACTATACAGCATTTTGCATTTATCTAATAATTTCCTCTTGGTGTCATCTAACTTATCTCTCTCCACTGTTTTTCTTTACCTTGAAGATTACATCTAAAGGCGTGGTTAGATTCAGGTTAAGATTTTTGGTAATCACTCTTCATAGGTGATGCTGTATAGTTCACATTACAACATATCAAGAGGCATACGATGTCTGGTTGGGAAACTAAATTTCACCACCTGGCAAAGTGCAGTCAGTTCTGCTATAATGCCACCTATGCATTCCTGAAAACCACTGTGCTATGGAAAACTGCACATTATGAACCGTAAGACCCATGAGGAAAATTAGGTTAGAGGTCATATATTCAAAAACTTTGTCAGTGACGTGTACAAAAAAAAAGATAGATACCTATTAAAAATAGCACAGTTTTATATATGGGAAGTGATTAAGAAATATATAAATACTACAACAAATACAGCTCTTTACCTTGAAAAATACCCAAAGGACTATAAATCATGCTGCTATAAAGACACATGCACACGTATGTTTATTGCAGCACTATTCACAATAGCAAAGACTTGGAACCAACCCAAATGTCCAACAATGATAGACTGGATTAAGAAAATGTGGCACATATACACCATGGAATACTATGCAGCCATAAAAAATGATGAGTTCATGTCCTTTGTAGGGACATGGATGAAATTGGAAATCATCATTTTCAGTAAACTATTGCAAGAACAAAAAACCAAACACCGCATATTCTCACTCATAGGTGGGAATTGAACAATGAGATCACATGGACACAGGAAGGGGAACATCACACTCTGGGGACTGTTGTGGGGTGGGGGGATGGGGGAGGGATAGCATTGGGAGATACACCTAATGCTAGATGACGAGTTAGTGGGTGCAGCGCACCAGCGTGGCACATGTATACATATGTAACTAACCTGCACAATGGGCACATGTACCCTAAAACTTAAAGTATAATAATAAAATTTTTTTTAAAAGATTTAAAAAAAAAAGGAAAAAAAAAAACCTGAAATTTGTTTGTGGAGTTAGACATCAGGATTGTTGCAGCTTATGAGTTACTGTGAAGTGGTGGAAGGGAGGGTCATCTGAAGTCGGCTGGAATTTCCAGCGCTAGATGTGGTTGGGCATGGCTCGCCACACAGGCAGTGAAATGGGGTAGCTGGTAGATGTCTGAGGTGTGTACATGTGTGCACTTTGTGTATTCCTACGTGGCTTGGTTCAGCTGGGTATAGTTTTCTGCACTTACCTAGCGTTTGTTGTGTACAAAGCTGTGTATAAATATATGTGAAAGTATACTATGCTCAAAGTATATCGATTGCATTAGAAAGGTTTACATTTCAAAACAGAGTATATGAGAACTGACTGATTTTGTAATTTACATCTTCTCCTTTTCTTGATCAATCTAGCTTGATGTTTTACCAATTTTGTTGATGTTGTCAAAGAATGAGCTGCTGGTTTCATTGACTTTTTTTCTATTCTTTTGTTCTCTGGTTCATTTATTGTGCTCTTATCTGTATTATCTCCTTTCCTCTTTTCCTAGCTTCCTAAGGTGGAGGTTTAGATAATCAATTGTAGATCATTTTTCTTTTCTAAGCTTTTAGAAGTATACATTTCTCATTAAGTACTGCTTTAGCTGCATCTCACAAATCCTGATAGATTATGTTTTCACTAGCATTGGGATCAAAATATTATCTAAGATTTTTCACATTTGCAAAGATGGAGTAAACACACCTTTTCCTATTCTTTAAGTATAGCTAAAATTCCTGGACATTATGTATAAAATAAATGTAAGAAGCAAACAGCAAAAGGCAGGCAGGCTGGGGACCTCAACACATGAGGGATGACATGACTCCACATTGATATTCATGAAGCAGAAGCTTTGTAAGGATCCTGAACTCAAACTTCTGTCTGGTACTAATGAGGCAGAACCCACCTGCTGCTGGGTATCCATGAAGGCCAACTGGGGAACTTAGACTTTCATCACCACCTGTCAGCAACAAGATATGCTTCCCTTGTCCTACTAGAGCAGTGTCAGAGGAAGACTAATAAGTAAAATAGACTGTTTAAGTAAGATCCAGTATCTATCTCATGATATAATACTGAAAATACTCAAGATTCAACTGAAAATCACTTGTTATACCAAGAATCAGGAAAATCTGAACTTGAACAAGAAAAGACAATGATTAGATGAATGTATTAAAGCAAACTAAATATGGCCTGAGAAGGACTCCATACTTCTATATTTGAGTCCTTGTGGATGAACTGCAACCTAACTTAATAGGTAAGGCAAGATTGAAAACCTAACTTAGGAGTATGCACCTGTAACAATCGCTGACTCTTGGCCAATCCCAACAGCCATACTTCAACCACTCATACACTGCTGAGTGTTCAAACTATGTTCAAATAAGGCAAATACCAAACTGTAACCAATCCACCTGTTTCTGTACCTCACTTCTGATTTCTATACGTCTTTTTACTTTTTTTGTCTATAAATTTGTTCTGACCACGAGGCACCTCTGGACTCTTTTTGAATCTGCTGTGATTCTGGGGGCTGCCTGATTCACAAATCATTCATTGCTGAATTAAACTCCTTTAAATTTAATTCAGCTGAAGTTTTTCTTTCAACAGATGCCAACATCAAGATGACATAGATGTTAAAGTTATCTGACGAGGATTTTAAAGCTGAAATCATAAAAATGCTTTAAGAAGAAATATGAATACTCTTGAAATAAATGAAAAAATCAAAAATCTTTGCAAAGGAAGAGAAAGCTTCAGCAAAGAAATATAAGCTATAAATAAGAACCAAATGAAATTTTTTTTTTTTTGAGACAGAGTCTTGCTCTGTCACCCAGGCTGGAGTGCAGTGGCATGATCTTGGCTCACTGCAACCTCCCCTTCTCAGGTTCAAGCAAGTCTCTTGCCTCAGCCTCCCAAGTAGCTGGGATTACAGGTGTGTGCCACCACACCCAGCTAATTTTTTATATTTTTGGTAGAGATGGGGTTTCACTATGTTGGCCAGGCTGGTCTTGAACTCCTGACCTCAGGTGATCCACCTGCCTTGGCCTCCCAAAGTGCTGGGATTACAGGTATGAGACACTGTGCCCAACCCCAAATGAAAATTTTAGAACCAAAAAAAAAAATGAAATAGAAAATCAATACATGAACTCAGCAGTAGAATGGAAAAGACAGAAAAATATGAAAAGTGAACTTAAAGATAGAACAATAAAATTATCCTATCTAAACAACAGAGAAAAATAGACTGAAAAAAGTTAACAGTCTTGGGGACTTATGACATTATAACAAAAGATCCAACATTCATGTAATTGGAGTTTCAGAAGGAGAGGAGAAGGATGATAGGGCTGAAAAAGTATTCAAAGAAAGAATGGGTGAAGGCATAAAACCACAGATTCAAGAAGCCAAATGTGTGTCAAACAGGTTAAACCCAAAGAATTCCATGCCAACACACATCATAGTCAAACTTCTGTAAATTGAAGACAAATAAAAGTTCTTGAAAGCAGTGAGGGAGAAATGACACCTTACCAATTGGGGGAAAATCATTCAAATGACAATGGATTTCTCATCAAAACCACGGAAACCAAAAGGAAGTGATACACAATTTTCAAGTGCTAAAAGAAAGTTGCTATCAGCCAAGAAATCTGTATTCACTAAAAAATATCTTCCAGGAATGATGAGGAAATCAAAACACTCTCAGCTGAAGGAAAACCAAGAGAATTTGTCACCAGCAGACCTACCGCCAAAAATGGCTAAAGGAAGTTCACTAAACCAAAAAATAAAAATAAAAAATGAATATTAAAACATCAAGCGAAAAGAAAGAATGGGGGGACGGGAGGAGGGATAGCATTAGGAGATATACCTAATATTAAATGACGAGTTAATGGGTGCAGCACACCAACATGGCACATGTATACATATGTAACAAACCTGCACGTTGTGCACATGTACCCTAAAACTTAAATAAAAAAAAAAGAAAGAACAGTGGAAAGAACAAAAACATGGGTAAAGTAAACTTTATTTCTTCTCTTGAGTTTTGTAAATTGTGTTTGAATGTTGAAGCAAAAATTGTAATACTTTCTGACTCAGTTCTCAATGTGTGTAGAGGAATTTTTTATAAAATTAATATTTATTTTAGATGATTATATTATAAAGGAAAGAGGGTAAATGGATATAAAGTGAGGTAAGATTCTAGAATTCACTGTAACTGGTAAAATACTGACAACAGTAAACTGTGGTAAGGGATGTGTGTGTGTGTGTGTGTGTGTGTGTGTTCTCTTTAGCAACAGACATATTTCTAAGTAGCTCAAAGTTGAAGCATTTGACATTGACCAATTTAGGTTTAGCATTCTGCTAAAAAAAAAAACAGCAAATGTACATTGAGTGTATGGCCATTAACCTCTTGAAGATCTAAGGGTTCTAAACTCAATTGCCTCCAGGTCTGAGGAAACCAGAATTTTTTTTAAGATTTCATTGTTCTTTTTTTTTATTATTATACTTTAAGTTCGGGATACATGTGCAGAACGTGCAGGTTTGTTACATAGGTATACACATGCCATGGTGGTTTGCTGCACCCATCAACCTGTCATCTACATTAGGTATTTCTCCTAATGCTATCCCTCTCCTAGTTCCCCACCCACCGGCAGGCCCTGGTGTGTGATGTTCCCCTCCCTGTGTCCATGTGTTCTCATTGTTCGACCATTGTGGAAGACAGTGTGGAGATTCCTCAAGGACCTAGAACCAGAAATACCATTTGATCCAGCAATCCCATTACTGGGTATATACCCAAAGGATTATAAATCATTCTACTATAAAGGCACATGCACACATATGTATATTTGCAGCACTGCTCACAATAGCAAAGGCTTGGAGCCAACCCAAACGCCCATCAATGATAGACTGGATAAGGAAAATGTGGCACCTATACACCATGGAATACTATGCAGCCATAAAAAAGGATGAGTTGATGTCCTTTGCAGGGACATGGATGAAGCTGGAAACCATCATTCCCAGCAAACTAACACAAGAACAGAAAACCAAACTGCATATTCTCACTCACAAGTAGGAAACCAGATTTATAAACTTCAAAAGATGACTAAGAATAAAAGGTAATACATGTATTCTATAAGTGATCAGAAAACAGAGAGTACTTCGCTTGATCAGGTATTTAGAGAATGGGCCTAAAGAAGAGTTGGGATACAGAAGGTGAACATGGAGAAAGGCACAACATGGCATGATGCAGTTCTCAAATCTGGCTGACCATCAGAAAGACCTGGTAACTTTGGAAATTACAGATTTCTAACGGCCAACCAGAAAGCTCTCCAGGTGTTTGCAATGATTAGCCAGGTTTGGGTAGCCACAGGTTAAAACAAGTTTAATACATGCTGACTGATTCAATAACTGTGCAACAACATTTGGCTGTTTCCACATAATTTATTCCTATAAAGCATATTTCATAAAAAACTATACCCAGTGCATTATGAATACAACACCAACTATGGTAATAATTGATTAGATGATATAAATTCTTTCTCTTATTTACAAGAATGTAAGTTCAGGAACAACACCGTGTTTATGAAAAAGTCAGATGAAGGCAGAATTCTTTCCTGCTTATTTTCTGGTGGCATATTTTTCCTCTTTTTTTGTCTCTGTTAGCTCCCACCACTCTGGCAGCACTGGGGACTTCTTAGATGGTGAGCTGACTCAACAGGCTTCTTCAGGTGAATGAGGATCTCTTGCTTATAAAGCTTCTGCATCATTCAGCCCTTTCTCTTTCATGGAATACCTTTCCTTGGATTTTCTCCTCTTCCCTCTGAAGGGTAAACTTCAGAGACCTGAGATTTCAGTGTGGGCCTGGGTAAACAGAGTCCAGGAAGTCTTTCCTTTTGCTATGGAACCAGACCTTAGGCTACTGCACTCCAGGGGAGAGAGACTCTCAGAGTCCATGGAAGCTGGCTAAGCCAGACACTGGGTTAGGCCCCAGCAGGCCCTTTACCCATCCTTATCCTCTCCTGTCTCAGTTTCAGGGGGATCAGAGCTGGGGCAAGATGGGGTCTGAAGTTCCTGGGTACCCTAATCACCTATAAATCTTTCTCCACAAGATGCAAGTCCCACAGTGTTTCCTAAAAGCTTAGATGTTAAAGACTTGAAAACACATAGAAACCTTAAGCATCATAATTAAATCACTTAAACATAGTTACTTTCAGAGCAACTTGGTATAGTAGAGTAACTGTAAAGAGCTGAAAAACAGCTGTGGACCAAGACAATTTCACTGTAGCACATGCTAAAATAACTGAAGCATGATAAAATGTTTTCATTATTTTGGAATCAAAAACGCTTGTTAACTAATTTATAACTATCCTAGAAATAAGGTTTTTATATTTTTGTTTTTGCCAACAGAGGTCCCATTCAGGAACTCTCCACAGCCCATCTGTAGCCGTAAGTTATCTGCAAGTTACTCAGGAAATACAAGGATGCTCATCATGAAAAGACATTTCTCCCAAGCTCTCTTCCTTTGGTTTCCATCCATACGGAGACTGGGCCTGAGTGTGGAAACTATCTCCATCAGCTTTCTGTTCTTGAATACTCTTATGAGTTTGCTTGTTTTGGGGTTTGCTTATTTGAAACTTAAGTTGCTATTACGAGCGTTTCAATGGTGATGATGATGATGAATATAAGTTTAAAATAAAACAAAGCAGAATAAACAAAATAACACACTGGTAACCTGCTTGTTCTGTACTGAATTTCATATAGATGCCCATGATTCCACACAATAAATTGTTGCATGTTTCCTGAACATGCATTCCTTCATGCTGCCTTTGGCCTACCTATTCCCACAGCCTGAAAATCATGTTAACTATTGGATGAAAGAGTTGAATTAGAGGACAATGGTGCTTTGGCCCTTTATTAGAGCTCTGGGAGGCTGGGCTGAATCTGCAGAGTGCATTTGGAGGCACAAGTCTTTGTCTCACACCCACTGAAAGAGACTGTTAACCATGAATCTGTTCTTTCCAGCCATGCCTGCATAGATAAGAAAATATTCTTAGTCCTCCACCTTTAAAATGCAGATTATGCTAGTGGTAAACTTTCTCAGAGATGACTGAAATATTTTTTAGAAAGCAGCATATGGAAGCATATGGAGTCAGCCTTCAGTGAAAGAAAGCCAAACCACAGCTTGATCCATTTATCCACTGATTCATTCATAAATTAGTTCATTCACCAAGATTTATGGATAAATCAGCAGTCCACGTTCTGAGTTAGGTTCTAGCAGTACAACAAGGAATGATGCATGCTGCTTTCTCCCACCTAGTTCACAATCTGGCAAGAGAGAGAAACACCAAACAACAAACCATAGTACAACACAGCAACCACCATAAAGAAAATGCTTCTGCTATACCGTAATACCGTCTCCCAATGTATACGTGCGTGCGCGCGCGCACACACACACACACACACACACACACACACACACACACACACACACACACCCCACCCCAGATCAGTCAGTATGACCAATCTAGGCAAAATGGCTGGGCAGCACACACTCATGGAGAAGTTTTTTAGTGGTTTTGTGCTTTTCCACATTTCCTATGCTTCCTTAATCCTTAAATAAGAAACCCAACTCCGGTTTCCCTTAGACACCTCTCTCATCCCACGTCAGGTCTCACTTTCCTCAAAGTGGTCAATGAAGTGCTCCTGGCTCCACAGATGTCTTTTTTTTTTTTTTTTTTTTTTTTTTTGCTTGCCCACTGGGAGCTTCCTTTGGTAGCTGCTGCTGATTTTTGTCCACCACTATTTTCCTCTTCTGTAGTTGATGGAAAAGCCTTCTTTTTACACCAGTCTTTGGGGCTATTTATTAGGCTGCAGGACCGGCATATGCCCCTGGTTGTATTTTAGTCTGCCCTCTTGAGGAAAACTTAGGTCCAACTTTCCTGGGATCTTCACGTAAGACACTGGAATGGTACCACCTGTACCCAGTTTTACATTCAAAATAGCTTTTCCCCAGATCCTGAACTAGATTATGCCATCCTGGTTGTCAGGAGGATGTCTCTGCCTGTTCAGAGGACTTCAGTCAGAAGCAGGCATTAACTGTGGTTCCCCCCCGATATTGTGTAAGAGTCTTAATCCAGGTATCAAAGGGTCTGACTGTACACTTATCTATCAATCAATCATCTAACTGCCTACATTTTTTTTCACTCTTTCTCTCATGAAAAGAGCATTCTTTTACACCCCTGAGCTCCCATGGTAGCATTTAGATTAGCCTCTTCCCCCTGCAGATATAGGACCAAGCAGGTGTTTGCAGATGTTCCACCCTTCTGAGTCCAAAGCAGCATCAGAACAAAGCTGAACCCATACAGTTTCTTATATTTGTAGTTTTCTTAATTCAGAGTGTATAGAAATTCCTAGTGACCCTTGAAACTTTTCAGAGTGAAGGGAAAATGTTCCACTTGCTCTTTATTTTTATACCAGAACTCCTAAACCATTAAATTGCACAAGGGAGAAGGGAAAGGTAAGACAAATCTGAGTTCTTTATTTAGCACATATGTGAATAGAACTTTACAACATGTAGAGCAAATTAATTACATTTCATCTTATTATCTAAAACATGTTACATCTACGATTAATGTCAGAAATGAGAAGTGCTCTTGATAGGAGAGGAGGTAATTTGATTTATCCTCTGTGGTGAATTGAGGCATAGCCCATGGTTTATAAAGTGAGGCATCCCCAAACTTCATCTTAGTGAAAAAGGACTTTTTTTTTAAGTCTTCTCAGAATTCTTATGGGAATTCTAACAACCATCAGGAGGTGCTTGAGAACCAGCAAAGGCAAAAACAAAATCTTTGGGTCTTTACTCAGTGGACAATGCATAAGCATGAATTATACCTCTGGTATATTACTAAGCCCTGAAACATTACAGAATGTAAGCAAAACTTGATCCTCAAGTAGTCTCGAGTGGAAGACATAGATTCATATTATTATACATAGAAAAAGCTTAAAGGAGTCCCTGACACATAGAAATCCCTTAATAACAGCTTTAGTTATTAGCTTCTGCACTATAATAGACGCACATGATATTTTGTTTTGTTTTTAGATTCAGAGGGTAAAGGCAGGTTTGTTACATGGGTGTATTGCAAGATGCTGAGGTTTGGGCTTCTAATGATCCTGTTGCTGTTGCCCAAGTAGTAAATGAGGTATCCATTAGGTAGTTCTTCAACCCTTGCCTGCCTCCCTCTTCCTTTTCAGAATACCCAGTGCCTATTGTTCCCATCTCTGTGTCCCTGCATACCGAGTATTTAGCTCCCACTCACAAGTAGGAAAATACAGTATCTATTTCTGTTCTGCCTTAATTTGCTTAGGATAATGGCATGTGAAGTTTTAGAAACTGCTATGACCTCATAGAGAGGAAATGACATGGGGAAGTGGTATAAGATCTTACAGAGGAGGTGCTTTGAGCTGAGCATTGGAGGATCTGTAAGGAGTTTCCTAGGGAAAAAAGAAAGAGCATTCCAAACAGAAGCAACAGCACAGAGAAGAGCAAAGCCTTGAATTCACATTGGTACTAAAGGAATCCTGAGGGTGTATATTGTCCATAGAACAGAGGGTTGAAAGATGGGATGGGAGAAGATGCAAATTTAAAAGGCAATTGGGCCCAGATGATGAAGGACTTTAATGTTCAGGCTTTATTCTGTACACAATAGGGGCAAAATTTTGGAGAAGAACAGTGATGTTATCAAACCTACGATTTCAAAAGATCACAACAGGAGTTTCTAAAAAAGAAGGACTGGGTAAGACAGGTGGCGGGTGCAGGGACTGCAATTAGGAGGCTCTTGTGGAAATAAGGAAGATAGGAGGAGGGGACCCAAAACAGGCAGGGAGCAGCAGAGAAGGTGAGAGACTCAGGAACACTGAAGGACAAGCTTTTCCTTTTTTTTTTCTTTTTTCTTTTGGAGACAGTGTCTCGCTCTGTCACCCAGGCTGGAGTACAGTGGCATGATCTCGGCTCACTGCAACCTCTGCCTCCCAGGTTCAAGCAATTTTCCTGCCTCAGCCTCCCAAGTAGCTGGGACTACAGGTGCATGCCACCACGCCCGGCTAATTTTTTGTATTTTTAGTAGAGACGGGGTTTCACCGTGTTGCCCAGGCTGGTCTTGAACTCCTGAGCTCGGGAAATCTGCCTTCCTCAGCCTCCTAAAGTTCTAGGATTACAGACGTGAGCCACCATGCCTGGCCAGGACAGGCTTTTTCATTATGAATTGCTGCACAAATATTCTTCCCAAAGTATTGGGCATAATTTTTAATGAGGTTCATGTCTATACATTGGGAGTTCTTTTTGATAAAAGAAGTAACTAGATTATTTTTTAATTTTTATTTTTAGATGGAGTCTCGCTCTGTTGCCCAGGCTGGAGTGCAGTGGTGCCATCTCGACTCACTGCAACCTCCGCCTCCCGGATTCAAGCGATTCTCCTGCCTCAGCTTCCCGAATAGCTGGGATGACAGGCACATGCCACCATGCCCAGCTAATTTTTGTATTTTTAGCAGAGACGGGGTTTCACTATGTTGGCCAGGCTGGTCTCGATCTCCTGACCTCATGATCCACCCACCTCAGCTTCCCAAAGTGCTGGGATTACAGGCGTGAGCCACCGCGCCTGGCTATGACTGGATCTTATGCTCTTTTCCTACTGGCTCCATTGCCGGGGGGAGGCGAGCCTGTTTTTTCTTTGCAGGCGCCACTGGGTGCAGCTCACTGAATTACAGGCACAGGACTCAAAAGTATTATAATCAGTCCTGATCAAGGGATTTGGCCAACCTGCACTAATAACAAATGCCACACTGAGGTTTCATTGCACTTTATCAGAAAGGATAGAACATGTTCTTTTCTGTGTTACAGAGATGAACATTAAAAAGGTGGTTTGCTTCAGCTAACAAAATGAAATGCTGCTGTTCCAGATAAAAAAAAAGCAGGCAGCAGGGCATGAGAGAAAACAGAGGACACTGAAGGTATGGGCAGGTCGCTCATGTGTGTGTAATGCCCGCAGATCATCCAGACCTGACTGACAGATAGCTGTCAATCAAGAGCAATGAAGGACATCTCCATTCTGCAGTCCTATTGTCTGAAATCAGAGATCCTCATTGCTAACGACAACATAAACAATAGTTGTTTGTTACTACGTTTGCTGTTAGGGTGCAGAAGAGCTTAAGATGGATGAATGGTTTGGCCTCTGTTTAAATTGCATCCTCAGAAAAAAAGAAAAAGAAAAAAATGGAGACTCTGGATTTGGCAACTCTCTTTCTCTCACACACACTATATAATCCACTGAAAATCTTGGCAACTCTAAGATCTTTCCAATGCAGCCTAATCTGACCACTGTGTGCCACTCCACTACTGCTACTGTGTTCCAACCAGCAGTGCCTCTGGCCTGGCCCCCACACTGGCCTCCCAGCTGGCCAGTCGTTCACTGCTGACCACCCCCTCTCACAGTCAGCAGGGTATTCTTTTAAAGAAGTAAATCAGATCAAGCCACTCCCCTGCTCAAAGTCTTCCCATGGCTTCCCATCACATCGAGAAGAAAATCCCAGTCTTTAAGGGGACCCTCCAGCCCTTCGTCATCCACTCCTACTTCTCCCATCTCGTCTCCCACCATGCCCCTCACACCCCTGGCTCCAGCTCCCGGGGCCTCTCTGGAATCTCTCAAACTTGCCAGGCACTCTCCTGCCTTGGGCCTTTGCTCTTGCTGAATCCTCTGTCTGGAACGTTCTTTCCTCTATGGCACATACCTAAAACAGCACCCTCCCCATCCCTCTAACCCCTTACTGTGTCTTATTTTTTTCCACAGTTTTCCTGTTGTTTTATGATACATTTGTTTATTTGGTTGTTTGTCTCCAGATTTCCTGGCATTTTATTATACATGTGTTTAGTTAACTGTTTGTCTCCTTCCCTGGAAGGTAAGTTCCATGAAGTGAAAGATTTAATCTGCTTCATTTAGCTGTTGCGACCCAGTGCCTAGAATAATGCCATGCAGGTAGCAGCTTCTCAAGTGTTTATCAAATGCATGTAAGATTGAATGAATGAGTGAATGATACACTGTCCTTATTTCCTAAACCAGACCAATTCTCCCTCCAGTCCTGAAATAACACCCACTTTTGCCCACACAACATCCTAGGCCAACCTGGCCTAAGTGATTTCCCACAAAGTGGGGAAATGAAACAGTGTTTGAACAAGTGAAAAAATTCGTACATTTTTAAGACACCAGATGATGCTCTTCGGACCACTTCAGCTATTCTCAAGAACTCAGCAGCTGCAGCCACTCTGCCTAAGGAGGAGAACTTAAAGAGTACATCATTTGAGTAATAAACTTCAGAGGATTCTGAACGTTTGCCATAACTCTGAATGACCTCAGAATACTCCACGGATACATTACATTATACAAAGTATAACTTCAAATAACTAATACATGATTTCAATCTTTTGATGAAAAAAACTCAAATTTCTAAAATAACTATTGCATTATTTCAATCTTTTGATTAAAAAACTAAAAATCAGAACTTCTTTCGGAGAAAATAAAAATAAAAGCCAGCTTAATGCTACAGGAATCAAACTACAGCTAAAGGGCATTCTAGCCAAAGGTCACAGCGCCCTCTACTGGCTATTGATAGCTAACAAACCATGGGGAAAAATTCACGGAGGAAGCCGCTTTATATTCAAATCCATTCACGGGATTATTAAAAAATATTTTAGTCCCTGCAAAGAAAATGAGCTGTGGCTATAAAAGAGGGAAAGATTCAGTCCCTGTTTTCAAGGGGGTTGAAGACTAGTACGAGGAAGAGAAATTTGGAATTACAGTAGAGTAGGACAAATGATGCCATCTAGAACACCAGGTGGGCATTTCGTCCAGCATGCAGGGGTGTGGGGCAGTGCCTGAGCTGAGGACTGAAAAAGGGTAGGAGTGAGCCATGTGAACGGAGGGGTGTGTAGATGGGCAGTGACGTTCCAGGCAATGGGGCCACAGATGGAGAGGCATGGAAGTGAGAAAGAACCTCAGGAATTGAAAGTTGTGACAATTACTTTTGGTTGCCCACTCACCAACCGTCCCCTGACTTCTTTTTCCCTCTGGTCTGCCTTCCTGTTGGTGGCTGAATGTGCCAGGTACTGACTTTCCTGACTGCTTTCATGGCTAGAAATAGCCCTGTGAACAAATTCTGGACAATGAGATATAAGGGAACATTTGCCAGAGGGATGGCTGAGATAGAATTTCTTTGATGATAAAAGAGGAGACACCCATGGAGACGACACATCATGTCAATCTGCCTGTCAAAGTTGTCGTGAAAAGAGGTGATCCTTGTTGCTGTTGCAGCCTTCCGGTGAACATGAATGGCAGCATCACTAACACTGTGAGGCCGGCAGTCCTTGGTGACATTACAGAGCTGCTGAACCACCCACCTCTGGGACCACCTATTTCTGTCCTTGTTGTTATGAAAGAAAAAATAACCCTTATGGCTTAAATCACTCCCAGTTATGTATTCTGTTATTTTTAGCTAAAGCATACTCATTGATATGCTCACATTCTCTGATGTGAGGAACCAGTGCAAGGTTTAAGCAAGGATGTAACACAATGAAATTTGCATTTCCGAAAGATCAGGCTGAAAACAAGCAGAGAATGAATTGAAAGAGAGCAAGACAAGAGGGAAGAAGACCAAGTAGGATATCTATAATGGTATAAGCGAGGATGGGGGAGAAAGGCAGAGATTAGGGTCTGACCTAAGAATAAAACAAAAGGGAGAGATCTAAAAAATAATTAGAAAGTTGAATGGACAGAGTTTGGTCATTCGTGTGAGAACTAGAAGATGAGATGAAGGGAGGAGTCAAGAATGAATCCAAAGTTTGGGGCTTAAATAATGAGGTAGGTAGATGGGTCACTTCTTGATATTCACAATTGAGGAGGAGAATTAGATTTAGGACACAATGGAAATGATGAATTCTGTTTACACACTGAATTTAAAGAAGCTGAATTTCATATATGAAAATCAGAGAATCTGGACTTAAGAGAAAGATTTTCAACATATTAATGTGTACATGGTAATTGAAGTTATGGAAGTCGACCTGGTCACTCTTTGGGGAACATATATACAGAGAAGGAGACAAGAAAAGGGTGTGGAGAGAGGCCCTCACAATGACCAATACCCACAGACAGACAGAAAGGAAAGCTACACAGAGACAAGAGACTATAAAACAGCAGAGGGAGAAAGCAAAGAATGAAGCGTCTCCAATGGCAAAGTAACAAAGTTTCCAGATGGAAACTTCCCACTTCAGTGAAACAGGGTCAGGAAACCACACTTTGGTGCCTTTAACCAGGACAGTTCTGTGGACTGCTGAGTACAGAAGCAGAAGCCAGTTAAGTTGGAGAGATGAAATGGATATGAGCAGTAGATGCTTCGTTCAAGAAGATGGCTATGCAAGGGAGGAGAAAGATTGAGGGACAGTTAGGGAACGCATGGTGAAGGTATCATTTCAAGATGTGGGACATTTGAATGTATTTACATATTGAAGAGGAAAACCAGCAGAGGAAGTGGGTCAGAGAGAGGGGAGACAGGTGATAATTGATGACATAAGATCCCTGAGGTTTCAGGAGGGAGTTGTAGGCACAAGCCTTGCAAACAAATTCAGATCACAGTTCTTTCCAAAGCCACTTAATTCCAACTCTTGGGTGGAAAATTCGATCCCACTCAATACTGGGGTTCTCCTACGAAGGGTCATAGCATACCATCAAAACATCTGGATGAGCACTCCAGTTGTTAACCACAGTGATTACCACAGAGATGCTCACTCTTTCAGTCTACAGGGCCCATCTGCTTTGGAGATACTGGGAGCCCATAGGCCTGGGAGCAACTATCACAGGATTTATCATATACACAACCCAGCATCTCCCAGGGTACTGCCACTGAGTCCACAATACAGGTTAGAATTCCCCTTCCCCCTCCACCTCCAGCCTCCTCCTCATATGCAGAAAATCATTATATTCATACTTATGGTGGCCTATCTGTGTCATTTTTTGGACCCAAATATGCTCCCTCTCCCCCCATAAAAGAAAAGGTAAAAGAAGAAGGTGAGGTGAAGGTCAAAGTTTTGTGTTCCCCCAGAGATAAAATCTTATAACCAAACTCCTTAATAAAAACATCATATGGATATATTTTCTCATGCTTGTACTAGTAAGAGGGACTTTGAAACATGGTATTGTCACCACTTAAGATTTGCATTGAACATGAGCCAGAAAATGATACATCATACTATCTCAGTTTCTGACTATCAGCTGGATTTGGTGGCTCCATATTCATAAGACCCAAATATGCAACTGTAATTTGATGTTCTCACCCAAAAGCCAATCATCTCTGTGTGTCAGATGTTCTTTCTGGAGATGCCACTGCTTATCTTCAGGTGGGAAGAATAAAGTGAATCAATTTTGGAAAGCAAAGTCAGCAAACTTCTTCAGATGTGTGGACAAGGGCCACTCATGTCTTCATGCATTTAAACAAATGCTGGGTACAAGGCAAGCAAAAATTCCCCCAGCTAAAGACCCAGACCATGTAGCAGACCTGCATCATAAAATGCATAAAATGCCATATTTTTAAGAGAAAAGGGGGAGGTGGTGGAGTTAAGTCATTTATAAAGAGGAGTCTTGCTCTTTATACAACTTGAACAGCCTCCAGCAATGTCCAGGGAAGGGGGAGTTTGACTAGTGGAAAGGTGCATTCCAGACCTCCTGGTAGGAATGGCCCCATGGCAGAAAACATTGCATCTGGCTATCAGTGCATGGTGAAACTGAACATTACAATTAACAACTGGCTGTAAGCACACAGACTCAAATTTAGCTTTCTGCAGAGTTCACCTGCACAAAGAACACACAGATTGGATGATACAGCCTTTCAGCCTCTGTGATAGCTTCCCCACCAGCTGGCATCCCACACTGCTTGGGTGAATGTTTAACCTTCGTTAAATAAATAGATCCTTGCTGCTAGCCCTCCTGAGGCCTATTACATAGGGCTGCCCATGTGAGAAACAGCTTGCTCACACAAATCAGTGCCTCAAATTTGAAGCATCTGGCCCAGTGATTCCAATTTTAGGCTTATATTTGAAAGCACAGTTTGATTTCTCTGTTCACTTAGCATATCTCACATGATCGGCAGTTTCATAGGCCCATCAGTAGACCTCAGTGTCAGCTCCTCTGAAGAGGAACAGCCTGTGTGTTTGAGAAGCCCCCAAGGACCTTCCAAAGATAATAGGGGAGGGGGCACGTCATAAAAGTACTTAAACACACCTTGCAATTTTTCTGAAAATCTGTAGGGCCTTTTCATGGAATTAGTACCAGTCATCGCTTACATATTACTTATGTTAATTGTAGCTGAATAACTTCTCGTTCTTGCTCATTCCGAAAATAAAATAACACCCTAGCACCTAGGCTGTGGTCTTTAAATTCTACCTCCTACTCAACAGAAACAAGACTCCTTGAAGAAATGGCCAATTCCAGTTCTGGGGTAAGAAATCTACCAGAGGAGCCTGGTATTTCTCACCTCACCAGAAAGCAAGGAAGTTTGGAGTGACACCTAGGGTTGTATTCAAAGTACTTGGAATTCAACTTGAATGGATTCACACTGGCCAAAGCAGGGACAATTTGAGTATCAAAGGATAACTCCAATGGATTAAAAGCATACTAGATATGTTTAGATCCACGAATTCATAATACTTTAAAAATATTTATTGGTCACCACTGGAGATGGTAGTCAGTTAACTATTTTGAAAACAAAACCAGAATAAAAAAATCAAGATTTTATTCTATCTTTCCTCTATAGACTATAATGCCGAAAAAAAGTAGATGATGAAAGTTTCTTTATAGAAGTATTCTGGCAAATAAAGAAATGATAGAATGTCACAACTTTGCAACTTCTAATGAATTAATGCATCTAAGGAATGACCATCCCCAGCTGCCAAAATCACAAAAAGATAAATTATCAAAGATTAAATACCTCCTGATGGAAGCACACACTAGTTAAGAGGTAGTCTTGGTAAAAACTCAAGGCACTTCCCTAGATCTACGTACCAAATCACTGGAAACGAAAACGATATTAGGAACAAGTAAAATACCACCACAGGGATACAATAAGCAAAATCCAGACTGCAGGAAACTCTATGGAATGAATGATCTTGTATATTCAACAAATTGCAAGAAAAAAATATGGAAAGGAAACAAATGAATGGAGTCTTAAAAGTCATATCAACCCTCTCCCAAATAAAAGGAAGTCACTGATTCCCAAGGTTTCTCATTGACCATGGAGTGATCTATTCCCCTTTAACCTCAAAGCCCCACAGTTTTCCCAAGATGTGACTACAACAATGCTCTCATTATGATACATTGTTAGTCCTCAGGTCCTACCTCCTACCTTAATATTTCTCCTTCTACCTCCATGTTCTTGAAATCCCACCCCTCATTCCTGCCAATGCATTTATGTTAACTGAAGACTTACTACTTGCTATCAGCCACATGAACCCTAAATCCACTACAACTCTGATGTCACACAAGATCTCTGTTTCTGAGGATCTCAAGGGGATTGGAAAGATGAAACTTGTGCTAAAAGTTAGGTCTTTAGGGCTGGCCACAGAAAGAAATCCTACTCAAGGTAGTTGTCGAAAGCAGAAATAGTACAGCACATCTGAGCCACAATCCTTGAGGTTCAGCAAGGGAATCAAATATAAACATTAAGTCTAAGGGTAGATGAGATTATAAAACATAAATAAAACCAAGAGCCAGGAACCAGTTGGGACCTAGACTGGAGGGGAAAGGTAAAGAGATCAATTAAGACAGCCTAAGAATGGATATAAGGAACAGCGTGGACATCAATTGATTTGTGTTTGTCCAGTATTTCACTTTGATTTGGGAGCTGCTTTGATTCCATCCTAAAGCCTTGGCCCTTCTCCTCCACAAGGAGGGGCGATGACCAACACTGGGACTACTATGGGGCCCTATCCACCTCACCACAGTGCTTGGACCATTGTGACTTGTCCAAGGTTGGACACAGATCCAAGCAGGGCTAATCAGGCTTCTTCCATGCAATTTTCCCATTTGGATATTAAAAAGAAAGGGCACCTTCTACCTTTATGTATGAAGACTCACATCTATCAGCAATCATCTTCCCCATGATGCGCAAACAGTTGTCTATGGCAGGAGAGAATTAAACCAACACATCAAGAGGAATGGGAATAAGCACAGCTGAGATATAAAAACAGAAGAAAAAAAAGAGGGAGGCAAGCTCTAAAGACATTGCTTGAGGCCCTAGATCCAGTCTTGCCCAAAGTGAGTTCCATTCTTGAGTTTACCTATTACATGAACCAACTCATTCCTTTTTTGTCCTTGTTTTAGTGTGTGTTAGGTTATTGTCAATTACAACCAAGATTTTCACTACTGTAATATGTAGGACAGGTAAGCTCTATACCCATTCCTAAGCCTCACAGGGTATGGTGCAATCACGGCTCACTGTAGCCTCAACCTCCTGGGCTCAGATGATCCTCCCATCTCAGCTCCCCAAGTAGCTGGGACTATAGACATGCACCACCATGCCCATCTAATTTTGTTTTTTTGTTTGTTTGGTTTATTTTGGTAGAAGTGGGGTTTCACCATGATGCCCAGGCTGGTCTTGAACTCCTGGCCTCAAGTGATCCGGCTGCCTCAACCTCCCAAAGTGTTTGGATTACAGGTGTGAGCCACGACACCCAGCCACTACTTTCATTCATTAAAGCTCCAGTGGCTCCAACCTTATGAGCTTCTGCTCTTTCCCTAGTGTCCTGGTGAATGAATTTGAATTATTCTATACTGGATGCAGCCTCCAAATTTTAAAAAGCCATACATTGTCACGGTTCAATGTTACGTTTTCTGAAAAGAGGTGCACAGCGAGTATTTTGGAAAATGCAACTCATTTTCCACTGACTTAAACTACCATTACAGAAATGTTTCATAGAGGAAGACTTTATAGCTGGAGTCAGAACTGATTCTAGTCCCGGAATCTGTGAACCTTGGACTGGTTTTGCTTCATTGAATCACATGGCATGCCTATTCTATGTCTTGTATTATTTTAAACACTTCACCTCAACAACCTACCATTAACACTTAAGTAGGTACTATTATATCCCCACTTTACAATTAAAGAAACTGAGGCACAGAGAGTTTAAATAATCTACCCAACATAACAGAGCTAGTAAATGGCAGGTAGTGGAAGTGATGTGTTTTGAATCTGGGGACTTGAATGCCTCATCCACAAAATGTTAGTTATTCGAAATCCTGTGTGCTAAGGTGCATGGAGAGCATGGGCTTTGGAGTCAGAAAAACTTGGCTAGAATTCTGAGCCTTAGGTTTTTTTCCTATGTAAAATTGACCACACCTTTCTCTTGGGTTTGTTGCATAGATTAAATGAGATAAAACAGGTCTAGCAGCTATGAAAACACTTGGAAAATCCCTCCTACTGTGAAACAAATGGGCTTTGCAGATTATTGCCTGCAGCTACAGAGCAGACTATACTAGAAATCAAACTCAGAACTCAGAACTTGTTACAGAGGTAAAACTAGACAGAAAATGGAGGCCAGGCACGGTGACTCTTGCCGGTAATCCCAGCACCTTAGGAGGCCAAGGAAGGAGGATCACTTGAGCCCAGGAGTTTGAGACCAGTCTGGGTAATATAGTAAGACTGCATCTCTACAAAAATTAGCTGAGCATGGTAGTGCATGCCTGTAGTCTCAGCGACTCTGGAGGCTGAGGTGGAAGGATCACTTGAACCTGGGAGGCAGAGGTTGCAGTGAGCCAAGATCATGGCACTGCAATCCAGCCTGGATGACACAGTAAGACATCTGTCTCAAAAAAAAAAAAAAAAAAAAAAAAAGAAGAAGAAGAAGGAGGAAAAGAAAATAGAATGTACAATCTCAACAGTTCTCTTATGTCAGAGCAAGGAACAGTGGGACCCACAAACTGTCATGGACCTGTCTAGGTGGACAAGGCTCAGAATCTTCAACTCTTGGATTCTCCTGAATCATCCCATCTGACACAGGCAAATCCTTCCTCCACTTTGCTAGAGGACCAGCAGCCTCCCCTTGCTTGAAGACCTTGCAAAGTCTTCACCTAAGGGTCCTGCTTCCCAAGGTCAGCCCCTGCTGCCTCTGGGCTGATAAAGCGACATAGCTTAGTACATCCAGAGCAGAAAAACACAGTGCCTGCTCTGGGGGAAACAGTCTATGCACTGTAGGAAGAGCAGGCTCATAAGTACTGGCAGAGACTAGGGGCAGACTCGTGGGAGTGAATCTCAAGAGTGTTGAAATGGGGATGGATGAGAGAAATTTAAGGCTGAATTGGATAATTTATTGGCATGGGAGAACTCTCCTGTGACTCAATATTCAACACCTGGAGCTAGTCCTAATGTGTTGCTGGGATAGCCCCTTAAAACTTGGATATGGTGAGAGCCTGAAGTGAACAAAGTACAGATGCTGGAGCTACCTTATCAGAGTGGTAAGGACGTGGAGAGAGGTTTCATGGAGGTGAGCACGTTAGTTGGGATATTTTTCAAGACGGATGGCTAATGATGCCAGTGCTATTTATCAATGAAACTATAATGATTTCCACTTAACTAAAATATCTCAATTTTTGTAATTTAAAACATTACTCACAAATTAGTGGCTGCCTGAAGATGGGGGTAGAAGCAGGGTCGACTGCAAATGGGCACAACTCTTGGGTGTGATGGAGATGTTCTAAAACTGGAGTTTGGTGCTATTTGCATGTTTCTATACACTTACCGAAAACCATTAACCTGTACATTTCAAATGGGTGAATGTTATAGTAGGTAAATTGTACCTTATAAAGCTGCTCTAAGCATTACTCATAAGAATACTGTTGTTTATACTGTATAACTTTTACTATTGTCTTTAGATACGGCATTTTTCTAGGGCTGATGTCCAAGGTGAAATACTGTGACCTACACCTTTTCAGCTGTTTCAGAAAGCTGAGGTGAGACTGCAGATCATCAAGCAGTTCAAGGAGTTTGGGTAATTCCTATAGGGCAAACATGCAGCCCTAGTAAAACTGACAGTCACTGGGTAACTATGCCAGCTGATCCACAAGCACGCTTTTTATTAGAAGAACAAGAATTTGGTTCTTTTCCCAAAGATCACATACTATTTACTGGATATCACTTTGACACCAATACTTGCTAAAAATGACTAACTTATTAAAGGAGCAATAGTTTAAGCAGCATGCTATGTGAGAAAGAAAGACCTTAAATGCAGCTTATGTATATGATGACTATATAACCACCAGGAAAATTGGTCAGATTGGCAACTGATTAATTTTGGGGCAGGCCAGTAGAGGGCAATCTAGGTCCCACGAAAATACTTTGGGAAAAATAAAAGAACAAGAATTTAAAAAGAACATAAAAGACAATACATAATTAGATGGCACCAAAATTTTGATGATTGGGTATGTGAAGTCAGTAAGTCTATGTTTCCTCAGACTCGAACCACCTTCCTTCTTCATCCCTATTTCATACATAATAAATTCAGATCTTTTTTCATTCCAGAAAAGAAAAACCAAGAGAGAAGTGTGTGTCACTGTTAATGTCAGGGATTAACCTGTGCATTCTGCAATACTGTTAACTTTCTCTTTTCATGGGAAGCACTTGTATTGCAATGTGAGAGGAAGCTGGTCCCTCATATCCCCTTCTTGGTTGCCAAGCCATCTCTTAAATGGTCTTCTTCCACTGCACTCACAAATCAAAGAATTCCCAAATTTGAAGGCGGGTTCTTCAGAGTGTGGCTTTGAACGCTGCCTCTGTAAGAACCATGGGGTGGGGCAGGATGCCTGTCACCCATGTGGATCCTGGCCCTGTTCTAGAAAATGGAATCAGAACGTCGGTGTCAGCCCCAGAAATCCGCATCTTAGCACGTATCCCTCAGGGTTCTGGTATGAACTGCAGGGTGTGACCCACTGATCTAAACAAGAAAAGCAAGAGCTCTAAGAGCAGCCCATCTGAGGAACATGGGGCTAACTGCAGACATATCTCTCTGATTCCCTCGCAAGAGGGGAAGCGGAAAGCAAAGCGTAAACGAATGACCAGGAAAGAAGTGGGAATTCCAAGTCAGCACAGACTCAAATCTAGCGCATCTTTAATGTCGTCAGCAAAGTTGGAAAAACACAGGATGTCCTGAATTTGCAAGATCACTCTGAGTGGAAACATGCATTGAAGTTACTGGATCAATCAATAAATGCAAATGTCTCAGAGCAAAACCAGTAGGTAAGAAAGTCAGTGAGCAGTTGGCTACTTATTTAAAAAGTTTTTATACACACAAGAGCTCCCCAGACTTGCAGGAATGGGAGAGTTGCTTGGGAAGCTTGCTAAAAAACCTGATGCTGACCCTCAAGGGCATGTTTAAGAGGCTACCGGGGCACAACTCAAGTGGGACTTCTGGGGTCTGTAAAAAATGCCTGGATTTCCCTAAGCCATCATTCTCCACCAAAGTTTTATTCAGTGTGTGAGCCCAAAGAACACTTCAGTTGAGGAAAATGACTGAATATGTCTGTTTTCTGGTCATTCTCAACACCAAAGGCAGGGCCAAGAGCTGGCTCTTCCTAAGTTTATTTGGTAGAGCAGCACTACTTCAAGTGTGGTCCAGGGACTGGCAACATCTCTATGGAGCTTGTTAGAAATGCACATTCTCGGGCCCCACTCCAGACATTCTGAACGAGAACATCTGGAGATGGAGGCCAGGCATGTTTTAACAATACCCAGGTGATAAAGCACATATCAGTTTTAGATGCCCTGTAGAGTTTCTCCTAAATCTTTCAATGGTAAATACCACTTGCTAGGGGCCCCTCTATGGGCAGTTCTGATTCTGAGCAGCTGTAATGAGAACCTGGAAATCCAATTTGTAGTTATCTCCAGGTGACTCTTATTATCAGGTAAGCTTAAGAAACTCTAGGTTCTTGATTTCTTATCTCCACGTGTCCTGGAGGCAGACGTTTTGATAAGGGATGCACATAAAAATCACTGACAGAGCTATTTAAAAATGGATTCTTTGGCCTTTCCCCAAACTAGCAAATCATCATATTCAGTTTCCTTTTCAAGAAAGTGGTAGTGAGATGCTGTGCTTCATTCTTTTGCTCCCAAAGCTAACAGCCTGCTCCCCTGCTGTCAAGAATCACAGTTGTCTCCTGCCCTTAAGTGGAAGGCTGCCATCACTTAGGCATACATGATAGCAGAGTAACATTCAACTGCCTGACTGTAAGCAGTTAGCATTCAATGGGTCCTTAAAAAATAGCTTTGTTCTTTTCCTTGACAGCCCCTTTAACCAAGGGGCTCATAACTAGTCCCCAAAAGCTGGGCCTAGAAATTGCTGGTATGGCCTTGCAGCACTCTAAGTCTCTTCCACGAACCACCACCCAGAGTTCTAATGGCAGCTGTCTGCCTCCTTCTTCAGCATAACGTCCCTCCTTCATCACTTCCCCATCTCCGTGGGATGGAAGGCAGTCTGCATGTTTAGCAGTAGTTCTTAATCTGGCTAATGAAACACAGGCTTTAAAAGTGCCCACATACTGTTTCCTGGGATCTCAGTGAAAGAAAATAAAAGTGCCCACATATTAACGGTTTCATCCAGAACACTAGAAGCTATCTTGAAAATGGAGTGTTGGGCTAATCTCAATTTCCTAAATAATGTATGCAGAACAGGACTTGGCACGTTCCAGAATGTATGTTGTGTACTATACACAGCCCCAGGGAAACTTCCATTCTAGGTCGTATCATTCTTATTGTCTACTGATTTATGGCAAAGAGAAACTACGTGAAAATAACTATACTCCTTGAGTTTTCTCTTTAAGACCTATTAAACCTAGTAGACCTATTAGAAAAAGAAGCGAAACCATTGCCCCACTGAATTTATTAATCATTTTAGTTCAGTTTAATTCTGCTTCTGTTTCCACTTTAGGCAGTTTGTTTCAATGATTTGACTTGGAAGAACAAGTGTTTTCTGGCAAGTTCAACTTCTAGTGGTGGTCCACTGAGTAATTTCCATACATAAGGTTTTGTACTAAGGTATTAACTATACCTCAATAAAAATAAAGAATTCAAACAGTCCTGTATCTGGTGAGTGCATTAGTAATGGTCTCCAAAACTCTTCCTTAAATCAAGAGTAAGTTCTTCCTGGAATCTGTGGTCATGACACTTGTTTCATGTGACATTGACTCATAGTGAGATTACTGTATTTGGCACAAAGTCTTGCTGTTTTCACTTTGGGGTTATGGAACTGATATTAAAAAGGTTCAGTTGATATGAGTGCATCACATTAAACATAATGGAATGCTTTTCCTTCAAATATGGTCGAATGCATCTATGTCTCTTTCTGGACTCGCTATTCTGTATATACAATCTATTCTGCTATCTTTGTATCAAAACCATACTACCTTAATTACTGTAACTTTTTAATGTTTTATATCTAGAAAGAGTCCTCCAACTTTGTTCTTCTTTGAGAAAAAACATCTTTTTTCTTTTCCACAAAAATTTTATGACAGGCTTAAAAGTTGAACTTGTCAGTTCTCGAACACATGGAAACAAACTTCCTAAGATTTCTGGTTGAAATCGCACTTAATAAACAGCTAGATTTGGAGGAAAATGATACCTTTACAAGACTGAGTTTTCCAATCTAAAAACACAGAATATCTTTCAATTGCTTTCTCAAATATGTTCCATAATTTTCTATGCAGAGATCAGGTACAATCTTGTTAGATTTGTATCTATGGTTTTGATTTTTTTTTTTTTTTTTTGAGACGGAGTCTCGCTCTGTCACCCAGGCTGGAGTGTAGTGGCGTGATCTTGGCTCATTGCAAGCTCCGCCTCCTGGGTTCAGGCCATTCTCCTACCTCAGCCTCCTGAGTAGCTGCAACTGCAGGCACTCGCCACCACACCCGGCTAATTTTTTGTATTTTTAGTACAGATAGGGTTTCACTGTGTTAGCGAGGATGATCTCGATCTCCTGACCTCGTGATCCACCCGCCTCGGCCTCCAAAAGTGCTGGGATTACAGGCGTGAGCCACCGGGCCCGGCTGGTTTTGATTTCTGATGCCTTTGTGAATGACATTTTTTTAAATTACATTTTTTCTGATTGCTATTGATATATAGAAATAGATTTTTGTATATTCCTCATATCTAGTGATCCTATTAAATTCACTGATTTTTCTAATAGTTTATCTTTGGATTCTTTATGATTTTCTATAGTCACAATATCATTGGTATTTCTTAAAATTGCTTTAGAGAACTGATCTGTAATACTCTAGAACTCATACAGCTAGAAAAAAATATTTTCACGTTAGACTAGTTCACATATAGAACTTTGATATCGTTTGGCTGTGTCTCCACACAAATCTCATCTTCAATTGTAGTTCCCATAATCCCCACATGTTGTGGGAGGGACCAGGTGGGAGGTAATTGGTAATTGAATCATGGGGGTGGGTTTTCCCATGCTGTTCTCGTGATAGTGAATAAGTCTCATGAGATCTGATGGTTTCATAAAAGGCAATTTCCCTGCACATGCTCTCTTGCCTGTCACCATATAAGACGTACATTTGTTCCTCCTTCACCTTCCACCATGATTGTGAGGCCTCCCCAGCCAAGTGGAACTGCGAGTCCATTAAACCTCTTCCTTTATAAATTACCCAGTCTCGGGTATTTCTTCATAGCAGTATGAAAATGGACTAACAGAAACTTAGTATATTTAATTACAACTATTCATGTTAGATTAGAAAATCTGGACTATTGGCCTCAGCACAAAATAATAGAAATGGCCCCTAATACACAAAGAACATGTTTATTTTCCTGGGAACTCAGAAAATACACATTTTGTGTGCCTTGCTGCTCCCCTATTCCCACTCACACCCCAAACATATACATCAAGAGAAAATAATACTGGCCTTTTTTTTTTTTTTTTTTTTTTTTTTGGAGGCAGCATCTTACTCTGTCACCCTAGGCTGGAGTGCTGTGGCGTGATCTCGGCTTACTGCAACCTCTGCCTCCCAGGTTCAAGTGATTCTCGTGCCTCAGTCTTCTGAGTAGCTGAGACTACAGGCATGCACCACCATGCCCAGCTGATTTTTGTATTTTTAGCAGAGACGAGATTTTTCCATGTTGGCCAGGCTGGTCTCGAACTCCTGACCTCAGTTGATCCACCTGCACTGGCCTCTCAAAGTGCTGGGATTACAGGTGTGAGCCACTGCACCTGGCCTAATAGTGACTTTCGATCAAACTATTTTTCCATGTCTATTTCTTTATCTTCAATTACGAAAGAAAATAAGAGGCTACTCGAAGGGATATATTTTATTTCCCCTTCCTAACATTATATTCTTCAGATGATACCACTTTTAACAATATATCATTTAACATCTATGAGACCTAATTCTCCTTACTTTCTTCTCTCCCAAATTCTCCTCCTTCCTGGGGTTACCAGGAAGGTCCCAATGTCCAGGCTAGCTACTTCCTTGCTGCTGAAACTTTTCCTATGTGTAAAGAGGTAGATATGAAGTTGGAGCCAGGTCTTGTTTGGCTGCATGAGAAAGCAATGGAGACTGAAACCAGCCCCCATCCACCCAGTGTTAGACCCAAAGAACTGACACAAAATGAAGGAGCAGAGCCTTTGGTTCTGTCTTCAGCAATATTTATTGGAAACAGCGATGCTTCCTGTGGTGAGAGTTTATACATTAAGCAGTAAGATTTGCCTTTCACTCCACATGATCCACTACTGCAGGTGGCACATCGGAAGCAGCACGTTAAACCTCTGAAAGAGTCTGTACAGCTAGATAAATAGAACTCTGCATACCTAACAGGACTTTCATGACTGATACAAATAAAAAAACACACTGATAAGCTTACACACAGCACTGTACACACAAAATGAAGACGATGGATAGAAAGGGCAGAAGTAAAAGTAGCGACTGAATTGGGAAAGAGTTTTGCATATGCAGCCATATACCTTAAACTGCTAAGCACAAAAATCATCTTTATTTGGTCCTCATTGAGGGCAGAATCTGCACAAATGATGTTCAAAGAACACAGGGTAAAAGTGGAAAGGAAAGGTATTTACTGTTTCTCAGTATATGAACTAGTGGAAAGATGGTTACTAGTGTTTTCTTCCTTGTGTCTCTGTGCCAAATGGATTCATGAAACATGTAATTCACAAATAAAACTGAAGTGAAGATATTTGTTCCCCCTTCCCTGTGCCCTTCAGAAATAGCCTAAATACATACATAGTTTCTGTATAGCAAGAAATTTAAGCTTGGATACCAGATTTCTTCCCAATTCCTCATAATGGAGAATTTCTTTTCAGTCCCTCTCACAATAATGCTGATTAACTGTCTTACTGAAAAATAATTTGGAATTACCGCTCTGGCTTTAATAGCAAGGAGGGAAGAAAACTGGCTATACGTCAGAAATAGCCATAAGTGTGAGGAGCTGAGATGCCTATTTGCAGAGAATGCTTTGAACCCACAATTAACACTTTTCTATGGATGCATTAAGAGACAAATTCATTCAGATCAGGAGACAATTTGCTGGTGAGGGAAGGCTTACTTTGACAATTCCATGACTCACATATTTGGGAAGGGACAGTGTGAAAGCAAAAGCTTTCTCCTCTTTGCATGGAGAAATGCAAAGAGACCTTCAGATGGCCCCTGGGGTGATAGACAATATCTTCGGTGGGATGGTTTTTCTGTGAAATGGCTCATGGTCATATTCTAAGAAACCACAGCCTCCTGAGAACTGTGTAAACAGCAGTTCTGTGACTACTGGCTGGTCTCAGATGATGTTTTAAAAAGCACATGCCACGCCCACCAGGCTAAGAGGATATCATCCATCACCATGACTCCTGTGGGAGCCCACAAGTCAACCAAAGTCACTTGGTGGGGCTGGATGACGTGGACCACTGCGGCCTGCACTTGGGATGTGTTATAAGCAGCATTGCCAAAGCAGTGGTTAACCGTAACTATCTGGGTCAAGAGGAGGCGAGCCAGCCAGCATAACATCCTAATGGGGCAGGGCAACCAGAATTTCCACATAATTGATGGGGAAGAAGCCTGAATGGCCATGCAGCATCCCCTCATACCAGTTCTCATCAATTTGGTTAGTGAGTGTGATGATATCGCCCTCTTTAAATCCCAACTCCCCTTCATTTTCAGGTTCAAAGTCGTACAGAGCTCGGCAGCAGGGCTGATCCATTTGGACACCTGGGAGTAAGAGCAGGAGAGAAGAGAAGAACACAAAAGGATAAGGGGTATTTAACTCACAGAATCTGCTGCCTGCTGTACCCACCTGGCTTGCTGCTCCCCGTCTTTCCTCCCTCATTCCTCTTCCTGTTGAAGCTTCTTCTTGCTACTGGACCTTAGTGTCCACTGCACTGGGCATCTTGCCCTCTACCAATCCTCAGAAGCTTTCTCGGACCTTTGGAAGTTGCTGCATATTCCTGTTTCTGTTTCCAGTATGAAAAACAGTCACATCTATTCTTGTGATACATACAACACAGTTCATTATAGTTTGCCTTCGTGATAATGCCCAGAAATAGGAGGGACAATGACTTAAGAAGAATATAATGATGTAGGTTAATAACACAGCATGGCAAGAATTCTCTCATCTGAGCACTTTAAAACCTTTGCATATCTGAAAAAGTATGGTGAATTACATGGAGAATGCTTTTAAGTAACAGTTCGGTTATCACTCTTTAAAATGATAACCCCAGCCTCTGGAAAACTGCTGTAATGTGGTGAAAACGGAATAATATAAAACACTGAGTTCAAGTTTTTACTTTCTGTGACCTTGCACATGGTACTTCGCTCTCAGTTTCACTGTCTGAAATTGGATGTAACAGTAGGACTTACTTCACATTACTACTGTGGCTACTAAATGAGATTATGTAAAAAATTTTGTAATTTATACTTGGTAAGGTAAACTGTTGCATACATAAATATATGCAGTGCACTGGAGCTATGGCATACAAAAATAATGTACTCCACCTTGAGTAAAATAATGAAGGATGAAATCATATCTTAAGAGGGATCTATTCCAAATGACCCGCTGTATTAATACTACATACATACACATGTAGATACAGACTCAGACAAGTGCACACAGTTCCCATGCCATCTAGGTGGCTGGAAAGGAAACAATGTAATTTATTTTTTTATTTAGAGAAAGAAGCAAATTACTGAGTCTCCAGATGAAAAGTGAAATATATGGTTGGTTTTCAGACAGGGAGAAGCATAGCTATACACAATTTCTGTGACTAGTCCTGGTGGCCAGCTCCAGGAGCCACAGCTGCTTATGTCATGCCCTGAAGTGCTGAGCGCAAAGGACAGAGAGCACCACCTGCCGGCTCAGACCTCGCTTTTTTTCTTAATAAGTCTCCTGAGAGCATCTTATAAAAAGTTTTCTACAGTAGAACATCAAGCACTGGGGATACAGGAAAAATAAAAGAAAGCTACCTATCTCTAACATCCACATCCAGTATAAGACAGTTCCCACTTCAAACAAGCAAATGTGGAGGTTGAAAATGTCTCCAGCACAGGCTGTTGTGTAATCTGCGTGTAGGAGTGGAGAGCAAGTGTGACAAGGTAAAGAATGCTCTATTTGGTATGCATCGATATTCCTGAGATAAAATGTCATCTAGCTTTTATTATATCAACCCCAGTGCCACAGCATGATAAAGTGATCAGAGGTGAGGCATGGGAAGGAAAACCCAGCAAGTGTCGAGTTTCAAAATATCATCTTCTACAAATATATTTAACCATATGCTTCTGTGACTCAAGAAATCCAGCTCATCAGCACATTTCTGGAGCCGCTTGCTGTCTGTGGGTTATATGCGAATGCATGTGGGGACACACTGTCCAGGGGCATTCACTGTCATACAGGCTGGATTCAGAGCGAACACGCAGGAGAAAAGATGACACTCGCAGACCAAACTGACAAGGAAAGGCGATTTACGACCACAAAGGAGGGTCAAAACAAAATGTGTTCGTGTGTGCTGATGATTGACAGAGAAAATGGGATATACAAAGAAAGTTTTATAGAGAAGAATGAGAAGGAAGGAAAGAAAAGGTAAATGAAAAAAAGACAAAAGGATTCCTTTAACAGAGTTTCTACCTGACAACTGACTCCATAAGAAATGTATTACTGCATATTTCCTATGCAGCCAGATTGGACTATTCCTAAAATTTCTGGAAGAGTGCCAATGGATATGCCAAGGGCTATGCAATAGGATCTGCAGTTTCAGCTCTTACCTGAAGGTTTGGGAGTGCCTGTGTGGGAGAGACCCCCATTGGGCTGAGTACTGTCTCCAGTTGGAAACTCCAGGCTCATTCGTGGTTTAGGTTGATATTCCCTTCTAGGCTGAGATGAAGCCTGTCTTATTCTGCAGTAAAAAGAAAAGTGGTGGAAAGGTTATGTAACCAGTTAAGAAGTAAAATGAAAAGCAAATATAAAGATTCAGGAAATGCTTGGGTCACCCACCATGCTACCATGATGAAGTGTGGGAAATCAAAAAAGGACCCTTAGTTTTCTTGTATGTATATGTCTGAGATTTTGGTGATGTCCCTTTATGGGGCCATGTCCTCACTGTCTTCATTCTCTCTCTCAATCCCTCACTTCCTCTCTCATTTATTCAGAGTCCTTTATCCAAATACGCACTGTGCTAGGTACCAGGAACACAAAAATGAATTAAAACACAGTTCTTGTACACAAAGGATAAATGCTTGAGGGGATGCATACCCCATTCTCCATGATATGATTATTATGCATTGCATGCCTCTATCAAAACACCTCATGTATCTCATAAATATATACACCTATGTACCCACAATTTTTTCAATTTTAAAAAAGACACAAACAGATTATGGTCTGTAAGGGAGACAGAACACAAACAACTGATTACTATAAATTTTAGTAAGCACTGTCAGAGATATCTACAAAGTGCCACAGGAACACAGGGGTGTGGTTGTGGGTGAAGGTGGGAAGGAGTCTATCTCTCCATAAGGAAGCTGGAGGAGGTTTAAGGAGAGAACTAAAAGATACACAGGAGCTGTTTCCAGATGAAAATGTGAAAGGGAGCTATTCTATTCAGAACATGAGAAGGTTTGGACAGAGGGAAGGAGGAAATATACTGTGTGCTCTTAGAAGAATGAGCAGTTTGAAATATAGGGAGGAGGAAAGGAAAGAGGGAAGACAAAAGGAAATTGGAAAGGTATGGCTAATAATTGTCTTCTACATACCCCTAAATATTTTCCAAAGTTTCAGTTATTCAATAAACAAAGTATGTAAGAGATATGCAAGGGAGGGCGAGGGTTTAGGGTATGGTAACTGTAGAATGATACTGACTTTGAACATATTTCAGAGGAAAAAAAGGAAAGGGCTCCCTTCATGCTCAAGAGACATTACAAAGACACATAGTATTTCTTTAGTATCTTTGAAGTATATGGTTTTAAAACCTTTCTGGAGGCTTCAGCATTACATAAATTTCCATAAGGCTGCGCCGAAGGAAAATGCTCAATTAAACCATGAATCAAAGAAAATACTGAAATGAGATCAGCCTGAGGGAAAACAACGAAAACAGGTGTGGAATCGTATGATTGGTGTCTTCTTCACGCAGGCAGCCATGTGATCAGCTGTGAGAGTCTAATCTGGCCATGTGGCCTAAGAAAAAAGCTTGCTGAGGTGACCCTTTGAGGTATACATGTTCAGCAAAATCATCCTGTTTAATCTGGCTAAATTAAAATAACACATATTATAACATAGGGCCACTGGTATATAGCCAAACAGGCTGTGCCCCACAACTCCACGGAGCCACATTCACACGGTAGTTTCCTACTACTACAGCCCTGCTGTGAGGTACATCTAATGAGGTGAAAGTAGCTCTCTCTGATGGCAGAGGACTTGACCGCCATTCAGAGAAACACAAGATGTGAAAAGAAACAGCCTCTCACACAGGTTATGGCTGGCTGTGAACTCCACTTGCACCACTGAGTGACCCTGGGCTAGTTACTTCACCTCTCTTAGCCTCAGTTTACTCATCTGTTAGTCGAGGCTAAAAACACTTAGGTTACAGGGCTGTTATAAGATTGATGATGATATGTATCCAGTACCCACATGGAATAACTGCTCAGCAAATGGCATCCATTATCAGCAGTAGCATCCTGGTGTTCCACCTGTGGCAGCCAAAATATAATCCAAGTATCGATCTCTCATAAGCAGAAAATTAGATTCAACAGAACAACGTAAAACAAAGCACAAGAAAAAACAAAATCAAAACAATCCACAAGGCGCCTCTGTAGGATAAGCGGAATTTTGGCAGACGTTTGTCTCCAAATGTATTCTATGATTTCCATTTCTTTATACATCATTTTATAGCAATAAAATGCAAATGTGAAATGCAGGGAACTGTAGAATACCTTTCTTCCAGTCTGACCGTGACTTGCTGCAGGATCTGGACTGCCTGCTTGTGGTACTCCAGCTGAGCTTGCACAAGTGCAGAGAGCTGGCTCACTTGTTCAATCTGCAGATTGATGGGAAAATCATGCCTTAGTTTTACACGTTACCATCCCTAAACAGCCACTACTGTTTCATACATACACCAGGGCTGCCCTCAACACACAGCCCCTGGTTGGTGGTGCTGATGACTGTGTGATAAGCCAACTAAGATAGATAGTTCTGCAGGTTTCAAATCCATCAAGGATAAAAGAAAGCATCCTTATGCTTAGAATCATGCGTATCAGTACCATGAGGAGAAGCAACATGGGTAACCCTCAGGAAGACCATATAGCTCTAAAGAGTCTCATGCTTAGCTACAATCTTGTATCTGGGATTTGACTTCTTTTATTCTATAGAAAAGAAGGTACACTGGCCAAAGGACTCTTTGTTCCTTATACTTTTCATGCTGTTAATATCGGTACTGTTAATAAAAATGTGACAATATCTCACATAATGTACCCGGAGAGGCGACATGGTATGACAGAAAATCTTCTGTGCTCTCTGAGCCTCATCTGTAATGTAAAAGGGTTAAATCAAGTGACATCTTGAGTTCATTCTTGCTCTAATATTCTAAGCTTGATTTCTCTTGATTTTATGTTTCACATTATGATCCAGCTGGGTAGCAGCCTCCAAGTCAACAGAAGCAGTGTTGTCCCATGAATTTGGGGATGGGGAGGGGTGCTGTGTTGCAGGGAAGGAGCACTGTGATTTGGAGCACCCCTCATGCACACAGTATTCCTCTCGAGGAGTTAGGTGGACACAAGTTGTTTTACATAAACAAAAACCTACACTGTCTCCAGGTGGTAGGAAAGTCTGGATATGTTCAACACACTTCCCCTGCCACAGTCAGGAGTAAGGCAAGTAGGCAATGTGATGGTTAATTTTAGGTGACAACTTGACTAGATTAAGGGATCCCCAGATAGCTGGTAAAGCATTATTTCTGGGTGTGTCTGTTAGGGTGTTTCCAGAGGAGACTGGCATTCACTTAGTAGACTAAACAAAGGAAGAGCTGCCCTTCCCTATGGGGGTGGAGACCACCCACTCAGCTCAGGACCCAGATAGAATAAAAAGCAGAGGAAAGGCAAGTTTGTTCTCTCTCTCTTCTAGCGAAGGGACACCCATACGCTCCTGTCTTTGGATGTCACAGCTCTAGGCTTTCTGGCCTTTGGACTCTGGGACTTGCACCAGTACTACTGATGCCCCCTGCTCCACAACTGAGTTCTCAGGCCTCTATTGAGTTATACATAGATCCTCAGAAATATCCTTTATCTTCCCACTATTGATAAGAGAGATGGTCCCTGACTTTACGATTTGTAGGCTTTATGATGGTGCAAAATTGATATGTGCTCAGTAGAAACCATACCTCAAGTACCCTTACAACCATTCTGTTTTTTACTTTTAATGCGTTATTCGATAAATTACATGATATATTCAAGACTTTAACCCCATCATAAGTTAAGGAGCATCTGTACTTTAAGATTCATTAGCAGTCGAGAATCTAGTTAAACTACAGGAATGCAGAAGAAACTTTTCTATTTCTCAGTCTACTTTATGACTGACAATTATTTAAAATAAATAACTATCTACTGAAGTTCTTATCACATAGTGTAATCAGATATTAATGCTTTTAAGGGTTATGGCCTTTAACATATTAATGTTGTGCCTCGATGATAAGATTAAATTGAAAACCACAGGAGTCACTTACATCCATCTCCAAGAGATTGAACATGCTTGACTCAGCAATTTCCTTAGACTCATCAAATTTCTCTAGAGCTTGACGAAGCTCTTCATCCGGAATCTTGCCTTGTCGTTTCTTCTTATAATCAAAATCCAGGCGTCGACCCTCCAACTTCTTTAGATGATGCTGCAAAAGTCAAGGGCAGGAATAGGCTTTGAAAGGGCTTATGGAAAAGGCTTATTTGAGCTCACTTCTCCATCACGTCCATTAACTTCCAAATTAAGATAGGCTAAGTTTTAAAATACAACGCCACCAGAGAAATAAAGAAACATGCATCAATGGGGCCAGTGCTTTCAAAGGCTAAATATGGGGGAATATCTTTAAAAATAATTAAGAATAAAAGATAAATTATAGGAAATATCAGTGCCCTTTATTTTCTGGCCTTGTCAGGCCAAAGCCAAGCTGGACTAAGCCTTTGCAGCCCATGACAGAAACAGAGAAGGAATGCACATGCCCTACACACAATGAAAGGACACACTCACAGGCCCCACAGGCCCTGTCTTCAAGAGAAATGGTATCTCATGAGAAGCCAGAGGAAAAACTCTTTCCTTGAAATTAAGTGAGATAGAAATGGCAGTCTTGCTTTTCAAATCATCCAGTCTGTTAGAATCACGTAAGTTGCTCATCACAATATGGATTCCTGAGCTCTTGAATCGATATCTAGGGTGGGGGCCTAGGAATCTACATCTTAACACTTGCCCCAGCTGACTGATGCAGCTGTCACCAGAGAAACTAAATCCAGTGATTTAGTTTAAGCCTCCCACTTGACATATAATTGAACTCAAGAACAAAATCTCACTTGGAAGGGACCTACCAAGGGATTATATCTAATGCTCCATGCTGAGCTTCAATCCCCTCCTTGCACCATACCTGGTAGATGGCTGCCCAGGCTCCACCCATCATCTCTAGTGACCAGGTAGCAAAGTAGTTTTCCAAAGCTAAAAAGTATTGTTTTTCCCCGATAGCTAGTCTTTCACTACTAATGGATGAAGGAAAATCCTGGATTTTCCCTTGTTACTAGTATGTATGGAGCAGAATGAAAGGAAATGAAAACAAAGTAGGGAGTAGTTAAAAAAATGAAAAGGAAAGGAGGAAGAATAATATTCTAAACCTTCCCTCACACTGCATCCCCCGCCCCTCAGTCCATGCCCTGATCCAAAAACTAAATGCTCATTTGGAAGGAACTTTCTTTTTTAAACATTTGAGCTATAGGGTACAGCATTGGAGTCAGAGTTCTATTTTGGATTTAGGGTCAGTCTGTCACTTACTAACTCTATAATCTTGAGCAAATGGTACTGCTAAAGGAGATTTAAGCTAGAATAAGGAGGAGGAGGCCCTAGTTCAAGTTATGGCAATCCATTTTACACCCAACAAAGTTTCAAAAAAGCTCAACAAATATTTGTTAGATAAAAAAAAGTGAGCAAACATTCCACACTCAAAGACATATGAACTTTATTATAAACAGCTCAACTGCTCTACATGTTTTAGAAAGTGGCTAGTTGGTATTCTTCCTCAATCCTAACAACCATTATGAAAATATTAATATAAAAACACATAACATCCATCTAATTTCTAGACTTGGAAAAAAATAAAAATATGTGCTTATGCAGTGATAGAATAACTATTTATTTAAGCTAACAACTAGTACAACTAACATTTTAGTGGGTGAAATCAGCCCAGCAAACCATAGAATAATTAACAAAACTGTGTATTCTCAGGAAAAGTATATTATCCTCTGGAGAAAAAGTCTGAAAAAAACTATTCAATATGAAAATCAAACATAGAGAAGCCAGAGACAGCCCTCATGAGTGGCACAGTCATAACAGGCTGAAAAGTATCACATTTCTGGTTTCTCTCATTTTGTCTTACTGGGTTGTTTTGTAATTAACGTGCCCAGAGCTGACAACACACAGGGTAAGCTAAAAAAATGTTTTCTAAAGAAAAAAGGCATCTGCATCTGTATGATTTCAACTGCCCACTTTCCAGAAGACTCATTGTACATACTTGAATTTCCCTAAGATCTTTGTCATGAAGATTCTGAAGAGGGTCAATGAAGTTCTGCTTCACTTCTATGTCCAAAGAGTCTTTGACCTCCGACAGTTCCCGCATGGCCTCCCCGACCTCACCAAGTGCTGGGCCTAGGAGAGAATAAAGCTCTTTCATGTTACAGAATAAAGATGAAATGCACTCGCAATAACAGGGCCCTTCACAGATGAAAACCCAAAGGATTACCACTTGTCTTCTAAAGACAACAGACAAGAGAGAATAGGTATCTTCAGTTCACTCCAGGCAACAGACTCAATGCCCCCTAAGAGGGTAAATACCTCTCATCAAGAATGGAACAGTTACTTTTTCCTTTAAGAAGCAATTTAGGAAGCTCCCTGCCCTCTCTTGTAAGTACCAGCTTTCCCTAATGTGGGACTAGCTTAAGGCAAATCTATTAGCAGAAGCAAGTACCAGAAATAGCCGGGTTCAACCAGGAAGGAGATCCCACATCACAAGGGGGTGAAAATAGAAGATGTTGGGTGTGGTAGCTGAGTTTTGGGGGAGACAGGGTGAAGGAATAAATCATGTCTCACCTTGGGCAGTAGAACTAGGTACCATATACAAGTGAGCAAAGATCTATGAAAAAGGCCATGAGGCAGGGAGGGCTTTGAATCATGCTGACTGTGCCTGCTCACTCTGCTTCAATACTCAATGACTGCCAGAAACACCCAATAGAAAGTGCCAAGGAGGCATCTGGATATGTCAACCAAAGCTGTTGTAAAGACTGAGGTCTTATAGTGGGGGGGGTGGGAAGAAAACTTGTAAGATAAATCACATTAGAGCGGATGAAATAATTCTGAAAACAAATTTTTGGCCCATGTGTGTAGGATCTAAAACTGAAAACCAAAATATAAAATGATTTGACCGATTCCCTACAGAATTTCTTACCAGCACCAAAATCCCCATGGACAAATGAAAGAATTACAATGTGAGGAAGCACTTGTTACCAAAGTTGCAATCATCTCCAAGCTCTCTTCCAAATTTGAGCATGGCCTCTGCCAGCAGCGCCTCTGCCTGAGGATAGCCTGGCCCCTTCTCCTGGCCACGGATTTTTGACATGGTGTTGATCATGCTGAGCTTAGCTCTGGAAGCTGAAGGTGAAGAGAGAACAAGCTTTCAGAGTAGGCAATGTGACACTGCGGAAATAGGGCTGGATGGAGGATCAGGTCTCAGAGCAGCCTACAAAGTAGCTCAGCTACTGATAAGTGTACCTTCAGTACGCTCCAGTGTTCTCTCCGTCAGTCAGTCTTATCAACCACTTTTTTAAAGCACTAAACTCTCCCTTTCCCTTAAGATCTTAAAATGAATTACAGCAATTCTGTTCTGGATGAAGCAGGATTACACGCTCAAATTCTATCACTGTGTGCCCTTCCCCATCCTCCCTTCACTGTGGTGGCCCCTGCAGTGACTCTGTGGAGCTGGGTGCTTCCATGGAGAGCTTTTTACAAACTCTCGAATTATGTGATGATCTCTAAATTTTATTCTAGTTTTATAGTTCAATTCTAGGAGTCTAAGGATTAAAATAAGGAACCAATGGTAAATTCCTGCAGAGTGGGCCTTATGCCTTGTTTCACTTATACCATGTATGAAACAGAACTATTTTCAAAATCATTTCTCAACTAAGATTCTGATGGTAAACAGACCCATGAAGAGCAAAAATACTGTGTTCATTTAAAAGACTTAATCACTTCTCCAGCACATAACTAGAGAAAATTAGTTTTGTGCCTCAAAGAGAACATTTCAATTTCTCTTTCTTTGTTTTTGTTTTTATAAAAGAAGTTGCCTAGAAACCAATTCCAGTGTTAGTGGCAAAAACAGCTTTATTAAAAAAATTGTTAAAGCCTATGACTTAATTGATGCTAGGATACCTAGGTTCCTCAGGTTCAAAATTAGAGTTGGGATTACACATTAACCTAGGACTATACCCCAAATCCCATCTTCAATGGAAACCCCAGATAGAATCACAGCTTAAGGTACTTCCAGCATTCAGTGGCTGACAATCTTGACATTTATTTCACAAGGCTTTTATTTAAACTTTGAGTCTTAGAGGCATTGAATAGAGATGAGAAAAGTTATCAGGAGAGCACATCCTGCAACCCTGTCCCAGGGATATTACAATGAGCACGACAATTATGGTCCCTGCTTTCACAAAGTTTATAATGAACTGAGGGTAGAGTCTATTTTAAAATTAATTAGAGTGAAGTAAATATGCCAAGTGCCTTGATGGGGGATTGAGGAGAGTCCCAGATATGCGGCACTGTCCTCATCAGTTGGGGAGGGGCATCGCAAAGGATTCCTGGAGGGAAGTATCTTTAAGTTTAGATCCAAACAGTATGTAGCAGTTAGGCTAACAGCACATGTAAAGGCTGGTGGTGACTGGAAAAAATATAAAATTCATTTCTTATTTGCTTTTTCATATAAAAGGGATCATATGTTAAGTTTGAAAAATAGAAAATGCAGGCTAAGTGTGGTGGCTTATGCCTATAATCCCAGCACCTTTGGTGCCCAAAGCAGGAGGATCATTTGAGGCCAGGAGTTTGAGACCAGCAAGGCAACATAGCAAGACCCCATTTCTACAGAAAAATTTAAAAGTTAGCAGGGCATGGTGGTGCCCACCTGTAGTCTCAATTACTAGGGAAGCTGACGTGGAAAGATTGCTCAAGGCCAGGAGTTTGAGGCGGTAGTGAGCTATGATGGTGCCACTCCACTCTGGGTGACACAGCAAGAGCCTGTCTCTTTTTTAAAAAGAGAAAATGCCACAGAATCATTTTTAAGGGAACAATATCATTATTTTCTGCAGTGAGTCATATCTGAGATCCAGGAAGGACACAGTCCCAGCCCTCAAGGTGCTCACAATATAGTGAGGAGTAAGATAAACAGTGGCAACAAGTATGATAAATATTATCATGGCTGATATCATGGTACTAGGGGGACACTGAAGAATGACAGCACGAATAAAATGAAAACAGTGCAAATAAAATAAACAACACCTAAAACACACAGAATGAATAGAAGGAAAGGAGAAACAGAGTAATGAAACCACACATGAGTTAATCCCTACAAATCCTATTCAGGCCATTTTACATTTAAGGATGCATTCCTTTTATAAAAGCTGGATGTGGTAAGTGCTTATATCTTGGCTCTATTAAGGGCTGTCTCCAGGTAAGTAATTCTAAACAGTTTAATACACTGTGGCTGATTTTCAAACACATCATTTTGAATGTTGTTCAATTATGAAGAGCTTTATTCTTTTACTAAGAGTATCTTGGATATGTTCTATATTTTCATAAGAAGGAGGAAGAAAGCCATTTTCTACTAGCTTATCTACTTCAAATGATTAAAAAAAGCCTACTAATTCACATATCTGAAGAGACTAGCTTTTAAGTTCATTCACAAATTTATTACATATTAAGAATCTTGGGTTAATGAAACTTCTGTGTTATTAAAAATATCATCAGACCTCCAAATTAACCATCTTTAAATGTTAACATAATTATCTTTAAATGATTGTTTGAAGCAGTACTTTAAGAAACTGAGAGTGAGCCTGGAAAATACAAATTTAAAGCACTCAAATTCCTATTATATACTCTCAACCTGGATTGCTTTACCAAGTTGTATGTGCCCTTAGAGATCTGTGTCCCTTCTCTTCTAAACATACCTAACTCCTCTCCTTCAAACCCATGAATCTACTTCTAGGTGATTCCCAGAAGGAAATGTATTGGGTGAATTAAAACAGCAGGAAGCAAAATTAGGATGACCATAAAAGGCTGACCTATTCCCAAAAGGGCTCCACTGTTTTGTCCTCTGCTAAAATGAGTAGTTTCTTTTTTGACCTTAAAATTTATGCTGTCTTTTAAGGAAGACAAATGGGGGCAGTTGAGGCTCAGTCTTAACTCCCAACTCTAAAGCATAATCTGTAGCATCCCTGACGAGCTTTCTAATTCTGGGAACAGCCAAAGGGAGATCTAAGCTCTGCTGAGAATAAAATGGAAGCTCTGCTAGCCCTGCCTGAGTTATTTTCCTCTGACCTAAAAGCAGTGTCCATGTGAGTCACTGCCTGGTCTGTCCTACAGCTACTTATCTAGTGTGGCAACTAGCTGAGGATGCTGTAAACTCAGTACTTCTGCTAAATCTTAGTTTTTATTTCCTAATCCAAACAAACAAACAGGAAAACCACTAGGTCTTGCTTTCCATGGAAAACAGCAGAGTCCATTAAAATGAACATTAGCTTTGAGCACATACAGACATAGCTAAAAATCCAGGCTATAAATCTTGCTAGTTAGCTGTGAATCCCTGAGAAATCTCTCATTTGTAAGACTGTTATCAGTGTTCAATGATAAACAGCAAAAACCAGCACAGACAACACAACAGGCACTGGATACTGGGGAAAATATTCTTTCTTTCCTCCTTCCAGGCTCCCCTGTCTGTGTGTGTGTTCTGGAATGCTCTACTGACAACTTGGTTGCACAGAGAACTGCACTGCCCAGAGTCCCTTCCTTGCGTGTTTCCATGGACAAAAATCAGAATTGGTCCAAAGTGAGGTTGCGCAAGATTTGGGAGGTGAAGTTGAAGCAGCAGCCCTAATACTATGAAGGCTGGCGTGCGTTAGAGAGGGTGACAGAAAGATGCAGAGGTGCCTGTGGCTTCCAGTTTTTCCTTGCTCTTCCCCACTGTGTACTGAATTACTTCATTTAAACATTTTAATTTTTTATAAAATGCTTCTGTATACATCATTTTTTCAAACCCTTAGGTAAAGCTTTCCTGTTCAGAAGTACCATGACCGCCCACTGTGCTTTGGAATGGCACTAGAGGCTGCTGATACAATCTGATCACACCACTCACTCTGTGGTCTCATAGGATGGTTTGAGAGCAGGTCTCCTTGGCACCAGGCCTGCTTTTCCTTCACACTAATTAAATGTTAAGGATTCCAAGGCTACCACTGAGTCTTTTCATTTCTCCTGACTCCATTTCGTAAAGTACAGAAGAGTACAGTTCCACTTCTCAGGTAGGCTAAAAAGCTATATGGTTTACCATCATTCACTCCAATCTTCCCTTAGGAATCTGGCTCTTTGGAAGCACTTCCTTCTTAAATTATGCCATGAAAATCTGCTCTATGTGAGGATGACAAAAAGTGATCACGTGCTCTCACAGAATCAGAAAAAAGGCTCTTATTTTCCCCGAAAAAGAGAGTTCCCAAGCTAAATCATGAGTCCTACACCAAATCACGAGTCCCACACCAAGGAGTTTAAAAAAGATTAAATTGATTAAAATCAATAAGGAGGTTACACTGGAAACAATTATGCATTCCCTATACAGAAGAAATGTGAAGTTTCACTGCCTGGTTGAATATAGTCATTTACCAAAAATCTATTTTTAAAAGATTTTCTCTGTGATAAAGTGAGCAAAAGAAATATTCATGAAGCACCTATAATGTGCAAGTGCTATGTCTAGGGGGACTCTGAAAGAAGTGAGGTGCAGCCTCTGCTCTTAAAAAGCTTATTATCCAGGTGGAGAGTCAGAGTGCTCACTCACTGCTGTGAGGCAGAGTGTGGGTGAGGCTGTAATGTATTAATATTTACACTGCAGAAGACACAGTAACAAATTCCACCTGAAAGAGTAAGGCTGGGAAGGCTAATGAACAGATGATGCTCGAGCTGGGCTTTCTGAAAGAGTGAACCGTAAAGGGAGAGACCTGGGAAAGGCCATTCTAGGTACCTGGAGAATCTGAGTAAAGTATACAAAACAGAGATAGATCAAGTGTTCAGAGTTTGGAACAACCAGAACTCTCAAATACTGCTGGTAGGAGGATAAATTGGTAGAAAATTCTGGACAACAATTTGGTAGTGTTTACTAAAGCTGAATAGACACATACCCTGCAACCCAGTAACTCCACTTCTAGGTGTATATCCATCAGAAATGTGTACATGCATAACAGACATGTACAAAGCAATGGCAACAAAAGCCAAAATTGACAAATGGGATCTAATTAAACTCAAGAGCTTCTGCACAGCAAAAGAAACTACCATCAGAGTGAACAGGCAACCTACAACATGGGAGAAAATTTTCGCAACCTACTCATCTGACAAAGGGCTAATATCCAGAATCTACAATGAACTCAAACAAATTTACAAGAAAAAAACAAACAACCCCATCAAAAAGTGGGCGAAGGACATGAACAGACACTTCTCAAAAGAAGACATTTATGCAGCCAAAAAACACATGAAAAAATGCTCATCATCACTGGCCATCAGAGAAATGCAAATCAAAACCACTATGAGATATCCTCTCACACCAGTTAGAATGGCAATCATTAAAAAGTCAGGAAACAACAGGTGCTGGAGAGGATGTGGAGAAATAGGAACACTTTTACACTGTTGGTGGGACTGTAAACTAGTTGAACCATTGTGGAAGTCAGTGTGGCGATTCCTCAGGGATCTAGAACTAGAAATACCATTTGACCCAGCCATCCCATTACTGGGTATATACCCAAAGGACTATAAATCATGCTGCTATAAAGACACATGCACACGTATGTTTATTGCGGCACTATTCACAATAGCAAAGACTTGGAACCAACCCAAATGTCCAACAATGATAGACTGGATTAAGAAAATGTGGCACATATACACCATGGAATACTATGCAGCCATAAAAAATGATGAGTTCATGTCCTTTGTAGGGACATGGATGAAATTGGAAACCATCATTCTCAGTAAACTATCGCAAGAACAAAAAACCAAACACCGCATATTCTCACTCATAGGTGGGAATTGAACAATGAGATCACATGGACACAGGAAGGGGAATATCACACTCTGGGGACTATGGTGGGGTCGGGGGAGGGGGGAGGGATAGCATTGGGAGATATACCTAATGCTAGATGACACGTTAGTGGGTGCAGCGCACCAGCATGGCACATGTATACATATGTAACTAACCTGCACAATGTGCACATGTACCCTAAAACTTAGAGTATAATAAAAAAAAAATTAAAAAAAAAAACTGTGCTATTCAAAATATCTAGAAAATGCAAACACCTAAATGCTCATCAGTGGAGAAAATGGACAAGTAAACTGTGCTATGTTCTCACAAGGGAATTCTACAGAGCAATGAGAATGAAAGAAGTAGGACAAATAGAAAGATGAACAAAATAAGCCAGATCAAAAGAATACATGTTCTATGATCATATTTCAGTTACAAGACAGATAAAAATGTATAGTATTAAAGGTAAGGGCAGCTAGGATCTGTGGAAGGAGGTTTTGGGATGTTGACAATGTTCAGTTTCTTGAACCATGTACCTTTAAACAGAAGTTTATAATAGTTCATTGAGCAATATACTTATGATATATGTGTTGTACTTTTTGTATGTTACAGATCAATAACAAATTCAGAAATTTCACTCCTAAACATTCTGATGTAATTGGTTTGGCATGTGGTCTGGACACGGCAGTTTTTAAAATCCCAAAGGCGATTCTAATGTGCAGCCAAGGTTGAGAACCACTGTGTTCGTCTCTAGACTGAAAACGTGGGAGGTGATGATACAAATGTGAGATAAAGAACACAGGACAAAGAGAAGATTTTAGAGTGGAAGTGTGTAAGTACTTCAACTGCAGAAACACAAAGTCTAACAATATCCATGTGGTTGTATAGCAGACAACCAAGCAAATCGGTCTTGGGCTCAAAGGATGGTGGTGGGGGGTAAAGAAAACCAACTTATCTGACAACATCTGAAATCTTGAAGGCTAGGCCATTAGATAACAGAAAGAAGCAGAAGATAATTGCCCCCAAATGAAGATGAAACAAAATTCAAGAACAGTTTTCTTCCAGTGGTTTTATATGTGGCAGGTGAGATTAGCTTTTAATTGGTGTCTACTCTAAGCCAGGAGCTTTATACAAACAATTTACCTTAATCTTCACAACTCTGTGGGTTTGGTTCAATTACTCCTATTTGCAGAAAGAGGGATGGGCTGCATCTATAAAGAAAGGATATGGAACCTCAGAGAGCCTGGAAAGCCTATCCGAGCTCTCATAGTTACTAACAGGAAAAGATTGGATTCAGGCTCAGGTCTGAGCCACTCCCAAACCCATTCTCTTTCCCATTCCGTCAAATTTCCTGTGGGACTCAAAGTTTCAGATGGAAACCCCTAAGTCTCCAAAAAACAAAATCCTTGTCTAAAGGCTTTTACTAGTGGTGGTCAACCTGATGCATATCAGAATTACTCAGAAAACATTTTAAAACCATAGATTTAAGGACCCCATCTCTATCTTGATGATTTGGACTATCCAGTGGGTTAGGCCACCAAGCATGTGTCCAAGGGGCCTTGGGGATATAAGCAAGCAAGCCTGGGCCCTGAAGTCCCACCTCTTATCAGGTCTGGCCAATTGTATCACCTCCTTGAGTTGGCAAGCTGATGATTCTCATGTATCTCTGCAGGCTAGCCCTTTACACTGTATTACAGACTAAGGCATTCTAATACCTACTTGACTGTACTAGGATGTGTAGGCCTCTCAAACTTAACATATTCAAACTAAACTCCAGATTTTCCATCATCATCCCAAACCTGCTCCTCCTATAGTACTCTCAATATTAATGAATACAACTCCATTCATTCTTCCACTTGCTCAGGCACTAGACTTCATAGTTATCTTTGATGTCTCTCTTGCCTAATATGCAATTAGTCAGCAAATTCGGTCAGCTCTACATTCAAAACACATCTAGGATCAGACTGTTTCTCACTCTGGTCTAAGCTACTACCATCTACAGCCTGGATTATTAAAATAAGCTCCTGCTGGCCTCCCTGCTTCCACGCTTGCCCCCTATAATCTACTCTCAATAGAAGAGTAAGGACAGTCCTATTTAGTGTAATTTAGATCACATCACTCTTCTCCCCAAAGCACTTTAATGTGTTCCCACGTCATTCAGGGTAGGAATCAAAGTCCCAACAATGGTGACAAGGTCCTATCTGCTCTTGCCTCTCTGACCTCCCCCAGCCAACATGGCACTTTATTGTTCTCATATACATGAGAACTTCCTGGACCCGGTCACTCTCTCCCCCTCTTACTCTTCATTTTAATTCACTGCACTGATCACATCTGACATTAGGTATTATTCTCTATCAGTCTCATCCTTCCAGAGTATAGGCTCCATGAGGGCAGGGGCTTTGCCTGCCTCATTCACTCATACATGCCCAGGGCTCAGAACTGCCTTAGAGTAAACGTGGAAGATAACTGAAAAAAATGAATGGATTTCTTCATCTACAGAATGGAGAAAATCAAAGCTACCTTGCTGGGTTTATTGTGAGGATTACAAATGATGTTTTAGAGTATCCAGCACCGTGCCTGGCACTTATGGAACTATTCAATAAAATGGAGGCTATGACCAGTATGGTAAATTGTGTTATGGAAGTATGTTAACCAAGAGGTATACTGAAATGTATAAATATGGCACTCCCAGATTGTCATGGACAAGAGGAAAGTTCTTAGAGTTGGTGGGTTCGGCTATAAATATCTAGTCTGCCTCTAGTATAAAACTAAAGATAGGGATGAGAGCCCAACCTACGCTAAAGGAATAGAGTTGGTAAGTGATGAATGTAAAAAAGGTAAGAAGACTGCTATTTGTCCTCCCCAAATTCATATGCTGAAACCCCAATACCCAATGTAATTGTATTTTGAGATAGTGCTTTTAGGAAGTAATTAAAGGAAGTCAGGAGGTCAAAGTCCTAATCCAGTAGGATTGGTAACCTTATAAGAGAGGAAGAGAGAGAACAATCTCTCTCCCTCCACACACATGCACCACGAAAAGGTTACATGAGGACATAGTGAGAAGGCGTCTAACTACCAGCCAGGAAGAGAGCCCTCATCAGAAATTAAAACATGGTCAAGCAACTTGATCTTGGACTATATAACCTCCAGAACTGCAAGAAAATAAATTTCTATTATTTATGATATTTTGTTATGGCAGCCTGAGCTGACATAGATCAAATTCTGAGGTTCCGGGGGAAAATGAAATGAATTTGGGAGGGATATCACTCAACCCATATACTTTCTTTTTAAACTTGATTATTTTAACAAACTTTAAATCAAAGTAATTTTTTAAAACTATCTGAATTACTATATTTGTGAGCAAACCAATTATTACATAATTTTCATTTCACATGGATTTCTGAAGCTTTTATCTTTATAAATATTCCACCTGGGTTTACTCTTTTTGAATAAAGTCATCTTAAAAAGTTATGTTTGAAAGAAGCCTCTAAAAATATATACAGTTTATTGACTGCATGGTTATTGAGTCCTTGGGTAACAATATTTTACTGACTAAATGCTTTATTTCCATAAGCACACAAGCATGAGATCAACCAACGAATATGTAATCTAAGATTTTCCGAAATAAAGAAGAGGAAGGTCCCTAACACTCTCCATTCTACAAAGGTCTCCCTGCCTCTGTCTACAGGTATTTACAGAGCATCTGCTTCCTCCCTATCCGTGGGAGCTACTCTTTCTTGGCAGTTCAATCCAGTGGTGTGCTGGAGTTAGGCCAGCACTGCTCAGGGGAGCCAAGTGTGAGCCTCTTTTTCCAAGTCACAGTTCAGTGATGTCACACTGGTAGCTTGAAAATGGCCATGTGAGACACAGAAACTGGCTCATGCTACAAATCAAGGTTTTTCTTCCAGAAAGATGGTTGTTAAGCCTGTAGCAGCACACTGCTGGTTCCTCCCAGCTTGTGGCAAGTTTTATTGCACTTCAATTCTCATCTGTGGTGGCCAGGTAAGTATTATCATACTTCTTGGCTTAAAAAAAAAAAAAGATGGGACATTTTGAAAATGCAAAGTACAAAGAATAACATAACACACTCATATACACATTATTCAGATTTCTCACTGTTAAGTACAATGTTCCTGATAATCTCTCTAAACAAGTATTAATACTTCCTTTATAGCATTTTTGTGTGTGTGTCTCTAAAATAGGACAGACTTGAGGTTGTGAGGTTGTTGAGGTTGTGACAGACATTTGTAGGAAAGCCCCTGAGATTCTTTTTCTGGAAAAGTGTAAAATGTCAGGGGACCAAGCCTCTGAGGGCTAGGCAAAAGCGGTGTTTTCTAAGGGGGTTTAGTCCCAAGGACAGTGATGCCAGAAGATGGAATGCTCCTTTTCCTAGGGAAAAAAACAGGGAGTTTTAATGTCTGCTTTTTTTAAAGTTTCATTTACTACAATTCAAAATCAAGGTTTATCACAAATGAGATTTCTGTCACACTGGAAACCAGCAGACTCTGTGGAACGTACATGCCCAGCACAAACCTCAACAAAGGGTGGGGCTGCAGAGGCACAGGGGTGTGAAAATGAGTGTTCCCTGCTGGAAGAGCAAGGATGAGGGGTGATTCTGCCCTCCGCACCCTATTTTTCTCCCCACCCTAGATGATTATGATGGCAGTATTTTGGGAAAGACCTTTTGTAAATCACTTTTTAAAAATTACAACCTGATTTAAATTGCTGTATTCTCAAGAGTGGCTTCCTTCTTTCACTGTGAAATTTCACATAAAAACATAATGACAGGGCATCTGTCTATCACAACAGGGAAGAAGAGAATCCAACCCCCACCCTTGGTGTGAGTTGATGAACACAGCTGATGCACTTGGGCAGAACAGGTGGCCACAGTACTCCAAGTCACATCTTTATGTTCTGACTGTTGGGGGAAACCTAATGGCTTTAGCATCCATCAGGGAAGACCAAAGACATGAAACATGGTTTCTGAAGTCTTTCACTGCTTTTAGTGACCTAATTCCTTTGTCATCCCTATCTGTCTTATAGAAACCAAGCCTCATTACCCAAAGGAGCAGAGATCTTGAGCAGGACAAATGCCGAATAATTTGTAGTAGTATTCATTAATTGCTACTATCTGGTCCAGAAACTTAGAAAGAGCCCTGAAATACCTGAAAAACTGAAGACCATAACCAGATTTCATCCTATAACTATAATTTCAGAAGTTATCTACTACATATATAATGCGTACACATCATCCAGCCTTGCAAAACACAACAGATGGGTTTTGTTTCTCCATTTTACAGATGGAAAATGAAGTACAGAAAAATGTTAGTTTTTTTCTCTGTTTTCCCACTTTTGGAGAAAATTACAGTTGACGGCTATTTCGTTGAAATGGCAACCAACAGCTAAAAATACACTTGCCCCTTCATCACCTATCAAGAGCCAAGGATGTCTTTAATTGATGGAAAAAATTAAAAGTTTGTTCTTGGAAAAGATCAACAAAATTGACAAACATTTAGCTAGCTGAACTAGAAAAAAACAGAGAGAAAAGACACAAATTACTAAAATCAGAAATAAAAAGTGGGGATATTCATTCTGATCTACACAAGTAAATAAGATTATTAAGAGTACTATGAACAACTGCACAACAATGAACTGTATAACCTAAATGAAATGGACAAACTCTTAGAAACACAAAACCTACCAAGACTAACTCACAAAGAAATAGAAAATCTGAACAGACCTATCATTAGTAAGAAGATTGAATCAGTAATCAAAAATCTCCCAACAAAAACAAGCCTAGGATCTGATGGCTTCACCAGTGACTTCTACCAAATATTTGAAGAACTAACACCAACTCTCCTCAAACTTTTCCAAAAAATTGAAGAAGGAAAATTTCCTGCTCATTCTATGAGGACAGCATTATCTTGATAGCAAAGCCAGACAAAGACACTACAAGACAACTACAGACCAATATCTCTTACGATCATTGTTGTGAAAATTCTCAACAAAATGCTAGCAAAGCAAATTCAACAGCATATTTTAAAAATTATACCCCATGACCAAGTGGTATTTGTTCCTGAAATACAAGCATATGGTTCAATATACAAAAATGGGTCCATCTAATACCTCACATTAACAAAATAGAGTAAAAAAAAAAACCACACACACGATCATCTCAATTGATGCAGGAATAAGTGTTGACTAAGTTCAACACCTTTTCATGATAAAAACAATAAGCTAGGAATAGGAAGAAATTACCTCAACATGGTACAAGTCATATATGAAAACCTCACAATGAACATCATACTAAATGGTGAAAGACTGAAAGCTTTTACTCTAAGATCAGTAACGAGACAATGATGCCCACTGTGACCACATCTATTCAACACAGTACTGAAAGTTCTGGCCAGGGCAATTTGGTAAGAAAAAGGAATCCAAATTGGATGTAAACAAGTAAAATTATCTATTTTCAGATGACATGATCTTACATATAGAAATCTCTAAAGATTTCCCACAAAAAGCTGTCAGAACTAATAAATGAATTCAACAAAGTAGCAGGACACAAAGTCAACACACAAAAATCAGTTGCATTTCTATACACTGACAACGAACAATCTGAAAAGGAAATTAAAAGGTTAATTCCATTTACAATAGTATCAAAAAGAATAAAATACTCAGGAATTAATTTAACCAAGGAGGTAAAAGACTTCAACAATGAAAACTACCAAACACTGCTGAAAGAAATTTTAAAAGACATATATAAATGGAAATACATCCCATGTTCATGAACTCGAAGACTTAATATTATTAAGATGTCAACATTATTCAAAGCAATCTAAAGATTCAATGCAATCCCTATCAAAGTCTCAGTAACATTTTTTGTAGAAATGGAAATCCCACCCTAAAATTCATATGGAATCTCAAGGGACTCCAAATAGCAAAAAGAATCTTAAAAAAACAAAGCTAGAAGACTCACACCTCCTGATTTGAAAACTCACTACAAAGCTATGGTAATACAGTGTGGTACTGTCATAAAGACAGACATGTAGGCCAAGGGAACAGAGCAGAGGGCCCAGAAATAAACTCTTGCATACACGGTCAAATGATTTTTGACAAAGGTACCAAGACCACTCACGAGAAATAATAGTCTTTTCAACCAATGGTGCTGGGAAAAATGGATCTATATGCAAAAAAATGAATTTGGACCTTTTTCTAATACTATATACAAAAATTAACTCCAAATACATTAAAGAGCTAGCTGTAAGATCTAAAACTCTAGAACTCTTAGAAGAAAACACAGGCAAAAGCTTCATGACACTGGATGTGGCAATGAATTCCTGGATATGATACCAAAGGCATATGCAACAACAAAAAAAATTACACAATTGGACTTCACGAAAGTTAAGAAATTGTGTGCATCAAAAGACACTAGAAACTGAGTAAAAAGGCAACCCACAGAATGGGGGAAAATATTTGTAAATCATATCTGATATGTACAGAACTCCTAAAACGCAACAAAAAACCCAAACAACTGGATTAATAAATGAGCGAAGGCTTGAATTGACATTTCCCCAAAGAAGACATACAAATGGCTAAAAAGCACATAAAAAGGTGGTTAACTTCACTAATCATTAGGTCATTACAAATCAAAACTACAATGAGATACCACCTCACACTCATAAGGATGGTAAACATCAAAAAAACAGAAAATAACAAGTGTTAGCAAGGATGTAGAGTAACTCGAACCCTTGTGCACTGTTGGTGAGAAAGTAAAATGCTGTGGAAGAGAGCACAGTGGTACCTCAGAAATAAAAAATAGAATTCCCTTAAGTTCCAGCAATTCCATTTCTGGATATCTACCCAAAATAATTGAAAGCAGAGTTTCAGAGTGATATTTGTATACTCATGGTCATAGAAGCATTATTCACAATAGCTAAAATGTGAAAGCAACTCAGTTGTCTATCAACAGGTGAATCTATATAAAAATTGCACTATTTACACACAACAGAATACTATTCAGCCTTAAAAAGGAAGGCAATTCTTATATACACTATTACATAAGTAAACCTTGGGACATTATGCCAAGTGAAATAAAGCCGTCACAAAAAAGACAAATGCTATGTGATTCCACTTACATGAAGTGATTAGAATAATTAAAATCATAGAGCCAGAAAGTAGAATGGTGGTAGCCAGCGGCTGAAGTAGGAAAGGGGGAGTTATTACTTAATGGGGATAGAGTTTTACTTTTACAAGACAAAAAGAGTTATGGAGATGGATGGTGGTGGTGATTACGCAACATTATGAATGTATTTAATACCAGTGAAATGTATACTTAAAAATAGTTAAGATAATTTCATGTTATGCATGTTTTACTATGAAAAATAAGAAAAATTAATTCTAAATTATTTTAACTAAATTTGTGAAGTCTAATATAGAGATTACAATTGTAAGATGAGTATAAATCCTCAAATCACACTAAATAAGATTTGGGGCTTAATACTTCCAACAAAATTTATGTAATAAATAGCATCTTAGCATGCATTTCATTTTGGCAACATGTGATTATTGCATATTATGGCCTGGTTTTCTTAGGTGAAGTCTCAGAGCATCTACAAGTCTGAAACGTGGCCCTCTGATGCTCTCTGCACTGATACCAATGTGCTCTGCTGTTTTGCACACTAACAATTACGAAATGACAGAAAGAGTTATACTGTAATGAGAACTTAGGTAAATATACTCACATCTATGTTGTTTCTTTTGTAGTTAACTATTAGAAGACACTGAGAAAAGGGAAGAGGAAGATTTGCCTACTGACTTACACAAATAGACAACCCTAGCACTGGATCGTGCTACTCTCAACCCAAATAATGGTATTTATATAACACCTCTCTCCAAGGTGACAAAGCTCTCTTATGCCTCAAGTAGGAAACAGCAGGGAGGGATATTAAGACCCTGTGCTGTAGTACACAGTCAGCAGCCCTAAGAACTTGTGACATGGGGCAGCAAACATCTCCCACCTCAAGATTGGGTGCTGCAAGGTGCCAACACAGGTCTCACAGAGTGCCCTGGCAAAGCAGGCAACTGTCCCCCTCAGGGGCATAAAACAGTTTGTGAAATCTGAAAAATACACAACCCTCAGTGTACTAACATCATCAGCCTTTGCTTTCTCAGGTTTTCAGAGCAAATAGAGGGTGGTGGTAAATAATATATCCTTATTGTAAGAAGGGTCCTGCAGTGGGATTTCTAAAGACCTTGCCCAGGGAGGAACTGCTGGGTTAGCATCTGAGATGCCCTAGGTTGAGCTGCAGTACCCCAGGAAAGGAAGGTGCATAATATTTCTTGAGTCCCTACTAAGTGTCAGGCACTGTGCCAAGTGTTCTTTGCTATCATGTTTCAAAACACAAAGATATCTTCAGTCTTTGGTGGAACTGGACTGACCTATACTCCCTGGGGGGTTCAGGAGACCTCATCTTAAGCTGAAAAGACAGTGACAGGTGTTCCCAATCTACCTCCTACTTCAATGTAAGGTATCCAAGGAGCCTAAAGCCACAGGGCAAATAGCCTGATGGCCCCAGCAGACAGTTGTATGCTTGAAATAGGAGCTCTGGCTGGGAACAGCCACACTGTATTAGTTTTCTACATAGAATAACAAAGTACCACAAACTCAGTGGCTTCAAACAACACACATTACCTCACAGTTTCTGCAAGTAAGTCTGGGCATGCCTAAATTGAGTCCTATGCTCAGGGTCTCGCCAGGCTGCAAACAATGTAGAGTCAGACTGCTTTGCCATGTGGAGGCCAGAGAGGGGAGAAGTCTGCATCCAGGCTCACGTGGGTTGCTGTCTTCCTGAGTCCGGGCTGTTCACTTCTCTGTGGCAGTGTGATTGAGAGCTCTGGCTTCCCGCTGGCTGTTGGCCAGTGGCCACCCTTAGGTTCTAGAGACTACCCCCAGTTCCTTGACATGTGGTCCTCTCCTTGGGCTGTCATAACATGGCAGTGTGCTTCTTCTAGACAAGGAAGGGAATGTCTCTCGTATTAGTCTGCTAAGACTGTCTCACATAATGTGACTTGGTCATGGGAGTGATGCACCATCGATTTGGCCATATAATGTAATCACTATCAAGGGAGTGGTGAGTAGTTGATTCCATTACCTTTGCCATATTTATTGGTTAGCAGCAAGTCACAGGTTCCATCTACACCCAACGGGAAGGGATTATATAAGGGTGTGAACCTGTACAAGTCACCCTAGAGTACACTTGCCACACTTACCAAGCCTGGAGGTATCTTTGTAGTTTAAGACTTTGTAGCATAAGACATTTTTTTTTGAAAACAGAATGTGCCTTGGAGATAGTAATATCTGAATAAAGATTCTGGCTGTTCTGTTGTATAGTTCGGGCAAATTGCTAATCACCTTGCAGCTTCAGTTTTCTCATTCAAAAATAGATACAACTATTATCTATGTATATAAACACAAATGTCTATTAATAGCTTCAGCCCAGTGATTTTATACATGACAGTATGCACATCCACACTTTTCCCAAAGCAATTGTGAAATATACTAATTGTACATGACACCAAATAGATATTACACAGAGAACAGCTCTGATACTGATCTGTAAAAGTCTGCAGACCACGACACTTACCTGAAAAGTTAGCTACTCCCGTAAGATGGAGCTTATGTATGCTTCACATGATTTGATTCATTCATTAAGCAAATTAATCAATCGCTAGCACCAAACTCTGTGCTAGGAACTGGGTATATATAAAGGAGTAAAAGAGACATAGTCCTTGTCTTCAATGACTATGTTTACAATATACTGGAAGAGATGAACAGCATTCATTCAATAAATATTTACTGAGGGCACTACTTCCATTATTACGAATAGTAAATAAGACAGACAAGATTCTACCCTTCTGGAGATTACGTTCTATATGAGAAATGGGAGTGATGTGAAAACAATAAACAAAAAGATAAATTAGAAGATAATTCCAAATGTTGATAGGAAATAATATAAGGAGGTATGAGAGGGATGAGGAGAAACTATTTTCAATAGGGGTCGGGGCAGGAAAGGACTGTACAGGGAGACGGCATCTGACTGAAGGTGGAGTGATGAGGAGCAGCAGACATTAACAGGAGCTGGAGAAGAGTGTTCCAGGCAGAAGAAACACCTGTGCAAAGACCCCGAGGCAGGAACAAGTCTGAGGATAATTCTCAGTGCAATGGAAGCCAGTGGAGAGTTACAAGCAGAGGAGTGACAAGATGTGAATTACATCTTTAATGGATGGAACTGGCTGCTATGTGAAGAATGTAAAATAGGAGAGTAATAATGGAAAAAGGCAGTATAGTGAACAAATCATAAGTTGCATAAAGTAAATATTATGAAAAGTGCAATAAAAGAATAGAATTGGGCTCTTTGCAGTGTACAAACAATCCTGTGCTCAAGTCACTGCGTCACTGCATTTCGGTAGCAGTGACAAGCAACACTTTAACAAGTAAATGTACATCTGAAGTGGTGCTAAATGCTCTGAAGAAAAGTAAAACAAGAAAAGGCTTAGGAAGTTAGAAGGGCTGATGTTTTAAACAAGATGGTCAGGAAAGCTGCACAAATTAGGTGACATTTGAGCAGAGACCCCAGCGAAGGCTTTGAGAAGACATGGAGAGGAAGTGATTGAAGCAAAGGGGCTGGCCAGGCCCCATGAACAATAGTGCCTGTGTGTTTGAGGAAGGCTAGCTCAGAAGGAGCGAGATGGAGACAGCCAGGAACATAAGGAATGAGCTCAGATCCTCAGGACTTTGTAACCCACATAAGTGCTTTCAATTTTATTCTAAGTGAGGAACTTCTCAAGAGATTTGTTGAGGGGAACTCATGTGATATAAAGGTAGCATGAAAATATAAAACTGGAGTAGAAATGATTTCGACTTGGCCCTCAGAAGACACCACTCAGAGTCGAGATACATAAGCTGAGACAGGAGGGATGGTGAGAAGACAGTTGTCGAAGAAGGGGCAGATGAGGGCCCATATTCTACCAGGAGAAGGGGAAACAGCCGCTACAAACTCCTGATACAGCAAAGAACTTGAGGAATTGAAGAAACTAAAGGCCACAGAGTGAACAAGAGGGAGAAGGAACTAGGAGAGACAGAAAGCACAGGGGCCACCACATGCTGGATCTTAAAGGCCATGCTGAGGATTTAGGTATGGTATTTATTTATAGTATTTAGGGACTATTCACGTGAGGTGCCATTAACTTAATTCTCAATATACATGTACACATGCATTTTAAATGTATACTATATTTGTTATGATTAAGAATCTGGTGTTTTTTTTTTTTTTTTTTTTTGAGACAGAGTCCCGCTCTGTCGCCCAGGCTGCAGTGCAGTGGCATGATCCTGGCTCACTGCAAGCTCCGCCTCCCAGGTTCATGCCATTCTCCTGCCTCAGCCTCCCAAGTAGCTGGGATTACAGGTGCCCACCACCAACAGCAGCTACTTTTTTGTATTTTTAGTAGAGACAGAGTTTCACTGTGTTAGCCAGGATGGTCTCTATCCCCTGATCTCGTGATCCGCCCACCTCGGCCTCCCAAAGTGCTGGGATTATAGGCGTGAGCTACTGTGCCCAGCCCTGATTAAGAATCTTTTAAGCAAGATCTGGCTTTAGCATTCATTGTTTAGACACACAAGTAAAGAATATCATTATTCCACCAGTTCTAGCTGACTTAAAAGTCTAAATCACTTACAGTGTCTCACATATTTCAGGAACCTATTTTCAATATTTTCCCCAAAGATGTAGAAGTAGAAACCCTCCAGCCTTTCAATACATTAGTATATGAATTATATCACCCATCACCTGACTTAAGTTTTCTTTCTTAATATATTTATCCTTGAAATACCCTATTCCTTTGAAGCTTAACAACATTTTCCTCACAACTGCTTTTGTAATCTGTCCTTTATGCATTTTGATTATTTTTCATTGCCAGGATGTGGAAATGGAAAAGCTCTGGCTACTAGACTCAGCACACATCCCTTATTCTTTAAGTGAAGGATGGATATATTCATTCATACACCTATTCACCAGACATACTGAGAGCAAACAATGTACCAGGCATAATGCTAAGGACTCTAAAAGATGCAAAGATGAATACAAGCTATCCTGTCCTCCAGGAAAAAACAGTAAATTCAGTGTGTTGTGAGACCAAGGATTTGTCTACATGAATGCCAAGTAATACATGTATTCATTTTCAGTTCCACAGTCACCAAATATAATCACTGTATTTATTCATCTTTGGAAGGACATGATTAAGAGCACAGCCTGTGGGAAAAGAAGTACACTAATTTTAATAGAGTATCTTTCCAGGGACTAATGGTACATTTTGAAACTAATACAGCTAGCTTTTATTTCCACAGGCAATATTTCACAAATGAGATTTGAAATTATTAAAAAATTCTAAATAGACATCGAATGACCCCAATTTGATACCCAAATCTCAGAAATGCTGGAAAAATCTAGACCATATAGGCATTCAAGGGAAAAGCATTTCCATAGAGAAACAAACCCCTACTGTGTACAACATTTTTCACATTCAAGCTGCTTTTTATGTAAGCAGTTTGGAAATTTGTATTAGATTATCACATCAGGGTAAGAGTAACTTCTCAGTGCAAACTGAAAAGGCCTCTCTCATAACAAGGATGCTAAGTCTGGAAAAGGTCCACAGTCCAACTGTCTACAATTCCATTCAAGTGTCATGAAACAGACTTTCAGAATTTTTTTTAAAAAATCCAGAGCCTAAATATATCCTAATTCTAAATCAAGAATCCATTTCTCTATTGAAAAGAAAAACCCACTGATAAAACATAAAACCAAGGAGGTAAACATGAAACATATATCGAACAGAAAGGCAAACTATCTAGTGCTGTACCGTCTATTACGGGCACCACTGGCCACAGCGGGCTGCTGAGCACCTGAAATGTGGCTAGTCCAAATTGAAATGTGCTGTAAGTATAAAATACAGACCGAAATCCAGAGTATGAAAAAAAACATAGAATATCTCAATAATTTTTAATAGTGGTTAATATTTTGGCTATAATGGGTTAAATAAAATATATTATTAAAGACAATTTCATCTTTCTCTTTACTTGTATAATGTGGTTTCTAGAAAATTCAAAATTACATATGTGGCTTGCATCCTATTTCTATTGGACAACATCGATTCAGTTTTTGCTCCCCCGTAAGGCATCAGAATATGTAAAGAAAACTGAGTTATATCTTCTTCAGTGATTTTTGCTCACAAATATCGTAAGAATAGGCACTTACAACCAGTAGAATGGAATTTGTGCACAGTACTTTCTATATTCAAATTATATCTTATTTAAGCATTTTAGGAATGTGTACTGGTTCATGCTATTGCAGTTCAAGCTTGGATGACTTTACAGCTGTCTGTCCTGCGTTCTCGAAAGCCCACCCTCACAGGGCAGACGTTTAAGCCTGTGATCCCGCTCACACTTCCACATCTCATCAGTTAGCTGGATTTTCCAGGAGGAATTAGCTGTGAAGCCTTCTGGGCTCCTCTCCTCAGACTGTGTGTAACTTACACTAAGACTGTGAGGTTCCAGAGGACAAGCCTCCAGTCTTGGTCTCATTTCTGCCCCACAGCATCTAGAATTGCTCTTTGCATAAAAGTAAATGCATGTGACAAATGTTGGTTACATATGAGTATCTGATGATTTAGGGAAAAGGAAGAATTTTTCCTCCTACTTTTTGTATTAGAGAAGTTTTAGTACATTAGACACTGACAGTCAACTGTGCTTCATAATTCATTTATTCCAATATCCCAGTGCCTGTTGGCTGCCTGGAACTGAGCTGGGGGCTGGGGATGTGGTGGTGAATAAGACAGGCACAGTGCTGAACTCATGGCGGATGAAAAACAAAACCACAAGTATGGCATGTGCCCCACTGAAAAGCAGCTGGGATTACAAGAGGGACAGTGACAGGGGAACCTAATGTGGTTGGAGCCAAGGAAGGCTAATAAGTGACCTTTACGCTGGACCCGAGGGAGCTGTTAGCCTAGCAAGGTGTTGGGGAAAGGGCAGGCTGACCATGCAGGGAGGGCCCCTTAAGCCATGTTAAAAATGAAAGTTAATCCTAAAGGCATGAAAAGCCATGGAAGGGTTTTACATAATATGACCAAATTTGCTTTTTAAAATATCATTCTGGAGATGGGCAAGAGTGGATGTAGGACCTTCACAGAGCATAGCCATGTATTCTTAAAAGCTAAACAAAATCACTTTGGTCATCACTTCAATAGGAACTGAGTTTTAAGAATAGAAAACATGTGTAAGCTCCACACCCCCAAGACGTGAAAGCCAGCAAGCACCCAGGAGCAGTAATCTAATACAGATGTACTCCCAAAGTACCCTCGAAGCATCAAATCCTACTGATTCCCCTGGCCTGTCCATGAACCCAAGATGTGAAAGCCAGCAAGCACCCGGGAGCAGTAATCTAATACAGATGTACTCCCAAAGTACCCTCGAAGCATCAAATCCTACTGATTGCCCTGGCCTGTCCATGTACCCAAGATGTGAAAGCCAGCAAGCACCCGGGAGCAGTAATCTAATACAGATGTACTCCCAAAGTACCCTCGAAGCATCAAATCCTACTGATTGCCCTGGCCTGTCCATGTACCCAAGATGTGAAAGCCAGCAAGCACCCGGGAGCAGTAATCTAATACAGATGTACTCCCAAAGTACCCTCGAAGCATCAAATCCTACTGATTCCCCTGGCCTGTCCATGTACCCAAGACGTGAAAGCCAGCAAGCACCCGGGAGCAGTAATCTAATACAGATGTACTCCCAAAGTACCCTTGAAGCATCAAATCTTACTGATTGCCCTGGCCTGTCCATGTACCCAAGATGTGAAAGCCAGCAAGCACCCGGGAGCAGTAATCTAATACAGATGTACTCCCAAAGTACCCTCGAAGCATCAAATCCTACTGATTCCCCTGGCCTGTCCATGTACCCAAGATGTGAAAGCCAGCAAGCACCCGGGAGCAGTAATCTAATACAGATGTACTCCCAAAGTACCCTCGAAGCATCAAATCCTACTGATTCCCCTGGCCTGTCCATGTAAATGTGTTACTTGGCATCAGGCCCTGTCCTAACCCAGGCCATATCTTGCTTATTCAGAACCAGCATTCAGTATCCACACTGGTTGGCCCAGCTCTAGGGTTCACTGAAAGGCTGAGTGGGCAAAGTATTTAGCAAACTGCACGAGTTTGGGAACATTCTTTGTGCTCTCCTGTGCCCAAGGACTGTCTCTCTGGGTGTCTGCCTAACTCTCAACTTTACCAGTTACCTGGTCTGGGCTCTATGGCCAGTGTCTACTCTCAGGGCAAGAAGCTGGTGGAGGGATGAAATTGTACCTGTTGTAAACAATTAAATGCAGGTTGTTTAAATTCTGTGGAATGATTACACAAAATTTTCGTTTTGTTCTGGACTCTTCTGGGTAGTACTTACTCATATATGTATGTGGCCTGCCCATACATAACTGTTTTTCTGAAACCAACCTCGAATTGCCTGTAATGGCCTTCATTGTTCTTAGTGGCAGATGTCCATTCAACTCTCAAATAGTCACAAAACCATTATATTGGCAGCCAATTAGCACATGCAATATTGTATTAAAAATGTCATTTCTAAACATTCAGATCTTCTCAATTACCTCCTCCTTTGATGTTTTTTATTAAAATAAAAATAAGCCTTAATCCCACAATTTCCTTTCTGAATTTCTCTGGTACTCTCTGAAAGGGAAGGACCCTTCACACCTAAATGAAATGGAGCCTACCCTTCTCAGAGGCAGGATCGTGCAACGTGAAGTGCAGAGACTTAGGAGGTAGTCAGACCTGAGTTCCAATCTTGTCTTCATCCCTTCCTAGGTGTATGAATGGGAAAGTTCCTTAAATTCTCTGACCCTTGTTTTTTCCTGAATAAAATGAGGCTAGCGTACTGGATTAGTTTTCTAGAGCTGTCATTTCAAATGACCACAAACTGGGCAGCCTCAAAGAAAAGAATTGATTCCCTCACAGTTCAGCATACCGGAAGTCTGAAATCAAGGTGTCGGCAAAGTTGGTTCCCTCTGGAGGCTCTGAGAGAATCCTTCCTCATGTCTTCCAGCTTGTGGTGGTGGCTCCTGGCATTCCTTTGCTCGTGACGTGTAACTTCAACCTCTTCTCATTCTTCACGTGGCCTTCTTTCCTGTGTTTCTCTGTGTCCTCTCCTCTTCTCATAAGGACACCCATCACTGGTTCTAGGGGCCACCCTAAATCTAGGAAGAGTTCATCTCAAGATCCTACATCACTACTTACATCTGCAAGGATTATTTCCACATAAGGTCACATTCCTTATAAGTTTAGTTCTGGATGGACCTGAATTTGGGGAGACACACAATGCAACCCACCACACCTACCTACAACAGAGCACAGTTCCATTATACTCAGGAAAACTGATGAGCTCCCACTGATAATTTGTGTTACAATGAATTTTTAGTCTATTTTCATACTAGAAATTCTTCAACTGTTTTTACTTTATATGGAGAAAAATGGTTACTTTTAAAGATGAGACAATGCCTCATATACCTAGCACTGCACTGAAAATGCATCAGTGCTCAATAAATACTATATTCCTCCTCCCACTGCCTTTCTCTTAGCCCTACAACCATGAGTTACAAGTACAACTCGTGAAAATCCCAGGAAATCATGGAGTACTTCAAGGTTCTAGGCAAAGATAAAGACCAAAACTTCTTGCCCCTATATAATGATTTCTTGCGGGGAAGCAGGGCGAGCAGTTCTCTTTCAGAACTTGACCTATGACAGTGGTTTAAACAGTAAGGAATAAATGTGCATCCAAGAGATCTTTGCATCTCTGTGAAAAACAGTGGTTACCAAGAAGGTTCTGGGTAAAAATAAGAAACCTGATTTTTGCAGTGCTTTGACAAATTTGCTAAGCATTTGAAAATGTATCTAGACCACTGTCAGTTAAATTCCTGGTTCCTATAGCTTATCACATTTTCTTCCATATTTTCCTCCCTCACATAAGCTCATTTCTAATGTGTTTTATGAACAAAAACAACAGCAACAAATATCCAGAAAGTTATTCCTACATAGTCTGCTCATCCTCAGAATAGCAGCTGGGCTGGTCATAGGTGAATAAGGATGGAAGGAAGCTGCAGCCAGCAGCAGGGGGCATAGAAAAGGAGCCAGCACTTAGTACAGCACACACCTGCTTCCTCTCAGCCCACACCCGCCCCCTTTTTTTTTTTTTTTTGATCACTTGTCCACTATTGCTCAGTATCCAAACTCATTGGGGCTGAAGCAGTTGTCTGCACCATCCTCTCTAGGACCATAAAATACACGGAACCCCAACCTGAAACTTGCAAAGAAACTAGCCTCAAGATTAAGGGGTATTCCAAATATTCACACATCTCACTTAAATACAACCAGCCTCACTTCCCGTTTCCGTGCCCTGTGGTTAGAAACTGACACACAGGAATGGTAATGAGGAGGTCTATCAGGTAGGCTGCTTTGCTTTGCTTTGCTTTGCTATACCTAGTGCCTACCGAAACTGCCCCAACTCTGCCTGGTCCTCTTATCAACATATAGCTCCGTTATCTCTATTACCACTTCTTTTTCTTAGAGTATAACAAGTTAGCAGGAACCAATGCTGATCTGTGATGTGCTTGGAGAAGAATCAGAATCAAGATCAACGCTCTGAAGACTTTGGTGATGCCCTATGAAGAAACCCTCTGTGTTTCATGAAAACGATTCACCTCCCTACTTTTTCACATCTTCTGGGAATCATTATATCTTACCTTAAACTATCCTAATTTTCCTTCTTACCATCTCTTGAAAGTTCAAACTGATAACAGTTTATAGCTACTCTGATATTATGTGTCACCTGAACTGTTTGCATACATTATTTGTTAAATATACCACAGTCAGATAAAATACCACAGATCTTCCAGTTACTTCAATGTGAGCTTTAAAAAGCCCTTCTCCCCAGTTAAAATGTGCTATCCATGAAGTCGCTAACCTCTCAGAAAAGTGGACCGAGGAAGCAACACCAAAAGAAGAAACACACCAAACTTAAAATGTCTATCAAAGAGAAACTAAAAGTTACCTCGAGGGATCCTTTAAACATATAAGATGATGCCTTACCTGGATTGGGTTGAAGGTATTCAATTGTTTTAGTCATTATTTCCATCACAGCCCTGCTGGTGACATCCACTTTCTGAAATGAGAAAATAAGTGCTCTAAATGACAAAAATGATGAGCTTTAGAATACCGGTTTTTGGTTGAGTCTGTATACAATGGCGGGGTATGCAACAGAGCCCCGGACAAGTCCCGCAGTAGGTGAGGGAGGCTGAGACGCGGCTGGAAGTCATGCTGACACTGTACTCAGCAGTGGTCTGCCAAGATGTGGAAAGCCCGTTTATCCAAAGAAGAAGCTTGTAGTTTCCTAAAATTTGTTTCAAAATATAATTCATTACCTTCTGGTGAAAATAAGGTGAATAAAATGAAACATATTTTGTCCCAGAGGCATTTATTGGATGCCTACAGTGGGTCAGGCATGGAGGCAGATTTTGCTGCCCTCAAGAAAGAATCATGCAGCATCAACTCTGCTTATTCAAGAAGTGGGGAGCTTTTTATTTAACTTCTAAGAACATCCTAAAAATATAAAATCTTGAGCAAAGACTTCTAGTCTGTCCTTGAACTTTTGGTTAATGCTAAACAAAAATCTTGATGCTAGAGTCTATCCTCCAAATTTGTTCTATCCTCTAAATTTCTAAATTTGGAATGGTCAGTGTTTGCCTTCAGCATCTCACCGTGTTCTCTTTGTCAGGCCCCTCTCCCCACTTGAAAGAGGTCATGGAAGGTGCTCACTGCAGTGCTCTCTGTCTTTCTCCAAGAAATCCTTTTCTTATCAGCATCTGTGGGCCTCCTATTCGCCCTACATGGTAAATGACTAATGAGAATAAATGCATCCTCCTATTCAAGGTATGTACATGTAATATATGACATAGGTATAAATGAAAGTGATTAAATTTTAATGTAGAAATTTAGGTATCAATTAAGTCCACTGGAGAAATTTTCTGTTTGTTAAAAGGCTCCCCCTTCAACTATGAGAAACTTTTCCATAACCTGCTGTACCTAGTGGTATATAATATATACCAGTATATAATATCAGTATATACCAGTATAATATCAGTATATACCAATATATACCGGTATATAATATATACCGGTATATAATATCAGCCTTGCATAAAGTAAGCCTCCTCCTTTTCCATAATCCACACATTAAAAGATTTTATCTTTCAGTTCAGTTTTTCAATACTTAATAATTTTTCATTCCATGGCAGTCATATTACTGTGTGTGTTTGCTATTACTAGGATCAACAGAGGAAAACAAATTTTTTCTTGTGAAGTTATAATGATATAAAATTATCTTTAGAAGGATGCAATTTCAAATGTGCCTGTCTACATATAAATCTTGTATAAATATCCTTTTGATTGATTCAAATTTCAAAGATCTTTAAGATTGAGTGTGTACCAGGTAGTGATTAGCTTAAAAATGCTCAGTAGCCCCCTGGAGTTGTGCAGTACACAACTTGTGAAGCCATATGTGAAGGTCCTAGTATTAGCAAAATTCCAAACAACCACTATGTACTCAAGTCATAGAATGTCTTATGCCAGGGAAATGGATCAAAGGTGTGTATGGAACAAATATGCTGAAACTCCATGGTACATGTGTGATAGAAGTACAAATGTAGATCTCCTGCTGCCTATGTGATGGGAATTAAGGAATTAGATGACAAATGTGTCTAAATATCCTGTAGTTATGATGAGAAGGAAAATCATTCAAAAAGCCAAGGTTTCTAAAAAAGAGTGCCATAGGAATTAAATTTTCCAATGGCTGTTTGATATCCTGATGTCATCTGCTGTTAAGGGGCTGACCAATTTCTAAGGTTCCCCCATCTCTGTCCTTAATAATTATAACAATCATCACCATAAGCTGTCTTCTGTTTGTCAGAAACTGTTCTAAGGACTATAAATATCTTTACACACTCAATGCTCACAAACTCTGTAATGTATATGAGAAAACAGATACAGAGGGGTTAAGAAACTTCCCCAGTTCTAGTTCCAGTGTGTGTGTTCTTAATGACCATCCTATACTTCTTGAAAGCAAAAGCTCTTCCTAAAAAGACAGGCAACAGAGGCATCTCCCAATCTGAAAGAGAGGCCAAGTCAGAGCTGGAATATGCTTTGTTCCCTCCCTAAGATGGGGCTGGGGACCTGGCAGTAGCCGGTGAAACAGCATCAGCAGGAAGGTACCTGCCATCCCATATTCTGTTTTTATTTTGAAACTTCTCAAAGTCTGTGGAAGCTTCATCCACAAGACTATTCCATCCTGGGCCTCTCTGGAAGGGAGGCTCTGCAATGCTGATCTGCTGAACCACAGGCCCTCAGTTTCACGGGTTTCCCTACAGAGACTGGTACCTGCAGTGTCTATCCCACCTGGCCCACAGGGAGGTGAGCAAGGAAGGCTGTGAAAGCTAGTTTCTCATTTTGGCTACAGAACCCCCTTCCCTTTTAAGCTCTGTGTAGGGAGCCCAACCACTCATGTAGTGTAAACAGACACCACTAGCTTGGCTGAAGCCAGTGGTCTCAGGGAAGACCCAGAGACCCTGGGGATACCAATATTAGATTATTACATTTGGTCCCCAGGGCAGGACTCCATCTTAAAAGAGAAGTAGGAATAAAAACTATTCCAGTGTCCCTTGTGACTTGTCTAAAGAAAGAGCTCATCCCACCCAGATGTTTACCGACTTTGTGCCCATTGAGGCAGACTCCTTCAACACTTTTGGTTACCTAGTCCAGGCATCATTACAGAGCAAGTTCTACCTAAACCCTTTTGACTACAACATAAAATAACCTTCGCTTGAAATCCACCACCTCTGAAAACAACTTTATTCAATACAGTTACATTTTTATTTCATTATCAGGAATTATACTAAAGAGGGACCCACTTTTGGCAAATCCATTCCTAGGCCCTTGCTACTGACTGCAATTTTTTTTTTTTTTTTTTTTTTTTTTTTTTTTTTGAGACAGGGTCTTACTCTCTCCCCCAGGCTGGAGTGCAGTAGAGCAATCTCAGCTCACCGCAACCTCCTCCTCCCAGGTTCAAGCGATTCTCCCTCCCCAGCTTCCCAAGAAGCTGGGACTAGAGGCACGCACCACCATGCCTGGCTAATTTTTGTATTTTTTGGTAGAGACGGGGTTTTGCCATGTTGGTCAGGCTGGTCTCGAACTCCTGGCCTCAAGTGATCCATCCGCCTTGGCCTTCCAAAGTGCTGGGATTACAGGCATGAGTCACTGCACCAGGCATGGCTGCATTCTTACAGATAATTACTTGATAGACTTCATGGACATAAGAGGAAGAGACCAGGGGAGCATTCTGTTTAACGCTTTAATTTATTAAATGTCCACACCTGTGGCCTAGAGAAGGGAAAGGAGCTCTTTAAGTGTGTTATGAGGAGAAAAGTAGTTCCCAAGGCCATTAATCAGAGGCTTTCTTTAAAAAAGTACCAGAAGAACTGAATGGTCCAATGATTAGTCACATTCTGAAGTCATCTGCCAGTAGGAGGCTGACTAATTTCTAACTTCTCTCCACCTCGGTCCTCCATAATAATGCCCAGGACTCTTTTGCTAAACTACACTGTGTCAGCCAGAGACAAGCTGAGGGCCATAACCCCATGAGACCCCTGAATGTGCCTTGTTATGCACTTGGCAGAAGAGTTATTTATATACCTAAGCTGGTAATATCCAAGTACATATTCTCTTAGTAACAGGCCTGATTAACTTAGCATAAAGAAGATTTCCACTTAAGTAACTTATTATAACTAGCAATTCCCATAAGCTCCCAGAATTGAGCTTATTGCCATTTGAGAACAGTACAGTTTAACTTTGAACTTATGACATGTAACTGTTATTTTTCTCAATGTCCAAAATTTCCAATTACTATTTGAAAGTAAGTTTTGATGCATCCTAAATTACAAGAATTTCTCATCTTATAAGCTCCTGAGCCTCCGTCTTCAACTAACCTTGCCTGGGATTGGTGTGAGGAGCCATTAGGGAAGGCTGTTTAAAGAAAGTGAAACTGTTCATATCCTTCGCCCACTTTTTGATGGGGTTGTTTTTTTCTTGTAAATTTGTTTGAGTTCTTTGTAGATTCTGGATATTAGCTCTTTGTCAGATGAATAGATTGCAAAAATTTTCTCCCATTCTGTAGGTTGCCTGTTCACTCTGATGGTAGTTTCTTTTGCTGTGCAGAAGCTCTTTAGTTTAATTAGATCCCATTTGTCAATTTTGGCTTTTGTTGCCATTGCTTTTGGTGTTTTAGACATGAAGTCTAATGCCTTGCCCATGCCTATGTCCTGAATGGTATTGTCTAGGTTTTCTTCTAGGGTTTTTATGGTCTTAGGTCTAACATTTAAGTCTTCAAAAAGGGGGCAAAGGATAGGAACAGACACTTCTCAAAAGAAGACATTTATGCAGCCAACAGACATATGGAAAAATGCTCATCATCACTGGCCATCAGAGAAATGCAAATGAAAACCACAATGAGATACCATCTCACACCAGTTAGAATGGTAATCATTAAAAAGTCAGGAAACAACAGGTGCTGGAGAGGATGTGGAGAAATAGGAACACTTTTACACTGTTGGTGGGAATGTAAACTGGTTCAACCATTGTGGAAGACAGTGTGGCAATTCCTCAGGGATCTAGAACTAGAAATACCATTTGACCCAGCCATCCCATTACTGGGTATATACCCAAAGGATTATAAATCATGCTGCTATAAAGACACATGCACACGTATGTTTATTGCGGCACTATTCACAACAGCAAAGACTTGGAACCAACCCAAATGTCCATCAATGATAGACTGGATTAAGAAACTGTGGCACATATACACCATGGAATACTATGCAGCCATAAAAAATGATGAGTTCATGTCCTTTGTAGGGACGTGGATGAAGCTGGAAACCATCATTCTCAGCAAACTATTGCAAGGACAAAAAACCAAACACCGCAAGTTCTCACTCATAGGTGGGAAATGAACAATGAGAACACTTGGACACAGGAAGGGGAACATCACACATGGGGGCCTGCCGTGGGGTGGGGGGAGGGGGGAGGGATAGCATTAGGAGATATACCTAATGTAAATGACGAGTTAATGGGTGCAGCACACCAACATGGCACATGTATACATATGTAACAAACCTGCAAGCTGTGCACATGTACACATACTCTAGAACTTAAAGTATAATAAAAAATAAAAATAAAAAAAAGAAAGTGAAACTGTAAATATATACAGATACAGGCATGTTTTTTAGGTAATAAAAACTTCCATTTCTACTTCTTTAAATGGTTGAAAAAATTTGAAATGAGACTACTATTTTACTGCACAAAATAATTATTCAAATTTCAAATTCACATTTCAGCATCCTTAGATAAAGTTTTGTTGGAAAACAGCCATACTTATTCATTTAAACGCTGTCAATGGACGCTTTTGTGTTTTGACAGCATTGGCAAGGAGTTGTAAGAGACCACAGAGACCCTCTGGCCCCAAAAACCTAAAGCACTTACAAAAAAATCTTGATTCCTGTGCTAGGTGCTAGCTTCACTAATAATAATGCCATGCTGAATCTATAGATGATACTGATTATTTCACCAGCTGTCTCAGTCTTTAGAGACAAGATACTAAAGAATAGAAGGCATGGAAATGACTAGAATGGGGTTACTCTTCCAGAGACATGGGAATATTACCTTTCTTCCCTGAAGAAAAGTTGGTATTTCCTGAACTTAGGTGTAAGGACTCGTGAACAGCGTGGCGTTGTTTGTGGAGCAACAAAAGGACTGAAAGATATGATTTCATACTATTAGATACCACATTATACCAGATGCTGTAGCAGAGCAAAAGTTTAAGAAAAACATAGACACCTTAAAGGGAGCACCAACACTTTGTGAGTTTAGTGATCATTAATATATAAATAAATTCAGTCAGTCATGGTGGCCCATGTCTGTTACCCCAGTGCTTTGGGAGGCCAAGATAGGAGGATTGCTTAAGGCCAGGAGTTCAAGACTAGCCTGGGAAAAAGTGAGACCCCATCTATACAAAAGATTTTAAAATTAGCCACAAAGATACAACAAAAAAGAAAACTTCAGGCCAAGGTCCTTGATGAACACTGATGCAAATCCTCAATACAATGCTGGCAAACCAAATCCAGAGGCATGTCAAAAAGCTTATCCACCATTATCAAGTAGGCTTTATCCCTGGGATGCAAGGTTGGTTCAACATATGCAAATCAATAAATATGATTCATCACATAAACAGAACTAAAGAAGAAAAACACATGATTATCTCAATAGATGTACAAAAGGTTTTCAATAAAATTCAACATTCATTCATGTTATAAAGTCCCAATGAGCTAGGTATTAAGGGAATGCACCTCAAAACAATAAGTGCCATATATGACAAACCCATATCCAACATCATACTGAATGGGCAAAAGCTGGAAGCATTTCCCCTGAAAACCGGCACAAGACAAGGATGCCCTCTCTCACCCCTCCTATTTAACATAGTATTGGAAGTCCTGACCAGGCCAATTAGGCAAGAGAAAGAAATAAAGCACATCCAAGTAGGAAGAGAGGAAGTCAAGCTATCCATGTTTGCAGACGGCATGATCCTATGTCCAGAAAACCCCACAGTCTCAGCCAAAAAGATTCTTAAGCTGATAAAGAATGTCAGCAAAGTCTCAGGATACAAAATCAATGTTCAAAAATCACTAGCATTCCTATACACCAAGAACAGTCAAGCCAAGAGCCAACTCAGGAACAATCTCCTTCACAATTGCCACAAAAATAATAAAATACCTAGGAATACAGCTAACCAGGGAGGTGAAAGTTATTTATTTATTTTATTTTTTTGAGACAGAGTCTCACTCTGCCGCCCAGGCTGGAGTACAGTGGCGTGATCTCGGCTCACTGCAAGCTCCACCTCCTGGGTTCAAGCCATTCTCCTGCCTCAGCCTCCCGAGTAGCTGGGACTACAGGCGCCTGCCACCATACCCAGCTAATTTTTTGTATATTTAGTAGAGTCAGGGTTTCACCATGTTAGCCAGGATGGTCTCGATCTCCTGACCTCATGATCTGCCCACCTCAGCCTCCCAAAGTGCTGGGATTACAGGCGTGAGTCACTGCACCCGGCCAAAAGTTCTTTACAAGAAGAACTACAAACACTGCTGAAAGAAATCAGAGATGATACAAACAAATGGAAAAACGTTCCATGCTCATGGATAGGAAGACTCAATATCATCAAAATGGCCATACTGCTCAAAGCAGTTTATGAATTCAATGCTATTCCTATTAGACTACCATTAAGATTCTTAGCAGAACTAGGAAAAAGTACTTTAAAATTCATATGGAAACAGAAAAGAGCCTGAATAGCCAAGGCAATCCTATGCAAAAAGAACGAAGCTGGAGTCATCATGCTATCCAACTTCAAACTATACTACAGGGCTACAATAACCAAAACAGCATGGTACTGGTACAAAAACAGACACATAAACCAACAGAATAGAATAGAGATCTCAGAAATAAAACTGCACACCTACAGTTATCTGGTCTTTGACAAATCTGACAAAAATCAAACAATGGGGAAAAGATTCCCTATTCAATAAATGGTGCTAGGATAACTGGCTAGCCATATGCAGAAGATTGAAACTGGACCCCTTCCTTACACCATATACAAAAATTAACTCAAGATGGATTAAAGACTTAAATGTATAAACTCCGAATCATAAAAACCCTGAAAGACAACCTAGGCAAAATACCATTGAGGACATAGGCATGGGCAAAAATTTCATGAGGAAGACACCAAAAGCAATTGCAACCAAGGCGAAAATTAACAAATGGGATCTAATTATACCAAAGAGTTTTTGCACAGCAAAAGAAACTACCAACGGAGTAAAAAGACAAGCTATAGAATGAGAGAAAATTTTTGCAAGCTATGTATCCAACAAAGGTCTAATATCCAGCATCTATAAGGAACTTAAAGAAATTTACAAGAAAAAAAGCAAACAACCCCATTAAAAAGTGGACAAAGGACATGAATACTTTTCAAAAGAAGACATTTATGTGGCCAAGAAACATATGAGAAAACACTCAACATCACTGATCATTACAGAAACACAAATCAAAACCACAATGAGATAAAAAGTCAAAAAACAACAGATGCTGACAAGGTTGTGGAGAAAAAGGAATGCTTATACACTGTTGGTAGGAGTGTAAATTAGTTCAACCATTGTGGAAGATAGTGTGGTGATTCCTCAAAATCCTAAAGACAGAAATACCATTTGACCCAGCAATCCCATTAGTGGATATACACCCAAAGGAATATAAATTGTTCTATTATAAAGACACATGCACACATGTGTTCACTGCAGCACTATTCGTAATAGCAAAGACATGGAATCAACCCAAATGCCCATCAGTGAGAGACTGGATAAAGAAAATGTGCTACGTATACACCATGGAATACTATGCAGCCATAAAAGAGAGAGAGCAGGTTCTTTGCAGGGACATGGATGAACCTGGAGGCCATTATCTTTAGCAAACTAATGCAGGAAGAGACAACCAAATACCACATGTTCTCACTTATAAGTGGGACAAAAATGATGAGAACACAAGAACGCACAGAGGGGAACAACACACACTGGGACCTATTGGAGGGTGGAGGGTGGGAGGAGGGAGACAATCGGGAAAAATAACTAATGAGTACTAGGCTTAATACCTGGGTGATAAAATCATCTGTACAATAAACTCCCATGACACGTGTCTACCTATGTAACAAACGTGCACGTGTACCCCTGAAGTTAAGATACAAGTTTAAAAAAAGAAAGAAATTGGACCTCAAATATCAAATAAATAATAAAAATTAGGCAGGCATGGTGGTGTGTGCTGGTAGTCCTAGCTACTTGAGAGGCTGAGGCAGGAGAATCACTTGAGCCCAGAAGTTTGAGGTGATAGTGAGCTATGACTGAGCTACTACACTCCAGCCTGGACAATAGAGTGAGACCTCAATCTCCACATAAGTAAGTAAATAAATAAATTAGATAAATAAGTAGATGAATTACACACCCACTTGAAAATGGGTAACTCACAGTGGTAACATAAAAGAAATATTAAAAAGGCATATGAAAAACTAAAATATTTTCAAATTCTTAACTTTTCTGTCACTGAAGTTAAGAAACTACAACTATTAATAATGCATACACACCCACTTAAAGTACTGAGACTCCTGAACAAGAACAGCTCAATAAACAATCACAGAGACATGATGAAAACCGTGTCCTGGGAAGGTCTGTCTGGCAGCGAGATACAGGCAGGTCCAAGAGTGATGTTTTTAATAGTCCCCTGCTGACTCAGAAGAGTTAATCCATCTGTCCCCAAGCTGCTTTGATTTAAAGCATTATCTTATGTTTTCAGAAAGCCCAACTGACAAACAACGTGTTAAAAAACAAAAATAAACAAGGTTATTAGAATGCTGTGATTGCTCCAATGTATTTTTTTTGCTGTTAATCTTCTTGGTCATTACCTTTAATGAATATAAGCTTGGAACTATATATTGCAAACATGTAACTCAGAGGAAGCTTGTCATCACTGAATTTCAGACTAAGGAAAAAGATGTCTTCAAAGCTCATCTTGTTTGGAGCTCTGGCCCTTCTTACATCCCCACACCGGGGGGGTGTGTCTTAGCACAATGCTCCACGCCTCCTCCTTTCCCATCACACCATGAAGGAGACATTATGGGTGCACTCAGGGATACGTGTTGCTCAGAGCATTCCAGCTGAAACTCTACTCCTTTCTCTCCCCATTTGAGAGAGATCACTGGAATCCAAGTAAGAGTGACATCATTAAAAAGTGACATTATTAGTAACAAATTACTAACCACAAAACTCACAAGAGATGACTGGTGTGCCTCACATGATGGGAGGGAACTAGCAGGTCAGTGTGTGTTCCAACATGGGCGGTGGGAACAAGGGGGTCAAACATGGGCAGTGATAGGGAATTCAGTCATTGCTGAGGCAAAACACACACACACACACACACACACACACACGCACACACAAAAACACACACACCAAAAACCCAGCTTTGATAGCCAAAAGTTTTTCTTATATTGAGCCAGAATCTATCTCCCCATGGTTTCTACTCATTAATTCTAGCTCTACCACTTGGGCTGGATAGAAAAATTGAACCCCTCTCCACCCAGTGACTGAGTGTATGAAGATAATGACCATGGACATTTTCCTATTGGACTTTCTCCACACCTGAATCTGCCAATAATCCTCTCTTACTCTCATATGAAATGGCATTCTTTCTCAACAACTTGCTCTTCTTAAAACTCAAAGTTGCTCCTTAAAAAGAATCCCATTTTTATTAAAGGGCCTATAGACATGTTTCTATCCCTAGGACATCTTCTGGGTTCAACAGAAGGGATTTCCCACAATAATTTTCAGGCTGCAAAACAGATACTATATTCCTCAGCTTAGAATTCTGAATTAACCACATAATCAGGGACAAGAGACATGTTCAGGATTTAGCTCAGACGCCCTCTCTCTTCTAGGAAGCCTGATGTACCCAGCCTGAATATTCCATGGGAAACCTCCCCAGGACACCAAGCACTATGTTCTGTAAGGTACTGATTTACGTACAATTTTTTAAAAATCAAAACTGGAAGCCCCTTGAAGGCAGGGATACTGCCTTAACATGGAGGCACTTTCCAAGTAAATTAATGAATGTAACTGTACACACAACAAAAAACTACACAATCATTGCAGCAACTGAGGAAAATTTGAGAAGGAACCAGAGGTTCTTCAAATTTCCGAACTTCCTCTTAACAAAAAATCCTATAGCTTTTCAAAGAACAAATCCTCCAATGTTGCACCAGAGTAAGACATTTAGCCTGTGTTTAACAAAGCTTGTAAGCAACAGACAGCATTTAAAATGAAAACAAAAAGAATTCCATGCAAGGCACTTAGGAGAGAAATAATGATGGGCAGGGATCCTACAGAGACAGCACAGCCGCAGGATTCTATCCAATCAGCTCAGGGAGAGGAGGGCTGCAGAGCTAAGGGACACACATGATGATTTTACTGCATCTCAGCCACAGAGTGGCTGGGGCGGCTGATTAGAGAAACACCCCTAGGAAAACCCACTTCTCTCTCCCAGTAATGCTGCTTGAAGCAAACCTCTAATTTATTTCATTTTGTTATCTAATTGCACCTCCGAGAATACAGATGAGCAAAGGTCTCTCTACCCCAAATGCCTGACGAGCAGAAAACAAACTATGGAAAGGCAATTCTTCTGTCTGCTTGGGAACACTGAGCTCAAACATTTGTGTGAATAATCAATTAACAGGCGAGAAAAGATTTGAGAGTCTAAATCCAAAGCAAGTGCTTTTCAATTACCACAGAAATCTTATACTATTCATGTAAATTTAGCATGAGTGGAGGGTGCAAAATTTGCAATAGAGACAGAAACAAAAGATATACAGAATCAAAAAGAGTAAAACAATTGCCACACTGCACTGAAACCTAAATCTCTCAATTTATTCAGGTATAAACCCAAGTAAAGAGCCATGAGTGTGTTCTTCAGTCAATCAGATGTTTACTTTGCTGCAGGAGTATCTATATTTTGAAATAAAAGTTTCAGAAACATTTCTATAAATTAGGAGAAATAATCCTTATACCTTACTTTCATACTCAGAGGAAGGTCTGTTGGTATTTGCCTAAAGTAAAATGCTTGGAGGATTCTCTTTTATTTCAATTACTTTGCAAAACTGGCATATATTTCTCACCAAAATAAATCTCCAAAGGTCTAATTAGTTGCTCAGTGATAAATTCTACTCAGTTCTCCAAATTTCCTGTTCTTTTTAGTCTCATTTAAGAAACAGGAAGTTAGCTTGTCTCACTTTAGACAGTGAGCTGCCTAGCTTATTCCCTTTAGTCCTGGCAGATGCTAAAAGGAAGTGTCAAATTCTGATTCCTGGTACTTAGTTCCAAATTCCTAAATACCTGCCTAATCTTTCATTAATGACATGACATTGGCCACGTGGCAAACTATAAATGCTCTCCAGGGGTGAGGGGGAAGGAGGAGCATCAAAGTACAAGGAGGGATCAAGCAAGACTGGGTGAAGACAGAGGCGGATTAACCCATGGGCTGTTCAAATGAAGCGTGAGGAACTCCAATTTTATGGGCAGTAGAAGAGTCAAAGACAAGACATTTCTGGAAATGTGTGTCAGTTCCTGGAGTCTCAGATGCCGTAGAAGATGAATGGGTAAAATATTATTTCCAGAACTATGGATATTAGTGGCTACCAGCTTTGGTTGAGGATCAGGTGGTATTTAGAACCATCCAGAGATGAGAAATAGGAACCAATGCAGACTTTGGTCCAGTTGGAGGAAGTAGGTGCCAGGCCTCAGCTGTAAGAGTCTGGTTTTCCAGACTTCTGAAGGCTGGGACTCAGAATTCCAGTATAAAATCTCCTCACCACTGGGTATCCATCAGTGAGGTCTATCTCAAGAACTTAGCCAGAATGACCAGCTGGATCAATACTATGCAGTCTGATTTCACAGGACCCTGCCTCTTGGCAACTTATCTTTTTTTTTCAGGAACTCAACCGTTCCCTCTTGCCTGCTTGCATGCTGTTTCCTTTACCAGGCTCTGCTAACTCTTTCCCATCTTCACTTAACTATCAGGAAGGTTCTCCTTGACAATGCAGTATGGGTGAGTTTCCTCTGTGCTGGGCTTCTGTAGCTCCATTAGTTTTCCTCCTCGCCACGCTGGTCATTACTTGCCCCAAGTTTGCCCTCCCCACTAGACTACGAACTTCATGCACTCAGGAACCTTGTCTATATCCTACCTCCTGGTTCATGGAAGACACAAAGAAAATATTTATTGAATTCATCAATAAACTCACCAAGAGAAAAACTAAAAAGACAAGGTAGAAAGTACCTAGGATTTTTTTTTTAATTTCTCACACTACACTAATGAATACCTAGGAATTTTTTGTTTGACTCTTCATGCAAACATAGTAAAAACAGCAAAACTGAGGCAGCCTGTTGGATCTGATGTAGACTAAAACAATATCCAGTCCCTAAAAAACTTCTGGTAGAATCAAAATCAGAATATTAAAAAATTGCTTTGTTACAACGAAGTACAAAAGCAATATTCTTTACAATGTTTAAATGTGGTTTCTAGGTACCATAGTTTGCAACATCCTCTTCTGTTCAAGTACAGGATTGCTACTCTCAGATCCATTACCCACCACCCACTTAAGACCTAAAATGTTTCTGTGCACAATGTAACACACACTTTTAATCATAAGCCTAAATATCACCTGTTCTGAAGAGCGTTAAAGTAAAAGAAAAGTAAAAGCGAAAATATGGCTCATGTCCCAAGAAAAATAAAATGAGATGTTTTGTTCATCACTTCTACCCTCACTTGCTGAGAACCTACCTTTTAAGCAGAAAGCTAAATAATCTACATTATTTTTAAGCCTTAACTAAAATCCCCCAAATGAGTATTAGTCTTCTCATTTTACATTCACTTAAAAAGGGGCTCTGCTGGGTGCAGTGGTTCATGCCTGGAACCTCAGCACTTTGGGAGGCTGAGGCAGGCGGACCACCTGAGGTTAGGAGTTCGAGACCAGCCTGGCCAGCATGGTAAAACCCCATCTCTACAAAAAATACAATAATTAGCCAGACGTGGTGGTGCGTGCCTGTAATCCCAGATACTCAGGGAGCTGAGGCAGGAGATCGCTTGAACCCAGGAGACGGAGGTTGCAGTGAGCCAAGATCATGCCACTGCACTCCAGCTTGGGCAACAGAGCAAGACTCCATCTCAAAAAAATAATAACAATAATAATAATAAAATTTTAAAAAGAGGCTCTGATCAATAGATGGACTTTTGTGACACATGGCAGGAAGGGGAGTTTGGGCCAAGGTTGGACAAGCTCTAAAACTGTATTCTCTCCACTATACATGGCTGCCTCTGGCCAATCATCCAGTAAGGAAGGTCCTTAAAGCCAGAAAGTGACTTAAACTCTCCCAAAAACATTTGGGATGTCATTCTGCAGCTTCTTTTCTACGCATCTCACCCTAATTCAAACATCAGCTCAACACTGTCCTTATTTTTTTAAAATGATGATGAAACCCACCAGAAAAAGTTCATCGTGACCTTTCACCTTCACTGAGGTTTTGTCCTCAGGACAGTACAAAGGGAAGACAGAATATTTTACATTTTATGTTTTAAAACATACATGAAAAGTAGTTTTAAATAACAAAATGTAGTATTCTCAGAGACCAGTGGAAAACAGTTGCCCTCTCCCGTTTTCTCTTCTCCTCTAATTATGGTAGACATGTTTATGTCAAAGGGAACACTAGGCAGTAGTGAAGGCTTACCCTTTCCATCTCTTTGAAGTCATCATCTAGCTTGGTTCCTTCAGCTCCTCCAACCTTCTCACTCACTTTCTGTAGAAAATAACCACAAAGGAGAATTATTATAAACAGTTTCTTTAAAAAATGTGTTAGAAATTTTAAGCACTTTCACAAATGTCATCTAATGTAATCTCACAACCATTCCCTGACTTAGGTGGAGAGTCTCATTTTTATAGCAGCAAACTGTGGCTCTGAGGGTCTGAAAAACTTACTAAAGGCTATGCATCTGGTGGGTATAGAAGCAAGCATTCAAATTTGTATCTTCTGATTTCAACCTCAGTGCTCCTTCTATCAAACAAATCATTATATAACTACCTAATCCTAACATTTTCCTCTTGAAAGTTCTAAGGGACAACAGCATCATACAATAATCATTTCCCTCTGATAATGGATCTCAAATGCTACCTATGCAGAAAACTGCTGCTTCTTCAACCTAGTCCTAAATGGGCTATTGAACAGATAATCACAAACATCTATCAAACTGTTATGAAAAGAAAAAAAGTCTCAGCCCAGCTAATCTTCAGACAAAAGTACTTGTATAGTATAGTCTGTCTCATAAAGCTGTCTACATCCTTAAGTACATAAGCCAAAACATATAGAAAGCTGTTGAAGGCATTTCTTTGCTACTTGATCATTTTCCATTATGATACATTTTATGTTTGTCAAATAACAAATGCAAACAGTCACTAACCACATGTAAAATTCATGTTCATAAAAAATTAGGGCCGGGCGCAGTGACTCACACCTGTAATCCCAGCACTTTGGGAGGCCGAGGCGGGTGGATCACGAGGTCAGGAGATTGAGACCATCCTGGCTAACACGGTGAAACCCCGTCTCTACCAAAAATACAAAAAAATTAGCTGGGCGTGGTGGCGGGCACCTGTAGTCCCAGCTACTCAGGAGGCTGAGGCAGGAGAATGGTGTGAACACAGCGGGGCGGAGCCTGCAGTGAGCGGAGATCCCACCACTGCACTCCAGCCTGGGCGACAGCGAGACTCTGTCTCAAAAAATAAAATAAAAAAATTAGATACACTTTTATATTCTGAAATAATGATTCAAATTAAATACAAACGGATCACACAAAAGATACTCTGGTTTTATCAAAGACACAAATACTAAATGTTAATGGCACGAAGACCTTTTCATTCCCTTTAAAATACCCTAATTGTAAAGATAGATGCTTTTCCCTAAGTTGTCACTGTATTACATAAAGTTATCGCACACAGATATCAAAGTATGGTTTTTCATTTCCTTCAATAGCAGCTAGGTTGAGGGTCTTTAAGAAGATTCCTACCATGACCAACCCACAGTAAGCTCAGCAACAACCTGGTTTACCTCATTCCAAAGGGCCCCTGGATACCCTGCTCCATCTCCTGGCCAGGAATGCTCTGATATCTCCTTGTTGGGGGACCTGAGCTGTGTTGCTTACCCCCTCTATCTGTCCTTCACTCCCACTTCCTGCCATCGGGAAAACACTCAGAAGAGACCACTCTTAGGACAGCCACAAGTTGGAATTCTATCATCACTCTGGCCCTGCATACCAGATGTCACCCATTCCATCCCATCAGTAGAAATAGGAGAAATATGGCGCAGTGGAAGAGCATGACATGGACTGACCCCTCCATTCCTTGATAGGTACACAGAGCGGTTATGAAAATTAAATGGCATAAGAATTGTAAGAGCATATGTCTGAACCTACATGGTATACAATAAATCCTAGTTCCTATCTCTCACCAATAAAGTGTATATCTGTTTACCATACCACAGTTTCTCCCATCAGTTTATTTAACTGTTATTTCATACTTTAAGAAGAAGCTGGCAATTTTCCTTGACATAATACAATCTTAGGTAGATAAAGGGCAATGATTCAAAGTGAAAGGTTATTAAATTTGTATCACTGACACATACTTTCAATTTATCATTTAATATGTGTACCCAGAGAACTATATAGAACATTTATTATTACTACATTGAAGATGAGAAAAGAGAGGGTTGCATAAAGTCCGATACTTGTGTATAGTAGACATCTTTAGCTAGGAAGAATTAGAAGCAGTTTTTCCAGGAAAAACCCCTAGGAGTTTTTACATCCACCCAACAGCTCTGAAGAGCTGTCCGTGGTGCTGGATGCCTCCGTCTGAAGTTCCATTAGACTCACAAGGCTAGAGGTGTACCCACTGCCTTAACTCTTAATCCTTGATATCAGCCCTCTCACTTAACTTGTGCCCTGAGTGATGCTGACTGATGATCCCCTATTTCAGCAGTCTTCACAGATTTAGGATTTTTCTGACATCAATACCACCTAACCTGAAGCCTGTACCAACTGTGACCTTGTTTGGCAAGCCAGCTTCTTGGCCTGCATCCTGCATTCTTAAGGGTTTTTAGCAAACTAGAAATTGGGTGCGGGGGTTAGAATTCAGTTAAGAACCTACTAGGCCAGGCACAGTGGCTCACACCTGTAATCCTAGCATTTTGGGAGCCTGAGGCAGGAGGATCGCTTGAGCCCAGGATTTCCGAGACCAGCCTGGGCAACGTAGTAAGACTCTGTCTCTACAAAAATAAAAATAAATTAGTTGAACATGGTAGTGTGCACCTGTGGTCCCAGATACTCTGGAGGCTGAGGTGAAAGAATTGCTTGAGCTCAGGAGGTTGAGGCCACAGTGAGCCGTGATCGTGCCACTGCACTCCAGCCTGGGTGACAGGTGAGACTCAGACTCAAAAAAAAAAAAAAATTTCAAGTGCCAGTGAGTTGACGAGCATATTCAGGTTTAAGTTACAGAAACTCATGAATAGAGGGGGTCTTAAAGGTTATTAATATTGTCCCTATCACCAAACCAATTTTTACTGTCACACTGATTCCCTATCTCTCATTTTGCTCAGTGACAACAGTTCTGGCTCACATGTCAGTCCCCTCTTGTCTTATTTTTCAAGTACATGGTTTACCATTAAATTTGGGCTAGGAAACTCTAATCTAGCTGAATTCCCACACAATAAAAAATATTTTCTACAAAACCCCAAATCAATTGTTGTCTCCATTCTACATGGCTGTCTCCAATGTCAGGAAACTCACTATATTCCAAAATTCCATTTGTTGTCAAAGAGAATCATTATAGATAGACCCCTTCATGTGACCTGTGACCTGTGATATTTAATTTCATTTAAAAAACAGACACACAAGGAAATATATAGCTGAGAGATGCTTTCATTAATAGAGAATCCTGGTAACCCTGTGTTAATCACATTTTGACCAACTCTAGTGAATAAACCATTTCCCTTATCAAAAGCACAAGGGCCTACATCACACTTTCAATCCTATACTGTTAAATATAGAGTGATTTTAATTTCCCCTCTTCTTGCATCCATCCACAGCATAGCACCACAGTAGCTGCATCACTCTATCAAATGAGATACTTGGATCCCACTGGCCATTAGTAATTCAGAACTAGTCTTGATAACACAACGGGGTCAAATCATCAATCCATTGGCTTTAACTATTTGGGGTGTGTGTGTGTGTGTGTGTGTGTGTGTGTGTTCACAAAAGAGAGAGGGAAGAAGAGAGGGAAAGGAAGAAGGAGGGAGGAGTGCCTCAATGAGAATGCGAACAAGAGAGAGCTTTCCTCTTCTCTATAAAAACTGACATTTGAGCTGCTGAGAGAGACAGTTCACCAAATATAGCGAATGATGTTATTAGCAGTTATGTACTGATACACTTATACTGGCCTGAATGGTTGGTTGATATAAAAAATTTCTTACGTAATTAGATTCCTGGGGGAAAAAGTAATATTAAAAATAACATCTATATTGTTCTCTGGGCTATTTTTCCAAGTCACAAAGGAGCTAAATATATCAAGGCCCCGAATTTAACAGCAGACTATGTAACAACTGACTCATTCCTTAGGAGTATGGCAAACATTTTTTCTTCCTTTTCTTTAAATGTTATTAAAACTTCCTTTTGTTTTATGCATAAGGATCAAGGTGAGGAACACAGGCTTGTTGAGTCCATCTGGCCAATAATGAAGAGCTCTGTTTCTCCTTACCTGGTACTGTTTATTTGATGCTATTATTTTTCCACTGAGGTGATATCTAAAATTGACACTTCACAGTACTGAATGTTATCTGATGCCACTTAGTATACTTTGACTAACATATTTGCCATTTGAGAAACTGTTCACCTATTTAAAAGCAAAAGATATGCGAATCAAACAGAACAAGTGAACCAATATGTCCCCCTGTATCATCCAAAAAACTAAAAACAACTCCTAAAAACAACTCTCCTGTACCATTTAAAAACCTAAAAACATTGATGGTTCAAAACCTTTAATGGTGCCCATTTAGTACAGCATTGAGACTTTATACTTCTAATCTATTATACTTCCCATACACTCTGTATTCCAAACAAACTAAAAATCTCATTTTCCTCTTATTCTTTATCGTCTTCCTCATAAGAGGTATTCAGTAAAGATTTGTTGAATTTCACTGCAATGTAGTTTTGTGAATACTAATGTTAAGATGACTTAGAGGTAGCATAAATCAAGGCAAATAAGACTGCTCACCTCACTCTGGGATGGTATTTCAAACAGCTCAAATTTCAAAAAAGAAAATAAATAATACAATCAACTCACGTTTTAAATTAAAAGTCTTAATTTTAAGCCTGCAGTAGTGGATGTCTTATGCTATATTTTTTCCATATACCAAATAAGAAAAATGTCAAAGAGGACCACCAGCCAGCGACAGCTTAAATAAATGGCCACTGTTCTCAGCCCAAAGGATGTTGTCCTGCTTTCCAATAATGACTCATCCTCCCCCAGTTAGCTGTCACCTCTACGCAGAAGACATTCCATCCTCTAGGGGTGGCTCTGATTCTTCCCAGCATTGCATTTCATTTACTAAATGCTTAAGAGCCAACCACTGTGCCTCCAAACTGCCATTTAAAAAGGTCTCCTTGAAAACCGCATCATCAGTGAAATTCAATAGACTTAAGACCAAATTTATTCATACCTCCCACACTGCCAGTTTATTTACCTCTTAATTTCCCTGATTTTGTTCAGCCACTATTCATGATGCAAAGCCAGGTTTCCTTACCATCCACCAAATGTGCTGTTTGTTCCCTTTGCTTTGTACCTGAAACTATTTCCTTTTCTACTCTTCAAATTCTACCAATTGCCAAAAACGCCCACCCAGATGACACCTTCTCCATCATCTGTGACTCCCCATCTGAGCTGGAAGTTATCAGACTTCCTCTGTACTCTTAATGAGACATCATCTGTTGGATTACCTGGAACGAACTACTCGTTGAGTAAAACTGCTAAGCATATTTGCTCATATGAATTGTAAGCTGTTAATGGAAGAGATCATATATCACAGGTTCTTTTATTTGAAAATGTCTGAGACTTCAGTAATTAACACAGCGCTTGAAGAGCAGAGCAGAAAATATATATCTCAATGAATTATTCTAAAACCAAAAATTGCATGTAAGTTAAATAAGGACCCTTAACTATGAGTCGGCATTGGTCTGTATCTCTTAAGAGTTTAATCTCCACTCCAAAGTATATCTTTTACTCTATCAAAAACAGGGAAAGAGTAAGAAAATTCAACAAACTGTGTGATGTATTACATTTTACTTACAGCCAAGGCTAAAGAAAATTCTATCTTCATTTTAACTATTCTGCATTCATCCACTATACAACTTTCATTACAACTGCAATTAGTATTAATGACCTAATTATTTTCTTAATCTTGCTACCGTCTAAATACATGTATTTTAGTTTATATGCATATGCACATATTTGCATATATAAACACACACATATGTAGGCAAATGTGTTTTTGTGTGTATACCCACATACATTTGATAGAAAATAAACATAATACTTTTCCAAAATACTTTTTTGAAAAATCACCATAATTTTACTCATATTAAAACAGAATTACTTTAATTAACATTCTATAAATTAAGTATGCATAGGTTTTAAGAGTAGAAATCAGAATTCATAAATTATCCTGCCTAATCTGCATTATGGGGCAATCCATAAAATAATTTATTTATATGTACAAAGAATACCGTTGACAATTCAGTAAATGAGAGCCACTTTAGGCAAGGGTTTTTAAAAATTGGATTTAGAGTCAAGACACATGAATTCCAGTCTTGGAAATGTCACCTAATAGTTGCGTGAAAAAGAAAATGCCTAAACTCTTGCTGCCTCAATTTCTTCACCTCAGGAATGAAAACCAACATCATCTAACACTAGATCTGTTTTTAGAATTAGATGAGAAAATATGTGTAAAAGCACTTTGTCAACTGTCAAAAATCATAATTTAAATAAGGGATTATTATTCCTTAATAAGCAGTCTTAAATGAAAGATGGAATTTTAAACTGATTTCACACATTTAGCAAAAAAATCTAAATGTAATTTAAGTGCATTATTAAAGAACAACATTACTTAATGCACAAGCTCTTTAGAAAGACGAAATAGCTATCCCTGTAGGACACTACTGTATTCTCAATATTTATAGAAAGGCATCACCTCTGATAATAAATAAAAGACCATCCTCTGACTCTGTGCAAAAGTTCTTTGTTATTTAGTAAAGTACCAAAACATTTAAAAAATACAATACAATACAATACAATACAATACTTGATGACATATCAAATACTTAGAGGGAAACAGGAGAGTGAAATTTCAGCAGTATTCTTTTGGTATTTGGCTAAATATACATAGATCTTGTTTTTCCAGATGGTGGTATCCCCATGTATAATAGACAGGGTGGATTCACTTTACGCAGTATATGTCTCACAGCAGTCTTTCTCAGCTGTCATTAAGTTGGAATGCTTAAATGCCATGATGTTTTGAAAATGGATTTCAAAAAATATATATTTATTTTCCTATCCGGAAATTTAAGATTTTCTTAGAAAATGAGTAAAGGCATTTTGTCTATCTAAATTGAGATAATTTTATTTCTCACTATCAAAAAATTGTATATTTAAGAAAATTGGAAAGTTTCCTTTTATATAATATAAAAAACAATGATGTTCCCATGAATTCAACAGGATGAACACTGATTTTCTTTGAATATCTAGAGCTAAAAACTTTAAAATGAGTTTGAGTGAGTTAAGTACTTGGCCTTTTTCCCAGCTTCCAGCCTATTTTGTTCCTTGCCAAACACTTTATGGAAAATGCAGAAATTGATTTGTATGATGCTGTAACTGTTTCTGGTGTGGTTCACTGGGGTTAAAAGTAATAACTTTCTCAGCCCCATTTCCCCGAGGTGAAAAATTCCCATAGACTATGGGGCAAATTACTTAACATCCTTCAAAAGGAGTTGGAAAAATTTATAATAGAGGGATCATGCAGAGCTTTCAGCTCCTTCCTGGAAAGATGGTTTATAACTACATATTACCCACAGTTTCGTTTGCAAGGTTTCCTGTTTTTGCCTTACAGAAAATGTTTTGAGTATATACAATGTGCTGAATAAAATTAACTGGCATTTCTCTATTTTTCAACTCCCCCAAATAATTTAGTTCATCATCAGATAAGGGGCAATTTAAGAGGGCAGTTCAGCAAGCAGGGATGACATTTCCATAGTTTCCCATCCCTGGCAATAGGAAAAAATTTTATACATTTTCATAGTCCACTGCAATAAGCCATTGAAGTTACAGAAAATATAAAAAGACAGTATCTGCTAATAACAGACTCTAAGACTTGAGGTCAGATTTATGACATGTAGTAGTTTTTCGAATTCTATTTAAAGCTAGTCATAAATCCCCTTGAGAAAAAAAAAAGCAACTCATAAAGAGAAGAAAAAAGTGCTAATAATTACTTTGGGATTTCTGAGCTGGTTAATAAGTGGTCTAGAACCTAATGCCTGATGACTCTGTTGACAAGGCCAAAGCAAGTCAATCAGGATTTCTCATTTGTTAAGAGAAAATTTCTGGCTAGCCCCTTTCTACTAACCAGTTTTGTGAATTGAAACTACAAACTACCCTGGGCCTGTTTCCTCATCCACAAAATGGAGCCACAACAGGGTGGACCTGGGTAATCAGAAGAGTTCTAAGATACGTTACAACTACAAATTTCATGCTTATTTCTGTGACAGTGAGTTGCATGCATCAACTTCGCAAGTCTACAGTATCCACTTATTCAATCAAACTAATGCAATAGCTGTGAAGCTGTTTTGTGAAAATGGTTAACATCTACAATCTGTTGACTTCAAGTAAAGAAGATTATCCTTCATAATGTGGGTGGGCCTCATCCAATCAATGGAAAAGCCCTAAGAACAAAGCTGAGCTGACTCTGAGGAAGAAGGAATTCTGCCTCTAGACTGAAGCATCAGCTTCTGAGCAAGAGTTTCCAAGCCTGCTGACCTGACCTGCAAAGTTCTGACTTGTCAAACATAATCACATGAGGCAATTCCTTGAAATAAAATTATCTCTCTCTCTCTCTCTCTCTCTCTCTCTCTCTATATATATATATATAAAATCACATGAGGCAATTCCTTGAAATAAAATTCTCTCTCTCTCTCTCTCTATATATATATGTATGTATATACACACACACTTATGTATATATGTATGTATATACACACACATATGTATATATGTATGTATATGTGTGTGTGTATACATAAGTATGTATGTATGTATATCCATGTCTCACCATTCTGTTTCTCTGGAGAACCCTAACTGCTACAATTTCTACCTGCTGCAGTACTATTTATAGTACAACACAGGCAGACCATATATTAGGAAAGGGAGGAAAAGAGAAAGTACTATGCAAGGTGCTTAAAAAGAAAATGCCATGACACATTTTTTTTTCAGATTAGGGTTATTTTGGTGCAAGTTCCATTCTTCAGAAAAAAAGAGACAAAAACATCTTAAGATTAAATCCACCAAATGGAATGAATATAGCAGCACTCAAATTGAATGCCTACTATATACCTGGGACTTTGCAAGCACTGAAGGTTTTAAATGCAAATAAAACAGGCACATGCTGTCTGGGAACCTGCAGTTTTGTTTAGATGACTGTATATATAAACAAATCATTTCAATACAATGGTGTACATACATTAACCAAAGTACAGAATACCCTCATGGACAATTAGAACATAGTTGAGAGAGAAGAGTAGGCTGGGAAAAGCTTCCTGTAGGCTGGGCTGATTCTGAAAGGAGTAAGTAAGCCAGATGAACAGACATGGGATTAGGGAAGAAGCTTTATTACACAGAAGTTCCTACATGACAAAAAGCAAACAAGCAAAACATGTGGCATATGCACAGGAGAGTGTGTTGCCAGAGCTCAAAGGCGACTGCTCAGGGAGAACATGCATCTCCAGAGTACAGCTGAGTCAAGGAAGGAACCCTGAGCATCACCAACAATTAAAGACGAGGCAGGGAAAGAACCAACGAAAACGACCAAAACCAAAAAACAGAAAGTAAAGGGATAATCAGGAAAGAAAGAGGTCATAACAGTCAAAGAAGTTTCCCTAATGAGTATAAGCAAGCTCAGAGGACGGGCAAGGAGGTAGCAGTAGGGTGCGGCTGAAACAATCATTTCAGAGTCAGTATTACAGAGCCTGATAGCTTCCAGCAGTGCAAACTGCGTATATGTGATGTAGGTTAATACAATGGGCTTAGAGACAAAATAAGCATGATCCAAAGGACACTAGGAATCAGATAATAGGAACTACATCCTCATATTTTTTTCTCAGATAAATTCTATTTATTTATTCATTTACTTTTTTTCTTATTTTTTAAAATTATATTTTAAGTTCTGGGATACATGTGCAGAACATGCAGGTTTGTTACATAGGTATACATGTGCCATGGTGGTTTGCTGCACCCATCAACCTGTCATCTACATTAGGTATTTCTCCTAATGCTATCCCTCCCCTAGCCCCCCACCCCCTGACAGGCGCCAGTGTGTGGTGTTCCCCTCTCTGTGTCCATGTGTTCTCATTGTTCAACTCCCACTTATGAGTGAGAACATGTGGTGTTTTGTTTTCTGTTCCTGTGTTAGTTTGCTGAGAATGATGGTTTCCAGCTTCGGCTATGTCCCCGCAAAGGACATGAACTCATCCTTTTTTATGGCTGCATAGTATTCCATGGTGTATATGTGCCACATTTTCTTTATCCAATCTATCATTGATGGGCATTTGGGTTGGTTCCAAGTCTTTGCTATTGTGAACAGTCCTGCTCTGTTCACATCCTCATATTTTTGTGTACAATATTTCCCTCTTCCATCTCACTTTCTGCCTATAGAAATATCATTTGGAACCACAGGCAATGCTCATGAAAAGTACAGTAATTGACGGCTACAGGGCACAAAGACTTGGACAGTTTTTTTCCATCCATTCAAGGTAGGCACTTCAGCTTCACAGAAAGCCAACATCAGGGACAAACTGCAAGCCGATGGATATCTGAATGTATTTGAGAGACTTCCTACATGTATTTCACACCTCAGTATAGTCAGTTCTCCATATAGCATTTTATGTCACCAAATGTGGCAGTGAAGCTCTATCCTGAGATAAATGTTCTTCCTTCCTAAGCCAAAGGAAGCTACTGGCACCATGCTCACAGATACAATAATAAATCGTAAGCTTTACCTTAGGTAACAATAAGAAAGAGATATGAAGAGACTGCAGAGGTAGTCATGAAAGTGGATGGACAACCAGGGGGCATGCAAGAAGACACCCCAGACAGAAAAATCACTGACTTCTCTATGGAGGAAATAAAAGTCCTGTTTACTGACAAATTAGGACCAAAAATATAACTACACAAAACTCAGAAAGATGGATTCCTGTCTGAGGTATAAAATTTGAAAATTAGTATCTCTAGAAATTCTATGATCTAAATCAAAAAATTTAAAAAGCCTTCCAGTGACAGGGCAGACATACATATCCATACATACATACACACACATATAAACACACAAACACATTTCATTTATAATCTTGGGCTGAATGTCCTGAATGCTAAGCAGCTCATCATTGCTTAAGAAGGCTATGCACTGACAGATGCTCCACTTTGCTTCCACCCTATGCCGTGAGGTCTGCTGCCTGCACTGGGGCTGACTTCCTGGAGATACCCCAACAATGCAGGCTTATGCTGAATCAAACGAGAAATTGTGGAGTCTCCCCTATCACACAAATTCCTGGCTTGCTTTCTTCGCACAGTCTCAGGTATCAGAACTGTACTTGTCCACTGCCCCCACAGGGTATAAGTATGTAACAGGAAAGGCTGCTGCAATAGATGAAACATATACGCAGAGTAATGTCCCTGAATCCCACACCACCTACCTGCTAACTTAAGCCCTTCTTTCCTATTATGCTTTCCATGTGTGGAAAGAGCTGCCAGCTTTATCTTCCCATTTCCTACTGCCTCAATCAACTCTGTGCCAACAGAGTTGTCCCTCAGTGTATGCAGGGGATTGGTTCTAGAACCTAGAACCCCTGTGTCTACCAAAATCTTATATGCTCAAGTCCCTCAGTTGGCCCTGTAGAACCCACATATACAAAAAGTTGGTCCTCTGCATAGGCAGGGCTCACATCCCATGAATATTCTATATTCCACCCACGTTTGGTTGAAAAAAAAAATTCATGTATAAGTGGACCCCACAGTTCAAGTAAGTATTGTTCAAGGGTCAACTGTAGCTATATGTCATACTCTTACATAAATACAAATCTCACACATGCACAAACACAAATATATAGGGAGCATTTTATAAATAATGGACATTTCTGGATTTTCTATAGATTCAGGGTGCTTATACTCATACATTAAACTGAGGACAGGTGCTAAGTCCTATTGCAGGATTCCAACCTGGCACTAATGGCTTCCTTTTCTCTTAATTCTGCTTAGGCTTAGTAATGTGCTAATGTCAACATCTGCCAGTGAGTGGTAGGTAGTGAATACCAGGATTCTAGGAGGCTGCCCCTTTAGTTGTTCAAGTGAGACCTGAGAGGAAGAGACAGAGGAATATTTAGAAAGAAAAGACTTAAGAGACTGGTTACCCCTTCTCATGATGTGGCAAAAGTGAAGCAGAATAGGTACCAGGAAGGGAGCCCGGAGGCAGCACTTTTGAAGTTACTTGTCCTTTAGTTCTGGAATGTAGGGGAAAGAAGAATGCATTACTTTGTAAAGATATCATTTATATCCCATAAAGTTCACCCGTTTAAAGTACACAATCCAGTGATTTTTAGTGTATTTACAGAGTTATGTAATCATCACCATACTCAAATATTACACTGCTTTCATCATACCAAAAAGAATTTTTTTACAGCCTTCACTGCCCAGGCTCCTTCCCCCAACTCCATTCCAACCTTGGTAACCACACATATACTTCTGTCTCTATGGATTTACCTACTATGGACATTTTATATAAATGAAATAATATAATTATGTGGTGTTTTGTCTCTGGCTTGTTTCACATAGCATTATGTTTTCAAGGTTCCTCATGTTGTGACATGTATCACTGCTTCATTCCTTTTATGGCTGAATAATATTTCATTGTATGGATAATCCATATTTTGTTTATTCATTCAACTGTTAATGGACATTGTGTGCTACTTACTAGGTTGAAAACTGTGGGCAAAATGTCTTACCTCTTAACTTTTCTAATATATGGATAACTAAAAGCTACCTCACAGGACAGTTATACACGAAATTATGTGAAGACTGTACAGTATAATTGAGTAAGTGCTTTGTCAATTGTAAAGTACTTTACCAATGCAAGAGATTAGTGTCAATCTATGAGCATCAATATTTGTCCTGTTACCTAAGAACAAGGTGACATCACATGAAAACTCATGGATGTGGTGACTGTAAACTTCCAAAATGCTTCTACCTCAGACAAACATGTGGCTGAATGAGGAAACAAAGATACTTTCCAAAAATCCAGGTAAATTAAAGGGTTGAGGGCAATTAGTCTAAATGGCATCATTCCAGATGATCTTGAAAAGCAAAATAATGTGCCTGCGGGCACCTGTTATGGAGTGATGAACTGGAGTGATGAACTTGAGATTTATATTTCAAAATGCAATTCTCGACTGAGAGTGCATTTTCTAGAAGGGACCTATATTAAGTTTTCTTATCAAATCAACTCATGTTACCAGAGTTCTTTAGTACACTGGTTCACTAAGCTGGCAAGCAGAGGTTAAGTAAGAGAATGTGAGAGGCCATGTGTTCTCATTGTTCAATTCCCACCTATCAGTGAGAATATGCAGTGTTTGGTTTTTTTGTTCTTGCGATAGTTTACTGAGAATGATGATTTCCAATTTCATCCATGTCCCTACAAAGGACATGAACTCATCATTTTTTATAGCTGCATAGTATTCCATGGTGTATATGTGCCGCATTTTCTTAATCCAGTCTATCATTGTTGGACATTTGGATTGGTTCCAAGTCTTTGCTATTGTGAATAGTGCCGCAATAAACACATGTGTGCATGTGTCTTTATAACAGCATGATTTATAGTCCTTTGGGTATATACCCAGTAATGGGATGGCTGGGTCAAATGGTATTTCTAGTTCTAGATCCCTGAGGAATTGCCACACTGACTTCCACAATGGTTGAACTAGTTTACAGTCCCACCAACAGTGTAAAAGTGTTCCTATTTCTCCACATCCTCTCCAGCACCTGTTGTTTCCTGACTTTTTAATGATTGCCATTCTAACTGGTGTGAGATGGGTAGGGATAGCATTGGGAGATATACCTAATGCTAGATGACAAGTTAGTGGGTGCAGCACACCAGCATGTCACATGTATACATATGTAACTAACCTGCACATTGTGCACATGTACCCTAAAACTTAAAGTATAATAATAAAAAAATGAAAAAAATAAAAAAAATTTAAAAAAAGAGAATGTGAGAGGGAAATAAACACATTCATTAGCATATGCAGTCTAACTTCGTTTTGCTTTGGCAAAATGAAGGATTATATTTCTGACATGGGGTGAGGGTTGTAGGAAAGAGGAGGTCTGACCACCCATCAAAAAAGAATCACTGTAGAATTAAACTTATGATTTGATGGGAAGATATCATCCCACGGGTACACACTTGTGCTGAAGAGTGGGGAAGGCAGCAGCAGTAAGAACTGCCAAGGACGTGGGGAGTGAAGTGACCAGGTATGCTATGGTCAGACAGCCAGGTGTTACAGAGAGAGGACTGAAACCCAGGTCCCCTGATTCCAAACCCACTCAAACTTCTGTTCCCAGGAAAGGATCTATTTGGGTTGGCTATAATCAATATGCAACTTCAGTGTGCAAAAATCTTTTAAATTTTTTAAAATTTGCTTCTCATAACTGTTTATATTGCTAAAAGCTGTTGGTGAACATTTTCTTGGAAATGAACAAGAATTGATTAAAATCAATTAGGTTTTACTGTCCTTCAATAATAAATCCATAATCTCCTTCCTTTGCCTATAGGCCTATTGAATCATATTATCACTAGGCCAATTATACCATTCCCCATGAAGACTTCCAAACCCCTCTGTGCTCCCATGGCCCCTGTGCCTAACCATTCAGCACTTGTTAGACAGTATTTTAAACTATCGTTGTTTATATGAATGCCTCTACAAACTTTCTGAGTTCCTGCAAGGCAGTGATTTTGATCTTGTTCATCCCTCTTTCCCAGTGCCTAATGTAGGCCTGATATATGCTCCAGAATACATTAACAGACAAGGAGGCAGTGGAACAGTATACCAACCTCTATACTAATTTGATCTGCTTATCCTTCCTTTAACTTCCAATTTCTAATTAATTCTCTTTGATATCATTCCCCTGAACCACCATGCATTTGTCTTTTCCTCTTTCCCACCAGATATGCCTCTTCCAGTGGCAAACCTTGAGGGCAAAAGGCAGTTACAGAAAAAAAGAGTAATTAGCAACAACTCCGGTCACCATCTCCAACAGTACTACCTTAAACAGGTTATTTTTTAAAGGGTAATATTAATGTGCTGTTATGATTGTTGTTGAGAATATGATGAAGTCCAAAAAAAGAGTGAAAGTGAGTTGGCCTACTCAACACTCATGTCATTTAAAACAGTCATGATCAGACACAACAGTCAAATGTGTTGCCTTTTTTATATGCTTGTTTCCCTATCACAGTATCTCCTCCTCTGCCATCACAGGTCAGAACCTGACTACCTTCTAATTTCTACCACTTGTTCATTTAAAAATAGTCACTGAATGTCTTTTGTATGTCCGGCACTGAGGATACTGTGAGGAGGATGTCCAAAAGCCCAGGGGGTAAATAGGGAAAGCATAGCTCCTCCAAGAGACCAGCACCGATGCAAATCAGAGAGGGAGGGAGAGAGCACTTGAGATGAAGCTGAAGACACTGGCAAAAGCCAGAACCTGCAAGCCCCTTTGGACTAAACTAAGGCTTCCATCCTAACAGCGATGAGGGAGTCTATCAGTCAGCTTGGGCTGTCATAACAAAATACCAGAGACCGGGTAAGCTTAAACAATAGAATTTTACCTTCTTGTGGTTCTAGAACTAGAAGCCCAAGATAAGAGTGCCAACATGGTTGGTTTTTGGTGAACGCTCAATTCCTGGCTTGCATGACGCTGCCTTTGCCTTCTCACTGTGTCCTCACATAAACCTTCCTCTGTGGTTGTGTGGAGAGAGAAAGATGCTCTCTCTCTCTCTCTGTCTGTCTCTCTCTCTCTCTTTCTCTCTCTCTCTCTTCCCTACCTCCCCCCACCTCCCTCCCTTTTCCTCTTCCTCTTCTTTTAAGGGCACAAATTCCATCAGCAGGGTTCTACCCTCACGAACTCATATAACTTTAAACACCTCCCAAGGGCCCCATCTCCAAATACCATCACATTAGGGGTTAGGGCTTCAACGTATATTTGGGGGAACACAAACATTCAGTCCATAGCAGGGAGAAACATAAGATTTATAATTTTAAAACATCGCTCTAGATATATTTAGTGCAAAGCCACTCAGCCAAATAACAGCTTGGCATAACCAAAGGACGCTGCTTTAGGAAAAGGTATCATTCCTGCCACAAGGACTATACAACGTTTTGCTTTCATCTGCAGAACCACAGAATCGTGACTGTCGCAAGGCTGGCATGCATAAGAACATATGGCTCTCTCTGAAAGTTTTGCATGCCTCAAGTCCCAAATCTGCTAATAAAAACATCCCGTTCTCTAAGTAAGCCTAAGTGTGCACTTATTTAAAAAACTGTTTTTGTCCTTTTGTTTTGGTTCCTCTCCTTACACAGCATATTGAAATCTTCAGTGAGATTTAATTTTCTGAAGTCTAAGTGAAATTTCCCAAAGAACTATAGTTTCCTGAAAATTTTGCACTTTGTTGAATTACCATCAATTCACGTCATATTTAGAGCAACTTAGATCATGTTTGACCTGTTATTTAAAATTTAGGAGAGTATCTTCAATAGATGCAGAAAAGGCCTTTGTAAAATTCAACACTCCTTCATGCTAAAACACTTAATAAACCAGGTATTGATTGAACCTATCTCAAAATAATAAGAGCTATTTATGACAAACCCACAGCCAATATCATATTGAATGGGCAAAAAGCTGGCAGCATTCACTTTGAAAACCGGCACAAGATAAGGATGCCCTCTCTCACCACTCCTATTCAACATAGTATTGGAAGTGCTGGCCAAGACAATCAGGCAAGAGAAAGAAATAAAGTGTATTCAAACAGGAAGAGACGAATTCAAACTGTCTCTGCCTGCAAACGACATGACTGGATATTTAGAAAATCCCATCATCTCAGCCCAAAAACTCCTTAAGCTGATAAGCAACTTCAGCAGTCTCAGGATTAAAAAAATCAATGTGCAAAAAATCAAAAACATTCCCATACACCAATAATAGACAGTGAGCCCAATCATGAGTAAACTCCCATTCACAATTGCTACAAAGAGAATAAAAAGCCTAGGAATCCAACTTACAAGGGATGTGAAGGACCTCTTCAAAGAGAAGTACATGACACTGCTCAAGGAAATAAGAGAGGACACAAACAAATGGGAAAACATTCCATGCTCATGGATAGGAAGAATCAGTATCATGAAAACGGCCATATTGCCCAAAGTAATTTACAGATTCAGTGCTATTCCCATCAAGCTGCCATTGACTTTCTTCACAGAATTAGAAAAAACTACTTTAAATGTCATATGGAACCAAAAAAAGAGCCCGTATAGCCAAGACAATCCTAAGCAAAAACAACAAAGCTGGAGGCATCATGCCACATGACTTCAAACTATAGTACAAGGCTACCGTAACCAAAACAGCATGGTACTCATACCAAAACAGATATATAGACCAATGAACAGAACAGAGACCTCAGAAATAACACTACACATCTACAACTATCTGATCTTTGACAAACCTGACAAAAACAAGCAATGGGGAAAGAATTACCTATTTAGTCAATGGTGTTGGGAAAACTGGCTACCCATATGCAGACAACTGAAACTGGGCCCCTTCCTTACACCTTATACAAAAATTAATTCAAGATGGATTAAAGATTTAAACGTCAGACCTAAAACCATAAAAATCCTAGAAGAAAACCTAGGCAATACCATTCAGGACATAGGCATGGGCAAAGACTTCATGACTAAAACACCAAAAGCAATGGCAACAAAAGCCAAAATTGACAAATGGGATCTAATTAAACTGAAGAGCTTCTGTAGAGCAAAAGAAACTATCAGAATGAACAGGCAACCTACGGAATGGGGGAAAATTTTTGCAATCTATCCATCTGACAAAGGGCTAATATCCAGAATCTACAAGGAACTTAAACAAATTTACAAGAAAAAAAAATCCCCATCAAAAAGTGGGCGAAGGATTTAAACAGACACTTTTCAAAAGATGACATTTATGCGGCCAACAAACATATGAAAAAAAGCTCATCATCACCGGTCATTAGAGAAATGCAAATCAAAACCACAGTGAGATACCAGCTCATGCCAGTTACAATAATGATCATTAAAAGTCAGGAAACAACAGATGCTGGAGAGGATATGGAGAAACAAGAACACTTTTACACTGTTAGTTGGAGTATAAATTTGTCATTGTGGAAAGTGTGACAAGTCCCCAAGGATCTAGAAGTAAAAATACTATTTGACCCAGCAATCCCATTACGGAGTATATACCAAAAGTATTATAAATCATTCTACCATAAAGACACATGCACATGTATATTTATTGCCACAGTATTCACAGTAACAAAGACTTGGAACCAACCCAAATGCCCATCAATGATAGACTGGATAAAGAAAATGTGGCACATATACACCATGGAATACTATGCAGCCATAAAAAATAATGAGTTCATGTCCTTTGCAGAGACATGGATGAGGATGGAAACCATCATTCTCAGCAAACCAACACTAGAACAGAAAACCAAACACTGCATGTTCTCACTAATAAGTGGGAGCTGAACAGTGAGAACATATGGGCACAGGAAGGGGAACATCACACACTGGGGCTTGTCTGGGGTCGGGAGCAAGGGGAGGGATAGCATTAGGAGAAATACCTAATGTAGATGACAGGCTGATGGGTGCAGCAGACCACCATGGCACATGTATACCTATGTAACAAACCTGCACGTTCTGCACATGTATCCCAGAACTTAAAGTATAATAAAAATAAATACATACATACATAAATAATTTTAAAAATTTAAAAATAAAATTCAGAAGAGTATCTGTAAGTAGAAGGTTTTAGATACCACCACCATTCTGCTGGAAGAGTAAGTTATATTATGAAGCACAAAATAATGGAGGAAAAGCCACTTTTGATTTAATTGCTGTGGTACTTCATCTTTTCTATTAGTTAAATACATACACCCTTCCTTTATTCTCATAGTAAATCAATTTTCCTCAGGATATGATGAATGTGCCAAGGTAGAAACCAGATTTTAAGCACCACAAGAGTCAGGTTCCTAAAGAATGAAAAGTCAAGGAGGAAGACTAGATTCGCATAGAAATCTGTTACATTATTTCAAACTCAAAAATGTAAATACCCAGCTTTTAAAAAGCAAACATTTTGCCATATTTATTGCAGATATTTTCAAATAAAGAAATAACATGTAACAAATACAATGAAAACCCCTTTTATGCTTCCTGTCTTCCCTGAGATAACCAGTCTCCTTCCCAATGGCAGTTTTATTCTTTTACTGCCCACATGTCTGTCTTAGTCTGGAGTCCTCCAAAGCAGAGCCTAGAATGAGGATGAAGGGACAGCAGATTATCTGGGTGATGGTTCCAGCAAACAGAGGGAAGGAGCCAGAAGAGAGGGGTGGGGCAGGGAAAGGGAAGGTCAGTAAAGGGCATGTTCTGGAGCCGGTCACCAAGTTAGGCAAAATGGCTCAATTCTGCTGGGTCCCTGTGAGGGACCATGAAGAACATGCCTCAGCACTGCTCCTTGGTTGAAGAGGAAGATATGGAAATCGTCATCCACTGATTCACATTCCCAGTGGCTGTGGTTGCCTCCAGTGTGTTAATCCCTGATGTTTCAGGCTGCCCCCAGGAAGAACTGAAGTTCCAAGGCACAAGAATAACTCCTGGGGCAGGAAAGTCAGAGGTGGCCTTCAGGGAGCTGTCTACCAAGCTTGGGCTGGAGGGCATGGAGGGCATGGCCCTGGGCACACAGATCATCTGTACTGCAGAAACCAGAAAACTTTTTTAGTAAAGGAGCAAATAGAAATATTTTAAAACTTGAGGGTCAGGTGGAGTCTATGTAACATGTTTTGGTTGTTTTTACACTTTTAAAATGTAAACGTCATTCTTAGCTTGTGAGCTGTTCAAAAACAGCCTACACACTTTACATAGTTGACACCTGTGCTATGGTATCCATAAACAACAAAAACTTATTTGCTGTATTTTAACTTACATAAACAGTATAAAATACTATACCGCATACAACCTTATACAACCTTCTGTAACTTGTTACCCATCAAACTTATATATGTTGCTCTCTGTAGAGGCAGACTATTCATCTTAACTGCTGCATCGTGTTCCACTGTAAGTCTATATTAACATTTACTTCTCCATTTCCCCACTGATACCTATTTGGGTTGTTTTATGATTTTCACTATTACAAAAAGTGCAGCAACAAGCATCTCTCTATTAATGTCTCCTGCTGCTCATGAGTGACAGTTTTCCCTGGAATCTATGCCTTGTAGTATAATTACTGTGTCTAGTGTGTGACTATATAATATTCAACCTATTTTGTTACTGCTGCATTCCTCCCCGAAGGAGTTATACCAACTTATAGTCCTATCTGCAGTTTACCAAAATTTCTGTTTCTCCACATCTTCCCCAATACTTTGTCAGACTTTTTAATTTTTGCAAATCTGATGATTATAAGTTTATGATACATCATTGTTTTAAATGTCATATTCCTGATAGGTGGAATATCTTTAATGCTAATTGATCCTCTCTGCTTCCTATTTTATAGCCTGCCTAGGCATATCACACATCTATTTTTTGTTGTTGCTGCTACTGTTGTTTGTTCTGCTATTGGGTTGTCTCTTCTTATTCGTGTGTCGTGTAGTAGTTCTTCATACCCCTTCTATTTTTAAACATTCGAGCTCACTATGATTATGCTGGGTCAGCAGAGTCAAAACCTACTTCCACAGCCAGCAAAGCCCTACAGTGCCCAAAGTCCACACTGTTTGCATCACTCCTTGTGAATAAAAATCAACACATCACTTTAAAAATGTAGTATCTATTCATTCATTCAGACGTTTATTGAGTACTTACTATGAAGTAGCATTCATATTACTGGAGACAGGGAACACAAAGATATAAGAGGTCGCAGCCTGATGAACACATTCAATGACAATGAAGGATTAGCCCATCAGATAAGCTAAATGTCACTCTGCTGGAGAAAAGCCTTAAAAAACCACGCCAAGAAGGGGAGTCTTCTGGAATAGCAGTGTGAGATTAGCAGATCCTCTCTTGGTGCAACCACCATTTATTTAACTGGTGAAAATTACTTAAAACAAACTAAAGAAACATTTAAAGTTTCTGGAAATTTTCCTAAGGGCATACAGCAAGTGAAGAAACATCTCTTCAAGAAAATATACTAAATCTTGGTAAGAATGGCAAGAATCTGTGGCACTGGAGCAATGACTTGCTCCCATACCCTCCCTACACCCCTACTGCCAGCTCTGTGATGGAAACTTTGCTATGGGAAGATATGGCCAAGAACACGGGGGTTCCCACTCTCCCCAGCTCCTAGTCTAGGGCTAGAGTTTCACCTGAAAGGGGCAGGCTGCCAGTGCCTCTCGCTGCCTATTCAACCCCCAGCCATGTGTTGTGGAAGCACAATTCTTGGCAGGTGCTGCTAAGAGGACTCTGTCTCCTTTCCCCATTCAGTTCCCATTTGTGCAGCAAGGCTGTGTGCCAAGAGCAAAGTCTGAGAATACTGGGGCCCTTAAAACCCCAACCCCAGCTCACTCACAGGGTAGACATTCCACACGAAGAGAGGCAGGCTACAAAGACCAGAGCCACCATCACCACAACTCTGACTCAGTGCCACAGAGATTCTGTGCAGGAGAAATGGCATGCCCTGAGGACAGAGGGAGCTCCCCTTCTGCCTTGCTGACTGAGGAGACTGACTTTATTGGGAACAAAGAGGGGAGAAGTTCACGCCTAAGAGCATTGTCAAAAACAATGGAGATTTTGGTGGCACACAGTTATGCAGGGCCTGGTAGCTTCATGATAACAGTAACAATAAGTGAAACGGTGGACCAAGGAAACTGAGAGACACCAAAGAAGAGTGCTCTTGGAATCACACTCACCCCTAGAGACAAAGAAGGCTAAGCACATGCCCTGGAATGCACACCTCTTTTATTTCTACTCAGGAGTAAATCGAGTGGAATGTGGAACAGACTTGAAAAAATTTCCCAAGTCGTACACAGATCCATCAGCAAAATGCAAAAGCCTTACTAACTTGAGGGGCTTAAGCACAACCTTAGACCAAATACTTGCTGAACATTAAGCTACTCTATCCCAGGGGTGACTCCTAGGAAGGGAGTTAAAATAAAATAAAATCTCATTCACCTATCATGGTCTGGAAGACTGTATGGATGTCCATGCTGCACCCTCTCAGGAGAGAATGGAGAAAGAACCACTTATCTACTAGAGCCTTGTGGAACTCAGGACAAAAGTATAAATTCCCTGAACCGTGAAAGCCACGCATACATCCAACTGGCTAAGCCAGCTTAAGCACAAATATTGATCAATAAATGATTTAGGCAGACCCAGGGGTGACTCCTACGAACCCACACTAACAGATAAACACAAAGAAACAAATTTGAGCAGGGACATCAGGGGCCACACAGAGTGAGAAAAATATTCTTCAAATAATTAGTAAAGCCAAGTCACTAAACAAATAAACAAATGAGCAAACAACAACTTCAAGAAACTTTCCCTAGAAGAGGGAGAGGATCAATATCCAGAGTTACCATAGTATCTAAAATGTACAGGTTTCAACAAGGAATTATGAGACATTCAAACACATACACACACATGCATGTGCATGCACACACATATCCACACACACACCCCCAGGAAAATGTGACACATACACGGGGGGAGGGGGGATGTGCAAAACAGGCAACAGACACTTCCTTTTCAGGGCCCAGATGTTGGAATTAGCAGATATGGCTCGGCAGTAGTCATTTTAAATATGTCCAAAGAACTAAGGGAAAACCATGCCTACGGAAGTAAAGTAAGGCATGATGACAATGTCTTATCAAATAGAGGATATAAATACAAACACAAATTATTTTCTAAAAGAGTCAAATGGGACTCTTGAAGAGTATAAAAATTTGCATGAAAAATTCACAAGAAGGGCTAAGCACTTCATTTGCATGGGCAAAAGAATGAATCAACAAACCTGATGATACATGAAGGCAGATGAGATGATCCAAAGAACAGAGAGGAAATAAAGAAGAAAAAGTAAACAGGGCTTCAGAAATGGGGGATAGCAGTTAGCAAACCAACACATAATCAAAATACAAGAAGGAGATGAGAGACAGAAAGAAGTACAAAGAATATTCAAAGAAATCATAGCTAAAAATTTTCCAAACTGATGAAAAATGCTAATCTATACTTCAAAGAAGCTCAATGAATTACAAGTACAAAAAACTCAAAGAGAACCACACCAGACACTTCAAAACGTTGAAAGATAAACTCTTGAAATCAATAAGAGAAAAATTATGAATTTCATTATGTAATGATGGCATCACAATAAGATGAACAGATGACTTCTTATCTGTAACAATGGAGGCCAGATGACACTAGGATGACACATTCAAAGTGCAAATCAGGAAAGGCATGTACCTTTTCACTCTGGGAGAGAGAAAAAAAACACAAAAATCAATGGAGGCAAGTCTTCATAGGTAGCAGAAATCCTCAGGCAAATAGACGAAGAAGATCAAAGTGGTAGCAAGGAAATTCTGAGACAGAGTCATGAAGAAAAGATGTTGTTTGTCAAAAGACTTTATCTGAAACCGACCTTTCCATTAAAGGTTAAATAGAGGCAATCCCTCCTGTTACACAGTTTGAAAGTTTAGGAGAAGTTAACAGATTTCATCTCAACAAATTATTGAGATACATTTCTCAACCACACCTGGCAGTGAACTGCTCTGTATTTAGGTTCATATATGAAAGATGTATAAAATCATTTGTTTAGAAAGAAGTTGCTAAATTATTAATAACAGCTCATAAACATGTACCATGTACATGATACTGAAGGCAAAAATAATGTGATATTAATTACATAAAACAACCAGAGAACTTATTCATTCTAATTTTTTAACTGAAAATATAATATATTGAAGTTTGGTAAAAATAGTGAACATAGAAGAAATTTTAGAAGGCTCCATGCACACTAATATAAAAAACATAAAAAATACTTAAGGTGAGAATGTGACAGTACATTATGAAAGCTTTGTACAAATATGAAGCAAATAAAATCCACAAAGACCATTTATCTACACCAATGCAATAAGCTTGCACTGGCATCTGGAAAACATTTTTCTGTTTTGTTTTCTGTCACAGAAAACAAACTGTGAGTGTGTTTTAAATGTGCTTTGACTGTACAGTGCTAGTCATCTTTTACAATTTAAGTAAAATTACTAAGCAGGCACTGTGATTTAGATTCAAGGCATCTGTGAGAGAAAGGATCAGCAGTGAAGCTGAGATAATGAGCTGACACAAAGAACCAGCTAATTCCATTTAGGGTGCCCTGGATATGCATCTCTCACCTGGATCTGCCACATCCTACTGGAATCCTAGTTGTTATAGTCAGATATGGACATAAATTACTGACAGAAGAAAATGGCTAATTTATGAAGAAAATAAGTGACAATGTATGCATAAGCCTTATCAGATGCTGAAGGGAAGTGATCCAGAGGTATGTAAACTCCGATGAGCTATTTGGTAAATAGAGGAATTCTTTTTAAAAAAAAAATTTACTGCAGCATGATTTTAATAGGTGCAGCACACCAGCATGGCACAGGAATACATATGTAACTAACCTGCACACTGTGCACATGTACCCTAAAACTTAAAGTATAATAATGATAAAATAAAATAAAAAAATAAGAAAAAAAAATTTTACTGCACACTCATTGCCACACTCAATCACAAAAGGTTTAGAGTGCAAACATGCAGTGACTATTTCCAACAGTAAATGAATGTTCACCATTGCATGGAGAAAATATTTTCTCTTGAGTATTGAGACATTAACTACATGTCAGTATATGCAAGTTTTCTGTATGTGCAATATATTGGTACTGCATATACAGACAACTGACATTTTGTCTAAAAGTAGAGACCAGTAAAGCTTACTAAACAGAAGATTTTCATAATCATATTTACCTTCTCTTGGCAGGCAAAGAACAGATCTGAGGTTAACTTAAAGACAGGAAGCCCAAAAAGCCACACTTCCTGGGTATCAATCCTGCCACTTTCTGGGTATGTCACTTTGGGCAGGTCTTTCACTTCCTCACCACCTTCAGATTCCTCCAAAGTAGAGTTTACAAATTGTACTTACAAGTGGATATAGCAACGTAGAGAGAGTGAATCCTTCGCTACTGTGATGAAAATCATACATGTGTCTCAGGCACCAGCGTTAACTATCAACCTCACCTCACCTCACTGCGGACACCTCCACTGGGTTCTCTCCAGAACTAACCCCCATCTCATTGTCCTAATTTTCCTATTAGTGGTTATATTAGGGTTCTCCAGAGAAACAGAACCAATAGGAGATATACACATACAGATAAATGAGAGGGTATTTATTAGGGGAATTGGCTCAAGTGTTACGGAGGCTGGGAAGGCCTCTCTTCAAACTGGAGAACCAGAAAAGCCAGTAGTATGGCTCAGTCCAACTCTTAAGGCCTGAGAACCAGGGATTCAAAGCTACAAATATATAGTGAGGAACATGTATGGTAAGTGCATGCATAGATAGCTGCCCATAAAAATATACTTTTTTTCTTTAGGTGGAATGGTAATGGGAAATTAAAGAGAAATTTTCCAAAAAAATTACCAGAAAAACTATACTGGTTAAGTAAAATATGGTATGGTACATTCATTTAATGGAACACACAGCAACCATTTAAAATGATGGAAAATATATTTATTATATGTAGTAAAGTTAAAAGAAATCAGGCTTACATTAGTATGATCCTGTTAAAATATACATATAAAAAAGATTAACAGAAAACTAAGTCCTTATATATCAAAACTATCTCTGGTGAGAGAATATAGATTGTTTAAATTTCCTTTTGTTCGTTTATACTTTTCCCAATAAATACATATTACTTTTGTAATCCTGAAATAAACCCTGAAATGGTCAAGTTCCATAGAAACCCCTGGATGTGGCCATTTCGATGTTAATTTTCTCAATCACATTGGAGTGGGTGGGTCCACTTCTAAGAGCCAAAAACAAAATCAAAAGCCAAGCAGTCAGTTTAGCCAAGCTGCCAATCTAGAGGGCCACAAAGAGACTCAGGACCAAGCAGGCAGGAACTAGCCAGAGGAGAGTGCGAGAGTTCAGAAAGCAGAGCAGATGTGGCCTGAAACACTGACCTCGTTTTGTTAACCAGTCTATAAGGCTTCCCATGTCTTATGTGCCACAAGTCGTACCCTGCTCCACAACACACTACCACTCAATCCAATCAAAATGTTTCCTCTGGAAAGCCACTGTAGTGACCACTGCAGCAAACGATAATTGTCCACATTCATCAAATTTTGGTGGCTCACCTAAAAGCACATCATGGCTCATAAGTCAAGAACCACCAGTTTAGATAGGTATGCATCTTCAATACCAAGACCATTAGGCTTTCTGAAAAGTTAAATTTAGAAAACTGAGTGGTAAGTCCTTCATTTTTCTTACGTTTCCTTATATCTTATTTCACCTTGTTAAATTGAGCTTAGCCTAAAACTGCCTCCTTATATAATTTAGGTTCAGCCTAAAGGTTTCTTAGCAGGTAGTGAACTGTAACCTAACTAGATGTGCAAACAGACTGTAACCAACTCTTGGGCCAATCACCAGGGTTCAGCCAATAAGCGCTGCCAACTGTTCAAACCATGTCCAAATAAGGCAGATGCTGAGTTGTAACCAATCCAGCTGTCTCGGTACCTCATTTCTGTTTTCTGTACTTCACTTTCCCTTTTCTGTTCATAAATCTTCCTCAACCACAAGGCAGGCCAAAGCTCTTTCAACGTATTTTGGTTCGGGGGCTGCCTGATTTGCGAATCATTCTTTGCTCAGTCGAACTCTGTTAAATTTAATTTGCCTAAGGTTTTTCTTTTAACAATCTAAGTATCGAAAGCATGTTAGAAAAGTAACTTTCTTCTTTTGTCCCCTCCTGTCTGTAAAGAGGCATAAGATGATGCAGTTAATTCTCTTTTGGGACAACTTCTTTGACGCATCGTGTCTCCGGTACTAAATTTATTTGGGAGAGGGGATGTTGCTAAAATTAAAATTTGAGAATCAAGCAAAATAAAGTAAACATCTTTCTTCCTATTGATAAAATTTAATACTACTTTGTCACTGATGATTTTGTGTATTTGTTTTGGTCAACTACAACTTTATAAACAGGATATTCAACACATCAAAAATAAAGAGGAGGTTTTTTTTAATTAGTAAACAGAAATAAAAAGAAATTCTACTTATCAAAAATAATATATAATTTATAGTTTATTATTATATATACACAGGTGATACATGAAATCAAGTGTGGAAATGATTCTTCACACAGTATTACATTTTAAATACCAGTAGCACAAGGGCATTACAACTTTTTTTTTTTTTTTTCAAGACAGGGTCTCACTTCGTTACCCAGACTAGAGTACAGTGATGCAATCATAGCTCACTGCAGCTTCTAACTTCTGGGCTCAAGGGATCCTCCCACCTCAGCCTCCCAAATAGCCAGGACCACAGGTGCATGCCACCATGCCAAGATAAATTTTTTTTATTTTTTGGTAGAGACAGGGTCTTGTTATGTTGCCCAGGCTGGGATCAAACTGCTGGGCTCAATCAAGCTATCCTCCCACGTTGGCCTCCCAAAGTGTTGGGATTACAGGCATGAGCCATTGTGCCCAGCCAAAAACTTTCAAAGGTACTGAGAAGGACATGATGTACCTGACTCCAATAGCTTAACTTTATACTCTAGACAAGATTCTGTCCCTTCTTCATATTTATAAGCTGCTCTGAATTTGGCAGATCATGAAAACATTGACTGGAATTAGGCCTGGCAGTTCCTAGAAACAGTCTATAAATAGTTAACTCACATGTATCACTTTACAATGTTTGAAGTGTTAGAGTTCAGAATCTTATTTAGATACCTGAACCGCTTTGGAAAGAAGTAATATTGGCACAATTAATGCTAAGAGAGGACTAAGTAGTATTTGCTATGACTACTGCAAGGCACTTGACATTCAATTGGTTTTCACAACAACCCTCCTGAAGATTAGGTAGACCATATTATTCCAATTATATGCAGTGAGCTTAAAAGTAACCCATTCAAGATCAGACAGCTACCCTGACTAAACCAGACAGGTCACACTGAAGATACTTCAAGAACAGAACCATTTTAACTCATCTTTATGACACCTTAGGATTTAAATTCCTGATAAAAAGTAAACCCTCAGAAGTTATAGTGGATGGCAGAATAAATACAAGGTCACACGCAGAAGAAGAAGGAAAATCGATTCTCCTTATATCACATGGTCACTCCCTCCACCAGTGTTCCTCAAAGCAGGACCCACCTGAACCAGAATCATCCAGAAACTAATTAAAAGTACAATGCAGCCCCCACTTTCTTGAACTGCTAAATAAGAATATTTGGAGGTGGGGCCTGGGAGTTAGCATTTTCTTTTCAGACAGGGTCTCACTCTGTCACCCAGGCTGGAGTGCAGTGGCATGATCACAACTAACTTCAGCCTTGATCTCCCCCAGGCTCAGGTGATCCTTCCATCTCAGCCCCCTGAGTCAGTGGGACTACAAGTGTGTGCCACCATGCCCAGCTAATTTTTGTGGGGTTGTTTTGGTAGAGATGGGATTTCACCATGTTGCCCAGGCTGATCTCAAACTCCTGGGCTCAAGCAATCCACCCGCCTTGGCGTCCCAAAGTGTGGCAATTACAGGAGTGAGCCACTGCACCTGGCCAGAATCTGCATTTTTAACACGGTCTCCAGGCCTTTAAGAAATGCTGCCACATTGTGTACTTTCCCAAAGCCTGACTTCAGCACCATGCCACACCAGTATACAGCAGTTCTTAATTTTGTTTTTCATATCGTTGGCAATGTAATGAAATGCTTGATAAATCACGATAAGAAGTTCTAACACTGTGTGAGGGAGGATGGCATGAACTAGTGCTACAAAACCATGATATTGGAATTTTGTCACTGCTTTCTTCAGAAAATTGTTTTCTATTTCTCTGTATGGTAAATGCTAAAGTATTACAACTGCCATCTGGAGTTGTAAAGTCCTACTCAGTCAAGCATCAGTAGAGATTTACAGTATTCCTAGCTTACAAGATTTGAATTCATGTGAGAATTCACTGGGTACAAGTTGTCTTTTACAAGAGCCAAGCCCAAATAACCTGCAACAGCAGGAAGAAAATGAACTTACTGTCATGTTTCCACCCCCTGTTGGCACACACTAAAACTTATTAATTATGTGGAACCCAGAGGATTCACACAGAACCTTAACACCGAAAAGGTCAAAGCATAACAGACTCCAGAAAAAAATAATGGGTATGGAGCAGCTGCTAGTACATCTTTGACTACTACTAAATAATATCAAACATAATCAAACATACAGTCCTTTACAGCACATAGAGTACATTTCACATACTTCCATTAATTTCATCTATAAAATCCTATGACTTGCCCAGCATGCCTGGCATACTTCTGTTAGCAATTTTATCTGTGCGCTGTATCATTTAACTTCTCTTCCCCCGCTTTGTCTGAGTCCCTGGAAGGCAGAGAGGGCATATTCTCTTCTGCATCCTGAGCATCTGGCATGGTATCTGACTCAGTAAAGGAGGCACTCACAGATACAGGAATCCTTTTTAAAATAAATAGCACATTTTATAGATGAGACAACTGAAGCTCACAGAGATCAAAAGGTTTTTACTCTGGGAGATGACTTGGGAAGGAAGAGGGCAAAAGCCCTCAAATAAGAGTGGGGCTACTGTGTGGGAAAAAAGATTAATTTCATATGACTTTGCTAGACAAATTTGGATGGAGGTTAGTAAAAGACCGATTTCAGGTAATATGAAAAAGATGTTTCGAATGATGAGAAATACCCAAAATACGAAATGTGTTCTTCAAAAGGGAGAGCTGCCCAACATGTGACAGCATAAAAGAGAGAATGTACAGAAAGCGATTTATGCGGCACTGGATGATCAGCCACATGACCTTCCGAATAGGAGACTCCACAAGTCTGTCCCTTGAGACAGCTGGTAATTGGTAGAAATAGGATGAGACCTTCAGCTTTATATTGCTGTTCCCACTGGACCATAATGAACGCCTTTAAAGATATAGATAGCTACCAGGTTCTGACGAAATAAAAAGCAGGCCATCAGTTCTGGGCAAAATGGAGTGAGAGGGACTAGGTTTAACCTCCTGCCTGAAACCAACCAACCAATCAACCATATGTATGTATGAATCTATCTATATAAGAAACAACCATTTTTAAGAATGAGTGTCAAGAAATGAAAGACAGAGATCCCTGACTGAGAGGAAACAAATGAGGTGAGCCCTACAACTCTCCCAGTTTACTGCTTTGAGAGATTTTCCAGGTCACAATGCAAAGAGAGAGAACATAGGCGAATGGAGTGAAGAGAGATCAGAATCTGAGACCACCAAGGTGACTAGCATTTTCAGGACAGCATACCAGAGTGAATAGAGCTGCACTGAGAGAGAACCCAAGATATCTATAAAATGTTTCCCTTATTCAGTAGAGTTCTGATCAACACATGCATGTGAGGAAACTAACCAAGACTGAGAAAAGAACCATCCAAAAACAGTAGAGGGAACAGTACTCAGCACACTGCCATGGGGCCAGGAAGAGTGCCTATTCCCACTGCACATACTGGAAAACCTTATAATTGACCTGGAATTGAGTAGAGAATTCAGAGGTCTCATCTCAGTAGCGCAAAGCAAGGCGCTTTAGCTATAAACCAAATGATGCTCTGGTCCCTCCTAGCAAATATTAAAAGCAAGACCCAAAAGAATAAAACTGTTTCCATGTAATTTCGCTGTGTCCCAGAACAAAGACCAAGAACTGTTATAGAAAAATTAAAACATCCAGCCCCCTAAGTCAAGTAAAATTCACAATATCGTACAACTAAAGATTATTAGGCATTGCAAAGAAGCAAAAAATAAAAGATCCAAATGACAAAAAGCAACCAATTAAGTCCAACTCAGAATGCCACAGATGATACAATTGTTTGACAAGGATATTAAAATAATTATAATTACTTTCCATTTGTTCAAAAAGTTAAATAGAGATGTAGAATATATACATACACACGTACAAACATAGACAGTCCTCAATTTATGATAGTTCAACTTAAGATTTTTCAAATTTACAACAGTGCAAAGGTGATACACATTCAGTACAAATAATACTTTGAACACCCACACAACCAATCTTCTTTTCACTTTCAGTACAGTATTCAATAAACTGCATGAGATATTCACCACTTTCTTACAAAATAGGCTTTGTGTTAGATGAACTTGCTCATCTACAGGCTAATGTAAGGGTTCTGAGCATGTTTAAGGTAGGCTAGGCTAAGCTATAATGTTTGGTATATTAGGTGTATGAAATGCATTATCAATTTACGATATTTTCAACTTATGATAGGTTTATCTGGACATAATGCGATGCCCATTATGAGTTGAGGAACAGCTGCTTATATATACACATAACTATGAGGTATAATTCCCAGACATAAAAAAATACAATGTCTGAGATAAATAATATGCTGGATGGTATTAACCACGGGAGGTCTTGCAGGAAAAATGATTAGTGAAATTTAAAGCCTAGCAATAAAATCAATCCAAAAATGAAACACATGGAGAAAATGAATCAAAAAAAGAAAGAAAATAATCAGTGAGATATAGGACAATATCGAGTGAGTTAACAGAAGAGTAAGTGAAGTTCATGAGGGAGAGAAGAATTGGAGAGAGACAAAAAAAATTTTGAAAAAGTAATGGCTGAAAATGTCCAAACTTCAGTAAAACAACAAACTGATGAATCCAAGAAGCTCAATGAATCCTAAACACAAGAAACACTAGGCAAATTACATCAAAGGAAATCATATTCATAACCAGCCTGGACAACAAAGCAATTTTGTGACCAGCCTGAGCAACAAAGTGAGAACCCATCTAAAAAAAAAAAAAAGAAAAGAAAGAAATCATAATCAAACACTCAAAACCAGTGATAAGGAAAAAAATCTTAAATACCAGCTAGAGAAAAAAAGACATATTATATACAAAGGATGAGAGCTATGAATACTGCATATGCAATACAAAACAAAAAGACTGTTGATAACATCTTTAAAGCACTAAAAGAACAAAACATGTCTACCAAGAATTCTATATCCTGTGAAAACACCTTCCAAAAACACAGGCAACATAAAGACTTACTTTCAGACATATAAAAGCTGGAATAATTCATCACTCAACAACCACTGAGAAAGAAATATTAAAGAAAGTCCTTCAAGCAAAAAACAAATGATACCAGATGAAAATCTGGATCTACATGAGAAATTAAAAGCATAGAAAATGTTACAGGTTATATATGTGAGTTTTTTTGTTGTTAAAACCTATTAAAAGATAACTGACTATTCAAACAAAAACAACAACTATGTACTCAGGGATTTATAATATAGCTAAAAGTAAAATATATATACGACAACAGTAACATAAAGGCCAAGAGAGACAGAAATGAAGTATACTGCTCTAAGGTTTGTATGCAATAAGTGAAGTACTAAATATCACTTAAACTGTGATGTTAAAGATCAATGTTATAGACCATCTAGGCACTACCAACCACTAAAGTAGCAGGACAAATAGCTATGAACAATATAAGATCAAGGAAGATAAATCAGAATCATTAAAATACTCAATCCAAAAAAAGGCAGGGAAAAACAAAGGAAATGAATAAATAACAGATTAAACAAATAGAAAGCAAATAACAAGATGACTGGTTTAAACCTAAAGATATGAATAATCATATTAAAATGTAAATATTCTAAACATCCATAAAAAAGGCAGAGATTTTCAGATTGGATAAAAGATGAAGACCCAACGATATTTGCTTACTACAAACCTACAAACACTTTAAACACAAAGATACTAATAGGTTAGGAAAAAAGGTAATAGAATGGAAAAAGACACACACAGTAACACAAGTCAACACAAGTAAAAAATACACCATAGTAAGGACTATTTCTAGGGATCAAAACCATCATTTCATACTAATAAAGGGCTCAATTAATCAAGATGATATAACAATCCTTAGTATTTATGTCCCAATATTATTTCTTCCAATACATGAAGCAAAAACACAGAAATACAAGTAAAACAGACAAAATCCTAAATTAAAGTTGAGGATTTCAGTACCCTTTTCTCAATAATTAAAACAAATGGACAGAAAATTGTCAGATACATAGTAGACTAGAACTATCCTATCAACCACACTGACTTTATTAACATTTATAAAAGACTCCATCCAACGATGACAAAATATAAATTATTCTGAAGTGTACATGAAACGTATACAAGACAGGCAATATTCTTGACCATAAAATAATTCTCAATACATTTAAAAGGATTCAAGTTCTATAACGTATTTTCTCTAACCACAATGGAATTACATCAGAAATAAAAAAGCAGATCTCTGGAAAATCTCCAAATATTTATAAAGTTAATAATGCACTTCTAAATAATCCACTGGTTAATAAAGAAATCAAAAGAAAATTAGAATGCATTTTGAGCTGAATGAAAATACAACATGGAATTTGTGGAATGACACTACCACAGTACTCAAGAAGAAATTTATACCACCTAACATCTGTGTTAGAAAAGAATAAAAGTCTCAAAACGAATGACCTTAACAAACTGAAAAGGAAAAGCAAATTAAACCAAAGCAAGCAGAAGAAAGGAAATAATAAAGCTCAAAGCCAAAAAATCAGTGAAATAAAAAATAGAAAAACAGTACAGAAAAGTCAATGATGCCAAAAGCATGTTATTTGAGAAGATCAATAAAATTGATAAATCTCTAGGAAAACTTATCACAGGAAAAGAATACATAAATTATCAATATTACAAATGATAGAGGATATCACTACAGATTCTACAAATTTTAGAGGGATAAGTGGAGTTTATCCGAGGAATATAGAGTTAGCTTAACACTCAAAACATCAATCAACACATTTAAAAAACTAAAAAGGAAAACTACACCATCATCTCAACAGCATGTGACAAAATCTAACATCTACTTTTGATTTAAAAAAAAAAACCCAGCACACTAAGAAGGGAAAGGAATGCCCTTAAACTTTAAAAAGGGCCTATAAGAAAAATGTATAGCTAACATCATCCTTAATGGTGAAAGACTGAATGCTTTTTCTCTATGATCAGGAACACGGCAAGAATGTTCACAAGGATGTTCACGCTTACTATTTCTATTGGACATTGTAATCAAGGTTATAGCTAGTGAGATGGATGAGTGAGTGGGTGGGTGGGTGGGTGGGTGGTTGGATGGATGGATGGATATACAGATAGACCAACAGATTGATTAACTGATTCTAAATCCATTTGAAAACACTGTGAAGGACATAGATGGACAAAACAACTTAGATGAATGTGATTTCAAGACTTATCATAAAGCTACTGTAATCAAGGAGGTATTGGCATCAGAAAAGACAAATAGATCACTGCTACAGAATAAATAATCTAGAAACAAACTTAGATATGTAGGACAAATAATTGTTTGCAGAGATAGAAAGGCAATACAGTGAAGAAAGACCAGAGTTTTCAACAAATGATGCTAGAGAAATTGGATGTTCATATGCAGAAACAAAAAACATTCAATCCACACCTTCAGTAATATACAAAATTAGCACAAACTGATCACAGGTCTACCTATAATACCTAACTATGAAACTTCTGAAAGAAAAGATAGGAAAAAATCTTTGTAAACTTGGGTTCGGCAAAGTTTTTTTTAGAGATGTCTCCAAGATTATAAATCACAAGTGAAAAATTAGATGAACTAGATTTTTATCAAAATTAAAATATTCTGCTCCCCAGAAGACACTGTTAGGAAAATAGTCAAGCCATAGATGTGGAGAAAATATTTACAAGCATATCTATGATAAAGAATTTGTATCCACAGTATGTAAATAATTCTCAAATCTAAAGAAACAATAAGAAAATCACCCAATAGAGAAATGAGGAACAGATTTGAACAGATACATCATCAAAGAAAATAGGAATAGCAAAAAAAGCACATAAAAAGACGCTCAACATCATTGGTCATTAAGGAAATGCCAATTAAAAACTACAACTACATACCACTGCACACCTATCAGAGTGGAAAAAACTAAAAAGTCTGCCATGCCAAGTATTAGTGAGGGTGTAGAGCAACAGAAACTCTAGTACACTGTTGCTGGCTTGTAAAATAGAACAACCACTTTGTAGAACTGTTGAGTACTGTTTTTAAAAGTTAAACATACATCTACCACATAATCCAGCTATTCCATTCTTAGATTTACCCTAAAGAAAACATACATCCATTAAAAGAATATGTCTTGTACAAGAATATTCATAGCAGGTTTATTTATAATTCTCCAAAGCTGAAAACAACCCAACATCCATCAACAGGTGCTTATGGATAAACAAACTGTGGTATATTCATGCAATGGAATACTATTTGGCAATATAAAGGAATTAACTTTATATACACAAAAACATGGAGTCTCAAAACAATTATGCCGATTGAAAGAAGTCAGACAAAAAGGAATACAATATTATATGATTACAGGTATCCAAAACTCTAGAAAACTCAAACTAATCTATGGTAAGAGAAAGAATAACATTGGTCGTCTGGGGAAATGGAGGAATTACCAAGGGATTTGAGAAAGCATTGGGTTCTGTTGAGAAAGTAATGGATTCTGTTCGCTTTCTGGATTTCAGTGATCAATTCACAGATGTATATATATGTCAAAACTTATCATGCTATATGCTTTAAATAAGTACAGTTACTGTAGTGAAGAATGCCACAATAAAGCTATTAAAAATAAGACATCCCATCAAAGTCAAGGAAACAAGATTAATATGTCATATATTTAAGTTAGTTCTTCAAATAAAAAAACACTAATGGTAGTAGTGGTAACAAAAGTACTTCAGTAGCAGCTCACATTTACTGAGGAGTTACTGTGTCAGGCATCCTTTGAAGCACCTTACATGAGTTAGCCAATTTATTCCTCAGGGCCACCACCCTGTCATTTTATTAAATAGACACAATTTTTTCCCCATTATCTGTGATCTCACTTTCCATGGTTTCAGTTACCCACAGTCATTCTGAGAGAGCGAGAGACAGAGAATGAATGTGCACAATCATATATCTTTTATTAAGTATACTGTTATAATTGTTCTACTTTAGTTATTGTTGTGAATCTCCTACTGTATCTAATTTATATACAGCATTCAGTAATACCCAGTTTCAGGCATACATTGGGGATTTTGGAACATACCCCTTGCAGATAAGAGGAGAGAGCTGTACTATTATTATCACACTTCAAAGATGAGGATTGGCTTATTTCACTTGGTATAATGTCTATAAGGTTTATCCCTATTGTAGGATATGTCAAAATTTTATCCCTTGTTAAGGTTTTAACGATATGCCATTGCACATATATATACCACATTTTGTTTATCCACATTTGGGTTTTTCCACCTTTTGACTATCATGAATAATGTTGCTGTGAACATGGATGTACAAATATCTGCTCAAGTCTCTGCTTTCAGTTCTTTTGAGTCTACATCTAGAAGTAGAATTCCTGCATCATATAGTAATTCATTGTTTTAATTTGTTGAAAAATTCCTCTAGCTTCTCATTCCTAAATTGCAGTCCACAGTATCAACTTTCTAGAAGGAATACCTGACCATAACACTCCAAGGCTTAGAATTCCTTAATGGTCCCTGTATTAGTCCGTTCTCATGCTGTTATAAGGACATACCCAAGACTGGATAATTTATAAAGGAAAGAGGTTTAATTGACTCAGTTCTGCAGGGCTGGGGAGGCCTCAGGAAACTTACAGTCATGACAGAAAGGGATGCAAACACATCCTTCTTCACATGGCAGCAGCAAGAAGAAATGCAGAGCAAAAGGGAGGAAAGCCTCTTTTTAAACCATGAGATCTTGTGAGAACTCACTCACAATTGAATGGTAACTACAATTCAAGATGAGATTTGGGTGGGGACACAGCCAAACCATATCAGTTCCCTAACTGATTTTAGGGTGAAACTCAGACTCTTCAACATAGCAAGTCCTTCCCAGACAATTCCACTCCAATCATAAGGACCACTCCTTCCTCTAAGGATTCAAAGCACTTTGTACTTATAGGGCCTCTAGGGGTACTGCCCTCACTCTATTGTTAATGGTATATATTTCTATCTCCCTCACTAGGCTTCCAACTATTTAAGAAAAGGATGCATATTTTTACTCCTCTTTGTGTCTTCAGCACCCTTCCACAGTGCCTGGAACATACTAGGAACTCAATATATTGAATAAATGTCAGTTTGGCTGTCCAAAATATTAAAATATTGCCATATTCTAAAATAAGCAAAGTAACAGGGGAGACAGAATACAGGTTAAACGTGTGTGTGTGTGTGTGTGTGTGTGTGTGTGTGTAATACAAATAAGTTAAACTATATATACACACACATATATAATATTTATGTTAATATAATGAGAAACGTTTTCTTTATATGTAACATGTAATTATTCACATGCTAGTTTTCATCTTCAGTTGTAAGCTCCTTTAGGATGCTCTACTAGGCACATCGGAGGAAAAGAGACCAATGATACACAGCCCACTTGCATGTTAGAGACAGCACCAAAAACAGCCTAATATCTGGAGCATCTCTCTCTGCTGAGGGGTATCACACATTTATGTATGGATCAGCCCTTTGGTTTCATGGACTTGCTACACAAGAAATATGCTCTTACATCTGCGATTAGGAATTTGGTAGGATTTCTTGATTAAAGGCTTTAATACACTCTGTTTTCTATTCATGAGTGGTCTATTCCATCCACGACAGGATATTGTAAAGGACTGACTTATCTTACAAGTAGTATACAAATAAACCAAGCTTTTTTCAGGCCAAATGGATTCTTCATGGTCCCCAAATAAGCAAGCCCTGGGAAACACTTCAACCTGCAGAATCTAGAGAATCATAGATCAGCAGAACCTCTGGCCTAAACATTTTACCCACATTAGAAACAAAAACTAATGTCTTGATAGGAGTAAGAATCATGGCAGCAGGAAATAAACTGACAAATAAAAGTATATCAAGGCAACAAAATCAATTGCTGAACAGGGAGAAAAATAATAGCTTGGTCACTTAGGACTCAGAATGAAAGGTAATAACATTGATGCTGGAAATGGAATTCTTAAGTGAAACCTAACAAGCCTGAAGCTCAGTGGTTTCATTCCAGTAAAATCTAAGATCGATGGTAACAAAGAGTCTCAAATGCACTTCAAATTTCTTTAAAACTGAATCTCGTAATCAGGTTGGATTTGCATAGCCTAATTTCTTAAATGGGGCCATGCAAACAGCCTTTAAATAGAACATTTTAAACTAATCTCAGAAGTGGACTGCTTTCACATAACAAACCTGAAGCACAACAAGAGGCATTATCTTAGCCACATGAGGGTAAATGAAGTGGTCTTTACTTAAAGCCACTAGAGACACCTGACCAGGTGTTCATGGTTAAAGAACATTTAGTTTATAAATAAAGTATAACGCAATCGTATATATTTGTTAAATATATACTTGACAAATTTCTAAGAAAGTCAAGCTCTAATGGTTTCATCCTCACACTTCACATGTTTTTAAAAGCCAAAATTAGAATATTTTCAAACTGGAATTGCTCTACTCTGGGGTCCCTAAATTACGCAAAGTAGAGTTTCTCTAGAAACATCTGACATGAAAGAATGCTAAGAGTCAAAATCAAAAAATGAAATATATAAAGCGTGATAATCATTTAAGCAGAAACAAAATTCAGTCTCACTATCAAAACCAAACACAAATACGAGTGAGACTGTAGAAAAATGAAGGGAAAAATGAAAGGAGTGGGGACAGTGATGAGGATGTCCAGAAGCAGGCACAGAACCTGGGAACAGCAATGACCACGATGGGAAGAAAGAAGCCAAGACCTTGGGAACAGTCCAGAATCTGGAGACAGACGGTTTCTCTACCCACCTCAGAGGCCCTCAGGGCAACACTGAATCAAAAACTATTCATAATTGAGACACTGAGAGATAAGGACTTGCTGAATTATCTTTGTGCACTCCATTTACAATAATGGGGACATCATGCATAAAATCTACATGCTTCTAAGAGGACAAGTGTGAACATGTGTCTCTCTAGGTCTCACCTTTTATTTGGATTTGGGAGACACGTGAAGAGTAAATACACAAGATGAGTGTGAAACAGAATATGCATGTGAGGTTACTTTTTCACTTGTCTGTGTTAGGACAGGATTTTTATTATCGGTAGCAAATGAAACAGGCTTATGTAAGGGACCGTGCTTTAAATCTTAGACATAAGGATTTAGGTGTAAGGTCTAATAGCTGTAAAGTGTCTGGTATCAATATCAACTTTCACTCTCCTTTGCCCAAACATATCTATAGTTTCATCCAGAAAAGGAAGAGTTTTTCACATCAGTTAATGACTGAAATGGAATATTTAATTTGAGCTCCTGTTCACAAATACCACAAGTTCACAAAGTGACTGTTGCATAGCACAAAGTTAGTACAGCACAGTTGCATAGCACAAAGTTAGTACAGCACAGTAAAATACAGGTAGATCACAGAGAATGCTAGAAGGTGACATTGGCTTACCAATGTTCTGTCTCCATTGTCCTTTGATTGCACAGCTTTCAAACACATAAAAGATAATGGACAGCCCTAGAGAGAGTTGAGACTTGAAATTAAACACACCTAGAAGATAGCTAGTGAGATTACAACCGTGTTCTGTATGACCCCAAGAGGAAGATTTAGAAGAAAGACATGAGAGCCAGTGGAAGATATTTCAGCTCAGATGTGATAGATGAGAATAGTGGTAGTTGATATGTCATTTAATTCTCTAATGAGACCACAACAAGGAAATGGAGAATCAGAGAGTCAAGGGTCTTGCCCAAGGTCACAACATGTGTGTGTTGCAGTCAGGATACAGAAATTTGCCTGATTAAAAGCACAAGTTCCCCCCATTACTGTAGGCTGCTCTCCTGATTTTCTGGTCTTCAGCATGGGTTAAGCAAGGATTGGCTGACCACTGGTTAGCAGTGTAAGGGCTTTATATGTCAAGTGCATATATATATACAAATTGCCTAAAAATCCCTTTTACTCTGAAATGCTACATTTCTCTGGCCAAAGCACACTGCTTGAATTGCCTTTCAAATGCTTACTATTTTGTTGAGGTAAAACCCTACAGCAACTTTTTCTAGCCTCTCCTGACTCTCCTACGTGAGAAGAGGATTCCATTTTTTAAGGGTCATTATTCATTTTAATGGTATAAGATTAGTCTTAGATATCAGGAATAGAGGGACCTGCAAGGAAGATCCAAAACTCTAAGGGACTCACCTATAAGATGTCTAAAGCCAGGAGGAAAAAAATAAGATACAAATCTTTCTTCATAAACCAAAATGCCCATTTACATAAAAGAAACTAGAACAAAGACATGAACAGTATATGTCATATAATTTAAGACAGGAAAGATTACACGTACAACATTCATTTTTATGACAGAGATAAATGACCATAAAAGTTTACCATGGCAAGAAAAGATAAGAGGAAAATAAAGCCAGCTATGGATTTCTTTAGGAAGAGCAATTGCTCTCCCGCTGCATCTGGCAGAATCAAAAGCCTGGTACAACTGAGAGGACAGGAAAGTTCATGAAGAGGTGCTAGCATCACAGGCAATGTGGAGAAAAACAGCTTAAATTAGGAAAGCATAAAAATACATTCATGTCTATTATGCTTTATTCAAAACTTCAACACACATTCTAAGGAAGGAAGATAATTGACTTAAAGGTATGAAAGGAAGAAGTATGATCACATGGAAAGGAAAAAGGCACTGGGATCATGACATGGGATTCAGGCCCTACTTAGTGGCCTTGGGCATGTCCCTTTGCCACTCCAGAATAAAAGGGGTAAACTCTCAAATGACTCAAATCTAAGTTTTATTTAGAATATATTACTTTGATCTCTTACATTAGATATATCGACATTACTTTGATATCATCGACTAATACTTTCTATATATTACTTTGATCAGTTTTTAGCCCTATGTCTCCAAAATTTTTTTTATTAAACATTTTTTAAAACAAATTGGATGGAACTACCAAGTTCTTCATTTTTATTTTAGCACTATGGGGTACACATGCAGGTTTGTTACATGGGTAAATTGCATGTCATGAGCATTTGGTGTATTTTGTTACCCAGGTGATAGGCACAGTACGTAACAGGTAGTTTTACGACCCTCACCCTCCTCCCACTCTCTACCCTCGAGTAGGTCCCAATGTCTATGGTTCCCTTCTTTGTGTCCATGTGTACTGAATGTTTAGCTCCCACTTATACCTGAACATACTGTATTTTGTTTTCTGTTCCTGTGTTAGTTCACTCAGAATAACGGCCTCCAGCTCCATGCATGTTGCTGCAAAGGACATGATTTCATTCTTTTTCACAGCTGCGTAGTACTCCGTGGTGTATATAAACCACATTTTCTTTATCCAGTCGACTTAGGTTGAATCTACGTCAATTTAAGTGGCCTGAATATGGTACATATGATACATATTTTCTATATCAAGTCCATTTAGGTTGATTCTATGTCTTTACTACTGTGAATACTGCTGTGCTGAACATATGCATACATGTGCCTTTATGGTAGAATGATTTATATTCCTTTAGGAATATACCCAATATGGGATTGCTGGGTTGAGTGGTAATTCCGTTTGAAGTTCTTTAAGAAATTGCCACACTGCTTTCCACAATGGCTAAACTAATTTACATTTCCAGCAGCAGTGTATAAGCATTCTCTTTTCTCTGCAATCTTGCCAACATCTGTTATTGTCTGACTTTTTGATAACAGTCATTCTGACTGGTGTGAGATAGTATCTCATTGTCATTTTGATCTGCATTTTTCTAATGATCAGTGATGTTGAGCATGTTTTTATATGCTTGTTGGCCACATGTATGCTTTCTTTTGAAAAGTGTCTGCTTATGTCTTTTGTGCATTTTTTAATGGGGTTTTTTTTTGTTTGTAAATTTAAGTTCCTTATAAATTCTGGATATTAGACCTTTGTTGCATGCATAGTTTGCAAATATTTTCTCCCATTCTGTAGATTGTCTGTTTGCTGTGCAGAAGATCTCTATTTTGTCAATTTTTGTTTTTGTTGCAATTACTTTTGGCATTTTCGTCATGAAATCTTTGCCAAGTCCTATGTCCACAGCAGCATGTCCTAGGTTATCCTTCCAGGATTTTTACAGTTTTAGGTTTTACATTTAAGTCTTTAATCCATCTGGTGTTAATTTTTTAGATGATGTAAGGAAGGGGTATAGTTTCAATCTTCTGCATATTGGCTAGCCAGTTATCCCAGCAACATTTACTGAATAAGGAGTACTTTCCCCCATTGCTTCTTTTTGTCAACTTTATCAAAAATCAGATGGTTGTTAAGTGTGTGGCTTTATTTCTAGGCTCTTTATTCTGTTCCATTGGTATGTGTGTCTGTTTTCTACCAGTACCATACTGTTTTGGTTACCATAGCCTGTAGCATAATTTGAAGTCAGGTAATGCGATGCCTCCAGCTTTGTCTTTTTAGCTTAGCCTTGTCTATTCAGGCTTTTTGATTCCATAGGAGTTCTAATATTTTTTTTTTCTAATTCTGTGAAGAATGTCATTGGTAATTTGATAGGAATGGCATTAAATCTGTAAATTGCTTTGGAGAGTATAACTGTTTTAACAATATTGATTCTTCCTATCTGTGAGCATAAAATATTTTCCATTTCTTTGAGTTATCTCCGATTTCTTTGAGCAGTGTTTTGTAATTCTCATTGTAGATATCTTTCACCTCCCTGGTTAGCTGTTTTCCTAGTTGTTTTATTCTTTTTGTGGCTATTGTGAATGGGAGTGTGTTCTTGGTTTGGCTCTCAGCTTGGATGATGTTGGTGTACAGAAATGCCACTGATTTTTGTACATTAATTTTGTATCCTGAAATTTCACTGAAGTTATTTATCAGATCAAGGAGCTTTCTGGCAGAGACTATGGGATTTTCTAGGTATAGAACCATATGGTCTACAAAGACAGATAGTTTGACTTCCTCTCTGCCTATCTGAATGCTTTTTATACCTCTTGCTGACTGCTCTGGCTAGGACTTCCAATACTATGTAGAATAGGAGTGGTGAAAGAGGGCATCCTTGTCTTCTTCCAGTTTTCCAGGGGAATGCTTTCATCATTCAGTATGATGCTGGCTGTGGGCTTGTCATAAATGGCTCTTATTATTTTGAGGTATATTCCTTTGATGTCTAGTTTGTCAAGGGTTTTTAACATGAACGGATGCTGAATTGTATTAAAAGCCTTTTCTGCGTCTATTGAGATGATCATGTGGTTTTTGTCTTTAGTTCTGTGTATGTGACGAATCACATATATTGATTTGCATATGTTGAACCAACCTTGCATCCCAGGGATAACGACTACTTGATCATAGTGGATTAGCTTTTTGATGTGCTACTGGATTTGGTTTGCTAGTATTTTCCTGAGGATTTTTGCATCTATGTTCATCATCAAGGATACTGGACTGATGTTTTTCTTTTTTCATTGTGACTCTGCCAGGTTTTGGTATCAGGATGATGCTGACCTCACAGAATGAGTTAAGGAGGAGTCCCTCCTCCTCAACTTTTGGAAATGAAACTGCCATGTTATTCTAAACACACTAATTTTAATATTCAAACTTGTGATTATTACATCAAAATTCAACATCACTCATTATTGACATCACATGCATCTTAAATATTTTTATGAAAAGAGATTCACTCAAGCTAGTTATTTATAAAATATTTTTATTGTTTTTTTTCCCCGAGCCATACAATCCTTAAAATCATTCCCTACCCAAATAATGCAGCTCATTTTCATTTGATAAAGGGTGGGAAATTCTGGCAACACCCAGGCTACTACTACCTCCACATTTCATCTCTGTTGAATCCTCCTTCAAGAGCTTGAGGGTCCTGACAATGTCTGATGTGTCCCCATCTTGAGGGATTTATTAGAGACTGCTGGGCCATCATCTGTCGCAGTCCTAAGCGATTTTTAAGGCAGGATAAAGTAATGGGCTTCTTTCAGGTCAGAGCAAGATCCAGGATTAACAAAAGCATAATCAAGTGGCATAACCAGCTGACAGCAAGGCATTAACAGATTCAGGGCATTTGGAACACTGAAAGGGGGAAGCATGTCTAAATTTAGTTTAATAGAAATTTCTGCAGTATATTAATCTCTTTAAAAAAACCATTTCTGAAATCACAGATTGTGCCTTTTAGATATTTCGGTGGACATTATTTACTTACTGGAAGACTCATTTTTCCTATGCCTTAAAAATCATCATGAATATTAGGGAATCACTAATTTCCTAATTGTAATAATGGCATTTTAATGTGTTGAGGGAAAAAAGGACTCTTTTATATTCACATGCAGGTTGTTTTAGATGCAATGATATGATAAGCAAGGATTACCTTCAAAATAAAGAAATTCAGTCATGAGTTTGAAATGGTTGAAATTGGGAGATGGAAACAAGAGGGTTCACTATGTTTTGCTCCTTGCTTTTCCATCTGTTTAAATTTTTTCGTGACCCAGCTCATGGGTGTTTTTTTTTGCTGTGCAACATTTCTCCTCTTTATATCGGTACATATATCCTGATTCTTTCCTTTATAGTTTCTGGGTTTGGGATCATAATTAGAAAAGCTTCCATCAGATCAAAACTACTTTCAAATTTCTTCACTGGTTTCTTCAAGTGATTTTTATGATTTCATTCATTAACATTTAAATCTTTATTTATTCCACTGGAAAATTTTCCTGGTCCTGCCAATGTGAATTATGGATCCAAGATGTGAATTATGGATCCAACCTTTTTTCCAAGCAGACTATCCATCTTTCCCAAAACCATTTATTATCTATTTTGTTTTAGTGATTTGAAATACACTTGTATCTTATGTTAAACTATTAATCTGTTTCTTCATGAACTAGTAATACACTATGTTAAATATCAAAGATTTTTTAATGTTTTTAAATATATATTAGGGCTAGTTTTCCTTATTATCCTTCCTTATATTTTCCTGGGCTATACTTTACTATTTTTCCATAAATTTATAATAGGCTTATCTTACTAAAAATATTATCTTTTGTATAAGTATCACATTACATTTACAGTTTAACTTAGAGAAAGCTGACTCCTTTATGATGCTAAGTCTTTTCAATCATAAAAAGAACATGGTATGCTTTTCTGTTTCTCATGTCTTTTTCTAGGAAAAATCATACATGTGTTATATTTATTTTTTAAATAGAAAAATTATATCATTTATAGCTAGGAATTTTATCTTTGTTTAATGCTACTGCAAATGAGATCTTTCCTTCCACGATATCTTCTAATTGGTGGCTGTTCGCATCTATGTAGGCTATTCCCATATGCTAATATTTCTGTATGTTAAAATGAACATGCTTATTGTTCGTCATGTTGTTTCAATTGCTCCCATAAAGTTTTCTAGGTATACAATCATATCATCGAATGACGGTAATTATTTTACTACCTGTTCCCCAATTTCTATACTCATGCTTGTGACTCACTTCCAATCTCTCCCCACAAAGAGGCCCCAAATGATACACGATATACTCAAGTCCTACCCTCACCCACTACCTGCTACCACCTCTCCCCTCACTACTCCTCCTGAAGCAGCTCAGGTCTTCGGTTTCCCTCTTCATTTTAGGCTCCTGATAACACTTTCTGGTTACTTTTGCTATGAATGAAAACATTTTTGTTTTGTTTTATCCATCATTTCTAAGTATTTTGTAGCAAGAGATTTTCAACTTTTGTAGTCAGTCTGATTCCTCTGGGAAGGTTCTGCGTACTGATTTCTTCTGTGTATACAATGTTTATTCAGAAACCAGAGGGAGGATTCTCTGCTGGGTTTGTGACTCCATTTTCACTCTCTACCCTCTCTTCTTCTGTGGGCCCACTTTAAGCTGAATCTATGGAATGATGAAAGGTTATAGTTCATTTTACCAATTGGGATTAAGGCCCACTATGAAATGAGTTGCCCAAAGGCAGGCACATTCCATATTAGCATGATGAAACACAGTGCACAGGTCCATCCACCTCTCTAAGACAGGCTTTGAGATGAGTTCTTCTGCTACTCTGATATGGTTCTATTTAGGTTGGTGCAAACATAATTGCAGTTTTTGCCATTAAAATAACACAAAAAGCTATTAACTAGCATTCTTTATACCATATGTTTAAGTCCTCAGAGTTTGATTAAAATATCAGAATAAGTGTTTTCTTTAGTGTGCAGAGCATCTAGGAAACCATATGGCGTTATTGCTGACAGGATTTTAACCCAGGCCCTTTGTAACTTCTAGGAGACGTTAGAAATCAATCACAAGCACAGAATAGAGAAACATTTCTAAAGAATAAGGGTAAAATACAGAAAAATCATGAAAAAGTCAGAAAGACAAATGAATCTGGCTAAAGAACAAAAGATAAGAAAATAACTGGTTAACTTCAGAAAGAAACAAATATTCAGCAATTAGTTCCAGCTAACCTAACCACAGGAATCCAGGGAACCAAGAGGCCAAGGGGCAGATCTTCCGCTCCTCTAGAGTCCCACAGATTTTTCAGTTCACAACTGAGTCTTAGGGTATTGCTTTAGGAAGTTTTAGCTTGAAGACCCTGAATTTACAGTTTTGCTACTGGGTAAATCCTACATACACGACAAAACACAGTGAAAGGGTTGGAAGGCTGAGAAAAATCTGGCCATTCCTTCAAATATGGTAAGAGAACATGAGATAAATAAAATAGCTCATCCTCTGAATTTAAGTGGGTCAACATGACCAATTCAACACCAACTTAGAGAGGGGAAACAAGAAAAATAATAAATCCCTAGCAGATGGATCCTGAATACCAGAGGAACCCAAGTTCTCTAGAGATAATGTTGCCATGTGTATGACCATATGTTCTTCTTCTGAGATTGTGGTAGCCAGAACTATTTTCTTCTTGCACAGAGATCATCAGCAAGCGTGACAAGGAAGTGCACTCCAATGCACTCTCAGGAATGTAAACTGGTGCATCTATTCCAGAATGCAAACTTGCAATAGGGGTCAAAACTTAACAGGTAAACCTTTTGATACAGCAACATAACTCCTGAGTGTTAGCTCTAAAAACACAGATAGGTGGCCAAAGATACATGTAAAGTGTTCAACGTGACACTTTATAAATAATGCTGATCTATGCATTCACCATGAGATGACTGGCTGAATAAATGATGGCACATGCCATCAATGATATATTATGTAACACAGAAAATGGATGATGCACTGAACTAATAGAGCTGCCCTTGTTCAAAGAGGCACGTGGTCTTTGCTGGGAGCTCAAGCTCATGATATTTCACAGTATCAAAAGCAAGCACTACTGGACAGCCAAGAGGGGCTAGTGCTCAATAGTGGTGCCACATGGTAGTAAGGCTGAGGGCAGGCCAGGGATGGCAGCAGGAGATTGGTGGATGGTAAGGCTCTTCTCTGCTTGAAAGCAGATTTCAGCGAAATTCCTTTCTAGACTGTACACACGTGTGGGGATTGGGGTTAGGGGGCTGACAAACTAGGCACAGGAGAGAATATCCCTGGAGGGTGATATTGAAATTCCTGTCAGTCTGGCAAGTATACATTTCAGTTGGATTTAATTTAGTTTGGAAAAATATAAGCTGTGACTGCTTGTTTCCTTCACCTTGAATGCTATGCAACAGTTCATGCTGCTTGCACAGAAGTCTAATAGTATCTTTACCAAATGACTGACAGTGACTCAATCATGGTTTTATACAGAGAGGAATATTTCACCGAATTTTGGCTTTTCCTCCCCCATGTCTTTCTGTATTTGATTTTTTTTTTTTTTTTTTTTTTTGAGACAGAGTCTCACTCTGTCACCTAGCTGGAGCGCAGTGGCATGATCTCGGCTCACTGCAACCTCTGCCTCTGAGGTTCAAGCGATTCCCCTGCCTCAGCCTCCCAAGTAGCTGAGACTGCAGGCACGCACCACCATGCCTGGCTAGTTTTTTGTATTTTAGTAGAGACGGGGTTTCACCATGTTGGCCAGGATGGTCTCAGTCTCCTGACTTCATGAGCCACCCGCCTTGGCCTCCCAAAGAGCTGGGATTACAGGCATGAGCCATCGCGCCTGGCCTGTATTTGATTTTTTAATAATTTGCATATTCTCTATCTTTAGGGAAAGAACAAAAGCTAAAAGAAAAAAATGAATAAACACCTTACTTCCCTTCAAGGTTAGAAACATCTGTACTTGTGACCTTCACAGAACAGAGGAGTTCAGGTATAATTTAGTCCACCTCTTCTGCATAAGCAGAAACAAAGTCAGAGAATTTATTAAATGGCCTGCCCAGCATTATTTTTCTCTATCTCATTTAATCTCTTATTTCCTTTTCTCCTCTCTTAGTTGTATATTACTCATCAACTTCAGCTCATGGAATTTTATCTCTTCATATTACATCCAATTTTCTTAGTTTATCTAAAACCTAGAATTCAGAACCATCCCAATATAAACATATTCACACAGATTTAAAAAAATACTTTCCAAGGATTTTCTTCTGGCTGTCTCCCACTCACCATAACATGCCAGATACCGAGATATCCATCCATCAGGCACTCTATCTCTGTTATGTAATCCAAAAGTTAGAGCAGCCTGGAAAGCTACCTCTGTATGAAGCTGATATTAAAAGCACTAATCACTGACAATATGGCTTGGACCATTTTATGAGTCAGAAATTCAGAGGCAGAAGGTGCCTTGTTTTAGACAAGGTAACTGAAGCCTGGAGGCCTTAAGATGTTGACCAAAGTGACAAGTGACTGCCTGCATCTGGACTTGAAGCCAGGACTGCAAAGTCTTCCTATCCAGGACTCCTTCTACTACCATATGTAATATTCCCTTTCACTTCTTCTAAAATCAGCAGGATCACCTCAGGAAGTACCCAGGCAATTATATGTAAGGTTGACACCAAAATCCTAAAAGACTAGCTACAGGAAAAAATTAGGAATGAATAAGAACAAGCACACAGACAAACGGAACGCAGAAAGTGAATATGCCATCTAAATCTTAGCCCATTTTCTAGCTCCCAGAGATTCAATGCCAGTCTGATTTACTAATTCCCTTCAACCAATATCATGACAATAGAGCAAAGGAGAAGACAAGAAGAATTTAGTAGGCGCAACACAGGCCAAGTCATCAGGGAGAACTGATCATCAGGGTTACAATCCTAGCATTTTCTGCTTCTGCAAAACTATGAGACAGTTTAAATATTCCTTGGTGCATTCCAAGGTTAGGAGTCTAGAAGGCTATTCGGGGGGCAATGATATGGTTTCAGTGACAAAGTTATGTACTAGTGGATGTCTAATGAAGTTGCTAATAGAGGAATTATTAAGACAAAAGACTAAACATGTTGCTTTGCATTCCTCAGGTTATATTTTGAACACATGAGTGGGACTGGCCACTACTCTGACTGGACCTGTATAGAAATGCATTTGAGGCCAGGCACGGTGGCTCACACCTGTAATACCAGCACTTTGGGAGGCCAAGGTGGGCGGATCACGAGGTCAGGAGTTGGAGATCAGCCTGACCAGCATGGTGAAACCCTGTCTCTACTAAAAATACAAAAATTAGCCAGGCATGGTGGCGTGCACCTGTAATCCCAACTACTCAGGTGGCTGAGGCAGAAGAATCCCTTGAACCCGGGAGGCGGAGTTTGCAGTGAGCCGAGATCATGTCACTGCACTCCAGCCTGGGTGAAAAAGTGAGACTCCGCCTTAAAAAAAAAAAAAAGAAATGCATTTGAGCTCATGCTCAAGTTGAAGGTGCAAAGCCAGCTACTAATTCTGAAGAAAGCAGACTATATGTTTGTTAGCAATCAATCTATCCAGCCCTGAGTGCCCGGTTTTCACAGCCCATGTGGCCTCTCTAATACCCTGTGGTGTGAGGGAGCTGATTCTTAAAGAGGAAATGTCAGCCCAGGACAGTATCAAGGTTCCAACACTGGACTTAGTACATCCTCCCAGAAGGGCATCCTTTATTTCTAAGAGGCAATGAGGCTTCTGCATGTTCAGTCTTTAAAAGTCACTCTAAAATAAGAACAAGTCCCAGAAAGTGATGGAAGGTAAGAGGGTTATGGATATGCTATGCATGTGGAGAGCAATTTTGGTTTTAGCATCCACAAAAAATGGGCTATGAAAAATCGAAAAAAGGAAGGGATAATCCAAAGCTATGTGATATGGTTTGGCTGTGTCCCCACCCAAATCTCATCTTCAATTGTAGTTCCCATAATCCCCATGTGTCACGGGAGGGACCCAGTAGGAGGTAATGGAATCATGTGGGCAGTTCCCCCATGCTGTTTTCATTATAGTGAGTGAGTTTTCATGAGATCTGATGGTTTTTTAAGGGGCTTTTCCCCCTTTGCTCGGCACTTCTCCTTCCTACCGCCCTGTGAAGAAGGTGCCTTTCTTCCCCTTCACCTTTTGCCAGGCCTGTAAGTTTCCTGAGACCTCCCCAGCCATGTGGAACTGTGAGTCAATTAAACCTCTTCTGTTCATAAATTACTCCATCTCAGGTATTTCTTCATAGCAGTGTGAGAATGGACTAATATACCATAGTAGTAAAGTGATTATTTGTCTGCTGTAATACATCCAGGAATACTTTCTCTTTGGCTTTGTTTATAAAACCGTTTTCTTCACAGTCAATTAGCTTCAAGGCACAAACATAAATCTGAAATATTCATTACAAAATACAAATGTAATAGTTATCTGTATTTAAAATATCCTTGAGTTATAAAGCTAGATTTTAAAAATGTTCTCTTTAAAAAAGGAAAAAAAAAGTCCTCTTTAGTGTGGACCTCCCTGAGTCCTCCAGCTGCCCCCACTTTGAACAGACTTCAGAACTGGAAAGGACTTGGGTATTACAGAGGGCCTTCACTGAAGGGATGAGAAAAGAGAGGCTCGGGGAAGTTGTGATTTGTATCAGCTTGCAGGACAACTCAGACAACAACACAGCCTGAACTAGAACTATCAGGTCTGCCTTCTTTTGGTCTGCTGTTTTTCTCCCATCATGTCAAGATGCCTTTTAAAAATGCAACATCAGTATAAAAAGGCCTCTATGACTTACTAAGGTCAGAGCTAAGAAATGACCCCAACATTCCCTACCCATGTTCCTCAGATAAAATACCATCCTCCAATTTCAGAGACATCAAGATTTTTTTCACAATGTTTCCATTTTTAAAAAAATCTGGATAGATTTTTCTGTGCTTATTCCTGCCAAGAAGTAATCCACTCCTAGCTCTCTGCATAATAGCTACCCTGACTGAAAAAAAGAGGTTGTGATTATGTAATGGCCATCCAACCCACTACCACCCGGGAGCATCAATACAGAAAGGGCTTTTTACAGAGAAAGTCAGAAGGCCCCAGGCGAGCACAGAGGGAGTGCAGATACCTCCTGGTTACCTCCTCAAAGTTGCCATCTGAGGAGTATATTGAGATCTAAGCAATTGCATTTGTTCCCCTGAGATTATGTGACACCGAAAACCTTACTGACTCAGGGAAAATAATCCACTTACTCCTTATGTGTGCAGAGCAGAGAAGCTACGTGAAGTTTCTAACCCCCTGGAAATAAAAATCTTCAATATTTGCTGACAACCTCAGGCATCTACTCCACTGTGTATGAAGCAGAGGCTAGCTCGTGGGATCCCAAGTTCCTCTCTGATGCTTCCACATGTACCTGTCATCCTAAGAAGTTAAAGGGATCGCATTTCACTTTGAGAAAATGAAAATATCTTGATAAGATATTTCATCTTATGCTACAAGACACCAATAAACACTCCAGAATTTTCACCCACTGAACAAAGCCACAAAAAGCAGCCAGGGGACAGAATGGGATGACATTTCTTACTGACTGTTTTCTAATTATTTTCTTCTCTTGTATTCCCTCCAGTAACTTTTGCAGTGCCTCTTTCCCCTCTAGTGATCTCTGGCTATTTTTATATTCTTTCATAATGATTTATTCATGTCTAGTGAAAATTTTATAATTTTCACTAGATTTCTTCAAATTTCAACATTGTGACTGCTGTGCAAGGTATCACCTAAGTGTGCCACTGCCTCCCCTACTCCATTCCCTACAGAAAAAATAAAAATAAAAATAAAACTCTAGTCTGTAAGCCCCCACTTGTGAAGGTTTTAGTAGGCTCTCTAAATGTGAAGTTTGACATTTAACTCAATTATTTAAATTCTCCAGAGCAATACCTTAAGGAAATCACCATTCCCATTTTACTGGCACATGGAAAATTTAGAAAGAATAGCGGTTTCTCTCACTTTATTTAGAGGTGAATATGTTCATTTCCAACATTCATACCCTCAACTTATACCATTCACACTCTCAAATATTTGCTTGCTTTTCCCTGTCTGTCTTCAGCTCTAGTATTGCAGTGGAAGGGGAAAAATAATGACATTTTATAAATTGAATTCTGAAAGCTAAATGACAGGCAATCCTGTTAGCAGCTTCAGGTACATCAAGTCTAGTATATAGCAAATCCAGCGATCTGGGTATTATAAAAGGCAATTATAGTAGTTGCTTTTACAATAGAACAGTTAAGAAATCCCCCAGAGAAAAAGAACACTTACTTATTAGCATTAAAAAATAGGCAATCAACACCAGACTCTTAGTATATTCCAAGATTTGCTCTCTCTTTCTCTCTCTCCTGCTCCGCCATTGTGAAGATGTGCTTGCTTCCGGTTCACCTTCTGCCATGGTTTTAAGTTTCCTAAGGCCCCCCAAGACAAGCTTCCTGGACAGCCTGTGGAACTGTGAGTCAATTAAGCCTCTTTTCTTCATAAATTACCAGTCTCAGGTACTTCTTTATAGCAGTATAAGAACAGACTAATACAGAAAATTGGTCTCCAATTTCCTTACCAGGATTTTTTCTTTCTGAATAATATGAAAGTTTCCAACTAGAAAAACGAGAGAAGCACTGCCACTAAAAATCTTGAAAAATATTATTAGGCATGGAAGAAAGTAGGAAAATAAAATATAGCGTACACTTCACATAAATTCAGATCATTAATAAGCTTCCTCTTCTCCACTATACATTCAGTAATAAATTCTTTTATCAATAGAAATTAAATTATTACCATGAAAGCTCTAACCAAGACAGGGGTGGTTACCACGATTACAAATGTACTGATGTTCAGTGTCTATCCTGAAAGCAAAATGAGACTCCTCTCCCATCAAAAGCCTTGCCAGGCATTTCGTTCACTGCTCGCTTGATTCATCCAGCAGAGAACTGGAGTTCTTAGCAACTTTGGTTCTTGAAAAATATCATCTAGGAAAAGAATTACAAATTTTCAGGTAGCAATTTTGCTGTCCAGTTTTATGTGTAGAAAGATTCTTGTATAAAATGGCAGAATAAAGGCAGCCTTTCTTTTTATATGTGTGTGTGTATGTGTGTGTCCATATTTGAAGAAGCTTTACACCATTCGCATTTCTGCAAACAAAATAAAACAAAAACATTCTATCCCTATTTTACACAGAAGTAAACAAAATAAAACAAAAACTTTCTATCCCTATTTTACACAGAAGTAATGGCAACTCCTAGAAAGTAGAAGTTGGATATTTAGTTCATCTTTGTTTCTTCATCCATCTAATGCAACCAAAAGAGCATCCATTAAGCCTCCTAAATGGTAGGGTTTCTGTTGCAGAAGAAATGCTCAAGTACTTGCCACTGGAGAAAAAATCACCAGCAACCAAAAGTCTCAAAAGGAGGACCCTGATCCATGTGTCCAAACATAACGTTTTCTGCTCAAAAACAGACACTCAGTAAATTTCCAAAACCCACTATCAATATTAGTATACATGCAAGTTTCCAATACTTAAAAAAAGTTTTATTTTCAATGGACAATACAGTGGCATGGCTAAAAAACCAAAACACTATTTGATATGGTTTGGCTGTGTCCCCATCCAAATCTCAACTTGAATTTATCTCTCAGAATTCCCATGTGTTGTGGGAGGGACCCAGGGGGAGGTAACTGAATAGCTGGTCTCTCCCCTTGCTATTCTCATGATAGTGAATAAGTCTCATGAGATCTGATGGGTTTATCAGGGGTTTCCACTTTTGCTTCTTCCTCATTTTTCTCTTGCCACCACCATGTTAGAAGTGCCTTTTACCTCCCACCATGATTCTGGGGCCTCCCCAGCCAAGTGGAACCGTAAGTCCAATTAAACCTCTCTTTGTTCCTAGTTTCAAGCATGTCTTTATCAGCAGTGTGAAAACCAACTAATACAGTAATAAAAAGTATACAGTGAAAAATATTTCTTATCCACCTCTGCCCCTCCTAGCTGCCCTACTTTCTCCAAGTAATTTTTTTTTTTGAGATGGAGTCTCCTCTGTTGCCCAGGCTAGAGGTCGGTGGCACAATCTCAGCTCACTGTAACCTCCGTCTCTTGTCTTTAAGCTATTCTCCTGCCTCAGCCTCCCAGTAGCTGGGACTACAGGCATGCACCACCAGACCCAGCTAATTTTTGTATTTTTAGTAGAGATGGGGTTTTACCATATTGGCCAGGCTGGTCTCGAACTCTTGACCTCAAATGATCCACCCACCTTGGCCTCTCAAAAGTGCTGAAATTACAGGTGTGAGTCACCACACCTGGCTTCTCCAAGTAATATTTACAAGCAAGCACATGTAATAGTTTCTTAAATATCTTTATAGGGTTTCTTCAGGCAAAAAAAAAAAAGCAAATAAGAATACCATTGTATACCACTCCTTCTTACTCAAAAGCTCAGATAAGCATATTCTGCACCTTGCTGTCCCCCATATCCATACATAGCAAGCACCCTCTACTTTTTTAACATCTGCATATTCCACTATATAGATGTACCATCCCTTAGTCTATCTTCTATTAATATATACTTGTTTGGTCTCTTTCCAACACTTTACGATTTCAAAAATGTTGTATTTAATAAATGTGCACACAGGTCATGCCACACATATGAAAGAATACTTCAGAAATGAATTCTGAGAAATAGATTGCATTTGTAATTTTTATAGATATTGTCAAATTAGGTCCTCGTCTTCCATTTCTTCTGTTGGCTGAAAAAAACTTTTCAGTATGTACTCTCAAAGAACATCAGGCAGTTTATGTGGAATATATAGTACTTTGTAATAACTGTCAAAAGTGTACAAAACCACTAATTTTAAAGTCCAAATCAAATACTGACAAGATAAAGAGCAAAGTTCCAGGAAAAATAAGGAAATCTATAATCTATATTGTTAGTGAATAGTACAAATTAGCTTTTAATAAAATACCAACTATGTTAGTGTAAAATCTTCTCTGACTGCAAATCCCATCAATTTTTTGAGAGCTAGAAGAAAGCAACTCAATTTGCAGATTTTTAAAAATCCAGTCTTATTTCATATGTTCAATAAACTGAGTGTTTTGGTTTCAACATGTGGGAGTCATACGCAAATCAACTGAAGATCAGGCTTAGAACGTTATAAACCCTGACAAAAATCAATTAGATAGGGATTTGTTTGTAGGCCGCCCAAAAAATTAAGGTTAGCAAGAAATGTCCTAAGTACGTTTTTCTAAGCAATATATTACTATCTAATTTTCTATTATCTGTCCAACAAATTTAAAAGAGACACACAAAACACATCTTTCCAATGTTTTTATTGATAACTGTGGCAATATTTTCTGATAGATAAAATAAAAGTAGAATTAGGGTTAGTAGGAATTAAAAGACCAATTTATGTCTCAAAGAGAAAGAAGAAAACTGGAAAAAGCTATAAAGCAACAACTGGAACAGGAAATAAACAATGAAAAACACTCAGTCACCCCTTGGCAAGTGAGAAACACAAAAACTAAATGGCAGAAAATCTAGCCTGTGGCACCTGCCGAGACCAATTCATCATTAACTTTACCCTAGCATGCTAAGGTTCTTATTGGTAATAAGAGGTTTCAGAAGTCTCTGTTTCACAAAGCATGCCCTTTTCTCCACTGGAAGAAATTATTTAAAAGTATAATATTTGCCACACTTCGGTAGTAAGGTTTTTGAAGGCTAGGTTGCAGAAGTCTGTTTACTTCCAGCTAATCACTATGTCTGTAACCCATTCTGGCAAGATCTTCTAAGTAGACAAGAGGACTCTGGGTTAAGCTTCATGAACAAATTCCCTGGCCTTCTAGAGGATAAATAATGATTCTCATGATATGGAGACCATGTGTTTCCACTATGAGTTCTTCAGCCTTTGTATTTTATTCACATAGGTGCCCCTAGTACCCGGCACTTTTCATGTTATTCTTAATAAATGTGACGGGCTAGGAAAGAATGGAGAGAGAGTAATTCTCCCATTAGGTAGATTGCCACATGCAAGCCACAGTGCACATTTCTACCACTGGGCTTCCACTCACAGGTCCTAACACCTGTCTTGGGCTTAGCTGGCCACAGGAGCTTGGTGGGCCTCATCAACATAATTTTTGAGCAGAATGAGGCGAGATCCTATGGGATGTCTAGGTCAGGGCCTTGTTTTTAAAAATGGGAGTGATGTTGTCAAGTCTAAAGAGGACATGTGATGTGGGGGAAACCAAGACCAAAGCCAAAGAGGTCAAAATCAAGGGAGCTGCAGCACGAAGTTCAGATAGTGGATAGGGAGATAAAGCTTGGAGGAGTCCATAAAAACAAAGTCAGACATATTCAACTTTTTATGCAGTGCCTGAGGCCTCGCCCGGGGGAATGCTGAATGCAGTAAAAGGACAGGTCCAAAGCAGAAACACATGTTTATCCCATAAACGCTACTGAGCAGTCACTTCTTTTTGCCAGGCACCTAGCTAGATATTGTGGGGGTGTAGACATAAATCAGAGGTATACAACTGCTGCAGTTTTGGCAATCCAGAAGGGAAACAAAGTCTCATACAGGCACAAAAAGATAACACACAGCAGAGAACAATCTTTCCAAGAGTCACACAGAATGTGCGGTTAAGCATTCAGAGGAAACTAAGGGGCACAATTTGAGAATTCTTTCATTCACATGATATTTACTCAGTGCTACCTACCACTTGCCTGGAGTTGTTCTAGTTGCTACAGACAGAGGAACAAACAGAATTAACAAAGTCCCCGAATTCATGTGCCTAATTCTAGTGGGATAAGAAGTTAAAATAAATAAATAATTTCAGTAACTGAGTATTATGAAGACAAAGAACACAAGTTTTGTGGTTATAGACTGCAGGAGATACTATTATAATCAGGAAGGTCAGAAGAGGCTTTTCTAATGAGGTGGTATTTGCCCAAAGACCTAAATGAAATAAACGATATACATGAAGATTCAGGCAGAGGAAATGGCAAATGAAAGGCAGGAATAACCTTGCATATTCAAGGGACAGCAACCAGGCCAGAGTAGCAGGGACAGTGCTAAGGAGGAGGGGCTAAGACATGCAATTAAAGAGAGATGAAAGGGCCAAATCACATGGGGCCTTGTAGGCTATGGTGAGGACACTCAAAAGGAGGGGTCATCTGCACTGGGCTTTAAAATGTGTATGTCCCCTCTTATTAGCACTGTACATTAATATGGCATATTTGTTACAATTGACGAGTCAATATTGATATATTATTATGAACTAAAGTGCACAGTTTATTCAGATTTGCTTCTTTATTACCTAGTGGCCATTTTTTTCTGTTACAGGAACTCATTCAGGGTGCCACATATTTAGTTTTCGTATCTCATTAGACTCCTCTTGGTTTGACAGTTTCTCAGACTTTTCTTTGTTTTTGATGACCCTGAAAGTTTTGAGGAGTACTGATCAGGTATATTATAGGATGACCCTCTGTTGGGGGTTTTCTGGTGTTTCTTTCTCATGATGAGACTAGAGGTGGGAGTTTAAGGGAGGAAGACCACAGAGGTGAAGTGCCATTTTCATCACATCATATTAAGGGAACACACTATCAACATGATTTATCACTGTTGATGACGTACACCTTGATCACCTGGCTGGGGTAGTGTGTGTGGGTTTCTCCACTGTAAAGTGACTCTCCCACTGCACCCCCTCTCCATTCTGTATGCTTCAAGAGGAAGTCTCTATGAGCATGTCACACTTAAAGAGTGGGCAGGTATGCTAGAACAGAGTGCATAATTTGCAATTCCTCTGCACAGGAAGTATGTGTCTTCTCCCCCATTTATTAATTTATCCCATCATTTACTTCCATCAGTATGAACTCATAGATATTTATTTGATACGTCAGGTTATGATCCAATACTATGTTATTTTTCTGTTCAAATTTTTCTGTCTTTGGCCATTAGGAGCTCTTTGAGCTGGCTTCTGTATCCCTTTGACATACTCCCATCAGCATGTTCTCTGGAGTTTTTATTCTTTAGCACCCCTTTCCTCTCTCGCACTACAAAATGCTCCAGGCTCATCTTGCATGCTTCCTGCCCCCATACTAGAATCAGCCATTTCTCCGAGGTGCCCTGGTTCCTTTTACTGAAGGATGGTATTGGAAACCAGAGCTGAGCACTAGGTGTGCTCACGATCTCTGTTATTTTTTTCACACTGGGTCTTATTTTCGTTTGTCTTCTCCTGCTTATAAATAATGTATCCAGAGCTTCACCTGTTAAACAGTACGTTACTTCTCTTATATCTAATATTCTCCTTTCACCCATTTTCCATCCCAAACTACATTTTTTTTCACCGTTGATCAAAGCAAGCTATAGAAAATACTACGTAAACAGAAAATAACTCCCCAAAAGGCAATTCCAGTGGTTGAAAATTTGGCCAAAAAGGCTGCCACATTGTGATGCTGAGTCTCCCATAAAATTGAACTCAATGGTTAGAACCAGATAATCTTGGTACACCTCGACATGAGGCACCCATTGCTAAGTAGCATAACAAATTCAAAACAAGTTCAGAGGTATTTTAATTTTATAAGTAGACAGAGACTGGAAAAGATGAACTTAGGTGAAAGCAGGGAGCAGAAGGCTAACTTGTATACTAGAAAAAGAGCTACTATGATACTGAACTATGAGACACAATCTTTGCCCTTACTTTTTAAATACTAGAGCATTACAGAAACATACTGTCAGGCATCTCTTAAATGAATTTTGTTACATAACAGAACTGGCTGTAGGCAGCAATCCTCGCCATGGTAACAAATATGATAATTACTTTCTAAATTGTATGCCTCAGATAATAAGTGGTCTTTGAGACCCTTTCCCCATACTGCCTTGAGATTCACATCCATCATTGTTTCTCTCTGGTTTAACAAGTATGATTATCAGAGTCAGCAAAATAATGTTTTCGGGGGGCAAAGACAAATCCTCGACTTAAACTTTATCACCAGGACAAAGAAATACCATTATTTTCTATAGGGAACATGATTTTCAGTTCAACTATATGTATGTTATAGTTTGTTTTTAACATTCTGATTTTTATCATTAGAACTTCAGGACTATACTATGAAGAACATGCTTTTTTAACTCCACTATGCTGTATGTTGACAATTGTATTTACAATTGAAATTTTTTTTGCTGCACTTAAAAAAGTTTGTATTGAACCTATGTACCCTGTTACAGAGTCAAAAACAGTCTCAGTGTTACCATTCAGCATACTCCTCCTCCAATATCTGCAACAATACTGTACTTCAATGACTTTTAAGGCTCTCCTGTTCTCACAAAATCCCAAAATAATACTTGTTCACTTGCAGATGAAGTCACAGTGAACTGCAAACTTTCAATACCTTGTACCAATTCTGCTAATCCAATGATTTCAATGAAAACGTAACTGCTTAAGTGAAATTGGATTGAAAAAAACTCAAAATTTAAATGGTTCTAGATGATGAAATGATTATAAGAAAAATCAAAGCATACACTTAATGTGAGAGAGCATATTTAAAGGCTTAGAATTTTTTAATGCTAGTTTACATCTTAAATTCTTACTATTACCAGCTTATTTAATGTGCATCTTCAGTCTGGGATCATTCTTATCACTCCGCTAAAAATACAAACAATCAAAATGTAGTTCACAGTTGCAATTCCATTGTTTTGCAAAGATTCCACTGTCGATCTTCCCACAATTCTTTTTTTTTTTAATTATACTTTAAGTTTTAGGGTACATGTGCACATTGTGCAGGTTAGTTACATATGTATACATGTGCCATGCTGGTGCGCTGCACCCACTAACTCGTCATCTAGCATTAGGTATATCTCCCAGTGCTAACCCTCCCCCCTCCCCCCACCCCACAACAGTCCCCAGAGTGTGATATTCCCCTTCCTGTGTCCATGTGATTTCACTGTTCAATTCCCACCTATGAGTGAGAATATGCGGTGTTTGGTTTTTTGTTCTTGCGATAGTTTACTGAGAATGATGATTTCCAATTTCATCCATGTCCCTACAAAGGACATGAACTCATCATTTTTTATGGCTGCATAGTATTCCATGGTGTATATGTGCCACATTTTCTCAATCCAGTCTATCATTGTTGGACATTTGGGTTGGTTCCAAGTCTTTGCTATTGTGGATAATGCCGCAATAAACATACGTGTGCATGTGTCTTTATAGCAGCATGATTTATAGTCCTTTGGGTATATACCCAGTAATGGGATGGCTGGGTCAAATGGTATTTCTAGTTCTAGATCCCTGAGGAATCGCCACACCGACTTCCACAATGGTTGAACTAGTTTACAGTCCCACCAACAGTGTAAAAGTGTTCCTATTTCTCCACATCCTCTCCAGCACCTGTTGTTTCCTGACTTTTTAATGATCGCCATTCTAACTGGTGTGAGATGGTATCTCATTGTGGTTTTGATTTGCATTTCTCTGATGGCCAGTGATGATGAGCATTTTTTCATGTGTTTTTTGGCTGCATAAATGTCTTCTTTTGAGAAGTGTCTGTTCATGTCCTTCGCCCACTTTTTGATGGGGTTGTTTTTTTCTTGTAAATTTGTTTGAGTTCATTGTAGATTCTGGATATTAGCCCTTTGTCAGATGAGTAGGTTGCAAAAATTTTCTCCCATTTTGTAGGTTGCCTGTTCACTCTGATGGTAGTTTCTTTTGCTGTGCAGAAGCTCTTTAGTTTAATTAGATCCCATTTGTCAATTTTGTCTTTTGTTGCCATTGCTTTTGGTGTTTTAGACATGAAGTCCTTGCCCATGCCTACGTCCTGAACTATACTACAAGGCTACAGTAACCAAAACAGCATGGTACTGGTACCAAAACAGAGATATAGATCAATGGAACAGAACAGAGCCCTCAGAAATAACGCCGCATATCTACAACTATCTGATCTTTGACAAACCTGAGAAAAACAAGCAATGGGGAAAGGATTCCCTGTTTAATAAATGGTGCTGGGAAAACTGGCTAGCCATATGTAGAAAGCTGAAACTGGATCCCTTCCTCACACCTTATACAAAAATCAATTCAAGATGGATTAAAGACTTAAACGTTAGACCTAAAACCATAAAAACCCTAGAAGAAAACCTAGGTCTTCCCACAATTCTAATAATGGATCCTGTGATGGTTAGTTTTATATGTCAACCTGGCTAGGCAATAGTATCCAGTTATTCAATTAAGCATTAATCTAGGTACTGTTGTGAAGGTATTTTGTAGATATGCTTAAAATCTACATTCAGCAACTTTAAGAAGATTATTGTCAGTAATGTGGGGGGACCTCATCCAATCAACCGAAAGTCCTCAAAAGCAAGAATTAATATTTTCCCTGAAGAAGTAGAAACTGCCTCAAGAATGCAGCACCAATTCCTGCCTGAGGGGTTTTCATGCAAACATGTCCTATGAATTTTGCACTTGTCAGTTCCCAAGATCACAGGATCCAATTCCTTGAAATAAATCTCTTGATTCCATCCACTCATAAATATACATATACCCACAGACATAAACACACACACACCTGTCCATTCCACTGGTTCTGTTTCTCTAGAAAACCTTGGCTGATATAGGTACCAAGTACACCACCCTTAAAAACCACCAAAGCTATACCATGTATTAGGATTAAACAAAACTCAAACATCACAGACAAATTCATAAATCAAGACACACTGCTTATTTATCGCAGTTGTCAGTTCAGATCAATGTGGTTGAGACCAGAGCCTTATCTTCATTTCCATTGATTTTTAAATGTTGGCAGTGAAATGAAGAGTAATAAGATCACTTATATTTGCTTTCTTTCATTTTGAAGGATATTTTGAAGGACATAGGAATCTGGGTTGACAGTTTATTCTGTTAACACTGTAACCTTACCTAATTCTGATGAGAAGTCTGCTTTGACTCATCTTTCTTCTTCTGTATATAATGTGTCTTTTTCTCTGGTTGACTTTGAAATTTTGTTTTTTCTCAGTGTGAATACAATATGTCTGACTGTATGTGTGTTGCAGGGTATTCATTCTGCTTAGTGAGCTTATTGGATTTCTTATGTGGTATGTGTCATTAGTTTGGGAAAACTGTACTATCATCTCTTCAAATATTTTTTGTATTGCACTATTTTATACCACACTATTGACTCACTTCTCATTCTGGGATTCTAATTACATATACACTGGAACTTTTGATATTGTACTAAAGCTCTTAGGGGCTCTAACATTTTTGGGTCTTTTGTCACACCCTCTTTTTTCTTTGTGTTTCAGATTTCCCATAAATCTCTTCTGACCAATCTTCAAATATACTGATTATTTCTTTAACTGCATCAATTCTACCAAGGAGGTATCAAAAGCATCGTTCATCTCTGTTACTAAGTTTTTCATTTCTAGCATTTTCATTTCACTCTTTTTTGTAATCTCACCTTTTCTACTGAAATTCCCCATCTGTACATGCATATTACCCACTTTTCCCACTTAGAACCTTTAACATATTGATCATAGTTATTTAAAATTCTCTGATAGTTCTAACATCTGGTTCATATCTGAGTCTGGTTCTATTGATTGCTTTGTTTCTTTTATGTGTGTTGTTTTACCTCACTTTTTGTGCATCTCAGTAATTTTTGGTTAAAAGCCAGCCATCTTGTGCAGAACTATAGAGACTGAGGTATGTAGTATTTGTGCCTGGAAATGAACATGTCTCGCATCCTGCTAATCTTAAGTGTGGGGAGTTGATTCAATTTAGTCAGGAGTCAGGAGTTGAGAGCTGAATTTAGGCTTATTAGCCTCTGCACATCACAGGTTTCATGTGTCCTTGGCGTCACCCTGTTCTTCAGTTGGGGCTGGTTTGCCACAGTGTTTTTCTCAATGTCTGCTTCACCCTCAGCTTTAGGTCTTCCCTTTGTGCCTGTACCTTAGGGAGGTCTTTCTCCATGTTCTCCCCACTCCCCTAGCAGTAGACCATCAGCATTTCTTACTCTGAGCTTAGCATCCTGGTGTATGTAGAGAGGAAGTATTCTCTTGTTCTGGTTCAACCTCAGTCTTAGGCAGGATCCGTTTGCCTGGGTATAGGGGTAGGACGTTCCAAGTGATCTACCTCCTCCCACAATGTTAGGAGATCTCTAATAGTCCCAGTGGATAATATTTCTTTGACCCTCCTCCAAAGGTACAGCAATTTTCCTGTTCCTTTCCCCTAGCTGAAATAGGTCTCCACCTGTCCCCTGAGCCTAGAGTTTGCCGCCCTTCCCCCAGGAGCTTAAGGCTTTTGTTCCACAAGAGAAACAGGGTTAGAGAAGGATCCAGAGGGCTTCATGCCTTTCTTGCAGTGGTTGCTGCTTGCCTCCATAAGAATGCCATTCTTCCATCACTTGCCTTGCCCCCAGTGTTCCCCATGAGCACAAGGTGAGGTCTGTAGAGAACTGCCTGCATGTAACTGAATTCTCCTTGCAGCTGCAGGTCCCATGCTGAGATACATTCAGCTTTTAGTACTTAAAACATAACTCAGTCTTTTTCTTACTAGCTTATGTGACATCAGCATCAGCATTTACTCCAGTTAAGCAAATGTCTTGTCCTGTCTACTTGGAAACTCATACCTTTTCCTTAGATTTCAGGCTAGTTAGTTGCTCTATGACCGAAATTCTCTGATGAGACCAAGAAAAGTCATTTTGTATACTATCTGGATTTTTTACTATTGTAAGCATGAAGGCAACACTCTGTGAGCTTTCTACACCCCAGCAGAAGCATGTTCACAGAAGGTTTCTTGTCAGTTTTGGTTTCAATAATACAAAAGCTTCCGGAGTTTGAAATACACAAATACACATACATCATGTTAACTTGCAAACTATGAGCATGTGAGGAAGTGCTTAGGATGCTAGTTAAAATGCTACCTCTTAGAATTTATCCAAACTTAATGGGTTTTTCAAAGGAGGAATAGATCTTGTGTCCTATTTAAGCCCATGTTTTCCTTTTTTTTTTTTTTAATTTTGCTTTAACTTCCAGGATACATACGCAGAATATGCAGGTTTGTTACATAGGTATATGTGTACCATGGTGGTCTGCTGCACCTATTGACCCATCCTCTAAGTTCCCTCCCCTTGCCTCCCTCCACAACAGGCCCTGGTGCATGTTGGTTCCCCTCCCTGTGTCCAGGTGTTCTCTATGTTCAACTCGCACTTACCAGAACACGTAGTGTTTGATTTTCTGTTCCTGTGTGAGTTTGCTGAGGATGATGGCTTCTGGCTTCATCCATGCCCCTGCAAAGGATCTGATCTCATTCCTTCACATAGCTGCATAGTATTCCATGGTGTACATGTACCACATTTGCTTTATCCAGTCTACCACTGATGGGCATTTGGGTTGGTTCCATGACTTTGCTATTGAAAATAATACGCAAAAAACATATGCATGCATGTGTCTTTAGGGTAGAATGATTTATAATCCTTTGGGTATATATCTAGTAATGGGATTGCTGGGTCAAACGGTAGTTCTGGTTGTAGATCCTTGAGGAATCGCCACACTGTCTTCCAAAATGGTTGAACTAATTTACATTCCCACCAACAGTGTGAAAGTGTTCCCATTTCTCCACAGGCTCACATCTATTGTTTCTTGACTTTTTAATAATCGCCATTCTGACTGGCGTGAGATGGTATCTCATTGCAGTTTTGATTTGCATTTCTCTAATGATCACTGATGTTCAGCTTTTTTTCAGTGATGTTGAGCTTTTTTTCATATGTTTGTTGGCCACATGTCTTCTTTTGAGAAGTGTCTGTTCATATCCTTTGCCTACTTTTTGATGGGGTTTTTTCTTGTAAATTTGTTTAAATTTCTTGTAAATTCTGGATATTATACCTTTGGCAGATGGGTAGATTACAAAAATTTTCTCCTATTCTTTGGTTGCCTATTCACTCTGACTGTAGTTTCTTTTGCTGTGCAAGAGCTCTTTAGTTTAATGAGATCCTCCATTTGCCAATTTTGACTTTTGTTGCAACTGCTTTTGGCATTTTTGTCATGAAGTCTTTTCCCATGCCTATGTCTTGAATGGCACTGCCTAGGTTTTCTTCTAGGTTTTTCATGATTTGGGGTTTTACATTTAAGTCTTTAACCCATCTTGAGTTAACTTTTGTATAAGGTGTAAGGAAGGGGTCCAGTTTCAGTGTTCTGCATATTAAGCCCATGTTTTCTTAATTCAGAGTCAGAGGACTCACTGGTGACATATGACCATGCTACAGGAAACCCTAACACAAATTTAGAAATGTGCCTGTATTTTTGCTGATAAATCAAGAGACAGCGGAAAATACAATGACAACAAAGAAAAAGAGAACAAAAAAGGACAAGCATTAATTGGTAACACTGTAAAGTACTACTCACTGTAGTAGTCTTCCACCACATACTGATTAGACTCTTTTGTTGTTGTTATTGTTGTTTTGCCACTTACCTCTTCCTACTTAGTTCTATGCTTAAACGTAATACCTTTCCTAAAATTATTTCTAAGCTTCTTCCTATTTTTTCCCATTTTAATATAGCCCCTTTTTGATTCCTTGAAAGCTTCTAGAAGCATGGGTAGTTAAAAGATTTGGTGTGAGTTCTGTACTTATTCCAAAATTGACCACATAGTTGGAAGTAAAGCTCTCCTCAGCAAATGTAAAAGAACAGAAATTACAACAAACTGTCTGTCAGACCACAGTAAAATCAAACTAGAACTCAGGATTAAGAAACTCACTCAAAACTGCTCAACTACACGGAAACTGAACAACCTGCTCCTGAATGACTACTGGGTACATAACGAAATGAAGGCAGAAATAAAGATGTTCTTTCAAACCAACGAGAACAAAGACACAACATACCAGAATCTCTGGGACACATTTAAAGCAGTGTGTACAGGGAAATTTATAGCACTAAATGCCCACAAGAGAAAGCAGGAAAGATCTAAAATTCACACCCTAACATCACAATTAAAAGAACTAGAGAAGCAACAGCAAACACACTCAAAAGCTAGCAGAAGGCAAGAAATAACTAAGATCAGAGAAGAACTGAAGGAGATAGAGACACAAAAAACCCTTCAAAAAATCAATGAATCCAGGAGCTGGTTTTTTGAAAAGATCAACAAAATTGATAGACCACCAGGAAGACTAATAAAGAAGAAAAGAGAGAAGAATCAAATAGACGCAATAAAAAATGATAAAGGGGATATCACCACCAATCCCACAGAAATACAAACTACCATCAGAGAATACTATAAACACCTCTACACAAATAAACTAGAAAATCTAGAAGAAATGAATAAATTCCTGGACACATACACCCTCCCAAGACTAAACCAGGAAGAAGTTGAATCCCTGAACAGACTAATAGCAGGCTCTGAAATTGAGGCAATAATTAATAGCTTGCCAACCAAAAAAATCCCAGGACCAGACAGATTCACAGCCGAATTCTACCAGAGGTACAAAGAGGAGCTGGTACCATTCCATCTGAAACTATTCGAATCAATAGAAAAAGAGGGAATCCTCCCTAACTCATTTTATGAGGCCAGCATCATCCTGATACCAAAGCCGGGCAGAGACACAACAAAAAAAGAGAATTTTAGACCAATATCCCTGATGAACATCGATGCAAAAATCCTCAATAAAATACTGGCAAACCGAATCCAGCAGCACATCAAAAAGCTTATCCACCACGATCAAGTGGGCTTCATCCCAGGGATGCAAGGCTGGTTCAACATATGCAAATCAATAAACGTAATCCAGCATATAAACAGAACCAAAGACAAAAACCACATGATTATCTCAAGAGATGCAGAAAAGGCCTTTGACAAAATTCAACAGCCCTTCATGCTAAAAACTCTCAATAAATTAGGTATTGATGGGACATATCTCAAAATAATAAGAGCTATTTATCACAAACCCACAGCCAATATCATACTGAATGGGCAAAACCTGGAAGCATTCCCTTTGAAAACTCGCACAAGACAAGGATGCCCTCTCTCACCACTCCTATTCAACATAGTGTTGAAAGTTCTGGCCAGGGCAATCAGGCAGGAGAAAGAAATAAAGGGTATTCAATTAGGAAAAGAGGAAGTCAAATTGTCCCTGTTTGCAGATGACATGATTGTATATCTAGAAAACCCCATCGCCTCAGCCCAAAATCTCCTTAAGCTGATAAGCAAGTTCAGCAAAGTCTCAGGATACAAAATCAATGTGCAAAAATCACAAGCATTCTTATACAGCAAAAACAGACAAACAGCCAAATCATGAGTGAACTCCCATTCAAAGTTGCTTCAAAGAGAATAAAATACCTAGGAATCCAACTTACAAGGGATGTGAAGGACCTCTTCAAGGAGAACTACAAACCAGTGCTCAACGAAATAAAAGAGGAAACAAACAAATGGAAGAACATTCCATGCTCATGGATAGGAAGAATCAATATCATGAAAATAGCCATACTGCCCAAGGTAATTTATGGATTCAATGCCATCCCCATCAAGCTACCAATGACTTTCTTCACAGAATTGGAAAAAACTACTTTAAAGTTCATATGGAACCAAAAAAGAGCCCGCATTGCCAAGTCAATCCTAAGCCAAAAGAACAAAGCTGGAGGCATCACACTACCTGACTTCAAACTATACTACAAGGCTACAGTAACCAAAACAGCATGGTACTGGTACCAAAATAGAGATATAGACCAATGGAACAGAACAGAGGCCTCAGAAATAATATCACACATCTACAACAGTCTGATCTTTGACAAATCTGACAAAAACAAGAAATGGGGAAAGGATTCCCTATTTAATAAATGGTGCTGGGAAAACTGGCTAGCCATATGGAGAAAGCCGAAACTAGATCCCTTCCTTACACCTTATACAAAAATCAATTCAAGATGGATTAAAGACTTAAATGTTAGACCTAAAACCATAAAAACCCTAGAAGAAAACCCAGGCTTTACCATTCAGGACATGGGCATGGGCAAGGACTTCATGTCTAAAACACCAAAAGCAATGGCAACAAAAGACAAAATTGACAAATGGGATCTAATTAAACTAAAGAGCTTCTGCACAGCAAAAGAAAATACCATCAGAGTGAACAGGCAACCTACAGAATGGGAGAACATTTTTGCAATCTACTCATCTGACAAAGGGCTAATATCCACAATCTACAATGAACTCAAGCAAATTTACAAGAAAAAAACAACCCCATCAAAAAGTGGGCGAAGGATATGAACAGACACTTCTCAAAAGAAGACATTTATGCAGCCAAAAAACACATGAAAAAATGCTCATCATCACTGACCATCAGAGAAATGCAAATCAAAACCACAATGAGATACCATCTCATACCAGTTACAATGGCGATCATTAAAAAGTCAGGAAACAACAGGTGCTGGAGAGGATGTGGAGAAATAGGAACGCTTTTACACTGTTGGTGGGACTGTAAACTAGTTCAACCATTGTGGAAGTCAGTGTGGCGATTCCTCAGGGATCTAGAACTAGAAATACCATTTGACCCAGCAATCCCATTACTGGGTATATACCCAAAGGACTATAAATCATGCTGCTATAAAGACACATGCACACATACACATATGTTTACTGCGGCACTATTCACAATAGCAAAGACTTGGAACCAACCCAAATGTCCAATAATGATAGACTGGATTAAGAAAATGTGGCACGTACACACCATGGAATACTATGCAGCCATAAAAAATGATGAGTTCATGTCCTTTGTAGGGACATGGATGAAGCTGGAAACCATCATTCTCAGCAAACTATCGCAAGGACAAAAACCAAACACCGCATTTTCTCACTCAAAGGTGGGAATTGAACAATGAGAACACTTGGACACAGGAAGGGGAACATCACACACGGGGGCCTGTTGTGGGGTGGGGGGAGGTAGGAGGGATAGCATTAGGAGATATACCTAATGCAAATGACGAGTTAATGGGTGCAGCACACCAACATGGCACATGTATACATATGTAACAAACCTGCACGTTGTGCACATGTACCCTAAAACTTAAAGTATAAATATATATATATATATATACCATACAATTTAAACAGTAGGTAACAGTAGATCAAGAATAGCATTCTTTTACAAGTAATCAAAAAATAAAAGTGAAAACATGAGTTTAAAAAAAGAGATTTGGTGTGAGTTGTATAAAATAATCATTCATTCATTTAATGCATAAGGGGAATGTTGCAGACCCCCAAATAAGTGCTTGGTTGAAGGTTATAAAATGCTAAAATCTTGTCATTGATAATATTTCAAAGCATCCACTCTAAAATTAATATTGAGCCATCCCTTCACAATGTGAGAGTACCGTATCACCAGGAAAATTGTCCAATCTATGTAGTATGTATAAAAGTCAAAGATAAGCCACAAACAAGATTATACAGTGAATGTGAACATGAGAATGAATAAAAAGGAGAAAATAATGAACAGAGTTCCACGTTTGCTTCAATGGGTACAGCTGTATCTTTTCAGGAAAAAAAAATGTTTTTCAAATCTTCACAGAGACCAAGTCAGAATATGAACGTGGGTTCTCTCAGGACAGAAAATCTTGCTCAACCTCTAAGTCCACAGGAGTGACTGCAGGCGTGATGGAGGAAGACATCGCCAAATGGTCCCATGAGGGCAGGCCATGATCTCCTCTGAGCAGACCTAGTTCTGCAGTGTCTTCTCTTAGTCTCTCCCGAGGGAAGCCAAGATGAAGGAATTTATGGCATATTTGGCACATAGAGCAGACACCCCAATAAGAGGGTAGAAAGCAGTATTATGGAGAAGAGAAAAATAATATAAAAAGATAAAAAGGACAAAAAGAAACTAGAGAAAGATGAGAAAGCAAGATGGAGAAGCATCTGTTATGACTCAGACCTTCTTAGACACAAGTCTTTCATCAGTGAAGATGGTGCCAGCAATCTTGTTTTAAGAGGGCAAAACTGAGTTGTGAAAACTATATTGAGGCTATGTAGCAAAATGCCACTTTCAGGGATGCATAATTATGTATTAAAGAAGAATATGTAACAATATTTGTGATATACTTTTTGTTTGTTTCTTTGTTTGAGACAGAGTCTTGCTCTGTCACCCAGGCTGGAGTGCAGTGGTGCAATCTCAGCTCATTGCAACCTCCAACTCCTGGGTTCAAGTGATTCTCCTGCCTCAGCCTCCAGAGTAGCTGGGATTACAGGTGCCCACTACCATGCCCAGCTAATTTTAGTATTTTCAGTAGAGACAGGGTTTCACCCTGTTGGCTAGGCTGGTCTTGAACTCCTAACCTCATATGATCTACCCACCTTGGCCTCCCAAAGTGCTGGGATTACATGCGTGAGCCACCGTGCCCAGCCTGTGATATACTTTTTACAGTCTGAGCAAAAATAATTCTTCCCATTTTAGATGCATAAATATTTTTGTAGAAAAGTTGAGGAGAAGGGAAGGAAAAAAGAAAAGGAAGAGACACTAAAGACTAAGATTAGATATTAAGATTAACAGCAGGGATTTATGTTTTTCAGATACAATGCAGGGTAAAAACTTAGGTCTACCCATAGCCCCTAAACCAGAATGTATTTCTCTCCCTTCTTCTAGCCAAATCTTTTGCTTTCTCTCACTCTCCAGCCCCCTTTGGTTACACACAGCTTCTAAGAACTCCAGGAAAAAAAGTCATCAGTAGACCAAATCCAATATGCAAGAAAGGCATTAGCATTTTTTTTATTTTTTTATTTTTTTGAGACGGAGTCTCGCTCTGTCGCCCAGGCTGGAGTGCAGTGGCGCGATCTCAGCTCACTGCAACCTCCACCTCCCGGGTTCACGTGATTCTCCTGCCTCAGCCTCCCCAGTAGCTGGGATTACAGGCACCCGCCACCACACCCAGCTAATTTTTGTATTTTTAGTAGACACAGGGTTTCACCATGTGAGCCAGGATGGTCTCAATCTCCTGACCTCGTGATCCTCCCGCCTCGGCCTCTCAGAGTGCTGAGATTACAGGCGTGAGCCACTGCACCCGGCCTGGCATTAGCATGTTTATCAGTATATTTCTGACAACAAATAACAGTGCTGGATACAGCATGTCTACATCCTTAAGGCACCTTTTTTACTCTCCCCTCCCTTGCAGAGCAAAGACTTTTGAAGTTCTAGGGAAAAATAACTTCTGTACAACTTAAAGAGTTTTGTAATCAATGCATTCTTTTCAGACAGATACTGATATTACATAAATGCCTGTAATATTAATACATAAAGGAATTTCTTTAGCTTTATGTGAACTTTATCAGTTCACAGCACTACTTTATCTCAAGAAAGATGTTCAGAGCATTAGGTAAATGACTGTCTTTCACTTCCCTGTATACTTGAGTTATTTATTTAATAAGATAATTCACCCCTTAAGTCCTGAATTAAAACCCGCCAAATTTTAAAAATCTGGTATGTGCTATGAGAGATACAAATGTTTATTGCACTGTCTCCTAAGTGAAGGGGAAGATGAGCTCCCAATGTGACCTACTAAGGAAGGAAATAAGACATACGAAGTTTAAAGCATGTGAGATGACTACCACAAAGAAATACCACAACAATGTACAAAAAATGCTCAAAAAGTAGAGACGTCAATTCAGTTCTAGTAAGGTATACTGTGCTGACAGCAACAAACAATCACATTCCTCCCATCCCTGTATGCACACCCCTTGGCAATGTAACCTGGTGGCTCCTCCTATCTAGATGAAGTCTACTCCCCATCCCTTGAATCTGGGCTGGTCTGGTCACTTGCACTGGCCAAGACAATGTTAATGAACTGCCACTGTACACTTCCCGGGCCTGGGCCTCTAAAGACCTTGCAACTTTCACCCTTAGTCTCTTGCTGCTCTGAGACTGCCATGGAAAGAAACCCTGGCCAGTCCCCTTAAGGATGAGAGAGGGAGGCAGAGCTGACAGCCAGCAACAAATTGCCAGAGATGTGAGTAAGGTCATTCTAGACCTTCTACCTTCAGCTGGGCGACCAGATGAATGAGGACCCATGAGTGACCCCTAAAAAGACAAAAAGAAGAAACATCCAGCTGAGCCCAACTCAATCATGAGCCCATGATTTTCCAACAAAATCATGAACAAATAACATGTTCATTGCTTTGGGCAGGCTCACACCTGTAATCCCAGCACTTTGGGAGGCCAAGGTGGGCAGATTGTTTGAGGTCAGGAATTTGACACAGCCTGGGCGATATGGTGAAACCCTGTCCCTACTAAAAAAACAAAAATTAGCCAGGCATGGTGGGCCACACCTGTAGTCCCAGCTACTAAGGAGGTTCAGGCAAAAGAATCGCTTGAACTCGTGAGGCGGAGGTTTCAGTGAGCTGAGATCACACCACTGCACTCCAGCCTGGGCAACAGAGAGAGACTCCGTCTTAAAAAAATAAATAAATAAATAAAATCACACACATACACACAAAATGTTTATTGTTTTAAGCTGCTTAGTTTTGGGGTGATCTGGTGATCTGGTAGTCAGCAATGGATACCCAAGATAAATACAAAGAACATGTTACTAACTCTCATTTGCATTAAAAAGAAAAGGCAAAGACATTTCTTGCCACAATTATGCTGTTAATTCTGCATGCCTCCATAAGGAAGTGCTCAGATCAATTCATAATGATTTCAAGAGCCACACAAGGAAAGAGGGAAACAAAGAGAAATAAAACACAGACCCTCCATTCAAGGAGCTTAAAGATGAATTCAATAAAGTGGGCAAGGATCTATCATAGAGATAGACACAGGATGCCCTATGGAGACCTTAGGGTAGAGTCAATTGACATAATCTGGGATGGCAGCAGATGGGTGAGCAAAAGAAATCAAGGGAGGCACCCTAGAAAAGCCAGAGCAAAGTCTTGAAAGCAAAAGAATTAATAAAGACTCAAGGGTGAGTAAGAAAGAACAGCACAATCACAGGTGAGGGTGTGTGAAGCATTATGGTGGTTTCAGGGAACTAAAAGCAGTTCTGAATTGCTGTATTCTAAAGTTATGTTTGGGGAATGGCAAGACATCAAGATGGACAAGGAGATCATGGCTGGCTAGTAGGTCAAGTCAAAGAGCTCAGACTTTATCCTGCTGGTGACAAAGCATCATCCAAGTGTTTAAAGGGGAACAATGTGGTCAGAAATGTGTTTCTAAAGAAAATCATGGTTGCGTATAGAAGATGGACTTGAGCAGGCAAAGATCAGGGACAGGGAGATGAGTCAAGATCAAAGTGAAGGCCAGGCGTGGTGGCTCATGCCTATAATCCCAGCACTTTGGGAGGCAGGCAGATCGCTTGAGCCTGCATTCGGGACCAGCCTCGGCAACATGATGAAACCCCGCCTCTATAAAAAAAAAAAAAAAATTAAAAACTAGGCATGGTGGTGCGTGCCTGTAGTCCCAGCTACTTGGAAGGTTGAAGTGGGAGGATTGCTTGAGCCCAGGAGGTCAAGGCTGCAGTGAGCCATAATCGCACCACTGCATTCCAGCCTGGGTGACAAAGTGAGACTGTCTCAAAAACAAACAAACAAACAAAAAAAAAGTCAAGGTGAGAGACTCTAAGAGTAGAAGAGAGGGAAGATTTATTAGGGAGGACTATTGAAGCAGAATTGACAGACCATGGCAAACAGCCACGTGTAAGGGTAACAGGGCAAGAAATCAAAGAGCCGAGTGATACTGCCAAATACTACCCAAGACATGACAGAGCAGAGCAGGCAGTAGTCTTCTCTGGAGGAGAAGACAGCTAAGAGATTAATTCACTTTAGACATTTTGAGTTGGGCCTATGAATGTACGAAAATCTAATTCTGAAACAGAATGAGGCTGGAGGTATGCATTTGGAAGTCATTCATATAAGCACAAGAGTTAAAACCACGAACATGGATGAAATCACCCATGGAAAGCTTCTGAAGTAAAAAGAGATGTATTTATATCTGAGAGGTCTAGAAGTTAGTTATTTACACGGTCTGATGAATATACAGAGTGTGTTACTCTGTATCTTTTATAAAATCAATCACTCCTTAGGTCCTCTGTATTGGGTGAAGGGGGTGGGTGGCTCCCAGAAAGAGGGAGAGAAACCATGGCTCTGTTGCAGCTCATTTGCCTCCTGAAGGATTACAGATCAGGATCCCCACATTCACTAAACTAAAGCTTGAAAACTAAATGCCTACTTAAGTCCAGCTAATTTTCAAGATCTATGTACATGCCAGATATTATCTGGGCTCTTTTTCTAAGAAAATTCAGCCACCCTATTCTCTAACCTGAGCTTAATGAGCTCAGGTCAAGGACCTTGGAATTCAGCTGACTATAATGGTTCTTTTAGTCTCTGCTCCATCAATTATTTACATTTAGGGCATCTTAACATGAAGCAAGTGGTACACAGATATGATATTGTGTGTTTGGTTGCCTGGAAACCAAGATTTCTAAAATTTTCCTTTCCTGCTCCCAATTTTAACTATTGCCAAACCACACTACATACATATCTGTATGCACCTTTTTAATTAAATACAAAATAAGCAAATTCAACATCGACAGCTTAAGAATCTTTAAACAATTGTATTTACCTCACACTGCAGAGTAGATTTAGGTCAAAACAAAACATTGAGTTCCAGAGGTCGGTTTCCAATTTAGTTTCATGTAACACACTGGGCTCTGATATTAGTCAGTGGGTAACTGCTAGTTGATTCTACTCTGACTTAAATAGAATTAATTTACTGGTATGGTTTCATTTGTCAAGGTATGAGTACAATCTTTGTTGAGGTAACACAATTATTATGAGACAAGATTAAATACTTAAAGACATACTGATTCAACCAAAGTCCTTATCTCAAGGAAATCAAGTCCTTGGTTGTTGTCTCAAGGCAACGAAGATGTCATTATCAGTTATAAAGGCCATTTATTAAGTTTGTGAAATTACATTTCAGCTTTAATTCTCAGTTTCAACACAGTTAATTATGTGTAGAACAGAGGCACAATACTGCAAAGGTTAGTCAGAGGCTTCTGAAAGTCAAGGGCTTTTTTCGTTTTTGTTTTTTGCTTTTATAATTTTTTTTAGTTTTGTAGGTACATAATAGATGGGTATATGTATGGGGTACATGAGATGTTTTGATACAAGCATGCAATGAGTGATAATCGTACCATGGAAAATAGAATATCCATCCACTCAAGCATTTATCCTCTGTGATACAATCAATCTAATTATACTGTTTTAGTTATTTTTCAATGTACAATTAAGTTATTATTGACTACAGTCACCTTGTCGTGTTATCGCCTCATAACCTTCCCCTCACCCTGCCACACACTACCCTTCCTAATCTCCAGTAACTTTCTGATTCTTAAATATAGAATTTTAGAAAATATATTTAACTCTTCTTAAAAAAAAAATTCCTCATTGTGTAAAACAGAAACCATTTCACTGCCTAGCAAATGTAGTTGGAAGCAATAAAATCTGATGAATAAATTAAAGATTAAATAAATGAATGACTTAAAAGCTGAACTTTTCTATCTCCTTTCAGTACTAAGATTTAAAAGTCTGTTAGATACCAGCATCATATATCTTGTTTCTTTAGCAGTACAGATATAATGACATCTGTCCTACACAATCATTCAAATATAATGTCAATCATAAGACCCAGCAATCTTCTCAGAGACACTCCATAAGCCATTCTACTAATATAGCCTAGTAGTCCTCAAAATGTGGTCCCAGGCCAGCAGCCTCAGCATCACCTGGTGCTTCAGAAATGCAAATAGTCAGGCCCCACCCCATACTTAGTGAATTAAAGTCTCTGGGGCAAGGCCTAGCAATCTGTGCTTTAATAAGCCTTCCAGGTGAATCTGTTACCCACTAACATTTGAGAATCACTGATGTATATGTAAGTCCCATTATTTCAAGTAGATAAGAAATGAATAAAAAGAGGAAAAAAACTTTCATAATTTTAGTTTCTTAAAAAGAATAATTGAGAAATTCAGAAAAGGTGCAAGCAAATGCGACATACTTAAATGACAATTTGCCAGCCAAGTTGGACTAAAGATAGTCAAGAGCTAAAGTTGGGAAAACAAAGAAAATGCTACTTGTTCCATCTGCAATCCTATAAGTAGGATAAATTAGACAAAGACATATCACTGGCATAATACAACTGTTTTGTGTAAAAACTTGGAAAATACTTGAAAAGCTATTAGGAGCTATTGGCCCTACCAGATATTAAAACATGCTGAAAAGCCCCTATAATTAAAACACTTTCGCAGTTTCTTATATAACTAAACATGCCATTATCATGATACAGGAGGTAGAAAAAACTATTGAGGCAGATAGTGAGGGCACAGCATCCTTCGCAGAACTTCCCTTCTAACAAAAAGCAGCCCAAGAAATTACTTATTTTCTAACAAAGAGTAGCCTGGAAGATCAGACTGCAAACATAGATAAGGAACCTGGAAGCTTGCACTGGGGGATGCCAGCAGTTGCATGGACAGAAAGGGCTAGCTGGGGCCAGGCATGTCCACCATGGGGATTCTACCTCCCCTTTTTGAGCACATGCACAGTAAGAAAGAAATAAGCAACATGGAGTAGCTCAGGCTGAGGACCTGCCTGTATGATAAAAGATTGGGGTAGGGGCTTCCAGAGATTTGCACCCTATGCAGATGACACACCTGATCCTAACTGGTTTTTCACACCCTATGTTCAGATACTGCCTCCCCACTAGCTTGTCTGTAAAAATTCCTGTATTTCACTACAGGATGGCAACCCTTTTTCTGGGACCCCTTTCTGCAGCAGAGAGCTGTTCTTTTTCTTTCTCCTATTAAATTTCTGCTCTAAACTTCACCCTTGGTGTATCCATGTCCTTGATTTCCTTGGCTATGAGACCAAGAATTCTGAGCGTCACCCCAGAAAACAAGGCCACTTCAATACAATCACCCTCATAAGCATTTATCTCAGAGGAATGTGGAAGACTTATGTTCACACAAAAACCTGTGATCATAGCAGCTTTATTTATGAGTATAAACCCAGAACCAACCCCGGTGTCCTTCAAAAACTAAACAATTATACAAACTGGTCCATCCATACCATACACTACTACTCAACAATAAACATGCAATAATTTGAGTAAATCTCCAAGAAACTGCACTGAGAAAAGATGTTTTAAGCCAATCCCTAAGGATTGTATACTGTATAATTCTGCTTTTCTAATGCCACTAAAATGACAAAATTACAGAAATGGAGAACATTTCTGTGGTTGCCAGAGGCTAGGGAAGATGAAAGAGGAAGTGGGTACGGTTATAAAAGAGCAACATAAGTGATCCTTGCAGTGATGAAACTGCTCTATGTTTTGACTGCGGTGGTGAACACTTGAACCTATATATGTGACAGAATGGCACCGAAGTAAATACACACATATATACATAAATGAGTTCAAGTAAACTGCAAAAAACCTGTAGACTGTTATCAATGTCAATATCCTGGTTTTGATACCATACTACCGTTTTTCAAGATGTTACCACTGGGGAAAACTGGATACAGACTACAGAAAATCTCTGTATTATTTCTTACAACTGCATATGAATCTAAAACTAACACAAAATAAAATTTTTAATTAAAAAAATCATGGTATTACATAAACAGAGAAACGGACTTTGAAGTCCAAAAATAGACTCATATACATATGCAAATTTAGTATATGCTACAGGTGGCACCTGAAATCACTGAGTGAAATGGATTTTTAATAAATGATTCTGGCCAGGCATGGTGACTCACCTGTGTAATCCCAGCCCTCTCGGATGCCAAGGCAGGGGTACTGCTTGAGCCCAGGAGTTTGAGACCAGCCTAGGCAACATAGCAAAACCTCATCTCTATTAAAAATTTTAAAAACTACTTGGGCATGGTGGCATGCACCTGTAGTCCTGGCTACTCAGGAGGCTGAGGTAGGAGGATCACCAGAGTCCAGGACTTTGAGGTTGCAGTGAGCTACGATTGTGCCACTGCACTCCAGCCTGGGCAACAAAATGAGACCCTGCTTCTAAAGTAATAAAATAAAATAAATGGTTCTGAGACAAAAGAACAGCCATTTTGAAAATGACAGAATTATAAGGGGAAAACATGGGTGAATTCCCCCATAACTTAAGTGTAGGAAAAAACTTTCTTTAGCTCAAAATTAAGATAAGCAAAATGTTGATAAATTTAGCTACACAAATATTCAAACTTGAGCATGGCCAAAAAAAATCATAAGCAATCTCAAAAGACAAATGACAAATCCATAAATTTTTGGGCATCTGATTGTTGACGGACAAGGATGCCAAGAATATTGAATGAGGAAAGAACAGTCGTTTCAAAAACTAGTGATGGGACTCTGGATATCCACATGCAAAAGAATGAAGCTGGACACCTACCACACACTTTACACAAAATTAACTCAAAGTAAATTTAAAACCTAAATGTAAAAGCTAAAACTATAAAGCTCTTAAAAGAAAACATCGTCATTAGTCTTTGTAAACTTGGATTAAGCAGTGGCTTCTCAGATATGAAGAAAAGCAAAAACAAAAACCCTGGTAAGCTGGACCTCATCAAAACTTTGTGTTTCAAAGAACATCATCAAGAACATGAAAAGACAACCCATAGAATGGGAGAAAATATTTGCAGCTCATATATCTGACAAGAGTCTAGTGTCCAGAACATATAAACTTAATAAAAACAACTCAATATTTAAAATGGGCAAAGGATTTAAAGAAGACGTTTCTCTAAATAAAACATACAAATGACCAATATGCACATGAAGAGATGCTCAACATCCTTAGTCTTAAGAGAAACACAAATCAAATCACAATAAGATACCATTTCACACCCAATAAGATGGTTATAGTCAAAAGGACAGACAACAGCAAGTATTGGTAGAGATGTGGAGAAATGGAAACTCTCAAGCACTGCCAAAATTGTAAAATGGTACAACTGCTTTGGAAAACAGTCTGGCAGTACCTCAAAAGGTTAAACATAAATTTATCATATGACTCGATAGTTCCACCTCAAGGTATATGCAAAAAAAAGAAAATTTTGTCCCACAAAAACGTGCACACAAGGGTTCATGACAGCATCATTCTTAATAGCCAAAAAGTGGAAACATTATAAATGTCCAACTGATGAGAAAATGTTTTATATCCATATAATATTATTCTGCCATAAAAACAAATGTTGTACTGATGCATCTGTAACATATTCATATATGTTGAAAACACTATGCTAAGAGAAAGAAGCCAGACATAAAAAACAGTAGTCAAATCCCTAGAGACTGAAAGTATGGTGACTGTCAGGGGATTTGTGGGTTGAGGAGAGTGGGTGCCAGTGGGCATGGGGTTTCTTTTTAGGAAGATGAAAATGCTCTAGAATTAGAACATTTTCTAGTGGTGATGCTGTACAATCTTGTGAATATGCTAAATATCACTGAATTGTACACTTTTAAAGGATTAATGTTATGGTATGTGAATTATATCCCAATCAAAAAAGAATACACGACAAGCTAGAAAAAAGTATTTGCTGCAACATGTATCACAGTTAAAAAGCCAATAACACTAAAAATATATACCAAATATGTTTAAAAGACAAGATAAACACCATGTAAAAAACAGCCAAAAGACACAGACAATTCACAAATGAAGATCTAAAAATTGTATTTATCACATGAAAACTCTTCAACTTAACACATAATAAAAGCAAATGACAACTACGCTGCAATACCATTTCTCATGTTTCAGATCAGCAAAAATTAAAACATTTGACAACACATTCTGTTGACAAAACTGTGGAGAAATAGGTCCTCTCACAACTTGGCTTGTGCAAATGAAAACTGGTACAGCCTTTATGGATGGGAATTTGACAAATCTAACAAAAGTACTTACATTTACCTTTTGATCTAGCAATATTACTTCCAGGAAGTTACCCAAAATATTCACCTCCAATATTATAAACATATATATACACTAGGTTATCCACTACAGTGTTTCCGAATCGCAAACTACTGGAAACAAGTGAAATGCCAATATTTAGAAAACTGGCTGAATAAGCTGTTAGGATGAATGAGAATGCTTCCTATGAACTGATGAAAAAAGCAAACTTAATGTATATACACACACACACACACACACACACACACACACACGTTACCTTTGTGTATGAAAGAGTGGGAAAAGAAAACACATGAATCTGCTTGTTTTTGCAAAAGAAATACAAGAAGGATAAACCAAAAACTAATGATACCAGTTACCTATAGGTAACAGGAACTAGGGTGGGAGCTGCATAAACAGAGCAGAGAAACTGAAAGAATTAGAGTCATAATGTTTCTGGGGACATCTTTCATTTTTGAAACCATACTGTTTCATATATCCAAATAAATAAAATCAACAAGCATTGGTGAAGGAATGGTAAAAGGAATACAACAGAAACATATGAACTTTACTGTATTTCAAATAAAGAACACAGTAACATTGAAGAGAGGAAAAAAGGAACTATCCCAAGTAACTTCTGAATGCAGTACTTTGACTACATACCCCCAGCCTAAGACACAAAGAACCATAAGCAAACACTAAACTCTAGTCATTAGGTTACTTTTTCATGGTGCTGTAGGGTAGAAATTTTAAATATTTTTTGTTAAAAGTGAGCAAATAAGTAGGTATATTAAGAATAATAAAGCCATGTTTCTTAGGCGGTGGAGTTACAAATATGGAAAGGAGGACTACTGCAATGAACCCTGTGGTACTAGACTGAAATTGAACATATCAGTATAAAGTCATGGTTTTTCATGGATAGACGGACAACTAGATGGATGGATGGATGGATGAACAGACAGATGCATATTTATTTGTGTGTATTTTCCCCTCACTTTGATCTCCAAGAAGACCTAAAAGTTATGACATTCTGGTAGCAATAAGCACATCTAGCACCAAGACCTGAACACCACTCTCCAGTAAAAAGAACCAGGGGTCCTTAGAGTACTGGCTGATTCCAAGGATGCAGCAGAAAAAGTACAAGATGATGTATGATGTAAAGAACGATGATGACATCATTCTTTAAGCTGACGGGGCTCTTACTGGCCAGATTTGTAACAATTTGAGCATCAGAATAAATGTTGACAGTAATAGTTTATAACACTGTATGAGAATCCAAGAGGACATAATAAACGTTAATGAATAAATAAGCAAATAAACACCTGAATACTATTATGAAGAAACAGCAGACAAATCTGTTAAGACACATTCTACAAAATAATTTGCCTGTACTCATCAAAAACATCAAGGTCACGAAAGAAAAAAGGATGAAGAATGATTCAAGATTAAAAGAAACTTAAGACATAATAATTAAACACAATACAAGTGGATGGATCCTGGACCCAGTGGAGGAGAGAAATGCTACAAAAGTTATTATTGGGACAACTGACAAAATTTAAGTTCAGATTGTGGACTGGATATAAAAAGTTTTGTTTCTTATCACTGTACTATGGTTATATAAGAAAATGTCCTTATTCTTAGGAGGTATGCGTTGAAACAGTTAAGGGTTAGTCTACAGGAACTCTTAAACGGTTCAGAGAAAAAATAGTTTGTGTACGAGGGAGACAGAACTAATGATAAAGTCAATGAAGCAAAAGATGAACACTGGTGAATCAAGGTAAAGAGTACACATGGAAGTATCTCACACTACCTGTGGAACTTTTATGTAAGTTTGACATCATTTTAAAATTAAAAGAAACTTTAAAAGTATCAATTTCTTTAAAATATCAAAGCAAAGAAATAATTTTTTTTTCAAGCAAAGAAACTCTTCGTAAATATTCCCTTGTGGTTTGAATAAATTTCCTCTAAAATGTCACTGTCCTCTAGGACAGTTGAGTGAATTAAAAGGGGAAAAAAGAAGGGCTAGGAAAGAAAGATTATACATGAAAGTGGCTGAAAAATATCCCCAGACTCCCTCCAAAATGTACTTTTGAATTTTCTATATGATTATATATTTCTATATTATAGAATATTTCTATATACTTCTATATATTATAGAAATACATCATATAGAAAGTTCAGAAGTACATTTTGTAGAGCCACTATCACTTGCTTTTTTGTCAAACTTGTTTTTCAAAAGTTTGATATGAATTTCTTAATATGTAATGCACTTAAATGAAAAACTTGCCTTTTTCAAAATTCTTCACTGTCTGACAACCATGTGAGCTCAAGATCATTATACTTCTCATTTTTAAAGTGCAAAAAACTAAGGCAAAGAGGTATAAAGTTGTGAGTGCATCTCCAAGTGAGAAATGCAAAGCAACCCACAAACTGAACATTCCAGAATCCTGATCCAATGTCCACATGATAATCACCTTGATTTGATTTTATTTCACATCAACACATTTCTGGATATTGTATCTGTGGTATGAGAAATAATAAAAGGAAGCTTGCTTTGCTAACATGTATTCACGGGAATTCATTTTTACCCAAATGAAATTAGAAAAACAATTTCCATGTTTTAGTTCGAGATTTTTAGCCTCACAGCTGAATAGCACTCCAACTATTTCTTTAGCAGCTAGCAACTTCACTTAGGCGTACTGAATTAATGCTAGGAGGGTGGATACAGTGAAGCTAAAACTGAAAACTATTTCCACAGGATATATATTTTTTAAAAATAAAACTACCACCACCACATTTTTACGTTTCAGTATTCTTCTCCCTCGACATTATTTTATCTAAAACTGCCACTGTTGGTGACAGTAACCAAGAAATGGAGACTAGAGAAGTGTCTCTCTCCATAACAAAAAAGAAAAAAAGAACAATAAGTTCATGAAGTGACAAGTCTTTAATTCATGTTATTCCAATAGATATTTTTCAATTTCATCTGAAAAGAGGTTTATTTTTGCTTCTTTTCCTGTGGCTTATTGCAGTTTCTAACTCAAGTTCAACAACTGGCAGCAGCTTCACTTTAATTGTGGATCTGTTAACAAAAAGTCTGCGGTGCTGAAGCATGGATTAAATTGTTCCTCAGTAAATTTATACCAGCCTTGACATCTCTATGATGGATCATTCTCCAGAACCATTAATAATAATGCAATTAGCAGGTAGCTACGAAACGGACTAGAGTCACAGAACAACAATAAATCCGTATTTCAGAACCCTGAGTGGTCACGTTTTTTGATATGATAATAAATTCCCAGTTCTTTGATTCACAAAATTACTAAAACCCAGATACATCTTTTGTAAAATTAATCAGAGTATGTGTGTTAAAATTTCAGTCTAACAGAATGCATAATGGCCAAACCAGTAGAGGGAAAATAATTTTAAAAAATTTTAATAGGAGGAAAGCAGACAAAAGGAAAGCATTAATAAACAGTAAAAAAGCAAATCTAATACAAAAAAACTGAAGGATATAAATCCCAACATAACAATCATCACAGTCAATGTAACTGTTTTATACTAAAATCAACAACTAAAAGATCAATTCTCAGCTGGGGTATTTTTCCAGCCATCTGTTATTTAAAACAGACACATTTATTTAAAAGAACTTGATGAGTTACTCTAGAAAATGAGGAATAGAGAAATAAAAAGTGGCTTTTCAAGAATGACTGCTTTGTTAAGACCCAAAGCCTGAGGATATTTTTTGTTACTTAATGTCCTTCCTTTTCCACTAGAATATATCTTCCCCAAGAGGTTTATTTAAAAAGGACTTAGCCAGCTGGGCACGGTGGCTCACGCCTCTAATCCCAGCACTTTGGGAGGCGGGCAGATCACGAGGTCAGGAGTTGGAGACCAGCCTGGCCAACATGGCAAAACCCTGTCTCTACTAAAAAATACAAAAATGAGCTGGGCGTGGTGGCGGATGCCTGTAATCCCAGCTACTTGGGAGGCTGAGGCAGCAGAATTGCTTGAACCCGGCAGGCAGAGGTTGCAGTGAGCTGAGGTCGTGCCACTGCACTCCAGCCTGGGTGACAAGAGCAAGACTCTGTCTCAAAAAAAAAAAAAAAAAAAAAAAGACTTGGCCAAAAAACTGAAAGCATGTATTTTTACATGTGCTGCTGCAAAATGTGAAAACAGGTTAATTCTGCATGCTAACATGCCAAAAGACGGGGTCAAACATGAGTCTGTATCTGACTGAAAGAGTCACTAAATACTAGAAAACTAACCTAATCCAGCTCATTGTATACAGAAGGCACTGGAGCTTCCAGTATGCAAGGTTGCTCAATAATAACAACGAGGCCAAAGGCATGATAGTATTTCTACAAACCCCGGAAAGCTAATGATGACAGACTCTGCTACTGAATTCATGGGAAATCATAGCATGAGAACATTTTCTCCTATATGAAGCTGGCTATTCTCTCACTACAGCTTCTTTGCATTCCTTCTATACTATGCTGACCACTCTGGGTCACACAAGGCCAGACACAGATGTACATTTTTAAAAATTAATGGTAAAAACTCATCTCATCATGGGGACCAAACATCCCATTCTCAGCAACTGATAGAACTATTAAATAGAAAATTAGCAAAGATACAGAAGAACTGAATAAGACATCAACCAACAGGATCTAACTGACATTTACAGAACACAAAGAATGCACATTCTTATCAAGCACTCATGGAATATTCAGCAAGATACACTTTGTATTGGACAGTTAAGGGTCATTTTTAAAACCCAACAAATTTAAAAGAGTAAAATTATACTGGGTATATTCTCCAGCCCTAAAGAATCAAACATGAAAGACAAAAAACAGAGAAATTAACCAAAAGACAGCAGTAAAATCATCCCATTGCAACCATCCAACATACCTATGAGAGAAGTATTATAACACACATTTTACATTCAATGAAAGTGAGGCTCATTAAGTTATGTTACATAAGTATTACGTGTTAAAGTTAAAGTTTATATTCAGGACTATCTGATTTTAAAGACTGTAGTTTCCACTATACTATGCTACCTTTCAACAAACAGAACTTCCAATCCAGCAGCCTGCAAACTTTTGATCACACTCTCCTATTAGTTAAAAAAAAGATTACATCAATACCCCAAGGGCATGTTTTGTTTTATTTATGTAGTACCATCCTGTTATGTAATTCAACACACACACAAATTGAAAAGTTGCTTATTTAAATAAACATAAATGGAAATCCTAATATTCTCTTTATATGACACATTGATGGCCATGTATATATATCACTTGAGATTGAACATTTCATCTAAAACCCTAGCTCTGTTTTACCTGTTATTTCCTTCTTCATCTTTACTTTTTCGGTTGGTTTTATTCAAACCAAATTACACCACTGTGTACACATCTTTGTTCAATTTTGTGTCCACTGCTCCATGCTATCAAGATGTCTCTCCATCCTGGGCCTGTCATCCATCATATGACTGTCACACCCAGCTTCACAATAGCTCCTATATTGATATCCCTGCCCCCCATAGCTTTATCCAAATCAACAGCACAGGGCTAAAAGATTAAATTCTTCAGTTTTCTAGATTGGTACTAACCAACAACGCTGAACATTAATTTTGTTTTTGTTTTTGTTTTTGTTTTTTGAGACGGAGTCTTACTCTGTTGCCCAGACTGGAGTGCAGTGGTACAATCTCGGCTCACTGCAACCTCTGCCTCCCAGGTTCAAGCGATTCTCCTGCCTCAGCCTCCCGAGTAACTGGAATTACAGGTGCCTGCCATCGTGCCCAGCTAATTTTTGTATTTTTAGTAGAGACAGGGTTTCACCACGTTGGTCAGGCTGGTCTCGAACTCCTGGCCTCAAGTGATCCGCCCACCTAAGCCTCCCAAAGTGCTGGGATTACAGGCGTGAGCCACTGTGCCCAGCCTGAACATTAATTTTAAGCCACTTTGTAATTAACCTAATTGTTCTTACAATCCATACTTCATTATTTTATTTTTAGGATATAAGTTTTTATTCAAACACCCCATGGAAGTTTGCGTGTGGTTATGTATCACTTTTCAGGCAAGTTCAGTACTGGAAGAAACCCTGAGAATCAGCTAGTCCAAATTCTCTAGTGTCCCTAGAAAAACACTGAGCAATGGAGGAATTAAGTGATTTTCTGAGATCATACAGCCCACTGAGACAGAACTTTCTAGTTCAGGGCTGAAATCATTTGGATTTAAACTTTCTCTTCACTACATCATCAGCAGCCTAATAGAGAAAAAGGGAAATATTTAATGACCATCTATTGTGTACCAAATATCACACCTAGTGCAACATACTTTTCAACCAAAACATTCATTTACTGGCAGAACAATAAATGTCTACCGGCTCAGCTACAGAACATATGGGCATGAACAGTCAGGGTAGAACGCTGTAGGCAGCAGCAGTTCTGTGGAAAACTGGAGAACACATCCTACCCAAAGAGGTCCACAGACACACAGCTTGAGGAGTCAGGCAGCCAGAGGGACAGACACAAGGCTGCCAGATCTTCTGATTTCTGAAATCCAGATTATTACAGTGGAATCATCTGATGCTTAAGTGTTAGAAACTATTTCAAATTTAACACAGCCCTGGCCAAAGAAAGCACACGTGAATGGCAAACCAACTTAATGCATGCCAGGCATTTAGCATACATCTTATTAAATTCTTACCCTGCCAGGGTTTTACTGGATGAGGCAACTCTAACTCAAAGACACTAAATAAAGTTGTCCACATAGCCCAATAGGTGGTAGAGTCATAATCCAAGCCTGTTTACTTAATACTTCCACTATACTTACAACTACTCTTACAGGCAGTTACCATTATCCATGTTTACAGACTGGGGAAAGTAATCTCAGATATTAGTAAATTCCAGCCAAAAGTCATATCAAGAACCCAGTTTTATGAAAATTGAAATATTTTTGTCTTCCCATTTTAATGGTGATGAAGCGCTCTCAAGCAGTGAGTCTTAAACTAGAAGATATTTCCTAACTTCCCAATTATTTTTTGTTCAGCTTGAAAGTCAAGATTCTTTTGCCTCTAAAGTGAACCAATTTCAACTTTTATGGAACAACACTAATTCTGAGCCACATCTGATGAAATAATCAGTAAACTCTGAGAGTAAACGCATTTCTGGGTTATACCACCAGTTTCTAACTCAAATTCCAGAGAGCGTGTAAGTACAACACTGTGTTACAAGGATGAAGACTTCTCTCCCTGAACCTAAATGAGACAATCTAGAGTTTAACTATTTTCCTAGTCTCCACAAATTCATTAATATCTCTCCAACCCAGGAATACAAGACACAATGGCGTGAGAAAACACACACACACACACACCACTTACTTCAATGGCTGACATTCCAAGGACAATTCTATGACACTGGCTCATAGAATGAGCCATTCTCAGGAATGGCTCTGCCAGCCATCATCCTATAGCAACAGCATCTACTTCTGAGCCAATAAATGGAACTGAAGAGTTCTCCCAGGAACACAGACAATGCTGCAGACCAAAGGGAACCAAAGCTTTGTCTGAGATGGGGAAGAGAGCCAAATGGACTTTCTCTATAATATGGGATCCCAGTGTAAATACAGGAAGGGACCTTAGTGGCCGCTTAACTCACTCCCATCTGCCCTTTCCCGTTCTTTTTCTGCACTCTATATTCTCTCCCTGGCTTCCCAGTTCTATCTCCAGTTAATTCCCTAGGAAGTACCACTAGCAAGAAATCTTCCATCACCATTTTCTTCTCCCATTAAAAGTTACTTGAGCCTTCAGCTCCTTTCTTTCTCAGAAGATAATTTCATAACTGAATCCCTATTTAAGTGTTAAATGATTTAATTAGCTCCCTCTCCAGGGACACCTGCACTTCAAGCAGGTCCTGAAGATGGAAAGATTTAATCCAAAGGACTCATTTTCCAGGGCAGATTTTCTGGTACCTTGGTAGAGCAAGCAGTGGTGATTTCCAGGGGCATCTTGGGGGAGTCAGTGCACACTAATTTCCAACAGCTTTTCAGACAAGTTCAATACTGGAAGAAACCCTGAGAATTAGCTAGGGTTTATTTCCAACAGCTCTGTAATTTCTAACAGCTCTCCTCCCAATAAATACACAGCAAAAAGCCTGCTATGCAAATGCAGCTTAAAGCTGCCCTCGAATAAACATCTAGTTTAAGTTTAAAATTGCTAGAGGAAATCTCACAATGTTATTTTATGCTTTTGTATTAAAATGCTTAGCACTGTGGCTGGCACATACAGTACACATTTACTATTAAGCAATATTATTTGTTACTATTTTTTATTAATTGCTATTATAAATCCATTTTCTTCCACAAGTCCAATGTGATGACCCAGCAGAATTCAGATGAAATAAAGCTTTTTGCCAGACATTCTAAGGAGGCAGGAAAATAAAATATGTCCCTGGAAGAAATCAAACGAACAGGAAGCAGTATAATTTGCTACTAAAACAGGTATCAGAAATGGCTACTAAGCTTGCTGTAGTTCTCTAAACAAAACAGATCTGAAATAGTAGGTACCCATCTGAGGGGACAACGGCAGATGCTCTAGACTGGGGTTTTTAATTAACATTTATTAATGACTGTCCAAAAGGCAGCATCTTAATCACTGTTCATTAAACTGACTTTCTGCAACTAAAGAAGAGTATATTATTTGAATGCCAGAAAGAGGCATTTCCAAACTATTCAGCAAATAGTGTGAGCTAAAGGGGAGCACCTGCTCACCTCATAAGTTCCTATCTGCAGTGGATCAGTTAATCCAGTTCTGGATGCTCATCTACAACAACTGTCCAACAATAGAAAGTTTTCATTATGCCATCAAAATTACATGGAATCTTAATGTCCAGGGTACCACAAAATGAGTATCTTGAAAACCTTCTGCCAGGGTAACAGAGAGGTAGGGTCAACTTCTTCTGCTATAAGAATATCAAAATGAGAGCTAATATTTACTGTATGCCAGAAACTGTTTTAAGGGCTTCACATATTTTAACTCATTTAATCCTCACAACTACCATTTGTAAGAACAACCATTATTGTTCCCGTTACAGATAATAAATCCAGAGCATAGGGAGGTGAAATAGGCCAAATCACAGAGTGAGTGCCACAAATACTAACGATTAATTTGTATACATTTTCCCTATATACAAAGCTCATTCAGGCACATTACCCCAGCTAGTCCTCATAACTGCCTTGGGAGGCAGGGTAGTTTTACTACTTTCCTTAATTCACAGAGAGGAAACAGACTTAGAAACGTAAATGACTTGCTTAAAGGAATAATTAGAATAACACCAAAATCCGTCAACCTCATCAGCCTGCCTCTGTTTGTGGTACAACCACACTACTGCCAAGACCAGAGAGGTCACATCTACATGGTGTTGAGGGAAGGGTGACCTAGAAGACAACCTGCCCACAAATCTCTCTCTCTCCTATCATGCTCCAGATTTTACAACAGGTCATGTGCATGTACATCTATGACAGCATTCACTACAGTATATTAAAAATTGTCTGTTCATGTATCTCTTTCTCATACTACAGAAGCAGCCCTTGAAAAGCAGGTGTCTGTTATTCACTACTCAATGTAAAGTGCCTGGCAACTAACTAGCAGGCACAAAAAAAGTTAAACTGAAGAAGTAATTCAGTGTGTATGAGCTTTTCAGACTACTTTTCTCTATCAGGTGAGTGACTAAAAAGTACTTCACAACCATTCCCTAGGAACAGCATATTTCACGGGTAATTTAAGAATTTTTATGTCTATAGTATCAGAGAGCACTTTTGTTCAAGAATACTTCAAACATTTATGTTCCACCCAGTGATTTTTTTTTCTGAAAGTCATTAAATGAAATCACTTTTTTAATCTTCACTATAAGAACTTCTTAAGTGTTTCTGGATTTTTAATCCCATTTTCCTAAATTGTGTACACTTTAACGTGTCAAGTAATCACATGTATAATTTAAACAAATGAGAATCCCATAGAAAAGCCTTTTTTGTTTTTTTTTTTTTTTTTGAGATGTAGTCTCACTCTGTCGCCCAGGCTTGCAGTGCAGTGGCACTAACTCGGCTCACTACAAGCTCCGCCTCTTTTTAAATAAGCATAAAAGATGTTCAAAACATGCTCCTCAATAGATCTGAATATAATTTCAACAGCTACCACTGGCAGTTATTTCTTCTTTGCATGACTAAGAGAATAAGTAGAATTAAGATAAAACATACCAATCACAGGCATATACTTTAATAATTAATTACTTGTGATATTGTAAATGCAACAGATCATTTTCATCAAGGAACTACAGGCAAGATTATCTACGTTACTTGCAATCTACAAAGCACTGGCATAGGATATTTTTTCAATTATGGAACTCTCGTCTCCAGTAAAAAAAAAATCAATTTTCAACAAATTTACAATTTCATAAAGCTAGTCAGTTACTCTACCGATTTTATGATACATTAGTTGGTTAATCTTCTGAAGAATATTATATATTAAAGAATATTAAAACATCCTCTAATATATCTATCCATGGGTAACTTTCTTAATGCAAATCGGTCTACCAAAGTAATTAAAATAAAAACATTCCAATAGAAATGATAAATGATACAATATTGTGTACTGATCCATCAACACAATTTACATAGAAAATAAAGAAATTGGAGTATTGCCTAAGTAGACGATAAATCAATTATAGAAAGCCAATCTAAGCCAGTCTAAGAGACTGAGTTTTAACTTTTTCAGTTCTTTCACTCCAAATATGATTTCAGGGGACTAAAAAAATAGAGAATTTAAGAGATGTGCCAACTGCCACAAACCTAATTTTGACTTAAAATGTGCCAAGTTGGGCTTTAAAAGCACTTTTCTTCTGGATCATGAAGTGCAGATCCCTGTGCAAAGTGACCTGGACCCACCTCTATCCTCCTCTTGGAATGCATCAGGCTGGTTCCAGATGAAGGCAAGCATGCAGGGATGAGTAGGGTAACCCTCAGAGAGCAACAGGTTCAGACTACATGGATCAGACATGTTCAAATGTGCTCAAAAACGATGCACGGGGCTAGAAGGCCAGAGGGCATGAAATCAGAAGATGAGAACAGCAAGTACATCAGAAAATGTGAAAAATAAAGAAAAGGTTCTTCAACCACCATTTCAAAACATTTATTTTTAAATTATATGTTTAAATAAATATGCTTGGGGTTTTAAAATGCTTATTGATAAGATGCAATGTAACAAAAATTTATTCTTAATTCACTTCGAAAACTGACTATTCAGACTCAACTTATATAGGTGCATAAATCAATCCATCTTATAAAACATATCATGAAGCAGTAAGTCATGTTGTGTGTTTTATTAGAATGGACTCAGCGCATATCATCACTTCCCAAGCTATATGAGCAGGGGGCAGGGGTGGGGAGCCAGAGATCGTAGTAAAACATCCAATTTCCTTACCAGTTGGGCACAGGAAGAGGGAGGGACAAAACACAGCACGTACACCCCTTGCCATCCTTCTGGGGTTATTTGAGAAAGGAAGTACTACATGAATTCAAAAAGACAAGACAATGAAACACCTAGGTATTTATTTGATCAGAAATTACAGTCTTCTCACCTGTTGGACTGTGAAGTTTCTTTTTTCCCTTACAGCTTTCCACTTATGGACCCTGGCTTAAGGCCCTTAGGTGTCTGAAGCATTTCTAGAGGAAAAGGAAAATTCATGCTGATCTAATTCATCCTCCTCATCTCTCGCTGCTGAGGGATTTTTCACACAAAGCAAAGAACTATTTGATCTATGAACAACTGCAAAACACCAAACTATGGTTTCTTCCAGTACCTATTTAATCTCACTGCACAGCTCCCATCACATCCTCCAGGAGGAGCATGACTTTGTCATTAAAAGCAACAATTTAGATGGAAAATGTCTACATGTTACCAGATGTTGGTTATTTTTATTTTGTACTATTACCTAATTTCCTCTATGCATTTTGATCCTATAGCACCTTTGCAGTTGGGTATTACACTTCTGTCACGTGATAATGTGTTCTCATTCCTGCCAGCATGCTATTTCTTGTTCACACTAGCTACTGGTTCATACAGTCAGTGATAATTAAACTCATTTTTATCTACAAATTTATTTTCATAATTTTTTATAAGCATTGATTTTCTAAGACTCCTAGACATGATATAGATAGATGATAAAGATTAACTTTCATCTTTAAATTCTATTCATTCCAAGCCCTAATCTACGCTTTCACAGACTAGTCTTACTGACAGGCATATTGGCTCAGAACAGAGTTCTCCTATAAATAAATCAAAACTCTCAATGGTCTAGCCAACAGGCAGGATTCATATCTATGGCTACATTTTCAATGACTGCTAATTCATTTATTTCATTAACAAATCTTCAGTGAACACACAAAACAATACGACAATCCCCCTTCCCTAGAGGAGTCCATTTATTCAGGGGAAGCAGCACAGAAAACCAGAGGGTAATATGTTATAATCACCACAGTAAAGCGATATTATGAATGATACATGAGCATAGACAGAGAAAGGATGATTCAGTCTTCGGCAGCACAGGAGTGGTCAGTGGAGAGAAACAGGAGCAGCCAAAGTATCAGTTTTTCCAATCTGGTTTTCTTCCAACTGGGAAAGATGATCATCTGACTCCAGATTTCTTGCCCTCCCCCAGTCTGCAGCTCTCTCCGTGTCTTGACACCTTCTAGAAGCTAGCTGCTAATGAGAGAGGGGGGTAAAGTCAAAGCTTAAAATGCTGAAGGGATAATGACAGGATAGCTGCTGTGTGAATACAGCACACAACTGCTCTTCCCAGAGTTTAAAAGAAGATCTGCCTAGTCATTTCTTTTGTTACAGATGTGATGTTTTCTACCTGTTTGAAGATAGGTCATCACATACCTTCTGCATCAGCCCCTTGTTAATGTCTCCATGAATGTTCACCAAGGCAGTATCTGTCTTCTTCTTTGATAAGACTAGCCCAATTCAGCCACCCTCAAATTGAACTGCTTTCACCCTTCAGGCTTCCATGTAAAAGTTAAGTTCCTCTGAGCAATAAATCATTTAAGTACACAAAGGAATGGTCTCATTCACAAGGCGAGGAGCTCTCATGGCCTAATCACCTTTTAAAGGCCCTACCTCTTTGTACTATCACATTGGCAGCACTTGGACTTGGGAAGGGACACATTCCAACCACAGAAGCAGGTAATAACTCCAGAGGAATTAAAGATGAGTCCAGAGAAAATTATGAGGCAAATGAGGAGCAGAAGCACCATCAATAAAAGACAACAGCTCAAACAACCTACACAGTATCTTAGAAAACCTGGCCAAAAATCTCTCCAGATGGCATCTTAAAGGTAAAAAGAATGAGATATAAGATAAAAAATCTGGAGGCTAGAAGTATTAGGAATCTCAAAAGAATAGAGGAAAGTAAACAGATGGGAGAAAGTATTGAAGAAATAACAGTCAAATATTTCCCAGAACTGAGGGAAAAAAATAAGACATCTGATTTAAAGAGTTTCCACTGGAAGGTAGAAAAGAAAACAGCAATGCGAGCAAGACACAAAACAGTTATAATAAATAGAAGACAGAAAACAAGACAGTGAAAATAAGCCTGATAGAAAAGTAATCATGATGAAAATATAAATGGATGAAACTAAATACCAAAAGAAAGACTTTTCAGATTGGATTTTTGAGAAAACCATGATTCAACCAGTCAATGTTAAGTGTATGGAAAGTATTATGTCACAGAGGGATAAAATGGAAGAAACCCCATGAAGCAATTTTATTATCAGACAGAATAGAATTGCAGCCAAAAACATTATAAAGGACCAAGAGGAAATTTACCTACAGGAAATGCTGTAGAACAAAAATACAACAATCACAGAGGTATATGTACCTGAAAATATGACCACAAAATATAGAAGGAAGTAAGTAACAGATCTACTAGAATAACAAATTCAACTATTTTCATTGGATAATTCAGTATGTTTCCCATAGCAACTGATAGAAAATTTAAATCAATTAATAATACAGGTTGAGCATCTGTAATCTGAAAATCTGAACTCTAATGCTCCAATGAGCATTTCCTTTGAGTGTCATGTTGGTGCTCAAAAAGGTTCAGATTTCAGAGCATTCTGGATTTTACATTTTTGGATTAGGGATACTCACTCTATATAATATATAGTATTAAGACACCCATCTCAGAAATGGCAGAGAAAATGTAAATACACTAATTAATAGTGTTGTGACATAGACTAGCTGCTCTTCTGAAGCACTCATGGAGCAGTCACAGAACTTGATCACCTCATAGACCAAAACTGAAGCCTCAAAAAATTACAAAAACTCCACCAGATTATATTCTTACCTCAATATAATAAAGGTAGAAACAATAAAAAAGATGACTAGAAGAGACTGCACATATCTGAAATATAAAATAAAAACACATATATGTAAAAATAATAATGAATAATAATGATTTAAAGAAGAAATGAGGGAAACTATAAAATCCTTAAAGTATAATGAGAAGGGAAGAACTCATGCCAAAATTTACGGCATGCACCTAAAACAGTAACAACAGTAAATTATGAGCTTTAAATGCCTTCAATAGAAAATAATAATGATTTACAATTAGCTGATAACTAAATCCACCAAAGGGGACAAATCCAAGAGAATAAAGCCAGAAATGTGAAAGCAGAAAATAAAGATGTAAGCAGAAATCAATGAACTAAAAAAAATCCAGTCAATCAATTCATCACTCAGACTGATTAATGAACCACTAAGTGGTATTTTGAAAAGGCTAATAATTTGGAAGAGTCTCAGGCAGGACTGACAAGAGAGAGGAGGCAATGATTTGGCAAAGATCCCCGACTCACACCATAAGTAAAAGTAAACCCTGGGCAGTTTAAAGACAGAATAAAAATAGAGGAAAAATAACTACTGAAGTAATGAGTGAGAAAACAGACAAAATAAGAATTTAAAACAAGTTAAGCAATATCAATACTAAAGATGAGGAAATATTGGAAATATGAAAACAACATCTTTAAAGTGCTAAAAGGAAAAAAATGTCATCCTAGAATTCTTTAGCCAACACAAATCTCTTTCAAAATAAAAAGCAAAATAAAGACTTCCTTAAACAGACAAAAGCAGAAAGAATTTATCACCCACAAACTGCTAAAACAAAGATATACAGCTAATAAGGTAATGGAGAACTAACTACACAATTCTGCAAAGCTGTCAAATATAAAACCAATATACACAAAGTGAAGAGTATTCCTCTGCAATAACCAGAAAAAAGGCAAACACAGCATTAATTATAAGAGCAACAAAAACAATACATCTTGGAATTAATCTAACAAAGATCACACAAGATTCTCAAGGAGAAAATGTCAAAACTTTAAAGGACATTTAAAATTCCCTAAATAAATGCAGAAAGAAGATACTCGTGGATGAGATGAGTCAACATTTTAAAGATGTCAAATCCCTGTAAAATTAATTTATAGTCTCAGAGGATTTCCTATTACATCCCATCAGGAATTTGAGGAAGCTTAACAAAGTAAATCTAAAAATATACATGGAGAAAAAAATGGCTTAGACATTTTTTTCAAGAAAATAAAGCAAAAGCTGAAAGTTTACCCTGCCAGATATTAAAATTCATTATGTCTTAGGAATTAAGAACAGTAAAAACTAATGAAAAAACAATAAAAAGCAAAGCCAAGAAACAAAATAGGTGTTCTATGTCTCTCTCACACACACACACCACACATACATGTGTGCACACGTGCAAACACACACACACAAGGAAAAGGGGAGAAACAGAGAAAAGGTCTAGTATGAAATGGTGCCAGAATTCAGCCCTGGGAAAATTCCTATTGTTCTAGCATTAAGGACATAAGATGACCAGTGATGGGCAGAAAACATGTATTTCATAAAACAATAAACTCTCCTAATGCAGCAGAAGGCAGTCTCAAGATGCCCTAAAAAGAATTATCATGAGCAATCTCACAAGTTAATTAATATGTTCACAATAGGAAAGACTGTATAATGTATTCAGGTCGGCTTTAGCCATCATATCACCAATAACATGATTTACAAAAATATGCTTCAGCCATAAAAACCTCAAGACAAGGCCGAGCGTGGTGACTCACGCCTGTAATCCCAGCACTTTGGGAGGCTGAAGCGGGCGGATCAGGAGGTCAGCAGTGGCCAACATGGTGAAACCCTGTCTCTACTAAAAATACAAAAATTAGCCAGGCGTGGTGGCACACGCCTGTAATCCCAGCTACTCAAGAGGCTGAGGCAGGAGAATCGCTTGAACCCGGAAGGCAGAGGTCTCCATGAGCCAAGATTGCGCCACTGCACTCCAGCCTGGGTGACAGAGCGAGACTCCGTCTTAAAAAAAACAAACAAACAAAAAAACTTCAAGTGGATATCACCTCAAATAATCTTCAACCAATCCATACCATGATTATTAAGGCTTGAGAAAGAGGATATATCACGTTCTTTTGTGTACTTCAAACTGTTACAAGGATATCATTTATTTCTAGTTTAAGTAAAATCCTGACAATACTCACATTTCACTTACTTTTTATCAAACACAGCATGTGCAATATTTTATTCCATAACTAAGTTGAGAATCTGAATGTAGATAACATCATCTCAACTGCTGTTCTTAAGTGAAAATTCTAATCAGAGTTGGTATGATCTCAACTCTACTCTCTCCAGGGAAGATATCCTTGTTGGAATATTAGAAATATGTGGAACACTAAATAAAAGCTGGTGGTTATGAAGGCTTTTCTTTTTAGATTAATCAATTTAAAGTTGAGCCATTCTATACTTTTTTTCTAGATAGAACACCTAGATATACTAAACACCATTTCAGTACAAACCTGTCAAATCTCTGAACTGTGATTTTTCTTTGTCACTTCTGTTACAACAGGTGTATAACAAATTGGTTTGACACGTTTATCTGCCAAAATTCAGGCATAGCAAGAAAAACTACTTAGGCTTCTCAGAAAAAGAATATTACATATTTGTATTCAAAATAACTAAAAATATTCACTATTTTCCTCAAACCTGAAATGAGACCTAATACGTGTATTTGCCAAAAGAAAAATTTTGTTGCCTCATTTGCAGTTACTCTAATAAAGCAAACTCCCTTGTGTAAGTTAAATAGGCACATAGTAAACTATTTTTTCCATTTAAAACAGAAAATACGTTTTGTGGTATTTACCAATGCCCTTTTAAATATACTTTGGTAACATCGATTTATCTTTATCATACAATTATGATTTTTTTCACTTAAATTATACTGAAAACAGAGATCCAACCAAATCAGAATGTAGTATTTGTAAGCTAATGTGAGTGGTTTAATTCAGAACACTGGTTTCAATTGTGCCTTTAAAAATGTACGCGATAGGGCAGGTATGGTGGCTCACGCCTGTAATCCCAGCACTTTGGGAGGCCAAGGCAGGTGGTTCGCTTAAGGTCACAAGTTCGAGACCAGCCTAGCCAACACGGCAAAACCCTGCCTCTACTAAAAATACAAAAAATTAGCTGGGTGTTGTGGCACATGCCTGTAATTCCAGCTACTCAGGAGGCGCAGGTTGCAGTGAGCTGAGATCATGTCACTGTCCACTGTGGGTGACAGGGTAAGACTCTTTCTCAAAACAATAATGAAAAATGTACACTAGAGAACCTTACGATTAATCCTTGAGTTAAGAGAAAAAGGAAAAAAAGCCCACATTGACAGACTTATTTTTATACACATGCACTCACACACAACATCATACAGGAAACACAGTTCTATTCAGAGATAGATAAGATCCCTGATGGAACAGTGCTCTTTGTATCTAGGTTTCACCATAATAATTTGGGAAAAAATGATTGATATGATGAGTAGTCTACAGAACTTTGTTTCTAGGTTGCCAGATGTAACTTACACTGTCATCTCTTTCTAGAAGTTGTTTTCATCATTTTCAACCTGAATGAACCAAACATTATCATAGGAAACTCTTTTGAACATTTCACACAGACTTAAGAAAATTATGTGAGATCTGCCAACACAAACATTTAGAATCCTAAGCAGCTATTAGAAAGAAGCCAATGACTCATTTTCTGAGATGCTTTGATTCTGTCAAGTCACTACCTCAGTACATTTTAGAAAATAAATTTATTATAATAATAATGACAACAAGAAAATATTCAAAGGCAACCCTCCTTTTTCAGTGTCTAAAGAATTCATTTACCAATGCTAAGAAATAAACCCTGGATGTTTTTGAGTGAGTTAACTCAGAACAATGGCTTTCCAAAAGATAGACAAAGCCAAACTTCTTTGCCAGGCCTTGAAGATCTGTAAGATTTGGCCCCAAATTCCTTTCCAACCCAACATTTTACTCTTCCTATGTACCTTTGTGTAGATATAAACTGGCTACCTAACAGCGTTAATCTCATCTTTGTACAGCACCTTTGTACATGCATTCCCCTAATCTTGATCATGTTCTTTTCCCTCAAGCACAGATCTCTCTATATACAAGTGGAATCCTTGAACAACATGGAGATTAGGGACATCAATCCCCTTGTGTAGTTGAAAATCCACACATAACTTTTGACCTCTCCAAAGCTTAACTACTAATAGCCTACTGTTAACTGGAAGACTTGCCAATAACACAAACAGTTATGAACACATTTTGTATGTTATATGTATTATATACTGTATTTTTACAATAAAGTAAGCTACAGAAAGAAAATATTAATAAATCACAAGGAAGAGAATATATATTTACTGTCCATTAAATAGAAGTGCATCATCACAAAGGTCTTCATCTTCATCTTCATGTTGAGTAGGCTGAGGTGGAAGAGGAAGGTGGGGGGACTGGCCTCACTGTCTCAAGGGTGGCAGAGGTGGAAGAAAATCTGCATATAAGTGGACCCACACAGTTCAAACGTGTGTTGTTCAAAGTTCAACTGTAAAAATGCTGTCAACTTTCACAGTCCAATTTAAAGGATGCCTCTTTGAGTTGGTGAGTGCTTACATGCCATGCTCCATGCTAAATCCTTTATGTGTATCATTTATTTTAATCTTTATAATCCCTCCTCTACGGTGGCCATAATAATTACTACCATTAAGAAGTAATAGTAGTATTCTGTGGTACCAAGTGTTTTACAGTATTACTTTATTTAACCTTTGCAACAAGCTAGCTTGTTATCCTCACTTTCAGATGAGAAAGGTGAGGCTTTGTATGTTACAGACTTAAGAACAACAGCTTTGTGGTCTCAATTTGAATCCCAGTTCCACCATTTGTATCTTTATGTCTTCCTAAAGCATCAGTTTCCTCAAACGGTAGAGAGAGAGACAGAGAGAGAGAGAGAGAAACTAACAAGAGCTCTGTCACAGGGCTGTTTCAGCACTAAATGAAATCACCCACATCTAGCATTTAGCATAGCATCTGACAAACAATGTGACCTTGCCTAGTGTTAGCTATTATTCATTTTAGTCTTCCCCACAATATCTAGCACAGTGTTTTGCACATTGAAGCAACAGAAATATATTAGTGATGAGAGAATATACTATCATTTCCTAAAATAAATGTTTACAAGTCAATTTAGATATGTGATCTGCATCCTGTTAACTTCAGATCATTAGAACACAAGAATTTTGAGCGCCACAAAGCCACTGTAGCCATACTGCCTCTCTGGATTCCTCCTCTCTGGGCAGGGCATCTCTGAGGAAAGGCAACAGCCCCGGTCAGGGGCTTATAGATAAAACTCCCATCTCCCTGGGACAGAACAACTGGGGGAAGGGGTGGCTGTGGGCACAGCTTCAGCAGTTTTAAACGTCTCTGCCTGCCGGCTCTGAAGAGAGCAGTGGATCACCCAGCACAGTGCTCGACCTCTGATAACGGACAGACTGCCTCCTCAAGTGGGGTCCCTGACCCCTGTGCCTCCTGATGGGGAGACATCTCCCAGCAGGGGTCGACAGACATCTCATAAAGGAGAGCTCTGGCTGGCATCTGGCAGTTGCCCCTGTGGGATGAAGCTTCCACAGGTAGGAGCAGGCATCAATCTTTGCTGTTCTGCAGACTCCGCTGGTGATACCGAGGCAAACAGGGCCTGGAGTGGCCCCCCAGCAAACTCCATCAGGCCTGCAGAAGACAGGTCTGTTAGAAGGAAAACTGACAAACAGAAAGCAATAGTATCAACATCAACAAAAAGCATGACCACGCAAAAATTCCATCCAAAGGTCACTGACACCAAAGACCAAAGGTAGATAAATCCACAAAGATGAGGGAAAACCAGCGCAACAAGGCTGAAAAGTCCAAAAACCAGAACGCCTCTTCTCCTCCAAAGGATCACAACTCCTTGCCAGCAAAGGAGCAAAACTGGACAGAGAAGGAGTTTCACAAATTGACAGAAGTAGGCTTCAGAAGGTGGGTTATAACAAACTCCTCTGAGCTAAAGAAGCATGTCCTAACCCAATGCAAGGAAGCTAAGAACTTTGATAAAAGGTTAGAGGAATTGCTAACTAGAATAATCAGTTTAGAGAAGAACATAAATGACCTGATGGAGCGGAAAAACATAGCACGAGAACTTGGTGAAGCATACACAAGCATCAATAGCCAAATCGATCAAGCAGAAGAAAGGATATCAGAGATGGAAGATCAGCTTAATAAAATAAAGCATGAAGACAAGAATAGAGAAAAAAGAAGGAAAAGGAATGAATGAAGCCTCCAAGAAATATGGGACTATGTGAAAAGACCAAACCTATGGTTGAGTGGTGTATCTGAAAGTGATGGGGAAAACGGAACCAAGTTGGAAGACATATTTCAGGATATTACCCAGGAGAACTTCCCCAACCTAGCAAGACAGGCCAACATTCAAATTCAGGAAATACAGAGAACACCACAAAGATACTCCTCAAGAAGAGCAACCCCAAGACACATAATCGTCAGATTCACCAAGGTTGAAATGAAGGAAAAAATGTTAAGTGCAAGCAGTGAGAAAGGTCAGGTTACCCACAAAGGGAAGCCCATCAGACTAACAGCGGATCTCTCAGCAGAAACCCTAGGAGCCAGAAGACAGTGGGGGCCAATATTCAACATTCTTAAAGACAAGAATTTTCAACCCAGAATTTCATATCCAGCCAAACTAAACTTCATAAATGAAGGAGAAATAAAACCCTTTACAGACAAGCAAATGCTGAGAGGTTATGTCACCATCAGGCCTGCCTTACAAGAACTCCTGAAGGAAGCACTAAATATGGTAAGGAAAAACCAGTACCAGCCACTGCAAAAACAAACAAAATTGTAAAGAACGTCAACATTATGAACAAACTTCATCCACTAATGGGCAAAATAACCAGCTAGCATCATAATGAAAGGATCAAATTCACACATAAGAATATTAACCTTAAATGTAAATGGGATAAATGCCCCAATTAAAAGGCACAGACTTGCAAATTGCATAAAGATTCAAGACCCATCGGTGTGTTGTATTCAGGAGACCCATCAGTGTGTTGTATTCAGGAGACCCATCTCATGTGCAAAAGCACACACAGGCTCAAAATAAAGGGATGGAGGAAGATTTACCAAGCAATGGAAAGCAAAAAAAAAAAAAAAAAAAAAAAAAAAAAAAGCAGCGTTTGCAATCCTAGTCTCTGATAAAACAGACTTTAAACCAACAAAGATCAAAAAAGACAAAGAAGGACATTACATAATGGTAAAGGAATCAATGCAATGAGAAGAGCTAACTATCCTAAATATAGATGCACCCAATACAGGAGCACCCAGATTAATAAAGCAACTTCTTAGAGACCTACAAAGAAACTTAGGCTCCCACACAATAACAGTGGGAGACTTTAACACCCCACTGTCAATATTAGACAGATCAACGAGACAGAAAATTAACAAGGATATTCACGACTTGAACTCAGCTCTGGACCAAGCAGACCTAATAGACATCTACAGAACTCTCCACCCCAAACAAACAGAAGATACATTCTTCTCAGCACCACATCGCACTTATTCTAAAACTGACCACATAATTGGAAGTAAAGCACTCCTCAGCAAATGCAAAAAAATGGAAATCATAACAAACAGTTTCTCAAGCCACAGTGTAATCAAATTAGAACTCAGGATGAAGAAACTCACTCAAAACCGCACGACTACATGAAAACTGAACAACCTGCTCCTGAATGACTACAAGGTAAATATCAAAATTAAGGCAGAAACAAATAAGTTATTTGAAACCAATAAGAACACACAGTGTACCAGAATCTCTGGGACACAGCCAAAGCGTGTTTACAGGTAAATTTATAGCACTAAATGCCCACGGGAGAAAGAGGGAAAGATCTAAAATCAACACCCTAACATCACAATTAGAAGAACTACAGAAGCAAGAGCAAACAAATTCAAAAGCTAGCAGAAAACAAGAAATAACTAAGATCAGAGCAGAACTGAAGAAGATAAAAAACCCTTCGAAAAATCAATGAATCTAGGAGCTGTTTTTCTGAAAGAGTTGACAAACTAGATAGATGGCTAGCCAGACTAATAAAGAAGAAAAGAGAGAAGAATCAAATAGGCACAATAAAAAATGATATAAAGGGGATACCACCACTGACCCCACAGAAATATAAACTACCATCAGAGAATACTATAAACATCTCTATGCAAATAAACTAGAAAATCCAGAAGAAATGGATAAATTCCTGGACACATACACCCTCCCAAGACTAAACCAGGAAGAAGTCAAATCCCTGAACAGACCAATAACAAGTTCTGAAATTGAGGCAGTAATTAATAGCCTACCAACCAAAGAAAAGCCCAGGACCAGACGAATTCACAGCTGAATTCTACCAGAGGTACAAAGAGGAGCTGGTGCCATTCCTTCTGAAACTATTCCAAACAACAGAAAAAGAGGGACTCCTCTCTTACTCATTTTATGAGGCCAGCATCATCCTGATACCAAAACCTGGCAGAAACACAACAAAAAAGAGAATTTCAGGCCAACATCCCTGATGAACACCAATGTGAAAATGCTCAATAAAATACTGACAAACCGAATCCAGCAGCACATCAAAAAGCTTATCCACCACGATCAAGTCGGCTTCACCCGTGGGATGCAAGGCTGCTTCAACATATACAAATCAATAAGCGTAATCCATCACATAAACAGAACCAATGACAAAAAACACATAAACAGAACCAATGACTAAAACACTCCATAAGGTCGGTATTGATGGAACATATCTCAAAATAATAAGAACTTTTTATGACAAACCCACAGCCAATATCATACTGAATGGGCAAAAGCTGGAAGCATTCCCTTTGAAAACTCCTATTCAACATCTCACCACTCCTATTCAACATAGTATTGGAAGTTCTGGCCAGGGCAATAAGGCAAGAGAAAGAAATAAAGGTATTCAAATAGGAAGAGAAGAACTCAAACTATTGTCTGCAGATGACATGATTGTATATTTAGAAAACCCCATCGTCTCAGTCCAAAAACTCCTTAAGCTGATAAGCAACTTCAGCAAAGTCTCAGGGTACAAAATCAATGTGCAAAAATCACAAGCTTTCCTATACACCAAAAATAGACAAATACAGAGCCAAATCATGAGCAAACTCCCATTCACAATTGCTACAAAGAGAATAAAATACCTAGGAACCCAACTTACAAGGGATGTGAAGGACCTCTTCAAGGAGAACTACAAACCACTGCTCAAGGAAATAACAGAGGACACAAACAAATGGAAAAACATTCCATGCTCGTGGACAGGAAGAATCAATATCATGAAAATGGCCATACTGCCCAAAGTAATTTATAGATTCAATGCTATTTCCATCAAACTACCATTGACTTTCTTCACAAAATTAGAAAATCCTACTTCACAGAATTAGAAAATTCACAGAATTAGAAAAAACTACTTTAAATGTCATATGGAACCAAAAAAGTCCATATAGCCAAGACAATCCTAAGCAAAAACAACAAAGCTGGAGGTATCACGCTACCTGACTTCAAACTATACAAGGCTACAGTAACCAAAACAGTATGGTACTCATACCAAAACAGATATATGGACCAGTGGAACAGAACAGAGCCCTCAGAAATAGCACCGCACATCTGCAACAATCTGATCTTTGACAAACCTGACAAAAACAAGTAATGGGAAAAAGATTCCCTATTTAATCAATGGTGTTGGGAAAACTGGCTGGCCATATGCAGAAAACTGAAACTGGACCCCTTCCTTACAACTTATACAAAAATTAACTCAAGATGGATTAAATATTTAAACGTCAGACCTAAAACCATAAAAACCCTAGAAGAAAACCTAGGTAATACCATTCAGGACATAGGCATGGGCAGCCTTCATGACTAAAACACCAAAAGCAATGGCAACACAAGCCAAAATTGACAAATGGGATCTAATTAAAGAGCTTCTGCACAGCAAAAGAAACTATCATCAGAGTGAACAGGCAACCTACAGAATGGGAGAAAATTTTTGCAATCTATCCATCTGACAAAGGGCTAATATCCATAATCAACAAGGAACTTAAACAAATTTACAAGAAAAAAACAAACAGCCCCATAGAAACATGGGCAAAGGATATGAACAGACACTTTTCAAGAGAAGCCATTTATGCAGCCAATAAACATATGAAAAAAGCTCATCATCAGGAAATAACAGATGCTGGCGAGGATGTGGAGAAACAGGAATGCTTTTACACTGTTGGTGGGAGTGTAAATTAGTTCAACTATTGGGCAAGACAGTGTGGTGATTCCTCAAGGATCTAGAACTAGAAATACCATTTGACCCAGCAATCCCATTAGTGGGTATATACCCAAAGGATTATAAAACATTCTACTCTAAAGACACATGCACACGTATGTTTATTGCAGCATTATTCACAATAGCAAAGACTTGGAACCAACCCAAATGCCCATCAGTGATAGACTGGATAAAGAAAATGTGGCATAAATAAACCATGCAATACTATGCAGCCACAAAAAAGGATAAGTTCATATCCTTTGCAGGGACATGGATGAAGCTGGAAACCATCATTCTCAGCAAACTCACAGAGGAACAGAAAACCAAACACCACATGTTCTCACTCATAAATGGGTGTTGAACAATGAGAACACATGGACACAGGGAGGGGAACATCACACACTGGGGCCTGTCAGGGAATGTGGGGCAAGGGAAGGGATAGCATTAGAAGAAATACCTAATGTAGATGACGGGTTGATGGGTGCAGCAAACTACCATGGCACATGTATATCAATGTAACAAACCTGCACATTCTCCACATGTATCCCAGAACTTAAAGTATAATAAAAATAAATAAGTAAAGTTTTCAAGGTTTCTCCATGTTTTAGCATGGACAAATATTTCATTTCTTTTTATAGCAGAATTTATTTTAAAAAAACTATAATTTGAATTCAAACATTTATGGATTGCTCTCATTCATACATCTGTCCCTTGAGCTGCTACCATAAGCAACATACACTCCAGGAATAGTGAGGAGATGGTAACTGAAATGAACTTCTGAGAGACTGGAAAAACTGTTTGCTTGGAAACACTACTAGGAGATAGAAGCCTAAACTATAATATTCAACTCAAGCACAGAGTTTATAATATTGGAAACTTGGTAATAATTAGGAGCCACCCCAAAAAAGGCTCCTTTATAAATGCTTAATAACTTTTTAAAATAAACTCATCTAGGTAAAAAACAATTTTTTTCAACTTGCTTATAATCAAAGGGATTCTACAATTACATACCTAAATTCAGAGTTTTACTTATTATTTATGCCTAAGTTTAGATAATCTCTATCAGGAAGCTTTCCTATATTTACATTCTTCCCTAGAAATCAATTTTAAAAGTCAAACTACTATGCTATTAACTATTATGCTACATTAGGCATGTTGAAAGAAAAAAGTGATTAGGCCTAAAGGATATGTTAAAGCTGACCTGAATATCTGTATAATACAGTCTCCATTTCAAGGACATAGTAAGTAAATGAATAAATAATATATGCACAATAAATACTTTTCAAATAAACATTTCAAAACATTCCCTGACCTTGTCTCCGAGAAATGAGAAGTGTTATGGAGAAACACAGTAAAGCTACCAGCCTTCTGAGGGCATATGCTGTCTGCTACATCTGACATAGGTGGTCTCAGTTCATCTTCACAACAGCCTTGCAGGTGGGCATTACTGGGCCTGTCTTACCAGAGACAGCCGGTTGAGAGAGCTCCTTTTGAATCATACCAACGTTGTTGGTTTTCTTTAATATTATGACAAGCTCTTTGATTCAAAACAAAAAAAATGTGTCCCATAAACCTGTCCAGTCTTTTCATAGTAGAAATAATGCCCTTGGAAAAATAAATAAAAGGTCTGCAAATTGGATTAATATGGTTTAAAAAAAAGAAAAAAGGAAACTTTTTCCAAATTCTCTAGTCATATAATGACTACTGAAAGAATAAGAATATAAAATGCTTAGAAAAATAATCCTTTATTATTATATTTAATGATGAAACACTGCAGAATGCTTCATTAGTAGAAGCAAATAAGATAAACTGGCAGAGACTATATATTTTTAAAATGTTTTTACTGGGGTACAAGTTATAATTTTACAAATTAATGACAAAATAATAAATTGTAAGAAAAGTCACTCATTTTAATTTTATATTTTGATGAGTGTTCATAATTGCACACAACCTTATAACTCCCACCACATTCAAGATATATTAATAATAATACTATCACCCTAAAAAGTTTCCTGGTACTTTCTGTAGTCAAATGCCATCTCTCAACTACCAGCCCAGGCAATCACTAATCTGCTTTATATCACTAGTTTTGCCAATTTTCAATTTTCATATAATGAAATTGAACAGTATTTATTCTTTTGGGTTTGACATCTTTCACTTAGCATAACTTTTAAAAGTTTCATTAAGATTCAACATGTCTTTTCATGTATTAACATTTTATTCTTTTTGTTGTTACATAATATTCAATAGTACAGACATACCATAATTAGGTTGCGTCCAGTTTTTAAGACTATTATGAATAGCACTGCCATGAATATTCACATAAAGTCTGTATGAACATGTTCTCCTTTCTCTTCGACTAACACCAAGGAGTTGAACTGCTGAATTATACGGCAATTTTATGTTATCTTATACAACCATAATGTTTTCCAACTTGCATTCCCAACAAAAATGTATAAAGGTGCCGGTTGCTCCACATCGTCACCAGCATTTGGTATTCTCTTTTTAACTTTGGCCATTCCAGTGGGTATACAGTTGTATCGCATTGTGGCTTTAATATGCATTTCCTTGAAATTTCACATACTTTTGATCATTTATGCATCTTCTTTTAAGACAGGTCTATACAAACCATTTGTCTATATTTTTATTGGGTTGTCTGTTTTGTATGGTGTAAGAGTTCTTCACATATTCTAAGCACACACATTTCATTAGATTTTTGCTTTACAATATTTTCTCCCAGTTTATGACTTGCCTTGTTCCCCCAGATCTATCTTCCAAAGAACAAAAGTTTTAAATTTTGATTAAAATTTACCACTTTTTTCTTTTGCAGTTCATGCCTTCCATGTCTTTTAAAATAAATCTTTCCATAATCTAATGTCATGAGAGAAAATGGCAATGGTTTCATTTCAAATCTTACAATTTAGAATTCATACATTCATTCAACATACCTTTATAAAGTAAGTGTTACATACATTACACTTGGCTAATAGCCTCTCCTGCCAAAAATCGTTTCTTAATCAGAATTTTAAAGTACAACCAGGGTTAATAATTGATAGATTAGCCTCCATTTTTACATATGGGATCCAACAATGTAATTCTCACAAAACCCCTGTAATTCGGATGTCCATTAAAAGTTCCAGAACCAGGGAAATGGAGAGAAGTCACACACCACCACCCCCTCCCCCAGTCTGAAGGGATCAGCTTATAAGACATCAAGGAGGGGTGGGTGGTAAGGACCCTCTGTTGAGGAGAGGTTGGCAGCTTAGCTGAGGGGAGGCCCACCTACCTGTTGATATTAGCTCCAAGGGCAGGGTAACCACAGTAGAGGCTGGTGGTATGGCCTTAGCCCACAAGGCAAGAAGTCCTTGTTCTGCACATCCCCCAAGCCCACAAAGAGGAGAGTACTGGTGGCAGTGTCTCATTCTTTAAGCCTCAGCTTATACATCATTTCTCAAAGGGGAATTCTCTCACCACTCTATCCAAAATAATTTTCTATCACTCCCAACCAGTCTTCACCTCATCATTTGGTTTTCCTCATGATACTTTCACAACAATGTTTTCATTTACTTGTTGACTTTTTTGTCTCTCTCTACTGTAAGTAAGATACAGGTAGATCAACCCAAAACGTTACCTGTTTTGCTGGTTTATATACCTCTAGCACTCAGCAGAGGGCCTGGAATACAGCAGGAACCCAATAAATATCTGGATAATAGATACATAAATGAATGTCTAACGAAATAGGACTTTTTTGATACTGACTTGAAAATGAGAAATGATAAATTTTTAAGGGCCCCTCTAGGATATCTTGCAAAACATCAGTGCTATGAAATCAGTGGTTTTTTTGTTTTTTTGTTTTTTTTTTGAGAGGGAGTCTCGCTCTGTCGCCCAGGCTGGAGTGCAGTGGCGCGATCTCGGCTCACTGCAAGCTCCGCCTCCCGGGTTCATGCCATTCTCCTGCCTCAGCCTCCCGAATAGCTGGGACTACAGGCGCCTGCCACCATGCCCGGCTAATTTTTCTGTATTTTTAGTAGAGACGGGGTTTCACTGTGTTAGCCAGGATGGTCTCGATCTCCTGACCTCGTGATCCGCCCGCCTCGGCCTCCCAAAGTGCTGGGATTACAGGCTTGAGCCACCGCGCCCGGCTGAAATCAGTGTTTTAAGATCAAAAGGTAAGCTGGATGGAGGAATAGATATTAAGTGTCTGACTGAGTTTATCAGTAATCATGACATTATGCTAGGCACTTCATTACGTGCTGTGACTCCATAAAGCACCCACTTAGGTTGTTCTGAATATGTTAATAACTTCTGAGGTTATTATCCCACTCTTACTGGTGAGGAGGCTAAGGCTCAGAAAGGACAAGACATTTGCCTAAAGGCACATGGCTAGTAAACAAAAGAAACAGGATTCAAACCACACTTGTGTGTCCAAAGATAATGTTGTTGCCACTATTTCCTTGTCCTGAGGAAGGCCAGGGTGGAATTCTGTCTTTTATATGAATTTATTCATTCAAAGATGTTATGACACAGTTCCTAGCTATAGGAGTTCCCGACTAAGTAAAGAACACAGACATAAAAGCAATAATAAACAGCACAAGTGCTACAAGGGAGCTATAACCAGACGTTTATGGGAATTCAATGTCCCCAGAGTTCTAAAACAGCCTCTTATGTAAGACTGGGAATTTAAGAATACTCTCGTTGGGCCTGAATCTGATGGTCATATTCCAACCATTTCCATTTTCATTCCTTTACTCACTTAATAAGCTTCATTAATAAGATATATATGGCTAAAGTTGTGCTTTGGTCTTAACTTTGGGCTGAAATACATCATACCGTGAATTCACCATTAAATGTTTGTGCTCCTGTCCCAAAGCTATCAAACCAAGATACCACCATTTACTGCAAACTCCACTCAACAACTTCAGTTCTTCTCAGACCAGAAGAGACCATCTGAGTCATAAATACTTCATGCACTAGGTTCACCTTTGATATTCCTTTCCCTTCCAGGCAACTGGCAGGTTAGAGCAAGTAACCTACTACAAGCAAATTGTAAGAAAATTTAGCAATAACAACACATCACACATGAAGGGACTTCTTTTTATGCTAGTATCCAACACACTAGGATCACTGTAATGAATTTTAAACAATAAAGAAAACCACCCAGGAAACACAGGGCAGGCAATTGTTATAACAATAAGTAGAGAACTGGCCTTAATTTTGGTTTGGGCATTAAAGACTAAACCAAGGACTAGGTAAGTAGTACGTACAGTGGACACAAGAGTAACAAGATTTGAATTAAATATCCACTTAAAATCATTTCCAAGAATAATATAAAAATTCCAGTTGATATAAGGGTGATGAGGGTTATTAACTCTATGGCTAGTAAACTTGCACAATGGGAAAATAATCTTCCTGAGTCAAAAGAAAATGATACCTAATTTCCCTTATCATTATCAAAACAGCAACACTGCTGGAAGTTGTACTGTGACATGACTCCAGTAGTGAAAAAGGTCATTTTGTAAAGCTATGATCAACGTGGAGAATGCAAAGATGGATCAGGTTATGCCATGCTGTTATATATCATAAGGTTTCCGTACACAAACAGTTTAGCAGGAAGGGCAATATAATATTGTTTGGAAAGATGGGAGTTTTGGGTGTGGGATAAATGTTGGAAATTCCAGACAGGTCAGGCAGGTTATTAGAACACAGACCATTCATCCATTACCTTTACCTAACATTCCCATGCTGCCCACAGTGGCAAGTTCTGTGCTAGGGCCTAGAAATGCATTCATAAGATGCACTTGGTGCTTTTCAATCCACGGTTATCCCATGCTAGATACTTCTTCTTAAGTAACTCTTTTTAAACTCCATCATTAATATTCCATACATAAGCACCTGCATATTTGTCCACAGACTGAGAAACCCCAACATCTAACTCCAGTTATATTAAAAAGCATGGCAAGCAGATATAAGATAATCAAACTTTGTGCCTAGAAAGCAAAGCTTCAGTGTGGCTGTACTTGAATACCTTGGCAGGTCTTGGGCCCACATACAGTTTGGACACTGCATTTAGGACCTCTTGGTTACTTGCTGCTGTGACCAGGCTGATAAATGGAGGTGAGAGAAAATAGAAACTGCCATTTTTGTGGCTTTTATCCTTCCAAACCTTCCTGTAATACTCAACTTGAGTTGGAAGCAACCAGGAAATCCTCAGAGAGCCTTAGGATGTCCACTCATTTTTCTCCCTTGTGCCTGAACCCCTGGGGGCATCACAGCTGACTCCAAGAGACATTCCAAGGAAATAACATAGACCAGCCAGATTTCCTCTGTTGTGTACACTCAGAGCACCCAATCTCACAGCAGGCACATGACTTTCAGCTTAAATAAATGCTCTGTGAGGTCAAGAACAGTGCATCCCGAACCCCAGGAGGCATGTGCTGGATACCTTTTAGGCACTTAACTCTGAATTAAATTGAGCTCTTACAGATAAAGCAGTTCAAACCCAGGACTCCTCAATGAGTCAGCCACGTGCTCAACTCACCACACCTTTCTTTTTCACTTCCTTCCAGTTAGAAATGCTCAAATATTCTTTGAAGGTCTCTAAGAACTTGCATGGAATCAATCTAAATGCCCATCAATGATAGACTGGATAAAGAAAATGTGGTACATATACAACATGGAATACTATGCAGCCATAAAAAATGAGACCATGTCCTTTGCAGGGACATGGATGAAGCTAGAGACCATTATCCTTAGCAAACTAATGCAGGAACAGAAAACCATATACTATATGTTCTTACTTGTAAGTGGGTGCTAAATGATGAAAACACATGGACACACAGAGGGAATGACATGCACTGGGGCCTATAGGAGGGTGGTAGGTGTGGGCAGGGAGAAGATCCAGGAAAAATAACTAATGGGTACTAGGCTTAATACCTGGGTGATGAAATCATCTGTACAACAAACTCCCATGACACACATTTACCTACATAACAAACCTGCACATCTTGCCCACGTATCCTTGAACTTTAAAATTAAAAACAAACAAAAGGAATGCTCAAATAACTACTTGCATCACAAGTACTGGCACTGAATCCTATGCTTCCCCACAGAAGTTTCCATCACACTATAGCATCAGAATGCTTACCCTTCCCCATCCAGGGCCCTGCCACAGGCTCCAAAAGCCACAGATCATGTGTGTATTGTGTGGTTCTGTAATTCCCAGGGCCAGAAGAGTGTCTGCTCAAAAGCTGTTGGCTGACTGACATGGCCAAAGTCATTTTCTGTGCTGCTTTCACTGAAGACATATAAAGGAAATGAACAAACCATAAATAAACCAAGTCACAGGTTAAGAGAAGAAAGAATGACAAAGCTAAACTAACCTTGGTTTTTAAGCCTTAAAGAACACCTAGAAATATTTAAATGATTTGCCCAAGTCAAAAAATTTAGTAGTAGAACCAAGAACAAGAAGCTAAGTCTCTAGTGGTTGACAATGAGTGAGGTATTATACTAGGCATAGCAAGAAAAGAGGCATATATTTCAGAGGGTCTGGAAACACCCCACTTACAAACATCTTTACTTCTCCAAATGGCCAACATATTTTACTTCATCATCAGAGAAGACAAAAAGCAAAACCTGTTGTGGAGTTTGGGTTATTTCTAGTCTCTTCTTTGTGATTTTCTGTATTTTTCTGATTTCTCATAGTTAAAAGGAATACCCTGGTAACAAGAAGAAAATATGTAACTACCCAAGAAGATGTATCATATGTATCATCACCACTGCAGTTCTGGGTTAGTATGGACCAAGCATTGCACTCAGAACTTCACTAGTGTTAACCGATGCAACCTCCACAGCCACCTGAGGGTACCAGTGGTCTCCACCGTACAGATGAGGATACTCCCTTCAAGAGCCCAAAGTTCCAAAACCAGCCAGGACTCCACATCAAGAGTCTGAGTCCAGAACCAGCATTCTTTACTTCTGCACTCTATTGCTTTATGCAAGGTATACACAACTAAGCTCAAGGCTTTCATGAGCAGGAAGAGGGACATGGTCATTCAAGAAACATACCACAGCAGTGGAGAAAGTGCAGAAAGGGGTTGCCAAAGGACACTGAAGGCACACTTGCATAACTCAAAACTTTTAGCTTCCTTAAGGACTTGGATACTTAGAAATATTCTTTCAGCTGAACATACACCTACTCCCCAAAAAGGTATTAGAAAATACTCAAATGGACATACAGCAAAATGGGCATAGTGTTCATTTCAGCTTCAGAAGATACACAGATGAAAGCCTGCTGTTTTCAGCCTTTATTTCCCAGAAGTTTAAGAAGACTGTCAAATCCTCTTCATTCAATTTCATTTCACAGACCTAGAATCCTACATATCTGATTTATAAAAATAACTTCAAAACTCTACTACAAATGTGCCAAAACACTAAAGAACACGTTGGTGCAAAAAAGAAAAAGAAATGGCTTTTAATCTCACCATAACTTATTACAGCTATTTACACTTTCTTATATTAATATTATTTTGACGATATGCAAAACATTTAGGACACTTGTGCAGTACCTAGATCATTTCGTATTTTGCTTTTTCATTTAATACATGTTAAGCAGTTACCCATGCTTTTACATGGATGACTTTTTAACGTCACTGGCAGCAGTGCAGCCATTGAGAGTAGTATCCTCCCACAATGGATGTGCACATCAATGGACTGGGCTTGCAGTAACACCAACTGATTTCTAGTCCACTCCTGCCAAGAAGGGCAGGTACCCACACTCATCATGGCGTCTCATTCTACTGGCATTCCCACATGGTTGTGAAATCAAAGCTCCCTTCCCAGATTGCCCAGTTCCCCTCCTGAGGGCACACTCACTTGAGAAACAAGACCTATATCAGAAGCCACTGAAAAGCCTTAGCTGGCAAAGTGAAAAGCAATGTGGAGGACCAATGATGGCTGACCCAGGAGAGGAAAAGTCAAGGCTGACAGGTTGCAGGCTCCAAGTGATAGTTCATTAATACTGGCAGCTCCTCTACAGAACTCCAAACTACTTTTGTCCTCAGGCTAATACTCTCCTTTTTTCATAAAACTTGTTTCAGCAATAAGTATCAAGTAATAAAACACCACAATCCGTTACCTGTTTACAACAAAGCTGGACCAATTCAATTTAATTAGCAGAAGCTCCTGACAGAATCTTTTTCAGGGAAGCCCCAAATAGCAGGGACACATTGAGAGCACAAAATCTTCGGGATGTGTTAAGAACATCCCTAAAGCTAAAAGCTTGCCTGTCACTTGTGCTCTGGTTGGTTACAAGAACAAAAACTATTTCTACAAGTATAAAACAGAATGTTATTTCAGGGCCATAAAAACAACTGTGACCCAGAAATTCCAAATTTAAAGTCCAAATTTAATTAAAGGATGTAATCATTAAAAGAAAAACATAGGCAAAAATATGTTCCCTATAACATCATCTACAATTTCAAATAACTGGATGGAATCTAAATTCTAAGAATATGGGCATGCTCACAGTAAATCACCCGGACAGCCCAATATGTAGCTTTGACAGTGACATTTGTATAGTATATGGGAAAATGAAAACAGTGATTAGATACATAATAAAAATCAAAAATCAAAATAATTACTGTAGTTCCAATAATTGTGCTTTGTAGCTATGTCGGCCAAGATGGAAAGAAAATGCAAAACTAAAAATAGTTGTGTTAGAGATTGTGCATTTTTTAATTATTTTTCTCTACTGCCATGGATAGGTTGTTGTATGACAAAAGACCAACTTCTTTGTAGTATTTCACTTTATTTTTTTGGTACTAAGATTTAACTAATTTTTAAATTCAAGGACAATTTTAACCCAGCATTAAAGCAAATGGCATTCACTAATTAGTGTTACACTAACACTAATTATTGATTTTTCCCCCAAAATGTATTGAGGAAATTATGTTTTATGTGGTTAAGAAAGCCCTTAAGCTATCTTAAAATCTTTCCAGAAATAACCCTGAAAAGCAGATACTGAACCCTAAAAGGAATATTCTGTTGCCAAGAAAATTAAGACTTTTAACATGCCCAGAAAGGAATTATCAGATACATTTCAAAACCATAACAAAGTATTGACATTTTTTAGGTCGATTTCAAAAAGTAAACATCAGCATGTAAGCAAGGAGCAGGCCTGAAGTTATCAATAAGCCAACCTCTTTACTTTTCAAAGTGAGCCTCGTCCAACTATGGATTGGGAGATTAAAAGGCTCATTTTCAGAAAAAGTATAGTAAATTGTTAAGTTTGCAGAAGATGATGGGATGTGGGGAGAATAAAGGATGTTTTAAAGCCCCACTGAACCCAAAATACTATGCATGGGGGTGGTATTCAAAACATTTAACCTTAGGGCCTTCAAAGCACTGACTCACCAACATTGTCATACAGCCCAGCTGATGTGAACATCCAGTATGATGGGCTTTGTTTTCTCCAGGATAGAAACCACTTACCTACAAATTGAGTCCTTATATTTTCCATGTACAGAACTGCCAGAAATCTTGTTTGGTGGGTTTACATTACAATAAAGCCCAGAAAAGAATGACACAAGAAACAGCTGCCAGAACAGTTGTCAGAATGGCCAAGGTTCACCAAATATGCCCTATGCCTGAGCAAGAGGGGATGTCAGAACACTACACTGTGGTTTTTATTTTAACTACATGCTATGAAAGCAAGAACTGCACCTTCAAAACCGACTCTCCTCTCAACATCCCTCCACAGGGGGATGGATGAGAGAAAACATAGAACAATGTTTCCTTGAAGCCTTGGAAACTGCTCCGTTGATGAAACAAGCCTACAAATGTGAAATATAAAACTTAATATTAGGTTGGTGCAAAAATAATTGCGGGTTTTTTCCTCTATAGCATCACCATCTCTATGCTATAACTCAAATTAAAACTACAGTATCAAGCAATCACTGCATGCATAGGCTTGGGACATTTTTAATGCTATCAAACATCACATATTAAATCTATTGCTACTTATCTCTCCTCCCCATCATCCTAATTGGATCCTTATGCTGAACACTCACATTCCTAAACAGTTAAAGGGTTCTAATTTTCTACAGTCATTGTAGGAGAAAAGGGCCATGGGTGAAGGAATTTTTATAGGTCCTGCCCCACCTTGCCCATAAAACAGCAGGCAAGAGACTAAGCCTCAGATCCAACCTACTACCTCCAACTCCCCCACCCTCTTCTTCCAAATGGCATTTGGAGACTCGAAAGGCTACATTATTGCATAATGAACAGGAAATATTTGAGCTCCAGAATAACTGTTAGGTAGCAGTAATTTCCTTAATCAGTGCATCTTTGGCCTGCCCTAGTCTCTGGTCCCACTGGTGTTATGTAACCATCACAAAAGTCTTAAAGACAACAAGAAAAGGCAAAAAGTCATATAGCATGTGCCTTTTGCTTTTTAACCGCCTACCACATTCTGCCCTTCCCAGCCAGTCTACTTGACGTCACTCCTAGCATTGATACGCGTGATCACTTGCAGGCTTCCAACAAACGGAGTAGGGTGTGTGTTTGTGTGTAACACAAGGTGAAAAACACTTATGTACAACCAGAGCCGTATCCAGAAGTATCCAGTTTATACTCAGTAACAGTCACAAGAATACTGTTTTTTGGAAGACTGTTATGAAACGAAAGGCAGTATGTTAGCAATTTGTGAATGAAAAATTATTTTCATCACCTTATTATTAGCACCATTCATTCATTCAATAAATATTTCAGAGCTTTCATTACAAAAAGACTGGTAAAGGTATTGTATAGCTTTCTAACTACCACAAACCCAGCAACTCATGTGCTCACTTATTGCTCAAAAATATTCATTGAATTCTAATTATATGTTAGATTCTAAGAACATGAACAAAGCTATAACCCTGATTTCCAAAAGCAGTGATTCTGAGGCCAGCTTAAATTTGAGAGTCACTTGCAAAACATGAGGCTTTTTATGTCTGTCCCCAAGATATTCTGCTCCAGTAAGAACGGCACATTAACCAGAAACGTGCCACTTTTTCAAGCATCTCCATGTGATTCCATTACAGGTGGCCTGGGAACCACATTTTAAACAGTGGTGTAAGAGACCCCAAAATATATACAGAAAAAAATAGTTGCTGAATATATGAAAGTCCAAATACATGGCATAAACAGGACTACAGAACTTCCTGGACTGAGACACCTGGACACAGGTATATGCAAAAGTTAGGCCTTGTAGTAGCCCATCAATGAAAAGTGAAACCTGGATAAACAGGAAACAAACAGGCTTAAGGCAATCTGAAAATGTTCTCTGAATATAAGACAAGGGAATCCATGAAAAATGGCAAGGATATAGTGCTAAATAACCAAAAATCAGTATCTTGGTTCTTTAAATCTCATTTTCCCCAAACAATCCTTTAGTTAGGAAAACACTTATGTACAACCAGAGCTGTATCCAGAAGTATCCAGTTTATACTCAATAATAGTCACAAGAATATTGTTTTTTGGAAGAATGTTATGAAATGAAAGGCAGTATGTTAGCAATTTGTGAATGGAAAATTATTTCCATCACCTTAATAGCACCATTCATTCATTCAATAAGTATTTCAGAGACTTCATTATAAAAAAGACTGGTGGATCCACCCAAGCTGCATGGATCTCACAGACGTGATCTCACAATTTTAGGAAAAATACTTGCACACTATATTTCATTTCTATCATGAAATTATAATAACTTATCAAAATTAAAACACAATGGGAATTTCATACAACCCCTTTGTTTAATGACTACACAATATGAGGGCCACAAAGGCCTTGTGACTAATCCAGATCACACACTTCATGGAAGGCAGAACTGGGGCTAGAACCCAGGTCTCCTGCCTCCCAGCCAACCAAACTCCACGCAATCCTCCTACTATAAAGGTCAACATCCCAATTCATCTAAGTCCTCTTCAAAGGCCACATCTTGAACTCTAATGCAATTTCCTTCTGTTTGACAGACAGAAGGCATCAGCAAAAAAAAAAAAAGGTAATTTAATTTTCTAGAAATTAACTAAAACATGGATCTTTATAAACAGTTGGTATTATGTATCACCGCATGCTGTGCTAGAGTGAGTGTTACTTCTAAAAATACTAAAGCTTCTCTGATGGAATTGGATCCAATATCAATTTTTGGCTGGCAACCTATGCAAAGTCTTGCTTCACACTGAAGATCTATAAAAGGGCAGTTGGCAGGATTTTACCCGTTAATACTTAGTGCCCAATATACAATTCTCCCTTGAGCTAGAAAAAAATCTACCCAGAACTTTTTGGTTGAAATTAAAGCTACCCATTTAAAAAAAATGAATAAATAAAAAGCTACCCATTAAAAAGAAGAAAAAAAAGCCTCCAAGCCAGCTGCTAAGGCATCTAGCTCTAAATGTATGCTGTTAACTCTACTTCTCTTACCTTAAGATCTTTAAATCAAAATGTCTGAAGTCAGCAAGGCAAGCCACATTTCATCTGGTAGACCCAGTTATGCATACTTACACAAATAGATAAATGTGCATGCACATACACACACACACACACACACACACACACACACACACACACACCCAAGATATAGTTATCTGGGCATCCCCAGAACTAGAGATGCATTTTTAAGCTTGGCACTGCATTTGAGAAATAGATTAATGTTCCTACTCTACTTCCAGCCAATCAAAAGATTGTATTTAGATAGAAGGCATGTATACAGAAGTGAGGGGGTACAGAGAAGAGTTAGATACTTCATGAATGCCCACGTGCCAGTAACAATGCTAAACGTCTGATCCATTCTGGCTCATTTAAGATACAGTCTATTATTTTGAATGATATAATCGTGTTTTAAAGAAGAAACTGAGACTCCGGGTAGCTTCACCAGGGTCTCACAGTCACGTCTCAGATATTTAATATTTTGTACCTTACACTGCAAAAAAGAGAAATCACTCCTCTGACCCAAAAGAACTTAGAGCTCTTAAATCTCTGTGAACTCATCATTACAACCACTCTACACTCAACAACACCAGGAGAAAAGTAAGAAGCCCGAGACATGAAGAGGTTAAAACACAACAGAGAGGAGGCTAAAGCCAAGTCTTCCCAGACCACTGTTATATTGAGTCACTAGAGCAGTAAAAATAAACAATCCCCATGGTTTGTGTACAAAGAGCCACACGGCCTCTCTGGATGCCAGCTGTCTTTTCAGCTAGTGCCATCTGGAACCTCTATCTCAGGAGGTTCACCTGGGTTTTATCCTTTGTCTACACAGTTATCACAGAGGGATGAAGGGGCAGGGTAGGATGACAAACACCTTTTTGAAATGCCATCAGAGCACCGCCACAGCAATTTATTTTTTAATTTACTATATTCATAGCAATTCATAGAAATTATACTCTCAGAATTAAAATTTTTCATGCCAATGTGACATTAAAAATACCTTGTAATAATGATTACTTTATTGTTTGTGATTTTAAAAGTCAAATAACAGATAGGGTCTGCTTGCTAACACTTGACGTCTGTTACTTTTCACCATAGCCAAGAAGGTCACAGTTTCAGGCCTTTACTTCCAGAAGAGCTCTCGGGTGGGCCAGGAATGAAGAACCCAGCAAAGCGGTTAGGGATCCAGCACCTTCTGAGAGCTCTGCCATTATTCCCCAACGATCAAGCTAGCTCTCTGCCTCATAGGAAGATGAGCTGTAGGTGGGCTCTGGGCACTATCTAAGCTTTGGAGCAATATATGGCGCTGCAGGATGAAAACAGGGAACAGGACAGGATGGTGTCTCATTGGTGAGTGCTAATAAAAACAGCAGCTGACGTTTTATTCCTTGAGTGTATTGAAAAAACTCTGGCTTTGGAATCTGGCAGTTTTTACCGGCAGTCCCAATTCTTCTATTTAGTAAGTTAAACATGTTATTCAGTCTTTGGCACCTCCAATACAGGGTAGTTGTGACAATTACATGAGGAGAGGTACATCCAGCACACGACCAGGGCCTGACAGAAAGTGGAGGTTAAAGAAGATTATCCTGGCTCAGACCTGCTCAGGGAACCAGTAATGGGGGAGGGGAAGCTGAGCCAGCCCCCAAATTTGGTAGTTAGAAAGGAGACTATTTTCAAGGCCTCCTCTTCCTCGACTCTTCCACAAATTAAAGTGCTCAGATATCTATGAGAGACACGGGAGGTAAAGGCAGTTCTCCAAAGGAATGTGAAGAAGACATATTGGAGGCCATACTTTGGAGAGGGACTGTCAAATGTCCACAAGAATCTGCAGAAAGCTATGGGAGCCATTCCTCCAAAAAATGCATTCATACAAACATATAACATTTTGCATCTAATTTCAGGGAGTCCACAGATCCTTACACATTCCTTATTCAATGGCCTTCGATTTACTGGTAAAGGTTACCTGATATGTCTTAAAGTAACTGCACTAGACTGCCATTGTTTTACTCTTTAAAAAAATAAAAATCATTACTGCCATTTTAAAAATCCATGAGCATGAAGATTTTAAGAAAATAAAATCAAAAACAGAGCAGGAAATAAGAGAGAGATGAGGACACAGTCCAACTAGGACCTTAATGAAGCCACACCTCTGGCCCAGCGAGGCTTCTAGAAGGGGCAGCTGTGTGGTCCTCTAACCTCAGAGTGGCTCAACTGTCCCTCACAAAGGTCCCTGTCCCCCGCAACATGCTCCTGCCATTCCCAACCATGGCCTCAGGCCAGAGCAATCTGAAAGCACTCACATGGGCTCATATCCCCTTGACATATGGAGGCAATAAAAGAAGCAGGTGCCAGGTGGAGGTCAGACCCGTCCCAGACCCACACCTGCCGAGGCACAAACATGGGCTCCCACAGGCTCCATCTGCTGTGTCCTGCGGCCAGAGCCTCCCTCTGGGAACCAAAACCAAAGAGCCAAGTGGACACCTCCCCAGCCTCACAAGACAGTCCATCAGCTCAGGTAGGGAAGATGAGATGGGGAAGACTGAAGTAAAGGACAAGGAGAAGAAAACAGCTTTTCTGCTCTGCTTCATCAACCACAGTCAGTGAGACCGATGCTGTCACATGGTTTTCTCTAATTGCCTTGAGGTAAGCATGGGGTTTAAGACATACCTCCTGGGACAGGTTTCCCATGAAGACACAAAGTGACCTCAGCCTCCCTTTCACACTGAAAAACGATACCCCCAGTATGTGAAGCTTCAGACAGGAAACTGATTAAGAAGGAAGAAATCTACCCCACCTCCTACCCTGCCAATTCCTGTACCTAAGCTGCTTCCACAGGGCTTACTTTTCTTCTTCAGTTTTTAACTAAGACAAGAAGAAAGCACAAAGAGGCAGAAGTGCCAAGTTGAAGTTCTGGTTCTGCCACTTACTAGCTCTTTGCTACTAAGGAAAAGAGACTAACTTTCCCCATTGGAAATGTACTCTCTTTGCCTTGTTTCCCTGTCTGTAAAATAGAATTGATCTCTGCCTGATTATCACACAAGGTATTGTCCAGAGGATCCCATGAGATGAGAAAAGTAGGAATGCGTTTTAAATAGCTCCATACTGGTAAGAAAGTGTCAGAAATTATCAGGTGACTTGCAAGTTAGGAGGCAATGAAAGGAGGTGGACTGTAAAAAACGAACTGTGTGTTGCCACAGTAGTAATTCTGCTCATTCCACACAGCAATATAAAGTGGGGCTTCTGGACCAGGATTCAATCAACAACAGATGTGGACTATCTGGCCTCTGCAGGCTGCTCCCACCAAGGGAACCAGAATACCATCCACTCACCACCTCCCCCTGCCCATTCACACAGGATGAACCAATGTTAAAGGGGCACCTACAGAGCATGGTGAGACGAGAACACAACTAAAAATGCAAGCATGAGAGAGTGCCAAAATGTGCATGTTCATTAAAATGCAGGCCAGCCCCCTCCCAAAAAAAGTATGGCCAGAGGGAAAGGGACACAATCTGTCAGGCCAACTCTAGCCAAGGTTTACAAACAAATTAAATAGAAGAACAATTTTCATCTCACTCACACTCTGAACAGATATTCCTCATTTACCAATTGCAAATCAAAATTGTTCTTCCTCAGTACCCCAACATTTCCACTTGACCCAACATCTACCAAGAAATGGATAGTTCCCAAAGCCTGGGCCTAACACTTCACACAGCACAGAAGCAAATGGAAAACACAGACCATACTGCCTATACCCTTTCTCCACTAAAAGGAATCTGGGATCCTCAAAGGAACAGATGGCTCCAGGGCTAGAGTATATACAAGATGAGCCTGATCACATTGTTATGCCAGAAAGTGAAAAATTTGTCAAAAGTAAGTGATGGGAACATGCCACATGGACACAGGAGCCATCTTGAAGGGGCCCCCACTAGCCAACTCAAATTTGATTGAGGGCTCAAATTGAGTACAGTGGTAAATTATGAACCAACGGAAAATGGGAACTCTTGAGTGCACACAAAAAATAAATAAATAAAATTATATGAGACTCTTGCTTAGAGCAGAATGTCAAAGGCTAAATGGTAAACATGGAAAGAGCATGGAGATGGAAAATCATGTTTGCGCACCTATCACTGTGAAGACTGGACCCAGTAATAATCATCAATGGATGCTAAATCTTGCACTGACTTTGAGGAGAAGGAGGATATCTATATGACCTTACAGTAGCTCCCCACAGACCACTTATTGCAAGGGAAGAAAGAGAAAACAATAATTATATAATCAGGAAACTAGACAACACTGTGAAAGGATGTTAAAAATCATCGCCACCGATGGGCATAAGGTGCCTGCAGGTTGGACATCCTGGCAAGGACACATCACTATGCAATATTCCAACTGAGATTGCATCACCCTGAATCTAATCATGAGGCAGCAACAACCTCAAACTGACAGCCACTGCATTTTTAACGGGCAGGATGCAGTCTTAAAAACGAGATAAACCAAGGCTGTGCAAATGTTTCAGATTAAAAGAAACGAACGAATGAAATAAAATGAAGTATTTGACCCCAGACTAGAACCTGTATGAGACAGAAAAATATTATTCAAAATGTAATTGGGTTAACTTGTTAATTGGAATATAAATATTAGATCTGATTTTTTAAATTGTATCAATGTTAAATTTACTCAAGTTGATAATAGTGCTGCGGTTATAGTATAAGAGAATATCCCAATTCTTAGGAAATAAATACTTAGGTAATTAGAAGTAAAGGACCATGATATAGTAACATATCCTCAAAATGGTTCAGAAAAATATATGGTGGGTGGTGTGTGTGTGTGTGTGTGTGTGTGTGTGTGTAGGAAATTATAAATAGGGTTAAATATAAGAAAAGGTGAATTAGATAAATAAATGGACAGGTATTCTTTGTAATTTTTTTCTGTAAATTTGAAATGATTTCCAAGCAAAAAGAAAATGCAAACAAAAAACATATTGAACCTTCATTCTCCGATTACATTTTTCATGAAACATTGTCCAGTCTTAACTTTCAGAACATCAATCTCTTCTGGATTTCTCTCTGACTTGTCCTTCACAGGCAACCTTCTTCTTAATTCATTCCCTAAGATTGATAGGTCATTTTGTTCTCAGTCTACACACTACCCTATATAGAATCTAATTCCATTTGAACTACATACGTATACAACACCTAAGGCCACATATCCCACAACTCTACTTTCTGAACCTCGCCAGCTAGCTTCCCACAAGCTCCTCCTATGGACAGGACACATCTTCTACACCTGGCAACATTCAGACGTATCGTAGGGACCTTAGACACCAGAGACTAACTTCTCATCCCTCACCCTTAACCACTAAAGGGCCCACTCCGATGGAAGGACAAGGGGAAAGAACAGAACCAGGGCTTTATTTCACCCTTCCAAACAGTGAACTAAAGCAGAACGAATGCAAAGATAGGAAAGGGGAAGGGGAAGGGGAAGGGGAAGGGGAAGGGGAAGGGGAAGGGGAAGGAAAGGAAAGGAAAGGAAAGGAAAGGAAAGGAAAGGAAAGGAAAGGAAAGGAAACGAAAGGAAACGAAAGGAAAAGGGAGGGAGGAAGGGAAGGAAGAAGCAAGGAAGGAGCAGGTATAATTTCATTCTGCCATATTACAGCAAGCATAGTTCTTACTCTCAAAAACTGCGGCAGAGGATTGGCAGTCTTTGAGTCTTGGTTTTCATGCCCCAAGCACATACCCTGCCAACGGAGTGACCAAAAGGTGAGGCTCAGGATCCATTATTCTTTACTTACCGTGCCTGCTCTGACTTCCTCATTTTGAAATTAAGGACATCAAGAGCACCTACCTACCAGCCCACTTTCTCAGAGAATAAGACAAACCCAGGGTCACATGAGAAAACCACAGGTACTGTTCAATCCCAATTAATATTCTTCCACATTTTTTAATTGGTATCACTTTTTTTTTGGTCTTTGTAGAGGTATTAAAAGAATAAAGTTGTGGACACCTATGATGAAACATGAGTATCCCACAGGTGGCGCCGAATCTGGAAATAGGAGGTTCTTTGCTCACAAGTGGCCTGGACACCCAATTCTAGTGTCCTTATTTACTATGGAAGCATTTTTAATCATGCTGCCTCTTAAGAGATCCTCCCCCTTGGAAGAATGCTACTGAAATTATTCCCCTGCCCCTGGCAGGTTTCTGACTAAAAATTGGAAGCTATCCTCCCATTTAGACACTGCAGATGGCTTATTTGCATATTACGATTCTCCTAGTTGATGACTGTTTGGGGGGATTACGGGATGAAGCAGATGGGTGGACAAACTTTTTTTTAATGTACCACCCTGGCAAGTAACCAGGCTAATAAATAATCCCTAAATAATAAATTTTCAAAACAACTCCTAATGCATATTCATTAAAAGGTTACAAGCAACTGTTTATGAATGCAGAAATTTCCAAATGAAAAATAGGGAAATAGCCTGATTCTAGTTTTCCCAAAATTTACCTTTGGGAATAATCAAAAGAAGACAGATCTCCTGGCTCTGGAGGCAGAAATTAGCAACCTAAAGAACATTACACAAACTAGGAACATTCACTGTGGAAAACTGAGGCCAGAACAGTTATAAAAATTAAGGGTTGTAGAGCAACATTTTTATTGGGCAAAGTAGAAAAAGTCAAAAACTGCGGCACTTATGGCATACTGCAAGTGCAAAAGAGTTATCCTAGTTTTGCTCCCAAATCACCAGAAATTTTACAGTAAAATTTGTTTTTGTCCTGAGTGATCCATGTAATGGCTTTAACTCTCCACCACTTACCACATGAAGGCAGGTAATGTGCACACTGAAGAACACGCATCTTTTAGTGAGTCCTAGGTGCCCTCACAGCCATGAGCCAGGCTTTGGCACAAAAACTTCACCTCAAACTTGAAGTATCATCCTGACATCAATACTTTAAACAGAGTTAAAGAACATGATCTTGATCTCTCCTCTCTTATCTGATTATATCTGTAAAACTTCTTGGCAATATTCTGTATGAATCAGGCATTGATTCCAATAAAATAAAGACACAGGATACAAAGTCATCATATGATTGTGATCATGGGATATGTTACAAAAAGCAGGAATTGAATGAAGGTGCCACAAAAATCATCAGGACAATTCAACCCAATGGCTGATTAAGAGGCAGGTCTTGCACGTAGTTGCGGACATAAATTAGCACAGTCTTTCTAGAAGTTAATTTTGTGATATGTATGATTCGGAAATTGTAGTTCAGCTATACCTCCAAAGAAATAATCCTGCATATCAAAACTGTTTTATGCATAAAGACATTCATTGTAAAATTATCTACAATGAAGGAAAATGGCAACAATCTATACATTCACAGATTATTGATAACCCAAATCATGATACAACTACATTAGAAAGCTGTCTACAGGCATTGAAATTAGTCTTCAAAAGGGCATTAATATGACACAAATTTTACATGTTTTTCATACACGAAAACCACAGCAATCAACTGAAACTCTGTCAACATCTTTAAACGCTGGAAAACTTTCTCATGAACTACACATTATAAGTATTTTTTAAAAACTCATTTTCTGATAACTAAACTACCAGGGTATATTTGGTGAGCTTCAAAGCTACTGACTCCAAATATTTTGAAGATAATGCCCCTCTGCTTACCTCCCCCTTTCAGACCCCTCTGACATCACCAATCTAAAACATGCTCCTCATTCTTTCCTACTGTTCCTGGACTCACTGAAGGGCTCCATCATCTAGCAGGTCACTCATACCAAGATACCTAGGCTTTACCCTTGACTTCTCCCTCTCCCTCCACATTCAATCACCATGTCTGATAAATTCTATCTTGAAAAATCTTTCTGATGCCTCCATTTCTCTCCAATCCCATTGCTGGACTGCTTGACCAATTTGCTGGTGGCAAAAGCCACCAGTTTCTCATGCCCAGAGTACTGCACCAACCCTCTTCTGTCTGCCCTTCCAAACTAGCACAGTCAGTGGTTTGCCTTGGTTAGTAGTTGCATGTCTGCGAGCCCATTACTCATCTTCTCTGTGCTTCAGTCTCATCAGTTAAATGGATACAATAATAGTATCTACCTCATAGGGTTGTTGGGAGTAATAAATTAAGTAACATGCGTAAGCTGTTAAAACAGTGTCTGACACCTAAAAAGCACTGTGTAAGTATTTGCTATTTTTCCTTTTATACACTTGTTCCTCACTGGATACCCAGTGCAAAATGCAGTGTATGGTGCGTAGCAGATCCTCCATAAATGTTTACTGAATGGTTGTTTTAGGCATATACTGATCACATACCAGTAAGATTCAGGTCAGAGTATCTCTTAATGCTGCACTATCCTTATTTCTACCAGCTCTTCATAACAATGTGAAATGGAGCCTTGATTTAACTTCATGGGTTAATCTGAAAATAAAATGGCTCTAAAATTGAATTTTTTGAAATATAAAATTTTATAAAATCAGTTATTCCAACTACTTGTTTCCTGACCAATTTAAAAAAAATCATACTAAATTTCCAATCATCTGTCTGATTTTCTCAGAAAACTTCAAGATACTACATCACAGAATCAGAAATCAAAGGGAAAAGCATTTAACACTCCAGGCTGATGACAATGAATTCTAATGAGAGAATAAACTGGTACATTTCACAGTATATATGAAGAGTCTATTAAAAAGCCCCATTAAAACATTCTCTAAAGAAATAATCAGATATGGATAAGTATTTATACATAAATGTGTCCATGTCAATTTTCTATTGTGAAAAAATGGACAGAGCCTAAATGCCCAACAACAAAAGAATGTTTAAATAATTTATGGTTCACTCACTTATTTTATTTTATTTTTTTTTTGAGATGGAGTTTCACTCTTGTTGCCCAGGCTAGAGCGCAATGGTGACTCTTGGCTCACTGCAACCTCTGCCTCCCGGGTTCAAACGAATCTCCTGCCTCAGCCTCCCGAGTAGCTGGGATTACAGGTGCATGCCACCAAGCCCAGCTAATTTTTGTATTTTTAGTAGAGACGGGGTGTCATCATATTGGTCAGGCTGGTCTTGAACTCCTGACCTCAGGTAATCTGCCTGGCTCAGCCTCCCAAAGTGCTGGGATTACAGGCGTGAGCCACCATGCCCCACCTCACCTATTCTTTTAAATAGGTAGTCAGCCATTCAACAATCAGGTTTTTTGAAAATATTTAAGACAACAGGGGAAATTCTCAAATATAGTTGAGTAGGGAAGGCTGAAAGAAGGCTATAAGGAAATACATCCATGTACACACAGCAGCCCACTCCAGCTGTGGAGATGATGAATCACTTCCTTCTCTGTGCCAGAGTTCAAAGCCCAGCTCTGCCATCAACTAGGGGATCTTGAGCAAGTTACTATGCCACGGCTTCTGCACTTGTAAAGTAGGTATAATGGGATTCGTAAGATTAAATTAGTTACTGCACATAAAGTGCTGAGAATTGTATCTAGCGCACAGTTAAGTACCATACAGTTGGTTGATAATATTACTACTTTTTTGTACTTAAACTTTTCAAAATGATCTTATGTCATTTTTGGAATTTAAAAAAATCAATAAACGTTACTAAAAGCGCTGAATTTTTAAAAATAAGCCAACTTTGGACTTTTTCAGACGTTTCTCTCTTTCTCTCTCTCTCTTGCAAGGAGATGCTCTCCTCTCTCCTTTCTTCTATTAAACTTTCAACTCCTTAAACCACACACACACACACACACACACAAAATAAGCCAAATTTGGCAAAAATTTAGTTCAATATATAAGTTCACAATCTCTTCTCTGAAACCTTTGGGGACCAAAGTGTTTCCAAGTATAGAATGTTACAAACTTTAGAAGAGTGATACAGCATATTTACTAAATAAAGCCCCAAGCCAGGTCTAGGCCAGCACCCTACAGTCAAGCGCATTAACATTCACACAAAACCAGGTAAATAAAGACTATAAATACCTTTACATCAACACAGGCAAGGTTTTACTGCTAACTGAATTATGAAGAAACGTCACATTTTCCAGCGTTTTTTAAATTTCCAAACTATGAATAAGGGGTCATGAGTTTACTATTATCAAATGCTGGCACCATGGTGGCACCTCAGTCCAGAATGGCACATGGCTCACTTATGCTCCTCTCCATGTATGAAGAAAGTAACAATTTCCTAACTCTCCAACCCTGGTAGAATCCCATTAGAGAAGGGTATATCAATGGAGGTACTACTGACATTTTGGACTAGATAATTCTTTACTGAGGTATTTTTTTGTCCTGTGCATTGCAGGATGTTTAGCAGCATCCTTGAGCTCTACTTACCAGATGCTGGTAGCACCTTTCCAGTCGTGGTAACCAAAAATGTCTCCAGACATTGCCAAACATCCCCTTTAGCAGGAAAGCAAAATCATCCCCGGTTGAGAACCAATGCAAACTGGAGGGAAAAAAATCTATTGCTTTCCTCTCCATTTTCTACAACAGAACTCCCAACTGCAACTTCTGCTGTAGTGCAGCTTATTTTAGAAAGCCTTATGACTCTCCTCCACCCATTTCTATCCCCTAAACCCTAGCCAAAATGAACTGCTTGATTTTTGTCCCACAATACAACACGATTTTTACAACTCAAGTCTTGAGCTGGAGACTGGGCTCCACCCAAGATATCTGATCCTACCTTCTCTCGCGCTCACAAACAGAAGATGGTCCTGACATACAACCTTCCAAATACGCTATTTCTCACTTTAAGCAATAGGACCAGAGAGGTGAACAAGCTACATATGTCAAGACACTTGACTCCAAAAGCAAGCAATTTGTCAGCTGAAAACTCAGTTAGCTAGTTTCCAGTATCTATGGAATTGGTGAGACAGGTAGTAATCACATAGGTCAACATTTCCCAAACTATTTTTTCCCAGAAACTGTCTCGAAAGATGTTAACAGGCATCTTCAAATATGTGATACTCAAGTGAGCCTGAAAATTTATCTTTGGCAGTTTTTTTGTTGTTCTTAAAACCACATGAGCACGTTAAGCCTTTAACATGCTAGTTATTTTAGGAAGCTCCAAGGAATAATCAAGGACACTGCATTTTCCAAATTTATTTGGCCATGAAATCCCATTTGCCTTCTACTCCAATGATGCCTATTTCCCTGAGGAGGGTTCCAAGGAGCACTGGGAAACAATGATAGAGATCTAATTCCCAGGGACAATCCTAAAACCATCTTTCAGCTATGGGTTTCCACTTATTTCTTAACAAACCTACATATATGTACAACTTTATATACTGCAGCATTGTTCAAAGGAGCAAACTGGAAACATTTTAAATGTCCACCAATAGCATATTCCTTAAATACATCATGGCATAATAATACAACAGAATACTACCCAACTATGAAACAATGGGGAAGCTCTTGGTGTACTGAAATAATCTACAGAGCACATGAAGTAAAAACAACCAGACAGACCCAGAATATTATAGTATGTATGCTAGCATTCCTAAAAGAAAGGAAGGCACAGAGACAAGGAAAGAGAACACACACAGATTTGCCAACATTTGCAGGAACTGTCTTTAGGAAAACATGGTAACAGTAACAATGGTTGCCTCTGGGAAGGAAACTAGCTAGGGGAAGGAGTAGAATTCAGACATCACTGTCTAACCTTTTATACTACGCTGACTGTATTATCTATTCAGAAATAAAAGTAACAAATAAGTGCATAAACTAATTTTTATTAGTCTGTATGGTATAAAAATCAGACAATAAGATGCAAAAATCTACTAAACCAACAGGCTATATTAACAAAAAAAAAGGGACTTACTATATTCAATGATACGATTTTTAAGGTTGACACCTTCTTGATTTTTTAAATTATACAGGAGAAAATACTTTTTGATAAGGCAGTAACAATATTTTGTTCCCCTGCATGATTTCAAAAGATTCATAATCTAGTTATTTGCTTTGCTATATCATTTGTAGCCTCCTCTGACTCTCAGACCCCCAGATCTCTCCCCTTCTTTCTCTACCACTTCAACATAATCAAAATAAAAATACTACCCCACAAAAAGTACACCACCTTCCTTCATTAGCTCAGTGTATATTGGATCAGTTTGGGTAGATTTCTCCTTGTTGATTTTAATTTTTTTAAGCACCAATAGAAGTAATTAGCTAGCACTAAAGTTATACCCATATATTATGTTTTGCCCTCAATGGAAAAAAATGCAGCTGCTAACTTCTGGAAAATGGGTTGCTGACTCACTGTGTGTATCACAAAAGTCATCATGCTTCTTTCCTAGCCTCATATTTCTTTTATAAACAAATCTGAAAGCTTCCTAATTTATCTCTTTTTTTCCAGAAACATAAGTGCTTCATCTACTGTGTGATACTCCTGTACACAAACAGCTTAGTAAATATATTTTCCCTAAAACATTAAGGCTGATGTAGAATAAGTGTTAATGGGTAAGTAATCCACCTTACTGATCAAGGGCATCATTAATAAAGGTAACCTGAAGAAAGCTGAATGCAGGCTGCCTCTGAATCTCAATTCCCAGAAACATCTCTCTGGGGTCCTGCCATTGAGCACAAATTTTAACTTTCTCATTCACAGAACAACAATTTTTCTATCATGCAGTAGAAAAAGTAAAATGGAGCAAAAACATTTTAAGCTGCTAGAGCAAATTAATCAGCTGATTAAAATGATTACAGTAGTTTTTGACTGAGTTCTAGAAAGTTAGCATTAAAAATTTTCCTATAGAAAATAAATACAGAATTATGTTAATGAAGATCTCTGTAATTAAGTAGTGTGGGTTTTTTTTTTTAACTTTCGTCCTAAGTTTTTAACAATAAACACATATTAACGAGGGGAATTTTTTTTTTTTTTTTTTTTTTTTTTGAGACGGAGTCTCGCTCTGTCGGTCACCCGGGCTGGAGTGCAGTGGCGCAATCTCGGCTCACTGCAACCTCTGCCTCCTGGGTTCAAGAACTTCTCCTGCCTCAGCTTCCCGAGTAGCTGGGATTACAGGCGCCCGCTGCCACGCCTGGCTAATTTTTGTATTTTTAGTAGAGACGGGGTTTCACTGTGTTAGCCAGGATAGTCTCAATCTCCCGGCCTCGTGATCCGCCCACCTCGGCCTCTCAAAGTGCTGGGATTATAGGCATGAGCCACCGCACCCAGCCAATGAAGGGAAATTTTAAAATCAAGGAAAAATGACAAATGAAAAGAATATACATCTTAAATACCCAATTTATTCATAGGAAATACAGGTAGGCTATCATATGGATTTATCTGAGAATTCCTAAAATATCCCAGTAAACACTTCTTGTAAAACAGACTCCAGAAAGGTCCATATCTCACCCTGCTACGGGGTGCTCACCAGGAAGTCAGCCTTTGATTCACCAAATTGTGCAATAAACACACAGCCGTGGGTCCTACCAGTAACTTAACACCTGGGAGTAGGCAGCACACAGCCCAAGTGTCCACAGCAGTTGGGAGGGGTCCAATGACAGAGGACTCTGAGAGCAGAGAGGACATGCTCACTCTAGTCAGGGTGTCATTGGCATCTGGGCACCTCTGTGGTTGCTGGAGGCTACAGAAGCTTGCCCCTATACCTGGAAATGCTGTCGCGGAGCCTTTTGGGTGTGGGGAAACTTGAGTCTGTGAAGGGATTTTGTATTTTTGTCCTATGCTAGTGTTTCCATCAGCCGCATCAACCTTGTAACATCTGCCCCTTTAAAGAATATGGCAGAGAAAGAGCAAAGACAAACTTCACTTGGTAGAAAAGGACAGCAGCCTCCGCAACCCACCTCTCAGCTGTAGAACTTTAGGAAATACGATCTCCCTGGGCCTCAGTTTCTCCATTCGTGAAGCAGTGATGGTAATAATAACAACAGTAGTAATATACAGCTCACAAGGTTGTCATACTACACAAGAATATACATAGCATTTACATAACACTCTCTGACACATGGAAGTTCTCATAGAATGTTGGGTGCCTGCCCTTTTCCCCCTGAGTTTGCCCTATGACAGAAAATAGCTACGCTGTCCCAATTCCAGTGCCACTAAAGATACTGACACAGATCTTTAGTGGGCCAGTCCACAGGGATCCCTGAAATCCAGCCAAGTCAATTTCCTTGACACAAGGGCTCAATCCAATCTTTCCCATTTCCTCCAAAAGAGGGATCTGGCTAGCCTAGCTATGCTAATTTCCAAATCTAAAAGGGGCAAGGATTTTTTTTTTTTTTTTTTTTTTTTTTTTCAGAAACCATGCATGTTCCCTGTCACACACACACAAATACACATATGCACAATGGCAACTTTGTCAAGACTGAGAAAGAACAGAATGCTGGTGATTTACTGAGAATGATCAGCAATTTACAGCACCTAGAAACAGTAATCAGGTTAAAGAAAGAACTTTCCATCCCAAAGAAATCTGTGAAGAAAGCATGTCCCCTCAAGTTGAAAAGATAGATAAATGGCATTTTTCCCAGAGCCTTCCCAAACAGAGCCAAATAACTGAGTGGACCCGCCAAAGAAGGAGAAGGAGACAAGAGTATAAAGGAGGCACAAAACCCTTTAGAAAGTGACCACACAAGATCTCCAGTATTGTCGTCATTCATTTGATTTACCAGGCAGCTTGCCAAATAAGGCATTGGTAATTTAGTGGCATTAAGATGAGCTTAGTCAGCCAGGAGGGAAGGGGAAAAAGGAAAGCTTTTTGTGTTGCCAAAACCAGAATAAGAATTTCCAAATGTCCGTGTGCCATAGTCAAAGCAGGGAAATGCTAAAGTGACTTTTCTGCAGGCTAGAGCATCTTGCTGGCCATTCTTCCCGTCACCTCCCATAATGAGCATTATAAAATGATCACCAGAGAGCCCAAGAGCCAAACCAAGATTTTCTCCAAACAGTAAGGCATTCCACACAAGGTCTTCACGTAACTAGAGGAAAACACATTTGTGCTTTATTTGACAAATAACAATCTCAGAGCTTAGCACTGACACCAAGGGAAGAATGTTACCTTCCTCTAGGGTGCTTAGAATTACCAAACATTCAGAATTGCAGGGAACAGACTGCTTGGGGGAGGGACAATATGTGATTTCTTGCCAAAAATATTGCCATTGTTGTTATTTATCTAAACACAATATTTTGTCATTTTAATTTTCAGCAACATCAGCTCCATATTTTATAAAGGCACGCATAGTTTTCAGCAGAGCATGGATGGCATACCACTGCTTTTTACAGAGAAAGTGGTTGAAAATTAACAACCAAAACTTTACAAATGGAAAATACTAATGTTTTGCTTCTTTAATTGAATGCATTTAACAATACTTCTACTATCTCACTGTCACTTTTCAGATTCTAGAGTACGTGGCATCAGAAAAGCAATGGTCACACTAAGAAATTACTCTTATTGAATGTTATTGTACAATAAAAGACCGTATTTAGACAGCCTAAGGTCATCAAAGCTTAGGATAAAGGTGAATCTCTGTATTCTTGCTCAAAATAAACTTGACAACAAAATGACAGCAGTAAAAAAGGAATGAAGCATTGATACACGCTACAAGATGGATAAACTGTGAAAAAAATTCAGACACTAAAGACCATATATTGTATTATTTCAGTCATACAAGAAATGACCAGAATAGACAAATCCAAAAGACAGAGGCAGAAGTACATTAGTGATAATCAGGGGCTTCTCGGAAGCAAGGTAGGCACTGTGGAAAAATGGTGAGTGACTGCTTATAGGTATGGGGTTTCTTTCCAGGTGTAAAAACGTTCCAAAATTGATTGCGGTTATGGGTGCACAAGGCTGTGAACACACTTAAAACCAATAAGTGGTTTAAACAGTACACTTTCAATAGGTGAACTGCATGGTATGTGAATTATAGCTCAGTGAGCTGCTTTTTCAAGTAAAATGAGAACACACTCCCACAATTACATACACAAGTGAAATGCATCCTCCCAGTCTCTCACACATACACACATGCACCCCTTCCTCTCCTCACCTTATTCTCAATTATACAATTTCTGGTCCTCTGTATTTCAATAGAGCTGCATTTTGCAAACTTAATGTACATAAGAATCACCTGACAACCTTGATTAAGAGCAATTATGACTCTTAGGTCTGAGATAGGGTCTGAGATTCAGCAGTTCAAGCAAGTTTCCAGATGTGGTAAGGTTAAGAGGGTTGTGTCAGTCCCACACAAAAAGAGTGTACCACATATATGGATTCAAAACATATTCTAAGTTGTAAAATCTGACCAGAGCTACTACCACAAATTCACCACAAGCCACACTCAGGCACACTCCCGGAAGGGCTTTTCCTCCCTGTTCCTCTGTGCCTTCTGTTCCTGTTCCTGTTCCTTCTGTGCACAGAACTAGAGAGAGAGGACAGACAGGCAATGCCACCCTTGAAGAGCCGGACTTTCCCCCATACAGACAGGTCACGGGCTTGCCTTCTATGCCAGCTCTGCTGCTAGGCAACCTTCCCCCAGGCACCTCCTCTCTCTGAGAATTTCCCCATATGCACAACTAGTCCCAATATTATTAGCTACTGACTTCACAAAGTCATTTTCAGGGTGAAAGAAGATGATGCACACAAAAAGAGCTTACAGAACCATAAAGCATTCTATTACTTTATGGTGGGAAAGAGTGTTGAGATAGGCAAGTTGTCATTACGATTCCCATAATGGGCACCAAAGACAAGAGGAGTTGGGCAGACCTGGGGCCAGCAAGTCCTGATGTCTCCTTCTGTTGGCACTGAAGACAGAGCCCAAGGCAATGATCACCTCTAATCTCCTCCTGACGGGGTGTAGCAAGGGCAAGGCCCCCAGAGTAAGAAGACTGCAGTGACCAAAGTTAACCAGACATATTCTGAGAGGCATTAAAAGCTTTAGTCCATGTCTCAGGGATCCACTGGCTTCTCATGAAAACAGTAATGTAAGATCATGAACTCAGTAACAGGGAGCCTCAGTTACCAGTCACAGAGTCTCAGATACATCCCATATACAGGTCACACACATCTCAAACACACCAATGCGATGACATGGAAAGTCAAGGTCTCTGATTATGCTGTAGCCAGAAGGAACTGAAGCCAATAAAGTTCTAAATGAGCTTCTCTTTCTATTAAATTGTAATGCCCCAAGGATAAGTGAAAATTTATTTCACCTTAGAATGCATTTTAGCTTCCACGAACAATTTCAACCAAAAGCAAAAATGAAAAAAAAAGAAACCAAAATGTCCTATATGTCTATCACGTACCCACGTTTACCCTATGAAATAACTTGGAAGTTACTTCATGATCATGAAAACTATAAAGTTATTCAACCTGTATATTTCCCTATAGTAAAATAATTGTTAGGCTTTATGAAATAAAAAAAACCAATGATCGATACTTCCTATTTGCAAGGTTATTATTGTATGACGTCTACTCTATGAACATCAAAAATTAAAGAAGTTCTTTACATCTGTCATGAAACAAAATCTGTCACAATGAATAACTCTCAGAGAAATATAGAAAAATCCAGTTAATTGTCAATTGAAAGAACCTTCACTAAGAAGAAATAAGGGTTTTATTTAACACTTTGGCACTCACATCTTCTCTATATTCAGACTGTAATTTTTCACTGTATTAATTTTACCATACAGAGCCTACAACCTTAAAAACGAGATTACTAAATATAAAGTATTCACCAAAAAAGCGTCCCATAACATAAGACAACTCTCATTTTGAGGGGGCACTGCCCTATTTTTTAATCACAGTTCAATTTCTGGGTCAGCAAGCTAGTTTATAGGAGAAGATATTCGCTTTTATTAAAAAAAAAACTTTAGAAAACTTGCTGTACTTCTTGAATGGCTTTGCTTAATAATTTTGTGTTAAACTTCTTCGTCAAAAAAAGGAAAATGAAAAAAATTCAACACTATTCAGCCAGGGATCCTTACACCCTGATTTTTTTAAGTATATGTTTAACAGTTGAGGGTTTCTCCAGCATTACAAAGTTCCCATTGCAGTGTGCACTCACCAATGTTAAACAATGATCTTAGTCATTCCAAGTATGTATCAACAACTTAAACCAACCTAACAATCGAACATCAGTTTTTTCTGTGTCTCTTACTAAATTGTATACTCTTTGAGAATATAACATGCCTTTAATGGCCCTAATAACCTAGAGCAGGTGCCTGTTAGACAGAACATAGTGTTCACTGAATACATAAAGAGGATCTGAGCCCTACACTAACACACAGCTCTGATCTTCAGGAAGTTCATTTGTTATCACATCCACCAACTGGGTAATTGATTAAAATGAGGAAAAGAAAGGAAGCTATCACTTACTCTACGCCAGACACTTATGTGCATTTTGCTATTTAATTCTTGCAATACCCTGAGGAAGCTAACTTTGGAGAAGATGGAACTTGCCCACAGTTGCACAGCTAGAATAAAGCTGGGCCTCCATTCAAATCCAGACTCACAGAGTTAAAACTGCACACAGGGGATATGACAATACATTGACCGATTTAGGAAAAATAGGATTTGGTGGTACCAAGGAGTCTGCCCCTAACTTAGCAAATGAGTCCTTGAGCAGTACACACTTGTATTAAAATGTTCCTCTGTTAGAGGGCCAATCGTGTGTCTGGAGCTCTCTAGGGTGGCAAAATGATTATGAGAGCCCAGGTGTGGTGTGTCTTGCTGTGGCTTCCAAGAATCTTCCAACCTACCCCCCATTATCAATGAGAGCCCAGATGCCATGAGCTGAGTAGCACATGCCCTTCTCAAGGGGGAGCCTTTGCTCAGCTGTCACTTTGCAGTATGATCTGCAACTTTCTTTTAGAGAACAAATGTTTTCCCACATTCTCAATAAATTCCCCAAAGCCGTATCAAGTACATATCTAAACGTTTCACGTTGTATATTCACAAACCTGATGTGATGTAAAGATCAATTTTTATGACCCAGAGATGTTTTGTTAAACCTTTCATTAGCTTCCCTTCTAGAGATCAGCCATACTGGGCTCACTTTCTCACTGGCTACAGCTGCAGGGAGGTGGCCCCACGGAGAGCTCCCCTGCTCACCACAGACCATCTGGCCAACTTCATGCCTCTATTCTACCTGCTTGGCTTACGCACGCATATGATTTGCAACCCCTGTACTTTTCAGAGTTTTATGGGTACAGAGACCATGACCCAAAAAGTGCTCAATGGATCTGCTTAAACACAAGAGCATCTTTGCTCTTTCCTTAAGTCTCAAACTTTCTCTGCAAAATATCCAGAAAAAAAAAAACTCTGACTACCTGGCTTCAAACTCTAATTATACCTCTTACAGACTGATCTTGGGCAAGCTATCACATCTCTGCATTTCTATTTCCTCATCTAAAAATGAGGATGCCATAAAAAACTACTTTATCGGGCTGTGAGAATTATTGTTTATTAAGTGCTCAATAATGCGGGTTACTAACATTGTCACTAGCTGGACAAAGCAGAGCCAGGACCATGCCTTCATCAGCTCTGGATCCCCCATTCCCCCAGCGGTGTGACACAGAAGCAGCAGATGCTGGGATCAGTGAAAGAGCGGATCACCTGTAAGTGAAAGTGGGTGTCCTGGATCTCTGTCCACCAAAACAGAGCTGTTTTACTCAAACATTTTTTAATTATTGTAAATGAAATGCAATGCAGCCACCTGCACTGAATTTTCTGTCTACATTCAATAAAAATAAAAAGGATTGATTAAATTGTTTCCACTTGTACGTTACAGAAAATAATTCATGTTCCCCCTACCTAATTTCAACCTCAAATCCGGTTCATAACTTCCTTGTTTTTAACCTTCAGGAATAATTTTATTAGCTTTCTGGAAACACTTATGTAAGGAGAGACAGACAGTGAAGAATCATGAAAGCATCTGCAACTCTCAAATCTCAGGGCTCTGTTCCTGATAATACTTTGCCTAGAGAATGTCAAAGCAGCTTAAAAATAACTGTGTTTAATCCATCAACACATTGTCACTTCACTGGAGAAGTATGAGTCAACAATCAAAATACTTGTTGCTTCCAACCTATGTGGATGAGGAAGAACCAAATCTGTTCATTGTATTTATCAAAGTTTCCATTAACAGATTTCTTCAGTAAGATTTGACCGTTAAGAGGAAAGTTTACACTTTGGGAGGCCAAGGCGGGCAGATCACGAGGTCAGGAGATCGAGACCATCCCGGCTAACACGGTGAAACCCTGTCTCTACTAAAAGTACAAAATTTAGCCAGGTGTGGTGGTGGGCGCCTGTAGTCCCAGATACTCGGGAGGCTGAGGCAGGAGAATGGCGTGAACCTGGGAGGCAGAGCTTGCAGTGAGCTGAGATTGTGCCACTGCACTCCAGCCTGGGCAACAGAGCAAGACTCCATCTCAAAAAAAAAAAAAAAAAAGAGGAAAGCTTACAAATTCTAAATTCAAAAAGAGATTTTATTCCTAAATATCCAGCTTCCTCACTTGTTTATATATACAAGTGCAAAACAGCCCCCCAAACACAAAGATCCCATTTTCATTTGAACAGATGAGGTAAGGTGAAGGAAAATCTTGAATTTCTTCACCATAATAAACATTTCATATAATTGTATGCCTAGCACCAAGCACAAGTATTTGGGACAGGAAAGCATTCCATAAATCATGACATGAACAGTATTTAACCCATTCATTTGAATGATCAGTTTGTGATGATACCAAGTGTCATACCATTCATTATTTTCATTTCATTTCAATCTAGGCAATTCTGCTACGGATGAAACAAAACACAATCAAAAAGGACAAGCTCTTGAACCCTGCTGGAATTTTTAGCCATTCAAAATTTGAAGAAAAAGTCAAAAATACAATTGCAGACCATACAGTATGATGTAAATATATACAGAATGTGAACAATGAACCATGTAAAAAATACTTTGGAAAAAGGTCTTAATAGGTTATTTCTACTTAATCGTTCAGCTAAATACAGCCACGTGCCGCATAGACATTTTGGTCAACGATGGCTCAAATACATGATGGTAGTCCTGTAAGATTATAAGACCTGAAAAACTCAGCTATGTCATAACTGATTAGATGATTTCATCACCACTCACTCACCAATTCACCCAGAAGCAACTTCCAGTCCTACAAGCCCCATTCATGGAAAGTGCCCTGTACAGTTATACTATTTTTAATCGTTTATACCATATTTTTACTGTATCTTTTCTACATTTAAATATGTTTCGATACACAAATGCTATGATGGTGTTATAATTACCTACAACATTCAGTATGGTAATATGCTGTACAGGTTCATTACCTTGGAGCAATGGACTACATCATATAGCCTAGGTTTGCAGCAGGCTCCACCATCTAGGTCTGTGTGATTACACTCTAGGATGTTCACACAATTATGAAATCACCTAATGATGCATTTCTCAGAATATATCCCATTGTTACCTGATGCATGACTGTATGTCATAATTTTAAGGAACTATCATAAAGTAGTCCTTTCCCCAGACACACAAACTCCCTCGATAACCGGCCTTATGAGAAGAGGAGAAAAAAAGGGCTTCAGCTAGTAAACATGCTCCTCTGAATCACTGTGTGTTTACAGGAGGGCTTGCATCTTTCCAAAGAACTTGGGTAAATCACAAGTGGGGTCTTACTTTCTACTGCTGACCGTCTATTTCTAAATTGCCACTTCACTGAAGCTGCCTGGACAAAGAGTGAAGCTAGCCAAAATACATCTTGAATTTTGTAATTTTATTTCTTGGTTGTGGTAGTTTTCAGCACTGCAGGATATGGAACAACTAACATTAAGTTTCACCTTTACTCCCCTAATTTAGCAAAGAGAAAGAAAACAGAAGGTGGCAGGCAGCTCAGGTAGTTAAAGGATATCCAGCTTCACTTCATCAGAGAACATCAAGTAAATCTGTAGAAACTTTTAAAATTGATTTTAGCCTTGTTTCCTATATCAGATCTCTCATGATGGATACAAAGAAGAAACTGAACTGGTACAGCCATGGACCATCGAAGCAAGATTAGCATCATTCATATCAATCAAAAGGGAAGGGAGATACTAGTCAAACTTTTGGATAGGCTAATGATTCCCAAGCCAGGCTGCAGCTTGGTAACACTTGGGAAGCTTCTGGTTTAATTGGCCTTGGGAGTTGTGGGGTCTGAGCGGGCATGGTGGCTTACGCCTGTAATCCCAGCACTTTAGGAGGCCAAGGCGGGCGGATCATGAGGTCAGGAGTTCAAGACCAGCCTGACCGAGATGGTGAAACCTCGTCTCTATTAAAACTCCAAAAATTAGCTGGGTGTGGTGGTGGGTGCCTGTAATCCCAGCTACTCGGGAGGCTAAGGCAGGAGAATCGCTTGAACCCAGGCGGCAGAGGTTGCAGTGAGCTGAGATCACGCCATTGCACTCCAGCCTGGGCAACAGAGTGAGACTCCATCTCAAAAACAAACAAACAAACAAACAAACCTCACGCAAGTGAAGCTGACCCCGCCGTCAAGGTTGACAAGGGTAGAATGAGACTACTTGAAAAAAATAAGCCATTAATGAAAGGGATCATGTGCTCAAGCATACCAAGCATAGAGTGTCAGAGTTCAAAAAATAACGTGTTGACTTTGATGAAACTATCAGTTCAGTTACTGCCTGGGCCCCATACAGGTGAATATGGCCACACCCATACAGGAAGGCATCCCTACTGCCTGCTCTGACACTAGCATTTTAAAGTCATTCTGGAATCATTTAGTTTGAATGTCCACAATATTGAGAGTCTTTAGGAATGTAATAGACTATGACAAATCTCACACCATGAATTTTATGACATGCAGTTTATTATGTATTTTTCACAAATCTGAAAACATATGTACACTGAACACAAACATACAAACACATTTAAATAATACACAATACAGTTGCAATGTTGGCACCAGACCCCCACACTGAGGAGCTGCCTGGGCTAAGAGAAACATCTCTGCTTGTTTTTTGCTAGCTCTCAGGTACTAGGACTATATACTGAAAGTGCTGAGCCCCTGCATGTCAGCAGCATTTCATTACCCTTTATATTTCTAGCCTCTTACCCCTATCATATACTGGTTCTCAATACATACCTGCTAGATGAATTTTTCTTGAGCACAAATGACCTCCCTGGTCATCTCAATTTCGGATGAAGTCTTCCTCTGGAAGTAGGTAAGGCTAAGCTAGTGAAAAACAGTCAGGAAGAGGATGAGTCAGTAGTGAGGGGATGTCTATTACCTGGGATTGGAAACAAAAGTAACTGTAGCCTACTGCAGTAGCTCTTGTCTGTAATGCCAGTAGTTTGGGAGGCCAAGACAAGAGGATCATTTGAGGCCAGGTGTTCAAGACAAGCCTGGGCAACACAGAAAGACCCCATCTCTACAAAAAATTTTTCTAAAAAAGTTAGCTGGGCATGGTGGTGAATGCCTGTATTCCCAGCTACTCGGGAGGCTAAGGTGAGAGGATCACTTGAGCCCAGGAAGTTGAGGTTGCAGTGAGCCATGACTGTCCCCCTGCACTCCAGTCTGGGACACAAAGACCCCATTTCAAAAAAAAAAAAAAAAATGACTTGTGAAAGAACACTAATACCTCTGTCCCTGACTCAAACTATACCAGGCTCTACCTGCAGGTCCTCGACCTACTTTTAGGGACAACTGACCTAGAGAAGTCCGGTGACCCCTTTCTCAGGAGGCCCTAGAAAGCGGGCCTAGAAGAACACACCTCCACCCTAACCCAAGGTCAGAGCTGAGCATGCCTGTTCTCAGCACCGCCCTTGAAGACCACGCCTTAGTAGATGCCAGCCCTCCAGGCTGCAGTGACATCCTCTTACCCACTAAAACTGACCTGGGTCATTACCATTCACCAAGTGCTCTGTCAGGTACTCCACTCTCTCTCTTCACAAGCACCACACCAAGACAAGTGCTTCACCCATCCTTACTTCATGCACTGGGTAACAAGGAGAAATTAAGCAGCATGGCTAAGGACAGAGAACTAACAAGTAATTGCCACTGAGCCTCAATCCCAAACCTCTGTCCCTAAAGGCTCTTTGCAGCACATGCCAGTAACAACAGCAATAACAAAGCAATAACAAACGGCTAAGATTCATGTGTTACTTACTGTGTGAAAATACTATGCTAAGCACCTAAAATGCATTCACTCAGTTAATCCCCATAACAACCTCATAGGATACTGACATTATTCCCATTTTATACATTCAGAAACAGGTTTAGAAAAGTTAACGGTCTGTGTGGACTTGGCGAGTAAGCAGCAGAGCAGAGTGGAGCCCAGGCAGCAGAGTCCAGTGTCCAGCTCTTGCTGCACTTTGCACAGCCTCTCCAGGAAACTGAAGGAAGAAGCCCACGCAGGAGGGGGTAAATACCTCACTTCTGAGACCCAGTTTTCTCACGTATGAAGTGAAAGTGTTGGAGCAGATGACAGGTCTAAGGACCCTTCCCACCAGCAGTTTTGTAACAAGCGTAGGACCAGGGCAGCCAAACCCCACCATGACCAGAAACTAAAAACAACATATCGGAGACTGACTCACCCTTTTTTCTATTTTTTAACTTTTATTTGTAGTAAAATATATGTAACATAAAATTTACCATCTTAACTTGTAAGTGTATATATAATTCAGTGGCATAAGTTTATTCATGGTTGCTTTTGTTTGTTTCTTTTTTGACACGGAGTTTCGCTCTTGTTGCCCAGGCTGGAGTGCAATGGCACGATCTCAGCTCACCACACCACAACCTCCGCCTCCCGGGTTCAAATGATTCTCCTGTCTCAGCCTCCCGAGTAGCTGGGATTACAGGCATGCACCACCACACTCGGCTAATTTTGTATTTCTAATAGAGATGGGGTTTCTCCATGTTGGCCAGGCTGGTCTCGAACCCCTGACCTCAGGTGACCCATGGGCTTTGACCTCCCAAAGTGCTGGGATTACAGGAGTGAGCCACCACGCCCAGCCGTGTATTCATGTTTTATGCAACCATCACCACCGTCCATCTCTAGAACTCTTTCCATCTCTCCCATCTGAAACTCTGTACCCGTTACACAACTCCCCAGTTGCCCTCCCCTCTCAACCACTGTTCTACTTTCTGTCTATGAATTTGACTACTCTAGGTACCTTATAAGTGGGATCACAGAGTCTTTGGCTTTTTATTTCTGTGTTATTTAACTTAGCTTAATGTCCTTACAGCTCATCCATGGTGTAGCATGTGGCAGGATCTACCATATTTTGTTTATCTATTTATCTCTCCACAGACACTTGGGTTGCTCCCACCTCTTGACTATGGTCAATAATGCTGCAAGGAACATTGGCATACAAATAATGCTGGCTTTTTAATAAGACAAATTGATCCAAAATATGTTCAAAAACATATTTTAACATATCAGGATATTTCTCATAAATAAAACTCTTTGCTGCTCTGGAATTAAGGTGACCTCTCCAACACAGACCAAAAGACTCAGTGGCATGTCCTCAGAATCAGTCCCACAGAATGTGCACACACAGCACTGTTCCATGACTGGGCCCAAGCTCCTGTTGTAAATGTGGCTCTTTGCTACAACTAAAGTAAAAACATGCTACCTAAAGAAATTAATCTCAAGTAAAGTACCACAATGAGGAAGATTTTAATGAACTTTGCAGGGGATTTAAGATGGATTTTTCTTGATAGCACATCAATGTCTACAATAATTGTAGGATTTCTTTAAGCATCCTGCAGTTAAACATTAAAAAGAGAATGTTTCAGTGATAGAAGTCCTTGTTATTCTCACCTACAAGAAATGTTTTCATTTTGGTGCATGTTTCCTACCTTATTCCCACTCCATCTTCCCCAAAAATGGAGAAATAAAGAGGAAAATTTGACAATCAACTGTCTTGTTAGCGTTTTGTTTATAATCCTTCTTTTGCAAATCAATAATATTAAAGTTTTTTTATACTGCCAGGTCTACATGGGATCCGGTTACTCCTCATTTGAGGGGTCAAGAGTCACCTGGAAGGTCTGTTCTACAGTGACAGCCATTAGACCTGCCAATCTCCTGGAGATGGGGGTGAAAGAGGCAAGGTGGCTGGTGGCCTCTGCATTGGGGTATGATACAAAACACTTAGAAAGAGGAAAGCAAAAGTCTTTTTTAAAAATGTTCAAAACAGAAGAGCTCAGAAAACAACAATTAAACTGACAATGAACTGACTGGGTTTTCATGGAGGATGGGAGCCCAGCAGCTATCATTACTTTCGCCTTTTGGACAGAATCAAATCCAATACAGCCCAGCAGCCCCATTTCAAGCTGTGATCCCAAAAATAAAGATCATTTCTGTCTCTCCCTACTCTGATCCTGAGGAAGGTGTTGAAATGCCACGAGCATCCTGCCTTGGGTCCAAAAGAGAACTTTAAAGACGTCTGATTGTCACTCTTCAGTCTTTTCTTCTTTTAAGTCATAGAACCCAATAAATAGAGCTGTTTCTGTGGTTTTCAGAAGGTGGGAGAGACAGTCGGGAAGGAAGAGTTAAGTTTCATGAAGTTCAACCAGAAGGCTTTCTGCAATGCCCTTAAAATGCTTTCCATATATGAACAATCTATAAGATTCCCAGCCCCAAAGTACAATCCATGACTCCCAAGCTTGACCATTTCTCTTTCATACTACCAGAATTGTAATTACTTTTACCTATTTGGCAGCATCAAACCCACCACAGACAGATGAAGATTTCCCACCAATAGGATTCTCTTCCCCAGTGACCATACCCCAAGTTTTTGGGACACAACAAGTCACCAACAAAAGTGTACCAACTCAAAATGACCTAAAACGTACTTCAGCTCTATTTAAGCATTCCAGAGAACTTGAAAATTAACAATGTTATTGAACCACTCACTGGCTTCCTCTGCTATCCCTACAAAAAATTTAACTACTGTCATGGTTTGTTTCAATATATAACTTCACCTTTTCTGAAGCTTACATGGGAAGATGATTTGATTTTTATGACTAAAAAGATATTTTACAAAGGACAAAAGGAAATTATGCACATAGTTACTAAATAAAAGAAACCCACTCCTATGAATCCAGAGAACCAAACTGCAGAGGCACGCACAAACACACAGTTAATCCAGCCTTCATCCTTTAAAGAAAAACCACCAAAAACGGAAACATGAGTCATGAATTACACTCAACTATTTCATGGAAAGCAGCAAGCTGCTTCTAAGTCTAAAAATACCCTCTCAACATTAAGCCCTGTGTTTATTTTTTCCACCTTTCACCCATCTTGCTGTATGTCCTTTAGTAAAAAAAAAAATTGATTCCAAAAAAAGAAAAAGAAAAACAACGGTATCTCTTAAGACAACCTGGGCTTCAGCAACCAAAAAGAAATGACCATGTGCAGGTCAGGCACAGCCACCACGTGACCTATTAGGTGAAGACGTTGAGCACTGCAAAAAAGCTGTAGAAACACCACCACACATGAGGCACCCAGGGAAAAGCTTGGTAGTGCACATACACAATGGTTAAGAATGCTGAGGGACACACTGACCAAGGGAGGGGATCACAGTGATTGTCACTGAGCTAATGGATAACAACAAAAATTGCAGAAAAAAATTTAGAGATCCATTACCTACTGCAGCTCCAAAATTCATTAAGGTTGCCATATTCTAAACTCTAAACTCTAAATTCACATGGTATTTTTCACCTACATAAATAACATATCTCTTTCTCCCCTCTGCTCTGTCTTCCAACAATTTCTCACCTCAGACAATGAGTAAAGAGTTTTTAAAAATACCAAACATGTTCCCACACTGTGGATCAGCATGAAACTAATCTTTAAAGTCCATTCCCCACAAAAACTAAAGTAGTACAACATATACATTGAACCAGTTAGCATGTTCAATATTAAAAACTGTTTGTAGTTCTGAAATCAGCATAGCTCCAGTAACTAAGAGCAACAGATACCTTAAACTAGGATGGAAATAGCATTCCATAAATATATCATCAGCAACATTATGCAGCTGAATGATCCCTGTCTACAGTGTGTGTAGGGATGCTCCATAATTAAAGCTTTATTAAAACTGTTCTCTGAAGATCTAACTGAGAAAACATCAGAATCGGAGCCAGCTGTGCTGTTTAACCGTCTCCCTGAGAAAGGCTTGTGTGGAGGTGGGTTATTTGAAATTCTCCCTTCGACATTACATTCCTGTCTTTGACATCTTGATTTTTTTCTCCTTTGTCTTAGTTTCTCCTACCTTTTAAGGCTGAAGAACATAGGACATTTAATTAATAATCAAACAGTTTAAGAACATTGATGCTTAAGAGGCTGTGTTTCTATCAAACATTAATCCAGTTCATCCAGGAAGGCTTTGTGCTGTAGAATAAACTCCAGCGTTCATGTAATTTTAATGAAAATGCTTCTGCACCCAGGTACTTTTTTGTGTCTAAACTGCTGTTCAGTACCCTGAATATTTCAAACATCCCAACTACAGTGGCTAGGAAAGCCAAACGCAGGAAGAGCATGTATAGGAGCCCAAAATAAGTGTTATAAGAATTTAAATACAAAATGACAAAGTGTCCTAATTTTATATTTCATAAGCAAAATAACTGTTCAGATTAGAAAAAAAAAAAAGATAGGCAGTCTTAGATATTTATTCCCGTTTCCTGGATGGGTTTATTATCAATAGGTATATATTCACCGTTTATATTTTTTAAAGGAAATATCAAAAAAAATTTTAAGAAAAAGAAAACGTTTGAAAGCCCACATCTAGAGATAATTAACATTGTGACCCTAGTTCCAAATCACCACCCATCCAAAAGAACATACACAGGCCACACCCACAATTTTACATATGGGTTCATGCTACAAATGCCTGGCTAGAATCTGTCCCCCAACCGTAAGCACGTCAAAGAAAGGTTTCCATGTGAATGTAGATCACATCATTTGCCTCATAAAACTCCATCATATGACTGGACCAATATTTCACTACCATTAACACAGCAATAAATTTTGAACATACATCTTTGCACATCCCCAATTATCCTACTTGTGATAAATTTCAAGAAGTACCTTAATCAAAGGGAATCTGCATATTGACACATATTGCCTAACTGGATCCCAGAAAGAAGAACCTGCTGGAAATACAGTGCCATTTGGCACTGTACCCTTGCCAAGGCTGGGTTTTGTAAATTTTATTTTTATTTGTATGCTGCAAATCTTAATCCCATTAGTCACTTCAACCATCTTTAGGATCCTTTGCTACTCAGCAGTTCTTCATTTTTACAAGTAGCAAAAATTCACCAGCCTTCATCCATAGTGCACAGTCTCTGCATGATATGTTATGTTTAGAAAGTATTCCCCATTTCAAAAGAAACCATATTTTCTTTTTACACTCTTTTACCTTCATATTTTCCAACTAGTTAAAATTTATTTTAAGATGTGACAAAAAGGATTAAATTTTATTTCTCAAACGAATAGCTAATTGTCCAAATGCCATTTACTAAATAATCTATTCTTTTTTGATGATTTTAAATACTGCCTTTATTGTATACCAAATCACCACAATGTACTACTTATTGCTGGACTTTCCATTTTGTTCCATTGACCAATTAAATAATTAAATGATTCATTTAAAGTCTATTCCAACTTTGAAAGGATGGACTGCCAGTGTCAAACTCTGCCTCCACCATTAATACCGTGTATTATTTTGGATGAGTCACTACACTTCCCTGTGCCTTAGTTTCCTCATCAGTAAAATGGGCATAATGGTAACTACCCCAAGAGATCAGCAGAAACTTGATCCCTCCCTTCAGGAATTTAGAGACCAACTGAAGGAGACAGGCATTTAATCGAATGGCCATAAAATTAATGCACAATCACAAACCATGGTGAATGTAATAAAAGGAACCTGATCCAACCTACTAGGTCAGAGAAAGGGATTCCAATAAGTATCATCTGGATCAAGGCCTAAAGGATGAGTGGGAGTGGACTAGCTCCCAGATGACATGAAGTGGGCAGGTCGGGGGGTGGGCTCAAACCCCTTGGCCCGCAACTCTGCAAAGGCCTGGTTTCTTCTCAGCCTCAATTTCTCAGTTTAAAGACGCATCCTCAGGGAAACACTGCATGACCACACATTTCTGTGAGACAGAGTTATGATCTTTGGTAAGAAAGATAATGATGTAAAATCATATCATACAATCTTATTTAACAGAAACTATTCCAGCTGGAGATGTTCCATGACCCTAGCTTCAGTAAGACATGAGAAGTAGTTCTTTACCCTCAAGGCTATCCTCTCTGAATAAGAATCTAAAGTGTCTGTGAAACCATAACCTGCTCTTTTTTATGTGCAAATAGTAGTACCCTGTTCACTTTTTGAATGACGTCAGCTGGTGAGAGCTTCCCCAGCTGCACCTCATAGACAACCTTAACCTTTCTACATACTGAAAAGAACATGGCCTCTCTCCACAACAGAATGTCAGGTATGACCTCCACGTGAGAGTGCCCTAGCATTGTTCTTTGCTGCACCTGTGACAAATTCTAATTATATATTTGCATAATCATTGGTCTGTCTCCCACACTGCACTGCCAGTTCCACGGGGGCAGGGAATGAGTATTTTATCCATCTCTCTATACCTAAAACTCAGCACAGAGCCTGGCGGTTAATGGGCGAATGCTTACTGTTTGTTAAGAAAGATGGAGGACCAGAGCATAAAGAGGGGAAAAACTGGCCCTCAATCAGGGTGGAGAGGCCAGGGTCAGATCAGGCAGGCCCTTGCAACTCTCCAAAGAGAGTTTTTAAATCCAAATAATTTCTAGAGTAGCTTATTAATGGATAGTTCCATAATCTGATAAGAAAAACATATAAATCAAACAAACTCACACCTCACTTTCTACAAGTTGTGTCCAATTATGAAAGAAGCATCTTGCAAAACCCTTACTCTTAAGAGAACCACCTAACAAGCACATAATACAGAATACATAAGTAACAAAGTTCAATTATGCTACATCTACCTTCATTCAAAAAATCATTGTTATATAGTAATTTTTTTTTTTTTTGAGACTGAGTATCACTCTGTCGCCCAGGCTGGAGTGCAGTGGCATGATCTTGGCTCACTGCAACCTCCACCTCCTGGGTTAAAGCGATTCTCCTGCCTCGGCCTCCCGAGTAGCTGGCATTACAGGCATGTGCCACCATACCCAGCTAATTTTTTTGTATTTTAGCACAGACAGGGCATGTTGGTCAGGCTGGCTTTGAACTCCTGAACTCAAGTGATCTGCCCGCCTCAGCCTCCCAAAGTGCTGGGATTACAGGCGTGAGCCACTGTGCCAGGACAATTATTTTTAAATGCTGAAATCTGAAACTACTTTAAAAGGACCAAAACCCGAAGTTTTGCAGCAAATAAAAACATCAATTTGGTATATGCTTCAGCAGATTACTACACAAGAAAACAAATCTCTTGAAGCAGTCTCAACTGTTTCTCAGCTTACAAGTTAATATTATCCCCAGAAACATCACAAGATGCTGCAGAGGTTGGAAAAGTTAGCTTCACTCTAGAAATGATTTCACAGAAATTATTTATCTCAGAGGTCGAAGCACTTGCCATTGAAGCCATCAAAGAGTGGCAGGCCCCAGAGAAAGCCAGACCATCCATAAAGGCATGCTTGTGCCCAGCAATCCACCACCGTCAGCAGTCCAGTGGATCTTGCTAGACGTGTCCTCTTTGGGAGAAAGGCAAAAGTGGCCTGCCCATCTCATTACTGAGGCTACGTTTCACGGTAGTGTTTTTTCCATTTTTATGTATTTTGTTTGGGTTGCTGAGAAGAATATATTATTTTACCATTTATGGCTTCCTAAACTTTGTATTTTCTGTCTTCAAAATAGAAGCCTGCCAGAGACTATTAACAATGTTCCGCATTCAAGTTCAACAGGGATCACTGGGAACGTCTCCTATCTTCTCAGGTATCTCTCCCTCACTTCATTCTTTTTTTGCTAGAATGGCACTGCCTACAGGCTTTTTGCTGAGAAGCTAAGAAGTGACAGATGCCCAGGAGACTCGTGGCCTAAGGGCTGGAGAATGAGGCTGAACAGCTCACACCAAATTACCAAGAACATCTTACAGGAGCACTCCAATACCCTATACATGTCTTAGCTGCCCTCTTTCCCTTTACGAAAAAACAGTGTCAATGCTATGACACTAGGGATAAGACTTAGGGAACTGAAAAAAAAAAATCTTCATTTAAAAGAAATGCCAGCAAAAGTCATTAGCAGCTGCTTACTTATAATGTTTGTACACATCTTCTTGGTGAAACCAGAAAAGTAGCCATGCATTCAGAAGAAACCCAAGCAGCACAATTTAATTCAGGGCTCTATGGAGGGCAGGGCAGGTGTTCCAATAGTTTTAAGCTAAATGCCTAATGAAGCAAACTGACATATATTTATAGTTCTAGAACTTGGCTAGAAACTGGGTTTGTTCCTAGTCCCCGTGATGGCTCCTAAAATTATTCGATTCCTTGTTTTCAACTTATCCTGAGAAAGTGGGGTTACAAGTAAAGACGATGAAGTGGAAAGAAAATTTTGTAATAGATCAAATTACCAAAGATAAGAAAGAAAATATAGAAACACTACTCACCCATAAACCCACTGACCAGGAATAATCACTGTTCAAATGTTCATTAAAAAAATAATCTTACTGTAACAATATAGCATAACGCCTGGTCTATAAATTCTCAGTGCATTTTAGCTACCATCATAGCTATATTTTTACAATATCAGGCTTACTACATATTACATATCTGCTTTATGGCTGGCTTTTTTCATTTTGGCAATAATCATGAATGTTTCCCTACTGCAATAAATATTGCCCTATAGATAAAATAGCTGTAGAGATTTCATAATATTGACATACAGATTTACTTCCTCATCCCTTATTGAGGTTGTTTACAATTTTTCACCACAATAACTACTACAGTGAACAATCTTGTACCTAAGTTGTACATACTTATACATTTATATTCTGTGAATAGTTTCCTAAAAACAGAATTACAGGGAAGAGAACTACTGATCTCCAGAAGTGTTTTAACAGTTTACACTCCCACCATAAACGGGGATCCATGTTCTTATACTCTTGCTAACCCAGAATGTTACTATCCTTTTCATCTCTGCCAATCTAAACAATGAAAAATGTCAGATATTGCTGTCTGATTTCCTTGATTTTTGCATTCGTATCTTGGCCACTTGCTCTTTCAAATACTGCCTTTCATATTGTTGTCTTATTTTTCTACTAAAGTGTTCGCGTCTTCTTGGTGACCACTAAGAGCTTTTAGGTATGTCTTGGTTTGATATATAAGGTGACAATAGGACTCATGGTTAAAAACTACTGGCAGTTACTGGCTCTGAAACCAGGTGGTGTGGTTTCAATCCTGACTCTGCCACTGAAGCTGTGTAACCACCTCTGTGTTTCAGCTTCCTCATCTGTAAAATGGGGATAATAATGTTCATAGGGTTGCTGTGAGTAATAAATGAGTTAAAATAGTACCTAGGCTAGCCATTTGTACAATGAAGGAAGTTTATTTTAAACTTACAATCTTACAATTTTATGAGGGTGTGCTTTAAATTCTACATTAACTTTTAGAAATCGGTGATGTATTTTAAGCAGAAATGAATACATCAAAAATATATGCATAGGACCCCCTTTTAAATATACATAAGGATCAACAGAAACAGAAGCTATGTATTCATTCAACAATTATCAATTAAATGCCCACTACAGGCTAGGAACTGGCAACAGAATGAAGTATAGAATGGCAGGGTCCTTCTCTTTATACCCACCCTAGAGGATACCATCAAGGAGACTGGTGCCTGTATAGCAGTGAGCCGAGCACTACACTTCACAGAGGTACAACACACAATTATTTTTTTAATTTTTATTTTACTTTAAGTTCCAGGATACATGTGCAGAACGTGCAGGTTTGTTACATAGGTATACATGTGCCATGGTGGTTCGGTGCACCTATCAACCTGTCACCTAGATTTTAAGCCCCACATGCATTAGCCATTTGTCCTGATGCTCTCCCACCCCCGCCCCATAGACCCTGGTGTGTGTTGTTCCTCTCCCACAACATGCAATTTTCATTGCACATGGAAGGACATTTAACCCACACTAAATGAGGGAAGGGTAACCTCTCTGAGAAAATATGAAGCTGATAAAGTGGTGATTAATCAAATACCAAGTGGAAAGAAGGGAATTTCCACAGAGAGGGAAGAGCATGGTGCGAAGGCTTGAAAGGCAAGAAACGTATGGCATAATTGCAAGGTGTCAGGATAACTAGCACAGCTACAACTCAGAGCACATTTAGAGTGTGAGAGTGAAAGCAGATCACTGAGCAGGACACAGATGACACTTCAGACTCCTGAACAGGACTTCAGAGGGACCTATCCTGGGAGCCATAAGGAGCCACTGAAGAGTTTTAAGAAGAAGAACAATGCTAGATTTGCTCTTTAGAAAAGTCACTATAGCCACAGTAGATAATGAACCAGAGGGGAACGAGACCAGAAGCACAGAACGTCAGAACCTAAAATCATGCCCAGGACCATATTACCTCAGCTGTGCAACTGAGAAAATGTGGGTGTGAGGAGGAAGAAGTTGAGATCAAGTGACTAGTGACTGGTCTGGGGTCTCACAAGTGCTCAGAATGGGAAAACTAGGAGATGTGAAGTCTCTGGGCTCCTACTGATCTTGTGCCACACAGCCTGATGACGGATGGTATTGCACCATTTTCTAAATTACTTCAAAAGCTTCTCTTAAAGAACATGTCTACCTCCTTTCTGAACATCGGGCACAGAACAGATGACTCAGTGCTGCTCTAAACAAATGACCTTCCTTTTTCTAAAATATAATTAAATACCCCATTACAGGCAGAAAACTCCTTGGTACTCAGAAAAAGGTCAACCATTTCCATAGTCAAATTATGTATGGGAAGGGCCATGTTTTGAACAAGACAGTTGGTACATTCTTGTGTCCTTGTAAGGATGTAGGAAAAAAACAAACACAGTTTCTCCTATTATATATATACCTCAAAATACCCAGCACAGACTATTTCTGTGACCTCTGGTTACCAAAATGTGTGGGGATTTCTCCCTACCAGCAACCCATTCTGCAGATGATTCTCCACTGGACACCAGCTGGGTGTCCTCTAATTCAATTCAATTCTGACACTACCTGGAGATAGCGTCAGATCCCACAGGTTGAGGGCTCGGTCCCACAACTGGCTTCAGATGCCAGTCACAAGCACAGTCCTGTGCTTCTAACCTATCAGCTATAAATCAGGGTTCCCACAACTCCCTCCTGTGATTCAACTAATTTGCCAGAGCAGCACACGGAACTCAGGGAAACACTTACTTATGTTTAGCCATTTATTAGAAAGGTATTAAAAGGATACAGATGAACAGCCAGATGGAAGAGACACATAGGTCGAGGTATGGGAGAAGCAGCCTGGAGCTTCCATACCCTCTCCAGGCACATCCTCTTTCAGGAACCACCACATGTTCAGCTGTCTGAAAATCCTCCCAAACCCTGTGATGTTGGGTTTTTATGGAGGCTTCATTACATAGGCATGACTGATTAAATCACCGGCCTTTGGTGATCCACTTAACCTTCACCCCCTTTCCCCTCTAAGGAGGCTGGAGCTGAAAGTCCCAACCCTCTAAGCATACATTGGTCTTTCTGGTGAACAGTCCCCAACCTGAAGCTATAGGAGTCCCCAGCCACTGGTCATCTCGTAGCAGAGAAAAGACAGTTACCACCCTGATGATCCCATGGGTTTTAGAGGTTTTTTTTCTGTGAGGAAACAGGGAGACGAAATACATATTTCACAATACCATGGTCCTTAAGAACACTGAATCCCCAAATTAAAATATCCATTTTATTCTTCTTCCATTCTAATTTAGTGAAGGAGGAAATCTCAGGGTATTGTTAGAATATCTACTACTTATCTGTTAATCTCCTGTTTTAACAAAGGCAGAATAAACCTCAAGCTCACAGATTTACTCAGGCAAGAGTATCCAGGACTTAATTTTGTTTTGCATGATAATTAATAGTGATTTTTCCATTTAAGAAAATGGTACACTGATTCAGTTTTAAATTAAGTCAGTGTGATGATTAATTTTATGTGTCAACTTAACTGGGTTAAGGGATACCCAGATAGCTGGTAAAATATTTCTGTGTGTGTCTGCCAGGGTGTTTCCAGAAGACATTAGCATCTGAATCAGTAGACTGAGCAAAGAAGATCTGAGGGCAGCAGACATCCAATCGCTTGAGGGCCTGGGAAGAGCAAAAAGCAAATTTGCTCTCTTTTCTTAAGCAAGACTTCCATCTTCTCCTGCCCTTGGACATCAGAATTCCAAATTCTTGAGACTTTGGGGTTGGGGCTTACACCAGCAGCTCCCCGGGGCCTCAGGCCTTTGGACTTGGACTGTATTACACCACCGGGTTTCCTGATTCTCCAGCTTGCAGAAAGCATATTGCAGGATTTAGTCTCCATAATCACATGAGCCAATTCCCATAATAAATCCCTCTCATGTATCTACATATCATGTTGGTTCTGTTTTGCTGGTGAACCCTTATATAGTCAGTAAACATGAATACAGATTGACAAAATGTCATGAAGATACAACTGAATGATACGCTTAGGAAACAATCAAATTATTCTACCATAATCATGTGGAAAGCGCCTACAGAAAATGCCTACGTTCACCTGAATCATTCACAGCAGCAACCAGTAGACACAGTTTTACTGGACACTATGAGCTTAGCAATGTTCCAGGCTTTATATCAGTAACTCCATCTTGGGCTACTACTCCATATTAAACTGCTGATGAACTTTGAGACCCGAAAAGGAACTGTGAAAAACATTCCTTCACAAACAACCGTGCTCTCAGCACTACACAATACAAGTAAAACTGGTCCTAATCTTTACAAACACTCTGTATATAGGTTTTTCCTGAATAACTGATACAAATGTACCCTTCTACTACTGATTAAAGACTTGTTTAATACACCAATGAAATAATGTGACAAGCAATTTATGTAATCTAAATAAGTTCTTTTAAATAGCCCCCTTGCCCTTCTCGGGTGGTACAATCTCTGACTGCTAGCCAGGTTGCAACCCCCATTCCTGAGTAAATGCTAATTTAACTCTGACCTGTTGACCTTTTTTGGGGGGCACTGGAGGGGTGACAACACTAAGAATTTAGGTAATTTAGATATTATAAAGGGCAAGCCAGTACATATCACAAAATATCAGTATAACTCACTGTTTCACAAAAGGGGAAGACGTAACAGTCATCAATTTAGGAAAACAATTGATATAGAGATTTTATGATAAGCTTTCTGTTTAAGACACGTCCTTTTATGTAAGGTGATTTTTTTGGTGAAAATGTATCAAAATGCTTTACATGTCTGTGTCTTCAGACACAGAAAGTAGCTGAAAGAGCTTGTAAAAAGTGAATTAAATGTTAGCCAGGCGCGGCGGCTCATGCCTGTAATCCCAGCACTTTGGGAAGCCAAGGAAGGCATATCACTTGAGTAGGAGTGCAAGACCAGCCTGGGCAATGTAGCAAGACCCTGTCTCTACCAAAAATACAAAAAAATTAGCCAGGAGTGGTGACGTGAGCCTGTAGTCCCAGCTACCTGGAAGGCTGAGGAGGGAGGCTTGGGCCTGGGAGGAGGAGGTTGCAGTGATTCGTGGTCACGCCACTGCGACAGAGTGAGACCCTGTCTCAAAAACAAAATAAAACAAAAATGAATTAAATACACCTTTGTGATCACAAAAATATCTTCTGAACAATTTAAGTTGTGTAAAGAATGACATTCTTCCAGCTTTTCTTGGAGCTAGGGAAAAGGAGCTTTCCATGTCTAGAACATAGGGACGATGAGCACTATAAATATATCTGCAAAATTTGGACTGGGTTTAAGGTGAATATAATGATCAAAAGGTGAAAAATCCAAAGATTTTAGGTTTATCAGCTTCAAATGGCCCAAAATACATAGAGCATAATGGATGAGATGAATGGAAAAGAGAATAATGGAAAACAGTTTTACTGTTTGTTAAACTTAACTAAAAAGTGAAATGGGAGACAGAACTTAAGTGCAAGGTTCATCATCAGAAGTAGAAGATCTCTGGATAACAGGCTATTAATATTAATCAGTAAACTCTTAACTACAGTACTGATGAACACCTCCAGAAAACACTTCCTTTAGCCAGTGTATTATACGATGATGATGTGCAATGGCCATGGCAAAGGGTTTGTAGGTCCTTCTTGCCCAGATGCAGCCACTTAAGCAGTAAAATAATGAATGGTATAAATTCAGCCATCAAGCCACTGTACACACATTAACTCAATAGAAAGAAGCACATTAGGGTCACCTCAGCAACCAGTATATGCAGAAAATAACAGAAGTGAGAGGTGTGTCCACCCTGCAATTTCTACAGGACACCTCTCCTTCAGGTTACTTACCACTCAGATACAAAATCAGGCCTCACTATTCTCTCCCTGGCCAAGCTGCTCAACTGACACCAAGTCCCTAAAATATATCTCAGGGTGCCAGACCGCATGCCTTCCAAATTATGTCTGGCACCGTCTACCAGATGTACCTAGAAAACCATTCAGGGCTAAGGATCCATGAATCACGTCAAAGAGCATGGGGCTAACGGATCACAGACAATGGCCCACATGTTACGGGGCCCACAACCACCCTCAACCCTGCTGCTTACACCACAACACACTTCAAATGTGCTACACAAATCTGCAATCCTCAACAACTTAATGAACAACTTCAAAGTACCATGTAGCCATCCGATGTGCCTGCACTAAGTAAGGCATTTCACTGTCTGTGTTGGCCTCAGCCTTCCCCCAAGCACAAAAACAGATGCAGGATTAACAGTCAACTCCTCTACTCTAACTGAAATCCCTGCCACACTGTCAGAGACTAAGAATTCAGAAACTTCTTTGCAGATCTGTAGTCTCTCTATTCCAAGGTTAGAGAAGTTGTCACTGTTCCACCAGCCCACCAGGCTAAGGTACTGCTCAGCAAGTACTTAACGGTGCCACTGTTAAAAAAAAAACTGATCAGGAGCCACAGAAATAAACTTGTGCCTCATCAGAGAAAAACATCTAAATATCAAAAAGCCAAAGCACTGTAGAAAAAAATCTATAAAATAAAAAATATATTAAAAAGGCACATGGGCCAGGCATAGCGGCACACGCCTATAGTCCCACTACTCTGGAGGCTGAGGTGGGAGGATTGCTTGGGCTCAGAGGATTGAGGCTGTAGTGAGCTGTGATCGCCCCATTATACCCCAGCCTGGACGACAGTTTCAAAAGGCACATGGAACATACTGAGCCTTATGTATTAAGAAAAGACTTATTCAGCAAACTAGACTTAAAATTCATATGTGCATATGTATGTTGTGTATGTACATATGGACATATGCACATATACATACACTTACAAGCTCACAAATAGATTAATATACAGACACACAATTAATTAATTATAGGCACCAGTAATAGCAAAACTGCTAGCTTTTTAACCAAAAACCCACTTTTACATCCTGGGCACATAGCTAGGCTACACTTGCCTTCTTCCATTTCTCTTAGGTGTACCACAGAGGGGCCATGTTACAAGTTCCAGCCAACCAAACATAAACAGAAGGAACTATTCCTTCTCTTCATTTTCAGCTGTTGTATAACAAATTACCACAAATTTAGCAGCTTAAAACAATACCCATTTATTATCTTACAATTCTATAAATTAGAAGTCTGGGCCTGCTTAAGTGAGCTCCCTGTTGAGGGCCTCACAAGGCCAAAATGAAGGCGTTGGCTAGACTGGGCTCTTATCTGGAAGCTTGGGGGAAGAATTCCCTTCCTCTCAGATTCTTCAAGGCTGTGGGTCTAAGATCCCTATTTTCCCTGCTGATGGTCACCAAAGAGCTGATTTCTGCTCCTAGAGGCTGCCTGCATTACTACTCACATGGCCCCTCCCTCTTTAAACCAACAACAGCATGTCCAGTCCTGCTCATACTTCCAATCTCTCTGATTTTTCCTTCCACTACCAGCCAGAGAAAATATCCTGCTTTTAAAGGGCTCATGAGATTAGATTAAGTCCAATCATATAATCTCCCTTTTGTCTTACAAAGTTAAAAGTCTCAGGAATAACATCTTTTCAAATTGAACATTGCACCCACACTCAAAGGGGAGGAGAGTACACAAGAGCAAGAGTCACCAACAATCGTAGCATTCTGTCTACCATATTCCTCTTCCAGGCCTGGCTTATGAACATCTCCCATGCTTGTTCAAACATATTCTTTCCCTTTGGCAACCTTGAAAACCATATGTTACAGATGGCAGAACCGATCCAGGGTCATCCTGAGTCCCTGAAGCAAATAACGGGAAATATAAATGAAAAAGACTTTGAGCAACAAAGTACCATTAAGACTTCTTGGTTAAGCCAAAGTATCAGGCCCTCTTGTTAAGTTCAGAGTAACACAACCAAGTCTACTGGATGAAAATTAGGTCTAAAAAAGAATTTCCATCATAGAAATTGGCAAATGAAACTCACAAGAAAACACATCAGAAGCCTATTAAGTTGAAGTTTTTCTGGTTTTTTTTTTTTGGTTTTTGTTTTTTTGAGACAGTGACTTGCTCTACTGCTCAGGCTGGAGTGCAGTGGTGCAATCTGGCTCACTGCAACCTCTGCCTCCCAGGTTCAAGCAACTCTCCCAGGTTCAAGCTTCAGCCTCCCGAGTAGCTGGGACTACAGGCGTAGGCCACCATGCCTGGCTAATTTTTGTAGTTTTAGTAGAGAAGCGGCTTCACCATGTTGTCCAGGCTGGTCTTGAACCCCTGGCCTCAGGTGACCCGCCCACCTCGGCCTCCCAAAGTGCGGGGATTACAGGCATGAGCTACCGCACTTGGCCAGAAGCCTACTAAGTTTATGAAGAAATTTCATTACTCAAATCTACCATGGATAGTGAAAACCCTATGACTGTAAAACAATCCCCAAATTTAAATAAACAGGAAGTTGACTGAAAAGTTATGCCGTTCCCAAAGAGGGCAGATTTCCTCTAACCCTCCTTAGACCTGGCCAAATATATATAAGAAAGAACAAGAGTTCTTCCCAGATTGCAGAGCCAGATTGTAAAACCAAGGAACTTCCTCTACTGGCAGGCAGGGGATTTCACAATGCCCCCTGCAGGATGCCATCACTGTTATGGACAATAACTGTCCTGACTCCCCTTCTCTCCTTTCCTCACTGGAGTCATTCACTGTGGACATTATTTCCTGTACTTTTTGTTTTGTTTTGTTTTGTTTTTGAGACAGTCTCGCTCTGTCGCCCAGGCTGGAGTGCAACGGTGTGATCTTGGCTCACTGTAGCCTCCGCCTCCCAGGTGCAAGCAATTCTCCTGCCTCAGCCTCCTGAGTAGCCAGAAATACAGCTGTGCATCACCAAGCCTGGCTAATTTTCCCATTTTTAGTAGAGACGAGGTTTTGCCATGTTGGCCAAGCTGGTCTCAAACTCCTCAAGTGATCTGCCTGCCTCGACCTCCCAAAGTGCTGGGATTGCAGGCATGAGCCACCGCACCCAGCCGATTTCCTGTACGTTTAAAAGCATAGGCTATCTGCTTTATGTTTCTTTCAAGCATTATTCTGTGATACGGTTTGGCTGTGTCCCCACCCAAATCTCATCTTAAACTGTAGTTCCCACAATCCCCATGTGTCATGGGAGGGACCTGGTGGGAGGTAATTGAATCATAGGGGTGGTTACCGCCACACTGTTCTCGTGATAGTGAGTGAATTCTCACGAGAGCTGACGGTTTTATAAGGGGCTTTTACCCCACTTTGCTCTGTACTTCTCCTTGCTGCCGTCATGTGAAGGACATTTTTGATCCCCCTTCTGCCATGACTGTAAGTTTCCTGAGCCCTCCCTAGCCATGCAGAACTGTGAGTCAATTACACCTCTTTCCTTTATAAATTACCCAGTCTCGGGTATGCCTTTATTAGCAACATGAGAACAGACTAATACATAGCTTGATATTGAGATGTTTCTCAGCATTATAAAACTGCTTCCATTAGTATCTATGGGGAAAGGTTAGTTTGAATTATAAAAAAGATATTTCTATTTTTTATATATATCATAATTCAAAAAAAGGCAGAAAACACTGCCTAGAGGTCCTTCAGTGTCCTAAGTATCCAAGTAAACCTCCATGGAGCTGTGGGTTCTTCACGAGTATTACAGACAGCTTCTCCATATTCATTACTACTATATACAATTTGACCCAGGGGATGGCGGAGGGAGATTAGGGTAGAGCAACTACAACATCATATTTGGCATTTAGAAGTTGTACTAAATGTAAAACCTTTATAAATAGTGAAATTATTTCCTGAAGCATTTGTCATCAGCTAATGATTTAGTATAGCATGAAAATATTTTGTTGGTAGAATGCAAAAGACTTGGCAGGGTCTCACAATCATGGCATTTTAATAAGTATAGTTATAGCTCTCTTTAGTCTTTATTATCCATCGGATACCATGTACATCATTCTTAAGCTTTTAGGCTCCTTAAGTGATTATGGAAACAATAAATTCTAAACCAAAAACACTGAGAAGGGTTGTACTACAAAGTTTCAAAACTTCACATGTTGTCTCCTGCTGCCTCTTGCTGCCTCAACATTCATTCCCACATACGCTAACTGTGAACACCCCACCCAGGTAACCAGGTGCACAAGTTTGATAAGGTTGGCCCCTACCACAAGTTCACCTCTCTGTCTTCTTCTGACCACGACCTACCAATGCACCAATGCAACGCACTGTGAACTGCACTGAGCTGTGAACTGCACTGAGATCACTAGTAAAGGCACTTGCCCACAGTCCTTGCTCTCTCTGCTCCCACCTGTTTCCCACCTGCTTAGCTGATCCTGCTCTCAGAGCTGTCACCTCCACCCCACGTGTCCCCCCTCCTATCCTCCTGTACAGTGATTGTCATTCTAAGACATGTGAGTATAATAAACTCTGTTTTCTTGAGCCTCTCCTATGTCCCCTCTTGTGGCTACACCTCACTGAACATTACCTAAAAGAACACAGGACAAGGGTACGAAGGATTAAAAGAACAAAAAGAGAAAAAAGGAGGCCAAAAAATCCACTGACTTCTTACCTACTTAGCATCTCCCCTATCTGGCCTTAAATTGAGAAGAATTGCTCATCTCTAGAAAGCCCCATCAGGTATCCACCTTAAAGTTTGAAGCAGTTCTTAAACTCCATCTCCTCACCTAATTCTCATTATTCATTTGTCAGTGTGTCCTGCCCTTCTCTCGCCGCTGCCTCAAGCTACTCCTCTGAAGAAAGCCCTCGGGTTGCTTGATGCCCTGAGACTCTGTATGCAGCACAAGAGGCTTGGCAGAATGGAATCTGCTCTGCAAGCTTCAGCTCCCTTCCCCTGAATATTAAACCTCTCCCTTCCACAATGACATCTGTCTCAAAACAGTCACCATTTGCCCCAACCAAGTCTTGCCATTTTCTAGGGTACTTCTAATTAATTTGCAGGTTACTTTAAAATTTTCTAAGTAGACTGAAACCAAAATTCATATAAACTCAATTTAAAATATTAAAGAATCACTATGGGGAAAAAAGCTTGCAAAAATATAGCTGTTTCAACAACACAAACTTCAATCACGAGGACTCTCAGTCTACAGAGAAATCATTTTCAGTCACCACTTTCTTTTCATATACCCCACAGGCCCGTATCGTTGACTTCAAGCGCATTAACAACATTTTGTTTTACATGGTTCAAGTGATCCTTATTATGCAAGCATGGCACTCTCACAAGCATTACCTCATTCAATCCTGACACCTCTGGAAAGGTTTTTTACATTTGATTGCTGCTAAATTAATGCAGAGAAGGCTGCATTTTGATCAGGCATCCTAAAGCCCAGTAACAGAACTGTTGGAGTGATTATTGTAAGAAACATCCACTTTCTCCTGATGACATGATGAATTTATTTATTTATTTATTTGAAACAGAATCTCACTCTGTTGCCCAGGCTGGAGTGCAGTGGCACCATCTTGACTCACTGCAACCTCGGCCTCCTGGGTTCAGGCAATTCTCCTGCCTCAGCCTCCTGGGTAGGTGGGATTACAGGCACCTGCCACCTCGCCCAGCTAATCTTTTTGTATTTTTAGTAGAGACGAGGTTTCACTGCACTGGCAAAGCCGGTTTTGAACTCCTGACCTCAAGTGATCCGCCCGCCTTGGCCTCCCAAAGTGTTGGGATTACAGGAGTGAGCCACCACGCCCCACCCTATTTTTACTTTTCGAGGGGAGGAAGGGGCAGCAATTAGGAATTTATTTAAGAATCTGGTAACAGGCTAAGGGCATTCTCCCTCAGAAAAATGCATGTATAAAATGTTACTTATAATTTTATAAAATATATAGGCCCCTTGCAGCCTATTAGAGACTACTGGCTAAGAATGTGAAAGGGTACAGGTGTAGAAATCCTGGGTCAAGCAACAAGCCACAGCCAAGATTTTAAAGGCAGCAGAGAGTTGACTGCTTAGAGGCAATTAAGAAACTGAAAATCTCACTGAGATAAAGTCATAACTAATTAGATATTTAATCCAATACTTAGTAAGTTTAACATCTCACCAAATCAACAAATGCATGAAAAGACTTATGTAATGGTCTCCTGAGCAAAGCATCCATATAAAATACAGCATTCTGAAAGAGGAAATTAGGTAAAACAAAAAGACACAGAACACAAACATGATGAAATTTTCCCAGTTAAGGAATCTGAGTGTGACAAATAAACATATACCAGACTGTATCATAAAACCCAGCCTACCCAAATTAATTTTATCATTTAAAAAAATCAGAAAACACAATTTATAATAGGTATATTTCTGACTTAGTCTGTTCAGGCTACTAACAAAATATCTTAGACGGGGTAATTTATAAATAATAGAATTTATTTCTCACAGTTTGGGAGGCTAGCAGTCCAAGATGAAGGCACTAACAGATTTGTGCCTGGCTAGGGCCCACCCTTTGCTTCAAAGATGGTGCCTTGTTGCTAAACCCTCACACGGTGGAAGGGGACAGGGTGACCCCTTCAACTTCTTTTAAGAGAGCACTAATCCCATTCATGACTTAATCATGAGTGCCCTCATGACTTAGTCACCTCCTAAAGGCCCCATTTCTTAATACTGTCACATTGGCAGTCAAGCTTCAACATACGTATTTTAGAGGGACACATTCAGAACTTAGCAATATACTAACCAACTCATTAAAAAAGGAGAAAGTATATCTTTTTGATGCAATAGAAAGTTATATGTTATTTATAGGCTGAACTGTCCTCTTAGATGTTGAATCAAATATAGAATACTGTGGTTAATCCTTTTATGCAAATAACGACTGTTATGGATTGAACTGTGCCCCTCCCAAAATTCATATTAAAGTCCTAATTACAATAGCTCAGAATGCAACTTTATTTGGAAATAGGGGCATTACAGATGGTAATTATTTAAGATAAAATCATACTGGAGTAGGATGGGCTTGCCCAATCCTATATGACTGGGGTCCTTACAAAATGGGGAAATTTGGACACTGAGACACACACAGGGAGAATGTCATGTGAGCATGAAGGCAGAGACCAAGGTGATGTATCTACAAGCCAAGGAAGCCCAAAGATTCCCAACAAAGCACAAGAGCTAAGAAGGCAGCCTCGAATAGATCCTGTCTCATACCTTCAGAGAGCTCGTGGCCCTACTGGCACCTTGGTCTCAGACTTCAAGTGTGCTTGTCTCAAGAAGTGGGAAACAATGTATTTCTGTCGTTGAAACGACTCAGTTTGTAGTACTTTGTTACAGCAGCTCCAGCAAACTCATAAAATGACCTAATATATTTTACTTTATAATAGACTTTTACATATTGTAAAGCAAAATGTGTCCACATCATATGCATGATAGAGTGAATTTTTAAAAATACAGATTTTGTAGGAGCTTCATGTTCACTGGAAACAGCTATTTTTAACTAAGCTGCTGCCAGTTTAAAACAAGTGTAAAAAAACTGACATGACTTTTGTAAAATGAAATCTCAATATGAATAAAACTCACTAAAAGAGCAACACAAGATCATCTGCCCTTTATTACAGTAAAAAAAGAATACTTTATTCTAATTATACAGTAAATTATATCTTTATGAGCAATTAAGTAATGAAGTACATGAAAATAAGATGATCAATCAATTTTTGGTATCATTATATATTTTCATGCTGAAAGGATTTTCTTCTCTAATAAATTTTACTTGGCAAAAGCATTTTTTTACCTCCAAATTGTAAACATATTGAAAATAACTGTCAGCAACAAGGTAGAAATAACCAATTCTAATATAAGACAACAGTTGTGACACATTTAATCAGAAATTCCAAGTACAAACAATATACTGTTTTATTTATCATCGCTTACTAACACAAGCAAAAAAGCTCAATTCCATAGAAAGAAACGTTTGCGTGAACAGACTCCTTCCACTTATAAACCCAGGCTATAGGCCAGGTGCGGGGGCTCAGCCTGTAATCGAGGCGGGCAGATCACCTGAGGTCAGGAGTTCGAGACCAGCCTGGTTAACATGGCTAAACCCTGTCTCTACTAAAAATACAAAAATTAGCTGAGCGTGGTAGTGCATGCCTATAATCCCAGCTACTCAGGAGGCTGAGGCAGGAGAATCGCCTGAACACAGGAGGCAGAGGTTGCAGTATGCTGAGATCACGCCATTGCACTCCTGCCTGGGCGACAAGAGTCAAACTTTGTCTCAAATGAATAAATAAATAAACAAACAAACAAACCCAGGCTATATTATCCAGCACATCAGTTCTCAAAAGGAAGTAATTCTAGGTCTAAAGCTTCTCTGTAGATAACATCAGGTTCACGGACCTGATGGAAAAAAATGGCTACAAAAGTAGGACAGGACTATTTCTCTAATTTTTTTGTCACATGCAAACATTAACATGGGCTTTACATACTCTCCTAAATATACATATGCACAGAACAGTCACCTGTGCCTTAGACTTTCTAAGAGTGTGCTACACTAAATTATGGATAAGAGACTACGTGCTGCTTCACCTTTCAAATAAAAGGCTTTTCAGTAAAAGGAAGACAATGACGCAGTGATTCTGCATTTGGATTCGGTGTGATAAACATTAACCGTATCGCATCACATGCCGACCTTCTCCAACCTTTTAAGTTCTTTCCTAACGCAGTTTAAATTATTTTTTCTACACTTTAGGGCGACACAGAACTTCAAGATTTAGCGGAAATGGAGCGCTCTATTTTTTAAGTTGGAAAAACTAAAAGGTCTAGCTTGGGTAACTTCTTCACAGCATAAGGGATAGTATTTTATACTAATAAAAATATCCTTTATGTCAATAACTATAATTTATTGAACACTTTATACGTGTGTTCTACACACTCGTTTCTCTTCACCTCAACCCTGAAGAGACAACGGAAATTATCATCACTTCAGCATGGACAGGTTCAGAAGTTAAATACTCTCTCAAGGTCAGAAGCAGCAGAGGCAGGATTCAAACCTTAGCCTTTCCCACTCCAAAGCCAAGACTCTTAATTGCCTTTGAGGGCACTAAGCTTTGCAAAAGAAATCTTTAGAATCCAAGTGGAAAAAAGATGTGTTGGTAAACGCAGTGCTGAGATATGCTATAGAGAAGTGACCAGTAGAGCAATCAAAAAGGTTAGTAATATCGAAGAAGTCCTGCCACAGAATTCCTGGGCAGCACATATGCTTGGTTCTGTAAACCTGAAAGAACTTGCAGTATAAAGTTATTAGAAGCCTTCCAAACTACATCAACAAACAAATCACTTACTTTCATAAACATGTCTGGCAGAGAGGTCACAGATAACTCCAATTATAATAGAAAAGCAAAAATAATTACATTAAGAAACATTTTTACAGAAATAGTCTTACTTTTCTTGATTTCCTAAGTTGACAGGTATAATTGATTCTATAAAGGCAAGAATGTGTGATGAAGATGATGCAGATGCGTGCAAACACACACACGACGGGAATTACATGCTGCATCTGTCACCCTAAGTTAACCAAGGTTCTGTAAAACACAACCCTCACCTTTTCTGGATGTGGTTCATAACAAGGCTGCCACTGTGGTAGCCTAGGAAAAACCTCACTACTTCCGAGAAATTATGAGAAAGCTCGTTAATTAAGGCTAACCTATGAAAAACTATTTAACACCAAATCATGAAAAACATTTCGCGGTAAGTCATCAAAATCCTTAAAGATCCCATAAATTTGAACCTATTTCAGAAGGATAAAAAAGTAGTAATCACACACATTATGTAAGAAATAGGTCACAGCGTAAGTATTCGCTTACTTGCCCCTATGTAAAATTCTTTGAGTCCAATGATTTTAATTATTAGAATCTAAATTAATCAGTTTTATTACAGTCACAGCTTATTAACCCCATAAAGAAAAATGGGCACATCCAAGATGCCAAAGATTTATTAAAAACAATTTAAAATACATGATGATTTTAAGTCTTCAACAATTTGGTTGTTTTAGGGAAATATTTAAGACCCGCAGACTGTTTGTCATGCCCTGGCCTCAAAGGAGTTTCACGACCGAGTTCTCCAGGTAAAAGTTAATGTATGCGGGTCCCTAAAGGAAGACCCCAGCCTTCCATTCCCCTGGAGCCTGCGGGCGGCGGGGAAGGAGGGTTCTGACAACAGGGTAAGGGAGAGGAGCGCAAACCGCCGGCCTCCGCCCCGCCACCCCCAGTGCGGCCACCGCTCATGCCAACACATCCCGGGAAAGCCGGGTGCACCGACTCCGCAAGGTCACCCGTGAAGAGGCGACTTTACATAATCTCCCACCGCGCCGCCAAGGCACCTGCGCGCCGCGGCAGCAGTGCAGCCGCGGTCCCCTTCCTGCAGCACGGGCGCGAGATGATGCGGGGGCGGCGAGCAGCGCTACCAGGCAGGACGCCGGGGACCCGCGGGAAGGCAGCGCGCACCAAGCCGGGGGCGGGGGACCGAGGGTGGACGCCCAGACCGGGGATGCCCCGAGCCGCCGCCTTGGCTTGCGAGGCGGGGCGCGGCCGGCGCGGGCGAGGCTCGGTGCCGAACTCCCCAAGCTGCCGCCGGACGGCCAGCGCCGAGCGCGCCCCTCGCAGCTTCGCCCCGGACTGCCCCGGGACGCACCTGCCGCGCGCCTTACCTGAGTGGCTTTATGGAACTGCTTCTTGAGGCCGGCCACCGACATGGTGCAGGAGGCCGCGCTGGCGGCTGCTGTGCGGGAGGGAGGAGGCGGAGGGGGACTGGAGGGCCGAGCGGGGCGGCGCGCTCCCCTGGCCGCCTCTGGTCGTGCCGCCGCCGGGGCTATGGGCGCGAGGGCGCGGAGCCTAGCGGGACACGGGCTCTTGCGGAGAAACACTCTGACGTCAAGGGCGGGTGATGCGGCCTCTTAAAGGGGACGCGGGAAGCCCCGCCCCAAGCGCGGGAACGCCCAGGCAGGTGCTGTGGCGCGCGGTACCTGGATGCTGGCGCCAACTGCGGGGATGTGGCTCAGCGGCACCCGCTGGCGGATCCCTAGTCAGCGGGCCGAGGACGTCCTCCTGTCCCGGGGTTGGTGTTCCTGCCCCCGGGGGCTGCGGACGGGTCGCTGCAGATTGGCAGCCCAGGCACCCGCAGGACTCAGGTGACTTGCTGGGCTTCCAGGTAGCCGCGGCGGCGCTGCCTGCAGACGGCCCTCCTGCCCTTTGAGCCTGGCGTCTCTGCGCCGCAGCCTGAAAAAGACTGGCCTTCTATCTGGGCTAATGAATAAGTCATTGCTCCTTCTATGCCTTGCCCTGACTGGTGGGTCACAGAAAACATTTCTCTGCCCTGGTTTCAATATCCCTTAAGCCCATCTTACCTTAGGGAAAGTCACACACGCGTTTTCCCCCTTGTCTGATACAATTTAATGACTTAAAAAGAAGAACAGGAACCCTTAAGCCTGGACGGATAAATAGAATTGAAGTCTTACTACAAAACTAGCGTTCAATCCTCTGGTTACAGAAATGAAAAAGCCCAAATGTGATCTTGTTGTTATGCTTGTGGATTTAGGGTTTCCGGTCCGATAAAAATCAAAATATAATGTGAAAAAGCATGATACTAAGTTATATACAGATGCTTCATATGTAACCAAGGAGGTATGGCTGGCTAAAGTGAAACTAATAGATGACTTGGGAGCAGAGCAGCACTAAATGCCTTCTGTGCTCTGGTACTTAACCAAGTCTGGTTTTTCTAGGACTGAGGAGGTGGTCAGAAAGAACTTAGACGCTGTCCCCGTATGTGGACCAAAGTGATAAGAAGGAGAAGCCAAGATGGGAGAAATTGCCAAGGATGTGTAGAGACTGCAAGGCCAAATGGGAGTCCTAGAAATACTTTTTCTGTCTCCGCAACTCCTGCAGCCTGATAGGAGCCACAGACCCATCCCCACTCTTCTAGGCACTGCGGCTTGGGCACAGGGTGAACACCTGCTACAAAAGGGTCCTCCATCCGTAGAGCTACCAGTCATGGTCCTTCTTGATAATGTGAACTGACACACACAAAGGCAGAGTCAAGCAGTGGTGGGCACTGGAGCAGTAGAGCGCATGGACTAGGGACGCAGGCTGCAAAGGGAGGCAGATGAAAGGAGCTATTCTCCAGTGTGGTAGCCCTTACCACTGTTCATATACCTTTCCCTACATGGCAGAATTGCACTTTCCAAACCTCTTGTTAAGTGGAGGCATGGTTACAAGTTTTGACTAGAGGTTTAAGAGGAAAAGTGACTGTCACTTCTGCAGCAGCAATATGAGATGTATGAGATGCCGCAAAGCTTTCTTTTCCTCGGCCGCAATATTCTAGAAAGCTGTGGTCTGTCAGCCAGTATCCAGAGTGAGACTAAAGCAGTGCAGAGTCCCCACCTGACGTTCAATGGGCATGTAGCATCAGTGAGAAACCTGAGTAATTTTAATCCACTGAGGCTCCGGTTGTTAGGAATAAACTTTTTTCTCTATGTTTCCAATTTTTAAAAAGGCTACCCATTACTTGCATAATAGAAAAAAAAGTATTTTATAGTTAATTTTTACTACCAGGTCCCTGATCTGAACAATAAAGCATTTTCATAAGACAGGGCTTTGTTGAAGCTGCCAAAAGATAGAGCAATTGATCTACAAAGTGGAAGGGCCTGGGATGGATAGGAGCTCTGCTCTCTAACAGTGAAAGGTGTGAAATGGGGGCCTGAATTGCCTCCTTGGAACTTTGAATACTTAACTGAGCCCTACATTATAAAAAAGGCAGTTTCTATCTTTCCCTGGTTCTTCATCCACCAACCTGGAAGTCTCATGCTGCTTAACTTCAAAGAAACTACCTTGGGAGAAAAAAACTACTTAAGGGCATTACATTAAATCCTTTGGAAACCATTGATTTAGTCGCCCAGGCATCCTCTGCACCTCATCTTATATGGTTTGGCTGTGTCCCCACCCAAATCTCATCTTGAATTGTAACTCTCACAATTCCCACGTGTCGTGGGAGGAACCCAGTGGGAGTGATTGAATTATGGGGGTGGGTCTTTCCTACACTGTTCTCGTGGTAGTGAATGAGTCTTACAAGATCTGATGGTTTTAAAAACAGGAGTGTCTAGTTCAACCATTGTGGAAGTCAGTGTGGCGATTCCTCAGGGATCTAGAACTAGAAATACCATTTGACCCAGCCATCCCATTACTGGGTATATACCCAAAGGACTATAAATCATGCTGCTATAAAGACACATGCACACGTATGTTTATTGCGGCATTATTCACAATAGCAAAGACTTGGAACCAACCCAAATGTCCAACAATGATAGACTGGATTAAGAAAATGTGGCACATATACACCATGGAATACTATGCAGCCATAAAAAATGATGAGTTCATGTCCTTTGTAGGGACATGGATGAAATTGGAAATCATCATTCTCAGTAAACTATCGCAAGAACAAAAAACCAAACACCGCATATTCTCACTCATAGGTGGGAATTGAACAATGAGATCACATGGACACAGGAAGGGGAACATCACACTCTGGGGACTGTTGTGGGGTGGGGGGAGGGGGGAGGGATAGCACTGGGAGATAAACCTAATGCTAGATGACGAGTTAATGGGTGCAGCACACCAGCATGGCACATGTATACATATGTAACTAACCTGCACAATGTGCACATGTACCCTAAAACTTAAAATATAATAATAAAAGAAAAAAAAAACAAACAGGAGTTTCCCTGCACAAGCTCTCTTCTCTTGTCTGCTGCCATGTGAGAGGTGCCTTTCACCTTCTGCCATGATTGTCAGGCCTCCCCAGCCAGGTGGAACTGTGAATCCAATTAAACTTCTTTCTTTTGTAAATTGCCCAGTCTCAGGTATGTCTTTATCAGCAGCGTAAAAACAGACTGATACATCATCTAAACCCAGCATTTGTATTGAAGCCACAATTTATGCCTGTAAAGACCTTTGAGATGTCACCTTTGAAGAAATTTGTTAAGCTCCTCCTACTAGCAAGCATCATGGTAGGAGATGCTGGGATTGAGAAGGGGAAGTATCGAGGCATGTATGGGCTGGACCTTGAATCCCAAGGGGTTTCCAGACGAGTAATTTGAAAAAAAAATCTTCCTAGGGACATTTATTGTTACTTGAATACAGAGGAACAAATACCCCAGACACTGAACAATTCTAAGCATGGATGCCATCTTTGGTTGCAAAGAATCTTCAACAGAGGCTTTGGAGAGAAATGCAGAAGCACAATGCAGGGAAAGGGGAATCAAAAGTCAACGAGGAAGAGCTTTGTTTGGTAAAAGGTTGTGGTAATTCAGCATGCTGCCCTAGTCTCCCGAGATAAAAATCAATGTAAACTGTTAAATAAACCTAGATCTGCTCAGGAAAGTCCCAATTAAATGAAACCCCCACAAAATATCACCTCACTAATTGGGCAGTAAATTCGTGGTCAGCAATAATCCCATCACATCATTCATGCACTATTTCTCCTTGCATTATGGTAAAGCTTCTGGCAAATACCAGACCTCTCATTTGCACAGAGCTGCTGCATCCCTGGCACCTTTCAGAGGGTCCCTAGCTTCAAGGAGGCAGAGGAAAAGCAGCAGCATTCATCTTTCTGAGCTTCAACCCCTGTCTCTGTGCCTCTGGCTCATACCGGGGCAAACTACTCCTGACTTCATGTGTAAGCTCGTTAAGCATAAGAAACATTGCAAAGCAAAGGCATTAAACTCCAACTTCTTATTTTAGAGATAGGAAAACAGAGGCAATGAAGGGAAGTGACTTATCCTTACTTTTTCTACTCCAGCCTTTAGCCTCAATTCAGGGTAGAGCCTCTAGTCAGTGTTAATAAATAGAAGAGGTTTGAATGAATGAATGAATGAATAAAAGAATGAACAATGTATCATTGACACTGATGCTTTCTTCTGACCACATTGGATCTGATGTTCAAAAGCCTTCACCAGATACTAAAACCTCGATTGCGCAGGACCCAGTTTTTCCAGGGTGAGTGGCGCTTAACATAAGATTTTGTGCCTTTGGATGCGCCCCAGTAGCATTGAACACCCACCTAGCTCAGGCAGGGCTAACACGCCCTTTCCTAGAGATGAGAAATCAAGGGAAAGACCATCTTTGTTTCCTTGCTTCCAGTTTTGTCACCTACCACCCACTCTCCAACAGATACACAGAGAGAAGCATTTTTTTTTAACCTCTTTTGAAGTGGATGTGTGGGTCTTTCTGCCGGGGATGGCCACCTTTCCCACCTTTCCTTCTCTCCCATATAGCCCTCCTCCCCCCAAAGTACAGGGGCCTCTCCCTGCAAAAACTTCCTTTTCACTTAGATAAACCCTTTTAACCCAATCACAGAGGAGAAGAAAGTGCTTAACCAAGTGGGTGACTCATGTTAGACTCTTCATCTGTACCATCATCACTATTTCCATTGCAGATTGAAATAGTTCTGACTTCCCCACAAAATCCTGCCACCTCCAGTGCCCATTTGCAGTGTTTTTCCTTTGAAGTCTTTCCCCATCCTTTTACCCTCGTGTCCTCTCTTTATTTTTGAAGCCTCAGCCCTGATTGTGTTGTATTTGGCCTAATATGTACCATAGACATGCTTACCTCTTTGAGTGCAGGGTCTTTATAACTCTTCACAGATAATACAGACACTTGCTAGATATAGGCTAAATGCAATTGTGAAAGCCTGATTAAATTTTGAAAGCTAGGTCCAGCAGAGGGTCAAAAAAACTGGGAAACTGGCTGAGCAGATTGTTCAATGGTTATGGTTACTACTCCCTCGATGTGTCCAAGCCCGGTTCTCCAGGGTCCTGACAATTCAGCTCCCATTGCCTTTCCCATAAATTCCCCTTTGTTCACTCAGCCAACACTGCTTTTTCTAGGTTGCAATCAAAAACACTTGGCGTTACATCCCCTTTCCCCTTCCCGCAATGATATTCTAATCTCAGGTCCATTTCTTGTTTGGCTACCAACTCAGAGATTTAGGCAACTATAGTTCCTGCTAAGCACTGCATTAGGCTTCCTTCTCAGAAAAGGGTGGGCAGATTGAGTGACAAGGAATATAGTCTTTTAGCAAACTGTCAATTGTCCCTGTAAGACATTGACATTCCGATTTACAAATCAAACCTTTTGTTTATGTGATTGGTATGGTTCAGGCTGCCAGGGTCTGAACCTCCCAATCCCCTGGGAATTGGCATCTAAGTGCTTGTAAATAAATGCCAAGCAACTGGACTCAGAGCAGTGGCACTTCTGGAATGGGAATCATCTTAATTAAGGGCAAATTGTTAGGGCATCTTTACCATTGGCTTATTTATTCTATTCTTGTCTGGATATTATCACTAGAGATGTTGAAGGCATATTGTTAACCCTGAACATAGCATTTGGCTAGTCAGCCTCTTAAAGTACTGTGTTAAAGAGGCCAAGTTCTGGCCTGGCTCGGTGGCTCATGCCTGTAATCCCAGCACTTTGAGAGGCTGAGGTGGGTGGATCACTACTTCAAGACCAGCCTGGCCAACATGGTGAAACCCCGCCTCCACTAAAAAATACAAAAATTAGCCAGGTGCAGTGGCATGTGCCTGTAATTCCAGCTACTTGGGAGGCTGAGGCAGGAGAATCACTTGAATCTGGGAGGAGGAGGTTGCGTGGAGCCGAGATCATGCCACTGTACTCCAGCCTGGGCAACAGAGTGAGACTCTGTCTCAATAAAAAAAAGAGGCCAAGTTCTGTTGCTATTTTGGTAGCTAGTTAGCCTTTCAGAGAAAAGCTTTTCCTTAGTCACAGTGTGCATGTTACCCCATCATCTAAATGATGCATTCTCTTGATTATAGAAAATCCAAGTGTGAAAGGAGAGATAATTTAATTTAGCATAAACCTGTCAATGATACTAAGAACTCTGAGTACAAGCTTCCAATATTCTGTATCAGCTTTATATATGAAAATAATACTGATAATATATTTATTCTACTTTACTTTTTTTTTTTTGAGATGGAATCTCGCTCTGTCGCCCGGGCTGGAGTGCAGTGGCATGATCTCAGCTCACCGCAACCTCCGCCTCCTGGGTTCAAGCGATTCTACCACCTCAGCCTCCCGAATGGCTGGGACTACAGGCGCCCACCACCACGCCCGGCTGATTTTTGTATTTTGACTAGAGGTGGGGTTTCACCATATTGGCCAGGCTGCTCTCAAACTCCTGACCTTGTGATCCACCTGCCTCAGCCTCCCAAAGTGCTGGGATTACAGGTGTGAGCCACTATGCCTGGCCCTACTTTACTGTGTTTTTAAAAGAAAATTACACTTTAAGAAGGGATAAAACAATCGACAATTTACAACTATTTAAACAGATTATTCATCTTTATTTGGCCCAGGATTTTCTTTTTCCCCTTGAAAAACAATTTTTCAGATTGGTTGTTTTATTAAACATGCTCAGCTTGTATTTTTCTCTGGGCCACACATATAAAGCCGACTTCAATGAGAACAAATCAAATATAAAGCACAACTTTAAAACTACATTTCAAACATTTAACATTAAAACGCTATCCTTTCAGGAAGATTAATTTTCTCTGAGGTCCAGTTACAGCAAGTTTGCCAAGTAGGAAATTCCTTAGATCAAAGATCTAGAAAATACTTTTAGTTTTCTGTGAATAGAATTCAGTTGAATTGGGGAATGTTGACAGCAACTCTTAAGATGCCCTTAACTTGGAAGGTGTATTACAGAGGGGAGGAAATTCCATCCGATGCTCAAGCTTAAGACCAGTGAACACATTGAGCAAGGAAGAATTCTCTATTAAGGCAGAACTGACTAAGGAGTCAGGAGAAGAGAGGAAGTGAAGAAGCAAAGGCAGTTTTCCCCCTACCCCGTTACTACCAATGGAAAGGGAGGAGCCAGTCATCAGGTCATGGATAACAAAGGAACTGATAGGAAGTTTTCTGTTTGTTTGTTTCTTAAGCTGGGCCACCTGGGTGTGTTAATGAACAAAGGGAAGGAGCCAGTTACATTGCAGATAAAAGTCACCCTGGAGACTTAGAGGCTCACTGAGCGCGGTCACTGGAGAATGCGGTAGGGAAGGAAGAAAGGCCAAATGGAGAAGTCACCTGGGAAAGGAGAAGGGATGCCTATTTCCCTGGGGTACCTATTCCCCTGAGACAGAGCACTGGTGACAAGGTGGAGAGGGATGAAGTCCGCATCTTGAGTAGAGGAAGTCTGATGACAGGTGTGAGGGCAGCAAGTGGAAACAAGTGAGATGACCAATGGCTCATATCTGGTCAGAATGAGAACACAGCCTTAAGAACGTTACATGCTCTGGGCACTTCCCCACTTGTTCAGCCACACAGCACCAGCACCTTTCATGTACCCTGATGCCCACACTAAAGGTTGGTCTCTGGTACACTCCTTCACCTGCCCAAGCTTTGCACACACTATTCTCTCTGCCTGATCGTTTTCTACTTTATACCTGGCTAATTCCCTGAATACCCTTCAGATCTCCATTCAAAAGACTTCTCTGAGCTTCCTAACAGGGTCAGATTTACCAGTATAGTCCTGTAGATCTAAGTACTACTCTCCTTTGATGCACTTGTCACAGCTATGATTTTGCATGTATTAATGTGATTTTTTAAATGTGTATCTCCCCCTTCTCTCACTATTCTGCAAACTCAAGGGCATGCACTGTTGGGTTTTGTTCACCACTGCATGCCGAGCATACACTGTGAGCACACAGGAGGTGTTCCACATTTCATGAATGAATGAATGGAGGGAAAAGCTTTGGGAAATTTAGCAAAACTTAAAAGAAATTAAAGTGTTTTGGAGGATCAATGATGGCCTAGTTTCCTAAGTCTAGCTGAACATGATCAGAGTGAGGCAGGGGTTGGCGGCGGGGAGGGTGGGGGCGGTTTACAAATCAACGGGAAAGTCTCTGAGTGACCACATGAAAACTGGTTCCATAGGTGAATGTATGATGATTAAGCACCTAATAAGTCATATACAAAGGAGGTGGCAGTAAGCTGAGATCGTGCCACTGCACTCCTGCCTGGGTGACAGAGTGAGACTCTGTCTCAAAAAAAAAAAAAAAAGAAAAAAAAAAGCCAAAACTGACAAATGGGATCTAATTAAAGTAAAGAACTTCTGCACTGCAAAGGAAACTAGCATCAGAGTGAACAGGCAACCTACAGAATGGGAAAAAAATTTTTTCAATCTGTCCATCTGACAAAGGGCTGATATCCATAATCTACAAAGAACTTAAACAAATTTACCAGAAAAAAAAACAAACAATGCCATCAAAAAGTGGGTAAAGGATGTGAACAGACACTTCTCAAAAGAAGACATTTATGCAGCCAACAAACATATGGAAAAAAAGCTCATCATCATTGGTCATCAGAGAAATGCAAATCAAAACCACAATGAGATACCCTCTCATGCCAGTTACAATGGTGATCATTAAAAAGTTGGGAAATAACAGATGCTAGAGAGGATGTGGAGAAATAGGAACACTTTTACACTGTTGGTGGGAGTGTAAATTAGTTCAACCATTGTGGAAGACAGCGTGGCTATTCCTCAAGGATCTAGAACCAGAAATACCATTTGACCCAGCAATCCCATTACTGGGTATATACCCAAAGGATTATAAATCATTCTGTTATAAAGACACATGCATGTGTATATTTATTGTGGCACCGTTCACAATAGCAAAGACTTGGAACCAACCCAAATGCCCATCAATGATAGACTGGATAAAGAAAATGTGGCACATATACACCACGGAATACTATGAAGCCATAAAAAAGGATGAGTTCATGTCCTTCACAGGGACATGGATGAAGCTGGAAACCATCATTCTCAGCAAACTAACACAAGAACAGAAAACCAAACACTGCATGTTCTCACTCATAAGTGGGAGTGGAACAATGAGAACACATGGACACAGGGAGGGGAACACCACACACCGGGGCCTGTTGGGGGGTGGGGGGCTGGGGGAGGAATAACATTAGGAGAACTACCTACTATAGATGACCAGTTGATGGGTGTAGCAAATCACCATGGCACGTGTATACCTGTGTAACAAGCCTGCAGGTTCTGCACATGTATCCCACAACTGAAAGTATAATAAATTATATATATATATATATATATATATATATATATGTAAGAAATTTTAAAAAATAAAGTATGTGTTGGGAAGGAAGAGGTCATCCAGAAAAGGGTTCATGGGGCAGGTCAAACAAAGGGATGCTGAAATTAACTTTAGATCAGATCTCAAATCTCATCACTCAGGGAAGCTCAAAATGGAACAATAGATAGACATTCAAGTCCAAGCCCAGAATGTGCAAGAAAATAACTTCCAAGTTCAGAATGAAGATTGGAAAAGAACCTGTAGCCAATAAGATAGCATAAATGTCCATGTGTTACAGCATAGGAGAAGGGCAGAGTAGCTGAGACCCATTGTGGCGACAAGAATAAGGCTTATCTGCACGTGATGCAAAGCCTCCCGCCCTTTCAGAACTCCCTCTAAGGCTGGCCTTGCTACTTTGTTCCCCATAAATCTTCCCCAAGTGTCTAATTCCATAGTACTCGAAATGTGGTCTCCGGACCTGCAGCATCAGTATCGCCTGAGAACGTGTTAGACTCACAAGTTATCAAGGCCCAACTTCAGACCTCCTGGATGAGCAACTCTGGAGGTGGGGTCAGTCCTCCTGTGTTTTAACAAGCCCTCCAGGTGATTCTGATGTGTACTGCAGTTTAACAGCCACCGGTCTCTAAACTGCAGCAGTATTGCTGACAGGGAAGGGTGCAAGTCTTAAGGCCAGAAGCCCCAGGTAGCCAAACATAGAAGCTTTCCCCTTATAAAGAAGTCCATTGGATCCTCACACTGGGTTGCTATTATGATTTCTATCCCACAGATAAAGAAATTGAGCCAAAGTTATCAAGCAGTTTGGCTAGAGATTTGGAGCCTGTGTTGGTTTGCAAGGGCAGCTGTAACAGAGGACCACAAACTGGGTTGCTTGAAACAACAGAACCCTACTCTGTCACAGCTCTGGAGGCCAGAAGTCTGAACTCAAGGTGTCAGCAGGGTTAGTTCCTCCTGAGGACTTGGAGGAAAACTTCTTCCATGGCTTTCCTGTAGCTTCTGGTGATGACTGGTGTTCTTTGGCAGTCTTCAGCTAATAGATGCATCACTTAAATTTCTGCTTCTGCCTTCTGGCCTTCTACTCTCTGTGTGTATCTGTGTCTAAATTTCACTCTTATAAGGAAACCAGCCTTATTGGATTAAGGGCCCAACCAATTCTAGTGTAACCTCATCCCAGTTTAGTTAATTGCATCTGCAATGATGCTATTTCCAAATAAGGTCACATTCTGGGGTACTGGAGGTTTAGGACTTCCATGTATCTTTCTGGAGGACTCAATTCAACCCATAATAGGGGTCCAACACAGGACTCCTATTAAGAGCGCATGTTCTCACTCATAGGTGGGAATTGAACAATGAGAACACTTGGACACAGGGTGGGGAACATCACACACTGGGGCCTGTCATGGGGTGGGAGGCAGGGGGGGTATAGCATTAAGAGATATACCTAATGTAAATGATGAGTTAATGGGTACAGCACACCAACGTGACATATGTATACATATGTAACAAACCTTCACGTTGTGCACATGTACCCTAGAACTTAAAGTATATATACATATATAAAAAAAAGAGTGCATCTTACTCCTTAGCATTTTGTTACAATACCTTCCCAATGACAGCAGCACTGGGACACTTGGCACATTTCCTTATTTAATGCCACTGCTGAGAAAAAGTAACAAGAAGGGATAAATTACTCCCATCACACAATGTGTGTCCCCAGACCAATGATGTTTACATACATCAACACAGGACATTTTCCCATACCTTTCTTCTCCATTCCTTATCTGGTACATTTAAGCATAATACAGGCAGTTTCCTCCTATTGAATGGATCAAAATTCAGCCACTGAAGCACATAGTTTAGAGAGAAGAACATGGTATCTGTCAGCCATCCCACATTACGCTGTGCCGCCTCTGGCTTCAGCCATAGTAACCAGGCAGCTCTGCGTAGAAGGGGAGACTCATTAGGCCTAAAAAGACGGTGCTTAAATTCAAAAGACTATAAACTCAGAACTACTCAAAAGTAAGCATTTGGGGTTCACAGATCTTCATAAAAGAAAACTAGAGCTATTTGTAATCCACTTATGAGCAATTCTGACTTTTAAGTAGAACTGGGGGAAAGGTGTTCAGTGTTCACACAACTCACCTATCACACTTAACCTTCTGGAAGCACAATTAGCCAGAGAATGTGTGCTATACTTTGGCGATTTCTGTTTAAGAATTTCGCAAACCAAAAAGTGATAGGCTGCTCAGCTCTCAATTTTATCATGACAGTTTTTTAAATACAAGTAAACATTGAGAAATTGACACTAAACAACATATTTTTTAAAACTCCAGTTATTTCCATAAATATAATTAAAGTGCCAAAGAAACTAAATGAAAAGGATCAACCCCCAAATAATTACCATTTCTGATTTCCTATATTTCATTGAACATAAGTATATTTTAATTTTCAATTAGATTCAGGGAGAAGCATGGATGTGTCTCATGTAATCAAAGTGCTGTGTCTCAATTAGTCTCCATTTGCCTAATGTGTTGTATTGTATAAACAAATACGAATTTTTAAATTTTCTAAATCTTTTTTAATTCTTTGGAAATGATTGGTCTGATTGGTTATCACAAAGACTCTGACATATTTACTTTTTCAGATGTTTTATAGTGATAATTTACTTTAAAACTTTCCTTATTTAGGCTGGGCGCGGTGGCTCATGCCTGTGATCCCAGCACTTTGGGAGGCCGAGGCGGGCGGATCACGAGTTCAGCATATCGAGACCATCCTGGCTAACACGGTGAAACCCCGTCTCTACTAAATATACAAAAAATTAGCCAGACGTGGTGGCAGGCGCCTGTAGTCCCAGCTACTTGGGAGGCTGAGGCAGGAGAATGGCGTGAACCCGGGAGGCAGAGCTTGCAGTGAGCCGAGATCGTGCCACTGCACTCCAGCCTGGGTCTCAAAAAAAAAAAAAAAAAAAAACTTTCTTTATTTAATAAAAATTATTCAAGATGAATGTAGGCTATTTTAAGAAAAATTTCCAAAACAAATGTACACTAAAATACTTCATGAAAAATATGACTAATAGAAGAAATGTACATAACTCAATAAAAAGTAAAAACTAAGACCCCATAGGAAAATGGACAAAGAATATGGGTAGCTCACTGGAGTTACATAAATAATTATTATGTATATGAAAAGCCCCAGGGTCATAAGAAAGGGTGTTAAAGTGATACCCATTTAAATATTTATTTTGATGAAAATCTTAGGGAACTAGTGACCTACATACTTCCAGGCAGAGTAAAATTCACACAATTAGTGAAAAGCAGTTTGGCACTATATATTAACTTTTTAAAAATTGTACTCTTAATTCAGTAACTTTATATCCAAAAAGTATCTTAATTAAATAGAAATTCAGGCAATTAGCCATTAGGACAATGTAAATCAACACCACAAGATGATACTTCATACCCAAATGGATGGTTATAATTTAAAAAAATGGATAATAACAAATGTTGGTGAGGATGTAGAGAAATTGAAACCTTTATACATTTCTAGCAGGAATGTAAAATGGCACAGACACTTTGAAAAACAGTCTGGCAATTCCTAAAATGATTAAACATGGAGTTACCACAGGACCAAGCATTTCCACTCCTAGTTATATATCCAAGAGAAATAAAAACATATGTCCACACTAACTTGTAAATGAATGTTCATAGAAACATTATTTCGTAATAGCTGAAAAGCAGAAACAACCCAAATATCCACCAACTGATGAATGGATACGTAACATGTGGTATAGCCATGCAGGTCATATACTATTTGGCAATAAAAGAATGAAGTACTGATAAATGCTACCAGATGGATCACCCTTGAAATTATGCAAAATGAAAGACGACTGTCATGAAGCACTACGTATCATATGAGTTCATTTATTTAAAATGTCCAAAGTAGGCAAATCTTTAGAGAGAGAAAATAGATTCGTGGTTGTCTACAGTGCAGGTGGGGCATATGGAAGAACTGGGGGTTGATGACTGAAGGGGGTGTAGTTTCTTTTGGGGATAATGAAAATGTTCTAAAATAGATGTTGGTGAAAGATGCCCCAGGCTGTGGATATACTAATAAACATTGAATTGTACACATTAAATGGGTGAGTTGTATGATGTGTGAATTAGATCTCAATCAAGTTGTTATAAAAGCAAAAGTTCAGGCAAATATTAGTACTGTATCAAGATAGTTATCACAACATTATATAATAGGAAAATAATGAAAACAACCTAAAACTCCAACATTAAGGAAGGTTCAAATAAATTATGATGTATCCACATGTGGGGAATAGAGCATAGCCATAATAAATTAAATCTCTAAAGAACATTTCTTTGTATCTTAAAATTATCAGAATTTAGTATTAATTAACAACAGCAGTATATAAAAGTAAAAAGCCACAATAATTTCAATTATATAATAATAACTGTCTGCATAGGCATTAAAAAAAAGAGTAGCTGAAAATATTTTAAAATATGAATAATGATTATCTCTGAGTGGTAAGATTTATGGGTGATTTTTATCTTGTTTATATTTATGGTACTATCTAAATTCCCTCCTGTGGGAATCTATATAATCAAAACAATTATCATATAAAAGATAATGTATGACTGTGGTTATGATTATATCTTAAGCTTAAGGTAATATCCCAGCAAAATTATTCGTATATCTGTGACTTTTAGGTATATTGCATTAAGCTAATTCCAGATCTATTGCTGGCTTATATATAACAAAGATTTGGTACACAGAGGCAATTTTGTAGAACAAATCCTCAGAGATAAAGACTTGTGTTCAGATAATTCTATAATTCAAATGTTCGATAATTTAACATGTAAGAGTAAATCAAGAAGTCTTGAAACAAAGACAAAGTTAACACATACTAAATATTTCATGGAACACTAGTCAACATATTCATTAGTCACCCATGTAAAGTGGACCAAAGGCAATATTGATGATAAATGCAATTCTAGTTGCTTCCTTCCCCCTTGTTCCTTTTCAGCTACAGTCATGCCTGGATTTGTGTGTCTAAAAATGCCCTCCATGCAGATCTGTGACCTATAACCCTGGTCATCTCTTTGAAAAGCTCCTGGCTCTCTCTTGCTGTCACAGGAGGGCATGAAGGTTGGTAGCATGAACTCCAGGTCCAACGGAACTGGTTCCAAATTAAATTCCAAGGCAGATTTGCCACTTTGTGGTTATTTGATTGTCTCTGCCACCTACAGTGTTCTCCAAAGTGGTCATCAGTTTCTTCCCCCAAATTCCTTCCCTTCTCCAATTCTCAGTGCCAAAAAAAATTCTCCCCGAGTGTCCAGCCTGTTGTCTCCCTTTACTGTCCTTTTCCATCTGCTCCTATTCTTTTGCCTTTCCCAGAATCCAGTTTGTGTTTCTGTGCACATTGCCTGATTCTGCATCACAGAGGCCTCATAACTGAGCTAGCGAAAATAGAGCTCCCCTTTTAGAGGATGGAAGAAAGAAGGTAAAGAAAATTCTGGCTCGCTAGCAAGGTACAGAAAGGCTGTCAACACTCACATAATAGTATTTTCTGGCCCCAAGATCAGAGTCCAGTTTTCAAAAGATAATCCAGAGGTTCATCTCATTCTCTTTACCTGGATATCCTCCCTGCCCTCTTTGTTCCTCCCTCTTTGTCCCTCTGGCTGCCATCCATGGAAATCAGCCTTCATTCAGGTGACACACAAATGCCTTTCCCGAGCAGTCAGCTGAGTATGTGCGCAACTCCTCTGGTGCAGTTATGCTTAGTTTGAACCAGTTGATTCACTCTTGGGGTTCTTAGCCATTGTCGTGAGGAGAAAAGACAAGGTCTGAGTAAATGTCGAAACACATTGTCTTAGTCCATTCCTGCTGCTATAACAAAATACTATAGACTGGGTAATTTATATGTAGTAGAAATTTATTTCTCACATATCTGGAGGCTGCCAGGTCCAAGATCAAGGTGCTAGCAGATTTGGAGTCTGGTGAGGGTTTGCTCTCTGTTTCCAAGATGGTGACTGTTGCTGCATCTTCTACAGGTGACAAATGCTATGTTCTCACATGGTGGAAGAGCAGAAGGGCAAAAGGGGTGAGCACTATGCAAAACCTCTTTTATAAGGGAACTAATCCTATACATGAGTGAAGCCCCTCATGAGCTAATCACCTCTTAAAGGCCTCATTACTCAACACTATTGCATTGGGGAATAAGTTTCAACATGAATTTTGGAGACACATAAGCATTCAAATCATTGTATGCTGAAATGGAAGCTAGTCAGAATCAACATAAGCTACGAATAGCTACCATTGGAGCACCTTTCTTTGCATGAAATTTTATAGACATTACTTGATCTTCATATAACTGTATGCTATATATGTATGTTATTATACCCATTTTATGGATAAGGACATTGAAATTTGGACAGATAAGTAATTTTTCCCATGGTTACAATTTGGTAAGAGATGCAGCTGGAATTCAAACTTTGCTCTTTGTGTTTCTAAGGTCTCTTCGCGCACCTCAGAGCTGGGTGCCAGGACGGAGGCTTGTCCTCTTGGAGAGAGAAAAGCAATAAATGCAAGCTAGAAAAGAAAATTCTGCCAGGGGCTAAATTGATGAAATACAAGAATGAAGCTTTCTGGTGGTCCTGCATGATCAAGAATAGGAGTTGAGGTGGTCCTGTTGGGGTGGATCACATGTGCTTTAGAGATTTTCCCTAGATGGCTCTTGTGAAGAGCAGTTGCTGCTGTGGATCATCTCCGTATTGATGTGATTTCTATCCACCCAAGCTCGTCTACAGCATGGAATGAACGACTTTGAAATTTTTATTGTTATTATTATTTGGTGTTTTTTTTTTTTTTTTTTTTTTGAGACAGAGTCTAGCTCTGTCGACCAGGCTGGAGTGCAGTGGCGCTATGTCGGCTCATTGCAAGCTCCGCCTCCCAGGTTCACGCCATTCTCCTGCCTCAGCCTCCCAAGTAGCTGGGACTACAGGCACCCGCCACCACGCCCGGCTAATTTTTTTGTATTTTTAGCAGAGACGGGGTTTCACCGTGTTAGCCAGGATGGTCTCGATATGCTGAACTCGTGATCCGCCCGCCTCGGCCTCCCAAAGTGCTGGGATTACAGGCGTGAGCCACCGCGACCGGCCGACTTTGAGATTTATTATTTTACCAGCCCAAATTCCATGGCCCCTGCTATACAGAGGATTCCTCTGTAGGAATTTATTTTTCTACTCTATCATTGATGAACACTTGTGCTGCTTTGGGTTTGGGACTGTTATGATAATTCTGCTGAAACTTTCTTGTATGCAACACTTTCGGCATACATGTGCAAGCACACCTGTTGGGTATTTACCCAGGAGTAGAATTTCTCAGTCACAGGATAGTGTACGTTCAACTTCAGGATATAATGCCAAGTGCCAGGATATAATGTCAGTTTTACAAAATGGCTGCCCTTATTTACACTTTCATCAACCAGTGTTTGACTCTTCCATATCCTCACTGGAACTTGGTATTGTCAGTCTTTTTGATTGGCCATGCTAGCAGGTGTGTAGTCGTATCTCATTATGATTTAATTTTGTATTCCTCTGCTTGTTGATGAATGTGTAGGTATCTTTTCATACTTTTACTGACCATTTGAAAATCCTCTATTGCGAAGGAGCCATTCAAATCTATTGCCCATATTCCTATTGGGTTGTCTTTTCCTGTTGATTTGTAGACAATCTAGATACAGTCCAGAATCAACTCCTTTATCAGTTACATATGTCACAGGGAATTTTTCTCTGCTCCATTAGTCTATTTGTCTTTGTTGAAGGATGAGACTGGCCTAGCCTGGGCATGATGACTCCCAGCAATTTGGGAGGCTGAGGCAGGAACAGTGCTTGAAGCTAGGAGTTTGAGACCATCCTGGGCAACAAAGCAAGTCCCTGTCTCTACAAAAAATTGTAGAGACAATTTTTTGTACAGGCATGGTGGCATGTGCCTGTATCCCAGGTACTGAGAAGGTTGAGGCGGGAGGATTGCTTAAGCCCAGGAGTTTGAGGTTGCAGTGAGTGGGAATAGACCACACCGCTCCAGCCTGAGTGACAGAATGAGACCATGTCTCTAAAACAAATTAAAATGTAAAGATTGAGACTGACCTATAATTTTCCTTTTTCATTGTGTCTTTATAGGTTTTGGTATCTAAATTATACTGGATTCATAAATTGTGTTGGAAGTGTTTTTTCTTGTCTTGTTCCCTGTAAGAGTTCACATAATATCAGTGTTAGTTCTTCCTAAAATGAATGGTAGAATTCAGTACTAATGGCATCAAGGCCCAAAATTTTCTTTGAGGTACACTTTGTTTTTGTCTTTGTTTTTTTGAGATGGAGTCTTACTCTGTCACCTAGGCTGGAGTGTGGTGGTGCAATCTCAGCTCACTGCAATGAGGTAGATTTTTAATTTATAGATTTACTATCTTCACTAGTTGCAGAACTATTTTATTTCCCCTTATATCATATCTGTTCTATTTTCAAGGAATTTCTAAATTTTGTCTAAATTTTCAAATATATTGGCATAAAGTTAATTATATTTTCATATTTTTAATGTCTATAATGATGTTGCTCTCTTCATTCCTGACATTGATTATTTTTTACTTCTCTTTCCTTTTCTTGCTCAGTTTCAGCAGGTGTTTCTCAGATTTATTAGTTTCTTCAGATAGGCAATATTTGGCTTATTGATTTTCTCTATTTTTTTATTTGTTTTCTATATCATTAATTTCTCTTATCTTTATTATTTCCTTCCTTTTACTTTAAATTTGACTTGATATTATTTACTAACTTCTTGAAATAAATGGTTAGCAAATTGATATTTCAGACTTCCATCACATCTAAAGTTATAAACTTCTTTCTAAGCATAGTTTGAGCAATATCCCACAGGTTTTAAGAAGAAATAATTTTTCTGTTCAAAGTATTTTCTAATTTCTTTTATGATTTCTGCTTTGACCTGTGAGTTACATAAAAGAATATTGCTTAATTTCCATGTATATGAAAATTTTGTAGATATCTCTTTGTAATTGATTTCTAGCTTAATTGCATTGTGGATCTAGAAAATACTATGTTTAATTTGAATCTTTTGATACTAGAGATTTGCTTCAGGGACCAGCATATGGTGAACTTCTGTAAATGTTCTGTGTGTTTAGCTTTATTTTGTTTAATTTTTGCATTTCCACCTTTCTATGATTCTTATATTTTCAGTATGTCTTTTACAAACCTCATAAAATCTCTTCAATCCATTCTGAAATGCTTTTTCTTTAATTGAAGCATTTAGTCTATTTATATTTATTTAATTACTAATGTACTCGTGTCTAAGACTATAATCTTACTGTGTATTTTTTTTGCTCTACCTGATTTATGTTTCTTTTCCTTGATTTTCTTAACGTGTTTTAGATGGACTCAATGTTTATTATTTCATTTTTTCTAATATTAGGTTCAAAGTTACAAATAAATCCTTTTCTATTCTTTTAATAATTACCCTTGATATTGCAAAACATATTTTTAACTGATTAGAATGTCATGTTTATTGATATTGTTCTCTTGGACAAGGCAAGGACTCTAGCATAATTTAACTCCATTTACCCAACTTCTGACTTATGTCTATAAGACGCTTTTATTATTGTTTCATACAGCCAATATTCATGCAGATTGATTCATAAATTTCCCCTTCTATTGCTCTTCATTTTTCCTAGGTCTCCCACCTTCCATCTGTGAACATTTTTATTCTGCCTAAACAATATCCTTTGGTGTTTTCGTAAGAATAGGTTTGCTGGTGATAAATCCACTGTTTTTGCTCATCTGAAAATGTCTTCATTTCAATTGCTTTTTTTGAGGATGAAAACAGAATTTTAGATTGGCAGTTTTTTAAAGTACTTTAAAGATATTTTCTCATTATCTTCAGGCTGCCATTATTTTTCATACAAAGTCAGCTCACTCTAATTTTCATAATTTGTCTTCATTCCTCCTTCACTCCGCCTCCTGGCTGCTTTTAAGATTTTTCTCTTTGTTATTTGTTTACAGCCATTTAATTGTGATGCATAGGTATGGATCTCTTTTTATTTATCTTATTTATAGTTTATAGGACTTTTTAGTCTGTGTCTTGATTTCTTTCACCAGTGTTGGAAATTTCTTAGCCATGATCTGTTCAATTAGAACTGTTTCTGTCACGTTCTCTCTAGGACTAAAATTACTCATAGCTTAGATCTTTTTCACTCTATTCTGTAGGTATTTTATCTTCCCCTTTGTATTTTTCACCCTTTTATCTCTCCATGCTGCATTCTGGTTTATCTTTTGTTAGCTCTGCTTTTAGGTACGTTCAAATTTTTGTTTGAGCTAGTATATAAAAACATATTTTATATACTGAGCTTTTATGCAATGGCCTTGATAAATCCATTTGCTAATTGTAATAGTTGATCTAAAGATTATTTTGGATTTCTATGAATGCAAACATTTAGTATGCAAATGGGGTGCATGAATGGCAGTTACTGTTCCCTTTCCAATGTTTTCTTTCTTTTTCTTGACTTACAGCACTGTAACAGTGGAAATAGCAAGCATCCTTTATTTTTTTAATCTCAGAAAGATGTTTTCAATATTTTCTCATTAAGTACTCTGTTTATTATCCTGTTTTCTTGGTAGCTTTTATTCTATTTAAGAAATTTCTATCTACTACTAGTTTGCTAAGAGTTTATTATTAACATGGTGGAATTTCATCAAATATTTTCGCTGCATCTATTGATATAGTCAAACTTTTTTCTCCTTTATTGTGTGGTTGAGTGATTTTCAAATATCTGAATAACATTGCATTCCTGGGAAAACTACAACTTGGTTGTATTGTATATTTACATTTTATGTATTGATGGATTAGATTTACTAATATTTTGCTTAGGATTTTTGCAACTAAGTTCCTAAGAGTAATTGGCCTATCATTTTCCTTTCTTGTAATATGATTTTCAGGATTTCTGGTTGATTCTTTCAGACATCGAAGGCATAAGTCTGGAATCATCTTAATATGATCTTAGGACTAGAAATGATTCGAAACTGGGCTACAGTCACAGAGAGGGCCAGAATAAATATAAAAAAAAAATTCGATTGACATTTAAGTAGGCAAAATATAACTAGATGGAAAACTACTGAAAAATTAGGCTTATGTTATTAATGATATCTTTAAAATAATCAACATCTTCCTAGTTCTATAGCCATGACCCATAAACCACACTGGCCTGGTGGACACTGGCTTTCACCCAATTATTTTGTAGAAAAAGTAGCTAATCGGTCTGATCCAGAGTAATAAATCACATCCCCCAGCCCACTTCCACGCAGGAAAAATTAGAAAGTATATATGGCAAATGCCATATTCACCAAAAACTCCTTTTGTTTAGATTTAGTCTTATTTTTACATGTTTAAACAGGTGTTTCCTTTTAATAAGACGTTATCTAGAAACAAGAGAAGACTAACAGTCTGTACAAATGGAGAATGTTAAAATAAGCTTCAAATAAATCATTCGGGAAGACTCCCTGCCAGATGATCTATAATGTATGCCACTTTTCCTCCTTTCCAGGGGAGAAGCAGAGACATGGCGCCTGAGTAATAAATATATTCACAGAAAACATCGCCGAGTCCTTAACGATCTTGAGAGTGAAAAATGAGGCTTTAAAACAGCATTGTGAACAACACAAGAAACATCAAAGTAAAGCAAAAAGTATCTTGGGAGGGAAAAGGCAATGACTGAATTCCCAATATTACAGCATGTTGTTACAACAAAAATATTTGTATTTCCACAGAGCTCTAATATGGTGGAATAGAAGGATCTGTTCAAGCAGTGACCAATACAAAAAAACACCCTAGAAGGTAACTGAAGAACATACGCTGTAATCTGTTTTATACATGTCTTATCATCAGTGAATATCTATTGAGCTCTCAGTGAGCATTTATGCCTGCAAACAGTTGCATTAAAAATTACAGAAATGATCCAGTCCTTTCCCACAGGACATCCCATTCCAAAAGAGCAAGATGTACAACTCATTCTCTTTCTATGGGCAGATTCTACTTTTTCTTTTTCTTCACCATGGTGATTCCCAGCCTCACTTTACCAAATGAGGATTAAATGGATGGGATTCAAATCTGTCTTTTAAGAAATGGAGAAGAAAGCAAGCAGGACTATGCACAAAAAGGTTGTTCCAACTCCATAGAATTTAAGGAATCATGAATTGTAGATGGAGACCTCGATGCAGCCAGGGATCATGAAATCAAAGGCCAGGGATGCAGGCCAGATCACATCCACAAAGAGATAGGATCTCTCCCCTTATTCATGAAATCTGAGGCCTTCTTTTGTTTGTTTCTGTAGACCCACGAGTTCAGAGAAATGTTTCTCTACTTAAAGAAAATCCACTGGCAAGTCTTATGATAAATGGCAGCCACCCTTGACCTCAGTGTGGGGAGTCCATAGAGCAGAGCTGCAGGAGAAGATCCAGGTTTCCTGGAGTCAGAAATGTATACAATTGTGGAGGCCTCTTTAAGAAAACAACACAGAATTGCAAATACAAAATTGGGTCAAGGGCCTTGAAAGATCAGGCTTTAGCATGTTAGCTTTCTTATCTTCAGACAATATGTACCTCTGCTTGGGGAGGCTGGTACAGCGTCTCAAGAGGGCAGCCTCTCCTCAACCCAGCTGACTGTTGCCCTTAGGGAAACTGGCCAAACTAGCCAGATCTGATATTCTAAGAACACCCAGAAATCTGGATGTCTATGAGAAATTCCCCCCATTTAAAAACATTGGCAAAACGTTCAAGGTTTAAAGAAACAAAACAGGAAGACCTGTGTAAGACTCAACCTTTGGTCTTCACGTTGGCACCTCTGGCAAATTGAATTCTGCAGTAACTGAGGCCCGAGTTAGGTTGTTGCCCTAATCCCTCAGGTGCACCTCTCTGCTGGACACCCTCGTGGAGGCTGGTTTAACTTAAGCAGTCCAACCACAGAAGCTCTCGTGTGAAATGCATCCAGCTTAGACAGTGCTTTTCAGTGAGGAGCTTGAGGAGAGGGCCCAAACTTAAGGGAAATGTTAGAACACAGTGGCAGAAGGAGATGACAGATTGAATGTGGGAGGAGAAAAACGACTTCCAGACCCCTGTCTTTGAAAATAGATTAAATCATGGACCCTCATACAGTGATTAGACAGCTGGGACACGTGGAAGGCTTTAAGGCAGCATTTCTGAAAACGTGCTCCACAGACCATCTTATTCTGGAATACCTGGTGTGCCTGTGAAAATGCTGATCTCTGGGCCCAACCCCGAAAGGAGCGTGTAAGTGCCTGTGAGTAGGGCTCAGGAATATGCACTTTGACAAGCACCACGTGATTCTTAGGCACAGTTACAGTTAAGAAACACAAGTGGGAAGCTCTTTTCTTTTTTTCTTTCTTTTTTTTTTTTTTTTTTTTAGTCTTGCCAAGAGCTGCTTACGGGACTGGCTGCGTATGAGAAAGCTTCCAGACTTCCAGTTATCTGAGCCGGTGCCCCTGGGAGACACTGGCAAGTTGGTCCCAGTCATTCACTGCCCTCTTCCTGGCCCACACATTTTTAGTTCTGAACCTCAATGGCTCTTTAAGCTGCCAAGCAGAATGAACCACTGAGTCTTTAAGAACACCACCTAGGGTAAATGGGCCAAGCCCCAGCTGATTTGACCCTCTGACTTCCTCCTTGACATTCTTGCTGACACATTGCAACCTCAGCTGTATTTTGTTGACAATTAGCAGATGAAGTGTCCTGAAAACCCAAGGTCTGCTTTATATAAGTTACAAAATGCTTACCAATGACAGTATTAATACCAGGCCTTCTTAACAACATATTCTTGATTACAGTAACTTTGCCTCTGAGTCTTACGTGAAAGAAAAATCTGCAGGTGTTTCTGTGCCACAGTGAGCACGTATGTCCATGCGGCAATACCCTAAGGAAACTCCCTTCTCCGGAATATCTCAGTTGACCTTGCTCTGTATTTCCTTTAATTAACATAAATAGTTGTGACATTATTTCTGTGTATACATTCTTCCCCCATCAGAATTTTAACTCAAGAGTAAAGAGTACATTTTTATTTAATAAGAATTCAATATCAACCAATTGGGAGGTAAAAAAGTAAGACATGATTAAGGCCTAGGAGGAAGAGGAGATAATGTGAGATATTAGGGAACTGAAAAAGCCAAGTTACAACCTGACAAAACCAGACACTAAGGAGGGGACCATCTGGGTCACTAGGCTGCTTAAACAACCTGAACCTGAGACACAACACAGTCCACATACAAACATTATCCCACACTGGTGGAGTTCAATCTTCAATATCTTTCCCTCACCCCTACCATGGCTTACCATGCTCTCCTTGCCTCCTTTGTTATCTTTTCTCTGGACTCATCTATTAGCCCTTACTGGTTAATGGTTACCTCTCTGTTCTAAGCTTTACTTCTTGTCTCCTGTTTTCCTCTTTTTCTGTCTTCCCTGGATAATCAGAGGAGGAACTGCCAGGCACCATCTCCTAAATCAACTTGCTCATGAGCAGGGGCCAAATGAGGATGTGTGGAAAGTGACCAGAGGAAACCTACAGAATGGAAAGGAGAGACAGGAAGGATACAGCATGGGTGTAAGATCCACCCTCACAACATCTATATGCCAATCAAGAAATAATAATAATAACACCATATTACCTTGGGGTATTCATTTCCATGAGGTGAAGGATGACTAGTTTTGATGTCCTGTTTTTGGATTAGCATTTTGAGTAAATGATGCTCCAAGGTCATAGTTTTCAGGCAGGCCACGAACCTACTAAAATGGTACCAGCTCTCTGATTCTGTTTATAAAAGTAAAGAAAATACACAGTAAACTCAGACTTTTAAAATAAACCATCCTTGCCTTACTACTGTCTTTTCTAAGTCATTTCTTTAAAAAATATATAAGTATTTACTTTCACCTGTTCCCGCTTCTTCAACTCTCTGCCATTGCTTAGTACTGATGTCAACGAGTAACTATTGTCAGTTTCCTGACTGGCCTCTGTCCATTATTGTCTGCCTTCAATCTATCCTCTGCAATGAGACCAGAGTGAATTTCTAAACTCTAACCTGATGAAGTCATTACATCCCACATTTCACCATTGACTAATGATATGAAGAGTACTATATCTTTTAAGGAAATTGAATCTTTGGTTAAAATCTTCTCTCTGAGAAAACTTCAAGTTTCTATAGTATCACTGGTAAGCTATTCCAAAAGATCTTACACAAATTTTTCTGAATTTTAATTTTTTTTTTAATCAAGAGGCCTGGCTGCACTAACTCATGACTGTAATGCCAGCACTTTGGGAGACCAAGGCGGGAAGATCACTTGAGCTCAGGAGTTCCAGACCAGCCTGGGTAACATAGTGAGACCCTGTATCTAAAGAAAGAAAGAAGAAAGAAAGAAAGAAAGAAAGAAAGAAAGAAAGAAAGAAAGAAAGAAAGAAAGAAAGAAAGAAAGAAAGAAAGGAAGGAAGGAGAGAGAGAGAAAGAAAGAAAGAGAGAAAGAGAAAGAAAGAAAGAAAGAAAGAAAGAAGGAAGGAAGGAAGGAAGGAAAGAGAGAGAGAAGGAAGGAAGGAAGGAAAGAAAGAAGGAAAGAAAGAAGGAAGGAAAGAGAGAGAGAGAGAAAGAGGAAGAGAGAAAGAAAGAGAAAGAAAAAAGAAAGAAAGAGGAAGAGAGAAAGAAAGAGAGAGAGAAAGGGGAGGGGAATGGAAGGGAGGAGAGGGGAAGGGAGGAGAGGAGAAGGGAGTAAATTAGGAGGGAAGGGAAGGGAAGGGAAATTAAATTAGCCAGGCATGGTGGCATGTGCCTGTGGTCCCAGCTACTCAGGAGGCTAATGGGGGATGATCACTTGGGCCAGGGAGATTGAGGCTGCAGTGAGCCATGATCACGCCCACTACACTCCAGTCTGCATGACAGAGTGAGACTCTGTCTCTAAATGAACAAATAAATACATGCATAAATACAATTAGGGGGTTGGGGAGACATTTCCCAACAAGTGTTATGAGACTGGGATGACCTGAATGTCAAAACCTGGTAAGAAGGGGAAATTACAGTTTCATTTCTCTCATGAACATAGATGCAAAAAGTCCTAAACAATATATTAACAAATAAAATCTAGCAATAAATAAAAAGAATAATATATGACCACCAAATTGGGTTTGTTCTAGGAAACGAGGTTGGTTTAACATTAAAAAAAATCAATTAACCATATTAAGAGACAAAAAGGTGAAAAAATAATTGTTTTAATGAATACAGAAAAATAGGGTTTAACATTTATGATGGAAAATTATTAGAAACAAGAAATTATTAGCTAACTATGAATAGGACACAACTTTTAAATCTGATAAACTATATCAACAGAAATTACAAAGCAAATATCAGTTATTAAAAATGTTTTCCTTGAGAATGAGAATAAGACAAGAATTTCTGCTGTTACAACATTTATTTAAAATTTTATTGGAGGTACTGCTGGCCAATACAAAAGGCAAGATAAAAATATAAAGGGTAATAAAGATTGGAAAATATGAAATGAAACTTTAATTTTTTACATATAAAATTATTGTATACCTAGGAAACAAAAAATAACCTTCAGATAAATTAATGTTCGTTGGAATTAATAAGTAAATTTAGGAATACGGGTGATGAAAAGTTAATAGATAAAAATAATCTTAGTTTTATACACCAGCAATAAACAGCGAAATTCTAAAAGAAAAAAAGACGTTGTGTTTACTATCATCAACAACCATCAAATGCACAGGAATAAATCTAATAAAAGATGTGCAAAAAACTCCAAAATAAAGCTATCAATACTGCTGAGAAAAATTGAAGATTTAAACAGAGAGACATAACATATACATTAAAAGAGATTATTCACAGAAAAGACAGCCACAAAGTTGAAGATTTTGAAATTCATATACTAAGGAAGGCCATATTCAGAAAATGTAAAATATCTTAAAAATAAATGAGAAAAGCATGTAAATCCCAATTTCAAAAAATAGACAAAATTTAAAATATGCAAGATAATAAGTTCTCTAGAACTTATTATCTGCTGTACAATATAGTACCTACAGTTAACAGTACAGTATTGCACACTTTAAAATACGTTAAAAGAATAGATGTCATGTTATGTGTTCTTAATACACACACACACACACGAACATACAGAAATTTTTAGAGGTGATGGATATATCTAGTACCTTGATTGTGGTGATATCATAGATATACGGTCTAGTAGTACCTTGTTGTGGTGATATCATGGATGTATGCATTTGTCCAAACTAATTGAAAAGTATATATTAAATACGTACAAATTTTGTATATCAATTATATCTCAATAAAGCTTTTAAAAATGGGCGAAAGACTTGAATGGGCACATCAATTATGAACATATACAAATGGTTCATAAGTTTTTGAAAGGTTGCTCAACCTTAGTATTTATTAGAGGAATAAAAATACAATTAGATACCACTAAAAATTACAGAATGGCAAAATTAAAAAGTGTAAAAATAACATGTTCATGAGAATCTGTAGCAATTGGAACTCTTTTTTTTTTTTTTTTTTTTTTTTTTTGAGACGGAGTCTTGCTTTATTGCCCAGGCTGAAGTGCAGTGGCGTGATCTCGGCTCACTGCAAGCTCCGCCTCCTGGGTTCACGCCATTCTCCTGCCTCAGCCTCCCGAGTAGCTGGGACTACAGGCGCCCACCACCACGCCTGGCTGATTTTTTTGTATTTTTAGTAGAGCCGGGGTTTCACCGTGTTAGCCAGAATGGTCTCTGTCTCCTGACCTCGTGATCCGCCCACCTCGGCCTCCCAAAGTGCAGGGATTACACGCGTGAGCCACCACGCCTGGCCAGCAATTGGAACTCTTACATATTGCTGGTAAGAGTGTAAACTGGTACAATCACTTTGAAAACTAGCATCCTCCATCTACATTCTTTAAGACCCAGCAATTCTACTCACAGTTATATAACTAACAGAAATGCATATATATGTACATAAAAAGCATGCATAAGGATGTTCATTGCAACAATATTCATAATAGCCAAAAACAGAAAACAATCAAATTTGTCAAGAGTAAATTTGTATTAATAAATCGCGGTATATTTGTATATTCATAGTTTATAAGACTAAATCCTGAATATCCCAAATATAATGCTGAGTGTAAAAAGCCAAACACACAAAAAAGCACATACTATAAATTCTCATTTCTATAAAGTTCAAAAACAGGAAATAAGGATATGTTGATAGGTCAGAATAGCAGTGACCTTAGGGAGGGGCATATGGATGTTTATAAGGTGCTGAAAATGTCCTACTTCTTGCCCTTAGTGATGGTCCAATGGATGTGATCACTTTCAAAAACATCATCAAGCTGTATGCTTATGCTTTTTGTACTGTCCTATGCGTTCATTATATTTCATTAAAAAGAAAAATACCAAATGACCTTATTTGATTACCTGAAGGTAATTTATGGCTTCAGCAAATGTCGTGGGTGGAGCTGAGGGAGTAGAAGCCAGGTTGGAGGAGGTTGAAGGGTGAATGAGTCATGCAAAACTGAAGACAGGGTATGCAGACAACTCCTGAGAATTTTGACTGTGGATGAAAATAGAGAAATAAGGCAGAAATGCAGAGGGTCAAGGAGGGTTTCTTGCCATGATTATCTGGTTTTGTTTTTTAAAGTGAAAGAGTAAATTAGAATATGCTCATTTGCTGACACTTCATCCTACCTGCATCAACATATTTGATGAAGAAAAGGCAGTCTTGAGTAATAGGATTCTCCAAAGAAACCATCATATACACACACATACACATGCGCACGCGTACAAACACACACACACACACGTTTATTATTTATAGGAATTTTCCTATGTGATTATGGAGGCTAAGTATCATGATCTGCTCTCTGCAAGCTGGAGAACTAGAAAAGCCAGTGGTATAATTCAGTTCAGGTCCAAAGGTCTGAGAACCAGGGGTTCTGATATCTGAGGGCAGGAGAAGATGGATGTCCCAGCTCCAACAGAGAAAGTGAATTCGCCCCTCCTTTGCCTTTTTCTTCTATTAGTATTTAGGCCCTCAATGGATTGCAGGATGCCCACTCCCACTGGTGGGGGTGATCTGCTTTACTCAGTCTACTGAGTTAAACGCTAATTTCTTCCAGAAACCCCCTCACAGACACACCCAGAATTAATGTTTTATCAGCTATCTGTGCATCCTTTAGTCCAGTCAAATTGACACCTAAAATTAACCGTCACAGGTAGTCAGGGACAGTAGGGCAGTTGGCAATGAGCCAGGGAAGAAATTGCCAAGAATGTGGGAAACGAAGGATGTTATGATCCGAATGTTTATGTTCCTCCAAAATTCCTAAGTTGAAACCTGATCCCCAATGTGACAGTATTACAAGATGAGAGCTTTTGGGAGGGGTTTAGGTCATGAGGCTCCACCCTCGTGAATGAGATGATTGCCTTTATAAGAGAACCCAAAAAGCTAGCCCCTTCCACCCTGTGAGGACATTGTTAGAAGGTGCGATCTATGAAGCAGAAAGCATGCCCTCACCAGACACAGCAACTTCAGGTGCCTTAATTTTGGACTTCCCAGCCCTCAGAACAGTGAGCAATAAATTTCTATTGTTTATAAGCCACGCAGTGTATGCCATTCCTGTTATAGCAGCCCAAGTGGGCTAAGACAAAGGGCTAGCAGAGAACAGAGGATTGATGGGATTCAGTTTAGGCAGCTCCAGTGATTTATCAGAAAGGAAAGTCTGGTTGAAACAACCTCTTCTGAGGGTTTTCGCTTCAACAGCCTATTAAGTTTCCTTATCTTTCATTCCATGATCCAAGTTTATTTAAAAGTAAACTAAAGACAAAACCAGAGAGTTGGGGCATATTTTTGTAAAAAGATCATTTCCCTGGAGGTAAAAAGTTATTTTAACGGGAGGAGGATAGGAAACTCTCACTGCTCTTGCTTAACTTGAAGTTTTCCAAGGATGGACCCATAGACTGTGAGCTCCATGAAGACTGGGCCCAGGGGTTTGAGCTAACTATCATATCCCCACTGGAAAATAGTAAGTGCTCATTAAATACTTGTTGAGAGAATGATTTAAAGCCCTACAGTTGCTCAGTTTACAGGCAGGGAATCTGGCTGTAGTCATGATGGGTAAACTGCTGTGACTCTTGGGTCCAGGTGTTAAACCCTCTACCCTGGTGGGGATCCATCCTCTCTTTCTGAGTATAGGATCTCCCCACCTGTCTTGTAAGTACCCTAGGCCTCCAGCCTTTAGAGGTGGTTCTTAGCGATCATTACAGATCACTGGGGAGAATGATTCACCATCTCAACTCCCAGCTAACTCATGTTCAAATGTTTTAGCTAATGCTCTTCTGTGTGAATATTTAGGTAGATTACAGAGGTGAACTTCTGCTCTATTTTATAGGTCGTATGTTAAATAACATCAGCTCATTCTTATAAATAATTTTCACAGCACTCCTGAACTAGAATGAAGTTATTATAAAGCATTTTGCCTACTAATTATAAAAATAATAATATTTATCAAGCATTTCTAACATGCCAAGCACTGTGCTAAGCATTTTACTCACATTAATCTGTATTTTATTTTAAGTTCCAGGATACATGTGTAGGATGTGCAGGTTTGTTGCATAGGTAAATGTGTGCAATGGTGGTTTGCTGCACTTATCAGCCCATCACCTAAGTATTAAGTCCAGCATACATTAGCTGTTCTTCCTGATGCTCTCCCTTCCCCCTGACCCCTCCCCTAACAGACCCTACTTGTGTGTTGTTCACCTCCCTGTGTCCATGTGTTCTCATTGTTTAGCTCCCACTTACAAGTTAGAACATTCAGTGTTTGGTTTTCTGTTCTTGTGTTAGTTTGTTGAGGATAATGGCTGCATCCATGTCCCTGCAAAGGACATGATCTCATTTCTTTTTATGGCTGCATAGTATTCCATGATGTAGACGTACCACATTTTATTTATCCCGTCTATCACTGATGGGCATTTGGGTTGATTCCATGTCTTTGCTATTGTGAATAGTGCTGCAATAAATGTAAGCATGCATGAATCTTTATAATAGAGTGGTTTCTATTCCTTTGGGCATATATCCAATGATGAGATTGCTGGGTCAAATGGTATTTCAGGTTCTAGGCCTTAGAGGAATCACCACACTATCTTCCATAATGGTTAAACTAATTTACATTCCCACTAACAGTGTAAAAGCATTTCTATTTCTCCACAGCCTCACCAGCATCTGTTGTTTCTTGACTTTTTAATAATCTCCATTCTGATTGGTCTGATGGTATCTCACTGTGGTTTTGATTTGCATTTCTCTAATGATCAGTGATGTTGAGTTTTTCTTCATATGTTTGTTGGCCACATAAATGTATTCTTTTGAGAAATGTCTGTTTATGTCCTTTGCCTACTTTTTGATGGGGTTGTTTGCTTTTTTTTCTTGTAAATTGGTTTAGTGCCTTGTAGATTCTGGATATTAGACCTTTATCAGATGGATAGATTGCAAAAATTTTCTCCCATTCTGTAGGTTGTCTGTTCACTCTGATGATAGTTTCTTTGCTGTGTAGAAGCTCTTTAGTTTAGTTAGGTCCCATTTGTCAATTTTGCTTTTGTTGCAATTGCCTTTGATGTTTTAGTCATGAAATCTTTGCCCATGCCTATGTCCTGAATGGTATTGCCTAGATTTTCTTCTAGGTTTCTTCTAAGGTTTTCATAGTTTTGGGTTTTACAATTAAGGTTTTAATCTATCTTGGGATAATTTTTGTACAATGTATAAGGAAGGGGCCCAGTTTCAATTTTCTACAGATGACCAGCCAGCTCTCCCAGCACCATTTATTAAGTAGGGAATCCTTTCCCCATTGCTTGGTTTTATCAGCTTTGTCAAAGATCAGATGGTTGTAGATGTGTGGTGTTATTTCTGAGGCCTCTGTTCTGTTTCATTGGTCTATATATCTGTTTTGGTACTAGTACCATGCTGCTTTGATTACTATAGCTTTGTAGTATAGTTTGAAGTCAGGTAGCATGGTGCCTCCAGCTTTGTTCCTTTTGCTTAGGGTTGTCTTGGCTATACAGGTTCTTTTTTGGTTCCACATGAATTTTAAAATACTTTTTTTTCTAAATCTGTGAAGAATGTCAATGGTAGTTTAATGGGAATATCATAGAATCTATCAATTACTTTGGGAAGGATGGCCATTTTCATGATATTGATTCTTCCTATCCATGAGCATGGAATATTTTTCATTTGTTTTTGTCCTTTCTTATTTCCTTGAGCAGTGGTTTGTAGTTCTCCTTGAAGAGGTCCTTCACATCCCTTGTTAGCTGTATTCCTAGGTATTTTATTCTCTGTAGCAATTCTCAACAGGAGTTCATTCATGATTTGGCTCTTTGCTTGTCTATTGTTGGTGTATAGCAATGCTTGTGATTTTTGCATATTGATTTTGTATCCTGAGACTTTGCTGAAGTTGCTTATCTGCTTAAGAAGCTTTTGGGCTGAGATGATGGGGTTGTCTAGATATAGAATCATGTAATCTGCAAACAGAGACAGTTTAACTTTCTCTCTTCCTATGTGAATACGCTTTATTTCTTTCTCTTGCTTGATTGCCCAGGTCAGAACTTTCAATATTATGTTGAATAGGAATGGTAAGAGAGTGCACCTCTTGTGCTGGTTTGCAAGAGTAATGCTCCCAGCTTTTGCCGTTTAGTGTGATATTGGCTGTGGGTTTGTCATAAATGGCTCTTATTATTTTTAGGTATGTTCTATCAATACCTAGTTTATTGAGAGTTTTTAACATAAAGGGCTGTTGAATTTTATTGAAGGCCTTTTCTGCATCTATTGAGATAATCATGTGGGTTTTGTCTTTAGTTCTGTTTACATGAAGAATTACATTTATTGATTTGTGTATGTTAAACCGGCCTTGCATCTTGGGGATGAAGCCAACTTGATCGTGGTGGATACACTTTTTGATGTGCTGCTGGATTCGGTTTGCCCGTATTTTACTGAGGATATTTGTATTGATATTCATCAAAAATATTGGCCTGAAATTTTCTTTTATTGTTGTATCTCTACCAGGTTTTGGTATCAGGATGATGCTAGCTTCATAAAATGAGTTAGGGAGGAGTCCCTCCTTTTAAGTTGATTGGAATAGTTTCAGAAGAAATGGTAACAGCTCCTCTTTGAACCTCTGGTAGAATTCAGCCATAAATCCATCTGATCCTGGGCTTTTTTTGTTGGCAGGCTATTTATTACTGCCACGGTTTCAGAACTTGTTATTGGTCTATTCAGGGATTCAACTTCTTCATGGTTCAGTCTTGAGAGGGTGTATGTGTCCACGAATTTATCCACTTCTTCTAGATTTTCTAGTTTATTTGCATAGAGGTGTTTATAGTATTCTCTGATGATTGTTTGTATTTCTGTTTACTCACATTAATCTTATGAAATATTATGACTATCCTCAAAACAATTCTATGAGGCAGTACTATTGTCTAAATTTTACATATGAGGAAACTGAAGCATACAGGTATTAATGCAAGTTTCCTGAGGCCATACAGAGAGTAAGAGGCAGGGCCAGGTTTTGTTCCCTGATAGTTTGATTCTGGACTCCGAAGGGGTGGGGCATCCTCAAGTTTAGTCCTGACACCTAAACCCCTCTACCACAACTGATCTTATATTTCCAATGTCATATCAGTTGCTTGAAGCTTAAGCCCCCTACTGGTCCTGGCAATAGGCTCTCTCTATAGACCCAAGAACTCACAATGGATCCTGTCTCAAGGTGACCAGGTGAGTCCTACTAGTAGTATACTCTCTTGTTATTAGTTCCTAGAATTCATCTAAGAATGGCAGTTCAGGGGGCATGATGCCTCTAACTCTAAACTTTGCCATGATCAAAAGCGCATACTGCAAACATTAGGTTCTGGTCTTAGTGTTTGAAAGAACTTATTTGCTCTCATACCAAAAACAAGCGTTGACTTTTCCTCTTAATCATTTGCCAAAACAAAAGTTAAAAACACCAACCACCAAAACATTTTAAAATGGACATGTAATACTTTTAAAATGAAAGAATACTTACTTCTCCCAAAAGAAATATTAGGTTCCTCAAAGAATACAGGAGCTTGTTAGACTTTAATGGTCTCCCTGAGCATATAACTTTTTTTTTTTAATATACTTTAAGTTTTAGGGTACATGTGCACAATGTGCAGGTTAGTTACGTATGTATACATGTGCCATGCTGGTGCACTGCACCCACTAACTCATCATCTAGCATTAGGTGTATCTCCCAATGCTATCCCTCCCCCCTCCCCCCACCCCACAACAGTCCCCAGGGTGTGATGTTCCCCTTCCTGTGTCCATGTGTTCTCATTGTTCAATTCCCACCTATGAGTGAGAATATGCGGTGTTTGGTTTTTTGTTCTTGTGATAGTTTACTGAGAATGATTTCCAATTTCATCCATGGCCCTACAAAGGACATGAACTCATCATTTTTTATGGCTGCATAGTATCCCATGGTGTATATGTGCCACATTTTCTTAATCCAGTCTATCATTGGACATTTGGGTTGGTTCCAAGTCTTTGCTATTGTGGATAATGCTGCAATAAACATACATGTGCATGTGTCTTTATAGCAGCATGATTTATAGTCCTTCGGGTTTATATACCCAGTAATGGGATGGCTGGGTCAAATGGTATTTCCAGTTCTAGATCCCTGAGGAATCGCCACACTGACTTCCACAATGGTTGAACTAGTTTACAGTCCCACCAACAGTGTAAAAGTGTTCCTATTTCTCCACATCCTCTCCAGCACCTGTTGTTTCCTGACTTTTTAATGATTGCCATTCTAACTGGTGTGAGATGGTATCTCATTGTAGTTTTGATTTGCATTTCTCTGATGGCCAGTGATGGTGAGCATTTTTTCATGTGTTTTTTGGCTGCATAAATGTCTTCTTTTGAGAAGTGTCTGCCCATGTCCTTCGCCCACTTTTTGATGGGGTTGTTTTTTTCTTGTAAATTTGTTGGAGTTCATTGTAGATTCTGGATATTAGCCCTTTGTCAGATGAGTAGGTTGTGAAAATTTTCTCCCATTTTGTAGGTTGCCTGTTCACTCTGATGGTAGTTTCTTTTGCAGCGCAGAAGCTCTTTAGTTTAATTAGATCCCATTTGTCAATTTTGTCTTTTGTTGCCATTGCTTTTGGTGTTTTAGACATGAAGTCCTTGCCCATGCCTATGTCCTGAATGGTAATGCCTAGGTTTTCTTCTAGGGTTTTTATGGTTTTAGGTCTAACGTTTAAGTCTTTAATCCATCTTGAATTGATTTTTGTATAAGGTGTAAGGAAGGGATCCAGTTTCAGCTTTCTACATATGGCTAGCCAGGTTTCCCAGCACCATTTATTAAATAGGGAATCCTTTCCCCATTGCTTGTTTTTCTCAGGTTTGTCAAAGATCAGATAGTTGTAGATATGCGGCGTTATTTCTGAGGGCTCTGTTCTGTTCCATTGATCTATATCTCTGTTTTGGTACCAGTACCATGTTGTTTTGGTTACTGTAGCCTTGTAGTATAGTTTGAAGTCAGGTAGCGTGATGCCTCCAGCTTTGTTCTTTTGGCTTAGGATTGACTTGGCGATGCGGGCTCTTTTTTGGTTCCATATGAACTTTAAAGTAGTTTTTTCCAATTCTGTGAAGAAAGGCATTGGTAGCTTGATGGGGCTGGCATTGAATCTGTAAATTACCTTGGGCAGTATGGCCATTTTCACGATATTGATTCTTCCTACCCATGAGCAGGGAATGTTCTTCCATTTGTTTGTATCCTCTTTTATTTCCTTGAGCAGTGGTTTGTAGTTCTCCTTGAAGAGGTCCTTCACATCCCTAGTAAGTTGGATTCCTAGGTATTTTCTTCTCTTTGAAGCAATTGTGAATGGGAGTTCACTCATGATTTGGCTCTCTGTTTGTCTGTTGTTGGTGTATAAGAATGCTTGTGATTTTTGTACATTGATTTTGTATCCTAAGACTTTGCTGAAGTTGCTTATCAGCTTAAGGAGATTTTGGGCTGAGACAATGGGGTTTTCTAGATATACAATCATGTCGTCTGCAAACAGGGACAATTTGACTTCCTCTTTTCCTAATTGAATACCCTTTATTTCCTTCTCCTGCCTAATTGCCCTGGCCAGAACTTCCAACACTATGTTGAATAGGAGTAGTGAGAGAGGGCATCCCTGTCTTGTGCCAGTTTTCAAAGGGAATGCTTCCAGTTTTTGCCCATTCGGTATGATATTGGCTGTGGGTTTGTCATAGATAGCTCTTACTATTTTGAGATACGTCCCATGAATACCTGATTTATTGAGAGTTTTTAGCATGAAGCGTTGTTGAATTTTGTCAAAGGACTTTTCTGCATCTATTGAGATAATCATGTGGTTTTTGTCTTTGGTTCTGTTTATATGCTGGATTACATTTATTGATTTGCGTATATTGAACCAGCCTTGCATCCCAGGGATGAAGCCCACTTGATCATGGTGGATAAGCTTTTTGATGTGCTGCTGTATTCGGTTTGCCAGTATTTTATTGAGGATTTTTGCATCAATGTTCATCAAGGATATTGGTCTAAAATTCTCTTTTTTGGTTGTGTCTCTGCCCGGCTTTGGTATCAGGATGATGCTGGCCTCATCAAATGAGTTAGGGAGGATTCCCTCTTTTTCTATTGATTGGAATAGTTTCAGAAGGAATGGTACCAGTTCCTCCTTGTACCTCTGGTAGAATTCGGCTGTGAATCCATCTGGTCCTGGACTCTTTTTGGTTGGTAAGCTATTGATTATTGACACAATTTCAGCTCCTGTTATTGGTCTATTCAGAGATTCAACTTCTTCCTGGTTTAGTCTTGGGAGAGTGTATGTGTCGAGGAATGTATCCATTTCTTCTAGATTTTCTAGTTTATTTGTGTAGAGGTGTTTGTAGTATTCTCTGATGGTAGTTTGTATTTCTGTGGGATCGGTGGTGATATCCCCTTTATCATTTTTTATTGCGTCTATTTGATTCTTCTCTCTTTTTTTCTTTATTAGTCTTGTTAGTGGTCTATCAGTTTTGTTGATCCTTTCAAAAAACCAGCTCCTGGATTCGTTAATTTTTTGAAGGGTTTTTTGTGTCTCTGTTTCCTTCAGTTCTGCTCTGATTTTAGTTATTTCTTGCCTTCTGCTAGCTTTTGAATGTGTTTGCTCTTGCTTTTCTAGTTCTTTTAATTGTGATGTTAGGGTGTCAATTTTGGATCTTTCCTACTTTCTCTTGTGGGCATTTAGTGCTATAAATTTCCCTCTACACACTGCTTTGAATGTGTCCCAGAGATTCTGGTATGTTGTGTCTTTGTTCTCATTGGTTTCAAAGAACATCTTTATTTCTGCCTTATTTCGTTATGTACCCAGTAGTCATTCAGGAGCAGGTTGTTCAGTTTCCATGCAGTTGACAGGTTTTGAGTGAGATTCTTAATCCTGAGTTCTAGTTTGATTGCACTGTGGTCTGAGAGATAGTTTGTTATAATTTCTGTTCTTTTACATTTGCTGAGGAGAGCTTTACTTGCAAGTATGTGGTCAATTTTGGTATAGGTGTGGTGTGGTGCTGAAAAAAATGTATATTCTGTTGATTTGGGGTGGAGAGTTCTGTAGATGTCTATTAGGTCCGCTTGGTGCAGAGCTGAGTTCAATTCCTGGGTATCCTTGTTGACTTTCTGTCTCGTTGATCTGTCTAATGTTGACAGTGGGGTGTTAAAGTCTCCCATTATTAATGTGTGGGAGTCTAAGTCTCTTTGTAGGTCACTCAGGACTTGCTTTATGAATCTGGGTGCTCCTGTATTGGGTGCATATATATTTAGGATAGTTAGCTCTTCTTGCTGAATTGATCCCTTTACCGTTAAGTAATGGCCTTCTTTTTCTCTTTTGATCTTTGTTGGTTTAAAGTCTGTTTTATCAGAGACTAGGATTGCAACCCCTGCCTTTTTTTGTTTTCCATTTGCTTGGTAGATCTTCCTCCATCCTTTTATTTTGAGCCTATGTGTGTCTCTGCACGTGAGATGGGTTTCCTGAATATAGCACACTGATGGGTCTTGACTCTTTATCCAATTTGCCAGTCTGTGTCTTTTAATTGGAGCATTTAGTCCATTTACATTTAAAGTTAATATTGCTATGTGTGAATTTGATCCTGTCATTATGATGTTAGCTGGTTATTTTGCTCGTTAGTTGATGCAGTTTCTTCCTAGTCTCGATGGTCTTTACATTTTGGCATGATTTTGCAGCGGCTGGTACTGGTTGTTCCTTTCCATGTTTAGCACTTCCTTCAGGAGCTCTTTTAGGGCAGGCCTGGTGGTGACAAAATCTCTCAGCATTTGCTTGTCTGTAAAGTATTTTATTTCTCCTTCACTTATGAAGCTTAGTTTGGCTGGATATGAAATTCTGGGTTGAAAATTCTTTTCTTTAAGAATGTTGAAGATTGGCCCCCACTCTCTTCTGGCTTGTAGAATTTCTGCCGAGATATCTGCTGTTAGTCTGATGGGCTTCCCTTTGAGGGTAAACCAACCTTTCTCTCTTTCGGCCCTTAACATTTTTTCCTTCATTTCAACTTTTGTGAATCTGACAATTATGTGTCTTGGAGGTGCTCTTCTCGAGGAGTATCTCTGTGACGTTCTCTGTATTTCCTGAATTTGAATGTTGGCCTGCCTTGCTAGATTGGGGAAGTTCTCCTGGATAATATCCTGCAGAGTGTTTTCCAACTTGGTTCTATTCTCCCCATCACTTTCACGTACACCAATCAGACATAGATTTGGTCTTTTCACATAGTCCCATATTTCTTGGTGGCTTTGTTCATTTCTCTTTATTCTTTTTTCTCTAAACTTCCCTTCTCGCTTCATTTCATTCATTTTATCTTCCATCGCTGATACCCTTTCTTCCAGTTGATCGCATCGGCTGCTGAGGCTTCTGCATTCTTCACGTAGTTCTCGAGCCTTGGTTTTCAGCTCCATCAGCTCCTTTAAGCACTTCTCTGTATTGGTTATTCTAGTTATACGTTCTTCTAAATTTTTTTCAAACTTTTCAACTTCTTTGCCTTTGTTCTGAATTTCCTCTCGTAGCTCGGAGTAATTTGATCGTCTGAAGCCTTTTCTCTCAGCTCGTCAAAGTCATTCTCCAACCAGCTTTGTTCCGTTGCTGGTGAAGAACTGTGTTCCTTTGGAGGAGGAGAGGCGCTCTGCTTTTTAGAGTTTCCAGTTTTTTTGCTCTGTTTTTTCCCCATCTTTGTGGTTTTATCTACTTTTGGTCTTTGATGATGGTGATGTACAGATGGGTTTTCGGTGTGGATGTCCTTTCTGTTTGTTAGTTTTCCTTCTAACAGACAGGACCCTCAGCTGCAGGTCTGTTGGAGTACCTGGCCGTGTGAGGTGTCAGTCTGCCCCTGCTGGGAGATGCCTCCCAGTTAGGCTGCTTGGGGGTCAGGGGTCAGGGACCCACTTGAGGAGGCAGTCTGCCCGTTCTCAGATCTCCAGCTGCGTGCTGGGAGAACCACTGCTCTCTTCAAAGCTGTCAGACAGGGACATTTAAGTCTGCAGAGGTTACTGCTGTCTTTTTGTTTGTCTGTGCCCTGCCCCCAGAGGTGGAGCCTACAGAGGCAGGCAGGCCTCCTTGAGCTGTGGTGGGCTTCACCCAGTTCGAGCTTCCTGGCTGCTTTGTTTACCTAAGTAAGCCTGGGCAATGGCAGGCGCCCCTCCCCCAGGCTCACTGCCGCCTTGCAGTTTGATCTCAGACTGCTGTGCTAGCAATCAGTGAGACTCCGTGGGCGTAGGACCCTCCGAGCCAGGTGCGGGATATAATCTCCTGGTGCGCCGTTTTTTAAGCCCATTGGAAAAGCCCAGTATTCAGGTGGGAGTGACCCGATTTTCCAGGTGCTGTCTGTCGCCCCTTTCTTTGACTAGGAAAGGGAACTCCCTGACCCCTTGCGCTTCCCGAGTGAGGCAATGTCTCGCCCTGCTTCGGCTCACGCACGGTGCGCTCACCCACTGACCTGCGCCCACTGTCTGGCACTCCCTAGTGAGATGAACCCGGTACCTCAGATGGAAATGCAGAAATCACCCGTCTTCTGCGTAGCTCACGCTGGGACCTGTAGACCGGAGCTGTTCCTATTCGGCCATCTTGGCTCCTCCCTGAGTGCATTTTTTTTGATCCCAGCCCGGATGTAACTGCAGGGGGCCAACATGGGGTTCCCTTGTCCCAGATACACCATCAGTTTCTTTATTGAGGCCACTGTTATGTGCTAAATGTTTCCCCCTCAAATTCGTATACTGAAGTCCTAACCTCCAGTATCTTTGCATGTGACTGTAAGTTAATTAATTAACTTAATTACCCTTGAAGAGGTAATTAAGTTAAAATTAGGTTGTTAGGTGATATTCTTATAGGAAGAGAAAATTTGGGCTGGATGTGGTGGCTCTTGCCTGTAATCCCAGCACTTTCAGAAGCCAGGGTGGGTGGATCTCTTGAGGCCAGTTGTTCGAGACCAGCCTGGGCAACATGGTGAAACCCTGTCTCTACTAAAAATACAAATATTAGCTTGGCTTGGTGGTGCACATGTAGTCCCAGCTACTCAGGAGGCTGAGGCAGGAGAATCACTTGAGCCTGGGAGGCAGATGTTGCAGTGAGCTGAGATCACATGACTGCACTCCAGCCTGGGCTACAGAGCAAGACCTCATCTCAAAAAAAAAAAAAAAGAAAGCAAGAAAATTTGGACATAGAAAAAGAGATGCCTAGGGTGTGTGAGCCCAGAGGGCTGACCATGTGAAGAAGCAGCAAGAGGGTAGCTATCTGCAAGGCAAGGAGAGGGGCCTCAGAAGAAACCTGATCTTGGACATTCAGCCTCCAGAACTGTGGGAAGATAAGTTTCTGTGGTTTAAGCCACTCAGTCTGTCGGATTTTGTTATGGCAGCCCTAGCAAACGAATACAGTCACTTCAATGATCTCTTCAGATATGGATGGTTAGGATCCAAAGTGGCCCCTGGCTCCTTATTTGATTGTGGGTCTAAGTTTGTCAGATCAGGCCACTGGGCTTCCAGCAACATCAGAGGACACCTGAGCTTGACTGTCGACTGCAATATTGTCTGGCCTCACAAAGCCTGGGAAGGAACTAGGAAGGAAGATGATTAAGGGATGGTGGCATAAAATCGTTTCTCTCCATGCTGGATGTGCATTACTGTCACCTAGGAGCTTAAAACTATAAATGGTTGCCTCTCCCCACTCCCTAAATCTACCAAATAAATGAATCAGAATTTCTGGGGTAAGACCTGGGCACTCTTAAAATTCTCCAAGCTATTCTAATATGCAGCCAAGTTTGAGAAACGCTAGCTCAGGGAATACCCTTCATTTTGTTCTTTATGTTTTGCTAAGATATCTGCTGAGATTCTCTCTGGTACCAAGAACCAAGGGCATTTTCTCTGGTTACGAAGGCCCATTTACTAGGTTAAAGGACTTGAAAAACTTTTCTAAGTATTTAAAAATGATAAAAGCCGTGTGTTTGCGTGTGTGTGTGTACACGCGTGCCTGTGTGTGTGCCTCCACAAATATTTATGACAATTATTTTTTGGTGATCTTTTCTGATTTACAGAGCACTTTTACCGACATGGTCTCATTCAATCATCACAAATCCTTACTAGAGGAGTCTTATTATTCATGTGGTTGATGTGATTGGTCATTTTGTGGATGAGGAAAGTGATCTGCTTTGAAGAGTAATGGGATCATCCTACAAGATTGTGTGGGTTAGGCCCTGCAGGAGACCTCCCAGGTAAAGGTACAAGTGGGGCTGAGCTTGTGCCTATGGGCCACTCTCAAGCCCTGGTGAGGGGCTTAACCATGCTCAGGAATGTTGGGTTGTTATAATTCACACAGTGGCATTGTTTGTCACAGTAGTTGCCAAGAGTGAGGATCAGATATGAGAGCTAGGACTTCTTACCCCACCACTGTGTACTATTAATGGCTGCCACTGAGTCCCAGCACGTGTGGGCACAAGAGCTCAGGTGTGCCCAGCTAGCAGGCTCCTTCCTTGCTGCCCTCCATGTGCAGGAAAGCCAGGGCAGACTGAGGCAGTGTGTACAGGTAAGGAGCCCCAGCCTGAGGGTCAATGCTCTGGCTGTGGTTCCAGAGCTGCCGCTGACCGGGAGACTTTGAGCACCATGTTTAATTTATCTGGGCTTCAATTTCCTTAGCTATCTCTCCTCTACTTCTAACATTCTGTATGTTTTAAAACTTACTAGTTTCCTAAAACTGTGTCCATTGAATCCTAACTCTTTTAAAGAAGAAATAGATAGGGAGTGACTACCAGTACTATTTTAAAGAGACATTTAAATCTGCTAGAAAAACACTTTCTCTCCTCTTTGCTAAAATAAGAAATTCATGTAATTTCAGTATATCAGAGGTGAGATATATAGTCTAAAAAGGGTTACACTCAGCTGACAATGATATATTTTTCTGTCTTATCTTTCCATATTATTTTCTTAAATTATGAAGGCAAGCCAACAGAATTAAACCCAGAGTTATAGCATTTACATTTTATGTATTCAGAATTCTAGAACATACCATCTAAAATCTTGAAGTCATGAAAACAGATTTTTCTTCTCCTCCACCCTCCTTAACTACTGTGGGGATAATGCCCTATTCCTAGCAACGCTCTTTCTCTTCCTCTCTCTCTTTCTCTGTCGCATTCTACTGGCAGATCACGATGTTGCCTCTGTAATATAATTCTCTACCATAGTCACCCACTATAGAAAAAGATCCATGGGCAAAAGATTTTGCTAAGCATGGACTCCAGGAATGGAATGATACACAAGCACCGCACCAGCCGCTAGGCTGAGGCTGAACATACCTGACAAGGGGCACAAGGGGTGGCAGAGAAAGACTCTGGTTCAAGACCACTTTCCAGTGAAGGTGACTTTAAAGGCAAGAATATTTAACCAGGTATGTTACCTCTGCCATGGACAAGCCAGATGGCAGAATGCAATCCTGTCTCCTGGAAGATTTGCTAATAGAGACTTGGACACAAATTATAAATGCACAGTACTTTAAAGTAAAATAACATTGTGTTTCTTTTGACATGTTAAAATCTTAGCCACTTATCACTCTCACTTTAAATGCCCTTCTCTATTCTGATGCTAAAACTGTCCCCGAGTTAAAAACAGTTACACTATGGTACATCTGCAATGGAAAACAGTCTGACCATTCATCAAAAGGTTGAACATAGAATTACTATATGATCCAGCAGTTCTACTCATAGATATCTACCCAAGAGAAATAAAAACATATCCACATGAAATTTATACACCAATGGTTAAAGCAGCATTATTATTCATCATTGACGCAAAACAGAAACAACACAAATATCCATCAATGACGAATGGATAAAATAAAATGCGACATGTCCATACAATGGAATATTATTCAGCATCAAAAGGAATGAATTAGTAATACATGCCACAACAAGGACGAACCTTGAAAACATCACGCCAGGTGAAAGAAGCCAGTCACAAAAAAACACATAGGATAAAATTCCATTTATATTACATGTCCAGAGAAGATGAATACATAGAGACCGAAAGTAGATTAGTGGTTTCCTAGGGCTAGGGGCAGGGGTGCTGGGGAACAGGAAGAGAAAGGGGGAATGACTGCTAATGGGTAAGGATTTTTTTTTTTTCGGTGGGAGGGGGTAAAGTGATTTAAGTGTTCTAAAATTTATTGTAGTGATGGTTGTACAATATTGTGAACAGCTAAAAGTCTGAATTATCCATTTTAAATAAGTGGATTCAATGGTATGTGAATTAAATCTTAATAAAGATGATTATTTTACAAACGGTGAAAGTGAAAAGGAATCCCCAATCCAAACTGAGCATATAATTCTTCAGTGCCTTATCTGAACACATGGTATCATTGTCTAACCCATGGCTCTTTAGTTGAGAAAATGTAGACTCAAGTCTGCTGCTGGCAATGCCTGATCATGAAGGATCACATCCACACAGGCAGGGTCCCTAAGACAGGCTAGGACTCTCCGAGAGCATCCAGCCCAGTCTCTGCCTCAGAGCAAGGGCCCGACTAAGCCATCCCTGTGACCAAAGTCAGACTTTGCCACAGCTGCATCAATACCTTATGAAAGAAGAGAGGGTCTCACAATCAGGAGCAGCTCTTTGCAATACTGCGTGGTGGCTGAAGTCTGTCTCACACCTGAATATTGCAGAAGTACAATACTGTTCAGAGGCTTGCCAAATGATAGGATGTTGAGAATGAGAGGAAACAAAGAGACAAATATAAATCTGGAACTGCATGCCCAGGGACTGGAGAAGAGAGATGCTGGTGGCAGGAATAGGAAGTCCTACAGCTTTGAGCAGAAGATAAGAGCTACCGTACCTTGGAGGTAAAATCACTTTTGGATGCTGTGCGAAGGCCATTCAGGCAGTACCTCCAGCAGGCAGATAGACATGCAAGAGCACAGGAAGAGCCAAAGGGCCAGAATTCAGTTGTCATAGGATTGGGCTTCATTCATTTTTAAAAATGCATACAGTCATTCACCTACTCACTCCCTCATTGAATAAGCATTTAATAAGTTGCCACTAAGTGCAGGCATTGTGCTAGTTTTCAGGAAATGGAAATAAGGATGACAGAGGCTCCAGACTTTGAGATCTTACAGCCTCAAGATCCAAGATAGTCACTGCAGTGCTTGGATCCAGAGGGCCCCTTTGGACCTAATAACGGTAATGACACGTTCATTTATATAAGACCTCGGTGATTTCAGAGTGCTTACTAGTACATTCTGCAACCCTGACAAACAGCCAAGAATATTATCACCACCCTGTGAAGATGAAAAAGATAAAAGTCCATGGGGCTTAAGGGATTTATTTCAGGTCACTTCACGGGTAACAAAGCTGGACTCGAATCCGAGCCTTCTGACTCCTTGTCTGATGCTCTTTCTATTTGAAACCCAAAAATCAGAAAGTAGAAAAACCCAGTGCCCCAGTTTTACAGCACAGAGCTACAGACATGGTACTTGTAGGAAGTACATGAAAAGTGGCAGCACTTAACAGCATGTCCTCTCTCTGACACTGGACAAGACTATGTTGGCAGAAGCAAAAGTGACCAGATACCCGAGATGCACTTGAAAACTCAGTTCTTCTGACCCAGAATGTACCCGCTGGAGATGAGCTCAGAGGAACTGCTTGATCATTTAACAATTACCCTACAGAGACAACATCAAAAGAATCTACTATCAAACATCACAACCTGATTGTGTAGACACTGATCATTGGCTTGTCCAACTCTTTATCATCCTCCTCCTTAACTCTGTTATGGACAATGGGATATAAATGAAATCTGCTGTGAGGTTCCTAAGAAAGTTTTTGGATTTGAGGGCCTACTTCCCCTTCTCATCTTCCTCCCTTGAGTCTTGCAACCGTGAGGAAAGGCTGAGAACATCACAGTATCATTGCCCTGACATCACCCAGACACTGGGCCATTGCCAACGCCCAGGTGTCTCCACACTACCTTTCATGTGAGAAAATAAATCCCACAGTTTTAAACCACCATCAACAAGTTCTATTGCTATAGAATGAATTCTTGATTGATATAATGTATAATAGAAAGGGTGTGGATTTTGAAACCAGACATATTCAAATCCTGACTAGTTGGAAAGGAAGTTACTTCCCTAACTCTCAGCTTCCTCATCTGGAAAATGGGAACAATATAATAGCCTTTTAGCATTTCTGAGAAGCTAAAAAAAGTAATTATAAAAATGCCTAGCCTATTGTCTATCATATAATCTTACCCGTCTTCTCTTAAGAATCCTGAATTTGTTATTTACATAATTTCACCACTTCTCCCTCTCCTCTTGGATGCATTAACAATTTAAGAAACTATCAAAGATTCTTAAAAATACATTAGTGATTAAGATATATTTTAGCTCATAAATTTTTCCATCTTTTAGAAACTCATAAATTTATTTTCCTATTATGATATATAGTAAAACAAGAGCTCCTGGCAGATGTACTTTTCACCCATAATGAATATTTATTGAAGCAACAATAGTTATTAAAGCTGTACAAGCAGCTAATAAATATTTATGGAATACCTTCTCTGAGTTAGACCCCATGATAAATATGCCAAGTGCTAAAAAAGGTCATGAAAAAGACGCTATTTCTCTCTAGGGATGCTTGATTTCCAGTAGAGGGGTAAAAAAGCTTTTTTTTTTTTTTTTTTTTTAAGTATCTGTAACCAGGAAGTGGAATTAGAATAATTAAAGGCAAAAATCCCATTATAAGTTTTAAATGAGTTAGGTATCCATGTAAAACAGCATTTTTCATTCAGACAATTTATCATATATGTATTCAAGTAACTTAACTCCAAATCCAGTTACAGAAATTCAGAGTAAGGGTTTGCTTTGCTTTCATTTACAGGAGGAAACTTTGCATTTCTCATTTTGCCAGCATCAGAGCGTAATGGTTCAGAGTGTAGCCTCCGGTACCAGATTGCCTGAGTTCAAATCCCACCTCCAATTCTTAAAAGCTCAAGCGTCCTTAGCTGAGTCATTTAGCCTCTGTGCACCACAGATTCCCCAACTGGGATAATTATGGCACATGCTCCATGGGGTCTTTATAAGAATTAAATGACTTTAGAACCGTGGCCAACCCCCTTCAGCACTATATACAGTCAGCTGTTATTATTTAGCTATTTTTAAGGATGAACTGCAGTTTATACTTATTTCTAAACAGCATCAGATACTTGAGGATTTGTTTTTCTTCTGTGCTCCATAAAAGTATGGCCAGTAGCTTTCCAAAAGTTTGAAGCCTTAGTATTTTCCTTTCCTGGTTGGTCCAGTGATCTTCTTGCCATAGGTCCCTAGAGTCTGACAAGTTAAGCAGGAGCAGCTGGCAGAGTGATGAGGCTGGAGGTGGTACTTGAGAAAAGCTGAAACTCCTAGGGTGTGGATGCCTTTGTGTGTCCCACGGGAGCTGGCTCTGCACAGGGGCACATGTGGCCTTCCTCTTGTCCCTGCCCCGAGGAAGGTGAGCTCCAGGGTCACCTGCTCTCCATCTGTTCTCAAACCCCTGGCGCCTCCAGGTCTCTTCACCTCTCCTCTCCAGGGTGCCTTTGCCACACCTGCCTCAAGATGACCGCGGCCCTAAAACCATTGTTAAGCAGAAGCTCCATCCCCCGGCCCCTGCACTCCAGCCCATCACCATGGCCAGGGAAAGACTGCACACAACCCCAGGGCCTAGTCTGTCCTCTCAAACTAGGAAGGGCTGACTTACAAACGTGAATATAGGAAATTATATGTGACACCAGCCTGGATCACATGGTGAAACCTCGTCTCTACTAAAAATACAAAAATTAGCTGGGTGTGGTGGTGTGTGCCTGTAATCCCAGCTACTTAGGAGGCTGAGCAGGAGAATCACTTGAGCCCGGGAGGCGGAGATTGCAGTGAGCCGATATCCCGCCATTGCACTCCAGCCTGGGCGACGTGAGTGAGACTCCATCTCAAATAAAGAAACAAAACAAGAAAAAAAAACTATATATAGCTTTTGGTCATTCTGCCATGAGATGAGAGAAAATAGTAAAAGCCAATTTAAAAAGATAGTCTGTCCTAATTTCAAGTCAAAGATGTAAAACGGCAATATTACTGGATTCACAAACAGAATCAGATCTTCTGATTAAGATCCAGAAGACAACCTTTTGAGTCATGTATCTCTGCGTGGTATCTCCTGACCAGCAGACACTGTTGGGGAAATTCTTTTTTCAAAGTGGAAACTTGGAAAACCATTATTTAATTTATGCAATTTAATTATAAAATTTAAAGAAAAAAAAAAGGCTGCCTATGTTGTGTGTTACTGCCCCCCGGTGTCCACTGCTGTTATTGACACGTGTATTTTATTTGAAAAGAACAGCACCCTGGTGGTGCTTTCTTGACTTCTCTTTCACTTTTAGTAAAAATTGCTTGCGTTGCTCACTGTTCAGTGAATTCTCACTGTCTTCCTGGGTCGAAAATGTGGTATTCAGAATAGTGAGCCTAAAAATTAAGGCAACAGCGAAACACCTGGAACACAACAAACTTGAGAGTAAGGATTGGGTAATCCGAGGGGTTGCTTTGAGTATTCAGCCCTGTGTTGAATATTTCAAAATGGATACTAATTGGAAAAAAGAAAGTCCCCCTAATTCCCAGTGAAAACTACTCAGGCAAATTTCTAAAACAAAGGCTTAATTGTCCTCCTCTGGCTACATTGCTCTTGGCTATTTCTTAGCATTTTCTGCTCTGGGGGTTGACAGAGGCAATTAACCACCAGTCCATCAGTTGGTCACTAGTTAACATGTCTGGTGAGAGATCTGATGGGGTAGAGAATGTATTCTATTCACCAAAAGCACGTACTTCAAGTAAAAAATAACAGGTAGATCTCAATGGTATTTAGGTATTTCCTTAGATTCCTGTAAATCCTGTGTCAATTTTTGTCACCAGTTGCTGCCCAAAGGTCCAGGTTAGGTTTAGAAGTATCTTCCTCACTTTTCAGCACATGTCACATCAGCTAAGCTGAGTCACCAAGTACACTCAACAAACCAATATCTTTCTTTACTCCTGTAAGGCCTCAAGGCTCTATAATGAATATAAGAGAAATCTGTGGCCGGGTGCAGTGGCTCACACCTGTAATCCCAGTACTTTGGGAGGCTGAGGCAGGTGGATCACGATGTCAGGAGTTCGAGACCAACCTGGCCAACACAGTGAAACCCCCTCTCTACTAAAAATACAAAAAAATTGGCCCGGCGTGGTGGCGGGTGCCTGTAATCCCAGCTGCTTAGGAGGCTGAGGCAGGAGAATCACTTGAACCTGGGAGGTGGAGCTTGCAGTGAACCGAGATGGCGCCACTGCACTCCTGCCCAGGAGACAGCGCAAGACTCCGTCTCAAAATAAAAAAAAACTGTGTCTGTGTTTATGAATGAGTGCAAATTTGTTATCATTAGATGTGTAAACACTCTATTTGTTCTAAATTAAATTGAAGCTTTTCTGAACCCCAGTCCTGTGGGGCTGGTGAGGCTTTCAATCAGGCTTACTATTGGGGTTTCCAATGACCCAACCCTCACCCTAATTTCAGAACTGACTGAGGGTCTGAGGGGTCTTATAAAGAACAGAACGTTCAGGAAATTCCTTCTGGCCTTTGACCCACATCTGTGGTCATGGACATGCTGTGAAAATAGATAAGGAAACTGAGTCCTAAAGTCATTAGATAATTTGCTTTGAATTTCACAGCAAATCCTTAGTGGGATCATTATGGAAAGGTGGGTCTTCTGAGCTTTCATGGATTATCACAGTTTAAAAATCCATATAATTTTATTAATCTCCTTGGAGCTGTAATTCACAATTTACAGTATTGTTTGGTGATACTCCTCACTTCACCCTTCCTTCTTTTCCCCCAAATAATAATAATGCCTGTCATTTATTCAACTGTGCTAAGTGCTTTCCATTCATAAACCCTATGAGAAATATTATACCCACTTTTCAGATGAGATTCAGAGAGGTTAAGTAGCAACCTGGCCAAGAAGAAAGAAGCAGCAAATAAGAGGCTGAATTAGACCTGAACTTGAGTTTGTCTGGCTCTAAAGCCTATGTACTTAACTACCATACTATATTGCTTTTTCTAATAAAATTAGGAGAAAGAAGGAAGGAATATGTGACATACTTTTTAAAGACCAAATCGAATCAAAATATTGTTTTACTTACTATGGGAGAATTTTAGACACGACGATGTTATGGAACCACTGGTTAGAGTTCCCACATTAGCTTGTTTTTTTCAACGACTTGCTGATATAGTACATAAAATTCATCTCCCAAAACTCCAGGATAAAATTATCGTAGATGCATGATGGTAACTTAGATTATTGCAAGCCTTTTTGCAATTAAAGTGTAATAATAATTTAGCCTTCTCTGAGTTCATGTCCTTTGCTGGGACATGGATGAAGCTGGAAACCATCACTCTCAGCAAACTTACATAGGAACAGAAAACCAAACACCACATATTCTCACTCCTAAGTGGGAGGTGAACAATGAGAACACAAGGACGCAGGGAGGGAAACATCACACGCCGGGGCCTATAGCGGGGTAGGGGGCAAGGGGAGGGATAGCATTAGGATAAATACCTGATGCATGCGGGGCTTAAAACCTAGATGATGATGAGTTGATAGGTGCAGCAAACCACCACGGCACATGTATATGTGTTTGGTACACACAGGTAACAAACCTGTATATTCTGCACATGTATCCCAGAACTTAAAATAAATTTTTTAAAAAAAGAAAAAATAATAGTAATTTAGCATTCTCCTGAGGCAGTACAGGAGTGTGTATCACTGATCTCATCCTAGGACAACATTTGCCTAAATGTACCTCTTCCATTTATCATCATTTTTTTAAAGAATGAAGATAATCTCCAGATTCTTATGACTGTCTTTGATATTCTAAGAAAAAAAAATTGAATAAAATGTCATAACCCTTTAGGAGACAATTAAGAAAACAAATATAAAAGAAACAGATACTTAAAAAAAAAGTCTACAAAGAGTGAGGAAAACAGCATTCATTTGTAATTCCAAATTCAAAGAGAATTTTTGAGAAGCCCAGAACTTTAAAATGGAAATATCTTTTATTCAAGCCTGCCATCTTGAGGTCAATTAGAGAAATACTTAGTCTTGTTGAGAATCTATACTATTAAAAAAGAGCATGATATTTTGAATAAAAGTTTAAAAAATAAAAATAAGAACAACAACACTAAGCCAAAAACAGGATTTCTTCTCAGAAAACATAAATCTAAAACTCCCCACTGTCAGCCTGTTAAGGGTCATCATGGATTTGATTGAATCATGGCTTTGCCAATGCCAAAGAGCACTATAAATACACCTGGAGTTGTGTTATTACACGTGGCATTGAGAGAGAACACACTTCATGGGACATCTCACTAAGAATGTGTCAGAAAGGACTTACTACAGCATTCAAGGCTTAAGGAAGTAGGGCTTTGCTCTGGATTTTTTAATGTACAGAGCATTTGTTACCATGAATGAACCAATGCTGATGTATTTTTATTAACCAACATCCATAGTTTATTCAGATTTCCTTATTTTTACCGAATATCCTTCTTCTGTTGCAGAATCTTACCCAGATACCATATTACATGTAGTTGTCATATCTCCTCAGTGTCCTTTCGGGTGGGACAGTTTCTCAGACGTTTTTGATGAGCATAACAGTTTTGAGGAGCTCTGGTCGAGTATTTTGTAGGATGCTTCTTCACTGGCGTTTGTCTAATGTCCTCTTCATAATCAAGCTGGGATTATGGATTAGGGGGAAGAAAGACCACAGAGGTAAAGCTCCATTTTCATCACAGCATGTGAAGGTACACACAGTATTACCAATGAGACTTATCACCATTGTTAACCTTGATCAGCTGGCTGAGGTAGTGTTTGTCAGGTTTCTCCACTGTACAGCTGCTATTTTCCCCCTGCTTTCTATAATGTGTTCTTCAGGAAAAAGTCACTACATGCAGCCCACACATAAGGAGTAGGGGGTTTTCCCCAGCCCTTTTGAGGGCAGAGTTTCTACATAAATTACTTGGAAACATATCTATGTTTCTTCTATCTTTATTTTCTTCTGCTTGGGAGACTTGTCTATTCTTCTCCATATATTCAGGTATTTATTCAATCTATTATTTGTGTCAGTATGGACTCATTAATCTTTATTTTGTAATGTGTGCCACAAAATATTTATTTTGTTGATCAAATTGTTCCAGTTTTAGCCACTGGGGACTCTTTTCCCCTGGCTCCTGTATCTCTTTGACACACCCCCATCAATGCAGGATTTTCTGTTGTGTTTTGTTTTTCTTTGAGCACTGTCTTACCTTCTGGCACTACACAACACTCCAGGCTCATCTTGTATATTTCCTGCCCCAATTCCAGAATCAGCCATTTCTCCCAAGAGCCCTGGTTCCTCTTATTGGAAACCAAAATCTGAGTGCTAGGTGTGCTTGTTGCTACTCCAGTGCCTTTACCTCCAGGCTGTCTCAGCTGAGTTCATGCTGATATTGCCAACTCTAATTCTTTACCACACACATCACTCTCCTCTCCTCCCCTTGCTTATCTGTAAGTACCCACTCCACCAGTAAGAATCCTAGCTCCCACCATTTGCCATCAATGTACTGAATTCTTCCGTCCCAGTATACATGCATCGCAGAATCAGAATTGTCAGTGTGTACTCCATGGGAAACAACTTTATCAACTAGAGCACAGTGAGAGCTTCTATCTATTTAAGGATAAATTTAATTCTCTGATAGTATAGCCTGCTTGAAAAGTTTTAGTTTTTCTTTTTAAATATGGAGAATTAACAAAGATAATCAAATCAGTAGAAAGGCTGTGCAGGGTATGAACAATGGGATTTCTTTCTTTTTCAGGTAAAGGAGGGCGGGTGGCTGAATTTGGAGTGTCACAGTAATGGACAGTGATGTGTCAAGGGAAAGCTTTTTATAAGAAGTTAGGTGGCCGGGCACGGTGGCTCATACCTGTAATCCCAGGACTTTGGGAGGCTGAGGTAGGCGGATCACTTGAGGTCAGGAGTTGAAGACCAGCCCGGCCAACATGGTGAAACCCCATCTCTACTAAAAATACAGAAAATAGCTTAGCTGAGCATGGTGATGCACGCCTATAATCCCAGCTACTTGGGAAGCTGAGGCAGGAGAATCACTTGGACCCAGGAGGCGGAAGTTGCAGTGAGCTGAGATTGCACAACAGAACTCCAGCCTGGGCGACAGCGAGACTCCGCCTCAAAATCCAGCCTGGGTGACACAGCAAGACTCCGCCTCAAAAAAAAAAGAGAGATTAGGTGACTTAACTGAAAAATTGTAAGCATTTTTGTTAAAGAGTTTGTAAAGCATGATAATCATTATTTAGTGGAAACTCTAGAGCTAAATTAATTAATTTTTTTACATGTTTTACTATTGTTCTTAAAGCTCTTAGAGAATATACGTATGACTTGGCTATTGGGGCTAATGAAAGAGTGAAAGAAGCAATAGGTTTCAAATGATTCCCATTACAGTATGTCCAGACCCTTTATGAGTAAAAGAGAAAAATATTTGTGAATTTAGAATTCTGGAAAATATTTTGGTGCACACTTATTGTATCAGTCTTATCAATCTTTGTGCCCTGAGATGTTTAGCATGAGATGTTCCTTTTAACTTGGAAGTATTCAGTAATTGAAAGATATTTACGTTAGCATATTCAACTTATTTATCAAAAGAAGTTAAACTTTATAATTTGTCAGTTTTTTTGTACTAAGTCTGGTAGACAAAGTCTCTTATAGTAATTTACTTAATTACAGTTTAGAGAATTTTAGACATACCTAATTAATTTTATTTATTGCTCTATGAGCACTTATTTCAAATCATTTTGGCTATTTTGAGTAGGGAAATGATGTATACAAAAATGTCCAGGCCGGGCACGGTGGCTCACGCCTGTAATCCCAGCACTTTGGGAGGCCGAGGTGGGTGGATCACAAGGTCAGGAGATCGAGACCATCCTGGATAACATGGTGAAATCCCGTCTCTACTAAAAATACAAAAAATTAGCTGGGTGTGGTGGTGGGCACCTGTAGTCTCAGCTACTCAGGAGGCTGAGGCAGGAGAATGGCGTGAACCCGGGAGGCGGAGCTTGCAGTGAGCCGAGATTGCGCCACTGCACTCCAGCCTGGGCGACAGAGCAAGACTCTGTCTCAAAAAAAATAAAAATAGAAATAGAAAAATAAATAAAAATAAAAATGTCCAAAGACATTTGTATGCTTTGTTAATGTATTGTTATTTTAAGAAATGAGTCAAATCATGTTTCATAACCAGTGTTTTGTATGTCTTTAAAAAGTTGTTTAGTAATTGTTTAGGCCTTCAAAGATCTTTTCATAATGAATTCAGTCATTTCTCTATGACCTTAAATTTAGTGAAGGATCTGGTAATTTCAAATTAGCTAACATATTTTTTATTTACAGTATTATACATTTTCATAAAATTAGGTCTTTTAAAAGGATATTTATTATCATTCTATTTAGTTGAATACAATTACATATGTAATTTTTAATTTTAAACAAGCTACAGAAACATACGTAGATCATTTAACTCGCAAACCAATGTAGGAAAGTTTGAATTATAAGAAATAACACTGGTCTTGAACAAATCAAAATGTTATGCTAACAACATTTTTATATGGTAAACCAGTTTTTAAAAACTCTGAATCATGCCAATATTCCCTTTTATTTTGAAGTTAAAATCTTTTCTATCTCATAGCTATAAAAACAAGTTATTATATAAAAACACTTTCCAGTACCCATAAAAAGAAACATAATTTAGTGACTTTACCTTTCTTTTAGAAAATATTTACTGTTTATATGTACTTAATATTCCTGCAGTACCTCAAAAATGACTGAAAGGTTTTTTTTTTATCAGTTAAGTTTTAAAGTTTACAATAGTCACGCATATTAATCAGGATGGAGGGATATTTTGGTCATTTTTATGGTTTGGGTAATGTTTTGGCTGAGGGATGTTGGGCAAGTTAGCAGCTGAGCCTCATTTTCCATATAGGGTTCTTTATGAAATGAAACAAATTAGTAAAATGTCCAACAATGTCTATGTTATTGTGTATGTTCAAACCTGATTTGAGAGTGATCTTGTTTTTGTCTTTATTTCTGATGGTCACAGAGTGGTCTTAACTGATTTTGATATTCTGTGAAATTGTTTAAGAGGAAAATACCAAGGCTAGCTCCTAGCAACAACAGGACAAGTGGACAGTAAGAAGCCGTCTCCCAGGTGTCAGGGGCTGCTTTTCTTTTTCTTTGTAACTCTCTAGAGCCTAAACTTGGAAATACATGTATTATACAAGCCAAGGTTTTATTCTTAAAAACATGCCTAAAGCACACATAAAATGTGTTTTGATAGAGCTACTGAATCATAATTAACAAAGAGAAGGATTTAAAGTTTACAACAAATAGTCAAGTTCTTAACAGCCTTAATATAAGCTGAGAATGAAAGTTTAAGCTGCATTCAATGTTATGAGCAATGGAATATTGTAATTGTTAAGTTTATGTGTCAACTTGAATGGGACATCCAGTACCTAGACACTTGGTCAAACATTATTCTGGGTGTGTCTATGAGAATGTTTCTGGATGAGATTAACATTTGAACATTTGAAAAGGTAGACTGAATAAAGCAGACTGCCCTCTCTAATTATGGGAAGGCCTTATTCAATTGATGGAAGCCCTAATACAACAAAAAGGCTAAGAGGAAACTCCCACTGACTGACAGCCTTGAGCTGGGACATCAGTCTTCTCCTGCCTTTAGACTCAAACTGAAATATAGGCTTTTAGACTGGTAGTACATCATCAGTTATCCTGGGTCTCTATTACCAATGGCAGATCTTAGAAATTCTCAGCCTCCATAACCCCATGAGCCAATCCCTTATAATAACTAAATAACAAAACAAACAAATAAATAAAATACATATGTATGCACATACATATAAACACATACAGAATATTAGTTCTGCTTCTCTGGAAAACTCTGATTAAATATCAAATTACCATTAACTGGTATATACAGAAAGCTGACATACAGGTTGTCAATTTACAAATAGTCACTTTTGAACCTTTCTCATTTTAGAAAACATTTCACACATTTGACATAAGAGTAAAGGGACGTTTCTAAGAGGAAAAAGCAAGAGATTTATTAGTGAAAACTGCTCTTAATGTTTTTTGACCAAAGAAATTTCTACAGATCCACAGGGGTCAACCCTGTAATGGAGGAATATGTTCAACTGATGAGTGCTCCTTAACGCAAAAGCTTTAATTGATTCCTCTGTTATAGGACCAAGCTTCTTTACGGGGTCCCTCTTAAAAGTTTCAAAAGATACCAGCTATTCTACTTCCTGAGATATTAGTGTAAAAGTTCTAGAAGTCTCAGAGATATTAAGCAAATGACAAAAAAAGGATTGTACATGGCTGAAGTTCATTCAGTTCTACCGTTAAATAAAAACAAAGCAAATAATCCATAAGATAATCTTCCAGTTCATTTTTCCACTGTGAAAAATCAAGGTAGAATTATATCTATATTTATTTTCACTAGGTAAGGCACCTTGAAGAAATATACATGGGCTGGGCATGGTGGCGCACACCTGTAATCCCAGCACTTTGGGAGGCTGAGGCAGGAGTATCACTTGAGGTCAGGAGCTCGAGATGAGCCTGGCCAACATGATGAAACCCCGTCTCTACTAAAAATACAAAAATTAGACAGGTGTGGTGGTGGACACCTGTAATCCCAGCTACTCAAGGGGGCTAAGGCAGCAGAATCGCTTGAACCAGGACGCGGAGGTTGCAGTGAGCTGAGATTGCACCACTGCACTCCAGCCTGGGCCACAGAGTGAGGCTCCATCTCAAAAACAAAAAACGTATGTATAAGTCCATCAGAAGTTACCTAAAACCCCTGTTCACGTTCTAGGACCAATATTATGGTTATAAGGCTTTTTTAGATGAGGCATTATCCAGATAGTGGAGTGTCAACATTGGTCATAAAGGTGCTCTCTGGTGGTGATGAAACTGGGGGCCTCTCAACATACTCTAGGCATCTGCATTCTAAAGGTTTCCAACCTATCCACATACCCAGAGGGACATTCGTACCTTTTACTCAGTGATTTTGGAAATGGAGTTTTTTGGAGCCCAAAAAGCTGGGCACCAAATGAGAAGACAGTGACTCTCTGGAAATCACAGGAACCAGGAAGAGAGAAGCAGAATTTAATGGTACTTGGAGAAGTAGACAGGAATCAAGAGAATTTTGTCAGCGGGCATCATGCAGGTGAATGGAAAATCAAGGTGGGCAGGGGGCAGCGTTGGATACACGCTTGGGCATCAATCCTTGGAATAAAAGTATCTTTTAAATTTTAAAAAAGTGGGTTTTTTTTAGTTTAGTCTCACGTGTGTCATACAAAAAGCTAGATAGCCTGAATATCCTTGTACCTTGGAGGGAAGGCAGGCCGACTTTCGGTTGTGTGCCAGCCAAGTCTGCTTCTCTGTGTCAATCTCAAGCATTAGGGATTGGCAAGGCTGTACTGTAGTTTCAAAAACTAAATGTCGTAAAACCACAAGAATCTTTCTCCCATAGGAGCCCAGCCCCCGAAGTGATGAAAAGGCTGCCTGAGGTATGATGGGATTTCATATTTGGTGTGAAGAATCAAGGTCAGGATGGCATAGCAGTAAAGGGTTTGAAAGTCCTGAGGTTTAATTTCCAGGTCGGCCAGGTATTTGCTGTGGAATCTTGGGCAAGTTAGCGGCTGAGCCTCCTTTTCCTTATAGGGCTGTTTGAGGAATGAAACCGGTTAGCACAATGCCTGATACACAGCTCGACAATCGGTAGTCATCCCATTACGCACCTAAATTGTATGGATGGAGGGAAGGCAACTGACATTTATTTAGCATTTACTATGTGGCAGGCACTATACTAGCCACGTCCATGTATTATTACCTCCTTAATCCTTAAAAAATCCCTGGGAGCTAGGTAGTCCTATGTCATAGGAGACAGGAGACTGGAAACTGAGACTATCATAGCAAAGTATAGCAGAAAATGCATACAGGTGGGGTGGGGGTATCTCATTGTAAACAGTAGTTGCTAATGCCTATTTGAGCTAACAGGTCATGATTCTACAACCCAATATGATAGAAAATAATATAGGCAGAATTATACTCAGGTTTTCCCAATATTGACAGCAATTTTAAGGGAAAAAATAAAATCTTTGAAATGCTATAGCTATAAATAAATCAGCATTTGCAATTTTTTAGAGCAACTCTGAAGGAAACTGTTAGTAATTAATTTTTCAGGACTTGTTGAAGCAGCCCAAACTCTGAAATGCATTTTGTCCTGGCAATTATGGCTTGTAATGTCAAAAATGATCATAATTGCAATGCTGTTAGCACTTGAAAGGAACAGTTTCCTTTCACCTTTGTCTCTCACCTGCAAAGTTGTGAATTGCCACCTGGTGATAGTAGAGTTCCACACCATCTAGGAGAAAAGGGCGATCCTAAATATGAAATAAGCTGAAAAAATGCAGTCTGGCTTTTGTTCAAGGAATAGGTTTCTCTATGTAAAAATGGCTAAAAGCTAGGCTATTAAACAAGTATTATCCACACCAGACATACTCAAGAGTGAATTCGGGGGAAAAAAAGAATTATTCAATTAAGCAAGTCTCTTGCTAGTCGTCCTTTTCTAGAACAAGCTAAATCACATTTCTGTTCAGCTTGTTACAGAACCTGATCACAGGAGTGTTCTCTTTTCTTACTTACACCTAAGATTGCTCTATTAGTGCCTTTGTAGCTGCCTTTACCATTCTTTATGTTCCATTTCCTCTCTCTCTCTCTCTCTCTCTCTCTCTCTTTTTCTCCCTTTCTCTCTCTCTAGCTTTTCTAAACCACAAGGGGCCTCTTTTCTGTCTTCTGGGAACCCTGAAGGTTTGGGAATCACATCCTAAATAATGCAGAATCTTTAACCAAAGCCTGTGGATTTTCTTCTTCATTTTAAAACATCACCTTGATAATTATCTCGTGCCTTGTCTAGTTAGATTACTTACAGATAAACAGTTTAAATGCTCATTTATTCATTTATAGACTCCTATTACAAGCCAGTTTTCAATTCTAGTGCAAGTAACAATCCACAGAATTTTTCATGCTTCAGACCTGAATTACGTTTCAGAACCAGAAGAAGAAGCAGCTTCGATTATTTTCTTGATGAAGACAAAATAGGCTACTCAAAATATTGCCATTGTCTAGCCTCCATCGCCAAGGCAACAAGGCAGGGTGGGGGATGCTGCCCTGACCACTAGCATTAGAGCTTTTCTTTGTTGCAAACACACATCTCAAATGTGATGAAAATCATTTCATGAAAAACTAAAAATACATCAGCTGATATTTTGCTCTTAACAGAGCAACTTACTGAACTGAATTCATAATTTTAGCTTGCAACCCAATTATCAGTTAAAATAAACAGACTCAACTTCAATAAATAGAGCTCCCTTTTCATGTGTAATTAACTATGCTGGATTGCATTTGGTCATCTGAGCAGTACCACCTCTCACCTCCAAGCGGGGAGCCATGTTTTTCAGAATGCCCTTCCCATACAATTCAGGGTTGGATTTTGCCAGTGAGAGGAACTTGCATGGGATTTGAAAAGCTAAGCTGTTATTCTCAGGAGGACCTGGTGGCCAGAACAGCTTCCCTTCCTGCTCCAGCTCTTTAGGCAGAAGTTATTAAGGGACTGTTTCTCTGATCCTCTACCTGCTGTTCAGCCCCACGCTCCCAGTAGCTCTCCCACATATGTATAACCCTAATTCCTTTATTAAATCCTTTGGCCCCTGTAACACTTGCAGTGGCTCTGTTTTCTGGGCTGAATCCACTTCCAGTGTCAAAAACTATAGGTGGCTATTACAGAAGATCAGACAAAGAAAACACTTCATAAAATCTTGCAAAATTTGTTCAGTGAAAGGAGGCAAACAGTAATTAATGAAGCAAATGGAAAAGAGAGTTTTCTACCTTTACAAATGACTGAATTTACACAAGCAAAATAAATATTTGAATGAGGGTAAGGCTCCAGTGTGAGGCATCTTTCCTGATAAAAATCCTAGCTTTCGGTTTTAAAAACATTGCCTTTTACTTCTTCCTCTCCTGCACTCTCTGAGAAGGCTGGCTGCACTGCCCGATTCCTGAGGGTTATTTAGCACATTTCCCGGCATGCCTCTTGCTTCACCCCAGCTATACTGTAGCTTTATGTCCTGTTTGTTAATATTTGAAATAGAAACTCTACTGACACCTAATGCATTCCGCTGACATTGGCTAGCAGACTTCTTGTAACTGTTTGACCTTCTCATCCTCTCTGCATGTTAAAATTACTTAAGGAGTGGATGTGCTAAAAGTTTGGTTTCCTGAGATTGTTGGAAGAAAAGGTCACTCAAATCCAATAAACACATAATTTTATTTTTCATCGGTGATGGAGTCCATGATCCAGCACCATATATCTTGCAAAGAAAGTGTAAAAAAAGCTTTGAGCCCTCAGTCCTGGCAAGTCTCCCTGCATCCCATGTATTTACAACAGTTCAATCTATACTTGAATTGAAGTTCTAACTTAGAGTTCTAGAGCAGTGAACCTTTGTTTTATTTATGTTTCAGAATTTAATATACAGTAAGTGAGTGAGAAGTTAAGTTTTAAACAAGAAGCTCAGAAATGTTCTATTTAATTACATTTTAAAACATTATTGGAGTTTTTATTTTCCCTTGTGAGTACCATGTTAAATTAAAAGTAAGGAGAAAAGAACAGTTAATTTTATGCATCTGACTTTTTCCCTCATGCAATACTGTGTTTGTGAGGAAGGGATACGTTTTTCTTTGATTAAAAAAAAAAAAAAACACTCAAATCTCAGTGGTGGCTGGGGCAGTGGTTCACGCTGGTAATCCCAGCACTTTGGGAGGCTGAGGTGGGCAGAATGCCTCAGCCCAAGAGTTTGAGACCAGTCTGGGAAACATAATGAAGCCCTCTCTTTAAAAAATAAATAAATAAATAAATAACTAGGCCTGGTAGCACACACCTGTAGTCCCAGCTACTCAGGGGGCTGAGGTAGGAGGATCACTTGAGCCCGGGAGGCAGAGGTTCAGTGAGCCATGATCGTACCACTGTACTCAAGCCTGGGTGACAGAGACCCTGTCTCAAAAACTAAACAAACAAGTCTCAGTGGCTTTTCACAGCAGAAGCTTATTTCTTATTCATAGATGTGGTGCACAGGGAGCCATCAGGGAAGCTCTGTTCATCACTCTCACTTGGGGTCCCAGCTCCCAGAGGCTCCATCACACCCTGTGTTTCCATAATTACAGGGGCAGGAAGGAGAAGGTAGGGAATTACACAATGTCTCAAAGCTTCTACTGGAAGGTGATACATGGTACTTACACTCACATTTCATTGCCTAAAACAAGTCACAGGGCCTCACTCCACTTCTGAGCAGGTATAGAAGTATAATCCCATCATAGGACAGAGGGAGAGCTGACATAAATATTCATGAGCTGTACCTACATTTCTTTTCCTGATAACAGAAAAATAAATATTTCATTTATGGCCATTATCAGATAATATTTCAGTTGAAAGCATGCATTATCAATGCCACACTTCCCTCTGCCAGGAGGTAAAAATTTGGAATTCTTGGAAGGAGGGGCAAAATCTTAAAACTTAGATATTCTAATGATCTATGGCCCTTCAAAGGGCCACAGCACATAAACAGTATACTGCATATCTGTGGTATTAAAACTTTATGGAGGCCAGGCACGGTGGCTCATGCCTGTAATCCCAGCATTTTGGGAGGGCGAGGTAGGCAGATCACGAGGTCAGGAGTTCAAGACCAGCCTGGCAAACATGGTGAAACCCCCATCTCTACTAAAAATGCAAAAATTAGCTGGGTGTGGTGGTGCACATCTGTAATCCTAGCTACTTGGGAGGCTGAGGCAGGAGAATCACTTGAACCCAGGAGGCAGAGGTTGCGGTGAGCCGAGATCAGATCATGCCACTGTGCTCCAGCCTGGGTGACAAAGCAAGACTCCGTCTCAAAAAAAAAAAAAAAAAAAAAAAAGGAAAAGAAAAAGAAAAAAAACTTTATGGAGGTGGGGGTAGGAGGTGATTAGGGAAGAAAAAAAGCCTAAAGAGGCTCCTTGGGGGGTGGTTAAAGGAAATAAAGTTGAGAAGCACAGAGTCGGAAGGCCTGAGTTCTAATTCTGGCATTTAATCAGATGAGGTAACTGATCATGCTGAAAGCCTAGTTCTCCCCACCCTTTGTATTACTTTCCCAGGGCTGCCATAACCAATGACCACAAGCTGAATGACTTAAAGCAACAGAAATGTATTCCTTCACACTTCTAGAGGCTGGAGATCCAAGACCAAGGTATCCTCAGGGCCATGTTCCCTCCAATGGCCTTGCTGGAGAGAATGTCCCATGGGTCTGTTCTAGCTCCTGGTGGTGGCTGGCAGTCCTTGGCCTTCCTTCAGCCGAGGCAGCCTAACTCCAAACTATACCTCCGTCTGCACATGGTCCTCTTCCCTCTGTGTGTATCTTTGTGTCTCCCAATCTCTCTCCCCTCCTAAGGACACTAGGTATTGAATGTGGGCTCATGCTAATCCAGTCTTTTCTTAACTTGAATACATCTACAAAGACTTTATTTCTTTTTTTTCATTTATTTTTATTTTTATTTATTTTTAACTTTTTTTTTTTGTTTTGTTTGAGATGGAGTCTCGCTCTGTTGCCCAGGCTGGAGTGCAGGGGTGCAATCTTGGTTCACTGCAAGCTCCGCCTCCTGGGTTCACGCCATTCTCCTGCCTCAGCCTCACCAGTAGTTGGGACTACAGGCGCCCGCCACCACACTGGCTAATTTTTTTTTGTATTTTTAGTAGAGACGGGGTTTCACCATGTTAGCCAGGATGGTCTCCATCTCCTGACCTGTGATCCACCCGTCTCGGCCTCCCAAAGTGCTGGGATTACAGGCGTGAGCCACCGCGCCCGGCCAAGACCTTATTTCCAAATGAGATACAGGAGAGCTAGGACTTCAGCATATCTTTTGGGGGACAGGATTCAACTCAAGATACCTTTTGATCCCATTACTTTAGGAATGTAACATTTATTGCAGTGCCCACTGCATTCCAGGAGATGGAAAGATTGTGCTCGAGATAGAAAGATTCCTTTCCTCAATGAATATTTATTTGATCCTTACTATGTGTCAGGCACTGTTATAGGCACTAGGATTACATCTATAACAACAAAACAAAGAGACAAAATCTAGATCAAGTTCTTGCTGTTGTTGGGGCTCAGAAAATGCTACCTCAAAATATGGCACCTTGGAAACTGAGAAAACAGCAGAAATGGAAAGGCCACTCTCTGACCTTCCACCCGTCTATGTGAGAGCTGGCCATAAAGGGGTTCGCTGACTTACCCTCCATGAAAGTAGGCCATAGGACCCTGATGTGACAGATGTCCCACCCTATACCCAAAGTAAAGGCATATTATCCAGGGGGGGCCAAGAAGAATCTAAACAAATAGGGACTGTTGAGTTTTCCGTAGTGTGTGAAGTCAGACTCCCCCTTTGTCCAGTTACATTTCTGCACAACTGTTCCTTCTTCATTGAACCTAAGGGTATAAAGTTATACCCTTTTTCCTGGGTCTTCGGGTCTTCATGTCTGAAGGTTCCCATATCACATAAAACATTAATTGAATAAATTTGTTATGCTTTTCTCTTGTTAATCTTTTGTTACAGGAGCGTCAGCCACAACCCTTGCAATGGGTGAGCAAAGTTATTCCTTTTTCTCCCCCACACTGTTACATGACTTACGGTCTATAGAAGAGATGGGTGATACACAGATATGTGCAACATGGTACCACTAAGAAGAAAGATAAGGCAGGGTAGATGGTAGAGAGTGCAATGTGAAATATGTTGCTGTGGAGAATGTAGTCAGGGTAAGCCTCTTTAAAGAGGTGTCTTTGAGTAAAGGTTTGAATGAAAGGAGGGATAAAATCATGTGGCTGCCAGGGAGACAGAATTCCAGACAGAGAACTGCAGTGCAAAGGTACTGAGTTGGGCACAGTTTGAGTGTGTTTGATGAGGCCACTGTAGTGATGTGGAGTGAGTATAAGGAGAGGAAGAAGATGAAGTGTGATAGAGAACTGGTGGCCAGGTCATGCAGGCCTTGAAGGCTGAAGGAAAGACTCTTCTGTTACTTTGAGTAAGATGGGAAGTGACTTGAGGATTGTGAGCAGAGGAATGACATGGTCTCATGTGTTTTAAATGAAAGCTGGGTGGTGAATATGCTGTATTATAGAGCAACAGCTGAAGCAGGGAGACCAATTAAAGTGATGCAGTAGTTCAGTTGACGGTCTGAACTGGAGTGGAAATGGGGAAGGCAGTGATGAGCTGTTGCATGCTGGATACGTTCTGAGGGTAGAGTCAGTAGAATTTCCCGATACATTGAAGGGAGTATGAGTAAAAAGAGGAGACAGGATGATGCTAAGATTTTTTGGCCTAACAAAATGGAAGTTTAGGGTTGCCACTTACTGACTGGGGGGAGTGATAGGAATGCAGCACAAATTCAGCTCTGGACATGTGACATTTGGGATACCTATTAGACCATCAAGTAGAGATGTTGAATAAGCAGTAAGATGAGATCAGGGGAGATGTCAGGGCTGGAAAATAAGGTTGGGAGTTGACAGCTTATAGATTGTACTTAAGGTCAAGGAATTAGTTAAGATCAACTACAGACTGAATATTTATTAAAAAAAATTCTTAAAAGTGAGCCTGGTAGTACCCCTAACATTTAGAATTAAGGAAGATGAGGGCTATCTAGAAATTGAGGCTGAGAAGGAGTAGCCAATGAGTTAAAAGAAGATTCATGAAAGAGTGGGGTACAAGAAGCAAAGTGAAGACAGGCTTTCAAGAAAGCGTGACCAGCAGGGCCAAATGTTGCTGACGGATGAAGTAGGAGAAAGGCTGAAAACTGGCCATAGGATTTGACAATGTACAGACCATTTGTATATAAGTCAGGATTTGGTTTGACTTCATATGCCAGAGCACCAAAAATGACAATGGAATAAACATAAAAACATCTGAGTGTAGGTAGTCCAGGGCTACATGGTAGCCCTGTGGTAATTTAGGACCCAGGTTCCTTCTAGTTTTCTTTTCCTTTATCCTAGCACATGGCTTCTATCCTCAAAATGCTGGCTTTAGTTCCTACAAAAGAACATGAAGGAACAAGTGGAAAAGGTCATAAAGGCACATGGTTCAGAGGAGCTAACTATAATAGTTAACTAGAGTTACAGTCACAATAATTCTGTATGCCAAACAACTACAAAATCTCAGTGGCATGCCACAGTAAGCATTAATATTGCTCAGGAGTCTATGGCTTGGCTGACAGTCAGCTGATCTAGGCCGGGCTTCCCTTCAAAAACCAGTACACTTGGAATAAAATCTACTTGGCCAAGTATGCTGTTTTTTGAATAAACTAAAATTTCTATTTTTACTTAGAATACTTATGTTTTTATTAGTAAATATTGATTTATAGTTCTCTTTTTAGGTATTTTTATCTGATTTTGTTATTCAGCCTATCCTTGTTTCATACCATCACTTATGGGATCCTTTCATCTTCTTCTGTGTGTAGTTATAAGAAAAGGAATTGTCTGTTTTTTGAGGCTAGATCGATGTTAATGATAAAGTCATCTGGTCCTGCTGCCTTTCTAAATGGCAGATCTTTATCTATATTCTAATTTCTGTTATGTGTCACGGTTTATTTGACTTTCTACCACTTCTTTTGTTTTGTTTGAGACAGCATCTTGCTCTGTCTCTCAGGCTGGAGTACAGTGATGCAGTCTCAGCCCACTGCACCCACAAGTCCCCAGACTCAAGCGATCCTCCCATCTTAGCCTCCCCAGTAGCTGGGACTACAGGCATGTGTCATTACGCCCAGTTTTTTTTTTTAACCTATTTGCAGAAATGGGGTCTCACTATGTTGCCTAGGCTGGTCTCAAACTCCTGGGCTCAAGCGATCCTCCCACCTCAGCCTCCCAAAGTGCTGGGATTACAGGTGTGAGCCACTGTGCCTGGCTGACTTTCTACCACTTCTTAAGTGAATCTGGGTTATTTATATTTGGCTAGCAAATCATATATTACCTTAAAATTGACCTGTACCTATTCTTTCACAATTTTTAAAATGCCTTTTGCATCTTTTCTAATTACTAATGTTGCATGTTTTCACTTTTCTCTTTTATCCTTAACTAGGCTTACCAGAGTTAGTTTAATTGTAAAGATCAGCTTCGTTATATCTTTTTTTCAGTTGTTTTTCTTTTAAAATAATTTCACTTTTATGAATTCTTTCCTCCTATTCTATTTAGGTTTGATTTTATTTATTTCTTATTTATTTGTTTTTTAAAGACAGGGTCGCATTCTGTTGCCCAGGCTGGAGTGTGGAGTGCGGTGGCACAATCACAGCTCACTGCAGCCTCAACCTCCTGGGTTCAGTCTATCCTCCCGCTTCAACCTCCTGCATAGCTGGGACTACAGGTGCATGCCACCACACCAGGCTAGTTTTTTGTATTTTTTGTACAGAAGGGGTTTCGCCATTTTGCTCAGGCTGGTGTTGAACTCCTAGGCTCAAATGAGCTGCCCGCCTGGGCCTCCCAAAGTGCTGGGATTACATGCGTGAGCCACTGCACCCAGCATGATATTTTATATTTCTTAAGTTCTATATTTAATTTTTTCAGTTCATTTTTAACATGAACACTTTTGGAGCTATTAATTCTCTTTTAAATAGAGCTTTAGCTATGTCTCATAGGTTTTTGGATTAAAAAAAAAAAGTATTCTCATTTTCATTATTTTCTAGATAGTTTGCCTTTTCCATCCTATTTATCTTTGCCTCACAGATGGTTTAAAAGAGTCAAAATTGTTATTAAAAGTATTTTCATTTTTCTTTTAATTTATGTCCATGGGAACATAATTCAACCAGTATAAAATGATAGACTAGGCCGGGCACCGTGGCCTGTAATCCCAGCACTTTGGGAGGCCAAGGAGGGCGGATCACGAGGTCAGGAGTTTGAGACCATTCTGGCTAACACGGTGAAACCCCCATCTCTACTAAAAATACAAAAAAAATTAGCTGGGCATAGTGGTGGGCGCCTGTAGTCCCAGCTACTCGGGACGCTGAGGCAGGACAATGGCGTGAACCCGGGAGGCGGAGCTTGCAGTGAGCTGAGATCGCGCCACCACACTCCAGCCTGGGTGACAGAGCAAGACTCCATCTCAAACAAAAACAAAAACAAAAAAATGATAGACTATAAAAGTCCTGTGTGTCTCCTAGCACAGAGCTCCCAGTCCTCTCTCCAGACGTAACTAATCTTATCAGATTCTGGTATTTCTTTTTAGGAGTATGAATATGCTGTGAAAATACATGTTTTGAAAAGTATTCTTTTTTGAACTCTCTTCTTTTCTTAATTATAGATTTGGGGGGTACCTGTGCAAGTTTGTTACATGGATGTACTATGTAACGCTGGGGTTTGCTGCTCTTCTAGTGAACATAGTATGCAACAGGTAGTTTCTCCAACACTTGCCCCTTTACTCTCTCCCCTATTTTGTAGTCGACTGTTTCCATCTTTATGTCCATGTGGACCATTGTTTAGCTTCCACTATAAAGTGAGAACATGTGGTATGTGACTTTCTGTTCCTGCAGTAATTCATTTAGGATAATGGCCTCCAACTGCATCCATGTTGCTGCAAAGGAAATGATGTCATTCTTTTTTATGAAAAGTATTCTTTAGCTTCAGTTTAAATTGATAAAAGGCCTCCTAAGGCTACTGATACGGTATGTAGATTTCAGGGGTCCAGGGCTTATTCTACTTTGGCTTTGAATCTCTAATGCTTTACACTGCCTGCTTCCTGCTTTCAACATTGTTTCCACAGTTCAAATCTGAGAAAGGTCTATAGAATGGACTTAGTTGGCCTTTTAAATTTGTAGATTTCTGACACTGGTTTTAGTTCATTTACTGTGGAAGAATAATTGTGCTGTCCCAACCTCTTGATCTCAAGTCTAGAAATGGTATTAAATACCTCCATAATTTCACCTGTTGAGCATCTTTATGTGACAGACCTCACTCTAGGCAGGGTTCTTTTTATGTATATCCTATGGTGGTACCAAGAAGTAGTTGTAATTTTGCAACCCATAAGCTGCATCTGTCTTCCTCCCCTAAACCTTCACAAATAAATATTTATTCTAAGTCCACTCTATGCTCACCTTGCAGACAGCTTCAAGGCAATTTCCCCAGTAGCCTCCCCTTTATCTAGAGCACCAAACCTAAACACCTGCTGTGGTGGGCAGCTCATGAAATGGCTCCTAATAATTCCCACCACTTGTTATTCACGCTCTTGTCTAATCCCCTCCTGGTGTGTGTGTGTGGGTGTGCACGTGTGCGTGTGTGTGTGTGTGTGTGTGTGAGAGAGAGAGAGAGAGATAAAGCAAGTTGCCATATTGAAGAGACTCGTGTGGCAAAGGACTGAGGACAGACTCCAACCAATAGCTAGCAAGGAAGCCCTAAGTCCAACTGAGAACAACTGAACTGTGTGGAACTGAATCCTGCCAACAGCCATATGGAAGAGCTAGGAAGTGAATCCTTCTGAGTCAAGCCTTGCGATGACTGCAGCCTTGTGAGAGATCCAGTGTCAGAGGACCCAGATTCTTGATCCACAGACACTGGCCCAAATAAATGTTGTTTTAAGCCACTAGGTTTTAGAGAAATTTATTATGCAGTGATAGATAATGACACCTGCTTTTTCAAAGTTCCTTGTAAAACCCATGATAATTGCTGGGAGGTGATTGTCCAGGTAATAGTTCTGGAGAAGAGTTATATATGTCTGATCCAATTCCCATCAACCTGTCCTTATCATCCCATGCTTTCTAAAAAGACCACATAAGCAGGTTTTGGAGACAGAAAAACAAAAAATGATGACAAATGTTGGGGTGAGAATGGTGGAGCTGGACTAGAACTCAAAAAGAAAAATATCTCTACTACATACCCATTAGAATAGTTAAAACTATTAAGAGTACCAAGTCCTGGAGAAGATGCAGACCAACTTCATCTCTCAGACATGGTTGGTGGGGTTGCAGAGTGTTATAGCTACCCTAGAAAACACTTTTGCAGTTTCTTATAAATTTAAACACACACTTACTATATGACCCAGCAATCATATTTGTGGGTAATTCCTCTAGAGAAGTGAAAACTTATGTTCATACAAAAACCTGTACTTGAATATTCATGATAGCTTTATATGCAATAGCCAAAACTTGGTGTATTAGGGTTCTCTAGGAAAACAGAACCAACATGGGGAAACAGACAGATTTATTCTGAGGAGTTTCCTCATGGAATTATGGAGCCTAGCAAGTCCAAAATCTGCAGAGTGGGCAGGCAGGCTGGAGACCCAGAAAGAGCCAATGTTGTAATTCAAGTCCAAAGGCAAACTGCTAGCAGACTTCTCTCTTGCTTGGGGGACAGTAGTCTTTTTCTTGTACTCAACTAACTGAATGAGGCCCATCCCACATTATGGAGGGCAATCTGCTTTACTGAAAGTCCACTGACTTAAAGGTTAATCTCATCCAAAAACATGCTCACAGAAACATCCAGAATGTCTGACCACATATCTGAGCACCATGACCCAATCAGGTTGACACACAAAATTCATCAAGTCCACCCTTGTCAACTGAACACACATGCACAAACATATTCATTTCAAAATATGGAGGAAATACTCAGATAAATGTATTTCTCATTTATGTAATTGGTCATGTGGTCACTATGGTCATATGGTCACTGTGGTTATGTGGTATTTCTAACAACTTTCTTCAACTACTTATTCCCTATTCCCTTTCCCCTCACCAAACACCTCAGCTGGTTGTAGTTCTTTTCTTGGTGGGAAACCCAAACCTTCAATCCTGAAGTGTCTGGGCCATTAGCAGTCCTGAATGAATTGGGTTGTGGTAGTTTTTCATTGACTTTAACCACATGGCATAGTAATACTAAGAGATACCGTAAAGGATCACCTGTATTCCAGATATATTCTTCCTTACCTCCATTGTAGAGTAGTAGTCCAATTTCCCCTTGGTAGTCAGGATCACTCACCCCAGCCAGCAATGTAACCCCCTTCTTTGTCTGTTGCTTTGGAAGCATGAGGAAGCCAAAGCAGCCAGGCAGCAGTTTTAAATTCCAGTGCAATGAAATCAGTGTTGTGTCTCCTGGTGGAAGCATCTCTCTCTTTGGAACTAAGACCTCTAGGATAGGAAAGCATAAAGTCACAAGAACAGGAAGCAAACATTTTGCTAATAGGTCACTAGGGATAATGATGAGAGGTGCCACTCCCAATTCCACCCCCTGATTTGTGGATCCATGAACCCTGGCTATGGGAGAAATGGCACCATATATTAGACACTGATTTCAAGTGTATACAGCCTTCTGGGGAACTTTGCCATACCTTGCAAAGTTTTACTTCCTATCTGGCACTGTAACAGTCTTCAAAAGGCCATTCCACTATTCTATCAAACCAGCTGATTTAGGATGGTGACGAACATGAATTTCATGAGCACAGGCCCATTGCCACACTTCATTTGCTTGAAGTAACTTCCTTGATCACAAACAATGCTGTGTGCAATGCCATGGTGGTGGATAAGGCATTCTGTAAGTCCACAGATGGTAGTTTTGGCAGAAGCATTTTGTGCAAATAAGGCAAACCCACATCCAGAGTGTCTATTCTAGTAAGAACAAAACCTGGCCCCTTCCATGATGGCAGTGGTCCAATGTAATCAACATGCCACCAGGTAGCTGGCTGATCACCCCCAGGAAATGGTGCCATATCAAGGGCTGAGTGTTGGTCTGTGCTACTGAAAGATTGGGCACTCAGTAGTGGCCATAGCCAGGTCAGCCTTGGTGAGTGAAAATTCCTGCTTCTGAGCATATGCCATAACTTCTATCCCTGCCACCATGGCCACTTTGCTCAGAAGCCCACTGGGCAAAGACAGGGGTGGTTGGAGAAAGAAGCTGACGTGCATCTACAGAGCAGGTTATCCTATCCTATCAATTTGATTATTAAAATCCTCCTCGCTGAGGTCACCCTTTGGTGAGCATGACATGGGATGTAAATATCTTCACATTATTTGCTCATTCAGAGGGGTCCATCTAAAAACCTCTTCTCCAGATTTCATTGTAACCAATTTTTCAATCATATTCTTTCCTAGTCCCTGACCTTCAAGAGTGGTGTGTAATTGCACGTGTCCTTTGACGGGTAAATGAATAAACCAATTGTGGTATGTCCATATAATGAGATGCTACTCAGCAATTAAAAATAAGTGGGCTATTGATATATACAATGATTTAGATGGATTTCAAGGACATTATGCTCTCTGAAAGAAGCCAATGTCAAAAGGCTATACATTCCATAATTCCATTTATATAACACTCTCAGTGACAAAATTATAGTGATGATGAACAGGTCGGTGGCGGCCAGGGATTAGAGTTAAAGGGAGGGTGTGAGTGCTAAGGGGTAACATGAGGAATAGTCTTTGTGCTGATGGAACAGTTCTGTATCTCAATTGTGGTAATGCTTGTATAATCTATACATGTGACAAAATGTCCTAAAAACACTCCAACGAAGTGAATGTAAAAACTTAAATCCATCTATGGTCTATATTTTAGTTAAAAATATTGTACCAATGCCATCTTCCTGGTTTGGACAGTGTACTGTGGTTATGTAAGATGTTACCATTCAGGGAATCTGGGTGAAGTGTATTCAAAAACTCTGCTTACTATTTTTGCAACTTCTTGTGAATGTTAAATTATCTTGAAATAAAATGTCATATAAAAATAAAGAAAAATCTGGAAAATAAAAATGTCTTGACTATGCTTTTCTTTTTCTGCCTTGGGTCCATCACTGAATTCATGAGGAGAGTGTCACGGTTAGTGCACTAAGGAAGAACACAGAGGGTTGTATGCTAAAACAATTCTGACCTACAGGGTGGAGCATGAACCCAGGGAAGTCTCTAATACTTCTCTCTGGGTGACTCTGAGGCCTTCACGCTAGGGTCAGCATTAACAAAGAGCAACATTTTCTCTAACACAAAATGTAAGAGTACAGAAGGCAGGGGCACCACCTTCTTTTAAATTATCCCTAATGATCATTTCCTAGGTGAAAGGAAAGTTGAATGTGGCAAAAAGTGTTGGAAGGAGCTGATGTCAAAACTCTGGTTTTGTAGACTGTGTCTGCTGAAGAAAGAAGGAAACTGAGGATTGGACTATGCGCAGAAGTGTTTGTAGTGTCTACCATTCCTTGGTGAGCAGAAAAAAATTTCTGATCAAATATGTCTGTGTATTTAAAAATTAAAAGTCGAAGCTTTTTTAAAAAATCATCTTTTTGATGAAAGATTTCATGTCACAGGCAACAAAAAAGTCATTTTTATCCATTATATTAAGCCACTTATATAAATTTGTGTTAATACCAAAGGCAGTTACGTGCATGGAAATGTAGGAATTAGAAATAGCAACTCTTCGAACTAAAAACCGAATTACTATTTGACCCAGTAACCCAATTAGTAGTTATATATGCAAAGGAAAGTAAATCATTCTATTAAAATGATATCTACTTTTGTATGTTCATAGCAGCATTCTTCACAATAGCAAGGATATGGAATCAACCCAAGTGCCTATCAATGGTGGATTGGATAAAGAAAATGTGGAAGATATATACACCATGGAATACTATGCAGCCATAAAAAAGAACAAAAGCATAGCCTGTGCAACAGTGGAAATGGAGCTAGAAGTCATTGACCTAAGCAAATTAATACAGAAACAGAAAACAAAATACCTCATGTTCTCATTTAAAAGTGGGAGATAAACATTGGGTACACACAAATACAAAGATGGAAACAATAAGCACTGGGGATTCCAAAAGTGGGGAAAAGGAGGGAGAGAGGGTTGAAAAACTATGTATCAGGTACTGTTTGCTACTTGGGTGATGAGATTATTAGAAACTCAAAGCTCAGAATCATGCAATGTATTCATTTAGCAAACCTACACACGTACCCACTGAATCTAAAATAAAATAAAGACAGGATTTTGAATGTTCTTAAGACAAATAAGTAATAAATGTTTGAGGTGACAGATATAATTACCCTGATTTAATTATTACCCAATGTACGCATGCATTGAAACATTCTATTTTACCCCATACGTATGTAAAATTATGTATCAATTAAAAATTTTTTAAGAGGAAAAAAATAGCAACTCTTCTGCCCATGTATCTCATGAACTCTTCTGAACATAGGCCAATAAAAGGCTCTCTCAAATGTTTTCTGGTACATTTTGTTGTTTTTACAGTTATTTGAGAACATTAAGTAAGCTTCTCTTGTTGTGGCTACAAATTTATTATAGTAATTTTCACTTTCGACCCTCTAAATCCAAAGGTCATTTTTGCTACTGGGAAGAATCCTGCATAATATGGAGAAGAAATTAAAATAGGCAAAGCTGTCAGTAGATGAGTAAGGGCTAGCGTTGAAGAATGAAATTCACTCTTTCCGCTGTCCCATATTCTGAAACACACATAAACATGACAACTTTCACTTATAGCAGCCATAGCCCCAAGCTTATTTCATAATTTCCCAGGATATAAATAAATGTTACTCACAGAGGACTGCCTTGTTGTTGTTTACTGTTGAGTTTTGGGAATTGTTTATTTTAGATATGAATCCTTTGTCAGTGATTTGCAAATGTTTTCTCCCAGTCTGTAGCTTGTCTATTCCCAGGGTGAAAGTTTTTAATTTTGATGAAGTAAAACTTATCAATTTTTCTTTTTTGCATCATGCTTCTGGTGTCATGGCTAGAAATTCTTCACCAAATCTGAGGTCCTGAAGATTTTCTCTCATGTTATATTCTACATTTTACATTTAAATGTTGACCCATTTTGATGTAATTTATGTCTGAATGTGTGATGTGTGAGGTTTAGGTCAAGATTTTTTTTTTTTTTTAACCCAAGATGCCCAACTGCTTCAGGACCATTTGTCAAAAAGGTGATTATGCCTCTATTGAATTGCTTTTGAACCTTTGTCTCAAATCAGTTGGGCATATTTGCTTAGGTGTATTTCTTGGTTCTCTATTCTTTTTCATTGATTTATTTGTCCAGCCCTCTACCTGCCAGCACCACACACTCCTGATTAGTGTAGCTATTTAATACACCTTGAAACTGGGTAAAGTGATGTCTCCCACTATTATGCTCTTAGTTTTACTTAAAAGCTATTCTAGTTTCTGAGTTCCCATATACATTTTAGAAAAATGTTCTCTATTTCCTAAATCTCTTGCTGTGATGTTGGTAGGAATTGTGTTAAATCTCTATATAAATTTGGAGACAGCTGGCATCTTTAACATAAGTATCCTAACCCATGGTCTTACTATGTCTCCTAATTTATTAGATCTTTTTCATTTCTTTCGCTAGTGTTTTATAATTTTCATACACAAGTACTATGCATGTTTTGCAGGTTTTATACCTAAGTATTTCTCTTTTTCGGGAAATTGTACATTGTATTGTATTTTTAATTTCATTTTCCACATTTTTTTACTAGCTTACTAGTGTATAGAAACACAATCTTTCCATGTTGATTTTGCATCTTGAGATCTTGCTGGACTCATTAATTCTGTAAAGTTTTTTGTTTTTGTTTTGAGTGGTTATTTTTCTTTTTCCTTTCCAATCTGGATGCCTTTTATTTCCTTTTCTTGCCTTATTAGGCTGGCTAGAATTTCCCACGTTATGTTGAGAGAGAGTGGTGAGAGTTGAAATCTTTGCCTTCTTCCTGATTATAGGGGGAAGTGTTTGGTCTTCATCATTACATACAATGTTAGCTGTAGGCTTTTAAAAGATGGTCTTATCAAATTGAGAAGTTCCTATTTATAGTTTTCTGAGTTTTTTTTAAAATAAATGAGTGCCAATTTTTGTCACATGCTTTTTCTATATCAAATTTTATGATTGTGGGGTATTTTTAGCCTCTTAATATGGTGGTTTACACTGATTGAACCAGCTTTGATTGTGTATCTTTTGACCAATATCCCTCATGAACATAGATGTAAAACTTCTAAACAGATTTCTGGCAAATTCTATTTGTTTTCTATTGTTGCAGTCACAAAGTACCACAAACTTAGTGGCTTAAATTAGATAAAATGTATTATCTTACAGTTCTAGATGTCCAAAATCAGTTTCACTGGGGTAAAGTCAAGGTGCTGACAGGACTGAGCTTTTCCTAAGGCTCCAGGAAGAATCTGTTTCCTTGCCTTTTCTGGTCTCCAAGGGCCATCCACATCCTTTGGCTCATGGCCGTTTCCTCCATATTTTAAGCCAGTACTGTGGCATCTTCAAATTTCTCTTTCTACCTCTCTGGTAACATTATTCTCTCTCTCTGACTCTTCCTACCTCCCTCTCATAAGAGCACTTGTGGTTTCATCAGGCTCACATCGGTAATCCAAGATAATCTTCCCATTCAAGATCCTTGACTTAATCATATTTGCAAATTTCCTTTTGACATATAAAGTAACACATTCGCAGGTTTCGGGGACTAAGGAGTGAACATCTTCAGGGGCCATTTCTCAGTCTACCATATTTTCTTTTTTTGTACACTGTCTTTGTTTAGTCTTGGTATCAAGGTCATACTAGCAGTCTCATTTTTATCTTTGTAATAAAATTCTGTCGTAATGAGGTATTACATTTTAAGTTTTGTAATTTTTTATTACTCGTGCTTTCCTGTGAGTTGGGAATATTGTGATGAATGCTTAGTATGGTAATGTTTTAATTGCATTCTTTGGGTATACAGTGTCATCACATAATAAACACAATGCTTCGCCATCCAATTCAATAACAAAATCCACACTTCATTGTGCCTTAAGTGTGTGACATTTGATGGTCATTTCTTTCTTCTTTTCCTGTTTTGACATGAAAAGTGTGTACTGGTATTTTTTTTTTAATTGCAGTAAGGCAGTATTTGTGTCACCTAAAATTCTGTCAAGTTGTAACTGTGTCATTGTTATCTGTAGCATTCCAAGCAGGAGAGAAGCACAGTCTCTTCCATTAACTACTATTCATCTACACTCATGTAGTGTGAAAGCAGCCATAAACAGTAAAGAAATGAATGAGCACCACTGTGTTCCAATAAAACTTTATTAACAGACACCAAAATTTGAATTTTATATAATTTTCACATGCTACAAAATATTATTCTCCTTTTGATTTTTTAAAAACCATTTAATAAGGCAAAAACCATTCTTAGCTTGTGGGCCATACAAAACAGGTGGCAGGCCAGATTCGCCCTGCAGGCTATAATCTGCCAACCCTTGCCTTAATCTCATGGGACCTACATACTAAAGAGGGAAAAGAAGAAAATAAACAAGAAAACAAATACATGAACAGATAGATAATTTTGTGCTATGAGGAAATAAAATAGTAAGCTGGTCAGAGAATGTGTCTCTGAGGGACCGGGGAAGGTGGAGCTGAATGATGACAAGGAGCCAGCCATGAGGAAAGTTGAGTGCAGAGTATTCTAGAAAGAGAGAAGACCAAGGGCAAATGTGGGAGGCAGGCACCAGTATGGTGAATTAGAGGAACCAAAAAGGGTATGGCAGGAACACGGTGAAGAGGTGAAATGAGGTGGGAATGTCCAGGAATCTAAATAAGGATGACATCATGGTTAAGAATGTAACTTAAATTAGCTGACCACAGTAGTAGTTCTGTTAAATAGAGCCTAATTTTATACATTGGGTTTGTGGTTCCCTGCAAATTTATATGACTACACAACGTATAGTATTGTGAAGTTAAGAGAGAGAAGAAGAAAATGTTTTTGTTTTTGCCAAAGAGTTGTAGAAATACACAGTATCTCCTACATAAACCAGCACATCAATGAGAACAGATTCAATTGGACCACACAATTTATTTCAATAAATGCTCAAGTTATGATGCTTCATTTTATATTTGCTCATACTACAAATCTGTTGCTCCCTGGACCACTTATGGCCATCTATAGCAGTTTTATGTAAAAAGTCTAGTTTCTTCATGAAACGTAAAACATTAAATCCTTAGTTGATACTTTTTCTTCTTATGCTCAGGCCAATTTGTGTGTACCAAGCCTGCTCAGTTTCTTTTAATGCACTAGAAGGAAAATCATTTTTAAGTTTGCACTGATTTGTGGCAATATTTGTATTCGACCATCAGATGCTACACTATTTCCTTTTAAATGGCTATGTACTTAATTAGTTTCACTTGTTCAGCAATTAATTATTTTCAGAGACTTCTTATTTTGGTATTGAACCTGACTATTGATAGTTGGAGCAGATACCGTGTCAGGATTGCAATGCATGTATTCCAATCACACCACATAAAAAGTTTTCACATTTGCAATAAAGCTCTCCATTTTAATATCATCTAATATCTTTCATAATTGTGAAATATCCTTCAACTAGTTTCTTTTTTTCATTTATTTTTTCCAGTACTGCTTCTAGTAAATATGAGGCAAAAGGAAGCTGTAAAAGAAACACAAAAAAGATTATTAAAACTCTATATTTTCTTCAGTTCAAAAACATACTAAATATTATTAAACCATTAGAAGTTAGATGTCTGCAACTTTGCAGCCATAATGGTACCCTACTGGATCTCTTTTCTACTGATCTTGCTGGTTAGTGTGGGTAATTTTGTCTTTTCTAATAAAAATGACAAAAGAGCAAAAGTAAAATGAAAAAAGATAAACGCCTTATTGAACAATTCATGGTTTACTGACCATGTTAATGATGTAATCTGCAATACAAGCAGCTAAGCCATTTATCTTCAATCAGCTGATCAATAGTAGGTTACAGTCATCTCTAGGGCACACGGGCCCACAGAAGTAGTACTGTGTGTTCATCACTCATAAAAGAATGAGAGAGAACCATCAATCCACATGTCTGCGTTAGAGCCGAAAATCTCAAGAATTGTAGAGTGAAAACTTCAGAGGAAAAAATCGCAAAAGTATACCCATTGATTAAGTTGTTATAGAAAAGTTGTTTGGCATATCAAAGTGTAATACACATGTTGCAAACTGCTGAGTTTATGAAATGTAGACTACATTTTTAAATTTCATAATTTATATAACTTTTCTGGTCAAGTTTTATTGTTCCCTCTGCTTCACTGAGTTGCCTGTAGAACTCCAACTCATCCAATACAGTTATACAGTTATAGGTGGTAAGTAAAAGACAATCTGAAATGCAGCCCCAGTTACTTCTGAATCCTAGAAATTTCTCTTATCCTTATTCTCAGCTACATAGCCTCACATAAGAGGTCTGTCATAATTAAGAAGTTTGTTAAGTCATTTCTTGGACTTGTCCTTTAGATCAACCAGGGATAGACTACTTCTGTTTCTCTGAATATATTAATGGGAATGCTTAGCATGCCCAGCCCCCTTCCCTGCAGGGCAGTAGCATCAGGCCCATTTTTGTGCTAGGATGGACGACTGACAGCATCACTGTCGGCATCTGACCCAAGATGGCCTAACGGCCTTTGTCTGGGTCCTCAGCTATGCTCCGCTAAGGTGTCTATAATTAAACCAATCAGAATGGCTCTTTGCTAAATTTGGACTGGAGAAAAGAGAAAAGACTAGCTGTGGTAGTAGAACTAAAGAGCAGGCAGGCAAAAACAAATAGACCACATTAGCCATGAAAGAGAAATAGAGACCACATCTGATCCAGAAAACTGCCTCAGACCCAAAGAGCATTCTAGTTTAAGTCCCTTCTTATGTTTACAGTAATCTGCCTTCTCCTTAAGGTAGCCTGAGTCTGTGTCTGTTCCCTAGAAACCCAGGAGCTTCACATATTTGTCTTACTTGAAACTTACCACTAAAGAAAGTATAAGATACCAAAAGAGCACATTTCTTCAGTTTTAAGATACAGATGAATAGAAGACATATACATTGACTTTAAAATAGCTTTTCTAGGGGGAAAAACCTACCACATCAAACACACTCATATTGCACATGCATCCCAATTTCAGGAATGTGAAGAAGTGGGAAAAGCATATCTTAGAGATAAGCAAAAAGAATATGATCAGTTCTCTTATGGAGGATAATGATAAAAGCAGTACGCTTTAATTTTGACAAATTGCTTTTCTTGGATGTAAAAAAGAGTTACCTTGGACAAAGATGCCAGTTTTACAAATAAAAATTTAAACCTTGAGAGCATTAATTTTAGGTGTGAAAGAAATGCACAAAAAAATGACAAGACTACAGGGCAACTTTCATTTAAATGATGTCACGCAGTACTACACGCATTCCTATCTAAAAGGAAAATACAAGAAGGGAGTAATTTCCCGTCCCTTACTGGTGGAAACAAGGCAGAAGTGTTTCATTTTCTAAAATTGTTCTCTAATCAAATACATTTGGGAAACAAACCAAACTTCTACCTCTTAAGAGTCTTTAAAAGGCTAACAGGCACTGATCTCTCCAAGAGGGCAATATAATATCCTATTTCTAAATTCACTTGTCCATCCTGTTCTCATGGTCTATTTATCAGGCGGAAATAGTGGCCCATGAAACACAGCTTGGGGAACATGCTGGTTGTATCATTTCCTGTGTAATAATGTCACAGACCTTTCACCAGTCCACAATGTGTTGGCATTAATCATATTGTTTGCAAATTTCATTTTCAAATTTAAATCTAAATCTACTCTTATTATCTTGTAATCTGAACAATTTTCAACATGGACATTACCTTTAAAAAGTCAAGCTCAAATAACTCTTCCAGAAAGCCTCCAATGTGGAATGGGAAGTCCATTTACGAATTTATTACCAACTCCCTTTATTCTCTTGCCCTGGCTCCCAATAAAACTCAAAGCCTCAGAGTTAAACACAACTGTATGCCAACCCTGTTTTATTAGATTATAAGCTTCCTTTAAGCTTTTTATAGAGGATAACACATTTTGGATTTCAAAAAGGAGTCAATCCTTAAATCAAAATGCAGAGTATGTGTACATCTACTGCCCTTGCAGGAACCTATTTGTCTATAATCGTTCAGAAGAATCATATTATTTGTCATTACATAACTTTAGACAAAATTTCATATATCTTACTAGTGTGAGATTTAAAATTTTTATTTTAATTCAATTTTTCTATTTTCCCTTTCTATGAACCAATTGACAATATTTTCCTCTAAACCCAGTGCTCACTCTACTTGCTGTTTATACCTTATGGTTTATTGCTAACTGTAAATTCAGCTTTCAAAGAGGTCTTCCAAAAATTATTTTTTAAATACATAAGGCTCAGTCATAATTAAGGTAATTTTATAACAGAAAATATGACAAAATAGTTAATAATTGAAACAAATTTAGAGGAAGACTAAGAAAAAGTCAGAACTACAAAACAATATTTTGTAAAATCTACTTATGTTTTCAAATAAATGCAACAATTTAAAGTAACTGTCAATTTAAAAAAATTTAAGTAGCTGTGCCTTCCTGCTTTACAAATAGTTCTTGGTTTATGGAACAGATTCAATATGTATTCAAATAATGAATGCACTAACAACTTTGGTTTTAAAAATAACCTCTCTTACCAAGTTTATACTATTCATTTATTTAGCAAACATTTTTCATAGATTGTACACAAAACAATTCTGCTTAGTCTAGAATGTATTACCAAAAGATTTTGTTTATAAAAATGGCTAAGAGTGGAATTTTCAAGTTAACTGGCTATTTTGGTTAATTGAGAGTTATTACTTATAACACGCTAACTCTTAAACATCATAAATTATAGTTAACCTGAAAGTCAGATGGAACATAATTTAATCTTCAGTGATTCAAGAAAGCTCTTCAAAATCTTATAGTACCACATGAACATCAATTCTCAGCATGTAGCTCTAGGTTGGTTAGAGTTAGGACTGACACTGTACTTAAAATACAACATGCCTTGGAAAGCACTTTAAAAATTCACATGGTCTGCTTATTTGTTTGCCATATTTTTTTGAGTGCAAAATGTTTTAAAAACACTAAGAACAAGAGAGCCAAACCTTCTACTTTGAAGTCCAGATTAAATGCATATTTATTTCATACAAGGAGTTTATAGTTAATTATATTATCTTTATATGCATTCTGGAAGGGGCTACGTCTCCCTTAGAAATCTCTGAGGGAGACATACAGACAGGCATAGCTGCCCTTTTACTAATAGGATTTTAGAGTTGGATAGAAGTGGCAATCTGACTGACCACAGCAAAGATCTTGCACCCTATCAAATACATCTGAAACAACAAACCAACATTATGCTGCTGTGGGTTTCATCTCAGATGGTATTTGCCAGGGATTACAAAGTCCAGAGAGCCTGCATGATTTCTTTTTCTCTCTTGGATAAAGAAGGAGAAATGATATTCCTGGGCATATCAGCACAGAGTTAGACATGCTTGAACTCTTTAGCATAAAGAGAAAAATGGACAGGTGAAGATTTCATACTGAGTGAAATTTCTTGGCATAGAAATTTAACGGGGATATCTGACAAAGTTTGCCTCGGTCTATAGGTAGTCTTAAGGCAGATCTTCCTAGTCATTCTGGCTGTTCCTGCTGCAAAGAGTGATTTCCATTACTGGAGGGATCTCCCCTGATTTCACACAGATTTTTAGCTTCTCTGACATATAAATACCTACAGAAGTTTACCTTTAGGAACTGGTATGCAACTATCACAATCTTAAATTTATTACTCACACTTACAAATTGTGGCTTCCTTTAGAGGTGACATATAAATGATATAAATGATGACTGCAGATGCTTGAGAACTATCTTAGAAAAATAGCAGAGCTTAAATGATTGCAAAACATAAAAATAACTTATTACATCAGCATTAATGGGAATATACTCAATATAAAATTGAAATTCTTTTGCATTGAAAGAAAAAATGGAAATAAGGATAACTTTTAAGTATAAAGGACAAAATTAACAATTTGGCCATTTTAATTCTTGTTTTCTGTTTGAAGACTATGACCAAAAAGATACTTCTTGTAAGATAAAATGTGACTTTTATCTAGAGTTATATTGAAAGTGAAGAATATAAAATTTTATGAATTATATCTGCTCTTAAAATATGACTTAATGAGACCTTAGTAAGATACGATAATGTAGTTTATTATAAAATTAAAGGTGCAACATTTGGTATATGCATTTATTTACATACATATATATACATACAAGCACACACACAAATCTGCGTCGTTAGCATCCACTCTGTTATCTTGTAGTTAAAGACTGAACTTGTTAAAATAATCAAGAATGCTATCAGAAAGAACAATGTATTTATAATTTAAATTTGGCACTGAATTTTGAGTCACATCTCCTAAATGGTTGTTTCTATTTCTGCTGCATATCATAATAGAAAAAAAGAATTCTTGGAGTTCTGCTAAAAATGGACAGAGAAGGCTGTGCCTGCTGCTTTCAAACTCTGTTGAAGGCTATAGCTTTTTTCTCTTTAATTTTGAATTACTCTAGAAGTTGTAAGACAGAATGAAGAAAAAAGCTTCAAGGAGTGCTTCCGTAACACTTAAAGCAAATGGGTGATCTATTCTATTTATAAAGTCCTTGGGGTTGGGGAGATGCTTGGTAACTTACTTCAGGATTTAGTAAAATGAACTGCCAGCAAGTTCTTTAGGGCTATGGTAAGTTATGTAAGATAGAAGAGAAATTTAAGTTAGCCATAGACTTTCCTTCAAATCCAGAAGCATCTCTAGGCTGTGATTAGGCTTCTTGTCTGGTTCCTGTGTGACACTATAATTCTCGTCCCCAAAACTTGCCTAGATAGAGCTAAACCCTTGTCACTGGCTCCTCAGCAGCTGGGAGTTTCTTCCCCTCCCTCATTTTCCACTCCTATCAAGTCACTTTTCCCTAACTGATGACCAATATTCTCATAGATCAGAGACTACTGCTGTGCCTTCACCTTTAAGATAATGCTTTGGGCAATGATACCAGCACAAAAAGGAATTGAATTCCCTGAGCTCCCTTGGACATCAGTTTGGACCCCTATGAATTGTTTGGACATTGGTCTTACACAAAGCCTGACACATTACTTTACCCCACCTTCTCCAACCCCCTGCAAGACATTTTTGAAGTCCCAGTTGTCTTCTCACAAAGCCAGCACACATAATGACAAATACATCTTAATACTGGTATTCAGACTATCCTAATATGACTGACTTCGTTCTCAAATGCCAGGAACTGTGTAGTATATATACTTGAAGGGGATATGTCCATTCCTTGTATGCTCCTTCATGACTAGGTGAGATATACACGCTAGAGATAATGCTTTAAGAGTCTACAGTCCACTGTTAACAAGGAGTCCCTTTTAATGTAGACATTAAAGAAAGAATTTGGGGGCTCAATAGGACTAGGTGTGAATACCAATGTTTATCACATGGATACAAACTCCGAGTTCAGGAAAAGAAAGCTTAACTGATATAAAAAGTATTTAGCAGGTAGACCCTTGTTATTAACTAAATGCTTGTGTTCCCCCAAAATTTGTATGTTGAAATCCTAAACTGCAATGTGATGGTATTAAGAGATAAGGGCTTCGGGAGGTAATTAGGTCATGAGGATGGAAGCATCCTGAATGGGATTAGTAGCCTTATAAAAAGAGATAGGAGAGCTTACTCGCTCCCTTGCTCACTCTGCTATGTGAGAATACAATGAGAAGACCAAGATCTACAAAACAGGAAGAAGGCTCCTATGGCTAATGCCTGATCTTGGACTTCTCAGACCCCAGGAATGTGAAAAATAAATGTTTCCCAGTCTATGGTATTCTGTGATAACAGCCTGATATGACTAAGAGAACACTTAATAGTACAGGTAGGAAAAATAAAGGGATGGGGAAGGATCCAAAAGAGAACTGAATTATTCAGTCTCTTGTTCATCACTGTGTCACTCAGTGTTGATTTAAATATGTTGCTCCAGAATCTGGATGAATGTGGATAGTGAATTATACCTCCTCAATGAAAGCACTCTACAAATACAGTTATGCATCACTTAGCAATAGGGATGCATTTTGAGAAATACATTGTTAGGCAATTTTGGCGTTGTCCAAACCTAGATGATATAGCCTGTTACACACCTAGGCAATATGCTATGGCCTATTGCTCCTAGGCTAGAAACCTGTTACTGCATGTTACTGTACTACATATTGTAGGCAAATGTAATACAATCATAAGTATTAGTATACCTAAACATAGGAAAGGCGTAGTAAAAATATGGTATAGAAGACTTTATAAAATGGTACCCGTGAATAGGACACTTACCATGAATGGAGCCTGTGGGACTGGAAGTTGCTCTGGGCGAGTCAGTGAGTGAGCGGTGAGTAAATGTGAAGACTTAGGACATTACTGTACACTACTGTAGATTTTATAAACACTGTATACTTAAGCTTCATTAAATGTATTAAAAAACCTTTTTCTTTCTTCAATAATAAATTAACTTTAGCTTACTGTAACTTTACTTTGTAAGCTTTAATTTTTGACTCATGTAAGAACACTTAGCTTAAAACATAAACATACTGTACAGCTGTATAAAAACATTTTTATATCCTTATTCTGTAAGGATATAAATAATTTTGTATTTTTTTATTTTTAAACGTTTTAATTAAAGAATAAGACACAAACACACACATTACCCTGGGCCTACATAGGGTCAGGGTCATCACTATCCCTGTCTTCCACCTCCACATCTTGTCCCACTGGAAGGTCTTCAGGGACAATAACACAAACGGAGCTGTCACCTCCTATGTTAACAATGCCTTCTTCTGGAATACCTCCTGAAGGACCTGCCTTAGGCTGTTTTACAGTTAAGTTTTTTTTTTTAATAAGTATAAGAGTACACTCTAAAATAATGATAAAATGCGTAGCATAGTAGACTGGGCACAGCGGCTCACATCTGTAATCCCAGCACTTTGAGAGGCTGAGGCAGGCAGATCACCTGAGCTCAGGAGTTGGAGACCAGCCTGGGCAACATGGCAAAACCCAATCTCTGCAAAAGATAAAAAAAATTAGCTGGGCATGGTGGCACGCACCTGTAGTCCCAGCTACTCAGGAGGCTGAGGCAGAACTGCTCGAGTCTGGCAGGCGGAGGTTTTGGTGAGCCACGATTGCGCCATTGCACTTCAGCCTGGGAGACAGAGCAAGACTCTGTGACCAAAAAAAAAAAAAAAAAAAAAAGTATGGTATAGTAAATACATAAACTAGTAACAGACATTTATTATCATTATTGAGTATTATGTGCAGTACATAATTGTATACGCTATACTTTTCTATGGGTGGCAGCACAGCAGGTTTGTTTACACCAGCATTACCACAAACGAGAGTAATGTGTTGTGCTACAACCTTAGGATGGTTACAGTGTCACTTGTGGATAAGAATTTTTCAGCTCCATTATACCCTTAGCAAACTAATGCAGGAACAGAAAACCAAATATTGCCTATTCTCACTTATAAGTGGGAGCTAAATGATGAGAACATATGGACACAGAGAAGGGGAACAGCAGACCCTGGGGCCTATTTGACGGTAGAGGGTGGGAGGAGGGACAGGATCAGAAAAAAATAACTATTGGCTACTAGGCTTAGTACCTGGTTGATGAAATAATCTATACAACAAACCCCCACGACATGAGTTTACCTATATAACAACCTGCACATGTAGTCCTAAACCTAAAATAAAAGTTAATTAAAAAAAAATTTTCAGCTTCATTATCATCTTATGGGGACACCATTGTATAGTGTGGTCTGTCATTGGCCAAAATGTCCTCATGCAGTGATGACTGTATTTACTCTATAGTAGGCAATGGGTTAGGCATCTTCTGGGGAGACTAGTAGCAAATCTAGCAAACAGATATGCTTTTAAAATAAATTAAAAATAATTAAACATGAGAAATCACTAGCATACTAAGTTTGAGTTATTTTCCATGTATTTTCCCCAGGCCTCAAACGGTTATCCTTTTTAAGGGTGACAAAACACTTTTACAAGGGACAATGCATTTTGGCATGCATTATTTTATCATTCCAAATCTGTCAGGTGGTATTCTTTCTATCTTATAGTTGAAGATATTGAATTAAAGAGGCTTTAGTTACTTGCCTTGAGCTAACTTCTTCTCATGCTAACGTGAGACAGAACGCAACCCCAGGTCTTCTGACTATAAGCCATTGTAAGTTTACTGTGTGGAGAGAGTTCTGGTCAATATAAGGAGAAACCGAATGAATCTCAGGCACTCACGTGCTGAACATGGATTTCTTCAGCAGTTACTGAGTTTCCTATTATTCCACAAGGCAGAGCTCATGCTCTGGAAGAGTGGTTGGCTTAGATATTTTACAATGCAAACATTTTAAGTATGGAGTTTTGATTTTATTACCCATTGTGCTTCACGTATCTTGTTCTATTTTCTGCAGCCAAGGAAAAATCTAGCTCTAAATCTAGATGAAAAATGTTCTTGCTAATATCCCTCGAAAGTTAAAAAAACAGAATGAGGTGACATAGGATGGGCTTTTCAAGGTGCAAGAATAGGAGTCATTTTAATGCTTCTCTGGGTAATCCATATTTTTAGGGCACAATTTACTGACTTTTTGTTTTCCCTTAGCACGGTATAGGAGGTAAAAGATTACTCACTGTGCTCTCAAGGAACTTGTCTATCTAGAAGGCAAAACTGTTCCATACTATATTTGACTATACTATTTTGGCTCTTATATTAATAAGAGCCTCCCAATATTTTGGAAATCATAATGGAAATGAATATTACCTGTGTCCCCACATATATTGACTATAAATCCTACTTTAGATTTTTTAAAAATTGTTTTATGTTATAGAAATGATAAACATTTTATCATTTGAATCATTTTTAAGTCACTTACTCAGTGGCATTAATTACATTCATGTTGTTGTGTAACCATCACCACCTCTATCTCTAGGATTTTTCATCTTTCCAAACTGAAATTCCACGTATATTAAACAGTAACTCCCCATTCCCCTCGTTCCACCAGCCCTTGACAACCACCATTCTACTTTCTGTCTCTATGAACTTAACTAATCTCAAATAAGTGGAATCAGGGTATTTGTCCTTTTGTGTTTGACTTATTTCACTTAGCATAATGTCTTGAAGGTTCATCCATATTGTAGCATGTTTCAGTACTTCATGCCTTTTTAAGGCTGAATAATAAACTGTATGCATAAACCACATTTTGTTTATCCATTCATTCATCGGTGGGCATTTGGATCATTTCCATCATTTGGCTATTGTCAACAACGCTGTTGTGAGCATTGGTGTACAAATATCTGTTTGAGTTCCTGCTTCCAATTCTTTTGGAGATATACCCCAAGGCAGAATTACTGGATAATATGGTAACTCTATGCTTAATGTGTGGAGGAACTGCCATAGCGTTTTCCACAATAACAGCACCCTTTTACATTATCATTAGCAACATACAAGTGTACAATTTTCTCTGCCTCCTAACACTTATTAATTTCCTACTTTAGAGTTTAAGCTTTTTAAAGACATGAATTGTCCCATTTGTTTCCCATGCTGACTAGCACTTTTACATACTATCAGCACTCGATAAAAGTTTGTTGAATAAATAGTACTGCTAACTTCAAATAGATACAGCAATTGAATTAGCTGTTAATAAAGAACTTCCAGGCAGAAATCTCTTTATATTTGGTTGAGACTTAATTTTAGAATACTGGTTACAAACTTCTTTGTTTTCTTATAGCACAAGAATATATATTAGAGGAGGTAAAACTACACGAAGAAAACAATAAAATAAGAAAGAAAGAAAGAAAGAAAAAGGAATTACAAGAAAAAACTGATATTGTAGATTCAAATAAATTTAATTATTTTATTAAAAGGATCCTTTTAACTGTAATCACATTCTAGTGATACGAAAGTAGGCTTACTTTGTTAAATTGAAAAAAAACAGCAAGGCTGTGAGTAGAGAATTTTAAACTCTTGCTACTTCATCTAAATGTGAGGATTAATTCTGTATGGGTTACTGAGTGTGTAGGCTTACATGGATGAGACAGAGTGAGTGAGTGAGTATGTCAGTTTCTGAATGCATTTGTTATAAGTGCAACACAGGAAATAACCACAGAGTAAATGGCTTCAGAGATGCAAGGAGAAACTTTCAGTTAACCTTCAGGCTAGTAGTATATTCTATTTACAAAAGCCAGGGAGATTTATAAAACCCTTCCCACTGCCACACTGCAAGGCATTCTACAGAAGGTAAGCATATTTTGCAGAGAGGACACTGGGGAAAGTTAGCCATTTTAAATTTCAGCATTTGCAAGATCTGAAGCAACTAATAGGAACAGAGATATTTAAAGGTAAAGAAAAGCCACTGATCAAAGTCTTTACTTTAAATTCTCAAAAACTGAAGGCAAACAGACAGAATTTTTTATATAGTTCCAATAGAAGAAAATGATCTATACAAAGTGGACTAAAATGGACAAAATGAAACCTAAAAAAGGATTAGCAAATAACAAAGAATAAAGCAACACACCATAAATCAAGAACACATTTTCTAGCCATTCCTGTCTAAGGGTATTTATAGAAATCTTAGTAAAGACCCACACTCTGGTTATAACTATGTAATATTTGTTTTATACATATATACATATTTTAATGTATCTACCCACCCATAATTCTACTCAAGTTAACTACCTAGTAAATTTCATAGTTTATACATTTTAACTATTTATTGTCCTCCGTCCCCAGAAGTGTAAATTCTATTACAGTAGTGAATTTTTATCTCTTTTATTCACTGCCATATTCTCCAAACCTGAAATAATACCTGGCATGTAGAAGGTACTCATATATATATTTTTTAATGATTCCCGAGCACAGGCTCAGCTTAATTTCCACTAATTATTTTCATTGCCTTTATAAAGTCACAAGTGCAAAGGACTGTTTTGGGTATCATAAAGGCCTAAAAATGACCTTTATTATAATTTTAATTTGGGGGATCAGAATGGGCAGAACAGATAAACACTGTCTTTTAGTGGGCAAAGTTTAAAAAACTGACTCCTTGTTTGGATATGTGAACAGGTAAGACCAATTAGAATATAAAGGTAGTACATCTCCTTATGTGCCAACTGAAAAGAAACTATTGAGTTTGAAATAAAAATATTTATATCATTTACTCATATTTACAGCCACTAGACAGAATTCAAGTTCAATTGCATTTAAAGAAATCTCTGCTATTGGTGGGGGGCACAACACACGTGAAATAAGCAATTTATTAAATTTACTTTTAAATGTATTCTTTTTTTTCTTTTTGTAATATTTTCCATTATCAAGGAGTTAACTGTTTTAAGTGGAGATAAAATTCACATAGCAAAACTCACCATTTTAAAGTATATAAATCATTGGTTTTTAGTACATTCGCAAAATTGTGCAGCCATCACTAGTAATTCCAGAGCATTTTCATCATCCTCAGAGAAATTCTATCCGTAAGCAGTCACTCTCTATATCCCCCCAGCCTCTGGCAACCACAAACATACTGTCTATAAATTTGCCTATTTTTATATTTTGTATGAATGGAATCATAAAGTATGTAACATTTTATGCCTGGCTTTACTTCTTTTGTTTAACTAAAACTGCCTTACCTCTTTTGTTCCCTAAACCTCCAAAGATATCATTATCTTTCTCTCCTCATGTAGTATATTAAACTCACCCATCTTTTGGTTTCCACCCAGACCCCTTTCATCTAATCTCATTACTGCTATCTATTCACTCATTAGAATGTAGATCACAATCTGTCTCCAGCCTTTCTAATACCATGGCCAGGCCACATCCAGACTCTCACTGCCCCTTACCTAGAACCTTTTTGCTCCCAGTCTCCTCTCTCCAACCATCCTACAATGTTGGCCTTCAGCATCTTTCTAAAGCACAACTCTGATTACATCCCGACCCTGCTCAAAAGCTTTTATAATTTGGTCCCAGCCTACTTTTCCTATTTCTATCTTTTCTCCCACTCCCTAAACTATAGACAAAGTAATTTTGGTGGTTTCTCCCATCCTGCTTTAATTATCAATTTGCTTCTTTGTCTCTGCCATAAATTACAAGTTTTAAAAAATATATCAATGTGAAAAGAGAGATTTATACAGATTAAAAATGTTCAAAGAAATTAAAGGCAGCTATGCCATAGAAAGATGAAAGTAGACTTAGTAAGATTTTTTCAGTGTGGTTCTTATTACTAGAAATCTCTGGGGACAAAGACAAGCTGCAGATAAATGTCAAATATAAAAAATTACCAATAGCATCACAACTACTTGAAATAATGGCATATATCTGAGTTCTGTATCAAATATACATAAGTTAAAATTTTAGACCTTTTAGTTCTCATGCACTTGTAGCTAACAACAGCAGTAGGTATCATATTATTATTAGTTCCACATTACCACATGGAAGAACAGCTTTTTATTTTGTGGTGAATATTTTATCAATATGACATTCTATCAAACAAAAGCAGAAAAAAAAATATTTTTTTTAACAGAAAGCAATTCTGTGGCCCAATCAAACAAAAGACAAAATCACAGGGCCAGATTCACCCTGATAATCTCAGGATTTGATCACATACAGCACCCAACACACAGAGAGGACATAAAAGAGAGGTTTTCCAATAATTTTATCAAAATATTTGAATAAAAAAATCAACATTGGACTAATTAGTAATTTTTAGAAAATGTCTTCAGTTATTCCACAATGTGAAGATGATGTAAGCTCATACCCAATGAGCAATAAGCCATAAACTAAACAAAATGTATGAATGAACATATTTACACTTTTGCCCATACAATCCTGTGAGTGTAACTCAGACTCTAAAAAAAGGCTGGTGGGCAAAGAAAACCTTTTCTAAAATTCAGGACAAATATAATTGCTTGGATTGAGAGAGAAGAAAAGTAGGCTAAAAAAAAAAGGTGTTTTCTATTTTATAGATTTTTCTCTTGGGTGTAATTATAAAGTGACATTCAAGTGCAACCAATGAAGTACCTATTTGTTCTCTCACAAAATTCAAAGACATCAGCAAAACCACCTATGTCAGTAATAAAAATAAAAAGTCTTTGACTTTTTAAATGTTATCATACTGTCACAGTGGAATAAAATTAGCTTGAAAAATGATCTAAAGGCACATGATGCAGTTCATTACGTATAACAGCAACAGCAGCGGTTTCCCAGTGTTCATAAAGGCTGCTCCATTAAATTTACCTCCAGTCAATAATTAGGAGTCCACAAATAAACCTGGGCAATTAAATCAATACTGCCTGGCAATTATATTCCAGAGTCCAGGCTCAGTGGCACAAAAAGGCACTATATCAAGCTGCAGTATTAAGCAGTCTGATGCCATTTTCAACAGAATTTTTTTATACTCACTGGACAGAATAAGCATACATTCAGCTAATGCAGAATGTATGTATATACCTCTCCACGTGTTAACCAAAAAAACTCAGGTCCAGTGTCAGTACAGTTTTAGTAAAATTTAACAAAGCTTTACACGTACAGATTTATTATTTTTATAGTCATAATTATGATAAAATTTCTAATTCAAATAAATACAGGCCATATTTACAAAGTGAACATTTTAAAAATTCATTAAAAAGTTTATTTTTATCATTTTCAAGTTGAAAAGAAAAACCTCATTACAATCATTATTGAATTCTTTGATGTGTCAGCCACTGAGCTAGGTTCTGGGAGTACCACATGATTAAGAAATGGCCTCTGTTCTCAAAAGCAAGTAGTCAGTGTAAAAGGCTTTGTCTAGCACCTGCACATCTACACTTAAACAACTTTCAGCAAATGATTTTTAATCACCTATTGTTATTAAAGTGATTCCAGACAATGTTTCAAAAATATATCAAACTGATACTAACATGAATTGTTGATATACTATTTATTTATTCTCGACTTTACTAAAAGCACGGAAACTGATACTTGTTAATATAAATGTAAAATAATTGCATTTAATATCAGTTTCTATTTTTAATCTTTACACAGAAACATTTACAATGACTTTCCAAAAATCACAGGACAATTTTTGGGGTATTTTGACAAATATGTTTTGGCTTTTATTTATTCCAGTCCATTTAAAAAATAAAAAATTAGGTTAAGCCGAAAGAACTATAATGAAAAAGTTTTAGAATACATTACATGCTGTCAGTGATGTCAAAACAAAAGCTGGCTATGACTAGAAAAGCAGGGCTCTCACCTGCCAATAAACTGCCCTTGATCACTTACAAGAGGGGCGCATCCCAGCAGACTATATGTGTATTAAAAAAATACTTGAAAGGGAAGAAAAAGTATCACACAGGTCACAGCAGCAGTCTCAACAGACCCCTCAGGGATTTCAACTCGTCTTGGCCTTGTCATCCTCTATGCAGCTTTCCACTCGGCCCAGAAAATGTCGATAGGAAAATGTTTGAGGGGCCTCTGGTGGAAATTTTTTCATTCTTTCTGCATTGACAGGATGCCAAATCAATATTTACTTCCCACTAACAAGCTGCTCGAGGTCTCAGTAGAAAATATTGTAGAGAATGCGGGAAGACACAGTAATAAACAGCTGTCTGGCTGTGAGGAAAACATGAATTGACTGGAAACAGGTCCATAGTAAAAGGTCACTGAAACCCATGAACTCCTCAGGTGTCCATATCAAATACTAACTTTAAAGACACATAATAAAGAATCTCTTTTCCTAAGAGGTCTGGGAGAATGGATCCTTTTCAGTCTAGCAAGCACAGAGGTTGACTCAATAATTTAATTAATGCATTTGCTAAGACCCATGTTGGCTCTATCCCAAGGTATTTGTTTCATTTGTTAAGTCCCAAAGTACAAATAGAGGGTTAACTTTCCTTTCTACCTATTGGAATACTTCTTTACCTAACAGAAGTAAACAATGGGGAAGTGTTTACAAAAAGTTAGACATCTGGTGAAAATGTAAGGCTTGGAATTCTTATTTGGAAGCTTAATATATGAAACAGAAAAATGAAATACCTGTCCTTCAAGAAGTTTCTGAATGTACAACATCCATTCCTTGTCATTTTCAGCATCAATTTTTGTTTTTTCAATTTCCTGAAGAAAAAAAATAAAAACACTGGTGTTAACGAAATTTATATGAACTTGTTTATACTATTAGATACTGAATAAATCTGGAGTAATATCAGTAGAATTAGATTCAACAAAGAACAGTCTGTCATCTCAAAGTAGAAATATTTAAGTCCATGCTCTTTAAAATTTAATTTATCGATACGTACTACGGAAGATATAGCTATATTTATATACTTCACAGTAATTCAGAAATATTTAATTTCTACCTTCACAGTGGAGCTCAAAGTAGGGGCTAATATGGGGGTGAAAGCAATTAAAGTGAAAAATCAGATGGAGTTATATAAAAGAATCATTTACAGGTGACTCTCATGAGATAATACAAAACCTAATATTCCAAAATCTGACTTGTCAGCAGATAACTAAGGAGTAATTGTTCATTACAAACAGAATAGAACATGGCATGACTCCGGTATATTTAAATGCTTGTTGATTCAAACTATCCAATAATCTACTGATAGGCCAGGGACACTCCAACTTAAAGTGCTATAGGTCACAAAGTATTTTCAACCCATCAATTATCATGACAGAATATTTCTGGAATTGAAATGTATTCACACGTACAGTTGATGATTCACTTGAAATTGTAATTTCAGTTTACGAAAAAAAAAACTGACTTTCCAAGAAGGGAAGGGCGTGAGAAACTATTATTTGTTGAAATTTACTGTATGGCAGGCATCATGCTAGGCACTTCAGATAGGCTATCACAGTTTCTGATGTGAATTTACTACAGTTCGATATAGTGTAAAGAACATAAATCAGGTGATCTGGGCTCTGCTTGGGCAAATCCTTGGACCTCTGGAAGATGACAGGATCAGTCTAAATAAGCTCTGGTCTATAATGAAATCTAGTAAATATATCAAAATGTACCTATCCCTCTTAGAACAGTGTGTTTATATCTCTTATTCTTTCAGGAGGGACTTGATTTAAGATTGTGTGACATGCATATTACAGTGCTGTGTACTCTTGTCTTCAGATTCCACCTGCCCAGAGGCAGAGGTGTCACTTATTCACAGACATGCACCATCTAGTCTTTGGGGCTATCAAGAGAGATCCTTTTCTAATTCACATATTCAAAGAGGACAACCTTTCTGATTTGCTCATTCAAAGAGGGCTTTTTTTGCTAATTTGTTAGCCCAGAGAGTGCATCATTTTAGAGATTACTTGGTCTCAAAAAACATGGTGGCTCTGTGTTCCAGAATATGTACATGTGTTAGCATCATGTACATGTAAACACATACATGCACACAGGCATACTCACATGAGACACTGTGCTAAATCTGTGTGTTTTAAAATTTCTAGGCAACAGTAGAGGCCTTACCCTTAAATTTTGGTTAGGTTTCTCATCAATCGACATATTTTAATTAAATGCCTATAATAAGGCTTAGTTAACACCCTTGCCAGAAGTAATATTACTCCCATGTGTCTTACATTTGGTACTATATGTGATATTGTTCTTATACTTCAAAGTTTAGAATTTGATAGAAAGTCGCAGACGTTTTGGCATAGCTGCTGAAAACAGAAACTGGGAATTCACCCACTGGATGAAAATAATACCTGTAGGATTCCTTTTAACTATTATCTGAGGATTCTTGGTAGTTCAAAAATCTTTACATATTGTAGATTTGCTCTATTCCAGAAGATCTTTCAGAAGCTGAAGAGGGGGCCAGAGGATGATCTCATACAGACACCCAAGTCTATCATTGAACAAATATTTGTTGAGAAGCTGCTAGTGCCACCATCTTTTAGCATTCCAAAGGATAAAAATCTAATATTCATGAATTAAAGCTCAGAGCCATAGTAGGATAGGAATGAGCATCCTACACATGTTTCGCAAAAGACTGCGTGGTATGAGATTCTGCTGTTATGAGGCAGTGGCTATGTAAAAAATGCAGTGTCTTTCCCAAGAGGTGCTGAAATGCTATTAAAGACTATGCCTGTATGCATATAAATTCACTCAGACAGAAGTATTTTAACCAATTTTAAGCAATAAATATTTTTCAACAATATATTTTCAAAGCGTATACTGGTGAATAATAATTTTGAATTTAGCTATGAAAGCCAATAGATTTGGCACTTTTTAAAAAATATCACAAAGAGAAAAAAACTTCAAATCAATGGAGATCAGCTTAACTAAATCCATTTAAGCTAGCTTAATTAAGTATACTGGTTTACATGATATATAATATGATTAAATTAAAGAAAATGGAGGAGATAGGAAAGAATAAATGAATAACAAGTAATTTGAAAGGTTATAAGTACTAGCTTATTTCTATATTATAAAGTTAAATTTCTTTAAAGGCTTTTTGAGTTAGTTAATACTTGATGTGTATCTTTCATTGGCACTTTAACCATCTTACCATCATTAACACTCTCTTAAAGATGAAATTCTAAGAGGTATAAAACAAATAAAAATATCTACTTAAGTCCAGTGTATAATAAACCCTTTAATAATAAATATTTAAATGATCTTACCACTTGATCTTCTGTGTCTAATATTTCCTCTAAATCTGACCGTGAAATGTTCAGGATAGAAGCTGCCAAGGTCTGGGCTTTATGGGTTGAGGTTTTACAGGCGTCCCTGTTTTTCTTCATTTTTTTAAGCTCTCTTATTTGTCGCCTTACCACATGGACATCATTTTGCAACTCTTTGGCCAAAGCCTGTAACATATTGGAAAGAAATTGAGCTTATATTAAAGTCATAATGAAGACAAAGCAGTAATAACATAAAAATATGAAGATACTAACAAATCATTTTTTTACTAGGATTACTCTGGTTTTAATTACTCTGGAATATAGTGGATTGCTCTTTACCTATTGTCAGCACGCAATAAAAGTTCTCTTCAATGAATACTTAACCAACTTGCTGGATTAAGCAAAGCTCCCCCATCCCTCTTTCAGATACACCAACTGGTATCTTGCTTGGTGAATGCTTACAGCAGGCAGGCTATTTTTAATCAGCACAACAACTTCTACTAGTTGACCTAACACTAAGAGTCAGGTTCTCATTATTCCACAATGTGCATATATTATTTGTAACAGGTTAGCTGCATAATTCATTTAATGGTTACATAAACCAATGAAAGATTACTGCAGAAAGAACTGTTTCTATTTTATCAATAGTAGATTACAAATGCTTTGGAAGAAGTTGAGAAGGACAAATTGGGTCAAAGTTCAATTACATGTGGTAAATTATGAGTGGGCAAGACAACAATGAAGGATTGAAGAAAAATCATTAAAAAATCAAGAACTACTTCACAAGCCTTTAAGTTGCCTCTTTGAGAAATCAGTAAAAGCTAGCCCATACCACACCTACGTGTGGGTAACAAAAAGTTACTCCTTAATTTGGTTGGACAGAGTGCTTCAATACATGGCTTTGTGAGCTGAGAGCAGGTTAGTTAGATGTTTGGGCTGTTTCCAATCTTTTGTTAGCACAAGCAATGTTAGAATAAATAATGGTGCTCAGATATTACTTTTGCATCTCCAGGATATATGGCTAGAATTGAAACTGCTGGATCAAAGGGTGTGTATAACTATAATTTTGACAGCTGTTACTTAATTCTATCCCTGTTCTCCATCCAAGATAGCACTAATATATATCTCCACAAAGAATGTATAAAAAGTATCTGTTTCTCCACACAACTAGCAAAATACCAATATGCTATTTCAGAGTAGCTTGTGTTTTTGCTGTATTTTAAAGTTTCATTTCTCTCATTATAAACAAAGTTGAGCATCAGCCTTAAGAAATAATTATATTTTCTTTGTCATTTTTTGTTTTTTCTTAGGGATTTATAGGAGTTCTTCACGTATTCGGGAAATTATATTTGCCTATTGTATATATTTCAATTATTTCATTATTTGTTCTTTTTCTTTTGACAGTACTGTTTGATGTCACAGAAAAATATTTTTAATTTTGTATGTATTCAAATTAATGAATCTTTTCCTTTCTCGCTTTTGAATTTAGCGGGATACTTTAAAAAGCATTCTCCACAATGAGGTATATAAAAATACTTTCAAACCACAATTTTTTTGCTACTTTTTTATTTTTCAGTTAAAATTTTTTTATCCATTTGTAATCATTTAGAAGATTATTAAATAAAATCATACTCACTTGTCCCATCACCACTTAGCAGTCCATCTTTCTCCAAGTGGTTTCATAAATGTTTGTCAGTGTCTGAACTTTCTATTCTGTTCCATCTCTTTTTATTAGTTAAGTTTTATATTTGAGTATATTTTAACTAATGAGGCTTTACAACACATTTTAACATTGGGTAAAGCAATCTCTCTCACTACCCTTCTTTATCAGATTTTTCTTGCTGTTCTTGCTTGTTTGGTTTTCCATATGAATTTCACATTCAGCTTGTGTAGATTCTCTGCCCCTTAAAAATATCTTACTGTGGTAATTTTATTTCAATCATGTTACATTTTATTTGGAGCACGTTGACATTTTGGAATGCTGAGTCTTCCTAATCAAAGAACATGGTATTCCTTTCCATTTGTTTAGGTCTTTATCTGTGTTTCAAAGGATTGTTTTAAAGTTTTCTCTTTATAGATCTAGTTTATTTCTGGGCATTTTATTTTATTTTACATATATTTTCTTATTTTTATAGGAGTTTTTCAGTTGATTACTTTTTCTAGGAATTCAAATAACTAACTGCAAAGACTGATAACTTTATCTCCTTTTTTAAATCTTTATACCTCTAATTTACTTTTCCTTTCTTATATATAATACCTCTCAGTTTGATCATGTGTTGTCTTCCTAATTTGGTTTAGTTGTCCATCATGTTTTCTCATAGTTGACTGAACTTTAAGAGGGCTAATCTGAATTTGTTGTCAGTTTCTATATATTCATTTACTTAGGGTTAATTATTTGCGCTTTATTATTTTCCTTTGATTATGTCATTTTTCCATGATTCTTCATATCCCTGTATCTTTGCACTGGTGTCTGTACATTTAAGGAAGCAGCCACTTCTTCCAGCCTTTACAGGTTTTCTTCAGCAGGAATAGTCCTTCACCAGTCAGTCCAACCTTTGGATCTGAACAGGCCAGCAGACAACATCCATGGGTAGGCAGGCAGTACTTGCTGTCAGGTTCTCTAGCTGGGCAGGGCTGCTGCCCATACTGCTAAGGTCAGGTGGGGCCACTGGTTGGGCTCTGCAGTCAGACAGGGCTGCTGGCTAGGCTCTAGAATTGCTTCCTGTTGGGCAGGATCACAGGCTATGCTCATTGGCCATGTGCTGCCATGTGTTAGGCTTTGCAGTTGGGCTGCAGGTAGGCTTCATAATCATCCACAGTTGGGGGGCATCCAGGATAGGCTCTCTGGTCAAATATTGCTGCTGGTTGGACTCCTTGCTCAGGCAGGGCTGCACATTGGGCTGCATGATGAAGCAGGGCTGCAAGATGTACGCTGCAGTTGGGTGGGGTCATTGGCTTGGTTCTCTCTCTGGACAGGACTACTGGCTTTGCTGTGTGGTTGGTCAGTGTTGTTACAGGACTCCCAGGTCAGGCTGGCTGCAAGCTGGGTTCCATGATTAAGTGGGGCTACAGGCTGGGTTCCTTGACCAGGTGAGGCTGTTGATGTGCTCTGCGCTTGAGCTCCCTGGTTGGATGGGGCTGTCAGCTGTGCCCCATAGTTGTTGGGGCTAAAGGCTGCACTCCATGATCAATTGAGGTAACTGACTGTATTCTGGGGTCTGGCAGGGTCAATGGGTTGGCTCTCTGCCCAGGCATGGCCATAGGCTGTGCTTAGCAAATGGGCAGGGCTGTGGGCTGAGCTCTATAGCCAGGTGGGGTTGCTAACTAGGCTCCTTGGTCGGCGGGGTCCAGACTGTGCCCCACAGTTGGGTAGGGACTGTGGTGCGGCTCCCTGCCTGGGTGGGTACGTAAGCTGGGATCTGGGGCTGGCAAGGTTGCTGTTCCAGGTCTCAAGGTGGGCAGGGCCAGAGGCTGTGCTCTGGCAAGATTGTCAGCTTGGCTCCCTGTCTAGGCAAGGACTTGACAAATTTGTTTTTGTGTATTACACACATAGCTTAAGATTCCTATGTACTTCTCCTTGATTACACTTCATTTGTATTATTTTTCTAATATCTAAAATTCAAAGTTACATTTTGGCTGAATTACAAAGGTTTTAATATTCTTACTGCTTTTTAATTTGAAACAGTTCATGAACTTACTTTTTATTTCTTCCTTAACCCTAAATCAGATAGAAGGGTTTACAATTTTTAAGTGGATAGATAAATTTTGGCCACTTATTTTGTTAAATCACAGTTATATTACACCATATTCGAGGCAGATAGCTAAAACAATTTTTCTGTTTTTGAATTTGTTAAATTTTGTGGCTTAAGATGTCAGTAGTTTCTGTGAATGTTCCACATGGCTTTGAAAACAAAGTAGCCTTATGTTTTCTCTACTTGAATTATTGATTTCTGAGTATAGTACATACTAAATATACTGCAGGACAGTAAATACACCTAAGGATTCATCAATTTCCATCAAATTTTGCTTAACATGTTTTCAGATACATAAACATTTCATAATTTCTACATTTTCTTCACAAACTATCCATTCTTGTCATTCCTAATGTGTTTTTTTTTTTTTGCCATTAATTTTGTCTTGGAATAATATTGCTATATCTTCTTTTTCTTAGCATTTATCTGATGTATATTTAGTTGTGTGCTGGTAAATCAGTTCTTTGGATGTTGGGGGAAGAGCATGACTTGTAATGTTTGTTGATTTTTTGGTACGGATATGTTTTTTTGTTTTTTAGAGATGGGGTCTTGCTCTGTCACCCGGGCTGAAATGCAGTGGTGTAATCATAGCTCACTATAGCCTTGAACTCCTAGGCTCAAGTGATCATCCTGTCTTGGCCTTGAAAAGTGTTGGGATTACAAGCATGAGCCCACCATGACCGGTCAATTTCTGTGAAATAAATATATGCACCATGATTGATTTCAAGCAACCAACATGAATAAGGGGTTGGAAAGAGACACCCAAAACTGGCTCTTGTGGTACAAGCTAGTCCCAGGATACCATATTTTTTAAATCTTTTAAAGCTTTTGGATAACTATATTTTAAGTGCATCTTTTTTTCTATCATAGTCTGTCTTCTTTCCTCTTTGTTCAAAAGATACATTTCAGCTCTATTATTTATATTATAGTTATTGGTATATTTGGATTTATACCAGTCATGTTATTCTATCTTCTTTTTCTCTCTCTAGAGTCAACTATTTCCTTCATGAATTTTTCTTTTCTTCTAATTTTATTGTGGTAAGAATACTTAGCATGAGACCTACTCTCTTAACAAAATTTTAAGTGTACATCATTGTTGACTATATGTACAATGTTGTACACAAATCTCTAGAGCTTATTCATCTTGCTTGAAACTTTACGCCTATTAATTAAAAATTCCCCATTTCTCAGTCTCCCCAATCCCTTCCAAACACCATTCCACTCTTTGATTCTATAAATTTGACTATCATAAACACTCATAGAAGTGGAACCGTGCAGCACTTGTCTTTCTGTAACTGGCTTTTTTTCACTGAGCATAATGCCGTCGGAGTTTATCCATGTTGTTGCATACTGCAGAATTTCCTTCTTTGTTTAAGGGTAATCAATTGTTGTTTATACAACATTTTCTTTATTCATTCATCTCTTGATGGACATTTAGATTGTTTCTACATCTTGGCTGTTGTGACTAGTCCTGCAATGAACACAGGAGTCCTAACATCCATTCAAGATCATGATTTCACTTCTTTTGGATAAATACCCAGAAGTGGGATTACTAAGTCCAATGGTGGTTCTCTTTTTAACATTTTGAGGAATCTCCACACTGTTTTCCATAGCAGCTGCACCACTTTGCATTCCCACCAACAGTGTACAAAGGGTCCAATTACACCACATCCTCACTCACACTTATTATCTTTTTTTAAATAGCTGCCATCCTGACAAGTGTGATGTGTTATCTCACTGTGGCATTGATTCGCATTTCCCTGATAAGTGACATTGAGTTTGTTTCTGTTGGTCATTTGTGTGTTTTGGAGAAGTCTGTATTAAAGTCCTTAACCTATTTTTTAACATACAACAAGCCTACAATAATTAAAAGAGTATGATACTGGCAAAAAGACAGACATAGACCAATGGAACAGAATAGAGAACCCAGTAATAAATCCATAAATATAGTCGACAGGGTGATATATAACGGTGAAAGGACAGTCTCTCCAGTAAATGATGCTGGATAACTGGATATCCAAAGGCAAAAAAATTGAAATTAGACTCCTCTCTTACACCACAGACAAAAATCAGCTCAAGATGGATAAAAGACTTAAGTATCAGACCTGAAAGCATAAAATTTCTAGAAGACGCTTGAGTCCAGGAGTCGGGAGTCCAGCGTGGGAAACAGAGTGAGACGCCATCTCTTAAAAAAAAAAAGAAAAAACTCCTACAAGAAAACATTTTAAAAAATCTCTATGACACTGGTCTGGACAATGATTTTTTTAGAAATGACATCAAAAGCAAAGACAACGTAATCAAAAATAAATAAGTAGGACTACATCAAACTAAAAGGCTTCTGCACAGCAAACAACAGTGAACAGGCAACCTACACAATGGAAGACAAATATTTTCAAATCACATATCTGATAGAGGTTAATAGCCAAAATACAGGCATACTTGAGACATATCATGGGTTCCATTTCAGACCACCACAATAAAGCAAATATCACAATAAAGTGAGTCATACAATGTTTTTGGTTTCCCAGTGAATGTAAAAGTTATGTTTATAAGCATTCAATAGCATTATGTCTAAGAAATGTACATATCTTAATTAAAAATACTTTATTATTAAAAATGCTAATGATCATCTGAGCCTTCAGCACATTGTAAAAACTTTGCTAGTGGAGAGTCTTGCCTCAAGGTTGATAACTGCTGACAAATTAGGGTGATGGTTGCTGACAGCTGGGCTGGCTGTGGCAATTTCTTTAAGACAACAGTGAAACTTGCCATATTAATTGATTCTTCCTTTCATGAAAGATTTCTCTATAGCATGTGATGCTGTTCAGTAGCATTTTACCACAGCACAACTTCTTTCAAAACTGGAGTCAATCCTCTCAAACCCTGCCACTGCTTTATCAACTAAGTTTATGGAATATTCTAAAACTTTTGTTGTCATTTCTACAATGTTCACAGCGTTTTCACCAGGAGGAGATTTCGTCTCAGGAAACCGCTTTCTCTACTCGTCCCTAAGAGGCAACTCCTCATCCATTCAGATTTTATTTTGAGATTGCAGCAATTCAGTCACATATTGGGCTCCATTTCTAATTTTAGTTCACTGGCTATTTCTACCACATCTGCAGTTTCTTCCTCCACTAATGTCTTGAACTCCTCAAAGTTATCCATGAAAGTTGGAACAAACTTCTCCAAACTCCTGCTAACGCTGCTATTTTGACCTCCTCCCATGAATCATTAATATTCTTAAATGGCATCTAGAATGGTGAATCCTTTCCAGAAGGTTTCCCATTTACTTTGGCCAGCTCCATCAGAGGAATCACTATCTACAGAAGCTATGCCTTGTGAAATGTATTTCTTAAATAATAAGACTTTAAAGTCTTCAACTTTAAAGTTGAAATTACTCCTTGAAACATGAGCTGAAGAATGGATACTATATTAGCAGGCATGAAAACAGCATTAATCTCAATGTACATCTCCATCAAAGCTCTTGGGTGACTAGGTGCATTGTCAATGAGCAGCAATATTTTGAAAGGAATCTTTTTTTCTAAGCAATAGGTCTCAATATTGGGCCTAAAATATTCAGTAAACCATGCTGTAAATACATGTGTTGTCATTTAGGCTTTGTTGTTCCATTTATGGAGCATAGGCACAGTAGATTTAGCATAATTCTTAAGGGTCCTAGGATTTTTGGAATGTGAAATGAGCATCGGCTTCAACTTAAAGTCCCCAGCTGCATTAGCCCCTAACAAGAGACTCAGCCCGTTCTTTGAAGCTTTGAAGCCAGGCATTGACTTCTCCTTTGTAGCTTTCTCTTAGATGCCATCTTCTTCCAATAGAAGGCTGTTTTGTCTACATAGAAAATATGTAGTCATTTTCATCAGTTATCTTACCTAGATCTTTTGGATAACTTGCTGCAGCTTCTACATCAGCACTTGCTGCTTTACCTTGTATTCTTAGGTTATGTAGGTGGCTTCCTTCCTTAAACCTCAGGTAGCTTCAAAGTTTTCTGCTGCTTCCTCACCTCCCTCATCCTTTGAAGAACTGAAGACAGGGCCCTGCTCTGGATTAAGCTTTGGCTTAAGAAACTGTTGTGACTGGTTTAATCTTTTATCCAGACCACTAAAACTTTCTGTGTATCAGCAATAAGGCTGTTTCACTTTCTTATCATTTGTGTATTCATGAAGTAGCATTTTTTTACTTCCTTCAGTAGCTTTTCCTTTGCATTCATGACTTGGCTGTTTGGTGCAAAAGGCCTAGTTTCAGCCTATCTCAGCTTTTGACATGCCTTCCTCACTAAGTTTTTCTAGCTTCTGATTTCTAGCTTTTGATTAAAAGTGAAAGATATGTGATTCTTCCCTTCATTTGAACACTTAGAGGTCACTACAGAATTATTAGTTGGCCTAACTGCAATATTGTTGAGTCTCAGGAAGTAGGAGGCTCAGGGAGAGGGAGTGAGATGGGGGAAAAGACAGTTGGGCGGAACAGTCAGAACACACATAATATTTATCTATCAATTTCACTGCCTAATTAATATGGGTTCAGCTCATGGCACCTCAAAACAATTAAAATAATAACATCAAAGATTAATGATCACAGAACACCATAACAGATAGAATAATAATGAACAAGTTTGAAATACTGCAATAGTTACCAAAATGTGACACAGAGACACAAAGTGAGCACACACTGTTGGAAAAAAAAATAGAGCTGGCAGATTTGCTTGAGGTAAAGCTGCCACAAATCTTCAATTTGTAAAAAACACAGCATCTGAGAAAAGCAATAAAGCAAACACAATAAAATGAGGTATGTCTGTATTTAAGGAACAGCTACATCCTATCTTCTTTTTTTTTTTTTTTTTTGAGAGAGAGTCTTGCTCTGTCACCCAGGCTGGAGTGCAGTGGCGCGATCTTGGCTCACTGCAAGCTCCACCTCCCGGGTTCACGCCATTCTCTTGCCTCAGCCTCCCAAGTAGCTGGGACTACAGGTGCCCACCACCATGCCCAGCTAATTTTTTTGTAGTTATAGTAGAGACGGAGTTTCACCATGTTAGCCAGGATGGTCTTGATCTCCTGACCTCGTGATCCACCCACCTCGGCCTCCCGAAGTGCTAGGATTACAGACGTGAGCCACTGTGCCCGGCCCCTATCTTCTTTATTTACTATTTTTCTTATTGTTCCCTCCCTCCCTCCCTTCCTTCTTTCCCTGTTCATTCCCTCTCTCCCCTCTTTTTTATTTCCCGGCTTGTGTTAGATTGATGGAGCTTTCTTTATTTCTTTTTTCCATCATATTCTTTACAAATTAAATATTTTTATTCTTATGGCCATCTTTAAATATTTCAAATATATATTTAATATTATATTTTGAATCAATATCTAGAGTTTCTCATACCCCATATTGTTCCACCAAAGCAAAAAGGAAACTCAACTCTTCCAACCAACCCATTACCCCCATTTCTAATACTGCAATCGTTAAGGTCAATAATGATTTAGATTTAACCAGCTTACAGGTTTTACTAGCTTCTTTGTTTTCCATTGTTTCATATGTTTGAAATTTGACAGGGCAAAGAGACCTCAAGTAGTGACAAGATAAACTACCTGAATATAAGGAAGAGGAGGACAAAGACCTTGAGAGAGAAGAGGGCCTGCAGTGTTCAAAAAAGAGCAAGAAAGTCAGTCAGAAAGAAAGGCTAAAGTGGAATAGTGAGGTAAAATGTAGTAGAAAGTGAAGTTGCAGAAGTAACAATAAAATTAATCATGGAGTCCTTCATGGGCAGTCAAGGTTTTCCATTTTCTTGAGTAATAAGGAGTCATGCCAGGAGACTAGAGTAAGGGAGTAATTGGATATTTTCCCTTTTTTTTTTTTTTGAGGTGGAGTCTCACTCTGTCACCCAGGCTAGAGTGCAGTGGCGCGATCTTGGCTCACTGCGACCTCCGCCTCCCAGGTTCAAGCAATTCTCCTGCCTCAGCCTCCAAAGTAGCAGGGATTACAGGCGCTTGCCACCATGCCTGGCTAATTTTGTATTTTTAGTAGAGACGGGGTTTCACCATGTTGGCCAGGCTGGTCTTGAACTCCTGGCTTCAAGTGATCCACCCACCTCGGCCTCCCAAAGTGCTGGGATTACAGGCGTGAGCCACTATGCCTGCCCATGTTTTCCATTTTAAAAGGATCATTCTGCCAACAGATGGAGAAAAGACTGTTCTGGATCAAGAGCTGAAAGGGCAGACTAATGCATAGGTACAAGCAAGAAGTGATAGTAACCACAGCAGTGGTGACAGGTAGCAGACTCCTGGGTCTATTTTCAAACAGGAGCAGACACGATTTGAAGTATCAGAAATGCAACATGAGAGAAAGGGAAGAGCCGAAGATGATTACAGATTTGGAGCCTAACCATCTGGATGACTAGTGAAAATATTGTTCTGGGATAGAGAAAAAAAGCTAGGAGAAGCAAAATAATTTTTTTTCAACTTTTTTGTACATGTTAAGTTTGAGATGCCTATTAGACATCCAAGTGAAAATCACAACTAGGCAGGAAGATTTAAAAATCCATAGTTTCAAAGACAGGATGAGAACAGATATATATTAGGGAGTCATAGGTCAGAATATGGCATCTTAAATTACAGTGTTGGTACAGATTGTCTAGAGAGCGAGTATAGATAATGAAGAGGAAAGGTATAAAGACTGAACCCTAGGAAACTCCAACACTTATGTCTGTCAGGAAGAGAATGAGAACTAGCAAAGAAGTCAGAGAAGACCGGCTAGATGTGATGAGGAAAACCAATACAGTGTAGTACATCATAAGGAAGGCTTTAAAAAAGTGCTTCAAGGAGGAAGGAGTGATCAACGATATCAAATGCTCCCAAGGGTTCAAATAAGATAAGAACTAAGAACTGAGAACTGATCACAGATTGGGCAATATGGAGGTTACTGGTGACTTTGAATAAACTACTTTGGCGGGGTAATAAGATTGAAAGCCTAATTGGAGAAGGTTCAAAACAGAATGGAAGATAAGAAAGTGGGTAGAGAATAGGTATCACTTTTGAGGTGTTTTGCTACATAAAAGAGGAGAAAAATGAGTCAGCAGTTAGAGGAGATACAGAGTCAAATGAAGGGTTGTTTTTTGTTTTGTTTTTTTTTTTTTTGGTAAATGGTGTGTGTTTGCTAATGAAAGTGATCCAATATAGAGGGAATATTGGTGATACAAAGTGTAGGGTTGAAACTACAGGGCCAAAGTCCTTGCGAATATGAGGAGATAAAATCCAGTGTGCAAAGTGAGGTATTAGCTCTAGACGGGCATGCAGATGGTTCATTCCCAATAGGAGGGAAGGGACAGTATGTGGGTACAGATTTGGGAGGAATGTGAAAAATAAAGGTAATGAAAAAAAGGAGGAAATTATCTCTGGGTTGCTTCTGTTTTCTCAGTGAAAGACGCAGCTGAGATTGAGTGGCTAAGCAGAGGATGCTGGAGGTTTGAGAAGATAGCAGAATGACTGGGAAATGTGGAGCCTGAATGCACTGGGAACTATATAATTAGGATTATCACATAGTGCTGAGAGCCCACCTGAAGTTCTTGGTTATCTGTTTAAATAAAGATGAATCAGCATGGTTATGTTTTTATTTAATCACATTCACTTCCTTGGGTTCAGGTGGGAAGTAGGCAGAGATTCAAAATAAAGTAGGTTTGAGTTTTTTCCACATGAATATGACAAAGGGACATATGAGGAAGTTGAGGATATATGCAAGAAAGTGACGATGATACAACACAGAATCCATGCTGCATGAGGAGGGAAGTAAGGGCACAGTGGGAAGGAGGGTGGTAGTAATTAGTGAAAAAGTGGTAAGGCCAGTGAATTTGAGTTACGATCAGGTCAAAAATTGTTGCACTATGAGCACAAAAAGAAATAGTGGTCAAAGAATAAAATGCTGGAAATGGAGATTTTGGAATTCAGTTATGCGTAATGACAAGGCCAAGGGTAGTGTTTCTTAGTGGGAACATTTTTGGCATTTGAGAAAAATGACAATTTTTCACTGTATGAGATTTTTCTTCCCAATGCAGAACTTTTAACCACCCTGGCTCCTGGGTATTGAATGCTAGTAGCATCTACCAGTCAGTGTAACACAAAGCACCCACATACATTTCCAAATGCTCCCTAAGGTAGGTGGTGATCCAAAGTTGAGAACCATACATCAGGGGTATGATGATGGGAATAATCATTGGAAGTGAGGATGCTGAAGAATAGAAAGGGAATATCCAATAGGGGATTGGATGGCTTACATGGATATGAAGTCACCATAAGTCATAACAGAATTGTGTTGGAGAGAAAGATAATCCGGGTGCTAAGCTGTATGACTAGCATTCTAAAATGAGATACAAATAATTGGGGTGCGTGACTCTAATATGTTCCAATTGGCTTCTGAGATCTATTTGAATATTCATTCCTACATCTTACTCATCCCAACAGAATTTCTAAGTAGGTATGAATAATACAGGAATTCCAAGATCAACCCTCATGTACCATGTAAGTATCATTAAAGAGGTACCTAAATGAAGTATAAGCAATACTAGGTGGCCTACATAATGAGTAGTGTTGTTACTACATGATATATTCCATATGCCTTCAATTCCAATGCATTGATTATTAGAAAATACTATGTTGTTTGGTTGAAATATACTTCATAATGCATGAATGATCATTTTCCCATCCAAAGTGTATCTTTCAGATATAGTAGAGCCTTCACTGTGCTAGGTTCACTGAAATGTTTTACCTTCCACCCATATATCAAAGCTAACTTTTCATTTTTATAAGGTCACACTTGCCTTGTATTTACATGTTGGGTCTCAGCATTACTTTCCTCTTTTTTAAAATAAACAAATCAGCCTGTTTTCAACACTGGGTGCTACTTCCATCTGGCCTTTATCTTTACTTCTCTCTTATCTGTTACAAAATTGCCTTCTATTACCAGTTCAAAATCTGCTCAGTTGCTCTCTGAGCAACTCTAAAGCCACCTCAAAGGGTTTTGAAAAACCCTGTAAATTATCATTTGCTAAAAACACTGTAAGTTTTAAAAAGTGTCACTCTACACATATCAGTGGAATAATGATCCATAGCTAACACTTATTATCAAGTTAAGTAAAAACACTGTATGGCACAAAGTAAGCATTCAATAAATGTTAACTGAATTTCCAAAAACTGATGTCAGCCTTCTTGCAATTCTTGGGATATCATGAGCTAGGAATTATCCCAATATCTGAGGATATTGTCAAAATATGAATGGTTTTTAGACATACATATCAATTTACTTTACTTTTCAATTACTATAATTTATTGTAACCAGCCACCAATAATGTTTGTGGAAAATATAGTACACGATCCCACTTCTGCCTTATTAGATTTAGTTTTCCACTCTTTGAGTCTTTGTCTGCGATACATGTCATTTTTAGTTTCATCGAATCATTATGGATTGCTTGGACTTTTTTCAGTAAGATTACATTGTGAGGAAGGCAAAAATTCGTGGCTGAAAGACTCTGGAGTCACTCTTCCCATCATGGTTTTTGGGATAAAAAATGAATTTTTAAAAAACAGGTTTTTAAACAGCTTTATTGAGATATAATTTACATAAAGTTTTCCAAATAAGGAAATGTATTTTTATTATGAAACTTTTCTCTAAACACAGCTGTCATTTCCTTTTTCAGTATAATGACAGGGTGAAAAGAGTTAATTCAACTTGAATTGTATCATAGACCTGTTTATAAATCTTAATTAACAGTGCCAAGGTATTAACAATTGTATGTGTAAAATTAAAATTCTAATGCTCCACAAATGTATTCACTAAAGAAGCAAGAAATTTATATACCAAAAGCATCTTACTAAATCTTACCAAAGCAAGTACATATTGATAATGAAACCATTTATGCTTCCAGCTAAATACTGTTTTTTTGGCTGGTATTTATTTCATAGCTAACAAAATCCACTGAAAAGATGGAGCTTGGCAAATGACTCTCACATACAGGCACATTAACAAGCCTGTATCAGGGCTGAGTCAAACTGAGCAAATACTTCTAGAAATTTCCCTTGTGTGTTTTATTCAGTTATTAGGAGAATTCAAAGCCTCAGCTCTGCCACATATATCCAGCCCAGATGCTCAAAGTACTTGATTTCACCCCAGGGCCAAATTCCATATTCAAGACTAGATCTAGAACAGATGGCCACTCCACCTCTACCATAATCTGGTTGCGCCCTATGAATAAATGAAAAGACTAAAGGGAACATAGATTCCACAACAGGGCCAGAACAAACATTATTACTATTAATACTACTAATAATATTTATTAAGTACTTTTGTGTACATGATACCCTAATAAGCTCTGCATAGAATGAGTCCTGGTGATCATAATGTTCCATGTAGGTACCATGTGCATTCCTTAACTACGCTCATTAAGGAATGCACATAGTTCTCACTGTTCACAGAGTTTTCCATTTGAGCAGTGACTATAAGTCCAGTACTATTCTTGAAGCAGACGTAAATCAATTCCTCAAGAATTTACTGAGCCCTGTTATGTAACAATACCCTGAAGACAACAAATGACAACGTTCCTTTCCTCAAGTTGGCTTTAATCTACTTGAAACAGAAAGAAAAATACAAGTTTACAACTGTGTTAATGTACATATAATAAATGTTCAGGAGACGAGTCAGAGCCATACTACTACTGCTATTACTACTACTGATAATAATAGTTGATATTGAGATAGCAATTAGCCACTGTTCTGATCTTTAGCTATTGTAACTTACTTAAATTCTCACTTCGCTTATGTTCCATTATTAAACTCATTCTACAGATAAGGAAACTGAGGCACAAGGAATCAGTCACGATCCTGAAGTCAGAGAGCCAGTAAATGGCAGAGTTGAGCTCTATCCTCTTAACTACAGAGTTAAAGGACAGATTCATGACAGAGAAAGGCCCAGAGTTAAATCTGAAGGAGAGAACAAAGAGGGGAAGGCATTTTGGGTGAAAAGAAAACTTGAGCAAAGGCAGGAGTAAGCACAATATGGGTGAAAGAGTAGTGGGAAAGAAGATTAGACTTCAGCAGAATAACACCCAGCTATGGAAGGTCTTAAGTATTTAAAAAGGAGGAAGCATTGATCTAACGCACCTAATGTGGTAGTAGTTAAGGAGTCATTGATGATATGCTGCTTCAGATGGTGGGTCCTAAGCATTTCTGCCTAGACCTAGGGCCATATGTGCAAGGACAAGAAAGATGATAATCATGCCTTTCTTAAGACCCAAATATCCAGTCTCTGCCATCAATATATGGTTTTGGCTATTAATTTGCTGGTGGCCCTATATTTGAAAAATAGGTTATACAGCAGACATGGTACCAATAGCAACTATATGTTGGCACTAAGACACGGTTAAGAAAAACAAATGTCAAATTGCCATTGGAAGTCATGAGTTATAAATGGTCTTACTAAATGTCAAACTGATATGTATTGTTATTTGAATTCAATTCTTAAAAACAATGTAAGGAAGTGCTTCTAAAACTTTATTATGTATAATAATCACTTCGTTAACTTGTAAAATGCAGATTAGGCTCCACTCCAGACAGGATTTTGATTCAATAGATTTGGGGCCCAATATTGTGTATTATATTTAAATGCAGTAGAAACAGGATTCTGATGAAGGTAATTTAAACCTGAAACAAAGTGTAAAAATTCTGAAAGAGTACCGAAGACAGCCTGTCCATATTTATCATCTTTCCCTATTATATAATCTTTGAAACATTATTCAAATTAAAAAGTCGTGAAAACACAGCAATCCTGAATTCATCTATTAAGACATCTACTCAATATCACTGTTGCTGAACAATATGAAGGACTAACATTACCCTTGAATAATTAGAGTTTAGATACCCACTTCATCATTAAATACTATTTATATCATTGGATATAAAGAAAAAGTTTCTTAAAGATAATTTTTGCTGAACTACTTTGTATGGAGAAATATACCCATTACCTTATCATGGAAGTCATGAAACTTCAAGTATATGATAATCAGATATACAGTCATGAAATTAATTTTTCTATTTTGAAAACTTCTGATTCTCATTCATCCTTCTTTTTTAAAGTGCCACATTCAAAGAATGTTTCAAGGAAAAACAATGATTAGCATTTTGAATAAATCTCATAATTATATATTTCATATTTTATATCTTAGCCAAAAGCTCCACAAACAAAATGCTAAGTTGAATATAAAACAAAAACCAAGATTTATGAAGGTAATACTCATAATAAAAATGGTTCTACATCATGAGTAAAATAATGACTATATATATATATAACTTTAATTTTAGTTTCAGGGATACATGTGCAGGTTGGTTCTGTAGATAAATTTTGTGTTGCAGGGGTTTCATGTACATACTATTTCATCACCCAGGTAATAAACATAGTACCCAATAGGTAGTTTTTCAGTTCTCATCCTCCTCCCACCCTCACCCTCAAGTAGGCCCCGATGTCTATTGTTGCCTTCTTTGTGTCCATGTGTACTCAATGTTTAGGTTCCACTTATAAGTGAGAACATGTGGTGTTGGTTTTTCCTTTGTGTGTTAGTTCACTTAGGATAATGGCCTCCAGCTCCATTCAAGTTGCTGCAAAGGACTTGATCTCATTCTTTTCTATGGCTGTGTAGTATCCTATGGTGTGTATGTACTACAATTTCTTAATCCAGTCTATTGTTTATGGGCATTTAGGTTGCTTCCATATCTTTGCTATTGTTAACAGTGCCGCAATGAACATACGCATGCATGTGTCTTTATGGTAGAAGGATTTATATTATTTTGGTTATGTACCCAATAATGGGATTGCTGGGTCAAATGGTAGTTCTGTTTTTCACTTTTTGAGAATTTCCAAACTGCTTTCCACAGTGGCTGAACTAATTTACATTCCCACCAGCAGGGTATAAGTCACAATATTTAATGAAAGTGTTCACTATAAGTTAAACAGTGAAACTATTCAACAAGCATTTACAAAAAATAGTGTTTTGAATCTGGAAAAGGTAAATTACATTTACTAAAATTAATACTTTGCAATCATTTAGGATCCTCAGAGGCAGGCATTATTGGCTTGACTTCACACCAGTTGAAATATTCATTAAAAGAGATAAAGGAGATAAAATGTTTTATCAATTCATTTTGCAGATATTTTTAAAATGAGAAAACTCCCAAGGTATCTATGATTTCCAAAGAAGCAAAGTAAGGAATTTCCTCTTCGTGGAGTACTCAATAGTGGCATAAAATGTTATTAACTTCTATGTCTAGGGGAATGAAGGCTTTCTAGGGCTCTTCAGCTTTTAGATAATTTCTAGATGGTACACCTCTGCAGATACTTGAGTTTGTCTTCTCTTTGTTCTGTTTGTCATGTGCCATTCCTCTGTCTATTCCATGTCTTGATAGTTTGTGGCCTGGGATTCAGATGTCTCTTAGCATCACTGAACACTGAGCAAGTTTCTGGTTGTTCCTGCTTGAACGATTTTCAAAAGGAGAGTAGGGTGGGAACAGCTTAATTCTTTCAACTTAAAACCTGTCCAGATGACTTGACTACTACAATTTCATAACTAAATTGACATTAAGAAAGAAATATTAATAAGATGGTAGAAAATTTTAAATTCAAACTATAAAAATAAATTCTTTATGGAGGAATTATTAGCAATGTGATAAATAGGGTAGAAGAAGATGCTTTCTGTGTTAGGAAAGCAGAAAGAAACTTTATTCCCCAAATCATCTCAAGTAGGCTACTGCCTATCTGCCTAAAGTAAAGTACAAGTTAGTAAACGACAAGTAATTCAAACCTTCACAAATGTGGTGAACTCTTCTACTTTTTCATTGGCTAACAGCAATGTCTTCTGTGCACCTTCTAGGACCTGTTCACTTTGCAATGCTAATTCTTGAAGCTGCTTAGATGCTGCTGTTTCAATTTCTGCCATTGCAGATTCAGTCTCACTTATTCTTGATACTAGGAGAGTAAGCTTGAGATCCTGCAAAAGATCAGCAGTCATAAAATAAAAGATATTTTATAAACAGATTTGGAAGAGTTAGTTATACATGTCAAATAAGGAAAATATTTTATTATTCTCTCTATGTATTTATTATTTGGGTAAAATTAATGATTATTTTCATTAACTTTCAATAAAACATCCTAAGTACATATTCTCATATACTTATCATCTAAATTAGTTTATGATTTTTAAAGATTACAAATAATTAAAAGCATGGAAGCTATTTTAGACCAAAAGATCCTCCACATAACATGGAAACATTTAGTTTGAAAGTTTAAGTGGGCCTACAAAATTTAGATCTACTTGTATAAATACCAGTGTTCAATAATAGTTTTCATTTCTTAAAAACTATCAAGACAAACACAACCTGTTTTCTCTAATACAGAAATATCTTTAATGTTAAACCAATGTTTGGCGTTTCATGTAGAGATACAAATCCTCTTTGCACTTATCTGAAGTGTTTAAGTAGCTTGTGGTTTTGGGAAGGAAAAAGCAACAATGTTAAAAATGAAACAAACACGATTATATTCCATCTGTAATCTAAAATGCCCTTTTTAAAAGCATACCTTTTTTTCTAACTCCTCTTTAGATTTCTGATACATCTGTTCATACTGTGACTTTTCTTTTACAGCAACGTTAAGTCTTTGCTTTAGTGAATCAATTGATACCTTCTTGTTGGAACATTCTTCAGTTAATGTCTTTACCTACATTAAAAGCATAAAGGTAATTATTATTGTTGAAGGCATTCTAGTAATATACTGTGTTTGTTCCAACAGAAACTAAATGAGTGAATGAGTCTACTTCCATTTATTTTCTCATAACGCTATCAAATTCAAGTATTATACTTACAGAACTCATATTATGAATGAAAGTAACAATCCTTAAATCAGTAACAAAAACTAAAATTGCACACAAACTAAATGAATACTGGTATGTTTATTCTTGCACCCAATAACACAATATTAATGTTCACTACATATCCATTAATTACTAATCTAAACTTCCTAAGGCAGGAGATGATTGTTTTGACTCTGAAACAAGCCAAGTTAAAGGTAACTTTCCATTGTATTCTCTAAAATAACTATTACATACCTTTTTTTGGATGAAATAAAACAATAGGATATTTTATATATATATATAGCTTATTTATAAGATTATAATATGTGTATGTAACTCAAAGCATAACAGAAAAAATAGTTTTTCAGTTTAATGCCACTAAAGATATATGTTATTTATATAAAGATTCCAAGGCTATGTATGAAATTATTATTGAAGTTAAAAAATAGCAAAATTGAAAGGATAACATTGAAAAAGCCTATAGGAAGTGATTTTAACTTGCACAGATGTGTGGAAGAGAAGAGAAAGAAAATCCATATGGATTTGTCATGCTCATGTAAAAGTTTCTTTCTTAAATCAATTTGACCTAAGAGATACTTAAATTTTCATTTTCAACAAGGAAAGTAAAGGAGATGTTCTCTCAGGTGTGGATAACATTTAGTGAATGCCAAAGCACAGGGTGCTTTATGAGTTGTGAAAAAAGCACCTTCAAAAAAAAAAAAACAAAAAAAACCCTTCTACTTTGGGTCATATATTACGTAACTACTTTAACTACAACTCCCTTTGCATGTACAACTCCATTCCCATGTAAAATTCATTAAGGGTATCCAAGAAGAAAGTACATTTTTAAAGAACTTCTGATAGTTATAGGTAATCAAGTTTTCACTAAGAAATATAAGCTTGATTCTATCATAAATTACAGTTTTAAATAAAATACTGAATAAAATGTAATTATGTATCCTAGAAATATTGAGGATTTTTAATCTTCTCATGGGATATTTATAAATAGAAACAGAATGTGTGGCCATATTATGTATGAGGTTTTAGAGAATTGAATTTTAAAATAAATAATGTACTTTCAGAGCAAAGAGTGTTACTTTGTAACAGTAAATACATATCCTATCAATATTTTCTATACATTTATTAGGATTAAATGTTTGTGGTAAGAGAGTAATTACAACAGGAAGTGATATTTTTAGTGTCAGTAAAGATAAAAATTGATACCTTTTTATCAAGATTTTGTAACATTTCACTAAAACTCTTGTTACTTTCCAAATTTACTTTCTGTCGAAATTTCAAGTCCTCTATCAAATGTCTTTTCATAGTTATATCCCTCTCCATTCGAGATATCCTTGAAAAAAAAAAAGGTGACATCAAGAGTGACAGAAAATACCTTAACAGTGGTGATATCTTACATTTTATCCAATATTATACCTACTGTTACTTTTTAAATGCTACGTGATATTGACACTGTAAATCAGTAAAATGAATTGCACTGCATAAGATATTGTTCTTTTAATATTTTGAACACTTGTAAAATCTATAGTTGTGACTTGGTAATTATATAATTACATATATGTATTAAAACAAAATATATAAGAAATGAGAAAAATTAATAACACTTATGAAAACTTAGAACTATTTCATTTAAATTACATTTTTACATTGCTGTGAAAAATCAAAGTGATATATGAAGATAATCAAAAGCATAAAAATGATAAGAAAAAAATCTTATACTTCAATAAACAAATGCAAACTCTTGTAATGAAACTAAATTAGCCATAATATCTTCTAATTTAATATAATTTGAGATTCAATCCACACAGCTGTTTAGCATAAGTTGATGAACTATTAAGTATAAAATGGTAGATGCTGTGAGAACCACTGCTACTGCTGCTGCTGCTGCTGCTACTACTAAAACAAGAATGACAATAGCTAACATGTATCGAAGGCTTACAATGTTCCAGTCACTGTTATAAGTGCTTTACATGTATTAACTCATTTATTCCTCGTAAGAACCTAATTTAATATTATTAAATTTAGGCATAGGCCTAGTAGGTAGGGAAGCCAGGATTCAAAGAGTGTTAATCTAGAGCCCTGTTAAACAATAAGCAAGACTTACTCTTAATTGATAAATAAACTTCAAAATATTATCAGTTAAAAAATTAACCAAGCTTTTTGTCTAATGCTTTTATCTATTCATATCACTTTTAAGTGCTCTTCACTTATAATGAGGTCTACAGGTGTGTTTGTGAGATACATATATCTCAAATGTATCAGTGACAACTGGAATTCTATCTAAACATCTTACTATTTCTAAGCAATAGTGTAGCTTTGAAAGATACAGAAAGAAAATAATTTTGATTCAGTGGGATAGAGCATTTAAAATCTTTGTACTGATAAACACAAGAGTACAAACTTCCATAACCTCCAGTTATTTTAAACACAAACAAAACTTTCCTTTTTTTACCTTAGCTTTATAAGCTTAGGCATTAAATCCAATACAAATACTAATCATATATTTGGGGGGCCAAATAACCACCACGTTGTAAAGTTTTTCATTCATTGTCTCGAAGCCATTAATTTGTATTTATTCAAAATTAAATATGTTTAATAACGGAAATTTAACTTCATCATTATCTAATTTAAAAAAGTAAATAGCTTGCCATTAATCATGCTATACATAGTATTCCTTAAACTTTCATCTTAGGTAGGTTTAAATATGAACTAGGGAAGGAAAACGTAAACATTAGCAGTTTCTTGGAGCACGTTTAATAGAGCTGGTTGCCACTAGGTGGCACCAAATACAATGGATAGAAATACAAAAACCATACTTTTCATGCATTTCCTTTATGTGTTCTTCTTTTGCTAGGAGTTCAAATTTCAAAGTCTTCACATTTGATGACTGTTTAGTGAGTTCATTAGTAGCATTCTAGATTAAAAATAGAAATAAATTTAAATATACCTTACAACCTTGGTCTAAGGCAGCATAAAAATAAGTGCCATTCTAAAGAAGAATACCTCTACAATAATTATGGTAAACAATAATTAAAATGAATATTTTAATATTTTAAATGCTTTATTTTATATGCTGTAATAGAAATAATAATACTAAAACTTTTATATAACATGCCAAACTATAGAGGAACACAATCATTTAAGAATTGCAAAGAGTATGTATCCAAAATACATTTACAGGAAATATGAGTTGTCCTGGTATAATGTAAATATGTGAATAATTAAGAATTTTAATGATTTAAGAAGATCACTTAAAACAAATACTGGATTTACTAACATCTTAGACGAAATATGGTCACAAATGCTTTGCTGCTCATCAAGCAGGGGAATCCATTTCCTAACCCACTGAACGTAGTCTGGCTTGTGACTTGCTTTGTCGAAAAGAATGCAGCAGAAATGAATTGTGTAAATTTCAGTTCCCAGGCCTTAAAGCTTTGTGGCTTCTCTCTTTCCCTTCTTGGAATGCTGCTCCAGGATCACCTTGCTAGGAATACAGTTGATGTATCATGTGGAAGTGTACCAAGGTACTCCAGCTGACAGGTAGTAGACCAATTGTCCGATCTATGAGTGAGGCTATTTTGTATCTTCCAACTAGGGAAATCTTTGGTTTGAAAAAATCCAGGGATATGAGGTAGCCCAGAAGAGACCAGCAAAAGAACTTCCCAGTCAACCCACAAAATCTTAAGAAATAATAAACTGTTGTTTTAAGCCACGATGTTTCGGGATAGTTTGTTAGAGAATAATGGTAACTGATAGAAAACCTCATGAATACTCAATCCTTCTTTACTTGAAGTTATTAATAATGCTACTTATTACATTATTTGTAAATAATTATTAGTTTTTCAAAGCAAAACATGTTTGTTCTGTGGTATTTGTTGTCAGTAGAGCCTAGGAACCAGAGGTGGTAACTAGAGTGTTAGAACACCTTTCAATTTTGACTCTAGTTCCAACTAAATGTGTAATCTAAGACATCACTTAGTCTTTTTGGTATTTAGTTTTTCCACACTCAAGATAGTGTTGACATACTCACATTAATCCATTTGTTAAGTTTTAAAGGTATTAAATGAATATAAATATAATAAAATATAATAGCTTTTAAAATATTTGGAGTAGTTATTTAGCTAATATTTCTAAACTACAATAAATTTTTTCTATTAGAACTATTCCTAGGTTTGGATGTTTGACTCATGCTAAAAATAATTTGAATTTGAAAAGATTAAACTATTAATTACCCAAGGTAAATGTAATTCATCAGACTGACTTTAAATATCTCATGGGTATAACATACAAATAAAACATTTGAAATAATTTTAATTTTTACATGAAACATTAATTTTTCTTAAAAACCCAAAGCTACCTCAACATGGTAACTCTTTTGAATGTTATGTTTTGATCAAATGTGTGTGTAATGTAATCAAAATTTCTACCATATTTTGCACGTTTACAGTGATGTATTGTGTCTTATTTCCAGCACTGCCTGAATAACATGTTCCACACTAGTCACACTAGTCAATTTATCAAATAATTGAAGCGTTTGCTTCAATCATTAATTTTCAATTCTTTCTCTGATGATTGTTCATTCAGTTAGAAATACGGACACCCATGATTATGCTAAGCTAATAGTGATATGTTAATATAGTGATATCATATCATAAATATTATCACTATAAATTATATATGATATACTAATATGTATTATATTATCACTATACTATAATATAGTGATGGCTTTAGGGACTACTGTGATATAAACGTCTACTTATCGCTCCTCTAAATGGTCCCAGACTGTGCTTTTCTAATTTTGTATTTACCTTAACATTTTCATATTGCCTTTTTTTCTCTGTCAATCTTTTGTTTGTAATTTTTTGCTTCTGTGTCATTATTCCTGCCTAAAAACAATCATCCTACCCCTTAATACGCATACTTCTAGTGTGCTGCACTGAAGGTGTTTTCTGCTGAGAAGTAAAATAAACTTAGAATTGTATTTAAAATAAAAGATACAGGCAGTAAATAAAGCCTGACAGTATCTTCAATGCAATGAGTTAAGTAGATATTAAGATAACTAGTTGATTCTTTTCTGTTTTTAGACTTAAGGCTGTATTATGTGGCTGAAAATGCTGTTAACTCTGACTTGGAGAATTGAGAGAAAAGCAATTTATAATAAATAAAACAATGCCAGGTTGAGATACACTTTGGCCAAGATCTCTAAATCTAACAGCTATTTCATTTGATCCTCAAAAATTTTTATCAGATGGGTAGAAAGGTATCCCTGCTTTAGACCTCTAGAGAAGTTAAGTAATTTCCTTGACCAGGTTGACGAGAAGTTAATGGCCAAAAAGTGATCGAAACCCAGCTCCTTTGTCCCTTTTCCATTCCCTACTATACAATATATATCTGTAACATAACTTAAAATCTGGTAATTTCCTTGTAATACATCCTTTGATGTATGATGTGAAACACACACATCAAAAATGTCACAATGGTAAAAAGTCATCCCTGTTACAGCTTTCCTATACTAAGTTTATTGAATATTTTTTTAAAATTTGCATAGTATAGTAATTAGGAGCATGGACTATGGAGCCAGATGGTTTGAGTTCTCATCTCGGCTCTATGTACAGTACTTGTGTGATCTCGGACAAGTAACTTATTCTTTCTGTGTCTCAGTTTTCTCAACTGTAAATGAACCAGAGACATCAGAAAAGTATATGTAAAATTACACAGAAAAGTCTAATATTAACTGGATAGTATAGAAAAGATGTATATAAACTTTTAGTATATTCGAATCTAGCCAATTTTCTCAATTAAGTCTAAAAACATTAAGTAGAAAATAAGCTACTTATTAGAAAATCACTATATTAGCAGTTTGATATCTGTTATGTGCTAAATTCTGTTTCCCCTAAACAAATTAGTATGTAGAAGTTCTCACCGAACCCTCAGTACTTTAGAATGTGACTGTATTTGGAGATAAGGCCTTTAAACAGATAATTCAGGTAAAATGAGGTTATTAGGGTGGAATCTAATTCAGTCTGAGTGGTGCCTTTATAAAAAGGGAAATTAGGACACAGACACATAGAAGGAAGACCATGTAAAGACACAGGCAGAAGACAGCCATCTACAAACCAAGGAGAGAGGCCTCAAAAGAAATGAAAACTGTTGACACCTTGATCTTAGACTTCCAGCCTTCAGAACTGTGAGAATAATATATACGTTTGCTATTTAAGATAACCAGTCTGTGGTATTTTGTTACGGAATCTCTACAAACCAGCATCAAAACAAAAATTTTTAGTAGTAGACAATATTATGTACTTAAAGGTACTTGGTCTTCTAGGAAATTTCTATGTGAAAACATGAAACAAGACAAAAGTAAAAACTTATCCTTTTTGTCCCTATACAGTTTGGTCAGTGTTCCAAGACTCTATGTTAGATTATGGACAATCACTTCACACTAATTGCTTTAGTTCTCTTTCTGACTCACACATTCCTCCAAAGCAAGAGAGAGATTTGTATGTGGGGTAAAAACTTATACCATGGAAAACCATAATGCAAAGAACTTACAGACACTCATATGGATCTATTATTACCAAAAATTATTAGACCATTTGTAGTAAGTAAAATAAGTAAAATATAAATCAACTAAAAACTGTTTATGTAAAAATTATAAATTATGATTTATGTATAAATCAACTTAAAACTATTTATGTCTTTTAGAAGTCAGATTAGACAATACTGGACCTAGCACTCTATTTTATCTTGGTGAAAAACAAAGTTATATCAGAATCATGAGGACTTAAATATATGAAGAATCACAGAAGTAAGAATTAAAGTCTATGTGATAGATAAGATCAAGGAATAGCTCAATGATTTTATCTTCTCTATATGAAACCTTAACACTGAAATGTTCAGTTTACACATTTTATCCCACATTTTCAGAGACACATTTTAGGATTCATGCCCCGAAATTGCACAACACTTCTTCCTTCACATTTCTAATATTTTATAAGTTATTTAAGATTATAAAATGTTGTGACTGACCCAAGTTATACACATAAATTGACTAAAGAAGATGGTATTCAAGAAGAATCCCAATGCTAGTTTGTATATTTGGTTACTATTAATAAAGCAAATTATTTTCAAGCAATAATAAACTCATTCATTTTAAATTTTAGCCTATTTATCCTATGAGTAAATCTGCACTAAAAGATGTATTATTGAAGGGTGCACATATCCTATTTGGGACCGAAAACAATGATGAGTCTATTTGACAATTCAACATAGTATTCCAATACCCTCCTAACAGGGATGATTATTCCATTTCTAATGTACTCTGTGCATTTACAATCAGGATTTTCTTTCTAGTGACTCACATTATAGCAATGGTCCCATATATACTGCTCTTTTTAGCTTCTAGCTAGCAATCCCCACTGAAGAAAATAATTAAATATGTGAGGAATAAATGGGCTTAAGAAGCATGAAAATGAACTTTCCAATTAAGTGTGAGGATCACTCACAAATCCTATTTCTTACAAAGTAATTCTATTTAAACTAAGGACAGCCTTACTTTTAAGTTGCTGACAGTTTCGCTTGGTCTTAGATTCTTTTTTTTTTTTTCTCTCCTCTCATTGCTTTTTCTCTACATACTTCCTACTATTTTAAGTTGGTTGTTGGTTGGAGACAGAGAAGGAGGAGATAAATGGGAGGGAGAAGAAGCAGAGAGCAAAAGTGGGTTGGTTTCATTCTCAAGTTTAACTTGCTGGAAGTATGTAGAGAAAAGCAATTCTGTTTATGTTGACGCATTACATGCCTGAAAGGATTCTGTTCAGCTGGAGGGAGGCATGGGGGCAGAAAGAAGTATTAGAGTAGCAGATATTGGCCAGTTTAAATCAGCTCCTAAATTAGGATTTCATGGTATCTTGTCTTTTTCAGAGAATGGTAGTATTGATTACCAGATAAGAATCTACCAGGCTAAAAATTAATGATGAAGGCAATATTAATAATTTTTTGGATTATCTATAACATAATTTACCTTTATTAGAATAAATTAGTGTTCATATAAATATGTCTTGCAGGATTCAAGCATAATGTATGTTTTCATGCTTAATAAATTTTATAATCACCTTTAGTTTATACTGCAATTGCTTCATTTCCAAATCCATGCTCCTTGAAGGACTAAGTGATGTAACTTGTATCCGTGGAAATGTTACCTGGGAATTTTCTTCTGCCAAACTTGTGATTTCAGATGAGGACTCCAATTTCTTTAGTAAATCTTCTTTTTCTTTCCGAAGCCCAGCCAAATCCAAATTTAGCTTCTTTTTTTTAAAAAAAGAAAATAAATATAAATATATTTTAAAAGTAACTATATTTAATCTAACAATTATCAGCATAAAATTCTACAGCTAGGAAAATATTAAAGAGAACTGAAATTAATTATAGTTATTATACAAACTTTACAAAAATCTTAACCTCTACTAGATTTTGCTTATAGTAGTATGGCTTGCAAAGGTAAAACAAAGTGAACCAGCTATACTCAATATCTTTTGGTTGGCTGGTCCTGACTCATGATGCACTATTTCTTTACCTTCACACATACATGGGTGAGCCAGACATTCACATATTTGATAACCTTGACTTCAGAGCTGATGTAGTACTTAACTGGGAAAAGCCAAGCTGGAGCAGGACAAGATAACAGATGTTAGCTGTTTATTCCACTGGGTAGGTCTTACCATCCTATATAGCAGCCAAAATGCTTCTCATTTAGCAACATAAATGTTAAGTCCAATTAGCAGACGAGGCTTGTTAGAGATTTAGTTCAAATAAATAGCGTGCAAACAAACTCGCTCAGTTTTATGCACTTGATTGATTGTTGAAAAGTCCTGTTTCTAATGTTGAGGTAGAAATGCACTAAACTCCTTACATTTTGAATTTTTAATAGCATAAACATTTTGCTAAATGACATAATAGTAATGTTTTTATGAAGGAGTATAAAAGAAACCCATCTTAACGTTAGCCTTTCTCATTCACCCATCTATAGTGAGCAGAATGTCACCAAACTATAATGGCATAACAACTCAGAGCTGCTTAAGAGGGTGTTTGCATTACTATTTTATTATTCCAAAGAAGCTTATAATGTGGTACCTTAACATAAGGTACAATTAGACAAAATGATACTGAAATCTCTCAGAGGGGGAAAAATCTTTCTTTGTTGAAATTCCAATTAGAAATAGCAAAAGATGTAGCTAAAGTGTACAGTAAGATAAACATGAAACATGTTACTTAAGTATTAACACTATATTTAAAACACAATTTCTAGAAACTATACCATAATTATATATGTATTTGTATATGTAAGTGCATATTATTAAATATGAATATTTCAGATCATGGACTCAAAACTAGAACTTGATATACTTGAGATCAAACTGTTTTGGTAACATAAAAAGTATGCTGTGGTGAAAAAAACTATTTGGCTATATTTTAGCTTTATAATCTAAAAGTATGGTTCTATAGATTTTTAGGAAATTGTTTATGAAATTTGTTCCATGAAATTTGTTCATGAGTTGCCCCAAAAGAGCCTAATAATTAATATCTAAAAGTAAACTCTTAATCTCCTTAAACCTGGAAATCTTCCTGGCTAATATTCAACCTTGAATCCATCTCCCTCCCTATTTGTTCATTCTCTATTTATTCATCCAATCGTCAGGTTCTATAAATTACACAGTGTTTCTCATTTTCATTCCTTTCAGCCACTCTCTTAATGCAAACCCTCATTATCTCATTAAGATTATTACAACAACCCTCTCTCTCCCGTCAACCTTTCCCTACCTTCATTCCACCTTTTATACAACTTCCTAAAACTACACTGACCAGTTATTCCCTTAATCAAAGCCCTTCATAGGTTCTTCATTCCAACAGAATAAAGCTCAAATGTTTGTGGATAATAAGGCTCTCTAAGATTAGGCTTCAATTTGTGTTGCAGTCAGGCATCACATGAAGCCAAACCTGCCTGCCATTCCCCAAACCTGCCTGCCACTCCCCAAACCTGCCTGCCATTCCCCAAACCTGCCTGCCATTCCCCAAACCTGCCTGCCATTCCCCAAACCTGCCTGCCACTCCCCAAACCTGCCTGCCATTTTTACATGGATGACTCTACACGTGGTGTTTCTTTCTGCTGAAATCTGTCTCATCTTTAAAGGGCAGCTTAGTATTCCTCCTTCTTGAAGGCTTCTTTGTTCTTTTCTTCTTACTGGGATACTTAGGTGGCTTCTCTCATTTGTTATACTTGTATGCCACTAGATTTCTGTCTAATCTTTCTACCTGGCAGATCCTGACACTATAAATGTACCTCCACTGAGGAAAGACCAAGTCAATAAATACATTCTTCTAAAAGACATGCATATGTAACTTTCAACTTCAATTTAACAATATAAAAATGTATTAAATGAAGAAATACTGAAATTATGGAGGCAGTAAACTAAATGACTTGTACTTTATTAAAATATAATGTTTTGATTAAACAATATTTAAAATCTACAATCTTGAAAACATATTTCCAGTGTTAGGTATATATGCATAGAAATGCTATGCAGCATCTGTTGAAATAGAGGAAATATGCAAATCACACATTCCATCAGTTTGGAAACCTTTGGTTCTCCTTAGCATTGTGGACAAATAACTGGAGCTCTATTACTAACTTCTGTCGGTTTAAAAAATTCTACTTCTTACTTGAGAAAGCTATAGATGAGAAAAAAATGTATAAATAACTTTCTTTTGCTTACAAGTGCTCTAGGCTGTGAGACAACTTTTGTGGGTGACCTTGTTAGAAAGAGACTGTGCTATAAAATCTACCAACAAATTAAGATTACTCTTAAAATTGTGATTTTTCTTGTTTATTAGCAGCATGATTCCTATTTCTCTACTATTACCTTTCCATCTTCAAGCAAATATTTATAAGCATTTAAGTCACGTTAAGAACAAGTGAAAACAAAACACACATGGAAGAGTCATAATTTCCGGATTCGAATTCTCTGGGTCTACTGCTTACCAGCTGAGTGAGCTTACATAAACACATGGCTTTGTTTCCTCATTTAAAAAGAGATGGTGCTTGTCTACCTAACAAAGGTGATCTCGAGGACAGAATCTTAAAACGTCTGTGATTGCACGTAGTAGATGTTCAACGTGCAGCATTATTGTCAGCATTGTTATCTTGTGGTAAAGGCTACTACATAGTGTCTGAGAAGCGTGTTAAAGGCTGAGGAGCTAGATTAATAAAACTTTAACACGTATATACATAATAACCTGGTAATTTCTCCCATGACAGAAAACTTTAGCTCGTCTTAAGTCATAGTTACTTGTTTGACTAGAATCAATCTAGGATCCCTCCTACACTACTACACAGGTATTGAAGGCAGATATGCTCCTCTGACTCTATATCCGCAGCAGTGCAATCCGTCTACAGTCTCCTAAACATCTATTTCAATTTAAAAGTTGACTTCAATAAGTACTGAGATTTGTATTGATTTATGTGTAGTCAATTATTTCTAACCAAAGGTTATAAAATAGAACTTAACACTATAAAATTTTTAAACTAGACACTATCTATTAATAATTTATTTAAATTTAACATTGAGGAAGCATAAATCCCTGAAAAGGAAAGAACTCTCTAAGCGACTGTAAGAAGAAATAAGAATGTACTGAAAAACTTACTCTTCAGTATAATATCCTGTGGTAGACACAATTCTCAGATGACTCATGCTCTGGTACAATACCCTCCCCTTGTATGGGACCCAGAAATACGATATGCTATCATTCCCATGATTACATTACGTTATATGCAAAGAGGATTCTGTAGATGTAATTAGGGTCAGCGTCCCTAATCAAGTTTCTGAGAGCTAATCAAAAGCAAGCTTTTCTTCTCTGGTCCTGACCTAATCAGATGAGCCCTTTCAAAGAAGGCCAGAGGCATTCTCTGAGATCAGGGAGATTCCCCCGTTGGTTTTAAAGAAGTAAGTTGCCATGTTATGAGACGAGCTACAAGTCAAGACCTAAGGGAGGCCTCAATGAGTTGAGAATGATCCTTGGCTCTTAGCCAGCAAGCCACGGACCTCAGTCCTATACCCACAAGTAACTGAATTTTTCAAAAAAGGCAGCCTGGCTGACACACTGATTGCAACCTTGCCACATTCTGAGCAGAGCACCCCACTAGGCTGTATCAGACTCCTGACCCAATGACACTGTGAGGTAACGAATGCATATGTTGTTTCTCAGCTGCTAAATTTGTGGTAATTTGTTTTGTAGCACAGAAAATTAATATGGGTCCTGATTTTTTTTAATCAACACCTTTCTAGAACTTATTCTTGTTCTCTTACTACCACTCTGTCCCATCTCAAGAAAGTATCCCAAACCCCACAGTGCGTAGAGTTTATATAATATTCTCACTCTGGATTAATTTTGTTTTCTTTATCCATAATTTTGTATTCATTTTATTTATTCAATTGCTTTACAAACTGTCCCATTTTCTTTTCAGATGAGGTCTTGCTCTATTGCCCAGGCTGGAGTGCAGTGGCTCAATCATAGCCCATTACAGCCTCAAACTCCTGGGCTCAAGGGATCCTCCTGCCTCAGCCTCCTGAGCAGCAGGGACTACAGGTATGCACCATCATACCCAGCCAATTTTTAATTCTTTTTGTAGATATGGGATCTTGCTGTGTTGCCCAGCCTGGTCTCGAACTCCTGGCCTCAAGCAATCCTCCCGCCTCGGCCTCCCAAAATGCTTGGATTATAGTCATGAGCGACTGTGCTTGACCCCCATTTTCTTTTTAATTTTTTTTGTTCTTTTTCAATTTATTTGTATGTTCCATTTTCTATGCTAGAAATATAAATTGCCTCTACCAGATCTGCATTTTGTAGTTTAACTGACAAGCAAAAAGCCTCTGACCAGAAGCTTTTGTTTGCTGCTCTCAGCTGCAACTGTAGGATCCCATGAATAGGGTAAATTAGTCACCCCTGGCCTATTTTCCCTTGTTTTCTTATATGGGATTTCATTCACAAACTGCTTTTTTTCGTGGCCCCAACTTGACATTTGCTGGGAGATTTAGATATGCAGTACCTAGATTCAGAACCCGATTCAATATCTATCATTTATTCTTTTTACACACACTATGTAGTTGGCACTATACTAGTTCTCTGTTTTCAGTAAGAAAAAGGTTATAAATAATCCTTGCCTTTAGGTAGCTACTGGTCTATAATCCAGAAATATGTAACAATAAACTATAGTAAGTGCTATGAAGAAACAAAACAGGAAGCTGAGGGAACTGCTGCTACCTTCAATTCCTGTCTGGTAAATGCTGGCTAGAGCTTGTTTCCCTCCCCGTATTCCCCTGATTTGTTCTGTAAAATGTGATCTAGAAGCTAAGTACAGCATTGAATGTCCTAGCTTAGATCTATGACCACTCTGCTTTCCAACTTTTAGTCAAGAGAAGGTAGTTGCCAAGTCACTGGTCAGTAAACTGGGGGCAGTCTGAGGACATCAGGCATCCCTTCTCCATCAGGGAGACCTGGTAAACATTTTAATGTTTAGGAATGAACTACCAGAAAAAATAAAACAAGGCCCTTGGAAAATATTCTTCAGGCCCAATAATGAGAAATAAAGGGCGTAGAAAAAAAGCTGAGAAAATCATTTCCCTAATTACTCCCAAAACAATATATTTTTAGATACTCTCTGATCTTGATGTCTCTAAAGAATAAAATATTCAATATCTGCCTATTCAACGAACATGTTGCTAGTTGTAGCACATGTAAAGAAAATGCTGTTGGGTATCCAACTAGTTTACAAGCAGTGCTCCAAGGGAAATGAATGGGATCGGGTATAGCTCTTTACTTCTAAAATGAAAGTGATTCTGACCTACAGCTTTTTTCTGGACAATATCCATCCTACAGCATTCAAAGACACAGTTCAGTCTTTCCCATTTGTTTTTTACCACTGGATTAAAAATTTAAAGTAATGAACCATTTAAAAAATTTGGAAATATTCTTAGTTGGGATAGTGGAGTCTGAAACATAAAGACACAAAATTCTAGTAAATCCAGCCAAACATGAGGTGGAATGCCAGAGACACTGGATCAGGGTTTCTTGGAGGCCCATGGAGGAAACAGCTGGTGGCCAAAGAACACTTTGCAGTCCATGCTGGAGCAACGGTGAGACGCTCAATATTGAAAAAGGCCAATCAGTAACCAGAGTAAAAAGTGAGGCTTAGTTCCCATCTATAACAATAATGTACTCTCCGAGTTTTCTTTCTCATTTTGAAAGACAAAGGGCTTGACAATCCAAGTAGAGAAAAGCAATCATTAAACGAGAATGATCTGTTTCCAATAACTTCTCCAAAATCTCTCATCTTAAATTCTGCTTAGGACTGACTTAAGACTATTTAATGTTGAATACAGAAATAAGTTCATTTACATTCTCATAATCTGATTATTCTGATTCATAATTAAGTACAGGCAGCAATTTTAAAATCTTATTATTGTGTTTCTAAAAAATTACAACATAAATTCTGTTACCAGAATGTAAATAAATGAGACTGGAGAGAAAATTCTAATTGAACAGAATATATGTAAATTCTACAGGCAAGAACTCCCTAGAAAGTCACCATAATCTTAATGATATTCTCCCTCCTGTGAATAGAATCAACGTTCTTTTATTGAGAATATTATACTTTTAAAGGGGATAAAACTGAAAGAAATAAAATTCTGCATGCTGTCCAGGTATAGGACTAAATTCACAGTCAATTCAAATGTATGAGTTATCAAGACAATGCTATCATTTTCTATGTCATTAACAAATATTTTCCATACAACTTATTTAAAAAGGTAAATAGTTCAGATTAATAACTTCCAAGTTTAGTAATTTAAAAGTAAGACTTTTAAATTTAAAACATTAATTTTCTTGTTACAATACTTGAGATCACTAAGAGAAAGAATTAAAAATTAAAAACCAATAACCAAAAAAAACCCTTAGGCAGAGATGTAATTATTTATGTAACAAAATTTCTTCTGAAAAATCCACTGAGTTACTGCATCACTCATTTATATACTATTTTCTGACAACTGCAGTTATGAAAGGGCTACACTATGTTTCACAAAATGTCAAGCAAATGAAGGTAATATAGAGGACTTTTCACCAATGCTTTTGCTAGTAGTTAGACTTCAGTAGCCTTTAGAGACCATTAAGTACCTTTTGGCTAATTGGCCAATGGTAGATTAATCCTCTTTTTATTCCAGCAACACTATTTTAACACCCTTACACTCTGTCAGTGCAGAGTCTGAATGACAAAATAATATTGTGCATGAATAATAAGCAGAAAAGTTAAATTAACATTTCATGTTTCACATGCCATACATAGGTGTCAGAGGAACTTTCTTTTTTAAGTCACTGACATTCAACTTTTTTAAACAATCTCATGTTGACATCTTATTGAGGTGAATCTTCCTAATTACTGCTAATTGCCTATCAAGAAAAAAAAACTCTTTTCATGAAGTGTAGTTGTCTGCTACAGATGAACCCAGCTCCAGTGTGCACATTAAAGACACAGCATGACACTTAAGGTGCTACTTTGTTATAAGGTCATACTAAATATGGTTTACAATTAACAAAGCAGTTTTTTTATGGGTCTGAAAATGCCAATCTGTCTTGATGTGTTCAAATTAGGTTCTATCAGAGAAATATGGATATCTGCATATGGATAAGAGATACGCTACTCTCAATAACATTTACAAGGAGTTAAATTAATTCAATGCCCTTATACTTTGTAACACAAGTTCTAGCTAATGTCCAATTAAATATTTTGTAACTGTGTTTAAATATTTCTCAAAATGAAAATCAACACTATTATTTCAAGTGTCAAATTATTCAAAACAGTTTACTAATACTTTTAATTCTGAAAGACCAAAAATACTCAAAACATTTAACAAGTACTTTTAATTTATATGAATAGTTTTAACATTATATGCCTTTATAGCAAATTTTAACCTATGTGATATTAGCAAGGTAGTGTCTTTCAAAATAATCTGAATAACTAAATGAACGCATTTTAATTGGATTTGTTGAACCACATCACTTAAACTTCTGTTCCCACAAGTATGGGGAAAATAATGGATAGTAAAAACACGTTATATGTGAAATTTAGAAAGTCAACTAATACAATTGACTTTCAAGTATTCACGGGAAAAATAAACATTTGTCTATTCACAGAAAAAAGAGTTTGACTGTTGGTTTGTTGTTATTTCAAATCTTCTGTTTAAGTTACGAGAAGAAAAGCTCTCTCTTTTTTTTTTTCTTTTATTATTATACTTTAAGTTTTAGGGTACATGTGCACATTGTGCAGGTTAGTTACATATGTATACATGTGCCACGCTGGTGCGCTGCACCCACTAATTCTCAGTAAACTATCGCAAGAACAAAAAACCAAACACCGCATGTTCTCACTCATAGGTGGGAATTGAACAATGAGATCACATGGACACAGAAAGGGGAACATCACACTCTGGGGACTGTTGTGGGGTGGGGGGAGGAGGGAGGGATAGCACTGGGAGATATACCTAATGGTAGAAGAAAAGCTCTCTTGAAAACTAAATACCAGGTACTAAATACTGGGACAGATAATGGGAACCAAAAGTATATCCAGAATAATTCATCATCCTCACTACCAACATAATTTCTCAATGTTTATATGGTAATATTATGAGTTCAGTCATAGCCCTCCTAAACACGAGACTTACATATGACATGCTTACTAATGACTATGAGGTTGCAATGCATACCCATTCTGACTCCTTTCCTCAATAGGAAAGAAAGAGGATGGTAGCGCTATTTGATGTCCTAAAGGAGAAACTGTGCAATGTCTTTCGGAACTCCTCTTTTTCACTCTCCTTCTCCTGCTTAAATTCAGTTAATTCAACATAGAAATAGCTATTCCTCACATGTCCTATTTACTATTCACCACTTTAATTATATTCTTCCTTCACCCTCTTTGTCAATATTTTTTTGTTACTGGAGTTGAGTGGCAGTAAGAAGAAAAGAATCCATCCCAATTTAAAGATGTTTTAAGTGAATGTCCACTCAAAGAACCAAGAAAAAAAATAAACATGCCAGATCAACAAAAATAATACTTGATGTTTCAGGGTGATGTTAACAGCATTATCTGTATCTAAGTAAAGAACGGCAGCCTCCTGCCCTCATAACCAAGGCTTGGTCAGGCCTGGGGAGCTCTATGAGGTGGCAGCAGGAGAAGGAAGCCTGAGGACATTGTACACGCAGAGTTTGGAGCCTCTTCCACCAAGAGGATCTGGCTTTGGAGCATCAGAAAATGAAACTGAATTTGCTGAAGGTGAAAGTGAAGCTAAACAGGAAATTCTTAAAAACAAAGATCTGGCTGTTCAACATGCCCATTTTTATGGGCTTGGATGGACTAAATAAAGATAATATCACCGTTTGTAAAACTGGAGATGTTTTTAAGGCTAAAAATCTCATTGAGGTAATGTGGAATTCTCATGAAGCCCGTGAAAAATTTCTTCATCCAGGAATTTTTTAGACAAGTGAATTTTTTGAGTGATACATGTCAAGGTGACAATGCATTTCCAAATGGGTTAGATGTTACCTTTGAAGTAACTGAATTAAGGAAATTAATGGGCAGTTAAAACACCATGGTTGGAAACAATGAAGGGAGTACGGTACTTGGCCTCAAACTCCCTGATCTTCTAGGTTATGCAGAAAAGGCGACTTTTCATTTTTCCCATGGAACAAAAGACGCTTCCCATGGCCTTTCTTCAAACCATGGCCCGGAAACTTCAAAAGGAATTTATCTGTAAACTTACATGAAGTTACTGAACAGTTCCCTTGGAGCTCACTTCCGGAAATGAACAGAAGATGATCAGCCAAGTACAGTCTTCCCATATGAAAGACCAGCCACACCAACAATTGGAAAGGCATGTGGCGAGACCTGGGCTGTCACTTAAGGACAGCATCATTTGCTGTTTGAAAGTAAGGCAGACATTCACTTAAATCATGTCTTTCACATGCCATGGTCATCGATTTTCAGAATTCTTCCATCTTACCAAGAAAATGTGTTTTGCTGAAAGTTAACCAGGAACTGACAGGCTACACTACAAGGGATATAAGCTTCATCAAAGATTTTGAACTTCAGTTGAATAAACCACTCATATTTGATTCAGTTTTTTCAGCAATTCTCTGAGGTGGGATGTTGGCACCCATGGTGATAAACTGTGAGTCCTGCTGATAGTTTCACCTTGGGGGACCAACAAGTGTCCAAGGATTCAGCATGCACAGCACCGGAGCAGAGTGCAGGCGACCACCTAGGTGGAGAAGCACGCTGGGCCAGCGGACCGCAACTGTGTACGCCAACACGTTTAAAGCCAAGCCAGGGCAGTTTGGGAGAACTTTTCCAAACACTTTTTTCTCAACACAGGAAACCTCTGCAACCTCAACTATGGGGAGGGCCCCAAAGTGTATTCGTGAGCTGGCTGAATGTATCTGCCAGTTTTATGGCACCAGGATTGTCTTTAGGCTTGGCAACATGGCTCTGTTGGAACTTAATTACTACTTTCCTATGGGAGTGCAGACAGGCAACAGGATATGTGATAGCATCTAGTTTTGAGCTGGGATAAGGTTCCTGTAGCTGACACCGCAGCGGGAGAAGCTCTGGGACCCTGATGGCAGTGAGTTGCCCACCAGGCAATTTCTCTCAGAGTAAATGCGGATGAGAGATTCTTTGACTGCAGTCTATGTGAAATACCGCATTCATAAATTTTAAAGACATACACATGAAAAGAGGCCATAACTTTTAAAGTACAATTATAATGACTGAGTTATCAGAAACAGACTATGAAATATCTGCAGAAGTCTCATGAAGACTGCTGATTCATCTCTGATTAAACTTGGTTTTCCTAGAAATCAGATTTCAATACTTTTATTTGACTGTTTTCTTGTCCTTGTGGTGTGCTATTACAATAGTATTACTTCTTATTTTATGGTATTTTATTGCTCTAAAAGGCCTTTGTGGACTAGCCAGAGGAAATCAATATCCATATATAGTATTAAATTGCTCATAATACTTAATTCCTACATAAGCTTCAAAAGAGAGGCATCAGTATTCCTTAGAATAATTTTTGACTTCTAAAAATTTATAATAGACCATGATATATTTCTGAAATTTAAATTTTATAAGATAAAGAATTTCTCAGTAAGCCTCTGAAAAGTATGAATATAAACATTAAATTACATTTGAATCAGTTCTTAGGAAGACTACATTATCACATTAATCTAAATTAAATATTACCAACTTTGGGGGTTATAGAGTCAAAGGCTAAAGATCATCATTTGCAGCTCCAAATTCATATATTCAAGCTAGCGAAAGACATATGTTTCTTAAATATATCCTAAATATGAATTACATCTTAATACTTAAAAACGGAAATATTTTCATGATAGGGTCTGTAGGGGTGGGTTGCCCCTCCACACCTGTGGGTGTTTCTCGTAAGGTGGAACGAGAGACTTAGGAAAGAAAAAGACACAGAGACAAAGTACAGAGAAAGAAGTAAGGGGACCCGGGGAACCAGCGTTCAGCATATGGAGGATCCCGCCAGCCTCTGAGTTCCCTTAGTATTTATTCATCATTCGTGGGTGTTTCTCGAAGAGGGGGATGTGTCAGGGTCACAAGACAATTGTGGGGAGAGGGTCAGCAGACAAACACGTGAACAAAGGTCTTTGCATCATAGACAATGTAAAGGATTAAGTGCTGTGCTTTTAGATATGCATACACATAAACAGCTCAATGCTTTACAAAGCAGTATTGCTGCCCGCAGGTCCCACCTCCAGCCCTAAGGCGGTTTTTCCCTATCTCAGTAGATGGAGCATACAATCGGGTTTTATACCGGGACATTCCATTGCCCAGGGACAGGCAGGAGACAGATGCCTTCCTCTTGTCTCAACTGCAAGAGGCGTTCCTTCCTCTTTTACTAATCCTCCTCAGCACAGACCCTTTACGGGTGTCGGGCTGGGGGATGGTCAGGTCTTTCCCTTCCCACGAGGCCATATTTCAGACTATCACATGGGGAGAAACCTTGGACAATACCTGGCTTTCCTAGGCAGAGGTCCCTGAGGCCTTCCGCAGTTTTTGTGTCCCTGGGTACTTGAGATTAGGGAGTGGTGATGACTCTCAAGGAGCATGCTGCCTTCAAGCATCTGTTTAACAAAGCACATCTTGCACCGCACTTAATCCATTTAACTCTGAGTTGACACAGCACATGTTTCAGAGAGCACGGGGTTGGGGGTAAGGTTATAGATTAACAGAATCTCAAGGCAGAAGAATTTTTCTTAGTACAGAACAAAATGGAGTCTCCTATGTCTACTTCTTTCTACACAGACACTGTAACAATCTGATCTCTCTTGCTTTTCCCCACAGGGTCAATAGTTAACTGTATGTCTCTCGTTGGTTGTACCGTATCTAAGTCTTGCAAATAAAGTGCTTGGATGAAAGCCAGTCAGGGAATTTCAAAACCCTACAACTCATTACAAATTTAACAGCAGCAGTACTAAGTATTCATATCATGTTGATCATTTATAAATATACCCTATAAAAATTCTCAAGAGAAGCAATAATGTTTTTTTCTATTCCCTGTATAAATTTCATAAGGTTCAAGATAGTGAAAAATGGACATTTTTAGAAAGGACTTTTAAAAATCTTTGGATTTGATAAAATAAAAAGTTACTGATACCATTTAAAATGGGATTTTAAAAAACTAAGGACCAACATATGTAAAAATTACCAAAAAAAGTCTTTCATAGCATAGAGTAGAAATTTCCTTTATATAGAAAAAAGAGATTTGCAAAGTTTTGACCTATACTATATTATTCAAGGTATTTCTCATAGATTTCACTGAAAAGCTATTTTTTCCAACACACAAAATTCCACATAGGAACTTCTACCATCAGCCTTCCCTTCATTTTCTATTCAGAATTGTTTTCTGTTTATCATATTCTTTCAAGTAAAAAGGCTTGACCTAACAAAGTAGGTCACTCAATAAATAAAGTCAAATAAATACCTGACTCTCAGGCAGTTATGCTACATCAAGGACAATGATTCATGTAGATCTTTAGTAAGAGGGTAAGTCTAGGTGTTCTTCCATTTTTATTAATCAAGCCAGTTGATCTGCTTTTCTTCTAAATCAGTAGTTCTCAAATAGTACATACTACCCAGATGTGTGTGTATTTTGGAAATTTGTTGGGGCACTTTTGAGTGCCACAATGATTGGCAACTGAAGTGGGTGACAGCAAAGAATACATAAGTACTGCAATGTATAAATCAGTCCTGCCCAATAGAAACTACTCTGTACCCTCATGACTCTGAAATTCCTGTCAATTACTCATGTAGGTGACAATTAACATATAATGAAATAACCTAAATCCTAACTCAAAATGACATACAGACAAAGTATTTGTATTCCTGTGGCTCCCCAAATTTAAGCAGAGAAGTTCTTTCCTTCTCTGAGGTAGAGCTATAAGAATGTAGGCTTACCACATGGCCAATACGCATGGCCAGAGCTGCATGGAGAAAGCTGGTCTGGTCTGGAATGAAGAGATGTGAGAAAGAAGCGTTAAAAACATTAGAGTGTCTGTCTGCAATTTTCTGTACCTTTACCAAGTCTATGATCTACAGTTCATCCTTTGATTTTGTGTTTTTTTTCTTATGTTAGTTTGAAGTCTGTTTCTATCACTTGCTATCAAGACAGTCTTGTTAATACAGTCTTCTTAGTAAAGTCCAACAGTCTCTTCTCAGTTTTCTATTATCAGTTCCTCTATGGGATCTGACACTGTTGACCAAAGCTTCTCTTTTTCTTGTTAAAAACTTTCTCTCCCTTGTTTCTTTATTAAAGTACTCAATTTTTCCTCCACATTCTCTGTACAGTTCTTTTGGATCTCCTTCTCTGACTCCTCTTTGCCCATATAGCAGATAACTCCCCCAAACTTAAGATCTTGCTGCAAAGATTTGTTCCACCTCCAGCATTCTTTCTCTGGGCTAATGACATCAGTAGATTTCCTTCTTCATTTTTAATGAAATATTTCAATATACCATAGGTATATAAAGAAAAATACAATGAATGCCCATGTGTTAACCAGTCAACTAAGACAATATATTACCAATACAGTTGAAGCTATGAACGTCTCTCCTGATCCACCAGAAATAATCACTATCCTGAATAACTTTGTTGTTTATTTTTCCCTTACCTTTCTTTATACTTTTAGAATATATACACATATAGACTCCTCAACCATATAGCAATTTAAAGACACTATTTCACATTTTAACAATCCCTGAAATTGTAATACAACTTCCCTTCCTAGATACCACACAATACCTGCTATTATTTAAACAATATTTTTCTTTTAAATTGCATATTCTGTTGATTGCTGGTGAATATGAGTCCTATTATCTTTGTATATTACTGATCCAGCAATCTTGCTGAAATCTCTTACTAATTATAGTAATTTGTCTTCAGATTCTGTGGAGACAAGCATAATGCATGGGAACTAATGATGGTTTTGTTTCTTCATTTCTAATATATTTAACTTTCACTTCTGTCTCTTATATTAATGTGCTGGTTAGGTACTCAAGTACAACATCAAAGACAAACAATGATAGCAGGCATAGAAGTATTCTTCCTGATTTCAAAAAGAATGCATCTAACTTCTTTAAGTATGATGGCTAGTTCAGGTTTTTGGTAGACACCTTTTAACAGAACTGTTTCAGGTTTTTGGTAGACACCTTTTAACAGAATAAGAAAGTTCCCTGCTAGTCCTAGTTTGCTAAGATAATTTTTATCATGAACAGATATTTAATTTTATCAGAAAATTTTTACCTTTTTTATTGTGGTAAAAAAACATGAGATCTACTTTCTTAACAAATTTTCAAGTGTACAGTACATAAACTTCCCTCTTACAACTGCTTATGCTTGCAGCCCATAAATTCAGGTATGTTATGTTTTCATTTTCATTTGTCTCAAGGTATTTTCTAATTTTCTTTGTGACATCTTTAACCCATTGGTTGTTTAAGAGTGTTTGGTTTAGCTGGGCATGGTGGCTTACACCTGTAATCCCAGCACTTTAAGAGGCCAAGGCGAGTGAATCACTTGAGGTCAGGAGTTTGAGACCAGCCTGGTCAACATGGCGAAACCTTGTCTCTCCAAAAATACAAAAAATTAGCCAGGCATGGTGGCTCGCGCCTGTAATCCCAGCTACTCAGGAGGCTGAGGCAGGAGAATCACTTGAACCCAGAAGGTGCAGGGTGCAGTGAGCTGAGATCATGCCACTGCACTCCAGCCTGGGTGACAGAGCGAGACTCCATCTCAAAAACAGAGAAAGTTTTGTTTAATTTCTACACATTTGTGGATTTTACAGTTCTCCTTCTGCTATTGCTCTTTAGCTTCATACCATTATGATCAGAAAAGATACCTTGTATTATTTCAACCTTCTTAAATTTAAGGTATGTTTTTGGCCTAACATGTAGTCTATCCTGGAAAATATTTCATGTGCACTTGAGAAGAATATATATTCTGCTGTTGTTGGGTAGAGTATTCTCTACATATCTGTTAGGTTCAATTGGTCCACAGTCTTGTTCAAGTCCTCTGATTCCGGATTAATCTTGTTCTATCCATTGTTGAAAGTGGAGTACTTACGTCTCCTATTATTGTGTTGCTGCCTATTTCTCCCTTCAGCTGTCAAAGTTTCCTTCCTATACATACAGGAGTTCTGAGGTTTGCCACATAAATATTTATAACTGTTTTATCTTCTTGGTGAATAGGCCCTTCTTTCAGGTGAATGTCTTTGTCTCTTATAATGGTTTTTGATTTAATATGTGATATTGGTATAGCCACCCCTTCTCTCCTTTGCTTACCCTTTGTATGGAATATAGTTTTCCATCCCTTCACTATAAGCCTGTGTCGTTAAAACTAAAGTGAGTCTCATAGAGACAGGATATAGCTGAATTCTGTTTTTTTAATCCATTCGGCAACTCTCCATCTCTTGACTGGGGAATGTAATCCATTTATATTTAATTACTGATGGTGAAAAAATTTCCTATTGCTACCTTGTTTTCTGTCTTATAGCTCTTTTGTCTGTCTTTTCCTCTGTTGCTATCTTTCATTGTATTTCATTGATTTTTTTTTTTTTTTGCAGTGACACGTTTTGACTCCTTTTTCACTTTCTTCATGTATCTTCTATAGGTATTTTCTTCGTGATCACCATGGAGCTTACATAAAATATATTGTTTATAACAATCTTTTAAGCTCATAACAACATAACTTCAATCACATACAAAATATTCATACGTTTACTTCTCACATGTAATTTGGTGAAACAAATTACATCTTTTTATATTATGTATTCATTATCATATTTTTAGTTATGTTTTTTAATACCTATTATTGTAATTTCTATGCCAGAATAAAAAGTGATTACACACCACTGTTTACCTTTACCAGTGACCTTTATACTTTCACATGCTTTTAAGTATTGCTGTTTAGCATCTTTTTGTTTCAACTTGAAGAACTCAGTTTAGTATTTCTTCTAAGAAAGGTCTAGTGGTGATGAAGTCCCTCTACTTTTGTTTGTCTGGGAAAGTCTCTTTCACTTTCATTTTTGAAGACAGTTTTGCCAGACATAATATTCTTGGTTGGCACGTTTTTATCTTTTAAAGGTGGTGTACACTTCTTTAAGTTTATTTCTTAAGGATGTTTTGTATATTTACAGAGTTGTGCAATTATCACCACACACTAATTGTAGAGTACTTCTAAAGAACCTCATGCCCATTTACAGAAACTCCTTTCCCATCCCTGGCTCTAGTCAACCACTGAATCCAATTTCTGTCTATGGATTTTGCCTTTTCTGGACATTTTATATAAGTAGAATCATACTGTATATGGTCTTTTATTATTAGCTTCTTCCACTCAGCAATATGCTTTCAAGGTTCATCCATATTGTAACATATGTTAGTATTTTATTCCTTTTTATTAATGAATGATAATCCACTGCATGGATACACCACAGTTTTTTCTCCATTCATAAGTTGATGGACCCATAGGTTGTTTCCCCTTTGGGCTACTATGAATAATGCTTCTATCAATTAATGTACAAGTTTTTTATGTGAACTTATGTTTTCAGTTCTTTTTTTTTTTTTTGAGACGGAGTCTCGCTCCGTCGCCCAGGCTGGAGTTCAGTGGTGTGATCTCGGCTCACTTCAAGCTCCGTCTCCCAGGTTCACGCCATTCTCCTGCCTCAGCCTCTCGAATAGCTGGGATTACAGGCGCCTGCCACTACGCCCGGCTCATTTTTTTTTTTTTTTTTTGTATTTTATTTTAGTAGAGAAGGGGTTTCACCCTGTTAGCCAGGATGGTCTCGATCTCCTGACCTCATGATCCACCCGCCTCGGCCTCCCAAAGTGCTGGGATTACAGGCTTGAGCCACCATGCCCGGCCGTGTTTTCAGTTCTCTTAAATGTATACCTGGGAGTGGAAATGGTAGGTTATTTGGTAACTCTATGTTTCACTTTGCGAGGATCTGTCAAACCATTTCCCAAAATGCCTGTGCCATTTTACATTCCCATAGCATTGTATGAAGGTTACAATTTCTCTATATCCTTATCAACACTTGTTAATGTTTGTCAACTTATTAGTCTCAGCGATCCAGCTTCTGGATTTGTTGATCATGTCTGCTGCATTTTTACTTTCTACAGTATCAACTTTGCCCTTATTTTAATATTTCTATTTTATTTGGGTGTCTTAGTTTGGGCTGCTATAATAAATTATCATAGACTGCATGGCTTAAATAACAAACATTTACTTATTATGATCTGGATGGTGGGAAGTCCAAGATTAAGTTGTGGATAGATCTGGTGTCTGGTGAGGCCATTCTTCCAAGTTGCCATATGGCAGAGAGCAGAGAGATCTCCTGTTTCTTCCTCTTTTTATAAGGGCATTAATCCCATCATGGGGGCCCCGCCCTCATGAACTAATGTAACCCTAACTAATTCTCAAAGGCTCCACTTTTGAAATGATCACATTGGGGGTTATGAATTATGGGGGAACACATATATTTAGTCTACAACACTGGGTTTATTCAATTTCTCATTCTTAAATAAAATGTTTAGCTCTGTGATTCTTAGACTTCTTCTAATCTTACTACAAGTATTTAAGGATATAAATTTCCATCTGAGTACCACCTTAGTCACATTCTAAAAGTTTCCATCTGTGTTATTTCATTGTGATTCAATCTAAAGTATTTTTCATTTTCATTTTGTTTTCTTCTTTGACCCATTAGTTTTTAGAAATGCCTCTATAAATTCGCATCAGATATTTTTAAGTTAACTTTTTAAAGTATTTTCTACTTCACTTGTGTTAGATAATACTATTTATATGATACAAATCCTTTGAAATTTATGGAATGTTGTTTTGTGGCCTAGTTATGTGAACATTTTTGATAAATACTTAGAGAAAGACTTTTTATTGCTCTGTTAAAATAATGTATATCTTTAATGACTTTTTATCAGCATTACTTAAAAGTACTGATATTATCAATACATGAATTATTTATTTTGAGCCTAAGTTATTAGATGTTTATATTTTAGAGGCTCTCTGCTCCCTTTTCCAGCAAATCTCCTCAAAATAACTCTAAAATGTATGCATATTTAATTATATCCTCCAATTCCTCTCTTTCTGTTCCCATTCCTCAATTCCTCCCATGAACTGATTCTAATAAGCAGCAGTTGGCATAGAGAATGATAAAGTATATCATTCCCTTCTTGATATACTTTAACCATTTGGCTTCTAAGATTCTCTTTTCTCTTGCTTTTCCCTTTCACTGGCTCTCCTTTCTGGTCCTTTCTCATCTGTCCAACTTCTGAATATTGGAGGGCCTAGAGCTCAGATCTTGGACCTTATCTCTTTTGTACCTATCTCCACGCCCTTGGTGATTTCATTCAGCTTCATTTTTAAATGCCATCTACATACTCATGGCTGCAAAATTTATATGTCTAGCCCAGGCTTATCCCCTAAATTTTAAACTCATATATCCTACTACTTACTTGATATTTCCAGTTCACTAACAAATTACCATTTGGCTACAAACGATAAGCTGTTGTTGATTTTAGATCCTAAGGATTTAGTTTCTTTTTAATTCTTTTTGCAAGTTCTAGTATGCATTTATGAGGCCCTTTTTAATATTTTATTCAACTTTCTTGGTATTTTCTCACCACAATATTTAGTGTATTACATTGTCACAAATACAATTCTTCTATCATCAACTTTCTACTCACTTTGTTAAAAACCTGAAAAATATCTTAAATACCTCTTTTTTCTTTACCTTCCTATATGCAATTGGTCATCAAACTTTTGGGATTATAACACTGCAAAGTCTCTTGTTTTTTAAAAAACTTTCTATTTCTACTAATATTGTCTAGATCTCTTCCTAATCATCTTTTGCCTTGATATTTAAACAATAATTTATCTAGTTGCTTGCATTCAATCTCTAGTCTCTCGAGCCTTAGTCTCAGTCCTTATTCTACATCAGAATCACCTGAGAGCTTTAAAAAACTACCAAGGTACAGGGCCTAACTCTTAGATATTCAAATTTAATTGGTCTACGGTCAGGCCTTGGCACAAGTATTTTTCAAAGTTCCCTAGGTGAGAATAATAAGTGGTCAGGGTTGAGAACCACAGCCAAACCAGATTATTCACTATTCTCAACAAACTGCTATGTCAGCTAGATGTCTTTTCAAGCTATCCTTTCTTCTAATGACTTTGTTCAATGCACACAACTTCCAAAATCATACAAAACCTTAAGGTTAAGCCCAAATACCACTCCTTCAAAAGCCTTAATCAAGAATGACAGGAACGAATAACTCTCTCTCTCCACATGCATTTAAACATCCATGTTATATATACACACACACACATATACATATATATCTCTATATCTCACAGTTTCCTTTTATTATTATACATATGTTCAACTGTGTTATTATCGGGGACAAGGTTCATATTTAATTCATTGTTGAATATTCCATTATTATAGCGCTTTACATGTGTTAGGTACATTAAACTAAATTGAATTGTAACAAACATACTTATCCATGTGCATACAAATATTCTAGTCATTTAAAACCAAACTCTAAAATATATGCACAGTTAAATAGTATATCAATTCAATAGTGATAAATATGCTACAATTTTTCACTTCCTGAAACATTGATATTGATGAGACACACCTATCTGAAAGTATGTTGATGTAAAAAATCAGGACACTACCAGAAATATAAAATTGTGCAATATATTATAACACTGCTTTATTTTAAACAGAAAAGAAATTTCTAACTGATGCTATTCAGGTCACATATTCTCATATTAATATTTTCTTTGGTAAGATAAGAAATGAATCTGAAAACAGAGTATAAGAAGTGCAATTTTATAGTATACAGTGTTCCAAGTGGTAATAATAGTTTCCTACAAAGTCTAATATAGGACACAGATATTCTGTTAACAAATACCACTTGCTTCATCTAGAATAGAAGACAGGACATAGGAATAAGACAGTCACGTCCAATTCCACATGGATTCTCAGCTCTGATCCTGGGTTTTGCACAGTTTGCCTTGCGAACATGATCCGAGTGACATTTCACAAATTCCTGGATAAATGTTGCTACACTCTGCTAGGAGAGAGACAGGCTATGTCACGCACAGATCAATAACCGCACTGTGTTTCATCAGCCTCAAAATCAAAAGTGCTTCATCTGGCAAAAGCCACGGCCCTAGAGAATCTGACGTATATAAAATGAATACCCTACAAGGAATGTGTACTACACAAACTATTGGGGTAAGGTAAAAGAAAACTCTGGAGATTAGCAATAAGGTACAAAAAGAGTAGTTTTCTACTTCATTATTACTAGCGGTGTGAACACAGATCACAAAAACGGAAATGAGGCTATTTAAAATTCTGCAATTCCTGACAGGAAAAAAACAATGGCTCTGGTACAGTTTAATACCTTTTATCTTTCAAATAAGAATTCTGTAAATAAATATAAACCAAGGACAAATATAAGTTTGGATACAGTAACAATCACATAACTCCAAATACAGAAATTTTTAAAATGAAGATCCACGAAATAAGGCCCTTTTAGTGTTAAAGGGTTGCTAAAGGTCTCTTCAGATTTAGTAGTTTTCATGCTCAATGTTTATATGCTAGATTAACTAGAAAACCCAAGGCATTTGTTGAATGGGCTGTGCTCTGCTGTTTTTAATTCCAAATTCTGACACTTAGCAAAAGTCTTTTATTTGAGGCTTGATTAAACTAATTTAAGATTATTTGGTTAATGTAATTGGACAACATATGAAGCAAATTTGAAAGCTCAAATTCTAAAAAGGAAACTGCTTTAAGATTGCCATTGCCGAAAAAGTTTCTGCAGCAAAACGTGCTTCTGCAGAATTTAGCTGGATCTGACTCAGACGGTAGGGGAATCAATAATTCATCAAGAAATCAGAGAAGATAATGATGTTTAATCATAAACTAAACAATAGTATATAATGTTTTCTATGAATATTGAGAAAATATGTAATATTTATCAAATTATGGTGTGGGCACTATAGAACATACAAAATTAGGTAAAGCATATTCTTGCTTTTAAATTGTTTATAATGTAAAAAGGTAAATAAATATCACAAAAGGAGGCTAGACCACCACTTGGATAAGAATAAGGAAATACATTTATTTGTTTCTCTTATATCCCCTAGCCTAGAGGCACAGCCACATTCTAATATAAAGATCTGGAAATACCAGCTGGGTGGACGAGGGCTAGGGAATTTGTTACCTTGACAGGTCAGATGGGAAGTGTGCCCGTAAAAAAGGAGCTACCCTGGCCGGGCACGATGGCTTACACGTGTAATCCTAGCACTTGGGGAGGCCAAGACGGGTGGATCACCTGAGGTCGGGTGTTTCAGACCAGCCTGGCCAACGTGGTGAAACCCTGTCTCTACTAAAAATACAAAAATTAGCCGGACGTGTTGGCATGCACCTGTAATCCCAGTTACTCAGGAGGCTGAAGCAGGAGAATCTCTTGAATCCGGGGTGGACAGAGGCTGCAGTGAGCCGAGATCGCGCCACTGCACTCCATCCTAGGCAATAAGAGCAAAACTCTGTCTCAAAGAAAAAAAAAAAAAAGAGCCACTCTTTGAGTACTCTCACTACCTTTCATAGTCTAAGGTCAAATTCCACTTCATATTTCAAAATGCTCCTCCTACCATCTTTTAATCATAGTCTTAACAGCCATTGTGACAGTGTGTTATCTTAAATAAAAGTTTAAAAGGTACCGTTTTTGGAGGGGTAGTTATACCACTGTAATGCAAATGCAGTATAAAAATAAATTCATAAAAATAACTAAGTCCAGAAAGCATTATTGGAACAGTAAGGGCTTTGTAGAAACTATAAAGCAGATGAGACCAGAATGAGTGCCTCTCTTTCCAAAAATATCTCTTAGAAACAAACAACAACCAAAAAACAAAACCACTGAATATTCCTAGTAGAACTCTAGGCACTAAGCTCCAGAACCGAGGTAAAGCAGGGCAGAAATAAGCCAAGAGTAATTGATTATTTAAAGACAGTTTTTCTAGTCTCGTACAGTCAGGAAGAAAAAATATTATCTTGCAATACAGAATACATTCTTAATAACTTGTTTTTGGAGAAGTCAAAATTTAAGTAATGGACTACTTTTAAAAGCCAACTTTTAATAATGAAAGACAAAAAAATCTTGAAAGTAGCCAGACAGAAATAATGCATTACTTATAGGGATATGCTAATTTGAATGACAGTAGATTTCTTAACTGAAACTATGGAGGCCAAAAGAAAAGTGGCACAATTGTTTTCCAAAACAACAACTTTTTTTTTTTCTTAAAGAACTGTTGTCTGCAAATTCTATATCCTTCAGGAATGAAGAGAGACTTCACAGACAACCTATATACTTAAAAAAAAGTACATAACTTAATTAAACATACTTAATTGCTACCAAATACTATAAAACACTCTATTCAACAGCAGCTGAAATCGTAATTTTGTTCAAGTTCCCATGAAATATTCAACAAGATAGACCATATGTAGACCATAAAACCAACGTCAACAAATTTGGAAATATACACAGACTAGCCTCTGGTCATAATGGAATAAAACTAAAATTTGATAACAAAAAAGAAAAAGGAAAACCTGCAAACACTCATAAATTAAACAATATATTTTTAAATAATACACAAGTCAAAGAGGAAGGTTCAGAGAAAATTTAAAAAGCAAGAACGTAATGAAATGTAAAATATAGTATATTAAAAGAATATGGGATGCAGCTAAAGCAGTGATGGAAGGGAAATTTATAGCACTAAACAGTTATATCAGAAAAGAGAATTCTAAGATCTTATAGCAAGCAGTTAGAAAAAGACCAAAATAAACCCAAAGCAAGCAGAAAAAAAGGAACTAATAAAGATAAGAGCAGAAATAAATAAAACTGACAATAGAAAAACAAAGAAAATCAATGAAACAAAAAGCTGGCTCTTGAAAAATCAACTAAATTGTTGTTTCTAGCAAGAACAAGAAAAATAAAAAGAAGACACAAATCCTCTTATCAGAAATGAAACAAGGACTATCACTACAGATCTTGCAGTTATATAATCTAATAAGAGAACAATATCATTAAGTAGAGTTTACCCCCAGAATATAAGAATAGATCAGCATAAGGAAACCTATTAATGTAATTCACTATATCAACAGAGTAAATTGGGGAAAACTCTTATTATCATCTCCATAAATTTCAAAAAGTTATTTAACTAAACAATTTTTCCTAATTAAAAACTCTTACAGGCTGGGCATGGTAGTTCATGCCTATAATCCCGGAACTTTGGGAGGCCAAGGTGAGAGGACTGCTTGAGGCCAGGTATTCAAGACAACCCTGAGCAACAAAGTGAGATCCCATCTCTACAAAAAATTTTTTAAAATAGTTGGGCATGGTGACACACACCCAGCAGTTTGAGGTTACAGTGAGCCATGATCACGTCACTGCACTCTAGCCTGGGCAACAGAGAAAGACCCTGTCTCAACAACAACAAAAAAGAAACAAAAAAAAACCACTACAAACTCTTAGAAAGCTAAAAATAGGGCTGGGCGCGGTGGCTCACGCCTGTAATCCTAGCACTTTGGGAGGCCGAGGTGGGTGGATCACCTGAGGTCAGGAGTTCAAGACCAGCCTGGCCAACATGGTGAAACCCCCTCTCTACTAAAAAATACAAAAATTAGCCAGGCATGGTGGCAGGCGCCTGTAATCCCAGCTACTCAGGAGGCCGAGGCAGGAGAATCGCTTGAACCCAGGAGGCAGAGGCTGCAGTGAGCCAAGATTGCGCCATTGCACTCCAGCTTGGGCGACAGAACGAGACTCCATTTCAAAAAAAAAAAAGAAAGCTAAAAATAGAAGAAAACTTTCTTAACTTGATATGTTATCTATCAAAATGTACAGTAAGCATCATACTTAAAGCTTAACTTTAAAGACAGTTATAAGTCAAGCTATTTGTCACTTTTTTTACTCTTCAATTTTATTATATCTCAGATCACTTTTACTCTAATCAAATAGCTTCCTCTAGTGAGGAATTTAGTGGAGAATAATGTTAGATTTGGAGGTTAGACATTTTTTTTCTGTTCCTAATCTTTGTTTTTTTTTTTTTTTTTTGAGACAGAGTCTTGCTCTGTCACCCAGGCTGCAGTGCAGTGGCATGATCTCAGCTCACTGCAACCTCTGCCTCCTGGGCTCAAGCTATTCTCCTGCCTCAGCCTCCTGAGTAGCTAGGATTACAGGCACATGCCACCATGCCCGGCTAATTGTTTGTATTTTTAGTAGGGACGGGGTTTTGCTATGTTGGTCAGGCTGGTCTCGAACTCATGACCTCAGGTGATCTGCCCACCTCTGCCTTCCAAAGTGCTGAGATTACAGGCATGAGCCACCACACTTGGCCTGATCCTCATTTTAAGAAATATTTTAACAGAGAATAGAATTTATACTGATGCATTTTATTTCAGCACACACTGAAGATCTGTTCTACTGTCTTATGGTTTCTAGTATTGCTTTTGAGAAGTCAGTTGCCATTCTAACTTCTCTTGAAAAAAAAATTTTCACCATTTAATCTCCCATCCTTCAGGAGTCCTAATTAATGACAGACCTTCTTTTTCCCTTCATAACTCATATATCTTCTGTGTTTTTCATTCCTTTGTCTCTATGCCATTTTCTGAATAAATTATTCTATCTATCATCTAGTCATTTCCCTCATCCAGTTAACTAATTCTGAAGCTCTTCTCCTGTATGTAATTACAGTCAGTGAACTTTTAATTTTACTCACTGTATGATTTCACTTCTAAACACTCTCTATGGTTCTTTTCAAATACATCAGGCCACTTGTAATTTCTTGTGCTTTACAAATATTTTTTAGCATGTTGGCTGACAGTTTAAGCTGTCATTCATTCATTCCATTGAAGGATTTTGTTTTTTGTTTTTTGTTTTTTTAGTGCCTTGATAAATTTTACTTTTTGTCTCTAGTGGTCTGCTATTTCCCCTGATTTCTCCAGGTTTGGATTTACTTCATTTCATTCATGTTTCAAAGTACTGGGTCTCTCACATTGATACAAGATCACCATAAGGATGAAAATAACTTTACCTTAAAACTAATGATTTAATATGGAAAACAAAAAGGCAGCAATTCTACTATTTACACACAATGTAGAGGAATACTTTTGCAGAAGAGTTATCAGTATCCCTAAGCATGCAGAGAAGTGCTTTAATAAGATGCTTCCTAGTTTATGAAATATATTTGTTTGATCCTTTATCTTTTTAAAGATAAGGAATTAATCACTTAGAAAATGTGTTGCTTCCTTCTGGTGTTATACCTAGTAAGTGATGTAGCTGGGACAGATCTTAATCTTCTACACATTAAACAATGTTCCTAGGACTGTTAATTAATGGCTCACTGAAGTCTCAGGAATGGCTAAATAAATCAAAATGGATTACAGTCTTTAATACGAAACCCACAACTGTGAAACTACTAGGAAGAAACACTGGGAAAAAACACTTCAGGGCACTGGTTTGGGCCAATATTTTTTGAGTAAGATCTCAAAAGCACAGGTAACAAAAGCAAAAATAGACAAATGGGATTATGTCAAGCTAAAATGCTTCTGCACAGCAATGGAAACAATCAACAAAGAGACAACGTAAATAATGAGAAAAAATATTTGCAAAGTATCCATCTGAAAAGGGATTAATAACAATAATATACAAAGAACTCAAACAATAGCAAAAACAAATAACACAATTAAAAATGGGCAAAAGATTTGAACAGACATTTCTCTAAAAAAAGACATAAATGGCCAAAAGGTATAAGAAAAAATGTTCAATGTCATTAATCATAACTGATTTGCAAATCAAAACCACATTGAGGTATCATCTCACCCCAGTCAAAATGGCTGTTATCAAAAAGACAAAAATTAACAGATGCTAGTGAGGACGTAGAGAAAAGGGAATTTTCATACACTATTGATGGACATGCAAATTAGTACACCACTATGGAAAACAGTATGGAGTTTCTTCAAAAAAACCAGAAATAGAACTACCATATGATCCAAGAATCCCATTACTGGGGTATACAGCTAAAGGAAATGAAATCAGTATGTCAAAAATACCTCCATTCCCATGTTTACTGCAGCATTATTCACAACAGCCAAGACACGGAATCAATCTAGTTATCCAACAACAGATGAATGGATAAAGAAAATGTGATATATATACACAATAGAATACTATTTAGCCATGACAAAGGAATAAAATCCTGTCATTTCCAATAAGATGGGAGTAACTGAGGGACATTATGATAAATAAAATAAGCCAGGCACACAAATACAAATATCACATATTCTCACTCACATGCAGGTGCTAAATAAAATTGATCACTTGAAGGTAGTGAGTAGAATGGTGGTTACCAGAGGCTACAAAGGGTGGCAGGCGTCGGGGTGAAGAGAACTTGGTTAATGTGTACAAAAATACAGTTACATAGAAGGAATAAGTTCTAGTGTTCAGTAGTACAGTAGGGCAACTACAGTTAGCAATAATTTATTGTATGTTTCAAAATAGCTGTAAGAGAAGATCTAGAATGTTCTCAACACAAAGAAATAAATTTTTGAGATCATGGATATTATAATTACCCACACAATGCATACAATTCACATTGTATGCATGTAACAAAATATCACATGTACCCCATAAATATGAACAACTATTATGTATCAATAATTTTAAAATGGGTAAATAAGGGGTGTGACAGAATACTAGAGAGTTTTCAAATAGTATGATTTAAAAGATAGGTAATTTTGGTAATATTAATGATATTAATTACTAATGGGTGACAATTGAAAAGAGTAGTTTATTATAGGAAATCTTAAGCCAGCTATGATAACACGGACTGGAACAGGAATATGATTCTTGGAAAGAGTCTAGGGAGAATTTTAGGAGATGTATAAAATCACACACCTGATGAGATCATTTATTTTATATTAGTTACATTTAAAAGTTATAGAATCAGACTAGAAATAAAGATTAAATATACAAGTACGGATGTCAATAACTTCATACCTTCTTCAGACAGATGAACAATCAATTCAAATACAATATGGTAAGTTTTCAGAAAATGTGTTCAAAGTGTTTAGCTATGGAAATCACAGAAGCCATATTCTGAAGTTGAAATTTTTTGCCAAATATTAAATGTCCATTCAAATGAAACTAGTAAGAGCAATAAAATTCCTTTGCTTGGCTAACCATATGTGAATCTAAAATTTTTGGACTCAAATTATTATATTTTTAATATAATTTTGAAAAAATTCTACTATACTTAAAAGGGGTAAAATGTAAAATATGTCGGTATTTTTATTTTCTTAAAAATCTGTGCAGGATGATTAGAGAGAGATGACTCTATAGTCAGAACACAAGGTTCAAGATTTTGACTTCCCATTTACTAACCATGACCCATGGATAAGTCATTTACCCACGCGGTCTCTTTTTTTCCTGCATAAAAACAGGATAATAATTCTTATCCAATTAACTCATGGATATTCTGTATTTCTCAAATTGTGAAAGTATGTGAAAATTCTTTGCAAATTTAAAGCATCATAAAAATGTTATATTTCTAAGTGCCTTAAATTTAATTTGATATGAAATATAAATACATACTCAAATACTTTATTTATATATTCCAGTGTATGATATCCCTTGTTCTGAAGATGATTAATTGAAGAATGTTCCCATGGGTACTTTAAGCAACAATTACAGCTGTAGCGAATATAGTCATACAACTGTTGCCACAGTCTACAATAGCTTCCATTAACAATTCTTGAATCTATCACGGGGAACTTCTGTTATAGCTAAGAAGTCTCCAGGAACTTCTGTTACAGCTAAGAAGTCTTATATATTAGCATTGTTGAGATAAGACAAGCTCAGATAAATAGGGTGTTGCTACTATGAATCTGCTTATGTATATTTTTATTGACTACTTCCACAGTTGGCTCATATAATGAGTTTTATGCAGATTTGTTTTTAATTATTACTATAAAGTGGTATTTTTATTTAAAACATCTATATAAATATACAAAGCCAAATATGTAATATCTGATGATATTTCTAGAGCATTTCTGTATTTTCAAAGAATCTATAAAAATAACTCACGATAATAGACACTAACTGCCTCAAATCGTTCAAGGAATGAGCTGGAATAAATTAATAAATAAATATAATTTTTTTAAAAAGTAAATAACAAAGGTCATCCAATGATTAAAGTTCTTAATCATTTAATATATATGCTATTCTGATTTTAGAACACCAAAATAACTTTCCTTCCTATAATTGTGTATTATTGTGACCTTGAGAATGCATTTATTTGAAACATTGCATAGTAAAGAAGGCCTACTAGTTAGAGTCAGAACACCAGAATATGAGCAAAAGATCTAAAACATACTAGTGAAATAAACATGCACAAGTTAACTAAACTCTCTGGATCTCAACTGAATTATTTTTTCAATGAGAATAATTATGTCACAGTTTATAAAGATCAAATAAGAAAAATACTAAGTTTGCAAAAGCTTCCACTGTGCAAATATAACCTACTGAAAAACAAAATCAGCTTTTTCAAAAAATAAATACAACAAATCAAAATAAACTTTTGAGAAGGCATACAGTAGCTGAGTCATTCAGTAGGCATATGAACTTATACAAGTTAATTTCTGTAAAATGGAGATAAAAATAGTATCTAATCTCACAGGGATGTTGTGAAAATTAAATGAATGATTGCACACAAAGTGCTTAGAAGATGCCCTGTACGTAGTAAGCACGTAAAGGTTAGCTATTCTCACTATTATTATTATCATAATCTGTCTGGACTAACTTTTCCCCATTAATATTTATTATCCTTCTTCTGTACTGCAGGGCAGTGTACTCATGAAGTTGAAAAGTGCAAGAGGACTCCTAATAAACCTGAAAGTGACTCTGCTAATTTTGTTACACTACCTCTCATCCTTTGGGCCTTGGTGTCAATGTCACCTTCTCAGAAATGCCATTCCTTGAACAAGGGTGATCTAAAACCAACCATTCTCTCCCTTTATCCCTAATTACAATGCACTCTCTGTAATCTTTAATTATTTTACTTATTCTGTTGCATGGTTATTATATTCTGTCTCTTACCACAAATAAGCTCCATGAGAGTAAAACCATACCTGTGTCTAGTTCACTGTTGTGTTCCCATTATACTTCATGGACCCTAGCACACAGAAGATACCCAAGCAATGCTTGATGAATGAAAGAATGATCTTAATGGGTTACTATGCAGCCAAATTTGGAAATCTGAGACAAGAGGAAAGATGACTACTATGGTACAGATGTGATAATCCACCGTTGAGAGCCCCAACACTGGCTTACTTCAACTAAGGGCAATAATATTTTCAAGGATCAGTCCTTAAATGTTGGTAGTTTTAATTGCCTTAGCCACCAAATACACAGAATCATGAAGTAAAGAAAATATTAAGTGGGAAAAGGAATTGGAATAGTATTGAACTGTCATGCCTATATGTATTAGTATGATTTGTCTTTGTTCTTCTAGTAAATAATTTAGAAAAAAAAGAAAACAGCCACTGAAAGTTCATGTGAGATTTACAGGCTAAAATACACCCACTGTACTCTTTACTCATGAAATTTTAAATATTTTGTTCAATCTTTGATATCATATTTGACAGGAAATACAGGTAAATTTTTTTTAAACTATCTAAAGATTGGCAGTCTGGAAGACAATATAACCTGAAAACCCTCTGTATCACATAGAAAATATATGATATCAAGTATTCTTTTCGAGTATTGCTGAAAAATCTAAAAAAAAAAAAAAAAAGAAGCAGCAACTCAAGTGCTGGGATCATAGTCACCTATAGAGAGCAGCCAGCAGCAGAGCACGGAGCATGTGACTGGAGGTTCGGTAGCACCTGCTGCATGGAAATCACCAGGGCCAGCAACTTCAGGAATTGTGGGAGCAGGAGCTGAAACTTTGACCTTGGGCTCGGAGAGGCCAAATTTGAGAATCCTCTGGAGTGCTGCAACTTCAGTTCAAGGGTAGACTAAAAAATATTGCTAGGATAGAAAGGTAATAAAGAAATATGTCTCTGATTGGGACCAGGGCAGAGTACAAAAATTCTCAGTTATCTCTACTGGGAATGTTTATATCTGTGACTTTACCTCATGTGGGTTGAAATCTGAATTTTTCAGTGTAGGTCAGGAATCTTACTACCCTGAAAATTAACATAAATATTAAGTAGTGTAGTCTGGATGAATGCTCCCCAAAGACAGGGTTCAAGGAATTACCACAATGAATTACAATTTTAATTTGCTGAGCTGCAAATTAAAACTGTACACACATGTAGAAACATCCCATCCTGGCTCAAAGTAATCAGAAAAAATAAACAGGAAGATTAGAACCTCAAGAACATGTGACTTGAAAGAATATATAAGTTTGTTTAAAATGATTAAAGATACAAAAGAAGAAATTAAAGTCCAAGAAGAGAACAAGAGTTCATAAAAAAGATTCTAATAACTCAAATAAAATTATTACATATATAAAATGTATATATATTATATACATGTACATATGGATATAAATACAACATGACAAAAATTTTGGACTTTAGCTCTCTCAGATAACAATATGTAAGATGTAGGAAGACTATCGAAACAAGACAAACAGTAAATAGTTTTAGATTAATGGATATTAGTCTACTTTTTACACTTTTAAAAATTCTATTTCTTACTACAATTTAGAAGTTATACACTTTCTTTCTCTTTAAAACCAATGTGGAGGTAGCTCTAATCCCTTAGCCTTTGCACTCTGGGCCCGTGATGGGAGTGGCAACATGGCAATATGTGAATTGCTTTTGGGGTCCTTCTCTTTTCTTGAAAGATTGTGCAGGTTTATAGTTAAATAGATCTATTGGCCCATCCAGAAAATCCAAGAAGTTTGACAGCTTTCCTTCATTGTCTATTTCTTCATTTCCTTTAGACCCAGCTGGTTGCTCCTGGCATAATCCAATCTCTGTTCCTGATTTCTGCTAAGAAGGATTAGGTCCCTGGTTCACATTCACACAAATCTCCTCATCAAATGATTGTACAGCCACACTCTTAATGTTCTCTTCAAAACAACCTTTCTCGTTATTTGCACTATCAGTAGGCTGAAAAATATCCATATCTTCCAAGTTGTGGTATACTTATGCTTAATAATTTCTGTTCAGTTTATCTCTCTCCTTTAGATTTAACCAAGCAATCAGGAGAAATCAAGCCATTCCTGTAATGCTTGCTTAGAAATTTCAACCAACTTCATCACTCACAAGTTCTATCTTCTACAAAACACTAGAACACAATTCAGCCAATCCAAGGTTTTTTTAAAAAAAATATTTTATCATAAGGATTGCTTTTCCTCTAGTTTCCAGTAGCATGTTCCTCATTTCCATGTGAAACCTCAGTAGAATCACCCTTAACCTACGTATTTCCAGCATGCACCTCAAAAATCTTCTAGCTATTACCCAATTCCAAAGCCACTTCCACATTTGATGTGTTACTGCAGCACCCTGTTCTTGGCACCAAAATCTATTAGTTTGCTTGGGCTGTCAAAACAAACCACCAGACTGGGTTGCTAAAAGAACAGAAATTTACTTTCTCACAGTTCTAGAGGGCTAGCCATCTAAGATCAGGGTGTCAGCACAGTCAGCTTCTAGCAGCAGATCGCTTCCTGGCTTGCAGATGCCAGGTGTCTTGTTGTGTCCTATTATGGAAGAGAGAGTAGAATCGGGTGTCTCTTATTATTATTATTAGGACACTAACCACATGATGAGGGCCCACAGGACCTCCTTTAACTCTAACTACTTCCCAAAGGCCCCATCTCCCAACACCATCAAACCAGGAGTTAGGGTTTCAACATGAATTTTGGAGGAACACAATTCAGTCTGTAGCAATAATACAACTCTTGAAACCAATTTTGTTATTTAAACAAACATTGAGAGATAATCAATAAAATAACTCATCCATTCATATATAAATGAATGATAAAGGTTACTCTGTTTTCGCTAAATATAGATATTATTTCAGGAGAGAGCTTTTTAGAAGATACACTAAACAGCATGTATAACTCCACAAAAATTTCATGTGATATCCGTCTTAGTTTGCTGTCTATTTCTACAACAGAATACCACAAACTAGCCAATTTATAAGAATAGAGTTTTATTTAGCTCATGGTTTGGGAGGCTAGGAAGTCTAAGAGCATGGTTCCGGCATCTGGTGAAGGCCTTATTGCCAGGTCATGACATGGCAGAGAGCATTACATGGTGAAAGGGCAAGAGTGTGCCAGTCAGCTCAGGTTTCTCTTCCTCCTGTTATAAAGCTACCAGTTCCATCATAGGGACCCTGCTGATGACCTTATGTAATCCTAATTACCCTACCTCTAATCAACATAAGAATTTAGGGATTAAGTTTCCAACACATAAAACTTGGAGGACATATTGAAACCACAGCAAAATCTGTCAGCTGAAGTTTTATACATATTTAGTGCCTACTATAAAACATTCAACAGACTTTCTAAAAAGTGTGCTATGGGTAATGGCCACATTTTCTTTGATAATATGATTCTGGTAGTTTGTCTCTGTGAGCTAATACTGTTTGAGTCTTTAGGATGACACATATGTTACTAGAAAGAGGTATCCACAGCCATAATACACTTAAGTAATATTATTGGAACAAAAAAAGAGAGCATTTACATCCTGTTAGTCTTAAGATTTGGGACTAATTTTCATGTTTCAATTAAATTATGAGTAACACCTTTAAGTCAAAAATCTGATCATTCAAACTGGAAGAGTAAGTCAATATAGTCTGCCTTACCCTATTTCTATCCCTTGATGTTCACTTTTGCAATACAGATTTTAATATGTAAGGAGAAAAAATACATTGTTTTAATCAGAAACAAATTTTAAGAAAATTTACCTTAAATATATTCTAACGAATTAAGTTTAATAATAAATGAGATTGAGGGAGGGAAGCAGAGCAAAATGGCCAAACAGAACTCCAGTGACTTTCTTCCCTCAGAAGCATCAAATTCAACAATTATCCAGGGAAGAAAGCACCTTCCTAAGAACCAAAATTCAGGTAAGCAATCAGGCAAACCAGGTTAAAAGCTGGTTTTAACATCATAGCAAAGAAAGAGGCACTGAAGAGGGTAGAAAAGAGAGTCTTGCATTGCCTACATCATCCTTCCCTCATTCCCCAGCAGTGCTACACTGAGCCGAGAGAGAATCTGTGTGCTTGGGGGACAGAGCAAAGTCCTGTCACAGCGGAACACAACACAAGGCGGAATTCTGCTGGTGCCCAGAGAAGGTGCATTTAAACTATCCCCGCCCTAGAGGAGTCCTTCACCCCACTGGTAGGAAACTGACTTCCAGCAAGCTCCACTACCAGCTAACTAAAGTGTCCTGCAGTACTGAATAAATATGAAAGGCAATAATAAAATCTGCGGTCCTTGGGCAAGTCTGGGTGCTGTGCTGGGCTTGGAGCCAGTTGAACTGAAGTGCACATAACCCACTGAGACATCAGTTGTGGTAGTAAAGAGAGTGTTTACATCACCCCTCCCTTTACTCCAGGCAGGGAAGCTCAGTGAGAGACTCCTGATTGCAGAAAGGAGAAGGAAGAGTAAAGAGTACTTTGTCTTGCAACTTGGGTAAAAGCTCTGCCACAGTAAAATAAATCACCAAGCAGATCTCTGAAGCCCCAGATTCCAGGCCCTAGCTCCTGTACGGCATTTCTAGACCCACCCTGGGCCAGAAGAGAACCTGCTGCACTGCAAAGAAGAACCCAGTTCTGGCACGATTCATTACCTGCTGACTAAAGAGCCCTTGGACCTCAAATAAACATCAGTGGCAGCCAGGCACTAGTTGCCAAAGGCCTTGGGCAATAACCACTATGTTGCTAGCTTCAGGAGTGACCTAGCACAGCCTCAGCAGTGGTGGACATCGAAGTGACTCAGTCACCCCTCTCCCAACTCCAGGCAACCCAGCATGGAAGGAGAGACTCCTTTTGTTTGGGGCAAAGTGAGGGAAGAGAATGACAGTCTCTGTCTGGCAATCCAGGGAATTCTCCTGGATCTTACCTAAGCCCACCAAGGTGGTACAAGTCTGCAAGAATCACAGTGTTACCGGGATTAGGGTATCCCCTAGCGGATTTGTGGCTTCAGTGACCCAAGACTTAGGTCATAACACTCAATTCCTTTGAATATCTAGAAAGCCTTCACAAGAAGGATGAGCACAAAAAAGCCCAGAATCCAAAGATTAGGATAAATACCTAACACTTTCATGCCCAGACACCAGCAAACATCCACAAGCAACAAAAACACTCGGGAAAACATGACCTCAATAAATGAACTAAATAAGGCACCAGTAACCAATCCCAGGGTGACAGAGATATGTGACCTTTCAGACAGAGAATTCAAAATCACTGTTTTAAGGAAGCTCAATGAACCAAGAAAACACAGAGAAAAAATTCAGAATCCTATCAGAGATATTTAACAAAAATATTGAAATAATTTTTAAAAACCAATCAGATATTTTGGAGCTGAACGATTCAATTGACAAACTGAAAAACGCATTAGAGTCTCTCAACAGCAGACTTGATCAAGGAGAAGAAAGACTAGTGAGCTTAAAGATGGGCTATTTAAAAATACACAGGAGAATAATTCACGTATCAGAGGGTGATAGAATTAAACCAAATAAGAGATTTAACCCAAAGAAGACTACCTCAAGGCACTTAATAATCAAAATCCCAAAGGTCAAGGATAAAGAAAGGATCCTAAGAGCAGAAAAAGAAAATAAATAACGTATAAAAGAGCTCTAATACAGCAGACTTCTCAGTGGAAACCTTACAGGCCAGGAAAGAGGGACATGACATATTCAAAGTGCTAAAGAAAAGAACGTTTATCGTAGTGTATTATACACACCAAAAATATCCTTCAAACACTAATATGAAATAAAGACTTTCCCACACAAACAAAAGCTGAGAATTTTGCCAACACCAGATCTGTCCTACAAGAAATGCTAAAGGGAGTTCTACAACCTGAAAGAAAAGGATGTAGATAAGCAGTAAGAAATCATCTAAGGGTAAAAAAACTCACTGGTAATAGCATGTACATACACAAATACAGAATAACAGTGTAATTGTGATGTGTAAACAAAAAAGATATAAACAACAAAAACTGTAAAAGTGGGGATTGGATCAAGTTAAAATGGAGAGTGTATATTAGGTTTCTCTTTGCTTGTCTATTGTTTTTATAATCAGAGTTTAGTTGTTATCAGTTTAAAATAATTGGTTACAAAGCATTATTTGCAGACCTCATGGTAACCTGAAATCATAAAACCTACAACAGATATATACACACACACTAAAGCATGAAATTAAAAACTACTACCAGAAAAATCACTTTTACACAAAGGAAAATAGGAAGGATGAAAGAGAGGACCACAAAACAACCAGAAAATAAATAACAAAATGGCAGTAGCAAGTACTCATCTATGAATAATAATACTGAATGCAAATGGACTAAACTCTCCAACCAAAAGATACATAGTAGCTGAATGGATTAAAAAACAAGACCCAATGATACACTACCTACAAGAAACTCATTTCACCTATAAAGATGCACATGGACTGAAAATAAAGGGATAGAAAAAGATATTCCATGAAGTGGAAACCAAAAAAGAACATGACTAGCTATACTTATATCATATTTTTAAAATTTGAGACAAAAAAATATAAAGAGAGAAAGAAAAGGTCATTATATAATGATAAAGGGGCCAATTTAGCAAGAGGATATAACAATTATAAATACCTATATATCCAGCACCGGAGTACTCAGATATAAAAAGCAAATATTGTTAGCATTAAAGAGAGAGCCAGACTTCAATATGACAATACAATAATAGCTGGAGATCTCAATACCCTACTTTCAGCAATGGACAGATCATCCAGATAGAAAATCAACAAAGAAACATCAGACTTAATCTACATTATAAACCAAATGAACCTCATAGATATTTACAGAACACTTCATCAAACAGCTGCAGAATACACATTCTTCTCCTTAGCATATGGATGAGTCTCAAGAATAGACCATATGTTAGGCCACAAAACAAATCTTAAAAATTGCAAATAAGTTGAAATTGTATCAAGCATTTTCTCTGATCACAATGGAATTAAAGTAGAAATCAATAACAAGAGGAACTTTGGAAATTATAGAAACACATGGAAATTACACAATATGTTCCTGAATGACAAGTGAAGAAATTAAGAAACAAGAAATTAAGAGGAAAATTCAATAATTTCTTGAAACAAATAATCGAAGCACAACATACCAAGACCTATGGAACACAGCAAAAGCAATACTAAGAGAGAAGTTTATACCTAAAAGTGCTTACATCAAAAAAGAAGAAAAATTTCAGATAAACAACCTAATGATGCATCTTGAAGAACTAGAAAAACTAGAGCAAACCAAACCCAAAATTAGTAGAAGAAAAGAAATAATAAAGATCAGAGAAGAAATAAATGAAATTAAAACGAACAAAACAATATGAAAAAAATCAATAAAACAAAAAGTTGGTTTCTCAAAAAGTAAAACAAAACATACAAACCTTTAACCAGACCAAGAAAAAGAGAAGACAAATAATATCAGAGGTGAAAAAGCAGATATTACAACAGATACTGCATAAATTTAAAGCATTGTTAGTGGCTACTGTCACCAACTATATGCCAATAATCTGGAAAATCTAGAACAAATAGACAAATTCCTAGACATATACAATCTACCAAGATTGAACCATGAAGAAATCCAAAACCTGCACAGACCAATAGCAAGTAACAAAAGCAAAGCCTAATAAAAAGTCTCCCAGCAAAGAAAAGCCCAGGACCCAATGGCTACACTTTGGGAGGCTGGTGTGGGTGGATCATGTGAGGTTAGGAGTTCAAGACCACCCTAGCCAACATGGTGAAACCCCAACTCCACCGAAAATACAAAAGTTAGCCAGGCGTGGTGTTGCGTGCCTATAGTCCCAGCTACTCAGGAGGCTGAGCCAGAAGAATTGCTTGAACCTGGGAGGCGGAGCTTGCAGTGAGCCGAGATTGCGCCACTGCTCTCCAGCCTGGGTGACAGAGTGAGACTCCGTCTCAAAAACAAACAAAAAACTATACTACAATAAAAATAACACTGTATATTATTTATCAATGTACATATGTATGCAACAATTTTTTAAATTATTGGAAAATTAGTATGAACACCTGAAAGTGTCTCCAGAGACAGGTAGAAGAGGATGGGGCTGTAGATAATGATTAAATAAAAATTTAGCTTTATTTATCACATTTTCTATCTTTAAAATATACAGTGGAAGAATATATGTTAATTTCTGAAGGGTATAAGGTTATTTCTTATATATGCTTTCTATTTCTCTGTATCTCCTAACTTTCCAAAAATCTTTTATAGAAAACAAAGTTAATTTCTCATGTTTGAATGCCTAGTGTGAGAAAATATCATTATTTTCCTACTTTTTGTCTAAATTAAATAGTGTATGACCTGAGAAGCATAAATAAATTTATAAAATTAAACATTGCATGTGTATAACATTTTCCTCATATTAAAAGGGAGCTCTGAAGAATGGGGCTAGCATGTTTTTTACTCGTATCTTTACACCTGTGGCAACGGATACATACTTTGAACAAATGCAAAAGATTTATACTTAATTTTTCTTGAAAATAGTTGATGGCTATTTATATATTCCATCTATAGAATAATGCTTAGTATAGGGCTATAGCGCATTTCAAAATAGGTTTAGAATATTTTACAATGATATTTACAGTACCTGCTTTTGGGAATCACAAATCTTTGCCATTTACCTAGTATACCATTTAGCTCATAGTTGTAAAATACTATCTATATGTAACACATATCTTTAGAGTAGGCAAAATGTAAAAAAAACAAACAAACAAACAAAAAAATACAGTTAAAGTGATGACAGCTCAGTCTAAACATGTAAAAAATCTATTATCTTGGTTAAAATTTTCTTCCAAAACTTTAGCAGTTTGGCCTATACAGTTCAAATTTCTTCTTCTAAGCTTTTTTGAGGAAATTCTACAATGGTTTAAAACACATTGCAATGAAACTGACAGGGAAAAAAATACCAAAGAATACTTTGTGTTCCTCTTATCAACCTCTTAACGAACAATGGTACTTTAATTACATATGAAAAAGTTGAAAGTCTTTGAAAAGTTTTCCTGAGTGTAAAGTAATATCTTTAGTATGGAGGCTGCCCAAATATTGAAATCTGTCTTAAATGTTAATTATTAATGCACAATAAATTCAAGACCTATAAGTTCAAAACCTACTGATGCCTGATTCAATACTTTAGAATAAAAAAAATGTTGAGGGTTTTAAAATCACAAGATACAGATATAAAATAATTAAATTAGAATATTTACCGAGCATATAGGAATTCTACCATAAATAGGCAGGAAAAGAAAGGCTGAACTTAATCTGTTTACCTAAGTTCAGTTATTAAAAATATCACAGAAATCAACAGATACTACCCAAATCCTCAAGTTGGTAACCTGAAAAATTTCCCAGTAGATGAGAATCTGGGATCTTGACATCTTCCATCCCAAGCTTTGGTTATTATGTTAGAGCCCAGAAAGACTATACCAATGTATTAACTAAAGAGAATTTGTCTGTATCTATGTAATATTTGGGGAGTTACTTTATCAGTAGAGAATTCTAAGTTTAGTTACCACATCAGTTATTTCTCCATATGTACAGAATATTCAAATTAAATCTAATTCTAGTTAATCACTAGTTACATTTATTTGAGTTCATAGCGATTTTTGAGATGGAAAATTTCTAAATTCTGATTCTTACTCTTTCCTAAAGTACTTTTTTGAATATTAGATGTTCTTGGACCTTTCTATCATCTAAAGAAAATTTGTATTAAAAAATAAAATTACATATAACAATGAAATATAAGTTATACCTATAACATAGTAGCAAAAGTAAGACATTTACCTTGGAATAGATGAGATTTGAAATAGCTAGAATTGAGGGTAACTTCAGGGAGAAATTCATATGAAAGTAATTCATTTGATCATCTATACTATACTCTCTCTAAAATGCAGATGAACCATGCAGTAACTGAGGTGCTTTTTATACCTCCTAATTTTATCTTTACAAGTAGTTGAAATCTGTGCTAAAATGTGGATTTCTTACTTGATACTACCAAGTATGGCACCTCAAAAATTAGAAGAAAGGACATTAAAATTGATTGCAAAAAAGGAAAAAAAAGTATGTCTAACACAGATTTTTAGTTGAATCCCTAGGGTACTATTTTTATTTTTCTCATAGTGTATGCAATTTAAGGAACTCCCAAGAAGTAACTATACCACTACTTTTCAAACTCTCAATGAAGAAAATCCTTTTCCAAGGAGAATGAGGAAAATAATTTTTGTAACAACTCTAATCTTTTATAATTTTCCTCTGACAATATCAGAATTTACTCTTATGAAAAGCCAGTGGTCTAGTAAATTATTTAAGAGAACACCAAAAAGTTCAAATGTTTTTTGTATAATAAGATTGAACAATTAAAGTTGAGAATTTTTTCTTTCTTTTAAAAAATGTTCTTTCATGTCACTTTGCTATTTGCACAAAAAAAACCTAGGAATACAGATAGTTTATAATATCACGGTGAGATATAAAACAATGTCATTTAACTAGAGAAGAAAGAAAGGAAGCGTAGGAGAAAAGAAAAGGAAAGGGAAGAAAGAGAGGATATTAAAGAGAAGAAAAGAAAATTCTAGCCAGTAAAATGTATATGGGATGAAATCATTTTGGGAAATGTGGTTCCTATACAGTGGTTGTGGTATCAGTGGCTGTGTCTAAATTCTAACATAGAGCTCAGTCTTATCTGGTATCCCACTGCCACATTTCCAATGGCCAAGCCTGTAAAATCCAGAAACTTCTGGTGTAAGTTGGAATGCAGTTAAGGTTTGGGTATAAGGCTACTCTGGGAATAAAGTCAGAACACAATTCTTAAATGGCATAACACTAATCCTTCACCATTAAAGTGTTTATATGTATTGTTTGAATCAAAGCACTAGATACTAGAATTAGAGAATTTAAGTGTAACTTAAAATTATGTGAGACAGTGATTGAAAGATTGTTTTCTAATATAATGAAATAAATTTTTCTGTGCAAAATAATTTTCTAACAAATCATTCATTACACAAGCAAATAGCGTAAAGAATGAAGACCTAAAGAACAAAAAATCTTTTCTTTTTCATTTGCTTTAAGTTCATCTCAAAGTGTAAGTTAAACTTGTGCTTTAAGATTACCTTACCAGGAGTAAGGTATAATGTTGACTATTTGCCTGAGTAAAAAGAACCACAGATAGATTACTGGAATACATTAAAATAGATACTTACATTAAAATCTTCACATTTTATACTAGCATTTGCAAAGAGTAACTGATGAATATATTAGTTTAATAATGTAACTTATCATAAACACAAAGTTTCAAACATAGGCAAACGGGTAAGCTATGTGTATGTATGAAGCCTGCTTTTAAACACTAAGATGTAACACAATACAGAATATGTAAAAATATTTCAAAGATGAGAAAAACTAAGAGGAACAGGAACGCTAGTAAAGTGTCTTTTAGATTCAGAGTTCCTTCCCTCATGTATGTTATCCTTTAATATGGGCCTTATTAAAGAAGTCCAGTAATTAAACTAATTACACTAGTAAACAGTGCCTGGGATTTTTTAAAACTCATAGACCTGCCTAACACAAATATAAACTAAATAATACATGTAAAACAAAATATCCACTTTTACAATATAGTATACTACTGTTCAATCTTAAAGTTCTCTTTACCTTTATTGTCTGCCTGCTTGTCTGAAATCGTTGATCGGATACTTGCTGTTGATGGAGGAGCTTTTCATTAACTTCTTTATATTCTTTAACAGACAATTCTGCTGTTTTCTTGGCATTCTGAAGTACACTGTTTTGTTGTTGCAAGGATATAATCCGTTCTCGTAATAAAATAATATTGCTACTTGATTTCTGGGCAGTTATATTTTTGTACTTTTCTCTGTTGACTACATAAAAACAATATTGTTCATATTTTAAAAATTAGATTTAAATTGTAAAAGACATATTGTTAATTGCATATACATTCTTACCTCTAGTAGGAACTGCTGTATGTGAACTCTTTTGCATCTTGCAATTCTTCTTTTGAAAAGTTGGTTTTTTGGCATTCTTATCATGAAAATAGTCCTAAATTTGAAGATTTCATAAAAATGGTATTATTCTTCAATAACAACATCAAGTGAACTGATATAAATAACATCTCTTTACTTAAAAAATACAATTGTTTATGCAGAATTTTTTTTAAGTCTGTGGGAGACCAAGGCAGGAGGACTGCTTGAGGCCAGGAGTTTGAGACCAGCCTGGGCAACAGAGCAAGACTGCCTCTTACAAAAAAAATTGAAAAAAATATTTTTTAAACTCTAGATGATAAAATTCTATAACTGATACCAAGAACTTACAAATGAACTTATTGTATACACTGAACTTAAACCAGCAGGCAGAAGATACAGATACAAAATCAACTCCAAAGAAGTAGAAATTTAATCTAGGGATAGCTTAAAAACTTAGGAGTAAATATGGTAACCGTAACAAAAGTAAAATGTGAATAATTAATAACTTATTCTCTGAAAATATAGGCCCTTTTCTCAAATACTCTATTATATGCTGACAAATGAAGCTAATAGCCTTCTGACAAATAAAGCTAAAAATAATGCTGACAATAATAAAATAACTTCCTGAAGCTGTATGTTTTCCTCATGGCATTCTAATACACTGAGGCTGAATAAAAGGAAGCCTTGTTGACTTTTGGTTTCAAAACGTTTCACCAATTTAAAATTGTATATATTAGTAGTAAAACATGTGGTCTTAAGATTTTTTTTTTTTTCTTTTGAGACAGAGTTTGGCTTTGTCACTCAGGCTGGAGTACAGTGGCACAATCTCAGTTCACCGCAACCTCCGCCTCCCAGGTTCAAGCAATTCTCATGCCTCAGCCTCCCAAGTACCTGGGACTACAGGGACCACCACCCCCAGCTAATTTTTGAATTTTTGGTAGAGATGGGGTTTCACCATACTGTCTAGGCTGGTTTCAAACTCCTGGTATCCAGTGAGCCACTCGCCTCGGCCTCCAAAAGTGTTGGGATTATGGGCGTGAGCCACAGTGCCTAGCCTTGTTTAAGAATGTATTGGCTGGGAAACATAGATATATGCAATCTAGAAAATTATTTCTTATTTTAAAAAGAACTTTTTAAAAGATCCCAATCCAGCAACAAATTGCCTGAAAGTCATGAAACTGATTAACACATGGAACAGAAGCCTATATCTAAAATAAGGTTTTCCTTTCAAATGATTAGTTTCAGAAATATAAAACCCTAACAATGTTTCATTTCTCAAAATATTTTTGAAATGCTTCATTTAAGCTTATCTTCAGAACTGGCATATAAATTTTTAATTGCTTTATTAAGATTTAATTAGTATTTAAGTATCAGCCACGCACTGAGCACTGTTAAAAAAAAAATCCAAACTACAGCTACCAATTGAAGTACTAATATCAGTCACCAGATTTGGTATCAAATTAACAGTAGCTAAAATTAAATTACAAAGAAGTGGGCTTCTGTTTCCAGTACTATTACTGAATACAAACTCAAGAAAACTCTCATGCTATGAAACAAACACACTTAAAGTGTATTTCTAACATGGCAAAAAATACAAGGGAAATGTCAGAGGTCAAAAATGAAGTGAAAGCAGAAATTCAGAGACCATACAAAAGTGACCAACAAAGTGGCCAGCAAAATGTAGAACTGACAATCCCTTGTGACCTTGAAATTCCACTTAAATAGCAACACAGAATGCAGAAGGCAAGAAAGAAAGCCTAGTTCACAATCCAAGATGAGAAATTTCAGGTCAGAAAGCTAGGACATTGTATACGTCAATAGTTAGCTCCTTTTTATTGCTGAGAAGTTTCCTGTGTTACAGATGTACCACAGTTTGTTTAGCTGTTCAGCTATTGAAGAGAATTTTGGTTGTTCCCAGTTTTCAGCTATTACAAACAAAGGTTCTATGATCATTCATGTACAAGTTTTTTTGGTAAACATATATTTTCATGTCTGTGGGATGTGTCTAAGGGTGTGATAGCTGGGTTGTATGGTAAGTTTAGTTTTTAAGAAACTGACAAACTTTTTCAGAGTGCTGTAATATAGAATTTTATATTCACATGAACAATATATGAGAGATCCAGTTTCCCTGTCCCTTGGTCAGCACTTGGTATTTTCACTAATTTTTACTTTAGCTGTTTCCTAATAGTGAAGTTGAAAATCTTTATATGTGCTTATTTGCCATCCGTATATCCTTTTTTGGTAAAATGTTTGCTCATATCTTCTGCCTATTTTGTAACTGGATTGTTTAATTTCTTCCTGTTAAGTTTTGAGTGTTCTTTACATATTCAAGCTATGAGACTTTTGTCAGACACATGGTTTTTAAATATTCCTCTCACTCTGTGGCTTGTCTTTTCCTCTTCTATATAGTGTCTTTTGAGGAGCAAAAGTTCTTAATTTTAATGAAGTCTAATTTACTGTTGTTTTCTTTTATGGATCATGCTTTTGGTATCATGTCTAAAAACTCTTCACTCAGCTCTAAGACTTCAAGATTTTCTCTTATATTTCTTTCTGAAAGTTTTATGATTTAATATTCTACATTTATATGTGAGCCACCTCAAATTAATTTTTGTATAAAGTGTAAAGTCTAGGTATAGGTTCCTATATTTTTTGCGTAGAAATATCCAATTGCTCCAGCACCATTTTTTGAAAGGATTATCCTTCCTTTGCACCTTGGTCAAAAATCAGTTGTTCATACTTATGTGGATCCATTTCTAGATTCTCTGTTCCATTATGTGAATAATAATGGCGGGTGTACGGTGCCATCAGTCTTGACATCTGAATCAATTTTGGGTGATAAGGATTAATGCCACCATCTGTGGGGCAAACATAGTTATTTAATTTTTCAGTTCTAAAATTTAGATCTGGGTACTTTTATATCTTCTATTTATTTGCTGAGACTTTCTAATTCTTTACTGAGATAGTCTATTGCTTTTGTTTTAGGTCTATTTTGTTTTGTTTTAGGCCTGTCCATAATTGCTTGTTGAAGCATTTTGATGGCAGCAACTTTAATATACGTGTCATATACAGATGCCTCCTGACATACAATGGGTATCCATTATTACGTCCTGATAAACTCATTAAGTTGAAAACATCATAAATCAAAAATGCATTTAATACATCTGACCTACCAAACATCATAGCTTAGCCTAGCCTACTCAGAACACTTACATTAGCCTACAGCTGGGCAAAATCATCTAACACAAAGCTTATTTTATAATAAAGTATTAAATATGTCATGTAATTTATTTATTGAATACTGCCCTGAAAGTGATTAAAAAAACCATTGTATGGGTACTCAAAGTACAGTTTCTACTAAACATGTATCAATTTCACACCAACATAAAGTAGAAAAATTTTAACTCAAACCATTGTAGTGAGTTGGGGACTGTCTGTAACTCCAACATCTGTCATCTTGCTTTTTGCTTCTGTTGATATAGTTGAGGTTTTCCTGGATCTTGGTATGAGGTGTGATTTTCAATTGTATCCTGGACATTTTGGCTATTATATTTCAAGTATTAGAACTTCAAGGTTCTGTATCTTACTTGAATCTCATTTGAATGGGACTCATCTGACACCACACTGATGGGGCAAGGAGCACACCATCTAATTACTGCCAGTTGGAAGTGGAAATCCAGTCTTAGTTGACAACCTGGTTGGAGAGGGCCACCTTATTACTGCTTGGGGAGGGCAGAACTTCAGGCTACCCAATAGGCATCTGCTGATACCATCATGGCTGGATAATGGAGGGGGACTTAGTTAATGTTCCCCACTGGGCTTCCATTGACATCATGGGGAGGGGGTGGGGGCTTGTTAGGTATAAGTAGTAATTAAATTCCCCATCTCTGCACTTGGCCTCTGAAATTATCTTGCTCAGAAGGGAAAGGCATTTCAATGCTGAATGGAGGTGGATATCCAGGTTCCCTATGTGATCTCCAATGACATGGAAAGGAGGGAGTCACCGGTTCTTAACCTTTTTGGCACCAAAAACCAGTTTTGTGGAAGAAAATTTTTGCATGGATAGGGGGTGGAGTGGGTCGGGGAGGTGGAGATGGTTTCGGGATGAAACTGTTCTACCTCAGATCATCAGGCATTAGATTCTCATAAGGAGCAGCAACCTAGATCCCTTGCATGTGCAGTTCACAGCGGGGTTCATGCTTATGTGAGAGTCTAATGCCTCCGCTGGTCTAACGGGAGGCAGAGCTCAGGCCGTAACAATGGCTCACCCACCTCTCACCTTCTGCTGTGTAAGCCAGTTCCTAGCAGGCCACAACAGGTGCCAGTCTGCAGCCCAGGGGTTAGGGATCCCAGGAGGAGGTCATTATCACTAGCTCCACACTTGGTCCTCTCTGGCATCACCCTGATAGGAGGAGGAGAGGTGAAGAGTGCCTACTTATTGCCAGGTAAGAGTGAAAGTCTAGGTTCCCATTAGGCCTTTACAGATGGGGCTGGAAACAGGGTTGCAATTTTTCTCTGGTGTTTGCCTGGAGTAGGACACTTACTGTGTAAGCTTTTCTGTCTTGCTAGGCTGGCCTTTTCCAGGTCCTTTGGCTAAAAGAAGGGTTTTATCCAGGGCATGTATTGTCTGACCTACTGAGGTTTCTAGGTTGGGGATTTCAGGTATCCAGGCCAGGATACATGAAGCAAAATGAAAACCCAAAGAACTCACCACCATGTTGTTCCTTGAGTGCTGAGGTACCTAGCTGGTCTGCTGCCTTCTCTCTACCTTTCAGCGTCTTCTTCTTGTTTTATATTAATTTAGGTTAATAGAGTCACTATCAAAATCCCAAAAAAAGTTTTTGTAGAACTTAAGCTGATTTTAAATTCATTTTGAAGAGTAAAGGACCAAGAAGAGACTCTTGATGAACAAGAAGGTGGGAAACTTGTTCAACATGCAATCAAGACTACTAAAATGTAACTAAGACAGCATGATACTGATACATTTACTGAAGGAACAGAAGAAAAAGCCTAGAGAAATATCCCTATGTTTACGTACATTGGATTTACAATAAAGGTGGCACCTTTGAATAAAGTAAGGAAAAAGTTAATGACAAATATTGGGGAAAAATTGGTAAACTTAATCCCTATCTCACATCACATGAAAAAATCAATGCTAGACATTGATGTGAAAATCAAAACAGAAAAATATAGGAAATCAGAAAAATATAGGAAAAGACAACATGGAAGGTAGCATAGGATATATCTACATTGCAGTAAGCAATGCATTATACAGGACACAAAATGTGCTATTCATAAACAAAAAATTGGTAAGTTTGGCCACATTAGAATTGAGATGTTATATTCTTCAGAAGACTCCAGTGAGAAAAGAAAAAAGGCACACCATGGAGTAGGAAAAGATATCTACAATACATAACCCACAAAAGGCTCATATATAGCATATATAAAAATGTCTAAGCCAGTAAGAAAAATACAGACAACTCATTTGGAAAATGGGCAGAGACTTGAAGAGGCAATTTACTAAAAAATTCCAAATGCCCAATAACCATGAGAAAGTACTCAACATTGTATTAGTAATCACAGAAACTTAACTCACAATGATATACCTCAACATACATGAAAAAGTAGCTGAAATGAGAAAGATTAACCTATCAAGTATCAATGAAGAGCAGCAAAAATTTCTATAAAATCTATTTATCAATCAATCAGCAGTCATTTAGCATATATTCTTGGTCTGAACTTTATTCTGGTAGTAACTAAAGAAGACCTTTCCTCCAAAGTGCTGGCAAGAGCTCAAAAAATAAATGTTTTTGAATTATGTTTTAAAAGAATCTTATAGGTTAATTCAAAGACAACCTAATTTTTACAACAAAATAGAAATGAACTTTCCTTAATTTTTCACTGATTTATGTTAAATAGGTAAACATTTGGTGCCATGATGTATCAGCAGTAGGAATTACTGAATAAGTTGTATTAGAACTTCAATTTTTCAAAATGTAAAATACATTGAGAGGCTAGTTAGAAATAAGTAATTTAGAGATTTAGTCAGACTAAATGACTTTATCATTGCAAAGACTAATATACAAAAAGAAGTTTCATCATTTGGAATATTTCATATACCTGAAAACAATAATGAGCTTATTAACCACTTTTTTGCTGAGATATAAATACCTTAAGATTTATAAGAATAGTATTTATTTTCGTCTATGAAAAAGACTGTAACAAACAAGTACTTGAAAATTATTTAAAAGTGAATATTTTCACTGTATATTTTAAAGACTTAACTTGTAAGAATTCAAATTAAATCAGTAGTAACATTTATTTACTTAAGTTATAAAGCATAAGATAAAATTTAAAACATAGCATACAATTAAGCAAAATCATGTCATTTACCTTTGGGGTCTTGCCATCTATATTTAAATATGTCTGTACTATTTCTTTTCCTTGTGTTTGGCTGTCTTCTGTTGGATCACTTTCTTTCTGGTCTTTTCCATCTTCCGTAGGACTTATTTTCTGGGATGTTTCTACAATAATTGTTCCCAAAGTTTGAGAGGTCTGTGCTTCAGAATCACTGCTTTTTAGAAAAAAGTAGGGACATAAAATCCAAGAATAAAAGTTGTTACATGTACTTGTCTTAAGTTCAAGACCAAATAATATTTTAGCATAGATTGTATATAAAACTGCAAGTTTAACGTGGGCATTTACTGGTTCTCAATGTGAAAGGGAAAATGAATCTAAATATATTGTACAAAATTATAGAATCCCATCAAGAAAACAGATTATCTAATTTCAAATCCCTACTAACATCATTTCGATAGTACTTCAACCAAGTGTTAACTCAGGAAGCAATTGTTGTAACACTTCCAGGGTTGGAGCATGCACTACTTTCCCAACAAGGCCAGAAAAGTTTAATATTTCTAACAAAGTTTTTCCTTCACCTGAAACAAAATTTGAATCTCTGAAGCTTTCACCCACTGATTCTAGTTCCATCCCTTATGGCTATTTATCACTGAATAAAATACTTCTTAAGCACCAACTATGGGCCCAGGCACTTTTTTTTTTTTTTAAGACAGAGTCTCGCTCTGTCACCCAGGCTGGAGTGCAGTGGCGCGATCTTGGCTCATGGCAACCTCCGCCTCCCAGGTTCATGCCATTCTCCTGACTCAGCATCCCAAGTAGCTGGGACTACAGGCGCCCATCACCACGCCTGACTAATTTTTTGTATTTTTAGTAGAGATAGGGTTTCACTGTGTTAGCCAGGATGGTCTCGATCTCCTGACCTCGTGATCTGCCCGTCTCAGCCTCCCAAAGTGCTGGGATTACAGGCATGAGCCACTGCACCCAGCCGGGCCCAGGGACTTTTGTGGGCATGAAGGCTAAGGCAGTAGTGAACAAAGTAGAAAAAAAATCCCTTCCCTCATGTAACCTTTATCCTGGTCAGGGTAGAGGGACAGGAAACAAGAATACTTAGTAAAATACATACTATGTCAATAGTGATGTGTTAAAGAGAAAAAAAATAAAAATAAACAAGGGTAGGAGACAGGAAGTGTTGAGGTTGTGTGGAACATTTAAGTAAGTCCCTTTCCCACATGGATGAGCTTTTAACTATTTAGACATCATTATATGCTGCTTGAGACACCATGAAGAATAACATCCCTAGCTTGTTCAAATGTTCCTAACGTATATACTTTTGAGATGCCTTATCTCCTTGGTCTTTTTTTTTTTTTTTTTTTTTTTTGAGACAGAGTCTCACTCTGTTGTACCCAGGCTGGAGTGTAGTGGCACGATCTCGGCTCACTGCAACCTCCACCTCCAGGGTTCAAGCGATTCTCCTGCCTCAGCCTCCCGAGTAGCTGGGATTACAGGTGCCCACCACGATGCCTGGCTAATTTTTTGTATTTTTAGGAGAGATGGGGTTTCACCATGTTGGTCAGGCTGGTCTCGAACTCCTGACCTCAGGTAATCCACCTACCTCAGCCTCCCAAAGTGCTGGGATTACAGGCGTGAGCCACCACGCCCAGCCTCCCTGGTCAGTCTTGAATGTGTTTCAGCTTATCATGATGGAGCATCATGTCCAGAATTCAGTTTCATCTTCCTGGGACACTATGAGAGGTACTGAGTAAAACTCTTGGTAGATGCAGACTAAAAGTGTGTAAGCTTCTCTGGCGTATACATCATACTATAGACTCAAGTAAGATTTAACAAAACCACCTAAAGTATTTCAAATAAGATTTAACAAAACCACCCAGACAACTATTAAAGCCACATATTTCTCCCATTGTACAGTGCAACTGGTATTTTATAGCCAAATAAACTACCCTGTAGGCATTTGTGTAACTATATTCCCAGTCTACTGAGATCTTTGGGGATCTTGATTCTATTGTGTGACGTATTTTACATCCCTCTCAACGTCATGTTAATCACAATTTGATAAACATGCTTTGATGGAATTCAGATGTTCTGTATTTAGTGTAATTCTATTTTAAAAGGTTACTGGTTAGTCTGATAAGAATTTCCCTTGAAGAACTCATACTGGCTTTGAGAAATCACTACTTCTTTTAAGAAACATTCACAAAGTATTCTTTTATAATGTCCCAGAACCTTACTTAGGATTTATTTCAAAAACACCAACTATAGAATTACCCATCTTTGTGTTTTTAATGTCACAACTACACTTTTCTGTTTCCCATATTCTCATATCATTTGGGTTCTCCTTCAAAATACCAACAGCAATTGATCAAATCTACAAGTTATTTCAGTATCCCAGAATTCATTATTTCTGAATCAGAATACTATAATCTATTTGCTTATGTGTTCTACTATAATTGTTTACCTCTTTTTATGTTCTATTCCTCTTTTTTGTTTGGCCAAAACTTAGCAGAAATTCAATATGTAATGGCCAAAGTGGTATGAAAAGTGTCATAAAAAGCAGCATATTTCACAATAAGACACTCTCAAAACAAACTGTTTAGATTTGATTGGAGAGCCCTTGGTGGGGGGTGGGCAGGGGCAGAAGGAGGGAGACGTGTCTTAGTGATGGGGCAGAGTGCTTCCTTCTCTTTATAATTCTTTATTCATTCATTATTCAAAAAACATTTATTGAATGGCTACTATGCCCTATGCATGTGAAAGAATTGATGAACAAATTCTTTACAGTCTATCCATGAATAAATTTAGTCTATCCACGAAGAAAACAATAAGCACAATAAATCTGAAATATGATATAGTATGTTATAAATTATTAAGGACCACTGGGGAAAAAATGAGCAAGATAAGAGGAAGGAATCCAAATTATGGGAGGTAAAATGGTGGCAGGCTGAAATCTGAAATAGATTGATCATTAGTAATACTGAAGCAAAACTTAGAGGAGAGGGAGTTGGTTGTTTTAGATATCTGGCTAAATACATTCCAGGCAGAAGACATCAAACTAAAATCCCTAAGTTAAAAGTTCCTGCTTTCAGCGAGCAACAGTCAGTCCAGTGTAGGTAGAACACAGTAAATATGGACTAAAAACAAGGCTGAAAGCAGGGAGGGTGGTTAGGAAAGTTCTTTTCATATTCCAGGCAACTGATGATAGATATAAGAGTGATGACAAACAAAATTGATAAGAAATGGTCAACTTCTGGATATTTTTCTAAAGAAATCCACCAAGATTTCCTGACAGAGTAGATGTAATGACTGACAGAAAGACTGGAATCAAAGATGGTATCAAGCTTTTGGTCAGTGCAACTGTAAAGATAGAATTATCATTAGTGAGAAAGAGGAAGACAGCAGCTGAAATAGGCTTGGTGGGGTAAAGCCCAGGAATTTGTATTAGGCTATTTGATATCCAAGTATGATGCTAAGTTGACAGTCAACTTTACATGTCTAAAATTCAGAGCCTGACCAACATGGAGAAACCCCATCTCTACTAAAAATACAAAATTAGCTGGGTGTGGTGGCACATGCCTGTAATCCCAGCTACTCTGGAGAATCGCTTGAACCCAGGGGACAGAGGATGCAGTGAGCTGAGATCACGCCACTGCACTCCAGCCAGGGCAACAGGAGCAAAACTCCATCTAAAAAAATAAAAATAATAATAATAAAATAAAATTCAGAAGTGAGGTATAGAATGGATACATACATTTTGGGGTGGCTGGAATATAGGTGGTAACAATGATGTTAATAAATACTATGAGATCACAAAACAATGAGTGCAGCTTTTAATGTGTCCTCCAAAGTTCACATCTTGGAAACACAATCCTCAGTGCAACAGTGTTGGGAGGTGGAATCTAATAAGAGGTGATTAGATCATGAGTCCTCATGAACGATTTAATGTTATCATGGGAGTGAGTTTGTTATAAGAACAGGCTTGTTATAAAAGCAAATTTGGCCCCCTCTTGCTCTATCAGGCTCCTTGCCGTTCCACCTTCGGCCATGATGACACAGCCAGAAGACCCTCATCAAATGTGGCGCTCTCAACCTGGGACTTCCCAGCTTCCGGAACTGTAAGAAATAAATTTCCTTTCATTATAAGTTATCCAGTCTGTGGTATTTTTTTGTGTGTGTTGTTATAGCAACACAAAATGTCCACTGACTGAAGACAATGTCCAATGACTGAAGCTCTTAAAAATTGAGAGACTGAGGGGGAATGTCACAAAACTAACAAATGACACTGAAGTTAAATATCAGTGAGAAGAAGAAAATAAAGAGTATGGTATGGCAAACTATAATAACAAGAGGTAGAAATCAACTGTGTCAAATGCTGCTGAGAGGTCAAGTAAGGTGAGGACTGAGAATCAACCTTTGAATTTGGCAAAGTGGTAGTGACCCTCAAAATAATTGTTTTAGGCTGGGCGCGGTGGCTCACATCTGTAATCCCAGCACTTTGGGAGGCCGAGGTGGGCAGACTGCCTGACGTCAGGAGTTCAAGACCAGCCTGGCTAACATGGTGAAACCCCATTTCTACTAAAAATACAAGAATTAGCCTGGGGTGGTGGCGTACACCTGTAGTCCCAGCTACTCAGGAGGCTGAGGCAGGAGAATCGTTTGCGCCCAGGAGGTGGAGCCTGCAGTGAGCCAAGATCGCGCCACTGTACTCCAGCCTGGCAGACAGAGCAAGACTCTGTCTCAAAAAAAAAAAAAAAAATTTGTTTCAGAAGGATGATGAAGGGATGAATGGAATTTGAAACAAGGATTGTACACAACTTTTTAAAATTTCACTGCCAAGGACAGCAAATACAGAGGACTACTAGGTAAAGGAGTACTAACAGGTGTATAATGAATTCTCTGGTTTCCAAACATGGTCCTCCTAATTTTACCTCAATAATTGGGATAATTGCTCTGGCTAATACCGTAGCTCCTTTTGACGCTTTTTAGCTCAGTATAGGGAATCCAAAATGGCCAGGGTACAATCTCAGCGTCTACCTCTACAGACCATAATTGTGTTCCCTCAAAGAACTTTCCTACCTTCGGCATCAGGACTCTCAAATCCCCTAGCCCAAGATCATACTAATGAGAAGCAAAAACTCCTCCAGTGGGTTACTTGGTTAAATAATTACAGCGGCCACGCCAACCTAAAATACTTTATTCCTGGACCTATGCATTCTTGGAGATAAAATAATAAACTCTCAGTTTAGGGCATATACCCTAACTTCAATATTGTCTTCTAGCTGGTGCCATAACGGAGCCTATTGATCATCTACTGTCGTATACAGCCAGTTGCCTTTGAATAATGAAAAATATAGTAATACCAGTGAATTTGAAGACACAGAGCATTGTCATATATCCCTTGCCATAAACTCTGTCTTTTAGCTGGGCTTGGTGGCTCATACCTGTAATTCCAGCACTTTGGGAGGCTGAGGCAGGTGAATCACCTGAGGTCAGGAGTTTATGACCAGTCTGGCCAAAATAGTGAAACCCCATCTCTATTAAAAATACAAAAATTAGCCGGGTGTTGTGGCACACATCTCTAGCCCCAGCTACTTGGGAGGCTGAAGCACGAGAATCGCTTGAACCCGCGAAGCAGAGGTTGCAGTGAGCCAGGATCACACCACTGCACTCCAGTCTGGGCAACAGAGCGAGACTCTGTCTCAAACTAAGAAGAAAATGTGTCTTTCAGTCTGCTTCTCTGGGAAAATGCTGACTAGGCCACCTCCCTACCTCCCAGTCCTACCTCCAAGGTTGAGATCAAGATTGAGCAAGTGCATCCAAGGAGGCAGTTTTCTGCAATATCATAGGGATATATAAGTCATTTTGTAAATCTAAGAATGGTAATATTGGTAAAAATATAATAGACAAAACCATACCTAAAATACTTAAAACTACTGTAAAAAAAAAAAATTGATGCCTCCTCCATGATGGAAGAGGCCTACTGTAATCAACCTGACACTAAGAGACTGGTTGGTTTCCTCTGGAGAATGAAGCTTTTTTTTGGGATTTGCAATTGGTCTTTTTTGTGAACAGGCTGAATATTCAACAGTGCCAGTAGCCCAGTCGCCAGACAAGTTTTGGTGAAAGAAAGTCAATTTTGTTCAAAAGCTTGCAAGGAAAAATTGGAAGATTAGTGGCAGGACACCTGTGCCATGTAGAAGCTATACCTGTTGCCATAGCCACTTTGTTCATGAACCCATTAAGCAAGCCCTCAGATAGCTGTGAAATAGGCAAGATCTATACAATGGGTCATTTTGTTCACAGAATGGGCTTTGTGTGTATCTCTTCCAAAAGGTCCATCCACGAACCTCCCCACAGACCTTCCTGCCACCAATCTTCCACCAACCTTCCCACAGACCTCCCTGTCACCAATCTTCCAACTTTTCCTTCCAAGTTTTTGATATACTGAAAAATGCCTCTTTTGACGCACTCCCTCAACATTGATCTCAATCTTCACTACTTTTTTTGGAGTGGGAGTGGGAAGTAGAGAGGTGGATTAGTCAGGGTTTTTCTGGAGAAATGGAACCAACAGGATGTATGCATGCACGTATATATCTTTAGGAATTGGTTCATGTGATTGTGAAGGCTAGGAAGTCCAAATCTACAGTATGGCCCAGTAGGCTAGAGACTCAGGAGAACTAATGGTGTAGCTTCAGTCCAATTGCCAGCAGGTGGAAACCCAGGAAAGTCAATTTTCTAGTTCTAGTGTGAAGTCTGGCAGGCTAGAGACCCAGGAGAGCTGATGGTGCAGATTAAATCTGAAGGCAATTTTCTGGAGAATTCCCTCTTGCTCACAGAGGCCATTCTTTATATTCTATTCAGGCCTTCAACAGACTAAATGAGGTTTATCTCCATGCTGGAGGACAATGTGCTTTATCCAAAGCTCACTGATTTAAATGTTAATCTCATCCAAAAACACATAACAAGTTGATACATAACCAACAGAGGGGGCTACTGTCCCTATAATTCAGTTTCTTTTCACAGTGTCATCCCCTCCATGTGGGACTTAGTTCAGTGAGGAAGTTCTGGTCTTTTGGTATAGATAGCTCATAGAAGAACTGTATTTTTCTTTTCTCCGGACACCAATTTTCTCTCTCTTGATACAGTGCAAGTCATACAGCTGTCGATGGCTGTCCCTACCTGTTCATATTTTGGGTTTGTCACTAATTCTATTGTAGATGCTATCCTTGAGATTTTGGCTATGCCTTCCTATTTGTTTTGTTTATTTTGATGGGGGATTTGTGGAAATAAAATATCTGCCACTGCTGCAGCCTCTTCCCAGTAGTACTAGCTTTTTGAATAGAGAACAGTTGTCAACAGAAATCGCATAGCCTTAGGTGTCTATATGTGGTTCTTGTCATGCTTGTCAGGCATTCCACATACCACCTCTGTCTGCTACAGACATATTCATAATCTTTGGTTCACTGAGTCATCTCCTCAAGCCATTAATATTTCCTGTCCATAGCACTGCCCATTTTCTATTGATGCGTCTTTTTATATAATTTGTAGATGATCTTTAAATCTTCTGGATATTAGTCCTTTACCTTCTTTATGTGTTGTAAATACCTTTTTCTGGTTAGTCATTTGACTTTTAACTCTTTTTATATATCTGTTACTATATAGATGTTTAAAGTTCTATTAACGCTTTTTCATATCTGGCTCTGTATTTTCATCTCTTGCTTAAGTATACTTCCTAGAGATGCTCCAAAGTTATAAACAAGTAATCTTGTAATTTCTTGTAATACTTTTAAAATTTTCATTGTTTCATTAAACCTCTAATCTAGGCCAAGCACAATGGCTTGCATCTGTAATCCAAATACTTTCTGAGGCCAAGGCAGGAGGATCACTTGAGACCAGAAGTTCAAAACCAGCCTAGGCAATGTAGCAAGATCTCATCTCTACAAAAAATTTGAAAAATTAGCCAGGCACGGTAGCACGTGCTGTAGTCTCAGCTCCTAAGGAGACTGAGGTAGAAGGTAGCTCGAGCTCAGGAAGTCGAGGATGCAGTGAGCCATGATTGTGCCACAGCACTCCAGCCTGGGAAACAGAGCTTGACTCCACGTCATTAAAAAAAAAAAATCTCTATATGGATTTTGCTTTAATGTACCGTACTATATTAGGTAGTCAGACAATGAATATTATTTAATGATTCAAGAAATGTATTTGTTCACTTATTCTTCACAGTCTGCTATGTATATATAGTCTGGTCATCCATCAAAAACTTAACAACATGAAAGGAACTCTACTACTTTATCCTAAGATACTGTGTCAAGAGACTAACTATATGCAAAGTTCTATGGAATCTAGATCTACAGTAACCTAGGAATAAAATGCTAGGAACCTAAAGCAAGATTGCTATTTTCAGAAAGTACAGACAAACCGATTTTTGACCAATTTAGTGGAGAACACAGAAGAATCAGGACTTCAATGAGGATCAAATGAAATGTATAGGTCATTAAAAAATAGCAGTATAAAAATTTCCAAGATTAAAAATCTTTGCAATCATAAAGATTTTTATGTGTGTGTGGAATCTATAAACAGCAACAAAATGCAGGCCTAAAAAAGACCTGTACTCACAATTTGAAAAATAAATCTTTGTTATGTGAGACTACACTGTTTGATTGCAGAATTTTTCATATTCTTGACCACAACTGGGAATGAATGAATGAATTAACATATACATTTCACACATACATACAAATATGCTGAGGATGGGGTAAGGGGTGTTTCAGATAGCCAAAAAAAATGATTCCTTTTAATAATAATAAACATACAGTACTGAACATGTTTTAGGTGCTATTTTAATGTTCTATCCTATTTCTTTCTCACAACGTATCTATGAATATGATCCTATCATTATGCCTATTTTATGGATAATGAAATTGAAGCATAGACAGGTCAAATAGCATGCCTATGGTCACACAGCTAGAGGATGAGAGTTAGGATTTGAACAAAAGTAGTTTGGTAACAGATTCCACGTTCCTAATCCCTAAGATATACTCTAAATAATGGTACAGTTGGCCAGGCACAGTGGCTCACGCCTGTAATCCCAGCACTTTGGGAGGCCGAGGCAGGCAGATCACGAGGTCAGGAGTTCCAGACCAGCCTGGCCAACATGGTGAAACCTCATCTCTAGTAAAGATACAAAAAATTAGCCGGGCATTGTGGTGTGCGCCGGTATTCCCAGCTACGCAGGAGGCTGAGGCAGGAGAATCGCTTGAACCTGGGAGATGGAGATTGCAGTGAGCCGAGACCACGCCATTGCACTCCAGCCTGGGTGACAGGGTAAGACTCCATCTCAAAAAAATAAATAAATAAATAATGGTAGAGTTGTGTTGGGGAGAAAAAATATGTTTCTTTTATCCAACTTATGTTCTTGGCTGAGACACCGTAAAAATGCAGATTAGCAAAAGAAAACCAAACAAATCTATTTAATATAAGTTTTACATGATAAGGGAGCCTTCATAAGGAAATGAGGACCCGAAGAAACGGTTACATGCGAGGTTTGATGAAAAATAGAAAGTCATGGGAAAATGTGGTAAGACAAAAGAGTATGAGCTAAGCATAGTAAACTGGGGGACACTTAGTGTGGCTGTTCATTCAGATTCATCTTGGTGTTCCTCTGTCTTTTGAGATAAGGACGTTCCTTTCCTCTGGTATAAGGAAGCCACCTCTTATGTGAGGATCTTATAATCTGTTTCAGGGGAGAAGGTCACAGAGTCATTCTAGCACCTGCCATTTTTCAAATTCCTTCAACTATATTTTGGGAGGAGTATGTCCTGAACCCCATCAGTTGTTATCATCTGTTTACAAAAGGTGGTAATGTGAGTGAATATGCTGCTTTATAAAATGGAAGGAAGATGGAAAGGGCTTTAGCACTAAGGTTGAAAACTTTAAAAGGATCCAAATGCCATATTCCTGAAGCAAAAAGAAAAAGAAAAGTCAAAGAGCATCAGTTTCTTGTAAAATAATTTTGAATGAGAATAAAATGCACTAGTAGGGAGAGACATGAAGTCAGACAGGCTAAATACATAGAATCATGGAAGTTTATGTTGTGTTTGAGAAATGTGACCAGGCAATTAAATAAGTAACTTAATGATAAGAGAAAATAGAAGTAGAAAGTATGACTGTAGGGATGGAAAAAAATGATTTTCCCTCTAAGTTCTCATTTGAGACCCCTGTAACAAAAGACAGATTAACAAGTGAAAAACAAGTATATTAACATGTGTATCACACATATAATACATGGGACTACGTGGAAGTGAGTAGCTCAAAGAGGTGGCTTAGAACTCCAGTTTACATAGCATCTTCAGCAAAGAACAACAACTATTTAAAGAAGTGATAAGGGAAAAGAAAGGACTTGCGTCCCAAGGAACAGCAAATTGTAGGAAGGCAAATATATGGAAAACTAATGGTAGATGAAGGCTAGTTGGTAAAATGTGTTAACGTAGCTTCCTCTGGTGCTACCTCCAGGCTCATTAGGGACTCAAGTTGTCTCCAGTGATTAGTTTTTATCCCTTTTTGGCAGAGAGGGAAGAAGGAATACCTTGGTAAATGTATGTACTGCTTTTAGCGGGAGATAAGAGAGCTTTTCTTGTAACTGCTTTTTCTGAACTGGCTTCAGTTTGAAATAATTCTTATGCCAAAATTGCTTATTTTGGTATGGCACGTTTTGCAACCCTTTATAATCTCCTCAATAAATTCTTATTTCTCTGCTTCTGAAACCATGCCTCAAAGAGTTAAAGAAACCAATGATAAACAGAAATTCTTGAGTTTGCAGGCGGCAAATAAAAAAGAAACAACTTAATGAAACTCCCTCTGCTTATGAGATAAAAGAACTAGCTGAAATCAGTTGGAACCAATGTGGCTGACTGGAGTCTGCACAGAACGAGCTTGCTGATGTCACAGACTGAAATTCCACTGCATGTTTCATACTATCCCAGAATTGCATATGCAACTTATGATAGCATGAAGAGATAACCACTCAAGGACTTTGCAGATCTCCCCTTTCCTTTCACCAATCACCTATTAATCTCAGAACTCCCCCTCCCCCCATCACTTTCTAAAAATACTGCTTTGAAGCCAGCCTGGGAGACAGATTTGAGCTTGACACTCCTGTCTCCTTGTAAGTCAACTTGCAATATAAAGCTTTTCTTTTCTCAAAAACCCAGTGTCATAGTATTGACTTCTAGCATAAGGCAACGAGCCCCTTTTATTCAATAACACTACAAACTTCACTTCTCTTTCTTTAATTTGCTTGGAATACTGAAATTCTATTTTTCTTCTTGAAGATATAAACACCTCCTCCTGATAAAACCCATCACTGAAAAGGCATGCTCTTGTAAATACTATTCAACTATGGGAAATAAATACTGAGAAGGTGATAATCATATGATATAGTATTTTATATATACAAAATTATATATATACATACTATTTTTTTCAATATCCAAGTAACTCTTATATTTTTGTCTATAAAAATCTAAAAGAAAGAATCTTCTGAAGTCCCTAAAGCTCTAGTGCAAGAATTTCTAGCCGTTTGAGAATTCTTTTGCAGCTGAGTGACTCTTGAAGGCATTCTGTCAGGCAGGAAATGTAACACTAATCATGGTGTAAAATTGAGTTTTACTGCTAAATAACACAAATGACAATCCTATATTTTAAGAGATATTGTATGATATGTCTCTCAAAGTATGTGACCTTGTGCACATGCACTAATGTCAGAGGTGTTTGAAACAGAGCAACTCCATCTTGAATAGGTGCTGGGTAAAATAGGGCTCAGATCTGCCGGGAGGCATTCCCAGTAAGTTAGGCAATCTAAGTCACAGGATGAGATAGGAAGTCGGCACAAGATACAGGTCATAAAGACCTTGCTGATGAAACAGCCTGCAGTAAAGAAGCCGGTGAAAACCCATCAAAACCAAGAAGACAGTGATCAGAGTGACCTCTGGTCATCCTCGCTGCTATTCTCCCACCAGTGCCATGACAGTTTACCAATGCCATGGCAACGTCAGGAAGTTACCCTATATGGTCTAAAAAGGGGAGGCATGAATAATCCACTCCTTGTTTAGCCTATAGTCAGGAAATAACCATAAAAATGGGCAACCGCAGCCCCTGGGGACTGCTCTGCCTATGGAGTAGCCATTCTTTTATTCCTTTACTTTCTTAGTAAATTTGCTTTCACTTTACTCTATGGACTTGCCTCAAATTCTTTCTTGCGTGAGATCCAAGAACCCTCTCTTGGGGTCTGAATTGGGACCTCTTTCTGGAAACACTAATATGATAAAATTTAAAAAGTATATTAGTGAATTACCTAACTATTGATTATTTATTCATACATACATATTTGCACATAAGTAAATGGCACCACTTTATTTTGAATAGTGTGGTAGTACCAAGTGGTTAAGATAGAATTAGTAGCTAGCACTAGAATTTCCTTGAAGACAGAGGAATAATGAGATATAAAGATAACGCTTAGTGGGTGGGAAGTAAGTTTTTACCTCTAATTGCTATTGAGAGAAGGAAAGAAGAACCTCGGTAACACCGAAATGGGAATGCAGATTTGGTCCTTTGGCCTTTCCTTCATGAATATGTTTTTTGAGTTTCTTTAACTGCCTGAGGACAAGGGGCTTGAGTAGATGATGTTTAAAAACAGTGTTTCTCAAACTTGTCTGCACATTGGATTCAACAGGGAAACTTGAAAAAATACTTAGGCCTGTATCCCACTCCAAAGGTTATAATTTAATTTGTCTGGGGTGTGACCTAACCTTTGGAATGTTTATAAAACCTCCAGGTGCTTCTAATATGCAAACAAGTTTGGGGACCACATTTTAAGGTAATTTTCAGTTCTATGTCTGTGATTAGGAAAAGTATCCGGAGGCATCCCAAATCTAAAACAGAATCACTATTAGGGATTTAAAAACAAAACAAAATAAAAAACTAGGGAAAATCAAGGACATATGTCATTATAAAACAAGGCAGAATTTTTAAAATTATGGCAAATTGGGCAATTTGTTAGCAATTATGGCAACACTGAACTTCCCTACTGTCTAGATGTAAAAAAGAGGTGTTCTATCATTCGTCTTTGTGGTTTTGTTACAAGAAAGGGTCCTGATCCAGACCCCAAGAGAGGGTTCTTGGATCTTGCACAAGAAGGAATTCAGGGCGAGTCCACAGTGCAAAGTGAAAGCAGGTTTTTTAAGAAAGTAAAGGAATAAAAGAATGGCTATTCCATAGACAGAGTAGCCCTGAGGGGTGCTGGTTGCCCATTTTTATGGTTATTTCTTGACGATATGCTAAACTAGGGGTGTATTATTCATGCCTCCCCTTTTTAGACCACATAGGGTAACTTGCTGATGTTGCCATGGTATTTGTAAACTGTCATGGCGCTGGTGCGAGTGTAGCCGTGAAGACAACCAGAGATCACTCTTGTGGCCACCTTGGTTTTGGTGGGTTTTGGCTGGCTCCTCTACCGTAACCTGTTTTATCAGCAAGGTCTTTATGACCTTTGTTTTGTACTGACCTCCTATCTCATCCTGTGACTTAGAATGCCTTAACCATCTGGAAATGCAGCCCAGCAGGTTTCAGCCTCATTTTACCCAGCTCCTATTTAAGATGGAGTTGCTCTGGTTCACAGGCCTCTGACAGTTTTACTGATGTGTTTCAAGTGCATATATGAATGTATAGCCAGGGGTAAGAGAAAGAAGCATTATAGATTTTTAGTATCCTCCTGTTGCTGTTCACTAGGGGTACATATCTTAAGACTAGGAATCTTTAGAGCTATAACTTTAAAGAACTAATTTTTAACCACCATTCAATTAAAGTTAATACAATGACTTTGCATAATACATACATAAAATAATTAGTGAAGATGGTTCTTAATTTAAAGGATGTTAAACAGCTTGTAGACATCTGGTAACAAGCTGAAATGGGTCATTCAAAATTTATCTAACTAAATTAAGGGGGAAAATTGTTTCTCCTCCCAGGTTGGTATGTCACAAGATAACTAAACCGACTTAGTAGGCTTGCCTGGGAATCCTTAGCTGTCAGTGGTGAATATGCAAAGGGCCAGCAGATTAAATCAACCTGCCAAACTGTCAATTTCAAGCCTCATGACTGCATGAAAATAGCATCACTGAAAGAAATCAAGCATTGCCTTCTTTTGGGTTTCCTGGCACCTATTCAAGTACTCATGCAGTTGTGGCTAATTTTGCATGCAAATTTCAGTCAATAAGCTCAGAACAAGACCTCCCAAGATATTTCAAAGGATCTGACAGTATTTTTTCTGAATACCAAATCGACAGTAGTTGAAATTCAATCTCCATTTGCTAGTGCTTTACATATGCGCAGTGTCCCCACCACAGAGCTAAGTTAATGAGAGCCTTACCTGCTTTCACTCACATCCTCCCAGCCGTCCTTGCTGAGGTTCTCAAACACATTGCTCATAACCTTGATGGAATGATTGAGAACAGTGTGGTGACGACCCACAGAGCAATTTTTCTTCGCAGCTTTAAATTTAACCTTGGTCATAGTTGTCTTACAATCATATCGTCCAGATCTCACTTTCATGGTGGCCATCTCGGATTTAGCTCTGTCTGCTGACTGGTGTGATTTCTCCATTGGGTTGATCAGCTCTTCATTTTCATTTCTCAATGCATTAGCTTCTGCCACTTGTCTCCTCAGGGAAGTGACTTCTGTCTCCAGCTCACTGATTTTTACTTGAAGTTCAGTATTTTCTTTTTCTACATCTTTACTCCCCTTTATTATCTGTTCTAGCTCTTTTTCTCTGGTCTCTGTATCTTCTTGTTGCTGTTTTAAGAGGGATTTCAGAAAATCATTTTCTTTCATTAATTTTTTATTCCCTTCTTTTAATTTTCTCGACCTTTTCTCAAAAGATTTCAGCCGATTTTCCAACTCAGTGACCTAAAGGAAAGAGTTTATTCTTTTAAGAATCCAAAAACCATAATCTACTATACTTTATTACCATTTCTAACTTATGAAATAAAAATCACATTTAGCACAAGGACAAAATAAATATAAAGTACTTAATTTCTAGATAATTCTAAGGCAGTGCAGATGAATACATTCAAAAATGCAATAATGTATCTGTTGAATAAAGGACAGATGGTAAAAGAAGGTAAAATTCTACACAGTGACAGAACTAAGTATGCTAATAAACTGCAGTGTCTTCTGAGATCATAAGTGCCTTGGCTATATATTCTATTCATTGTGGAAAAAAATATTTCAGAGAAAAATAATATACACAAATGTCTAAAAGTAGATAAACTGTAATAATAAATAACTTTTTTTCAATATTCGACAATCATATGAAAAAGGAATGACAATATAAAGTAATCTACTGAGGCTGCTTTTTTTCTAAATTAGAAAAATGTAATTTTAGTAGTCATGTGGTCCTCAGTTTATGTGATAAGGGAACAGTTTACTAAATAATAAAGTCTAACAATTTTAAATTATAATGATTTCAAGGTTGCACATAAATTAAAATTTTCCCATTTATTTCAATAAACAATGCTTGTGTTATAGGACATAGCAATGGCAACACACATTTGTTAATCTTAAGGAATTTCAAAATTATTTGAAAAGACCAACACCTGCATACATAAACCTAATAAAGGATATAATCTAAGTATCATAAGTCTGGGCAATTAATTCTAGTTCATAATTTCAAACATTTCATGGAGGAGTTGACTTACATTTAGATCTTATTAATAATAAGTGTTATTGTTTGTAAAGTACATTTTACTATTTACAAAATAGTTTCAAAAACATGATCAACATGATCTCTTCTGACCATCTCAAAACGTGAGGTATGTAGAACCAACAATTATCTTTCCAGACAGGAAAGAGAGGTTCTGAAAACTTAAATTTCACAGAGGTAAACTTTTCTGGGATTCAACTGGGATCCAAATTCAGGATTTTGTGCCCTTCCCACTATTCAACAAGGCATATGAGAAAGAAAAATTACTCAGACGTGTATGGAAAATGAACAAAGATTTGGAGTCAAGAAAAAACTGGAGACAAGCAAAACAATCTAAATGACTGAAAAAGTATATGAACTCATTTTTACTTTTAAAACAAAATTCTTCAAAGAGAAACATGTTTGATATACTGACAACTCCGATGGTCTGAATACTTGTGTCCCTCACAAAATTCATATGTTGAAACCTGTTCACTAGTTTGATGGCATGATGAGGTGGCGCCTTTGGAAGGTGATTGGATCATGAGGGTGGGGCCCTCATGAATGGGATTAGTGCTATTATAAGAGACCCCAGAAGCTAGCTAGCTCCTTAGACCATGTGAGGACACAGCAAGAAGGCACCATCTATGAAACAGAAAGAGAGTCCTCACAAGACACTGAATCTCAGATCTTGGACACTTGGATCTTGGACAACAAATTTCTATTGTTTATAATCCTCTCAGTTTTAGCATTTTCTATAGCCAACTGAAGAGACTAAGACAACAACCAATGATTCAAAATAATAATATTCCAGAAATATACAAGATAAAACATACATATTCTTAACACTTTCCAGTTTACTAAACTTTACTTGTAATAGTGAAGATGTAAATTGTTTCCTAAACATGAATTTCAGTCATGTCTGATTTACACATCCTTCTATATTACCCTTTTTTTTTTAATGTTCAACCTCTTTCATTTAAATCAACATTAATTTACTAAGTGACTACACTATCCTGGGGCATGGGTATTTCTCAACACAGTATGAAGAATCTCACCTAATTTTAATCACTTCTATTCCATGGTATGATATATTAACCTACTATTGGACCTATGTCCTTAAAGGACCTACACATGACCTGGAATAAAGGTATCTGAAAAATTTTGTCTCAAACTATTGTAGACTTCTGCATATTTCTGTGAAAGAGATTGTATTGTTCCTTCTCAATGTAAACACTTTATTGGGGAGCTGATTAATATGACAAAAAATACAGTGTTCAAGAAAAAAATCTATGCCAGAATCCTTTTTACTTTTTCCAAATCACTCTACCTCTAAATTTTATTGAAGGAGTGTTAATCACTGCCCAAATCAGCATACTTTTCATAAATATATTTTAAAATACTTTTGCATATTAAATTCCAAAGGGGAGTGAGTAAAACATACTCTATTTTTTAAATACATATTTGATGCAAGTAAGTAATTACACTTTCTTTGAGTCAAGATCTCACTTTATTGCCCAGGCTGGAGTGCCATGGCTCGATCATGGTTTTTCAGCCTTGACCTCCTGGGCTCAAGTGATCCTCCCACCTTAGCCTCCCAAGGAGCTAGGACCAGAGGCATGCACCATCACACTTGGCTAATTTTTTATATTTTGTAGAGATGGGGTCGCATTGTGTTGCCTTGATTGGTCCACATTTTTTCTTTAAACAGTGACTTTGGTGATACAAAAATATTATTAAGAAGCAGTATGTTTTAGGGGAAACAGAATTTTGAATCAGGTCTATATCTCACTTCCAACTCTACTTGCTTTAGCTGGTAAAATATTTAAGTTATTTTACCTTTAGTTTCCTCATCTGTGAAATGAGGATAGTAATACCTACATCTTGCAGTTTTGTTGGGAGTATTAAATGTGATCATAAACCATAATTCCTGACAGTAAGTAGTAAACAATTTATTATCATTATCATTATTACTGTTTCTATTATCATTCACCTTAACATCTACCTAATAAAACTGCTGTAACTAAAATATAATTACTTGTGCTGAATAGTCTGAATTAGCCATTAAATCAGCTGTATATTTCAATTAAATTATGTTATAAACAAATATAACAAATAAATATCTTAAATTTGAGATTCCAATTCTGGAAATTAGCATTTTTTTTCTGTTGACTGAAATCCATTTAAGTTTGGGGACAACTCATTAAAATTTTACATACGTTGGGGCTCAGAATACAACACACCAAAGTATGTCACTTTGGCTTGCCAAGTACCTTAAATTGAAGGTCACTGGAAGTGCCTCAGAAGCAAGATCTCCTGCCTTCCTGTCACCCTCCCCTTTTTCTCCTCTAAAGGAAGTCATATCAAACATAATTCCTCTTCCCTAAGGCAGGTCATACAAACTAGAACTCCTCTCCCCAAAAGCAAGCCATAAAACCAAGAAAGGTCACTTTCTCCCTTCTCAGTTCTGCCTTGAAGACTTTCATTCCAGAGGGGTCCTGTCCTATACCCAGGGAGGAAGGAAGTCTACACAGAGGGCAAGAAGAATCTGAGCAGACAGGCCTTGCTTGGTTTGCCCCTCCTTAGCCTATTACCATAGACATATCCTTTTGTACAGATACATTTCTACATGGCTATCCTTTCTTTATCAAACCTAAGCACATAAATAGACAGTTTTCTCTGGGTCTTTGTTTTTGAAGCGTCCTGTGGCACATAAAACTTTGATTAAATAAATGTTATGTATTTCTCGTGTTAACCTGCCTTTTATTATAGGAGTGTCAACTGTGGCCCTTATGATAGGTGAGGAAAGATGCCACAACTTTCCACCCCTATATACATACCAACTGAAGATGTCTGTGGTTTTAAGGTCTGTTAACTTCCTAATATGAATGTATGTTTAATCATGAGAACTGGTCAAAATTATTTAAATTTAAAATGGAGGACAAATAACAAAACAGAGACACTACTTCTAAACATTTTGAAAAGGGAAAATCCATAGCACTTATTAAAGTGTTATTCAAGGTATACTCTCAAAAATTGTTAAACTGATTTTAATCCTTCAAAAACAGCAAAGTAAATTTTAATACATATTTGAGAATGAAAGTCTGGGGAACTGTTAAAAGTATTCAATCTGTGGGTTATAATTCAGCTCAAGCCCATATTTTCTTATAGTTCTGAACATTTAAAATAATATACCAAATAGATGGCTCTTTTCAGGCCGGGTGCAGTGGCTCATGCCTGTAATCCCAGCACTTTGGGAGGCTGAGACAGGCAGATTAGTTGAACCCAGGGGTTCGAGACCAGCCTGGCCAACATGGTGAAATGAAACCTCATCTCTACGAAAAACACAAAAATTAGCCAGGCATAGTGGCGCACACCTGTAGTCCCAGTTACTTGGGAGACTGAGGCACGAGAATCGCTTGAACCTGGGAGGCGGAGGTTGCAGTGAGCCAACACTGCCCACTGTACTCCAGCCTGGGTGACAGAGCAAGACTCTGTCTCCAAAAAAAAAAAAAAAAAAAAAGAGGCTCTTTTCAAAACTGAAATACAATGCCTGATATTATGAAGCTATGAAATGTGTGTATTAGTTTGCTAGGTTTGCCATAATAAAGTATAACAGAGTAGGTGACTTAAACAACAGAAATTTATTTTCTCACATTCCTGGAGTCTAGAAGTCCAAGATCAAGGTGTCAGCAGGGTTGGTTTCTTCTGAGGCCTTTCTCCTTGGCTTGTAAATGGCTATCTTTTCCCTGTGTCTTCACATGGACTTCCCTCTGTATTTGTCTGTATTCTAATTTCCTTTTTTTAAATAAAGACACCAGTCATGTTGAATTAGGGCTCACCCTAATAGCCTTACTTTAACTTAATTACCTCTTTAAGGACCCTATCTCCAAATACAGCCACGTTCTGAGATAATACAGCTTAGGACTCTTAATATATATAAATGTGGGGGACAGGACACAATTCTGCCAATAACAATGTGAAATGTTAATATATTATTTTCAAAATAATCTGCATATATGTTTCATTTCTACTATATACAAATATTGTTTTCATCTTATTACTATTTTTTAAATTTATTTTGAGTGAGTTTCATATATAACCTTTTAAAATAATGAAACTCAAACATGAGGAATTAACTTGTGCTTGATAAAACTACATTAGGTAAATATAAAAAATAGTATACCAACTTGACATACAGTACAATGAAAATAATTTATATTGGTTGTTCAGGTCTTAAAATGGATGTCTGGATCTACTATTGTAGCATTCATTTATGGCAGATGGAATGAAATAATGGCTTTCTTCAGGGTTTCTACCCTAAGGCAAGAAATAGTAGCATAGTATTACATATCCATAGATACAAAAATTATACAAAACCTGGCAAATAAAAATATTGTTCTGAAAAAACGGTGATAAGCTAGTGTGAACTGTATGACATCCTAGCTGGTAGTGCATAGATTAATTCAATTAATCATTTTACCTAAAGATAAATGAATGTAAGCATTTCTAGTTCTCTGTGTTACTATGTTAACTTGATATGTGTCATTCAGTAATAATGAGATGACAGCCTTTGTGACCTGACAAGTGTTAGAAGTATGAACAATCACATTATCTGCTGTAAATCACTAGATTTCCTACAAGTCAATTCAGAGATGCAACAATATATAAGTTACTATGTTAATATTTTTATTTATATATTTGTACATTTTCAGCTTTATCTAAGTATTAAGGTTCTGTAAAAAACTAAAATCAATCTAATGTAGCCAAATGACAATCACAAGAACAAACTATTTAAAGATTATTTTCTTTATAACAAAGTGTTAATAATTAGATCCACTTAATTGAACTTGATAACAATGTATTTATTTATAAAAATGCAAATTAAGTATAAAATTATAAAGGTAAATATTAATATTTTAAAACAGTATTTTACTATTAATGATAGACATGTTATAATATGACTAAGGTTTACATGGATGATCTTATTAAAACATAAAATGCTGTACTAAATCATACTGGTATAAATTTTTATCTAAAATGAGAAGAGTCACGTATATTTTCATGTTTAACATTAAAACTATAAACATATTACCATTTTACTGTGGCAAAACTATAACTATGCTCAGTATTTTAGATCAAATATTATAAATCTCTATATTTGTGGAAGTACAGCAGTCTTATTAAAATATACTTTAAACTAAGTTATAACTAACAAGCACATATAGTCTACATTTCTGTAATTTCTATTTTTCTCATTCTCTCCATTTCACCTTTTGAAAATAATGTTAATCTACATCAATGGAAGCACAAGTGTTTACACATTTATTTCACTAACATTGATTTTTTTTACCCCATTTTGGCAAGCCAATGATTTTGAATTATGAATTTAAATTAAGGATTCACACAAGGTTTACATTTACAAGCCCTCGTTTTAAAATATAATCCTTTATGTTAAAATTCAGATTTAACTTGCTCAGCTCAATATCTTAAAGATTAGACTACCTTCTGTAATGTCTGCTCCAACATTTCTTTTCCATTCTTCTCTGGAGTACTCCTCTTGACCTCATCATCTTCACCAGATCTAAAGAGCTGTTCTGGTAGAGAATAAATAATATATTATGATACCACGTGTACTGCTGAAATACTGTCCTGTCATTTTAAGAAAAAGGGTTCTATGGTTTTTCAACTGTGAATAATCTAGGCTATTTTCTTGTCAAGTATTTGGCCAGTAACTAAACAATGACCCTTTTCAAGATTTTTAGCAACATAATTATGTATCTTTGTAGTGCCACCTTTTTTTTTTTTTTTCAGTATAAGATTTTTCAAAAGTACAATAGATCTTCAGGTTAACAATGCTACACTTTTATTCCTATTTTCATTCTTTTGTAGACTATTCCCCCTTTGCCTTAAAAGCAGAATTCATTACCTTTTTATCTACACAGTCACTACTAGTTTTGTTCTCTGGATCTTGTTCCCTGCCAGGAGGATCACAGTGATTGCTGAACAAAGCAAACAGTAACAGAATTAGGGTGGATTGAAATTGTAACAACCCCTACCACAACCTTTTTTTCAAGTGAAGGATCATGCACTGGGTGAGGTAAACCATACAAATCACTCTTCTAGAAATACTGTGACTTCATAACAAATAGAAAGCTAGGTATATGGGTGAGGTTATAGCTACAAATCATTCCTACACTAGCTATACATTTGACTGCCAAAACCTTTTCAACCAAGCCAAAACCTACAAGTAACTTAACAACCTTAAAGAAAAAACAAAGTCATAAAACTTCAGTTAATACTAAAATCAAAATATATCAAATCCTATAAATAACTTTTTTCTTATCAGATAAATTACTATGACAAATTTTACTAACATTTTCTTAGTGAATTAATTCTGGAATATAACATTTCTTAAGGAATAAAAAGGGGACAAAAAAGAATATATAAAACTAAAAGGATATATATCTGTGTTAGCCTGAGATTATTTTGCTTTAAAGTATGCTTGGCTGCTGTAGGTCAGTGTAAAACTTTGATTTCTCAACAAAGGAAAAAGAAAACAATATTATTCTCTGTAGAGTAGAAATCCTCCTGGTATAAACAGTGACTAACAAGTTTGTTAGAGTGAATTAGGCATTTCTTTTGTCTTTGAAAAATGACATACCCAATTAAAACTTCTGTACTTATGAAATAATTAGAACAGTATCCGAAGGATAATAAAAGCTAGGATAGGTAGAATTTGCCACCTGGGGAATAAGTACCTTTACCTTGATAATAATCTATCAGTTCCCAAGTTTCTTCTTCTAGTCCCCTAACACCATGGTGCTGAATTCATTTACAGCAATCTTTCAGCAGTATAGAAATAATATGCAAATACAATTCATCCTTTCTAGTCATTTAAATATCTGTTATACTTCTGAGTGAAATATTTCATCTTAAAAATAATAGTTCTATATTCAAAGAGCATGGGATGCCAACAATAGCTAAATACTTCCAATAAAGTAAATGGTGAAGACTGATTTAAAAATGAATTTGTGTGCTGCTTGTTTGCTCCTGGATGTGTGTGAGGTCCACTGGTAGATTGGCTAACCATGTTCACCTGTACTTATCTGCTGACGTTTGTTTCTCCCCTTCACCGGTTTATACAGAACGCTCAAGAAGATAAGCTCATGCCATGGAAAGAAACAAGGATCCAATTTTCTGGCCCTTGATTCTCTTTCTCTTCAAGGATCCCAGGATTTGGGAAATAAACCAACAAGACCTAGTTAGAAATACACACTCCTATTTCTTTCCTATGGTAGATGTGAGCATATGCTTCACTTTACTGGAGATTTATTTTTGATATTTTAGTTTTAAATGCTTTACTTTTACTAGTATAAACATTCATTCTAATTTATATTCTTTCTCAGGAGTTTCTTCTCTCCATTTTTTCTTTTTCTCATTAACCTTTAATTTTGCTTATTCATAGTTATTTAAGAGCTTAGTATATTCTATTTTCTATATTTTTTCTTTTAATCCTCTTGGCTTAAATAATTAATATAAAGTTTTCTGCAATCTTTTACTTTGTATTCTTTTAGATTCTTTTTTTTAATTAATTTAACAAATGATTTGAAAAATCTATTATCATTGTTTTTTCCCTGATCTTAATATGAAGCTTCATACAAAAAGTTTCTTAAAGGTCAGTTTGTGATTATATCAATTTGAGGGATTAAGAAAGGAAAACAGTTATCAACTTATTGTATGGGCAATTTCCTAAAGAATATTGCTATTTTTATTTCACTTTTAGGAAAAGAAAATGAGAATCATAGTGGGTAGGTTTTACTTCAGAAGGTACTTGTGATACAATAAGAAACACATACAGTCGTTCCTGTTCCAGGGACCTTCCTGGGATACCTAAATCCAACCATGCTCAAGTCCCTGATGTAGCATTTGCAAATAACCTATGCACATCCTCCTGTATAGTTTAAATAATCTCTATATTACTTATAATAACTAATACAATGTAAATGCTATGTAAATATTGTTATACTACATTGTTTAGGGAATAACAAGATAAAAAGTCTATACATGTTCAATACAGATACAATTTTTTTTCAAATATTTTTGATCTGCAGTTGGTTGAATCCAGGGATGTGGAACCCGTGGATACAGAGGGTCCACTGTATTTGGATTTTGTCCCCAGTTCCTGAAACATAGTTTCTAAAACCTTTGGAATTTCTTGAGTAATAGGACCATCTTTTGTTATTACAAGCAAAGCATAACAAGCTCCTTTCAACCATACCAGAGTTTATGCTTAATAAGATGATTCCTGGTGAGCCCCTAGATAGGTTCAAGATGAGGACTGGCTGCAAGAGGAGGCAACCATGTGATTAGATGGTTTTAACGTCCAGCCCCACCACCAGGCCTCTGCAGAGGGGAGAGGAAATGGAGACTGAATTCAGTCACCAATGGCCAATGATTGAATCAATGATGGCTACTTAATGGAAGCTCCATAACAAACTCTGTGGAGTTTGGAGAAATTCCAAGTTGGTGAACACATTGAGGTGCTGAAGGTGGCATGCTCAGAAAGGACACAAAAGCTTCCTTTTCCTTCCTCCATACCATGAACTATGCAACTCTTCTATTTGGCTGTTCCTGAGTTGTATCCTTTATAATAAACAAGCAATAGTAAATGGAAAACTTTTTTGAGCCATTCTAGCAAATTAACTAATCTGAGGAAGGGCTCCTGGGAACCCCCAATTTAAACTCAGTTGGTCAGAAATACAGGTGGAAACCTGGGACTTGTGACTGGGATCTAAAATGGAGGCAGTCCTGTGGGACACAGTCCTTAATCTGTAGGGTCTGCACTAATTCTAAGTAGCTAGAATTGAACTGAATTGCCCAATTGGAGTTTAGAGAAGCAATGAGTTAGTTGTTGGGTGGAAGAAAAAAACCTATAAAATTGGTGTCAGAAGTATTGTGAGTAAAAATAACTCTGAACACTGTTTCAGATAAGTGAATTGGGGATAAATAGGCAATAATCAGCAAGAACTGCCATGAAAAAGTTTTTGGTTTTTGTGTTAATTTAAAATTGTTGTCTTAGGCAAAATAAAGTCAGATCAGCCAACTATAATTAGAACCCATCTCCTCCGAGAAGTAACCATAAGCCAATGAAAACTGAAGTCCCATTTCTGATGAATGAAATGGCAAGAAATAAATCCTGTTTCTGATGAGTAGGAGAGAATTTCAATCACTTGATATGACTGTTACACTTGGCACCTCTTTCTGGAGACCCAGACCATCCCCTTTGAGTTTACCTGGGCAGGAGGCCTGGGAAGAATCTATTCAATCAGTGAAAATTCAAAGACAATTAGCCCATTTTTGTTACCAGCCACAAATATTCTAAAAAGGAAGTTACCAGGACGATGTAAGTATCTTTTTCTAGGACGAGAGGTAGGAAAACAGAAGGATAAGTAGTTTTTTTTTTTTCATTTTATTTATTGTAAATTACACCCAATAAATAGGCTTCCTTGCCTTAAAAATAAAATGTCTTTAAGCTGGGGACTTGATGAACTCGATCCTATTAGCTCGCTGGATGAATCAGGGGAATTTGAACATGCTATCTTTAATTCCTCTAGCTAGCTTGAAAGCCATGTGTAACACCCTCTTTTTATTTTATGCTATTCCTTAAGCCCACACTTTTAAAATATTTTAGACTGTTTATTTTCTACTTCCAAGTGCTTCATTATATTTTAATTTCGATCTTTATATTTAAATGAATTAGCTTTGTGAAGTTTAACATTGTAACTGTGTTTCTGATTTCATATAAATTTCATGTTACGGGCCGGGCAAGGTGGCTCACGCCTGTAATCTCAGTACTTTGGGAGGCCGAGACAGGCAGATCACGAGGTCAGGAGATCGAGACCATCCTGGCTAACACGGTGAAACCCCATCTCTACTAAAAATACAAAAAAATTAGTCGGGCATGGTGGCAGGCGCCTGTAGTCCCAGCTACTCGGGAGGCTGAGACAGGAGAATGGCGTGAACCCAGGAGGCAGAGCTTGCAGTGGGCCGAGATCACGCCACTGCACTCCAGCCTGGGTGACAGAACAAGGCTCCATCTCAAAAAAAAAAAATTCATGTTACGAATTACTTCTTGCAATTAACTTTTGTTTCAATTTACTTTAATATTTCTCTATATTCCTAATACTCCTTTGGCTTGTTTTAAAAATAATTTTTTTAATTTTAAAATTCCCATTTTTTTTTAAGACAGGGTCCTGCTGTATCACCCAGGCTGGAATGCAGTGGCGTGATCTCAGCTCACTGTAACCTCCGCCTCCAGAGCTCAAGTGATCCTCCAGCCTCAGCGACCCAAGTAGCTGGTAGTACAAGTGTGTGCCACCACACCCAACTTTTTTTTTTTGGTAGAGACAGGGTTGCCCAGGCTGGTCTCAAATTCCTGGATTCAAACGATTCACCTGCCTCAGCCTCTCAAAATCTTGGGATTACAGTGTGAGCCACAGCGCCATGTTGGTAACAACTACAAAGAAGCATGACTTTAAGCATAACAGAAGCAACCAAAATCTGTGTATAAATCATTTATATAGATATATTTGTGTGTGTATATACATATACGTACAATGCATATGTTTTATATAATATTTTATATATTTATATATGTTGAGGGTACAAACAAAGAGAACAGAAAAAGGCTTTAGATAGGAGGTCACACCTCAGTTCTATTGTTAAAGATGAGGAGGTCTTTTCTACATGGAACCTGCAAGAAAGGAATATAGTACTGTGTACACTGGTCCAGAGGTTAAACGCTAAAGCACTTTTGGGGTTTTATTTTGCTGATTTTTCAGTTCCAGGGAGGAAAAAATAATGCTAAACATATGAAAGATAAGGCTAATGAGGTAGGCAGGGGCTAATTTTCAGTGGGATAAATGAATTTGGGCTTTATTTTGCTATTAGCAGAAGTCACTAAATAAGAGAATAAGATCAGAAATATTAACACACCAAGAATAGGGCTGGAAGGAATGCCCTTATGCTAGATTGGATAGCAATTGTAAGTAGTATAAAACGAAACTGCAGTCTGACCTTCCTTTATTTATAAAATATACTGCATGGGTTTTAGAACAATTTTTGTTATTCTCCTTAAATGTTTAGGTACTAGGTATATGCTCAACAGATTAATGACTGTGCATTAAATTATGGTCACAAAGAATTAGTTAATATTAATCATTCCAAGAAGTAAATATTTTAACATTTTTATTGATGTTGAAAAGTTTTTGCCTTTATTGGAGAAAACCTGAATATGCCTAAAAGGTTTTCCCTTTTGTTCCCAAGATGTTCCCTTGATTTGGCTCTAAGTTAAAGTAGGATGACCATTTCCGAAGGCTTGATTGTTTTGGTGATGTTCTTTTTGGTATGTATCCAACACAATCTATTCTTAATAGTAAGTAAACTTGAGTTACTTGCCAGAAATCTGGAACTTAAATTGTATGCTGCCCAGCTATTATGAAAGTCTATGCTTTTGTAAATTAATATTTAATAAGGACAATCTGAAATTTGCAATCCATTTACTCCATTCTAGATGCTTTATTTCTGGATTGGGTCAGACTATCTAGAAAGCCATATGCTCGCAACATATACTAACAGCTCCAGCATACTTTTGTTCACTGGCTTAAGATTTTATATCATACTATGGTAGATTATTACTCAGCAAATGCTTACTCCTTTCATGGATACCTTCATGGATGCAGTACAGATCCCTGCTCCATTAATGTTGAGTTTGGCCATGTGATTTGCTTGGACTAGGGAAACATGGGTATAAATGAGCCTAGAACTCAAGAAATTGTATGCTTCTGATCACCCCTTGGAAATTTCCAACATCCACCTTGAAAAGAACATGTTCAGGTAGTCACTGCCCCTTCAGCCTGGGACTGGGATTAAGAAATATGGAGCAGACCTAAATCCAATATTGCCTCAAGGTGAAGCACTCCAGCCAACCAACAGACCTGCAGCCTGCAGCACAGTTATCCCAGCTGATAGACTCATGAGCAAGAAATAAATGTTTATTACTGCATGCTAGTGAGACTTTGTGGTTGTTTATTCTGCAGCAAAAGCTGATGGGATACAGAAATTGGTAACTTTAAGTGGGGTGCTGCTATGATAAAAGACTAAATTATGTGGCACTGATTTTGGGACTGGGTGGTGGGTGGCAAAATATATGTTACAGGATGCTGAGAAAATGGTAACCCATGTTATGTAGTTACAAAACATTTGGAAAACTGCCACCTGGCATAACCTGGAAGGCAAAAAATGTACCTAATAACTTAATAAATTTTATACTGAGTGAGGAGGTGTCAGTGCAGAATGCTGATAGTATGAGTTTGGTTATTGCTGGCTGCACTTGACTAGCTACTCTAAGAAAGATCAGAGCTCAGAAAGGCACTGGCCATTGAAATTTGGGAAGTGTATAAGTTCCAGTACTTCTAGAGTTGGAAAATGAAATTGTTTGTTACCATATCAAAGGAGTGGACACTAAATCACTGGCAGCATAAAGGCCAAATCTCAGATGCTGACATTAAAACATGGCTCGGGATTTGGCTGTCATGCCTGTTGCTAATAATTTCTGAAAGGAATAATGCAAGGCCTAGTAGACTCTGGGTAAAGGCCTAAAAATACTACCCCAATCCTCCATAGAAACTAACACTGACAGTACGAATTGTTGTTGGCTGTATTTAATAAGAAGACTTGCTTTAGCCAAAGAAATCACGGGTGGAGGTGACAGTGTGCCAGTTCCAAACATAGGCAAAAGAAGCTCTTCATGTTTACACTTGTTGCATTGTGTTCAAGAATCAGACACATGGAGCAGAAGTGGACTTGACTTGCAGCCTGAAACAGAGCTGGACCAGAAAACCTGCAGCAGTAAGAGCTGTTTCAGCCAACACACAGACCTATATGCAATAAATAAATGCTTGCTATTGTTTATGAATGAGTTTCCCCATCTGCTTGTTTCTTGCATTGTCTGATACACAAGCCCTCAACTTTCAATGACGAACATGGTAAGAAATGGTTTGTGAACATATTCATGCACTTGTGACTCAGTAAAGACTGAGGAATCTAGCTCCTGGCCAAACCTTACATGTGATTTGTCAGGCTTGGTCATAGGTAATTACAAAGGTTTTACCTGGCACACCTCATGGGGGAAAGCTGCCCTCCCCAACCAGACTTGTTGTACGTCAATGGACTGCAGTCTCTGAAGGGAGTTACACTCAAGGACACAGGTCCTGGTCAAGGACACTAGTTTCCCTGGCCAATCACACTGTTACACACGTATCTGTATCTCTACCACAGGTGTCTCAATATGGAGGCATTTTTATTGGGGGCCTTTGGCTGAGGCTTGCTTAGGTGTTTCTCGAGAAACCTCCTTAGGAGACTGGGAGGAGGCAGTAAACTTGAAGATACTTGTCCTCGTTCTGACTCATTCTGACTTTATACTTTTCCTCTCCCAACCATCCTCCCATACCCTCCCCCAATGCCTCAGGTCTATCACATGGCAAGAAACTTTTGTTTGAGGATCCACTGGCAATGAGACAACCCTCATTTCTATGTTGATCCACTTGACCAATGGGGGAAAATAAAATATGGGGAGCTGGCACTTTCTCCCCTTTAGCCTCTTGCTTAAACTATCTCAGTAATTAATTAAAGGTGGCTGTAACTTTCATTTTGGTTTGTTCTCTTCGAGCAGCTATTCATACACCTGGCATTTCAGCTGTCTCCAGTTCAGCTAAGCTCTTGACAGAGGTATTGTGGGATTCTATTCAAGACCCATTACGTTATAAATTGCAATTTTCAGTAAAGAGAAATTTAGCATGGTAGGGGCTTAAGGTATTCATTTGGGAAGACTAGAGGAGACTGAATTCATTTGAGGGAAAAGGCAATGAGTTTTTTTGGATGACATGCTTAACTTTTAAGATACTTGTAAAAGCAGCCAGAAGGAAACAGGTGTCAGAAAATAGGAAATATATATTTGGAACATGGAAAAAGTTTTGGGATTTAATCTAGAGAAAACATGTTCAATAAGAAGAAAAGTAAGTTAGAGGGAGCAGATTTTCCCTTCTATATGGAGCAACTAAAAACTAGACAAAATGTATGAAAAATGGTTTTTAGATACTGGGCATCAGACAATGTCATCCCTGAGAGAGGGCAACAAATGAGGTGAGTTCTTTAATTACCCCAGCTTACTGCTTACAGAGAGCTTCCAAGCTACAGCACAGAAACAGAAAACCTAAATGTAGTCCAGTAATCTTCCTAAATTAAGGAGACATACCCTGGGTTCCAGGGAGGTCAAGTGAGCTAGAGTTTGCAGGGCAAAGTGTCATAGAGGAGAGATCTACTCAGATACAGGGAGAGCTCTGAAGATGTACAGACCTGAGAACCTTAAGTCTTCAGCCAAGTACTAATCAGCACATGCATTTAAGGAAACTACCCAAGTTTAAGAGAAAAAAAAAACATCCAAAAGGATTAGAGAAAACTTAGAGGAAACAAACTGCAAAGCTCATACAGGTGCAGTAGTAGTTTATGCTCTGACTAGCCGAGGGAAAAAAGTGGGGCACGCTATACTAACGTGAACAAAGTAAGAATGACAGCAGAATTCTTATCAGAAACAATTCACACCAGAAGACAGTGGAGTAATTAACTGCTAAAGAAAAAAAAAAATCTGTCAATGTAGCATTCTATACTTACTGAAAATACCTTTCAAAATGAAGAAAAATAGGGATTTTTTCAGGTGTATGACAGCTGAAAGAATTTCACTACCAGCAGATGTGCACTCTAAGAAATATTAAAGAAGTCCTTCAGGCAGAAAGAAGATAACACCAGATGGAAATATGGATCTACAGAAAGGAATGAAGAGCAGCAGAAATGGTTCTCAGCAAAAAACACTGAGAACTACCAGGCCTGGTTAGATCCAACACACTCTGCTGAAGCCAGACAACAATTTGAAATCCTGGGTCACCCCTTCTACAATAGAAAACACTCTGTAGTTGGTGGAGCAAAGTGTACATTTAACAAAATACCGATTTTGAATCCAAATTGTAAAAGAAAAGCCACAAAGGAAGAAAAGAACTTACCAAAAACCTGAATTTAATAAAATACAAGCTCAGAAAAGAAATAATAAAACATCCAAAAATAAAATAAGAATTTGAAGAATTGAGACAATAAATTGAAAACAACAACAATAACAAAGAACATTATTACAGATTAAATAGAAATGTAAGAAAGAACAAAAGAAGGCCGGGTGCGGTGGCTCCCACCTGTAATCCCAGCACTTTGGGAGGTCAAGGCATGTGGATCACGAGATCAGGAGATCGAGACCATCCTGGCCAACATGGTGAAACCCCATCTCTACTAAAAAAATACAAAATTAGCTGGGCATGGTGGTGCATGCCTGTAATCCTAGCTACGTGGGAGACTGAGGCAGGAGAATTGCTTGAACCAGGGAATCGGAGGTTGCAATGAGCCAAGATTGTGCCACTGCATTCCAGCCTGGTGACAGAGGAAGACTCCGTCTCAAAAAAAGAACAAAAGAACGATAAAACATGGCTAAAAATTGAATTACTGATGAAGGAAAGTCTTGAGATAAACTGGATGCAGAAGACAAAAGATTAAAGAATTGTTAAGAAAATAGATATGAAGGCCGGACAAAAAATAATCTAACATAAAGACAACTTCCTTGATTTAGAGTATAAAAAGTGGAATAGAAAAGTATGCAAAAATATATGCAAAAGAGAAATCCTTGGAACAAAGTAATATTTTAATTGACAATAAATGCATAGGTATTTCAGGAATATGTGATCTAGAACAAATTATATTGACATATTCTATTTAAGTTTTTGAATATCAAGTTGAAAAAAGTAAATTTTCAGGCATCCACTTAGCAAAGGCAAGTGACATCCACAGCAGGGGTGATACAGGGGAGGTTGGGGAATTCAGACACCTCTCTGTAACACATCCTCACAGCAACCACTGATTCTATAAATGAGTAACATCTAGAAAGTTCTGAGGAAAAAAGGGTGTAACCCAATAAAATTATACCCAGCCCATTTAATCCCTGTTGAATCATATTCTCAAACATCTAGGTTCTTACAAATATGGCTACTTTCATTCCTTCTTGAAAAAAATGCTTGTTTTTTGTTTTTTGTTTTTTTGACACAGAGTCTTGCTCCTTCACCCAGGCTGGAGTGAAGTGGCGCCCAGGCTGCAGTGCAATGACGCAATCTTGGCTCACTGCAACCTCTGCCCACTGTGTTCAAGGGATTATCCTGTCTCAGCCTACCAGGTAGCTGGGATTACAAGCACGCACCACTACGCCCGGCTAATTTCTGTATTTTTAGTAGAGAGTTTTGTCATGTTGGCCAGGCTGGTCTCAAACTCCTGACCTCAGGTGATCCACCTGCGTCGGCCTGCAAAGTGCTAGGATTACAGGCGTGAGCCACCGCGCCTAGTAATACTTTGAATTTTATCTGGCTAATCAAGAAACATACGAAAAGAAAGAATTCATAAATAGAAAAGCCATGGCTTTTAAAAATGTGATGAGTACTGAATTCGTTATATAGAGAGACAAGACTTTAAAGCTGAGGAAATTATTCTTGTAATATATAAAGTTACAGACTTTGGTAAAATTTTTAAAAAGAAATTTAATGAACAAAACTCAAGATGAGGAGGAAACAAAAAACTTTTACAAAAAAGTTTTGTAAAAATTCTGGGTTTTCCATCTTGCATAGCAAGGTGTTAATTTCTTTTTGTAATTGTTTTTAATCTTAAAGAAATTAATTCTTTTGAAGCAAACATTTATTTAAAGTTTACAGTTCATTTACCTTTACTTCTGTTTCTCTTCATTTAGTTGGCTCCAAATAAATATAATAAATGTAAATCTCTTTTTCAAAAATATGACACTCTTTTTATATAATTAGTCTACCCATCTAGCCTTCTCCGTATCTGGCCATTAAGAGATGGTTATGGCCGGGTGCGGTGGCTCACGCCTGTAATCCCAGCACTTTGGGAGGCCAAAGTGGGCAGATTACGAGGTCAGGAGATCGAGACCATTCTGGCTAACATGGTGAAACCCCGTCTCTACTAAAAATACAAAAAATTAGCCGGGCAAGGTGGTGGGCGCCTGCAGTCCCAGCTACTTGGGAGGCTGAGGCAGGAGAACGGCGTGAACCCGGGAGGCGGAGCTTGCAGTGAGACGAGATGGCGCCACTGCACTCCAGCCTCAGGGACAGAGCGAGACTCCGTCTCAAAAAAAAAAAATTAAAAAATTTAAAAAAAAGAAAAAGAAAAAAAAGAGATGGTTATATGATAATATTAAAAATTTTTATCTCTAACATGTTGTGAACTAGTTTTTTCTTTGCTTTCTTCTTTTTTCTTTCTTACTGCTCGAATGTAAGTATGTATAATTTTTCAAAAAAACATAAAGTCATTAATTTTGAAAAGTAAACCAAGGATAAAGTCTTAGCAAACCCTAGTTATTAAGAAGTAAATGAAAAACTGTTCCACTGAAAGAGACGGGAAGATAACAGCAAGAGTAGGACATAAAATGAGACAATGTGATTCAGAAGCTGATAAAGAGATAAGCTTGAAATATGATAAAAATTAAAGGTGTTAAATGGAGGGGTTCAAATATTGGCCTTAACAAGTCACCAGTAACCTGAATGCGAGCATTGGAGCAACAACAGTAACTGGGACAAAAGCCAAGTGAAGGGTATATGAAAACTAATTATTAAGTATAAATTGTCAAAACCTAAAAGTACAGTGGTTAGAATGTAGCAGGTTAAACAACAAAAAATCCTGTCATATCAATCTTTAATTTTTCTAATGAGGTACTGAAGTTATATACGAAATATAGTTATCTTGGCTTTAATAAAGAGATAATCCTCTTGCAATTTGAGCAGTGAGACATTCCCCGTTACTGGTCATATTTAAGCTAGCTGTCAGGGAGGTTGCAGATCTGAAGATCTCCAAATTTCCTTCTAACTCTAAGATTTTGATTCCAGGAAAAAAGATACGAACTAAATAATTTCCCAAAAAATGTAATGCCTAACCAAAATATTAACGAATTATTGATATTAAGCATAACACTATAGTACCTACAAAACTGTAAACAAACAAAACTAGGAAAACTTTATCAATGAATAATAAAAATGAGTATCATTTATCCTTATAAAATAATCTCTAGAATTTTTGTGTGTGGGTACACAGTAGATGTATCTACAGGGTAGATGACATGTGATACACAGGCAATGCATAATAATCATATCAGGGTAAATGGGGCATCCATCACCTCAAGCACTTAACTTTTACATTACAAACCAACCAACAATTAAATTATTTTTTAATAGTCACCCTGTCATGCTAGCAAACGCCAGGTCTTATTTGTTCTTTCCAACTATTTTTTTTGTAATCCATTAATTATTCCCACTTCCTCCAACTACCCTTCCCAGGCTCTGGTGACCATCCTTCTACTCTCTAGCTCCATGAGTTCAATTGTTTTAATTTTTAGCTCCCACCAATAAGTGAGAACATGTGAAGTCTGTCTTTCTATACCTGGCTTATTTCACTTAACACAATGACCTCCAATTTCATCCATGTTGTTGCAAATGACAAGATTTCAATTCTTTTATGGCTGAATAGTACACCATTGTGTGTATGTACCACATTCATTTTATCCATTCGTCTGTTGATGAACATTTGGGTTGCTTCCAAATTTTGGCTATTATGAATAATGCTGCAATAAACATGGGAATGCAGATATCTCTTCAATATACTGATTTCCTTTCTTTTGGGTATATAACTAGCAGTGTGATAGCTAGATCATATCACAGCTCTACTTCCTTTTTTTTTTTTTCCTGAGATGGAGTCTCACTTCTGTCACCCAGGCTGGAGTGCAGTGGCATAATCTCGGCTCACTGAAACCTCCAACTCCTGGTTCAAGGGATTCTCTTGTCTCAGCCTCCCAAGTAACTGGGATTACAGGTGTGTGTGCCACCACACCCCTCTCATTTTGTATTTTTAGGAGAGATGGAGTTTCACCATGTTGGCCAGGCTGGTCTCAAACTCCTGACCTCAAGCGATCCACCCACCTCAGCCTCCCAAAGTGTGGGATTATAGGTATAAGCCACTGCACCCAGCCTATTTCTAATTGTTTGAGTCAATTCCAAACTGTTCTCCATAGTAGTTGTACTAATTTACATTCCTTCCAAGAATATATGAGAGTTCCCTTTTACCCACATCTTCCCCAGCATTTGTTATTGCCTGTCTTGTGGATAAGAGCCATTCAGGCTGGGATGAGATGATATTTCATTTTAGTTTTGATTTGTATTCTCTGATGATCAATAATGTTGAGCATTTTCATATATCTATTTGCAAATGGTATGTCTTCTTTTGAGAAACGTCTACTCACAGCTTTGGCCCATTTTTTAATTGGATTATTAAATTTTTTCCTACAGAGTAGTTTTTAGCTGCTTATATATTCTGGTTATTAATCCCCTGTTAGATGGGTAGTTTGCAAATATTGTCTCCCACTCTGTGGCTTGTCTCTTTGATTTGTTGATTGTTCCCTTGCTGTCCAGAAGCTTTTTAGCTTCATGTAATCCCATGTGTCCATTTCTGCTTTGGTTGCCTGTGCTTGTAGGATATTACTCAAAAGATCCTTGCTCAGTCCAACATCTTGGACACTTTCCCCAATGTTTTCTTTTAGTAGTTTCATAGTTTGAGGTCTGAGATTTAAGTGTTTAATCCATTGTGTTTGATTTTTGTATATGGCAAGACATAGGGGACTAGTTTCATTCTTACGCATATGAATATCTTGTTTTCCCAGCAGTATTTATTGAAGAGACTGTCCTTTTCCCAATGTATGTCTTGGCAACGCTGTCAACAATTAGTTTATATGGAGGTATGAATATATTTCTGGGTTGTCTGTTAGGTTCTATTGGTCTATGTGTCAATTTTCATGCTGTTTTAGTTACTGTAGCTTTATAGTACAATTTAATTTAAGAAATGTGATTCCTCTAGTTTTGTTCTTTTTGTTTACAATAGCTTTGGCTATTCTGGGTCTCTTTTATTCTATATAAATTTTAGGATTGTTTTTTCTGTTTCTGTGAAGAATGTCATTGGTATTTTTATAGGGCTTGCATTAAATCTGTAGATTGCTTTAGGTAATATGGTCATTTTAACAATATTGTTAACAATTTAACAATCCATTAAAAGGGGATGTCTTTCCATTTTTTGTGTGTCTCCTTCAATTTCTTTCATCAATATTCTATAGTTTTTATTGTAGGAAGATTCTTCACTTCTCCGGTTAAATCCTAGGTACTGACTTTTAGGTGTAGCTGCTGTAAATGGAATTAGCTTTCTTGATTTCTTTTTCAGATTGTTTGCTGTTGGCATATAGAAATGATACTGATTTTTGTATGTTGATTTTGTATCCTCCACTTTACTGAATTTGTTTATCCTTTCTAATAGTTTTTTTATGGACTCTTAAGTTTTTCCAAATACAAAATCTTATCATTGGCAAATAAAGATAATTTGACTTCTTCCTAATTTGGATGCCCTTTCTTTCTTTCTGTTGTGTGACTGCCCTAACTAGGACATCCAGTACTATGTTGAATAACAGTGGTGAAAGTAGGCATCATGGTCACGTTCCAAATCTTAAAGGAAAAGCTTTCAGTTTTTCCTGATTCAATATGATAACCAGCAATAGCTCTGTCCTATATGCCTTTTATTATCCTGATGTATGTTTGTTCCAATGAAACCAGTTTTTTGAGAGATTTTCTCATGAAAGAATGTTGAATTTCACTGAATGCTTTTTCAGGACTAAGTAAAATGATCCTATGGTTTTTGTCCTTCATTCTGTTGATAATATGTATCACATTGATTAATGTCCAAATGTTGAACCATCCTTGCAACCCTTGGATAAATCCCACCTGGTCATGATGACTAATTTTTTAATGTGTTGTTGAATTCAGCTTGCTAGTATCTTGCAGAGGTTTTTTCTGCATCAATGTTCATCAGGGATATTGAACTATAGTTTCCTTTTTTTGATGTGTCTTTGTCTGGTTTTGGTATCAAGCTAATACTGGCCTTGTAGAATGAGTTTGAAAGTATTCCCTCCTCTTCTACCTTTTGGAATAGCTTGAGTAGGATTGGAGTTAGTTCTTCTTTAAATGTCTGGTAGAGTTCAGCAGTGAAGTCACCAGGTCCTGGTTGTTTCTTTGCTGGGAGCCTCTGCATTATGGCATCAGTGTCTTTACTTATTATAGTTCCGTTGAGGCTCTGGATTTCTTCATGGTTCAATAATCTTAGTAGGTTGTATGTGTATAAGAATTTATCCATTTCTTCTAGATTTTCCAATTTATTGGCATATAGCTGATATGAATTTGGCATATAGTTGGTGATAGTAGCCACTAACAATGCTTTAAATTTCTGCAGTATCTGTTGTAATGTCTACTTTTTCACATCTGATATTTATTTGTGTTCTCTTTTTCTTAGTCTGGTTAAACGTTTGTAAATTTTGGTTAGCTTTTTGATAAACCAATTTTTTGTTTTAATGATTTTTTCATATTGTTTTATTCATTTTAATTTTATTTATCTCTGCTCTGATCTTTACTACTTCTTTTCTTTTACTAATTTTGGGTTTGATTAGCTCTAGCTTTTCTAGCTCTTCAAGATGCATCGTTAAGTTATTTGAAATTTTTCTTCTTCTTTGATGTAGGCATTTATAGCTATAAACTTCCCTCTTAGTATTGCTTTTGCTGTATCCCATAGGTTCTAGTATGTTGTGCTTCCATTATCATTTGTTTCAAGAAATTTTTAAATTTCCTCCTTAATTTCTTCATTGACACACGGGTCATTCAGGAGCACATTGTTTAATTTCCATATGTCTGCAGAGCTTCCAAAATTTTTCATGTTATTGATTACTAGTGCTATTCCATTGTTGTCAGGTAAGATGCTTGATATTATTTCAAGTTTTTTGAATGTTTTAAGAGTTGTTTTATGGCTTAACACACAGTCTGTCCTCGAGAATGATCGATGTGCTGGGGAGAAGAATGTGTATTCTGCAGCCATTGGATGAAATGTTCTGTAAATATTAGCTCCATTTGGTCTACAGTACAAATTAATTCCAATGTTTCTTTGTTGATTTTCTGTCTGGAAGATCTGTCCAATGCTGAAAGTGGGATACTAAAGCCTGCAGCTATCATTGAATTAGGGTCTACATTTCTCTTTAGCTCTAATAATATTTGCTTTATATATCTGGGTACTAGCGTGTTGGGTGAATATATATTTACAACTATGATATCCTCTTACTAAATTGACACCTTTATCATTATATAATGACCTTTGTCTCTTACAGTTTTTGCTTGAAATCTATTTGGTCTGATATAAGTATAGCTACTCCTGCTCTTCTTTGGTTTGTACTGGCATGGAGTATCTTTTTCCATTTGTTTATTTTCAGTCTATATGTTTCTTTATAGATGAAGCGTTTCTTATATACAACAGAGAGTGGCTCTGATTTTTACATCCTTTCAGTTACTCTGTGTATTTTGATTACAGAGTTTAGTCCATTCACATTCAATGTGATTACCAATAAGTAAGAACTTACTCCTACCATTTTGTTGTTGGTTTCCTGGTTATTTTGTGGTCTTCTTTTCCTTCCTTCATTCTTTCTTGTTTTCCTTGTAGTGAAGGTAATTTTCTCTTACCTTTTCTCCTAAAATAAAACGAAAATTTTATTCCTTTCTTTTTATTTTTTGCGTAGCCACTGTATGGTTTTTGATTTGAGGTTACAATGAATGTTGCAACCCATTATATATATGGGATATAACTATCTTATAACCCATTATTTTAACTGGATTAACAACACTGCTTGCATAAACAAGCAAAAACAAAACTGATAAAAATTATTTAACTTTGTCCAGCCTGTTTTTAACTTTTTGTTGTTTATATCTTATTATACTATGTCTTGAAAACTTTTTATAGTTATTTTTTGATTGGCTCATCTTTAAGTCTTTCTACTTAAGAGTAGTTTGTATACCACTGTTACGGTATTACAATATTGTATGTCATTCTGTGTACTTACTATTGCCAGTGACTTTTGTACCTTCAGATGATTTATTACTCATTAATATCCTTTTTCTGATTTAAGTATTCCATTTATGACTTCTTGTAGGATAGGTATGGTGTTGATGAAATCTCCAGCTTTTGTTTGCCTGTCAAAGCATTTCTCCTTCATGTTTGAAGGATATTTTTGCAGGATATATTATTCCAGGGCAAAAGTCTGTTGTTGTTTTTTCCTTCAGCACTTTAAGTATGTCATGCCACTATCTCCTAGCCTGTAAAGTTTCCACTGAAAAGTCTGCTGCCAGCATATTGAAGCTCCATTGTATGTTATTTGTTTCTTTTCTCTTGCTGCTTTTAGGGTCCTTTCTTTATCCTTGACCCTTGGGAGTTTGTTAAATGCCTTCAGGTTGTCTTTTTTGGGTTAAACCTGCTTGGTGTTCTACAACTTTCTCATAGTTGAATATTGTTATCTTTTGCTAGGTTTGAAAAGTTCTCTGTTATTTTCCCTTTGAATAAACTTTGTACTCCTGTCTTTTTCACTAACTCCTGTTTAAGGCCAATAACTCCTACATTTTCCCTTTTGAGGCTATTTCATTAATCTTGTAGGCATGCTTCATTGTTTTTTATTCTTTTATCTCCTCTGTGTATTTTCTTTTTTTTTTTTTTCGAGATGGAGTCTCGCTTTGTCACCAGGCTGGAGTGCAGTGGCGTGATCTCGATTCACAGCAACCTCCGCCTCCCGGGGTCAAGCGATTCCCCTGACTCAGCCTCCCAAGTAGCTGGGATCACCGGCATGTGCCACCATGCCTGGCTAATGTTTGTATTTTTAGTAGAGACAGGGTTCCACCATATTGGCCAGGCTCATCTCAAATTCCTGACATTAGGTGATCCTCCCACCTCAGCCTCCTAAAGTGCTGGGATTACAGGCATGAGCCACCACACCCGCCCTGACTATGTATTTTCAAATAGCCTGTCTTCAAGCTCACTAATTCCTTCTTCTGCTTGATCAATTCTGCTATGAGGGGACTCCAGTGCATTTTTCATTCCAGAATTTCTGCTTGATTCTTTTTTATTTTTTCAATCACTTTGTTAAATTTCTCTGATAGAATTCTGAAATCCTTCTCCATGTTATCTTGAATTTCTTTGAGTTTCCTCAAAACAGTTATTTGGAATTCTCTGTCTGAAAGGCTACATATCTGTTTCTGCAGTATTGATCCCAGGTGCCTCATTTCGTTTGTTTGATGAAGTCATGTTTTCTTGGTATATTATCCTGTTTTCATACTTCTATAAGGAACTGCTCAAGACTGAGTAATAAAGGAAAGAGATTTAATTGACTCACAACTCAGCATGGCTGGGGAGGCCTCTGGAAACTAATAATCATGGTGGAAGGTGAAGGGGAAGCAAGGCACCTTCTTCACAAGGCAGCAGGAAGGAGAAGTGCCAAGCGAACGGGGAAAAAGCCCCTTACAAAACCATCAGATTTCATGAGAACTCACTCACTATCATGAGAGCAGCATGGGAGAAACCACCCCCATGATTCAATTACCTCCACCTGGTCTCTCTTTTGACACGTGGAGATTATGGGGATTATAATTCAAGATGAGTCTGGGGTGGGGACACAAAGCGTAACCTATCACTTGGATAGTCTTGATCCTTATGGATGTTTGCTGGTGTCTGGGAATACAAAAGTTAGATATTTATTTTTGTCTTTGCAGTCTGGGATTGTTTGTACCCAATCTTCTTGAGAAGATGGGTACAAAGATGCTAAGGCAGTAGGATTGATTCAGCCCAAGACTTTCCGGTATTTGAAAGGACTTGGGTGTTGTGATCTAGTCCATATCTGCATTAGTGGGCACCCCAAGTCCAGTAAGACTGGGGTTCTTGCCGACTTCTAGAACTACTGCCTGGGCAGTCTTGGATAAGATCCGGAAGAATTCTCTGGATTACCAGGCAGAGACTCTTGTTTTCTTTCCTTCTCCCAAACAAACAGAGTCTCTCTCTCTTTGCTGAGCCTTCTGGAGCTGGGGATGGAGTGACAAATGCACCCCTGTGGCCACCACCACTGGGACTATGCTGGGGGTCAGAACTGACACCAGTATATCCCTGAGTCTCACCCAAGGCCCACTGTAACCACTATCTGGCTTCCACCTATGTTTGCTCAAGGCCCTAGGGCTCTGCAAAGAGCAGACTGTGAAGCCAGTCAGACTTGTGTCATTCCCTTCAGGGTAGCAGGATCCCTCCAGCCCTGGGTGGGTCCAGAGATGCCATCTAGGAGCCAGGGAGTAGAGTAAAAAACCTTAGAAATCCACCTGGTGTTCTAGTCCACTGCAGCTGAGCTGGCACTCAAACCACCAGACACAGTCCTTCCCACTCTTCCCTTCCCTTTCCACAGGCAAAGGAGTCTCTGCCTGTGGTCACCACCACCACAGTCCTACAGGGAGTACTACCAGGCCACTGTCAATGTTCCTTAAAGCCCAAGGGCTCTTCAGTCAGCTTGCCACAAATGCTGCCAGGCCTGGGACTCACCTTTCAGTGCAATGGGTTTCCCTCTGGCCCAGGGCAGGTCTAGAAATGCCAACTAAGAGCCAAAGCCTGGAATCAATGACCCCACAAGCTGCTTGGTGTTCTACTTCATTGTGGATGAGCTGGTACCTAAGGTGCAAGACAAATTACCCTTTACTTTTCCCTCTGCTTTTCTCATGCAGGGGTTTCTCACCACAGCCACCACAGCTGGGGATGCCCTGGGTTTCACCTGAATCCAGCACATCTCAGAGTCTCAGCCAAGACCCACAGTGTACCATCTGGGTATTGCTGCTGGTTATTCAGGGCCCAAGGGCTCTTCAGTCAGTAGGTGATAGATCCTGCCGGGACTGCATCCTTGCCTTCAAGGCACCAGGTTCGCTTCTAGCCCAGGATGTGTCTAGAAATGTCATCCAGGAGCTAGGGCCTAGAATAAGGGTCTCATAAATCTAACTAGCGCCCTATCCTATTGTGGCTGAGCTGCTGTCCAAGATGCAAGACAAAGACCTATTTGATCTTTCTTCTCTCCTCCTCAAGCAGATGGAAGGGGTTCCTTTCAGAGCCATGAGCTGTGCTGCCAAGGGTTGGGAGAGCAGTGGCACAAATACCCCATGAGCTGCCCTGGCTGGTGTCTCAGTAGGTCACATGCCACCCAAGTCCACTGGTCTGAGCCCAACTCTGCACTAGGGCTTGCCTAGGAGTTGAAGTCATTGTGGCCTAGACAGTCTTTTAAGTTTATATAGAGCCCCAAAGTCCTGTGGTAATGAGGCTTGCCAGAACTCAGGTTCCAACCACTGGGATGGGTGATTGTCCTCTGGACAGGTCTGGTCTAAATGCTCTTTCTGTGGGCAGGCATGAGATGCATTTGGCCCGGTTTTGCTCTCTGCTATGACAGGGCAAGACCGAGTTCAATGCAAAGTCCAACAGTCACTGCATTCTCCCTCCCCTAAGTGCACAATTCTCTCTCCATGTCACATGGCCACTGCCAGGAGATAGGGGAAGGGTGGCACTGGTAATTTAAGACTGTCTTTCCTACCCTCTTCAGTGCCTCTTTCAGTCATTTGAAGTTAAAACCAGGTACTGTGAGTGCTCACCTGATTTCTGATTCTTATGTAGGTGTTTTTTTTGTGTGTGTAGGTAGTTCTTAAATTTGGAGTTCCCACAGCATAAAGTCTTCTATTTGGCCATCTTGCTGTACGTTCTCCCCTAGATTTTTTAATAAATTACAAAGCTGACTTTTAGATGTTCTATTTATTTAATTTTCTCAGGATGAAAATGTTAGTGAGTTATCAATGAATAAAGTGTTGGAAAAGAAACAAAAAGGGTAAGATTCTTAAAAGAAATTGAAACTAAAACATCAAGAATTACACAATTTTAAAATTCCTCTGTTAAGTATTTATTTTCTGAAAATTTACCTTCTCTTCTCTCTGCCACACATCTATTCAATTCTTGTATTGCTGCCTTATCAATAGATATATGTACTTTAAGTTCATCTAATTCTTCTTCAAGATTCATCCTATGAAAAAGCAATAAACATTTACTTAAAACCATATTGTTTTATTTAAAAAAATCAAACATATACATTTAAATATATTTCTAAATAATATATCAAAGTCAGTAAAGATATTTTAATGTATATAAAATGGAGAAGAGTAAAATGAAAGCAAAAATAAATCAATAATATTCACAGGCTGGGCATGGTGGCTCATACCTACAATTCCAGCATTTTAGAAAGCCAAGGCAAGGGGATCACTTGAGACTAGAAGTTCAAGACCAGCCTGGGCAACACAGAGAGACCCTGTCTTTACAATAATAATAATAATAACAACAACAATAACAACTAGCCCATCATGGTTACGCGCACCTGTAGTCCTAGCTACTTGGGATGCTGAGGCAGCAGGATTAATTCAGCCCAAGACTTCAAGGTTACAGTAAGCTATAATTTCACTGCTGCACTACAGCCTGGGCAAAAGATTAGGCCCTTGTCTCCATAAAATAAAAAATAGTAATAATATGCCCAAATCCAAAAAACTACAATTGAATTTACTGAGGACCTGGAAAATCAAATGTTTTAAGTAAGTTATTTCTGTTAACTTTATCTCAATAAACATGCTAAACACTTAAAATACAGACTATATAATTTTAAAAATTATGTATTAAATTGCTCAACCACTTCTTGGTTGTTTTTAGACAAAGTCTCACTCTGTCACCCAAGCTGAAGTGCAGTGGCACAATCGTGGCTTACTGCAGCCCCTACCTCCCAGGCTCAGGTGATCCTCCCACCTCAGCCTCCTAAGTAGCTGGGACTACAGGTGTGTGCCACCATGCCCAGCTAATTTTTTGTACAATCAGGGTTTTACCAAGTTGCATAGGCTGAACTCCTGGACTCAAGCAACCTACTCATCTTGGCCTCCCAAAATGCTGGGATCACAGGCATGAGCCACAACACCCGCCATGCTCAACCACATCCTAACACAGAGATATTCTAGGCAAAATAGTAATGAAAAATGTTAATACATAACACTGAAAACAAGAATGGTAAATTCCTAGATGCCAAATAAAGGCAAAAAGACTTTCCAGTAAAACAGAATTGAGCTACCATTGTGAGTATTTGACCAGAACCAAATACTGCCCATGGGGACCTCAGAATGTGAGACCTGAGTAGGGATGGTGTATTAGTCTATTCTCACTTTGCTATAAAAAAAACCTCCTGAGACTACGTAATTTATAAAGAAAAGAGGTTCAATTGACTCACAGTTCCACAGACTGTACAGGAAGCATGGCTGAGGAGGCCTCATGAAACTTAACATTCATGGCAGAAGGGGAACAGGAAGCAGGCAGGTCTTACATGGCTGGAACAGGAGGAAAAGAGCACAGAGGGAGGTGCTACACACTTTTAAACAACCGGATCTTATGAGAACTCACTATCAATGGAACAGCAAGGGGGAAGTCCGCCCACATGATCAAGTCACCTCTCACCAGACCCCTCCTTCACCACTGGGGATTACAATGCGACATGAAATTTGGGCAGGGACACAAATCCAAACCATATCAGATGGACATTTAGACCCATGGCCCTACCTGGTTGACAGATAAAAATGAGCTAACGACAGGAAACTGGGAGAAAACAATCTGCTGAATGAAAACCTGAATATCTGAACTTATCTGGTTAGAGTTTCACTAAAATAGTTCTCCAGCCCTAGGATGGGGACAGGACAGAGTCAACCACATGATATCAGAATCCCAAGCCTAAATCAATAGGTTCAAAACTGAGCCATACAATTTACAGAAACATGAACAATCAAAAATAATACAAAAACTGGACATATGGCCAGAGTATACTGGAGGGTTCAGGAAGACACAATCATCCCTAAAGGGAGGCTTCCACAACTAAGAAAATGTATGGGAGAAAAGCCACCACAGAAAATAATTCTCGAGTCAAGCATGGAGACAATAAGTATATAAATAAGTTCAAAGCCATGAATGACAGTCTAAATATCCCACTGCCCAAAATGGGATAATGTAAAACAATAAAATAGAGATAAGAGAATAATCAAAATTACTTTCACCATTAGAGTTTTTAAAATGTTTTTAAAAAGATAAAGAAGTGATAAACATATATTAAAAAAGAACAGGGGTTTATGAAACAGAAAATAGACAAAAATAATCAAATAATATATCTAAAAATATGAAATAAAGCAATGAAAATTAATAATAATAACATAATACCAGAAATTTAAAACTCAATGGATGGGTTCAATAGCAAGTAGAAAAAGCTAATGGAAATTGATAAAATGGAAGAGAGCAGAAGGAGGTAAAGGAAGGAAAACAGTAGAGGTATACAAAACATGTTGCAATAAGAAGTATAGAAAGCATTTAATAGAAATTATTCAAGGAGAGAATTGAAAGACTGAAGGCAGGAGTACAGATGGGAGATAACAGTCAAAATATTAATAGCTCAGGATTTGAGAACTGATGAAGATATGAATTAATAGCCTTAAAGAGTATCAAAAAATTGCAAGAAGAGTAAATAAAACTCTGTTCACACTTAAAAATGTCTTAGTGAAACTTCAGGACAACAAAGATAGAGACAATCTTTAAATGAACCAGATTGAGAAGAAAACACTTCTAACAACTAAAGATCTCTGGAATAACAGCAGAGTTCTCATATCAACAAACAAAGCCAGAAGGAAAATAATTAATATCTTTCACATGCCAAAGTTTACTACTCATAGATCCTAGATGAAAAAATCATTAAAATATATATTTTAAGAAGAAAATGTACTCAAAAGCAAGGTATAAAACAAAATAAGCAGTGATGAAGAAAGACACTAACAGATATATACAAGGAATTAAATAAACATTTATTATCTAAAGCAATCATAGCAATATCTGAATGAGCTAAAATAAGGTAGAACTAACATTCTCAACAACAAAACGATATTGGATCATCAAAGATACCATAGTTAAACATTTCAAGGTCCTTGTATTGTAGGAGGATACAGCTAGTGATGAACTTTAGACTTTGTCAAATAAATGATGTATGTTATAATTTCAAGAATAATTATTTAAAGAATAAAAAATAAATATAAAAAATAAAAATTAGAGGTCAGAAGAGAAATGAAAAAAAAAACTGTATCAAATCAAAGGCAAGAAAGTCATTTTTAAAAAGGAGCATAAGTCAAAACTACAATGAGATACCATCTCACGCCAGTTAGAATGGTGATCATTAAAAAGTCGGGAAACAAGAGATGCTGGAGAGGATGTGGAGAAACAGGAATGCTCTTACACTGCTGGTGGAAATGTAAATTAGTTCAACCATTGTGGAAGACAGTGTGGCGATTTCTCAAGGATCTAGAACCAGAAATACTATTTGACCCAGCAATCCCATTACTGGGTATACCCAGAGGATTATAAATCATCCTACTATAAAGGCACACGCACTTGTATGTTTGTTCACAATAGCAAAGGCTTGGAACCAACCCAAATGCCCATCAATGATAGACTGGATAAAGAACATGTGGCACATATACACCATGGAATACTATGCAGCCATAAAAAAGGATGACTTCATGTCCTTTGCAGGGACATGGATGAAGCTGGAAACCATCATTCTCAGCAAACTAACAAAACAGAAAACCAAATACCGCATTTTCTCACTCATAAGTGGGAGTTGGACAATGAGAACACATGGACACAGAGAGGGAAACATCACACACTGGGGCCTGTTGGGGTATGGGGGACTAGGGGAGGGATAGCATTAGGAGAAATACTTAATGTAGATGATGGGTTGATGGGTGCAGCAAACCACCATGGCACGTGTATACCTATGTAATAAACCTGCATACTCTGCACATGTATCCCAGAACTTAAAGTATAATTTTAAAAAAAGGAGCATAAGAAAATAAAACGTGCAAGAAAAAAATTAAAAATAAAGATAGTCATCACACAATGATCAAAAATGATTTACCAGGAAAATACATTAGTTCTAGACTTTTATGTACTCAACAACACAAGTTGTTGTAATTATTGTTATAATTATTCAAACAATAAAAAGTTATTTGAAGTAAAAATTAGGTAGCCTCTCCTTCCCCTCACTCAGTATACTTCCTGGAAAAAAAATAATGTTTACACTTTGATATGTATACTCTCATTTTTTGTTCATATATTATAAACATCAATTCACACACATAAGGATTTTAAAAACTGGGATCCCATGATATATACTGGCAGCTTCCCAGGTCCATTACAGATTGATAGGAGGAACACATACACATGCACACACATACACTCAACCACACAATGATTAAGCTTGGATTAGGTTCCTGATTTGTTTATTTAAGAACGTGGAACATACTGAAGCAAGATGGCCCCACAAAGAAAAAGCAGGTGTAACTTACCTCAACTTAGTTTTCCTTGGCTCTCAGATCACTAACCCAACAGAAGGTAGGGCTGCAGTTGTTGGAAAAGTTATTTCTTGCTTCTTAAAACATACTTTATACTTACAGCTTGTTTCTTTTGGAAAGAACACACACAGTCCCTACTTTTAATAAATATTTACAGACATCAGGGACCACCTTGTTCTTGAGTCAAACTAAGCACCAACAAACCATATCTTACTGTGTGTTTGAGGGAGGAGCTGACAGAGGCAGAGCCCTGGTACTCCTGACCAGGATGAGCACTGACTAGCTACTGACTCTGATTTACTATCCACTTACACTGGTGTTTCTTATACTCTGGTATGAGGACCACAATTTAAAATCTATTTCTTACTGGACAAATGATAGGAAACAACTGTATTCGGCCACTGGACAATAGGCAGCACAGAACTGTAATCCCTGAGAGAAAGCAAATAAACAGAGAGAGCCCTTAATGATGGCTCGATTTCTGCCTGAAAGCACTTTCCAGACAGGGAGAGGGGTCCCAAGAAGAACATGACAGTCTCATTGAGTTGAAACAAGAGACTGCAGTTTAGGAAGTCTAAAACAGCCAGAATTTGTGAGGCATATGACCAAGTGAGGAGGAATCTACAGTGGAAAAAAGCTAAAGAAATCTGCATAAGAATTCCTTTGAGTATGTGGCTAATCTTTATTTCTTTTTTTGCATGTGCATAGTATGAAACACAACAAGGCCAGGCAAAGAACAACAGGAGCTATAAACAGAATATTCCCAGAATATTTCTCACACAGGATTGGGATACATTTGAGTTGCGACCAGTCAGAGAAGAGAGAATCTTAGTTGAACATCAGAGGCATTCAATAGAGAACACAGATGGGTCATTCTAATGAGTAGAGATAAACAAGCCTCTAGTAAATGATACTCTAAAACCTGTGCTAAAAAAGTGTTTTAAATGAACAATGAGAACACATGGACACAGGAAGGGGAACATCACACACTGGGGACTGTTGTGGGGTGGGGAGACGGGGGAGGGATAGCATTAGGAGATATATCTAATGCTAAATGAGGAGTTAATGGGTGCAGCACACCAACATGGCACATGTATACATATGTAACAAACCTGCACGTTGTGCACATGTACCCTAAAACTTAAAGTATAATAATAATTTAAAAAAATGGAAAAAAAACTGAAGATATTTAAACTGAGATTTTAACACACCTCTCCCAGTAATTGATGGAAAAAGTGGACAGAAATAAGTAAGGATACAGAACATTTGAAAAACACTATCAAAAAACTTGACCTAACTGAATGTTTTATAAAACACTCCATACCCAACAACAGCAAAACAAATATTCTTTTCAAGTGCCATGGAACATTCAACAAGATAAGACCACATGCTGGGCTATAAAACAATTCTCAGTAAAGCTAAAAGCATTTTAAAATCATGCAAAGCATCTTCTATGACCACAATAGAATAATAAAATTAAAAATAAATACCAGAAGGACGTCTGCAAAATCCCAAAATAGTTGAAACTAAAGAACCTATTTCTGACAAAGAGGTTCTGCTTAACCAATCTTTAGTCAACTCTCCTGAACCTTCTCCTAAGCCCATCTGTGCACTTCCTTGTAAAATCCAGTCTTAGCAAGGAACTCCACTAAGTCAGTTTAGCAAGAATCTCTTCCACCACAATATATAAATCAAGGCCAATATCTAACTGGGTTCCTCATCCTCCACCACCCCCTAGGCTGTATCTGATCACCCTAGCCTGTCTTCAATCAAAATCCTGATAAGGTCAGTTTAGCCAGAATCTCCCTTCCCACTGATGTTTCCTCTTACTAATTTTCCAATCCACTGACCTCTACCTTAGCTATAAATTCCCACTTACCCATGCTGTATTAGGAGTTGAGTCCAATTTTCTCCCCAACTGCAAAATCCGACTGCAGTGGTCCCTACCTATGATGATGGTCCTAAATAGTCTTCTTTACCAAACTTTAACAAGTTTCATTGAATAACATTTTTCTATAATGCTTCTAAACAGTTCTACTTTCAAAGAAGAATCCAAGAGGAACTAGGAATTATTTTGAACTTAGAAAAATTTAAAATACACTTCAAAATTTGTAAGGCACAGCAAAAGCAATCCTTAGATGGATATCTATATTGCAACATACAATACTTAAATTGGAAAAAAAGAAATATCCATAATGATGCAAGCTTCCAATTTAAAAATCTAGAAAAATAAGACACATCAAGATGAACACTTTTTCATGTGCTTATTGGCCATTAGTATGTCCGTATGTCCTCTCATTTGTTTATTTTTATTATTATTTTTTTTTTTGAGACAGCCTCACTCTGTTGCCCAGGCTGGAGTGCAGTGGCAAGATCTCGGCTCACTGCAAGCTCCGCCTCCCAGGTTCACGCCATTCTCCTGCCTCAGCCTCCTGAGTAGCTGGGACTACAGGCGCCCGCCACTACACCCAGCTAGTTTTTTTTTTTTTTTTTTTTTTTTTGTATTTTTAGTATAGACGGAGTTTCACCGTGTTAGCCAGGATGGTTTTGATCTCCGGACCTCGTGATCCACCCGACTCGGCCTCCCAAAGTGCTGGGATTACAGGCGTGAGCCACCGCACTCGGCCTGGATGTCCTCTTATGTGAAATATCTGTTCAAGTGTTTTGCTCATTTTTCTATTGGGTTGACTGTCCTTTTCTTATTTAGTCACAGGAATTCTTCATATATTCTGAGTACTACTACTTTCCTGGACATATATACTGAAAATATCTTTTCATACTCAGAAAGTAGCCTTTTAATTCGTTTAATGGTATTTTTTAATGAACATTAAGTTCTTGGTTTTAACATAGGCCAATTTATCAATTTTTCATTTCTATTTAGTGCTTTTTATGCCTGGTTTAAGAAATTGGGCAGGTGCAGTAGCTCACACCTGTAATCCTAGCACTTTAGGAGGCCAAAGCAAGTGGATTGCTTGAGCTCAGGAGTTTGAGACCAGCCTGGGCAACATGGCATAACCCTATCTCTACAAAAGTACAAAAAATTAGCCAGGCATGGTGGCATGCGCCTGTAGTACCAACTACTTGGGGGGCTGAGGTGGGAGAATCACTTGAACCCAGGAAGTTGAGGCTGCAGCAAGCTGAGATTGTGCCACTGCACTCCAGCGGAGTGACAAAGTAAGACCTTATTTCAAAAAGAGAGGGGAGGGGAGGGGAGGGGAGAGGAGAGGAATAAATATTGGCCTACTACAAAGTCACAAAGATGTTCTCCTATGTTTTCCTCTAAAAGCTTTACTGCTTAACCCTTCACATTTAGACTATAATCAATCTAAAACTGACTTTTGGGTTTGGAGTTGGCTAAAATATTCTATTAAATAGGTTTTTTTGGAATTTTAGCTATGTAGCTACATCATCTGCTATTTTGGTTGTCTCCAAATTTCCATAATTACAAACAATGCTGTAGTGAGCATTCTTGTATATGTGCTCATATACAAGATTCCTTTTAGTGTTTCTAACTAGAAGTAGAATTATTACTTTTTTAGTACATACTTTAAAAAGTAGAAAGCATATTTCAAACATTAAAAAAGTATGGAAAATAATATAATCAACATTAATGTAACAACTAGATTTTAAAATATTCACATTATGCCATATTTAATTCATCACTTTGATTTTTGATATATGTATGTGTATAGTGTATATGTAGTACATACACACGTGTACGTCTACATGTGTGCAGTTATGTGTAACTATATTTTTACAAATGTGTATGTCTACATATACATCTACAAAAATATATAGTATCATTTTGTGATTTCTAAACATTTTACACTTAGAAATTATATCATAGTATATATACTGTTATTCAACTTTCTTCTTTTCAATCAACTTTTGCTTTTTAAGCATTTCTATTTTGATAAGTTTAGATCTAGTTTATGCATGTTAAATGCAGTAGAGTATCAAATTATATTAATGTATCACAATGTATTTGTATCTATCACTAAGAGACATTTAGATTGCTTCTAATTGTTCACTATTACCAAACTGCTGCAGCGAACACCCTTATTCATGCATCCTGTTTCACTACCTTTAAAAACATCATAAGAATCTCTTTAAGAGTAAAATTTTTCTCTCAAGGGTTTTTATATTCCCTAGATAAAACTACAAATATTGGAAAATATATTACCAAATTTAAAACTTTTTTATATCTGAAGATAACTTTACCTGTAACATTCCTACATTTGATTATATATCATTCTTTTCTTCAGAACAAAGTTTCTTAAGAAGCAACTAATCTACACTGAAAACAAACTGTTCTAAAGCCTGAAATACTTTCCAGACTAAACAAACCCTTTGTATCAGTTTCCTGTCATTCAAAATAAATTTTATTATTTAGTCATTAGCATTCAATTCAGATGTTCAAACCCAACATTGTTAAGGTTATTTATTCTAAAGAAAAAAATACTATCAAATAGAATGAGTTCGTGTGACAAAATTGACTTATGGAAAGTAACTTTGCTGTCTTTTCACAGAAAAATCAAATGATTATAACACTCAAGATTTTCTTATGTAATTCTTTAAGAAAATTTAAAAATACTATATATATATGTAGTATTTATATATATATGTAGTATTTATATATATATATATGTAGTATTTATATATATACATGGTACCCAAAATATGTGGAAACAAACTATAGTAGTAAATAAATTTAGAATAATATATGTATGGCCTCAAAAAATAAATATCATATGTATATGGACTCATGTCTGAATACAACCTAAGGGATAAACATTGAAAGTTAATCTCCAGAGTTACAAAATAAAATTCCAAAATATACTTGCCATTTACTCAAGTGATATATCTGCCTGTGGAGGATACAAAGAATCCTGTTGACTTTATAGCAAAATACAAATTAGAATACAACTAAAAAATATAAAAGCTGGAACATGGAAAAAACCCAAACATCCATCAATGGCTGAATAAACAAAATGTGGTATATACATAAAATGAAACATTATTCAGCCTTAAAAAGTAAGGAACTTCTGGCACATGGTTCAACAAGGATAAATCTTGAAGAAATAGTAAATGAAATAATCCACATACAAAAAAGACAAATATTAAATGATTCCACTTACATGAAGCACCTAGAATAGGCAAATCCATAGAGACAGAAAGCAGAAAGAGACAGGGGCTGTGAGAAGTAGGAAATGAGAAACAAATATGTATATATACACACACACACTCATAATACATTCTCACCTACAGTGTAGGCTAATTGTACAGCAAACAAATGTGTAAATCATTTCTATATTTTAGGTATATGGGGAGGGCAGGAAACAGAAAGGGGAAAAAGTGGAAAGAATAAGGGGAAAAACATAAAAATGGAAACGCATAGAAGAGCTTTATCTTCATATTAATCACAATTTTAAATTACATATCTGTATGCTTATTGATTACTATTTGCATTCTCCAATAAGTTGAAGCTCTATGAGGCCAGGAGCCATGTGTGTTCTGCTAAATATTTTACTTATAGTGCCCAGCATATTTATTGAAGTAACAAAGGAAAGCAAAAGCAGCACAAAAGGTCACACAGATTCAGTTACATGTAACTAATATTATAAAACTCCATAGTTTAAAAGCATTTTCCCATATATTATTTTCTTAGCTATAACGGTTTACCTGGTCCCAAGCCCTAGTACTTTTAGAGCATCAAGAGTCACTGCTCAAAGCCTATCTATAAGTCATGTTGCATCAGACTCTGAAGCATTCAAGACATAGAAAAGAGGAATATAATTGACCATAGGCTTCAGTACTCTAACTTAGCAAATAATTAGGTTTTAGGTTAATCTTATTCTGAAACTTTCCACTCTTACCTAGGGATAATTAACAGATGAGTTTACTTCCTCTGAGCTACAATCTTAGTGTATGAGTTTCTTGTGCTTGATTATCAATCATAAAGTAACTAACATTCAAAACTTTTTGCCACATAGCCTTGAAGTTCATTGTCTTTCTTTAAAACAGATCCTGATAAGAAAAACTTACACAACTCTTGATTAAACTATTATCTCTGACCTTAATATTCTGATTTGCTCTTGACTTATGATATGCAATGCTTTTTCCTGTTGGACTGATTTCCTTTTTCTTTTTTTTTTTTTTTTTTGAGATGGAGTCTCGCTTTGTTGCCCAGGCTGGAGTGCAGTGGCGTGATCTCGGCTCACTGCAAGCTCCACCTCCCAGTTTCACACCAGTCTCCTGTCTCAGCCTACCGAGTAGCTGGGACTACAGGCGCCCGCCACCACACCTGGCTAATTTTTTGTATTTTTAGTAGAGACGGGCTTTCACTATGTTGGCCAGGATGGTCTCGATCTCTTAACCTCGTGATCCACCCGCCTCAGCCTCCCAAAGTGCTGGGATTACAGGCGTGAGCCACTGCGCCCAGCCTGGACTGATTTCTTAGGCACAGATACATTCAAGTTCTTATCTTATTAATCAATCTCATTAATTATTGCACATAATCATACTGCCTGTTTTCTAAACCTACAGAAATTATTATTTGGGATAACTGAGTATCAACCTGTAAAAAATGAAACTGGACCCCCTACTTCACACCACATATAAAAAATTAACTCAAAGTAGATGAAAGGCCTAAATATAAGAGTTAAAACTATTAAACAACTACAGAAAAACATGAGGATAAATCTCTGACTATGGGATTTCATTATGGATTCTGAGATTATGACACCAAAAGCATAAGCTACAACAAGAATAAACAATATGTACTTCATTAAAATGAAAAACTTTCATGCATCAAAGGATACTATCAAAAAGGGGAAATATAGCCTACGGAATGGGAGGAAACTCTTGCAAATGTCTAACATCTAGAATATGTAAAGAACTATGGCTGGGCACGGTGGCTCACACCTGTAATCCCAGCAGTTTGGGAGGCCAAGGCTGGTGGATTACTTGAAGTCAGGAGTTCAGGACCAGCCTGTGTTGGCAACATGGCGAAACCCCGTCCCTACTAAAAACACAAAAATTAACCAGTGTGTCCGGAATTGGTGGGTTCTTGGTCTCACTAACTTCAAGAATGAAGCTGCGGACCCTCGCGGTGAGTGTTACAGCTCTTAAAGTGGCGCGTCTGGAGTCTGTCCCTTCTGATGTTCAGATGTGTTCCGAGTTTCTTCCTTCTGGTGGGTTCGTGGTCTCGCTGGCTCAGGAGTGAAGCTGCAGACCTTCGCGGTGAGTGTTACAGCTCTCAACACAGCGTGTCTGGAGTTGTTCCTTCCTCCCGGTGGGCTCGTGGTCTCGCTGGGCTCAGGAGTGAAACTGCAGATCTTGGCGGTGTTACAGCTCATAAAAGCAGTGTGGACCCAAAGAGTGAGCAATAGCAAGATTTATTGCAAAGAGCGAAAGAACAAAGCTTCCACAGTGTGGAAGGGGACTGGAGCGGGTTGCCAACGCTGGCTCGGGCAGCCTGCTTTTATTCTCTTATCTGGCCCCACCCACATCCTGCTGATTGGTAGAGCCAAGTGGCCTCTTTTGACAGGGCGCTGATTGGTGCATTTACAATCCCTGAGCTAGATACAAAGGTTCTCCACGTCCCCATCAGATTAGTTAGATATAGTTTCCACACACAGGTTCTCCAAGGCCCCACCAGAGCAGCTAGATACAGAGTGTTGATTGGTGCACTCACAAACCTTGAGCTAAACACAGGGTGCTGAGTGGTGTGTTTACAAACCTTGAGCTAGATACAGAGTGCCGATTGGTGTATATTTACAATCCCTGAGCTAGACATAAAGGTCCTCCAAGGCCCCACCAGACTCAGAAGCCCAGCTGGCTTCACCCAGTGGATCCCGCACCGGGGCTGCAGGTGGAGCTGCCTGCCAGTCCCGGTGCCGTGCGCCTGCACTCCTCAGCCCTTAGGTGGTCTACGGGACTGGGCGCCCTGGAGCAGGGGGTGGTGCTCGTCGGGGAGGCTCGGGCTGCACAGGAGCCCATGGAGTGGGTGGGAGGCTCAGGCATGGCGGGCTGCAGGTCCCGAGCCCTGCCCGGCGGGAAGGCACCTAAGGCTCTGTGAGAAATTGAGCGCAGCGCCGGTGGGCTGGCACTGCTGCGGGACCCAGTACACCCTCCGCAGCCACTGGCCCGGGTGCTAAGTCCCTCATTGCCTGGGGCCGGCAGGGCTGGTCGGCTGCTCCGAGTGCGGGGCCGCCAAGCCCACGCCCACCCGAAACTCCAGCTGGCCAACAAGCACCGCACACAGCCCGGGTTCCCGCTCACGCCTCTCCCTCCACACCTCCCTGTAAGCTGAGGGAGTGGGCTCCAGCCTTGGCCAGCCCAGAAAGGGGCTCCCACAGTGCAGTGGTGGGCTGAAGGGCTCCTCAAGTGCCACCAAAGTGGGAGCCCAGGTAGAGGAGGTGCGGAGAGCAAGCGAGGGCTCTGAGGGCTGCCAGCACGCTGTCACCTCTCAGTGGCACACGCCTGTAATCCCAGCTACTCAGGAAGCTGAGGCAGGATAATTGCTTGAAACCAAGAGGCAGAGGTTGCAGTGAGCCAAGATCACACCACTGCACTTCAACCTGGGCAACAGAGCAAGACCCCGTCTCAGTTAAAAAAAAAAAAAAACGAAAACAAAACTATTACAATAAAAAAAGATAAACAACCCAGTTTTCAAAATAGGTAAAGGACACGAACAGACATTTCTCCAAAGATGATAAACAACTGGCCAAAGAAACACATGCAAATATGGTCAGCATCATTACTCATTAAGAAAATGCAAATCAAAACCCACAATTTTGGCGATAATAAAGAACAAAAATAATACAAAACAAAAACAGACCATAACAAGTATTGGTGAGGATGTGGGGAAATTAGAACCCTCATAGACGGCAAACAATATAAAATTGTGCAGCCACTGTAAAAAAAAAAAAAAAAAAAGTTTGGCAGTTCCTTAAAAAATTAAACATAAAGCAGGGTACTATCGCTCATGCCTATAATCCCAGTACTCTGGGAGGCTGACATGGGAGGATCGCTTGAGGCCAGGAGTTCAAGACTAGCCTAGGCAACAAAGTGAGACCCCGACCCTACAAAAAATAGAAAAATAAAAAACAAACATAGATTAGCATGTGGCCCAGTGATTCCACTCATAGGTTTATACCCAAAAGAACTGGAAACAGGTATTCAAACAATCCCTTGTATACAAATGTTCATAGCAGCACTATTCAGAGTAGCCAAAATGTGGAAGGAACCCAAATGTCCACCAAGGGATTAATGGAGAAACAAATTGTGGTATACATAAACAAAGGGATATTATTCAGCCATAAAAAAGTAATGAACTTTTGACACAGGCTTCAATGTGGATGAATCTTGAAAATATTATGCTAAGTGAAAGAAGCCAGACACAAAGGTCACATATTGTATGATTCTATTTATATGAAATATTCAAAATAGGTAAATCCATAGAAACAGAAAGCAGATAAGCGGTTGCCAGCAATTGAAAGAAGGGACAAATGGGGAGACAGAGACTGACTGGTTAATGGGCATGGGGTCTCCTTCAGTGGTGATGAAAATGCTTTTGAATTAAAGTTCACTGCTAAACAACACTGTGAATGCACTAAATGCCACTGAATTCTATGCTTTAAAATACAACTAATGTGAAATTTATATATTGTTAATGGTTACCTGAAAATACATTTGTTTTCAAAATATGTCATCATTGGCAGACATTTTTTGCTAAGCATTTTCTTTCCATCTCAGAAAAATGCAGTTCCTAAAATCCTCATTTCTACATACCAAAAAAAAAAAAAATATATATATATATATATATATATATATTCTAGCTTGAGAAGATTGGGAGTCTTGCTTTGCAGAGGAAAAAAATAATGGCTGAACTTTCCTAGGATAATATTTTGATTTTAGCTACTTAAGCAATTATTATGGATTTTATAGGATATTCTTTAAAACTATGGCCAACATATATTTAATATTTAACCCCAAAGAGAAGTACTCCAATCCGAGCTATGCCACTGATCTGTAGCTTACATTTTATCATTAAGGAAAAATGACCAAAAGATCATTGAAATAAAGAAGATATATCTACTTATAATACATGGGGGTAAAATTTCCTACTTCTATGAAATAAAAAAGTTTTTGTATTATGAATTCAAAACCCCTTTACTACTGACTCCAGCTCAACTGCCTTCATTGACAAACTTGCCACCCAGAATTCTCAGTATCAGCTAGGAAAACATTAGTAATTCTGTGCAAGTATTTTGCATTCTCATACTTATTTTTAGATATGAAACAAAAGGGAAAGCAGAAATTGTAAAAAAATAAAAGGGGGGAGCTGATATTCAAGTGTGTTATATAATGAACTCAGATTTGCTTAAAGAGCAATGGAAAGATACTTAAAGTTTTTAAACAGATGAGAGACATTCTCAGAACTATAGTTTAAAAGGTCAATCTGCAGCACTGTTGAAAATAGATATGAAGAGATAAGAGTGGATGCAGATGTTTATGAGTTTATTCTAGTTGACTAGGGAAGAAATGGTGGTGGTATGAATAAGGGCGTAACAGTGAGGATGGAAAGAAATAAGATAGGATGTTTGTGATGTGAAATATTAAGGCTTAGTATGGACTTCAATGAGGGGAGGTCAGAAAAAAAATAATACATAAACTTATAACACCATGGTTTCTGGTTTGAGGAAACTGATAGATTATAATACCATTTACTAAGATTTAGAATAATGGACGGGAATAAATTTGGAGATCGTGAATTTGGTTTCAAACATGTTGAATCTCAGTGAGACCTCCAAAAGGAGATGTTGTGTAGACATTTGGATATACTTAGTTGCAGTTCAGAAAGAGGGTTCTATGCTAGATATACAGGTCTGAAAGTCAACTGGCAAGAAATGACTAAAATCATGGGATGATAGATGACATTGTCATAGGCAAATATGCAAATGAAGTACAGAGAACGCCTATGACAAAGTTCAAAAATACTGCAACAGTAAACAGCTGATTTCAGGGGGAAAAGCTGGCAATGGAGAATGTGAATAGGTGGCCAGAGGTACAGAGATAAAACCAGAAGAGATGGTGCCAGAGTGTTGAAGAAAAAATTTGTTTTAAAGAGTGTGACCAGCTTTTTCATATACTGGCGAGAATTTGAAAAAGTATCCTTTAGTTACCTCCTGGTTATTTAACAATTTACCTAGATTTTTCTGTCTTTGATTTAATTATGCTTAACAAATTGTAGTCTAAAATATTGATTGCTATGAACTTAATTACGTCCTCTCAAAATCTGTATGTGACATATGTGTTATATATGACATATGTTGGTCAGCTGTAACTGTGTTCATACATCAGATTTGAACTCAGCTGAAACTCTAACCCCTAATGTGATGATAGTCGGAGATGGGGACTTTGAGTAGCAATTAGGGATAGAAAGGGGTCCTCATGATGGACTGAGTGGCTTTTTAAGATGAGAAATCTGAAATGTGATAATACACTGAGAAAGCAGCCATCTACAAGCCAGGAAGAGAGCCCTCATCAGGAACCTAATCCATCGGCACCATGATCTTGAATTTCTCAGCCTCCAAAACTATCAGAAATGCATGTCTGTTAAGCCACCCAGCCTATGGCGTTTTGTTATATCAGCAAGAGATTTGCGTTACCTCTTTTTCCACTCACAAGCAGAATACAGCTTTCCCTGCCTTGTGTCCCTAATATTCTCTTATTATTGCTTTTAATCACACTTTTGCTTGTCTTCTCTGCTAAGCTATGAGGACCTGATAAAAGGGGTAACATTATTTCTCTTTGTTTACCTGTGCCTAAAAAAGTACCCATCTAAAGCATTTTACATAGGCTACAGATTAGTATAGAAAGACCTATTACTAAACCACTGCACATTTCTGATTTACTTAGCCAAGGTCACAGAAAACACACACGAATGTCAGTACACCCAGGATTCCTAGCAAAAACATGCAATTGTGGTTGACAATGTGTAATATATAATTTGCTGGATTAGAGAAGCTTAATTTTCTGCTGCACTTGAGCCCCTTATTATAGTTTTATATCACCATTCTGAAAGAATGTACACAAACTTTTTTTACTAATACTTTCACTTGGAAGAATGTTAACATATGTTGGACTGTGATGGGTACTTCATCTAATTTAGCATTGGTAAGGCAACAACTTCAACTGAGTGAGAAAGCTGACTAAGCCTGCTGGCATTTCTGAAAGCTTGCCTCTTACTATCTAGCTTCCAAAGAGTGGTTTCACCTAACTAGCAAATGGCAGATACCCCTATTTAAATTAAGCCTTCCTAGAGCTTGAAACTATACTGTATGTTCAGCCCCTGGTTAGTGCCTGGCTCTGAATTATATTGTTAAAATATTGAATGAATGAATAAATGAACACATGAATGCTCATTAAATACTGAAGGAACCAGCCAATTTATCAGTTCACAGATTACTAAGTTCTTGGCCTTTTTATTAAAATATAGTTATGATATGATAGATATATCTTATAAATATAAATGAAATATTATAGGAACTATATTCCATGTAAGTTTTTTAAGTCCTCAGATTCCTATGCGATAGCAGCAACTAATATTTCCGACCATACTCAATGGTAGAAACTCTATAATTTCAGTCAGTGGTAGCATTATATTTTTAACTATATTTTGTAAATTGATGTACAGTTGTCATACAATGTTTTATAAAAGTCTTTAAAAGTTAACTTTTAAAATTCGATTTGGAAGTACTATTTAAATTCAGTTGAAAGGTAGTATTAATAGTATATCTTTTTTTGTAGATTCTAACCTTACATTTAAAAGAAACATTATTGCAGAAAAAGGGGTACATCTTATTACTTAAACAGTTAAGACTGAGTATGAAACTAGATATTAATGAATGACTCAAAAGTAAGACTGCCTGGCCCATAGAAAAACAAGCTGAAACTTCTGTTTCCCAACAAGGAGTAGATGTATTTATCTCTATTCCTCCTGCTAATTAATTATAAAAACCCAGAACATAATAAAACAAACATGAGACTTTGAAAAGTAGGGAAAAGAAGAAGGATAGAATAGGGAGCTCAGGAGTAGTGGAACAACATTAGAGAAGTGACTCACAGTGGTGAGTTCCTTGAGTTTTCTTCTTTCCTCCTACCTACCCCAAGCTAGTTCCTAGAGAAACTCACCACCTAGAAGTGCCAATGAACAGAAACAAAAAATGCTTCAAGGAAAGCCTACTCTCTCTAGCCAAAGGTACAGGAAAGGTGAGGACCAGTAAAACAAAAACCCTGCTCACCATGCCCACCCTACTCCAGCCATAATCAACTAGGGGGAAAAAACAAAACAAAAAGCAGCCATGCTCCGTCAATGAAAGCAGAGTGAGGGCCAGGCACGGTGGCTCACACCTGTAATCCCAGCACTTTGGGAGGCCAAGGCAAGTGGATTACTTGAGGTCAGAGCTCAAGACCAGTCTGGACAACATGGTGAAACCCCATCTCTACAGAAAATACAAAAATTTGCCCCGCGTGGTGACGCATGCCTATAATCCCAGCTACTAGGGAGGCTGAGGCAGGAGATTTACTTGAACCCAGGAGGCAGAGGCTGCAGTGAGCCAAAATCACTCCACTGCACTGCAGCCTGGGCGACAGAGCAAGACTCCGTCTCAAAAAAAAAAAAAAAAGAAAGAAAGAAAGAAAGAAAGCAGAGTGAGAAGCCTGCACTTTCACCAACACTAAGCAGGAACCCCTTCAAACTCTCTCGATGCAATGTCAGCAGAGGAAAAGAGGTAAAAGGGAGGAGTAAGTCTCCCATCTTTTCCTAGTAGTATTGACGTGACCTTCTCCCTCAGGCATGATATCATCAGAGGCCTGCTAAAATAAAAGATTTAAATAAGATCCACAGTCTCAAAATAGAATACACATAATCACTGATTTACAATGCTTCTCCTTAACGATTTTTCAACTTTATGATGGTGTAAAGCTTTTGCAATTTTAACGTACTTCAAATTTTGAATTCTGATCTTTTCCCAGGCTGGCAATAAGTGACGTACGACATACTCAGTGCGTTATCATAAAATGGGTTTTGGTGGGCGCAGTGGCTCATGCCTGCAATCCCAGCACTTTGGGAGGTGGAGGCAGACAGATCACTTGAGGTCAGGAGTTCGATACCAGACTGACCAACATGGTGAAACCCCGTTTCTACAAAAATACAAAAAATAGCCAGAAGTGGTGGCTAGCATCTATAGCCCCAGCTACTCAGGAGGCTGAGGCAGAAGAATACCTTGAACCCGGGAGGCAGGGGTTGCAGTGAGCCAAGATGGTACCACTGCACTCCAGCCTGAGCGACAGAGCGAGACTCTGTCTCAAAAAATATATATAAATAAAATAAAATGGTTTTGTGTTAGATAGTTTTGCCCAACTGTAAACTAATGGAAGTGTTCTGAGCATTTTAAGGTAGTCTAGGCTAAGCTATGATGTCTGGTAGTTTACATGTATTCAATACATTTTCTTTTTCTTTTCCTTTTTCTTTTTTTTTTTTTTGAGACAAGAGTCTTACTGTCACCCAGACCCAGGTTGGAGTGCAATGGCATGATCTCGGTTCACTGCAACCTCCACCTCCTGGGTTCAAGCGATTCTCCTGCCTCAGCCTCCTGAGTAACTGAGATTACAGGCGTGCGCCACCACACCTGGCTAATCTTTGTATTTTTAGTAGAGACAGGGTTTCACCATGTTGTCCAGGCTGGTCTCGAACCCCTGACCTCAAGTGATCTGCCCGCCTAAGCCTCCCAAAGTGCTGGGATTACAGGCATGAGCCACTGTGCCCCAGCAACATTTTTGACCTACGATATTTTCAACTTATGATGGATTTATCCGGACATAACCCAAGGTAGGTTGAGAAACATCTGTAGTCCACATGTCCAGGAGACAATTAAAAAATAATTCATCATACAAAGTACAAGGAAAATCTATAATCAAAGGATGAAATTATATTCAAAGGATGCCACCACCATGATATAACACATGTCGGAATTACTTGACAAGAACTTTAAACCAGCCATGATTAAAATGCTCCAGTGAACCACTAAAGAACACTCTTAAAATAAATTAAATAGAAACTCTAAGCAAATAAACAATTATACATAAAGAAGAACCCAATGGAAATTTTAGAACTAAAAATTACAATAGCCAAAATTAAAAACTTGCTGCATGAGCTCATGAGAGAAGAGACAATCAGTAAACTTGAAGACACGACACAATAGAAATTACCAAATCTGAATAACAGAGACAAAATTAGGTTGAAAGGCTGAAAAATAAATTGAAGAGACCCTCAGTGACCTGTAGGACAATCATAAAAGATCTAGCATTCATGTGATTAGAACTGTCAAAGGAAAAGAAATGTAGGGTTTAAAAAGGATTTAAAGAAATAATGACAAAAATTTCCCAAATTTGACAAAAGTCACAAACCTAGGGATTCAAGAAACAGAAACCCAAATAGGATAAACCCAAACAAATCCATGCCAAGACATGTTATGACCAAACTTCTGAAGAGTAAAGAAAAGGAAAAATGATTGAAAGCAAGTAAACAGAATGATGCATTACCTATTGTGGAACAAAGATTCAACAGTGCATGTTGCATCAGAAACAATAGAGGCCAAAAGGAAGTAGCAAATTTTTCAAGTGCTGAAGAAAAACAATTGCTAAGTTATAATTCTACATATGGTGAAAATACCATTCAGTAGTGATATGGTCTAGCTGTGTCCCCACCCAAATCTCATCTTGAATTGTAATTCCCATAATCCCCATAATCTCCTAGGTGTTCAGGGAGAGACCTAGTGGGAGGTGACTGGATCACGGGGGCAGTTCTCATGCTAGTGAGATCTCATGCTAGTGTGTTCTCATGTGTTCCCCATGATTGGATCATGGGGGCAGTTCTCATGCTGTTCTCATGCTAGTGAGATCTCATGCTGGTGTGTTCTCATGCTAGTGAGATCTGATGGTTTTATATGGGACTCTTCCCCCTTCACTTCTCACTCCTCTCCTCTGCCACCATGCGAAAAAGGTCCTTGCTTCCCCTTCACCTTCCACCATGATTGTAAGTTTCCTGAGGCCTCCCCAGCCGTGTGGAACTGTGAGTCAATTAAATCTCTTTCCTTTATAAATTATCCAGTTTTGTGTATTTCTTTATACTGTGAAAACAGAATAATACAAATAATGAAGAAGAAATCCAGATATTTTAAAAGAAAACAGAGAATTTCTTACCAGCCAACTTATTTTAATAATTCTAAAGGAAGTTCTTCAAACTGAAAGAAAACTATAAAAGAAGAAACTTGGAAGACTAGCAATGAGGACAGTAGAAAGGATAAACAATACCTCTATTATATTTACCCATACATAAATTATTTATCTCTTATGGGTAAACATAAGAGACGACCCATGTTTTGTGGTTTATAATTATGTTTGACAGTTGAAGCAAAACCTATCACATCTTGTGATGAGGTTCTCAATGTAATTAGAGAAAATATTTGAGATAACTGTATTATAATGGAGAAGGGTAAAGGTATGTAAATGAAAACAAGGTTTCTAGATTCCACTTAAAGTAATAAAATGTTGATACCAGTAGACTGTAATAAGGTATGTATGCATAATATAATACCAAGAGCAAATACTAAAAAAAAAAACTACTCAAAAAGATATAGTCAAAAACTCTACAGAAAAAATAAAATGAAATTCTAAAAAAAAGCTTAAGTAACCCATATGAAGGAATTAAATGGGAAACAGAGGAAACAAACAGGAAATAAATAATAACATGGCAGACTTAGCTCTATCAATAATGCAAGCTAAAATGTCAGCATGCAAAATATCCATACACTAGCAATGTAAAATTTAAAAATGATATGGTTTGAAACTGGATTTCATAAAAATTAAAAACTTTTGCCATTCAAAAGACACAGGTAAGAGAATGAAAGGGCAGTCTACAGAATGTAATGCAACTCCTGGGCATTTCCCTTAAAAAATAAAAGTTATGTTCACACAAAAACCTGTCTATAGCAGCTGTATTCATAATTGCAAAAAACTAGAAAAAACCCAAATGTTCTTCAATAGATGGATAAGGTGGTCCATCCATAAAATGGAATATCATTTAGCAATAAAAAGGAACATATTAGATTAACCAACCCAAAAGAATCTCAAAGACATTATGCGGAAAGAAGCCAGTCTCAGAAAGTAAATAGCCTGTATGATTCTGTGCATATGACAGTCTGAAAAAGGCAAAGCTATAGGGAAGGAGAACAAATCAGGTATTAGTGGCGGTAGGAAGATTTGACTACAAAGGGGCAGGATGAGGAAATTTTTTGAGATGATAGAACTATTTTGCATACCGATTGTAGTGGTAGTTACTCAAATTTATATATATGATATAACTCATAAAATTGCACATTAAACATTCAACATACTACATACAATGTTAAAAAATTTCTGTCCTCAAAACAAACTTGAATGACTATAGCACTGATATTTAATGCCTTATTGTTTTATCATGACACTTTTGGACATTAGTTTTTAACATTTTTGACATTTATTTTTAACATCACATTTCATTAAGAATGTTTAATACTAAACATGTTTCCATGTAAGTTCCCTGAGAGTAGAAAGTCTGTCTGGTATTCTCATTTCATTGACCTAGCAGACTGACTATCACACAGCGCTCAAACAGGTTTGTTACCTGAATAAATGTTTCACAAAATAATGCAACCCTCCCCCAAAAAAGCTTACGTTAAAGTTTATTCCATTCTTTAGCATTCTTTTAAAAATTTTTTCCTTACCTGTTACTAAATTAAGACTGATCTAAAAAATAACTATTTCACAAATTGCTCTCACATTAATGAATATTAACATATTTCAGGGAAAAATTCCACACTTTAAGAATGACACGGCATTTAATTCAAGGAGCTATTTGTAAAGTGCAAATATTGCTAAGTGAACAGATCAGGATTCTGAGTTCTCTAATTTTAAAAAGGCCTCATTACTTTTTCTGTAGTTCTATTTCATTAACAAATAAAATAAACTCCAAATCAATCATTTATAGGTAATCCTTCCTAAATTTTCTTGAATAGTTAGATTAGGTCTCTCAACTAATTCACTTTATTCAAAATTACTTTCTTTTTTAGAGACAGAAGGGTCATTAAAGATCATCAGATAAAAGCATTGATACATTTACAACATGGATGAACCTTGAAAACGTTATGCTAAGTGAAAGAAGATAGTCTAGGACCACGTACTAAATGATGCCATTTATATGCAATGTCTAGAATAGGCAAATCTGTAAACACAGGAAGAAGATTAGTAGTTTCCTAGGGCTGGGCAGGATGGATGGGAGGGCTGGGGAGTGACAACAAAGTCATATGGGCTTTGGTGGGGAGAGTAGCGGGGGGTGATAAAACTGTAAATCTAAAATAGATTGTGATAATGGACGGTGCAGCTCTGAATATACCAGTGAATTATATACGTTATATAAGTGAATTGTATGACTTGTGAGTTATATTTCAATAAAGCTACTGAAATTATTAGGAAATGCCTCTGAGACAAATCTATGAGTCTATAAAATAGTTTTCAAGATAAGAGCCTTCATTATAGCATCAAATATTTAGAACTAATAGAGTATACTGCACTTTAAGTGGTAAATGGGAGCATACAACATTTAAATCTCATATGGTCTAGTCATTTCCTCAAAAGTTTATCATTACATGGAAAAGGCTGTAAACAAAAGTTATACATGTTATCATGTAGTATATAAAATAAGCTTCTCATTTACAGCTAAGAAAATTCAGTGACATTTAATTACATTACACCATAATGAGGCTATATTCTAGCAATCTGAAAGACATCTAGGCTTTAAAAAACTGTATGCTTGAGTGTCAGGCATTAACTCTAAATGAAGAAATAGTTAAGTAGCAGAAGAGGTTAATTATATTGGTCTAACTCCTTTTAGTCTTAAAATTAAATAAATAAATGTTCTTTCTTTGCCAGGCTGAATATAATAGCCTGTGAATTATAAGATCAAGCGACCAACTGTATGTTTTCTAAAATATGAGTATCCTTCATCAAGTTTTATACTTAGGGCAGCTAAAACACCTATGTGGAAAAATCAGCAGTAAGCCCAAAGGACAGGCAGGGCACAGCAAGAAAGAAGGCAATTCCCTTGTGTCTTCTGCAGGTCACTACCAAGGACCATGTTAGCAGATCCACACCAGACCCTTAACAGGCAGTTCTGCTGCTACCAGTAATTAGCTTGGACAGCTCCAGCTCCAAGAGTAGCAGCAAGGCTACACCATAATGAGCTCAGCTGGGATTAGCAGGACAGGGCAGGGAACCAAGAGAGCTCAGGCATTCTGCATTGCGTATGTATCTAGGAGATCAAACAAGGATGGCTGGCTAGGTTATCCCCTCTCCACCTCATTCCAAAAATGAAGCACGGCAGCGTCTAAAATACAGGCTAATGAAGAGCGACACCTCCAACAGATGAGAGCCACACTAATTAACACAATCCCTAGATCATATTATCCAGTTTCTGTTAGAGCTAGCAACTGTGCAACTTGTTATTGCATAATACATATATATATTTTTAAAAGCTAGTCTTTTTTTCTTTACTTTTATTGGCAAAAATCAGATTATTTCAAATTTTATAAAGTGTTTCTTTAATAGCTTTTAAGCCATGAAAAAATTTCTCCCAAGTATTTTATCTAAGTCCATATTGTTAAAAATGAAACTCACTTTTGAATCATTAGCTCCTGGTTTTCCCTTTTGAAATATGCCAGTTCATTCCACACAGCGTCAGAATCTTCTTGTCGAAGTTGTTGGGGATCTGCTCTCTTTATTTTCCTGATTTCAGTCCTATTTTTAAAACAAAGTTGCTTTTTCAATTAACATGTCTGAAGTGCAATAAAAATTATTTTATACATTCCTTAAAATTTAAAAATATCTATTGACCAAATTTCTAACTCGAGTTCACCATTTATTGAATGAATTTCCTAAAACCTAAGCATGTAGAAATCAAAACCCTCTATCATAATTTTTTGAAGCTAAACTGCTACTGTGGAAAGCAAACTTTTAAGCAGACACATGATATTCTAAGGTCTATTGCTCCCATTCAGTCTAGTAGTAATGAAAACAGACACTGTAGAATTTTAACGGTCCCCCCCGCATACAAAAAAATCTATATGCAACCAACTCATCTGGAATTTGCTGCTAACCAAGATGAATGTGGTACAGATGCCTTTATCTTTTAAAAAAACTATTACCAGTGAATATGTCAGAAAGTAGATTTCACTCTTCTAATGATTAGTTAAGCTGGGTGAACAGAGGATAAATCTAGGACAAACTGCTTTATCACTGCTTTACTGACAAGTGATACAAAACACTTCCACTCATCAAAGAAAAAAATTAGATGTGACAATTATCTACAAGTGATGCCAAATGCCCTTTACATTTTCATTTTCTGAACATAAAACAAATTCTTCATTTTTATTTTGTAAAAGTGCCGTACTGGCCAATTTAGAAACAGTATTTCTCTACAGAACAGACCAATGTGTATCATCAACATTGCCCTAAAGGATCCATCTCAAAAGATGAGAAGGTAGTAGATTTTCTGTACTCATTCAGTCCTTTGCCCTCTGTTGATACAGTTAACAGGGGAGCCACTTACGACTAACCAAGATCTGAACACCTGTTCAGAGCAATTGAACTGAGACCGCCAATTCATTCACATAAGCTGGAGAACAAACTGATGGATAGTAAAGATCTTCAAATTGCATACTAGGTTGAAGTAGTTTTAAGATAGTTAACTATATATGTGAATTTCATATTTCTCTAGTCTTTCCACTAAAATTTAAATACTTTTGGAGTTATAAACATTTTAACACCAGTATTTTATTTATTTAAAAGCAAGTTTTTCAATCACACGGATATTAACCATTTTTGCTTTAAATTACATAATTTTATTAAGTTATTCCATTGATATTAAAAATGTGTACAATAATTCATAATCATTGACTGCTAATGATATCTGCAAATGTGAGGAAAATCTATAGTTATTACCAACACATTCCTCTGTTTTAATTTGTTATATTCTCCATTTAAAAATTCACAATAAAGATTTGACTACCAAATAATTTCTTTAAAACCAAACAAAAGCCATTAAGACACCTATATAATGCTACTCCATTCCATTTAATATTTAGGGAAATGCCTTTATGAGCTATGTAACTCACATGCCACTGCCTTCTTCCCACTGTTTTAATTGCTCTTTTACTGCTCTGTAGTTGGTCTGTAACATCTGTAGCCGTTCCTTGCGTTTTTCATGGGCATCTCTTAGCTCATCATTTTCTTGGCTCTGTAGAACACAAAAAAGCAAGTATATATAAGTTTGAAGAAAGTATTAATATAATGTTTCAAATAAAAGGTTACCCATCTAAATATGAAATTTGAAAGAAAATAGTGTGTAAACATAAATGAATCTGTAATATGTATTTAAGCAGAAAAAAGAATTTCTCTAGTCACAGAATACATTTGCTTGATAAATTCAACTCAGTCAATGCATTTTTTAAGCTGCTCACATAATTTCAAAATTTTACCATTAAGATAGTTTCACTCCTTTCCCTGTTGTTAATTAGTATACATTCATAAACCTATCTTACATGTTTTTAATTATTTTCTTTTTCAGCATAAGGTTTTATCTATACATAAACCATGATTATTTTATTAAAGTGCAAATATAATTAGTATAAGAACATTAATCAGAGTAAGAACAATTATTTAGCACATGAATTCATAACTAATATTTACTAAGGCACAAGGATTACACATAAGGAAGAAAATGAGATTGGACCCTATGTTAGAAGGAGCATAGTTTAACCTTCTGGGGTTGTACCATGAAGAACTGGAATGGGAAAGCTAGGCTTACAACTCTTAAAGAGGTTATAAAACAAGCCATCCAAACATTGCTTTGTTGTGTCAATACCTAGGTTAGACAATTATAGTCAACTACTTCTTTTTTATTTATTTTTATTTTTCTGGAAACAGGGCTTCCCTCTGTGGCCCAGGCTGGAGTTCAAAGCTCACTGCAGTCTCAAACTCCTGGGCTCAGGCAATCTTCCCATGTCAGCCTCCCAAGTAGCTAGGACTACAGGCATACAGTATCACACCCAGCCAATTTTTTATTTTATTTTTGTAGAAACAGGGTCTCACTCTGTTGCCAAGGCTGGTCTCGAACTCCTGGTATCAAATGATCCTCCTGCCTCAGCCTCCCAAAATGCTGGAATTACAGGCATAAGCCACCGTGTGTGGCACAGTCAACTACTTCCAATATATAGCACATGAGATCAATTTTCATTTTTAGATATATATAAAATGAATTTATAAAGACGAAATTCTTAGTCCTCAGAAGATATATGCACATGACTATAAACTGTGTTTCTCAAAGTAAAATAAGTAACTTCTCCAGTTTCTTCCCTCATGAGAATTTCAAATATTTTAATAACTGTTATTCATATTTCTGTATGAATGAACTTGTATACTTATGTGGTGGAGGCAACAGATACTCTCTAATATTATAGTGAGGTGATATGAGTAGGCATATGGTAATCAGAAAGATCTGAATTCCATTCTTGGAGCTTGCTCCTGTTAGTGGCATTATCTTAAGAACACCATTGAAATTAATTCAAGTTTTTTCCTGCAAAATATGGAAGAGAAAAAAGAGGTTTAAATTTTGATGAAATAAGTTAACCTAGGTGGTGGGGCCCCAGCCCTTTTAAGGACACAAAGCAAAAGTTAGCTTCTTTCAGTCTCCTTTTCCCACATGTTAACAGTGATGCCCTTATCTTTTAGAAACCAAGTAACTGTTTCTTGACCTCTCATCTAAACAGTGAGATAATACTTTATAGAGTCTGCATTATTTTACTGCAATTCTAGCTGTCTTAGCAGTATGGGTAGTCTGTCATTCTACTTTCACTATATTTCTACTAGGATAGTTCTCTTAAGTAGTTATTAAGAAGTATTTGAGTCTTGTTTGTAACAAGAAGTGTTCTATATGCCGTACAGAAATGAAAGTGCTTGATGAAAAAGCAGAATGGATTCAGTTGACAAAGGCATTCAAAATAAATGTTTCCTAAGTAGTTTTAGAAGATATACAAATCACACATAATGCAAATTTGCTAAAGTAGGATAGTTTAATATATGAAGTAAAAGTAAAAACCTCAGGTTACTGAGTTCAATTTTGTTCATTTCAATTTAAGAACCATACATGAAGAGTCTATTACACGTAGGATGCTGTGTTGATAAGAGTTCAAATCTAGCTGCTCAAAGTTAACTAAATTTTACTTTGATCTAGTTACTTAAATTCAGTTAACTCAGGTTATCCATCTTCAAAATAGAAGCTATTTATATCTCTTCTTCTAAGACATAGAGAATAATTTAGTCTTGAACTTGAGTTTTTCATATTAATTTGGTTAACAATCCAAATACTACTTAATGTCTTTGAACAAAAAGCTTTCTATTGTTAAGTATGTGAAATAAATAATTTAAGTTAGCAAAACAAGAGATTAAAAATTAATAATGTTGGTACCTTCTCATATATGAACATGAGTTAATTATGTTTATTGAGATTGCTTAAAAACTAGAAAACAATATTAGTGATTTCAGCAAGACATATTAGAAATTTATTAATAATTTAATTATAAGAAATTAATAGGCTGGACACAGTGGTTCATGCCTCTAATCTCAGCACTTTGGGAGGCCGAGCCAGACAAACCACTTGAGGTCAGGAGTTTGAGACCGGACTGGCCAATATAGTGAAACCCCATCTCTAAAAAAAAAAAAAAAAAACAAAAATTAGCCAGGAGTGATAGCAGGTGCCTGTAATCTCAGCTACTCAGGAGGCTGAGGAAGGAGAATCGCTTGAACCCAGGAGGCAGAGGTTGCAGTGAGCAAAGATGGCGCCACTGCACTGTACTACAGCTTGGGCGACAGAGAGACACTCTGTCAAAAAAAAAAGAAAGAAAAAGAAAGAAAGAAGAAGGAAGGAAGGAAGGAAGGAAAGAAGGAGGGAGGGAAATTAACAGACTATATTGGAAGAGATTCATGTCAAAACATAATTTCAAAAGAAACTTAAACTAAAATGTGTATCTTATGTTAAAGACTTCTATGATAGCTTTCTATAATTATTCTTCATTGAATCAAAGTTCTTCCCTCAAACTCTTATTTTACAATGACTTTCTTAAAAATTATTATATATAAACTGTTTGGGGAATGACTAAAGTTTTTTGTTAGAGTCATCAGAAACTGAGTAAATAGAACCTCAAAGATTGACCAAGATGTGAAAATAAATAGAATAGGATGTACAAATTTTCTCAATTACTTTCACAATGATTCTCTGTTAAATTCATGGAACAAACTGAGATTCTTATATGTATTGACACTATGTTAAGGATTTTTCAGTACTGCCTCAACTACCATTAGTCATTGAATTCATGTGTTTTCCCTAATTGTCCATAGAAACTAACTATATTACACCATTAAACCAAAGACTAAGAATCAATAAAAATCTCCTGAGCTCCATATGTCATTCATGATGTGCCAGACTCTGTACTAGGCACTTTAATTAATAAAAGCAGTGAATGCTGCCCCTTCTGATTCCCAAAGCTTTAGTGTAAAATGTTCAATATTACCAAATAATTTTGATTTTCCTATAGTAATTTCAATAAGTGGCTCTTTCCACTAAGTATTAATTACAGAAAAAATAGTTTTATCCTATGCAATACCATTCAGGACACAGGCATGGGCGAAGACTTTATGACTAAAACACCAAAAGCAATGGCAACAAAAGCCAAAATTGACAAATGGGATCTAATAAAACTAAAGAGCTTTTGCACAGCAAAAGAAACTATCATCAGAGTGAACAGGCAACCTACAGAATGGAAAAAATTTTTTGCAATCTGTCCATCTGACAAAGGGCTAATATCCAGAATCTACAAGGAACTTAAACAAATTTACAAGAAAAAAACAAACAACCCCATCAAAAAGTGGGCGAAGGATATGAACAGACACTTCTCAAAAGAACACGTTTATGTAGCCAACAAACATATGAAAAAAAGCTCATCATCACTGGTCATTATGGAAATCAAAACCACAATGAGATACCATCTCATGCCAGTTAGAATGGTGATCATTAAAAAGCCAGGAAACAACAAATGCTAGAGAGGATGTGGAGAAACAGAAACACTTGTACACTGTTGGCGGGAGGGTAAATTAGTTCAACCATTGTGGAAGACAGTGTGGCGATTCCTCAAGGATCTAGAACCAGAAATACCATTTGACCCAGCATTTAGAGAAATACCTAATGTAGGTGACAGGTTGATGGGTGCAGCAAACCACCATGGCACATGTACACCTATGTAACAAACCTGCACATTCTGCACATGTATCCCAGAACTTAAAGTATAATTTTTTTAAAAAAAGGTTTTATAGATGAGCCTTCTGCTTTAATTTTACTTGCTTAATTTATTATATCTAACAGCAGAGTGTTTACATAAGTCTTATAAAATTATCAAAATCTAAACTATTAAAAATAAAATTCAACTAGCTATTATTTGCAAATCATTTGATAGACATAATTCATAAGAAAAAATCTTTTAAAATGCAGTTTCATCCAAAGATTCATGTTTGGGGACGCTGCTGTCAAAGTGTAAATCATGCATTAAATTAGTCCTAGAGACTATTGTTCCTTTATCTTACTTCAGCAATAGAGAGTAAAGTTTTATAAAAATGTAAATATAAGATAGATACAGTTCAAAGAAAAACACTTCTTCATTTTAATGGCGCCAGAATACATGCCAGCTGAAGTCATCCATCAAAAGTTGGATATCTTAAAATAAATATTTTTCAAAATATCCAAATACTTTCTTTATAACCTTCTAACAAACACAGGTTAACTGTAGTTTGGATTATGATCCAAACTTTGACAAATAGTAAGCAAAGGCAAAATAATAGTACTTTATTTGGGAACTATTACCACCAAAGATCTTACAACAAGTCAAGTGTATGACCTGAAAAATGTATTTTATATCACTAATTAATATATTTTCCTACAGGATACACACAAAAATATTCCACAGGCAGGTGCTGAATGAGATCAGTTCATTAGATCATTCAATAAAACATTTACTAAGTACTTCCTTTGGATTTTGTAATTAAACTAGCTAAACTAGAAGCTCTAACTTTGTTTTTGTTTTTGTTTTTGAGACAGACTCGCTGGAATGTAGTGGCAGGATCTCAGCTTGCTGCAACCTCTGCCTCCTGGGTTCAAGCGATTCTCATCCCTCAGCCTACTGAGTAGCTGGGATTACAGGTGTGCACCACCTAACCCAGCTCATTTTTTTGTCTATTTTTAGTAGACACAGGGTTTTGCCATGTTGTCCAGGCTGGTCTTGAACTCCTGGCCTCAAGTTATGCACCCACCTCAGCCTCCCAAAGTGCTACAATTACAGGCCTGAGCCATCGTGCCTGGCAAGGCTCTTTCTGTGTACGAACAAGTATGAATGAATGAAACATTAGGAAATAGAAAACAGGAAAAAATGTATCAACTGACCTTTTCCTCAAAGATCTTTGCAATTCTAATTCTGAATTGATTAAAAACATAAATAATTTTTGAAACACAGTCTCACTCTGTCACCAGGCTGGAGTGCAGTGGTACGATCTCGACTCACTGCAACCTCTGCCTTCTAGGTTCAAGCAATTCTCCTGCCTCAGCCCCCTGAGTAGCTGGGATTAGAGGCATGCACCACCACACCCAGCTAATTTTTGTATTTTTAGTAGAGACAGGGTTTCACCATGTTAACCATGATGGTCTCGATCTCTTGAACTCGTGATCCACCCGGCTTGGCCTCCCAAAGTGCTGGGATTACAGGCGTGAGCCACCGCGCCCAGCCAATAATTTTTTATCTAATCTTCAGGTTTGAACAAAGGTTCCTAGATGAGAATAAGCTGAACTAAAAGCATGAACCCCAATATGGATGGATGTCATTTAATCTGTTGAAAACCTCAATAGAATAAAAGCTGAGTAAGAAAGATTCCTTTCTCTCTGCCTGCCTTCAAGCTGGGACATTAGTCTTCTCTTGCCTTCTGACTTGAACTTGAACTTACACCATCAGCTTTCCTGGTTCTATAGTTTTTGGGCTCAAACTGGAACTATACCATCAGCTCTCCTGGCTCTCTAGCTTGCCAATTGAAAATCTTTTTTTTTTTTTTTTTTTTTAATTTTAGATTCAGGGAGCACATGTACAGGTTTGTTACAAGGGTATATTGCAGGATGCTGAGGTTTGGGCTTCTATTGATCCCATCACCCAGATAGTGAACACAGTACCCAATAAGAAGGTTTATAGCCCTTGCTCCCTTCCTTTTGCAGTTCTTTAGTGTCTACTGTTCCCATCTTTATGTCCATGTGTACTCAGGTTTAGCCCCCACTTATAAATGAGAACATGTGATATTTAGTTTTCTGTTTCTACATTAGTTCACATAGGACAATGACCTCCAGCTGCACTCATGTTGCTGCAAAGGACAGGATTTCATTCTTTCTTATGGCTGCATAGCATTCCCTGAGCGACTACAGATCTTATACTTCTGAGCCTCCATTATCACGTAAGCCAATTCCTTATAGGAAATCTCATATAAATCTAATTTACTATAAGGAATTATATAAATATAGTAAATAATTGTTCTGTGTGTGTGTGTGTGTGTGTGTGTGTATTCTATTGGCTCTGTTTCTCTGGAGAACCCAGGTAACAAATTTCAAGAATTATGCAAAAGGGCCAGGAGCAGCGGCTCGCGCCTGTAATCCCAGCACTTTGGGAGGCTGAGGCAGGAGGATCATTTGAGGTCAGGAGTTTGAGATCAGCCTGGCCAACATGGTAAAACTCCATCTCTGCTAAAAACACAAAAATTAGCCAGGAGTGGTGGCACACGCCTGTAATCCCAGCTACTCGGGGGGCTGAGACAGAAGAATAGCTCGAACCTGGGAGGCAGAGGGTGCAGTGAGCCGAGATCATGCCACTGCACTCTAGCCTAGGCAACAGAGTAAGACTCTGTCTCAAGGGAAAGAAAAAAAATTATGCAAAAGGAGGAAGATGATAGACTTGCTCCTCAAAAATGCCCATAATATCCTGTGCCTAACCACACATTTACAATTAACACAAGAGTTAACTACTTACTTACCTTCTTAACTAGAGAAAGGGTCTTGAAGGATAGCAACTCATTTAACAGTCTCCTGTTAGACAAGTACTAGTATGATGCTTAGCTAATTGCAATGCTCAGTAATTGCTATTGAGGAAACAAATGAATAAGAGAATAACTTAGGTGTTTATCTAAGTTCTTTATAAATTTCAAGTAGGCTAAATGCTAGCTGAGGTCATTTGGACATGTTATTTTTGGTAGAAACACATTATAATTTTCATGTTTTAGAGCAGTTTAACTCTGAATGAATAAACATAAACTAAAACTTAATGTTTAAACTTAAGGCAAACTAAAATTATTAATTATAGCTTATTGTTAACTATACCCATAAACCCTATTTTGTTTTAGAACACACATAATCTAAACTGAACATTTATCTCCTTAAGAGTAATCTATATTATATGACAAAGAATCTGAGCTTCATGTGTACTGCATTCTAATCATGTGTAAAGCACTAGATTTACAGAATATCATAAAACTACTTGAGAATTATATGATTAAACTTCAAATAGGGCACAGCTTCAGGTAATTGTGAATGAAGAATGAAAGAGAAAAAAAACCCTCAATGTAGTCACACAAAATGGGTTCAATATGTATGAACAACTTGCATATTGAAAAAGAGATTTCACAAAGTATGAATTAGGAAGTATTAATATAAGCTCTCAAAGACTGGTCGATAACATACATGTTTCTTAAACATGGTAGAGTGCTCATTCAAATGTCACATGTTCTGAGACAAATTCAGCTGAAATGAAAAAATATATATATATTTCATTTTGACTAAATGTAATTTTTCTATAAAGGATAATTGTAAGTGATCTGAGCTAGGTTAATATGCTTTTAAACTCACTTTCATTTACATATGTTTATCATATATAAAGAAGAAGAAATTCTCTTTTCACTTGCTACAATTCTATTTTTTGCCTTTGGGAAAGGGTTAAGAAATTTATTCCCAATTTTAAGACAAAATATTACCAAATAACTTGAAAGTAGTAAATAAACATTTACTTTTCAAGTAGCAAATATTTTATATTATTTTATCATCCTCAGAAATCTTAATAACAAGATGAACTGATTATACACTTTTATACAGGCAATTAAATTCAGGAAAGAAAAAGGACAACTAGTAATCTATGAACTGTATGTTTACTTTGGTATATTTTTATCTTTGCAAGGTTACTACTAAAGAAATGATTTAATGTTCACCTTTAGTTGTAGTGCCTTCTCTAAGTTTTCAATCTTTCTTTCAGCTTTTCTCAGCTTCTGTAGCTCTTCTGAGTCTGTGAAAGAGCTCTTTGGGGACAAAGACCTTGAACGTTTCACAGGTGGTTCCTCGAGAATAAAACAAGGACATGGTTGAACTAGTTGGAACACTGGATTATGAAAGACATGCAAAATTAAAGAACAAGTAATTTTGAATACTAATAATGAATTATAAAAAAAAAAAAAATCCTGCATGGAATACCAGAGAAATAACAAGCGGAATTACCACAGTGCTACCGCTAAAGGTTTCTCTGTGACTCGTTAATGAGAATATTCATTTACATTTACATTGTTTCTTTCAGAATAATGATGTCCCATTAGGGAAGACTAAAGGGTTATAGACTCAGAAATGCAAGAAACCTCATTACAAAGGAGGGGATAGAGGCTGGTCTAATTGCTCTATAAGGGTCCAAGGTTACACTTGATAGGACAACCAGAAACAAGAGGGAAAGGATTTTTTTCCCTTTGAAATAGTTTAACACACTGTGAAGTTGAAGGAACAATATGCTTGAGGAATATAAATACAACAGACAGTAGATCTTATACCATAATGACCATATGGTCATTAACTATAATGTGGCTAACTAGAGACAAGAATACGTTTATATTATGTACAGCTTCATATACCAATCTGGAGAAAGAATATGTGAAAGCAACTATTAAGCTGGGCAACACAGTGCTCATCCTTACTGCATGGCCTTACAAAAAGAAAGAAAATTTTGGCCATAATACCCCTCTCTTTTTCTTGACTTTTATTAAAGGCAGAAAAAAGTCAAAGTCATACATTTTTAAATTTCAGCAATCGAGCAAGCAACCAAATTAGGCCCGGTAATGCTGTATTTCAATTTTATGAATGTTTTCTTTCATTTAAATAAAGTTCAGTGCTTGTGAAACTACTTCAAAATGGCAAGAAATGTATAATGCAGTTATGTTTTAATAAATAAATCTCATTTTCTGAAAATTACTAATAATTTCAGAGAGCATGAATAACAGTACCACAGAAACATGGTTCAAATTTTAAATACTTCCTTTATTAAGATAGTTTGTCCTACCCATAAGAAAAAATGGAAAGAAACAAAAACAATTATCTTAACAACATGGCTTCCTATTATAAAAACTATTATTCCTTTATTGCTGAAGTAACAAGCGTGTGAAAAATATGCTAAAACTCTTACTCTGAGGAAAATGTTATTTCAATTTATCTAGAAATAATGTATGTACTACATGATATTTTAGAATTTTTATATTAGTCAACATTCTGTAGAATCTTTTACAGCGTAACACAACTATGTAATGAATACTAAAAAAAATTGAGACATTAATAAACGAGAAACATGTAAAATTTGCTTATTTTTCTCTTAATGCTATCCCTTTAAATCTATAAAAATATATAACAAGTGCAGAAGTTAGTGTTAAAATTCATTTACTATTTTATTTTCCACACAGACAGTATTTTAAACATCATATCTGATTGAAAGACATATTAGATATATTTTTCTTTTAATTCAAATTAGAAAAGTGAGTAAATACCATTTAAAAATAAATTTTTAATCAGATAGATTAATATATGAGAGAGATGAGGAATACTTACCAAAGTTTTAATATAAGAATGTTAATTTACTGACAAAATGGGTATAGCACTAATAATATATTTAATTAACTAATTTGGGAATATAACTCAGTCTTTAAAAAGGGAAAACTCCTTACTCCTAAAACTTATTTAACAAGAGTTCGGTACATAATATTTTTCAAAAGTTTCCCGAAATACAAGCAGAGAAGTAAATGCTGCCATTTGTTTTTTAACTTCATCTCTTGTCTTTCCAGCCTCATCCTGGCAAATTCACAAAATGACAAAATGTCCCTACCTTATGTTTTCCTTCAGCACTTGTCATGATGCTCTTTCGGGAGAAACCCTTGTTGGCAGATATGTTTTCTGACAGTTTTTCATTTGCTATCTTTAGTTTCTCCTGTAAATACTCAATTTCAGACTTCTGTGAAACCATTAACGTTTCTAAGCTTGATAAGGATGGGCGATGAGGTACCTATTTTAAAAAGTATAATTGTAAATAGATATCTATGTTTGTATCTTACATTATTTATAAATAAATAGTTAAATGTAACACTATATTATAGAAATTGTAAATATTCAGAGAAGGAAATTTTCCTTTTAATAATAAACTAGCAGGAGCTGAACCTTTTCATTCCATAGAATAGTATTTTCCAATAAAATAACCAAGAGTCTATATGCAAGTATTTTCATAAATAATGCTGTCATATAGATTTCAAGGAAAAAAATTTAAAGCATGGCTGCATGATACACACCACTCATCTATAAATGAGTCATTTCAAATTTCTGATTATACACATATGTATTGCCTCACAAAACAGTCAATCCACCATCTGGTCATCAAGAGTCATACAATACCATAGAATATAAACCTGGGAAAAGGAAAACAACAGCATTATAAGTACAATCAGCTTTTACTGTAAACTAATTTAATAACAACTCCTCAAAGAACCCTGACAATTTTAAGTCAATATAGTTTACAGCATTCTCCTTTGAAATTTATTCATGTTTCAGATAAACTGCTAATGGTAAGCTCCACATTTTAACAACAGAAGTCACAGGAAAACTAATCTTGTAGGAAACCTGTTCATGAAAACTGGAATTCTGCAAAATTTGACTACCATCTCCACTGAATGTATTTGAGGCCATTAAAACCCATGCAAATTCGCTGTTTCAAATTAACAACTACATTTACAAAAACAAAAACACAGAATCACATGAAAACAGTTTTTGTTGACTTACAGGCAAACAAATGTCAAATCTTATGATTCTAACATTATCAATAAGGATCTAGTAGCCCTGAAAATATTTGCACTTAAACTGATGAAGGGCCCCATCCTTCCTAAATGATATTCCTAAGTACTATGAGAAAAATATATACGGTTAACTTTTTTGAACCAACAATGGGAAACATCATCCTTTTCCAATTGTGCCTGCTTTTTTCTTTTTTGAGAGGATACGCAAAATTTTCCTAATTCTAACCTGCAATTTGTATAATGAGAGGGACCATATTTGATTTATACTATTACACTTTTCTCATATTTAAATCACCTCATTTGTTTCCAACCTTTATTCTACCATATGATTATCTTCCTCAAAGTATTGTTTACATTGTACTGTTACCATACTTACAATATATTACTTATTTCATTATCTTGCTTTGAACATCAAATTAAAATATTTTAAGCATTTCTCTTCCAGGAAGTCTAAATGATTTTGCCCTATTCTTTTATCCCCATTTTAATCGTTGTACAACTTTTATTTTTTATCTTTTCTCCTGTTTTATAGTCAAACTTCTGAGGTTTAGAAATATTTCCTTTGGTTGGGCTGCCAAGCTAAACTATTTCAAAGGCTACCTGCTCTTGTCTAGGTTTCCTTTAATAAAATTATAAATGTTATATTAACATCCTATCATATACAAAATAAATTTTAAATAATTTGTTTAAGGTCAAACAAAAACTTAGAATAAAATCAGAAAAACATAATTTTAGTTTATTGGTATATCCAACAAGCAAACTTGTGTTCGTCAATAAATGAACTTCCTAAGTCATCAATGGATTATAATGCTATAGCTAGGAATATTATAAAATTAATATTCAGTCAAGAAGCTATGATAAATAACTCAAATATAAGACATTAACAATGCTCCAACAGTGGATACTGTCACTATAATAATGGATTCATTTTTAATATTTCTACTGATATTATATTAATGATATTAATATTTTTGATAACAATAAAGGATATTTAGGCAGCATTCCTTCAAAATTCCTCAATAAAAAATCAGAGAACTTCACAATTAAAATACTATCAAAGAGTGAATAGAAGCCAGGAAGATAATGCAGATAAATAAATATGTGTTTTAAAGTAATAGCTTTAAAATTCATCCAACAGAGGCATTTTGCATACATATTAACCAAGTAGATATGTTCCTCCCCTTCACAAAGTAACTTATTCATGTTCCCATTTTCTTTAAGTCTGGTTTGTCTCTCTCTTGCCTTTTATCACTTTTGTTACAGACATGTTTACAAGAAGTGTTTTACATTTCTCCTAATAAAACCATTTTTTTAAGTATTAAATATGAGCAAAATGAAGTGTCAACACTCAGCCCCACTGCTGAGTGGTAAGGAGGGAATTCAGGGCAGTTGCCGCTCAACTCCAGCCAATTGTTTTCAGGGAAGAATGTGCCCCACTGTTGCTAGATTTACTGATTTTTCACGAAAAGCAAAGAATTAGGATTTCTAAGGAGAGTGTCCAAATTTTCAAATGTTGGTTGGACCCAGTTTATGGGTTACTTTGAGAATGTGGTAGTGGGTAGAAGTATAATCTGCTATCAATTTTCTAGAGAAATTATGAAAGATGCATCAAAGCTCATAAAAATGTACCAAACCTTTAATTTACTTCTAATTATGCTGAAGGCTAAAATGGAAAGATATCTATGATAAACTGAGAAAAGTAGGGTACAAAAGGGTATATTATATGTAGAAATAGATTTCACCAAACATGCATAAGGTACAAAAACAACCCTGAAATGTTACAGTGTGATTTCTAAGTAGAGGGACTGTAATATGAATTATTTTCTTTGTACTTACCTGAATTTCCTTAAAGATTTTACAATGGACATGTCACTAAATGCTTTTTTTTTTCTTTTTTGAGACGGAGTTTCACTTTTGTTGCCCAGGCTGGAGTGCAATGGTGCAATCTCGGCTCACTGCAACCTCTGCCTCCTGAATTCAAGCAATTCTCCTGCCTCAGCCTCCTGAGTAGCTGGGATTACAGGCATCTGCCACCATGCCCAGCTACTTTTGTATTTTTAGTAGAGAAGGGGTTTCACCATGTTGATCAGGCTGGTCTCGAACTCCTGACCTCAGGTGATCCACCTGCCTCGGCCTCCCAAAGGGTTGGGATTACAGGCATAAGCCACTGCACCCGGCCTAAATGCTTTTCAAAATAGAAATATTTATTTTTTTGCAAATAAAATGACTATGAGTTCAATGTAAAAATTTCAGTATAGGTAAGGGAAATATAAATAAAAGTCTCTTCACAATCTCATCCCTCAAAGTTCCTACTAGTAAGTTTGTGATATATCTCTCAGACTTTGAAAAAAAAAAAAAAAAGGAAACAGCTGGGTGCGGTGGCTCATGCCTGTAATCCCAGCACTTCGGGAGGCCGAGAAGAGCGGATCACGAGGTCAGGAGATCGAGACCATCCTGGCTAACACGGTGAAACCCCGTCTCACTGTGGCAGACGCCTGTAGTCCCAGCTACTCGGGAGGCTGAGGCAGGAGGATGGCCGTGAACCTGGGAGGCGGAGTTTGCAGCGACCCAAGATTGCGCCACTGCCCTCCAGCCTGGGCAAGAGTGAGACTCCATCTCAAAAAAAAAAAAAAAAAAGGTTAACTACTATATTTTTGTCATTTAACATACTTTTTAAAAATTAATAGACTTTATTTTTTACAACAGTTTTTTTATGTAAAGAAAAACTAAGCAGATACTATGCAGAGTTCTCCCTGACCTCCTACCCCCACCCACTCAGTTTCCCCTATTATTAACATCTTAAATTAGTATGGTACATTTGTTACAATTACTGAACCAATATTCATACATTATTAGTAACTGAAGGACATAGTCTATTCATATTTCCTTAGTTTTTTCCTAAGGTCCTTTTTCTGTTTCAGGATCCCATCTAGGATACATTACATTTAGTTCCTATATCTCCTAGAGCTCCTTTTGGCTGTTTTCTCAGACCTTCCTTGTCTTTCATGACCTTGACAGTTTTCTGTAGGATGCCCCTCCTTTGGGATTTGTCTGATGTTTTTCTCATGATTAGACTGGGGTTATGAGTTTTGAGAAGGAAGATCATAGAGGTAAAGTGCCATTTTCATCACATCATATCAAGGGTATATGCTATCAACATGATTTATGACTGTTGATATTCAGTTTGATCACCTGGCTGAAGTAGAGTTTTGTCAGATTACTCCACTTGTAAAGCTACTCTTTTCTCCCCAGCCATACTGTACTTTTTTACTTGCTTTTTAAAAACTTAATAATCTCAAACATATACACATATAACTATTATATGTATAAGTAATAAAATATATGATATACATGTATATCATCATAGATCTCCATATATCCTTACATATCTTTAACCTTTTTAAGGGCTGCTTTACATGTATAGCAAAATCAAGTTAACCAATCCCCTCTCTGTGGAAGTTCATTCTATTACCCTTAAAATCCTAGAATCTTTGAAAAGTTAACTTTCCTTCCTAACAATTATTCACATTTTATAAATAAATTTTTTTCTCTAATATTAAAAATATTTTGCTCCCTTTTAGTTTACATTCTTGAAATACAATGGTATAGTGCTATACTATAATTAATCTGAAGAAAAATGATTCGTGGACTGACTACACGGCTAAAGGCTCCCAGGTGGAAATAATCTTTTTAAATTGCCATTGTTAACACATAACTTTATTTTTCACACTGACTCACAGAGCTAATTTTAATTGAAAAGTTCTGTAGAAGATATATATTAAATAGAATAGAAGGCATGGGGGAAGGGCCTTTAGGTGTTATACAAATTACTATTTTTTAAATTATACAACTTAAATATATAGTCATGTTGCATTAAATCCAAGAAATATTGTAGGGCATTATTACAGTGGGGGCCGACTGAATATTGCCTAATACATAGAAAATTGTTTCACAGCTATAATAATTACAAAAATTGTAACTTAAATTGTTTTATTAGCAAATTATAATTAAATATTTTTTCCTACTACATTGCAATGATGATAATAATTAGCATTTAGCAAAAAAGTGTTTAGTTCCTACCTCTGGCTAAGCATTTTGCATACATTATCTCACTTGTTTTAAGAAATTTACGAATTCCAAACCTGTCAACACATAACAAAGCCTATAGCAAAACAAAAACATTTCTAAAAGCACATGATACCTCAGCAAAAGAAATACTTTTTCTTAAAACAATATATCACTGAAAATCAAGTACGGGTCAAGTGTGTGTGTGCGTGTGTGTGTGTGTGTGTGTAATAAAATCTGTTACATGTGTATATAACATATCTAACATACACGTATATATCAGAAAAACTAACTACTTGAATGACGGTTCTCTGAAAACTAATTCAAACCCTCTGGGAATACAACAGAGTATATAATTGTCTGTGTATACATACACACACACACACACACACACACACACACACACATACATACACATGCACACACACTTTTCTTCTCATGAAATGCCCATATTCAGAGATTAACTTTATATTTAAAATTGATTTCAGAAATGCAGCAATATGTCTATTACCAATTAATAAAGTAAACATTGTTAGCTGAATCATCTATATCCTGAAAATAAATGACTTTAATAATAGTCATATATTCTTGTAAAAAAAAGAAAAAGAAAAAGAATATCAATTTAACATAATATTGTAAATCAAAATAGTGTTATAATAAAAATTCACAAATAAAACTAAGGGTACTAGTTTAAATTTATACTTCATTTTTAGAAAGACCACTATATTGAGTAATAAAATGTCTAATATCAACAAATTCATCTAGCACTCCTTTTAAAAATATAAATATTTGCATTTCTTCCATCTACTCACTTTTAACCAAATATTTTCAGGTAGCATTTGTAATTCACAAAATAAAATTAAATTATTGACTACATTTGAGTAAAAAATAAACTATCACCATCTCCGCTTATAACACTATCACATTATAGCAAAATTCAGTAATAAACAAGTCAGTCAAATTTAGCTTTCCTTTAGTATCTAAATACTTACATGGTACAGTCAAGTTGTTAACAGCAAAATAAAATGGAAGAAAATTAATTCCAAAACTTTAACTTCTTCCATATACCAAATAAAACTTAACACCGAGTGGGTTACAACCCAATTATACTTATATCCAGTAGATGACAATTATGGGTATATACATACATCCAGTAAATGACAGTAGCATCTTTGGTACAAAATTGAGCAACCACAAGCTAAGTATTTATTCTATGACATGTAAATATCACACTGTACTGACAAAAATTAGTAATATTTACATGTCACACAAGAGGGTTTAGAATAACTCCACAATTTACAAATTACCTATAGATTCCAATCCTAAGAGTAAACTAATCCTGACAGTGCTTAAAAGCTAGAATGAAAAGACTGATTTTTCTATAAATTTCTTTTTATCTTAAATAGCAAAATAAAACACATTCAGATTTTTCCAAAATATGTTATAAGCCTCACATTCTGCCAGAATTTGCAAATCTGGTTATTTAAAATGTTTCTGTTAGTGGCATCCTAAAATGAATTTCTAAAATTCATGGAATTAAACTTTTTTGTGGTGTATCTCTAAATATGTGACTTCGGGGTATAAGCCATTACTTACTATAATACATACTCTAAGTTTTATAAACACTTATGTCACCAGTAAAACAACCAAAATTTGTGCATTAATGGTATAAGCAAGGGACTATGCTTGTTATACATTATCATCTCTATACATTAAAACCTCAATCATACTCGAATTCACTAAAGTGTGGTTTTCAATCTGCTAACTATGCATTCCATAATAGCCTGTAATTATTAAAAACTGACAAGAAAGCTACGCCACCTGTGTTTATGTGAAGCCAGGTAATGAAAAAAACAACAACGCTGTCATCACCTCTCAATTCCTGATTGCATTATCAAAACTGTAGCCGAGTTTGGCATCTGGGTGTGACCTTGTTAACTGCTAGGGTAATTAAATTTATTCTACTGGGAAAAAGGATGATAAATTATTAGCAAGAAGATTTTGTTCACATTTTATTAAATTGGCCTGTCAAAGGGTTGGCCAAATTATCAAGGGCCTCATTTATTGGAGACCAGCCATATTGCCACATCTGTTACAATTATTTATAATTTCAGCAGTTGAAAACCAACTGAGTTAGGCATCCGCCATGTAAAGTAATTTACAAATTATCTGATGAGGGAGTGTTTTAGCTTCTCCCTCATTTCTAGCCAGCAGAAAGCCGCGCTGTAATTACAGAACACGATTAGGTTCTTTGGGGAACTTATCTTGCACACATAGCCATAGTAAGATGCAGCAAGAACATATGGAGGAGCTTGTGCTTCTACTCCCTGAAGCTCGTGACCCGCCTGCCGCTGAGCCCTTGAGTTGAATTTGAATGAGAGTGCCATGGCTAATGTTCTACACATGCACCATTTATGCCACAAAACAAATCGGATCACTGTTAATTATGAAGCAGCTATAATCAGGCCTTCACATCTGTGTAATGTGAAGCGCAGTAGGCTGTATTCCAATAATGTATGACTACCTTTGGGTTGCAAATTGCGAGCCATATTGCCTCAGTAGTAGTTACTGAATTCAGAGTAACTCCTTTGATAAAAGCCCATCACATGGATATTTTTATCCAGCTTTATATGAAAAAAAAGCAAATCCACAAGCCTTTATCAGCTATTGACCAGAACAGTTAAAGCATATGGCATAAGTTCATTAATGAACAACACAGAGCACTCTAATTTAATGAAACCACTTGAGCCATAAAAATCAGATTTAGTTAATTCCCTCTTACCCATTTTTTCATATTTAGCCTAAACCTAGGATTCTATTTAATATTACAAGTTATCAAGGCATACATTTTTTACAAATTCATAAAGAATATAAAAAAGCTTGTGTTGTATTATTTTAAAAGGCAATCATAGGTTTTATATTTTACAAATTAATTTTCATCACAAATTTCATGTATGAAAGCATAAACTATTTGTTTTTTTAGAAAGTAAAGCCTAGCAGCTGTATTCTAACAAAAAATACTCTTTACTCCATGAGAAATTTTTCTGTGGAAAGGCAGCTAAACAAGCTGCACCCAGATGGCAAACCAGCTACAGTTTAATTAATCCACTAAAAGCCATTCAGATTTCAGTAAGGGTAATGTAATTTTGAATAATAGTAGGAAAAAAAAAATCACTAAACATTCTTAAGTTTTATTACAGCGGCAAGAGAAGTGCCACTATAGAGTAGTTAAAGTTGAGTTGCAGTTTCCATTAGATATGCTAAATTTCTAGATTTTAATATCTTGGGCTGTTTCATTCTGCTTGGAACTTAAAGTAAGCTTGAAATATCAGAATATCTATTGGCAGCCTTCTTTTTATAGCAGAAATGGTTTATTTTTCATGCAGGATAGTGGAGTTGAATGATAACAAGTTCAAATTTTGTGAATATAATACACAATGGCCTTTAGAAAAAAAGTTTATAGTTAAGACTTACAAAAGATAAAGACTTCAAATTTTTCTTTTAAATAAAAATGTCTTTCATTTATTAAGGCTAAAAATCATATCATAACATTATATTTTACTGCTAAGTTGTTCTCTCCTGAAAATTGATTAAATATCAAACTATCCAAAAATCATTTCCCATATATTTGTGTGGTCATATCTACATATACAACTGAATTAAAAATATAAATTACTGAATATAATTAAATCAAGCAACAAATTACAAGGCAGTTTTCATTTACAATAATGCTGAAGAATAAATCAAGTCAACTTTTCAAATTAAGTTTACACATATAAACTCGAAACTAATTAAGTATAAAAATACGATGATAAGCATAATATAAAAGTACTATCTTTGTGGCACCTTGACCTAATATATTGAAAGTTATTTTGATCCTGTACAGTAAGATACCTAGAGAAAGTATAAGATTGATATTCTTCCATGCTGAAAATGAGAAAAAAATGGAATAGAAACAATAATAAAGTAAAAATCATAAAAACCAAACAAAAGCAAACCAATTATTAACTCTGGCATAATATTTTGCAACTAAAGTATGACAAAAGTTACCAGCATTCTGAGCCCAAGTAAAGGTACTACAATCAGATCTTCTCCCTACCACCTGAAAAACCAGAATACTGTACTTTAGTTAATGCCAAATAGTCACTATCAATATCAGACCCTCTGGCAAGAAAATAAAGCTAACTACTACTGACATTTTTTCTCCACGTCACAATTAGATATACCCTTCCAAATGTTAATTCTTTACTGCTCTTACTTCCTACTTCCTACAATTGTTATGTCAAGGATTTTCATGTGTTCATTCAAAAAGCATTTATTGAACTTAAGACTGTCAATCACTGGAGAAGGCAGTGGGGAGAAAAGGATAAGGCATCAACTCTCCTTGCCCTCAAGGAGCTCAGAGTCCAGAGATGGAGATACACAAGGAAAACAATTAAGTTTAACATCTGCTAATGCAGAAAGAGGTACGTGGAGCTCAATCTTAAGAAAAAGTCTTCAAAAAAAGGTCTCAATTATCTTGGAACTGAATCTACAAGGTCTAGAAAGTATTAACAAAGTGGGCAAATAATATACTGTGACGAATATTGTATAGCACTCATTCCCTAACATATATTTAAAGGGTCATATGTATCTGTAAGCAAACAAGATAAAAATACAAGCTGACAGAATATTTACAAAAGAAAACTACATAAAAGTGAAAGTGAAAAACCTCACTAGTTTCCAAAGAGATAATAAAGGAATAAATTTGTTTTGAAAAACAAAAGGCTGTTTTTAAATTATAATAAATAATTGCAAGAATACAAAATGTGGGCAATCTCACATACTGTGAGAAGATAACTTGGTATAATCCTGCTGGAATGCAGTTTGGCAGGGAATATATATTCAAAAGCCTTAGGTTCATAATCTTTGACAAAGTAATTCTAGTGTTAATAATTCATCCTGAGGAAACAATCAGGGATCAGAATAAATATATATAAATGAGGCCAGACACGGTGGCTTGTGCCTGTAATCCCAGCGCTTTGGGAGGCTGAGGTGGGTGGATCACCTGAGATCAGGAGTTCGAGACCAGCCTGGCCAACGTTGTGAAACCCCGTGTCTACTAAAAATACAAAAACTAGCCAGGTGTGGAGGCTCGTGCCTGTAATCCCAGCTACCTGGGAGGCTGAGGCAGGAGAATCACTTGAACCCAGGAGGCGGAGGTTGCAGTGCACCAAGATCACGTCATTGCACTGCAGCCTGGGCTACAAGAGTGAAACTCCATCTCAAAAAAACAAACAAACAAACAAACAAAAGGCATTGGAATATATTATTTAAGAAAACATAGTTTTAAGAGGCAGGAATTCATAAACAAAAAATCCAACATGGTAGTTATCTTCATGGAAAAAAAAAGAAAGATGGAATCAGGAAAGAGTACATAGATATAATCAAGATTATTTGTGACAGTTGCTGGTGAGTATACAGACATTACATTTATTCTTCTAGAGGTTGCAAATATTTTGTAATAAAAATTATAAAAAGAGAGTAAGAACATAAGGGAAAACAGCTAAAGAAAATTCTCTTCAATTGAGGAAAGCAAGGAAGAGAGAGTAACTATGAAAAGAAATAAAAATCAACAAGACTGGTTAAAATTTGCAACTCATCTTGTGGTCTTGCCATTAGCCACATGGCATGTATCTCATTCACAGATAAATATAGTAAACCCTGGCTTTCTCTCTTGTCCTCTACTGCAAGATATTCCTCCAAGGCAAAAAACATTATTTCTGCATGAAAAAGATAAACAATCGCTTTGAGATAAGAATAGGCAGTCATTCAGAATTCAGCTAGTGAAGAGCAGGGTGCTTAGAAATCAAGGGTCACAGGTTTCAATCCCCTATGAACCAATTAGCTTTGCCCTTTTCTATGGCAAAGACTGTCAGCTCACCAATAATTTGGATTACAAGTTGAGATAGGAGAAAGGAAAGATAAATCCCCACCAATATAAGAAAAAAAAAATCTCAATTTACTAACAAGTCTCTTCCCTGTATAATAAATTAAGAGCTAACATTTATTACTCTAAATGCCCACCATTCATTGTCTTGTGTAATCTTAATGAAACTCTAATGAGGTAAGTACTATTATAATACCCATTTTATAAATGTTGAAACTGAGTTGACAGAGAAGTAACTTGCCCAAGGTCACACAATTAAGTGATCAAGTCTATGTTCCAAATCCATGCATTCAGACTCTAGAATCTATGTTTTTATCCATTACTCTGTAAATAACACCCCCAAAATCCTGCACAAAAAAGTCCCACTAGAAGTATTTACAAATTTACAGATAGAAAAAAATGAAATAAAACCTTTCTACCATTTCCCCTCGACTGTATATTTCACTTTCCACTTAGTCTCCTATTAATCATTAAAGTATGATCGCTAGACCAGCTCCATCAGCCTGACCTGGAACATGACAGAAATGCAGAATCTCAGGCCCCAGCCCAGACGTACTGAATTAGGATAATAACTACTCCCACCCTAGGATGCTTGGATGTAGATTACAAGAAGTACTTAGCCAGACTATCCTCACTCTCTAGGATACACCACAAACTTTCTCACCTCTGGGCCTATGCCAGTGCGCTTCTGACAAGAAACCAGAAAGCCCTTAACAAAATGACATACGTTGTTTTCTCTGTGAAAGCTTTGGTAATCCCTTCCTCTCCATAAACATGCTCCTTGAAAAGCTTCTTTCCACAGGTTCCTATTTGTTTCATACTTCAATTACAACACATTTTGTAACTATTTTCTATCTGCATTCCTATCTATAAGATTCATAGAAACATAAATGGTGTTGTTCAGTTTCGTATCCCCTGTAAAAATACAATGGGATTTTAATAAATATTGCCTACATAACTGAATAAATGAAGGTTTAATGGATGGATGGATGGATGGATGGATGGATGGATGGATGGAATAAAGGATGGATGAAGAGGTGAGTCTAGTTGGACTGAATACTAAAAAGAGAGTATTGACATGATAAAGTATATGTTACTAATGGGCAGAAATGTTAAGTCACACATTTCTCTTCATTACTACTTCCCTAATTCTGGGCTTCCACATCTCTCCTCTATCTAACTTCAGAGTCCTCCTACTGCTAGGAGAGCTGTGAGAATAATCTTTCTTGCCTCAAAAAATAGCAAATTCATTTGTCCAGGTGGTTAGATCTGAAAAGCATGAATTCATTTTTAATTCCTCCTTTCTTCTCATATTTCACATATAAGTCAATATCAAAGTTTATGCATTCTAACTTTGAATTATTTACAGGCTCTAACTCCTTTTTATAACATAGTCTAAGTACCCACTGAGTTCTGCCTGCACTATTACAATTGCCTGTTAAATTTGTCTCCCTCCTCTCTTCCTTGCCTTCCTATATTCTGTTTTCTGCAATGCATCCAGAGTGATCTTTTAAAAATATTCAGTTAGGGCCCGGCGCGGTGGCTCACGCCTGTAATCCCAGCACTTTGGGAGGCCGAGGCAGGCGGATCACGAGGTCAGGAAACCGAGACCATCTTGGCTAACACGGTGAAACCCCATCTCTACTAAAAATACAAAAAAAATTAGCCGGGCGTGGTGGTGGGCGCCTGTAGTCCCAGCTACTCAGCAGGCTGAGGCAGGAGAATAGCGTGAACCTGGGAGGCGGAGCTTGCAGTGAGCTGAGATTATGCCACTGGACTCCAGCCTGGGCGACAGAGTGAGACTCCTTCTCAAAAAAAAAAAAAAAAAGAAAAGAAAAAAAAAATTCAGTTAGATCTCACCACTCTTCTGAATAAGTCACCCCAATAGGTTCCATGTTGCTCTTCTACAAAAAACACACCAACGGCTTTCCATTTCACTCAGAGTAAAATCTATATCCTTATAGTAACTTAACAAGGCCCAAGGAGACCTGTCCCACATTTACCTCTCTGAGATCATGTTTCACTCCTCTCCCCATAGCTCTCAATCTAGCCACACTCGCCTCCTTACTAGGCAAGCTCCTGCTTCATGAGCTTTGCATTTGTTCTCTCTGTTTAGAATGCTCTTCATCAGATATCTAAATGATTCACTTCTTCTATATTTCTTTTCTAATGTCACCTAATCAGAATGATTTCTTCTGCCACCATACACAAAAAAGCCCTATCACTCTCCATCATGCTCCATCTCATGCTGTATTATTTTTCTCCATAGCACTTATTACCGTGTGTCATGTGCTTATCAGATGGTAACCCTCTGACCTGAATGTATGCTCCATGAGCACAAAGGCCTTGTTTTGTTCCCTAACAGCTCTTCATCACCAAGAATAGCACCTAACACATAGTAGAATATCAATAAATATTTGTGGAATATATATTTAGATATATTAATTGATGGAGAGTTGTAGTTAACAGTATGATTCCTGCATTTTACTATAAATTTTACAGAAAAATATACTTTCAAATTTTCTATTTATCTATTTACCTGTCTGTATCTTCCATATAACATGAGAGCCATTATTTAAACTGTCCATAAAATGTACGTATTTTGAGGTCACCTCACTAGCTACACAAAGATTCTTATTCAGAGAAACATGCTAAACAGTATCCATCTATTATTCATTCACACGATTTTCAAACTCCACATATGTATGACATATACAAAGGAACAATAATAAAATTACATCAGATTTCTCACCAAAAATTATGCAAACCCAATGATAACGACATGATATCTTCTCAACATTAAGAAAAAAAAAAAACACTTTTTTCTTCTGTCTGGTTTAAGACAATTGCATTTAAAAAATTATAAATCTGTACTGATGGGCATACAATATATAAAGATGTAATTTGTGACAATAAAAGCATAAAGGGCAGGGGGAGAAACAAACGTACACAGGAACAATGTTATGTATTGACATTAAGTTCACATGAATTTCTATGAGATTGCTGTAAATTGTTAGTTATAATCCCCCCCAGGGTAAGCACTAAGGAAATAACTGAAAAATATATAGTAAAAGAAAAACAAAGGGATTAAAATATCACACTAGAAAATATTACAAAAAAAGGCAGTAATAGAGGAAAAGAGGAACAAAACAGACATAACACATATTAAAAATAGCAAAATTGCAGATTTATATCTTACCTTACCAATACAGACAGCCCTTGACTTAAAATGGTTTACCTTATGATTTTTCAACTTTACAATGGTGTGAAAGCAATATGCATTCAGTACACTCCTTGACTTATGATATGGCTAAAACCAGATAAACCAATTATAAGCTGAAAATATTATGTCAAAAATGCACTTTCAACTTGCAATATTTTCAACTTACAATAGGTTTATCAGGACATAGCCCCATCCTAAGTTAAAGAGCATACATTAAGCCCTCAAATTATAGGTGGAATTTAAGACAGAATAAATTTTAAAATCATAATTCAACTATATGGTGTCTACAAGAGAAACGTTTTAGATTAAAAGGCACATATATTGAATGTAAAAGTATGGAAAACGATACAACATGCAAACAGTTACCAAAAGGAAGCTGTGGTGGCTATATTAATATCAGACAAAATAGACTTTAAGACAAAAATTGCCACTAAAGGTAAAGGACATTTTATAATGATAAAAGAATCGATTCATCAAAAAGAGATAACAATTATAAAAATACATGCACTTAACAAAAGAACCCCAAAATACATGAAGCAAAACCTGATAGAATTAAAGAGAAAAAAAGACAATTAAACAATAATGATGGGGAAAAAAACTAGACAGAAGATCAGCATGGAAACAGAAGACTGGAAGAACATTACAAGCCAATCAGACCTGAAAAAACAGAATAGAACAGAAAGGAGAAATAGACAAACCTACAAGTATGGTTGGAAAAATTCAACATCTCTCTTAGTAATTGATAGAATAGGTAGAGAAAATCTATACAGATAAAGACCTAAACAACAATATCAAGAAACTTGACCTAAATGACATTTATAGAATATTCTACCCACAAAAGTAGGATACATATTCTATTCAAGAATTCAATATAGATGGGTAAAACATCAGAGTAACCACAACAGAAAAGAGAATGTGTGAACTCAAGGAAACATCAAGGTTCAAGCAAACAGAAAAAAATCTTTGAAGATACAAAAAAGAGCTCAAAATATATATGGAATACAGTGAAAAGGTCTAATATGTGTGTAATTGGAATCTCACAAGGACAGGAGAGAAAGAATGTGCAGAAGTCATATTTGAAGACATTTTTACCACAAATTTTCTAAGAATGAAGAAAACCAAAGCCACAGGCCATGGCTGACAAAAGCTTTAAAAACTGAAAAACCAGGAAAAGGAGAAACACTACCACATTGAAATCATATAAAAACTGCTAGAAACCAAAAATAAAGAGAAGCTATAAAAAGTAAACACAAAAAGGACACACTACTGTTAAAGTTGCAACAATAAGAGACATGCCTTCTCAATACAAAATACAAAAAACAACATATATCATCTTTAAAATAAAGACAGAAAAGATGGTGCAAATCAACAGTTCTATCCATCTAAAAAATACTGTTCAGAAATAAAGGCAAAAGAAAGACATTATCCAAAAAATACAAAATGAGAGAATTCACTGTGAGATGATGCCCAATAAAATAAATACTAAAAGGAGTGCTTAAGGCAAAAGGCAAAAGATCCTAGTGGGAAATACAGAATTGCACAAAAGAATAAAGGGATTAAAAAGTGTAAAAATTCTAAATGAAATTGATTTTTTACAACAATAATATTTTATGGGGTAAAATAGATGTATAATTAAAATGCAAGACAATAACAATAATTGGTGATAAGATCAACAAGTTATAGTCTATTAAGTTCACTGCATTGTATAGAAAATGATTTAAAAAATCAGTTAAAATAGTCTTTAAAAAGTCAAAGATTGGGAAGTTCCATTTACAATAATGACAGAGTAGATCCTATCAGAATAAATCTACCACACACGACCATTTAAACTCCAAGCAAATTATAAACAACTACCTGAAGGTAACAGAGAATGATCAAATGTAGGCAGAATCTAGATAAGAACTGATAGTTGGAAAATGGAACAGCATTGGCTAAGTTACCCATTCTGATGAATTTTTACCTTAGCAAGGCCCACAACAGAAATAACGTTAGGAGACTAAAATTCCAACAGAAACTTTGGAAGTTCAGTCATACCTCTGCAGCTACAAATTGAGGGGAAAAGTTCCAGAAAAGAGAGAGTCAAAACTATGAACTCATAAATGAACTGTTCATGCACTAAGCAGACCTCTAAGCAATCTGAATAAGGTTAAGATAACCGAAAAGCAATTCACTGCCACCCACCTGTTGGGACGCAGGGCTTGGAATTTAAATCTGACCTAATTAAAATTCTGATTCATATATTTATTTCAACACTTCCATGAGTAATACAACAGAAACCAGAGTCTCTATAACATATATTTTACAATATACACCATATAATTCCAAGTTAGAAGAAACAATGTATGACCCATATTCAAAAGAAAAGGGAAAACAATAGTGATCAAACCAAAGAAGACCCAATAGAGAAGGAAAATACGGATTTTAAAGGAGCTATTTTAACTACTATAACAAGGACTTATATTTGCAGAATAATTCACATAAAAGACTTAAGAGCAAGTTGGGCATAACAGAAATTTCAGTTAAACTGAATATAAAGTAATAGAAACTATCTAATCTGAATAATATAGATATAAAACAATTTTTAAATAATTAACAGAGCTGGCCGGGCACAGTGGCTCACGCCTGTAATCCTAGCACTTCAGGAGGCCAAGGCAGGCAGATCACCTAAGGTCAGGAGTTTGAGACCAGCCGGGCATGTGCTGAATGCCACTTGGAAGGCTGAGGCAGGTGAATCACTTGAACCCAGGAGGCAGAGATTGCAGTGAGCAGAGATCATGCCACTGCACTCCAGCCTGGGCAACACAGAGAGACTCTGTATCAAAAAAAATAAAAATTTACAGAGCTTTACTAATCTGTGGACCAACACTGAAAAATCTAACATAAGGGAAATGGTAATCTCAAAAGGAGAAAAGAAAGAACAGGAAACAAAAATATTTGCGAAAATAACATCAAAATTTTTTTCCAATTTGGTTTAAAAATTATGAAAATCAAGAAGCTCAGCAAACCACAAGATGGATTACTATAATGAAAATCAAGCTTGGGAACATCATAGTTTAAATGCTAAGAGTCAAAAGTTAAAATCTTGGGGAAAAAAGGAAAGCCGGACAAAACTGACACATTACGTTTAAGTGAATAATGAAATGAGTTCCACTGAATTACCATCAGAAACTGTGGGTCTAGAGGATAGAAGAGTAAAACTTTTAGATTAAAAAAAAAGCCAGTTAATTAATCCAAAAGGAAGGAAGAAAAAGAGAGGCAGAGAAACGAAAAACAGGATGAACAGAAAACAAATGATAATATGGTACACCTAAACCCAATCATATTATAATTATGTTACAATTCAATGGATTAACACTGCAATGAAAAGGAAGAAATTGTCAGAATGGATTATAAACAACAGGATCCGAATATATACGCTTTAAATATACAGTAACCTATGTGCTGAAATTAAAAGAATGAGAAAGTTATACTATGCAAAATATAACCATTAAAGGGAAGAATTGGCTATACTGACATCATAAAGGTACATTTCAAGCCAACAAAATATTATAGTTAAAAATGACATTTTATAATGAGAAAGGGTTCCATTTATCAGAAAGACATAACAATCATAAATATGCATACAACTAATAAAACAGCTTTAAAACCCATGAAGCAAAAATTGAGAAAACTCAAAGGAGAAACAAAAATCTACAATTATGTGAGAGATTTTAACACTCCTTTCTAAAGCAATTGATAGAAAAACTAAACACAATCATTAAAGACATAAAAGATCTGAATACTATCAAGTGCAATGACATAACTAATATTGATATTTAAGGAGCACTCTGCCCAGTAGTTGCAAAATACAAATTATTCTCAGGTACATATAGTACTTTCACCAAAACAATATGCTTGGCTTTATGACAAGTCTCAATAAATATCAAAATACAGGCTGGCGTGGTGGCTCACGCCTGTAATCCCAGCACTTTGGGAGGCGGAGGTGGGTGGATAACGAGGCCAGGAGATCGAGATTGTCCTGGCTAACACGGTGAAACCTTGTCTCTACTAAAAATACAAAAAAAAAAAAAAAAAAAAAAATTAGCCGGGCTTGGTGGCGGGCACCTGTAGTCCCAGCTACTCAGGAGGCTGAGGCAGGAGAATGGCGTGAGCCCAGGAGGCGGAGCTTGCAGTGAGCCGAGATCGCGCCACTGCACTCCAGCCTGGGCGACAGAGTGAGACTCTGTATCAAAAAAATAAATAAATAAATTATATATATATATATATATAATATATATATATATATATATAAATACAGTAATCTTATCGAGTACTACCTGTGACCACAATGGAAGTAGATTAGAAGTCAGTAACAATAAAACAGGAAACACACATACACAAAAATATTTCAAAAGTAAACAAGACACTTAAACTCAGCAAATAGAAAATCCAAAGGAAAATCAGAAACATTTCTAAACGAATGCTTATTTGTAGAAATTGAGGAGCTCATAGTAAAATTACTACAAAAAAGCAAAGGAGCAAGAACATACAGAATATTCTTGAAAAAGAATAAAGTAACTTACATTACCCTCATTTCAAAAGTTACTATAAAGCTACATATATGAACAGGCATATAATCTGGACTTTGTTCTATTGACTATTTTGTCAATTATTATACTAACACCATACTGTCTTGATATTTTAGCTCAATAAATAAGTCTTAAATCAGGGAGTGTAAGTCCTCCAACTTCTTCTTTATGAAACTTGATTTTGCTCTTCTAGGTTCTTTGCATTTCCCTACAAATTTCAGAATTGATTTGTCAATTTCTTTTTTTTCTTTTTTCTTCTTGATATGGAGTCTCTCTGTTGCCAGGCTGGAGAGCAGTGGCGCAATCTTGGCTCACTGCAACCTCCGCCTCCCACGTTGGAGCAATTCTCCTGCCTCAGCCTCCCGAGTAGATGGGACTACAGGCACGCGCCACCATGCCCAGCTAATTTTTGTATTTCTAGTAGAGGAAGGGCTTTCACCAGGTTGGCCCGGATGGTCTCTAACTCTTGACCTCATGATTCGCCCGCCTCGGCCTCTCAAAGTGCTGGGATTACAGGCGTGAGCCACCGCACCCAGCCGTCAATTTCTTAAAATAACAGAAAAAGCCTCCTGGGAGTTTGATTGGGATCTTCTGCCTTAAAAAAAAAAAAAAAACAGAAAAACCCTCCTGGGATTTTGATTGGGAATCTTTCTGTCTTTGGGGGAACAGAAAGATTTCTTAAATGAAATACCAAACCAATAACTATAAATGATTAATCCGCCTAAATTAAAATTAAGAGGTGGCCAGGCACGGTGGCTCATGCCTGTAATCCCAGCACTTTGGAAGGCCACGGCGGGTGGATCACCTGAGGTCAGGAGTTCAGGACCAGCTTGACCAACATGGTGAAACCCCGTCTATACTAAAAATAAAAAGATTAGCCAGGTGTGGTGGCAGGCGCCTATAATCCCAGCTACTCGGGAGGCTGAGGCAGGAGAATTGCTTGAACCCAGGAGGTAGAGGTTCCAATGAGCTGAGATCGCACCATTGCACTCCAGCCTGGACAACAAAAGCAAAACTCTGTCTCAAAAAAAAAAGAAGTAATTTAATTTCTGTTCATCAAATGACACCTTGAAGAAAATCAAAAGAAAAGACAAGTACACAGTGAGATATCTGCCATATATTAACTTACTAGGGATTAATATTAAGAATATATAAAGAGCTTTTGAAAATCAGTAAGAAAAAATCCAATAGAAGATTGAACAAAAAAGACATAAACAGATAGTTCACAAAAGAAGACACATACTGGCTAGTCAGTGATATGCACATAAAAAACAAAATAAAATATTATTTTATACTCATTCAATTGGTAATGAATTAAGAAGTCTGACAACACCAAGTGTTGAGTAGGACAGGAAACAACCAGATCTCTTTTATATTGTTGGTGGTAGTAAAACTGATAAAACCACTTTGAAAAACAGGTGATCAGTATCACCTAAAAGTAACATTTTCACACTTTATAGTCCAGGATTTCTACTCCTAGATATATAACCCACAAAGATGCATGAACGTGTACGTCAAGAAACATGTGCGAAAATGTCAACAGTAATATTACCCATAACAGTAAAAATGGAAATAACCAAAGTTCTCATCTAGAGATACATGTAAAAATAGTTATGATATACTCACATATAATAGAATGTTTTTAAACAGTGAAAACAAACACCTATATCAAAAAACACGGATAAATCTTAGTAACATAATGATGAGTCAAAATTGCCTAACCCCATAAACAACACATTATATCATTTTTTTGAATGACTAAACAATAAACTGTTTCCTCATAAATTTGTATATGATAAAACTGTTTAAAAAAATCAAAATGATAAGAAGTTTGGTGGTTACCTCTTGTAAGAGAATCAAAGCACATACAAGTGGATGTAAGCCATTTGTAATGATCTAGTCTTTGGATAAGTTGGTTGAACCAAGGGTGTTTATTATAATAAAGAACTAAACAAAGCCATTAAATTAAATTGTCATATGCATACAATAGTATGTCATAACACAAATTTTATCATTGATCCAATATTGTATGCCTGAAGTCCAAAAAATGCATACAATATGGTACAATTTTAAAAATTGTTGTCATAAGGTTAATTAGCAAGACAAATGTGCTGCGTTCAAAAATTACAATCCATTACTGAATTAATACATTATAAAATTTAAAGAAAAGCTATGAGAGCCTTAAAAACACTTAAATAAATTCACAGAGATTTTTTTAAAGATGTTTAGAGTTGAAAGTTGCCCTGAAGATTATCTAAAAAGGTACCACTTAACATTTTCTATATGCTAAGCTCTGCAACCAGATCCTACATATTTATCTATACATTTATACTACCTTCATTTACCACAGGAAATAGTAAGAAAGGTTACATGACCTGTCCAAAATCATGTTATCAAGGTAGTGGTAGAATTAGGACTATTGGATACTGAGTACCGAATACCAGGCATTATGGCAAGTACTTTATGAAACTTAGTTAGATACTTTCTATTCCATTAGCTCATTCAGTTAAAAAGTCTCAAAATGGGCATGACCTATTAATTTGCTTTTCAATAATGTATATCAGCCAAATGTTTCATCACGATAACTATATTTGCTAGACCCTGTACTTCTACATGCACTTCTATATAAATTTGTATTGTATGTAATATTCATGCCTACAAACAGTATAAAAACAGTATAATGCAAAACAATCTGCACACTTCTTATACTCCAATAAATGCAAATATATTTAAATTTTTATGTTTTAGTCAATTGTAGGAGATGATTTCATTTAATATTACACTGAATAACAGTTTTAGAAAATGTCTCTCACCTGTGCTGAGTAGTCTGGATCACTTTCTTGAGGTAAAGGAAGAGGTGCTCCCTGTGATTCCTGAAGTTTTTCTTTTAACTTAGCATTTTCTTGCTCTTTTTGTAATAGCTGATCCTGAAGATTAGTAACACTTTGCCGGAGCATAGCTTCATTTGATTTTGTGGTTTCAAAACAAATATGTAACTCATTGTAAAGCTGTTTCAAAAAATATATCCAAATTATATTAATAATCAATAAAACTATGTGTCTGTGTGTCTGTGTGTGTGTGTGTGTATATATACATATGAACTGTATAAACACAGTTCTTGCCCTCAGGTTATTTTAATAGTCTCAGAGAGAAAGAAGATATAAACACAAAAAATAACTAATTTATATAATAATATGTTTAATATTTAATTTTTTAACATTTAAAATGTGATAAAAACTAGAAAATATGTTAAAAAGGCAATATGTATTATTAGCCAGTGTAATATAGGAAAAGAATGCCAAATTTCTGAGGAAGAAAATACTTTAAGCTAGCTGTATTAATCATGGAGGGAATTATGAAAAAGGACCTGAAATGAACCATGACAATATAATTGGAATTGACCAAAAACAAAAAGTCATTCTAAAGATAGAAGAAATGTGAAAAAAAATTATGTACAACGATAGGAAAGGACAGAAAGGAGCACAAGGTATATCAGTTTAATCGGACTTAACATATACATTTGAAAGAAAACAAAATCAGGAGTATTTCATTAACAGTTAATTAATGTTGAATTCTACATTCTTATTAAGTATAATTTAGTATCTACTGCTAGGAGGAACAGAGGAATAGTAAGAGACAAAGTCAAGCAGTAAGGCTGTAGAAAGAATGTAAAGGCTCTTCAATACTGGATTAAGAGGATGGATTTGTTCTGCAGACAACAGGGAGTTACTGAAAACCTTAAACTGTGAAAAAATAGAAGCAATATTTTGAAGACTTATTAATAACTTTAAAACCTTTTTAAGTCAAGGCAATATGCATTAAATAAATTTAAGTTTATTAAAACTATGAGATAACATGACATATAAGTGCTATCATACAGACAGTAATATAAGGTTAACAATGGTATGCCTCCAGAACTTGTGAACTTGATCCTAATGTATAATTGTGATTTAATGAGATATAATCCAATCTCTGGTAGTTGATTTACATACATAATCTGTATGTATATCTGTGGCTGACACTAGAAAAGTGACCTAAGAACGAAAATGTGTGTGTGTGTGTGTGTGTGTGTGTGTGTGTGTGTGTGTGTGTGGTTTTAAAGGCTAACAGTAAAATCTTACAATAAGAGCAAAACCCTCAAATGTAAAAATCTCAAAATTATATACAGCTACGGTAAGTTTTTAGGTTTGCTCATTTACTTAAAGATACGAACATCTTCCATCAGTTTGCCTTGCCTCATGGGAAGAAACTTACATACATAAAAGATTGTAAAGCTTTAGTTCATCTAGAAACCTAGGATTTGTGTACATTTCTGTATGCATGTTTACCTCCGTTTTTTAAATTTAAAATTTAAAAAGGCTTGTAAAACCTTTCATTAATACATCTCCTGAAACATAATTTTGTCACAAAAATAAGACCCTCCAAAGTTCCACTCCACTGGCATATAATTAGCTCAATATACCTTTTATCTTTTATTTTAAAAAAAAATGTATCTCTGGCTGGGAAGGTGGCTCACGCCTGTAATCCCAGCACTTTGGGAGGCCGAGATGGGCAGATCACCTGAGCTCAGGAGTTCGAGACCAGCCTGGGCAATATGACGAATCCCCGTCTCTACCAAAAATACAAAAAATTACCCAGGCGTGGTAGCATGCACCTGTAGTCCCAGCTACTTGGAAGGGTGAGGTGGGAGGAACACTTGAGCCCAGGAGGTCGAGGCTGCAGTGAGCCGAGATTGTGCCACTGCACTCCAGTCTGGGTGACATGGGGAGACACTGTCTTAAAAAAAAATAAAATTATCTATCGATATTATTGTGGAGATATTTAAAATAATCCACTTCACTTTATTGCCAAAGTCTAGGCAATCTTTTAAAAGAAAGTATTGCCTATATGATTTATAAAAAAATTTAGAACATCAATTTATACTTTCCCTTCTCATTACCTTTATACCAAGGAGCATGTCCAATGTCATTTCCACAGCTGATACCATCAAATATTCTAGGAGGCAAGAAAGAGTAGGAACCTGACAGCTTAAAGGGACAATGAAGAGTTCAGCGTGCCTACTTGTACTGTGCTGCTGCTCTCATAACTGGGTTTAGGGTAGAAAAGAAAAAAGCAAACCCTGGACACAAGAGCTAACCTGGCTAGGGAAAGTTGAAGCTATGATGAGTGACGGTCTTCTCTTCACTGCATAGTCATTTTTTCAATGAATATTTAACCACTTTCTAATCTCGGGTGCATTATTTACACTAACCAATATTTACCCAATCAGTACAAATTAATCCCTCTGAGGTAAATAATAGAACATATTATTAAAGAATTCACATATTTCAAATATTTGAGAATCTCATGGACACTGATAAGTGCTGACAAAGAAAACTACATACCTTCTATCCTAATGACCAAGGTACAGGCATGATGCTAGGGTATGGTCAGGATCGAGGACCAATTTACTGGCCACTAGTGCCAAGGATGTGGTATACCCTACTCTTGGGTGTCACATCTTGGGACCTTCTTCCACAAATATAAGGCTTTAGGCCGATTCATTCATGGAAGAAGGCTCTATCTTAATTTATCTCCTCTCATCTAACTTCTGCCTTGCTTCATAAAATAGAGCACTGGTCAGGCACGTTGGCTCACATCCGTAATCCCAGCACTTTGGGAGACCGAGGCTGGCGGATCACCTGACGACGGGAGTTCAAGACCAGCCTCACCAACATGGAGAAACCCTGTCTCTACTAAAAATACAAAATTAGCTGGGCATGGTGGCACACGCCTGTAATCCCAGCTACTCGGGAGGCTGAGGCAGGAGAATCACTTGAACCCAGGAGGCAGAGGTTGCAATGAGATGAGATCGTGCCATTGCACTCCAGCCAGGACAACAGGGCAAGACTCAAACTCAAAAAAAAAAAAAAAAAAAAATAGACGACTAATAGCACCCTTCTTGTGTTCTCTACTTTGCTCTCTCTGACATGCAGTTTAAGCAGTTGCATTCCTATTCAGAAGTTGCCCTGACTTGATGTGATATGACTAGGTGTGTAAGACTACACTGGGAAAAACTCTATGTCTTGCACTGAATATCCATCCTTCCAAGCAGCAGGTGAAAAAGAACTGAGAAAGCCCAGAACAAATTAGGTCAGCTTTGCTCTAGGTTTTGGGAAAAATTCTTATCTTATTCCTTAGCTTACTCCAAATATACATCTCCTACTTGCCTGTTTTCTTTGTTGGCTGACTGGATTTCATGTATTTAATAGTAATGAGATCACTCAGTTGTGAACTTAGAGTACAGGAAGCAAAGATAGTCCTCCAGCCATTTTTAACTCTAGGCCTCAGTCCAGCAGTAAACTTGGTTAAAACAGCCTTCAACAAGGTTAAATCTAGCTTTATTTCTAAAGTGTTTTTTGGTGACAAGACCTCAGGGTAATCAAATGTTTAATTCTCTAGGAGATCCTGCAAGAAGGCAAAAGCTTAGGATGTTCCAGTGCCCTGGGTAGATTCCATCTTATTCTCATTCCATTAATAAGAGTAGAGTTTAAAAAAAAAAAAACAGTGCTCAAGTGAGTAAATTAGGCAATATGATAAATTCATTCATCTGCATTGCTTTAGGCATACTGAGTTATCTTTTTCCCTATTAGCAATAAGATTCCTTACAACAGTTTTCAGAGAGGCTCTTTTCTCTATAACTTCTTTCCTCTAATAATCCAAAAAGCTCGAATGGATAAGAATTTTTTTGTAAGATTCTGGCCTATAAAAATGTAACCACGTATTACATTATATGCTTTAGAAGTATCAATCATTATAATTCATAAGCAATATACTATCCTTACTATTCTTCATGCTATTTTCTGTTGAAGAAATTAAGTGAAAAAGGTTAAAAGGATCTCCAGGGGACAGAAAGCAAGTTAGAAATAAGACCTCAACCTCCAACTCCTTTAATTTTCAGGGGCTTAGACTGAAGAACGCCTTTTCGAATATTTTATTAGTGTTAAAGAACTAAATGATATTTTATATATCTTAACAATTTTGAAAATGTATATGCTCTGTTATCCACTGATACTAATTTGTTTAAGAATTGAAATCATCCAAATCTAGTAAATATACTACAGCATTCCCTCATTATCCACAATATTGTTTCCAGGACCCAAGTGAATAAAAAAAATCTGCAAATGCACAAGTCCCTTGTATAAAATGGCACAGTATTTGCTTATAACCTATGTACATCCTCCTGTATACTTTAAACCATCTCCGGATTACTTATAAGAATGAGATGGAATCTACCCAGTGTTTACAATGTAAACACTATGTAAATAGTTGTTATACTTTTTCTTATTAATTTTTATTGTTGTATTGCTATTTTTCATTTTTTTCCCAAATATTTTCAATTCAAGGTTGGTTGAATCTGTGAATGGGGATATGCCCTATGGATACAGAGTGCCAACTGTATTTGCAACACTGACTGAAACAATAAATTCTTCAAGTGAAAACTGTACTATTTATAGCCAAAAATGACAACACTAATTTAACATGTAATTTAATATGCTAACTCCTTATTTTCCTAGTTAATAGTTTGAGTAATATTGTCACTAAATAGACCAAAAAGTTATAAAATACATGTTAGTACCCCAACCATGTTGGATGGTCTAGAAATCATAAATGCTGATATAATTCCTTATCAATATTTAATTCATACACATATATAAAGGTGCAGATATAAAAATATTAAAAATTGTATGAACGGCTACATGCTCAGAGGAAGAGAACACATTAGATTACTTTTATTTATCTTGATAGGTGTTTTTCTCCTAGAAAAGCCTTCCACACTATATGACTGGTAGACTTGTATATGAGACTGATGATTTGTTACGGAGAGCTCTGGGACAATATGACTCACCTCTGTGCTCAAAACTTTTTTCAGTTTTCTTTCTTCACCTTTGTCTCCCCTCCTCAATTCCCACATCCTACCACCTGGGACAACTGTTTTCATCTTTTCAGATAATTAAACAGATATTATGATACAGATCTACTTAATAAATGAGAGAAAGAATGGGTAATGTAAGGGCAAGAAAAAGGGGTGAAGAATTGAGAGAAAGAGAACAGAGGAAACAAACTTCATTAGAAACAGTAAACTAAGATCTGATTCTTAAAGAAGTTTAATAAGAATTGAAGACAAATTGTTAGTGTAATACTTTTAATTCAACTCACCTGAGTCTTAGAGCTAAATCCCAATTATTATTCGAAAATATTAAAATGAATCTATGTGAAAATGTTTGAAATTTTGAATAAATAATTTCATCTCATTATTGCAAGATTATTCAAATTAGAAAACAATCTAAAAATATGTGTAGACAAGGAATAAAGACAATACATATAATGCTCTAGAATAAGAATGAATAATCTGACATAAATGAACACTAAAGTATGAACAATAACACACCTGACAAATAAGGCAATGTGATCATTCACAAATTTTAAAATCCTGCACTACACAACTACTACATTTTTGAGGAGAAAAAAAAAGCGTTAGTAAAAAATCTTCAGAAGCTCAAAAAGTTAAAAAGTGTGATGTAATAGCAAGATAAAAGAAACCAAATGGATACAATCAGGAGAAACAATGGCCAGAGAAAAATGATGGAAGCCCTTTTCACAGAGAAAGGTAACTGCTATACTCTGGTCACCAAAAAGAGAGCAATGAAATCTTCTGAATAACATTTAACTTAGATATCAGGATAAATATTCCAACATTAGAAATTATTAAGTGTTGAAAAAATTTGGATGAGAATGGATAATGCAAGTTTGTAGAATCTGTTTACCGAGGCTTTTAGGGATAAGACCTCACCTTTCCATTTAAAACTGAACTATACTGTTGGCTTTATAATAAAGTTTAAGAATTGCATTCTGGACCCAAGATTACCTAGATCTGAATTCTACACAGGTAGCTGTTTGACTTTAGACAACACTCTAAGCTTCAGTTACCTGATCTACAAACAGGGATAAAAATAACAATACCACATCAGGTTGGTGCGAGGCTTAAACAATCAGGCAAAAGCCCTATCGCCAGTGCCTGATACACAATAAGCTAAAAAATGTTAACTATTATTATTATATGGTTACTAGGAGCAATTTACATTTTTATCTCGATTTACATAAAACATTTCTAAAATAATTTGTGTAAATGGAAACTCAGATTCTCCCTGGCTTATAGTACAATTTTACATTCTGTCTTTATAACTGTGATCTAACTGGAAGGACTTCTCACTTGTATTTTGTTTCTCCACATTTTTCACCACTGCAGAACCATTCATCCACCCAAAGTCAAACATTAAATGGACTAGAGTAATATTTAAATTAAAATAGAAACATCGCCATAAAGTTTTAAAATACAATTATGATTTTTAAATTGCATTATCCAAAGTGGGACATCATAGCATGCAATGTCTCAAGTTTCAGTAACTTAACGTTTACTGATCATGTAGTAGGCAGGTCCCCTTAGAATCCATGACCCCCGTACATTCTTATTATGGCATAATTTTAAAAGGGTATGTTATGTACGAACTAATTAAAAGTGAATTGGGCCAGGCACAGTGGCTCACACCTATAATCCCAGCACTTTGGGAGGCTGAAGCGGATGGATCACCTGAGGTAAGGAGTTCGAGACCAGCCTAGTCAACATGGTGAAACTCAGTCTCTATCGAAAAGTACAAAAATTAGCTGAGTGTGGTGGCACGTGCCTGTAGTCCCAGCTACTGGGGAGGCTAAGGTGGGGGAATTGCTTGAAGCCTGGGAGGCAGAGGTTGCAGTGAGTCGAGATCGTGCCACTGCACTCCAGCCTAGGCAACAGAGTGAGACACTGTCAAAAAAAAAAAAAAGTGAATTGCATATGGTTAATATGATGTTATAGCTTCATAAAAGGAAGTCTTCCCTGGGTGGATAGGTCAGTGTGTGTGTGTCTGTGTGTGTGTGTGTGTGTGTGTGTGTGTGTACACATATGTGTAGTCAGTACACTATAATGAATAGTAATAGTCTGAACTGACAAAGAAATGTTTATTGCAGCTTTATTTACAATAGTAAAACAAATAACATATATAACCAACAGTAGAAAAATAAATTATATGACCATCTAAAATAGTTATATGTTATGATTTTTTAAAATATAATGTTAAAGTGAAAAATACTAGTGTGCTAACAAATATGTTAAGATGCATTTTTAAAAGTGAAATATTCAAAATGTTCACAGTATTTGCCTCTGGGAGATGGAATTATAAAAGACTTTGTTTTTTAAAATAACTACATACAGCCACCAAAACAATTGTAATGTCTACTAACTGTAGACAAAATTTATAAAGAATAAATAAATAAGAAGAATATTTTCAAATTGAGTCTAGTTGAGGATACTAATGAAAACTGTATGAACAACTACAAGCATCTAAAACAACTACAAAATTAAAATATTACAGTGGGAGGTACAATTTCAAAGTGAGAATCAACTTAAGTATCAGTGAAGCCCCCTACTCCCACACTCCCCAAGGTAATCTCTGAGAAACAAAAATAAAAGAAAAATGATATTCAATCTAGAGAAAGAAATGACAAAAAACAGACTAAACACAAGGAAAAGTAAGCCAATTATTAGGTTAGCACATCTCAGTTTGTTCTCTTTTATTTTTATTCTGCCTCAATATCATTCACAAACACAACATAACCCCATCATTTACATCTCTCATTTTCTATAATGATTCTTGGAAGGGATAAACATAATCCTAGAAGAAAAGTGTTTACGGTTTCAAAATGTACCCCAGATCACAATTTAGGTTACGGCAAGTTCGCCAAATAGGGGCATATAAGCTCTACTTCTCCCAATTTAGTAAAGACATACACTAGGGAATTTCTGGTTTGAACTAGAGTCCATTTGGAAAAGTTATCAGAAATTAATTTGTCTCTTTGATATCTTATCTTCTCAGCAAAGTATTACTGGTATGACACCATCAAGGAGAGCTTTCTTTATCCTTAGTCTTGGAACAGGCCCCCAGTTATGCTCCCATATTTCCCTCTACTACTATTACAACATACATCATTCTTTTCTTGCTTCTACCATTTAATGTCTGCTATCAACTAATTTTAAACTGTAAGAGTTGTAGAATAAAGGAAGTAAAATGGTATCTATGCAGATAACTGGGCAGGAAAGCTTTCAGGCACTGGAAGAAAGTATTACCTTGAAAGGTTAAATACCTGTTATGTTCAAGGAATAAAAACATGGTTTGTGTTGCTGGAGTGAATAAGAAAAGAAGGCAAAGATGAGATCAGAGAGGTAATGTAGAGTCGGAACATGTAGAGTCCCACAGGTTGTAGTAAGAACTTAGGTTTTTTATTTTTAATGGTCTGGGAAACCACTGGAGGGACTTGAAGAGAGCAGTGATCTGATTTGACTCACAAAGTTTTGGCAATAATATCCTGGCACCTATGTCAAAAGGCTTAAGATCAGAACAAAGAAACTGGCAAGTTACTGCAATAATCCAGGTAATATGTGATAGTGGCCTGGACAGAATGGTGACAGCAAGGGTGGTGGGAAGTAGTCGAATTCTGCACCTGTACTGAAAACATAAAAGGCAATAGCTTTGTTTTGAACACGTTCAGTATGAGATGCCCATTAGGAATCCAAGTGAAGAGATATTAAGTAGGCAATTAGATATACTCTTTCCTAGAGTATACAGAAGAGATCCAAGGTAGATAAACAAATTTACAAATTTGGGAATCATCAGCCTATAGACACAGGTAGAGCATACAAATCAAAAAATCTGAAATGCTCCAAAATCCAAAACATTTTTGAGCACCAGTATGATGCTCAAAGGAAATGCTCATTGGAGCATTTCAGATTTCAATTTTTCAGATTTGGGATGCTCAGCCAGTAAATGTAATGCAAATATTCCAAAATCTCAAAAGCTAAAAATGTGAAGCACTTCAGGTTTCAGGTTCCAAGCACTTCAGATAAGGGATATTGAACCTGCAGTGTAACTTTGAAAGTCAAGGTGATTAGATGAAATCACCTAGGGTGTGAGGATAAACAGAAAAAAAAGGAGAGATCCTAAGAGTGAGGCCTGGAACATTTTCACACTTTACAGGACATGGAGACTGGGGAGGACCACAAAGAAATTAAAAAGGGACAGCTAAAAACTGAAGGAAGAAAGCCACCCAATTATAGTACAATGGAAGCCAAGAGGGGAAAAAAATGTTTCAAGCAACAGAAAAAAAATGTTCCAAGCAACAGAAAGTCATCAATGGGGGAAAAAGAGAAAACAATTAATTAGTATTAATAACAATTAACAAGTATTAATAAAGTACAGTGTTTCAAATCATTTTAGCAATGGAACGTGCTTTAGAAACAAAAAACACAGTGGGCAATGTCACCCCATAAAACAAAAAGGCAGCACTGCTCTAGCTGAAGTGGAAGACTGTATCTTCCTGCTTGCTATCATCTAGGTCCTTGGGAAAACACAAAGGCAACACAAAACACACACTGAAAACCACTGTTACAAAGCATCATTTAAAAATATGTGTTTAAGTTTTAAGGTAATTAATTTCATGTTAATTATAGACATTCGATTTTCACAGTGATTTTTTAGAAAAGTAAGATCAGAAGTAAAAATCCAGTAATTCTAGAGGGATAATATGAACTGTGTATTATTTAACCTCTCTAAGCCTCACTTGCCTCAACTACTATCATTAAATGAGAATAACACTATATAAACTACATTATTTATTAAAATAATTTAGCACACTACACAAAACATATGAAGAATTCAGTAAAGGTTTTTTTTTTTTTTTTTTTTTTTTTTGAGACGTTGTCTCCCCCTGTCGCCTGGCTGGAGTGCAATGGTGCGATCTTGGCTCACTGCGACCTCCGCCTCCCAGGTTCAAGTGATTCTCCTGCCTCAGCCTCCCAAGTAGCTGGGACTACAGGCATGAACCACCATGCTCAGCTAACTTTTTGTATTTTTAGTAGAAACAGGGTTTCATCATGTTGGCCAGGATGGTCTCGATCTCTTGACCTTGTGATTCGCCCGCCTCAGCCTCCCAAAGTGCTGGGATTACAGGCATGAGCCACCATGCCCGGCCAATAAAGGTATTTTTTTTAATTAGTAGATTAAATTATTGCTGCTGAGTCAGTTAGCACACCTAAATACTTGGGTAAACCTTCTTGAAAGGCTCCTAAAACAACTGTAAAGTAAAAGACTACTGAACAGAAACACACAAAATAAACAGAGAAAAATCCTGGAAAATATTGATCCTAAAGCCCTCCTCAGCAATCCCCTTTGTATTTGTGAAGATTTGCCGAAAAATAATGTACAAATTTTACAATGAAAGTCTGCCATACTTGACAAAATAATTTCTTGTAATAGCAGGCCGAGGAATTCCATTCCAGTTTTGAGACTATACTCCTAGTATGTTTCACAGAAGCTGTCTGAATGCCAATTTATAAAAATAATACCCTATAGAGTAAGTTTGTATCTATATTTTAAGTGATTCAGCTCTAATTACCATAAAGAAAATTCAAAAAATTTTAAATGTTATCAAATTGAACCATCCTTCACTTCTAAATTTTGAGGAAACACATGTAAAAGGAAGTAAAAATTAAATGCTGAAATTTGAAAAAATCTGAATTCTATATATGTTCATAAGTTCATACATAAACATTTACATCTTTATTACAGAATAAAAGCATACTTTTTGATATGATATACTTTCAGCTGTGTGAACATCTTCCTGATTTCTCAGTACTTTTTGTGTGTCCATATTGAGAACCTGAAGCTGCTGGATCAGCTCTGCTTGCTGGGCTGTATGTGTACTGTTCTGTTTGTAAAGATTCTGCAGCTCCTGCAGTTCCTTCCTGTGCAAAGCAAGCAATAAATAGAGAAAAGTATGGATAAAGATCATCTCAGTTAAATAATTGTGTTCATCTAAGGTTACAGATTGGCATCCTGTTTTGCATCTGTTATTTGTACTGCAGGCAAACTTATTAATAAAAGAAATAATGACATATTTAATATTTATCACATACACACAGAAAGTATTGATACAACGACTATGACTTTCAAAGCCAGATACATATTAATTTTCTTTTGTAGCTTTATAGTAATAAAAACCATGGATATACATAGTACAACCTTTTATTTAAGTAAACACTTCAGTTTCAAGAATTAACAAGTGGTAAGATCAGCTATAGTTATTAGACAGTTTTGAACAAAGGGTACGTCAACCTTTCATTTTATATTACTATACAGAACTTTAAATATATTAAAAAGAATCCCAAAGGGCAAACTTAAGTTTTCAAACCAAAGTTCCTTAAAGCACAACTGCCAATTCTAGTTTGTAACCTCAGGGTCCTGGGCTGGGATACTTGTGACTCCTCTAACTCAGCTTGAAGGAACTGATGAGGTAAAAGAGTCAGAAAGTCACAAGAAAAATCCAGTCCTTCGAACCTACCCAGGATGAAACTGATAAGCAGGAGGACAAATGAACTGGTGGTGGTAATGATGGCACTAAGAGTCTAGGAGAACTACACCTTTGAGATAGAGGTTTCCAGATTGCTGTGGTTGTGAATCCTGTGTGATACAGATTATACAAACTGGGAATTCTTTTGTATAATTAATTTGAACCGAGAAATATTTATAAAGCACTATTACATCAAAATATACTATAAACAGTAGTCTCTTATTATCTATGGGAGAATGGTTTCAAGACCCACTTTGAATATGAAAATTTACAGATGCTCAAGTCCTTATATAAAATGATGTAGTTTTGAATATAATCTATGCACATCCAAATACTTTAAGTCATCTCTAGATTACTTATAATACCTAATACAAAGTACATGCTATGCAAATAATGTTATACTGTATTGTTTAGGGAATAATGACAAGAAAAAAGTCTGTACACGTTCAGTACAGATGCAACCACTCATTTTTCTTCACCTGATATTTTCAATTCATGATTGGTTGAATCCGTGGATATGGAATCCATGGATATGAAAGGCCGATTGTACTTACATAATATTTTGAAGATTGTATTTCTTAATGGAACTTATTTTTACCTATAACTTTAAACTAGTCATTCATTCACATAAAATGTCTTAAAAGAAAGAAGGAATAAAAGAGATACGGAGACAGTTGTTGAACATGGATGAAAATTAGTATGGGAGCAAGGAGTTCCGCTCCTTAGAGATTTAGAACATTAATGTTCTCAAACCACAACCACAACCCCTGCATCCATACAGATACATGGATATACACAATTTTCCTGTAACAATTCAAAAAACTGAAACATGCAGAAAATAGCAGTCAAAAACGGGAAAGGGGAGAGAAGAGAACCAATAATGGCACAATGCCTTCAGGAAATGTAATACAAGAGGAGGGGAAAAAAGACCCACAGTAATCATGCATGATGATTACTGCCATTTTTCACTAATAACATTAGCAAAAATTATCAAAGGAAATACGCAACAGGGCAGGAGAAAATTCCATCACAGTTAAGATACGTTAGCCAGGAGGCCTAAAAAAATGTCACATTTAGAAAAGAGACATGATGAAGATAAAACATATCATCTTTCAATACAGTGTTAAAACATAGCAAATTTATTTATATTCCCATGTTAGAAGACATTTGGTATTTCTTAATGAGAAGGCCCGAATCCGTAGCTGGTCTGCATTTAAGGACAACGTACAACAAAATATATGTATCTTTAGTCAAAAGAAACACACTAGGCAGGGTGCGATGGCTCACACCTGTAATCCCAGCACTTTGGAGGCCGAGGCAGGTGGATCACCTGAGGTAGATGGATCACCTGAGGTCAGGAGTTCGAGACCAGCCTGACCAATAGTGAAACCCCGTCTCTACAAAAATTACAAAAATTGGCTGGGCATGGTAGCATACATCTGTAGTTCCAGCTACTCAGGAGGCTGAGGCAGAGGAATCATTTGATCCTGAGCCGAGATCGCACCACCCCACTCCAACCTGGGTGACAGAGCCAGACTCCATCTAACACACACACACACACACACACACACACACACACACACACACTCTCTCTCTCTCTCTCTCTCTCTCTCTCACTGAAGAGTAGGGAGATGCTCATACTATTATTACTCTTTGCAAATTAAAAATCAACCTGGGAAAAAGCACATTTTTCTCTACCACCTCATGGTATTTTCTGGGCATGCTCTCAATAAGTGGAATTGAAGGATACTCTTATACTATGTAGATATGTTTATTTCTATCGCCCCACACAACCCTCGGGAAAGTACAAGTGATGATATGTACACCAATGTTGCAAATACAAAAAGCAAGCAAAGCTCGCACAACTCACACATCTGAACCAGCGGAAAGCACTGAATTTGTCCAGATCTTTCCTCATTTGAAAATAAGTAAAGAAAAACAGGGCGGGCCAAGATGGCCGACTAGAAACAGCTGTGGTCGGAGGCCCCCCACCAAGAAGAACAAAAACAATGAGTGAATCCTGCACCGGCAACTGAGGTATGCAAGTTCTCTCATTGGGACTGACTAGGCAGCTGGCACAACCCACAGAGAGCAAGGAAAAGCAGGGTGGTGCGACGGCCCACCTGGGAGCCACACAGAGTAATGCGAGCTCCTACCACCAGCCAAGGGAAATGGTGAGTGATCGACCTACTGAGAGGTGCCAGTGTGCTGGCAGCCCTCGCAGTCGTGGCTCGCTCTCCGCGCCACCTTGGCCTCGGCGCCCACTCTGGCGGCGCTTGAGCAGCCCTTCAGCCCGCCGCTGCACCTTGGGAGTCCCCTTCTTGGCTGGCCAAGGCCAGAGCCGGCTCCCTCAGCTTGCAGGGAGGTGTGGAGGGACAGGCGTGGGCGGGAACTGGGGCTGCGTGCAGCGCCTGCGGGCCAGCTAGAGTTCCGGGTGGGCGTGGGCTTGGCGGCCCGCACTCAGAGCGGCCAGCCAGCCCCGCCAGCCCGGCAGTGAGGGGCTTAGCACCCAGGCCAGCAGCCGCGGACAGTGCACCAGGTCCCCCAGCAGTGTTGGCCCACCGGCGCTGCTCTCAATTTCTCACCGGGCCTTAGCTGCCTCCCTGTGCGGCAGGGCTGGGGACCTGCAGCCCACCATGCCTGAGCCTCCCCCGCCCTCCCCCCACTCCCCCCCGCCCTCCCCCCACTCCCCACTCCCCCCTCCCCCCACTCCCTCCGCCCTCCTCCCTCCTCCCCGCCCTCCCCCCTCCTCCCCGCCCTCCCCCCTTCGCCCACTCCCCCCCACCCTCCCCCCCTCCCTCCCCTCACTCCCCCCGCGGTGGGCTCCTGCGCAGCCACAGCCTCCCCGACGAGCTCTGCCCCCTGCTCCACGGCAGCCAGTCCCATCCAAGGGCTGAGGAGTGCTGGTGGAGGGCACGGGACTGGCAGGCAGCTCCACCTGTGGCCCCTGTGCGGGATACACTGGGTGAAGCCAGCTGGGCTCCTGAGTCTAGTGGGGACTTGGAGAACCTTTATGTCTAGCTAAGGGATTGTAAACACACCAATCAGCACTCTGTATCTAGCTCAAGGTTTGTGAACACACCAATCAGCACCGTGTGTCTACCTCAGGGTTTGTGGATGCACCAATCAGCACTCTGTATCTAAAGAATCTAGTGGGACTTGGAGAACTTTTGTGTCTAGCTCAGGGATTGTAAACGCACCAATCAGCACCCTGTCAAAATGGACCAATCAGCTCTCTGTAAAACCAATCGGCTCTCTGTAAAATGGACCAATCAGCAGGATGTGGGTGGGGCCAGATAAGACAATAAAAGCAGGCTGCCAGAGCCAGCAGTGGCAACCCCCTTGGGTCCCCTTCCACACTGTGGAAGCTTTGTTCTTTCACTCTTTGCAATAAATCTTGCTGCTGCTCACTCTTTGGATCCACACTGCCTTTATGAGCTGTAACACTCGAAGGTCTGCAGCTTCACTCCTGAAGCCAGCGAGACCACGAATCCACCAGAAGGAAGAAACTCTAAACACATCTGAACATCAGAAGGAACAAACTCCGGACACGCCGCTTTTAAGAACTGTAACACTCACCGCAAGGGTCCGTGGCTTCATTCTTGAAGTCAGTGAGACCAAGAACGCACCAATTCTGGACACACTACTACCCTGCCTGGGAAACCACGCTTTTTCCACGGATCCGTGCTACCCACAGATCAGGAGGTCCCCCAATGAGCCCATGCCACCAGGGCCTTGGGTCCCAAGTGCAGAGCTGTCCAGATTCTCGGCAGCCTCTTGGTGGCCTCTCAGCAGCCAATGGGCTGGTGACTACCTACGACTACCAACTTCCTAATGGAAGGGGAGGTCATCATCACCACCCTGCCTTTTGCCTAAGATGCCTGAGTTCCCGGGGAGTAGGGGCAAGGGGTGGCAGCCATCACTGCAGCTCCAGTCTGCCAATTTTCCCCTGCCAGTGCCAGGAAGACTAGATGGTTTGGACCCAGATGGAATTCCCCACAGCACTCACAGTGGCTATGGCTATGGCAGATCATGGCCAGACTGCCTCTTCAGGCGGAACCCTAACCCATCCCTCCTCACTGGGTGGGACCTTCCTGCAGGAATTTCAGCAACTGCAGCCAGGGGTTTAGGGACAGAACTCTGATGTCGCTGGGACTGAGCCTCTAGTGGGAGAGGCAGCCACAGTATTCACAGATTAGCAGACTTAGACTTTCCCCCTGCCAGCTCTGAGGAATCCAGGCAGTCCAGATGATTGAGATTCGCCACAGCACAGCGCACCCGCTCCGCCAAGGGGCAGCCAGAATGCTTCATTAAGCAGATCCCAGAACCCCTGCCTCCAGACTGGGTGAGACCCCAACAGGGGTTGCCAGATAACTTATACAGGAGCATTCCTGTTGGCATCAGGTTGGTGCCCCTCTGGGACGAAGATCCCAGCCAGAGGAAGTAGCAGGCAGCCATCTTTGCTATTCTGCATCTTCCACTGTTGATACCTGCAGGTGCAGAAGGGACCCAAGTGAATAGGGTCTGGAGTGACCCCCAGCAAACCACAGCAGCCCTCCGGAAGAGGGGCCTGAATGTCAAAAGAAAAACAAACAGAAAGCAACAACAATAACAGCATCAACAAAAAGGTCCTCGCAAACTGAAAGATCAAAGCTAGGTAAACTCACAAAGATGAGAAAGAATCAATGAAAATTCAAAAAGCCAAAGTGCCTCTTCTCCATATGATCATAATACCTCTCTAGGAAGAGCACAGAACTGGGCGGAGGTGGAGATGGATGAACTGACACAAGTAGGCCTCAGAAGGTGGGTAACAATGAACTTAGCTGAGCCAAAGGAACATGTTCTAACCCAATACAAAGAAGCTAAGAACCATGATAAAACATTACAGGAGCTGTTAACCAGAATAATTAGTTTGAAAGGAACATAAATAACCTAATGGAGTTGAAAAACACAACCTGAGAACATCACAATGCAACCATAAGTATCAACAGCCAAACTGACCAAGCAGAGGAAAGAATTTCAGAGCTTAAAGCCTATCTTGCTGAAATAAGACAAGGCAGACAAGACGAGAGAAAAAAGAATGAAAAGAAACAAAACCTCCATGAACTTTGGGATTATGTAAAAAGACCGAACCTATGACTGACTTGGATACCTGAAAGAGATGGGGAGAACAGAACCAAGGTGGAAAACATACCTCAGGATATCATCTAGGAAAACTTCCCTAACCTAACAAGATAGGCCAACATTCAAATTCATGAAATCCAAAGAACCCTCGTAAGATACTCCATGAGATGATCAGCCCTAACACACATAATCATCAAATTCACCAAGGTCAAAATGAAGGGAAAAAAAATGTTAACAGCAGCCAGAGAGAAAGGGGAGATCACCTACAAAGGGAAACCCATTAGACTAACAGCAAACTTCTCAGCAGAAACCCTACAAGCGAGAAGAGATTGGGGGCCATTATTCAATATTCTTAAAGAAAAGGATTTCCAATCCTGAATTTCATTTCCAGTCAAACTAAGCTTCATAAGCTAAGGAAAAATAAAATACTTTTCAGAGAAGCAAATGCTGAGGTAATTAGTCACCACCAGGCCTACCTTGCAAGAGCTCCTGAAGGAAGCACTAAATATAGAAAGGAAAAACCACCACTAGCCACTGCAAAAACACACTGAAGTACAAAGACCAATGAAACTATAAAGCAACTACATCACCAAGTCTGATAACCAGCTACCATCATAACAGGATCAAATTCACAGACAACAATATTAACCTTAAATGTAAATGGGCTAAATGCCCCGATTAAAAGACACAGAATGGCAAGCTGGATAAAGAGTCAAGACTCATCAACGTGCTGGATTTAAGAGACCCATCTCACATGCAAAGACACACATAGGCTCAAAATAAAGGAATGGAGGAAAATATACCAAGCAAATGGAAAGCAGAAAAAAGCAGGGGCTGCAATCCTAGTTTCTGACAAAATAGACTTTAAACCAACAGGGATCAAAAAAGACAAAGAGGGGCATTACATAATGGTAAAGGGTTCAATTCAATGTGAACTGCTAACTATCCTAAATATATATGCACCTAACACAGGAGCACCCAGATTCATAAAACAAGTTCTTAGAGACCTACAAAGACACTTAGACTCCCACACAATAATAGTGGGAGACTTTTAACACCCCACTGTCAATATTAGACAGATCACCAAGACAAAATTAACAAGGATATTCAGGACATGAACTAAGCTCTGGATCAAGTGGACCTGATAAATATCTACAGAACTCTCCACCCAAAAACAATGGAATATATATTCTTCTTGGCGACACATAGCACATAGCACTTACTCTAAAATCAGTCACGTACTTGGGAGTAAAACACTCCTCAGCAAATACAAAAGAACTGAAATCATAACAGTCTCTCAGAAAACAGCGCAATCAAATTATAACTCAAGATAAAGAAACCCACTCAAACCACACAACTACATGGAAACTGAACAACCTGCTCCTGAATGACTCCTGGGTATATAATGAAATTAAGGCAGAAATCAGGGGAGGAGCCAAGATGGCCGAATAGGAACAGCTCCGGTCTACAGCTCCCAGCATGAGCGACACAGAAGACGGGTGATTTCTGCATTTCCATCTGAGGTACCGGGTTTCTCTCACTAGGGAGTGCCAGACAGTGGGCGCAGGCCAGTGGGTGCACGCACCATGCGCGAGCCGAAGCAGGGCGAGGCATTGCCTCACCTGGGAAGCGCGAGGGATCAGGGAGTTCCCTTTCCGAGTCAAAGAAAGGGGTGACAGACGCACCTGGAAAATCGGGTCACTCCCACCCGAATATTGCGCTTTTCAGACCGGCTTAAAAAGCGGCGAACCATGAGATTATATCCCACACCTGGCTCGGAGGGTCCTACGCCCACGGAGTCTCGCTGATTGCTAGCACAGCAGTCTGAGATCAAACTGCAAGGCGGCAGCCAGGCTGGGGGAGGGGCGCCCGCCATTGCCCAGGCTTCCTTAGGTAAACAAAGCAGCCAGGAAGCTCGAACTGGGTGGAGCCCACCACAGCTCAAGGAGGCCTGCCTGCCTCTGTAGGCTCCACCTCTGGGGGCAGGGCACAGACAAACAAAAAGACAGCAGTAACCTCTGCAGACTTAAGTGTCCCTGTCTGACAGCTTTGAAGAGAGCAGTGGTTCTCCCAGCACGCAGCTGGAGATCTGAGAACGGGCAGACTGCCTCCTCAAGTGGGTCCCTGACCCCTGACCCCCGAGCAGCCTAACTGGGAGGCACCCCCCAGCAGGGGCAGACTGACACCTCACATGGCAGGGTATTCCAACAGACCTGCAGCTGAGGGTCCTGTCTGATAGAAGGAAAACTAACAAACAGAAAGGACATCCACACCAAAAACCCATCTGTACATCACCATCATCAAAGACCAAAAGTAGATAAAACCACAAAGATGGGGAAAAAACAGAACAGAAAAACTAGACACTCTTAAATGCAGAGCGCCTCTCCTCCTCCAAAGGAACGCAGTTCCTCACCAGCAACGGAAAAAAGCTGGATGGAGAATGATTCTGACGAGCTGAGAGAAGAAGGCTTCAGACGATCAAATTACTCTGAGCTACGGGAGGACATTCAAACCAAAGGCAAAGAAGTTGAAAACTTTGAAAAAAATTTAGAAGAATGTATACCTAGAATAACCAATACAGAGAAGTGCTTAAAGGAGCTGATGGAGCTGAAAACCAAGGCTCGAGAACTAGGTGAACAATGCAGAAGCCTCAGGAGCCCATGCGATCAACTGGAAGAAAGGGTATCAGCAATGGAAGATGAAATGAATGAAATGAAGTGAGAAGGGAAGGTTAGAGAAAAAAGAATAAAAAGAAATGAGCAAAGCCTCCAAGAAATATGGGACTATGTGAAAAGACCAAATCTACGTCTGATTGGTGTACCTGAAAGTGATGGGGAGAATGGAACCAAGTTGGAAAACACTCTGCAGGATATTATCCAGGAGAACTTCCCCAATCTAGCAAGGCAGGCCAATGTTCAGATTCAGGAAATACAGAGAACGCCACAAAGACACTCCTCCAGAAGAGCAACTCCAAGACACATAATTGTCAGATTCACCAAAGTTGAAATGAAGGAAAAAATGTTAAGGGCAGCCAGAGAGAAAGGTCGGGTTACCCTCAAAGGGAAGCCCATCAGACTAACAGCGGATCTCTCGGCAGAAACCCTACAAGCCAGAAGAGAGTGGGGGCCAATATTCAACATTCTTAAAGAAAAGAATTTTCAACCCAGAATTTCATATCCAGCCAAACTAAGCTTCATAAGTGAAGGAGAAATAAAATACTTCACAGACAAGCAAATGCTGAGAGATTTTGTCACCACTAGGCCTGCCCTAAAAGAGCTCCTGAAGGAAGCGCTAAACATGGAAAGGAACAACTGGTACCAGCCGCTGCAAAATCATGCCAAAATGTAAAGACCATGGAGACTAGGAAGAAACTGCATCAACTAACGAGCAAAATAACCAGCTAACATCATAATGACAGGATCAAATTCACACATAACAATATTAACTTTAAATGTAAATGGACTAAATTCTCCAATTAAAAGACACAGACTGGCAAATTGGATAAAGAGTCAAGACCCATCAGTGTGCTGTATTCAGGAAACCCATCTCACGTGCAGAGACACACATAGGCTCAAAATAAAAGGATGCAGGAAGATCTACCAAGCAAATGGAAAACAAAAAAAGGCAGGGGTTGCAATCCTAGTCTCTTGATAAAACAGACTTTAAACCAACAAAGATCAAAAGAGACAAAGAAGGCCATTACATAATGGTAAAGGGATCAATTCAACAAGAAGAGCTAACTATCCTAAATATATATGCACCCAATACAGGACACCCAGATTCATAAAGCAAGTCCTGAGTGACCTACAAAGAGACTTAGACTCCCACACATTAATAATGGGAGACTTTAACACCCCACTGTCAACATTAGACAGATCAACGAGACAGAAAGTCAACAAAGATACCCAGGAATTGAACTCAGCTCTGCACCAAGTGGACGTAATAGACATCTACAGAACTCTCCACCCCAAATCAACAGAATATACATTTTTTTCAGCACCACACCACACCTATTCCAAAATTGACCACATACTGGGAAGTAAAGTTCTCCTCAGCAAATGTAAAAGAACAGAAATTATAACAAACTATCTCTCAGACCGCAGTGCAATCAAACTAGAACTCAGGATTAAGAATCTCACTCAAAGCCGCTCAACTACATGGAAACTGAACAACCTGCTCCTGAATGACTACTGGGTACATAATGAAATGAAGGCAGCAATAAAGATGTTCTTTGAAACCAACGAGAACAAAGACACAACATACCAGAATCTCTGGGATGCATTCAAAGCAGTGTGTAGAGGGAAATTTATAGCACTAAATGCCCACAAGAGAAAGCAGGAAAGATCCAAAATTGACACCCTAACATCACAATTAAAAGAACTAGAAAAGCAAGACCAAACACATTCAAAAGCTAGCAGAAGGCAAGAAATAACTAACATCAGAGCAGAACTGAAGGAAACAGAGACACAAAAAACCCTTCAAAAAATCAAGGAATCCAGGAGCTGGTTTTTTGAAAGGATCAACAAAATTGATAGACCACTAGCAAGACTAATAAAGAAAAAAAGAGAGAAGAATCAAATAGACACAATAAAAAATGATAAAGGGGATATCACCAGCGATCCCACAGAAATACAAACTACCATCAGAGAATACTACAAACACCTCTACGCAAATAAACTAGAAAATCTAGAAGAAATGGATAAATTCCTCAACACATACACTCTCCCAAGACTAAACCAGGAAGAAGTTGAATCTCTGAATAGACCAATAACAGGAGCTGAAATTGTGGCAATAATCGATAGTTTACCAACCAAAAAGAGTCCAGGACCAGATGGATTCACAGCTGAATTCTACCAGAGGTACAAGGAGGAACTGGTACCATTCCTTCTGAAACTATTCCAATCAATAGAAAAAGAGGGAATCCTCCCAAACTCATTTTATGAGGCCAGCATCATTCTGATACCAAAGCCGGGCAGAGACACAACCAAAAAAGAGAATTTTAGACCAATATCCTTGATGAACATTGATGCAAAAATCCTGAATAAAATACTGGCAAAACGAATCCAGCAGCACATCAAAAAGCTTATCCACCATGATCAAGTGGGCTTCATCCCTGGGATGCAAGGCTGGTTCAATATACGCAAATCAATAAATGTAATCCAGCATATAAACAGAGCCAAAGACAAAAACCACATGATTATCTCAAGAGATGCAGAAAAAGCCTTTGACAAAATTCAGCAACGCTTCATGCTAAAAACTCTCAATAAATTAGGTATTGATGGGACGTATTTCAAAATAATAAGAGCTATCTATGACAAACCCACAGCCAATATCATACTGAATGGGCAAAAACTGGAAGCATTCCCTTTGAAAACTGGCACAAGACAGGGATGCCCTCTCTCACCACTCCTATTCAACATAGTGTTGGAAGTTCTGGCCAGGGCAATTAGGCAGGAGAAGGAAATAAAGGGTATTCAATTAGGAAAAGAGGAAGTCAAATTGTCCCTGTTTGCAGACGACATGATTGTATATCTAGAAAACCCCATTGTTTCAGCCCAAAATCTCCTTAAGCTGATAAGCAACTTCAGCAAAGTCTCAGGATACAAAATCAATGTACAAAAATCACAAGCATTCTTATACACCAACAACAGACAAACAGAGAGCCAAATCATGAGTGAACTCCCATTCACAACTGCTTCAAAGAGAATAAAATACCTAGGAATCCAACTTACAAGGGATGTGAAGGACCTCTTCAAGGAGAACTACAAACCACTGCTCAATGAAATAAAAGAGGATACAAACAAATGGAAGAACATTCCATGCTCATGGGTAGGAAGAATCAATATCGTGAAAATGGCCATACTGCCCAAGGTAATTTATAGATTCAATGCCATCCCCATAAAGCTACCAATGACTTTCCTCACAGAATTGGAAAAAACTACTTTAAAGTTCATATGGAACCAAAAAAGAGCCCGCATCGCCAAGTCAATCCTAAGCCAAAAGAACAAAGCTGGAGGCATCACACTACCTGACTTCAAACTATACTACAAGGCTACAGTAACCAAAACAGCATGGTACTGGTACCAAAACAGAGATATAGATCAATGGAACAGAACAGAGCCCTCAGAAATAACGCCGCATATCTACAACTATCTGATCTTTGACAAACCTGAGAAAAACAAGCAATGGGGAAAGGATTCCCTATTTAATAAGTGGTGCTGGGAAAACTGGCTAGCCATATGTAGAAAGCTGAAACTGGATCCCTTCCTTACACCTTATACAAAAATCAATTCAAGATGGATTAAAGATTTAAACGTTAGACCTAAAACCATAAAAACCCTAGAAGAAAACCTAGGCATTACCATTCAGGACATAGGCATGGGCAAGGACTTCACGTCCAAAACACCAAAAGCAATGGCAACAAAAGACAAAATTGACAAATGGGATCTAATTAAACTAAAGAGCTTCTGCACAGCAAAAGAAACTACCATCAGAGTGAACAGGCAACCTACAAAATGGGAGACAATTTTCGCAACCTACTCATCTGACAAAGGGCTAATATCCAGAATCTACAATGAACTCAAACAAATTTACAAGAAAAAAACAAACAACCCCATCAAAAAGTGGGCGAAGGACATGAACAGACACTTCTCAAAAGAAGACATTTATGCAGCCAAGAAACACATGAAAAAATGCTCATCATCACTGGCCATCAGAGAAATGCAAATCAAAACCACAATGAGATACCATCTCACACCAGTTAGAATGGCAATCATTAAAAAGTCAGGAAACAACAGGTGCTGGAGAGGATGTGGAGAAATAGGAACACTTTTACACTGTTGGTGGGACTGTAAACTAGTTCAACCATTGTGGAAGTCAGTGTGGCGATTCCTCAGGGATCTAGAACTAGAAATACCATTTGACCCAGCCATCCCATTACTTGGTATATACCCAAAGAACTATAAATCATGCTGCTATAAAGACACATGCACACGTATGTTTATTGTGGCATTATTCACAACAGCAAAGACTTGGAACCAACCCAAATGTCCAACAATGATAGACTGGATTAAGAAAATGTGGCACATATACACCATGGAATACTATGCAGCCATAAAAAATGATGAGTTCGTGTCCTTTGTAGGGACATGGATGAAATTGGAAATCATCATTCTCAGTAAACTATCACAAGAACAAAAAACCAAACACGGCATATACTCACTCATAGGTGGGAATTGAACAATGAGATCACATGGACACAGGAAGGGGAATATCACACTCTGGGGACTGTGGTGGGGTGGGGGGAGGGGGGAGGGATAGCATTGGGAGATACACCTAATGCTAGATGACGAGTTAGTGGGTGCAGCGCACCAGCATGGCACATGTATACATATGTAACTAACCTGCACAATGTGCACATGTACCCTAAAACTTAAAGTATAATTAAAAAAAAAAAAAATTAAGGCAGAAATCAAGAAGTTCTTTGAAACCAATGATAACAAAGAGACAACACACAGAGTCTCTGGGATCCAGCTAAAGCAGTGTTAAGAGGGAAATTTATAGCACTAACTGCCCACATCAAAAAGCTAGAAAAATCTCAAGTTGACACCCTAACATCAAAACTAAAAGAAATAGAGAACCAAGAGCAAATAAACCACAACACTAGCAGAAGAAAAGAAATAACCAAGATCAGAGCAGAATTGAAGGAGATACAGACATGAAAAACCCTTCCAAAAAAATCAATGAATCCAGAAGCCGTTTGTTGAAAAAATTAATAAAATGGATAGACTGCAAGCTAGACTAATAAGAAAAGAGAAAAGAATCAAATAGATACAACAAAAAAAGATAAAGGGGATGTCACCACTGACCCCACAGAAATACAAACAACCTTCAGATAATACTATAAATACCTCTATGCAAATAAACTAGAAAATCTAGAAGAAACAGATAAATTCCTAGACACATACACCCTCCCAAAACTGAGCCAGGGAGAAGCTAAATCCCTGAATAGACCAATAACAAGTTCTGAAGGGGCAGTAACAAATACCCTACCAGCCAAAAAAAAGCCCATGACCAGTGGATTTACAGCTGAATTCTATCAGAGGTGCAAACAGGAGCTAGTACCATTCCTTCCGAAACTATTCCAAACAATTGAAAAGGAGGGTCTGCTCCCTAATTCATTTTATGAGGTCAGTATCATCCTGATACCAAACCCTGAGAAAATAAAAACTTCAGGCCAATATCCCTGAACATTGATGCAAAATCCTCAAAAATTAGCGAGGCATACTGGAAGCGCCTGTAATCCCAGCTACTCAGGAGGCTGAGGCAGGAGAAGTGCTTGAATCTGTGAGGTGGAGGTTGCAGTGAGCCAAGGTCACGCCATTGTACTCCAGCCTGGGAAACATGAGCGAAACTCTGTCTCAAAAAAACAAACAAACAAACAAAATCCTCAATAAAATACTGGCAAACTGAATACAGCAGCACATTCAAAAAGCTTATCCACCACGATCAAGTCAGCTTCATTCCCAAGATGCAAGGCTGGTTCAACATACACAAATCAATAAATCTAATTCATCACATAAACAGAACTAAAGACAGCAAACACATGATCATCTCAATAGACACAGAAAAGGCCTTCGATAAAATTCAACATCGCTTCATGTTAAAAATGCTCAATAAACTAGGTATTGATGGAACATACCTCAAAATAATGAGCCATTTATGACAAACCCACAGCCAATATCATACTGAATGGGCAAAAGCTGGAAACATTTCCCTTGAAAACTGGCACAAGACAAGGATGCTGTCTCTCACCACTTCTATTCAACATAGTATTGGAAGTTCTGGCCAGGGCAGTCAGGGAAGACAAAGAAACAAAGGGTATTCAAATGGGAAGAGAGGAAGTCAAACTGTCTCTGTTTGCAGATGACATGATTCTATATCTAGAAAACCCCATCATCACAGCCCAAAAGCTTTCCAAGCTGATATGCAACTTCAGCAAAGTCTCAGTATACAAAATCAACTGCAAAAATCACAAGCATTCCCATACACTAACAATAGACAAGCAGAGAGCCCAATCATGAATGAACTTCCCATTCACAAATGCTAAGAAAAGAATAAAATGCCTAGGAATACAGCTAACAAGAGAAGTGAAAGAGTGAAGGACCTCTTCAAGGAGAACTACAAACCACTGCTCAAAGAAATAAGAGAGGGCAAAAACAAATGAAAAAACATTCCATGCTCATGGATAGAAAGAATCAACATCGTGAAAATGGCCACACTGCCCAAAGTAATTTATAGATTCAATGCTATTCCTATTAAACTACCATTAACATTCTTCACAGATTTAGAAAAAACTACGTTAAAATTAATATGGAACCAAAAAAGAGCCCGTATAGCCAAGACAATCCTAAGCGAAAAGAACAAAGCCAGTGGCATTACACTACCGGACTTCAAACGATACTACAGGGCAACAGTAACCAAAACAACACGGTACTGGTACAAAAACAGACACATGAACCAATAGAACAGAACAGAGATCTCAGAAATAAGACCGCACATCTACAACCATCTGATCTTTGACAAACCTGACAAAAACAAGCAATGGGGAAAGGATTCTCTATTTAATAAATGCTGCTGGGAAAACTGGCTAGCCATAAGGAGAAAACTGAAACTGGACCCCTTCCTTATGCCTTATACAAAAATCAATTCAAGATAGGTTAAAGACTCATTAAATGTAAAACCCAAAAGTACAAAAATCCTAGAAGGAAATCTACTGAAACCATTCAGGATATAGGCCCGGGCAAAGATTTCATGACAAAAACATCAAAAGCAATTGTAACAAAAGCAAAAATGGACAAATGCTATCTAATTAAACTAAAGAGCTTCTGCACAACAAAAGAAACTATCATCAAGTGAACAGGCAACCTACAGAATGGGAGAAAATTTTTGCAATCTATCCATCTGACAAAGGCCTAATATCCAGAATCTACAAGGAACTTAAATTTACAAGAAAAAAACAAACAGCCCCATTTAAAAAGTGGGCAAAGGACACGAACAGACACTTCTCAAAAGAAGACATTTATGATGCCAACAAACATATCAAAAAAAGCTCAACATCACTGATCATTAGAGAAATGCAAATCAAAACCACAATAAGATACCATCTCACACCAGTCAGAATGGATATTATTAAGAAGTCAGCCAGGCACGGTGTCTCACTCTGTAATCCCAGCACTTTGGGAGGCTGAGGTGGGTAGATCACAAGGTCAACAGATCGAGACCATCCTGGCCAACATGGTGAAACCCTATCTCTACTAAAAATACAAAAACTAGCTGGGCATGGTGGCACACACCTGTAGTCCCAGCTACTCAGGAGGCTGAGGCAGAAGAATTGCTTGAACTGGGGAGGCATAAGTTGCAGTGAGCCGAGATCGCTCCACTGCACTCCAGCCTGGCAACAGAGCGAGACTTCGTCTCAAAACAAACAAAAAAAAAGTCAAGGAACAACAGATTCTGGCGAGGCTGTGGAGAAACAGGAACGCTTTGACACTGTTGGTGGGAATGTATATTAGTGCAACCATTGTGGAAGACAGTGTGGCGATTCCTCAAAGACCTAGAACCAGAAACACCATTTGACCCAGCAATCCCATTACTGGGTATATATACCCAATATAATATAAATCATTCTATTATAAAGATACATACACGTGTTATGTTCATTGCAGCACTATTCACAATAGCAAAGACATTGAATCAACCCAAATGCCCATCAAAGATAGACTGGATAAAGAAAATGTGGTACATATACAACATGGAATATGATGCAGCCATAAAAAGGAACGAGATGATGTCCTTTGCAGGGACATGGATGGAGCTGGAAGCCATTATCGTCAGCAAACTAACGCAGGAACACAAAACCAAACACTGCACGTAGTGGGAGCTGAACAATGAGAACACACGGATACAGGTAGGGGAACAATACACACTGGGGCCTGTCAGTGGGGAGGGTGGTGTGCGGGGAGAGGGAGAACATCAGGATAAATAGCTAATATATGTGGGGCTTAATACCTAGGTGATAGATTGATAGGTGCTGCAAACCACCATGGCACATATTTACCTACATAACAAACCTGCACATCCTGCACGTGTATCCTGGAACTTGAAACAAAATTAATTTTTAAAAAATAAAATAAAATAACAGGACATCTAAAAGGAATGGGGGTAATAAAATTAAGAAAAACGAAATGCAATTGTGAATACTTAGAGGAAGAGTATACCTCTCAGTAGGAGTAACATAAGAACTTAGAAGAAAAGTGAAGAAAAAGTACAAAAAATAAGCCATTATGCCGCTGTGAAATACCAATAGAAAGCCAAGATGTAAGGACATCTCTGTGAGAGCAGGAACTTTTTTTGTTCACTGCTATAAACAGAGCACCTAGGACAGTTCCTGTCTCTTATTAAATATGTGTCTTATGCATCTTTTGAGATTCAACCTCAGCTAGCTACTAGAATTTTGAGTCCATCTCTCTGCCTCAGCCTACTAATTGCTACATCAGCCTACCAGATATATACAGTTCAAATGACTCCATCACGTGAGGATAACCAGCTGCATGCCTAGAGTCTTTTTCTGCATTTACCATTTCCAGACTGGGATAAACAATGCTACTATACAGGGGATGGTATGAACAACAAACTGGAAGACAAAACACAAAAGGAAACCAGAGAGATAAATTATCTTCTTCCATCTGATGGCTTGCTCTAGGGCACAGTTTCTCAGTTCTTGGGTGGCTAAGTCAGTGACCTGATGTCTTCACGGTTTATCATGAAGCAATGGCCAGAACAACAATGCATTACCTCGAATTACTTTTTATCCTTCCCTGCCTCAGATTCTTGTACTTTTGCCCACTCTGTACTGGAAGTGAATCTCCCAAGTAATCAGTATGTAATCCGTGACTCAGGCCCTGTTTACTAGGCTATGTAAAAACAGTTGTTGAATGAATGAAATGAAAAAGATAATAAAAAAGGATTGATACAAAGAAAAAAAAATGCCATCATAGCTTTAAATCCATAATGAGAGTAGTTATAAGCAAAATCAAAGTTATGGAACATAAAATTGTTAGGTTCAAACTTGAGAAGTTCCTCTAGATACAGATCAAAGGGAATTAAGGACAATCTAGGTTAGTTGAAAGAGAAGATACTGAGAACCAACAATACTTCTTCCCACCTCATGAAGGATGTTAAGTTCTGTAGAATATATTTTACTGCTGAAATATAAATCTAATAATCTTTCAGTTACTAGTGATTGTTTTAGTCCATTTTTGTTACTTATAACAGAATCCCTAAAACTGGGTAATTTATAAAGAAAAAGGAATTTATTTCTTACAGTTATTCTTACAGAAGTCCAAGGTTGAAGGGTTCCATCTGCTGAGGACCTTCTTCCTCATGGGGACTCTATGCAGAGTCCTGAGGCAGTGCCAGACATCACATGGCAAAGAAGCTGAGCATACTAGCTCAGGTCTCTCTTCGTCTTATAAGGCCAACAGTCGCATTCCCATAATAACCCATTAATACCTGAGTGGATTAATTCATTCATGAGAATTGGATTAATTCATTCATGAAGGCAGAGCCCAATGTCCCACACTGAGGACTAAATTTCAACATGAACTTTGGATGGGACAAATATTCAAACCATTGCAGTGATGCTGTCTCAGGAGTTGAGTAGGCCATGTGATTAAATTAGGACTATCCCTTTAAAGACCAGGTTTGACAGGAAACACTAACAGAGGGTTTCGAGCAGCTGCTCTACATAATTCTGCAGGAAAAAAAAAAAAACCTGACACCTTCCAAAAACAAAGATCTATGGCTTCTTCACATTACATTTGCTTTTCTCTGTTCTAAGAACCAAACTGGAGCATCAGACTATAGTGGAAATAGGCTGTTCTCCTGGAAAAAGGTGAAAAGCAAAGGCAAATCAAACAACGGCTCCTTTAAAACATTTGCAAAGCCTCTCATTTCACTGGCCAAAATAAGTCACATGGCTAAATTGGATGCCAACAGGGGCAGAAAAGCATATGGTAGCAATAGGGAAGGCCCTGGTAAAAATGGGCTCATGAGATGAATCAAAACAAACAGGATGGAATGAACAAATCAAGAGTAAAAAAGTTTAGTGATGAACACTGAAGTACTATATAGAATTATGCCTAAACATCTGTGTTCACTGTGGTTATACAAGAGAAGATAAATGCTGTAATTCTTAAGATACAAATTGGGGGGAGTCAAAATGGTTGAATTTATGTGCTTATTTCCAGAGTATACAGAGCAGAGTGCCAAAATCAACTACAGATGAAATGTAGTTTAAAAAAAAATAATAACATGAATCGCCAAGGTTTTTCGTATCAGTTTGTTCTTAGTTTTAGAAAGATAGTGTTCCTTATAGAGAAAAAATAATTATCTAAGATGTAATAATCTCCTCAATTTCACATCAGAGAGCCTTATTGTTTCATTATATGAAAAAAAAACCTAAAATTATTAGTTACCAAAAGAACATGTGCAATATAGTCCCTTTTATTTAAAAACATCTGTCTACCCAATCTTCAATTTATAAATCAGGACTGAGAAAAATGTAGAACAATGCTCACAGAATTTTATGGCTGTTAATTCTCTAGGGATGCATTTTTAGTCTAACGTTTTTTTCTTTTACCTTCTTTGTACTTTTCTGTACTGCATGTATTTATTTTTACATAATTCACGTTTATCATTTATACCAAAATAACTATAGCACAGTTCACAGTAAAAACAAAACAACTTATTTTTATCCACCAAAAAAGCTGTACAGTAAAACTATATGCAGTAAAAGAAAAATCATTTGAAAATTATATGGGAAGGAAAAATTACATTTAAAATAGTAACAAGAAACATGAAAGAGCTAGGAATAAATTTGATGAGAAATGTTCAAAATCTGTTTGAGGAAAGACACAGAGGTAGACTGAAACAAATGGAATGACACACCACACTCTGGGACAAGAAGACTGAACATCATAAAGATGTCAATTCTTCTTAGATTATTGTAAATTTTATGTGCTACTAACATACCAAAGAAAAAATAAGCAAGTTTACTCTAAAGTTCATATGCAAAAACTAACAGGGAATAATGGCCAGAAAAGTTCTGAAAAAGAGTAGTAACTGAGAATGGGCCAGTCTTCATCATCTCTACTCTGCTTAGCCTAAGAGCCCAACCTCTCTACAGACTAGTTATACTGCTCCTTGTTCTCTGGCTGTGACTGAATTTCATCAGTTGGAGGCACTAGCTGGTGATTCCAGGGTAAAGGAGAAAGAGGTCCGGATATTTATTTACCCAGCTCACTCTCTGCTGAGCCACAGTTTGATAGTGCCTGTGTTCCTCTGTCTAAGGTTATTGGTCTTATTGGGCAGCTTCCGTCACAGGATACTAATTCTTGTCCCTTCTGGCTAAGGGTGGTAATGGTTTCCTGTTGTTGATAATCGATGGTCAGCATTTTCTGAATCTAATATCTATTCAGAGAGAACTGGTATCTTTATGATAGTGAGTCTTCCAAACCATGAACTTTGATATTTCCCTGAATATATTACACCTTCTATTTTTCTCAACATTTGTAGAATTCTCTGAATAGAGGTAATACACATTTTTCATTATATGTGCACTTCATACCTCCAGTAATATTGTAAATTCTTATTTCCTAATATGTTTCGCTGGTATAAAAGATGCAATTAAGTTTTATATACTGACCATGTATCCACCAAGCATGATAAACTTATTAGTTTAAACTATATATAAATTATTTTGGGTTCTCTACGTGAATTAATCATGTTTTACCAAATAACTAGGATTTCTGCTTTCATTTCTAGGTCTTATATCTTTTTATTCTTCTTTCCTTACTACATACTTGTTATTTCTGACTATGTGCTAGACCCTATTTTGTAAAACTTTAGATATAATTTAAGTCCAGATTATTTTATCATTCTCCAAAGAAAACTCACTTGCTTCTGCTAAGCATCTGAGAAAACCAGCAATCCAGATGTATTAATCCAATTTCAGGATTCTGTCTGAAGATTTTCTGAACCAAAATTATGACTGCACTGTCTTGACTCAATTTCTAACAAAAATTCTCATCTCAATTGTAGAACCATTAGGTAATGGTTCTACCCCATCTACCCCATCTAAACCAATCCCCCACAGATACCAAGGAATGACTGTATATACTTATTTATACTGTAACCTAGGCAAAAATCATTTGAGGTAGAGTTCACAAAAATATCCTTTAGCACAATGGGTGACAGGGATCAAATATTCAATAAAATATAAATGACTATGAACTTCAAAGAAGGAAATCCATACAGAAACAGTAGCTCCATCATTACCATCAGGTAAAAGTTTTGGTTAGGCAATTTAATTAGTTATCCTTTTTAATGCAATGGCTAGGTAAATATATTCATATGCTCTATACAGATTACAGACATGTACATCATTATATATGCATAGAGTTGGACTTCCATATCTGTGGTTTCTGCTTCCACAAATTCAACCAACAATAGATCAAAAACAGTAATTTTAAAAATATAACAACAAAACAATACAAACAAAAAATACAGTATAACAACTATTTATATAGCATTTACATTGTATTTGATACTATTAATATAAGCAATCTAAAGATTTGAAGTATACAGGAGGATGCACATAAGTTATGTGCAAATACTGCCATTTTATATCAAGGGCTTGAGCATCTGTAGATTTTAGTATCCATATTGAGGCCTGAAACCAATCCCCCACAGATACCAAGGAATGACTGTATATACTTATTTATACTGTAACCTAGGCAAAAATCATTTGAGGTAGAGTTCACAAAAATATCCTTTAGCACAATGGGTGACATGGATCAAATATTCAATAAAATATAAATGACTATGAACTTCAAAGAAGGAAATCCATACAGAAACAGTAGCTCCATCATTTATCAGTGAGGAAAAGTGTATCCAAATAAGAAAGTGCCTAGACCACTTTTTCCACAATTATGGCTTCATATGTCTTGATTACAACATAAAGATTCAATAAACTGGGACTGGTATATCATAACCACCCTCTCCCAGTGAAATAATGATGAAAGAAACAAGACACACAGTATATCCAACAGTAATCCTCATACAAGATAACTTAGGAGACACACTGTAGACATCTCAACTACTACCCTATAATGAGGATTCAAGAGAAAGTCCACTGCTCCAAACTACCAACTCTGTGCTATTATTCTTCTCCTCTGTGAGTCCTTATTTTCAAAATTTCAACTTTTATGTTAGATACAGGGGGTATATGTGTAGTACTATTACCTGGCTATATTGCTTGATGCTGACATTTGGGGTATGGATCCTGTTACCCAGGTGGTAAATATAGTATCCAACAGGTAGATTTTTCCACCCATGCACCCTCACTCCCTTCACCGTCTAGTAGTCCACAGTGTCTACTGCTCCTACGTTTATGTCGATGGGTACCCAATGTTTAGCTCTCACTTATAAGTGAGAACATGAAGTATTTGGTTTTTTGTTCCTGCATTAATTCACATAGGCCATATGCCTCTATAGGTCCTTATAATCAAACTCTTAGAATTACACATGGCCCACTAGCTATTATTCTTTTACTATTGTATAAGAAAAAGTGCATGCAAGGATATTCTTGCTTTATTTATAATAACTTACAGCTCTTGCAATACACTAAATTTAAATATACAAACTCACGCAAAATGTAGAAGAAAACATAGTTGTTATATCCCATGTCCTTAACACTGCACTGTATCCTAGAATGAACACCATGTTTGTTCTAATAGCCTAGCACCATCATACTCTAAAATGTAAAGGTCTTTGTTGAAATATTTTATGCAGTTCCAGATGTTATATTTTAAGAAGATTGACAATATGGAAAACAGTCAGAAAGGTAACCCAAAACATGATAACATCTGTGAAATATGTACATGGAGAGTTTATGTAAGAAATAGGAGTAGTTGATCAATTAGTGAAAAAATGTTGTCATTGATAAATGTCTGAGACCACTGAGCTATGTTACAGAATAGGGATTAGATGGTTTCTGAGATTCTCCAGATAATAAAACTACAATAAATGGGTGGGAATTATAAAAAGGCAAATTTCAACTAAGTACATGTAAAACAATGTTCAAAAATTTAAACAATATAAAATGAAAATAGCAGTCTTGAAAAGCATCAGAAACTTTTAAACTAAGTTTTCAAGGAAAGACTAAACGCTATGCAATCTTACTAGGAAGAGGATAAGAATAAATAATAATTTTTAAATTTCATCCAAATCTAAGATTCTATTCCTATTTAGAATTACTTTTCTGACTTCGTTATTGTTTTAAAAATAATTATAACATGAGTTGATATGTTAACCAGTCTATCATCTATAAAGTTTATACTTTTCCTCACCCTTATGATGAGAAAGTTTTTAAAATGTGATACAAGGAATCTGTTAATGTCCTAATTCATTTTAACTTTATTGGCTTCAGTAATGGTAAACAGTTTTCATCCAAACTAAATTCACAATGGCATATTTAAATTTACAAAACTGTATTTTGCCTAATGGAACTATAAAAACTACGTCATAAACAGCACTAACTTGACCCCCTTACCAATGCCCACTAACATGAAGGAAAATTCCCAGACAAGTTTTACCAAAGAACTCCACCCAATGTGTACCAGAATGGCAGTGATGTATCCATCATTTATTTATCACTTAGTTTTTAAATTAAAATAAATTATACAATCAAACTCTATTATATACCTCTAGAAGCATATCTTCGATCCCATGCTCTGGTGCTACCAAAATAAATAAACACATGCATGCAAAATAAATACAAACATGCATGCATGTCCTTTCATGCATGTGGATGGATGGATAGATAGAAAGATACATAGATAGATAGATAGATAGATAGATAGATAGATAGATAGATAGATAGATATTGATCTATGAACCAAGGAAAAGTTCTGTCTTAATTTATTCTCTCTCATACTATTTTCTGGAAAAGGTAATTACAAAGTAAATTAATAGTTTTAACATCTTTAAAAAACAGAAATACAAGAGTATCGTGCTTCCTTTTTCAAGTAATCCAACTTTATGAATAGTATTACAAAATCAATTATGTTGATATAGAAAGACTGCTTTAAAACAAACTATATAGAATATAATAAAATTAAAGTCAAAATTTGTTTCTCAGTTACTATTGTTCACTGTAACAATATGAGCATCATGTAACACATGGCTAGAAATGTTAGAAGAAAACAATGAATGAAAGCATTGCAATATCCTTGTTAAAAACTGAAACTAGGGTACCCCTTGACCATGCTCGTCCAATCCTGTAGACCCACTCATTCTTCCAGGCAATTTTTCAAGTTAGTGTAAATAACTCCAGATTCTCAATGCACAAACATATATAACCACAGAAAACATAGTTATTATTTTAGGGTGTTAGTAATAAGTATAAATGGTATCATTCTGAATAACTAATGACATTTCTATGATGTTAAATTAAAAATTGAATATACTTGCCTGACCAGGGTAATATCCATATCCTTCTGGATAAGTTCAGTCTGTTTATTACTCAACTGTAATGATAGAGCATTGTATTTACTCTGTGATACTTCAACTTCTTTCCTTGCTTCAATTAAATTGTCTTCAAAGGTCTAAAATTAGAGTGCTTATATCAATAATCAAACATAATAAATACTACATGTAACAAAACATCTGTTATATTTAATTATTCTACAAAATGACAGAGAAAAATAGTTTTAATTTTTTCACTTACTTAAAATAATTTTAACACAAACAATAACTTTTATACCAGTCACAGATTTTTTCTTTCAAAAACTTAAAAACATCATGGCCTCTTGGTGTAAAAGTTAAGAATCTGAAGCAAATAAACTAGAAGATATGTATAAAAAATGTAGTTATTAAATTATTGTACAATAAAGTAATACATTAGCTGAACAAAAATGAACTCATTTACTTCAACATTAATCACAACAAATTATAGACATTTACTTATTTCCCTGTTTTCTCTGTTTGAAGTGCAAATACACAGATACATTTCAAGAAGAAAGGACAGTGCTTCAAAGACATCAAAAAAGTTTTTCAGAGTTTGAGACTCAGATCGTGTTCAATTCTCTTGACTGTGGTGAAATTTACCTAAAGTTCTTGAAAGCTGATCTTTTCCTCCTGATCATTCTCTAAATATTTTTCATTGTGAAAGGATTTTAAAATTAGGTGTTTTAAATATATTATAAAATTAATTTTAATTACTTTTGCAAAGAACTAAATATATATCTAAATAAAGTATGCCAACAGAAACACCATACATTCATTATTTCCAAACATAAACACCAAGTTTTAGATAAAGCACTAGAAATTCCTAATTATCTGTAAAAAAAGAAAAGACAATGATAGATAAATAACAAAGGTTTATAAACAACTAGATGGAGGAAGGAGAGGAAGACAGAGGGGAGAAAATAAGGGCAGAAGGAGGGAGGGAGGGAAAGCAAGCCTTTTTAAAAACTTACTCTATCTTTGTGCCCAACATATACAGAGGTGGCAGATGTTCAACTACTGACAGTTAGGAGTAAATGTATTTTTATGCTTAGCAGGGGAAAGAATCCAAACTCAGAAAATGAAACTGGGGACTACAGAAGGGCTCTCATACTCTTAAAAAAGAAACCAAAAACAGATTATGACTATGGTCTGGAGACACAGAAGAAATTTTTTAACACACCACAGATAGGATCTGGGTAAAGCTGCTCATCTCAAGATTCAATCTGATTTCTGCCAAATATCAGGGAGGGACAAGATGCCTCAGGCTGGAAAGAAGATCTAGCTCCAGACTGAGGTACCAAAAAGTACCAGGAACCTCAAAATAGCTTAAAAGCGATAAACGAACACCAGGGTAGAAATAGAGGATGGTAAAACATTCCCATCAAGACACACCCTTCAAAATCTAACCTTCAAAAACAGAGTCAATGAAGTGAACAATCAGAAATAAACATTATCTGGCCAGGCGCAGTGACTCACGCCTGTAATCCCAGCACTTTAGGAGGCTGAGGCGGGCAGATCACGAGGTCAACTGATCGAGACTATCCTAGCCAACGTGGTGAAACCCCGCCTCTACTAAAAATGCAAAAATTAGTTGGGCATGGTGGCACGCACCTGTAGTCCCAGCTATTCAGGAGGCTGAGGCAAAAGAATCGCTTGAACCCAGGAGGCGGAGGTTGCAGTGAGCTGAAATCGCACCAAAGGAAAGAAAGGAAGGAAGGGAGGGAGGGAGGGAGGGAAAGAAAGGAAGGAAAGAAAGGACAGAAAGGAAAGAGAGAGGAAGGAAGGAAGGAAAAAAGGAAGGAAGGGAGGGAGGGAGGGGACACTATCCTAGCAAAATGCAAATATGGGAACCAATTCAAAAGGACTATAAATATACAGAATATACTAAAATAGACAAATATTATGAAGCAAAAATGGAACAACCAGGCAGCTAAAATGAAAAAACTACTATTTTACGTGAAGAGTAGACATAGAGGAACCAAATCAAAAATTATTGAAAATAATCCAGCCAAAGCTGATGGTGGCTTGATAAGTAATAACAGAGGTGATGAAGAGTCAAATTTAAAATATATTCTGAAGGTAAAAATGACAGGACCTGTTGATAAGTGTCTGTGGAGTTGCAAGATAAAAACAGGAATTAAAGATCTCTCGTAGGGATATGGCCTGGGAGCAAAGAGGTGAATGGTGGATCCATTCATCATGATAAAGCAGACTACAAGAAAGATAGGCTGAAAACAGAAATCCAAATGTCAGCTTCTGGTGGATATAATATATGTATTTTAATCATTAGAAAATACTAGAACAAGTTTTCCAGTAAGTATACAAATCTAGAACAATTTTCATGAAAAACCTAAATTACTAGAATGGAATCCAGAATAAGTAACAGAACTTCATTTGTAATACTAAGCAAAGAAAGAAAGAAAACGAAGGAGGAAAATGCACCCCTTAGTACAGGTGGTCCTAAAGCTAGCCCTCACACAGAATTCCAGCCTGGGTTTCCATTTTTGGAAGGTCAGTGAACCGCAAATCTGGTGCATGATTTATGGTGCGCCCCCACAAATCATGCTCCCAAGGTAAAAAACAAAAATAGTGCTGGGCGCGGTGGCTCACGCCTGTAATCCCAGCACTTTGGGAGGCTGAGGTGGGCAGATCACGAGGTCAGGAGATCGAGGCTAACATGGTGAAACCCCATCTCTACTAAAAACACAAAAAATTAGCCGGGCGTGGTGGCGGGTGCCTGTAGTCCCAGCTACTCCGGAGGCTGAGGCAGGAGAATGGTGTGAACCCGGAAGGCTGAGATTGCAGTGAGCCAAGATTGAGCCACTGCACTCCAGCCTGGGCGACAGAGCAAGACTCTGTCTCAAAAAAAAAAAAAAAAAAAAAGAACTCCTCTCTGAAGGAAATGCCCTTGATATTAATACAAAATTAAGGTAAAACTTTTCATTGTTTCCCACTATATCTTGTTCAGTTTTGAGCCATGCGACTATATTACACATTCTAAATTTAAAAATTCAAAAAAAGAAAAAATAGAAAATTTCAAAAGGATAATTTAAAATGTTACAAATATCAACACATTTAATCAATTATATGAAGCTGACTCAAAAAAACACCTTATCTGGTCCTAAAGGTTTAAAGGTAAGGTCTATAAACATTACAATAAATGAATAACCCCCATCTTGTGAGAAACATTACACAGAATTTTAAAAGGATGTTCTCAACTCATTTTATGAAATGACCTGTTATCCACGTTAGAAAGGGAAGGACATAAAAAGGAACATTTCAGGGCAATATCACTTAGGCATATAGATGCAAAAATCCAAAATAAGCTATACTAGTATTGAAGAAAGATTTGGGTAATTTATTGAGATGATTTGGTTCCAGAAATATAAGGATGCCTTAACATTAGAAAATCTGTTAATATAATTTACCACATTAAGAGATTAAAGGAAAAAAATATGAAGATGCCAATAGAGTCAGAAAAATCATCCAAAACAATCCAACACCTTACGATTTAAAAACAAAAACTAACAACAAAATAGGAATACAGAAGAATTTTCTTACTTTAGTAATATGAATGCCAAAAATCAGCAAATATCATAATTAATGGTGAAATGTTCATTAAAAAATCAAGAACAAACTGGTTTTATATTAAAATTGTCCTGGGGATTTTAGGTAATATACTAAGAGAAGGGAAAAAAGAACAGACATTAAATATATAAATATTAACAGAAAGAGTAAACCATTCTTATTAGCAGCCAATATGATCTTCCACCAAAAAAACAAAAACAAAGTGTAAGCACTTAGAGCTAGAGTTGAGCAAGATTATAAAAGATGACTGTGCAAAACTCAGATGATTTTCTATAAAACTAAACATTTACAATACCAACAAGAAACATAAAATAACCAGAAATAAATCTTAAAACAAATGTACAATATAATTATATGAAGTCAAAAACCAAAAACACTTGTGTAACTCACTTTATTACAATATTCCCTTTATTGTGGTGGTCTAGAACCAAAATAATGAAATAGAGGAGTAGAACAACACTACAGAACAAATGGAACTAAAAGAATAATACAGAATATTCCACTCAACAACAACAGAATATACATTCATCTTAATGGCACATGAAACATTCTCCATGACAGACCATAAAACAAGGCTCAACAATTTTTAAAATACTAAAATTATATAAAGTATTTTTTCTGATCACAATGTAATAAAACCAGAAATCAATTACAGAAGGAAAACTGGAAATTTTTCATCCACATGGAAATTAAGCAAAACATTCTTAAACAACCAATTGACCAAACAAGAGATCATGAAAGAAAGAAATTAGAAAATACCTTGAGACAAATAAAAATTAGAAAACATACCAAAACCAAAACTTCTGGGATGCAGAAAAAGGAATGGTAAGAGGCAAGTTTATAGCTGTTAAGTATGTAGTACATTAAAAAGGAAGAAAAATCTCAACAACCTAAATTTACACATTGGAAACAATTAGAAGAAGAACAAATTGAACCAAAAGTTAGCAGAAGAAAGGAAATAAGAAAGATTAGAGTAGTGGTTAATTAAATAACAAAACAATAGAAAAAAAATTTTAAATAAGAGTTGGATTTGGAAGAGATATTTAAAAATTGATACAGATGGAGCCAACATGGCCGAATAGGAACAGCTCCGGTCTACAGTTCCCAGCATGAGCGATGCAGAAGACAGGTGATTTCTGCATTTCCATCTGAGGTACCGGGTTCATCTCACTAGGGAGTGCCAGGCAGTGGGTGCAGGACAGTGGGTGCAGCGCACCGTGCGCTAGCCAGAGCAGGGCGAGGCATGGCCTAACTCGGGAAGCACAAGGGGTCAGGGAGTTCCCTTTCCTAGTCAAAGAAAGGGGTGACAGACAGCACCTGGAAAATCGGGTCACTCCCACCCTAATACTGCACTTTTCTGACGGGATTAAAAAACGGCACACCAGATTATAACCCGCACCTGGCTCAGAGGGTCCTACGCCCACAGAGTCTCGCTGATTGCTAGCACAGCAGTCTGAGACCAAACTGCAAGGTGGCAGCGAGGCTGGGGGAGGAGTGCCTGCCATTGCCCAGGCTTGATTAGGTAAACAAAGCAGCCCTGAAGCTGGAACTGGGTGGAGCCCAACCACAGCTCAAGGAGGCCTGCCTGCCTCTGTAGGCTCCACCTCTGGGGGCAGGGCACAGACAAACAAAAAGACAGCAGTAACCTCTGCAGACATAAATGTCCCTGTCTGACAGCTTTGAAGAGAGTAGTGGTTCTCGCAGCACGCGGCTAGAGATCTGAGAACGGGCAGACTGCCTCCTCAAGAGGGTCCCTGACCCCCGAGCAGCCTAACTGGGAGGCACCCCCCAGTAGGGGCAGACTGACAGACACCTCACATGGCCAGGTACTCCTCTGAGACAAAACTTCCAGAGGAACGATCAGGCAGCAGCATTTGCGGGTCACCAATATCCGCTATTCTAAAGCCACCGCTGCTGATACCCAGGCAAACAGGGTCTGGAGTGGACCTCTAGCAAACTCCAACAGACCTGCAGCTGAGGGTCCTGTCTGATAGAAGGAAAACTAACAAACAAAAAGCACATCCACACTAAAAACCCATCTGTAAGTCACCACCATCAAAGACCAAAAGTAGATAAAACCACAAAGATGGGGAAAAAACAGAGAAGAAAAACTGGAAACTCTAAAAACCAGAGCACCTCTCCTCCTCCAAAGGACAGAGCTCCTCACCAGCAACGGAACAAAGCTGGATGGAGAATGACTTTGACAAGTTGAGAGAAGAAGGCTTCAAACAGTCAAACTACTCCAAGCTACAAGAGGAAATTCAAACCAATGGGAAAGAAGTTAAAAGTTTGAAAAAAAAATTAGACGAATGGATAACTAGAACAACTAATGCAGAGAAGTCCTTAAAGAACCTGATGGAGCTGAAAACCAAGGCACAAGAGCTACGTGGACTGCAGAAGCCTCATTAGCCGATGCGATCAACTGGAAGAAAGGGTATCAGTGATGGAAGATGAAATGAATGAAATGAAGTGAGAAGAGAAGTTTAGAGAAAAAAGAATAAAAAGAAACGAACAAAGCCTCCAAGAAATATGGGACTATGTGAAAAGACCAAATCTACGTCTGATTGGTGTACCTGAAAGTGTCGGGGAGAATGGAACCAAGTTGGAAAACACTCTGCAGGATATTATCCAGGAGAACTTCCCCAATCTAGCAAGTTTGGCCAACATTCAGATTCAGGAAACACAGAGAACGCCACAAAGATACTCCTCGAGAAGAGCAACTCCAAGACACATAATTGTCAGATTCACCAAAGTTGAAATGAAGGAAAAAATGTTAAGGGCAGCCAGAGAGAAAGGTCGGGTTACCCACAAAGGGAAGCCCATCAGACGAACAGCGGAGCTCTCGGCAGAAACTCTACAAGCCAGAAGAGAGTGGGGGCCTATATTCAACATTCTTAAAAAAAATAATTTTCAACCCAGAATTTCATATCCAGCCAACCTAACCTTCATAAGTGAAGGAGAAATAAAATACTTTACAGACAAACAAATGCTGAGAGATTTTGTCACCACCAGGCCTGCCCTAAAAGAGCTCCTGAAGGAAGCACTAAACATGGAAAGGAACAACCGGTACCAGCCACTGCAAAAACATGCCAAAATGTAAAGACCATCAAGGATAGGAAGAAACTGCATCAACTAACGAGCAAAATAACCAGCTAACATCATAATGACAGGCCCAAATTCACACATAACAACATTAACTTTAAATGTAAATGGGCAACATGCTCCAATTAAAAGACACAGACTGGCAAATTGGATAAAGAGTCAAGACCCATCAGTGTGCTGTATTCAGGAAACCCATCTCATGTGCAGAGACACACATAGGCTCAAAATAAAGGGATGGAGAAAGATCTACCAAGCAAATGGAAAACAAAAAAAGGCAGGGGTTGCAATCCTAGTCTCTGATAAAACAGACTTCAAACCAACAAAGATCAAAAGAGACAAAGAAGGCCATTACATAATGGTAAAGGGATCAATTCAACAACAAGAGCTCACTATCCTAAATATATATGCACCCAATACAGGAGCACCCAGATTCATAAAGCAAGTCCTGAGTAACCTACAAAGAGACTTAGACTCCCACACAATAATAATGGGAGACTATAACATCCCACCGTCAACACTAAACAGATCAACGAGACAGAAAGTTAACAAGGATACCCAGGAATTGAACTCAGCTCTGCACCAAGCAGACTTAATAGACATCTACAGAACTCTCCACCCCAAATCAACAGAATATACATTTTATTCAGCAGCACACCACACCTATTCCAAAATTGACCACATACTGGGAAGCAAAGCTCTCCTCAGCAAATGTAAAAGAACAGAAATTATAACAAACTGTCTCTCAGACCACAGTGCAATCAAACTAGAACTCAGGATTAAGAAACTCACTCAAAACCACTCAACTACATGGAAACTCAACAACCTGGTCCTGAGTGACTACTGGGTACATAATGAAATGAAGGCAGAAATAAAGATGTTATTTGAAACCAATGATAACAAAGACACAGCATACCAGAATCTCTGGAACACATTCAAAGCAGTGTGTAGAAGGAAATTTATAGCACTAAATGCCCAAAAGAGAAAGCAGGAAGATCCAAAACTGACACCCTAACTTCACAATTAAAAGAACTAGAGAAGCAAGAGCAAACACATTCAAAAGCTAGCAGAAGGCAAGAAATAACTAACATCAGAGCAGAACTGAAGGAAATAGAAACACAAAAAGCCCTTCAAAAAATTAATGAATCCAGGAGCTGGTTTTTTGAAAAGATCAACAAAATTGATAGACCGCTAGCAAGAATAATAAAGAAAAAAAGAGAGAAGAATCAAATAGATGCAATAAAAAATGATAAAGGGGATATCACCACCGATCCCACAGAAATACAAACAACCATGAAAGAATACTACAAACACCTCTAAGCAAATAAACCAGAAAATGTAGAAGAAATGGATAAATTCCTCGACACATACACTCTCCCAAGACTAAACCAGGAAGAAGTTGAGTCTCTGAATAGACCAATAACAGGCTCTGAAATTGTGGCAATAATCAATAGCTTACCAACCAAAAAGAGTCCAGGACCAGATGGATTCACAGCCGAATTCTACCAGAGGTACAAAGAGGAGCTGGTACCACTCCATCTGAAACTATTCCAATCAATAGAAAAAGAGGGAATCCTCCCTCATTTTATGAGGCCAGCATCATCCTCAAACCAAAGCCTGGCAGAGACACAACAAAAAAAAGAGAATTTTAGACCAATATCCTTGATGAACATTGATGTAAAAATCCTCAATAAAATACTGGCAAACCGAATCCAGCAGCACATCAAAAAGCTTATCCACCATGATCAAGTGGGCTTCATCCCTAGAATGCAAGGCTGTTACAACATACGCAAATCAATAAGTGTAATCCAGCATATAAACAGAACTAAAGACAAAAACCACATGATTATCTCAAAAGATGCAGAAAAGGCCTTTGACAAAATTCAACAATGCTTCATGCTAAAAACTCTCAATAAATTAGGTATTGATGGGACGTATTTCAAAATAATAAGAGCTATCTATGACAAACCCACAGCCAATATCATACTGAATGGGCAAAAACTGGAAGCATTCCCTTTGAAAACTGGCACAAGACAGGGATGCCCTCTCTCACCACTCCTATTCAACATAGTGTTGGAAGTTCTGGCCAGGGCAATTAGGCAGGAGAAGGAAATAAAGGGTATTCAATTAGGAAAAGAGGAAGTCAAATTGTCCCTGTTTGCAGATGACATGATTCTATATCTAGAAAACCCCATTGTCTCAGCCCCAAATCTCCTTAAGCTGATGAGCAACTTCGGCAAAGTCTCAGGATACAAAATCAATGTACAAAAATCACAAGCATTCTTATACACCAACAACAGACAAACAGAGAGCCAAATCATGAGTGAACTCACATTCACAATCGCTTCAAAGAGAATAAAATACCTAGGAATCCAAATTACAAGGGATGTGAAGGACCTCTTCAAGGAGAACTACAAACCACTGCTCAATGAAATAAAAGAGGATACAAATGGAAGAACATTCCATGTTCATGGGTAGGAAGAATCAATATCGTGAAAATGGCCATACTGCCCAAGGTAATTTATAGATTCAATGTCATCCCCATCAAGCTACCAATGACTTTCTTCACAGAATTGGAAAAAACTACTTTAAAGTTCATATGGAACCAAAAGAGAGCCCACATCACCCAGTCAATCCTAAGCCAAAAGAACAAAGCTGAAGGCATCATGATACCTGACTTCAAACTATACTACAAGGCTACAGTAACCAAAACAGCATGGTACTGGTACCAAAACAGAGATATAGATCAATGGAACAGAACAGAGCCCTCAGAAATAACGCTGCATATCTACAACTATCTGATCTTTGACAAACCTGAGAAAAACAAGCAATGGGGAAAGGATTCCCTATTTAATAAGTGGTGCTGGGAAAACTGGCTAGCCATATGTAGAAAGCTGAAACTGGATCCCTTCCTTACACCTTATACAAAAATCAATTCAAGATGGATTAAAGACTTAAATGTTAGACCTAAAACCATAAAAACCCTAGAAGAAAACCTAGGCAATACCATTCAGGACATAGGCATGGGCCAGGACTTCATGTCTGAAACAACAAAAGCAATGGCAACGAAAGCCAAAATTGACAAATGGGATCTAATTAAACTAAAGAGCTTCTGCACAGCAAAAGAAACTATCATCAGAGTGAACAGGCAACCTACAAAATGGGAGAAAATTTTCGCAACCTACTCATCTGACAAAGGGCTAATATCCAGAATCTACAATGAACTCAAACAAATTTACAAGAAAAAAACAAACAACCCCATCAAAAAGTGGGCGAAGGATATGAACAGACACTTCTCAAAAGAAGACATTTATGCAGCCAAGAAACACATGAAAAAATGCTCATCATCACTGGCCATCAGAGAAATGCAAATCAAAACCACAATGAGATACCATCTCACACCAGTTAGAATGGTGATCATTAAAAAGTCAGGAAACAACAGGGGCTGGAGAGGATGTGCAGAAATAGGAACACTTTTACACTGTTGGTGGAACTGTAAACTAGTTCAACCATTGTGGAAGTCAGTGTGGCAATTCCTCAGGGATCTAGAACTAGAAATACCATTTGACCCAGCCATCCCATTACTGGGTATACACCCAAAGGATTATAAATCATGCTGCTATAAAGACACATGCACACATATGTTTATTGTGGTACTATTCACAATAGCAAAGACTTGGAACCAATCCAAATGCCCAACAAAGACAGACTGGATTAAGAAAATGTGGCACATATACACCATGGAATACTATGCAGCCATAAAAAATGATGAGTTCATGTCCTTTGTAGGGACATGGATGAAAGTGGAAACCATCAATCTCAGCAAACTATCGCAAGGACAAAAAGCCAAACACCACATGTTCTCACTCACTGGTGGGAATTGAACAATGAGATCACATGGACACAGGAAGGGGAACATCACACTCCGGGGACTGTTGTGGGGTGGGGGGAGGGGGGAGGGATAGCATTAGGAGATATACCTAATGCTAAATGACGACTTAATGGGTGCAGCACACCAACATGGCACATGTATACATATGTAACAAACCTGCACGTTGTGCACATGTACCCTAAAACTTAAAGTATAATAATAATAAAATTAAAAAAATTGATAAACCTTTAGATAAATTAGATTTTAAAACTCAATTATAAAATAGAATTAAAAACAAAACCATATGATCATCTCAATAGACACAGAGAAGCTTTTGATAAAATCTAACAACCCTTCATGATAAAAACTCTCGACAAACTAGGTATTGACGGAACACACCCCAAAATACTACGAGCCATCTACGACAAACCCACAGCCAACATCATACTGATCATACTGGCAAAAGCTGGAAGCATTCCCTTTAAGAACTGGAAAAATACAGAGATACCTAATCTTTCTTTTCTTTATTTTATTTTTTTTAAGTTCTCAGATACATGTGCAGATCGTGAAGGTTTGTTGCATGGGTATACATGTGCCATGATGTTTGCTGCACTCATCAACCCATCAACTAGGTGTTAACCCCGAAATATGCATTAGGTATTTGTCGTAATGCTCTCCCTCCCCTTCCCCACTACCCCACAACAGGCATCAGTGTATGATGCTCCCCTTCCTGTGTTCATGTGTTCTCATTGTTCAACTCCCACTTATGAGTGAGAACATGCAGTGCTGGTTTTCTGTTCCTGTGTTAGTTTGCTGAGGATGATAGCTTCCATCTTCATCCATGTCCCTGCAAAGGATGTGAACTCATTCTCTTTTATGGCTGCATAGTATTCCATGGTGTATATCTACCACATTTTCTTTATCCAGTCTATCACTGATGGGCATTTGGGTTGGTTCCAAGTCTTTGCTATTGTACATAGTGCTGCAATAAACATACGTGTGCATGTGTCTTTATAGTAGAATGATTTATAACCCTTTGAGTATATACCCAGTAACGGTATTGCTGGGTCAAATGGTGTTCCTGGTTCTAGATCCCTGAGGAATCGCCACACTGTCTTCCACAATGGTTGAACTAATTTGCACTCCCACCATCAGTGTAAAAGTGTTTCTATTTCTCCATAGCACTGCCAGCATCTGTTGTTTCCTAACTTTTTAATAATCGCTGTTCTAACTGGCGTGAGATGGTATCTCATAGTGGTTTTGATATGCATTTCTCTAATGACTACTGATAAGCTTTTTTCCTATGTTTGTTGGCATCATAAATGTCCACTTTTGAAGGAGAAGTGTCTGTTCATGTCCTTCGCCTACTTTTTGATGGGGTTGTTTTTTACTTGTAAATTTGTTTAAGTTCCTTGTAGATTCTGGATACCTTTGTCAGAATGGTAGATTGCAAACATTTTCTTTCATTCTGTAGGTTGACTGTTCACTCTGATGCTAGTTTCTTCTGCTGTGCAGAACCTCTTTAGTTTAATTAGAAGCCATGCCCACTCTTACCACTCCTATTCAACATAGTACTAGAAGTCCTAGCCAGAGCAATCAGTCAAGAGAAAAAAATAAATGACATACAAATAGGAAAAGAAGTCACGTTACCCCTTGTCACTGATGATATGATTCTATACATAGAAAACCCTACAAATTCCACCAAAAGTCTCCTAGGGAATACATAATTTCAGTAAAGTTTCAGGATACAAAAATCAATGCACAAAAATCAGCAGCATTTCTAAATCCCAATAATGTTCAAGCTGCAAAGCAAATCAAACACAATCCCATTTACAATAGCCACAAAAAATAACAAAATACCCAGGAGTACATCTAAACAAGAAGGTGAAAGATCTTTACAAGAAGAAGTACAAAACACTGATAAGAGAAATCATAGATGACACAAACCAATTGAAAAATATGCCATGCTCATGGATTGGAAGAATCAATATCATTAAGATGGCCCTACTCCATGAAGGAATCTACAAATTCGATGCTATTCTTACCAAACTACCAACGTCACTTTTGACAGAATTACAAAAACTATTCCAAAATTTATATGAAACCAAAAAGCCCAATTAGACAAAGCAATCCTAAGCAAAATGAACAAAGCCAGATGCATCACATTATCCAACCTCAAACTATACTACAGGGCTACAGTAACCAAAATAGCATGGTACTATTGGTACAAAAACAGACACAGAGACCAATGGAACAGAATAGAGAACCCAGAAATAAAGTTGCACACCTACAATTACCTGATCCTTAACAAAGCTGACAAAAACATGAAATGGGGAAAAGACCCCCTATTCAATAAATGGTGCTGAGATAACTGGCTAGCCAAATGCGGAAGATTGAAACTGGACCCCTTCCTTACACCATACTCAAGATGGATTAAAGACTTAAATATGAAAACAAAAGCTAAAAAAACCTTTGAAGACCACCTAGGCAATACCATTCTGGACACAGGAACTGGCAAAGATTTTATGATGAAGACATCAAAAGCAACTGCAACAAAAATTGACAAATGGGATCTAATTAAACTAAAGAGCTTCTGCATAGCTAAAGAGCTTCTGCATAGCAAGAGAAACTATCAAAGAGTAAACAGTCAACATACAGAATGGGAGAAAATTTTCACAAATTATGCATCTAACAGGGTTCTAACATCCAGGTTTAACATCCAGAAACCATAAGAAACTTAAGTCAACAAGCAAAAAAACAAATGATCCCATTAAAAAGTGGGCAAAGAACATAAACAGACACTTGTCAAAAGAAGACATACAGAATATACATTTTTTTCAGCACCACACCACACCTATTCCAAAATTGGCCACATATTTGGAAGTAAAGCTCTCCTCAGCAAATGTAAAAGAACAGAAATTATAAAAAACTATCTCTCAGACCACAGTGCAATCAAACTAGAACTCAGGATTAAGAAACTCACTCAAAACCGCTCAACTACATGGAAACTGAACAACCTGCTCCTGAATGACTACTGGGTACATAACGAAATGAAGGCAGAAATAAAGATGTTCTTTGAAACCAAAGAGAACAAAGACATAACATACCAGAATCTCTGGGACGCATTCAAAGCAGTGTGTAGAGGGAAATTTATAGCACTAAATGCCCACAAGAGAAAGCAGGAAAGATCCAAAATTGACACCCTAACATCACAATTAAAAGAACTAGAAAAGCAAGACCAAACACATTCAAAAGCTAGCGGAAGGCAAGAAATAACTAACATCAGAGCTGAACTGAAGGAAATAGAGACACAAAAAACCCTTCAAAAAATTAATGAATCCAGGAGCTGGTTTTTTGAAAGGATCAACAAAATAGATAGACCGCTAGCAAGAATAATAAAGAAAAAAAGAGAGAAGAATCAAATAGATGCAATAAAAAATGATAAAGGGGATATCACCAGCGATCCCACAGAAATATAAATTACCATCAGAGAATACTACAAACACCTCTACGCAAATAAACTAGAAAATCTAGAAGAAATGGATAAATTCCTCGACACATACACTCTCCCAAGACTAAACCAGGAAGAAGCTGAGTCTCTGAATAGACCAATAACAGGATCTGAAATTGTGGCAATAATCAACAGCTTACCAACAAAAAAGAGTCCAGGACCAGATGGATTCACAGCCGAATTCTACCAGAGGTACAAGGAGGAACTGGTACCATTCCTTCTGAAACTATTCCAATCAATAGAAAAAGAGGGAATCCTCCCAAACTCATTTTATGAGGCCAGCATCATTCTGATACCAAAGCCGGGCAGAGATACAACAAAAAAAGAGAATTTTAGACCAATATCCCGGATGAACATTGATGCAAAAATCCTCAATAAAATACTGGCAAACTGAATCCAGCAGCACATCAAAAAGCTTATCCACCATGATCAAGTGGGCTTCATCCCTGGGATGCAAGGCTGGTTCAATATACGCAAATCAATAAATGTAATCCAGCATATAAACAGAACCAAAGACAAAAACCACATGATTATCTCAATAGATGCAGAAAAGGCCTTTGTACAAAATTCAACAACCCTTCATGCTAAAAACTCTCAATAAATTAGGTATTGATGGGACGTATTTCAAAATAATAAGAGCTATCTATGACAAACCCACAGCCAATATCATACTGAATGGGCAAAAACTGGAAGCATTCCCTTTGAAAACTGGCACAAGACAGGGATGCCCTCTCTCACCACTCCTATTCAACATAGTGTTGGAAGTTCTGGCCAGGCAATCAGGCAGCAGAAGGAAATAAAGGGTATTCAATTAGGAAAAGAGGAAGTCAAATTGTCCCTGTTTGCAGATGACATGAATGTATATCTAGAAAACCCCACTGTCTCAGCCCAAAATCTCCTTAAGCTGATAAGCAACTTCAGCAAAGTCTCAGGATACAAAATCAATGTACAAAAATCACAAGCATTCTTATACACCAACAACAGACAAACAGAGAGCCAAATCATGAGTGAACTCACATTCACAACTGCTTCAAAGAGAATAAAATACCTAGGAATCCAAATTACAAGGGATGTGAAGGACCTCTTCAAGGAGAACTACAAACCACTGCTCAATGAAATAAAAGAGGATACAAATGGAAGAACATTCCATGTTCATGGGTAGGAAGAATCAATATCGTGAAAATGGCCATACTGCCCAAGGTAATTTACAGATTCAATGCCATCCCCATAAATCTACCAATGACTTTCTTCACAGAATTGGAAAAAACTACTTTAAAGTTCATATGGAACCAAAAGAGAGCCCGCATCGCCAAGTCAATCCTAAGCCAAAAGAACAAAGCTGAAGGCATCATGATACCTGACTTCAAACTATACTACAAGGCTACAGTAACCAAAACAGCATGGTACTGGTACCAAAACAGAGATATAGATCAATGGAACAGAACAGAGCCCTCAGAAATAACGCCGCATATCTACAACTATCTGATCTTTGACAAACCTGAGAAAAACAAGCAATGGGGAAAGGATTCCCTATTTAATAAATGGTGCTGGGAAAACTGGCTAGCCATATGTAGAAAGCTGAAACTGGATCCCTTCCTTACACCTTATACAAAAATCAATTCAAGATGGATTAAAGACTTAAACGTTAGACCTAAAACCATAAAAACCCTAGAAGAAAACCTAGGCAATACCATTCAGGACATAGGCATGGGCAAGGACTTCATGTCTGAAACAACAAAAGCAATGGCAACAAAAGACAAAATTGACAAATGGGATCTAATTAAACTAAAGAGCTTCTGCACAGCAAAAGAAACTACCATCAGAGTGAACAGGCAACCCACAAAATGGGAGAAAATTTTTGCAACCTACTCATCTGACAAAGGGCTAATATCCAGAATCTACAATGAACTCAAACAAATTTACAAGAAAAAAACAAACAACCCCATCAAAAAGTGGGCAAAGGACATGAACAGACACTTCTCAAAAGAAGACATTTATGCAGCCAAGAAACACATGAAAAAATGCTCATCATCACTGGCCATCAGAGAAATGCAAATCAAAACCACAATGAGATACCATCTCACACCAGTTAGAATGGTGATCATTAAAAAGTCAGGAAACAACAGGTGCTGGAGAGGATGCGGAGAAATAGGAACACTTTTACACTGTTGGTGGGACTGTAAACTAATTCAACCATTGTGGAAGTCAGTGTGGCGATTCCTCAGGGATCTAGAACTAGAAATACCATTTGACCCAGCCATCCCATTACTGGGTATATACCCAAAGGACTATAAATCATGCTGCTATAAAGACACATGCACACCTATGTTTACTGCGGCATTATTCACAATAGCAAAGACTTGGAACCAACCCAAATGTCCAACAATGATAGACTGGATTAAGAAAATGTGGCACATATACACCATGGAATACTATGCAGCCTTAAAAAATGATGAGTTCATGTCCTTTGTAGGGACATGGATGACATTGGAAATCATCATTCTCAGTAAACTATCGCAAGAACAAAATACCAAACACCGCATATTCTCACTCATAGGTGGGAATTGAACAATGAGATCACATGGACACAGGAAGGGGAACATCACACTCTGGGGACTGTTGTGGGGTGGGAGGAGGGGGGAGGGATAGCATTAGGAGATATACCTAATGCTAGATGACGAGTTAGTGGGTGCAGTGCACCAGCATGGCACATGTATACATATGTAACTAACCTGCACAATGTGCACATGTACCCTAAAACTTAAAGTATAATAATAAAAAAAAAATGTTAAACAAAATGTATAGGAGGTCATTGGTCTGGACTGAGCTCCTGCACTAGGCCCAACAAACCAAACCAAAATGGAATCATTCATTCTGAAGTTCCAGGCCACCAAGCAGAAACTAAATTATTTGACCTTCCAAAAAATCAAGAGAGAGAAACAGTCAAATATCGAAACAGGCCAGTGAAAACTGGATAAAGAAATCCCCAAATCCCCTCTGCTTTGAGTTGTACAAGAAAAGTAACTTTTAAACGACATTTTGTTTTCTGTTTCTGCTTTTCTCTGCCCTTTTCTGTCTATAAAACCAACCTCCCCAGATCGGCTCATTTGAATACACATTCTGCCTTACAGAATGAGTTGCTGCATGATTCTAGAATTGCAAATAAAAGACAACTAAGAGCTTTACACTAAAAAAAAAAAGAGAAGACATACAAACAGCCAACAATCATGAAAGAAATGCTCAAAATCACTAATCATCAGAGAAATGCAAATCAGAAACACAATGAGATACCATCTCACACCAATCATAATGGCTTTTACTAAACAGTCAAAAATAACAGATGTTGGAGAAGCTGTGGAGAAAAGGCAATGTTTATACATTGTTGGTAGGTTTGAAAATTAGTTCAGTCACTGTGGAAAGCAGTTTGGAGATTTCTCAAAGAGCTAAAAATAAAAATAGAACTACCATTTGATCCAGCAATCCCATTACTGGGATTACTCAGTAGCCAAAGAAAAATAAATTTTTCTACCAAAAACACACATGTATTTGTATATGCATCACAACAGAATAGCAAAGACATGGAATCAACCTAGGTGACCATCAATAGCAGACTGGATAAATAAAATATAATACATATACACTATGGAATACTATGTAGCAGTTAAAAAAATCATATCCTTTTCAGCAATATGGATTTAGCTGGAAGCCATTATCCTCAGCAAAGTGATGCAGAAATGGAAAACTAAGAATACTAAGAACAACTGTATTCTAACAAATACAAAACTGTATTCTAAAAAATCTGTATTCTAACAAATACAAAATTGTATTCTAACACATTGGATAATCCAAAGGAAGTATATACAATCCTAGAAACACACTTATGAAAACTGAAATATGAAAAAACAGAAAATCTGACAGAACAGTAACTTGTAAGAAGACTGAATCAGTAATCAAAAACCTATCAACAAAGCATGGGTCTAGATGGTTTCACTGGATAATTCTACCAAAAATTTAAAGAATTAACACCAATCCTCCTCAAACTCTACCAATAACTGAAGTACGGAGAGTATTTTCAAGCTCCTTCTATGAGGAGAGCATCATCCTGATACCAACGCTAGAAAACAACACTAGAAGAAAACTAGAGACCAATTATCTGATGAATATTGATGCACAAATCATAAACAAAATACTAGCAAAAAAGGTTACATAACATGACCAAGTGGAATTTATGCCTTGAATGCAAGGGGAATTGAAACATACAAAATTCAATTTATGAAATAAACCACGATGAAAGAATAAAAGACAAAAATCATACAAGCATTTCACTCGATACAGAAAAAACATTTGACAAGATTGAACACCCTTTCATGATTAAAAGAACACCCACCAACTAGGAATAGAAGGAAGCTACTTCAACATAACAAAGGCCAAATACAAAAAGCCTATAGCTAACATCATACTCAATAGTGAAAGACTAAAAGCTTTTTCTCTAAGATCAGGAACAAGATGAGGTTGCCCACTCTCACCACTCCTATTCAACATAGTATTTATTTAATGTCCTAGCCAGAGCAACTATGCAAGAAAAATAAAAGGCATCCTAATCAAAAAGGCAGAAGTAAAATTATCTCTTGTTGCTGATGGCATGTATATGTAGAAAACCTTAAGATTCTATACACTAACAATGAATAACCAGAAAAGGAAATTAAGAAAACAATTCCATTTACAACTGAAAAAAATACTAGAAATAAATCTAGCCAAGGGGGTGAAAGACTTGTACACTGAACACTATGAACATTATTAACAGAAATTATAGAGGACACAAATAAATGGAAAGACATCTCATGTCACTGGATTGGAAGACAATGTTGTTAAGATGTAAAAAACGCCAAAAGTGAGCTACAGATTTAATGCACTCTTTATCAATATCCCAATGACACTTTTTGCAGAAAGTTAAAATACCATCCTAAAATTCATATGAAATCTTAAGCAACCCCAAACAGCCACAGCAATTCTGAAAAACAACAATATTGGAGAACTCATATTTCTTCATTTCAAAATGTATTACAAAGCTACAGTAATGAAAACAGTATTGTACTGACATACAGATATACAGACCAATGAAAAATAGCCTAGAAATAATCATTTCTATATGTGCTCAAATCACTTTTCACAAAGGTACCAAGACCAACTGATGACTAAAGGGCAGCCTTTTCAACAAATGTTGCCAGAAAAACTAGATATCTACTCACAAATGAATGAATTTGGACCCTTACACCATACACACAAAAGAAAAAAAAAAAACCTCCAAATGGATTAAAGACCAAAATATAAAAGCCAAAACTAGAAAATTCCCAACATAGCAGAAACACATCATGATTTTGGATTTGGCAATGATTTCTTGCAAATGACACCAAAAGCATAGACAACAAAAGCAAAAACATAAAATTGGGACTATGCCAAAAGCATACAGATGGTACTACCTCAAAATTGAAAACTTTTGTTCATCAAAGGACACAATGAACAGATTAAAAAGGCAACAAAAGGACTTCAATAGATATTTCTCCAAAGATGATATACAAGTGGCCAAGAAGCATATGAAAAGATGGTCAACATCATAATACAAATATGTTCAACTGGGATTTGTCCCAGGGATGCAGGGATGATTCAATATATACAAATCAACAAATGTAACACATCACATCAATGAACTGAAGGACAAAAATAATCTGATCATCTCAATTAATACAGAAAAATCATGATAAAATTCAACACACCTTCATTATAGAAACTGTCAACAAACTAGGCAAACAAAGAACATGCCTCCAAATAATAAAGACCATATATATCAAACATATAACTAACATCCTATTAAATGGGGAAAAATTAAGGACCTTTCCTATAATAATTTAAACTAGACAAGAATGCCCAGTTTTACCACTTCTAGTCAACACAGTACTGGAAGTCCCAGTCAGAGCAATCAGGCAAAAGAAAAAAAAAAAACAATAGAAAAGACATCCAGTTTGAAAAAGGGAAAGTCAAACTGTCCCTCTTTGCAAACAACATGATCTTACATCTTTTTCTTTTTTTAATGACTCTACCAGAAAAACTCCAGAACTGATAAATAAATTCAGTAAAGTTGCAGGATACAAAATCATGTACAAAATAAGTAGCATTTCCATACATTAGTAATGAAATAGCTGAAGAAGAAATCAAAAAAGCAATTCTACTTCCAAAAGCTACAGAAAACACAAATAAATATCTGGGATTAAATTTAACCAAGGAGGGTTAAGATCTCTACAAAACAAACAAACAAAACACTGATGAAAGAAATTGAAGAGGACACAAACAAGAAAAACATATCACACTCATGGGTCAGATTAATTAATATTGTTAAAATGACCAAACTGCCCAAAGCAATCTAGATTCAATGCAATCTCTATTACTACCAACATCATTTTTCACAGAAATAGAAAAAACAATTCTAAAATTGATATGGAACCAAAAAAGAGCCTGAATACCCAAAGCAATCCTGAGCAAAAGAACCAAGCTGGAGGTATGAGACTATCTGACTTCAAAACATATTACAAGGATATATTAACTGAAACAGCATGGTGTTGGTATAAATATAGACACATAGACCAATGAAACAAAATATAGAACCCAGAAGTAAATCCACCAATTCATAGCTGACTGATCTTCAACAAAGCAACTAAGAATATACATTGGCGATAGAATAGGATAGCGCCTCTTCAATAAATGGTGCTAGAAAAACTAGATAACCATGAGTAAAAGAATGAAACTGGACACATCTCTCACCATACAACAAATAAACTTAAGATGGATTAAAGGCTTAATTGTAATACATGGAAACAGAAAAATACTAGAAGAAAACATAGAGAAAACTCTCCAAGACATTGGTCTAGGCAAAGATTTTATGCCTAAGAACTCAAAAGCACAGGCAACAAAAATAAAAATAGAGAAATGGAACTATATTAAATAAAAACCTTCTGCACAGCAAAAGAAAAAATAGGTTGAAATTCAGCCTACAAAAAACAGACAATCTTCAAAGTAGCAAGAAACCTTTTGAATGAGTTAAAATACTTGCAGATTACTCAGTCAACAGGGGACTAGTAACTAGAATCGACAAGGAACTCAAAGAACTCAACAGTTTTTAAAAAATCACATTATAACATGTACAAAAATGGACATTTCTCAAAAGAAGATATACACATGGCCAACAGGTATATGAAAAATGCTCAGCATCATTAATCATCAGGAAAATGCAAATCAAAACCATAATGAGATGTCATGTCATCCTAGTTCGAATGACTATTATTAAAGGGACAGAAAATAACAGATGTAAGTGAGGATACAACAGCGTATATAACAGAACTCTTATACACTGTTGGTGAAAATGTAAATTAGTGTAACAACTAAGAAAAAGAGTATGGAAATTTCTCAAAAAAACAAACAGACCTACCATACAATCCCACAATCCCACTACTGGGTATCTATCCAAAGGAAAAGAAATCAGTATATCAAAGAGATAGGTTGCTGCAATTGAACATTTATTGTGGCATTATTCATAATAGCAAAGATATGGCATCAACCTAAGTATCCACAAACCAAAGTAATGCATAAAGAAAATGTGGTGTATATATAAATAATGGAATACTACTTAGACATAAAAAAGAATGAAATCATACCATTTGAAGTAGCATGGATGGAACTGAAGGTCATTACAATAAATAAGGCAGGCAGAGAAAGACAAATACTGCATATTTTTACTCACATCTGTAAGCTAAAAACCTTATCTCGTGGTGCTTGGGAATACAGTGATAGATACCATATACTAGGAAGGGAAAGTGGGAGAGTGGGAATGTATAAAGGTTGGTTATTGGAACTAATATGCAGTTAGATGGAAGAAATAAGTTCTAGTGTTTGATAGCACACTCAGGTTCCTATACTTGGGAACAACGTCACATGTATTTCGAAGCAACTGAAAGAGACTATAAATGATACCAACACATACAACTGATAAAAACTCAAGGTGACGGAGACCCCAAATACCCTGACTTCATCATTACAAATTATATGCATGTAACAAACACTCACATATAGCCCATAAATAGGTAGATTATTACATATCAATGAAAGGGAAAAAAAGGAACAAAATACACACACAAAAGTAATTCAGGAGCTGAAAAATACAACTGAAATAAAATTTTCACTAGAGGGTTCAGCAGCAGATTTCAGCACAAAAAGTAATTAGATAACTACAAGATAGAACAATTAAAATCATTGAGTCTAAAGAGCATAAAGAGAGAAAAAAGAAAAAAAGTGATCAGTGGGACACCACCAAGCAGACCAACACACATATTATGGGAATCCCAACAGGAGAAGGGACCAAGAAAATGGTAGAAATACTATTTGAATAAATGATGGCCCAAAACTTCCAAAATGTGATGAAAGATATGAATCTACAAATCCAAAAACCTCAATAAACTCCAAGTAAGATCAACAAAATAGATTCATGTTGAGATACATTATAATCAAACTCTTGAAATTCAGCCTACAAAAAAGAGACAATCTTCAAAGTAGCAAGAAAGAAGTGACTCATCACATACATGGCATCCTTAATGAGAGTAAAAGCTGATTTCTTGCCAGAAACCATGAAGTACAGAGGCACTGAGATAACATATTTAACGTAATAAGGAAAAAACAAATATTAACCTTGAATTTTCTATCCAGCAAAAACTGTCCTTAAAAAGGGAGAAATTAAGACATTTACAAATAAAAACTGAGAGAAGTCATTACCACTTCAGATGCACTACAAGAAATGCAAAATGGAATCCTTCAGATTGAAATGAAAGGATGTAAAGCAGTAACTCAAATCCATATGAAGAAATAAAGACTTCTAGTAAAGGTAAATAGGTGAGCAAATATAAAAGCCAGTATTACCTATTTGGCTTCTAATTATCCTTATTATTTCCTATATGATTTCAAAAACAAACACATAAAAACTATATAAACTACATAAAAACTACATAAATAGTGTATAAACTTTTTACACATTAAGTACACATGTGTAAGATATAACTTGTGACAACAATAACATAAAATGGATGGACAAAGCTGTAGAGGAGAACAGTTTTGTATACTATCAAAAACACTTTGTATCAATTCAAATTTTATTGCTATAAATTTAGAAAGATATGTGCAATCTACATGGTAAGCACAAAGAAATTATCAATAACATATATACTAAACAAACAAAATCGAAATGTGTCACTAGAAAAAATCAACTAAGGAAAGCAATAACAGAGGAAATGAGAGACATAAAAAGCTGTAAAAAGAAAAAATGGCAGAAGTTAGTTCTTCCTCATTAATAATTTCTCTAAATATATATGAATTAAATTCTCCAGTCAGAAAAAAAGAGATTGGCATAAAACATAAAGAAAACATTCTACAACAATATGTTATCTACAAAAGACTCACTTTAAATCCAAAGATACAAACAAGTTAAAAGGAACATGATGGAAAAAGATATTCCATGAAAATAGTAACCAGAAGAGAGCTGGGGTAGACATAATCATATCAGAAAGAAGAGACTTTAAGGCAGAAATGGTTACAAGAGACAAAAGATCTAATAATCAACTTATCGAGAAGTTATAACAATAATAAACATGTAGGCACCAAACAACAGAGCCCCAAAATATAGAGAGCAAACAATTAAAGAATTGACAGAGAAACAGAAAAATTTACAATAATAGTTGAAAATTCAATATTCCACATTAAATAACTGAAAAAGCATCTACATGGAAGGTTATTAAGGATAAAGATGGCTTAAACAACATTACATACTAGATACACCTAGAAGGCATATACGAAATACTCTATCCCAAAACAGCTGAATAAACGTGCTACTCAAGTACATATGAAACATTCACCAGGACACACCATAAGTTAAGCCATAAAATAACTGACAAAAAATGTTAAAACAGTAATATAACACAAAGGATCTTCTCTAAATAAAATGGAATGAAGCTAGAAATCCACAGCAGAAGGGAAAAAGGAAAATACACAAGTATGTGGAAATTTAAAAACACACTCAGCTGGATGCAGCAGCTCGTGCCTGTAATCCCAGCACTTTGGGGGGCCGAGGAAGGCAGATCATGAGATCAGGAGATCAAGACCATCCTGGCTAACATGGTGAAACACTGTCTCTACTAAAAATACAAAAAAATTAGCCAGGTGTGGTGGCAGGCACCTGTAGTCCCAGCTACTCGGGAGGCTGAAGCAGGAGAATGGTGTGAACCTGGGAGGTAGAGCTTGCAGTGAGCCAAGATTGCACCACTGCACTCCAGCCTGGGTGATAGAGCGAGACTCCAGCTCAAAAAAAAAAAACAAAAAAAACAATCAAAGAACCAATGGATCAAAGAAGAAATCACAAGGGAATTAGAAAATATTTAGAGATGAATTTTAAAGAAACACAACACGACAAAACTATACCATGTAGCAAATGCAGTTGCTCAGAAGGAAATTTATAGCCATAAGAACCTACATTTTAAAAAGATGTATCTCATTAATATCCTAAGTTTGTATCTTGAGAACCTAGTAACTTAAGAACCCAGAAACAGAATAGCAAACTAAACTCAAACATAGAAGAAAATAAATAATGAATATTAGAGTTGAAATTTTAAAAGGAGAAGGGATGGAAAAACAATTGAGAATCAAAGCAGAAGTTTATTTCCTTAAAAGAATGTTCAATTTTGCAAACCCTTAGCTAGATTACTAAAGAAAAAAAAGGATGCAAATAACTAAAATCCAAAATGACATGAGAACACTATGATTAACTATAAAGAAATAAAAATGATTATAAGATAATAAAAAGAATTATTAGATATATTACAATGAATCCATCTTATTCTGGGCTTTTGTTTGAAGACTTTTTGTTACTGACTCAATCTTGCTACTCATTACTGGTCCGTTCAGGTTTGCATAATGCTAAATACCTTATAAAATGGATTATTAGATAGTTAGAGTAAGTATTAATAAGGAAGCTGCCATTTTATTATTTTTTCTCTATATACATAAAACAGCATTTTTGTCCTTCATTTCTTCTATTATTGATTTTCTTAGTTGATTTTTTATAGTGACACATTTTGATTCCATTTATTTAGTATATATTCTATATTTATATAATAAATTATTAAATATATTTATAATTATAAATATTTATAAATTATAATTTTCCATCAAATTAAATAATTTAGATAAAATGGACAAATAGCTAGAAACACCTGGATTACCTAAACTGACTCAAGAAAAGTCTTAACCAATATAACAAATGAAGAGACTGAATCAGTTATCAAAATCTCCCAAAAAAGAAAAATTCAGGGACAGGTAGCTTCACTGGTGAATTCTACCCAACTTCTGAAGAAGAATACCAAACCCTCTAAAACTGTTATAACAACTAGAAGAGGATGTAAATACATCCTAACTCATTCTGTAAGGACAGCATAATCCTTATACCAAAGCAAGTGTAAAATAAAGGTATCTCAATAATGTAAGGTTGGTTTAACATCAAAAAAATCAATTAATAGAGTACACCACACCAGTATAGTGAAAGACGAGGCTGGGTGCAGTGGCTCACGCCTATGTAATCCCAACATTTTGGGAGGTTGAGGTAGGTGAATCGCTTTGAGCTAAGGAGTTCGAGACCAGCCAAAGCAACATGGCAAAACCCTGTCTCTACAAATAATTAGCAAGGCTTGATGGCTGATGCCTGTAGTACCACCTGCTTCCAAGGTTGAGGTTGGAGGATTGTTTGAGCCTAGGAAGCAGAGGTGGCAGTGAGCTGAGTCATCCCACCACACTCTAGCCTGGCTGACAGAGTGAGACCCTGTCTCAAAAAAAAAAAAAAAGAAAGAACAGAGAAACCACATGATCATTTCAATAGATGCAAAAAAAAAAAAAAAAGTAAAAGTATTTGGCAAAATCCAATATTCCCTTCATAATGAAAAACACCTGGTGAGAGGAAGTGGAGCAAGATGGCTAAATAGAAGCCTCAAGCAATCATTCTCCATGCACGAACACCATATTGAACAACTATCCACACACAAAAAAGTACCTTCTTAAGAACCAAAACTCAGGTGAGCAATCACAGTACCTGGTTTTAACATCGTATTAAAGAAAGAGGCACTGAAGAAGGAAGGACAGACAGTCTCAAGTAACACACACAACCCCTTCCCTATCCCCCAACAGTAGCTGCATGGTGCAGAGACAGAAATTGTGTTATTGGGAGAGGCAGAGCACAGGGACTGTGGAACTTTGCACTACAACTCAGTGCTACTCTGTCATAGTAGAAAGCAATATGGGGCAGAACTCAGCTGGCACCATGGAGGGAACATGTAGACCAGCCCTAGCCAGAAGCAAATCTCCCAACCCAGCAGTTGGAATCTGAGTTCAGGCAAGCCCTGTCACAATGAGCTAAGGTGATCTGAGGTCCTAAATAAACTTGAAAGGCAGTCTAGGCCACAAGGATTGCAATTCCCAGGCAGTCTTGGTGGTGTGCTAGACTCAGAGCCAGTGGACGTGAGGTGCATGTGACCTAATAAAATACCACCCAGGGCAGCACAGGGAATACTTGTATCACCCATCATCTAAGCAAAGGCAGTGCAGCTCACAGCTCCAGGAGAGACTCGTACCTTCTGCTAAAGGAGAGTAGAGAATTAAGAGGACTTAGTCTTGCAACTTAGACACCAGCTGAGCCAAATTACAATAAGGCACCAGGGAGTGCCCTGAGGCACGCATTCCAGGACCTAGCTCCTGAACAACATTTCTAACCATGCCCTGGACCAGAAAAAAAAAACACTCCTCTGAGGGAGAGACCTGGTCCCAACAGGATTCATCTCCTGCTGACTAAAGAGCCCTTGGGTGATGGACGTGTGGAGAGACTTCTCGGCTTGAAGAAAAGGGAGAGAAGAGTGGGAAGGACTTTGTATTGATGCTTGGTTGCCAGCTCAACCATAATGGAATAGAGGACCAGGTAGATTCCTACTTTTCCCGACTCCAGGCCCTGACTCCCGGATGGCTTCTCTACACATGGCCAGGGCAAACTTGCCGTACTGAAGGGAAGGACACAGGTCTTGCTGGATTAACGAATTGCTGATTGTGGAGTCCTTAGTCCCTGAGTAAACACAGGCAAAAACCACACAGTGGTATCCATGGGCCTTAGTGAGAACCAGTGCTGCACTAGCTTCAAGTATGACCCAGCTCCTTTCCAATGTTGGTGGTCACAGGGGTGCTTGTGTCACCCATTCACTAAATCCAGGCAGCTCATATAGAGAAAGATTCCATTTGTTTCAGGGAAAGTAAGGGAAGAGAACAAGAGTCTCTGCCCAGTAATCTAGGAAATTCTCCCGGATATCACACAAGACCACCAAGGCAGTATTTCTATGAGTCTACAAGAGGCACAGTGTTACGGGGCTTACGGTGCCCTCTAATGCAGATAAGGCTACAATGACCAAAGACATAGATCACAACATCCAAGTCCCTTCGAATACTAGGAAAGCCCTCCTGAGAAAGATGAGTACAAACAATCCCAGACTGTAAAGAATGCAATAGATACCTAACTCTTCAATGCCTGGATACCAATGAATATCCACAAGCATCAAACCATTCAAGAAAACATGACCTCACCAAATGAATTAAATGAATAACCAAGGGCAAATCGTGGAGAGACACAGATATGTGATCTTTCAGACAGATAATTCAAAATAGTTGCTTTGAGGAAGTGCAGTCAAGATAACACAGATAAGGAATTAAGAATCCTACAGATATATTTTTAAAAGGAATTGAAGTTATTAAAAAGAATAAAGCAGAAATTCTGGAACTGAAAAATGTAACTGACATATTAAAGAATGCATCAGTCTCTTAAAAGCAGAAATGATCAAGCAGAAGAACTAGTTAGATTGAAGACGGGTTGTTTGAAAATACACAGTTAGAGGAGACAAAAGAAAAATGAGGAAAAAGAATGAAGCACACACACAAGATTGAGAAAATAAAGTGAAAGGGCAAATCTAACAATTACTTGCCTTAAAGAGAGGTAGAGAGAGGTCAGGCTAGAAAATATATTCAAAGGGATAATATCAGAGAACATCCCAAACCTAGGGAAAGATATCAATATCCAAGAACAAAAAGGTTATAGACCATGAAGTAGATGTAACCCAAAGAAAACTACCTCAAGGTATTTAATAATCAAAATCCCAAAGTCCAAGGATAAAGAAAGGATACTGACAGCAGAAAAAAAAAAAAAACACAAATAACATACAATGGACCTCTAACACATCTGGCAGCAGACTGCACAGTGGAAACTTTACAGGCCAGGAGAGAGTGTCATGACATATTTAAAGTGCTGAAGGAAAAAAAAAAACTTTTAACATAGAATAGTATATCCATCAAAAATATCCTTCAAACAAAAGACTTTCCCAGACAAACAAAAGCTGGATTACATCAATACCAAATCTGTCCTACAAGGAACGCTAAAAAAAATTCTTCAATTTGAAAGAAAATAAAAAACAACATTAATAAGCAATAAGAAGTCATACAAAGGAACAAAGCTCACTGGCAATAATAAGTATATAGACAAATACAGAGTATTATAAAAGTGTAATTGTAGTGTAAACTACTCGTATCTGGAGTAAAAGCAATAAAAGGTAAATCTACCAAAATAACTGTGACAACTTTCAAAACATAATACAGTAGAATAAGATATAAATAAAAAGAACAAAATGTTACAAAACAGGATGAAGATTAGAGTTTATATTAGTTTTCTCTTTGAGTGTTTCTTAAATTGTATATGCAATCAGTGTTAAGATGTAATCAGTTTAAAATAATGGGTGATAAAACAGTACATGCAAGCCTCATGGTAACCTCAAATAAAGACACATACAATGGATACAAAAATAAATAAATAAGAAATTAAATCATACCACCAGAGAAAATCACCTTTACTAAAAGAAAAACAGAAGGAAGAAAACATGGAAGAGAAGACCACAAAACAACCAGGAAGCAAATAATAAATGGCAGGAGTAAGTCCTTACTTATCAATAATAATGCTACAGGTAAATGAAACAAACACTCACTAATAATGCGGAAGGTAAACAGACCAAACTCTCCACGTATATATATTTTTAAAAAGCAAGACTCAATGATCTGTTGCCTACAAGAAACTTCAGGGGACCAGGCATGGTGGTGCATACCTATAACCCCAGCACTTTGGAAGGCAGAGGCAGGAGGGTCACTTGAGCCCAGGAGTTTGAGACTAGTCTGGGCAACATAGCAAGACCTCATCTCTACAAAAATTAAAAAGCAAAAAATTAGCCAGATATAGTGGTATATGCCTGTAGCCTCAGCTACTCAAGAGGCTGAGGTGGGAGGATTGCTTGAGCCTAGGAGGTGGAGACTGAAGTGAGCCATGATCGTGCCACTGCACTCCAGTCTGGGTGACAGAGCGAGACCATGTGTCAAAAAAAAAAACAAAAACAAAAACCTAACCTATAAAAATACATACAGATCGAAAATAAAAGGGTGAAAAAAATATTCCATGCAAATGAAAACCAAAAAGGAGCAGGAGTAGCTATACCTCCATCAGACAAAATAGATTTCAAGACAACAACTATAAAAAGAAATAAAGATCATTATATAATGATAAAGAGGTCAATTCAGCAAAAGAATATAACAAATATAAATATATATGCACCCAACACTGGAGCACCAAGATATATAAAGAAAATATTATTATAGCTAAAGAAAGATAGTCCCCAATACAATAACAGCTGGAGGCTTCAACACCCCACCTTCAGCATTGGATAGGTAATCCAGACCAAAAATCAACAAAGAAACAACAGACTCATCTGCACTACAGAACAAATGTACCTAATAGATATTTACACCATATTTTATCCAATGGCTGCGAAATACACATTCCTTTCCTCAGCATGTAGCTCGTTCTCAAGGATAGGCCATATGTTCACCATAAAACAAGTGTAAACAATTCAAAGAACTAAAATTATATCAAGCATCTTCTCTGACCACAGTGGAATAAAACTAGAAATAAGTAACAAGAAAAATTTTGGAAATGACACATCACATGGAAATTAAACAATATGCTCCTGAATAACCAGTAGGTCAATGAAGAAATTAAGAAGAAAACTGAAAAATTCCCAGAAGCAAATGATAACGGAAACACACCATACCAAAATCTATGGGCTACAGTGAAAGTAGTACTAAAAGCAAATTTTATGCTGTAAGAATCTACATCAAAAAAGCACCTAACAAATAAACAACCTAACAATGCATCCTAAAGAACTAGAAAAGCAAGAGCAAACAAAATGCAAAATTAGAAGAAAAGAAATAATAAAGATCAGAGCAGAAATCAATGAAATTGAAATACACAATACAAAAGAACAATGAAAAGAAACTGGGTTTTTTGAAAGATAAACTAAGTGGGCAAAACATTAGCCAGATTAACTCAGAAAAAAAGAAACCCAAATAAATAAAATCAGAGATGAAAAAGTAGACATTACAACAGATACTGCAGAAATTCAAAGGATTATTAATGGCTACTATGAGCAACTATATGCTAATAAATTCAAAAATCTAGAATAGACAAATTCATAGACACATACAACCTACTAAGACAGAACCACGAATAAATCCAAAACCTGAACAGATCAATAACAGGTAATGAGACTGAAGCCTTATTAAAGTCTACCAGAAAAGACATCTCCCAGCTTCACCGCTGATTTCTACCAAACTTTTAAATAAGAGCTAACACCAATCCTGCTCAAACTATTCTGAAGAATAGAGAAGGGAATACTTCCAAACTCATTCTACAAGGCCAGTATTACCCTGATACTAAAGCCAGACAAAGACACATCAAAAAAAGGAAACTACAGGCCAATATTCCTGATGAACACTGATACCAAAAATCCTCAATAAAATATTAGCACCAAATCAAAAAGATCATTCATCATGACCAAGTGCAATTTATCCTAGGGATGCAAGGATGGTTTAACATATGCAAATCAATCATTGGGATACATCATGAGATACATCATATCAACAGAATGAAAGACAAAACCTGGCCAGGTGTGGTGGCTCACGCCTGTAATCCCAGCACTTTGGGAGGCTGAAGTGGGCAGATCACCTGAGGTCAGGAGTTCGAGACCAGCCTGGCCAACATGGCAAAACCCTGTCTCTACTAAAAAAAGAAACATCAGCCAGGCCCAGTGGTGGTGCATACCTGTGATCCCAGTTACTCAGGAAGCTGAGGCAAGAATCACTTGAACCCAGGAGGTGGAGGTTGCAGTGAGCCAAGATCGTGCCACTGCACTCCCGCCTGGGTGACACAGCGAGACTCCATCTCAAAGACAAAAGGAAAAAAAAAAACCACATGATCATTTCAATTGATGGTGAAAAAGCATTTGATAAAATTCAACATTGTGTCATGATAAAAACTCTCAAAAAACTGGATATAAAAGGAACATACCTCAAAACAATAAAAGCCATAAATGACAGCCCAGAAGCTAGTATGATACTGAATGTGGAAAAGCTGAAAGCTTGATGCTAAAATCTGAAACATGACAAGAATATCCACTTTCACCACTATTGTTCAGCACAGTACTGGAAGCCCTAGAGCAATCAGACAAGAGAAAGAAAGGACATCCAAGTTGGAAAGGAAATAGTCAAATCATCCTTGTTTGCCAATGATATAATCTTATATTTGGAAAAACCTGAAGAGTCCACCAAAAACCTATTAGAATGAATAAATAAATTCGGTAAAGTTGCAGGATACAAAATTAACATACAAAAATCAGTAGCATTGCCATAGGCCAACAGCAAACAATCTGAAAAAAATTAAGAAAGTAATCCTACTTATGATAGCTACAAATAAAATTATATACCTAGGAATTAACCAAAGTAGTTAAAGATCTCTACAATAAAAACTATAAAACATTGATGAGAGAAATTAAAGATAGGATACAAAAAAAAATGGAAAGAAATACCTTGCTCATGGATTGGAAGAATCAATATTGTTAAGATGTCCATACTGCCCAAAGCCATTACAGATTCTATGCAATCCCTATCAAAATACTAATGACATTCTTCGCAGAATTTTTTTTAATCTGAAAATTATAAGGAATCACAAAAGACCCAGAGTAGCCAAAGCTATCCTGAGCAAAAAGAACAAAACTGGAGGAATCACATCACCTGACTTCAAATCATATTACAAAGCTATAATAACCAAAATGACATGGTACTGTCATAAAAACAGACACATAGACCAATGGAGCAGAATAGAGAACTCAGAAATATAGTGATACATCTACAGTGAACTCACTGTTAACAAAAGTGCCAAGAAAATACCTTTGGGAAGACAGTGTCTTCAGTTAACTGTGCTGGGAAATGGATATACATATGCAGAAGAATGAAACTAGACCCCTATCTGTTGCCATGTACAAAATTCAAATCACAATGGATTAAAGACTTAAGTCACAGACCTCAAACTGTGAAGCTACTAAAAGAAAACACTGCAGGCTGGCTGCGGTGGCTCACGCCTGTAATCCCAGCACTTTGGGAGGCCAAGGTGGGCGGATCACCAGGTCAGGAGATCGAGACCATCCTGGCTAACACGATGAAACCCCGTCTCTACTAAAAATACAAAAAATTAGCCGGGTGTGGTGCCGGGCGCCTGTAGTCCCAGCTCCTCGGGAGGCTGAGGCAGGAGAATGGCATGAACCCGGGAGGCAGAGCTTGCAGTGAGCAGAGATCTTGCCACTGCACTCCAGCCTGGGTGACAGAGCGAGACTCCACCTCAAAAATAAAAAAAAAGGAAAAGAAAACATTGCAGGAACTCTACAGGACATTGGACTGGACAAAGATTTCTTGAGTAATACTCCACAGGGACAAGAAACCAAAGTAAAAATGTACACATGGGATCATATCAACTTAAAAAGCTTCCGCACAGCAAAGAGGGCAATCAATAAAGTGAACAGAATGGGACAATATGTACAAACTATCCACCTGACAAAGGACTAATAACCAGAATATATAAGGAGCTCAAACAACTCTATGTGAAAAAAAAATCTAATTATCTGATTTTAAAAGGGACAAAAGATGTGAATACACATTTCTCAAAAGACAAACAAATGGCAAATAGGTATTTGAAAAGACATGGATATCCACTCTTTCTCTATTTAACACTATACCAGGGTTTCCAGCAGGGAAGTATGAAATAAAATGAAATTAAAAGCACTTAGATTAGAAAGGAAGAAGTGAAACTATGTCTACTTGCAGCTGTCATGATATGATACGTAGAAAGTCTTAAGGAATTTACTAAGAAAAAAAAAATCAGAATTAGTTAACCTATTCAGAAAGGTTGCAGGATACAAGATCAGTATACAAAACTCAATTGTGTATGTATACATTATGAATGAATGATCTGAAGAGAAAATTTAAAACAGTTCCGATTACAATAGCATCAAAAATAATAAAATATTCAGGAATACATTTACCCAAAGAAGTGCAAATTTATACCCTGAAAGCTACAAAACAACTGAAAAAATTGAAGACCAAAATAAGTGGAAAACATCACATGTTGATGGATCAGAAGATTCTTAATATTATTGAGATGGTAATACTCCCCAAACTGATCTACTGATTCAAGGCAATCTCTATTAAACTCTCTGATGGCCTTTTTGGCCAGAAGAAAAAAGATAATTGTAAAATTCATATGAAAATACAACAGACCCAGAATAACTAATCTAGAAAAAGAAAAAATATGGAGGACACATATACCCCAATTTCAAAACTTGCTACAAATCTGCAACATCCAAGAAAATGTGGCATAGACAGGAGGGCAGATGTATAGATCAAATAAACAGAACTGAGGTCCAAAAATGAACCCTTATATTTACAGTCAACTGATATTCAATAATGGTATCAAGACAATTCAGTGGGGAAAAAAGAATTTTCTTCAACAAATGGTGCTGAAACAACTAAATAACACATACAAAAGCATGACATTAGGCCTGTATCTCACACCATATTCAAAAGTTAACTCAAAATGTATCAAAGAATGAAATGTAAGACATAAAACTATAAAACTCCTAGAACAAAACAAAGGTGTCAATCTTCATGACCTTGGATTAGCAATGGTTTCTTAGATATGACATCAAAAGCATGGGTAACACCAAAAAAAGTAGATAAATAAAATATTATCGAAACTAAAACCTGGTATTTTAAGAACACCATCAAAAGAGTAAAAAGTAACAAAGAATTTAAGAAAAAATAGTTTCAATGTATATATCTTGATAAAGAACGTGGATCCAGTATGTACACAAAAGATTTGAATAGACATTTCTCCAAAGATAGTAATACATGAAAAGATGCTCACCGTCATTTCCCATCAGGAAAATGCAAATCAAAACCACAATGATTCCAGACCAGCCTGGCCAACATGGCAAAACCCCATCTCTACTAAAAATACACAAATTATCTGCATGTGGTGGCACGCGCCTGTAGTAATTTGCCTCTTCTCGGGAGGAGAATAGCTTGAACCCGGGAAGGCAGAGGTTGCAGTGAGCTGAGATCACACCACTGTATTCCAGCCTGGGCAACAGAGCAAGACTCTGTCTCAAACAAACGAACAAATAAAAAACCATAATGAGATATCACTTCACATTCCTGAGGTGGCTATAACAAAAAGGGCAAACAATTACAAGTGTTGATGTGAACATCGAAAAATCAAAATCCTCAAAGTGTCTGAATGTAAACTGTCGCAGCTGCTTTGGAAAATAGTCTAGCAGTTCCTCAAAAGCTTAAAAACAGTTACCATATGACCCAATAATCTCACTCCTAAGTATATACCCAAGAGAAATGAAAATATATATACATGTAGGAAATAAAAAGTAGTATCTTTTCCTTACCCATGGCAAAGTTCATGGCTGACATCCCAGTAATAAAAGATAAATTACTAAGAGAAAAATATAACATTTATTTAACCAAAGTTTTACATGACACAGAAGATGTTGGAAATGAAGACCAGAAGACTCAGGGAAAACTGTGTATTTTTATGGACAGTCGTGCAAAACTGTGACTGGAGGACAAAGGCATATGATTCTGTGGTAAAATAAACTTATTAGAAAGGCCTGTTTGTTGAGATTCTTCTTGGACTCTAGGTACAAGACAGAACCTCTCTGAATGAGGGTCATAAGATCTACTTTCCAGGAAGGTAGCTATGAGAATTCTTTTATGACCATGCTTCATGGGAGAAAGCTGGGAGAAGATCAGTGAACAATCTTGCTGCTTCCGTGGGTATTGAGTAAATGATGTGGACCATCACATCCAAAAATAAATTATGAATAGATTAAAGACTTTAGGGTGGGAAAAACTTTGTCATATAAAACCTTTAAACATTTGAGAAGAAAATAATAAAATGACTACCAAAATTCACAAACTTTTGAAATTCCAGTTTTCTTTATTCAACGTCTGTAGAACAGAAGGTATTTATAAGATATGAAGTATTAGTATCCAAAATAAGTAATGAATGCCCAAAAAGCAATAAGAAAAAGACAATAACCCCATGAGAAAAAAATGTAACACAAGTCACAGCAAATCCCAGAACTGATTATTCAAGTAGAATAAATAAGGAAATAAAAATTATCACCAAATAATCATGTAGCTGTGAATTAATACAAGTACTGATTTACCCTTATCACACTTCCAATTTGTTTTAATGCTGCACAGAAGCAGAAACTGATATAAAAATTAAGAAAATAAATCCACCAGAATTCAGTTCTCTCAATGGCTCAGTCACCCCATGATTGTGCACTAATAGACTTAAATATTTCCATAAATAATCTGCAACAGGTTTATACACCGAGAAAGATGTATCCTTCTCCCCTAACTTAAATATTCTTGCACACATGCATATACACACACATATATCCATACATATTACCATCGTCCCTCAGTATTCCTGGAGGATTGAACCCAGCCAGGGGTCTCCAAATACCAAAATCCATGGATGCTTTAAGTCTCTTATATAAAATGGCATAGTATTTGCAAATACCCTACACACGTTCCCATATACTTTAAATCATGTCTGGATTACTTAAAATACTGAATACAATGTAAACAGTTGTTATACTGTATCTTTTACTTGTTTTTTTTAATTATTGTATTGTTACTTTTAATTGTGTTGTTTTTTTTTTCTGAATAGCTTGATCCACTGATACAGAACCTGCAGATACATATGGTCAACTGCTTGTAACTGTTGACTAACCGTGTGTGTGTGTGTGTGTGTGTGTGTGTGTGTGTGTGTGTGTGTGTGTGTGTAGGGGCATATACATGGAGAGACCACCATATTTACTAGTACTAAAATCTGTGTCTGCCCTTTTCAACAAAATCTATAGTTTAAAAAAAAATGTAATTTAATAAGAAAAGAAATTAGCAAAAACCTCTAAAGACAAAGAGAATGCCATAAAAAAGTATTATTTTGAAAAATACTAATAAAATTGTAAGAAACCACTGCCTCACTTGATTAGCCTTTTAAAAAGGGTATAAGATTATAAAGATTGATTGTAACTTTTATCTTCTATAAAAATAAAATTTTCCCATAAATAAGGCCCTTTAAAGTCAAAGAAAGCACCTTTAAAGTCAAAGAAAGCACCACCATAGAACCACGTATTTGTATTGTTTAACTGTTTAGTATTTTTTACACTTTATATTTCAAAGGATCTAGAAAATAGTCTTAAAAACTATACTGCAACAAATTATAGCTATCTTTGTAAGCTTAAGCCTTAAGTGAAAAAGTTAAAACCAATGATTCTAAATATGTTATTTGAAAACACATTTTCTTTCAAAATGCAATAGCCTTTATTTTTTAATGATTACATTTTAGGATAACCATTTGAAGTCAGTTTCCTGCTTTGCAACATCAATTTTTAAAAAGCTATGGGTCTTAAGTGAAAGAATATAAATTAATGCTAGTCCCCACTGGTGGATATGAATATATAAGTTGTTAAAGAAAATAACATGTATTAAACTTCCTAGAAAAAGTTAGATCCAAAAGAGGAGTATGGATTCCATTCCTATTGTATACCTTTATTTTTGCATCAGTGCTATATTTTTCTTTTCTCAAATGTGCTTCCTGCTTCCTCAATTTCTCCAGGTCATTTAGCAGGTCAGTGCAGCGGGTACTTAATTTCTTGTTTTCCTCCTCCAGATTTTTTATAACTAGTCTGTTTTGCTCTTCTTTGTTCTGTACACACTCCTTAGTGTCCTGTAGAACAGTACCACAAGGGCAAATAAATAAAACAAAACGAAACAAAAAACCCAAAAAATGGTGAGCACTAATCAGCAAATACAAACTGTGCAGTTTTACCCTCACAGAAGCTTCTTCTATATTTGATAGCCAAGGTCACCTGTGTACTTTTATTGGCCTCTTTTCATGCAGGTGGATGGGTCATATTTTTTCACTGGATGACAGCTTTGATGAGTACACATTTGCAAAGAGCCCATTAATTGATCAAGCTGCCTTTGATGCTGTCCCCAGCTATTTTTGAGACCCATACAGACATATCCTCCCAGACCTGGGTTTTATCAATTAATAATGCCAGTCCCATCAGAATCTAATTACAAGAAGCCACATATTCACACTCCTACTTTCTTAGCTCCATTTCCATCATTAACTATTTATCTAAAAGTTATAAAGCTTGGAGTTCTGGCTTTAAAGCATCTTTATCAGAGTTTTTGCATGTGAGAAAACTGTATGGTACAGGAGGGCCTAAGGCAATTTTTCCTCCAAATCTGTCACTTTCTGTGCCACAAAGGCTAACAAAGCTTAAAGCAGAACTTCAAAGCAACAGTCCCACAAAACTATGTACAAGTCAACACACCTTAATTTCTTGACTTTTATCTTTAAATTTCTTCTCCAAGTCACTGAATTCTTTCCTTAAGAAAGCATTTTCTTCATCTACTGCAATTTTCCGTTTTACAAGGTCATTTATTTCCTGTTTCAGTACTGACTCTCTCTGTGGAAAAAAATTTAAATTACTGGTGAGCTTTTATTTCTAAGAAAAACAGTATTTTATTTTAAAGGTTTTACATTTTGATTTGCTAATGTGATGATTAAATAGCTTTCATAATAATGTCTGTCACCACAATTCTCATCTCCTGTAACATGCCCATGAATTTTTAACTAAAATGTGCAAGTACAGGGCCTATTTATGTTGAAGAACACATAAAAACTGGATATTAAATATTAAATCATACTCAGAAAGCAAATTTTCAAAATTTAGGTGTGTAACAGGAGAAAAACAAGATTTTACGAACCATTCTAATTAAAGAAAATATATTTATAGCTAACATAATTCCTTATTCTTTTATTTGAATGTCATTTAGAAGGAACTTTTCTGATAAACTATGATTTTGTAAAAGCATAAATCACTTTAAAATTTTTAAAATGGCAAGTTTATTTTAGTACTAATAATATCTTGCTCTGTAGACAGAATATTTAGAATGTTAAGGCTGCCAAAATTTTTAACCGAACATTCTTCTCACCTGTGAGATACCTAAATTACACCTACGAGGTGGATGTACCCCAGACTCAATTTTTAGCTTTCCTTGTTTCTCTGTACATCTTTTCTCTCAGAAAATGTAGCACCTCTCTTGGCTGCTGATCTTTCCTCTGTCTGAAAGACTATCTAATCTATAATCCAGCCCTCACCTTCCCAATCACCAATCTCATATTTCCAGCTATACAAGACCTCTCCCTTTGGATTGTCTACTATCTCAAACTAACTTACTAAAAATGAAATCCATATCCTGATACTATCTCTTTCCTAAACTTCTTCAACTTTTATCAATCCATCCATTCTTTCAACTAATATTTATTAAACACATAGTATCTAGCCTCACACAATTATTGGAAGCCTCCAAGTCAGACTCAATAACACCTTCTGTCTGTCAACCAAGAAAGAGACACATCAAGATAGAAACACCTTTTTTTTTTAAGTAATATGCTCAGTTGACCTTTATTCCATTTCTGATCTATCACTGGTGCTGATCCCTAAATATCGATTTATTTTATACTCTCACATTTCTTCCTTATCAAATTGTCTCCAAAGGACTTGGGAATAAACTGAAAATGAGAGGAAGATCCAGGATTATGATGAAAAGTGGATTTTAGGAATAAAGTGAAAATATATCCAATATTCTATTTTATTTAGTTAGTTTTTTTTGAGAGACAGGTCTCGCTCTGTCATGTCACCCACTCTGGAGTGCAGTGGCACAATCATGGCTCACGGCAGCCTCGAACTCCTGGACTCAAGGGATCCTCCCACCTCAGCTTCCCAAGTAGCAAGGACCATAGGTATGTGCCACCAACCCAGCTAATTTTTAATTTTCTTTGTAGAAATGAGGTCTCACTATGTTACCTTCTCAAACTCCTGGACTCAACTAATCTTCCCAGCTTGGCCCCGCTGAGATAACAGGTGTGAGCCACCGTGCCCAACCCCAATACTCTAATTTTTAAAAGTGTAATATTAATTATTGATTTTATTTTACTTATAGTTAAAAAATAATTTAGACGCTGAATACATACAAAAATAATCTGTGATCAGTGTGTAAATAATTTTTTAAAAAAATAAGTAAAAGGAGAGGTCCTGTACGTAACCAACATTCAGCTAGGAAACACAACTGTACCATTATCTTTGATATCTCATAAATGACCCTTTATCCTCTAGTACCTCTTATTCCCTCCAAGGGTAAGCATTATCCTGAAACCCTGATTCTTATCTTTGCCTTGCTTTTCTTTATAGTTCAAAGACAGATATATGTCCCTATTTAATATGCTGTATAGTTTTGCTTACTTCTGAACTTAAATCATATTACACATATTACATAGCTTGCTATTTTTGCTCAACATATGTTCCCAAATTTATTCATAATAATGAATGTAACTAGATCAATTTCTTGATGTACAGTATTAGTCCATCAGATAACTATGCTATATTTATCCATCTTTTATCAGTGTGTATTTCAGCTGTTTCCCATTTGAGGTAAAGGGGTATACAAACAATACTGCTATGAACACTCTTCAGCATGACTGCAAATATTCATGACCAAGAATTTCTCCCAAGCAGTGTTTTTCAAACTGCAGACTGCAATCTAGTAATGGGTCATTAAATCGATTTAGTTACAATAAGTGGCATTTTTTTAAACGGATTATAATACAATAGAAAATATCAAGGTAATAGGCACACATTCTTAGCAATGAAACTACAGTTAAAGGAATAAACTTATAAAACAGACATGCTTCATAAATTATTTTCTAAATTTTTATCATGTTTAAGATTTTTATTGTATTTAAATATTAGTAAATTCACATTTGATATAAACATTTTCATATATTTACCTTAATTATATGTAGTAAAAATAACTTATACGAAACTTACTTCATGTGTGTATAATGGGTCATGAAGTAAAATGTACTTCAGCGTGGGGATCATACTAACAAAAGTTTGAAGAACACTTCTCTGGATTATATCCACTTAAAAGTGAAATTGCTAAGTCAAAGACTATTTGCATTTCAAGAGTTTTCATTATTCTACCTCCATACCAACACTTAACTCTCAGGGTTGGAAATTTTTTTAAATCCAGTAAGTACAAATAGCATCTCAGTTTTTAACTTTTCTGTTCTATTTTAATTATTAGGCCATATCAAAATGTGCCTGACATCAATCAAATAACATAAAAATAGATGCATAAAAATGGCTCCTCCACAATTTACAATCAATTTTTCTACTCTCAGCTAAGTCTTATGCCCCTTTAAGACTCGACTTCCACCTCCTCAATAAAAGCTTCCCTTACTATCTCAGTATTTTGTAATTCTTGCCATTTCTAAATTTTTGTATTATCTATATTATACATTTGATACACAACAAACTACCGAGTGTTGCTAATAATCTATCTACTCATAATATCTCCCAAACTAGACTGTTAAGTGTTTACAGATGAAATTGACACTAAATAATAAATTCAATAATATAAGCATTAAAACTGTTTGTAAAATACCCATAAGCCTATCCTTTGAAGGAGAAATGACAAAATTTGAGCATATCTTGTCTATTCTGAAATTAGTTAAACTCTAGGAAGAACCAAATGACAAGTTTTAAAAGAGTTTTCCCATTAAAGTAAACTAAACAGGCACTGACAATATAAATGATACCAATAGAGAGTCCTTTCATGAGAATTATTTAATAATTTAGATTTTGGCATTTGAGTGAACTTATAATAGTAATTCAAAAGGACAAACACAGACTCAATCTGTAAATTAAAAAGCATAATAAAATTTAAAAAATTGGTTAACCAAAATTATTATATTCCGATAATTAGTTTAATATTAAATTGCATAATATAGTTACTTATATCACAAAATCATTAAAGAAAATAAGTTAGACAAAGATTCTCTCCCAACACAAGAGCACTGATAAACTCTAAAAGTGTAAAAGTTTGTATAAATCAACATATTTTCCTAATAAAATATACCCTCTATAAATAATGAAAGCACAGACATATACAGTTAAAGTTCATTTTAAAATTAAGCTTTATTAATATTTTTCAACAAATCTTTCTGAATAGAGGCAGGTAAATTCTTAATAGCCTGGCTTGAGTTAATATTAAAACAGCAAACAGAATTCAGAGGAACCATAAAGCAATAAGGGATGACAAGAGAGAGAATGTCTGGAACAAATAATTTATTACAGATAAGCCATGAAATGAATGAATAATTCAAATAATGGTCAAGAGAAGTCTACAGAGTAACAAGAGAATAATAGTGAGTATGAAGCAGGCATAAAAATGGGTGGGGGGTAGGGAAGGGGCATAAGGCCCAAACCCCAAACTCTATTAGGCAATACTTGAGCATAGTTAATTTATTATTTATACTGACCTATTTTCAAAATGGACATGAAACTTTTAACAAAAAACAAACAAAGCAGTAATTAAACCACAATAACTAAAGCAATGATAAGTGGAGAAAAAGGAAGGGATAAAAGAAGTAATTGCAATTATGAAACAAAACTTCTGAGCTTCCTAGAAGGTAAGGAAAAAATGAAATATAATGTTAAAGAGCAATTATCATCTAATTAAATACAATTTACTAGGTTATCATAAGTCATGCTATCAAAGCACAATACTAGAAGGGAAATGTATTAACATTGTTTTATAACAGTGACAAAGCTAAAACATAGTCTTACCCAAAAAAAGGCAATTCTTTATACTAATAATTATTAGATTGCACCCTAGGAAAGTTTTTCTGCAAACAGCTAAAAAAAAACTGTGTGTGTGTGTAACTTTCTAGTAATTTCACTAGATACAGAAGTAAGAGTTAAATAAGCTGAAGGATTTGTCATTCTAATTCTTACTCTATCTCATAGCTATAAATCTTGAACATTAGGAGCTATTTAATATTTTTCAGTGGAACAACAACAATTCAATGGAGGGGGCTTCTGGTTTCCAGTCCAGCATATAAGGAACTTGGCAGTCATCTTTCTCATTTACACAATAAGAAAAAACGCTGAACAAACTGAAAATCAACAACTCTTTTCAGATCCATCAGAGAATTGAGACTATCCAGCAAACCAACGCTCCCAAAATTGAAGAGACAGACATGAAAATAGAGAGAATAACAACTTAATGGAACAGATGCCCAGGAGAAAAAACTTCCACAGGAGCCAGCACCAGGGTGGAAAAACTTATTCTGTAATTAATGAATTACTGGAAGATCAATATGGACAAGTCTGAGAGTTTAAAACTCAAGGATGGCTCAGTCATGCTTGGGGGAAGGGGGCAAGCAGTACTCAGAGGAACCATAAAACAATAAGAGGTGACACATTTTCATAAGTTTAACCTACTGGACCCCTGTCATGTTGTCACAGGGAAGATCACACAATTATTCCTTCCTGTTTCCAGTATGTGGAGGGAGAAAGTAACCATCTTTAAACACACTCAGAGTATTCTTTTCTTCTTACCAAGGCCTGCCATCAAGAAAAACTATTTTACCAGAGCCCAGACTCATGGGGTTTTACCTGAGCCTAACTAACCAACTTGGAAAAGGGAAATACCCAACTCTAGCACCTTCTAGCCTTCCTGTCTCTCCTAAGGGGGTAAGGGGAGGGGGGAAACAAACAAACAAAAAACTAAGAAGCACTTTTGAAGGTCACAGTCCAGAAGCACAGCTCACCATGAAAAAAACCCAAACATAACACTACAGACCGCTTCCTCTCCTCCCCCAACACCCCACCACCACATCAATGGGACTATTGTATAATTAATAGGTTTGACCAAACAAAGCAGTTTAAATAGCAACTATTAAATTAAATTGCCTCTGTAGGTAGCTAACTGTAACCTAACAACATGTAAACACAACCCTACTTGAGAGTATATTTTTGTATAGTAGCCGAGTCTCAGCCAATCACAGCAGCCAAGCATTCAGCCAATCACAAGTGCAAATTGCCAAAACATGTCCAAATAAGGCAAACACCAAACTGTAACCAATCTGGCTATTTCTGTGTGTCACTTCCATTGTCTGGCTGTACACAGTCCCAGCCCACACTGCGGAGCAGAGCTCTATGAACCACTTTTGGTCCTGAGTGTTACCCAATTCGTGAATTTTTTTCAGCTCAATTAAACTCCATTGAATTTAATTTGTCTAAGGTTTTTCTTTTTAAGAAAACTGAATTATGCATATCAAGGATATTTATAAAATCTCTACAAAAATTCAAATAAAAGGCACGGATACCAGAGTTCTGCCTCTAACTCATACCACAGCGAACAGTGGAGACAGCCTAATATCTAGCCAGATAAACATAAAACCTATTTACCCCAGCTGTTTTTACCCATTTGGTTAATTTTATATGTCAGTTTGGCTAGGCTACCCATGGTACACACGTTCTTATCTAACACCAGTCTAGATGTTATTGTGAAAGTATTCTTTAGATGTGGTTAACATTTAAATTAATGGACTTTGAGAAAAGCAGATTACCCTTCATAATGTGGGCTGGCCTCATCCAATCAGTTGAAGGCCCCAAGAAAATACTATGATCCCCAGAGGAGGAAGAAATTCTACCTCCAGGCTACCTTAGGATTTGCAATGTAACATAAACTGTTCCCTAGGTCTCCATTCTGCCAGGCTGCCCTGCAGAGTTACTTGCCAGCCCACGACTGCGTGAGCTATTACTTAAAACAAATCAGTCAATCAATCAATCCATCCCACTATCTCCCCACCCCATAATGTCACATTTCTTCATTCCTTTCCATTACTTTGTCAGAATTCAATGATCTCTTAAAATTTCATATGCCATCCCTGTTGTATTGCTTTCTAAAATTCATTTTAAAACTTCATGACTGCTAAATGTAATGTCTTTTTCAAAAACCCACTCCATTTTTTGCAGCATTTTACGACAATGACAACATTTTGCTTCTTGAAACTCTCTCTTCTCAATTCATGAGATATTGCATTGTACTCTCTCCTTACTTCTATAAAGTCTTTTCACCTCTTTCACTACAATTTTTCCTTCCTCATTAAAAATATCAGTAAATATCTTGTTCTCAAAATTCTCACTGCTTAAAGTCTTCCCTCTAACTAAACTATTAAATACCCACATCTCCAGGTCAAAACTCCTTCATCAGATTCATGCTTCCAACAGTTTGCTAAAAATCTCTAAATGGAATTCCTATCAGCATCTCAAACACAAACTTTCTAAGAGGAGCTCAAAACCTTACCTTCAAAACAATTTATACTTCCTGAAAATAAGCCTATTTTTGATAATAACGCCACTGTTCTCCTGGTTTCTCTAAGCTGAAAACCTAAGAGTCATTTTCAGAATTACTATCAAGTCCTTATGGTTCCATTTACATACCTTTAATTCCTGCCAACCTAATAATTCAGGTCCATGTCAGTGGACCTGACTATGAAATAACTATTAATAATTACGTACTGGGTATACAGTCGTCTGTATGAGACTAAAGAGTGGATGAAAGAGAAACAGACTCTGCCCTCATAGAAACAAAGTAGTGTAGGAGAATATGGCAATTTCCACCTTACTTCTATCATCACCTAATCATCAAAGAGATTTAAAAAGCGTTAAAGGCAAGAAATGTAACTCTGAATATTCTACAACACCATCACAGGATAATATATACATTTAATACATTATCTTGTTGCACCTAACTGAAAATATACTTTGTAGAAAGTTATAATCATCATTGCACAAAAATGAAATGATTAATCCTAAGAAATTTGGGTCCCTACAAAGCAAATAATTTCTATTATGAGAGTTTAATATGTTATATATAAGCTATGTGATTCCACTCAAAAGATAAATAATGAAACAATCCCTACTCAAGGATGCAGAAGTAGACAAAGAATTTAGCAAAGAAAAGGGGAAAATATATTTTCATTTACAAAAGGCAACATTTTCTAAGGGTGTGCTATGGTTATCCAAAGCTGGTAAACCAAAGAGCATTCACTAAAGCATTGCAAACTTAATGCCTAAGGATATTAAAGATTTTCCTGCTCTAACAGAATAGAGGTGTAATTGAGGAAGGGACCGCTAAACTTGTATCTACATTTTCTCAAATCGCCTGAATCTTGGGGTGGCCAAATTTTTTTCCAGTAAAATGTAAATACAAATGATGTCTGCCATGTCTGGCTCATAAGGTTGTACTTGTCAAGCAGCTTAGCCTAATCCAATTAATATACCAGGCACATGACAACATTTACCTATTTTAGAGTACATTTTAATGTTGTTTGATACTTGGGTGGTAAATACAAATGTTTCTTTCCAGAACAAATTTACTAAAATGTTATTCTTAACATTTTATCATCATAGTACCAATTATGACATTTTCTATAAGAAAAACTCAACTTTGGAAAACGTGTAAATTTCAAATTTCTAAGTTTATTGGAATCAATATTCCTTTTTAGAAAGAACAGATAGAAATGTAGGGAATGGAACTTTTAGTCTTTTCATAAAACAACTTTATAACAATAACTGATCCTAGATCAAAGTTCTCATGAACCTTTAATTGGTTAGAAAGGAAAATAAATTCAAAAGTCAAAAGAACATGGTTGCCAAAAAGGTACCTCCCAAGAAAAATTATAATTTATTTACTCCGTAATGAGCTTGAGTATAAAATGAATTTAAATATTATATAACGATATTAGCCACTCTTAAATTTCTTTCACTTCTTTTTTGAAATGTTTGTATCTTGAAAATTGTTCCAGGAAGCATGACCACATGCACTTTTGCAGTGATTACATACTGATTATATAATCACACGTAATTTTACATATTACATATACATATAATTATATGTAATTGTATAATTTACTGATTATACATAAAAGATAGGACTGTACTTGATATAGTTTGAATATCTGTCCCTGCCCAAATCTCACATTGAATTGTAATCCCCAAAGCTGAAAGTGGGGGCTGGTGAGGGGTGTTTGGGTCATGAGGGTGGATCCCTCATGGCTTGGTGCTGATTTTGCATAGGGAGTGAGTTTTCATGAGCTCTCGTTGTTTAAAAGTGTGTGGCATACACCCAGTAATGGGATGGCTGGGTCAAATGGTTATTCTAGTTCTAGATCACCGATGAATCGCCACACTATGGCACATGTATACCTATGTAACAAACCTGCACGTTGTGCACATGTACCCTAGAACTTAAAGTATAAAAAAATATATATATAAAAATTAAAAAAATTAAAAAAAAGTCTGTGGCACCTCCCTCACCATGCCCTGTCTCTCTCTCTTGCTCCTGCTATAACCATATGAAGTGTCACATGCTTTGCCTTCTGACATGAGGCCTTCCCAGAAGCAGATGTTGCTATGCATCCTGTACTGTCTGCAGAACCATAAGCCAATGAAACCTCTTTCTTATTAATTACCCAGTTTCAAGTATTTATTTGTAACAGTGGAAGAACAGCCTAATATAGTACTAACACAAAAATACAAGTTTTAAGTGTAAATAATAGGATCTCAATTTTTATCTTTTCTACAAATAAAACCATCTGAAAATTTACAAGTTTCAGAAGTAAATGATAACTGCTAATAATGTCAAAATTCAACAAAATAAAGAATAATAGCTAGATACTATTATAAAACTGTAACATTAGATGAAGAGTTATAATCTATTAATTCAGAAAACAAAAGGGTACAAGAGAAGTATTAATGATGAAGAATAATCTTACTAGTGACTTCAAAATAGTAATGCTTTAACATAAGGACCCTGATATTCTCAATAAACACTATTGCAAAAAAATAAAAATAATTTTGAAGATCTACTACCCAAAACAAATATAGTTAATTTAAATATTTTTATTATAACACCAACCTGTTCAAATTCTTGTATTTTGGCATCCTTGACTTGCAGAATTTCTAGAACTTTTCTGTCTTTAGCTTCAGATTTCTGTTTTTCTCTAGATATAAAATATAGAGAGTTTATTAGTCATAACTGGTAGCTAATACTTTAAATTTTCATATCCCAAATATTAATATCACTTTAAAATATAGAAAATTAAATCATCTTGAGTTGACCACATGGCAAGTGACAGCAACTTACAACTGCTGAAAACTAAGACAACTTCATACTAAAAGAACAGTTTCATTTCTAGATTTAGGTATATGATAAAAATTACATAAAACATAGTTTAACCTTGATTGCAATAACCATACTGTCATCGCTTTGAAAATAATTACAATTAAGTAAACATGTTCTTGTTAATTTAAGCTTTCATATACACAATTATATTAAGGATAAAATTTACCATTTTTTAAGAGTCTCAAAAGAGAGAGTGACAGAGATTTACTTATAGTCGATACCCTATAACTAGAATTTTTTGATTTCTGACACCTTCCTATACATTTCTAGTCTCTGAGAATACTATTAACTAAACTAAATGGTAGTTGTACAATCAAAGCATAGTTCTCTGGGAAACAGAAAATCACAATACTTGTAAAGAATGACTATCTTCTAAAACAAATATAGCTTTTAAACAAATATAGCTTTATAAAGCAAAGGAGGAAAAGGGAAAGGAAGGAACAAAGGTCTGAAGAGACTGTATAATCAGGCTGACACCAGTCAATTTATATTATAAATAAGGGGAAATTGATTGGACACTGATTTACATTTTTTAAAAGGTCACAAATAAAATACATGGTATTCATAGAAAAACATAAATAATTAAACAGACAAATCTATATCTGTGAGAATCACAAATTAAACAAAAATAGAAAACTATAAATGGGGATGAAGCTACTATTTGCTGTCCCCCAGAGCCAGATGCAGGCTGAGGTGGAAAGGAGCTTGACTTCTGGGGTTAATAGGGAATACAAGTGCCTTACCCAGTATGCAGAAGCACAACCAGGCTCATTGTGTGGGATGGGAATGCTAACTCATGAAATGAAGCTGGAAAAAAGCTTCTGCCCATCCTTGCCTAGAACCAAGGCTTATATTAGAGTCTAGAAAGGCAAAAGTTTATAGATGTAGCTCCCCAATCAAGAGTTGAGCCAAAACACCCTGCAACTGAGGCTAGGTGTAGCAAAACCTCTATAAAACCTATTTCAGGAAAGAGACTAGGGTGAGATTGACAATTTAAAGGCAACTATAAAATTTCTAGAAAAAAAGATAGGCATTAGTTAAGGACGTGGTGGTGGAGAAAGAGGAGGAAGTAAACAGTAACAATAACAGCAATCTTCCCTCTTGAGATATGACCCCAAACAAAAAAATTCAAAATACATGAATCCCCATACACTGACATACTAGTTCAAGTCAAAAGATGCAATCCTCTAGAAAAAATAAAAATAACCAAATATAATGAAAAAGACTACAATAAGTAAGTTAAAGGTCCGTAAAGACAAAAGAATAACTAATGTTAAAAGTAAAGCTGAGAGATGAAACACAATCAGGTAGATGTAAAGAAGCTATTAAAATCTTGAAGATAAAAAATTATAATCACTGAAGTAAAAAACAACTAAATGGACTAAGCTCAAAACTAGACACAAAAAGAGATTAGTGAAATAAGGGATAGTAATAAGGGATTCATCCAGAACACTACACAGGAAAATAGTGAGATTAAAAACATGAAAACACAGTTGAGACAAGTTTCTTTGGGAAACTCCAACATATGCCTACAACATTCCAGAAGTAATAACTATGGGGATGAAAAATAAAGCAATATTTCAGGAGGTAACTGCTGGGAATATTTTAGAATTAAATAAAGTTCTCAGATTGAAGGAATACCTACCAGAATAAATAAAAGTCACATCTAATACATTAATCCATCACTCATTCAAGTATTTATTGCACATTTATTATATAACAGTCATTGGACTAGGGACTAGAGATATTGGAGGGAACAAAATAAACCAAGTTGCTGCCTTCATGGAATTAACATTTCAGTACATAGATAATGAAGATAAATAATACATAGTATGTCAAATTGCTATCAGTATAATAAGGACAATAAATTAGGGTAACGAAGAAAGGAATTCCCAGTCCTAGAGAAGCTGGGAGTGAAACGAAGGTTGTTGTTATTTTATATAGAATAGTTAACATGTAACTCTCCTTAAAAGTAATATTATATTTGAGGAGAGATCTAAAGGAAGGAAGGAAGAGTCATGAAGACCCTAGGGAAGAGTTTTCCAAGTCAAGTCATGGAACTAGTAGCAAGAGCAAAGACACAAGAGCAAGAGCAATTGGTATATTCAAAGAACAGCACGGAAGTACACACATTTATAGTAAAGTAGATAAGGAAATGGTAGCTAAGAACAGAGAAATCACTGGGGATAAAATAATATGTGGCCTTCTAGGCCCTGTGAAATTTGGATCTGAAGTGAAATGGGAAGGCAATGAGCAGAGAAATAACATATAACATTCTAAGAGTATCAATGGCTGGTGGGTTGAGGACAGACCTTAAGGGTCAAGGGAGAAAGCAAAAAGACAAGTTAGAAGGCAAATGAAACAGCCAGGTAAAAAAGAAAGGTGAATTGTACATGATAGGCAGATGCAGTGGCATTGAGAAGTGATTAAATTTTGGATATTTTTAAGGTAGAGCTAACAGGATTTCTTGATAGAAAAGTGAGGAATGTCTCCCAAGCTTTTGCCTACACAACTGGAAGAATGGAGCAGACATTATCTGAGACACAGAGAAGAAGTTTGGTGGACGGACACAAGGATTTCAAATGTGGACATACTAAGTTTGAGATGCCTAATCAACATCCAAGAGGAGTAGGCAGTTGAATTAAAAAGTCTGGAATCAGTAAAAAAGTTAAGGCTGGAGATACAACTTTAGGAGTCATCCAAATACCGTAGTTCCCCCTTACCCTCAGTTTCACTTTCCATGGCTTCAGTTACCAGCAGCCAACTGTGATCCAAAAATATTAAATGATAAGTTCCAGAAATAAACAATCCATAAGCTTTAAATTGCAGTGCTGTTCTGAATGCATGAAAAAACTTGCACTGTCCAAGTCCCAACTCACGTAGGACATGAATCATCTCTTTGTCGAAAGTATCCATGCTATAAACACAACCTGCCTATTACCGTGTAGGAAAAAACGTAGTGTACATAGGGTTCAGTGCTATCCATGGTTTCAAGTACCCGTTGGGAGGCTTGGAACGTATCCCCCATGGATAAGGCAGACTACTATATTTTTAAGACCATAAGGGTAGATAAGTTCACCTAGGGAGTGATTTTGCATAAAGAAGTATGAGGATTCAGTCCTGGAACATTTCAACATTTATAGATTAGTAAGATAAGGAAAAAACATCACATGAAACTAAGAAGGATAAGCCAGTAATTTAAGAGAATAAAGAGAAAGAGCTAAGTGAATAGAATTTAGTAGAAAGGAATGATCAAGTATACCAAATGCTGCAAACACACTAAAGACTGAGAAATGACTGTTGGATTTAGCAATATTAATGTATTAGTCTGTTTTCACACTGCTGATAAAGACATACCCGAGACTGGGAAGAAAAAGAGGTTTACTTGGACTTACAGTTCGACATGGCTGGGGAGGCCTCAGAATCATGGCAGGAGGTGAAAGGTACTTCTTACACATGGCAGCGGCAAGAGAAAATGAGGAAGATGCAAAAGCGGAAACCCCTGATAAAACCATCAGATCTCCCTTGCTTTCATATACCACGATATTTCACTACCACGAGAACAGTACAGGGGAAACCACCCCCATGGTTCAAATTATTACCCACTAGGTCCTTTCCATAACACATTGGGAATTATGGGAGTACAACTAAAGATGAGATTTGGGTGGAGACGCAGAGCCTAACCATATCAATTAAGGTCAGTAGTTGATATCTTGACAAGAACTATTTTAGAAGGATGGTGATTACAAAGCCTAATTAGAGTGAGTTCAAGTGAGAAAGAAAAACACAGAAATACTGAAAAGTACTCTTCAGAGAAATTTTGCACAGAAAGGAGCAGAGAAATGGCAAAATAGTTCAAGGGAAATATGAGATCACAAGAGTTTGTTTTTGTTTTTGTTTTTTTTAAACATGGGAGATAAGACAGCCTGTGTGTATGCTGACAGGAATGATCCAGGGCAGTGAGAGACACTGATAATGCAGGACAGAAAAGAGAACTGCAGTCCAACATCTTTGAATCCTTGAGGCTTGAAGCGTACATATAGTTTGTTCGGCCTTAGGTAAATATAAACAGTTCTTCCAAAGAAATAAAAAGAGAGAATATGAGAACAGATTCAGATATGTTGGTAGATACAGTTATGGGAAGGAATAAAAGCTCCCTTCTAAGAGTTTCCACTTTCTCAATGGTATATGAAAGCAAGGGTATCCAACAGCTGAAAGTAAGAATGGGAAAAGAAGTGTTGGAAGTTGAGAAAAGAGAAAACAAAACATTCTAGGATACTGAGATAGTAAGCGGGCCAGGAAAAAATAGGATGATGAACAGGCAGTACTGAGGGCCACTTAAAATTAGTGGTCATAAATTTATACAAGATCATTGTCATCATGGTTCAAGGTCTTTCTCAAGCCAAGTTTAGCCCTTTGGATGTAGGCACACAAAAGGCGGAGAATTGGAATAAACCACACTGGAAATTTTGCAAACATGTATATTATGATGATTTATTTTTACCATTTGCACTTTATCTTGCTTTATTATTTTGTTGTCTACTTACCATACGTTAATAGTACATTTAATACATAATTGCAATCCATTATGTACAACTAGGCCTTCTTTTGTTTCTTATATTAATAATAAAATATAATGTACTTTCAGAAACTGATGAATTTCTGCCCCTTTTTATTTTATGTTTTGGCGTTGCCTATCGATATATCTGCCATTTTATATTTTAGTGTGTTTTTATTGATTTATACAACTATTTTATGTTAAAATATATGAACTTTACCTATAATTTGTCACTAATATATTATCTCAAATTACCACTTGAATGTTTAGCTTATCATTATAAAATCAGAAGTACTGCAAAAGAATACTAAATCTATTAGAGGTATATACATTAGGAGGAAAATAACAGGATCCCAAAAGTTAGGGCATTATAGGATTTACCCAGGGACAAAGACCCAGATCATGAAAGTCAAAGCATTAACTACAGTCAGATAGTTCCTTTGTAAGTTCTTTTCCAGATATACCATGAATCTATTTTTAACTGTCCAGGAATTAGTTTAATTTATAGGGTTACAAAGGAATATAAATCATTCCATATAAAGACATATGCACCCATATATTCACTGCAGCACTGTTTACAATAGCAAAGACATGGAATCAACATAAATGCCCATCAATGATGGACTGGATAAAGAAAATGTGGTACATATACACTGTGGAATACTACAAAGCTATAAAAAAGAACAAGATCATGTCCTTTGCAGGGACAGGGATGGAGCTGAAGGTCATTATCCTCAGAAAACTAATGCAGGTAGAGAAAATCAAATATTGCATGTGCAACATGTTCTCGCCTATAAGCGGGAGCTAAATGATGAGAACCCATGGCTGCACAGAGGGGAACAACACACACTGGGTCCTATCAGAGAGTGCAGGGTGGGAGGAGGTAGAAGATCAGGAAAAATAACTAATGGGTACTAGGCTTAATAAGTGGGTGATAAAATAATTTGTATAACAAAACTCCCATGACACAAGTTTACCTTTAAAGTTTACCTAAAAAACATTTAACTACATTACAAACCTGCACATGTACCCCTAAACTTAAATGTTTTTAAAAAAACTGTACGGTTAGTCTTTATAATCCCCTCTTCTATAATAAACTTAAGATCCCCACTAATGTCCAAATAAATTCTGGTAGTACTTTTAAATGAGATACGGATAATACTAGATTATGTGACACCAAACCCAAACAAAAGCATTATTACAGCTTCCAAATGAGCTTGATACTAGGCTAATTATCTCCTATGACACAAGTATGTACACATACTCACAGTCTAACTAGTGGTTAGGTTGCCAGAGCACGAGCATCATCATCACCCAGGTTAGAAATGCATGTTCTTCAGCCCAATCCAGATGCACTGAATCAAGAACTGTAAGAGTGGGGGCCCAGCAATCTGTGTTTAACAAGGTGCTATGGACTGAAGGTTTGTGTCTCCTCAAAATTCATATATTGAGGCCCTAATAACCAATGTCATAGTATTTGGAGGTAGGCCTATGAAAGGCAATTAGGGTCATGAGGATTACTCCTTCATGAATGGGAGTAGCACCTTAATGAGAGGGGACACTAGAGAGAAGATCTCTCGGTGTCATATGAGGATACAACAAAAAGGCAGCCATTTACAAAGAGCCCTCACCAGAAACCACATTGGCTAGCATTTTAATTTTGTACTTCCTGGAACCATGAGAATAAATGTTTGTTATTTAAGCCACCCAGGATTCTGTTTTAGCAGTCAGAACTGACTAAGACACAAGATCTCAAGCGATTCTGATGCACACTAAAGTGTGAGAGTCACCAAAATAACAATAACACACTTCCCAGTAGATTAATCTGAGTGACATAATATTGAAAAAATGGGTCATAAGTGCCATATAAAATAAAAACTTCAAAAATATACCTGAATGGTATATCTTATAACCAAAAACCTCCAAAATTGACTAATATGTTATAATTTTGAAATTGAAAGATAATCAAAACTCAAAATATGGCAATTTGTCTAGCAGCTCCTCCTGGTGGTATGAGATGTCTAACATTTTCATAACAGGAAAATGCTCCCAAGATAAAATGGTGCTGTAACAGGAATACAATATTTTCTACTTGAAAAAATAAAATTTTTAAATATTGTTTCAAGTTTATAATGTCACCAACCAATCTGGTCAATTCAATTAATACATGTACTTCTATGTACTTACAAGACCTAAAAAAAAAAAGGTTCCTTAAAAAGAAAAAAAAAGACACTGCCAGGAGCTGATGATGATCAATGACTGAGACAAACTCCTGTTTAGCTAATTAGAACCACTGATGTGCAATAATGATGTGAGCGAAGAATATTTGCCGACTTCTTTAGAATGAAAAATGAAGCGAAGAGAGGCTGTCAAATCTGTACAACTTTTAAGCACCAATCATTTTTCCCAAGAGTACTTCCCATTTAAACATTTTAACAATGCTGTACTTAGCCACATGAATTACCACGCTAACTTTCAGTCATTTTTCTAAGCTCAAAAATCTGAGAAATTATTCTGAATCATTAAGAAACAAAATTTTATTATGTTATAGACCATGCCATATATTATACACTACAACAGGATCATATTTTCTGGGTTTGAGCCCACTTTTAATGAGATGTCAAAATGAAATATTAGAGTCTAAAAAAACATCCAACTATAAATGAGGCAGTGATATTGGTCTGAATTTATAAACAAAATAAAAAAGCAAAACTTACTGAAGTTGGTTATTTTTGATTTACAGACATAAATAACACACAAAATAAAGCTATTTATTGGACTAACGTTTTCTTTCATTTGAGTAGAGAACCTATTAAAATGCAGATTTTATACATATCAATGGTTTGCAATTTAAACAATTCCCAATTTCTAGTAAACACTAAGATTCTAAAACAGTAAGACTTAATAACAGAAGTTCAGAGAAATCAAAGTTATGCCATCATCAAATTATCCATTTATTCATGAACTATTTTATAAGTATTTCTTCTTATGAATACGCATAGTGAATTACTGGAATGGCATCTATAAACAATATAACAATAATAAAACTTGAAAAAGAGGTTGCAAAAATATTGTACAAACACATTTTACTCCACAGTAAAAGCAAATATTTAAAAAAAGAAAACTTTAATATGTGGAATAAAAATAATTCAACAGATCTTAATTCATGTAAAAACTTTGATATAAAATGTTTTAAAGGCTCAAGTATAGTTAATATATCTACTTTGCTTTTATACAAAACTGAGTTTTTATTGTATAATCCAGAATTTAGAACTATTATATTTAATTTCCAGTATAAAATACATGTTTAAAATTATATTTGAAAGCCAAAACTTGTGCTGGAGAAGTTGGCAAACGACAAATGATGGACATTTTTTTCCTTATTCAATCAGACTAAAATGCAGAAGATTATCAGGCTAAGATGTGAATCTGAATCTGTAAATTATGGAGTACAGATGAACCCTTTAAACAAAGAAGCAACAATTCAAAAGAACACATCTGCTTATATTAAATATAGTATTAAATAAGATCAGATACTCTTTATATATCAGATACTCATTCAACACCATTTCTAAATATACAAAGCTGAAACTCAAAACAAAACCTTTTTCTGTTTTATAGTTAGAAATTAAGTGACTATTTCCTGATTTTCTTATATTTCATCTCTTTTAACTATTTGTCCAGATATTTCTGCATATACTCAACATTTATTATGTAAAACAACATAAAAGAGTAGGAAAAGATTGTGTATTATATGCCTTTTATGATTGTGCATTATATGCCTTTCATGATTGTGCAAATATTTTTCACCCAGAATCTAGAAGTTTCTTCCAGTGTTTGAAAATCAGCACTTCAGAACAGACTGTTTTAACATCTGCACATCACCAGGGTTGCCCCCAAGGATTTTTAAATGATGCCTGCCTGTGCTGAATAAAGTGCTAACTTGCACCTTGCATTTCAAACTGTGTCCTGAGCAGCCATCCAGTTGGTACAACACCAGCTGAATTCCCACAGGCCACTGTTCACTCAGGCTTGACTACAATTATCATGTCAATATTTTGTGCTCCGATATGCAGATATGCACACATGCAAGCTGCATAATACTTTCTTCCCCATGGAATGTTGAATTACGTTCAATGTTCTGGGAATTTTTAAGAAAACAGAAATAAACTCTCAACAAATAAAGGTGATCACAATTATTTTACCTTAAAAACAAAAGCTATGTTTCTGTACCACCTTCTGCCATGTGTATAAAGATTAAATTTTTAAAGTAACTATTCCTTACTATAATCTCACAATTATTTAATTTAAAAATCTTCATAAAAGTTAAAAGACTATTTGGTTAAGCTTCCTGCATCTATTGTAAAAGTTTGAATGTGATTCTTCATGTTTATTGCAAGTACTCTCACCTTGAACATTAGAGTGGTTCCAATTAAACACCTTTCAGTTAGTTCCCATGACCATCCATCCACATCCCTGCCTAGGCAATCATGGCTCTTGCAACACGAAAAGTGCTCAGCAAAAATACATTTATGCCCTGGGTGGAACTGCCTGGCAGCATTGCTACCAGATGGCATAATTCTGGCAGCTACAGTTCTGGGGTCTCCAAACAGCCACGCTACTATCATGCTCCAAACTGCAACCCCTTTGCAGCCTATGTTGGCTTAATACACATGGGACAGGGTACAACCATATAGCAGCTGTGTAACCCAAGTGCTTTAGAGTGGAAAGGAGCAGGAGGGAGGTGGTCCCAGTAGTGAGAGAATATAACATAAACTTACAGAAATAGTCTCCCTATCAAACATGCAAACATGTAAACTTTAACTCTAAAAATTGAAATAAAATAAGAAATAGAAATAAAAATAAGACAATCTCTCCTTTACTATGAAATTAAATCTTTGAACCAAGTGTATCAAGGATATAGCACACATATCCTTGATAAATGTATCAATAAAATCTTAATAAACCGGCCAATAAAAACATGTCAATAAAATCTAAAAATCATCTTGCCTTTATTCCCTTTTACCATTCTAATTTTCCAGAATTGAGTTTTCATTACCAAACAGGAGGAGGAAAAGAACTGAAAATAGGAAAGTGAGCACAAGAAAAAAGTATTAACAAGTCTACAAAAAAAGTACAGAATATTAAAAAGAAAGCAAACCACATCTTCAAAATTTACACAACTAGCAAGCCAGGATTACAAATCCAGTTACCTGACTCAACGGCTTGTGTTCTTAACCACTAATTATTAAAAATAGCCTGGGGGACAGTTCCAAGTTGGTCAAATAGGAACAGCTCCAGTCTACAGCTCCAAGAGTGAGCAACTCAGAAGATGGGTGATTTCTGCATTTCCAACTGAGGTAACGGGTTCAACTCACTGGGGCTTGTCAGATAGTGGGTGCAGGACAGTGGGTGCAGCCCACCGAATGTGAGCCAAAGCAGGGTGAGGCACTGCCTCACCCGGGAAGTGTAAGGGGTCAGGGATTTCCCTTTCCTAGCAAACGGAAGCTGTGACAACCAGCACCTGGAAAATCAGGTCACTCCCACCCTAATACTGCGCTTTTCCAACGGTCTTAGCATACGGCACACCAGGAGATTATACCCCGCGCCTGGCTCAGAGGGTCCCACACCCACGGAGCCTCGCTCATTGCTAGCACAGCAGTCTGAGATCGAACTGCAAGGTGGCAGCGAGGCTGGAGAAGGGGTGCCCACCATTGCTGAGGCTTGAGTAGGTAAACAAAGCGGCCAAGAAGCTCGAACTGCGTGGAGCCCACCGCAGTTCAAGGAGGCCTGCCAGCCTCCACAGACTCCACCCCTGGGGGCAGGGCATAGCCAAACAAAAGGCAGCAGAAATCTCTGCAGACTTAAATGTCCCTGTCTGACAGCTTTGAAGAGAGCAGTCGTTCTCCCAGTATGGAGTGTGAGATCTGAGAATGGTCAAACTGCCTCCTCAAGTGGTTCCCTGACCCCCGAGTAGCCTAACTGGGAGGCACCCCCTAGTAGGGGCAGACTGACACCTCACATGTCTGGGTACTCCTCTGAGATGAAGCTTCCAGAGGAATGATCAGGCAGCAACATTTGCTGTTCAGCAAAATTCGCTGTTCTGCAGCCTCCGCTGCTGACACCCAGGCAAAGAGGTTCTGCAGTGACCTCCAATAAACTCCAACAGACATGCAGCTAATGGTCCTGACTGTTAGAAGGAGAACTAACAAACAGAAAGGACATCCACACCAAAACCCCATCTGTACGTCACCATCATCAAAGACCAAAGGTAGATAAAACTACAAAGATGGGGAAAAAACAGAGCAGAAAAGCTGAAAATTCTAAAAATCAGAGCTCCTCTCCTCCTCCAAAGGAATGCAGCTCCTCGCCAGCAACGGAACAAAGCTGGATGGAGAATCACTTTAACGAGTTGAGAAAAGAAGGCTTCAGACAATCAAACTTCTCCCAGCTAAAGGAGGAAGTTCGAACCCATCACAAAGAAGCTAAAAACCTTCAAAAAAGATTAGACAAATGGCTAACTAGAATAACCAGTGTACAGAAGTCCTTAAATGACCTGATGGAGCTGAAAACCATGGCACGAGGACTACGTAATGAATGCACAAGTTTCAGTAGCCAATTTGATCAACTGGAAGAAAGGGTATCAGTGATTGAAGATCAAATGAATGAAATGAAGTGAGAAGAGAAGTTTAGAGAAAAAAGTAAAAAGAAATGAACAAAGCCTCCAAGAAATACATGACTATGTGAAAAGACCAAATCTACATCTAATTGGTGTACCTGAAAATGATGGGGACAATGGAACCAAGATGGAAAACACTCTGCAGGATATTATCCAGAAGAACTTCCCCAACCTAGTGAGGCAGGCCAACATTCAAATTCAGGAAATACAGAGAACGCCACAAAGATACTCCTCGAGAAGAGCAACTCCAAGACACATAATTGTCAGATTCACCAAAGTTGAAATGACGGAAAAAATATTAAGGGCAGCCAGAGAGAAAGGTCGGGTTACCCACAAAGGGAAGCCCATCAGAATAACAGCAGATCTCCTGGCAGAAACTCTGCAAGCCAGAAGAGAGTGGGTGCCTATATTCAACATTCTTAAAGAAAATAATTTTCAACCCAGAATTTCATATCCAGCCAAACTAAGCTTCATAAGTGAAGGAGAAATAAAATACTTTACAGACAAGCAAATGCTGAGAGATTTTGTCACCACCAGGCCTGCCCTACAAGACCTCCTGAAGGAAGCACTAAACATGGAAAGGAACAACCGGTACCAGTCACTGCAAAAACATGCCAAAGTGTAAAGACCATCGAGGCTAGGAAGAAACTGCATCAACTAATAAGCAAAATAACCAGCTAAAATCATAATGACAGGATCAAATTCACACATAACAATATTAATCTTAAATGTAAATGGGCTAAATGCTCCAATTAAAAGACACAGACTGGCAAATTGGATAAAGAGTCAAGACCCATCAGTGTGCTGTATTCAGAAGACCCATATCACCTGCAAAGACACACATACGCTCAAAATAAAGGGAAGGAGGAAGATCTACCAAGAAAATGGAAAACAAAAAAAGGCAGGGGTTGCAATCCTGGTGTCTGATAAAACAGACTTTAAATCAACAAAGATCAAGAGACAAAGAAGGCCACTACATAATGGTAAAGGGATCAATTCAACAAGAAGAGCTAACTATCCTAAATATATATGCACCCAATACAGGAGCACCCAGATTCATAAAGCAAGTCCTTAGAGACCTACAAAGAGACTTAGACTCCCACACAATAATAATGGGAGACGATAACACCCCACTGTCAACATTAGACAGACCAACGAGTCAGAAAGTTAACAAAAATATCCAGGAATTGAACTCAGCTCTGCACCAAGCAGACCTAAGAGACATCTACAGAACTCTTCACCCCAAGTCAACAGAATATACATGCTTCTCAGCACCACATCGCACTTATTCCAAAATTGACCACATAGTTGGAAGTACAGAACTCCTCAGCAAATGTAAAATAACAGAAATTATAACAAACTGTCTCTCAGACCACAGTGCAATCAAACTAGAACTCAGGATTAAGAAACTCACTCAAAACCGGTCAACTACATGGAAACTGAACAACCTGCTCCTGAATGACTACTGGATACATAATGAAATGAAAGCAGAAATAAAGATGCTCTTTGAAACCAATGAGAACAAACACACAACATACCAGAATCTCTGGGACACACTTAAAGCAGTGTGTAGAGGGAAATTTATAGCACTAAATGTCCACAGGAGAAAGCACAAGAGATCTAAAATTGACACCCTAGCATCACAATTAAAAGAACTAGAGAAGCAAGAGCAAACACATTCAAAAGCTAGCAGAAGGCGAGAAATAAGTAAGATCAGAGCAGAACTGAAGGAGATAGAGACACAAAAAACACTTCAGAAAAATCAATGAATCTAGCAGCTGGTTTTTTGAAAAGATCCACAAAATTGATAGACCGCTAGCAAGACTAATAAAGAAGAAAAGAGAGAAGAATCAAATAGACGCAATAAAAAATGATAAAGGGGATATCACCACCGATCCCACAGAAATACAAATTACCATCAGAGAATACTATAAACACATCTATGCAAATAAACTAGAAAATCTAGAAGAAATGGATAAATTCCTGGACACATACACCCTCCGAAGACTAAACCAGGAAGAAGTTGAATCCCTGAATAGACCAAACACAGCCTCTGAAATTGAGGCAATAATTAATAGCCTACCAACCAAAAAAGTCCAGGAGCAGATAGATTCACAGCTGAATTCTACCAGAAGTACAAGGAGGAGCTGGTACCATTCCTTCTGAAACTATTCCAATGAGTAGAAAAAGAGGGAATCCTCCCTAACTCATTCTATGAGGCCAGCATCATCCTGATACCAAAGCCGGGCAGAGACACAACAAAAAAGGAGAATTTTAGACCAATATCCCTGATGAGCATCCACAGAAAAATCCTTAATAAAATACTGGCAAACCAAATCCAGCAGCACATCAAAAAGCTTATCCACCATGATCAAGTGGGCTTCACCCCTAGGATGCAAGGCTGGTTCAACATATGCAAATCAATAAACGTAATCCAGCATATAAACAGAACCAAAGACAAAAACCACATGATTATCTCAAGAGATGCAGAAAAGGCCTTTGACAAAATTCAACAACACTTCATGCTAAAAACTCTCAATAAATTAGGTATTGGTGGGACGTATCTCAAAATAATAAGAGCTATTTATCACAAACCCACAGCCAATATCATACTGAATGGGCAAAAACTGGAAGCATTCCCTTTGAAAACTGGCACAAGACAGGGATGCCCTCTCTCACCACTCCTATTCAACATAGTCTTGGAAATTCTGGCCAGGGCAATAAGGCAGGAGAAAGAAATAAAGGGTATTCAATTAGGAAAAGAGGAAGTCAAATTGTCCCTGTTTGCAGACGACATGACTGTATATTTAGAAAACCCCATCGTCTCAGCCCCAATCTCCTTAAGCTGATAAGCAACTTGAGCAAAGTCTCAGGATACAAAATCAATGTGCAAAAATCGCAAGCATTCTTATACACCAACAACAGACAAACAGAGAGCCAAATCATGAGTGAACTCCCATTCACAATTGCTTCAAAGAGAATAAAATACCTAGGAATCCAACTTACAAGGGATGTGAAGGACCTCTTCAAGGAGAACTACAAACCACTGCTCAAAAAAATAAAAGAGGACATAAACAAATGGAAGAACATTCCATGCTCATGGATAGGAAGAATCAATATTGTGAAAATGGCCATACTGCCCAAGGTAATTTATAGATTCAATGCCATCCCCATCAAGCTACCAATGACTTTCTTCACAGAATTGGAAAAAACTACTTTAAAGTTCACATGGAACCAAAAAAGAGCCCGCATTGCCAAGACAATCCTAAGCCAAAAGAACAAAGCTGGAGGAATCACGCTACCTGACTTCAAACTATACTACAAAGCTACAGTAACCAAAACAGCATGGTACTGGTACCAAAACAGAGATATCACCAATGGAACGGAACAGAGCCCTCAGAAATAATACCACACATCTACAACCAACTGATCTTTGACAAACCTGACAAAAACAAGAAATGGGGAAAGGATTCCCTATTTAATAAATGGTGCTGCGAAAACTGGCTAGCCATATGGAGAAAGCTGAAACTGGATCCCTTCCTTACACCTTGTACTAAAATTAATTCAAGAGGGATTAAAGACTTAAACGTTAGACCTAAAACCATAAAAACCCTAGAAGAAAACCTAGGCAATACCATTCAGGACATAGGCATGGGCAAGGACTTCATGTCTAAAACACCAAAAGCAATGGCAACAAAAGCCAAAATTGACAAATGGGATCTAATTAGACTAAAGAGCTTCTGCACAGCAAAAGAAACTACCATCAGAGCGAACAGGCAAACTGCACAATGGGAGAAAATTTTTGCAACCTACTCATCTGACAAAGGGGTAATATCCAGAATCTACAATGAACTCAAACAAATTTACAAGAAAAAAACAAACAACCCCATCAAAAAGTGGGCAAAGGATATGAACAGACACTTCTCAAAAGAAGACATTTATGCAGCCAACAGACACATGAAAAAATGCTCATCATCACTGGCCATCAAAGAAATGCAAATCAAAACCACAATGAGATACCATCTCACACCAGTTAGAATGACAATCATTAAAAAGTCAGGAAACAACAGGTGCTGGATGCGGAGAAACAGGAACATTTTTACACTATTGGTGGGACTGTAAACTAGTTTAACCATTGTGGAAGACAGTGTGGTGATTCCTCAAGGATCTAGAACTAGAAATACCATTTGACTCATCCCATTACTGGGTATATACCCAAAAGATTATAAATCATTCTACTATAAAGACACATGCACACGTATGTTCACTGCGGCAATATTCACAATAGCAAAGACTTGGAACCAACCCTAATGTCCATCAATGATAGACTAGATTAAGAAAATGTGGCACATATACACCATGGACTACTATGCAGCCATAAAAAAGGATGAGTTTATGTCCTTTGTAGGGACATGGATGAAGCTGGAAACCATCATTCTCAGCAAACTATCGCAAGGACAAAAAACCAAACACCGCATGTTCTCACTCACAGGTGGGAATTGAACAATGAGAACATTTGGACACAGGAACGGCAACATTACACACCGGGGCCTGTCGTGGGGTAGGGGGAGCGGGGAGGAATAGCATTAGGTGATATACCTAATGTAAATGACGAGTTAATGGGTGCAGCACACCAACATGGCACATGTATACATATGTAACAAACCTGCACGTTGTGCACATGTACCCCAGAACTTAAAGTGTAATAAAAATAAATAAATAAATAATAAAAATAACTTCTGTCCAAATGTTAGAGTTAAGTATTAAGCAAGTTACAATGAAAGATGTACAAATTTTCTCTAGTAGTCTTTAAAACTGTTAAATATTGGATCTTGGGTTTCTCCATCCATAAAGATGGAAAAATATTTACTTTTCAAGTTTAGATTATCTTCTGTAAAATCATAGTATTTTCCCTAAGGTGAATATCAAAATTGCCTATGAATATGTTTTAAAATGCAGATACCTCAATCTCTTCCTAAACCTTGGTGAACCACATTCTTATAGAAGTCATGGGTGAATTATAGTTGTGGCTCAAGAATCTCTCAAATGAGTATGAGTAGCTATACTTAGACAAAACAGATTTCAAGACAAAAACTATAAAAAGAGACAAGCTCATTATACAATAAGAGAGGGGTCAATTTGGCAAGAGGCTATAACAATTATAATTATATAGGTGCCTAACACTGGAGAACCCAAACATATAGAGAAAATATTATTAGAGCTAAAAAGCAAGGCCCAAGTACAAGAATAGCTGGAGGCTTCAACATCCCACTTCCAGCATTAGACAGAATCATCCAGACAGAAAATCAACAAAGAAACACTGGACTTCATCTGCACTGCAGAACAAATAGATCTAATAAGTAGTTACAGATGATTTCATCCAACTGGTCCAGAATACGCATTCTTTTCTTCTCCTCAGCACATGGATCATTATCAAGAATAGACCATATGTGACTCAATAAAAAATTCCTAAAAATTCAAACAAATTGAAATTATATCAAGTATCTTCTCTGACTACAATGGAATAAAACTAGAAATCAGTAACAGGAGGAATTTTGGAACCTCTAAAAACACATGAAAATTAAACAATATGCTCTTGAATGACGATGAAGAAATTAAGAAGGAAATTGAAAATTTTCTTAAATAATAATGTAAACTCAACAAAACAAACCTATAGCAAAAGCAGTACTAACAGGAAAGTTTATAGTTATAAGCGCCTACATCAAAAAAGTAGGAAAACTTCAAATAAACAACCTAACCATTGATCTTAAAGAACTAGGAAAGGGCAAACAAAACACAAAATTAGAAGAGAAATAATAAAGATCAGAGCATAAATTAATGAAATTGAAACAGAAAAAGAACAATGAAAGAAAAAGATGGTTTTTGAAAAGATACATAACATTGACAAATCCTTAGCCAGACTAATTAATAAGAAAAGAGAGAAGACACAAATAAAATCAAAGATGAAAAAGGAGACATTACAACCAATACCACAGAAATTCAAAGGATTATTAGCAGCTACTATGAGCAACTATACGCCGATAAATTGGAAAATCTAGAACAAATAAATTCCTTGACACATACAACCTACCAAAATTGAATCATGAAGAAATCCAAAACCTGAACAGACCAGTAACAAGTAATAAGATTGAAGCCATAACAAAAAAAGTCTTCCAGCACAGAAGAGCCCAGCACCCAATGGCTTAAATGCTGAATTCTACCAAACATTTAAAGAACTAATACCAATCATATTTAAAGTAGTTGGAAAAACAGGAAGAGAACACTTCCAAATTCATTCAACAAGGCTAGTCTTACCCTGATACCAAAACCAGACAAAGACACATCAAATAAAGGAAACCACTGGCCAATACCCCTGATGAACATTGATGCAAAAATCCTCAACAAAATACTACCAAACCAAATTCAACAACACATGAAAAAGGTCATTCATCATGACACAGTGGGATTTATCCTGGGGAAGCAATAATAGTTCAACATATGCAAATCAGTCAATGAGATATATCCTATCAACATAATAAAGCACAAAAACCACATGATCATTTCAATTGATGTCACGTGAAAAAGCAGTTCATAAAATTGAACATTGCTTCAGGATAAAAACCCTCAAAAACCTGAGTATAAAAGAAACATATCTCAACACAATAAAAGCCATAAATGACAAACCAAAAGCTAGTATTAATATTGAATGTGGAAAAACTGTAAGTCTTTCCTCTAAGATCTGGAACATGACAAGGATGTCCACTTTCACCTCTGTTATTCAACATAGTATTGGAAGTCCTAGCTAGAGCAATCAGACAAGAGAATGAAATAAAGAGCATCCAAAGTGGAAAGGAAGAGGTCAAATTAACCTTGTTTGGAGAAAATATCATCTTATATTTGGAAAAACCTAAAGACTCCACAAGAAAATTATTAGGACTGATAAATTCAGTAAAGTTGCATGATAAAAAGTCAGCATACAAGGGAGGGGAAAAGATAGCCAAATAGGAACAGATCTGGTCTGCAGCTCCCAGCGAGACCAACGCAGAAGGTGGGCAATTTCTTCATTTCCAAGTGAGGGACCCAGTTCATCTCATTGGGACTGGTTAAGCAGTAGGTACAAAGCACGGAGGGTGAGCAGAAGCAGGGTGGGGTACCGTTTCACCCAGGAAGTACAAGGAGCTGGGGGACCTCCCTCCCCCAGCCAAGGGAAGCCACAAGGGACTGTGCTACCCAGCCCAGGTACTACAATTTTCCCACGGTTTTTGCAGTCTGCACAACGGAAGATTCCCTCGTGTGCTGACACCACCAGGGACCTGGGTCTCAAGCACAAAGCTGAGCTGCTCTTTGGGCAGACACCGAGCTAGCTGCAGGAGTTTTTTTCATACCCAGTGGCACCTGCAACCCCAGTGAGACAAAACGGTTCACTCCCCTGGCAAGGGGTGTTCTGTGTGGGAAACGCGCAAGGGAAGAAGAAAAGGCACACACACAATACCTTTAAGGGTAAACAAGCTTTATCTCACATAAATGGCAATGCAGATATAATAAGCAAATGATATAAAAAGCGAATTAATATAATAAGCAAATTGATATAATAAGCAAATTGCAATGGAAACAGGAGAAGGGAAAATAGAGACACACATTTATACTCACCAGACTATGGAGGATTCACCATCAGACTGGGAAGCAACAGCCTGGGCTCCAGAGTCAGACACCGCACTCACCAGACTGTGGCGGATTCACCACCAGACTGGGAAGCAACAGCCTGGGCTCCAGAGTCCACTACTCATCAGTGCACAGACAAGGAGGGGTCTCATGAAGTGTTGGTGCAGTCTGGGACCCTAGCTCTTTTTTAACAAGCTGTTTGGCATGAGGCCCAGTCATGAGGGCCCTTTGCAACTGGGCTCAAGGAACACAAAAAGGTCAACTTGTTTTTGTGATTGTCTATTGTTTTTCAATGACTAACATATAGGAATAGATTGAAACAGAGATTTCTCCGAAACAACACTGGATGAACGCCTAAAGGGGCTCACTCATACAACCCATTCCAGGACTTGGTGACCACTGTTTGTGGTCAATTGAGTTCAAATGGTCAATTGAGTTCAAATTTAATATTTAACTTTACCTCCACATTCAGACTCAATTTGATACTCATTTGTAGGAAAATACCCTTACAGATACATGGGGAAGGCAAAGTTGATATAGATTACAGATACAGGATAAGCACAGGAGAATTAAAAGCACAATTAATAAAAACCACACCCACCATGGCTTTGCAAGGAGAGTAATATTGTGAGATTTGTTAGGTATATCACATAACATTCAGTATACAGTAAGGCACAAACCCCTCCTTGGGCTGTGGTAAGCGTATTTAATGTCATCCGATTTTGCAACACAACAGTACGCAGCTGAGCAAATTCATCTGATAACATAAGTCCAGTGATACTATCATTAAGATCTTTTTCTACATGTAGCTTATTGCTGTAATGTGTAATTTAAGTAACAAGGGTGCTGTGTTTAGTTAGGGCTTAGGCAAAAATAGACTGTTTGGTTTGGTTAAAAAAAAGTCCAGGTTGGATTACAAGTGTTATTACCCCACCCCCATTGGTATCGGCATATCCATCCAGAAATGTTAGCAGGGACGATTCTCCAAGGTAGCCCATTCCTGGCAGCCTCTAGCAACTTGAGGCATACCCAGCACTGACGGCAGTTGGCTCCTGCTGCAGTGGTGGCTACCCAGTTGATGAACTCATTCTCAGCCTCAGACATAATGACCCATGTACTTATTACTAGCAGACAGGTTATTCTCATTAATTATACCATCATACATTATAATGCCTCTCATTGCAAGGCTTGAACATGTTGTAATCCATTCATCTGCATTTAAGTTTGCAGTTATGGTGGAATTTTGGCCTGTTGATCTGCCTGCTGATTAAATAGTCCGTCAAGAAAAAGCAGAGATCCATCAGCATCAACATGGAAAACAGTGATAATGGTAGCATGCAGCAGGATTCAGATATCTTCCCAGTATTGTTTTCCCCAAACCTCTTTACTCCCGATTAACCATTAGTTTTGTTGCCATTGGGGCATCCAAGTAGTAAGGCCATTTGCTACTGACCAAGAGTTGGTATACAAGTGACAAATCCCTCTGGCCTCCTCCTGAATAGCTCAGAGGACCACTACTAGTTCAGCCAGCTGACTGCTCCCACCGCTTCCTTCATCAGAACTGGTGTGTTTTAGGGGAACTCATGACCCAAGTCATAACAGGAATTTCAAGCCTCATAAAGACATCATGGTCTGGTGAGTTCGGTGTCCGACTCTGGTGCCCAGGCTGTTGCTTCCCAGTCTGGTGGTGAATCTTCCAGTCTGGTAAGCATAAATATATGTATGTCTCTTCCCTTCTCCTGTTCCCAATGCAATTTGCTTATTATATCATTTGCTTATTATACCAATTTGCTTATCATGTTAATTTGCTTATTATATCATTTATTATATCTGCATTGCCATTTACATGGGATAAAGCTTGTTTACCCTTAAAGGTAACAAGTGTGTGTGCTCTTTATTCTCCCCTCTCACGTTTCCCACACAGAACAAGGGGGCTGAAGCCAGGGAGCCAAGTGGTCTCACTCCCACAGAGCCCAGCTTTCTGGTCCCACTCCCACGGAGCCCAGCAAGCTAAGAACCACTGGCTTGAAATTCTCACTGCCAGCACAGCAGTCTGAAGTCGACCTGGGATGATCGAGCTTGGTGATAGGAGGGGCACCTGCAATGAATGAGGCTTTCCTAGGCTGTTTTTCCCTGACAGTGCTAAGGAGGCTGGGAGGTTTGGCCCGGACGGAATTCACCACAGCACAGCAAAGCGGTTGTGGCCAGACTGCTACTCTAGATTTCTCCTCACTGGGCAGGGCATTTGTGAAGGAAAGGCAGCAGTCCCAGTCTAGGGATTACAGATAAAACTCTCATCTCCCTGCAACAGAGCACCTGGGGGGAGGGGCGGCTGTGGGCTCAGCTTTAGCGGGCTTAATCTTTCCTGGCTGCCAACTCTGAAGAGAGCAGCTGATCCTGACAATAGTGATTCTCCCAGCAAAGTGCACTAGTTCAGAGAAGGGAAAGACTGCCTTCTCAAATGGGTCCCTAACCCCCATGCCTTCTGACTGGGAGAAACCTCCCAACATGGTTGACAGACACCTCATACAGGAGAGCTCCTGCTGGCATCAGGCCGGTGTCCCTCTGGGATGAAGCTTCCAGAGGAAAGAGCAGGCAGCAATCACTGCTGTTCTCCAGCCTCAGCTGGTGATACCCAGCCAAGCAGGGTCTGGACTGGACCTCCAGCAAGCTGCAGAAGAGGGGCCTGTTAGAGGAAAAACTAACAAACAGAAAGCAATGACATCAACATCAACAAAAAAGACCCCCACATAAAAAAAACAAAAAAACTAACAAACAAAAAAAACCCATCCAAAGGTCATCAACCTCAAAAATCAAAGGAAGATAAATCCATGGAGATGAGGAAAAAACAGGGCAGAAATGCTGAAAATTCCAAAAACCAAAATGCCTCTTCTCCAAATGATCACAACTCCTCATCTCCACAGGCACAAAACTGGATGGAGAACGAGATTGACAAACTGACAGAAATAGCTTCAGAAGGTGGGTAATAGCAAACTCCTTTGAGCTAAAGGAACATGTTCTAACCCAATGCAAAGAAGCTAAGAACGTGGATAAAAGGTTACAAAAACTGCTAACTAGAATAACCCGTTTAGAGAGGAACATAAATGACCTGATGGAGCTGAAAAACACAGCACAAGAACTTTGTGAAGCAAACACAAGTATCAATAGCCAAATCGATCAGGTGGAAGAAAGACTATCAGAGATTGAAGATCACCTTACCGAAAGAAAGTGTGAAGACAAGATTAGAGAAAAAAGAATTAATCTTGGCCGGGTGCGGTGGCTCAAGCCTGTAATCCCAGCACTTCGGGAGGCCGAGGCGGGTGGATCACGAGGTCCGGAGATCAAGACCATCCTGGCTAACGTGGTGAAACCCCGTCTCTACTAAAAAATACAAAAAATTAGCCGGGCGTGGTGGCGGGTGCCTGTAGTCCCGGCTACTCAGGAGGCTGAGGCAGGAGAATGGCGTGAACACGGGAGGTGGAGCTTGCAGTGAGCCGAGATCGCGCCACTGCACTCCAGCCTTGGCGACAGAGTGAGACTCTGTCTCAAAAAACAAACAAACAAACAAAAACAAACCAAAAAAGAATTAAAAGGAACAAACAAGGCCTCCAAGAATTAGGGCACTATGTGACAAGACCAAACCTACGAATGATTGGTGTACCGTAAAGTGACAGAATGAAACCAAGGTGAAAAACACACTTCAGGATATTATCCAGGAGAACATCCCCAACCTAGCAAGACAGGCCAACATTCAAATTCAGGAAATAGAGAACACCACAAAGATACTCCTCAAGAAGAGCAACCACAAGACACATAACCGTCAGATTCTCCAACGTTGAAATGAAGGAAAAAATGTTAAGTGCAGCCGGAGAGAAAGGTCAGGTCACCTACAAAGGGCAGCCTATCAGACTAACAGTGGATCTCTCTGCAGAAACCTTACAAGCCAGAACAGAGTGAAGACCAATATTCAACATTCTTAAAGAAAATAATTTTCAACCAGAATTTCATATCCAGCCAAACTAAGCTTCATAAGTGAAGGAGAAATAAAATCCTTTCCAGACCAGGCAAATGCTGAGGGACTCTGTCACCACCAGGCCTGCCTTACAAGAGCTCCTGAAGGAAGCACGAAATATGGAAAGGAAAAACCAGTACCAGCCACTGCAAAAACACACCAAAATATAAAGACCAACGACACTATGAAGAAACTGCATCACCTAATGCACAAAATAAACAGCTAGCATCATGATGACAGGATCAAATTCACACAAAAAAATATTAACCTTAAATGTAAATGGGCTAAATGCCTCAGTTAAAAGACACAGACTGGGAAATTGGTTAGAGTCAAGACCCATGGGTGTGCTGCACTCAGGAGACCCATCACATGGTCAAATACACACATTGGCTCAAAATAAAGGGATGAAGGAATACTTACCAAGCAAATGGAAAGCAACAAAAAAAAAAAAAAAAAAAAAAAACAGAGGTTGCAATCCTAGGCTCTGATAAAACAGACTTTAAACAAACAAAGATCAAAAAAGACAAAGAAGGGCATTACATAATGGCAAAGGGATCAATGCAACAAGAGCTACCTATCTTAAATATATATGCTCCCAATACAGGAACACCCAGATTCATAAAACAAGTTCTTAGATACCTACAAAGAGACTTAGACTCCCACACAATAATAGTGAGTGAGTTTAACACCCCACTGTCAATAATGAGACAGAAAATTAACAAGGATATTCAGGCCTTGAACTCAGCTCTGGACCAAGGGGAACTAACAGACATCTACAGAACCCTCCACCCCAAATCAACAGAATATACATTCTTCTCAGCACCACATTACATTTATTCTAAAATTGACCACATAATTGGAAGTAAAACACTCCTCAGCAAATGCAAACAAACAGAAATCATAATAAACAGTCTCTCAGACCACAGTGTAATCAAATTAGAACTCAGGATGAAGAAACTCATTCAAAACCTCACAGCTACATGGGAATTGAACAACCTGTTTCTGAATGACTACTGGGTAAATAACAAAATTAAGACAGAAATAAGTAAGTTCTGTGAAAACAATGAGAACAAAGAGACAACATACCAGAATTTCTGGACACGTCTAAAGCAGTGTTAAGAAGGAAATTTATAGCACTAAATGCCCACATCAGAAAGCTGGAAAGATCTAAAATCGACACCCTAACATGTCAATTAAAAGAACTACAGAATCAAGAGCAAACAAATTCAAAAGTTAGCAGAAGACAAGAAATAACTAAGATCAGAGCAGAATTGAAGGAGACAGAGACCTGAAAAACCCTTAAAAAAAAATCAATGAATCCAGGAGCTGGTTTTTTGAAAAGATTGACAAAATAGATCACTAGCTAGACTAATAATAAAGAACAAAAGAGAGAAGAATAAAATAGACAATAAAAAATTATAAAGGGGATATCACCACTGATCCCACAGAAATACAAACTACCATCAGAGAATACCATAAACACCTCTACGCAAAAAAACTAGAAAATCTAGAGGAAATGGATAAATTCCTGCACACATACATCCTCCCAAGACTAAACCAGAAAGAAGTCGAATCCCTGAATAGACCAATAACAAGTTCTGCAATTGAGGCAGCAATTAATAGCCTACCAACCAAAAAAAAGCCCAGGTCCAGACGGATTCACAGCTGAATTCTACCAGAGGTACAAAGAGGAGCTGGTACCATACCTTCTGAAACTATTCCAAACAATAGAAAAAGAGGGACTCCTCCCTAACTCATTTTATGAGGCCAGCATCATCCTGATACCAAAACCTGGCAGAGACACAACAAAAAAAGGAAAATTTCAGGCCAATGTCCTTAATGAACATCAATACGAAAATCCTCAATAAAATGCTGGCAAACTGAATACAGCAGCACATCAAAAAAGCTTATCCACCACGATCAAGACGGCTTCATCCATAGGATGCAAGGCTGGTTCTACAAACACAAATCAATAAACGTAATCCATCACATAAACAGAACCAATGACAAAAATCACATGATTATCTCAATAGATGCAGAAAAGGCCTTCAATAAAATTCAACATCCCTTCATGTTAAAAACTCTCAATAAACTAGGTATTGATGGAACGTATCGCAAAATAACAAGAGCTATTTATGACAAATCCATAGCCAATATCTTACTGAATGAGCAAAAGCTGGAAACATTCCCTTTGAAAACCACCACAAAACAAGGATGCCTTCTCTCACCACTCCAATTTATCATAGTATTGGAAGATCTGGCCAGGGCAATCAGGCAAAAGAAATAAATAAAGGGTATTCACATAGGAAGAGAGGAAGTCAAATTGTCTCTGCAGATGATATGATTGTATATTTAGAAAACCCCATCAGCTCAGCCCCAAAACTCCTTATGCTGGTAAGCAACTTCAGCAAAGTCTCAGGATACAAATCAATGTGCAAAAATCACAAGCATTCCTATATGCCAATAATAGACAAGCAGAGAGCCAAATCATGACTGAACTCCCATTCACAATTGCTACAAAGAAAATAAAATACCTAGGAATACATGTTACAAGGGATATGAAGGACCTCTTCAAGGACAACTACAAACCACTGCTCAACGAAATAAGAGAGGTCAAAAACAAATGGAAAAAAATTCCATGCTCATGGATAGGAAGAATCAATATCGTAAAAATGGCCATACTCCCCAAAGTAATTTACAGATTCAATGTTGTTCCCATCAAACTACCACTGACTTTCTTAGCACAATTAGGAAAAACTACCCTAAATTTCACATGAAACCAAAAGAACGCTTATAGCCAAGACAATCCTAAGCAAAAAGAACAAAGTTGGAGGCCCCAAGCTACCTGACTTCAAACTATACTACAAGGCTACAGTAACCAAAACAGCATGGTACGGGTACCAAAACATATATGTAGACCAATGGAACAGAATGGAGGCCTCAGAAGTAACATCACACATCTACAACCATCTGATCTTTGCCAAACCTGACAAAAACAAGCAATGGGAAAAGGATTCCCTATTTAATAAATGGTGTTGGGAAAACTGGCTAGCCACATGCAGAAAACAGAAACTGGCCCCATTCCTTACACTTTATATAAAAATTAACTCAGGATGGATTAAGAACTTAAATGTAAAACCCAAAACCATAAAAACCCTAGAAGAAAACCTAAGCAATACTATTCAGGACATAGGCAAGGGCAAAGACTTCATGACCATACACCAAAAGCAATTGCAACAAAAGTCAAAATTGACAAATGGGATCTAATTAAACTAAAAACTTATGCACAGGAAAAGAAACTATCATCAGAATGAACAGGCAACCTACAAAATGGGAGAAAATTTTTGCAATCTAGTCATCTGACAAAAGTCTAATATCCACCATCTACAAGGAACTCAAAACAGATTTACAAGAAAAAAACAACCCCATCAAAAACTGGGCAAAGGATACGACAAGACACTTCTCAAAAGAAGATATTTATGCAGCCAACAAACATAGAAAAAAAGCTCATCATCTCTGGTCATTAGAGAAATGCAAATGAAACCAAAATGAGATACCATCTCATGCCAGTTAGAATGGTGATTATTAAAAAGTCAGGAAGCTGGGCATGGTGGCTTACGCCTGTAATCCCAGCACTTTGGGAGGCCAAGGAGGGTGGATCACGAGGTCAGGAGATTGAGACCATCCTGGCTAACACAGTGAAACCTAGTCTCTATTAAAAACACAAAAAATTAGCCAGGTGTGGTGGCACATGCCTGTAGTCCCAGCTACTCAGGAGGCTGAGGCAGGAGAATTGCTTGAACCCGGGAGGCAGAGGTTGCAGTGAGCCAAGACTATGCCACTGCACTCCAGCCTGGACAATAGGGCAAGACTCTGTCTCAAAAAAAAAAAAAAAAAAAAAAAAAAGTCAAGAAACAACAGATGCTGGCGAGGCTGCAGTGAAATTGGAATGCTTTTATACTGTTGGTGGCAGTATAAATTAGTTCAACCACTGTGGAAGACAGTGTGGCAATTCCTCATAGATCTAGAACCAGAAATACCATTTGACTCAGCAATCCCATTACTGAGTATATACCCAAATGATTATAAATCCTTCTACTATAAAGACACATGCACATGTATGTTTATTGTAGCATTATTTACAATAGCAAAGACTTGGAACCAACCTAAATGCACATCAATGATACACTGGATATAGAAAATGTGGCACATATACACCATAGAATACTATGAAGCCACAAAAAAGAATGAGTTCATGTCCTTTGCAGGGACATGGATGAAGCTGGAAGCTATCATCCTCAGCAAACTAAAACAGAAACAGAAAACCAAACACCACACATTCTCACTCATAAGCGGGAGTTGAACAATGAGAACACGTGGACACAGGAAGGGGAACATCACACACAGGGGCCTGTTGGGGAGTGGGGGGCAAGGGGAGGGAGACATGTATACCTATGTAACAAACCTGCATATTCTGCACGTGTATCCCAGAACTTAAAAAAAAAAATTAACATACAAAATTCCGTAGCATTTCTATATGCCAACAGCAAATAATCTAAAAAAAAAAAAAAAAAATCAAGAAAGTAATCCCATGTACAATGATTACAAATAAAAGTAAATACCTAGGAATTCACTTAACCAAAGAAGTGAAAGATCTCTACAATGAAAACTATAGAACACTGATTAAAGAAACTGAAGAAAAATACAAAAAAAAAAAAAAAAAGAAAGAAAAGACATTCCATGTTCTTGGATTGGACGAATCAATATTATTAAAATGTCCATACTACCCAAAGCCATCTACAGATTCAATGCAATCCCTATCAAAATACCAAGGATATTCTTCACAAAAATAGAAAAAAACAATTCTAAACTTTATATGGAACCACCAAAGACCCAAAATAGCCAAAGATATCCTGAGCAAAAAGAACTAAACTGGATGGATCATATTACCTGATTTCAAATTATACTACAAAGCTATAGTAACCAAAACATGGCACTAGCATAAAAACAGACACATAGACCAATGGAACAGAATACAGAACTCAGAAATATAGGCATACATCTACAGTGAACTCATTGTCAACAAAGACACCAAGAATATACATTGGGGAAAGGAGAGTCTCTTCAATAAATGGTACTGGGAAAACTGGATATACATATGCAGAAGAATGAAACTAGACCCTCATTTCTCACCATACTCAAAAATCAAATCACAATGGATTAAACACTTAAATCTCAGACCTCAAACTATGAAGCTACTAAAAGAAAACATTGGGGGAACTCTCCAGGACACTGGACTGAGCAAAGATTTCTTGAGTAATACTCGATAAGCACAGGCAACCAAAGCAAAAATGGATACATGGGATCATATCAAGTCAAAAAGCTTCTGCATAGCAAAGGAAGCAATCAATAAAGTGAGCAGACACGCCACAGAATAGGAGACAATATCTGCAAACTACTCATCTGACAATGGATTAATAACCAGAGTATAAGAAACTCAAACAACTGTATAGGAAAAAATGTAATAATCCAATTTTAAAATGAACAAAAGATCTGAATATATATTTCTCAAAAGAAGACATACTAACGGCAAACAGGTATATAAAAAGGTGCTCCACCAACATGGCACATGTATACATATGTAACAAAACTGCACACTGTGCACATGTACCCTAGAACTTAAAGTATAATAAATAAATAAATAAAAAGATGCTCAACATCATTGATCATCAGAGAAATGCAAATCAAAATGACAATGAGATATCATCTCACTCCAGTCAAATGGCTTTTATCCAGAAGTCAGACAATTACAAATGCTGACAAGGATGTGGAGAAAAGGGAACTCTTGTATACTGTTGGTGAACACGTAAATTAGAACAGTCAATATATGAAAATAACTATAAATACCCCATTTTCCATATACTGACTGAACTCTTATTATACAATAGCCCTTTGAAGTAGGCCCTATTATTATTTTTATTTAACAGATGAAGGAACTGAGGTACCGTGAGTGTAAGTAATTTGCTCACATATTTAGGGGAGCTAAAAATTAAAACAATTGAACTCATGGAGACAGAGAGCAGAATGATGATTACCAGAGACTGGGAAATGTAGTGGAACGGAGGGGGTTAATGGGCACAACTATACACTTTGATAGACTGAATAAGATCTAACATTTGATAACACAACAGGGTGACTAAACAATAATTTATTGTACACTTTAAAATAACTAAAATAATATAATGGGATTGTTTGTAACACAAAGTATAAATGCTTGAGGTAATGTACACCCCATTTACTCTGATGGGATCATTATGCATTGTATGCCTGTATCCAAATCTCTCATATACTCCATAGATAAACAGACCTACTATGTACCCACATAAATTAAAAATTAAAAATATTTAATATTAAAAATGTATTATTACATATAAAATATATAAACATTAAAAATATTAATTTAATTTAAATTTAAAAATCTTAAGTGAATCCACAACTCAGTGAAGGAAATATTCATATAAGTCTTATTTTTTAAAGTCTTCAGTGGTTAAAAATAAATGTCATTCCTTACATAACTCCTAATAAAGTTCTGACCACTCAAGATAACTTTTAAAGTATCATTGCCATTTTTGAGTACCTACTACTAGAGAAGCTTTAAACTAAATTTTTATGTATATATTCCATAATTCTTTAAAAATCCCTTTATAAAATCCTTTTAAAGATGTGAAAACTGAGGTCTAAAGAATAAGGAAATCAGAAATATTTAAGGATATAAACTCTGATCTAGGCCGGGCCTGGTGGCTCATGCCTGTAATCCCTGCATTTTGGGAGGCCGAGGCAGGTGGATCACCTGAGGTCAAGAGTTCGAGACTAGCCTGACCAAGATGATGAAACCCCGTGCCTCTCAAAGATAGAAAAATTAGCCAGGTGTGGTGGCAGGCGCCTGTAATCCCAGCTAATTAGGAGGCTGAGCCAGGAGAACTGCTTGAACCTGGGAGGCGGAGGTTACAGTGAGCTAAGATGGCGCCACTGCACTCCAGCCTGGGTGACAGAGCAAGGCTCCATCTCAAAAAAGTAAAAAATAATAATAAAAAACTCTGATCTATATGACTTTTAATTCTGTGCTCCTAACCATCTTTACTATCATTTTCAAAATTCCTTATAATAAAATTTAATCTTATGTAGATCACCAAAAGTTCTGATTTCATGTAAAGCTATAATAAATTACCATGCAGAGTAAAATTTTCATCACAGAAAAAGTATCCTTTTAATTTAATAAGTACCACAAATAAAACCAGGAAGTGGAGATAGAATAAATGCAGGGAAGAGAGTTTCTTTAGTCAATAAGGGATGTCAGGGAAGACCACTCTTAAGTTAATGATTACATTTTTTACCAAAACCACCTTCACAAAAAGGGCTATCTTTTTTCCTTCCCGATTCTCTCTCCAGGCACGCTACTGGCAGAATGCTGGGCACATATTAGCCATTCAGTAAATAATTTTGAATTAATTTAGAAGTATTTATTAAGTACCTATAAGTATACAAACAGTACTATAATCTACATAAACCTAGAACTTAAAAACTCATAAAAACAAGCTCCAAGAAGACTCAAGACAATAAAACCAGATAATAATTGAATGTTTTGGTATTCGTTCTGAGATGGGAAAGTATATCAAAAAGGAAAAAAACAATAGTCTTCATCAAGAAGCAAAGGATACAAGGAAAAGATCACACTGCTGACCCACTAACCAAATACCTTTCATTTCCAGCAATATTACAGGTCAAATTATTATTAAGCATGGTTCTGCTTCCTCCCCAAATCATTAGTATGACCTCTCAAACCGACTTAGCTTTCAGTAACTACTTGCTTTATAATCCAATTCCTTGAGCTCATCATGAAACACCTTCCAATTTAATCTTGAATTCATCATGACATAAATGAAATAACACAAAGTAACATATTACTTTATCTTTAAAGTTTCAAGGTTTTCTGTTTAGCTTCTGATATGGTTTGGCTGTGTCCCCACCCAAATCTCATCTTCAGTTGTACTCCCATAATTCCCACGTTATGGGAGGGACACGGTGGGAGACCATTTGAATTATGGGGGCGGTTTCCCCCATACTGTTCTCATGGTAGTGAATAAGTCTCACGAGATCTGATGGTTTTATCAGGGGTTTCCGCTTTTGCATCTTCCTCATTTTCTCGTCGCTGCCACATAAGAAGGGCTTTTTGCCTCCTGTCACGATTCTGAGGCCTCCCCAGCCATGTAAAACTGTAAGTCCAATTAAACTTCTTTTTCTTCCCAGTCTCAGATATGTCTTTATGAGCAGTGTGAAAACAGATAATATAGTATATTGGTACCAGTAGAGTGGGGGGTTGCTTAAAAGATACCTGAAAATGTGGAAGTGACTTTGAACTGGGTAACAAAGGTTGGAACAGTTTGGAGGGCTCAGAAGAAGACAGGAAAATTTGGGAAAGTTTGGAACTTCCTAGAGACTTGTTGAATGGCATTGATCAAAATGCTGATACTGATATGGATAATAAAGTCTAGGCTGAGGTGGTCTCCGATGGAGATGAGGAACTTGTTGGGAACTAGAACAAAGGTGACCCTTGTTAGGTTTTAGCAAAGAAACTGGCGGCATTTTGCCTCTGCCCTAGAGATTTGTAGAACTTTGAACTTGAGAGAGATGATTTAGGGTATCTGGCAGGAGAAATTTCTAAGCAGCAAAGCATTCAAGAGGTGACTTGGATACTGTTAAAGACATTTAGGTTTATAAGGGAAGCAGAGAATAAAAGTTAGAAAAATGTGCAGCCTAACAATGTGATACAAAAGAAAAACTCATTTTCTGAGGAGAAATTCAAACTGGCTGCAGAAATTTGCAAAAATAACTAGTAGCTGAATGTTAATCCCTAAGACAATGGGGAAAATGTCTCCAGGGCATGTCAGAGGTTTTCACAGCAGCCCCTCCCATCACAGGCCCAGAGGCCTAGGAGAAAATGGTTTTGTGGGCCGGGCCCAGGGTCCCTGTACTGTGTGCAGCCTAGGGACTTGGTGCCCTGTGTCCCAGCTGCTCTGGCCATGACTGAAAGGAGTCAACGTAAAGTTTGAGCCATGGCTTCAGAGAGTGCAAGCCCCAAGCCTTGGCAGCTTCCATGTGGTGCTGAGCCTGCAAGTGCACAGAAGTCAAGAATTGGGGTTTGGAAACTTCCGCCTAGATTTCAGAAGATGTACGGAAACACCTGGATGCCTAGGCAGAAGTTTGTTGCAGGGCGGGCGCTCATGGAGAACCTCTGATAGAGCAACACAGAAGGGAAATGTGGAATCGGAGCCCCCATACAGAGCACCTACTAGGGCGATGCCTAGTGGAACTGTGAGAAGAGGGGCACTATCATCCAAATGCCAGAATGGTAATCTACCAACAGCTTGCACCATTTGCCTGGAAAAGCCGCTGACACTCGATGCCAGCCCGTGAAGGCAGCTGGGAGGGAGGCTGGACCCTGCAAAGCCACAGGTGCAGAGCTGCCCAAGACCATGGGAACTCACCTCTTTGATCACTGTGACCTGGATGTGAGACCTGGAGTCAAAGGACATAATTTTGGAGGTTTAAGATTTGACTGCCCCACTGGATTTCAGTTTGCATGGGCCCTGTAACCCCTTTGTTTTGGCCAATTTCTCCCATTTGGAATGGCTATATTTACCCAATACCTGTACCCCCATTGTATCTGGGAAGTAACTAGCTTGCTTTTGATTTTACAGGCTCATAGGTGGAAGGGATTTGTCTTGTCTCAGATGAGACTTTGGACTGTGGACTTTTGGGTTAATGCTGAAATGGATTAAGACTTTGGGGGACTGTTGGGAAGGCATGACTGGTTTTGAAATGTGAGGACATGACATGCGGAGGGGCCGGGGTGGAATGATATGGTTTGGCCTGTGTCCCCACCCAAATCTCATCTTGAATTGTACTCCCATAATTCCCACAGGTTGTAGGAGGGAGCCGGTGAGATAACTGAATCATGGGGGCAGTTTCCCCCATACTATTCTTACAGTAGTGAAAATGTCTCACAAGATCTGATGGTTTTATCAGGGGTTTCCACGTTTTCATCTTCCTCATTTTCTCTTGCTGCCACCAAGTAAGAAGTGCCTTTTGCCTCCCACCATGATTCTGAGGCCTCCCCAGCCATGTGGAACTGTAAGTCCAACTGAACTGCTTTTTCTTCCCAGTCTCAGGTACGTCTTTATCAGCAGCGTGAAAACAAACTACTACAGCTTCTTTTCCTTGAATCAATTTATTAATAGAAGATTTTAATAAGTCTAGGATCTTAAAATAAATGTAAATTGCATTCACTTGTTGTCTTCTTTTTCCTGACTAGTGTTTCATTGTTGACACTTAGGTAAAAGCTAATTCTCCCCTTAGGTAGTATATTACAAACAAGGGGCTCTGGAACCATACTGCAAGATTTCAAATTCTGACTCCACCATTCATTAGCTCTGTGAGTTTAAGCAAGTTACTCATGTTCTCTGTACCTCAGTTCCTTCATCTGTTAAATGAAAATAAGAATAGGGCCTACCTCAGCGGGACGTGGTGGCTCACGCCTGTAATCCCAGCACTTTGGGAGGCTGAGGTGGGTGGATCACGAGGTCGGGAATTCAAGACCAGCTTGGCCAATGTGGTGAAACCCCATCTCTACTAAAAATACAAAAATTAGCCGGGCACGGTGGCAGGCGCCTGTAATCCCAGCTACTCAGGAGGCTGAAGCAGGTGAATCGCTTGAACCCGGGAGGCAGAGTTTGCAGTGAGCCGAGATGGCGCCACTGAACTCTGGCCTGGGTGACAGAACGAGACTCCATCTCAAAAAAAAAAAAAAAAAGAATAGGGCCTACCTCAGAGGGCTACTGCAAGAATTCAGTCAATATATGGAAAGCACTAAGAACTGTGTATGGCCCATAATAAATACTCAATATATTATTAGCCATTAATTAACATTATGCTTGTTAAACTATGAACACATAGAATCACAAATGTATACTTATGATAGTATATAGGAATATTTTCCCACAAGGTACAGAATATACTTCTTTGTAAAATGTATCATTCTAAAAAATCATTTTTGAGTCAAAAAAACAGCTTAGTACAGTTCAGTGGGCAGACACCTGTAAGGATCAATCAGCAACATCCTTAGTCCATTACAAGACAATAATTGATGCCAAGACACCCAATAATAGCACAGATAGTTTTGATAACTTTCCCTTACACATCCTCACAATAAAATTCATGTTTTTCTTTTCTGTTTATTCATCCCACCTCATCTTCCTTCATTTTTATCCTATTAAATATCATATTTCAATATTTATTCACTATTTCTCTTCATATTTTCAGATTATTTGTAAAATTACACAAAACCAACTTATTCAATAATTTTCCATGAAGCCTCTGCTGTAAGCATTTTTCCATCAAAAAAATGTCATATATTATTCCTTAATTTCACCATTACTAACTCAGGTTCTTAAGAAACTGTATCAAAAAGATTCTCTATTCCAAAATACAGAAATTAGTTAGGATCTTAATCATGCCAGAATGCCATATAAAACAGTGATGAACAATAGAAGAAAATTAGTTAATCCCATAGTACCCAGAATGTGTGTCAAGTTTCCCAGGGGTGCTGTAGCAGACACACAGGGGCACTGTGAAATATTCTAAGGGTTTGAAAGAAACAGCAATACTTGACATCTATTGGACACTGCACAGACTACTAGCAAAAGGAAGTTTAGGATTACAATGTTAGATTGCCTTACATTCCTTGCATGGCATCATGAAGCTGGGTATTTAACAACTGCTGTGATAAAAAACAAACACAGAGCAAAAAGCAACATAAAACAGGAAATGAGGGTGGCAGTGTCCAATCTGATTTCAAAGTATGAGAAGCTGTCCAGTATCCAAAAGGCTCACATATCCTATTAGTAAATAGTTATGGCTGTTTAAGAAGAAAATAATTGTTTCTTTTAATTTATACATATACTTCTAATGGCTACTAAGTTGTTAGGACATAAATATTTAATCCACGGAACTATTAGGTATTTCTCTTTGCCTTGAGGCATCATGAAAAAATGAGAGGTAGTAAGGGCATTATGAACTGAAAACATTTAGGAATCCCTGAGTTAAAGAAAACAGATCCATTATATAAATGACTATGAATTATAATATGTGAATAGTTACTAATTGCAACATTTATGGTAACAGAGGTCTTTACCAAAAAGTCTTTCAACTCCCTGGTAGTTCTTAATTGCTATAATTATAATTTTCCTACAGCCTCACTCTTCCTAATCTCACTTCTTCCTGTACCATTTTCAGCATTTCACCAGACTCATACTTTTCAAGTCTAAAATCAAAGGGCATAAGAATATGACAACTCGGTTAATGAGAAATAAGTCACATACCTTCAAGTTTAAAAAGAGATGTTTTTGCATAAATTTTTGACCACTAAGAAATTCCAGATATAAAGATCACTACCTATATCTGTCAATCAACTTCATTAGGAGGCGGATATTTGAAACTCTCACTATAACAACAACAGAAATGTGCTAAACTTTTTATATCTGGTAATTTAAATGAAAAATTTTAATAGCCATGTTAAAATTATAAACTTACAAGATAAAAAAATCCTTTCATGGTACAATTACAATTTAATAGTCATTTACTATCTGTTCACAATGCAATATATGTATTAAATTATCTGAAAGTTGTGAGCCATTCCTCAGCATACAAAGCTGAATTAACTTCTAGTCATAAGGGAGTAACAGGAACCTGATTTATCCTGCTGCCTTAAAAAACCTTGAAAACTGTACAAAATATACAAAATATTATCAGACACTGTACAACAGGAAACAAAGGGCTGTGATCCCTGAAGAAAGGTAACTAATGAAGTAAGTTCTATGATTGCCCCCGGCTTACTAGATAGAGACAGTGTTCCAGCTACAGCAAAGGAAGAAGAGACCCAAACAGCTCTGGGTCTCATTAAGTTGTGCAGACACAGACTGGAGTAAGGAAGCTCAAGGCAGGTAGAATTTGCCAGGCAATATACTAGAGGATGGAGCTGCATTGAGAGAGAGAGTTCCGGAAGTTCTGAGTATTAATCAGTCCACGCCTGAGAGAAAAGCTACTCCAGACAAAGGAAAGGAGTCATTGGAAAGCAGCAGACTGAAAAATTCCTAAAGGTAAGAGAGGACTTACAATAGTTCGTGTTCCCATCAGTCAGAGTGAAAAGACCTCGTAATATTCAAGAAATTAAGTACAGTCCCCAGAACGATCATATCTTAATAGTGAGCCCAGGCACGGTGGCTCACGTCTGTAATCCCAACACTTTGGGAGGCTGAAGCAGGAGACCAGCTTGCGGTTAGGAGTTCGAGACCAGCCTGGCCAACATAGGGAAACCCCGTCTCTACTAAAAATACAAAAAAAATTAGTCAGGTGTGATGGTGGGCACCTGTAATCCCAGCTACTCAGGAGGATGAGACAGGAGAATCGCTTGAACCTGGGAGGCGGAGGTTGCAGTGAGCCAAGATCACGCCACTGCACTCCAGCCTGGGTGACAGAGTGAGAATCTGTTTCAAAAAAAAAAACAAAAACAACAACAAAAAGCTTAATAGTGGGATTAAATTCACCCTAGATTAGAAAAAAAGCTGCTCTATCGCTCTAAGCCTGCACTAATGAAGTTTAAAACTAAGTCCTGGCCGGGCACGGTGGTTCAGGCCTGTAATCCCAGAACTTTGGGAGGCTGAAGAGGGCAGATCATGAGGTCAGAAGATTGAGACCATCCTGGCTAACATGGTGAAACCCCGTCTCTACTAAAAATACAAAAAATTAGCCGGGCGTAGTGGCGGGCAGCTGTAGTCCCAGCTACTCCAGAAGCTGAGGCAGGAGAATGGCGTGAACCCGGGAGGCGGAGCTTGCAGTGAGCCGAGATCACGCCACTGCACTCCAGCTTGGGCGACAGAGGGATGCTCCATCTCAAAAAAAAAAAAAAAAAAAAAAAAAAACTAAGTCCCAAAAAGCTCAAATTGATTAACAAGTAACTTAACTGCATGGAAGAAAAAAAATTCATAATTCCTTAAAGGAATACAACAAAAATCAAACAATCAGTAAGATAAAATTCATAATGTCAAGTATCAAACCAAAAATTATTAGGTATGCAAAGAAGTAGAAACACATAATCCATAATCTGGAGGGAAAAAAAAGTCAATGACTCAGATAATGAAATTAAGCAATTCAAAAACCTTGAAACAGTTTTTATAAACATTTAAAAGATACTCAATAATTTAAAAGAAAACATGAACATAATGGAGAGAAAGTGAATATATATTTTTAATGGAACCTCTAGATGTGAAAAATATAGAATCTTATATGAAACATATACTAGAAGGGATGAACAGCAGATTAAACAGTACAGAAGAAAATATCAGAAAACTTGAAACCACTGAATAAAAATTATTCGAAATAGAGTTGAATTATTTGCTTCCCATTGCCTAAGATCCTTTCACTGAAATACTGCTTCATAAATGAGGATCATAGTCTTTCCCAAACAATATTGCCTAAACAATATTATATTCATTTGGATCACTAGCAATTCTTATCGGTAAAATAAGTCATTTGCAAAGAATGCCAAAAAAAGACAATGGGCTTTTTTATGGTCTACAGATGTTGTCAATATAAATGTAAGGGTCATAGTTTTTGAAAACTATCTTTGCTTTGCCTTCAATATGAAAAATATGCTCCATGATATATACCCTCATGGTAGAACTGGGCTAATCTTCAGAATTTCACACAGAAATACAAATAACAAATCTAAACGTGATTTTTTTCCATGCCTTCTCTCACAAACATTGATGAGACATTTATATTTTATAGAAATAATCCTTCAGAATTCTTCTTAAAAATCTAGCAAGTTCTTTATTTAAAACTGACATTACACTTTGTTAATTCTTTTTATCTTCAGATATGAAACTTTGCGGAGGAAAAGCATGAAGTGGGAAAGAATTCAAAGGAAACTACAATTTATATATATACATAAATATGCTGTGTATATATATATATATATATATGGTGTATATATATAGTGTATATATAATTATTGAGCAAAGTAGAGAGTATATAAATATTAAATTATTCCTTATACATTTTCACACACTCAAAATATTTCATGATAAAACTCACACAAAGCTGGAGAGGATGCCACAAAAGGTCTCATAAACTGCTTCTGGTTACATATTACATAGGTTCTTTTAAAGTTCCAATATTGGACTCAAGATTTTCAAGCAAAGACTTATGTTCAAATACATTCATCATTGCAATATTTCTAACAGTAAAAATATGACACTCTATAAATATCAAAACAATAACATAACAATAAATTATGTTAAATTCATAAAGTGAAATACTACACAGGCATTGAAAAATAAAGTTTTCAAAGCAAGGGGAAAATAAGAAAATGCTAGTCATATTAGCACACTACAAAAACATGATCCAACTTTTATAAAACAAAAGTAAATAATTTATTTGCACAGAAAAAATACTAGGGGAATATATGTGAACTATTAGAGAAGTGATTTATCCCTAGATAGTAGGTCTATGATTATTTTCTCAAATTTTCTATAATGACCCCATTACTACTTGTTCTTATAAAAAAAATTAAACCCTCCTCTGACACTCTCATTTTCTCAACCTTAAAAACATGAAAGCGCAGGAATAAACTAAGATTGCCATCAAATGAACCAGGTAGAAGGAATATTGGCAGCCACTTAAACTTATAGAGTATGTAATAACTTACAAAAGAGTTTGACATTTTCAAATTAGCTCCTATTAACACAGAAAGTAGATAAAGCAGATATTTGTCTTTGCAGATTAGGAAATTTATAATAATTAGAAGTTATGTAACTTACCCAAAATCAAAGCTAATAAGTAACAAAGCCAAAATTCAAACATGTTTTTAATTCCATGTATGCGCTCATTCCATCTTATGACAAAATCTTTCTGAAAATGCAGGTAGATCAGGGGTCAGAAATCATGTTGCTGGTCAAGGTAAAGTATTAATGTATATAATATTATCAAGAACCAAACAATCCAGACATCAGAGACACAACTCTAAAACTAAAACAATTTGCAACTCCATCCAAAAGTCTCATATAGGAATCCTAATCCATCAAATTCAGTTTTGCATATAAAAAATTAAGTAGGTAGTCTGGAAGGGCATAAAATGTAGGACTCAAGCATTATATAGAAAGGATAGTAATATTTATATTAAATATGAAAAAGAAACTACTTATCAGAACTATCCATATATGGAGGATCAAATGATATTCTGAAACATTTCAGGCAATAAGTATCTAAATTAAATAAGGTAATGTTTGCTTAGTGTGCCTTATAAATGGTAACAGAACCTAAATATATACACATGATTAGCAGCTAAAAGTGTGCTATAAACTAAGAATCACAAGAACCAGGAAAAAAAACTAATAACAGCTACAACCTTGAGATAGAGAAGTGAGCACCTACTATTAAACTACACTAAGCAAGGTGGCCTGGCAAGAATTTCTAATCCAAAATCATATACAATGTAGATATTCAATAAATATTTTTGAACAACAGATTGATAACCTTAGAGTTAACAAATGTCCTCAATTGAGAAAATCAAGATGAATTCTACCATATGCTCCCAATACTTCCTAATGCTTACCAACATGAATCCTATTTTGTTGCTGAGATTCTTTTAACATGACAACTACCCAGTTTCTAAAGAGACATGCTGAGACCAACTCTAAAAAAGCACTGAACAGACACTACACAACATGAATGATGTACTATTACCAGTCATTCAAAGATGAATACCCTTTTCAAGGAATTCATCTCTACTCAGTGTGCATGAACATGTGGCAGAATATGGAAAATCCTATAAGAAAATTATAAACAAAGTCCAAGATGAAATAAATTATCCTCAGCTTATTCTGATAACTAAAGAATGGGAGGGGCTGACACGGTGGCTCATACCTGTGGTCCTGGCACTCTGGGAGGCCAAGGCAGGAGGATAACTTGAGCTCAAGAGTTCAAGACCAACCTGAGCAACACAGTGAGACCTGCCTCTACAAAAAATTTAAAAATTAGCCAGGTGTGGTGGTGCGCGCCTATAGTCCCAGCTCCTCAGGAGGCTGAGGTGGGAGAATCACTTGAGCCCAGGAGGTAGAGGCTACAGTAAGGCATGAGCTCACCACTGCACTCTAGCCTGGGCAACAGAGCAGGACCCTGACACACACAGATACACACACACACACACACACACACACACACAAATGGGAAACATTTCAAAAAGCAAAGAGGAGAGAAAAGCCTTTCTAACAGAGTGAAATGTGCAAGGCATAGATAGGAAAGATCTTTCCATGTGTTTTGCATCTCCCTCACCTCCTTGGTCTCTGAAACCTCTTCAATGCTCTGGGGAACCCTTATAGTAGATCCCACCCGTCATTCACAAACTCACAAACCAAGAGATATTAACAGGGAAAAGTAAACTAGAAGAAAAAAAAGTAAACTAAAAGAATTAGCATATATTTAAAAGCAATCACAGAAAGATCTGAGCCAAATGACAATTAAAAAGAAAACGTTTGCTGTGACAAATAGTGACTTATCTTAGAAACAATGCTGTGCCAACATGCTAGTTAGGAATGTATTATTATCTTTTGATAAACCCTTTGAAAGTAAATGTCATGTTTGTTTGGAGCCATCCAGTTTCTGGCAAAATCATGAACACGTACCAGAAGTTGAATGACTTTTGATATTCTTTTGATTTACTCATGTTTTAGACATATTATCTATTGCAATAAAATTGATAACCTCCGTGGAAATTAAAGAATACACACTTCACCTTGGAATATAAATTGTAAATGTGTTTGAATGTTTTACCAGAAGACAGGTTTCAACAGAAAATTTCATTTCTAGAATTCCAAAAGAATTCTATTTTCCAGTATAATGAAAACATTCACACCAGCTTAAGAATCTCTAACAAAGGAGCATTTGGCTAGAATATTCTATTCAGACTTCAAGAGTAGATAAATTAAATGTTATTGGCTAAAGCTTTTATAAAGTTCTGAGACTTAATTAGAGGATATCCAAAAATACACTGTGAGTTTAAATACCAGATTTGCTTTTATCATAATTCACTCTAACCTACAATCCTTTAGAAAAATACGGTAATAATTTATGGATACTTTCCTCCACCATTTCAAATTTTTGCCTAAGTGATCCTCTTAGTCCTTATCAGGTTTTGAATAAAGACGTGTTCATTTCAAAGGGGTTAATTTTCTGAATATGGTTATTGTGTGAGTATTCCTATTGTTGTTTTAATGAATTAATCCTGCAATAGCAATTATGCTAGTATGAGTTCTGCTAAAGTGGCTGGATTGAACACTAATGAAGCCAATTCACAATGGCAATGGCAACTGTAGTCACGATCATAGTAATAACTCTCCACTTCTCCCCCAATACAATTCATAATTCTAAAAGCAAATTCCTACCTCACATCTATCCACATTCTCAAGTGAAAGAGTGTCTGGTTTTATCTTTTAATAGTACTTCTTCCCTACATTAATGTTCATTCTTGAAAAGTAACATCTTATGCATAACGTATGATTTTGAAATAGCTAGTTATCATACGTATTGCACTTTAAAATACAATTGCTTCTGATTTTAACTACCAAAATAAAAATGTTTGAAATTTGTTGAAATAGTACTACAAAAATGTGCTCTGTTATAACAAATATTCATGTTTACGTAATTTGAAAATTCAAATTCCAAAATAGCAAGAATTTTTTATACATATATATGCTTGATCATTTTCAAATAATTAAATTCATTTATGATTCGAATAAGTCCGTTTGTCGGTAAAAATCACCAAATACTTTAAAGCTATTTCACGAAAATCTTCCTCAAAATTAGTTATGTCTATTAAAAACTCAGTTTAATCTACAGTGTGGGATGAACATTTCAGATTATTCGTTGCTTCTCATATGCTATCATAAATCAGGTTATCTCATGACCTCAATGTGAAACTTCAAAAAGCTCACTATTTTCCATTTCAACCAGAAATTACTTACTTTACACTTGACTGGTTCTTAAGAACAAATTTAGATACTAGCTTTCACAGGGTAGGTACATTTCTTATCTGGTGAATATAACTATATCTGAATATTAAAGGAAAATATAAATAATACTATCTTTACTATGCAAATTAGAAATGCCTTTGGGATAAGAAAAGGCCTCCAGGTATTTTCAAATAAGTGGATGCAGAAGTGTATTTCATGTTTAGTATACTTCCCAACTACTTTAAATACTATTGATCTCAGCATTGTTTATATATAATTATATCTAGTTCATTTGCCTTTGAAACATTTATTTTTGATGATAACATAAAAATTAACCAAAGGCATTGAAAGGAATAGGCAAGACTTTATCAATCTTACCGAATGGCCAAAGATTATTATTAGTGTTTCACGTGAACATTTTAAAGTTACCATAACTACAGTTTTTATTGTTTGCAATTCTATTTAAACACTTATATTCTTCTCCTTTTTTACAAAAAAAAAACAAATAGAAAAAAGTGTTCATTAATTTTTAATGCAACAAGACAGTTTTCAAAAGTCTACATATAAGACTGCAACCCTACTCAATGAGTTTTTGTGGACACTCTTTTCTTCTAGGTTTATTCTCCTGAATAACCTTATAAAATGATAAATTTGTTAAAAGAATGAGAATTATTCTGTGATATTCCAAATGACAGAGTGGATATGTCCCATTCATGTCTATAAGATGGTTTGGATTTATGGATGAATTTTAAAACATTTTGGTTTACTAATTATAAATTTATCTCCCCTCAAAAAAATATGTAAATGATAATTCCTGATGACCAAACTTGAAGGTCCACACTTAACTACTAGAATCATTAGTAAATACAGATTCTATCCATCACTATTATCTACTCACAGATACACTTAACTACTAGAATCATTAGTAAATACAGATTCTATCATACTATTATCTACTCACAGATGCAGACACCAGACTTTGAAGACACAGACCTCCAGTAACAACTAATGACCTGTTTCACTTGTTTTCGTGAGTAACTGCATCAATTTTGCACGCACTAGAATCTATCTCAACTGGGCCCCTCCCACTAGAATTCACATGACTAATTATGCCCAACTGAATACAGCTTCATGGCAAGTATGGCAAATAAGTTTTCTCTTCTCTCCAAAACTCTAGCAATGTGCTATCTGGAATGCTGTTTTAATTCACGACTCAACAGGAAGAAGAATGGAGAACAATAAGTAAAGACTGCTATGGTATATAAGGGTAAGAGAAGTGGCACAAGGATCAGGTATTTGCCACCTTCCCTCTAGGGTAAACTCGTCATCTATCAAACTTTTTAATCTTACTCTAAAGAGCAAATGTCAACAATGTCAAGTTACCTACTTCAATTAACTCACCAAATACAATGACAAAATAAATTTTCTAAAGCATGGTCAGCTTCCATTCCCAGGAAAATGGATTAGAAGTATTTTCCTGATTCCTCCCTCAGAACACAACTAAAAACCCTGAATACTACATATAAAATAAACATGAGAAAACTCTGAAGTGGGGGAAAAAAGGCAGATTGACTAGAGACCTTGGGACCTTGTTATTAAACAGCAATAAGTTCCCTGGGTTTTCCTTTTGCCTCATGCACAGCAGATATGGAACAGAAAAAGTTGACAACCTAGAAACACCACTAAGTACAGAAAGAAAAAAGCCTCAACGAAAGTCTGCTCTCTACCCTACGGACCAGGAAAGGAGTAGGCTAGTAAACAAAAAACTTTTAGACATTAACCACTCTACTCCTGACAAGTACCAAAGGAAAAAAAAAAAATGTGGCCCTACCACCACTCATGCTAGCAAAGGCCACGAGAGGAGCCTAGACTTCAATCTTTGCAAGTCTATATAATGAGGCTCCCCAGCCTCCCTAATTGCTGCCAGAAGAATTTCAGAGAAGGACAAGTGGAGAGCCAGGACTTTCATATTCACGATACTGTAATGAGGTTACCCACTCCTCCAGCCCCTGCTCCCCATTGGAACTGTGTCAGAGGAGGCCAAGGAAGAGTCAGAATTTTCACCTCTGCCCAGCAATAACAAGGCTCCCTTCCTCCCGTGATGACAGTGGAAGCCACATGGGAGACATTCCTGCCCCTTCCACCTAGGGTGGCATTAGTGAAGGCCTAATAAAGGGTGAGAATACACCCATCCAGCAATAAAAAAGAGCATCATATTCCTCAGGTGTCTTCAGAGACCAGAGGGGAACCTAAACTTCTAAACTCTTCCGGCAGTAAATAGGAGGGGCTAACTCCTCCTCTGATAGAATGTCATCAGTGAAAGCCAGAGAAAATAGAAGGTTTAAATAAGATACAGAGTTCATAATGTAATACCCAAAGCATCCAGATTCAATCAGAAAATCATTTGTTATACCAAGAACCAGGAATATCTTGAATTGTTAACAAATCCACAGATGCCAACACCAAGATGACAGAGATGTCAGAATTATGTGACAACAATTTCAAAACAGCCATAATGAAAATGCTTCAATGAGCAGTTATGAAGGTAAAAGAAACAAATTGGAAGCCTCAGCAAAGAAACAGAAAGTCTAAGCAAAGAGACAGAAGATACAACGAAAAAACAAATACAAATTTTATGCCTGAAAAGTACAAAACCCAACTCAATAGATGGGCTCAACAGCCAACTGGAGAGGACAGGAAAGAATCAGTGAAAAGCAAAAGAGAACAACAGAATTTACCAAATATGAACAACATGGAAAATAGACAAAACGAACACCACCTCAGAGGCCTGTCAAAGATCTAATATTTACAACACCTGAGCCTAGGTAGAAGAGAAAGAAGGCAGGTCAATAAATATACAAAGAAACAGTGACTCAAAATTTATCAAGTTTGGCAAAAGACATAATCATACAGATTCATGAAGCTGAACAAACCCGAACACAATAATCTCAAATAAATCTATACCAAGTCATATCATACGAAAACTTCCAAAATCTAAAAACTAAGAAAAAATCTTGAAGATAGTGACACAGAAATACCATTATTACCTAAAAACAATGATTCAGATGACAGCAGATTTCTTGCTGGAAACCACCAAAACCAGAAGGAAGGGGCATGGCATTTTTCAAATACCGAAAGAAAAGAAAAGAATCAACGCACAATTCTATAATATAACCAGTGAAAATAATTTTTAGGAATTAAAGGAAATCAAGACATTCTTAAAAAATAGGAGGGGGGAAATCTAGGAATTGGTTGTCATGAGACCAAACAAAAAAGTATAGCTAAAGTAAGTTTTCTAAATAGAAAAGAAATTTTAAATGGAGGGATCCTGGAACATCAAGAAGGAAGAAGGAAAAGAGTAAAGGCAAAAATCTGCATAAATACAACAGACTTTCCTTGTCTTCTTCAGTTTTCTAAATTAGGTTTGATGGCTGAAACAAAAAGTATAATAATATCTTATGTGGTTCTAAATGTGGGTCAAAAAATATTCATGGCAACTATATTATATAGGGGAAAGAAAAGGAAAATAGAGAGAAAGGTTTCTATTATAAATGTCACTTAAAGTAGTAAAATATTGATACCAGTACACTGTGCTAAGTTATGTATATATAATATAATATAATATAATATAATATAATAATTAGAGCAACCACTAAAGATATATACAAAGAGATACCACCAAAACCAATACAGATAAATCAAAATGAAATTCTAAAATGCGTTCCAATAGCCAACAGGAAGGCAGGAAAAAAAAAAAAACAGAGATAGCAAACAGAAAAAAAAGCAAAATGACACACGTAAATGCTAACATATCAATAATCAAGCTGAATGTAAATAATCTAAAATATACAAATCAAAAGTGCTCAACAGAGTAGATTTTAAAATATGATGCAACTATATAGTAACTAAAAGAAACTCATTTCAAATATGGCAATATAGGTAAGTTGAAAGTAAAAGGAAGGAAAAAAGATATGTAATCATTCTTCAAAAGAAAGAAGAGTGGTTATATTAACATTGAATAAAGTGTACTTCAGAGCAAAGAAAATTACTAGGGAAAGTAAGGGACATTATACAATGATAAAAGAATCTACCAAGAAGACGTAGTGATCCTAAATGTGTACGTACCAACTTTAGACTTTAGAGCTCAAAATAATATACAGAAAAAAAACTGATAGAACTGAAAAGAGTAATAGATAAATCAATAATTATGTTTGGCAACTTCAAAATGCCTCTCTCAACAATGTATAGAACTAGCCAGTGAATTATCAAAGGTACAGAAGAGCTCAGCAACAAAATCAACCTATAGGATCTAATCAATATTTATGGAACAATCCACCAACATCAGCAAAATATATATTATTTTCAAATGCCCATAGATTTATACAAAGATAAACCATACTTTGGGCCACAAAACAAACCTTGTCAAATTTAAAGAATTTAAATCACAGAGTACATTCTCTGACCATATGAAATCAAACTAAAAATCTGGCAAAGGAAAAATCGCCAAACACTTGAAAATTAAATAACACATTTCTACATAATCCTTGGTCATACAGAGAGTCTCACAGGAAAGTTAAAAATACATAGAACTGAATAAAAATAAAAAGGCAGCATATCAAAATATGGGGGATGAAGTTAAAGCAGCTGAGAGGAAAATTTATAAAATTAAAGGTGTACGTTACAAAACAGGAAAAATCTCAAATCAATAATCTACACTTCTTCTTTTTTTTTTTTTTTTTTTTGAGACGGAGTCTCGCTCTGTCGCCCAGGCTGGAGTGCAGTGGCGGGATCTCGGCTCACTGCAAGCTCCGCCTCCCGGGTTCACGCCATTCTCCTGCCTCAGCCTCCCAAGTAGCTGGGACTACAGGCGCCCGCCACTACGCCCGGCTAATTTTTTGTATTTTTAGTAGAGACGGGGTTTCACCGTTTTAGCCGGGATGGTCTCGATCTCCTGACCTCGTGATCCGCCCGCCTCGGCCTCCCAAAGTGCTGGGATTACAGGCGTGAGCCACCGCGCCCGGCCAATAATCTACACTTCTGAGAGGTGACAGCGTGCTGGCAGCTCTCACAGCCCTCCCTCGCTCTCGGCGCCTCCTCGGCCTTGGCGCCCACTCTGGCCACGCTTCAGGAGCCCTTCAGCCCACCGCTGCACTGTGGGAGCCCTTGCTGGGCTGGCCAAGGCCAGAGCTGACTCCCTCAGCTTGAAGGCAGGTGTGGAGGGAGAGACGCTGGCAGGAACTGGGGCTGCCCGCAACCCTTGTGGGCCAGCGTGAATTCCGGGTGGGTGTGGGCTCGGTGGTCCCCGCACTTGGAGCGGCCGGCCAGCCGGCAGGCCCCGGGCAGTGAGGGGCTTAGCACCTGGGCCAGCAGCTGCTGTGCTCGATTTCTCACCGGGCCTTAGCTGCCTCCCTGTGGGGCAGGGCTCCAGACCTGCAATTCGCCATGCCTGAGTCCCCCATGCACCCCCCGCCCCCGCCCTGCTGTGGGATCCCGGGCAGCCCGAGCCTCCCTAACCAGCACCACTCCCTATTCCAGGGCGCCCAGTCCCATCTACCGCCCAAGGGCTGAGGAGTGCGGGCACAGGGCACGGGACTAGCAGGCAGCTCCACCTGCGGCCCGGGTGCGGGATCCACTGGGTGAAGCCAGCTGGGCTCCTGAGTCTGGTGGGGAATTGGAGAACCTTTATGTCTAGCTAAGGGATTGTAAATATACCAATCAGCACTCTGAATCTAGCTCAAGGTTTGTAAACATACCAATCAGCACCCTGTGTCTAGCTCAGTGCTTGTGAATGCACCAATCGACACTCCGTATCTAGTTAATCTGGTGGGAACTGGGAGAACCTTTATGTCTAGCTAAGATATTGTAAATACACCAATCAGCACTCTGTATCTAGCTCAAGGTTTGTAAACACACCAATCAGCACCCTGTGTGTAGCTCAGGGTTTGTGAATGCACCAATCAACACTCTATATCTAGCTAATCTAGTGGGGATGTGGAGAACTTTTGTGTCTAGCTCAGGGATTGTAAATGCACCAATCAGCACCCTGTCAAAATGGACCAATCAGCAGGATGTGGGTGGGGCCAGATAAGAGAATAAAAGCACCGCTGCCTGAGCCAGCAGTGGCAACCCATTCAGGTCCCCTTCCATACTGTGGAAGCTTTGTTCTTTCGCTCTTTGCAATAAATCTCGCTGCTGCTCACTCTTTGGGTCCACACTGCCTTTATGAGCTGTAACACTCACCGCGAAGGTCTGCAGCTTCAGTCCTGAAGCCATCGAGACCACAAACCCACTGGGAGGAACGAACAACTCCGGATGTGCTGCCTTAAGAGCTGTAACACTCACCGCAAAGGTCTGCAGCTTCACTCCTGAGCCAGTGAGACCACGAACCCACCAGAAGGAAGAAACTCCGAACATATCCGACCATCAGAAGGAACAAACTTCGGACACACCGCCTTTAAGAACTGTGACACTCACCACAAGGGTCCGCAGCTTCTTTGTTGAAGTCAGTGAGACGAAGAACCCACCAATTCCGGACACATTTCCACTTCAAGAAACTGAAAATAATTTTTTTTTTTTTGAGACAGAGTCTTGTTCTGTCGCCCAGGCTGGAGTGCAGTGGCACAATCTCAGCTCACTGCAAGCTCCGCCTCCCGGGTTCACGCCATTCTCCTACCTCAGCCTCCAGAGCAGCTGGGACTACAGGTGCCTGCCACCACGCCAGGCTAATTTTTTGTATTTTTAGTAGAGACGGGGTTTCACCATGTTAGCCAAGATAGTCTCGGTCTCCTGACCTCGTGATCTGCCTGCCTCAGCCTCCCAAAGTGCTGGGATTACAGGCGTGAGCCACCGCGCCCAGCCAAGAAACTGAAAATTATTGACAGAGATAACAACAAAAAGGAAATAATAAAAAGCAGAAATCAACATAATAGAAAACAGAAAAATAATAGAGAAAATCAATGAAACTAAGAACTTTTTGGAAGTGCAATACTTTGCAAAAACTTCTAGCAGACTGACAAGGGAAAAAAATAGGGAAAAGACACATCTGTTATCAATATCAAGAAACAGGATTATCAACAGACACTGCAGACATAAAACCATAACAAGAAAAAACTGTGAACAACGCTATACACATAAATTTGACAACTTAGAAAAACCAGTTCCTCAAGATGCACAAACTACCACACTTCACCAACATGAAATAGATAACTGAACAATCCTATAACTATTAAGGAAAGCGAATTGGCAATTTGGAAACTCCCAGAAAAGAACCCTCCAGGTTCAGATAATTTACTAAAGAATTCCACCAAATATTTGAAGAAGAATAACATCAACTCTACACAATTTGTTCCAGAAAACAGAAGAGAAAGCACCACTTCCTGATTCATTTTATGAAGCTACTTATCTCTGATATAAAAACCAAAGATAGTACAATAAAAGAAAGCTATACACCAATATCCCTCATGATTAGAGATGCAATCAATCCTTAACAAAACATTAGCAAATAGTATTTAGCAATGTATAATTGTACTCCACGACCAAGTGAAATTTATTCCAGTAGGCAAAGCTGGTTCAGTATTCAAAAATAAATCCATGTATTCCACCATATCAACAGTCTGAAGAAGAAAAATCTCCTGGTCATATCAAGTGATGCAGTACAAGCATTTCATGGAATCAAATGCCCATTCATGATAAAAAAAAAATTATCAGCAATCTAGGAACAGAAAATTTCCTCAACTTGATAAAAAAAAAATTTACAAAAAACTTGCAGGGACCATTTAGTGAAAGACTGATTTCTCTCTAAAATAGGAGCAGGGCAATGATGGCCACTCTCACCACTCTTACTCAACATAGTACTGGAAAATATAGCCAACACAATAAGGGAAAATAAAATAAAATAAAAGGCACACATATCAGAAAGGAAGAAATAAAACTCCACTTGCTTACAATTACAATAGATAATTACAATAGATAATTAACATGATTATGTAGAAAAATCAAGGGATCATTAAAAAAATAAAATCTTAGAAATAATAAGTGCACACGGAAATCCTTATTCTATATATTAGTAATGCAAACACGGACACTAAACATAAAAATACAGTATCATTTACCATCATACCAAAAAGTTTAAATACATAGGTGTAAATCTAACAATATATAGGACTTGCATGCTGAAAACTACAAAATGGTAGTGAAAGCAATCAAAGAAGATCTAAATAAATGGAGAGACATCTTATGTCCATGGATTAGGAGTCAACAATTCTCCCCCAAATTGATATCTAGGTTCAACTCAAAACCTGAACAAGATTTTTAAAAAATAGAGACAAGAGTCTTCTAAACTTCATGGAAAAGCACAGGACTGAAATATCTAAAACAATTTTGAAAAGGAAGAAAAAGCAGGAGAAATCATTCTAGCAGATTTTAAGATGCATTATATAGCTATAGTAATCAAGATGGTATGGTATTGACAGAAAACAGACCTATAGATCAATAGAACAGAATGAAGAACCAAGAAATACAACCATGCAAATATACCCAAGTGATTTTAGACAAAGATGCAAAATAGTTCAATGGGAAGAGGACGATACTTTTAACAAATTGTGCTAGAAGAATTAGACATCCACAGGCAAAAAAAGAAAAGAAACTTGACCTCCTTAAATCTCTTCTTAAACAAATAGTAACTCAAAATGGATTGTGAACTTAAGTACAAAACATAAAACTATAAAACTTTTAGGAAAAAAAATAAGAGAAAATCTTTGGTCTCTAGAGCTAGGCAAAAACAAAATCTCAATTTGACGCCAAAAACATACCCATTGAAGAAAAAATTAAAATTGGACTTCATCAAAATTTTAAATTTTGTTCTACAAAAGACCTTGTTAAGAGGATGAAACACAAGCTATAGACTGGGAGACAATATTTGCAAACCACATAGTTGACAAAAGACCAGTATCTGGGATATGAAAAGAACTTTGAAAACTCAACAGTAATTTTTTGAAATCCAAATAGGAAATGGGCAAAAGACATGTCCTCATCGAAGAGGACATTCAGATGGCAAATGAATACAGGAAAAGATGTTCAACATCATTAACCATGAGAAATGCAAATTAAAACTTCAATGAGGTATAACTATACATCAGCAGAATGGCTAAAAGAAAACATAGTGACACCAAATACTGGTGAAGAAGCAGATAAACCAAATCACTCTCACACATTGCTGGATAAAATGTAAAATGGTATAGACACTCTGACAAACGGTTTGGCAATTTCTTTCTTTTTTTTTTTTTTTTCCTGAGACGGAGTCTCGTGCTGTTGCCCAGGCTGGAGTGCAGTGGCACAATCTCGGCTCACTGCAACCTCCGCCTCCCGGGTTGAAGCAATTCTCCTGTCTCAGCCTCCCGAGTAGCTGGGACTACAGGCACCCACCACCACGTCCGGCTAATTTTTATATTTTTGGTAGAGATGGGGTTTCACCATATTGGCCAGGCTGGTTTCAAACTCCTGACTTCAGGTGATCCACCCACCTCGGCCTCCCAAAGTGCTAAGATTACAGGCATAAGCCGCTGCACCCAGCTGGCAATTTCTTAACAAACTAAGGCTATAACAATCACATGGCCCAGCAATTACACTCCTGGCCATTTATCCCAGATAAATAAAAACTTAGGTTTACAACAAAAAAGTATGTACACAAATATTCATAGCAACTAATTCATAATAGTCAAAAACTGGAAACAACCCAGATGTCCTTCAACAAGTGAATGGCTAAACTGTGGTACATCCATACTATGGGACACTCTTCAGCAATAAAAATAAATGAACTACTGATATATACAAAAATTTGAAAGAATCACCAGAGAATTATGCTGAATGAAAAGCCTATACTAAAAAGTTACATGCTGTCTGATTCCATTTATACAACATTTTAGAAATGATAAAATTACAAAAATGGAGAACAAATAAGCAGCTGCCAGGATTTACAAACAGGCTAGGGTGTGGAGCATAAAGAGTGAAGTGAGTGGGGTTATAAAAGGGGTCCTTATGGTGACAGAATTGTTCTGCATTGACTGTATAAATGTCAATATCCTGTCTTCATACTGTACTATAGTTTTGCAAGATGTTATTATTGGAAAGAAATGGTTCAAGCATATGCCAAATCTCTGTATTATTTCCTGTAACTGCATGTGAATCTACAATTATCTCAAAATGAAAAGTTTAATTTTTAAAAAATGGCTACCTACTATTTCCTTAAAAAATCGCTGACCCTAAAATCAATTGAAAACACCCTTTAAGTCTTCCACTAGTCTTCTCCAACAATGTTTCTTTGTTTTGATGAGAAGAAAGCAAATTTCTGACTTAATTACTGTGAATCACCGTTACAATTCCAATTTAAGAAAAAAAAATCAGGAATAAGAATGTTGAAAACTTTTAATACCATAATTTCAGCCACGGATTAACCCTTATGAGCTCAAGAGTGATAAGCATCTGTCCACGCTTCTACAATACCCCTATTTTAAGACTATGGCAGAAACAAGAAAACAAGTTTTACATAAATTGTTTCCTTAAAATAAGACGCATCAGGGTATCAAATGGTAGAAACTATTTTTAAAATTAAATATGCATACGCACATGTATTTCATAAAGTTATTATGTTAAAGGACAAATCTGTCTTCATAACACTGGTGATTAAGAAAATGTATACCCTAATTTGTTTACTATTCATCTATCAGGTTAGAAGACATGAAATTTCCAATGAGATATTTTACATTAAAATTAAAGTAATATACAAATATTAGATATTATTATTCAGCATTATAGCTATAACTTCATACTCATAATGTTTAGGTAGTACTCAACATTTCTGGCTTTCCAATAAATGATAAAAGATGTACTATTCGTTCTTTTTGACAGTGACTTCTTTGAAATTAATATGCTGGTCTTCACTGATGCTGAAGCCATTAACTTTCCTTTTCTCCACAAAAAATTTGTAGAAATCTTCCAACAGGATATAACCATTATTTTTTCCAAAATTCAAAAAGCTTTTCCCTCAGGTTTCCCTGAGTGATTCCCTTATAGTATATGATATCAAAGATGAAACATCAGCATAAATAAATATGATATTAATCATGTTGGAGGCCTTGATGTAAAGGCTAGTCAGATCAAATAGTTTATGAAGGAATGTGTACACACTTATAAGTAGACTTAGCAATAAAGTGCACTGAAACCTAGAAGTTTATATTTGACCTATTATGTATTTTACTAAGTTCAGCCTTTTCTAAGTAAAATTTCCCTTTTTTTAAATTAGGCAATTTTAGAATAATATCCAGGAAATAAAAATGAAAATAGAAAAATGTTAGGCATTAAAACTTTTTACAATTATGAAAAATATATTATTTAAAGGCAGTATACAGCAAGATGACAGAGTAAGAAATACCAGCCTTCGTCTTCCTCCCCTAAAAATAACTAGAAAGTTATCCATAAGCAAAATAGCCCAAAGAGGTCTCAAGAGTCTAAATAAGAATCTACACAAGAAAAATGGAGGAAAAATTGGTGAATAACTGCACAGAAAGGATGGATGGGGTATTCCATAAAACCTAAAATGTCTGGGGACAACTAGGAACAAAGAAGAAGTGTAGGAAAATCAGTATCAGCTACACAGCAGGTGCTACCATGGTCCCCAACAGCCTACTCTGCAGATTACTCTTGCAGCCATTACTGCTAAGGAGCTTAACAGTCCCAAAAGCAGTCACAGACTCTCTGCATTTTGTCTCCTTAGTGTTCATAGGTACAAACTCCAGCAACCTGCTCCTCAGAGGACACCAGCAGCTTTCACCACTGAGATAAACAGTAGCCATAACCACCCCCTAGAAGAAGCTGCCACCCGCCGCAACCTCACATATGCAACAGATCCCAGAACTACAGCTGCACTATTCACCTGCACTCCAAACCCCAGCTCAATGGCCGATCCATGAGTATCCATGCCTCAAACATTGAAGCCACCAACACAGCAGGCTAGCCTGTGCCCAGATCTTAAAGCCACTGTTCACTCTGCACACAACTGCACTATGGACCCTGGCTCCATGGCTACTCTAATGTGCTTGCACCTAGGACACTGAAGCCACCACCACAGGGAGAGTAACAATGTCCTGGACCCTGGAGCTACCTATAACTTTGCACATAACCACACTTTGGACCCTGGCTCCCTAGCTATTCCACGAGCACCCATACTGTACATACCATTACCAAACCGGTGGGGGTGCCTGTGCCCTGGATACTAGAACCACTGCTACCCCAGACCCTGGAGTCACCATCCCTCCCTCCACACATGCCTGAGCTCCAAACATCAGCTCCATGGCCACTCCATAGGCACTGTGCTAAGCTAGACCCAGCACCAAGAGGGATACCCTCAACCACAACTTCCTGCACAAGAGAAAAAGAGATCAGGAAGACCTCAGCAGCCCTGGCCATCAAAGAACCCAAAAGCCCTCGCTCCCCCTGCAGACACCTTGTAACACACGCAGCCTTGGCTGCTGAGGACTCCTACAATCTTAGCAGATACTGACTTCAGCTGACAAAACTGCATGGAGACTATACCACTGTATCCTCACCAAAGCTTGGAACCATGGCACCTCATCCAGCCAGCACTCTTGTACCCATCTGTAGGTGAAAGTCTTTGGCCACTGAAATCAATGTGTAAAGTCTAGAAGTGACTGCTCCAATAAATGCACAGATATCAATGCAAGGCAACAAACACAAAAAAACCAAAAACAAGATGCCACCAAAAAACAAAATGCCACCAAAAAACAAAATGACAATTTTCCAGTAACCAATCCCAAAGATGTGCAGATATTTGAATTGTCAAAGCATTCAAAATACAGTCACGTGTAACTTAACAACAAGGATTCATTCCAAGAAATGCATCATTAGGTGATTCTGTCCTTGTGCAAACGTCACAGAGTGTACTCACATAAACCTAAATGATATAGACTACTACACACCTAGGCTATATGGTACAGTCTATAACTCTCAAGCTACAAACCTGTACAGCATGTTACTGTACTGAATACTATAGGCAACTGTAACACAATGGTAAGTATTTGTGCATGTAAACATATCTAAACATAGAAAAAGTACAGTAAAAATACGGTATTATAATCTTATGGGACTACCATCAGATATATAGTCCATCATTGACCAAAACATTGTAATGAGGAAAATGAGTCTAATTGTTTCAAGGAAGCCCACCGAGCTACAAGAGAACACAGATGGATGATTAAATGATATATAAAGAAAACAATACATGAACAAAAGAATGAAAACAGACAGATAAAAATCATTAAAAAGAAACAAATTCCGAAGCTGAGGAATATAACAATGAAATGCAAAATGAAATAGTGTCAACATCAGATTTAATCAAGCAGAAGAATCTGTGAACTGAAAAACAGATAATTTGAAATTACCCAGTTAGAGGAACAGAAAGAATGTAAAAAGGAATGTAAAAGTAAAGAAAGACTACAGTACTTAGGGAACACCATCAGGAGAACCCACTCTTGCCACTTTTATTCAATATACTACTGGAAGTCCTACCCAAAGCAATTAAGCAAGAAAAAGAAAGAAAGGCCATCCAAATTAGAAAGGAAGAAGTAAAACTGCCACTGTCTTTATACAACACAATCTTATATAAAGAAAATTAAAGACTCCTTCCAAAACAAAAAACTGTTAGAAACTAGTAAACAAATTTAGTTAAGTTTCAGAATACAAAATCAGCATATGAAAATCAGTTGTGTTTCTATAACACTAAAACATACTCTCTGAAAAAGAAATTAATAAAACAATCCCATTAACAACAGAATCAAAAATAAATACTTAGAAATACATCTAACCAACTACATGAAAGATCTATAACTGAAAACTATAAAACATTGATGAAAGAAATTAAAGACACAAATAACTGGAAAAATAGCTCATGGATTCGAAGGATGGTTATTGCTAAAATATACATATTACCCAAAACAATCTACAGATTCAATGTAAACCCTATCAAAATTCCAATGGCATTTTTCATACAAGTGAAAAAAAGTCATAAAATTCATATGGAACTGCAAAAGATCATGACTAGCTAAAGCAATCTTCAGCAATAAGAACAAAGCTGAAGCATCACACTTCCTGATTTCAAATCAGATTACAAAGCTATAGTAATCAAAACAGCACGGTACTGGCATAAACACAGATAAACAGACCAATTGAACAGAATAGAGAATCTGAAAAAAATCCATACACAAATGGTCAACTAGCTTTCAACAAAGGTGCCAAGAATACACAATGTGCAAAGGAAAGTCTCTTCAATAAATGGTACCGAGAAAACTAGATAGCTACATGTGGAAGAATAAAATTGGACCCTTATCTTATGCCATACACAAAAATCAACTCAAAATGGATTAAAGGCTTAATCCTAAGACTTGAAATCACAAAACTAGAAAAAACAATAGGGAAAAGCTCCTTGACATCGGTCTTGTCAAAGATTTTATAATCTCCAGTTTAATATTTGATTTCAATTCATAGAACTAGAGTGAGAACCATATTCAACAATTCAAAGGAATGTACCAAGGATATCTGGAGCAATCAAAAGAGACCCCTAATATTCACAAGGCTGTCATTATGTTCTATCAGGTTTAGGATTACTCAAGATTCTAAGGCCAAGTGTGGTGGCTCAGACCTGTAACCCCAGCACTTTCTAAGGCTGAGGCAAGAGGATGCTTGAACCCAGGAGTTCAAGAACAGCCTGGCAAAACAGCAAGACCCCATGTGTACAAAATTTTTAAAAAATTAGACAAACATGTTGGGTGCACACCTGTAGTCCTAGCTACTTGGGAGGCTGAGGCAGGAGAATCAGTTGAGCCCAGAGATTCGAGGCTGCAGTGAGCTATGATCACACCACTATACTCTATCCTGGGTGACAAAGCAAGATGCGGTCACTTAAAAAATAAAAAGACTCTAAATCTATTCAAATAAAAGGTAAAAAATGGATGCCAGACTACGGCAGTGAACAAACTTTCCATAACTCCTGCCCCTGTAATTTGTTGCTGACCTGGTCTTTCGGTAAAACTATCACCTTCACTAGATCCAACACAAAACTTCACAATTCATCACCTACTCTACTATAACCCACTCTTATTCATAATCCTTATTCAATAGAGCCATCTATGGTTTCAAATAAACCAAAACTGAAAAAAAAGGTCTTTATCATAAATGGTATATAAAGTATAACAAAATAAATAGATACCTGTGGTTAATAAATGTTGCTATACAGGACATTTATTCAACAAGTAAACTTAAGAGTTTCAAAATAATAAATAGCCTAAAAATCTGCTATGCTAACTTATATGCAACTGTCAAATTAATCGAAGATCACATACAGAATCAGCATGAACAGTCACATATTTTTATTTAATTCTTAATATCATCCAAGTTACATGTTATTTTTTCAACTTAAACACAGTTATTAAGACATAACCAAAAAACAACCACCACCACCAAAAAAGCAGTCCCAAGTACCATCCATAAATGTATTCATTAGGTCATATATTACTTATTTCTTAAATTTGGGGATATAACTTTTTTCTTTTTTTACTTTCTTTGCTAACTAACATCAAGAAAGACAGGAACATAATCTTTTTCCTTCTTACCCATTTCCTCCCAACATTGATAGCGCTTGGATCTAAACACATTTAGACAGATTTTCTTTTGTGTGTTTGAGAGGGCTAGTATCCCTTGCTATTATAATATTTGCTATCTGCTAACCAACACATAGAATCAAAAGAGGATTCCAATAACTCAACATGCCTTATTATCTAACTTTTTACTAGTCACACTCAGGAAATAAACATATTTGAATAGCAAAAACTATTATATACATTTTATAATGTGTCTCCCAGTCTCTCATCATACCAGAAGTGACGGGGTAATTTTCCCAGAGTCTGACATGTGTAATCTTGTCAGACTGCTTTATACTGCCCCAGAAGGAAGAGGACAATGGAGTACCTACACACTTGCCAGGGAGCCCCTCTCTGTGAGTTTTCCTCAGGGTACACTACCCCAGCACTTCTGGGGGCTGTGCCGTCTGACCAGTGTTTACATGGCAGGTGTAAATCCTGATTTTTAGTCTAGTTTTTTAACATAATACTTATTATGTATGGTTCACAGCTAAGCAACACGGTGTACTATGATGACACTTCCTTTCATATATAACTTTTTGTTTTTTCTGAACAGTTAAAAATTGCATCACTCTGTTATTAACAACCTCACTGTTTAGCTGACTGCATTAATCTCACCGTGAAGATACACATGCTATACCTCATTGTAGAATTTTTCACTTACTGACAACTGTTAACATCAGAGCAGAAAATGTCTTGCTTGCATTCTAGTGCCCCTACAAATACCTTTGGTATATTCTGCCTTTTAGGTTCTATCAGGCCTTAACAGCCTATGCACCTTCCCTTCCTTCTGACATTAAACACATGCTTGCTAAGAGAAGCATAAATTTATGCTGACCTTTTGGTCCTTGAATTGTGTGTGGATCTCAAAAGAAAATCAGTATAGACAGCTTTTCTCATTCCTCATGTGAAAGATAAGAGGCAAAACTGAGAGATGAGAAAGAACAGGATATTGAAAAGAATTTTTTTAAAGTGAACTCATCTAGAGTAGGAACTCTCAAGAAACTTACACATACCCCTTACAATCAATATGGCATCACATTTGGAATCCTGCAAGTAAGTGATGATTTAGTAGTTGTGTTAATTAATGTAATGGAGAGAAATGTTAATAAAGCTCTTTTACCTTTTTTAAAAAACAAAAATTATGTCACTTTTATTTGTGCAGTTTTCTGTTTACTTATCACTAATCCTTTCTAAAATTCTCAAAAAGTATGAAATATCTTTCTCAAAAACATTACAATCTATCACTGCTAATTTTTTCAGAGTCATCCTTCTTAAAGAACTGCTGTAGTCCTGCTTCATTGAGAACTACTGCTACCAAGTCTTCTCAATCTTCTTTCATCTTCACCTTGGAATATCTTTATATTATTCATGTGTTGGATCTCACATTTTCTCAATCCCAACTTTTTATCTTTTTTGGTATATTCTTCGTTTTGGTGGTACACATCTTCCGGTGGCCTCCTAAGAATATGTAATGGGAGATGTGAGACCATGTGTTACAGAAAACGTCTTTATTATTACTTTAAACTTGATTAATATCTGGCTGGTTATAGAATTTTAGGTTGAAAACAATTTATCTCCCAGAATTACAAAAGCATTGCTCCATGTCTTCCAGCTTCTAGCAATTGAGACAATCACTGTTATTCTAATTATTAACTCTATGTATGTGGCTGTATTTTTTCCCCTCTAAGAGGTTTCATGATCTCACTATCTCCAACATTCTAAAATTGCATAATAATGTGCCTTGCAATAGTTCTTTGTGCTGGACAATCAATGGATGCTTTCAATCCTAAACTCCTGAGCCTGAATTTGAAAATTTTCTTGAATTACTTCCTTTAAAATGTCCATTTTTCTCTGTTCTCTGCTACTGAAATTCCTATTAATGACTGTTATAGCACCTATATTGATTCTTATTCTTTTCCTTTTGCTCCTATTTACTACTCCTTTGTCTCTGTTATAATCTTTGGAATATTTATTCAACCTCGTCTTCTAGCCCCTCTAGTTAATTTTTTATTTTGACAATCATTTATTGTTATATTTATTTAATTTCCAAGTACTCTTTCTCTTTTTTTGTCACCTGTTCATGTTTCACATCCACCAAATTTTCCCTTACATGTCTTACAATATTAATCATAGGAGTTTTTTCCTTTGTTTTATTCAGCATATCTCTGTCTTCTCTGAACTCCATTTTTCTGTTACTTCTGGTTTCTTATCCTTCATATTAAAAGTTTTACTCAAATGTCTTATGATCATTTGTTTCACATTCATATTTAAGAATGAGGAACTAAAAATGATGTTGGATAGTTTTACTTGACCTAGGATGGGGGTGGAGGGCTTGCCCAAAGGTCTCTATAGTTAACAGTGTGGGGGAAGTGTCATTTTGTTAGGACCTGTCAGTGTGTCTCTGTTGTTTCTCTAGGGATGCTTAGTTTCTCCAGAGAAGAATTATTTTGTCTTATGACTGGATAGATCAGGACTCTGCTTCCAGCAACTCTGAGGCTGAATAATTCAGTTAGTGTCCCACTGTTCAGTAGAATAGGCATTCACTTATTCCCCCAGTTTTCATAATAGCTAATCCTGTACCTTGATATGCCTGAGGTCCCTAAGTCCAGAAGATACTTATTTCAATTTTTCAAGGAAATAAACTTCCTGCCTCCTGCCTTAATGAGAGGAGGACCAGAGAGTCTACATGCTCCTTATATAGACTTTAATTCAATTTTCCCATTTTGTAGCCTCATCCTTCACTCCAACCATCACAGATTACTGATGTAACCTATTACTAGAAATTTCTACATTCTATGTATTTCAACTTTCCCCATTCTGCTAAGTCAGTTACCACTTATCAATTCACCTTACATCATTCTAGAATTTACTAACATCTGTCATCCACTGTCACCTTTTCTCTACTTCTCTTTAGGTGCTTCTACACTTTTAAAACTCTACTAGTCATTTTAGTGGGATTTGGGGAGGAGGTAAAGATAAATACTTATGCTTAACCCATCACATTTAACCTAAATTCCTACTGTCATAGTTTCAAATTTTCACTTCACATGAAAAAAAATGTGGTATTCTCTCAATACATGGGATCAAAGGTTGAAATTAATTATTTTAAGAAAAGTCACTTAGGAAAATGTTCTAAGAGGCCGGGCGCAATGGGTCACGCCTGTAATCCCAGCACTTTGGGAGGCCAAGGAGGATGGATCACGAGGTCAGGAGTTCAAGACCAGCCTGGCCAACATGGTGAAACCCCATCTCTACTAAAAATACAAAAAAAAATTAGCCGGGCATCATGGCAGGCACCTGTAATACCAGCTACTTGGGAGGCTGAGGCAGGAGAATCACTTGAACTCGGGTGGCAGAGGTCGCAGTGAGCCAAGATTGCACCACTGCACTTGAGCCTGGGCGACAGAGTGAGACTCTGTCTCAAAAAAAAAAAAAAAGAAAGAAAGAAAAAAAAAGAAAAATGTTCTAAGAATCTGGACTTTTATTCTAGTAGAGAGGTTAAAGTCTTACATAAAAATAAGGAGTTCTTGGCTGGGCACAGTGGCTCACACCAGTAATCCCAGCACTTTGGGAGGCTAAGGCAGGCAGATCACCTGAGGTCAGGAATTCGAGACGAGCCTGGCCAACATAGTGAAACCCTGTCTCTACAAAAAATACAAAAATTAGCTGGCTGTTGTGGAGCACGCCTGTAATCCCAGCTACTCGGGAGGCCGAACCAGGGAGGCAGAGGTCACAGTGAGCCGAGGTAGCGTCACTCCACTCCAGCCTGGGCAACAAAGCTAGACTCCACCTCAAAAAAAAAAAAAAAAAAAAAAAAACATAAAAATAAGGAGTTCTATAGATTTGATGTTAAATCCGGACTTGGTCTTATACATATTCGATTAAAGCTAACAAATGGTTTTTTTTTTTTTTTGAAAGAATGAAAGATCATTTCAATAGATCAACTTTTTTTTTTTTTTTTTTTGAGACAGAGTCTCACTCTGCTGCCCAGGCTGGAGTGCAGTCAGGCAATCTTGGCTCACTGCAACCTCTGCCTTTCGGGTTCAAGTGATTCTCCTGCCTCAGCCTCCTGAGGAGCTAGGATTACAGGCACGCGACACCATGCCAGTTTAATTTTTGTATTTTTAGTAGAGATGGGTTTTCGCCATGTTGGACAGGCTGGTCTTGAACTCCTGGCCTCAAGTGATCCGCCGGCCTCAGCCTTCCAAAGTTCTGGGATTACAGGGGTGAGCCACTGCTTCTGGCCATTTTTTTTTTCAGGCAGAGTCTTGCTCTGTTGCCCAGGCTGGAGTGCAGTGGCATGAATTCAGCTCACTGCAACCTACACTTCCTGGGCTCAAGCTATCCTCCCACCTCAGCCTCCCAAGTAGCTGAAACTATAGATGTGCACCACCACACCCAACTAATTTTTGTAGAGACAGGGTTTCACTGTGTTGGCCAGGCTGGTCTTGAACTCCTGAGCTCAAGCAATCCACATGCCTCAGCCGCCCAAAGTGCTGGGATTACAGGCATGAGTCACTGTGCCCAGCCAGATCAATGTTTTTCAATATGCAAATACACTTATTTATTCTTATCTTCAAGATACTAGTTTCCACTACCTTGTATTATAATATCATGCATTTGCTTGTTCAGTTATTCATTCATTTATTCAGTGCCTTTGTGCCAGCGACTGTAATAAGCACTGTGGAAAATATGCACAATATGGTCCTCCCACTGTTCAATGGAAAAGGCAACAAACTGACACACAGAAATAATTACAATGAAATATAAATGCTGTTAAATCAATATTCAAGAGATTACTGAATAAGCAGAATCTATCTATGCATGATTTGCCAATGATATCTAATGAATCACAAAAACACAGTATCAACTTGTACTTTGTTATACTCTTATTTCTAGAAAAATTTCTAAAAATGGGGGGAAGAGCATAATTATCATAACAATAAAACAATGCATTAGTAGATTCATATATCATCTAATATGGTTTGGCTGTGTCCCCACCCAAATCTCATCTTGAATTGCAGCTCCCATAATCCCCACATGTGGTGGGAGGGACCCAGCTGGGGGGTAACTCAATCACAGGGAGGAATCTTAGCCCCTCAACCCCATTCTTATGATAGTGAACAAGTCTCACAAGACCTGATGGTTTTATAAAAGCGAGTTCCACTGTACATGCTCTTTTGTCTACCACAATGTAAGATGTGACTTTGCTCCTCGTTCACCTTCTGCCATGACTGTGAGGTCTCCCAAGCCATGTGGAATTGTGAATCAATTACACCTCTTTTCCTTTATAAATTACCCAGTCTCAGGTACATCTTTATTAGCAGTGTGAGAACAGACTAATACCTCATCAAAACCAGAAGTCTGCCTAAAAATACAGTTAACATCCTCCAATCTAATTCCAAATCAGTAATTAATGTGAGAAGTCACTCCATCCATTGAAACCAAAATGAAAAAGAGCTTCACCCTGCCCAGTTAGAAATGTTTCTATTGACTGACTTTATGGTAACTGTTCTACGCCCCATAGTCTGTGCACTCTCCTGCCCACCAAACCACTTCCCTCCCTCCATCCTCAGGTGCAATAAAAGTAAAGCAAATGCAACAACTCAAGGAAACATCCAGATGGAAAAATAATTAATTATACCACCTATATGTTTAATGAGGTCCTCAAGAGCATTTGGTGATTCCCTGAAGACCACTATTCCAGTTCTCTTCATACTGTATTCTCTTCTACCAACAAAGCTTAGTGTATCTCTAGTGAAGGTAGTGTGTAACAAAGTATAGGAACTTAAGGCAATGCTATTCAAAATGCAGGACTGTGAATTGGTTGTTACTAGTTGGCCATAAAAGAAAGCAAGACGAGGCTGGGTGCGGTGGCTCACGCCTGTAATCCCAGCACTTTGGGAGGCCGAGGCGGGCAGATCATGAGGTCAGGAGATGGAGACCACCCTGCCTAACACAGTGAGACCCTGTCTCTACTAAAAATACAAAAAATTAGCTGGGCACGGTGGTGGGTGTCTGTAGTCCCAGTTACTCAGGAGGCTGAGGCAGGAGAATGGCGTGAACACGGCAGGTGGAGCTTGCAGTGAGCTGAGATCGCGCCACTGCACTCCAGCCTCAGTGACAGAGCGAGACTCTGTCTCAAAAAAAAAAGAAAAAAGAAATAAAGAAAGACAAGTATCAAAGCTTTCTCAGTGAAGAGGGCACGAGGTTGCTATACATTCTGGCACATTCTCCTTACTAGCACAGGTCTTCAGACAGACCATACTGAGATCACTGCCCTAAGACAAATAGATGTCAAATAACTATTGATGGAAAAGAAAAAACAGAAAGTAACACAAAAAAGATTAACCATAGAAGCAAATGTAATGAAAAAAAAAGGACTGGAGGAAACAGATTAATAGCTCAACTCTGGATGGATCTGCAGCAGCAAAGAAACACAGTAATTCACTTCCTGAGATTATTTGTAACAGTAGGTGGATTACAAGCTGCAGTACCTAGAGTTACACAAAATGCAGGACAGCACATTGTTGGATAAGTCTACAAAATTATTCACAATATAATTTTAGCAGGCAAATAATAGCAGTTGTTCTTGCTTTACTCCAAACTCAAAGTTCTTTATGGAAAAAATAACGTATTACTAATACTAATTTTTAAAGCCAGGATGAAATTTGTGTCTAAGGCAAAGATACTGGAGTTTGGCACACATTTGTAGTTATTCAAAGAAAAGTTGAACAATTCAAGCTCTTATGGCTCCTAATGTATTTATATTTCTATGAAACTCCATGTTACTGTTTCTTCAATGTTTATTACTCCTGCTTCCTGAGATTATGTTTCCTTATGCATTTAAAGACAAAATACAGTGGTTGTACTCTTATGATACCAATAATCTAAAGTGAGAGTTTATATATAATAGCAAGGAAATTAGATTTGTAGAGCTAATAAACAAATGATATATTCAAAATGTCCTTTTTCCAGTAGTAATTTATAACAAACTCATAAAGTGACAGGTAAACTTAAATATCTACATATCATAGAAAATAATATTTTCTACAAATTTATAAGAATAAAATCATACTATAAAAATATTTTCTAGTATGATATTATTCTACTAAGGAAATCAAAATTTGACTTTCAACAACATAAACTTCTAATTACTTAGAATTAGTGAGAGTGAGAACTTTTTTAACTTTTTCCAGAGATCAAATAATTACATTAATATGAATATCATTATAGTATTTATCAAATTCTTATTATAAATTGTCTCTTTCTACAAATGTCTTTCCTATTAGAGAGTATTCTTTAATAGCTAAATGCAGAGCTATCTCTTTCTCTAACTTTTTCAGAGGGTCTGACAATCAAATGACATTCAATTGATACCTGATGAATGGGTAAATGTGGTGGAAATATCTGTTTTAATGATGGCCATGCATGTCTAAATCTCACAGTCAGGTTACTTTGCAACATGAGGTATCCTCTAGGCATCCAAGCTTAAAGGTTACATTTTTCCTCCAGATATTCATTAAGAAAGTCCTAGAATTTTCATTGGCTACCTTTAACTTGAATTTTACAAATTATTTTCTTTGGTGGCTTATATCTTCCTTTGTCTCAAAGTAAAGATGTAAAACAGAACTGATATTTGGAAAAGAAATCAATAAGATGTTCAGAGCTGAGCTACTGAGAACCAAGATAGAGGATTTGAAAGTTAAGGACACAGAGGAATTACTAAATTTGAGTGACACTGCAAAAGAGGAAGTGACTGAACTTGGGCATTGATTTTCTGTTCAAAGAGTCCAAAAGGTATCAAAGATTACCCTCAAGATGTGAAATTTAAAGAAAGGGAAGAAAATGTCATGCCTGTGATAGTGAGAAAGTTAGGTAGTAAAATAACTAAAAGAAGAAGCCAATAAGTTCTTTACATAATATAGTGAGTTTGAAGGGCACCATAGGACATGAATTAGACATGGCACGACAATGGATATACAAAGATATATAAAAGAAAAATCCCATAGAAAACGATATAAAATGGCCCTTAGAGTTCACTTACAAATAATAAGAGAAATGCAAGTGAAAACTACTTCAGGATATCATTTTTTACATTTCAGATAAAAAAATTAAAAAGTTTAAAAACAATATGATGGCCAGGAATGTAGAAAAAATAAGCACCTTCTTATATTTTCTGGTGGAAGTGTAAGTTGGTACAACTTCTAAAGTCAGTGAATTCACAATCTCTATCACAATTGCCATTGTATCTTTTGATCCAGTATTTATCTATTGAAGTATAACAAATTACCCCAAAATTGAGCAGTTTTAAAACAACAAACATTGAGAGATGATGATTGAAGAGCTCTCCTGACCCACTCTCCAGTGAAACTGGTGAAAATTATTAACAATCACCTAAAGCCTCTAAAAATGGTCCTAAGATCAAACAGCAAATGAAGAAACATCTATCCAAGAAAATCTATCAATCAGTATGAAAGGCAATGTTTGTGGTATCTAAACCAAAACCACTGCCTCCTTCCACCTTTCCAGCTCAACACGGTGTAGTCTCCATTCCAGACAGCTGCAGCCAAGAACACAGGGCTCCCTCTTCCTCCTGTTCCCAGTTGGAGGGTTTTCTTCCCGGGAAGAACAGGATATCAGCAATTCTCATCCTGTCCCCAGCTAACTGCTGCTGAGGCTAAGTCCAACGCAAGTGCAATTGAGCAGTGGGTACTCCTTTCTTCTGTCCAGCTCCAAATTATGGAATATAGGCTCTACTTTGGGTGCAGCATATTGAGACCCCAGCTTGTGATGCACGGGTGTCATGCCAGGAGAGGCAAGCCAAGAGAACCTTAGGCTGCTGCCTCCCTTCCACTAAGCAATCAGCTCCTAGAGTTGGGGGGTCACTCAAAGAGAAGCATAATATTGTTCACATCCTCAGCTCCAGAGGCCTGACTCAGAGACTTTGCTTGAAAGGAAAAGCAGTATGTAAAACAAGGCCTAATCTCTTTCCAAAGAAACTGACTTTATTTGCAACACAGTGTAGAGAAGTTCAAGCTTAGAAGTTCTAGTCAGGATAGACCATATGCTTGGCCATAAAACAAATGTCAAAAAATTTTAATGCAATGGAACAAAATTGGAAATCAGAATCAAAATTGGAAAACTGAGAAGCTCACAAATAAGTGGAAATTAAACAACACACTTCTAAATAAGCAACAGGTCAAAGAGGACATCACTCTGAGATTAGCGAAAATAAAAACAAAATATAACAACTTACGAAATGCAGCTAAAGCAGTGCTAAGATGGAAGGATATAACTATAAATGCCTATATCAAGGAAGTGGAAAAGTCTCAAGTCAATAAAAATAAAAGCAAACTAAACCTAAAGCAAGCAGAATGAAGGAAATAATAAAAATTAGTGGAGAAATTAATACAATAGAGAAAAGAAAAACAGAAGAGAAAGAACAATACAGCCAAAAGCTGGTTCTTCAAAAAGATCAACAAAATTGACAAACCTTTAGCTAGACTGATCATGATAAAGAGAAGCCTAAAATTACGAGAATCAGAAATAAAAGGGGGGGATATTACCAATCTTTAAAAAACTATAAAAATGTAAGGAATACTATGAACAACTATACCCAGCAAATTAGATAACCTAGAAGAAATGTGAAAATTCTTAGACACAAACTACCAAAACTGACTCAAGAAAAAATAGAAAATCTGAATCAACCTATAACAAGCAAAGAAAATGAACTCATAACTATAAAATTACCCACAAAGAAAAGCCTAGACCTGAATGGATTTACTACTGAATTCTACCAAATATTTAAAAAAGAATTAATACCAATTCTTCAAAAATTCTTCATAAAATTTAAGGAAACACTTCCCAAATCATTTTACAAGGCTATTATCCTCATATAAAAAGCAAAGACATTACAAGAAAAGAAAACTATAGTACCTCTTATAAATAGGTATGTAAAAGTCCTCAGCAACATACCAGCAAGCCAAATTCGGGAACATATAAAAAAATTATATACCATGACCAAGAATTTATCCTACAGATGCAAGGTTGAGTTAACATATGAAAATCAATTTATGTACTACATCACATCAATAGAATACAAAACAAAAATCACATGATCATCTCAATAGACAGAAAAGATACAGGTTGGGTATCCCTTATCTGACATGGTTGGGATCAGAAGTGTTTCAAATTTTGGATTTCAGAATATTTTCATATACATAAATGAGCTATCTTGGCAATGGGAACCAAGCCTAAACACAAAATTGATTTCTGTTTAACATATATCTTACATACATAGCCTGAAGGTAGTTTTAATTAATATTTTTTAATGATTTTGTGCTTAAAACAATGTTTGTGAACACTGATCCCTCAGAAAGCAAAGGTGTCACTATCTCAGCTACCCATGTGGACAACCTGTGGTTGCTTTGCATCACTATCCTTCCTGAATCTAAATTTATGCACTACTGATAAGCGATCATTTTCTTATACTTATTCACAAATAAGTACTAAGTAAAAAATATGACATACATGTCTGGCATGCTTGGCAAAGACATATTATCATAGCAGAGAGCAAATTCAACTTTCCTCAGCCTTCATGTTCTATTCAGGCCTCAAATGACCGGATGATGGCCACCAACATTGGAGAGGGCAGTCTGCTTTACTCAGTTCATCAATTCAAACGCTAATCTCTTCCAGAAGCACTGTCACAAACACATCCAAAACTAACGTTAATCCAAATATCTGGGCATCTGATGGCCCAGTCAAATTGATAATTAAAATTAACTTTCACATTGAGGAAATGCTCTTTTCTCTTCTTTCTTCCTCTTACCCCACCCCCTTTCTCTACCTTCACCTTGCTTCAACCTTCTCATTCTTCAGACATCTTCTCACTCAGGAAAGCACAAGAAATTTTAGTAAAAAGTAATGGTATTAGCAAAGGATAATCCTGAAACCTCTCTAATGGAAAAAGATAAATCATTACTAATATTTGGTACGTATTGATTGTTATCAGCAAATATATTATGCTATGGTTTTGAAACATGGTAAGTCATGACACTATGACTGAAGAATGGGGATTCAGGCCAAATGGTATCAGAAAAAGAGTCTTCTCAAAACATGCTGGCTGAAGTTGCTCAATGAACAACACTAACACTCAACCAAGACCCCAATGTGTTTTGCTGCATTCTCCTTCCGTTCTTTATTTTCTATCGAGGAGACAGTAGACAGTGTTATCACTAACATTATTTGTTGTGGCGTCCACTTCAGCCTCCAGTATCTTTCTACATAGTGTGATATCAATTCTACATAATTACAAATTTAAATACAACTTTGTACCTAGCAACATTAATTGCTACTTTACACAATTACATTGCTTCCCAAAGGATTAAGTCCATAGGCTAGCTAATATAGAGTGCTTTCAATTCTATTTTATTATTTCAATTATAAATCATTCTGAATATAACTTTTATATGCAATGGGAAACTAAAAAATTTGTGTGACTTGCTTTATTGTAATATTTGCTTTATTGCAATATTTGCTTTATTGCAGTGGTCTGGAACTGAACCTGTAAAATCTCCACAGTAAGCCTTGTAAATAGTAACATCTAAAAAGATTATTTTTGCCAAAATATCAAAAATGAATCTGAATAAGATCCTATTTATGGCAACTATAGGGTACAGAGTACTACAATAAGTCAGATTTGGGGAAACTCTACAGAATAAATAACCCAATTTATTCCAAAAATAAATTGCAAGGAAAAAAAGAGTAAGAGAAAGATGGAAGAGGAAAAAAATGAACCTATATATTCAGCAGGTAGACTATCCATGTTTGATCCTCCTAGGAACAAACCAACCTTTTTTAAAAAAGGTATTAGACAATCCGAGAAATGTGAAAACGGACTAGATATTTAATTATAATAGAGAATAATTATAGAATTCAAAGCATGATGATGATACGATGGTTCTGTTAAAACACCCCTTATCTTTTAGAGATAGTCCTTATTCATGGATTCAGAATTTGTAAACTGGCCTACTCAATACAATTTATTTGTTAACACGAAACTCAATAATTGTGGCACTACTGAGATTCAAGATGGCCGAAAGGGAACAGCACTGGTCTGCAGCTCAGCAAGATCAACAGAGAAGGTGAGTGATTTCTGCATTTCCAACTGAAGTACCCGGTTCATCTCATTGGGACTCGCTGAACAGTGGGTGCAGCCCACAGAGGGCTAGCCGAAGCAGGGTGGGGCACCGCCTCACCTGGAAGCACAAGGGGTGGGGGAATTTTCTCCCCTACCTAAGGGAAGCCATGAAGGACTGAGTCTGAGGAACTCCAGCACAGATACTGTGCTTGTCCCACGGTCTTTACATCCCGCAAACCAGGAGATTCCCTCCAGTGCCTACCCCACCAGGGCCCTGGGTTTCAAGCACAAAACTGGGCAGCCAATTGGGCAGACACCGAACTAGCTGCAGGAGCTTTTTTTTTTTCCATACCCTACTGGCGCCCAGAACACAAGCCAGAGAGAAGCCATGAAGCCAAGTGGTCTGGCTCAGCAGGTCCCACCCCCACTGAGCCCAAGAAACCAAGATCTACTGGCTTTAAATTCTGGCTGCCAGCACAGCAGCAATCTGAGATCCACCTGGGACAGTCAAGGTTGGTGGGGGAAGGGCGTCCGCCATTGCTGAGGCTTGAGTAGGCAGTTTCACGGCCACAGTGTAAACAAAGCTGCTGGGAAGTTCGAACTGGGCAGAGCCCACTGCAGCTCAGCAAAACTGCTGTGGCCAGACTGCCAGATTGCTCCTCTCTGGAAAGGGCATCTCTATAAAAAAGGCAGCAGCCCCAGTCAGGGGCTTATAGCAGACTTAAACATCCCTGTCTGACAGCTCTAAAGAGAGCAGCGGACCTCCCAGCACAGCATTCCAGGTCTGCTAAGGGTCAGTCTGCCTCCTCAAATGGGTCCCTGACTCCCATGTATACTGACTAGGAGATACTGTGTCCGGAATTGGTTCCTTCTAGTGGGTTCTTGGTCTCGCTGACTTCACGAATGAAGCTGCGGACCCTCGCGGTGAGTGTTACAGTTCTTAAAGATGGTGTGTCCAGAGTTTGTTCCTTCAGATGTTCAGATGTGTCCAGAGTTTCTTCCTTCCAGTGGGTTCGTGGTCTTGCTGACTTCAGGAGTGAAGCCGCAGACCTTTGCAGTGAGTATTACAGCTCTTAAAGGTGGCGCATCCAGAGTCGTCTGTTCCTCCCAGTGGTTCGTGGTCTTGCTGACTTCAGGAGTGAAGCCGTAGACCTTCGCAGTGAGTGTTACAGCTCACAAAGGTAGTGCGGACCCAAAGAGTGAGCAGCAGCAAGATTTATTGTGAAGAGCAAAAGAACACAGCTTCCACAGTATGGAAAGGGACCTGAGCAGGTTGCCCCTGCTGGCTCAGATGGCCAGCTTTTATTCCCTTATTTGGCCCCGCCCACGTCCTGATAATTAGTCCATTTTACAGAGCGCTGATTGGTCCATTTTACAGAGTGCTGACTGGTCCGTTTTTACAGAGTGCTGATTGGTGCATTTACAAACCTTTAGCTAGACACAGAGCACTGATTGGTGTGTTTACAATCCTTTAGCTAGACAGAGAAGTTCTCCAAGTCCCCACCCAACCCAGAAGCCCAGCTGGCTTCACCTGTCAATATCTCCCAGTTGGGGCCAACAGACACCTCATACAGGAGAGTTCTGGCTGGCATCTGGCAGGTGCCCCACTGGGTCGAAGCTTCCAGAGGAAAGAACAGGCAGCAATCTTTGCTGCTCTGCAGCCTCTACTGCTGATACCCAAGCAAACAGGGTCAGGAGTGGACCTCCAGCAAACTCCAACACACCTGCAGAAGAGGGGCCTGACTGTCAGAAGGAAAAGAAACAAACAGAAAGGATTAGCACATCCACTCAAAGACCCCATCCAAAGGTTACCAACATCAAAGATCAAAGAAAGATAAATCCACAAAGATGGGGAAAAAACAGTGCAAAAAGGCTGAAAATTCTAAAAACCACAATACCTCTCCTCTTCCAAAGGATGACAACTCCTCGCCAGCAAGGGAACAAAGCTGGACAGAGAATGAGTTTGACGAACTGACAGAAGTAGGCTTCAGAAGGTGGGTAATAACAAACAACTCTGAGCTAAAGGACCATGTTCTAAACTAATGCAAGGAAGCTAAGAACCTTGAAAAAGAGTCAGTCAAATGGCTAACTAGAATAACCAATGTAGAGAAGAACATAAAAGACCTGACAGAGCTGAAAAACACAGCATGAGAACTTTGCGAAGACTACACAAGTATCAATAGCCGAATCGATCAAGCGGAAGAAAAGATATCATTGATTGAAGATCCACTTAATGAAATAAACAGAGAAGACAAGATTAGAGAAAAAAGAATAAAAAGGAAAAACAAAGCCTCCAAGAAATATGGGACTATGTGAAAAGACCAAGTCTACATTTGATTGGTGTACCTGAAAGTGACGGAGAGAATGGAACCGAGTTGGAAAACACTCTTCAGGATATTATCCAGGAGAACTTCTCCAACCTAGCAAGACAGGACAACATTCAAATTCAGGAAATAGAGAGAATGCCACAAAGATACTCCTTGAGAAGAGCAACCCCAAGACACATAATCATCAGATTCACCAAGGTTGAAATGAAAGAAAAAATGTTAAGGGCAGTAAGAAAGATTGGGTTACCCGCAAAGGGAAGCCCATCAGACTAACAGCAGATCTCTCTCTGGAGAAACCCTACAAGCCAGAAGAGAGTTAAGGCCAATATTCAATGTTCTTAAAGAAAACAATTTTCAAACCAGAATTTCATATCCATCCAAAATAAGCTTCATAAGCGAATGAGAAATAAAGTCCTTTACAGACAAGCAAATGCTGAGGGATTTTTGTCACCACCAGACCTGCCTTACAAGAGCTTCTGAAAGAAGCACTACACATGGAAAGGAACAACTGGTATCGGCCACTGCAAAAACATACCAAATTGTAAAGAACATTGACACTATGAAGAAACTGCATTAACTAATGGGCAAAACAACCAGCTAACATCATGACAGGATCAAATTCACATATAAAAATATTAACCTTAAATGTAAACGGGCTAAGTGCCCCAATTAAAAGACACAGACTGCCAAATTGGATAAAGAGTCAAGACCCATCAGTGTGCTGTATTCAGGAGAACCATCTCATGTGCAAAGACACACATAGGCTCAAAATACAGGGATGGAAGAATATTTACCAAGCAAATGGAAAGCAAAAAAAAGCAGGAGTTGCAATCCTAATCTCTGATAAAACAGATCTTAAACCAACAAAGATCAAAAGAGACAAAGAAGGGTATTACATGATGGTAAAGGGATCAATGCAGCAAGAGTGAACTATCCTAAATATATATGCACCCAATATGGGAACACCCAGATTCATAAAACAAGTTCTTAGACACCTACAAAGAGAATTAGACTCCCACACAATAATAGTGGGTGAGTTTGACACCCCACTGTCAATATCAGACAGATCAATGAAACAGAAAATTAACAAGGATATTCAGGAGTTGAACTCAGCTCTGGACCAGGGGGACCTAATAGACATCTACAGAACTCTCTACCCCAAATCAACAGAATATACATTCTTCTCAGCACCACATCACATTTATTCTAAAATTGACCATATAATTGCAAGTAAAACACTACTCAGCAAATGCAAAAGAACAGAAATCAAAATAAACAGTCTCTCAGACCACAGTGCAACCAAATTAGAACTCAGGATTAAGAAACTCACTCAACACTGCACAAATACATGGAAACCGAACAACCTGCTCCTGAATGACTACTGGGTAAATAACGAAATGAAGGCAGAAATAAAGATATTCTTTGACACCAATGAGAACAAAGAGACAACATACCCGAATCTCTGGGACACAGCTAAAGCAGTGTTTAGGGGGAATTTATAGTACTAAATGCCCACAAGACAAAGCAGGAAAGATCTAAAATTGACACCCTAACATCACAATTAAAAGGACTAGAGAAGCAACAGCAAACAAATTCAAAAGCTAGCAGAAGACAAGAAATAACTAAGATCAGAGCAAAACTGAAGGAAATAGAGACACAAAAAACCCTTCAAAAACTCAGTGAATGCAGGAGCTGGTTTTTTGAAAACATCAACAAAACAGATAGACTGCTAGCCAGACTAATAAAGGAGAAAAGCAAGAAGAATCAAATAGATGCCATAAAAAATGATATAGGGGATATCACCACTGATCCCAAAGAAATACAGACTACCATCAGAGAATACTATAAACACCTCTACGCAAATAAACTAGAAAATCTAGAAAAAATGGATAAATTCCTGGACACATACACCCTCCCAATTCCAAGACAGGAAGAAATCGAATCCTGGAATAGACCAATAACAAGTTCTGAAATTGAGACAGTAATTAACAGCCTACCAACCAAAAAAAGTCAAGGACTAGATGGATTCACAGCCGAATTCTACCAGAGGTACAAAGAGGAGCTGGTACCATTCCTTCTGAAACTATTCCAAACAACAGAAAAAGAGGGACTCCTCCCTAACTCATTTTATGAGGCCAGCATCATCCTGATACCAAAACCTGGCAGAGACACAACAAAAAAAGAAAATTTCAGGCCAATATCCCTGATGAACATCAATGCGAAAATCCTCAATAAAATAGTGGCAAACCAAATCCAGCAGCACATCAAAAAGCTTATCCACCATGATGAAGTTGGCTTCATCCCTGGGATGCAAGGCTGGTTCAACATATGCAAATCAATAAATGTAATCACATAAACAGAACCATCACATAAACAGAACCAATGACAAAAACCACACGATTATCTCAATAGATGCAGAAAAGGCCTTCAATAAAATTCAACACCTATTCATGCCAAAAACTCTCAATAAACTAGGTATCAATGGGACATATTTCAAAATAATAAGAGCTATTTATGAGAAATCCATAGCCAATACCATACTGATAGGGCAAAAACTCAAAGCATTCCCTTCGAAAACCAGCATAAGACAAGGATGCCCTCTCTCACCACTCCTATTCAACATAATATTGGAAGTTCTGGCCAGGGCAATCAGGCAAGAGAAAGCAATAAAGGGTATCCAAATAGGAAGAGAGGAAGTCAATTTGTCTCTGTTTGCAGATGACATGATTGTACATTTAGAAAACCCCATGGTCTCAGCCCAAATCCTCCTTAAGCTGATAAGCAACTTCAGCAAAGTCTCAGGATACAAAATCAATGTGCGAAAATCACAAGCATTCCTATACACCAATAACAGACAAACAGCCAAACCATGAGTGAACTCCCATTCACAACTGCTACTAAGAGAATAAAATACCTAGGAATACAACTTACAAAGGATGTGAAGGACCTGTTCAAGGAGAACTACAAACCACTGCTCAAGGAAGTAAGAGAGGACACAAACAAATGGAAAAAAATTCCATGCTCACGGATAGGAAGAATCAATATCGTGAAAATGGCCATACTGCCCAAAGTAATTTATAGATTCAATGCTGTCCCCATCAAGCTACCACTGACTTTCTTCACAGAATTGGAAAAAACTACTTTAAAGTTCATATGGAACCAAAAAAGAGCCCGCATAGCCAAGACACTCCTGGGCAAGAAGGACAAAGCTGGAGGCATCATGCTACCTGACTTCAAACTACACTTCAAGGCTACAGTAACCAAAACAGCATGTACTGGTACCAAAACAGATATATAGACCAATGGAACAGAATGGAGGCCTCAGAAATAACACCACACAGCTACAACCATCTGATCTTTGACAAACCTGACACACACAAGCAATGGGGAAAAGATTCCCTATTTAATAAATGGTGTTGGGAAAACTGGCTAGCCATATGCAGACAACTGAAACTGGACCCCTCACTTACACCTTTTACAAAAATAAACTCAAGATGGATCAAAGACTTAAACGTAAGACCTAGGACCATAAAAATCTTAGAAGAAAACCTGGGCAATACCATTCAGGACATATGCATGGGCAAAGACTTCATGTCCAAAACACCAAAAGCAATGGCAACAAAAGCCAAAAGAGACAAATGGGATCTAATTAAACTAAAGAGCTTCTGCACAGCAAAAGAAACTATCATCAGAGTGAACAGGCAACCTATAGAATGGGAGAAAATTTTTGCAATCTATCCATCTGACAGAGGGCTAATATCCAGAATCTACAAAGAACTTAAACAAATCTACCAGAAAAAAAAAGTTCCATCAAAAAATTGGCAAAGGATATGAACAGACACTTCTCACAAGAAAACATTTATGCAGCCAACAGACATATGAAAAAATGCTCATCATCACTGGTCATTAGAGAAATGCAAATCAAAACCACAACGAGATACCATCTCACGCCAGTTAGAATTGTGATCATTAAAAAGTCAGGAAACAGGCCAGGTGCAGTGGCTCATGCCTGTAATCCCAGCGCTTTGGGAGGCCAAGGCGGGCAGATCACAAGATCAGGAGATCGAGACCATCCTGGCTAACATGGTGAAACCCCGTCTCTACTAAAAATACAAAAAATTAGCCAGGCATGGTGGCGGGCGCCTATAGTCCCAGCTACTTGGGGGGCTGAGGCAGGAGAATGGCATGAACCCGGGAGGCAGAGCTTGCAGTGAGCTGAGATCGAGCCACTGCACTCCAGCCTGGGCGACAGAGCGAGACCCAGTCTCTAAAAAAAAAAAAAAAAAAAAAAGAAAGAAAGAAAATAAAAAAAGTCAGGAAACAACAGATGCTGGAGAGAATCTGGAGAAATAGAAACACTTTTACACTGTTGGTGGGGGTGTAAATTAGTTCAACCATTGTGGAAGATAGTGTGGCGATTCCTCAAGGATCTAGAACTAGAAATACCATTTGGCCCAGCAATCCCATTACTAGGCATGTACCCAAAGGATTATAAATCATTCTACAATAAAGACTCATGCACACATATGTTCACTGTGGCAGTATTCACAATAGCAAAGAGTTGGAACCAACCCAAATGTCCATCAATGATAGACTGGATAAAGAAAATGTGGCACATATACACCATGGAATACTATGCAGACATAAAAAAGGATGAGTTTATGTCCTTTGCAGGGACATGGATGAAGCTGGAAACCATCATTCCCAGCAAACTATCACAAGATCAGAAAACCAAACACTGCATGTTCTCACTCATTAGTGGGAGTTGAACAATGAGAACACATGGACACAGGGAGGGGAGCATCACACACTGGGTCCTGTCGGAGGTGGGGGCTACAGGAGGGATAACATTAGGAGAAATACGTAATGTAGGTGACAGGTTGATGGGTGCAGCAAACCACTAGGGCACATGTATACCTACATAACAAACTGCACGTTCTGCCCATGTAACCCAGAACTTAAAGTATAATCATAAAAATAAAAATAAAAAAATTATTGTGGCACTATTGTAGTCATTTGCAGGTACACACAAAGTGGCAAAAAATTTGAGTCACACAACCCACATGTTTCCAACTGATGTCAAATAAAGTGACACTCTGCTTCAGCTCTTATACTATAAACACAAGTTTCCTTTTCACGGTTTATTTAGTACCACATTTGTCACATTTTGGTGCTTGTTTTTGATGACTTCAGTCCTTCAAATGATCATCAAGCACAGTGCTGAAGTGCTGGCTAGTGTTCCTAAGAAGGTTGTGACATGCCATAGGGAGAAAACAATGGGTTAGATAAGCTTTGTTCAGGCATGAGTTAACAGTGCTTTTGGCCAAGAGTTCGACGTCAATGAATCAACAATAAATGAAGTATCTTTAAACAGAAACACACATAAAATGAGGCTATGTATTGATCAGTTGACAAAATTGTTGTGACCAGAGGCTTACAGGAACCTAACCCCTTACTTCCTCTAGGAGTAATAGTTCAGTGTTAGCTAATTAAGTATTTGTAGTGACTTTACAGAACATTACTGTTAATAACTAGAATTGTCTGTAAACACTAAAGTAACTGTAGGTAAAATAGCATGATATCTAGGATTTGCTTCAAAATCCATTAGTGGTAGAAGGAGAGAGAGAATAGAGGTTTATAGATGAAACAAGATTGTCCGTGTGTTGATAACTGTTCAAGGTGAGTGATGGGTACACGAGTGTTCAATAATGTATTCTCTCTGTCTTTGCATCTAATTAAAATTTCTCCATAATAAAAAGTAAAGCATATACACACAACACATCTACACAGACAGTCCAAATGGGTACTACTGGCATATGAAGTATAGTAGTATAATTCTTTAATTGGGCAGGATTATTCTTTTCATTTCAAGATGTTTAGCAATCTCAGCCTCTATTCACTAGGTCGGTAGCACAACCGGTTGAAACCAATAATACAGGGCAAACTTTATCCAAAAAGCCATTCATCACGGCATTATTATACTATTTTTAAAAATAGCCCTAATGTACAACAAAATTACAGTGGTTAAATACAAATATGCTATATCTAAATAATAGAATATACTATAACCCTAAAAATGATATTATACTTCTTTCTGAGGGGATGAGCTAACAACACAACACTGACAATCCCAAGTCACACCACATTAAATAAATCCTTATCAGCATGGGAAACAACAGCAGCAGCCATAAATGAACTATAAATTTGACAAATATCTTAAAAACAGAAGCATAGACTCATAGAGACAAATAAACCGAGGGAGAAAAACTATAATCCAAAACCTAAATAGAAGTCTACAGAAGAGGATGCTGCTTTTCATAGAAGAGGCCCCAGAAAGGCTTATAAGTACCCAATTAGTAAGTATAGAGAGCAGAAGCCCACAGGAATCAAAACAATTAATTAAGAAACCATTCACCAAAAAAAGCTGAGCCTCCCACTCATCCATGTTCAGAACAGCTACCTGCAGCATTTGCCTACATCAAATGGCCAAAAACTGCATTCAAAATCATTTGTCCAGAAAAGATCCCTACTCAGAGTGTTGGGCAAGCAACAGAATTAGAAAAGGGCCTGACTTAAAGGACCTAACTCTCATTCACTACAATGAAGTCTATCTACTACACACCTTTCAGGAAAGCCTGTGGATAGGCCCTTCCCCAAGCCTTACAAAAAGCCCATAGGCAAACCTTACATTCAAAGGAGAAACCTTCTGGTAAACAGATATACAAAAAACACAAAGCAAACCCATATGAGCAACATACCTATATAAAGCAAGGCAGTGAAGGTTCATTATACACTTGAAGAAAATCAACAGCATCAAAGAGAAAGACAAGGAAATTTTTTTTAATTTAAAACAGAGAAAGACTAGGAAGAACAAACAGAAGTTACCCAACAGAAAACAAAGATAATGCAAGAAACAGAAAAGAATTCAAAAATTATAATCAGAAAGATTAAAAAATTATTCTATTAAAGAAAGCTACTTTGAAAAAGGAAAAAATTAAAAAATAAGTAATTTTTAGAAGTAATAATTTGATTTCTAAAATTTTAAAATTCAAATAATCAAAGAGAATCTTCATCCATTTGGGCTGCTATAACAAAATACCTTAGATTGGGTAATTTATAAACAACAGAAATGTATTGCTCACAGCTCTGGAGGCTGAAAAGTCCAAGATCAAGGCACCAGCAGATTCAGTGTCTGGTAAGGGTCTGTTCCATGTAAATGACACCTTCTGTATCCTCACATGGCAGAAGAGAAGGGAGGCTCCTTAAACCCCTTTATAAGGGCACTAATCCCATTTATGAGGGCCGAGCCCTCATGATGTAATCACTTCCAAAAGGCCTCATCAATATTATCACATTGGGTATTAGGGTTCAACATACGAATTTTGGGGGGACACCAACATTCAGATCATAGCATAGAGCAAACAGAAGAATTCCACTTATTGATGGAACAAAAAGTACAAAGGCCACTGAGGAGATACAACAAAAGATAAAAAGATGGAAAACATGAGATAAGAGAGAAAAGAGAGAAGAAGGTCAAATCCATAAGATCCAACCTCTAACAGAGTGCTAAAACAAAGAATACAATGAAGAAAAAATATGAGAACATTTTATCAATGAAAAGAAAATCTTAGGTTTTGAAATGGAAAGGCCCACCAAAGGCTAAGAAGGATAAATTTTCAAAGGACCCAAATAAACAGATGATGTTGAGATTTTACAATAGTGCACCTAAAGAGAAAATCCTACAAGCTTCAAGCAAGTTATCTAGGAAGAAACAAGAATCACACTGATGGGCTCCTTGGTAGCATTACTGTATGCTCAATTTAGATAACAGAACTATGCTTTCAAAAATCCAAGGCAAAAATACATGGACATAAAATATTATGTTCAGCTGAAGTGCCAACTAAGCTTAAGGGCAAAAGAAAGACATTTTCGGTCATTTAAGGAGTCAGAAAACGTACCACCTGTCCATCCTTTCTGAGAAAAAAAATACTTGAAAATAATCCGACAAAAAAGAAACGGATAATCTGGCATCCTAGAAACTGTGTAATAAGTTCAGCTGTACAACGAAAAGAAAACCTATGATGACAAACGTGAGTAGGTTTAGAAATTAATTCGTCCAAATCCATACCATAAGCCAAAGAGGAAAAGGAAAAATGTTCTCAGCCTGTTATACAAATGTCTGACAAAGGACGTAGACATTCTTTATAAGAAAAAGTAAAGAGAAGGGCAATGAGAAATTCCAGGGGGGAAATGCTGTCCAGGAAGTCCACGGTTTAAAAATTAAACAGACCTAAATGGATCATAATTTGGATAACTAATGGACTATACAGAAAGATCATCTATTTGACCTTGATATTTAGAATATTCTTTTTAACAGACATAGGTTGAATATTCAGCATATCATTTTCACTTCTCAATGGATGTGAACATACTACATGGTTCTCTAGGAAGTATTTACATAGTCATAAAATTATAAATGCCACTTATCGTTTCCAATTTCAAAAATAGACTCAAAATCCAAAGTATCTCACAGTGTAATCTACAGACATCAGAATTACCTGGAAATGTTATTTTAAACTTTATTTTAAATCTAGGTCCCACCCCCTAGAGATTCAGTAGATCAGGTAAAAGGCCCAGAGATCTTCATTTTAATAAATTCTCCAGGCCGGGTGCGGTGGCTCACGCCTGTAATCCCAGCACTTTGGGAGGCCGAGGCGGGTGGATCATGAGGTCAGGAGATCGAGACCATCCTGGCTAACAAGGTGAAACCCCGTCTCTACTAAAAATACAAAAAATTAGCCGGGCGCGGTGGCGGGCGCCTGTAGTCCCAGCTACTCGGGAGGCTGAGGCAGGAGAATGGCGTGAACCCGGGAAGCGGAGCTTGCAGTGAGCCGAGATTGCGCCACTGCAGTCCGCAGTCTGGCCTGGGCGACAGAGCGAGACTCCGTCTCAAAAAAAAAAATAAAATAAAAAAAATAAAATAAAATAAATAAATAAATTCTCCAAGTATAACTTGTGCACACTAAATTTTGACAGTCATAGTTATAAAGCAGTAATCTCCAAAATTTCTCATTACACCTTATCAACAAAAGACTTTTGAACACCTACGTCTAATATACATACGTACATTTATTTATAAATTTTATGTTATATGAATATATACTCTGTATATTATAAATATGAAAAACAGACATTGTAAAGAATGAGGAAAATGACCTAACAATAATTTAATATCTGCTTCTGTTTAACCAAGAGAAAAGTAAAAATTATGGATAGGTTTAGAAAGTTTTAAAAAATAACAAATAAAAGGAGAGGAGAATAAAGAATCACGGAAATGACAATTGAAGTCCCAAGGCTTCTCTAGAAGGCTTATTCTACTAAAAAAACAGAGGGAGTCTGAGAGTGATCACATTTCATCTCAAAAATGATTGAGGAAGTAACAAGGGTACTTCAACAAAAGACTTAATTCTGATCATCAGAAGGAAAAAAATGATTGATGAATTAGACGTACAAGCAACATGAGAAGAAACTGATTATACTATTTTAAGTGTTCATAATAACCAAAGATGGTAAAATTAGACATACTCAGGCATGTATCACAGATTTTTAACAAGTCAAATCTCAGACAACGCTGGAATGATCCCAGGACTAGAGACTACAAGGGTGAATATAATTCAAGTAATAAAAAATGATATTCAGATTTTAGGATCATGATTCCAATTTTTAAAAAAGGAAAAGGTATCCATATGCTTAGCTTCTCATTTAAAAAGTATAATGAAATCCATTTACTAAGAAAGCAAGTGTTTTCATTGCTGTGCTAAGTGTCATGGGAATACTGTATACCAAATGTTTGATAGAGAGAACCCAGCATCATTCCACTGTTTCTAATAACCAAGGAGAGGCCCAACAATCTACAGTTAAATGACTGGGCAGTTCCTACAGGATAATATGGAGTGCTAAGTAAAATCCTTTAACCTATTCCAGAACACTTACTCTACACTGGCAAGGTCATCCCCGGCTTTCAATTACACACTGCAATTATCTAAGGGGAAAACTGAGTCACGTCTAGTAAGTTCCCTATAGAGGCAGTCCATGGAGTAAAAAGTCAAACAACAGGGACTTCGCCAACTTTTAAGGTTGAACTGTAACAGCTCAAGACACACACACACACAGTATTTAAGACATAGTTTTATCTCTTAGCTACACACTCTCCAAATATGTCAGAATATGAACAGGAACAGGGCATACCTGTACTTGGTGAACTGGCACCCTTCATAATAAATCCAACAATTTAATTTTTAGCTCCACATTTATTCAGAAATTAAATGAATCTCTTTAGGAGATTAATGATAAGTACTAACTTTAATAATGAAGAGAAACAAACTCAACACACCAAATACTCATGAAAAAATAATTTGAGAGCTCACCTTTCCACAACCAAACTGACCACTTGTGTGAGATCTGGGTTTGTAACCTGGAGACGTTTCCACAAAGACCATACAAATTCTTTATCAGCCTTAAAGAAATAAAAGAGAATTTAGATGCATTGCTTTGTAGTGGTAGTGAAATAAGATACTACATTAAATTTTAAAATGAAAAAACAATTACTTGATCCCTAGTTGTATAACTACATCAACTGATTCTCTTTAAAGGAATGGGGTAAAACTTTATTTTAAAAAGTTATTACACAGATAATCCATATTCACTTTTACTATTTCTATCACCTATATTTTGGGATGCAACTGTTGAAATGCTAAATATCTAGTTAAACTTGCTCTAAAAGGAAACTTCCCTCCCTGCTGCCCCATTTTCAGCTCCGCTTTTATCAAAACTCCTTGAAAGAGTTGCCTGTAATTACTATGTCTGTTTCCTATCTCCCATTCACTCTATAATGCTTCCTAGTAAGATTTTCCTAACCACCATTATGCTAAAATCATTATTCAAGGTCCTCTATATTGCCAAATCCAAAGGACAATGGGTAGTTTCAGTCCTTATTACCTAGGTTAGTTGTTATTAACCTTGGCTGACAGGTATCTCTTTTGAGGAGCTTTTAAAAAATAGGGATGAATTAGAGATTCTGATTAATTGGCCTTAGGTTAGAGCCAAGCATCAGTATGTTTTAAAAGTGCCTCGAGTGAATCTGTGCACTCTGGGTTGAGAACCACTGCCCTAGGTGACCTCATATCAGGCCCATGATTTTAAGTACCAACTCTACACTGAGACTCGCACATTTCTATCTAGAGCCATTTCCTCTACTCTTAGGTCCAGACTTACATCTCCAACTGCATATTCAATAATTCCACTTGAAAATCTAATAGATATCTTAAATTTAACTTGTTCAAAAAAAAATTATTGGTTCCTTACCCTCTCACAAATCTGCCCCTCTCCCTCCCAGAAATTGATACTGCCATCTATTCATTTATTCAAAGATCTAAAACAGTGGTGTCCAATCTTTTGGCTTCCCTGGGCCACAGTGGAAGAAGAATTATTATCTTAGGCCATATATAAAATACACTAACACTAACAATAGTTAATGAGCTAAAAAAAATTGCAAAATAAATCTCATAATGTTTTAAGAAAGTTTAAGAATTTGTGTTAGGCCGCATTCAAAGCCATCCTGGGCTGCATGCGGCCCACCTATGAGCCGGGTGTTAGGGTTAGGTTGATCTAAAACTTAGGAGTCAATCTTGTTTATTCTTCTTTTTTTTTTTTTTTTTTTTCTGAGACAGAGTCTTGCTCTGTCGCCCAGGCTGGAGTGCAGTGGCGCAATCTCGGCTCACTGCAACCTCTGCCTCCCAGGTTCAAGTGATTCTTCTGCCTCAGCCTCCTGAGTAGCTGGAACTACAGGCACGCACCACCACACCCAGCTAATTTTTGTATTTTTAGTAGAGACAGGGTTTCACCATATTGGCCAGGCTGGTCTCGAACTCCTGACCTCATGATCTACCTGCCTCGGCCTCCCAAAGTGCTGGGATTACAGGCATGAGCCACCGTGCCCAGCCAATCTTGGTTATTCTTTTCTCCTCATACTTCATATCCAAATCATCAATAAACCCTACTGTCCTTATCTACATGATAGGCAAATTCTGACCACTCTCACCACTTCTACCACTATCGCCCTAGTCCAAGTCAATTCCGTCTCTTGCCCAGCTATGTATCATGGTCTCATAGCCTTACAACTCAAAACTCTCCAGTGAGTTTCCATTAAATTAGGAAACTAATCCAAACTCTGTGTCAAGGCTACAAGACTCCATATGGCCTGGCCCATATACACCTCCCCAACCTCATCTGTCACTTTCCTCCTTGTTCACACAGACTTTCTTACTCTACTTGCTCTACTTGAACCAGGGCCAATGCACATACTGCATCATCCATCACACTTTCACATAGAGTATTCCCTCACTTCATTCAAGCCTTTTCTTAAATAATATCTCAAGTGAATTCTCCCCTGACTACTATCACAGCCACCAAAACCCCAAGTCTCTAGCAACCCCTTTTCCAGTTACAATTTTTTTTCACAGCACATTTCATTTAATAATCCTGTATGTTTAGTGATTTGGTTTTACTTGTGTGGCAGATATCTCAATTTCTGTCTCCGTCATCCATTCTCTCTTTTTAGTTACAGAAACAATTCTGCCCAAGTAACAGACCAACCTCCCTTGCCTTATGGGTTATATGACTAAGTTCTGTCAATGAAATATAAGTGCTGTTGGAAACTTAAAGGAAATCTTAAAATTAGACTTGTGTCTACCCATTGTTAGAAATATTCTTCCCAGTCTGTTGCTGCTTATTTATGATGATTTTTTTGAAAAAGCAAGTTATTAATTTTACATACTCAAATGTATCCATCTTTTCAATTATGGCTTATGGATTTTATGTACCAGTTAGAAAAGCCTTCTCTATTCCAAGATTAGAAATATATTTACCCATTTCTTCTTCTGGAATTTTTGTTTTTTAATATTTTTTAATCAACAAATAAAAATTGCATATATTTATGGCATACAACATAATGTTTTATGTATACATTTTAGAATGGTTAAATCAAGCTAATTAACATAACCATTAGGGCGAGCACAGTGGGTCACATCTGTAATCACTTTGGGAGGCCAAGATGGGAGGGGATCATCTGAGCCCAGGAGTTTGAGACTGGCCTGGGCAACATAGTGAGACCCCCATCGCCACAAAAAACTTAAAAATTAGCTAGCCATAGTGGAATACGCCTGTAGTTCCAGCTACTCAGGAGACTGAGGGTGGGACGATTGCTGAGCCCGGGAGGTCAAGGCTAGAATGAGCCATGATCATGAAACCATACAGCCTGGGCAATAGACCAAGACCCTATCTCAAAAAACAAAGAAAAAAACATAACCATTACCTCATACACCCACCATTTTTTTGTGATGAGAGCACTTAAAATCTATTCTCTTAGTAATTTTCAAGTGCACAATCTATTGTTATTAACTATAACACCATGCTGTACAGTAAGTCTGGTGATATGAAAAACAGTAAATTCTTTTGTGAACAATAAAATGTTACAAATGGATTGTGGAACTATGTTATATATGAATTTTGTGAGTTTTTCAGTTATTTAAATGCTATACTATGGTCAATTTGGATTACACCTAGAATTACTAAAAAAACTTTCATATACAAAAAATAAAGTCCCCCCCCGAAAAAACACAGAACTAGTTTCCAAACTGTTCCAGACATTAATACAAGGAAACTATTATCAATCACTCATATTCTCTTTATATTTTCCCTTCCTTCAGGCACTTAAAGATGTTCTTTTTAAATAACAAAAATAAAAACCTTGGCCAGGTGCGGTAGCTCACCCCTATAAGGCTGAGATGGACAAATGGCTTAAGTCCAGACGTTCGAGACCAACCTGGGCAACACAGGGAGACAGAGACCCCATCTCTACAAAAAATGCAAAACTTAGCCTAGTGTGGTGGCACACACCTGTAGTCCTAGCTACTCTGGAGGCTGAGGTGGGTGGATCCTTTGAGCCCAGGAGGTCAACGCTGCAATGAGCCATGATTGCACCACTGTACTCCAGCGTGGGTGACAGAGGGAGACTGTCACAAATAAAATGAAAACAAAAAATAAAAACCTAACATTACTCACTATAAAATTCCTTTTTTTTTTTTGAGACAAAGTCTCACTCTGTTGCCCAGGCTGGAGTGCAGTGGCGCAACCTCAGTGCACTGCAACCTTCGCCTCCCAAGTTCAAGCAATTCTCCTGCCTCAGCTTCCCATGTAGCTGGGATTAATGGTGCATGCTGCCACACTCCGCTAATTTTTGTATTTTAGTAGAGACTGGGTTTCGCCATGTTGGCCAGGCTGGTCTCAAACTCCCAACCTCAAGTGATCCGCCCATCTCAGCCTCCCAAACTACTGTCATTATAAAATTCTTTATTCTCAGGCCAGGTGCAGTGGCTCACATCTGTAATCCCAGCACTTTGGGAGGCCAAGGCGGGCAGATCACAAGGTCAGGAGTTTGAGACCAGCCTGACCAACACGGTGAAACCCCGTCTCTACTAAAAATACAAAAATCAGCCAGGCGTGGTGGCATGAACCTGTAATCCCAGCTACTCAGGAGGCTGAGGCAGGACAATAGCTTGAACCAGGGAGGCAGAGGTTACAGTGAGCCCATATTGCACCACTGCACCCCAGCCTGGGCGACAGAGCGAGACTGCATCTAAAAATAAAAAATAAAAATAAAATAATAATTCTTTTTTCTCACTATAGAACTTCCAAACAGAATCAAATAATAATTTTTAAAAATTAAAAATAAAAATTCCTAATCATTTTCACAAAGTTTATTAAACTTGGGCTATGAAACAGTTGACTAAATACTAAATACTAGGTCTAAATTTCCCTGGAGGTGGATTGGTTTTGTCTTTCATCAACTGACCTGGAAATAGATACCATCTATACAAACACAGACACCCCAAATTGCCATTTTTCACTGGGTACCTAGTCCCACAAAAAATAATTTAGTGTTGGCAATATATTAAGCCCTCAATTGACCTCTACTGGAGGAATGAACTCAACAAACACTTGAAACTGTTTCCTAAATCTAAACAAATATTTGGTCATCAGAGCTCAGGGCAAAGGATGTCAAGAGTTTACTTACAAAATATGGCACCAGGTAGCCACTTAGTAAATTATTAGCATGAAAAATAATTTCACAAAAAGACTCGCCAAGTAGAATACAGCTACAAACAACTGGTGGAATTACACAGTAAGTTCTCAAATTTGTTTTTCTTTGTGAATAAATGAAGTTTTAACACATCTAAATTTCTAACATAAAATATAACTGGCTGACTTCTCTGATCACATACAATTCCAACATCGCCTGCTTCAAAAGTTGGTTTCATCATTAAAGTGGATGAGCTTTAATGATGAAACTAATTTCATATTTCATTTAAATACCCTAATTTTTTTCCTAAAACTGGCTTATAGGTTTAGTCAATATTTTTGCCTGATACCAAAAAATAAGCTTTATAAATGCTATATAAACATATTACTCTTTCTATGTAAACATAACACTTTTTTCTCATCTCACTCTATAAATGGTGATAAATGTACAAATACACATGCCCCAGCATCCTTTATCACAAACAGAACACATTCTTGAAATATATAATCAAAATTAAAAGTGTAGTGGAGTTAGGTTCTAAATTAGTGAAATAGGGCATTAAATGCCATGGATGCAAAATTACCCTTTGGAACACCCTTGAAAAATTCCTTAGGAAAAAGCTACATTTGGAAGCTTACCTACTACCCTCAGTAAGTCCAATACAGATAGCTTTTCTTCCCTCATTGAAATTAATCACTTTTTCTTCATATAAGCATTATTTATAGTTCAGTTGCTAATCAGGGGGCCATATTTTTTTAAAGTTTAATTAGATAATACAATCACTTAGAGTGGGATGAGATGCTGATATTAAGAGAAACATTTGATTGCTTTCTATTACATGCTTATTCTGAGGCATTCCAATGATGTAGAATGGTATGGGGAATTACTCAAACTTCACCAAGCACACATCACTGAATTCCCATAAGTTGAATGTGAAAGCAAAACAAATTAAATGAAGCTACTACTTATGACCATGGACTAATTAGCAGTGTTCTTTTTCCTAAACTGTATGTTTCAAGCCTTGTTGGGTTCTGAAATTAATTTAGATCTGGACAGCATTTTTTAAAGGAATAGAACTGAAAAAATATCAGCCCACACAGTATTAGGGCATGTATTCTTTCTGAAAATATATGTTTGTATATGTGTGTACTTACTAGATTGAGATACAAAATTTTACTTCGAGTTGTAATTTTCAGCAGTTTTAATGCTATGTATTCTTGGGTACTGTGATCTCTAGCTGAATAAATAAGCGGGAGAGTATACTTTAAAAGATATAAAAGTGAATATTTAATCACCTAAATGCTTTTTACAAAACAATTGGGAGTTCAATTACTATTTTTCCCCAAGATTCCCGAAGAGCAGGAGTCTGATTTGACTAAGATTTTTATGGTGCGGGATACTGCCTACAATTATATAAGAGTATTAATATTACAAAATCTAAGAGATCATCATTCTAGACTATTATGACCATCTCTGTATTCTTACATTTGCCAAGAGTATGTCAATCATTTTCCTAGTCTATATATGTCCGAGGTCACAAAAGCCAACACCATGTTTGGAGCCACATTTTTAAAGAATGTAAGTATTTGTGGGAAGAGGTTCATCAGGCTGTTTCCAATAGACTGACTTCCTTAACCAAGTCGGTCATAAAAAAGTATCTTAGCTCTTTAGCCAGCTAAAGGCCTAACTATGTGGGGAGGCAGAAGTGGGAGGAAAGAGTGCGGAAAATATGCCAAAGAGTGTCTTAGATTAGGACTCAGAGTATCAAAGGCCTTTATCATGGGTTCACATCTTAAAACTCCCCAAAGGGTGAGGTCTGCAGATGACAAATGCTTCAATTCATTGTTGTCATTTATTTATCCCTTTGCTCCTTATCCAACGAAGAACAGAAAAATGGTAAAACGAAAAGAGGGCACCATATTAAATGTCCCAACCTTGTTTAACCAAAGGCACATTCAATTTGAAGATGGTCCCATTTTTACACCCTTCACTCAGTCAGCAAGGACCTATAAAATGGGCAAAAGAATCCAACAGAACAAACTATGAGAGAATGAATTTCTGTAATCCCAGCACTTTGGAAGGCCAAGGCTGGCGGACCACGAGGTCAGGAGATCGAGACTGTCCTGGCTAACACGGTGAAACCCCATCTCTACTAAAAATACAAAAAATTAGCCAGGCGTGGTGGCGGACACCTGTAGTCCCAGCTATTCGGGAGGCTGAGGCTGGAGAATGGCGTGAACCCGGGAGGCGGAGCTTGCAGTGAGCTGAGACTGCACCACTGCACTCCAGCCTGGGCGACAGAGAATGAATTTCATGAACTGTTTTATTAAACTGATGATACTGTTCACAAAGTTACTTTGATGTTCAGCAGCTCCTAATTGGTTTCTAAGTTGAAGACAGAGTGACTTAAAGATCTACTGTTCAGTGAGTTTCCCACATCCAATCTCCCAACCCTATCTAAAGGTTCTGGTAAAATCAAAAGAGATGATGGTAAGGATGCAAAACTAAAGGAAAATTCAATCTCTTTGAACATGAGTATAGTCAAGTCCATCCTTACAAAAACTCTACAAACAGGAAAGTAATTTTAATGCAATTGATTTAGCAAATGTTTTTCACTGGCAAGATCACATGAAAATGTGATTTCTCACTCAAGGACCGCGGAATTACCATAGCTGGTTAATAAACAAGTACCAAGCATCATCTATTGTTAAGTTCCCGGCTCTGAGACTTTCTAAACGTTACTCGTCTGTGTTTACAACTTAAGTTTGACTGGGTAAAAACAAAGCCAAGTGTGGGTTTGAAATTTTAAAAACAGGCTCCTTCATCGATGGATTTTACTCTAACCGAAGTGTTTACACTTTCCTGTTCATTTCAACTAGTGGACTGCATGTCACTCCTGGGCCCCCGGCAGGTATCAGCTACCGTCACCACCAAGAACTTGGGCTTGGGGGGGAAGCGGAGAGGATGCGACTGCGAGTATCCAAGTGACCAAAACCAAACCCGGGCGCGGAGGCGAAGCCTGTCTGGCCGCAGTTCGGAAAGGGGCAGGGGCCCGGGTTTGGGGAGCCGGGCGCAGCCGCGTCCCTCCAGCCCCCGGCCGCGAGCGAAGCAGGGTGTGCATCTGCCAGGGAGCGTCGCTGGGCGGGGTAGGTCCCAAGGCAGAGGGAGAAAGGCGCGCCTCCCCACGGGTCCCGGCCCCGCTGTGGTGGGGAAAGGGGGACTGCGAGACTCCTCGATACCTGACACAGGGCCAACTCCTCCTTTAGGCTGCTCAGCTCTTCCTCCAGCAGCTGCGTCCGGGTCACCATCGCCTCCTCTACCGAGATGCCCTCTAGCCGTCTGGACCCCATGGGCGCGCTGAGGAGGGGAGCATGAGCCGGAGCTGCCCCCCCAGGCCCTCGCCGGCCCCCTGACCCTTCTTCACCCACCCAGATTTTATCACTTTCGTCCGCGACCACCTCCCGCGCTGCGCCGGCAAAACCCGAGGCCTCGCTGCGCATTGCGTGTACTTCAGCTCCCCGCCCAACACGTGGGGACCTGGGGCCCAGCTGTCGCGCTGGGGGCGAAGGGTGCGGTGAGGGAGGCGAACGCGCCGCCATGGCTGCGGCTGCTAACGGGTCAAGTTCCCTGTTGGAAACTCCACCTCCCTTTCCCCAACCCGGCGAGCCCGGAACGCCGAACCGCGCATGCGCGAGGCTTTTCCCGCCTTGGCCCGCGGTGTCCCGTGTTCTCTGGTCCTGGCCGGCTTCCCGCGGGCAATGCGCCCAGCGCGAGCCTTGGGGTACGCACGCGCCGTGGCCCGAAAGGGTAAGGCCGGTCCGCCGGGCAGGCCATCCCAGCGTCCTGTGCCTGAGTCCTTGGCCAGGATCGCCTGGATTTCCCGCCCACCTAAAGCCCTGCCTGCCACTTACATCCCACCTCTTAAAGCCTTCCTTGACAAGCCCCCAGCCCCAAATGATCCTTAACTGTGAAATCCCTCTCCTTCAAGGCCCCTGCCAACTCGTGTGACACGTTTCATTGACCGCCCTGGAGTGTCAGTTACACGGCTAATCTCCCCAGCCCTGTTGTAAGCTCCTTGAGGATCAAGGAATACGTTTTACACTTAAGTGTTTTCTTCACACCCCTTGGCAAAACTGCTTTAGTACAGCTGACATCCAGCTGACTAATGTCAAGGAGATGTGGAAAGCCTTGTGCTGATCTGGGACTATCAAGCAGGTTTCCAACTTGAATGATGATCCTTTGTACACCCTTTGTCTTTTGTTTTGCAGGAGTCATGATTTCCTTTGAGTTTTTATGTCAGCTTCTTTATGCGTTGGCTGGATATCAGAGGAAGTGTAGCCCACATTGCTGAACAGTTTGGGTCCTTGGAGCAGTTTGAAATCAGTAATTTGGAGCGTGGATGAAGAAACAAGACCTACTTTATCTTTTGTTCTCTTTTTTTTCTTTTTCTTCTGGCTTTCTTTATAAACTTCAAATAGGTAGTAATCGTATCTTTCTTTGCCCTTCAAATACTTTGTTACTATTGATAAGATTAATGAGATGCATATTGAGCTGGCACCAGAACATCCCTGAAAGTTAGAACTGCCCTCTTCTTCAGAAAGGGTTCCAGAATACTTGGGGAAAGCTGAGATGGGGGTTGAGAGCAGAAGTAGAGAGATGACCACTTTACTGTTAACTTCATTTAACCAAAATATCACCATCTCTGCATGAGAATCTAGTCAGGATGCCAAAAGACACCCTCCCAATTAGAATCCTGCCAAGGCAACCAAGATAAGTGGACTTCTTTCAAACTGAAGGTGAATTCCTCACAAAAACTTATTAAAGAGTACATTAGAAAAAGTATGTTTATAAGCCTGTCTTAGAACTAGCTAACCTACTGAACATTTACCATATGCTGAGTCCAGTGCTAAGCACTTTTCATATATGAACTCACTTAATACATATGTCACCTTCAATTAGATTATTATATATCTCCATTTTTACTAGTGAGGAAACAGACTTGCAAGGTTACTGTAACTTCTCTGAAGTGCCATGTCTGGTATCAGAAAAGCTAGGCTTTGAATTCACTGAATTCCACTTAACTCTGAAAACCTGTACTTTGATCGCTACCCTGTCTCCACACCTGTGACTTGAAATACAACATTTGGTCTTGATAGTCTGTGAGATTTCACTAGACTTAAGACTGGGAAGTCTAACCACATAAGTTACGTGTTTGGCCCCAAATCAGTATTAATGCACATTTTTAATTGCTGTATGTCATTCACTCAAAAGGACATCATTTCACCTGATCATAAAAAGATCCTTTTGAAAAGCAGTGGTATAAATATGTATATGTGACCTCCCAAAAGGATAATATCCTGACTCTTTGACTAGGCATTTTTTTAAATTTTGTCTTTATTGGAGCAAAATACACAAAATACACAACATAAAATTTACCATCGTAGGCATTTTAAATGGCTACAAATAGGCCAGGCGTGGTAGCTCACGACTGCAATCCCAGCACTTTGGGAGGCCGAGGCTGGTGGATCACTTGAGACCAGGAGTTCGAGACCAGCCTGGACAACATAGTGAAACCCCGTCTCTGCTAAAAATACAAAAATTAGCTGGGAGTGGTGGTGCATTCCCGTAATCCCAGCTACTAGAGAGGCCACGGCAGGAGAATCATTGGAACACGGGAGGCAGAGGTTGCAAACAGCCAAGATCATACCACTGCACTCCAGCCTGGGTGATAAAGCAAGACTGTCTCAAAAAATAAATAAATAAATAAAATGGCTACAAATAAAAAACAATTCAGCAGCATTAACTACATTCACCATGTTAGGCAACCACCACCACTATCTGGTTCCAGAATATTTTCATCACCGGAGGCGGAAACCACATACCCACATTAGTCTCTCCACATTCTCACTGCCCCCGAGCCCCAAGCAACCATTAATTCCCTTTATGTCTCTACGGTTTTGCCTGTTTGGGATATTTCATATCAATGGAACCATATAATATGTGGCCTTTTGTGTCTGTTTTCTTTTATTAGCATAATGTTTTCAAGGTTCATCTATGTTATGGCATGTATTAGTACTTCATTCTTTTTTATAGCTGAAAATATACCATTGTATGGATATCCTCCATTTTGTTTATCCATTCATCTGTTAATGGACCTTTGGGTTCTTTCTGCCTTTTGCCTATTGTGAACAGAGCTGCTATAAACATTCACGTACAGGTTTTTGTCTGAACATTTATGTTCAATTTTTTGTTTATATACCTATGAGTAGAATGTCTAGGTCATATGTTTAATTTACTGAGGAATCACCAAACTCTTTTCCACAGTGGTTGTGTCATTTTACCTTCCCATAAGCAATGTATTAGCATTCTAATTTCTCATCATCCTCACCAACACTTATTTTTTGTTTTAGTTTTGTGTCATTTGCTTTTTTTAAATTATACTTTAAGTTCTAGGGTACATGTGCACAACGTGCAGGTTTGTTACATAGGTATAAATGTGCCATGTTGGTGTGCTGCACCCGTTAACTCATATTTACATTAGGTATATCTCCTAATGCTATCCCTCCCTCCTCCCCCCACCCGATGACAGGCCCCAGTGTGTAATGTTCCCCACCCTGTGTCCAAGTGTTCTCATTGTTCAATTCCCACCTATGAGTGAGAGCATGCGTTGTTGTTTGTTTTTTATGGCCAGTCTAGTGGGTGTAAAGTGCTGTCTCCTTGTGGTTTTCATTTGTATTTTTCCCCATGACTAATGACAATGAGCATATTTTCATGTATTTTTTGGACATTTGTTTCTCTTCTTTGGAGAAATATCTATTTATTCAAGTTCTTTGCTATTTTTTAATTGGGTTATTTGTCTTTTTGTTGTAGAGTTATAAAAGTTCTTTACTGGCAGACAATTTTTAAGAAAAGAAACGTGCACATTTCTAGAAGTATGCATAAGGAGTTCTTTCTTGTATTAGTTATTTGCTGAAATGACAGAAACGGATGAAATGTTAAATACAAACACTTATGACTCAGAAGGATAAGTTAAATATCTGCACTGCTATGTGAATAAAAATGTGCAAAACAATCAAGGTGTTTTTCCTGTTCAACTCTTTGTCCTAATATTTAAAAGTGATAGTGTCTGTTCTGAAGAAATACATAATGAAGTCTGCTGAGGATTAAGTATATTAGAATAGAGAAACACATAATTCTCTCAATATCATCACTGTATAGTCGAAATCTTGGGAAATAATGGAAGAAATGTGCCAATTAATATGGTACTTAAATTGCCTCTTTTACTTTAATTTTTAAAATTTATTTTTAACTTCTGTTTTAAAAGAGAAAAAATGTATTAGCCGTTTCTCAGCCTTTATGTTTCTTTGTTTCCAGAAAGAATGAAGAATTTTAAAACCCATGTATTTCTGCTTTACCAGTTTTGTGTAATCTTTATTTGGTCAGCATAATTTAATTAAGTTTTAAAACACTATTAGGTATTGGTAAGACCTCAAACATCTTAGATTTCTTTTCATATCATTTTAGGAATTTATCTCAGTTTTTAGTCTTTGCCATGTCCTAGAGATTTAAATCAAGAATCACTTGCTTCAGCATCAAAAGAAAAATCCATAAGCTAGAATGTGCCGATGTGATGCTTGAGTCAGTAGTAGATGCATCATGACAGCCTAGTGTGGACAAATCTCAATCCAGAAGTTAGTAGAGGTAAATAAAGAGGATTGTTTTGTGCTTTCAATTACCGCAATTTTGATTGAGCAATTCCTGGCAACTATTGATCCCCTGATCAGTCCTGAGAATGCTCTAGGTCACAATTATAGGTATACAAGGAGATATCATCAGTTCCTTTTCAAAAATTATGACCCAACAGAGCTATGAAAGAATTTCATTTTCCATTTTCATCTCCAAAGGTTGTCAAACAGTGCAAAACTGTTCAAACATCTGTTGTTTTTTCTAATTATAAGCAAAAATTATCTCCACTGAACCCCAACTCTAAGTGTGTGGGTTGTTCGGTGGGGGCACAGGGGAAGTAACCTGTAAGCCTTAGGTTTGAGTAACTTGTATCAGTTTATTTAGTTCAGAAAAGTTTGGAATATAGTGCGTTTCCCTGAGAAGTTCAGTTGGTTCCACAAAACACAGGGTTGCATAGTTTCAGCTCTTCATTTCAACACACGACCACAGTGAGGCAACACCCTACGTTTTCAGCCTTCTCATTTATATTTAAATTTCCTCCTCCCTAATAGATGGGATTATACACCCATGGTCCTAGGTATTTTAATAGAATATTGTTTATCCTCAAAGCAGTATTACAAAAGTACTCCAGTTCTTCCAGCCCTTTTTCTCCCCTGATTTTTTCCTAAACATGAAGGCCTTCTTTTTCCACTGCCAATGACCTGGTTTGACATTTCTGTCTTGAAGATTCTTACTTATTCCACATTACAGTGGTCTCGCACACTTACACACACATACACAAGCATTTTCCCTGTTGAAGATCCAGAATGCCATCTCTTCAGTCACCACCACTTCTTTGCCTTAGTAAAGGGGCTTCTATAACCAGAGAAAGAGCACTTTTTCCCAACCCAACATCATCCTGACGTGTCACATACCCACTTATGACACATAGCAGACTTTCAATAGCAGCAGCCAAATCCAAACTTTCTGATTTTCTTAGTCCCTACCGGTAGTTGACTTTTATCCTCATCTTCCACGTTAGCAATAGGAGATAAACTTTATCAAATGGCCAAGGAGATGGCAGCAATATTGAATGGCAGAATCCCACTTCTACTGAATGTGTTTAAGTAACCCACACAGAGGCACTGATTCCAGTCTCAAGGATGAGAACATACATGTCATCTTACCATCAGAGGGTCAATTCCCTTTCTGCTTGGTGAGGTGATCAATCAGAGTACAACACGAAGTTAATGGCAACTCATTGAGTACTTCAAGGAACAGTTGAAACAAGGACTAATTACAAAGGTAAGAGTAGGACTGAGAGAAACACACCATAGCCTGAGGCTTCTTTTTTTTTTTTTTTTTCTGAGACGGAGTCTCCCTCTGTCGCCCAGGCTGGAGTGCAGTGGCTTGATCTCGGCTCATTGCAACCTCCACCTCCCGGGTTCACGCCATTCTCCTGCCTCAGCCTCCCGAGTAGCTGGGACTACAGACACCCACCACCGCCCCCGGCTAATTTTTTTTTGTATTTTTAGTAGAGACGGGGTATCACTGTGGTTTCCATCTCCTGACCTCGTGATCCGCCCACCTTTGCCTCCCAAAGTGCTGGGATTACAGGCGTGAGCCACAGCGGCCGGCCACCCTGAGACTTCTTAAAGGATAGGAAATGTTAGCACCCTAGGCTTGAAGGGATGAGAGAAAGAGCAGCTAATGGTACCAGGAGACAGAAGGGCTGGGTACAGACAGCTGCCTGGTGAGAGGCACAGACTCTGGAAATTCGGACCCAGGGAAACAAATGCTCCAACTTCTTCCCTCATACCCACCTCCTCCTGTACTCCACTTGCTGAACCCAACCAGTTCTTACAGGTCAGCCCACCAGGACGTGGAGCAGGGTGGGAAACATCAGGAAACAATCTAGAGGGGCAAACATGATATATCTAGCTCAAGAGGCCAAGGTAGTCTAATAAGCAACAATTGGGATGCGGCCCAAATTGCATCCTATTATAGACAATAAATGATTCAAAGTAACAACTCTTATGTTGTTCTCATGGAAGCTGGTTGGACATTAATTTACAACAAGCCCACAAAATAGAAAAAGTGAATCACACACTACAAAGTAGAGGGAAAAGAATTCAGGCAAGAGTTAGGCAAAGAGTTAGGCTTTTAAACAGAAACCCCTCTACAAGCACCAAAGGGAATGTGTCTATGTACTTTCTTTATCATCTTCATATTCTTCATTAAACCCAGTTTCCAGAAGGTCTAGACTACACTAGGTAATTCTGATTATCCTAAATATTATATATTCCAAGATAATAGGTACTCAATGTCTTTTGCATTAATTTTATATTTTGCATCTCTTTTATAATTGTATAATTCTTCTCACATTTCATTTACATGTGATTGGTAGCTCTATATTTGTATATATTTAGAGATTATAAGATCCTACATGGAAGAAAATGCTTTTTTTTTTCTGTATCACTGATGATACCTATCACAGTGCCCTAACACAGGAATCACTTGATAAATGTCTACCAGCTAGCTTTCTATAAGCCACAGAAATTCTTGCCTTCAGCAATTAATGGACATTCCTCATGGTAGTTACTAATATCTCACTTTAGTAGACAGTGCTTTGCTATGAACAGAGAATGTTTTTGTGGAGTATCAGATATCAAAATTAATATTTGAGATAAATTGATCACATAGTAGCAGTATGCTAACTACTGTTGGTGGGAAATGAAACTGTTAAGAAACACCGGTTCCTGGTGGCCAGGCGCGGTGGCTCACACCTGTAATCCCAGCACTTTGGAAGGCCAAGGCGGGCGGATCACGAGGTCAGGAGATGGAGACCATCCTGGCTAACACGGTGAAACCCCATCTCTACTAAAAATACAAAATATTAGCCGGGCGTGGGGGTGGGCGCCTGAAGTCCCAGCTACTCGGGAGGCTGAGGCAGGCGACTGGTGTGAACCCGGGAGGCGGAGCTTGCAGCGAGCCGAGATCGCACCACGGTACTCCAGCCTGGGCGACAGAGCGAGACTCCGTCTCAAAAAAAAAAAAAAAAAAAAAAAAAGGTACCTGATGCCACCAAAATTTCTTTTTCCCAAACAATGTTTTCTGATGTAGCAAACTTCTACAGCAAATTCCTTGGGAAGAGAAAAAGGCAGAAAAGGATAAATGCAGTCAATTTGGGGACCCCTTGCCAGAACAATGTTCTTTACTCATTCCTTAACTCTTTTAACAAGTATTTATTGAACACTTCTAGGAATACAGCAATGAACAAAACAGTCACAATTCTTGCTTTGGCAGAGCTTATACTCTACTAGGAGAAAACATATCATAAACAGATAAATATATTGTTAATTAGTGATGTTATATATTTTAAAAAGCAAGGAAGAACAGTGAGTAATAACAGTGGTAAGGTGCCATTTTAGGTAGACTAGTCAAGAAAAGCATTTCTAATAAAGAATATCTAAGCAAGCACCTCAACTGACTGGGAAGCACACCATGGAGATATCTGGGAGACTATCAGACAACAAGGACATTGAAGGTATGAACATAAATCAAAAGGTTGAGTGAAATCTGAACACTGCAGCGCTTTATAGATTGTGAGGGATAACACATTCTTACACGCCATTTCCCAGGAAATGCCTATTATCCTGCAATCTCAAAGAAGCTGATCCCCAAGTGGATAAAATACCCACGTGGCAAGGGAACAAGTTTTGTGATCCACAAGAAAATCCCCAATATAAATCATGCTGAAAGACTTAAATAAGATAAAGAAGCTGACCTGGGGTTTAAAGAAAAAGGAATGATGGTTACCCCTGGTTCCCTTGTGATGGTTGTAGATAAGAATCACACAAAGGAGCTTTTAAAAGAATGTTACCTGGGTCCCATCTCCAGAGATTATGTTTCAATGGATGTGGTATGGGACCCAGCATTGTTATTTTATTTTTAAGAGTTCCCCAGATGAGGCCAGGCGCGGTGGCTCACACCTGTAATCCCAGCACTTTGGGAGGCCAAGGCAGGTGGATCACAAGGTCGGGAGCTCGAGACCATCCTGGCTAACATGGTGAAACCCCATCTCTACTAAAAATGCAAAAAAATTAGCCAGGCATGGTGGCCGGCGTCTGTAGTCCCAGCTACTCGGGAGGCTGAGGCAGGAGAATGGTGTGAACCTGGGAGGCGGAGCTTGCAGTGAACCGAGATTGCACCACTGCACTCCAGCGTGGGTGACAGAGCGAGACTTCATCTCAAAAAAAAAAAAAAAAAAGAGTTCCCCAGATAAGTCTAACATGCACGCAGAATTGAGAATCACTGAGTTAAGCTGTCAAAAAATATCCTATGCTTTTGTGCTTCTGGGATGCACAAAAGATGTCACACAATTATTTACTTAGTCAGTAGTTAATAAAATTATGTGTGGCATACCTAATATGTGCTAGGAGCTTAACATTGGAGTTACAGAAAAGCCAAGGCCAACCAGTTCCTACCTTCATGAACTCATGTGGGGAAAGTTAATTGACAAACAAGTAAGCAACTTAACAAACAACAACATAGAAAATGTAATAAGTGCTAAAAAGGAAAGAAAAGGGTGATGTGACGGAGACTATCTGGGCAGGTACTACTTTCATTAAGTCAATTAAGGGGGAGCCCTCTGAAGAGGTAGAATGTGAGCTGAAATCTGAAAGATGACAAGGAACCAACTATTCAGAAAGTCTAGGGTGTGGATGGAAAATACAAAACACCAGAGGTACAAAGTTGCTTGGTATGTTCTAAAAACAGAACAAAGGTAAGTATGGCTAGAACCAGAAAAAGTGAAAGGAAATGTGGTGTAAGATGAAGGAATGAGTTTGGACTTTATTCTAAGACTAATCGGAAATGAGTGAAAGATTTTAAGCAGAGGAGAGATATTATTTCACTACATTAATGAAAAACCACTCTGCTGTGGAGAGAATGGATTCTGGGGTTAAGGGAAGGAGAACAGAAGCAGGAAGACCAGTCCAAGCAAGAGGTAATGATGGCTTGGACCAGGGTGTTTGCAGAGGGAAAAGAGAGATTGATGGTATTCAGGATGGATTACAAAGGTTAAGCTGATGGGACTTATTGATGGATTGGGTGTGAAAGAAGAGGGCAAAGGAAGTATCTGCTCTGACTGCCAGAGTTTGGTTTGGGAATCTGAATAGTTGAAGGTACCATAAATTGAGATGGTGAAGACTATTGGATAAACAGGATTAGAAGCAGGGAATCAATAGTTCCCTTTGAGGCCAGGCACGGTGGCTCACGCCTGTAATCCCAGCACCTTGGGAGGCCAGCACTGGCAGATCACCTAAGGTCAGGAGTTCAAGACCAGCCTGGCCAGCATGGTGAAACCCCGTCTGTACTAAAAATACTAAAACTAGCTGGGTGTGGTGGCATGTGCCTGTAGTCCCAGTTACTCAGGAGGCTGAGGCAAAAGAATCACTTGAACCCAGGAGGTGGAGACTGCAGTGAGCTGAGATTGAGCCACTGCACTCCAGCCTGGGTTATACAGCAAGACCCTGTCTCAAAAAAAAAAAAAAAAAAAAAAGTTCCCTGTGAGATATACCGAATTTGAACTGTTAAGAGACTTCTAATTACGGATGTTGAGTAGGCAAAATAACACACAAACATGAACTTCTTGGAAGAGATTCTGATCTCAAAATATACATTTGGAAGTCATCAGCATATGTGTGGTAAGGTGTGTAGAACTCACAGGTATATAGCAGTTAGATAAATATGCATGAGACCCATAGTGTTTTTAAGGAAAGGCATCAAGTCCTCTTCTTCTTGGAGACTTAACATTGTTTTATTTGTTGTTGTTGTTGTTGTTGAGACAGGGTCTCACTCTGTCACCCAGGCTGGAGTGCAGAGGTGTGGTGCGATCACGGCTTACTGAAGCCACAACCTCCCAGGCTCAAGCAATCCTCCCATCTCAGCCTCCTGAGTAGCTGGAACCACAGGCACGTGCCACCACACCTGGCTAACTCTTGGATTTTTTATAGAGATGAGGTCTCGACATGTTACTCAGGCTGCTCTTGAACTCCTGGATTCAAGCAATCCTTCTGCCTTGGCCTCTCAAAGTGCTGGGACAGATGTGAGCCACCGCACTTGGTCTAAACATTGTTTTAGATCTAGTGAACTGAGATGGTCCTGACTGAGGCCGAGGGGTAGAAATGGGCCCATGAGAGAAGGGAAAGTCTGGGTTAGTAGCCCAGATAGAGTACTTGACTGAAAGAGCTTGTAGAGTGAGGGCCAGTTTTGATCATAGTGCATGACTTACACTGGAAATTCAAGTTGACTCTTGTCACCGAACATACCAAGCAACTTTGTACCTCTGGTGTTTTGTATTTTCCATTCACACCGTAGACTTTCTGAATAGTTGATTCCTTCTCATCTTATAGATTTCAGCTCACATTCTACCTCTTCAGAGGGCCCCCCTTAACTGACTTAATGAAAGTAGTACCTGCCCAGATAGTCTCCGTCACATCACCCTTTTCTTTCCTTTTTAGCACCTATTACGTTCTCTATGTTGTTGTTTGTTAAGTTGCTTACTTGTTTGTCAATTAACTTTCCCCATATCTGTTTGAGGACAATGACTGAGCAGTTGAATGTAAACCAAAGAGCTGTAAACTTGGAAGTTCGAGGGTAACTGTACTTGGTCCAGCATGCAGCTGGAGAGTGTGGGATAATCTCCCCCTAAAGAGAATGGATGTGATCTGTGTAGGGTTCTGTACCAGTAAGGGTGCCATTACTACTTCAGACAAGAAAGTTGCATCCAACTGTGCAGGGTCAGTTCTCAGCCATAGACAAAGCTGCCATGGAAGCAATGACAGTTGGAAATTAGAACTTTCAAAATAGGAACATCTCCAGACCTCTTCTCCTCTTGCTGTTGGAATCATAATGAGCCTCTTTAGTCAGAATTAGACTCTAGACAACAGAAGGGGGAAGCTTCAAAACAGAGAATGAGCATCTTGTTAATTGTGCTGATGGGGTCTTGAATATTTACTTTGATTATCATAAGGATAAGTGACCATATTTGTACTCCAAAAGGATGAGGTGCTTCATACTAAATATATAAATGTAGAAGGTTACATTTATCCTTTTTAAAGCTATCGAGGCAGTGTGATGTAGTAGTAGGTAAGAGCCTAAATCTGAATTTGAAGCATGGACTCATGACTTATCTATTATTTAACATTTTGAACATTACCTAACCTAAAAATAAGGATTAAAACAAGCTTAATGGGGCATTATGGATCAAAAGCAACAAAGTCAGTAAATACTGTTTTATTGTTTCCCTGTTTCATAGCAGATGCTCAATAAATATTAGCTATAATTAAATTCTTATTAAGCATTATTAAGCTAGCTATCGTGCTAGCTTGTTATTTGATAAATGTCATCATTCTATGTTCTTATATAAATATATTTTTAAAATTTTCACAGAACAGTCTGTAAGACACATTAATCGCTCCCTTTCCTGAACTCACCTACCCATTCCTACCCAATTATAGTTCTTGATTGCATTATAGATATTTCATATGCCTTAATCTTACCTCCTTAACTAAACTGTAATTTCTTTGAAGATGAGGATCAGGTCTCAGTCTCCTTTTAAAATGTCCTATCACATTTTCAACAGTATTAGAAATACAGAAGCTAAGAAATATGTACTTATTAATTCGAAGATGGTCCTAAACAGAATGGGCACATAGGTATTGATTATTTTCTCTTTTTGGTTTACTGGTCCCTAGAAATATAACACATATACACAAGCAAAACTACGACATCTGTATACCATAATTCCCTGTGAATCCAGTTCCTTTTGTTTAAAATGAACAGACTAGGTCAGGCAATCCTTTGAGTCCTTTTCTGACCTAAAAATCACTAATATCATTAAATAAAAAACAACTGCATTTCTAAGAAATTTCCAAAGATAATGAATAATCCATTCATTAATTTATTCAACAAACACTTTTTTAAGGCCTACTATGTGCCAGGCACTCTTCTAGGTGCTGCAGAAACAGCAGTGAAGAAAACATCTCTAACCTCTTGTAGTCTATGTTCCAAAGGATTTGTTTCATTAAAATCTTGACCAAGGTAATTTTGAAATCAGGAGGAAGACAAATAAAGGCCATATATCGGCTGGGCACGGTGGCTCACGCCTGTAATCCCAGCACTCTGGGAGGCTGAGGCGGGCGGATCACGAGGTCAGGAGATCAAGACCATCCTGGCTAACACTGTGAAACCCTGTCTCTACTAAAAGTACAAAAAATTAGCCAGGCGTAGTGGTGGGCGCCTGTAGTCCCAGCTACTCAGGAGGCAGAACCCGGGAGGCGGAGCTTGCAGTGAGCTGAGATCGCGCCACTGCACTCCAGGCTGGGCAACACAAACACAGCGAGACTCCGTCTCAAAAAAAAAAAAAAAAAAAAAAAAAAAAAAAAAAAAAGGCCATATATCAGGGTTTCGGTCTTTAGAAAGAAATCTTCAACTATAATATCTTTTTCTCATTTTATTCTAAAAGAAAGAAATCAGGATGCCAAGCCAACCTGTATATTTTCTATTCAATTATCAAAATATGAAAGTCAGAAGTAGGAAGACTCCCTCCATTCACTCCACATATCAGTATCTGTCCACTTTGCCTTAAATATTTTGCCCACTACTCACACTTCCCATCTATTCCTACTACCTCTGCCCCAGTTCAGACCTTCATTCATTCTAACCTAGATTACTAAAATAGTCTTGTTCTCACCCAACTGAACTACTACAGCCAATCCTTGCTTAACTAAGCACAGCTCTCAGCATGGCACTCTGCAAAACAGAGACTGATCCAGGTTGGCTGTGTCCCCACCCAAATCTCATCTTGAATTTTAGTTCCCATAATCCCCACGTGTTGTGGGAGGGACCTGGTGGGAGGTAATTGAATCATGGGGGCAGTTTCTCCCATGCTGTTCTTGTGATAGCGAGTGAGTTCTCACGAGATTTGATGGTTTTATAAGCATCTGGCATTTCCCCTGCTAGCACTCATTCTCTCCCCTGCCACCCCGTGAAGAGGTGCCTTGTGCCATGATTGTAAGTTTCCTGAGGCCTTCCCAGCCATGCAGAACTGTGAGTCAATTGAACCTCTTTTCTTTATAAATTATCCAGTCTCAGGTATTTCTTCACAGCAGCATAAGAACGACTAATACAGAAACCTTCTGTGGTTCCTTGTTGCCTTCATAACAAAATCCAATTATTTAAACTAGTATGTCAGGCCTTCTACTACTTTCTGACTCAACACTGTTTTTTAATATTATTTACACCTACTTTCTCTTCCATACTCTATGCTGCAACCAAAATAAACCACTTACTTTACAGCCCTACCCTCTACCCTACATGGCCATTACTTCTGATCTCTGGGATTCTGTTCCTTCCATCTGGAATTTCTGCCCTTCCCCAATAGATGCATGCGACTTCTACTTACTAGTAGCTTAAACACATAGGTGTTTATTTTCTCACCTTACAAGAAGCCCAGATTTAGGGAATCCACACTACTCAACATCACAAAGAACACCGGCTGGCTCCTTCTAAATTCCTACTCCACTGAACTGAGCAAATGACTTCCATCTTAATGAAAAAAAGTTGTTATAACTGTTAGGATTACACCTTCATGACTGGCTAAACAAAGGGGAAGAGGAAGGGCATGTACTCATATCATAAAAGCAAAAGCTTTCCCCAAATTCTCTAGATTTCCACTTATATCTCACTGACCAAACTACATTATCGGGCCACACCTAATTGAAAGAGAGATGGAAAAGCAAGTTTTTTTTAAGTGAACACATTATGATCCCAAACAAAAATTAGTGTTCTCTTAATAAGAAAGAGGAAGACAGGCCATATTAGCAAGATAGCCTAAAGTGTCTGCTACAGTTGGAAACCAATAGTATCAAACACACACAGTCAGATAAATTTTACTTAAAATTCTTCTAATTCATGATTTTGCCTCCATCTTTCCCACACTAAACAAACAATAAAAGCAGGGGCAGTTCACTCTTTCAAATCACAGCTCCCATGTTGTTCTGGCCATAGCCTTGCTTTCCCATTACTCCATTTTTCCTGCCCTTCCCACTTAATCAGGTAGGAGCAACCACTCTTTCTTACAGTGTTAGTGATGTTGGGGAGAGAAGCAGAGGGTACTGGGAAAGGAAACTGAAGGGCTAGCATGGGGCATGGCTCTGGATGCCAAGCTTATAAAGTATGAACTCTAATTCTGGTGTAACTTATTACATTTTCTTTAAACACACAGAATTAGAAAAATGTAAAATTCTTTTTCATACCAAACCCTACTATCACTGCAATTGCTGGAAGCATCTTTCCCTGTTCCATATTTGAGAAGCTAGGCTCCTGGTTTTTGGAGATGGAAATCAAGAAAGAGTTTATTTTTTGGGAACTATTTTTTTTTACTGTGGTAGGATACATATCTAATATAAAATTCACAATTTTAACCGTTTTTAAGTGTGCAACTCAGTAGTATTAAATATATCCACAATATTGTGTAGCCATCACCAGGATCAATTTCCAGAACTTTTTCATCATTCCAAATAGAAACTCTCTATCCATTAAACATTAACTCTCCATTACCCTCTTTCTCCAACCCCTACTGTTTTATACTTACTGCCCCTTTGAATTTGTCTATTCCAGGTACCTTATGTTTGAAGAATTATGAAATATTTGTCTTTTGATGTATGATGTATTTCACTTGGCATAATATTTTCAAAGTTCATCCACATTGTAGCATGCATCAGAATTTCAATCTTTTATAAGGTTGAATAACATTTCATTATCTTATACACTACATTTTCTCTGTCCACTCACCTGCTGATGGACATTTGGGTTGTTTTCATCTTTTGCCTATTGCATATAATGCTGCTATGAACATTGGTGTTTAAGTAGCTGTTTCAGCCTCTGCTTTTAATTATTTTGGGAGAAACTATATTTTAAACAATGTTGAAATTGTGGTTAAAATAAATTAGGTATTGTGAAGGTTAATACTGAGTGTCAACTTGACTGGTTTGAAGGATGCAAAATATTGATCCTCGGTGTGTCTGTGAGGGTGTTGCCAAAGGAGATTAGCATTTGAGTCAGTGGGCTGGGAAAGGCAGACCCACCCTTACTCTGGGTGGGCACTACCTAATCAGCTGCCAGCGTGACCAGAATATAAAGCAGGCAGAAAAACGTGAAAAGACTAAATGGGCCTAGCTTCCCAGTCTCATCTTTGTCCTCTGCTGGATGCTTCCTGCCCTGGAATATCGAACTCCAAGTTCTTCAGTTTTGAGACCCAGACTGGCTTTTCTTGCTGCTCAGCTTGCAGAAGCCTAGTGTGGGACCTTGTGATCATGTGAGTTAATACTTAATAAACTCCACTTTATATATCTATATCTATCTATATCTATATCTATAATTTTTAGATATATATCTATAAATTATAGATATATAATTATTTATAGATATCTATCTATAATTATAGATAGATATCTATATTTATAGACAGATATCTATCTATACATAGATAATAGACATATATAGATATATAGATATATATCTATAAATAATAGATATCCATAATAGCTAGATGTCTATAAGTTATAGATATATAATATATATTATATATATTATATATTATATATATATTATATATATCTGTTATTTATATATATCTGTTATTTATAGATATATATCTATCTATTATAGATATCTATTATTTATAGATATATATCTATTATAGATATCTATTATTTATAGATATATATTATATATATATTATATATATTATAATATATATATTATATATATATAATATATATTATATATATTATATATTATATATATATTATATATATCTGTTATTTATATATCTGTTATTTATAGATATATATCTATCTATTATAGATATCTATTATTTATAGATATATATCTATTATAGATATCTATTATTTATAGATATATATCTACATATCTGTATATATCTATATATCTATAGCTATTATTTATAGATATATCTACATCTATAGATTCATAGATATATCTATAGATAGATATAGATATAGATAGATAGATCTCCTATTTGTTCTGTCCCTTTAGAGAACCCTAATACAGATATATTATGTATCCATGAGATTTTGTGGGTCAAACTAAAAAATTACTAATGATTTGTAACACGTTTCGATTACAAAAAACATGTAATACGTTTCATTGAATTCTAAGCTTTAGAAAGCAAATTTAAAAGAAACATATTGTAGGTAACATGTAAGTTGGCAACTGATGTATATCTCCTATGAAATAACTTAAAATTTATCTGTAAACTGAAATATGATTCATTGACATTTCTTGGTTCTTTGACCTCCCAGAAACAGACATGATTCCTGGGCTAAGCAGTGTCATAGGGAACTGGGTTACTGTTAACCAGCCCCCACTAACAAAAATGAAATGGGATCAAGGCCAAGTGTTGGGGCCTGTGGCTTCTGTGACAGGAGCGGTCTCCTGCTGTCTCCCTAGAAACAATTGGGTAGATACTTGTAATTTAGGATTCCTGGAACAGTATGGAAATGTAAAATGATATGGATGCAATGAATAGAATGAGCAGAGATATATAAATATGAAGAGCTTGAAGACCATTTAATTTTAGAGGCCTTACCACATCAAACATACAAAATGCATTAGATCGCACATTAAAATGTTTAAGATAGCTAGGAAAGGATTAAGATGAAGCTAAGTGGTTAGTCGTATTTATGAACACTTAATTAGATATATATTACTTTTTATTTTGCCACTTTTTAGTATTTCAAGGCCAATAAATTATTTTTCAGGTCTCAAATATTTTCATAGGCCCTTAAATATGCACAGGCCATAATCATATGTGTAATTGGCTCCATAGTAATTCTTGATCTCAAAATAGTTCTCATTTTCACCATCTTAGGACACTTGCTTCTGACCGTATAACTGACCATAACTAATTTTTCAACAGTAATGCAGTAACCAGAATAAAAAACAAACAAAAATAATATATATTACCTCTACAATTTCTGGTTATAAAATAAAATGTTTCCCAGAGTCGATGTACCATAACACCAGCTAAGCACTAGTAATCAGAAATTTCTAGAATCAAGAGCAACAATCTTTCAGAAACAAGCTGCCAAGTTCCTGACTCCTGTCAGCTTCTCAAAATAGGAAAATGCTGTAGTAAAAAGCAAGCATTGAAACAAATACTCTCCCTACTTCCATATACCCACATACAATTAAAGACACTCTGGGAATAACAAAGTCTTCTGTTAAAATTCAAAGCTAACTCCCCTTTTAAATTTCTTAAGCATCCACAGTGAATTACTTTAATAGCATAATAAAATTACTTTCTACCTAATATACAATCGTGGCTTCCAGTTGGATGTTCCCTTGAAAACTAGAGATGTGTTTATTTTGGGATTAGCCTTTCATGCCTCTAAGCCTTGGCACGAGCAATTTCTACCTTCCTGGTAGATTTTTTCACCACTTCTTTAGCTAATAAAATGCCTACCCATTCTTTAAAGCCCAATTTAAATGTCGTTGTTTCTGCAGGCCCTTTCTGGCTCCTAGAGGTTCCCAGAGCCATACTTTATTCCCCACACTCTCAGGACTCACCACATTTTACCTAATTTATAAGTGAGTATGTGTTAGTACGTCTGCTCTCTACCACTAGACTTTCAGCTCTGGAAAGCAAGGCACTTGCTGTGGTCACATCTGTATTACCATGCATCTAGTACACTTAAATTAATATATCAAGGGATAATTTTCTCTATGATACACACTCTATGCTTTGCATAGTGTAGCAATTTTTCTATTAATTTAACCCGGAAAATGAGAAACTGTTTTGACCATCTGTTCTCCCACTTTGTGATGAAACAACATTTTTGAGTATGATTTTGGTTAGCTTTCTCATTCTTTTGTAACAGCAAATTGTTGGTCTTTTTCTTTTCCACTTGTCTCAAAGTTTCCATCACCTCGTGGAGATCATTACAAACAGTGCTTCAACTGTATCATAAAAAGCTGCTAACATAGCCAAAAGTTTTTCCACTTTCAGATTTCTGGGATGGTGTTTTGGGAGAAAATGTAGCTAGGTGAGTGTAGCTACGTGAGAGCAAGAGGAAGAGGGAGAAAAGTTGATAGAGTGTTATTGGCCTTCTGAGGAAGCTGGTTTATGATGCTCAAAGATCACTCATTGTGTTGTTGATTTCTTAGGGAATAATCAACATTAACTCTCTATTATTATGGCCCTTCAGCTATAAAAATTAAGTAAATTTCATGCACAGAATTTCCCTATTTAGATAGGAGGAAACTATTCATCGATAAAGATGAGAAAAACTTTCTAGTTTACTACTTCCGGTGAATCCCAGATTCACAGATAATTACTCCCATAAGGACTAACTACTATAATTATATTAGTGCCCTCTGCTGTACATGTGTAAAATTACAGAAAATTACGTGTTCTTTCAAGATTTGTCTAGACATTCTCGGCTTTGGCATTTTCCAGAAGCAAGTCTTTAACAGCATCCTTATTTAATTTCAGCTGAATAAACTTTTATCATGTTGGGTGAAACTTTACCTCTCATAATTACTGTCTAGCCCAAACAAAATAACAGTGTATAAGAGGCAGTCATTATAGGCCTATCGTCATGCTAGGGAAAACATTAATTAAATGTTTGTGAAATAATGGAAATTACTTCATGGCATGGCAATTATTTGAAAGTCTGCCCTTCTTTTATAATAATTATGTGCTGATCACTTTCTCTTGGACTTCCCTTTTCTATATCCTCCTGTGTTTATTTAAGTCGGAGTCAATTCAGAGCCTCATAAAATTTTTACTTGCCATGACATTCAATAATTATTTTGTATGACATTTGTTTTATGCCATTTGATTTGTTTCTGTGGTCTAAATTAAAAATTTCTGCTTCTGTCTGAATTGTATTAACTGAAAATAATATTAAGAGGCTGAGGCCATAACTGTAAGTAGTCCTCTGTCAACCACTTATTTTTTTTGTTTATCTCTCATTCCAGGTTATGAAATTTTAAGCATCTCACTTACCTTTAATAATCATTCTACATCTTCAGAACAGCAAATTTATTTCAGATTTACATGCTATATCTTTATTTTGTGCATTTTATCTCTATGTATGAAGAAAATATATAAAATAGCATAATTTAAAATGGAAACAAGAATTTATTTATACATATAGATTTTGGTAATAACCTGTGAGTCTCGGAAATGACCGTTTTGGGTTTATTTCTTGCCATCTTTTTTTTTTTTTTTTTTTTGAGACGGATTCTCGCTCTGTCACCAGGCTGAAATGCAGTGATCTCGGCTCACTGCAACCTCCACCTCCTGGGTTCAAGTGATTCTCCTGCCTCAGCCTCCCAAGCAGCTGGGACTACAGGTGCACGCCACCATTCCCAGCTAATTTTTGTATTTTTAATACAGAAGGGGTTTTGCCATGTTGGCCAGGATGATCTCCATCTCTTGACTTCCTGATCCGCCCACCTTGGGCTCCCAAAGTGCTGGGATTAAAGGCGTGAGCCACCACACCTGGCCTATTTCTTGCCATCTTCTTGTAAACTTCCCCCCCATCTAAATCACTATACTTAGTTCATATTTATACATTTGTTTAGAGCAGCTTTAGAAAATGTGTAAATCTGTTATTAACCAAATATCTTTATTTACTATTAAGAACTATATATATATATGATATATAAATGTAGCTTAAGAAGTAATTTTTTGGTAGATGTTAATTTTCCAAGGAAAAGTATGACATTTGTCAAAACTAGAAAGAGACATTTTAAAATTACAGTAAATTAAAATGTACAAATAAAACCACAAGACAATGGAAAAAGAGTTTCAAACTTTAATGGAATTTAAAGTGGATTAATTTCCCAACTTGGGAAAAATCAGAGAAATTTTCAGGTGTAGCTGAGAGCACAATGACAATCAAAAATGAAAGGGAACTAAGGTAAAGATAAGGAGTAATATTGGAAAAAATATACCTAATATAGGTATTTTTAGGAAATATAGGAAAAACTTAAAATGATAGGTTCCATTATCCAGCTAAGAGTTTTTACTCTGAATATAATTTTCTGTTTTGAATGCTTCAATCTAGAGGCAAATAACTAAACAGAAGGAATAAATATCACAAATGCTGATATATAATATTTACTGTTTTTGTTTTTATTTTTGTTTTTATTTTTTTGAGACGGGGTTTCACTCTTGTTGCCCAGGCTGGAGTGCAATGGTGCCATCTTGGCTCCCTGCAACCTCCACCTCCCGGGTTCAGGCAGTTCTCCTGCCTCAACCTCCCGAGTAGCTGGGATTACAGGCATGCGCCACCACGCCCAGCTAATTTTGTATTTTTAGTAGAGACGGGGTTTCTCCCCATTGGTCAGGCTGGTCTCAAACTCCCAACCTCAGGTGATCCACCCGCCTCAGCCTCCCAAAGTGCTGGGATTACAGGCATGAGTCACCACACCCAGCCCAGATTTATTGTTTTTCATTTCACCACATTGGATGCTGTTTGACAGGAAGAGGCATAATATATTTAGTCATAGTAAACATATATGCATGTTGTATTAAAAGAGTATTTTGTATTTTTTGGTTTTTTAGAAATGTATTAAAATAGTTTGTTTCAGTCAGGAAAGGGGGAACTCATAAAGTGCTACATGTGACCTGACACTTTGAACAGTGGTGTCATGTAACAGCCCACTGCTCTCCCTAGCTCACTGCTGACACTCCGGTTTTCTAGGATGAAAGTTTGTCCCCGAAAGTCTGGAAATTAATTTATACTGCATGGGGAGATATGTAAGATGGCTGATGCTCCAATTTCTGACTTTATTTCGAAGAAAAATGTATTCTTAAAACAGAAACAGTCTTTAAGTTGCTGACAATAAATGGCTGCTATGAAATTTGAAATATTAAGCCCCCCTTGAGAAAGCAAGCTTATTTTTTTAAACAAAGACAAAATTATCTCCCTATAATTTACTAGGAATGATGTGTTTTTATATTCAATACATATTGAATAACTTCAACAAAAAAATTAACAAGACACTTAAAATGTTATATAAAATGATCAGATAAATTAATTATTCTAGAAGTGAAATAATGGTTAGAAATGTCCTTATTTTACAGGTAAAGACAGTTTACAAATACCAAAAGCATATGAAAGCAGAAATAGCTAGATGCTTATACAAACACCCACTCTCACCTTTTCTTTAGAAACAAAACACAGATATATGTGAATGTGTGTATATACAGGTGCATGGTTACATTTAAGTGTGCAGGCAATATGGCCAGATAAAGGACTGTATTATGCAACCTTCCCTGAAAGTAGGTTCTATCCCATGACTAAGTTCAGCCAATAGAGAGATAATTAGGTTATTAGATAATCTAATAAGATTAGAATGATTTTTAGTCGCAGGAAACCCATTTTAAATAAAAACACTCAGCTTGGCTAAAAGCTAAATAATAGAAAAGGACATACCATGCAAATACTAACCAAAAGAATGCTAGAATTGTCATATTAATATCAAAAAAAGTAGAATTCCAATGAAGGAAAGTTACCAAGGACCAAGAGGGACATTGTATAATGGTTAAAAGTGCCAATCTACCAAAAATACATAGCTATACTAAATTGGTATGCACCCAACAAAATATTGTGACAATACTAAAGCAAAAATTATAGAGGTAAAGGTAGAAATACAAAAATAATAGTGTAATTGGAGATTTCAACAGTCTTCTGTCAGTAATCATTAGAACAACTAGGCAGGAATCAGGAAGGATATATAATACCTGAAAATCACTATCAACCAAATTAACTTAAATGCCATTTTTAGACCACCTGACCCAATGAAAGCAGAATAAACATTGTTTTCAAGTGCACATGAAACATTCACAAATACCAACTGTGTCTTAAGTCATAAAACAAATCTTAACAGATTTAAAACATTCAAAGTGTGTTCTCTAACCATAGTGGAGTTGAACTAGAAAGCAGTAACAGAGAAATATTTAGAAAATCTCCCAAATATTTAGAAATTACACATTTCTGAATATTTCATTGGTCAAAGATAAAGTCAAAAGAAAATTAGAAGATATATTAAAGTAAATAAAAAATATACAACAGATCAAAATTTGTGGGATGCACTAAAGCAGTGCTTAGAGAAAAACTTACACAATCAAATGCATATGTTATAAAGGAATAAGGGTATCAAATCAATAACCTAAGTTTCTAACTCAGAAAACATGTAAAAAAAGAGCAAATTAAAACCAAAGTAAGAAGGAAAATAATAATAAATATAATATGGTTATTCTACTTAGAAAACTGCAAAGAATCTCCAAAAAATTCCTGAGTTAGTAAGATCACAGGATAAAATCTCAGCTATAAAAAGATATACAAGTCAACTTACAAACAAGTCACTTGTTCCCTCAAGAAACATGAATTTGGACAACTACTCACACTTGAAAATAGCTTCATAAAAGCTGAAGAACAAAAAGAAGGCAGTTGAGAGACTACAGCACTTGGGTGGAGCATAGAAATATAAAAATATGCATTAAAGAGGTAGCAAGGACAATTTCAAATGGTCCACATCACCGCTCCCAAAGCCCACGCAGCACAGCATGGAGAGAGATACCGACATATCTTGGAGAAATTGCAAGTTCAGTTCCAGACCACTGCAATAAAACAAATATCACAATAAAATAAATCACACAAGTTTTCAGGTTTCCCAGTTAATATAAAAGTTATGTTTACATTATACTGTAGTATATTAAGTATGCAATAGCTTTATGTCTAAAAAACAACGCACATTCCCTATTTTAAAAAAATACTTTATTGCTAAAAAATGCTGACAGATAGACACAAAGTAAGCATGTGACGTTGGAAAAAACAGTGCCAATAGATTTGCCTGATGCAGGGTTCCCTCAAACCTTCAATCTGTAAAAACTACAATATCTATGAAGCACAATGAAGTGAGATACAATACAATGAGGTATGCTTATACTTCCCACATGGGGAAAGGAGAGTCAAGGGAGCACCTGACATTACTACAGACCATAGCATCAACCCAGCCTCCAGGCCCTAGTGTCAGGCTGGCCTCCATAGCCCCAAGCATCAGGCCTACTCATACATGCACAAGCTCCCCCCACAGTGGACCTAGCTCCAGGCCTGCCTCCATAGACTCAGAAACCAGACTGGCCCCTGTGGACTCAGGTACCAGACACACCCACCAGTGGACCCAAAGAACAGGCTTGCCCAGAATCTCAGGATGGGCTGACTGGTGAAGGGCCTTGCATAAAGAGCCAATCTACAAAGACTGGAAGTGGCTACTTTCTCAAATGCAAAGCCACCAATTCAAGACCACAAGGATCAGAAATAATTAAAGAAACATGACACCACAAATGGAATAAAATAAAGCACCAGTAACCGACCTTAAAAAAATGGGGGTCCACATGAGGTAAAGGGGTGCATGGATAGGCAACTCAATAACACTAAGAAAACACTATATGAAGAAATTGAGAAGTTCAACAAAAAGATAAAACCGTAATAAAGAACCAAACCGAAATTCTGGAGTTGAAGAACACAAATGAACTTCCATAGTAGACTGGATCAAGCAGAAGAAAGAATCAGTGAACTTGAAACTGGGTCCTTTGAAATTACCCAGTCAGAGGAACAAAAAGAAAAAAGAATGAAAAAGATTAAAGAATGTCTACAGAACTTAATGGGGCATCATCAGCAGAACCAATACACACACTATGGAAGTAACAGAAAATGGAGAACAAGAGATGGGGTAGAAAGATTATTTAAAGTAATGACAGCAAACTATCCCAATCTGGAATGGGAAATGACACATCCAGATCCATGAAACCTGAAAAACCTCAAACAGATTAAACATAAAGAAATGTCCACTGACACACATTATAATCAAATTCTCAAAAGTCAAAAACAGAGAATTTTGAGAGCAATAGGAGAAAAGAAACTAGTTACAAAAGTATACCTTCGCCATAATAATACTATCAGTAGATTTCTTAGGAGACATCTTGCAGGCCAAAAGAGAGTGAAATGATATATTCAAATTGATAAAGAAAAACACTGTGAACTAAGAATACTATACCTGAAAAGGCTACCCTTCAGAAATAAAGGTGAGATAAGGACTTTCCCGGACAAAATCTGAGGGAGTTTACCATCACTAGATTAGCCTTACAAAAATGTTAAAGAAAGTTATTCAAGTTGAAATACAAAGATGCTAACTAATACTGTAAAATTATAAAACTCACTGTAAAATTTAAAGTATAGTAAAGTTCAGAAAATGCCAACGTTGTAATAGTGGTTCATAAATCACTTTTAACTCTAGTATAAGAGTTAAAGAACAAAAGAATTAAAATAACTAGAAATATAATAATTTCTTAATAGATACACAGTGTAAAAACTGTAATTAGTGACATCAATAACAAAAAATGTAGGGGGAGGAGAAGTTAAAGCAAAAGTTTTTGTATGCATTTGAAGTTGTTAGCTTAAAATAGACTGTTATAAGTAGAAGATGTTTTATGTAAGCCCCATGGTAACCAAAAGGAAAATCTTGTAGTAGATTCACAAAAGATAAAGAGAAAGCATACTATTATAAAAAAAAATCATCAAATCACAAAGGAGGACAGCAAGAGAGGAGAAAAAGAACAAAAACTGTAAAACAGTAAACAATTAACAACATAGCAGTAATAAGTCTTTACCTATCAATAATTACTTGAGTTGTAAATGTTAATTTCTCCAATCAAAAGCCAGTGGCTGAATGGATTAAAAATACAAGCTCAGATGATTTGCTGCCTACAAGAGGCTCGCTTTAGCTTTAAAGATACACATAAAATAGAAAAGAATTCATTAACAAAGATATTCTATGCAAGTGATAACTAAATGAAAGCAGGAATAGTTATGCTTACAACAAGCAAAAGAGACCTTAAGTCAAAAACTGCTACAGAAGACAAAGAAGGTCATTATATAGTAAAAAACAGTCAATGGATTAAGAAGATATAACAATTGTAAATACATATGTACCCAATGTTGAAGCAACTAAATATATGAAACAATATTAACATATTTGAAGGGAGGAATAGAGAGCAATAAAACAATAATAGGGAACTTCAATACCCCACTTTCAATGATAGGCAGAGCATCCAGACAGAAAGTGAATAATGAAACAGCAGATTTTAACAACACTATAGACCAAATGGACCTAACAGACATATAGAACACTCCATCCAATAGCAACAGAATACACATTCTTTTGAAGCACACACAGACATTCTCTGGAATAGATCATGTGTTAGGCTACAAAACAAGTCTTACCAAATTTAAGAACTTGGAAATTTGTTTTCCAAACACAATGGTATGGGACTAGAAATCAGTCAAAGGAAGAAAATTGGAAAATTTACAAATATGTGGAAATTAAACCACACACTTCTAAACAACCAATGAGTCAAAAAAGAAATCAAAAGGGAAACAAAAATAGAATCTTCAAACAAAAATGGAAGCACAGCAGAACAAAACTTATGAAATGCAGCAAAAGCAGTTCTAAGAGGAAAGTTTATAGCAATAACCATTTACAAAGAGGAAGAAAGAACTCAAATAAACAACCTAATCTTACACCTCAAGGAACTAGAAAAAGAACAAGCTAATCCAAAGTTAGCAGAAGGAAGAAATACTAAAGTTCAGAGAAAAAAATAAATGAAATGGAGACTAGAAGTAAATAGAAAAGACCAATGAAACTAAGAGTTGGTTTTGTGAGAAGACAAAAAGATCTAAAAAACATCTTTAGATAGACCAAGAAAAAAGACAAATAAATAACATCAGATATGAAAGAGGGGACATTACAACCAATACCACAGAAATACAAAGTACCATAAGAGCATACTGTGAACAGCTATATGCCCAAAAAAAGATAATCTAGAGGAAAGAGATTAATTCCTACACACATACAACCTACCAAGACTGAATTATGAAGAAATATAAAATCTGTACAGACTAAAGTTAAGAGACTGAAAGAGTAATCAAAAACCTCCCCACAAACAAAAGCCCAGGACCAGATGGCTTCACTGGTGAATTCCACCAACCATGTAAAGAAAAATTAATGCCAATCCTTCTCAAACTCTTCCAGACAATTAAATAGGAAGAACACTTTGGAACTCATTTTACAAGGCCAGCATTTTACAGTGCCAAACCCAGAAAAAAGCACTACAAGAAAAAATAATTATAGTAAAATAGCCTTGATGAATATAGATGAAACAATCCCTCATACTTTTCTTTCCAACTTGGGTCCTACAAAGGTAGCAAGACAAAGAAGAGCTATTCTGCCATTATTGAGGTACCTACCCAAGAAAATACAACCAATATTTATAAGTACATCTATGGAGTTCACTTCAAAAAGTGTGGCCCTTGGGCGCACAAAATGATCCAGAAATATGCCATGAAGGAGATAGAGACCTGAGATGTGTGCACTGAATAAGAAATAAGAAGGAATAAGAAATTTCCCATATCATGTCAGTGTGTGTTAGTCCAGAAAATATACTGAAGATGAAGTTTCACCAAACAAGCTCTATAGTTTGGTTACCTATGTACCTGTTACCACTTGTAAAAATCTACAGTCAGTGTAGACGAGAGCTAACTTCTAATTGTCAAATTTATAAAACCACAAAAAATACATATAGGCAAAATCCCTCAATAAAATAGTTGCAAAATAAATTTACCAGCACATTAAAAGAATCATACACTATGATATCTGGTTTCTTTTCAGATAATATAAATCTTTTGTCTTTTACTAAAAGAATCACACACCATGATCAAGTGGGATTTATCTCTGGGATGCAAGGATGTTTCAAAAAATAAAAAAATACGATATACCACTTTAACAGATTAAAGAATAAAAACCACATTATCATTGACATAGATGTAGAAAAAGCATTTGACAAAATTCAGTATCCTTTCATGATAGAAACCTCTCAACAAACTGGGTATAGAAGAAATGAAATTTAACATTATAAAGCTCACATATGACAAGCCCACAGCTAACATCATATCAATGTTAAAAAGCTCAAAGCTTTTCCTCTAAGATTAGGAACAACAAAAGGACACTTAATCTTGCCATTTCTAATCAATATACCACTGGAAGTCCTAGCCAGAGCAATTAGGCAAAAAAAGAAATAAAACCCACCCAATTTGGAAAACGAAAAAGTAAAACTGTCTCTTTGCAGATGGCATGATTTTACATACAGAAAACCCTAAAGATTCCCTCCAGAAAAAAACTGTTAGAAGTAATAAGCAAATTTGGTAAAACTTAAGTATACAAAATCAACATTAAAAAATTAGTTGTTTCTATACACTAACAAACTCTCTGAAAAAGAAATTAAGAAAACCATCCTATTTACAATAGTATCAAAAGAATAAACTAAGAAAATATTTAACCAAGGAAGTAAAAGACCTATAATTGAAAACTATTTGAAAAATGAATTGATGAATTTGAAGTAGACACAAAAAACGTGAAAGATATCTCATGTTCATTAATTAGAAGAAATAATGTTGTTAAAATGTCCATACTACCCAAAGGAACTTACAAATTCAATGCAATCTCTATCAAAATTCCAATGGCATTTTTAACAGAACTGGAAAAAATTGTAAAGTTTATATGGAAGCCCAAAACACCCCGAAGAGCTAATGCAACCTTGAGCAAGAAGAACAAAACTGGAGGCATCACATTATGTGATTTCAAAACATACTACAAACCTATAGTAATCAAAATAGCATGAACCTGGCAGGAACACAGGCATATAGACCAATGAAACAGAATAGAGAGCCCAGGAAACAAATCTACTCATTTACAGTCAGTTGATCTTTGATAAAGTTGCCAAGAACAAACAATGAAAAGGATAGTCTTTCAAAAAACGGTACTAGAAAAAGTTGTATATTCACATGCAGAAGAATGAAATTGGACCCTACCTCACACTCTATATAAAAATCAACTCAAGGCCAGGTGTGGTCGCTCATGCCTGTAATCCCAGCACTTCGGGAAGCCGAGGTGGGCAGATCACAAGGTCAAGAGATCGAGACCATCCTGGCCAACACGGTGAAACTCCGTCTCTACTAAAAATACAAAAATTAGCTTGGCGTGGTAGCATGCACCTGTACTCCCAGCTACTCGGGAGGCTGAGGCAGGAGAATCGCTTGAACCCCAGAGGCAGAGATTGCAGTGAGCCGAGATCGCACCACTGCACTCCAGCCTGGCAACAGAGCGAGACTCCATCTCAAAAAAAAAAAAAAAAAACAACAACTCAAAATTAATAAAATATAGACCTGAAATTATAAAACTGCTAGAAGAACAAAATATAATAAGCTTCTTAACATTGGTTTGGGCAAAGACTTTTTGAAGATGATCCCAAAAGCACATGCAGCAAAAACAAATATAGACAAATGGAATCACATCAAACTAAAATGCTTCTGTATACCAAAGGAAACAATAAACAGAATGAATAAACAACCTATGGAATAGGAAAAAATATTTGCAAAGTATATATCTGATAAGGGTTATTATCCAAAATATATTAGAAATTCAAACAAATCACTGGCAAGAAAATAATTAAGTTTTTTAAATGGACAAAGGAACTGAATATACATTTCTCCAAAGAAGATATACAGGTAGGCAACAGGTACATGAAAAAAATTATCAACATTACTAATCATCAGGGAAATGCAAGTCTAAACCACAATGAGATATCACTGCACACATTTTACAATGGCTATTTTCAAAAAAAGATAACAAGTGTTGGCAGGAATGTGAAGAAAAGTGAACCCTTATTTACTGTTGGTGGGAATATAAATTGATACAGCCATTATGGAGAACTATGTGGAGCATGCTCAAAAAATTAAAAATCAAACTACATATGATCCAACAATCCCATTACCTGGCATATATCCAAAGGAACTGAAATCAGTATGTTGAAGAAATGTATGCATTCCCATAATAACTGCAATAATTGCAGCATTATTCACAATAGCCAACATATGGACTCAACCTAAATGTCCATCAAGGGATGAATGAATTTTTAAAATGTGAGGATGCATACATGCACACAAACCCCACACATGCACACACACACACACACGTAATGGAATACTATTTAGCCTTTAAAAAGAAGATGAGGCCAACATCATCCTGATACCACAACCTAGTAGAGACACAACAAGAACAGAAAGCTTCAGGCCAATATCCTTGATGAACACAGATGCAAAAATCCTCAACAAAATACTAGCAAACTGAACCAGCAGCACATCAAAAAGTTAAATCCACCACAATCAGGTAGGCTTTATCTCTGAGACGCACGGTTGGTTCAACACTTGCAAATTAATAAATTTGATTCATCACATAAAGAGAAATAAAAACAAAAACCACCTGATCATCTCTATAGATGCAGAAAAGGCTTTCAATAAAATTCAATGTCCCTTCATGTAAAAAACAAACTAGGCATTAAAGCAAGATACTTCAAAATAATAAGAGCCATTTATGACAAACCCACTGCCAGCAACATACTGAATGGATAAAAGCAGGAAGCATTCCCCTTGAATACTGAAACAACACATGGATGCCCACTTTCACCACTCCTATTCAACATAGTACTGGAAGTCCTAACCAGAGAAATCAGGCAAAAGAAAGACATAAAAGGCATCCAGATAGGAAAAGCAGAAGTCAAACTATCTCTGTTTGCAGACAATATGACTTTATACTAGAAACCCCCACAATATCTGTCCCCAAACTTCTAGATCTGATAAACAACTTTAGCAAAGTTTCAGGATATAAAATCGATATGCAAAAATCAGTAGCATTTCTATACACCAACAACGTCCAAGCTGAAAGCCAAATCCAGAATGCAATCCCATTCACAATAGCCACAAAAAAATAAATAAACAGAGTATCTAGGAATACAGCTAACCAGAGATGTGAAAGAGCTCTACAACAAAAATTATAAAACACTGCTGAAAAAAATCAGAGATGAAAAAAACAAATGGAAAAATATTCCATGCTCATGGATAGGAAGAATCAATATTGTTAAAATTGTCAAATTACCCAAAGCAATCTATGATTCAATGCAATTCCTATCAAACTACCAATGACATTTTTCACAGAATGAGAAAAAAAAATTCTAAAATTCACATGGGACCAAAAAAGGCCCCAATTAGCCAAAGCAACCCTAAGCAAGCAGAAGCTGGAAGCATCACATTATCCAACTTCAAACTATGCTACAAGACTACAGTAATCAAAACAGCATGATACTGGTACAAAAACAGACACATAGACCAATGGAACAGAATAGAAAGCCCAAAAATAAAACCGCACACCTACAAACCATCTAATCTTCGACAAAGTCGACAAAAACAAGCAATGGGGAAATTACCCACTGTTCAATAAATGGTGTTGGGATAACTGGCTAGCCATATGCAGAAGATCAAAACTGGACCCCTTCCTTTTACCATATACAAAAATCAACTCAAGAAAGATTAAACACTCAGATGTAAAACCTAAAACTATAAAAACCCTAGGAAATACCATTCTAGACATAGGTCCTAGCAAACATTTCGTAACAAACAAAACCATTCAATTGCAACAAAAACAAAAATTGACCAATAGGACCTAACTAAACTAAAGAGCTTCTGCACAGCCAAACAAATTATCAGCAGAGTAAACAGACAACCTACTGAATGGTAGAAAATATTTGCAAACTATGCCGCCGACAAAGGTCTAATATCTAAAATCTATTTAAAAAATTAAACAAATTAACAGGTAAAAAAAATCAAACAAGCCCATTAAAAAGTAGGCAAAGGATATGAACACACACTTTTCAAAAGAAGACATACATGTGGCCAACAAGCATATAAAAAATGCTCAACATCACTAATCGTTAGAGTAATATAAATCACAACCACAATGATATACCATCTCACACCAGACAAAACGGCTATTATCAAAAGGTCAAAAAATAACAGATGCTGGCAAGGTTGTAGAGAAAAGAGAATGCTTATACATTGCTGGTGAGAGTGTAAATTAATTCAGCCACTGTGAAGGCAATGTAGCAATTTCTCAAAGAACTTAAAACATAAGTAGCATTCAACTCAGCAATTCCATTACTGGGTATATACCCAAAGGAATATGAATCATTCTACCATAAAGACACAGGCATGCATATGTTCATCACAGCACTATTCACAATAGCAACAATAAAGAATCAATCTAAATGTCCATCAACAGTAGACTGGATAAAGAAAATGTGGTGCATATACACCATGGAATACTACACAGCCATAAAAAATAAGGTCCTTTGCAGCAAAATGCATGGAGCTGGAGGCCATTATCCTAAATGAACTAACAAAGAAACAAATATTGTTTGTTTCTCAAATATTGCATGTTCTCACTTATAAGTAGGAGCTAAACATTGAGTACACATGGACACAAAGAAGGGAACGATAGATACCAGGCCTACTTAAGGGTGAGGGTGGGAGGAGGGTGACGATAGAAAAACTATGTATCACGTACTGTGCTTATCACCTGGGTGATGAAATATTCTATATACCAAACCTCTGCAACATGCAATTTACCACATAACAAACCTGCACATGTACCCCTGAACCTAAAACAAAGGTTTAAAAAACAAAATAAATGAAAACAAGGAAATCCTGTCATTTTCAACAACATGAATGAAACTGGAGGACACTGCATAAAGTAAAACAAACCAGACACATAAAAACAAATACTGCATTGTTTTACTTATATGTGGAATCTAAAAGAGCAGAACTCAAAAGTAGAGAACAGAATGACAGTTGCCAGAGACTAGGAGTTAGGAGAAACAAGGAGATGTTGGTCAAAGGGTACAAAGATTCAGTTATGCAAGATTAATAAGTTCTGGAAATCTAACAGAATAGTATCTACAGTTAAAAAACTATATTATACTGCATACTTGAAATGCTACAAGATCTTTCTTCATTTCTTTTCTTCTTATTGTAAAATAATATGAGAAAAACATTTAATTTTTTTAAGTGAAATAAATTGTTATTAAATTTTTAAATGAAATTCTAAGACAATCAATTTAAATATTCTCACCAAAAGAAATTTCCCACCATAAAGAAGTAATTATTCAAGGTGATTGATATGTTAATTAGTTGAATAGCAGTAATCATTTCACAATGTATACTTATATGAAAACATGTTATTCACTTTAAATATATACAATTTTAATTAGCTAATTATTTGTAAATGAAGCTGGGGGAATTTTTTTTTTTTTTTCTTGAGACGGAGTCTCACTCTTGTTGCCCAGGCTGGAGTGCAATGGCATGATCTTGGCTCACCGCAACCTCCGCCTCCTGGGTTCAAATGACTCTCCTGCCTCGGCCTCCTGAGTAGCTGGGATTACAGGCATGCACCATCATGTCCGGCTAATTTTGTATTTTAAAAGAGACAGAGTTTCTCCATGTCAATCAGGCTGGTCTCGGACTCCCCACCTCAGGTGATCGGCCCACCTCGTCCTCCCAAAGTGCTGGGATTATAGTAGTGAGCCACTGTGCCCGGCCAAAATTTTCTAACGACAACAAAACATATACAAACCCATTCTGTAAATATATATTAGCAACAGACAATTGAAAACCAAAATTTTGCAACAGTACCATTAAAGATAGTTGAAAAAAATTAATGCTTAGGTAAGAATCTTAAAAAGTATGTACAAGATAAGTGCTAAGAACTATTAAATGCTGATTGAAGAATTCTAAGATCTAAATGAACCAATAAAAAATACCATGCCCATGATTTAAAAGATTCAGTTTACTTACTCTGTCAACAATGCCCAAACTTTACAGATTTAACACAGGCCTGGTCAATGTTGGTCTCAGTCCATTTTCTGCTGCTATGACAGAATACCACAAACTATGTAATTTAAAGAGAAAAGGCTGGATGTGGTGGCTCATGCCTATAATCTCAGCACTTTGGTAGGCTGAGGTGGGAGAATCACTTGAGCCCAGGAGTTTGAGACCAGCCTGGGCAACATAGGGAGACCTAGTCCCTACAAAAAGTATAAATAAAAATAAATCAGCCAGGTGTGGTAGCATGCACCTGTGGTCCAGCTACTTGGGAGGCTGAGGCGGCAGGATTACTTGAGCCTGGTGGGGAGGGAAGGGTTAGAGGCTGCAGTGAGCCAAGATCATGCCAGTGCACTCCAGCCTGAGCGACAAAGTGAGACCCTATCTCTAAATAAATAAACAAATAAAATTAGAAAATGGTCCTTTATTTGGGTACTGGTTCTGAAGCCTGCGCAGTTCACTTTCTTGCTGCATCATAACATGATGGAAAGCATCACATGGCACAGAAGTGCATGCACAAGACAGAGAGAGAAAAGGGGGGAATGAATGCTCATAACATTAATCCATTCATGAGGGCAAAACTCTCATGACCTCATCACTCGTAAAGATTCCACCTTTTTTTTTTTTTTTTTTGAGAGAGACAGTCTCACTGTGTCGCCAGGCTGGAGTGCAGTGGCATGATCTCAGCTAACTGCAACCTCCGCCTCCTGGGTTCAAGTGATTGTCCTGCCCCAGCCTCCCAAGTAGCTGGGACTACAGGCGCCCGCCACCACGCCCAGCTAATTTTTGTATTTTTAGTAGAGACGGGGTTTCACCATGTTGGCCAGGATGGTCTCGATCTCCTGACCTCTGATCTGCCCGCCTTGGCCTCCCAAAGTGCTGGGATTACAGGCGTGAGCCACTGTGCCCAGCCAAGATTCCATCTATTAATATCATCATAATGGCAATTAAATTTCAACGTGAGTTTGGAAGGGAACATTTAAACCATAGCAATATCTCAGTAGGATGTTTTTGTAGGTATAGAAAAGCTGATTCTAAACTTTATGTAAAAGGCAAAGAAGCCCAAACAAACAAAACAATTATGAAAAATAGAACAAAATCGGAAAACTCACACTCCCTGATTTTAAGTTTTAATGCAAAGCTACAATAATGGAGACAGTGTCATAATGGAGAAAGGACAGACCACGGATCGAAGGAACAGAAAAGATATCCAGAATAGGCTTATGTAAATATGGATTTTTTTGTTTTCTTTTTAAGAAACAGGGTTTTACTCTGTTTCCCAGGCTGAAGTGCATTGGTATGATTATAGCTCACTGTAACCTCAAACTCCTGGGCTCAAGTGATCCTACTAAGTAGCCAGGATTACAGGCACATGCCACAATGTCCAGCTAATTTTTAAATTTTTTGTAGAGACAGGGTATTGCTATGTTGCCCAGGCTGGCCTCGAACTCCTGGCCTCAAGCAATCCTCCTGTTTTGGCCTCCCAAAGCACTGGAATTACAGGCATGAGCCACTACATCAGACCATTAATCAGCTTCTGATAAAGATGAACAGTCAGTTCAGTGAAAAAAGAATGGTCTTTTCAATAAATGTTGCTCATAAAAGATACACTTTAAAAAAAAAGAAACTCAACCAATACCTCATATGATATAAAAAATTAACTGAAAATTTACCCTAGAATTAAATATAAAATATAAAACTATAAATCTTTTAGGAGAAAATATTTGCTACCTTGTGTTAGGCAAAAAGTCCTTAAATATGATTTTTAAAAAAAGCACTATCCATTACTAAATAATTGGTAAATTAAACTAAAATTTAAACCTTTTAGTATAACACTATTAAGTGAATGAAAAGACAAGCTACAGACTGGGAGAAAATATCTGCAAATCACGTATCTAACATATCTAATCACATAAGTAACAGTTAATTTTATTAATATGTGTCAACTTGACTTGGTTAAGGGATTCACAACATGAAACATTATTTCTGGGTGTGTCTGGGAGGCTGTTTCTCGAAGAGATTAGCCTTTGAATGGGTAGACAGAGTAAAGAAGATTGCCATCGTCATTTTTGATAGGCACCAGCCAATCCATTGAGGGCCTGAAGAGGACAAAAAACTGGAAGAAGGGTGAATTTGCTCTGTGGTTGAGCTGGAATATCCATTTTCTCCTGCTCTGAGACATTGATGTGCCTTGTTTTCAGGCCTTGGGTTTGAACTGGAACTATACCACTGGCTTTCCTGGGCTTTCAATTTGCAGATGGCAAATCATGGGACTTCTTAGCCTCCATAGTTGCATGAGTCAATCTCTCATAATCAATTTCTTTCCATATCTCTCTCTCTCTCTACTGCTTCTGTTTCTCTGGAAAACCTGACTAAATACACCAAAAAAGGTCTTCAAGACAGAAAAGATTATTCTCTAAACCCAGTAAGAAATCAAATAACTCAATCTAAAAATAGGCAACAATTTTGAGGATAATTTATCAAAGGGAAATACTAATGGCAATACACTCACGAAAAGATGCTCAATATTATTAGATATCAATGCAAATTACAAACACAATAAATCTTAATCAAACTCACAGCAAGTTATTTTGTGGATATCGACATACTGATTCTAAAGTTTACATGGAGAAGCAAACACCCAGAATAGCCAAGGCATTAGTCAAGGAGACAAAATCATAGGACTGATGACACTACCTGATTTCAAAAACGACTGTAAACTTATGATAATCAACACAGTGTGACATTGGTGAAAGAACAGACAAACAGATCAATGGAAAACAATAGAGAACCCAGAAATAGACACACATAAATATAGTCAATCTTTGACCAAGAAGCAAAGGTAATACAATGGAGAAAAGTTAGTCTTTTCAGCAAAAATTAACTCCAAATTAATCATTGACATAAATGTAATATGCAAAAATATAAAACTCCTAGAAGATAACATAGGAGAAAATTTAGATGACCTTGGGTATGGTGAAGACTTTTTAAATTCAACACCAAAGGCACAATCCATGAAAGAAATAATTGATAAGCTAGACTTCACTAAAACTAAAAACTTCTCTGTGGAAGACACTGTTAAGAGAATAAGAAGACAAGCCACAGACCAGGAGAAAATATTTGCAAAAAACATATCTGATAAAGCACTGTTACTCAAAATATACAAGTAACTCTTTAAGCTCATCAATAAGAAAATGAACGACCCAATTAAAAAACGTGCAGAAGATCTGAACAGACATGCACCAAAGAAGACATAGAAACGACAGGTGAGGCTGGGCGTGGTGGCTCACGCCTGTAATCCCAGCATTTTGGGAGGCCAAGGCAGGTGGATCACTTGAGGTCAGGAGTTCAAGAGCCGCCTGGCCAACATGGTGAAACCCCATCTCTACGAAAAATACAAAAATTAGCCGGGCATGGTGGCGCACCTCTGTGATCCCAGCTACTTGGAGGCTGAGGCAGAAGAATTGCTTGGACCTGGGAGGCAGAGGTTGAAGTTAGCCGAGATGGTGCCACTGCACTCGAGCCTGGGTGACAGACAGAGTGAGCCTCCATCTCAAAAAAAAAAAAAAAAAGAAAAAGAAAAAAGAAAAGAAATGGCCGGTGAGCTTATGAAAAGATGATCAACAACATGTCATTAGAGAATTTCAAATTAAAACAACAGGCTATAACTACACACCTATTAGAATGGCCAAATCCAAAACACTGACAACACTAAGAGCTTTCAAGGTTGTGGAGCAACAGGAACTCTCATTAACTGCTAACGGGAATGCAAAGTGGTACAGCTATTTTGGAATACAGTCTGGCGGTTTCTTACAAAATGAAACATTCTCTTACCATACGATCCAGTAATTGCACTCCTTGGTATCTTTCCAAATGAGTTGAACACTTAAATCCACACAAAAACCTGTACTCAAACGTTTATAGCCGTTTTAGTCATAATGGCTAATATAGTTCGGATGTTTGTCTCCTCCAAATCTCAGGTTGAAATGTGATTTCCATTGTTAGAGGTAGGGCCTGGGGCGAGGTGACTGGATTATGGAGGTGGATCTTTCACGAATGGTTTAGCACCATCCTTTTGGTGATAAGTGAGCTCTTGCTCAGGTAGTTCACAGGAGATCTGGTTGTTTAAAAGTCTGGGACCTCCCCGTGCCCCTTGCTCCTGCTTTCACCATGTGACATGCCCCTCTTGGCCTTTCACCACAATTGTAAGCTTCCTGAGGCCCTCTTGAGAGGCTGAGCAGATGTTGGTGCCATGCTTGTACAGCCTGCAGAACAATGAACCAATTAAACCTCTTTTCTTTATTGATTAGCCAGCCTCACCTATTGCTTTATAGCGATGTGATGTATAGATATGTGCATAAATCTTATTTGTGCATAAATGATTTGCATCACATAGATTGTGATGCAAACAATCTAATACAATTGCCAAAACCTAGAAGCAACCAAGATGTCCTTCAGTTGGTGAATGGATAACTAAACTGTGGTACACCCACAGAAGGGAATATTATTTAGGTCTAAAAAGAAATGAGCTATTAAGCTATGAAAAGACATGGACATTTATTCAAACTTTAGGACATTTATTAGGATAGTTATCCTAAATGTCAGATAAGACATTTAAGTGCATTATAAACATAAGAGGCCAATCTAAAAAGTCTACATATTATATGATTTTAAGTATATGACATTGGAAAAGACAAAACTATAGAGACAGTAGAAAGATCAGTAGTTTCCAGGGGTTAGGTTGGAGGACAGCATGAATAGACAGAGTATAGAATATTGTTAGGACAGTGAAACTATTGATGTGATATTACTATGATAGATACATGTCATTGTACATTTGTTAAAACCATAGATGGTACAACAAAAAGAGTGAACCATAATGTCAACTATGGACTGTGGGTAACTATGATGTATTAACGTAGGTTCATCTATTGTAGCAAGTATACTACTTTGGTGTGGGATGTTGATAGTGGGGGAGGCTGTGAGTGTGTAGGGCAGGAGGCTTATATGAGAATTCTCTTTACTTTCTGCTTAATTTTGCAGTTAACTGCTCTAAAAATAAAAGTCTGTTTTAGAAAACATACACAATGAGATGCCACTATACACCGCCTAGAATGGTTAAAATTAAAAAGACTAACCATACCGGCAAGCATGTGAGGTAACTTTTTTATATTTTTGGGTGAAATGTAAAATGGTACAACTACTTTGGAAAATTTTAAAAGTTTCGTATGTCAAGTTAAATACATCTACTACATGATCCACTATTTTCATTTGTGCATGTTTACCCAGCCTGACAAATAAAAACATAGGGAAAAAAAAAAAAAACATTATTCTGAAGGGGGTCCATAGATTTCTCCAGACTGCCAAAGGCAACCCTGCCACAGAAAGATTAAGAACCCCTGAATAGAATTCCCTGCTGTGGGCAGATGCTTACTGTCTGCTTGGGTCATCTCTGGAGTCCATATGATTTATACAATCTCAAGAAGTTACACACTGTATGGCTCTATATAATGTTCTTGAAATGACAAAGTTGTAGACATGGATACCAGATGAGTGGTTACCAGGAGTTAGGGATGGTGGAAGAAAGGTGATGAACATGGCTATAAAGAAGTTGCATTCTACTGGAGCCACCTGCAAAAATTTGGCCAGGACTCTCGCTCTGGTCTGCTCAAACCGGCCTGGTCTGATCTGGAAATAGGGCCTCAATATGTGCCACCAGTGTTTCTGTCAGTATGCAAAGGACATAGCTTTTATTAAGCTGGATGAAGTGATCTTCCTTAAATGGAATATCCAAGCCACCTACCAATGAAAGAAACCATGTTAGATCTTTGTACATAAAATTTTTAAAAAGATGAGGGAGTCCTGTTGTGATGGAACAGTTCTTTATCTTGAACACGGTGGTAGTTATACCAAGCTACAACAAGTGATAAAATTTGCATAGAACTGGCTGGGCGCAGTGGCTCACACCTGTAATCCCAGCACTTTGGGAGGCTGAGGCAGGTGGATCACGAGGTCAGGAGATCGAGATCATCCTGGTTAACACGGTGAAACCCCGTCTCTACTAAAAACATAAAAAATTAGCCAGGCGTGGTGGAGGGCGCCTGTAGCCCCAGCTACTCGGGAGGCTGAGGCAGGAGAATGGCGTGAACCTGGGAGGCAGCGCTTGCAGTGAGCCGAGATCGCGCCGCTGCACTCCAGCCTGGGCGACAGAGCGAGACTCTGCCTCAAAAAATAAAAAATTTGCATAGAACTAAATACACACACACGAATGAGTGTGTGCAAAACTGGTGACATCTGAGTAAAGTTGATGATGAATTATATCAATGTCAATTTCCTAGTTGTGATATTGTTAAGCCATGTGGTACCATTGTGGGAAACTGAGTGAAGGGTATATGTATCCCTGTGTATTATTGCTTATAACTGTATGTGAATCTAAAATTATCTCAAGATGAAACTTTTAAGATATTCATCACTCCTATTCATCAATAGGCACAAAAAAGGCAGTGAAAAGATAAGCACAAACCAGGAGAAGATATTTGTCTTAGTAACAACGGATTAATATAGAGACTGTAAAGAATAAGAAAGAAAATGATCAACAACCCAATAGAAAAGTGGCAAAGACACTTCACAGAAGATGACAGATGACCAATAAACATATAAAAATGTGGTGCATCTTATTACTAACTAGCAAAATGCTGATTAAACTTATAACAATACAGCATAACAACAGGATTACAAATTTTATATATATACATAAAATATATATGTGTGGGTGTATATATATATCTATATATATATATACACACACACACGCATGCACACACCATACCAAACATTAGGAAAGACTTAGAGCCTCAGGAACTCTCATACATTGCTGGTGAGTGTGGAAATTGGTGAAATTCACATTGGGAAACAACTAGGCATAACCTAGAAATTTGAATTTGGTGCATGCATACTTCATGATCCAGTAATTCCACTCCTTGGTCTATTTACAGAAATTCTTGCCCACTTGTACCAGAAGACATGTTCTTATCTTCTCTTTTTCTAATAGCAAAAATTAAAACCATGCAAAGAAACTTCATCTGTAGAATGAATTCACAAATTATGGTACATTCATTTAATGAATTCCTCAACAACATTGTAAATAAATGAACCACAACTGTACACATCCACATGGATGAACTGCTGGAGTATAATAGTGAGCAAAACGGACAAGTTGCAGAACAAAACATACAATATAACTCCAACTTATATATAGTGTAGAAACATATGTAGGTTAAAAATTTAAAAGCAAAAGAAGGGAAAGTATCAAGTAAATGTATAATGTGATTACCTTTGAGGGGAGTTGGAAGAGATGGATTTGAAAAAGCACCAGGAAGAACTGATGTACTAATTCTTAACATGAGGGGGAAACAGATGCTTACTTTATTATTATTTTTAAAATCTACCTGTACATTATATGTCTCTATGTATTTATGATATATTTTATAATGTAAAAGTTTAAAAATAACAAAAGCAGGATAAAATGTGAGTCACGCTCACGACCTAAATGAATAGACTCTAAGACAGGCAGTTGACTTAAATCTCTGAAAATCAAACTGTGTAAAAGGAACAAAGCACCTGAGAAAAACTACTGCTCAAGACCCAAGTTTTGTTTCCCTAAGTGAGCGCCTAAACTTGCAACTGACTTATGATCCCTGGGTAGTTTAAATTTATAATTCTGAGAGATCCTTCGATAAACTCCACAGTTTTGTAAGGAATGGGGCCATAATATTACCAAATTATGAATGTCCAAATTATAATGTCCAAAGTAGCAGCCTAAGTTTAGTTTTTGATGCAGCTTACATTTTTCCATTTTTATGATTATTCCCTTTTCATCTGAACCTCTGAGTCAATTTTCATGGCTATAATAAAAAGAAAGTCAAAGCCAAGAAAAACTGATTACAGACACAATATCCGCAAGATAAAATTTCAGAGAATACACATTCTACAATTCACATCCTAAAGGTGTCATAATAGCCTTATGGACATTTCATTGACAATGACCTTTAAAAGAAATAAATTTTTGTTCAGTCTGCCCTGGACTTAAACAAAGCCAGCAAGATTTTGCACCGTGTTTTATCACCAGGTCTGTAGGAAATGAAAAATAATGGTGAGATTCTGAATAAAATATTGAAACAAATAACCAGGGAAAAAATATTGCCTTGACAGTACTGTGAAGTGACTTGGTGCTGGGCAGGAGATATTCCATTAATGCTGATTAGAACAACACAGCTTTGAGACTTGGATTGCAAAAGCCCTCCCTCATTAAAAGAAGTCCATATGGCTTCCAAACCTATCTAAGACCCCCAACTATGTGCTTTCTTCAGCCTCAGATCTTTAATCAACACAGATGCTGAGATTTTAGCCAAGGTGCTTGCCCTGCATCTGAATAAACTTTTCCTGCAATTAATTAACCCAGACCAAGCAGTTTTTGTGCTGGTCACAGATCCTCGGGCAACCAGAAGAGACCCTCATCCATCATCTCACAACACCAAAACCCCCATTTATATCGCGTCCTCTGACTCCAAGGAGGCATCTGTGGAGAGAGGGAGCCAGTTTATGTTTCAAATGTTAGCTGCATTTGGAATGAAATGGGTTTTTCTTCTTTAATGCCACCAGATTCCATCTCCTCATACTTTATGAAATGAAGCTTGTCCATTATTTTAAGAAACAACAAGTTTCTTTACGTTTTCGTTGTTCAATATACTCAAAGATTTTTTTCCAGATATACATACACTTTGTTACAGGTAACAACTAAATATTCATACTTTTAACATCGTGTAACCCAAACTAGTAAATGAATTTGATTTACTACTAATCCATTTTCCACAATGCTGAGGTCTCCTTGAAAACAATTTTAAATCTAATCCCTGTCAATATTGAATTTAAAAAAAGAAAACAGATTTCCTTGATTTTTCCTCAAGGTTTTGATACTATCTCCCTAAATTAAGAGTGAGAAGAAGGCAGAATTGGAGAATGTTTTTATAATTCTTTAACATTATAAAAGCAACAAACATTTTCTCCATTAACAGGTGAAGATTAAGGAAGGATTATAAAATTTACGTGAATGTTAACAGCAGTACAAGAAACTGGCAGTGGGAGGTAGGTGGGAAAACGTCAACACCCTATCCTGATTCTCTGCTGTTTATGGAGTACAAATTTCATATTATCCCAAAACTGACTATTCTAATTCTCTCTCTCATTCCAACCTGTACAAGTTCTAGTAATTTCCATTTCCAGTCTCCTTGTGGTTTCTCTAAATATTTTATTTAATATTGATCAGAAAGTTGTCTTGACATTTTCTTTTATGCTTGTTGATCTTTGTTTATTACATATTTGGACTAAAATATTTTTCAGAGGAAGATAGTTTCAAAATCATGATAGAAAATATATTGAGATAACACAATTCAGGAGGCATACGGTTAAAACAAAAAAGGCTTTTATCAAACTTACCTATTCCAAATATCTGTGAATTCTTGAATTTTATACTGTGATCACCGACTGTCATGGAAAGCTATCCACTGTGTATTTAGTTAGGTAAATAAATAAGAACATTTTGTTGCAGATAAAACTACTTCTATTCTTCTGCTAAGTTACATGTTAAATGCTCCTTTCATGGTATCACATCCTTCCACAATGATTTCTGACATTAATAAAGTCTACATATTAGGCGGAAAAAAGGCTCTCTCAGTTGCATTTCTCAATCATAGCTTTTTAATCAGATTCATTCAAATGAATCAACTAATATCTTGTTTCAAGAGCCATCAGTAAGTAAACTAAAACTAAAGTGCACTTTAATAAAACAAATTAAATGCAACTATTACTCCAGAGCAACAGATAGTAGAACTCAGTTCACTAAAATAAATCGTGTAAGTTATTTAGTATATTGGGTGAAGATCAGTTTGTGAAGGGAAACCCATTTTCTCTTCTGATTCTCTTTAAATTTTTTTAACCTTACTAAATTTGGCAAATTATTGAGTCAAAAATCATGTTTTCATGATTTAGAAATATTAATAATACTACACAGGAATTACACTGTTATATTTAACATACTGGAATTTACAACATATCGAATCCCTTGCAAAAGGTGTCATAATTCATGTATTAAATGTAAACTAACCAGAATTGTAGTGCAAATAATAATAATTACAACCTATTGTATTATACCCCATTTGAATTACTTAATAATGATCACTGTAATGCCATTCAAAGGTGACCTTAAAAAAATAAACAAGCCTGGGTAAGTTAATGAAAAATATATAAAAAACATAAAAATTAAACTTAAAAGCGAAAAACCTCAACAACCACATTTTTGTAAATAGAACCCCAAGAAGAAGCCTTTATAACAGAAAAGTTACAAAATCATACCATTTAAATACTTTCAAGTTTCAAATGTATTCTAGACATGTAAGGAAATTGTTTTTGTTAAACTAGTCATAAGAATCATCTTTGTTAAAACTTTTTTTTTTTTTTGAGACCGAATTTCGCTCTTCTTGCCCAGGCTGGAGTGCAATGGTGCGATCTCGGCTCACTGCAACCTCCACCTCCCAGGTTCAAGTGATTCTCCTGCTTCAGCCTCCTGAGTAGCTGGGGTTACAGGCGTGCGCCACCACACCTGGCTAATTTTTTGTATTTTTAGTAGAGATGGGGTTTCACCATGTTGGCCAGGCTGGTCGCGAACTCCTGACCTAAGGTGATCCACCCGCCTTGACCTACCAAAGTGCTGGGATTACAGGTGTGAACCACTGCGCCTGGCCAGGATCATCGTTCTAAAAGTAAAATCTAAGTTCGATCTTCTTTCAAGAAGTATCAAAATAAATAATAATAATACACTACTCTAAAAGGATAAAACACAAAGAGACATTATACTACTGAAACTACGATTAATCCAAAGATTCAGATTCATTACCTTGTATGTGCACATATTTGCATATGTGTAGAAAAATATTTACAGTCAAATTTTTCTGAAAAAGAAACAATGAGATGAGATCTTATTACTTAATTCTCAAATTACTAGGTAGGAAATAATTTTCTAGTTCAAATTATTTGTAATTAATCATTCTACCACAAATTACTTTTATACTAGTAATTGTAGTACTGTATTTATAATAATTATGTATAATTAGCATTTCTAATTTCACAAGATCTTTTTTGAGAAAATCATGGGGCCTTCATATGGGAAAGACAAGCTTATAATGAGATTCTTACAGCAATTTTGTAATTTAAATCTGTTAAATGTCATGTAAGTAGAACATAGTTTTATTGAAATTTGTCTTTAATAAATGAAGTTACATTGAGGTTTATGTCACTTGTACTTATATTGTGGGTGACAGTCAGGCAAACGTGTTCTACATCTACTTATCAAATGATTTTTTAAAAGTACTCTGGCCATTAGTGTTAGAAATATATTTAAAAGCCTTATACATATTGTTTTCTGTTGTGTTCATTTAGCAAAAAATAGTTGTTTTCTAAGAATTTGCCTAGAGAATATTATGTTTCTATTCAAGAATATTAACCAAAAAATTACCTGGGGTACAGAGGAATCTGGGGAAAAAATAAATTTTATTATCTCCATATTTAAATTGCTAAAGATTATTATTATTATTATTATTATTATCACAGTTGGGTTTTTTAGAGGCAATGTCTGGCTCTGTTACCCAGGCTGGAGTGCAATGACTCAATCTTAGCTCACTGTAACCTCAAGCTCTTGGGTTCAAGCAATCCTGCCTCAGCCTCCTGAGTAGCTATGAATACAGGCACATACCACCACACCTAACTAATTTTCAAACTTTGTACAGACAGGGTTTTGCTATGTTGCCCAGGCTGGTCTGGAACTCCTGGCCTCAAGAGACCCTCTTGCCTCAGCCTCTCAAAGCATTAGGATTATAGCCATGAGCGACCACACCCAGCTGAGGTTACTCTGAATTAAATAACAGAATGGCACTGATTTTTCTTAGGAGTAGAAATATTTAAATTTCACAAAATAAGTAAATATTGAAATTAGTTAACTAAAGAGATTTTCAAAAAGAGATTAAGGGTAGAGTGATGTTGGGGTGATGGAAAAGTTTGGAAACTGGTGAAAAAGTTGCACAACTGTGTGAATGCAGTTAATGTCACTGAATTGCACAGTTAAAATGGGTAAAATGGCAAATTTTGTGTTACATTTATTTTACAGCAATAAGAGAAAAAGAGAGAGATTATTTGGTTCCGTGATGAGGATACCCACAAAGAATTAGTTGTGCAGTCATTATAGTCCTGTCTATACAAGGTGCTTATCTTTGAGAATCACATAAATATTCTATACCTCAATTCCCACTTGGCAGTGGTTGTATTTTCCACATCCACAGAAGGCTTGCAGAAGGAAAATGAAAGGAGTTATTAAGAAGAATAAGGTCAGTGTAGAAAATAACATACAAAATAAGGGAAAATGGCATTATGAAAAAGGTTAATGGTATGTTTCAGAAGATAGATGTTATTTATTTATGCCAAAATCTTCTTCACAGAAATATTTAAAGCCACCTGGAACAGGCACTCAAATATAAGGATATTGGAATGGAGGCTTAGTGGTACAGTTTAATCAGGTTATTGGATGAAAATTTTGTTCCTGTATTATCAGTAGAGCCTTATTTACACTACTTGTGCCAATCACTGGTCTAAACTTAAGGAATACAAATATCAACCATGTCTGTCCTAAACATCGTATTCAAAACATCGAAAAAGAGAGTGTTATGGTCAGTGAATGTTGGCCCTTATTATCTTTGGCTTAGTGTGTATGCCTATAAATATGGTACCTTGCATTGCAAAAGTAAATCAGGTTGCAGATAAAATAAAGATTGCTAAGTAGTAGACCTTAAAGTAGGGAAATTATCCCTGAATGGGACCAGTGCAGTCCTTAAAATAAAAGAGGAAGGTAGAATCACAAGTCAGAGAGATAAAGCAGGAGAAATTCGTAGCGTAAGAGGGAGTAGACCCACCGCTGGCTTTGAAGCCAAGAAATGCAAGAGGCCTCGAGGAGCTAGAAACAGTCCTCACCTGAGAGCCAGCAAAAAACAGTCTTTAATTCTACAACCATAAGGAACTGAATTCGCGCAACAATTGGAATGAACACAGAAACAGATCATCCTCTATAGTCTTCAGAAAAGGACACAGATCTACTGATGCTTTTATTTTAGCCTGGTTAGACTTGTAGAGGATTTGTAACCTACAGAGGTTTATGACAGTTTGAACTAGAATGCAGTCAAGCCGCCAGATATAAGTGCATGGAAGGCTGGGAAATGTGATCTAGCCGTGTGCTTCTGAGGAAAGTGAAATAGTTTTGTTGAACAACTAGCCAGTTCCTGAAGCATGAGTCAATAGAAAAAGAAACGAAGTATATGAAAACTTAAATGAAGTAAAACCAATCATTATTTTAAGGCATTTAACATCATCATGAATCAAAAATGCAAATTTTATTTTATTTATTTATTTTTTATTTAGACAGACAGGGTCTCGTTCTGTTGCCCAGGCTGGAGTGCAGTGGCCCAGTCACAGCTCACTGTAACCTTGAACTCCTGGTCTCAAGCCATCCTCCGGCCTCCCAAAGAGCTGGGGTTACAGACATGAGCCACTGCACCCAGTCTCAAAATGGCAACTCACTTGCGAACTGCAACTTCACTTCCCAAACTGTAATTTGGTAAGTGAAAAATTGTAAAAAAGAGTTACAGTTTTTCACTTACCAAACTGACAGATTTTTGTAATGATAATATCTGGTGTTGGACTGTATCATAAGAAAGCAAGACTCTCCTACTTTCTTATGGCCAAAAGCATACATCCTTCCTTGAGCACAATTTGGCAGTGTATGTCAAGAGCTTTTAGAAATGCACATCCTGAGATTCAGCAACATGACATTAGGAATTAGTCTAAGAAAAATATTCTATTTTTGCAAAATTTCACTTCAGCAATATTTAATATGGAGAGTGTGACTAGACAAATACACATTGAGTCTATACATTATTGAATTGGAATTTTTTTTTTTTTTTTTTGAGACCGAGTCTCGCTCTGTCGCCCAGGCTGGAGTGCAGTGGCGCGATCTCAGCTCATTGCAAGCTCCAACTCCCAGGCTCATGCCATTCTCCTGCCTCAGCCTTCCGAGTAGCTGGGACCATAGGTGCCCACCACGACGCCTGGCTGATCTTTTGTATTTTTAGTGGAGATGGTGTTTCACCGTGTTAGCCAGGATGGTCTCGATCTCCTGACCTCGTGATCCGCCCACCTCGGCCTCCCTGAATTGGATTTTTTTAAACAACTAGCATGTATTCTTTGTGTAATGTTTAAGAGAAAATATTTTAAAGTATATGCAATTTGATCTAGGAATTAACTTAGGAATGTAGCCCAAAGAAATAGTTAAAAGAAGTATTAAAAGAGTTCAATATAGCATTCTTAAAACAACCTTTGTGTTCAACAATGGTAGTTTGGTTAAGGTATGTTACATCTATTCAGTGGAATACCACAGGCTCATTAAAAATTATGTTATAGCAAACTATATTGTTTATTAACATGGAAGGAAATGAAATATATAGCTGTCCCTCACTATCCATGAGGGAATGACTGCAGGACCTCCTGCAATATCAAAATCTGTGGATGTCCAAGTCCCTGATACAAAATGATGTGGTATTTGCCTATATACTGTGCACATCTGTATACTTTAAATCATGTCTATATTACATATAATACCGAATACAATATAATGCTATGTAAATAGTTGTTATACCATATTGTTTAGGGAATAATGACAAGATAAAAACGTTTGTACATGTTTAGTACAGACCCAATTTTTTTTCCAAGACAAGTTCTTGCTCTGATGCCCAGCCTGGAGCTCAGTGGCATGACCATGGCTCACTGCAGCCTCGACCTCCCAGGTTCTAGTAATCCTCTCACCTTAGCCTCCTGAGTAGCTGGGACTACAGGTGCATGCTACCATGCCCAGCTAATTTTTGTATTTTTAGTAGAGATAGGGTTTCACCATGTTGCCCAGGCTAGTCTCAAACTCCTGTGCTCAAGCAATCCAGCCACCTCGGCCTCCCAAAGTGCTGGGATTACAGGTGTGAGCCATTGCCCTTGGCCTTCCCAAAGATTTTTTTATCTGCAGTTGATTGAATCCACCTATGTGGAACCCACAAAATATGGAGAGCTGACTATATATTATTAAGTAGGAAAAGGGTTACAAAATACCATGCACAGTGTTAATAATTCCTTGTTTATAAAAGAGAACATGTATATCTGCATGTATTATATATTAATAAGTACCTAGCAAAAGACATTTGTTATTATATTGAAAGATATATATATATATTTTTTGAGGCGGAGTCTCACTCTGTCACCCAGGCTATAGTGCAGTGGCGCAATCTCCGCTCCCTGCAACCTCCGCCTCCTGGGTTCAAGCAATTCTCCTGCCTCAGCCTCCTGAGTAGCTGGGATTACAGGCACCTGCCACCATGCCTGGCTAATTTTGTGTATTTTTAGTAGAGATGGGATTTCACTATGTTGGCCAGGCTGGTCTCGAACTCCTGACCTCGTGATCCACCTGCCTCGGCCTCCCAAAGTGTTGGGATTACAGGCGTGAGCCACCGCGCCTGGTCAGATATTTATATTGTTATAATATGATGTGGAATCACAGGTGGTATTTCTTTCTCCTCATTGCTTTTCTTTTTTTCAAATATTTAAAAAATAATCAGGTATTGCTTTTGCAATATAAAAATTTATTATAAGAACAAAAAATACAGGTAAGGATATGGTCCTACAATTCGGATTCTGAAAACTAAGACACTGTTGGTGTGTAACTTTACAAATGTACATCAGGTTTCTTACCTTTAATCTAGAATATTCTGTAACAATAGTCTTAAAGCATATAATCTCTTTGGCCTTTATCCCTTCCAATACATTTCTCCTAGAATTGTGACTAGCTACAAGAATTATCTGAAAGTAATCTAACTGGACTGGAAATTCCTCAGTGGCAGTTAGCAAAGGAGATCAGAATATTTCCATGAAAATATAATTCAGTTCTTCAGAAAGTATTGCCCACACCTATATTCAGGTGACATAATAGTCTCTATTACTAAATATTGACTGCCTGTAATAAGAACTTCTATTTCCAATTCCATTAAGAGAAAGAAAGAGAATAGGTATCAGCTTACTCCAGTAGGTTTGGAAAGGTTTCAGTAAATAAGCCAATCAAACAAGATCTCAATCTCCTATTATGCGATTTGTGGGGAAGGCACATAAGCAAGCATACGACCCAAGCCTTGGCGGGGCGCGGTGGCTCACGCCTGTAATCCCAGCACTTTGGGAGGCCGAGGTGGGTGGATCACCAGAGGTCAGGAGTTTGAGACCAGCCTGGCCAACATGGTGAAGCCCCATCTCTACTAAAAATACAAAAATTAGCTAGGCATGGTGGCAGGCACCTGTAATCCCAGCTATTTGGGAGGCTGAGGCAGGAGAATCTCTTGAACTGGGAGGTGGAGGTTGTAGTGAGCTGAGATTGCACCACTGCACTCCATCCTGGGCAACAGAGCAAAACTCTGTCGAAGAAAAAAAAAAGAGAGAGACCCACGCCTTATTGTCAAGAATCTAACTTACAGTCTAAGTAGAGCAGTCGTTCATTCAGCATTTTCCATTGACCACCACTGTGGTCAAACAATATGATATCTAAGTATATGATTTCTGAGATACAGCAGACCTAGGAGAATACTGTCTAGGGTGGGACTGGAGTGTTAAGAAGGGGAAGGTCATCAGAATAAGGAGATCAATTATATTAGTCCCTTCTAAGCCCCAGGGGATATGTTCCAAGACCCACAGTGGATGCCTGAAACCATGAATGATACCAAACTCTGTATATAGTATGTTTTTTTTCTATACCTACATACCTATGATAAAGCTTAATGTATAAATTGGGCACAGTAAGAGATTAACAACAATAGCTAATAATAAAAGAGGATAATTATAACAATATGCCAGCATCACAACTCTTGTACTTTGGAGCCATGATGAAGTAAAATAAGGGTTACTGGAACACAAGCACTGTGACACTGTGACAGTCAATCTGATAACCAAGACAATGACAACTGAGTGAGAGTGGATACAGCAACAATATGCTGGACCAACTGATGATTCATGTCCTGGGTAGGACAGAGCGAAATGGCATGATATTTCATCCTCGTACTCAGAACAGTGCACAATTTAAAACTTATTTCTGGAATTTCCCATTTAACACTTGTGGATGGCAGTAGACCATGGGTAACTGAAACAATGGAAAGTGAACCACAGATAAGAGGGGGCAGACTGTATTGAGAAACTGGAGTGTTGGCTGGGTCTTCTGCATGGACACTGAAATTAGCCAGTATGTTGACTTGCAGAAGAAAGGAAAACTATTGACCTAAGTGTCAAATTCTCAATAAATGTGGAAGCCTAAGTAGAAAGAAGGTAGATGAAGGCAAATACTGATAGAAGCTTTAAATGAAGAGGAAATTTTGCTTCTTGGTCAAGAATACTAGATTGGAAGTGACTGAAGAAAGCTAGATTTGGAAGAAAGGCCACCTTTGCTTGACTTATTAAAATTGTCCTTAGAAAAAAATCTAAGTTTCAACTGGGGCCAACAGGTAAAGGATATGTCAAGGCTAAGGAAGTAGGAGATTTTGTTTAAGGTAGATCAGGTTCCAGAAATAATACTGTAATGGAAATAATATAATTATTAAGGGCATTCTATCTATGTGCTTTAATTCACTCACTCCTCACAATAATCCTATAAGGTAAATGCTAATATTATTCCCATTTTCCTATTGAGAAAACAGGCACAAGAGATTAAGTGACTTGCCCAATATCATATGGCTTGTAAGTGGCACAGGGTGGATTCAAACCAGGCAGTCTAGTTCCAAAGTTAACACTTTCAAGCACTACACTTTTCTCCAATCAAAAGGTTTGGATGAGAGAGGAAGATTGGGAGGAAGAAACAGAGGAAAGCAGGTAATGAAATAATAAGAGTCCCAGATGCAAAGTTTGGCAGCAGCAAAACATGCAAAAGGGTGGGTTTGAAGTCTGAAAAGGGTGGGAACCATAGGAGACACATACTTCTATTTAAAAATTTGCCAGAAGCTAACATTAATTATGATATCAATATACTTAAAAATTTACATGTTGGTATGTGCATATCACTTCTTATTTTTTTTTTTTTTTTTAAACAGAGTTGTGCTCTTGTCACCCAGGCTGGAGTGCAGTGGCATGATCTCAGCTCACTGCAACCTTCGCCTCCCGGGTTCAAGCAATTCTCCTGCCTCAGCTTCCCAAATAGCTGGAATTACAGGCGCCCGCCACCACGCCCAGCTAATTTTTATGTTTTTAGTAGAGATGGGGTTTCACCATGTTGGTCAGGCTGGTCTCAAACTCCTGACCTCAAGTGATCTACCTTGGCCTCCCAAAGTGTTGGAATTACAGGCGTGAGCCACCGCGCCCAGTCGCATGTCACTTCTAAATAGCAATTTTAAAATAATAACATAACGAATGACTACTGAGTAATCTGTACAGTATGTGTACACACACACCCACACACAGATCTCAAAGGTTTAGTATGTGTAGACTTGGATGCATCTTTAGGCTATAATTTTAACAGACGTCTCCTGACAAACTGTCTCTGGAAAACACAGTAACGTTTGGTCCTTATTAGATCCATACAAGAGGAAAAGTAAAATAAACCTGAGTAAAGGTAATCAGAAGAAAATTATCTTCCAAAATACAAAGCCAAAATTAAATTTCATTTATAAATGTACATAGATTTTATACATTTTACATGAGCTTTTTTGCATAAAACTAATACCAGGTAGTAAAACATATACAACTTTATAATTCTATATGTAATGAAAGTCAAAACTAGAAAAATTTAAACAGGTTTAATTATTATTTAAAATCTCATTGTATTCTTTTTCAACCTGTCTCCCATATTTTCTATATTATTTATAATATGAAATTTATTCTTTGCACAGTAGTATGCTAAAAACAAGAAGGAACCAGTATTGATGCCAAAAAAGTAAAATAGATAGGTTTGTGCTTGAAAGATACAAATAACTCAAGCAAAATTGTTTTGCATTTGAATTATGCAGATACTATCTTATTCTCCATTTCACATTCTTTATGTAAACCTGATCTCTAACAAAGGTTTCAACTACCAAGCAAATTTAACACTTCAGCTGTTTACCAGGCCTTAAATCTGACCATTTTGGAGCATCTTCAAATGAGCCAGATGAGAAACTACTTAATTAGGATTTTAATTATTTTCTAGCATTCTGATAGTATCTGGGAGTCGCTGAGAAGCAGCTTGTTTCTGCAGTTTCTCAGCTGCTAACACTGTTCCCCAAGGTGGTGTTTGTGGTAAATTCCCAGCTCCAGGGAGCGCCAGATAGAAGCTGCACGCTGCAGAGCAGGGAGGTGCTACAGCCGGCCTGCCTGAACTTTCACTGCAGCCTGAACTCTATCATCTCAGTGGGACACAACTGTCTCCTTTCAGTAGGATGAAGTTAGTGTATTTTGGCTCCAGAATCCTGTTGTATCTTTGAACTTATCTGCCTTCCTACAGTGATTGAGTTCTGAATAATAAAGTGGGAGTCAGCAGTTGACGGTTCTAACTTTTAAGCAGAATCAGATAAAAGTGCATATGTGTGTATGTAGTTCACATATTTAAATATCAGTATTTTCGACCCATACATTAGTTTTAAAAGGATGAGAGAATTAACTTGATTATAAAATTGTGTCCTGTTTAAGATTTAACAACAAAATTCAGTAAGTAAAATAAAACCTCTATTCGCATTTAAGGGTATCTCAGTGTTTAGAGGTTAGGCATTTTATCTTTTTGTCAAATTGTTATATTTAAGTGAAATTCACTTATGGATTACCATGAAATGGCTTGCATTCAGGTAAAAATACATAGAAGGTTAACTCTTCTGTATTTATTATGGTTGGAGATTTACTCTGGAGCCTTACTGTAACATGATCCACTAGAAGGCAGACTTTAGTTTAAGGTCCTTTAATTCTCTCTGGAATTACTACTGAAACTTCTCAAGGGTCTCCATTTCATTTCTGTACAATCAAGCTTGATTCTGGAGGAAAACTGTGGTTGGCAGAACTCTAAGGATGGCCCACCAAGAATCCTGACTCTCGTTACTCAATCAAACACCAATCTAGGTACTATTGTGCAGGGATTTTGCAGATGGAAAATCCTGATCTAATCACAGGAGTCCTTCAAAAGTAGAGAATTTTCTGACTAGTGGCAGAAGGAGAAATCAGAGGACTTCAAAGCTTAAGCATTCGACATGCCATTGCTAGCATTGAAGATGGAGGGGCCCTGTGCAAGGATCAGAGCAAGGAGAGGCCTCTGGGAACTGAACTTGACTCGCAGCCCATGGCCAGGAAGAAAATAGCGATTTCAATCCTACAATCACAAGGAACTGAATACCAACAACAGCTTCAATGAGCTTGGAAGCAAATTCTTCCCCGGAGAGTTCAGATAAGAGCTCAGCAAGATTCGTACCTTGCGAGAGACCCTAAACAAAAAACCTTGTGGAAACTTGCAGGACTTCTGACCCACAGAACGACAGAATGGAGCTAACAGACAGGTGTTGTCTTCAATTCCTAAGCTTGCGGTAATTTGTTAGGAAGCAATAGAAAACTTACGAAACAGTGCCTCTGAACATTCAGATTGGCAGATTGTTCTGCCAATTCTGACTTTATCGAAAGACTCGGTTTTTGTTTGTTTTTCAATTCTGACTTATCTCTGTTTATCTATCCACACTTCCTTGCTTATACCTGACTTACACCTTTAGTTTGGCCTTTCCTGATCTACTTATTTGCATTCTTGCCAGCAGATAAAAAAGCAAAATACATCAAGGTCAGGCCGGGCGTGGTGGCTCACACCTGTAATCCCAACACTTTGGGAGGGTGAGGTAGGTTGATCACCTGAGGTCAGGAGTTCAAGAACAGCCTGGCCAACATGGTGAAACTCCGGCTCCACTAAAAATGCAAAAATTAGCCAGGTGTGGTGGCAAGCACCTGCAGTCCCAGCTACTTGGGAGACTGAGGCAGGAGAATCACTTGAACTCAGGAGGCGCAGGTTGAAGTGAGCCGAGATTGTACCACTGCACTCCAGCCTGGGGCACAAGAGCGAAACTCTGTCTAAAAAAAAAAAAGGGCAGTACTTACTTATACTATGTTTTCCAAAGTATAACTACTGGTGGTATCTATTAACATGGTTTTAGATGGTTCCTGGACCTAGCATTAATTAACACTCTCCAATCCTTCTGACTCAATAAAGAAGAAAGCCTCTGTTAGATATTAATATGATTTAAAACCTATCCAACACTGACAAATTTCCCCTTTTGGAGCCTGCCTCAGGTGGAGAGCCCTCCATAGTCATGGAATCCAGCTAGAACTTAATATCATATATTTTATTGTATTATTTTCCATTTATACTTCTGGCAAGCTGTATTGGCTTTCTAGTTTGGATGGCAATATAAAGTTTCTTTTTTAAGAAGTGATATTGTTCAGTCTCAGTTGAAATTTTCCCATCCATATTTTGATATCTCTGAAATCAAGATGTGTCTAATAATCTTTGGGCTTTCACTGTCTCTGGCTGCCCTCTTGCCCCACAGAGCAGACCCAAGCAACAACAAAAAAAACGTGTACTCAGCAACTCCCCTCCCCAACCCTCCTGGGTCCAGTCCATACAGTCTCCTTGTCCCATTCACCTCTCTCCTGAACTCAAGACCAGGAGTCCCTGGACTAAAAACTCAGGGATTTTACACTGGACAAGACTGGTGCAAAGCAAGGTAGATTTATGTAGGCCATGACTCTATTAACATTCATAGCTTTCAACGCAGAACCAAAAAGACTTTTAAAAAATTGACTGGGAAATAGTTCAGAAACTCATCCAGGGCTAAGTAGAAGTCTAAGTGAGCCTTTTTTTTTTTTTTTTTTGAGATGGAGTCTCACTCTGTCTCCAAGGCTGGAGTGCAGTGGCACAATCTTAGCTCACTGCAACCTCTGCCTCCTGGGTTCAAGCGATTCTCCTACCCCAGCCTCCCGAGTAGCTGGGATTACAAGGACGTGCTAATTTTTGTATTTTTAGTAGAGACAGGGTTTTGCCATATTGGCCAGGCTGGTCTCAAACTCCTGACCTCAGGTGATCCACCAGCCTTGGCCTCCCAAAGTGCTAGGATTATAAGCGTGAGCCACCACGCCCGGCCAGTGAGCCTTTTCAGTAAGTGAAAAATAAAACTCCTAGGATAAGAAGGCATTGTGTTATAATTTAGTTGACAGGTTTTTTTTTTTTTCTATTTTGGAGGTAAAAAAAAAAGATAAGATAAGGGTGCATCTTACAGTATATAGTACATAAGATTCAAAAAATATGGTAAATACATTTAAGTAAACATTATTAAATTAATAGTCCAAGTGTATAAAATTATGAAGGTGGGAACACAAATGAGTGAACTTTGTAAAACACTGGTCTGACACAAGGAAGTTGACTTCAGGACCTCACAGCTGGAAGTGTCAGAGTAACACATTAGCATTAACCCTAAAAGATAAAAAATAAAAATAATAATAATAATAATAAAAGGAATCTCTGGACTCTAGGCTTCCTTGAAAGTAAAAGCACTTTTGGTATTTGGTCTCTGGTTTCCCATGTAGGTAGAGAGTCACAGCCCTGATCTATTTTCAGGGTGGTGATGGGGACTTGGGGAGAGAGTCCTGTTTTCTGTGGTTGTTTGCTTGGAAAAGTAGTAATGACCTCCATGAACCTTGCATCAAAACTTCAACTCTTTCCTGATAGCACAGGTAAGAAGCAGAGTCCCATTTAGGATAGAGTAATAGAGTGAGTTTTGCAAATAAACATTGACTTATCTATAACATACGCTGGTTTCTGAGGTTTAAGGGACCACAGAAATTATAAAACCAAACTGAAGTAACATCTTGAAAATAAGTGGAGGCGAGCCATAAATTTGATGCCAGAGGCAGAGATGACCTTTTTAGTGGATGCGTTTTCTTTCCATCTTTTTATCCATTTTATCCATTCCATGTCTCCTGAAAATAGTGCTGCTCTGAGTTATTATCAGCCAGCTATGCTCTTCAGAGAAACAGAATCAACTAAAGGCATGTATGCGTTCCTTCCTCCACTCCACACCTCTTTGCGGTAAAGGAAAGTTGAAACAGCAAACAGTGCCATTGGCAAGTGTATCACACAGAGTTCCATTGGGCAAGCAGGATCACTATGGAATTAGGAGTTTATTATAGGAATTAGAACCTACATAATTGTGGGAGCTGCTGAATCTATGGAAGGATGTGGCCTTTGTATCTGCCTGAAGCCACTGTCAGTCAGTAGGCCCGGCAGTTGGGAAGATACACTAGATGTGACACAGGAAACAGAGAGGACACATGGGGGTCAGCAGACCAGCGACCGCATGCACAAGCTGCAGGAACTCCCGGCACCAGGCACCAGCCTTTGGAATTTAACAGCTGCCTCCCAAATCTTGTGCAAATTTCTCTTGTCCCCAACCCTAACCCAGTACACACAGGCAAGGAGATTCAGGGGAAAATAATTCCAACCTAACCAAGTTAACAAGGTACAAAACCACCACAACAAGGTAGTATCCTACTGCTGTCAAAGATCATAAGGCAGAGATAAGCCCAGAAGGTACCTCCAGGACATCTAGTCTTCATCTTTGTCTCCCATTTAGACCTCAAAAAAAGAAGTCCCATTATGGATTGATTTTCAACTTGTTTGTGTAAAACCTACACTGACACATTGTTTGGGATTGTCAGTCAAACTGCAAGGACTGAGCCTAGGGCTAAATGGCAGAATGGTATAACAGCACTGATGTTCTGGAAAATAGGCAGTCCTTCCCATTGGTGCTATGCTCTTAGCAAAACAACTCTCCCAGGTTGGATGTGTAGAGAACAGATAATATCAGGATACTGAAGGAGCTGATGTTTGGTTGAAAAAACACACACAAAAAAAGGGCAAGGGAGGGTGAGCAGAAAGCATAACTTAAGGAGACACTCTTTAAAATGAAGAGCTTCCAAAAGATCTGGGAGAAACCTTATACAACGTTTCATCATCCTCAAAGTTGTCCAGATGGTAAGCACCTGGAAATCCATGGCATTTTTTGCTATATATTATGAAGTGCTGATATATTTAATTTCATGTGAATTGAAAATAATTTTGCCAGAAGAAAATATAGCTATATTGTATGTATTGAATACTAAGTCCCAAAATACACATATGAACAGCAGTTTCACACTTGCTCACATGGGAAGCACCTTTTCAGAATACTACAGTATTGATATATTTGAATACCATGTGAACTGAGACCAATTTCACTTAAACATAACATGACTGTATGTGTACAATATAAAAGTCACTACCCTTTGGGAGGCTGAGGCGAGTGGATCACCTGAGGTCAGAAGTTCAAGATCAGCCTGGCCAATGTGGCGAAACCCTGTCTCTACTAAAAATACAAAAATTAGCTGGGTGTGGTGGTGGGTGCCTGTAATCCGAGCAATTAAGGAGGCTGAGGCAGGAGAATCGTTTAAACCCAGGAGGCAGAGGTTGCAGTGAACCAAGATCGCGCCATTGAACTCCAGCCTGGGCAACAGAGCAAAACTCCGTCTCAAAATAAATAAATAAATAAAATAAATTATAAAAATTAAAAAAAAATAAAGTCACTATCACAAGCATATACTTCCTCAAAACTGAAATAAATGGTTGTTTCCAAATATTTCAAATGAGAATCATTTACTACTTTTTCACATACTCTTTTTTTTTTTTTTTTTCGAGACTCAGTCTTGCTCTGTCACCCAGGCTGGACTGCAGTGGCGCGATCTCGGCTCACTGCAAGCTCCGCCTCCCGGGTTCACGCCATTCTTCTGCCTCAGCCTCCCAAGTAGCTAGGGCTACAGGCACCCACCACCATGCCCAGCTAATTTTTTGTATTTTTAGTAGAGACGGGGTTTCACCATGTTAGCCAGGTGAGCGGATCACAAGGTCAGGAGATCACAGACACTTTTCATCTGCTAGTCCAAATAGTCATAAATTAAAAAAAAGATTTATGGGTAAAGAGCCTTAAATTGAGAAAAAAAAAAGTCTCTTCAGTACCTTATGTTTTTGAGAGTTAGGAAAAGTCAGGCCATTACCCCATATCAAGTTCCAAAAACCCCAGTTACACTGGTAACAGGCACATGTTGCACAGGATCTTGGTTTGAAAACCATCAATCTAGACCAAACCTCTAATATATAGATAAGAAACCTGGCCTAGAGAGATTATGACTTGCCTGAGGTCATATAAATAATTGATGACAGACTTGAGACTGGAAATCATGTCTCATTCCTAATCCTGTGTTTTTTCCAGAGTAGCCTGGATCTAGATTTAACCACCCACTGGGAAGCAGGTAGTTTCTTTCAAGAAGAGGCTCACAGAAAACTATGAAAAAGGGGATATAGGGAATGCTTGGATAGGTTCTGCTAGTAGTTCACCCAGCCTCAAACTTAAAATCATTCTTCAGATTCCATAGAAAAGTGGTAGACTAAACCTAAATGTTAAACTGCATTCAACTGCTCCTCCACCCCCAGAATCATATAGAAGTCACTGAAGGAATATGAAAATAGGAAAACATCCTTGATACATATCAGCTGTAGATACAAAGGAAGAGTACCACCCACATGACTGAAAGCATGAGATAACATCTCTAAGAAACACAGCAGAATGCATCAGGCTGATGGAAGTGCCGATTTATAACATGTGAAGTAGAAGAGATCTGAATGGAACCCTATTAAGACCCATTATCTGGCCCCTTACAGAAAACATTTGCCAGTCCTGGCCCTAATAAGTTGAAATGTTATCATGCATGGTATCTTCACCAGAAAGGCAAACAAGTTTTATCTCATGCTTTAACTCTGATCATTTGAGAAGTGGTTTTCTGGCTGACTGTGTTGGGGAGGTGTGACAGTTAATTTTATGTGTCCACTCAACCGGATCACAAGATGCCCAGATATCTGTTATACATTACCTTGAGTATGTCTGTGAGGGTGTTTCTACGCTTCCAGAAGAGATCAGCATTTAAATCAGTGGACTGAGGAAAGCAGATTGATTGCCCTGCCCCTTGTGGTTGGGCATCATCTATTCCCTTGAGGGCCTGAATAGAACAAAAATATGGAGAAAGGGAGGATTAACTGGCTCTCTGCCTGACTGCTTGAGCCTGAACATCGATCTTCTCCTGCCCTTGGTGCTCCTGGCTCTCAGGCCTTCAGACTTGGACTGGGATTTACACTATCAGCTCTCCAGCTTTCAGGCCTTCAAACTAGAACATTGTCTTTCGTGGGCCTTCAGCTTGCAGAGTAGATCACGAGACTTCTCAGCCTTCATAATCACTGAGCCAGATTAAATAGAAGAGACAAAGAGAAAGAGAGAAGGAAGGAAGGAAGGAAGGAAGGAAGGAAGGAAGGAAGGAAGGGAGGGAGGGAAGGAGGGGGGAAGGAAGGAAAAAAGAGGAAGGAAAGAAAGAGAAGAAAGGAAAGAAAAAAGGGGAGGGGAGGGAAGGGGAAGGGAAGGGAAGGGAAAGGAAGGGAAGGGAAGGGAAGGGAAGGGAAGGGAAGGGGAAAGAATCTCCCATTGGTTTTGTTTCTCTGGAGAATCTTGACTCAATACAGAAGGGTTCTAGGAGTGCAAGTTCCTGGAAAACTCTGTTGCTTTCAACCTTTCTTTTTTTTTTTCTTTTTTTTGAGATGGAGTTTTGCTCTTGTCACCAGCTGGAGTGCAATGGTGCGATTTTGGCTCATTGCAACCTCCTCCTCTTGGGTACATGTGATTCTCCTGCCTCAGCCTCCCAAGAGCTGGGATTAGAGGCATGTGCCACCACACTCAGCTAATGTTTGTATTTTCAGGAGAGACGGGGTTTCGCCATGTTGGCCAGGCTGCTCTCGAACTCTTGAACTCAGGTAATCTGCCCGCCACTGCCTCCCAAAATGCTGAGATTACAGGCCTGAGCCACTGTGGCCAGCCTGCTTTCAATCTTTCAATGAGTGATTTTTACCATGTATGTGTAGGAGGGGTACTCCTTGCTTACATAGCATGTATTTACTATACTTTAGTTCATCAGGAAACACTGTGGCATTATTTAGAGACCATAATTTCTTAAGTCTACTCTATTCACACTTCCCAAAACTTTTCTTAGCTATGGTCAAATGGTTATATGTATTTCCACACTCATGTCCTGTCCATGCACTTGGGTTACACATTATTGTTAATGTCAAGTAATTATGCCCCCATTTTATTTCCTGATGATCCTACAAGTTGTGTAACTTCGGGCAAATTACTGAACCTTTCTAAGCCTCAGCTTCCTCTTCTGTAAAACGGGGATAATTCTAAAGGTCTACTTCATAAGGTCAATGGAAGTATTAAACGAATTACTGGCTGGGTGCAGTGGCTCAGGCCTGTAATCCCAGCACTTTGGGAGGTCGAGGGGGGCAGATTGCCTGAGCTCAGGAGTTTGAGACCAGCCCGGGTAACATGGCAAAATCCCATCTCTACTAAAAATACAAAAAAATTAGTCAGGCATGGTGGTTCGTGCCTGTAGTCCCAGCTACTCAGGAGGCTGAAGAATGAGAATCATTTAAACTCGGGAGGCGGAGGTTGCAGTGAGCCAAGATCACACCACTGCACTCCAGCCTGGGCAAGAGAGTGAGATTCTGTCTCAAAAAAAAAAAAAAAAAATTAAATTAATTACTGATTGCAGGACTAGCAATGTTTAGTGTACAATAAGTGTTAACCATTATAACTATTATTATCTCCCTTTTATATATGAGAAAAACGAGGCTAAGTAATTAACCCAAGGTCACATTGTGTCCGGAATTGGTGGGTTCTTGGTCTCACTGACTTCAAGAATGAAGCCGCGGACCCTCGCGGTGTTACAGCTCTTAAGGTGGCACGTCTGGAGTTTGTTCCTTCTGATGTTCAGATGTGTTCGGAGTTTCTTCCTTCTGGTGGGTTCGTGGTCTCGGCTGGCTCAGGAGTGAAGCTGCAGATCTTCACAGTGAGTGTTACAGCTCATAAAAGCAGTGTGGACCCAAAGAGTGAGCAGTAGCAAGATTTATTGCAAAGAGCACAAGAACAAAGCTTCCACTGTGTGTTAGGGGACCCGACCGGGTTGCCACTGCTGGCTTGGACAGCCTGCTTTTATTCTCTTATCTGGCCCCACCCACATCCTGCTGATTGGTAGAGCAGAGTGGCCTGTTTTGACAGGGCGCTGATTGGTGCGTTTACAATCCCTGAGCTAGATACAAAGGTTCTCCACGTCCCCACCAGATTAGTTAGATACAGAGTATCCACACAAAGGTTCTCCAAGGCCCCACCAGAGCAGCTAGATACAGAGTGTCGATTGGTGCATTCACAAACCCTGAGCTAGACACAGGGTGCTGATTGGTGTGTTTACAAACTTGAGCTAGATACAGAGTGCCGACTGGTGTATTTACAATCCCTGAGCTAGACATAAAGGTTCTCCAAGGCCCCACCAGAGCAGCTAGATACAGAGTGCCAATTGGTGTATTTACAATCCTTGAGCTAGACATAAAGGTTCTCCAAGGCCCCACCAGAACAGCTAGATACAGAGTGTCGATTTGGTGCACTCACAAACCCTGAGCTAAACACAGGGTGCTGACTGGTGTATTTACAATCCCTGAGCTAGACATAAAGGTTCTCCAGGGCCCCACCAGAGCAGCTAGATACAGAGCTAGACACAGGGTGCTGATTGGTGTGTTTACAAACCTTGAGCTAGATACAGAGTGCCGATCGGTGTATTTACAATCCTTGAGCTAAACACAGGGTGCTGATTGGTGTATTTACAATCCCTGAGCTAGTCATAAAGGTTCTCCAAGGCCCCACCAGACTCAGGAGCCCAGCTGGCTTCACCCAGTGGATCCCGCACGGGGGCTGCAGGTGGAGCTGCCTGCCAGTCCTGCGCCATGCGCTCGCACTCCTCAGCCCTTGGGTGGTCGATGGGACTGGGCGCCCTGGAGCAGGGGGTGGTGCTCGTGGGGGAGGCTCGGGCTGCACAGGAGCCCACAGACGTGGGAGAAGGCTCAGGCATGGCGGGCTGCAGTCCTGAGGCCTGCCCCGCGGGAAGGCAGCTAAGGCCTGGTGAGAAATCGAGTGCAGCGCCTGTGGGCCGGGCACTGCTGGGGGACCCAGTACACCCCGCAGCCGCTGGCCCGGGTGCTAAACCCCTCATTGCCCGGTCCAGCAGGGCCAGCCTGCTGCTCCAAGTGTGGGGCCTGCCAAGCCCACGCCCACCCAGAACTCCAGCTGGCCCGCAAGCGCTGCATGCAGCCCCGGTTCCCGCTCGCGCCTCTCCCTCCACACCTCCCAGCAAGCTGAGGGAGTGGGCTCCGGCCTTGGCCAGCCCAGAAAGGGGCTCCCACAGTGCAGCGGTGGGCTGAAGGGCTCCTCAAGTGCTGCCAAAGTGGGAGCCCAGGCAGAGGAGGCGCTGAGAGCAAACGAGGGCTGTGAGGACTGCCAGCACGCTGTCACTTCTCAACATTGTCAGTAAAAGACAGAATTGGAATCTGAACTAAGCATTTTGCACAGCTGTCATTGGGTGGCGAAAGCAAAGGTGGTTTATAATGTTTTTTGGGGGTTTTTCCAAATTTCCTAAATGTTATGTAGTAGGCATGTAGGACTTCTGTAATCACAAAATAATACATTTTATAGGCATTATTTTAAAAATAAAAATGTAGAAATGATCACATAGGACCTTTTCCTTGCCTTTCTGAAGTCCTTTAGGTCCTGTCTGATGTGTCTCCTAACTTCTGACATCCCGGATTTTTTTTATTATACTTTAAGTTCTGGGATACATGTGCAGAACATGCAGGTTTGATACATAGGTATATGCGTGCCATGGTGGTTTGCTGCCCCCATCAACCCATCATCTACATTAGGTATTTCTCCTAATGCTATCCCTCCCCTTGCCCCCAACCCCTCAACAAGCCCCGGTGTGTAATGTTCCCCTCCCTGCGTCCATATATTACCACTGTTCAACTCCCACTTATGAGTGAGAACATGAGGTGTTTGGTTTTCTGTTCCTGTGTTAGTTTGCTGAGAATGATGGTTTCCAGCTTCAGCCATGTCCCTGCAAAGGACATGAACTCATCCTTCATCCCAGATTTTTTACCTGCTTCACTGAATTTCCCTTCACCCCAATAATAACTGATCTTTCTATAGTAATTTAAAATGTATAAAGTATCACCAAATTATCTCATTTAATCCTCAGAGCAATACTTGCAGCCTGTGTTACCCACTTTGCAGATGAGAAAGATAAGGCTTATAGAAAAACATGATCACTTAATAAATAAGGAGCCGAACAAGGACTCAAATCCAGATGTTCCATTTCCAGAGCATTCCACATCCATTCCAGAATGCGGTTCCAAAACGTCCAGTTCACTTCTGCCATCCTATATTATGCTTTCTGTAGACGTCCCTTGTATATTTTGATTTCTGATTAACTCCCTGGGTTATGTTTTCCTGCATCACTTTGACCTTTGCCAGGTACATGCTGATCATCTGACCCATCAGTGTACTTCCTACACCAGACCTTTGATTTCTCTTAGCATGACTTAATATTCTTGGGCTTCACTTCTATCACAAATTTGTAACCCTGTAACTACATGGCCCTGGCTCAGATGCATAGATTGTTTCTAGATGTGTCAAATATGGAAATTTCTTTCACTTAAATATTATTCTTCCCTACAAAAAACATTAACTAGCTTTCCAGGATTGGCCATGATGTGTGATATACTTTGTGTAAGTTTTCATTAGAATCAAATTAGAAAATACTTTGGAAAAAGGCAAACACTAAACACATAAAACACATTATTATTGTGTTATCTGTGTGTAAATATATCCTCCCTGAGTAGCCTTCTAGGCAGGGGAAGAAGTAAATAGGCACTTCATGCCTGGTACAACTTTTATGGAAGGAATATTGGGAATACATATTCAATGCTATTAAAAAAGCATTAATACTCTTTAATCCAACAGTTCCACTCCTAGGAATTATATTATACCCTTTAGTTATAATAAATCAGGTGAACATAGGTTTATATAAAAGAATGATCATCACTGCTATTTGTAACAGCTAAAAATCATAAACAACTCATATGCAAAATAAAATGCTATTAAATAAAATATGGCACGTTCATGTGATGGAACACTATGTAGCCATTAAAGTCATGTTATAGGAGACAATTTAACAGCATGGAAATTTTTCATCATTTATTATTAAATGAAAAAGAAGCTTACAAAACACCATTTGAAATGTGTTCTCTATTTTATTTTGTTTCTATGGGCATAGAAAACAGATTAGATGAATAAACACTAAAAGGTTAACTCTGGGTGGCCCTAAATGATGATATATTATGAATAATTTAAATCACTTATTTCTGCTTTTTTAAAATCATTTTTTACAATAAACACTACTTTGTAATCAGAAAAAGATATGCATAAAAAGGAAAATAGAGCAAAGATGAAAAAAGGCCATCCATTTAGTTTATACCCCAAGATTAATTTTAAATGAAACAGATTTCTTTAAATACTTCTAGAAATAATTCCTCTTGTACATGTTCAGAGAGGAAAATTTACTTTCACAATAGTCCTCATCTTTAGCAACTGGACCTGTACAGCTATCTAAAATGCTAGAAAAAAAAGGAAGAGCCTTAGTTTTCAAAATTCAATTATATTTTATTTTCATTTCAGAGCCACACTGTTATGATGTAAAATGGTGCCTTTTATGTAAGTTTTCAAAGATATGAAAACTCCTAATCAGCCTAGCTGACCAGGTTTTTTGTTACCTGTTATTTCATATCCCTTACCAATTGTTACTAATATTCTATATGACATAGACTAAGATTCCCAAAGACTGTGGGGAAAAAAACTATTACCACAATGTTTTGAAAAAAAAAAAAAAAAAAACAACAACTCTTCGTAATGCAATGGACTACATTCAGTTTTGTTATGTATTATTATGAATAAGTTTAATTTGGTGCCTATCTGCACACTATACCTCTTTTGTTCTTGTAACTTTACAGGTTTTTCCCCTAGCCACTGAATATTTGTGTTTTTTCATTAACCACAAATATATTCATCTTTCAAATATAATTTAAATTTATCCCCATCGATCTATTTTTCTTCTTCTAATCTTCCCATATATCTTATGTTAAATTCCTCTTCCAGCTCATTAATAATGTGTTAAACAAGGCTAGCCTTTATAGCAACCACACCTTTAGACAACTCCCTATACCTAATACATTGCCTTTTATCGTTACTGATATTAAATCCTTGAAGCCATTTTTTTTTTTTTGAGACATAGTCTCGCTCTGTTGCCCAGGCTGGAGTGCAGTGGCGTGATCTTGGCTCACTGCAAGCTCTGCCTCCCAGGTTCACGTCATTATCCTGCCTCAGCCTCCTGAGTAGCTGGGACTACAGGCGCCCGCCACCACGACTGGCTAATTTTTTGTATTTTTTAGTAGAGACGGAGTTTCACTGTGTTAGCCAGGATGGTCTGGATCTCCTGACCTTGTGATCCACCCGCCTCGGCCTCCCAAAGTGCTGGGATTACAGGCGTGAGCCACCACGCTCGGCCAAAGCCAATTTTTAATACCAGTGACAGTAGTCTTATTCCAGCCAACTTGAACTAGCTTCATAAGTAATTTCATGAAACAGTATAGAAAATAATTTGCAATAGCACAATTTTAAAACAGATTATATAATTTTCACTGTATTTCATTTTTCACTGATTTTGTAAATTTTTCCCCAAATAGTTTACTTTAAATGAACCCTGACATTGGCATGTCTAAAGACAAATGCATTATCTTCCTCAAACTTCTCAGCCCTGTTCTTCCTGAGTTCCTTTTTCCTGTCATCAACAGTCACTTAATTGTAGAAGACATTATCATTGATTATTCTCTTTTTTGGCTCTTTTTCTATCAGTCACAACATCTGATCCTCCTGGTACTACCTTATATGGTGATTTTGCTAATGCTTTTGTCTCTACAATGCCTGCTTCCCTTCCTTCACAGCAACAAGTTCCTCATTTATTCTGTGAAGGCTTCCTAAACCACCCACCATTCTTGTTCCACAGCCTCCACACCTATCCACGACTCTTGCAGAATTAATCATTTCCTTTTTATGTTCCCCAAACTCTGGACATTTTTGTTATATACTCGGAAAATAAAACAGAATAACCAATAATGTCACGTCATCTACATTTGACTGTTCTCCAGCAAAACATTTCAAGCAATACAAAAGAAATGATGCTGTGAAGATTTGACTCATGACAACAAGACAACTGTTTCACCTCCCCATTTTGCTCCTTGTGTTTTACTCCATGATAGGGATAAAAAGAATTAGATCTCGCCAGATGCGGTGGCTTGCGCCTATAATCCCAGCACTTTGGGAAGCAGAGGTGGGTGGATCACTTGAGCCCAGGAGTTTGAGATTAGCCTGAACAATATGGCAAAACTCTGTCTTCATAAAGCAAAATACATTAGCTGGGCGTGGTGGCACGTGCCTGTAGTCCCAGCTACAGGGAAGGCTGAGATCAGAGGATCATCTGAGCCTGGGAGATTGAGGCTGTAGTGAGCTACAATCACGCCACTGCACTCCAGTCTGGGCAGCAGAGTGCAATCCTGTCTCAAACAACAACAACAAAAAGGAATTACATCTTAGACTGATAAAAATCACAATCCTGGGAAGAATGGTCCTGCTCCCTTTAATTTTCCTATCTTCCTTGTGCCAGGTAATGTAAGTTATAAGTTCAAAGGCCTTCCCTCCTATGTGGCTGAAAGAAACATTCTGATTAAACAGATCAATTAGCAAGTGTTTTTTTTAATTGACCCCTAAAACTGTGCCAAACATTGTACTATAAATTCTACGTAAGTATTTTTCAAACTGTAGGTTGAAACCCATAAGGAAATCAATTTAGGGTCATAAAATCATTTTGGTGGGTCTCGACCAGCATTTTTTTTTACAAATAAAATGAAATAGAATTGAATAGAAAATAGCAGAGTGCATTACATATGTACATACTGAATCTCAACATAATTTGTATTTTTTTCCTGTGGTTTCCAGTACAAAATATTGAGTAATACTGTGCTACAGGGTATAGAAGAATACATATTTCTTGCTCCTAATATGCTTGAAGTCTATTTGAGAAGAATAAATTTGTGCATATGAAATAGAGAACAAGTCTATGACTATCTCTAATTCAATTCTGTTTTACTTGATGAATGTGGATGTGAATTTGAATGATTAGGGAGCTTTGACAGGTGAGTTGGTACTGTGGTTGGTGCCACTGAAAGTGAATAGAATTTGGATTTTGTGTAGGTGTGGAGAACATTTTATAAAACAACCATCACATCAGCCAGTGATTGAATAGAGCAGATAAGAAGTTTACAGAAAGACTACAAAACAAGATTTGCTTAAATTGATTATATGAGTAAATTACTTATATACATGTCCTATAATAAAATATGACCGCTCTACTACCTTCCCCTGCCACTACCTACTGGCCGTCCAACTCCTGCTCTAAATCTCAGCTTAGCTTTACTTCCCTTTCAGATGGTCCTCCTGTAATTTCTCATAGTATTCTTTTTTTTTTTTTTTTTTTTTTTTTGAGACAGAGTTTCACTCTTGTTGCCCAAGCTGGAGTGCAATGGCATGATCTCAGCTCACCGCATTCTCCTCCTCCCAGGTTCAAGCAATTCTCCTGCCTCAGCCTCCCGAGTAGCTGAGATTACAGGGATGCGCCACCACGCCCAGCTACTTTTGTATTTTTAGTAGAGACAGGGTTTCTCCACGTTGGTCAAGCTGGTCTTGAACTCCTGACCTCAGGTGATCCGCCTGCCTCGGCCTCCCAAAGGGCTGGTTACAGGCATGAGCCACCATGCCTGGCCTCTGATAGTATTCTTTAACAGCATTGTCATTGCCTATTTGCTTTTCTTTTTTTTTTTTGGAGACAGAGTCTCACCTGCTTGCTTTTCTATGCCCCCGATGACTGGCACATCTATGATGACAGTAGCTGCACCCATCTTGTTCACTTTTTCTGCCCCTGAGTCAAGCAGAGAGCTAGGTACAGTTAGCACTCCATAAACACTTATCAAACAAATAATATCCAAAAATAACTCGATATAAATAATATCCAATTTGTAACTTAGAATGTTACAAATTGTTTTGCATTTAATAAAAGTTACCATTTGCAGAGTTGAGGACTGGGTGATGAAGGATTTTTCACTCTGCAAGGCTGTATTATCTGAGAAATTTCCATAAACAGGTACTATTTTATCATTTAAAAACAGTACTAATTTTTTGTTTCAAATAAACAGAATGAGACTAAAGAATAAAAGAAAGGGCCGGGTGCAGTGGCTCACGCCTGTAACCCCAGCACTTTGGGAGGCCGAGCAAGGTGAATCACCTCAGGTCAGGAGTTCCAGACCAGCCTGGCAAACATGGTAAAACCCTGTCTCTACTAAAAATTCAAAAATTAGCCGGATGTGGTGGCAGGCACCTGTAATCCCAGCTACTCAGGAGGCTGAGGCAGGAGGATCTCTTGAACCCAGGAGGTGGAGGTTGCAGTGAGCCAAGATGGTTACCACTGCACTCCAGCGTGGGCGACAGAGAAAGACTGTCTCAAAAAAATAAAAATAAAAATAAAAGAAAGCCCGATAGATATCCAGCCAATGGGGATGCCCCTTCTTCTCTCCTTGTCAAATGCTCTCCTTGGAGAGGGGATATCCCCACTCTCTGAGGCACTTCTGCCTACTCCCAAGCCTTTTTTCCTCCTTTCAGTGAACATCTGGTATTACAGGCTTTTAAAAATTACATTAAAAAATGTCTCGACCTGAAAGTATGATAGTCTCCCATCAAGAGCATTGATTTGTCTTCTCTTTGCATTTGAGAAGGATGCATCTGTGTAAACTGGGGAACAAATTATCAACGTGAAATTAAAATTACCACTCAACTCTGAAATAACAAAAGAGTTAAAAGATTTTAAAATGAATCATTTAATGGAATAATAGTGAAAATAAGATAACTTACATATATTTCACATTTACAGCAGTGATTTTTCTTCAAATCTTCTTCAGGGTCAAAAACACTTTTGAGAAGTAGATGTAAGCCCTCCTAGTAAACATAAGGGTACTCACATCTACTTCTAATGTCACTTCAGGGAAGGCCTTACAACAAGCCATGAATGCCAGAACAAGGACCTCTGCTTTCCAATGTACATGGTGTTGTTCACATACATAATGTCACTTGATCCACATACACTTCCTACGGTTAAGTCAGGTCAGTTATCAATACAAAGCAAATACAAAAAACAGACATTTTAAGTTATTTAAAATGATTTCTCCCTCATTGCATAGCTGGTAACAGAATCCACACTAGAATATAGGTTTATATTTATAATTTCATTAATATTTTTTCTAGAGATATTTGGTTCAAATTCAAATTATAAATAAAACACTTATAAAAGGCCTTTTATAATCATATTTTGTAGGAATTTAATGTTTATTTCCCTAATGTGAAGACAATGAAGTGGTCAGAGTTCAGCATCATTACACATTTCCTTCTTGATGTTGACTCTGTACACAGTGACTCCTCTCCAAGCCCCCGCCAACTTGGCAAGCCAGAGCAGGGGAGAAAACTGCAGGTCTACCACATGGCAGGCCAGCATTCTCTCTCCAGGCCAACAGGCTATTCTGCTAATGGGCTTTTGTATTTTGTAATTAAATAAAGAAGCCATGTAATGCATGCTTATCTCTTCACTTGATGGAATTTTGGTCTGTTGAGCTACCTAAGTTATATATGTCATAAATAAGTTCCTAAATATATTAAAAATGCTTATAGATTCTGTTTTTCAGGGAAAAGGAGAGTTTGTTTTCCTTTAGGGAAAATCTAGAAATATTTGAGATTTTTTCTTTTTTTAAAAGAATAAGAACTAATGCTTTGGTCTCCCTTGATTCCCTTTGACAGTTCCTGATGTGAGGACCAATATCACTGCATCATTATGACTGATGATCATTTGTGGAGTAAACAAAAAACGGCATCCCAGGATGCACCACTTCCAGAATATCTTCTGTCTCTGAAGCCAGTTGCCACATTGCAAACATGGCAACAAATGAATTGATGATAGCATCTGCTTAATCTGGCTTTTGTCCACATGTCACAACTGTAATGTTGTTAACTGAGATTTTTTTATTTGCTCTAGTCTGGTTTCTTCACTTCCTATTCTCCAAACTGAGCTTAATTTAATCAATGTTGACTGAAAAGCTGTCAGCTTTAATGGTACTACATCTTTTTATCTTTAATGTTTAAGAAACACACAAATGTTGTCTTAATCTGAAATGGTTAATTTTTTTGACATCACATTAATATACCAAGATTGTGTCTGCTATTTGTTAAAAATTAAGAACTTACACTTGATGAAATTTTACAAAGTATCTAGGAAGTGTTTAATATCTGATATTCCTGACATACCATTTTTATGCTAATGGAAAAGCCAATAAAGTAGTAAGATTATGGCTTTACCCTGAATGACTTCAGCATTCATTTAACCTATGAAATAACCAGTTAAGCTGATATTTCATTTAAATTACAAAATAATACTTAATTCTGGAGATGAATGATAGATAATTCAGTAAGAACTTACTCTCATCTTTTTACTAGTAAAACTAATGAAAATTATGAGTCCTACTAAGAGAAAATAGATGGTCTACCTATACTATAAGATAAATCATTGACCCATTAAAAAATCAGCAAGATATGTTTATTTAAATTAGATCATTCTATAGTGAATAATAAAAACAGATCATTCTGTCCTCCAAATTAATTCCATTTATGCTTTGAATAGTTTTCATGTGGCAATATTTGTATCTCTATTTAATGCTATCAGCATTGAATTGGTGCATCATCTATCAATTAGTATGGAAACAAAATTTGAAATACAATTCATGGTTTCATCATAATGGATATGTGATTATAATCTCTTCTTTTTTAACATGTACTCCTCAAGATTAAGAATGAAGTCTTATTCATGTACAAGGGCATCACAAGCCAATATTTCAGCACATATAAGATGTTCAACAAAGACTATTTGTATGTATTGAGTTCTGTAGCTACACTGCTCTCCTCGGTGGAGTTAGAGCCCAAAGTACATGGCCAATATTGCCCTCTAGTGGTTAGCATGACTAGGTGGGTCTCAGTGCTATTGGTTCCACCTGAGGTTCTACTGGAACACTGTTTTTACATGTTTGTATATCATAGACAGCTGAGAATTTTTTTTGACAAGACAATATCTGAGATTATAAATGAAACCTAAATAAAGTATGTAGGACACGATTTGAGGGAAGCAAATTGAGTACCTCTTTGTAATATTACATACAAAACATTACACATTTTTGCCAGTAATCCCATATTTTGGGGGAGACTAATTGGATTGAATTGATGTGGTTAAAAAGAGCTTTTGAAGCACATGATAAAGGTACATAAAAAACCTATCAGAGCTACCACAATTAACATATATTTTAACAGTTACTTTTGTTATATAGCTTGCAAACTAACATGCCATAGCACAAGAGCAACTCAATCTAGAGCCATCTTTCTGTTCTTATTGTAGAAGGGAGAATAATCTTCTCCCTTTTTCTGCTATATGCTCACTTATAACAAGTGATTATCATGGCTTCTGTGGTCATCATTTCTCTTTGCATGACTTCTAGAGGGTAGTTACGGAAATGTTGCTGGATCAGGGGACAGGGGCTGAGTTGAACTGATGGCCAGCCACAAACCCTAAGAAACACAGAAATGGAATTCCTGCCCATGAAGATGCTTTCCTCTCTTGCTACAAGACCTAGGCATTTTTCTGTCTCTTCTCTACATCCTCCATTCCCCATAGCATGCAAATCCACAAGAAACAGCAGAGCTGTTTAAATGAGCTGATCCCACTCGCTGCTTGCTTAGTAGGAGAATAGGCTGTGGGCATGCCTTTCAGTTTAGTACTTACTTTCCAAACAGGATGAAACCAAAGTTATTCTCTATTCAAAAATTAAAAGGTGAAAGAAAGGGCAAAAGCATAGTATCGTCATTAATAAAACTAAGAGTGCTTGCACATGTACAGGGTACAATACTATTAACAACATTGGCAAGAATTTGGCATGGAGATATGTCCCTGGCAACTGTTTTGTGCCCTACAGCTGCACTAGGCATAACTCAAGAGAATCTAATTTGCATTACTCAGCATTAGACCTGGAAAGACCTAGCTCATCCATCAATGGTCCAGACACCAGCAGCATTTGAGGTGTAATTTGAAGTTGATGAACATTTGCTGTCTAGGAGTATACAGCTATTTTCTCTTTACACAAAAGAATCTGCACCTGTCTATTGCATTCAGGGCCAATCAGGGGTAAAAGTCTAATTTGTTTATGGTCTAGACTAGTAAAGCAATAATACACTCTTGGGTTACTCTTTTTACCCCATGATGGGAGGCCCCCTGGCCATCCCAACCTCCCAAAGACTCCACGTATTTATTCAGTGCCATGAGCTTGACACTTCTGCACTTCCTTGCCCACTCATACACCTACCACCTTCCCTGTTCTATTAACTAACACTCTTCAATAAAATCATGCATACCACTTTTCAAGGATCTTCTCACCATCATGATAAATAATGGTGATGAGTTAATCAAATTAAACATATTCAGTTATGACTTAAGTAATTTCTACAGGCTGCATAATTATCTACCTCAGGTAAGAGGTCCACAGCTGCATAAGAGCTTGAAGGGTAAGTGTCAATAATAAAAATTTCAAGTAAAACTTCACAGAGTAGATTTTTTTAAGCAAATAAACATTTTAGATTTCACAAATCATGCCTAGTTTTATCCCAATCGACCAGTGATTGCAGCACTACAACCACTTATAATAGAGATTCAACATGAGTCTCCTCGAACCTCGGTTAAATGTAAGCCATATCAAAAATCAAATCAAAATCTAAATGTGGTATCACTAGTCATGCAGAATGGCTAAAGTTTTTTATAAGTCAGAAAATAATAACTTCTGGAGAGGATGTGGGAAGACTTGATTTCTCATACACTGATATGTAAATTGATATAACCCCTTTAGCTCGTGGAATCTACCAAAGTGAAACACTGCGTATCCAGAAACTCCACTGTCAGATAGACACCTAACACAAATACCTATCTATGTTCACCCAAAAATATGTACTAGAATGTTCAGAACAGCATTGATTGTAATATCCCAGAACTAAAACTGCCTTCATGGCCATCAACTGTAAAAGGCGTAGTGTCGTATATTCACACAGTAGAATTCTATACAGCAATTTGATATATCTCAAAAACAATATTGAAATTAAAAAGCCATATACAAAAGAGAATATGCTGTATGATTTTGTTTATATAAAAGTACAAAACTGACTAAATTGTGCTGTTAAAGGGCATGATAGAGGTTACCTGCATAGGAGGAAAAGCAGAAAAAAACACAAGGGGGCACAAGAAAGGCTTCCGTGGTTCTGATTCTATTCCGTTTTTTGATGAGTGTGTTTGTTCTGTGAAAACGTATCAAGTGATATACTTAGGATAATATGTGCCTTTCTCCATGTGCATTATACTTCAATTAAAAGTCTTAATAACGTAAGCCATAACATACATTATTGAGTGTCCCCAAAAAGATTAGAGATGTAACCCCAAAATAAAGAGTTTCATTTAACTCAACGGTGATCCTGTCATTTGTAAATTTTTATAGAATCATTTTTGTATTAGTGAATAATAATTAACCTACTCATCAAATTTCCAAGGACGCATATAATTTTAAATACCTTGCTCTTGGTTATATATTGTTTTAATTTTGGATCCAGAAAATATAGTCCCTATAACTATTATGCTTATAGTCCAGTAGACAGAATTATATTAATGATCATAAATCTAGCAACTTAAATGATTTTTCTGGAATATTTTCAAGTCAATGCCCACATGTAGCATATGTAGTATATTTACAAAACCAAATTATTCACATATGTCTTTCTTTTGCCTTATTCCTTATTATGATGACGTAGACAAAGAAAGTCTACAAAATGACATGGAAATGCTTTAAGAAGAAATAAAAGTTGTTCCTAGATCAATGCTACTAACAGTCAAAGTGGTAATATTAAGCATCTTGCCAAAACAATTAACAGCTAATCATGTCTGGTGATCTGTGGGTTGTCAGTGGGAGTTAAGAAAATGATGAATAAAAGTGACAGATAAAGACCAAAGCCAGTAGATCAGTGTGCTAAAGATAAGACTTGATTTTATCCTCACACCTGGTCAGATTGAACCTCCTCCAGTCAAATTAACCCACTACCTTATCATTTCATCCTCTTTAACACTTTCATGCTATTCTGTCCAGAAATAAACCCAACTGCAGCTCAAGAATGCAATTTGTTTGGAAACTAATAACTTGTATAAGCATTGCCTACGGATAATTCTTTTATTTCTTTATGGGTGAGTTGCAGGAAGATACCTTCTTTGTCCAGTTGCATTAGCTCCGAATTACTGACCTTATCCTCTGTACCCACTTACTAGAGCAGAGCTTCTGAAACTTTAATGCATATACCAGTCACTTGGAGATCATTAAAAAGCAGATTCTTTTTTGTGAGATGGAGTCTCACTCTTTTACCCAGGCTGGAGTGCAGTGGCGTGATCTTGGTTCACTGCAACCTCCCCATCCCAGGTTCAAGTGGTTCTCTTGTAAAAGGCAGATTCTGATCTGGTCTGTTGAGGGTGGGGCCTGAGATTTGGCGTTTTTGAGGGGTCTGGTCCACAGACCGTATTCTGAGTAGCAAGTCCTAGAAGACTTGAAGGAGTCACTCTGACCTAGATTATTATGCATAATTCACAGTGGGGATTTCAAAAATGTAGGCTGCTCCAAAGAAGAACATTCTTAGTGTTCTTCTTAGTGTTCCAAAGAAGAAGTCACAAACACAATCATTGTGATCTAGAATGGCTTTTGGTTCAGGTCACTATGTGGGGTGAACAATGGGATGCTTTAATTATTAAGAGGATTCCCTTCCAAACCAAACCAACTCATAATGGTGGGGGGAATTTTCTGAATAAATGTATTCCCAGTGACACAGGACATATTAAAGTGCTTTGTGCCTGTTGCACTTAGGTTTGCACCCAGAGATTAAAGGATAGGTAGAGAAGCTAAGAAGACACACAGGACTTGCATAATGAGGAAGATTTAATGCTAGTATATCCCAGACTAAATCAATAACTGGCAACCTAACTGGGCCAGATATCAAGAGAACATGATTTGCCTTTCCCTTTCTTTGCTTTAATGGATTCTCTTGCGATTGGATAATTCCAGCCTTAAAAATTTTATGTTAAAAGTTCCCAAGACAAAATTCCATTTAAGAAGATAATGTGTATGTTGAAAAACTATGATACCTGAAACCTAAAACCACTTATTTTTGCAGATAACTAAAATGGCTTTTAAAAATTGATTTATTACTAGTTACCTTAACAAAATATCCTGCTCTATAATGTATAGAGTTTGAATCAGCTGGGCCTGACCATTATTGATGTTAATGTGTTCAGGGTGACTATATGGAAAAGAAATGAGAAGACATTAGTTAAATGATCAAGCAAGTCATTGGAGACTCCAAAGAACATTGATAAAGTGGTAGCCATTGGCAACCTCCCTGAATCTGCTTAACACTCACTTTTTAATCTTTTCTTGAGGTCTTTATTTTCATTGCTGCTAAATTTTTAAAAATACAAATGATTTCAGCCAGGTGCGGTGGCTCACGCCTGTAATCCCAGCACTTTGGGAGGCCGAGGCGGGTGGATCACGAGGTCAGGAGATCGAGACCATCCTGGCTAACACGGTGAAACCCCGTCTCTACTAAAAAATACAAAAAACTTAGCCGGGCGTGGTGGCGGGCACCTGTAGTCCCAGCTACTCGGGAGGCTGAGGCAGGAGAATGGCGTGAACCCGGGAGGTGGAGCTTGCAGTGAGCCGAGATGGCACCACTGCACTCCAGCCTGGGCAAAGAGTGAGACTCTGTCTCAAAAAAAAAAAAAAAAAATATATATATATATATATATATATATATATATATATATATATATATATAAATGATTTCAAAAGGCATATAAATTCTGTACCTATTACACACTTTTAGGTCTGACCACTTTGTTGCTACAACTTTCACTCCACTTGATATTTATCTTTACCTGTGTTCTCATTGTCCTCTCTCTTTCTATCAAATTGCTGGACTGAGTACACGCCCTCACACTGTGCCAGAAAATTGCTGAGGCCAAGGAGTCATCTTAGAAAACTGAGAACTACAGGAATATCAAAACAAGCCAATCATATATCGACCTACTTAGGATCTTCTTTTCTTTTTTTTTTTTTTTTTTTTTTTTTTGAGACGGAGACTTGCTCTGTCGCCCAGGCTGGAGTGCAGTGGCTCAATCTCGGCTCACTACAGCCTCTGCCCCACCGGGTTCCAGCAATTCTCCTGTCTCAGCCTCCTGGGTAGCTTGGATTACAGGCACACGCCACCATCACACCCAGCTAATTTTGTATTTTTAGTAGAGACGAGCTTTCGCCATGTTGGCCAGGCTGGTCTCGAACTCCTGACCTCAGGTGATCCGCCTGCCTCGGCCTCCCAAAGTGCTGGGATTATAGGTGTGAGCCACCGTGCTCGGCCAGGATCTTCTTTTTCTTTTACTCTAGGCACCAACTGAAAGATTCAGACAAAACAAATTATTTACGGTATAGCTAAAACCACCTGCTCAGAGTACAGGCCAGAAAGTGGCTTTTTTGACCCACAAAAAATTTACCTTTATCCTTAAACACCAAGTATACAGGTATTGGTTGACTTCTCTATAGGTACAGTACGGCATTAATTTGCATTAAGAGCGCATACTTTGGTCCTAGATTGCCAGGTTCAAATTTCAGCTCTGCTGCTGACTAATAACAGGACTTTGGTCACAGTGCTTTGTGTTGCTCCACTTTGGTTTCCCTGTTAGTAAAACTGTGGTGACAATAGTGCTGGCCTCTTAGGGAGGTGATTAGAATTAAATGGGTAAATAGACTTACAGAATTAGGATCGTGCCAAGCACAGGAGAGGCACTATTACTGTGTTTCAACTCAGTCAGAGATGGCTTAGGGAATAATTATGCACAAGTCTAGCTAAATTAGTTATAGGCATATGCATTCTCCGTAAAATTATGCAGCCCAAATAAATTGTTAATAATAGTTTTTATTGTTGTGGGAAATTCTAGATGGGCTGTTAAGGGAATAAAGTGAAAAACTGGTCTGGACAAGAGAGGAAACCCAAAGAAGCAAACCTGGGAGGTCTAGGTAAAGTTCTCTGATTGGTGGTGGTGACGGGTGGGGGACAAACAGAGATGGGTGGTGATGGCTGGGGGACAAAAAGAGAAAATACCTGGAGTCTCAGGTATTTTCATCCCACCCCCACCTCCCTCATCTGTTGCCTCCCTCCGTGAGTCACTGCCAATCAGCTGATCTCCAAAGCAGCATAGGATTCCCCAGGCTACAGGCCATATATCCCCAGATTTCCATCTAGGGATAGCTTTGGGTCAGAGTCTGGAGACCAGTCATATGCATATAAAGTCAAAAAAATCAACATCCTATGGTCCAGTATAGTTGAAAGCAATAACCAGGCCAGGCGCAGTGGCTCACGCCTATAATCCCAGCACTGTGGGAGGCAGAGGCAGGAGGATCACCTGAGGCCAGGAGTTCGAGACCAGCCTGGCCAATATGGTGAAACCCCATCTCTACTAAAAATACAAAAAATTAGTTGGGTGTGGTGGTGGGCGCCTGTAATCCCAGCTACTCAGGAGGCTGATGCGGGAGAATCACTTGAACCTGGGAGGTGGAGGTTGCAATGAGCCAAGATCGTGCCACTGCACTCCAGCCTGGGCGACAGAGTGAGACACCGTCTCAAGGAAAAAAAAAAAGAAAGAAAGCAATAACAAAAAATGGACTTGTAGCATCACTACAGCTCCCACTGGGACTTCGCTCGGGAATGAAGTTTCTCTGATTATTTGTGAACCCCTTTTCCACCATCTACGACAATAATCTTACAGGTAACAATGCTCACTCTCATTAATATGTAAACTCCACATGCTTTATGTTATGTAATATTTCCACCAACCCTATGAGGAGTGTCTTTTCTCATTCCTGTCACAAGGCTCAGAAATATTAAGTTAGTTACCAAAAGTCACAGCAGATATAGAACTAAGATTTTTGAACAAGATCTCTGATTCCAAAGAAAACACCCTATAACCAAGACAATCCTAAGCAAAAAGAACAAAGCTGGAGGTATCATGCTACCTGACTTCAAACTATACTACAAGGCTACAGTAACCAAAACCACATGTACTGGTACCAAAACAGACACATTGACCAATGGAACAGAACAGAGACCTCAGAAATAATACCACATATCTACAACCATCCGATCTTCAACAAATCTCACAAAAACAAGCAATGAGGAAAGGATCTCCTATTCAATAAATGGTGCTGGGAAAACTGGTTGGCCATATGCAGGAAATTGAAACTGAATCCCTTCCTTAAACTTTATACAAAATTTAACTCAAGGTGGATTAAAGACCTAAATGTAAAACCCAAAACCATAAAAACCCTAGAAAAAAAGCCTAGGCAATACCATTCAGGACATAAACAAGGGTGAAGATTTCATGACAAAAACACCAAAAGCAATTGCAACAAAAGCCAAAATTGACAAATGGGATCTAATTAAAGAGCTTCTGCACAGCAAAAGAAACTATCATCAGAGTGAACAGGCAACCTACAGAATGGGAGAAAATTTTTGCCATCTACCCATCTGACAAAGGTCTAATATCCAGAATTTCCAAGGAACTTAAACAAATTTGCAAGAAAAAAACAACCCCATCAAAAAGTGGGCAAAGGATATGAACAGACACTTCTCAAAAGAAGACATTTACATGGCCAAAAAAACATGAAAAAAAAGCTCAAAATCACTGATCATTAGAGAAACGCAAATCAAAACTACAAGTAGATACCACCTCACGCCAGTCAGAATGGCAATTATTAAAAAGTCAAGAAACAATGGATCCTGGTGAAGCTGTGGAGAAATAGGAATGGTTTCACAGTGTTGGTGGGAATGTAAATTAGTTCAACCATTGTGGAAGACAGTATGGTGATTCCTCAAGGACCTATAACCAGAACTACCATTTGACCCAGCCATCCCATTACTGGGTATATACACAAAGGAATATAAATCATTCTACTATAAAGACACATGCACTTGTATGCTCACTGCAGCACTACTTACAATAGCAAAGTCATGGGACCAACTCAAATGCCCATCAGTGATAGACTGGATAAAGAAAATGTGGTACATATATACCATAGAATACTGCACAGCCATAAAAAGGAATGAGATTATGTCCTTTGCAGGGACATGGATGAAGGTGGAAGCCATCATCCTCAACAACTAACATAGGAACAGAAAACCAAACACCACTTATTCTCACTCATAAGTGGTAGTTGAACAATGAGAACACATGGACACAGGGAGGGGAACAATACACACCAGGCCCTGTTGGGGGTGGGGGCAAGGAAAGGGAACTTAGAGGATGGGTCAATAGGTGCAGTAAACAACCATGGCACATGTATACCTATGTAACAAACCTGCACGTTCTGCATAGGTATCCCGGAACTTAAAGTAAGATTAACAAAAATAAAAATTAGGCTTGGCATGGTGGCTCACACCTGAAATCCCAGCACGTTGGGAGGCTGAGGTGGGCAGATCACGAGGTCAAGAGATAGAGACCATCCTGGCCAACATGGTGAAACCGCATCTCTACTAAAAATACAAAAATCAGCTGGGCGTGGCAGCATGTGCCTTTCGTCCCAGCTGCTCGGGAGGCTGAGGCAGAAGAATCGCTTGAACCCGGGAGGCAGGGGTTGCAGTGAGCCAAGATCACACCACTGCACTCCAGCCTGGGCAACAGAGCGAGCCTCTGTCTCAAAAAAAAAAAAAAAAAAGAAAGAAAAAAAAAGAAGAAATCAAGATCTTAAAGAGAAAAAATAAGTAAGATTTCTGGTTCCTCTATTCTACCCAGTTACATAGATTAAGCTAAAATTCGTGTCTTCTCTCAAGACTTGAACAATTCTCCAAAGCTGTCATCCACTCCTATGACTCTCATACACATTGCACATTCCCCTTCTGGGGCACCTGTAAGACTGAATCATAATTATTTGAGTACAGGCTGTAAACAACTCAGTGTAGGACCAATGTCTAGTTATTTCTTATTTAGTGCTTAGAATAAAATGAATATTCAATAATTTTTATTTTGGCCAGTTGTGGTGGCTCAAACCTATAATCCCAATGCCTCAGGAGGCAGAGGTGGGAGGATCACTGGAAGCCAGGAGTTCGAGACCAGTCTGGACAACATAGTGAGATCCTGTCTCTACATTAAAAAAAAAAAAATTAGCCGGGTCTGGTGGCACATGCCTGTAATCCCAGCTACTCAGGAGGCTGAAGTGGGAGGACTGCTTGAGCCCAAGAGTTTGAGGTTGCAGTAAGTTACGATCACGTCACTACGTTCCAGCCTGGGTGATAGAGCGAGCCTCTGTCTCAAAAAATAGTAATAATAAAAAGAATAATTTAAATTAAAAATAATTTTTACTTTAATTACTTATAGAGGGGGTCTCACTGTGTTGCCCAGGCTGGCATGCTTTAGCTATTCACAGGTGTGATTCCAATACTGATCAGCAGGGGTGTTTTGACCTGTTCTGTTTCCAGCCTGGGCCAGTTCACCCCTCCTTAGGCAACCCAGTGGTCCCACTCCCCCAGAAGGTCCCCATATCGATGTCCAACTTAGTGCATTCACCCAATCAGCATAGTGCACTACAGCCCAGAACTCCTGGACTCAAGAGACCCTCCCAGCTCAGCCTCCTGAGGAGCTGTGACTACAGGCACTGCCACCTCCACCTCACCCGGCAATGTTGAATAATTTTTTTGTTTTTTTGAGACAGAGTCTCGCTTTGTCACCCAGGCTGGAGTGCAGTGGCTTGGTCTTGGCTCATTGCAACCTCTGCCTCCCGGGTTCAAGCAATTCTTCTGCCTCAGCTTCCTGAGTGGCTGGGATTAGAGGTGCCTGCCACCAAGCCTGGCTAATGTTTGTATTTTTAATAAAGACAGGGTTTCACCACATAGGCCAGGCTCGTCTGGAACTCCTGACCTCAGGTGATCTGCCCCGCTCGGCCTCCCAAAGTGCGGGGATGACAGGCATGAGCCACCGCACCTGGCCTGTTGAATAATTTTTGAACATGAATTAATAGGCAAACCATAGCAGGAAAAGTGATGACCTCTCTGAAACACTCATGTGGCTGATGCCCTCTGATCAGTTCACTCTGACTTCCATAGGAGTGCTTTGTGTGCAAATGAGATCTTGCTAATAAATTAAAATGTATGTCCATAGAGGGGCTATATTATGTCATGAGTAAGAGTTTGGGTTCTCATATCAATCCTGGCTTGAATCTCAACTCCATCCCTACTTAGCTTTGTAATTTTGGGAAATCACTTATCCAGATTTTAGTTTCCTCATTTACCAAATAGGTATATAATAATCCTTACATTTTATGGTTATTTTGAGGAATAAAGAAGCTAACACATGTGTAACTCACACGCCAGCTGAGGTCACCCTGCCTCATGAGATTAAAGATTTGCTTGAAGCCTTGCTCAAACACTTTGGAAAGTCCAACTCCCTCCAAAAAGAGTTCTGCACAATCCCATGGAGTTGATGTTCCCCTTTCCTGCCCACGACCTTCCTCCCTCTCGGTGGGTAAAGAGACAAGAGACAGGGTAGTAGGTGACTGGCAGCTAGTAGCAGGACTCTTACCAAGGAAGCTGCATGTGCAGTTAGGGGTCAGGGCACTCTCATTCTGGTAGGGGAGGAATGACTCCTTTCTCCTCTCCCTGCTTGCATAGGAAGTTTTAAAGTTTGGGCCTTCCAAGCTTCTGGGGAAGAATGAGGGACAGGCTGAAACCCATAAGAAGGGCTTAGCTTGGCTAGTAACCATGGCAACAGGGGAATGACTGTTGGGCCATGCCCATAGCTGCCTCCTTCCCAGTAAGCCCCTGAAGGAACCCTTGAAACTACCATGTTGTGAGAGCTGAAGGAGACAAAATGTACAGTAGTAATTATTATAAATTTTTTAAGGCTTTGCTCTCTGGGAAGAGAATGCCCTTTTATAACATGTGAGATGAGTTTTAAGCTTTTGAAAATTTACTATTTTGAAAAACATCTTCGAAAAGCATAATTTATGAAAATAGTGGGTGATCTGAGTGCCTCCTTTTTTTTTTTTTTTTTTGAGACAGAGCCTCGCTTTGTCACCCAAGCTGGAGGGCAGTGGTGAGATCTTGGCTCACTGCAACCTCCGCCTCCCTGGTTCAAGCGATTCTCCTGCCTCAGCCTCCTGAGTAGCTGGATAACAGGTGTGCATCACCACGCCTGGCTAATTTTTTTGTATTTTTAGTGGAGATGGGGTTTCACCATGTTGGTCAGGCTGATCTCGAACACCTGACCTCGTGATCCACCCACCTCGGCCTCCCAAAGCGCGTTACAGGCGTGAGCCACTGCACCCAGCCTTGAGTGCCTAGTTTTTGATGTAGTTAGCACAGTGGTCTTCATACTCATTAAAGTGGCAGAGCACACGGAAGTACAGGTGCTTATGATGAAACACCAGAAAACTGTCACTTATTTAATTTAAAATAAATATGTCATTTAGAACTAAAACAGATACCATCTAATAGATATTAAAATAAGAAAGTGGTAATGTGTGGCAAAGATTTAACAAACATGAAATTGAGAATATTATTTCCATTAGCTTAATTTGTAAAAGTTAAAATAGTAAAAGACTATTATTAAAATAGTAAAAGACTCAAATAGTAAAGGACTGCCATTGTTCAATGGGGGAGGACAACTAGGTCCAGCAGACAGAATGCAATGGCTTTAAGAAGTACTTACTTGTGGCCAGGCACGGTGGCTCATATCTGTAATCCCTGCACTTTGGGAGGCCAAGGCAGGTGGATCACCTGAGGTCAGGAGTTCAAGACCAGCCTGGCCAACATGGTGAAACCCTGTCTATACTAAAAATACCAAAATTAGCCGGGTGTGGTGGCACACACCTATAGTACCAGCTACTTGGGAGGCTGAGGCAGGAGAATCGCTTGAATCCAGGAGACGGAGGTTGCAGTGAGCTGAGATCACACCACTGTACTCCAGCCTGGGTGAAAGAGCGAGACTCTGTCTAAAAAAAAAAAAGAAGTACTGGCTAGGCGGGGTGGCTCACGCCTGCAATCCCAGCACTTTGGGAGGCTGAGGTGGTGGATCACCTGAGGTCAGGAGTTCGAGACTAGCCTGACCAACATGGCGAAACCCCGTCTCTACTAAAAATGCAAAAATTAGCAGGGCATAGTGGCACGCACCTGTAGTCTCAGCTACTCGGGAGGCTGAGGCAGGAGAATCACTTGAACCCAGGAGGTGGAGTTTGCAGTGAGCCGAGATCGTGCCACTGCACTCCAGAGCAAGACTCTGTCTCAAAAAAAAGAAAAAAAAAAAAAAGTACTTACTTGGGACTTTGATTTTAAGCTACATCAATAAATCACTGACATAGCTTACTCCATGACATAGAATCATTTATTCATCTGTTCATCAAAATGTGCCAGCATTGTCTCCTGCACAGCACTGACCTGGGGGCTACACCATGAACATTATGAACAGATTACAGGTCCCTGATGTTGATGAGTCCACAGTCTAAGGCAAAGGAGGACATTTTTCAACAATATGTGGTGGAGTCTATAACACACATGAGCACAGGGGACCAGGAAGAGGAAGGGCCTCTACTACACTCTAATGGTGAGAGAAAGACAGAAATAGAAAAAGCTTCCAGCAAGTGACAGTAGCTAAGCTGATAACTTATAGAATACTGTACATTTTAATTGGGCCATCCATAGGAGAATATTTACTTAAAGAAATACTCTACATGTGTCTTTGTCTCCTAGAATGAGTGAACTAGATGAAATGAACAATTAGATCTGTGTGTAAAGATAAATCTCAAAATCATAATACTAAATGAAAAATCAAAGTTACAGACTGATGTATACATTACAGTGCCATTTAAGTAAGTTTAAAAACATACAATAGCAACACTTGTTTAGGGATAAATACCTGTGTAGTCAAAGTATGGAAGCACATACTAGAAGTCAGATACATACCAAAATCATGAGCACAGTTGTCTCTGGAGAAGGAGGAAAATAGGACCAGGTACAAAGAGGCTCCAGCTGGATCAGTAATATTTCAGTTTTACAAATATAAATGAAGGGAATATTATAAAATGTTAACATTTATTCATTGTGAGTGGTGGGCACAATGACATTGATGACACTAGTTTCTGAATGTTTAAGTATTAAAAAGTCTTTTTCCTAGTTTTAAAACACTACCCTAAAAATCTAATTCAACATCAATACTAGAAAACAGCCTACTTGCAAGGAAGAAATGAAATCTTATATAAATTATCATCAAAGGTAGTTTAGTTTACTGTATTTTTGCTGCCGACACATCAAGACTCTTTTTCAGTGTATCTAAATCATCAGGTACTTCTTTGTATCTTCATATGACAACTGCAAAATATATGGTTCCAACACTGAAAGTGATAAACTAGGATTTCATCTCTTGTTCCTAGAGCTTCCAAAGATAAAAGGTAAGGAAAAGAATAAGTAGGGAGGAAGCCATGGGCCTCAGAGGCTACAGGGATGTTATAGCCTCCGAGTAGCAATTGCCAAACTATGATCAAGGCCCACTGGCTAAGCAGAGAACCCCTTAGTTCACGTACCCCACTCATTCCGAGTTTCTAGCAGAAAAAAAAAAATGATGATTAGAATAAAATACCACTTTAGAAGCTGATAGGGGGGTGCCACTGATTATATGAACAGTAGGGACTGAATGATATTCAAGCTATCAACAGATGTCTAAAAATCTATATATCAGGAAGTTATAGGGTAAAACTCTGTTGATGAAAATATATACTATCACAGGCTAACTGGGCAAATCACAGCAAATTAAAATGATAAAGATGAAGCAAAACCAATAATAACTTGTAACTAAAAAGCTAGAATATTAGTAGTTGAAAACCACGGAAAACTCCAATCAAAACTGATGATTCTGGCAGGAATTCCTAGTATCTCACTGAGTAAAAGCCAAATTATTGTGTGTCCACTAAACTTATAAATAAAATGCCAAACTAGTCTTCTGCAAACGCTAATAATTTTGATTTATGACTGCCATATAGAATGATGTGAATCCAAGCCACAGCACTCCATGCAAGAAAAATTTTATAACTTTTAAAATGGGGACCTCTAAGTCCCTACTTCCCAGGTTAATGAGACGCCCGAAATCATTACTGGAGAGCAGGCTCACTCTACTTGTACAGTCCAATCAGAGTCTTTGAACTTATACAGAGGGTCTTTGGTCCATCACTGTCACTGCTGAGATGTACACTGTCTAAGGCAGCCTAGTCCATTTTGAATGAAGGCAGGTGTCTCCAGTCCTTCAGGTCTAACATAGACCCCCAAGTCTCATGTTGCTCCTAGGCAGCCTTGCCTTCCAGTCTCATGAAGTGCACCATGCAGGCAACTCATCAGTAAACAAATTTAACCTGAGCTTCTGCTGGGCTCACAAATCCCCAAGACTGTCTCTTTCTCAACCTCTGCCTTCTCACTTTAGTTCAGTCCATTCTGACTTTTCCAACTCCCAACAGCCCTTATTAATCTCTTCAATGGCCCTGAACTTCTACTTACCTGTAGGAGGAGTGAGGTAATATACAGTGTGCTAAGAACCTTGGAATCATATTGGCACTCTGTTTTGGGGGGAGCAGCATGTCAGGGAAGCCGATGCTTTATTCTTCTTGGGTTAGCCTACAGCTGGAGAAAAAAAAATCCCAAAATTACACAAAACCCCAAACCAAAAAATAAAATAAAACAAACAAAAATAATGTGGGGTATTTTCCCTTAATAGCTCATTCTCTTACCATATTTTAGTAATACTTAATTAGAATTTATCAATACGTAGCACTTACTCATAAGCATAAATAAAGGCTTATGGGAATGTTTACTCTTAAAGATTTTTAGAAACAACTTTCTTTTTTGATTAGAGGTTCATGGTGAGATCACTGCTGGGCTGAAGATGATACTTTGAGTAACAATGAATCGGGATGGGAGGTGGTCACAGACACTGCTTGCTTCTTTTTCTTGTCATTTCCCCTCTACCTGCTGAAGATGTTGCTGGCTATTTCCTCCAGAACCTGAGCTAGAATGGCCAGGATCCTGCTCTGCCTTTAGCTCGGGCTACAGACTCCCTCCTTTCCCAAGATGCAAAACCTTCATCCCACTCCCACACTATATCATCTCACGGGCTCCCCATTCTTATCTCCCTCCAACTGTCGGCAGGGTCAGGGCCTCAGGCCACTTCGCAACAGGGCTGTCTGCTTTGAGGACTAAAGAAGCTTCACTAGAAGTAGAGATTTATTAAGGAGTGGTAATCAGCTCCTGCAGGTGGGTGTAAGCCAAACAAAACCCACTGTCAGTTTAATTTCCAAGAAGAGATGGTGGATACATCTTTTTTTATTCATATGGACCAAAGAAATTACTGAGAGTGGCAGAGGGTAGTGTATTAGTCTGTTTTCACATTGCCATGAAGAACTACTTGAGACTGGGTAATTTATGAAGAAAAGAGGTTTAATTGACTCACAGTGCTGCATGGCTGGGAAGGCCTCAGGAAACTTACAATCCTGGCAGAAGGCAAAGGGAAAGCAAGGCACATCTTAATGACAGCAAGAGAGAGACAGCAAAGAAAGGCGCACACTTTTAAACCATCAGATCTCATGAGAACTCCCTCACTATCATGAGAACAGCATGGGAGAACCACCCCCATGATCCAACCACCTCCCACCAGATCCCTCCCCCGATACGTGGGGATTGCAATTTGAGATGAGATTTGGGTGGGGACACAGAACCAAACCATATCAGGTGGACTTAGCAGGAGGTAGATATTGGATTGGTGTAAGGAAGAACTCAAATGAACCCAAGTGAACTCAATGGAGCTAACTGCTTCAGACACTGGAGATGCAGGGAGACCATGTATTACAGACCAGGGAAATTAAAGACTTTTTTTTTTTTTTTTTTTGGCTGCAAAGCACTCATTCTCTTTTCTGGCAATAGCACACTGATTTTCTTTCAGAGAACCATTCTTTCACCTCTCTCTCTTCATAAAATTAACGTGAAACTGTTCCCTGGCTAAAAGAATTAACAGATAATTTGGGGGTGGAGAGCTATTCAGGTCTTCTTATCCACTTCGCCACAGTAATGATTCCAGGATAAGCACATGACCCAAGTTGGTCCAGTCAGATTAAATTCTGAGACTTTTGCTAAAATTATTAAAGGAAAAATTTCTTCCCTCTTATGTAGTTTCTAAACTACTAGGAACAACCCTAAAAAAATAAAGGCCCATCTAAGAATAAAACCAAATAGAGGAAAACAAAAACAAAGAGCTGAAAGAGGAAGATTGATTCCTGATGATACCTTTTAGCCCCTGGATCCAGCTATGCCTGAAACCATTACTGCCAGTGAATTTTTCAGTCATGACAATCAATTGTCTTTTTTTGCTTAAGCCAGTTTGAGTTGCATGCCTTTCTATAATGTAACTGTTTTCTGTCAGTTAGAGAATCTAACTGATACAAGGAATGCCAAAGTGTTAGACAATGAGCTAGATGAGGTGATTCTAAAATTCAGTGAGTTGTTCTAATGATGGCTTTTTGTTATAAAAGTCATACATGTTAATTAAATTTTAAAATTGGAGAAACCAAAGGGGTATAAAGAAGAGAACAAATCACTCAGATTTACATTTCCTTATCCAGCAATAAAATATTGAGGATGAATGGACAAATAGGTAGGTAGACTTAATAATATATTATGAGCATATTCTTATGACCTTGCATATTTGTAGCAATTAATTATCTATGATGGTGTAGCATTCCATTTTATGGATATGGATCTATCTGTTTTGCTATTGTTGAGCATTTGAATTCTTTCCATTTTTCTCTATTACAAATAATGCTTTATTAACCTCTTTGTACATAAATTATTGTGTACATCTCTTATTTCCTTAAGACAAATTCCTGAAATAAGAATTATTGGATAACCACTATAAATAACTTTGAAACTATGAATATGCCTAAATTACTCTACAGGAAAGTTGTATATTCCCTCCTAGTATCAAAGAAGCCAGGCACAAAAAGAGCATTTTTTGTATGATTCCGTTTACATAAAATATTCTCACTAGGCAAATATATAGAGATGGAAAGTAGAAACCCCCCAGGGCTAGGGGGTTGGGAGAAAACGGGGAGTGACTTTTAGTGGGTACAAAAGTTTCTTTTTGAAGCGATAAAAATATTACACACTTAATTGTGGTAATGTTTGAACAATTATGTGAATATCTAAAAACCATTAACTGTCCATTTTAAATGGGTGAATGGTGTGGTAAATTATATCCCAATAAAATCAGTTAAAAATAAAGCTGAGAATGTAAATCATTTTTCTAGCATATGGGTTACAAATATTTGTCTTAGGCCTGATTTTGTTTATGGTGGTTTTTGTGGGGTACAGAAAAACTAAATATTCATGTGGTAAAATCTCTTAATTTTCATGGGCTTTTTTTTCTTTGCATGCTAGGAAAGACCATCCTACCATTATAATCAGAAAAATATCTATATATTCTTCTAGTTCTCTTTGAGTTTGATTTTTTTTTTACATTTAATTCCTTTGGAATGTGTTTTACATATTTTTGTAACTGTTTTGAGGGCTTTTACTGGATGGTGTTCTTAACCTCAGCTTTTCTTTTCCTTTTCTTTTTTTTTTTTTTTAATATCGGAAAAACATGATGATCAGTAGTTTCAGTGCCCCTAATCTAACTTTCTCTTTCTTTGTCTATTTTGTATTCAGACTGGAATATGGCTTTAGCTGCTGTGATAAATCAGGAACCGCCTCCCCCTGACCCCACCCCACCCCTGCATCCTGCAAATTACACTTGGCAAATTATATTGTTGGATATGTTACTTGTTGAGTTGACTTCAGAGCTATAATCTGGAAGTTTGTCTAATTGGACTGATTAGTTTTGGTCTTGTGGTCATGAAAGAACCAAGAAATAAGTCTGAAATATCAGATACATTCATCAGCCAAGATAGGGAGGTGTTGATGGCTTCCCTTTTATGTAACTCCAAATGGCTGCGGCATGTTTGGCTCATATTCTTTTGATTTGTGATTTAATTTTTACAAACTGTAGGAAGAAAATTGCTGCCAATGTTATGGTTTGAAGAGCTGGCTTTTCTATCCAAACACACAGAAAATGTAGTATAATGACTGGGCCCAGATAATGAGGCAGGAGGAGGGAAAGTAGAAGGTTGGCAAGAGAGCGTGTCCCTTTCTGCCATTTTGTGGGAAACCAGAAATGGCAAAGAATGAGAGTAAAAATATGCTCATTATTCCTGTCTTCAAAGGCTTCCTCAGTCTCTAATGAGCACTGTGTTGCTTCTTCACTTTTTTAAATGGCATTTAGCATGAGAGACACCACCTGAGGACATTTTCTAGACCTCAGAGAACTGTGCCAACTCAAGCATAGTAACATTTAAGGTCCTGCTGATGACACTGTCCTTCCCCAGATACAGGATCCCTCTCTTCCATTAAGAAACCAGGACTTGAGAGTATTACACTAAAATAAGACACTGACTTCTCTTCACTAGCAAAGGACTTCAAAAATTGACCTGGGCCCCACGCTGTCCTCAGCCCTTTGCAGTCTGAGTTCTCACCACCCAAATCACACTACATTTTCCAAAGTGACTGATTTCTTCTTGTTCACACATCACATGGCCTTTCCTCCTTTCTTTAGTCTTCATTCTCTCCCGAGGAAGCAGAGATGCCCTTGCCTGTTCCCTCCTTGTGATTCTCATCCTCCCTTGCCTCAGGAGTACCTTATATTCTTTGGGTCCACAGGGTGATGTGGTGAGGAGTACAGGCTGTGGACTCAAATCCTGAGTTGTGAACCTTAATGTCTCAGTAACTTGGTGACTCCATGTGCAACTGGGGAGAGTAACTGTGGCCACCTCATCCAGCTGTATTAAACGAGTTAATATATATAAAGACCTTAGAACAGTGCCTGCCGCAGAGTCCGCGTTTATACAGAGCTCACTGCTATGACTATCCCCACTACTGCTAGAGTTGTTGTTACGGCTTTAGCGGTTATATTTACTACTGTAGTATTTTCCTCCTACCTCTCTGATGCCTTTTCATTGGTCTCTTCTCAGCCCCTTCTGTCTTTCTTCAGCCTCCCAGGTGTTTGCAGGTCTTGGGCCTCATCTCTCTCCCCTGCTCCATTGGGGAAATCTCACTGAGTCAGGCACCTCTTTTGTGTCCCCCTCAGATCCTCTCAACTCCACTGTCTCCTCCAGCCAATGTTGTGATGACCATGTGCTCACAGACATTGACCAGGTTCACACTGGTGCAACCACAGCACCTCACTGTGGCTCCCTAACAGGCATCTCCTGCTTCTCATAATCGGCTTCTCTGTTGGATCACCTGCAGGAATCCTGCATAGAGACATGTAGAGAGAGGGGGACGGTTTGAAGAAGATGAGAAATGGAAGGGTCCATTGAAAAATAAGCTTTTCAAGACTGGGCGTGGTGGCTCACGCCTGTAATCCCGACACTTTGGAAGGCCAAGGCAGGCAGATCACCTGAGGTCAGGAGTTCAAGACCAGCCTGGCCAATATGGTGAAACCCTGTCTCTACTAAAAAAAAAAAAACAAAAATTAGCAGGGTGTGGTGGCGGGCGCCTGTAATCCCAGCTACTTGGGAGGCTGAGGTATGAGAATCACTTAAACGCAGGAGGCGGAGGTTGCAGTGAGCCAAGATTGCGCCACTGCACTTTAGCCTGAGAGACAGATTTTCGAGACTCCGTTTCAAAAAAAAAAAAAAAAAAAAAAGAAAGAAAAAAAGAAAAGAAAAGAAATAGAAAGAAAAATAAGCTTTCTGGCCAGGTGCAGTCACTCACACCTGTAATCCCAGCACTCTGGGAGGCCAAGGCAGGCAGATCAGCTAAGGCCAGAAGTTCGAGACCAGCCTGGCCAACAGGGTAAAACCCCGTCTCTACTAAAAATACAAAAATTAGCAGGGCGTGGTGACACACACCTGTAGTCCCAGCTACTCAGGAGGTGGCAGAGTCGTTTGAGCCTGGGAAGTGGAGGTTGCAGCAAGCCAAGATCATGCCCCCGCACTCCAGCCTGGGTGGCAGAGTGAGACTCCGTCTCAAAAAAAAAAAAAAAAAAAAAAAAGAGAAAGAAAGAGAAAAAGAAAAGAAGAGAAGAGAAAAGAGAAAAGAAAAGAAAAATAAGCTCCCCTGGGGGACTTCATGGAGCCAGTGAGAGCAAAGTTTTCAGGAGCTGGTGACAAAATGTGGTGGGAGGTTAGAGGTTGGCTTCTTCTCCCCTGCCGTTTTCCATCCTTCACATTGACCCAGAACAATTCTGGCACCCCAAAGAGAAGACTGTGGCAGCATCAGAAAATCTGTTTCCTGGGGACCGCCATCAGCAGAGGCGGTGCTGTCTCCTTGCTCAACCCAGGGCAGCAGCAGCAGCTGGGGAAGCCGCACTGGAGGGAGCAAGCTAGATGAAGTGGGAAAGCTGCTTTGTGGCCCCATAACAGGCATCCTTTTGGGGACTCGGAATTTACCAGGGCACACTGAAGTTGGAGATTCGCCCCTCAGGTAAGCTTGACCTTCCCAATCTTCATAGCCTTAAGCAACTTGTTCCCACCCAGACATTGCTGTGGTGACCAGCCATGAGTCTGTGAGTGAAATGCAACAGTCCCTCACCCCATGCCACATCTGCCACATGTTGCTTTCTGCCCCAGAGCTTCCTTATTGACACGGGGCTTTAAAAGCTGTGGGACCCCACAGTACCTGTGCACGCATCGCTGTAAGTATAAGGAAGATATTCCATATCGCAAACCTTTGACCTATGTGAAATGGAGCCAGGGAATAGATTCATCCCAATTCCTCGCATTGCATTCTCCTGGGAACTAATTTTTATATGGATTCTTAGAAGGTCGGGTAATCAGTCTCCCTTCAAAGGGTGGCAAGCTCAGTAGCGCACCCTCGTGGGGTCTCCTCACCTTTCCAGCCTCACTCCCCCATAGTCTCACTTCTGTTACCTGGGGTTGTGGTCCCTAACAAAGAAGTCCTCACAAGCTTTTGCCTCAGGCTTTACTTTCTGGGGAACAAAGAATAAGACAAAGTGGAGTTGTGGTTGGGCAGTGAGTCAGTAGGGCTGGAGCCAGTGTAATTTGGGACATGAAAATTCAATACTATCGCATTTTATATATCTCAGCCTAGTAAAGGCATGTTGTATTTTCATTAGATCAAAATATGGAGCCCTAAATCCTCCTAAATACAAGTCTCATATTTTCTCCCTGCTGGACAGCTTCACCAGGATGTCACTCAAATACTTCCAACTCAATATATCCAAAACTGACCCCATAATTTGGGCTGCCCAAACTTCCCTCAAACTGATAAAATGATCCATGTTGTATGTTCCCTGCGGCAATTGTCATTTTTTTATCCTAATCATTGTCCTAATTCACCAGACTAGAAAACTCAAAGTAAGCTTTAACCCCTCCTTCTCTAGACGATTCCATCGCTAGTCATCGCCCACTGGTTGTTTCTGCCTTCTTTATATCTTCTCCATTGTTCCTTTGTCACTGTCCTGGTTGAAGCTCCTGCTATCATTTGTGTGAAGCATTGTGAGAGTTTCCTAACTGGTCCCCCTGCTTCAGTCTTTCACCCCTCTGGTCCATCTTGCAAATTCCCCATCCACAAACCCATTATTGTATTCTTCCTTCACTTCAAGCTCTGAGATATTAAAAATACATTCAAGGTTACCTTTGCAAATTTCTTAAATATCTTGGCCTATGAAGCACTGTATAAACTATATATGCAAGCACATACTAGCAAGCAAACGTAAGTGCACTTAATTTATATCTCTTGGTAAGCCCAAAGTAGTTGGTTGTTCTTCTTGCATTAGAACAGATTGTTGTCTTCATGTTGAAGACTCAATGGGGTAGTTGACTTTGTGTTTAAGGGCTATCTTGTGTGAAAAATGTGTATGTTTAAATATGGTGATCATCTGCCGTGAGGTGAGATGGTCACATCATGAAAAGCGCTTGAGAACTGAGACTATTGAGGGAAAGAAATATTCACAACTCCCATCCCACACTCACTCTGGACTTGTGCTTATTGGTAGGAAGGTAGGCAGAACTAGCTGCTCTGTTTAAATTGTTCCCTTGTGTTCTCTCCCACATTTCCCAGGGCCTTAGTTGATTTGGGGTAAGGTAAATGCACATGAAATGTGACTGCACTGTAGACATTTTTGTATCACCCACAGACACAGTGAGGTGGCCTGCAGATAGTAGATACTCAGCAAATGAACAAACATGAAAATAAATGGAATCAAGAGAACTCAAACTAAGAGCTTCTGCACAGCAAAGGAAACAATGAAATGAAATGGCAGCCTATGGATTAGGAAAACATATTTGCAAACCATGTATATCTGACAAGGGGTTAATATCCAAAATTTATAAAGAACTCATGTAACTCAATTGTAGAAATTTTAAAATGAGCAAAAGAACTAAATAGACATTTCTCCAAAGAAGACAAAAATGTCCAACAGTTAGAAGAAAAGGCACTCAAGATCATTAATCATCAGAGAAAAGCAAATCAAAAACACTGTGGGATACCACCTCACACCACTTAAGATGGCTATTATCAAAAAGTCAAAAGATAACAAATGCTGTTGAGGGTATGGAGAGAAGGGAACACTTAACATTGTTGGTGGGGAGGTAGATTGGTACAGCCATTGTAGAAAGTAGTATGACGGTTTTGAAAGAAATTACAAGTAGTACTACCATAGGATCCTGCAATCCCTTTTATGGGCATATACCCAAAGGAAATGAAGTCACTACCTTGTAAAGATATCCACATTCCCAAGTTGATTGCAGTGTTATTCATAACAGCCAAGATGGAAATAACCTAAGTGTCTGTCAACAGACAGATGGGGAAAAAACTGACACTGCGACATACATACATACATACAAACACACGCACACACACACGTATACATATTTAATGGAATATTACCCAGCCCTTAAAAAGAATGAGATCTTGCCATTTGCCAGAACATGGGCGAGCCTGAAGAACATGGCTAAGTGAAGTAAGCCATATGCAGAAAGAAAAATGTTACATGATCTCACTTATATGTGGAATCTTAAAAAAAAACCCATCAAATATACAGAGATAGAGAACAGGAGCAGAAGGTGGGTGGGGAGGAAATGGGGAGATGTAGGTCTGAGGTTACAAAGTAATAGACGTGTAGGATGAGCAAGTATAGACATCTAATGAACAACATGAGGACTACAGGTAATAAAATTATGCTACATTTGGGATTCATGCTAAATTCGATTTTAGTTGCTCCTGCCACAAAAACCAAAAGAGGAGAACTATGTGACATTGTGGATATGTTAATTTGCTTTACTGCAGTAACCTTTTTGCTATCTATGTGTATCCCACAATATCATGCTGTTTACTTTCAATATACACAATAAAATTCATTTTTTAAAAAAAGAGACAGAATTCAATACTAGTCCTGGTTCTAGCATAGCAAACTATATGGTTTGGGTAAGTCACTTTACCATCCTACAACTAAATGTGAATCACACAAGTCTATAATTGGTTTATTCGCCCAAGTCGCTTTGTCTTGCTTGTACACATATAAATATAAGCCTATTATTATTAATAACAGTGACTATTATATATTGAGAATATATTTCGTACAGAAACTAGAGAAGGATCTTTTTACAAAGTGCTTATAATTCTCATATTAACCCTATGAAGAAGCTACAAAGCTCTTCTAATTATGAACACGTTCCACAGTGTATTTTCCAATCTCTTGGCTATAGAGCCAAGAGAGTCATTCTACGAGTGTCCACTAACATCGTCTCTTGGTGTTAGGCAGCATTAACAAGCTTTGGCTTTTACAGGAAGATTTGGACTGATACACTGCAATTTGCTGAATCTAAGGCACTGAAAAATTTTAAGACACTTGCTATTAAGACATTCTTAAAATAGGAATGTTTTAAGAATAAAAAAGCAAAAAGTATTTCTAATTAAATAGAAACACTACACTTTCTTGTCACTTACAATGTTCATCTTACACTTACTGAAAAAGCTCCTTCAGTCTTAGCCTTTTTAAACCATATATCACTCTTCTGCACACATACAGAGGACAATATAAGTGAAATAGACTAGTTAAAGTGTCCTAAACCTGCTGCACATTCGGAGGCTGAGTTTTCTGAATTACTCACTAAGAATTGCTGTTGCCCATGTTTTTCAATGCAGTACTGTCCTCTGTACATCAACAGTGTTGGTGATGCATTTCTTAAAAGAACCCATGAAAGAATCAAACCACTGGTTCTGAATTCTTAAGTCTGCTTTGCAATTATGTAGAGTTGGCTGACTTTGACTACAGCTTTGGAGATACTGCTAATACTTCTGATTCATTACCTCTTCACCCCCTCCCTATCATCATTTAGTTTCTAAAGGTTAAAAGAATGTTCCACTGTTCTCTACACTTGCAATTTTCTTCCAAGCCTCCTTCGGCAATTTTACAGTTTCGATGTTTACACACACACAATGATAACTGCATTGAAACAACAGTTATTGTAGACAACTATTGACTATAAAACACACTCCATTTCAGAGATGTTAAAATGAGGGGGGAAAGTGGGGACATCTTAGAAGCAATCAAATGTGTTCAATTGCAAGTTCACAGGCAGAGGAGCTTTGACATTAAAATTCCAAGTTTAGAGAGGAGGAAACTGGGCCAGGCACAGTGGCTTATGCCTGTAATCCCAGCACTTTGGGAGGCCAAGGTGGGAGAATCACTTGAGGCCAAGAGTTCCAGGCCAGCCTGGGCAACATAGCAAGACCCTGTCTCTACAAAAACATTATTTTAAAAATTAGCCAGCCATTGTGTTGCGTGCCTGTAGACCTAACTACTTAGGAGGCTGTGGCAGGAGGATCTCTTGAGCCCAGGAGTTCAAGACTGCAGTGACCTACGATTGCGCCACTGAACTCCAGCCTGGGTGACAGAGCGAAAACTCTCTCTCTTAAAAATAAAATAAAATAATAAAATAAAATAAAGAAGAAACTAGCTCAGAGAGGATCAGTAAAATTTGCCTAAGGCCACACTGTCCCGTGTGATTCCAAAGCACCCTCTACCGCATCACATACCCTTCCTTCCCAGCCAGTCTGCCAGTTAGTTTTCAGTCTTAAAAGAGCTCCACATTCCTTATTCTTGAAACTTTAGTGGGGCCTCCAGTCACCAGTCATCACCTCCACGGTGACCTCAGTGGGTGTTGTTGCTGGATCATTTCCCCCAGTGTCTTTGCTGCAAAGACACTGGGGGAAATTATTACTACAGTTAACAAGAGACCTTCAGTCTCCAAGAAACCAGATGAGACAAATAACATCACATGACCAAAATTAAGACATTTGTACCAGAGAAGAATGAAACGAAGCAGTTTTAACTGATCAGAGATTTGGCAACACATTTTATAGATTTCATTGTGCACCATTCAGAGTGCTGGCAGCCAATGAAGCCAAGTGCAAAATTCCAATTATTGCCTCATTTTTACCTAAAGTGTACATTTTTCTCTGGTTTCTCCTAAATTTTAATGCTTTCATTATACATCTGAAAATCTGGTATAGATTTAAGTGTTTCCAGATAATATCAGAGTTTTCTGTTAATTTGCTACACTTCTGTATGACTTCTGATCATGATTGGTAAACTTTAGGTATTAACTTTCCTAGTGCTGGTTCATTCCTGATCTGCTGGGCTATCTTGAGTACGTAAGAAGTCATCTTCCAGAAGGCATCTACTGTAGGTTTCATTATATATATATATACACATATATATACACACACACACATACCCAGCAACATATATGACACGGACAAAACTATTAAAATAGATCATTTGCCCCCTTTCTGCTACCAAGAAGAAAATATTCTTTGTTGTTTGACATGCTAAAGGGCTGGGGCCTCTGTTTTAATAATTGTAGTAATGGGTAGAGTTGCAGAACTGAAGCCACCAGAAGCAGGGAGTAGATTTGCAGAGTAATGCACATAGGAAAGGGCATCAAGCCACCCCAGGAAGGAAAAATCTACAAAGAGAATCAACAGAGACTATGTACTAGCCAGAGTTTTCAGAAAGATATGGAAAAGAGCTAACAAGCTACCTCTAAGACAATGAACCTTTAAGGAGACAACAATATAATACGAATTTTTAGGAAGTTTTACTTTACTTAGTGCTGTGAGATGTAATTCTGTCCCTTTGCAGAATCTTTAAAAAATACTTTAGTAGAAACACATTATTTTGCAAGGCTTTAGAGGATTCAGAATTACATTTCCTTTGGAAGGGGTACTTTACTAAGAGAAAAAAGCCTTAGAACAAGAGATAGAAAGCCCTTCTTTAGGTCAGTTACAACATATAACCTCATGGGCATATAACTTCATATAACATATAACCTCAGGGCCCAGAATACTCTCTTGTCTGGGATTAATAAACCTGTGGAAGACTGACTGTCCACACCTGAGCCAGTCTTCTTTTCTAAGGCCAGACAAAAAATTTTCCATGTTAAAAACAGAGGTGGTGATTGAAAGCAGATATGGAGTAAAGGAGAAAACATATTGACTAATCTCTGTGCATAGTCCTCTGAATGGTATAGAACATGGTGCATTGACCCTTCCTGACTTCAAGAAGTCCTCTCGATAAAATTCCAACAAAGGTGAGAATGCCTGGAGTTCTTTGTGCTTTCCTTAAAGTGCAGGAAAAATAGGAGCTCAAATGGAACCTCTATTACAAATACTGGACCAGCCAAACATATTAACAATAAAATTTCCAAATATTTTGCCAACCCCAATTTTTCAGAGGTTGGTTTAACACTCCTCTCTCCTACTCTCTGATATTATTGTAACTGCTAAGTAACACTTTATTATATAAATATGGCCTGTCAGGTCTAATTGCTGTGTGCAAATTTTGCTAAATCACAAAGTAAGGGTACATATGAAGCTGCTTATAGAAAATTGCAAAGTATTTAAGTGATGAGAAGAGAATGTTTTGATTGGCAGAAATATACATTTACTCTACCTAAAATTGAGGCGGCTACAAAGTCAAGTTTCCATACATAAATGATCTTTACCTGAAAAATTTTGTAAGAAACACCAAAAATGAAAAGAATAGCCAGGAAAAATGATCCCTGTGAGACAATGTATGTCACCAGCATAATACAACATGTAAATATCATTTTGTGTTAGATCCCCAAAACACATAGCCCTAAAAAAAAAAAAAAAAAAGAGTCTGATTTTGAATTTTGTTCTCCATTTACCATGGCATGGTTTGGATTGAAAATTAACAGTGAATAAAGCATGTAAATAATTAAGTTTGAAATGATAGTCATTACCACTTTCAAAGGGCTAAGTTCTCCTTTCTAATACTAGAAAATCCCTATTTTCTTCAAACATTCAAAGGTACTTAGGCTCCTAAGCTGTGGCATTAGTTCAATAACAGGCCAGGAGCACATGAGAGAGAGTTGCATTCATGAAACTTTCAGGCAGCATTTGTGTGTAGCTTTAAAGAGAATACTAAAATGCTTTTTAGGAATGACATCAACATTCAGGGTTGTGCCATTTCAGGGTTTAGCCTGATTTTCCCCGAGCTCCTGTTTGTTGCTAAGATATATATCTTTGTATTTTCACCCACAAAACAATTATACTGGTAGTCATGCTATGTTCAGATACCCAGATGAGGATCTATTACACTGAGATTTGCACACACCCCTTGCAAACCACAACTTCCAAGTTTTCATTTGGCCAAGTGTCTTCCAGTGAGTAGAGAAACCATCATTACCTGATCTCTACTTGTTAGGAAAATAACCCATCCCTAGGGATTTCCTTGAAAAGGTTGCTCCTTCATACTCAGTTAATTAAGTGTGCATTGCTTTCAAGAGTGATCATTCCACTGGTGAGAAAATTGCTTCTCCAGCAATAGCCAAAATTTGGGGAAAACATTTAGAGACTAATATCCAAATTTAGTATTGGGTAGGTAGTGTTGTCAGCATTTACTTGCCTCTGCAGATTGATGTAGGAGTTAGCATAGTTAACTCATCATTGGCTCAGAAGTCTAAGAATTTATAAATGGCATGATTAAGTATATCATCTAAGCACTTAGGATCAAAAGATTTAGCATAGGGAGATTTTATTGATGACATTACAGTTACCATTCATCACAATTGACTATTCAAATTTGAGTTTTAGAAAACCTAAAATTTGGCTGGGAGCAGTGGCTCACACCTATAATCCCAGCACTTTGGGAGGCCAAGGTGGGTGGATCACGAGGTCAAGAGATCAAGACCATCCTGGCCAACATGGTGAAACCCCGTCTCTACTAAAAATACAAAAATCAGCTGGGTGTGGCGGTGTGTGCCTGTAGTCCCAGCTACTCGGGAGGCTGAGGCAGGAGAATCGCTTGAACCAGGGAGGCGGAGGTTGCAGTGAGTCGAGATCATGCCACTGCACTCCAGCCTGGCAACAGAGCAAGATTCCGTCTCAAAAAAAAAAAAAAAAAAAAAAAGCTAACATTTGCATGAAGTTATATGACTAGTAAATAATAAACCCACGATCAGAACCAGATCACTGTTTCAGTAAGGAGGGAATTTATATATTACTATAGTTATCTAATTTTTCATAAACTAATTATTAGAATATTTACATTTTTGAAGTAGCAAACACGTTAAAAACTTTCTTTAGCCGAGAACTTACACCATCCCATATATTTTGGCTACAATTCTTCCCGTCTTTTCTAAAAAACCATATAGTCAAATTTAACATTAAAATCATCATTGTGACACCACTTGGACGCAGAACTTTTACTTTCTTTTTCCTTTCTTTTTAAAAAAAATAGAAACAGTACCTATATTAAGCCTGGCAATCTTATACTAACGCTTGAATTGGCACTTGCTTCACACAAGTATCAACCTAGTATCATTTGTTTTCTCAGAAAGAGCTGAATGTTTTGTTCTCTTCCAGGCACTGAAATGAATATTTGTACTAAAGGATATCAAAATTACATGTTCCTAGGGAATCTCAGCTTAACCAGAATAAAGATGGCATTCCAATACCATGGGAAAAGAGTGATATTTTAATGAGTAATACTCATATGCTGGCTATCCAGCTAGAAGAAAACAAATTCAAGCTCCTACTTTATTGGGTATACATACACCAAAAAAAAAAAAAAATCTAAATGAATTACAGATATAAGTGTAAACAAAACTGTAAGACATTAGAAGAAAATTTAAGAGAATATTTTGTATAATGCATGATTTAGGGGGAAAAGTTAGGGAAACATATTTAAACAGCTCAAAATGTTAAGAAGTTGTAAAACAAAAAAAATACCACACATACAAAATCTAAAGATAAATGGTAAGCTGAGAGAAAATATTTGTGGTATATATGACAAAATATGGAGTTTGTGTTTTTATACACAAACAAAGCTCTTATGAATTTGAAAGAAAAAAGTCAATCTAATAGAAATCTGGGAAAAGAAAATGCATAGAAAATTTACAGAATATGAAGTGCAAACAGACAATATCATATAATCTGATACTCAACTTGACCAAGGGTTGGAGGCCATGAAATGGTCAGATCTCATCTGTGGGGAGCATAAATGAGTCATGATACCAATTGGTGACCCTCTGGATCCACAAAGGCCAAGTTTCCCAGGTGGCAGCCAGCCGATGATTAAAAGCACCATGGAGGCACTAATGCAAGTTCATTACTGTGACGTGTAGAACTCTCAACTGGTCACTGGCTCAAGGATTACCCAATAGTCTTGCTGAAGCTTTCTTAGAATGGTGCTGAAATTTAAGGCTTTTCCTACTCAATCCTCTTTCCTTCCCACTCTCCTTCTGAGGTGCCAGTCCTGCATCATGGTGCAAAAGTTCTCCCTGCTTTCTCCTGTTTCTTCTCCATTATGTTTCACAGATGTTACCCAATATATCTTGAGTGTATAATCTTGTCTTGACATCTGCTTCTGAGAAGACTCAGACTAACAGAGAATAACACAAAATAACAATATAAGCAAATATAAACAATATTATGCTGCTCTTCAGATTATAAATTGGTAAAACTACTTTGGAAAAAATGTTGGCATCTTGTAATGATGCCAAAGAGGTATATAACATAACAACATAGAAATTCCATTTCTAGGTAGATAACCTAAAAAAGTGGTTCTCGGCTGGGCACGGTGGCTCACACCTGTAATCCCAGCACTTTGGGAGGCCAAGGCAGGTGGATCACGAGCTCAGGAGATCGAGACCATCCTGGCTGAGACGGTGAAATCCGGTCTCTACTAAAAATACAAAAAAAAAATTAGCCAGGTGTGGTAGCGGGCACCTGTAGTCCCAACTACTCGGCAGGCTGAGGCAGGAGAATGGCGTGAACCCTGGAGAAGGAGCTTGCAGTGAGTCGAGATCGCGCCACTGCCCTCCAGCCTGGGTGACAGACTGAGACTCCATCTCAAAAAAAAAGAAAGGTGGTTCTCATGATGTGTTCCAGGGAAACGTGAAGGTCACTAAGACACTTTTAGGGGGTCTGTAAGTTCAGAATTATTTTTGTAATAATACTATATTTTTGACTGTCATTTTCTCATGACTGTACATTGGTGTTTTGAGTGGCTTCATGATGTGTAAAAACATGCTTGCTCTCACAACTAATGGAATTTGTGCTTGAATATTTATGTGTCCTCTAATTTTTCTAATGTAGCCAGTTAGGATATAAAGTGTAGAGTTTCAGAGATTAACTCAATTTCATGCCCAAAATTCTACTGCATTCTTATGAGCTAGCTTCAGTTATATCTGTTATCATCTCTAAAACCTTGTTATCCTCTATCATCCAATAAATTGTTATTTATAAATTCCAAAATTATCCCAGTGCCTATGCAGACACACAATAAGAATAAGGATATTTTGTTGTCTTGTTTCATAAAAGCATGTAAAATTCTTTTTGAAAGCTTTTTTATAGGTTTTAATTTTATGTGAAAGTGTTACTATTTCCAAATGTTACAATACTGATAACGGATCACTGGATTTAAAAAGGGGAATTAGTCAACAATAATAAACAATCCAGTTAAAAAAGTGATGTTTTTCATTGTCACTTAAAAATTGTCAATTTCAATATCTGTCCAATTGAAAGGAATTGAACAGATATTTCTCCAAAGTAGACAGACCAACAAGCACTTGGATACTCAAAATCACCAATCATCAGGAAAATGATAAAACCTCAATGAGATACTACGCCACACCCATTAGGATGGTTACTATCAAAATAAAAAGAAAAAAAAGAACCAATGTTGGCAATGGTATGAAAAGACTTATCTCTGTGCACTACTGCTGAGAATGTAAAATATTGCAGCTACTACGGAAAACAGTATGGTGGTTTCTCAAAAACTTAAAAATATGAATACCATTTGAGGCAGCAATTCCACTTCTGGGTATATGCCCAAAAGACTTGAAAGCAGGAGCTCAAAGAGACATTTCTACACCTATGTTCATGGTAACATTATTCATGATGGCCAAAAGACGGAAGCAACCAAAATGTCCATTGACAGATAAATTGACAAACAAATGCAGTACATACATACAATGGAAGACTATTCTGCTTTAAAAAGAAGAAATTCTGACACATGTGATAACATTGATGAACCTCAAGGACCTTATGCTAAGTAAAATAAGCCAGTCGCAAAAGCACAAATACTGTATAATTCCACTTCTGAAATACCTACAGTAGTCAAATTCATAGAGACAGAAGGTGGGATGGTGGTTTGCTATGGGCTGGGAGGAGGGAGAGTGGGAAATCAGTGCTTAACGGGTTTCAGTTTCGCAAAATGAAAAGAGTTCTGAAAACAGATGGTGGTGATGGTTGCACAACAATGTGAATTTACTTAGTCCTACTAGAGCAAATGCTTAAAAATGGTTCAGATGGCAAATTTTACATTATGTGTATTTTACCAGCATTTTTTTAAAAACAGAAATTAAAGGGCTTGTTTATTTAATCCACATTTGCACCATCTATGACTTGCAATGCTGAAAAATATGAGACTGTCATATCAGAGAGCTGTCTTACTCATAGAAAGGAGAATATCTACACCAAAGAAACAGAGAAACTGTAAAAAAAAAAAAAAAAAGAAAGAAAGAGAAAAAATATATAATGAAGCTATCTTCCCTTCCCTCCACTGTACGGGTGGTAATTGTTTACCTTTTTATGTATTAGGCAACAGAATATTTTAAAATATTATTTTCATGCAAGTTAGGTTGTGGCCTGTTTGTTTGTTTGTTTGTTTGTTTTTGAAATGGAGTCTCACTCTGTCCCCTGGGCTGGAGTGCAGTGGCACGATCTCAGCTCACTGCAAGCTCTGCCTCCCGGGTTCACGCCATTCTCCTGCCTCAGCCTCCCGAGTAGCTGGGACTACAGGCGCCCACCACCACGCCCAGCTAATTTTTTTGTATTTTTAAGTAGAGATGGGGTTTCACCGTGTGTTAGCCAGGATGGTCTTGATCTCCTGGACCTCGTGATCCACCTGCCTCGGCCTCCCAAACTGCTGGGATTACAGGCATGAGCCACTGCGCCTGGCTGGTTGCAGCCTCATTTTAAGACCAATCGATCAGAGTGTAAAGAAAAATAAATGAAACACTTCGAAAGCCAAAGATTGTTTGACAAAGCATTTTGAACCAGAAATGAAAAAGCCCCTGAGGTATATTACAGGGAAAGTCATCATACAACATGAGCTGGAGTCCACACAACAACTGAGAACAAATAAAGCCTGGAACAGTTGAATTGCTGAATACCTGCTGGATAAAAAGCTGTAAATTGATTCATGACACTGCCACCTTCTCCTGAAACAGTAACTCATTGAATTAATGATTCAGTTAGAAATATGAAGATTGGGTTACTCTTTGTCAAACTGTACTTTTGTCGTATAAATGGATGAATCTACAAATGTGACTGTTTTGCTTGTATCTGTCCAGTATTGGCACCAACTAAACATTGAACATCTTATTTTATGTGCATGCTAGGGAGTAGAGATCGGTTGTGCTAAAATACCCAAAGTGTCAAATAACTTTTAAAATCCCTTCATCTAGCCTGGAACAACTATGTTGACATTTGCAGTGGCATGAAATTGTGCTAGCAGTTATTGTATTCTTCACCAACCTCACACTTGAAGTTAAAAACCAAAGGCAATTTCACTTAAGAATACCCTTGATGAAGAAGTAAATATTATTAATGTTTTTAAACTTGACCTTTGAGCAGATCTTTTTTAATAGTGTGTGTGACAAGATGGAAAATATGCATAAAACACTTCCTTAGCATGTGTATAAATAAGAAGCATGATGATCATCTCCAGGAAAAGTACTTGTGAAATTATTTGAGTTGCAAGCTGAACTAGCCACTTTCTGTTTTTTGTTTTCATAGAACATCATTTTTTCTTAAAGTGTGACTCACAGACAAACTATTATCTTCAGACTTCGGTATTTAGAAGACATTTTCTCAAAAATGAACAAAGTGACCCTGTCATTTTAAGGTAAACAACTATTTGTTGTCAACGATAAAATTCAAGTAGTTAAGAAAATTCTAGAATTTTCTAAATGTGTACCACTGTGACCATGACAGCTTCCCCATTCTTAGAGATTTTTCTCCTGAGGGGGGCCAGGCCTAGGAGTAAAGCAAGAGAGATGCCTGGGCACAAAATTTAAAGATGTTTCACTCTTGGGGAGGAAGGTCATTCTAAAGGAGGCCTCACTTACAGGGTCACGCAAGCACAGGGTTAGTACTTACACGACCCTGAGAGTGTGTTCCTTCTTAATTCTGCAACTTCAGTTGCCTCCCCCTAGTCCTGGCCCTGCTATTGAGATTGGTAATAACATTAATAAATGTGGTTTTTGATATTGTATAAAGAATTACATCAACATTGAGAACACCTGCATAACTACCAGTTAACCAATATTTTGACCAACATACGATGTTACAAAATCAAGCATGGGTAAAATGTTCATTCAAAGTACAAGACAGATCAATGTATTTTAACGTAAAAGAGTATAAATATTCATATTATTTCAAATTCTATAATGTATCTAGCCTTTAAGAAGTTACCATTTGTCAAGTTTTGGTCAGACAAGAATATCCACACTTATCTGGAAAGGCTATTCAAATGTTCCTCCCTTTTCCAATTTCATATCTGTGTGAGATCAGATTTTCTCCCTACATCTCAACCAAAACAACAAAGGACTAATGCAGAAGCTGATAACAGAAGCCAGCTGTCTTCAATTAAGCCAGACATTAAAAAGATTTACAAAAACTTGTAACAATGCCACTCTTCTCATTAAGTATTTTTATTTTGGAAAATACACATTGTTTTTAAATTAGAAATATTTATGTTCACATGTTATGTGTTTATGTTTGTAATGAATTAATAAATATTTTTAAATTAAAGGTAATGGCAAAAAAACCGCAATTACTTCTGTGCCAACCTAATAAACTGACATAAACAAAAGCTCTTTGGAGTCTTTAATAATTGTTAAATGTATAAATTGTCCCTGAGACCAAAAAGTTTGAGAACTGTTGCCATAGGAAACTTTTTGGACATGAGTACCAGGAAATAGGCAAAAATGTGCGTGGTGCCACTGTTTGCAATAGCAAAAATGTATAAACATCCCAAATGTCCACCAATTTGAGATAGGTTGCATTCATACATAATAAAACAGTGAAAACCCATGAACTATAGTTACACACATCACATGAATACCACAAAGATAATGTCAGGTAGAATAAGCAAGTCACAGAATGCATACGTGTATAATTTATACACATATGTGTATAAAACTCAAAATGTGCAAAACTAAATGACATACTATGTACAGATACATACATATATGGTAAAATGTATGAAGAAATATAAGAGAAAAGAAAACAAATCAGAGTAGGGTTAACACTATCAGGGAGGATGGGAGGTGGTGCTGAACCTCATTTAGAATATGAACTATTTTTCAAGTTGGGTGGGAGCACACAGTTCTGAAAATAATAACTCCTTTAATGGTACATTTGTATTATAAATTCTCTTTTGCATATATATTTCACAATTTAAACATGAATAATAGTGGTATATCTTTTACTTTTTTTTTTTTTTTTTTTTTGATACAGGGTCTCGGTTTGTCACCTAAGCTGGAGTGCAGTGGTGCGATCATGGGTCACTACAGCTTCCACCTCTCAATCTCAAGTGATCCTCTCACCTCAGCCTCCTGAGGCACTGGGACTATAGGCGTGTACTACCATGCCTGGCTAATTTTTTTTCATTTCTTATTGTTTAATGATTAGCAACACTTTTACGAATTTCTGATGTGTTTGTGAATTGCTGCGGTCTTCTGCAAGGTAACCTAACATGATCTATTAAATTCAAAGTGTGTGCAACTTTTGATCCAGCAATGTAACAATGGGAATCTATCTTGAAACACTGAAAGGACTAATACATGAAACTGGGTGTGTGTGGCATGGGTGTGTCTGTGCAGCTATTATGGCATCATTGGCAGTGACCAAAAATCTGGTACCAACCTGGATATCCATCAATAGGGGAACAGTTGAATAAATCACAATAGCTTCATATTTGTAGTATTACATGTCTATTAAAATATTAACTTACAGTCTGTATATCTACCTGGAAAGATTTCCATGTTATATTAAATGAAAAAATATTGCAGAGAAATGTAAATAGGGTTATTTCTTTTTTTAAGAAATAGGAAAGCCCCTATATATTAATAAACATTTTTTCTATGAGCATAGAGAAATATATGAAAGATATTTACATATTAAGCTGTTAACTGAGTTCAAGGGGCTTAGATGAGAGGGGTATAAGACAGATTATTAACATTTCTTTATATACATCTGTATTATTTGAACTATGAAAAACAGCATATATTATGTTCATAATTGAGAAAATGTATACAGAATTTTAGGCTGGGCATGGTGGCTCATCCCTGTAATCCCAGCACTTTGGGAGGCCAAGGCGGGTGGATCACCTGACGTTAGGAGTTCGAGACCAGCCTGGCCAACATGGTGAAACCCCGTCTCTACTAAAAATACAAAAAATTAGCCGGGCATGGTGGTGGGCGCCTGTAATCCCAGCTACTTGGGAAGCTGAGGCAGGAGAATCGCTTGAACCCAGGGGGCAGAGGTTGCAGTGAGCTGAGATCGCACCATTGCACTCCAGCCTGGGCAACAAGAGCAAAACTCCATCTCAAAAAAAAAAAAAAAAAAAAAAAGAATTTTAAAAATTCATTGCTAGTTACACAATTTTTCTTTTTCTTACTTCCCACAAAAAAAGATGTTGGTAGCTGCCAGAGGCTGGGGAGGGGAGTGGAGCTGTTTGGTGGATATAGAATTTCAGTCCCACAGGATGGGGGGCTTTGGGGATCTGTTATACAATACAGTGCATGAGGTTGACTATTGTACTGTACACTTGGAAATTGTTGGGAGGATGAATTTTATGTTATGTATTTTATGCCTCAATAAAAATAATGGAAGGGCAAGATAAACTTCAGGGAAAAAGGATAAATATCAACAAATTTAAAGAAATGGCAACACTGTGCACTATTTTTGCATATTTCTGATAGGTGTTTGATTCTCTCTCCAAAGTGGAGTGGGAAACGGGGAAAGAGAAGAGAGGACCTGGGTGGTCATAAGTAACTTTGTTATGTTGTTGGAAAAACTGGAACTACCTGGGACACCAGAAACACTGTGATAATATAATTCCAAAATTATCTTTTAGAATCTACCAGAAATCCTTGATTAGACACAATATCCCAGAATTAGATAATATCAAGACATTATAATTTCAAAAAACTTTCTTTTACTATAGCCCTTGTTCAGAAAATCCTTCTGGTGAGCATGCCCACATTTTCTTGCCATAGGAAGTGACAGGCAGTTCTGAAGGAGCCTCACTGAGGGCCTCCTGGCCACTCCCTGCCCCACGCTGTCACAGCCTACCCTGGGGAAACACTTTTTGTGAAGCCATCCTTCCTATGTCTGTCCACGATGACACCTCCAGACTTGGAATAAAAGACAAAAGGTGCCTTTCACTCTTCTCTCTGGTGAGCCAAGGTCCTTTGGTGGATTATTTCACATCAAGTCTCTCATTCGAGTCACATTAAAGAGATCAGAGTATGAAGAAAATCCCACATCTGTGAACCGTTTGAAGTAATTTCCTTGTTTTTCCTATGATTAGAGCACCAGACTATACAAATCAATCTGAACTCAAAATCCTGATTATTTTCATTTTATATTTTCAATTTATTATTTTTGAGCCATGTGCCCTTTAAGAATTTTGGCTGAACAGCTCCCATTCTCACACTAATTCACTTTTACCAGAAATATCTACTCAACACTTACTATGTTCCAGGCACTGTTCTAACCACTGGTAATATAATAATTGACAATACAGACATGATCCCTTCCTCTTGAGGTTTTCCACTTAGAAAATAAAAATTGACAGAAAGTGAAAAATAGTAACAGACTATAAACTTTTGAAGCAAACACAGTTATCACACAGTGCAAATGATGGAAGATGGAAGTACACGAAGCCTAAGAGATTTTTTTACTGTAAGTTTCTCATGGTTAGTATAGAAATATAACACTAAATTTCCTAATTTTAAATATGGACACCAGTGTTTCAAAAGCTCTAAATCAACTACTAACATTACAAACAGTCCAAGTTATGGTCTAAATTTCCTAACCTAATATTGGTGTTTGGGGTTTTAATTTTCTGAACCAATTTTTTATATAAAAGCAAACACAGGATGAATTTGTGTACAAATGAGATCGGGGTTAATACAAAAATATAGTAGAGATCTTATAAATATTAGATTATATACTGATGTAAAAACTTAGTATACCAGAAGGGTAAAAATTTAAAATGTTATTAATGAATTTTAAAATCTACATAATAAAAAATCATACCCCATTGCACACAAGGATAAATTGACTAATTCCTTCCATCTTGAGGTATGAGCATTGCATTACTGACCATTTTAAAATAAGAATTCATGCCTTACATAATTGAAACCTGATCTTTTTTCTTCTTCTCAGGCACTGTACCTACTTACAGATGTCCTTTGTGTGGCAATAATATTTATATTAGTTGAGACAGACTACACCATAGTTTTCAAATGAATTTTCTTTTTGCTTTGGGAGTTGTCCATGTTGGTTTTGAGAAACTCCCTATTTTTGAAGGTCAAGGAGTTAAAAAACACTAAGGCAAAATAAAAATGTTGAATGGTTTTCTGTGTTATTCTAATTATTCTTACCTTGGAAAAAGTGACATTGTAAGATAATATTTATCAACCAGTCTTCTTGAGAGTTAATGATAATTATTACAACAATTGACACTTATTACATGCTAAACATGTGCCCAGTACTCTTTTATGAGCTTTGGGTGCATGGTCACATTTATCCTCCTAATAGTCTAAAAGGAAGGTAATCATATAATCCCCATTTCACAGATGAGTAACCCGAGACAAAGAAAGGTAAAATAAATTTCCCAAGGACATTGATTAGTAAGGAGTAAAGCTATAATATGAAACCAGGCAATTTGACACCAACGTCTACACTCTTTCCTCCTTTTCTAATCAACATGGAGAAAAGTGCACAAATCATAAGTGTGGGGCTAAGTTAATTTTCATAAATTTCATAAAGTAAGCCCACTTGGCACCCAGATCAAGAAATGGAGCATGACAGCCCCCAGAACCTCCATTTGTGCCCCTGCTAGTTTTTATCCCCTCCCAGAAAAAAAGTCCTATCCTGACTCCTAACACCACAGGTTAATTTCATTTTTTTAATAAATTGAATTATACAGTATTTTTTCTTTTGGGTCTGGCTTCTTTTACTCAACATTATGATTATAAAAGTTAACCTGCCATGTGTAAAGAATTAGCCATGTTATTGTTAGTGTTGTATAGTATTGTAATATATGACTAGACTACAGTTCATTCTACTGTTGAGGTAAATTTGAGTAGCTTCCAGTTTGGGGCTATGAAAAATAATTCTACCATAAAGATTCTTATTCATGTATTTTGGTGCACATATGTACATTTCTCTGTTGAGCATATTACATATGTCTCAAAGTATAATTGCTGGGTCATAGGGCATGTGTATGTTCATGTTATTAGAAAACATCAAATTGTTTTCAAAGTGTTTATACAAATTTACACTTTGACTAGCAGCATATGAGAGGTCCAGTTATTTCACATCCTCGCCAACACTTGGTATTGTTTGCCTTTTTATTTTTGGCCTTTCTGCTGGATGCATAATAATATTGTGATTTAGATTTACATCTCTCTGATAACCAGCAACGTTAAGAAAATCACTTTCTTTTGTTTTTAAGACAGGGTCTCACTCTGTCACCAGGGCTAAATGCAGTGGTGCAATCATGGCTCACTGCAGCCTTGACCTCCCAGGCACAAGCAATCCTCCCACCTCAGCCTCCCAGACACAAGCAATCCTCCCACCTCAGCCTCCCAAGGAGCTGACCTCCCAGGCACAAGCAATCCTCCCACCTTACCAACCTACAGGCATGCACCACCATGCCCAGCTAATTTTTGTGTTTTTTTTGTGGAGACAGGGTCTCACTGTGTTGCCCAGGCTGGTCTCGAACTCCTAGACACAAGTGATCCTCCCGCCCTCGGCCTCCCAAAATGCTGGGATTATAGGCATGAGCCACCGCACTGGGCCTTGTTTTAATCTTTTGCCCATTTTTCTTTCTGTTTTTTTTTTTTTTCTTTTGAGACGGAGTCTCGCTCTGTCACCCAGGCTGAAGTGCAATGGCATGATCTCGGCTCACTGCAAGCTCCACCTCCTGGGTTCACGCCATTCTCCCACCTCAGCCTCTCGAGTAGCTGGGACTACAGGCACCCACTGCTACACCCATCTAATTTTGTTTTTGTATATTTAGTAGAGACGGGGTTTCACTGTGCTAGCCAGGATGGTCTCGATCTCCTGACCTCGTGATCTGCCCACCTCGGCCTCCCAAAGTGCTGGGATTACAGGCGTGAGCCACTGTGCCCAGCCTCTTTTGCCCATTTTTCTACTGGGTTGTTCATCTTTTGCTGAGTTTTAAAAGTCTTTATATATCCTAAATAAATCGTTTGTCACAAATCCTTTATTAGAAAATATGTATCCTGGCTGGGCATGGTGGCTCATGCCTGTAATCCCAGCACTTTGGGAGGCTGAGGCAGATGGATCACCTGAGGTCAGGAGTTCAAGACCAGCCTGGCCAACATGGTGAAACTCCGTCTCTACTAAAAATACAAAAAATTAGCTGGGCATGGTGGTGCGCACCTGTAATCCCAGCTACTCAGGAGGCTGACGCAGGAGAATCGCTTGAACTCGGGCGGCAGAGTTTGCAGTGAGCTGAGATCACACCACTGCACTCCAGCCTAGGCAACAAGAGCGAAACTCCATCTCAAAAAAAAAAAAAAAAAAAGAAAATATATATCTCAAATAATCCTTTGCCGTAATTATCATTTATTACTCTCTTTTGCCTTTTCGCTTCTGTAAAGGTGTCCTGATGAACAAAAGTGATTATATTCTTAACTACCACACTACGCTGTTTCAATCCTGGAAAATGATCATAATTTTTAGTGTCATTATAATAATGGATATCTTAGGAAACCTATTTAATTGACATTTCAAAGTTGTGTTTATCCAGAGTGGCCTAATAAGCTATGATTGATTATCTATAACTGAACAGCTTGTCTTTAATGATCAAACTGAATTTTATATCACATAGTTTATGAACAATTCTGGTTTTTTTTTCTTCATGATAAAGATACAAACATAATCTCACCTAGGAAAACCTTTCCTCAAGAATCATGCTGTTCCAATGACCCCTTTATGAAGAAAAAATAGAGATGAAATTTTTTAATAAAAAAATTTAAATTACTTTTCAAATGAGTTTCACCACGACTTTTTTGGCAGGTAGATAAGCAAATTGAGTAGTTTTCTAAATCAACCTGCTGATAACGGTCCCTTAGACAATATAATTGGTCCGGCTAATTGTGTTCTCATATTGTTCAAATGGCTTATTCCTGATATTTTCTACCTGGAAATAAATGGCTTAACTTCATTTTTTGGGTTTGAGCAATGAGGCATCTATGTTCCCCACGTTTGCTTGGTTTTACGTTTTTTAAAACTTTTATTCCTCTGGGTGTTTGTTTCCTAAAGCTTCTAGAAGAAGTGTCATATTTCAGTTGATTCATTTGACAGTAGAGATGGTAACACACATAAAAATTTATTTCCAAAAATGTGATTTGTTAAAGCAAGTGACACTTATTGAAAATTGGAAATAATGGCATATTTGGAAACGTGTCTTCCTTATGTTTTCTGGTTCAGTGGGCTCCATGTTCTTATCTAGAATTGCTTTATAGAGTGGAGCTCCTTTAATTATTACAGCAATGCTCATTTTCTGCTTGTACTTGTCAAGCAGATGCTACCTCCCATAATAGATAAACTCTGAAATCTCAATGGCTTAACACAACAGAAGTTTATGTTGGTAGTTTTACATGTTTGAATGGATAGGGGATTCTTTCTGTTCCACAGAATCCATCAAAGACTTGAGTTTTATAGAATCTTTGCTGCCTTTAACAGATGATATCTGAAGTTGCCCGAATCTAGTCAGCAGATGGAGTAGAGAAACAGTGGAGAAGCCAGTGGGAGATTTTATGGGTCAGGCCCAAGAGATGTAATTCATTTCCACCTACATTCCATTGGCCTGAACTTACTCTCATAGCTCCACCTATGAGCAAGAAAGGCTGGGAAATTAGGTTCCTGTAATAATTCTGTACCATGGATACCATGGACAGGGAGCCTGAACATTTAATGTATAGCTAGTCATTCACCATTTTCACCATTACCAGGCAATACAGAAAGTTAGGACTAGAAGGCAAAAAGGAGCATTTTGTGGAGTTGAAACTCTGCCATTACAAAGGGATTCAGCCTTCTGATGCAATGCCTTGCAATCCCCTCTGTCTAAACCCTACCATGGCTTGTTTGTTCCTGTCAGGTTTTAATCTCAGACATCTAATGAATTTCACTTCCTGAATTTACTTAACCAGAGATTCCTACCTACTATTTTCCCCAGGAACAGCCCCTGGTCATGTCTTCTGGTCACTTCCATTCCAGGACAGGTATCCACCTCTCTTCCAGCTTTCCGATTCACCCCCGTTCTTGTCCCCCAAACACTGACAATCCCCATCAGCCAATCCTGCACTGTGGCCCAGATGGGGCAATACGTTTCACTGGGCCCATTACATTTCTCTCTTGCTAATGTACCAGTTCTAGTTCACTTTATTTTCCAGACAGCAGTTCAGAAGAGTAGAGTTTCTCTTTAAGCAGCTAATGAAGGCTTAGCACTTTAGACATAATTTTTCCCTTAAAATAATATCTCAGCCAACTTATAATAGACATTTTTGCCTTTAGCAATATTTTTCAAGGGCTGATTCCTAAACCAACATTACAGAAGAGTCTCTAATTTTACCTTACCTTTAGCAGGCAGTTCTTTCAGTTAACTGGGATGACGAGAATCTAAAATAACTCTAGGTTGGGCTATGTGGCTCACACCTGTAATCCCAGCCCTTTGGGAGGTGGAGGTGGGTGGATCGCTTAAGCCCAGGAGTTTGAGATTAGCCTGGACAACATGGCAAAACCCTGTATTCACACACAAAAATACATTAGCTGGGTGTGGTGGTGTGCACCTGTAGTCCTAGATATTCGGGAGACTGAGGTGGAAGGATCACTTGAGCCAGGGAGGTCAAGGCTGCAGTGAGCTATCATTGCGCTACTGCACTCCAGCCTGGGTGACAGAGTGAGACACTGTCTCAAAAATAAATAAATTAATTAATTAAAAATAAAATAACTCTAAGCAGTATCATATGCTACATTAGGCAGATTCACCTGTATCACCAACCTTGTGTCCAGTCTAACTAACTACATCCATATACTGCTCTCACTTGGAAGCCACGGATTTTCACATCTAGAGACTTAACTTTTGCCTCAGCGATAAATGTATAAAGTGTAACTCTAAAGCAAGGGTCAATAATCTACAGGCCATGCCCAAATCAAGCCTGCTGCCTTTGTGCATAAATAAAGTTTTATTGGAACACAGCCATGCCCGTTTATGTATGGATTGTATGTAGCTGCTATAGCTTTACAATGGCAGAGTTGAGGGGTTGCAACAGAGACTGTGTGAGTCTCAAGGCTTAAAATACTCACTATCTGGCTCTTTACAGAAAAAGTTTGTTGATTCTTGCTCTAAAGCAGAGAGACAGCTTCCTATGGAGGTGATATCTGAAAAGGATTTTGAAAAATAAGAAACATTTTACTCATAAGGGTTAGGGAAGATGCAAAGAAAATGTTTTTATTAAAAAGAATAAACATTTGAAACATAGTGATATGTGTGAGAACAACAGTCTGCTGTGTTTTCCCAGAGTATAAAACCCAAGAAGAAGATTGATGAGAGATGAACAGCACAGACAGACAGGGAGAGGCCACATCAAAAAGACCTGTATATACTTCATGCTAAGCAAGATGGATCCCCCACCCCCCACCATAGTTCAGTATTTCTCAGAGTATTTCCAATCAATGTTAATAAAGTTTATGGGAAAAAAAGAAAAAGAAAAGGTGCCCCATGGTTAAAACTGCCTGCAAAGTATTGGGTTTTAATTACTTTCAACAAATTGTTGAAACATTTATCATTCAATAAGTTGTTGTGGGACTTCTCAGAGACTTTAAAATGCATATCTCCATTGGAAACCTCTAAGAAAAGGAATGCAACCTGTAGAGTTCCCAACTTATCTGACTACACATCCTTCTTTGGCTAATTACTTCACATGCTTTTCACAGAACTTGTATTCACTAAAGCACTTTGGGAAATTATGATAATAGTCAGCCAGTGGAAAGATTTAGACAGAGAGATATGACCAGACTTGTGTTTTAGAAGAATGGCTTTGGCAGCTGTATGAGCAAAGGGCTTTCAGGAAGGAAGAACAAATGCAGGGAGACAAGGTAAGAAGCTGCTGCAATAGTCCAGGTAAGAGGTTATGGAGAATAATGTATCATTTCCCAAAACTTATTTGCATAGCATATTTGTTGTTAAAAAAAAAAAAAGTAATAGACTTATCTTATCTAAGAGGCTTCCTAGCTGGAGTGAAAGTTGCCTCTGGATCAAGATCTTCCTGTTTGGAAGAACCACCAAAGTCTGCAGCTTAGCTTGCCTTGGGTCTCACTCCCAGCCACTCCCTAAATCTGGACTTGACATCAGTTTCCAGCTTTTAGTTCTTGCCGATCACCTGGTTTATCAAAGCTTGCAGGGTCTGTGACTTGCCGCTTTGTTTTTCTATTACAGCATTTATAGCTTCCTGGAGTCTGCTTTGAGCAACTGCTTTCCCTTGCCTTACCTTCCAATACTCAAGCTCTTCAGCAACCTCACTGAGGCTGCCTGCCTGCAGGTTGGTTCATTAAGGTGATTTTGTACACCTAACCACTTTCTGAGTTTCATACCCCTGTTTGCTGAGAACGGTGACCCACTGGCCCATGCTGGGGCTCCCCTCTGATTTCCCCGACCGGAGCACTTCCTTAGACCTGTCTGCTCTCCTTTTTCTAGCTTCTACACCAGGTTTTACCATGTGTAAAATTCCACCTCCTAATAACTGGCTGCTCCTTTCTGCCTGGAACCTCTCATGTTGCTGCAACTGTGACTGAGCCAAAAATTTGACAACAAAGACAAAAATCAAACTCTACCTGATTCTTTTTTTCAGGGGATTTCCAAGACTTCTTTATGCCTCCTCAGGCTTCCTCTGGGCTGAGTGATTCAGCTTTTCTCTAAACTTTTGCCCAAGAATAGATTTAGAGATCAACCATCCTGAGGATGACTGCACCCACACTTAACTCTCTCCTTCTCTCTACCCACCTTTAAGGGATGCTACAGAAAGTATGATTTAAGGTATCTCACAGAACCAGGCCAGGCCAGAATCTGATTCTCCTCCAGTCATGGTCATTATGGCTCCTGTTTCATTTCCGTCATGTGGCTTAAAGGCACTCCCCATCACAGGGCCATTCAGCCTTGTCCATTTAACCTTGTTATTCCATGCAGAGCACATGCTGTCCCAGGAGAGGTCCAGTTGGGAGGGGCTGGAGAGGTGCTAAGCCAAGAGGATCCAGGGAGAGCAGAGGCAGCTCAACAAGAAGGGGTGTTAAGGGCCTTGCTCAGAAGAAGGCTGGCTCCGAGGAGCACAGAGCGGTTTGGCTGGAAGGTAATGAACACTCTTTGTCCGGCAGCGTCTCCCAGATCCCGCTGCTGGGCTCTGCAGAGCTGGAGCTGGTATGTTTCAGCCGCATGCCCTCCTCACTACCCCTGCAGTCCCTGGCTGTGGTCTGGTCCTTTGCCGGGCCAAACTATGTGATCTCTTTTGGTGAGCTGGCAGCCACACGCTATGAGCTGGACTGAACAGTATATGTCCCTGTTCCCTTGACTCATTATTTTACAACTAAACAATCAGCACATTTCTGTGAAAGCCGGTCTCCTCTTCTGAATTCTGAACCGCTATTCATTCAGGAACACATTTTAAGCTTTTTCATCCTAATGAATGTCAGATTACACGTTCAGGAAAAGAAAAAGGATGGCTCTGTAAAGGAACCGTTAGTTACGTCTAAGTGATAAAAGATGTGAATGCACTCTCAAAGTACTTATTCTTAATTATTCCACTTCTGAGAGACTTATTTGACTGACCCAAGCCAGCTCTAGAAACATTTGAAGCCTCATGTTTCCGTCTGGCCTGGAGGACGCTGAGCTTACAGAATTCCAAGCCAACGCAGAGACTTTTCTTTAGAATTGAGATGAGGAGCGTGGTGTTTATTTATTTATTTTTTTTTTCGTTTTTGGGTATTTTGTTTTTTTTTTCCTACAGACTTGTGTTTCAGGAAAAAATAATCAGTGTCAGGCAATTGTTTTCAGGGAGTGTGGTCTTCTGTTTATGTTTTTAAAACTTCAGGTAAGAAGAGTAGACCAATCTCTGAAAAGGAAATCATGGTTGATAGAAACCACGTTGAAGGGAAGGGCTACTCTGTTTCTCTGAGTTCTTCTGACAGGTCTCACTTACTAGTCTCATGTATGTATGTACATCTGACATGAGTATAGGTAGAAAAATGCAGTAAATACATCCTCCTAAAGTTCTGACCAACCTGGAAACAACATTTTCCTCCTTATCAGTCTTTCACCTAAAAATTTATTGTATTGTAGAAGACGTGAATCAGATCAAACTCATGATTTTTGAGTTTCAAAAATTTGTGAGTGGGTTTTTAAGTTTTACATTATTTCAAGCAGGGTAGAAATCAGAATTTCCAAGGTCAAGGTTTAAAAAATACCATGAAAACTTCGGGTAAGAAGAGTAGGCTAATCTCTAAAAAGGAAATCACAGTTGATAGAAAACCATGTTAAAGTTTAATTCTCTAAAGTTCCTTTCAAGATGGGACATTTAGGTAACATTTATACTGCATTTTGGCAGGTTCTGGGATACTTGTATGTATGTACTCAAACTAATAATAATGATTTTTCGAAAGAGGGAGGGAGGGAGGCAGGCAGGGCAGGCAGGCAAGACACCTAAGTATAAAGGGGTCCCTGGAGAACCTCCAACCGGCCTGTGCATGGGAAGAACAGGGTGGAGCCATGGAAGTTCATGCTGTTTGCAGGGGGAAGGAGCCTGGTCCCTCCTGTTCCTGTGTGGGAACCTGGGATTCAATCTGTGAGATGATGTCCTGTTAACAGGAACCCCTCTCTCACTTTGCTGCATGCTTTTCCTTTTTCCTTTTTGCCCAATAAATTCCATCCCCCTCACCCTTCAAAGCGTTTGTGAGCCTAATCTTTGCTGGTTGTGTGACAAGAACCCAGATTTTCCTACAACAAAGGGAGGGAGGGAAGGAAAGGATGAGAAACTTCGCAGGGAAAGTGGGATAAGCAGCCAGAAAAGGATTTTTAAAATAATACTCATGGTTCTCCATTCCCCAAGTCTCTAAGCCGAATGATGGATAATGAGAGCAAAGGAGGAAGGACGTTCAGAAGGTGATCATTGATCTCCCAGAGAGTAAAGAATTCAAATATTGTTTCTTTTCCTCGCCTCATTCTTGCCTGGTATCTCCGGGATTTGTAGTTGAATGAAGAAAGGATTTTATCCAGTTATTTCTTAAACTTCCCAGGAAACATATAAAAGTTGGCATACTGTAGACTCCCACGTTCAAATAAGTAATTCTTACTTTGCCAGTCACCTAGGAAAGAATGTCACTCGCCACTACCCCCTCCTAGGCCACATCCATATTCCAAGCCATTGACTCTTCTTTTCACTTGTTCCCTGTTTCAGACTCATCCTTCCAGAGGGTTTATAGCAGTGGATGTCTTCCAACCTTCTCTTAGTATCGTTTATAAACTCAAAATCTTTCTTATCTTCTTATCTTGAAAAATATACTTAGCAGTAAAGTGGTTGCTCAGTATTTTTTTCTATCCAGATTTCCTCATTTCCAAACTCAAGATATTGTGATCACTTCCTAGTATTATTTGACATTTTATTGAAAATTTTCCTTTCAATAAACACTGGGCAATTATAATAATGTTTATCACTGGGAAAATATGATGTGCCCCTGCTGCCTCCTTAATTTAATTTGATGTGATTTAGATGGGAGCATGCTGCATGGATGCTTCGATGTAGTGGACTAGAAAAACAGTAAATAATGGAATTAGGGAAACTATTGGGTTTGTCATTTCAATCTCCCCTGGATACTCAAAAACCTCTGTGGAATAAGAAAATTAACACTCTTGTACTTTGTCCACTGAAATCTAGCAGTATCTTCCAATGGAATGCGATAATCCAAGTACAAAACCTGTCTTAGAGAGTTTCATCTATATTGTTATTTTTACATGATTCCAGGTTGAACAGAATAATGGTCATCCATGCCATTTTTTCCCTGTATCAAAGACCTAAACATATGTTTTATTTTATTTTGTCCCTATGAGTCCTAGTCCTTAAAAAAAAAAAAAAAGGCAAAAAAGTTCAAATTAACAATCCCCTTTTATGGGTTCTGGAAAAATCGGGCACCACACATGTAAGGCAAATAATTAAAATTGCTAATCTACACAAAGCCACACTGTACATTACAAATATTAACAGAAAACCATTCACCTACATAATACATGAATGTGTTAAGTGTATGTGTATGTGTGAATATAAATGTGTAGCACCACAAAAAAAAAATCTTTAAAAGGAGAATAATTATAACAATATACTGGAACTCTTTGAAATTTTTTCTGCAAGAATTCTTTTATAAAAATTCTACAAAAAGTTTTTAAAGTAGCCACTTAGAGTACACAGACACTAAATTTGTTGATCTGCAAGGCTCATTTGAAGGACATTTTAAAGAGCGACCATTCTATAGAAGGAAAATGTGGGCAGTGCCCTTTCTAATGGTCCGCAGTGATAACGCTCTTTCCATGGTTAAGGAGTTTTTACAAATATTAACTGACTAATCTTCACAACCATTCTGTAGGAGGCAAATATTATTAATGGTTTCATTTTACCAATGGGGAACATGAGTCCAGGAGAGATTAAGTGACCTGCCGAACACCATAACAAGATAAAGTGCTAGAAAGAGGGTTAGGACACTGAAGATTCTGAATTTTAGTCTTCATTGTAAATCACAGAAGCAAGATAAAATACATGATACCATATTTTTTGACAAATAGGATCTCATGAACCTGAAACTTGTAATGTGAGCAATTTTGAAATTGCCAGTAATAAATGTATATTTTAAATAAATCACATAATTTATCTCAAGTGTCTGCTGAAAATAAATCTCCTATTTAGTAAAAAATATATAATACAAAAATCAGAAATTAATATATGCCTAACACAATCAATTCTTATCATGCTGGGTATGGTGATAACTCTGAATAGGCACAACCTATTATTGCCTCCTATGTAATAAGCTGATGACATCCACAATTTTCAGGGATAAGATCCTGTCAGGCCATGTCCATTATAAGCTACAGATACCTGTATCATGAGTGATCTCAAACTTCCAACTTAGTCTGGCCTGACTGGCTTTCCTTCATTTATTACTCCTCTTAGCCTGAGTCAGCTAAACTAAGCTGAGCAAAGAAGAAAATGAATAAAAAGGAGGGTAGGAGAGAGGAATAAGGAGATACAGGGTGAGAGGGAGAGAGATTTTTGAGATGATTGAGGCTGGTCAATATTTTGAAATATTATTTTATACATCTATCTGGGCTCTCCAGAGAAAGAGAACCCATAGGAATATATACATACCTACGGAGAGAGAGAGGCCAAGAAGTCCCACTTTCTGCAATGGGCAAGCTGGAGACCTAGCAGAGCCAATGGTACAGTTCCAGTCCAAGTCCAAAGGCCTGAGAACCAGGAAAGCCAATGACTCAAGCTCCAGTCAAAGTCTGAATGCAAGGGCAGGAGAAGATGGTAACGCAGAGCACATTTTCTCTTACTCCACCTTTGTACTCTATTCAGGCCTTCAGTGGATTGGATGCAGCCTACCCACACTTGGGGAGGGCAATCTGCTTTACTCAGTCGACTGCTGCAAATGTTAACCTCACCCTGAAGCACCTTTAGACATACCCAGAATAATGTTTAACTGAATATTTGGGCATCCCATGGCCTAGTCAAGTTGACATATAAAATTAACTATCACAGTATCACTCTTCAAATTTTCCTCCTACCCCTGGCCTTTCTCCCACTCAGGCAGCATTAGGCACCAAAGGAAAAAAGAGCTAATATTCAGCTTTTCAGGTTTATGGATTTATTTTACAAATGCAGCTAATAATATGCAATGTTGATTGTGGGTAGGCACTGTTCTAAGTGCTTTATAAATATAGACTCATTAATTCCCATAACAGCTCCATGAGGTAAGCACTATTATCATCACCCCTGTTTTACAGATGAAGAAACCAAGGCACAGACTCATGTCCAGGACCCTAAAACCAGTGCATGGTGGAGCCAGCATTCAAACCCAGCACACGGGACGCCAGAGTCCATGCTCCTAACCACTACATTGTGATGCCTTGAAACTCATGGCAGAGAAGAGTTTGAGAGAAAGGTTTCAGAAAGACAAAAGTAGAAATCCTGAAAGACTCTGAGCATAAAGTTAATGCTGCAGCAATAGATTTAGAAAAATGATGCATGATGATCTAAGTGGAAGGTGTGACATACCCCCAAAGAAATGCTGAATTCCCCAGGTAGGGTGGGGATCCAAACAAAGGGAGACTTGTGCCTCATTTCCTTAGTGGAACCGAAGGAGCAACAAGCCTCCCCTTGCTCTCTCTCTATACCTCCACCAGTCACAGGCAGAGAAAGTAAAGGTGGGGCCTGCTGAGCACGTCAGAGCAGAATGGGCATGGCATAGCTCCGTCAAGTCTCCCAGAGCTCCAGAGCAGCACAAAAAGGCATCCAAATATTTCCTGTGCTTCCCTGTCCTCTCACCTCAAGAGGGATGCAAAAGACAAGGCTGGAGTGACCTCAAGCAGTCTAGCAGTCTTGAAAGTTGTATGAACTGGAAACACAAGTCCAGAGGAGAACAAGGCCATCTTGAGGATACCAGCAAGGATAGATCACTATGCCCGGAAGCCAATAGGAGCCATCACAAATAAACAAGAATTTCTGAGGACAAAGGTCCCCCTCTTGATAGACATCAAAGTATGATGACTTAAGGCCCCAGAACTTAGAGGCAACTCAGGGAGAAAATGGTGGGGGAAAAAAAACTCCGGAACAGACTTAATAAATAATTGACCAAAGGTAGCCTGAGTTGAATATGATTGAAATTAAGTTCAGTTACAGAATAATGTTATATTTGTTTTTTGCACAGAGGATTTTGCAGCCTGAGACTTTTACCTGCTTGGCTATAAAGAAATAAAACTTGTTTACCTTTGCAAACAGTACTCTCTCTCTCTCTATGAAAGCCAAAAGAATAACTCCAAAAATGTTTTGAGAAATAAGATCATTATTGAACTAAGTATATGACTTCCCAAAGAGACTACTTTCCAGAGTAACACTCCTTTCTGTAAGTGTCCATTCTGTTCCATTTCTTGAAAACATTAGTCTCACTAGTTCAAACTGGTATTCATACTACAGACCTGGTCCTTAAAATGACTGAAAGTAGTTTAGCAATGGTTGCTGTCCATTATTAATTCAGATAAAGTTACAAGATTTGAGGCTAAGATGGAAAAGATTTAAGATTTTGTGAAGTCAGGATCTAATTTAGCTTTGAGTTTGGCTACTACTCAAGCCAAAGCTTTGAAGCTTTTCTACATGGTGAAACAACATTGTGATGTAGGATCAAAGGCTGAAAAGTTCAATGCAAATAAGGCTTGGTTCATGCATTTTAAAGGTAGTGATGCCTTATATAACATCAGGGTGCAAGATGAAGCAGCAGGTGCTGAGGTGGCAGTTCCAGAGAGCAGAAAGACTTTGTTTCTTGAAGGCAGTAAAAGGACTGACACTTTGTCCCCTAAGGCCCATCCTAGCCACAGGGACATTTGTGATAGTAACAAGAAGGCAACAAAACTGAAAATTTATCAAATTTGATAAATTTTCCTGAAAATTTATCAAATGATCCTGGGTCTCTCAAAAATATTCTCAAAATTGCTTGCGATCAAGGAAAGATTTTTTTTCTCAAATCCTTACTCTGATTAGATGTTTTCTTAACTCCCAATTTGTTAAAGGTATTCTAAAATAAATTTTACCTGAGATCATTTCTTTAAGAAGCTGGGCTTCAGGTTCTCAACCAGTATAACATGGCTGTGCTATTGATTCAATATGAAAAAAAAAAATCAGAATGGTTTGATTTAAATAATTTTTCTTACAGGAACTTCTAGCAGAAATATAACTCTCCATAAGTGTAAGGAATATCTCTAGTGCTGTCATATGAAAACTCAATTAAAAGATCAATTTTTTGGAAATACATATTTTCTGGAAAACCTAATTATTAAAACAGGTGCCATGAACCAGATATAATTGTGGATGTTTAAAGTTCTACAAATTGAATGAATTTGCCTTTGAAAAATCTGGATATTCAACATGATTTCAAACAGACTTATTAAAGAAAATATCAAGACGCCCTCTTTAATACCTTCCCTATTATACCTTTCCTAAGAAATATCTGTGAGTTACTGAAGTTCTGTCAGCCTTCAATTTGATTTTATTAGCATTTGTTGCTTTAAATCAGACCTTTCACATTATTTATACAGGTTTTTTTTAATTCAATATTCAAAATGATAGAACATATACATTGAACCACAGATAGGGACATAATTCATTGCAGTATGAAACATGCCTTATAACACTTAAGTGGTTTATTAAACTTGTCTGCTCTTATATTGGATAAATTCTATCCTTGACATCAAGATGTGTGTGTGAAACATTTATCATGTTTAGAATTCCTCTAAGTTACATAAACTACTTCATCAGGGAATTGCTAAGAGTATCATCCAGAAGTTAAAATACACCAAGTATCCAAATATTTCTCTTAAACATGAGTTAGACCTAGACTACCACGTAGAATTATTTTAGTGGTCTCAGTTCCATCCCCAGTGGACAGTAGTACATAGTAAGGAAAACCACCCCACACAATTTGGCACTGTTTAGAACCCACAGCCTCTGATCAGGAGGAGCCTCCCCATGAGCCCAGGGAGACTGAATGGCCTCTTATTAGAAGGAGCACAGTCTTTCAGGCTAGGCTGAGGTTGGAAACTATGGGAGGATGGTGCTACAGCTCTTGGCTCCCTTTCTGGCTTGGGGAAGGTGGAGGTCTTCTTGGGGCAGAGCTGCCCACTCACATTGCAAATGGAGAGCTGGTTATTGAAGGAGAATGAAATGAAAGAGCTTTTTGTCAGCATAAGGTAAGGAAGTTCATCATTTGGGGGAATACAAATGCCAAACTTCATTTCCGTTTAGATAACACAGACTAGAACTAGAGAAGAAGGAAATAAAACGCTGTAGCCCAGAAAGCTGGAACTCGGTTTAGTTAGAATATTGATAAACATGTGACTAGTTTATCATGTATCGTCTATGGACTCCTACAGAGGTGTTACACTTACTTAGAAGAAACACACACATGCTTCATTTTAATAAAACAAAGAGCTAGGTAGTTGCTACAGAGGAGCTAAAGCTTTTGCCTGAGATTATTAATAAGAAAAAAAGATTTTCTACTGGGAAATAGGATAGTAAAACAGAAAGATATGCGACCTGTCGGATTTGGAACCAATCACACCTGGGTTTGAACTCCAGACTTTGGGCAAGAAACCTGAATCTCAGATTCCTTGATTGTAACATGGGGTCAATGTTACCCAGCTCAAAGGGCTTCTGTGAGATGAAGTAAGTGAATGCATAGGGCCTGACACAGTGCCTGACACAGAGAAATTAATTGAAATATTAGGTCCATTCTCTATACCAGGGCTCAAATTCAGGGCATTGGTAAATTGAAACAGAAAGACTAATATGTTAATATTTTCACTAATCTCTAACTGAAAAGTCACATTTCTTAAATAATACAGGTAAGCAATATTAGCATATGCAGTAGCTGTGATGTTGACACTAAGAGAAATCACAGATATTTTCATAACACAACACAGCTAGTATAGATATTTTAAAAATATTGTTTATACTCATCACTATTTTGAAATTATGGTAGTTATTAGACCTGCTGCTAGATCTTGTTATTCAATGCATTAGTGAGAAAGCACATTACTGTACAAAATTGTTTTTTAACATTTTGATGGCTATATTTTTGTAATTGATTTCCTTTGCAATATTATGTATTTTTAAAATTCTTCATAAACATGCTTTAAACGGGAATTGAAAACATTGAGAAGACTAGAGACTTCAACAAACTGCCAAATGGGTTTGCTCTACCCTCTGCGAGTGGTGTTATATTCAGCTATTACGAAATGGATGAAGGTCCTATTGATTGGGACTGTGAATAGATGGGACCATTTTTCAGATGGGTCTAATTTGGGCTGTTTTCTGCAAATATGATCAATTTCGGACTTGCAGGTGATTTTGGTTCATATTCAGCTGTTGCTCACTTAATGAGATTTTTACTTGAAATGTGGAATGAAAGAGAACACTTTAACATTTTATCTTTTCTTGATCTCAAAAAGTAATATGAAAAACAAGGAGATGTGTCCAGATCCCTGAAAGTCATTTTCATATGCACATGCCCCAAGGATCTTAGAGAGTCATTAGGATTTTATGACACTAAGTTATTGGCTTTATTTGTGGCAAAGGTACTGTGAAATCAGATAAGAATCGGCGGCTTCTAAATCTTGTCTCCCTGCAGTTAAAAATAAAAACAGATTCAACCATCATCTGGTTAATATTTCCTTACATTTCACTAGTTCTGAAACATGCCAAAATATGCCTACTTGCAACAGCTGGAAAATTATACTTCAACTAAAATTATATTTCTTGGCTTCCTATGGAATGCTTTTGCTCTGAGAGCTCAGGAATAATCTAACCAGTGTTTTCTGGTTTTTTTGTTGTTTTGTTTTGTTTTTAATTTGTGACAATAATCCAACCAGAAATGTCACCAGGTTTTGTTATAGGGCAAAATACACTTTATAATATTACTTTTCTTTAATACATACCAGAAGCCTATTTCTTATTCTAATATGTGGGTAAAGTACATTTTTAAAAGATAGCAGCAGAATAATAATAATTTATAATGTGGCATATGTAAGTCTGAATCTTGGTTTTATTTATTTATTTATTTTGGTTTGGTACAATTTAAAGACAGACCTTTTACTCCCTACAAATGAATCAGACAGGATCATATGTGTCAACATTCTCCTTATAGCAGCATTCATTTTAAAGGAAGAGGATAGAATTTGACTAATGTTGAGTGCAAACTATTTTTAAATGGTGCCTATTTACCAAAAATGGTATTTAAAGTGTTGTTGAGATAAATGTGCCACTGACTGCATAGGTGTACTCCTTTGCAAAGTATTTCTCAGGCCGGTATATTTTTTTTTTTAACATAGATGAGCTTTCTCTCATCTCCTTTCTATTATTTTCTAGAATACTTGCTCTGAGTTGTAGGCAAGTAGATTCCCACACAATGTATTTCCTACTCCGGCTTTCAGTGTAGCCTTTTTGTTCAACTTGTTCTAATATTTATTCTATAATTTATTCTAACAAAAATCACTTCATGTTCAAAGAAACATTCTGATAGTCCAGATGGAGTCCTCTTTGTCTGGAATTAGCATAATAGAGGTTGGACAAAAATTTCCTTTCTTAACTGTTCTAACTAACGGAGACCAGAAGTTCTAGAGGTCCAGCTTCTGCAACCATTTGATACTTTTCTCGCCAACTGTAACATGACCAGAAACGATCTATGGAGTTCAATTACTCCTATGCTCTGTGTTCATTCATTGAGTGATTCATTCATTCACTGAACATCAAATAAGCACTTACCACACCTGGATGAACAGACATCGTGACTGTAGCTCCACTTACTGAGGAGACATTCCCTCTTCCTTGTCTTTGAAGAACACCACTGAATGTGGCTATAATGCAGCTACCAATCATTTCTGGTTTGCACCCACATACTGAGTCAGCTCATCTGTAAACCAAACTATGGCTCTCTCCCCCTCCTTCAGCTGGTTATACAGGACCTCTCCCCAACCCGCATACAGCCATAGGTGTGAGTAAGCGAGAGGGTTACTCAAACTGTGGTGAGTGACAAGGGATCTGGGCTACCTGCCTGTGCAGCCCATCCAGGCTATACCATTTCCATCTTAAAATGGACAATTGGCTGCAGCTAGGCCAATCTGACTTCCTGATTTGGTGGGTCTGAGAGAACACAGCCAATATTGGGCAGGTCTCCATGCACAGACAATTGGTATCCTTTGGTCAAGTGTTTCATCTTTACCAGGGCACAGTAACACACCAGGAGATGTTTATCAAAAGGCATATAATTATCTGCTGCTGCAAATGGCATGGCCTTGTTCCAGAATCCCAGGGTCCTGAATTCCAATTCTCCCACTGAGATTTGTCACCACTAAACATTTAGTGATGCTGGTTGCCTCACCAGCTCATTCCTAATGACCTTGGTAAGTGGTGTGTCCTCTGGGTCCTCTTGTTGAGTATAATCCTCCAGGAAGTCTTTTGACCTGGCAAAATATATCCATTCTAGCATGACTAGTTTCTCCAGGCTCTTTATTCCTTCCTGTATCATCTTTTGGCACAATTTAGGCATTTCCTTTCCACTCAGCATTAACCATCACTTTCTCCACACTTTTAGGAGCCATGGTTGCAGTGAATTTGTCTTACTCCCTGGGGTTCACGCCATCATGTTAAATCCTGTGTCCTGAAGTCAATGAATTCATACATACATATTGACTCCCTTGATCAAACGCCTTCAAAATCCAATCCCGAAGATCTTCCCTAGCCATCGGCAGCTAGCTAGGTCATATAGCTTCTTCAGTATAATCTCCTGCCTCCCTTATGAAGTCCAGTTGATGTACTTTTGCAGGCTCCCCATTGAACATAACCCCTTCTTCCTTCCTATATTCTTCTTAATCTCATTTCTATAATTTGTTCTAAAGAAAGAATCTGTTGTTCAATCACACTAGGAGGTGAATTACAACAAAGCAAAAATGAAAATTTAAGCTAATGGAATGAAACCTCTACAACAGAATTTTCTGACATGGTAGCGGTATGAGGGTAGAAACAGACATGTACTTAGAGAGGGAGCAAAACTCTGCTATTGTACCCAATTACTGCCTATTTTACCTATGATAAGGCCCTGCATTCCCACAGTAGGCTGTAAACTCATCAGTCTAATCACATTTTCTGGACTAAGACAGAAACTGTCAAAACAGAAAAGGGATCCTATGGAATACATACCTTCGCAATAAGCAGAGACCCACACTTTTAAAATGCTTATGGAAATGAAGTAAGACCAAGAGCTGTAGGATATCACCCTGAATCTGCTTACCAAGCTCAGTTTTAAACAAGTTCCTTGCCTAGACTGCTATGATCTCTGACCAGTGCCAGGAACAAGAAACCCATAATATATGTCCTCTATTATAGAGTTTACAGTGAAAATGCATGCCCAGACAAAAATTACTATTTATATCTCTATCTGTGCACATCATCTGTTCTGTTGTATTTATTTATGACTCTATTTCTCTCAAAGGCAGAAACTTTTAAGGCAGAAACTTGACTTACTCGTTTCTGCCCTCAGCGTCTAGGCTAGTGTCTGGCATACAAGGGGTGCTTAGCAAGTATTTGTCAAATGAGTAAATGATTGAATGAAAGATTACTATAGAGAAAGATATCTCAGACCAGGTCCCCAGTCCAAAGTACAGTTGTCCAATGTATCAGAACTGTGTAAAGAGTTAATTCAGATTTCTCCTTGGCCCTACCAGACTATATAATTCATTACCCATCTCTCCCCTTCGTTTTCTGCTTGGTAGAATAGGCTTTGGTGTTAGGTAATACATATGTAATAAAAACTCTAATTACCAGTTAGATTCATCTGCTTATTATGATACTAGTCTTTTATTAAAACTAGATTTCGCTCCACCATGCTCTTGGCTATAAAATAGAGCTCTTTTACTTTCTACCAATTCTATTGGCACTCCTTTTTAATTCAAATACTGCTCTGGGATCAACAATGCAATAAGACATAATTATGTTTTAAGATCCATGAATTGGTTGTGAAAATGCAGGTATTTTCTCTCTAGGTAGTTTGCTCCAGGAAATACACTGAGAAGTATATTTTTATCTTGATGTATGGGGATTTACATAGGAACATACCCCTCAGAGTTGGAAGTAGTATTTTGCAGAAATGCTGGAACAAATACCACCCATCACCACTTTATTATGTTCACAATGTACTCCATTATCATCAGTATGTGAGTATAAATCCTCATAAGAAAGCTCCCAGTATTAAAAACCATAATTATAACATGTATTTATTCCAAACATATGTACCACCGTTTCAAACTACCCACCAGCTGAATATATTTTGCAGCTTTCAAAATTTGACTGGTGCGAAGATGGCTTTTATAAATGTGATTTATGACAATTTAGGTGCCGAAAACCATCGTAATTACAAGTACTGTAAATGTTTTCTCTCCGCTTAAGTAGCCTCGCTGAGGAGGACAGCGTTCATTTCCTGTGGGCCGGGCCTTTTGGCTCCAGCCTTCTCTGCAGCCAACAGGCTGCTCTGCTCCCAGCTCTGTTTCACCAGTAAAAGATTAACAAAAACTTTTCAGCGCTCGGTTTTCTTTTCCCTCTGGGGCTATCCATTTTCCCATCTCCAAAGAGGGCAGCCTCTCCTAACATATGTTGGAAATTGTTGTTCAACTTCACAGAGTATACAAACACAAGACTTTTCTCCGTTCATGGTGCCAAGAGCAGACGTTTCAATGGAATATTTCATTATAATGCAGAGCCTATGTGCCAGAAAAGAGGCTTTTCAAATGAACTTCATAAGCTTTTTTGATTTTTTTTTTTTTTTTACCATGTGGTATCTGGGGTTTCTATAAAGCAAAAGAGACTTGACTTTTGGTATAAAAAAGTTTAAACTTTTAACCTACCTGGATTTGAACAGGATAATAAATTGTCGAGTAATGACTCTTTGCCAAATGTTAATAATTTTCATGAAAAGTAAAATCAGAGAGTCGTGGAAAGGCTGTGATACTCTGCACCTTCGTAGCACCTTCCATCTCGTTATTTTAAGGCCTCTCTCTCTCTCTCTCTGAGTGCACCAATGGGCAGTCAAGCCACAACAAAGGTCAAGTGACTCACCCAAGGTTACAAAGAGAATTAGTGGCAGGACGGATGAGATACCCAGGATTCCTAATTCCCAGTTCAGTGTTGTAGTTTAAAAAGCCCCCATATACCCCTCTTGTAAATTATTCTGTCATCAGCACTTTTCTTATTACTCTTTGTTTCTGGCAGTTATAAACTCAGAGGTTTAGAAAATGACTTTGTGACAAAATTTAGCCAACAAAATCTCTAGCTTACTGTCAACTCTTTCCAAAAGACGGTTTGAAAATCTGTAGTTCAGCTACTTTGGGGGTATAGATATGCCCAAATCCAAAGTTCACGCATCTTGGTATGTCTCTGAATTTGAAAGGATGACTACACACGAGATTTATTAAAGTTGTGTGTTAATCACTGAGTTTTGGTTTTATTACTAAATCAACATAAAAGGAGAAGCTGAATTTTAAAAATTTTAAATTCTAATTACTACAAAAATAACTTATGCTTGATTTATATCAACTTTACTCCTAAGTTACAGTATAAATGACTATAAGGAAATTTGCATATAGGCTTTCTGTGGAGACTCACCATATAGCTGAAATTTACAGAACATGACTTGAAATGTGCCGGAGTACCAGGTTTTTCTCTTTAACCAGCTTCCACAGCTCTCATGCCTGCTCAGCCAGCTCTGTGAATCACATCTTGGCTACTAGTGAGGCAACTCATAAGTATTTCTTACAGGCAGAGTGTCTTCACATCCTATTATACTATAGTATTTTACTATACAAATATTTCTTTATATTTACTTAGCTGTCTAAAAGACCATTTCTCTAAAATCAATAGAGAGGCAGGAACAACACATAAAATAACAGCCACTGAAAAAAAGAGCAACCACAACATTTTGTCAAATAGAAAATGAAAACAGAATGTAAGACTACATCCAGCAATTTACAATTCCTTGAAGGAGTGTTACTTGCAATAAGTGATTCATAGATGATGCAAATCACACCCCTTTGGTTTTTGCTGTTGCCTTTATTAAATTTCAGATGTGACAAGCTTTCTGGGTTGAACCCAAACATAAAAGGTCCATGTGGTTCTTTTCCCCCTTCTTCCTTTTTTTTTTTATACTCTCAGAAATTTTAACAATGTATGTACATTGTTTTTACTATAGAATTATCTCTATTTAAAAACATATATTTTTTGAGACGGAGTCTCACTCTGTCACCCAGGCTGGAGTGCAGTGGCATGAGCTCGCCTCACTGCAACCTCCGCCTCCTAGGTTCAAGTGATTCTCCTGCCTCAGCCTCCTGAGTAGATGGGACTACAGGCACGTGCCACCATGCCCAGCTAATAAAGATTGTAATTTTAGTGTAGAGGAGATTGTTGGACTGAAAATGTTTCCAACCAACAAATTCATACTTCTTTCATACATTCTCTTTAGAGAGAACAAATATTAACCATAATTTTTTTTTTGTTTTTTTTTTTTTTTTTTTTTGAGGCAGAGTCTCGCTCTGTCACCCAGCCTGGAGTGTAGTGGCGCAACCTCGGCTCACTGCAACCTCCGCCTCCCAGATTCAAGCAATTCTCCTGCCTCAGCCTCCCGAGTACCTGGGACTACAGGCACGTGCCACCACGCCCGTCTAATTTTTTGTATTTTTAGTAGAGACGGGGTTTCACCGTGTTAGCCAGGATGGTCTCAATCTCCTGACCTCGTGATCCGCCCGCCTCGGCCTCCCAAAGTTTTGGGATTACAGGCGTTAGCCACCGCACCCAGCCATAATTTTTCAGTATTATGTTCAGTAAGCCACAGTGAACATTGACAGGGGCTTACTTCCTTATAGAATATAAGCCCAGTGACTATTCCAGTTCAAACATCACAATTAAGCCATTTCACATTATTTTCTTATGTATTATGCACTTGAATTCCAGTTTCTTTGATTTGTAACAAAGAGTTGAATCATTAAACTTCTTAAAATTACATTTTTCTCCTCGCAAACTTGAGATAGTAATTCTTACAGGCTAAGTACAAGCTTAACACTGTCCAAAGAATTCCACACTGTCTAGGAAAGAGGTCTGAAGTGAATATAAGAGAGGATGTAAATAAACTTAACGGGTTTCATATAAGTAAATATAAGAATAAAAGGGAACATATATTAACTTAAAGAATATTTCCTCCAAAAATCTATAGAGAGGAACAACACAGAAAATAATCACTGAATTAAAAGTGATCACAAGCAAGTTGTCATATAGAAAATTAAAACAGCATGTAGTCTGATTGTAATATGCAATTTGCAATTCCTTAAAATACATATTCACTTTTATATTTACATGCACACACACACACTCACACGTATACACACTAATCTGGAAACACTCTTTCACATTACTATTTAGAAAGCAAATGCTCAAATGTAGGGCCACTATTCACCTAGGGGTAGAAGAACCCCTGAGAAACGCAAAAGAGATCATGCAGTATGTCCTTTTTTTCCCATTTCCACCCTTACTCTCCTCATCAAGTTCATTCCTCTCTGTCAGCCAAATCCTCCCACTGCATTAGGGCTCTGGACACCTCTTCTCCTCATCTTTTCCATCCCCATTTGTCCTCACCTACTCTATCAGGATGATCACAGCACAATCATAGGCAATGCCTGCATGTTAAGCAAGGCATATTTGCTAACAGAAGATACTCCCTGCCTCTCTCCCTACCTCCATGAAATTTGTGAGTTTCTTACTGAGAGTCCCTGGAGTCCCCCTTGTCAACACCTACTGTACATCTGCCTAGACTTCCCTACACTTTGTCCCTACAAATTTGAAGTGTACCCCTAGCAAGCATATGGTACAGCACGGCTTCCTCATGATTCTCAATCAGTTGGGCAGGAGGAAGACACCAGACACAACCTGAGCCGGTCAAATTTCCTTCCCAGAGAAAGTGGAACTGAAAACAGGATAAAATCAGTTAGGTTCCCATGTGGCTTGACCTGTGCCACAGCACTGAAGAGCTAGCTGTAAAGGCCATTGCTCTAACATGTGGACTGTAAAAAAGAGAAAGCCAGTAGTGAAACAGATGCTCAGAAAGAAGCAGAGATCAGAGGAGGAGAAAGTCCTGATGGTCTTTCCAGGCCTTGGTTCCAGAAATGTCTGGGCCTAGCTGCATTTCTGCTCTTAGATTCTGTAAGCCACCTTCACATGATTTCTAACAAATTCCTCCTTATTTGCTCAAACTAGCTCAAGATAATTTACAGAGTTTTTTCTTTTTTTGAAACCATAAGTAGCCTAAACCACACCCCTGAACTGAGAGAGGGGTTTATTCTACTATCTTATGATCAACATCTAATTATTGGCTGAAATGTCCAGTTCACCAAACTTCATGAGTTTGGCTAATACTGGAAATGCAACAATATTTCTAAGTCTATGCATTTCCTGGTGACTGTCAGATACAGCTTGGTGGGAGACAGCTACAAGTCTCAGAGCATATTTCACAGGAAGGGTGACTATGACCAAGTTTACCAGGATGGTTGCATGGAAGTCAGAATCCACTAAGGAGTGTGGAAGAACTCACCTGCCAAATCAACCAGCCCTGTAAAGGGATGACACTGGAGTGTCAGACCCATACCTAGCCATTATTGGCAGTAAGAAGAAAATTATTTTGAAAAGAAAAAATAAATAAATAAATATGACTAAGTAAGTTCCTTTTGATGTGTTCTTATCATGTTTTGCCTGGCAAAAAGTAGAACATCAATAAATGTCTGTCAAATATGCAACTAATAAACAGATTCTTCAAGTGTGTTGGGATACTAGGAAAAGTTAAGCAAAAGACACGGAAAAACATTTGTTATGGGAAGATGTTGGGAATTGCTTCAGTTGAAAGCGGTATGGGGTAAGGTAATTTGAGATTGATGAAAAAAATGGGCCAGACTGATTGAACTTCTTAAGGAATTGAAAATTCCCTAAGAATGAACATTTATGTAAAAATAGTATTGCATATTTTTCACTTTATTTTATTTCAACATAGCATTAATATTTTAGTATAATCATACATATTATTTGAGATGGCATTTCTAGTGAGTCATATCTGTAATTTGCTAGTAGAGATGAAGGAAAAGCAGTTGCTTAATAAAAATTCATAATGCCACCATTGCTAGAAACTCATCTATTCCTTACTATTAGGGGAGGTGTGTCTGAAATTATTAGTCTTATAGATTGTTTAATTAAACATATACAGTTACTTCCATGACATAGTAACTTCAAAGTAGTATTGCCAAATTAAGCAGTCATAGGTGTACAATTTAGGGAAATTAGATTTAAAAATGGACTTCATATACATCTAGTCTCAAACTCTAATTTGACAAGTAGACCCTGAGAGGTTAATAACAGTTTCAGCTCATCCAAAGTTTAAACTCAGTTTTCCCAGTTTCCAACCTACTATATATTTTATTTTCTTTAAGACTTCCTCTATGATTATAATTTAAGTCCCTTTTCTAAAAGTTTTTAAAGCTAACCTGTTGGTTTTAGTAATCCAAAAAATTTTCTTTTTTATTTTTAGCCACTATTTTTGCAAGTTTTTTTTTAATTGGCAGAAAAGCAATTCAAAACAAAGAGTGAATGCACAGATGAATTCATAGATGGCTCCGCAGCAGTTGGCAATAGTGTGTGTGTGTGTGTGTGTGTGTGTGTGTGTGTGTGTAGGTGGGGAGGGTGGAGGAGAGTGGTGAGGAGAAGACAGACAGAGAGAGAGAGATTAGTGTCAGCCAAGTGGAAATTTAGTAGTTCTCAGTTTCCTCATTCACTGGTTAACATGGTTATTAAATGCCAACAATGTTGAGACATTGACATGGTACCTTTCCTCGACAAACTTAAGAGTCTAAGTAGAGAAGGCCTATTATAAAAAGGAAAACAAATAACTCGATATCAAGATAAATATTCAGAAAATTGTTTACTGGTTTTGAATCCTGAACAGGATCATATTGAGAATAAATGGGAGACCGACTGAGACATTATCAAAAGAACTCATACAAATATATTTACAAATGGTTTAAGAGCTAAGAGGGCCATATACAAGGTCTTGTGAGAGCACCTGACCTAGTCTGAGGCATCAGCCAATTCTTCCTTGCAGGAAGCACTATTTTAAATCCATTCCAAAGGATGAAAAGGAGTTGGCCAGGTGGAGGGAATGGATTGAGGAGGAGAACTCCATATCCATCCTAAGCTTAGAAGACATGAGGTGCATCCAACACCTAGGCAAAAGCCACAGCAGTGGAGAACAGGAGAACAATAAGGAGCCATATGGGCAGACAAGATGAAGTGAGAGCCACCTCATATGGGGTCTCAAGGAGGGAGAGGCCTCTGTTACTGTTGGAGTTAATCACGTGGGCTCTGTATCAGTTTCCTATGCTACATAACAAATTACCTCAGACTTGGTGTCTTAAAACAATAACTATCTTTTAACTCACATTTCTGTAGGTCTGACCAGGCACTGTAGCTCACACTTATAATTCCAATTACTTGGGAAGCTGAAGCAGAAGGATTGCTTGAGGTCAGGAGTTTGAGACTAGCCTGGGCAATACAGTGAGACCCCATGTCTAAAAAAAAAATTTTTTTTTTTTTTGAGATGGAGTCTCACTCTATCGCCAGGCTGGAGTGCAGTGGTGCGATCTCAGCTCACTGCAACCTCTGCCTCCTGGGTTCAAGCGATTCCCCTGGCTTAACCCCCTGAGTAGCTGGAACTACAAGTGTGTGCCACCACACCCAGCTAATTTTTATATTTTCAGTAGGGACGGGGTTTCACTATGTTGGCCAAGATAGTCTCGCTCTTGACCTCGTGATCTGCCCGCCTCCACCTCCCAAAGTGTTGGGATTATAGGTGTGAGCCATCATGCCTGGAGTAAAAATTTTTCTTAATTAGCCATATATGGTGGCACACATCTGTAGTCCCAGCTACTCTGGAAGCTGAGAAGGGAGTTCACAAATATTGGAAGCCCAGGAGTTCCAGGCTGGAGTGAGCTATGATCATGTTACTGCACTCAACCTGGGTGACAGAGCGAGACTCTGTTTCTAAAAAATCAGTCAATCAATCAATCAATCCAGCCTGGCTCAACTGGGTTCTTCTACTCAGGGTCTCACAAGACCAGAATGAAGGTGTCAGCTGGGAAGTGCTGGGGAAGACTTTCCTCCAAGTTCTTTCAGGTTGATGGCAGAATCTGCCTCCTTGGGGCGGCAGGTCTGAGGTCCCTGTTTCCATGCTGTCCGTCAGCTGGATGTTACCATTAGTTCTTCCAGGCCATTAACATTTCTTCCCATGTGCCTGCCTCCATCTTTAGAGCAGCAATCCACAAAGTCCTGCTGCCTCGCTGAATCTCTGTGACTTCTGCCAATAGCCAAAGAAAATTCTCAGCCTTGGAAGAGCTTGTGTGATTAGGTTCATCCCACTCAGATAATTTCTCTCTTAAGGTTAACTAATTAGAAACTTAAATTACATTTGCAAAATTTATCTGGCCATGTCATATATCATAATCATGGGAATAACACCAGGGAACAAAGGTCACATGGGCCATCTAAAATTCTGTCTACCACAGGCTCTAGAGATTAACCAAGCCTTCAGATTCTGACAGCACTATTAACCATCTCTGGAACTTGGGCATGTTAAGTAGATGTCCTCATCAATAAAATAATAAAATTATGAAGCTCCTTCATAAGCTTCCTGCATTAAATGAAATAATGTTTATAGAATGCTCAATAGAGCACTTGGCTAGTTCAGAGCTCAGTAAATGTTAAGTATTATTTTGAAAAGAAATTTGAACCCTACTCTATGAACAAAAAGGGAGGGGTTGCATTAGCTTTTGTATTAAATTAAGAGATGGAGTAAGGTTATTGAAGGAATAATAAAGATAGGTTACAAATAACTAAATCCCAAAAAATGTAAATTACATTTAAACATAAATGTAATTTACATTTTGAGCTAAGTGTGTGAAAGTCTTTCCAGCATTATATGTCTTATGCATGACTAATGAGAAGCAGTGTGCATAATGGTCAAAATTAAGTGTCCTGTATCAGACTTCCCAGGTTTCCATCTCCCTATTACCCCTATCAAGTAGGAAACCTTAGGCAAGTTACTTGGCTTCTCCATGCCTCAACTTTCTCATCAGAATAATGAGGGTAATACTGAAACCATCCTTGCAAAATTACAAGAATGAGAGAAACCTAATTAGCTGGCTCCATTTTGCTTCTAACCTCACAAGCTAACCACCTTTGCTTATTCTTGTACGTAGGCCAGGATAACTATAGGAATAATTTAGTTTATGCTTTAACCTTGGAGCAAGAATGATTATAGTCTCTTCCCAAAACTAACCTTTCCCTTGTTAGGGACTGAAACTGCATTTGTGGAACTAATGTAAGGTCATAATATTAGAACTATAATAGGGGTCTGAATTCTGCTAAGATATAGGCATAGTTATACAGTAACCAATCATTGTTCCCTAACTTGCTGTTTTATAATTGCTTACTTCTCAGGAGTCACATAGCCAGTGATCAAAAGATCTGTAACTTCCCCAGTTCCTCCTATGGGTAACATTGCTATTGTGAAACTTAAGACTGGCATTTCAGATCAGATCACTCAGATGCCTTGAGATTATGAAACTCCTTCTCTGCTGCAATACCTGCTGTTTCAGTATATTGGCTTTTTCTGTGCAGCAGGCAAGAAGAACCTGCTGGGCTGTAACAATACTGTCCCTACCCCATGGAATTAATGTAAGAATTCCATGAAGTGATAACTGTAAAGCACTTAAACAGGTATCTCGTTCATAGTTTGCACTCAATCAATGTTACCTGTTAGTATATATAAGATGCAACAGGCCTAAATACAGGTCTTTTAAAAAAATTCTGTGGACTCATAGTAGGTGTATATGTTTATGGGGTACATGAGATGTTTTGATACAGACACGCAAAGTGAAAGAAGCACATCATGAAGAATGGGGTATCTATCCTCTCAAGCATTCATCCTTTCAGTTACAAACAATCCAGTTACACTATTTTAAAACATATGATGAAGTTGTTATTGACTATACTCACCATGTTGTGCTATCAAATAGTAGGTGTTACTCATTCTTTCTCTCTTTTTTTTTTTTTCCCATTAACAATCTCCACTTCCCCACCAGCCCTCCACTACCCTTCCCAGCCTCTGGTAGCCATCCTTCTACTCTCTATGTCCATAGGTTCAATTGTTTTGATTTTTAGATTTCACAAATATGTTAGAACATGCGACGTTTGTTTTTCTGTGCCTGGATTGTTTCACTTAAAGTAATGATCTCCAGGTCCATCCATGTTGTTGTAAATGACTGAATCTCATTCTTTTTTATGCTGAATAGTACTCCACTGTGTATATGTACCACATTTTCTTTATCCCCATTCATGGACACTTAGGTTGCTTCCAAATCTTAGCTATTGTAAACAGTGCTGCAACAAACATAGGAGTGCAGACATCACTTCGATATACTGATTTCCTTTCTTTTAGGTATATACCCAGCAGTGGAATTGCTGCATCATATGGTAGCTCAATTTTTAGTTTTTTGAGGAACCTCCAAATTGTTCTCCATACTGGTTGTACTAACTTACATTCCCACCAACAGTCTATAAGGGTTCCCTTTTCTCCACATCCTTGCCAGCATTTGCCTATCTTTTGGACTTAAGCCATTTTAACCAGGATGAGGTGAAATCTCATCGTAGTTTTGATTCCCATTTCTCTGATGAACAATGATTTTGAGTACCTTTTCATAGGCTTGTTTGCCATTTGTATGTCTTCTTTTGGTAAATGTCTATTTAAATCTTTTGCCCAGTTGTGATCAGATTATTAGATATTTTTCCTATAGAGTTGTTTGACCTGCTTATATATTCTTGTTATTAATCCCTTGTCAGATGGGTAATTTGCAAATATTTTCTCTCATTCCTAAATACAGGTCTTTTTTTTTTTTCTTTTTGAGACTGAGTTTCACTTTTTCGCCCAGGCTGGAGTGCAATGGTGTGATCTTGGCTCAAGGCAACCTCTGTCTCCTGAGTTCAAGTGATTCTCCTGCCTCAGCCACCCAAGTAGCTTGGATTACAGGTGGCTACCACCATGCCCAGCTAATTTTTGTATTTTTAGCAGAGACGGGGTTTCATCATGTTGGCCAAGCTGGTCTCGAACTCCTGACCTCAGGTGATCCACCCATCTCAGCCTCCCAAAGTGCTGGGATTACAGGTATGAGCCACTGCGCCTGGCCCTAAATACAGGTCTTAAAGTCAGGTACTCCTCTATGTATGGTTTTCATAGACATGATCATAGTTTTCTAGAGCTCCAAGTTTGCTAGCTTCCTAAGTAGGGCTGATATGGTCTTGCTAAGTCTACAATTTCTGCAGTGAATTTGGCTTAGCTAATATCTTCATCTGCGTGATGAAAAGATTTACATTCTGAATTTGGAAGTTGATGCTAATTGATATGGAGAAAGTTAAAGAAGGTGGACTTTGGTTATAGTTGTTTATTATATCTTTTGTTTGTTCCTAAAAACTCTAGAAAAATGCTTTGCATAGACTGCATATTCTATAACTCTTTCATAAGCCAGTTTCTCCCTTATAGAACACTTTAGAGTCTATAATTGCATTTATGTACTTGCCACCTAACCCATGGGAAGTGGGCACAGATATTGTCCAGTGTGATGGAGGAGGAAACAAGCTCAGTGAGAATGAATGGCTTGTATCATGATTAACCCCTCACACGCTGCAATAGAGGTTTATGATCAAGCCTAGAGAAGAGAAAAGAAGTGGGGAAAGCAAAGGGAATCCAGAAATACAGGGACATCAGATCAGCTCCAGTTCCTCCAGTCCTAAATTTGAGTTTATGCTGCTAAGCACACACAGTTTTGACATCCAGAAAGAGTCAGCTCGAGGGATCCTGAACAGAGTTAGGGCCAGAGAGGCATAAGGCAGAGACTAGAAAATATCTAAGCTGGTAGAAAAAAGAAAATTTAGTCCAGATGGAGTAGAGAAGCAAGATCTGCACTCTAAGGAGAAGAGATTGGGAAGAACTAGGACCAGCATCCCACCTTCTTGGCACAGAAAGGCTGAGAGAGAACCCAGAAGGTCCAGCAATCTCCAGATTTGTTGCAGACCTATTGACAAGAGATACTCACTCTATCTGAGGGAGGAAAATACTTGGGAAACTAAAACAACTACAGAGAAAAATGCACCCCAGCGATTTTAGCTATCAACTGACTCCTTCATTTGTGTAGACAGGATCACTAGTCATTTGAGGAAAATCAACGGCATGAAAGAAAAAGATAGACATGAACAAACAGAATGACCCCAAAGGAAACAATAATAGGAAATGAGAAAGTGCAGGAAAGCTTCTAGCACTTAACCATAAAGAGACAAAAATGGTGAGATACCAGCTAAAAGACAAAAGAATACAGCCTACACATTCTATATCCATCTCAAAGATGCCCCAGACAGAGTGAAAGAAGAAAATGAGAGGAAAGAAAGAGGCCAGGCATGGGGGCTCACGTTTGTAATCCCTGCACTTTGGAAGGCCAAGACGGGTGGATCACCTGAGGTCAGGAGTTCGAGACCAGCCTGGCCAACATGGGAAACCCCGTCTCTACTGAAAATACAAAAATCAGCCGGGCTTTGTGGCGTGTGCCTGTAATCCCAGCTACTCGGGAGGCTGGAGAATCGCTTGAACCCGGGAGATAGAGGTTGCAGTGAGCCAAGATGGCACCATTGCACTCCAGCCTGGAGACAGTGAGACACCATCTCAAAAAAAAAAGAAAGAAAGAAAGAAAGAAATCATCTAAAACAACAGTAAAAGGACATTAACTATCATTTCTCTGAACTGAAGAAATGATGGAGAATTATGACTGCCAAGGTAGGCCTGGCTCCAACCTGGACATCTGTTATAAGAGCCTCCAAGGCACAAACTGCTAGACTTTCTAGACTTTCTGAACTCAGAGCACAAAAAGAAAAACAGGAGCATATCCTACCTGAAAAGGTAAACTATGCCAATTAAGAAATGTCATTTTTAAAAAATCTCCATAATTTTAATGCTTTTCATTATTTGAAAACTGAAGGGGGATTTTAAGAAACTAAAATATTTTGTTTTGAAACAATATTTATTTAAACTTTGGCATTTTCATTTATTGTTTTTCTGCTAAATTCAAATAAATTTCTTTCTTAAAGTTGATAGCGGATAGAGAAATTTAATAGAGTTTGAGAAGTCATAGTTAAAGAATGGAGCACACGAAAAGGAAAGGAAAAGTGTAAAGAAATCTGCCTCTGGTATGATTTGAGGACAGCTTGTAAGGGTCTTTGGGTGTCCACCAGGAAAATCTCCTCAGTGAGTGAAACTCACTGTTGCATTATAAATTCCTTTATGTTAAACACTGGCAATTCCCAGTGTTTGCCTTTTGAAATATAAATGTTATATTGTATTCCTGGCAGGACTATCACATTAAATCTTTCACATCTTAGTTGAATCAATGTCCTCAGTAATAGAAAACTGTCTTCAAACTCCACTAAACATTATAATTACTATGGGAGCTTTAAAAATACATATATGCAAGTTCACAGTCTCCCCAAGAGACATACCGATCATGAGCCATCATAGTGAAGTAGAAAAGAATGAGACTCAGAGACGCTTGGGTAAAGCTACCCTTCTGCCACTAATTGGGTTAACTTACCTAAGTTTCTTTAGCCTTACTTTGCTTTCTTTCAAAAATAAAGGCCGGGTGCGGTGGCTCACGCCTGTAATCCCAGCACTTTGGTAGGCCGAGGTGAGAGGATCACCTGAGGTCAGGAGTTCGAGACCAGCCTGGCCAACATGGTGAAACCCCGTCTACTAAAAATGCAAAGTCAGGTGTGGTGGCATGCACCTGTAGTCCCAGCTACTTGAAAGGCTGAGGCAGAATTCCTTGAACTGGGAGGCAGAGGTTGCAGTGAGCCAAGATCACACCACTACACTCCAGTCTGGGTGACAGAGTGAGATTCTGTCTCAAAAAAATAAAGTAATGCTATTGACCTCACAAAAATTTGGAGGATTAAATAAGAGATGTACAATGTCTGGCCCTTAATTGTCTGTTCAACTAATGATAGTGAACTTCCTACTAATTTCATTTGGGGCCAGGTCTGAAGGCTTTAAAAGCGTTTGCTATTTGTAATAGCTTCGAAATAACAGTATCCTAAATATTCAACCAACATACCCAGAATACATCATCAATCCTCCTGTTAACCATTCCTTCAAAGACAATAACTGGTAATTCTTCTAAAAGTTTAGCTATTTGAAAGGTAAGTCTCTTTGCTCCAAGGTGTCATGATTAAAGAGAGATTCAACCCCACACTGGTAAGGCCTGCTCCTTTTGAAGTTCATCCAGAGAAAGAAAACCACACCCAAGGAACACTGCTCCAGTTTAGTCATGCCCTGGGGATAAACCAGCTGAATCTGGAGTAAAGCAGTGGGAATACGAAATTTAACAACTATTTAATAAAAACACATAAGGTGCAAAGCAACCAAATACCTCGTATACCTTTATTTGGCCACATTCCTCCCATTCCATCTTCCAAATCTGGCAATTGGAAATCTTTTAGGGTAGTATTATGGTCAAAGTGGATGAGCTGAATGAAACACTTCAGAAGAAGGCTATTAAATAGGAGGTGTCCAGAAAAATGAATTCATGTTAGCATATTTTCTACATTAGTACTTTGCCCTTCTGATTTTTCATTTATCTTCATGGTGGTTTCATTGTGTTCTAGAATGTATGTTTGATTTTTTAGTTTCCAAACATTCTTCTTTTAAATAGTTCTAATCTAATAGGATTTTTTCTATTAATTCTCATGTTATGTGAGGCTGCTAGCACGTTTTTAAGTGACCTTTTCCATGGTGTATAGATTGTTTACATTATTGAGGAACAATGATTTAGGATGACAGCTTATTTTCTTCTGAGGTGTATCTTTAAACATCTTCTTAAAAGCACATATCTTAAGCCATGTGCAGTGGTGCAGCTACTTGGGAGGCTGAGGCAGGAGGAGTACTTGAACCCAGGAGTTTGAATCCAGCCTGGGCAATGTTGTGAAACCTCGTCTTAAAAAAAAAAAAAAAAAGCATATACTTCGTTAGAGAAATATGTTAAAATTATGCTCATTTGTACGTCTTTTCCTCTTTAAATTCTATAATGGAATAATGACTCAAAAGTATATACTTTTTTTAGTATCCTATAAATGATTTCCAGAAGTATGACCTCTTATATAACACTAGTTATACATGCAAAAGACACTGTTCACAGAAGAGCTGTTCCAGCTGAGTGTAGAAAGGCAAGCTGGATCATCCAGTGGACAGGTTAGGGAAGGGTATTTCTGATGGATGGAACAGTATTTGCAGAGGAACAATGAAACTACTAGTCACATCTGGGGAACTGCCATGATAGTGTACGGGGTGGGAGCTACATACATGTGTGTATATGTAGAGTGTGTGTGTGTGGGAGGAATGGTGGGGAGCAGGGTCTTTGACAATGAAGTGTAGTAGAGTGAGAAGAAGGAGCTAATAGAAGAGTGTAGACAGATAACAGAAATAAGTGGAAGACCAGGAGGTGGTTAACATTTAAAAAACAACAAAGGAGGGGCTATGGCCAAAGTTCTAGTGTTTGTTTTTTGTTTATCTCTGATACTTCATCTTTATTGCCATTTAGACATTATTTAGTATTGCTTTTTGGACTAATCTATAAAGTCTTGTGGGTTGCATTTGTGTTTGTTTTCTCCTTAATAATCTTGGTACAGCCTTAACCCTTGTGGGTATGTGCACTACCTTCAGTAAACTGAAATAAGTTAAAACCTAGTGTTTCAAACTAAGTGCCATCAATTGAAATCAGTGGCCAATTTCTTGGTTTCAGGGATGCTTGGTTTTCCTCCTGTATGGATAGCCAGTCATTAATTCTGCAATTGTATTGTATTTATTTTTTATTGTAGTGAAATACACATAATATAAAACTTACCACCTTAATCGTTTTTAAGTGTACAGTTCAGTAGTGTTAAGTATATTCACATTGTTGTACAACAAATCTTCAGAACTCTTTTCATCTGGCAAAACCGAAAGTCTATATCCATTAGACAACTCCCTGGTCCCTCTCAGCCTCTGGCAACCAACATTCTTCTTTCTGTCTCTATGAATTTGAGTACTTTAGGAACCTCATGTAAATGGAACCATACAGTATTTGTCTTTTTGTGACTGATTTATCAGGATTCATCCACGTTTTAGGAAGTGTGAGAATTTTCTTCCTTTTTAAGGCTGAATAATATTCCATTGTGTGTGCATTTTGTTTATCCATTCATCTGTCCATGGACACTTGTGCTGCTTCCACCTTTTGGCTATTGCAAATAATGCTGCTATCAACGTGGGTTTACAAATATATCTCTTTGAGTTCCTACTTTCAATTCTTTTGGGTATATACTGGAAGTGGAATTGCTGGATCATATAGTAATTTTCTATTTAATTTCTTTGAGGAATTTCTTCTGTAGAACTGGAACTCTAATATACTGCTATTGGAAACGCAAAATTGTGGAGAACAGTTTGGCGGTTTCCTAAAAAGTTAACACATATCTACCATATGACCCAGCCATTCTGTTCCTAGTTATTTACCCAAGAGATATGAAAACATATGTCCCTACAAATGTTCAGATGAGCTTTATTCATGAGAGCCAAAAACTGGAAAACCCCAGATGTCCATCCATCAACATCTGCATAGACAAGCAAATGGATAAACTGTGGTATAGTCACAGAATAGAGTAACTCAGTTTTATAAAAGAATAAAATATTGATGCATGCTACAACATGGATAAATCATAAAATAATTATGCTGAGGGAAAGAAACCAGATTTTAAATAAGAATACATATGATTATTTTTCTAAAAACTTTTAATAAATGCAACCCAAATGTGTTGGTTAATACTGAGTGTCAACTTGATTGGATTGAAGGATACAAAGCATTGATCCTGGGTGTGTCTGTGAGGGTGTTGCCAAAAGAGATTAACATTTGAGTCAGTGGACTGGGGTAGGCAGATCCACCCTTAAGCTGGTGGGCAAAATCTAATCAGCTGCCAATGAATATAAAACAGGCAGAAAAACATGGACAGAGAGAGAGAAGAGCGTAGCCTCCCAGCCTACATCTTTCTCCCATGCTGGATGTTTCCTGCCCTCAAACATTGGACTCCAAGTTCTTCAGTTTTAGGATTCAGACTGGCTTCCTTGCTCCTCAGCTTGCAGACAGCCTATTGTGGGAACTTGTGATCGTGTAAGTTAATGCACCTTAATAAACTCCCATGTCCTATTAGTTCTGTCCCTCTAGAGAAGCCTGATTAATACACCAGTGCATAGTGACAGAAGGCATATCAATGGATGATGAAGAGGAATGAGGAAGGAAGAGGAAGGGATTACAGTGAGGCATGAGGAAACTTTTGAGGTGTTGTTTATTATCTTGATGTGGTGATAGTGTTACGGGTGTCTACATATATCAAAACAACAAATTTTATACTTTAAGCATGTGTAGTTTATTGCATGTAAGTTGTATCTCGGTAAAGCTGCTAAAAATTTTGTAGTCACAATAAATAACAAACATGAAATTATTAAGCATTAAACTGTACATTATTGAGTTAAAACATTTGGGTAAGTAGGATAAATGTGAATGTCATTTAAAGTCTTCCTGCTTTTGAGAAATCATAACATTAACAATCCCCTTTTATTGGAGTTGGAAAGGAGACGGAGGCTGTGGAACAGAAATGGTATCTAAGTGACTGTCTCCTCAGAGGAAAGGCTGAGAGTAATTAAATCACTTGCCAAAAGTCATCAGCTAATCGGAAAGAAACAAGATTTGAAGCCAGGCTTATCAATGCTGGACAGCACTTATTTGCCCCCCAGATCCACTTTCCATCCTCCTCATGCTGCCTATGCCTTGGGAGGCTGATCTATATGACTGTATCACTGATCTAGGTTTCCCATTAGGTTTGGCCGCTGACGAGCACCAGCAGGATATGAGGAGGAAGGAGAGTGAGGTCAGTGTGTTCATTCTCACCACTTCCTTCTTGGACTCACTTCCAGGCTCACTGAAGTTTGCATCTCAAGTCAGGTGAGCCTCTTCACAGTTATGTCCCTTCAGTTCCAATACCTGGTCCTCCTCACCTTTCCAGGTTAGAGGAGCTCACCTTTGTTAGTAGCCTTGGGATGCGGCACTACCTCTCATGGTTTCCTTCCAACCTGCAAACACCTTTGTAAACAGTCCCTTCATGTTACCTACATGGAGTCTGCCATCTGTTTTCTGTCAGGACGCTGATTTGTACAATAACAACAGAAACCCATCTCTTTCCCACTGCAGTTTGATGAGGAGGCATCATTTTTGCCAAGTGCAAGATCAGTTTTGGTGGCAGAATGTCTATATAGAAAGGTACCAAAAGCTGGTTGGAGAGAAAGGGGTTTAGGGGAGTTATTTTGAAGCTGCATTGCAGAGGAAGCAGAGTGTTTCTCCTTGGATTGAATGCTTGTTGATGGATGTTTGTGGGGGCTTAGTGCCACTACTGGCTAAGAGCCTCTAAAGGCAAACTGGTCCACCAATTTACTCCACTTGATCCCATATCCGAATCTTCACAGCTACAGGCAAGGCCAGTAAGAAAAATAACACTTCTTGCCACTGGTTTGCCATTGAAACTACAACCAACCACTCACCTTTTGATACTTACATAACCTGAAGCCAGTGTACTTCCAGGAAACCATGATACACTTACATATGATACATATTATACACTTGCATAATGATTGGTGATGAATAGCTGTAAAGTCTCCTTTTTCTCTTGAGATAGGCACTAAATCAGTGAAACACTTTTTTCCTGTACCATTCAGTTCTTCTGGAGGTCATCAGTGAAGTCAATTTCCCCCTCTAATTCCACATTCCTTCTACTCACAGAATGTGCCCAATGGCACAGGAAATTCTCAAGGGTTTTTTGGCATTAAGGTGAGTGTAGTTTTCATCAGTGTGTGTGAAAAAGGCCCCGACACAACTCAAAAAGGCCAGGGGATTTCTAAATCTAGCGTTTAGAACTTCACCAAGAAGTATTTGCCCGTGCCAAAAATATACATTGGCAACATGCTTTCCTTCTCCCTCCCTACCACCCCGCATGTTTCCGTGAGTAGAAATGTTTTATTCCTTTCCCCCACTACTCACAGGCTAGCACACTCCACGGCAGAAATGCAGAAAGAGGGCAGGCCCTGAGTTTTTATGACACAGGCCTCCCCAGTATATTCTTCCCCCGACCTTCCACTTTAGGGAACTAATTCAAAGGGAACATGCATTTGGAAATGTAGGCTCATGCTTGTCTGTAAGATTTTTACCACAAGGGAAAGTGTGGTCGCCAACAATGAACTGGCACCCATATATTTTAAGCTCTGCCCTTTCCAGCAGTTCAGCATGTGTCTCACCACAAAGCCAAGCCACATTTAGGTAGCTTGAGCTTAAGGAGAAGAGAGAAGATCAAATACCTTTTGTTCCCAATAGGCTAACTACTCTAAACAGCAACACCCTGGATTGGCATGCTGAGGCACAGTCACAAGCCACAACTGTGGTTCTTAAACTGATGCCAGGAACTGAAAGGAAACACACACACATGCACACGCACCCACACACACACACTCACACTCACAAAGCTCTACTGTGGAGCAGCAGCAGGAGGAGAGGGTGGCTGCAGATGACATATTTGATTCATGTTGTCTTTTATTCACAGTCTAACATATCACTTTAGCTTCTAAGATTTGCCTCATAGGGACTACAGTTTACATGCCCCTGTGTGAGTGTGTATGTGTCCCACTCAAATCTATTGGTCTCTGCAACCGTAATGATCTAGTCTGCAATATTTTTCTAATGTCTCTCTTCTGGTTTTTGTAGAAATGACTTCATTGTTTCATTAGCTGGAAAATCTGGATCTGATCTTTGGAAGAAGGATTTGGAACATAGTGACTGTACCTTTAATGAAAAGATTAACAATGCTTCAGAGCTGAATTGCCCTGGATTTGTTTAGAATAGGCCTTGCGTTTTGCTTTTTTGAGGAGGAACTTACATACCAAGTCTTGTCCTGGATTTATATACCATTCCAATCCCCTCGCCCATGTTCTAAATAAAGGTAGTATGACTATACGTTTGAAATAAGAAATAACTCCAGTGTGCTATGCTTTGTTTATAAAAATGAATGCTAGACATTTTCCTGGATCTTTGTGAGAAATGACATCCTATACTGATGCCCTCTCTGTAATCACAATACTAACCACTTCCAGCCCCTCGTATTGTGTTGCAGCATTTTGATGATGTTTAGCTTTACACTTATTCAAGAACCATGTCCCGCTTGATTATCCTTTTTCCTGCATTGCTGGCGGAGCACATGCCATCCTAGTCTCCGCAGAATTACACACACTTCCACTGATTTTGCTGGCTGAGCATTGGGGATGCAGATTGGCCAGGCATCCTCAGTCGGTCCTTTTCCTAATTTGGTACTACTGTCAGCCTGTCCCTGGCAACACCATGACACCCCACTCACTCCTTGGGTTGCTCACCAGGGGAGGGGACATGTGTGACCCAGTCTTGTTGCTGAGGAAATGAAGCACATTCATTTACGCTGCTGCTGCTCACAGCCGAAAAAGGCCAAGACAAACAGTGACACAGCACACTGAACTCTGCTGAAACGTCCAGACTTTCTCCCAGTCTGGGACTCCTGCCCTGTGAGTCCTAAATGTATAAGGGTGGTTTTCTCCCTCCCTTTTTCCTTCATTCTCCTTCCACTCCCAAATTTGCCAGTCATCAATACCAGCACTCCAGAAGGAAGATATTTTTAATCATGAGATTTAAAGATTGCACACTGCTCCGAGGACTCCCCACCCCTGCCCCCACCCCATCCTTCCTCCCAGTCAGGGAAGGAGAGAAGAGGGTAAGCTCCAGGTCCTCCAAACCCTTCAATGAGGGCGGCTCTGCCTTGATCTTTTGATATGTTAAGGCTCCTTAAAAGAGTTCCTTTGTCAGATGATTCTGTAATTAAAAAAAAAAAAAAAAAAAATGTTGGCCAGGCATGGTGGCTCACGCCTGTAATCCCAGCACTCTGGGAGGCCGAGGCAGGCAGATCACGAGGTCAGGAGATCGAGACTGTCCTGGTTAACACGGTGAAACCCCATCTCTACTAAAAATACAAAAAATTAGCCAGGCGTGGTGGCAGGTGCCTGTAGTCTCAGCTACTCTGGAGGCTGAGGCAGGAGAATGGCGTGAACCCGGGAGGCGGAGCTTGCAGTGAGTCGAGATCATGCCACCGCACTCCAGCCTGGGCAACAGGGTGGGACTACATCTCAAAAAAAAAAAAAAAAAAAAAAAAAAGGCGGGGAACCACTCAGGTTGGAGAAGGGAGTGATCCTAAGATCCCAGTCAGTTGGACCAGGACCTGTAAGTATCCACCTCCTCAGCCTCAGGATTTTCCCACCACACTCCCTTCTCCTCTGGAGAAAATGGATCAATCAAATGCTACATTGATCAGTAGCTATACCACAGAAAGCCACAACCACCCTCCCACCCTATGCTTTATAACAACCCTGGCCATGCCTAGGAAAGGTGCCCAGTGGAGCCCTTGTCCTCATCCTTGTGGGGAGCAACAGGCTATGGCAGCCAGTTCCCACCTCCAGATATCTGGCCCTGGATTACCAGACAAGAGGTACTTAAAGCTAAACATGCTTGGAATTGGGCAGCACTAGTAGCTAAGGGTCTGTGAATGTGCTCGTAGATCCCCTGATTAAATCCCCGCACACACACACACACCCCAACACTTGCTGAAAGAGGAAACCTCTTCGGGCCCCATCCTTCTCTAAGACAGAGTCTAAAGAAGAGGGTTTCATCACTGCCACTCCTCCTAGGAGAGCCAGCCTGGCTGGAATTTGCTTCCTCTTCTCCCTCTGTCCCTTTGCATCCCTGCCCTTCCTTCCTCCCAGGCTAGGAATTCCTGGTCTCCTACATTGGCACAGCTTCCAGCTACCCTTTCTGCCACGTACAGGAGGAAAGAGTTTTTTCCGCTCACTCATAAATATTCACTGAATGCCTTGTTGCCGTCTCACGTCCCTTCCCAGGTGAAAACCATACCTCTGAAAATGATTAAGGTCATCATTTGCCTCAGAAGCAGCCTGGGCTTCCCCTACTCAGGGTCTAGCAGGCCTCTGTTCAGCAGAAAGCGCTGGCCTGTCTGGGAATTAGAAAGATCTCGCTTCCTGACTGGGACACAGCCCAGAAGAGTCCATCAGGCTCCCTTCCATGCCTCTGAGATTAATTCCAGAGGGAAGCCTGGAAACACAGAACAATCCCATCAAGACTTACCTGCTACCCTCTGACCAAGGGGACCAGGGAAAATAATTTCCCAAAGGAGAACACAGAACTTTTTTCCTTACTCTATTCTCAAGCTTGAAATCCCAGAGAAGCAAAACAAAATATAGCAGAAGGTCAGTCTGAAAAGTGAATCCCAGATTCCAAAGTCAAATCCTCTTCACCTGAAGTCTCAGGGAGACCTTTTGCATCCAAAATTAGGGGATAAGGGGAGGGTGTGGCCTTCAGACTGGCCCTAAGAAAAGGTCTTACTGCAGGCTTCTTGCAGGCAAAGTTAGGAGGCATTCTGAGGCAACCATCTTTTGTTTTGTGGAGGAAACGTACTCTGCCTAACTTACCTGGAAGAGGAGCCTATTAGTCCATTCTCATGCTGCTATGAAGAAATACCTGAGACGGGGTGATTTATAAAGAAAACAAGTTTAATTGACTCACAGTTCGCATGGCTGGGGAGGCCTCAGGAACTAACAATCATGGCAGAAGGCACCTCTTCGCAGGACAGCAGGAGAAAGAATGAGTGCCAGCAGGGGAAATGCCAGACGCTTATTAAACCATCAGATCTCGTGAGACTCACTCACTATCACGAGAACAGCATGGGGGAAACGCCCCCATGATCCGATTACCTCCACCTGGTTCTGCCCTTGACACACACAGGGATTATGGGGACTACAATTCCAGATGAGATTTTGGGTGGGAACACAGCCAGACCATATCAAGGAGTTAAAGTGAGGCTTTTGCCTTTGGGTCACGTGTGGCACCTGGTTTCTTATGGAAGTCATTGCCCTCCGCATTTGAATGGGGCAGGGGATAAAGCTAGGCTCCAATCACCTCTGTCCTTCGTCTCCCACTTTGGAATCCTGTCTCCTTTCTTCTGTCATAAATAACCTTCTTACCTTAATGCCCTGTGTTAGAGCTGCCCACCCGGAGTGAGAGGTTTACTGCTCCCCTTACTTTCCATTTGGGGATCTTAAGGTGATTCCTCAGATGAAAAATTATTTTCTTTGTGCTTTCGTTTAAACAAAGATGGAGTTTGACGCTCTGCTAATGGCCCCACAAAGTGGCTGGGCGATGATTGGTTTCCTGGCATCTCCGCGCAGGGAAATTTCTAAAAGTGTCCTTCATCCTTCCACAGTCAGGCGGCAGGGACGGGTGGCAGGGCGGGAAGACTGTGGTGTCTCCTCCTGCCATGCACAGCCTCCAGGCAGCCATTCCTTTGTCACCTGTCCTGCCACTGAGTCATCAAAGCGTCACGCTTTTTAAAAGAAAAGTGTATCTCCTAAAGACATTCAATTGATTGTGGCACTTTTGTCTGGTCATTCTTTTCAGGGGCTTGATGCTTTATGTAGTTTCCATTCAAAAGGCTCTTTAGCCTGTCACGGTGTCATAGTGGGCCTGGGGAAAGACATGTGTTTGCATTCGTATGTCAGCTCCTGACACTTGTATTTATTTGTACATATGTATTTTGTTTGTTCAAATAAATGTTTCATCAGACATGGAGTTCAGTAGGGAGACTCGGAGAAGAAGCTGGTACAATTCAAAAGCAAGTGAACTATTTCTCAATAAGACTTGGAATTCCAACTTCTGGTTAATTGTAAATATGATTTGGAGGAAGAAGTAGCACATCAGGGAGCTAAGGTCTGTATTCATCTTTTAATGTTATTGTTATATTATACAGTTTACTGCATAAATAATTGAAATGATAGTAATAACAATTTAGGGACCATTCAACTGTTGTGTGTGCTATATTTCATTGATATTCACTTTTCTGAACCGTGCACAGATCCACAACAATTCTCTGTTTAATGAACATTGAGTGGTAAATTAAAAATAAAAGTTTTTTCAAATGGATAATTTTTTCCTTAACGCATGCTATATGAAAACACTCTTTCTCATTTGTTCATTAAAAAAATCATTCAACAGTCCTAAAAATAAACTTCTTTCATACTGTTTTTATAGTATTTGTTTTAAAACTGCAAATTTAATATGATATCACTAGGAAGAATAAAGAAACCTGAAAAATTCAATGACACTAATTAAACCTGAATGGATATAGATTGTTGTGTTTGTCTAAATGTTTAGCTATATATTTAAAGTATAATTAAAAAATATAAAAACTAAGAATATTAAAGTAATAATTTTTTCAGGTACAAGGGAGAATAGTGGTAAGTGCAGGATTGATATTTTCATGCTCTATGAGGAGAAATTTTTATTTATGCATATCTTATTATTCTTGGTTTAATAATCATTATACTAAAATGAGTTCCTTGAGGATGTGAATACTAACTCATTCATCTTTGTATCTCTAGTCTGTAACAAAGTAGATGCTCAAGAAACATTTATTAAATGACTTCAGCGAATACCAATTTGACTTTTAATATTCATTTCTCCCTACCTCCCTTGCAGAGAAACTGGAAGAGGAGAGAAGGGGCTAGAAATAGTTAAAATTTATCAAAACCTATACCAGGCACACAATATCTGTGATATCATTAAACATTTCCCAAAATGTATAAAATTGCTATCTCTATTCCAATTCTGTGCAAGGTGAAACTGATATTCAGAAAAGGGAAAACTTTTTTTTTGTTTATTTGTTTTTTGAGGTGGAGTTCTCACTCTGTCGCCCAGGTTGGAGTGCAGTGGCACCATCTCAACTCACCGCAACTTCGGCCTCCTGGGTTCAAGCAATTCTCATGCCTCAGCCTCCCCAGTAGCTGGGACTACAGGTGCGCACCATCACACCTGGCTAATTTTTGTATTTTTAGTAGAGACGGGGTTTCACCATGTTGGCCAGGCTGGTCTCGAACTCCTGATCTCAAGCGATCCACCTCCTTCAGCCTCCCAAAATGCTGGAATTACAGGCGTAGCCACCATGCCCAGCTGAAAAGGGAAAACATTATAAAGGAACATACATATAATAGTTGATGAAGCTGAAATTTGAACCCAGTTATATCTAATTCCAAAGTATGTGGGCTTTTTTCCCCACTCATTCACTCATAGATAGAACAAATATTTTTGAACACAGACTATGTACCAGGCACTGTTCTAGACACTGGAAATACTAGTGAACAAAACAAATAGTTTCTGACCTTTTAGAGTTGACATCCTACTGGGGGTAGACAGTAAACAAATTCATAGTGCAACATTTAATCCCTATCTATTTAAAAACTAAAGTCATTTGAGCATCACTGAAATGGAATTAGTTTGTTTTCTAAAATTCAGAAATCAGGAGTTGTAAAAGTAGTGTGGGTAAAGTGGAGTCAACCAAGGGACCAATAGTAGTAGTTGATTTCAGAGGGGTAGAGTCAGATGGTGTAGGGCCTTCGAGCCATTACGCACTTTGTTTGTCTTTCAGGTAAGATGGGAAACAGAGGAGTGATATGCTCTAGCTCACATTTTAAAGATTTTTAAGAATGGGGTAAGGGAACAAGAAAGAAGACCAGCTGGAGGCCCTTCCCTTGTAATAACCCAGGCAAGAGATGGTGCTGGCAGTGTCTACGGTGGCAGCAGGGAAGGTACCAAGAAATGGTTGGATTTTAGACAGGATTTGCTGATGGACAGGTTAGATGAGGGATGCTTTTAGAGTTTGTGCAGTTGTGTCTTCCGGATCAGAATCACGTTATTTTTGCAGTTTCCTCATCTGCAAAATGAGAATGATTTTGAGAATCCATCTTGAGAAAAGCCCTCAGCACCATGCCTAGTACATAGCAAGCATTCAATAAATGTTATTTATTACTACCAATTAGCTAAGTAGACCATAGGGAACAACTGCAGCCCTGTAAGCTTACAACCTGGAGTAGATAACAAGGGCTGCTCACGTTCGAGACTAACTCAGGGACCTGGGGGCTGAGATGGATAGCAAGACCAGGGATGCCAAACCATGCACCTCTCTCAGGAGTGAGGATAGAAAGGGAAAGAGAAAGACAAAGGAAAGTGCAAGAAAGACAAGATTTCTAAGAAAGACAAAGGGTCCTCCAAAGTTTAAGTAGTATGTTTTCTTGACCTTGACCTCTACATAGACTTGTTTACACATCTAGAAATAGTTGAGGAAATTCTAAAATGTACCTAATTCACTCTGGAAGAGAAACATTTTCTTTTTCTTAGCATTTTATTTATTTAGTTTATTTGTTAGAGATCAGGTCTCACTATATTGTGCAGGCTGGTCTTGTACTCCCGGCCTAAAGCAATCCTTCCACCTTGGCCTCCCAAAGTGCTAGGATTTTACAAGCCTGAGCAACTGTGCTCAGCTAAGAAACGTTTTCACGGAAATTTCATATTTTAAACAAAATTGAGATTTTAATTGCAACCATCAGTTTCATTGGGAAGTTTAGATGCCTAATTTATGAGATGCTGGAAATGAGAGACTAGGGGAAAGAAACATAGTGGTGTGAATCCCCTTATAAATTAATTTTTATTTATTTATTTTTTTGAGAAGGAGTCTTGCTCTGTCACCCAGGCTGGAGTGCGATCTCAGCTCACTACAAGCTCCATCTCCCAGGTTCAAGTGATTTTGCTACCTCAGCCTCCTGAGTAGCTGGGACTACAGGTGTGCAGCACCATGCCAGGCTAATTTTTTGTATTTTTAGTAGAGACGGGGTTTCACCGTGTTGGCCAGGCTGGTCTCGAACTCCTGAGCTCATGTGATCTGCCTGCCTCAGCCTCCAAAAGTGCTGGGATTACAGGCATGAGACACCACACCCGGCCCCTCTTATAAATTTAACTGTGGTTTAAGACACTTGTGTGTGGATGATTGGCCCTGGCCTCACAGTGAGGGAGAGTTTTCATTAAAGGTACAGGATTGTTTTTGGTGAAATATTTGCTTTATTGTTCACCCTGTATAATTTGTTACTAAACAATAAGATAATCTTCAACAATGATTGAAAACACCTATTGATAGAGTTAGTTATTTCCTTTTGATTCTGTTAATTTATTCATTAATTTTGTTAGGTAGATTTTTTAAAATTATAGAATTAATATGTGCTCGCATTCAAAGATTCAAAAATTATACAAAGAATTAATAGTAAAATGTAAATGTCTCCTTCTTGATCCTGAAATTCTCAATGATTCTCTCACCAGAGGTACTGCCATGAATAGTTTACTGTGTGTCCTACCAGGAATGTCTTATATATATGCAAACACACATACATCTGTAATTATACATGTATAATTTTTTTGTTGTTTCTTTTTAAAATTTTTTATATTTTTATATGTATATAATTTTAAAACTTTAACCCAAGCAGGAGGAAACAATTTGGCCTGCTCTATTCACTTATGGATATGCAAGAGGTTATATCAAGGTAACAGCAGTTGAAAAAGAGTTTTTGTAAACTGAGACCAAAATATAGTTAAGAGTGAGAAAATGTTTTTGTTGGGATTTAATTCTTTTTATTTTTTATTTTCTGAAATGGAGCTTCGCTGTGTCGCCCAGGCTGGAGTGAAGTGCTGTGATCTCAGCTCACTGCAACTTCCACCTCCTGAATTCAAGCAATTCTCCTGCCTCAGCCTCCCAAGTAGCTGGGATTACAGGTGCCCGCCACCACGCCCAGCTAATTTTTGTATTTTTTAATAGAGATGGGGTCTCGCCATGTTGGCCAGGCTTGTGTTGAACTCCTGACCTCAGGTGATCTGTCCGCCTCAGCCTCCCAAAGTGCTGGGATTACAGGCATGAGCCACCATGCCCGGCCTGGGATTTAATTTTTTTAAAAACCAAAAAAAAAAAAAAAAAAGAAAGAAAAGAAAAATAAATTTCTCATTTTAAAAAAAATTTGTATTTTAATAGCAACCATGTGCCATTTGTTAGAAGAAGAAATCAAGTGTAGGTGGGGGTGAAGGTTTGGGTCCTTCCCCACTCCAAATCATATGATAGCTCAATATAATATCTTTCCATTCACATTTAATTTTCACAGCATTATCTTAAGGACAGTCATTTGTACAAAACTATTTCTGGGCTTTATTCTAGCTTTCCCAAGGATCTAGTTTAAAATGATTTGACGCTCTCCCTCTCCCTCTCCCTCTCCCCACGGTCTCCCTCTCCCTCTCTTTCCACAGTCTCCCTCTGATGCCAAGCCGAAGCTGGACAGTACTGCTGCCATCTGGGCTCACTGCAACCTCCCTGCCTGATTCTCCTGCCTCAGCTTGCCAAGTGCCTGCGATTGCAGGCGCGCACCGCCACGCCTGACTGGTTTTCGTATTTTTTTGGTGGAGACGGGGATTCGCTGTGTTGGCTGGGCTGGTCTCCAGCTCTTAACCGCGAGTGATCCGCCAGCCTCGGCCTCCCGAGGTGCCGGGATTGCAGACGGAGTCTCGTTCACTCAGTGCTCAATGGTGCCCAGGCTGGAGTGCAGTGGCGTGATCTCGGCTCGCTACAACCTCCACCTCCCAGCTGCCTGCCTTGGCCTCCCAAAGTGCCGAGATTGCAGCCTCTGCCCGGCCGCCACCCCGTATGGGAAGTGAGGAGCGTCTCCGCCTGGCCGCCCAGCGTCTGGGATGTGAGGAGCCCCTCTGCCTGGCTGCCCAGTCTGGAAAGTGAGGAGCGTCTCTGCCCGGCCGCCATCCTATCTAGGAAGTGAGGAGCGCCTCTTCCCGGCCGCCATCACATCTGGGAAGTGAGGAGCGTCTCTGCGCGGCCGCCCATCGTCTGAGATGTGGGGAGCACCTCTGCCCTGCCGCCCCGTCCGGGATGTGAGGAGCGTCTCTGCCCGGCCGCCCCGTCTGAGAAGTGAGGAGAGCCTCTGCCTGGCAACCGCCCCGTCTGAGAAGTGAGGAGCCCCTCCGCCCAGCAGCCACCCCGTCTGGGAAGTGAGGAGTGTCTCCTCCCGGCCCACCCGGCCAGCCGCCCCGTCCGGGAGGGAGGTGGGGGGATCAGCCCCCCGCCCGGCCAGCCACCCCGTCCGGCAGGTGAGGGGCGCCTCTGCCCGGCCGCCCCTACTGGGAAGTGAGGAGCCCCTCTGCCCGGCCAGCCGCCCCGTCCGAGAGGGAGGTGGGGGGGTCAGCCCCCCGCCCGGCCAGCCGCCCCGTCCGGGAGGTGAGGGGCGCCTCTGCCCGGCCGCCCCTACTGGGATGTGAGGAGCCCCTCTGCCCGGCCACCACCCCGTCTGGGAGGTGTGCCCAACAGCTCATTGAGAACCGGCTATGATGACAGTGGCGGTTTTGTGGAATAGAAAGGCGGGAAAGGTGGGGAAAAGATTGAGAAATCGGATGGTTGCCGTGTCTGTGTAGAAAGAAGTAGACATGGGAGACTTTTCATTTTGTTCTGTACTAAGAAAAATTCTTCTGCCTTGGGATCCTGTTGATCGGTGACCTTACCCCCAACCCTGTGCTCTCTGAAACATGTGCTGTGTCCACTCAGGGTTAAATGGATTAAGGGCGGTGCAAGATGTGCTTTGTTAAACAGATGCTTGAAGGCAGCATGCTCCTTAAGAGTCATCACCACTCCCTAATCTCAAGTACCCAGGGACACAAACACTGCGGAAGGCCGCAGGGTCCTCTGCCTAGGAAAACCGGAGACCTTTGTTCACTTGTTTATCTGCTGACCTTCCGTCCACTCTTGTCCTCTGACCCTGCCAAATCCCCCTCTGCGAGAAACACCCAAGAATGATCAATAAAAAAAATAAAAATAAAATAAAAATAAAAATAAATAAATAAAATGATTTGACATTCACATTATTTTGTTTTGAAATGCCTCCCTTGTCATCATTGTTAATGTTTTTGGCTTCTTTAATTGCTGATTAGACTAAAACTAACAAACAATTGTTATGTGTATGATTTGAGCTGTTCTGGTCGTCTGATGGGCAGAGATAGATAGCAAGGAAGATTTGAATGACTAGTTATTTCGTGTATATTTTCATGTTGTGATGGCTTTTACTTTATTCTCAATCTTGTTGCTATGAGGACCCAAATAATAAATATTCAGATAATCAATGATTATAGAGAATTTCCTCTACATTTTATTTTTGGTTTAAAAAATGAAGCTTTATATAGTTTTATTTTGAAGAAATTTTACAGAAGTCATTTCTAGTCTTGAGCATACAGAGCTAATAATCTTTTTAAAGAGCTACATACATTCCTACTTTCCATTGTAGACATGTACAGTTGGTGCACATAAGAGGTGTTTACAGGCTGGATGCAGTGGCTCACACCTGTAATCCCAGGACTTTGGGAGGCTGAGGTGGGCGGATCACGAGGTCAAGAGATGGAGACCATCCTGGCCAACATGGTGAAACTCTGTCTCTACTAAAAATACAAAAATTAGCCGGGTGTGGTGGTGCATGCCTGTAGTCCCAGCTACTCGGGAGGCCGAGGCAGGAGAATCGCTTGAATCCGGGAGGCAGAGGTTGCAGTGAGCCAAAAAAGTGCCACTGCACTCCAGCCTGGTGACAGAGTGAGACTCCATCTCAAAAAAAAAAAAAAAACAAAAAAAAACCAAAGAGGTGTTTACAACTTTTTGAAAGTAAAAACAATGCGAAAAAGAGCACTCAAACACATATATCTTTGTACAAAAGGCAAGAAAATTAGAATTTTATAAGGGGAGTTCCCAAGTCAAAGGACACAAGTGTATGTTACATTTCAAAAGATTCTACCAAAGTGCCCTTTAAAATGGCTTCACTAATTTATCCTCCCACCAACAATATATGAAGGGGCTTTTGCTCACACCTTTGCCAACAGTGGGTTTCATTAAAACTTTCTAATTTTTGCTAATGGAATAGTTGAAATTTTCTTGTTCTGATCCTTATTTCTTGAATTATAAATTATGTTAAACTTTTTTTTTTTTTTTTGAGACACGGTCTTACTCTGTTGCCCAGGCTGGAGTGCAGTGGTCCAATCTTGGCTCACTGCAACCTCTGCCTCCCCAGTTCACACAATTCTTGTGCCTCAGCCTCCCTAGTAGCTGGGATTACAGGTAGGCACCTGTAATTTTTGTATTTCAAGTAAAAATGGGGTTTTGCCATGTTGGCCAGGCTGGTCTCGAACTCCTGGCCTGAAGTGATCCACCTGCCTCTGCCTCCCAAAGTGCTGGGATTACAGGCGTGAGCCACTGCGCCTGGCCTAAACTTGGTTTGTGTGTGTGTGTGTGTGTGTGTGTGTGTGTGTGTGTGTGTGTGTGTGCTTTTACTGCTTGTATTAGTTTATCTGTAAACTTCCTACTTGGGTTTTTTATCTGCTTTTATAATTGAGTAATTTATCTTTTTCATCTTCATTTATAAGATCTGCATATTAAAAATAGCCCTTGTATATATGGGATGCATATATTTTTCCTCAGTTTGTCATCTGTCTTTGACTTTGTTTTGGATGTTGTTGTCACATAAACGTTAAATTTTTACATGGTCAATTTTAGCAACCTTTCATTTATGGCTTCTGGATTTTGTGTCATGTTTAAGTAAGGCCTTCTCTACTGTAAAATTGTTTTTTAATTCCACAGTGTTTTCTTCTAGAACGTTTATACTTCATTTTTTGTAGCACATCAAATATGCGTGGAATGAGAGATCTTCAAAAATAATAGATTTTCATATCATTTGCAGGTTTGGTCATAACCTTAAAACTAGGGTAGGTCATCGCTATGTCCATATCTTTAAAGACAGATATAATAAACGTTAATAAACACCACTGATGCACTTTCCTTTGCTAACATGGAGAACATATGTGCCCACTAAACTTGCCTGATTGCAAATTATGACTGAGGGAAGGGTTTTTGTATATACAAGTCACCAGATGTTTTATAATGATTCTGTTAATATGAGCCTCCGGATTAGACTAGAGCCAGTGTTACAGGTCAAGACTGAGGCTCATTGACCAAGCTATGCAGGGAAGTTTGTGCAGCGCCTCCTGGCACAATACATAAATATCCAGATTTATTACTCTCTGTCTCCAGCACCGAATTTGCCCACAGATTTATGAAAGGGAAAACATGAAATTGAGATTTGTAAATATTTGAAGTTTACTTCTGAGATCTGAAAAGGCAGTAAGAAGGCTAGTAATAAATTCAAAATAGAGGTTAGGGAATGCAGTAAGTTTGCAATTATAGAAATATAACTTAAGGAAAGAATCACAAACAATAAAATTTAATAATTTCACCCTTGGTTCATAAAACACTGAGCTCCAACTGACATAAATTATTAGCCTGAGGAAAAAATGTAGGTAAGTGAATATAGATTGTCACAAAGGAAATTGTTGATAGATTTGGCAACTAGAGTTAGAATTCCTAATTCTTCTGACAGGATGATTCTCCTTACAAGTCAGGAAAGGCTAAAAGCCTTGAAGAATTTTTACCAATATGTATCATGTTCAGTATCCTTTGCCCCATTTATAACTAATGACACCTTGGAAGCCTCTAAAAGTAGTCATGTCAGTAGATTGATCAGTTCTCCATTTTTGTTCATCAGGAAACTAGTTCCTTCAAAAATCAATTTTGTGTAGCTTTTAGGATTGTGAGTCTGTATCAATTTGCAGAGCCGATATTAGGCTTAAAAAAAAAACCAGATGACTGATGGGACTCCAGGCCTCAGAGTCAGCCAAAGCTCATTTGCAACTTTTACTTTGTGAGTTGGCAACTGTGTCACCTTGGCAAATTTATTTATTTAATTTCCTCAAGACTTGATTTCCTCATCTTTCAAATGGACTATTCATAACTTCCAGTGGCAGACACCATTGCATGCTTCCTAAAATGCCAAACCCCACCACTGTCTTCTTCACTAACCAGGGCTATTCCTAGCAGGTCCTGGGCTTTGATATGATTTGCAAAAATGTGGCCCAATAGGCAGACAAATTGCAAAATGCTACCCCTTCCTCTAGACTGACACAGCCAGGTCCCACAGCTTAAGGTGTGGGCTGTACAGAGTGTGGACTGATTCTGGCCTCTGCTGGGCACCTTTATGCAGTGAGACCCTTAGTGAGACCTAGGTTTTGTTTAGTTCCTAGATGGAGACTCCTTGATCACAAGGAAGATGGGCCCAGTGCTGGCCTAAGCAGGAGCATGGCTGAATTGAGATGAGATGAAAAGGAAGAGTCAGCTGAGGAGCTTCCTCGAGAAGGGAAAGGCATGGGAGAAGACGAGTTTTGTCCTGATTCTCACTTTTAAATGTAGTCATGTGATGGCACAATACTCTGGGCTATGGTGGTCTTTATAAAACCATGAATGGAAGGCCAAGAGACTTGACCTAGAGCCCTGACACCCCTGAGTCACTGAACCAATGATAGGACTTCTGCTTCTGGGAGGTTGAGGAGAGTGGATCACTCAGTTTGTTTAAGCCACAGTTATTTGGGTTTTATGGAACTCAAAGCTGAAAGCTTTCCTAATTGATAAAGGACCACAGGAATATTTTAAAGATTAAACGATATGACATAATTAACCGTCTTCTTAGTAACAGAGTAGGAACTGAGTAACTGATGGCTGCCATGATGATGGTGGTTGTATTAGTCCGTTTTCATACTGCTATAAAGAACTCCCTGAGACTGGGTAATTTATAAAGGAAGAGATTTAATTGACTTACAGTTCAGCATGGCTGGGGAGGCCTCAGGAAACTTACAATCATGGTGGAAGGCAAAGAGGAAGCAAGGCACCTTTTTCACAAGGCAGCAGGAAGGAGAAGTGCCAAATGAAGGGGGAAGAGCCCCTTATAAAACCATCAGATCTCGGCTGGGCACGGTGGCTCAAGCCTGTAAACCCAGCACTTTGAAGGCTGAAGTGGGTGGATCACGAGGTAAGGAGTTCGAGACCAGTCTGACCAACATAGTGAAACCCTGTCTCTACTAAAAATACAAAAAAAAAATTAGCCAGGCTTGGTAGCGCGTGCCTGTAATCCTAGCTACTCAGGAGGCTGAGGCAGGAGAATCGCTTGAACATGGGAGGCAGAGGTTGCAGTGAGCCAAGATCATGCCACTGCACCCCAGCCTGGGGGACAGAGCAAGACTCTGTCTCAAAAAAAAAACAAAAAAAAACAAAAACCATCAGATCTCATGAGAACTCACTCATTATCACGAGAACAGCATGGGGGAAATCACTTCCATGATCCAATTACTTACACCTAGTCTCTCCCTTGACATGTGGGGATTATGGGTGTATTAGTCCGTTTTCACACTGCTGATAAAGACACGCTCAAGACTGGGAAGAAAAAGAGGTTTAATTGGACTTACAGTCCCACATGGCTGAGGAGGCCTCAGAATCATGGCTGGAGGCAAAAGGCACTTCTTACATGGTGGTGGCAAAAGAATATGAGAAAGAAGCAAAAGTAGAAACTCCTGATAAACCCATCGGATCTCATGAGACTTACTCGCTATCATGAGACTAGCACAGGAAAGACTGGCTCTATGATTCAATTACCTCGCCCTGGGTCCCTCCCACAACATGTGGGAATTCTGGGAGATATAATTCAAGTTGCGATTAGGGCAGGGACACAGCCAAACCATATCAATGAGGATTACAATTCAAGATGAGATTTGGGTGGGGACACAAAGCCTAACCATATCAGTGGTGATAATGGTAGTCATCATGATCATATTAAACATGGTAACAGAGCTTGAATTGAGATAAAACCACCTGAGTCTCTAGCTTTGTGTCTTGAGCAAATTAGCCGTCTAAAGTCTCAATTTACACACCTGTAAAAAAGAGTAATAACAATAATACTTGTCTCACAGGGCAGCTTTGAGAATTCAAAAGGAAGGTATATGAAAAGCATTTTATTTTAATTTTTATTATTTTTATTTTTTTACTGAGGGTCTTGGTCTGTTGGCCAGGCTGGAGTGCAGTGTTGCAATCATGGCTCACTCCAGTCTCAACCTCCTCGGTTCAAGCTACCCTTGCACCCCAGTCTCCCAAGTGGCTGGGACCACAGGCATGTGCCATTATGGTGGGCTGATTTTTTTTTTTTTAGAGATGGGGTCTTTCTGTGCTGCCCAGGCTGGCCTCGAATTCCTGAACTCAAGCAATCCTCCCACCTCAGCCTCCCAAAGTGCTGGGATTAAGGGTGTGAGCCACTAGGCCTGGCCTGAAAAGCATTTTATAAACTGTGAAGTGTGATACAGTGGTTACTTCTTATTGTTGTAGTATCTTGGCCAATAGTTCAAAGACAGGATAAAAATTGCTCTCAAATTAGAAATAAAAGCAATAATAAATGAGTTTGATTTTGGACAAGGGTACTAAGTAATAAGTATTTAAAATAACCTTCAATCTGTTTTAGTCATAAACTGGTCTCATCTTCATACCTGAGAACTCAGAAAAAAGGCAATAAAATCACCCTATCTAGAGGAGAAAAGATGACTGAGTTTACTCCCAAAGGTTCAGGGCACTATTAAAGAAACCTTGACAAAGAGAAAGAATGAGAAATTGAAAATAGGAAGGTGACACAGGAGAGAATAGAATATAGAGACAAAGGCCAGGTATTCTTTGGCAGGTGAGATTTTTCACGGAGTGCTCAGCCTCAGAAAGGATCCAGAAAAGGGGATAAATCACAGTTATCATTTCCTTTTCAGTATTCTCTGGCTCCAACTTCAACAGGCACTTGCAGTAGAGACAAGGGAGTTTTGTGTACCAAAGAAACAGGGCTGAGACTTGCTTACACCCCAGTCAGTAATGGGTGCTAGTTAATGTGTCTGCCTATTCTTGACAATGTCCCTAAACATAACTGTAAAAACAGCACAAAGTACAATTAAGATGTATAATAATTATACATCCAGTATTATGCATCTGGTATTTTACCTCTTACAACTCTACACTAAGGCATTAATAAAACTTTTAGCCAAGAATGATTAAGAAAATATCTCCATCCCTGGATTGGTATGAGTTTCTGTTTGGTCATCCTGGTTCCAAGTAGTTCAGCAATTCTGTGTCTCAAAATGCTCCAAGTCACACATGGATTTGGTTATTTCCTTATAACATAGTAGAGTCATGAGTTACTGCAAATTCTCTGACGAACATTGCTAGAAGTTCTTTTTTTTTTTGAAATGGAGTTTTGCTCTTGTTGCCCAACCTGGAGTGGAGTGGTGCCATCTCAGCTCACTGCAACCTCCGCCTCTTGGGATCAAGTGATTCTCCTGCCTCAGGCCTCCCGAGTAGCTTGGATTACAGGCGCTCCCACTATGCCTAGCTAATTTTTTGTGTTTTTAGTAGAGACAGGGTTTCATCATGTTGGCCAGGTTGGTCTCGAACTCCTAACCTCAGGTGATCCGCCCACCTCAGCCTCCCAAAGTGCAGGGATTACAGGAGTGAGCCACTGTGCCTGGCCAGAAGTTCATATTTCTAAAAATAAACTTTGTGCATGGTGGCTCACCCCTGTAATTCCAACACTTTGGGAGGCTGAGGGGGGCAGATCACTTGAGGCCAGGATTTCGAGACTAGCCTGGCCAACATGGTGAAAGCCTGTCTCTACTAAAAATACAAAAATCAGCTGGGTGTGGTGGTGCAGGCCTGTAGTCCCAGCTACCCGGGAGGCTGAGGCATGGGAATTGCTTGAACCTGGGAGGCAGAGGTTGCAGTGAGCCAAGATTACATGTGGGTGATAGAGTTGAGACTCTGTCCCAAAAAAAAAAAAGAAAAAACCTTATAAATTATAAATTTTATTTCTGTTCTGATTTGCAAAGCTGGAGATTTATCTAAATCTAGAAGTTGGGATTATGTAAATTGAACGGATTATATGGAATATGCATCCTACACATCCTGAAAACCCAACTGATCTTGGCTGAATAAAGGTTTATTGATGCTCAGCTTTTTTAGGAAAGAAAGAAACAACCTCTGTGTGAGAATCAATATCAGACAATCTTTGCCCATTAATCAAAAACCAATGATTCTATGGTTATTTCTGAGCTGCATTTCTACTCCCACTAGGGGTTTGCTTTTTAATCACTTCATGCCCATTTCAACGTAGGCGACATGAGCAGAGAGATGCAATGCTGCTTCCAGCACTATTAATGAGTTAAATATTTGATTCTGAGATCTGTGAATCACACTTTGTCCCCTTGCTCATCTAGCTCTGTTCATTTTAGTCTATTTGTTAGTGTACATGTTGAGCTGCTGAGCTAAAGACATCCCAATTTACAATGACTGAAACAAGAAAGATGTTTGTTCCTCTCTTAAATAACAGTCCAGAGGTAGGTGGGCAGCCTACTCGTGGCTAGTAGGTGGCCATGACATCCTCAACTTCTGACTCCTACCTATGGGTCCAAAGTGGTTGCCGCAGTTCTCCCCATCTCACAGCTAGGAAAGATCTAATTATTTTAAAGACAAGACTTGGAAGTAGCTCCCATCACTCCTTCAATCCCATTGGCCAGAATGTAGTCTCACTCAGCTGGAGGGGAGGTACCTAAATGTGGAGCTGGGAACTCACCCGTGTGACCAGTTGATATTCTATTGTTATGGAAGTAGGAGAGAATGGACATGGAAAAATAACAGAAGTCTGCTACACTAGGTATACTAGAATGGAGCTTCTCAAACTTTAATGTGCATGTAAATTACCTGGGGACCTTGCTGAAATGCAGCTTCTGATACAATAGGCCTGGAGTGGGATCTAAGACAAGCTTTTCCAACAAGCATCCAGATGCTGCCAATGCTACTGGTCTGTGGACCACACTTTGAGCAGCAAGGAACTAGTAGACTCTCTTGATTGCAAGAAACAGATTTCATTAGACCGCCTTACGTATCACTTACTGTTAGGAAGGTTGCAAATAATCAAGGCAAATCTAGATGTCTCAGCTCTCTCTTGACCATACAGTCTCTATTTCCCTTTGCATGAATCTTCCATTTTTCTTTCATCCCAAGCTAGAAAATTCTCACCATATTTTCTGGTCCAAAATCTGACAGAAATACTAGCAACTAGCTACTTCAGTGAGACAGGGACCTCCCTCAACAAAGTGCTATGATTTTATGGGTCACCTGGCAGTCCGCAAATGAGATAAACTTTGGTTCAGTCAATAATCACATAAACATGAACAGCCTGACTTGGCTTCCCTTAGCAACAAGCAGTAGATGATGCAGCTTAAGCTACAGGGGAAGCTGTAAAGAAAACCGTATATAGTTTCAGCCGGGCACAGTGGCTCACGCCTGTAATCCCAGCACTTTGGGAGGCCGAGGCGGGCGGATCACAAGGTCAGGAGATCAAGACCATCCTGGCTAACACGGTGAAACCCCATCTCTACTAAAAATACAAAAAATTGGCCGGGCATTGTGGCGGGCGCCTGCAGTCCCAGCTACTCAGGGGGCTGAGGCAGGAGAATGGTGTGAACCTGGGAGGCAAAGCTTGCAGTGAGCCGAGATGGCGCCACTGCACTCCAGCCTGGGCGAGAGAGCGATACTCTGTCTCTTAAAAAAAAAAAAAAAAAAAAGGAAAAGAAAACCATGTATACTTTCATTGTTTGGATATTATAGTGAAGCATAGGAACTTAACACTTTGTGGATGAAAAACAAAAATAGCAAAGCAATACAGATTTATATTCTGATATGATGGCAAATAAAATTACTAAATTTAGTTTTCTACTCGTAGAAGTAATAGATGCCTTTGGAAGGCCAAGGCGGGCAGATCACAAGTTCAAGAGATTGAGACCATCCTAGCCAATATGGTGAAACCCCAGCTCCACTAAAATACAAAAAATTAGCTGAGAGTGGTGGCACGAACCTACATTCCCAGCTACTCAGGAGGCTGAGGCAGGAGAATTGCTTGAACCCGGGAGGGAGAGGTTGCAGTGAGCCAAGATCATGCCACTGCACTCCAGCCTGGCAACAGATCGAGACTCCATCTCAAAAAAAAAAAAAAAAAAAAAAAAAAGAAGTAATAGATCCCTGTTGTTTATACACAAAGGCATAAGGAAATAGAGTCCAGAAATAAACCACGTACATACACAATCAATTGATCTTTGACAAGGGTACCAAGAGTATACACCTAGGAAAAGGACAGTCTCTTCAACAAATGGTACTGAGAAAAGTGGATATCCACATGTAAAAGGATGAAATTGGACTTACTCCATACACAAAAATCAACTCAAAATGGATTAAAGACTTAAAACCTGAATCTATGAAACTCCTAGAAGAAAACAGAAGAAAAGCTTCAAGACACCAGTCTTGACAATGATTTTATAAATATGACGTGAAAAGCCTAAGCTTATCACCTCGCCCTTGTTAGGATGGTTATTATAATTTTTTTAAAAAAGACAAAGGACAGGCTGGGGATGGTGGCTTACCCTTGTAATCACAGCACTTTAGGAGGCTGAGGCAGGAGGATTGCTTGAGCTCAGGAGTTTAAGACCAGCCTGGGCAATATAGTGAGACCTTGTCTCTACAAAAAACAACAAAAAAAAAATTAGCCAGGCATAGTGGTGTGCGCCTGTGGACCCAGTTATTCAGGAGGCTAAGGTGGGAGGATAGCATGAGCCCAGGAGGTTGGGGCTGCAGCGAGCTTTGATGGGACCACTGCACTCCAGCCTGCACAACAGAGCAAGACCTTGTCTCACACAAACAAACAAAAAAAACAAACGACAAGTGTTGGCAAGGATGTAGAGAAATTGGAACCCTTGCACACTGTTGGTAGGAATGCAAAGTAGTGCAGCTGCTATGGAAGATGGTATGGTAGTTTCTCAAAAAATTAAAAATAGAACTACTGTGTAATCCAGCAATCCCCCTTCTGTGTATATACCCAAAAGAATTGAAATCAGGATCTTGAAGAGACATTAGCACCCTCATGTTCATTGCAGCACTGTTCACAATGGCTAAAGTGTAGAAACAACCTAAATGTCCATCAGCAGGTGGATGGTTTTAAAAATGTAGTATATATAGGCCAGGTGCAGTGGCTCACGCCTGTAATCCCAGCACTTTGGGAGGCCGAGGTGGGCGGATCACGAGGTCAGGAGATCGAGACCATCTTGGGTAACACGGTGAAACCCCGTCTCTACTAAAAATACAAAATAATTAGCCGGGCGTGGTGGCAGGCACCTGTAGTCCCAGCTACTCAGGAGGCTGAGGCAGGAGAATGGCGTGAACCTCGGAGGCAGAGCTTGCAGTGAGCCAAGATCGTGCCACTGCACTCCAGCCTGGGGGACAGAGCGAGACTCCATCTCAAAAAAAAAAAAAAAAAAAAAAAAAGGAGCATATATGAACAATGGAATACTATTCAGTCTTAAAAAAGAAGGAAATTCGGCCAGGCGCGCAGTGGCTCACACCTGTAATCCAAGCACTTTGGAAGGCCGAGGCGGAAGGACTGCCTGAGCTCAGGAGTTGGAGACCAGCCTGGGCAACATGGCGAAACCCCATCTCTACTAGAATACAAAAAATCAGCCAGGGTTGGCGGTGTGCGCCTGTAGTCCTAGCTACTCGGGGGGCTGAGGCAGGAGAATCGCTTGAACCTCGGAGGTGGAGGTTGCAGTGAGCTGAGATGGCACCACTGCACTCCAGCCTGGGCAACAGAGCAAGATTCCGTCTCCAAAAAAAAAAGAAGGAAATTCTACAATGTGCAACAACATTGATAGACCTTGAGGACATTATGCTAAGCAAAGTAAGTCAGAAACAGAAAGACAAATACTGCCTGATTCCACTTACATGAGGTATCTGAAATAGTGAAATTCAGAAAATCAAAGACTGAAATGGTAGTTACTAGGGGATGGGGCACTGGGAAATGGAGAGTTATTAATTAACACCCATCAAGTTTCAGTTAAGTAAGCTCTAGAGATCTGCTGTACAACACCATACCTATGGTCAATAATAATATATTGTACACTTAAAATTTGTTAAGAAGGTAGATCTCCTATTTAATGTTCTAACCACAATAAAATAAAAGATTAATTTAAAAAAATTGTTTAAGAAAATAGGCTGGGCGCGGTGGCTCACGCCTATAATCCCAGCACTCAGGTGGATCACCTGAGGTCAGGAGTTCGAGACCAGCCTGACCAACATAGGTAAACCCCGTCTCTACTAAACATAAAAAATTAGCTGGGCATGGTGGTGCATGCCTGTAATCTCAGCTACTCGGGAGGCTGAGGTGGGAGAATCGCTTGAACCTGGGAGGCAGAGGTTGCAGTGAGCCGAGATCGCACCACTGCACTTCAGCCTGGGCAACAGAGTGAGACTCTGTCTCAAAAAAAAAAAAAAAAAAAGAGAAAAGAAAAAGAAAAGAAACTCATAATTTTAACTTCAGTTAATGCACACTATTTTTAAATTAACTTTAAAATGTGGATAACATAAGCAATACCAAGTCATAGAAAGAAAGAAAGAATTTAAACAGAAAAGGCACACTGTTCATACTTTATATAACTAATCATGCTTTTTGTCTTTAATCTCAATATTTTCTTCTTGTTTAATGCCACATTAGGACAACTTTTGTACTTAACTATGGCCAATTGCTTGGTCCGATTCTTTTCTGATTCTCAGATAGTCATACTCTACTAGAGCTCATCTTCCTTCTGGAGAACTCCCGTCTCCATGGAAGGCCTCCTTTTTGTTTTGTGAGTTCTGTCTTACCTGTGCTGTCCAAGAAGGAAGTATATCATGCTAGTGCATGATTAGATGCAGCTGTTTTGGTTTTTGGTTTTTGTTTTTTGTTTGTTTGTTTGTTTGTCTTGAGAAGGAGTCTCGCTCTATCACCCAGGCTGGAATGCGGTGGCACAATCTCGGCTCACTGCAAGCTCCACCTCCCGGGTTCACGCCATTCTCCTGCCTCAGCCTCCTGATTAGCTGGGACTACGGGCGCCCGCCACCACGCCCGGCTAATTTTTTGTATTTTTTAGTAGAGACGGGGTTTCACCGTATTAGCCAGGATGGTCTCGGTCTCCTGGCCTCGCGATCTGCCTGCCTCGGCCTCTCAGAGTGCTGGGATTACAGGCGTGAGCCACCGTGCCCGGCCTAGATGCAGCTGTTTTTAATTAACCCCTCAGCTCTCCTCCAGAAGAATGACTCAGTATGACTTGGCGAACTGATGGTTTCTAAGGAGTCATACATATTTACAACATACCAATATGTTTAATAAAGTTAACCCATCTTACACTGTAACCCATGTTACAGTGCAACATGAAACCAATGCCTCCATCCTACTCATGAAATCCAATTCAAGTGACTAATCAGGTGGGAATGCTACTTTGCAGTGAGTGGAGGCCTCACAGTGGGAATTCAGAGCTCTGACGGACTTATTTTTCTCTTTTGAGCGAGAGTCAGGCGAGGGCTGAGCAAGACCTGAATGGGCTCCTTGGGACCATGGTGGCATATGTGGAAAGGGCACCTCTTACACATGGCTGTGTTGTGAAGCTGAAGGACAGAAAATTGGATGGGTGGTGGCTGGTCGAAACGAGAGTACGCATATTAGAGGACCAGGCTGAACACAGGAGTCAAGCCGCAGAAGCCAAGGCAGGGCCAGGAAGGGAAGAAGGCCAGACGATGTGAAAAGTGAAATGAACCAGAGGCAGCTGGAAGAAAGTCCGAGGATGAAAATTTGCCCACACCTCCCCTCCCGACTGGGGTCCTTTTAAAATATTTCTCCTGACAACTTGAAAAAGTATAGAAGATTAATAGAAAGGGGATGGGGAAACAGGTGGAATCTAAATGAGTCTCTTCCTTGAAGCAAAGATGCCAGGCCAATGCCAGGTAAGTAAGCACTGGGAATTACTATGTTGGCATAAATGAGCCAGTTTCCATGATTTCAAGGCTCACCTGGCCTGAGTATGGAAATTGTTCTTTATTTGCTCATACTGAAAATGTTGACTGAATAGAAGCAAAGTAGTACAAATATAAATTAAACATACTCCTTACTTAAACAAATTTACAAGAAGAAAACAAACAATCCCATAAAAAAGTGGGCAAAGAACATGAACAGACACTTTTCAAAAGAAGACATACATGTGGCCAACAATCATATGGAAAAAAGCTCAATAGCACTGACCATTAGAGAAATGCAAATCAAAACTACAAGATGCCATCTTACACCAGTCAGGATGGCTATAATTAAAAAGTCAAAACATAACAGTTGCTAGCGAGGTTGTGGAGAAAAAGGAATGCTTACACATTGTTGGTGGGAGTGTAAATTAGTTCAACCATTGTGGAAGACAGTGTGGTGATTCCCCAAGAATCTAAAACCAGAAATACCATTTCACCCAGTAATCCCATTACTTGGTATATAACCAAAGGAATATAAATCCTTCTATTATAAAGTCATATGCACACAAATGCTCATTACAGCACTTCTCACAATAGCAAAAACATGGAATCAAGCTAAATGCCCATCAGTGATAGACTGAATAAAGAAAATGTGATATATACACCCCATGGAATACTATGCAGCCATAAAAAGGAATGAGATCACGTCCTTTGCAGGAATGTGGATGGAGCTCGAGGCCATTATCCTGAGCAAACTAACACAGGAACAGAAAACCAAATACCACATGTTCTCACTTATAAGTGGGAGCTAAATGATGAGAACACATGGACACATAGAGGGGAACAACACACACTGGGGTCTATTGGAGTGTGGAGGGTGGGAGGAGGGAGAGGATAAGGAAAAATCACTAACGGGTACTAGGCTTATACCTGGGTGATGAAATAATCTATACAACAAACTCCCATGACATAAGTTTACTTACGTAACAAACCTGCCCTTGTACCCCTGAACTTAATAAAAGTTTAAAAAAAAAAAAGGCCGGGCACGGCGGCTCACGCCTGTAATCCCAGCACTTTGGGAGGCCGAGGCGGGCAGATCACGAGGTCAGGAGATCGAGATCATCCTGGCTAACACGAGGAAACCCCATCTCTACTAAAAATACAAAAAATTAGCCAGGCGTGGTGGCGGACGTCTGTGGTCCCAGCTACTGAGGAAGCTGAGGCAGGAGAATGGCGTGAACGCGGGAGGCGGAGCTTGCAGTGAGCCGAGATCGCACCACTGCACTCCAGCCTGGGCGACAGAGTGAGACTCCATCTCAAAAAAAAAAAAAAAAAAAAAAAAAAAATCCATACTCCTTGCCTTCAAAGACTTTACATTCTTGTGGCTATGGAGAAGTCTCTAAATATAATACAAAGCAAGACATATGTCTCAAACTTTGGGGCAGTTGAGAACCACAGATGAGAGAGGCAAGGGACCTGACCTCAAGTAGTTATGATACAATAATAATAAAAGGAAGGAGATAGGAGTAAAAATGGGAAATTATGAAACAACATATGTGCTGTGAAAGCAGTCTATGCTAAGTCTACAGGGCAGAGAGAAGAGGGGCCAGTTCTTCCAGGATGGATAGTAGAGGGTGAGTAGTAAGGGGGTCAGGAAAAGCTTTGAAAGAAGGTAACATGTAAACCGTGTTGAAGGATTAATGGGGGACTGACAAGCTGAAAGCAATAAGAAAAACACTCAAGACAATGCTAATGAAAGCACAGTGTCATGAAATATTATTGCAATTTCAGGCAGCTGTATGTAGTTCTGTGGGGCTTGAGGGTGAGACATTAGGGCTGAGTGAGGGTGTAGGTAAAACAGGAGAGGCAGTCAGGGACTCAACTACAGGAAAATAATTGGCTAGGAATCTTGGACAAAACCAACATACACCAACCCCCACAGCCAACTCAGTTTTCCATTGGATTGCTGAGAGAACATTTTATATTAAACACCTATTTTATGCAAGGCTCTGTTGTAGCACGAGTGAGGCAGTAAAAATAGGAATAATATAATTCATATCCTCACAGAACTTATATTCTTGTATGAAAAATTGACATGCACACTGACAACTGTAAGACAATAGAGAACATGAGTATAACTTAAGGAAAGTAAGAACAAAGTGCCATACCACCTAAAGGGATTATTTTTGTAAGACTTGGAGGCTGGGCGCAGTAGCTCACGCCTGTAATCCCAACACTTTGAAAGGCCAAGGCGGGAGGATCACTTGAAGCCAGGACCTTGAGACCAGCCTTGGCAATAGAGGGAGACTGTCTCTACCAAAAATTTTTAAATTAGCTGGTCATGGAGGCAGGTGCCTGTAGTTCAAGCTACTCAAGAGGCTGAGGCAGGAGGATCCCTTGAGCTCAGGAGTTTGAGGCTGCAGTGAGCTGTGATAACGCCATTGCTCTCCAGGCTGGGTGACAGACCAAGACCTTGTCTTAAAAACAAAAACAAAAACAAAAACAAAAAACCTGTGGGTGGGGGGGGGCGGAAAAAAAGCCTGGGAAAAACTTCATGAAAGAGTTGGCATCTCAAAGTGGTCCTTGAAAAATAAGAAAGGATAGAATCGTGAGGAAAGGAGCCAAGGTAGAGTGGAGAAAAGTATCAGAAACACAAGCATGGAAGTGTCTGGCATGATGAGAAATGGAAAGTACTCAATGTCATTATGGGATAGACTGTGCATGGGGAGGAGTGGGAGGTATGTTCAGAGAAGCAGGTTGTGCTGATATTTAACAACATGCAAGTAAGCTTAGAGCTGATCCTGAGTAATAGAAATAACCAAAGGTTTCAAGGAGGGGTGTTGTTATCAATTTGTGCTCCTGAATAATCCTACAACTCCTCTTACTTTTGGGATTCTGACTGAAGAAGATACATAAAAATATTGATTATTTATTTATTTGATACGGAGTCTCGCTCTGTTGCCAGGCTGGAGTGCAATGGCGCGATCTTGGCTCACTGCAACCTCTGCCTCCTGGGTTCAAGTGATTCTCCTGCCTCAGCCTCCCAAGTAGCTGGGACTGCAGGCTCGCATCACCACTCTCAGCTAATTTTTGTATTTTTAGTAGAGACAGGGTTTCACCTTGTTGGCCAGGATGGTGTCAATCTCTTGACCTCGTGATCCACCCACCTTGGCCTCCCAAAGTGCTGGGATTACAGGTGTGAACCACCGCGCCTAGCCAGATATTGATTATTAATAGCTGCTAACGCAACATCTCCTCACCTCATGTTGGGGTTTTCTGCCAGTCCATTGGCTGGAAGCCCCATTTTTAAACTTCAAACCCCACGTGAGACTTTCAGCTCCTAGTCACTGACTCTGCAATGGCCGGGTCCACAGAACAGACCCAGATGACTCACCCAGTTACATATAGGTGGAGGCACAGAACAAAGGGTGTGCCCAGAGCAGTCACCTTCCTCAAAGAGGCACACACTGCCCAAGTCAGCTGACAAATGGAGCATGGGGAAACCCAAAAGAGGGCACATGGCCTGTAGGCCCTGGATAAGAGAGAGGGTAGAGTTTAGGTAGTCACTTGTTCCATAAGCAAAACATGCCCCCAAAGAGTGTGCTCTGACTCATCAGAACAGCCACTCCTTCTCCGTTGGGTAAGAACTAGAGAAGGCAGTACTAGATGATCAGATGCATCCTCCTTCCTTTGGACTGAGGCAGAGTAGAGAGGATGCTGAAACACCCCCACGTCTTCAGGACTGGCCGAAGTATAGAAAATGCGGAGAAGGAAGAAGGACCAATTGAGAGATGGGTCCATGAGGTGTTTTAATAGCAGAGTTGATGATGATGAGATTGGAGGATTGGTGGTGGAGAGAAAGGGAGGGAAAGGGATTAAGGCACCATCGTATAACCGTAGGGACAGAAGTGCCTGTAAACAGAGGGAGAAGCAGGAGGGGAACTGTGGAGGGAAAAAGAAATCACAATGGAATTTCCTTTGGGATGTAAAAAGGGCAATTAAAAATAAATCAATTATGAGAGTGAAGTGAATTGAAAAAATTGTATCAGGAATGTTTGTATGCAAGTGAAAAACTCAGATTGCATAGCCATTTATAGAATCACATAACTGGGGATTTTAAGGAATCAATCAAGTTTCAGTCATAGCTGTTCCAGGGTTAAAACAATATCATCAGGAATTAGTTACCATTCTCCACCCCTTAAGGTAGATGGTCCCTCTGCATAGCTTTTCATTGTCTGGCCAATTTCCCAGATAGCTGCAAGGATGACTAAGGACAACCTAGGCTTACTTTCCTCCTAGCTGGTATCCCAAGGAGAAGAGGGCCTGTCTTTTTCCTGAGAGTTCCCAAAAAGTCTGATTTTCCCACCTTGGTGTACATGGCTATCCCTAAACCACTCATTGTGTCTGGGAGGATTGGGTGCTACGATTGGGTAGGCCCGATCAGGTGCCCAGAGCTGCCAAAACCATGTACAGGGGCAGATGAATTCTGAACACTCTCAAATGCTGCCATTCGACTTGTTTGGGAGATCCTAAAGTACAGCATAGTCTTAGGATTTTAGGCCTGAGTGCTGGGCTAGGGTCAGCTGTCTGCAGGGATAAGCAGCTTGAAGACCATGGGCACTGGAGGAAAAGGGCATGAAGGGGCAGGTAGCAGAAAGGTCAGTCCAAAGACAATTCCACTGATTTCATAGTTTCATTTAGGACTTCCCAGCTTTGTCATTCTAAAACGAGACCCCCTATGTGAATAGCAAAGTGCTGTATGAATAACATACATGCAGAAAATATAATCTACCCTAAGATTTTGCAAAGCTTACCTCTTTTTCCTTACACCCATTTCTTAGCCAGGTCTCAATGATAAAGTGAGTCACAGGGGCTTGTTTTTCAGTGGAGTCACCTGAAACTTCAAATAAAAGACAGTCAATTTTTTCAAATATATTAGGTGATGCAAATGCTTTGTCCGCAGTCATAGAGCTAGAAGCAGGGAGGTAGGTGCCTTAGTACAACTTGCAAATGTTTTCAAATGAGGAACTACATGCTTTGACAAAGCCCACACAGTCATGCAGTGGCACAGTTGCACTAAAATTCGTATCTCCTGCCTTCTAGCCCAGATTGTGTTCATTATGTCATCGTATGTCAGCCAAATACTTTTCCTACCAGAAAATTCTGCAGTCCGAATTTCATTCTAATATGGCCCTATATTTGTTAATGGTATTCATATAGCGGAGGCATGGTGTGGTTAAACTAGGATTAATCTCGGGTGCTATGATCACTGCTACAAACATTTGGGGAAAAAATCAATCCAGATTCATTTGGCTGATTAACCAAAACCTGTGCCTGATTTTGTTGTTGTTGTTTGCTATTTTATGGAATTTCTTTCATTCATCCCAGATGCTCAAAACTCAACCCTTTTTTGCAAATGATCCCATAGGTTAAGGACTGCTAGGATTGAACGCCTGTAGATGGAAAAACAGTCACTGCCACTGATAATCAAGAGCCCCTGTCGAAAGAACTAAATGTCTAACTAGAAAACTGTCACAGTGGTAAGAAGAAGGCAGGGAGAAATCTCACTAGGGGATGGAGATCAAATAAAACAGAAAAGTATTTTACTCAGGCCCATTAAAACAGACAATTAAAAACAATACAGTTGTCCCTGCAGAGAAACAACTGAGCAGCTCCTCACTTACATATGCAGAGCACAGTGCTTATGTGGCACCTTGCACACAGACCCTTCTGAGGATCTTGCAGCATGCCACCAGCATCACTAAATACAACAGCCTGAGTCAAAGCAGCACATGGACCATGGGTCTCATGTTTTGTGATCCCTGGGAAAATAAATCTGGAAAGAATATATCACAATTGTTCGGTGTGATGGCTCAAGCCTGTAATCCCAGCTTTGGAAAGCTGAGGAAGGAGGATTACTTGAGTCCAGGAGTTCAAGACCAGCCTGGGCAACAAAGCAAGACCCTATCTCTACAAAAAATAAAAAATTAGCCAAGCATGTTGGTATACACCTGTAGTCCCAGATACTTGGGAGGCTGAGGCAGGAAGATTGTTTGAGCCCAGGAGGTCGAGGCTGCAATGAGCCATGACTATGCCACTGCATTCCAGCCTTGGTGACAGAGTGAGACCCTATCTCAAAAAAAAAAAAAAAAAAAAGAGAAAGTTTCACAGTTAAGAAATGAGTTAAACGAAAGTGCTCAAACTATTCATTTTTGTTGTCTTAATATGATCAAGAGGATTCCTGGAAGGATAGTTATTTAACAACTATTACTTTAAAAAATGAAGACTCATAGCATTGAAAGATACTGCCAGCCGAATGGCTACCACTACCCTACACTAGTCATACCTCCAGGAATAAATGTTTATTTTCTGGAATGAAATGCATCTATTATGTACCTGACATTATTCTAGGCTTGGAATACAGCTGGGCATGTCACATAGAGAAACTGGTGCTCTCATGTAGCACTGACTCTGCCCAGCATGAAACCATAAATATCTGCCCGCCCTCTAACCCCTGGCCAGGGACTAATGTCATTCAGGCCCAAGGGACATGCTTCTCTACATCTCTTACCCTATGTCTTTGAAAGAAAAGGTGACTGTGTCCAAATACCATGAAGGTTTGAAGGTTGTACCACCACCAACATCAGAGAGGGACTCAGCTTCAGAAGACGGGGAGGATTGGAGAGGTGAAAATGCTTATAAAAAAAGACAAATTATTTGAATTGTCAAACCCTTCTGAGACAGCATGAATTCAACAGATTGTTGCACAAGGAACTATCTTTTCCCATTAGTGCCAAGCATCTAAACACTGGCTTCCTATTGAATTAAATGTAATGGTACCACAGAGTTCTGGATATAACCACAAATGTAGTACACAATATTTGCTACAGTTGCCAGGACAACTGAAGAAAGTTTTGTAAGATTAAATAATTTCTGTTACTCTTACAGTTGTATACTAATAGGCCTAGACATTAAATGTGTGAAGTGTGATGTTGACTATGTTGTCAGCAAATGGACGTTGGAGCTAAAATTGAAAATTGTTTCATTTTTATAGAAATTTAATAAGATTTAATACATTTTAATTTTATATGTAAAATACATTTAGAATAAATAAATGTTACCTTATAATTTCTTAAGTTTAATTTATAACTTTAAATTAAATATTTAGACATATGGTCTGTGGGTCTCCATTTGTCCTCTTGCCCCAGGCCCTGCAAATAACAGGGGTGAGCCTAGTTCTTCTCCCCACTCACATGAATACAATGTACACACTAACGAATAGGGTAAATAATTGGTGTTTTAAAAGTATTAAGGAGAGTGTTAAATACAAACAATGGCCAAAACAGAGGAAAAACAGCAAAAATATACTCTTGAAATAATTTAAAATTAGCTATTTAAAGTCCACTCTGATAGTCACTTTAATTGCCAAATGCCATAACCCTTTTCTTGATGGCATTGAACCCCTCCTCTTTGAAGGCCTCCTACCTTGAACTCCATGACTTAGTTGATATCATGTCCTTTATCTTTCAAATGCTTATCTTAAAGTCTCCTATTTTTTAATTTGGAAGCAGCTGTGGAAACATTTTCCACTCCTTTTCAGCCCATAAGGTGCTGTGTTCATTTTAAGATCTCAATAAAATAAAGGTTAATCAATAAGTGAATATAAAACATTGTTCTAGCAACATATTACATAGAGATATAGAACTTGCTATCACCAGATTCTAAATAGATACATCTCCGGAAACATTATCTCAAAATTTCAGTTATGTAAAATATTCCATTGTCACACAGATGTGCTGTAACAAGCCAGGGAATGCAATTCACTAAAGACCACGTTTGAAAGAAAATGACAGCAGCTGGTATTATTGAGAACATTAAGAATGCTTATTGGAGAAATAATACCCACATCAACTTTGAAGAGCATGAAACTGAATCTCACTAGGGCAGTTCCATTCATTCTACTTATTGCTATCCAGGAATGAATGAATCAGAAAATTTTGCAAACGATTTATAATTTGCCTTATTTCTGGATAGGGAATATAAATGAATAAAAGGATGAGCCCAAGAGGCCATGAGAATAAGTGTGAACATGACAGATGAAAGGCAATGAAGAGAACAAACACCATCATACTGACGAAACTTTGACCTTATACACATTTCTGAAGGAGAACGGATATCGCTTATTGTCTGTTAAATAGTCACTTTCGGCCAGGCACGGTGGCTCACGCCTGTAATCCCAGCACTTTGGGAGGCAGAGGCCGGCAGATCACGAGGTCAGGAAATCGAGACCATCCTGGCTAACACGGTGAAACCCCGTCTCTACTAAAAATACAAAAAATTAGCCGGGCATGGTGGCGGGCGTCTGTAGTCCCAGCTACTAGGGAGGCTGAGGCAGGAGAATCACTTGAACCCGGGAGGCAGAGCTTGCAGTGAGCCTGGATCGTGCCACTGCACTCCAGCCTGGGCGACAGAGCAAGACTCCGTCTCAATAAATAAATAAATAAATAAATAAATAAATAAATAAATAAATAAAGTTACTTTCTGCAGTTGAGAAACTAGCACCTAAACAGTACACTAAACAATTTACAGGGTGTGTGTCGAACTTATATGACACCTTTTTAGTGGAGAACTGCCCCATCTATCTATATCCACAGGGAGCTACGGGGTGTCAGGCACAGATGTGGACCAGAGATGAACACTTGATCTAAACTAGGCCAAGCTAATTATTTTCACTGAAATCTGAAATACGAGAGAGACGGAGTAAATTCAGGAACTTTGGGGCAAGCCTCTTCTATCGTGTATCCAGAGAATCAGATAGAGCTGCCGCAGAGATGTGCGCGGGGGAAGCAGAGCTAACGATTGCAGAGCAGTCATGCCTGCATAAGGCCTGGGGGCTCTCCAGGTTTAGTCCCTGGGCAGGCCAGCTGTCTTTAGGTTCTTTGAGATACTCCCAAATTCTTTCAATAAATTTCCTTTACTTCTTAAGCAGTTAGTTTCTCTTACTTCCAACCAAAACAACTTAGCTAAGAAATGGGAAGTACACACACTGTAAGCACATCTGTAATACGCTTGGAACTTTCATGTGATGTAAAGGTTCAGGCTCATGTCTCCAGTGAACTCTTTAGCAAATGTGAAAGGGAAGCCACAGGCTTCAGCAATAGTTACATTTGAAAATAAATATAAAATAATTTTACCTTCAGTACCTAAAGCTGAAGAACAACAAAGTTTAGAGGAGAAAATTGTATATGTTTAGGAAATTTCAATAAAACCTAGGGGACTTTAAAACATCACACATGTGCACACACACACAGACACACACAGAAATGGGATGGGAGAGATGAAGAACCAGTCACCAGAAAAAAATAAATCCAGAATTTAACCTTTTCTGCCACTCACACTGGCAATGTTTCGTGTATAATTCATGCAGTACTTTGCTCTAAGTTGGATGTGAATTCACTCACAAGAGAGTTGGAGGTAATGTCACTGTGAATATTAAATCAACCAGCAAGAGGTGGGAAGGTGGTGACACTAAAGATAAGATCAGATACAAACCCAGTGAACTCTTAAATAAAGAAACAAGTGAGCCCAGCAGGGCTATAAACAACCACCAAAGTAGAAGGCAATAAAAGACAAGGAAAATAAGACACTCAAATGTAATGAAGCAAGACTTAGAATGACTAGTGCCTGGAATACCATTTTAAGTAATACAAGCTTCTGCAACAGAGCGATTAAAGAATATACCTAACTGGTTGTCTACACCTCCACTGCAATCAACCTGTATAGAACATGTCTTAAATTATTATGAGTTGTTTTTCTTAGTACTAAAACCAAGACGAGAGAAGAAGTATACTAACCTGGATCTGGCAGGTTTAAAATGATCCTTGCACTTAAGTAGACAGTGGGTGACAAGCTCCACATCCTTTCATGAAGAGGAGGAGCCTTCCTCAATTAAGAGAGTACATCAAGAGGTCATTCTCCTCTTGATGTACTCTCTTAAGTTTATAGACACATAACTAAGATTTGCTACATGCTACAATTAAGGCCCACATTTTATGTTTATTTCCTGAATCTCAATCCATCAGAAAATTCTTAGGATACAATCAAGATGAGAATTAAATAGTTGTAGGTGTGTAAGTTCATCCATATGGAAAATGAATCCAGAATACTTGTGAAGGGCTGTGATGAAACTATGAAGTCTCTTGTATATGATAACCGTGATACAAGAATCTGGCAAGCATTTTAATATATATTTATCATAGTTAAAATCATAAATCCTTTATCACTTTTTGTTAATGACAACAGCAAAACAAACTGAGCTAGCTTGTGACCAGATTCATGCTTAGCATATCATAAAGAAGTTTCTGGGCCAGGTGTGATGGCTCACGCCTGTAATCCCAGCACTTTGGGAGGCCGAGGTGGGCAGATCACAAGGTAAACAGATCAAGACCGTCCTGGCCAACATGGGGAAATCCCATCTCTACTAACAATACAAAAATTAGCTGGGCATGGTGGCGCATGCCTGTAGTCCCAGCTACTCAGGAGGCTGAGGCAGGAGAATCGCTTGAACCCAGAAGGCAGAGGGTGCAGTGAGCTAAGATCATGCCACTGCACTCCAGCCTGGGCAACAGAGTGAGACTCCGTCTCTTAAAAAAAAAAAAAAAAGTTTCCTGCATTTCTTCACTAAGAAAAACTTACTATAGGCTGGGTGCAGTGGCTCACACCTGTAATCCTAGCACTTTGGGAAGCTGAGGCGGGCGGATCACCTGAGGTCAGGAGTTCAAGACCAGCCTGGCCAACATAGTGAAACTCTGTCTCTACTAAAATACAAAAAACGTTAGCTGGGCATGATGGCAGGTGCCTGTAATCCCAGCTACTTGGGAGGCTGAGATGACAAAATCGCTTGAACCTAGGAAATAATGGTTACAGTGAACTGAGGTGGCGCCACTGCACTCTAGCCTGGGCAGCTGAGTGAGATTCTGTCTCAAAAAAAAAAAAAAAAGAAAGAAAGAAAATTACTTACTATAGTAAATCTTGAAAAGATTCTCTAAAGTGTGAAAGTATTAAGCAGATGTAGGCCATTATTACTTGTTGAATTCTAAAATATGCTGGACATAGATGTGGTTGAGACTGACCTGAAATCAATACAGCAAACCCACAAAATTTTAATTACTATAAGCAAGAGATACTATCTTTTTCTTTTTTTTTTTTTTTTTTGAGACGGAGTCTCGCTCTGTTTCCCAGGCTGGAGTGCAGTGGTGTGATCTCGGCTCACTGCAAGCTCCACCTCCTGGGTTCATGCCATTCTGCTGCCTCAGCTTCCCGAGTACCTGAGACTACAGTTGCATGCCACCACGCCTGGCTAATTTTTTTTTTTTTTTTTTTTTTGTATTTTTAGTAGAGATGGAGTTTCACCATGTTAGCCAGGACGGTCTTGATCTCCTGACCTCGCGATCCGCCTGCCTCAGCCTCCCAAAGTGCTGGGATTACAGGTGTGAGCCACCGTGCCCGGCCAATACTATCTTTTTCTTAAAGTACAGTACTGAGAAAAAGTACTTGATTGATATACTAGTGAGTGTGGTTTTTCAAAGTTGGGAAGAACCAGTCAATAAGAAAATTCAGTTCAACATACACTTATTGAGAGCCAACTGTGAGCAAAACTATGTGAGAGTTCATGTATTCCTAGTGGAAGTATGAATTGTCATCTGCCTCCCCCTCAGGAAATGCAATTAAACAATATATATAAAGAGTTTTGTAAACATTTATATCTTTGACACAATAATTCTGCTTCCAGATATTTTGTCTAAAGAAATAATCAGAAGGCTCCACAGGTTAATTTTACCAATTAAAGAAGTAATACCAATTATTTATAGTCACTTTCAAAAATTAGAAGAGAACAGAATACTTCCCAATTCATTCTATGAGGCCAGTATTACCCCGATACCAAAACCAGACAAAGATATTACATTAAAATAACATAAAATGCTACTGATCAATCTATTATGAATATAGACACCAAAATCCTCAACAAAATAGTAGCAAATTGAGTCCAGCAACATATAAAAAGAATTATACACCATAACCAAGTGGGATTTGTTGCAGGAATGCAAGGTCAGCTTAATATTTGAAAATCAATTAATATATCAATCAACAGGATTTAAAAACCTCATAAACCTACAGTATCATCTCAATACAGAAAAGCATTTGCCAAACTCCAGTACCTTTTCATGATAAAAACACTCAACAAACTAGGAAGAGAAAAGGACTTACTCAATGTGATAAGGGGCATCTGACTCACGACTTACTTCATTCTTAATGGTAAAAGACTGAATTGGGCGGGTGCTGTGGCTCACGCCTATAATCCCAGCACTTTGGGAGGCCAAGGTGGGCAGATCACCTGAGTTCAGGAGACCATTCTGGCCAACATGGTGAAACCACGTCTCTGGTAAAAATAAAAAATTAGCCAGGTGTAGTGGCAGGCAACTGTAATCCCAGCTACTTGGGAGGCTGAGGCAGGAGAATCACTTGAACCCAGGAGGCAGAGGTTAGGGTGAGCTGAGATCATGCCATTGCACTCCAGCCTGGGCAACAAGAAAGAAACTCCAGCTCAAAAAAAAAAAAAAAAGACTGGATGCTTTTCCCCTAACATTAGGAAGAAGATAAGGATGTCCACTTATGCCACTCCTGTTCAACATTGTAATAGAGGTTCTAGCCAGGGTATTGTACAAGAAAATGAAATAAAAGTCATGCACATTGGAAAGAAAGAATCAGAATGGTCTCTATTTGAAAGTGATATCTTATATATAAGCAATCGTAAAAAATCAACTGAAAAATTATTAGAACTAACAGAAGTTCATAAAGTTGCAGGAGGCAATATCAGTGTCTGCTCTCACACCAGCACAACAATAATCACCAAAACAGAAAGCTTCTATGACCAAACTTGTGGGGGGTTTTCCCCATACAGTAAGAAGCAGAAACAAGCTGGGTGTCCTCCAATTTATTAGACTGGTGCAAAAGTAATTGCAGCTTATGTAATTTAAAAGTAATGGTAAAAACACAATTACTATCTACCTGGAGATAGTGTCAGGTCCCACAAGTTGAGGGCTCAGTCCCTAAGACTGTCCTGCCTCACCAGACATCAGTTACAAGTCCGGGCCTCTGGAACTTCTAACTGACTGGCTTCAAGTTGGAGTTTCCATGAGTCCCTCTTTGGGTTCAATTAATTTGCTGAAGTGGCTCACAAAACTCAAGGAAACACTTGCTTACATTTACCAGTTTATTATAAAGGATATTACAGAGGTACAGATGAAGAGATACTTAGGGAGAGGTATGGGGAAAGGGTGCAGAGCTTCCATGCTCTCCCCAGGCATGCTGCCCTCCAGGAACCTCCAGGCATGCAGCTATCCAGATGTTCTTTAAACCCTGCCCTCCTGGGTTTTTATGGAGGCTTCATTACATAGGCATGATTGATTAAACCGTTGGCCTTTAGTGGTCAACTTGACCTTCAGCCCCATCCTCTCCCTGGAGGTTAGGGGATAGGACTGAAAGCCCAACCCTCTAATCACGCCTTTGCCTTTCCAGTGACCAGCCCTACGCTGAAGCTATTAGTCAACATTAGCATACAAAAAGACAGCACGCTGGAGATTCCAAGGTTCTTAGGAGTTGTTTGCCAAGAAATGGGGACAAAGATATATATATTTTTTGTATACTGATTGTGATATTGTGATATGAATAAATATTTACCTATATTCAAATAAACACAGATATATAATTCATTTTTATAGCTATATAGATATTTATATCTGGACTCTCCATTTTATTACATTGATTTGTATGTTTATCCTTATGCCAATACCACACTGTCTTGATTATAATGGCTTGGTAGTAAGTTCTAAAATCAGAAAATGTGGCCGGACATGGTGGCTAACGCCTGTTATCCCAGCACTTTGGAAGGCTGAGGCAGGTCGATTACCTGAGGTTAGGAGTTCAGGACCAGCCTGGCCAACATGATGAAACCCCGTGTCTACTAAAAAATACAAAAAAAAATTAGCTGGGCATGGTAGCAGGTGCCTTTACTTTAATCTTAGCTACTCGGGAGGCTGAGACAGGAAAATCGCTTGAACCCGGGAGGCGAAGGTTGCAGTGACCCGAGATTGTGCCAATGCACTCCAGCCTGGGTGACAAGAGTGAAACTCTGTCTCAAAACATAAATACATTAATTAATTAATTAATTAATTAATTAAATAAAATCAGAAAATGTGAGTCCTTCAACTTTGTTCTTGTTTTTCAAGATTGTTTTGGCTATTCTGAGTGTCTTGCATCTTCCCATGAATTTCGGGACCAGTTTATCAATTTGTACAGAAAAATCCAGCTGGTATTTTCCTAGATATTGTTTTGAATCTGTAGATCAATTTCGGAAATACTGCCATCTTGACAATATTAAGTCTTCCAATCCATGAACTAAAACACAAACTTTTTAATATATATTATATATATATAATATAAATAAATACAGATATAAAAATCAATTGTATATCTGTACATTTGTAATGAACAATCCAAAAGTGAAATTAAGAAAATAATTCCACTTACATTAACATTGGTGTGAATAAAATACTTAGGAAAACTTCACCAAAGAATTGCAAAATTTATACTCTGAAATAACCAAACATTGTTGAAAGAAGCTATAGATGATCCACTAAAAGAAAAACAGTTCGTGTTCATGGATTAGAAGACTTAATATTGTTAAGATGGCAATATTTCCTAAATTGATCTACAGATTCAAAACAATACCTATAAAAATACCAGCTGGCTTTTTTGCATAAATTGATAACCTGATCCTGAAATTCATAGGAAGATGCAAGACACTCAGAATAGCCAAAACAATCTTGAAAAACAAGAACAAAGTTGAAAAACTCACATTTTCTGATTTTAAAACTACTGCAAAGCAACTATAATCAAGACAGTGTGGTACTGGCATAAGGATAAACATACAAATCAATTTTATAAAATGGAGAGTCCAAAAATAAATCCATCTATCCATGATCAGTTGATTTTGTACAAGGGTGCCAACACTACTCAATAGAGTAAGAATAGTCTTTCCAACAAATGATACTAGAACAACTGGATATTCACATGCAAAAGAATGAAGTTGGAACCCCTACCTAATATCATATGCAAAAATTAACTCAAAATGGACCAAAGTCCTTAAAGTAAGACCCAAAACAACAAAAATCTTAGATGTGCTTCAAGGGGCACTATCAAGAAAGTAAGGCCAGATGTGGTGGTTCATGCCTGTAATCCCAGCATTTTGGGAGGCCGAGGCGAGCAGATCACAAGGTCAAGAGATAGAGACCATCTGGCCAACATGGTGAAACCCCATCTCTACTAAAAATACAAAACTTAGCTGGGATTCGTGGCACATGCCTGTAGTCCCACCTACTCGGGAGGCTGAGGGAGGAGAATGGCATGAACCCAGGAGGTGGAGCTTCTGGTGAACCGAGATTGCCCCACTGCACTCCAGCCTGGCAACAGAGCGAGACTCTGTCTCAAAAAAAAAAAAAAAGAAAAGAAAAGAAAAAGAAAGTAAAAAGACAACTTATAGAATGGGAGAAAATATTCACAAACCATATATCCAATAAGAGACTTGCATGTAGAAAACATAAAGAAGTTTTATAACTCAATAATAACATGACAACCCAATCTTACAATGGGCAAAACATCTAAATGGACATTTCTCCAAAGCAGATAGACAAATGGCCAAGAAATAACAAGAGAAGTGAACACATTTATATATCCATATGCTCATTACAACAATATGTACTCATTACAGCAATAGGTACTTTGCTATGTACTTAGTAGCAAAAAAACAAAACAGGAAGCAACCTAGATGTCTAAAAATAGAAGAATAGTTACATGAATTATAGCATATCAAACACTGAAATATGATATAGCCATTAAAAAGATTTCTGGAAAGGCAGTGTAGGGAAATCATTAAGTCCAAGAGCACTGGAGACAGATTGCTTTTGTTTGAGCCCCAGTGAATCTTACTAGATTCATGTCCTTGGGCAAATTACTTAACATGTCTAAGTTTCAGTTTCTTCATCTGTTGGTTTTTGCTAGGATAAAGGTAATTATCCATGTGAAATGCTTAACACATTTCATAGCACATAGTGAGTGCTAAATACATCGTTGAAAAAATGATTATGGTATGCTTTTATTAACGTGTTGACATCCTTAATATACGGTATCAAGAAAAAAGCAGGATATAAAAGTGTACATAAAGTATTCAACAAAATTTGAATAAATGATCAGATGGATGTGTGGGTGGATGGATGCACAGAACGGATAAGTGGATATAGAAGTATGCAATAAAACACTATTCCATATCTTTCTTTTAATTAAGCCAGTCATCCTGATTTATTACTATTTCACAGTTCATGTCTACCTTTTTGAGAATACTTAACATGTTTTTTTTTGTCTTGACTGATTTTTCTACGGGTGTCTACTACTAAGAGGAGGTGACATTATTAGAAACATGCATGGGACCCAGAAAGATGAAAAGAATAGGCTGTTTTACTGCTCCTCAAACTCCATAATTACTACCACTCTATTCCTATAACTGCTCTTCTTGCCGGAAGAGACAGCCTGTGGCTTGCATATCCCTTATTTAACTTTCTCATTTTTTTAATCGCCCCTTGTTGGCAATTAGCAATCAAATTCTTAATTAGCTTAAATCCACCTGGCTATTTTGCACCTAATAAATCAATTAATTCAATTCACATGGAGGGGATTGTATTCAGTGCCATATTTCAGTCATTACTGACCATCATTGTGTGTGGCTGCTGTGTGTACGGTGAAGACATGATATCCAAGCAGAATTTTTATTCTCCACTGTTTTGCAGTCTGTCAGGTAAGTGGAGGGTGTGGTGAGTGTTTTTAATGTAGAAAGGGATTTAACAACACGCCTCAGAAGACCAAAACAGAAATTAGGAGTGTAGTGTGCATTATAAGCAGGTTCACTGTTTAGGTTACAGCCTTCTCACATGCACCTGATGATGTGTAGTGTCATTCATTTCAGGCTCAAATTACATTTGTTCAGTAGAAAAACTGCGAGATTATATTCTCTGTTGTTGCAATAAGTATCGCTGAACAGTGCGATAGGGGTTCCAGGAACATGTCAAGAATGAATTCCACATAATTATACTTTGCCCCAAGTCTCCTGGTGGGTAAGTTGTTTGGGGAAATAAAGCAAATTTAAGATTTCATTGTTAAAATCAACTTGAAGAAACACTTCACATAGAAACAAGTTTCTTTTCACTATTTAATACTATGTTTCTTGAAAGAGAAACTTCTCTTGGGAAATCGTAGTGAAGTAGCAGTGTGCAGAGAATTTTAATGATCGAAATAAAATATTTTAAAAAATAGGTGGTTTTTATGCAAACACAATTACATGTGAATCTCTTATTCCAAATATCTAACCTAGTGACCTTGATTGTTAAAAAAAAAATCCCAAATGTAATCAACATATGAAATGCTTAGATATGGATTGAAACATACTGCTGTAGCTTAATAGTGTGTATTTCATTCAGGAGTTTGAAAATATTATTGCTGATTAATAAGAAAATGTCATTAATCTACTCTGATTTAGCTTGTCAATAAAGTATATAGAAACCGCAGAATCAAGCCTGGGAATGTAGGAAAGTTGAAGAGTGAGGCAGTCGAGTGTACCGACACCACTTCAGAGCTAGTGGTGGGAAGGACAAATTCTAATGCCACAGAGGTGAAAGGAAATCTTGGCCTAATCTTTTTTTTTTTTTAACTAACGACTTTATTTGGATATAATTCACATATCATAAAATTTAGCCTCTCAAAGTGTACAATTCAGTGGGTTTTAGTATATTTACAGAATTGTGCAAATATTACCAATATCTAATTCCCAAACATTTCAAACATTTCACATATATCCATCTGGAGTCACACCCCACGGCCCCCTCTCCCTGGTCCTTGGCAACCACTCATCTAGTTTGTGTCTCTATGTATTTGGATAATTCACATAAATTGAACCATACAATACATGGCCTTTTGTGACTGGCCTCTTTGTTTAGCATGTTTTCAAGGCTCCTTCCTATTGTAGCATGTTTCAGTGCCTCGTCCCTTTTCGTAGGTGAATAATATTCCATTTTATGTATTTACAACATTCTGTTTATCCATTTATGCATTGAATGGACATTTGGATTTTTTCCATTTTGATGCTATTGCTAATAATGCTGCTATGAACATTTATATAGGAAGGGTCTTGCAGGTTCTGTGTGTTTTCTGGTCGTTATTTTTAGAGGTGAGGTCTCACTATGTGGTCCAGGCTGGCCTCAAGCTCCTGGGCTCCAACAATCCTCCTGTGCTCTGCCTCCCAAGTAGCTGGCACTATAGGTATGCTCTACTGTACCTGGCTTCATGTATGAGCTTTTCTATGGACTTAATTTTCATTTCTCTTGGGTATATGCTTAGGAGTAGAATGGATGTGTTTTATGGTAAATTCTATGTTTAACATTTTGAGGAACTGCAAAAATGTTTTCCAAAGTGGATGTACCACTTTATAAACTTACCAGCAATGTAAATGTGTTTTCTAACTTCTCTACATCCTCACCAACATTTTTTATTGTTCATCTTTTTTATTATAACCATTCTAGCGGGTGTGAAATGGTCTCCCATTATGTTTTGAATTGTATTTCTCTAATGATTAATGATGTTACATGGCACTACAGGTGCTTATTGGCCATTTGTGTATCTTCTTTGAAGAAACGTCTATCCATATCCTTTGCCCTTTTTTTTTCCTTTGAGACGGAGTTTCGATCTGGTTGCCCAGGCTGGAGTGTAGCAGCGTTATCTCAGCTCACTACAACCTCCACCTCCCCAGTTCAAGCGATTCTCCTACCTCAGCCTCCCAAGTAGCTGGGATTACAGGCGTGAGCCACCACTCCCGGCTAATTTTTTGTATTTTTAGTAGAGACAGGGTTTCACCAAGTTGGCCAGGCTGGTCTCAAACTCCTGACTTCAGGTGATCTGCCTGCCTCGGCCTCCCAACGTGCTGGGATTACAGGCATGAGCCACTGAGACCTGCCCCTTTGCCCATTTTTTAACTACATTGAGTTTTAACTGTCTAGTTGTAACAGTTATTCATAAATTCTGGATAAAACTACTTTGTCAGATATACGAGTTACAAATACTTTCCCTCATTCTGTGGTTTGACTTTTCACTTTATTGATGGTGTCCTTTGAAGCACAAAAGATTTTAATTTTGGTGAAGTTCAACTTTTCTATCTTTAAAAACTTTGTTACTTGTGCTTTTGGTGTAATATCTAAGAAATCATTGCCTAAACCTAAAGTTATTATGGTTTATGCATATGTTTTCTTCTAATAGTTTTATAGTTTGAGCTCTTATATTTATGTTTTGGATTCATTTTAAACTAATTTTTGTATATGTATGAGGTAAGGGTCCAACTTTTATTCTTTTGCTTGTGGACACCCAGTTGTTCCAGCACCCATTTGTTGCAAAGATATTATTTCCATATTGAATTGTCATGACACTGTCACCAAAAATCAATTCACAGTAAATATAAGAACTTATTTCTGGACTCTCAACTTTATTTCATTTATCTACATATCTATCTTTATGCCGGTACCACACTGTCTTGATTATTGTAGCTTTATAATAAGTTTTACAATCAAGAAATGTGAGATCTCAACTTTATTCTTTGTTTTCAAAATCATTTTGGCTACTCTGCGTTCCTTGCAATTTTATATAATTTTTTTTTTTTAATTTTTAGACAGGGTGTCACTCTGTCACCCAGGCTGGAGTGCAGTGGCACAATCACAGCTCACTGCAGCAGTGACCTCCTGGGCTCAGGTGATCCTCCCACTGCACCCTCCTGGTAGCTGGTACTATAGGCACGAGCCACCGTGCCCAGCCTTCAAATGAATTTTAGGATCAGACTGCCAATTTCTTCAAAAAAAAGTCTTGGCTTAATCTTAATTTATTTCAACACCTAACAGTTTCTGGTCTCACAGGCAGGACATAACTGATGACGTCCCCAAGAAGGGATCACTGGAGCCAGTCAGTTAAGGTGATGGGCACTGCAAAGAGCAGGCCCGCAGCAGTGTCTGAAGGAAGAGAAGCAGGCTTCCATCCCTTGAGGGAGGAGACAGCCGACTAGCTCTGGGCAGAACATGAAGATTAGAGCAAAGAAATACACATTTTGAGGCCCAGAGATGTGGCATAAGAAAGGGCAATTGTACACGTCAGGAAAACATAGCCAAAAGCACTTTGTGCCGGCTATTGTGCTATTTAAGTATCTAACGCCCATCAATGATTACTACTATCATTACTTTGTCACAGAATCATTGATATAAATAGAAGTCATGTTACTAGCTTGGTCCTTCCACCAAAACCAATTTAGCCCATAATAACAATAACCAACCTCAGGGAAGCACTTTCTATTAATAAGCACTTTCTATTAATAAGCACTTTCAATACTCTGTCATGTACACAATCTCACATAATCCTTACAACAATTGCAAGGTGGATATTAATTAAGGATCAGTTTACAAACATGCATTGAACTTCTTAATGACTGATTTAGATACTGAGGATAAAAAGGTAAATAAGGGAGGTCCCTTTCCTTCAGAAATCAACTTAATAATGGAGATGCAAACACAGAGTTGGATAATTATATGGGTTACCTGGATTAAAAGTGATACTAATGGATATATGAGTCAGGTGCTCATGGAAATGTACAGGGAGAAGCTCACATTCTGGCTGGAAGCATGTGGTCAAGGTCACAGAGGGTAAATAGAGGACTTGAAATCAACCCTCGATGTGATAATAATGTAATCTATGCTGGAAGTCCTGAAGGAGGCAGCCCAATGTGAAAACAGGGCAACAGGAAAATAGACAAATCCCTCCACCATTTCTGTACCTTTGCCTGTGGCACTTTTATTCCCCTTTCTCTCTAGCTGTGTTTTAGTAATTCTACTCAAGTCTTACTTTTACTTGAAGTTGTGAGGATAAACACGTAGAGAATTAATGAGAACCTTCTTTGACAATCTTTATTAAGCTAACATAAAGGAATAAGACCTCTTGATATTAAAAATAGTAGCACTCCTTTCACCTTAAATTTACATTCTTCTCATTTTTCCCAGGCTTTATTTGAAGGCATCATAGGCATGTTCGATAATGCAGTCACATCATACATGAAAATCTTAACATCATCACCTGATTTTTTTCTCCTCAAGATATTCAATGTGAAGAAGCCAGGTATAATTTCTGGGACTATGCTACAGTAAAAGACCACCCTCAACTGAATAGTTAGAGATAGTTCATAAATTTGAAGAAATAATTATTACTTTTTTCCAAATCTGATTATTTCTGCTTTATTTCAATGTGATTATTATATTATTATTTTTGAGACGGAGTTTCGCTCTTGTTCCCCAGGCTGGACTGCAATGGAGTGATCTTGGCTCACCGCAACCTCCGCCTCCCAGGTTCAAGAGATTCTCCTGCCTCAGCCTTTAATTAATTTAAAACACATAATGAGTAGCTGGGATTACAGGCATGCACCACCACGCCCAGCTAATTTTGTAGTTTAAGTACAGACGGGGTTTCTCCACGTTAGTCAGGCTGGTCTCGAACTCCCGACCTCAGGTGATCTGCCCACCTTGGCCTCCCAAAGTGCTAGGATTACAGGCATGAGCCACCGTGCCTGGCCCATTGTGATTATTCTTAATGCAGCAAAAATACCATCTATTGAACCTCCCTGAGTCAGGCAATGTTGGCTGTACTCAATGGCTATTCCTGTCTTTGTTGTTATTATAGAACCCCCAAGAAGCAACATGCATTTGGGAGATGGGCTCTTCTGCCAGCCCCAAGGACTAGACCATGATTGGTCTATACACAGTTTAGGTTTAGAGACTACGGAAAGTGTAGTAACCACAAACCTTTTCCTAGTGATTAATATATGAATGGGCATATGATCCTTTTCTGGTCTTAGACATGTAAGAAAAAGTTTGATGTTGGGACTCCCAATAACAACCTTACTTCCTCATGAAAAAAATAAAGGCAAGGAGGACTGCCTCCTCTTACTTCCTGGAACAAAGCTACATGAGGATGTAGTGTCTTGGGCTGCAGTAGCCACCTTGTAACCACCTGTAATAAGCCCAAGGATAAAGAGCCAATATGTGAAGAGGTCAGAGTTGAAAGAGATAAATACCATGACACTGTTGACCAATTATACCTGAAGCCATCACCCACTCTAGACTTTCATGAGATAACACATGCTGAAGATAGGGTTGGTCAAGTTCCTTGAAACTTGTAGCCAAATGAAAATTCACTCATTTACTCACGGAAGAACAAGCTGTATGTTTTTGACATTTTCCTACTAGAGTTGACTTCTTAGTTTTAAAAATATTTTCTAAACTCCCACATTCTGGGGCTCAGGGAACAAAGGGCAGATCCCAGATCTAACTGCTCTGTGGCCTTACATGTCACTCCACCAATCTGGAACTCTTGAAGAAGGAACTTAAACAAAAATAATCTTAAGGTCTTTTGTACCTCTCTAATTTCAAGAAACTGGGGCCAGAAAACTAGAAACAGAGGTATGGTTTATTATATCTGAAAAAAATATTCATTTTCGTGCATGCTTGTATACATGTATGCTTTACATATTGTCTAACACCACAAGGTTTGTGTGTGAAAGCGTTGTTGCTCTTCGATACCTCTATAAAATCATGAGTAATATGCCCCAGTGCAGCACTCACGCTCTCGGGAAACAATTTCATCAAGGAGAAGGAGTGTTGTCCACACCAAGCAAATAGCGGCTGTGTGGGAAATTACACTGATGCAGTGGTGACCTAAAAGTACTTATCAGGCAAACTCTCACTGATGTTAGAGAGCAGAGAAGCTCACAGATCAGATTAACATGGCTGCATCTCATATTTTATTAAATTAATTTTAAGTACATAATGAGAAGCAAGGGGAAAGAGATGAAGTAGGTTAACACTCTTAGGATAAGGTGCAAGCTTCCACTTGGAATACAGAGAACTGGAGGCCAGGCGCGGTGGCTCACGCCTGTAATCCCAGCACTTTGGGAGGCTGAGGTGGGCGGATCACGAGGTCAGGAGATCGAGATCATCCTGGCTAACACGGTGAAACCCTGTCTGTACTAAAATACAAAAAATTAGCCAGGCATGGTGGCGGGCACCTGTAGTCCCAACTACTCGGGAGGCTGAGGCAGGAGAATGGTGTGAACCCGGAAGGCGGAGCTTTCAGTGAGCTGAGATTGTGCCACTGCACTCCAGCCTGGGCAAGAGAGCAAGACTCCGTCTCAAAAAAAAAAAAGAATACAGAGAACTAGAAAGAGCACTGTTCCCAACTTTATAATTAGAAAAAGCTGATCGGCCAGATGTGGTGGCTCACGCCTGTAATTCCAGCACTTTGGGAGGCCGAGGCCAGAGGATCACGAGGTCAGGAGATCGAGACCATCCTGGCTAACATGGTGAAACCCCGTCTCTACTAAAATACAAAAAATTAGCTGGGCATGGTGGTGGGCACCTGTAGTCCCAGCTACTCAGGAGGCTGAGGCAGGAGAATGGCGTGAACCTGGGAGCCAGAGCTTGCAGTGAGCGGAGATTGCACCACTGCACTCTAGCCTGGGTGACACAGCAAACTCTGTCTCAAAAATAAATAAATAAATAAGAAGAAAGAAAGAAAGAAAGAAGGAATGAAGGAAGGAAGGAAGGAAGGAAAGAAGGAAAGGAAGGAAGGAAGGAAGGAAAGAACGAAAGAAGGAAAGGAAGGAAGGAAAGAGAAAGAAAGAAAGAAACTGATTTCATTCTTCTGCATGTGGGATATCCAGTTTTCCAACATCCTTTGTTGAAGAGACTGCCCCCTTCCTATGGTTCTTGGCACCTTTTTCAAAACTCATTTGGCTATAAATACATGGATTTATTTCTGGGCTATCTAGTCTGTTGCATTGGTATATGTATCTGTTTCTGTGTCAGTACCATACTGTTTTGATTACTTTAGCTTTGTAGTATATTCTAAAGTCAGGTAGTATGAAGCCTCCAGCCTTGTTGTTGCTCCAGATTGCTTTGGCTATTCAAGTTCTTTTGTGATTCCACACCAATGAAAAAAATTTTTTTTAATCTGGAAAAATGTCATTAGAATTTTGATAGGGATTGCATTGAATCTGTAGATTGCTTTGGATAATATGGACATTTTAACAATATTAATTGTTCAAATCCATGAACATAAGATACTTTCCATTTATTTGTGTCTCCTTCAATTTCTTTAATCGATGTTTTATAGTTTTTAGTTATAGATCTTTTACCTCCTTACTTAAATTTATTCCAATGCATTTTTTGTAGCTATTGTAAATGAGATTGTTTTCTTGATTTCTTTTTCAGACAGTTCATTGTTTAGTGTATAGAAATGCCACTGATTTTTGTAAGTTAATTTTGTAAGCTGCAATTTTACTGAATTTGTTCGTTAGTTCTAACAGTTTTTAGTGGAGTAGTTAGGATTCTCTCTGTATATGATCATGGTGTCTGCAAACAGGGATAATTTAACTTCTTTCTAATTTGGGTGCTTTTTACTTCTTTCACTTGCCTAACTGTTCTGGCTAGCATTTCATGAATAGAGGTAGAGAGAGTAGGCATCCTTGTCTTGTTCCTGTTCTTAAAGCAAAAGCTTTCAAGTTTTCACCATTGAGTATAATGTTAGCTGTGTGTGTGTCATATATAGTCTTTCTTGTGTTGAGGTACATTCCTTGTATACCTAATTTGTTGAGTTTTTATTGTGAAAGAATGTTGAATTTTGTCAAATGCTTTTTCTGCACCTATTGGGATGATCATGAATTTTTTCCTTTATTCTTTTAATGTGGATTTATCACATTTATAGATTTGCATATGTTGAACCATCCTTGAACCCTTGGGATAAATCCCACTTGATCATGGTGAATGATCCTTTTAATGTGTTGTAAAATTAGTTTTCTAGGACTTTGTTGAGTATTTTTGCATCTATGTTTTTCAAGGATACTGCCTGCAAGTTTCTTTCCTTGTAGTGTCCTAATCTGCTTTGGTATCAGGGTAATTTTGGCCTTGTAAAGTGAGTTTGGCAATAATCCTTCTTCTTCAATTTTTCGGAAGAGTTTGAGAAGGTTTGATTTTCTTTCTTTCTTTCTTTCTTTCTTTCTTTCTTTCTTTCTTTCTTTCTTTCTTTCTTTCTCTTTCTTTCCTTTCCTTCCTTCCTTCCTTCCCTCCTTCCTTCCTTCCTTCTTTCTTTCTCTTTCTTTCTTTCTTTCTTTCTCTTTCTTTCCGCCTTTCTTCCTTTCCTCTTTTTTTTTTTTTTTTTTTTTGAACGGAGTTTCTCTCTGGCCGTCCAGGCTGGAGTGCAGTGGCACGATTTCAGCTCACTGCAACCTCCGCCTCCTAGGTTCAAGCGATTCTTCTGCCTCAGCCTCCCAAGTAGCTAGGATTACAGGTGCCCACAACCACACCCAGCTAATTTTTGCGTTTAAAAGAAGACACAGGGTTTCACCATGTTGGCCAGGCTAGTCTTCACCTCTCGACCTTGGGGGATCTGCCCATCTCGGCCTCCCAAAGGGCTGGGATTACAGGCGTGAGCCACTGCCCCCACCCTGTATTAGTTCTTTCTTTTTGTTTTTCTTTTCTTTTCTTTTTTTTTTTTTTTTGAGACGGAGACTCGCTGTGTTGCCCAGGCTGGAGTGCGGTGACATGATCTCGGCTCACTGCAAGCTCCGCCTCCCGGGTTCACACCATTCTCCTGCCTCAGCCTCCCGGGCAGCTGGACTACAGGCGCCCGCCACCATGCCTGGCTAATTTTTTGTATTTTTAGCAGAGACAGGGTTTCACTGTGTTAGCCAGAATGGTCTCGATCTCCTGACCTCCTGATCCGCCCGCCTCGGCCTCCCAAAGTGCTGGGATTACAGGCGTGAGCCACCGTGCCCGGCCAGTTCTTTCTTAAATGTTTGGTAGAAGTCAGCAGTGAAGCCATCAGGTCCTAGGCTTTTTTTAATGGGAGACTTTTTAGTACTGATTCAGTCTCTTTACTAGTTATTGATCAAGTTAGATTTTCCATTTCATCATAATTTAGTCTTGGTAAGTTGTATGTGTCTAGGAAGTGATCCTTTTCTTCTAGGTTATCCAATTTGTTGGTGTATAATTGTTCATGAGACAGTAGTCCCCTTTTACCTGTGGTTTTGTTTTCCAAGGCTTCAGTTACTCTCAGTCAACCACAGTCAGCAAATAGATGAGTAGGGTACAATAATATATTTTGAGAGAGAGACCCACATTATTGTTATAATTGTTCTATTTTATAATTATTGTTATTAATCTCTTGTTCTATCTAATTTATAAACTAAACTTTATCATAGGTATGGATAAACAGAAAAAAACACAGTGTGCATAGGACTCGATATATAGTACATATAAACTATCCGTGGTTTCAGGCATCCACTGGGAATTTTGGAACATATTCAACAAGGATAAGAGGAAACTACTGAAGTCTCTCAGGGTCCTTTGTGTTTCTGTGGTATCAGTTGTAATGTCTCCTCTTTCATTTCTGATTTTATTTGAGTCTTCTCTTTTTTTCTTAGTCTAGCTAAAGGTTTGTCAATTTTGTTTATCTTCTAAAAAAAATTCTTAGTTTTATCTTCTCTTTGTTTTTCTAGTCTCCATTTCATTTATTTCTGCTCTGATCTTTATTATTTCCTTCTACTAACTTTGGAATTAGTTTTTTCTTCTTCTTCTAGTTCCTTGAGAAGTAAGGTTAGGTTGTTTATCTGAGATCTTTCTTCCTTTGTGATAAGTATATTGCCTTAAACTTATGACTCAGAACTGCTTTGCTGCATCCCCTAAGTTTTGGTATGTGTGTTTCCATGTTTTCCAGATTATTTAAATTTCTTCTTTGACCCATTGTTGATGAACATTTTGTTTAATTTCTATGTGTTTTTCAATTTTTCAAAATTTCTCCTGTTATTGATTTCTAGTTTCATATCATTGTAGTAGGAAAAGATTCTTGATATGATTTCAGTCTTCTTAAACTTGTTAAGGCTTATTGTGTGGCCTAACATGCTCTATCCTGGAGAATGTGTCTTTGAGAAGAATGTGTACTCTGCTGCTATTGGATGGAGTGTTCTGTATATGCCTGTTAAATCCATTTGGTCTAAAGTGTAGTTTGTTTGATGTTTTCTTATTGATTTTCTGTCTAGATAATGTGCCTGTGAAAGTTTTGAAAGTATAGGGTGAACAGGATAGAAGGACCACACTACATGCATCCTGGGTTGTGCTGTTCATGTCTTATTTCTCTGCAACATCAGCCTTCTCCACTGATGTAGTTTAAAGGTAGTCTGAAGGACCAGAATTAGGTTTAAGCCAAGGGGCTAAGAAGATGGGAGGTGACTAGAACCTATACATGCTTGAGAGATGCAAGGAAAAAGCTGTAGCATACCAACCAGCCTGATGAGCAGCTTTTTGGGGCAGAGGTGGCAAAAGGTCAGAATGATGTCACCAATCAACAGCCAATCTAACAGAGTGCTTAATATTGAATAGTGAGTGCTTCGTGTGCCTCATGTCTATTTAGCATAATATTAATATTTTGTGTCTCTTGGTCCTTCTATCTATATATAAAAAAAACTTTTTGGGTCCATTTTAGTACATGTTCCAATTATCATATCTATATTTAATATGTGTTATAGTTAGCTAGCTTATTATTTATTTATATTTAACAAAGCTAATTAACTTTATCTATGTTTTACAAGTCACTTGCTTATGCAGTATCCATACTCAACATGCCATATGAATTCCACCCATCCCATTTATTTTTCTTATCCTTCATAAGTGAATATTGTCAAATAATACAGCAAACCCACATACAATAGTGCTTACTCTTCAGAAAAATTATATAACCTTGAGTTGAGCCAAAGAAGACCCAGTCTCTGCCTCCTTGAGTACTGACCATGACATCCTTCTCTGTGTCACTTTCATCTCTGTTACTATCAAGTGCCAGAGTCAAATTGTTGGGTCTGGGGCAAGATGATCCAAGTTCCCTCATTTAAAAAAATATTGCATTGAAAACTCTTTCCTTTGGTATGACCTGATAGTATCTCTATCCCCAATCTGGCTGTTGTCTCCCTTACCTTATATTTTAAGGACATATCTTGGCTTTAAAATCCCAACTGTTACTGTTCCCATCCTGTTTGTGCCCTCCTCCCATCTCACTTATCCTCATAACCAGCCCATGGCTGTCTAAGTGCTCCTGACACAGGTCCTAGCCCTTGTTTAGGTTTCTTTTTCTGAATAATAAGCTTGGATTAAACTTTATTCCTTAGCTATTGTCAGCAAGTGTATTGTTACTTACCATTCCTTGCCTATAACAAACAAAACTAAATAACTACTTTCTTCTATCCCACAAAGCCCAGAATTGGACTGAGAATCCTTCCTTAGCATCATGACCCAGGTGGCCCATTACAACCAGTCAAAGTTGCCAGTTAAGATGAAACCTCATTGCCAACTCAAATCTCTTCTTTACTATGGATTATTCAGACATAAATTAGCTTAGCCTGGCTGGGCACGGCGGCTCACACCTGTAATCCCAACACTTTTGGAGGCTGAGGCAGGCGGATCACAAGGTCAGAAGACTGAGACCATCCAGGCCAACATGGTGAAACCCTGTCTCTACTAAAAATACAAAAATTAGCTGGGTGTGGTGGCGGATGCCTGTAGTCCCAGCTACTCGGGAGGCTGAAGCAGGAGAATGGCTTGAACCCGGGAGGTGGAGGTTGCAATGGGCCAAGATCACGCCACTGCACTCCAGCCTGGCGACAGAGTGAGACTCTGTCAAAAAAAAAAAAAAAAAAATTAGCTTAGCCTAATTTAACATGGCACAGCCCTAGACTTCCCCAGGTTAGGCTCCAACTTCACAGCTGGCACCTGGTGACTGACTAAAAGTGCTGAGTCACTCTTAAGAAATATTCACTTTGGGCTGGGCGTGGTGGCTCACACCTTTAATCCCAGCACTTTGGGAGGCCGAGGCAGGCAGATCACGAGGTCAGGAGATCGAGACCATCCTGGCTAACACGGTGAAACCCCGTCTCTACTAAAAATATGAAAAAATTAGCCGGGTGTGGTGGTGGGCGCCTGTGGTCCCAGCTACTCGGGAGGCTGAGGCAGGAGAATGGCGTGAACCCAGGAGGTGTAAATTGCAGTGAGCTGAGATTGCGCCACTGCAGTCCAGCCTGGGTGACTGAGTGAGACTCTGTCTCAAAAAAAAAAAAAAAAAAAGAAATATTCACTTTGATGAATGTTGCACTGACCATCATATTCAGAGACACCTATGGTTACCTCAATTTACTGGGCACTTGAATGTGTGTTCTATCCGTGCTGTTCCTTCTGCCTTGAATGCCCTTTCTGTTTCAGACAGATCTTTCTAAAATGCAAATCTGACTACATGCCTCAGTTGCTTAGAAACCTTCATTGGCTCCCTGTTGACCTCAGGATAAAGTAGTCCTCAGCCTGATAGAGAAGACTTTCTGGGAGCTGCATCTGGCCTACCTTTTCTAGTATCTCACGAGACCCCTTCTTCCCTCACACGCTGTCCTTGTCAGACCATCTTAAGTCACCTTTCCTTCATGCTCCTCCTCATTGCTCCAGCTTCATGAAATGTCCTACTATCCTATCTGTCTGGTGAATGCCTACTCATATATTTTAAGCCTCGGCTTAAGTATCACCTCCTCTTCGACCACTTTCATGAATTGAAATCACAACTGTAACTATTCTGTCTTTTTTGGGGAGACAATCTCTATGGGTCTATAAAACTTCTGCTCATCTTGCCAGTGGAACAACTCATTGTGTTCTAGACTATCTTTTCAAGGATGCTTGTATGACAGACAGCCTTGGAAGACCGAGATAGTATTTTCCTCCAGAGCCAAGAGCAGGTTTGTTTACTGTGCAGAATAACAAAATTAAGGTCTCTCTCTAGGGCAAAGGGCAGGCTGTTTCTCTACGCTAAAAGATTCAGTTTCGCTAGGCTAACAATTCATCTCCTACAATGCAACCCACAGCATATTCAGACATCACTTCACCCTATTTGTATCACTTTGTAGAAATTGCCATTATTGGGCACTTTGTCTACCAATACTGTCATGATTAATACATTATTTTGTCTCTGATCAAGGAGCCTCATGTCTCTGACAACATCCATGATATTGTGGCAAGCTAACTTAATAGCTTACAAGTAGGGTAAAATCTCAAACCCTTCACAGTTCTTGACAATATTGGCCCTTAACTGTAACATTTCTCAGCTCCTTAATGGTTCTGGACAGTACTATATTTGAACTCTATAACACTTTTAGCATAACACATCATTTTATTGCACTTATTGGACACCTACCACGTGCCACACACTACGACAAGACCTGAAAGATAGAAAGCCAAAAGACATGGTTGCTATCCTCAAGGAGTTTATACTCCAGTACAGAAACAGACCCCAACAATTAAAATCCTTCAAGATAATTTATAAGCTTTATAAATTACTTATGGGAACATCAGAAAGAAAATGTAAGGCTGCAAGGGGTTAAGGGAAGACTTCACTGAGGTGGTAATTTTATTCTAGCCTTGTAGGTTCAGATGAGAATTTTCCTGGACAATGAAGGGAAAGGTGTTCTTGCCAAGTACGCACAAATTCTAATGATAATTCCAAATCCTGCTGAATATGACGGTCAGTGCAGCATTCGTCAAAGTGAATATTTCTTTTTTTTTTTTGAGACAGAGTCTCCCTCAGTCATCCAGGCTGGAATGCAGTGGCGCGGTCTCGGCTCACTGCAGTTTACACCTCCTGGGTTCGCGCCATTCTCCTGCCTCAGCCTCCTGAGTAGCTGGGACTACAGGCGCCCACCACCACGCCTGATAGATAGCTAGATAGACAGACAGACAGACAGACAGACAGACAGACAGACAGACAGACATGGTTTGGCTCTGTGTCCTCACCCAAATCTCATTTCAAATTGTTATCCCCATATGTTAATGGAGGGAAGTGATTTGATTACGGGGGTGGTTTCCCCCATGCTGTTCTCATGATAGGGAGTGAATTCTCACGAGATTTGATGGTTTTGTAAATGGTAGTTTTTCCTGCGCTCACACACACTCTATCTCTCCTGCCACCATGTGAGACGTGCCTGCTTCCCCTTCCGCCATGATTGTAAGTTTTCCGTGGCCTTCCCAGCCATGCAGAACTGTGAGTCAATTAAACCTCTTTCCTTTATAAATTAAGGAAGAGTGTACCTTGGGTAGTATCTTTATAGCAATATGAAAACGGAAAACACACATATATAATGCCACAAGGGATGCAGCAAAAAAAGTAGACAAGGCCATTTCATGGAGAACATTGTTGATTGAGAAACTCCTTGGAAAGGAATTGAGACTTTGTCCTGCATGTGATTATACTAATTATCAATAACACTATAGGCAAGGAGAAGCATTGAAGTAGTGAAATGGCTTTAAGCTTCTAGTATAAACCCTAGCACACAGTAAGCTTTTGAGCAGATTTTTTGTTGTTGTTGCAAATAATAGAAAATTCAATTCAATCTGGTTTAAATAATAAAGGTAATTTATTGGTTCATGAAACAAAATGTCCAGTCAGAGACATCAGGCATGGCTTGAATCAGAATTTCTTATCATTTGGGCTCTGGGTCCATTTTTCTGACTTTCTTGGCTCTGCTGTCCCCTCTGTGCTTGCTTTATTCTCAGACTACATTTCCTCATAGAACAAACATAGCTGTAACAATTCCATGTCTCACAGCTACATACCCTCTGGAAGGAAAGTGAACACCCTTTATCTGAACATTCCAAGCAGAATTTAAGTTTTGCTCCAATTGGCACCCTAGGTCAGATGTCACAAAAGAACCAACCTATGTGTCAAAAGAGATGGAGGCCGGTTGCAGTGGCTCATGCCTGTAATCCCAGCACTTTGGGAGGCCAAGGCAAGCGGATCACGAGGTCAAGAGATGGAGACCATCCTAGCCAACATGGTGAAACCCCATCTGTACTAAAAATACAAAAATTAGCTGGGCGTGGTGGCACTCACCTGTAGTCCCAGCTACTCGGGAGGCTGAGGCAGGAGAATCGCTTGAGCCTGGGAGGCGGAGGTTGCAGTGAGCCAAGATAGCACCACTGCACTCCAGCCTGGGTGGCTGAGCAAGACTTTGTCTCAAAAAAAAAAAGAGAGAGAGATGGAATATTCTAGGTCACATGCTCCATTGGCAGAATCACATGGATTTCAAGATAGAAACAAAAGCCTTATAGAAAGCGAAAAGAAGGATGTTGATTGCTGAAGAATAAACACCAAGTGTACAAGTTGGCCCCAATAGATGTTTCCCAAATGGACAAATAATATCTGGCATTGATGGTATTTGCAACCTAATATGATCTCTCTGGTGCAACTGTAGAGGAGGTGGATGAAACTCTTAAGACTAGAGGCAATAAGATCAGTAAGAAGGATACTACAATGAAAGTCATGATAGGAAGAAGGGATAGAGAGTGAATGAGTGGATCTGACACTTTCTTTTTTTTTTTTTTTTTTTTTTGAGACAAGGTCTCTCTCTGTCACCCAGGCTGGAGTGCAGTGGTGTAATCACAGCTTACTGCAGCCTCAACTTCCTGGGCTCAAGCGATCCCCCCACCTCAGACCCCCTCCCCGCTGGTCCCCAGTAGCTGGAACTACAGACGTAAGCCACTATGTTCAGCTAATTTTTTAATTTTTTGTAGAGATGGGGTCTCACTTTGTTGCCCAGGTTGGATCCGACACTTCTGAGCATGTCCCTCCTTAAAGATGTAGCTGAGAAGCACTGGTATGTGCTATTCTTCCCTAGTACATTTTAAAATGCCTCCTAGACAGAGTTATCTGTCTGGATGCCCTGTAAACCTGTTCACCCTAACCTATAAATAGGCTCAGTGACTCCTATTCTTAAAAAATAACAACTGCAACATTGGCCAGGCAGGGTGGCTCATGCCTGTAATCCCAGCACTTTGGGAAGCCAAGGTGGGTGGGTCATCTGAGGTCAGGAGTTCAAGACCAGCCTGGCCAACCTGCTGAAACCTCTTGTCTGTTAAAAATACAAAAATTTGCTGGGAGTGGTAGCACATGCCTGTAATCCCAGCTACTCCGAAGGCCAAGACAGGAGAATCTCTTGAACCCTAGAGTCGGAGGTTACAGTGAGCCGAGATTGCTGCACTGCACTCCAGCCTGGGTGACAGAGTGAGACTCTCTCAAAAACAAAAAAACAAAAAGCAACATTTTTCCTTGGCCTCACCTCTCACTCCACCACAACCAGATAATTCATTCCTGTCCACTTTTTGGCCACTATTTTTTTTTTCTTTTGAGATGGAGTCTCACTCTGTCGCCCAGGCTGGAGTGCAATAGCATAATCTTGGCTCACCGCAGCCTCCACCTCCGGGTTGGTTTAAGCAATTCTCCTGCCTCAGCCTCCCAAGTAGCTGAAACTACAGGCACATGCCACCACACCCAGTTAATTTTTGTATTTTTAGCGGACACGGGGGTTCACCATGTTGGCCAGGATGGTCTTGATCTTCTGACCTTGTGATCCGCTTGCCTCAGCCTCCCAAAGGGCTGGGATTACAGGCGAGAGCCACCACGCCCGGCCTTTGGGCCACATTTGTTCTTTTGTTTTTTCATTTTTGTCGAAAACAGTCTCACTATGTTGTCCAGGCTAGTCTCGAAATTCCTGGGCTCAAGCTATCCTCCCACCTCTGCCTCTCTAAGTGCTGAGATTATAGGTGTGAGCCACCACACCCAGCAGCAGATCATTTTTATTATGAAAACAATTTCTTTCCAGATCACCAACAACATTCTATTTGCAAATGCAGTGGTCATTTTATAGACCTGTCCTTACTGGGCTGGCTGCTCTAACCTCTCTAAAATGCTACTAAAAACTCTGTACCCTGGATTCTCTGTGGAATCTCACTTTTCTGATTCTTATAACCTTTCCTTTTTCACTTTTGTTTCTTCATCCTGCCCCAGAGCCTTACTGACAAATATTGTTCAGGGACCTCACCTAATCTTTCTGCTTTCCTATCTCTGGACCAGCACTGTCCAATATAGTAGTCACTAGCCACAGGAGGCTATTCAGCATTTGAAATGTACTAATCCAAACTGACATGTGCTGTAAGTAGAAAATACAGGCCAAACTTCAAAAACTTAGTAAAAAAATGAAAAAGAAAGTAAACATCTCAATTTTTAAAATATGAAATACGGCTGGGTGTGGTGGCTCATGCCTATAATCCCAGCACTTTGGAGGCCAAGGCGGGTGGATCACCTGAGGTCAGGAGTTCAAAACCAGCCTGGCCAACATGGCAAAACCCTGTCTCTACTAAAAATACAAAAATTAGCCTGGCATGGTGGCGGGTGCCTATAATCCCAGCTACTTGGAAGGCTAAGACAGGAAAATCACTTGAACCTGGGAGTCAGAAGTTGCAGTGAGCCCAGATCGTGCCATTGCACTCCAGCCTGGGGGAAAGATCAAAACTCTGTCTCAAAAAAAAAAAGAAAAAAATACACATTGAAATTGTAACATTTTTGATATATTTGTGTTAAACAACACAAATGTTTATTTTTTCAAAAAAGTTTATTTTTTTCAAAATTAATTTCACATGTTCCTCTTTAGTTTTTTTAATGTCACAGGTTATTTTTCTTTTTTAAATTTCACATTTTCAAAATTACATATGCGGCTTGCATTCTATGTCTCTTGGACAGTGCTACTCAAGACAGTCTCCCTGGGTGAGCTCGCTCAGAATGACAACTTCCCTTACAATTGTATGAATCAAATCTCCTTTCTTCCCTGACCTTCAGATTTGTATATTCCCCTGTCGGTTTACCATTTCCATATGGATAATAGCTAACAGCAGATGTTTATTAAGTGCTTTCTATGTGCCAGGCACTATTCTAAGTACTTCATATGTGTCATCTCATTGCTAATCCACAACAGCTCTTTGAGGTAGGTACTATTACTATGCTCTCTTTTACAGATGAGTAAACTGAAGAACAGAGCAGTTTAAGAAATGTGTCCAAGTTCACACATCTAGTAAGTGGTGAATCACAGAGGCAAATATAAGCTTTTCTGCCACCAGGGCACATTTTGTCTCTATATAGACCCCAGATAGCCTTTAAAAACTAAAAGTCCACCTGTTTCTAACCGAACTCACTATGTTCTTCCCTAACATTGAGCTGCATAAACTGCATTTTCCCCTCCAGATCCTCTGTTGCCCTAGGAGGATAACCTGTATGAACTATGCTGCGGACCTCTTCACTCTGCTTCAGCTTCCGGTTGGGCTTGGCCATGAGCAATCCCAGCAGGAGGTCAGAATAAGAGACCAGAATGAGGTCACAGTGCTGATCTCTCCTCCTTCACCTCCCTGCAAGGCTGCAGCAGGATGGCTTCTTCCCCATCCCTTGAGCAAGGTCACAGTTCTTGCCAGGCAGCCCTTCCACACAGCAACCTTCTGTTTTCAGGTTCCCAAAAATGGTTCCTTCAGATCTTGGGTTGACAACAGCATTCCTTCCCTCATCCCACTATTATTAGCTCCAAAGGGCTACATTAGTACTCGTGGTGTCTTTATACCCTGCCCACAACTTTGTGTAACTGATTTAGTTATTAAGGCCTTCTCAGTTGCCCAACCTGAGTGTGTTCCTGTTCTGGGGGGTACCCTGACCAAAACACACACATTCCTTTTTCCGTATTCATTAACTCAATTAGCAGCAGCATAGACCCCCAGTCGGGAAGGCTAAACCTGAGTCCTGCTCTGTTTTACCCTCCCCTTTCGCCTTCCCAACTCCCACATCTAATCTGTCCTAAGTCTTGCTAGTTTCCTTGTCTTTAGGCCCTTGCCATCTTTCCCTAGATTATAATACTGGTCTCCAGTAAGTCCTACTCAAGCCCATCATCTGTAACACAGCCAAAGTGAGCTATTTGGCTCCCTTTCATCTCATCCATACAATGCAAAACCTCAGCAGGGCTCTCCCTCGGTTAAAACCCTTCCAAATCTCCACGCCGCCAACAAGCCATGCATTGTATCTCACCAAGATCACCTAAGTCTTTGCCTAATGATTTATGCTCCAAAGACAGCTGTGCTTCCAAGTTCACACATGGTTCTCCGTGCCTTTGTGCTCTGCTTCTGCTTACTGCTTCTACCTTCCCAAACCGTCCTCAGACCCCCAGCTTAGCCAACTCCTACTCATCTTACAACACTCATCACTTTAGGAGACAACCCAAAGTCTTCCAGATAGCATTATCCCTCCACACATACATTCATGTGGCTTTCTCTAGGTAAGGTTTCTCTTTCTTTCTTTTTTCTTTTTGAGACAGAGTTTCACTCTTGTCACCCAGGCTGGAGTGCAATGGCACGATCTTGGCCCACTGCAACCTCGACTTCCCGGGTTGAAACCATCCTCCTGTCTCAGGCTCCTGAGTAGCTGGGATTACAGACACGCACCACCACGCCTGGCTAATTTTCATATTTTTAGTAGAGATGGGGTTTCACCATGTTGGCCAGGCTGGTCTCGAACCCCTGACCTCAGGTGATCCGCCCGCCTTGGCCTCCCAAAGTGCTAGGATTAAAGGCATGAGCCACCACGCCTGGCAAGGTTTCCCTTTCAATACCATGTGCATGCCTCTACTATTGCACTTACCTTGTCTTATTACATCTTCGTATGTCGTTTGCCCCCTTCCCATCTCTGGGCCTAGCCCAGTGCCAGGCACTTACTACACACTCAGTGAATGTTTTGTTGAATGAATATATGGGATAAGTGTTATAATCAACCGCAGAAAGTGAAGTTATTAAGGCATATAATTTTGACAAATTAAGGCCAGATTTAACTTTTACCTAAATTTTATGGTAATTCTAGGAAAGTCTTTCTGATAAATCTAATTCAATTTGTATTTAAAGACCTAACCTCAATTTTTCAAGCCAATGTTTCTACACTCGATACCTGTGGAGACACTTGATCTACGCCATTTTTTTTTTTTTTTGAGATGGAGTCTTGCTCTGTTGCCCAGGCTGGAGTGCAGTGCAGATCTCAGCTCACTGCAACCTCCACCTCCCAGGTTCAAGCAATCCTCCTGCCTCAGCCTCCCAAGTAGCTGGGATTACAGGCGCCCTCCAGCATGCCCGGCTAATTTTGTATTTTTAGTAGAGATGAGGTTTCACCATCTTGGCCAGGCTGGTCTCGAACTCCTGACCTCAGGTGATCCACCCACCTCAGCCTCCCAAAGTGCTGGGATTACAGGCGTGAGCCACCACACCCAGCCCTAAGTTGTATTTTTTATGGCTGATCTGTGAGAATTTTTTCTCCTGAGCAGTATGTTTTTGTATGCAGCTAATCCTTTCCTCAGTTTTCTGTACTTTGTTCCTTTTTTTTTTTTTGAGATGGAGTCTTGCTCTCTCACCCAGGCTGGAGTGCAGTGGCGTGATCTTGGCTCACTGCAAGCTCCATCTCCTGGGTTCATGCCATTATCCTACCTCAGCCTCCCAAGTAGCTGGGACTACAGGTGCCCACCACCACATCCAGCTAAGTTTTTGTATTTTTAGTAGAGACGGAGTTTCACTGAGTTAGCCAGGATGGTCTTGATCTGACCTCATGATCCACCCGCCTCGGCCTCCCAAAGTGCTGGGATTACAGGTGTGAGCCACCGTGCCTGGCCCTGTACTTTGCTTCTAAATGTACCCCTCTATTTCTTCTTTTTGAATAAATTTAAAAACTCATACTGCTGGATCCACTGCTTATCTTATTCAGTGTATTCCATACTTTGAAAGGACACTTTTGCTTTCCAACATGACATTTAACAAGCAGACTTGATATTATCTATCCCAGTTTGAAACTGAAACTCATTTCAAAGGAGGGGATCATTTTCTAGATGATAGTTATATAGCAGTTTTCTCTCCACTTCTTCCACCTTAGAACCTACTCAAGGAAAACTGCTCACTTCATTTAGAAGCTTTTTTTTTTTTTTTTTTTTTTCAGAGACAGGGTCTCACTGTGTTGTCCAGGCTGCTTGCAAACTCCCGGGCTCCAGTGACCCTCCCACTTCAGCCTTTCAAGTAGCTAGGACTACAGGCATTCCACCACATGCCTGGCTTCTTTTTGCATTTTTAAACTATGACTTAAGTGTTGTTTTTTACTGTTTTTTTGTTTTTTTTTTTTTCTGTGTAAATTTTCCTTTGCTTATATTCAGGGCCCTGAGTGAAAATCTACAGAGATGCTGAAAGAGAAAAAAAGGACTTTGAAGGATTTATATTTTTTTATGTTCTTTACTTGTTAGTAGTTAAAATATTAGCAAGCAAGGGGATCTTTTAAGTTTTTCTCTAAAATATAATTATTCTAACTATTGAAACAATTTTTCCAGAAAAGCCTCTTTTAGACAATTGTAGTTTTTAATCTTTATATATCTGTACATCTAGAATTCTACAAATAAGACATGTAATACCCTGTGTTTGCACCTCTCCCATCTTCCTCTTGCTTCTCTGGTGTGTGGGTGAATGGAGTGTGCACAAAAGCAAGGACCACCCCCAGGACAGGCACTCTGCTCCCTGTGCTGCCCAGGTCCTTTGGTCTTCTTCTGTGACAGTTTCTTTTCTTAGCCCACTAAGCAATGATAGCCACCAAGATCATATGCTAAATATACCCCCTCTTTGGCAAAAAACCCCACATATATATATATACACACACACACACACACACATAATAAAAAAATCAGAAGTTGAGAGGTGACAACGTGCTAGCAGCCCTCGCTCGCTCTCAGCACCTCCTCAGCCTTGGCGCCTCCTCAGCCTCGGCGTGTGGCCACACTTGAGGAGCCCTACAGCCCGCTGCTGCACTGTGGGAGCCCCTCTCTGGGCTGGCTGAGGCCAGAGATGGCTCCGTTTGTGGGGAGGTGTGGAGGGAGAGGCACAGGCGGGAACCGGGGCTGCGCGCTGTACTCGCGGGCCAGCGTGAGCTCTGGGTGGGTGCGGGCTCCACAGGCCCTGTGCCCGGCGCTGCTGGCTCTGGGCAGTGAGGGGCTTAGCACCTGGGCCAGCAGCTGCAGAGGGTATGCTGGATCCCCCAGCACTGGGGACCCGCCCACACCACGCTTGAATTCTCACCGGGCCTCAGCCGCCTCCCCAACAGGGCAGGGCTCGGGACATGCAGCCTGCCATGCCCAAACACCCACTACCCCCCCGCACCCCCACTGTGGGATCTCATGCGGCTGGAGTCTCCCTGCCGCCCACTACTCAGCACGCCTGGGTCCCATCGACCACCCAAGGGCTGGGGAGTGCAGACGCGCAGCACAGGACTGGCGGGCAGCTCTGCCCACAGCCCGGTGCGGGATCCACTAGGCGAAGCCTGCTAGGCTTCTGAGTCGGGTGCAGACTTGGAGAACTTTTAAGTCTAGCTAAAGGTTTGTAAATGCACCAATCAGCACTTTGTGCCTAGCTCAAGGTTTGTAAACGCATCAATCAGTACCCTGTGTCTTCCTCAAGGTTTGTAAATGCACCAATCAGTGCTCTGTGTCTAGCTAATCTAGTGGGGACTTGGAGAACTTTTGTGTCAAGCTAAAGGAGTGTAAATGCACCAATCAGCACTCTGTGTCTAGCTCAAGGTTCATAAATGCACCAGTCAGCACACTGTCAAAATGGACCAATCAGCTCTCTGTAAAATGGGCCAATCAGCTCTCTGTAAAATGGGCCAAGCAACTCTCTGTAAGATGGACCAATCAGCAGGATGTGGGTAGGGTCAGATAAGGGAATAAAAGCAGGCTTCCGGAGCTAGCAGTGGCAATCTGTTCTGGTGCCTTTCCATGCTGGAAAAGCTTTGTTCTTTCACTCTTCACAGTAAATCTTGTTGATGCTCAGTCTTTCAGTCTGTGTGCCTTTATGAGCTATAACACTCACTGCGAATGTCTACAGCTTCACTCCTGAAGCCAGCAAGACCACGAACTCACTGGGAGGGACGAACAACTCCAAACGCGCTGCCTTTAAGAGCTGTAAAACTGACCGTGAATGTCTGCCGCTTCACCCCGGAAGTCAGTGAGACCACAAACCCACCAGAAGGAAGAAGCTCTGGACATCTATGAACATCTGAAGGAACAAACTCGGGACACACCATGTTTAAGAACTGTAACACTCACCGCCAGGGTCCACAGCTTTATTCTTGAAGTCAGTGAGACCAAGAACCCGCTAATTCTGGACACAAAGTCAATACCACTATTCTAACATTGTATTTGAATTTGAAAATACTCTATATGATTCTTGACTTAAAATATTTCAATGACTTTTTACAAGGAAATAACTTGTGGCAATTATATACTGATGTAAGCTCCTAAGTAAGAGACAGGATGTCTTCAGTGACTCATAGCAGTATCTTTTTCTTTTTTTTTTTTTGAGACGGAGTCTCACTCTGTTGCCCAGGCTGGAGTGTGGTGGTGCAATCTCAGCTCACTGCAAGCTCCGCCTCTTGGGTTCATGCTCTTCTGCCTCAGCCTCCCGAGTAGCTGGGACTACAGGCGCCCACCACCATGCCAGGCTAATTTTTTTTGTATTTTTAGTAGAGACGGGGTTTCACCATGGTCTCGATCTCTTGACCTCGTGATCCACCCACCTTGGCCTCCCAAAGTGCTGAGATTATAGGCGTGAGCCACCATGCCCAGCCTCATAGCAGTATCTTCACACACTCCTTAGCTGGACAACACCAAGAGGCCCCACTGGTAGCTCATCAAAGATATTTATTCCTTGGCTAAAGCGAGCTAAGTTTGTTACTGTTGCATCTGTGGAGCTACCATGGTAATGGGAGGCAGGACTGGTTTCAGGAGCTTGAGATCTGCGCAGTGGCTTAGGAAGCCAGACCCTGTTAGAAGGGTCCTGTGCATCCATTTATGCCCTGCTGTTGCTATCTTGGAATTCTTAATAATTTTTGAACAAGGGTGACCTAGTTTTCATTTTGTACTGGGATCTGCAAATTACGTACTTGATGGGAGGTAGGAAGTAACAAGCACAGTTTAAGAGGGGGAAGTATACTTAATCCTCTATACATTCTTTTCAAAGAATAAGGCAAACCACATTCCAGAAAGCAAAAGGGTTCTCTTTCCTCACCTTGGTTATTTTCTTCACCTTGATCATTTTATATTTCTTCACCTTGATCATTTTATATGAAGATGACTAGAGTATCCTAAAGAATGTAAGAGAAGGATTAGAAAAAGGAATGATGACTTTACATTGTTTTTGTATTAGAGGATATAATACTAGCTTGAAGGGAATAATTCAGGTAGTGATTTTCTTTTCATGGAAACTTTTGTATTCCATTAAAATGCAATATAAACCTAAATCACCTTAGAAACCTCTAGGGGAACAGCCATATAGATTGCTTTCTTTTCAGTACTTACATTCTGGGAAATTTTTAAACTTACTTACATTTTAGGGGAGGAACTTTTTCAGAAATTTGATGTCAATAAATTAACTGATCGGGAAATGAGAAATATGGTGGTTTTTATTCCTGCTCTACTCTGGGAGGCAGTAGAACATAGTGAAAATCAAAGTCTCCAGGAAGGATTGATTTTAATCCCTGCTGAATTACCTTAGGGACCTCCCTCAAAGACCATGAACCTCAGTGTCCTAAACTGTGAAACTGGGTGACTAATACCCATCTCACAGGGTGGTTAATGGGTGATCAAACAAGACAATGCCATAAAATGTTTGACAAAGTGCAAGGCGTTGAGTCAGCTGTAATTATTGTTGTTGTTAATATTATTTCTTTCTGTCCTTCTCTTCTAGTGGAAGCCCTGTCTAAAACGATCTAGTCCTTCTGTGAGAGCCTGGATAAAGAATTTAACATGTTGGTACTAGAATATCCTCATTTGTGAAATGGTTGTTAACTTAGCACACCACCTAGCAGGTGATAGACATTCAGTAACTAACAGCATGTGGGTTGGGGTTAAGGGTTGTTTTTTTTTGTTTGTTTTGAGACGGTGTTTCGCTCTTTTTTGTCCAGGATGGTGTGCAATGGTGCTATCTTGGCTCACTGCAACCTCCGCCTCCTGGATTCAAGCAATTCTTCTGCCTCAGCCTCCCGAGTAGCTGGGATCAGAGGCGCACACCACCACGCTCGGCTAATTTTTGTATTTTTAGTCGAGACGGGGTTTTGCCACATTGGCCAGGCTGGTCTCGAACTCCTTACCTCAGGTGATCCGTCTGCCTCAGCCTCCCAAAGTGCTGGGATCACAGGTGTTAGCCACCACGCCCAGCCTCTTGATTTAGTGTGATTTGTATTTGAAATACAAAAATAAAGATCAAGTTCCCTGGCCGTGTATAAGAAATAACAACCCACGTACGTAGTACTCTCTTTCTTTCTTTTTTTTTTTTTTTGAGATGGAATCTTGCTCTGTCGCCCAGGCTGGAGTGCAGTGGTGTGATCTCGGCTCGCTGCAAGCTCCACCTCCCAGGTTCACACCATTCTCCTGCCTCAGGCTCCCGAGTAGCTGGGACTACAGGTGCCCACCACCACGCCCGGTTAATTTTTTGTATTTTTGGTAGAGATGGGATTTCACCATGTTAGCCAGGATGGTCTCAATCTCCTAACCTCGTGATCCGCCCACCTCGGCCTCCCAAAGTGCTGGGATTACAGGCATGAGCCACCGTGCCCAGCCAGTACTTTCAATTCCTAAAATGTTTTCATGCATCTTCTCTGAGGAGGGCACGCGCTAGTAAATTACAGAATCTGGAATCCTGACTCTAGTTTTATGATCTTTCTTCCTCATCACCATTTTATTCTATCAAATATTTGGAGACTCGTTATAGTGCTGTCTTCAGGAAAATTGCTTGTGCAAGGTTATTGATGAAAGATGGGTAAGAGCACTCTATAGCCAAGCATTCCTTGGTGCTTGGGAATTAAACTCCACTCTTCCCCCAACTGGTGTCCGTGTGTCATAATGTTGTCTAATTCAAGAGCGAGAAAAGGATCCAGCCTGTGGATACAGAGGGCTATGCCCAAAATGCATAGGGACTTACTGAAGATAAATTCACCTGCATATCAGTCTTATCTAAAATCATCCCTGATCTGGCTGGGCGCGGTGGCTCACGCCTGTAATTCCAGCACTTTGGAAGGCCAAGGCCAGCGGGTCACGAGGTCAGAAGATCGAGAACATCCTGGCTAACATGGTGAAACCCTGTCTCTACTAAAAATACAAAACATTAGCGGGGTGTGCGGGCGGGTGCCTGTAGTCCCGGCTACTCCGGAGGCTGAGGCAGGAGAATGGCGTGAACCCAGGAGGCAGAGCTTGTAGTGAGCCGAGATTGTGCCACTGCACTCCAGCCTGGAGGACAAAACGAGACTCCGTCTCAAAAAAAAACAAAAACAAAAAAATCCCTGAGCTTATATAATGATGTTGTTTTAAATTCCAAATTTCAGAAAAAGCCTTATAATGTCCTTTATTATTGATATGGTTTGCCTGTGTCCTTACCCAACTCTCATCTTGAATTGTACCTCCCATAATTCCCATGTGTTGTGGGAGGGACCCAGTGGGAGGCAATTGAATCATGGGGGTGGGTTTTTCCCCGCTGTTCTCGTGAGAGTAAGTCTCATGAGATCTGATGGTTTTATAAAGGGCAGTTCCCTGCACCCACTCCCTTCCCTGCTGCCATGTAAGACGTACCTTTGCTCCTCCTTCACCTTCTGCCACGATTGTGAGGCCTCCCCAGCCATGTGAAACTGTGAGTCCATTAAACTTTTTTCTTTATAAATTACCCAGTCTCAGATCTTTCTTCGTAGTAGTATGGAAATGGACTAATACAATTATCAAGCGCCAAATAAAAGCACTCCATCCCCACAACAGAAGCTCTTGTCATCTTGTAAGCTGTTCTCCATGGTAAACAGCACTAAGGAGAACCTTGTCTAATCTCATAGATGCTTTGTCTTCCAGTTCCAGCCTCACAGCGTTTGGCTTCTACTTGATGTAGAACCTTGTGGTCACGTCCAGACTCACCTTGTTCAGGTTCAGTGACCTTGGGGCCAGTCAGACAGGACCTGGGCCCTCTCATAGGGCTGCCCTCCTTTAGATGTTTACTCTTTCCTGCAGATAATGGCCCACTCATCTCACACCTCTCCCGTCTCCAACAGGGTCCAGCCAGAACAGATCACAGTCCAAGACAATAAACACTCTATATTATTTCTTGGTGGCTGGGTTGCTGGGGGAAAATAAACTCCTCCCTTCCAGCCACCAACTTATAAGAAATGACGGAGTGAGTTCTTGTCACAGATTTAGTAATAAGCGCCTCTTACATGCTAAGCATTGGCACAATTTCTGTAATGGTGATAGTGAACAAAGCAGGCATGGGAGAACCACTGGTGCCTGTGTGATAAAACCTTTGCTGAGGATTTTATCTTTTAGCTCTCTAAGTGGCTCCTCTAGTAGTTGCCATATGGGAAATTTCTTTTGGAATTCACAAATAGAATTTTCACCTCCTCTGGTAGAAAGGAACCGGCACAAGTAACACATTAATTTCCTTATTTTCCTTGCTGCCAGGAAGCTTAGAGATACTACGAGAACAATAGTAACCATTGTGGTTACTATTTGCCTCCCCTTCCTTTCCTTTGTTCTGATTTTCCATTTTCTCATTCTTTTTTTTTTTTTTTTGAGACAAAGTCTTGCTATGTCTTCCAGACTGGAGTGCAGTGGTGTGGAGTGCAGTGGTGCAATCTCAGCTCACTGCAACCTCTACCTCCCAGACTCAAGCTCTCCTGCCTTAGTCTCCCGAGTAGCTGGGATTACAGGCACGAGCCACCACACCCAGCTAATTTTTTGTAGACACCGGGTTTCACCAAACATGGTGAAACATTCTTCACAGCAGTATAGAAATGGACTAATACAATTATCAAGCACCAAATAAAAGCACCCCATCCCCACAACAAAAGTCCTTGTCATCTTGACAAGCCCACTGGTCTTGAACTCCTGGGCTCAAGTGATCCACCCACCTTAGTTTCCCAAAGTGCTAGGATTACAGGCATAAGCCACCATGCCCGGCCTACTTTATCATCTTTTTAAGTTGGCTAAAATATTATACTTTTTGAGAAGATATGGGGTAAAAATAAACCATTGCACATGTATGTATGCAATGAAGGCTTAGAGTTTTCCAAAGGCTTTCAAATACACCATCAGAAAGGAAAAGGTCTCAAATACCTTGTAGTATCCTTAGGGAATAAACAAGCTGACCAAGCCTTCCTCATCCTCAAGTCCAAGAGGTGGAGTTGTAGTTCTCAAATTTCAAGGAGCATCTGAAATTCCCCAGAGGGCTTGTGAAGACACAAAGCTGAGCCCCACCCCCAGAATTTTGATTCAGTAAGTCCGGGATGGGGTCTGAATATTTACCTTTCTAACAAGTTCCTAGGTGATGATGATGCTGCTCCTCAGGGACCAAAAACTGAGAACTGTTGACCTGAAATAACAATACAATGGAGAACTATTATCAGAGACATATGAGTAAAGAAGATATTAATATAACGTGAGCTTAAACAAAAAGGCAAAATAAAGGGAATAGAAGGTAGGTACCAAGAAGTAATGTAGATATTTGGGAACGTAAGGATCAAAGAGAACGAGGAAAGCCAGAGACCTGGAGCTTCCTGAAAAGGCTCCAGACTAAAAGAAATTAAGTTTGATCTAAACCTGAGATGCAAGTGGGGAAAGCAGGACGGGCAGTGGGGTAAAAACAAAGTCACAAACAGAAATGTGGACAGCGTGTTTGTGAATGATGCCCTCGGAATGCACCACCCAAAGGACTCAATCAAAGTTTGTCGAATAATGAGCAATAAGAGACTTGATTGGTGGAAGCAACAAATTCCTCCCAAGGAAAAGTGAGGGGCTACTAGAGATGTGACCAAGGACTGGATTGTGAGTAGTTTTTAATGCAAAATCAAGAGGTGGATTTAAGTTTTGTAAGCAATGAGAATTCATTGAAGGTTTTGAGTAAGGCATTCACATGAGGAAAGGGTATTTTCAGATATCATTGTATAAGGATTTTTTTTATATATTCGTCCATTTCACACTGCTAATAAAGACATACCCAAGTCTAGGTAATTTATAAAGGAAAGAGGATTAATGGACTCACAGTTCCAAATGGCTGGGGAGGCCTCACAATCAGGGCAGAAGATGAAGGAAGAACAAAAGGAAGTCTTACATGGTGGCAGGCAAGAAAGAGCATGTGCAGAGGAACTGCCCTTTATAAAACCATCAGATCTCATGAGACTTATTCACTATCACGAGAACAGCATGGGAAAGACCCGCCCCCATGATTCAGTTCCCTCCCACCAGGTCCCTTTTCTCTTCCACGACACATGGGAATTATGGGAGCTACAATTCAAGATGAGGTTTGGGAGGAGACACAGCCAAACCATATCGTATATGATATTCTATTATAATATTACTTATTTCTTTTTTTTTTTTTTGAGACGAAGTGTCACTCTTGTTGCCTGGGCTGGAATGTAATGGTGCGATCTCGGCTCACTGAAACCTCCGCCTCCTGGGCTCAAAGGATTCTTCTTCCTCACCCTCCCTAGTAGCTGGGATTACAGGCGCTTGCCACCATGCCCGGCTAATTTTTGTATTTTGAGCAGAGACGGGGTCTCACCATGTTGGCCAGGCTGGTCTCGAACTGACCTCAGGCAATCTGCCTGCCTCGGCTTCCCAAAGTGCTAGAATTACAGTCATGAGCCACCGCGTTCGGCCAATATTGCTGATTTCTTATGGCTTACCACCCATAAAATCAACACAAAGGAAGGGAGGAGGCATTTCAAATGGGGGCATTAAAATGGTCAAATGCTGGTATCGGGAGAAGAGACCAGAAAACCAATACAATCCATACTTTCAAGCCTAAATAATAAGGAGAAAGAATTCCAAGTATAAGGATGTGTGGAGTTGGAGATAGGTTTTGGAGAGGAGATGAGTTTTGTTTGCTTGTTTGTTTTTTGAGACAGAGTCTTGCCCTGTCACCAGGCCAGAGTGCAGTGGCACCATCTTTGCTCACTGCAACATCCGCCTCCCGGGTTCAAAAGATTCTCCTGCCTCAGCCTCCCGAGTAGCTAGGACAAAGGCACGAGTCACCACGCCCAGTTAGTTATTGTATTTTTAGTAGAGACGGAGTTTCACCATGTTGGCCAGGATGGTCTTGATCTTCTGACCTCGTGATCCGCCCGCCTCAGCCTCCCAAAGTACTGGGATTACAGGCGACAGCCACTGTGCCCAGCCATAAGTTTTGTTTTAAAGCAAGGCTTGTGGGGGAGTGTTGGTAGCCTCCAGTGGGCAGTAAATTGCCTGTTTTAGTTTGGCGAGAAGAAAGAGCTGGAAGTGTGGAATCACGTTCATAGAGATACACTCCAGTCATAGGCCGGGCACAGTGGCTCAAGTCTGTAATCCCAGCACTTTGGGAGGCCGAGGCAGGCAGATCACGAGGTCAGGAGATCCAGACCATCCTGGCTAACATGGTGAAACCCCGTCTCTACTAAAAATACAAAAAATTAGCCGGGCGTGGTGGCGGGCGCCTGTAGTCCCAGCTACTCGGGAGGCTGAGGCGGGAAAATGGCGTGAACCCAGGAGGCAGAGATCACGCCACCGCACTCCAGCCTGGGCGACAGAGCGAGACTCTGTCTCAAACAAACAAACAAAAAAAGAAATTTAAAAAAAGAGATACACTCCAGTCATAAGGAAAGCTTAATTAACCCTCATGCCAGCTTTCCTCCCTGACTGCCTTGTTCTTATGCAACTCCTAGCACTCACAGCTCTGGCGAGTTATAGCTAGAAGCCTTTCCCCTGGCCCCCCAACTGCCCAGCCCCCCGGGCCCCCACACCAGGCTGTGAGGAGATGCACATCAGTTACACAGAATCACCCTTGCAGCTGAGCTGGCTCCAAAGTGGGATCGGAGGCCAGAAGGCATCCACAGCCTTCTCAGGTCCGGGAACTTACCAGCCCAATTCTATGGTAACCCTGGCAGGCCCAGCTGGCAGCAGTGGGGATGGCAAGAGCAAAGCCCTGGGGGCCAGTCCTGCCAAGAGGGGGAAAGGTCAGGCCAGGGCTGGAGCCCAGGCAGGCAACCAGCTCTCACTACATTTTTTATGCGGTTGGAGGCAAACCAGGAGATGATATTACTGTAGCAACCAAGGCCAGCAGGAATGTCAAGGCAGGGAGAGGATGTGACCACACTGAGGATAGTGCAGAGACAGGAACCCAGAGGGGCCTTCCAGTGCACCTGGTTGGAAGAGAGGTCTGGAGGGCATGCAGGGGAGAGGAGAAGGAATAGCTGCTTCAAGTTCAGAGAAAAGAGATGGAAGAGGGAGGAACATGAGAGCTGAAGAAAGTTTTTTGAGAACCAGTGTGATTTGGCATGCTGGAGGCTCTAGGGAAAGCCAAGAGTTAGTCATCAGAAGAGCAAGAAGACTAAGATTATGTCCAGTGACTTAGAGTACATAGAAGAAAATGGGGTCCTCAGAAGACACGCAAAGTGAGATAAAGGAAAAATGAGTTGTTCCTTACATCTTCCAGTTGGAGGTGAGTTCGTCCAGCTAAAGTGTGCCATGTCACCACGCATATTTGGTGGTAACCTAGTGAATCAGAATCTGCACGTATCTGAGTGTTTCAACAACTTCCCCACTGTTCCCAATGCCCAGCCAGTTTGGAGAACTGGTCCAGAAGATATGGAGCAGGTACCCTGATTCAGGGAGGGGTTTGGTTTTCTTGCTGCTGTAGGCAGCAGAGAAGCATGGAGGAAAACAGGAAAGTAGAGCATGGGCCATTGTGGAACCAAGGTCACGAGCTGTATGATACAACAAGGAAAGAAGGATTTCGAAAGTCTACCAGATTGGGGCCGGGCGAGGTGTCTCAGGCCTATAATCTCAGCACTATGGGAGGCCGAGGTGGGTGGATCACGAGGTCAGGAGATCGAGACCATCCTAACACGGTGAAATCCCGTCTCTATTAAAAATACAAAAAATTAGCCGGGCGTGGTGGCAGGCACCTGTAGTCCCAGCTACTCAGGAGGCTGAGGCAGGAGAAGGGCGTGAACCCGGGAGGCGGAGCTTGCAGTGAGCCAAGATCGCGCCACTGCACTCCAGCCTGGCGACAGAGCAAGACTTCGTCTCAAAAAAAAAAAAAAAAAAGAAAATGTACCAGATTCGAAGATTGGCGATGTGGAAAGTAGCAAGAAAGCCCTGATTAGTAAATCCAGAAGTAATTTAGCAGTAGGATCTGGAGGGGAAAATTGCAGAAAAGAAAATTTACACTTCGAAAACGGCCTGAGAATAGAAAGAAACAATTTGCTAATTATACCCATGTACCTGTGGAAGTTGCTAGGGTGACTAGTACAATGTGAGTATTTTTACAGCTGTAATTTTTTTTATTATAATGAAGACACCATAAGTCAGGCTCATCACCATGTTACTGGGGAAACTTAAGCTCCAAGAAATGAAGTAGTTAAGTATCTTACCCCATGGCACATGCCTTTAGTCCCAGCTACTCAGAAGGCTGAGGTGGGAGGACCTCTTGATCCCAGGAGTTCAAGTCCTGCCTAGCAACATAATGAGATCCCATCTCTAAACATCTCATGGCTGTAATCCCAGCACTTTGGGAGGCCAAGGCAGGCGGATCACCTGAGGTCAGGAGATCGAGGCCATCCTGGCCAACATGGTGAAACCCCATCTCCACAAAAAATTAGCCTGGCATGGTGGCACATGCCTGTAATCCCAGCTACTTGGGAGGCTGAGGCAGGAGAATCACTTGAACCCGGGAGTCAGAGGTTGCAGTGAGCTGAGATTGCGCCACTACACTCCAGCCTGGCGACAGAGTGAGACTCCGTCTCAATAAACAAATAAAAATATTTAAAAAAATTAAATAGTATTAATAAAAAAAATAAAATAAAGATTAAGCCAGGCCGGGTGAGGTGGCTCGCGCATGTAATCCCAGCACTTTGGGAGGCCAAGGTGGGCAGATTACCTGAGGTTGGGAGTTCGAGACCACACTGACCAACATAAGGAAACCCCGTCTCTAATAAAAATACAAAATTAGCTTGGTGTGGTGGCACATGCCTGTAATCCCAGCTACTCGGGAGGCTGAGGCAGGAGAATTGCTTGAACCCAGGAGGCAGAGATTGCGGTGAGCCGAGACTGTGCCATTGCACTCCAGCCTGGGCAACAAGAGCGAAACTCCATCTCAAAAAAAAGTAAATAAATAAAATAAATAAAGACTAAGCCAGGCACGGTGGGTGGCTCACTCCTGTAATCCCAGCACTTTGGGAGGCCGAGGCCGGCGGATCACGAGGTCAGGGGATCAAGACCATCCTGGCCAACATGGTGAAACCCCATCTGTACTAAAAATACAAAAAATTAGCCAGGCGTGGTGGCATGGCGCCAGTAGTCCCAGCTACTCGGGAGGCTGAGGCAGGAGAATAGCTTGAACCTGGGACGGGGAACTTGCAGTGAGCCAAGATGGTGCCACTGCACTCCAGCCTGGGCGACAGAGCAAGACACCATCTAAAACAAAACAAAAAACAAAACAATTAACTTTTTAAAAAGATGTTAAGGCCGGGCGCATGGGCTCATGCCTGTAATCCCAGCACTTTGGGAGGCCGAGGCAGGTGGATCACGAGGTCAGGAGATCGAGACCATCCTGGCTAATGCGGTGAAACCCCATCTCTACTAAAAATACAAAAAATTAGCAGGGCTGGGTGGCGGGCGCCTGCAGTCCCAGCTATTCGGGAGGCTGAGGCAGGAGAATTACGTGAACTCGGGAGGCGGAGCTTGCAGTGAGCCGAGATTGCGCCCCTGCACTCCAGCCTGGGCGACAGAGCGAGACTCCGTCTCAAAAAAAAAAAAAAAGATGTTAAATATCTTGCACAGATTTACAACCCAAGTTTGTATTCTTTCTGAGCCACAGTTCTAACACTGCTGAATATTCTTTGTTTCTATACTTTATTCCTATCTACTATGTTTTTTAAGACTAGCGCATGGAGACAGCTTGTCTGATAAGAGCCTCAACCCCACTTCTGTAGCTTGTGGGGCTGAAGGAACACCAAGAAGATGATAAGAAAGAAACTATGCTGTCATGTTTCCTTTCATGACAAAAGGATGCTGTGCTTATCCCATTGAAATAAAAGCAGGAATTAAACAAATACATGGGTTATAATATTTTTCTCTAATAAGAAATATGGAAAATATAAAAGTAGACTTTGAACTCTTAGCATGTTCTATAAAGACATATTACTTTAAAGTCAGAATGAGTCAGCCAAAACGAGGTTGTTCTTAGCTTTTCCTGAAGCTCTGTTTTCTCAAGCATACTCCCAAATATTGGATCCTGAAAAAAAAAGGTTTATGATGTCCAAAATAAACCAGCTGGAGGCAAGAGTAGCACTTAAATGTATTTTTAATCATTACTACTTTTCCTCCTACTTCTCAGCATGTAAACCTAACTGCCAACCCACCAGGTGGTTGCGACAAGCAATTCAATAACTTTGGTAAATGTAAGGACATCATTGTCCTTACATTTAATACATCGTATTAAATTTTCTAATCTAAATGTATTAAAATTTCTATTTGTTGCCCAAAGGAACACAGTATGACAATGAAATTCTGAAAACAATTCTCTTAATTTTTTTGAGAAGTTTATTTTTAGGATATACATACATGTATGTGAGTACGTATGTGTGTGTGTGTGTGTGTGTGTGTGTGTACCCACATATATACGCATACATACAAACTTTTTTTCAGTTCTATTATAGAACTGGTGATCCAAAAAAAGTGCTACAAATATAAGATTAGTTTTCATAATCTCAGAGGCCATGGCAGTGATACAAAGGAAAAGAGAGGCTCTCCTTCAGGTTTGGGTATGGCCTTAGGTCACTGTGATCTTTCATGACCAGAACAAAGGCGTGTGGAGGGCCAGGTAACTTCAGTCATGTTGGCAGCTGAAGTTCAACATGCCCCGTTTCCATCTTCCTTGGACAGGAGCAGAGTGCCAGGTGTGATTCTCTGGTTCTCTGCCCAGGTTTTCAGGGAGTGCAAGTGGTGCCAGTCATATTCACTTTCGGCCAGAAAGAGCATTCTTATCTTAAGCATAGTGCAGGTTTTGGGGCACAGAATCTGAGTCAGAAGAGGCAAGAGTGGGTACAAAACTGTAGAAAAGGGGAAGTTCAAGGTACAATTTGAGGGGTAAAGTAGAACCCCATTAGGACCCAAGAAAAACGTCTCCCTTATGACTAACCCAGGCAAAGAATAAAACTGTAATTTCTATATGAAGTGCAAATTTTTTTTAATAATAATAACTTTCAAGGACATTATTTGCCCATCAGGGTTTGCACTGATGGCTTTAACATTGGAAACTGGACTGTAATTTACCTTGTAACTTCTTGAGATACTATCATCTCCTTAAAGGAAAAATAAAAGGAAATGGATGTTCTGTAAACCATTCCATCACCAGCAATGCTGACAGTGAAAAAAATTGACAGATACTTCCTAAAATGGGTATTTGTCAATTCAAAAGCATTTCTCTTAAGTTTCCTTGGCAATTAAAAAGAATAAAAGCACTAACCCATATTAAAATGATTAAGTACTAGAATGGTAGCTATTATGGAGACAATGCCACAGAATTGAATGAATGCAAAAGTGCGACTTTTACTCGTTGTGAAAATATATCGTGATGCTTTCATTTTGAAAATATATTCTGCAAATAAACTTCTCAAAATATATTTAAGTCCTCAAGAATTTATGACTGTGGAAAAAAAATAGTTACCATTTCAACTTGAGAGAAGGAAAACTGTTGGAACACTTTAGCCAATGTCTATCCAATAATTTAAAAAAAAAATGTTTCTTGGACCACAATTCATTCTCCAAATCTTCAAAAGCCTATCATTTATCATTAATTTTGAAATAAAACAGGAAATACCTGTACTAAGAGAACCTTTGAAAACAAGCAGAATAATTAGCAAGGAATATTTGGGGAGGCACTGACAATAATGTAATGCCTGGATTAGTTTCTCAAAAAGCATGAAATTGTAGCTGGGAGGCATATGTAGCTAAGGATTCAGCATTCCAGCACTGAGCATTATAACTCAGTTTTCCTGATATTCTGACATATTAGTTAACAAAAAGCACATGGAAGATGTTCCCAGAACACAACTGTGGAGTTCCTATGTGAGTTAAACTTCCTCCGCTGCGATGGAGCTCATAGGCGTAACTGGCATAAAGATGTTAAAGTGCTTTTGTGCTGGGCAGTTTTCAACCATAAAGAGAAACACTTTTAAAAGATGTTATATATTTATGTTGTGTGTACATGCAAGCATGTAGGTATGCATACATGTATATACTCCTAGCCTGTTTCATTCATAAAAGGACTCTGAAAGACGGCTGTATTTACCTGTCTTTTAACCTGCTTCATTCTCCAGTTGCCAATTCTTTGGGATATATCTAGAAGTGGGTGGGATTATTGGGGTGATATCCACCTAAAATGTTTGCACTTGGGGTCCCCACAGGGACCTTGGATTTCCCTGCCTCTGTGTCTTTGTTCAGGCTGTGCTCTCTAGTTAGAATACCCACCTTTTGGACTTGGCTCAAAGTTAACTCAAGTGGCATAGCCTCTCCTCATGTCTAGAACTGGATGTGATTTCTTTCATTCCTTTTTAGGTCCCTTTCCTATGACACATTGTATTAGTCTGTTCTCATGCTGCTAATAAAGACATACCGGAGACTGGGTAATTTATAAAGAAAAAGAGGTTTAATAGACTCACAGTTTCACATGTCTGGGGAGGCCTCACAATCATGGTGGAAGGCAAAGAAGGAGCAAAGATACGTCTTACATGGTGGCAGGCAAGACAGAGCATGTGCAGGAGAACCCCCCTTTATAAAACCATCAGATCTCATGAGACTTATTCACTATTACGAGAACAGCACAGGAAAGACCCCCGTGATTCAAGTACCCCCTAGTGGGTCTGTCCCACACCCGGGAATTACAGGAGCTACAATTCAAGATGAAATTTGAGTGGGGACACAGCCAAACCATATCACATATTTTATTTTACCTTGACTTAAGCTGACTAATTATTACACTTCTTTTCTTTCTTTCCCTTCCTCCATCCCCACAAACACTAGTTAATAAATTTTTCAAAGGACAACATGTTAATTTCACCTTGTTACAAGACAATATTTGGGAGTCCATTAGTTGAGATGGCTTTCTCCAGCATTCTGGGTTCCTACATGAGCAAGCCAAACTCAGAGTAAGTTAACGAGTCAGAAACCAACAACTCTAACTAACCTCTAACTACGGACTTTACCAACCAGAAACCACCAACTAATGTCTACTAGGTACTTTAAGGTTACTGTTCCACTTTAGCCAACCAAATATTTTCCTTGTCTAGCTTCCCATGCTTATAAAAGTTTTCCTCTCGGCCGGGTGCGGTGGCCCACGCCTGTAATCCCAGCACTTTGAGAGACTGAGGCTAGCAGATCACAAGGTCAGGAGTTCCAGACTAGCCTGGCCAATATGGTGAAACCCCGTCTCTGCTAAAAATACAAAAACAACTAGCCAGGTATGGTGGTGGGCACCTGTAGTCCCAGCTATTCGGGAGGCTGAGGTAGGAGAATTGCTTGAACCCAGGAGGCAGAGGTTGCAGTTAGCCAAGATCATGCCACTGCACTCCAGCCTGGGCGACAGAGCGAGACTCCATCTCAAAAAATAAATAAATAAAAATAAGTCTCCCTCTCAAGCACCTTCAGTGGAACCCTGAAACACTTGCAGTCAGGTGCTGCCAGGTCACTCGCTGTCTGCTCAAATAAACGCCTTAAAATTTTAATGTGTCTAACTTTATCTTTTAACAACCTATGTAACACTGCTTACTATGGTGGCTTTGCCTGTAGTGGGTGCTCCAAAACCTGTTTGATGAGTTAGAATTGAAGTTTGTGAATTGAATTGCTGAGCTTTCTATGTTCGTTGAAATAAGATAATTCACTTTTGATGATTCTTTGGGTCTTGCTTATTTTGAGATCATTCTTTGAAAAAGTATTTCATATGAATGAAAAGTATTGGTTTTTCTCTCCTTTTTTCCATGAATTATTAAGTCCCTTCCTTCCTTCCTTCCTTCCTTCCTTCCTTCCTTCCCACCCTCTCTTCCCCTCTCTCCCTCCCTCCCTCCCTCTTGCCCTTCTTTTTCATTCTTCTTTTCTTCATTTTTTTCTTCCAAACTAATTGAATGCCTTTTATCTGGCAGTTATAAGACACAAAAAGAGGGCAGGGTGTGGTGGCTCACACTATAATCACACTTCCTCCCAGCACTTTGGGAGGCCCAGGGGGATGGTGAATCATCTGAGGTCAGGAGTTCAAGACCAGCCTGGTCAACATGGTGAAACCCCATCTTTACTAAAAATACAAAAATTAGCCAGGTGTGGTGGCACCTGCCTGTAATCCCAGTTATTTGGGAGGCTGAGGCTGGAGGATTGCTTGAGCCAGGGAGTTGGAGGCTGCAGTGAGCTATCATCATGCCACTGTACTCCAAACTGGGCAATGGTGAGACTCTGTCTCAAAAAAAAAAAGGAAAGAAATAAGAAATCTGGATCCAAATTTAGAATGTAATTTATAGTCCTGACAAAGCCATAAATCACGTTCTAAATGAAGACAAATACTTATCCAATGCATTTATATAAATATATGTGTGTGTATGTGTATATATATATAATATATACATTATATATTATATAATATATAATATATACATTATATATAATATAATATATAATATATACATTATATATATTATATAATATATAATATATACATTATATATATTATATAATATATAATATATACATTATATATATTATATATTACGTAATAATATATACATTATATATATTATATAATATATAATATATACATTATATATATTATATATTACGTAATATATATTATGTAATATATATTATATATATTATATATTATGTAATATATATTATATATATTATATATTATGTAATATATATTATATATATTATATATTATGTAATATATATTATATATATTATATATTATGTAATATATATTATATATATATATATTTTTTTGAGGCAGGGTCTCGCTCTGTCACCCAGGACGCAGTGCAGTGGCTCAATCTCAGCTCACTGCAACTTCCGCCTCCCAGGTTCAAGCGATTCTCCTGTCTCAGCCACCTGAGTAGCTGGGATTACAGGTGCCTGCCACCATGCTTGGCTAATTTTTGTATTTTTAGTAGAGACAGGGTTTCACCATGTTGGCCAGGCTGGTCTCGAACTCCTGACCTCAAGTGATCCACCTGCCTTGGCCTCCCAAGGTGCTGGGATTACAGGCGTGAGCCCCGCACCCAGCCAAAAGATATATTTTAAAACTTGATCAAAAAAATTCTAAGTAGTCAAAATGTAAATTCATCCAAAGTCTTTTCTTAAACTAGTTCGTCTTCATGGCAACAATTTTTGCACTTCATAATATGACAGTAGCTTAATCCTCAAGTATAAATTTTAGAAAACACATTGGAAGCAAAGTTGCTTTTTATCATCCTCACCCCCACCCCACTGTTCTAGTTGCTAGCGTTTAAAAGGCACTCTAAGCTACCTCCAGGGTTAAAGAGGAGCCACTCAGTGATTCATTCATAATATCTACTGAGTATCTACAACAAGCTAAGCAATGTTCTGTGCTAAATTTAATTTTTAAAAAAGAAAAAGAATGCATTTCCACCCAGAATGAATATAACTGGTTCTACTTTTGAAGGAAGCTGGCTGAATTAGTGTCACTGGGGACATAAGTTTGCCAGATAAAATACAGGACACCCAGTTAAATTTGAATTTCAGATAAACAACAAATACATTTGTATTATAAATATGTTCCATGCAACATGTACTAAAGAATTACTTATTGTCTAATGAACTGCAAATGTAGCTGGGTGCAGTGGCACACACCTGCAAATCCAGCACTTTGGGTGGCTAAGATAGGTAAATTGCTTGAGTCCAGCAGTTCAAGACCAGCCTGGGCAACATGGTGAAACCCCATCTCTACTAAAAATACAAAACATTAGCCAGGCGTGGTGGTGCACACCTGTAGAGTCAGCTACTGGGAGGCTGACGTGGGAGGATTGCTTAAGCCTAGGGAATTCAAGACTGCAGTAAGACGCTGCACAGAGCAAGACCCTGTCTCTCTCTCTCTCTCTCACAAACACACACACACACACTCAGGGAAAGAAAGCGATTCAAATTTAATTGGCCATCCTTTATTTTTAAGACTTTTTTTTTTTAGAATAGTTTTAGGTTCACAGCAAAATTAACAGGAAGGTACACAGACTTCCCATGCGTCCCCTGCCTCTACACATGCCTTCTCCACGATCAACATTCCCCATCAGAGTGGTTCGTTACAATTGACAACCTACATTGATACATCATTATCTTCCAGAGTCCATAGTTTACATTAGCGTTAACTCTTGGTGTTGTACATTCCATGGGTTTGGACAAATGTATAATGATATGCACCCTTCATTACAAAATCGTACAGAGTATTTCTATTGCTCTAAAAATTCTCCATTCTCTGCCTAATCATCTCCTCTCTTTCCCCTGTCTTGTATTTTTATTTGCTTAAATCTGTCAACCCTAGTTGGGAAAGGACCAGCTACATTGCTGCCCTCCTTTGCAGAAGCTGGCTGGGGCTGGAGAGTGAGAATCAGAACAGACAGCTCAATGTGTAGCTGGCTGGCTTTGAGTATGCGCAACTGCATAGTGAGGGTAAAGAATTAGGCCGGGCGCGGTGGCTCACGCCTGTAATCCCAGCACTTTGGGAGGCCGAGGCGGGCGGATCACGAGGTCAGGAGATCGAGACCATCCTGGCTAAAACGGTGAAACCCCGTCTCTACTAAAAATACAAAAAATTAGCCGGGCGTAGTGGCGGGCGCCTGTAGTCCCAGCTACTTGGGAGGCTGAGGCAGGAGAATGGCGTGAACCCGGGAGGCGGAGCTTGCAGTGAGCCGAGATCCCGCCACTGCACTCCAGCCTGGGCGACAGAGCGAGACTCCGTCTCAAAAAAAAAAAATAAATAAAATAAAAAAAATAAATAAAAAAAAGAATTAAGAAGCCGAAGCTGTAAGCAGCTGACTACTTTGCATAATAAAATTCTAAATCATTAGGATGGGATGGGAATGGGGCAGACACTGAGTAAGAAAAGGGCAAGAGGTCGGGCGCGGTGGCTCACACTTGCAATCCCAGCAGTTTGGGAGCCCAACGCGGGTGGATCACGAGGTCAGGAGTTCGAGACCAGCCTGGCCAGTGTGGTGAAACCCCGTATCTACTAAAAATACAAAAATAAGCTGGTCCTGGTGGCACACGCCTCTAATCCCAGCTACTCAGGATGCTAAGGCAGGAGAATCGCTTGAACCTGGGAGGTGGAGGTTGCAGTGAGCCAAGATCGTGCTACTGCACTGCAGCCTGGGACAGAGTGAGACTCCATCTCAAAAAAAAAAAAAAAAAAAAAAAAGAAAGAGAGAAAGAAAGAAAGAGAGAGAGAGAAAGAAAAGAAAAGAAAGAAAACAGAAAGAAAGCTGGGCAAATAGGAGGCTAAAACTCAGGCAGAGAAGTTCAGTATTAGTTTTTCCACACCACAGTAATAACTATTGTCTTTCACCTTCCCAAATCTTTTACTACATACATTCATATGTAGTAAACAGAGGAATAGAAAATATTTTATACAGTAATGTTCATTTCAATCTTCAGAACTTTAACCAGTTCTTTGGGGTTGCAGCCATATAGCTTTGCTATAGATGCAGGTGAGGTAAAACACTAGACCTATCAGTTTTCAGTTTCGTTCTAATTTGCTCCTGGTGCACAGTCAGCTGTAGAATGATTGGTCTTATGGAGCTGGCTAAGACAGCTATTCATCCAAACGGCAGGGCATCTGTGTCAGTCTTTGCCCCAGGTCCCAGGGCCGTCCCGCATATTTGCAATAAGTAACCAGGAGAAGGCTGCTCTTCCCTTTCTAGAGCCAATAAAGGTCCACCAAACATCATGCCTGTGGCTCTCACTCCGGAGATGTGTAGAAATCATTTTCTATTGACTGTGCTCAAGGGCTGAAGCCAGAGCCTGGTGTTTCAATGGCATTATCAAATAACAGATCCCTAAATACCATAACGAAAAAGGTCAGCCATATGGGCCTTTTTTGATCAAGGCTCTCAGTTACCTGGAGTTTCTCCATACCCTTCAGGTCTCTGGGATTCTATATCCCAGTTGGCTCTCAGGGGTTTAGTGTCCCACCTGCCTGGTTTCCTGCTCTTTCTGCCGCCAGACTCTGTTGGACAGCCTCAGGTGCACTGCTAGTCTATACTCAGAATGCTCACTCTGTTCCAGCTACAAGTCTGAAGGCCAGCCTTCAATCTCTTCCTTTAGTTTAGAACCCTCCCTCTAAAATCTGGAATCTAAAACATACACTGTTAGACAACAGCTTCTGCTCTTTTTCTGCCTCACACCTTAGCAATTGCCTTCCCCCTTGTTGGCTCCTGGCCTCCTCTGTCACCCTTGGCTCACAGCACACCTTTGTCAGCATTCAGACATGCCCTCTAACTTGTCTCCTGAGACCTGAACACGGACAATCTGACACCCTAATTCCACATTTCATTTTTGGTTATGGAGCTAATAACGATGTGCCTTAGACAAAGTGTCAGAATTGTTCCTGCACCTCCAACAGAGATTGGGTGAAAGAAAAACATCACACATGAATCACACTAACTGCCATGACAGATAAACTCACCAACTTTAGTGGCCGCGTGCAATAAAAATGTATGTCTTGCTTACGTAACAGAAGAGTTGACTGCTGACTTTTTCCTCTATATGGTAACTGTGGGACAAGGGTCCTTCTATCTTGTGCCTCCACCATCTTGTAGGGCTTCAGATTCCTTGATGATGAGTCCACAGATAGGGAAAGAGAGGGTTGAGAGCACACTTCTTAACGGGTGGGGTCACATTTCCACCTAGATATAAAGGGTTGGTAAATGTGGTCACTGACCTGTCTAGTCACTGACAACTCTACACCATGGAAGTGGGTTACACAAATCTTTGGTGGGCAATGAGCTGTGTCTCTGCCATAGATGGTAATCCCCATTGTCTCGGTCAATAATAGAGCTTCCACTCTAAAAAGAAAAAATAATATATAAAAGTATTGAGACATCTTTCTTCAAATAAAACAAGTAAATTATTTATTTATTTATTTATTGAATAAAAGGCTTACGGGGAGAAGAAATGAATTCTTCAGGCTGGGAGCGGTGGCTCACGCCTGTAATCCCAGCACTTTGGGAGGCCGAGGCGGGCGGATCACGAGGTCAGGAGATTGAGACCATCCTGGCTAACATTGTGAAACCCCGTCTCTACCAAAAATACAAAAAATTAACTGGGTGTGGTGGCGGGCACCTGTAGTCCCAGCTACTTGGGAGGCTGAGGCAGGATAATGGCGTGAACCTGGGAGGCAGAGCTTGCAGTGAGCTGAGATCGCGCCACTGCACTCCAGCCTGGGTGACAGAGTGAGACTCCATCTCAAAAAAATAAATAAATAAAAATAAAAGAAATGAAGTCTTCAAAGTGATTTGAAGCTGGGTATGGTGGCTCACGCCTGTAATCTCAGCACTTTGGAAGGCTGAGGTTGGCGGATCACCTGAGGTCAGGAGTTTGGGACCAGCCTGGCCAACATGATAAAACCCCGTCTCTACTAAAAATACAAAAATTAGCTAGGCATGGTGGCGGGTGCCTGTAATCCCAGCTACTTGGGAGGCTGAGGCAGGAGAATCACTTGAACCTGGGAGGTGGAGGCTGCAATGAGCTGAGATCACACCATAGCACTCCAGCCTGGGCAACAGAGCGAGACTAAATCTCAAAAAACAACAACAGCAACAAAGTAAGAAGTCTGTAAGTAGTTTATTTATCTGTAGTGTCCCTTCCTCTGCATATATATAACGGTGTATAACTGGTTTCTCAATCTCCTGTAGCCAAAGATAATTGAGACATGACAGTACGCAGCAGGTTTCTTAAGTGCCTATGGGTAAACACACCTGTTTGAAAGAAAATAGACCTAGGAGATATCTGAGAGCCTTCCCATTTTCTTATTTCTGTTATTGCACATAGGGTAAAAGCACAGAAGTATATAGGTCTAAGGAAACTTGATAAGCAGATTTATTCATTCAACATTCATTTTTTGAGTATCTACAATGGCTACTCAGTCATCCTGAGCGCTAGAAATATTAGAATAAGAAATAGTGTCCTTGCAAAAAACCAAACACCACATGTTCTCACTCATAGATGGGAGTTGAACAATGAGAACACTTGGACACAGGAAGGGCAACATCACACACCGGGGCCTGTTGTGGGGTGGGGGGAAGAGGGGAGGGATGGCATTAGGAGATACACCTAATGTAAATGACGAGTTAATGGGTGCAGCACACCAACATGGCACATGTATACATATGTAACAAACCTGCACGTTGTGCACATGTACCCTAGAACTTAAAGTATAATAAAAAAGTATTAAAATAAATAAATAAATAAATAAATAAATAAATAGGGTCCTTGCTCTCGGGGAGCTTATAGCGTAATGGAGTAAAAAGTACATGTCAAAGTGGTTCCATTCTTGAGATTAGAGAATGCTGAGTTTATCCTTTGAGAAGGACAGATGTCAGGATCTGTCATAACCTATTTGAAGCAAAACAATAGTAACCAATGTTGTATAGATTAATTATATTGCTTGGGGGTAGAATCTGTGTCTTTGGTGATGAAGATTGGTCATGTGATTATGGGGCAAATAGCTGCCTACATGATACATTTGTGAGATTATGCAACGCCTTTGATGACAAATCATTTCCCATTACTAACTTCACTTGGAAGGCCACAATTTAAAAGCTAACATATGGGTACAGTATTGGGCATTATTACTTTTATCAGAATTAACCAAACTTGTAGCAGAAAGAAGGGCTAAGGGAATGAGTCAGAGGACCAAAAATTGAAATAGGGAGATACAGCCAGGTTGTTGGGCTGGCCCGGAAACCAGGAGTCAACCTGGAGTATTCCTGAGTCAGAAGTGAGAAAAAATTACTTTTTTTTTTTTTTTTTTGAGATGGAGTCTAGGTCTGTCACCCAGGCTGGAATGCAGTGCAGTGATATTGGCTCACTGCCACCTCTGCTACCCGGGTTAAAGCGATTCTACTGCCTCAGCCTCCTGAGTAGCTGGGATTACAGGTGCCTGCCACCATACCCACCTAATTTTTCTATTTTTAGTAGAGACGGAGTTTCACTGTGTTGGCCAGGCTGGTCTCGAACTCCCGACCTCGTGATCCACCCGCCTTGGCCTCTCAAAGTGTGAGCCACCGCGCCTGGCCAAAAAAAAATCACTACTTTAAAAAGTCACGGGCCGGGCACGGTGGCTCACACCTGTAATCCCAGCACTTTGGGAGGCAGAGGCGGGCAGATCACGAGGTCAGGAAATCGAGACCACCCTGGCTAACACAGTGAAACTTCATCTCTACTAAAAATACAAAAAATTAGCCGGGCATGGTGGCGGGTGCCTGTACTCCCAGCTACTCGGGAGGCTGAGGCAGGAGAATGGCGTGAACGTGGGAGGCGGAGCTTGCAGTGAGCCGAGATCACGCCACTGCACTCCAGCCTGGGCGACAGAGCGAGATCTGTCTCAAAAAAAAAAAAAAAAAGTCACTACTATTCTAAGCCTCTGCTGCTTGAGAATGTATCCAATTCCCCGGCATGTTGGGGGAGTCGGCTGGGAGAGTAAATCTTGAATATCTTAAGAATCTTTATTCAAGGTTTTGAAGTTGAGTCACTGATTTAAACTGGATTTTTATGCCATTAGGGATGAAAAATTGTCATGAGGAGCCATTAGGAATGGCAATGTGTAGGCTTTTCCCCAGATTGCCACTTAGATAAAGTACGTTTTTCAGACTCCAAAAACCCACCACATCTTTCAGTTTTCCTTCTTTGAACTCAGCTCTTTTATTTTTTATTTTATTTTATTTCTTTCTCTTTTTTTTGAGACGGAGTCTCGCTCTGTCGCCCGGGCTGGAGTGCAGTGGCGCGATCTCGGCTCACTGCAAGCTCCGCCCCCCAGGTTCGCGCCATTCTCCTGCCTCAGCCTCCCGAGTAGCTGGGACTCCAGGCGCCCGCCACCTCGCCCGGCTAATTTTTTGTATTTTTGGTAGAGACGGGGTTTCACCGTGTTAGCCAGGATGGTCTCGATCTCCTGACCTCGTGGTCCGCCTGCCTTGGCCTCCCAAAGTGCTGGGATTACAGGCGGGAGCCAGCGCACCCGGCCAAACTCAGTTCTTATCAAGAGCTTTGTCATAAAGATCCACAAGCTGGAAATAATCTCTCCATTCTTCCATTTTCCCTTTTTGACTTCTTTTATGGCACTTGCTGTATTTTAAGGTAGATTATTATTTATGTTATTCTTATTTCTCTTACTAGAGGGGAAACTGTTGGCATAAAATGTGGTGGTTAAAGATATGTCCTGGATTCAGACAGATCTCAGGTCACTGTGTGCCCTCAAACCAATAGTCAACCTCTCTAAGTCTCAATGCCTTCTCTGAAAATGTATGTTATAACAGTAAGTGAAATGTCCACAGCATCATACAAGAGCATACAGCACTCAATATGTGTTAGCTACTTCTTTTTTTTTTAAAGATACTTTTCCTTTGTTAAATTTAATAATTTCAACCTCAGGAAGCCAGTGTTCTTAAAGCCATTTTCCTGAGGAGGATTCCACATTGCAGAGGTCACATAATTGTGAGAAAGTTATGTAGCTGGTGGATAGAAGAATCTGCATTTAAACCCAGGTTGTGTTTAGGCAACCTCTCTTTCCAGGGCAACAGGGAGCCACTATTAGATTCTATTCATAGCTGACTCGTAGTGTAAGGTTTTAATGTTTCCTTTTGTGTATCTTGTTTCCTCTCAGTGAAACAAATAGGCTCTGGTAGGGATGGGTCTTGGCTCAAGCATTCCTGTGTTTATCAACACTTCAAGACTTGAAAATTGAGAACAGACACTGCTTTTCATTCTGAACAACGACTTGTCAATATAAGGAAACATTTCCATTGTTTTCATATAAAAATGTTCCACTGATGCCATAATGCTAGTAGAGTTTACAAATATAAAGGCATAAGAAGAAAATAATTAAATTACCTTTTCTGAGAGACATATTAGTCTCTAAATTTTATTTCTTTGTAGCTTAAGAGTCAAAAGCCAGAGAACTGCAAATTTATTTTGTGGATGTTTTCCCCAAAAGGGCTCAAGATGAACATGATGACCCCAAATCATGCTAAAATCTCTTGGTCTTAGTTATTCCTCCTCTTGAAATAAAAAGGGCAGACAATGGAGATTTTAAAAAATTTAACTAGCACTCTAATAAAAAAACCTCTTAATTTTTAAACAGCCTACTTGTTTAAAAAAACAAAAGCTCATTCTTATCACTCATCTTTATTCTTCTTCAAGCTCTATCACAAGCATAAAATGGAAATTTACTAGCTTTTTTAAAGAACATATTTTACCACATAAGAATTAAAATAACAATTACTTTATTTTTTTCTCTCAGATACTGACCATACTTCCCAAATTTATACCATTACAGAAACTATTTTAGCTCTGAAATTTGAGATATTGCTGTATTCTACACAATATTTGAAGAATTTCTCAGTTATTCCCAGGCATTCATTTCGATGGAGTCTTTCTTTGGTCACTCAATAATTCAACCGGCATTTATTGAGTACCAATTATGTGCTAGGCAGTATGCTCAGTGCTGAGGGACTCAGGGCAGAAAAGATACGTTCCCTATACTCAACAACCTCTCAGAAGACATTTAATGAATAATTTTATCTTCCTGTTATAGTAAAATAAGCAGACGTGAATTCCTCTAAGCATCATTAAGTAACTTATGTTTCAAATGTGAGTCTCTCTTGCTGTAAGGCTCCACTATTTAACGCACTCAATGCACTGTTGAAGATTTCTAACCCTGAGTCTGATATTTTTATCAGTTTCATTTTAAGCCACATTTCCTGAACCCAGTGAAGGGTTTTTGCCATCCATTCATCTGATAAAGATTTGAGTGTCAATGTATGTAAGGCAACAGGTTAGTGTCTCTGCAGGCTAAAATGAATGGTATGAACAGTAAGTGGATGCAAAAACTGAATGGAAGAAATAAGGGTTTCAGCAGGGACTTTGGATAGAGAGGAAAGCATATTTTCCAGTTACTGTCACATGCGTCAGAGTTAATGAAGATAATATCCATTTAAGTGGTTGAGGATTTCCTTTCGTCAAGGGGCTTGCCAACCACCATCCCAGGTATCTATTACTGAATAGGATTTTTATCCAGAACCTTTTTCTGCTTCCCTACTCTGAAGCAGGATGTTCAGAATTCTGAAGAGACATTTAAATGGCGTGGGGGACTGGACGCAGTGGTGCACGCGTGTAGTCCCAGCTACTTGGGAGGCTGAGGCACGAGAATAGCTTGAACCTGGGAGGCAGAGGTTGCAGTGAGCCGAGATCATGCCACTGCACTCCAGCATGCACGACAGAGTGAGACTGTCTCAAAAACTAAAATAAAATAAATAAGTTAAATAAATGGCATGGAAACTGATATGGTTTGGTTGTGTCCCACCCAGATCTCACCTTGAATTGTAATAATCCTCATGTGTCAAGGGTGGGGCCAGGTGGAGATAACTGAATCATGGGGGCGGTTTTCCCCATAGTTTTCTCATGGTAGTGAATAAGTCTCACAAGATCTGATGGTTTTATAAATGGGAATTCCCCTGCATGAGCTCTCTTGCTTGCCACCATGTAAGACATGCCTTTGCCCTTCCTTCATCTTTTACCAGGAGTGTGAGGCCTCCCCAGCCATGTGGAATGGTGACTTTATTAAACTTCTTTCCTTGTAAATTACTCAGTCTCCAGTATGTCTTTATTAGAAGCAGGAGAATGGACTAATACAGTTAGCCTGCACCTTCTTCCTCTAAGCTTCTAGCCAGCCCCAGTCATGTTAGGTTCTAGATTCCTTCCTCTGGGTATTCTCCAGAGTCAGGAATACGCACTGCACTACGATATGAACAGGAGCCAAGGGGTGTAGTATGGATGAAAGTGACTTATGTTCTACATTACCCAATTCTATGAGATTTTCACTTTAAAACCCAGAGTGCATTTACTTTTTAATTATAAAGTTTTAAAATTACAGAATTCGAAAATCATATTCTCTGGAGTGAAAGGCAGCTCCGAGTTCCCAAAAGCACCTCTCATGTCTTAACACTCAAAACGTACGAAATTTAAGAGACCCCAGGAAAAGGGATGGCTTTCTTCATTTAGAATTTCTGCCGGGTGCAGTGGCTCACGCCTGTAATCCCAGCACCAAGATGGGCAGATCACGAGGTCAGGAGATCAAGACCATCCTGGCTAACATGGTGAAACCCCATCTCTACCAAACAAAAAACAAAAATTAGCTGGGTGTGGTGGTGGGCGCCTGTAGTCCCAGCTACTCGGGAGGCTGAGGCAGGAGAATCGCTTGAACCTGGGAAGCAGAGCTTGCAGTGAGCGGAGATCATGCCACTACACTCCAACCTGGGTGACAGAGTGAGACTCTGTCTCAAAAAAAAAAAAAAAAAAAGAATTTCTTCTCTCACCCACTCCCAGTTTTTCTTTGCTAAGGTGTCTCTTTCTTTCCACATTTATTCTACAAGCATGTGTCCTGCGGCTCTCCCAGAGGAGATAAGAAACAGAAGCTGTGTGGGGGTATAACGTCTTTCACTAGGGTGAGACTGAAATGGGGAGGGAGAGGTTGTGAGGTAAAGGCAGGTAATTAAAAACTGGCCTATGGGCTGGATGTGGTGGCTCACGCCTATAATCCCAGCACTTTGGGAGGCCGAGGAGGGTGGGATCACCTGAGGTCAGGAGTTCGAGACCAGCCTGGCCAACATGGCAAAACCCCATCTCTACTAAAAATACAAAAATTAGCCAGGCGTGGTGGCAGGCGCCTGTAATTCGAGCTACTCAGGAGGCTGAGGCAGCAGAATCGTTTGAACCCGGAGGTGGAGGTTGCACTAAGCTGAGATCGCACCACTGCACTCCAGCCTGGGCACCAGAGCAAGAGTGCATCTTAGGAAAAAAAGAAAAGAAAAGAAAAGAAAACTGGTCTACGGAAATCTGACTCTGAAGCATTCAGTTATTGGTTGGCATCTCCGTTTGTAGACAAAAGCAGCAGATCCAGCACTTGGGTTTTTTATTGCAAGTTTGAGGTCCTCACACAGGGGGCTTGAAGGGTTTTTATGGTTCAATTCATTCCAGTCTTGCACCTTAAAGTTGGTTCATCCCAGAGGGGTGACTGATGACCAGTTTTTTCTTTTCTTTTCTTTTGACACAGAGTCTCGCTCTGTCGCCCAGGCTAGAGTGCAATGGCGTGATCTCAGCTCACTATAACCTCTGCCTCTGGGTTCAAGTGATTCTGCTGCCTCAACCTCCCAAGTAGCTGGGATTACAGGTGTCTGTATCCTCAAGGTAACCAGCTTGGAGAACTTGCATCCTCAAGGTAACCAGCTTATGACAAATGAATTTATTTCTTATTAATGTTCTCGGTACTCCACATGCCAGTCACACCATATATGAGTTTCTTCTAGGATGGGTGAGTTGGCTGAGGCTGTACCCCTGAAATGAAGGAAAACCATGTGGGATAGTTGATTCTCTTTCTTTACCTCTAACTGTGCTCTGTAAGAATTCTCTTACTAGCAGCATCTTGCTGTATACAATCTGAATGTGGACGACTCATTTTAGTCTCTGCTCCAATACTGACTCCCTGGATCACACAGACCTGTCCAATATCTTGTACCTAGTTTCCCGAAGATTCTGAGAATAATAATGAGAGGCAATACATCTGAAAGCCTCTTGGAATAGACACATGTATACATAGTTTGCAGTTCAGACTGGTGTGTTTTTAGTGGCAGCATACCCTCTGCTGATCAAGCACATTAGTGGTCCATTACTGGAATCACATTTGGTGACATGCCAAGTGTCTTCTGATTTGACATCAAAGTGGTAGTGATAGCTTGAATGAGTGAACTAGCGTCTGTGAAGCTCCTTACCATGGAGATAACTGATTTTATACTAATATTTTCCTGTTTCCTTATTTGCTTTTGCTTTCCTTCCCAAGCAGCATATTTATTGTTGTTAACTTGGATCAGTTTTTGTGATCTTGGTATTAAGTGAGACAGCTATGTAAACAAGTTGCAAGCCATCATTAGTTTATCAGTAGAAGGATGTGTGGTCCATTGCCAAGATTCATTGATCTGTTTATTACGACCCTACCCAGTACAATTTTAGTGGCAATTTAAAAAATCGTCTTAGGGTTTCACTTGCAGAAGTCCACTGGTTCATTTATTAACCTACGTTTGAGGGATAGCTTGCTGTATAATCTTACCGGCATTATCATGACCGTTGTTATAATCCACTGCAGCCAGGGAGTAATATCCCAATTACATGTTCTATTGTTTCACTTGTGATATGAGAGCGATGCAAATTGTTGATGATAATTACGTTGATTTTCAGCAGTTTGCAAATTAGTAAATTAGTACATTTAGAAATATAAATATACCCAAAGGCTAATATGTGTGTTGGGACTAGTTAACAAGTATTTATTGAGTGCCTACAGTATGTGTGGTGGACTGTAATAGGCACAGTGGTAGAGATACCAGTGACGGCATAAAACAAACAAGGAACCTACCCTGGCTCAGGTTACAATTTGTGCTAGATAAAAATAAAAGTACCTTACTAATTGAGTTAGTCTGTTCTGGCAAGAAGCAACCCTGAAATGGCATAAAACAACAATTTATTAATTCCTACAATTCCGTGGGTTGGCTGGGCTGTTTACTGACTGGTTTTAGAGGATGACCAGTGGGAGAGTCGCTGGGTTGGAGAGGCTAGCCTCACTCACAGGAATGGCAGTTGGCGTTGGCTGTGGGCTGGGCATCTTGCTTCTTATTTTATTTATTTATTTATTTATTTATTTATTTATTTTCCCCCGAGATGGAGTCTTGCTCTGTCACCCAAGCTGGAGTGCAGTGGGGTGATCTCAGCTCACTGCAACCTTTGCCTCCCAGGTTCAAGCAATTCTCCTGCTACAGCCTCCCGAGTAGCTGGGATTACAGGCGTGCACCACCACACCCGGCTAATTTTTGTATTTTTAGTAGAGACGGGGTTTCACCATGTTGGCCAGGCTGGTCTTGAACTCCTGACCTTGTGATCTGCCCACCTCGGCCTCCCAAAGTGCTGGGATTACAGGTGTGAGCCACCGTGCCTGGCCATCTTGCTTCTTTTTTAAGTGGCCTCTCATCCTCTGGTAGGGTAGACCAGCCCCCTCACATGTTCTCAGGGCAATGCTCCAAGAGAGTGAAAGAGGAAGCTGCAAGGCCCGTTGAGGTCAAGCCTCGGGAATTGCTTAACATCACGTCTCCCACATTCTACTGATCAAAGCAAGACTTAAGGTCCACCCAGATTCACAGGATTGGAGAAACAGACTGCACCTCTTGATGAAAGTGGCAGAGAAGCCACATGGCAAAGATGAGGACATACCAGGATGGATGTGTTGGGGCTCAGGAAAGGATACCCCAAAATGCGGCATTTTGACATGTCGAACTAAAGACGCAGCCTTAAGGTGTCTCTGACCACCCCACCACATCACCCCTCAATCCTCTGCCTCTTCCAAAGCACAGGATGAGGCTGTTCTCTGAAATTCCCTTATCTAACAAAAAAACAGACCCGCCAAAGAATAACACAGTTGCCTTTAATCCTCCCCCTGAAATTTCACAAACCAGAGATGAAAATTCATATCAGAGAGGAACAGACTGATGATTTAACACTACACCTGGAACAAAGAGGAACTTTGTCTATTTTGAGCTCCCATTCATTTCCCAGGTAACTATATACTAACCATTCTCTGATCATTGGGCCCATTCATTCTACCTGAAAATCATTTACTACCCCCTCAAAATAACCACATTTGCCCCTTCTCCCTTTCCTCTATGAAAAAGGGTACATAAGCATCTGGAACCTATTTGGTTACTGGGTATCGTTCTCCTGTGATTCCCCATGCTTATGCACATTACATAAATTTGTAGGCCTTTTTCTCTATTAATCTGCCTATTGTCAGTTTTATTTCAAGGAACCTTTAGAGGGCAGAGAGGAAACTTTCCTCTGGCCTTACAGGTGGGTTTTGTTCCATGCTTTGCAAGCTACTACACTTGCTATGTAAAAACTAGTCCTTCACAGTGGTTGTTTTTGCATTTCAGAATTCCTATTTCATTGCTACAGATGATCAATATTGGGTCAAAACCCAGCTCTTCTCATACCTGAAGTTTATACAGGGTCCTTTTTCTTTTCTTTTCTTTTCTTTTTGAGACGGCGTCTCACTCTTGTTGCCCAGGCTGGAGTGCAATGGCGTGATCTCTGCTCACCACAACCTCTGCCTCCCGGGTTCAAGCAATTCTCCTGCCTCAGCCTTCCGAGCAGCTGGAATTACAGGTGCCTGCCACCATGCTCAGCTAATTTTTTGTATTTTTTAGTAGAGATGGGGTTTCTCCATGTTGGCCAGGCAGGTCTTGAACTCCTGACCTCAGGTGATCCACTCGCCTCGGCCTTCCAAAGTGCTGGGATTACAGGTGTAAACCACCACACCCAGCCACAGGGTCCTTTTTCTATATGTCAATTTAAGTTAGGCCAGACACAGTAGCTCACGCCTGTAATCTTGGGAGGCCTGTAATCTTGGGAGGCCAAGGTGGGCAGATGGCTTGAGCCCAGGTGTTCAAGACCAGCCTGTGCAACATGCGAGACACTGTCTTTACAAAAATAAATAAATAAATAAATAAATAAAAATTAGCTGGGAATGATGACACATGCCTGTAGTCCTAGTTTCTCAGGAGGCTAAGGTGGGAGGATCATCTGAGCCCAGGAGTTTGAGGTTACAGTGAACTATGGTCATGCCATTGCACTCCAGCCTGGGCAACAGAATGAGACTCTGTCTCTGAAAAAACGGTCTCACTCTCACTCATATCTCCCTCTCTGAATATTAGTGTTATCATTTTCCTCTATGTTCGAGAAATATTTTATCCACATATGTGCAAATACATAGAGATATTCCCTTTCTCTCCTTTTTTACACAAAAGGTAGCATACTACATATGCTGTTTTTCACCTTGCTTTTTTTCCTTATTATATCTTACTCCATTCAATATCTAAAGAGATTTGCATTCTCTTTTAGAGCTGCATAGTATTCCGTGGTATTCCATGTGCCATCACTTATTTATTCAGTATCCTATTGAATGGACGCTTAGATTGTTTTTCTGTCTTTTGCTATTTAAACAAAGCTACAGTGGATTACTATGTCGCTTTCCTCAAGTGGAAGTGTATCTGGAATTTCCTAGAAGCTCAAAGGATATATGCATTTCCAATTTTGAAAAATATTGCCAAATGGATTTCTCTAGCTGCTAAACCAATTTACACTTATAACAGTAATGTGTGAGTATGCCTGTTCCTCACACCCTTCATCAGGTATTATCAAATGGCTGTTATTTACGTTAGTATCTGTTATTACAAGTTGCTTTTCTACAATGCCTTAAAGTAGAAAAAACCCTGTAACATACTCTGGGTTTATACAATAGTGGGTTAAGTTTTATTACAGTAATTTCCCTGGTGATGACCTAGCGGCTCAAATGTCCTATATAACTTGCCTAGTGTCATGCAGCAGGTAAGGGTCAAAATCAGGTCTGGGGCCTTAAACTGCCAGTTTAAGGCATATACCCTAACATCAATATTGTCTTCTATTATGTAAAATATACATAATACGAAATTCACCATCTATGCCATTTTAAGTATACAGTTTAGTGGCAATAAGTTCTTTTCACACTGTTGTGCTCCTTTCACAACTATTCACCCACGGAACTCTTCATATTGTGAAAATTGAAACGCTGTACCTATTAAATAATAATTCTCGCCAGGCGTGGTGGCTCACGCCTGGAATCCCAGCACTTAGGGAAGTCCAGGCGGGTGGATCAACTGAGGTCGGGAGTTCGAGACCAGCCTGACCAACATGGAGAAACCCCGTCTCTACTAAAAATACAAAAAATTAGCCAGGCGTGGTGTCGCCTGCCTGTAATCCCAGCTACTCGGGAGGCTGTAGCAGGAGAATCGCTTGAACCCGGGAGGCTGTGGTGAGTCAAGATCATGCCATTGCACTCCAGCCTGGGCAATAAGAGCAAAACTCCATCTCAAAAAAAAAAAAAAGTAAATAACTCTCCTTCCTTCTGACCCCAGGCCCTGGCAACAATTATTCTACTTTCTGTCTCTATGAGTTTGAAAACTCTAGGTACCTCCTTATCAGTGGAATCATACAGTATTTGTCCTTTCGTGACTGGCTTATTTCATTTAGCATAACGTCCTCAGGGTTCATCCATGTTGTAGCATGTTTTCCGTGTAGTTTTTAATCTAGATTTCCCTGATGTCTAATGATGTTCCTCTGCTCACTGATCAATTGTATATCTTTTGGGAAAAATGTCTGTTCATGTATTTTCACTGTCTGTTACGTTCTAAAAGTATCTCCCAAAATTCATGTGGTTGAAACTTAATGGCCAATGTAATAGTATTAAAAGGAGAGCCCTTGGCCAGGCGTGGTGGCTCACACCTGTAATCCCAGCACTTCGGGAGGCAAGGCAGCCAAATTACCTGAGGTCAGAAGTTTGAGACCAGCCTGGCCAACATGGCGAAACGTTGTCCCTACTAAAAATACAAAAATTAGCCACGTGTGGTGGTGAACACCGGTAGTTCCAGCTACTCAGGGGGCTGAGGCAGAAGAATCACTTGAACTTGGGAGGCAGAGGTTGCAGTGAGCTGAGATCATGCCACTGCATTCCAGCCTGGAAGACAGAGCAAGACTCCATCTCAAAAATAAATAAATAAATAAATAAATAAATAAATAGGCCTTTAGGAGGTGATTAAGTCACAAGGGTGGAGCCTTCAAAATGGGATTAGTGTCCTTATAAACGGGCTTGAGGGAGTGGGTTCTCCCTTACCAGGCACCAGATGCTGGCACCTTGATCTTGGACTTTCCAGCATCCAGAACTATAAGAAATGCATTTCTATGCCGGGCACAGTGGCTTACGCCTGTAATCCCAACATTTTGGAAGGCTGAGGTGGGTGGATCACCTGAGGTCAGGAGTTCAAGACCAGCCTGACCAACATGGTGAAACCCAGTCTCTACTAAAATACAAAAAAATTAGCTGGGCATAGTGGCGGGTGCCTGTAATCTCAGCTACTGAGGGAGGCAGAGGGAGGAAAGAGAATTGCTTGAACCCAGGAGGCAGAGGTTGCAGTGAGCCGAGATCGTCCCATTGCACTCCAGCCTGGGCAACAAGAGCAAAACTCTGTCTCAAAAAAAAAAAAAAAAAATTCTGTTCTTTATTAATTACCCAGTCTGTGGTATTTTGTTACAACAGCATGAATGAACTAAGACATTGTCCACAATTTAATGATTACTCTGGATCAAAACCCACTTTTTGCATTGCCTATGAAACATCTCTAGTTATTTCCTCTTATTTTTCCCCTCTAGGATTCATACAATGAGGTATATCACTTAATCACAACCTGTGAGCTGATAGAAGCTCAGTAATAATGGATGTTCATAATAATGGGAAGGCCTGCTGAATCCTGATGAGCCCTCCAGCCTGACAGAGAAAAATGTTAATGATGGTAACTACGAATAATTTTAGGATTTAAGTATATTTTAATTAGTCTGCTGCTTCAAAATTGGTAATGAATATAGGTTTTCATTAACTCTTCATTTTTATTTTTCTTCATTTTAAACTACTGTATACATTGCTGCCTGAATAATTTTTAACAGTGTAAATCTGATCATGTCACCCCCTACCTCAAAACCTTCAAAAGCTCCCCATTGCCAACTTAAATAAATACAATCGTTTTCTATAATTCAGGATCTTCCCATATGCTATGGTTTCAATGCATCCCCCAAAAGTTCCAGTGTTGGAAACTTGGTTGCTGTTGTGGTGGTGTTGAGAGGCAGGGCTTTGAGAGGTTACTGAGTCATAAGGGCTCTGCCATTATCATAGGAGTGGGTTATTTATCTCAGGAGTTCGGACCCCTTTTCTTTGTCTTGCATGCTCACTTCTGCCTTCTGTCCTTCAACCACAGGGTGACCCTGGCCAGATGCCAGTGCCATGGTCTTGGGTTCCCAGCCTCTAGAACCATGAGCCAAATAAATCTCTTTTCTCTATAAATTATCCAGTCTGTGGTATTCTGTTAAGCAGCAGAAAACAGACTAAGATACTATCTTTTTCTGACACAAAAAATCAGTAAAATGTTAATTTTATATTGTGACTCAGAACACAAACATATATATAAACACACGCCCAAACAATAGAAACAAATCCTTCACAGAAAGTTCCTACCATGGCCGGGCACAGTGGCTCAAGCCTGTAATCCCAGCACTTCAGGAGGCCGAGGCGGGCAGATCACTTGAGGTCAAGAGTTCGAGCCCAGCCTGGCCAACACGATGAAACCCTGTTTCTACTAAAAATACAAAAATTAGCCGGGCATGGTGGCGCATGCCTGTAGTCCCAGCTACTTGGGAGGCTAAGGCAAAAGAATGGCTTGAACCTGGGAGGCAGAGGTTGCAGTGAGCTGAGATTGCACCATTGCACTCCAGCCTGGGCGACAGAGAAAGACTCCATCTCAAAAAAAAAAAAAAAAGTTCCTACCATTACTACATAAAATGCATTCTGCTATATATATTAATATAACATATTTAACATATAATGTATTAATATAACATATTTAATATAGTAATATAACATGTAATATATAATGTATTAATTAGTGTATTTAATATATATCAATACGTTAATATATCGATATATTTACTATACATAATAAAAAACATATTATATATATGTATTATATTTTAGAGGCAAGGTCCCACTGTGTTGCTCAAGGTGGATTTGAACTCCTGGGCTCAAGTGATCTTCCTGCCTCAGCCTCCCAAGTAGCTGGGACTACAGGTGCCTGCTACCATACCTGGCTGCATTCTGATATTTTAAAATTAAAACAAAAAATATGTGATGGGGCTCACTAAATTGGTTTTCAAACCTAAAGTTTGGAAAACGTGCTTCTACATCATGGCCAAATATGGCAAGTTTCTTCAGAGCCCTGTAGGACCTACTCCAGTGATACCCAAGCCTGACTGCACATTAGAATCACTTGGAGAACTGAAATTAGTTTCTTTTTTTCTTTTTGTTTTTTGAGACTGAGTCTCGCTCTGTCGCCCAGGCTGGAGTGCAGTGGCGCAATCTCGGCTCACTGCAAGCTCCGCCTCCCGGGTTCACGCCATTCTGCTGTTTTCAGTCTCCCGAGTAGCTGGGGCTGCAGGCGCCCGCCACCACGCCCGGCTAATTTTTTTGTATTTTTAGTAGAGACGGGGTTTCACCGTGTTAGCCAGGATGATCTCGGTCTCTTGACCGCGTGATCCGCCCGCCTCGGCCTCCCAAAGTGCTGGGATTAAGTGCTGGGATTACAGGTGTGACCCACCGCGCCTGGCTGAAATTATTTTCTTAAAAAAAAAAAAAAAAGACGAGACATAATTGAGATCTCTTTGAAAATTCTCATTTATAGGGTCTGCGAAGGAGACCAGAAAGCTGTGTTTTTATTAAATCTCCCCAGTTAATTCTGTCTCGCAGCCAGATTTGGGAACGACTGCTCTTACCACATACTATTTGTCTTTCCTTCATCCCAGACAAATATTCCTTGCTTCATGCATGTTCTTTCTTTGCACATGCATGTTTTCTACCTGTAATCTAGGCCCTCTAAGCCCATCTCAAATACCACTTCCTACTTATTCTTCCCACCAGAAGAACAGTCTCATTTCCTTAGACTTGCCACAAGTCTTTATTTGGGTTTTGTTGATGGGTCTTCTCTTACCCTACCTTACTATGCTTATCTTCCCAATACTTTGTAAACAATCACATTATCATTGCCCCTTATGGGGAGAACAATGGCCTATTTAAAGTCAGAATTTGATAGACTTTCTTGAAATAGAATCTTCCATTCTGGAGCCAAGCTAGTTAAAAGAGAGTTTAAGCAACATCAGATTCTCTTATATTTTAATGTGCTTTTATGGGCATGAATAGGTGAATGTTAAGCCTTTCTGCATGGGAAATTCTTGCAATTTAGCCTCTGGTTAGCTCTTTTTCAATATTCTTTTCATCATAGCCCTCCAAAGGAAGAGACAATGGCCAGATCTACATGCCCATATCCAAAATAAACTAGAACCAAAATTCTCTCCATCCTATTTGATGTTAGGCTCCCTTAAGAATTCCTAGTCTCTGTGACAGGATGTTTCCAGGTCATGTCTTCGAATTCGAAGCAAATCAAATACCCTAAATGTTTTGTTTCCATCTGATTTGTCTGTGCGTGTTCAGAGCACCGTTACAGTACTGTGTTTTCCATTTTGCACGGGTATAAATTAAAGCGCAGGGAGGATTTGATTAGCTTAAGATCCCAGAGTGACTGGCAATGATGGGAATAAAGGATTGCTCCCCAGATTCCTGGCTCAGTTCACCCTGTACCAAACCACAGGTATGTCGCCTTTTTGCTGATGAGGCCACACAACGTTCCTTGAAGGGGATACCCATTAGCTCTGAAAGGATGAAGGCACAAGGAGAGACTTCCAGAGAGTCATTTGGAGAGTCAGGGTAAGGGCCAATGATGTCCTGGAAGTTCGAGTGAGCATTTTAAAATATGGTTTAGAAAAATATGTGGTTAGTAAATACTTAACAGGGTTTGAGGATACTTATTTTAAATGTCAAGCCACTTTGCATTTATGGGAAATATATAGTCCTGCATGTCCATCTCTTACTCTGAGTGTAACACACACAAAATGATAAGACAATATCAAGTTTTAAACAAGACATCATCGGCCAGGCGCGGTGGCTCACGCCTGTAATCCCAACATTTTGGGAGGCCGAAACGGGTGGATCACAAGGTCAGGAGATCGAGACCATCCTGGCTAACACGGTGAAACCCCGTCCCTACTAAAAATATAAAAAAAAATTGGCTGGGCATGCTGGCGGACGCCTGTAGTCCTAGCTACTCAGGAGGCTGAGGCAGGAGAATGGCGTGAACCTGGGAGGCAGAGTTTGCAGTGAGCCAAGATCGCGCCACCACACTCCTGCCTGGGCAACAGAGCGAGACTCTGTCTCAAAAAAAAAAAAAAAAAAAAAAAAAAGACATCATCACATGAATTCCTAGGAAATGCTAAAATTTAAAATGATACCAATGACGAAATGTATGTGGTGGTGGTAGCGATAAAACTGTAGAACTGGGTATCAGAATTAGCAAAGACTGGAAATTCTGGCCTCCAAATATATCTTGGAAGAGGGAAAATCACTGAGGATTCCCACCATATAATCAAGGTTCCAGTGTTACCCCTATCCCACAGTGGACTCTCTGGTTGCTGAATCTGACATCATCGGGAATGACAGGTATCTTGGGGGCTTTCCCTGTTTTCATCATGTTTCGGTTGAACACACAAGTTCTCTAACACCTCCCCCTCTTCCCCTTCTCTTGGGACACACTTATCACACTAACCTTTAAATTCCTTTCTCACTTCTTTTTCACCTCAGGGCCTTTGCAGATATTGTTTTCTGTGCCTAGGAGGAGCTTCCCGCTGATCTTTACAAGGCTGATCATGATTCTAATCCCAGCAGCATATCACCTCAGAGAAGCTTTCTTTGACTTTCTAATATTGTAACGTTTTACTTCACGGTTATCTGACACCAACGCCTCACCCCTGCTCACTCTGGATTACAACATCCTATTTTATTTTCATTAATGCATTGATCTCTACTTGAATTTGTTAACTTATTGTCTCTCCTACTCTCTAGAGAGTAAGCTCAGGGAAAGTAGAAGCCTTGTCTAACCTACTCAAGGTTTCATTACCAGCACCTAGAACCTAGAGCAGCACCCAGCATCTAGTAAGTGCTAAATATATATACGTGTGTGTGTATATGTATATATAAAAAGTATATATACATATATATGTGTATACACACACATTGCATAAATGAAATATCCATCAATGATGTCACTGCAGGAAATGCCTCTTCAACCCATGAATTGCTCTAAGAAATTGCCTAATAATGATTTCTGGAATGACTTCAGCAAGTGCATTAGGTAGTATTTCCAAAATGTGGGCTGGCTGAATAGTAAACATAAGCCAGCCTTCATGGATCACTCAGGAAGATGAACTCAGAGTTTGCATAACCACAGCTGGGGTCAGCTTCCTATTGGACAATCTTTTACACATTCGTAGTAAAGGATGGAGGGCAGGTGTCTTGGGCGTCAGGGAGCAGCTGTACCCTAGCATGCTGTGCCTGCTGCAGGCAGCAGAAGAGCTCTGATGAAAAGCAGAGGAAATTACAGTTGTCGGGCCTTGTGGTCACAAGGGCATGTGTTACATTTGCAAGGTCATCATGGGATAATTCAGGGTGTAGCTTGCACACATTCTGTTGCTGAAAGGGAGATTTTTTTTTTTTCCTCTACCACATCCGACACATGGTTTGCCAGAGGAAGGGCACGAGATCAGCAGCACTGATGAGCTGGCTTGGTGTTTTTAGGCCACAACTCTAATAAACCAGGACTCCCTTCTGACTGTTCCAAAAGAGCCAACAGAATTTATTCATTACCAAGTGTGTACAGCATTTGCACAAAGCCACCAGATTACTTTTGCCTGCCATGCCGAAAGGCACTTGTCAAAAAAATTCTTAAATAATAACACTGTTGATGCTTATTACACTGAAATCTGTGAGAGGGAAGAGTGTTAACCTACTTCTAAGCTACAGATAAATACACATTTATTTCTCTAGTATAAATCTAGGAATTAAAAGAGAATAAAGAACTATGTAAGACTACATTTGGAACAGCAAACAGTGCACTTACATAATATGTGTCAAGTAGACAGAGTGCCAAAAAAATGGTCAGGCCTGTTTGCCGGCAGGGGTGCAGATAAATGCTGTGTAACGAAGTGATTGTGACTTCCCCAAAGTCTTCAGTGACATAAGAGTCAGAGGGCATGAGACGATATGGCTGATTAGTCCATATGTCCCTCAGTGGACAAAGCATTAACATAGGAAATGCTAGCTTGTGCTATCTTGGGTTGTCTCTTTTTGTGCCTTGTGACCCTTGTAAAGGTTTATTTTATCTCTCTGAGCTCTAAATTCTTCATCTGTACAATGGAAATAACTACCTCACAGGGTTGTTGAGAAAATAAAATGAGTTACTCTGGGTAAAGTGCTTTGTAAGTTATTTACTAAACGTTAGCTCCTATTTTTTGGTCCCCGAAGATCCAGTATCTCAGCCTGAGGTAAACAGAAACATTCCTAGGTAAACAGCATGTTTATTTATTTATTTATTTAATTTTTTTTTTTGACATCGTCACACTCTGTAGCCCAGGCTGGAGTCAGTTGCATGATCATAGCTCACTGCTGGGACCACAGGTGTGTGTCACTACACCTGGCTAATTGTTTTTTGTTTTCTTTTTTTTTGTAGAGATGGAGTCTCCTTATGGTGCCCATATTGGTCTCAAACTCCTAGGCTCAAGCAATCCTCCCGCTTCAGCCTCTCAAAGTGCTGGGATTACAGGTGTGAGCCGCTGTGCCCAGCAAGACTACAGCTTTTTTACCCTTTGCCTAAAGCTCTACAGCATTCTGACCTCATCAACTGTATCAAAATGGCCATCAGTCTCACCCCTGTTGACTAATGGACTCGTGTAGATTACTCGCTCTGTGACTTTTATTTGGTTGCAAAAGTAAATCCTATTTTAAAGTATTTAACTTTGGTTGGTAATTCAGGGAGGGATTCACCACATTCCATGAAAATCTTGTGTTTTTTTAGGCTACACGAATTGAGTCATAGTTCGGAAGAAATGAATAAGATTAGTCTAGCAAAATAATAAATGTCTTACCTTACTTGAGGCAAATTAGAAGATTAACAGCTTGTAGCATCTCAGTCGTAAATTAAGAGTAAGAGTGAGAGCCTTAGAATTTAACCAATCAAACACATTTTCTAAGCATTCTCAGGACAAGAGTTAAACATTTATGTACAGATGGAGCAAAAGGCCAGGTGCGGTGGTTCACGCCTGGAATCCCAACACTTAAGAAGGCTGAGGTGGGAGAATTGCTTGAGCGTAGGAGTTCAATAACAGCCTGGGCAACATAGGGAGACCCTATCTCTACACAGATAAAAAATTAGCCAGGTGTGGTGGCGCACCTGTGGTCCCAGATACTCAGCAGGCTGACGTGGGAGGATGGCTTGAGCCTGGGAGGTCGAGGCTGCAGTGAGCCATGATTGCAACACTGCACTCCAATCTGGGTGACAGAGCAAGACGGTCTCAAAAAAAAAAAAAAAAAAAAAAGACTGGGCACAGTGGCTCAGGCCTGTAATCCCAGCACTTTGGGAGGCCAAGGTGGATGGATCACCTGAAGTCGGGAGTTCAAGACCAGCCTGACCAACATGGCAAAAACCCATCTCAACTAAAAATATAAAATTAGCCGGGTGTGGTGGCACATGCCTGTAATCCCAGCTATTCCGGAGGCTGAGGCAGGAGAATCACTCGAACCCGGGAGGTGGCAGTTGTAATGAGTCGAGATGGCACAATTGCACTCCAGCCTGGGCAACAAGAGTGAAACTCCATCTAAAAAAAAAAAAAGATTGAGCAGAAGTATATAGTGCCTAAACGAGATATGTATTTCTTGGTAGTGAGAGGTGAAGACAGTCGAGCATTTGTGTCAGGTGGGGACTTGGAGAACTTTTGTGCCTAGCTAAAGGATTATAAATGTACCAATCAGTGCTCTGTGTCTAGCTAAAGGATTGTGAATGCACCAATCAGCACTCTGTAAAAATGGGCCAATCAGCATTCTGTAAAATGGACCAATAAGCACTCTGTAAAATGGACCAATCAGTGCTCTGTAAAATGGACCAATCAGCAGGATGTGGGCGGGGCCAAATAAGGTAATAAAAGCTGGCCACCACAGCTAGCAGCGCAACCCGCTATCTCATCTTCCAAACTGTGGAAAGTTTGATCTTTTGCTCTTTACGATAAATCTTGCTGCTGCTGAGTTTTTGGGTCGGTACTACCTGTATGAGCTGTAACACTGACTGCAAGGATCTGGGGATTCATTCCTGAAGTCAATGAGTCCTGAAGTCGGCAAGACCACAAACCTGCTGGGAGGAACAAACAACTCCAGACGCGCCAACTTTAAGAGCTGTAACACTCACTGTGAGGGTCTGTGGCTTCGCTGCTGAAGTAGGCGATGTCACGAACCCACCAGCAGGAAGAAACTCTGGACACATGTGAACATACGAAGGAACAAACTCTGGACACACCATCTTCAAGAGCTGTAACACTTCGCGTGGGTCCGAGACTTCATTCTTGAAGTCAGCTAGATCGAGAACTCACCAGCAGGAATAAATTCCGGACCCAGTAGGAGAGAGGTAACTTTTGGCTATATTAAAGGACAGAGAACACAGAAGACGAAAAAGATATGTATGGGGTACTCTGTTTGACACAACTGTGTTGCAGTCATACACATGTCCCTCAGCATAAATGGGGCTTTGACAGTGGTTCCTTTCTAGTTGAGCAGTGGATACAACTACACAGCTGAAGCAATAAGCTGATACATCAGCAGAGCATGCAACTGAAACAAAGTATCCTGGTCTGAATGCCCCAGTGACCAGGTGTAAGTGGAGTCAAAACTTACAAGCACATGTAATGTTAGAGTTTGTGATAAGGGACTTTTATTCCTATAGGAATGTGTTTTTCTTAAGATATTTCATGCTTAAGTGTTAGAACTTCGTTTGAATAAATTATTTCATTCAACCCCTTTCTCTGTTTCTGAGCCTATCTCACTGTACCAGGGATGGTGGAGAGTGGAGAAAGCTGCACTCCATAGGGCCTCTGCTCTCAAAGAGCTTACTTCTCATTAAGGAGGTAAATCAGACATACATAAAACAATCACAAATGTGTAAGGGCGTGTGATTCCATGAGAAATCAATATTCCAGGCTCTATGTGCTGCAAGAGCTTTAGAGGGGAGAGAAAAAGAAAAGGAGAAAAAGAGCCACAGAAATAAGGGCTTCATGAAGGATGTGTAATCTGATCAAGTCCTTGAGAGCAAGGCGGGATTTAAGAGCTGGGCGACACCTGGCTGGGCGCGGTGGCTCACGCCTGTAATCCCAGCGCTTTGGGAGGCCGAAGTGGGCGGATCACAAGGTCAGGAGATCGAGACCATCCTAACACAGTGAAACCCCGTCTCTACTAAAAATAGCAACAACAACAACAAAAAAAAAGCCGGGCATGGTGGCGGGTGCCTGTAGTCCCAGCTACTCCCGAGGCTGAGGTGGGACAATGGCATGAACCCGGGAGGTGGAGCTTGCAGTGAGCTGAGATCGCGCCACTGCACTCCAGCATGGGCAACAGAGTGAAACTCCGTCTCAAAAAAAAAAAAAAAAAAACCTGGGGGACAGCTACATGCTGAGTCCTTAGACCAGATAGTTAAAGCTTCAGAGTCTTTCTCAACCATATGATAGCGATAATAATGCCTGGCTCTGCAGTTTGTTGGAATGATTCAGTAATATAAAGAAAATGATAGAGAACTTGACCCATAGCAGATACTTAGTACAATTATTCTGTAATCATAAATGATCTAAATGTAGCTGTGCCTCTTTTTCAGAGGGGCTTCAATCCACCTTTGGAAATAGGTGGTAGTTAAGTTGGCACAGACACGAATCATTAAAGAGGAAGTAGTGCATCCAGCTGGAGAGTCAAGAGAAAAATACAGAAATAATTATGCATGTGTGCAGGGAAGGCTATCCCAGCAGAGCAGTGGATTCTTGCTGGGTTGGGAAAAAACACGGTATAAACAAGGTGAATCATTTATTCATTCCACACAAACTTGCTGAACAACTATTAGGTACCAGGCACTGTACAAGGTGTGGGCGTTGAAAAAAAGTGAGCCTTGAGAAGAAGACATTACAATTTGCCTTGACATGGTGGAAAACAGGGCAAGAGCCAGACACGGTGGCTTATGCCTGTAATCCCAGCACTTTGGGAGGCTGAGGCTGGTGAATCACCTGAGGTCAGGAGCTCAGGACCAGCCTCGCCAACATGGCAAAACACCATCTGTACTGGAAATACAAAAAATTAGCTGGGTGTGGTGGCATGCACCTGTACTCCCAGCTACTTGGGAGGCTGAGGCAGGAGAATTGCGTGAACCTGGGAGGCGGAGCTTGAAGTGAGCTGAGATTGCGCCACTGCACTCCAGCCTGGGCAACAGAGCGAGACTCCGTCTCAAAAAAAAAAAAAAAAAAAAAAGAAAGTTACCATTGTTAAAATAAACATTTTAAACAGAAAACATAAGTTGCCCTATCTGATAGTCTTGATCTTGGTTTCTTGATAAAGTTTCCATAGGTAGAAAATTTCTTTCATTTCCTGTTGACATTGGTCAAATTGATAAGAGGAAGTCAGATTTTTAAGATTAAGTCAGAAAGCATGCTAAAGTTGACATTAGTGTATATATTCCTCCGTATAAACTCATTTTCTCTTTTAGTGATGACAATATTTTGTCTGCTCTTATTTTTGTTTTGCTACTGAGATTGAATTGCTTTTTAAAATTCATATTTTTTTCCATAACATTTATATATTTTTTCTTTTTATTTACCAAGAACTGTAGTCCATTGTGAATATATTGGGTAGTATTTGAATAACGTAACATTCAGGATCTCCTAGAAAAGTTAAGAGCACTACACAAAATCGTGTGTTGAAATTGTCTATGTAAGGACTTACTTTGTTTCTAAAACATGTTATTTCTTGAAAGACAACTCATAGGATTTGTAAATAATATTTTATGCAATAAACTTACATTTACTTAATTTGCAAGAATGACTCATCAACAGGAGCAGATGGGGGCCAGGAACACACACTTATGTGGCCACAACTACAAATAAAACTAACTGATTAGATGGTAACCACTTCTGAAAATGTCACCTTAACTCCACTTTGTGTCAGCATTTCCTGCTGTTGAGTTCATGCTAACTAGTACTGTCTCTGTTGATTGTTAACTTTTAATTCTCACAGGGGAATGATAAATGATAATACTTTTCCCGTTTTACTGATTTCTTCATAGATTTTTCTCAGAATTTGGAAAAAAATATGTAAATTTTATAGGAAATGACAGGAGGGAATTCCTACATGGAAACTGTAAATAGACATGTCATTTCTCTGTAATTTAGAAAGCTTCAAGCTGCAATTAATAAAATGCAACCTCAAAATAGACTAAATGATAAGGGGATTGATTATATCACATAACAAGAAGTTTCACGCCATCTGGGGTTAGTTAATTCAGTAAGTCAGTAACATCAACAAGAGCTCAGGGGCTTACCACCTTCCCACTCTATCATTCCAGGTATGTGGGGTCCCTTTTGGTCACAAGGTGGATGCAGCTGCTTTGAAGTACCACAGTCTCATATACTAACATCCAGAGCAGAAAAGGGACAATCTATTTCTTGCCATTTTGGTTTTTTTAGTTTTAATGCATAATCTTTCCCTGACACCCCTCCAATGACTTCCTCATCCTTCATTGGCTAGAACTAACATGCTCATCCTTAAACCAATGACAGCAAGGGGGAAGAGGGCCACCATAATGGGTTTAGAACAATCTAGTTTAACCTGAGGTATGGAAGGGACACTAACTGTTGTGTACACCAGCCATTCTCTAACGATCTCTTTGGTTTTTTTTTTTTTTTTGAGACGGAGTCTTGCTCTGTCGCCCAGGCTGGAGTGCAGTGGCGTCATCCCGGGTCACTGCAACCTCTGCCTCCTGGGTTCGAGGGATTTTCCTGTCTTAGCCTCCCGAATAGCTGGGATTACAGTAGGGTGCCCGCCACCACGCCCGGCTAATTTTTGTATTTTTAGTAGAGATGGGGTTTTGCCATGCTGGCCAGGCTAGTCTTGAATTCCGGGCCTCAGGCAATCCACCCACCTCAGGCTCCCAAAGTGCTGGGATTACAGGCGTGAGCCACCACGCCCAGCCACGATCTCATGACGTCTTAAAAATTATTGAAGAATTCAAAGAGCTTTTTTTTTTTTTTTTTGAGACAGAGTTTCGCTCTTGTTGCCCAGACTGGAGTGCAATGGCACAGTCTCGGCTCACTGCAACCTCCGCCTCATGGGTTCAAGCGATTCTCCTGCCTCAGCCTCCTGAGTAGCTGGGATTACAGGCATGCAGCACCACGCCCAGCTAATTTTGTAGTTTTAGCAGACACAGGGTTTCCCCATGTTGGTCAGGCTGGTATCGAACTCCTGATTTCAGGTGCTTTGCCAGCCTCCGCCTCCCAAAGTGCTGGGACTACATGCGTGAGCCACCACGCCACCTAGAGCTTTTGTTGATAAACATCAATAGCTACTGATGTTTATTTTATGAGAAAAATTTGTTATTAATTCATTTAAAATAACAATATTAAACCCATCACTTGTTACTATACTGTGGTAGACAGAATAATGACCCTTAATGATGGTTCATATCCTAATCCCTGAAACCTGTGAATATGCAGATATGATTAAATTAACGATCTTGAGATGGGGAGATTATCCTGCATCATCTAGATAGACCCAGTGTAATCACTCATGTACTTATAATTGAAAGAGGGAGGAAGAAGGCTCAGTGTCACAGTGGTATGGCATGAGAAAGACATGTCTGGTTATTACAGGCTTTGAAGATGGAAGGGGGCCATAAGCCAAGCATTGGGGGTGACCTTTAGAATCTGTAAGAAATAAGGAAATAGATTCTCCCCTAGGGACTCCAAAAAGAAACACAGGCTCACAAACATGTTTTAGTTTAGTGAAACCTATTTCAGATTTCTGACCTCTAAAATTATAATGAATTTGTGTTGTTTAATCCACTTAATCTGTGGTAATTTGTCACGGTGAGAGGTGACAGCGTGCTGGCAGCCCTCGCAGCCCACACTCCCTCTCTGCGCTTCCTAGGCCTTGGCGCCCACTCTGGCTGTGCTTGAGGAGCCCTTCGGCCCACCGCTGCACCGTGGGAGCCCCTTTCTGGTATGGCCAAGGCAGGAGCCGGCTCCCTCAGCTTGCCGGGAGGTGTGGAGGGAGAGGTGCAGGTGGGAACCCAGGGCTGCGCGTGGCGCTTGTGGGCCAGCACGAGTTCTGGGTGGGTGTGGTCTCAGCGGGCCCGCAATTGGATCGGCCAGCAGGCCAGCAAGCCCCGGACAGTGAGGGGCTTAGCACCTGGGCCAGCAGCTGCTGTGCTCCTTCTCGATTTCTCTAGGGGCCTTAGCTGCCTCCTAGCCGGGCAGAGCTTGGGACTTGCAGCCTGCCATGCCTGAGCCCACCCCGCCCCTCCAATGGGCTCCTGTGCAGCCGGAGCCTCCCTGACGAGCACCACTCCCAGCTCCATGGAGCCCAGTCCCGCAGGGTGCGGGACTGGCAGGCAGCTCCACCTGCAGCCCAGTGCGGGATCCAATGGGTGAAGCCAGCTGGGCTCCTGAGTCTGGTGGGGACTTGGAGAGTCTTTATGTCTAGGTAAGGGATTGTAAATACACCAATCAGCACTTTGTATCTAACTCAAGTTTTGTAAACACACCAATCAGCACCTTGTGTCTAGCTCAGCGTTTGTGAGTGCACCAATCAGCACTCTGTATCTAGTTAATCTGGTGGGGACTTGGAGAACCTTTAAGTATAGCTAAGGGATTGTAAATACACCAATCAGCACTCTGTATCTAGCTCAAAGTTTGTAAACACACCAATCAGCACCCTGTGTTTAGCTCAGGGTTTGTGAATGCACCAATCGGCACTGTGTATCTAGTTAATCTGGTGGGGACTTGGAGAACCTTTATGTCTAGCTAAGGGATTGTGAATGCACCAATTGGCACGCTGTATGTAGCTCAAAGTTTGTAAATGCACCAATCAGCACTCTGTGTCTAGCTCAGGGTTTGTCAATACACCAATTGACACTCTGTATCTAGCTAATCTAGTGGGGAGGTGGAGAACTTTTGTGTCTAGCTCAAGGATTGTAACTGCACCAATCAGCACCCTGTCAAAACAGACCAATCAGCTCTCTGTAAAACAGACCAATCAGCTCTCTGTAAAATGGACCAATCAGCAGGATGTGGGTGGGGCCAGATAAGAGAATAAAAGCAGGCTGCCCGAGCCAGCAGGGGCAACCGGTTTGGGTCCCCTTCCACCCTGTGGAAGCTTTGTTCTTTGCAATAAATCTTGCTGCTGCTGACTCTTTGGGTCCACACTGCCTTTATGAGCTATAACACTCACTGCGAAGGTGTGCAGCTTCACTCCTGAAGCCAGTGAGACCACGAACCCCCTGGGAGGAACAAGCAACTCCAGAGGCCCTGCCTTAAGAGTTGTAACACTCACCGCGAAGGTCTGCAGCTGCACTCCTGAGCCAGCAAGACCATGAACCCACCAGAAGGAAGAAACGCCAAACACATCTGAACGTCAAAAGCAACAAACTCCAGACACGCCATCTTTAAGAACCGTAACACTCACCGTGAGGGTCCGCGGCTTCATTCTTGAAGTCAGAGTAAGAATCCACGAATTCCGGACACAATGGCAGCTACAGGAAATGAATATATACTCACATTTTAAAATGAAAAACAAAAACAGGATCGGTGCGGTGGCCCACGCCTGTAATTCCACTTTGAGAGGCCGAGGTGGGTGGATCATTTGAGGTCAGGAGTTTGAGACTAGCCTGGCCAAAATGATGAAACCCCGTCTCTACTAAAAATACAAAAACTAGCCGGATGTGGCACGCACCTGTAGTTCCAGCTACTCGGGAGGGTGAGGCAGAAGAATTGTTTGAACCTGGGAGGCGGAGGTTGCAGTGAGCCGAGATTGCGCCACTGAACTCCAGCCTGAGCGACACAGAGAGATTCCATCACAAAAAGAAAAAAAGCGAGAAGAGGAGTGCACTGATTTACATTTTTGGCACATTTCTTTAACAGCTGATTAAGACAGGTGGGTTCTCGTATCTGGTTCTGCATTCAGTCTGTTGTGATACCACCTGTTACAGTGTCATTGGAAAACTCCACTGTACACACAGGAGAGAATGTAAGAAAAGCAAATAATTTCCCAGTATTGTAATAAAAATAGTTTTGACTTCATGGACCTCCTAAAAGGGTCTTGGTGATCCTTAGGGGTCCCGAGACCATACTTTGAGGATGGCTGGCGTAGGAAGTCAACAGTGTTTCCTACATTCTCCAAAAGAAAAAGCTTTCCCCCCCCCGCATATTCTTACACTGAACTTGTTTGGCCCTAAGGTCTTCAGATCAATGCAGTGTAATCCTCTTGACATTTCTTCATTACTTCAAGTAATACTTAAAAGAGTTTATTTTGTGCCTGGCATTGTTTTATGGGCTGAGGCTATGTAAGTGAACAAAGTCCTCACTTAACGGTGTCATGCTTAGGTTCTTGGAAACTGTGACTTTAAGCAAAACGACAATAAGCAAAACGCATTTTACCATAGGCTGCTATAAACAAGCATCCTGCAGGTTATTTCTGGTCACAAAACATCACCAAACTTCTAAATAAACACCCCCAAATACTTGTAATATTGAAACATTGAAATAAATGTGAGCTATACATACACTTAAAGATTAATAAAATTAGGATAATTAAGTTTTTTTTTTTTTTTCAAGACGGAGTCTGGCTTTGTTGCCCAGGGCTGGAGTGTAGTGGTGCGATCTTGGCTCACTGCAACCTCCACCTCCCGGGTTCAAGCAGTTCTTCTGCCTCAGCCTTCCAGTAGCTGGGATTGCAGGCGCACACCACCATGCCCGGCTAATTTTTTTGTATTTTTAGTAGAGACGGGGTTTCACCATGTTGGCTAGGCTGGTCTCAAACTCTTGACCTCAAGTGATCTGCCTGCCTTGGCCTCCCAAAGTGCTGGGATTACAGGTGTGAGCCACCATGCCCAGCTAGATAATTAAAATATTTACCCAGCTATTCCAGTTCTGAGGTGCAGGTGGCTGGAGCCAATCTAGACAGCTCAGGGTGCAAGGCAGGAACCAACCCTGGACAGGCCATCAGTCCCTGCAGGGCACACTCACACACACTCACAATCACTCACACTGGGACCATGTGGATACTCCAATGAACCCAAGGGGCATATCTTTGGGATGTGGGAGGAAACTGGAGTATCCAGAGAAGACCCATGCAGACAATGGGGAGAATGTGCAAATGCCACACATACAGTGGCCCTGGCTGGAATCAGTTTTTTTTTTTTTTTCTCAGCCTTGTAACAAAAGGACGTTGAATGAAACGACATTGAATGAAACGATGTTATTCAAGGACCTGCAGCACAGTTGTTTCCCTTATGGAGCTTCCATTTTAGTTGAAGAAAAATAATAAATATATAAACTAAGAAGACAATTTCAGATATTGATAAGGGATAGAAAAGGGATACAACAATAAGTAATAACAGGAAGTATGAGGGGTGTTTTGAGTGGTGGGCCAAGGGCTATTTAAACTAGAGTCTGCAGAATTGCTATTAGAGCTGAGATATAAATGATAAGAAGGAATCATTGGAAAACTTGGGAGAACACTCCAGGTAGAACAGCAGGGACAAAGAGCAGGAAGGAGCTTTGCAAGTTAGAGGAACAGAAAGGAAGCCAATGTGACTTGAGTGTAGTCCACCATGGTAATGAACAAATGGTATAAAACAGTCGAAAAAGTCAGGCAGGTTTAGATAATTCAGGTCTTGCAGGATACAAAAAGGACTTAAGGTTTTATTCCAATTGCCATACAGACCGCTAGATGAAATGAGACTATGGAATCCTCTTAAATGCTAGGCTTTGCTTCCTCCTGTAAATTCTTCCACCTTCTCCAAGTGCTGCTCTTCAGCCTAACACATGCCCCATTTTTATCATGATGACTCTCCAGAAAGGCATGAGATCCCAAACAGACGCATCTTGCCTCACATAAATTGTTTGTTATGCTAACGTCAAAAACAGACAGATGTGGAACCAATCAGGGGAATGTAAATTACAGGTCGCTTGATGTGGAGTAACTTCTGCATGTTGGTCAGTGTAGGTGCGCAGCCAAAAATGCACTGTGTGAATACAATTGTTTGGCAATTGCTGATCTGTCACTTGTCCAAAGCGGTAAGTGTGTGAATGGATTTGTATAGGTAATGATTCTGAAATTAGCAACTAGCTTTTCTCATCTCTCCATGATGCAAGAAAAACATACTGGAACTTGGCCCATTTCTGGAAAATTCTTGTGATGATCCTCAATTTTTCAAAATGCACATTTGGTCATCATTATCCCTTGTGTAATCAGTTTCTGCAAACTACAGGATGATGTTAGTTATGTTTAGAGAATAAGGGAACATGCTCTACACCTTAATCAAATCATTTAAAGATGAGCCTTCTTAGATAACACACATTTAAATATATATATATATAGATGGTCGTTGGGAGATCTAGTCTATACTTTGATTTATGCTGTAGTGAGAGAAGTAATCTTGTCTTTCATTGGAAACCTGCAGATGCAACCTGTCCCCAGAACTCTAAGGTATTTACGATAAATAATATGCGAGAAGTGTTTACCACACATTTTTCCACAACAAAATGATGCACAGAATCCACGAATGCAGAAATCTTTGAAAGGGCCAGGAAACAGTCAGGAATTTGGACCCAATCAGTATAGGGAACTGCAAGTGCGTGTTAAAAAGCTGGATCCACGTGAATAATAAGCCTAATCCCATTTTCTTTCTTTTTTTTTTTTTTTGCAGATGGAGTCTCCCTCTGTCGCCCAGGCTGGAGTGCAATGGCACGATCTCGGCTCACTGCAACCTCCATCTCCCGGGTTCAAGCAATTCTCCTGCCTCAGCCTCCTGAGTAGCTGGGATTACAGGCGCCCGCCACCACAGTTGGCTAATTTTTGTATTTTTAGTAGAGATGGGGTTTCACCATGTTGGTCAGGCCGGTCTCGAACTCCTGACCTCAGGCGATCCGTCCGCCTCGGCCTCCCAAAGTTGGATTATAGGCGTGAGCCACCGCGCCCGGCCACCTAATCACATTTTCAAGACAGCTGTGGCTACTTGGGACTCTCATCAGCGGCTCCCGAAAAATTTAAAAAAATCAGTTACTGTGAAAATTTATATTAAACTAAGACCGGACTCTGCAAAGAAAATAAAACCATGTAATTCCAAGGCTACATATTTTCAAAGGAATTTAATTCTGTCCTCTGAATGCAATTAAGTAGTCTCTCTCTCTCTCTCTCTCCGTTTGAGGAAGAGAGAAGGGAAGAAGGGATGATTCTCACTTTTCACTAGGAACCGGTAACCATACCTGCTGTTCTGCCAAGTCTTCGCCGATTCTCTGATTTCTTAGTGCTCAGGGAGTATGCTTGAAACCTATGCCTTCCTCCCATGTTAGATAACCAGAAAGTTTGCTGTAGTTATGATAAATCTGCATAACTCGGAGATGTTTTTGGCACAAAGTGTACGTTAGTTAGATGATGATGATTAAGCTCCCCCCCCACCCCCGCCCCATTCTTGCGGCCGGGGAGTGTGTTTTGCCTGTATTTAAGAAATATCGTTCAGCTGCAGGCGTGTGCGCGCTTAGGCTGTAGTCGGCGTTTCTGAGTCTCCAGGGCAGGGTGACTTGGGTCGGCTGAGTGTCACCCACAGATGTGACTGTTCTTTCCCCCGCGGGCGCGACAGCCTCCTTCCTCTCCAGCCCGAGGCCCGCGGCCCAGACCACGGGAAAGGGAAGGAAGCCCTCGCCGCAAGCCGGCGTCTGGGCCGGCACAAAACGCTCCGCCACCAGAAAAACTTTTTTCCCCCAGCTGCGCGCAACTTTTGGCCTTTTCTCCCAGCACGTTCGCGTCCCAGGTTTCTGTCCGCTGGGTTTTCCTCCGCCTCACTCGCCTTCTCCCCAGCGGCGCGCGGAGGAGCTGGGCTGAGAGGGTCGCGGGGAGCCGGGTCGGCCGCGGCTGGGACGCTGGGGAAGGGGCAGGGGAGGAGGGGGCGTGCGGGGCTGGGGAGGAGGAACTGGTCAAAGGGGACAGAGACGCCCGAGTGCCCGAAAAGGAAAGAGCTGCCGCGGTTTGCTGCAGTCGGAATAAAGTTCGCGCCCTTTCCTCGGCGTTTCGCAGCCTCCTCTCCTTGCTCCGCTCCCCACCCCCGCCCCGCAATTTTTTTTTGTGTGTGTGTGACAGCTGGGCGCTAGCGGCCACCTCTACCTCCACGCCCGCAGCTCCCCGGGGGGGGGGGGGGGCGCCAGGGTTGTTTTTCCATCCCCACAAAGTTGTTTTTTCCATCCCCAGAAAGAGAGAGCAAGAACAACCCAAACAACAAACAAGCCCCCAAAGAAGTCACGGGGCGGTGGGGGGAGGGAGAAACATACATCCTCCTTCCCCAAGCCCCTGGACCTCTGAGGACAAACAACACAACGACCGACTTTTATTTTGCAAAAGGGAAGCAACATTGTAGTCACGACAATTCTGCAGAGAGAGGAAAAACTTGTGGGGCTTGCACGGCCGCCGAGGTCACCTCGCCCGCCGGTCCCCCGCCTCCCGCGAGCAGGGCAGCCCCCTCCCGGGACAAGCCGTTCCCTTTTTTTTTTTTTTTGTCCCGAGGAGGAGCCGGGGAACCGTGCCGGCTGGGACTCGGGGCGCGAGCGCGACCCCGGCGCGAGTGTAAATCAGTCACCTGAGCGCAGAGGGGCCGCGGCGAGGGCGCGCGCGGGCGGGCGGGGAGGCGGAGGCGGCGAGAGCGGAGGCCCGGAGGAACTCGGAGGGGGAGGGAGAGAAAGGCCGAGACGGAGGGAGCCAGCGGCGGCCGAGGGGCTGGTCCAGGCGCGGCCGCTAAGAGGAGACCAAGAGGCGGGGGCTGCACTTGACAACCAGCATGCCGAGATGGTAAGAAGTTTCCACCCTCCTTCCTCTTTTATTCTAGACTTCCTCAGAAATGACCCCCGCGCCCGAGCGCCACCGGGGCCGCCCGGGGGCCGTGTCCGCCCTCCGGCCCGCGGCGTGAGGGGCAAGGGGCGCTGAGGAGGGCGGGCCGGGGACCAGAACCCCGGTCCGACCTGATCCCCGCTGCGCTCCCAGTGGCCTCCCCTAAACTTGGCCCCAAGTTTCTGAGGCGAGCTCTAGGTGGGAGGGTGCACGTGAGAGGGGGCTTCTCAAGGTCGGCCCCGCTCGCGGCTTCCGCGCGAAGGTGAGCGGCTGGCTAGGGGAGGCTCCAGGGCGTTGGGGACGGGCTGGGGGGACGAGGTGGAGGGGAGTGGGGGATGAATGGAGCGCTGGCAGGAGCTCGGGGAAGAGAGGAAGGCGGCTGGGACCTACGGGAACTTTTACAACTTGCCGCCGAGTGAGGGACCGGCGGCTGGGCGTGGGTGCCGGGTGCGCTGGGGCGCAGCCGCCCGGGCCCGGCACGTTGACTCTTCCTCTCCCCTTGTCTTCACATTCGGAATCTTCCCGTGGTAAATGGAGATGGGAGGAAATGCTCCCGCAGGCTTTACGGAGAAGGTGCAGAACGCAGGGCAGGAAAATCAACCTTGCAGAGACGGCTCTTTTCGAAGTGCAATTCTATAGGAGCCGATTTGTTTTACTTGCACGTTGACTGGAGGGTGGGATTTGGGGCCTGGGGAGGGAGCAGAATAAAAAATTATATATGCTGAAAAACCCTAGGTGAAATCTCCTGTGAAGTGAGTTTAAGGTTGAAAAAAAGTTCCAAGTGCAAGTGGTGGAGGAGATGGGCTGGCTTTGCCAAGCGAGACTCCAGCACAGCCCCTCTACGAGAAGCGACTTCTTTGCAGCGAGGAAGCGTGCAATTAGTTCGCCTGGTGATGAGCCGCTCTGTCCGCTTTCGGGGAAGTGATTTGTTAGAAATGGGGCTTGACCACTCCCTTCTTTTTAGTTTGCTTCCTCCCAGCGTCGCTATTGTTACCCCCACTTGGGGATCTGACATGGTGTATTCCGTATATAGAGGGAACATATGAGAATACAGGTGAGATAGCGGGTTGGCATTTTTTCCTCTTCCCTGCTCCCTAATGTGACATCTCTTGTTTCAGTGATCAAAGTCACAACTGGAGTGTAGGAGATGGGACTGTCAAATGCAGGGGCGCGTACACACACACACACACACAAAAGCAAGAGCCCAGGACTGTGGTTACAGTAACGCTGACAGAAATTAAAGTGGTTTTGAAAGCAGCGTGCGATTTATGATGGTTCCCATTTACCCTAGAGTCAAGCTGTTGTAAAACTGACGTACAAAAGACATCATAAAATAATCCTGTGTACCCAGGATTAAAGTGGCAAAAAGTGGCCTGTTTTATTTTTATATACTTCGTGGACACTTGGAATTGTTGAAAGCCGTGTTTAAGTGAGACATCACAACAATATTAAATATATCTGTTTAGAGCTTGAGAGTTTTTCTTCTAACGGGCGTTTTACACAAGAACACTGTAAAAGCCGGTGGCAGGTATTATTTTTCTTCCCTTTACCCTAGCCTATGTTAACTATTTGTCTACACATGTATTCCTATATCCTAATGACTTTGAACTGTGGCTAAGCCTGTCTGCCTTCCACTGCTTTGTATTCTGCAATTTCACGTGTTACTGTCCACACGCATACATGCTTTAAATGGGAGGAATTTATTTCTGGCACGTTACTTAGTGTGTCTGATCTGAAGATGTACCCTAGTAGTGAGACCTTGTACAAGTTAACAGAACATTTACTTTTTGGACAAACACACACACACACACAATCCCTTGTGAGCCTTTAGAGAGTATCTGTGTTTTATATTTGTAGCCGTTTCATGTAAACTGTTCAGTCTTAATGAAGTTCTTAGTTCCCAGAGTGCGCTGTATTAAAAGTCCAGATTGCTAATCACTTTACCAAAGTACAGGAGTATCTTTACCTGAGGGAAGTAATAACGAGCTTGAACCTGAACTTTGTTTTGAGTATCTTTTGAGAAAGGTCTGAAACTTTTTTTCCTCTTGAGAATATTAAGTTGGGTGGTGTTTGCATGTAAGACTTTGAATAAGAATAAACTGTGCATTATATTTTACAATTAATATTAGGAAAATGTTAATAGCAGTACATTCCTACTACCTGATTTTTTCTTCTATTTGAGATGTAAGATATCTGTCAGATAGAGATATGTGATTACAAAAAGAAGCAGACAAAAGCAGAGCTGACTATTGCTATATTAAAATGTAAGTGTTACAGTTTGAATTTTCAAGTGAGAGTTCTTGAGTTCAGTGCTTTACATAACATTTTGTCCTAATCTTGCTTGCTGTCAGGGATGTTTCATGGTTGTGCAATTGCTGCAGTCAAGAATGCCAATTTGCATTCCAGGAGTGTCATTTGATTACTTTTATCTGCACAGCTCCAAGACCGGCCCAGACCTCTCGTTTCATCTTGCCATGTCACGAGTCAATGCTGTGTCGTCTTTTCAAAAATCTGCCTGATTTAGACAAGAAAGAAAAGTACTTTCATGTTGCAGCCGCAGTCCCCTGCTAACTTGTCAGCAGCAGGATATGATTCACTTGGGCCCAGAAGAATGGAACAGAGAGGCGGGTTAGGCGGTTCAATAAAGCCCACGGACAGGTAGTGTGTGACATCCCCAGAGAGCCGCAGTTAATGAAGAACAGGTCTGCTTAGTTCTCCACACGCTGACCTGGTGCTGTCCCCACAGTTTTCTCATTTGATCTTTCCCAGCAAATTGATCTTTTCTTGTATTTTTTTGCCTTCCAAGTTAGTCCTTGTGGGACTGAAATTAGCAGAGCAACTTAAGTTGGATAATACAGCTGTTCAGAAAAGAAGAAATTGGACACTGGCTCAAAAAGGGGTGGGGGTGGGGGGGTAGAGGGAGCTATTCTTTTTGTTGTTGTTCCTGGGAATATTTCTTATATTAAGGGAGTCCAAAATAGATGATGACTTGAAGTTAGTGGTTTCCTTTACTTTTAATTTTACAGTTAAGGGTTCAGCACGGTTTTAAATATTCCTTAAGTATTTGAAAGATGGCCTTAGTGAATATGAGGAGTTCAATTTAGTACTGTTCACATTCACTTGTTTGAGATGATTTGCCAGTTGACAATGTGGCTTTTATGGTTATTGTAAGATGGCATACTTCAACTGTATTATTTATAGTCTTCTAAACAACCTACGATCCCCAAATATCCAATACTAAATTGCAGGTAAGATTAAACAATAAAAAAGTCATTATACTAGTATTGTGTATAAATACTATGGTACATGAAAATGTTTTCTATACTATTAGCATCTTTGTTTTATATAAACCCCACAGATACAGTTCATGAAGTGTTTTTTTCCTGAATTTTTGAGATTCTGCATTTAAATGTAGATTTTTAAAACTGAGACCAGACCACAAGTTTGAATTTCTGTGGATGTTCATACATGTTGTTGTTTTTTGACATTAAAATTAATTTTAGACAGGATGGGTAAATTTATGTCGTATGGTTTAATCTGATTAAAGTTTCACTATAGAATTCTGTACATAAAGCTTAGGTTGGAAGCAGTTTATAGATTCTTAACTTGATAAATATATAAGGAGCAACGCTTTCTGATTTACTCAGCAGATGGTCTCATTTACCATCTACATCCTTACAAGAAACAGAGTGGAAAACATTTCTTGTGGAAGGGGAGGTAGCCTCCTCAAATCTTTCCTGTTGGATGGGAATTATATAGTATCATTGGTTAGTAAAATCCCCTCTGAAGAGCTAGAGGGAGCCTCATGATTTTATTAGATATACTTAAGGTTTAAAAAACACTCTGGCCATCAGAATGTTGCACAAAAAGAGTAGGTAATGAATACTGGCTCAGTGTTGAGGCTGGGAGGTGCTATTATGGTTTTTTTTTTTTTTTTTTTTTTAAAAGTGACAGAAGCAAAAGAACTTTCTACAAGAACAGTCAAGGCGTCAGCTAAGCTTTCTAGGCTTTTGCCTTTCAGGTGATTTGAAGATCAGGCAAAATGCAACCAGATACTATATTTTAAATGTTTTGGTTTGACTAACTACTGTTTGTAGTTTTTGTCAACTGAGGGAGTTACTCTCGTTTTAGGAGGCCAGTCTTCAGAGTTCTATTAAAAGTAGCTTCCTACGAAATCACCGAGAAGTGGGTTAACTTCTTTTAGTTTATGAAGGACAACCCCTTTTCTGTAAATGATGGTTTTGGAGTAGTTCTACATACAACTTCTGTATTCCAGAGAGAAATTTTCTTTAAAATAAATGCTTCCTGTTATAAGCATAAATGTTAAACTATTTATAAACCTGACTTATTATGGATCAAAAAATAAGTTAAAGAAATAGGATTTAAATGATATTACATTCAATAATTGTCATTTAATTTCATATTTACCACTTTCCATTAACATTTGTGATACAGTTATGTTAAAGAGTCATTGATCATAATTGCACTTTAATATTTATATACTAGTTTTTAGGAGCATTACTTTAGACAAACATATTTATCATTTAAGTAAATAATATAATCCAGTGAGATAAACTACCCAGATTTGTCCTTCTTAAAATCTTTTGCACAGTAGCTCTCATTATGTTGCTAGCCAATAAAAGTCTTTATTTGTTGCTTATTAGAACCCTCAGTACACTCAAGAGTTCAGCTATAATTTAATTTGGCTGTTCAAAGAGCCTCCCTTGTTTTGAAATATATTCTCAGTATGCTTTTACCATTTGTTACGAACCCATATTCTAACTCAATGCGTAAGAACCTATATTCTAACTCAATATGCGTAAGAATGATATTACAGATATATCATTCTTTAAGTTTTTGCTATCGTCATAACTTTTTTCCTTTAAAAATATCCGTACATAACAATATCAGTTTTGTTCTTTTTGCTCTATTTTCTCTTTGACATTCTAGAGTATTTTTCTCTTGGTGATTTAAATTGTTTTGCTGTTATAATTTAAAATAAACTTCCTAAGGAATACAACCTTCCCTTGAGGTATAGTGAGAAGGGCACCAAAAAATAATAGGTTCGATAATTAAGAATTCTAGCTGAGGCCATTTCACAGTTGCAATCACTTACAATTACAAAAAGTTTGCCTGGTACTTCACAAATTGCTAGTAACTGCTGTGAAGTTTTTCAATGAGTAGAAGGTGGCTTTGAGAGTTTTGGTTGTATTTGTAACAAATTACGTTCACTAAAGACTAGAACTTGACTATAAAACTCTAATAAGATGAGTATCAGGAATTCTTCCATAAGGAAGGCAGAATGTGAAACTCCTAAATGACTCACTGTGTATGTATCTTACCAGTGGGAATAGCATCAAGCCAGCCTTCTAGATACAGTATTTAATAGTTGTCAAAATGTACAGTATTGTCTTGGAACTTGTGGTTCATGAGTTCATAGTCCCTGCTTTTTTGTGTTTATTACAAAGATGTAACAACCTACACAAAACATTTTTCTCTTATAATGACCTTACATTTGCCAAAGTGCCCCATGCTGAAATTCCTTTTCAGTGTCTTTTTTTTTTTTTTTTTCAGTCCAAAGCCAGACGTGTACCCAGACACAAAAGCCTCTGTGTATAGCAAGCTGTTTTAAATATTGTGACTCGACGATGTGCTGTCCTTTCTCTGCTTGAGCCAAGGATCTCTGCTCAGTGTCTGTGGATTACCAAGCTCCTTCTTTATTGTACCTCTTGTCAACTATTCCTATTCATTTAACCTTTCATTAGTGTCTGTGCAGCTTCACTGTCTGGAAAGGCAAGGAAAAACCGAAAGGCCCCACTGTCACAGTTATTAGATTTCTCGGTTACATCCCAGCAACCGTAAAGAAGTAAGCGTCGAGACTATTGTCGTGCATGCTGCTGTCCTGGGGTGCAGCTCTTCTGTGCATGTCAAGGACATGTGCCACATGTTGATATGCATCCCAGGGATAAATGCACAACATGGGGGATAGGCCGACGCTGGCAGTAATGAGCTTTGTAGGAGTTATTGCAAAGACCAACAGTTTGTGAAGGAATTTTGCTTAACAGGCCAAGGAGATAGACAGAGTTGAGGGTTGCCAAGATTTGCCTGTGCGGGGCTTGTCAGTCACATTGTTTTCATCCAAACTTCATTTGAGGGGAAAATTGAATACATTTGACAGCAATGGAAAGTCTTATTTTCTTTTTTCAAATCTTTCAGAGGACAAAAGCAGTATTTCTGGTGACTAACATAACTATTTTTAGTACTGACTAAATCATATATATGAATGGATCTATTAGCAGTTTATCTTTTTCCATATCTAGAGAATAATTAAAAGATATTTCATAGATGTCATATATATGTTTTAAAATCTATGTAAAAATAATGTAGCCTATTAATTTTCCTTTGCTCTTTTCCTCCTTTGATTTTCCTCTAGCATAGCCTGGTTCTTTAGAAATACATTTGCTTAATTGGCTAGATGCAGAGGAGAAAAAGGATGATAATGTGGTCATTTTCAAATCATAAATAAAATAAGTATTTGTAAATTTTGTATTGGAAAATATTATTTTAAAATCTTAGAGATGAAGAGAATTACCTTTTTAAGAATTCTGAAAACACTTGAATAGAAAATGGTACATTATAATACATTTGTCCCTCTTTACCCAAAAGTTTGTCTTTTTTTCTTTTTTAAACTAGGAGAACCGTTTTTACTGAGGGTAAATAAAATATTTTTGTCTCCTGATTTCAACAGATTTTGTCAGTTTTCCAAACTCTTTTGGGGTTCTCCAATAACTTTTCAAATATGTTAATGACTTATTGCCAAATCCCTGTAAAGTTATTTTTAATTTTTCTTGACCTTACCTCTTTTAGGCAAGGCTTTTTAACAGTTGTACTTTCTCTGTTAAGGTTTTTTTTGAAACGGAATCTCGCTCTGTCGCCCAAACTAGAGTGCAGTGGCGTGATTTTGGCTCACTGCAACCTCCATCTCCTGGGTTCAAGAGATTCTCCTGCCTCAGCCTCCCGATTAGCTGGGACTACAAGCGTGCGCCACTGCGCTTGGCTAATTTTTGTATTTTTAGTAGGGACAAGGTTTCACCATGTTGTCCAGGCTGGTCCCGAACTCCTGACCTCAGGTGATCCACTGGCCTCGGCCTCCCAAAGTGCTGGGATTACAGTGTGATCCCACAGTGAGCCACTGTGCCCAGCCACCTCTATTAAGCTTTTCTTAGTGTCTTGTGAAAGTATGGGCTAAGTTATCCTTGTTTTAGGGAGAGAGAGTTATTTTTCATAGTCTTTCCCCCAGGTGGGATGCTAAATGCCCAGCTATCCTATCCTAGGGCTATGCCCCAGCCTTTTGGCCAGCGGGCGGAAGTACTGTGTAGAATATATTGAGATGGGGCAGGGCGTGGTGGCTCATGCCTGTAATCCCAGCACTTTGGGAGGCTCAGGTGGGTGGATCACAAGGTCAGGAGTTCAAGACCAGCCTGGCCAATATGGTGAAACCCCGTCTTTACTAAAAATACAAAAATTAGCTGGGCGTGGTGGCGGGCACCTATAATCCCAGCTACTCGGGAGGCTGAGGCAGGAGAATCACTTGAACCTGGGAGGCGGAGGTTGCAGTGAGCCAAGATCTCGCCACTGCACTCTAGCCTGAGCGACAGAGCAAGACTTTGTCTCAAAAAAAAAAAAAAAAATCTATCTATATATAGCTATATATAGATGAATCTGCCGTGGTCATCTAAGGCTGGTGACCTTCCCACAGAAAAAGCATGAGTGTCTTAACATTCCTTTTTCTAACAGTTTCATTTCCATTTATTATGGTTTGTGTTGGGAGTAGTAGAAGAGAAAAGAGGGACTTGTGAAGATGAAGGCCATAATTTTAACTCTTCCCCTGGCAATGAAAACCCCCAAATTAGAACAAAATAGGTTAGTGCTGTGTGGTAATTAAAGAGAGAGGAATACATGGCAGTAGCTACTCTCTGCAGGTATCCTGCACTTGTTCTTTATCCAGTCAGTATCTCTACGCAGGTGACTGGCTGTTTCTTGGAAGGCAGTTGTACTGTTGCCTGTTAGAGACTCAGAACAGCGCTGGGACGGGGTATCTATAGAGGCCCTGTTCTATTCCACCTACTTTTGATAGCCTGTGTTCTCTCATTTGTAAGTCAAGTGAGTTTGGTAATTTCTAAGTGCCTTTCCAAATGGTACATTTCATATTTTATATAACACTATATAATCATAGCAGTTTGCTGTTATTAGCTTTATTGAGATATAACTCACCCACTTAAAATGTACATTAATATTCCATTTTATGGATGTACTACCTCTTATATATCCATTCAATGAAAGCACATTTGGGTTGTTTACACTTTTTGAGTAATGTGGCCCTGAACATTCATGTACAAGTTTTTGTGGACATAATGTTTTCATTTCTCTTGGGTATATGCTCAAGAGTAGAATTGTTGGATAGTATGGCCTATCTACTTATAACTTTTTGAGGAACTTCCAAATTGTTTTCCAACGCAACTGCAGCATTTTACTTTTCAACCAATAGTGTATAATTCTTCCAGTCTCTCTACACCCTCCTCAACACTTGTTATGTGTCTTTTTTTTTTTTGTCTTTTGAGATGGAGTCTCGCTCTGTCGCCCAGGCTGGAGTCCAGTGGTGCAATCTCGGCTCACTGCAAGCTCCACCTCCCAGGTTCACGCCATTCTCCTGCCTCAGCCTTCTGAGTAGCTGGGACTACAGGCGCCCGCCACCATGACTGGCTAATTTTTTGTATTTTTAGTAGAGACGTTGTTTCACTGTGTTAGCCAGGATGGTCTCGATCTCCTGACCTCGTCATCCTCCCGCCTCGGCCTCCCAAAGTGTTGGGATTTCAGGCGTGAGCCACCGCGCCTGGCCCTTGTTATTGTCTTTTTATTTTTACAGATCTTAGTGGGTGTGAAGTAGTATCTTTTTATTTGAATCATACTAGTGACTATGAAGTGATATCTCTGTGGTTTTGATTTGCATTTGCCTGATGGCTAGTGATGTTGAGCATCTTATGCACTTTATTGGCCATTTGTGTATCTTTTCTGGAAAACAGAGACATGTCTCCATTGGCCATTTTTCACTTGGGTTATTTGTCTTTTTATTATGCAGTTTTAAGTGCTGTTTATATATTCTGAGTACAAGCCCTCTGCTAGGTACAAGGTTTGCAAATACTTTATCCTATTCTGTGGGTTGTCTTTATTTATTTATTTATTTTTAAAGAGACAGGGTCTTTCTAGTTCTGTTGTGCAGGTTGGAGTGCAGTGGTATGATTATGGCTCACTGCAGCCTTGAACTCCTGGGCTCAAGAAATCCTCCTGCTTCAGCCTCCGTAGTAATTGGGACTACAAGTGCAAGCCACGATGCCTGGTTAATTTATATATATATATATATATATTTTGTAGAGATAGGGTATTACCATGTTGCCCAGCCTGGTTTCAAACTCCTGGCCTCAAGCGATCCTGTTTCCTTGACCCCCCAAAATTCTGGGATTACAGGCATAAGCCACTGTGACTGTGCGCAGCTGTCTTTTTTTTTTTTTGAGACAGAGTCTTGCTCTGGCGCTCAGGCAGTGGCGTGATCTCAGCTCACTGCAACCTCCACCTCTTGGGTTTAAGCCATTGTCCTGCCTCAGCGTCCCGAGTAGCTGGCATTACAGGCATGTGCCAACATGCCCGGCTAATTTTTGTATTTTTAGTGGAGATAGGGTTTCTCTATGTTGGCCAGGCTGGTCTCTTTAAACTCCTGGCCTCAGGTGATCTGCTGGTCTTGGCCTCCCAAAGTGCTGGGATTACTGGCATGAGCCACCACGCCCAGCCCCGGCTGTCTTTTGACTTTTTGATGGTGCCTTTTCAAGCACAGAAATTTTTGATGAAGTCTAATTTATCAATTTTTGTTGTTGTTGATGTTTCTGTCCTTGGTATGCTATCTAAGAAACTATTGTCTAACCCAAGATCATGAAGATTTACCTCTGTGTTTTTTTTGATAAGTGTCTTACAGTTTGAGCTCCCACAGGGTGGATTCATAGATCTTTAATCCATTTGGATTAACTTCTGTAAATAGTATGAGGTAGGGGTACAACTTTATTCTTTTGAATGTGGATGTCTGTTGTTCCCAGCACTATTTGTTGAAAAGACAGTTTTTCTCCATTGAGGTGTCTGGGTACCCTTGTCAAAAATTAATTGACCATGATATATAAGGGTTTATTTCTGGAATTTCTGTTCTATTCCATTGATCTTTCTGTCTGTCCTTGTGCCAGTACCACACTGTCTTGACTACTGTAGCTTTGTATTAAGTTTTGCAATTGAGAAGTGTGAGTCCTACAACTTCGTTCTGTTCTTCTTTTTCAAGATTGTTTTAGCCATTCTTAGTTCCTTAGAAGTTGACTTTTTAAAAAGCAATTTGGATTGTGGTAGAAAACAACGTAAAATGTATCTTGTTAATCCTTTTTTTTTTTTGAGATGGAGTCTCACTCTGTCGTCCATGCTGGAGTGCAGTGGTGTGATCTCGGCTCACTGCAGCCTCCACCTCCCTGGTTCAAGCAATTCCCCTGCCTGAGTCTCCCAAGTAGCTGGGATTACAGGCACATGGCACCATGACTGGCTAATTTTTTTGTATTTTTAGTAGAGATGGGGTTTCACCATGTTGGCCAGACTGTTCTCCAACTCTTGACCTCAGCATTCTGCCCGCCTTGGCCTCCCAAAGTGCTGGGATAACAGGCGTGAGCCGCCGTGCCTGGCCCATGTTAACCATTTTTAAGTGTACAGTTCAGTAGTGTTTTCTGTAACTTAACGTACAGCAGATCTCTAGAACATTTTCATTCTGCAAAGCTGAAATTTTTTAACCTTTGAATAACAACTCCCGTTTACCTTTTCCTCCCAGCCCTGGGAAACCACTATTCTAGCTTCTATTTCTAAGAGTTTGCCTACTTTAGATGCCTCATAGAAGTGGAATCATGCAGTACATATTTGTCTTTTTGTTCCGGCTTATTTCACTTAGCTAGAAACTTAATGTTCTTAAGGTTCATTTATGTTGTAGCATACAACAGAATTGTCTTCATTTTTAAGGCTAAATAATATTTCATCATATGTATATACCACATTTTCTTTATCCATTCATCTGTAGATAGACATTTAGTTTGCTTTCCACCTCTTGGCTCTTGTGAATTATGCTGTTGTGAATATAAGTATGCAAATAGCTGTAAAAGATACTGCTTTCAATCTTTGGACATATATGTAGAAGTGGGATAGCTGGATCATACAGTAGTTCTTAATTTTTTGAGGAACCTCCATACTGTTTTCTATAAGGGCAGCATCGTTTACATTCCTGCCAACAGTGCACAAGGGTTCCAATTTCTCTACAACCTCACAGCTTATTATTTCCTGTTTTTTTTTTTTGATGGTAACCATTCAAAAATGGTTGAGGTGATATCTCAGTGTGGTTTTGATTTGCCTTTCCTTGATTCCTGATGTTAAGCATATTTTCACGTGCTTTTTGGGCATTTGTATATGTCCTCTTTGTGGACATATCTATTCAAGTCCTTCACCTATTTTTAAATCAGGCTTTTTTTGTTGTTGTTGAGTTTTAAGAGTTGTCTATATGTCTATACCCCTTATCAGAAATATGATTTACACATTTTTTCTCACTTTCTATAGTTTATCTCTTCACTCTGCTGATTGTTTCCTTTGCTTTTGCAGCACAGAAGTTTCTTTTTTCTTTTTTTCTTTTTTTTTTGAGATGGAGTCTCCCTCTTTCGCCCAGGCTGGAGTGCAGTGGTGCAATCTTGGCTCACTGCAAACTCCGCCTCCCGGGTTCACGCCATTCTCCTGCCTCAGCCTCCCGAGTAGCTGGGACTACAGGCACCCGCCACCATGCCTGGCTAATTTTTTTGTATTTTTCATAGAGACGGGGTTTTACCATGTTAGCCAGGATGGTCTTGATCCTCCTGACCTCGTGATCCACCCGCCTCGGCCTCCCAAAGTGCTGGGATTACAGGCGTGAGCCACCGCGCCTGGCCAGAAGTTTCTAAGTTTGATTCAGTTCCATTTGTCTATTCTTGCTTTTGTTGCCTTTAGCAGTTTACTTTTAAAGCTCAGATATGTCTGATCCTCAGAAGAGTAAAGGCTACATTAAAAAAGTACATTCTATTGTTTAGGTAAAAAAGTCTTGGTAGTACTCCAGGGGACAAGAAATATGTCATTTGGTAGCCAAAAAATGATAGCTCCTGGTTCCCTGTGAAACACCCTGGTTTTACTTTGATGTTTCTTAATTATCATTGAGTTTAAAAGCATTCTAGGTGTTCCGTATGATAAGAGACACACTTCATGCCCTGAAGGGTGGAATTAAGTACCCAGAAATAATTGTTTTTGGTTTTATAAATACCTCAAAAGGAAAGGGGGAAGAAAACCATTATTGAGAAAATTTGTCTTCCTAGACATCCCGTCATGACTAGAAAAACACCAACAGAGATAAAACTAAAAATTATTGTATGATCTCCAAACCCAAAATAACTGGTCCAGTGAAGTTTTATATAAATAACCATGTTCAAATCTGGTATAGCATATTTGGAAACATGAGCTTGCTTTACAGTTTACCTGGCAAATTTTGTAATTAAAATACCTCATCGTTGAATTAGAGAAACTTGAGAGCAAATGAAAGGTAACTTAATTTAGAGGCAGCTATATTGCTTCATTGTTGAATTAAAAGAAATATTCATTCCCTTACAGTTCTAATTTTCTCTTTATTCATGCTAATAAAGGCTGATATTTATTTTCATCTAAGTAATTGCTTTTCTAGTATTCTGATGGACCATTCTTCACTGCATTGTCTGTTTCTGGCCTTTTGCCAGTTATTTTAGACAAAAGTTTCATTATTTAGTCAGCATCAACTATTAATTAGATATGTAACTGTTCAAATTTATACAAAGCGAGTGTGCATTTTTTCATCATAAGTGTTTACGTACATAAAGAGTAATTATCCAATTTAAAATGATATGATGTATTTTAAGGATAATTTTTTTTTTCCCTAGGGGAAACAATTCTGTGAAAATTCTGTAGAGGATTTAAAATCACTTCTTTTTTTTTTTTTTTTTTTTTTTTTATTTGAGACAGAGTCTCACTCTGTTGCCCAGGCTGGTGTGCAGTGGCACAATGTCGGCTCACTGCAACCTCCGCCGGCCGATTTCAAGTGATTCTCCTGCCTTAGCCTCCCGAGTAGCTGGGATTACAGGTGCCTGCCAACCCGCCCGGCTAATTTTGTTTTGTATGTTTAGACGGGGTTTCACCACGCTGGACAGGCTGATCTCGAACTCCTGACCTCTGGTGATCTGCCCACCTCAACCTCCCAAAGTGCTGGGATTACATGCGTGAGCCACTGTGCCTGGCCTGAAATCACTTCTAAAAATTGTTACAGTAAAAATTTTATGTTTACCAGACGTAAATTTTGGTTACATATACATTTATCCCAATTGACACATTTTATTCATACTGAATAAAACATTAATGTTACTTTTCTATTTTTTATGATGTATTTTGACATGTGTTTAGATGTATGTTTTATATGTATGGACTGACAAAATCATATATGCTATTATTTGGCATCTTATGTGGTTGGAGGTCATAAAGAATGTAAGTAACTGAAACAATACATTTGCTCAAAGAAAGGCCACTCAATTCTCTGCCCTGTGGTATCTAATCTCCCTGTAATACACATTTCACCATCTAGGATTGGAGAAGTTCATTCTATCAACACGAATGCTAACAGGTAGGCTTCTGGAAGTACAATGTGATAGTTCAGATCTTTCTCTGATTCAAAATGGTGATTTAAAAGAAAACATACTTGGCTGAATTGGCTTTTGATAGACTAAAACATTAATTTGCCTTAATGTGCATTAACGCTAAAGGATACTAAAAAACAAAAATTTTTTTAAACCCAGAAATTCTACCAGGTCTGGAGCCATATTTTTCACCCAGTAAATGTCCCTTGTAAGAAATATATTTACACGAAGGGCTGGGTGCAGTGGTGCATGCCTGTAGTCCCAACTATTTGGGAGGCTGAGGCAGGAGAATCATTTTGAGTCTAGAAGTACAAGTCCAGCCTGGGCAAGATAGTGAGATCCTGTCTCTAAAAAAATAAATAAGAAATATTTTCGCTTCAAGAATTTATTTATATCTGTGCATTGGTCTTTGAAGCTTCCCTTTTGTCTGTAAACAGCAACCAGTCGCTGACATGACATATTTGTGTACAAAGGACAGTGATAATTAGATATGCTGGAATTTGTGTGTGTGTGTGTGTGTGTGTGTGAGAGAGAGAGAGAGTGTGTGTGAAGAAATATGGATGAGAAACTGGTAGTTTGCTGCTTCCTTATGGGGGAGGGTAGAAGGCAGAATAGAAGGTAGAATAGTATAGTTGACTGAAATTTTTTTGGAGGGGAAGGGCAGGGTTTACCATTAATGTACTTTCATTTTGCAATAGATAATACTTGATACATTGTTTTTTGTGGTTTTTAACATATATTTATGGATGGCATGGATGAATGTTGAGTGTCTTACTTACTGTTTTACTAGTATGACTGTCAAATTGCATTCCTGAAGTACGGATATGCTAAGGTAATAAATCTGCTAGCAGCCAGCAAGTAAATGTTTACTTACTATATATGGAATAACTTGCTGCAGATTTCCATGAAACAACATTAGACAATTGTGTACTGATTTGGTAAAAATAAAAAAGATGTGGCCGGGTGTGGTGGCTCACGCCTGTAATCCCAGCACTTTGGGAGGCCGAGGCAGGCAGATCATGGGGTCAGGAGATCGAGACCATCCTGGCTAACATGGTGAAACCCCGTCTCTACTTAAAAAAAAAAAAAAATACAAGAAATCAGCCGGGCGTGGTCGCGGGCGCCTGTAGTCCCAGCTACGTGGGAGGCTGAGGCAGGAGAATGGCGTGAACCCGGGAGGTGGAGGTTGCAGTGAGCCGAGATTGCGCCGCTGCACTCCAGCCTGGGCGACAGAGCGAGACTCCGTCTCAAAAAACAAAAAAAAGATGCTTTTAAAAATTGTTAGATTTTGATGTTCAAGCTGTACATTTGGCGTAGGCATGGGACTTCTAATTGCCTTCATTTGCCAAAGTATAACAACCTTTTTTTATTTTAGAATACAACAATTTAACAAGCGTTTGAATTTCTATGATGTATGTGATACTCTATTAGGTGCCATAGGTATTACAGATGAAGTAGAAGCTGTCATCCTAAGAGAGAGCACAAAATTCACTGGTAAAGGGATATTCATTATCTTAAAAGAATTAACCATAGTCCATGGTCTTCCTCTGGCATATGAAGCCTTAGGAACCTAATTTTGTTAACATACCATTGAGAAAGATCACCTTTTCATGGATGCATTCAGTTTGTTCACCAGCTGAGGAGTGGAGATCACACACACACACACACACGCCATGTGAACATGTATGTATCTGTATACCATATGAGGTGGAATACTCATGTACTCATATTGAAATGATTAGTACGTCTTCTCCTTGGCAGGCAAATTTAAATGGGGAGTCAGATTATAATCCAAATGTTGTTCATCTCTTTATGGGGTTGGAATTTCAGCAGAGAATATTAAGGGTGGGATGGGGGCCTGAGGGTCTTCTCCTCCTATAGAGAAATTCTTTCCAGTGACCTGTGATGTTCACGGTGCACACTTTGGACTCCTTTCCTGGGCTGTGCTTGTAAGAGTATTGACAGTGTTTACCCCTCTTGCTTTTTTTCTGCTACCATTGCCCTTGTGATAGACAAATTTCTCTTTCTTTAGATACGTTAATATTCTCAAGCAGATATTAGGCAACTGTCCTGGGAGCTAGTTGTTAAGGTGACTTTGCCTCTCTTTGGTTTTTTATGGATCTAATGCAGATGGCAGTCTCATTTCACTCGTTTCAAATTTTCTTGGGGGATACCTCATGCTACTGCCTTACACATAACATGTTTTGTATACGGATAAGTGGAAATGGTGGAAAAAAAGATATATATTGCAAGAAAAAAAAGACTTAGAAACTAGTTATTAAATACCTGGTAGAGAAAGTTTCTTTTGTTAAATGCCTTATAGAGAAATATCTTGATCTGAAATTGACTTTATATACAGGTGGAATAAACTGCTCTAGAAATCAAGAGGGAGTATGTGTATTTAATCTCTGTATCTGTTTTCTGTGTCTCTTTTCCATCCTAAAATAAGGGTTAAGATTAGGTTTTAAAGATTCTTAATAATTCTGTACATTGTGTGATGCCCACCATCTATTTGTGGTATTATTTTATGGACCAGAAAGTTAAAGCTGTACCTTTAATTTCACATTGGTTAATTCTAGCAGCTTCCCAATTAGTGTCATTTTTTTACCTTTCAATCTTTCCTTCCTTTTAAAACACTTGAACATCAAGAATAATCTGCTATGGGAAGAGAAAGTAGAAAGGAAAGACACTGAACAAACATCCACTTGATGTTAGGCAGCAGGACAGAAGTTGGTGGTCCAGGGAGCAGCCTGCCGGCCTGGTGTCCTTAGGCTCCAGTCTGACTTTAGAAGTCCCATGTCTATGAACTTACATCCATAAGTTCAGGCGACATGTAAGTTTCCGAGCAGTCATAGTACAAGCATGTAATGTGAGAATTTTATTATTTAAACCCGCAGAGCTTAATGAACTCCAAATTTTATTTTATTTTATTTTTTTGAGACAGAGTCTCCCTCTATTGCTCAGGCTAGAGTGCAGTGGCTCAGTCTTGGCTCACTGCAACCTCTGTCTCCCAGGTTCAAGCAGTTCTCCTGCCTCACCCTCCCGAGTAGCTGGGATTACAGATATGCACTACCACGTCCAGCTAATTTTTTGTAGTTTTAGTACAGACAGGGTTTCACCATGTTGGCCAGGCTGGTCTTGAACTCCTGACCTCAAGAGATTGACCCATCTCAGCCTCCTAAAGTGGTGGGATTGCAGGCGCGAGCCACAGCGCCCAGCTGCAAATTTTAAATTTGAAAATGTGTCTGAAATGAAAATAAAGTGAGGGGAGGTGTTGGAGAGAATGGAGAAATTGCACAGGAATTGTAGAACATGGATTAAAATGTAATTAGAAAGTTACGTTGAAAATCAAAGAACTAGTTAAAATGAGTGTCATTATGCTTTTTTTTTTTTTTTTTGAGACAAGGTCTCACTCTCATCACTCAGGCTGGAGTGCAGTGGCATGATCATGGCTCACTGCAGCCTCGACCTCCCTGGGCTCAGGTGATCCTCCACCTTAGCCTCCTAACTGGGCCTACAGCTGCATGCCACCACGGCCAGCTAGTTTTTTGTAGAGATGGAGTTTTGCCATGCTGGCCAGGCTGGTCATGAACTCCTGACCTTAAGTGATCCGCCTGCCTGGGCCTCCCAAAGTGCTGGGATTACAGGCGTGAGCCACTGTATCCTGCCCAGAATACTATTGTATCTTCTAAGTGGCCTAGTACTTCTATGCTTGCCTCTCTCCTCCCACTACTCCTAGAAGACTATCCACAGGTTGATCACTTCTTATCTCACAACCTTCCAGTGACTTCTTATCATACCTGCAGTGAAATCCCAACTCCTTACCATCACTGAAAAGGATATGTAATGTTTGTGACCCAGCCCAACTCTGACGCCGTTTCCTGCCACTGCTCCCTCTAATCCAGCCTTGCTGATTTTCCACAGGCCATAGAACTTTGCTAAGCTGGTACCTACCTCAGCCCTTTGCATGGGGTTTTTCTCTGCCTGTGAGGTTCTTTTTTTTCACACTTTTGCAGGGCTTCCTCCCTCATTTCACTAGAGTCTCCTCTGGAATGTCAGTCCTTTAAAGAGACCTTCCTGCCAACCTTCCCTCCTGTGTCCCTATCAGTGTATGTTTCTTTGGTCTCTTACCCTGATTTTTTTCTTCACAGCACACTGCCGCTTGAAAGTATATTTAATTTTTTTATTTACATGTAGTTTATCTTCCCACCACCATGAAGCCCCATAAGAACAGGGTCCTTTGTCTTACTAATTCTGCATTTCCATTACCTGTAGCAACACTCAACAAATATTTATTGAATGAATGAATGGATGAATATCTCACATATGATTGTCCTTGTGAATATGAACGGATTCTTTATCAATAGTTATCAAAACTTATTTATTATAACCATTGAGAGTTCTTTGGCATCTGCTGCTGAACTTTTCTGAACTGCTTATGCTTAGCTCAGTTGGAATAGTGGTTTCCAGGATAGATGTAAACACTTCAAGGGGTATGCAGAAATCATCCTTTACGATTTGGGGGAAAATATATTAGAAATTTGATTTATCTTGTTCACCTATTTTTGTGTTTTATAGTGTGCATGATATATATATAAGGGGAACATTGTGCTGTCAAAAAAACTGAGACTGGATAGAGCATGATCTGGACAGGATGGTTAACTTTGTTTAAAGCAAAATGTATCTCTGTAGTCAGGCTATTTTACAGATTTTGTGCTTTTGTATAATAAGGCGGTGTGACTGCGGGTGAGAGTGTAAAATCTGTTCCCACTCTTCAAAAGATCACACATCTCATGTTGAGTTGAAAGTGAAATATTATATATGAGATTCAGCATGAATGTGTATATCTATATGTTTTATTTAATATTCATCCTCTGGTGGAATTTACAAGTCTCTTCAGTTCAGGGTATACCTGTTTTGGGGTCCTTTGTACCTGTGCTAACATATGTGTGAGAAGTATGTGAGCTCTTTCAGTGACTGAAAAAATTATTACTTGATTGGTCTGTTTTGGCGTGATCTGGGCTTTTGATTAATCTTTGAATAACTTTTTCCTTCATTTTTAATAGTTCAGGCTTGTTAATGATGCTTCACTGGCTTCTTTGGGTATCTGTGACTTAAGTTTTTAAAAACAGTTTTATTGAGAAATAATTTGCATACCATAGAATTCATTGCTATGAAAAGTTTTACAGTACCATTTTATAATTACATGTGATTTTCAAGACACAGGAAAATAAAGAAATGGTATGCTTAGAATTTGGAAGAAAGTCTAGTTATGTTTTCATTTTATTTTTATTTTTTTGAGACAGGGTCTCACCCTGTCACCCAGGCTGGAGTGTAGTGGCATGATCATGGCTCACTGCAGCCTTGACCTGCTGGGCTCCAGCAATCCTACTGCCTCAGCCTCCTGAGTAGCTGGGACTACACGCATGAGCCATCATGCCTGGGTAAGTTTTTTTTTTTGTAGAGACAAGGTCTCACTATGCTGCCCAGGCTGGTCTCAAACTCCTGGGATCAAGCAATCCTCCTGCCTTGGCCTCCCAAAGTGCTGGGATTATAGGCATGAGCCACTGCACCCAGCCGCTGTACTGATTTTAAATACTTTTTAAGTGAAATGAGATTTTATAACATTTGAAGAACTTAAAATGTTTGACAGGATTAATAAATTTGAATGAAGCATTGAAATAATTACTATACTAATGAATACACTAAGGAAATTTGAAAACCACAAATAAGCAGTTACAAATAAGTATTATTATTTATAAAATAGTCACCCTAGAAGATGATGCAGTGATGGTGTCATAGCTTAAAATGCTCTTGGAGGTCTTCATTTTACATTGATTTCAGACAGCCTGTGTCTAGTTCTTCTAAGCGTCTTTGGTGCTAGCAAATCTTCCATGACATAAGCTTTGATTTTCTGAATCTTCAAAAGTCTTTTGGTGTTAACTTACTTGGTGGGTGTTAAAACAAGATAATTCTATTTTTGATTTTTTTTTTTATTTACTTTTTAGAAGCAGAGTCTCCCTCTGTCACCCTGACCGGAGTGCAGTGATGCAATAATAACTCACTGCAGCCTTGAACTCTTGGACTTAAGCGATCCCCCTACCTCAGCTTCCTGAGGTATTGTTCAGGCTAGTCTCCAACTCCTGGACTCAAGTGATCCTTCCACCTTCACCTTCCACAGTGGTGGAATTACAGGCATGGGCTACCACCCCCAGCCTATTTTTGATTTAGAAAAAAGACAACATTGATTTTTCACATATAGTTTACAAGTTGGCCCTAGAAGTATTTACAGATGATGAGTTCTAGAAATATTTTGAGCAATGGTAGCATTGTTGGAAGAAGTACAGTGTCTTAAGCTGACAATTTTGACATTGATTCTTTCCTCCCACTAGTTATGGAGCTTCTTTAAATCTATAAAAAGCCATTTCACTATATAAGAATTGGTATCATATTTTGTGCACTTATAGATTCATGCGTACCATACATGCATGCTTATAAATATCATTCCACTGACCAAAGTGTGTTATTATTTTGTAGCCCTTTGTAGCCAGCTCTATGTTTTAAGTGCCTGATAAATTCTACTGTAGAGTGAATTTTTTCTATTCTAAGTAAAATTTTGGAGCCTGAGAAGGCTTCTAAAGGCAAAGGATATCAAGAAAAGTTTTAACTAAGATGTGAGACTGCATGAGTGCTTCATGATACGAAATGGTTTTATATATAGGTCTTAGATAAGAAATTAGAGAGGTTGACAGATAACCTACCTAGTCTGTTTTTTTAGTTGAGCAAATCTGTGTGTGGGGGGCATAAACAAATACTAGTGACATTAGAAATCAGAAAGCTAGTGAAGTACAAATTTGTGCACATAACACTGTTTGTGGGACAGCCTTATTCATACTGGTCTTTGACAAAAGTCAAAGGAAAAAGTAGTTGCCAAAGAGGAATATGACTTTTTTTTTTGTACTTTAGGGTTTGTTTTTGAATTTCAGCAAGTTATGGTTTGAGGTAATACTAATCAGTTTTTTTATGTTGACTTTTTGGTTATCAATTAAGAAAAGCATTAGTGCTTTGGAAAAATCTGTGTTGTTGAACTTCTTCCAATTTGTATACAACCTCTTCTCCACAGCGTAAAATGCAAATTTTGCATGGGGTCAGGTGCGGTGGCTCACGCCTATAGTCCCAGCACTTTGGGAGGCAGAGGCGAGTAGGTCACTTGAAGTCAGGAGTTCGGGACCAGCCTGGCCAACATGGTGAAACCCCATCTCTACTAAAAATACAAAAATTAGTCGGGCGTGGTGGCATGCGCCTGTAATCTCAGCTACTTTGGGGGCTGAGGCAGGAGACTTGCTTGAACTTGGGAGGTGGAGGTTGCAGCGAGCCGAGATTGCGCCACTGTACTCCAGCCTGGGCGACAGAGGGAGACTCCATCTCAAAAAAAAAAAAAAAAAAAAAAAATCTTTTGCATGGAATCTGCAGATCTAGGAATCATTTTATTGTTAAAAATATAACTAGCAATTTTGAAAATTCAGTCTGCTTTGTGAAGTCAGACTCTAGAAAATTTATAGATTTTTTTGGTGGGGGGAATGAGAGTTCGGGAAATAAAAAGAAATGAAATAAATTTGACTCCAGGAAAGCTAATTTTACATTTGTTTCTTCATTCCTCCCTGGGGCTCTCTGAAACTCTGGAATTTTCTCATTTAAAAGAAAGCTAGAACAACCTGTGTTGGACATACAGGTTGAGCCTCTGGTATTTGAAATGCTTGGGACCAAAATTCAGATTTATTCAGATTTTGGAATATTTACATTTACATAATGGGGTATCTCAGGGACAGGACCTAAGTCTAAACATGAAATTCATTAATTTTTCTTATATATTTTATACACATAGCCTGGAAGTAATTTTGTATATTTTTACATTTTATGCCTGAATTAAAGTTTGTGTACGTGGACATCAGAAAGCAATGGTGTCAGGTGTGGAATTTTCCACTTAGGACATGTTGGTACTCAAAAAGTGTGGGATTTTAGAGCATTTTATGATTTTTGGATTTAGGATGCTCAGCCTGTAAACTTGAGGGTCAAACTTTTCTTGTGTTAGTTGAAATCTCCTGGGTGCTTTCTTTTAACCAAATCCCAAAGTCTTTTTTATAACTAATATGCTAGATTTCCTACATTGTTTTATGAAGGTAGAGAGGGTCCTTAGCAGGCCTTGTTTTCAGGTGTAAAGTTCTGCTGGACCAAAACCTGAGGGCGTAATTAACAGTGTCTTTGGAGGGACTGTTTGTGCTGTCTTCATGGACCATTTGGCTCATAAGATGGGATTTGGTTCATAATTCATTGTCATGTACTGTAACTCCTGTGGGAGTATAACGTCTAGCTGTTTTGCATTGGATAGGTTCTGAATGCTTTATCTTGTTCCAGGGTGGATTATTATACTCAAGAATGCACTTAATTACAAGCTTTATGTTTCCAGCACCCATTCACAATACCTCCTCTTCACTACACCTGACTTCATCGATGGAATTTCATTTGTAGATTGACTTGGGAGATGGAAGCTGTCAGACTTGAAGTCTGCCTCCTTTTTTTGGTGCCTTCTCTTTACTTTGATATTTTGAACCTTTCTAACTTAAAATTTGTTTTTAGGTTAATTTTCTCAGCAAAAGAAATTTATGTTTGATAAGATACTAAGGGAAAAGGCAGCATTTATTAATATTGGATGTTTCCTAATTAGAATATCTTAAGAGTTTGAATTTTGTTGTGTTTTCATAAGCTACTGCATCATAGGTTTCATTGTCTTTGAACAGAGACTTAGAAAAGGGATGCTTTGGAATATTTCTTGTTTCAGTCTTTTGAGATTGAACACACAGGTTTCTTACAGGATTTGTTTTTTATGTATTTATGTAACCTGTCTCTCCAGTTTCCTGAATTCATGCTTCATATGAGCTTAATCATACTTTATTTTAAATAATCAACTGTTTACACATCTACCGCACATGCTGCTCCGTAGATTCTCAGGTGTATCTTTATGGTCTTTTCATTTTTCTGTCTTTATCAAGGAATAAATGATCCTAACTGGATCATGATTTACTTGTGGATTTATTCAATAGTTTTGTGTTTTAGTTTTTAAAGCCTTGCTCAATGGTTATGGTTTGGGGATATCTTGATATATCTCGGACAAGCTTTTAATTGTCAAAATTAAGTTATACTACCTTGTATATTTTAGTCTTAGAATTTAATGTTCTATTCCTGATTGAAAAACCTGTGACTAGCACTTCAAAATTTCCTAAACGTGTTTGGTCAATTCTTTTTTCCTTTTTAACCAAATGAATTTTATAAAGTCAACTTCCTTAATTTGTAATGTAGGCTCAGTGAAAGCTTCAGGGTTGTTGCCCGCCGCCCCCCCCCCCCCGCCCCGAGAAATCTTCAGAGAGATGTTTAAACAAATCAAAATATACTTAAAGTGTAAAAAAGGTAATTTGATGTGGCAAGTTTTAAATAAATAAAAAAAATAAACGCACACACTCCATAACCTTTCTTTGAGTCTTGGTTTAAGTTCTCTGTCATATAGTGCCAAAAACTTTGTTTTGAGCTGCGTGTGTGTTGAAACATGTATGCCTGTCCTAGTGTCATAACTAATTATATCTCTTATATGCTTACTTCTAGTAATTGGAAAGTAGACCTACCGCAGCATACATCTTCACATTTAGTTTTATCTTGAGGACCTGCTACAGAGATCATTTTCTACCATGCAGCAACTTGACATTGTGAACAGATATTACTATTTTAAATATATTATCTACTTTGTGTTTTGCAGAAATAGTGTACTTTCAGGGAAGTTAAGTTTCGGGTGTTTCCAAAGCACATCTGTCTTTACCAGTAATTATACACTAATACTGCCTTTGCAGTTTTGACTGAGATATTTCATCTGTGAATTGGAAATTGATGGCCTAGTGCTGTGATAGCAAAATTTTATAGGATTTCTTTTTACTCAAAGTTTTCAAAAGATTGTGGCTGATGGAAAACCTGCTGGTGCTTTGGTCACTTACTCTTCATGGATTGGTCTAAAATAATTTGGGGCTTCTTTTGTAAAAGTGTATTGTAGAATTTTCACAAACTTAGAAATCCTGTCTTAGATATGCTTATGACTGGGGCCGCAAACTGTTTCTCATATGCACCAGCTTGTATGAAAATATGTGGTCCTTGTCCATGCCTGCTGAAAGAGAAACCCTACCAGTCTTCAGTTTCTGAGCTGCAGCCTTGTCGAAATTAAAGTCTTAGGACTGGGAGCAGTTAATGCTGGTGATAGATTGTGGTATTTAGCGCTGTGCTGTGTTGCGTGGTGGACTTACACGATTCTAGTCAGAACTTGGGAAAGAATATACCACAGAATTGGTGACAAATATTTTTCAAAGAGAAATACGATGACTTTTCTTATTAATGAGCAGACCTTTTGGGCTTTGCTTAAGGAAATAGTGAAAAGATTGTACAGTTCTGTTATTGATAATGGTTTAGAATTTAACACTGAAAATGCTGGATTTTCTTTCCTCTTATTAAGTTAATGTATTACTTTGAAGCATCTTTTCTTTTTTTACAGTTAGAAATTCACCAAAACTATATTTCAAACGTAGCTCTTTTTAATTTTATACTAAATTAATTTTTTTTTTTTTTTTTGAGACGGTGTCTCGCTCTGTCTCCCACGTTGGAGTGCAGTGGCGCGATCTGGGGTCAGTGCAAGCTCCGTCTCCTGGGTTCACGCCATTCTCCTGCGTCAGCCTCCGGACTGCAGGTGCCCGCCACCGCGGCCAGCTAATTTTTTTGTATTTTTAGTAGAGACGGGGTTTCACCGTGTTAGCCAGGATGGTCTCAATCTCCTGACCTCCTGATCCGCCCGTCTCGGCCTCCCAAAGTGCTGGGATTACAGGCGTGAGCCACCGCGCCCGGGCCACTAAATTAGTTTTTATAAATTCTGCATTGTTTCTGTCATATGGTAACTTAAGTATGCAGAGGCATTGAACTTGAACATTTTGTGTTCTGGAACGTGGGGTTTGGATTCTTGGTATAATTTTCCTATTTTATTTTTATTTTATTTTGAGACGGAGTCTTGCTTTGTCGCCCAGGCTGGAGTGCAGAGGTGCGATCTCGGCTCACTGCAAGCTCCGCCTCTCAAGTTCACGCCATTCTCCTGCCTCGGCCTCCCAAGTAGCTGGGACTACAGGCCCACGCCGCTACACCCGGCTAATTTTTTGTATTTTTAGTAGAGATGGGGTTTCACTGTGTTAGCCAGGATGGTCTCGATCTCCTGACCTTGTGATCCGCCCGCCTTGGCCTCCCAAATTGCTGGGATTACAGGTGTGAGCCACCGCGCCCGGCCAATTTTCCTATTTTGAAAACCCAACTACCGTGGTTTCTTTCTAATGCGTATATTATGACTTGTAGCATTTGAAAAGCTCCATGGTCTAGGCCATGTGACTTCTGAGGACTGTAACTGTAAAAAAGCTGGTGTTGAATAATTAAAAACTCCCTCCATTTTAAAAAAATGCCCATTTCTCTTAGAATTTTTATGGTGTCAGTCAAATTAATGCAGGTATGTTTGGTTTTAAGAATAACATGATAGAAATCCGAATTTACACTGATAGGCTGCCTAAGAGAAAGTTATTTCAAAACATGGGGCATCCTGGCAGTGCCTGGGAAGGTTGGCCCCCAGCCCGACTGATAGGAACTTCCTACTCATCAGTTCGCTGTGAAGTACTGACAGGTGGAGGGGGTTTAGGCTTCTTTGGGTTCTGAACCTGGTGATGCTACTACCTACACAGTGTTTGGAAATCTTGGGCGATGTTTTGTTTGTCACAAATGACTCAACTGGGGGGCTGCCTCCTGCTATTTAGTGGGTCAGGGACACTGCAGCATCAGGATTGCAGAACAATTTACATACAGTGATGAGTTGTTCTGCCCCAAATACCAATAATACCTTTCCCAGAAATGACTGGATAGTTATTGATATAAAAAAATGAAAAATGGCTGGGTGCGGTGGCGCATGCCTGTAATCCCAGCACTTTGGCCAAGGCAGGTGGATCACCTGAGGTAAGGAGTCCGAGACCAGCCTGGCCAACATGGTGAAAACCCGTCTCTACTAAAAATACAAAAATTAGCCGGGCGTGGTGGCGGGTGCCTGTAGTCCCAGCTACTCGGGAGGCTGAGGCAGGAAGAATCGCTTGAACCTGGTAGGCGGAGGTTGCAGTGAGCCGAGATCTCGCCACTGCACTCCAGCCTGGGTGACAGAGCGAGACTCCGTCTCAAAAAAAAAAAAAAAAAAAAAAGAAAAGAAAAATATTCGTAAAAATACTACTCTTGCTCCCCATCCCTAGAATTACCACCTGACATCTTTTTTTTTTAAAGGAATGTTGATTTTTTTTAAGGTGTGTACTTGATTGAACACTGAATTCTACTTCTTAACGTTTTTAAGTAAACATGATTTGTAAAGGCATATGGATATTTTATGCAGTTGGTATATTAATAGTATTTAGTCGTAAGCCCCCAACTCAAACCCAGATATACCCGTTTTTGCAAACACCCATCAGATTTTGTGTCAGTGTTTGGTAAACTAGCACTTAAAATGTGTGTTGAAACTCCTGTCTGTAATTTTTTTTTGTAACGTAAAAAAAAAAACTTATGAGAAATTGCTAAACTCTTATAAGATTTATTATTATTATTTTTGTAGAGATGGTGACTCACTATGTTGCCCAGGCTGGTCTTGAACTCCTAGCCTTGAGCTATCCTCGTGCTTCGTAGGTGTGAGCAACCGTGTCTGGCCAAAAGATTTTTAAATGAACAACAACAACAACAAAAAACCTAAGAGTAAAAACCAGAATTTGATAAAAACAGATATTTCACATACTCGTTGCATCCTCATGGCATTATCAGTTCTGGCATTTTGACTTGGAAGAAAAATTCTAACATGAATTTCTGCTTGAATTCTAACATGAATTCTGCTTGTTTTCAAATACTATTCAATTGGGAGTAACTGTTTGATGAAAAGCGTAGTACCTAAACCTCTTCTCCTTCCACACACATTTGTAGTCTTACATGGTAAACCTAAAGTAGCTCAGAAACATTTACTAAAACCCATTTACTTGGTAATAGATTTTTCATTTATAAAAAAGGAGCTTAAGAATATGTAGGCTGGGCATGGTGGCTCACGCCTGTAATCCCAGTACTTCAGGAGGCCAAGGCGGGTGGATCACTTGAGGTCAGGAGTTGGAGACCAGCCTGGCCAACATGGCAAAACCCTGTCTCTACTAAAAATACAGAAATTAGCTGGGTGTGGTAGTGTGCACCTGTAATCCCAGCTACTCTGAGGCTGAGGCAGTGGAGGCTGAGGCTTGAGCCCGGGAGGCGGAGCTTGCAGTAAGCTGAGATTTTTGCCACTGCACTCCAGCCTAGGCGACAGAGCAAGACTCCGTCTCACACACAAAAAAGGAATGTATCTTAGTGTACACCTTTCGAACGACCATAAATGACATCTCAGTACTATCTAGTACAAACAGAATTATAACCCTGCCCTTTTTAAAGAGTATTGGCTTTGGAGTTGTAAAGACCTGAATTTGAATACTGATTCTGCTACTGAATATGGTAGAATCTTGGGCAAATTCATCTATCTCTCCATCAGTCAATTATCTATCTATCAAATCTATTTTTAATTATAGTAAAAAACAGATAAGATTTACCCTCAACTTTTTAAAGTGTACAGTTCAGTAATGTTAAATATATTCATATTGTTGTTTCATTAAAAAACTTTGAATTTTGAAATAAGTTCAGGCCTTCACTTGAGGTTATGAGTTTGACTCCAGCCTGGCCAACATGGCGAAACTGCGTCTCTACTAAAAATACAAAAATTAGTTGGGTGTGGTGGTGCACACCTGTAATCCCAGCTACTTGGGAGGCTGATGCAGGAGAATTGCTTGAACCCAAGAGACAGAGATTGCAGTGAGCCGAGATGGCACTGCAGCAAGACTGCACAGAGTGAAGGAGACTCCAAAAAACAAAGTAAAACAAAACAAAAATAAAATAAGTTCAGGCTTACACAAGAGTCAGAAAAAAAAAATACAATGAATTCCTATATATCCTTTAACCAGATTTCCCAAATGTTAATGTTTGCCATGATTGTTCAGTTTTTAAAATGGAGATAAAATTCACCATTTTCAAGTGTATAGTCACTGGTTTTTAGTATACTCACAAGGCTGTGGAACCATCAACACTATTTAGTTCTAGAACGCTTTCGTCACTCCACAGAGAAACTCTATCCTCAACAGTAAATCCTCCATTCTCCCTCCCCAGCCCTTAGCATCTTTTACTTTTTGACCCACTGTTTTCTATAAAATAGGTATAATAATATTTATGCTGGAGTGTTTCTGAGATGACATATGTGAAAATTCCTAGCATGGTATCTGTGTAATGCAAGTGCCAAACACCCATTCGTTTCTTTTTCCTATCACAGAAACAGAAAGTATCATACTTATATCTACATGAACTATTTTGGAAATTCTAATGCCAGCATCTTTTCTAAGTGAATTTCTCTTACTAGTTTGGTAGGTCAACAGTTTGCAAGATACTAAAAATCATAGTGGAGGTTCATATGTTAAAATAACATAAGGCAAAGCAGCTTCAAAACTCCAAAAAATATGTGCATTAAATAATGTCTTGCAGGCCGGGTGTGTGGCTCACGCCTGTAATACCAGCACTTTGGGAGGCCGAGGCAGGTGGATCATCTGAGGTCAGGAGTTCGAGACCAGCCTGACCAAAAGTGGTGAAACCCTGTCTCTACTAAAAATAGAAAATTAGATGGACGTGGTAGTGCATGCCTGTAATCCCAGCTACTTGGGAGGCTGAGGCAGGAGAATCACTTGAACTCGGGAGGTGGAGGTTGCAGTAAGCTGAGATTGTGCCATTGCACTCCAGCCTGGGCAACAAGAGTGAAACTCTGTCTCAAAAAAAAAAAACAAATTTGATAATAATGTCTTGCAGACATAGGCTTCGGAAATACATCTTTTGCAATGGGCAGTCATCATGCATGCAGCTCTTTTCATGGATTAATCTTTTATTTTGAAGTATTTTATCTTTTTTTTCACGTTTTAAGTGTTTAAACATTTTCAAACTTTGTATTTTTGATTTTATAAGAAGGCATGGTGAATACCACAGTGCAGTGAAACCACTCAAGGATCATAAGGGTTCCATTGTTAACTTAAATGACCCACACAGACCTTATGCCCTGGTTTGATTAGCTTTTGATGATATGATGGTTTGATTATGGACATACAGTTTAGCCAGGATATCTACATTTTGAGGAATAATTAGTTACAGTTCTGATGGCCTCACAACATTTTTACAAATGTTTTCTAAGTATTTATAGTGTAGTGGAAGTAGCATAGGCAGTGTAGGTATAGAAAGCGTCGGAGTCCTGAGTTTGAATCCCAACTATGCTGTGGGAAGTTTGACAAGGGACAGAATTTCTTTAAGCCTGGATTTCCTCATTTTTAAATATGGAGGGTAATAACTGTCATTGCTTAGGGTTGGAATGAGAATTCAATAAGACATAGTTTGGGTAAGGATCAGCACAGTGCCTGACAAACAAAAACTCATTAAAACGGTGGATATCTTTCAGATTTGCTTATGTGTTGTTTAAAGAAAGGACTCTTTTGCCCATTAATTTGTGACCTTTTTATCTGCCTAGAACATTGCCCATGAGGTCATTTCTGCCCGTGAAGTAGAGAACTACAGTGTTCAAATGTGGAATCGGAAGAACAACGAAAATACTAATTACCCTAGCTGAGAGGTTATAGTGGTGGAACTGGTGGGATTTCAGTCAAAAAAGCTGATTTTGTTAGATACAATATTATCTACAGTTAGGCCTGTTTATTGTGGAGTGGCCAAAATATGTTATGGTATTTAAAGAGTAGTGAAGATATTTTCCAATCTGAGTGCATACATGTGGTAACCCTTCTCTGATGAGCAGTTGTAGGCTCATTTGACATTAGAACTGCTGAAATAACTATGATTGAAATGTTTATTTGGTGTCAGGTTTATAAACATTGTACTTGGTTTCTGTGGCAGGTAACAAGCATAGGAATACCAATTTTACCCAGTCCCTTGACCTGGTAATTCTTTTTTGCTTTTGGTATATCTTACCATCTAAGTTCTTGAGTCTTAGTGACAAAACTGTATAGTGTTTGTCACAGATGTGCGTATTTGGAAAGGCATACAACCACTGCAGTATTTTTGCCATCATGACATTAAAGGAAAAACACTTGTGATAGGGTGAATAAATACTTCTGAGCAGAAGCAAAGGTCAAGCTTTAGAGTGAACTTTTGAGTGACAGCTAGTGGCTTAAGGGGGAGACGCCATGTTAACTATGGGCATTCATTAACTGCGTGGATATGAAATGGCAGTAAGTTCTCTCCCCTTTTATGCCAGGGGCATTGGATTCTGTAAAAGCAAAAGGGAGAGGAGCGTATGTGGCTGCCAAAATGAGATGGTAAGAAGTTAAATGATCAGGACACAGAGAAATTAAGGAATAGTAAGGTTTAGTGGGTATGTGATAAACATTGCAGATAGGCTCTGTGGTATGGACCAGAAGGCACAAGGTCTGGATTTTTTTCTAACCCAGACTCTGTCACTGACTGCCTGTTTGATCTTTGTAACTTCTTTGGTACTTCTTTAGACCTCCTTATCTGAAGTTAAAGATGTAAAACAGTAAAGATGTAAAGAGTAAGTTAAAGATGGAAAACAGGTTTCAACTCTTATCAATATTGATAGATTGGTAAAGGCTATTGAGAAGAGAATCCTGCAGCTGTGTCTTGCTTGGGTCATTGGAAGGAGTTCTGGGATTAGTTTAGCAGTTTCTGGTGACTGTCATGGGGTGGTGGTGGGTGTGTGCTTGCAGGCATGCATGTTTGTACGTAGGTACATGCACCACACCGCATTGGTTGACTAATCATTTGTAAAAATCCTTTTCAATTCAGTCTATATATTGGAAATTACGTTTTTCTTGGCTGTAAGGTTGAGAGGATCTTCTAATCAGCCTTTAATTTTTCTGACTGAAAGCCAGTGTACTTCTAGTTTTGGGAGAGAATTACGTGCTATAGAGCTGGATGCCTAATAGGCATATAGTGATGGCGCCTAAGAAGGAATGAAATCGTTGGTCCGAGAGCTAGAGAGTGCGCAGCGTGCTTTAGACTTGCATGGGGTTCTCTTCTAACCTGCATATCTGTGTGAGTCAAACATAGTAGGTCCTTTCAGATAGGTAATCATCTAATGAGCCACAGTTAATTAAATGTTTATCATTGCTTAATATTTGGTATAGGGCATTTTATTTCTATTCTAGGATAGCTTTCAAAACTAGTAATTTGGGCAGTATTTTAGTACTACATAGAAGGAAGACTGGTACAAAATGGGTGATGGCGTGTAACTTTTACCGTATTGATACATAGCATAATATAAACATGGCATTAAAAGATGCATAGCCTTAGCAACGAGTGCTAGTTATGATTGGTTGAGCAGTATTGAAAGCAACTAAGATTACTTTCAGATATGTATATTATATACAAACTGTTGCAGAATTATTGCTTCACTTTTAAGGAAAAGAATCCTTAAGTTTCTAGTGTCTTTTATCTGAGAAAATTATCCAGAATTGTTAACAGTTTAATCCACTATGTTGGAAACTCTGTTAGAAACTTTTATGTATCAGCTCTTTCTGCAAGGAGGAATTATTAAGAGCTAACTTCTGTTAGCTCACCTCTACTGACTAGTGAAATTAGTAGTTTTCTTTCACGTGTGTTCCTTAAGAAACTGTATGTAGCAACCACATTTGTGGCACACATAGACCAATACAATAGCCTTTTTGTATTTCTTTGTATCTTTCTCAAGTACTATTAATGTTGTCCTTACTGTGGGTCAGGAGTCATGTTTTACTCATGTTGGAATCACCCAACCTAGCATAAGCCACGCATACAATAAGTACACTATAAATAATGTTGAATCCATAGTTGAAATACAATTTTACCTAAGAGCAACTGTGAGCTACCAGGTGAAGATCATGTCTACTTTGAAGTCTAAGTTGGGGAATCTGAAAACACTGGATTTACCATTATGCAGTTCATATGTGGTAGTGTGATGTGATTCTGTGGTGATCAGTTTTTACAGTGACATCCACAGAACTAAAACATTTGAGGTAACAACTCGCATTTCTTTTTTTTAACACGGAGTTTCGCTCTTGTTGTCCAGGCTGGAGTGCAATGGAGTGCTCTTGGCTCACTGCAACCTCCGCTTCTGGGGTTCAAGCGATTCTCCTGCCTCAGCCTCCCGAGTAGCTGGAATTATAGGCATGCGCCACCACACCCAGCTGATTTTGTATTTTTTCTTTTTAGTAGAGATGGGGTTTCTCCATGTTGGCCAGGCTGATCTTGAACTCCTGACCTCAGGTGATCCGCCCGCCTTGGCCTCCCAAAGTGCTGGGATTGCAGGTGTGAGCCACCATGCCTGGCCTGCTTTGTTTTTCCTGTAAAAGTCTATCTAGAATTAAACTGTCAGTATGTATTTGTACATGGAAAAAAATTCCAAAGAAACATTTTTGGTTAAAAATATGTGGTAGGTTGAAACTTGTGTACAGTGTAAATATCGCATTATGTATGCCTTATTTAAGTAGACCTAAATACCTGGTAGCCTGAGCCATCAGACTTGCATAGCTCCAAAGGGCAGTAGTGATCTTGTTAGGGTTTGGCATCTGAATGATCTGGTTGCCTTTTCCTTTTGGCGTTTTTATACCAGGTATCATAAAATACAGAAAGCAGAGCAAAAGTGAAAGAGTAGAAACCCTTTGTTTTTTTTTTTAGACAGAGTTTCACTCTTGTTGCCCAAGCTGGAGTGCAATGGTATGATCTCGGCTCACTGCAACCTCCACCTCCTGGAAACCCTGAGCTTTTTAAATGTTGAGGCAGAGTTGATAGTAATAGAAAAGCAGTAGCTTAGGAGCCCTAAGACCAGGCTAATTTGATAGCTCTGAAGTTAGGGCTCCTCATCTTTGAAATGGTTCAAGAATACCTGTCTTATATACCTTCAGAGGATCACAGTGTGATAACATGTTTGAAAGTACTTCAGATAATTCTGAGGTTTTATTTATCTCATTCTACAAATATAATTTGAGAACCTCCTCTTCACCAGACATCGACTTCGAGGCTGGAGATGGAAGAACTTGGCAGTCTACCAAGGACTTCCCAGTCTGGTAGAATTATGGTTTTCTTTCTTTTTTCTTTTCGGGATGGAGTCTCGCACTGTCGCCCAGGCTGGAGTGCAGTGGCGCGACCTCAGCTCTCTGCAACCTCTGCCTGCAAGGTTCAAGTGATTCTCCTGCCTCAGCGTCCTGAGTAGCTGGGATTACAGGCGCCTGCCACCACGCTCGGCTAATTTTTGTATTTTTAGTAGAGACGGGATTTCACTATGTTGGCCAGGCTGGTCTCGAATGCCTGACCTGGTGATCCACCTGCCTTGGCCTCCCAAAGTGCTGGGATTACAGGCATGAGCCACCAAGCCTGGCCAGAATTATGGTTTTCTAAGATTATGTTTCATAGTGTTTCAGGTTTATATTACTGAGATCTTTGTTGTGGGTCCATTTTTTGGGTTCAAAAACATGAAAAGATAGCATTTTGAAAGTGTTTTGTTACTTCTCTATGCTTATAAAAATTTGACTCTTAGAACTTACCTATGTAGTCCCCCACCTGAGATACCAGGACAGTGGGGAGAGAATTTATGATGTGGTAAATTTTTTTTTTGGCAGAGCCAAAATATTGTAACATATGTTGAACCAGGTGTGTAAGTTGAATACCTTTTAGACATGTAGTTGTCACTGTTAATATAAGTGGCCTGCTATCACTCAATGCTGTGGACAGCCCAAGGGCCTTTTCTGAATCTTTTATAAGCAGGAAGTTTAATTTGCCTATATATTTTTCTTTCTTTTTTATTTTTTTGAGGTTGGTTCTTCTACCAAAAACTGAAAAAAAAAGTATTATTAGATAATTTTTACTTTATGGGATTTGTTAGTCCCAGTCTTTGTAGCAATTTCACTTTAAAATTCGTGATTAGCAGAATGTCCTCTTCATTTCTGATGACTTTCTGTGGTGAGGAGGGTTCACTTAGAACCTGGGACAAATGAGAGTTGGTTGAGTAGGATCAAACTTAATAAGAATCAAGGAGACATTAAATATATTCTTGAACTGGTTTTCTAGGATTCTTTTTTTTTTTTTTCTCCTGAAAGGAAGAGCTGGGCCAAAGTTTTAAAAATCAAGACAAACTAGAGGTTTCTTCACATTCATGGCCATATTATTGTTTGGGATTCTATTTAATTTTCATATACCCCTTTATGTTTCTAAGAATATGTTTCTGATGGTCTACTTTATATATGCATTCGTTTGACTCCAGCTATAGTAATAATTGATTATACCCTAAAAAAACGACCTCTGATTCTTCATTTAAATCAGAACAAATTGTTTTTGAAAGCAGCGCCATGAGAATTACCTTGAATGACCATAGACTTGGCCCACAAAGGAAAGGAAATTATGAAGAGGAGGAAGCCATGCCGTTGGTCTTCCCAAATCCTAATCTGGGAACCATTAGCAGGACCGTCTTGCTGTGAGGCACATTCATAGCGTGAGAGGCAATTTCTAAAACTGCTAAAATCAATCCCTGTAGGCCTTTAGAGATTAAACTCACTACCTCGTGTTATAACCAGATGAAAATAATTATGTACTGCAGCCTGCTGAGTGGGGTGAAATAGATTTCTAGTGCCAGGATTCTTAACTAGGTGGGATGGGTGCTGTGTTTTACTGAAGACTCCCTGCAGTTGAAAGATTTATCCTATTAGAGCAAGTCTCAAACTGGTAAGTCTGGGAAAAAACAATTCAACTTTAGACGCCAATTCTTCTAAAACCTCTTTAACTTAAATCTGTTTTTCTTGGCAAGAGAGTTAAACCTCATATTTAAAATAGGATACCAGAACTGTGCCTTGCACACAATAGTTTTCTGCTAGATAGATATTAAGTACACGATTTTTTATTTTTTCTGAAATGGGAGTCTTGCTCTGTTGCCCAGGCTGGAGTGCAGTGGCGCTATCTCTGCTCACTGCAACCTCCGCCTCCCAGGTTCAAGTGATTCTCCTTGCCTCAGTCTCCCAAGTAGCTGGGACTAAAGGCATGTGCCACCATGCCTGGCTAATTTTTTTGTATTTTTAGTAGGGACAGGGTTTCACCATGTTGGTCAGGCTGGCCTCGAACTCCTGACCTCAAATGATCTGCCTGCCTCGGCCTCCCAAAGTGCTGGGATTACAGGCATGAGCCACCATGCCTGGCCAAGTACACAATTTTTATAACCACAAATGCAGTGAGGTTTCCTTCTCTATCAAATAAGGATAATAATGGTACCTAACTCATGGGGTTGTAGTGGTGAGAATTAGATGAGTTTACTACATGTAAAATGATTATAAACATACTTAACAAAGAAAAATCAATGCTATTGATTGAAGATCAATCAGTTGTTAAAGTATTAAACTATTTTGACATGCAGAAAAGACGAATAATGTTTGCTATTATATGAAGTTGCTGTTCTTAACATCTCATCTGTATGAATTGTTTCTCTATTTGTGTGGAAGGACAGTGTTGATATTTGCACAACACTCTGTAACTCAGTTCTTCTTTTGAACAATTTGTGATACTAGAGGAATGAAGCCACTATAAGTGAATGAAACTCGCTGACTAGACTTTTCTTAAGTACCCGTGGATATCCATGACCGACTGGATCCCAGTGAACACTGAATTCTATGAAAGAATAGTAACTAGTCATACACAGGGGAGACTGCTGAAGATGTATTACCCTTTGTAGAATTATTAACATCTCACTTAAAAAAAAAAGCAAAACTAATATGCGGAGATGGGGGAATCTGTTTTCATACTGCACTATCTCTTAATCCATTTATTTAAAAACTCTTTGTTGAGTGCTTACTATATATAGGACAGACATTATACTAGACTCTGGGGATTCAGTGATAGAGAAAAAAGACTAAAAATCACTTACTTGTAGGGAGTTCACAAATGGGTGAGGAGACCGGTATTATTAGATAATCAGGCAAAAATGTAAAATGCTAATTGTGGAAGGCAAACATTGGCTTCAAGATGCATGTCTCCTGAGTACTCTAAGGAAGTAGCATTGTTTTCTTCTTTCTACAGAAGAGTGACTGGGCATAGAGAAGGTAGTGGATTTAGCTATGGTCAGGCAGCTGGTAATAGCAAGGTCTGACTTATAGTCTGACTCTAAGCCTGGTGCATTTTTTGCTTTTCTGCAACTGTCTGTCATTGCTACCAACACAGGGAAAGGAGGAGTATTAAGTGGCTACAGTTTTCAAAAGTATTGATCTGTTTTTGGAGTGTTTGAAATAAATGAACATTGACCCCAACAAGTGGATTTGGGGTTTGCTTCCAAAAATCTGTAACACTGAATTTTTTATTAGTATAGTTAAGAGTAGAAATTAAATACTACAAATATCAGAATTATTTTGCTTAAGGGATTTTTTTTTTGACTGGCCAGTGATGGTCAAAGTTTTTTTGAGCTTTGAGACCACTCTTCATTTTTCAGATAGAATATTACTCAGAATCCAAAAATACAAAGCAGTGACCACCAACTGGAGTTTGTGGGGTCAGAGAAGATTTCTCTGAAGGGTTGTTTGAGCTGAGATCTGAAGGATGCAGAGAAATTAACTAGGTTGTCTGAGGGCAAGGTAGAGGGTGCTGAGTATTGCAAAAGGACTGAAGGCCTGAGATTAGAGAGAGCTTGCTTGGGACATTGGAGGTGTGGACAGGCCATTGTAATTGGTTCCGAGAGAACCTAGTAGAGTAATGCTGGTGAGCTGGTATCAGACTGAAGGGAAGGAAGGGGCTAGGAGGCCATGTTAAGGACCAAGAGTTACTACTCTAAATGAAATGAGGAGGTTTTAAGCAGGGTTTGAGTTCACATGATTTTCTTGAAGGGCTTGCTTAGCCACCCGTCATTCCCTTTGGAGTGGTCTTCCTTCTGGAGTCAGGGACACCATTTGTCTTAAGTGCAGTAGTAATAATTCCTTATGGCAAGTGGCCAAATAACCAGCAATTCCCAGCATGTGAGGCCCCCATAATGGGCCTGCAAGGACAGTAACACTTGAAAAACATCAGAGAGAAAAAAAAATTGCTCTTTGCCCTTAGTGAAGTAAGGCTAAAGGAACCATAAAGGAATATAGTCAACCATTACTGCTCTGAGGCTAATGACCTCGAAGCTCTTGGCTTCCCAAGCTAGTTTTTTTTCTCTTCCTTCTTGGCATTTCATTGCTTGAGAAAACTGTTCCAGGAAATGGAAAAAGAATGGAGTTCAGACTCAAAGTGGGTCTTTACTTTTTGACGATCCTGGTAAAATGCTTACAGGGACAGAAGGTTGAAATTGTCAAGAAGAGTGTTTTTGGATTTGTTAATCTTGGTCCTCTTTGAAGGCAGAGTGCTTCTAAGAGAAGATCTTATTCATCGTCTGATGAATAGGTCAGTTGTCACTTGGGAGGAGGGAGCGAAATTGGTGGTGGCAAGAGAAGGGTGGATTTGTAGGAAGCATATCACTTTCCTGAGGGTTTTGTTCTAATTCTTCTCCAGATACAAATAAACGCAACATTGGGTGAATTGATTTACTTCTGTAAGACTGATTCCTGGACTGTAATAAGAAGGAATTTGGGTAGGGCGGGGGGGCTTACACCTGTAATCCCAGCACTTTGGGAGGTCAAGGCAGGCGGATCACCAGGTCAAGAGATTGAGACTATCCTGGCCAACATGGTGAAACCTCGTCTCTACTAAAAATAGAAAAATTAGCTGGTTATGGTGGTGCGTGCCTGTAGTCCCAGCTACTCGGCAGGCTGAGGCAGGAGAATCGCTTGAACCCAGTGGGCGGGGGTTGCAGTAAGCCGAGATCGCGCCACTGCACTCCGGCCTGGTGACAGAGCGAGACTCCATCTCAAAAAAAGAAAAAAAAAAGGAATTTGGATTCAGGGACTTTTCTCAGGTTTTGTTCAGCTCTTACCACTTTGTTCTCCTTCTACCTCTAAATGCTATATGGAAAAATATGTATTTTGGGAATTAACGTGCTGTATGTTTTGTCTTGAGGATTTCACAGACCCTTGAGAGAATATTCTGTGTTTATTATAGAACTTGGGTTCGGATTCGTTGATTCACTTGTTTTACAGTCAGGACACGAGTGGGGTGGAGGTCTTCAGAAATTAATGTCATCTATTGCCTACACTGATGACATGATAGTAAGCAGATCAAGTCTTGTAGCTATGTTCTTGAAAGGAACTCTTCTAGGCCTCTAAAACTGGGCAAAACATATTGTGTTCTCTGTTCTGTTTCACAGATTGCCTGGTTTTCTCTGGAATTCTGTGCTTCATGGCTTCTTTTCCCTTGATAACATGACACATGACTGATGACGTCAAAGAACCTTCTAGATTTTCTCTTCTACTGGTATTTAACTACATGTAATAGTTTCATATTTTTCCTTTGAAGACTACCTTGTAGTTTTAATAAGGGCGCATGAATGAAACCTACTAAATGGACCGTTGAAATATCCTACATCCAGGAAGCTGCATTGCAGTATTTTACTCATAGCCAGCTGGAATTCTAATAGATTGGCTTGCTGATTGTCCTATTAGTTTTTGTTTTGTTTTGCTTGAGGATTCAACTTTTCTGGCTTTCTTTAACTTCATAGTTATGGCTGGTCTGTAAACCTGTAGATAAGGTCAAAAAATTATGGGTAAACTCTTCAAAGTTTCCTAGATCTTGGTTGATAGGAGTGCAAATCTAATAGCCTGTGCATGTTATAACCATTGCCATTATTTGCTCAGTGGAGTAAAACAGAAAAGCATTAGGGAGAGTCTCTATGGAGCTTGATGCAATTGGTGTGACATTGTCTAAGAAAAGTTGGTGGCTTGAGGAACCATAACCCAGGAGCACTTGATTGAGTTTTTAAAACACACAGTAGATTAAGGACAGAAGTGTGTCGAGTTCAACCACCAAATCTGTTCATATGGGTATCTTATAACTCTTGGAACTTGAATACTTCCTATGCTGACTCCAGGTTTAATTTCATTCTAACCTTGTGATGCTGTTAATAACCAACATTGCACCACCCCCAAAAAGCCCAAAAAACAAACAAGAAAACCTCTCACTGAAAAACCATTATTTTGAATTTGACATGAGAGTCAACGCATTATTTGCCATTTTTCTCATAAAAGTTAGCTGCAAGTTCTGTTTAAGAAATTTTAAATAAGTAAATGTCACACAAGTGAATACAGATATATTCCAGTTCTTTGAATATACGTGAACTCTTTACTTATTGGTTGAATGCCAAGATCAAGGTGAATGAAAATGGTCATTGAAGCTCATCCATCTTTTAGACATTTGGCACTTCATTGTGCAAATGTGCACATTGATAATTTTGGCTTAAATGTTTGGCATTTTATTTGGAAATCTGTTAGCCCCTTTGAAGTCTTTTAATTTGGGAGTGGAGGTAGATTAGACTGGAATAATAATAAAGTAGGCTCTGCAAATAATTGCAAATACACAGATTATTTCTTTTTTGTAGGTTGCCAACAGATTTTATATATTGGACCTTGACACTGATTGTTTTAGGTTGTCTAACTTGTCAGGAAGTACAGTTTCTGTTACGAGGAAATAATGACGTTTTCGTTGAGAGGATGAAACATTTTCCACGACCATGAATCTGTTACTGGCTTCATTCAGCCAGCTGCCAGTGGAATCCAATTTCTAGAAGGCAGAAGCAGTGCCATTCACCCTTGCTATTCTTTCATTCCTCAAATTTTAAGTCTTTCAGCCTCCAAGAATCCTTAGGGTATTCCTCTGCCAGGTTAAATGTGTGAATTACAGAGTAAAGAGTAAGTTGAAGATTTCTTCCATTTCCTGCTCTCAAATAATAATTTTTCATGTTTTTCTTTTTTCTGTTTCCCTTTGGTGATCTACTTTCAGAATCTGAGTCACTAAATGAGTTTTATCAAAGGAGAAAAATGTACTTAGATACTTAGAAATGGAAACAAGATTTGTAAGTTGGCAATCACCTTGAATGAAAATACAGTTGGCCTTCTGTATCCATGGTTTCTGCGCCCGCAGATTCAACCAACCGTGGATCAAAAATAATGCGAAAAAATCCAGAAAATGTTACATCGTTGCTGATGTTTCAGTATAGAATATTTTCTTGTCATTACTGCCTACACAGTATAGTATATCAAATATTTACGTAGCATTTACATTGTATTAGTAATCTAGGGATGATTTCAAGTATAAGAGGATGTGTGTAGGTTATATGCAAATGCTACACCAATTTTTAAGGGATTTGAGCGTTCGAAGATTTTGCTATCCTCAGAGGGACCTGCAACCATTCCGTACCACCCTGATACTGAGGGACAGCTATACTAGGTGAATACTGCCTTGCCTTAGCCAAGCTGATAACTGTGTATGTTATAGAGATAATTGCCCTCCAATGCAGTTTTGTTTTTTGTTTATACCATGTTGGAAAACCGTTAGATATTTTATTGAAATATAATTGTGTGGAGTTTTTGAAAGAAAATATGGAATATGTTGTTTCAAAAGCTTTTCACATAGATTGTAAATTTCTTTACAGACCTTCTAGGCTTTTCACAGATATAAGCATTTATAGCAGAAATGTAGTGAATATTTTTATACATAGTCTCTAAAACTTAAGTAAGGCCCATTCTACAAATGATTGGAGTAGAAATAGGCATTAAAATGTGGTGGATTCATGCACAAGTAGGTGGTTTGTGTCCTATAGTGTGAATATAGTGTTTTCTATTTTCTTTAGGGGGGCATTTCTGTTCCCCTGGGGAAATAAACTTCCTATTTATTTTTCTTAAGTATTTTTAAGCTTGGTTACTTATTTTTTTAAGTAATCCCTGCCACTGTTTATATGTAGAACCCAAGTAGCATTTGTAGTTGAATTTTGTACATTAAAAATATTTTGATCAGCAAATATTTAACAAGTGCCTACTGTGCGTTAAGATGTTTGTAGAATTGCCGTTTTGTTTGTGAATGTTAGCACTGGGCATAGATCTAAATCCTCCTCTTTGCAAACACCCCTGAGAATAGGAACTAAGGTGAGAATGTGTTTTGGCCTATATCGTGTTTTCTAGTCATTTCTATGTATTTTATTAGAAAAATATTTTTAAAAAATGTTTTGGGTTAGGGAACCAACCCACTTGTCCAACTTGTGAAAGTCTGCGGAACACCACCACCATCAAAAAAGACAACATATTCGGATCAGGAATGTAATCACCCAGTCACCTAATAAAAAGAGTGCTTGAGTATGCATATGGAACAAAAAAGCAAAACCATTCATTTGGTAAAGGGTGAGTAGGGGCCAGGAGACAGCCCTACCCTGAAGATAGAATGCTTTAAAAACATGTTGCCATTAATATTTAAGACAGAAAGCGTTTTGAGCCCGCTCCTCTCTTCTACCCTTCCTCAGCATTCATGTTGTAGTTTGCTCCCTAATGCTCACAAGTCCGTGCCAGACGGAAATTCGCAGAGGCCGCTGCAGTCCCGCAGAGGCCACTCAGGGGAGGGACGCGGGCGGAACAGTCGCGCTCAGTCCTCCCAGGCCGCCCCAGGCCCCAGGTCCCCTGGTGCCTCGTGCCGGCTCCTGGCTCGCCTCCCTTCTGCTCTGCCCAGCCCACCCCGCCGCCCCCCTGCTCACACATGCGGCCTCTCCCCCGCGCCCCAGCCTCTGGAGTCGCTTCGGGGCCATCTAGTCATACGCTGTCCATCAGATGTGTTTACTTTTTTCCTGACAGCCGACACATCTGGAGCACATATTCAGGTTATTCCAGTGCCACTAGACACATTCCACAAGATCATTTCAGCGGTTGTTATGGCGATCTTCCTCCCTCCAGTGATTTTCAAGTTGCATGACAGAAATAGCTGGAGCTAACCAGGGGGACAAAAGTCAACGGGATCAGGAAGGGCTTCTTTCACAGAATGAACTAATTAGTGACCCTGCTTTCTTCACAGGGCAATGAGCATATGGTTTAATAAAGTGAGTCTGTGACACTTTTTTTTTCTCTGTAGGCAAAGCTGTCACTGGCTGAAAACTTTCCTGTTTTTACTGGTGGGACCGTAGTCTGCTGTCTTTCAACAGAGTTTACTTCACAAGTAGAAAATGTTTGCTCCTGAGAGTTAAGCTTCAGAACGTATTCTTGGCTTCATACTACCTAACTATAGCAGGTCCTGTAACTTAAAGAGACAGTATTAATTTTATATTCATTTCATGGGAAGGGTTTATGCTTACTCAAGACTAAGCATTTTCAGTTAGGGTTTTGTAAGTATTATGAATTGATACCTGGAAGTTCAGGTAAATATAATGTGTTGTTTGCTGTGGTTTTTCTATAAAATATAATCAGTATTTCTCACTGGATTAGTTACAAATTTATTTGAACCTGTGATTTTTTTTTGGGCACAGTTATAGAATATTTTGGTATTAAAAGATTTGATTAAGCTACTCCATTTTTATCACATTTTAAGTAGCATGCAGATGTCTGGTTATGTCTGTCAATTTTTTTCCTGAGGTACTTTTTACATTTTGTGTAGGATTTTGGATGACTTTATAGTGTGAACATATCATTGCAGACATGGAAATTTAGACCTGAGATCATTTAGTGTTAGTAGTAGAAATACTGCTTTCAGTTTATAATGGATATATAAGGTAATTCTATAAAGCACTGCCATCTTTGATCACTTTATGAAGAATACAGACATGCCTCAATAAATGTTTTTTGGATGAATGGGCATATCATATGGATTCAAACAAAATACATGTTGCCATTAATCATGAGTCTGAGATTTATAAATTATAGGGGCCCATTTTCTTTTTTGTTTTTGTATTCCTGTACTGTAATTCAGTCTTGAAAAATGTAGCCAGCTATACATGTTTCACACTTCTTCCCATATGTACCATGATACTCTTTTACACACGTGTGCACATAGAATCTCTTAATCTCCTTTTCTTGTTCTTTCACCAGTACTCACAAATTCCACTCCTTTGCACGCACCCCATTTTTAGGTTGAGACCCAATGCACTTAAGTCACCATGAACAACAAAGTTTATAGTTTTCCTTTTTGATCGAATTACTCATGTGTTGACTGAGTTCTCCGGATTCTAGGAATATGACAATGAGTGACAAGTAGGAGAATCAGAGCTGGACTCACCCAAGCAATTGTCTTCATCTTTCTCCATCAGTACAATACCTCTTTCCTCCACTCTCAGTCAAATTCCTGTTCAGTGGGTCCCACTGAGGCTGGTCGCAGCTGCTCTGGAGTACCTGCTCTCAGGAAGACTAGAAGAACACTGAAAGGTCACATAATTACATGTGAATTTAATTCACAGAGACCTGCTTGTCGCTTTTCCATGTGTTTCTCCTAGTTACACATTATTAACTGTGGTGCCTTGTAGGGCTTCAATTACTTGGGCAAATATGTATCGTGCAGAGACTGAGCACAAGTTAGAATGCTGAGAGTGGTTATAAAATTATGTTTTCCTCTCCAGATGTAACTTTACAGTAATTAAACCTAATGCAATGTAAGCATTATAGTCAGTGCTGTGGTAGCTATCTCCAAGTCTAATTGGTAACATCGCTTAAATCATAGCACTTATTGCTGGTTATCTGGGAACTGGAATAAACCAAAAAAGTTACATACATTAACCTTTGGTTTTTCTGCATCAGGTGAAGTGGATAGCTTGTCCCTTCATCAAAATCTGTCATCTGTATTATATGGAATTTTGATAGCATTTAGAAAATTTTTTTCTTATTTAGATAGCTCTGTGTATTCATCCATCCATCGATCATCCATCCATCCATCTATCCATCCATCATTTCATCTGTCTTTAGGCTATTTTCCATAGTTTGTTGCCCTGGATTTGGAGACTTGATCCAGCACAGAGCTATTGTCCACTTGGGTTATTGGGGTTTCCCTTTCTAAGTAGATGATCAAAATCCATGGTGAAAACATGCTTGCCTTCCATAAAGGGCTACTTGTTTACTATATTTCAGTCATTTTTCTGCCAAAAGTAAAAAGTAAAAGAGTCCAAAAGATAGAAAAGAATCTCAAGTTTAAAATTTTCTTTTGCATTTATTATACCCAAGAATATGGCAAGCAGCTTAATTTAATCAAGCAGCAAGAGTGCCAGACAGTTTTCCTGCATGTGAGAGCTAAATAAATAGTGGACCTCCGTATGGCAGTGATAATCGCAACTTAGAGGGTTTTCTCAGTTGTGAAATGTTTGTGTTAAGGATGACTTTTTTGTTGTTTTTGTTACAGTCTGACAGCTGAAGATGCTTTTAAAACCTTCTAGTTACTTAGAGCAGAGCTATATGGCACAGGCTTGGTGGTTCTAAAAGGCAGGTCCTATCCATCACAGAAACAGCAAGTCTCTGGGTTATGGGGGAAGATTGAGCGGGGGGGAGTGAAGTAAGGAGAAAGGGGGGCTGTTGTGTCCAGTTTACATTTGTCACCAGTGACTAGCTTTTAAAAAATGTGTTAGCTGTGCATGGTGGTAAGTAAGATCCAGCTGCAGGGGATTATGGCTTTGAGTGGGTCGGGGAGCTTGGAATGCATTCAGTTCCATCAGGGGATTTGTGTCCCTCGTCATCAGCCTTAACATTGCTAACACAGTAAAGATTAGGAACAGACCAGTGTCACCTGCCCTGAACTTTGAAAAACCCTGGAACCATTAAACAAAGGGGTTTGCTAGTTTAGAAAGTGTCCCTTCTCTCTGTCCAAAGTGTTTTTCAAATGACACATGCAAAAAAAAAATACAGTTATGCTCAGGTGAAAGACTGTCTGTGGTTGAACTATTTTCACAATTTAATGAACATGTCACAATCATAATTTCTAATGAAAAACACCTTCCACAAATAACGTTCAGTTAATGAACATTTTTGTGAAGTGATTTCCAAATCAAAATGAAGAGCCAGTAGTTAGGAGGGAATGTTTCTGAGCTTTAGTCTCACTCCATAGGAGAAAAAGATTTTGCTTGGTTTGGGTGACCCTCCCCTCCTCCTCCTCCCCAGGAAGAAAGTTAAGAGAACACCACAAAGGTTTACTTTTTTCAGGGATTTTGAAATTCAGCATACATGCCAGCAAGCAGTTTAGAGGCAGGAAGTCTTTTCTAGTAGTGCAGTCATGAACTGGTAAACTAGAAGCATCTGTAAAAATTTAGAGGGAATATCAGCTTTCTCAAAGCTCCAGCCCAAGTGTAATGAGGTGCAAATGATAGCACTGCATAACCCTTCCCCACCCCAATTGTGGAATGAGATATTGAGACAAAAATAAAGAGGAGAATAGGGATTTCAGAACTCTACTGTACTGAAATAAATTTTGATTTTCAGATGAAATGGCTTTTGGGTGACTAAGGATAGCCCCAACTTTGACGGTTGATGAGTAGAAAATAAATGATTTTCAGCTCAGCATCTCTAGGTACCATCTTTGAAAAGTGGTTGCATTTGGGCTGTGAGTGCATAAATGACATACCTCCTCATTCGGCTGAGTAAATTAACGAGAATTTTTAGTATAAAGTAAACTTCCACTGATTCGTATCTTTGGCAGGCACCTCTCTCTTTACAGAAAGAAAAAAAAAAGAGGGGTAAGAAAAAAGATGTGATTTGTTTGAAGGAACACATCTGGGGTGTGATCTGCTATATCTTAACACCAGATGGCAGGTTTAGGCTGACAACTAAACCCAGTTTAGCCTGGTCAAACCGTATCTTCGTATGTCCTTTTCCCCCTCCCCTCCCAAACAATCTATGCACAGGAAGTAGAACAATTATTTGCACTCCAGGCTAACAGTCCTCTTGTATCTGTGGCTTTGGGTTCTCTTTCACTGTGCCTCTGCTGTTTATAGACAAGTTTGGCTTCCCTTGGCAACCCCTGAAACAGGTTCCCTCTGTGGCTCATACTTTTTTCAGAGGTATGTTTTGTCGAGGCAGAGGTGTGGTGCCTTTAGGTGGCTGGTGCTTGTCATGACAGGCATGGCATTAGCTGGGCCTAGCAGTGACTAGAAGTGACAGCATTGGTTCGAGGTGCCTGGGGGCCTCTCAGTCATCACTCCTGCTGGAGCATTGAGAATATGAAAGCACCTGAGAGCACCACTGCTTATCAAGGAGATAACAGTTTGGGAGAACAGGGCCAGGAGGTGACTGAGGACAGGCAAGTGCCTTTCCCTCCCTTTATTTTCTTGTAGTAGATTTTACTTGAAAGAGTGTCATATATGTGGCCTTTAGAAAGAAGGCATACAAACAAGCTTTGTCCAGGGCCACAAAAGAAGGGACCTTTGAATTTCCAGAAGTTTCAAGTCTTTTAATTTCTGTCATTAGACTTACAGTTTCTTTGTGTGTTGTATCATAAAATGACCAAACATTAAAAAACCAACCAAAAAAAACCCTTTAACACTTCAGGGAAAAGAGTCAATAAATAGTATATTATCCTCCTCACTGTCGTTAGACACATTACCTCCTTAGTGATAATGGTAGCGGTCACAGCCTATTTTTATGACTGATTATCAAAGGACCATGTCAGAAGTTTCTTATCACTCCTAACCATTGGGTTCCTTTGTAGATTTTCCAGGAATTAGTTTTAGATTCTCACTACTGATTAATGGACATATGTGTAATCTATGCAAAGAGCTACAAAATGTATTCATTAATCCATTCTACAAACTAAGATTAATTATAATTGTCTGTAGGCATCTTATAAGGTCACAATTCTAATATAATTTGATAGGAGCTGTTAGGGATTTGAATGAAATTTCAAAATCACCTCCACAGAGAAGGAAAAAGACCTTTAGAGAAAGTCAGTGAATGTTTTTATTGGGCAGAGCTTGAAGTTACTTCCTGAGATTTCTCTTCTTTCATAGTTCTGCTTTCTGGGTAGTCAAAGATCACCTGTTTAAAAAAGAAATAATTCCTGGATACCAAATGTTACTATAGTTATCAACATGAAGGCAATCAAAATTTTTCTGAGTAGATTTTAAATTGTTTTTGTTAAGTTACACATTTCAGTTGTAATTCTTTTTTTTTTTTTTGAAACAGGATCTCACTCTGTTGCCCAGGCTAGAGTGCAGTGGTGTGATCTCAGCTCACTGCAACCTCTGCCTCCCAGGCTCAAGCGATCCTCCTATCTCAGCCTCTCAGGTAGCTGGGAACACAGGGACATGCCACCACACCTGGCTAATTTTTTAATTTTTTTTTTTTTTTTTTGTAGAGACAGGATCTCACTATGTTACTCAGGCTGGTCTTGAACTCCTGAGCTCAAGTGATCCTCCCACCTTGGCCTCCCAAAGTACATGAGCCACTGTGCTTGGCCTGGCAGGTGTAATTCTTACATGTCACTATAGAACTATTTTATATATAATGTTTGACCTATAAACTTTTCTACTTGCTATTTTAGAAAAAGAATTTGTTGGTTAGAAAGTCACTGAAGAGAGTTTAATAAGAGTACTGTTTGTTTTTTAATAAACTATTTACTGTGGTTCTTGTAAATAAAACAAAGCAACTTAGTTAATTCTATTCAGGAAACTTAGCTCAATTTCCTAGTATGAAGAAGACTGATTTGATAGCTTGGAGTAGTAGAGACCTAATATGGTTTCAATCATTGTGTGGAGGAGGACATTACATTGATGAGACAAAACCATTTTCTAGGTTCTTGAAACTACTTGACCAATTACAGTAATTTGAAGGGGGCACTTCCTAAATAATATTAAGTTCAATTCATAGTATGAACTTTTGAGTTCAAGGCTTCTGTAATTTTTCTTGGCTTAAAAAAATATTCAAATTTATAGAATAGTAATGATGTTGGAACGTTTGATTAGATTTTAGTGTTCCACATAGTTGACTATAATAATTTCTGAACTACAATAGTTTCAGCTAGAATATTTCCATTTATTCAACACCACATTAATCTTTACTTACTTGTCACACAGCTTTTAAAAAAATCTGATGTGAATTTGCTTTATTGCATTTGACACGTTTGGGCAAATGACAACAACTTTGGTGTTTTTAAAATGTTCCAGTTCCAGAAATCAGCCTTCAATAAGCTTCAGGCAGTTTCCCAGTAAGTTGTTAATGGATTGCCATCTTTCTGCCTCTCTTTTAAATTTTTTCCTTAAAGGCCATACTGGGGGAAACTAACTAGTTCACTCTAGATGGCTGTACTAACCCTACTTTAAATACCACTGAGAGTTTAAAAGGCTGCGTTTTTGCATCTAGACTCACTTGGATTTGAATAACTGATCTCTGACCGTGGGCAAGTCTCTTAACTTCTGTGTCTTGATTTCTTCTATTTAAAAAGAAAGGCCTATTTTAGGTATGTATTAGGGTAATAGGAGGTAATGTTAGAAAACAGAGTCTAGTATGAAGCCTAATATATAGTAGAGGAGGGTACAATACTTAATAATTACTGTTGTTATAACCTCTTCCTCCCCGCAGCCTGCGCCTCCCAGGCTCAAACAATTCTCCTGCCTCAGCTTCCTGAGTAGCTGGGATTACGGGCATGTCACTACTACCCCAGCTTTTTTTTTTTTTTTTTTTTTTTTTGAGATGGAGTCTGGCTCTGTCGCCCAGGGTGGAGTGCAGTGGCGCGATCTCGGCTCACTGCAGGCTCCGCTTTCCGGGTTCATGCCATTCTCCTGCTTCAGCCTCCCGAGTAGCTGGGACTCCAGGCGCCCGCCACCGCACCTGGCTAACTTTTTGTATTTTTAGTAGAGACAGGGTTTCACCGTGTTAGCCAGGATGGTCTCGATCTCCTGACCTCGTGATCCGTCCGCCTTGGCCTTCCAGAATGCTGGGATTACAGGCATTACCCACCGTGCCCAGCCCCACCTGGCTAATTTTTGTATTTTTAGTAGAGATGAGGTTTCACCATGTTGGCCCAGCTGGTCTTGAACTCCTGACCTCAAATGATCCATCTGCCTCAGCCTCCCCAAAGTGCTGGGATTACAGGCATGAGCCACCACGCCCTGCTGGGTTCTTCTTAATTATAATACTCTTTCCCAAGCTCCTTGCAACTTCTACAGTTTAGCCTGATATGTTGTAACCTCTTGCTGTTTACACTGTCCACTCTTGTGGAGGTAGCTAAGACACTGACTGCCAGGGCATGTTTTATAGTCATATAAAATCTGTACAAAAGAAAGTTAATTTTCATTCAAGAAGCCAATAGCTTCTGGATCATTGCCTTGCATTGGAAATAATTTTTTTTTCTCTGTAGATAAAAGGTAAGCATTATTAAGTTATTAAAGCAAACAAATAACTGTAGTCATCCTGCCACTCCAAGAACAACAGGATCTAGAGTATAAAAGTAATATCAAAATTTCAGAGGCCTGCAGACCCTGTTGCTGTTTATCACTTTATCATTCTATTTCCTCCTTGAATCCTTTTTTTTTCTTTTTTTTTTTTTGAGACGGAGTTTTGTTCTTGTTGCCCAGGCCGTATTGCAATGGCGTGATCTTGGCTCACTGCAACCTCCGCCTCCTGGGTTGAAGTGATTCTCCTGCCTCAGCCTCCCGAGTAGCTGGGATTACAGGTGCGTGCCACCACACCTGGCTAATTTTTGTATTTTTAGTAGAGATGGGGTTTCACCATGTTGGCCAGGCTGGTCTCGAATTCCTGGCCTCAAGTGATCCACCCGCCTCGGCCTCCCAACGTTCTGGGATTACAGTGCTCCTGCCTCGGCCTCCCAAAGTTCTGGGATTACACTGCGCCTGGCCTACTTGAATCCTTTTAAGCCATCATTGCCCTGGTTAGGGGTTTTCCCATTGCTGTTTGATTTTCAGATTCATTAATTGAATACTAATCCACTTTAAACTTTTAGTGTTTTTTTTTTTTCCCTTTATACACTTGGCCTGTTTCATTTTAATGTTGAACAGTTGTTTGTCAACTTCAAAAAAGACCACTTGTTTATATAACATGATCTCTATTTGTGAGAAATATTTTTCCTCTAGGACCGTAGTAACCTTACTGAGTCTTAATATTCAGATATCATCAGTATGGAATAAAATATGACATGCTCTGAGAGTAACAAGCTTCCCACTTGGGAAGTACCTTTTCCTGGTGGCTTTTAATGAGAGGAAAGGCATAGTTATTTAAGCCTGGTTGTGGAGCTGAATAAACCTATCATTTGAATCTTGGTTCTTCTGCTTCCTAGCAATATAACCTTTGGCAAAACCTTTTACTTCTCTGGGCCTTATTATTGCTTTTTTTTTTTGGAACGAAATTTTGCTCTTGTTGCCCAGGCTGGAGCGCAATGGTGCGATCTCGGCTCACTGCAACCTCTGCCTCCTTGGTTCAAGAGATTCTTCTGCCTCAGCCTCCTGAGTAGCTGGGATTACAGGCACCTGCCACCACGCCCAGCTAATTTTTGTATATTTGGTAGAGACGGGGTTTCACCATGTTGACCAGGGTGGTCTTGAACTTCTGACCTTAGGTGATCCACCTGCCTCGGCCTCCCAAAGTGCTGAGATTACAGATGTGAGCGACCACGCCCAGCCCTTTTTTTTTTTTTTTTTTTTGAGACAGTCTCACTCTGTTGCCCAGGCTAGAGTGCAGTGGCATGATCTCGGCTCACTGCAGCCTCTGCCTCCTGGGCACAAGCGATTCTCCTGCCTCAGCCTCCTGAGTAGCTGGGATTACAGGCACCCACCATCACGCCTAGCTAATTTTTGTATTTTTAGTAGAGCTGGGGTTTCACCATGTTGGCCAGGCTGGACTTGAACTCCTGACCTGAAGTGATCCTCCTGCCTTGCCCTCCCAGAGTACTGGAATTGTAGGCATGAGCCACTACACCTGGCCTATTGCCATTTTTAGAGATAAAAAAAAAATACATATCTCACAGAGTTGTGGAAATTAAATGAGATGATATTTTCAGAGTGCTTGGTATGGGTACCTACTGGCATGAAACATAAAGGTAGTCTTAATAGTATATGATCTTTTGAATTTCTGTGGATATTGGTTTGGACTGCATATTTCTTTTTTTTTGAGAAGGAATCTTGCTCTGTCACCCAGTCTGGAGTGCAGTGGCATGATCTCAGCTCACTGCAACCTCCACCTCCTGGGTTGAAGTGATTCTGCTGCCTCCTGAGTAGCTGGAATTACAGGCACACACCACCACACCTGGCTAATTTTTGTATTTTTAGTAGAGACGTGGTTTCACCATGTTGGCCAGGCTGGTCTCGAACTCCAGACCTCAGGTGATCCACCCAGCTTGGCCTTCCAGTGTGCTGGGATTACAGGCATGAGCCATTGTGCCCAGCCTGGACTGCATATTTCTTATTAATGATTCCTTTTATGCTTGCTGACATTAGGGCATCATTTCTGCTGCTATGGTAGACTTTATTAAAAACGATGACACATTTCCAACTAGTATTTTTTAAATAGAAATGGATACACCATAATCTTATACCTGAATTAATAAAATCTGTCAAATACCATCTCTACTATTTGCTTTTTTCTTTGACCGTTTGTTGTACAGACAGCTTATAGGTTTTGTTTGTTTGTTTAAATACAGATGCAGAGGGTTGACTTCACCTCACTTCTTAATTCATGACTCAGTTTTGTCATTGGTTCATGCAATGTCCCTCTTTTGTTCACTAATTTTTGTTAGATTACTTGTTTGATTTTCTGATGGGGATAAGAGATGAAGGGACTTTTTTTTATTGCCAAGGTTCTGAGGTCCAGTGAAGCCAGAGTATATTGTTAAGATAGGATGTAAGAAATGGAAGAGATCTGCAGTATTCTCTAGCTAAAGTACTTCTTAACCGCTTTAAAAAATGCCTCACTCCTTTAAATGAATTTTTTTTAAAAATTCATTCCAGGCACTGTGGCACGTGCCTGTAACCTCAGCTACTTGGGTGGTTGAGGTGGGAGGCTCACTTGATTCCAGGAGTTTGAGACCAGCCTGGGCAACTTAGTGAGACCTCATCTCAAAACAACAACAGTAAAAACTAGTTCAGACTCTTCTCCATTAAAATTCATAGATCTAGTCTGAACTTTTTTGATGCTTGAGAAAACTGAGACTCAGATAAAAGACACAGTAATAATCACCATAATAATGGCCATCACTTTTTGACCATTTATTATGAATCATGAGCTCCTTGCCTGTGATCGAAATGTCATCTCTAGAGACACTTAAGCTCATGCAGCTCATTGTGGACTTCCATTTTGGTATTCTCTTTAAACTTCCAAACCGGTTCTCTCTCCCTTCCCTTCGTTTTTGGGTTTAATTTTTTTTTGAGACGGAGTCTCGCTTTGTTGCCCAGGCTGGAGTGCAGTGGCGCCATGTCGGCTCACTACAAGCTCCGCCTCCAAGGTTCACGCCATTCTCCTGCCTCAGCCTCCCAAGTAGCTGGGACTACAGGCGCCCGCCAACTCGCCCGGCTAATTTTTTGTATTTTTAGTAGAGACGGGGTTTCACCGTGTTACCCAGGATGGTCTTGATTTCCTGACCTCGTGATCTGCCCACCTCCGCCTCCCAAAGTGCTGGGATTACAGGCGTGAGCCACCGTGCCCGGCCTAAATTTTTTTTAATTTTTATTTTATAGTTGCAGTTGCAGGCTTGCCATTTTTGCTTGCAATTTCACATTGTATTAATTTTGGTCCATCTCCAGCCTCTTCCCCAGTCCTGCCTTTTCTATGACATTTTAGCTTGGCATTAGACTAACAACACAAACAATGCTTATGAACCATGCTTGCATCAAATGAATGAGATGAGTACATTGTCATATTGCTTCCTTTTTGAGAAAATTTGCTTTCAATCCCTGACCCTAAAACATAAAAGTAAATCAAATTTCAAGACGGCAGACATTAAAGAAAATATATGCCAAGTGTCCCAAGCAGTGCCTGGCACACACTGAAAACTCAGTAAATGCTTATTGAGTGACTAAAAGTCTCCAGTATGAGCAAAAGCTGTAAATCCTGGATCTACTTCTGTTGCTGGCCTAGTTCTTTCTGATTTGTTTAAGGCACGTTAAACCATACTCTGGCAAGGGAGAGGAATGAAGGAGTATTTGAGAAACACCTTCAGTGTGCCAGATGCTTTCATCAATACTGCTCAGTTTATCTCCACATCAGCCTTGTGGGTTTATGCCTCTTCACCTTTTTTATTTTTTGAATGAAGAAATGGGAACTCAGTTTAAACAGATTGTCCAAGATGTTTGAATTTGAATTGGGATCTTTCTGACTCTAGACCCTTATATTTTCCAGACATCCATAGCAGTATAAGAAATGATTAATTGCTGTTACTATTTTTAATTGCCATCATGATCATCATCATTATCACCTTTAGATTTTACAAAGTTGTCCTCAAATGGCAGCCTGTTGCCTCTAAAAAGGGTGGGACATTACTTTGCGAGGAGAGGAGAACATTAATGGTTCAGGCAGCAGTGTTTCTAGATCCTCTTATTCCTTACAGCACAAATCTACACCAGTCTCTTGTGTGTGTATGCAAATGGCTACCTGAGTAAGGGTGTTTGTTACCTGAGATCCCTTCCAGCTACTCAAGTCAAAGAGATTTTTAAGTTGGAATCAGAGTGTTCTGCCTATGTAATTTTGATATTTTAGATGGAAAAGTGAGCTGGAATGCAGGAAGGTTTTCCTAAATGGAAAGGCGGCTGCCTCTTCACCCTCTCCACTTTCTTTTTCTTTGTCAGTTGCTGGAGAGAGATGGCCAGTGACACAAAAGTCCTTCTAAACTTTGGGGAGTCCTAGATGGCTGGCAGATGAGATCACTTGATTCCAGTGAAACCTACCAGCTGCCTTAAATTCACTCTTCCAGAGCACCATACTTTTTATTACTAGATTGAATTATAGGATAAGAAAAGTGCTTTGAGCATCTTTAGACCGCACATGTAAGACTACATACTTGGGCCTGAGCCTCCCAGTTTGGAGTAGGGCCTCTTAAGGAAAAAAGAAAAAGCACACGTTATCCATGTTTGTGTGTGTGTATTGTGTCCTGTTTGCCCTTGAGATTAATTTTTTAACAAGTGCCGTGATTTCCCAGTTTTTCTTAGATTATATTTCTAATTGCTTTAATATTAGATTTGCCATTTATTTCACCTATCCTTGTTTTCCCTTGACTTTTTAAAATCTGCTGTCATTGTTATACTTTGTATATCTTTTTTATGGAAGGCAGCAGAAAAATTTGGAGGTTTGTCTAGAACAAACTCAGTTCAGTCAAGGGAAGGCTGCCCAGCTTGGTATTTAACAGCGCAGAACTGGCCTGTGTTTGTATTCTCTACTGAAGAGAGCGTGCACACCTACATGCCCCTGCATTGAGCTTCGTTTCCTTCATCTTGAAGTGGTGGTGTGAAGAACACTCAGATTTCCCACATAAATCAGGAAAGAGGGTTCATCAGAATCAACACTGGTTAAAAAGAGGTCTTAATGGAAGTGCCTAAGTATTGTCCAAACACGGGGGATAAATGTGTTCTGCTTTACTTGGCCAGAACAATGTCTCAAGCTAGTGATTAGGCTTTACTCCAGCTTTAACCTCAGGCAAAATTTATGCAGCTCTGCTACCGTTTGTCAGGTAATTAAAGGGAAAAAAGGGAAATGTTTGCTTAAAGTAGAAGTGTTTTTTAATTAAACATGAAAAATAATAAATAAACACAAGGGGCAAATAGGCAGTTGGGAAATTGTTTTTAACTTTCCAGTTAAAACATGAAGAACTTCAAGCAAAAGACCAATATTTTAGGCATGGCTGGTAGTTTATTCCTTACAGAGCATTATTCAGCTGTGCTAGAAATCCAAATTTGAGATTGTTCCATCTTTGTGTCGAAGAATGTAAGGCATAGTTACTCTGTCTTACTTGAAAGATAATGCCCCTTACCAGTTTTTGCTAACCACTAACTATTTACTTGGTAGGAGAAGAGTTCTTCAAAGTCAGAACCTGATAGAAAGCCAATAAATAGTAGTACAAATCTTGATGTGGGAAGCACAGATATAGCAGGAAGTTTAGGCTAAAAAGAAAGGGGGAAATAACCTCTTCCCTATTATGGTTAACCAGAGTATTAGTTGGATTGTGTTATGTCCAAAATTTATGTTAATGGATCCGCCACTCATCACCAAAGGCTGAACTCTATCATCATTGACTTATCTTTAGATCCCAGATCTTAGGGATTCTGCATCTATATACCCTCATTCTTACCTGCTATATTAAAGTTGACTGTGACCATTGCAGTTGCCTGCCTCAACTCTTTGAATAGTAGTATCCTTACAAACATTCCATATCTAATCTCTCCTACTGCTGTCCATCCTTCCTGTTGCTGCCAGGGAGATTTTACCTAAAGCTCAGTTTTGATCATGCTACTAATCTTTTCAAACTTTGCACAGCGTTTGAGTTTTCCATGCCATGGTCCTTAGACAGCTTACCATATCTGATCTATGTTTACCCTACACTCCAGCTGTACTTAATCTAGTTTAGCTGTTCTTTCAACACAATGCAGGGCTCTTTTCCTCTATCTCCTTGACTTTGCTTTTGGAGTGCTTTATTCTACACTTCTTAATTAAGTCCTTTAATTTGGGCAGCTGCTTTTCAAAGGCTGGTCAAACGAGTGTAAGTCTTGCTGATTATATATCATTATTATATAATTTCCTAGGGTCTTCCTTATAATTTCTTTTCATGGTAGCTTATTCCTTACACTGAATATTTATACTTTGAGGGTTTGGGGGTGGCAAGTTAGAGATAATCATCTGAAGTGTTTGTTTCCTTGGAGATCATAAGGTAAAGTGAATAACATTATCTCTCTTGAGTGTCTTAGAACTAATAGGGAAGAAAAAAGCACTTGTCAATCCCAATGGACAGATGTGATTTATCTTGGTATGTCTTTGAGAGGTAGAATCACCATAATGTATAGGAGCCCCCCTAGATATTTGGTGGGTGTGGCATTTGGCACATTATGTTGAATTTCCCTGCTTCTCTTCCCAACAGTAATCCTTGAGCCATTTTTTGTTGTTTGAACAGTATCTAGCTGATATCTGTTATCTCAAACATTGCCATTTAGTGGTGGTCATCTGTTTACCCATAAGGTGAAATGTTACTGAGGACACTTCCAAAGGTAGTTTAACTGTGATCTCTTTGTTTGGGTTTGCATGCATTTCTGAATATATAAATACAAACTTGGATAATTTAGGGGTAATTACCTATATTAGCAAATAGTGGTTTATGAAAGGAGTAAAATTTCTTTTAAATAGTAAGGCTTCTCTAGGCCCTTTGAATATTTGAGTTGCAAAATACTGATCACAACCTGAAGGAAAACGTCTGTTGTATAAAGCTAAACATATCTATATATCTATGCCAATAAAGACATATTGAGTGCCTAGATATATGAAAGGGAGAGTGTGTGTGTATGTGTGTGTCCCTGTGTGCACTCACGTGCTGGCCCACCAACTATATAAATATGTACCCTCCTGTATTCTTTACCTTATAGACAAGGCAAAAACATTTATCATTGCTCTTGCCTGGAGTTATGTCCACCTTCATCTTACTGCAAGTGTCAGAGCAACCTACAAAATAGTAGATGAGGAGATGAAACAAGTAGGGCCAGAAAACATTGTCCACAGCCCAGTGGTCCGTGTCACCATTCTTCTGCTTCTAGCATATATTGCATAATCAGGACAGACGAGACAAGCCAAATCCTTTTAGTACACCGTGTCTGGGGAGGTTATGGAGTCTCAGAGATTAGTTGTCATTTTAACAGTCTCGATTGTGACAAGATCTTGGAAGTCATCTGAGAATGTCATGAAAACCATATTCCCATTGCTTTTATTTCTGCTGGACACTTACTGGGTGGGGAACATGTTTGATATATATAAAACAAAAACAAAAAAACAAAAAACCAACCAAGTGAAAAACCTATGTTCTTTGCATTGAGGTCACATTAAGAATACCTCCTCTTCTACAATTCAACCAAAGCTCTTGCAAGAAAATGAGTTTGCTTTATTTGTATTTATAATGAATCATTGTAATTGCAGCTAGAAGCTTTGTAGTTATGATTATTCATCCCCTCTTTCCATTCTCACAGAAATGTCAGGTTCAGGATAGATTTTTAAGACTCTAAAAATAATGGTTTTTTGGCTGGGCGCGGTGGCTCACGCCTGTAATCCCGGCACTTTGGGAGGCTGAGGTGGGCGGATCATGAGGTCAGGCGATCGAGTCCATCCTGGCTAACACGGTGAAACCCCGTCTCTACTAAAAATACAAAAAATTAGCCGGGCGTAGTGGCGGGCGCCTGTAGTCCCAGCTACTCGGGAGGCTGAGGCAGGAGAATGGCGTGAACCCGGGAGGTGGAGCTTGCAGTGAGCCGAGATCGCACCACTGCACTCCAGCCTGGGCGACAGAGCCAGACTCCGTCTCAAAACAAAAAAAAAAAATGGTTTTTCTGCTTGCTTCCGTTATGGTAATGTTGTGGGTATATAGACCTTTAGGAGTTTTTCTTCTTTTTGAGACGGAGTCTCGCTCTGTCCGAGGCTGGAGTGCAGTGGCGCCATCTCAGCTCACTGCAACCTCGGCCTACAGGGTTCCAGTGATTCTCCTGCCTCAGCCTTCCAAGTAGCTGGGGCGTCACCACGCCCGGCTAATTTTTGTATTTTTAGTAGAGACAGGGTTTCACCATGTTGGCCAGGCTGGTCTCCAACTCTTGACCTCAGGTAATCCGCCCACCTCGGCCTCCTAAAGTGCTGGGATTACAGACGTGAGCCACCGCGCCCGGCCAGGAATTTTTCTATTTTGAAAATTTATATTGTTTTTCTTGAGGTAACCAGAGACACTAAAATATACTACTAAGTGTGTGTTTTGTTAGTATTGTTTTTGTCCTGTTAATTAGCAGTTTTATTTTTATTTTATTTTTGTTGCTTAACATTTTTCAGAAGTTATAGCTAAACGTATTTTGAATGAATCCAACTGGAATGTTAGTTTTTAAAAATAAATTTTGTTTCAACCTGTGCAGCTGTAGTTTACTTTCCAGGCATGAGAAATATCTATTTTATTAAGTCCTATGAGGAATATGTGTCACACACATTTAAGAAAAAACTGTTTAAGATGAAACACTCCAAAAATGACTTCCCCCTGGTGTGAAGTAAAACAAAAGCCTCAATTGCATCTCTGCCTGTGGTAATGACACGAGGTGACAAACTGCAGGCAGGTGAGGTTTGTGGGGATGATCTCACACCTGCACCTCGAGCTTGGGGAACAGATGGGTTTGGAGCTGGCGTCTGGCCTTGCTTTCTTTTTGATACGAGACCAGCTCTCAGGCTGGGAGCCCCCACATTTGCACAGAAGACTCCCAAGTGTTTTAACATAGGCAGATGGGACTGCTGGTGGATAATATTCCCTGGTTTTGTGAATCTTTTTCTTGGGATGGAGAGGTGAAGAAGCCCCAGCGCAAGCACCACCAACCTCCAAGCCCAGAGCCCTTACATCAAGCCAGAGCTTTGCCTGCCAGGCAGGTTTCACTTCAGAAACCCAGAGACTGAGGATCTGTGCCCTCTTCAGTCTTAGTTCTGTAGCCAGGCAGGTAGCAAAAGGTGAACCCAGTTGAAGGGTTCCTTCCCTGCCAGTCCCTGCTTCATTCCCCTGCAGCTGATCAGCAGAACTCTGGAAGCAGTTAAGGCTGGAAAACCTTGTGGGCAGGCAGAGCTCTTTCTGCAGTAGCACTCAGAGATGACTTCTGATTAATTCTTTTTCACACCTCCCTAAAGAAATCAGGTATGTATACCTCTGAAGGGAAGGTCAAGGTAGATTTCTGTTTGAGACCTCCGCTGCATCATCTAACCCAACTCAAGACAGCTTTGTAGAAACCATCAGGCCCACCAATGTTTTACTGCTTTGCCCCCTTCACTAAGGCCATTCACTAGGGGCTCTTCTTTTCCTTTCAACACTAGTGTTGTCTTGGCAAATGCGTTTTTGGAGTGCCTCCACATGCATAGCTTCCCAGGGACATTTTGCAGAAAGGTTTGCACTCCTTTCTTAAGAGCAGTTCTGCTGCCTCATTTCTGTTTACATATGTACTGAATAGTCAGTCCATGTCTAGCCTTCACATGGGTTTGATTTTCCCTGTACACTGTTTTTTTTTTTTTTTTTTTTTTTGAGATGGAGTTTCACTCTTGTTGCCCAGGCTGGAGTGCAATGGCTCGATCTCGGCTCACCGCAACCTCCGTCTCCCTGGTTCAAGTGATTCTCCTGCCTCAGCCTCCTGAGTAGCTGGCATTACAGGTGCCCGCCACTATGCCTGGCCAATTTTTGGTATTTTTAGTAGAGATGGGGTTTCACCATGTTGGCCAGGCTTGTCTTGAACTCCTGACCTCACATGATCCACCCGCGTTGGCCTCCCAAAGTTCTGGGATTACAGGCGTGAGCCACCGTGCCTGGCCCCCTATACACTGTGGTTTTTTTGGTTTTTTTTTTTTTTGGTCTTTTGAGACGAAGTCTCGCTCTGTTGCCCAGGCTGGAGTGCAGTGGCACGATCTTGGCTCACTGCAAGCTCCGCCTCCCGGGTTCATGCCATTCTCCTGCCTCAGCCTCAGTCCCAGAGTAGCTGGGACTACAGGCGCCCGCCACCATGCCTGGCTAATTTTTTGTATTTTTAGTAGAGACGGGGTTTCACTGTGTTAGCCAGGATGGTCTTGATCTCCTGACCTTGAGATCTGCCCGCCTCAGCCTCCCAAATTGCTGGGATTACAGGCGTGAGCCACTGCGCTGGCCCCTGTACACTGTTTTAAAAGAGTTCGAGCCCCTTTTAAAAAAAATTTGGGGAGATTTCATATGACAGCTCAGAGTTCTGGTTTCTCTTGAAAAAGAGAAGGATGATCTAGCAACTGGAGGGTCTAGCAACACCTTGTCTACATTCCCATGGAACTCTGAGGTAGGGTATCTGGCTAGCGGCTTTTCTCTTTGGATCACTGGCTTTAAGCATTTTTGACATAGACATGTGCATGAACTTATCCTTACTATGTGTGATGCATTTTGTTCAGTTTCATTTAAGCACAAATGGTTAAGAGCCACTAAAATGATTTTCACCATCCACCAATGCCTGTGACCTGCAGTTTGAGAAGCAGTGCTTGGGATTTGGCTGCAGGGTCTGCTTGCCAGGGCCTTCCCCATGAATGTGCATCACTGCTTAACTCCTGGCCTGCAGCGGCAGCATCTGGTTTCACAGACTCATTGTCATTGTCATTCACATGAGGTAAACAAACAGCTCTGTGGGACGCCTAGCCTGTAGCCCCTATTTAGGCTGTGGGTATCCAGGTGAGGACTGGTCTTTTCACGACTCCTTGGTTTTGCAAGGCTGAAGACAAAGGCAGAGTGAATGCCTGTCTTGTGTCTCACCTCAGCTTCTAGCCCCACCCCTGCCAAGGTAAATGAACGGGGAGAAAATATGCTGTCTTGTGGAAGACTACACTAAGCCTGTCCTATGGATTGCATAACAGTGGGCCCTAGTAGACAGGTCAGGGACAATTCATATTATAATGATATTCTTTTTATAAAGCAAAGCAAGTTTTTAACCATAAGTTACCTTAGTGGCTTTACATTTGCATTACAGATTTTTAAGTACTGTCATTAATTGAGATGGGTCAGTAGGCAGGGGGCAGAAAAAGACTAAAGAGCTTCTTTAATCATACCTTTGCATTTTATCATCCTAGAGGGGAGGCAGAGAAGCCTCTTACTCATCAGGACCATCAATGGACCATGGCCATCAAAGCATTGATTAGGAAAGATGAAGCATCTTTTTATACAATTTAAATAATACATTCTTATTCAGCCATTCAAATTTTATTCCTTTATCATATAGAAAGAACTCAGAATTTTGAGTCAGAAGATGTGGCTTCTTGTTCTGGGCACACTGTTTTCTTTTTTTGTGTTTTTGAGACAGAGTCTTGCACTGTCGCCAGGCTGGAGTGCAGTGGTGTGCTCTCAGCTCACTGCATCCTCTGCTTGCAGAGTTCAAGCAATCCTGCTGCCTCAGCCTCCCGAGTAGCTGGGACTACAGGCACGCGCCACCACACCCAGCTAATACTCAGTACATTACAACGCATTCGGTCTTGGTTCAGGAGACTCCTGAATTGCTGTGCATTGAGTTTTTAGGAAGGGAATTCAGCAGGTACACCCTCGTTTGACCTATTGAAAGCTGGTGTGGAAATAAAAGTATCACATATTTATTTGCATAAGTCTGTGACAGAAGCAAAAACTGGACCGAGAGAGTTCTTGCTCCTCATCCCAGGGCTCTTATCCTAACACTGAAGTTATTGGATTTCTGCAATCGAAGGCATTTTTTTTTCCATAAAAAAAAATTGAGCTTTCTGATGTTTTCAAATCTCTCCTAGCCCTAATGTGTTGAGTGATAACACACTGTAGACCACTGAAAAGGTCATCAGAGAGTGATCCAGGAGGGGGCTTGTTTTTGGCTCTTATCTCATTGTCAACAGTTCTTCCTCTAGCGGCAGCTCCCATCACATGCAGCGCTGAGACAAGGCCCTTGTTCTGACAAAGGGCACTTAGACCCAGGCCATTTAAGCCTCAGCCGAAACAACTGATCTACTTTAGAATTTGATATGAAACAATTCTGGTATCTAAGAAGTTGCCTGGGAACCAGTGTTGTGCCTGGTTCCAAGTCTGTGAATGAGCTGTTGTCAGATGGCAGAGATGAGCCTCTCTTCTCAGTATGGCTGGTGAAAGAGGAGGTGGAGCTCTCTTCTTTAGGGGACAGCCAAGTACATTAGTACCTCTGTTTTTTGGTCTGGGAAGTAGGAGATTTATGTTCTTTTCCTGTCCCAGTCACCAGCTTGCTTGCCTTGGGCTAGTTGCTTTCAGAGTCTCTGGGCCTCAAAGCAATTCACAGACCTTACAGTGTTTATTTTGCTACCCAGGTTTTAGATCTTTATTGTAGCTACTCTTATTTTTTTCTATTTTATAAATAGGAAAATTGAAGTTGAAATAAAAAAAAAAGCTTGGGCAACATAGCAAAACCCCATCTCTACAAAAAAACATTGGTCAGTTGTGGTCACATACGCCTGTAGTCCCAGTTACTCAGGAGGCCGAGGTGGGAGGATCACTTGAGCCTGGGAAGTTGAGGCTCCAGTGAGCCGTGGTCACACCACTGCAGTACAGCCATGGTGACAGAATGAGACTCTGTCTCAAAAAAAAAAAAAAAAAAAAAAAAAAAGTTGCCCAAGATCACACAACTAGGATATTGATAGATTCAGGCCTGGGGCTCAGGTTGGTGTGATTCCAGGGCCTGACAGCTGTTAGCCTCTACCTCTAACTTTTAATTTGAGGGATCCTTCTAATGGGAATAGCACAGGATTCTAGGCTCTGCTGTTTGTCAAATAAATTTTAATGAAATAAACCGAGAGAATAATAATGAAAATGGTGGGTAATTAGCCTAACAAAAGATAATTTGCTGTCAGTATTCTATTAGTGTGTATTTCTTATTGTTCATTTATTCTTCCTGTGTTTAAAAAATTTTAAGGTTGAATATTGAAATACGTCTAACACTTGTAGCTATCAGAAACATACTCTGAAATTTTGTTATTCTTTAAATAGGTGAGTTACACATTTTTAATACTCATATAATTAACATATATGGCCCACCTCCTTTTTGCCAGGTTCTGTGCCATGTATTATTATTCTTATTTTACAGACAAGGAAACTTAAGCTCAGAAAGTTAATTATCTTGTCTGACTGCCACATAGGTAGCCATGCTAGGATTTGCCTATGTTCTTTTATTCTACAAAGTATATTTATAAAATTCTATTTTTGGATATTATGAGTTTATCTGTTAGGAAATTTTTAAGTTCATTTCTCACTCCAGAGTGAGAAAAAAGGCATTCTAGACAGAAAGATAATTTTCAGGTGTCAGAAATCACTTTCTAACTGGAATTTTTTATATTTTAGATAACAATAGCTTTATGTTAATCAATGAATTAGTTACAGGTCTTTATCCTCAATGGGTTCAATTAAACAATTTAGTAATGTAAGCAGGAATTAAGTGTCTTCTGTCACTCTTTTACTTCCTTCCCACAGATAGTGTTTAGAACGTTTTAGGTCCCTCTCTTCATGGAGCATTTCCCTGTTGACCTCCCCTCCCTCCACCTCCTTCTCATTTTCTTTCTTCATTTTGCTGTAACCTTCTCCCCAGTAAAACTTCCATCTTTTTTAATTGCATGAAGAGACAATTGGTGCATATTGCAAAACAGGATATATTTTGTAGACTGATGTAATAATATGGTATCTTATTTCTTTTTGTGATCATGGGAAGATTTAGAAGAAGATTTGGGTTAATAAAATGATAGTTTCTGTCCTATAAACCTTGTTTTCATGGAAATTGATACTATGTTGTGTTCTGATACTTAAAAATAACTTTCTGTAGATAACATTTAATGCATTTGCCATTATTCTTATTCATTCTAGTCATAAAGAGATCTGTGGTGTTGACACTGACTTTTTATTGTCCCAGAATGGTAAGTTGTCAGGTGGTTTCAAACAAGAAGGATACTAAAACTTAAAAACACTTGCATAGGAAAGAGAAATATAACTTTGCCTAATGGAAATTGTTAGTCATAGATAATAATCATGATATTAGTCAAGAAAGTATAATCTGCTTAACATTACATTGGGTCTAACCTGAAAAAAAGAGAAGAAAGTAGACTATTTCTTATCAAAGTTAAATTTATAGCACACCTCTACTATAAAGCCTAGTGAGTGCTGCACTGACAAAGACAGATTCTGGATGGTCTCTTTCTGGTCAGCATGCAGAGCTGGCAATCTGGGGAGAGAGTTTCTATTCTCAGTTTAATTCAAGGATAGTTTCTGACACCTGTTAACTTCCTCCACCTATGCCAAACCAGGTTTTCAGTCTGATTAGGGGACAATTTAGAATCTTAAAACATGTTTTGAACCCATAGGGAGACTGTAGTTTCTTGTTGAGAACTGTAAGATAGGAAGAACTAATATGAAGAAGTTACATTAAGGCTGTTACTTAAGCAGAGATGTTATAAACTGTCCTTATTTTTCTGGGTCTTTCTCTGATTTCTCCAACACCCCTTCAGACAAACATATACAACTTTGCCTGGGTAATTAGAAAATAAAAAGCAACACTTTACTTATGGCGTAATTTCCCAGGATTATTGGGTATTGACAACAAGTTTTAATCAAGCTAAACTTTGCTTAAATTCCTTCTTATCATTATGTTCCAAGTGAACCTTCAAAATAGCACTCCGTTCCTCTGCATTATTTCCTTCCTTCTTTCTTTTCTTTTCTTTTTTCTTTTTTAGAAAGAAACTAAGCCTCACTCTGTCACCCAGGCAGGGGTGCAGTGGCACTATCACTGCTCACTGCAGTGATCCCACCATGTTGCCCAGGCTGGTCTTGAACCCTTGGGCTCAAGTGATCCTCCTGCTTTTGCCTCCCAGAACGCTGGGATTATAGGCATGAGCTACTGTGCCTGGCCTATTTTCTTTAAATATTTGAGTATTTTTATATCACCCCCTGTTAAAGCTTTAGCCAAGGTCATTTACAAAAAACTGATTTAATATCTGTTTAATCTTCAGTATTCTCCCCTTTTAAATCATTTTGGGACTGGTTTGAGACTTTCCCTCAGTTTGGTCACACCTTTCCTTCTTTAAGGGCATTGCTTCTCTCTGCTTCATTGGGGAAGCAAATCATTTGTACTGTTTGCTTCACAAACTATTTCACATTAGAATCAAAATATACTGTTACACTAAAAATTTGTAATCAGTTACCAATATAGGTAAAATATATCTTAATGTATCAGTATTTAATGCCTGAGCATCAAACTTTTCACATTCCCATCTGTGTTTTACATTTAAGTGAATTTTATTTTTAAGCCATTAGGTTTTTTTGCCCCTCCCTACTAAAGCAGAATTCAGAAGGGACACTGTGTTTGCGTGTGTGTGTGTGTGTGTGTGTGCATGTATGCAAATTATACATGTAAGTACTTTAATTTGTTCATTGCAGTTTCTCATGCAGTTTCCATGTAGTTTAAAATGAATTTCCTGCCAGGCACAGTGGCTCACGCCTGTAATCCCAGCACTGTGGGAGGCTGAGGCAGGCGGATCACCTGAGGTCAGGAGTTCGAGACCAGCCTGACCAATATGATGAAACCCCGTCTGTACTAAAAATACAAAAATTAGCCAGGCTGTGGTGGCACGCGCCTGTAATCCCAGCTACTCGGGAGGCTAAGACAGGAGAATCACTTGAACCGAGGAGGCGGAGGTTGCGGTGAGCTGAGATCGTGCCATTGTACTCCAGCCTGGGGAACAAGAGCTAAACCCTGTCTCAAAAAAAAACCAACAAAAAAATAATGAATTTCCTTTGAATGAAACAATAGCCAGGGAATTCATGTGTTTGGCTACATTCACATAGAAATTTGACTGTGCTTATGTAGCCTTGCAGACCTTTGCATAAAGTCTTCCAGATTCTAAAGATGGCATGTGTTCTCTGACAAACCCTACTATGTCCATGGATTATTTATAATGCTCATTTGAAGATTCGAGATAGTTTTATATTGATCCAGTGGTGTTACCTACCAAACAGATCCCCACACCACTTTTTTTTCTTTTGAGACGGAATCTCAGTCTGTCACCCAGGCTGGAGTGCAATGGCGTGGTCTCGGCTCACTGCAACCTCCACCTCCCGAGTTCAAGAGATTCTCCCACCTCAGCCTCCCGAGTAGCTGGGACTACAGGCGCATGCCACCACACCCGGCTAATTTTTGTATTTTTAGTAGAGACGGGGTTTCACTGTATTGGCCAGGCTGGTCTCAAACTCCTGACCTTGTGATCCGCCTGCCTCGGCCTCCCAAAGTGCTGGGATTACAGGCGTGAGCCACTGCACCCGGCCTCTCCACACCACTTTTAAACCACACCAGGATCTCCCCCAAGCAGTGAAAATACATTTTCTGACATGTGAAATAAATGCACCATTTGCTTGCAAATACTAATATTTGAGTGGCTGTTCATTCTGTGCGTATCATACTCCACTTCGTGTTCCAGTTGGTTTTTAAGGAATTGGAGAGATCCTCTAAAAACAACCTATCTCCAGGACATGCAGTTTTATTTTGAAAAATTGAAAGGGAAATAACCTCTGTTTTCATGAGCGGTCATGTGCTGAGGCATATATCTCATGTCCAGCATATGTGCTTGTGAGCATCTGCATGTATATGCATGCATAGAGTATAGCATACTAAGACAGTGGAGTCTAGATTTGGACTTGATACTGCAGCTTTCTAGCTGTGACCACGAGGAAGTCAGTTAACTTCCATGTGTTTCAATGCCCTCATCTGTAATTTGGAGACAATGATAGTACTTACATCAAAACGTTCTGGGGATTGTGTATTTGCATGTGAAATATTTAGAACAGTTAGCCGATAATGAGTGTTTAATCATTGTGCATTACTTTTAGAATAAAATTATTTTATGATGCTTTATTGACAAGAATAATAACTCATATGCAAATCTTTCCTCAAAGAGTTAAATTTTATAGCTAGCGGCAAACTACTGTGACATTTCATTTTGTAAGTATAGTTCTGTACATCATTTTCTTTAGCGTGGAGCAGGCAGAAGCCTGAAAGAGTTAAAAGTATTTCCTTGTTTTTCAGGCTTTAATTTAGGCTCATTGTTATACAAAAACTGTTAGCCTGGGTAAAGCTGCACCTTGAGCACTGATGTAAACTGAGTTTTTCAAAGTACATTAAAATTTGCCATAGTCTTCCCTTGACGATTGAGAGATTTGCATCTGGTAGCGATTCACTCAGCCGAATGCAAGATCGCACTCCTTAGAGTGCTGATAAGCGGACACATGACATTTGCAAAGAGCAGTTTGCCCACTCGAGTGCCAGGGCAAACTGGAGAAAATTCTGTGCTTCCAATTTCATCAGAAACGTAGGGAATATTGCAAATGACACTACCAAATCAACTGTAAATAGATGATAATTTGATTGACATCTGGAAAGCTGTCACCGGCTGAGTAGCCCATAACAGGAACATTTACTGAGTGCAAAGGCAGCTTTCAAGTAAATCACTTTTTGTCCAGTGGGGCCCAGCCAGATTATAATTGCATGTCCTTCCCTTCATTGCAAATTCCCCATTACCGTTACCAGCAGTGTCTCATTTAAAGGAAGGTTGTCTTCCAAATATTCACAATGTCTCATGTTAACTCGTCACTTCCCTCCTTGAAGGCTTGCTATGTGCTGGATAATCCAGCCCTTGCCTCCCTTCGTTGTAATAAAACTCATTAACTTTGCTCTTTTTGGGGCAGAGGTACGTATTATAAATTAGCTGTTAGGTGAAATATAGCATGACTAAAGTTGAGGGCTAAAACATTTCCAGCAGGATTTCAGCACTGTCCTCAGAATTGTCTCCACTGTCACTTTTGAATAAATGTTTTGGCACTGATGATTTTTGAAATGGCAGCATTTCACAATTGAGCCAAGGAGTGGTGCCTTCCTGCTTTGTTGGAAACACACAGGATACATCTAGAGCTGGTGTTCATTCTGGGTCCTTCTGCAAGTCCAAATGTTTAGGAATATAGGAAAACTACAATCACTAAAACAGATGGCCATTTAGAGGTTCACTTGTAGATAGATTATGAAGTGAGAGACACTTGGGGAGAATATTAAGTCAATGTCTGTGTGATGGTCTACTCTATTTTACCAACCAAATATTTGCTACCTGGTTTTAAAAATGCAATAGCTTATGAATAAGTTTGCCAAGTAGTACAAAGTTGCGTGTCTTTATTCCCCAAAGTTAGTGACCCTCCATTTGGTCAAGAAAATGAAGGGAAAACATCATACTTGCTTTGCCTATTTCCAAATCCAGAGAACATTCTCTGGTCCCAGCAGAATCTCTAGGTCTGAAAATGCTTCACATGTGGAGCACATAGAACCCACCATGATCTCAGTCTTGGAATTTCAAATAGTGTGTTCTTACAAAAACCCTTCGGTCCTTGTCTATGGGCTTGAAAAGTGTCTTGCTAGAGATGGACAAAGAATGGGAGAGATGAGTAATGTGAAGCAAGTTGTCTCTACTCTAGGAGTTGTCTCTCTTGTATAAACATAAGACCTGAAGCTTCTGTTGCTGAAGCAAGACCAATGCACATTTGCCTTGCAGGAAGGGCTTTAGATCTCTGTGTCACAAACAATCAAGAAATCATTTCTTGCTGTACAAATGTAGCAGCTTATTGTAGCACCAGTGAATGGGCACGGGAGTGAAGGATATTGCTAATTGTACTGAGCCTGGCTGCATTGCAAGTGTCAGATGATTTGATAGGACTGACATGCAGCTAAATGGAATAGGAAAAGACACTGCAGTGGACTGTTGGTCCATTAGTTTGCTCGGGCATCTTGTTTTACTAAGGAGCCCTCTAATGGTTTCTCGGCAATAATTACTATCTCTCTTCTTCATGCTATTCAACATGACAGGCACTTGCTGAAGTCGCAGCTAATATATTTGCACTCTTAACTGGCCCCAATGCCGCGTATCCTTGAGCATGTTTGGCTAAGAAATGAATGATAGCTATGTTTTTTTCTTTGAGAAAATGTTTCTAATGTGGAAGACAGTCGTTTTATTTTGGATACGAAGCAGGCGTGTGGCATAACATGAGTGCTTGTGAAAAAAATTGATGCATTAGCTGTGGACTGCCCCATTGCATGTCTCCTGTATACTAGTTGATGATACTGAAACGGGAAAAACTTTTATGGGCTGTTTTACTTATATAATGATAACTTCAGACTTGAGCCAGAACCACAGAGAAGGAGAAGTTTACATAGAAATGAACCTTCACACAGCTGTTTTGAAGCTATACAGTAAGGGATTATCCCTTTGTTTCAATTAATTAACTTACAGTTGAGAGGCAGTTTTATTTTTTCTGTGTGTGTGTGTTTTTTTTTTTTTAATTTAAGGGGGTGTCTTAGAATAAAATATTTCAGCTTCTTTTGGCATGGCTTTCTCACTCCTTTGTAAAGTATGGTCAGTTTTGCTTATAGCTGTATTGCTTTTTAAAAGTAACTTGAAACTTCTAGGTTAAGTACTTGAGGTTTAGTTGAATGAGCTTGTTTGCTAAAGTACAGCATTTAAAGGTGAGGAATGGGGCTGGCCACGGTGGCTCACGCCTGTAATCCCAGCACTTTGGGAGGCTGAGGTGGGTAGATCACGAGGTCACGAGTTCAAGACCAGCCTGGCCAAGATGGTGAAACCCCATCTCTACTAAGAAAAAAAAAAATAGAAAAATTAACCGGGCACGTCCCAGCTACTCGGCAGGCTGAAACAGGAGAATCACTTGAACCCAGGGGGCAGAGGTTGCAGTGAGCAATATCACGCCACTGTACTCCAGCCTGGGTGACAGAGTGAGACTCTGTCTCAAAATAAATAAAAATAAAGGTGATGAATGTATTATCAATAGTACTATCATTATTATTTTTGCTAAAGTCTTTGGGAGATTTGAAGGTCACAAAAAGACTTACATGTGAAAAAGGAGGAAGAAATCAGAAATACGGAGAATTGTGTAGGGGATATACTTTGGATTTTGAAGTCTTGTTTAGAAGTGTATATACTTGTGGGGCAATAATTACAATCATTTTGGGTTCTTTTTTCATCTAGTCAGGTTGAAGATGTCTATTTTGTGTAATCTTTCTTTTGGGAGGAATGAAAAAACATTAGCAACAACTTAATTTTTGGTTATTATTTTTCCCTTTTGCTTCTAAAACACGTAGTTGCCTGATAGAATAGCTTCCCTTTTTTTTCTACATCAGAAAGGAGAGAAAGACAACTATCTTAGAAACATATTTAAAGCACATGATGAAAAAGAAGAGGTTTTTAAAAACTGTTGAAAATACATTTTCTTTGTACCAGGTACCAGATGTTGATGTTGGCAGTGCCTCAGAGGGTCACAGGGCATTTAAAATCACTAGGCTGTAGGGAGTAAAATTCCAGATCTCTTGCACTGAAAATTATTTAAAAATTATCTTTACTTAGCGATAAGTAGTACAAGAGTACTTTTTCTATGAATTCCTCTTAAATAGGTACCTTAGAAATACATGATCAATGAAATTGCCAGAAAAAAAAAAGAGTTCCAGTGCCTCTTCGCATTACAAAAGTAGTGCTTTTACTGGTTAAGTAACTGGTTGCATTTAAGTCTCTATTTTTTTTGATATGAAAAGAATATCCCCTCAACTTTATTAGACAGGATTTGCCTTACTTTTGAGCTATCCATTTCAAATTAGAGAGGACAGACGCTGTGCTCCTTGGTTATATACTATGCAAAAAGACATGTATATGGTACTTAGATAGTATTTCGTTTCTTCTAGAAGTGTAATTTTGAGAAGGAAATAAGACTGTTTTTCCATCCACCTGCCATCCCATGCCACCCCTTTCTACATAGTTTCTTTTCTTTTTTTTTTTTGAGATGGAGTCTTGCTTTGTCACCCAGGCTGGCGTGCAGTGGTGCAATCTCGGCTCACTGCAATGTCTGCCTCCCAAGCTCAAGTGATTCTCCTGCCTTAGCCTCCCGAGTAGCTGGGACTACAGGCGCCTGCTACCATGCCTGGCTAATTTTTGTATTTTTAGTAGAGATGGGGTTTCCCCATGTTGTCCAGGCTGGTCTCGAACTCCTGATCTCAGGTGATCTGCCCACCTGTGCCTGTCAAAGTGCTGGGATTACAGGCATGAGCCACCGCGCCCGGCCTCTACATAGTTTCTTCTCTGTGTGAGCCAAAGTTCCTTTTGTCACTGATAAGATAATTAGGGTTAATAGTTTCAGTGCAAAAATAGGATTTTGGAAGGTAAAAAAGTTCTGAAAAAACAAAATCTGACAAGGTTACCGCTTATATTCACTATAGATTATTGTTTCTTCTGGTTTTGTGGGTGTTCCAGTAGAAGGACTTGGGTGATTACCTTACTGGGCTTTTCCAGAGGATTTTCATGCATTTTTTATGTAGTTAGCATCAAGATTTTACTGGGGAAATTTGAGTTAGTTCTGTAAATACAATGGGATTAATTTTTTTTTGGGCTATTTTGCCCTTCTTGTTATTGCCTGAAGAAAGTAAATGCTTTCTGATGCCAAGGTGGGCAGATTACTTGAGGTCAGGAGTTCGAGACCAGCCTGGCCAACATAGTGAAACCCTGTCTCTACTAAAAATACAAAAATTAGCCAGGTGTTGTGGCAGGTGCTGGTAATCCCAGCTACTTGGGAGGCTGAGGCAGGAGAATGGCTTGAATCTGGGAGGTGGAGGTTGCAGTGAGCTGAGGTCCTGCCACTGCACTCCAGTTTGGGTGAGAGAGTGAGACTCCATATCAAAAATAAATAAATAAATAAAATAGAAAGTAAATACTTTCTGCAGAAAAGGAAACAATGTTTTTCAGGAAAAAAAATGACTGGAAGGAAATAGGTCAATATTATCAGTTGTTGCCTCTGGAGTTATGACTAATTTCTGCTTCTTTATACTTTGTTACATTTTTTATATTTTCTACAGCTAGAGTGTATTACTTGTAGAATCGGAAAAAAAAAGGAAAATAATGTGCATTATAACTGATTTTGACATGCCTAAGGAGACAAGCACTGGCCATTCAAATTGCAGATCCCAGAACCTTGGTTCTGAGCCATAAAAACTACAGGCTTGTTGATGTTTGTATGACTCTCAGAGCCCCCTGACATTTGGATAGATAGAAAGTGGTGTATTTAGCTGTGGGCCACCTTCCCATGGGGTTTGCTGGTGACCAAAGTCAGCAATTGTGTTTACAGCTTAAGTGGCAGAAAGGGCTCACCATTGTTGCCATTACTTGTGCGTGATTGTTTACCTTCTGCTCTCTGTGGGCATATGTTTATTATATTTATATTGCCCATTCAGTGTAGTTGTGCAATGGAAATGGACTTACAGGGTGGTGGGGAGCATAGGGGAATAATTTCAGTATTTCCTCTATAATTTCTACGTAGTTTAGTGGAGAATGAAAAATTTACCTGCCTGCTGTCTGAATGGCACTTGGTAAAGTCCTTAATGTAGTTTTGAATGTTAATTCTGGTTGGAGGAACTCCTTTAAATCATAAGATACTACCATACTTGAAAAAATTACTTAGAAGTCTAGTGTTTGGAGTCAAGAGACTGCTTTGTCACTTTGATCTTAGGGTTAGTACTTTTAACCTCTGAACTTTGTCATACTTGTCTGCAAAATGGGGATACAAATAATATTTTCCTTTAGGGTAGTTGTGGGGATATGTGAAAATCTTTTGTAAATCCATATATATTTAATTTATTGACTAAGCTAATCTTGCCAAATTACCTAAATTAGAATGGTGGTGATTTGGATAAAGTCCCTGAGTTCACAGCCTAGAGCCAAATTGCATTTGTCCATTCTACTTGGAAGGTGGGACATCAAAGATATATGGTTTTAATCTTATTTTTGTGAGAGGCTGTGCCTATTCGAATCTGCATAGCTTCCATTAAAAAACTTGAAAATAGTTCATTTTCTCTTCCTAATTACTTGGCAGAAATTTAGAATAGAAAGACAGAAGCTAGTAACAACCAACTTTTCCTTCACACTTCCAGATCAACAAAAGGGATTCTTGGGTCCTAGAGACCAAAGAAAGAATCAGCAGGAATGCCCAGGGTGAACTGATGGATTGCAGAGCCTAGCTGGTAATTACTTTCACTGAGCTAAAACATTAACTTAATACATGGGATCAGAGCCAGATGAAAATCAGAATTTGGATCTCTTCCTTTCCTGTGGATATCCCATACTTTCCTTCTGAAGGCAGTCTTCTCTTGGTGGGATAGGCCTGCTTCCTTTCCTAGGACATGGCATAAATTTTCATGCCACACTGGTAGACTGGAGTTGTATCATTTGTTGCCCTGGGCAACTTTTGGTGGGGATATGTGACTACTTAGGTCTGCTGGTTTCTAGGGTGGCAAGAAACCCCAGTTTCTTTTAAGACTTTTCAGCTGGATACCAGATATTGACAGACTCAATCTCATCTTGGTGTTCAAATTTTAAGTTGCCAAACTTTAGCTTTTGGACTTGTGTGACACTCTTACTAGATGCATACCTAGCCTCCAGCTAGGTGATATTGTGTCATCCTTAAGAGGCCAACGAGGTTTCATTTTAAAAGCTAGCTCATGTTGATTGTTAGTAACTTCCTAGTGTGTTGTGCTGTGAAAGATGGTGAAGTCATAATGAGATTCACTGGCATGATTGTTTAGTGATGTGTGTTTGCCATGGATTGGGAGGGGCATATATGTATTTTCAGAGGGATGTCAAATCTATAGTACAGAGGAGCTCATTTAATCTACAGTGCCCCCAACCTCATCCTTTCCATTGTATAGTGGAGAAGTTGGGTATCTAGAAAGATGAAGCTATTTCCAGCTTATTAGAGCCAAGTGTGGACTTGAACTCAAGTTTTCTGAGTTCAACTTGCTTGTTACTTTTTGGGGATAATAGTAGTAGCTACCTTATGGGATTTAGAGAAGGTTAAGTAAAAAAAAATCTATATTAAGCTTTAGGAATAGTGACAGACACTGAGAAAGATATAGTAAATGAAAGCTGCCATTATTGTCATCATCATCATTTTTACTTTTATCATTCCTGTTGCACTTTATTACTACCAACACCATATTTTGTGAGGTAGTCAGGTAGCTACCTTAACAAAAGCTACCTCTTGTTTTGTGCCATATCGTAGAAGCCCCACTTTTGCTAACAGACTGAAGCAAGTGTTCAACTTGCGACAATTTAAGGAAAATTTGACAGTATTTGACCTTGTACAGAGACCCACAAAAGGCATTAGTTGAAGATAAATAAATGGTAGTTAGCAATCCTAATTTGAATTTTTGTACACTTGTGTGTGTGTTTATAGATAATGTTTCCCATTTATAAAGATTTGTCAAATACGATTCTACTCAAGTACATTCTCTTGAAACAGCAGGAATTCTATGGAATAAGGATTTCTTTCTTTCTTTCTTTTCTCTTCTTTTCTTTCTTTTTTTTTCTCTTTCCTTTCCTTTCCCTTTCCCTTCCCTTTCCCTTTCCCTTCCCTTCCCTTCCTTTCCTTTTCTTTCTTTTTTTTTTGAGACGGAGTCTCACTCTGTCACCCAGGCTGGAGTGCATTGACGTGATCTCGGCTTACTGCAAGCTCCGCCTCCTGGGTTCACACCATTCTCCTGCCTTTCATGATTTCTTATTAAGCAGTCTCCTATACTTCCTTGCTTCCTGAGACTTCTTCATTAAATATGTACTATTTCAAATGTTTTAAATTTCCTAGTCCTGTCAGCACAGGGCTTTAAGTTAGAAGACATCAGTTATGAAATCTATCAGGGTGTAGTTATTTAAAGGACTAGACTTTTGTGAAATTTTTAATTATATGGGATTATACTTATGCTATATTAATTGAAAAGAAATGGATGTAAAACTATATAAAGTACTTACGAAAGAAGCCAAGTTAATTGTGCCTTGGTTAGATAGTGAATGGTTAATGCCATTTTGTGTCATACTGGCTTTGTCTCTGTTTTATGTACCTGCTGTCTCACTAACAGTGTTGCTTAGTAGAAGGAGTGTGGGCTTTGAAGTGAGATGGGTTTGGGGCTTCACTCCATTGTCTTCATTTAAGAGCTTTGAGACTGCGTAAATTGTCTCTCTGAGCCTTAGTTCTGGTTAGACTTGGATGCTCTCTCCTTTGCAAGGTTTCTTTATCCTGAAAGTGGCTTGCTCTTGGAGGTGCTTAGTAAATGTTAGCTCTTTTTCTCTTCCTAACCATGACCTTTACCTCCCATCCTCTTTCCCTGGCATTCTGCAAGGATTAGTTCAGGGATTAAAGCAACTTGGAAACGTTTTAGTTTCATACTGTCATTTTTAGTGGTTTGCCTTTTAAATCATCTCTTTACTGTAAAAGTCTTGGTTCCTATAAATCTCACACCCTTGGGAACCAAACTCATGACAATCATGAAGTGTCTTACTTCAAAGGATAAGAAAACCAAGCAAACCAAAATCATGATATCCTCTCTGGAGCAGTGTGTGTGAGCCTGGGATCAGCCTGGGAATGTTGGTTAATGGTGTCACCATCCTCCTCTCGCTGGCAGTGATGTGGAGGGTGTGGAGAGGACATGGGCTGAGCTAGGGTTTATAATTGCATGGCCGTCTGGCCTTCCTTGAGCATTCTTTCCCTTCCAGGATTCCTGTAATTGTCATCAGATGGCTCAGTCTCCCAATGTTTCCGGTATTGCAATGACTTCTGGAGTGTGTTTAAAAAAAAAAAAAAAAGCCAGAATTAGCAGTTAGCAGTCATCATTTGTTTGTGTCAGTTCTGTTGTGTGTAGAGGCGTGCAGATTGGGCGTCTCTGGACTGTAGAAAGACCGGTCACATGTGGAGTTCGCCTTACTATCTTGTGTTGAACCTTCCTACTTCCTTTGCTTATTCTTTTCCGCCTACACTGCTTTAAAGGACTCCCTGAAAAAAAAAGTGAGAAAAGATGCAGGCAGTGTTCCTGTTTTCAACTCTAGTCAGCCTTCTTTTTATTCTCATTGTTCTGGAAACTTGAGAGGATTGCATCTTTCTTGGATCTGCTAAAGGCCTAGGGAGGTTGAGAGTTGGACTGGATAGTGAGTGAACCCTGTGAAGAATGATTCCAAGTCTTGGGCTGTTCGTGGGCATGGAGGAGGAGAGAGTATTTGTATTTTCCTTTATCATGAACTTATCACTAAAGGCCCAAATATAGGAATATATCTTGCATGGGTTTTTTTTTTCCCCCATCAGATAAGCTGTTGTAATTTGAGCCTGACACTTCTTCTTGAGGAAGGGGAAAATTGTGTAAATGAAAAAGGACAGCTAATTTTTTGAAAAACAAATCTGGAGTGATTGAGAGGTCTAAACCCCCAAAAGTGTAAAATTGAAGAGAACTAATATGGTTAATTTTGCTTCATGGTGTTAGCTGAGGAATTGTGTTTTTTAAAAGCCCTTTGATTTACTGGCTCTTACTCACCTAATGGGTAAAGTATTATAGTTCATTGCATTCTGGTGCCTTTGTTTGTCTAATGGTGGAGTGTTTTTCTTAAGTTACAGGGACCCAGGCCTAGATGATGATAATGACTATAGTGCATCTTTACAAAAAACAGCCCTTTTACAGTTGTCATACGGATCTTTTAGAATAATTGAGGTGAATTTTAATGCCAACCCTGTTAATGATGTCTATCCCACCTCTCTCTTCCCAGGTGGCTGGGGGTGGCGGTTGGAAACAGGAGAGCCTTGGTCTTAATGAACAGACAGGAGATATCTCAAGATTAATGTGAAAAAAGCTCAGTCATGATAATTGCATTCCCCTCGGCAGTGATTGGTTTACGAGCAGTCATGTGATTAAGTTCTGACCAATACTTTGTAAGAGGAAGTCTGCTGGGGGACGGTAGTGAGAGTTTCCCATCTGGAATAAAAAACACATCACTGCTTGAAATGTGGCTGAGATGCTTACAGAGGAGATGGACCTTCTTGGCCAGCCTGAGGACAATACCTTGCAGTGAGAAAGGCAGAGCCATGTCACTGATACCCAGCACTGGGTGCTACCTCTCACTTGTTTTATAACCTATAACTAAGTCACACAATCCAATGTATATCATTTAAATAATTTTCTGTTTCAAGATGTGAAAGGCAAGGCCCGGCGCGGTGGCTCACGCCTGTAATCCCAGCACTTTGGGAGGCCGAGATGGGAGGATCACGAGGTCAGGAGATCGAGACCATCCTGGCTAACACGGTGAAACTCCGTCTCTACTAAAAAAAAAAAAAAACAAAAAAACAAAAACCACAAAAAACAAAAACTAGCTGGGCATGGTGGCGGGCACCTGCAGTCCCAGTCCCAGCTACTCGGGAGGCTGAGGCAGGAGAATGGCGTGAACCCGGGAGGCGGAGCTTGCAATGAGCCCAGATCACGCCACTGCACTCAAGCCTGGGGGACAGAGTGAGACTCCCTCTCAAAAAAAAAAAAAAAAAAAAAAAAAAAAAAAAAAAGATGTGGAAGGCAAGTACCCCTTTGGGTGGGATCGAAATCTAGAATTGGCCAGGCATAGTGGCACCCACCTGTAATCCCAGCCACTTGGGAGGCTGCAGCAGGAGAATCCCTTGAGGCCAGCCTGGGTAATGATGTAGTGAGACCCTGTCAAAAAAAATAAAAAGGACAAAAGAAAACTAGAATTGATCCTTCCCAAAGAAAATGTTCACTGGCTTGTTAAGTCATATCCTAACCATGTCATTTTCACCACTGGCAGAACCTTGATGAAAGGTGTGATGGGGTAAATACATTCGTGTTTGGTTTGTATGGTTTATATTAATTTAATTTGTTTCTGCTGTTTATAGTTGGATTTTCTTTGCTTAGGTAACTGATTTCGGCTTTGGATTGTTATGATTGATAATAAGAGAAAAAAGAATGTAAAGTGTTGAGAAATAGTCTAAAAAAACATTGTATTGTTGGAGCAGTTATTCAGTTTTCACAGTATTCCTTTGGGCAATTGGATTTGTTTTGGTGTCTGACTTTGTTGACAATCCTGTTGTTATATTAAAGCTGTTTCTTGCAGTATGTTTTCCCTTTTAGTTAAGAAAACTCACTTTATTTCCTAAGATGAATTATAATTAGGACTATTTGGTATTGAGAATCTTTTCTCACTTAATACCCCTAATGAGATACAAATGTTCTAAATGTATCCTTATGAGTAGATTATATTTAGAGAGGAATCCACTTATTTTAGTTAACTAATCCCTTTGCTTTTGTATCATACATCCTTATTAGGCTCCCACGTTCCTATTCCATATGGAATTCCTTGTGAAATCAGACCTCAGCAAACAATGTTATTAACTTTCAGGGTCAGTGTTACTGAAAATGTCAATGAAGTTTGTTGGTTTTACATACCTTGTTTTTATAGCACTCTAGCTTTTTTATACGCTTATGATAAATACGAATTCTTTCCCTCTTCTTGCAAAGTAAACTTTATTTCTTAGTTGGTTCCCCCCGCTGGTATTTATGCTTCTACTCACTAGAATTGAAGGAATTGAATGTATTTGAACTATTCTTTTGGCCCCTTCTGCAGACTGGGAATGGTCTTTCTAGCTTCTCAGATCTCTGCATATTGTGCATCCTTGTTCTTTTGCCAGAAACCTGAAAATTTCCCAGCAGAACTAACTGGCAATGATCTTTGAATTATATGAATCAGGTTTGCCTGGCTTCTAGGAGTCAATATTATACCCTTCTCAATGACTGTATCCTTCTTTCTGAGGAAAGCAGATAAGTTAGTGATGAAGTTTTGAAGAACTTCACTTACGGAGTTACACTTCCTGAGTTCAAATCCTGACTTCACTGCTTACAGGTTGCATGCTTTTGGACAAGTTATTTGACTTCTTTATGCTTTGGTATTCTGAATGGGGGTTATAATGCAACTGATCACGTAGGTTGTCATGAGGATTGTAAGTGAAAATTTGTAAAATGTTCTTAAAATAGTTCCTGGTGCATACTGAGTGTATAGTTGGTATGATGGTATCTAGTTGATTTTTTTTTTTTTTTTGGAGGGTCAAGGTCTTGTTCTATCACCCAGGCTGGAGTACAGTGGCATGATCTTGGCTCCTTGCAACTTCCGTCTCCTGGGCTAAAGGGATCCCTCCACCTTCACCTCCCAAGTAGTTGGGACCACAGGCACGAGCAACCACACCTGGCTAATTTTTGTATTTTGATAGAGATGGAGTTTTGCCATGCTGCCCAGGCTGGTCTCTAACTTCTGGGCTTAAGTGATCCACCTGCCTTGGCTTCCCAAAGTGATGGGGTTACAGGTGTGAGCCGCCGTGCCTGGCCTCTAGTTGAATTTTTAAAAGTACTTTTTAATCTATTTTCTCTTTTGGTCCTCACGCCACCCTGTGAAGAGGTAGTAGTATTACTTATTTTATAGGGCAAGTCATAGAAACACAGTGTCAGTATGTGACTTTGTTACTAGTAACAGTGTTCGAATTATAATCTAGATTTCTCCTCTCATCTGTTATAGTTGACTGTGAATGGGGTCTTTAGGAAGTTGCTGTGATTCTGTGATGTTATCAGTCAGAAGGTGTAATGGGAAGGGCATCAATCTCTGTTTCTTAAATTTGGCCCAGTGGTGAGCCAGTTCATTCTAAAATAATTTGTATTTGCTAAATGCAGATATTTCTCACTTTGCATGATTTTAATATACACAATTTTCAGTTGCCATGGTTAACTAAATAATACTAGTCCCTCAACACAGTCCAAGTTTCAGTTATCATGTTACATTAACTATAATTGTGGCCGGGCGCGGTGGCTCATGCCTGTAATCCTAGCACTTTGGGAGGCCGAGGCAGGCGGATCACGATGTCAGGAGATCGAGACCATCCTGGCTAACATGGTGAAACCCCGTCTCTACTAAAAATACAAAAAATTAGCCAGGCATGGTGGCGGGTGCCTGTAGTCCCAGCTACTCGGGAGGCTGAGGCAGGAGAATGGTGTGAACCCGGGAGGCGGAGCTTACAGTGAGCCGAGATCATGCCACTGCACTCTAGCCTGGGCGACAGTGTGAGACTCCATCTCAAAAGAAAAAAAAAAATCTATAATTGTATAAAATCCCATACACTAGCACTTCCTGTTATTTTGTTCATCAGCGGACAGCAAAGCATGTAGTCGTGTTGCCTTCTTGTCTCCCAGTGATAGACCCATGTAGCATTTCATAAAAATGGATAATTAAAGGGGAGAATTGTCAAAGATCAAAGTGCATCAAATAAATGAAGTGTTAAAATTGGATTAAAATTTTAGCTAATTGTAAACAGCATTCTTAAAAAAAAAAAAAAAAAAAGCTTACCAAGGGAATGTCAACTCAGCCAGTGTTCTAGAGGCTCTATATATTTAGCTAGGAGCACTTAGTGAAAGATAACTAACTTATCAAAGTCAGTTATGAAGTGGTTGTGATGAAAAGGATGAAGATGTAACAGAGGAAAGATGCTGGCAAAAAAAATCATATGAGAGGAACTCTCACAGATATTGTATAACTGTGAAAACACAAAGGATAAAATGTTGGAAGCAAGTCTGAACTTAGAAGGAAGTATACCTATCTACCAAGGCATGGAAAAGATGCTTGTTTAGAATTGTAAATTAGCAACGAGAATAAGGCATTCCCATTGAAACTACTATTGACACAGTTTTTTATAAATAAATAAAACAATTCTCAGAGTTTCTGATGTTTTAGAGTACTAAATAAATATACTTTTCATTTTCCTACACATTTATAGCTGATAGACAGTTTTTACTGTTTTGACAAAAAAATTAAAGGTCATAGAACAATCATAATATTTCTGTTGATTATTAAAATCATTTCATGGCCAGGCACTGTGGCTCACGCCTATAATCCCAGCACTTTGGGAGGCCGAGGCGGGCGGATCACGAGGTCAGTAGATCCAGACCATCCTGGCTAACATGGTGAAACCCTGTCTCTACTAAAAATAAAAAAAAATTAGCCAGGCATGGTGGCGGGCACCTGTAGTCCCAGCTACTTGGGAGGCTGAGGTAGAATTGCATAAACCTGGGAGGCGGAGCTTGCAGTGAGCCGAGATCGCGCCACTGCACTCCAGCCTAGGCGACAGAGCGAGACTCCATCTCAAAAAAAAATCATTTCACATGATTTCAGCGCGCATGATCACTTTTGTGGTATTGCATTATCATGCAAAATGAGGACTACCTGTATTTATTGAGCCAAGTAGGCACTCTTGTAAGTGATGAGGGTATACCAACAAAGTGGACAGGCCAAACCTGCCTTTAAGAAACATTTATTCCAATAAAGGCTTATTGAGTGTCTGCAGTGTGCCAGGCAGCATGTACACATGTGAATGAATAGTAGTTCGTTTCTCAGAGAATTTGGATCTTAGTTGACTGGTGAGAGACAAGACCATTATACTATAACATATGCCTATAACATGTATAATACATTTCTGTGAATGAAATAATAATGAAACACCAGGCATTGTAAGAGCCAAGAGGACACCTATCAAACACATAGCCTGAGTGTATGAGAGGTGGGAGAAGCAGGGAGACATGCCTGGAGGACTTAGGAATTAATCTGGAAAAGCTGCGTTGAAGAAGGGTACAGTGGTGAGATGCTTCTGCATGGAAAGCACAGGACATTTTAAAAAGTTGAGTGTTGTTGAAGTGTGTAGGGTAAGATATGGGCCAGATCAGGAACGCCATGGAACTTGTAGGCAATGGGGAGGGTCTATAGGGTTTTCCCCTAGTTTCTTTTAAATTAAGGTATAATTTATACACAGTAAAATGGACCCATTTTATTGTATTGTTTGGTGTGTTTGATATAAGTGCCATGGCCACCGTGACAATCAAGACGAAGAACATTTATATTACTCCCTAAAATCCCCCAGTGCTCCTGAGTGACTAACTCCTCCCACCCCCAGTCCCTAGCAACCACTGATGTTTTCTGCCCCTATAGTTTTGTGTTTCTCAAAATATCATGTAAATGGACTCATGCAGTATGTAGTGCTTTAATTCTGTCTCTTTCCTTTAGCATAATACTTCTGAGATTGATCCATGTTGTTGCATGTAAGAACCTTTGGGTTTTAAGCAGAATTATCTGTGAGATTTGGTTGGAGGATGGATTTGAGAGGAGCAAGACTAGAGACTTTGATTGTATTACAATTTAACCAGGTGCTAATGGAGTAGAGGGAATAGAGATGCCAAGGAGGAGCTTGGTTTGAGGTAGGAGGTGGAATTCGTTTCAACTAAGGTGGGGAATCTAGAAGGAAAAACAGGTGGGAAAGAGGAGGCCCTGCATATTGGACATGTTGAGGCTGAGGAGTGTGGGATTGTCCTGCAAGTCAACCTTGGCAGGGTGTGAGGCATATGAAGGAGTTGATTTCTCTCCTTCCTTATCCTCTGATCTTTGCCAGGATCAAATTTGCTAGGCACTGATCTTGTTAATTAAAGGGCTCCCTTTTCTCTTTATCCTACCATATCACCACCAAGAATTTGCTCCCAAGGCCTTGCCTTGGACTGTAGACTGTCATTGAATCAACTTGTCATGTTTAAAAGGAATGACCTCTTTTTTTTTTTTTTTTTTGAGAAGGAGTGTTGCTCTGTCGCCCAGGGTGGAGTGCAGTGGCGTCATCTCGGCTCACTGCAAGCTCCGCCTCCTGGGTTCACGCCATTCTCCTGCCTTAGCCTCCCGAGTAGCTGGAATTACAGGAGCCTACCACCACGCCCGGCTAATTTTTTGTATTTTTGGTAGAGACGGGGTTTCACCATGTTAGCCAGGATGGTCTCGATCTCCTGACTTCATGATCTGCCCACCTTGGCCTCCCAGAGTGCTGGGATTACAGGCGTGAGCCACCGCGCCTGGCCCAGGAATGACCTCTTTATGGAGTGTCATCAGCCAAGTCAGTTCATCTGTGGTTACCCATTGTTTTTCACTGGTAACGTAAAAATATCTGCGGAGATAGCTATGGTTTGCTTGGTCCGTGGAACTGGAAGTCAGAGAGTTCAGTTGTCACAAATCCAGGCTGGAGATTCTCTTCTGTAAAGATCCTGGACATCCTTTCCACCAGAAGGAGTTTTCTGGAACTGTATGTTTGAGGGTACTACATTTGAACCAGTTTGAACCAAATGTGATGGAATTAGTGATGAAGGGACACAATATTACCCATATTTAGGATGTGGCTGACTCATCTTGTGTGCTATGATTCAGTGATTCTAATTCAGTAACGGTTCTGAAGCTGCATCCTGGCTAAGGAAATAATTCTGTGCTTGATTAATATTGTCTAAGGGCAGGGCGCGTTGGCTCATGCTTCTAATCCTAGCACTTTGGGACGCTGAACCAGGAGGATCACCTGAAGCAAGAAGTTCAAGACCAGCCCGGGCAACAAAGTGAGACCCTCGTCTCTACAAAGAAGAAAGAAAATATTATCTACCTTTTGCCTAGGAGGGGAAGCACTGTAGGAAGCGGTGGCCAGAGTAGTTACCCTCTTTAGGTGATTCACCACAAAAATACACTCAAAAGGTACCGGATATAGAATAAGCCCACTACCGTAACTTCAGCTAACAGATCATTTCATCATCAGGATAGCTCCATGATGTAAAGCATGTCATTCTTGTCTCTTACAAGTGAGGAAATTGAGGCACAAAGAGGTCAAGTAACTTGCCCAGTGACAGACAGCTAATTCTGGCAGAGCTGGGATTTAAACTCAGGCAGCGTGGCTCCAGAGTCCATACTCTTTCATGCACATCATGCTGTTTTCAGAATTCTAGAATGCTAGCACCAGGCCGACTTAGGAAAATTATTTTGTTTCCCCGTTCTTCATTTTACAGCTAATAGGAGTAAAGTCTAGAGAGGGCTCTGAGATGACTGACTCAAGATCACAGGTGATGGTGGATGGAGGGAGAACTAGTTTCCCCCTGCCCAGGGCTTCTGACACTCTTGGAAGTTTTGTACCTTTGTCTTGGTTGCTTGTCAGTTTCACATCAGTGAAGAGAGATGTTGCTGAAGTAGGCAGACTGGCAAAATTGGTGTTTAATTCCATTCTTTACTTTGGCCTCAGCTCTCTCTTGCCTGGGAATGTACTAATTGGCTCTCTTCCTGTCCCCTCTGCCATTTATTATTTTCAAGGGAGCCTGGAATCACTGTTACTCGTCTCTAGCCTGTCCTGTTTAATCACTGATTGTCAGATCTTTTGCTCTTTCCAGTCCCTTCCCACTAAGAAGTAGGAGAGGGGAGAACCTGCCCAACCACGTGGGTTTGGGGTGAGTTTTGGGATGGGGGAAGGGAATTAGACTGTTGCAGGGTGGGAGTTATTGTGCCGCAGATCAATGACCTTCCCTTGAGGATGCCACTCTTTGTGGTTTTGCTCTTTCTGCCCCACCTGTATCACAGTCATCCTGTGGGTTCCCAGCAGGACTCTGCCCCCCACATTTGGGGCAGGGCCTCTCCCCCTTTCTGCAGTTGGGGTTCAGAGCTAGAGAGGGAGTTCTGACGAAATTTGCTTGCCCCATGCATGCATTCTCATGGAACCCTGATTATATGGTATCCGGGACAGAAAAGGGTTTACATTTCATATCTGTTGTAACTTTATTTTGAAGAGCCACAGTTTGGGGGATAAAGTAATTTTCTTTAATATTTGTTGATCTTTCTCTTAAAGTCTCGTGTGTAAGCTTATTCAGGTAGAGACTGACTTTTTTTTTCCCTCCGTTTCTTCTGTACTGGGTCTTTGTATGTAAAATTCTAAGTCCTGTTCTAGTCTTCTTCCACCTACCCAGGAATGAAGTTGAATATTAATGCACCATGGTCACCATTCTCCAATGGCTCAGTCTTTCTCCACATTTTCTATAATTAAGACTGTCCTTCCCAATTTCAACTCAAAATACCTGAAAAGACTCCTTGTTTAGTTAAGAGAAAGCAAATTTCCCCAGGTAAGTTCCCATATGTTTTCTGTAAAAACTAGCGCACACTTTCTTTGTATTTTACCTCTGTCAAATGAGATTCTTAGAAGAGTAATCAGCCATTCTAAGCCACTCCACTCTTTTGACTTATATTTTCATGGGTAATTTTAACTCTTTGGGTGCTGTCCAGAAAGTTTACTGCTGCTTCTCACAAGGGAAGGTGTCTGTGGTTCCCGAGACTACCCTCTTCCTGCCTTCCTTTCAGCTTCCTCAGAGGACCAGCAAGCTCCAGTTCTTCTAAATAGGTGCACAGGCCCAGAGGTGGATTTTCCTTCAAGGCCCTGGGAAAAGGCCCCAGCAATGTGTTCACATTGCCATTTGTTTCTGTCAAGTTTTTGTGTATTTTTATTTTTGCATACTTTTTTTTTTTTTTGGAGACAGCATCTGGCTCTGTTGCCCAGGCTGGAGTGCAATGGTGCAAGCTTGGTTCACTGATTTACTCAAGAATGGATGCGCCCAGCCTGCATCCATTCTTTCGTAAATAAATACATAGGCTGGGCGTGGTGGCTCATCCCAGCACTTTGGGAGGCCGAGGCGGGCCGATCACCTGAGGTCAGGAGTTTGAGACCAGCCTGGCCAACATGGTGAAACCTCACCTCTACTAAAAAAAAAAAAAAAAAAAGCCGGGTGTAGTGGTACAGGACTGTAGTCCCAGCAACTCAGGAGGCTGAGGCAGGAGAATTGCTTGAACCTGGGAGGTGGAGGTTGCAGTTAGGCAATAACGAGCCACTGCACTCCGACCTGGGTGGCAGAGCAAAACTCTGTCTTAACTAAAAAAAAGAAATACATAGCAAGAATTTCCATCACCTTAAGTAGTCACCTGATCCCCTTACTTTCCCCGTGGCCTCAGTTTTTGCAGTGGTGATATCTGTGAAATGGAGAACAACTGTTCATCCACACTATTAAACAGGAGGTGAAGGCCCTCGCACAAACCTGCCCAGTGGGATACTTTAAGGCTTGGGCAGTCTTGTCTTGCACTGCAATGAGAGCATAAATGTGGACACATATTAACCTCGCCTAGTGGGTAGTTGGGTTCAGCACAGGTGGGTTTAAAGTTCCCGTTCTTTTCTACAAAGTGCAAACACATTCCCTTTCCAAAAGGTACACTGGAAGCTGTCTTTATAAAATGCTTTGTAGCATAAGCACATACAGAGAATACTGTATTCATACTGTATTAATCAGCCTCTGTAAGTGTCCATTCTCTGGGTCTCACGGGCTTAAAAACTTGAATGATCGTCATCTTATTTCTTCTTCCACTCTTGTCATTTACCAAGTCCTGGAAGTAGATTGTTTTAGTTTGCATTGCCTTCTGGAACAGTCCTCTCCTTAAAAGAAAAAGTCTCATTATTATTGCTCCGCAGTTGGAGGGCAGGGGAGTGGTTTATACTGTGAGTTCACATCACTCTTTTAACTCCTTTTCATTCCCACTGACCTACTATAGGCTTGTTGCAGTACCTGCCCACTTTAACTTTAGACTTTCTCTAGGATACTCTAGTGATTGAGATTGGAGGCTTTTAAAAACACCTCTGACTTTGCCAGTGCTCAGCCCCAAAACTTCATTTATTGCAGACTCTCTGTATTCAGAGTAAGCCCTTACCTCTGTGCTCAGTATCCCTCCTTGAGTGTAGGCTTGCTTACCTTTCTACCTCCATCTCTTTCTGACACTCTTTTGATATTGTGTCCTATCCATATTGTTTCCCAGGAATACCTCTTATTTTGCAGTCTTTTTCTTAAGGCACTTATTACTTTGTCCCTTGTGGGACAATTATTTGTACATTTGTATAGCGCTCCAAACTAGATTTAGAAATTCTTGAAAATACTTTATTTACTTTTAGTAGTGGTAGTATAGTAGTAGTAGTGGTAAATAGTTAAAAAAGTAGCACCAGACTACTGCAAAGACCTTAGGGCAACATCCCCTGAATACTCTGAACCCTAATTATCTGTTTGCACAGCTGTCTTCCCTGCTACATTGTGAGCAACTCCAGGGCTGGGACTGTGCTCCCAGAATCTCCAGTGCTACAGCAGTGTGGCAGGAAAGTCTTTTTGACTAAGAAGATAGTCATGTTTGTTTCTTATTCATGTGATGCTTTCCTCCATTCCTTGAATAGGAATTTTTTTTCTTGTTTTAAGCAGAAATTTTGCCTTTTTCCCAAATTCACTGGAAAAATCGGATGCTATTCCACTGTTAATTGAGGTGTCACTAATTACTTTGCTTGAAATTTCAATTATTCTAAAATCTTCCAACATTTTCATATATGTATCGATATTTTAAAAATATAAAAGAATTTTAAAACTTACATTTGGAAAATTTACCAATACAGTTTTGGCTAATTGGGTTGTCAGTTAGCCAAAGGTTAGGGATGATTGATCTAGTTTAAATATAGCTTTGCGATTTCATTGAAATTACTTAAGAAAAAATATTTCTAGACAGCATGGAAGAAAGGTGAATATAATAGTGGTTTAAATGAAGTAGAGGTTTAATTTGTGAATTAATTTTTGAGATTGTTATAGAGATACTGTGATCAAGTGCTAAGTCAATAATGTAAAGCAGTGCATATCATTTGAAGCTGTTCCCAAATATATCTTAAAGCTAAATCAATATTAAAACTGTCCTAAATAGTAAAATTGTTTAATCATTAGACAACCTGAGCTTTATGTAAATTTGTAGACTCTTGAAACTTGTCGTATGCAGAAGCGTAAGCGTAGCTATAACATAAGCATAAACCATTGTGATTTGCATAATTTATCTCTTCAGCATAAATATTGTACTTGTAGAGTAACATTTTTGTCCTGGAAATCAGATTTTGGTTGTCTGAGTATTTGTGGGACTGGAGGAGGTTTTAGGTTTATGTTTGTGTTTAGATTAAATTTGAATGGTGAGTTAAGATTTATGGTGAGCAGTGTGCAGAATGTTTTATTTACTTTTTCAAAGCTTATGAATAAAAGCAACATCTGAATCTGATCTTTGGGAACCAAGTTCAGGAAATGTGGTATAATCTATTTTAATTGTCTCCCTTAATTTCAACTTACTTCTGTTTATTTGCAAATTGTGTATTTAAGACATTAACATATTTAATACCCTGTTATTGGATATATTTAACTTTCTACTAGCTTCATGCTTTCAGAGTTTTGAACTCTGAAAACACAAGCAGCATTAAGACCTGTCTTTTGCTTAAAGTACTGAGTGATTACACTCCGATGTTTTCATTATATGAAACACCCCTGCTTTACTTCAGAGTAAATGCTTCTAAGAATTAGGCATGCCTAGCTTCTAAGGTAGACTATTCACTTACTCACTCATTCATTAATACATTCACTTTTTCCAAAAATGAATATTCCATGTTCATACTATGTGCTAGGAATGATAGTGGATATAGTAGTGAACAAAAGGTAGACGTTTCTGGCCTTCAGAGTATCTTAGAGTCTGGTAGGGGAGGAGAATATGAAACCAGGCAACCACAGTACCACGTACTATGATAAATGGTGTGGAACCCCTAAGCCCAGAGTTCCATCGGCACATATGTGAGTGGTGCCCAAAGTCTTCCTGGAGGAAGTGACACCTCTGCCTCTTTATTCTTCAGAGTCAGCCAGTGGAAGGGGTCTAGGAAGGGTTGCTACAAATGCTTCTGGTACAAAGAACAACATTGGTAAAAGTCCAGAGAAAATAGAGAAGTCAGCACATTAGACTAGTATGTAAAAACTTTAGGCAACTAGAACTCAAATAACTAGAACTCTCATTTTGGCTCAGAAAAATTTTCCTCTGCATTTTACTTGATGAGGAGATGAAAAATGACTACAAACTTATTGATTTCTTACCCCGATAGAAATACTCATTTATTCTAAAAAAATTTAATTATACAAAATTATTATTATTATTATCATTATTATTATTTTTTTGAGACAGAGTCTTGCTCTGTCACCAGGCTGGAGTGCAGTGGCACAATCTCGGCTGACTGAAACCTCTGCCTCCTGGGTCCCAGCAATTCTTCTGCCTCAGCCTCCCGAGTAGCTGGGACTACAGGTGCACGCCACCACGTCCAGATAATTTTTGTATTTTTAGTAGAGATGGGGTTTCCTCATGTTGGCCAGGCTGGTCTCGATATCCTGAGCTCGTGATCCGCCCCCCTCGGCCTCCCAAAGTGTTGAGATTACAGGCATGAGCCACCACGCCCAGCCTATACAAAATTATTAAAAATTGAAAGTCATAATAATATTATATAGATAATCTTACTTGTCATTTTGTAAATATCCTTACCAGTTTTCTCCTTTCCATCTTTGGTTTTATAAAATTGAGATGATATCAAATATGCTATTTTGTAACTGATATTTTACAGTTAACATAAAAAGCACATTGTGTTCATATCATTGGAAGTATTTGTAAAATATCAATTTTAATGGCTGTATAATATTCTATCATCAACTATTATTCATTTATACATCATTTATTATATATTTTCCAATATACTTGTATTGGAAAAGTAGATTGTTTCTAACTTCTTGTTGTTTTAAAAATTCTGCCACGAATGTGTTTATATTGAAACATTTAATTAAATCTTTCATATTTCCTTTCAGCACTTTGGGAGGCCAGGGCGGGCAGATTGCCTGAGCTTAGGAGTTCGCGACCAGCATGGGCAACACAACGAAACCCCGTCTCTACTAAAATACAAAAAACTAGCTGTGCCTGGCGGCTTGCGCCTGTAGTCCCAGCTGCTCGGGTGGCTGAGGCAGGAGAATTGCTTGAACCTGGTAGGTGGAGGTTGCAGTGAGCCACGATTGCGCCACTGCACTCCAGCCTGGGCAACAGAGCGAGACTCCATCTTAAAAAAATATACATAATAATAATAATAAAGTTATAGCCTTTCTTCTGTGCCCCTGCTTTTTTTTGTAGGTATGCATTGTCTGCCACCTGCCTCCAATATCAGTCCAGCCCTGATCTTCAGACCTTTGGTGCAAATTTGAAAATGAATCTTTTTTGTATCTGTTCAAGTAAAAGCGTATCAGCTGAACAAAATGTTACGTGGCTGGACACAAAACTGAAGGGTAATGTCGTTTTGCATTAATAAAAACATGAAACAATTAGATCCCATTTTTTTAGAGTGCCCACTCTAAAAAAAAGAAGTCCCTGGATAAAGCGTTTTATCTGGAGATAGCTTCTCTCTCTCTTTTTTTTTCAAACAAAGGAATTATATCTTATAGAGAATTTTCTTTAAGTGCATGATTAAGTACTCTTTTTGGTTAGTGAATTGGAATAGATCTGTTATTAAATAAATACCTCTGTAGAGTTAAGAATTAAAAGAAAACTGGACTTGTTTCTTAGGTAAAGTAAACATTTTTTTTCTTAAAGATGTCAAGGATGTTTCCCACATAGCAAGGTATTCTATCTTAATACTAGAAGCCACTTGGTTTACAGGGGTTTTATTTTTTGCAGATTTTTTGCTCTTCTGGGGCTGAAGTCCTGTTGTTTTCATCTGTTTATCCTGTGTTTGCCTTACTGTCCAGTACATCATAGATAACCAATAAGTGTTAAAAAAGCCCAATACTTTTTAAAAAGCTTTATTGAAATGTAATTCCCATAATATACAATTCACCTACTTAAGATTTTTTTTTTTTAAGGCGGAGTCTTGCCCTGTCGCCAGGCTGGAGTGTAGTGGTGTGATCTCGGCTCACTGCAGCCTCCGCCTCCTGGGTTCAGGCGATTCCCTTGCCTCAGTCTCCCGAGTAGCTGGGACTACAGGCGCCCGCCACTACGCCCAGATAATTTTTGTATTTTTAGTAGAGACGGGGTTTCCCCATGTTGGCCAGGATGGTCTTGAGCTCCTGACCTCATGATCTGCCAGCCTCGGCCTCCCACAGTGCTGGGATTACAGGCGTGAGCCACCGAGCCCAGCCAAGATGTTTTTATTAGTTTCAGTAGTTTTTTTTTGTTTTTTTTTTTTTTTTTTTTTGAAACGAAGTCTTGCTCTGTCACCCAGGCTGGAGTGCAGTGGCGCGATCTCGGCTCACTGCAAGCTCCGCCTCCCAGGTTCGCGCCATTCTCCTACCTCAGCCTCCCTAGTAGCTGGGACTACAGGCACCCGCCACCGCGCCCGGCTAATTTTTTGTATTTTTAGTAGAGATGGGGTTTCACCATGTTAGCCAGGATGGTCTCGATCTGCTGACCTTGTGATCCGCCCGCCTCGGCCTCCCAAAGTGCTGGGATCACAGGCGTGAGCCACCACGCCCGGCCAGTTTCAGTAGTTTTTAGTATATTGTCTAACTATCACTACATTCAATTTTAAACCGTTTTTATTACCTCAGAAAAGAAACCCGTACCCTTTAGCTTTCACCTTCCTGGCCCCCCCACAACACTGCCATTCCTCCAGCCATAGGCAGCCACCATAATCTACTTTTTCTCTATGGATTGCCTCTTCTGGACATTTCATACAAATGGAATTATACTATATGTGGTACTTTGTAACTGGCTTCTTTTTATATTTTCAAGGTTCATCCATGTTGTGCCATATATCAATATTTTATTATTTTCTTTGCCTCTTAATATTTCATTGTATGGATAGGTCACAGTTTTATTTATCCATCAGTTGGTCAATCAAATACTTTTAAATATGTAAATCAGCTTGGGTGGTTGTGCCTTATAAAGGCAAAAATGAAGGTAGAACTGAAGTTGTGATATCCTAAATTGGAAATGCCTTCAGAGCTTGTTAGTCGTTAAGGTATATATAAGTATGTTTAGAATTAAGCTTATATGTTGTTGGGTTTAAGATAATAGCACATCAATCAGTAGGATCTTGTCAGTTTTACCTCTTGGATACTTCTTAAATCTGCTTTCTTCTACTTACCTCTGGTAACTATCTAATCAAAATCTTTTTTTTTTTTTTTTTTGAGAGAGGGTCTCTCTGTCACGCAGGCTGGAGTGCAGTAGTGTGATACTGGCTCACTGCAGCCTCCACCTTCTGGGCTCAAGCTGTCCTCCTACCTCAGCCTCCTTAGTAGCTGGAATTACAGGTGCACGCCACCATGCTTGGCTGGTTTTTTTTTCTTTTCTTTTCTTTTTTTTTTTTTTTTTTTTACAATTTTTGTAGAGATGGAGTAACCTAGGTTGGTCTTGAACTCCTGACCGCAAGCAATCAACCATCCTTGGCCTCCCAAAGTACTGGGATTACAGGCAGGAGTCTGACATCTAATTAACATCTTTTGTTTGAACATTGCATTACCACTGCCATCCCCAAAAGAAGGCAAAAGGAGCATTTCTAAAAATATCGTTTTATGTTAGGGGTCAGAAGTCTTTAACATAACCTGCTTGGCTGCCTTCACATCAGACCCTTGCTGCCTTTCCCCTTCCTCTGCCCTCCTATTCTTTAATACTTGTTTTGTATTTAACAGAGGATAATGGAGTCCTTTCTGAAGTTGTTTGGGCATCTGAGATTTCAGCTTATACCACTTTGAGAACTATGCATTAAGGATCTCGTTTGAAGCCTTGTGCAGTGGAAAGAGCTCAGGCTTGGAAGTCTGGTAAACTAGGTATAGGCTCTGCGGTCCAATGTGCACTAGAAGTGTGCTTGTTCCTTTTGAGCCTTTTATCTGCAAAATACAGATGCTACCTTGCAAGTTGTTGTGAAAGAGAAATAATGTGAAAGTATCTGACACATAATATGTGCTTAATAGATTGTCCTTTCTGTTTCTTTTTTGGATTATTGTTTTGAATGAAGTGGCTTAGGTCATCATGTTTTTTTGGCTGAAAAGAAGGATTTATATATATTATGATCATTGTTGGTAGTTTGGGGGTTTTTTCTTCCAAAGTTTGTGTCTTTGTTTCAGAATCCTGTTTTCATGAAGACTCTGGAATTTTGTCACTGCTCTAATACCTCTGCCAGGCAGCAGCACTCCTTTGGGTCTCTGCCAATAGAGAACATCATTTATTGCCTTAAAAAGAAAGTATTTGTGTGTATGTATCTTTACAATATCCTCATTATGAGAGTAATTGTAGTATTTGTGTGTATGTATCTTTACAGTTTCCTCATTATGAGAGTCATTGTTTTTCATTTATAAAATAGGAAAATGCAGAAAATAGAGAAAAGGGGAGGAGAAAATAAAATTCATTTGCCATTTAGTCACCTACTGTGGCCATTCTAGTTTATACTTTTCTAGTCTTTATTCTATACACATCTACATACATATATGTTAGTGTGGCTTTGGAAGTAGAAGTTAGATAATAGTATGTGTTTTGTTTAATTGCTGTTTTCTCATTGCCAGTATAGATATTTTCAGTGTTTAGTAACATGGAATGTATATAATTTTTTTCCGGTCTCAGAGAATTCCATTGTATGGGAGTACCATACTTATTGTCACCACTTCTCTTTGGGAGGACATTTAGGTTGTATCCAATTTTTTGTTATTATAAACAGTGCTTGCTTTGATTTTACAGTCATGCGTGATTCTGACATGCTTTTTACATCCTAACAGTTCTTTTTTTTTTTTTTTTTGAGATGGAGTCTTGCCCTGTCGCCAAGGCTGGAATGCAGTGGTGCAATCTCCGCTCACTGCAAGCTCCGCCTCCCGGGTTCACGTCATTCTCTTGCCTCAGCCTCCCGAGTAGCTGGGACTACAGGCACCCGCCACCATGCCTGGTTAATTTTTTTGTATTTTTAGTGGAGACGGGGTTTCACTGTGTAAGCCAGGATGGTCTCGATCTCCTGACCTCGTGATCTGCCTGCCTCGGCCTCCTAAAGTGCTGGGATTACAGGCGTGAGCCACCGTGTCCAGCCCCTAACAGTTCTTATGAAATAATTTCCCTGAGGTTTGATGATAAATTCAATTCAAATTTGCTCCTCATGTTTTTCACAGGTCTTTTGAATATTACAACTCATGTGGCAGAATGTCCCTGTTCTCCTTTTTGCTCTTCATCTGGTACTAGTTTTCTAATGTGTTCATACCCCCACATCCATTTACCTTGGCTAAGACTCTTCTTGCCTTTGTCTGCCCCAAACCACTGTCCTATCGTTTATTTATTTATTTATTTACTTTTATTTTTTAATTTATTAATTAATTATTTTTTTTGAGACAGGAGTCTCACTCTGTCGCCCAGGCTGGAGTGTAGTGGCGCCATCTCGGCTCACTGCAACCTCCGCCTCCTAGGTTCAAGTGATTCTCTTGCCTCAACCTACTGAGTAGCTGGGATTACAGGCGTGTGCCACCATGCCCAGCTAATTTTTGTTTTTTTAGTAGAGATGGGGTTTTGCCATGTTGACCAGGCTGGTCTCGAACTCCTGACCTCAGGTGATCCGCCCACCTTGGACTCCCAAAGTGCTGGGATTACAGATGTGAGCCACCACGCCTGGCTGCCACTGTCCTATCTTTTAAAGAATGATTCCTTCATATTCGTTTCTTTCAATTGACCCTTATTATTAACTTCATTAATTTGTTTCCTTCGTGTTGCCCATCATATCACCTCAAATTTGGAATTACTTAAGTGTTTAATTTTTTAAATTATTCTGAAAGAGAGTGCTTGCTTTCTTTCACATAACAGAATTAGTGGAGTGGTTTGTATTATGCATTACAATTAAAATTACGTCTTTACAATTAATTGGCTGTTGCTCTAAATTGGGATATTTCTGAAGTTATTTTAAATCCAGGACTGTTTTTCTTTCCTTTGTGTCTGTTTCTTGCCTACAGCTAGTTGATTATATCCTTAAGGAGTACTAGCCATTTTAAATAATTTTAATCTGAATTTAAATAAATCAAGGTGGCTGGGCGCTGTGGGTCACCCCTGTAATCCTAGCACTTTTGGAGGCTGAGGTGGGCAGCTTGCCTGAGCTCAGAGGTTCGAGACCAGCCTGGGCAACATGGTGAAACCCCGTCTCTACTAAAAATACAAAAATAGCAGGGCGTGGTGGTGGGCTCCTGTAATCCCAGCTACTTGGGAGACTGAGAGAGGAGAATCGCTTGAACCCAGGAGGCGAAGGTTGCAGTGAGCCCGAGATGGTTCCATTGCACTCCAGCCTGGGCGACAAGAGCGAAACTCCCTCTTAAAAAAATATGAATAAGTAAATCATGGTGTGTATTCTAAAGCCATAGTTATAAACTTGAGGGGTAGGTAATACGGAGGAGTTTCCTGCAGGTCCCCGTGGCTGAAAGTCAGCGTAGAAGTGCCTGACCTGGTCGGGGTTCCACTTCTGGTCTCAGTCCTGCTGAGGCAGCAGCTGCGTTGGTCAGGTAGGTTTTGGTTTTGGACACAGTGGCCCACCGCCGCTGTACATTGCAGGATTATTTCAGTTCAAAATGAACTGATTGCTGAGCTCCTCTGCAGCCTTCGTGTTGCAAGGACTACAGTTTGTGGAGGCCCGGCACCACCAGCCTCATTGAGGACATTGACAAAAAATACTTGGTCCTGCTTCAAGATGGAAGGACACTTAATAGACTTAAGAAGTATTGATCAATTTGGACTTGGAAAATGAGAATGACACACCCCTCCAGCAAGTATCCATTGAAGAAATCCTAGAAGACCAAAGCGTGGACCAGCAGACCAGGCTGGAAGTAGAGGAACTGAAAGTTCAGGCCCACTGGGATCAAGGTCTTTCCATTCCTTGAGCAGATACTCTTGATGAGTATTAAGTCCTCTGCTCAGAAGCTATTGCTCTTGAAGAGTAAGGGCTGTCACTGAATGAAACTGATACCCTGGTTACCTCACACATTTGACCAGGGACTGTAGTGTTTCTGAAAAATCATTTTTAGTTTTAATTCTAGCACACATACAACATGAAGAAATCATGGGAGTTTTTTTTTTTTTAATAACGAAATCAGTGTTTAAGGAAACAGTGGTATGGACTCCTTCACTGTGGAGCCAGCAGCTACTTCTGTATATTGCTCTTCTTATCCCAAATTAGAGTTTATAGGGGACATTCTTCATTTACTTATAAATAAAATATAAATCTCAAAAGATGCCATGAATCTCAAAAAGCGATTAAACTTGAGCATGCATCAGTATCACTTGCTTGTCTTGTGTAATCACAGATTGCTGGGCCCCTACCCCCAGGTCTTTTGATTCTGTAGTGGTCAGGGTCTGATAATTTGCATTCCTGGCAAGTTCCTGGATGATGCTGTTGCTGCTACTTGTGAGACACTACTTTGAAAACAACTGTTCTAAAGGAACCTAGAAATAATGTTTGCATTATCTGTATTCCTTGTAATTACATGTATTTTTTCTCTTTACTGTTGTACATGACAGATATAACTGAGCATATTTTAGTAAAAGCAAAAACAAATAAAAAACGCTTCATTGGCAAAATACAAGAGGGTCACTGGATAACAGATATACAGTCTTTTGTGGGATAGGCCAGCAGATAAGGCATCCAGAGGCTTAAAGCACTCAGGGTCCTGGGTTGTTCAGCCCAAAACAGGTTTCCTTAAATATTTTGTAGCCTTAGTTTTTTTGTAGAAAAATGGCGACTGCTACCAGATCTCTCTGGACCCTTTAACTCCTAAATCTGTAGTCAGATATTCAGTATGTTTAAACAGGCTTACAATACTGCAAATATCTTGATTAAGAAATGCTTGTATGTTTTTAGTAAATGTTCAGAGTAATTTAATAAAAGCCTTATTTGTAAGTTTTATCACAATGGAGATTTAAAAGTTGGATGAGGAAATAAACATTGAAATCATAGATATTCCAAATGTCTTTCGAAGCCTGAGCTACAGCACAAGCTATGGTCTGTATGTCAGGCCTGATAGAATGTAAGGTTGAGCCCAGAAAAAAGGAGGTGGTTACAGAAATTTTTAAATGGAATCGAAACTGTCATTGGATGCATTTGGTTCATCAGATCCAGATTCAGTTCGATGTGCAGTTCTGGTTCCTTATCAGATGTAACGAATAGTAGTTGTACTTATTAGTATACTGGCAATTTAGGCCGGACACGGTGGCTCACGACTGTAATCCCAGCACTTTGGGAGGCTGAGGTGGGGCCGATCACTCGAGGTCAGGCGTTCGAGACCAGCCTGGCCAATATGGTGAAACCCTGTCTCTACTAAAAATAAAAAAATTAGCTGGGTGTGGTGGCGGGTACCTGTAATCTCACCTACTTGGGAGGATAAGGCATGAGACTCCCTTGAGCCTGGGAGACAAAGGTTGCAGTGATCTGAGATTGTGACGCTGTACTCCAGCCTGGGCAATAGAGTGAGACTGTGTCTTTAAAAACAAAACAAAACAAAACAAAACAAAAAAACATACTGTCAATTTGGACCTTTGGGCTTGAAGTTTTTTCTATATGACAGCTGAGATTGGGGGCGTGGGATAATACCATCTGCAACTTGTTGGCAAGCACATTATTTGTATTCAAATAGAAAGGACGTACTGTTAGAAAATGCGCAAAGGGAAAAAGGCTTTTGTAGAGGTCATTTGGCATGTAGGTGTATGAAAGGTGAGGCTACAGCAACACCCAGCAGCTGATAAGACCATACACAGTGTAAGATGAACGGAAAGTTTCCTCCAAGCACCTTGGGCTCTCATGTTAAGACTTGGTAAAAAGGTTGCTGATGCTTCATTTACTGTAGCGACAAGCCCCTTTATCTCAGCGGCTGTCAATGTGAGTTGGAATTTCACATCTTTTTAGGAAGTCTTTTGGACCATTTTAAAATTATTATTATTGCACTGTCCCTCACCTTTTTTTTTTTTTTTTCTGATTGCATGACGTGTAGTCCTCTTTTCTTGTCAGCAATTAGGAGAAAAATCTCAACAGAACGAGAAAACCTTGTGACGCTGAAAAGATTTGCCTGAAGTGTTCCATGTAAGCAGTGGGAATGGACATACACTGAAAGAGAGAGGGGAAAAAAGGCTTTTTGTTGAGAGTGACAGGCAGGCAGGATGAGCAAAGTTTAACCTAAATCCTTTCATTGATATTGCAAAGTCATAAGCCTTCATATGACACTGCCACATTCAACTCACTGTATGATCTGGAGTTCAGTAGCTTGTACCATAGTGCATGTGTGTGTACAGTGCAAACATTTTATGAACTGCAGTGTCTGATCCATCCGTCTGTCTGGGCAAGAGTGTCCCTTGATAGTAAAAAGAACAGCAATCAGGACAGAATTGGTCAATGCGGCATGTCTAATAGTGGGAAGATATTTGAAGGACTCACTATAGACACAGTAGTCTCTCTAAATAGCCTCTTTGCACCCGGAGTCTTATTGCAAACAGGTTCATTAAGGAGAGACATTCTGACACACAGCATCACAGTAATGAAAGTAGCTCTGTTTTTCTAATATTGTATCTTGCCACTTCAGTTAGGCTGCTAGTACAAGATTTCCCTTGTGTTGTTGTATGTTTCTCCAGAAAAAGAATCAGTCTTCATAGAATATACAATTATTTTGTACGGGAATGTATAACTCCTACCTAAGATCCAGTCTTCCCTGTTTATGTGCACTAGTGCAAAAATAATTGGCAAACACATCCTCCAGACCAAAAGATTCCAGCACCTTCAATTTGTTGGGCTTGAAGACGTTGAACCAGTTATAATAAACTTTAAAAAAATGTGTAATGTTCAAAATGGATTTGTGATCAATCATAAAAGACAAAAAAAAATTAGTACAGTTTCCCATGAGGTGTGAGGTTTTTTTTCCCTAGGTTTTAGCCAACTTCATATAGTATCAGTTCAAAGAGGGGGAAAATGCAAAAGGTTTTCATCTACTAAGCTTTACATATAACTACTATATGATGACTTAAGCTATTGGATTTTCTGCCTGTTAATGTACAGCGTGAACATTATGAACAAGGAAAAAAATGTTATATTGGTTTAAAAGTGGATATGGAAAATTTAATGTGCTCAAGTGGGAACAATGGCATATTAAAAAAAAACACTCATGACACAGATCTAATAATTCACTTGCCCCTGTAGGAGAAGGGTATCAACTCTGATACTGGCTCACAGTTTATTTTTATATACACCCCTGGTCCCTGCAGTATACCCCGTGTGTGGGTTCCAGAGAAAAGAAAGAAAATAACCTGTAGGGAAATCAGCCTGGAAACCTTTCATTAAATACATTGTACTTTGTATTGTGTCTTTCACAGACTCTTCAAGAAATAAAGGAAAAACCTGTTATCAGTCTGCATGTGTAAAATATTGTATTTGAATACTATCATTTGTTTTAAGATTAAGGCTGAGGCTGCAGACATATTAGTTATTATTCACTTACATCTGGTAGATAATGCAACAGGGATTTAAAAATTCTTTTTCCATTTATAGTCCCTGCCATCCTCCCCCCACCATGAACTGTAAAGATACTACTTTAACTTAAAACTGTGCTTGCTAAAATATTTCAATGTTGGAAATGTTGCCTCTTTATAGAGGATTAGGGTTGTGAGGGTAATAAAATCAGTCTTGAATTTCTTGGCGGAGTTTATCTGTCATTTAGCAAAAGATGCCTTTCTAGGGAAAATTGAAGAAAGTGTTAAATACATTCTTTTATGAGAAAAAATATAAATGGTAAGAGTGTAACTGTGAATAGTGACACCTTTATCAAGTTGAATGTCCTTTGGAGTGAGGCTTTGTCTTGTCATTATAGTTCATGTATTGCTGTTGGTGGGCTTTTAAAATCTATAAACGTCTTATCTTTTTTGCTGACTATTCATGCAGGATATGCTAGGCAAGCCAACTGTGACACATACTCTGCCTATACTTGTAGCTGCCTCTTGGATGAAAATGAACACATATCTTAAAACCAAACCTTGGGTGCCATATAGCAGTATTTAATGAACTTCTGGGATTGCAGACAGTAAGAGCCAAGTTTTGATCTCACATACCTGGGAACACATTGTCCTACACAATCTGTTGAAAGATTTATTATTTCTGAAGTAGCTTGTGTTAAAAACCTTGTTTTAAGTATAGAGGGTTGTAAGCCTATCAGTCTCAGCAAATTGATACCTTTTTTCACGTCTGTTAGACTCAGTGCCACCTCTTGTCCTGAGGACAGATATAGCACATTCCACTCCATATTAGGTATCCTTGCTAAGAATTCTTTTTTTGGGGGACAGAGTCTCGCTCTGTCACCCAGGCTGGAGAGCAGTAGTGTGATCTTGGCTCGCTGCAACCTCTGTCTCCTGGGTTCAAGCGATTCTTGTGCCTTAGCCTCCTGAGTAGCTGGGATTACAGGCATGCGGCACCATGCTCAGCTAATTTTGTATTTTTAGTAGAGAGGGGTTTCGCCATGTTGGCCAGGCTGGTCATGAACGCCTGGCCTCAAGTAATCCACCTGCCTCGGACTCCCAAACTGCTGGGATTATAGGCGTGAGCCACCGAGCCCAGCCCTTTTCTTTTCTTTTTGTGACAGGGTCTTGCTTTGTCGCTGAGGCTGGAGTGCAGTGGCATGATCTCGCTATCTTGGCTCACTGCAGCCTTCACCTCCTGGGGTTCAAGCGATTCTCCCACCTCAGCCCCTGAGTAGCTGGCTCTACAGGCGTGCACTACCATGCCTGGCTAATTTTTGTATTTTTTGTAGAGGTGGGGTTTTACCATGTTGCCCATGCTGGAAAAAAAAAAAAAATTCTTGAATGACTTGAGGGTAGGGTTTTTGAAAAATAGAGGTGTGCTGTTAGATGTAGAACTTCTCAGGTGAAACAGCCCCTGGGTGATTGGTTACCATGGTCATTGTGGGTAAACTCCTGATTTGGAAGTAGTTGCTCCAGTATTCATATGGGTCATTTTGGTTCCTTTCTGGCTTCAGAAGCCTGTCAATTGAGTTCTTAAGCCAAAGACCAAGTTAATTTAGAGATGTCGATGTCAGTAATTTACCTTCTGATTGTCAGTGAATTATTTAAGAAGTATCTTACTATTTTTCTAAGGTGAATGAGCTTTGGGGAGAGGTTTTTCATAACCACCATCTCTGTTTTACCTGAATAGAAAGAGCACAATCAGCCCATATCTGTGACTACACAGGGTTGGCCCTGATCTTAGGGTGGCAGTGGATGAGCATCCACTGTCAACTCTCCTGTATCTCTGGGTGTTCAGTGCCTCGCATTCTGAGATTTGGCCCATACCTTCCAGGTTAGCATTGAGCCATGGGACTATGTTAGTTTCCTCTGCTGTTGAACTGCTTTAGGAAGAAAAGACCTCCTTGTTTCTGGCGGTGACTGCTGGGCCTTACATTCATTTTGGGTCAAGTAATTCATTGAGCAAAACCGTAGGCTGTAGGTTAGGTATACAGCTTCTCCTCCCCATAGGGTTTGTGTAAATTTCCCAAGGCCTGGGAAATTTCTCTGTAATTCCGGAGGGCTCCACTTATCCTGGAGCACCCACTTAGAGCCTGAAAATGCCACAGGTTGGTCTATACTTCACAGCATCAGGGTTTTCTCACGTTTGCAAGCTTCAATGACAAGCTCCACCCACATGAATCTTGTAAGTGGTGGCAGAGCTTGCTGTTATCCAGTGCTTATTGTGTGCCAGGCATTCTGCTAGATGCTTTACATCCATCATCATTTGCTCTTTACATTAAGCTGGCGACTTGGAGACTACTTACCTCATTTTGTAGATGAGGAAGCGGTGTGACTAGTAAGGGGCAGGCAGCACTGGGATTTTTAGATCCAAGCCTGGTCTCATTCCCAGGTCCGTGGCCTTTGACATCACATCCTTTAAGCTGCATGGCCTCCCTGAGCTCTCCTTTCCGTTGGCTCTCATGCCTGTGCAATGATTCCGTCCCTGATTTGGGGTCCTGTCACGTGACCCCCATCACTTATTAACCAGGTGACACTGTTAGTCTTTTCACTGACTGAGTGGCATTTTCCCTGTCAGTAAAATGGGAGAGAATGATCCTTCTTCTTTAACCTGTTGTTGTGAGGAGTAAATGAGATAATGTCTCTGTTATTTATTAGACACCTATTTTATGCTAGGCACTGTGCTAGAACTTCCAGTACAGCAGTGACACGAACAGACGTGGTCCCTGCTCATGAAGCCTGCAGACCTGTAGGCATGGCAAGACACTTAAACAAAAAGCGCACTTAGTTTTGTGCTATATGTCTGAATCATATATAGTTGTTAAGGCCCAGGAACTTTGACTTCAAGTTTAAGCTGCAGCCTCAGCAGGCACTATGCTTTTCCAGGGTCCTATTTGTAATTCTTACAGAAGACCCGTTGCTTTCTTTTATGTTGCCTAATCCTCTTCCATTGTTCCCCATTTCAGGTCTCTGGAAGTCAGAAACCTGGAAGTTCCGCCCCCTACCTACTTCTCAGCTTCTTCTTCCCCTCTTCTATTCTCCTGCCACTGTCTGCGCCATTTGTCTGTTTCTTAAGGTTTCCTGCTCTGCTTTCTGTCTTTCTCTCGTTTCTGAACCCTGTTTAAATTCAACGCTTGATTTAATAAGATCTTAGTCTAGTCTCCATTATTTCAAGTCATATATCGCTTTTGATAAATTGTCTTTTTAAGCACTTATCCTAATTTTGCATTTGTTTATGTAGGCAGTTTTTCTGTTTCTCCAATTAGACTAAAAGTTCTTTGAGGGTAGGGACCACTTCTCTGTCTCTCTGGTACCTATCCCAGCTGCTTGTCTGTTTTCAAATACTTACTGAGTTAGGTTGGATTCCACCCCCCTCATTCTCTTCTCTGGATCAGCTCTTTCTCTTTCATCTCTTTGCCTAGCATTTTCATTTATTCTACTAACATGTGCATTTGGTCTATCAAATTGAACATATCCCAAACTAAACACATCTCCCCAACTCTGCATTTTTTCCTTATTTCCAATTCTTGTTAAATGTCTCTGTTGCCATTATCCAAATCCCTTTTGCCTCAGTTTCTTGTAACACTCCCGTTTTCTCACCATCTTCTGAATAGGAAGATTGATTTAAGGAAAGATTCCTTGGCATCTCTCATAACTTCCCTACCTTCACTGCCACTACTTGGTGGCTCTTACTGACTTCTGTGTCTGAATTGCATACACTGGCCTGTCATGGTGGTTCACGCCTGTAATCCTAGCACTTTGGGACGCTGAGGTGGGTGGATCACGTGAGGTCAGGAGTTTAAGACCAGCCTAGCCAACATTGTGAAACCCCGACTTTACTAAAAATACAAAAATTAGCCAGGCGTGGTGGTGGGTGCCTATAATCCCAGCTACTCGAGAGACTGAGGCAGAAGAATCGCTTGAACCCAGGAGGTGGAGGTTGCAGTGAGCCAAGATTGTGCCACTTCACTCCAGCCTGGGTGAAAGAACAAAACTTCATCTAAAAAAAAAAAAAAAAAAATTGCATAACCTGCCTCTTCACTTCTTGCCCTGATAGATTTGAGCATGTCGGATCTTAAAAGTCTTTGATAGCTACTGAAGTATTCACTAGTGAAATAATGTCATGTTTTGGATTTTCTTTAAAATTATCCAGTGGAGGAGAGAGCTAAAGGGGATTTTGGGAGAGGTGAAACAAGACTGACCATGTGCTGATAATTGTTGAAGTTAGGTAGTGAGACTCACAGAGGGGCTATTATACTGTTTACGTTTGTATAATACATGTTTGAAAACTTCAATAATAAAAATTTGAAATAAAACACAGCAAATTTTGGCTTTACACTGTCTATAGATAATATATGAACCTCTTGGCAGAGCATACAACCCTCTCATACTTTTTCCCCAGTGCCTCATTTGGCTTCTAATCTCCCTCAACTCTGTATACAGGCTGACTCTACTCTGAAGCCATTTCTGTCCTCAGCATTGATCTCCGGAAAGGCTCAGCTCTACAAAAAAAATCCTCCCTGGCCTAATTTACTAGCCTGATTTGAGTTTTCTCTCCCATATCCCTTAGCATGTACCGCCCTTAGGGGCCTTTCACATTGTATGTAATTGTTTCCTTGTGTCTCTCTGAGCACTGACCCCCAGCCAGTTTTATCCCAGTACTGAGGACTGCCCAAACTGAGAAGGTTCTCCCCAGCCTGCCAGTATTTCAGTTTAATACTCATTGCATGCCTACTGAGTGTTGGGCACTTGATGAATACTTGAGATTTAATTGACTGGTTGCTTCTGGTCTATAATATGGAGAGAGTCTACCATCTGGCTTTCTGGGCTGACGTTGGCTGTACATTTCATCCCTCTCCCTCACTCTTACGATCTTCCTAGATTCTCCTTTGGGAATGAAGTATATAATGTTCAGAGATGCTTAGGTAGACTATGCCATGTAAGGTAGCCAGATAGTGATTGGCATGTCAAAACCCTTTGTCCAGTCTCTTCTTAATGGTGACTTTAAAAATTGTTAGGCTCTGTATTTACACTTGTTAAGTCCCTCTTTCCTCTCTTTGGTTCATCTTTACTCCATAAAACTGGGTAGGGGAGTTGTTTTTTTGTGTGGGGAGGGCAACCTCCAGCCAGCTTTTTGTGAGAGCCCACTCTAAAGCCCCTACACTAGACTCTTCAGGAAAAGCAAAGTAACCTTCCCAAACCATTTAATTCATTTCACTTATTTCTGGCCATTTGATGATTCCAAACTCCAACAGGACCTGTAGCCCAGAGGTAAAAGTAGAAGATGTTTAAAAGATTTGAGAAATGAACTAATTTTTGTGGTCTGGAGAAGTAAAGACCAAGGTATGAGTTAATCACTGTTTTCAAACACATGAAATTATTTTGCATGGAAGGTAGTACCAGCTGTTAGCCATTTGAGTGAAAATAAACAAAAGGACTTAGATTGCAGCTGGAGGGATTTTAGTTAGATAGAAATTTTTCATTAAGTGGTTCTGGGTGGGAACTGGGTTCCCATCCCAGTAGATTGTTGATTTAGGTCCAGATTGGAGGGCAGTGGGGCAGATTTGAGGAATTTAAGCATCCTGAAAATCAGTCCTCATGATTAAAAAATCAGCAGCTGCGAATGCTCTTCGTGTTCAGAGCTGCAGAATGAGGATTCCCCTCATCCCTCCCACCTTCCCCCAAGTTGAAAGAAATTAACCTCAATTAAAGGAAACAGTGATGGATGGTTGCAGAGATAAGTATGATATATCACACAGGAAAAACTACATTAAAAGCACATTAAAGTTGAGACAGAAAGCACTAAAAGTGAAGAAATTCACAGTTAAGGTTGAAAAGTGATATCGTTTACATCTCTGCTAATATGGAGACCTAACAGGGTACACTTAAGAAATTATGAGTGCCGGGCGCGGTGGCTCACGCCTGTAATCCCAGCACTTTGGGAGGCCAAGGCGGGCGGATCACGAGGTCAGGAGATCGAGAACATCCTGGCTAACACGGTGAAATCCCGTCTCTACTAAAAATACAAAAAAATTAGCCAGGCGTGGTGGCGAGCGCCTGTAGTCCCAGCTACTCCGGAGGCTGAGGCAGGAGAATGGCGTGAACCCGGGAGGCAGAGCTTGCAGTGAGCCGAGATCGTGCCACTGCACTCCAGCCTGGGCGACAGAGCTAGACTCCGTCTCAGAAAAAAAAAAAAAAAAAAAATTACGAGAGTGCCCTGTTGTGCTAAGAAGTAAGTTTTTTGACTTCACATACTAAGCTTAATACACAGTTTCATTGCCCAGCTTTAATTAAGGCATCATTCATGACTGATTATAGCCCATGGAAAAAAACCTGTTACTTTTACCAAAAGAGTTTGGGGTTGGTTTTAAAATTTAGCTTTGGAGGGGACCAGGTGGTGATTCTGTGACTCTGTGCATTTCATTACCTAACATATTTCAGCTTTTCTAAAGTCAAATTATTTCTGCTTTTCTAAAGTCAAATATTTCTATTTAAAAGGCACTAGTTTTGACTAAAATGTTAATAATAACAGATTTAATAATATTGAGTAATATTGTTTCCATCTGTTTAGAAACCAAAATTTAGCTTTTATCCCTTCATTTCAGGGGTGGATTTTTGCTTCTCCAAAATAGATCTTAAATCTTATGTGTATATTTTAAGCAAATTATTATTGCATTTTAGGAGTCTTAGCCAGAATAAAATCTGATTACATTTTCAATTCATAAAATTACATTGTGACCCCAGAAAACATCCTCTAATTGCTTTAGTTTTTACCTAATAAGACTGTCTCTTTGTGTATGTTTACCATATTAGAGACAAAAATCCCTCAAATGGGTCTAGAATACTAAATATTTGTGTACGATAGAGTGTGGATAGTACAAACGTCCGTCCTTAGCTGCTTCATCCCTTGTCTGACTCTAAAGAGTTGTTACTTCTTCCTAAACCAAGAGCCAAGATGGAAGATATAACCTTCCAAAAAATCAGAGTATATGCCACAGCGGGTTTCGTATCCTTACAGAAGATGTTCTCTCTCTCCTTCTTTTTTCTTCCTTCCCTTCTTCCCCATCCCTCCTCCCTCCTTCCCTCCTTCTTTCCCTCCCTCTCATTTATTTTTGGGATAATTTTGAGTTCTTTCATTGACCATAAGCTTATTGTGAAGAACAAATTCAGTTTATCAAATTTAGCTACCAAATCTTAAAATTTGATTTTTAAAGTAGAAAGATAATTGCTTCTTATTAAAAAAAAAACAGACAAATAAGTAAAGTTATGTCAATTTGTATAATTCCACATTAATGAGCTAGTACATGGGTTAAAATGTTATATTAGTAGTTTCAAGAAAGGAAATGTGAGCTATAATTATTATATGTTTTCTATTTTTGTTACATTTAAGGTGAGTCTTGTAAAAGGGCCAATGAAATTGCCTTAAGTAAAATGATTATTAACCAATACAATTTATGGCATATTGACTTGGGTAATATTAATTTGGGTACATGACAGGATATATACTCATGGTCTCTTGTCACAGATTTTTAGGTTGGGTTACTTACCAGATGAATGAGTTTGTGTTTCCACTTAATTTTTTTAAAGTTCAGGAGGCCAACAATTTGACAGATTTGAAAATAAAAATGAAATTGAGGTCACTTTTTTTCTAGTGGCTACTTTGGTATGCCGTGCATAGACTCTGTTTCTTAATGCAGAAAATACAATCTTTATGCCTGTTTGGAGTTTCAAATGTAATATAAATGTCATGTATCATCATAAGTATGCAAACATGTTTTAAAACACAGAATTGTATGGAAGCAATTACTGGCAGTGAGTGAGCTACACACCCCAAGGGTGGGTTGGGGCCAAAAAAATTAAAGTTCCTAAACAGAATTACTTTTGTGTGGGTGGGAAAGAGAGAGCAATGTTAACTTTTATTAGGAACCAATCCCAGCTCTTATTTTAATTCTCGTCACATACTTGGTAACTCAAATAAATAGGTAGTAAAGGGACATTAAGGGACTTTGTGTTAGGATTAGTTTTCCCCCCACTTGCTATAGTCTTCCGGTAGGGAGTGATTAGTGTTCAGCAGGAGGGCCTGGTGGACACCAGTGCATATATAGCTCTGTAGTTTTCAAACACTAGGTGTTGGTTAAAGATGATGTTGCCACCCTTTGTGACATGGTACTTGAGCATTCTTTTGCGGGGTGTGTTGTGTTCATTTTTAGCAGAATGAATGGGATGTAGGAAGGTTAGATTTTATCATTGGAAAGTAACATGCTATGTAGTTTTCTGCCACTCACCACTAGCCTGGAGAAGACCTGAATGATGGGTTCTCCCTCTTGACCCCTTCATGCTGTATGTTTTATTTGTTTCCTAACTTCATATAAAATCACTATCATCTGAAGGTGATGATGGTTTTTTTTTGTTTTTTTGAGACAGGGTCTTGCTCTGTCACTCAGGCTGGAGTGCAGTGGTGTGAACACAGCTCACTGCAGCCTCAACCTCCTGGGCTCAAGTGATCCTTCTGCCTCAGCTTCCCATGTAGCTGGGACCACAGGTGCATGTCACTATGGCCGGCTAAGTTTTTGATTTTTTGTAGAGATGGGGTTTTGTCATGTTTCCCAGGCTGGTCATGAACTCTTGGGCTCAGGCGATACTCCTGTCTTGGCCTCCAAAAATGCTGGGAATATACGTGTGAGCCACCATGCCTGACCCTGAAGGTGATTTTGCATTGTACTATTTTGTGGGGGTATGGACCACAAAAATGGAGGGGAACGGAATTACTCTCTATAAAAATAAATTTATCTTCTGACATTCTCTGGAGCCCTTTGCTAACAAGGTTTAAATGGATCTTTTTTCTAAAGCCCTTATCACCATAACCTCTCAGCTAGAGAGCCGTTTTGGGTTCAACTGCAGGTTGAGCTGAGTGACCATCTAAGCAGCACAGGGACTAGCAGCCCCTTAACTGTGATCAGAACATCACTGTATTGATAAGTGAGTCTTGGTCAAGTCACTTAACCTTTCTTCCTTGATTTTCTATTATGTACACTGGAAATGATAGTATCTATCTGCCTTTGATCTCATAGGGATGCTTCAATCCATTAAAGTCATTAAAGCACTTTAAGTAAGGTATAAGGCACTAGATGCAAGGCCTCTTCATTGTTGTTATCATTACTGTTATTTTATTACAGTGCTGTATACAAAGGGGGCACTTTTTAATGCTAAACAGTCATCTCAGAATATGTTCTGTGGAATCCAGAAGTTGACAGAGGACCTTAAGCGGTCAGGTTATCTTTCTCTTTCTTCTTGAAGCCAGGCTCTGTTCCTCGTTGTCTCTGTCTGTTACTTTGGAGAACAAATAGCAAAACCAGGAACACAAAAATGAAAATAGAAAATTGAGACAAATGGGGTAGCTGTAGTCTACTTCGTGTTATTTCCTGGGAACTGCTGTTGGTGTTGGGTCTCCTAAAGTGGGAAGTTCATTGTGCCTCTCTGGATACTGATCTCCCCTTTCTGTAATGTGCACATCCAGGGGTTTTGAAGTGGATTGTGGGCTTTGATTCATTCCCACTTGCAACTTTCATTTTCTTTGTTTTTTCGAAATACTGTTTTACTAGGAAAGAGAAAAACATTTGGGGGTAGGGTGGGTAAAGATCTCTGGATGTCTTTGGATAGTGTTCAAAGGCATTTTGTACGAGATGATTGTATTTCCTACATCAGCCCCTTCTGGCATTTCATCTCAAATACTTCCTCCCTTGCACCTCATAAAAAATTCCAGAAGGTGAGGTACTTCCATATGGCCTTGGATGGCACCAACTTGATGATGTCCATGAAAAAATAGAGGATCAACGCTCACCTTCCAGAGTGAAGAGTTTGCTTCCTGGAGCATGGGTTCTTTTGATCTCACAAATATCACTATTCTAAAGTAACCTACCCTGTCCTTTATCTTAACATTCTGAAGCTGATGTTGGTGACTCTATTGGTTCTTCTTGGCTAAAAAGTTTTGCTACTTTCCATGTTCATTCTTTTTAATTTTTGGTACTTTGAGTATCATGATAAATTTTACTTCTGTTACCTTATTTGTGGACTGATTACTCTGCTCCACCATTTACATGTAACTTGGTAGCATTTTCAATTTCATCAGCTACAGAGCACTAATTCCTCAAACATGGGCCTTTGTAGTTAGGTGGAACTTAAGACAGTTGAGTGTCATGGTCTGAAATGTAAGTTATTTCTGTTCATCAAAAATATTATTTAAGGGAGCCCTGGAATAATTATGAGTACTGAATAATTAAGCCATAAATAAATATAAATTGGTAAAGACATCCATCATTTATTATTTGGTTTTCCAGCTTCCATAACTAGAATCCTGAACTTACGAGTATGTTGCTTTATAAATTAAATAGAATGGTTTGCTTTTCTGACTCCCTCTCCCCGCAAAAGCATAAGAGTCTAACAATGGATTTTCTGGTATTGATTTGTTTGTTTGAAAAATCTTAGATTATATCATAGTTTTGTATTTTAGAATCAGTTTCTTGAAGAGGAAGAATACAATTATATGAAATTGGGATTGTTGTGGAAAATCAGAGACGTATGTTTGCTATAGGTATAATATTAGTTTTTCAGCATCAAGAGTAAAACAAGTGGAATTACCTCTGAAATTGCAGCTAACTATTGCTACCTCTATACCAGAAATATTTTTTCATCTTTTCATACCACATGTGAAAACTTTGTTGTTGTTGTTGTTTTTTGTTTTGAGACGGTCTTACTCTGTCTGCCAGGCTGGAGTGCAGTGGCACAATCATGGCTCACTGCAACCTTAACCTCCCAGGCTCAAGTGAGCTTCCTGCCTTAGCCTCCCAAGTAGCTGGGACCACAGGCATGTGCCACCACTCCCAGCTAATTTTTGTATTTTTTTTTTTGTAGAGACGGGGCCGCTCTGTGTTTTACAGGCTGGTCTTGAACTCTTGGGCTCAAACAATCCTCCTGCCTTAGCCTCCCAAAGAGCTGGGATTACAGGTGTGAGCCATTGCACCTGGCCCTGAAAATTCTTAAGTGGGGATAAGGGATAACAGAACTTCTTGGTTCATTGTTACCTACTTTTCTTTTTTCTTTCTTTTTTTAAAGAAATGCTGCAGCACTCATTATTTTTTCCCCTGTTTCCCTCTCCTCCCCAAATTTCCTGTCAGCAACTTTGTTTTCTGTTCATTAGAATTCAAACACAATTTAAATTAATTTCCCTTGCCACCTTCTCTGTGGTTAGATACACCTTTGGTGAGTTCACAAATGACTCATTGGACTATGATGATTTTTGTTGATTTCTTACATGGTCCAACTGGGTTATCCTTAGAGATGCCTTAGAACCAGTGGAGGTGTTGGCTGTAGGATTAGATGGACTTAACGCAGATTACTGGGGATCTCCTGGTATTCATATCCCTGTAGTTGCTAACCAGGCTTGGATTTATCCTGGATTGGACCTTTTTTTCACTATCAGGGCCTAAGGAGCCTTTTTAGGCATTTTATCCAACCTCCTCCCAGCCAGGCCCTCATTACATCCTAAGAATAAGATTTTGTCTGGCAGGGTTGAACTTTAAAGGACCATAAACCGTTGTAATATCTAAATTTTTTCACCCCTATTGAAAATGCATGATTTAGACCCAATATGTGGATGCACAAATTATTAAATGACTTAGCTATTTATATTCCACCCAATAGTGTGGGTACATTTTTCTGAGAGTTGCTGAACAGCAGTGGTATTTTGAAAAATACTACTCACCTTGAGGAGGTTACATTGAATTTGTCTTTTTTGGCTTAGTTTTAAAATGAAGCTGATTACTTGGTGGTATACTTAGATGGTCTTTGATAGGACCCTCTCCTGTCCTGCCTTCCCCCATGGAAGTATCATTATAGCTATTTCCTATACATTCTCACTGCAAATAAAATTCAGAAAATACTTAGCTCGTAAGAGTTTCTGTCTCTGGCCCCGCGCGGTGGCTCACGCCTGTAATCCCAGCACTTTGGGAGGCCGAGGTGGGCGGATCACGAGGTCAGGAAATCCAGACCGTCCTGGCTAATGCGGTGAAACCCCGTCTCTACTGAAAATACAAAAAATTAGCCGGGCGTGGTGGCAGGTGCCTGTAGTCCCAGCTACTCGGGAGGCTGAGGCAAGAGAATGGTGTGAACCCGGGAGGCGGAGCAGGCAGTGAGCCGGGATGGTGCCACTACACTCTAGTCAGGGCGACAGAGCGAGACTCTGTGTCAAAAAAAAAAAAAAAATAGTTTATGTCTCCAAAAATTGAGGTATTCTATGATATTTATGTGACTTCTACCTTCAGTTGTGATTGTAGAATGCCTTCACAGATTTAAAATAGATACCAATAAAATGGAATTATATATAAATGGCATGGTTAAGAATGATTGTTCTCTTGATTTGTTTTCAAGCTATGTTTAGTATTCCTTTTTTCTTCCTATGTATTTTGAGGGATTTAACACTGAGTCATATAGATAGTGTTAATTTTCATTTCAGTTTATAAACTTCTATCAAGACAATAAGATTTCAGTGTAAAAAAAAATTAAGGAAAATATATTTGGTGGTTTTCCTCCTCCTGAAATCTTAAAAGTTACCATACTTTCCATTAAAGTCCTCTCTAATATCTATACAGAAAACATACTGTTCTTGAATAAAACAAAATTAATTTGTGGTCCTTGACTTCTGTGGAAAAAGACCCTTATCATAACAAAGTACAAAAATAGTAAAAGCAATTAGTGAATTAAGCCTCAATTCCAATTGCCTCGATTTTTTGTATGAAATCATATCTTTCTTATTATAGAAGTGTGAGATTATAGCCAGCTGTTGGAGTAGTAACTTGTAATCCATTTCTGTACGTTGGTTTTTGGTGTGAACTGAAAATGATTACCATGAAGTTAAGTGTTATAACCTACTTTAAATGAATTAGTTTCCTGGAATTTATTACTGCTAAAAATCAGAACAAATTTCCTTAGGAATCTGTGTTTATAACAAAAACATGAACTTTGACCGTAGAATACTTTTCCCATTCAAATGAAAGATAATTTAAACAATATTTTTAAAAGGTTGATTTAATTTTACATCTGTGAGTATAAATACAACCAGTTGATTCTTCAAAGATTTTTGATTGTGATAATAAGATTGATGGATATATTGTGCCTTAGCCTTATATTAAATTGGCAGATTTTTAAATACCAGATAATTAGAAATGCTATTAATTCTCAGTGTAGAATGCTAACCTAACATTTTTGTATGTCTTGTGCGGTCAATAGAATAATGGCCACCCAAGCATGACCAACTTTTAAGAACTTGTGAATATATATCTTACATAAGAAATGGGACTTTGGGCTGGGCGCTGTGGCTCATGCCCGTAATCTCAGCACCTTGGGAGGCCGAGGTGGACAGATCATGAGGTCAAGAGTTTGAGAGCTGCCTGGCCAATACGGTGAAACCCTGTCTCTACTACAAATACAAAAAGGAGCCGGGTGTGGTGGTGTGCACCTGTAGTCCCAGCTACTTGGGAAGCTGAGGCAGGAGAATCTTGGAGGCAGAGGTTGCAGTGAGTCAAGATGGCACCACTGCACTCCAGCCTGGGCGACAGAGTGAAACTCCATCTAAAAAAAAAGGAAAGACAAGGGACTTTGCAAACGCGGCTAATGTTAAGGACCTTGAGATGAGGGAGATATTCCTGGATTTTCTAGGTGGACCCAGTCTAATCACATGAATCATTAAAAGCTGAGAACTTTTCCCAGCTGTGGTCAGAGAGAGATGACCATGGAAGAATAGTAAGAGAGCTCTAACATTGCTGGCTTTGAAGATGGAGCATCTGGGCCCTAAGCTAAGGAATGCTGGTGGCGGATAGAAGCTGAGAAATACAAGGAAGCAGATTCTGCTTTTGAGTCTCTTAAATGGATGGCAGCCCTGCTGATATCTTGACTTTAGCCCAGTGAGACCTGTCAGGCTTCTGACCAATATAACTGTAAGATAAGAACTGTGTGTTTTAAGCCACTAAATTAGTGGTAATTTTTTAGGGTAGACATAGAAAACTAATATACCTTGCTTTGTGTTTGTAATTTCTTGAATAAAATTATCACCAAACTCTCTAAATACTGTAAAGGAACAAAAAGCTATTTGCTTGCATATAAAATTGTAATTTATAAGACTTTATTATAATGGATTGTTACAATTAATTTTGCTTTTAAATAACAGAACGAACTTGATGCGACCTTGCAAGTATGCTTTTTTTTTTTCTTTTTAAAATCAAGGGTTGCTTTGCTACCATTGTACCAGGAATATAGTAGGCAGTCAATAATTGTTGGAAACAGTAAAATTACATAGTCAACATTTTCATTAGCTATTGTTAATGTTGTTGTTAACAATGGAGTTTTGAGAAAGGGGCTTAAGGAAATGTAGGAATGTAAGTGTGTTAGGTCTTAAGAAGTATCTCCAAACTTTTGACAGATATTTCTCACATTTCGATTTCTGTCATGTTCGACAGTTGTCAAGAAATTGCTCAAGGGTTTATTGGACTCAAGCGCCAGGGCATGAGTGAGTTTATCTCTGTCTTGATAAGCTGGACACTGATGGTAGCCAGAAAGTAGTGGTGATGGGGAGTTCTGATTCTTCAGATAATCGTTTCCTATTTAGTTAGAAAATGACAGGATTCAAGATGTTGTACCATATAGCAAGAGATTTAAGATCACTGTAAATACGTATAATAAATTAGGTAAATCTACATGCTTTTAAATAGCTTTTAAGCTGCTTGTCTACTTTCATGGCTAGTATGTTGGAACATTCAATCAGAAGTATTTATTGAGTCTGTCTGTACTAGGCACTGGGGATATAGGTTCAAAGAGCCCTGCCATCATGGTGCTTATTGACCCATAAGAAAGAAATTAAGTAATTACTAGTGTTGGAAAGTAGTACAGGGCACTTTAGGAATAGGTAGTTACCTTCTTGGGTCTATTTTTTTTTTTTTTTTTTTGAGACAGAGTCTCGCTGTGTTGCCCAGGCTGGAGTGCATTGGTGTGATCTTGGCTCACTGCAAGCTCCACCTCCCGGGTTCAGGCCATTCTCCTGCCTCAGCCTCCCGAGTAGCTGGGACTACAGGCACCTGCCACCATGCCCGGTTAATTTTTTTTGTATTTTTAGTAGAGACAGAGTTTCACTGTGTTAGCCAGGATATTTTTGATCTCCTGACCTTGTGATTTCCCCGCCTCAGCCTCCCAAAGTGCTGGGATTATAGGCGTGAGCCCCTGTGCCCAGCCTAGGTCTAGTTTAAGAAACCATTTCTGAAGGCAAGGGGAGAGGTTCAGGAATGAGGAAAGAAAAAAGCTTTAAAGCAAAGAAAGAATGTCTGGAGCAGAGAAAATCTGAGATCACTGTGAGAAGGTGATAAGATGGTTAGGTTGGCAGAGATCAAATCTTACAGGGTCCTCTTAAATGATTTTGGAACCTCAGCTGCAATTTGAAGAATGTATTGGAAGGGAGAAAAAGGTGACTCCAAGAAGCTGAGGTAGGAGGCTATTTCAGCTGTCAAAATATGAGAGTCTGTACCAGAGTAATAGAGAGAGGAATGGAGGATAGATCCAGAGACAGTTAGGAGATAAACTAGAAAGATTTGGAGGTTGACTGCATGTGGGGTGTCAGAGAGGCAGGGAGAGGTAGTTGGGGAAATAAAATAATCATGCCAACAAAAAAGACATATTATCCACAGCGAAGAGAGAGAGAATATAATTTATTATTGAGTAGGCATAAAAAGATTTTGCAGGTATGTAAGATATCTCAAAAGTGGCTATGAAGTTGGGGACAAAATCACAGTTAATACAGAACAGCAGAAGAAAGTATATTCTTAATAACTTCTCATCCCTTTGAGAGACAAAGAAAGGGTTGTCCCTTTTGATAGTCTTCTGTACATCTCATGAGAGACACCTGAGTTAATCCCAGAGGGTTGTTTTTCACATATCTAGCGTTGGTTTGGCACATGACTTAGACGTATCTCTACATTGTAAAAACTGGAGACTGAACTTAATCCTTAGAGAGATTTATCTCTGTTCCAAAGGTTAGAGTAAGGACTCAGATTCACAATGTCTCCAAGGAAACACTCCTAAGAAAAGCGGAGAAGGATAAAATGGTCTTTTATAAATGGAGAAAATCATTTTCCAAGCCCTCAATAGCAGATGGTGCCATTTACTGAGGTAGGCAGCGCTGGAGGAGGAGCAGATTTGAGGAGTAATAAGACAGACACTTGGGAAGATGTCAAGTTTGAAGTTTCTATTAGACACTGCCCCGGAAATGACAGGAGTGCATTCATAGTGGAGAAGGGAGATCTAGGCTAAATATAGACATTTACTAGCCGTCAACAGGTAGTACTGAACCCTGGGAATGTACTGGGTAGCTTAGGGACATGGAACGGTGGGATGGGGAAGAAAGGATGGGGGGGTCATCTCTTTTGTCATATAATTGCATAGTTAGCATAGTGATATTACCCTAATGGTTAAGCGCAGCAGTGGTCGACACTTTCATCTTTTGACTACTTTTCCTGGATAATGTAGCTAAAAGTTTACATCACCTACTCTTGTAATCTAGACTCCTGCCCTTTTCTGTTAATAGGGTATGTTCTGAGGTGGTGTCCCCCCACAGCCTCCTTTCCTTTTGTTCACTGATTATGCATTCTCTTCAGTCCCCTGGGTCTCCTGTGGACTGTTTTCCTGCACCCAGTGTGCTTCTGCCTCCCTCCATTTGAGGCCATGTGTCTTCTCATGCTCTCTTGCTCTCTCTTTTTGAACTGTTGCTTATTTGGAAATATTTTCAGTTATTTCCACACATAACTTCTAGATGTTTATACCTTTTTACAGAGTCAGGTATCCTTTTTCTGGTGTATTTATTTGGTCTGGAATGTGTCAGGTTTTGAGGCCACAGCACAGATGCTTTGCTCTCCCATAAGTGTGGGCAATATGTGGAGAATGGCTTTGTGTGGATTGGAAGTGGAGGTGAAGGGGGAAGTATCTTGTTGGGAAGAAATAGCTGACTGTGGCCCTCAAGTGCTTCTTGGGTGGATGCATTTAATAATGATCTTAGTGAATCAGTTGCTGCATATTGAAAACAAGATGGCTGGGGCCGGGCGCGGTGGCTCACACCTCTAATCCCAGCACTTTGGGAGGCTGAGGCAGGCAGATCACCTGAGGTGAGGAGTTCGAGAGCAGCCTGGCCAAGATGGTGAAACCCCATCTCTACTGAAATTACAAATATTAGCTGGGCATGGTGGTGGGTGGCTATAATCCCAGCTACTCAGGAGGCTGAGGCAGGAGAATCGCTTGAACCTGGGAGGTGGAGCTTGTAGTGAGTCGAGATTGTGCCACTGCACTACAGCCTGAGCAACAGAGCGAGACTCTGTCTCAAGAAAAAAGAAAAAAAAATGACTATTTGAATCTATAACTGAACCTATAATTGGAAAATGAAATATGGGGTGGGGGAAAGACCCTCCCATTTGTATTTACAAGAACATTTAGATCTGGATTAAAATAGCAGTGACCTTTGCTCTTTATTATATCGGACAGGTCAGTTTGCAAGTTTGTTGGGTTGGGGCAACTTTTCTGAATCAGACTCATGTACTGATAAATTCTGCACTTGGTGGAGGAGGCAAAGGTTCTTATCCAGAGACACTTTAGGGAACTCTGGGGTTTGGCAAGTAGGAAAATAGGTAGAAATGGCGCTCAGGGACATTTCATTTTGTGATGACTGACTGTGAGCTGAAGATAAATACATAAAAAGGTAGGCAGTGATGCCTTGGACAAAGATTTTACCAACTGGCAGTGTGAAATATTCTGTAGACCACCAGTTCTAATGAGTTTATCTTAGACAGTTCTGAGAGTGTCGGTTAATAATTTACCCTTTCTGAGAGACAGAGGCAGCAATTACAGGCTATAAGCGAGCACTCTGAGGCTTCTTGCTTTGCTGGAGCCCATCTGGGCTGGAGCCATGGACCCCATTGGTTGTGACACAAGTACCAAGTGTCTGCACTTTGGCATATGGAGGCTTCACAGCGCTCAGTAAGGCATAGACATTCAGTGTGATTCACTTCAAGTGATATCTAAAGTATGGATTACTGTAACTACCCATCTGCTCCACATCAAAAAGAATAGAACTCTGTATAGATATTTTTAAAGTTTATTTTGAAGTAGGATGGTGTTCTATATGGAAGAGAGGGTGGTGGTGGAAAAATAGATTATTTTGAAGAAATATTTATGAAGCTTCAGAGAAGGGACATACTGGGCTTGCTGATTGATACCTGGAATATGCTTTTATTGTCTAACAAAATATTGGATCCAGCTGTACATGTAAGACTTACCCGTTGGCAGTGTGATTGATACTGTTAAAAACTTGAGTCTGTTTACCCCTTGCCATACAATTTGTTTTGATGCAATAGTGAACACAACTCCACTGTAGATTTAAGCACTATTTATGTGAATTTTATTTCCCTGTTTAGTCACTGAATCACATTGTAGTGTTGGCATGATAAGTTTTGTAATTTGCTTTCCCGTGTGAAGAGTGCTTTTCTTGAACCAAATGTTGACTTCTGCATACTTTTAAAAGTTAGGCTTTATGTCATTACAAAGATTTACAGTTATTTAATAATGATTTATTGCAGTAATTTATTCTGCCAGCTGTGGCACATTTTCACTGGAATTTGTAAATCAAATTTATATAGAAATTTACCAGGACATGCATTTCAGGATTTAATAAAATATACTCTAAAATCTTTTTGAAGAATGTAGTTTTATGCTTACACATTTGGGATTAAGCTTTACCTTAACAGCCATTGTTACTATTCAAACTGCTGTGTTTGTCCCACAGTCATTGAAAAGAAGAGTCAATGAGATCTGTTAAAATACACAGTTTCAGGTCATCTACTTTGCTTCCAGACCTTTAGTGTCATGTTATATTTGACCTGGGATATTCATATGATGTTGAGGGACATGGAAACATCCTGACATTAGGCTCTGTGCAGTTCTGTAAGTTTTAATCATATTAAACTGTGCATCCAGAATCATAACTGAGAGTGAATGTAGTGCACTGTATTCATTTAGAAACCCTAAGTGTCAGATTTTCTCTCCCTTTTTCAAAACTTACTGGCTAATAACCATGTGGAATACATTTAGCATTGGCTGTGCCAGCTCACACTCCTGTAGTTTCTTTGGAATGCACAAATACGGCAAGTTATTGTATTTTCTTTCTTATTTTAAAAAAGATTGTTGCGATTTTGTTTACTTGATGATATATATGTTTCTAGAGAGAGAATCTAGAATAAAAAGAAAACTATACAGATTATTTTGTAACTTGTGTGTCATTAAAAAAATCTAGCAATTTGAGAGGCTGTATTTAAAATGTGTGATTGCCAAGTAATTTGTAAGAATGACTTGTTCTCTAAGACTGCGTAAGAATTTTACTTCTAAGATTAAACTACTAATTCACAGCTTCAGTCAGCTGGTTATTTTGTGTACAACAGCATGAAACGTCTCATTTGACTTAACTACTGCCGCCCAAACACATTGACTTCATTGATCAGTTGTTTTAATATTGTGAAGATACAGTCTGAATGTGCCCTGAAGCTAAACTTTCAGGTTATAGTTAATTGTATTTAAAGCAGTAGGCTTTGGACTATCTAAAAAGGAAGTGAAAGCATTTGCAAATATTGTAGCCTTTAATTTTTCATAGTAGTTTGTTTATTATGTTCAAGCACTGGTAAAACATAACTTAACAAAACAAAATTTTGAGCCAAAACAGCTTATCATCTGAAATGTAAACCCAGTTTATCTTCGGATCTCTTATTTTTTAAAAGACGTAATTTCTTAAAAGAAATTATTAGAACAGTCTTCAGCTAGGAGTTCAAGTTACCGTACATAAAAAACTGGATCTTTATGTTATTAAGATGAAAATATTTTTGTTTTTAGAGTCTTGCTCTGTTGTCCAGGCTGGAGTGCAGTGGCGTGATCTGGGCTCACTGCAACCTCTGCCTCCCGGATTCAAGCAATTCTTTTGCCTCAGCCTCCCGAGTAGCTGAGATTACAGGCGCCCGCCACCATGCCCAACTAATTTTTGTATTTTAGTAGAGATGGGGTTTCACCATGTTGGCCAGGCTGGTCTTGAACTCCTGACCTCAAGTGATAAAACTGCCTCGGCCTCCAAAGTGCTGAGATTACAGGCGTGAGCCACTGCGCCTGGCTGAAAATAATTGTTAAAAATCTTTAATTTTATATATACATACATATATATATATATACACACATACATATATATATACACATACATACATATATATATACACACATACATATATACATACATATATATATACACATATATATATTTGTGCTGGGGACAGCAGCTTTATATTTCTAGAACAATAATAACTTTTTATATGATTTATGACTCTTCACAGTGTTTGATATTTACTTTTATTTTGAGAAAAATTAATCTGCAATGCAAGGGAAGTCGAGAGATAGGGAGATTTCTTGAAAGGGAGCAAAGATAAGACTTTTTCTTGAGAGAGTTCATTGCTGATCTCTTAGATGTGATACTGTGTTTTCCTTGAAAGCATGTAACATTTGTGTGCTGAATGGATCATGGAGAACGCATGAGCTCCTTAGTTTACATTTACTCATCCAGTACTCCAGTGCTCACAATATACTAGGGTTTTTTTTTTTTTAAACCATTTTCAATGCAATTTAAGAGAATATTTTAGAATTAAGTTTTCACAGTTTTGTAGTTTTTTTTATTTCACAGTTTTGTAGTTTTTTTTTAGACTTCAGTGATGTTTTAAATGTTTTCCTTGTGCTTACCTGGAAAAGCTTTTTAAATGATACCAATTTGGAATGTTAAAAAAGGTATAATTCTGGGATGACAGATATATTTAATCTTGTGGGTGAATTTAGACTGATGGTTGGTGAATGCTTTGAGAGTCTGAGGTGGGCCAGAGAAAAAAGACACAACTCTGTACTTGGTTAGCAATGCCTGCCATTGCCGCTGAAGTACCAGTCAGTGGAAGCATCTCCTGAATTCATCTCCCTAGCCCAGAAACTTCTGTGTTACTGTAATCATTCATTTATTCATCTTGTGTTCATTCATTCACCCAAATTTTTCAACATTTCTGAATATGTGGCAGCATGCCAAGCATGGTAGGAATATAGTGGTGAAGCAGACATGAATTTGCTTTCAAGCCTTGATGAGTGGGAGGCTTAATCGTTCATTAACAAAGAGTTGAAAACAGGGTGGCAGCGGTTTTGGCAAGAATGTGTTACGGTCTAATTCAGAGATACTGAACTTGGGACCTAAGTAAGAAGGATATTCTGTTGTAGAAATCTGGCAGATTCTAGAGTTTGTTTGAGAGATCTCTTGCATTTGCTCATTGGGTATGCCAGGCATTCTGGAGGGATGCCCATTCGCATCTGACAGGATAGATGATCTACTGGTCAAATGTATAGATGATGTCTAACATCTCCGTAATGCAAGGCAAAAGTAGGTTCTGTAAGGGGAATGATATGACATTAGTTTAGAGATGAGTGGTAAAGCCATATGCTGTTGGGTGTGATGCCAGTCAGTAGTAGATGGTAGAGAATTGAAGATAGAGCATAATTTTAGTGTTCAGCCATTTTTAATTTCAGAAAATATTTTTAGGTAGAAATATTTTAACTGTATAGTACATGTATTGGTACAAATATAAGTATCAAATTATATTTCTACCTTCACCATTTTTTCCAACTAGAAATCCTATAATTATCTTTTGCTTCTTTTCCCTTAGAGCTAAAATTATTTTAGGTATCAGTTCTCGTAGATTCTTTAAAACAGAAAACAAAACTCTAAATTGTTAATTTATTTCTCACAATTACCTAGTTTAGGTCCTCATGCTCTGTGATGGGCTGTCCATTTCCTATTAGTGTCTACTATAGTTTCAAGTGTAAATGCATGCAGTGTAAATGAATATAAAACTGATAAAATTCCTCGTTCTTAGAGCTTATGTTCTAGGGGAATATTTGAATACAAACAAATCCCCTAATTTAATACTTCTGTTTTCTGCTGCATTCACCATTCCTAGATGAAACATAACTTCTGTTACTTAACTACTGTGTTCAGAAATTTGAAGTCCAAATTTCAAGGCCTCTACAGTTTGCCTGTATATACGCTTTCTAATCTCATGTCTTATTAAATAATATCTTTCATCTATCCAAGGAACAGTGCATCTTTACATCCTTACACTATTTTTTTTTTTTTTTTAAAGCACAGGATCTCTCTCTCTTGCCTAGGCTGGAGAGCAGTGGCACAATCATGGCTCACTGCAGCCTCAGCCTTCCAGGCTCAAGCAATCTTCCCACCTCAGCCTCCTGAGTAGTAGGGACCACAGGCATGTGCCACCACACCTGGGTAATTTTTAATTTTTTTGTAGCGATGGGATCTCACTCTGTTACCCAGGCTGATCTCAAACAACCGGGCTCAAGCTGTTGACTTTCCCGCCCTGGTCTCCCAGGGTGCTGGGATTATTATACTTTTATTCGTGCTTCCCCCACCCATTTGGAATGTTCTCTTCTCTTTGCCTTTTGATATTCTCCTTAGTCTAAGAATCTTGGCTCAAATTGCTCTTTTAACCAAATAACGTATGTTCCTGGATATATTATAACTAACAACACGTGTACTGATTTGTAGACTTCTACTTTTGTAAGAGAGTGCTTATTTACATCTTTTATTTAACTTGTACATTTACATATAGTCTCTCCAGCTATACTGTAAATGATGTGAAATCAGAGGACTTTGTTTTAAATATTCATACTGGGCTAATATGAGCACAGTTGAAAAGCAGGCAGGAACTGTGCTTTGAGCATCCTGGAGAATGAAACAAAGCTTACAAGCTTACATACTGAATTTCTAAGATAGTCATTCCCCCATATATTGCTTAGAACCTGAAAATTCCAAAACTCTCTTTGGTTTTCAGGGCCATCATTATATATTAATTTTTTTATTTTGTTAATTTCATATATATATATATATATATATATATAGTATAAAAAGTGAAAAAAAGTACAGAAGCTTACACAGAGAAAACAAATGGTCCATTGCTTTTTTTTTTTTTTTTTTTTTTTTGAGACGGTTTCGCTCTGTTGCCCAGGCTGGAGTGCAGTGGCCTGATCTTGGCTCACTGCAATCTCCATCTCCTGGGTCCTAGCAATTCTCTTGCCTCAGCCTCCTGAGTAGCTGGGACTACAGGCGGCTGCCACCATGCCTGGCTAATTTTTGTATTTTTAGTGGAGATGGGGTTTCACCGTGTTGGCCAGTCTGATCTCGAACTCTTGACCTCAAGTGGTCCACCCACCTTGGCCTCCCACAGTGCTGGGATACAGGCATGAGCCACTGCACCCGGGCAAATTCTCCTTTTTTTCTGTTTACTGGATTCCTTCTTTTTAAATGTTTAAGACAATGTCTCACTCTGTCTCCCAGGCTGGAGTGCAGTGGCACGCTCAGGACTCACTGTAGCCTCGACCACCCCGGGCTCAGGTGACCCTCCCACCTCAGCCTCTGGAGTAGCTGGGACCATTGGCACGTACCACCATGCCCAACTAATTTTTGTATTTTTTGTAGAGATGGGTTTTGCCATATTGCCCAGGCTGGTCTTGAACTCCTAGGCTCAAACAGTCTTCCTGCCTCGGCCTCCCAAAGTGCTGGGATTACAAGCGTGAGCCATCACACCCAGACTTATTTGCCAGATCCTGAAAGGTATTTCTAGCAATAGCTTAGCCCCATTTTAGAAGTATTTGTTACCTCCTCAGTTTTTCTTTTCTACTCTCTCTTTCTCCTGTTTTTCTCTTTCTCCATAAATGATAGTACACAGTATTTACTGTTCTGCATCTTGCCTTTTACTCATGTTTTGTTTGGAGATGTTGTTTATCTGTATTTACAGTTTTTTTTTCCATTCTTCTTAATGACTACTTAATATTCCATTGGAAAGATTCATAGTAAAATAAAATAGCAAATTCTAGAACTGGGAAGAAGGCAAATGTTAGGCAAACAATTAATAATTATAACTAACTATGAAAGGATAAAATGGTAGATAGTTGAATTTAAGAAAACAGAGCCTTCCCAGAGCTCCTCTTTCCCATGCCAAGTCAAGTAGGAAGCCCTAAGCACTTAGAAGCCTAAAGATATTACCAGATATTAATTGATGTTTAATTATCAAGAAAGATATGTCCTGCTTAAAACAGGGTAATAGGCAGCACCTTTTCAGAAAATTCTTGTCTAAAATGGTAGAAACCTGGAGAGGCAATGCTGGATATTTGGATGAGCACATATTTTGAAATCAGACCAACTTGGTCTTGAATTCCCAGTTTGACCCTTAATATAAGACTTCGGCCAAGTGACTAAACTCTCTTAGCTTCGATTTCCTTATTGGTAAAATGAGAATAATAATACCTATCTCAGAGGACTTGTGAAGAATGAATGAAAAAATCTTTTATGTTTTGCATAGTACCTGGCACACAACAGGTGCTCAATAAATATAAAGTTCCATCTCCTTGACTCTGTGCCCTTCCAGAATGATTAATTTCCTAAGAGCTCTGGATGCTGAGATTTTACTGTTAATTGTATCTTTTATAAAACTTGCAATGTCTTGTACATAGTAAGAAGTCCACATTTATGTGTAGATTTATTCTGTAATTCTTAAGAGTCTGGCTTGGTTTTCTTGAAACTTTTCATGAAATTTCTCAAATCTCTAGAAGCGGGTACAAGGACAATTAATTATTTATGTACCCTGTGAAGATGCCTAACTTGGCCAAATGTCAACATCTCAAGCAGTGGTTGTGCTTGTAAAATTTTAATAATCTGTACTTTCGTAGTATACTTTGTATTTCTTTGCGTGGTGTGATATTTTGTATATTTTAAAAATGGGAAGAATTTCAGATGTTTTAATATCTGTTAGGTGGAAAGTATAATTCTTTTTCAATTACATGGATTAATTTTTTTTTTTTTTGAGATGGAGTCTTGCTCTGTCACCCAGGCTGGAGTGCAGTGGTGCAATCTCTGCTCACTGCAAGCTCTGCCTCCAGAGTTTACTTCATTCTCCTGCCTCAGCCTCCCAAGTAGCTGGGATTACAGGCACCCGCCACCACGCCCGGCTAATTTTTTGTATTTTTAGTAGAGACAGGTTTCATCATGTTAATCCAGGATGGTCTCGATCTCCTGACCTCATGATCCGCCTGCCTCGGCCTCCAAAAGTGCTGGGATTGCAGGCCTGAGCCACACTGCCCCTGGCCGAATTTTAAGTTTAGGCCAGGCGCGGTTGTTCACGCCTGCAATCCCAGCACTTTGGGAGGCTGAGGAGGGCAGATCATTTGAGGCCAAGAGTTCGAGACCAGTCTGCCAACATGGTGTGAAACCCTGTCTCTACTAAAAATACAAAAATTAGCCGGGCGTGGTGGCACATGGGTGTAATCCCAGCAACTCTGGAGGCTGAGGCTCGAGAATCCCTTGAACCCAGGAGGCAGAGGTTGCAGTTAGCAGAGATTGGACCATGGCACTCCAGCCTTGGTGACAGAGCAAGACCCTGTCTCAAAAAGCAAACAAACAAAAAACAAAAACGAGTTTAATAAGATTCATAGGGTTAAATGTGGGGGGCTCTGACACTGATTGCAGTCAGGTTCAACATGGCCAATATGAAGTCAACTGGCTTGTAAGTTTCCTAAAAATTTAATAGTCAGTTCTCACAAGTCGCAAAGAGTAAATCTGGTATACTACTAGATTATCAACCTCCTGGGTGACTGCTTTGAGCTCCGGTGTAAACATAGTTAGGAGAACCAATTCGTGAAAAATGGTCCAGGCTTTGCTACCAGTTTATTCTTTGACTTTGCCTCAGTTTCCTTGATTGTATAGTAAAGCAATGGGATTAGATCTGTTTCCTAAGATTTTTTGGTATGACCTTACAATTCTGTGTGTGTAAGGCTGCAGAAGCCAAGGAGCCCAGGCTTTATACGACTTGTCTCATATTCACAATATCAATATTTTTTTCTTTTCAAAAAAGGTCTCCCCTAGTTAAAGCAAATATATTTGAGAACCACTGTTACTGAAAAAATAGCTGTCTCAAAGCCCATGTCTGTACTTCCAGCAGGGCCCCTGATACAGTCACATGTAATGGGTTTACTTATTCCTTATATATATACTACAGTAAACAATCTAGGGTTTAGGAAAACGGAAAAGTAATGGAATGCAATTCAGTGTTATTTTTATCAGAGACAGGCATAATAGAAAACATTTTGGTACTTGATACTTTATTTAAATATGACTTTCATTTATGTGTGAATGAACTCTCCATATATGCTAATGGATGCTTGTAGGCCAGGCATCATGAACTTAGATGGCAATAGTGGCCAGGCAAGTAAAGGAATTGCGAGAACCTGGTAGGGTATAAAATGAAAGTACGTGCTGCAGAGAGTAGTTTCTACTCCTCCCTTGCTGATTGTTGTCAGGAAGGAACATACGTTTCTGTTACCATATCTTTAATTCTTTAACGCCTCACCTTTTGCCTCTCCCTGCCCATTCCCTCAGCAGCTGAATATCCATATTTTAATTTAAAATTTCTTGTGTTTTACATGTTGGTCATTAATTAAACATATGCACACTCATACACACTCACTTAGGAGGAGCCAAGCAAAACACATCTGAAGCCAAACTTGGCCTGTGGTCTTCTACTTTGAAATGTCTTTTCACACACGTACCTACGCAGCAACTGATACTTTAGTACTTGTATGCTAGGCGCTTGGCTACACCTTTTGCACTAATAAAAATGTTTAACCTTCACAACAATTCTGTGAACAGGTACTTTTATTTCCACTTCAGAGATGAACTTTGGATAAGTAACTTGCCAAGATCACACAATTAGTAAAAGGTTCTGCAGTTATTCAAACCCAAGAAATTGCGCTGCAGAACTCTGACACTTAAGCACTTGGCAAAATTGATTTCCTGGATATGTTTCTTCTATATATGCTCTAAGCACACACACAAAATGTAAATAACACTATAAAGGATGAAGAGAAATTGTTTACTATTAGTTCATTCATGTACATATGTTTGCATATGTGGGCATGATGTGATAAAGCACTGAAATGCTATAAGCTTTCACATTTTACACAGTTTTTCTGATAAAGCTCAGTGAGACCAGTGTAAAAATTTCACAGGGAGTTTATATTTCTCCTTGCCACAAACTAGACATCCTGAGCTTTGGGGCCAACGTTGTCTGTGTCCAAGGGCAAAAGTTCTCTTTCTTCTCATTGTCATATTTAAACCCCACCCATGGAAATGCTCCAAGTCCTGAGTGATGATCCCTTCCTCTGGGCAAGGGTATGAAGAATAAAAGTAAATCTAGCAGGAGGAGTAAATCCCAGAAGACAGAGATAAGTACTTGAGGTCAGAGACTGCGTCTTTTATAGTTTGTCTACATACCAAACTCATTAATATGAATAATCATCTTAGCAGTACTGGTTGTAGTAGCAAAAGTAATACAAGAAACCAGTCTTCTCCTATATTTTTACATTAGCATTCATTATTTGTAGGATTTGGGAGGTCTTTTTGAGAAAGTGATGTGAAACTAAGTCTCTCCCACGTTTTTCCTTTAGTTCCACTTTTTCATACCAGCATAAAATATTTTTCAACCTTAAAAACTGCAGTCTAGGCCAGGCGTGGTGGCTTACGCCTGTAATCCCAGCACTTTGGGAGGCTGAGGCAGGTGGATCACAAGGTCAGGAGATTGAGACCATCCTGGCTAACATGGTGAAAACCCGTCTCTACTAAAAATACAAAAAAAAATTAGCCGGGCGTGGTGGCAGGCGCCTGTAGTCCTAGCTACTCGGGAGGCTGAGGTAGGAGAATGGCGTGAACCCGGGAGGCGGAGCTTGCAGTGAGCAGAGATCGCGCCACTGCACTCCAGCCTGGGTGACAGAGCGAGACTCCGTCTCCAAACAAACAAACAAACAAACAAACAAACTGCAGTCTGTAGGAATAAAAGTATAAGATGGTAGGGGAAAAAAACCGAGAATAGTGTGAACAAAATCTATGTATTTATCCATTTAGGTTTTTCCCCTGGGGTATTTTGGAATACCCTTTGACACCATAAGCCTCTTTATGGTTTACTCACTTGGTATGGAATGGGGGAGAAAAAAGGAGCCAGTCCATCTGGCAGTATTCCTCTCAACACCCTATACCCATCATGTGAATGGAAAGAACCCCAAACCTTCATTTTCAGAACTGTATCTCAGCCTCTGGCTCCTGAAGAAAACCAGTGTGGTTCAGATGTGGGATGGGAAGAGTGGTTTGCATTGGCATCAGCCCTGCGGGTGCTTTGGGGCTGGAGCACACACAGCTGTGGGTTACAGATGCTTGCTCTCCGGTATTAATGTGGCCAACATGTGAAACCATGACACCCACAATACTACACAAAGGTCCACGCCTCTGATAGTTTGAGAAATAACTCCGTCTGAAGAAATTCCTTTTTGAAGGCCTAGAATACATTCTAGAATGGAAGGTCCTCTTTCAGAGGGGTAGAACCAGGAAAGAGATGCCTTATAATGTTGGACAGAGCACAGGGTGTCTGTAGGCTTAGGAGCTTTAACCAAACATGGGGAAAAAAAAAAGTAAAAAGTCTCCTCTAAACCTTAGATTAATAAATTCGAAATTCTGTGCTATGCATGTAGCAGAAAGCTTGTACACTCAAGTCATCGTGTAGTTTCTTTGGAGATGTCAAATGCAAGCCATCGTTGGTGGTTGTCATCTGGCCTGACTCAGGGTGTGTTAGAAATGTTTCCACCGATTTTTATTTCCCTGAGCTGTCTCCAAGGATGGTAGAACCAGAGGAATCTATACACAAGAGAAAAGAAATGAGCATGGGTTCTTGGTAATTTAATAACTAGGACTCTTTTCAGGGTGTGGGGATTTTGTCCTTTCTCACTCATGAGGTCCATGCTTCCTTCTGACAGTACACTTGAGAGAGCTGAGATGTTTCCATCCCCCATTCAGTTAGTGAGACAGTTTTCTCATTCAGGTACAATTTCCAGTGAAATAGTAGCTTATAAGTATCCAGAAGTTAGTTTATTGACTCTTATTGCACTTCTGAGCACCTAATAAATAATTTATTAGTCTGATGGATATGTGGCTACCTAACTATGGGGCATGAAATATGCACTGTTTTTCTAATATACTGTAGGGAGACCTGTTTATAAAGTATTTAGTATTGGTTTTATAATGCACTGTTGACAACAGGAGACCACGAAGCTCAAAGATCAATCTCATTTTGGCCCACAGTATTAATGCTGCTTTATAAAGCTCTATGACAGGTCACTTAGACAGTGGTCTTCACAGAAAGGACTCTGTTAGGAAAGCAGGCTGTAGGGGCTGCTAGTATAGTAGATGAATGTCTTTGTCTGTGTCCCTAAGGTGACTCTGGCGGTTGCTGATGTTGGCCAGGTGATGGAACCCATCATTTCCCTGCTCTCCAGAGGGATTCTGGACTAGAAGTGCTGAGTTCTGCTAATGCAGACCTTGCTAATTGGGCAGAAAGCTGGTGTGACTTTGGACCACAATTGCAGTTCTGGAGACAGAAATCAGGCAATAAGGAGTGGAACTTGGCTCTCTTCAGCTTTGTCTTATGTTTATTAATGAAGTGAAATTATTCCACATCTTTTATGCCTTTGTTCAAATCACATAGGTGACATAGCATAAAGTATTTTGATTTTTGTTGGCTTTGGGGAATTTCCTAGCCAGAAATAAATTCATAGACATTAGACCACTACATACTAAACACTTCGAATTTGGGAAAACCTAAACAAAGACTAAGTAATTTCATCCAAAATCAATTCTCAGTGTTTTACTTTATTTTCTTCATAAGAACTATACACTATGAGAATGCTGCATAATGACAATGATTTATATCATACTATTGCCCATCAAGGTATACGTGTTGTTGTCTTTTTTTTTTTTTTTTTTTTTTGAGATGGAGCCTCACTTTGTCACCCAGGCTGCAGTGCAGTGGCGTGATCTCAGCTCACTGCAACCTCCACCTCCTGAGTTCAAGCGATTCTCGTGCCTCAGCCTCCCAAGTAGCTGGAACTACAGGCGTGTACCACCACACCTGGCTGATTTTTGTATTTTCAGTAGAGACGGGGTTTCACCACGTTGGCCAGGCTGGTCTTGAACTCCTGACCTCAGGTGATCCACCTGCCTTGTCCTCCCAAAGTGTTGGGATTACAGGCGTGAGCCACCGCACCTGTCATGGTGCATGTTTTAGAGCAAGGTATTTTTCTCTTTGTGTCCAGAACTCCTTGCTGGTTCTAAGTATTTCACTTCCCAAACTGGGAACTCTGAGCTATACTTTCTTGGACCCAGTCAGCTTGTTTATTATTTCTCACGCTTTTGTGGGAACCAGGCTGAGTTCTACTATTTGCCATTTCTGTTACTCATTTCTTACTGATTCAGAGTTTCATTTTTTTTTTTTGAAATGGAGTTTCGCTGTTGTTGCCCAGGCTGGAGTGCAGTGGCGTGATCTCGGCTCACCGCAACCTCCACCTCCCAGGTTCAAGTGATTCTCCTGCCTCAGCCTCCTGAGTAGTTGGTATTACAGGCATGCACCACCATACCTGGCTAATTTTGTATTTTTAGTAGAAACGGGGTTTCTCCATGTTGGTCAGGCTGGTCTCGAACTCCTGACCTCAGGTGATCCGCCCACCTCGGCTTCCCAAAGTGCTGGGATTATAGCAGAGTTTCATTTTACCCTTTCCAGTTGGACCCAATGTTTTCTTCCTTCTAGTACTCCTCGATTCCTTCCTATCATGTCTCCCTTAGCAGATAGCCCCATCTTTAACTTTCCTCAGATGATTATTTTGTTCATGTAGCTGTTATTTATTGAGCACCCTGTTAGACCCTGAATTAGGAAAGATAAATTCTGTCTCTTTTAAGAAGTGTACAGTTTAGTGGAAAAAATTGGTAATAAATTGGTTTTCTAACATGAGCAGTTTTAATATATGTATTTCTTAACCACAGATTTTTTTTCTGTATCTCTTACCTTTGGTTTCTGAGGGAAAAAAAGGGTTTCTTTTTTCTCCCTCCAGGGGCACCCTTTTCATTTGTGCTCTTGATCATATTCTCTCCTCGGACCCTTTCATACCATTTTCCCTCTGGCTTAGATCTTCAATATCGTTTTCTCTCTTGGCTTCATCCCCTTTGCCTGTGATAGTCTCTTTTTTCCCTGTAGTGAAAAACAAACTGCCAACTTATGAACACAACCTGTCTGAGCTCCTCTAACTTTTCAGACCACGTTTCTCTTACTTGTTTTCTTTGCAGAATTTCTCCAAAGAATGTTTTATCTTTTCTGCTTCTTTGTCTTCACAATTTGCTTACTTCTTAACTCCTCTGCAATATGGATTCTGTATACCTATCAGTCTACAAAGACATTCACTCTTATGACACAAAGCCTAATAAAATATTTTAGCCACAAATATACATGAATGTTATGTTGAACACTCATTGACCCGAGTTTAGGAACTAATAATGTACAAACACATCTGAAGACTAGAGTTACCATTTAAATTATACTGTGTCAGTCACTGTCAATCTCCCTATCTGCCTTTCCCCATTTTCCATCCTTAAGCACTATTCTGATTTTGGTATTTATTATTCCCATGCCTTTTGGTTTGCTCTTACTGTATTTGCTTCTACTTACTATTTCACTTGGTTTTAACCATACCCTAAATATAAGTCTTGTTGTTCTAGATCATTTAAAACTCTCAAGCATCCTATCTTCTGTCAACTGTTTTCCCTTATCAGGTGGAACGTTGGACAATCACGATGCTCCTGTTAACGCTGTTCCTTCTGTCTTTTCCCCTAATAACCATGGATATCCCCTGAGATACTAACCTTGGCCACTTGTTTTATCTCTTGTTTCAGGTCTGTGTAGATGGCTGCTGGATGTGATAACTTCAGTATCAGTCTGTTTTCTAACATTTCCAGTTGCCTGGTTATCTGCATGATCTGCTGTTCCCCCCATACTAAACTTGCTATATATTCTCACAAACTAGTTCATCCCCCTTTCTGTTGATAATGCTACCATTTTCCTGTGCTCAGACTATTAGAACTTTAGTGTCATTGTTGACACTTCTCATTTGTTACAGTCATTCTGGTCCCCTTGATTTTATCTTCACAGTATCTTCTGTATCTTGTCCTTTTTTTTTTCTCCAGCCGTATTGCCAGTAATTTACCCAGATTATTGACTGATTGATTGAGATGGAGTTTTGCTCTTGTTGCCCAGGGTGGAGTGCAATGGCACAATCTCCGCTCACTGCAACCTCTGCCTCTTGGGTTCAAGTGATTCCTCTGCCTCAGCTTCCCAAGTAGCTGGGACTACAGGCATGCACCACTACACCTGGCTAACTTCTTTTGTATTTTTAGTAGAGACGGGGTTTCACCATTTTGGCCAGGATGGTCTCGAACTCCTGACTTTAGGTTATCTGCCCGCCTCGGCTTTCCACAGTTTTGGGATTAGAGGCGTGAGCCACCATGCCCGGCCTATTTTAATGTCTTCCTAATTGGACCCTGCTTTTGTCTTTTCACACTTCAGTCCATCTGTCATACTGTTGCCAGATAAATCTTCTTGGAGCAAAATAATGATCAGACGTTACTGCTGTTGAGAAGCTTTTGGTAGTTTGGACTGTTGGTAGATAACAGGCTAAATAGCAACTCTTTGTAGTGGAGTATAGGGCCCTTACTTTTATAATAGTTCCTATCAACCACTGCATCCATTTCATTGATGGTTCTTCTATGTACATCTTCCCTTATGTTCCAGTCAAACTGTATTACTTCTCTAGGAATATAATCTACGCTCAGTGTGAGAGTGCCTCGGTGTAGAAGCTTTTTTTTTTTTCTAAACCATACTGGCTGGAAGGGATCTCTAAGTTGTATGGAATTCTGCTCTTGTTTCTTTTCCTATTCTGTTTTTGTTAAGGTTGTTTTGTTCATAGCTTATCTCCTGTACTAGATTGTAAACTTGTGAGCAAGGAGTATGTCTTAACTTTTGTGTTCTCCACAGCTTCTTATACTTGGCAAGGGAGCGGGGCGGGGGGCTGGGGCGGGAGGATGGGGGTGGGGGTGATTAGTATTCCCTAACAGCAGTTAAAAGTGTCATATTAAGTGGAAGAAAAGGGAGTAAGAAATTGAGCTAGGCAGGGCAAAAGTGTATCCATTATCAATCAGCAAATTATTCAGTTATTCCCACTTTGTTACTTTAGTTCTCACCAAAGTTTATTTAGCTGTTGGCTACTATCAGCCTTAGAAACTATTAACTCTTAAAAAATGTGTTTAGTTGGTCATTGGTGTGTTATATTTGCAATTTCTTAAAGTTTTGATGTACTCAATGCTTTTAAGTAATACTGTCTGGGCATATGTAATTTCCTTTCCCAATCTCTCAATAGGCACACCTTGGGCCCACCCCACCTCCACATAGCCTTAATTACAAATCAGAGGACAGGCTTAGTGAGCAAGACTGGCCAGCATATTTCAAGGTCCCATGTTGTGGGGTTGATACATCTCAAATTGAGGTATGTTGGTTTTTTTTTTCCCCCTTTAAGTTACTTGGACACACTTGCATTCTTTGATTACCTAGTTAAGATATATCTCTCACCTCTTCTTTCTGCCACTCTTTTACTGTCTTTCATACTTATCCTCATTCTATGAAACTCAGGTATTTATTTGCTTCCTAACACTTCTTGCCTCTGAAGAAATAATTGAAAGTAGATTTAATGATGGTTATTTGAATGATTTTGAACGTGATAAAGTATCTGCCTTCTATTGTTTCTCTCCCTGCACTTACTTCTCTTTTCCTTTTTCTATTCTTTCTTTCCTATTGTTCTAGGGCTAGTTTATTGTTATCACTATTTTTAATAATAATACTATATTAATAGTGTTAGTAGTAAACTTTTAAAACTGAAGTTTAACATACTTACAGAAAAGTGCACAAATAAAAGTGTATAGCCTGATAAATTTTACACACTGAATATACCCAGGACCACCAACTAGATGGAGATACATAACACTACCTGAACCCCAAAAGTGTCCCTTAGCCCAGCCACTATTCTCCATCAAAGCCAATCACTATGCAGATCTTCTAAGGGACCTGTTAAGTCTTCGTATTTTTAACTTGCCATTAATAGGTTTCTGGCATCTTTTGGGTTTCTTCATTTGGAAAACAATCTCTAAGTTCATGAACATTTGCTCTGTTTCAACATTTTTCGATTTAAATATGTATGTATATAAATAGTCTCTATCAAGGCCAGTAGATTGCTTGAGAGTAGGAGTTCCCAGACTTGCCTGGGCAACATAGCGAGACCCCATCTTTAAAAAAAAAAAAAAGCCAGGCACGGTGGCTCACGCCTGTAATCCCAGCACTTTGGGAGGCTGAGGTGGGTGGATCACGAGGTCAGGAAATCGAGATCATTCTGGCTAACATGGTGAAACCTCGTCTCTACTAAAAATACAAAAAATTAGCCGGGCGTGGTGGCGGGCGCCTGTAGTCCCAGCTACTCGGGAGGCTGAGGCAGGAGAATGGTGTGAGCTTGGGAGGCGGAGCTTGCAGTAAGCCAAGATTGCGCCACTGCACTCCAGCCTGGGCAACAGAGCGAGACTGTCTCAAAAAAAGAAAAAAAAAAAAAAAAAAAAAAAAGGCCAGGTGTGGTGGCTGAGGTGGGAGGGTTGCTTGAGGCCAGGAGTTTGAGGTTCCAGTGAGCTATGATTGTGCACTGCACTCTAGCCTGGGCGATAGAGCAAGATCCTAGCTCTTAAAAAATAATAGGCCGAGCTGGGCATGGTGGCTCTCGCCTGTAATCCCAGCACTTTGGGAGGCTGAGGCAGGTGGATCTCCTGAGGTTGGGAGTTCGAGACCAGTCTGACCAACATGGAGAAACCCTGTCTCTACTAAAAATACAAAATTAGCCGGGCATGGAGGTGCATGCCTGTAATCCCAGCTACTCGGGAGGCTGGGGCAGTAGAATTGCTTGAATCTGGGAGGCGGAGATTGCGGTGAGCCGAGATGGTGCCGTTGCACTCCAGCCTGCACAACAAGAGTGAAAGAGCTAGGCAGGCCAAAAGTGTATCCATTATCCATCTCAGAAAGAAAAAAAAAACAATAGGTCGGGCCCAGTGGCTCATACCTGTAATCCCAGCACTTTGGGAGGCCGAGAGAGGCGGATCACAAGGTCAGGAGTTCGAGACCAGCCTGACCAACATGTTGAAACCCCGTCTCTACTAAAAATAAAAAAATTACCCAGGCATGGTGGTGTGCACCTGTAATCTCAGCTACTGAGGAGGCTGAGGTAGAAGAATCGCTTGAACCTGGGAGGCGGAGATTGCAGTGAGCCAAGATTGCACCACTGCACTCCAGCCTGGGTGACAGAGCAAGACTCTGTCTCAAAAAAAAAAAAAAGAAATAATCATAATAATAAACAATAATAATAATAAATAGTCTCTGTTTCTATAAAAATTTTTGAAACTTTAAGTATACTGGGATTTTATTTTTTAAGTTTATTTGTTAGGTTTGTAAATTGCATATGAAGGAGTATCATTTTTAGTGTTGCTTTTTCCTGTGATAATTCTAAAGGCAGTGTTGAGTTTCTCAATAATTTTGTAAGGTACTGAACTCTGCCTTGCAATATGGTTTTCTTTTTTCTTTCTTTCCTTTTTTTTTTTTTGGAAACAGAGTGGAGTGCAGTGGCGCGATCTTGGGTCACTGCAACCTCTGCCTCCCAGGTTCAAGTGATTCTCCTGCCTCAGCTTCCCGAGTAGCTGGGATTACAGGCATGCGCCACCATGCCCGGCTAAGTTTTGTATTTTTAGTAGAGATGGGATTTTGCCATGTTGGCCATACTGGTCTTAAACTCCTGTCCTCAAGTGATCCACCCGCCTTGGCCTCCCAAAGTGCTGGGATTACAGGTGTGAGCCACCGCACCTGGCCTGCAACATGATTTTCTTGGATGTTGGTGAATCTCAATCTTCTTTTCTGACAGTAATTTAAACCATTATTATGACACCTTTACTGAGGCTGCAAGCTTCTTGGTCCACAGACTTTAGAAGGAAGTAAATAAAGAAATTAACATTATCTTGGCTGGGCATGGTGGCTCACCCCTGTAATCCCAGCACTTTGGGAGGCAAGGCGGGCAGATCAATTGAGGCCAGGAGTTCAAGACCAGCCTGGCCTGGTCAGGGTTTGGTGAAACCCCCTCTCTACCAAAAAATACAAAAATTAGCCGGGGGTGATGGCACACGCCTGTAATCCCAGCTACTCGGTAGGCTGAGGCAGGAGAATTGCTTGAACCCAGGAGGTGGAGCTTGCAGTAACCCGAGATCACGGCACTGCACTCCAGCCTAGAAGACAGAGTGAGATCCTGTCTCAAAACAAAAACAAAAAACAAAGAAATTAACATTACCTTTATAATTCTTGCAACTTTCATGTTCATGTTAATTTCCCGTTGTGTGCGCCCCCAGCCTGTTTTTTTTTTTTTTTTTTTTTAAATTCATTTAAGTAAAGCCATCACTGGTTCTTTCCTTCTAGATTTTCTCATAAAACATTGAATATAGGTTTGGTATAAAGAAGCCACTGTTACTGTTTGGACTTGAGAGAAGATTAATAAAGTCACTTTTCTTTTTTTAAACCAAAACAAGGTAGGTAAAATGTTTGACCTTTTGTAGGCACAAGATTCATGCTGACCTCAGCTGCTTTTATTATCTGCAAATATCTTGAGTCTAAGGATTCATCATTTCCCTAACATTTTGTAAACTACCTCATCTACCATACCCTACTCAAATCCTTTTATTTTAAAATTTTTGTAGTGCATCAAGGGATTATGGCTTTTGGATATTTCCTTGATGTGTTTCTATGAAACTGAGCCCCTGATTAGGCTGTCAGCAGATACTGTATTACATTGATTGTTTTAGTTGGTACAGACACACGTGTCAGCTAGAGCAGTTTCTCCCTTTTGCTGAGAAGGGTGAAGCTTTTAGATAATATTTAGTTATGGAGGATGTTTGTGCCACTGTTTAAAGTGATTTGACCCTGTGTCCTCCTCCAACCTTAAGTTAGAAGGCCTATTTTCCTCTATTGGTCTAAGGGCATGTAATGAAGTCTTCAGCACACAAGCTTTCTCCCTCCCTGTAGGTGAGTGGTTATTATTTTTTCTTTTGTCACGGGCTTGGATATCATGTTCTTATGTGTAAACACTGGACCATATAGTACTCACAATACTTTGGCAAAAACCAAACTAACTGAAAACTGAAGGCATGCCTTTATGTCTTATTTCCAACTTGGACCATGATCTTGCCCCTTGAAATCTTCAGGCTGTTTTGATGAAGCCTTCTGTATGTTGAAATGCCCAGTCAAGGTGGCCAGAACCATCTGGAGAAGGTAGAGTTGTAAATATGAAGTGACATGTATAATTCTAATGGACTCTTATAATGAGAGGGGCCAGTGATTGAGGCTGGCAATCAGAGATGACACAAGCTTTTTCCTTCCTATTTGAATCTGTAAAGACCCTTAAGAGCACTTTGAATTTGTTCATCTATAAGCTGTTAACCCAAATTCATGTCCCAGGTTTTTAAGAGAATAAGCAATAGAATATAGGCGTTTCCAAAGAGGAAGACGTACAGAAGCAGATAGGTGTATAGTTCATTCATTCACAGATAGGCACTAGGTTAGATCCAGTAGTTGGCGTGCATGCATCAACATGTTAATCGGAATTAAAGGCTGCTACATTTAGGCTTGGCTAGATCATCTATAAATTGAAACCCAAAAGAGAATTGTTAACTAGGAAAGTAGCTGTCCAGGTTCCTTAAAGTTTAAATACAGGGATCCAACTAGTATTCTCCAAAATTTTTCAGGAATATCAGACTTTACTGCTGTGGAACACTTGGCTGTTGTAAGAGGAGTGTTTCATCTCTCATAAGGATGTAATGAAAGGAAATTAGGAGCCAGTGGGAGAGTGCAGGGACTTAGGTGTAAATCATAGGTGAATCTTTTTTTTTTTTTCAGATGGAGTTTCCCTCTTTTTGCCCAGGCTGGAGTGCAGTGGCGTGATCTCGGCTCACTGCAACTTCCACCTCCCAAGTTCAAGCGATTCTTTTGCCTCAGCCTCCTGAGTAGCTGGGATTACCAGTGCCTGCCACCATGCCTGGCTAATGATAGGTGAATCTTAATTGTGAAGATGAGTACCTTTATGAGTAGAGATGGCTTCATATCAGAACTTTATCTTACAAGCTACTCTTTACTCTTCCTCTTTCTCCCCGCTCCATGCCAACAGAGTTAATGTAAGCATAGTAGAGTAATATTTCATCTTTGTGTGTGTAGTTTTCTTTTTTTTTTGGGCGGGAGGAGGTGAACTTTTTACTGTCTTTCCATCTATTTACATATGTGAGTCCAGGGAAAACAGGCAGCTTAAATTATGATATAATTTTTTACAAAGGGAAAACCTGAATTGAAATTATTGTTTTACTTCTTTTCTATTCATTTCTTTACAGTGAGTCAAAAATTTTTTCCCCTTAACTTCACATAGAAAATGAAACTTTACACAATAAAGTAAGGATGGCAGGTTTCACAAGGGAAAAAGCTTGCTGTCAACTTCTTTCCTCAGGAATATGGAAATTTGGGTGGATTATCTTTTCAGAAGAGGTTTCCTTTATTACTTCTTTTTTCACTTAAGACATCTGTTAACATTTCACACAGCCCAACAGATGTTGGAGAGCAAGTCCCATACTTTGTTCTCAAGAAAAATGACATTTCCTTAGTTGGTTCCCCCACTTCTGTGACTGAGTCCAGCCTGCTGCATAATTTGCATATATTAAGTTATATACCTTAATGCCATATGAATTTGTATCTTCAGCATTATTTTTACATGGTAAAGTCTGGTTTGATTAGAAACTAGTTTACATGTTGCTGTAGAATTAAGAGAGGGCAAAACATTTTAAAACTCTACTTCGAGAATGGCAACCTGAGTCCACATATAAGATTGGATAGCCAGTTTTTAACATTTTTTTCTATAAAATAAATGAATTACAAAAGCTTGAGTTGTTTCGCCATAAGGAAGTGCTGATTGTCATGCGATGTGGAGCGTCATTTTTATTATTTTGGCAAGAACAGGGACAGTTTTGTCTTGACAAGCCATTAGATGAATACCAGCGTGTGTCACATGAAAAACCACTGATCTTTAACCCAGCTCTGTACTTAACCAAGCCTTGAAAATGAATAGTGAATAAAAGAAGAGCAAAGGCAGAGCACATTACAGATTATAGAATCTGTTAACAGTTGCTGAACTCAACCCAGGGAATTACAGGTATTGTTCTGTGAACCAGCAGAAGTTCTAGAGATGCTTGTTAAATTGTATACAAAAACTACACATTTATTTTATATTTGTGCAGGATTTACATTGTTGGAGACAGAAAAAATAAAAATCCTAGAGTACTTTCTCAGTGCAGTAAATGTATGCTTTCATCATAAAATCATATATATTTACATAGAACTCAATGAGGTTTTTTTGCCTGCAGTTACATAACTTATTTTATGAAAGCAATGTGCTTTTAAAGAAATTAAGTAGAAAGAAGAAAACATAGGTTATATCCCCTTCCCCTCAAAGAAAACACCCTACAAACATACATGCAAAACAAAATTCTTTGCTCACTTGCGTTTTCATGTATTCATTGTGGCTGATTTTTTACACCAACATAGGTTTTTTCTTTTTTGTTTCTTTTTCTTTTTTTTTTGCAGGAAATGGAGGGAAAAACCCAAAACCCACCGTAATACTCAAGTACTGAAAAGATCAGTAACATTTTAAACGGTTGTGGGAATTATTGCTTACAGAGCTAACAAGAAAGAACACACTTTTTTACTCTGCTGGTGGAATTGCATTGTGCCTCCCTATAGTCTTGTTATCCCACACTAACTGAAATGCAAATTTTTTGTAACTAATTGGATCTCATTGAGGGTACATGCACAGTGTGTAGTTATATGCAAAAAGGTTTTAAAAAGTAAAATTTTCCTGCAATTACAACTTTTAATTACTATCCAAAACATGGTACCTATAGCACAGGTTTAGAATATATATGTCTGACTTTTTTACAGATTACTCAAAAACATGAGCTATGAAATGCTTAATAAGGTGTCAGCTCGAAAGTTACAGGGAAAATGTTTAATTACAGCAGTCTATAAATTGAATTTTACTATAGTTATGTGAAAATAAAGATTTCTTTTTAAGTTCAGGATTTAGTGTATTAGAGCCAGTATATGAAAGGCATGTTATAGTGCATTCCTTTTCTTGGAAGATTTTAAACGTTAAAACATCATCAACATCAGAAGTCACTTTCAGAGCCATTGCCTTTTTTTCCCCTTCAGTTCTCCAATCTATTTTACCATTGTAAAATGCTTTTGAGTTTCTTACTTTGTGTAAGTATATTTCTACTTATGTGGTGTGGTGTGGGGGAAGTATTCACATTCACACAATGTCTTTAACTTGGATGCAGTGAAACCTAGTTTGGTGGACTTCATAATTTCCATGGTCCATCTCTCACTATCAGTAAATGTGGGAAAGCCAACAGATGGCCTTTAAGTACTTCTGATTCTTTAACCTGAAATACTCAGAATCAGCAGCAAAAAGCAATTATTGTGGAAGTGATACTTGTCTTCTTCCTTCTAGTTTTAAATAATTTTCATATAAATGATTCCAGAGAGTTATTCCATAATTGTCAGACTATGTAGCCAGTGAAAAAAACTCAGAAGACATATTTGTGCCTTGTAGGTGTATTTTTTTGTACCTGTGTCTGTAAAACGATACAGATGTCCCACTTGCTAGATAGAAATTATCCTAATGTCAAATGTTCTACACAGTATGTTATATGTGGAAGTTCAGATCATGTATCTTGGGGATTTATAGAGGGATTAAATGTTCTTTTCAAATATTTATTTTAAAATGAGTGTTAGAGAAACTTAAAATCTTATTTATTATTGAGTCTGGATTAATTGTTGTCTCTTTTTGTAACAGAGCTTGTCCTCTTTGTAAATTTGTGTTACAAAGTAGTTAAGATTTTGTTTGAGCAAATCCATTTAGCAGGTGCAGTACTGTATATTTATGAAAAAATATTTTTTAAAACTTAGAAAGATATCCTGCTGCTTTTAAGGCTCGTGTTGTGGCAGTAACATGTTATATTGCAGACGTGTTTCAGCCAGGGCCACCTCAGTCCATGATATCTGAAGGAGCTCAGTTTGCCTATACTGGGTAGCATTTTGTCAGAAGACTGCTGGCTGGGCAGACTAGATTTGGATGTATTAGCTAGTCAGCCTAATAACCCTGTACAGACTGTATTGATTTTCTAGGAGAGAGTTTATGAACTAAATAAACTTGGGGTTGGTGTCTTAATAAACTGCTTCTCTCAGTCTGTCACATTTAGTTACGGAGCTGTGCAGTTTAGGGGGAAAAAAGGCTAATTCTGTTACAGATTGTTCACAGCAGGGTCTCCAAATTAGCCCTTTGTTTTGTAATGCCACCTTGCTTGGGCTTGCTTTGAGCACATTTCTCAGTTTTGCCCTAATGAGTTGCAACACTGATAATGTGGCTGATGATCTTTCATTGATTTCACTATCACTTGCTTGTCTGGTAATTGATCCGTTGCTGAGCCTCTAGTTAATTATATCGGCTTTGACATGGCCCGGTCCACGGGGAATTTCAAGTCTTGCAGAATAACAGTTTTAATAAAAGAGTCTATTACTGCAGGTGCTTGCTGCTGCATGCCAGTTGATTTTTGTGTTGTTAGTGTGTGTGTGGGGTGTTGGGTAGGATACCTGGGAAAGAAGAGGACTGCAGGACTGAGAAAAAACGGGGTGGGGGCTAGAAAAAGAGGAAGAGGGAGTGAAGGAGGGGGAGAAAGAGACAAGGAGAGGGCGAGTGAGAGGCGAGAGAGAACACAGGCAAAAACACACAGGCAAAGCGATACAACAGAGCCTGAGTGGAAGGAGGAGGAAGCTTGCTATTGACAGTGTCCTTAAGCCTCCCACAAATAACAGCCATTAGTGGGAAGGTCAGGAGCTGAGCAGGCAGCTTGACTGAGGCACTGAGTGCCACTTCAGAAATCAAGAGGCTAGCAAATTTTAGAGGGAGTTTAAGTGGGTAATAGCTAGCACTAAAGGTACAGTCACTGTTGACAATTGACTCGTAGGGGATTTTCCTGCCCTCCCCCCCAGCAAGAATATTTTTATTGACCACAGGTGGACTTAATATATTTTAAGGCAACAATTCTTTGGGTTCTTGTTTGTTTCCTCTCAGATATTGAATTTGCTTCTTTTGAGACTTTTTTGTGCTTAATGGTGGGGAACTGGAGGGAAGTTTAACAGAAAAGCTTTCAGGAGATGTCGGTTCTAGAGGGGAAGGCACATTTGTGTCAACATAGTGTACGTTTTCTCATCTTTTCTCATTGTCCACTAATGACACAGAGCTGCCATTGAAGCTCTTTTCTGTTTCTTTTGTTGTTTCAGAGAGTAAGGTTTATTGTTATTCTTGAGTTAAGAAGGAACAAGGAGAGTGGTACATTTGTCCTCGATATTTGTAGGTGGTTGAAGATTAATGTTCCTTACATGTTAAGTTTAGGAAGGATGGCTTTTTCCTGCTGACTACTTTTATGAGATGGCATGAATTTAGCTTTCCATTTTGAACTTACTGTTTATGTACAGTGCATTTTGTTCAGTGCTGCTTTTCCATAAATAAGGCAGACAAATACTATCTAATAAATAGGTGAATAGTTTTAAGACTTGTTTAATTAAAAATACGACATGTTATCAAGGGTGTATTTCATCAGGCAGGAAAACGTTATAGAATTTTCCACAGAGATCTTGAATAAAAAATGGAGTTTTTATATTCATTACTTTTTGCCTGAAATGGGACAGGCTTTTTTTGTTTATCTTTTTCTTTTCTTAACGATTTGAAAGGATATTGCAGATGCTTCATCTAGGAACTTTAACAAAGGATTTTTTTCTACTTCTGAGCTTTAAGAAAAGGTATACTTTTTTCCTTTGCCATTCAGTTTCTCATTAGCTAACATCCAGTTTAGTAATTAATAGCCTGAGGTACTAGATATTAAATAGTATATATTTATATTTGGCAAATGTTTATTGTGCATCTTCTATGTTATAAAAACTGCTAGGCTTATTTGCTTACTCTTTAGAGTATAAGGTCACATCTCTATGTACGTTATTTAGGAGTTTCTATGTGGTTATAAATAGCCCAGCACATACGAGATGACTTTCAGGAGCTAACATTTAGACCATAACTGAGCCAACTTTACATTCTCTTACAGCTGAATATTTTACTTTCTTCAGTGTAATTAAAAAAAAATTTAAGTATCACAGTTTTACAAATGTTAAAGCCAAAGACTGGTGTCAGATATTATGTGTTATATCAGAAAGCATTGTTGAGAAAAATTCCCGGGGAAGGGCCCTAGCTTCCCCTTGCCCTGTGCACCGTGATTGTGGTGCTGCCTGGAGTGTGCATAAGTGTGTATCTATCTGTATATCTGGAGAGGGGTTAGTGCAGGGTGTCATTTGGTGCCTGACAGTGGAACAGTGCAGTTGACTCTTAGCTCTGCTATCCAATGACATGCAGTGGCTGAGAGTTTGAAGCTGATGGTTGGGTCTCCAGTGCCGCCTGCACACCTGACAGGCAGCTGTTAAACTGAGCAAAGGCAAGCTTGGGGAGTCACAATCTATGCATAAATGATAGGGATATCTGTGCAGAAGGTGCGAAAGAAGCTCTGACCCCCTCCCTCCCCCAAATCTCCCCCTTCCCAAATGAAATGCACAGTTCAGCCAGCTTCTTAACTACACTACACTCCTGCTACTGGCTGCCAAGAGGCTCAAAAAATCCACCTTCACTTTTCAGTCAGAAGAGGCAGAAGTGGATGTGAGAGAAAGAGAGACACAGAGAGACAGAGAGCCAAAGAGGGCAAGAGACTTGACTTTAAGAGACTCCTGTACTGACAACTCCATGCAGTTCGGAACCAGAACGACTACGGCTGAACCAGGGTTCATGGGGACATGGCAAAACGCTGATACTAACCTCTTATTCAGAATGTCCCAACAGGTAAGTTACTTTCTTTCTTGATTTTTTTTTTCTTTTTTTTAAGAAACCTTGAATTGTTATGGGCACTTTTGTTTCTGGTGTTTTTCTTTCTAAATACTTTTTAAAATGTGGTCACTTCCTAGTTAGGCTCTTGTTTTGTCATAACTGTGTTACTGGAATGTGCAGGGTTACTTCATGGTTTCCCTAAGGGCGTCTTAAAAGAAAAAGGGGAAAGGATACCGAAGTAAAAGAAAGCAGAGACATTGTTGAAAAGTTTCACAGTACAATCTGGGTCAGGGGAAGACTTAATTTATTTCTTTGTTTTCTGTTGAGAATGAAAAAAGCCACCTCCCAACAAATGTATCTATCAATATGAATCACTTCGTCCAAAGTGTTTGCTCTCTCGGAGTAGGTTCCGCAACCTAAAAAACAGTCATCAAATCTCGGGGCCCCTCAGAACAGCCCTACTGACTTCATGTGGCTGGAGGCAGCTTCGTTCAGACCTGAGAAGAGAGACGAGGCTGTGCAGGCTTGGCTGCCAGCGCCGAGGGTTGCTGGAGGAGTCGGCGTGCGTGGCGGGCTGTGCTGCTCGGTCCTCGCTCCTCCGCTCCGCTCCTCCTTGCCAGCCAGCCCTCTGCGCCCGCCCCTGCATTCCCTTCGCCGGCTCCGGCCCGCTCTCCCGCCCGCCCGCCGGCCCGCCGGCGCACTCACTCGGGCGCAGCCTCGGCGTCTTCCCCAGAGCCGCTCCTCCGTCCCGGCCGCGCTGGAGGCGTTCGGCTTGCTGGCTCTGCTGGGAAAGCCGACGTGGTAGCGCGAGGCCATCGGTTACTGATAATTAATCACCGGAGCCGGCGGCTCGTACCATGCGCTCCGTGATACGCGCCCTGTGCGCCGGTCTCCTCTTGCACAATTGCTGGCTCCTTGGCTCCGCGGGGGAGCGAGGGTGAGAGGAAGCGAAGGGGACACAACCCAGAAACTTTCATCTTGGATTGTGCTCAAGTGAGGGAGGGAAGTTCCCTGGTGCCTCCCTCCTAGACACGTCTTGCTTTTCCAAAGCCTACACCAAACCCACACAAAGCAAGTTAGTTTGATATTATCATCCACACACAAAGCAAGTTAGTTTGATATTATCATCCACACAGCACGAAAGTACTATTGACAAATATACTTGGATTTTAAGTTGACGGCGGTTATTAAGAAATGTTGTGCCACTCAAGAGGAAAAAAATACTGCAACTGCTTTTTTTTTTTTTTTTTTTAAAAAGCTTTTGTTTGTAAGAGTTCACGAAAATTAAATACTTTGAGTTAGATATTTAAAGTTGTTGATAATAAAAAAAAAACAATTTGCCAGGCTATAAACTACTACAAGTTTAGAAATACATTTGCAAGCGATAATACCTACAACCAGGGTTTTGTAGCATTTAGCTAGAGAACAGTTTTAGCACACAATTCTAAATAGGATAAATGCATTTGAATAAGGTATATTTTGACATATCCTGTAGAGGGACCCTGATTACTGCTGATACAGTAAGCTGGGATTTAAATGCAATCAACATCAACCCAATAAGTAACTCTTCATGTGCAATTTCCCATTCTTTCAAGTGAAAAGTTCATTTCCACACAGAGATGCTCCTTGTCACTGCAGAGCGCTGTGAGAGGTGTTTTCCGCGACGCATCCCTGCCTGGGTGGCTCTCGCGTGTTGGAATGCAGTGTTTTCGCTAACCTTAGTACCAAATAACTTGTGCTTCACTTTTAAAACTAGATGTCACCTTCAGGGTTTTCCTTGAGTTAGTGGAGGTCGTGTGTGTGTGTGTGCGTGTGTGTGTGTGTGTTAGAAGGGAAGATTGGCTTACGTCTCCCTCTAGCTAGAAAAGAGTTAATAAAACCAGATAGAGATAATGATCAATTGATAAATGGCTATTGAACCACATAGATGGTGTTAGATTGCTTATTTGGCACTAGCCCATTTCCAAGTAGATTTGAATCTAAGGAGATTTTGTCATGGAAAACATTTTAACTAAAAAACAAATAAAGTAATATAAATGATGGGTCAGAATTAGGACAATTTATGATGTCTTTGATCCAGCTGTCTGACTGTGTGGATATTTTGTGTGTACCTGTGTGTGCATATATGTGTAATGGTGAGCATCAGTGATTATATGGAGAGAATAGAAATATAGGGAACTAATTTATGCTTAATGGATGCTATTAAAACTGTATAATATTATGCTATTTATGAAATAGAGTAGTACAACAAAAGGAGAGAAATCACAGTTTTAAATATGTTTTCTTTTTTTTTTGGTTTTGATGTAGTTAGCAATCACTCCTATCCCCCCAACCCACCTTTTTCTGTCATGGTCACTGAATGTTTACCTCTTGTGCATTTTTGGAAAGCATGTAAAAGAGGATATGAGCTTGCATTTTTTTTCTCTTCAAGATGACATTTTAGTTTGTATAAATATTACATAACTTAAGTTCAAACTATGTGAGTGAAAGTATGTGTGCTGTTCATATTTAATATGTTTGTTTTTCTTACCTGTAGTTCATCAGCAATGCTGATTCAGCACGTGTGTGTGTGTGTGTGTGTGTGTGTGTGTGTGAGAGAGAGAGACTTATTGAAATTATATCTCTGATATCTCTTGAAGCCAGCCATTTAAACGAGTATTACTTTCAATATATACAGTTACGCTAGTTTTTGTTACAGGTAAAAGTTTGTCCAGTTTAATCAAATATGTAGAATTCTGTACATCTCATTGCTGAGGCATAAAGAGGTTTCTCTAGATTATGATTATTTTATTTCTAAGTAAAATTTACTTAGCTTATGAAATGAATAAAATTTATTGGGTTATTTTTTTTAAAGTTTTCTTTAATAGTATAAAAACTAATATTTTCCTGATTATTTATTTAGACGTTTGAAAACTCTGACTAGTAGGGCTGCTATAAAAGGTTTCAAAACTGAGTTACAGATAATTTACCATCAGTATTTAACTATAGAGAAAATTGTGGGAAATGTCCATGAATACTGAAATTTAATAATCTAGTTTTATGTGTTCTATTAGTAAACTAGGAAGTAGGGATACAAAAATCTTTGTCTTTTGTTTCATATGAGCAAAGTTGGATCTGCTTAAATGTACATCTTTCATTCTGTCTAATAGTAACAAATAATCACAATCTGAAGCCAATTTAGATTTAGTGGGATGAAGTATGTGCCCCTAAAGTTCAAGTGAAGTCTATTTGACTACATTTTCCTGTGCCTGTACATTTTTTCTTCTATACTCAAGTATGATTTTCTCAAATTATTTCTATGTATATAGCTGAGTATTTGAGAACATTAAAGGGTATGACACTTGTGTAAAGGGAGTTCTTCTTTGGATCAGTTTGATCAGTGACAGGTGGAGAAAGAACCTTATTTTGCCTATTTTAGTTTCACAAGGTACTGTTAAAAGCAAAAAATGAGGCTTGCTTTTCAAAGTTTTTTTTTTAATCACACTTGAGGAGGCAATTCTTCTATTTGTATAAATATTTTGTGCATTTGAGAGAATAGTAAATAAAATTCTTGTAGCTATCTCAAGGGATGTAATAGTCCAGTCTATTTAAAAATCTTTTTAGAAAGGAAACCATAAAGGTATATAGCTATAGCCCACATTTAATGTGTTACTAGAGACATTTACCTTTTATTATTGGTGAGGTATATTTAACCTGTTTCAAATAAAATGTAGATCCCTTAATAAGGTCTTTTTTCATACTTGAGTGAAATACTAAGTTAGGATTATAAATGACTCTCTGCATCATTATGTAGTAATTTAGGATTCACCCGATGATGTAACAAAATTAACAACATAATTTCATTGTGAAACTGTGTCTTATTAAAGAACAACTGTCTGACATTCTCTTACAGTTGCTTTATTTAACTTCATGCAAATATTATTAGTAGTGACATTTTTCTATTGTGCATTAGATTCTCTCATTAGCATGATGTGTTAGTTATCACCAGAGAAATCATTTTTTAGATAGGTGAGGGGCAAACCAAGAAAGCTAAAAATTAAATCAACGATTTACATTAATACCAGAGCGTCTGCTCACCAGAGATATGACAGAGTAAAAGCAAACTTTCTTACTAATATAAAAATCTAGCACCTTTCAGAGAAATGATAAATAAAATATAAGAAATGTATAATAACATTGCTAGAATCCATTTAAAACAGTGCTCAATATGAATTTTCCTCAAGAAATCTTTTTTTTCTATTCATATAGGCCAACAATCTCAGTTTCTGGAATCTATATTTTTAAATGAAAATGTTTTTGTCCCCCCCCCCAATTTTTTTGAGTATTTATTCACTAGTCATTTAAAAGGCATATATATATATAGTATTACAAGTCAGACGCCTAGTTGTACATTGTGGTTTGGGTCTTCTTTATAGTTCATACAACGCATTTTTATTCTAAACTCTGTCCCACTCAAATAGACATCCCTTTTTACATAGGATGTATATTCTTATTTAATCAAAGCCCTGAGTAAAGCAGCTGATAGTTAATGGTCTTTGAAAACGACTTTCATTGCCAGGCATCATCCATCCCTAGCTTGCTTTCTGCAGTTTTCTCCATTTTTTACTCCCTTCCTTACAGTTAGTATGTTTGGATGATCTTGTCTTACTAAAAAAGGATTAAATTGACTAAACTTGTGGTCTTAATGCTAAAATAAATATTTATATTAAGAGGCATGCAGTTTTAGCCTGTTGAATTACTAGGCTACGACCTCCAATTTAGGCCCCTCTTAATTTGAGTGGTAATATGTTTTATTTTTAACAATAGACATATATTCAAATATAATTCTCAGTATATTGTCTGATAATGTAACACTAAAGTAGGAATATTTGGGTATTTGTATTTGTTAAGATACAAATTGTAGCATAGAGACAGGTGCTTGGTTTGTCCTAAACTTTGAAGGTCTATGGATAACATGCAGACTTCACATAAGAGATACCGTCTCATTTGTAATGCAGTGGGAAAGTAACAGTTTATATATATGGTATTCTATGTACATGTAAACGTTAACGCAAGTAAAGCATGCACAAACATATTCTCAGGTGTGTATTTTGTATATGTTAAAAATCTGTGCACAAATTTGGAGTTTATTTTCAACATGATTCATTTAAATGAATTTGAACACAGTAGGTGATCGTTTTGAAATTATTTAATTTTCTCACCTTTCTGTCATCTGCAAACAGGTCTATTATGTTTGTGTAATTTGTAAAGCCTTTTGCTAAGGTGAGCCAAGTAACTGCAGTTGAAAAATAAATCCCTCTAAGGTGCAGATATCTTATCTATAATTGTAGGTATTTTTTATAATTATATTTATGAGTGTATATTCACATTCACTGATAAATCCAATTATTCATGCATAGCTTTATGGAAATCTGATTAATGCAGTGACAGGACAGATTTGGGCTGCCACAGCAGCACATCCTCCCACTCCCATGTCAGGGTTAAGAGCCACGGCAAATCCTCCCTGACTAATTAGATGCTGAGTAAGGCATCTCTGAGAAGTTGGGGCAGAAGTGAATGGGTCACAACCAAGGCAGGATTGCAAGGACTCCAGTGATAGTGAAAGCATTCAAGTTTGCCAGGTCGTTGTGACACAGGGAGCTGATTCCAAAGGAACAGTCCGTTACAGATAGTGAGCTGGCGTCATCCACTTGAATGAAAAACACAAATTCTGGTGCCTCCCTCTCTCTACCTTGTATGCATTACACACACTCACTTAAAAAAAGTTGCATTGGGCATCTGCCGTCATCTGTCTGCAAAGCTTTTGAGAGGATTTTCCTTGTAAACGTGAATAGCTAATGATTCTGTATAGCCCAAGAGGTATTTTCTGAACTTGGCACTCTAGATTAGCACATATATCAAAAGGAAAGAGGAAAAGAAATTGGAATTTGTTTTTAGCTTGTGTCTATAATTTGAACCTTAGTGTTTGAATCGATCTAGGAATTAACTCCTTTTTCCCCCCAGAGTGCTGTCAGAGAACTTTGTGGTTGTAGAGAAAACAGAGTGAATCGGGTAGGTTGACTTTTTCAGTGAGAGAAATTTTCTGTGGGATTCCCTGCTTGTTATTGTCCAAAGAACATGGAATATAATGTTCCAAGATTTCCTTTCACGGTAGGTTTGGAGCCTGGTTTGTTATGCGTGTAGAAATAATTCGCCATTTGAAAATCCTCTTGTACCTTTGGTGGTACGCTTTTGTGGTCTGTTTATGGTGCTGCTCAGTGACCACCCTTCTCCAGACCTTGGTCAGAAGATTGTTTGGGGGTCCTAGGAAGTGATGGATCTCACTACTGTCTGCCAAAGCTGATGCCATTTTTTATTTCCAGAAAAGCAGCTGGCTTCTACATTTTGCTGGGCGATCTTCATCTACTGTAAGGACCCTGGAGACAGGAGAAAGGGAGTCAAAGACCCTTTCAAGAAACTGACATCTATTTTTAAGCTTTAGAGAAACAAAGGAAAAGAGACATAATTCAGGAACAACAGCCTTTATATCCTCACATAGAAACAAAACATTGGGTAATAGAGGGAATGTTTTCCTATAAGAAAAACTGGTAAAGATGCAGGAAAAATAAGATGAAAAAAATCTGCTAAGCAGCTCAAGGTCTAAGAAGTTTTAAAATGTGCAGATGGCATCCCAGAAATGATGTCTGGGGCCATGACATCCAGGGTCCCCACATTTCCTCCTCATTGAGCCTGACCTGTACTGCCATCTTTCTCCCCAGGTTTAAAGAAAGTTTAACGAATAGGAAAAATAAAAGTATTGATTATTTTTTAATTTGTGCGTTCCCTGTAGGAAGCCTCGCAGATTTCACAGTGTACATTCAAACCCTCAGGTGAAAAATTTATGACTGGAGTTCATTTGGGTGGAGACAGTGTGCAGTGTCATTCTGTTCAAATGCTGTATGTAGCATTTCATGCCACGAAGTGCAGAGATCAGGAGAAGAGAGGAATCGCTGTATGTTTTCTTCATTCATAGAGCTTTCTTTAATGGAAATGCTTGTGGAAAAACAACACATTACTCAAATTGGCTAGTTTAGGAACCAAATTCTCAACTTATTAATCATCATTCCGATTAAAAAAAAGAATTGATCCTTTAACAACAAAATAATATCCTTTTGTTTTTCTTTAATTAAGCCCATCAGTTTTTCATTTCTCTCTGTAAAGAAAATGAAAATAATCTTGAACAGTAGGAAGTTACTCATTGAAACAACTGATTCTCTTGAGCATATCTGACGTCTTATTTACTCAATGCTTTTGAACTGTAATGTTATTTCGCTACTGTCTTTAGGGTTTATGTGTCATTGAGTGGTGTTGATTTATAAATCTCATTCATATTTGGTTGGCAGAAATTTACTTAATGACCTAAATACAAGGTTATTCTGTTCCTATTTCCTTTCTCATAGAGGTAATTTCTTTCTCACTTTATTCTCTTTTCTTCTCATCTCTCTCATTCTGAATTCCTCCTTACTTTCACTGGCCCTTTTTGCCTTAATAGAAGAGAATTGAAATGCACCTGAAACGTAGCAGTAATTGAATAAATACCCTTTTGCCAATACATCATTCTGGCAGAGGCATGAGAGAGAGGTGCCACCCTCAGGTGTGGTCCTCTGTGAGTGCTGACAGGACTGTCTCGAGTGTTGCTGTAGAAGGGTTCTTTGAGTAAGGGCATGATAAAAACGTGTAACCAGGGGCCCTGGCTTATCATTCAGAGGTGCTGAAAGGCAGCTCAATTTGATCCTTAGCCTGTATAAGAAAGTACTTAGTTGAAGAGAGATTTTGCTTTCCTTTTTTCTTCTTTTAAAAACCTAATTCTTGGACTTATTATTTTGTGCAGTTAGACTTCTACACGAGCTTATTTCCCTACAAGAAGGAAAAGATACCAAGGGCAGTGCAGTAGGTTGAAGGGATGATTCTTTCAGACAAACTGCAGCTAGTAAGAGTTAACAGAAACATTTAAAAAAGGACTTGAAATGATGGTAGGACCAGTATTAATGGATGGTATTATGAAATTAAAATTTAAAGCATGCAGTATACATAACACATGAGGAGGATTCACTCTTGTTTTGTATTTAATAAATTTTAACCCATTGTCTCACAAGGCATACAGATTGTTAAAATTGACAAGACTGAAACATATTCTGTATGGGAAAGACATAGCTTTCAATATTGTTACCTGCTGTGCTTTTTTGAGACTGTCATGAATTTTTCAACTTTATTAAGGTGTCTTTTAGTGGCTATTGGTTCTCTAGACAGTTCTTCAGAACTCACATTTTATGATCGGAGTACCTGAACTGGGTGTCTGAAAAGGAAGATAACAGGTTAGTGAACGTTTTACATGACAACAAGTAATTGCTTTCAGCTGGCTTAAAATAATAACAAAACTAATATTAAAATGAGAATCTCCATTAGAGGATTTTAATAATTTTTTTCCCTTTCCATTAACATTTAAATCAAGAAGAATTTCATTGATTTAAATCATTAGGGTGGCTATTTGGGACACCTGATCAGGCATAGATTAAGAAAGCTGCCCACTACTGCGCCCTCTGCCAGTGCTGGAGGTCAGTGGACATGGCTGGGATGTCACCGGCAAGATATGGGGAGTAATTATACACTGAGCATATTCATGAGAGTGTCCCTGAGTGAGAATGCCTGCAAACATTCTCATTGTTGACCTCATGCCAGAACCTAACTTGGAGTCAGCGAGTTAGCTGCTGTTTAATATTGCTTTTCTTTTATTCTTTCTTTTTTAGGTATAAATATTAGAGTACCAGAAAGAACCAAAACCAAAGTCTGGCTGTAAACTTTGTGGAAGGACTTACTGTCTTGAAAGTACTAAAAATCCCATATTGCCACATTATGGTAGTGCATTTATATGTAATGCGTAGACATGCAGAAAGTGTATGCCTGCTCCATTGGTTGGCTGGTGACAATTAGGTGACTTAATTCTATGTATGTTGAGGATTTGCTAATGACTTCCTCAGAGGCAGTGAGCCTGTGGGTGGCTTTCCCCAAAGAGGCATTCTCCATCCTAAGAATCTTGTTGTAATTATTCCTTATACTATGCTATCTATATAGCCTTTTTCCTTTCTTGACTATAGCTTTTTGGTGAAACTCAGTGTCATTCATTGGAAAATAGCATGATGGTTTCTTATTTTGTGAACTGCCATTTTCAGCAAGTGGGAGACTACAGCTTACTTCAGATAAATTAGAATTGCGCTAGGATAGAGACACCAGGATGAGTCTCTCTGACTCAAATTTCAGATGTCTCATTATTTCCCTTTCTAGCAACTTTTGTTTGTTCTCTTGGACAACTTTGGAAAGTAATCATGGGACTGAATGGAGCTTAAAATATGTTACCAGTCCTATCATGACTAAATACTCTTCATTGTGGAGAGGAGTTTTTTCATTTTTACTTTATTTTTGTCATCTATTATAATGTAAGTAGGAAGGGATAAGAAGAATTCAAACTCCAACATCTGGGAGAGCTTGTTTCAGTAGCCAGCCGGGCAGCCGGAAAGCTGGCCTCATACAGGTGAGATGTGTTATGGGAATAAGGGCCTTGTGCACTTAATGAACCCTGCCTGCCTGTCAGCCTGGTTTTTCATGTACCATTGTTGTTCAAATAAGAAAAAGAGAGTGTTCACAGCCTGTGGTGAGATTAGAGTAATGAAAATGAAGTGTTAATCTGTTGATAGGAAGCACATCCCATATCCTGCATCCCGGGCCACATTCATGCGTGTATAATATATTCCAGGTTTTCTCATGACCAGAAAAGCTTGGGTGTTCATTATATTGAAAACATCCTTTTAGTAAAAGTGAGAAGTTGGTTGTTTTAACTTGTGTAAACAGTTATTTTAAATAATTTCTTAATAAACCAACTGCTGCTTACCTTCTGAGTATTCTGATAATCACTGTTCCTGTATGTGCCAGCAGTCCTGTACTTTTGATCTTTTAAATTTTTTTTACAACTGCAGAATGCCGAAAATGAGCTTCAATATAAGCCTACTTTGAGATACTCTTTTCTCAAAGTAGGCTTAATAGAGTGATTAATAGAAGGAGTTAAGTGACAGTAATACTTTTCTCTCCATAAAACACAGATTAACTAAAACATCCATTATCTCACACTTTATTTTTCATCTTAAAACAATTAAGTAGAAACAAAAATTTGTGAATTGTGAGTCTTCCAGAACTGCTTTACATATTTGCAGTCAGCTGCCATGATGTGAACCTGAGGAGACCAGCTTAAAGCTTTGGTCATCACATCATGGTAGGGAATTGTGTATTTCATAAAATTCTCTTTCTAAGATGGTATAAAAGGCAAATTAACATGAATGTAATGAAGTATATACTTTCCTTAGAATGTTTGTTTTAATTTTTGTTTTTTAAATGATTTTACTCAGTAATTAGTTGAGAAATTTCCATTTTTTTTCCCTAAAGCTATATACTTAAAAAAGAAAGAAAGTAAGTTTAGTCTTGGATTACAACAAGGCATTTTAAAGAAAGTAATGTGAACACTGGTTCAGTGCCCTTTATATGCAGGTCATCCTATAAGATCATATCTTTCAGATGCATCGTAAGAAATGGTTTGAAGAAAAGTGTGAAAGGGGTGCGGAGAGATAAATTAACAACTGAGTTCCAGGTGTCTATTTCTAATTGCTCACATTTCAATCATAATGGAAATTAAGGAAAAATGTTTCCCATAAGAAATACACTGTCATTCAGGCCTACCTAAGACTGCCTTTATGGAGTTCATGTTTACGGTATTTTCTTTTTTTCTATTCACCTAGGAGTTAAGGAATGCTACAGTATGATCATTATGATTTTGTGAACTGTTTACTTAAAGTTGTGCAAGTTGCTAAGAATCAAGAGAATTTGGGGATTAAAGTCCGATTGTGAAGTAAATTTGGCATATGTTCAGGGATTACATTCTTTAGGTAAAAATGGAAGAAAAATGCTTCCTTTCGGAAGGAAACACCTTAAAAACTAATCTTTCAAGCATGTGGTGCAATGATGAAACATAATGTAAAAACACTATAGTATAGTTGATCCAAATTAGTTGGCATATGACTGGTCATAGCCTACGTACTACAGTTTGCATGATACGTAAGCATTTCTGTACTGTAGTAATACGTCAGAGATAGCCTGTTTTTAATATAGTTGGATGAAATGAGAAGGCCGTTGCTTCCCTCTGCTAAATAGGGTATTTTTAATTGGTTTTTAAAATCCATTAATAGGTAGAAATGCTGTGTCGTTGTGATTGATTGGGAATAATGAAATGTAAAAGATATTCTCCTTGCAATTGCTTTCATGTAAAAAAAAAGTAGATATAAAGAAGTGCATGGTGACTGTGTCATAGACATCTGCTTTTAGGTAATAATCATTTGTAAAGAAATATGCCATGACTTTTTGGGTCATTTGAACCCATAATAATGTCTATTTAATGTAAGTATAAATGTCAGATGGTGGCATACATGTGGAGTCAGTAAAGATGAATATTTGCTGTGATAATAGTCATGCATCTTAAATGTTGACTTTTAAAATATACCTTGAAGACATATCCTATTTTCATATTACAGTACATTTTCACTTAAGTACATGATAGCTCTAGAAAGGAAGTGTGGAAGTGTTAACATGTGAAGGAACAAAATCTGAGTAATGCTTTGACATGAGCATCTATTTTGGGCTTCAGAGAAATAGGTGGCTGATTGAAAACCAATGTAAAGATTGTTGAACCACTCTGTAAGGCTGGGTCATCAGTTCTGGATTTACTATTTTAAAAAACATTTAATTATGAAAATGAGTTTCCTTTGGTTTGCACGAATGTTTCATTGAAATGAAACTTGCTTCCCATTGTCTTATATTCTGTAAACTTGTGAAATATGTATTTTTAAATCTCTGTTCTGAGAACACCCTCTTCTTTTTTTCCCAGAAACTCTAGAGTAGTATGACATTTTAAGGAGTAGTAGTTGTCTAAAAGGGCCATGTGGAGGTAACAAAAATTAAAACAAGTAGAGTGAGTCTAGTGGGAACTGTGGTGGACCAGAAAGCTCATGTCTCAACCACAGTGAGGTAGCTGCTCCTTGGTTCCAGCCGATTGTTACCAGGTGGGAATGCACGCCCAGTTTGCCAGATCCACTGCTGCTGCTTTATAATGATGAGCCAAAAATCCAGATTTTTATGTGAAATCTCCTGATTTTGAAATCTTGGCAACCTATTCAAATATTTTAAAAACTGTGTGGTCTAAACAAAACTCATCTGCAGGCTACATTCAGCCCTCTGGCTGCCAGATAGAAACCTCTGTTTTAGATAATATTTTAATGGATGAAGATAATAGTTTCATTGCATGTGATCATTCATCTTGGGAATTCCCCACTGGGATCAACCAAATTCTTCATTTTTTCCCCTGTGATTAGAAAAAAAGTTTAGTAAATATATTTCTGGTGCTGATAGTTTTGATGTATAGCTTTTCTCCTTATGACCCACATTTAAAGAAAAATCACCTGTGTGGGCAAAACAAAAAAATAGTCAAATAATTTAAATAAAGGTAGAAGCATAAGGATTTTAAAATAATAAAAGATTTCTGAATTCTGAAAATAATCCCATGATTTGTGTAAGTAATTGATGTAGATGAAAAGCCGAATTCAACTATAAAAAGCTTTTCGTCTCACCTTAAAGCGGTAGATTCTTGGCCCTGAATCTTTGTGGGATTGCTATAATTTACCAAGCAATTGATTATGATGTCACAAGGAGGAGATGGACCACAAGGGGGAAAACTTCCCCCTACTAATTCATGCAAGGCCAATATTTTATACCTGCTTCAAGAAAACATTATTTATATTGTATAAGATGAGGTTTAAAATGCCTGTCTATATTTTTTGAAGGGTCTCTTTAAAAGAAATTATCTATTCATAATTGAAATTCTCCAGGCAAATCAGTTATCAGCATTTTCAACAGAACAGGTAATTAATTGGTTTGAATTTCAAATTGAAGGTCATCCTGTTATTGATTTTCGTGGGAAAAGGAAACAAGAACATCCTGTTAAAATGATCTGCAAATGGGGCCTAGGTATATCTAGGCTCTTTCTAGGGTCTTGTTTAACAGCATCACTGAACAGTGTCAGAAACCAATCAGAAGGGAGCCATTTGTGTTTTAAACATAACAAGTTGTTGGTTTGCTTCCAAAACTTCAGAGAAGAACTCAACTGGAGAAAAGACCAGAGATTAACAGTTTGTGTTAGAGTAAGTCAGATATTTCAAATCAAGTGCTGGTGCAGCTTGTAAGGAAACATCTATAAATGTGTCAGAATGATGCTGGTATGCCATGTTCAAGAAGTTCAGCATCAACACAGCTGTGACTTAACGCTTTCAGAAACCTTTCAACTGGGAATTAGATAAAGTATCTTTAATATAAGGGGAGGGAAGCACTGAAGTAAAAGAGGTAGCGAATAATGGAGGATAAAAGAATATACCCCTTTAGATGCTGTTAATTTTTATAAAATAACATTTGTGCTTTGTGTTTGCTAGATAGTTTTATTGTTACATATGCTAGGCTATTTCAAAGCATTCATTTCTCTCCTCTGCCGTGTTTAAACTTTTTGAGAATGGTGTAATGTAAAGGTAACACAGACGAAGTGGGTGGCAGACATTTTGCCTTTCTACAGTAAACCGAAATTAGTATCATTTTGGTGGTTGAGGGGAGACAAGGTGTGGTTCTGTGGCCCAGGCTGGAGCACAGTGGTGAGATCTGGGCTCATGGCCAGCATCCACCTCTCCCGCCCAGGCGCAAGCAGTCCTCTTACCTCAGTCTCTGGAGTACCTGGAATATAGATACACGCCACCATGCCTAGGTGATTTTTGTATTTTTTGTAGAGATAGGGTTTTGCCATATTGCCCAGGCTGGGCTTGAACTCCTGAGCTCAAGCGATCTGCCCACCTCAGCCTCCCAAAGTGCTGGGATTAGAAGCATGAGGGCACCACGCCCAGCCAAAATTGAGTAAGTATTTTAATTTTAGCTGCACTAACTAGGTTGGAAACTTAATGCAGCTTCTTATGGTTCAAAGTAAAATTCTTAATAAAAAAAAAGGGCGGGGGAAAGCCTTCCATTCTAAATACCCTGGAGCTGTTAGTGCAGTTATTTCTAAGTTGACATACTTTTGTATAGGCATGACAGTGGCACCAACCATCTACATTAAGCCTTAACATTCCACAGAGCCATTTCAAGTTTATTATGAGCTTCAAAGCCTGCACATCCCTAAGAGAATATCAAGTTTAAGCATGTCACTTTGCCATAGTCACAGTTAACTTTCTTAAAAAAAAAAAAAAAAAAAAAAAGTGCCTTTTCCTAGGCTGGTTTTCTACAGGTTATCCTTGAAAAATTTCCCAGTTCAGTACAGTCATTTTTCTTACCCGTTGTTTCTGCCCCCTTGAGTTCTGTAGATTTATCCTGTTGGTGATGGTTGGAAACTACCTCCAAATAAAAGTAGTATTGGTCACAATTTGTTGAAAGGTCTATGACTATGTAAGTATCCCTTTGCAGCTTTATTCCTAGGGCTCAAGACATTGATCCCATTTTACCCATTTCCATTTGGGTTTCCATTGCAGTCCTTAAAAAAAAGTGTAGCTGGGGAGAAAAGGAACATGTAAAACTGTAAAATTGCTAATGCTGTCCTAGTACATGACAATTTCCCACCATGGAATGCTCCATGGGGAGGACGATGGGCCTGCTCAGCCTGATCTTACGGTACACTGCTTCTCTTCTTAGGGAAAGGAATTCCCCATTTCCTGAATGTGAAACGCCTACCCTTTTGGAGCCTCCTAGTCTTTAGTTCCTACCTCAGTTAATAAACCATCCCTGTCTATGCCTTGCATCTCAGAGATGGAATTTGACGGACTAGTCAGCATTGCAAAGGTCACCCTAAAGCTATTGGCAGAATACACTGCCCTTTGTTGCTCAGTGATGATAATGCTACTGTAGCAGTTAACTGGATGTATTAGACTGAGCTACTTTTCCAGAATACCAAATTATCTATTTATTTCTTTTAAACACCTGATAAAATGCCCATTTACAAGCTGTCTCAAGTGTATTTTCAAAAGGGATCTTAATGATAGTGAAATATCAGTGCTTTGGCCTCAGAAGAGATAATCTGTGCAGTGTGTGTGTCCGTTGTGTTGTTTTGCTTCCACGAAAATACTTCTAAAATTATACTCATCTTTTAGTGTTTCAGTTGTCTGAAACTAATCATGTTCCAACAAGTTTGAAAATTCAAGGTGTTAAAAAACAGTTTTATTTACATTTTGTCTTCTGTTAGTGCAATAATACTCTAAGATGTTATGAATTGCTTTATTTTGGAAAAAATCTTATAAAGCTTCATTTCCATTCCCATTATTTCCCACAAATATAAAAATGTGGAAATAGCATTTTTGGCTTTAGGTTATAACTTTACACATAGTGTAAAAGTGGATGTCACCATCTTTTTATATCTTTAAATCTACTCACAATTTACTTACTGAAATTATATTCAGTATTTATTACTGCTTAAATTATATTCAGAATTATAGAAGAACAATTAATGATCATGCTACTTGAAGCGGGGGAGCTATACTTGACATAGTTTTGTGTTTTGCGTGTGTAAACTGATTTTGTGACACCACAGTGCAGTCTTGATATAATTTTTTGTACACAGGTAACATTTTTGTCTTGGTTCTCACCTAAATAAAACTGAGTAATGATCCAAAGTGCTAAGGTATTTGTGACTTTCACTAATTATTTTCACTTATCCATGTATTTTGTACTAATTACTTTCCTAAATGATTTGCCACATGCTCTTCTATCCTGTAGTTCTGTTTTGTCCTAATCAGATTGGGTGAGCGATTAGGGATTTAAAATTACTACTTCTTTGGTCTCAAAACGAGTAAGTGAAGACTCAGAGAAATACCTTTAATTTGCCTTTTAGTATTTTTGAATAAAGCAGACTCTGTCCTGCCTTCCTTTCATGCATGTATTCATTGTTTCTTACTGAGTGAGACAAGCACATTTAAAGTAGAATATATTCCTTCTCTCCAGAATAATAGAATGAAATCAGTGATCAAGTAATTTTTCATTTCAGTAATTCAACAATCAATGGAAACAAAACAAAATGAGTTAGGAAAGAATAGTTTGCATTAAGCTCAGACATGGAATAATATTTGAAAACAAAGTATCACTATAGTTTTGTGCTGTAGGTTCTTCCTGACCTAAGTGATTGTTGAAAGGACTTTCTCTAGTTTAGAGGTATGTTTATCTTCGAACAATAATCACTTCATGCTGTTCTTTTTTTCCTAGTTGACCCATTCTCCAGACCTTTCAAAAACTTTTTAAGTGGATGTAAACTCCGTTTTAATTAGAGCAGTGCAGTCTAATACTGCAACTAGCGAGGAATGGAAGAAACGTGCTGGAAGTTAATACAACCCAAATCAACCACAGCCAGATAATTCCCCTGATCTTTGTAACAACCGCCCCCCCTTCCCCACCTCCACAATTAAGTGACCCTGTTGTTCTGTAGTTTCAACGAGACATTTAAGGTTCATTTAAAAAAATGATCATCCTTTACAGGATTCTTTGCTCTTGCGTTTCTCTTTCTTTCTTCCCCTTGCCACACAGCTGTCACTGGTATAGGAGAAAGACTGGGGGGAGGGGAGGAGGAGGAAGCCCTGCTCAAATCGTGTCACGTAGCACTAATTCATCTGCTCTCATTAGAGGGAGCGAGGGACAGCAGTGATGGCCAAGAGCTGCACTCTACACATGACACGCGAACAGTTTGGGGAATAGAAAATTGCTTTCTCAGGAAGCCCAGCCAATTAAGGACTTGACCATATTGAATGTCAAGTGTTAATTTAGGTTTTTCTTCATTTTCCCAGTAGTAATGTGGGTCCTGTGATGAGCAAATACATGTCAAGTAAAAGTTGATTGCATGAAGGACCTGGGTATTATATGTCACTGACAAGTCACAAATGTACTGAAGTCTTTTAACCCCTTAGGTGAGTTGGGAGGGGGAGGGGAGAATGGGATTAATGGTACCATAATGATAAGAATAGATAGTTTATGTGGGGGTGGCTTGGATGGGACAGACAGGAATGGTAATTCATGCAAAAACTGGGGATAGAACAAATCCTACTCTGAGGGCATAAATAGAGACCCTTGAAAAGCATACATGCATATATATAATTCCCACTGCAAACACACTGCCCAGAATATATGTTCGGTCTCCTAAGATTTTATGAAAAGGGAAAATAGTGTACTCTGTGGTCATGAACCAGGAAATTCCTTATTAATTATCTCATTTGAAAGAAAGAAAACATTCATTAAATAATTACACTGTTTTGGATATTTTAGCCCTTTGGCTCAATGCCACTGTAATATTTCTGGCTATTTACTTATAATTTCAATCTCTAATATTTATTTTCAATGGACTCTGTGTGATACATGTCATAGGAAAGATGCAAAGCATAAGACTGAAAGAATGTTTGTTTTCTGTCTTGAGTATCTCTGTAAGGTGTTGTTTAACCAATAGAAACTGGTGGAAGGTCCATCATTGTCATTCATTTCTTTTTGTGCCCAGGTGTAGGAGGGGAAGAGATTCAAGCTTCAGCAAGTGAAGTAACTTTTTTTTTTTTTAAATGTTGAACGTTGCCCATCATGTTTAGCATCTCATTTCCATTCATCAGCATTCATTTACATATGAATGTCTTGAAAATAAGAGAATGTCTGTTTCTGTTGCAGTTGTACATGTAGCAAATAAGAATGCCTCCAGTTTAGAATACTGTGTGTAGTCTGGGCAATCTTAGAAGTTATTCGTGATTGGGCCTTGTTTTTCCTTTATACCTATAACCACTTTTCCCCTTCATATCTTTGAAGACATAATCTTAATTAAAACACTTTCTTGAAACCTACTCTCTTCTATTTATTCCAAAATTTTAACACACTTGCCTTTGTATGTTGACAATGCTTAAACTTTGAAAATTTAAGTCTGATCATACTTTAATTTTGGCAACAAAACTTACTAACGTAGTCTTTCCCTGTCTCTCCCACAGGTTAGAAACTGTGCAATCATTATATTAAAAGTTAACTAAATTTTATTAAGGAATAATTAGGAAACAATTCCAAGAATTTGATGTTTAATAAAATAGGTTTTTCTTGAGAAAGAAATAGTCCCTCTAATGAGGCTCCTGAATGCTGGGCTGGCATCTGAGTTCTTTAACATCTCTCCTCCATGTCTCAAAACTAACCAAACAAAATTCGCTTAACTCTCTCTTCCCTTCCTATTTTGATAAGCTCTGTGGAACTGTGGTGGCATTGCAAGTGTACTGTTTAATTAAAATCCAGTTGTCAGCAGGCTCTCTTCCACTGGGTGTGCTGAGAGACTTAAGTAAGTTTCCATAAAGTAAATTCTGACGATGGCAGCGTGGGTTGCTGATTCAAGTTATTCCTTCTCTTCTGTGTCACTTTTGACGGATGGTACCTAATGCAATCAACCACAGGCCGAGAAAGCCTTTTCTTTGGTTGCTTTAGTAACTGGACCAGGAGTTCCCCTCCCCACTTCATCTCCCCTTCAGTGGCTTGCTCACTCCTTGCTGCCACCCCCACCAACACTTCAGCCCAAATAGGAAAGCGGAAAGAACAGCAGAACTACCTAGGACTGGCTGACAGGCTTTCCCTAAACCTCCATTTCCCAGCGGTGAAGCCGAAGCTGCCTCCCTTTGCGTGCGTTTTTGATAAATTTAAGAAGTCAAATCGCTGACACAGATAGATAATCCAAGTGTATAGGGTGAAGCGTTATAAATTAACACATTATTCCCTCTTAATGTGAAATACTTGAGAATGCATTTTCTGAGTCCCCTGACATCTACCCAGTGAGGGCTCACATTGTGCTTTTCTAGTGGCATTGATTTGTTAAAGCGCTGAATCAGCATCTCAGGCCAGCTGCCTGATCCACTGTTTTGTTGTGGGGCTCCAGCTCCTCCTCTCTGCCAGCAATCCCTTTTTTCCTTCGGTCTTCCTTTTCTTTTTCTCTCCCTTTCCCTACTGACTCCTTCTCTGCTTTTTTCCATTTTGCTCCTCCCCATCTCATTCTTATTTCTTTTTCTCTCTCACCCCGCCCTTCCTGTGGCTTGCTTTTGTCTCAATCTGGTTTTCCTCCCACACCATCTCTTTGCTTTTCCTTCCTTCTCTCTTTTGTCCATACACATCTTGTCCTTTCTCATCTCTGAGTGAGTTTTCCCTCACTCAGGGTTGGTGTCTGTTAACTGCCTTTGCTTGCATGTGCATGTTGTATGTGTGTGTTGAGGAGGGGGTTGATTTAGCCAATCTCTCGACTCCAAATGAATCCCTGCAGAGCAGAATAAATTAACGTATGCCTGTTTGCACATGCATGTCCTGTTTTTAATAGAAGTTCATGAGAAAACTTTCACCTATTTTGCTTTCTAGAAATTAAAACGTAGCTTACAGAACTTTAAAACTCTTATTTCTAAATGCCATTTAACACAGTAAAGTTTTCTTTTGGCTCAAGGAAAATGGAAATCACGGCTGGTTATCACAGATTTGATCTACTCACATTGTACCCACCAAAATAAATTAACATTTCTACAAAACTCTGGGCACCTTTTTGAATTTCAGTGAACTTACTGATACGACATTTTTTCTTCAGCAGGTTCTGTATTGTTCTGATTCCACTTATTTGTACTGGTACAATTTCATAGAAAATAGTTTTCATCGTGGTATTTGTAGCATGCTCTGATTTCCTAATATGTGATGCATCGCTATACCATAGTAGTGAATACTTAGATTATAAAATTACTTTGGCCCGGCGTGGTGGCTCACACCTGTAATCCTAGCACTTTGGGAGGCTAAGGTGGGCAGAGCACCTGAGGTCAGGGATTCCAGACTAGCCTGGCCAACATAGTGAAACCGTGTCTCTCCTAAAAATGTAAAAATTAGCCGGGTGTGGTAGCACATGCTTGTAGTCCCAGCTACTCAGGAGGCTGAGGCAGGAGAATTGCTTGAACCTGGGAGGTGGAGGTTGCAGTGAACTGAAACCGTGCCACTGCACTCCAGCCCGGGCAACAGAGTGAGACTCCATCTCAAAAATAATAATAATAGTAATAATTACTTGGCAACTTGTTTAGAACTAAAATGAGATTGCTTATCCTTCTTTTAGTGATGTATCCCAGAGTTCCAGAGGTCTTCAGAGGAGATATATTACCATGGAGAGGGTTACATGTACTGCAGGTGCAACTTCACAGACCTCTTTTCATAGGCCCCGGTTCATCCTTTGAATATTGGTCCAAGATACTTTGGTGTCACTGTGTTGATTAACTTGATATAAGAAGAAAAGTGTATCTGTTTGGACTAAAATAGAAATTAACCTCTGTAATTTTAATCTCACGGCATCACTTGATTCTTCCTTCAATTTTACTGGGTTTTACTCTAGTAACTTCACACTAGTAACATCAAAATTGGAATTTGAATATGCACATTGATAATAAATCAGATTACTTGAAAAAAATCAAATGTCTATTGCTGTTGTTTTTTTTTGGCGGGGGGGCGGAGTCTTGCTCTGTTGCCCAGGCTGGAGTGCAGTGGCGCGATCTCAGCTCACTGCAAGCTCCGCCTCCCGGATTCACACCATTCTCCTGCCTCAGCCTCCCGATTAGCTGGGACTACAGGCGCCCACCATCACGCCCGGCTAATTTTTTGTATTTTTAGTAGAGACGGGGTTTCACCGTGTTAGCCAGGATGGTCTCGATCTCCTGACCTCGTGATCCGCCCGTCTCGGCCTCCCAAAGTGCTGGGATTACAGGCGTGAGCCTCCGCGCCCAGCCTTCTTGCTGTATTTTATATAGATTAAACTGACAATTTGATTTCAGCATTTGCAATTTGAAATGGAAGTGTTTCACATAGGTTTTGGTAACCTTTGCTTCTGAGTTGGATTGATTCTCCCCTCCCCCCAGTCAAGTATAATTCCTTTTTTTTAAAAATTAATTGCTGTCCTCTCATGAATTAGCATGGCTTGGCTAAGGTGAAGGGATTAGAATGACTTTTCAAGGCATGATAATGTCTGTTTAAAGGAAAGAAAAAGAAAAAAGTCTTTTAACTAGGGCTTAAGACTAATTCCAGCTACTAAGGAGACAAAAATTACTCTAAAGAAGACAATTTGGTTTTATTTTATATGTGCATGTTAACCTGCTTTGAGATCATCATTTTGTATTTTAGGGTATTCTCTTAGATGAAGTAAGATGTTCTTCATTTGTTACTGAAAGGGGACATGGCCTCACTCCAGGAGATTAAAGCTGGAACACCTTCTGCCTTCTGTAGGGATAATCACAGCTCACCTGGCTGTAGCTCAAGGTCAGGGCAAAAAGAGGGGACTTTGTGCTTTTTAGAATTGCCTATGACTACAGTAGAGAAGAGGAATAATAAAACAATTGGACAAGATTGAAAGTGAATGTGCATCATATGAAGATAGTTAATAAGATGAATGATCAGAAAAAGACAATCTGGAAGACATCCTTCAGTGGTAGGAGAATCAGTGGTAGAAGAAGAAAGGGGTATTTTGGGGTGCAAAACTATGACCTCTGTTAACTTGCAAAAATTAGTACTGTTGTGATTGGTTATAAAGGGCTACATGAGAACAATTTTAAAATTATAAAAACATTTGTAAACATTTAGTATGATTTTAATTTTTCATTTGGTATACATACTTTTTAAAATAGTTGCTTGTCAGTTATGTTGCTTGGAAGGCAGAACTCTCTGCACAAGCAATAAGTCAGTAAATCCAGTTTTTTGATCTAATATTGTTGCTTGTTTGTTTTGTAATAATAGCATGTAAATAAAAATGGTTAAGTGTAGGTGTTTTAGGATTCAATCCCTTTGAATTTTTCTCTCAACTTCTCTGGAGAAATAGGAATTGTTTCTGGGTGTTTTGTAAATCTAAATTGAATGTCACTTAAATGTGAAAGAACTGGCACCTTTGATAAGTAGTCCCCATACTGAATCATTTTGTCATTAATAATAACATAATTATCAATGCAAATGTAAAGTTTGTTTTTTAAAAAGTCCAAAACAAACAAAGGAGGGAAAAAAAAACCCAAGCCACACTATCATACAACTCGAGGAAAAAGCATCCCTACATTTAAACAGAAGACTTTCAATAGTAGCAGTAATAATAAGAAAGAACCTTTGGCGTCTGCCCAAGAGCCTGTTGAGAGGGAGCAGCAAATGGCCTGCGCAGTGTGTGGCTCTGCAGAAATTCCAGGGTGACACATGCCTCACAAGCTGGTCACAATGCAAGGGGTCAGGGGTCATGTTCAAGAGCAGGGTGTTGCTGGATAAGGCTGAGGAAGCAGAGGTGGCCCCTCTGTGCTCAGTGTGTGGGTCTGTGTACTCCTTTCCCGTCAAAGCTGGCCCAGCGCGGCCAAAAAAGCGGTTCCTTGGCAGGGTTTAATGGCAGGATGATGTAGTCTGTTGTGACTAGTGCATTCCTTTCAGGTTAAACTAGGGAAATGGCATTGTGTTAAAATTCCAAGTCGCATGAATGTTTTATTGCCACAGTGCATTTAGCCCTCCAGGGGAGTGTGTGTGGCGGCCGGTGGGGGTGGGGGTGGGGGTGACTTAGAGACTCAGGAACTATCAGAAGAACACTTCCCTTGGAAAATTTTACCCACTAGCATGAAGCTGATTTGCTGTGATGGTCACTTAGAAGGGTTTCGCTTTTTCCTAAACTGTGGCTGTTTAAAGTCTTGGAGTCTGGACAATTAACAGCTGAAGAAAATATGACAAGACACACGCAAAGAGGTTGGGAGATAGAGAGGAGGAGTGCGCCAGAAAGGAGCTGAGCTGCCTTCTTGTGTAAACTGCCTGAGAGCGGGCCCCCTCCCCTGGCCTCCGTCCCTGTCCCCCCTTCCCCAAGGCTGTGTTCTGCTGTCTGCCCGAAGGCCAGGACTGATCTGTTAACCTTGCACCACTGGCTGGGAGGCCGCTGCAGCTCATGGTACTGTATGTTACCATTACTACTCCCTCATTCTTTTTCACTGGCTTTTTTTTTTTTTTTTAAAAAAAAAAACCATTTCTCTGTAATAACGGTTTATATTAGTCAGAGGGATACAATTTTGGAATGCAGAAGATCCGAGTTTAAAACAAAACAAACTTTAGAATGGTACTTTTTTTTTTTTTTTCCTTTTTGGCATTTAGAAGGGCTAAATCCAACCATGCTAATTCAATTGCAGCCAAAGGTTTTCAGTGTGATTTAAAATCAGGAGTTCTGGAAATGGAGCAGTTGAAAGATGCAGTCATTTGGGCTGTGGATCTTATAAAGGGACTTTGTTGTGAAACCACACGAGCATCTTCAGGTTTTTAGGATATTTTCAGTCTTTGCATTTGTCTCAGTTATATCCATTTTGCAGATTGCCCCCAACCCCTATCCTTCCTTAGGGAAAACTCTAGCCGTCTCATTCACTGTTGGAGTTGTTTTAGGCTTACAGTTACTGAGGGTGTGTATGATTTGACTTCAGTTGTAATCGTGTGCATTACATATAACATTTGAACTGACTCAAGTTAATTTATAACAGATTAAAGTGTGGATGTGTGGAACAGCTTTCTGATAATGCAGTGTGCCTTTATAAAATATTCATGTGTCTGATTTTTTCCCCCAATGTATAGGAGAAATATGTATTATCCTAAGATGACCTAAGAAAGGATATATTAATAATAGTTTGAATTTTACTTTTGGACTGCATTTCTCTTCAATTTCAAACCTTAATTCTTTCTTTGTTTTCATGTTCCTGTTCAGATGTTATTTTTCTTTTCCTTAATAATACATATATACTTGTATGTGTGTGTGAGTGTGTGCACATTTTAATAACTGCCAAATAGTTATAAGAAAAAACTTGGAGAGCTGCTAAGTTACTTTTCCATTGATACATTATCAGTCAGAAAGTCATGTAACAAAAATTCAACTCAAGAATATAGCACAGAAAAGTAAACTATGAGTGGACCCGTGTGCCCTATTTATAGAGTTTTAAGTACATGTTATATATATCTTATAAAACAATGATTTTGTCAAGATAGACCCCTGAGTTTAATCTGACTAATGGTGTTTGTATGATGGCTTGTTCTTCTTAAACATATATATTGACATTATTTATAGGAAGTCTTACACCAATAAGCGATCAGCTCCATAGGAAAATCAAGCTGTGTTTATGGGCTGGGCACTTCAAATTTTAGGTGAATTCATTAGATATTTTTTTCTTATATTCTAGAGAATACCCACTTCAATAATTATTTCTTTTTGTTCTATTTGGTCTAGTAACATGATGATAGTTTTTTTAGTGATTTGTTTTTTAGTTGTACATTTTAAAATGTGATTTTTCCGGAGAATATTGCTCTGTGCTGGATTTTTATTTCTTTTACTTAACAGCCAATTTTAAAGTTAATTATTTTATTTAAATACTAGAAAAAGTAGTTAATGTTGCCAAATTTAGGAGAAAAATCTGTCAATTAACATTTAGATTATCTGAAGTTATATTTCTTTTCCTAGTGATAGAAGCACTTTTTTTAAACTGTGAAAAGGATGTTGTAGTTGTGTTCAGCCCTTTCCAATTTGATTTATTAAAAGTTTCCTTTCATAATCCAAGAGGGGAAGAGTGGAATTACTCCAGTATCACATCTCTCTAATAAGAAAATTTCAGCTGATTTAGGAATCTTCTCCGCATAAAAGTAAAATTTTCTTAAAAAATATCATCACTTGTTCTTTTAGTGTTTTCCTGTTCCCATTGTGCCAGGCACACTTGTTTGGCTTTGGAAACTTCGTGGAATAGTGAAAAAATGGGTGTTGTTTCAGATTCTAATGCTGCTACATGTTAGCTTTGTGACTTTGGATAAGTGACTTTATCCCTGACCTTTATTTTCTTTGCTTTTAAAATGGGGAAAAGGACATTTAGCTTACAGATTGTCAGGAAAATGAAATGAGACAACACACTTGAAGTTCCAGTACATAGTAGATACTTAATAAACCTTAGGTCATCCTCCTTTGACCTGCTCTGTGGCTTATTCTCCAGTTTTTATCCCTTGGGAAGCTTGAATTTTTGGAAATAGTAGTGTAGGATGGTAGGGGAATAAGTTTAAATAAAATGTTTTAGGTTCTTCATTTATCTCTAGGAAAGGCGATATTAGGCCATCAGCAGATGTCTTTTTTTTTTTTTTTTTTAAGTAAAGAAACTCTGGCGTTATTTATTAGTCTACATTTTTACCACTCTGCAAAATTTTCATTAGGTTGATCTTTGTGGATGTCAGAGTGATGCTATCATTTCTGTGTTACCAGTTTTGGTACAGGTAGTTTACAAGTAAAGTTGGCCGATTCTGTTGGATCCTGTTTACTTTTGTATAATCTTTTCTAATCATTTGCTTGAATTAAAGCTTCCTGCCTTATAGTCATTAGCATTTGATAGTGGATCTTGAAACTTGATTTTGCAAGTTAGACTCCAGCGTCTGTCCCTGGTTTTGTGAAAATCTACTTATAATCATGGAACTAAGACCACACTAAAGCTTCGAGTGTTTACACCTCTGTAGAATTAAACAAAACAGCAGCAGTCAACATACATGTATCTGGGCAATACTTTATCTTCATTTAGAATCTTGCAGAATGCCTAAAGGGTAGTTAAGGACTTAGGAACTATTTGTTGAGCAAAATAATGTGCTTCTTTTTATTGTTTTTTAGCCCAGGATTATGTTTTCATAAAAAATAATTGTGTTCCCATGTGAAGTACATTAATATTATTGTGGTTGGTCTTTTTTTTTTTTTTTTTTTGGAGAGTCTCGTTCTGTCACCCAGGCTGGAGTGCAATGGCATGATCTTGGCTCACTGCAGCCTCCGCCTCCCGGGTTCAAGTGATTCTCCTGCCTCAGCCTGCTGAGTAGCTTGGATTACAGGTGCCTGCCACCACGCCTGGCTAATTTTTGTATTTTCAGTAGAGACGGGGTTTCACCTTGTTGGCCAGGCTAGTCTTGAACTCCTGGCCTAAAACGATCTGCCCCCCTCAGCCTTCCAAAGTGCTGGGATTACAGGTGTGAGCCACCACGCCTGCCTGTAGATGGTCTTTATTTAGTATTGCTATTTTGCTTAACATCTAACTTCTTTTAGCCTGCCAAAGTTTGAACATACTGCATCTTAAGATCTAAAATAAATATTTGACTTAGTGTTTACTTTGGCTTGTTAGTAAGCATAAAAAAATGAAAATTGTTAACTAATAACTTTATTGCTACCTTTTAGCACACATAGTGTGCTAGGGATGCTAGTCATGATATCTTATTTATGCTTACAAAAGCATTCATGGAAGGTACCCATATTTTCATTTTACAGATGAAGAAATCAAGGCCTAACATGTGTAATCCAGCAAAGTTGATTCCAAATCCCTTGCTTTCCCCCTTGCTGCATTCTTCATATATCATTTAAGCTAGCTATTTAAAAAGAAAAAAGAAAGTTAGTTGTAGAAACCACTGGTTTTATTTCCTTTCAAATTAAATTTTATGAGGAAGTCAGTATGTAGAACTGATAAAAATCAGAGTTGTTCTAGATGAAAAGAGATAGAGCCACAGTCCCATCTTTTAAGCCTCTCCTAGGGATCCCTGGAATACTTGATGAGAAAGCCTTAGCCTAATACCTCCACACCCCAGAAAATGGGGCCTAGTGCAACTCTTCAGTTTCCCCATCTGGGACTTGAAGGTTTTGTTTATCTTGTGCTTGGCGATGTTATTATGTGGAATTCACAGGAAAAGCTAATCAGTATAATTTTATTTATTATTTATTTATTTATTCTTGAGACAGAGTCTGGCTAGAGTGCAGGGGCCCGATCTCAGGTTCAAGAAAGTCTCATGTCTCAGCCTCCCAAATAACCGCGATTACAGGTGTGTGCCACCACGCTCAGTTAATTTTTTTCTTTTGTATTTTTAGCAGGGATGGGGTTTCACCATGTTAGCCAGGCTGGTTTCGAACTCTGGACTTCAGGTGATCCATCTGCATCAGCCTCCCAAAGGGCTGGGATTACAGGCATGAGCCACTGCACCTGACTGCTAATCAGTATAATTTTAAAAGCTTATGAAAGACTGTGGGGTAAATACCACCGCAAAAAAAATTACAAGCCAGGTTGCTGGCACGCACCTATAGTCCCAGCTGCTTGGGAGGCTGAGTCAGGAGGATTGCTTGAGCCGAGGAGTTTTGAGTCCAGCTTGCGCAGCACAGACAGGGTGTTGCTTTGTTGCTTGGGATGGAGTGCAGTGGTGTGATCATAGCTCACTGCAGCCTCCAATTCCTGGGCTCACGTGATCCTCAGCCTCCAGAATAGCTGGGACTATAGTTGTGCTACACCAAGCCTGGCTAATTTTTTGTAGATATGGGGTCTTGCTATCAAGACCTCAAGCAGTCCTCCTCCCTCGGCTTCCCAAAGCGCTGGGATTATAGGCATGAGCAACCATGTTTGGCCTCATTGTAAATGTTAATTTTCAGGGTATAAATTTTGTTTCATCCATAGCAATGAAGTAATTTTACTATGGAACGAGTCTGAAAAAACTAAGTCACAGTTTTATGTCTAACTGAAGTCTGTGTCTACAGACTCTACTTCATTTTGAAGGTTAAAGTTTGGGTGCTGTATATCACATTATAGCATATCTATTAAAGACATATACATATCATACAGGCATATATGTGTAAACATAAGGATGGAGAAGATAAAGTGGATCAACTTAACTGGGAAAATAATGTCAAAATCACTATTTTAAATAAATTGCTTGTAAAACAAATTAACTGCCATGATAATTCTGTAATATCTTTATAAACCAGAAATTACAGGTTTTCTCACCAGATAAATTTACATTGGGAATTTATGTAGCTCTTTATTAGAAATATGTCTCTTTCATGAATATAGTGAGAAGAGTCCAGACTTTTTAGCTAGATTTACCTGCATTTGAACTGATCTCTTTCCTATGTGACTTTGTAAAAGTTATATAACCTCTTTGAATCTTAGTTGCTTCATTTATAAAATGGGGCTTAGAAGTAAATGATGCCTGTGAATTCTGGCACAGAGAGGGTTAGTTAGACCAATTTCTTCTTCTGTCTGTTACTATTGTAGATTGCTAGTCTTATGCAGTTTGCACTTGGTATCTGTTTATCAACAGTGCCACAGTGTTCTTTATACTTGCATCATGTACATACTTGGCCTTTTCAATTACTAGTTTAAAAAATACTTGTGTCACTCTTGCAGAAGTCTTACTTTTGCAGAAGAAAATGAGGGTGGAGAGAAATCTCTTCTTTCTTACTCTTCACTGAGAATCAGTCACTGAGCAGCATAATTCTAAAATCTTATGTGGCTTTTGGGTACTTTATGAACCTTTTTATGGTAACCCAGAAGCAAGGCACTGATTGAATTAATACATTTCCATCAAGGGACTATTCTGTTGGCCTGTCTTCCTCCTCCTAACCCATGCATGCTTCTATAAGGGACTTTTTTGTTGCATTATTTAGGTTGCCACATATAGTGGGGATGACAGTTTGTAGATGTGCAGGTTACTGGTAAGCCTTATAGCCTTTCTGTTTTTAAAACAAAGGGAAAGGACAAAACAAAAACAAAAACAAAAACAGAACAGCAACAACAAAATCACTACCCAAACCAAAAGTAACTTAAAAATACCATCTTAGCTTTCTGGAAAACCCAGTGCTTTATAAAATGTAGAATCTAAAGTTTGCATACTGATATTAATTTTTAATAGTTTTAAAACTTTTAAATACAACTTCTGTACAAAAGGATATGTGTTCATAGGGCAGATCTGATTAAGAAAACCTCAAAGAGAGAAAACTGCCTGAAGGGCTATCACCAAGGAACTGTTAATGTATTTTTAGTCGTCTTTCTTCATTTACAAGTACCTACCAATGTATGAATAGGTGGTAGTTTCATAAAGGGATGATGTTACATGTATATGTGACTTTTAAAAAATGCATTGTTATCCTAAGTATCTTTCCATGTCCGTAAATATAGGTATTCATCATGGCTTTTTTTTTTGAGATGGAGTTTTGCTCTTGTTGCCCAGGCTGGAGTGCGGTGGCGCCATCTTGGCTCACCGCAACCTCTGTTTCCCCGGGTTCAAGCGATTCTCCTGCCTCAGCCTCCCGAGTATCTGGGATTACAGGCATGCGCCACCACGCCCAGCTAATTTTTTTGTACTTTTAGTAGAGATGGGGTTTCTCCATGTTGGTCAGGCTGATCTCTAACTCCTGACCTCAGGTGATCCTCCCGCCTCAGCTTCCCAAAGTGCTGGGATTACAGGCGTGAGCCACCGCGCCCGGCCCTCATCATGACTTTTAATGGATTCTTAGCTTGCCATTGTATCATAGTTTATTTAATGAGTTCTTGGTTTGTGGATTTTTTTTTTTTAATAAACAGTAGTGCTTAAATATGAACATCCTTGCTTGCCCTTGTATGCTTATTTCCTAAAGGTGAAGACAGATGTGATACTGCTAGGGAAGGCAGCATAATTTTGCACAGCTTAAGAGAGAGATTGGCAAATCTGTTCTGTGCAGGGCTAGATGGTAAATAGGTAGATGTATGGTTTCTGTAGCAATTATTGAAGTTTTTGTAGGACCAAGCCCCTGTGTATGTAAAGGAATAGGCAGGGCTCTATTTCAATAAAACTTTATTTACAAAAGTAGGCAGCAGGATAGCATTTGGCCCACAGGCTTGTTTGCCTACCCTGGACTTGAAACTAAGTAGAAACTAATTTGGGATGAAAATTTATCCCTAGTTTGCTGTAAACTGCTTTTACAGTTTCTTAGAAATGTGTTCCTATCTCAGGGCAATGTAATGGGCTGATGACTGACTTTCTTTCCAGGTACGTGGCAATCAATACTTAATTTTAAAGAACTTATTAAAGGAGCTTCTCATACCAGCTCCTACTCCTGAAGCCTAGTAAATTTTAAACTAAGAGGTTATATATACCAGTATATATTTTTATCATTCTATACTTTTTTTTTTTTTTTGGAAATCGAGTCTCACTTGTTGCTTAGGCTGGAGTGCAGTGGCAATCTCGGCTCACTGCCACCTCCATCTCCCAGGTTTAAGCAATTCTTGTGCCTCTTAGCCTCCCAACTAGCTGGGATTACAGGCATGTGCCACCATACCCAGCCTTTTAAAATATTTTAGTAGAGATGGGGTTTTGCTATGTTGGCCAGGCTGGTCTTGATCTCCTGGCCTCAAGCAGTCCACCTGCCTCAGCCTCCCAAAGTGCTAGAATTACAGGCGTGAGCCACCGTGCCCTGCCACATCGTATACTTTAGATTTCAGCATATGTTGACAACTTGTTGGGCAAGGAACGACCTCTTTAATTAATTAATTAATTTTATTTTTGTATATTTTGAGGTGGAGTCTCGCTCTGTCACCTAGGTTGGAGTTCAGTGGCGCAATCTCGGCTCACTACCTGGTTCAAGCGATTCTCCTGCCTCAGCCTCCTGAGTAGCTGGGACTACGGGCACGTGCCACCACGCCCAGCTAATTTTTGTAGTGTAGTAGAGACAGGGTTTCACCATATTAGCTAGGCTGGTCTCGAAATCCTGACCTCGTGATCCACCCGCCTCAGCCTCCCAAAGTGCTGGGATTACAGGCATGAGCCACCGTGCACGGCACACTCTTTAATTTATATTGCAGGGCAGATGGGTATTTCCCCCTTTCTAGAAGGTTGCTTAGTTGGAGTCATGTTCTAGAGATATTCAGAAGTAAGCTGAAAGGAAAGTCCAATAAGAGGAGAAGAATCATTTCAGCAGAAATATACCACAGATCAACAGGGTGACATTGAGTTAGTTACTGAACCTTAATAGGCTAAATTATACTTGAAAAAATGCTCTGTGCATAAATAATAACCTTTTTGCATCTTGAGTTTCTATAAAACAGGAATTATTGGCCTCTACTTGCCTTACGGGTATTTGTTGAGGATCTGCTGGAATAATGAAATAGTTAAAATCACTCTATTTGTAACATTGTGTCACTGGTGCCCTTATGAATTTTAAGATATTTATTTATTATTCAGTATGTATTTGTTGACTATCTGCTATGTGTAAAGCAGTATGGCAAGTGCTATTGGGAAATACAAAGAGAAATAAGTTAGTTCTTGATCCTAAGGAGAGAAAAACATGTTTTTAAGGTTCAAGGTCATGTGGTGCTTAGAGCCCTAAGGAACATAGAGCACTTGGGACGATGAGATCCCTTTCATCCAAAGGTATCAGGAAATTTCATGGAAGAAGTGGCATCAGGAAATAGGGACATTTTCAAAGGGAGAATACAGGCGAGGGTATTCCAAAAAGAGCAGCATGAGAACTATTTCAGGTTAGGAAAGTCCAAATCAGTATGCAAGAGACATAAAATATTCTAATTAGAGTGTCTATCAAGCATTTTTCATGAAGAAGGAGGAGAAGATAAAGCTGGAAAGGCAGGTTAGAGCTAGATTGTAGAGGGCCTGGAAAGAACTGTAATTGGTAATTGGTGGGGAGCTATAAACATGATCTAGGAGAATGTGTTCGACAATTGGAGGGGTGGTGTATAGCACTAGTTGGCAAGTATGGAATGATAAAGTCAGGATTATTGCTAAAGGGTTATTGCAGAGGTCTGAGCATGTACTTGTTAGAATTATTCTGGAAAGTGTGTGGGGGACAGCTGAGGGGATTGAAAGGGCAGAATGGACAGGCTATCAGAACTGACTGGGTTCAGGAAATAAGGAGAAGCCTTTTAATAATGATGTATGGTTCTGAGTCTTTGTTAATGGGCTTATGGTAATAACATTGAAAAATATAGAAAAATCCAGGGAAAGCTGTAGTAAAGAAAGGAGACCAGTGAACCTATTTGCTTGTTTAGCTCGAGATGTTAACTGGACACTTAGAAAAATCTAGTGAGAGTTTGAAAATGCAGGACTGAAATTCACATGAGAGGTAAGGATTAGGGATTTGGGAGCCCTGTTCACACAGAGGTACGTGACAGATGAGACTTGAGAAGAGCTTCACGTCACTTAACGAGAATGCGTGTAAGAGAGAAAATGCGGCCACATGATGTGGCTCATGCCTGTAATCCCAGTACTTTGGGAGGCCGCAGCAGGAGGATCACTTGAGGCCAGGAGTTCAAGACCAGCCTGGGTAACTTAGCAAGACCCCCATTTTTATCAAAAAAAAAAAAAAAAAAGAAAGAAAAAGAAAAAAATTTAGCTAAAAAGAATCACTTCTCAGCTAAATTGCAGGGCACGTGGGTATTTTCCCCCTTCTAGAAGGTTGCTTTAGTTGGAGTCATGTTCTAGAGATATTCAGAAGTAAACTGAAAGGAAAGTCTAGGAGTTTAAGGTTGCAGCGAGTCACAAATGCACATCACTGCATCCCAGTCTGGGTGACAGAGCAAGACCCTGTCTCAAAAATAAAAATAAAGAAAAAGAAAATGGTATTATTTTAAGTATTACTTACCATTGGGTAAGTCAATTACGTAAGTAGCTCTGTCTTTTTGTGAGGCAACTAATACCAAAAGAAAAGCAAAAAAGAAACTCTCATGTATTTTACCATTTATAAAGCATTCTGTTGTCCACTAAGCTTCTCTTCTTAGCTTCTAAAGCTACTAGGTTTCAGGGGTAAAGTATGTTCAGTTTGGGGAAAAAATATTTTCATAAGATTCCCAAGGAAAATATAACTCCCTTTGACTTTATCTTCTCTCCACTTCCTGAGAACCTTAGTAACAAAGATGTTACTGGTAGGACGGGTTTACATTCACTTTTTACCTGTCTGATACAGACTACTACAGCTTTTCATCTCCCCTAGTTCTCACCCCAGTTGAGATCCATGCATTTGGGATGGGGGTGGGGGGGTATCCCTTAGAAATCAACTTTGTATGCGTTTGCACATTTTTCTCTTTTTAGTCTGGGGTCCTCAGCAGGCTTGGAGGGGGGATTGTGTAGTATACAGTATGACTTATGTTTGACTTGGGAAAATTTTTCCTGTATGGAACAGCAGGACTGAATCTGCTTTCTCATTTCCTTTCTTCTTTTAACATTACCTATGTTCAAGCTTTGCATGCAAAGAAAACCGTGTTGATTCATTGATCTTCGACATGCTACATTATGAGCCTTGGCAGAAGGTAAAGGCTCCCCTGGCTCCCCTGTTTAGAGCAGCCGGAATTCCTCTGGTCTGTTGGTACCATCTGTGGCCTTCCTTCAGGCTCAGTCTTCATAGTAAGTCTAACTCATGTCAAATGGGCCAAGGTGCTAGTCCAGAGTAATTTGCATCTCTAGCCAACCACTGTGCATTTACTCTAGTAGTAAATGCCTGTTGTATTTGTCTCTTAAACTGTGTATGCTACTGAAACTTTTTTTTAAAATCATAATTGGTTTAATGTAGGTGGTTCAATGAGTAGTTTGTGAAGTTGAATTTTTGGGAACTAATATTTGCTCTTTCCCTTTCTGATGCCACAACATATTCTTCTATCCTATTTCATTCAAATTCACTATTCTGCTTTTTTCACATAAGTTTTTCAATCACCCTTTTTCCCTTTGGTGTTGTTTAGCAAGGGAGGAAACCCTTTCAATTTGTTCCATTTTTGTGCCTCTGATGAAGTAAGAGCAACTCAGACGGATGTATTTTCTTCCTAAGTAAACTCTTTTCTAAAAAAATGCCACACCCTCCCCCCAAAATAAAGCATTCAATAGCTTGATGGTGATTACTTGAAGGCAGTCTCTTTCCTCATTAGAGGTAAATACATCTTCACTCTTGATTGCCGCGGAAAGATAGGTAGAGAAGCTGAGTGGAGCAAACCCAATGGCTGAGTTCAAGTTGACCTGGATCATTTTAAAGTGCTTTTCATGTAAATGCTACAGTTAATGTCTGTCCCCACATAATTTCTTTCTAATGTTTGCAGCAGATGTGGAGTTGGCCTTACCACTGCTCAAGCTGCTTGCTCATTTTGGCTTTTTCTCGTAAGCTTTTCCTTTCCTGGCTTCCTTTCTTTTCTTTACAGAGTGAGATGTTGGGAGATAAGAATTTTATGCCTTGGTGTATGCTCCTTCTTCTTTCTCTCCATTGTTTTAAGTTATATCTTTTCTAAAACTAAGTTATGATCTGTAGAGCTTTTGTCTTATGGTTCCTTTTTGGTTTTCTAGTTTACATGGGCTAGGGAGCCTCAAACTTTAATGCTCATCAGCATCACGTGGAGGGCTTGTAAACACAGGTGAGGGACTCCACCTCCAGTTTCTGTCACAGTGGGTCTCAGGTGGGGCATGCAAATGAGTTTCAGACATGCTCTCAGGTGATGATCACAATAATCTTTGGCCAAGAAGCATGCCTTGGGCACTGACCGAGACTATTGGTCTTGTCTGTCAGTGTGCTGCCCACCCCCAGAGGGTTGGGTTCTTCAGATTTTATTCATGCACGTTCTCTGGAAACTCTTTACTTTTTAATAATTTATAGGCCAGGCTGCTAGCATAAGAGAACTCAGAAAATTACCTTATATTTTAATTGTGAAACGGTTGGTTGCAGGAGGGGCAGATATGCTGCTTCTTGCCACTCTCACCCCCTCATCCCCCAGTGAAGTCTTTTTTTTTTTTTTTTTTTTTTGAGACTGTCTTACTGTGTTGCCCAGGCTGGAGTGCAGTGGTGAGATCTCGGCTCACTGCAACCTCTGCCTCCCAGGTTCAAGCGATTCTCCTGCCTCAGCCTCCCAAGTAGCTGGGATTACAGGTGCCCGCCACCATGCCCAGCTAATTTTTGTATTTTTAGTAGAGACGGAGTTTCTCCATGTCGGCCAGGCTAGTGTCGAATTCCTGACCTCAGGTAATCCACCCACCTTGGCCCCCCAAAGTGCTGGAATTACAGGCATGAGCCACGACGCCCAGCACCCAGTGAAGTCTTTAACACTAAGTCCCTCTGAGCTGACAGCGATCTTTTCGGTCATTCCAAACACAGCATCACTCTAGGAAGCCTTCTAAAAGATGATTGAGTTGGCCCTTGGTCCCTAAGTGAGACCAAGTGACTCTGTCTCTTTTTAGTTTCCCCAGTTGCTTATAATATTCCTTTGACCCTTGTGGCTTGCTTTCCTTTCCCCTATGCGGCTTCCATCGTGGTCTCAAAGTTCTCAGCCTTCATTGGATTGGTATGCTGTGGTGCTGCTTTTGTGGGCTGGGGGCAGAGTACCATTTACAGATATACTGTGTACCTACTGAATCCTTAGGTGCTTTACATGTGTCATCTCATTCAACCTTGCCAACCCTGCACAATAAATATAAGTATCCTCATTTTACAGGTGCAGGAAACAAGGCTCGGAGATACGTAACTGAGCAACTTTACAAGATATTGCGGTAGAGATTTAAACAGAGATCTAATTGCAAAGCTAGAACTCTTTCAGTATTACCTGTCTTTAAGATAGCTGGAGTTGAGTGTTGAGGATAGAAAGTAAGTTAACCTGGGTGTGGCATACTTGAAATTGCATTTAATGTCAGTTGTCAGAGTTGACAATGTATTTGCCCATAAGCAACAACCTGTGGTGTTCAATTTCCAAAATAATGTATTACAAGAATGATTGCAAACCAATAGAATAATAGAATTCTGTACCTTTTTTTCTTAAATATAAGAACCCGCCGGGTGCAGTGGCTCACGCCTGTAATCCCAGCACTTTGGGAGGCCAAGGTGGGCAGATCACTTTAGGTCAGGAGTTCAAGACCAGCCTGGCCAGCATGGAGAAACCCCATCTCTACTAAAAGTACAAAAATTAGCCAGGCATGGTGGCAGGCACCTGTAATCCCAGCTACTCGGGAGAATGAGGCAGGAGAATCACTTGAACCCGGGAGGCAGAGGTTGCAGTGAGCTGAGATTGCGCCACTGCACTCCAGCCTGGGTGACAGAGTGAGACTCCATCTTTAAAAAAAAAAAAAAAAAATGGCTGGGCACAGTGGCTCATGCCTGTAATCCCAGCACTGTGGGAGGCCGAGGCGGGCATATCATGAGGTCAGGAGATCGAGACCATCCTGGCTAACGTGGTGAAACCCCATCTCTATTAAAAATACAAAAAATTAGCTGGGCGTGGTGGTGGGTGCTTGTAGTCCCAGCTACTCGGGAGGCTGAGGCAGAAGAATCGCTTGAACCCAGGAGGCACAGCTTTCAGTGAGCCAAGATCGCACCACTGCGTTCCAGCCTGGGTGACAGAATGAGACTCTGTTTCAAAAAAAAAAAAAAAAAAAAAAAGAACCCATACCCATCCGTGGATCTGGTACAAGTGACTTCATTCTCATTTTCTCCAATGCTAAAACCCAGGTAAAGCAAGAATTGCAGGAAGTACGTGAAATCTGTCCAATAGTAGGATGTTTTTCGAGTAAAGCACTAGCGAAGTCATTGAGAGAACTTTGTCTTAATTTCACTTCTATCCATTTTTATCAAATGTAGAGGGAGACCATAGTGATAGGTCTCAGTTTTCTCATTTAGAAGTAAAAGGAGTACAATGGAAATTTCTCCCCTTCCTTACTTGTCTGATGTGGGAATTAATAAATATTACGTGTAAAGCCCTTTGAGCACTCTGGAAGAAAGATTCTATGTAATTTTAGCATTATTCGTGGTCCATTAGGCTCCTCAGGGTGTCACCAGGGAAGAGAGATTTTTACCTTTTATCCCATATTTCACAGTATAAAAACAAGGTATTTCTGTTGTTGTTTGTGGCTGTGAAAAATCTCCTGTAATTGTACCTGCAGAGGTTGCTCCTATCACAGAGCCCAGGGCACTGTTCTTTGGCAGCTCACCCCAGAGGATCAGCTCCTGAGGGAAGAGCAAGAGTGAACCTTAGTGAAATAGCTCCTGGTGGCTGTGAGGACATTGTGCCTGCTCCACCCCGCACCCTGGCATCCCCCCACCTCCGTCACCTTCTGTGTCTTTCAACCTGTTGCATAACAGAATCACATACTGATTGACTCTTTTCCATTTTCTTTTATCTTATGCTGATCCTATAGTTCATTGCTCTGAGATGACTCCAGAGGAGATCTGTGTCTCCTTCAGGCACTGGCATCTGTCCTATCCAGTTCTTCTCCTATAAAATATCTCCCATCCTTATCATGTTCCTATTGATACAACTCTGCCTTATCTGACTCTATAACAATGAATGTATTTCTGGTCATTCCATCCTTGAAAATGGATAAGTACTGTGTTGTATTTATTTATTTGAAACAGGGTTTCACTCTGTCACTCAGGCTGGATAATAAATACTGTGTCGTTAGTATGTATGTATGTATGTATGTATATATTTGAGACAGGGTTTCACTCTGTCACCCAGCCTGGAGTGCAGTGGCACACTCACGGCTCCTTTTAACTTTGAACTCTTGGGCTTAAGTAATCCTCCTAGGATTACAGGCACATGTCACCACACCCAGCTAATTTTTCTTTCATTATTACTTTTCTCTCTGTGTTGCCCAGGCTGGTCTAGAACTCCTGGTCTCCTGCCTTGACCTCCCTAAGTGCTAGGATTACATGTGTGATCCACCACATCCAATTTGACTCTGTTTTGATTTACCAGTTGCTTTCTGATCAGTGAGCAGTGGGTTCCTTCTTCGCCCTTAGGTTCTATATTCTTGGTCCTTCTGAGTCTTAGTCTGGGGTCCCATGGTAGAGAAAGTTTAGGCCCAGAATTTTGTCTCCTAGTTAAATTGTAGGCTGAAAAATGGAGATATAATTTAACTGCATACTCTGCCACGTAGCTCACCTTCCTGTGTTTCTGCTTTTGTATTCATTTATTTTGCAGCAGTGTGTTTAGCGTGCATCTTCATCTTTACAGTGTTGGATAATTTGTTTATTTCTTTATCTGCTCTTTCTCACAGGGACTCCTGGTGAGCTTATTGTCAAATCTATTTCACTTGATGGTCTTCCTGAACTCTTTGTGTTATCTGAGTGATTTTTCCTCTTGCCGCTTGGCATTGTATAACCACTGAAATTAGGCTGGAGTGCTATTGGGTCTTCCTTTTGGCTTGGAATCCGGCAGTGCTTGTACCTAGCCATGTCTCTGAGGAGCACTCTGATGGGGCTTTATTTCTGTTTATCTCTCTCCCTCTTTTTTTTTTTTTAAACTTACATTGTATATCATTCTTTTCCAAGGTCTTTGTCCCTTCAACACTGCCAGACTGAAGCCACCAAAACACATACACTTCAGAACTGATCTGGGCTTGGGGCCAGCTTGACTGAGGAGACTGGAGCTCACATGGAAGTTAGTTTGTTTATTTAGGCTGTGACTTTCATAGTGTCTATCAGGCAGATGCCTACCTGCGTGTTTAATATTTAAAAGTAAAATGGAAATTTCAAGTGGACCCTGGCTCTGCAGGGGGCATCCCTGACTACGAGCCCTTTTCATCGTAACATGACTCTTCTCTCAAGTTATCATTTCTGTGACTTTTCTCTTTTTTCCTTTGTCCCCTTTCTGCCACCCATTTTTCACAGCCATTCATCTTCAAATATTTTCAACGGTAGCTCCCATTTACAACCTGGAGCTTTTTATGTCTTCTTTTCAGAAGTCTGGTCCCTAACATTTTTTTTTTTTTTTTTTTTTTTTGTGATCTCAGTAAACAAAGAGTGTGTGTATGTGTGTGTGTGTGTGGTTATGTGTGTAGGAAGCCTGCCATATTTCCTCCCTGCCCCACAGAAAATATGTTTTCTGGAAGCCCTTTTGACACCGAAGTGAATGCCCACTGGCCCTCCCTTGTTGAATTCTCCTGAGGGGAGAGAGAGAGGCCTTTATACTTGTCATATCTTTTGTTTCTGCTGATTATACACAAAGTAAGTTGTAAATAGCTCTCTCACACACCATGATTCCTTCAAGGTATGTATATACAGGAGAGTAGATATGTACTCAGCCTCCACTTGCCCTGGGGATTTCAGAGGGTCCCTTTCAAGGCCTCTGACCTCCTGTTACAGTACTAAGATAATGAAATTTACATCAGTTGTAGGCAGTTATTCCATAATTAAACCTGTGGCATAATGTTTAGAAATATTAGCTGAACAGTTCACCATTTTTTTTTGTTTTTAAGTTAAATGATTTTATTACTTTTAAAGCAACATATACAATCATACAAAAAGAATAAAAGTTAAGTACCTATAATCTTAATCACTGTGAACATTTTGGAAAATCTTTGTAGAACTTTGTACTATATAGTATGTCAAGTATGTCATTAAAACAGGCACTAGGTGTTAGCACAGAGGAAAAGTGGATAAAACGGAATTCCCCAAATCAGTTTAAAATTTATATTAAATAATGGTTAGGCACACCCCATATTTTATTATCCTAATTTACAATAGACTAATAATAAGGGGTTAGACAATTGATATCTGATTTTTCTTCAATCATTTTTTGATTGCTTGTGGCTGGCTAACTTCTGAGGCTTCTAAATCAAAAGGTGGAATGAGATGTGCTAAATTACAACTAATTAGGTTATCAGCTTTTATCTCTTTTGTATCTTCCTTAGTACATTTTGATGAATTCAGAAAGAGATATGGTTTGCCTTTCCGTGTTGAAAGATTTCCCTAACTGATGACGCTGATTGTGGTGGATGGGGTGAGAGTGTGGTGTATTTTTAGACCATGAACCGTTCAGTGAACTTTGTGAACCAATTTTGATTTGAATCTCTTATCCCTCATTTTTTAGAATATGGGAGTCAACTTTCAAAGATTCTTATGGATATATTTTTCTGCTCAGAAATCCTAGCACTCTAAGTTTGAAAATGTACCCACTTCCCTACTAGTTCCTTTTTGTGATTATGATTGTTGAAACATACTGGTAGTTTGCCACCATTTCCTCCCAACTTACTCACAGACCTTTATGTTTTCTCTTAGAAACAGTGTATTTCTAAGTGTCTCAAGTTGTAATTGCATGTAATTTTAGTTGTTTAACTTTCTCCTTCCCTCTTGAGAATGTTTATAAAGTGCATTCTGTGACTGTGAAGATAAAAAGAACTAGAAACTTAGTGTTTGTGACGTGGTCAAATAATCTTAAGGTAAGTAGCAATTTGTTTTGTGTATGTGAGATCGGGTGAGGTTTACACTTAATTTGCAATATATGGCTTACTGAATCTGCCTTAGTTAAGTCCCATTTATTGAGGTTTTATAATAAGGTTTTGGGGGGATTCATTTTGATTTGGAATATTCTCAGGTTAATTTTTTTCTTTTCCCTTCTATTGCTCCCTGGGGAGAATTACTGTTGCAGAACTCATTAGTGGCCTTCCATATGTCAGCTGAGGGGTAGAATGAGCATTATTTCTATGTGTGACACAACACAAATGCACAGTGCCCCCGCTCTTCTCCCTGCTGCATTTCTTTCTTATTCCTCAGTTAAGAGGATAAATTCCCTTTTTTGTTACTTATGTTGTCCTAGACCAAGGAGCAGGTAGCAGGTCTTGATTTCGGTTAGCGCCTTTTTCCTTTGTTGTCTTCTTTGTAATTTCTTTCATATGAAACATCAACAAATACCTCTAGAATGGATGCCACTAAATGTAGTTATTACATTTTTTTTTAAAATTAAATTCTTGGAAATGTATTCTCAACCTTTCTTTTCTTTCTCATGTCTTAAGTTTGAATCCAGGTTTTACAACCTAATAACATGTGACTCTGAGCTAGTTATTTACCTACTCTAAGCCTCAGTTTTTTCGTTTGTAGACTGGAGATGCTCATACTCCGTAAGAGTGTTGAGAGGAAAATGAGGGTTAATCTACACGTAAGATTCCCCACATAGTGACTCGCGCATTGGCCTGCACGTGTGAAACTCTTGGGTAAAGAGTGGTTGTAAACTTCAAAGACAGATGACACTCTGTCCATTTCACCTTATGAGCCTAGTAAAGAAGAATAAAAGACTTGAAAAGAATGAGAGAACTGGACCTAAAAATGTTTGAAGCGTTGACCGAGTACCTTTTATTTTTCTTTTCTTTCCAGTGATATTCACTAGTGAACTTGCAAAGTGGAGTATACTGAACGTTGTTTAAGTTTGGACGATTGTACTGATTTTTGGGTGAAAAGAAAGAGGGAAGCACCTTTTAAGCTAGCATGCATGGCTGAAAACTGATGTCTGAACAAAGCAAATTGATTAGCACAGATGATCTTAATTGGAGTTTTAAAAAAGTCAAAGAAAACAAAACAGAGGAGTGCTTTGATAGGGAAAGAAGACAAAGGTGAGATGATGCTTAGTTGATGTATTGAGTTTAGAGACATATAGACAGATATATGATTAGTGTGAGTAGTATAAGTATGGAAATAATGAGGAACAATTAGAAATTTTTAAAAAGCAGAAAACATGTTTAGGTGGAATCTAAAACCTTGTTTAATCTTAAAAAAATCTGAAATGAAATAAGCAAGGGACAGTAGGCAGTATTTAGGGATGATATTGACTAATTATAATAGCTTAGTTTTAAAAAGGGATCTTAGTGGCTTTCAGTTTAGAATTTTAGATATAGAGAAACATTCATTAAGTTTTAACCTTGTTTTTTTATTATTAGGACAGATACATAAAACAAGGTTTTTAAGCTTAAAGATAACATGTTTAAATGAGTAACTATTAATAATAAATATTGATAAATAGAAGTCTGCCTGTGCTAGCCTACACCAGGAACAGGAAAAATAAATTTGAACAAATATTTTAAGAACGTAAAGGAACTTAGGCATTGTTGAATGTATTTTTTTTTAAATTCCTACATAAGAAAATTAAAGGAAAGAGGAAAAGAAAAAATTTATGTCACCAATGTGAAACAGAAATTATCTATTTTAGTCTTTTCCCATCCCTGCATTTCCTTCCTTCTGTCTCCCTCCTCCTGTCCGTGGCTATTTATTAGGTGCCTACTGTGTGCTACCTGCTGTGAATACAAGGAGGAACAAAATTTATGTTGCTTTTTTCTTCTTGGAATTTACCTTCTGGTAGTTAATAAACTTTGTTACATGGTATTCACTATATATTTGACATACTAAGTGTCACATACATGTCAAGCCATGATGACCTGTTAGAGACCCGCAGTTGGGATTTCCTCTCTCTGCCTGGGTCAAGTGTGACTGTGTGCAGTTCTCAGCAGCCTCCATACACAGCATCTAACGTGGCTGTATTCCCTCAGGTTCCATTGGCATGTACTGGCAGAGTGCTGGGGGCAGACTTCTGCCCAAACCTGGAGGAGCCATACCACAGGCTGGAAGTCCAGGTTAGAGTCTTAACTGTTTTCTCAGCTAGGGGTGGTGTGACAGAAACAGTGGTCCTGGAAAGCCATTTGGGTATATCAGCGTCATCAGGAAAAGACAACCATTGAGTTAGGTGTAAAGAGGAACCAGTGTAGCGTATGTGCAGCCATAGGTCCTTTTCAGGATGCGTTGTCTGTAACTGTAGATCATTTGTCTGTTCAGTCAAGACATATATACATACTGTAGTAAGTACATGGTCTCTGAAGGTTGACTACCTAGAGTTGATACAAGTTGCTGTGAGACCTTTGGCAAGTCACTTAATTTAAGTGAACCTTAGTTTTCTCATCTGTAAGATGGAGATTTACCACACAAGGTGATGATGAGAATTTAAAGGACCTGACATATATTCAGCAGTTAGTGCAGGACCTGGCACATAACAGGTACCCAGTAAATATTAGCTTTCATCTTCTAAGACTTTTGGGATATATGTGAGTAAGTCATGCTTCCTACAATATGGTCTCCCGGCTCAGGAGAACAGCAGCCATTCAACTGAGTGCTTTATAAGAAAAGCAGGACTTAATGAAATATCTTCTGTCTTCATGCGTTGGAAGATATGTCTTGTGGTGTAATAGGAGTATATTAGCAAAGTACATTTTTTTTTTTTTTGGTGAAACTGTTGGATTGAAATTCAGTTCGTTTTGTATGGTCTTGAGGCATTAGAAGTGATTTGGTGTATTGCAAATTAAAAATGTAAATGTGACATTTTGGCTAAAGGCATGCCTCCATTTCTATGTACATAATAATATTTAAGGAATGTGTGTGCCAATGCAAAGATGCAGGCTGAAGTTTCAACATGGGTAGCACTCCCTAGCATGAGGAAACTCATACTTTTTTTTTTAGGACCTCCATTTGGCCTTATTTTCTAAATTTTCAGGCTTATAAGATGAGCATAGTGAGCTCAGTTTTAAAACGTTTTTACTGATTTAGAACCACAAATGAGAAGAGAGAACCATTTAAAAAATGGACTTCTATGCAGTGAGAATGAGGGTAGAAGTGGTGGTAGGAGGAGGTTTCAGTTTTTATGGTACCGAAGGGTATGCCATCTCTAGCACACCTGCTCTTGGCCCAGGGAAGACCACCTGAGCTCTGCTGTGCCCCAAACTGGTACTGTCTGGGTGGTGTATGTCTGTGATACAACAGAAAAGCAGGTGGGACACATGAGACACGATCATGTATTTCCTAGTTCTAGAAAGCTAACAGCTTGTGTGTGACATGCAAATGCAGAGTGATGGAAGACTTTTTGTGGAGAGTAGTCTGATCCTTGACCTTTTTTGGGTAGGACGAGTGATGTTCTTCAAACACATCACCTGGAATGGTCTGTCATGGGTGATTGTTGGAAATCTGTTTTTAAACCTTGAATTACAGTGAAAAGAAAATTGGGTTTTGCAGATGTGAGTGTGTAAAATAAAACTGGAAAAAAAAACCTATTGAGTACATTGACATACTATGGGAGAAAATGTAGAAAATGTTATATTTACAGGTTAAAGTAACATTCTGGTTGTAGATGAACCAGATTGTGGGGTTGATAGTTCAGAAAGGACCTTGCAAAGAAGACTAAGTTCCTGGACAAAGTAATGAAAGTGACATTATTGGATATTCCTCATTGTGGATCATCATTTTGGTGGACTGCGTGGAAGGATTGAATCTGTTAAAAGATGATCAGCTATGGAGAGTTAGTCAAGTAGCTGGGACCCACTTGAAGCATTTCTTCCTCTCTTCTTTTTCTTCTGCCTTCCTAAATGTGCTTCTTCTGCACATTTTAGAAATACCTAGTACATATACATATTATGTCCACCATAATAAAGATGCTTAATATACTTTTCACCAGCTATCTATTTCAGGAGTATTTTTTAGCTTAGACTGCTTTCATTCTTGCCATGTCATGTGTCCTAGTCCTTTTTAAATTTTTTCCTAGAGAATGAGCCATTTCTTATTGTTCAGCATAGCTTTATACTCTAGGGAGCTCACTATAGGACTTGCCAGTCATCTCCTTTTCCTGCTTGTATCATAGGCTTTGCCCCAGGGCTAGGCATTATCATCACTAGAGGTTTTGCTGTTTGGCCTCTTGATTCTGAGAATAACCTTCCGTACACCTCAATTTAGGAGCAGCGGTTTGTTTATATTCTTTCTTAGAAAGGATTTTTGTTTAGACATACAGCCCTGAAATCTGGTTTACTTTTATGTTTTAGCTGACGTAAGTTCTCATGACTGGTGGAGCCCCTTTCTGCTCTTTGCCTTCTTCCTTTTAAACCTTTGCCTTTTATTCCTAAAATTTCAGATTTCTTAGCAGCTTTATTTTTAATAATCCCAAGATCCCCTACTGTGGTCAATGAATGTATCTTTGGTTTTGAATGACTGTCAACCTTCAAGTCTGTGCCTGATTTGACTTTTGCAAGGACTTCTGCTGTGGTTTGTGTTAATATTGCTTGATTCAGAAAAATAACTGGAAATCAAGATTTTGATTCTGTAACTTTATTTACTTTCCCCAGTGGCTTTTGAAGTGGGTACTCCAGTTTGGGAGGTTAACTGATGAACAGCAGCAAAGAATCCCACTCTTATGCAATCATCTTCTAAGAAATGGTTATTCTAATTTAGACTCTCCTTAATTGCTGATATTTTACTTTTATCAGAGAAAAGTTACTTTGTTAGTTCAGTTGTGCCTCATCATGTATTAAGTTGTTACATTTAGCTCAGCACAGTTCTTTTCTTGGTTGGGAATTCAGGATGTGAGGTTTGACTTGGTATTTTTCACCACTGAAGTGCTTAAAAAATTAGAGTAAATAATGAACCAATATTTCAGTACTAGATTAGACACAATTTGCTGTGATGTTTTATAAACCACAGGCTCCTTTCTTATGTGAATGCGTGGAGGATCACTTTTTTTTCCAGACATACTGGGGTGCAAGTGTAAATTTCCATAAAAGTTAAATGAGGTGCTTCCTGTAATTAATGAACAACTGTGGCTGCTCTCTGGTCTGCATTGTAATTAACCGTGATCAGGCTTGTTTAGTGATGACACTGTTCCTGTAATAATTTGACAAGCTACTGTGAATTTGCCAGGTTATTAAACAACCTGCAGCATTCACTTCTGGAATCACGGAGATGAGCTCGGCTGCTGCTGCTAGTTAAATGCAGCATAAGGGTGAACCAAAAGCTGCTCATCGAAGTCTGTCGATCACTATGAACGGATTTAAATTCCTATGATGTTGGAGAAGTTAATTAATTTTGTATAGGGTGTCTTGAAACTTTTTATTACATGATAAACCTACTGGGGCAAAGCTGGTCATGTTTATGAACTCACAATGAAGCCAGCAAATTCTCTATATTTTTTAACAACAGTATGAACTAAACAAAATCTGAAGTTCTCCTTACCACCTTATTAAATGGGTATAACTTATTTTTAAAAAAAGGTTGTTTCCTTCACAGATACATCCACAACATCCCCCCAAATAAAAGTTCACTCTCTCTTTTTTTTTTCTGTTCCAAATAGATGACCTTGTGCTAAACAAAGTGGTGTTGCCGGTAGAGCAGTCTAAGTGGACCAGTAGCCTTACATCCTTGGTCACCAGCGCACCGGTCCCCCAACCCCCTCTTTCAGGTTAAGATCTGTTCAAAACGTTACTGTCTAGTTACTGTGGTGTCTTTCATTCAGATTCTGTTTATTGACTAAACCGCAAGGATTCCTGCCCAAAGTACCAGGCGGTCTATGCTTGACTGATTTTGATTTTCTAACATCAGCCCTGCGGTTTATTTGAAAAATGTACATACACTGCAGCTTTAACAAGTCAAGTGACTGCATGTTTTTGACCATGGAGTAGAGTATATCTGAAGATCATTAAATTTAGTGGGGGAAGGGAGGGGTAGAGAATAAGTGTAGTAGTCATTGTACCATTGCAGAGTGAGTGAGTGTGTGTGTGAGTTTGTGTGTGTGACACATGGTTTTTGTCTTTTCATCTTCTCCAAGAGCCAGAAAGTTTCCTGCAGTTCTCTTTCCAGCTATTGACAAATGATTGCCAGATGTGAGATCTTTGCAGTGCTCTTTCCCTCAGCAAACCTGCAGCGATGGGATATTTGATTCTCCCTTGCCCATTTCATCTCCTTTCCACATCTGCCAGGGACACACAAGCAATACATCCCTACATGAGAGTTTAAAGTTTATTCAGCTCCTTTTTCCCCTCCGATAAAATGTTTGGAGACAACAGAATGAGGTCCATATGACTCTCTCCTGACTTCACCGTATGAAATTAATTGTTTATTTTACTTATCTACCTCTCAGTAATTGAAGTATTTCATTTTAGTTTCGGTCCATGGAAAATTTGACGTAACTCTGGGAGTGCTAAGAGTTTCCTATTGTCTGCTTGCTGCAAGTATGCCACCATCTCAGCTTCCCTTTGAGTGCCTCAATTCTGATAAAAACTAGACTGTTGGTTTCACAGGACTTCCCAGTAAAGTAATTTTAATCAACAGCTGTCAAAATATTAAGTGTGGAGTGTCTGGTAAAATTCAGTAGTCATTTAGAATTTAAAAAGCCATCTAAGAGGGAGAAAATTCAACTTATTTGGTTTGATTGGTTTACTCTGTGTTTGTGTCCATTGTCGAAATTGATATGGATGAGGCTCTAGTTTTAATCACAAGTAGCTTAAAAAAGAGAAAGTACACTGAGTTTCAGAGGAATCTGAAGTTAGCCTGTGTAGGCCACACACGTAATCACTAACATGCACAGAAGCCTTTTGCATCTGCTTGGAATCTGTATTGATACTGATTTTTTTTTTTTCTCATCTCAGTTTGAAAATATTTTCCAAAATGCCCTTATAGCTCATGTTCATACCATAGGGTGGGCTGACACAGGTGGCCTGTCTGTTTTCCTTTTACACTTTTTGGCAAATGGAAAGGCCCCTTATTCCCTGAATAAGATCAACGTTTTTTTTTTTTTAAACATTTAAAAAATAATCCATAAAATGTCTGCCACATGTTCTCTAGTTTATGGAAATGTTTGCCAAATTAGACTTGTGGAATTGGATTCTTATTGTAAAAGTATTAGTGTGTTTACTATTTCTGCTACCTTCTTAGCTACCTGTGATTATGTGAATTTATATTTTTATATGAAATTTAAATGAGGAGTATAATTATTATTTCTGAATTCCCGTACTGAGGAAAAATTTTTTGTTATTAAAGGAGGTAAGTGATTATACCCACATCAGAATCAACATAGAAAAAGTGTGAAGCCTGTTTTTCAATATTTTCTTTAAAAAATTAAGAAAACGACAAAGCTAACAACAACAACAACAACAAAAGCCCCTGAAAAGATTAAATCCTCCTAAACCTAAGTAAATGGCGGAAAACCATTTACCACAAGTTGCCAAAATGTTGTATGTTTCTATTGAAAGTTTTCACTGAATAGGATAGAACATAATCACAGTTGAACATGAGGACAGTGATTTCAAACTGTTTACCCTTAAAAAGAAGATGAAGATCATGATGGAGGGGTTAAGTTTAAATAACACTCCCCCTATGCGAAACAAAATTACTAAGAACCAAACAGATCCCTGTGGAAAAGTTTGTATGATTATTGTTCTGACTTTCCCTGAGGACTGACGCCATGGTAGGCACTCAGTGGATACCAGTGGTGGAAGGTGGAGGCAAAGAGCCCTTTTATAAAACAACAAGGTTAGGAACTCCTCTGGCAGGAGCCAAGTTCCTCCGAGTTTAGATCACTTCACATAATGTGCCCTTGCTAATGCATTTGCTGGTTTCTCACGCCTTCCTGCCTTTTCCTCTCCATGGTTACTCTGGGAGGCAGAGAGGTGCTAAGCAATGGAGGTGTCATCCGGCCCGCGCATCTAGGGAACGTCCTTCAGAGGACAACTTGTCACCAGCCGTCAAAGAAGAGAGTGGCTTTGTGGTCTCTGAACATCTGGCAGCGCTGCACAGGAAGCTGAGGGGGTGTCATTAATTGTGATGAAATAATTTAAACCATCAGGAATAAATGAGGCTGTTAAGCTAAGTTCAGATTCCATTTGCCATGCACATGTGTCTAGCAGCCTGTGTGCAGTTAAAAGAAATTGAATTATATTAGCTCATGAGTAGAAGTGAAACAGATACTGTAAATGAAACAAGTTGCTGTATAGCGATGACATCGTGTTGAACCATTTCACAGAGTTACAGTTTGTAGGATCACTGTATCAAAAGTGGTATATTATTTAATGAATTTTTATATTATAAAACATTCCTACGGTATGGAGTATAGTAAGGACCAGTGGTTTATGGGTAGGTAGAGAGGATGTGTAGGTGGATGGGCAGAAAGAAGCAAGCCACCAGGTAAAGGTGCAGTGAGGTGGGTGGGAGGTGTTTTGCCAGGCTGAATTGAGGCACAGTGTAGCTTTCTATAGAGTCTGGCTGTGATTGCAATATTAGGTGCCCTCGCTCTGTGTACATAGTGCAGCTTGGAGGACAGTTTCTCTCTGATGACCAGATACGAATGTTCCTGTGAGAGCCTCTGACACTTTGGGCCCATCCATGTTGTTTTCTTGCTATTAAAAACAACTATCTTGGGCGATAGAAGGTTACTCCTCAAGCAAGGGAACATATTTATAAGGCTTTGCACAATCAGTGAACACTGATTTCGATTGTAATTTTCAGGCACTACCGAAGGAGACATCTCCAGTTTCTTTACAAAGGAAAAACTGTTGGGTTTGGAATGTCAGGACAACTCTGAGTTTTTGTGCACTAAATGGATCAATGGTGTGTAGGTTCCAAAGTATATTTGTAAAATAAAAGCCATTCCTTTACACACAAGTGAAGCTTTCAAAGTTGAACTTTTATGTAAAAACAATCATGGAAATTTGAAAAAAAAAAAAAAGAGACTGTTACTGTTTAGGTACAGAAAGAATTTTAAAAAAATTACTGGAGAGGTAGGTAATACCTCTGTCAGAAAACAGATACATGGCCAGGCGCGGTGGCTCACGCCTGTAATCCCAGCACTTTGGGAGGTGGGCGGATTGCCTGAGTCAGGAGCTCAAGAGCAGCCTGGGCAACATGGTGAAACCCTGTCTCTAATAAAAAAATACAGAAAATTAGCTGGGCATGGTGGCGTGTGCCTGTAATCCCAGCTATTTGGAGGCTGAGGCACGAGAATTGGGAGGCAGAGGCTGCAGTGAGCCGAGATTGCACCACTGCACTCCAGCCTGGGCGACAGAGCAAGACTCTGTCTCAAAAAAAAAAAAAAAAAAAAAAAAAAAAAGAAAAAGAAAGAAAACAGTTACAAGTTATGGTCTGGAACTTCGGCAAATTTGGACAAGAGTTGTTTTGCTAAAAATATTTTATCTCCCTTCACCCCTTCGTCCCTCCCTTACCTTACTGCCTTTCTTATTCACTGTCACCTGCTGCCTTTTTTCTTCCTCCTCTCTCTCCATTTTCTCTTTTCCTTTCCATTATTCTCTCTTTTTATTTTGCATCCTCTCATTTTTGTTACAATTGATTCTCATCCTCTACCGTCACAGAAAGTGAACTGCAATTCCATTTTCATTTATAATGTTGGTTTTCCTGCTACTAGTTAAAAGATTTATATCTATAATTACTTAGTTTGTAAAATTATAAAATTTAGGTTACATTTTTACATAAAGTTGTGTGACCATTGGCGAATTTTTTGAAAGAAAGCAATTGAACCTTGATTAAGCTTTTTAAAAGGAATGCAGAATACTCATTGAGTTATCCTCTTCCCTGGACCAGAATGAAATTGTTATTAGTGAAAGCCAGCTAGAAGTTTGCAGCTCTGGGTTACCCTCTCCCTTCTTAACTCCGGACACAGGAGGAAGACATTCAGGTTGAAACACTTGTGTTTCCCCTAACTTGAGACGTGTTTGAAGTTGAATAGAATGACCAGTAGTCAGGATATTGCTACTGTGTGTGTGTGTGTGTGTGTGTGTGTGTTTGTTTGAGACAAAGTCTAGCTTTGTCCCCCGGGCTGGAGTGCAGTGGCGCGATCTTGGCTCACTGCAACCTCCACCTCCGAGGTCCAAGCAATTCTCCTGCCTCAGCCTCCCGAGTAGCTGGGACTACGGGCATTCACCACCATGTCCAGTTAATTTTTGTATGTTTAGTAGAGATGGAGTTTCACCATGTTGGCTGGGCTGGTCTCGAACTCTTGATCTCAAGTAATCTGCCAGCCTCAGCCACCCAAAGTGCTGGGATTACAGGTGTGAGGCACCATGCCTGGCCATGTGTGTTTTTATCTTTAAATTTTATTTTAATTGATGGATAGTATAGAAAGATGAGTTCTTCAGCCTATCTCTTGACACTGTCGGACAGATTGAAGGAGATTGTGCCTGTGTATTAGCTTTTGGCTAATAGTGAATGCATTGTTGTTACTGTGTAAATTACTTTTACTAGCTTGTGGTGGCCAAGCACATAAAAATTAGACAGAATTTTTTTCTGAAATTTTCACATATCTTGAAAAATTAAATATTATTTACCTAAAAACAGTTTTATAATTTTTCCCTAAAATAAGGAATCTAAAGAACACAGAAAATTTTGGAACAAGATAACTATGTTTTTCTTTTTATCTTTCTTAATTCGCCTTCTGTAATACATCTGTTTCTCAAAACAAATAAGAAAATGATAATATCTTCAACAGTGACTTGTGCTTTCTTTCAGAAGTGTGTTAGTGAATATTTACAGGGAAAAAAACAGTTCATGAACTTGCTTTTTTTTTCTCCTCCCTTGTTCTCACTTGGGTGTGGTGTGAACTGGATGCCCCTACATATTTTCGAGACCTTCTTTATTCCGCTGCTGCGGTTAACTTAGCATCTGCTTAGGCAGCATTAAATTTGTGAATTCCTGTGTCTCAGGTTCTATATGTCAGATACATTGTGGATTAAGTAAACTTTGGTTGAATGGCCTGAGAACTTAACTACATTTCTGCATTCTCTCTCAATACCAATATTTCTGTGAGAGAATGTTACCTAGATTTTGGACAACCAACTTAACATACACTGTTCATGTTGGCAACTGCCAGTATTAATGTAAGAAGTATTAAATAAGATGCTTATGTTTATGTATGTTCCTAAGCCATAGCAGCTTCATAGAAGAAGGAAAACATAGAGAAAAACAAAATGTTTTAATTCTTGGCTTAAATAGAATTACGCGTTTGTGTTTGGGTGTGTGCCTATGCATGGATTTTGTATGTACATACACACATGTCATATATATGTATATATCCATATTTTTATATAAGAATAGCTAGTGATGTTCTGTTCAAATATTTTGTTGGAGTTAGTCATAATTAATAATTTAAGAGCACACATTCCCTCCTACATGTACACAAAAGAAAAAGAAAAATTCTTTTGTTTGAGTAGATAATGGAATCTCAATTTGTGTTTTCAATTCTTTAGGATCAGTATTTTTTCATGTTTTCGAAATTAAAAGCTGGAATTGATTGATTGATTGAGACAGAGTCTCGCTTTGTCACCCAGGCTGGAGCGCAGTGGTGAAATCTTGGCTCACTGCAATCTCTGCCTCCCGGGTTCAAGAGATTCTCCTGCCTCAGCCTCCTGAGTAGCTGGGATTACAGGCGTGCACCACCACACCCAGCTAATTTTTGTATTTTAAAATACAAAATTTCACATGGGTAGCTGAGATTCACCATGTTGGCCAGGCTGGTCTCAAACTCCTGACCTCAAGTGATCGATCTGCCTCGGCTTCCCTTGTGAGCCACCGAGCCCGGCCAAAGCTGGAAATTACTTAAGTTATGTAACCTAATATCTTTACAGATTTGGAAACTAAGGTAGAGAACTTTTAAGACTTAACCAAAATCACGTAGTTAGTAACACATTCTTCATTGCTGATGTGTCAGAGTCTTTAAGATACAATTTACTAGGTTTTATTCCTTTAGAGTTTAACAAGTATTATATAGCAGTATTCTAAATTTTTTCTTTTCTTCGAAAATTAGGCCAGGCACAGTGGCTCATGCCTTTAATCCCAGCATTTTGGAAGGTGGGCGAGGTGGGCCTATCACTTGAGCCCAGGAGTTCAAGACCAGTGTGGGCAACATGGCAAAAGGCTGGTTCTACTAAAAATAAAAATACAAAAATTAGCTGGGTGTGGTGACATGTGCTTGTAGTCCCAGCTATTCTGAAGGCTGAGGCGGGAGCATCACTTGAGCCCGGAGGCAGAGGTTGTGGTGAGTCGATATCACATTACGACAGCACCACTGAACTCCAGCCTGGGTGACACAGTGAGACTTAAAAAAAAAAAAATTAACTCAATTTAGTCCTTGTTTTGTATAATCCAAGTGGACTTAAATAAAGGATGTAAATATCAGTTAGACCTCAGGAAAGGTGAGGGAAAGGTGAAGAAGAATGCAAGGAGGCTACATTTTTAGGCATTGTAGTAGTTGTCTTGGCAGGTTTCCCTGTGAAAATAGCAGATCTTCCTGCACTGTGTGTGAAATGTGCTAGCTTGATGCTAAGAAATGGAATATTTGGGTCTTGCTTTTATTTTTTCCCTTCTACTTTTCTAGTGTCAGTTAGTTTAGAATTTGGGTGTTGCTCAAATGCCGATTCTTAAACTTTAAGAATCGGAAATATTCCCATCTAATAATCTGTTTCAAAACTGCCATTATAGACAACTGAACAGTGGAATTGCCCAAGAACATAAAAGTGTAAATCTCTACTGTTCATTGAGTGCCAGTGGAGAGCTTCAAGGAGCATATACGCAGACCAAGTCCCCTTGAAATCAATGTTATATAAACCATCTTTAAGTGCCTTCTTGGGTATGGTACTATGTTTACATCTTATAAGAAGTGAGCTGAATAGATAGGGTCGTTGCCCTCTAGGAGTTTATAATCAAAAACAGATGATATAGCTGATATCTGTTATTGTCTTAAAGTCCTACAAATAAACATCGATTAGATCCATAAATAAAAGTTTGATATCAAAGACAAGTAAAAACCTTTTTGCTTGCCTGATTAAATAAGTAAACACACATCTTCTTCCCTACACTGAGACTATCCATGCGAGTTGTAAAATGACTAAACTAAAATAATCATGACACCAGGATACTCCTTTAGATTGTTATTTTTTTTAGGGGTTTTAAAAGAGTGCTGACATTAATATGATGTCACTGATGGTGTATTGTAAGTGGGTCTGGATTCAGGGATGTTTTTGTCTTTCTGGCTAGGAAATTGGGATGAGATTAATTTTCCTCCATCTCTGGAATTTCTTTATTTCTAACTATTCAATGGTAGTACTTGCTGTTGTAAACCAGCATTCTAGAGGACAGTTTAAAAATTTTATCCAGACCCTCACTGTGATTAGAAATCATATGTTTTTAAAATTAGCTGTCCCCTAAGCCTCTGGGAACTGCACTAAAACAAAGATGAGGATATGAAATTGATGCTGTAATGAGATGAACTTATATATCTAAAAGGCTTTGAGTGGAATATTAGTCCGAAAAGGCAGGTTCAGAACTTTGGAATGAACAGTTCTAGTTGTACGTTTGAGTAAAGCTATAACAACTAAAATTAAATGTAAAATGTTGGCAAGAGAGATAGGTATTGAGTTTGATAAAATATTTTCTTTCTGCATGCTTCAATTTTAGTGCAAGGTATTATAACAGTCACTTCATTTTTTAAGTGTAGGGGAACTAAAACAGCAACGCTGGGGAGACTAAACATGAACCCGTCTCAGAGTTCAACACATTAAAAAAATGGCTGTCCCTACTGCAGTGTAGGTGTCTGGCTGTGTAAATTAAAGCATGTGGATGCAGAAATTAATTAGAACAGTCAAAGATATAAATCAAACTTATTTGGTACACTGATGAAATGATCATTGTTTATGAGATTATCTTGTTATTTAATCTATTCTGTATAAACCTGGCTGGTTAGCCTTGTGAAGTAATAATACAATTAATGTGATGTGATGATGGTATACTTTTTCTCGGTACAGGCCTGATCCTGCAGATCTTTCTTGACTGGGACTTGTGTATATAGAAGACCATAAGAACTGGAAATTTTAATTAGCAAGAATGCCTCCACCTCTCAGTTGTATGTGTGTGTGTGTGTGTGTGTTTTTTTTTTTTTTAAATCTCAGAATGTTCCCTGGGAGTTTATTCTTTTTGAATCATTCATCTACTCACCCTAGAAGAATGAAGTGCTTTCAGATGTTATTTCCTCAAAACTGTGCAAAGTTTATTATAAGAGCTACCTGCTGTCTTCCAGCTATACTGTGCTATGCTACTGGGTCTCAAATAAAGAGAAAGTTTTACTTATAAATGAAACCATTAGGAATTTCTTGAATAAACAAAGGTTTTTCTCCCTTTGATATGCAGAGGAATTTTGTTTGTAATTATAGTCATATAAGTCTATGTCTAATACATGCAAGCATCATTCATTATCTTTTATATGAGAATGCACTCCTGTCACCTAAAGAGCAGAAAACAGATACACTAAGACAAAACAAAATAAAAAACCCCCCCAAAACTAAACAGGGATTCCAGCTCGTAGGAAAATTGTCAGCGTCATTATTTACTATTTGATTCAGGATTTTTGCTTCGTGTTGTTTACCCTGCTTTCTTTCCTTGTCTCTATTCCTTTGACTCCGTGAAGTTGGTTTCTTTATGTCCCCAAATGAGAACTTTGTTTTTGGAAAGTTAAAGATGTAGATTTTATTTACCTTGCTCTTAGATTGCTTCACTACTCCATGGTGTTCTCTTACTCTTTAGCAGAATTTGGCGACAGTGTCCAATAAAGTAACTAATAAATTGTAGGAAAAAAATGTCACATGTAATCTCTCTTGTAAAACCTTTTATGAATGGAGCCTGATGGCTGGAGTTTGTTGTTCCTACTTAATCTCATAAAGAGAATGGATTTAGAACAATGTTCTTTTAGGATTATGCATAGGGTGATTATGAGTGTGATACGATAAAATCGTAATTATGATTTCATTTTGTCCTGAACAGTTAGGATTTTTTGCTCTGGATTGGTCTATAGTTGATGTTAAACATTTTCTTTTTTTTTGAGATGGATCTTGCTCTGTCGCCCAGGCTGGAGTGCAGTGGCACGATCTCTGCTCACTGCAAACTCTGCCTCCCGGGTTCACGCCATTCTCCTGCCTCAGCCTCCTGAGTAGCTGGGGCTACAGGTGCCCGCCACCATGCCCAGCTAATTTTTTGTATTTTTAGTAGAGACGGGGTTTCACCGTGTTAGCCAGGACCGTCTGGATCTCCTGACCTCGTGATCCGCCCGCCTCGGCCTCCCAAAGTGCTGGGATTACAGGCATGAGCCACCGCGTCCGGCCAATGTTAAACATTTTCAATTTGACATGTCAGATATTTGGATGTATTATTTTAAAGATCTTTTGTCTCATCTTCATAGGAGTGCCCCAGATCTCCCTGTTTCACCTGTGATTATCTGTGATGCCATAGCAACACCCCTTGCTGTTAGCAGAGTATGTATTATTTCTGTGGTTTTGTGAATCAGTAACCACTAAAAGATTTGTGACCAATCACCCATGAATGATTTGTTCAGAGTTTGCTTAATGAGAGAAACTGTGGCATAAGACAACCTTACAATGTATGTACAGGTATATTTTCACTGTTACACTTGGCTCTGTTCTAGATTATGCAACTTGCATTTTCAGTCATTGTTGAGCTATGTAGATATATTTGGTGGAGTTTGGGTCTGTTTTCTGTAAGCCTTTCAGAACAGTACTTGTCAAACCAGTGTTAAAACCAGGATCTGCTGACTGGAGTTCAGGCATATGGTGAAACAAGATGCCTTCTGGGTTAAAGAGGTGACTAACGGTGGGCCAACTGCTCTCCTTTACTTGCCAACCAGAGCCTGCTTCTCAAATCTCATGGGAGGCAGGCTTCAATGAGCTGAGTAAACAGTATGAGCTGTATGTCCAGTTTCTATTTTGGAAGTGATGCATAGGACCAGAGCTGATGAGAAACTCTGGGATATAGTCTAATTTTCTGTCAAACAGAACCCCTCGTGGTAAAGGTAAAGGCTGATGTTGGGGTAAAGGCACTGTACAGAGATTGTCTCCTGAGTTTGGCTTTTCCATGGGCTGCCTGTTCTTTTGGATGTGAAAGGCTAGATGTGTTCTCCAGCCTTTCTGCACTTCCCTAGCTCTTTTCTTTTTACCACTTATCCTTTCCTTTTTCCTGTGAGTTATTTCATTGCTTCACCTTTTCGTTCATTTTGATGCAATCACATATTATTTTATCCATACATTTTAGGATGTCTTTTAGGAGGAGCCGATGTGATGTGGGCCCTTATGTAAACAGTTGAGAGAGTGACTTGCATGAAGGCATTTTGTTTAGGGAGGATCCTAGAGTAGAAATGAAGGACCAGGGAAAACCAACACAAAGATGAATTACTGAGATGATCAGTGCCACAACTGATGGGTTCTCATTCTCTCTGAGGCCTTCTGAGGAAATATTTAACCATTGGCTCTCATTTCCCTTGATCCGTATGGCCGTCTGAGCATGAACTTCCCACACTTTTTGGCTTGTGCATGTGCGTCTTCAGGTTGTCAGGAAGCATGACTCAGGTGGGGCAAGCTCAGGGGAAGGTGCTAATTAGCGATCAGTGGGGGAAGTTGGTTCATGCGGCTAGAATAAGAGACGTGACAGAGAGGATTTTTAAGTAGTCCAAGGAACCCATACATTGTTTTTGGTTTTGGTCTAAAAGCATAGAGAGCTCTGGAGTATTTGCTGTTCTGAATTTCTCTTTTCTTGCATTTATTGTAGTGTACTTCTCAGGTGAGTTCACGTATACCTTTACCATCACTTTGTTACTTGAAGGGATTGTTTGCATTTCCTTCAATAATTTTATCTTACCTCTTGGAACATTGGTCATTCACCATTAGGACCAGAATGATCTAGAATAGGTAACGCATTTCCCTTTTATTAACACAAGTCTACTGCTTTATCCACACTAAAGCATAAAACAGTTATATCCTATGTCCTTGATTTTGGAGTGGGAGAAAGTTGTCAGCTATTCAGCCACTCTTAATATTCTTCTTAAATTGGCTGGATACAGTGGCTCATGCTTGTAATCCCAGCACTTTGGGAGGCAGAGGTGGGAAGATGACTTGAGCCCAGAAGTTCAAGGGAACAGTGAACTATGATCGCGCCCTGAATTCCAGCCTGGGTGACAGAGTGAGACCTTGTCTCTAATATATTTTATTTATGTTTATATTCTATATGTATATTCTAAATAGAGGTATTTAGCAGAATTCTGCCACAGGGTAATTTGGCTCTTTCAGATGTTCAAAAGTAGACCCAAATCTTTACTGGCATTTTCCAATGGTCCTAGGAACCCGAATAGGTATAGTTAATGCTTCTATTAAACCATGACATATGATAGATCAGTGAAGATTTAGAGAAGAGTGTAAGGAAAAACTAAAAATAGTACCCAGTGGGATTGAAACATTATGCATGCTTTCAGTACTTATTTGATAGAAGAATCTGTTTCAGAAACCAACTTCTAACAAAAGCAGTTGAATTACACAATTATTATATGTTTTTAAATTGTAGTTACATATTTTTATTGGAGTCATGGTCCACAAATTATAAGGTTAACTATTATCATGTATCATGCAGAGGAGATGAAACCACATCAAAGTTTCCTACCGTCCACTCTAAGCTGCAGTTCAAGTTTCTAACACGTTTTTGCTTCTTATAAGTGGATGAGCTGATCTTCATTTCTTTTTCCGTGGTATCTGATTTCTTTCTGGTTGTTTCTGTTTAAAGAAATATGTACTGCTTATAGGAATGATAATTTAAGCAGTTAGAGAAGAAGTAGTTCTCTATTTGTGCAGGTAGATGGAAGGAACACCTTGCCAATGCATAACATAGTATCTCACATACTTTAATTCCCTCAATAAGTTATTGTATTTTAAAGGTAAAAGACCAGGACAGAGAAACAACAGAGGGCCTGATTCTACTAAGAATTTATAACTGTTATAAGATCCTCAACCAATTGGAAGTTGCTGTCTAGTGAGATGTGCATCTCATTTGCTATTTTGCTCCAATTCACAATAGCCAGTACTGTTTCAATAAAGGAAAAATTTAGTTTACTCTGCTAGAACTTTCTCTTGATCTGAGGGAGTTGGATAGTTGGATTATTTGAGGTTAACATACCTTAGCACCTTTAGGGCAAAATGTAACCTGGGGGTGTGATAGAATATTCCATCTAGAGGATAAGGAGTTTTAGATTATAAGGAAAATTACTCCCTTAGTGGGCTCTTCAGGAACAATTTTTTATCTTGTGGTTGGTCACTTTCAATATATGGCAGTTGCTTTCCATTATATTCTCAGGCTCCAATCAATACGTACAATATTATGCAACTTATAGTTACATTATAACCAAAATATGTCAAATGTGGTTTCTGAGTGGCTGATTTACAGTAAGTCTTCCTCAGTCCCCAAAGTGGGTATTATGACTAATTTAAACTTTCATACACCAAAGCAATTTTTTTCATATGAAAATCGTGTGTCTTGAGGGGGGTGGGGTCTGTAGAGACAGAAGGAACAGTAAAGCACTGCGTCAACTTACTCACATACAGATTGATCCATTGTCATCTCCTTTGCATCTCATGGATTGTTGTGAATTATTTGCTCACCCTGGGAGAGACGTGCTCTGAATTATAATAATTTAAAATCTGTGAATCTATTAAAACCGTATTTGTAGCTCTAAAAAAATTGATATTCACTGGGCAGTTTGCCCAACAAGAGAAAGTCAAAGAGATTACACACTTACCCTAGGTAACAGCAACCACCCTGCCAATTCTTCCTTTGAAAGAATACAGCAGACCCAAATTATACATCTGTGGATAAGGGGAGACAAGAAAAGAACTCAATATATCAAAATCAGAAAGTAAATTCCACAATAATGGCTACAATAATGTTTCAAGATGGTATTTTAGCATAGGCCTAGTCATTGAACTAATCATAGCTTAGAGGGGTTTAAAATTGTTTAAAGTACATCCTGACGTTGTTAAGTATGTTTACCACTCTCACTTGAAATCAGAATATTCACTCATGTATGGTATACCCTGAGATCATATCGGAGAATGACAATGACTGCATTGTTTGGTGGAAAAAGTGAGGCCCAGAGTGTCACAATGGTTTTCTGATTTCTCATCTAAAGGTCTTTTCATAGGATACTTAATTAACACATCGAGCTCCCGCGGTATGCCAGGGGCTGGCAGTGTAAAGATGCATAAGAAGAAGCTAGGTGCAGTGGTTTGTGACTATAGTCTCAGCTGCTCAGGAGGCTGAGGCAGGAGGATCTCTTCCAGACTAGCCTGGGCAACACAGTGAGGTCTCCCAGTGAGGTCTCCTTCCTTTAGAAGAAAAACAAGGTGCATAAAAATAAGCTGGTCTTTCCATGGGAGCTTCGCTAAATGTGATCTTCCCGAAGGACAGGTTTAGTCCTGTTCATCTTTCAGGTCTCAGCACTTACCATTGCGTCTGGCACTTAGTAGGAACGTACCTAATAATTGCTTGATGTGATAAATGCCAATCTTTGTGCCATGGAATCACAGAGGACAGGAAAACCAAGGAAGAATTTAAAAAGGGGATGGAGTTTTAGTTGAGTTCTTGAATAGTGTTTTGGGGTGCAAATAGAGTGGAGAATAGGTAAGCCCACCTAAAAGATGCTCTCCTTGAGGGCAAGAATAAAGTTGTGTTGATCTTTGTATATCCTTGTATCCAGCATAGTGCCCCATACATAGTAGGTCCTCAAAACATATGCTATATTTTTTTCTGTATATAAACTTGAACTATACCTTTCTTAACTTTCATATTACAAATGTGGTAAATGTTTTGGTTTCAAAACATTTCTTGTTTGATTATATCTAAATAATTTATGCTAGAAAGAAAATGCTGTCAAAAGGCTATCTCATTTAATTTAATTATGTCAAGAAGAAGTTGAAAGTATTATTTGCTCAGATAATCCTCACTTTCTGATAATTGGAAATCGACTTTCTTGGACTGTTAAGGATGACCACCTCAAATTACTACATTTGGCACTAAGTGGAGAGTCCCACTGTTAATTTTCAATTAACTACAATGTTGATTATCTTGTCAGTAACAATGCTTTAGTTGTTTTTACCACCTAATCTCAGTTGAGGAGATCATGGAACTAACAAGAGCTTGATTGTGGATTTTATTCTTGTATAGGCCGGTTAAATTTGCAAAAGGAAAAACTCCTTGAATAAACATAGACAGCACTCCAAATTTTGGTTAGCTGTTAAATAAATGGATGCTATTATTACAAAAGAGGACTTGGCTAAAGAAGGTAGATCATCACATCTCATTACCATTTGGATAAACAACCAAAACATGTATTCTAGTGACAGTACTTTTATAACATCGGCGTGTGTGCGTGTGTGCGTGTGTGTGTGTGTGTGTGTGTGTGTGTATGTGTATCTGAGTGATGTGTGCTTTTCTGAAATTAGTATTTAGCTTTTTAGTGGAAATAGGAAGCCTACAGTGTTCTTTATTGGTTTTAAATTTTTTCAGAGTGTAATATCACTCTGGTACTAGTTCATAACTATTTGAATTTATCTGTGAATTTTTTAACTGTAGACTGAAGCAGAAAAAAAATCAAAATATGTCAGGCAAACAAAATGTTCAGGTTGAATAATGCTAACTACATTTAAGTGAATTAGCACTTCCTCAAAACATGAAAAATTTGTTAAGAATATATTGCTTCAAAACGTGTGTGCATCTGGCTTTGTATAGATTAGTGTAGACTACATTTCAGATGGGCGGCAAAACAGATATATTTGCTGTTTAGATACCATGTTTAAACTAGGAAAACAGGTCTGCTGGATGTGTGTTGAAGTGTTTAGCTCCAGAATCACCCAGTGAGTCTCAGTAATGAAAGCTGACCTGTGGTTTCTTGAAAGATGTTTTTACTTAATTGCCAAGATAGCTTAGATGTTGTTTACTGTGTTGTCAGTTGCATTGTAGCATTTAGAGAATTGATAGTGTTGGTCGGTAACCTTTCTGTGCGTGTGTTTTTAAGCTGTTGTTTCTCTCTTTTAATGAAGCACGTTAAATATCTTTAATGCCACCTACCTGCTTTATTGGAGGATTCATGATGTTGAGAAAAACCAAATAAAATTTCTATATAGAGTTATAGGAGAGAACATTTGCAGCGGACATAGCAGAGATCAAGGGAATGCCAACATTACCAGAGTGAAGAAAACAGAGAACTGAAGATGAGACCAAAATCAGATAGATAGAGATGCCCTCTGGCAAACTATAGCTCTGGAGGAAAGTATGTTAGAAGGTAGCTCTTCATAGAAAAAAAAATGTATTTTATGGGAAAAATATTCTAAAAAACCCACATGATCTCCTATTTATTGAAATATGAATTCAAATTTTATACAAGAAATAACTCATTGAAAGTAGTTGTCAATGAAGTAGTTATTAAAATTACTGTGTTTTAACAAATAAATATCTGCATTGAAATGGCACAAGGAAAAAAATGGGGATAATTTACCAGATAAAATTTTAAAGATAGTTTCTTTAATATTTTTAATCCTGGAAGTCCTTATTGCAAGTATGACTGAAAAACTAATCATGGAAATATGTGTTTTTTTCAATTAGTTACAGATGATTTACTAGGAGAGGTTCAACAGGTAGGAAGTATTTGTTTACAGATCGTTTAGGATTATAATTTTTAAGAAATGAAATGCCTACTTAGTAAGGATCATGTTTGTAATGATACTAACTCCAGAGTGCCTAGATCCGTGCAGTTCCAGGGCTTGGTTTCAGAGGAAATAAATTTTGTTCTGATTAGAAAATTAACTTGCATTATGCATTTTCATATCTCTGAATCAGTCTTGACTATAAATTCATGATGCTAGTCAAATATTAAACACACTTTCATGCTTAGTAGCATAAAATAGTGTCAAATGGTAAAATAAGATGGTAAGAACTGCTCAACCTCAAAGAATTTACAGGTCTAGTTTAGGAAATTTGCTGTGATTTCTCTCTCTCTCTTTCTTTCTTTCTTTCTTTCTTTCTTTCTTTCTTTCTTTCTTTCTTTCTTTCTTTTCTTTCCTTTCTTTCCTTTCTTTTCTCTCTTTCTCTCTCTCTCTCTCTTTTTTTTTTTTTTTTTGAGACAGAGGTTCACTCTTATTGCCCAGGCTGGAGTACAGTGGCACGGTCTTAGCTTACTGCAACCTCCACCTCCTAGGTTCAAGCAGTTCTCCTGCCTCAGCCTCTGGAGTAGCTGGGATTACAGGCATGCACCACCATGCCTGGCTAATTTTTTCTATTTTTAGTAGAAACAGGATTTCACCTTGTTTTTCAGGCTGGTCTCAAACTCCTGACCTCAGGTGATCCACCCGTCTTGGACTTCCAAAGTGCTGGGATTACAGGCGTGAGCCACTGCACCCGGCTGAAAGTTGCTATGATTTCTAAGGTACTTCCTTAATTTATAAAGAAGTTACAGGTCTAGTTTAGGATAGTTGCTGTGATATCTAAGGCACTTCCCTGCTTCTGCCATGAAGCATTGTGCTAATGCTGCCTATAACCTGCCTATTCTGAATTTAAGATTCACTATATTCTGAATCTAAGAATAGGCAGGGTGTAGGCAGCATCAGCACAATGCTTATGGTATAGGTGAAGCATTCTGGTGCTCACATTTCACGTGGACATGAATTCTGAGAGTTTATTCCAGAGCAGAACAGCGTTTTCAGCTGAGGACAACAAAACCTTCTCCTTATTGGGTCTCTTGTAGATCCCCTGTTTTTTTTTGTTTTTGTTTTTTTTTGTTTTTTTTGTTTTTGTTTTTTTCCTGAATACCCTTATTGCCCCTACTTTTATTTTCCTTTCATTTTTATGAATCTGTCATTGATGAGCATCCTACCCAACACCAGACCAGATTAGGATACAGGCAGTTTACAGGAATTTTTACCGCATAGAAACCCTGAAGTTGTAGTTGCTTCCTACAAGGCCAGAAATTCTCTTCAGTGTCCCCAGACAGTCTCAGCTAAAAGGAGAGAGGCCTTGAGCAAAAACTTGGTATAGGCTTATGAGTCAAGACCATGGTTGGATGCAATTGTAGTGGAATTTCTCTGGATAGGAAAGTTCTGGACCCATGAACTTGTGGTTGGGAGGGGTAGTGAGAGTCAGACATTCTGGGCAAAGTGCAGCATTAGGGAAGATTTAGCATGCCTCTGAGCAACAAAATATGTAGATGCCAGCCAGGGAAGGACTGGCGTGGAAAGGAGGGACAACCTTGGGACTCTGAAGTATGTTTAGGAAATCAATAACGTGGAGCATTCCCTATCAAATTCAGTGTTTGAGATGAAATGAATACTGATGTCACAAGTCCAGAGTGTCATTTTTTTGTCGTGGTATTTCCCTTTACATTGGGAAACAGGAGGAATAAAGGCCTATTATTTCGAGAAGCAGGATAAAGGTGGAATCGAGGATCAATGGAGGGTTAAGTTTTCATAACTAATCTCTAATAATAATGGCACGTTAGTTGGGTTAGCCCTTTTCTTGCCAGGGGCTTACCTCCTCCCTTGTTTTGGACCACACATTTAATATAGCAAGACTTTATAGGTAGACTCTAGGCAAGTTTCTATAGGTTTAACAGTACATTTATTCAATGAGGAAATTACTTATTAAGGCAAAAATTTATTTGGAAAAATCTGTTTTCATGTGTCTGCTTTCAGATTTTTTTCTTTCTTATTAAGTAAGGAAATAATATTCACACCTGACTCTTTAAAATTTTGTTCAGTGGATTAGATATCCCAGCAGGCACATTTGAATTGACGCTATTGGACATTATTACTCTTTCTGAGATTTTTGAAATGCTCTTTTGTGTTTTTTACCTGTGTAAAGTCACCGGAATGCAGTTACAGAAATACATAATTTTAGAGCAAATATTCTAAGAACTAGAATATTAGTACCAAGAATATCATAATATTAGAGATCATGAAGTTCAGTCCCTTCTTTTTATAGTATAGTCCAGAATCACAGAGCTGGAATACATAACCTTCTTGGTAAATTAGAAAGAACTCATATTTGTATTAGTTTGAAAACAGAGTGGGCCAGGCATGGTAGCTCACGCCTGTAATCCCAGCACTTTGGGAGGCTGAGGCCAGTGGATCATGAGGTTAGGAGTTTGAGACGAGCCCCAAGATGGTGAAACCCTGTCTCTACTAAAAATACAAAAATTAGCCAGGGACGGTGGCGGGCGCCTGTAATCAGCCCAGCTACTCGGGCGGCTGAGGCAGGAGAATGGCTTGAACCCGGGAGGTGGAGGTTGCAGTGAGCCGGGATTGCGCCACTGCACTCTAGCCTGGGCAACAGGGCAAGACTCCGTCTCCAAAAAAAAAAAAAAAAGAGTAAACAGAGTGGAGTGCCTATGGATCACTGGAATTGAGCGAGCGAGTAGGGGAGGTGTTAGGGATGTTATTGATGAAATCACTTGGCTGTATAGTGAAGCAGATGAGATAATCAGAAAGGGTATAACCAGAATAGACTGTAACCTCCTTGAGGGCAGATCATAAGCTTTCCTTTTTCTATTGCTACTACTGTTTAAGGCACTTACTGCAGGTAATAGCAACTTTAAAAGCATTTGTTTAAAATTATAATAAAAACACATTGATTTAGTAACCTTTTAAGAATGGTGTTTCTAGAGAAGGAAGCAGTAGAAAGTCTCCCTGATTTTATGCCATCAAATATTCATTCCTTTTTCTGTTTTAGGTAGGATATTTTCTCTTGTTTTATTTTATTTTTTGAGACAGTCTCACTCTGTCACCCAGGCTGGAGTGCAGTGGCCTGATCTCAGCTCACTGCAACCTCCACCTCCTGGGTTTAAATGATTCTCCTGCCTCAGCCTCCTGAGTAGCTGAGACTACAGGCATGCACCACCATGTTCAGCTAATTTTTGTATGTTTAGTGGAGACGAGGTTTCACCATATTGGCCAGGCTGGCCTTGAACTCTTGACCTCAGGTGATGCACCTGCCTTGGTCTCCCAAAGTGCTGGAATTACAGACATGAGCCACTACGCTCAGCCCGGGTATTTTCTCTTGTGATGAGTTAAAATCTGGCCAATTACCTCTGACCATGCCTCATTGTAATCAGTATTTATTTTAAGGTATGACTCCTAGAATTTAAATAAAGTATTGGCGATGTGGTGTAATTAGTGTAGAGTAGAATGAGACCTTGCCCTGTTGTACACTTCATAGGTTTGTTGTGTTTACTTTTTTGAGCCATATGCTCTAGAATGTTTTAAATATGTAGCATCACATCATCTACCATTTAGAGGACCAGAATATCTATTCTGAGTACACAAAGTAGACTCATGAACTAATATGTGAATGTTTTCCCCTCTGAAGGAGAAATATTGGGAGTTTAACAGCTTGAGTAGAAATTTCCTTTTGAATGGTTAACCAAACTGGTATCACTTTTAAGGTCCTAAATCCCAATCTGTTTTTCTAGGGAAACATGTTGGCAGCTGTTCGAAATAACTAGTGGTTTAAAGACAATTGTTAGTGTGGTTTTCTACACACTTAAAGCTTAGACCTGCTCTGTCACTTGTCTTTGATGCTAAGGAGTTGTCTAAGTAGTTGAGTTAAATAATTTCAGATTAGTTTTATGCATTAAATGGTTTGGTTTTATTTTTAAAAACCTCTGTTATTATTTAACTCTGTAGTAGACATTTACAAAATAATTTTTCTTATGTGTATTTACATGGACATTAAAAACATCTTAAGAAATTAATTTTATTGATGTTTTTAAGTTCAGGAATGTTCTCACAACAAATCACACACACACAACACATGTAGTCTTTAGAAATAGACATGAAAATAAGATCATTAGATGTTCATGCCTGCTTAATAGGAGTCTCCAAAGCAATAGAAATATTAATATATTGGAACTCTGATGGAGGGAATCCCTGAGTGCAGAGAGGAAACTGATAACACTAAACTTTAATGGCCTCGGAAATTATGAGACAGAGGACTCCAGAGTCTTCTATAATACATACCTTAGCTTTGTTTTCATCTCTGGGGAACTAACATACAGCTATATAGTATACTGATCACTTCCCCATATACTATTGAAGTCAGTCTCCAAGTAAACTTGTGATTTAGTAAGGGCAGGTGGTACATGCTGTTTTATAAATGAGGAAACTGGTTGAGAGAGTTTATGTGGTTTATCCAAGTAAGTTCAAACAGTTAATAAGGACTAGCTATAGTAAGACTTAAAACCTAGGGTTTTTTTGTTAGAAGATGAGTATATTACCCATTACATCTGTTCTTCTGATGATACAGGAATGAGGTAAGGGCTCACACCTTCTTTCTCTCTAGGAATGAAGAAAGGAACCCCTAGGTTGTAAAATCAATTTTACCACATGACGTTGGGAAGGTTAATTGCTTTTCTTGAGCCTCAGTTTCCTTACATTTAAAATGGGAATAATGGTATATACACTTTAGAATATTTAGGATTAAGTTAGATCATCTACAGTCATCCTTCAGTATCTGTAGAGAATTGGTTCCAGGACCTCCCTCAAATACCAAAATTTGAGGACGGTTTAGTTCCTTATAAATGGCATTACTATGCATATAATCTATGTCCATCCTCCCGTACACTTGAAATCATCTCTATATTACTTACAATACATAGTATAATATAAAATGTAAATACTATGTAAATAATTGGTATACTGTATTGATTTTTAAATTACTATTATTTTTATTGTTGTGTTGTTATTTTTTTTTCCTGAGTATTTTCAATCTGCAGTTGGTTGAATTCATGGATGCAGAACCCACAGATACAGAGGGCCTATTGTATAGCAGTCATATTGGCTGGCACATTCTGTGGAAACTTAGTTTTTCCCCCTTTTTGTCCTTTCTCTTTTTCTGCTATCCAATAAAGTTTGGCTTTGTTTGTGAAGGCTAATTATAGTCCGTGCTATTGGATACCTTAGGCAGCTTATGTTCTGCTAAAGAGTAGGAGGTGCACACATAAACAAGGAACTAATACAAAGTGGTATGTATTTTTTTTTTTTTTTTGAGATGGACTTTCGCTCTTATGGCCCAGTCTGGAGTGCAGTGGCACGATCTCAGCTCACTGCAACTTCTGCCTCCCAGGTTCAAGCTATTCTCCTTCCTCAGCCTCCCTAGTAGCTGGGATTACAGGCGTGTGCCACCACGCCTGGTTAATTTTGTATTTTTAGTAGAGACAGAGTTTCTCCATGTTGGACAGGCTGGTCTTGAACTGCCAACCTCAGGTGATCCGCCCGACTCGGCCTCCCGAAGTGCTGGGATTACAGGCTTGAGCCACCGCGCCCGGCCCCAAAGATGTGTAATTTTCAAGGGGAAGTCCAAGACATTGTGGGCAAGGGATGCAAAGTGCTAGTAAATAGTACAATTGGAGAACAACTAATTATGGGGTCCCTAGTGTGAGTAAAACTTATTTGGGGGTGAGATGTTAGATTTGTAAAATATTTTGCAGGGAATAATTTGGCTGAATACAGATATTAACTGAACATATAATTCTGTTTCAGGCATCTATTTGGTTGCTGGAGGTACAGTGTAACAAAGTCCTTTCCCCTTGGAGATTATATTCTAGTGGAGAAGACAAATAGTAAAGAACATATAAGATAGGGAGTATAATAAGGGCTATGAAGAAAAAAGCAGAGAATAAGGGGATGGGAAGTGAGGCTAGAGAGGAGCCTGTTATTTTACATCGTGTGGCCAAGAAAAGCAACGCTGAGGAGATGACAGTTGAGCAGAGAACTGAATAAAATGAGAGAGCAAGCCCTGCACAGATCAAGGGAAGAATATTCTAGCAGAGAGAACAACAATGACAAAGACCCTGATGCAGAAACAAGCTTGGTAATTTTTTTTTTTTTTTTTTTGAGACGGAGTCTCGCTCTGTCACCGGGCTGGAGTGCAGTGGTGCAATCTCGGCTAACTTCAATTTCCGCCTCCTGGGTTCAAGCGATTCTCCTGCCTCAGCCTCCCGAGTAGCTGGGATTACAGGCATGCACCACCACACACAGCTAATTTTTGTGTTTTTAGTAGAGATGGGGTTTCACCATGTTGGCCAGGATGGTCTCAATCTCCTGACCTCCTGATCTGCCCACCTCGGCCCCCCAAAGTGCTGTGATTACGCGTGAGCCACTGTGCCCGCCGCAAGCTTGGGATTTTGAGAAGCAGCGTGGTTGCCAGTGAACAGGGGTCCTGAAATTGCAGAAGGGCACGATGAAACGGAGAGCCCTTTTACATGGCGGTACAATAGAATTTGACTGTAATACTATTGTCAGGGCCCTCTGCATTAAGTCAGTGCACGTGTGTGCATTCACATGCCCCCCCCCGCCATCCATCTGCCATTTACCCACACCTGTCCATCTATCCATCCATTCAGCCATTCAGCAAATATTTATTGAGTACCTCTCTTAAGTTAGCCACTGTTCTAGGACCTAGCTCTCAAATGAATTCATGCTTAAGTTTAATCACATTCAAAAAAAGAGACAGTTGCGATGATCAATGGTTTGTGTATCGGCGTAATGTATTTTTCTGATCCTAGTTGATGATTTTAAGACAATGTAAACTGTCACCTTAAAATCTAATGTGTCCTTCAGCCATTGCTTTTTAGAGGGAAAAGAGTGTAAGAGAAAAAAGTTGGGTGGGGGGTGTGGGCATAAGAAAGAGTGCCTTCAACATCTGGGTAAAGAGAGCACTGGTTATTTGGTAGCTGGATTGTCTGTTCTGGGATAGTTGGTAAATTAGCTGTGAGGCAAAGTACAGTCTTTCCTTAAGAGACAGACCAAGTTGTTTATTGATGCTGGGGAGGAAAAGGGCTGGGCACATGCTTATAAGACCTATGATCTTTCCCAGAATTTGGAAGGATAAGAGAATTGTTAAGAATTTGACATTGGAACTGTTCCCTCTAATTGTGGCTTAGACCATTTGATGGGAAAAAAAATATTAAGGAATCCAGGAGGTGATATGCTGAACAATATGGGGACTATTCACGGTGAAAACAAGCATTTACCCAAGCATTTGACCAGGGTAATGTGTGTTTTAGTTTCAGGTAGTAGAAACTGAAGTGGCTTTGTTTCACAGTGACATTTAGGAACATTGACTAAAATATACTGGGCTGTTTAAAGTTTTGTTTTCTTTTTTCCCCCTCTCCCTTACAGTACTCCCCCTGACTCCAAATTCTCCAGCCTTATAGCTGTTTCCATGTTTTGAGATTACTGCAAAAACACTTAATGGCACACATATGAAAATTTTTGTAAATGTCTAAATAGTTTAACAATGAAAATTTTCACTCATTCTACATGTATTACTGATTTGGAGAATTTCTAAATTGCTGCACAGTTTTATTGCAATGTAGAGATGTCCCCATTCCCTTGCAAATTAGTAAATTAGGATCTCCTTCTACCTCTGAGTGCTATGGATGCCATCCCTTCTCTTGTCCCGAAATTCCGGTCTATTATTGAACTTCTGTTTATTCTACTTAGGGGGTTGATTCCTTTAAAAGTGTATTATTACATATATTAAACATAAGAATTTTAGAAAATCAGAGATTACAAAAAGCAGGAACATCATCTGTAACCCTAACTGGCCTGCCCTAAGATCAACACACCTATGTATCCCAAGTAGCCCCCACAAATTATGCTTCAGGTGACATCATAGTATGATATATAATATTGATATGATGTAATGTCATTGATGCATTTGTGTATTTGTATGTCTGATATTATGAACAGCCTTCTATCATCTTTAAGAGTCTGCACATTATTCCATTATATGGATAAAACAGTTCTCCTAGAGTTTATTTCTAATTCTTTCCTATTATTAATACACGATAAGCCTCTTTCTGGTCCAAGCACATTCCCTTCAGCCTACTGATGGCCAAGTCACACCTCTGTTTCCATCTGGCAGTCCCTTTCTCTCAACTTCCATTCAGAACTCAGCCTTTAGAAAGAGGACATAAAAAATTTGTTTCCTCTTCTGCCTTAGCCTCCCACAGTCTAGCTTCTGTTTCTTGTCTTCTCCACAACAACAGCTCTGGAGCGCTGACCTCTCATCTGAAGCATATTGTAGAAGCGTTTCTGTTTTTTTTACTTATTTCTCTGTGACATTTGATGCCACTGACCACTTTTGCTCCACCTTTAAGTCTTTGGATTTTCTAACTCTTCATTGTTCCAGTTCAATCTTTATTTTTCTGACTCCTTGTTTTCTAGTTCATCTTTGTATCCTTTTAAACATAAATCTTTTCCAGGTATTCTATACTGGGTTTTCACCTGCACACTTGGGGTAGTTGTACTCATTCCCATTATTTTAAATTTCTGCAGATTTGATGTTAACTGCCCACCTGTTTCTCCAACCCAGGCTTCTCTGTAGGGCTCCATATTTGTATGGAGCTCTCTCGGTTGATCCACTTCAAAACTAAGCCAGTCAGAAGCTAAATTTTTAGTGTCTACCCTTGCCCCACTATAGTCAGCCTCCACCGTTCTTTAAATAGCATCACCATCTGGCTAGAAACCAGAAAGTCAGCTTAGACTTGTCCTTCTCCCTAGCTCATACCTCCTTCCCCAATTTTAAATGGCAACTGACTTCTGTTTCCCCATTCATTATTCTGCATCCCCAGTGCCTCTAATCTTGTAAAGATTCCCTCTGTGAGGAGTTGTTTTGAATGGGTATAAATTTAGTTATATAAGATGAATAAGTCCCAGAGATCTGCTGTACAACATATTGCCTACAGTTAACAATATGATATTGTGCATCTAGAAATTTGTTAAGACAGTACTTCTCATGTTAAGCATTCATACCACAAAACAAAAACAAATAAAACCCTAAAGGTCCACATGGAAGCTTTTGGAGATGATGAATATGTTTATTATTCTGGTTGTGGTGATGGTAGCATGAATGCATACATATATCCAAACTCACCAAATTGTAGACATTAATTTTGTGTGGTTTTTTGTATACCAGTTATACCTCAGCAAATCTTGAGGTGAGGGAGCCTTCCATTATTTCTTGACTTCAGACTCCACTTTCAACATTCTTGAGGCTGTTTCTCCTACTGGTACTGTGAATTCTGTCTCTCCCCACCCCCGAATCCTACCATCAGTTCTCCTGGTGCATCGAATGAGACAGAAACTCCTCAGCATGGGTGGCCCCATTGTCGTCCCTTTGTCCTTTCTTGTAACCACTTTTCTTGTCTCCTGCTTTTACGGGTGAGTAGAGTTCTCCCTTTCCTCCATTCTCGAGGTAGAATTAAGCACATTCTCTTCTGTGTTCCCTGAGCACCTACACACAGGGTTACTCAGCCTTGGAACTGGTAACATTTTGTGTTGGATAATTCTTTGTGCTACACTGTGGGATATTCAGCAGCTTCTTGACCTCTACTCATAGCTACCAGTAACTGTCCTCCACACTCAGTTGTGACAACCAAAAGTGTCTCCAGACATTCCCAGTGTTTCCTGGGTGACAAACCTCCCCTATTAAGAACACTGCCTTGTATGTGCCTCTTCTGAAGTACTTACAATGCGTGGCGAATATGTCCACACGTGTCCATCTTCATTCTGTCAGAGGTCAGTACATCTGTGGCTTCTAGAACAGTACTGAGATCAGAGTGGCCCCCAGTCAGCACGTGTTCTTTGCTGCCTGACTGTGCATGCCAGGACAGTCGTTCGCTGCTGCTCTAGACAAATGAGAAAGGAAAGTCAGCAATTGTGGAGAATTTTGCCATTTGGAACAGTTTGGTAGTTTGATAAAAGGCTTTGCTTTGTAATAAGTGAATTCAAGGAAAATATTCTATAATAGGCACGTGAGGGAAGTTGTATAATATCTTTTGTTAGAATTATTTCAAAAAGAGACTCGATTTTTTAAAAGTCTGATTCATTCATTTAATTAATTTGTCAGTAATGCTTGAATTTTGTTTTGTGCTAGGGACTTTTTTTATTCCTGGATGAAATAGTCCTGCCTTTTTATGGCCTTTTAGACTTTTCAGATAGATAGTCAAGGAGGAACTGTAATACAGTGAGATAAAATAAGTCACTGCAGGGGAGATTTCCAAGATAGTTACCTGAGTCTCATACTGTCGGCAGATGCGGCCTGCAGGTGTGTATAGGGGCAAATTCCAAGTAATCTTAATACATTGATGCTTTGTAGGATTTAGCAATAAGCACTGTCCCCCCATATTTGCTTTTATTCATCTTTATTTTAGTGAATTTGGAGAATTTGTGTTTTAAGATAGTGGCTTAAAATTAGCATGGTCATGAAGCATTTAATATTTCCTTTATGCTGTATCGTAATGATTTTCCCTCCCCCAGTTTTTTCCTCCTTTACTTGAATTTCTGTAATATGAAGCATAATGTGGCAAGGATTCTGATCTCGTGGCCTAGTCTGTCTGCAGAGGTGTATGTGAGTGAGACCCCTTTTAATCATTCGTATAATGATTGGTGGCTCCCTGTTGTTAAACCACAGTTATTGATCTATCATTTCTGAAGTACATGGCTGAAGGAACTGGTGCTGTCAGGCATTGATTGACTAGGAAGGAAGTGTAGAGCTATTCTAACTCACTTTTATTTTCATCAGCAACAGTTACAGTAGAGACTTGTGCAAGACCTCCATGATGGAACGTCATTTTTCCTGCATTAAGAGGTGTCTGATGTGACTGAAATTGCTGGGATAACTCAAACTGCTGCATTTAAAATATTTAGAACAGAATACACTGTCCAAAACCTTCTTATCTGACTTGGCTAATGGTTCAGGCTCTGGAAAATAAATTTGGGGGCATGGGGGATGGGTAAAAAAGAACAGATCTAGTATAAAATTGTTCCAAAGCAAATTGAGCAACCTATATGTTAATATTTTACTGAAGAAGTATATCTACACAAATTAACTCAGACAAAACAAGTGTGTTTTTGTGTAAGTTAAATTGTTTAATGGCTGTTCAAATAATTAAGTTCAAGTCATAATTAATAGCTGTCTTTTGGTACTGTTGTTATGTTTTGGTCTGTTTCAGGAGGATTTGGGACCTGCATGCGCAAATATTTTAGATAAGGATATAAACTGAAGATAGTAAAGGTAATTATTAAAAGTGCCTCTCTTTCATTAGCACAACTTACGTACATTTTAACATCTGAGATGAGCATTGTTTATTTTAATGGACTCTTTAATAATGCTTATGTTATGCCCTGAACTCTAGTTAGAATGAAAATGAGCAAGAACAACAAAAATAAATGGTGTTGGGGTTCGGCAGAGGAAAGATGGGAGGAGTGCATTAAGAGAGTGAAACCAAAAGAGAGGACAAAAAATACAATTTCTACTGTAGTTGCCTAAGAGCCTGTGCTTTTGTCCCTCTCTCTGAATGTTTTATTTTTGCTATAATTACAGCATCTTGCCTGCACTTTGTCCCTCTGATCCTTTGTTAAAGCCCAGATCACTCTGTGCAGACTGCGCTTGTAGGTGTGATTTATTGAGTGACAAGTAGCTGTAGGGTAGAACACCCGCCTCTGTACCTGAGTAAAGTATTAGACATCACAGAGCTGGGGCAGGCAGGAGGGGGGCCGAGGAAGGAGTGGGGGAGGCGAAAAGCAAAGAGCAGTAACACAGCAGCTCCTGGATACAGATCAGACAAGAGGTTCTGCCACAAATCACCTAGAAACATGTCAGACGCTGCATGTTTGTTGTTTTACACTGAGGGCACAGCCGTAGTCCAAAAGTATTGATTCTTTTCTTTGTACAGAGACAGAGACTGTCAGACCTAGCAGGCTGACCTTGGTATGGTGCAGACAACTATTCCCCACCCTGCCGACCAGATGAACCCCACAGGAGCAGCCTAGGCAAGATATGCCAATGTCCACTTCACAGGCACAGAGAGAAACCGATGCCTGCTGAAACGGCTCCTTCTGTTTCCCAAACACTTCCCCCGCCAGGCCCCCAGAGTGCTCCTTGTGACAGAAAATTGGAGGCAGGATTCTTGGAGGGAGCGTGTGTGCTTTTTTGTGTGTGTCTTAAAACACACAAAAAGAAGCCCTTTTTATTTCATTTGTCCGTGAGATAAACTGAAGGATGTCTGGGCAATGGTGTATATGTGTGCATTTTGTATTTAAGGCGGCAAGAGGAGATAGTTTATTTTCTGTTTGTACATATCGAAGGGGAGATTTCTGTGTGTGGGCACTTACATTTGTGAGTGCGTGTGTTTCCCCTCTTCTCTATTTCAAAAGCTTTGGTGAGATGGGGAAGAGTAATCAACTGTCACACTTAATTGATCTGCAGTTATTTTAAAAGTTGTTTAACAGTAAAACTACACAGACCCATTTGTCCATATGAATCTGCAGGTCTCTTTATAGTCTTAAAATTCACTGTACTCTTAAGTCATTTTGCAGCATTTAAAAAATTCATTTATTCTGAAAATCAGGTAATTTTAAACTAAAAATACTAGTTTGTAATTTGGAGATCATCTAATATAAATAGAAACATATAACCGCCAACATTTTGAAATCAAGAGTTCAAAACTTGATCCCGTAAACCATTAGGGAGTAGGGCCCACAGGGTGCCCTTGAGGAAGTATACCCTATCTCCTGTTGGGCTTGGTGTGTCAAGACTTCGGTTTGCCAGAAATGCTTGCCTCCAAGTAGAAGGTGTTTCAGTTACTCTTTGCTGAAGCTGAGTGTTTTATTTTGACTAACAATAACAGGGAGGATGCCTTTCTCCCTTTCACTTTTAGGAATGTTGTTGCATGCACAACTTCTGTCCATAAGATTGAGCTGTCCATGAGGAAAAACTCCAGTAGATTTCAGATTTGCCCGAAGGAAAATATGAGGCACACTGATGGGGAAGAAAAGTGATGATATCATGTGCACTTAGGGTGTAAAAACCTCTCCTTTAAAAACGAGGTTTCTCTTTTTCAAGTAAAATAATGCAGACAGGTTCAATGTGTGTAATACTATATTACATTTGTATAATTCACTTTAAATCTTTTATTAAAGTGAATTTTTCAAAAAGTAGACCACTGAAGATAAAAATAACAAGTAAGGCATTCACTTTCGTGAAAAGCCCCATTATTTTCTACATCTCCATTTTCACATTCATCCTATTTGTTTAAGTGACTGGTTTGGCAACCTAAAAGAAAACCCAATGGTTAAAAAAAAACATTTGTTTTATAGTTAGTTTTTACTTGTTTTTATAGTATGAGATCTCTGTGTAGTATTGAGTTTTGCAGACTCCTGAGAGAAAAAAAATTCTAATAAAAGTGCTATTATCTGAAAACAATGACTCAATTAATTATTTTGGTTTCTTATGTTGATTCTAAATATTTCTTGTTTCTCTTTGTTGGGTCTTTATGTCTCATCCAAAACAGATTTACATTTTGAGGTTAGAAACAGCTGAACAAGTCTGCCTTTGGGTATTAACAAAATAAGCAAACTATTTAGGATATATCAATGTCTTTACAAAAGGATATTCCACTTATAAAATGGGAGCTGAGGAACACATATGCTGTGTAAGAAATACCATCTAAGAAAAATAATGCATAGAATAGATTAGGAATGGTTTAAGATCTGAACACTCAGGATTGGTATTTCTTAACACTCTATTTTTTATTTTAATATATACATGCTAATCGTCTTTCTCTCTTCTCCGTATATGTTATAGTCACTTGATTTACTACTGAAATTATATTGCTTTTGAAAGTGTCAGTTGAGTTATCCCTTGCCTTGTTAGTATCATGTTTGATTTCTTGGACAGAGACATAAATCACTATCTCATATGCAGGTCTTTTGAAGACGCACCCAAGGTTTATTGCCAGTAACAGACTAGTGGCCTTATGTGGACTTTCCATGAATAAAACAGATTGATGAGCCATTTTATAGCATCGCAAGCTGTATTATAAATACATCACCCTTTTCAGTAATTTAACGTGAGGAACAGCCTAATGAGCTCCCAGCCATGATCAGCCAGAGCTGGGAGTTTTGTTTAGCTTCTAGGACAAGTGACTGGTGGAGGGTAAGAAACCCAAACCCTGTATTGTTTTCCCCAGTTCTGTGACAAAATCTTGTAATATGAATCATTTGAAGTAATAGTAAAGTAAAGATGCATTTAGAATCTGTCAGAGTAATAAAGGGAAATGTAAAGTGGGTCTGATTTTGCTTATAGCTGAAATCTAAGGTTAAGATGATAGGCTTTTTAAGTTACTTGTTTTTCTTTTACTGATTGAAGTCATCAATTGAATAAACAGATTCTCATTTTGAAATATACATGATGTAATATCTACCTGATAGCTTGGAAAAGGAACAGGTAGATATAGTTACAACATCGTAACGGTCTCTTTTGAAAGTATAGCTTAAGATGACCATTGTTTCTGTATTCAAGCCTTCTTTTTTGCATAGCTTACAACACTTTACCTTTATTTTTTCATTAATCCTTAAAATATCCCTGTGGAATAGGATGAGTGGGTGGCATCTTAGGGTAAACAGTTACTATCCTTTCTGGTGAGGAAACCGAGGCATATAGAAATGGTTGTTTTTAAAGAGTTATCTGACTAGAAAGAAAAGCAAGATAAAATTAATTTTTAGAAGTGAAAAATATTTTGCATTACGTATAGCACATGTCAATATTTACAAAACTTACACAAACATAACTTTGTGGACCTATAATTTTCTAAAAGTTTGGAAAGTAGGCGACACTTAGGATTGGAAAAGGCATAGCTTTGTGAATAATTTTTTTGCTACCTGGAAGCTGCAATATATTTTGAGCTAGAAGCTTCTATAAGATATTTCCCTTTTCTGAATGCAATTGATTATGCTATACTGCATAATACTACATTTACCTATATATAATCCAGTTAAAGCTGTATTACATATTTATAGAAGTCAGACTTTGGTCTGAAATGCCATTATTTATAAACACAAATCAGTGAGTAATTAGTCTACTGTGTAAAAAAAATAAAAAAAAATTTTGAAATAATCTTTTCTACTGTGAAAACAGCCAGGCAGTTTGGTGGACTCTGTTATTCATATGTCAGACGGGAATTACCTTGAGTGTACAGGGAAGAATGAAGAACTGAAAAGGCTTTAATTTTCTTTAAAGAATAGGTAAAAACAGAATATTTTACCACTAAGGCATGAACACATCAGTGATGCCCTAACCAGTTGAGCTCAGTCCTGCCTACACTGAGACACAATGCACTTTCAATTTAAAAATACATCTAATTTAAATGGAATGGTCCTATTTATGCCCTCTGTTCCTTATTAAAAATGGTCGACAAGTAAAATTCCGTTTAAGAATACCTGCAGACAGTCAATATTGTTTTGAATTTTAAAGAGTTCCTGTGTCTTGTGAATGACATTATGCCTTTAATATTCCGTATTCAGGGCAGAGTCCTTTTGAAACCAACTGTGCATTTATCTCCATTTTTGCTTTCTTGGTCTTTGCCTTCCTCTGCCATGCACCCAGGGTTGAGTGCTGACTGCAGGTCTAAGCTTATCAGATTGGATGAACCTCTTCGGTGTCTCCATTTTGGAAACTGTGGGTGAGAATTTAATGTTCCCCTAGCCCACACTTTGAAAATGCAAGATTACAGAAGATTTATGAAGGCCTCTGTGTCTCCATAGCTCTGTTCTTTGGGGTACCTCTGAAGTTTACTACTGAGCGAATGATCTTGGCATGTTAGTATAGGCTGAGCCAAAGTTTGTGCTATATTATTTATGATTCTATAGCATTGGCCTCTCAAACAAATGAAGTTTATTGACGTATCATCTGGAACAAAATTTTGGCTAATTCATAATTTATACATCAGAAATAGATGCCTTTCTCTTATAGATTGTGCCACTTGAACATAAAATAAGATTTTAAGATTAAAAGAAACAGAGGCCTGTAGAAGTGGCTTTTCAAGCTTGTAGTCACTGATGGTTTTTTAATCCCTAAACAACACAAAACAAAGGAAGACAGAATATGCTTTTCCCTCTCCCATACTTCCCTTTTCTGTCTCTAATTGTAAGCTCTTGTGCACCAGTGCTCCTACTTTTCCTCTGAGTTTAGTGATAGTTCATAAGAAAAGCATTAGGCTTATGGAAAGAAAGATCTGTCGCCAGTGGACTTGATTCTCCCTTGTGATTTATAAGGGTCTGAGAAAGCAGTCTTCCAGGTCTTCTCTTCTCAAGGACTCTGGGAAAGTCTTGTTCAAAACTAATGGTTCTTAAAGAATTGGTCAGCTGCAGACCACTGGCCTCTCAAAACACTGGGTGGTTCAGGTGGATAGCACACACTGCTTTGCAACTCCAAGATGCAGTGGGTGTGCTGGGGCCCGTGAGTCCGTCCTGGAAGACCTTTGGAAATTCTGTGTTAGTCAGGCTCATTCTCTTTCACTTGATGTGCGCACAGATTTTTGTAGAAATCATTTGATATCCCAGTAGTGTACAAAGCATGGGATGATATATGCATTCACACACTTACATATCAAAGATACACTTCTTCTATGTTTTTGTCTTTCATACAGAGTCTAAGGCGACTAAGTCGTTATGCTATTTTAGCACATAAAGATATCATTGGTTTTAACTCAAAGTGATTGACTCAAACTATATTTTTATCATAGTTTGAGTACCTCATACTTGTTCACTGCCCTTATGTGCATGGTCACCTTTAGAGGGCATAATTCTGCTAAAAAACTATTCCTAATGAATTGCAAATGGAGATGAGTTAAGTAAGCTGTGTTAATTATGTCATTTGCAAGATTGTCTAATGTGGAATTGGTCAAGAGACTGGAAACTGCTTGTCAAATGTTTCTCTTAACTAATGTGATAGTTTGTGGTTTGCAGGTGACACAATTTCCATAACTTATTTGATGGAGCCTCATTAACCACCCCTTAGTTCGCCTTAGCAAAATTATGTTATTAAACATGTCATGATAAGTTCTGTCCTCATTACTTTGCATTCGGCACAGTGAATAGTGTTTGTCTTGTGACACCTCTCCCAGGTCCTTAGTCTTCGAGGAAGCCAAAGGAATTCCATGTTCAGAATTGTGTTTTTAAGCTGCTTTCCAGCATTACACACATCTCTCTTGACTTGGCTAATAGAACCTGGATGTGTTCTCAATCACTGCTATCACCATGCAGTCCTTATTTAGCCCTCTGTCATTTCTCCTCAGAGCTTGGTGTCCTGATGTTCTACTGTCTTAAATAGAAACCCAAAGAATCTCTGAACCATATAGTTTTAGTTAAAAACAGCCAAGTGTATGGCAGTAGTAACTGTGATGATAATTCCAGTAGTGGAGCAGTTTTCGTTTTTCATAGCATCTGCCTCATCTAGGAAATCTTCACATTAGCAGCAGAGCATTTATCTCTCTAGTGAATAATTTTTATGTTTGCCCATGTTTGTTGCTTAGTGCTGAGAAACTTCATATGTCTTTTTTTAAACACACACACACACATATTTTATTGCGTACATTGGTGACTCTCTGTAATTTTGTCTTCAAAGGGACCAGTCTCAGAGATACTTTACAGTGATTGCCTTTTAGTATTTAGTTTCTGTCACTTAATTTTTTCTGGTGGTGGGAATTCATTTTTGTTAATGTATAAAATTTTTCAAAATTGGGAGATGGTTGAATAAGATTAGAAATATAGTTCATGGCAGTGGAATAGACTAGCTAATCCACAAGTGAACTGGAATAGCATATTGATCTAAATGTATAAGATACCTTTATTAAACCTGCCTAAGAGGATCATATTTAATATTTATTTTCTAGTGAGCAGTATTGTACTTACTAAATTGATGGGAATACACATATTGATGAATCTCTTATATTTTACTTGAAAAATTCTGTTGAAGGCTACTTTATCCTTTAACCTGATAAACCCTCTCTCTCCCTCATTCTCAAAAATCTCATCATGGTTGCACTTGGATCAAGCTTCTTCATAAAGTCATTGTCATCTTACACTTTTCCCAGAAGCGTCACCCTAGGGGAAAAATGATTGTGTAATAGAAAAACTCTCTCTGCATTCTATGCATTGACCATTCATTATCTTCCATTTGGCTACCCTTTGACCTCCTTTCCCTGAGCCACATAGCTAACCAGGTCGGCCTCTGTCAAAGTCTGTCTAAGGATGTTATTCTTCCTGTGGTCTCCCTTTTTCTTTCTACCTTCTACCGGCCCCCACCCGTACCACACACATTCCGCCAATTCTCTGTGCAGACTTGACATAAGATTCCACCCCAATCCTTGTTATGTAACCTACCACCTACCCCTTTTTGGCAAGGGACACCCGAGTCAGCAAGTTGCAACAAAGAGTGGAGTTAATTGGAACATGTGCTGTGCCCAAATCTCAACAAAGAAGGGCTGATAGACATCAGGAAAACACAACCATATGTAGATGTTTGCTTGAGGAATATGAGTGTACATGGGAAATATCATCTACAACCAGGTTGCATTTAAATAAAATCAACCATCATTCTCCTCTTTGTCTTCCGACACCCCTTTCCCCCACATGTAATACTTTTAACTTGCTCTCTCATGTCTGCTCATGGGTGGGCATGGTCTACTAAACTGACAAATGAAACAGATCTGTCTGTGATACTTCATATGGGGAACCTTATGTAACTTATGCGGGGGACTCAGCTATGGATGACATCCCAGTAGACCCTCTATGGATTCCCAGCTGTTACAATATCTCATACCCTTTGTGACCTTTTCTTCTATTTTTGCATCCCTTTTAGAAATTTAGGATTTTTTTAATTTAACCCCGAATTTCTTAAATGTGGGTACAATTTACACAGAATGAAATAGACCCATTTTAAGTGTACAGTTTATGAGTTGTGACAAAATGTGTATACTCATATTAAACTATCGCCCCAACCAAAGTACGTATCATTTTCTTTACCCCATAATGTTCCCTTATGCCTTTTCCAGTTAATCTCCTTTCCCCTAAGGCAACCATTATTTTGATTTGTCACAATAGATTCATTTTACCTGTTCAAGAACTTTATATAAATTGGATCATACAGTATGTACTATGTTGTGTCTGGCTTTTTTTGTTTGTTTTTCTCATATTGTTGTGTGTATTAGTAGTTTGTGTCTTCTTTATTACCAAGTAGTATTTCACTGTAAACAACAGCCATTTAAAAAATGAATATTTAGACATATTTTATGAGTTGTTTCTATATAGTGGAGACATCTTAAAATTGCAGCAACTCTTGAGTTTAACAAATAGTTGACTGTCATCAGACTTTCACTTTTTTACTACTTCCCTGCCCAAGGGTGCTGGAATTCCCCAGCTGTGGGCTGAATGCCCATCCCAAATTCTCAGGCTTCTGGGTATTCTTGGTTCACATCCTGAACTTCAGAAGGAATGGTGACCTCCAGTTCACTGAGATGGTTTAGAACATCTTAAAACTTTTGCTATCCTCACTTACGTTGTGAAACTGTTTTGCTAACTGGAAGGTAGACGTGTTGCTGTGTACAAGTGAGGATTCTGAAACAATACGAAGGCCTTTTCAGAACCCTGTGGAATGACCTGAAAGGAACTTTGTCTTTGAGCGTCTCCTGATGTGTATTTTCGATAATGTATCCTGCCCTCAGTGTTTTTCTCTGTAGGTTTTAAAGGCCTCAGAAGTCCCAGAATGGTTCTGGACCTGAGTTGCTACTTGAGAGGATCTTGTAATCCTGCTGGTCTCTAGATACCTTTAGGACAGAAGTGCTGGGTGATTAGGTTAATAATACTTATTCTTTATTAAACTATTTAACCATTATAAGCAATATGCTAAGAATTTATGTACATTAATTTATATATAATCTAACATCCTGTTTATGTTAATACTGTTATTATTCCCACTTGCTAGCTGAGGAAACTAAGCCTAAATAACTTACCCATGGTTATACAACTCTTGTGCTGTGATGGGACAAGGATGTGATTCCAGATCTGACATCCAGTCCCACCAACATTCTATTCTAAGTCCCACAAATACTTTCTGGACATCTCCTCCCAAGTATAAAATAGACAGTGTGGTAATGTACATGTGTTTAGTATTGGGTATAAAATATCCAGTGTAATATAATTGTTAAGCTATTGAATATTATGAAAAGTATAAAAATGTGACGTGAACTGGAGCCTCTAACTGCATTGAATTCTTTTCATTTAAGGGTCTTAGAACATGTGAAAAGGCAGAAAATAATAATTTTTTATAAAGAATAGTAGTAAGAACTGTTGTGCACATTTTGAAGGTGAAGATTTTGAGACAAGATTCTTTAACTTTTCCACAGCAATATAGAGTTAGAAGAAACCTAGACTGTCTCCCTGTGCCTCTTCCTCTACTCTTTCAAATCTTCTTTTTCTCTTATCCAAGCCAAGGTTCAAGGAACATTATTAATTGTTATCTTTTTTACCTGCAAGTCATAGACAAGGACTAGAGAAATTCTTGTATGTGTTAAGAGTTTACCTAAGAGACTATTATGACAGCAGTCAGGAATGATTTCTTTAAAGTATGTAAATGTAGCGTCTTCATTATGGCTTAGATTTACAATGCTGACGACTTTGTGAAGCAGAGAAAGTTGAAGAGTTAGGGGCTGCTTTACGAAGTGTACTTTGGAACAGTTTCTAGTTTCTTTCAAACTTTGAATTGAAAGAGAAAAAGCAAAGTAAGTACCTAAATCAGCACTAGCCAAAAGAAAAGAAAGAGAAAGAGAAAAGAAACCTGCACAAGGCAGCAGCTACTCTCCATTGGGAAGCTCATCCCCTCCTTGACAGTTGCTGGGCTGGCTGTGCAATGTTTGATATGTGCTACTTATTTACTGTCTTTCTGTTTCTCTCTTGATGCTCTTAGACTGACACTGTGTTAACTGTCTTATGCCACTGATTACATCTTTCCTTTCATCTTTGTTATGACTAGTTTAAAGGATAAATGGTGATTTTCTATAAACACAATACATAAGCTTAAAGAAAAAGATGAACATTTTAGAGAATTTGGGATTATTCAGAATCCCTATGACTATAAATGACTTAGCATATCTAGAATGCACCGAGTTGATTTATTTTTTTCTATTAATAGTCATCATGATTAGATAGTACCAGCTTTAATTTTAAGTTTTGTTGCCTGTGAAGTTTATTTTCAATGCTCAATACCATCCAAGAGAGAATCTTGTTTAAAAATTTTAATCAAAACATATTTAAGGTGCTTGGAACCTAAGGGATCACTTGATTCAACCTTGTCATTTCTCTGTTCATCTTGCAATAACTTGAGGGGGCCACCTAAGGTTATTCTAGATATCTAGATTCTTTTCCTCTTCTTGCCCCTTGACTCCATTGATAAATTGAGAATGAAAATATCTCTCTGGAATATCTTTTGATTTGGTATGTATAGGAAACTTTGATATCATTGTAGAAAGGCAGAATAGAAATAAAAGATATTTCAAAGTCTTTTGATGTAGGTTACCATTTGTAAATCTGTGAATCTCTGCTTTGACTTCCTGAAAGGTTATCAGAAAGCTCTTCTAAGGTTCTCTTGGGGTACTTATTACAGGCGTATAGGTGTAGCCCTACCCCATTCCACACCTCCCATAGGTTCTTCTGAAAGTTTATGGTGTTAAGAGAACTCAAGATTTTTAAAACTGGCTACTTGTTCCTATTGTTCTTGAGGAAAATTGTGCTGAAGACAGCTGTTTGAAGATTTCTTTAATATAAAATCTTTAATCTTAAACCATGCTGAGGAAGGTCAGTTTGGGGCAGAAAAAGAGCCATGTATTTGTCCCATTTACTCCAGAAGAAGCTAAAAATGATTTTTGAATAGCAGCTACCCTTATAAGTACCAAGAAACATCAGATGTGATTGCTGCTTTTCACATGCTTAGAATATAATTTCTCCATATTTTTTCATGCAAAAAAAGCAAAGAATTCTAGAATTAAAAATAAGAGGGACCTAAGATCATATATGGTGCAGCTCCTAAGATGCTACACCATAACCAGTGTAAAAGTTGAATCTTTGCTGGAGGGGGCTATGCGTGGATATTTTTTTCACTTTCCGTAGGTGATTCAAATGTATAGCCAAGGTTGAAAACCAGGAATGTGGATTCCAGACCAGCCTTTCTTACTTATGTTTGGGGTTGCTGAGACTTACAGAAAGTAAAATTATTCTGTGAGTAGATAACTAATTATTTGAGACCCAAATTCTGGTCTCCCAGAATTTGGTACCTCATTTTTTTTTTTTTTTTTGAGACAGAGTCTTGCTCTTTCACCCAGGCTGGAGTGCATTGTCGTGATCTTGGCTCACTGCAACCTCCACTTCCCAGGTTCAAGCGATTCTCCTGCCTCAGCCTCCCGAGTAGCTGGGATTATAGGTACGCACCACCATGCCCGGCTAACCTCATACGTTTTAATCCCAAATTAATGCCAGCTCTATATAGAAAAGACAGGTCTGTGATCATTATTCATCTGTGTAGTTTTCTTTCTACTGTGATAATCATAGCTCAGTTTAGGGAGCACTTACTGTTGGCCTGGCACCATGACAGCAGTTTTACAGGGTTACTTTCTTAATTAAGTATACTCATATTCTCGTTTCACAAATGAGGAAACAGGCCCAAAGAGAAAGTAACTTGTCTACATTTTTAGAGCAAGAGTAAGTGGAGGTGCTGGAATTGGAACCCTGATAGTTAGATTCCAGAACTGTGACTCTTGAACTACTTAACTGTACCTTCTCCTAGAAGGATTTGATTATTGCTTTTCATTCCAAAACAAAGTTTTGTGTAGACTATTTAAGCCATAGGGACTGTAGACTGTATTTTGAAAGCCAAAATTAAGAAAACAAAAAATGTGGCCCCAAGGCACTCACTGTTTTTCTTCCTTGATTCTTGAATCTTAAGACAGCATGGGATATTAGTGATGACAGTCTTCCTACTGCCAAATGGACGCTTGGCCACTAGTTGTAGATTTGCTTCAAAGATTTTGTGTCCTCAGAAGTGAAAGAAAAATTTTAGTGAGGCACATGCTGTGGGAAGGGTGGTTTGGTCAGTGGTTTTGTAGTATGGTTTGTGTTGTTTTCTCAGTGTGGAGAAAATAAGGAAAGCTATATAGTAAGGAAGAATATGTTAAAATATGTACTCTACCTTTCAAAGAAGAGTCCAGGGTGAGTAGCAATGCTAGTGCCACCTGAAAGAACTTTGGAGATGTTTCTTAGGTCAGAATGAAAAGCTGTTGCAGTATTGCCTAAAATAGAATTTATAAAACAGAACGCTATTGAGACTTGTTAATGTTTACAGATACTGTTTTCTTTCTCCTTTTCCTTAAAAAAATCCTTATGTGCTCACTTTAAAGTATAAAAGTAAACAACAAAACTTGTATTATATTAGGTGTAATTTCAAGGATAACGAAGTGGAAGGAGCATGTTGGCAAGGTAATTTTCTAGTATCAGGTGAGTGTTTTAGAAGAAGGGTCACTACTTATTTTGGCTTATAGAACATGATGGTAAATCAGATGATAAATGTTGCTTAATAACTTGCTGCATTGGGTGTTTACTGAATTGCGAAGGAAAAATCTTTAACCAGTACGTTAGTAGATATTTGCCTGTGACTTTTAATTAAATGTTAACAGCAAACAGAAAAATGGCCATTCCATTAAATAGCATCATCTTACATGGTATTTTGATTATTTCTTGGCATCTTCCAAAAAAAGGGAATTCTCATGTGGGAATGATGGCTGTAGCTTAGAGAGAAAGAGAGTTTACATATTTGATTACATATTTGATACATATTTAACATGGCCATATCTTTGTATATATGCTTTATTTCATTTAATCCATATGCCCCCATTGAAATGTAACATTTATTTGGACTAGAAGTTTTGGAATCTTAGCTGGAACCACTGATTTCAGACACTTATGTGATAGCAGGATTGTTTAGTCCAATATGTAATTTGCATCCGAATACTTTATTAATCTAGAAATTTTTAGTGGTGAAATTAAGTTATCTTTTGAAACAGTCTAGCAAATTAGACTAAACAATCAGGAAATTAATTAAATAGAGGCAACAGATTGGGATAGTAAACCTATTTGTAATATTAATAATAGCTCACTTTAAAATATCTGAGAAAGTGCCTCAGCAAATTTATTTGGTGTAGATTTTTGTGTTTCCCAGACATGGGAAAGGGAAGGTTCTTGAAGGAGAGAAGAAATGTCCCACTCATCTGACCACTTCCTTTCTGTTATAATTTAAGATCTTTTCCATGATTTTATTTTAATCTTCTCACTGACTTTTTCAATGATTTACAATCTGAAGTATTTTGAAAAATTATCATACTGTGCATACTGTACATAGTGTGATTACTTTTGTGCAGGGATTTAAAAAAGTAATCAGTGGTCTTTCTTTGAGAATGAACTTTTCTGGTAATGATTTCTACAACATAGAACAAAGCCTTCATTCTTTGTATTTTCCAGTAGTTACTTTATCCAGTAATTCTCATGCATTTCTCTGTGAGCATTTCTAAGGTCTTGTTCTGAGGGTCCAATTTCCTATATTCACATCCTGGCACATCTGTAAATGCTCACAGTGATGGTGTCTTAACTCTTTCTAGAGCTGTGAACGTACTGCTTCTTGAGTTCTTAGACACCTCTCTTTCTAAAGTAACAGGATCCTAGTGTTAGTTTCACTGTAAGAACTGAAATCCAGAACCTGGATGTCCTGTGACCACAAGGGGCAGAGCCAGGTCTTGGTTGCAGCTGTTCTGATGCCCAGTTTGGACTCTTCCCTAGCTAGTCTGTTATGCTGCAAGCTGAAGTTTACAAATTTGATGCCTCCTGTTGGGGTATTTCTGAAGGGTGTATAGGGTTATCAAACACTCTTAAAATACATGCCTAAGGTCATGCTTAATGTATACGGCAAACCATCCCTCACAGTTTCTTGCATAAACTTGAATATGTTCTACATGTTTTCTCAGCCTAATAGAATGACCGCTTAATTGAGTTGTATAATTTGAAATGTTGAAGTGCAATAAGAACAGGAGGACTCTCTGCTTTCTTTGGAAACTATTAACCAGTAAATGAAAATTTAGTTGAAAACTAGTAGTTAATAATTGCCATTTTCTAACATGAAAGGATTTTATCCCTCATGTGTTTTGTTAAACATTGTAAAAGTGTCAAAATTAGCTGAACTCTCATGTATTTGTATTTAATATAATCTGTTTAGATGATCTGGATATGAAATGTGATAGGAATGATGGTTGTAGCTTAGAGAGAAAGAGAGAGAGATTGAGACCCTCTCTGAATATTTGGTTTCTGGATTTAATCACCAATGCACTTATTTTATTACTCTTGGCTTTTGTAGTCTGAGGACTTTGTTTTCTTCTTTTGCTTAATTTTCTTAACCTGAAATGTGACTTGGCAAAATTAAGGACAGAGGTGTATCAAATTCTTTGCTAGTCTCTATTTTTTTTTTTGTGAAGAAGAGATTTGTATTACTACGTTTTATTTATAATCTTTAGAAGAGCTATAATAGAAATGGGTTCATAGATCTGTAAAAATCAAAATCACTCTTAAAAAATCCCTCAAGCTGTCTGTCACTAATGGGGGAAAAAATGTAATCCACTTTGGAGATTTTTTTTTTTAATGAGACAGGGTCTCACTCTGTTGCCCAGGCTAGAATGTAGTGGTGCGATCATAGCTCACTGAAGCCTTGAACTCCTGGGCTTACGCAGTCCTCCTGCTTCAGCCTTCCAAGTAGCTAGGATGGTAGGCATGCATCACCACACCTGGCTAAGTATTAAAAAAAATTTTTGTAGAGATGGAGGTCTTGCTGTGTTGCCGAGGCTGGTCTGAAACTCTTGGGCTCAAGCGGTCTTCCTGCCTCAGCCTCTCAAAGCACTGGGATTACAGGCATGAGCCAGTGTGCCTGACTTGAGATTTTTTTTTTTCCTGTGTTTTCACATGTGTTGTTGTAAGGTTCATTTGGTTTTGTTGTTATTGTTGTTAATAAGGACATAAAAAAATTTGATATGAGAATTAACGAAGAGGCACTAACATAAAGATAATAGAAAAGAATATAGTGGTAGCATTCAACAGTGGTGTATTGAGATTGCAATTATTTCTTAAAACTTGAAATCATTTTTGAAATACATATGTTAGACCTATGTCTACAGAAACAAACATGCCAGACACTGAGCTTTTCTTCTTTCTAGATGTTGGTAATTAGTAAGCAAATGCTAAAATTTAATATTAGAATAAAATGACCAGATTTTTTCCATTGCTTAACAGAGACCAATAACAACATTGTTATGAATATAAATTTTCATTATTTCTGTTATTGAACTAAAATTTGGTTTTGATAAAATGTCTCCTAAAGTGTCATCCAAGAATACTTTATTAACTTCTGTTTTTAAAAAATAAGTACAGTAATTTTTTTGATAACCTCAAACTTATTAAGTTCACATTAAGGAAAAGTTTCTTTTGAGGGAAAATAGCCTATTACACATGACATCCTTTTTCTTCTTATGAGAGTTTCTTAAACCTTGGACTTTTAGAATGTATTTTCAAATCAATAATAATTGAATCATTATTCTTACATTACATTGCTATGCTAGACATTATTACTTTCTAATTATTATCTTTAACTTTTGCAATTTATATTATCATTGTGTTTAGATGTTACATTCCCTACTGAGAATCATAAATCCTATCCAGTGGTTTTAAGTGAGGCAATTTATGTGCGTTTAGAAAGAGACTCAATTTTACTCATTTAAAATAAATGGAGAGAAGGAAACATTAAAAATAGTATTATCGTACTCTATTTGTAGTTTGCCATTTTCTGTTTAGTGTATTTTCGTAGATGAAGGTTTTTTTTTCTTTTAAAGGTTGTCTATCTCTAGGACTATAGTTTTATGAGTGGAATGTCACATAATGCATGATAACATAACCTATATGTAAGGGTTTTACAGGTAATTAGAGCCATACAGGCCATTTGAGGGGTACAGGGGAGAACCTGAGCCTGAAGAATCATGTGTAGGAAAAATCCTTGTAATCTTAAGACTTTTTTTGGGTGTTTAACTTACTAAAATGTCTTAATTATTAAACTTTCTTAATGCTGGACAGTTAGGAGAATATTAAAAAATATAAAATTATTTTTATCCAAGTTTTCTGTTTTATCCAGTAATCAGTAATGATCTGCCTTGATTCTTCAAAGTACTATTGATGAATTTCATTTGAGTTGATTTAGAAACAACTTTGTTGATGAAAAGTTTGCTTATGTATGTATTTTCAACATTTTTATGTCTATGCACTTGGTTTCAGATGAGATAGGAAATGGAAATAACAAAACACTGTTAGAAAATCTTGTTTCTGTAGACGGCTCAACCTTGCCAGAAACCACGAGGCAGTGGAAATATCACGAGAAAGCTTGTTCCTACAAGACTCCCAGACTGATTACCAGACCAAAGAAGTTCCCAGAAATTTAGCTTGAAGCAATCATTTAAAATTTAGGAGGCGGATCCAATCCTGCTCGGAGTCATCCATTGCTAATTATAGTTGCCTATGATGTCCCAGTGATTTTGTTATCAGCCACACCTAAGTATATTTCTGATTTTTTGCATGTTCCCTCCAAAATATATTCTTGCTGGGCACTTAAAATCTGTTTATTTCACTGTATGTATATTACACCACAATACTGTTCGCATTTTGAATCTATGCATTTTTTTTTCTTTGCCTGATATATCTTGTTCAACCTTGATGAGACAGATGGCTTTTTTTCTTTTAATCTAGTTTCATTTGTATCTTAAAATTTCTAGTAGCTGGGGCACTCTCCTCACCCAGGTGAGGCCTGCTTTGCCCTACAGGTGTGTTAGATGCATGGTTGTGTGTACACATCTTTGAAATACATGAGGCTGCTGCCTTTTAGAAAAGTTACTGTTTTTGCTTTTTTTTAAATAAATATTTTGGCCAGCCTCAGAAATTTAGTAATGGCTTTGAACACTTGGAATTAGCATGATAAAGCCAGAGTTTATTATATACTGTTGTGATTTAAATCACACACTGGTTATTTTGGGGAGTTAGAGCAATCTACTTGACACAGACAGGTCTTCCCTGGCGGAGGCTTGCCCCTGCATGTTCTGGATAGATGGCTTTGATGTTGGGTGAACATCACAACTTGAACTGCTGTGTTTACACTGTAAGAATGCTTGCTGAATCTCTCACTGCATCTCTCACATAATTCCAACTTCACTTTAGTTCTGAATACATGAACAGTAAAGGGGGCAGTTTGCTTTTAAATTTTGCTTGTCAGTTAGGCACTTTAAGAGTCTTATTTCTTTATGTGATTTCCTGTAAGAGCTCATATATGGGGATTGTTATTGAGTAATTTTGAACACAAAATTAATTCTATACCCTTTGATGTGGCTAATAAAAGCCATAAGGGTATGGTAGGAAAAGAAGATAAGAAGATAGAGAAAAAAAAATTGCCTCTTTCTATATGGCAAGAAGAAGAAAAAAAAAATTAAGAGCAGTTGTCTTTGAACCACAGCAGGGTTTACTCTTAAGGGTCTTCTAGCTTGTTTTTCCCATTAGCTAGGAAAGCACTATGTGAGCTTTAAAAAAAAAATACATATATATATATATTTAAATCATGGAATAATATAGGACAAATGATTTAAATTGAATCTAGATTTTGCATGAACACTCTTCTAGTTTATTGGTTAAATAAATGCTGTAGTTTCAAATAACATCCCACCTGTTTGCCTTGTTTGAGGATCTGGTGAGATGTAGAATTCCAGTAGCTTGGCTAAAAAAGGAAGAAATAAAAGATAGAATAACCTGGAAGTTCTCCACTTCCCTTCAGGTATTTTCTTGTTGTTCTTTAGATTTGGAATCTGTTACTGGATTCTTCTTTCATCCATGCTTCATGGCATATAGATATGTAGGCATTATACAAAAAGCTTATCTAGCTGGGTGTGGCGGCTCACACCTGTAATCCTAGCACTTTGGGAGGCCGAGGTAGGAGGATCGCATGAGCTCAGGAGTTCAAGACCACCCTAGGCAACATAGTGAGACCTTATCTCTACAAAAAATTAAAAAATTAGCTGGGTGTGGTTGCCTGCTCTTATAGTCCCAGCTACTTGGGAGGCTGAGGTGAGAGGATCGCTTGAGTCCAGGAGTTTGAAGCTGCAGTGAGCTGTGATTGTGCCACTGCACTCCAGTTTGGGTGACAGAGCAAGACCCTGTCTCCAAAAAAAAAAGAAAGTCTTCACCTAAAAACTTGCATCTTCTAGAACCATGAACTATGGATGGTCAGACCTTCTTATTTTTATGTTAGCAGATTTTTTTTTCTGTAGATAATTTTTCAGCATTATGATTATATGACCAACATGCGAATGTAATTTCACATTTTAGCCTTTGAGTGTCTGCTGGTTCACTCATCTTAACAGTCTCCATATTCTAAAATTCTGGAGTAGTCCAAGGAACATTCCTAAGATTATTTTGCCATATGCTTTGTGCAGATTTTGAGTCTTTTTCAATCTTAAGTTTAAATTGTTTCCAGTTTCTGAATATTAATAAAACAAACAAACCAACCCTCTTAATGTATCCCCTGTTCTACACATTCCCTTACTTTTTGGGAACTCTTTTGTCCCCTGCCCTCACCACCATCCTACCCTTTGCCATATGGAGTGTGGGATGTATTGTTTGTTAGGTTTTAAATAAGCAAATTTGCCTTCTCTGTGTTGAAGAAACCTTTACTTTTAAAAACTGATTATGGCCTCTAGGCACCAAATCTTAAACATTTCTGTAGCTTATCTGTTGAGTTTATTATAGATCGTATCTAGAAATTTATTTAGCTTGTTTGAGTTGCCAACAAAAGTTGGCCAAGAAATCTGTATAATAGAATTGTCTGTCCAATTTTGAAATATGACTTCTAATTATATCTTTTGCATACACACAAAAATCTGCAGTATTAATTTGAGCTCTGTCCTAATCACAATTATTTTTTGTTACTTTCCAGTAAAATAGCTTTTTCTTGTAAATTTTTGACATAAACACCAGACCACATTTATTAAAATGAAAAAATACTTGCTGTTATCAAGGTATTCAAAAGTATTATAAAATATTAAATAAAGTTAGAGTTTGTGGCACATTGACTAACAAATTTTATCTGACAGAGACCAAGAAAAAAATACATAAAATTATAAAGTAAATAAACAAAATCAGTAATTTCCACAAACAAGTATGTTTATGCAGGAGCACTGTTAACCTACTAGTGTTCAGAGTAATTTCTGAATCAAGATAATTTCTGATGGTGCTTTTAAAGAGTCTAGTTATCTTGTAACTAATATGACATGGGATTAAAGTTAATCTCTTTTTAACTACAGTGAGAAAATTTAAAAGCCTTGGCTTCATAGACTAAATACCTGAACAGACAAATTGCTGAAATAATGCAGCTAAGACTGCAAGAGAAACTGCAAAAGATACCCCAAGTTATGTTTGTTATTAAGCATAGGTTATTTTGAAAATAGGTTTCCATATGGAGTATACGGTATGTAATTTATACAGACCACATTACTAATAGATTCTGTCAAGTGGCACTGAATTCAAGCTACAATGTCCATAATGGAATATGTAAGGAAATTGCTGGTGTTATTGGGTTGGATTAAAAGAAAAAAAAAAACACCTTTATTAGTATGTGTTCCCCCTCCCCTCAGTGTACACTGCTTCTTGGGCTCAGACTTTGGGGTTTAAGAATGAGGTATTTGGGCCGGGCGCGGTTGTTCACGCCTGTAATCCCAGCATTTTGGGAGGCTGAGGCGGGTAGATCACAAGGTCAGGAGATCGAGACCATCCTGGCTAACACAATGAAACCCCATCTCTACTAAAAATACAAAAAATTAGCCAGGTGTGGTGGCAGGTGCCTGTAGCCCCAGCTACTCGGAAGGCTGAGGCACTAGAATGGTGTGAATCCGGGAGGCAGAGCTTGCAGTGAGCAGAGATTGCGCCACTGCACTCCAGCCTGGGTGACAGAATGAGACTCTGTCTCAAAAAAAAAAAAAAAAAGATATTTGAAGGTCTAATTATAGGATAAATTTGGTGACTAAGAGGTTACTCTTAATAACAATAATCATATTTGGTTTACCTATTTGTCACCAGACAGTATCCAGACTTCATGTGACTAATGGTGACAACTGTATTTTGAGAAATTTGGAAAATCACATAAGCTGTTGGTGATACTTTCAAATCAGAATGTTTTAAATAGCGGACAAGGTAAAGCAAGCTCAGAACTTAATAATAGAGGAATAGATACAGTATATTGAAGGAAAAAAATACATTGACATTTGCAAAGAGAAAGATGCTGTTTCTATAGCATACCTAAGTCCATTGAATTTGCACAGTGGACAAATTGCAATTGGGGAATATTATTCATATAAATAGTCCTGTCAGAACACGGGATGAGTAGAGTCTTGTGGAACAGTTTGTTTAGAGAAGTACTAGTTAGGAATCACTTGTATTAGCTGGTAAGCATCAAGAGAAACGCTTGGATAGGGTAGTTTAATAAACAGTGTCAGCACATTTACATGGATTGTGACAGTTTTATCTTTTGCTAAATAGCCTAGAGTAAGCATTATTTTAGCATGTTATCAAAAATAATTATAATATATTTGGCACCCACTGAAATTCTGACTTACCTGTTGGGGTATGTTTTTGGTAATTCAGAACAGATTGATTGAAGAATCTTCTTTAAAAGTTGCATTTTAGATGTTTTCTTTGGGTGGTTCTTGTAGCCATCACAGAAATAAACATACCTTAGTTTGCAAACCGCTATTTACTTGGATCTGAATAGGAAACATTGTCACGATGTTACGATATACTGTATTTCCGGATACCTTAACAATTATTAGATAAACACGATGAAGATGGAAAATATTGAAGAAATAATGATATTATAAAAACTTTTGAATGGTTTTAGTTGAAAACAAACCAAGAATATATTGGTATAGACATAATTGCAAAGTAGAGCTACCGCACTACCAAAAAAAGTTATTTGAGGTAGTTGCTGGAAGCAGAATTTTCACGGTTAGAAATGCTTAAAAAGAGGCTCTTTTAAGTAGAAAAGAATGTGAGACTTTAGTTATTGTAACAGTAGGCTTCAGAGTAGCCATAAATGAAGTTTAGCTGGAGTAAGACTAACAGGGTTTTAATCTGTTGTTTTTCTAGTTAAGGCTTATTAATAACATTTATGTATGGCCTTGTTCATTTGTGCACTGGGACAGAACTAGAACCTTGGGCTCCCCATTTTGTTCTTTGGTACAGGGCCATCGTATTTCAGTAAATAGAGAGTTTTTTCTCTTCTTAGACGTCTAAACAATGGCAATAATTTATAACTAACTGCTCTTCGTTATGTTGCAGAGGCAAATTGCGCAGAAAATTATGGATAATTTTAAAAAGATGAAATACAGGTGGCTCATCTAAAACAGACTCCAATTAAAACCACATTGTATTAAATAGAGCCTGCTTTAGATAGGCTCCTCTTCATGCTAAATATGAATGAAGCAACAATTTTAGATATAATAGCTGGTATCTGGATTTTAATATGATCAGTTCTCATGCTTCGGGGCCCAAATATTGCCAGCTGGTATTAAGAAACCTACCCTCCTATAAAACTCGATTATATTGTTTTCCCTAAGAGTATTGCTTTAGGAATTATTGAGAAAGTGGTTTTTACAGGGTATAGACTTTTGCATAAAAGTTGGTGCTAAAATTTGACTCATCAAAATTTGCATCACACTCTTGCATCTGGAATATTACCAGATGGCGTTAAATTAGACCTTGGGATGGGTGTCTCATTCAGAGACATGGCAGTCTGTACTCAGTGTAATGGGTGAGCAAAGATGTGTTCTAGACCTAAGTGTATGCTGTCTGCATTATGGCTTATATAAAATGGCCACATCTGTTATTTTATCAAGAGAATAAGTTTTCTAAGTTTTGGTTGGTCTGATATGCTAATATCTGCAATTAGCAGAGCCTTGACAAATTGTTCCCTTAAATTAAGAGTTCATCAGTTTGGCAGAATGTGACCTGATAAAATGATTTGGGAATATGGTGCTTTTACATACACAGATTTTTTTTTTTTCCCGTTTTAGTCTTTCTTAGCCATCAGACTCCAGAAGATGTACAAGGCTATGCCAGTTTTTTTGTTTGTGCTTTTAAAGAAATTATTACCGAATGTGGGGGATCCACGGAAAGTGAACTCCTGGAGGGACAGAGGAGGAGCAAGACTGTCTGATCCTGAGATCTCAGTGCCTAAAACATAGAAGGGGTTCAGTAAATACTTGTTTGAAATAAAAATAACGATTAAAAAAAAGGAGGGAATAGTTCCTACCATCATATGCAAGATGACATGGGTAGTCCTGACTCTTCTGGAGTAAGGAGACTGAGCATTCTCACTGCTGAATTAGGTGAAGGGAAACTTAGAATCTCCTTAAAAGGGACAAACAAGACCCTACATGATTGGACCTGCCCCTTACCCTGTCTGCCATTCTTGTCATTTCTTGCCTCAGCCTTATTGCCCCAGCAACACAGATCAGCTGGTAGTTCTTTGCCGATTTTGTGCTATTTCCTATCGTGGAACATTCTCCCATGTTGTTCTCCCTAGTCCTTATCTTGCCTGGTTGGCTACTAAACTTGTATTTAAGCTTCATTATGTTCTGTCTTTTTTTCTGAAGTTGTTCTAAAGCCCTACCTGAGTTGGTGCCTTCTTCTGTTTCTCTGGAAATCTCTGTGTGTTTCTGCTCTTCTGCACAACGTGATAAATTATTTGAATTTTCTCCTTCACTAGATGGTTTTTATGTCAAGATGCTTTTCCTTATATTTGTTCAAACCCAAACATTGGACACGATGGTAGGCCACGGAAATCAGTTAATAAGTATTTGCCAAATGATTGTTCATACCAGCCCTCTCAGTTGCAGAATGAAAAACTTTGAATGCTTCTTTAATAATAAATCTTCTTGACTATTGGCTGTGATTCTAAGTCCCTTGTTATAGGAGTATGGTTATTAACCTAGTTATTTCTGCCATGTTTCAATGTGGATAAGCGTATTTAACAGATTCGCTCTGTTGCATTGATCCTGTGATGGTGTTATATACTACTCCAGTGCCCTGGACTGTGCGCTACAGGGCAGCCTCTAGACTTTGGGATTAAGTAATGGTGATTCGGTGGGGGTATGGGTTCTTATTTTATGGGAGTGTTTTGGCAATTAAGTGCTATTTAAAGGTATTATTTTTGTTAGAAAGATAAGGATTTAGATCTGTGGTTCATTAATTATGTAAAAGTTGAATTAGCAAAGGCTAGTTTTTGGCTCAAATTATGAAAGAATACTCTTGGGAAACTGGGTATCGGGGAGAGGATAAGTAAGTTTGGTTATTTGTCTTGAGATTTTATAGAGAACACACACGTACCCCATAAATGTAGTTTTAAAGAATTGTTCAAAGTAAATCAATTTTTGATTTTAAGAAAAGCTCCAGGCCGGACATGGTGGCTCATGCCTATAATCTCACCACCTTGGGAAGCCTAGGTGGGCTGATCACCTGAGATCAGGAGTTCGAGACCAGCCTGACCAACGTGGAGAAACCCCGTCTCTACTAAAAATACAAAATTAGCTGGGCGTGGTGGCGCATGCCTGTAATCCCAGCTACTCGAGAGGCTGAGGCAGGAGAATCGCTTGAACCCGGGAGGCGGAGGTTGCAGTGAGCCGAGATCGCACCGTTGCCCTCCAGCCTGGGCAACAAGAGTGAAACTCTGTTTCAAAAAAAGAAACGCTCCACATTTTTAAATAATACACAGGTTTTGCAGTGTAACTACTGGTGAGGACCAGAAATCTAGTTACTAGATTTCTTAAAAATAAAATTTCTCACACTGTTTAAAAAAAGGAAAAGAAGTACACTTATTTTTCCTATGTGTAGTTTATACATGCTAAATAAATAAAGTTTAGAAAATGGAATTTAAGAAGAGTAAAAGCATCGCCAATAGTTCCTTCCACACAGGTGTTAATCATTTTTTGTTTTCACTTGTCTTTTGTATTCATTTTAAAAATAGAGGACCATATTGCGTACACTGCTTTGTAAGCTGCTTTTTGCTTATCAACATTTTGTAACTATCTTTCCATGTTATTAATAACTGAGTTTTAATGCTTTTATCATAATTTAATCATAATTTTGGCTCAGCCATATTAGCTCTTTCTTGATAGATTTTACTGTGTAATTTAATAATCCAGTTTTGGACTTTTCCCACTTAGACTAGTATTCTTTATTAGATTTAACATGAACTAAGTGCTATAAATGAGTCAATATTTTTTTAAAATTATATGTCTGTTTATCAGTGTACTGTTTCAAGTCTATGTATTAGTTAAGTCTGTTCTTCAGGCTTGAACATAGGCATACCTCCTTTTATTGCACTTGGCTTTACTGCACTCTGCAGATACTGCATTTCTTTTACAAATTGAAGCAGTGGCAGAGTTTGAAAGAATTGACTCCAATTTTGAAAGAAGTCCTAGTGTGGATAACATGCTATCCAAAGCATCAATGCTACAGAGAAATCTTTTCTGAATGGAAGAGTCAATTGATGCGGCAAACCGTCTATTTTATGAGTAGACACCACAGCCACCCGTCTTCATCAACCACCACCCTGATCAATCAGCAGCCATCAACATCTAGGCAAGACCCTCTGCCAGCAAAAAGATTACACCTCACTGAAGGCTCAGACGATTGTTAGCATTTTTTAGCAATAAAGTATTTTAGATGTATGTATGCTGTTTTTTTTAGACATAATGCTATTGCACACTTAATAGACTACAGCATCGAATAAACAAATTTTATATGCACTGGGAAACCAAAAAAAAATCATGTGACTTGGTTTATGTGGTGGTTTGGAGTGGAACCTGAGTTCGTCCGATGTTTGCCTGCAGATGCTCATCCTTTACTCTTTCCCCACTACTGTTGGTGCTCCCAGTTCTGCTGTCTGCCTTTATCCAATTGTAAGCCTCAATGTGATTTCTAGATTCACCCTAAGTACTTGCCCTTGATCAGCCCAGCACTGAACTCCCCCAAACACACAAACATTAAAGTTCATTTAGAAAGAGTGAATTTTAGGAAGAAACCACAGAGGCCAAGATCTTCTCTAATTAATGTAGTGAATCTTCTGAATGTAGTGAGTCTTCTGGCCATTTTTTGAGTATTACATTGATAGCTCATTCAAAACGAAAATTATTCACACAACTATGGTGTAAATAAAAAGATGTGATGTTAATATAATTTTTGGATTAGATTATTGCCGAATCAAGCATCTTTACAACATTATAGTTTAGAGTAATGTGTTTGGCTAAATTAGGCAATAAAAGTAAACATAAAAGGTAAACCTTCCCGATTAGTCCTTACATTTGACTTCTCTGTATGTGAAACACTGACAAAAACCAAAAATAATTTCACTACTCTGTATTTATTTTTCTGATTGAGACTTTGGAAAAGTCAAGAATGACAACGGTAGGTATTTCTTTTTTGCAGAACAAGCCTGAGATGGTACTTAGGTGCTTACATACAAGCTACTGATCACTTAATGACATTAAAAAAATTTTAATTACTTATTGCCTTCAGACACTACAGAAGTTTAAAAATCCTACTATTTCCACTTAAATTTCTAGACCAATGCTGTTGGACTTTCTTTCCCTTTAACAGCAATGATTATCCAGTTGAATGTTGTTTCACAGAAAGGAAAAGTGCATTTGTGTAAAAATATCTGGGGCTTGCCAGGGAATCTTTTTCAGAATGCTTTGTGGTTACAAATGAAGCTTATTGTTGTATAAATGGCAAGTTTAAAATCATAGAACTTTTTTGCAGTAGCTCATGGCATGAGTTGATAATCTGCGAATTGCTCTGCGTGTGTGTTTGTGTGTGTTCGCATGCATGCCTCAGCCCATCTGTAAGTAGCTGGATCCTGTGCCGTTCCTCCCCCTGTTTCCCACCTCACTTATTTAGATACATAAATACGCACACTTTTACATCTAAGGCAAACCCCAAAAGATGCATGTGGAAGGCTGGATGTGGGAGAGAGGTGTTTTCCTTTAATTGACCTCTCACGGCGTTCCACTTGATAAAGTGACAACATTTTCTGAAAACTTAAGGTTTTTGAATGTGTGGATTTTCTCCCTACCACTGTAATTTCTGAAACTTTCTCTAAACAAGATGGCTGGCACATTATGGGGACAGAGCAGAGACATAGAACAGAGACAAAGCCGCCCTGAGAAGGCAGACACACTTATATTGCTTGTGGTTTTTCAGTACAGCTGCTTTCAGATGAGCCGGCTTGTTCTAAGCTGGTCCCACTGCCAAAGCAAGACTGTCACACAGCTGGTAGTACTTACTGTACTTGCGGGAAAGTATGTGATTCATTAGTTGGAACCGTATGTTTTTCACCAGTTCTGGTCATGTTTTTGTTAGGATGTGGTAAAAACACAAGCAGGGGGTGAAGGGACAATGGAAACATGTGACTTCTTAAGGATTGGCCTGAACCCGTTATTAGCTAAATTGTACACCGTAAAATGTCCTTTGTACCTCATAAGACAAATGACTTAATTTTTTATTCCTCAGTTGAGGTCATTCAGTCATAAGTGGTAAAAATTATCAACACTGAGCTCTTTTTCTCTTTTTACTTTCTGCAAAGTATTATGATCCGTTTAAACCCCAAATTATAATATGAAGGGAAGTCATGCAAGTAAAAGACATTAATTTGCTGAAAAATGCCCATGACGGGTGAAGAACTTTAACTGGAGTGAACTCTTGCTACTGATAAAATATGAGTATGGTATTACAGCTCATAAGAAACACTTCTAATACCACAGGGTGTGAGGAGAACAATAAATGGGAGTTTCTTTGTCTACACATGATCAAGCAGACTCAAATTGTATGGCTGGAGGATTGAGAGACTAGTCTTTTAAGTAATTTTGGTGTCATTAATGGGCTTGCATCACAGTATCTCTGTAATGCTCAATCCTGGTATTGTGCAGAACTGCTGGTGTGAGCCGCATTGAATATTGGCCTGTTATCACCAGGTTTTTGAGCTTGTGAATATTTTACAACTGCACAGGCCGAACCATATTCTTTGGAAAATGAATGCCATTGCTGCTGTGTTGTGTTCTCCTTACATAGGAATATGCTTTGACATTTGCTTGCTTCTGCTTCATTCTGACACTGGAGTTGTTTTACTTTTGTCCCCACTCCCATAGCCTGCTATTGAGACAGGTGGTATTTTCAAAGTCTAAGTAAAATATTGGCAGATTATGCCTCTACCCTCAGACTCTGTTTTTCAACTGTTCCCTTCTAAAGTTCTGCACCGTTCATGCCTCACTACATACACTCCAGCAGTTGCTGGACTCTGCAGAATTAGAACCAGGTCTGTCTCTGACAATTAGCTCAACTGGCTGCAGGATAAATAAAGGAATGCGCTCAGGGGCTGTAGTCTGTGACACAGTGTAACAGAGCGTAAAAAGGTGCATCTGTTCCATGCCCTGATTCAGTCGCCTCACTGTCACTGGGAAGTTACCGACACGGAGACATGCCCGTGCTGTTTGGTAAACAAGCGGCAGGTATTAAATTAACAGGGCTGTGAGTGTGCAAACGTGCTGCTTTATTAAAAGCCCTGCTATCTTGGCTCACTGCTGGGTCACAGGCAGTTGCTAGAGCATCTAGTAAGATGACTCATGGCACTGCATACTTCAATACCCTGTTCTCGCTTCCTTCCAGAGGGGACCGTTGACATTTGAGAGCCTGATTACGGAAGGAAAAAAAGGAGAAAGAAAAGAGAATACAGGGTGTGTGTGTGTGTGTGTGTGTTTGCCTTTTACGTTTCGTAGGCTAGGCAAGAAGGAGATGAGGGCCAGCACCCCAGAGCCAGGTTTTAGTTTAAATTGGGCTTCTGAATCCAATACTAAATTGCAACCAGGTCTCTGTCTTTGTTGTTGTTTATTTTCTCTGCCTTTCTGTCTCACCCTCCTCATGACTGCTACTTGATTTGTGGTTGAAATAATGAGGGGATAACTGAGAGATGAAAGTTTTGCTCTGTCTGCCTGCACTGGGTGGGCACCATGCATCTTGCAAATGTACTTGCAGGAAAAAACACTTCGACTTTTATTATATTCTTTAAGCATTTATCGCCTTTGCATTTAATATTTTTAATGAAAAACTCGCATTTTAAAGACTTTCTGCTTTCATTCAGCAATGTCATGATTTTTGAAGTTTGTTTTCCCTTCAGCTTCAGGAATGCTTTACACAGGGTCATGTGTGGTTGCCTTGTTGAATTGTTCCTCACTTTTGTGGTCTTATCTTTGAGGAGTCCTCTTTAGATATACCAAGGTCTGTAGGCAAACATTACAAGACAATTTTCAGTACACATGTCTGTGCTAAAGAGACTGGCATTTCTGAAGGTTTCCTGCTCCCCTCCAAGTTGTGTTTCTTTTAAGGGCCCCAACTAGCTCCTCATCCATTAGAAGATGATGTAATGCTAATGGTATCTAGCTCCACACAGCTTGGACCAAAAATGATTCCAGTTGGCTGTATTTGAATGTGAATGACCAGAAGGTGCTAGACATTCTCCACTGTAATTGCAAGTGCTTACCTTGGAAATCTCTTTTGGTTGTAGAGGTCCTTTGGTCCTCATACTAGAGATCATACCGCCACACATGCATTCCTACTGTCCAGACCCATCTTTATTGTTGGCTGTCTTTTTATAGTGATGTCTAGGTAGAGGAGTGCGATGCCCAGGGTCGGGGATAGGGAGGGTGGAGAGGAAGCAGCCTTTCTCATTGTTTGCTCAGAAAGGAAAGTATCCCACTATCTAGAGAGTTAGTGATGCCTCAGAATCTCTTTATCTTTGTAACCTCTTTTCTGTATGAAGTTTAATAAGCCGGCTGTGCAGTTTTTAAAACGCCAGTGGATTCCGCTTTTCACTTGGACCGCCCCCCGCCTTTTGCTCTGAGCATTCACTCCCTGTTTCCTTATTTCCCCCGTTCTCTTTTCCTTTATCTCAGGGGAGTTCCCTGAGTAGCAAGACTGAAAAAGAGCTGAGGTTTATGTTAGAAGAAATTAAGGTTAATGATCATTGGCTCATTTTCATATTCTGTGGGTGTGGATGGAGGAGTAATCAGTGCAGGTGGCCCTGCCAGTTGGGAGTTTTTCTTTGTCATCAAGAAAATAAGGAGAGTGCAGGGATTGAATTACCACAACTATTTCAGGACTAAACATATTTCATTTCCCGATCGGGTCTGGTTTAAGGACGCAAAGCTGACATTAATTTTATCCAAAGAAAGCACAGCATTTTTTTTGTTTCATAATTTGACTAATGCATAGGGTAGATGCATGTTCAAATTTAATTCTAGTATAATCTTACAAATAATTCTCTGAAAAGCAAAGGGGTTTTGATTCAGTTTGACAGTTTATGTTTCTGTGTCCAATTACCACTTAGTTATTGAATGTTAAAAAGCTGCTTTCTAAAATGTGCACTCCGACTGCACCAATTGGCTTCCCAGCTGCCTGCTATTACATGCGAGGTGCTCTCTTCTAACTTTTTAAAGGATGTACACAGTTGAAGTAGTTATGTTTAGCTAGCAAAGGAAGTGGGGGATTTGGTTAGGAAGTGCTTGCTGGCCTTGAAAAACTATCATGTGTGCATTCTCATTTCAGCCACATAAAGATCATTCTTTAAATAAATACTTGTTGGATTAAAAAAACCTTAAATGCTCCGATAAACTAGAGAAATAACTTTGATTTTTTTTAAAAACATGACTTCCATTTGGATCAACTTTTTAAAGTTTTCAATATGCTTTTAATACCACTGATGTAACTTTCTACAAGTGAGGTATTCTGATTCCATGCTTGGAAAAAGAAGATCTACAGGTTGACCAGAGACAATAAAAGTCATTGAGGAAGAGTGTCAACACTTGCCATGCATGGTAGGTTTTGCTTTCTTAGCGGAATGCAGCAGACGACTCAAGTGACCTGATCTGTTTTTAAAGCACAAGGTTTATTTGGCTGTTACAGTGTGAGTATAATATTAATGATACTAATGTAAAATTAACTTTTATGTTGTGTGAGCAGTTTTTCTTGTTTCCCCCTTTAAAATTGCAGATATTTCCTTGTGCATACATCTGGTGTTGTTGCCATAGTGAACATTTATATAACTTTGTTTAAGCCATGAAAAGTTTGGTATAATCGGGTAGTTTGGCAAGTCCACGTGAAGGTGGTTTTCGGTTTTCATAGCCCTGTGGTATGAGTCCACATGCAGTTGAATATTCATTGTATGGCCATTAATATAAATACTTCGTCTAGCTTATTAATAACACATGAAGAGACCATGCCCAGACATTCAAAGGGCAAGAATGTTTTAGTGGTTTCTGGAAGCTCCTTGCTGTGAAGAAATAAGGCTTTTAAAAAACATTGTAGTTTAGAGTTTTGAAGTAGCACTTTAAAATATTTTAAAATACATTTGGTATATCTTAAGAAATTCTTGACTAGGCTAAAACTTAATATTGAACGAAGTGATCTTTTGAGATCAATATGATTTCCAAGTTTGACATTTAAGCAAATCATGTTCTCTGTTTTAAGAAACATTAAACAAGGAGACAAAAATACACAATACATCAGTTTCTAAGGTAACATTATTTCCTACCTTCTGCTTTGCTTTTTACTGAATCCTTTTTACCTTTCCTGCTACTGATAGATCTCAAAACTGGCCTCACGGGGTTTTCCCAAAGGCTTTTGGAAAGATCCATTTACTTTATGACCCACATACATCTGGTATTAGAGCAACTATGAATTAATCCAGCCTCACTTCAGTGTTTATCTGTTATGCATTAGGAATATTTAAAAAGCAAATAATTTAAACTAATGTTTTTCTTGCATGTAAGTTAGATCCTTAAAATCAGCTACACATCATATTAACTTGAAATTTTTAAATAGTCGACTGAATTGCTTTACAAAGTGTAGTTGTTTAAGCCATTCTGATGGTTTTCTCTGCAGGCTCCTTAGCTTTGACAATACTGTTCTACTCCTTCACTTGCATCTACTTGTTAGTGCCTTTTACTTTGGTCTTTTCGTTTCTTTAGAAAGTTCTTCCTTTTGGATACATAGAATATAACGTCATTTATTGATCTCTCTTTTCTGCTACCTTTGTATTAGAATTTTAAACACGTCATGACAGGAAATAATTCAGTCTGGTACAATATGCCCTCTCTCTCCTAGTTTTTAAGTCCTGAGTCTTGTATGCCGCACTTTCAATCTCTGGTGGCTAACCTGACTACTTTGTGTCTCGTTTACTGGAATACGTCCATAAAGCAAGGATACATGTGTGTCTTACATGTCCAACAACGTATTCCAACAAAGGCTTTCAGTGAGCCAGGATGTGTGGCTTAGTTTCACCATCATTTTGGTAAAAATACATGTATTAAACAGATACTGAATTTCTGACTTGCATTTAATCTTCTCCTCCTGTTTTATGTTTTCTTTCTTTGATTCAGACAGCAAACTGATTCAAATCTTCAGTATAACCTATAAAACCAAAGGTTTATTAATATTAGGGTACCCAGAGAATAAAGTTGTTCATCGTTTTTTAACAGTAGAGAAATAAAAATAATAAGGTTTTTTTAGTATATAATTAAGCACTTAAATTGTCACCTGAAATTGTTGTTCTTTACATGCGTTTCCCTTAGCCCTTTGTAATTACCTAACACTGCCAGTTAGCGCCAGTTGTGGGAGCAACAGGCTTCTAAAAATACCCTCCTCCTGGCCTGGCCACCCACCTAAGAACCATGTGAAGAGGTGTTTTGTGAATTATCAGAAAGTTAGGTATAACTGATGCAATCTGTGCAGCTATTTCTGTCAAAAATTGTGCCTCCAAGAGGGATCAGCTACATTATATCTTGTAATTTCAGATACACTTTCTTGGATTTAGTGGAAAAACCTTCTCTGAGGCTTTGGTAACCTTCTGACCAAATGGATTGCAATCAAGTGTACCTGTGATAGTGAGCTTGAATTCACAAAACAAGCAACTCGATTCATTGCTTTGTTAATCCACATCCACTTAAGGCATAGATATTCTTTATTTGATACGTCATCTTGGTTTATTCATCATGATTAGTAAGTTTGTCTACATTAAAAATATTACACAAATCCTGAAAAATTTTAGTCTAAAAGTCATCAGAGGGAGCTATAGGTTCTTAAATTAATTGACTAATGAATAAAACCTATTTTCCTATTGGGTGTTCTTCACTGCTTCTTTTAGAGTGGGCGCAGATGAAAATGAATCATGGAGTTTAGGAATGAAAGTGTGAAAAGTAACTAGATAAAATTTTATAATTTGGGGAGCTATAAAATTTAGAATCCATTTCCTTGATTTTCATCCCTCTCATTTGGAAATGATGAAGCTCAGGAGGTTAAGAAGACCACGGTCATCACAACCAACAAGAGATTGAAATGGACAAGAATCCTAGTGTCCAGACCAGTACTGTGCAATAGAAATAATTCTGCAAGCCACATATGCAATTTAAAATTTTCTAGTAGCCACACTACAAAAGTAAAAAGAAACAGGTGAAATTGATTTTAATAATGTATTTCATTTGACCCAGTATATCAAAAATTATGATTTCCATGTATAATAAATATAAAAAATATATAATCAATATGAGTGTTTATCGAGACATTTTCTTTTCTTTTTTCATTCTGAGCCTTCAAAATTCAGTGTATTTTACACTTTCAGCACATCTCAACTTGGACTAGCCACATTTCACGTGGTCAATACCCACATGTGGCTAGTGGCTACCATATTGGATGGCTTAGGTCTAGACACCAGTCCAATTTTCTTTCCACCACAGCAGTGTAGTAGCTTTTAAAGGGTTGACTTGGATTTTCAAAGTCTTATTTTGGTTAATTTAGGAGACCTGGTGTCTTTGATATACAAGTGAAAAAGTAACTGAAACCTTATATAAGTCGTTATAATAGAAGCACATTGCTCTAGAATCATCTTTCTCATTAACATTTTTGATTCCTTGGCAAATGCTTAGTAATACTTCAAGTAAATATTTTCAAGTTACTTGTAGACTTTTTTCCTTCGTCACTTTACTCCCTGTGAAGCCATACTGTCTCAGTTTTGCTAACCACAGACACATTACAGGCAGTGTTGTGGGAGAAGAAAAAGTTTCCCTCTGTTTCTCCTTTTGGAGGTTGAAGGCAGTATACCCTGGTGCTGCCCTGGACTGAGGCTGTCCACCATCTGTGTAAGGAATTCACAATCCCAGACAAAAGAAATTGGCAAAGTCTTCCCTCTGTCTGCTCTCCAGATCCTCAAGATAGCCATAAAACACCTGGACAAAATCAGCAGGTGATGGCAAGGGAAAAAGAATGATCAGTCACAGGCGTTGTTGAATCCTTTGAACATTACTTACGGCCTGGACATTGCTGTCACCAGGCTCAATTTGATCTTGGGTGAGTTTTCTGGAAGAGCTTTATTCCCTGGCTCTGTGACAACAGCGGAACCAGATAACATTGTGGATAGAGGAGAGAAGTGGAAAGTCGAGGTTTCCCTGCCTTAAGGTATAGCAGTTCCAGGTGGTGTTACCTCTGTGTGTGTAAGAACATCCTACAGAAATAAGTCATATCACCAGATGCATAAAGTGTGCTATTTAGATCAGTGTTCTTACTGTAATCCTGCTCAAGGAGTTTAAATATTCACTCATCTACTTATAGTTTATAAATTGTTTTCAGAATGATCAGCATTGTTCATATGCTGAATTTTAAAATGTAGTTTAAAATCTGTTTTCTGCACTTAACACTGAAAAAAGGGAGTTGGCACTATGGTATTTATAGGCTTTTACAAATCTTTTCTTATGGTGGCTCTACATAAGAAACTTTGCTACATACTCATTTTGTGTCACATGGTTTGCTTCCATATCTTTTGTTTTGATGCTGTATGTAGAAGTTTCAGTAGCTACTAAGTCATCATTTGGGTTGTCTGAAATTTTTATAATGATATCAGATGGTGGCAGAATTGCATATCATGAAGTCTGGTAGTGAAGGGGCACATTTTTAATGGATCAGGAATTTAGCCATGAAGAAATAACACTTTTGCCAGTAAAAGCTCCGAGCAAAGTCCGTTAGCTGTTGCCTCTTTGTCAGTCAGTAAGAGAGTTTAATACAGTGGTATTTAGCTTTCTTTGCTGCTGCCAGTTTTAAGGGTCATATTTTAGCTCTGATCTTTATTTCCAGTGAGAGGGCTAAACCAAAGCAGAAGCAGCACTATTTAACTCGGAATTCAGAATGATTTTTTCTCTCCCTTTGGCTCTGTCTACAAATGTAGCCCTTTTTCATATCAATGGCGTCAAGCTTCATTGAATTTAGCTCTGTCTTGTTAAGTACATTAATGCTGTGTTCTGTCATTCATTACATGAGAATTAGTTGTCTATTACAAAGTGGGGGTTTTTGTTTGGAGCCTGATCTTCACGGGAAGAAGGCCATACGTGGCTTAATTTCCTGAGTGCATTGAATGCTGGACTTATTTTTCTGTGACTTGTATGTCCACTGAAAGCATCATGCAAAATGTTGATTCTACCGTTGGGAGGCCCACTGTATTTTAAGCAAGGAAACTTAAAAGAGAAGAACACTTACCACCTTTCTTTTTTAAAATCCCCTTTCCCCCATGCATTTTGTCACATTTTTCAGTGATCTATACAGTGCCCTTAGAGTGTGTTACAGAAAGTGTTAATATCTTAGAGCAGCAGTAATAATAATCCTTTTACTCAGGGTAATCATGTGCTAATCCTCTGGTAAGTCAAAAGTATTAGATCATTTGAAATTCATTGTGTCAGCTCAGTTGAAATAACTGGTATGGTGCTATAAACATTTAGAGAAAGGGAGTCTTTGAACCCAAATAATAATGTCAAATAGTTTGTTAGTGTTACATGTTCATGTTTAAGGGTTTCATAAGCTCAACCCATGGACAAGAGCATTTCAGTTTACATCAGTGTGTAATATATTATTTTAACTGAAGGTTTATTTTTATTTTGTTATTTGGGGAAAGTTTCTTTTCCTCTGGCACTTGTGGACTGGATTTTTATGGTACAGTTTTCACTCTGCAATCACAGGAAGCCTGCTGTGCCAGAAGGGTGCTTTTTGGTATTTTTTTTTTGTTTTTTGTTTTTAAAGAAAACTATTTTTGTTTTTCTAAAGCATTATGTTGGGTTTGAATTTTCTCCTTGCTCCCTTCTTTCGTATTCTTGAGAAAAACATTGATGGTGTACATATTTATTTTTCTGTGAATATTTTAACCAGGAATTTTGGCTTCATGTTTCCCTTTTCCTCCTGAACAGAGTCACCTCTTCCTTGGAATTTTTATAATTTTCTTGAATTATTCTCTTTCCCTCTCTCACTCTAAGTCCCCAGGGGATAGAGAGCCCTTAGATTCTTGGTTTTAGTGATCTTTGCACCCAGCATACCTTAGGTGTTCAATAAAGAATGCTTTGAATTGCTTCACTTATAGAAATGCTGGTAAATTTGGTGACTTAGCTAAAGTTGTTCCCATGTCAGAAAATGAATATTTTTGGTGACAAATCATTTTCATTTCTTCTTTCCTGAAAGTCGTTTGAGTTTTAGAAGGGCGCCTTTTCTTAGAGCTTCAGGACTGTTTGAGCTGCAACTGTTGTCCTCCACCTTTATGAAACCACTCAGCTGTTGACAAAGCCGGTGTTAGAGCTTCAGAGAGCACCAGCACAATTAATTGGTTTTCTGAGAATGCATAACTTAACTTAAGTAATTGTGCAATCAAGGCTCATGTGGAAAGGATGAGTATCTGTCCTTTCTGGACCTCTTGTTATCACTCCTTGTTTCCACCTGATCTTTGATTCATAGTTTTGGAGAACTTGTAGATTCTTTTATCCTAGGGTATATTAAGTACTGTAATGTGAAGTCCTACTCCTCTTTTTTGAAGATGAAATTTACAGATCTTGCTGCTGATTGCATTCTGTAAATAAAGGGAGAGCTCTGAACATGATGTTTGATGTTGTGTCCCTAGTCCGTGGCCATGCTCGATATAGCTTTCTTCCTCCTGGCGTCCTCCCGTGAACAGATTCTGGTAATGAGAAGGTTCATCATCTAAAAAGCAGTCCACAGGATAGCTTTCTCTATGCTGTTATAGAATGAACTGAAATCTACGTAGAATAGCTCTAGAGCTAAAATTGGGTAGAGAGAAGAGGTGTTAAATGCAACCTGAACATTTTTTTTCAGGGATAACCCAGCTCAGAGAATAAGGTGTCCAGATGATCTGGTTTAAGTCACAGAGCCAGTGTAGCCAACCAGTCCCCAAGGCACTGGCCTCACTGAGAGGGTAGCTGGCGTTCCATTGGGTATGGGATCAGGGATTATTGATGGCATTGTTACAGGTCTGTCAGTGAGGGCACGTAGAATAGGTAGCCCCGAAAGTTGCTTTTAGTCACCGTAAAGTGGCGCTCCATTTTAGAGTTCAGTCCAGGCATGGCTTTACTGCCATTGCTGGGAAAGTACAGCATGTCACAGTGGCAGAGAACATGGACTGTGGAGCCAGGCTGCTTAGGTTTGAATCCTGTTTCCACCACTTGTACTGTCTCTGTGATACTGGACAGGTTTCTGAAGTGTCTGGGCACCCAAGTTCATCATCAGTGAAATGGGATAATACCTACTTCCTGCATAGCTGAAGTTAATTGTGAGGATTTAATGAATGTATGGTGCCTAGAACAGTGCCTGAAACATAATAAATGCTGCATACATGTTTATGTAGTAAAATAAAACTGGGTGCTGAGAGCTGCTGATGCTTCAGAAAACCATTAGTGAAACCTAACCCCTGGAACCTGACCCTTCATTAAGGCCCCAAGGTTTTACTAAACTTTGTGCCTGCCACAAAAACCATACTTATATGTGCCTTGTATAGAAGCTCCTATAGATAATCGTGGTTTTTTTTTTTTTTTTTCCTCCATCTGTACGTAAAATTTGGAGGAGCTGGCTCTACAGGGCTTTGTGGGGATTCTCTTGGGTGACAGTGTAGCTGAGGAAACTCTACTTTGAACTAAAAATAGGGCCATTTTCATAATTCTTTTCATATTCCGCTTTGTTTTCTTTGGGTGATACATTCTTTATCAGGTATAATTTGTCATAGAATGATGTTTTCAATTGTATTTTTTCGTAACCAAAGTGATTAATTTTCAATTTACATGTGGCTAAGAAGATATATCTGATAATCAAGTTTAGTTCAAAAGTAGGTTTTTTTGTTTGTTTGTTTGTTCTATAAGAAGTACCTCATTTTGATTGCAGGGCCACGGTTAAAGTGGACTTGACAGTAAACTGAAATTTACGTTTATCGATGATGATCATGACCCCATATCAATTTCTGTGTTCTCAAATGCATTATATGGTTGTCTGAATAGTTACTCCAGATTGCCAACACTGTGATTTAAGCCTTTCACAAATTACCTGTTGTAATTCACAAAACTGGGTTTCATATTATCTGTGGCAACTATTTTTTTTAAAGATTCCTCAAAGATGTAATAATACTTGCACAAGTGGTGGCAACTAGGACAGAATGGTTCAAAACAAGAGGAAAGAACATACTATGAAATGCTATAGAGAGCCACCTACGAAATTCCCACGTGTCAGTAGAACTTCCTTCCTTCCTTCCTTTCTTCCTTCCTTCCTTCCTTCCTTCCTTCCCTCCTTCCTCCCCTCCCCTCCCATCCCTGTCTTCCTGCCCTCCTTCCTTTCCCCCTTTCTTCCTTTCTTTCATTCATTAATTTTTAATTTTTTTTTTTTTTTGAGAGAGGATCTCACTCTGTTGCCCAGGCTGGAGTGAAGTGCCACAATCTCAGCTCCCTGTAGCCTTGATCTCCTGGGCTCAAGTAGAGATTCTCCTGCCTCAGCCTCCCAAGTTGCTGAGACCATGGGGCTGGCTAATTTAAAAAATTTTTTTTGTAGAGACAGGGTCTTGCAATATTGCCCACACTGGTCTTGAACTCCTGGGCTCAAGTGATCCACCTGCCTGGGCTTCCCAAAGTGCTGGGATTACAGGTGTGAGCTACCATGTCTGGCCTCTTTTATTTTATTTTATTTTGCGAGACAGGGTCTCTCTCCGTCACCCAGGCTGGAGTGCAGTGGTGTGATCATGGCTCACTGCAGTCTCAACATCCGAGGCTCAAGCAATCCTGCTGCCTCAGCCTCCCAAGGAGCTGGGACTATAGGTATGCACTACCAGGCCCACCTAATTTATTTATTTTTTATTATGTAGAGACAGTGTCTTACTTTGTTGCCCAGGCTGATCTCCAACTCCTGGACTCAAATGATCCTCCCACCCCAGCCTCCCAAAGTGCTGAGATTATAGGTGTGAGCTACCATGCCTGGCCCGGAACATTTTCAATATGGTTATGGAAACATTATCAACTGGACACAGTTGCTTGATTTCTCAGCTTAATTGGAGTTATCTTGATGTAATGGAATTGAACAAATGTGACCATTGAGCTCTCAGACTTGGTTTTGAATTCCACTTTTTCCATTGACCAGCTATGAGGCCTTAGTCAAGTTCCTTAATCTCCTTGACCCTTAGTCTCCTTATCTGTAAAATGGCGATATAATAGTACCAATCATGCTCAATTGTCATGAAAATTAAATTAATTCATGCATGTGAAGTATTTACATTATAGAGGAAGAAAAATTTATTTTCCTTCCACTCGTCTAAGTTCTTGGCTGCTAACTCTGTAACAAAAGACAAATTAACAAAGAAAAGCATACAAATTTATTTAATATAAATTTTATGTGACACATTTCCTTCATAAGGAAATGAAGACTTGAGGAAACAATTAAAGCTGAATGTTTTTATAGGTTCGATGAAGAATGGACAGTCCTGGAAAAATGTGATAAGACAAAAAAGAGTATGTGCTAAGAGTAGTAAACCGAAGGAAACGTAGCAAGGCCTTCTTATTTAGATTCCTTTTGATGTCCTTCCATTTTCAGATATACAGTTGCTTTTTTCCTCTGGGTTTTGGGAAGGGCACCTCTCACATGACGATCTTATGGCCTGCTTCTGGGGAAAAGGATGGGGAAATGTCAGAGAGTCCTTGCATATATCATCTCTCAAAACTCTTAATCTTAAATATTCAGTATGTCAAGGTGCCATATTTTGGGGTAGCATGTCCTGAGCTCCATCAACATTAATGTAAAAATATTTAGCCTAATGCCTGGCACATATCAAGAGCTTAAGAAATGCTGACTCTAAAATTATGACATCTAGGAAGATGTGGGGCAGAATTGTAAACTTACCTGCTAAATTACCTATGAGCTGCCCACCATTCGTTAATTATGGCAATAATAATGGGTTTATCATGCTGTATCCTCACTCTTGCAAGCAGTGTTCCTTGTGCTTAGCAGTAAATGTTGCCTAATTTGGGGCATGCTGGTGTGTCTGCAGACTGTTCTTGTATGTGGAAAGGTAACTGGCCTGCTTGGCTTTTTTTTTTTTTTTTTTTTTTTTTTTTTTTTTTTTTTTTTTTTTTAAAGAGACAGAGTCTCACTCTGTCATCCAAGCTGGAATACAGTGGCCCGATGACAGCTAACTGCAGCCTTGACCTCCAGAGATCAAGTAATCTTTCCACCTCGACTTCCCAAGTAGTTGGGGCCACAGGCATGTGCCACCACACCCAGCTATTTTATTTTTATTTTTATTTTTTTGTAGAGACAGGGCTTCCCTGTGTTGCCAAGGCTGGTCTTGAATTCCTGAGCTCAAGGGATCCTCCTGCCTCAGCCTCTCAAAGTGCTGGAATTACAGGCATGAGCCACCACTCCTGGCCATTTTTTTTAACTTCATGCATGTAGCTCTTCCATATCACCTTACTGTATAAAAGGGAACAATACCCCAGAAACCTTTCTTTTAAATAGTACCTGGAAACTCTAACCTTGCTTTCTTTTTATTTAGAGAAAAGGTGCATTTTACCATGATAGTGAAGGCATTTACATGGATTAGATGGAGTTTTTTGGATTTTTTTTTTTTTCAAGAAAAGGTTTTTCCAAGTGGTTTTGTTGGCTTTTAAAACAAAAGCAATCACAGTAAACTGAATCTGTTTCTCTTTTGAAGCATACATGTGTTGATTGCTAACTCTGTGCTAGGTACTGTCTTGGATTTTGGAGGCTGTGATGAGTAAGACCCCCATCCTTGCTAATAAGGTCTTTATGACAGTAATATTATAGAAAGATTTCTAAGTTTTGGCCAATGGCCAACTATTTCTACTAGAAGTTCTTCCGTAGATCTCAGGGTGTACCCCTACGTCTGTTGCTTTTGTATTTTTTCTTCAGGCTTGTGACAGTGAAATTTAACATTTTTGGGTTTCAATCCCAAGCGTTAATTTCTGGTTAATTTCATTCCCAAGTGTTAATATATAGGACATGCTGTAATTTGGTTTTGAGCCTTGTTTCATTAGGTTTGGCTCCAAGGACACACAAACCAGAAAACAACTTATTTTCATTCCTTTCTTTTGTGGCTGTTATCCATATGGTACTGCTCATCTCCCTCTTGTGACTGTTACCTTTCTTTTGTAATCGAGTTGTCTCATGATGTCATCGAGGCAATTAATTGAAAATACACTGCCTGTCTGGAATCAGAGACAACTCAGAAAATTTTGCAGTCTTCCATGACATGCCCAGTGACAGCTGTGCTTGTCACTATTTCTTCTGGGAAATCCCAGGGAATTGTCATAGTCTGCTGTCCTGGTTACCCAGGATTTCTCACTTAAAGCTGAATTGGTGGTTGGATTCAAGGATGCAGGGGCGCCCAAATTATGGTAAGAGGTCTAAGAGGCTCCTCCTTACATTTACCTGTTGTCACTCAGGAAAAGTAGCAGGGGGATCTTCTTGCGCACAATCTCAGTAATTGAAAAATGAAGGTAGTAGCTGATCTCCTTTTCAGAAAAGGTACAGGTGTTGGCGTTTGTTATAAATACCTATTCTGAGAAGCCTGCACAGCAGTAATGGGGAATACTCCATAACCTGCTGTCCCCAGTGATTTTCAATAACATGTGGCATTTGGGGCCACCTTTCCTTTTGACTTTGTCTTTTACATTTAAAATTTATTAAAGCAACATTTTTCTGGGTTGCAAGCACAAAATGGATTTTTTTCCTAGAAGTTTTGCATATTTCTTGTTATTTCTTTAACACAGTACGTTTTCCTTCCCTTGTGTGATCTGCATTTTAAAATTGGAAAAGTACACTGGGTATTTGCTTATTCAAACTGGCACAATAGGCATACAGGCTCTAATAATTAGTCATATGCTTGGAAATTGTCAGTGTTCCCCATGGTTCACAAATTTAAAATAAAACTCACTGCTATCTTTTATTTTGATCCAGTTGATTTTTCAGACTACCTTTCTAACCTTATGGTCCTAGGTATTCTCCTTGCTATAACTCATATGTTCTTTGAACAAGCCCCATGCTGCTTTACCTCCGTACCATTGGCAGTACTTGTCCATCTTCTTGGATGATCTTCTTTCCCCATCTTGGCTTGTTGAAATCACTTAAATAGGTTTGTCATAAGTGATGATGGTCCAGCACTGAGCTAGGAGATATGTGTGGGTGCCAAGTAAAACAAGACATGGTCTCTGACCTTGAGGACCTTTGAGTCCAGTGCCTCTTGAAAGCCTATCCATCTTCCAAACCACTTCCTTCACTAAGCTTTTTCTCATTACCTCAATAGAAGTAGTCTGTCTCCCCTGAACCCTAAAGCATTTTGTTTATGCCTGTCTTGTCACATTGATCACATTCCACTTTATAGTATAGTTATTTGTGGTCAGGTTTATCTCCCTACTCAGTTGTAAATTCCTCAAGGACATATTTATGTTTACATGTCAGGGTTTAGAATTCTGTTTTCTACATAGTAGGTATTTGATAAATATTTATTGAATTGATGGGGCCACAAGAATAAAAATCCATGCTAAGAATTGGTGAGGGGATCTTGTCATATAATATTTTGTATTTCTTATTCAGTACAGTTAAGGGAATTTAATTTTCAAATTCTACTCTAATAAAAGGATGGAAAATGGAAATATGAATGCCTAGTTCTCTAAGTTTGGTATGAGAAAGTGGCTGGGGAAGGGGTGGGTGTGTGAGACTGTTTCATGTGTACAGTATTGTATCATGAGGCAGATACTTAATTTCAGGAAACAGCCTAATGAATATGAACACTTGGAAAATTAGTTGCCCATTCTATTAATTGTTTATTTGTGAATGAAAGGGGCTAGTCAGGCTGGAGGATTGCATGGTTTCTGGAAGTCGGTATACTAAACTATCTCCAGATGTGGGGAGAAAGAAAGACGTCCACATTTTATTGCATATAACACTTTGTTGCACAATTCACAATTTGAGCTTAGAGGTTTTTTTTTTTTGCTTCTGTTTTCTAGTTATTTATTTTAGTGTTAGATCTCTGTTCTCTCTTCTACCTCTTACAAATTAACTAATAGAATAATTTAAAGGAAACATTTAGTAATGTGCTTTTATTGAAGTTAGGTGGTCTAGTTAGAAGAAAGAGACTAGGTTATTTTTATATGGAGGAATATTTGTTCTTCCTCGAGTTATTTATTTTGTTTGGAGACATTTATATGATAAATTTACTTGTATATGAATTTTCAAAAATTTTGTTAAATCAAGAATTGTTCCTTTACTCTGCAGGTAGAATATTTTAAAATTGAGCTTAATCATTATTCCAGAGAATTTGATAAACACATTTAGTGAAACTTGGATGGCATAGCCTTACAAGCTGGTCTTACAAGTTATTATTTTCATGGCTGAATGCTAACAGACTGCATGTCTTGCTTTATCAGAGTGTAAAGTGAGACCTTTTTTTTACCTTGAATTTTTTTGTTGTTGTTCTTTATGCAATCATTTAAACAATAGCTCTGGCATCACTTGATTGTGCTATTAGCCTCACCTTTTCAGCAACAAGTATTCTAAATTCCTATCTTGGGAGCTGCTTGGGAACCTGGATTTTTGTATGATAACCAGTCAAAAAATAACATAAGATTGATGTCCAGGGTTGGATTTTTATGTGTCATTTAAAAATGGCATTTGTGCCACAGTTCACTTTACAGCCGTTTTCCAGATAATTCAAAATACTAGAAAAATCCATCTGGTCCTTTAGAAAACTATCCTGGAGCCCTTCCCTTCATGTGCAGGTTATAGAAAAAACTCTGGCTGGATGGATGCTTTGGTGACTAATTTAAAGTATCTGGCAGGACGATTGATAGCGCCTTTCCTTTGTGTTGTAACAAATATATTTCGGCTGCAGTTTATTAACATAATTCAGCACAACCACAGACATATTGTACATATTAAAGCATAGAATTAGAACCATTTTTTGCACATCACAGTCTTCTCTTGCTTGTACTTTTTTTTTGACAAGGATCTGGATAATTGCTTCAACAAATGAACTGCTGTGTTCAGTCTGTTTCTATAATTTCATAAATTGTTTTCATGCTAAAACCAAGCAAGCTTTCACTGAGTTAATATAAAGAACCGCAGTGTAATTACAGGAGCTGTATTATTAAAAAGTATGACAGCAGTGGCAGCCTAAGTGACAGCTACTTTCTCCTTGCTTTATCATGACAAATTAAAAAACTCTTTTAAGTGCCAGGGAGCAACAGAATTTGCTATATACACGTCATCTTGAAAATGGGTATGCACTCATGACTAATTATTTTAAGTGTGTGTATGATGTTGTACCCCTGGAAAGACTCCATGTACCTAATGATCTTCTGAGTGTTGCGTTTCTTCAACTGTGAAGCAAGGAAAGGTGAAATACCATGTATGAGAATGAGAGTTAAGTTACCACAGGGTAGATGACATTTTAAAAGCAGATAGGAGTTTTTTAAGATCTACTTTGTATTTTCTTCACTGATTGCGTTTAAATTCTGTTGGGCCAACTGATCAGAGACTACCTATCTCTGTTTCAATTCATAGACCCTTATAACCCTGATAAATTATAGTAATTTAAATATTTTGTCAGTTTATCATTCCTTCAAACTTGTATCTGTAGTCTGCTTTCTTGTCATACATACATTGTTGGGAACCTCGGATTCCTTCTGGGGGTATTTAAGGAAAGATGTTACTCACTGGCCGTTCCTTTCAAGTTTTACTGAATTTAATTATAGTGGTGCATCTGGCAGGCATGAAAACCATTAGATGAGCAAAGGGGGCTCCCAAATGCCACTCTATGAGCATAATTTAAAATGCTTCGGATTCAGCAATCCTCCTTCAGTTGCGTTATTAGGTACATTGCCTTGTACTGTTATCCTTCTGGTTGTGGTTACATGGTGCGCCCAGTTTTTGCCACCCCTTTTCCCTTCCCTCATCACTGCATTGTGTGATATCTATATTATGTTGCTGGGCCTTTCCTTTAGAATTTGTGGAAATAATGGTATATTTATCCATAATATGGATGAGATACAAATGATTTGGTATTAAGGGACATAAGTGATTTGCCTTCTTAAGAGCTTGTGATTATCAGACAGAAGATGGCAGAGAAGAATAAGAGCAAAACAAAGCCAAACCTGTTTCTTCTATTGTCAATTCAGTCAAAATGGAGGATACTAAGAGACAGGAGTCCTGAGAGGAGGGGGTACCAAGGGAAAGGTAAGAAGGGCAGGTAAGGGATTCAAGACCTACTGGAGACAAGGGGGAAGAGCAACAGTTTTGTCAAAAAGAAAAAGATCAGTGATCTTTCTGGAAGTCCAGCAGAGAAGACCTTTCTTGAGATTAGTTTAAATTAAGAACTAGAATAGAAATATGTCCCATAGATAAATTCCATAAAGCACACTCCTGGGATTCTGCTGTCCAGGTACCTGAATAGTTTGTAGCCATCTTCTACATACCTTTATTACCTGTAACATAAGGAAGCATAGGAGATACAAGGATGAAGTTCGGTCTTCTCCTTAGCAGGCTGGACACAGTTTTAGCAGTTATTTCTATATGCTCATATTTAGCTTGTTTTCCAGCTGAGCTCCAATTTTTGTTGTCCTGGAGCAGCTCAAGCTTTCACCTTTGGGCCTGTAGATTCCTATCTCAGTTCACCTCCATGAAGCAAGACTAGGTTGGTGCGCCTTCTCTTCATATCATAACACCCTATGGTTTCCCCCCCTCTATTGGAAATTGCTTATTTACTTTCCTTGCAGCTCAAGCTTCTTGAGGATACTGTGGGTTTTATACTATGTATACAATCCCCAGCACAGAGTAGGCATTCACAAAATACTTGTTGTAGTAATGATTTCATGTCTGAGACTTTTGTTATAAAAGCTCTCTGAGCCTTTGAAAAGTGGCTCCGAAAGGTCCCCTGGGGTGCACTTTTCTCTAGGCAATCAGTGATCAGAGTTAGCCAAGCCTGCTGTATCCCCTTTCATTCAAACAGCCCATGTTGCGCATCTTTCACAAGGCTGTGTTCTAGGTGCTAAAGAAACACAGAAAAATCCCAAGATCCCTTCCTGTACAGGAGACTGAACTTAGGTTGGCAAGGTATGATGTTTAGGAACCTTAAGTACATAATAAAAACATTATAAAATATGGAAACCTAGAGCTTTGAAGAAATGTTGAGCATATTGAAACTTATGCATGTAATGGAAGAGGAAGTGGAGTTTGACTTTTGCCTATTTCAAGTTTGCATGCTTCTGCCGGGCTTTGGAAACAGTACCTCTATTTTTCAGATCTCACTGACTCCCTGTCAGGTTATCTTTTCATGACATCAACTTATCTATTAAGTAATTAGGGCATATTTTAACATGTAAAGTGTATGTCTGGGAGCCATATATTTTGGAAATGTACAGTGTGCACCTGTGGTCCCAGGTACTTGGGAGGCTGAGGCAGGAAGATCCCTTGAGCCCAGGAGTTCAAGGCTGCAGTGAGCTATGATCTTGCCACTGAGTCCAGCCTGAGTGACACAACAAGAGTCTATCTCTTTAAAACAAAATTTAAAAAATTGATTATTTTTAAATGCTTATTTTGTCTAAGAATTAATAATCATAATAAACTTTTTTTTTCTTTTAGTTTTAAGGAGCAGGGAGTTTAATAGACAAGAAAGAAGGGGGAAGAAAGAAAAAAGAAGCTCCCCTGTACAGAGACAGAGGGAGGGGGAAGAAACGTTTTTATTTACCATTTACTCTGTGTCTATCACTGTGCTTAGCTTTTTAAGCAAAATATTTCTAATGTGTACAAAATTGCTGTGTGAAAAGTAGTACCATTCAGTTGTTACAAGTGAGGAATTGGGGTCTCAGGGAAAATAAATAACTTAAAAATAGGAAGTAGGAAGTACCCCTAAGGAATCTTTTTCTGCTCATGGAAAGTAGAGGATAAGGGTAGATTTAGTTAATCACAAGCTTTCTACTCTTTTTGAGCCTGCCCTCCCCTGACGTAAATTTGATGTCTCAAATTTCTTGAAGGCTTTATTTAAACAGTGCTTTGTGGTCCCTTCTGGCAGTGTGACTGATGCTTGTACCATGGGGGTTTTTGGATACCTGGAACTCCATATTGGTCATAAGAGTAAATTGGGGATCCTGGGAACCCTGTCTTACTCTTTAAAAACTGTGTTCACACATTAATGTTTCAGGAGAGTCAAATTTATTTTGCCTGTTTTGTGTTTTTAAAAAAGAGATCAATTTTGTTAATCTATAAGTTAGGTCACTAGAGTTGGAACTACAGTATTAAGGGGCCTTCCATCTGGAAGTCTTAACTGCCTAGACAGGGTAGGAAAACATCACCTTAGATTTCAAAAAGACTTAAAATGAACCTCATCTGAAAATGAAAGCATCCGTGTAGCATATACAAATACATTAGCACACTATGCTATGTTCAAGTAGAGTTGTTAATTTCTCTGTGTATTATTTTAAACAAGATTGGTAAAGTAGGAAAACCAAAACTTTTTTTGCTTTGAAAATTTATTCTGTAAGAATATAATAAAATTGTTTACTTACCCTAAAGTGTAGCCGTTATCAAAACTCTTTCCTTTAGACGTGTTTAGTTTAACCACCTGCCTAAAGGACCACTGAGTTTGAATTGTTACAGCCAAGTTTACAAGTGTGGACTTGGTCCTGTGTTTCTTTTAAATGCCACTTCATAAGACCACCCCTTTTTTTCTACATTCCCTAATTATTTTCTCCGTCTCTCCTTGTTGTCTGTTTTTTTCTTTCTCTGAGGTTTTGCATTACTTTTATCAAAACGAATCCCCTTTTTAAAACTGGATACCACAGCGCACTGTGGCTCACGCACTTTGGGAGGCCAAGACAGAATGATTGCCTGAGCACAGGAGTTTGAGATCAGCCTGGGCAACATGGTGAGACTCTGTTTCTATAAATTTTTTTTTTTTTTAAAGTCAGCCAAGTGTGGTGGCACACTCCTGTGGTTCCAGCTACTTGGGAGGCTGAGACAGGAAGATCGCCCGAGCCCAGGAGGTTGAGGCTGCAGTGAGCTGTGGTCACACCACTGCACTCCAGCCTGGGTGACAGAGTGAGACCCTGCCTCAATAAATGTGTTAGTCCGTTTAGAAGCAAGTCACACATTATGTGGATGGCCGCAGGCCAAAGGAGCTTGTGCAGATAAATTCCTGTTTTTAAAAACCATCAGATCGCCGGCCAGGCGTGGTGGCTCACACCTCTAATCCCAGCACGTTGGGAGGCCCAGGTGAGTGGATCACCTGAAGTCAGGTGTTTGAGACCAGCCTGGCCAACGTGGCGAAACCTCGTCTCTGCTAAAAATACAAAAGTTAGCTGGGCATGGTGGCGGGAGCCTATAATCCCAGCTACTCGGGAGGCTGAGGCTGGAGAATTGCTTGAGGCTGGGGCTGGAGAATTGCTTGAACGTTGTGGGGTGGAGGTTGCAGTGAGCTGAGATTGCGCCACTTCACTCCAGCCTGGGTGAAAGAGTGAAACTCCGTCCCCCTACCCACAAAAAAAAAAAAGCTATCAGATCTTGTGAGACCCATTCACTGTCAAGAGAATAGCATGGGAAAGACCTGCCCTGATGATTCAGCCATCTCCCATGGGTCTGTCCCACAACATGTGGGAATTATGGGAGCTACAAGATGAGATTTGGTTGGGGACACAGAGCCAAACCATATAAATAAATTAATAAATAAAATTGAATGCCTATATATTTCTCCCCTCTAATCCATTCCTCAGAGTCTCTGACAGAGTGAACTTTTTTCTTTATTATTAACTTTTAAAGCTAATCCTTTAAAAAATATTTTTTCTATTCTCTCAAGTTTTTGTCTTTTATACATGTTTGAATTAAGTCATTGTTCTAAATATACATGTAAGCTGGTTTATAAATACTATAATTACTTCTCTTACTTAGGACTCAAATGTTGCTCATAATTGAAATTGTAAGCCCTTATTTTCTGTTCTAGCAGCAGGCACTCTAAATGGCTTGTTTAAAAAAAGTTCTTGACTGGGCGCCATGGGTCACGCCTGTAATCCCAGCACTTTGGGAGGCCAAGGTGAGTGGGTCACTTGAGGCCAGGGGTTTGAAAAGGTTAGCCAGGCATGGTGGTGTGCACCTGTAGTCCCAGCTACTTGGGAGGCTGAGGTGGGAGGATCACCTGAGCCTGGGAGGGTTAAGGTTACAGTGAACCGTGGTTGTGCCACTATGCTCCAGCCTGGGTGACAGAACGGGACCATGTCTCAAAAAAAAAAAAAAAAAAAAAAGAATTCTTGAAAGGTTGGACTCTTTATTAGTTATCACTAATTATATCACAGACTCTGAACTCTAAGAATGCTTGTTTTCATGGCTCTGGTCTCTGTTGTGCTGTAATAAACTTCCATTTCATATTTTCTGAAGTTGTCACTTTGAGTTCTTTCTTTGGCAATAAGAAAAGCTTCCATTCAGTCCATCTTAAATGTGGAAAACAGTTTTATGTAGCACTTGTTACTTAACAGTAGTCATGGGACTTAAAGAAAAATGTTGAAGCTTAGAGGTGGTAAAGCATAGTGGTTTAGAGAGTAGGTAGTGAAGTTGATCGGAAGTCCTGGCTCTGCCTTGGCAAAGGTGGTTAATGTCTGTGCTTTGTTGTTGTTTTTACCTGTAAAATTGAGATAATGATAGCGTGATACCCTCCTAAGAGGGAAAAGTCAGGATAAGCTGAGTTTGTCCATTCAGAGTGTTTAGAACACTGCTTGATAGTAAGTGCGTAAGAAGCGTTGCCAGTATTTTTAAACTTAACTTTGCAGATAATATATGAAATATGCAAATAAGTAGAAATATATACTTGAAAACATGAAATCTTTAGGATAATTTCCTCTTTTCATTCTCTACTAATTTATTGTTGGTGAATTAGATAGAGGTCACAATCTAGTCATGTGTTTTACAGAAAGTAGTTACAATGTTGTGTTCCTTTTGAAATACTGACTTATTCTTTGGCGTGTATGAGGGGACATCACATGAAGTCATTGTTGAAAAAGATGTGTCCATTAAGAAAGTTGGTGCTCTATTTGTGTAATTCCCGAGAGTGGAGGGATTTGTTTGGTACAGTAGCCTTATTAGCTTTACTAAAACAAACACACAAAAACAGACTGACACCCACAAGTATTTTTGTCTTGTTTTACAAGGTCTGGTTTCTTTATTGAAGTAAAATTCACATAGCATAAAAATTAATCATTTTTAACCTTTTCTTTTCTTTTCTTTTTTCTTGAGTTGGAATCTCTCTCTGTTGCCCAGGCTGGAGTGTAGTGACGCGATCTCGGCTCACTGCAACCTCATCTCCTGGGTTCAAGTGATTCTTCTGCCTCAGCCTCCAAGTAGCTGGGATTACGGGCGCCCACCACCACGCCCGGCTAATTGTGTTTTTTTGTATTTTTTAGTAGAGCTGCGGTTTTGCCATGTTGGCCAGGCTGGTCTCAAACTCCTGGCCTCAAGTGATCCACCCAGCTCAGTGTCCCTAAGTGCTGGGGTTACAGGCATGAGCCACCGTGCCCAGCCCATTTTAACCATTTTAAAGTATATAATTCAGTGGCTTTTAGCGTAGGTTTAGCATAGTTTTGTAGCCATCTGTCTCTCAAGATCTTTCTAATTGAAAAGGATTTATATTTAAAGTTTTATGAGTTTTGCTTTGCATTTAAATTATGTCATGCAGCTTTTCTAAAATAAACATAGCAGTTCTGTGTTTCACAAAATTAAACAAAAGTTGGCATTTAATTAATATGAATGGGGCATTGCTTCTCTTTTATAAAGTGTTTTTTAAAAAATCTCTCTTACAGAGAGAGAGAGAAAGAGGTTCTAATTAAGATGGGTCCCAGATGTTTGCTTTGTATTGGTTTGTATTGTACTTCTGTTGACTAAGCAGGTAGTTGTTAGTGGTTTTAAAATTGTGAACTAATTAGAACAATACGAAGAGAATTGAACATCTATCTTGCCAACATCCAGATCAAATAAAATTTAGACTTTTATTATTATTTAGGATGTTATTTAGTATACAAACTCATGTAAAGTTTTATTTACTAGAGTTTACATTCTTTTGTATCTTTTTGATTTGAGGAAAGAAAAAAATGGACAATTTATATGAAATTTCTAACATTTTAAGCAGTACTGTGACAGAATGTTTTTTTATAAAATACCTAATTTTTAAGAGAATATTTGAGAGAGGTTTGAAAATATACCTAAACAGAAAAAAAATTAAAGAAAAGTGTATATTTTTCTGGGCATTAATAAAATCAGCCAAGGTTATGAGCAGAAATACTAACAGCAGGTTTGGGATGTTGATAGTGAAGCTTACCTAAAAATCTTAAGTTAAAAGTTTTAAGTTATTGCCAGATTTCATGGCACTTGCAACCTCCTTTTTAGTTTTGCCTAAAGTGAAGCATCTTAGACCAGAAAGGATGCTCTAATTGTTGAGTCTTTATTATGGCATTTGAGAGCTGCTTATTGCTGATAAATAGTGTTTATGTACTATATGTTTAGCGTCTCAAAATTATTTTCTTCAATGGAGCAATTTTGCACACAGACAAAAAATTTGTGACTTTTGGTGTGTGATGTTAGGGTGAACCTGATTGTTAAAAGTTTAACAAATATTTGCATTGGTAGCAGTTAATGTGTATTAAATGTTTATTTTTAAAATCATATGTTTTAAATAATATGAAAAATGTAATTTTAACTGGTTACAAGTTTTCTTGTATAACATTAGCATTCTACCTGACACTGTGTAGAAGTAAATTTTGATTTTAGCTCTGTAACCACATAAATACAATGCTGGATTAAAGCCTTTGGCCCTGACTTATCTGCTAGTGTGTGAACATTTCTGTTTGCAGTGCCTGACTTCATTGCTTCCTGGACCAAGGAAGGATTACTTTTGCTTCTTGATAGATTTAACCTAATCTATTACTGGTTTGACAATTGGAGGCATAAAGGGTAACCATCAGCATCTTTTCGAAGCATGTAATGCTACTTGGAGAACAATATTCCAGTAAGGAAATTTCTTGTTTTCGGAAATTCCCAAAAATTCAGTGGATAACTCATAGAATGCTTTTAATATATACAGTAAGATGGCATCTTCTATTTCTAAAGTATTTAGTTTATCATTTTATTAGTCAAGGAATACTATAGAAAAGAGCAGTAGATGAAATGAGGGTTTGGCAGCATCAAATGATAAAAATCCATGTTCCTGGATGCAGTTAAAACAGAAATGTAAAAATGTTCCCATCTGTCTAAGCCATCAGTTTCTGATACAGTCCCTGGAGGAAGTGGCTGAAAAGTCATTTCCACCTAATGGGTTGTTAGGTTGCTTCTGTACAGTAAGTTGGTGGTTGCAGCCCACTTCCTCTAAGACAAAGGTCCATGTCTCCAAAACCCCATCACAACTGACACTAATTGGCATTGCTCTCGGCCCAGGGCTGTGAAAGCGGGCCTGAGTGGGCATAGAGTGGGGAGCACTGAGGGGGTATGTGGCACCACTGAAAAGACATTGTAGATTTTCCTAGTATACCACATTTAGATTTTTGTTTTCTGACCCCTGTTCATGCAATTTATATCATTTTTATGCTGTCATCTGGCTTGGGAAAAATTTTTCCAAAGCCCCATTGGTGAATACCATGTCATTAGAAAGTATTTTCACCTTACCTAATGTTGGGACTTCCAAATACTAAGTTACCTATGAAAATCTCTATGAAGTAATTAAGATGATTAGTAGTAAATACAATAAATAAGTACACATTTTTACCTCACATTTTTACACATCTAATAAACTAACATTTTGTTTTCCTTTTTTCTTAAATAAGAAACCAGAAGAGGGCATATTAGTCTTTCAGAAATCACTTTGGGAGCCACTTGGCCCAGTTCAGTTACAATTACCATAAATTAGGCAAAGAACCTGCTTTGTATTCATAAGGGTCAGGAGTGAAGGATTTAGTTCCTGCAAGGGGGTTAGAATGACAAAAATTATGAAAGCAGAATGGTACCCTCCTCTTAACAACTTTTAACTATGTCAAAGCTTGATTGCTGTATATGGCTCCATACTTTGACGATTATGTAGAAGACAGGGAAGAGAAACATTACTGAGCACTTATTATATTGGAGGGGTTGTGCTGGGTACTTTCCAGAACATTATCTTTTAAACTTTAGAGATATTACCAGACTCCTGGTTATAGAAAAGTGTGACTGCAGTTACGGCCAGTTGTACGCAATCTCTCTACTTTCCTAAATGCGTATTGAAAAATTAGTGAGTGGTGGCAGTGGGGAGGAAGGGAATTACTAAGGGAATTGATTAGTCATATTAATCATTTATATCTTTTCTCCTGCATCCATTTAAAATGAAAATGGATAGCCATTTAGGTACCCAGACCCTGCCCTCCCTGGCTTCCTCTTCCCCTCTCCATCATTTTCAGGCTCAGGAGTGTGTAGTAGGATCTTGCTTCAACAGTTGGCTTGGACTCAGCTCCCTCTGAGAAGCTCTGCTTTCAAATCTTGGAAAAGCTCATGAGGCCCTCCTCAGGAAACTGCTTACTTCTCTTGCAATGTCCCAGGGGATTCGAAACAAGTTTGGGATTTCCCTTTACCCCTGAAGTCCTTTAAACAGAGCATCTTCTTGCATTTGTGTCTGTTCGTTTAGATCTCAGCACAGTTCCCTGCCTCTTCTGGTACCACAAGTGTTAACAATATAGGGCCAGGAGTAGGGTGAGCCAAATGAGGTGCCCGAGGTACAAAATTTGAGGAGGCACTTCTTCTCGGGTTGTGCAAGTGGACTGGAAGTTGCGATTCCCCGATTCTGGAGTGTGGTCCTGGATATCTGTACTTATGTAAAGCACCACAGATGATTCTGACATATACCTGTTCTTTTTTATATTTAATAGGTAAGAGTTTTCTTTTGCTGAAGGAAGTGGAGACATTTGGTTCATAGCTAAAGAAGATGAGATTGTGCTGTGGAACCTTGTTTTCGCAGCACGTGATAAATCTCACCTTTAATTTACAGACTCCTCTTGCCCCTTCCAAGATGTTTAAATAATAAAAGATGTATCATCATCATTTTCTGTGATCCCAAATTAAAGCAAGAGGCACTTTCACATTGAAGGCGTTATTAGCACATATTTTACATTTCTACCCTTTGTTGTGCATTATTATTTCAGATGAAAGGTAGGACACCTGACAACTGTGTACAGAGATCCTCAGGTTACTAGCTCAGGTGTAATTCCTTCATACACAAACTAACTTTATTCATGTATAACCCTAGCTCTTTATATTACTTCTAACACCAGAAGACTCTCGCCACCCGCCGCACCCCCGCATCATTACCTTTTTAAAATAAAACAAGTAGGTTGATTTAGGGGAGGGAGAGTTACTATTTTAACTAATTGAAACACAAAACTGAAATATTAAATATAGGTAAACATTAAAAATGATGTTTTTCAGCTAGAATATGGTTAGGTGAGGAAGCATGTATACCTTAACTTTAAAATCTGTTATTTTCTGATTAAGGAATAAAATGCTGAATTTGTCAATAGACTGGAAATCTAAAGAAAATAATACTGTACAAATACACACCCACTTAAAATTGTACTACGTCTGCTTTACTTTTTTAGGAGACATACCATCTGGCAGCTGTGTCTCAGTGTTAAACAACTTGAGCACAGGTAATATATTTGACAATTAAAATAATAGCCTCACATTTATTGGATATGATCAAAGTATTAAAGCATGCTTATCACCAGCTCTATGGATATTCAGATAATGTTTCAGTGAAAAATCATATTGAATTGTGCTTTCCTTATCTATTTATGATTCACTCAAGTAGAACACACTAATTGTGCAAATAGGGTAGGAAACAGCCATCTCACAAACTTACAAGGTACTTTACAGAAATCCAACTGATGTTCAGTGTCATAAATAGCAGTATTTGTGGTCATCAATGTAGGGCCCCTCTTGGATTACTTAAAGTACATACCGTAGTCTAGATATAGGTTTCTTATATATCAGGGTTTTAAATATGAGTGAGTGATACAGTAAAACCGTTGGTTGCCCCTGTTTTCCTTTATCATTCTTCGTAGACCAGCAAAGCTGGTTTGTGTGTATTTGGTCATCCGATAATATATTGGCTTGTCCTATGGTGCTTGTATGGAAGAAGTGGAAGCACCACAACACATGGGCATGCGCTGTTATCAATTTATCAATGAAAAATGCAGATGTATGAAAGTATTAAGCATATCTTAATATATTACTTTTTTTTGACATGGAGACTCGCTCTTTCGCCTAGGTGGGAGTGCAGTGGCGTGATCTCGGTTCACTGCAACCTCTGCCTCCGGGTTCAAGTGATTCTCCTGCCTCAGCCTCCCGAGTAGCTGGGATTATAGGCATGTGCCACCACGCCTGGCTTATTTTTGTATTTTTAATAGAGATGGGGTTTCACCGTGTTGGCCAGGCTGGTGTTGAACTTCTGACCTCAGGTGATCCACCTACCTCGGCCTCCCAAAGTGCTGGGATTACAGGCGTGAGCCACTGCGCCTGGCCTCAAACTGCTTTTTACCTTTACTTAAAGACAAGTTGAGGGAACCATTCATTTGAAGAAGGTGTTAGAAGGGTGTGTGTGTTTTGTTATGACACGTTTTTGTACCTAGGCTTCCGTTCACAGCCATCTCTGCCTTGCAGCAAGAGAGAGTATTGAATTTCTACTTCTTTCCTTTTGATCCTATGAAAGTTGTAAATCTCTGTAGTATGTAAGTTATGACCTAACTCTCCAAATTACTTGAATATGATTGACATTAAGCTCATATTCCAAATCACTTTGCTCCACAGTTCAGTTATTTGTAGGCAGGAAGCATATTTGTTTATGAGGGAGCAGGAAGTATATTTGTTTATGTTTTTATATTTCATAATTTCTAGCATTGTCTTTGGAGTAGTCAAATCTTAGCAAATGAAGGGATGAATGCTTTGTGATAGGCTACATACATTTTAATGTTCAGTTGTTTTTATATGGGTGAATGGATATTGGAGAGACTAAAGTTTTACATGTCCTTGAAGTATACTTTTGTTGTTAATTTATTCATATTTAAGGCACAACCCTATTTAATATTTTGTGCAAAAACCAACTTTAAGGAAATAGAAGTGAAAAATACATATTTTGATGTTTGGCTTTTTCAAAAATGCAAAGCATCTCATTTAATTTCCAGGTAGAAGGAATAGGTATTGCCCAGGATATATACACTGCCTGTGAGCCAGTGCCCGCCTCTTAAGCTGTGATGAGTCTGTTTTCCTATTTTGGGTTTCAGGTACAGTATGGTAAAAGTAGCCTTTGGTGGTAGAGATGAGAATGGTGGAGGGGAACATATGCTTTTCTATAATGACAGGGAGATCTAAGGTTAGAATGTTACTAGCGTTGCCTGGAAGAATAGTAAGGCATGTGGACTTAGAAGAAGGTACTTATTTCTAGTGTATCCAAAACGTCTCTTCCCCGTAGTGGTGAGTTCATTCTGCCACAGCCAAGCCTACCAGGAATGATTATCTTTTGTCTCTCTTATGTGAAGTTGGATGACTAAGGCAGTGATTTCTGAACAGCAACTTTTGCATATTCTGCTAGTAAATACATGCTAAATATTTCATGTGAATTTTATAGTTTCTATTTTTAGAAAGTTGTCCCTGGAATTTGTAGATAATACTCAGTAATAGACATTTTAGCAACTTCATCACTTTTATTTTTTAATTCACATAATTTTACAAAAGTTATGTCCACTTAAAAGCTTTATCTGCTTTTATTTTTTCCCCAGTCAGATCATACTTAGAAAACCTGAGGTTAACATAAATTATATATTGATAGCTTCTTAGCAGTCTAGCAGATTTCAATTTCTTAGAAAGATGTTATGGAACCAAAAATTTGACAGATAAATGTAAAGTGTCTAGCACGTGATGTGAATAGTAACAAAGATTTTATTTCATTTCTATCAATTATGCTACTATTATGAATATTACAGTATATGGTTCTTACTCTTCAGGCATGCACATAGGGTCTCTTTCATCAAGAAGCACATATACCTGGACTGAGAGACAAATTACTGATTTGCAGTCCTTAATTATTTAATGAGAAATTACAGTGAGATCCCAATATATGGATTTAACTCTTCAAAACTGCCCCGAAAACCAGGCACGGAATGAAAGAATATCATCTTTATACGATAAATAAATAAATTATATTTAAAATAGATAAATTTATATTTTAAATCACAACTAGCTTTGTACAAATAGGAGCAGATTTATTTTGTACACTTAAGATTATGGGGGAAATGACATAAAAGCTCATGCAGGTAAAGCTTATGCCTTCTCATGTGTAAAACAAATATCTAAATATATGTCTATTTGTGTCCACATACAGAGTTAAAGGACACTTTTCCATGAAATAACACATTCCTTTAGAATTGCTGTAGATTTTCATAATTTTTTAAAAACATTTCTATTGTAACCTACATCAAAAGGGCAGCCAGCGTTTTTTTTGTCTGGCTATACATATGCATTATAAAAAAGTGAGTCTACTGTAATTACCAGTTTGCAGAGCAAATTCCTGCAGGGTTTGTACTCTCCCCATTAGTAAAAGTGATAAGTTGAAATGTATTAAAATTTCACTGTACAACTGGGAGTTTTTGTTCACAGTAAATGTGTTAATGTTTCTTCATTGCTTGACTGTTTGTGTTTAAATTTAGGCAGCGTGCCCAACAGGGACAAAATTATAGGATAAAGCTATGTATAAAAGAAAATCCTTCAGAGAGCACCAGTAAGGCTCTTTTTAAAAATAAGCAGTTACATACAATAGTACATGGCTGTAGCCACAGAGAAAAGTTTTATCTGTCTAGTTCAGAATTATTGGAATTTTTCTTTCCCTTGTGTAAAAGTTAAGAGGACCGAGCTTATGTCAATAGCTAATATACTTTGATGTAAAAACATCCATTATTTTATTCAGTGTCACTTCTATAAAAAGAAAAAGAAATGATTTCTTTTTGTTGTTCCTATGATGAAGAGAAGCTAATAGCATTTTGAGAGAGAGGTGATAGATCACATTTTCTTCCCGAGTAAAGGAATTCTTTCTTGTTAAGAATTCTAATTACAGCCTGTTATATTTTTGGAGTATTTTTCTCTGCTTTTCTTCGTTGCCATGAACTTAGTAAATACAATTATTCATGTAGATAGGCTTATTTTTTAAAAAATTAATCTACAACCACAATCACCTAGCATGAATATGTAATGAAATTCACAATCACAGGGTAAAGGCTCCTGTTTCTCTGCAGTCTAGAGAGGGCAGAAGTTGCAGTTATCTGAAAATGCTGGCTGTATAATCGTTGGCCAGCCAGGGAATCAACTCTCCTCTTTCTCTTAAATGTTCAAAATATATTGTAGTTTTTACTGTTTACCTTTTGTAGTTTCTTCTGCCTGCTTCTCTGTAAGTGAAAATGAAAGAATTTGCCAGTATCCATATTCTGTCCCAAATGTCTCCATAGATCCACAAACAAATGGTGTAAAGAGGTAAAAATAAAATACGAATTTTCATTTTGCATTGTTGCTATCTTAGAAATCGGGTTTTGCAATTTACCTAGTGTGTGTAGATATCTGGAGGGGAGAGAGAGAAAAATATGAATGTATATGTGTATGTATTTTAGTGGTTTGTATTTGTACATTCACGTACCTATAGGAAAACATAAAAAGCCCCTTGGATATTTCATACTGTATATTAGCTTTCCTTCAGAAAATATATTTTTCCCCTTAAATAGGTTGATCTCCCCTGCCCCAAGATGTTTAATTTTTATTTCTTCCTCTACACTGTTCTTTAAAACATGAATTTGTAGCTGATAAACCTTAAAGTCCTTCATAGCCATTACTTTCTTTTGACTAATTTGTAGAAAGGCACCATATGAAAATTGGATTTTTGATCTGATGGAGTGATTCTTGAGTTCTTACGAGCCATTTATAGTCTATCAAGTAAATCCTTCTTAGTTCACGGATTATTGACCCAATGGACCATATTAGCTGCTTCGAAGCTGTTATAGCCCATTATGTTGATTCAGCTGACACACATGTGAACCCAGTCCACATGCCCAAGATGACATTAACGTTGTTCTAGAAGACTTTTTTTTTCTCCACAAGGCTTTGTATTTATTTCTTAATTTTCAAGAGTTAGCTCAAAGTTCCTGACAACCATTACATAGGTCTCTTGCTTTGCTCAGTGATGTTGAAGCATTTGTTTTTAGCTAGTCAGTCTGTTTTTTCCTGTCTTTCTCTTTATGTCTGTTTTTAAAAACCATCTAATCTTTAAAAGAAAAAAGAGAATAATTTTTTTTCAGCATACTAGCACACATTTTACCTTCAGATTCATATAGATGTCATAGAAATTTGTGGAATTTCTCTGAGCATATGAATTTAGCCCTTTGAATTTGAGAAAACCACCTTTTAGAAGAAATGGTAACATTGTATTTGTGTTTTTTAAAAATGTATTACCTGAGAGGTTTCACTTGAAAAATTCCAGTGACTCTAGCCACTGGTAAAATCAAGATGTGCCTTCATTGATTTATGTGAAGCGCTAATGAAGCCAGTCCAGGTCTCAGCACAGACCCCTGGGGAATCTATGACCTAACATAAATAACGTATAAGGGGGCACATAGACTGTTCATCATATCACTATTATTATTTGTAACAGGTATGATTCCTTTGCTGATACCTGCTTTTAAGTGAAGAAACATATTCTTTTATAATCAGAGATAATTATGATACACAGTTAGATGTACAATAGAAGGTATTAAAATGTTTGTTGAGATGTGTCGCTGATGGACAGTCCCAAGACAGGTATAAGTAAAATGCTGTAGAATAAACCAAGTGTTCCTGGGAATATCTTGTCTCACTGTTTTCAGATTTTGACATTTCTTAATATAACCATATAAAGACTATAAAATACTGTGCTGGGTCACTTTCTTTATTTAAAAGTGTACCACTTTTTGGCAGAAAATCCTAGTATATATGGTTAACTGCTTACTTAGCATTTTCACTTTTCAAGTTGCTTAAACCTTTACCCATCCCTCTCCCTTTTTGTGTAGTTTTGTTCACATCTCCTATTTGGTTATAAGCTCCTATTGGAACTGAAAACATATCTGAGGAAATCTCAGATTTGTTTGAGGAGGAGGGGAACAAGGGGGATTATCAGGCTCCTTTCCTCCCATGCCCAGGCTGAGTAGAAAGAGCCCTGGATTAGTAGCTGTGGCCATTTAGGGACATCTCAGAGCCTCATTTTCTGCTGTTTGAAAAAATCTCTAATTTTAGGGATTTTGATGATTAAATACAAGAATGTATTTGAAATGTTATGCAAGCTTCATAGCACTGTACAAACATGGGATATTATTAGTCTTACAGTCTGTCTCAATTGGCCTGGGTAATCAGTTGTCATCTGAAATGTTAAATTCTAAAACGTAACAACTTTTCTCCCCTGTTGCTTTACTGGGGTAAATTTTATCACAAACCTAGAGGAGTAAATTTAGTTAAAAGGTCACCTACCTATGCTCTTGCTTAGGAAATGGATTGATTACAGTGCTTTGGCATTTGAAATAAGGTGGGCAGCTCCTTTTATAAAGAGGGTAAAGATTTAGAGGAACTCCTTTCTTTAGGGAGCCCTTCACATTGCATCTGGGAAGGGAAAGATACTGACTTAGGATGAGGTGTTATATTTGGCACAACTTGGGACAACTTTTGTGTTACTTCTGTACATCTTTGCTTCGTCACCAAAGTGTGTGATAATCATGCAAATCGATTGTTCTTTCTAGGATTGGAGGTGCTTTTGAAACATACCAGAATTTAAGCTTCATCTTGTCTTGCTTCTTGCTTAATGAGGAATAGTTTCTTTGTAAAGTGCTTAAAGGTTTATAAGTCTTTTTGCATCTCATTATAAATCCTGTCCTTATTAATGTCTTCTCTATCATATTATATTAGTAATTGTTTTCATGAATGCCACAGAGAAATGTAATCACATTACCATCTTTCAAATTGCATTAGTGAAAATGAATAAAATATATATCAATGGAATACAAAATTGCTGATTCAACATTAAGATGAAATGAGATTATTATTACTTAGCATCATCAGATATGAGAAGTGCTTTGCCTCCTTCTATAAAGTTAGGTGTTCTGGTAAATATAGACTGAGTTAAAATGTGTGTTTTTCTTTTTTTAATGGCGAGCTAACCCCTTATTTTCAATTAGGTGATAGGTCTGTTCATGGAAGGACTATTTACTTTCTATTTATGTTATTACAGCTGCCTAAGTAGCCTGTAAAATTTGTAAGTATACAGGCAATAAATGGAGTATCTTAATTGTTAAATGTTAGGTAAGAAAATAAAATGTTTTTGCCTAAATTGAAATGCCTTTTCATTTCATGTTTCTTTAATATTACTAATTGCCTAACAAAATCGCATGTATTATCATAGGCCTAATTTAATTGAAACACACACACACACACGCACTCCAAAGCTTGCGTATGCTTTGATGCCATAGAAGCATGGGTATTTTCCTTATATAATTGGCTATATCCCGCTGTTGATTTTTACTCTGAACTTCTAAATTATTTAAATGGGGCCTTTCTTATATCGATTGATAGTAGGTTGTGATAGTAGGTAATGACTATGGATGCTTATTGGATCTCTGTCTGGGAAAATTTATATGCCTGTGTGTGTCCCTTTCTCCCTGTTTGTATTTATATATTCACACAGTTGTAGAAACATTTACACTCATATATAAACATATGCCCAGAAGTTTCTGGTTTTCCCTCTTTGCCTATTCCCCCTAAGCCAAATTTGTATCTTGGCTTTTGCTGAAATAATTTTTTTCATCACAGTAAATTGAGGATTTTTTTTTTTGCTGGTATACATGACAGAATTCAGCATTGTCAATTTTTAACAAATTATCTTAGAATTTTTTTAATACTTTGATATTAATATTGCTGAGCATCATAACTGAGAAGTTTTGTTTTTGTTTTTGCTTTTGCTTTTTTGCCCCGCAAATATTTGAAAGATGTACTGGATTTTTCCGGATAGAAAAATGGCAGTGGATTTTTAAATGGATATATTAGGTTTTAATATTTTCAAAGTAGAAAGGATTTTCAAATATAAGCAACAGTAAAATTTCTTTGTTCACCGTCCGTGTATTAACTCACTTAGCATTTGTGTATTGGAGACCTACTGGGCAAAAGATGTGCTGCATTATGTCTCCTGGGGAATGATATCTTATGGGATTAAATGGTTTTAACACCACTAAAAGAAAGTAGGTGGGGCAGTGGGATTCCTCCCACCCTTTCCCTGTTTTAAACAGCTTGATTGAGATATGTTTCACTTACCATACATTCCACCCATTTAAAATACTCACTGTATTTTACTATATTTATGGTTAGGTTCAGTTATCACTGAACATTTTTATCACCTCAAAAAGAAACTCCATGCCCTTTAGCTGTCACCCTAAGCCTCATCCCCCACAAGGCAGCCACTAATCTACTTTTTATCATTACATATTTCCCTCTTCTGAACATTTCATCTGAATGGAATAATAATATTTGGTCTTTTATGACTGGCTCCTGCAACTCAGCTTAGTGTTTTTCATGTTCATTCATGTTGTAGTATGTATCCGTGGTTCATTCCTTTTTATGGCCAAATAAAATTTCATTATATTAATATACTGAATTTTGTTTATCCATTTGTCAGTGGATGGAGGGATAGCGTTTTATAAAATGAAGTTTTAAATCTCCTGATTTTTAACATCATTTGATGTTCAAAGGTCAACTTTTCCCAGTGAATCTCTTTCGATTATTTTGGATGTGTTTATTGTGAAGATGATGTATTTCTTTGGTTCATAACATTTTTCTCAAGGTTTTTTTTGGGGGGAGGGGAGGGGTGGTTAACCATCTTTAAATTGCCCAGCTTTTTGTCTTTTACCATGTTGCCTGCAGTTTAAACCAATGGTACCTGGCCTTTTAGTGAGTCCAGCAAACCCAGGCTCTTGCGAATCTCCTGTCTCAGTTATAAGATCTAATGTGTTTTTTCGTTGAGAAGACACCAAGAAATTTCAGAACACATTAAGTACAACAAAATAATCATTTTTTACCAGCTTGCTATTTCTTCATATGACATTAAAAACAATTAGACAAATGTAAGGACCTTTCTTTGAATTGTTAATTAATTTTTAATTTTCTGGTTACCACCAAATAAGAGACATACTTTTAGGTATAATTTTCCATCATATGAATGTTTGAGTAGATTTTTTTAAGGAGACAGAATAACTTCATTGTTTCTCATTTGCTGCTGTTACTATTACATTAGGAGTAGTGACATTTGCACTATGGTTTAACATGCTTGTGGACCCTTAACATTTATAATCAGTTTTATAATCACTGATAATCATAGCATGTAAATTCTGTGTGCATTGTTCATTCAGACTTAGATTTATGTATTTCTTTGTATAAATGGAGAAAACATACCCACCTTACTAAAACTATAGATTTATATTAATACTCTCATGGTCAGAATTAGATAGACGTTTTAGGTTGTTAATAAAGCTTTTTTGTGGGATGTTTAAAACCGTAGATCTTTTGACCCATGTTCTGTATCTTTCTGACTCACCTCTTCCTTGTCTCCTTTTGATACTTGGTTGCAAAACTCTTCAGTACAACAGGTGGATATTCTTTTACATTCGTCATAGATGAGTTTTGTAATCAAGTACAAGTGAAATTGATATGTAGTCTTGTAGTTCATGCTGGTCTTAAGTAAGCTTAGTAGTTGTCCACCGTGCAAGAAAAAATGCAGAATTTTTTCGCTCAAGCTGTATTGTGATGTGGCCAGTTAGGAAGCTGATTTCTTCTCCCAAGGCAGTATTATATAAATTCTGAAAATTATACAGGGAGATATTTGCTGACTTAATCACCATTACTATCATGTGAGTTTTTTAGTCTTTGTGGCAATGTTTGAAGTACTGTCTTAGCATATCATACACAACCTATATAAAAGTGCTTGTTTCATCTTTTTGGTCATGTTTATAAGATCACTCTCTGCATCCACAATGCTAGCAAGCCATTAGTTTGTTTATTGCAGTGTATTCTATGGCAATCCTGGAATAATTAGCTTTCAGATTCATTACAGATAATTTGCTATTCCAGATTTTCGTCCACTAGGATAGACGTCTTTTGTGTGTGTGTGTGAGATGAAGGTCTCACTCTTCCATCCAGGCTGGGAGTGCAGTGGTATGATCATGGTTTACTGCATCCTTGACCTCTGAGGCTCAAGCAGTCTTCCCGCCTCAGCCTCCCGCGTAGCTAGAACCACAGGTGCATGCCACCACGCCCGGCGAATTTTTCATATTTTTATAGAGACGAGGTTTCGCCATGTTGTCCAGGCTGGTCTTTGGCTCAAGCTATGTGCTCTCCTCGGCCTCCCAAATTGCTGAGATTACAGGCATGAGCCACTATTCCCTGCTAGGATAGAAATGTCTTTGAAGAACAAATTTTCTTTTTTTAAGCCAGGCACAGTGGCTCATGCCTGTAATCCTAGCACTTTGGGAGGCCGAGGCAGGTGGATCACATGAGGTCAAGAATTCAAGAACAGCCTGGCCAACATGGTGAAACCCTGTCTCTACTAAAAATACCAAAATTAGCCAGCCATGATGGTGGGCGCCTGAAATCCCAGCTACGTGGGAGGCTGAGGCAGGAGAATCTCTTGAACCTGGGAGGCGGAGGTTGCAGCGAGCCAAGATTGTGCCATTGCACTCTAGCCTGGGCAACAAGAGCAAAACTCTGTCTCAAAAAGAAAAATTAAAAAAAAATTTCTTCTTTTCCCTCCATTAGAGCATTTTATTAATTATTGTGATGCATTTTCTTTTACCGCTGTACATACTGGCTAATTTTTATATTTTTTGTAGAGACCGGGTTTTGCCATGTTGCCCAGGCTGGTCTCGAACTCCTGGGCTCAAGCCATCCTCCTGCCTCAGCCTCCCAAAGTGCTGGGATTACAGGTTTAAGCCACCACACCTGAGTGGCTGCTTATGTTAATGACTAGCTTTTTCTATAATTTAATATTAATGTAGGTCATGTACTTAACTATTAAGCATTTTAAAATATTTTAAAATTTCATAATTCATATTGTAAATCTTGCTATACTCTCCAGAAATTAACAAGGGGAAAGAAGAGTTAAAAAGGTTTTTAGGGCCAGGCACCGTGGCTTACGCCTGTAATTCCAGCACTTTGAGAGGCCGAGGCGGGTGGATCACGAAGTCAGGAGTTTGAGACCAGCCTGACCAACATGGTGAAACCCTGTCTCTACTAAAAATATAAAAAATTAGCCCGGTGTGGTGGTGCGTGCATGTAATCCCAGCTACTCAGGAGGCTGAGGTGGGAGAATCACTTGAACCCTGGAGGCGGAGGTTGCAGTGAGCTGAGATTGCACCACCGTACTCCAGCCTGGGTGACAGAGTGAGATTCCGTCTCAAAAACAAACAAACAAACAAACAAACAAAAAATGGCTTTTAGGCCAGGTGCAATGACTCACACCTATAATCCCAGCACTTTGGGAGGCTGAGGCGGGCAAATCGCTTGAGCTTAGGAGTTTGAGACCAGTCTGGGCAACATGGTGAGACCCTGTCTCTACTGAAAATACAAAAATTAGCCAGAAGTGGTGGTGTGCACCTGTAGTCCCAGCTACTTGGGAGGCTGAGGTGGGAGGATTGTTTGAGCCCAAGAGGCAGAGGTTGCAGTGAGCCGAGATTATGCCACTGCACTCCAGCCTCGGTAACAGAGCGAGATCTGTCTCAGAAAAAAACAACAAAATTTTTTTTTTTAGTTATGTATGGGAGATTGGTGAAGGTTAATGAACCCATGAAGGGAGCTCCTTGTGAATAGTTGTTTTTGGTTTTGTTTGTGTGTGGAACACCAAAACCCAGAACCGGAATCAGTTTTTTCCCCTCTCATTATGATTAGTCGTTCAGAATATGTGCTTTATGCTTCTATTTGCCCAAAGGCCATATTTTGCATTTTTAAATTTGCGTCAGATAACTGGGATAAGTGTCCCTAAACAACTGCTAATAGGAGTTTTATCAGTTAGCCTTGTGTGTAGTTCTTTTGTGAAGTACCCTATATATTTACTGAAACAACAATTTGTGCTTTCCTGAGAAATATGATTTGGTCAGAAGATTGGGGTTCAATTCACATAAACTTGCAGAATTGGAACCAACTGTAGAGCTAGAGACCTCAGCTTTAGTGATAACAGAACCTATCCTCTGTATTAGAGCTTTGGAATGCATCCAAAATACTTTCAAATGTACTTTTATTTAATATTCAGATATAAAAGTGTTACTGACCAAACATTGATTAGTTTTTTTACTAAATTATTCTTCTTTGTATATTTTAGATGTACTTTTGCATATGAATATTTATAATTATTTTTATTGTAAGTTTTCTTTAGTTTTCTACAGGTAATGGAAATAAACTGAGTCATAATTGGGAGATTTGTCTTCTTCTCCACTAGATCATTTAAGAGCCGTGTAAAACACATAAACGTTTCTGAACCATAATAGTAAAACAGAAATAATAATCTGTGTGCCTACCTTAGAGGACTATAGTATGAATAATATGGTATTATGTATGTCAAAGTGTTCATTTATTTATTAAGACTAAATATGTGTTAAGCAATTTGCAAGGTGTTGGAGTAAAACAATACATTGGGAAGAATCATAAGAGAGAAAACAATCATTTAAATGTAATATGTGGAAAGTTTCTTGTGGCCATAAATGGTTGTCATTTATTGAGCTTTTCCTGTTGCCGGATAGGTTAACACTTACTTTTTCTTCATTATTTCATTTGAGTGTTTTGCCACTGTTGCAATGTCATTGTTACTATCATTTTACAGATGAGGAAGCGGGCTCAGAGAATCATGTATTTTTAAAGTGCCTTTTGAGCACCTGTTATTTGCCACTATACATTGAAAGCCCAACAGACATGTCTATCCTGCCCTCATGGAACTTAAATTCTAGAGGGGAAAACAAACCCATATCGATAATCACACCAATAAATATAATATTCACAACCTGTACTAAGCATTATGACAGATCAATTATGATACAGAAGTCTAGTGGGGAACTTGTCTTGAATGGGAGACAGGGCAGCTGCCCTGGGAAATGAGTGGTACTTGAACTCCAAAGAATAAGTAGCCGTTAACAACTTAAGCAGGACTTGGAAGGAGGGAAGCTAGAGAGCACGGTGTTGGAGAAGTAGGGATTGAGAATTTGGATAGCAGAGGAGTCAGCTGTCCAACCAAGGAGAATGGACAGCCACTGTTTCTACTCTAGTAGGCAGAATCTGACAGGAGGGTGAAAATAACCTCAGTCAAGCAAATAGCAATCAACCGTGTGGATCTCTTAAGAAGAGAGAATGTTCATGCAGATGGGGAGAGAAGAGAAACGTGTAGGTTAATTAGGAGACAGTTTAAATAGTCTAGAAAAAAAGACTGGAATTATGGTAGTAACCGTGAGAATAAAAGACAGGAAAGGAAGGGATACATAATCTTTGGAGAAAGGCAGAATATCAGTGAAAACTCTGCCCTATAACTTGCTGTGAATGGAATCGTAGCTCAGGATTCTTAGCTCAACGTGATGGTGCACGCCTGTAGTCCCAGCTACTGGGGAAGCTGAGGTGGGAGGATTGCTTGAACCTGAAAGGTTGAGGCTGCAGTGAGCCATGATCTCACCACTGTACTCCAGCCTGGGTGACAGAGCTAGACTCTGTCTCTTTGAAAAACAGAAGGAAAAAAAAAAAAAAAAGATTCCTAGTCAGTGGAATGGAGAGTTGTTTCTGATTTATAGATCTGTGACTTTACTAGTTGATTGACTTTAGGTAAGTTAGTAAATTATCTCTACCTTAGTTTCCTCTGTGAAATAAAAGTAATAGTAGTAACAACTTTATGCTATTTTCTGAGAACTAAGAATGCTGATGTTTGTAAACTCTGTAGCACAGTGTCTGGAAAATGGAAGATATTCAATACATCTAGCTATTATTATAACAGGTAATAATTTACTATTGTAAATAAATAAATTAAAATCCTGAGGTTTGGTAGAGGAGGAATAATGCATAGGAGATAGTCCTCCAATCTGTGTAAGGGTTTCATTTATGTTCTTAGTTAGGGTCTCTCCTCTAAACTCACTGCCCCCAAACCCCAAACTATCAAGTCCTTGATCACAGGGACACTGCCATCCACTTCCCACCACTTAAGAGGCAGTGCCTGGCTCCACAGTGACGGTTTTTGCTTAGTGGTGATATTTGAAGCTGTAGGAGGGCGTGAAGTTGCCAAATTAAAGAATGAAGAGCTTGGCCATGGGAAACACCTGTATTTATTTACAGTGGAGAGAGAGAGAGAGAGAGGAGAGAGCAGTTGATGCCAGAAAAACTAGGATAGTCAGTCTCTACAGCCCAGGAATGAAGGAGAGTTAGTGCAGCAAGCTGCATCACAGTCTGGGAGGACAAGGAGACTAGAAAAAAGGACCAGATGGGATGAGAACATTGCCTCTCAGAGAGACAGTTTCAGGCACGTGTGGGGCAGAATCTGGATTGTAGAGTTAAAATGTAGGTGGTGGTGAGGAAGTGGGAGCACTGGTTGCTGGGTGCATGGATTTCTCTTTCAAGAAGTCAATGGTAAAGGTAAGCAGAAGGAATAATTACTTTCAATAAGGTGCAGACTTAAGAAAATGTATGGTTGTTGTTATGGTTGTTCTTGGGGAGTTGGGATATGCTGATCATCTTCACTGCTGCCTCCATTCAGCTCATGTCTGAGAGCCTCCAACCCTCTTCTGGGCACTCGGAACAAGACCAAGCTGTATGTGGTACATTCTGTGAACGACAAACTTTGAAAATGCAGGTATAAAGAAAAGAGCAGACAGTTTCCAATAATGGAAATTGAGGAAAGAATTACAAGGCACCCTGGCACCCTTGTTAGGCTGGGTCCTGGAGGCCTGCTTTACCCAGACCTGAATACTAATCTCTGCATAGATAGGTGGGAACACTCTGACTGAACTCTCTGCTCCTTTCTGCATACCTGCATTTTCAAAGTGTGTAGTTCACAGAATATAACAGCTTGGTCTTGTCCCGAGTGCCCAGAAGAGGGTTGGAGGCACTCAGACATGAGCTGAATGGAGGCAGCTGTGAACATGCTCACAAGAATGAAAGCATATTCATTTCGACTCTTCCCAACTGTCTCCTTGTAATGCATGTACATTTTTGAGGCTTAACTGGTTTTGATAGTTTTATGATAACTTATGTTATTTGCGTGTGGGTGAGTTGGCCAGTGATCACGTTGGTTCTATTTTGTTGTGAATAAATAGTATGTCAAAGTTTTATGCTGTTTCAAAAATGTTATTTAGAATAAAACTTCCTTTGAAGCGGCAATAGTCTCTTACTCAAAATATTTATTTAGACCATATTGTTTAAATATATATAATTCTCTTAAGGGAAAATTGTAGTCTATATAAATCTGAATTTAAAACAAATAGACCTTCTGGAATTCATAGATATACAAAATGGATATTCTAGTGCTTAAGTGTTTATATACAAAAGGAGTTGAGGTGTTCCAGTGTTTGCATGTTTAGGTACAAAAAGAATAGAATTCATAAAAAGGAATAATGATCTAAAAAGTTGAATTCCCGAATGTACCAAATGTGTAAAGTTATTTAGGAAGACAAAATATTTGAATCATAAACTTGTTCAGAGTAAGTGAATGAATGATTCAACCAGTAAAAAAAATAAATACACATAAAAATAAATCAAATCCACAGTCTGTTAATTTGTTCTCGTCTTAAATATGGCTGTAATTAAAGTTGATGAAAGTGTGCTTTAAAGACAATACAAAATTAGGATATTTTTATAAAATAATTAAATATTATCAAATTAATGATTTAAATATTTGTGTCTTTTGTGCTGGAGTTTATATTAACTGTCCTTGAAATACCATCTCATTTTATTGGCCCTCCCTTGATTTCGGTAAAGCAGAGCTATTTTTTTTAAAGCATTTATGAAAGCTTTTATTATTGCACTTCAAATTATATGAATGTTTTAATGTCAACATAGTTCCCGTATCTGAATTTATAATTAGATAATTTGTAAAGTTCTTGTTTTTAGTGGAAATGCTGTCCTCTAAGCTCTTTTTATTTTGGTCACAGTACAATCAAGTTTTGAGTTCATTAACTAATGAACATGTTATTTAAATAAACTATTTCTGACTTGGGATGTTCTGATATATTTCTCAGTTAACAAATTATTGAAATTTAAGAACTTCTGGAAGAAACGTTTCTCCTTATAGTCTACAAATTAATCACTTCTATATACAACAAAGTTTACAACCTAGCTACAATTGGACCATGTTTGGAAGAGAGATCCTGAAATATCAGGGAGATTATACAATTAAATATTTCCCTAGTGCTAAATTGAAGCACAAATTAAAGATGGGGGTGAAGTATGAATGGAGTCTACAGTGAGGACTCCAACATCTGAAACCAATAGGGATCCATAGATTTAATATTAATTAATGGAAGAGAAATATTTTACACTTGCCTGATCTAAAGCATAGGGAATGGTAAAAGCCTGCTCAGTCTTATTCTCTGTGAATGGAATTTGTCCCAGTCATGTTAACAATATCCAAAATACTGCCTGTTACAAATGAGACAGTTTCTATAAAAATCCTAATGGTTCCAGAAATATGAGCATCTGGAGCTGTGTGAGTGAGCATGGCTTTCAGGCACAGAGCTGCAGTTTCAGGTATCCCCATGCCCACCCCTCCACCCCAGAATCAGTAATCATTGATTGCATCTAAATCTGCAGAGAGATCTTTTCCTGGCAGTTCAAGTAGTTACAGTAGATTGTTAATCTGCGAATGATCAGACTAAATCCCTTCTGTCTTCAGAATTTCTATGCAAATTAGAATTAACTGTATGAGATAAATTTATTAACTGTAGTCCGGGAGCTTAGGTCAGCTTTAGCACTATTCTTAAACATAGGTTTTTATTCATAAAAAGTTACACTCCATTTATGCTAATTTTCTATGGATTCATTTTATAATATTAACTGGTGAGATGGTTTTTTAAAGTGGTTATAAGGAAATGAAAGATTTTTAAGTGTGTTTTTCAGTTTTCTGCAATACAGGTGTACTGTTCCAGATATAAAATATTCACATAAATGATTTTTTCTGTTCCATGTCTGATCTGAAACCAAAATTTAAACTTATTTTCTTTCTTATGTCACTGTTGAAATAAGAGGAGGATTGTTTTTTATTTTTCAAAACAGGAACGAAAATAGAATAAAAAATATTCAAGGAATTGGGATGTGATTAAATAATAATAGAAATATGTTAGGTCTTATTGAGCACAGGAGTGTCTTTAAAATATATTTGAGAGTTTAGCACAACATTTAATTGAAATTCAGCAGAAGAAAAGTAATATTCTAATAATAATATTTGTGTGCCATATTTTACTTTCACAAACATTTCACTTGAATATTATTTTGTTACAGTGTATTTTTTGCTTTATTGACAAGTAGAGAAATTTAAGTGGAAATATATATTAGCAGCAATATACTTTTTTCTTTTTTGGATTTGTGATGTCGTAAATCCGGTATCTTATCGAATATGTAATCCTTTATTTTTATTCTAAGTTTGTAATTTAAAGGTTACTGTGAATGACCTAAAACATTGTATTAGTGAATGAGCTTTTGTTTTCTTTACCTTTTTTAATAAGAGATTTTGGTGATATCTAAATTTATTTTTAAAACTCTCCAGGCCCCTACCATCATAAAATCTTTAAAAATAGAAGTGGGCAATATTTATTGAAATGGTGAAAAGAGTATAGTATCTTTGAACAGATGCTGACCTTTTTTTCCTCCTTTATTTTTCAGGCCATCCGTTGCACACTGGTAAACTGCACATGTGAATGTTTTCAGCCAGGGAAGATTAACCTGAGGACTTGTGATCAGTGTAAACATGGCTGGGTGGCACATGGTGAGGAAAATCTGGGCTTTTCTTCCCGTTCTTATTATGTTCATGTTCGTGTGTGTGTGTGTGTGTGTGTGTGTGTGTGTGTGTGTGTGTCTGTTTAGAGGAGTCACTGGCCTGGAGAAGAGAGAGGTCAGCTGTGCTCCAAGTGTTAGTTAAGATTCAGCCTGCGGCTCTAAAACAGCATATTCTCAGCTCCAAGGAGCTAGGCGAGCAGCTCTCAGCAGAAGGCCAAGATGTTTATAGGACAGTTGGGCTGTGAAGTTCTTACTGAGCATGGGCGCAGCCAGCAAGCACCAGGCCTGATGGAAACTCAAACATACCACAGTTGGCCTTTCAGGGCCTGGACCTCAGAGGGAAGCTGGCAAATCCTCCTTGCTTGAGAACTCCTCGATGACTGCTCACCCTTGTCGTATGTGCTCGGGGCTGAGCTTATCCTTCTAGATGTTAAATGTTGTATGGTCTCAGGTGGACGAGAGAGTGAACGGGAACATTATTTGGCTGGTATCTGAAAATATAACCTGTAAATACTCCCTTTCAGTGTGCATGGGGATTGGAGGTGGTCGACGTAGGTAGAGTGTGAGCTCTGTGTAGGTGTGTGCTGGGGTGGGGAGACCCCACGCGAAGGATATGAGTGTTGAGGGTTTTTGCCAGGTGCACAGAGCCGTTCTGTCAGTGTGCCCTGACCGAGCGTTCAGCATATTCCTGTGTATGGTTTATGTTTATTCTGTTTAAGTAAAAGGAGACTTGGAAATAAGCAGACGTTTTTTTTTCCACCTCCCAGACTGTAGAATTTAAAAAGATAGGTAATGTTTATAAAAAGAAATCCTGGCTTGAGATTTTTTGACAGCCCCGGGTATTGCCTCTTAAGTGGACATATTCTTCATTCCCAAGCAGTGCCAAACATCCAGTGGGTTGTATTTTTATAAATGTCATGTTATTCTAGCAACATCTGAGGTAACAACACTGGGCCATGCCTCGAAATGCTTTTAATTTATCATGTACCTTGCTTGTGAGGGCGTGTGTGATGGAGTTGCGGGGACATTTCAGCCATGTTTCTGTGAGAGAGAGTACTCTGAGAGGAATACCCGGGAAGGGGTATGTTTCCACCATGCAGCCACAATCCTGCAGTCCTTCATGCCCACAGGGATAGAGCGCTTTCCTGCTTTATTAACAAGGCCCAAATCAGCAACAGGTCTCAGTCCAGTCTTGAACAACAGATGAGCTGCATTTACTTCTGCAGTCTCTTTATGTTACTACATTCAATGATTTCGTCTCTCTTCATATATTAGTTTGCTAGGGCTGCCATAACAAAATGCCACAGGCTGGGTGGCTTAGAGAGCAGAAATTTATATCCTCAAAGCTCTGGAGGCTAGAATTCCAAGATCAAAGTGTTGGCAGGGTTGGTTTCATTCTGAGGCTTCTCCTCCTCATTTGTAGATGGTCACCTTTACATGGTCTCTCCTCTGTGGGAGCATGCCCTGGTGTCTGCAACCTCCAACTCCCGGGTTCAAGCGGTTCTCCTTCCTCAGCCTTCTGAGTAGCTGGGATTACAGGCATGCGCCACCACACCCAGCTAATTTTTGTATTTTTAGTAGAGACGGGTTTTCACCAGGTTGGCCAGGCTGGTCTCGAACTCCCGACCTCATGATCTGCCAGCCTCGGCCTCCCAGAGTGCTGGGATTATAGGTGTGAGCCACTGTGCCCAGCACTGGTGTCTTCTTGTGCATCCAGATTTCCTCTAATAAGGACACCAGTCAGATTGGATTAGGGCCCACCCTAAGGGCCTCATTTTAACTTAATCACCTCTTTAAATACCCTATATTCAAATATAGTCACATTCTGAGGTAGTAGGGGTTATGACTTCAACATAGTAATTTTGGGAGAACACAAGCCCATAACAGTTCCCAAATATCCTTTTTTTCTCTGAAGAAGTATTGGTTTTGCTGGGTAATAGGTACAGAGCTTATATCCTAAACTCATCAGAACCATATGAATATTGGAGGCAGTTTGGTTGTAGACTGTTCTGAGGTCAAATCCTGGCTCTGTCACCTCATGACATGTTAATATTGCTGGACTTCAGTTTTCTTGCCTGTAAAATAGGATTAATAGTTCCTACTTTACAGTCTTATTATGAAAATTAAAGAGAAAATATATGAAGCCTTTCTAACTAATACATATTAAAAGTAAAATGGACAGTAGATGAGCACTAAAGGGGAGGCCAGTCGTTGAACAAAGGCGTTTCATTTATTCGCTCTCATTTTTGCCAAAGCCATCTTGTATTATCATTATCTATCTACTATGGTAGCCTTGGAGTATAAAAGTTAACTGTGTCACCAGTTTGTTTTATCTATTTAATGTCCATGTGCATATTACATTAGTAATGTAAAGGAAAAAGCAATGTTTTTTCCTTCTTGAACAACATAAATTATTCCTGGCCAGTGATTGTTTCGAGGACTTTCTGAAGAATGTCATTTTTCACCCAACTTGAATAAGATGTTTTTGTTACACCAGACTGTGCTTTTTCTACTGTACCATTAAAAATTCTATGTTTCTAGGATATTAATTTTGGTGTTTCTCAGACCTTAGCAAAATGTATTCTAATTCTTTCCTTTACAATTATCACCTTGACCTCTTTTTTCCCACAACAGGGAGATATCTGTATACAGCTCAAAATGCATACACCCAAGCATGTGAATCCCACACTCTCCCCATTCATGAGGCCAAATACAGCAGTGAGGGGTTGGCCTCTAGCCTTGGAGTTGGCAGTGGGATGACAGCACCCACTCTTTTTGCCCCTAGCATTACAACTAATTGCTTCATTCCCTCTCTCTGCACAGAAACCCTGAAATCGTGTCTCCAATGACTTCTGCTCAGAGGTGAAACACAGCATTCTTTCCGGCTGCCTTATACTGTGCAGTGTCCTGGGTGTGGGGCAATGAGGAAGTGACTTGGGTTTTCTAGTGTGTAATTTTCCTCTGAAATGCATGGAACAGCAACAAAACTACCAAGATACATTGCCCAGAATGGTTTCATGGTAGCACTGAATGCATTCTACCTGTCATTATGTCAATAAAAAAATTTTTAATATCTGCTGCTAAAAAATAACCAAATGCCAAAATCATGTATTCTCTCTAAAACAGATTTTTAGAAATTTGTTGACCTCCTTTCTTGAATAAATTATCCTTGTTAACAGCATTTTCAGTTCATTCCTAAGATGTTGGATTTCATGGGTCATTATCTACCATATATATGCACATATGTGTGTCTCTGTATATGTACACACACAGAAACACACGCACATTCTCTCTGTTGACTTACAGATTGCTTACTAAAGCTGCGTAAGTTGTTGACGTTAACTACTTTACAAAAATCTTTAGAAATGTGTTTCTAAAAAATTAAAAGCTGGGTGTGGTGTGTCTGACAGCCTGTATTCCCAGCACTTTGCGAGGTTGAGACAGGTGGATCGCTTGAGCCCAGGAGTTCAAGACCAACCTGGGCAACATGGCAAAATCTTGTCTCTACAAAAAGTACAAAAATTAGTCCGGTGTGTTTGCGTGTGCTCTCGGTCCCAACTACTTTGAAGGCTGGGGTGGGAGGTTTGATTGAGCCTAAGAGGTCAAGGCTGCAGTGAGCTGAGATCATGCCACCACATTCCAATCTGGGTGACAGAGCAAGACTCTGTCTCAAAAATAAAAAAAAAATAATAAATTAAAGAGTGATTAATTCATTATACTGCAACACCTGGGTTTTGAAATTATTAATACTTAGTGGGCTGTGTTACTTTTCACAGAGTATTTTCTTAAAATCCTTAGCACTATTGAGTTAAGGGAGGAAGGAATCTCAGAGCAGTTCTGAATACCAGTAGGTATTTCCCACTAAATTAATAAAGGATTTCCTACCTTACCACCACCCTGCCCACATTAAGGAATCTTAGCTCTTTCACTCTGATAATAGAAAGCAGGGCTTATTGAATTTACTTAAACATTTTTTTTTCTCTTGGTAAAAGATGGCCATACCTAGTCTGTAATAATTTAGTTGATGGGCCAGAAATGGCTCAGAATTTCTAATTCTGTCAAGTCTCTGTAAAAGGACTCCAGTTTACTGCCACTACTTCACTGAAATACTATAAATACTATATTTTTTACTTTCCCTTGTTTGCTTTATCTTCTCAGTGCGTTTCCTTCATTCACCTAAAACAATCTGAGTATGGCTTGAAAAACAATAACAACAAAAGTTTTTTAGAGCTCTTTTTGGTTCGAAAGTGGCAAAATAAGATTAAGATATCAGGATAAGAGCAGTAATGGGCTCCTTTTCTGGTGATGTAATTTTTTTTTTTCTTTTTACCCTTTGCCTCCACACTAGAGTAGCAATTTGGCCATTCACAGAATTCAGACTTCAGCCAAATATTTTACAGAATGTTAAAAATTAGCTGGTACAACTAGAATACACTCAGCATTGGGTGCAGGTGGGAGTGAGTCCTACTTACTATTCTCCCTTGAAGAATACCTGCTTCTAACAGGAAGCATTACCAATAGGAGTTTGCTGTCTTCGTGAAAAAAAACAGGAGGCATGATGTAAAGGTTGAGGACTGCTGCACGAAACCATTTTTATTGTTTAATATTTGCAAGTTAGTTTTAATGTCCATAGTTTAGATGAGGACTTTATTTCTAAACCATTAAGATGAAGGTAAATAAAATAGTAAAAATAAGAAAGAAAACAAACTGAATTCTAAGGCGTTTTAGGAAATATTTAATGATAATCCAGTACAACTGGAAAATTGTTTTTATCCCATGATATTTGATTTGTGTATTTGATAAAAGAGGTGGGCAGATTTTACAGAGGTAATTCATTTAGAATTTTTTTTTAAACTAGATCAGTAACTTTTTCTTCTGATGAAGCTCATTTGTTAAGACCATCTCTTTTTTGGAAAAAAACAAAAAAAAATTTTTTTTTAATTCCACTGTTTCCTAGGTATGTGAGGTGAGCATTTGGCAAGAATATGAGACTTGATGAATAAAAAATACATTTTATAGCTTAACGCACCCACAGCAGCTTTCTCTGTGCAAATTATTTTCTTTTTTTTTCTTTGACTTTAAATGAAAGGATATACCATTCCAACAAGCTGCATGAATACTAGAATCTTCATTCACTTTCAAGAGATCTGAATTAATACCAGTGTTATTTCCTTTGGCTGAGGTCTGCCTGCAAGAATGCTTGTTGCACTGGAATTTTGAGACCTTTCTTTTATTATGTTCTGTAAATGTGATTTCCTTTTACTGCATGCATTTCATTCGAGGAAAAGATAGTTTTACATTATTACTTTAATTATTTACTAATTAAGCCAGCTTTTTTCCTGCCTATATTTTCTCCAAACTCCTGATTTTTTTTTAATGTAAAGTAAGCAGACCTGGTCTACATCATCCAGATCATCAGTCAGTAGATATTTATTAAACCTATCTCATACATGAAGGATTGTGCCAGGTAGCCTTCAGTTCTTCCACGGAAATGATGAGAAGTATAAAGTTAATTTAGTATCATATACCAACCAGCTTTATGGTTTAATGTACTGTAAGACTTAATATGCATATAACCCATTAATTTCAAACCTTTTTTTTTGTATTCACTGGATATAATTTTTCTTTTTTTTTTCTCAGCATGGTTGAATTTGAATTTTCAGCTTGTACTTGATATGTCTTATCAGACCAGGGGTATTTATAGAGACCTTCACCCAAATAGAAAATATAGAATTTTTGATTGAATCTGAATATCAATAAACAATAAATGATTTTAAATATAAATATTACCATGCAAATTTAGGTGAGAGTCCTTTATGTTTATTTGCTAAATCTGGCAAGCCCATACCTAAAAGAAAATCCTATTCAGACTCAATTTGCATAAATCCTAAATCAGGGCTATTGGTCATAAGCATCCTATAATCAAAAAGGTTTTGGGCCAGGCGCGGTGGCTCACGCCTGTAATCCCAGCACTTTGGGAGGCCGAGGCAGGTGGATCAGGAGGTCAGGAGATTGAGACCATCCTGGCCAACATGGTGAAACCCCGTCTCTACTAAAAATACAAAAATTAGCTGGGTGTGGTGGTGCGTACCTGTAATCCCAGCTACTCGGGAGGCTGAAGCATGAGAATCGCTTAAACCCAGGAGGTGGAGGTTGCAGTGAGCCGAGATTGTGCCATTGCACTCCAGCATGGCGACAGAGCGAGACTCCATCTCAACAACAACAACAAAAAAAGCTGTTGATTATATCAGTCCTACATTTAGAATCATGAGATCTCAGTATTTTATTTACAAATTCCTCAAGTTCGTTGGAGGCATGGTAGTTTGTAAGGACTTACAAGCAAGGCAGATCAAAACAAGTAATTTTTCATTTTGTCCTATGAAAGTTCACATGTCTTTATTATTTGTCCCAGTCTATGTTCTTATAAATTGTCTAAATATCTGTGAAAGTGGTTTGTTCCCAACTGGTAACTCTCTAATATTCTCCCTGACTTGAGTCCAAAACCTAGCATAACTAAAGTAGTCCAGTCTTTTCCTTGCCAATCTCTTTTCTTCCCTAGTCTTCTCTCCTTCCCACTCCGCATAGAAATTCCTTTATCATAAGAATAAAGCATGACATTTCTGTGATATCATGCTCATTCTGAGTGACTCCACAACAGTGTCCATATGATAATTTGTAAATGTGTCAAGATAAAGAGAGGAGACTAAAAAACAACTAAGTTTCGTCTGACAAAGGGAGATAATGTTCCCAGCAAGCTCTGGCTTGGAGACTATCCCAACGAAAACAACATTTTCTTTCGTAGAAATTTTTTTCCAGAGGGGTGTTTAGGGTTTGGTGAACAGTAGCACAGGCACTAATTTGAGTCCTCAGGGGAAGGGAAGTACATGCTTAGCAGTGGCAAAGTAAGAACCAGATCCTTAGGGGAAATGTTTCTAGGGCTTTGTTCAGAAACACAAGGATAGAAACACTATCGTCTTCTTCCCTTGGTGCACTCGTTTGGAAAAAGCGGAAGCTGGTGCAGTATCTGCTTAAAGAATTTGTCTTTCTAGTGGACTTAGTTTTTCCAGATTGTAAATGCTGAAACCCGGCTTTGCCTAGCTGCAAAATTCTCTTTTGCTCAGGGAAAACAGCTTTTAGCTGCCTCCTAGTTTTGGTGAGGCAGCTGGATTCTGGTCTCTCCATGAGCAAAGTCCTTGGACTTTTTTCTTCGTTTTAGAGAGCAAAAGCAAGGCCATTTTCCTGCCTGGCACAGGAGGCTTTTTTGGGCTTGACCTGAGGGCACAGTGCCCTCTTCTGCCTCTCTCCTTTACTTGCTGATCACTGCTGATAAGCTCTAAAGGGAAGACATCCTCATAAATGCAAAGGTTTGGTGCTTGATTAATGGCACTAAGTATTTTCTTATTGTGTCTCTGAGCAGCTTTTGATTTGTTTCTCAGCCTGCACACTTTTTGGATGGTGCTTTGCACTCCTTAAATTTTCTTTAAACCCAGCGCAAACAGTGCCTCCCCTTCAAAGTCCTGGGCTGTCTGCCTATTAGCTCCCCAGATTTTCTTTTTTTCCTAGCTATGTTTTATTCAGATGGAACATAAAGTGAGGCTGGCAAGACCTGGCCTCCAGTGTAGTCACTGCTGGTCTGCTGGTAAGGAGTTTCGTGGGAGGGTGTTGAGAATGAAACACACAGAGCTGTATCCCGCTTCGGGTGAATGAATGGGAGGCAATATACAAAATAGGTAAGAATGTTGTTCTTGAATGAGACTGTTTACATTCACGTCGCGGCTCTGTCACCTACTGTAGGTAGAATCTTGCCAAGTTGTATAATCTCTCTGTTCTGTCATCTGTGAAATGTGAGTGATGATAGCTCCTAGCTCATAGTGTTCTTCTAAGATTAAATGAGATAATCCAGATGCCTCATACATAGTATACACTTAATAAGTGTTAGTTGCTGTTATCACTAACTTCCTATAAAAGTAAGACTTCAACACTGTGGACATGATAGACATGTTTTAGCAAAGTAGAGTGATTAAAAGTTGGGTGTGGCCAGGCCAGTGGTCAAATCCCTTCTCTGCCTTTTGTTAGTAATGCCTTCTCTAAGACTCAGTTATTTCATCGAGAAATTCGGATAATAATAGCAATGCATCTAAATAACACAGATTCATTTTGAGAGAGGATTACATGAAAGAGTAGGGTTAGCCCAATATTCTGGCACAACAATTTTAGGAGCTAGTATTGTTATTGCTAAGTCAATAAAATAATATTAAACATCAATATTAATGATAATATCTAGTGTCTCCCTTAAGGTACGAATGTGGAATGTGTTGGGATGAAACTATTTCTCCTTCCAGGGAAGGTTTTCTTCAGTATGCAGTTGCAGAGGTCAGGTCACCAGTTCTTTTGGCTGTTGGACCAAGTGTTCCGTAGGTGAAATTGTTTTCCCAAGCAAATCCAGTATAGTTCCATACCTTCCATTTCCCCTAAAATGTCATTTGAGCCCTTATTTGAACACAGTAAGGAATATTTTACACCAAAAGTCATTTTGAGAATTGCGCCAGTTAAAATAAATTATAGTAATATTTACCTGCTAAAAATCCAAAAGCTATAAGTAGGTGAATTTTAGGTAGGATTAAGGCTACTTTTACCTATTTTCACACCTGTCTTTTTGCATGTGAAGTGCTTCGATGGGCTCGCCACTTTATCATTTTATTGCATTTTATTACATCATAAATTTTTATATCTTGCTAACGATCCTACAGGAAGCTTAATTGTTTATAGGAGCATCTTAATTAACTGGAGTTCACCAGGTTAAGCAGAACACAAATTGAAGGGTTTATAAATGAAACACACTCAACTCCTCTCCTTTTACTCAGGATAAACTAGGAGATTCGGCTGGGTCGTAAGGACCCCATATGCCTCAGCAATATCATGTTGATCCTTTCAACCACTCTTCCTTCTCTATTATGTCATAAATGGTGACTTCTAACTCCTCTCCCCTCTTTACTGAAGTGTGAAATTGCTGGATAAGTACAGTATTTCAAAGATAACTCTGAATTGTATTCTGGGAGCCCTAAAATGTTGTTTATACATCCCATTTCTTACCAGGTTTTGCCTTTGTAGATGTTTATATATCTTCAAAAGGTTCTTGAATTAATTTGTTATTAGTTCGCATATACCCAAAGAATTGTATAAGAAGTGCTTTAAGTATTACTTTAAGTATTACCACAACTGGATAGACTTGTAACCAGTATTTGTTAAAAGGCCCAGTAGTGAGATTCCTCTCTTCGTTCAGCTGCTCCCTGGTACCCAGGGAGATCCCCACTTTGACCTCATGGGCCTCTTTGCCTTCTGTACAGTCAAGTGACGCTACAAATTTAAATGCAAACCCATCTAATTGAAAGGACAGTCTTGGGCCTTAGATTCTACTCGCCAAGAAATGTAAAGGCAACTCTACACCTGGCTGTCCAATAAGGAAGCCACTGTTATGGCTTTGAACACTTGAAATGTGGCTAGTCCAAATTGAGATGTGATGTAGGTATAAAGTGTACACCAAATTTTGGAGCTGTCATCTTATTTAAAAAAAGAATGTAAAATAGTCATTAAGAGTTGTTCTTCCATATATTTTTGATTTATCATGTCAAATACGTTTTTAAACATCACTTTTTTACTATTTTACTTGAAACTAGAAAAATTAAAATTCTGTATCTTGGCTTGAATTATATTTCTTTCTTTTTCTTTTTCTGTTTTTTTTTTTTTTTTGAGACAGGGTCTTGCTCTGTCACCCAGATGCAATGGTGCAATGTCATCTCATTGCAACTTCCCCTTCCTGGGTTCAAGCAATCCTCCCACCTCAGCCTCCTGAGTAGCTGGGACCACAGGTGTGCGCTACCACGCCCAGCTAATTTTTGTATTTTTTGTAGAGATAGGGTTTCGTCTTGTTGCCCAGGCTGGTCTCAAGCTCCTAGATGCAAATGATCTTCCCGCACTGGCTCCCAAAGCACTGAGATTACAGCTGTGAGCCTCCGTGCCCGGCCATAAATTATATTTCCATTAGACGTGGTAATCGTAGGCTCTAGGTATGAGAGAATATATTTGGAGAGCTAAAGCCTAGGTTAAAGTGGTTTGGTGGCAGAGTAGTTAGAATTGGTGTGATAATCCTAACACCCTAAATCCAGGCTCTTGTCCCTTGAGTCACCACTGTAAACTCTTTCCCAGTTTTTCGTACTTTGACGCTTGCTGCACTATTGATCCTGGCCAGTTTTTCCTGTGCCTTGTTCATCAAGAAAGTGGGATTCCCACCCCTTTACTCCCCTCTGCACCACCACTCCCCACCCCCGGAGCAATTAAGTGCTCCCTTCTTTATTTTCTCAATACACTTTGCTGAGACCAGAGGTTTCTGGGTAATACTGATCCTTCCACTAACTTGAAAAGCTCAGGAAGGGCACTTCACCTTTGTGTGCTGGAACATACTGCAGCATCTCATGTGGTGCATGGAACAAAGGTTTATTGAAACTCTAAGCTTATGGAAAAGTCTCACTCAGATTCCTAATTGCCATTTGCTTTTCCAGCAGCCTCTTCCCATTTTAAGGTATAAGCACAGCCCACAAACACCTTGTCTTTATGCCCATTTGTGCGTTTTTCTTTTCCAGTTCTCATTCTATTTTCACCTTTGCTGTTTCCCTCTGTCTTCAGACAACAAAATAAGTGAAAGGTAAGTGGGAGGTTTTAGCAGCCCAAACATCCAGGAAGTAAATTTTAGAGAAGTTAAATTTGTTTAATCATTAACAGATGTTGGTGTTTTTGTTTTATTCAGAAGATAAGATCTTGAGTGAAATACCTTCGGCTTTCCAGTTTTTTTATATTCCTTTGCCTGCAAAAATCTGAGGGTAAGACATTACCCACCCGCCTCCTTTTGGCTAATCGTGTTTTCCACTATCAGTAAAAATTAAAAAACAAATCAACCTCTAACATAAAAGAAAACACCTGTTTGGCTTGGAGAACTTGGCTAGGGAGGTGTTTTTTCTGACATGCCAAAAGCGACCATCACAAGGCCCCTTAAAAAAAAAGTCATTTTTTTTTCTATATTTCATGTGAGCATTGGCAGAAACTCTGACAAGCAGTTCTTCATATTTTATTATGTTCTTGTCTGCAGAATCTGTGTCAGGCAAAAACCTTGTCAGCGGAAAACCTGTCGTAGGATCAGAGGAGACAAAAACAGGTGTCACACAGGCAGTCAAAACTGAAGGAAAAAAAAGATTAGGCTAAAGAGAGAGAGGCAGACAATTACATTAATGCCATTGCTTTTATCTTATAGATGTGTGTTATTATCTCGGGGTGCTGAGTGCGCAATTGCCTCAAAGAAAAGTAGACAGGAGACAAGGGGAAACTTGATAGTTATTAACTGAAGAGGCAGTGTGTCAAAGCTGGATGGGGTTCAAAGTTTTGCAAAGGAAAAAAACTGCAGGCAGCAAGCAACGGCTGTGTGGTTCTGCTTTCGGCTACATAAACCGAGTAGCTATCTAACATTTTCTACTTGGAAACAGATCATAGAAGGAAAAATTAATGAAAGATTTCATTTGGAGTTCTTGGGGGATAACATTTATCCTATATATATGTGAATGAATCATATAACCTTTTCTCTCTTACAAAATCTTGCTACAATGTGAGACATGGTGAGGCATGAAGACAGGCATTTGTCAGTTCAGCTGTGTTGTTTGGATATATTTAAAACACCTATTATCAACACACTTTTAATTAAAAAAAGCTATTAAGAAGCCCTTTTACTAAGTGTGAACATCTGTATGTGCAAGCTGTAAATTAGGAGATCACATATGTGTGCCTCAGTCAGAGACTAAATGAATTTGGCAAGTGTTTTCTTTTACTGGTTTTTAAATACAGTAAAATATCTCAAGGAAAAATTGCTACATTTTACAATTTGTATTGACTCTTTTGATTGTGCCCGTTGGTACTGATTAATTGAACTTATCTAATTAGAAATTTTCTAATTAGAAATTAGGGTTACTATCATGATCAAATTAGTAAACAGAATTCAAAGCACTAACCAATATATCCCCTCTGTTTCTTTATTCACATTATTTCAGATGTCACTTCTTTTCTGAAAGTTTGCGCTCCATTAAATATGTGTGATGGTATAAAATACTTTCGTTTTGCCAATGGTCTAAATCCCAAAAGAGTTTTTGCCTTGTTGATAACTCATACATGTCAAACAGCCCACTAATAGAGAATGGGATGGTAACTTTAGGTTTCCCTATCTGCTCAATGATATGTTGATCACATTAGTGGAAAAATCGGCAGATACTGCTTTAGTTCTTAACATTTTCTACTTGTGCATTTAAGATTTCGTTAGGTTAGACTTTTCCTAAGCCCTAGGACTGCCCTCTTAACCCGTTTTTATGAGGAAATCTTTACATAGGGTCTTTTTATCCCACCGGTTACTGATACAAAGCAGTTTGATACTTGATATATGCATTAAGCAAATCCAGCAGTCCAGAAGAAAACACACGTCAGTGCCAAAAGTGTGTGTGATAGCCTAGAGATTTTAAGGGATTACAGTGGGGAAAACAGATTGATTATAGATTTAGAGTGAGATTTCAGCCTGAATTACTGGGGGAAGGAGGAAAAATTACTTGTGACACAAAGGTGACATTCATTTTTCTTTTTCAAGACTGAGTATAATAATTTCTTTCTTTTAGATATTTCCCTACCAGATGCTGGCTTTTTATACCACGACTCTCAATTTTGAAATATTTTTTCACATGTGATAGTTTAAAGCATATATTTTATCAAATAGTAAATATGCCTTGCCTTTGCACTTTTTGCTTAATGAAATTCTTATATAGATATATGTTCCTTTAAGAAAATTAAGTCTTTAAAGTGAATAACTGGGGGGTAGGGTGATTATTTTCTTACAGAAGAATTCGTATTTTTGTTTAATAAAAGGATGTACATAGTTAATTCAGGTAGCAAATCTCAATAGTTACTTTTAAAATGAGATATGTTTTATAGTCAGTGTACTGTGTATTAAATCCATTGGTACATAAACTGGATAAAGCAGGGTTTGTGTAGCCAACTTTAAGCTGGCTGAGGCAACTGGAGATTGGATAGAACAGCAGTGGCAATAATAATAATTCCCAAACCTGGTTTCAGCAAGTAGATTCAGTTACTAAATCTCTTCTTAGATCTACTGTCAAATTTGCAGATAAAATTTTCTCTTTGCCTGTTACCACCTTCATGTGGAGTTGCTGCAAAAGAGCAAAGGCATGCCCCCAAAAGTGGGCCATGTAAGAAAGAAGAAGCGGGAGAATAAGTATAACCAAGGACCTGTTTAATCTACTAGCCAGGAGAGAGAGCTTCTGAACAACCGAGTGGTGAAATACTTTTATGTGTGCCTCAGTCAGACTTTAATGCTTTTCAAAGTCTGTTTTGAGGACTTTATTATGCGTAAGGCCACAGGGGGAAATGCCATTCAGTTTGAAATATTGGCTGTATAGTCTCGAGTGGAGCTCAGTGTCTACCCTGGACTAATTGTGGGTGTTTATATGTGTATGTATATCCACATACCCTGAAAGCTACATGTCAACTGAGGTTGATTAAAATCCGTAGGACAGTGGGGCTTAACTGGAACTACTTTTGTCCCTCTTCCCTCCCTACAGTTTGGAATTACATTCATAATAAACCATGAGAGTATTTATACATTATCCCTCATGTATTAAGAGATGAGAAAAAAAATCAAGGGCCATTCACATAATGTATATAAGGTATAGTAATGTAATGAGGATTTGTAGAGGTTCAGTGGAGTTTATTCATTTTAAAAAACACTGACACACTATTTGTTGAAGAAAAAAAAAAAAACCCTTTGTACATAAGGGTTGACAGTTTTTATCACCACACTTGGGGATCAACTCTTTTAGCTAAATACCATTCGTTTTCTTCTTCTCTTTAAAAAAAAAAAAAAAACTCTAGAAGCAAGCCTTGGTATTAAATATCCTAATTAATTCAACCTTGACAGTTACAGTTAGAAAGTTGTGACTTAAATGGAACATGAGTTATTTTGTACTTAACTTGCTCCCAGTTACATAGTTCTTTCCCCCAGAAGTAGTGAATAAAATGTGCAGATCTAAATATTACTTCACGTCATAAGAAATTTTTCTCTTAATCACAATTGTTGCCTGCCTTCACGATCTCCTGATTCACTAAAAAGTTTTAATGTGTCATCATTGCCCTATATTAATGTTCTCCCCAAGTGTTAAGGCTTTTATTAGGATCTAGCTTACAATCTAAGAGTAGACTAAGTCTTTGCCTTGAGCCCTGATGCTTTTGCCTGGTAAGAGAGCTGAGTCTTACAATGGGAAAGGATTGATGTGATAATGATTCCAAAGGGCCCCTTTATGATGAAATTCTAAATACGCAAAATCCCATTAAACCTGTGGAAGTGCATGGGCTAGGTACATTGAAATGACATATCATTATATTGGGTATAGTGTGCTTATTATGAAGTGTGGTATAATTGAAAATTATTGGTCGTATTAGCAAAAATGAAGAGCCACCACCCTCATAAATTCAGAGGTTATGGCCTGGACATTTGAGATAGGAGTGGTAAAAATATTCTGTTTATAAATAATGAAAACTTTAAAATCTGACCCCAGAAATTGCTCCAATAAAAATCTCATCGCTAACAACTTTTAGAACTCTTAAAGTAATCGTGGAAAGAGTTTCATAAAAACAATCCCTAAAGACGTGTGTTAAATGTTAATCTATTGGAAATTCAAATAGTAGTCTAGGATCCAGAGCTCCTAAAAGCTGACCACTTGATGCTTGTAATTTGGAATTCTAAAGGGAGTTGAGGCAAGAGACCCAGAGTTCTCGAAACAATTAGCCTTGTAATTTAAGGCTCACTTGGCTTTCTCCCAAAATAAAAGAATAAGCCTTCTTTTTTAACTTGTAAAATTACTTCAAATTAGCATTAAAAATTTTGAAATATCCAGGGCAGGACTGAAAATTAGTGAAATAACAGGTTTCCATTTAGACCCTTTTCGTACAGATTTTTAATTGTTTTATTCTACAAAGTAAGTGGTTTTGAAAAATCATTGTACTTCACATACTTCTTATCTTATTGAATGGCTGCTAGCTTCACACTGCCATGCCTGAACAGCTAGATGGACTCCACTGGACCTCAGGACCTGAAATGAGCATATTCCTGTGGAAACCAACTGAGTCACTTGAATTTGACTTTTAAGGAAAGTTGTGTTTAAAAAAAGTTGTGGAAAACTAAGAACTATAAACTATCACTGAGAGCCAATTTTGTAGGATCAGTGAAAAGCACTTTTATACTCTTACATTAAGAAAAAAAAGTATCTGAATATGTTCTTATTTCTGTGACCTTCACAGAAAATATTGGAAGTGAAGTCTGTAGAATTACAGGTTTACATTTATTTTAATTTATTTGAAGGTTTGAGGAGCAATTCCTGTTATTTAAAATAGAAATAAAAAATTGTTATTCGCATTTCATGTGATAGATGTGTTCTTTTATAACTACCCCTCACCCACCCCCAGCACTATTTTATACATTTGAAAACTGAATTTTATAAAGGACATTACTTTGTTCTTTAAGTTAGCAGTATAGTTAAAAGTACATATTACTTTACATTTATTACCCATTTTGCATTATGTTTTATGCTCATTTTACATTTATATTACATACATTAATGAAGCACAGAAATCTCAGCTGTTGTCCTTATGGCAATTCTGTTCCCACATAAATGAGTTTTCTTCATTCAGACTCAAGTGTCATTTTGGGGTCCTGTGGCTTAGCCACCATGTTCCTTTGGAAAACTATAGATCTTATCAAAATATTTATTGAAATTATATCCAGGCCTCAATTTCTCCTTTGTTTTGTAGCCATAAAATTGCCAGTTTAGGCCTCTGTTTCTAGCATTTTAGGAAATCCAAGTAAATTATGTCCCATCAGTAACCTCATTCACAGTTTAAGGAGCTTGTATTGTATGAATTTTTTTCCTTTTTTCTAATATCTTTATCTTGCAGTTAAAGCTTTTGCTTTTTCCAGATGAAATTCTGCATACTAAAAAGAGATTAATTGACCCTTTGTTTGTTTTTCCTCCAGGTCTTTTACAAAAGAAAAATAATCCTGTCTTTATAGATGCTCTTCTTACAGTCTTACTGTGTGACTATTCTCTGACGACTTTCCAGGGTCTATACTACACCTTTTTCTATAGCTATAAGGCCATCAGTCTAGCGTATTGATCACAAATCTAGTGATTTGTGCTACCATTATGGATGATTTTCATAAAGTCTGTGTATTATGATTCAGTCTGTGTACCTTGCAATTAAGATTCTTTTTCTTAACCATATTAGACTTCTATCCTGTTTTTCTACTAAAAGTGCATTGTAATCTCCCAAGTAATACTTGACCTAGTAAGAAAGAAAATATGCCAAGTTTACTCAGGATTCCTGCTTAGCTAGCAGCGCCACCTTACCCTCCAAATTGCCTTAATTACCCACCTTCACTTATTCTGTGAGGGGGTGCTGTCTAGAACAAAAGAAGGGTTGAGAAAGGGACATGGATGAAATTAAGAATTTGGTGGCATGGTGGAATCATACATTTACCCCTTCCATTGAAAATAGAATAATGGCTTTTTATTCTATTATATACACTTAACTGTGTTCATCCATCCAACAGTATGATTACTCAACACTCTTTAGTGATTTTGTTTCAGGTATGGTTGCTGCTCAAAATCAAGGTCTTGAGATAAGTAGGAACATAAGTGATCCCAGGAAATGGTAGAGTCCATTTCCTCTTATATGAGGGAGCCTCTCTAGGCTACATGGAAAAAGAAAATAGAATATAAATCGAAACGGGAAAGAAAAGGTAGTTAGAGGAGTTAATAAGAAAGAAGAAAGACACTTGAACAGCGTTGAAAGTAAACGTTCTGAGAAAATACAGCTTTACGGATGGAACCTCGCTTATCTCTCTGGCGTCATCTTGGTTCTTCTCTTGTTCATGTCCTGGCCGAATTGGCTTTGCCTGGAATACCCGACTCCCACCCCATTGAAATTATGTTCTCATGTCACATATCCAGTTTGTAATTTTGTGTGTTAATGTGTTTGTTTATTTGTTTGTTGCTTTTTTTTTTTTTGAGATGGGGCTCATTCTTTTGCTTAGGCTGGAGTGCAGTGGCGCAATCTTGGCTCACTGCAGCCTCGACCTCCCAGGCTCAAGTGATCCTCCCATCTCAGCCTCCCAAGGATCTGAGATTATAGGTGTGCACCACAATGCCTGGCTAATTTTTGTATTTTTTGTAGAGACAGGGTCTCACCGTGTTGCTTAGGCTGATCTCAAACTCGAGCTCAAGTGACCCACCCACCTCAGCCTCCCAGAGTGCTGGATTACAGGCATGAGCCACTGTGCCCTGCAGTGTAATTTTTAAAAGTCTGTTTTCTTCACTAGTGTATTAACTTCAAGTGGGCCCAAATCATAGCTGTTTTGTTCTTCACTAAATCTCTAAAACTTAGCATGGGACAGGAAATACACATTTAGTGACCAAATAGTAAAGTGCTAGTAATATGTGAAGGTGCTGGGAACCTTACTTTGGGCAGATCAGAGGGCCCATGTCAGAGAGTTACTAGACTGGAAAGTAAATCAATCTGTCCAAGGTCTTCTGACCCAGGTTAAGGATTTTGTGTGTGGGTGAGAGAGAAGTGGGGCAGTTATGTGTGTGAAGAGGCTGGGGACGTCATTGGAAATTTTGAACAGAGGAAAGACTAAGCAGTATTTTGAGAAGATTGACTTGGTTTTCTTTAGCATATAATAGGCCAGTGAGAACAGAGAGAGACCAAATCAGTTAGGAGCCCTTGTAGTAATGAAGTTATGAAGGTCTAAAAGCCTGCTCTAAAATGGTATAAATTAGACTAGAAAGAAGAAATTGATCCAGGAAAAACTGCAATGGAAGAGTTTAAAGTGATTAAGGATGACGATGACCTACGGAAGCAAGGGAAAGTAGTCAGAGATAATTTTGAATGTTCGTGCTAGATAATGTTAAGGGAGACAACACCGCCACCAAGATAGAAACTTTTATCTACAGTATGACCTCAACTATATAAAGTTATGTATTGAAAAAAGTAGATGTAGATACATCTTAACATGTGGACAATCATTGTTTTGGGTGGTGGGATTATGGGTAATTGTCTTTTTGTTTTCCTTTTTCTTGAATTTAGAACATTTTGTCAATAAGCACCTATGAGAAAATGACACACAAAGAAGTCTGATTTCAAATATTTTGGCCTAGTTTCCCAGTTCTACCTTTCACAGCAAAAGGAGTCAAGTATGTGTTTGGAGTTGAGCTTGGGCAGAGCGAAATTTAAAGGTTAGGGATCATCTGCATAGTGTAGGAATAGTTGGATTCCTAGGGGCAAATGATCACAGGTGGGCAGGTGGAGAGGCAGTTTGTCTGGAAACCTGATGTTTCCTCTGAATCTCGTTGATTTTGCCTCCAGATCTTCCAAACTGGAAAATCCCAATCATTTTGTAGCTGTGCCTCATCTTTACTACAAGCATCTGTTTTTCCTCCTACTTCTTAGCTTGGTCTTGATTTTATGCTTTCTTCTCCTTTCTCCTTACATTAAGATTGTAGTCTTCAGGTCACTGGCTTGCTTATACTTAAAATAATTTTGAAAACTAAGGACTACCCTAACATTCTCATATGCTGAGTTACTTACGAATATCTTACAGCAAGTAAGTGGCAGAGCTGGGATTAGACTCTGGCCCTAGAGACTCTGTCTTTAATCTGGAAGACAACGAGCATCTTTTAAAAACACTGGAAACATGAAATTGTTGCTTTCTGTCATTATTTTTTAACCTTAACTGTTGTTTCCACTCCTTTTCCCCCAAATAACATTACCATAAATGTTCACTGGAAAGTCTTTTATCACTCAACATGCATGCCTACAATGAAAATTAATAAAATATTTAGAAATAGAAATTTTATTTTAAAAACTGTCATCACAGTGATAAAATCCAAGCGATATAAATATTACTAATTTTAACAATTTGTTAAACATAAAGTGGGTTTTTGTTAGAAATGTATCTGTCAGTGAAGTATCTGCCGGTGAAATAGTTGGGACTATAAATTTTTTTCTTCTCAGATTAGTTCATGTATCCATGGATGAATAGTACTTATTACAAAAAAGAGAAAAGGTACACTATCAGTTCTAGTCCCAATTTTCATTTCTACAGCTGTAACTGCTGAGACATCTGTTCACATGAATACATGGGACTAGGAGGTTTGTTACCACATTGTCATTCATTTCTTAGAAGTCATTTCAAGTTATATGCCAAAAATTACACAGCACTTGATTGGTTTGCTAAAAGCTAAGAAATTGAAACCATCCTACGTATTACTCAGATATTGTTATAGTCATTTCTTTTTCAATTTATGGAAAAGGGCTTTAAGAAATTATATCAAATAATGATTTATAATTTTTTTTTTTGGTAGATACAGGGTTTCGCTCTGTTGGCCAGGCTGGTCTCGAACTCTTGGCCTCAAGTGATCTGTCCTCCTAGGCCTCCCAAAGTGCTAGGATTATAGGCATGAGCGACCAAGTCCTGCCCTATAAATTTAATCGTTAGTCTTCAGTTTAGAGGCATGTTGTTTATCCCTGTATACCCAGAAAAGATTGAGAAAATAAAAATACTGTATTAGTTTTTAATTCAAATAACTTCTGCAATTTTTTTTTAACAAAATGCTTTTATCTTACTGTTGCAGACTTAGCTATCTTAATTGATGAAAATTTCCACCAGGTAGCCTAATTTGCAAATCCAATGATATGGTCAAATGATCATATTTGATCAGTGGGACTGACAAATTTGACTTAATTTTTATTAGAAAAAGCTGAGTTCACATTTCACTTCAAATAAATGCACTTTGTGAAAACTTATAAAAACATATCAATAAGTTATGGAATGCATCTTTTATGATACATTACTAAAACAGTCCAGAATAAAATGTGGTGCTAGTAAAATTTATTTATTCAGCTTATAATACACATGCTATTTCTCTTTACTTAATTAGTAATTATGTACTATAATATATAACTTATTTATGAAATGAGAAGTATGTTAGAAGTCATGATATCACTTTGATAAATACGGTTCCATGTGTATCACACAATTTAGTGTTGGACTTTAGGAAAAAATTAGGTAAGAGTAATATATAAAAATATTTATCAATTTTGCTAGGTATCATGACCAAACTGTTTTTATATGCTTAATGAAAGAGGAACTTACATACTTGCTAAAAATTAAGTGCTTTGACATTTGGATTATAATTTATTCTGTTAATTTTATTAGCAGTATGTAGAAGGTATTCAAAATCTTTTAAGATGAAAATGATGATTAATGGTAAATATTTTGCTATTATTTGATTATGTAGGCTGTAACTACCTTACTAAATGATAAACATAGTTTCTGAAAGAAATTAGGTAACATTTCTATCCACACCTTTTATTCAGTGTGTTCTACAAATTTTGTAGGGACAGGAAAATATTCAAACTAAAATTAAAAGAGTGGGCATCACTTACATTTGCTTAGGGGCTTTTCTTCCCAGGTGAAGACGCCTCCTAGGGATGAATGAGTGTTGAGGATAGTTGAAAAGAATATCTTAGCTTTGAATATGTGGGGTTCGAGGAGGGAGACCATTTTCATTATTGGACACTCATGCTTTGCTCCCATAGGATGCTTTCTAAAGAGCAATACATTACTAAAATAGATAAGAATGTAAGAGGAGAGTTCATTATCATTGCCCATTTTACATGATGTCTGAATTCTGAACATTCCAGCATAGTCCTAAATCCTGTATGAGATCTAGCTACACTTTACTCATCTGTGTATAGTCAGGGAAATATGAGCCTTTATTAATTGTTTTTTTTGTTTGTTTATTTTTTGAGACAGGGTCTCACTCTGTTGCTCAGGCTGGAGTGTAGTGGCTCAGTCACGGCTCACTGCAGCTTCGACCTCCGTGGGCTCAAGTGATCCTCCCACCTCAGCCTCCCGAGTAGCTGGGACTACAGGCACGTGCCACCATGCTCAGCTAATTTTTGTATTTTTTGTAGAGATGGGGTTTCACCACGTTGCCCAGGCTGGTGTCGAACTCCTAGGCTCAAACAATCCACCTGGCTCAGCTTCTCAAAAGTGCTGGATTTACAGGTGTGAGCCACCACAGCTGGCCTATTAATTCTTTTAATAATCAAATTGTGAATTATTTTAGCACTCAGAAGAGTTTTACACCCTGGGCTAGTGTACCATATAGAATATAAGCCAAGTATCTACCTTTATTTTGTAAAGAAGGAAGGGTACAATTTTCAGAAGAGAAACAAGAATGAATTCATGTACTTGGAGGCCCATTCTCAAGTGGATCAGTTTTAGAGTAAATATGGAACTGCAAGATCTGGAAATTGGGTCCTTGTGTTTGCATACCTCATGGAAGGCCTTTTTATACCCTGAGCTTAGGCATACTCTACTGAGAAGTCCACTGAATTAAGTCATGTCCCAGTGGAGTAATGCAAAAATGCCCTGCTCTCTTCACTTGGCTCTAAGCCATCCCTCCCCGTTTCTATCTCCAATTTTCAGTGTGGTATGTGAGTGGGGGCATATGTGTCATGATCATCTGGGGCAATTTTCAAAGGCTGTGGGTTTTGTTTTTTTTTTTTTGAGGCGGAGTTTCACTCTTGTTGCCCAGGCGGAGTGCAATAGGGCAGTCTTGGCTCACTGCCACCTCTGCCTCCCGGGTTCAAGAGATTCTCCTATCTCAGCCTCCTGAGTAGCTGGGATTACAGGTGCCCACCACCATGCCTGGCTAATTTTTGTAGTTTTAATAGAGATGTGGTTTCACTATATTCGCCAGGCTGGTCACAAACTCCTGACCTCTGGTGATCCCAAAGTGCTGGGCCTCCCAAAGTGCTGGGATTACAGGCATGAGCCACCATGCCTGGCCACAATTTTCAAAGTTAAAACAACCCTCTTACTTCTGAACTTTCCTGCGTTGGTTGGTTCTGGCTCTGTGGCCAAGGTTCATCCAGTACCTTCACCAGCTTTTGTTCCTGCTGGATAGGTGTCATGTCTCCCATGTGACAACTATTGCTTTAATTAAATTTCTGCACTCTTATCAGAATTTTACATCTAAAACTAAAAATCATTTTTATCTTTTAATCTTTTGCTGTTTAGAGATGCGGTCTCATTCTGTCATCCACGCTGGAGTATAGTGCAGGATCATAGCTCACTGCAGCCTGGAACTCCTGGGCTCAAGTGATCCTCCTGTCTCTGTTGCTTCAAGTAACTGGGACTATAGGCTTGCTCTACCACACTTGTCCTTGCCTGGCTCGTTAATTTTTTATTTTTTTTTTGTGGACATGGTTTCACTGTGTTGTCCAGGCAGATCTCCAATTCCTATCTTCAAGTGATCCTCCCATCTTAGCCTCCCAAAGCATTGAGATTTCAGGCATGTACCACCACACCTACCCATTTTCCTCTTATAAAATGTTTAATACTTTCCTAATCCTATTAACAAGAAATAAAATTATAAGCTTTCCACAGGTCTTTGCCTTTATAAATACAGCTCCTTACTTACAGTCTGCTAATCTGATCTTTTTGGACTAATTTCCAACTATTTTGCTGCAAGTGTTACATTCTTTAGATGGTTCCCTAACACATACCCATTAATTCAGTGATTCTCAGAGTATGGTCCTGGCCAGTAGCATCAGCATCTTCTGGAGACTTGTTAGAAATGCAGATTCTTGATGCCCAGACCCAGTGAATCAGAAACTCTGGGGGAGGTGGCCCAGCAGTCTGTTTCAACAGGTCCTCCACTTGATTCTGATGCACACAATGAGTGAGAATCACTGCCTTAGTTCCGTCTACCTACAGTAGTCTCCTCCTCCTTTCTTGCCTGCTGACTTCCGAGTTAGGAGACTGCATTCCCGGCAGCATTGCCCTCTCTTCTGTGTCCCACAGTACTTTGTCAAATCTTTTTTATGGCATTTATATTGCCTACATCTGTCTGCTTTTGAAGGTGGAGGCCACAACATAAATTACTTTTGCATCTGCATACAGCACGTACCTCAGAGATAAGTTAATAGGTGCTGGTGGATAAATGAATGTATGCATGAATGAAGGAGGAGAGCATTTTAGGAGGAGTGGTGATCAATAAGGTCAGCTGCTATGGAGAGACTGTGGAGAATAATGAAGGAAAAAAGCTATTGGATTTCACAGAAAGGCAGGTGTTGGTGACCTTTGAAATGCTTGCTTCAGCAGAGTGATGGGCAAGTAGCCCAGATTGCTGGCAGTTAGGGACTTCCGACATGATGAGGACTTGCAGGTTTCATATTGACTATTTATTCGAACATGTGGTGAAAACAGAATTTTCTTGAATGAAGTTGCTAAGTGACCTTAGGCCAGTTACCTAACCTGATTGAGCCTATAATCTCAGAATAAGCAATAATAATAATACTGTGTTTGTATGCTTTTTAATTGAAGGATTAAATGAGCTAATAGCCCCTAGAACAGGGATGTCCAATCTTTTGGCTTCCCTGGGCCACAATGGAAGAAGAATTGGCTTGGGCCACACATAAAATACACTAACACACTAACGATAGCTGATAAACTAAAAATAAATGGCAAAAAAAAATCTCATTTAAGAAAGTTTATGAATTTGTATTGGGCCGCATTCAAAGCCATCCTGGGCCATGGTTTGGACAAATTTGCTCTAGAATGATGCCTGATATATAGTTGATACTTAAAGGGTTATTTTCTTTATACTCTTCCTCACCATTATTTTTCCTTATTAATGCTGTTGAAGGCATTCGTCCCTCTTTGTAAATCCGTATAAGATGTGAAATTGTTTAGAATACTCTTCATTCCATTCATTGCAGAAATTGTGAATTGCATTCAGCCTGGAACTAACATACTTTTAGTTGAACACCGACCACTACTTTGAAATTACTTTTTTTTTTTTTTTTTTGAGACGGAGTCTTGCTCTGTCACCCAGGCTGGAGTGCAGTGGCACAATCTCAGCTCACTGCAACCTCTGCTTCCCGGGTTCAAGTGATTCTCCTGCTTCAGCCTCCTGAGTAGAGTAGCTGGGACTACAGGTGCGCGCCACCGTGCCTGGACAATTTTTGTATTTTTAGTAGAGACGTGGTTTCACCATGTTGGCCAGGTTGGTCTCGAACTCCTAACCTCATGATCCGCCCGCCTCAACCTCCCAAAGTGCTGGGATGACAGGCATGAGCCACCGCACCTGACGTTGAAATTACTTTTTAATCAGCTAGAAAAGTACCTCAAAGGGTAGTTGTAATAGAACTCTTTTAGTTCCAACTTACAGAATGTGACTTCAAGTAGACAGTGAGAAAATGGCAGAGGGGACAGGGAGAGGTAGTGGAGGGACAAGGAAATACAGATTTTGTTGGCTCATGTAACAGAAGATTCCAGGGATAGTACCAGCCTCAAAGCACTGCCAAATCTTCTCAATCAAACAATATTATCAGTACTAGATATTTGTCAGATTGTCTTGCAGCCTAGATCTTCTTCATATGATTTGCATTCTCAAGCATATTCATTAGGTACAAATTTAGAGGAAAGAGAAGAAATTCCCAGTAGTTCTAAGTAAGTTCCTGGATTCAATTGCACTGTCCAGACTTAGGTCACTTGCCTATTCTTGAACCAGTTGTTATGCTCAGGGTGCTGGGAGCAGACTGGTTTTCTAGGCCTGGCTAAGGAGTATTCAGTTCTATGAAATACTGGTATTGTCTGAGTATGGTGGCTCATGCCTGTAATCCCAACACTTTGGGAGGCCGAGGCAGGTGGATCACTTGAGCCCAGAAGTTCGAGACCAGGCTGAACAACATGGGGAAACCCCATCTCTACAAAAAAAATACAGAAAAATTAGCTGGGTATGGTGGCATGCACCTCTAGTCCTAGCTGCTTGGGAGACTGAGTCCCAGGAGATGGAGGCTGTGGGGAGCCGCGATCCTGCCACTGCACTCCAACGTGGGTCATAGAGTTAGAACCTGTCTCAAAAAAAAACAAACAAACAACAACAAAAAAAAAACAGAAAAGAAAGAAATACTGGTGTTGAGTGTAAGGGACAAGTTCCCAAAAGGAAATGTAGCTTCTATTACCAGAGTGAAGGGGAGTGGACACAAGTCAGGCAAAAAATTGGTATCAACTCACTATAGAGAAAAGGGCTTTTCAAACTGTACTTAAGCAAGTACAGTTCAGCCCACTGAGATACTTAAGCAAGTTGAAGAGAAAAAGGGAGTAATACCTGATTGGATGTTCTCTGACCCATGATTACTCCAGCTTCACCTAGAACAGCTTCACTTTTATATATTTTGTATATGCAACTTCTGGTTAGATTGCATTTGGAAATGAATTTTTTTTTTTTTTTAAATCCTGTGACAGAGTCTCACTCTGTCGCCCAGGCTAGAGTGCAGTGGTACGATCTCAGCTCACTGCAACCTTCGCCTCCTGGGTTCAGGTGATTCTCTTGCCTCAGCCTTCCAAGTAGCTGGGACTACAGGCGTGTGCCACCATGCCCGGCTTATTTTTGTGTTTTTAGTAAAGGTGGAGTTTCCCCATGTTGGCCAGCCTGGTCTCAAACTCCTGACCTCGGGTTATTCGCCCACTGCAACCTCCCAAAGTGCTGGGATTACAGGTGTGAGCCACGGTGCCTGGCCTGAAAATGAATCTTAACAATACCATTGGTATGGGACACATCAGCAGATGGTTAGGCCCATAATATATTAAAGTAGGTGACATCTTTTCCCACTCCATCCTGATAAATGAGTTCTTGACCTACCTTTTCCACAGCGCCATTGGCCTAACTCATATTCCTAACCCTACAAGATCCAGACCTGACTCCTCCACAGTCAGATATGTGAAGATCATGAAATTAGGCAGCAGTCTAGTTCTCAGCTTACAGATTTTATGACACTTAAAAAATCATCATGTATCATAGTTCCATGGATACTTCCCCAAAAGTTGTCACAACTTGGTGACTCGATATGATCTAGTAATTATAAAGCAGAAAATTTTGATATATTCAAGAAATTTGACAGATCATAATCTTTGATGATATGTTTATGCTGAAATTTGCAAGTTAGGCAGTTTAATTTTTTTTTTTTTTTGAGTTAGAGTCTCGCTCTGTCGCCAGGCTGGAGTGCAGTGGCATGATCTTGGCTCATTGTAACCTCCACCTCCCAGGTTCCAGCGATTCTCCTGCCTCAGCCTCCTGAGTAACTGGGACTACAGGCGCGCACCATCATGCCCAGCTAATTTTTGTATTTTTAGTAGAAACAGGGTTTCACCATATTGGCCAGAATGGTCTTGATCTCTTGACCTCATGATCCACCCGCCTCAGCCTCCCAAAGTGCTGGGATTACAGGTGTGAGCCACTGTGCCTGGCCCAGTTTAATATTTTTTAAGTCTTCATCTATGGCTCATCTCCTAGGTAACTGCTTCCTAAACCACACTCTTAGAGCTTTTTTGTGATCTACTATTGACTTCCATTAAATATCTAGTCCGCCTTTTCATCGTCCTCAGGGCCCAAACAAAGCTGGTGAGGTGTCTGTTTGTGTAAATAAAGTTTGTTTGTTTGTTTTTGGAGACAGGGTCTTACTCTTCTACCCAGGCTGAAGTGCAGTGGCACAATCATTGCTCCACTGCAGCCTTGACCCCCAGGGCCCAAGCAGTCCTCCCCCATCAGCCTCCCAAGTAGCTGGGACTACAGGTATGCCTGCCTAATATTTTATTTTTTTGTAGAGACAGGGTTTCAATGTGTTGCCTAAGCTGATCTCAAACTCTTGGGCTCAAGCAATTCTCCTGCCTTGGCCTCCCACAGCGCTGGGATTACAGGTGTGAGCCACTGCACCTGGCCTAAGTACAGTTTTATTGGAACATTGACACACCTAATAGTTTAAGTCTTATCTGTGTATGGCTGCTTTCTTGCTATAACAACAGAGGTGAATAGGTGTGAAAGAGAATGCATAACCCACAAACCTAAAATATTTAATATCTGGCCTTTATAGAATAAGTTGTTGACCTTTGCTCTATATTTATGTGGTTTATAACAGTTTTTCTACTTTTTTCTTTTTTTTTGAGACAGGGTCTCACTCTGTTGCCCAGGCTGGAGTACAGTGATACAATCATGGCTCACTGCAGCCTGGATCTCCCCTGGGCTCAGATAATCCTCCTACTCCAGCATCCCGAGTAGCTGGGACCACAGGTGGGCGCCACCATGTCCAGCTAATTTTTCCATTTTTTGTAGAGGTGGGAGTTTCACCGCATTGCCCAGGCCGGTCTTGAACTCTTGGCTTAGGCAATCTGCCGTCTCGCCTCCCAAAGTGCTGGGATTACAGGTGTGAGCCACCTTGCCCAGCTGTATTCATACTTACTAACATATGGTACACTTATGAAGAAGAATCAACTAGTGTCCTTATAATATCCTCAGTCTCAGGTGTTCTCGAAAGCATATCTAGGGAAATATTTTTGTTCTTTCTGTGCTCTTTTAATTCTCTTTTCTTCTGTACCCTTAACAGTTTAGTGCTCTTCATCTTTAAAACAACCAACCTTGGCCGGGTGTGGTGGCTCATGCCTGTAATCCCGGCACTTTGGGAGGCCGAGGCGGGTGGATCACGAGGTCAGGAGATCGAGACCATCCTGGCTAACATGGTGAAACCCCGTCTCTACCAAAAATACAAAAAAAAAAATTAGTCAGGCGTGGTGGTGGGCGCCTGAGTCCCAGCTAGTCTGGAGGCTGAGGCAGGAGAATGGCGTGAAACTGGGAGGCGGAGCTTGCAGTGAGCCGAGATCGCGCCACTGCCCTCCAGCCTGGGCGACAGAGCGAGACTCCGTCTTAAAAAATAATACAAAATAAAACAACCAACCTTTTTTAATGAGTGGGAGGGAGAGTGATTGTGGTTTTTTTCACCTACAATTTGAACGCATTTGCACACACACCTGCATGTATTTAATGCAGACATGCAAGGTGCCAAGTACACACACAAAAATCAGGATTTTGTGTCATTTTATTTCCTTTCTACTGACTCCTGTCAGTTTCATATTTGCTGTTGTCATAGAAGTCTGTTTTGTAAAGAACTATCTGAAACGGTTGAGGAGAGCTGATGAAGGGAAATGGAGGAGGAGCAGATCGCCCCCGATCTGGTCACTGGATTCTGTTAGCAGAGCAGCCACTCATCAGAAGGCTGAGTAGTTAAGCTGTACTTGAAGAAGAACAGGGATAGTAATACCCCATCCCTGCTTTTTTGCAGTCTAAATGCCCTGTGGAGTGAGAGAAAACTTCAATCCCTAGGCTTGTGAAGCCCTTATCTTTCCCAAACGTTAAATTAATTTTTAAGGCTATTTATTCAAAGTTGACTTAACCACTAGAATAGGGAAGATCAGACAAATCAGCTGCAAGAAATGAAGTATGAGAAAACCCGAACTCTTTGACAAAGTATTCCTGGGAGTAAATGTGTTGAATGAAGCCAGCGGGTAAATGATAAGGGCCTTTACACTGTGGATGTAAGAAAGCAATTTATCAAGAGTACATGAACTCTCTAGTGACCACAAGTCAGGAGGAAATGAGAGTGGAGGAGGAGCCCTGAAAAAATACATATGAAATACTAAAAAATCTGTGTGCACGCACTTTTAAATTCCTCCATGATTATGCAGTAATATTGGTGTAGTAAAATAGGAGTTGCTGAGAATGCACGTGTAGTGTAGCCCGTACCATTAGGGATAAGGTGTTAGGAAAAGCCGCTGAGAAAGGCCACACTGTAGTTTAGAATTTGCAGAAACCTTAGGTTCATAACTTAGGTGTAGTTATGACTTGAGCCTAGATGTTGGCTGATACCCATTTGCCTGACTCATGAGGTTAGATGACCATCCTTCAGGCTTATGTGTTCATCTTGTTTAATTCCTAAATGGGCATATGCATATAATTCTGACAGTTTTGAATGCCTTTTGTGTTCTCTTAAGGAGTTTAGAGTGCCTCTCACTCGTTATCTCACTAATCTTTGCAGCATCTCTTTAAGCCCTACAGATAAGACAGTGTTATTGCTTGAGAAACTGAGGCAAAATGTAATTATATTATCAGCAATAGGGTGTGCAGTAACTCAGATATGGATGGGGACTGGAATTTATGACCTTATTTTGGCCTTTAGTTCTAGAGAAGAGATGGCGTTTCTTAAATTTGAGGAGAAAAAGCACCCAATTGTTGAACTTTTCATTTTATTAAAAGTGTTTACTCTGAGAATGGTCATCCTCAGCTTTTTCTACTGAGATAATACAGTTAGCTGAAATACACCAGAAATTCTCAAATGTTGGTTTGTCATTTGTTTCCATTTTCATCTGTACCCTTAGAGCTATTAACAAAGTGACTTGTTATTTCTTTCTTTTTAAAATTATGACTTTAATTTTCTTTTTTATCCTGAATAACTTTCAGAAAACATGCCAATGAACACAAAAGCTATCTAACAGGTGACTAACGAGAGAAATTGAGAGAACTAAGTTTTTGGATAACCCCCTATAGCTAATATGACTTGACTTAAATTACTAGCCCTCCACACAGATGTCAGCTTTCCTTATTCCCTCCAAATTAGGTCTTTCACCCCTGTCGTCTAAAGAACACTCTCTTCCTCCTCTTTAACCATTCAGGTATTATAAGGGGTGAATCTTATTCAGAAAAGTGATATTCACTGAGCCTGCCCATATGGCATGAGTTAGGAATTGTTTTGTTTTGTTTTTGGTGGGGGGTAGGGGACACCATCGTCACTCGGGTTGAAACACAGTTCAGTTAACAAATCAATGAGGTTTTTAGCACCAGCCACGGTCATTTGAAAACCCCCTCAGTGACTCTTTATCTGAAAGTTGAATGTGTTTTCTATTTGTTGTTGCCTGCAATTTATAAACACATCCAATTAAAAAAATAGGAAAGAAAAGGGGTAAAACAGAAAGGAGGTGTCAGAGAACTATTTTCTTTGCAAGATCTTGCTTAAACACCTATGGCGAACATTCATGTGTAGAAATGGAGCCCTGGTAACTTCCAGCAATATTTCTAACTCCTGTTCTCTCTCTTTATCTTATTCCCAACACCCCCATCTCTGGAACTTTGGCGGGACCACCACAGCCTTGGATAAGCTCAGCACGCAGCACCTGTACCACCCCACCCAAGTGGAGATTGTGCAGTCCAACGTCGTGTTTGACATCAGCAGCCTGATGCTCTATGGGACACAAGCAGTGCCTGTGCGGCTAAAGATCCTGCTGGACCGTCTCTTCAGCGTCCTGAAGCAAGAGGAGGTACTGCACATACTGCACGGCCTTGGCTGGACTCTGCGGGACTATGTCCGAGGATACATCCTTCAGGTAGGGAGAGGACTTGAACGCCGCCCGTGTCCGGGGCCGACTGTGGGTGGGGAAGGGTGAGAGTCCTTGACAAACCTCGCAGGAAGGGCTGCACACCCTCCTCTGGTTAAAGTGGTCGTTTCAGCAGGCTTGTCAGGGAAGGGGAAAGGAGAGAGACAAAGCAGGCCACCATCGGGCCTCAGGCTGTATTAGAAGGAAAACTTGGCCTCTTGACTTGCGTTACCTTTGTTTGCACCTTTTTGAATTCAACTCTTTCTCTACATCATGGGCTTTCTGGCTTCTTCAACAAGTCTTATTATAACCCTATTAAAAAGGAGGGCTCTTTGAGGCGGGTAATGGGTGTGTGAAAATCTGAGATTACCCTTCATTTGGGTTTATTAGGGCTTTTTCTCATACTCAGTTTGCAGGTACGGTGTTTTTCTTGGTTGTCTTTGTACCTAAAGGTACACATTTTACTATTTATTGTTTTTTCAGCCAACTCAAAGGTAGAACTATAATCCATATAAACTTATATAACCAGTAAACCCTCACATGATAGCCTTCAGATTTCTACCTTCTGAAACACACAGACATGATTTTAGATTTCGTCTTTGCAGAACCTGTTCTTCCAGCCTTGAGTGTCTCCTTTGTGTCAATGGCACTTCTGACCTGGTAAGGGCTCTAAGAGTTTTCTGGGAGGCCCACAGCCTTCATGCACCCCCATCTCCCATCCCTCTCTTTCTTCATCTCATTTTTGCAATGTGTCATGTGTTATTTGCACTGTATACTTTGCCTCTGAAATGTGTTTATGGCTATCTGTCTTCCTGTAACCCTTGAGGGGTCAATGTTGAGAACAGCATTTTGGGAGATCCCAGGATCCAAAGAGGCTACACTGGATGATGAAGAAATACCCCTCTCGCCGAAGGACATCTCAATTTGAGAAGGTAGAATCTGAAGCAATTTTTCAAATTTCCCATGAGGATAATACCAGGAGACATGACCCCTTCAAAAACAATTGGTTTTGGCTGTGCCAGCCTTGTATAGTGCTAGACATATCTCCACTGTTTATTCCCTGAGCTACTGTGTGTTACATGAAGGGCATTAGCTGCCAGCTTGGCATGTGAGGAGTGGGGAGCCTCAGTCTACCTCTCGTTTTAACCTGGCATCAGAACACACAGATTCTTGTCATTTTCCTGTGTGGTACCTCCAGCTGTTAGCTGGGACAGGAGAGCAGTGGAAGGATAGAAAGTAGAAGTAGGGAAAGGGAAGGGAGTTGGAATAACCTGTCTGCTCTCAGAATAGAATGACGTCTTAATTTAGTGAGAATCTCAACTGGGAAGACACAGAAAATTTGGCCCTCAAAAGATGAGATGATGGTGATAATAGTAGCAATTATATATTACGTTTTCAGTTTATACAGAATGTTTACAAGCATTATCTCATTTGCCTCAGGATGGGGACATTTCAGTGGGTTAAAGTAGGAAGATAAGTCTTGGACGGTCAGGGGGCATGAGGGGGAACAAGATCTAGGAGGAAGGGGCCAGGAAAAATAAATCAGGAACTGGTTTCACAATCCCTGCTTATACTGGCCCCAAGATGCATACAGTGCTGCGTCTTTCTACAGTCATTTCTACAGCGTGATTATTAATGTCTGTTTTGAATGGATTTTACCCTACACAAAGAGAAAAACCTCTTACAGTTGTTTGTATGGAACTGTTAGCTTGGCTAACAGTCCTTTCTTTATTCCAAACCAACAAGTGTTTTGCCCCAATCTGGTACCATCTTTATTACCTCCACTATGCTGCTTATACTTCTGTCATTAATATTGTATTTCAGTTTCATGTGTATGTGTTGCCTAAGATACTTACACCTGTATACCTACGCAGAGACACAAGCATATACATTGTATCTTTCTGTCCAAACAAATAGGTATGTGCAGGGCTATGTTGGTTTGCCATTTTAACAAAGCTCAGGTAGCACTTTGATAGGAGTAAACATAAAGCCTGATAATGTTTCTGTGTTATGGTCCTATTGTTCTGCCTTGGCCAGTGCCTGTTTTTTATTTTACTTGAAATAATTATTTAGATGTTAGTTTTTCCCCAACTTGTGAACATATCTCTAATGCAGGTATAAAAAATGTAAATGTACTCTGTATTTCTTTGTATGGGAGGGCCCAGTATTTAGCAGGGGTGTCAAATCTTTTGGCTTCCTGGGCCACATTGGAAGAAGAATTGTTTTGGGCCACACATAAAATATACTAACACTAACAATAGCTGATGAGCTTAAAAAAAAACTCTCATAATGTTTTAAGAAAGTTTACAAATTTGTGTTGGGCCGCATTCAGAGCCTTCATGGGCCACATGCAGCCCGTGGGCTGTGGGTTGGACAAGCTTGATTTAAAGAAACAAAATTGCAAGAGAAATGAAATTTGAGAGGAAAATTCAGTAAAACCAGGAACTAAAATTTATAAATCTCTTATTTTAGGGTGAAATACTGCTTATAGAGAGCATTTTCATTTATTGTAATACTTAAATTATAATTAATTTTTATTATTTTAATATAGATTTTGACAGTCTCAAATTTAATATAATATTTCTCCATTCAGTCTAAAATTGACATTTTGAGAAAACGATAGATGATTTTTACATTAGAGGAGTTCTAGGTTTAGTTTCTGTCTTGTTTTATTGGTAGAATTGATGTAATATAGATTTTATTTAAATGATGGTTTTTGTCATTCAGCATTTATAATCTACTTGTTCTTTGTTAAAACAGTTCTCGGTTTGGAAAAAAAAGCAAATGGTCCCAGAACACCAAAACTGTTACCACTTTTGTAGTGAGAAAATGCTTTGTTTTGTAAAGAAAAAAGAGAGAGACTGTAAAAGTAAACCCATTCTTCTAAAGTAATGTTACTTGATAATTGGCCAATATTTTAAAGATTGTATGTGGTAATGATAAGGTGTGCACAAATTACTTTGAATATAATTGTATATGGCGTTTTTGTAAAAGTAGGCTATAAAATGTGTGTCCGAAGGCTGTGGAACCCCATAATGCTCTATTAGTGTACAAGTCATTTTATCTGGCTAAAACTCAATTGTCTTGTAGCCCTCAAGGCATCAATTTTAGCATTATTGCTCTCAACAACAGTATATTGAATATTATGTCAGTTAAAGGAGAATAATTATCAAGGCAGGTTAGGGTGGCTGTTAGTCTTACCACATATTGACTTGGTTAGCAGTTGGCTACAGATTGTGTTCCTGGGCAAATGAAGATGTACGGTAAGTTGAACTAGTCAAGCCAGGATATTAATTTAACTCTCTGTGGGACAAAGCCTGCATCCTTTATGTGTACACAGCTACTCCTGCCTTCTGAGATACCTTTAAATGTGGAAGAATGACAGTTGTCTGATCTGATTTTGAATTTTTGGATGTAGGGGGAAGAGGGGAGCAGAACTTTCAAAAGTATGTGGTTTAAGAGGTTATTATTAGAAAAAGGGAGATGATAGTGATGCTACAGATACATTTAAAAGGCTGGCACATCGGTCAAGGATCCTGTACTTTTTTTATAAAGTTAATTTTCACCTATGTGAGTGTCTATATAATTCACAAGCTAGCCAGTTGGGTATAAAATGCATAACATAACTTGGACTACAACTACTTAAGAAGTCAGGTAATATATTAAGAACCCAATATTCTCCTGTGTACTTATTAAAGTATTTATTCAGAAAGTACAGAAAGTTAGCTTTTAAGCATTTTCCAGAAAACCACAAAAATGGGAATATGCAATTAGATGATAAAATCTAAATACAAGGGAGAATATGATGTTTTTCTACTACTAAAGAATAATTCTGGCCAGGCGTGGTGGCTCACGCCTGTAATCCCAGCACTTTCGGAGGCCAAGGCGGGCAGATCACTTGAGGTCAGGAGTTTGAGACCAGCCTGGCCAATATGGTGAAACCCTGTCTCTACTAAAATACAAAAATTAGCCGGGTATGGTGGCATGTGCCTGTTAACCCAGCTACTTGGGAAGCTGAGGTGGGAGAATTCCTTGAACCCGGGAAGCAGAGGTTGCAGTGAGCCAAGATTGTACCATTGCACTCCAGCCTGGGCATTGCAGCGAGACTCCATCTCGAAAGAAAAAAAAAAAAACGAAGAAGAAGAAGAAGAAGAATTCTTAGTTCAGGTCTGTATCTTGTGATACATTTATTGACCATGAATGGAAGCAGTGGCCCCCTCTTTTGTCCTTTCCCCATTTTCCCCTCTGTCCTTGACCTAGGAAATAAGAATACGGGTGATTATCATTGTTGAATTTAGTCATTTAAAAATCAAGTTTTTATAGTCTCTTTCAGTTTGAACGTATAACTGACTTGCCTGGGCTCATCCACCAGCCTGTCTGTGGAAATCTTCTCATTTGCAGGTGGGTCCTGCCAGAATTCAGAGAAGCAGTTGAGACACTCTGAATATTTAGCTGAGATGTCAACAGCCTTATAAGAAGAGTGGTATTGATGCCCCTCTCAACTCTTCTGTGTCTTACCAGCACAATTGGTACATTAGAAGAGCATTTCTCAAAGACGAATGGGGCCATCCGTCTTTTAGAGGTCCAGCTTTAGATTTGGGAGTAACTACATACTGGATCTTTCTCTTAACCTTCATGATACTCATTAGTATAACACAGGCTCTGAGGAGGTCTAGGGTACGAGCCTGTAAGAGTAGGGAAGTAGCTTTCTCCAACCCTTCCCACTTCATAACCTCTTCCCTTCAAGCTCATTTGAAGTACTTAGTTCTGAACACACTCAGTTCTTCTCCCACATGAGCTATTTGCATGTAAGGTTTCTTCTGCCTGGAATACCTTACTTGTGTCTCTGCGTGGGTAATTTCTTCTCTTCTAGGCATCAGCCAAAGTCTCACTTTCTTACAGAGGACCATCTTAGCCAATGTAGGTCTTTTGTAGTGTAGCTATATCTTAGGACTCTGTTTCCTTCAAACTCCTATCACAATTTAAAATCAGTCAATTAAGTCAACTGTTAAAATGTTTATTTTTCTGGCCTCCTCACTAGGGAACAACACAAATGCAGAGCACTGAATAAGTATTTGTTAAGTGAATGGCTAGGGAAACCTGTTTAGCTTGGTATAGCTTGATGTTTCACCATGGAACTCATGGAATAACCAGTAACTTCAGTTTGTCAAAAGGCCCTTAGTTTTTTCTCCAGGCTTCCTAAGGACTGACTGCTATAGCAGCAGCTGGGCTGTTGAGGGCAATAAGAAGAAAAGTAAAGGCTCCCATGCCTTCTAGCTAGTGATCTGTGTAGAGTAAGTGTTTTATGGTATCCATGTGGTAGAAAACATCCATATTAAGCAAACACTTGTATTTAAACAGCTCTTTGCGGAGCAAGTTCATGTAAGTTACCTCTTTTCCTCCTCTTACACCATCCTCTTATAGATGTTGCCAATGAATTAACATTTGGTATAGTTGAGGCTCAAATAAGTGACTTTCCCCTGATCACAGAAGTGTTAATTGGCACAGTTGATACACTGTAAGCTTCCTGAAGATAACACATGTCTCTTATTCATCACTGTAACTCGCTTCCCAGCACCAGCACCCAGGCTTATACATAAAAGGGTGTATTAAATATTGGAAGGAGGATGTTTTGAAGTTTGATTTGAATTCAGGTCTTTGACTCTATGGGCAATATTTGGATGTTTGTTTTTTGTTTTTAAGGCTACCAGCCTGTCTTTCCAGAATGTAATATGTGAGAGTCTGTAGATGCAGTGTGGCATGATTTGGGGGAAGAGAAGAGGCCTGAGTCTGGAACTGACAGACTAACTTAAGATCTCGTATATTCAGTGGCACACCAAATGTCTGACCTTAGGTAAAATTGGGTGAAATGGATTCCTCTTTCGTGTTCCTTTTCTTGCCTATTTCCTGATACTCCATTTTGTTATCTTTACTTCTATTCGCTCTCATTTCTGTGACTAAAACCAGATCTGGTATTTATCCTTAATGCTTTATTGTAAATTCCGGTCTTTGACTTGGCCTTTCCAGGGATACATACCTTTTGTAGTTGAGCATAAAAACAAAGGTTTTGTACCTAGTTAGTAAGATTTCAGCTATACCATGTGCAGGGATTGGAAGAGAGATGAAGTAGTCTTTCCTGGGTTTATAAAAGCATTTCAAGTTGGATGGCAAAAGGGCTCTGGATATTGAGACAAGATTGGGTTAAATCTGGAAGACTTTGCCATTCTTAGTCATAGTTTCTTAATCTTTACAATTAAGATAACTCCCCATACCTCTCTAAAATTAAGATAACCTTCATGTCTCTACCTTTGAGTGTCTAAAAAGATGAAATAATATAGATGAAATGTATGTTGTGAACTCCTTCTCAATAAATTGGCATTTTTTCACTTATATCTATGTGTAAAGTTAACTCTGAGTAATTATAACAGAGAAATATCAGTTGCTAAACATGTTTCTCTACCAATGCCAAATGTTTAAAAAAATAGGGAATGCATTTTAGGCGTTAGTATCAATAAGATAAATTGCAGTTGTTTTAGTAAGTACATCCTGAAATACTACTAGTGGCATAACACAGCAGAAGTTTCTCTTTTCTCTGCAAGCCTAGTCTAGTGGTGAATGCTTTCCTTCCATAAGTGATTTGACAAGAGGTAATTTAGGGCTATTGCTGTTTTATGGCTCTGCCATTTTCTCGGATCGTAGATTCCTCATCCAGGTGGCAACCCTGAGAGAAGATGAAGGTTCTCTGTGGGATATTTTCATGGATGTGGCTCAGAAGTGTAGTAGGGTGCTTATTCTCCCATCACTGACCAGAACTGATTTGTAAATGAGGCCATGTGACTGAGAGGAGGAGCCAGGATGTATGGGCTTGGCAGGTACTCTCAGGGAAAATGAGTACAGGTCTGTGCTCCACTCATGTGTGGTGGAATAGCTATAATTATGCCTTCTTTTTATAGAGTTGGACCAGAAAAGCTTAATGCAGCAGAGTCATGCAGTGAAGGCAGATTCATGGGCTTGCATCCTGGCTTCAGGTCTTACTAGATGTGTGAAAAAATTAGGCCCGTGTCTTTATTCACCTCAGTTCACTCACCTGTAAAACAGGGATAATAATAGTACTCATGGCTTTGATGTGAAGACAAAGTAGAATGATTCACAGAAAGCACTTAGTAGTACCACTTGCTAAGTATCCAGGCAATGCTAACTATTAATATGATAGTGAAAAAGATGATGATACAGACTGTTACAGACTACTGCCAACCTGATGATTTTAGAACTTTGTTTCTATAAAGTAGCCTTAAATCCTGGATTTCACTGTACCTCTTAGAGAAGAATCCCTTTCTAACCAGTAGAGAAAAAGAGCAGCTACTATTTAATTATCAATAAATAATACATACACATACACACGTATATATGTATGTACATATGAATGTACTTGGATATAAATAAGAGGCAGGAGTATGCAGTAACAAAGACTTTGTACTTCAGAGTTGGACAGACTTGGTTGTGAATCTTGGTTTCACTTTTTGGTAGCTCTGTTAGCCAGCAGAGAGAACATACTTGAACATCAGTTTCTTCATCTATAAAGGTTAAATCAAAGAATATTTTAAAAGTATGTAGTGCAATAACCAGCCCATAGTACTCTTATTAATATTAACATTACTACATTGTGAAGATGTGTATTTTCATGTGTGCATTTTTTAAAGTAATGGTTTATTCTTTTTTTTTTTTTTTTGAGGTGGAGTCTCACTCTGTCTCCCAGGCTGGAGTGCAGTGACATGATCTCGGCTCACTGCAACCCCCATCTCCTGGATTCGGGTGATTCTCCTGCCTCAGCCTCCTAAATTACAGGTGTCTGCCAGCACACCTAGCTAATTTTTGTATTTTTAGTGGAGATGGGGTTTTACCAGTGTTGGCCAGGCTGGTCTCAAACTCCTGACCTCAAGTGAACCACTCACCTCGGCCTCCCAAAATGCTGGGATTACAGGCATGAGCCACTGCACCCGGCCAAGTAATGGTTTATTCTATATATGACACTGTCATTTTTATCACCTTTATATTTCCCTATTTTATCAACTCTTCCAATACTTTCCAAGCTCTGGCACAGAATGAATGATTACTTGATATATTTGTTTAAATGATTAGAGTATCTAGGATTGCACCTTATCGCATAAAATAAAACATTTAAAACAGCCTTTGAAATAGGTATTATCTGACCTCACAGGTTTTTAGGAAATTTCTGGAGCAGAAAGATCAATGAATCTAGATATAAATTAATTTAGGTAATCCTTCAAATAGCAAAAAAAATTGATTTATTGGTATATATTGAGATAGGAGATCTCTCAGAAAACCAGCACTCTAATCGGTGAGCTCTAAACAAATGATGGAAAGTTGTATTATATAAACTACAAAAATATTCAGATCACCCAGAAAATTGACATAAAGGGGGGATTATTTGATACCAAGTAAAGATTGGATTATCAACACCATGACATAAGGAAGGTGTCGCTGCATTATGTCACCAATATGTGATTCTTTTTCAGGAAAGAAGGATCACATGTATGATTGGTCAGGATCCCCCTGTCTTTGGCAGGGATATACAAAAAATAGATGATTCAGAGCAGTGTGTTGTATTTATAGTGTCTGTTTTCTAAAGTGCTTGGACCACTCTACAAACACTGTCCTGGCAAGCCTCCTAACCTCCCTATTAGAGAGATAGTTTCAGAGACTATTATCCTTGGTTTTAAAGTTACCGTGATGGGGAGGCCTCAGGCAGAGGCAAAGCTGGAAGTGGAATACAGGGATTTTGAATCCCATGCCAAAGCTCTAACTATTTGAACGGCAATGAAAATAAACACCTTAGATCCAAGGACAAAGCTTGATGTTTTGTGCTCAGAGTTAAAATGAAAATATTCCTCCCTTTACTCTTGCAAAATAAAAATATATGGCTTACCAGATTCCAGGATGGAATGCAGTGACTGCCGGAATAGGATTTGCGCCTGTGGGACATGAAGAGGCTTTTGCATTCCCCCAGGAGGAGCAGAAATGAGTCCACAGCTCACTGGCCAGTCTCCATTTGATAAGAATCAGTTCAGATTTACTTGAAATGGACATTGTCTGTGATGGCACTGATTAAATCATATGATCTCCTGAGCAGCACTCATACATCCTTCTTGTTGAATTTAAAGTGGAAAGCTCTGAGCTTTGGGTTTAAACCTTAATTCTAGCACCAATTAACTCTCTAGCCATACAAAAAGCACAAAATTTCTATGAGCCGTATTTTCTTGATGGTGCCTTCTTAAAGGAGCTTTCAGGATGAAGAGAAGTAATATGTTAAATTCATAGTGGAGCTTAGTAAATTTAATTCCTGAAGTAGAATGATCTCCTAGTCCCCCCACCCCAACCCTTAAGTTTCTAGAGCAACGGGAGCTTTATGAGTCTTCCAGTTGCCCATACGTTTTATTTGAGCTACTGTGTCCTTTTCTAGTATTTCCCCCAATTTGACAGAATAGCCCAGTGGAAGATGAGGGGGACTTGTACAGGAATGAAATCCTCTGTGACTATAATGAAGAGTCATGAGAAAACTCTCAAGGCTGAGTCTTAGTCTACTATCTGTTTCTTTTGAGTGACTTACTTCAAGTGCTGGTGTATGAAATCTTGAAGGGCTGTGAAAAGTAGAAAATGAGATAAGGATCTGTGTGGGTTTCTGGAAGCTTTTGCTAAATTCATACAGATGGGACAAATGCAAATAAAGATACATTTATTTGATTTCTTCATGATACCTGTATGTAATGCTGACGGAAGTGTAAAACAAAATGTGGGCCAATACTTTGCTAGGAGAATGAGTGACCATGCATGGTTAGGCCACATCTAGGCCTGATGATCTGAAGCTCTTCTTGATTTGTCTGATGTTTGCATACACTTCTTTCTTAGGGAAGTCACTAGTGATTCTGATTGTTTACAAACTTGGCATTTGTTGCCGATAGCCTTAGATTTTAAAGATGTGGCTAACTAGCTAGTGATGCATGAACAATTGTTTTAGAAACCTACCATTGTGGTCCTGTTGGTATCTAGGAAGTTTTTTCATTTGTTGGTGGCAACTGAGTGATCTGTTATGTCTACTTTTCCTCTCTCCCTGTCCCCTCCCCCATCTTCTTCTCTCTCTTTTCTTTCTCTCTTTTTTTCAGTCAAGGTAGACTTGAGATAGGGGACTTGCATGGCTATAGTAGATCATAATACATGAGGCCCCCCAAATAAGAGAGTGAAACATTGTCTGGGATGTATTTTCTGCTCGAACTCATCGTCATTTTTCTGTGTATTTCTTACATTAGCCCCCAGAAAAGCATTTTTCAAAGACTTTGAGAACCAAAGGTTCTCTCTGTAAGGAAATGTGTTAACCTGATTTCCTTGTTCTCATGTAATTTTCTCTCTTAAAGCCATAATAATAGTGTCAGAGGCAGCTTTCTAGTTAGTGTGAGTAATGTGGTTACTGTATTTTCTATTTTTATTTTAATGTGCTTTTCCTGCTGTGGATTTTTTTTTCTTTCTTGATTTTAAAAACAGCAGTTGAGTAAATGTGGTTATTTGAAGACTGGCGTATATTGCATCTTCTCTGAGATGCAATTTTGAAGGAAGGCTCTGTGCACAATAGGCATTTTTTTTCAGATTCCTTAGTAGGATAAATAGGAGAATGTTTGGAACACAGATCAGTGACAATATTGGTTTATGGTCATGGTAGGTCAGGCTTCCTCAGAGAAACTGACAATAGAGTATCCCATAGGTTTTGTCTCTAGAGAGTCTGTTAATATGAAGTCTGTTTATTTTATGATGTGTTGATAAGAAAATTAGGTAACCAGGGAAGCACCTTAAATTGCTGCATTCATTTGCCTCTTTTTAAGCATGCACACACATTGAGAAATTTTGAATTAACAACAACAAAATACACTTAAATTCCCCTGGAAAGAGTAATTAAGAGCTACTTGTCTCTGTGCTGTCATCTCTGCCAGAATTAGAGTTCCTGCTGAGTATATTCCATTGAGTCAGCCATCATTCCATCACCAGCAGGGATTGCTTTTCTGCTTTTCCACGTATTGACATGTGAGGGAATGTCTGTCTTGCAGTAGCCATGGGCTTGTGCCAGATTTTGAGATCCATAGAGGCAGTTCTGGGAGCTTTTCAATTCTGAATCAGGGTTCCAATTCATAATAGCTGAGCCAGGGAAACCGGGTTGAATCTGTGGCCAAAACCGTGGTAAAAAACTTTTTCCCCCTTTCCTTTCTTGCAGTGCTTTATTGCTTTAAAATATGAGTGCCTCTGTCCATTGATTCTCTGGTGACTTTCCGTTGGATTCAAATTGTGGTCTCTTAGGTGAAAAGGTCAGTGTGTTATTCATTCAGCCACACATCGATGGAGATTAACTGAGAGCAGTACAAGACATTTGGATCCTGCCAGACCTAGGGCACCTGAAGGAAGTTTATTTCTTTTCTCTCTAGCCTTTACTATGCCTGCTGCAGAAGAGGATGGCCCTGTCTTCTGGGAGTAGGGGAGGGTTTTGATTGGCTGTGTGTTAACTGCCTCAAATCCATGGCCATAGGGCGAGTAAGAACCCTGGAGAATCAAACATGTCATCTTTGTAGCATCACCTGATTTAGTGCTTTTCCTCAGGTCTGAGATGTCTCAGGGGGCCTTTTTCCCTTGCAGCACTGATCTTTCAATGAGGTGCTAGTGTCTGTCCTGAGCAATAACAAGGAAAAACCATGAAGTGTGAACAGCTCTTATTAGGGGGGTAAATGTCATTAGCGCCTTTGTAGCCTTCTCTGCAATCTGAATGCTCCTGTCAAAAGAGCGACTTACTGAAGCCTCCTTTAAAATCACATAAATGGAATTTAAGATGCTGAAGTTTTACATTTTAATTAAGCAAGGCCATTAACTCCCTTTACATATACACTTTTTTGTAGCCAGTTATGCTTGTATGCCTTATAAGGCTATTGAAAAATTATCCACAAAAATTATTTTAAGGATTTGAGAAATAGTTGGTTAACTTTAAGTCAAAGTTTTAGATATAGAGACCCTATACTCATGTGCCCAACCATTGTAATATGCGTATTGACGTATATGATAGGAGAAAACACTAGCATTTTGAGTTAATAAGTAGGTCAGTTTGGATTAATGGAAAGTTTGAAGCTTAGAGTGTTTAAATAATGATTTTATTCTTTTCAATACACAAGTGGAAATGTTTCTCCAGTCTAAATTCCCCCTAGTATTCTCCTGAAACAAAATTTTTATATGCAGATATTTGCTTCTTTTGCAAGTTTGAGAATTTCACAGTAACTTCTGGTTACCCTGGGTTGTGTCTTGCAGTTACCAAAAAAAAAAAAAAAAAAAAAAATCACGTTAAATAGTTGCATGGTTGCGGGGGTCAGATACAGAAAGAAAATTGTCTTTTTTTTACTATGCATGTTAATTTTTAATAAAAATGAATTGAGACATCTGGTTAAAACTTTGGGAGGTGCATCTAGAAAAGTTACAGGTGGTGAATAGAAGTTTGCTACTCATTACTGCTAATTTAAGATATATAATTTGATATATTCTGTTTATTTAGTGTGTAGTCTTTAAAATATGATCCTCTATTCCTTTTCAAAATTCCAATTAGGTCACAGATTTTCCTTTCCTTTTCCTTTCCTTTGCTTTCCTTTCCCTTCCCTTCCCTTCCCTTCCTTTCCTTTCCTTTCCTTTCCTTTCCTTTCCTTTCCTTTCCTTTCCTTTCCTTTCCTTTCTTTTCCTTTCCTTTCCTTCCCTTCCCTTCCCTTTCCCTCTTTTCCTTCCCCTTCCTTCCTTCCTCCCTTCCTTTCTCCCTTCCTTCCTTCCTCCCTCCCTCCCTCCCTCCCTTCTCTCTCTCTCTCCCTCCCTCGCTCCCTCCCTCCCTTCTCTCTCTCTCTCCCTCCCTCGCTCCCTCCCTCCCTTCTCTGTCTCTCTCTCTCTCCCCCTCCCCCTCTCTCCCTCTCTTCCTCTCTCTCTCCATCCCTCTCTCCCTCTGTTGCCCAGGCTGGAGTGCAGTGGAATGATCTTGGCTCAGTACAGCCTCCACCTCCCTGGCTCAAGTCATCCTCCCACCTCAGCCTCCCGAGCAGCTGTGACTATAGGTGTGTGCCACCACACCTGGCTATTTTTTTCACTTTTTAATTTTTTGTAGAAATGGGATTTTATCGTATTGCCCAGGCTGGTCTCAAACTCCTGACCTCAAGCCATCTGCCCACCTTGGCCTGCCAAAGTGTTGGGGTTAGGGGTTACAGACGTGAGCCAACACGCCCAGTCGTATTTATTTTTCCCCACAAATATTCTATTTGTTTTTTTCCCCCTGTTTTGAGGATTCAGGAAAATGTATTTATTCAAGAGATAACTGGTATATTACAAGTAGTAAACAGACAGACAACATGCCCCTCTGTTACAGCTTTCAATTTAGTGGAAGTGGTATATTATAAGTGGTAAACACACACACACCATGGTATATTACAAGTGGTAAACAGACAGACACCATGCCCCTCTGTTACAGCTTTCAGTTTAGTGGAAGTTGGTGACTCAGGCTAAATTAAGGGAAAGGGGAGATCACTGGGTATGTTTTCTAATGAAAACGTAAGTATGATCTATAATTATTGCAGTCATTAATTATATGTAAATAGACTCTTTGGACATACTACCAATTTACTTGAAAAGTCAATGCTTTAAGGAATTTTAAACATTTTTCAACTGTCTTGGTTGTATTTTAATAATATTAATTCAAACTCTGCAATTAAATGACTGACTAACGTAAATTTCAACCTGGCCCCCACTTTTTGAATTAAAAACATTTATATTAGTTTCAGTTACTGAGATTTTGCTGTCCATTATGGAAAACCCACTTATTTATTAGATTATAGAAGGTAAGCAGCAAAAGATATATTTCCTTCCCATTCCTTAAAATGTTTCGACAAGTTAATGAAAACTTATTTTAAAATTTCCTTTTAGTGAGAAATCAAAGATGATCATTTTTAGCCCCATCAGGATCATTTTAGAAAAACTGCCTGTGAAGTCACTCATTTAGAACGAGACGATCTCTGTGGAATTGCTGTTGCCAGTGCCACGTGGGGAGTAATTGGGCCAATTAAAATGTAGATGTTTTATATTAAGTTGTGGTGCCTGTTAAAGTAGAGTACCAGATTTAGAATTAGTCTGTATTCCCTTTGTTAGTTTCCTTCACTCAGTACATAGAATTTTAGTTCATCTGATAGCTTGACTGATAAGTAATATATGTATATAATTAAGAAGGTGATAGTCTAGTGCCAGTAGGTTCTTCTGAAAAGCAGTGTCCAATTGGTAGGACAGTGAGAAGAACCTTCAGGCAGTACCATCTGCTTTGTCTTCTCTTTCCTCTGTTCTACCTTACACCTGGATCCAGGCTGTTAATATAAATTATGATTGCTAAGGTTCATATTTTAGGATAACTTTGACAAAGAGACGTCTGGAGTATCAAAATTATCAAAGATGTAAACTTCTTCATAAATGTTTTTCAAGGCACCAGATGGAAGGAAGCTTTACTGTATTACATTTCCCATATGGAAAAGTATCTGGGACCTGAAAGGGGCACACCCTTAGAAGGAGAACACTTCTTAAAAAGGAACTTTATAAAAGAATGCTATAGTATAGGGTTTTCACGTATGATTTATTCACTTGAGCATATTGCTTTGAAGGCCCAAACAGCATCCTGAGCATAAGTTGTGGTTTCCTAGACCTAAGGAGTGTCTGATAGTTTAAATTTCACAAACTTTTTAGATTTGCCTATGCCACAGGTCAAATATGCCTTGCTATGAGTCTGGTTGCCATTTATTTTAGTCAAGGTTTGGCTTTTGTTAAAATTGTTGCATTGGGTTTATGAAAGATACATCTACCTTCTCCTACATGTGTTATTTTATATTAATAGAAAGTCAAGATGGTAGAATTTAAATACCATTGTGGTGGAAAAGGTAAGCATTATTTTTCTACAGTGTTCTTTCTTTCATTTTTGATATATATATTTTGTGATCATTTTCACTTGGTAAATATTACATAACTATTGAGGAGGGCTTGGGAGGATATGTGGTTCTTTTTTTGTTGTCCACTTTTTTTTACAGCAATAATATTTCTAAAAGAGTAATATGTGGTTTTTAAGAATACTTTTAAAAGATTTTTCAAATAATACTATAGTGTTTCGAGTGCGATTCAAGGAAACCGTATGTACTCATGCATTTCATAACACCAGACTTTTACAGTGTACATCAAAAGATAGTCCTAAAGAGGTGTATTCACTTTGAAATGACATTCAGAAAATTAAAGCATATTTTCCTGCAGAATAAATGTATAAATGGTATAGACATCTTCTATCCAGGGTAGTTGAAAAACCTAAATAATTATGTTAAATCTGGAGCTTCTAGACATGTTTCAGGAATATTTTTCTGCTTAGGATGAGCTCTACAATATGCCATATAATTTTCACTTTATAGGGTTTATGAGCAGGATAGTAGTGAGATTTATAGATGCTAATATGTTAGTAACATTTCAAATATTTAGTTTTGATAAAAGTAATATACTAAATGGAAGGAATTGCCTCTATATAGCCGAACTAACCTTGAGGAGCATACAGTTCATGAGTAAAACAAACAGGTAATAAAAACTGCTTTTGTTTATAGAAATTTGGTTTAGGACAGAAACTAAAATTTGGCTTAGATAATGTTCCCATAATTTTCTCTTATTTCCTTCCAAAATATATCTTTGGAAGAAAGAGCAAAAATACGAAGATTCATCTGAAAGATTATTATATTTTCTCTTTTCATTTAAAGTACATTATTAGCTTGAGTTAGAATTCTATGAAATATTTATGGGATATATATACAAAGCTTTATTTAATGTTACAGTTATTGTAGACAGGGCTTAAATACAAGACTGAAGGAGAAGGGGAATTTTTTTTCTCCATGTCAAACAGGCTGTCCAATTTATGAAAAGAAAGGGAAAAAAATAAAAACAAAAGGCTGTGTTTTTGTGAGTCTTAAATTGTGAGGCTAGAAATACATTTAGATAGAATAAAAACTCACATACCTCAGCTTATTAGTGATTGACTTTTGAGACCTTCTACAGAAAAGAATTTTGCTGAACTTCACAACAAGAAAGACCACATAGGGTATTTTAGACCACTTTTATTAAATTTAGTTAGCATTTTTAATTTTTCCACAATGTTGCATGCCTTTAACAAAGTCCATTCTGAAATATAGAATTGTCTATAAAAGATTTGGATGAGGTATAGAAAGGTATACAAGAACCAGAGCACCAAGGGCGTTTATTATTAGTTTAAAGAGTTTCATTTCACTGAAAGCTGATTTTTTTTTAAAGTGAGTAAAGCATATATTAGTATATTAATAGTGGTTTAAATTCCCAGCATTTTATTATTTTTCACAAGTCTGTGGGTCAGCTGGGCATATCTGCAGTGAGCTGGCATGTTGACCTGGGGTTGGTTGGTCTAGGATGGCCCATTTACATATCTGGCTATTAGGTTGTTACTGGCTGTTGGTTGGGGCAGTGGAGATAACTGGGCAATTTATCATGCGTCCTTCAGCAGGTTAATTTGGGCTTGTTCACCTGCAGATAGTTGTAGGGTTCTTAAGGGCAGCAGGAGAGGGCAAGTCCAAGTGTGCAGGCACTTCTAAAGTGTCTACTTGCTTCATATTTGCTAGCATGCCATCAGCCAAAGCCAGTCACATTACAAAGCCCAGAGCTGCAGTGGCAGATGACTACTCCAGGACATGGATACCAAAGACATGAGCAATTTGGGGACCAGTACTGTAATCTTTACTCACCTGATTTAGTGTCTTAGGAAGCTTCATTTGGTAGTGGTATCTATGTGGAACTAAGGAGTCCTGAGCCAGGATGTCTGGCTTGAAAGCTGTCACTGTAGTTCAAGCAGACATAAGGCTGGCATTTAAGAGTAATGGCAGGGAGGATAAACAGCAGGGTTAGATACAACTACTTGCTGACTAGATGCACTAGATGAGGGAGAAAAAAAGGTGCTCATAGGTTGATTCCAGGCTTCAAGATTGGGTATATGGGAATCTAGGAAACTGGTAAGGTTGTAGACCTAACTATGTTTATAGTGAACATAGGACATTCATGCAACTTCCTAAACAATTTCTATTCCTCTGTCCAGAAGTATTAATATGAAAGAGATGGAATCTATGAAATTCCTTTTTTGAAACTGTTGCTTAAAAATTACGCCAGTGCTTTCTTTACCATCAGCCTTGCAAAGATGTGTAAATGACACCAAGTGTTTTCTCCCATCTTTTAAAAACATATGGGCAACGTTGCCATAAACAATAAACCCAAAAGTTTGGATTTCCTAGTTTCATTTCTCTGAACTGAGCAGCTACCTAGGATTTTTGGAAACTTAGTTTTATAGGTGATGAAGATTATTTTTATATGTAGAAATGTCAATTGTGACAAAAGTTAAAAATTTGGAAATCATTTTATTATCTACAGATCTACAGAAAAAAATAGGCAGATTTTTCTTTCCACCTAGATTTAATTTTAAGAATATGAATATTTGATTCATCCACATTTTCATCTTAACAGATACTGCTACATGTTTAACCAAAAGATTAGGATTTTTGAATGGTTTGCTATTTAGTTACGTTTCAGAGCCAAAGTATAAAAGTTTTGATTTTTTCTGCCATTTACTTTGTCATCTAGGTTAAACTCCTCCAAACTGTGAATGTTTTTTAAAGAAATCATATCTAGGTTATTTATGAAAATATACAAAAGCCATCTTCCTGCTGAGTAAATAGAAAACTAGTTTGTTCATGGTTTCTCTGTACTTCTTATAGATGGGTGGAGAATCATTTTTTTGTTAAAGAGTATACCTACCTACAAAAGACGATAAAGAGAGATACTTGGGGAGAAAGCAACTTAGTGCATTATTTGTTTCCAGAAGACAAACATGCAATTTATAATTTAAATTAAGATCAGGGTACATAAACTATTAAGTATGATAAATGACAATGTATTTCAATTTTATATTATGTCAGTTTAGAGAGACGGATTAAGGGAAAGGGTAATGAAGGAGGAAGAGAGACACAGATTTTTAGAAATGATTTTCTCATGATTTTTTATGATGTGGTTTTGCAACCATGGTACAAATCAGAATTAGGTTGCACAGTTAGATGTCCATTCCTGCATTACTATTGTGTGATTCTCTCCTTCACGGGCAGTCTTATTTACTGTAAAACTAAAACAGGGAGACTTCCACAATGTTAGATCGAGGAAGAAAACCATAATTGATAATGGTAAGAAAGCTTAACAGTGCCAAAACTAGTAATCCTCAAAATTGCATCTTCTAATATCACATCTAGAGCTCTTTGCATTGAGTAATATTTCTCTTTAAATCATAACAGTAGTAATTCATTCAGGATAGGACTATTTTAAAAAGCACTTACACCATTATTGGTTTAGCTGATGGTCACAAAGTCTACCAGTGTTAGGTAGACGTGGATGTTTTTAAAAACGAATTTTAGAAGTCAGACGTTTTTTGTAGTTACATTGAAATCTGCTGTATTACTACTAAGAATGATTGTCTTAAAAGTTGATTTTTAGATTATGTTTCTCTCTAATAAAATTCACTTCTATAAAATTTTGCCTGCTGCTATAGGAAGACCTATAAAAACATACATTTTAACTCAGAAATATTTTTCCTGCCTAATTATCTCCTTGTTGGCATTTGCTATTTAGTTACATTGTGCTTCCTTTTTATATGTGATTTACAAATAGCAGTAATGTTGAAAAATGTAATGTTTGTTTTAAGTTTATAAACGACAGATTGAAGTAATGAGTTTGTGGATGTACCATGAAATACAAATAGGCAGATTTTTCTTCCTACCTAGGTTTAGTTTTAAAAATATGAATATTTGATTCATCCTCATTTTCATCTTAACAGATACTGCCACATGTTTAACCAAAAGTAACTTATCCCTAAATTTTTCTTACATTTTAATATCTATAAGCTGTCTTATTTTTATTGGCTTTGATTCAGAATTATTTCTCTTTTATGCTTTATTCCTTATTTGTATTTTTATCATAGATCAAATGACAGTTTTCAACAACACACAGATTTGTAATGGCTAGAATCTCATTTACTAATTTATTATAAAAACAGAATAATCTAGGCATTAAAAACCTGTGTGCCTGATACTTAATCTTTGTGTTTGTTTCCAGAGGCATGCAGGGTGTTTCCTGTCCAAGACACAAACCATATATTTCATTTGTCATATCTAATGTTTTTCATATCCAGAAATCATGCTCCATGTTATGTTTTACAAGACTTCATAAAAATAAGTGATCCAAATAAAATTTATAGTTAATTTTTCTGTCATAGCAAAATTATCTCTTTCTCTTCTTTTTCCCACAAGGGTACAGATGGGATTATAAAGTTTAAATGAGTGTATATTTACAAATAAAGTCTTAAGTTTTGAAACTAGACAGTAATTTATTATTTAGACATTGCTAGCGTTGTGTTGGTAGCATTACAATAGCTTTCTAAATGAAAACAAACCAAGCAACCAGCCAACCCTGATTTGCAAGTGTTTGCTGATTTCTCTGGTGAAAATATCCCATGATGGCTGATTTCAGCCTGTCAACATGAGTCACTGAACATGGAGTTGGGAAGAGATGCTTAGTCACACATTATTATATGGTATTTCCACCATACCAGACGTAAGTAGAAGCAAGTAATCTTCAGAGCACAGATAATAGTAAAATGTAGTCAAATAATTATAAGAACATAGATAATAGTAAAATGTCAAATAATTAGAAGTGATGAATTTTGAGTACCTATTATCATTGTTTTTAATTTTTTTCATTGCATGTTTCTAAAATTTAATTTTTAATGTCGTCTGTTTGAACCACCAACTCCCAAAATTTCCGAATGTTTAGCAATCAGCTCTCATAGGCTGGCATGAGCCAGCCCTAGCACACTACTGCACAAAACCATTTCTGGTGAATAGGAAGATAGGTTGTGGTCAGTGTCTATTGTAGGAGAGGATGTCTTGTGTCTGCGTGCCCAGGGAGGAAAAGCAGCCATTTTCTGTTTCAGCTCACATTACTAAACACCACCTGGTCCCATAAATTTTGGTATTTATATTAATATAAGGCCTTGAATGAGAGCAAAATACCAGAGTCTTTTAATAAAAGGACAGGGAAAATAAATATTTTCATTACAAAGATTACAAAAATAAAGATTTTCATTGCAAAATTATTCTTATTTTTTTTTTTCTGTATGTCTCTTGGCTGTTGTATATCTCCCACTTGAATAATAAGCAGATCCTATAGTCAGTGCTTCCTAATGCCACTCCAGTATCAAGGATAAGCTACTTAAATAGTTTTACTCAACAGGATATATTGATAATTTATGTGTTAACAGAAAGTAGTAGCTGTGTTGTTACCAAAAAAAAAAGAACTTAAATCTTTAAAAATTTAATATGCGTTAGCAACTGAGATAACGAAATGAACAGTGTGGAGTTAAAGAATCTCATGCAACAAATGGCAGAATTTTAAGTGCATTTTGTCAAACTTCCCCATTTAAGAAGAGGGTGAGCTCCTTCCTATATTACTATTGGCAGCTTATCGGTGGTGTTAGTCAAGCATTTTGAATAAAATAATATGTTAAAAAATATAATTGATTTCTTTGGGGGAATACAGGAGATCTCTAGATAAATTCATTTAGATGGGTTGACAAAACTAATGGTGTGCATGATTAAGAAGAAAAATTTGACATATTCTGTGTATAACCCTTTGAGTATTAATTCTGACCAGATCACACTGTAAATAATGTTAACTGTCATAAAATAAACACAGCCGGAGTTTGCACCATATGTTTTATAATTATTTTGCAGCTTCTTTTTTTTTGTTTGTTTGTTTTTACTGAAAATGGAACCTACTGATAACTCTGTGAAGTTATGTTTACATAAAAGTAAATTATACTTGCACGTTAACAAACTTGGCTTCACAGACCAGTGTCTCTAGGTTTTTGTTTAAAAAAAAAATTAAATGAAAGAAAAACTTCTCCCTCTCTCGCTTGGTTTTTTGTTTTTTTTTTTCTTATTCCCTCAGAAACATCGTCTCAAACAGAAATCTGCTGTAGCATCTTGTCGCCGCTTTCTTGTTTTTGCACATGTGAAGGAGAAGCCTTTGGAATGCCACCCAGAGGAGGGAAAAGCCTAACCACTGAACTCACAGAGAGTGTTTGGTTTAAGTAGCCCTGGAGTGGCCTTTCAGACTGAGGCTACTGTGGTCTTCTAGTTTGTTTTTGTTTTCTACCTTCTTCCTTGCAAGTGTTTAACACTGCCAGAAATAAAGGCTCCCTTAGAACATTTAAGTAATTTTTAAAACTGTTATTATTTTCATAATCACCATCTCCTCTTGATCTCAGGGGAGGCTAGGCATCCTTGTTTATCTTTAATAGAGCCTTGGAAACTGATAGTGCCAATGGGAGGTGGGTGGCAAGTTTCGTAATATGCCTACCTCCTCCTGCCCCCTCCCGGCTCATTGCTAAATATGTCTCTTGGCAGATCTGACAATATCCATAATTATCAGGCACCGTGAGCCCTGCTGCAGAGCTGCTTGTGCATGACACCTGTCCAGCTCATGCTCTTCCCCTGCATCTCCTCATGCCTCGGCTTGCTGGCTGGCCGTGCGTCAGAGCAACAGTCTGCCGTTAGTGAACTCATTTCTCTTCTTGTCAGATTCTCAGACACCAGAAGTTCTGCCCACACAGCTTACAACATATACCATGGTTTGTGGTGCAATCTTTCACACAGTAGGCATTTCATAAACTTTTGTGAACAAATGCAAAAAGTTAATGCAGATATTTCTCTCAGCATTATGGTTTACATTCTCCCTCTATGAAGTGCTTTTCCCGCTCTTGACAGATTTCTCAGCATAATATCATGTTTTCCATAAAAGTGGATCTTGATCATCGCCCTCTCTCCTAGACAGAGAAAAGCCTTGTCAGTTTTTTTATGAGAGAGAAAATCCAGGGAACCCCAATTGGCTTTCATAGTGCTTAGCAATTCTCATGAAGGGGGTGAAATGTGGAGTAGAGAAATGTACAGTGATTTCTGGAACTTTTGTTCCAGAAGATGTTAATAAGGTGAAGTTGTTGTTAACTAAATTTTGCAGGTATAATAAAACTTGAAGATGAAGCTATATTCAGGGAGAAAATCTGCAAAGAGAGGAATTTCGTAAAGGGCAGGGTGAACAGTAATGCCGCTTCAGTAGTTCATGCCTGTGCATAGTCAACCTTAGAAAGGCTTTTTTAAAAAAAAAAACAAAAAACAAAAAACACTTCACTTTTTTGGCCAGGTGCGGTGGCTCATGCACTTTGGGAGGCCGAAGTAGGCAGACCACTTGAAGTCAGCAGTTCAAGACCAGACTGGCCAACATGATGAAAGTGAAACCCCATCTCTACTAAAAATACAAAAATTAGCTGGGCATGGTGGTCCGTACCTGTAATCCCAGCTACTCAGAAGCTGAGGCAGAAGAATCGGTTGAGCCTGGGAGGCAGAGGTTGTGGTGAGCCGCGATCATGCCACTGCTCTCCAGCCTGGACAACAGAGTGAGACTCCATCTCATAAATAAATAAAAAATAAAACTAAAACCTCAGTTTTGAAGGAGAGGTCATAGATTTCGGTTTGGGGATTTATTTAGTGGAACAGTTGTCAGGTATTCATAGAAGGTTGGATTAAGGATGAAACTTTTCATCCTTAGAAACTACAGCAGTCTATTTAATGAATAGCATACTCAAAAATTATGACTTAATATTTTTATTATTTATAAAATTTTATTCCACTAGAACAACTAGTAATCATCATCTATTATGCAGTTTTGACTAAACCCTTTTTCCACAACAGGGACCAGAATTAGGTAAGAAAATTTGGGAAGATGTCAAAATATATCAAAGCTTCCTTTTAAATATGTGTTATTGGTTTTTGATTATGAAAGTAATACAAAATTAATATAAAATTGAAACATTGCAGTAATGTATAATGCAAAAATGAAAACTGTCCATAGCCCCTTTTTGTAGAGATAACACTTCTCCATATGTTATCATTATCATGTATCTGTGGCACTAATTATGATTATTAGTAAATGGATTCATTCTATGTATATTTTTCTTATATCCTACTGTTTAAAAAATATATCTTGTGGTTGACCAAAAAATATCTACCCACTTCCACTCAAAATATCCATGTCAAATCCCTGGAGCCTGTGAATGGTACCTTATTTGGAAAAAAGGGTTTTTGCAGATGTGATTAAGTCAAGGATTTTAAGATAAGGAGATAATCTCGGACTCTGTGGGTAGGCCCTAACTACCATCCTGTGTATCCGTGTAAGATATTAGGAGATTACATACAGAGCAGAAGACATATGCAAAGGAGGAGGTGAGGTAAAGATGGCGGCAGAGCCTCCGGAAGCTAGGAGAGAGGCATGCAACAGATTATTTCCCAGAGCCTCTGAGTGGAACACAGCCCTACTCACACCTCAATTGCAAACTTCTGGCCTCTGGAACAGAGAGAGAATATGTTTCCATTGTTATAAGCCACTACGGTGGTAGTAATTTGGTGTGGCAGCCCTAGGAAACTAATACAGGCCTCTTTCCACGTTAGTATAGAGAGATCTCATCCATTTTTTGAACCTCCATATAATTTCCCATTATGTGGATATACCATAATTTATTTAGTCACTTATTTAAAGACAGTTGGGTTGTTTTCAGTGTTTGGGCTTTTCAAACACTGTTGTAGGAAATATCCTTATATGTGTTTATTACTGTGTATGTTTGTTTTTGTAGAATAAATATTTAGAAGTAGAATTGCCAGGTCATTATGTAGGTACTTCTAAAACTATTGTATTTTGGGTAAATATGACATCTGCCACTTTGATAGGAATATTTATGCTACTCTATCATGACTCTGGACCATAAACAAAGTAGATAACTATAGAAACCATCTCATATATTAACATTTAGAAAATCAACAGTGGAAGTTGTTCCTCTCAACTCAGTGTTCTGAAAAGCCTGAAAGCTCAATATATACTGAGTTGAAAATCTATGAGAATAAATATCCTCAACAAGTTTTTGTATTTTCGTTTCTCTAGGAACTGAAAATTTCTGTGACATACCTATTGTTTTCCCACCATGAAACAAGAGCTGTTAAAGAGATGACAAGAAAAAATAAGAGAAAAAGTTATATTCAAGAACTATTGTCATTTTAGAAAATAAGTCATATATTATTAATGGAGTTTGTTAGTAACAATTATCTTAAGTAATAATTATTCAAAATTGTAAAGACCAAACCTCTATCGTTTCTTTGTCATGATTTTTCTTCTCATTTTGTCATTCTAACCCCACAGCTCTTCAATCTTTCCTCACTTCCAAGTCCATTTTACTGTTGATAATACAAGATGCATTTGGCATCTGTTCTGTTGTTAAAGCCCTCAGGAAAAATTATAAAGCTGTTCTTGCAAATTCATCATTATTGTTAAGAACCGTAATTTACCTCATGGTTATCTCATCCTTTTTCCACCTCTTACCTGAGCTCCAGGATGACATTGCCTTCCTGGGTGAGGCAGCGTTGCAGCATCTCATCTCTCCCACCTTAATTTGTAGCGATGCGTTGCATTTGGGTGACAGGCAGTTGTTCGTGCTTGAATAACTCAGGATTTGAATTCTACAGTTTGTGGCATCCGTGTAATGCTTAGCAGTAGGTACAGCTGTTAACTATTCGCTTATAAATAATCTTTTTTGCCTCTCAACCTGTCTCCCAGGTAGTGTACCTGTCACCATTAATAACTCTTTAGCCGCTCCCTAGTGATTTGACCTATCAGTTGTCGTTCACAGAAAAGTGGTGCTCTGGCCTGCTATTGAAGCTTATGCAGGTTCTTTCAGCTCCTCAGTCACCCCAGCAGCCATATACTTGTAGGAAGTTGTGTTGGTGGGCTTCACAAGCAGGCAGCTGAACACTTCGTACAGTTTGATAAAGGTGGCATTACATTTTGAACAATAGATGATAAGACTCCCATTTAGACCGCAAAACAGTGCCACAGGGGTAGACAGGGGTCTGGGGGAGATAAGATGGGTGGTGAAGATGACCAACAGCAAATAAACTTTCCTGTCTCTTTGATGCTAATTATCTCTTTGCACCTAATTATCATGGCATCATCATCATCCTCTGATGTTTGCAAACTAAGAGTTGATGTGTTTGATCAGGTTAGTGAATCTGTCAGGTATGGCATTCTGCCTGTTTCTGAAGCTTAAGAATGAGAAGCCAGTAGCTATCATGCGGAAGATGTGAACTGCCCCCCAGTCCTTGTCCTTTAGCAGTGTGTCATTCCTCTGTTTGGACATGTGCTCTCTTGCTTCCTCTCTTCCTCTCTCTGTTCCTGAAGTGTGCTGCTTCCAACACTTCCCCAAATTAATTCCTACCTGCATTTAGGTCTCAACCTAGCCATCACTTTTTCAGGAAACTGCTACTGCTCTCTCTATTTGGCATTGACTGTACCAACTAAAATGCCCATATGGCAGTTTTCGTTTATTTCTTATTATGCTCTACAATAACTGCTTGTTTACTTGTCTTTTTCTCCTACTGGATTGTAAGTTTTTTCATGGATGGTACATAGTGTTGTTTGCTATATCCACGTTCTGGGAGTGTCATAGAATCTCAATAAATTTATGTGAAGAGAATGAGAATTTATTTTTTATGAACTCACTTTCCATTGACATATCATGGTCATATCAATGGGGAGTTCAGGCAATAAATTATGGCATATATTGTCTACTGTATACTGTGCTGGCACCAGGGGTTCAGATAGGAAAACATTTCGATTGCTTTTTACCCTTTTAGTGAGTGACTAATGGACATTTCTTTGTCTGAGGATATATCTTGGCAGTACAGGATTTCTTCAGACGTGGCTCAGGAAATGGCCGAGAGTAAGGTGAATCACAAGGCAAAAAAAAAAAAAAAAAAAAAAAAAAGCATTAAACTATGTTGGGAAGTAATCCCAGCATTGGTGGACACACATTATGTTTTTAAAAATAAATCCTCCAAGGAGGTAAATCAGTTAGGTATTATGTTGGTTTGGTTTTCATTTGGAAAGGAATTTACCTCGTAAACGATCTTTGTTATCCTTATCTCACTGGGTGTAAGGAGTTAGCAAATGATCACATTTTTAATACCCAGAAAAATACCATATTCTTTGCCACACAGATGTACGCATATGCCACATATACATACATATATGTGTATGTATGTGTTCCTTTATATATAATTAAATACAACAGTGATCTGAAAAGACCAAAAAGAGTAAGAAACTTAGCATTTTAGGGAGAACAAAAACAAAAACCCAGGATGAAGCATTTTAGTTTACCTTTATAAAGATCAGGACAGGTTATGTCTGTAGGAACTTATATACAGTATCTAGTAGATAGAATGATAAAATAAGAAACAAAAAGTATTTAGTCATAAGTTCAAGGATAGACTCTTGATTGTGCTGTATCAAATACACTTTTAAAGTTAAAATGTATTCTAAAAAGGAATACATGCCTTTAGCAAAAAAAAATTATATAAAGGACTGTGGTTGAAAGTAAGTGATATTGGGGTATAGTTCTAGAAATAGTCTGTGCATGTAAAACACAACATATCTTTCTGTGTGTTTGATAAAAATGGTGAAGGGGAATATAGTGAGCACATTATTCTGCACTTTTCCTTTTTCACTTAATAATATATCTTGTAAACAACTTCATATCAGCACATAAAGAGCTACCTCATTCTTTTTTAACAGCTGCATTGTATGGATGTATCGTAATTTGTGTGCCTATTCCTTCATACACTGGTAGACTAGGTGATGAAACATATTTTTGATCTTTGGTATTCTGGTTGTTGATAGGGGATAAATGGTAGTACATTGCTTTTATTTGCATTTCTCTTAATGAGTAAGGTTTACCATCCTTTTATGATTATCAGTCATTTCTGTTTCCATTTTTTTTCTAAACGTCTTTTCAGGTTCTTTCTATATTTCTATTGCGTTGTAAATCCGTTTCATTTTTAGCACCTTTTTGTATCTAAAGAGTATTAGCCCATAGTATATCTGTATTGTGAATAGTTGTTCATAGTTGGTTTTCAGCTCTTTACCTTGTTTTTGCTTTTGCTTTTCATTTGTTTTTGTTGCGTAGTTGGTTTTCTTTTTTTAAGTTTTGTGTGGTTTTATTACCTTTTGATTGACTTTTGATTCTTGAGTCTGGCTTAGAAAGATCTTCAAGTCCTTAAAACAATGTGAACTAGTTAATGTTATCTAGTTATCAATGTTATCTACTAGTATTTTATGTAGTAATTGTATTCAGTGAATTTCAATCTCCTTCCCCCCCCCTCCCCCACTCCGGGTCTCTGTCTGTCACCCAGCTGGAGTGCAGTGGCGCTATCACAGCTCACTGCAGCTTTGACCTTTCAGGCTCAAGTGATCCTCCCACCTTAGCCTTCTGAGTGGCTAGGACTGCAGGTGGTGCCACCACACCCAGCTAATTTTTGTATTTTTTGTAGAGACAGGGTCAAACTATGTTGCCCAGGCTGGTCTTGAACTCCTGGCCTCAAATGATCTTCCTGCCTTGGCCTCCCAAAGTGCTGGGATTGCTGGCATGAGCCACTGCATCTGGCCTGAATTTCAGTCTTACTGAATAAAATTTTTCAGCCAGGATTGTTATTTTCTTAAGGTAATAAATGTTGTTGTATAGAGCTTATTATTAATAAGATTTTTCATTCATCTATTTTTTCTTCCACTGTATTGTTATTTTAATGACATTTATTTACACAGAGTATGTTAAACATGTTCAGTAGATTATTATACATAGGAACATCAGAGTCCTATTTAGCAAATAGACTAATTTAAGCTCCTAATATTTTTAGGTATAATCCTGAATGTGTATTTAGAATAAGAAATCACCCCCCAAAAAAAAACAGGAAATGGAAACAGGAATCAAGGAGATTTGGGCCCTTTCCTTCTAAATTTCCTTAGGGAACTTGTCAGAAGTGCTTACCTAGAAATCTTGCCTGTTTGCACTCTGGCGTCTCCTTACCACCTAGGATGTTCTCTTACTCTGAAACTCCTAACGACCTAGGCAAATGAGAGACCTGAGCTGAAGCCCCATTCACTCTCAGGTTAAATCTGGTGTCTACTAGTAGCTCATACTGTACTTCATTACAGTTTCATCAGTCATTAACACTGGTAGCAGTTTCAAAGGGGTCACAGTCAACTCTGTTGCTACTGGTTTCCTTGTCATTTTATTTAACTTTTTTGTCTTTATTATAATTCGCTTCTTTTACCATGCATGGTGTTCTCACCCCAAGTGCTCATTAGGTAGTAAAGAGGAAAAGGTGGAGATTGAAGAAGCAGCTTATTTCACAGCATAATCTCATATGGTGGTGTTTTGTTTTTTTGGGTGAAGCTAAAATCTGTTAGAGTTGTAAAATAGAACAGTTATTAAAATATTCTTTTTTGAGATGGAATTGTTGTCCAGGCTGGAGTGCAGTAGCACAATCTCAGCTCACTGCAATCTCTGCCTCCTGGACGATCTCAGTTCACTGCAATCTCTGCCTCCTGGGTTCAAGCGATTCTCCTGCCTCAGCCTCCCAAGTAGCTGGGATTACAGGCGTCTGCCACCATGCCTGGCTAATTTTTTGTATTTTTAGTAGAGACAGGGTTTCACCATGTTGGCCAGGCTGGTCTCGAACTATTGACCTCAGGTGATCCGCCCGCCTCGGCCTCTGGTGTTGGGATTATAGGTGTGAGCCACCGCGCTGGGCCAAAAGATTCTTTTAATCTTTTTTTGTATTCTTTTTCCAGAAAGTTTATACCTTTCTTCTCTTTAGTCATACTTTGAAGAGGGTTTAACAAGATTCACCTTCACAGTTGTTTTTCAAGGCAGCGTTAGGACCTGACATTAATTGTTTTTTTTTGTTTTGTTTTTTTTTTTTGTTTTGAGACGGGGTCTTGCTATTTCGTCCAGGCTGGAGTGCAGTGGCGCTATCTCGGCTCACTGCAAGCTCCGCCTCCCGGGTTCATGCCATTCTCCTGCCTTAGCCTCCCAAGTAGCTGGGACCACAGGCGCCTGCCACCCTGCCCGGCTAATTTTTTGTGTTTTTAGTAGAGACAGGGTTTCATCGTGTTAGCCAGGATGGTCTCCATCTCCTGACTTCATGATCCACCCACCTCGGCCTCCCAAAGTGCTGGGATTACAGGTGTGAGCCACCGCGTCCGGCCAGTTGTTTTATTTTAAAAACCCTTTCCGTGTTATGTTTGTGAACAGAGCCATTTTCATTGATACCGCTTTGAAAACACACGAATAGACACTGAAACTCGATACCTGTGTTTTCTCTCACCAGTTCTGCTTCCATGTTTCATTTTCACTGTTCTCAGTCTTCTGATTGAGTGAATAATTAAATGATGACCTGAGAGATTGGTGGGAGTGAACTCTTGGAGCATCCAGCTTTCTTTATGAGGCTTAGACTGGCTTTTCTTTCCCATCATGGTTTTAGGCTTGATAGATGACTTTATACTTTTCTGGACAGCTGGGGGTTAAAACAGAGTGGTGGTTTTGATTTTTGGCATTTTTCAGCTGCTCCTCAGGAGAATATAAAGTGCCTGTGGAGCAGGTCCAAATCGGTGGATGTTTAAGAGAAGGGGGAAAAAATAGCTGAAGAACATTCTTCTGTGACTTAGTTGCCTTCTGTTGCATTAAATGGATGGAAAGGGGGAATAAGTGTTGTGCTTTATCGTTTTTAACATTAAAACTCTTTTAAAAAGCTTCAAACCTTAAAAAACACGAAATGACCTTCAGGCCTCTTGGCTCCCACTGTTCAGGTTATCAAGTCTCAGTCACACCCTCCCCCATCCCTGTAAAAAATCTAAAGAGAAGTGTGAAAAGCATCAGAAAGTCTCCTTTTGCCAGTTCAGCCTTTTAGTCGCTTGCCAGCACCTTCATCTCTTCATATGTCTCTAGCTAAGGTCTTACATGGAACAAAAACCCGACAGCAATGGAGACCAGATGCCGGTATTTCTTCTCTGTCACTTGGCTGCTGAGCAGATGGAATTTATATCAATCGGGCATGCTAGGAGGAAGAGGCCGTGGCAGCCAACATGTGGAACTGGGGCTGAGTGACATTTCTGCTAATGTTTTGTCCTTGTAGAACATTATGCTTCCTCTTTGCTTATGAGCTGTGGTTTTCCTGACTCAGACTAGGTTCCAGCTCCAGCTGGAATGGCTGTTGCTCTTCCCCTCTCCTCCTGCCCCCCTTTTCAGGGAGTGCTGGGAGCTAAGGAGGAGTAGTGGGGCCTGCACAATGGAGCTCTTTATTAAAATACCTGACATCTGCATGCAATGCACCAAAATCATCTCAGCTCAAGCAGAGGAATGTGCTGGGCATTACTAGTCACTTTTTGTCTAGTGCTGTGTGCTTGTTTGATTTATATAATGAGTGAGTGCCTCTGGCAAAAGAGGATGTTGAGCATATTATTGGAGGAAGGGAGCTTTTTAATTTTTTCCAAGAACATTGTCACAGACAGGCCTAATACTCATACAAAAATATGAGTATTTAAAAACGGTTGCAGCTATCCCATGGATTTCTTGCTGTGGCTTAAAAAATGTTACACCCCCCTCTGCTCCATTTAAGGTAAAATTAGAACTCAGTAATCCAATTTAACATGATATGGAGTTTTAATGTTGGTGACTACTGTTAGTAGGAAGTAGCACTTTTAAGGAATCTCACGTTACAAAGAATCTCTGGAAGGAAAACGTAAAATACATGTCAAAAAACCATAAAGGCACACACATAGAAAGAATTATTGGTGAGTCTTTAATTCCCGTCCCCTCCCTCAGAAGAGTACATTACTCTTTTCATACTGCAGGAAATAGGTATATGTGCGCAAATTATATTTTCTTCTCTAATGATGTAAACCATTCACGTTTTACCTATTTATGGCCAGTATATGACGAATACTGCCATGCTAACACGTTATATCATAAAGCACTGAAGTGTCATGACATTGCTGCTCACATTGCCAAATCAGCAACATTGTCCCCATTCCCACTTAGACCTTTTATTTCCGGTGGAAATTTAACTTAAGATTTCAGTTGGGTTGTGGGTACATTCGGAGCACCAGACAGGGGAGGTAGAGGGAGATAGAGCTTCCACTATTTTTGTTCCTTTCTTTTGAAAAGCAGCCTCTGGCAGACCTTTCCTGGTCTCTTCCAAATATGTCGGCCACATCTGTCATATCTTGAGTTTTCTAGAAAACTCCCAGGGCAGGCTAGCCATTCTTTATCTTTAAGAAGCCTAAATTCTGTCTCTTTATCACTTTTTTAAGTGATTCTCCTGTCTGATGTATGTTCCTCTTATATCTTGCTCCATGGTGTGGGGATGGCCCCACAGTTCCCTTGGGATTGAAGTAAACCCATGTAAATTGATGAGAAGCTGGAGTAAAATACTAATATTAGTATGTCTGGAGAAAGACCCAAGTCAGTCATTCTTGGAGGAAATTCTTCAAAATTGCCTTGGATTTCTGTTTTTCTTTGCAATTTTTTTAAAGCTATGCTTGTGCCATACTGAAGACAGGATTTCTTATTTATAAAGTCATTCAAGTGGCCTGATATAAGAAACTTATAGTAACACAACATATATGCCCATAGCTTATGCAGGTACAGTGGAACCTGGAATCACAAAGTACAGTTACTCCTTACTGTGTGAACTTGAGCTCTCTGTACTCAGGAATGATATGGATTCAGATAAATTACTTAGATTGGGCTGCTGGGATGAAAGGAGTCTCCCTTGGTCTACACTCTCTTATGTGCTGTTCAGAGAATGTCCTATCTCTTGCTCTCCAACTCTTGCTATCTATGCTATCATTGTCTAAACACAGGAAGAAGACAGATTTAGGTAGTGAAAAATGTCTGTGCATGCAACTACCTGCAATATTGCAGAGGAATAGGAATCTCATGCTCTCCATTCAGATTGTTCTTACACCAGTTCCTTTCCTTCTCGATTTTGTACTTAACCATTCCTGCTTTTCTTTTTGAATCTTTGGCTTCTTTCTTGTTCAAGGTTTTCTCTCTTGCTTCTCTCCCTTTCCCTCAAAATCACTCACATAATGAAGCACTGACCTTCGATGTTTCCTTTTCTGTGACCCTTATGACAAGAATGCTTCAAGCTGGAAGAGCCCAAGTGTCGGGTTGGTGTTCAGCAGTGTGAGATGATTGTTTTACTCTTGCCTGAGAGTCCCATCAAGAAGCACGGGAAAGGTTTCCTCGTAGGCCTCCTGGAACTACTGTGCGTGTGCATTTAGCTGGAAGAGAAGGGAGCAGACATCATCCTGCAGAAGTCAGATTATGGTAGCCAAAATGTGTCGGTATCTGCCCATTAGAGTTTCTCAAGAAGGATTCTTAAAGATAATTTGATTTGGTCCTTGGATTCTGGGCCTTGCCATGTTTGGTCCCAGGAACTATGGCACTGGTCCCTGCCAGTGTCTGTTGACTGTCTCGTGGGTATGGTCATCTGTCCTCCACTGGAACATAACTCCTTTAGTTCTACCTGGAAGGAGGCCAAACACAGTCTTTGGTGTTGTTTCAAAGTCTGATTCTTTCTCTTGCCAGTTGTATGACTTGAGCAAATTACTTAACCTCCATGAACCTCACTTTTCTCTTCTGTGAAATAGAAATGATAATGTCTACCTTACAGGGTTGTAGAAAAAACTGGAGAAAATGGTAGTTAAGTGCTTAGTACCTAATGAGAACTCCACAAGTAGCAGCTATTTTTGTTGTCATTGTCTGCTAACAGCATGGCAGCCTTGGACAGCCTTTCCGTCTAACCTCATGTTTCACTTGATCAGCAGCAGCCCCAGGTCTAACTAGTGTGCTGCCTTTGAAGTCCACCCACTGCCACTAGGGCTCATTCGCCACTACAAAATGAGAAACTCTCCCAGAAGTGAGGGTTGTCTCTACCTGTCCAAAGGAACACATCTCTACATCCGAAGAGGTTATCTCCTAAATCTGCTAAGGTTGATTTGAGATAAAAGCTCCAATTCCTATCTTTTGGGACTTTACGTTAGAATTTTCAGAATCCTTGTCTCTGGCCCTTGATCCATTCAACTAGGGCTACTCCTCTTTCCAGCTCTAGACAAAATTTCTTCTGTAAGAATCACCCCCTCATACCTATCCCTCCCCTCTATTGCTAATGGAATGCACTGGGATTTATCATGCAAATGAAGGTCACACCTCCCAGAGACACAGTCCCTAGACACTACTGGGTTATATTTTAATGACAGCTGAGAAGGTAGGGCCAGTAAAGGAGGCATTCATCCCTGTTTAAAAGAAAACGAAGCACAGTGCTTACCTCTGTCTCTTTCTAAAAATTAATCTGACAATTCTGGCAAGCACACCTTCTCTTCTCAGCATAGAGACATGCTGATAACACACTTGCTTTTTGTTTGTTTGTTTGACTCACCAAACTATATGATAAAGACATTTGTTTTCTGGTTTTATTAAAATATGACTTTAGGGCCGGGCTCAGTGGCTCACGCCTGTAATCCCTGCACTTGGGGAGGCCGAGGCAGGTGGATTGCCTGAGGTCAGGAGATCGGGACCAGCCTGACCAACATGATGAAACCCTGTCCCTACCAAAAATACAAACATTAGCCAGGCATGGTGGTGGGCACCTGTAGTCCCAGCTACTCAGGAGGCTGAGGCAGGAGAATCACGTGAACCCGGGAGACAGAGGTTGCAGTGAGCCAAGACGGTGCTACTGCACTCCAGCAAGACTCTGTCTCAAAAACAAAACAAAAAACAAAAAACAAACAAACAACAACAACAACAACAAAAAATATATATATATATGACTTTTGCACCTGTACATCCCAAATCTCATGTAACAGAGACTTTAGTAGAATATGATTAATAATAGTAAGGTGGGGGCATTTGCCCTTTATACCTAAAAGGCATGTTTTCTATTTTTATTTTATTATTATTATTTTTAAAGATATGGTTTCGCCCTATTACACTGGCTGGAGTGCAGTGGAGTACTCAGTACAGCCTTGACCTCCTGGGTTTTTGCAATCCTCCCACCTCAGCCTACTGAGTAGCTGGGACCACAGGTGCACACCGCCATGCCCAGCTAATTTTGTATTTTTTATGTTTAATAGAGACAGGGTCTCCCTATGTTGCCCAGGCTGGTCTTGAACTCCTGGGCTAAGTGATCCTCCCGCCTTGGCCTCCCAAAGTACTAGGATTACATGCATGAGCAACCACGTTCAGCCATATTTTTAAATTTAATTTTCATTATTATATTTTTATAAATAATTCAAGCTACACCGAAGTATATATAATAGAAAATGAATACACACATCTATTGTCCCTTCTTTCCAGATTTCACTCTCAAGATGCAACTGGTAGGCCCAATAACCAGTCTGTGTTCCTTCGAGACCAGTAAGTTTTAAGGGATTTGGTAGAAACCCTGGCATGAGATATTTGTGCCAAGTACCATTTCGGATTGGTTTACACATCTGAAGTATGGCTGAGAATTCTGCAATTATCTAGTATATTAATCATCTTAGAAAACTCAGGACCCTATGACTTGTCCACCCTGCTTTAGAAATAAAAATGTATATGGTTACATGGAACCTACAATTTACTGTGTTTATATAAACACCCCAGGCATATTTCCTTTCAAAAATGAAATGAATGATATGATTTTTTTGTCTCCTTTAAGCTTTGGAGGAAGGAAGTAAACTAATGAACTTTATGCTCTTGTAAATGTAATGCTTTGCATCATAGGACACCAGGTCAGGTTTGTACATTTACTTAAGTTTGTGTGCACTTGTGTACGTGTGTGTGTGTTTGCAATTAATTTGTCAGGTAAATTACAGCATATAGGAATTACCCTCCCACTGCCCCTTCTTTCTGGCAAGCAATACTGTTTAAAACACATACTCATGATCAGAATTGGGCTAAAACATTTTGTAGAGCTTTATTTATTTAATGAGATACCACTAAAGCCTTAATACTGTAAGGCAAATATTGCAGTGAATGCCAGTATTTCAGTATATAGTAGCATATCCTTGCCTTTCAGTCTGTTAAGATTGACTAACATTTAATTACCTTGCCTATGTTAAAAAAGGAAAGAAATTACCTTATAGGGATATGCAAGCTCCTGAGGTTTCTCAGCTGTGAGCCCAGCCAAGTTGCCCTCCTCCAACTGGCTACTTCCCTCCTCAACACACAGAACCTTATACACAACAGTAAATAACCCTCAATAAATTTGAATCTTATCTCAATCTAAAGACACCACCATCATTATGGGGGAATGTTGTTAGTCCTCAAAACCTCAGTCAGTTTAGAACAACACAGCAGTATCCAAACTTTTTGGCTTCGTCTGGATATTGTTACTGCAAGTGTTGGTGCTGCATTCCTGGATGCCGTTTACAGAGTGATTTCTTAAACATTGGTTGTGTCACAGTGCAACTGACCAGTTTAAAGCCTTTTGCTATTTTGCTCACAATCAAAGAAACCAGAAACATCTAATTAACGTTTACCTCATTTAGAGTTAGAATCACCTGATTATTTTACTACATTTGGAATAAGCATAAGAGATGCTTTTAATACGACAAATTTTAAAACTATCTGGATTAAAACACCTTTTTATTCACTTTTTTATTAAGATAAAACTATAAATTAATAATTAGTCTCCTATTAGTCTTAAGAGATTTTTCAAATGACTTTGGATTTTAAGATGAAAAAAGAAAAAAAAAGAAGCACACATTTAACTGAGTTTGTTTTGTGTGCTTGTTTGTATATTTAGACTGTGTGTACTAGAAAGAACCCGCTTTGGGATAGAAATAAAGACTCTTTGAGTTCTCACCCTGTATTGGGGGGGTTTCTGGGTACCTATGTATGTAATTTGGACATTGATGATACATAAGTGATATTTATCTCAGTTGGTATAGAAGGTCTCATGAGTTATCTTGACAGCTGCATAACTGTTATCCACTGTAAACTCGCTTCTTTAGGTTAGTGTGGTTAGTTTTTTTTTTTTTAAGTTTCCGCATAATCATTGGGGAATCTTAGCATTTAACTTGCAAACGCTTCTCAGAGTTCTGATACCTGAGGCGGCATCACAAGAACGTTATCTACACCAGCCCCATCTTGGTAGGACTGAAAAAAAACAAACAAACCAAGAACAACACAAAGAAAATGCATGTTAATGTGGCTGAATATTCATTAGAACCCTGCGGCCTGGGGCTGGAAGCACAGTTAGGCTGTGTGTTTACCAGGCCACCCGAAAGGCAAGAGGGCATAAGGCACTTAGAAACAGTGGCTCAGCTCAAGCAGTGTTGTCTTTGAAAAGTTTTCATTTTCCCTTGAATCAGCTACAGTCTCTTACTTAAGGTCACTGCAGTTTGCAATCTTTGGCAGAAGACTTCTTCCTTTTATGGTAGTGGCAGTCTGACTTTTTTTTTTTTCCCTTTTGGAAGTGTTTTCCTCTCAAACTGCCATTATCTTCCAAACCTGTTTCATGTTACAATTGTCAGATGCCTCTTTTCTGAATTTCTTAGAACATAATGCAATGAGATGTATATATATATATATCTTTTTTTTAGCATGGAATTGAAAGTCATATGGTTATGATTTGAGAATGTCAAGCTTGATTTTTTTTTTCAGAGGTTTTTTTTAAATTTTTTTTTTTTTTCAAATTGTACCTTTTTCTCTGGGCAGTGAACTCACTGCAGAGACATCAAAGAGAATGTGTACTGGATCAAGGTGATTTTTTTTCGACCACATCATTGCCAGCTGTGGTGTTTATGATTAGAGACAGACGTTCCAGACACCTCCGAGTCCTCACTAAGCGTCAGATCTTTAACGGGATCCATCCCAACTGAGTGACACTAAACAGACAGCCAGAGGGGAGTTGGTGGGATAGAACAGGGAAGAGGGCGGGTGAGGGTGAGGGAGGCTTTGGTGCCGGGTGCATTCACCAGCCAAGCTCCGCTAATGCCAGGCTGCAGGCTGCCCAGAGGCCCCGTAGCATTCCTTTCAGCACAGCTTTCATTAGCCAAGGGGATGACTGGAGCCCAGCAAACACAGTCATTGATCCTCTTCTCACCGGGCGCAGGGATGCAGTGTTCAGGTCACAGCCCAGTCGGCTTTGAAGCGGCTCCATTTCAGACACTGACAGCCACAGACTATTGGCTTCTTGGAGCTGACATGATTCCCTCTCGGATCTCCATGCTCTGCTCCATGCAGCTAATGATGTTGAATTCCCTCTGGATGTTGCTTCCACTTGCAATATTAACACTTGTTCAGTGGTCCTATTGATGCAAGAATTATGTAAATAGCCAACAGTACTGATAGCTGTGCATTAAAGGGAGTTCTCTTTCCTCCCGTCTGTTCCCTTCTGGGTCAGTGTAACTGCCAGACAGTTTTGCTGGTTCCAGAAACCAGAATATATATCTGGAATCAGTAATCAATGTGGTGGTTTGGAGTTCAATAATTGGAATTTTTAAAATCAAGATGATCTGCTTATCCAGTGATTGCCATTAGCAATGAAGAAAGAAATGGTTTTGTTGACAACTACTTATTTCTCTCTCCATGTGAAAGTGTTTTTTTGTTTGTTTGTTTGTTTTTCAATTCTGTCATCATCGAGACGTGGATCCCTTGCTAACAACAGTTCCTGGTGACTATAGAAATTAAGACTCCTTAGAAGAAAAATGTTATTATTACAATTCAAAAAAGAAACAAATGTGCTCACCTGTTGGTGGGAGGACAACTGAAATTTGCATGTCAACTGTAAACATCTGAAAGATAAATAAGAGAGGAAAGAAAGTTTATGATACAGATAACAGATTGCTAGTACAGAGCTGCTTTTTCAGAACCTCTCCTTTATTACCAGTATTTTTCCCCCCTTTTTAAAAAAAAATCTAAACAATTAGATGTCAGCATTGGGTGAAAAACACATAACAAAAGATTCTGGCTTTTGCTCATCATTCTGATCTCCCTGCTCTGCATACTGAAGCCCCACTTCCTTTTGTTGTCCTCCCAGTGGAATTTCAGCCACTCAGACCAGTCAGGGGTGTGTTGGCAGCTATCCTCTTTGAATGGTAGAGAGTACATTTATTCTTTGCACAGAAGGAACATGAAAATTTGGTTTGAAACCTAGTAACTCTCAGGCTGCATGGTCTGGAGACAATAGAAGTATTTCATCCCTTGAAACCAGACGAATCTTGAGTAATCAGGTGAACCTGCCTTGCTGGCTGGTGGTGCTTCACTGAAGGGTTGGACCAGGGTGTAGAAAGGACTTTGGTGGTTCAGATTTCCACTGGAAAACTGTGACATCCTGCCATCTCAGAGAAGAAAGTTGCAGGAGATAGCCACACGTATAGGTGATTCCTGCTTATCTGGCTAATAATATTCTTGCTAATATTTTTGAAAAGAAATTAGTTTTGGGCCTTCACGGAAGCTAACATTTAATCTCATAGGGCATAAACACGAGCGTAGGGTGGAATAACAGCCTAATGTTTTGAACCCCATGAATTTGCTAATCCATAGGAAGTTCCATTAAGAAACTCCCTAGTTCATCATTCATAGTATTTCACCTGTAGCTCTAATCCCCAGGCCCATGACTGCCCTTCTCTCTTCTGAGTTGTGTGTCAGTCTTCAACCTACGGTCCTTCCCGACTATGGACTCATGTACAACTCTGAATGAAACTAGCATCTTTCAAAGAAGAGTCTAGTTTTCTTCCTGGTCCTGTACCCCTCTGTGTTTCGTTGTACTAGAGAAATTTCTTATTTATTAAGAACCTTTTCGGCCTGGCGCGGTGGCTCATGCCTGTGATCCCAGCACTTGGGAGGCCGAGGCGGGAGGATCACGAGGTCAGGAAATCGAGACCATCCTGGCTAATATGGTGAAACCCGTCTCCACTAAAAATACAAAAAATTAGCGGGGCATGGTGGCAGGCACCTGTAGCCCCAGCTACTCGGGAGGCTGAGGCAGGAGAATGGTGTGAACCCAGGAGGCAGAGCTTGCAGTGAGCCGAGATCGTGCCACTGCACTCCAGCCTGGGCAACAGAGCGAGACTCTGTCTCAAAAAAAAAAAAAAAAAAAAAAAAAGAACCTTTTCTCATGTCTTAGACCCGTGTCTTCATAAAAGCTATTTACTTTAATAAAGTTTTCACATTTTGAGGGGAAAATAGTAATAAATAACATTCTATACCTTTCATTTGCATGAACACTTTATTTCATTATTATGTTTTTCTTTTCTTTTCTTTTTTATTTCATTTGAGACAGAGTCTCATTCTGTCACCCAGGCTGGAGTGCACTGGTGTGATCTCAGCTCCCTGCAACCTCTGCAGGTTCAAGCGATTCTCATGTCTCAGCCTCCCAAGTAGCTGGGATTACAAACATGCGCCAAAATACCCAGCTAATTTTTCTATTTTTAGTGGAGACGGGTTTCACCATGTTGGCCAGGCTGGTCTCGAAATCCTGGCCTCAAGTGATCTTCCCCCCTCAGCCTCCCAAAGTGTTTGGATTTCAGGCATGAGCCACCACGCCCAGCCATATCTCATTATTTTTTAAAAGTTTATTTTGTATGAAGAAAGTTATGCTTTATGCCAGTGCTACCCTTCTCCAGTAAAACAACTAATTGATGGTTGAGATGATTGTTTTATTTGATGAAAAATGATACTTTTATATCAAAAAGATTCTTACTAGTTTTTTATAGAAACCCCTTAAAACATCAAAGTTTTATAGTGTACATAAAAGATGTGTTTGTCCACATACTAACCTCGCAAATAAATGTATAAAGTAAAACAACAAAGTAGTTTTATTAGATGTGCCTTTGTCATCATGCAACAAGTTAGTTCAGTTGGTTGTTTATTTAATTACATTGTGCTCAGGTTCTATTTGTGTGTGTGTGTGTGTGTGTGCGCGTGTGTTACCTTTATTGGTCTTTAGGACTGCTGTGTGTCAGCATTATCCCATTTTACAGGTTATGCCACGGAGGCAGAAACAAGCTCTCATCAGTTTGATTGTGAGTTATTGGCTTGAGGATTATTATGACTCATGATATTTTAGTGTCCTCAGTAACAATAACTTTTTAAATTGCTCAGAATTTTATTTACCACATGTTGAAATAGCATGATTTTTAAAAGTACTCAGTCCTTCTATTTGACAGAATAGAATAATTTCATCAGTAATTTGATGATCAAACACCCTTTTAAGGATTTCATTTCCTCATCACTTCAAGGAAAGAAAAAATATTAATATTGAGGAGGGTAATGCGTGTGAAGCTTTCTTCAAATTATGTTTGTGTGTATTCACATGTGTATACAATAGATTAATAGGTAAAATAGATCAATAGATTAATCGCTTGATTCAAACAAATAAAAGTAGGTTTCACATAAATTTTTGATTCTGTTGTATATATTTGCATTAGTATTATAAGTATCATAATGAGATTTTTACGGAGAGCACTTTTGATGGAATTTTAAATGAATGTTTTAATGTATTATTGGCTGGCACAGACACACAAGTACACAAATCCTTTAGTGTGATGGCCTTGTGCTTGTTTTGGTGAAATAGTATTACTTCTATGATACATGAAAAAATACCTTTGCTTACTTTATCGGCAAAAGGTCTTTATTCTTCTGCCCCTGGAGTTAGGTTAAGAGTATATTTATTAGCCAGGTGCAGTGTGTCTCACGCCTGTAATCTCAGCACTTTGGGGGGCTGAGGCCCATGGATTCCTTGAGCTCAGAAGTTCAAGACCTGCCTGGGCAACACAGCGAAACCCCGTCTCTACAAAAAAATACAAAAATTAGCCAGGCATGGTGGCTTACACCTATAGTCCCAGCTACTTGGGAGAATGAGGTAGGAGGATCACTTGAGCCTGGGAGGTTGAGACTGCAGTGAGCTATGTTTGAGCCACTGCAGTCCAGCCTGGGTGACAAAGCAAGACCCTGCCTCAAAAAAAAAAAAAAAAAAAAAAAAAGTAAATTTATTGCCAGGCATGGTGGCTCATGGCTGTGATCCCAGTGCTTTGGGAAAACGAGGTGGGACAATCCCTTGAGTCCAGAAGTTCAAGACCAGCCTGGGTAACATAGCAAGACCCTTTCTTTACAAAAAAATTTAAAAACCAGCCAGACATGGTGTCAGGTGCCTGTAGTCTCACCTACTCAGGAGGCTGAGGTGGAAGGATCCTGTGAGCCCAGGAGTTTGAGGCTGTAGTGAGGTATGATCGCACCACTGCACTCCAGCCTGGGTGACAGAACAAGACCTGTTTCTTAAAAAAAAAAAAAAAAAAAAAGTAAGTTTAGTGATCTCCATTAGCTTTTCTGAGAAAGATTTCATATTAAACAAAAGCTAAGTGGCTATTCCAAGTTTTGCCTATCCTTCTCTCTGCCTTTTGTGGAACAAATGTGTGTTTCCTGACAGCCTTCAGGTATATGTGTAGGTCTGAAAAAGTATTTCAATGAGAATTGCATATTGAGGTCATCTGGAAGGAAATGTAATATTTTGCCCATGTAAAATCTCGCAATCATTACTCAGATTAAAGACAAAGTGAAGCCAGCTAGCTCAGTTAAATTTTCAGTTCCCTCACTTTAGCACCAAATACCACCCTGGCAGTGAATCACCTGAGAATTTCATCCATCACTCAGTGATAAAATTTGATAACATTTGTAGGTCAATTTATTCCCCTGGAATTTCCTCTACACCTTCCCTATCCTGTCATGTGCCATAGTTTGAGGAAGAGGAAATGATTCAAAAATCTGTAAAGGCTTATCTGTTGATTTCTGACCTAGGAAAAAGAAATTAACCAAGTTTTAGGTCTTGTATTTGAAGAGCTGGTGCAAATATATACAGCATGTAGCTATGTCGGGACTTGGTGAATTTCCCTGACTTTGTAGATTATACACCAAATGTAAGGGTAAGCGAAAGAAGAAAGAGTACGTGAAAGGAGGTCAGATACCTCTGTGTTTCCTGCCTTTTTATATCCTAATTTTATTACAGAGGGGCGTTAAGTGGATCTCCTTGCTTTCTTTTCATGACGAAGTAGGAGACTTTCCTTTTGGTAGCTATTGTGCACCTCTAGGAAAATCAGCAACTCAGCAGAAAGGAAACCAGGATGCAGGCCTAGCAGGAGGCTGTCCACCCAGTGAGGAAGTTGGACATTTTCTCTTTTGTAGAGATGACTGATGATCTGTGGAAAAAGAACAGTGGGCACTGAGGCCAGCTTCTCTAAGACAGCTTGAGTGAATGTGTGGCTAGCGCTTCCTTGATTAACAGAGGTCTCCCTGACCGTGGCAATGTGTTATGACTCATAGCCTTGCAGAGATGAATTGTTCCTGAACGGTTTCTCCAACATCTGAGATACAAACAGGTCTTTTAGCCATTTGCTAGACACCAGAAGAAAAAATGGTCTAACCAGTGTAAGACCTGGAAACAGCCTAGAATCTTCAAAAATACTTGCACTCAAAGTCACCTTAATTTTAGAACCCAAAATCTGGACAGAGAACCATGTCAGCTAACCATTACAGTTGAAAGTTCATCCAGGTGACCTCTGTTTCTTAGAAATGTACAAACAACCTCTACATATTTCTTCTTTAGTAGTTAAATGACTTTATAACTTGGAGCTTTGGAGATTCTTTTTAAAATAGCAAGTAATACTGCTTTCTTTGGCCAGATAACAATTTTCCTGCTTTCCTGAATAGAAATTTGACAGGTTTTGGAACCTTATACTTTGGTATGGAACTGAATAGATCTTTGAAGCCTTCAGAATTACTTTTACCCAGGTTAGTAACTTTGACTTACTCTCAGTTTAAACTGTTCCTTTTGCTATCCTGGTTTTCTGTAACTGGGATGGATATGCACAGAGGAGTCGGTTGTTTCTTAATACTGTTTTAGAAAACCTTGTGACGTGGTATGGATTCCCAGTATGTCTGATACCAATGTTACTAGTGAAATTGGCTGAGTAACTTATGTGTGCAAGGTCCTTACTCCCAACAGTTAGAGACATTTATGTGTTTCCTGTCCTCGAGGACTGTAGACAACAGCTGCCTTGCATGAAATGATTGTAGTACATTTACCAACATTTATATGCCAATAAGTAGAAATGTATATGTTAGAATTTGAGGATTTAAGTGTTGAGGTGATCTGTAAGAGAAGATACCAGAGCCAGGTGGCTTTCTTTGACAGCTTCCTGGAGAAGGTGAGACTTGTGCCTAGATATCAAAGTTGCTGAAGATGAAGTGGACATTTGGGGTGAGTTTAAGATGTGCAAAACATTGGCTGAACATGGTGGCTTACGGTTGTAATCTCAATGCTTTGGGAGGCTGAGGGAAGGAGTTTGAGGCCAGGAGTTCAAGACCAGCCTGGGCAACATAGTAAGACTCTGTCTTTACTAAAAATAATAATAATTAAAAAAACAGCCAGGTGTGATAGCATGTACTTGTAGTCCCAGCTACTTGGGAGGCTGAGGCAGGAGGATTGCTTGGGCTCAGAAGTTCGAGGTTACAATGAGCTAATTGTGCCACTGCACCCCAGCCTCGGTGACAGAGCAAGACAATGTCCTAAAAAGAAAAAAAAAAAAAGATGTGCAAAACATACACAGAGGAGGGAAAGAGTAGAGAAGTAGACTGATTTGTGGGCAGAAGGCAGAATATCCTGGATAGAAGAAAAGCAGATAGTTGAAAAATTAACTTTGTGGGGGCTAGCATAGTGTATGAAAATTTGGATTTGGGCCTCTGGGCATAAAGAGCCAAGAACCAATAAGAATTTTGACCTGCGTGGAACAATAGGATGAAAATTTCATGACCAAAGAATTCTGGCCATAATAAATTCAGGTGTGAAGAAATTAGAAGAATTTTCTTCAGATATTCAAGCCAACATGTACATGCCAGAAATACAACAGAATGGATAGTGGCTTGAACGTCTTGTAGGGAGAGAATCAACAAGAATTATGATGTTTTTTTACTGAGCATTAATAGTGAGAGATCGAAGGACTGTGTCTCTTTTGTTGCTTTGTATTATTAATTGCAAGATGTTGGTGATACAGTCTACCCAAGTATGTGGCAAGAATTCTACATACCAAAACCTGTTTAAGAGTTGACTGATGTGTTGGAAATGTCCGCGATGATCAAGTCCAAGATGTCTTTGACCAGAAGTCCTGAGGACCTATGGAGCAGAATAAGTAAGTCTCCTTTTAGGGTTTATAGCAGAATCTTAAAATTTGTTAGTGTGTTGAATTATGGACAAAGAAGCAATGCGGACCTTTGTTGCAGTACTTAAACTTTATATGCTGTTGTTACCTGTTTTATCTCTCTCACTAGACTTCAAATTCCTTGTGGCAGAGAAAGTATTTCTTGCTTATCTTCTTATACTCTGTGCCTAGTAAAATGCTTGATAGGTCATCAATACTCAATGACTAAAATTTTCTGTAATTTGCATTCTCATTGGTAGTGAAGTATTATAATAATGAACGATTGTTATGTACTGTTCCATTTAACTCTATTTTGGAATGTTCTCAATAGTTTGGCCGCTTTAAGCAAGTGGGAGAATATTCTCAATTATATTTGGGTTTGTACTAGTGCTATGTGTAATTAAGGTTCATTTATTTATTACTAAGTGTTTATTATGGACCTACTATATGAGCAAGTTGTTGAATGGAAGCGTAGAAGAAGGAAATAGGCCAGGCGCGGTGGCTCGCACCTGTAATCCCAGCACTTTGGGAAGCCAAGGCAGGCGGATCACAAGGTCAGGAGTTCAAGACCAACCTGGCCAACATAATGAAACCCTGTCTCTACTAAAAATACAAAAATTAGCCAGGCATGGTGGTGCGTGCCTGTAGTCCCAGCTACTCAGGAGGCTGAGGCAGGAGAATCGCTTGAACCCGGGAGGTGGAGGTTGCAGTAAGCTGAAATTGTGTCACTGCACTCCAGCTTGGGCAACAGAGTGAGACTTCGTCTCAAAAAACCAAAGGAAAAAAATGAGCTAGGTGTGGGGGCATGCGCCTGTAGCCTCAGCTACTTGGGAGGCTGAGGCAGGAGAATCGTTTGAACCCAGGAGGCGTAGGCTGAGCCAAGATCAAGCCACTGCACTCCACACTCCGGTATGGGCGACAGAACGAGACTCCGTCTCAAAAAAAAAAAAAAAAAAAAAAAAAGCAAATGGACACACTGCCCTCAAAAGGCTTGTAGACAAGGGAGAAAGATGAGATTTCTCTATTAATAACTGCACTGTTTGGTAGAAAATACTATGTACAATATGAGATGTCTAGATATAAAGTGCTGTAGAAGTTTTTGAAAGTAGGAAAGGTTCCTTTTATTCCAGAAGGTCAGGCGGGCCTTATAGAGAAGTGTAGGCTGGGCTTGGTGGCTCATGCCTGTAATCCCAGCCCTTTGGGAGGCTGAGGTGGGCAGATCACTGAGGTCAGGAGTTCAAGACCAGCCTGGTCAATGTGGTGTGAAACCTTGTCTCTTACTAAAAATACAAAAATTAGCCGAGTGTGGTGGCATGTGCCTGTAATCCTAGCTACTCGGGAGGCTGAGGCAGGAGCATCACTTGAACCCAGGAGGCAGAGGAGGCAGTGAGCCCAGATTGCACCACTGCACTCCAGCCTGGGTGACAAGAGCAAAACTCCAAACAAACAAACAAACAAAAAAAACCAAACAAACAGCCTGGCCAACATGGTGAAACCCCGTCTCAACTAAAAATACAAAAATTAGCTGGGTGTGGTGGCGGGTGACTGTAATCCCAGCTACTCGGGAGGCTGAGGCAGGAGAATCGTTTGAAGCAAGGAGGTGGAGGTTGCAGTGAGCTGAGATTGCACCATTGCATTCCAAGCCTGGGCGACAAGGTGAGATTCCGTCAAAAAAAAAAAAAAAAAAAAAAAAAAAAAAAGAGGAGAGAGAGAGAGAGAAGTGTACTTTATCTGATCCAGTAAGGGTAGATAAAATTTCAACTTGCCAGATGACACAGGGTCAGAAAATCATGAGACCTATTTAGGAAACAGCAGATAATTTCACTTAAGCGTGGGATTAAGAAGAGTCACAGGAAAGAAGCTAGTTATATCCAGGACTTTCCTTGACAAATAATGGTTGTCTTCCTGAAGGTCTTTTGAGGTCTCATCCAGAGCCGAGTGGGTGGCCTTCGTCTACTCTCACATAAGTATTTTTGTGACTTTTCTAAAAACTTGTTATGCCTGTAAAAAGTTTGTGGAACTCAGTATTTTTTTTAACCTACACTTGACCATTAAAAAGGTAAAAACTTTTCTACAATTTCCATCCAAGTTTTAATGGGAAAAGTTTGCGATAGATTTTTAAAAGCTTTCATGGCCCAGTGTCTGTGCCAGTTTCGTCAACTGGCTTTTCAGAGTCCACTTCTTACTAAGTCTTTGGACTAAAAGTGAAAAGAGCTTCCAGAAAGCTACAATTATGCTTTTTATTTGAGGAAGTGTTTCTGGTTGCTGTACTCCAGAATTTTTGAAAGAGATTGTAAATGTGGTTAATGCGACTTTGTGTACCTGTGACTGTCCTACAAATGTGCTAAAATGAGACTCTGGCCTTACAGCTTCAGAAACTGACTTGTTCTGCTTGGGGTGTTAATATTATTACGAATGCTAACATGAAATTCAAATCACCTGATTGAAGTTCTTAGCACTGTGATTAATGGATGAATTTAGGAGAGGGAACTATATATGATTTTTTTTTGTCTTTAACTGTTACTGATAAGGACTCAGAATCTTTCTGATTCTCTTTTAAAAAGTTTTCTCTGTAAACTTAAAGCACTATTTTCTTTTAGAACAGCTTTAGTGTTTCAAGCTTAAAATCTTCTCTCTTTAAATCCTGGCTGCATATTTGGCTCTCTCCCTCCAGGCAGAGTTTTCTCCAGACCTTGGTTGGCTCTGAATCCCAAGAGTTAAGACAGCCTAGCTTCTATAAATCAGGAGACAGCTTCATTATCAAAGTTATGTGTTTTCACCTTCATAGATAGCCAGTCTTAGTGTTGGTGCCTGGCCCTGCCTTATCGTGTAACCATCAGCACTGCATACTGGAATGTTCTTTGTTTCGATTATTTACTCCTTCTATAAACAAAGATTAGAGCAAAAAATGTCAGTACTGGGCCCCAAGCAGTGGTGACTGTTACTGGAAAATTGCAGTGGCATGGTGTGGGATGTGATTTGCTACTCAGGCAGGATAGCACTGACTTGACAGTTATAATTATTTCTGAGTTCTGTGCTGCATCTCTTTTATACATTTTATCTCATTTATACATTTTATCTCATTTATCTTCCCAGAAGATAGGTTCTGTTCTTTCCATTTTACAGATGAGGGAAACAAGGCTCAGAAAAGTTAGCAGTATTGCCTCAACTTACGTTGTGAGTGGCAGATAGTTGTGTTTCAAACCTGGACAGTTGACTTCATAGTCTTCTCTTTTACCTACTACATGATAAAGAAATTCCAAAGATGACACTGTTTAAAATAATGTTACCTAGAATTTGAGCTTCTTGTAACCATTACATGGTCCCACAGTTTTGTGGGGTTTTTTGTTTTTTAAGAGATGAGGTCTTGCTGTGTTGCCCATGCTGGAGTGGAGTGGCTGTTCACAGGTGCGGTCATGGCACACTGCAACCTCGAACAGCTGGCCTCAAGTGATCCTGCCGCCTCAGCTTCCTCAGTAGCTGGGACTATAGGCATGTCCTACTGTGCCTGGCTGGTTCCACAGTTCTAATTTGTTAGCGCAGGATGAGAACACATTTTTAGTATTGAAATTTTTATTTATTTATTTCTAGTTTTTTACAGAAGATCTAGAGATAATGGAATTTATCAAATCTTGACTGATCTCCAGTATTTGGAGGGTCTGTATCTTTCTTGCAGCTTTCAGGGTCTACTTTATTTAAGAGTTTACATTTTAATCTGAATTCAGGGAAAAAGCAAAGTTATTAACCAGTCTATTTTGGGAGTCAGTATGTCACAGAGGTTCATGAAGCATCTTGTATCATTTGGAATAGATATAATTGTGAGAGAGGAAGACAATTATTTCAGAATATGTGGACTTGGATTCTGGAATACATGTATTAATACATGTATTCATTCTGGAATACATGTATTAATACATGTATTCATTCTGGAATACATGTATTATTCCAAACTTTAAGAAGTTTGATTCTCAGTAAATGGTATGACTAACTACTTTTTTTGGAACATGATTACTTATCTTTATAAGCATTTTCACATACAGTGTAGGAAAATAATCCTTATTTCGCAGATGAGGAAACTATGACTTAGATAAATGGGTGCTGTTGCTAAGATGACATCTAGTAGGTGCAGGTGATGTGTTTTTGCTTAAATTTGCCATATGGATTCCGACTTGCCTGTAGGTGCTGGGTATGTTTATAAGATCAGAGTATATTCATTTCTTGACTAGAATAAGTATGTTTTCTGATTCACTACAAGGTTATTTTTCTTACTGAACTATAATTCCTGGATAAAACCTCTTGAACTTAATAACTATCACCATAAATATGTTTAATGGGTTTATTGGCATGTTGAAAAGTGTATTGTGTTGGCACATGAAGAGGCCCACATAATTGCTAAATAATGGTCCTTAAGGTATTTATAAAGGTGTTATTGATTTGTAGTTTGTATATCCATATATATTTATAACATTCTGGTGACAAAGAAAAACTTGAGTAAACATTGTCATGTCTGTGGATATCAGTGATAGTAAAAAGTTGAGATATGCCTTATTTAGGTCCACTCTTCCAGATTATCATTAATCAGATTTTTTTGAGAGACTGCTTGACCCCATTTTCCTATTTCTTGAATTTGTCCTATCACCATATGATTAGAGACCTAGTTCTCAACGAGTGACTGTATTTCCTGATGTTGACTGAAACATGAATGTCCTCTCCCCTTTCCTCACTGCCTTTGGGCCCATGTATTTTGTATTTTTGATTTAGAAAAAAAAATTCTTAGGGAAACAAAAATGAGTAAAAAAAAAGTTAGATGGATTGTGAGGGCATGAATTAGAGTAGGCACAGGATTGTTAATTTGTCTCCTTCTGCACATCCGTGGTATAGTGTTTGGAGCTTGGCCCAGGAAGAATGATATTCTGCTTTGTTTTTTGACCCTCAAAATATCCTCGTTCTTGGCTATACCCAGAGTTCCTTAGAAATGATGTTTGTTGTAACGTTTTGGGACAAAATTGTGGGAGGGGGCTGGAGGAGGGTGGTAAACCATATATATTACACTTTAAAAATGTTTTTCCTCTTATATTCTTTTCTGTTTTTCTTTCAAATACTCTCTGTAGCAAACTGTGCGCAATTTCTCTTCTTCATGTGAAAATTTATCTCAGGGCAAGAGACAATTCATTTAACTGTCATGAATTCATTTAACTTCCATGTGCTTTTGGAAAGTCTTGGTACGCTTTCATTGATTGAGTTACAATCCCATAAATCTAGGGTAGATTAGAATACGCTTGTTGTAGCTCTTCCTTTAGGTACTTCATGAGGCCACATGAAACCACCTTCTGATATTTATGCCTTTGTTTTGCCCTCTGTGGGATTAACCCCATCTCTTCATCAAGTAAAAGCCTGTATACCAATTCACAGACTTTCTTTTCAGCAGAATAAATCTTACTGTTGATACAATCTTTTGAAATGGAACATCTTTATATTTTTATGTAAAGTATGATTTTCCTGCAATTCTGGCTATGACTTTGTATAGCTTTCCTACATGATTCTGTGGCTTCCTCAGACCTGTGGAAGACCTTGACTCTAAATCTGAGCAGACAGAAAGCTAAGTGCAGAATGATATTCTTCAAGTAAGCCATTCACCCCAAGAAGAAGTAAGAGGGGGGGAAAAAAGACAAAACAAAACAGTGTGGAAATGTGTCTAAACTAGTGTCCCCAAGGGTATCCCAAAACCATTTATTCTATGGAATGTTAGTAACTGTTGTGCTTTAAAAGTTACAAAGATCTGATAAGTTTGGGAAAGCCTGTGTTAAAAAAAAAAATTAACCCAATCCTATATTCAAAACTTTTTAGAAACTTCTTTTTGTTGTTAGAGACAGAGTCTTGCTCTGTCGCCCAGGCTAGAATGCAGTGGCGTGACCATAGCTCGCTGTGACCTTGAACTGAATTCAAGTGATCCTTCCAAGTAGCTAGCACTACAGATGTGTGCCATCACGTCTGGCTAATTTTTCTTATTTTTTGTACAGGTGGGATCTCACCATGTTGCCCAGGCTAGTCTCAAACTCCTACCCTCAAGTTATCCTCCCATCTCGACTTCCCAAAGATCTAGGATTACAGGCATAAACCACTAGACCCCCACTCCTTCCATGCCAACCAAAAAAAGGATATGTTACATTTCCTAAACTCATTTATCTGAGGAGACCTTTTTCTTGGGACTAGCAGTCAAAAAAGCCCTTACAAATTAGAAATGCATTTTAAATATGCAAGAAAATGGCAAAGTGTCTTGGTATTCCCCAGGCTTAGTCACTTATTCTCTGTTCTTTAGCAATTCAACCAATGGAGTAGAGGCTGTAGTTTTCTGTGGGTGTCTTACCTACCTTACCAGAGGTCAGGGTAACATAGACCTTAGCTTCCTGACCTTCCTTTGAGTGTTGGTTACATTCGCTTTTTTAAAACCCACTTAGCCATTCATCCAGCCCCTAATGGGATCAGCGTTTCCATCAAACCAATTGTGGACAGAGAGTTTTTAGGGCCCTTATTTATGCTTCTTAGATTTTCTATGTATCTCAGGATAAGTGAACTGTAGAGAAATACTCTATGTTATGCAGACTGTGGGAGACTGGAGTTTAGTTCTAAAAGCATGTATTAGGCTCTGCAAGAGCTACTCAACCCTAATGAAGTCATCTGACTCTAAGGTTTTATATATCTTTCATCTTCCATTTGGACACCCAGCCATCTATCCATCCATCTCACTGAGTGGTTGTGATGGTAAAATGTATGAAAAGTGTTGAAAAGTTGTAAACTTTGAGAAGGTTATATAAAAAGCATTGGTATCATTATTATCATCAGTCAAGAGGTGTGTTGAGGAATGGTTTTCATTGCTGACTCATGAGATAAGTTACTTCCCTTGTTCCTCAAGATTTTTGGTGAAAATGTTAAGCATTACTCATTCGTATGAATAATAAAGACTCCCTTCAGAAGAATGTTTGAAAGGCTAATTACATTTCTGTTATTGTACAATCATAATAGCATTAGAGAGCACATATATAATTTTAAGTGCGTTACTTATATTTGCTCATTTTGTTACCACACCAACTCTGTAGTAAGTATGATTACTAACTTTATTTTACAAAGAGGAAAACTAAGACGCAGATCACTTAGGTAACTTGTTCAATATCATATAGTTATAAGTGGCAGAGCTGGGATTTGAACTCACACAGTCTAGCTCTGGAGTCCATGCTGTTAACCACTGTCTTAGTATGATTTATACCAGGATACTAGAAGACACACCACTGTCTTATACAGATTGGTTCAAATACTGATGGTTAGTTACTAGTTGTGAGACATTAGACAACCCAATAACCACCTGTCTCATTCCTGCAAAAGGACTTTATTTAGGTATAAAGCACCAACAGATAGTAGTAGTGTACTCTTAAAACAGAGTGATGGGTGTGTCCTATTTTGCCACTAGAAATGCTTTTTTCACATCTGTATTTTAAAATGATTAAGGGATGATCATTATTTTCCCTCCCTCATGCCTCCTGCTCCATCCACCCTGAAAAACTAAATTCTTTGGCCAAAATTTGCAAGCGCATATAGAAGATTGGTTAGCATAACTCAGACTTGCATTTATGACTGTATGGGCAAGGACAAAGTAGACTCTGTAATTGTTTAGTCATATATGAGCTATATATATACTTCAAGTGAGTGAAATGTTTTGTTCATTCTAGATTTTTTTTATTTATGTGTTTTGGGTTTGGAACCCTTAGAAAATCAAAGAAAAAAATTGTTTGTTCTTGCTATCAGCTTTCATATGGTTCCCGAGACAAGTGCTATACATTTAGAAAATTAAAAGGGTAAACATTAAATAAGAATGCAGGAGTTGGCAAGAAGTCAAATGAATTGGATGTTCATTAAATGCCCAGGGTTTGGGGACAGGCAAGGTTACTAAAAACTGGAGCAGGCTTAATGAGACACATCAGACTTGAGTTGAGTTTGGTGGATGGGTAGGATTCTGAATGGTGAGGAGAATAGTCTTGAAAAGGGGTAGAGGAGAGAGGGAATGTAGTGGAAACCAGGGTAGAGTCAGCATGCATGTGGCTAGAGACATGTTTCAGCCAGTGGGCTGGGCTGCAGGAATTGAGGAGGAGTTGGGAGTAGCAGGCCACTAGGCTAAGAATCTGGGAGTTTGTGAATTCCCAGCTATGAAATGGGGCCCCATTTCATAGTCTGGGATTACTGAAGGTTTAAAGTGGAAGAATGAAATCCAGAAAGCTGAGTTCCAAGAGCCTTAGTATGATAGTAGTAAATTGAGTAGTTAGAATGAAGATTGATCATATTTTCTTAGCCAGGAGAACCAATTAGAAGGCTATTTAAGATATTTAGGGAGGGCCAGGTGCAGTAGCTCATGCCTGTAATCCCAGCACTTTGGGAGGCTGAGGCAGGCTTATCACTTGAGGTCAGGAGTTCAAGACCCTCCTGGCCAATATGGTGAAACCCCATCTCTACTAAAAATTCAAAAAGTTAGCCAGACAGGGTGGCAGGCGCCTGTAGTCCCAGCTACTTGGGAAGCTGAGGCACGAGAATTGCTTGAACCCAGGAGGCAGAAGTTACAGTGAGCTGAGATTGTGCCATTGCACTCCAGCTTGGACAACAGAGTGAGACTCTGTCTCAAAAAAAAAAAAAAAAAGAAAAAAAAAGATATTTAGGGAGGAGCTATATTTGATGGCAGTGCAAATGGAAAGATAAGGGATGGGCTTGAGATACACCAGAGGAAGAATTGGTGTGATTTAGTGTGGTATAATTAAAATGCCAGGTCATTTTCTAGTAATATAATTAATATTTAATTAATTAACAGTAGATTAATACAAACTAATTTCTAAACATAGGCTCTGGAATCAGACTGCCTAAGTAAGCAGTAACCTCCACATTGACCTCAAAAAAGTAACTTAACTGACTGAGCCTCAGTTTTCTCATTTGTTAAATGAGAATAGTAATACCCACCTTGGAAGATTTACTAAGAATTAAGTGAGATTTAATTCTTATTTATATAAGAAAGTCCTTGGCATGATGCCCAACAAATAGTAAGAGTGCAGTGTATTTTAACTATAATCATTAGCGTCCATATTTTAAAATGGGAATTTGATTACATTGTGGTTTGTTGTAAGTGCTGAACATACCTGTGCTTTTCTTATGGCAGGTATAGTAATTGTGTTAACTAATAAAACGGTTATTAAATATGTTCAATCTGTCTAGTATTTGTAGAGTTTCTGTTGTTTGTATTCACATTATTCTACTATTTGATATCCAGTAGCCCAGAGAAGATGGTGACAACCCCTGGCAGGGACACGCACCTCCTCTGCGGGCCACTGAGAATTGGACAATAGGATTTAGAATCAGTGGTAGAGCTGGACCTGGAATCCAGGCTTCTTCATTGTCGGTAAAGGTCTGTTTCCCAATATGAGGCATCATAAATTAAGGTAGGAGACAGAAGAAAACATATAATTTTTTGGGGGTCTTTTTTTTTTCTTGATTATAGATTTTATTTATTTTTTATTTTTCTATAAGTTATTGGGGTACAGGTGGTATTTGGTTACATGAGTAAGTTCTTTAGTGGTGATTTATGAGATTTTGGTGCACCCATCAGCCGTATACACTGTACCATATTTGTAGTCTTTTATCCCTCACCCCCCTCCCACTCTTCCCCCTAAGTCCCCAAAGTCCGTTGTATCATTGTTAGGTGTTTGCGTCCTCATAGCTTAGCTCCCACATATCAGTGAGTACATACGGTGTTTGGTTTTCCATTCCTAAGTTACTTCACTTTGGATAGTAGTCTCCAATCTCATCTAGGTCACTGCAAATGCTGTTAATTCATTCCTTTTTATGGCTGCGTAGTGTTCCATCATATATTCATATATATATATGATGGAATATATATATATATGATGGAATATATATATGATGGAATATATATATATATGATGGAATATATATATATGATGGAATATATATATGATGGAATATATATATGATGGAATATATATATGATAGAATATATATATGATGGAATATATATGATAGAATATATATATGATAGAATATATACATATGATAGAATATATATATGATGGAATATATATATGATAGAATATATATATATGATGGAATATATATGATGGAATATATATATGGTGGAATACATACACACACACACACACACACACACACACACACACACACACCACAGTTTCTTTATCCACTCATTGATCGGTGGGCATTTGGGTTGGTTCCACGATTTTGCAGTTGTGAATTGTGCTGCTGTAAACATGCATGTACAAGTATCTTGGAAAACAGAGAATTTCTTAAAGTCTCTTTATCTGTTCACAGATATGACTGGCTAACCTGCGTTTTTCTGTATAATTGTTCTTTCCAGGGTATATAGTATGTCCTTTATGTTGGTGGATGTTTTTAGCCCAACCTTTTTACTTGGTTAATTCCGACTTTACTTTCAACTTAAATGCCACCCAATCTAAATGACTTTTACCCTTTTTTCTTAGCCACTACGTATTTTCTTTAGAGCGATTTTTATACCTTGTAGTCCTATATTTGTTTACCTATTTGTTTATTTATACCCATCTCCCCCACCAAACTTTTAGGTCCATGAGAGCAGAGATCATTTCTGTTTTGTTATTTAGGGTACTTGGTTTCCGGTATAATGTGTGGCATATAATAAGCAATAAATAGGAATTTGAGAATGAATTCATGAATTAGAGAATATGTAATATTCAGACATATGTCAAAGGGCATGGTCTCTGCTTTTGCTGATAAAACCAACTTGGATTAACATTATTAAAACTTTCAGTGCTATACTTTCATCATCTAATATGGACAGAATAATAACTACCTACATCTACTTCACAGAAATGTTTTTAGGATAAATGAGATACTGAATACTGTTTTCTGCAATATCTAGAAATTAGGCCTACATCATAAACTGGGTATTTAGGGAACTTCCCTGTTCCACACTTTGAGATGACTAGGAAACCCCTTTCTGATATTAGAGCTCCAAAAAGGCTACCAGAGTGGCCATGCACAATAGTGACCACAAGGGTGAACAGACTCTCTGAGCCCTTCCCCTTCCTGCCAGGCAATGCCTGACTCTGCAGAACATATGGATCACAACCTAATGTGTGTGGAATTACTCTGCTATCTTCAGAAAAAGAGCATCGTGCATATCTAATGCCATGTTGATGATGGTAGTAGTACTGCGGAGAGGCTGCTGATGTGATGATGGAACCAAAGTTGTGAGGTAAGAAGATCCTTTAGAAGCAAACACCTTCCAGATCCTAGCCCTATAAACAGCAACTGGGTGTCTGGTAAATACAGCATCGGCTTGAATAGACATATTTGAATAAGGTTTTCTCACCATAGCCTGGGCTTCTAAAGAGCTTGGTAGAATATTTTGATTGTTGAGATCATCCCCTCCCCATCTTTAAAAAAGATATGGATCCCCTGCTCCTGATAAACACAAGAAAAAATATAAACTGTAAATATTTATGTGATGAAAATTATATTAAATATTTAAAGAAACTGCAGAGCATTGCTTAATCATCTTATTAAGAATCCTAGATTTAAACCTTAGATGTCTGTTCTTAGGCATGAAGGAATCAGGTTAAACTGCCTTAAAAATAAAGTGCCTCACAGTTGTATCATAAAATATCAACTGACATTAAGGTAATTGTGCTTAAGCACAACTTAGGGCTCTTCTGAATATTTGTCATTGTCACAATAATGGTGCTATTTTTAATAGTCCAATCCTAGTTCTAAAGAAATAAACTATATTCTTTGTGTGTGTCCTAAACAGAATCATGACTAGGGAGAAAATGTAGACTCCGAATTCTTTATCTTAGTAAAAGAAGCACAGAACCACATTAGATATGGGTTCTGGTATCATTATGGTGTTTTTGTTTTGTTTTGTTTTGTTTTTTTGTTTTTAATGAAACATTCTAAAGGGCTGGGTGCAGTGGCTCACGCTTGTAATCCCAGCACTTTGGGAGGCTGAGGCGGGCGGATCACCTGAGGTCAGGAGTTAGAGACCAGCCTGTCCAACATGGCGAAACCCTGTCTCTACTAAAAATACAAAGATTAGCCGGGCATGGTGGTGGGCACCTGTAATCCCAGCTACTTGAGAGGCTGAGGCAGGAGAATCACTTGAACCCAGGAGGTGGAGATTGTAGTAAGCCAAGATCACACCATTGCATTTCAGCCTGGGCAACAAGAGTGAAACTCCATCTTAAAAAAAAAAAAAAGAAAAAGAAAAAGAAAAAAGAAAACAAAACATTTTGTAGTAGGAGCCTGCCTAGTCCAGGGTAGTGTAACACTCCTAAGAGTCTCAGCCATTTCCTACGTTAGGATCAGTTTTACAGATTTGAGTCAAACTGATGTCTGAGTCTTCGTTAACCTTCAGAGAGCCATGAAATCAAGTGCAGATTTCTAAGCCCCAGCCACTGGGCCCTAGCAAGCTCATGTTGAGCCTTTATGAAATTAGAAAAGGTGTTCTTTCTGAGCGGATAAAGCCCAAACCAGAGCACATGGCTTGGCCGTGGTGAGCCAGGCCTGAACTACATTCAGCACCACTTGCCACTTTGGTGGCACTTTGGGCAGTGCATATGTTGAGCACCCTGTCCCCAGAAGGACCGGACCCAAATCTCTAGCCAGAACGCAAGCACTGTTTACAGGCAACCCAGGAACCATGTTATTTTTCAGATTGACATTCACGTCACAATGCTGGTGCTTTTGAGTATGTGATCTGCTTAAGTCCACAGTGGTCTTTTGGCCTTTGAGCCCCAAATCCTCAGAGTTCATGGCATGATCTCACTATATGGAACAGAAAAGTGTTTCATTTTATGTCGAATTTAAATAATATCTGGGAATATTTGCTGTTGATTTTTTTCCTCCTGCTACCCTCTCTCATGTTAGGCCAAGAAAGCCAATGAGGTTAAACTACGACTGTCCTTTTTTAGGATCTGCTAATAATTTAGATAGAGGCTGATGATTTATCACCACCTTATTCAGGCTGTAATAATCCCCTATCCACTTGGATCTCTGCAGAACCTCTTAACTGATCTTCTCTCCGCCAACCTGTTCTTTACTCCAACTCATGGAAAGTCACACTTGCTAATGATACGTCATTGACTTTCTCCTGGGTTGAAAGAACATCCAAACTCTTTTATTTTATTTTATTATACTTTAAGTTCTAGGGTACACGTGCACAATGTGCAAGTTTGTTACATAGGTATACATGTGCCACGTTAGTTTGCTGCACCCATCAACTCATCATTTACATTAGGTATTTCTCCTAATGCTATCCCTCCCCCAGCCCTCCACCCCACAACAGGCCCTGCTGTGTGATGTTCCCCTCCCTGTGTCCATGTGTTCTCATGAAAATCCAAACTCTTCTACACGGCCTGCCAAATCTTGATCAAAACCCTACAGGACGTGCCAGGCCTACATGACGTGTCTCCTTTTCCCTTCATCTCTGACTGCATCTCCTCTCTCCCTCCTTCACTTGTTCAACTTTGGTCACACTGGCTTCTTCGCTGTTCCTTTTCCCTGAAAAATTTTGCCTTCACATCTCAGACCTTGACTCAGAACTCATCTCAATGACTCTTGCCCTGACTGCTGTATCTGAATTTTCAGCCTTTCCTCACCCACACCATTTCAGGTCCTCTTTCTCCACTTTGTCTTTTCTTCCTTAAAAATTATTTTCTGGCTGGGCTCGGTGGCTCATGCCTGTAATCTCAGCACTTTGGGAGGCCAAGGCAGGTGGATCATGAGTTCAAGAGATCGAGACCACCCCGGCCAACATGGTGAAACCCCATCTCTACTAAAAATATAAAAATTAGCTGGGCATGGTGGCACAGGCCTGTAATCCTAGCTACTCAGGAGGCTGAGACAGGAGAATCGCTTGAATCTGGGAGGTGTAGTTTGCAGTGAGCCGAGATTGTGTCACTGCACTCCAGCCTGGTGACAGAGCAAGACTCCGTCTCCAAAAAAAAGAAAAAGAAAATTATTTTCTAATATATTTCGTATTTTATTTAGTGTGTCTGTTTCTCTTCCACCAGGATTTAAGCTCCACCAGGGTAGGGGTTTGTCTGTTTTATTCAGTGTTGTATCTCCAGTGCCTAGGACAAAACCAAACATGCAGCATATGGTCAAGACCTATTAGTTGAGTGGAGGACTGAATGAACTTGGCCCCTGCCTGCCTCTCTACCCTCGTGTGTCATCAGACTTCTTCATGTCCTACATGCCCACATCTTTTCCATCTTTCTGCTCTCTCTAAACACGCCATGCTTTCCTCCACTCTCTGTGCCTTTCTACTTACTGCTGCATCTATTTAGATGGTTCATCTTCACCTGTTTGGCTCTTCAGGCATGGCTCAGAAGTCACCTCTGCTAGAAGGACTGCCTTAGCCCCCTGCTGTGCAAGTAGAGTACCCTTTCCCAGCATGGGAGCAACCTGAATGCCTTACTTTTATCCTTTTGCCTAGCTCTTCCATTAAACCACATAAGCTCCTTGAGGGTCTTATTTGGATTTGTAGTCTCAGTCTGCACATAGCACAGTATAGGCATGTCTTAAATGTTTATTAACTGGAGAAAGGAGGGACAGAGGCCAGCATAGAACTGGAAGATTATTTCAGGATTTCATCCATCCTTAGTCTACCTAGTCTACCTACCATGTTGCCACGTTTATTACAGTAGGTGCTCAAGACAGCTCTGAATGAATGAGTTGTTTGTTCCCTCTTACACATACCCACCCCTAATTAAAAATTCAAATCATTTTTGTATCAATATTGTACTTTGAAAAGATCTTCTGAATTGATGGCTTCTAACTTCAGGTTGTTGGCCAGATCTGGATGTGGTCAGATAAGGTAGATGTAACTGTTTCCTGAGTCTAAAACCTATCAGGATGCACTGGTTGGGAAATGGATAGAGCACCTTAGTGTATTTTCTGAGAAACACAGATCAGTGGTTTTGCTTACCTGTGTGTTGATAATGAGTGCTTTTTCTGCGTGCGTACTTTATTTCTTCGAAATAGGACTTACGTGAAAACAAAGTGGCTTAATCATTCAATTACAGTTTCCTCTATGAAATTTTTCAATAAAAATGAAATAAAGCAGGGGAGCTCTAAGTCTGTTTCATACTCTGCAGTATGGATGATCACCAGGAAACATTTTCTTAATGGCATCATAATATTCTGAATGTTATTTATACTAATGATCACGAATTTCATCTTAGTGATGCCTGTAAAAAACTTAACCTACATGTTAAGTTGACTTAAGACACAACGTTTCAGACTACCCAGACTGAAGACACACCATTTCAGATTACCCATAAAGATTTTAGCAGCAGTGTTCTGTGACTGATTTGTAATGATGCTTACTACTCATCATTAATTGAGTAGACTTGATGGATAGCTATACAGAAAAAAAAAAAAAAATGGGCAGGCCTTTACCACCCTCGAAGGATGGAGCTTTTGGTATTTATTCGATGCATAACCTGTATTCCTAAAAGACAAGAAATACATCATATGATTTCTCAGTGGACCATACATCACAGCAGGAACACCTTTACAACCTGCCAGGTAAACACATATTAAAGTTAATTCTCAGAGGCTTTTGTTGCTTTAAAGAAATCATATGCAGTAGAAAATTCCTCCTGTTTTCACAACCAGGACCAACAGCCAGTTAATCAGTTGAAGTGGTGAATCTTTACCAAAACAAACAAACTACATGTTTTAAGCATTTTTAGCTGAAAATATAGAAATGTGCATTTTGAGATTAGCCAAGGCCTTTACTTAAGTATGGATGGTTGTGCTCATTAAAGTTCTGACTTCTTACATATACCACAACTGTGATGTATCACCAAGATTTTCACCTCTTGCTGCTTTAAAGTGAACCTGGAACTTAGACATGAATAGGTTGAGTGTAGAATCATCCAATCCTCCAATATTTTGCATTTGTCTTGCCCACACCATGTGAAAGCAGGATTGTTTTTGTTTTTTTTTTAAGGGTGGGGAAAAAAAAGAAAAAAACATTGTCAGGACTCCCTAAAGCATTCAACTTAATTTTGATAGAATGAACTTTTTATTTTACAATCGTATTTCACTGGTTTTTATAATATTTCATTAAATGATAAAATCGTATTTGTAGATGAAACGGTTATAATCAGGTCTGAGAAAAAATAACTGATCCTTGACTAAATTGATTTGTAAAAGCGGAAGTATGTGAGCATACCAGAGTGTAGTTTATTAGTTTTGTTTATTTAGCATGCTATGGACATCAATATATTTTAAAGAAGAAAAACGATTTTGATTAATCTGGTAGCGTAAGCATACATGTAGTAGTAACTTTTTCTTTGTTGGTGTTTCTGTATAACTTAAAAAGAGATGAAACTAAACTGCAGTGAAATAACCCTTAGAGACTGGTAATCCACCCCTAATGAGCGAGTGCACATGTGAACAAGGTATGATGCATATCTTCAGCTGCTCACTTGACTTTTTCAGTTGGATAAATTTCCATCCTCTTTCATTGTAATATGGCCCAAACTAAATTCACTGTTTTCTTAAGCCTTCCTCCCATTTCCCAGGCTCTCTTAGAATTACTGCCATTTCCCCAGCTATCAAGGTATCCAATATAGCTAGAAAAAAATTATTTTGAAGGAATACTGCGTGTGCTGTAGGAGTTTTATGTGTGTTTTTTAAAATTATTTTGACCCTTACCTCTGATCCTCTTAAGTTTTGTCATTACCAGATCTTGTCATTTCTGAGAAATGCATGTTCCTCTTCATTTGAGTGGCCTCCCCAGCATGAGACCCTTTCCACCTGTTGAGTATATCACTGCAGTGGAAGGATCTTACTTGATTAGCAGCATTGCCTCCAGCCATTTGTATCCTTAAAGCTGTGGCAAGATCCTTTTTTCACAAATCCCATTCTCAGCAGTTCACTCTCCATTCAAGATTCTCAGTGGCTTTTCACTGACTGCAACATGTAATGTAAAAATATTTGTCTTTGCTCTCGGTGCCTTGCTTAACATAGATCCATCCTCATTTCAGGTATCAGTCTCTATTCTTTTATGCCCTGTGGGAACCCACCACAATCACGTTGTCTGTCTGCGTCTCTGTCCTCCAGACTTGTGCTCCGCCTCCACACCTCTGCTCATATGGAGCCATGTGGTCTGTAGGATCTTAGGTCTTATATGCCACTGATTCATGTCCTAAAAGTCCTTATTCAATTCTGCTTGACTCTCTTCCAAGGAACACTCCTCCGCAAACCTTTGAGCACCTAGAGATTAGGGACTGCTCATTCTGACATGAAACCAGCTGCACTGCATTTTATTGTTATGTAGTTGTGTTTATCTCCTCAACTCCAAATGAACCCCTTTGAAAGTTGGGACTCTTCTCTTAAATGTTTCTCTTTTTGTAGCTTCTCTTCTTCAGGGAGTGTAGAATACTTTCAACCCAGCACAACTGTATGAAAGACCTGATTGAGGAAACATAAGAATCACTAGGCCAGGGTCCCTTCCCTCTAGGTGCTCACAGTCTAATGGAAAACAGATGTGTCCTTAAACACACACATACACACACCCACACAGATACATAGACGTCTGATATGAAGTGAGAAAACTCTAAAATTTCTACTAATAAAGGTGTGTATTAGATGAAAGTTTGGAGGAAGGTGAGTGATACGGTTTGGCTGTGTCCCCACCTAAATCTCAACTTGAATTGTATCTCCCAGAATTCCCACGTGTTGTGGGAGGGACCCAGGGGGAGGTAATTGAATCATGGGGGCTGGTCGTTCCCTTGCTCTTCTCTTGATGGTGAATAAGTCTCTCCAGATCTGATGGGTTTATCAGGGGTTTCCGCTTTTGCTTCTTCCTCATTTTCTCTTGCGGCTGCCATGTTAGAAGTGCCTCTCACCTCCCACCATGATTCTGAGGCCTCCCCAGCCATGTGGAACTGTAAGTCCAATTAAACCTTTTTTTCTTCACAGTCTCTGGTATGTCTTTATCAGCAGCATGAAAATGGACTAATACAGTGAGCTTTCACTCTAACAATGGGGAGAAAGGTCTTTGATTTGGAGGGGTTCCTACTTGAATTGTATTAAATTAGACATTTGCATTTGAGCATTATTGGAAGAATAGAAAGATCCGTGTATTGTTTTCTTGCAGAAAAATTTTTTGAGGGAAGGAGAAACAGTATTGTTAAGTAAGAAGTAAGGAACTTAATAACTTGATCAAGTTCTTGTAACTAATCAGTGGCAGATACACGAGGGCTCTTGTTCTACTGCCGGTAGTTTTGAGTAGTAAGTTCTGCTGCCTCCTCAAGTTTTGTTAACATTCTTTTGAGTCACCTGAACATATGTATGAAATTTTTAGAGGGTAAGAAACTTTTTAGCCCCCGTTATGTAACACTCAAATCACTCAGGAGTGTTTCCTTTTCAGAGTACTTCAAACCTGCCATGGAGTTAGCCTTTGGGAAGGAGAAAGGCAGGTAACATAAAATATCAACTGAGAGGCTTTGAAGATGGGTGATGTGTTTTTTCTCCTTAGGATGTTAAATCACATATCACCACATGTGTGCATGGAAATGAAAAATGTCAGCAACACATTTATGTAAACCATGGATCATATTTGCATATACATTTCAACTCAGCCTTCCTACCCTGAGACCAGCAATGATTGATGCTTTGTATTTTGTCTTTTTAAAGATTTCTCTAGTCCTAGGATTTTGCTGCATGTTAAAACTCTTATCTCAATGAAAGGTAAATTAGATAATAAACTATAAACCTATGCTGTCTAGCACAGTAGCCACTAGCCACATGTGTCTATTTAAATGTAAATTAAATTAAAAATTGATTTCCTTAGTTGCATAGCCACATTTCAAGTATTCCATACCAAATTGAGATGTGCAGTAAAGGTAAAATACCAGATTTTAAAGATGTATTACAAAAACCAAATTTAAAATACTGACAAATTTTTGTATTGGTAATATGTTGAACTGACAATATTTTGGATTGTTTTATTAAGTAAGACACATTATTAAAAGTTTTGCCTCTTTTACTTTTTTATAATTGTTACTTAGAAGCTTAAAATTACTACTGTGGATCACATATTTCTGTTTGACAACACTGACTTAGAAAGTTCATATTTTAATTTTTAATTCTATTGTCTTAGTGTATAGGTTTATACTGAATGAGCTTACTAGGCATTTTGGAAAGCAGAGTGATTAGCAATGACTGAAACATAATATAGATGATTTAATGATTCCTACCATTTTTTGCCTGTAATTTTTACTGGGTCTACTAATCAGTTTTTTGGGTTTTTTTTTGCTAAAAGAAGCCTTTATCCTTGTTCAGGCCATCACCTTTTAAGACTGTTTTGGTTTTGATCTTGTTTAGCCTTTAATCTTTGCTCCTTGATTGGCTAGTGACAGGCAAACTGAATGATCGGGATTAAGATTCAAATATTTCATGAATGCTTTCACTACAGCATTCCTTTTTATAGGAAGTTACAGTCAATACAGTATATAAGGCAGTACTTAATCTGTCATATTTGCAGGCTAAGCCCTGAATTAGATATTTTAGTGCATGAAAAGATCTCCAGACTAAACGCATTCATTTGCTAATTAGAAAAAAATTTGTTTCCCACTAAAACATTTTACTCAGTAGTGTTTATGTAGAAATACTGTGAATATTCCTACAAAGTTGCTTAATTTATTTCTGTGAGTTCCAACTAGGTTCAGTATAATTTTTCCATTAGTGTAAGTATAGGCCTGCTAGTGTTACGTAAACCCTATTTAGCTGTTAGTACTGTTGTCACCACTCTGATTACTTAAAGAGGTCTCTAGAGCAGAAAACAGACTTCCTAACTTATGAGTTGTTAATATTTTATTTTTTATGTTATTTGGAATATCAAGATATAGTACGTTGGGGAGAAAAATCCTTTGTGAATTTGATAGAAAATTGGAAACCCAAGAAAAAGGCCATTGTTAAGGTTTTTGGCTAATCTCACCGAAATTGTCTGTAGTAACCCACACTGCCATATAAGGCGAGGGGAAACGGTGCCTTTTTGCATGCTATGGGGAATATGTAGCTTAGTAGTACAAAGATAAAGCAAAGAGCTCCAAAGATGCGGCCAAAAATAGTCGTATTGGGGTTTTTGCTGAATTGAATTGTACTGATGGCTGAATATTTTCCGGGATTGAGCCCTCTCTTCTAAACTTAAATCTTGTCCTGTTTCACCATCTATGGTAAAATATCCATGGAAACAAAGTGGCTTCCTCATGGGTTGCTTACTGATCCTGCATTAGGAAAGACCACACAGACATTCGAGGAAGAGAAAGAATATTTCATATGGCTGCTTTCCTTGTTAAGGGGGACCCAGAGAAATGTTTATTTCTGAATAGCTTACCTTCATTCCAAGAAATCGGCTTTTGGGCTTACATAGCAGTGGACATGTTACTGGAATCTTAAGAGTGACAAGAAATTATTGTTTCTGAAGATAGCTTGTCACTTTTTTCTCATAGGACTTGGCTGGGGTTCAGTGCTCTCTTTGGTCTTATTTGAATGGTATTTTATAAGTCAGACAAAATAATATTCAACTATTAATATTGTTCTGCTAAAACAGTTTAGAATAAAGATTTAATGTTCTCTTTTCAGTGAAGAGCTTGTGCCCACTGTGCAGTACTGTAATAAAAGAGAAACAAATGAGGCAGCTCAAAGTTATGGCTCTCCGTGGCTTTTAGGTCTCTCATACATTTTTATAAAACATATATCAGAACTTCTGAATTGTTAAATTGGGTTATTTTTTAAGTGCAGTTGTATTCAAATAAGGACCCGAGAGTAACACTCCATGTCCTGTTAGGTGTCAGCGTTCAGAACTGCCCGCCCCCTCCACCCCCAGCCGACAGACTTACTGCTGTTATTACATCCTCTGGTCTGTAGCTAGGAGAGGACGTTTGACCCCCTCAAGACTGTGCTTCTAGTTGTTCTTCAAGTAAACTGACTCAGCCCCAGGCTTACTGTCTTGCCTTTAGGCAAACAGGTAACTTGAGTTACACATCTCTTTTCTCATCTGTAAAAGGGGAATATAGAAAGTGTCACTTCTGGATTCCCAGTGGATTTAAAAGGCAAAAATGAGATTAACGATGTCTATGGCCAAGCATGGTGGCTCACAACTGTAATTTTGGTACTTTTTGAGGCCAAGATGGGAGGACTGCATGATCCGAGAGACCAGCCTGGGCAACATAGCGAGACGTTATCTCTATAAAAAAAATTAGGCATGGTGTCATGTGCCTGTAGTCCCAGCTCCTCAGGAGGCTGAGGCAGGAGGATCGCTTGAGCCCAGGAGTTTGATGTTACAGTCAGCTGTGATCCCACCACTGCACTCCATCCTGGGCACCAGAGTGAGACCCTGTCTCTACCAAAAAAAAAAATTGTCTGTGAATCTCCCAAATTGCTACAGTTTAATAATTTGCATCCCTATAGAAACCCAGGAGAACTTTAAAGAACAGAAAGTAAACTTTAGTGCAAATATTTGAGAGCCTAATGTGTCATTAAATGTTTCTGAGGAATATATGTTTGCTGAAAAGCTGAAAATTAGGGTTAGTGTAAGCATCACTCATAATAATCTCATGAAGAGAATCTTGCAGATGACATTGCCCAAGCATAGTACTGGGAGGATAATAAAAGGTGTGCGCATTTATTTGGGTGTCAGAAGATTAAGTACAGGGTGTGCTTCAGTATTAATTCTTCCTGCCCCAACCTAAACATTTAACCAAATAAAGAAGGAACATCAAGTCCCACAGAACTAGGAATGATACTACTATTCTGATTTCAAGAAGTATAATTACTGTCCTAACACTTAGAAATGACCAGAATTTAATACCCAGGTCTTCATTTTCCTCTGACTTCATTTTCCTCTGGCTGAAACAGGAGTGACAGAGGCCAGGATCATCAGAGGCAGATGGATCCCTATGGCAGGTTGTTTTGACTCTTCTAAGTTCTTTGCATTAAAACAACATTCCTCAAACACATTAGCCTCCCAGCACGGGGGTGGAAACAACAAAGCAGGAAGCCTGCTGGAGCCTTGGGGAAATCTTGAGTGCTTTGGGGTGATTTATTTTCAGAGGATTCGAACTAAGATCAGCTCAAGAGAAGATGGGAACATTCAGGATGGTGGGAAAGCAAAGTAACTGACTCCCTCCTTTTCCTCTCTGTAAATGGTCTCCTGGAAAGCCATCACAAGTAAATGTTTTATTCCACATAAATTTGTACCCTTGGGGGTACAAATGGGGGATTGAGAAGGGTTGTGGACTGCCTGGAACATGCTTTTTTCTTTTTCTCTTTTCTTTTTGAGACAGGGTCTCACTCTGTTGCCCAGGCTAGAGTGCAGTGGTGTGGTAACAGCTCACTACAGTCTCGCCCTCGTGGGCTCAAGCAGTCCTCCCACGCAGCTGGAACTACAGGCATGCACCACCACGCTTCTCTGTTTTTAAAAATCTTTTTGTAGAGACAGGGTCTCACTATGTTGCTCAGGCTAGAATGTGCTTTTTAATTTTAATTTTTTGGTAAGCCCTAGCCACATGAAATGAGCCCAGTGGGGTGGAGGACCGGCCCTGACAGAGCCTATATGATCCCTTGACTGGGTTAATGCAAAGTTGGGTCTCTTATTAAATTAAGCAGAAATTCCAGAAGGCTTGTGGCTGGGTGATGGATTTGGCCTCTAAAACCAGAATGACCCACAAAACAGGTTTTTGAGTAACAGATGCTTAATGAACATCCCTGACCCAACTTTACAAAAATGCAAACTGGGCTACAAGAGACTTAATCAGAGCAGGATGAAAGCCCAAGTTAGTGGGAGATGAGTGGAAGTCTCATGTACCCAACTGTGAAAGGGCTTCTTTTTCCAATTCAGAACAATTGTATTAGATGGTTATGAGGAACGATCATTTAGATGGAAGCTGAACTCCCTTTCGTTCACTCAGTGAAAACTAAATTGTTGGGCAGGTTCAGAGAAAAAAAATAGAAATAGTGTGTGTGTGTGTGTGTGTCTGTGTGTGTCTCTGTGTGTGTGTGTGTAATTTCTCTGGAAGCACAGGAATGATGTGTTCTTCTTTGTTAAGGGCATTATGAAACCACGGCAGTCCTCTTCTTGTACAGTGGTTGTAATTATAACCACAGGGATATTGTGTTCTCAAACAAACATTCAAGCTCCCTGATACCAGGTTGCCTGAAGCCAAGCTTCACATATGGATGTGTAAAACAATGCCTATTAGTAATCTCCCCCATCACTTGTCATTGGTCTTCCCCTCTGACAGTGGAAATGTCTTTATAGTCTGTGCCTGGCATATTGCTTTTGTTCATCTTAGGTTCATTATGTCTGTTTTAAACAATGAGAACATATAGGTCGTGGCACAGTGAAATGTAGCACCTGAAACTTAAGAGCTTGATCGGGTATATACATAAAGGCTGTCCTTCAGAAATTTCTTCATGATGCTGTTGCATGCCATTGGAACAGTTGGAAAAAGGAAAATTAGAACCACTTGCATGCCAGCCAGCTCTGTTTTTAACGCATGATTATTTTATTGGGGTGTACATTAATTAATCCCGAAATAAGATCCTGTGTGACATTCAGAGTTGTTTTGAGTAGCTCAGAGTTTAAATATTTTAGTTTTACAACTCTGTTATGCTGGCAGCCAACAATGGTGTCTCAGTGAAGTCAGCATATGAGCCCTGCTTGTGATGACATCTGGAAAGCTTGTTTTATCTATAAGCACAGTTGTAGACAAATGAAAGCAGACAGATGTAAGGCTGGGGTGGCATCTTCGCCTCGAGCACTCTCTGGCTGTACATTTTCCAGTGTGTCAAAAACAAGGAGCTTTATTTCGGGGGTGGAATAAAAACATTCTGTCACATCCCTACACCAGCTACTGTGCTGCCTTTTTTGAGCTATAAGGTGTAAAACGGCCTAGACTGTTCAAAATTTAACAAGAGACAGAGTTAATAAGTAAACAGGAGAAAGTCAGTAGTCAGATAGAGGTGCCTGAGTTTGGAGGGGACATGACACCACGTCAAAAGCCTTGGGGTCATTTTAAGAAGTTAATCACAACCACTTTCTCCTGGGAGAGCCAGAAAGAATAAAAGAGTTGGCAGGGGATTTGGAGTTCTGGGTAGATTTTTCTTTTGCCATTACCTTTATCAGCCAGGATTTATTAAGTACCCATGGCGTATAGAAAAGTCTACAAAGTAGTTTGGGTGAGTGGAGCAAAGAAAAGCTTTAGGACAGGGTCATGCTTGAAGATGAGTACTTAGAAGCCTGAAAGTCCGTGACATCTTCCATGGGTGGCTCTCAAGTCCTTTTGCTCAGGGACCATTCCTTAGGAAATCTTATACAAGGGCAGCTTGCCTTTTATCCCACTCCCTTTTTGCTGCTGTAGAAATAAGTATCCCTGAAAATAATCTCCACATATGCGTGTGAATTTGCTTGGATTTGAGTTAAAGCAGATGCTTTTCAAAGTTCTTGATCCTGCAATAGCAATAGAATTAGCTATGTGGGGTATGAAATTAATATTTTCATCTCTGGAGATTTATGGCTTCCTCCTATTTCATGGCATATACTGTGTATACCACTCTGTATACCATGTAATCATTGCTAATTATTGCTAAATAAGTTTTACCAAAATTTTGGGAAACCTGGACATGGTCTTGTTTAGCATCTGCTTAAGGACTGGATTGCCCACCTGCAGCCAAAACCACATAGCTTTATAGTATTTGAATCTTGTGTCTTGAAGAAACCATGCAGATACATGTAATTTGAGAGCAATGAAATAATGGAAATGAAAGGAAGGGAATAGTATGTAAGGAAATGAAATATGGTCAGTTGCTTGTATCAGGACAGAAGCCTCTTGGTTTCAGCAGTGTCTTTTTCAGTGGCCAAGGTGGTAGAGAATATACTTTTCATTTTAGCAATCAAGTTACATTATGGTATAAACAGGGGAAAACCGAGTTTTTCATTTCCCGTCTCATTCCCATCACACCATCATTAATCCTTTCAGAGTGCATGGTGTTAAGATCCACTGAGCCCTGGTAAGTGCCTTTGTGTATACAAAATGGCACTTTTTGTTTTACATGCTGTTGGATGTGGTGGAGAAAATACATGTGTAATCGAAAATGGACAGCAAATTGCCATTTGTACCTGCAAAGACTAAATGGTCCAGAAAGATGGATAGTTGGGGTGTTAGTCACACATGAGTAGACTGATGGGCTGGCCACGGAAAGCCCCGGACCTTTGCATGACTTTTCACTTAGAGCCATCTGAGGGGTTCAGTGACTCCGTGGCTGTTCTCTGAGACCCCAGTCTGGTCCAGAGAGTCCTGGAGTCTGAAGTTTGTGATGATACAGAGGTTGATTCCTCTGAGTTTATTCATTTAAATTAGAAACACAGAGGGAAGGGAATCTTTTCTTGTGATCCCAGTTATTCCTGATAGAGAAGAAGTAGCAGATTTTCTAAATTATCTGCCGGCTGTGGGGTTGGAAAGTAAGTAAGATTATATGTCTCATCATCCTTCTATGAGTATGTAGAAACGAGAGTCTTAGAATCAGTGTCTGCAATCACCTTCATCGGTGCTAGCTTACAATTTAAACTGTCAAAATAGACTTTATTTCCTTCTTTTGTTGTTCAATATAAGAAGAGGGTTTTTTTTTTCTGCCTATTAGTTTGAGTTTCTATAGATGACTATTTATAGCATTTTTTTAAAGGTTTCCCAACACTATTGGGTTGACACAATGGGATATAATAGCCAACAGGGACCTTGCACTGATACCAATTTGATTTATTTATAAATTAAATTATTCTGCTAAATCTGCTGTAGTACTATTTAGTCATTTTGATTTAATCAGAAGTATCCTTTATGATGCAATCTGCTGGAAGACTGTGTTTGGCCAAGATTAAACTTATTCTTTTGAAAACATTAAAACACAATTATGGATCTATAATTTCCCCTGTGGTATCAGTGAACATTAGTTATTATTGACATATATTGGTCTTCTATTATTACTAATATTTTTATTACTGACAACAGTTTTTAGTATTTAGCATGTGCCACATATAGTGCTAAGGTTTTTATATGTGTTTGTAGCTAACATTTATTGAGTACTTATTTTATTACACATACTTTGGAGCTCAGATTATCCAGTATAATTCACATAATGATCCCGTGAAGTTGGTACTAAGATTATAGTATTACCCTCATTTTGTCAACAAGGATGTAGGTTCAGAGAAATTAATTATCTTGTCTAAGATCACACATATTCTTTGCATATTGGACTGTATGTGTTTGTGTATAGGCATTAATTTCATTCTCAGTGTAGATCTGTACTTTCTTTTCCAAATATATTATAACCACACTGTACCTTGTACATGTAATTTTTACTCAGAAACTAACAACTTGTTGGCTTTAAAAAATACTCATTGAAATTGAACATTGCTTCAGTTTCTGAAATGAAAATAACCAGTTCCTAAGTTAGCAGTGATATCAGCGATGGTGTGTCCGGAATTGGTGGGTCCTTGGTCTCACTGACTTCAAGAATGAAGTCGCGGACCCTCGCGGTGAATGTTACAGCTCTTAAGGTGGCGTGTCTGGAGTTCTTTCTGATGTTCGGATGTGTTTGGAGTTTCTTCCTTCTAGTGGGCTCGTGGTCTCGCTGGCTTCAGGAGTGAAGTTGCAGACCTTCGTGGTGAGTGTTACAGCTCATAAAAGCAGTGTGGACCCAAAGAGTGAGCAGTAGCAAGATTTATTGCAAGGAGCGAAAGAACAAAGCTTCCACGATGTGGAAGGGGACCCGAGCGGGTTGCCACTGCTGGCTCGGGCAGCCTGCTTTTATTCTCTTATGTGGCCCCACCCACATCCTGCTGATTGGTAGAGCCGAGTAGTCTGTTTTGACAGGGCGCTGATTGGTGCGTTTACAATCCCTGAGCTAGACACAAAGGTTCTCCACCTCCCCATCAGATTAGTTAGATACAGAGTATGGACACAAAGGTTCTCCAAGGCCCCACCAGAGCCCAAACCCTGAGCTAGACACAGGGTGCTGATTGGTGCGTTTACAAACCTTGAGCTAGATACAGAGTGCCAACTGGTGTATTTACAATCCCTGAGCTAGACATAAAGGTTCTTCACTTCCCTACCAGACTCAGGAGCCCAGCTGGCTTCACCCAGTGGATCCCGCACCAGGCTGCAGGTGGAGCTGCCTGCCAGTCCCGTGCCATGTGCTCGCACTCCTCAGCCCTTGGGTGGTCGATGGGACTGGGCGCCGTGGAGCAGGGGGTGGCACTTGTCGGGGAGGCTCAGGCCGCACAGGAGCCCATGGAGGGGGTGGGAGGCTCAGGCATGGCGGACTGCAGGTCCCGAGCCCTGCCCCGCCGGAAGGCAGCTAGGGCCCGGTGAGAAATCAAGTACAGCGCCAGTGGGCTGGCACTGCTGGGGGACCCAGTACACCCTCCGCAGCCGCTGGCCCGGGTGCTAAACCCCTCATTGCCCGGTCCAGCAGGGCCGGCCTGCTGCTCCAAGTGTGGGGCCCGCCAAGCCCACGCCCACCCGGAACTCCAGCTGGCCCGCAAGCGCCGCCTGCAGCCCCGGTTCCTGCTCCCGCCTCTCCCTCCACACCTCCCTGCAAGCCGAGGGAGCCGGCTCTGGCCTTGGCCAGCCCAGAAAGGGGCTCCCACAGTGCAGCGGTGGGCTGAAGGGCTCCTCAAGTGCCGCCAAAGTGGGAGCCCAGGCAGAGGAGGCGCCGAGAGTGAGCGAGGGCTGTGAGGACTGCCAGCACGCTGTCACCTCTCAATGGGATGGTAATGATTTAACAGATTGGGTTTTCATCAGGCAGAGGGTTGTTTTTGTTTGCTAGAGAGGCTGTGCAGTGTACTGAGAAGCCGAAAAGTGTGCAGTGCTAGGTTGCCAGAGTTTGAATCCCATTTCTGCCACTTGTGAGGTCTTTGACTCTTTATGCCCCATGTTTCTTATTTTTAAAATGGAGATGATAATATTAAAAGTACCTATTTAATGGAGATGTTACATGTATCGAATGATGTTACCTGTGTTGAATGTTGTTACATGTGTTGAATGAACTTAGAATGGTACTTGCCACATAGTAAATACTGAATATTATAATAGCTGCTATACTTATTTTATGATAATAACTTTAGCTGATTCATGGGGGACCACAAGTAGCTTGCAAATAATTTTAAAGATTTTAGAAACATTTGGAAACTGTCAAAGGTAAGTATTCTTCCAAAGGTTAAGCTGTTACAGATAACATTTTAGTATCTTTGTGCCGAGCTATTAAAATAAACATAAATAATCTAACAAATATTTTACCCAACGTGCATAAAGAAAGAAGTCAGATCTTAAATGCAAGCAAAATTATATTAGCCTAACTTAAGCACTTGAAATGTTTATTTCTGTACTTTAAAAATGAGTGCTGACCCAGTGATATCAGGAACTTTCCCCCCAAAATTGTAAATTATAGGACTGTTATGCTGATCAATGATACATAAAAAAGACTCTTACAAGCAAATGTAATAAAATGTTAATTGTAGAATTTAGATGGTAGATACATAAGTGCTCACTGTACAATTCATTCGACTTTTCTGTGTATTTGAAAATTTTAATAATAAAATATTGAAGAGGAAGGCTCTTATACCTCCCTATCACTGAAGGGAAAATGAACCTTTTTGAAACTTGAAAACTTTTGCTAGGTGCTGTATTCTTTGGCATGAGAGATAGCAGTTGAAGTGGTCTGAAACACACACATGAACACACCCTCTGAAATCCCATTTTAGTCAAAGTTGGGGATAAATTTCCAACCACCAATTTTTTCTTTTCTTTTTCTTTTTCTTTTCTTTTCTTTTTTTTTTTTTTGAGACAGAGTCTCGTTCTGTCGCCCAGGCTGGAGTACAGTGGCGCAGTGGGCTCACTGCAGCCTCCGCCTCCCAGATTCAAGCAGTTCTCCTGCCTCAGACTCCCGAGTAGCTGGGATTACAGGTGTGCGCCAACGCGCCTGGCTAATTTTTATTTTTTTGGTAGAGACAGGGTTTCACCATGTTGACCAGGCTGGTCTCGAACTCCTGATCTCAGGTTATCTGCCCACTTCGGCCTTCCAAAGTGCTGGGATTACAGGCGTGAGCCACCGTGCCCAGCCCCAACCACCAAGTTTTTCTTTTTTGGAGTCCTCTTGGTTTTTGTGAATTGAAGTCCCATTTGCTTATTGGTCATCTGTTTAATATCAGGGTCATGCTTCTTTTCTTTAGTCCGAGCGGGAAGAGCTTTGAGAGATGAGAATGCAGGGAGCCACAAAATAGTTACTTCAATTTAGAGGTACTCTTACACACTGACATTCCTTTTTGACCTAGAAGAGTTTGCCAGCAGCTGTATGGTTAATATGGAGTTCACATTTTCTGAAGCTAATAAGCATCTGTACATTCTGTGATCTACACTTACAACATCTAATGGTCCTTTCCTCTTATAATTTGTGGTAAAAGATGTTTTTAAGCTGAATATTCTGTTACACTAACACTGTTCATTGAAGAATAAGATCAGAAATTAGGTTATAGATTACATCTAAAAAAAGGCAGTATTTTATAACCATGTGGAAGAAATATTAAGCTGAAAATGTTTGTATTTTGTGTCATTTATGTCATATGCCTTTTTAAGAAAAAGTGTCTTTGCTCATTAACAACAGAATTACGGTGGTATTATCTCCTTCTTCACAGATCACTTCTGGGATCTTGCTTTTAATTCTGGGTACCACTGTGTATGAGGAGCATTGAGCAATTGAAATGTGATCACCACTCATGACCAGGGTGGTGAAGGGTCTGCAGACTGACCACGGGGAAGCCATTGACAGTGTTTGGCCTGGAGAAAAGCCTGCCAGAATGGAGTCCTCCTCCCCATCTGTAAGGGCTTCCACGTGGACCAGGAAGCATATTGCTTTTGTTAATATCTCAGAGGACCGAAATTTATACGAAGGCAGATTTCAGCCCAGTGGAAGGAAAGACATAGAACAGTTCGAGCCATGAAACAATGAAATGAACTACCTCAGACTGTGATGAGCCAGATACAGCTGGGTTTTTTTTCCTGCCTGACTACTCCTGTCATCTGTTTGCAGGATATGGAAAGATGCAGGGGCCCGCTCAAGTCTTTTTCTAAGGAGAAATTTTAGTTCCTAAGCACCTAAAAAAAGACATGCTGAGAAGTTCAAATTGGGGGCCAGGTACCCCCACCGGAGGAGACTATCCCCTTTGTTCTATGAGTTGCTTCTAAAGTAGGAGCCAAAGGAAGTTTCCCTCCAGGCCTACTCTGAGGATGCCTGTCCTTTTGAAAGCATTCAAGAAAAAACACCTCTTGATTCAGGATCATGATACAAAGAAATAGAGATATCAAATTTTTGATAAAAAAGAAAATTCTATAATGTTAAAACTGAAATGAAATATAATTATATATGTTTCCCCATGAATATTTTTAAACTTTTTTTAGGGTTATAAGGAAATAGTCTAGATATATTAAATGTCTAAATGAAGTTCTTAGCTTTTCAGCAAGAAGAAATAGCTAAAAATTTAAAGTCAGGAAGCTTACAAAACAGATCCAAGAGAGTAAGAGACAAATAACTAATTCTTTTTGAAAAAATGTTTAAGTTTGCCATTAATAAATGATTGTCTAAGTGAGACAGCTTTGGCTGTTGCTTAGACATTTTAAAATCTTGATTTGTTAAGAAAATCAAGGACTTTTTTTTTTTAATCTCCTTGTCACATTGTTATCAAGGAAAGATTTTCTTTAAAAGCCAATACTAGACCCTAAAGGTAATCAAAGAGTATTCCGAAGCTGCATGATAGTTTTAAAATTTTCTCTTTTTAAAGGCAGTGTGTTGCTCTGTCACCCACGCTGGAGGGCAGTGGAGTGACCATTGCTCACTTGGGAACCTCCAGCTCCTGGCCTCAAGTGATCCTCCTGCCTCGGTTTCCCAAAGTGCTGGGATTACAGACCCAAATGATACTTTGGCTGTTCTTCAGGGAGAGGTCTTTTTCTCTCTTGCTCCTTTTCTTCCTGTCCTCTCCTTTTCTACCCTGATGGAGCAACATGGTGGTTTGGGACACTTGTATTTAAGTTCTCATTGAATATCGGGGTTCCTCTTGAAGGCTCTTCTGGATCCTACATTACTTCTGACACCCTCCCTGCTAATGTTCTTTCCCTACCACAGACACATGTAAAACCCACAAATTGGACAATTTTTGTACATTTCAAACCCCTTGCATCATTATGCTTTTTTCAAAAATACGATTTCAGGAATGATCACCTTGTAATATTAAATAGCTGTAGAAAATGACAGAAATTTGGCATGTATAGGAAGACCATTGGATCACAGTAGATTAACTCAGCATTCAGTCATTTGACATGTATTTTTTGGGTGCCTACTATGTGCCAAAGCTGAGAGGTTCTAGAAGTTAAAATGGTGAGCTAGATAAACCCGTGGTCCCTGCTTTCTTGGAGCTTACAGACTAGGGGGAGGGGACAGTGTCAAACTGCCAGAGTTTTTTTTTTTTTTTAAAAAAAACAACACACACACACGGGTTAAAAAGCAAGTTATCTAGAGTACTTCTGGAATCACTTCCTTGACAAAGTGAGCTTTGAGCAGAGGTCTGAAGGATGAGTTGCAATTAATGAGGAAAATGGTGATGATGAGGGGTGAGATACTTGGAGAAGCATGGCCTGCTGAAAGAACTGGCCACGGCGACCTAAAGGGAGCACCTCAGGTGTGTACAGGAGAAACTCCAGGGCGGTGTGGGAGCCTAGGTTTAGATACGCATTCCCCCTCTTTGCTCTGCTGCTGTTTTTAATACTTCTTCCAGAACTTCCCTAGGATTATCTTCCACAGGGGAGTAGATACTGTTTTTATTGTAATGAATCATCATCCTCTATTATTGCAAGTGATGAAGGCTTCTAGTAGCAGTGGAACTAGGAATGGCGTCAGTGGCTCAGCTCTTGATGGCAGATCTTTAGGGGGAAACCCTTTCAGTTTTAATGGTGGATAAAGCAAAACTCCTCGTTCTCATCAGTTTCCCCTCTAGGCTGTCCTGGGTAGGGAGTTGATAGGAGATCTTTTGGACACGGGAATTGCTTCACTGTTGACAGAAAGACATGGTGCATTTGATTAAATTAAATTAGGAGCATGTGTATGCTTGACAAAGTGAGCTAATGAAGGAAAATGCATCAAAAGGATTTATGGTGAATTGATTAAAATTTTTCTTTCCAGAAAACCCTTCCAGCTTAAAGCTTGGAATTGTAAGGCTATCGGTGCTGCTAGGCCCTCTAGGTTCTCACTTGCCTTTACAGTAGGCAGTTTGGAGACTTTTCTTTGAGCAGCTGCTCCTTCTGTAGCATACTCTGTTGCAGGCAAAAGTATTCCCAACCTGCAATCTGAATTGTATGGAGGAAAGGGGATAAAAGACACTGTTTGATTTATTAATTTCTAGTGGATTAGAACTACAAATGTTTGCTATGTTTTTAATTTGAGAAGTAGAGAGAATCACAGCAGCTTTTAATTATGCATTTTGTGTAATGCAGCTCTGAATAGAGCAGAACAAAATTAAAATTGTGGATCAAATACCGAATCTGAGTGGATGCTTAAGTGAGCTGTAGCGTAATGCTAATGGTTTTGCGTCTTCCTGGCATTATGTCAATAATGGCTGTAATCACATTAAGTAGAGAGCCCATTAGCTTTTTCTTTGCAGCAGCATGCACCATAGCAACATAGTGTGAGTTTCTAAAATAACTTTTGACATTGTTTTAAAAAACATAGCCATGTTTAGGGTAAGAGGCAAGTATATATAATGTGTACAGGTGAACACAGATGTGTTCACAAGGCTATGTTATATGTACAGTAAGATCATCTATTATATAGGCACATTAACCCCTGCTAACATTATGGCTTGGAAAAATCTAACCCAGTGTCCTTATCTTCATGAATTTAATAGATTCTCTGCTATTTTCACGAGAGTAAAGCCTTCCTGGAGTTCACCATGGTGTAAAGTCAGACCTACTTTCTGAATAGTGTTGTACCTAGAGTGTGGAAAAGCCTTTTAATATTTCCCTCCTTTGCTGCAATCTCATATGGCATGGCATTTCCAGCTGTCCAGGTCTATGTAGTTCTTTCTGTGTTGAAGCTGGAACACAGAAGTCTGATTGAAGTTCTTTTGCTTTAATGCCATTTTCAGTACCTTTTGATAGAGAGCTCCCAAGATGAGCCCACCATGTGGTGTTCATCATGGGTTTTTTTAATGACTGGGAGATTAGAATTACTATGGTATGTGAATATTCCTTCTACAAATAACTCAGTTTTGGGATATTCTCTGAGTAGTTAAACATTCTACCAATTTGATTTTTTTTCAACGAAAGCTTCAAGTGCAATTAAAACACTTTGCGTTTTTCTATTACACTATATGAAGATAAACTAGGAGTCAGTAAGGCAATTTTCAAAACAAAGTGTTGCAGAGATACTTTATTCTCAGTATGTGTATTAATAACTTGACTCATCTTTCTCATCAAACCTTCTCCCCACCAGCACATACCTGGAGGACATCCAGGGTGCAATATTGAGGGTTCATCTCCCATGCTCTCCTCTTTGTCACCTCCTCTATTCAATTACAAAACAAAAGAAAGAAAAATGGTGCTGCCTCAGCCATCTAAGTAAATACCATTGCCTCAGCCTTCTAAATAGCCCTTGAACACTTTTCTCCCTTCATTCAGGTCCTCATTGTCTCTTGCCTATTTTCACATCTAATGTTCCCAAGTGTTCTTCTTTCTGCTGTTTCATGAAATAATTTTTAAAAAACAACATATAGTGATTTGTATGTGGAGTTAATTTATTTTTTCCTGGGAGATATTCTTTTCAATTAGGATGTATAATCCTAACTTTTATTCAGTATGCAAGGATAAGTGACTTAATTTTTACAGCTGATCACTGTGCATTCTGTTAGTGCAGTTAAAAATTACAGTTCTCTCAGAACTTTAAAGCAAATGCTACATCAGTCAAGATTGGGTGTCTTTGTTTATCTTTGGTATCAAAGACCCAGAGAATTTGGAGAAACATCACACAGCTTGAAAAGTTATTTAGACAAGCTATAATATCACATGACTGCCCCCTGAGTGGTAAGACATTGCCCAGTGGATCTGAAAACACTTTTAAGTACTTAATCATCATCGTATCTTTTTTAAATTTTTTATTTCTTATTTATTTATTTTTGAGACAGAGTCTCGCTGTGTTGCCCAGGCTGGAGTGCAGTGGCACAATCTCGGCTCACTGCAACCTCCGCCTCCTGGGTTCGAGTGATTCTCCTGCCTCAGCCTCCCAAGTAGCTGGGACTACAGGAGTACACCACCACACCCGGCTAATTTTTGTAATTTTAGTAGAGACAGAGTTTCACCATATTGGTCAGGCTGGTCTCGAACTCCTAACCTCAGGTGATCCACCTGCCTCAGCCTCCCAAAGTGCTGGGATTACGCATGAGCCACCACGCCCGGTCCCATCATCGTATCTTCATGAGATAGTCAGGAATGGAATTTGAATACTTTAAATTGGAACATGGAGAGGTGAGGTGACTGTCTAAGGTTGCTTTGACAGTGGTGGAGCTGGGATCAACACTTTTATTTTTATATTTTAAAATATACTTCCTCTTAGCCTTTTAATTCAGAAAAGTTAACTTTAGTTTCTTAAAGGAATTCATAAGTGCTACCTCATATCCCTGTATAGCAGTCTTACCTTTACAGAGCACTTTCCGGTTTGTTTCTTGTTAGAACCCCACAAGGGAAAAAAGTAGGATCCCCTTCTGAAGATGAGAAATTTGAAGGATGGTCGGTTGTTAAAGAATCTGAATTCTTCTGACTCTTCGTCCATGGCATTCCACTGTATAATGCTAATTAAAATAGTTTCTTCTCTTCTGCAGAGATGTAAGGTTCCACTGTGACAAGTGCCATTTTGTCTGCCCACACACTAGGAACACCTCAATAGGGAAAGAAGTAAGAGCCACCTGATTTGCTCTTCTTGTATCATGCTTAGCTCCAAAGTAGTCTCCCAGATGTGTGTCCTTTTCCACTGTTGTCTCCTGTCTGTCTAGATGTGCCTTGGGACTCTGCCATAGTATCCACATACAGCTGCTGCCTCTCTGTGGATGACCCATGTCCATTTCCCATGCTTCCACCTTCCTTCTGTACCAGTTACACATTTTCAAATGTCCACTGACTTCTGATGCCTGTTGGCACGATCCACAAATCCATATCAACATAACTAAAACTTAATTTTTTATATTTCACCCCTTTCATTAAGTAGCTGTTTCTCATAACTTCCAACATTAACCTTTCATTTACTATTCATTGAGCCTCCAATGGCTGAATTTTCTGGTGCATCTCTTGGCATTTCTAAAGTTCCATAAAGCAGCACTTGCCTCTAAGAGATGTAAAAAGAAGAAGGATTATAAGAAGTGGACCATTCTTGGATTTTAGAAGTTTCACTATGTTTGAAGGCTAAGAGGCTGGTTTAGGACTGAGTGAATAGGCGAGCCAGTCTGGAAGGAGTTGGAAGGTAACTAAGCCATGTGACCTCTTCTGAATTTTTATCCTAAAAGAGTGCACAGCCTGTAGAGGAGAGTAGGTATATATAAGAACCTAGGTGAAGGTAAAGCTACCAGAACATGTTTTGAAGGCTTAGATCTCAGTTTTTCCTAATTTCCATCATTCTCACTGACAAATGCAGGGCAGCACCTCATGTAAGCTTACTACCAGCTTTTCTATTTACCCCTGCAACTCTGTCTCACACTGACCCTTTCTCCCCTCTTTCTCCTAGGAAGTGAGAGGGGAAGGAGAAGTAAGATGAGAAAGCAGTGAGGTTATATACCTGTACTGTCCAGACTCCTTTCCCTTTGTGTTACTACAGGACAATATAGTGCTTGTGAGGCCTTTGGAATATATCCTTACAGATCTTAAGAAAATCATGTATTAGTTCGTTTTCATGCTGTTGATAAAGACATAACTGAAACTGGGAACAAAAAGAGGTTTAATTGGACTTACAGTTCCACATGACTGGGAAGGCCTCAGAATCATGGTGGAAGGTGAAAGGCACTTCTTACATGGCAGAGGCAAGAGAAAAAATGAGGAAGAAGCAAAAGCAGAAAGCCCTGATAAACCCATCAGATCTTGTGAGACTTATTCACTATTGCAAGAATAGCACGGCAAAGACCCGCCCCCATGATTCAGTTACCTCCCCCTCGGTGCCTCCTACAACATGTGGGAATTCTGGGAGATACAGCTCAAGTTGAGATTTTGGTGGGGACACAGCCAAACCATATCATTCTGCACCTGGCCCCTCCAAATCTTATGTCCTCACATTTCAAAACCAGTCATGCCTTCCCAGCAGTCCCCCAAAGTCTTAACTCATTTCAGCATTAACCCAAAAGTCCACAGTCCAAAGTCTCATCTGAGACAAGGCTAAAGTCCCTTCCGCCTACAGGCCTGTAAAATCAAAAGCAAGCAGCTGGGTGCAGTGGCTCACGCCTGTAATCCTGGCACTTTGGGTGGCCAAGGCGGGCGGATCACGAGGTCAGGAGTTTGAGACCAGCCTGGCCAACATAGTGAAACCCTGTCTCTACTAAAACTACAAAAATCAGCTGGGCATGGTGGTGCATGCCTGTAGTCCCAGCTACTTGGGAGGCTGAGTCAGGAGAATCGCTTGAATCCGGGAGGCGGGGGTTGCAGTGAGCCAAGATCGTGCCACTGCACTCCAGCCTGGGCAACAGAGTGAGACTCTATCTTAAAAAAAAAAAAAAAAAAATCAAAAGCAAGCTAGTTACTTCCCAGATACAATGGAGGTATAGGTATTGGGTAAATACAGCCATTCCAAATGGGAGAAATTGGCCAAAACAGAGGGGTTACAGGGTTCATGCAAGTCTGAAATCCAGCAGGGCAGTCAAATTTTAAAGCTGCAAAATGATCTCCTTTGACTCCAGGTCTCACATCCACATCACGCTGATGTAAGAGGTGGGTTCCCATGGTCTTGGGCAGCTCCGCCCTTGTGGCTTTGCAGGGGACAACCTCCCTCCCAGCTGCTTTCATGGGCTGGCATTGAGTGTCTGTGTCTTTTCCAGGTGCATAGTACAAGTTGTCGGTGGATTTACCATTCTCGGGTCTAAAGGTCGGTGGCCCTCTTCTCACAGCTCCACGAAGCAGTGCCCTAGCAGGGACTCTGTGTGGGGTCTCCTTCCCTATGTTTCCCTTTTGCACTGCTGCAGCAGAGGTTCTCCATGAGGGCCCCGCCCCTGCAGCAAACTTTTGCCAGGGCATCCAGGTGTTTCCATACATCTTCTGAAATCTAGGCGGAGGTTCCGAAACTTCGATTCTTGACTTCTGTGCATCTGCGCACAGAACGCCATGTAGAAGCTGCTAAGGCTTGGGGCTTCCACCCTCTGAAGCCACAGCCCAAGCTGTATGTTGGCCCCTTTCAGCCACAGCTAGAGCGGCTGGGATACAGGGCACCAAGTTCCTAGGCTGCACACAGCATGGGGACCCTGGGCTCAGCCCATGAAACCACCTTTGCCTTCTGGGCCTCTGGGCCTGTGATGGGAGGGGCTGACAGGAAGTTCTCTGACATGGCATGGAGACATTTTCCCCATGTTCTTGGGGATTAACATTAGGCTCCTTGCTGCTTATGCAAATTTCTGCATCTGGCTTGAAGTTCTCCCCAGAAAATGGGGTTTTCTTTTCTATCACATAGTCAGCCTGCAAATTTTTTAAACTTTTGTGCTCTGCTTCCCTTATAAAACTGAATGCCGGCTGGGCATGGTGGCTCATGCCTGTAATCCAAGCACTTTCGGAGGCCGAGGTGGGCGGATCATGAGGTCAGGAGATTGAGACCATCCTGGCTAACATGATGAAACCCCATCTATACTAAAAATATAAAAAATTAGCTGGGCGTGGTGGTGGGCGCCTGTAGTCCCAGCTACTCAGGAGGCTGAGGCAGGAGAATGGCATGAACCCGGGAGGCAGAGCTTGCAGTGAGCCAAGATCATGCCACTGCACTCCAGCCTGGGCAACAGAGCGGGACTCCATCTCAAAAAAAAAAAAAAAAAAAAAAAGAATGCCATTAGCAGCATGCAAGTGTTGAGTGCTTTGCTGCTTAGAAATTTCTTCTGCCAGATAACCCTAAATCATCTCTCTCAAGTTCAAAGTTCCACAGATCTCTAGAGCAGGGGCAAAATGCTGCCAGTCTCTTTGCTAAAACATAACAAAAGTCACCTTTGCTCCAGTTCCCTTCAAGTTCCTCATCTTCATCTGAGACCACGTCATCTGAATTTTATTGTCCATATTGCTATCAGCATTTTGGGCAAAGCCATTCAACACATCTCTAGGAAGTTCCAAACTTCCACATTTTCCTGTCTGTTGAGCCCTCCAAACTGTTCCAGCCTCTGCCTGTTACCCAGTTCCTAAGTCGCTTTCACATTTTCGGGTGTCTTTTCAGCAACGCCCCACTCTACTGGTACCAATTTACTGTATTAGTTTGTTTTCATGTTGCTGATAAAGACATACCAGAGACTAGGAACAAAAAGAGGTTTAATTGGACTTACAGTTCCCCATGGCTAAGGAGGCCTCAGAATCATGGTGAGAGGCGAAAGCCACTGCTTACATAGTGACAGCAAGAGAAAAAATGAGGAAGAAGCAAAAGCAGAAACCCCTGAAAAACCCATCAAATCTCGTGAGGCTTCATCACTATCTCGAGAACAGCATGGGAAAGACCAGCCCCCATGATTCAGTTACCTCCCCCGGGTCCTTCCTACAACATGTGGGAATTCTGGGAGATACTACTCAAGTTGAGATTTTGGTGGGGACAGAGCCAAACCATATCAAATCATTAGTACTGTTTGAGAGCATGTTCACTTTTTCTGAGCTGCTTATTGCTGTAGGTGAAAGCAAGTTTTACTCCTTATAAACTAAAATTTAGTCATATACAGTACCTAGTTTGTTAGCAGTGTTTAAAATATAAAAAGCACACACAGGTATAAAGTATAATGTTCCATAGCACATAAGCTGAAAAGCTCATAATTAATTTTTAAAATCCAAGATTTTAACTAGATATATTCATTCAGCAAACATTTTCATTAGTTTTCTGTGAATATAAGAGTGAAAAGTTACTATCCCTGTTGTCATGCAAACTGACAATTGCAATGCTATGTGATATTTGTATTATTGGGGATATGGACAACTAGAGGTATATGAGTATGCACCTCAGTGTCACATTTGGGCCTAGATACCTCCTCTGCCTTCTGTTAGCTGTGTCACCTTGAATAACACTTTTAAGCCTCTTAAACCTCAGCTTGGAGATGATAATAGTACCTACCTTCTGGTGGTTGTTGGGGAAATTATTCAAGATACTGCATATAGTCCGGGTGTGGTGGCTCACACCTGTAATCCCAGCACTTTGGGAGGCCGAGGTGGGATCATGAGGTCAAGAGATCAAGACCATTCTGGCCAACGTGGTGAAACCTCGTCTCTACTAAAAATACAAAAAGTAGCCAGGCGTGGTGGTGCACGCCTGTAGTCCCAGCTATTCGGGAGGCTGAGGCGGGAGAGTTGCTTGAACCTGGGAGGCAGAGGTTGCAGTGAGCCGAGATCATGCCTCTGTACTCCAGCCTGGTGACAGAGCGAGACTCCATCTCAAAAAAATAAAAAATAAAAAAAAATAAAGATACTGCATATAAAATACCTAGCAGAATACTTGGTGGAAAACAAATGTTCAAAACATATTAGCTATTGTTATTGTAACTCTAGTAGCGAAAGGAGTCTCTAAGTGTGTCTTGGGCAGTCAAGGAAGACTTTGCAAAAGAGGTAGGTAGCATTCAAAGTGATGCTCAAGAAATGAGTGTAGGGCCAGGCATGGTGGCTCATGCCTATAATCCTAGCACTTTGGAGGGTCGAGGCAGGAAAATCACTTGAGCCCAGGAGGTCAAGGCTGCAGTGAGCCATGTTGGTGCCACTGCACTCCAGCCTGGGTGACAGGTGAGAACCTGTCTCAAAAAAAAAAAAAAAAAAAGAGAAAGAAAGAAATGAGATTAGGAGTTTTTCAGGAACACAGTAACAGAACAGCATCCACTCAAGGATAGAATTGGAAGAAGTGATAGCATGTTCCAGGATTTTGTGCATCAGTATTTCTGAAGCATAAGAACCTGGTCAGGCACCAGATCATGAGAGACCTTGTTATCCAGAAGATGGCATTTTTTTTTTTTTAATTTTTTTTTTTTATTATACTCTAAGTTTTAGGGTACATGTGCACATTGTGCAGGTTAGTTACATATGTATACATGTGCCATGCTGGTGCGCTGCACCCACTAACGTGTCATCTAGCATTAGGTATATCTCCCAATGCTATCCCTCCCCCCTCCCACGACCCCACCACAGTCCCCAGAGTGTGATATTCCCCTTCCTGTGTCCATGTGATCTCATTGTTCAGTTCCCACCTATGAGTGAGAATATGCGGTGTTTGGTTTTTTGTTCTTGCGATAGTTTACTGAGAATGATGGTTTCCAATTTCATCCATGTCCCTACAAAGGACATGAACTCATCATTTTTTATGGCTGCATAGTATTCCATGGTGTATATGTGCCACATTTTCTTAATCCAGTCTATCATTGTTGGACATTTGGGTTGGTTCCAAGTCTTTGCTATTGTGAATAGTGCCGCAATAAACATACGTGTGCCTGTGTCTCTATAGCAGCATGATTTATAGTCCTTTGGGTATATACCCAGTAATGGGATGGCTGGGTCAAATGGTATTTCTAGTTCTAGATCCCTGAGGAATCGCCACACTGACTTCCACAATGGTTGAACTAGTTTACAGTCCCACCAACAGTGTAAAAGTGTTCCTATTTCTCCACATCCTCTCCAGCACCTGTTGTTTCCTGACTTTTTAATGATTGCCATTCTAACTGGTGTGAGATGATATCTCATAGTGGTTTTGATTTGCATTTCTCTGATGGCCAGTGATGATGAGCATTTCTTCATGTGTTTTTTGGCTGCATAAATGTCTTCTTTTGAGAAGTGTCTGTTCATGTCCTTCGCCCACTTTTTGATGGGGTTGTTTGTTTTTTTCTTGTAAATTTGTTTGAGTTCATTGTAGATTCTGGATATTAGCCCTTTGTCAGATGAGTAGGTTGCGAAAATTTTCTCCCATGTTGTAGGTTGCCTGTTCACTCTGATGGTAGTTTCTTTTGCTGTGCAGAAGCTCTTTAGTTTAATTAGATCCCATTTGTCAATTTTGGCTTTTGTTGCCATTGCTTTTGGTGTTTTGGACATGAAGTCCTTGCCCACGCCTATGTCCTGAATGGTAATGCCTAGGTTTTCTTCTAGGGTTTTTATGGTTTTAGGTCTAACGTTTAAATCTTTAATCCATCTTGAATTGATTTTTGTATAAGGTATAAGGAAGGGATCCAGTTTCAGCTTTCTACATATGGCTAGCCAGTTTTCCCAGCACCATTTATTAAATAGGGAATCCTTTCCCCATTGCTTGTTTTTCTCAGGTTTGTCAAAGATCAGATAGTTGTAGATATGCGGCATTATTTCTGAGGGCTCTGTTCTGTTCCATTGATCTATATCTCTGTTTTGGTACCAGTACCATGCTGTTTTGGTTACTGTAGCCTTGTAGTATAGTTTGAAGTCAGGTAGTGTGATGCCTCCAGCTTTGTTCTTTTGGCTTAGGATTGACTTGGCGATGCGGGCTCTTTTTTGGTTCCATATGAACTTTAAAGTAGTTTTTTCCAATTCTGTGAAGAAAGTCATTGGTAGCTTGATGGGGATGGCATTGAATCTGTAAATTACCTTGGGCAGTATGGCCATTTTCACGATATTGATTCTTCCTACCCATGAGCATGGAATGTTCTTCCATTTGTTTGTGTCCTCTTTTATTTCCTTGAGCAGTGGTTTGTAGTTCTCCTTGAAGAGGTCCTTCACATCCCTTGTAAGTTGGATTCCTAGGTATTTTATTCTCTTTGAAGCAATTGTGAATGGGAGTTCACTCATGATTTGGCTCTCTGTTTGTCTGTTGTTGGTGTATAAGAATGCTTGTGATTTTTGTACATTGATTTTGTATCCTGAGACTTTGCTGAAGTTGCTTATCAGCTTAAGGAGATTTTGGGCTGAGACGATGGGGTTTTCTAGATAAACAGTCATGTCGTCTGCAAACAGGGACAATTTGACTTCCTCTTTTCCTAATTGAATACCCTTTATTTCCTTCTCCTGCCTGAATGCCCTGGCCAGAACCAGAAGAAGGCATTTTAATTGCATACTCTGTACCAGTCATCTCCTAAGTGGAACTTTTTTTAGATAGCTAATTTAGGCAGTTTATTGAGATATGTTAAGAAAGTGTTGAATTTCTGTTGATTTTTTTCCTTATCTTGTTATAATTTGTCTTATAATATTCATGTTATATGTGTAATATATTTATAAGGCATTAAATATTAGTATTGTAAGTACGTGTATGTAATTTGAACGTGATAGTCAACCAGTATACAATTGTGACCCAATAATTGTTTTTATGGCTGGTGTTTGTTCTAATCAGTAATGGCATGTTGGCATCTGTTCAGATTGATTGTTGCCTTGTTGCCTGGCCCTACCGGTTATTAACCCTTTTTTTTTTTTTTTTTTGGAGTTGGAGTCTCACTGTCGCCCAGGCTACAGTGTAGTTGCACAATCTCAGCTCATTGCAACCTCTGCCTTTTGGGTTCAAGCGATTCTCATGCCTAAGCCTCCATAGTAGCTGGGACTACAGGCGCCTGCCACCACACCTGGCTAATTTTTGTATTTTTAGTAGAGATGGGGTTTTGCCATGTTGGCCAGGCTGGTCTTGAACTGCCGACCTCAGATCATCCACCTGCCTTAGCCTCTCAAAGTGTTGGGATTACAGGCGTGAGCCGCCAGGCCTGGCCTTATTAACACATTTCAATCTTACTCCTGTAAATATACCAGAGTGGCACTGTGTGCTAATATTTTGTAACTGATCATGGGCCTGTTGACTACTCTTCTGGAAGACAGGGAGCCATTACAGAACTTTGGGCAAGAGAGTGAAATGATTAAAAGTCGTGTGTTAGAATTCACTGAATCATCCTGAGGGCTAAGTTAGCATTGGAAAGGCCATAGGAGGAGCTATCACTTCCTAATTTATTTAGGTGTAAGCATATAGATCATAGTTCAGTCACAGACATCACCCATCTTGATGGAAGACTTATGAAAGAAGAACATGATTAGTTTTAACTTTTTCAGGATTAATAAGTAGAAAGGATAGGAGATGAATTTTGAAAAAACCATTGCATCACATCATATAATGATATAGTTACCATCTCTGCTAAAATACAAAAATTAGCCAGGCGTGGTGGCAGGCACCTGTAGTCACAGCTACTATGGAGGCTGAGGCATGAGAATTGCTTGAACCCGAGACAAAAATTAAAGACTGTTCTTTCAAAATATTCTGAGAAGAAAGGAAAGTAGATATGTTTAGGAAATATTTAATCTTATATTAATTATTTAATCTTATCAGTCTGCAAAGAGATGCCCCTCCCTGTCTTTGTTCTTTGTCTTCATGTATGATGTGCTAGTTATTTAATATTGTGTCTCTTTTGTGCTTCGGATCCTGAATGACCTCAGCTGAAGTTTCTTCCCTTCTTCCAGGTTTGTTTGATACTTAAATATTAAGTATTTAAATATTAAAAAATAATATGGGTAATATTTAATCTTAATCCTAATGACCTGAATGGCAAAGACACTGTACTCTTGGAGCAGATGTCCAGACATTGGCCTGTGTGCCATGCCAGTCCTGTGCAGATTGTCTGAACATCAGCCTGGAGAGAAAATGAATAAATACATTTTTAACAATTATTTATTTATTTGAGGATCTTAAAGAGTTGTTAGCTATTATTAGGGTCTACTACTAGCTCCTCCCATTTTAAATCATTTATATTTGTCTTCTTTCTTTTTTTTTTTTTTTTTTTGGAGACAGGGTCTTGCCCTGTCTCCTAGGCTGGAGTTCGGTAGCACAATCTTGGCTCACTGTAACCTCTGCCTTCCAGGTTCAAGCAATTCTCTTGTTTCAGCCTCAAGTAGCTGGGATTACAGGTGTGCACCACCAAGCCTGGCCAATTTTTGTATTTTAAGTAGAGACAAGGTTTCGCCATGTTGGCCCAGGTGGTCTCAAACACCTAACCTCAAGTGATCTGCCTGCCTTGGCCTCCCGAAGTGCTGGGATTACAGACATGAGCCACCGGGCCTCCCAAAGTGCTGGGATTACAGACGTGAACCACCATGCCTGACCCTATTTTTGTCTTTTTCAGTTGTGAATTTTGTAGTTGGAGGAGGAATTAGAAAATAATCTCCTATCATTGTTAATATGTAACCGTCATTTGCAACAAATGGAAATTTAATTCTGTTTTTGTCAGTGCGGTGAGATAGCATCAAGTATACCCTTCATTTGGATAGATTAGTCAAGAATTTGGCCGGGCGCGGTGGCTCACGCCTGTAGTCCCAGCACTTTGGGAGGCCGAGGCGGGCGGATCACGAGGTCAGGAGATTGAGACCATCCTGGCTAAAACGGTGAAACCCCGTCTCTACTAAAAATACAAAAAATTAGCCGGGCGTAGTGGCGGGCGCCTGTAGTCCCAGCTACTTGGGAGGCTGAGGCAGGAGAATGGCGTGAACCCGGGAGGCGGAGCTTGCAGTGAGCCGAGATCCCGCCACTGCACTCCAGCCTGGGCGACAGAGCGAGACTCCGTCTCAAAAAAAAAAAAAAAAAAAAGAATTTAATACTTGTATGCTCACAGTGGCAAATTTTCAGCATAGTCATTTTTGTTAACTTTCCAAAATGTTGTCAGAACGTGCTGTCATTCACTCTCATTCAATCTCCTGAAAGTTAACTCCTGTCTCATTTTCTGTGAGATGATCCATGTTTCCTGTTACACACACAGTCAGTACACTCTTAGTGTACTAGTCTCCCTGCACACCTTTCAGAACAACATTGCTTTCAGTAGTAAAAATGGAAAGAGAGAGGCCAGTGGAGTAATGTGAGGAAAGAAGGAAATGGGTGGGCTGCGGGGGAAATGATCAGTTCCCCAGAAATGGTCGGTTCTGGAGAAGGAAGAGGATAGTTCTAAAATTTGGGCATAAAACTAGGACATCAAACAAGCCTGGATGAAGGGAAGAAACTTCAGCTGGGGTCATTCAGGATCTGGAGCACAAAAGAGACATAATATTAAATAACTAGAACATCATACACAAAAACAAAGAACAGAAAGAGGGAGGGGCATCTCTTTGTCAAAGGAGGACAATGTGAAGACCAGGAACAAGCAGGAATGGAGAAAATGATCTGGTCTTTGGATCTGTGTTGCAGACTGATGATAGGTTCTGTCTCCCCCGCCATTTCCATTGTGGAAGAGGTATGATGTAGCTGGAAGAAACTTGATAAAGTATCCTACAAGTAAAGCCCTTCGTGTGTGCCTTTGCCACTTTCCATTATGTGGAGTTTTTTCCTGGTGTTAGATAGGGCTTTTTTTCTCTTACTTTTCTCCAAACTTTGTCTTTTGGCTCTTCGTGTTAATCATTTTGCCAGCAGGAGTTACAAGATTTGGTTTTGGTTTCCACTTTACACCAGTTTACACTTAAAGGCAAACATTTAATTCAAGCTTTGGAGAAGGTAGAGAAGGTATAGGCATAGGTGCTTTATCTCAATATAAAAGTTGGGGGCAGAATCTCAGGAGATGGCTCCTGAGCTGTTCTTAGATGTATCACTTTATTAATTCTTACAATAAAGCCAAATTGAATTGATGTCGGCATGTCATGTTCTAACTGGCTTTAATAATTTTTTTCTTTGGCTGGTGGATGGAGATGGTTTTGAGTTATAAAAAAGTAAAGAACGTGAGTGAGGAAATCCTGGGTTAGCTCAGAGACAGCAGGAGGATTTCTGAGAGAGTGGCTGAGGAAAAAGCAATCCATAGACTTGCCAATGGACACTCATTAAATGTTAATAGGAACTGCATGTGATGAAAGGCAGGCGGCTCTGGATTCATCTTGTAACTGTATGTCTACAACTGGAGGTGTGTGAATGAAATCAAGGAAAGGCATTAAAGAAATTATTTGTTAGGAAGCAGAAGCAAGAGTTTGTTTACTTTCATACTAAAGAGAACACTACCAGCATTTGTGAACTGCATGCACATGAGAAGTGAGCAGGCTTCCAGCTCAGTGGCAGGTGCAAGATGATGTTAGAAACAAAATAACTCTTATACTTGAATAAATTCACAAGAAGGTTGTGAGTCCCTGACACAGTAGGTATGTAAAACCACGTAGCTGACATCAAGGCCTGTTGCACTTTTGTAACCTCCTTGAATCACTGGAGCGAGCAGTCCCTGGTGATGCAGCGTGTTGCAGGGCTCTGTGCCTTGATAGGGAGTTGCACCTGTGATACCCGAAACCTCCTTACAAACTCCCCCCGCCACCCCCCACCACGTTGTCCTGGATCATTGGAATGCAGGCGCTGGATTGAAACGTTTATTCATAGTAGATTAAGAGTCTAAGTATCTGTGAGGCCTCACTTAGGAGGCTCTTAGAGGATTAATAAAATATTTACAAAATAACCTATGCAATTGCTTCATTTTAAAGATATTTGCCTCTTATCACAGCATAAATCCTCATTCAAGTGGCTTCTCTGTTCTGTGAAGGAAGTTCTGTACTTGTTCTTCTGGAGAAGCAGAAACAGATTCCTGCCATACTTTAATTAAAAACATGGAAGCGCCTGGTTTCTCCACACGTGCACATTCTTGTTCTTACACACACAGCCCCAACAAAGAGATCAACAGAGGGATATAAAATGATCATTTTTGAAAAAGACTTACTGATTCAAGTGAGCGGCATTCACATGTAAAATGTTCCGAAAATTTATTCTGTTATTTATGATAAAGAATCTTATCCCTGCATGTTTTACCTATAACCAAGAGAGCCTCAATTGATCAAAGTATAGTTTTTCTAGTAATTAAAAATGAATATTGATGTAATTAAAAATGTTATCCTTAAAAGTCTATTATGGTACTTACTGTATACTATCTTGTCTGCCGTCTTGGTAGATCAAGTTGTACAGTCATATTTCTAGATGTAGGATCAAGATTTCAGTTAATCCTTGGGTTTATGCTAAGGCCACAAGTATGTATTATCTGTATGAACAACCATTTATGGAGTGCCTGCCATATGCCTAGAATTCCGTGAGGCCTTTCACGAGTACTGCTGTGTCATTTAATTCAATCCTGATAATAACGCTAAAAATCAGGGATTTCTCATCTTGTTTTACACCTGGGTAACTGAGGCTCAGGGTAGTCAACGCAGATCATAGTAAGTAAAAGACTCGGTGTTGAAGCACCGCTCTGTGACTCCATGCCTCATATAATAGAGGATTGCATTGTATTTTGTTTTGGTTTGGGTTTTTTGATAGAATCTCACCCTGTCACACAGGCTAGAGTGCAGCGGCATGATCTCGGTTCACTGCCACCTTTGCCTCCCGAGTACAAGTGATTCTTGTGTCTCCACCCCCTGAGTAACTGGGATTACAGGCTTGCACCATCACACCTGGCTAATTTTTGTATTTTTAGTAGAGACGGGGTTTCACCATGTTGGCCAGGCTGGTCTCGAACTGCTGGCCTCAAGCAATCCACCCGCCTTGGCCTCCCAAAGTGTTAGGATTACAGGCATGAGCCACTGTGCCCGGCCTTATTTTGTTTTGACTTTTTTTTTTTTTCTGTTCCGTTTTACCTCCACTTATTTCCAAGAAGGGAGAATTTCAGGGTTGTTAGAACCAGAGCTTAATCCTTTTTTCCTGATGGCCAGTGCTTTGTAATAACAGTGATCTTTTACTGAATTTCCCTTCAATGATGTACTATTGCTCTTGTTGTCTTGCTGCCTTTTAAATTATGACTTCTCTATATTATAACTTAAAGTTGGTACTTTGATAATTGTTATCAACTTTAATAAAATATGTATTAGATGACTTAAAATTTACCAGAAATCTGTATTAAAATAGTCTTTAGGGCAAACAAAAAATTACCTGACAACAGTCTACTCACTTGCACGTGCGCTTTCCCTCTCTAGGTAATAAGATGGAAATATTTTTACCTCTTTCATTTTCTTTCTCAAAGCCGTTTCAGAAAGGGATAATGTAGCTGGCAGCTGTGGCCATAGGAAGTCTGTGCAATCTGTGGTTTATATACATGAAAAATATATGCCAAAATATATGCATTTACTATGGTTTTTTTTCTTTTTATTTGTTGATAAGGTGCATAAGCCCCAACTTTCCACTAGACTAACTTGTGATTAATTGGGACATCTTTGTTCTCTCCAATGTGGGATCTAAAAACCAGCCTCCGTCTTCACTGTATGGCAGTGCAGCTGCTGTTTGCATGCTGTTTTCTTTGTTGCTATGTGTGTGGGTGCCTCAGGCCCAAGTCCTGAGTCCCCATTCTCCTGCCGTGTATTGCTTGTGTTTCTGTGGAGAATTGTAATGTTCTTGGATCAGGGACTTTTACAAATAGGTGTGTTCTTCCTAGTTGGCTTGGAGTGATCAAAGACCACCATGTTTCATTTTGCCCAGAGCCTTCGAATCCCACCCACCACCCTCAGTAAAATCCTTTGCAGAGAGCTTTACCCTAAAGACACAGAAAACAAATGCAACACCTGTGACCCTAAGAGCATTACTTACAAAGGCCTGGAAACTCCCTGAATGCTGTTTATAAAGTACACCCTCAGTTGTGTTTCTTGTTTCCTTTCTAGCTACATGTGAGCATGAAACTCTTTTGTAGAGGTGCAGGAAGGTCATGCTATAGGAGAACGTGATTGCACGTGTTAGAATGCATGCTAGGACACAGGCCGATTCATGACACTGAATTCTGACTCATCCTAAGGGAGAGGAAATGCATGTATATGGATGTGTTTTGGCTTCTATTTAACTCTATAATTGTTTCTTTTTTCCCTTAAATAAGGATTTCTTCTTGATTAATGGTGTTATTCACAAGAGACTGTAGGGTTTCTGTACTTGCTTCACCCTTGTGAAGGGGAAGGAATGTGTTTTCTTTTGCCATGTCCCTCCTCAACAGGGGTGCTCTTATTAAAACCAGGAAACTAAACAGAAGGACGGTGCATGTATTTGCTCATTGTTCTCTCCTCGTGCTGGACTTGAGCTGAAATGTGGTTTCAGGGCTTCATGTGTGCACTGAGTGATGGAGTAATTAAGTGAGGTAAATGCATATGAAGTGCTTGTTCCCTTGGTGCCCGGCACATAGTGAGTGCTTAGTAAACAGTAGTTGTTACTTTTCATTGGAGCCAAATGTATATCACACCTCCCTTTCTGTAATACATATTTATGATAGCCCATTAGTTAAGTCTGAAGGTCAGTGTGTTCTTGCCATAGGGCTGTAGGAAATGTTTTTTGTACACTTCTACATGTAGTTGGCGGATTGTTTTTTAAAAATGCTACCTACATTGTTTTCCTCTCCCTAAATTATCTCATGACTCTAGCAGATTGCTATAAATAAGTAGGGTATATCATATTTGTAGGCCAAGAATTGACAACCCAGTTTCAGACAACAATGAAGATTTTCTACCCTATTTGAATACAAAATCAAAACCAAGATATTTGTTAATATCCCAATATTGATTTTTGTTATTAGAAGTAAATTTTAGAAGTAAATGTTGAAAAGGACCACAAAAGCTGCTTTTCCAGCCTCTAATGGACCAGCAGCCTCTTTTGGGAAATGATTAGTTGCATCTTCCAATAAATAACTTTTGATATATTAAATACTCATTTGATGGCTGCTCTCTAAAGGAAATGAAGCTAGCATGGTCCCTTGGCTTCCATGAGCCTTAATCTCATGTATCTGTTATTGCACAGTTTATAATGGTAGGGGTTTTCCCCCTTAGGACTGACTATGTTTTCAGTAATGTTATTTTTTTTTAACTCAACCTAACTGGACACCGTAGAGGGCACTAATAAATCACACCTCTCTGTGCTCAAATAAAGACAGACATTCTACCTCTTTCTCCCACCTACCCACCCATTCCTGGATCGAGCAACAGAACTGAGCTTAAGGCCACCTAGAGCCACCATCACAGAATCTCTCTTTATGTTGGATGGCAGTGGGGATGCAGATCTGAAACACTAGTGCATCTGAAACAACAATGGGAAGGTGTGGAAAAAAGGGTTAGCAGGCCTGAGACTGCCCTCTTTAGGGAGGCCTGCTTGCCAGGTTGGCCCTTGGCTGGCATCCAGGAACTTGGATTTTGGGAGTATTCCCACCATTTCCTCACCTGATGAAAGAGTGGCTCATTGCTTCTACACTGTAAATAATATGCTTTATGCCGAACACGCGCTTTCCTTCTGGGAATCTGGAATTTTGGTCCATGCTAGGCAAAGCATGCCTACGTGACCACTCCCACAAAAACTGTGGGCACTGAGTTGCAAATGAGCTTCCCTTGTAGACAGCACCTCACACCTGTTGTCACAATTTAATGCTGGAGAAATTACATGCATCCTATGTGACTCCTCTGGGAGCACCACTGGAAGCGTGCACTTGGTTTCCCCTGGAGTTTGCTCCATGCATGTTGCCCTGTGCTGATGCTGCTTTGTATCCCATCACTGTAGTGAGTCTTAGGTGTGCGTATGACCACGTGCTGAGTCCTGTGAGTCTCGCAATCCTGGGACTGATCTTAGGGACCTGGACCCCCAACACAGGTCCCTAAGTAAGTTAGTCCCCCCAAAACTAACTTACATAAGATTCCATATGAGGAGAAAAGTCAGAAATTCAGAAGGTGTGCCTGAAAATTTTTTCTATTGACACCCCTTGTTCCATATGATCTTCTTCCTAAGGACTACTTCATTTTGTCATTGAGTTTAGTCAGTGAATATTTTTGGAATATAATGTAATCAGGTAGGCACTTCTTGCATATTTACATATTACTGCAAATTCATTTATTGTTCTCCACTACCATTAGAACTGAGGGATAAAGGAGAGAGACATAACACAATGTTCGTTCTCTTTGTCTCTCTCTCTCCCCACCACATATACTCACACATTTTCCCTGCTTTCTACTATTGAATAATTAGAAACCAGTACTAACTAGAATTCTTCTTACTGATAAAGTGACAGTTGACCCTCATATGGAAATTCTTTATGAGTTAACAAATTAAAATAAAAATTACCTGAAATTAGAGTTAAATTTTTTGATGTTTTTTACAATATTCCACCACTGTCCCACTTCTTGGATATTTATCTAGAATATGTCTTTCCCTACCCTACCGACAGATAATTTGCTAGAGTTTTTCATGTCTATCTCCATTTTCAAGGACTCTTTAGTTGCTTCCTTATCAGGACAAGAAAGAAGCAGAAGTGCTGCTAGGAAATATCTGCCAGAGCATTTGGGGAGAAAGTACAGGACAGAGACTGGATGCAGGAGTGGCTGCTGGCCACCAGTGACTTTACCTGCTGCTCTTGGCCTGGTAGGACTCTGATTTTTTTTTTTTTTTTTTTTGAGACGGAGTCTTGCTCTGTCTCCCAGGCTGGAATGCAGTGGTGTGATCTCGGCTCACTGCAAGCTCCATCCCCTGGGTTCATGCCATTCTCCTGCCTCAGCCTCCCAGGACTCTGATTTTGTCTGCAAGTGTTCACCTCACATAAACTTTGCCTTTTTGATCTAGTGGGGTAACCTTCATGCCTTACTCCAAAGAAAATTGAACATAGAGCAAATAGAACATGTGAATTTATAGGCAATGTCTATTTGAGACTCCATAAAAACAGATGCTGAAAGAAAGATTAGGTGACAAAAATGTTGCCTCCTGACTTGGTAGGTAATTACAAGTAAAAAATGAAATGTTTTCCACCTTCTTTTCATTAGTGAAATTTTGACCTTAATTTCATGTTAAACTGGCATTAAGTCCTTGATAGGTAGTTGTCATGTAATAGTACCTTTTCTTCCTCTAATAGATATGATGAGTAAGAACAAAGTCCTCCTGGTGATTTAGAAAATCAGCTACCTGTTGATCCTAAGCAGTGGCTTGAGCTCTTTCATTGCACTGTAGTTCACAGAGAGAAGCAATTCACTAATTATAAAAGTTGGAATAAGGCAAGCTTTTTTATTCCATGGAACCATTATAGCTACAGATTTGGAAATAACAAATGCTACTAGGTATGAAAAGTAAAATAAGTGAAAGCCTTTTATATTTTATACCTTAGACTGCCTGAAGTTCCTTGTATGATTTTTTTTTTTTTGGAGATGGAGTTTTGCTCTTGTCTCCCAGGCTGGAGTGCAATGGTGCAATCTCGGCTCACTACAACCTCCATCTCCTGGGTTCAAGCGATTCTCCTGCCTCAGCCTCCTGAGTAGCTGGGATTACAGGCATGTGCCACCATGCCCCACTAATTTTTTGTATTATTAGTAGAGACAGGGTTTCACCATGTTGGCCAGGCTGGTCTTAAACTCCTGACCTCAGGTGATCCACCTGCCTTGGCCTCCCAAAGTGCTGAGATTACAGGTGTGAACCATCACGCCCGGCCAATATTTCTTTTAAAATACATTTCATATCCATTCATTAACATTGTTTTATTTCTGTGCTTTCCCCTACTCCCCCCACTCTGTGTATTTTCTTTTTGGTATAGGAGCAGAGCTCCATATTAAGAATTAAATGGATATATTCAAAATTAATTAGTCTCTCCTTTCATGTATCTATGTGTTTATTTTCTCTTGGCCATTTTAGTCTTACCAAGTCTTCTGTAAAAGATGCTCTCTACCACTTCTCCCTCTGCCCCACCTGCAGATGCTGATATATCTCAAACTCTGGCCAGGACTCAACTACATATTGTTTTGGTTAAAGTATTTTAAATGTGCTAATATTCAGTTTCACCATTGGGCAGTTCAGTTTTTGCCCACAATTGGAAATTGCCTCTAGTCTATCAGCTTTTAAATGTATATTCATTTCTCACATTTGCACCTGGGGCTCCGTTTCTCATACTTAGTCTCTAGTCCCTGCATTTCTTTTTCTTTCCAACTTGTTTTTCTGAGATAGCCACTCTTTTTCTCTCTTGCCATTTATTTTTACATTTGAGGAAATTTAAGTTTTTGCCCTTAAAACTATAAACAATTCTGTAACAAATGAACTAAGAATCATAGGCTCAACCAAGGTCTTAAAATATTTTCAGAAAGATGAATATTTACTTGTATTAGAAAATATTAATATTCTTATTTCTGAGTATATTATGTAAAACTTCTGGATATCTACATTTGCAAATGTGACTGCCTAATCAGACATTGAAAAACAGGTTTTAGGCTCACACTGGCTGTTTTTGTTTGTTTTATTTTTTAGTAAGGATGTCGCTAAAGAAGGTAGTTGAGTTTACAGAAGTAACAAGTGGTTAGTTTTCAACAGAAACAAATTAGGTATAAGAACAGCATAATTCATAAAAATTGTGTTGTGTGGCTCACGCCTGTAATCCCAGCACTTTGGGAGACTGAGGCAGGAGGATTACTTGAACTCAGGAGTTCAAGACCAGCCTAGGCAACATAATGAGATCCCATCTCTGTACAACTAAAATAAAAAATTAGCTGGGTGTGGTGGCACATGCCTGTAGTCCTAGCTACTTGAGAGGCTGAGCCAAGAGTATCGCTTGAGCCAAGGAGTCAGGCTGAAGTGAGCTATGATCACACCACTGCACTCCAGCCTGGGCAACAGAGTGAGACCCTCTCTCTAAAATTAAAAAATAATAATTGTATTATAAATGTGATGGTTTTAGTACCATCCAAGCTCTGCTCTAGGGGTAGAAAGATGTGTATTTTACAGACTCTGTACTCAGCTGGTTATACTGTAAGGGATTATCTGAGATTACATGTGGCACATAGATATAAAATAGAATGTGATTAAAAAAACACAAAAAAAAGCAGAATGGGACTTCTGAACAGATCACAGAATTCAAGAGAGAGAGATAACATTTGATAGGTGGGCCACAAATGATTCCCCAGCAGACTGATGACAGAATTCTAAGTAGAAGAGGTAGCATAAGCAAAACGTTGGTGGTGGGAGTATATAGTGTGTTCACTGAAAGCTAAGTTCTCTAGTTCTGGTGCAGTGTCAGAGTGTGTATGTGAGAACTAAGACATAAAAGGTAGATTGGGGCAGTTCTTGAATGGCAGCATTAAAGAATTTATGCTTAAATCATTTAGCAAATGGGACCGTTGAGGTTTTGTTTGTTTTGTTTTGTTTAAGATGGAGTCTACTCTGTCACTCGGGAAAGTGGCATGATCTCAGCTCACTGCAACCTCTGCCTCTGGGGTTCAAGCAGTTCTCCTGCCTCAGCTGAATATGGAAGTAGCTGGAACTTACAGGCATGAGACACTGGGCCCGGCTGAGGTTTATTTTAAAGGGAGGAGTTGTAATGTGGTCAGAGGTGCACTTTAGAAAAAGCACCTTGACACCAGAATGTCGTCAGAATGTGAGTGGGGTGAAAGGAGTGAATGGAAACAATGAGCACCTATCAAAATAATCCAGTTAGGATGTAATGTGAGCCATTACTAAGCTTGGGAGAATAGGTATAAAGAGATAGGTATATGAAACTCTCTTAACTCTTCAGGCCTGGATTTCAGAAGAATAGTGGGAAATAAAGTAGGAGAGGACATTGATGGGGTTTGGATGGGTGTGAGCAGGCAGGAGTGCCTTCTGTGAAGAGCATCTCAGTGGAGGGCTCAACTCAAACTGCTTCTTTGAATCATGGCTTCGAAAATTACTCACTTCATGATATTAGACAACTTTGACGCACCTCAGTTTTCCCATCTCTTAAGTGGGTTTGATAATAGTATCTCAAGCCTGATTTGGGTATAGATGAACAGAATACATATCTATTACCTAGCATCCTACTTGGCTCATTTTCAGGCCTCAGCAAAGTGTAGGTACTAGTATTTTTCTTTCATTTTCTTTGCTCTACCAGATAGTTACTTTTAATCCCATTTCATATGTGAGGAGACCAAGGCACAGACTGCATTGTTTAAATCCGTCCAGTAGCCTCTGTGCCTTTATGTGTTCTAGGTTTGGGTTTAGTTTTGTTTTGTTTTCAGAATTCAGATAGAAGTTCTTTTTGAGCAACTGATTACATTGATCTGTAGGCCAGATCCCTAAAGACATCCTTAGAGTTGAAGTTTTCCTTATAAAATAGATTGAACAGATGCAGAACAGAAATTAGAAATTGCAGGAAGGAGGGGAAGACCAGAAGAGAATTCAGGAATTAATCAATGTAAAAAGTTATTTGCAGAAGATAAGATGAAGGAAGAAAGTATGCGCCCACGAACATTTATAATTGTAATGGTTCTGCCAGGCGTGGTGGCTCACACCTGTGATCCCAGCATTTTGGGAGGCCGAGGCGGGTGGATCACCTGAGGTCAGAAGTTCAAGACCAGCCTGGTCAACATGGTGAAACCCCGTCTCTACTGAATATACAAAAATTAGCCGGGCATGGCAGCAGGCGTCTATAATCCCAGCTACTTGGGAGAATTGCATTAACCTGGGAGGCGGAGGTTGCAGTGAGCCAATATCGTGCCACTGCATTCCAGCCTGGGCGACAGAGAAAGACTGTCTAAAAAATAATAATAATAATAATTGTAATGGTTCATTATTTATGTGTCTAATATTAAACTGGCTCATTTAATTCATTTATTCACTCCATAAGCCTTTACAGAACTGCCAACTATATGAGAGACAGTGTTGCAGTTTGCTGATTTTTTGTACACTGGGATTTACCTTTGATCAAGAAAATGTACCACATAAAGGTAATCTCATTCCCAAAAGCATTTTCTAAGAATAGGTAACTTACTGGTACTTGCAGGGGAAAAAACAATGAAGATTAAATTTTAAAATGTATGCATTTTGCAAAAACTGTCATTCTTAACTTGTTCTTCACCCCTAGCGTACTAGTAATGATGCTGCCTCCCTGCACCATTGGTCCTGGGGAACTAGTTTACATTTTTAGGAAAAGCACTCGACCAGGTCAGGTCAGCTAGATTCTTGTCCCAAGTCAGCTACTTACACTTTAGCCTCCTGATCTTGAGCAAGATACTTACTTGTTAATTTCCTTCTATGTAAAGACAAAACATGGCACTAGATGATTTCTAAGCTGCCTCCCAAGTCCTACATTCATAGCATTTATAAACTCTGTGAGCATTGAGTCTTCTTGGCAGTGGGGATATCAAGGACGATAAACCTGAAATAAAGAGACCTACTTGACAGAGAAATATAAGCAGATCCCTGAAATATAAGCAGATCACTGAAGGGGCAGGTCATTTTTAATGGGAGTGGGAAGGTGGAAGGAAAAAGATAGGAGAGGAAACATTTCATGGAGAGGTTAATTTCAGTTGGGCTTTGAAGTATGAAAATGGGCATACCAGAAAGGCAGAGGGGTGCAGAGGTAGGTGAGATTTTGTAGTGTTCAGGATCATTTATGGCAAGTAGGTCTTTGTAGCTGGAGCTTCAGAGGTCTTGGCAGGAGATGATGTTAGAAATGTAGGTTGAGTCTATATTGAGGGGACTTCAGATGCCAGGTAAGAGGATTTATTATTTATTCTGTGTACAATAGGGAGCCATGAAAGGTTTGCTAAGAAGGGGAGTGAAATATTCCCAACCTCATGTTTTTGAAATTTGATGAAAGTGTGTAGAAAGTGGATTAAAGTGAGTAGGGAAATCCTGCTATTTTTTTAATGGCTATCTTCATCTGTTAACTTATACCCAGGTACCTTTTGGCATTTATATTGATCCTTCCAGGATTGCCCCCATTTCTGTAACCAGCACCGATTTCACCAACTCAGTAAAATCCTGTTGGTGCTTACCTTCTTTGAGGTGGCACCATGAGTTTATCTCTCTTAATTGTCTCCCCTAAACACACATTATTTTCCCCAGGCTGCAAAGTAGATATATCATTAGCAAAAGGTAAAAAGGCAACGAAATCCAGCCTTAAAAGATAAAGTTAATGATTTAGAAATTCACTTTACTCAGCTGTACATCCATAGATAGCCTAGATAGTTAAATAAATCAGGAAAGATTTTAACCCCTTAGTGGTTGTCACAGTGATGTCTGTCTTAACTGGCATCTCAGTCCCCTTAACTGCAAAGACTAAAAGAAAAGAGTATGGCACTTCCATTTTTCCCTGCAGCACCTGCTCAGTTGAAGTTGCATTGCTTTCATGCAGGACAGACACTGAGATTACTCTCTGGGGATCAGAACCCGAGGGGTTGTGCTTAGACTCCCTGGGCAAGGCCTGTCAACTCTGGCTTTCATGTTTCCCTTTCCTTTTGCTGCAGCTGTTTCTTCCAGCCTGTTCAGCAAGTGCACCAAGAGTTACTGTATGGTGTACATGCATGTTTCTACCAAACAGCTTTATCATCGGTGTTAGAAGCCTCTCTGTACAAACCTGTGGCTGTCATAAGGCGATTTGATTTAAGCTTTCTGCATGCCCAATTAATTGAGAGTTGAAAGCTATCCTTCAGATTGGTGTGGCCCTGTTACTTATGCTTGCCAGTTATCAGCCACCTTGGTGTCATATAGTGGAAGCATTTTGAATATTTTACATCTGAAAATGTTTTAAGATAATAAATGGCAGTCATCTCAGAATGCCAGATGTTTCTTCCTGTTCTCACACAAACATTTATTTACCTGATAATCTGCAGAATCATAGATTTCAGATTAAAAACAAATTCTTCTAAATTATCTGCAGTTGATGCAGTCTGTCTTTTTTAAATTATTATTTAAAGATGCTCATTTTGTCCTAATTTTCCCTGTAAATTTTATCAGAGCAGATGTGGTCACTGTGATGCAGCAGTGGCCTAAACTAATTTCACTGATGTAAACATTGTTAAACAATTTCAAATGCAACTTTGGAAACATTGTTTCTGAACCTGTTTAATAATGTTTAAAAATGCATCAATGAAATTGGCTTAGCCTGTGGCCTTTATTACATTATCTGTTCTCAATTACAAAGATTCTGTGTTTTATGTCTGGACTAGTTATAAGTCACTGAAAAAAAATGATGCCAGCTGAAGAGTGTGGCTTATACCTAACCCGTTTAATTTGATTTAAAATTGATGAACCTTGGAAAATACTTCCAGAATGCCATATCAGCTATCAAAATAATAGGAAATGTATTCAGGTCATCATATTGGCATTACAATTTTAGTTACCCTCCCCCCCCGCCCCACCTTTAACTTTTATTCCCATTGCTTTTCACCTCCCATTCACCCCCATTTCCATTGTTGTGATTCCACTACTAAATTCCAAGCTATCAGCTCTGAAATGCAACATAGAACATTAAATATGTTTTTACTAATTGTGATCCGCTAAAATTTAAGCTCTGTGCCAAAGCCTTTTTATTTTTATTTCAGAAGTAGTATTTAAGTGATGACATGCAGTAATTTGTTCATTCTTCTGTCAGTATAATTTACAAGGCAATGGCAGATAAACATAGCAATACAAGATTCATTTACGGTGACACAATGGCAGATACACAGAGCAGAACCCTGCCTATGAGATAAAGTGGACTGAGTGACTTATGCAGTAATTAGGGGATAATTGTCATTAACCTCACAAACAGTAGTTTACCCATATTGTTTAAAAGGCTCCAGGATGCATAATGACAAGGTAATCTGTCAAAGCGCTAGGGGGAAATATTAATAAGATTTGTGCAAGCCTGGATAGAAAATATGCAGAAAGCGGCCACATTAAGCTAATTGGTGGATGAATATACACTTGTAAAAGTGCTTCTAATGGCACGTTTGCAGCTCTCCAAATGACTACCGTTAATGTGGAGAAGTGGGCTGCTTAGAAAGTCAGGACTGCTGGGACAAGAGGGTATTAAGGCACGCAGACGCCGTTATTACCTTGTGCTCTATAATGTACGCTTTCTCCTTTTATCCTTTTTCATTTTGAATTTCTGAGGTTTTGTTATAGTAACATATATTGATTGTTTACTCTGATTATTCTGTATTTGATCTATATTTCTTCAGTCAGCCACCAAACCCCAAACACCTCTCTTTTGTGGCCCAATAAAATATATAATCTCTACGTTGATAGTGGCTTATTAATATACAGAAACACAAACTATTAATGCATATGTGGATTTATAATTATACACACATGTGTATGTGTGGGTGCCTTTTATAGGAACACATTTAATCTGAGCAATCAAAGGAAAGTAGATCCATTAACAGCCTTGTGTATGTGTTACAAGTAATAATGTGTTGTTCCCTGATGAATGCTAAAGCAGGAAATTAATCTTTGTGTTCTACGGCTATTCTTATACCCAGAAAAGAACAAAGTTAAATCTCCTAATACATCTTTCTGTTCAGTCACACACTCAGTCCTCAGTGTGTTTTATGGAATACTCAATCCTCACTGTTTTATGGAATACTGCTTACTAAGTATTCCATCCCTTTCTCGCCCTGCTCCCTCACATCCTAATGAATATGTTAAAGTTCCTTGGGGTTGTTCAATCAGCTTCATTTGTAAAGTAATTCAAAGTATAATATGTGAAGGAGAATCATCCATTCAAGCTTTGGAAGTTCTATACCAATATCAGTAATCTTGATTGTGCAGATGGAACCTTATGGAACCTCAAAGATAAGAGGTTGTAGCCTTGAATTGTTCAAGTTTTGGCCCTTACTTGATGTGTAAAATCACCATCATCATGTAAAAAAATTTTTTGCGCCTATTTTTGCTGTTTTTCAGACATTGTGGAAAAGCATATCTGGAAATCCCAGGGACTCTGGCATTTATGTTTAGAAATGTAAAGCCTCAACTATCTACAAATTTAGTAGTGGAACTTTGGTTTATGCAAGGAGAGGTAAGCTAGAAAATGTAGACCTCAAAGCAAAAATGTCAGAGAGGGCTCTGGTGAGTTCTGTTTATTGTAAAGCAAGCAGATTTATAGCTGTCCTAAGACCAGGGATTTATCTTTATGTCTGAGTGGACAAGAAAACAAGGCCGCTGCAGGGACTGTCCCTTTCTTTCCTCCTGTTTCTAGTGTTTTCCTTAAGGATCATAAACGGTTCCTTTGCTGTTCTAAACTATAAAATAAGTACCCTCTAGAATCTCCACTAGTTATCATCTCCATATGAAGAACTATTAAAGGGTTTAATTGAGGTGAGGGTCTTCTGTACAAATACTGCTAGTTTTTGGAGCTGCAAAGATTTCCGAAAGACTACCGATATTTGTTTACATAGTTTTTTTGATATATAACATTTATTTTGTACCTTCAAGTTGCAGAATGTTCACAAACCCTACTGGTATGATTTGGGGGTTTCCAAGGCCTCTTAGGGAGTCTTTGGGCAGTTTCCTTAGTTTACAAGCAGAATTTTTACTTGAACTGATTGATGATTGAATTGACCAGGAGTCAAAATTAATCCAAAAGAATTAGTGACTGTAATCACATCACTGACAAGCAGCACCAGACAGAAACATCAGGGGAAACATCCAGAATATACGATAATACAGGAACTTTCAGATAAAGGCATACTTTCAGTCATAAATACACATATTCTAAAAATACGTTGGTTACACAAGTTGGTTAAAAGTAAAAGGGTTTTAACATTTTAATTAAAGTGATTCATATGTTCAGATTCTAGGCATAAATAGTAGAATAATAGAATTGTAAAGCTGAGTTTTTAGTAAGGCTTACAAATTTTAGTATGACTCCTCTTTACATGTGAACATTAATTTTATTTTCCTCTGAGGTTGAATTTGTGTATGTTATATTTAGCCTAATCAAGATACAAAATCTGCTTTAGCCTAAAGGTATAGGGCTAGATATTCTGTGCTTAAGTTAAGGACTCATAGGTAATTTGATTTTAAAGATTGGTATACTAGGAATATCAACTGGATTTAGTATTTTCTATTTTGAAACTTAAATGATTCCTAAGATATTCTTATTAAATATTAAAATGTGTCTTTAAAAGTTTCTCAGGTTTGATTTACAATGCAGCGAGGTAACTTGAAAAATACTTTGGAATCTTTGAAGTCCAATTCCAGACATTGCAGAAAGTAATTTACTCCTTTGAATTTTTTTAATATGGCAAAGCAAGGCACCTGCTTTATTTATTTGCAAACAAATGCCCATAGAGGAAATGCATATGGCTGGTTTTAAGCTAGACAAGCTAAAATTCCTCAGTACAAGGAAGAAATCCTGACAGGCCTGTAATAGAGCTTAGCTGGAGCTTCTATGATTAAATATGTTGTACCCCAGAGTGATCTATCATAATCACTGTTTTTAAAATAAAAACGCTGTATAGACTGTTACTGAAGAAAAAAGGCATAGTACTCTATGAATTATACATTCTTATCTGGTCCGTAATCAAGAACATTCTGTAACAGTAAATTTTTTAAATCAAATGTCAAGCAATATTTTAAAAATCAGAAGAACCACATGAAACTAGTGCCCTGGCATTTTGATAATGTTATTTTGGTTAGAGAGGTGATCATTTTTGGAGAGTATATTGTTCAACTTGTGAATACATTACTTCTTTTAAAAATATATCCTTTCCATTGTGAAATTTTTTTCAAATATGGATCAGAAAAAAATTATAAATATTTGTATACTGGGAAATATATCAAAGCCACTACTTCAAAGTCACATAAAATTATCATGTTGCTTCTTCCTTCTAAAAACTAGAGTCAAGGGCCATGCTCCTCAAACTTCCACTTTAATCCAAGGAGAGGCATTCTTTTGACTATGTACTTTTTTTTTGCTAGTAGTTTGATATACCTCACCTCATTATATCACCATTCGCTAAGTTGAAGCACTTTGAATGCTATAATAAGAGTGATTTATAATGAGAGTAGTATATAATAAGAGTGAGCCAAGGTCAGTAGTTTCTGTATTCCTGTGTGTGTTTGTGTACATGCACATGTGTGTAATGAGTAACTCCTTTAAAGTATCAATCTTTATATGCAGTCAGTGTTTACAGAAAGAAGATTTAATGTTAATGTTAGCATGTCAGCTAACAAAGACTAATAAGTTATTTATCTTGATGGGAACTTCTTTAATACAAAGTTTTCTGAGAGCCCCAACATTCTAACTAATGGTGGATATTCCTGTAGCATTCATTTCCCCTTGGGCAGAGGAAGAATAGGAAAGATATTTCAAATTAAGTCCTTTATTATCTGGATGAACTGAATGTAGCATTAGCTGTGTAATCACAGCAAGCTGGTATACACCTATCTCTAATGTTTGCATACTTACTTCATGACAAAGGCAGTTTGGGGTGGATGAGGAAAGCATATTTGTTCACATAGGTCAATGTTAACAAGTAAAGTCCAGTCTGAATTTTTATTTCGAAATCATTCTTTCTGCCCATGCCACACCCTGAAGACTCTCACTCATGGGGCATCCCTGTCCTAGAGAGGAGAGTAGGGATGTGATTGGTCAGCATTGTATTTTGAAGGTAAAGGGATGCTGTTGAGAAATTCTGCAAAATACAAATTTCCAAATCATGAAAATTGAGTAGGGCTTTCGTTACCCAAAACAAATGTTGATTTAAAAAAAAAAAAGTTCTAATTTGAACCATTTGGTACATACAACCGTGATATGAATGAGTATGTTTCATTCTGCCTACAAATATTACAGTTGTTCCAGCTGGCCTCCTAGAAACATTAGCCCGAAGTTCTGGAAAAGCACAGTCACATAAAAGAGCTTTGTGTGAATAGAGAATGGTGTAATTTTGTTTACTTACACAAGCAAAGTGCTCTGATGTATATTGTGTATGCTAGCGGTGCATCTTCCTCCGTCAGTGCCCAGCAAGAAATATGTGTTTAATGTAAATCTGCTAAAACAAATAAACATGCCAAGTTCTTTTTCCACGATTTTAAGTGTTTCTCAGAAATTATCAAAACATTGCTTGAAAAATTTCCCTAAATGCTTCCCAGAATCTATTGTTTTCAATGAGAATTTTTTTTGTGTGGCCATTTTTATTCTTCTCCCCATCTTGCCTGCTCATACTTACACACTTGCAGGCACATAGACACACAACATTGATCCATGCACACTTTGGAAAGCCAAGTCTTATAAATTAGAGAGATAAACATAATCTAACAAAAAAGGGAAAAAATGACTCTGAAATAGTAGGGAGCAGTCAGATCAGTTAAACTTTTTGACTGAGGGTTTAAATACTGGCTTTAGAATGACAATTTAAGGTTGAAATATCTGCTTATTACATATGGACCCATCTCAGTTACAAAACAGGTAAATAGCGGGAGAATGAGAGAGAAGAGGACTGCACATATTATGTATAAGTGTTTTCTTCAGAACTGTTTGTAATGCTCAAAGGTTTCTCTTCCACAGAATATCTCCCTGAAACTCCTGCTTTCAGCACTCAGAGCCACCTCTTTCCAACCCACATGTGGGATCTAGGAGTTTTCCATTTGCTGACCCCTAGCTAGAAGTTTGTTGAATGCCCCTGTTCATATTACCTGAGATAATGGTCTGAGCCTATCACTCACTCCTGAGGTGATCCAGAAGTTAGATGGTATATCTCCTAATTTCTGGGTCACATTCTGATACATGTCCACCTAACCAAGAGGTCAGCACACCGGCAGGTGTAGGCAAGCAAAGGCGGATTATCAGTGTCTTGCAGAGTGTCTGCGAAGGTGTGTGTGCATAGCACATACCTGCTATATATTGGTGTTAGCTCTGTAGGGAGGTAGTCTCCATAGTTTTATGATTACACACCCCATTAGTAAAAATTTGTGAGCATGTACCCCCATTTATATATATGTAAAGCTGTTTCTAAACTCTGTGTGTGTGTGTGTATGAATGATACTAGCAAAAAATCACCTTTAGGTAAAAATAAATAGGAGTTTTCATGTTGACTCACCATGTCACAGTGGATTGTCTTGCATATTCCACTAATAGGAGCAAATGGGAGCATGTGTGCCTGTGATTTGGCCGTGCTGTAATACAGGAGGAAAGGAGTAAGGTGGCTTATAAACAGTGGAAAGCTGTACATGTTGAGTTATGTGTGTGAGAGTTCAAGCAATTTGCGTGATTTAATTTTTTGAATTAACTTCATTGAAGTATACTTTCCATACAATAAAATCCGCCAATTTTAAGTGTACAATCTATGTGGCCATAAAAACCTCAGCACAATCATGGTGTACAACATTCTCACCACCCCAAAAGTTCCCTAGTGTTGCTTTACACTCAGTCCCTTTCCCCTGGCAACTACTAATCCACTTTATGTTCCCATAATCTTACCTTTTCCAGAATTTCATATGCTTGGAACAGTAGCGTATGTATGTCTTTGGGTCTAACGTCTTTCATTCTTAGCATAATGCTTTTGAAGAGTCGTCCATGTTGTAGTCGGTAGCTTAGTTCTTTTTATTGTGCAGTACTATTCCATTGTATAGATATCTCACAATTTCTTTACCCCTAAGACTTGAACATCTAGAAAACCTGGTAAAATTTATGATTTAAGTTTTGCATAGCATTGTTTCATCAATTTTTAATTCAGCAATTACTGTTTCATTTTACCTAATGGAATACTTAAGCTAGGTAGGCTTGAAATTTGGTAATTTCTCTACTTTCTATCCAATCTGTTTCTCTTGCTTTGATATTTGAATTAACCCAGAAGGAAAAAGAATAGAAAAGTACAATAGGAAACTGATTATGAAAATAAATTGCCAATGTGGTTATGATGAAATAATTTCTTAAGATAGCACACTGTGCCAATCTAGACATGAAAAAATAAACATATCTCACAAACCTCTGATTTTGTTTTAGGTAGTCAGCAGTCCCTACAGGTCAGTGTCATTTAATTAAAAGCTCTACAGTTATATCAAGGGGGAAATACTTTTAGTTTTTAGCTAATCATTTTAGTATTTTCCATTAAATTATACCTTAAACTTGACTGAAAATAAGTTCATATGATTGAGTCTTTTAAACTGTTTGCTTCTTGTTTTGCTTTTTTTTTTTTTTTTTTTTGACAGAGTCTCACTCTGCAACCTTCACTTCCTGGGTTCAAGTGATTCTCATGCCTCAGCCTCCCGAGTAGCTGGGGTTAGAGGTGCCCTCTGCCACACCTGGCTAATTTTTTTGTATTTTTAGTAGAGACGGGTTTTCATGGTGTTGGCCAGGCTGGTCTTGAATTCCTGACCCCAGGTGATCCGCCTGCCTCTGCCTCCCAAACTGCTGGGATTACAGGCATGAGTCACCGTGCCCGGCTGCTTATTTCTTAACAATTTGACTACTGGAGCACATAGGCCTTAGATCCGTGCTGCGTCCAGTGTTTCTTCCTCACTTCCATTCTTGGACAGAAAGAAAGCAGTTGTTTTCCTGTATGCTGTGATGTGAGTTGTAGCCTGCCATGAACACAGGTGGGCTCCTTGTTGGACTGAGCTTGAGGTCCCTCGACAGTCTGATTATCCCAAAGCCCCTTATTTGGTTTCTCTTCCATCTCTTCACATCTGTTCCTTCCCTACTATCCCTCTTTCCCAATAAGGGAAACCAATCAACCTTATTTTACTTTGATTTTAAAACTATAAATCATTGAAGTGCTTTGATGTGGGAAAGGACTCAGATAAAACCATTTAAACCATGCATTTGATCCTACAACAAAAAGTTTTAAAAAGTCACTTGGCAGAGCCATACAGGAACAGGGTGCCAGATTTCTACAAGTGATAATCACCAGTTCCAATGAAGTAACAAAAGGAAGTCTTTTTATTTCAAATGTGTAGGTGTAAATATTTTAAGTCTTTTATACTTTTTCTGAACCCAGTAAAACTGGTTTATAAGTCTATATTATTTGGTGTTACTCATCTTTTAATTAACAGTATAGCCAGTTATTTTCACAGGAAATCAACACTTATGATAATAACTCGCATTTAACTTAACAGGGTAAATCTTATTATCCTCATTTTGTCAATAACATTTTTCAACCTGAAGGGTTAAAAGTCACTGTACTCTGGTTACAAATGGGAAAACCTAAAAGAATTGACTTACCAGCTACAAAATTGCAGGGAGGGCCAAGAGTTCAGTTATGTACTCTGATGTTAACATATTATTCATGCATAAGACCAGTGGCCCAGCATGAGTTGGTCGGTAGTTGGGATCTTCGTCCTAGCCTAACAGACTGAATTTTTGTTTTATTAGTGTTTATTCCACGATAATACCTAATTCTTTTTATAGCTCCAATTTACTTTTGTAAAGTTTATTTGACAATTTATACTGTTTGCAAGGAGGACTAGTTTTTCCAATACTTAAGTTAAATACAATAAAAATAAATTGACTAAAAAAATGTATCATGCCTTTAGTTGTTGCAGCAGTGTCCACTTGTCCCAAATTTTCCAAATGGTTACTTTTGTTCCAGATGAGTTAAAAAAAGAAAAGAGCCATCCAACTGACATTGGTCCATTTTTGAATAGCAATATAGACCATGCATAGAGGTCGTTACCTTCACAGAAGACTCTTAAACTAGTGATTCAGAATCAAAGCACCAAACCATACTTATTTCTATCACAAAGATCTTCAGAAAAAAACTTGGCATTTCTTTTTTCCCTTTGATGCTTTCTAACTCCCTTCAACGAGGTTAGTCAAAGATACAGTAAAACTGCTAGCCATTCTTAGCATCCAGCTTGCACACTTGTTAGGTTGTGTAAGATCAATTTGTTTCTTGTTGCAGTCTCTCCATTTATAAATGTGGTGAATTAGATAATCTTGATCAAATTGATAATGATTTTTTGGTTTTTGAGACAGTCTTGCTCTGTTGCTCAGGCTGGAGTGCAGTGGCACTATCATGGCTCACTGCAGCTTCAACCTCCTGGATTCAAGCAGTCCTTCCACCTCAAACTCCCAAGTAGCTAGGACTATAGGCACGGACCACCACACTTGGCTAGTTTTTTAATTTTTGTAGACAGGGTCTTGCCATGTTGCCTAGGGCTTAAGCCATCTTCCACCTTGGCCTTCCTAAATGTCGGGATTATAGGCATGAGCCACAACGCGCAGCCAATGATGACTTCTTTGGAAAGGACACCTATGGCACTATCAAGGGGACTCTAGTTTGGTGTTATAGAGCTATGTGTCCCGTTCTTAAGTCTATTTGTTTGCAAATATGCTTTGTTGTTTATCTGTGTAAATATAAATTGCTGCTTCTATTACCACTATAAATAAAGCTTCTCTTTTATGATTCAGGAACTAGCAAAGTTCTAAATCATACTTACCTGGATCTCTTTCACCAGAAGCAAGTGGTTTAATGTAACAGACTCCATTTTAGCAGAGACAGCAACTAAGCGCTAGAAGACAATCTGAAAAGCAGTGGTTTTAGAAATAGTAGTGGGCATTGTGGTGGGCCAGGAGAAACCATATGGGACTGCTCTGTACTGTAGGGAGAAAGAAGATAAAGGGTGATGGAAATGAGATGCCTCAGGTGGGACTGATCAGTTCCTATGGTTTCTGAGGTGCATTTTAATGCCAGAGGCTGCCAGTTGTATAAGTATATCACTGACATGTAGATTTAGGTACAGGCTACCTTGGAAGAACCTGGGGAAGATATGACTGTACATTGCTCAGATTGAGGCTCAGCCTGAGAAATTAATCCGTAGTGAAAGGCTCTGTAAAAGAACACTCAAGAGAGTAGATTTGATGGTACAAGAAAGATGGTATAGAAGAGGACATTATAGCACTCTAGAGAAAGACTTCCTCAGAAGTCCTGCTCTTTACTACCACAGACTCAATGGGCTTACCTGGGGAATGGCATCATGGAATGACAGCCACTGAGTACTGTGGACACACTCTAAACTTAGAGTCAGAATTTTTGTGTTCAACTCCTGGGCCTTCAATTAGTATCTTGACAGCCTTAACAACCTATCTTAGCTTTCTTCTCCCCTGATTTCTCATCTGTTCTCTGAGCTCTGGAAGTTACGATAGGGGTGAAATGAGATAATGTATTTAAAGTCACAACTTATTTCTCTATTTACCTATAGCACCAACATTCTTCCATGTTACCCCTGTTCCAAAAGCAGAATGTGAATGATACCAACTGCTGTGAGTGAGGTTTTGAAAATGGCGATGGCCGGACTTCAGGATCATCTGGGGTTGCCATGTGCCTGCACCCTTATGTGACTCTTCTGAGCAGATAGTTGTATAAGAGTATTTGATCTGAAGGCCAATTCTATCTACATGATGAAGGAGGGACATCTGTGTTTGACAGTTTTCATAGGAATGGACACCCACATGCACGTACTCACACATATTCTTTATGTAAAATGGTAGGATGCTAGGAGTGAGCCTTACAAAGGGGGGCACATAACTATCAGAGCTTTTTTAAAAAAGTAATTCAAGTAAATGCCAAATACCCACTTAATCAAACTAGCTGTGATGATTCAGACCATAGGGCAGTGTTTCAGAGAGAATTTTACATCCACAGGTTGAGGAGAGACTTTTCCCTTGCAAAAGCAGTACAGATCCCTTATGCCTCTCATCATGCTTCCCCTAGTGTAACATCCTACATAAAGCACAGTGGCTGAAACCGGAAAATTCAGATGGGTATACTACTACTAGCTAATCTAGAGACTTTATTCAAATGTTGCTAATTTTCCCACTAATGTCTTTTTTCTGGTCTAGGATCACACAATTATTTTTTATTAGTCCCCTCTAATCTGGAACCATTCTTCATTTTTTATAAATCTTTCCTGAACTTTACACTTTGAAGAGTACTATCTACTGTTTTGTAGAATGCCCCTCAATTTTGGTTTGCCTGATGATTTCTGATGATTGAGTTGAGGTTGTAAAATTTTTACAATGTGTTTGTCCATTCCCATGTACTAATAAAGACATACCCAAGACTGGGTAATTTATAAAGGAAAGAGTTTTAATGGACTCATAATTCCACATGGCCGGGGAGGCCCCACAATCATGGCAGAAGGCAAAGGAGGAGCAAAGTCACATCTTACATGGAAGCAGGCAAGAGCATGCGCAGGGGAATTCCCCTTTATAAACCATCAGATCTCATGAGACTTACTCACTGTCATAGGAACAGTACGGGAAAGACTCACCCCCATGATTCAACTAACTTCCACCGGCTCCCTCCCATGACATTTGGGGATTATGGGAGCTACAATTCAAGATGAGATTTGGGTGGGGACACAGCCAAACCATATCATTAGAAGAATGCCACAAAAGTGATGTCGTGCCCTTCTTAGTGTGTCCTAACAAGCGGAACATGATGGCGTGATTTCTACTCACGGTGGTAACGTCGATCACCCTTTTAAGGTAGGGTCTGTTAGGTTTTTTGCGATAATGTTATGATTTTCCCTTTGTAATTAATAAGTATCTTGTCATTTTGTTTTTAAGAAGATTCTTTGCTTTCTTAAATTCATGGTCAGGGTTAGGGCAAGTGTCACTCACAGAGGGATACAAAGTGTGCTGTCCCAATGGGAAGAAATGGTGCCCTAGAAAGTGATGGAGTCATTATTTAAGTGTTTGAATAGATCTCTCTCAATCCATGCTGAAATGGATCGCCTGACATTACATTGCAGGATTTTAAAGTCCTACCTCCAGGCAAATCTCATAGTTACTGGCAAAAATGAAAGTGTGAAATGCTTTTTAATGTATATTTAACAACACATAGTCTGGTGATTACTGATGTGTATTCTCTGTGGACTCCCTTTGCTATCAGAGGAGGATGCTGAGAGACAACTTTTTACACATTTATTCTGTCTAAATCCATCACATGTTTACTTTTTAAATATCTATGACTGTCATTTATAACAAGATCATAAAAAGTCAAATACATTAAGTCTAACTCAAACTTTGAATCATAGGATTACAACCAATTTTCAGGAAAAGTACAATTACCTTTTATGAGTGATGTTTTTCTTACTCTTCCTTATGAAATTGCCTGCTATTAAATGATACTAAAATATAGCCACTCAAAAAAAAAAGATACAGTTTAGTAACAAGGTATGAGGGGTAGTGCTACTTTATTCATCTTTTTGATTCAGAAATTCACATAACTCCTATTTAAAGGAATTTTCATCATTGAATCCAGTGTCATGTCTGCTTATGTTGAAGAAGTAAATTTCACAAGAAGTACTTAATTCCTTCCTATAGTATCACTATTTAATAAGGACTAAGGTACCATTTTTTTCATTTATATTGGATTTCACAGCAAGAGTTCACATCTTATACTAATATATGCTAAATAGTTGCATAGTATATAGATCATTGTTGTTAAAAAAGCAGTACTGAAGGCATTTTAGATCACAGAGCCCCAGTGGTCTACATTTTGTTTGCTTTGACATTATTAAACTCAATCTGTTTCTCTAACTGTGACTCTAATTACTACATTTGCATGGCAGAAAAGTTTGCTTTGTGGGTTGACTTTTATTAACAGTGCTTGCATGTTGTTTTCTGCTCTTGCTCAGTGTTTTATGAGCACACAGAGCACCTTCAGTTGCATTGAATAATTATGCACAATCAATAAGTTTTTGTGTTTGTCTTTGTTGTTTCTTTGATGTGGCCTCTAGGATGCTGCTGGCAAGGTGCTGGACCGCTGGGCCATCATGTCTCGAGAAGAGGAAATCATCACCCTTCAGCAGTTTCTGCGGTTTGGAGAAACCAAATCCATTGTGGAGCTGATGGCAATTCAGGAGAAAGAAGGGCAGGCCGTGGCTGTACCATCTTCAAAGACAGACTCAGATATAAGGACTTTCATTGAGAGCAATAATCGCACCAGGAGTCCCAGCCTCCTTGCTCACTTAGAGAACAGCAATCCTTCCAGCATTCATCACTTCGAAAACATCCCAAACAGCCTTGCATTTCTGCTTCCATTCCAGTACATAAACCCTGTCTCAGCACCACTGCTAGGGTTGCCTCCAAATGGGCTACTGTTAGAGCAACCAGGGTTGAGGCTGCGGGAACCCAGCCTTTCAACTCAGAATGAATATAATGAGAGCAGCGAATCCGAAGTTTCTCCCACACCTTATAAGAATGATCAAACACCCAATAGAAATGCCCTGACCAGCATTACTAATGTGGAGCCCAAAACCGAGCCAGCCTGTGTCTCTCCCATTCAGAATTCTGCCCCAGTCAGTGATCTAACCAAAACTGAACACCCAAAAAGCTCATTCCGGATTCATCGGATGAGAAGGATGGGGTCAGCCTCTAGGAAAGGAAGAGTGTTCTGTAATGCATGTGGGAAGACATTCTATGACAAAGGTACTCTCAAAATTCATTACAATGCTGTTCACCTGAAGATCAAACATCGATGCACCATTGAAGGTTGCAACATGGTCTTTAGCTCCCTCCGAAGTCGTAATCGCCACAGTGCAAACCCCAATCCTCGCCTTCACATGCCTATGCTAAGGAATAACCGAGATAAAGATTTAATTCGGGCCACCTCAGGAGCTGCCACCCCTGTCATAGCAAGTACAAAATCAAATCTGGCACTCACAAGCCCTGGCCGACCCCCAATGGGTTTTACCACTCCCCCTCTAGACCCTGTCTTGCAAAATCCTCTCCCTAGCCAGCTAGTATTTTCTGGGCTAAAGACTGTACAACCAGTTCCTCCATTTTATAGAAGTTTACTCACTCCAGGGGAAATGGTGAGTCCTCCAACCTCCCTCCCAACCAGTCCCATCATTCCAACCAGTGGTACCATAGAGCAGCACCCCCCGCCACCCTCTGAGCCAGTAGTGCCAGCAGTGATGATGGCCACCCATGAGCCCAGTGCTGACCTGGCACCCAAGAAAAAGCCCAGGAAGTCAAGCATGCCTGTGAAGATTGAGAAGGAAATTATTGATACCGCCGATGAGTTTGATGATGAAGATGATGACCCCAATGATGGTGGAGCTGTGGTCAATGACATGAGCCATGACAATCATTGTCACTCCCAAGAGGAGATGAGCCCAGGCATGTCTGTGAAGGACTTTTCTAAGCATAACAGGACCCGGTGCATTTCAAGGACTGAAATAAGGAGGGCCGACAGCATGACTTCTGAAGACCAAGAACCTGAGCGGGACTATGAGAACGAGTCTGAGTCTTCGGAGCCCAAACTGGGCGAGGAATCCATGGAAGGGGATGAGCACATTCACAGCGAAGTGAGTGAAAAAGTCCTGATGAATAGTGAGAGGCCTGATGAGAACCACAGTGAGCCCTCTCACCAGGACGTCATCAAGGTGAAGGAAGAATTTACAGACCCCACTTACGACATGTTTTACATGAGCCAGTATGGACTGTACAATGGTGGGGGTGCCAGCATGGCCGCCTTGCATGAGAGCTTTACATCGTCTCTGAATTATGGCAGCCCTCAAAAGTTCTCCCCAGAAGGTGACCTATGTTCTAGCCCAGACCCCAAAATCTGTTATGTGTGCAAGAAGAGTTTCAAAAGCTCCTACAGTGTGAAACTTCACTACAGGAACGTTCACTTGAAAGAGATGCACGTCTGCACAGTGGCTGGTTGCAATGCTGCATTCCCCTCTCGCCGAAGCCGAGACAGGTCAGTAAATCTCCATTGGCTGCTCCTGCTGGGGGTGGAGGGTGCCAGTTTTCAGTCATGTTGGACTTCACACTAAAAGAAATCCAACTTAGATGTTTTTGGTGCACTGTAAAGATTGTCCACAGTGATCATGTGATAACTAGGCTGCCATGCTCATGAAGGATTGTTGCAGTTGGTGCTTGTGATGATTAAGCATGCAGAATCATGTGCCATCTTACCCGTAATGCACGCCATTTTTCTCTGTGCTCTGTGTATACGTGTGTGTATGTGTTTTCATGCATCTAGGTGTGAATAAGTTAACTATGTACACGGTTCCCTGCTTCCCCGTGAACCTTCACTTAGAAGCCACAGCTTCTGTTATATATATATTTATATATTTATATTTCTGCTTTGCCATGTGGCTTTTTAATTAAATCAGTATATTATCTTCATACACACATATTTATCCAATATAGAAACAGAAATTTACGGATGGAAAGAACCATAGGTCCAGGACATCGAGACAGCCTGCATCTCCGTAGGTATAACCAGTAATGTTATCATTCCTTACATGAGTATTTAGTGTGTCCTTGAATTCTTTAAGAGTTGTGAAAATATCAGAAGGAAATGGGATAGATGTAATTGTTGATGTGGGAAAATGGTATGGTCGTGTGGGTTTCTTTATCTTAACTTCATAATGTCTTTGAGCACATCTCTAAACTATAGTCTACCATGCGGATTATGCACAGAAGGGGAGGCATGCATATACTTTGAGGATCAGCACGAATATATTATGTCCAGCCTTCAGATGACATCACACTCTTGCTATGTAGTTGCAGCTCTGAAACAGTTGGGCTTAAGCAGAAGCAGATGGTCCTAAACCTACAAGGTTCTTTATTAATCCTCAAGAAAATGCAGTATAAATGGAATGTGTCAAGGTGGTCAGTGGCAGGATAGTGCGGTTATCCTGCATTTGTTCAGATAAGCTTGTGAGCAGATCACGTACATAATACACCACCAGCCCAACTCGGGTCACACAGCAGTTAGTTATTCCCATTATATCAGATGCGGTTTTTGGTTCTACATTGTCTTCTAAAAATATTTTAGAGAAAATTTTATAACATGGTGGAAATCAATGGAAGAAACACATTAAAATTAACTAGAAAGTTTCTACAGAGCCACCAATAGTAAGCAGTAATTCTAGTGCTTGTCAATTGTGTAGAGTTCTTTGGCAAAGTAACATTAAAAGTACCACTGAAAAGTAGTGTCCTGTCCCTGGAATATTCAGTTTTGTCTTCATATTTGGAGATCAATCCTTTTTAAAATAAAAGTTTGAAGAATATTTTTTTCCTTTCTACTGAAATAAAAGGGGGCCAATCTTTGAAAAGCAAAATATTTAAGAAAAATAAGTAACTTTCTTATACAACCCAAAACATGGTTTGAGGAGAAACCATTTTTTTAATGATTTTCCCACCCCCATTTACTTTGTTCTGTAAACATGGTTTATAGTCACAACGTTATTTCAGTTCCAAGTTATCATTGACAGTCCCAGAATGCATCAGATAAGATAGCTATATTTTGAATAATAAAATACTGTACCCAACCTCCTCCAAGTTGTCAGTAATATTCATTCTTTTAAATTTGAGATAGTACACTACTAATAACGAGGTTAATGCATTGTATTTTTTTAAACAAAAATAAAAGACTCATGAAAACCTGCATAAAATATTTATGGAAATGGAGTGTTTGAAGACAAGCCAAAATTTAAGCTTAATTGCATGAATTCCTGTCACAGTTTTAGTTGGTTTGCTGAAAATATTGCAAGTCACAGCACTGGAATAAATAGCTGTGAGACCAAAAGGCTACACACCCAGTGTTTGAAGCCTTCATTTATGTAAAATTCCTAGAAAACGCAAGCGCTTGTATATTTATGTCTTAACACATAGGGAGGCACTGTTGAGGTACTGCTTGTTGGTTTATCTGAGGAAAAACATTTATTGATAGCAGGAAAATATTTCAGTCTTCATTTTTATTGTAGGTATCAGGATTTTAGTGAGTGACTAGCCATATATACGTTTAGACCCGCGTCTAGGATGACGAGGATATTCTAGGTGGGAAGAAGAGTACAGATGTGCTCCCAGGGTGTTCAGTCACATAGAAGATAGCAAGCTTCAGAAGACAGTTGATACATTTCATTTGGCTGAAATCACAGTATGCCCAGTCTTTTTCATTTTGGAGCTTTGTCACATAAGATAAATGAAAAAGCAAATTGCAAACATTGTAGAATAAAAACTTTTTTTATTCTCACTTGAAATTTTGCTTTTTAACAATATGCAACTCTTTTGATCTTAGGTTAGAAACACACAAGTTCTGATACTTTAATTTTGACATTATATTTTCTTAAGAAAAGTGTTCATCTTGGTTGAGTCTATGACTTGAATTAATATAATGTTATGAGTTTAGCTACACCAAATAACCAGTGATGCCATTGGGGTGCCTGCCTCTTCCTGCAGCTCAGCAGAGTGAACTGTGAAACATAATTGTATTCCTGTTTTAGCCTTTTATTGTTATTTTGTCAATGAATGTCAACCTGTGATTTAATCTCATTATTCACAAAGCCTCTTGGATTACATCTCTGATCTGTCTCTTAGACTTACCTTCTCCTGTCTCTTCACTTTTACTTTGTTAGTCACGAGAACCCCAGGAATTTTATCTCCTTGGTTTTTCCCTTTTAATTTGCTGTGAAGCTAAGACAAGTTTTCTTACCTTTTTCTTGAGCCAACAGACCTTCTCAAACAGAAACCCTCCTTTGTCTTTAATCCTGCTGTCCTCAGGCCCATTTCTTTCCTCTCCCCAGAGTCTCAGTTTCATCCATCCTTGACTCCACAATGTCTTCCTTGTGCAAATAAAGCATTAGAGGGGATTTTGAGTGGGGGCTGAAGTGTGCAGGGCTATAGGGTTTCTAGGATTCCTGTCATAAAGCTAACAGAATTGCCCTCTTCCTTCTGTTTACGAAAGCAGACTTCTTCATGATTCGAACACCTTGGAGGAGTTTTACACAGGTCTGCCTGGGCTTCTCCCAAAGTGGTTATACATGAGGTAGTTGCATTTTTGGTCTCCAGATAGGCATGTTAGTAAGATGGAAAGCAGAAAGATGTTAAATAGTGTCTTTTAGGTTTGGCAGTTAATTAGCAAAGATTTCCAGGTCTTTGTTTATGGTCCTTCTAGATTTTATAAGATCAAGTTGAAGATTTTTCAAAAGCAAGAATGCTCTTTGTGTAAAGTGACACAGAGGAAGGGGAGAGACACATGCAAGATTTGTTAGGGCTGAAGATTCCAAGCAACAGTGTCAAAGCTATTCTTTTCTATATAGTTGTAAATGAGTGTGTGTTTAACAAATTCAGAAGCCAAGAGGACCATTCCACACTGACAAAGAGCAAGCTAATACACACAAAATCTGATTCATCTTTGTTACTAGGTAGCTGTTAGAATAATTTTTATTCTGAGTGATAGAAGTGAAATGTAAAGAATTTTCTCTGTAAAGAACTCTGATGCTCTAAAGCAGGGGTCCCCAACCCCGGGGCTGCAGACTAGTACTGGTCCATGGCCTGTTAGGAACCAGGCTGCACAGCAGGAGGTGAGTGGTGGGTGGGTGAGCATTACTGCCTGAGCTCCACCTCCTGTCAGTGGTGGCATTAGATTCTCACAGGAGTGCAAACCCTATTGTGAAATGTGCATGTGAGGGATCTAGGCTGCGTACTCCTTATGAGAATCTAATGATAAATGTAACGTGCCTGAATCATTGAATCATCCCAAAACTATACCCCCTACTCACATCTGTGGAAAAATTGTCTTCCATGAAAGTGGTCCCTGGTGCCAAAAAGGTTGGGGACTGCTGCTCTAAGGTGACTGCTGAAGTCTTCAAGTATATCCTGATAGCAAGGTGTAGTGTTAGATTTTGAAAGTCTCTAAAGACCCTTTCCTCCTTCTTGTTTATCCCTTGATCTGTCTGCTGCTGAGGTGCTGTTCTGTTAAGGAACAGGAGGCTGCCCCTCCATTATGAAGTATACATATGAAATCTTTCCTAGGAAGAGGAAATTCTAACCGGCCTGGAACCTGCTGTCTTCATACGGGAGATTCTCTTGAAGAGAGCGTGATAGTCAGAATTAGCTGGTGGGTGTAATTTACCTTTCATCATTTCTCATACTCTGACTTGATTTTTGATCCCCAGGAGCTGAGTGGCATAGGTCACCCATTTTGAAGGGAAGCCTATTTATAAGTTGCATTTGGTTTTTATTCAGGAAGAAAAATAACAAATACCCTCTGTTCTGTTTCCTAATATTTCTTATCATTGGCTCATATGTTAAAATCTATTTATATTTGTCTTAATGATTGGCAGTTCTAAAATTCCATCTAAAATGAAGACTTTGTACTCAGAAACTAGATGATCTGTATAGTAAGAAGTCATTGTCTCTTTTTCATCCTACATGAGTTTTACTATCTTTGTTCCTTTCTTCTTCTCAGAGTAGTGGCCAGTAGTTGTCAAGGTTTGTCTTAAATTTCATCTGAAAGGTAAGCATATATGCTTGATCTTCAAGTTGTAGAAAGATGATTTAGCCATATGAATAAATTTAAAGACCAAATTATATTTGCTGAGGGTGATTTATAAATAAATATGAGGTAACCATTGGTGTCAAGTGTGAACCTTCCATTCGATTGCTAGTTTGATCAGTCCACATCTAAATGTGGAAAGTTCTGTATTCCTATGGCGGAAGACATGTGTATTTGATGTATTAAAACCTGCTGATGTCTCCAGAACTAAATTTGTTCCTTTGTAGGCCTCTGGGTTAGCGGTAGCTAAAAAGCAGAAATGTATAGTATTAGCTTGTCTGATTACCTGACTTCCAGCCCTGTACAGGTGTGCAGGAATAAATTAACATGAGCTACCTCTGATGAGCCACTGCATACATTAACGACAGAGGTGAAGATGCGAAAACATGTTACCTGCCTCCTGTTACCACCTTCTCAGCATAGCAACAACCATTTTTTCCATCATTCTCTATGTTTGGAAACTTATACAGAACTTTTTCTAGGGAGGGCTTTTCAGTAAATACACATGATTTCACCAGGCAATACCTCTAAGAAATGAGCCACTTAGCACCAATTCAAGATAACTATTAGTATATTTGCCCTAATATAATTAGCTGTCAAATACGATGTGGTAATCCCCTCCAAGTAAAAGAGGAGAACATTTTAAAGCATTAGCTGTTTCATTTCATTGCCAATCAAACTACAAGTCTCCATTTCTAAAATTCTCTTACAACATGAAGTTGTGCAGGTCCTCTGACTTCTAAATGTTAAGGAAGAGTTTTTTTTTTTTCCCTGCTACTCTATTTGGTTTCACAATAGAGCAAGATCAATAGACCTTTTGTACTTATCTTCCATTACTTTCCATCAGAAGCAAACACACAAAATACATCCCCCTCCTGAGTAATTGCTAGTTGTGCCCTCCTCAAGCAAAACTTTGGTAGTAAGATAAACTTCAGTGTCATTCCTGTCCCTGGGGTTCTTTTTAGATACTGGGAGAAGAGCAATGAGCAAAACGGTCTCCTTGTATCATGGGGAGAGACTCTGTCAAGCCTAAAGTGAGCCTCGGATCTTCCTAATGACCTCCTGCTGGCCCAGCTGGATGCAAGACAAGCTCGTTTAAGCCTCTGCTGACCTTTCACTCCTCCACTACAAGAACTGCACCACTCATTTCCACCGTCTTCAGAACTGTGCACCAAATAGACCACAAAGCTTCATGGCTGACGAATGATTTCCTTTTCATGATGCAAAGAGATTTTTACAAATTTCTATTGATGAGAGTTAACATTAAGTCTCTTGTGGCATTATAACCTCTGTTGCACAAATACAATGCTTCTATATAACTCTTATTTTTACCTTCCTTATAAAGGAACAATCTACTGTTCTTGCCAGCATTATCTTGAAAATTCAGGCCAAAATATCTGAGCAGAATGCACATACTGAGTGCACCGGTGGTATTTTTCATGAAGAGACCACTTTGAAAGGGTCTTCCTGATTTCCACCTCCCTCAGAATCTATCTGACCTTCTCACAGACTTTATTGGTGTGAATCTTTCTTATATTTAACCATTTATTTGAGATGCTCATTTTTGTAGCCCATCTTTTCTTTTTAAAAAACATGGGCTGGTTTCTACCCAGAAGAGGGTGGTAAGACTGTACATGTACGTTAACATTCACTTGTATAACTCAGGTAAGTTCCGTTTTGTCTTAGATGAAAGGCTGCTATCAACTCTTTTGCTGTAAGTGATCATTCGTGGTTGTACTAAGAGGAAGGGATACCTTCTTTGCCTAAATGCCATAGTGAAGGTTTAGCCATGAAGCATTTTTTTTCTTTTTTTAAAGCCTTCTCAGAAATAATGTGCTTGCCATAAGACTCCCACAAGCTTCAAATAAATGAATGTGGCAGAATTGGAAAGAAGCTTGTCCTTGCCAAAAAATTGCAATGTCATAAAAGAGGGATTTGGTAACTTTGATTCTTGAGTGCCAAGATATGTGTATGAGGGAGAGGCAGGCAAGCTAAGACCGAGGAAGAAAGAATACTTTTTAGGAAAGGACAATTTTTCTTCAGTTATTTCACATAAAACTACACTTTTAAAATATACCTAGATTTTATGTCCTAATGCAAGCTGCTTGAATTAAAACAGGAGTTGTAAATTCCTGGTAAAAAGCTGTTACACCTAAAGTGTTAGTGATCCTAACTCTAGTACTTTATAGAGTTTATTACTTCTTTTATTAACTAGGGGGAAAAATGTTACCCACTTCTAGTTTAATTCTTTTTGTTGCTTGCTCTAATTTTGACTTTACCTTAGGAAAGAAAAAAAAAGACAAGTGTTTCTAACAGAATATATGTAAGCGATGCCTCGGTATTGCTATTGCATATATCAATCTGAATTATTACCAGCCACTCAAAAATTGTGCTAATGTTCTAATCTAAATTCATCCACGTAATGTATATGTGTGTTTACACATAAACATCCACATAAATAAGAATATCAAAAGACAGATCATTCTTAATTGCCAGAATAGACATCTACATCTCGGAAAGTGATGTATGAAGTAACTTTATCACATTGATGGGAAATAAGATTTCGTAAGTAAAACAAGACCCATTTGGGCACCAAGAACCACAGACCTGCAGCTGGAAGCCCTGTAGGTCTGATGGGCAGTGGAGGGGAGCCGCTCTAACTCTGCTGCCTTTTTAGTCTGCTCTGTCACTGAGGGGGCACTGGTGGGTCAGTTCGCTCACTCGTAATTGTGTTTTACAGACTTCTAAAGCAATTGGCTCAGTCAGTCCCAATTCAATAAAAGTGGAGAGCAAGAGAGAGAGCACTTTTGTTCTATTTTTTACTTGAAATTATTTCATTCAGCAGTCTGTCTTTTTTATTACCAGGACTTGACATTAGCACTCCAAGCTATATTAGCATCCATTTCAGCAGTTCAGTAATGGTATTAAAAAAACACTTAACTTCAATGGTGAATGGTTGTATGACAGTACCATAAAAAATCCACATTAAAAAAAACTTATGTATTTGTCCCAGCAAATTATTTTTCACTTGTTTAACCACTTCAAAACTATATTCTCATGACGGGTGTTCACGAGGACTTTCTTGTTCTCAGCAACAGCTGACAGTGGTGCTCGGTTGATTAGGGAACTGAGGAAAGAGGAAAGGGAAATCCAGTGAAGAGAGGGTAGGTAAAGATGCTGTTTACCCTGTAGTTAGATTACCTTCCATTCATCAGCAGAGATGGAATTGGCAACCTCAGAGCACCCAAGGTGAAATTCTTGGATCCTCATGCGTGACTGGGATTTGATTTTGAACCCAACACTCTCCAAACTTGGGAGCAAAGCCTAACTACTTTGGCACTGCAATGTGCTCATAAATGACTACATTAGTTTCTAAATTTTGATTAAACATTCAGTAATTAATCAATGGTAGACACGAAGCAGTTGGCAAGGTCCAGAGCTGCAAAATGTTTAAGACATAAAACATTACGAAGTAATTAGAATATGCTCCTTCAAGAGAAGGATTGCCTTCAATAAAGAGGTAAATGATAGTATCCTGTTTATTGTGGACGTAGGCAGCCAAAGCAATATGATAAACTGCTGGAAACACACATATCAGTAATCATCCACATTATTAGTGCCATTAATCATAATTCCAAAAATATGACAGCAGCAGCCAACTTTTTGACCAATTTTGCTTCTGCCTGTTGGCCATTATAACTTCACTAATAGACTGCAGAGCTCCTATGCGTGGCAGTTTGCATTGAGAATGGAAGGTTAATTATATTTGAGCTGCTGATTTCTTCTCTCCTTGGAAAAGGCTTAGCACTTTGACAATCCCAAGGGCTCACTGTTGTTAAATCAGTAAAAGTACTTTATTGAAATTTTCTTTGTTGGTCAGGAATGAGATGTTTCAAATGAGATATAAGCACCAGGCTGGAACAGTTGCTAATGCTTCTTGCTTCAAAGTGATCCTTGGGCAGCAAGATGAACTCAGTGGTTTCTTTAGATCACTTTGCTCTCTCATTTCTCGGGTAAAAAGTTCAGTGCTATATGGTGATACACCAGGAAATCCCACAAGATTAGTGGTAGTCTCAACATGTATCTGTATGACTGGGATGTTGGGAGTGGTTAATAACATCAGAGGGAATAAGTACTTCTTTAATACAAAATCCTGCATTTCAGACTCTGCCTGTGCAAATAAAAAGTAAAAAGAACTTCACAAAAATCATCCGTTTCTAAATATTAAAACATTTAGTAGCATGCATGCATTGCTGGTTGGTTAAATGAAGTTTTCATGTTTTGGCTGGTAGTTTTGACATTTAATCAAAGTTGTAAATTAGATTATGCTCACTCTTTTTGTTCAGGTGTCTTTATTAGTTTCATTTTCAACACAGAATTCTAGATAAAGCCATAGCTAAATACTAATATTGATTGTCCTACAAAATAGTGTCACCTCCCTTGGGGAACTCATGCATCCTGACTGTTACCTTTTAAGAAGATCATAAATTAACCATTTTAGGCTGGGTGTGGTGGCTCACACCTGTAATTCCAGCACTTTGGGAGGCTGAGGCAGGCAGATTGCTGGAGGCCAGGAGTTCAAGACCAGCCTGGCCAACATAGCAAAAACCCATCTATACTGACAAAAAAAAAAAAAAAAGCTGGGCATGGTGGCACATGCCTGTAAAAATTAGCTCCTATTATTTTGGAAATATATCTTCTAAAATCTTTATAAAGTAAGGCTATATAAAACAAGGAATGGAAAGCTTGAGGGTTAATTTGTCCAGTGTAAATATAAAACTCAAAGCTCAGATTTATTCTCAGTAAGTCCTTAAAAGATGCCAGGGCTCATGGCTTTGCTTTTTCTTACCCAACAATAGTAGTAAACTGAGCACCATATGAGCTGCTTGATTGAGAACACTTCCAAATGCTGTGAAAACATAATCCTGTTCACAGTGTAACACTCATCTCACATTACAGCGCAACAGGTACCTATTGAATAATCAGCACCCTTGAGAAGCCTCGATGTCTCAGATACAACTCAAAAGTAAAATGGTTAGGGAATGGGGCTGCTGGATATCAATTCTACACTTAACCTGTGCATCCAGCTACACATTTTCCATCTACCAATCTGCCTTCCCAAATGCCATCACTACATTAACATTTTTTATGCATTCCACAGCAATGACAAATTGTTTTCTAACTGTAGGGCCAGATTTAGTATGCGAAAGACATGTTTGCCTCTGCCAACAAACCAATAATTCTCACTAACGTCTTCAGAGTTACAACATTTATAAAGTTGCAAAGTGGAGTAAACAAACCATCTGTTTGGCTTTTCCATATATGTCATGCTTTCTTATTAGCATATTACGATTCATTTAGTAAACAAATTTGGTGATTTCGTTCACGTCAAAGTTAGATCGGAAGCTTGAAGATGATTAACATTCCTGGGACAAGCACATTAATACATTGCTTCCCCTGCAAAGTTAAATGGCTTCTCAGGAGAATCGCCCCTTGTTGACAAGATGAGACTGTCAATTTTGTCTGCCTGCCACATTAGGGGCCATACGGGGATGGCAGGCTCTGAGAGAGGGGAGTCGTGTAGGCAGCATAATTCACTGTGAATTGAGAAAAGAAGTCTAATTCTGATAAATGGTCGACCCCAATACATCCTACCTGTTATTACAACAGACGTGCCGTATCTGTGCAGTAAATTAGCTAAACCCCTAAAGAGTTTGGTAGGAGCTTATCTTCAAGTGAATAATTTGAATGTAGAGGAAACTGTCTGCGTGACTAGTATGGATGATTTGTTTTATATTGAAAGGGGTTGAAATGACTGAGTTTCATACTTTTAATTTGCAAGAATTTGCTTAGATTTTGTTTCTTGCATTTAATATGTACTTCCTTACATTTGGGGCTTTTTGAGTGTTACCCACTAGAATTTCACATTGAATTTTCTTCCTGAGCTAGGGGATGGTTTTCAGATCTTTTGGACAGAATCTTTAAATAATAACCTGTAGAACAACTACTAATTTTACAGAAAGGTATAGTGTCAAAAGTATCATTTTGTGCACAGAGCCATAAGCATCCTATCGTTAATAAATGATAATACAAAAATGTTGAGGTAAGTGTAATAGATAGTGTTGTAGCAATCCAGATAAGAAAAGGACTAATGAAGGCAGAAGTTTTAATTTTTCATTTCTGTGGATTTTGATAGCAGGTTTACATTTCTACTCAAAAGTATTGTTGACTCAGTAGTCTTACAATGTACTTAACCCTAGCATCTAGACTTACCCAGATTGGATATAAATTTATCTCTCTCTCTCCCATTCTCCCCATATACATATATGTACACACATACATACAGACAAATAGGCATGCATATGGTATGTATATGTTATTGTTACGCTATGTATATGTTGTTATGATCATTCTGTACAATATCATTTGAGAATTTGTGAATGTGTGTGTTGAACGGCAGAGTTGAGCTGGAAAATAAAGGCAAAAACTAATCCAAAGTGGGGCCTCAGTTATTTTTCCCTTGAGGCATTCTAATTAATTATTAAGTATTTTGTTTCAATTCACCAAGTTCAGAATGTCTCAAATCTGATTAAGAATTAAGACACTTCATGCAACCTATAGCTTGGTTCATTATTCAGTCTCTGACTGCCACAGTCTTACTTTCTAATTTGGTCATGCAACTTGTTTTTTTTTTTTTTCTTTTTCGTGTCTCCCCGATATCTTAAAGCCAAGTTTAAAACCTCAAAACACTTTCTTTAGATAGTGTTTTTGTTTTTAGTTTTATGGGCCAGACATCACATTAAATCTAACTTAATGTGATGAGAAAAGAGAAGTCCAAGGCAAGACTTGCTTTCTCTCTAAAGGGCATTTGCACTTACTTGACTACGTTTGATGGATTTCATGTCTTCTGTGGTTGCATGGTAAAGTTTTCATCAAAGGAACAGAAAAAGACTGGTAGTCCACTTTAGTCCAGTTAGAGTACTTCCACTCAGCATTTCAAAGAAGAAGGAAGTTTGGTTCTGCAGCACCCTCCCCTCAGTCCAAGGTTTTGTAACTTTTTGCTTTTAAGGGTGATATTGGTCTTTAACAAGCTTTTGGTAGATTCACAGTATAGAAAGAGTACAGAGGTTTAAAGGAAGCATTTGTAGTTCCAAGCATAGCCCAAGTTACAGGGCTTTTTCAAGCCCTAATTTTGTGGCATTCCCTTATAACATACTATGGTATTAATAGCGTCAGGATCACCGTTTGTTTTGTCGCCACCACCTTTCCTTGGATATTCTGTTACATGAGTCCTACCTTGGGATCATTGCTTTCTTCCCTTCTACAGTGTATTTTGGGAAATACTTTTTGAAGACTCATGCATATTATTGATGGAAGGGAAACCAATGTACTTTTAAGTACCTCCTCTGTGCAAAGTATTCTACTTTACGTGCAGGACACATAAGATTGAGTAAGATTTAGTTATGTTCTTGAAAGTGAACGTCTGGGGCTAAGGTTTGGACCACTGCCTTAATGATTACCACTGCACTTCTTAAGACCAAGTCCTTACCCCTTATACCTATGAACTCATTTTCTCTCTGCATTCCAGTCACTTTTTTTCTGTAAGAGGAACTTCCTTCCATATATCTTTCTTGCCTTCCAAATCAAAGCAAGTAGAAACAACCTTTCTACTGTTCATGTTCTTATAGAATGTAAGAAGTTCTAATACAGTCTTAGATATTTGTTATTGAGTATTCTTCCCTCTTTCCTAGAGATAAATATTCAGAACACTAAATCTGTTTCTAGAAAAACCATCTCTGTCGCTGGAGAGCTCAAAATTGGTTCCTTGTTGGATTCTTTGTTCCAATTGTTACATACAACTGAGTAGGGCTTCCTCTGCCAGGGAGTCCCCCTCCTGTTTCCAGCACTCTCTGGCCTTCCTGCCATTTTAGGGTCTTCTCTCGACATCTGATTATCAGTAGGTGAGAGTTCTTTCTGTGTCTCTCCCAACTTCTCTTTTCACCTCTTCAGTTTTGCTGATCCGGATAAACTTGTAATAGTCCTCAAATTGCTATTAACCCTAGGTCTTTGTGTCTCATGAGGACAGTATTTTATGACAGCTAATGGTCTGGATTGACTGATTCAAGAGTCCAACAATAGGTCTTTGTTAAAATCAAGTGCTGTCTTTTGTCCCTTCTTTGGAGACTGAACCGTAACCTCTTGGGTAGGATCGGTACCCTCTAAAGAATTTTAGTCTGCTTTCCTTCTCGTGCTTTCCTTCCTTCCACCTTAGGAATACTGTGTGAGTTTGTGAGAAAATCTTCAAGCCCACTATCATGAGAGTGAACAGCAGACTTTCCTCAGTCCATCCTTCCCATCTCCACTTCAAGTGTTTTGCATATGGCATTTAGGAGGATTATTAAACAAAAATGAAATAGATTAGGAATTGAACGTAAAAGAATCAATTCTCTTGAACTGTGGTTGCATAATGGAAATCGACTACCATGAATGAACCCGTGTACTGAAGTTATGAAGAGCAGAGCTAATGCACTGCCATGAGTTCATCTTTATTATTGCATTACACCTGAATCAATTGATAAAGTAGCTGTTTTTTTTAAAGTGAGGGATGGCACTTAATTGAATAAAAGTCAATGTAATTATATTAGCAGAGGCCAACAGTACTGCTGACAGCGGAAAAGGGACACTGTTGAACAGAGTGCCAGAGCTGGTCTACACATTTCTGCACATCGTTTGGTTGACAGATATTGAGGGCTGGTACATCGTCTAATTAGATTACAGATTTCTACTGCTGTAAGTGAGAAATGAAGAGAAAATCTCTTTCTGGTAACATATTGGTGGAGATGTGTAATTTCACAAGTCATCTTAGGGAAGATGTGTCCATCTGGGTGATCAGTGTGTCCTTTTCTCAATGTTAATTTATTCTTCCTTATTCAGTGTGTCTTGATGCAACTGCTGTGTGTCTGGCTGCTGTTTTCTCAGCAGTGAACCTAGGAAGTGGTAACTGCAGATGTGTGAGAAGCAACAGAGTTCTAGATTACAGTCATCGCAAAATGTGTGCTCGTGAAATTAAGAAAGGGGGAGGGTGTTAAAAATAATAAACGGGTAGGATTTCATGAGCTGCTCATAGTTGGCAGATAGTTTTATCAATAGAATAATAGCGCATAGCGTAACTCTACTTCCACATTCTTGTAATAACTGGTGGTGTTGTACCCACATGTCAGAGTAAAGACCTCACAGTAGGCATTTCCTGCACTTTGCTTAGCAACCTGCACTTGGAGTCATCTGCCATCTGACACCAAGGAAACGGGGAATTACTGTGTCAGAGCAGGGACCGTGGGGACAACTTCTGTTTATCATTCACATACCCACACACTGCATGCATCTGTTTAGAACTCATTTGTGGATGATGATGCTGTGAATTTGGTTTGTGTTAATTCGATTTATGATTTTTGGATTATACAGCTGATCTGAAAATCATCAAGACAGCGTATGGGATGATCGCTTATGACAGAAAATAATTTTGTGATCAGAACGTTTTAAATCCCTATTTTATTGTTTAAGTTTTTCAAAACCAGATGTCTAGAATGTGAATTTGTTTTCTCTCTCTCTCTTTCTCTTTCTTTCTCTCTCTCTGTCTCTTATTCTTGCTTTCTTTTGTGATCGATTTAGCAAAAGATTAGAAAGCTGATCTTATTGTCACAAGGTAAGCTCAGCCTTCCTAAGTGCAGTTGGAGAGGGCTGCTGCCCTCTGCCCCTTAAAACCCAGAGTGCTGTATATTGTCTTGTGTGGAAAGGTGGAGAAGTCTTCCCCACCTTTCTTGTCTCTGAGGCACATACCTCTCAACCATCTCTAGGAAATATCACCCACGTTTGTCACCAAATGGAATGACACATTTTGGTCTTCCATACTTTTAAGTATAATCGGGAGGTCTGTTGAACTTTATATCAGCCATTTAGGTCATTTCTTTTATCACAATTACTTCTCCAAGCTGTAGAGCTTCCACCAGTATTGAGAAGCTTTTATGTATCTGTAGATATGTCAGTTTATTTTTTGGAAGGGTAACCTTCAATTTAGGTACTGTTGAACATGTGAGCCTTTGCAGGTGGAGAGAGGTATGTGCCCAAGGGCACTTTAAAAATAATGGGGGATATAAATACAAAGACAATGTTTCCAGATAGATGATAACATATCAGGCTTTGTAAATCATGATGTCCCTATGGATTCTCTGGGACAAATCCTGTCTTTATATATATATATGTAAAAAAATATGTATATGTGTATGTATATACATACATACATACAAGCAAAGCACTGAGTGAGTAGAATAAAAGTTTTGCTTGTCGAAGAAGTATGGGTTCCAGTTGTTAAAGTAAAGGAACCCTATGTTATTGTTGTGCTTGATTTTTTTGTACTTACTGTGTTTTAATTTTTGTACCTCTGAGTTTTCTTTCTGTTGTTCAGTGTGATTTTTTTTAAAAAGGTGGGTGGGTTTTATTTTTTTAAAAAGTTTCTGTTTTTCCGTTTTTGTCTTAAAGAATTAAATTTTAAAGTAGAACTACTCGATGAAAATATTTTGGACACTAAAATGCACATACTTCTAAAAAGTAAATGTATTTTATTATTAGATTTAACTGGGATTCCCAAATCATTCTGAGAAAAGGCATTCGTGTTGTTAAAAGACAGTCTGTAACCCTATTTCAAATTGCTTAATCTGTTAAGCTATTGTTTTTCCTTAAAACTTGAAATGTGGAGGGTAGAGACGGAAGATTTCATTATTTTTTGAAGTTATATCTAAATTATCTAGGCTACTTTTTTAAAAAATGAATTTTTTCTATACCTCAAAATAAAGTGTGTGCTGTATAGAAAAGATGTTTACTTTTTCTTGTTTTTAGGTAAATTTAGACTATTCCATTTAGACAAGCAGAAAGTTTCTATTCTTTTATCCTATTTAATATATATTCTAAAATCTCTGCCATGAAATTCTCTGCAGCTGATGCTGCTACATAGTAAAACTAACAGAGTAATCATTGAGAAAAAGGTGCACGGGTTTGCATTCATCCTACCATTGACAGAGTCAACTCTCTTATAAAAATAATGTTAATGGAAAGTTCCCCTGATTGCACCTCTCACCACCACCACTAACTCCCAGATCCTGAGGATATAGGGGAATGCTTGCTTTTATAATGGTGTAATTAGAAGTGAATGTGCTTATTTGATACCTAGTGAAAGCTGAATCAATTTTAAAATGCTTTCCTTTTTCTCACCTTTCCCCACCCCCCATCCACGTACCCCCCCTTCCCTCTTGTTTTCCTAGACACAGTGCCAACATAAACCTACATCGTAAACTGTTGACCAAAGAACTCGATGACATGGGCCTGGACTCGTCGCAGCCCTCCCTTAGCAAGGACCTCCGCGATGAATTTTTGGTGAAGATATATGGTGCCCAGCACCCCATGGGGCTCGATGTCAGGGAAGACGCCTCCTCTCCCGCAGGGACTGAAGACTCCCACCTGAACGGGTATGGGAGAGGCATGGCAGAGGACTACATGGTCCTTGACTTGAGCACCACCTCCAGCCTCCAGTCCAGCAGCAGTATCCATTCCTCCAGAGAATCCGACGCAGGCAGCGATGAGGGGATTCTTCTCGATGACATTGACGGGGCGAGTGACAGTGGGGAGTCGGCACACAAGGCCGAGGCCCCTGCCCTCCCTGGCAGCCTAGGGGCTGAAGTTTCAGGATCTCTTATGTTCAGCAGCTTGTCTGGGAGCAATGGTGGGATCATGTGCAACATTTGCCACAAAATGTACAGCAACAAGGGGACCCTGAGAGTGCACTACAAAACTGTGCATTTGAGAGAAATGCACAAGTGCAAAGTCCCAGGTTGCAATATGATGTTTTCCTCTGTACGAAGCCGAAATCGGCACAGTCAGAACCCTAATCTCCACAAAAACATTCCCTTCACTTCAGTAGATTAGTCTCAGAATGGACACTACAAATGCCAGCTCTCACCAGATGGCCTACGTGTTTGAACTGCCATAGTCAGTGTGCGCTTATGTACTTGGGGTGTGTGTGTGTGTGTGTGTGTGTGTGCATTTATGTATGCTCTGTGGCTACATATACACACACGTATTTCCTTGAGATAAACAAGATAAACACTAGGTGCTTTTGAATTTTTTTCACTTCCCTTTATAGTTTTGGGAAAGGAGTGGGATCTTTGATTTCAGGGTGAAAACAGAGTACCCCTTTAAACACACACACACACACATGCACATACACACACACACACACACACACACACAGTGTGCAACTAGCCCCAGTTTTGACAGAATAATTCTTGGTCTTCCCCAAAGAGACAATTTGTTGTACCCATGACTGTTGCCTGCAAAAATAAAAGGGAAAAAAAAGAAAAAAGAAACAAAAAGGAACTTCTTATAGTTGTCTTTTGTGAACTTTAAGGTTTTGAAAGAATCTTCAATTAAAGCATGGCAGATTCACCTGTAAATATTTAGCCTTGAGGGGCCATTGATGTAAAACAATTGTATTGATGGTTGTTTAACTTTTTTGTTTAATTTTTACAGTTACATCCAGCTGTTAGATATGCAGGAAAAGATAGTTTGCTGGCTAGCTCTATTCATTTATGTTAGCATTAATGCACATTTTTAAAAAAAGAAAAAAACATGGTCTTGTTTTTACTACCTGTTAGATATAGTGCTAAAGAGGTGCTGGCATGCTTTACAGCACAGATCTGATTTTTTAAAATGTCCTGTACTAGTACATAAATCCCGTCATGCACTTTTTTTCATACACTACAAGGGGATGTGTAATAACCATGCTTCTTTTTTATCCTTAAACTATTGCCATACTTCAGTAAGTGTCTTTTTTAAAAAAAATTCACTTGTATAAAAATGGTCTGGTCAGTATAGGGCACAAATGCCAAACAAAGTATTAGTGTTAACACAAAACTGCCAACTTTGCACAAGTTTCCAGAAAAGAAAATACAATTAGTCACTCAACATAACCACAGGCCAATTTGTTGGCCACCAGAAAACCGCTTTTTAAAAAAACACTTGGTGATTCTTTCAAGTGCCGAATGTTATTAGAATCAACATTGCATCCTTCTTGCTTATACGTTAAGTTACATAAAAGGAAAACAAAATTATGTGGTGTGAAACAGCCAAGGCATTTATTCTTCAGAGGCAGGATAATATTTCAGGATACAAAAGCCCAAATTACCCGCTACGGAACAAAGATGAATACAGTAAAAGAGTCGAACACTCATTTCCAAGGCCCTAACCCTTATCCTTTAAAAAGAAATCCTCTGAACTGGGTCGGTCTGTTGTATGGCTGTCTAATTTGTTGCAAATTCTGCAGTCGTACTATAATTCAGGCCTGTTTGGTAGACAAAATCAAAAGGCATTTAACAGCAGCAGTACTTGGAAGCTTTGAAAACATGTGCTAAACTTGAATGGAGCAACACTCCTTTCTGAAAAGCCAGAAGAAGGGGGTTTTAAAGCAGGATCTCTCAATGTTCAGTGTTTTGTGTTTCCCCACACGATTTGTCAGAGAGAAATGAAAGCAAGCCTGAAACCAAGCAATTGAGAGTGAGAAAGAGGAGAGAGACTATTCTCCAAACCTTTTTTGTTTTGTTTTGTTTCCGATGTTTACACATGTTGCCTGAGCTGGTTAACCACATCGGCAGCCTCAGCTACCACAACATACTGACTAAATGATGATATTTACTCAAGTTCAGTCTGCAGCCAAAACCATTAGGGTGTGCATTGCAGACTGTTTTGTTGTCTTTTTTTTTTCTTTTTTCCTTTTTTTTTAAGTGGAGGGGAAAAGAAGAGATAAACAAGGAATATTTTGTCAAACAGTACACAATAATTTAAAGAGAATGTATTTCTTTTTTGCATTTAATGGCCTCAGACATTTCTTTCATCAGTCTAAAAGTTAGAAATATCCCTTTATTTTAACTTTTATGTCGTTTCCATTTTTCATGTTTTTGTAATTATTTTTTCTATGTTCACATCAGCATTCACTTCCGTTAAATTTGCCAAAGGAAACTGTTAATATGTTTCTGTTGTTATTATTCCTGTAGGATTTATTGTACCTCACAGTATTTATTGTTTCCCAAAATAAGCATCATTAGTTGGGGATTCAGTATTTTTGTTGTGAAAATTTCAGAAACAATAGATTCTTAAAGATAAGCTAGCTATGTCTAGGAGCTTTATCTTTTCACCTCCTTCAGAGGATGCTATGGGGTCCATTTTAATTCTTCATTTGTTCTACGGGGAGGAAAGACCAAAAGTATTTGCAGTACAAAAGAAACTATATCAAACACTATGTTAAATGACAAGTGTTTATGGTAAAAAGCTGAGGAATTAGTAATAATCGTTTTTGTTTTCTTGTACTTTGAATTCCCCAAAGTCTTAATTGCTTTATTTTGGTGTTGTGTTAAATTGAACAGACAGATGTTTTCCTTTGTTTTATACCATATAAGACTCTGTACAGTATGTTTGTGAAAGATTGAACTAGAATAATGAAAGTTTGTTTGCAAACATTTTGGTCCTCTCAGCGTTCTCTGTGTTGTGCTGTTGCCCCATTACCAAATGGTTAGATTCAAAAAGGGTGGGAAAAGATTTTTAATATCCCAACAAAACATTATAGAAACTCTGGCTTTTGCAGTGTGCATAGACTACATGTAGTTTTATGAAAATAAATACACATTTTTATTTCAGCAACTTTGAAAAGTTACACTCAGTTGAGTTACTAGAACTCATCTTGTACAACAGCAATGTTTAGTCTGTTTAATTTAATGTCAAATAAAAGGTCAGATAGCCCTCGTGAGTGAATTACATAGCTGTCGGCAGTCACATCAGCAAATGCACCAGGCTTAGAACAAATGTTTGTTACTTGCTGCAAACCAAGCTAATGTGTATAGCCAGTTAGAAAAAGTCCAGAAGTAATGAGATTCTAGAAGTAGAGTTTCCCTTGCTTGGAAACATGAATGTGTTCACCTGTGTTTTGTCAGAGAAGTGGCAATAAGTCCTGGACAGCTGACACTTTTTAAGTATCTCCCCTATTTGCTACTACTTTTGTGCCTCAAGTGCCCAGTCGTTACGGTGGCCTTCTAAATGAGTAAATAACATTTTCCAATATAAAGCCTATTTGCTTAAAAGGGACAGGGGAGTGGATGGATGTAGTACATGCAATGGAAAATCATAAAATGTACAATTCTTCTGTTTCCAAAGTATTGCTCGTTCTTGAGTGTGTGCCTGAGTGTCTTGTTTTGACTTAACTAGAATTCTAGTTAAGATGGTGATCCCATGGCTTATTTGCAAACAGGAAGGATAAAGAGATCAGCGTTTTAGTCATGGAGCTCATCTTTGCCCATTCCTACTCATTTGCTTTTTCATAGGAGTTTTTTGTTGTTAAACAGTTTCTCTCAAGCCACATGCATTCTATGCTGGCTGAAAATTAATAGTGATGTAGATGTTCATCCGACAAGCTTTTCCCCATGTGATTGGTTTTAGCCAGAGTTTATCACAGGTACAAAATTAGGCGGTATGACTGTGCATGTTCTCTAGCTGATGTTGAAACTTGTACTGTCTTGATCATTTAAAACTATGTTTTTGTAAATATCAGGTTTAGTCCGCTTTCGGGAATATCTGCATGCTATGGAAAGAGAGAAAAAAAGGATAGATAATGAGGAATTTGGTTTAAAAGTGTGATAAAAATCCTTGGCATTCTTTGTTCTGATATTAATTGTATTTAAATAAGTCAACCCAATGTAACTCATTCCAGATCTTAGTCCAGCTGCCCTGTTCAGCCTGATGCCTTTTAAAGGTTTAAAGGTGTTAATGTTTTCCTTTTCAACATGGCAAACATTTTTTAAAACCTTTTTGGCACAATGGTGCCACTGTCCTCATAGTGTTATTTCTTTGGTCATGAATTTTCAGGCCCTTCCAGTAAGAGGAGAAAGGCACTTAACTGGTTAACAGCCCCATTATTATACATTGCTCTAAGGAAAAAAAAAAAAAAAAAACTTTGAATATATCAAGAATGGGCTATTCCAGAGGCTTCTCCTCAGGAGAAACTATGCACTAGGTTCCCACCAAATACAATGTGACCTTTTTTTCCCCTTTCTCTGTACACACCCCAGATATGTGCCAAGCAAATGAGAATGAGGGCCGTTGACAATTAAAGCATAAAGAAGCTAGTCACCAGATTGAGATGGACATGCTGCTAACTGCTGACAGCTTGACCTGAGCAGTCCTAACTTGTATCTGGTCTGTTAGCATTGGGTTAGATTGACTAACAGAGTAAATAAAATTCACCTGTCATAAGACACGCTACATCTGCTATCATCAAGAAACAAATCATCCAGAAGAAACTTTTTTTCATCCTGTGGTCACACCCTTTTCTTAAGAGCTTCTTTTTTAAAATTATGACAAACGAATTTCATTCTTTAAAATCACTTATCTTCTCCCAAACTTGAAGTATTTAAATTAGGTGGTTTTGCTTTTCCCTCTCATTGTTTATTTTTTGGGGATGGATCTAAATGAGTAAGATGAGCAATAAAAGATACCAGAAAGACTGGAGGGATCACAGTGTTTTCATCAGAACTAAGTAGAGGGTCGGTTCCTGCCCTGGTTTTGGGGTAGCTAGAAAAGGAAATCATGAATGCACTGGAAATGTTGGCTCGAGAGAAAAGACTGGCATAGCTCTGCCTCGCAGTGGGTGAGAGCGTATTGATCGTAGGGACCTGCAGAGTTCCTATGACCAGGTGAGTCGGCTCTGAGGAAGGGGTTAGGAAAGCAAGTACAGCTGCATGAAATAGCTGAAGTTCCTTTGGGGTCAGGAAGAGCCGACAATTGTGGGGTTTTGGTTGCTTTTGCTTTGTTTTTGAGTGGGAAGTGTTGCTGGAATCCCCTGAGAACCGAAAGATGCCAGGGGTCAGCAAGGCTATAGAAAAGGCCAGTGGTAACACCTCGTTTTCATCCTAACAGAGGAGTAGGTGCGAATGGCACCAGCATGGATCGTTCCTTTCTTGATCATTACTCATGCTTGCCACTGTAGCAACACAACAAAGCCATGATTGTAATTAATACTAGGCTAAAGACCTTGATCAAAATGGGAGCTCATTTACTGTTCTATGAGGTATGTAAGTAACTTCTCTTCACATTTTCCCTCAGAGATAAACCACACGTGGTAGTCTTGTTTGCGTTAGTACTAAGGTCATGTTTGATCTGTCCCAGACGAGTCGCATATTTCCTGTAGCTGGAGTGTTGCTCACCATAAATGGTCATTTTCAAAAAGTATTGTGTAATTCCAGCTGTACAACTGACCAGTGAGTTATCTGTCATCACTGTTGCCCACATACCCGTCCTTCCTTGTGTAGTTTCATCATCCTCATCCTTCCCACATCTTGCGCAAAATGATTTTCTGTGCTCATTCGGCAATAACTATGTTATTCGGCATACTGTCTTTTTGGCATTTGTTGAAAAATCCAAATGCTTTTAATCCAAAAGATTAATCCAAATCTTTTTTAATCCAAATGATTTTAATCCAAATCCAAATAACAGGAGGTTAAAAAAAAAAAAAAAACTAAGCATTTTTACATGTACACTGAATTGGATCAGCATTATTGTTCATTATAATGCTATATATATTTTTGGAGCAACATACTATAGTTGTCATAAAACTATCTTTATTCTTCTCCTCTAAAGTGCTGTTGTAAATTCATTTGACCTTTACTGCAGGAAAAAAAAAAATCTTTTTTATATAGGATATGAAGACCAAGGCTCAGTCTGTAACAAATAGTGGACCATTACAAAAGAGGAAAGAAAAAAGCCAGGGCTGAGCAGCAAGAAGCTTCAGTTCAATTTCACCTCGTATCTTTCTAATAACATACTTGTCACTTTATTACCTTCCAGTAATGTGAACGCTGCTGACAAGACTGTCACACTAACAGCAGACAACACCCTCTCTGCTTCAGCCCAGCTCTCCTGGCTACTTATTGCCCTGGCCCTGAAGGGACACAAACTAATAGTGTGCTTTCCAGTTCAGCACTTGGCCATCAAATATAAAAGGATGCGTAATTGCCTGTTTATCCCCTTGTGAAGGAGAAATTGACTACAAGGGCTAGGCTTTCCCATCGAGTTCCCTGATGTACACACACATCCACAATCAGTCAGTCTCTCTCTCTCTCTCTCTCTCTCTCTCTCTCTCTCTCTCTCTCTCCCCTCTCTCTCTCCTTCCCTCTTATTCTCCCCTCCTAACATACAAGCACATACACACACCTACTGTATCTGTGGGAAGCCCAAGGCTGCCTCTCGATGCCCTCTCCAGCTATTAAGTGGACAGTAACAAGATGACTTCTTAAATAAAGGGTCAGTAGAGAGATGCTGTCTGTGACGGCATCCTTTGCTTCTTTGAAAACTTAAGTGTTAACAATTCCATCTTGAGAGTAATGGGTGTGGCCCTATAATTAGAGCAAATTTTCCTGCAAGTCAGTGGCATAAGTAAGATTATATTGCCCCCTAATCTGTAGGGAAAAGATTAAAATATTTTTCTTCCCCTTCAAAAAGTGCACATGTTGTAAACTGGTTACGCACAGTGGTCATTTTTTTTTCTTATCCTTGGCATCAAACCATGGACGTAGGTGTACAAATGCATCTTTCAATGACCCCTCCAAATCCATAGTGTAACATGATAGATTAACTTTTGTCAAACTGGACTGACAATCTAAAAAAGATGGCGTCAGGCTTTTGACTTTAATCGTTAAAACAAGGACCACCCTATGAGTAAAAGGTAAATTCTCCACTTTGAAGAACTTTGGTAAGTACAAGTACAGGGAGCTTTAGAAAATCGAGTGATGGGGACCAAAGGTACAAAGGAAGAATACATGAAAATGTTATATTCCAAAATGCCCTGAGCCCAAAGATTGGCTGCTATTTTTGTATATTGAAATACTCAAATGATGGTTGGAAAGTGACTAGTTAGTGACTAAATGAAGTGCAAGATCTATCAAGCGTCTTCTTTCTGGGACTAGGGGATGCCATGCTTCCTTCCAACCTTCCCGCAGCGCATCTCAGAGAAGATAGTTGGCCCCATTACAAACAGTCACATTTCAGTAAGATATTAGTCAGCCAGGTAAGACACGTGCAGGTATCGGTATCATCTTCCATATGAACTTTAGCAAGGAGAGAACAGCAGCAGATTTAGGGATAGACAATGTAACAGGTCTATGTTGACAAATCTGTGCTAAATAATTTCATGAACCAGTGTGGGGACTGGGAAGAAAAGCACTTTGAGCAAGGACTCTTGGGTTCGAGCAAAGGCAATTAGTTGACATGATACTTCTTAAGTTCCTCAGTATGTATATGTTACAATCGTTTATCAGACATCTTAATAGAATCCTAATTGAAAAACCAGTTGCCAAAATTGCACAAGTTCTGCTCGCTGATACTAGCTTTCTCCCCTTAACTCTAAAATACCAGGGATGCTTAAGGACGTTTGTAATAGTTTTTTTAATGCTTTGTTTCACTTTTTTAAAAAAGAATCTTTGAAGGGAAGGAAGAGCAGAAAGAAGTATTTTAAGAAAAATGGAGAGAAGTAGATAGTATTGAAAGTATATTTCTTGAAGAGAGAGTATCTAAGTGCTATACCAAGATTTTATAGGGCTTCCTGTTGCCAAATGTGATGTTGAGATAATGCACAGCTAAGATGGCAAATCCATCAATTATTAACTGGCTCTGCCCACTTCTGTCATGGAATGCAAGGATTGAGAGGTGACTCTGGGGAGACCCTGGGTGTGTGAGAGAGCTCCATTCATCTGGCCCTGGATATGTTTTTCAAAAGAGAGGGAGAAAGCGCCAGTCCCTGCAAGGTGAACTGACCTGGCACTGTTTCAGTGGGAGCCTCACTGCCTGCCTTTTCCATGCTAGGAGACAAAGCATCCTCTACCCCATCTGTGAATCGGTGCTGTGGCCACTGCGAGAAGCATGATTCATGAGGTATGATGCTCTTGAGCTCCCAGACAATGTGCTGAGTTAATAGGTTCACTTGAGATGTATACACCAAGGCTGTTTCTTTTTTTAAATCTAGTCCCCAATTTGGAGTATTTTTGCATGTTTTTGTACAGAGTAATCCATTCCTCTCATTGTGTATCTTAATCTCCTCTGACTTTTCCATTGTCTTTCTCAATCCCACCCTTTGCTCTTCGGATCTCACCAACCCCCCTTAAAAAATAAATCATGTTTGAGCAAGAAGGTAGAACACGCCCTCCCTCATCTTGGTTTTAATTGCTTTGGAAACGTGTTCTACCCTGTCCAGGGTTTGCATAACGTGAATTAAGTGAATGAGATGTTCTAGTATTATATCTTAACCTGATAAGACTATCTAAGATTTCTAGTATATGGTGCATTTGCTTTCCTGTGCAAACTTTGGTTCAGCTGCCCTGCAGAGAATCTCACCATTTTCCTGCCAGTGCCAGTATAAAGAATGCAGGAGAGCTAAACCTGGGTACATGAAGGTCAGAGGGGTGAGGACGGTCGAGAAATGGGGAGAAGACTTGGGCTTGAGACGACCTGGGCTTTTCATGTGTAGCTCACTCAGCAGTATGAGGATGACTGACACACCAGTGGGTGGTTTCCAAGTGAGGCAAATGCCCATTTCCCCTCTCCCCTCACACCTTGCCTGGCTTCTTCCATGAAGTCCTTGCTGCTTTTCTGCCTCCCCAAAGGTGAGGGGAAGGGGCTGGTTGGGGATCTGGGAAAGCCAGTTCTCTGTTCTCTCCTGCTGGTGATGGACTAGGCCTTTTAGAACTAGCAAGATCCCTCACACAGCTGGGAGAACACACACCTTTCTTACTCCAGACCCATTGGTGTGTCTCCAGTAACAAAATTATTGGACTCAGCCTCCATATTTGACAGCAAAAGTGGCCAGAGGGAGTTGAAATATCTTGAAGAAAAGGAATTTTCACTAAGATATGTCCTCTCCCTCTCCCAGAGTTTAGCTGTTTATTCCTTTTTTTTGTTTATATTGTTCTCATCTGCATAAAACCAGTCTCTTGCAATAAGCCTGCCGCAGAATCAAAGTCTGTACTTCAAAAGGTAACTGCACCAAGGGATGGGACAGTGTGCATCACCCTGATCTAATCATTGTGACGTTGGTAGCTTCCTAAATACTGTATGTACCTTGAACAAGGGTTTTATTTTTGTTTTGTTCTGTTTTGCTTTTTGTTTTTATTGGTAGGCTAAGGTAATTAAATTTTTTAATTTGCTGTTACTTTGGTTGTATTTTCTGTACTATAACTGCCTACAGTATGTCTTTTGCATAAAATGCATAAGGGTTTGGGGATGTAAATGGAATTTTATTCATATTTTGTCCAAATACCTCTTGTAATTTGTATCAAAATTCTTGTACAATTTTTATATTAAAGATTTATCAGTCACTGATCTCTTCTTACCTTTCTGATTTCAAGAAACCTCCACACGCTCCAGTAGATCTTTACAAAATACACCGAGCAGCCCTTCAGCTCACAGTGTAATTCACCTTATTTAAGCACACTTGTTGGTGAACTCAGAGCCAAGCTCAACCACTGTATTATTTAATAGATTTCTCAGGAAGACCAAGCTCATCTTTTGCTCAGATGGCAAAGCTGGGTCAGAGCTGCAGAGGTCCTGGCCGCTCCCAATGGAGCACAGCAGACACTGCCCTCCATCTTCCTTCCCACAGCTATCAGGGATGCCTTTTCTGTGACTTTCCAGAAGTCCTTTTCCCAAAGCCTTTGCCCCTGCTCTTTTGAGGAAAAGAAGACTAAAGGAAGAACTTAGGTGTCTTTGCACCTGAGCTTTTCAAAAATAAATTTTCTTCCCAACCCTTTCAAATTTGTGGACAGCAGCCACCAGGATGATGACTTCATATTTTTTCACACTGAATGCTTGTCTTTCAGTTTATAGTCTCTTGGCAGCAACTTTCCACAAATTGTCCTTGTTATAATCTAGAAATAAAACTGGCAGATGGAAAGATGTCATAATCAGCAACATTTCCTCCTCCTGTCGTCCTGCCTGGGGACTATGGGATGAAGCGTAGAGAAGGTGCGTTTTGGGAACTAAACGTTGGGCACACACTGGCATAAAGATGGGAACAGTAAACACTGGGGAGAGGAGGAGGGGTGCGAGGACTGAAAGGCTGCCTATTGGGTGCTGTGCTCACCACCTGGGTGATGGGACCATTCGTACCCCAAACCTCTGTGTCACACAATACACCCATCTCACAAAGCTGCACATGTTCACCCTGTATCTAAGATAAAAGTTGAAATTATATAAAAACTGCTTTCAACTCAGCAGTGTTTAATATCACCCCCACCTCTTAAACCAATCCAAGTTAAAAATTAGACTAACCAAGACTATAACTTTTGCTGAAATCTCCCCTTCGATTTAGTATTGTCTGTTCATCTGCAGAACCAGATCTGCTCAAATCTCCCCAGGTTGTCCTACCCACCTCTCCAGTTTTCCCTGGACTCTAACGCAGACACCTAAGCTACCTGGACTCTAGAGCGATGCCCTGGCCTCAGGCCTCTGGACAGGCTGCCTGTACCCCTCAGGCCCCCAGTAGGGAGCTACCCAGGCTCAGGTATCACTGACTGAGTGTCTCTCCCAAAGCATCAGGGATGCCAGCCACCTAGCCTTGATGGTGTCTCCCTCCTTGATTTCTCTGAGCACCCATAGATGGGTTTTCGGTGACAGCAAAGAAATGAAAGGTTAAGCAACTTTGGAAAAGTCAGCCTCCCATTGAGGCATGTGGTTATTAGATGTCACAGATGTGTTAAGGCACTCCTGCAGGGAATCCAAGTATAATTATGATCTTTTCATCTGTCATAATAAGTCTGTAATCGGCAAGAATTCTCCCTCGAATAGCTCCCCCTTCTCCTTAGGAAAAAAAAAAAGTTGTTTTAAATGCTATCAAATGATGGAAATACTCCTGTTCAGTGAAGAGACACCCATGAAGGCAGCTCTTGGCACAAAGCTAGTCAAAACTGCCTGGGTTGTGGCAACTTGCTCTCCTGAGCCACTGGAAGGCTTGCCGCCTGCTAGTTTGCCCTGTGTCAGTTGACAATATGACAGTAGATTAAGTGCTACTAATTTAATAAAGCTGCTCTGAGGCCAGAGCTGACCTATCAATGAAGACTAGAGAGGATCGCATTGGTGGGGGCTTGGAGAGGGGCAGCAGAGAATATTGAATTGCCTGAAGTAATACTGGGGGGAAAATCTATAGATCCTCAGTAAGGAGCAGTTATTTTTAGTCACCTGACTCTTGGGCACCCAATCATTAGCCATATTCATCAAAGCTGTATAATGAACAGAGGTATTGATTAACAGGGGTAGCTGAGGAGATTTCCCAACAGTGCTAGTTCACATTGATAGGTCTCCAATGGGAATACAGGCCATGCAGCCCTGGAACATAACTTATTGTATTCTAGGTCCTTCTGTTGATTTGATTTGGGTGGGGGCGGGGTGGGGAGGAACAGCCTTACACACAGTGCTACCCCTATGACCTTTCTCTGAAACCCTCCTTGGAAAGAAAAGAAAAAGCCCCACTCTCTGCAACAAGTACATAACCCTGCTCTAAGTTTTCTCTCTGTCCAGGCTGGCCATCCGACCTCATCTTTGATTGCTGTGTGTTATCTTGATTTACAGAAATTTGCTGGAAGCTGGGACATGCCAGTCAGAGCTTAGAGCCATCAGGCGTATGAAGCTTTCCCTCCCCTACCTCCCCTAAAGATCAACATATGGCTTCAGGAAATTATCGTGTTAGGCTAATTGCACCAAGTTGGCATGGTAGGAACATAATGAGTCCCGGTTTCAGCATGCTGACCCCAAACCCAGTGATGCCAGCGCATAGTAACTTTCCAAGCATTTTGCCTCGTGGCAGGAATCCTCATTGAGCTGCTGTTTGCAAAAGGCATTTGGTTGGATTTCTAGCATGCGCCCTGAACCTGCGCTGCCGTGTTCCAATCATACGAGGGAGTTTGCTGTGCTGTTCACAGGAGCACTTGTCCTTCCAGAGAACTAGTGGTGACCCAAATGCCATAACCATCAGAAGCCTTGTGCTGCCTGACGGGCAACATGCTGCTTAAAATGCTGATATGTAACTAGAAACCATTAAACCCCAGGGAGAAAAAAGTAAAGGATTAAGACAAGGACAGCTGTAAAAAATAAAGCTCAAATGCATCATTAGAAACCAGAAATTCACAAAGTAAAACTGTCTGTCATCCCCACTGGTATTAGCAACACTCGACTTGTATATTAATGAAACAGTGCAGGAACTCTAAGTCACCCTTTAACCATGGAAGCAAGAGGGAAGTTTCTCTTTACTGCAGTCTCTCCTAACTTGAGCATGGGTTTTTGATAACGTTGAATTTTCTTTGCCTCAGAGTATCCTCACCAACCCGTCTTAATTTGTCTTACCGTGGCTAGCAGACTTTTTCTTCTTCAAGCACAGCCTCTCCCTTCAGCGCTGGGACTTTTATGAATGCCACCTTCAGCCTTGTCTTTATCTTTCTTTACTCTCTTCATCATCGTGTTCACTTCAATTTTTGTTTTCTTGGCTGTTATCATCTTTACAAAAAAAGTTCAATATATTTTGATCTTCTGGGGTTAGACTATACCTTGACTTCTTTCCAAATGTAAGATCTTTCAGGAAAAAAAAAAAAAAAATCAAGGGCTTCAAAAATTTTAAATCCAGAGTTCCGTGCATTGTGCAGCAACTTCGAGTTTTTGGAATGCTCCAAAAAATGATTATAAGCAATGGAATTTGGAGGTTATCAGGGTTTGGGGCATGTGCCGTGTTAGGTGATTTAAGATTATTAGCCACTTCCACCTTTTTAGAGAGATTCATTTTTACAAATATAAATGCTATTAACAATTCAAAGCACTCTCATAATTCCCGTTCTTTGTTCTTACCCCATGATCTCAATTTCAATTTTTCTTATTTTTTTTTCCATAAGTGGAGAATTTCCTCCCAAAGTTTCACAAACTTATTTGCAGGCTCAAAACAAGACACTTATTTGATTATTTTCAGATGTCACATCAATTGGTCTTCAGCCGAAAGTAATCCTACAAGATGTTATGCTTTTATGCTTTCTGTTCTTTCAAAAACCACAAACCTGTGTGTTTGAAAATATCACTCTTTCCAAAGCCCTCGGCCTCACCCACAGAGCTTGGAAGTAAGGATGGTTTCAGGCTTATATATGTACTTGCCTTCTCAAGGAAACAAGAAAACACAAAACCCACTCACTTTTCTTATATCTACTGTGAGCATAAACGGGGAGGGGAGGGGCGTGGGAAGCCAGTAAGTTGTGAAATCCAGGAAGGTGAAATGTAGGTGAAATCTAGGAAGCTGTGTCTTGGATGGGATTGTGTTCTAAATACCTTCAAGATGCAATGTTTCTCTTGCCCTCATAGTTTGTGGTACATAGTAGGCATTCAATTCATATTAATAGCATAACTGGGTGAGTGATTGGGGAATGGGGGTGGGAAGGCGGATGGAGTCCTTTGTTAAATGCCAAAGTCAGAGCCAGGCTTAAAACGGGGTAAGCACACCCCATCTCTCTCACTGATCACAGCTTAAAACCCAGACAGGTGCATGGGTCAGCCATTTGAGGGCTCTGAAAAGTAAACAGTAAGCAGAAGCGCCGAGGACGAAGACCAGGCTCCAAAGCCCCACCGAAATAGCGGCACTTTGCCATTTGTTCCCCTCCAGGATGCCCTGGGCCGAACTCATCAAAATCCAAAACCCGGAAGTGGACATCAGGGTGTGATCAGAGAGGTCTCTAGAAGAAACCCTCCTCCAGTCAAGGAGTAGAGAAGAAAACACCAAATGCTCAGAGAGAGAGGGAGAAATTTCCTATTTCTCTTTCTTTTTTGCCCATTTTCTCGTGCCTGCCCCAAACCCACATAAGAAGCAGTGGCAGCAGGAACCGTCAGGGGTGAAAACTCTGCGGGAGGGAATCCTCCTGCCTTAGTGGAGGAGCCATTGTCCCAAGAAGGTGGCAAATTCCCTTTTGCTTTTTATTTCCATCTGTCCTCCCACCGCTTGGCCCTGGAAGTGAGCACAGTGACAGTAGGTGCAGGGCAGAGCACCAGCCTTCCAGCCGGAGGACTGAAAAGGCCAGGCTGAAAAGTTCCAGGGAGACATGGAGAGGGAGGTCCTTGGGAAAGTGACCCCTTAGAGTTAGCAGTTCCTGAGCTTACCCCTGAGGAGCGCATGCACGGGGCTGACCCTGCACAGCACAGACATTGAGAAGTGTGTTATGGGATAGATGGTCGACTATGTCCCAAACTGGCTACTGCGTGGTGCACACATGGGACAGATCCAAACAGTGCTGCAACGATTTTGGACACTGAACTGATGATGGAACTATCACCCTCAGAAGGCTGGTTGGAACTTGCAGCCTAAACCCAGTGAGGTCAAATGCCTCCTAAAAATCATATCAACATTCTCCATAAGATTTTAACAAGACCCAGAATCTCGTAACATGTGTGGTAGGCAGACTTCTTTTTCAAAAATTGTGGTGTTAAATATACAAAGCATAAAATTTACCATTTGAATAATTTTTAAGTGTATGGTTCTGTGGCATAAAGCACATCCACACTGGTGTGCAACCATCACCACCATCCATCTCAAGAACTTTTGTGTGTTCCCCAAATGAAACTCTGTACCCATTCAACTCTAACTCCCCATTCCTCATTTCCCTTGCCGTTCTTTCCATCTCTATGAATTTGATGACTCCAGTTACCTCATATAAATGGAATCATACAATGTTTGTCCTTCTGTGTCTGGCTTATTTCACTCCGCATGATGTCGTCAAGGTTCATCCATGTTGTATAGCATGTGTCAGGATTTCCTTCCTTTTTAAGGTTGAATATGATTCCATTGTGTGTGTGTGCCACATTTTGTTTATTCATCCATCCATCGATGGACACTTGGGTTGCTTCCACCAGTAGGCGGACTTCTAAGATATCCCCTGATGATCCCAGATACTGAGTTTCATATCCCCTTTCCTTAACTGTGGGAGACTATGGTAAAAATCTTGAGCTATCCCTTCCATGATTGGGTTATAAAACACTCTGGCTTCTGTCCTGCTAATGTGCAATGTCTGCATACTCTGTGTTCTGCCTCTATACTCTGTATTCTATCTTCAGTACTCTAACTTATTGCCCTCTTGGCTTACACACTTTGATGAAGCAAGCTGCCGTGTGAGAGAGGCTCATGTCAAAAAGAACTGATGGTGGCCTCTAGTCAACAGCCAGAGAGGAACTGAGGTCCTCAGTTCAACAGCCAGCAAGGAACTAAATGCTGCCAGTGACCACCAGTTTAGCTGAATTGGGCCTTTAGATAAGATCACAGATCCTTGGTCAACATATTGCTTGTAGCCCTTTGAGAGACCCCACAGCAGAGGACTCAACTAGGCCCAAACTAAAGAAACAATGGGACAATAAATGTTGTTTCAAGCAACTGAGTTTTGGAGTAATTTGTAATGCAGCAAGAGATAACTAATACAACACAATATTCAGTATGTCCAAGAAACAATCCAAATTTTTTCAGTCTATGAAGAACTAGGAAAATCTCCTTTTACATGAGGGAAAACAAAAACAGATGCCAGTACAGAGATGATGAAGGTGTTGGAATTATCAGAAAAAACATTTAAGAGCAAGGATTATTTAAATCCTCCAACAATAAGGGCAGATACTTTTGAAACAAATGAAATGCTAGAAAGCCTTAAGGAGGAAATAGAAGATATAAAGAACAAAACGGAAATTTTTGGCCTGAAAAATAAGGTCATTAAGATTAAAAAGCCACTGGATAGTTCAAAAGCAGAATGGAGATGATAGAAGAAATCCAGTGAACTTGAAGACAGGAAAATAGCAGTTATCCAATCTGAACAATAGAGACAACACCATTGAACAGAGTCTCAGGGAACCATGAAACAACAACAAAACACCTAACATGTCTGTTATTAAAGTTTCAGACATAGAGGAGAAAGAGTTCAGTGAAGAAAAATATTTGCAAAAATAATGGCTAAAAACTTATTTCACAAGAGACACAAACCTACAGATTCAAGAGACTCGGTAAACCTGAATTGGATAAAGCTAAGGAAATGCACACTCACGTGCAGCACAACAAACCGCTGAATTCTACAGATAAGGAAGCAAATCTCAAAAAGAAAAGAACCCAAGAGAAATGATGCCTTACTTACAGGGGGGACATTGGAATGATTGTGTTTTTGCATCAGAAACCAAGAAAGCCAGAAGAAAGTAGAAAAATATTTTCAAAGTACTAAAAGAAAATAACTGTCAACTCAAATTCTAAATCCAGGAAAAATATTCTTCAAGAATTAACCTGAATTAAAGACATTCTCAGAGGAAGGAATTCTCATTGTTTTCCAGCATACATCTTCCAAAAGAGCTGCTACAGGAAATTCTTCAGAAAGAAGAGAAATGATACCAGAAGAAAAGTTGGAGCCTTAAGAAAAAAAAAGAGAGCAATGGAAATGATAAATATATGGGCTAATATATTATTTTTATTCTGTTGTTTTTTGATGGTTTGAAAGCAAAAAATACAACACCATCTGATGGCATTTTCAATGTATGTGGACATAATACATAAGACAACTATGATAGAAGGCTATACTCTGTATGCTTCCATTTCTACAATGTTCTCTAGAAGACATAACCATAGTGGTAGAGGACATGTAAGTGATGGCCAGGTCTTGGGGTGGAGGTGGGCTTTGATTGCAGAGAGAGAGCAGGAAGGAGTTTTTGAGGTGATAAAACATTACTGTATCTTGTTTGTGGTAGTGGTAAATCAAATTTATATATGTAGTAAATTTCATAGAACTACACACAGAGAAAAAGTCAATTCTACTGTATATTAATTCTAAAAAAAAGAACAGGAAGTATATAGTTAGGTCCCCCGGCAGTCTGATTTAAAAGGGAAGGAAATCTGCCTCCCGCGCCCTCTCACCCCACAGCTCTAAATGATGCATTTCTTCCTTTTGGTTTCTATAGGAATGTCCTTAAAAGAGGGAAGTTCATATAAAAATGATGAGATTTAAAATAAAAGCAGATAGGAAAACCCATGGACTTAAATTCTGCTTTAGGTTTAAATATTCTTTGGCTCGTTTCCAGCAAGAGAGCCTGAAAGTCGGATGAGTGGCATAAGACGTTACAGCAGGAGGTACAGCTAGTGACTACAAAAATGATTGGTCTGAAGTGAACAGCTTTCATGTTGGTAGATATGTCATATGTTGGTAGATATGGAGAACACTTCAAAAATTTGTGATGGACAGGGATAGAGGAGGAATTCTGTGATATTAACAAGCAAAGTTCTTTCCCTCTAGAATAGTAAATAACTCCTAACTCCTGACCATGGCACTAGAGCTCTTCAGTGCCCTGTAATTGCGGTTAATAGACAGAACCCCTGAGTCGCTATCTACACCCTCCAGGTTGCTTTCACACACGTACAGGTTGAAGAAACACTGGGGAACAAGAGCTTAGGTATGAAGAACATCTTAGATGTTATGTCCATGTCGGTAATGTCATGGGCTAGCTGCTTCTTCAAAGTAAAAGGTGAGTGGGGAAGAGAAACCAGCAACAGAGATCGACAAGAGTGGTAACGCGAGAACTAGACTCTAGTGAAAGGAAAGGAAAGAAGTTAAGTGAAAGTAAAGAAGTTAGAAGTATCAAAGAGTGGGTGGTCGACCATATAAAACACTCCAGAGAGGTCAGGTAAGGCAAAAATTGGGAAGCATTCATTGAATTTAATAATTAGGGCATTTTTCAATATTTTAGTGCAAACATATGATATATGCATCACAGTGTCTGCCCAGCCCAACTTCCCCTGCTGGTTAAAACTGCTTCAACCTCAGCCCCTACACAGGCAAGCTGTGTTAGGTTGATTTTCGCAAAACAGTGGTCAGAGCCTGACCAGGCATGGGCACCTGACTCAAGGGCAGCCCATTCCTAGGCTGGTAGGTGACCTTTGAGGAGGCCTAGCACAAAGATCACAATTAGCTGTTTCACCTGGCTCTGTCCAGGATTTGGACTGTGAGATATAAAGTGGATTGGCCATTTGCATGTGAGAGGAAAATACAGCAGGCTTGAAGAGAGAAAGAGAGATAGAGAGAGCAAGAGAGAGAGAGACTGCTATGGTTTTGAATACATCCCCTCTAAAATTCAGGTGTTGCAACTTAATGGCCAATGCAATCACATTAACAGGTGGGGCCTATAAGAGGTAATTAGGTCACGAAAAGTCCTTATAAACGAGGCTTCACAAATGAATGTGATTAAAGCCCTTACAAAAGAGGCTTCGTGCAGCATTTGACCCTCTTGCCCTTCCACCTTCAGCCATGGGGGTGGACGCCGTGCCTTCCCTCCAGACAATACAGTATCAATGCACCATCCTGGAAACAGCGGCTCTCACCATACACCGAAGCCACTGGCGCCTCGATCATGGACGTCTCAGTCTCCAGAACGTGAGAAATAATTTTTTGTTCTTTATAAATTATCAAGTCTGTGATATTCTTTTATAGGAGCACAAAATGGACTGAGACCGAGACACAAGCTATGTGTACCGAGAGAGGTAGATAATGGTGCCGGTCCGTCCAGCTGCTCTGATGAGAATGTGTGGGAATTTTATTACGAAGTTACCTGTCTAAAAGAATGAACCTTGTGTTGGATTGGGAAGAAGGGCCGTGGTAGAAAAGTGTGTGTGTGTGTGTGTGTGTGTGTGTGTGTGTGTAATAAGAGAAAAGACTTAATCATGATAGAGAATGTGAGGAATGCTACTATGTGACTCACCTAAATTCTGACTCTCAATCCAGCCCTACAGTTAGGGAGAATCATGTTTCTCCTACAAATATCCAAAGGACAGAGAAGTGCCCAGGGATGGCCAGCTACCTGGTGGCCATAGGAACTGCAGAATATTCACAGTGATCAAATTGTGGAGGGAAGGGCATTATTTGCGAGTCTGTACTGTGCACATGGTTCTATGTTAAGCACTTTACCCACGTTTCCTCATTTAAGCCCCACAACACCTGTAAATAAGCATGATTGTTCTCGCTTTAAAGTTCAGAAGATTTGAGGCCCCAGGAAATAACAGAGACCATTAAAACTGGAAGTTGAACCGAGATCTGTTTATCTGAGAGAGATCCTGATCTTTTCACCTTTCATACTTCCCCCATTTATGAATCTTATACCCTTAATAATTAACAAGCACACCTGCTGATTTCCTATGGGTGTGGCTCAGGATGAAATTTAAAAGTTTCCAATATAGTTGAGAAATAAACAAAAATACGTGTAACATGGCAAGGGACTGCTTGAAGTAGACCAGTCAGGGTTTTATCTATCTATCTATCTATCTATCTACACACACACATATAATTTATGATATATTATACATAAAAGTTATGATATATATAAAATTTATTATATGTTATATATAATTTATTGTCTAAGGTGAAAGGGAGGCACTAAAATTAATTGACTGGCATTAACAGTTCCAAAATAGTAGTAATTAGGAACTGTCCTGAACAAATCAGAACATATAGTTACCCTAATGAAACCTTGCTGTAATATTATACTTCCTGATTCAAGATTACTAAGGCCTCCAACTACTAACAAGGCCCTTCTCACATTTATTGTCTTTCAAAAAATACCCAGTACCTCTCAATCTATGAGGGCAGGGAACCCATGCTGAATTGGGAACCTCCCAGGCTTTCCTATCTGATAGCTTTTAGTGCAAATTGGGCAGATATGTTCTTAATTTGTGTAGGGATAAGAAGCCCAGGGCAATAATCATCTGGTGATCAGAAACTGAGTTTAGGAAAGGTTTGGGTTGGCCGGAAGCCTTGCCGTATCAATCAGGTTCTTAGTTGAAAGCAACAGAGAACAGCCCTGACAGAAAAGATAGATAGTACTGGTGGCTCACAGAATTGCTAAGAAGGCTGCATTACTAAGCACAGAAAGCAAACAGGAATAAGACAGACTGAAAAACAGGCAAATGACAGCCAAAATGACATCACAGAACTAACCCAGTGAGGACCTGGCTGCTGTCATTGGCACTGCATGTTGTATACCGCAGCCAGCACTGCTGCCATGTAGACCCAGAATGACTTCTCCACTGCTCCTGCTTTTTTTTGTAATGCCAACTCTCAATTCAGAGAGTCCAAGTGGGTGGATCTGATTGGTCAATCCTAGGCTATCCCTGCTAGTCTAGTCTTTTCAGGCCCATAGTGGAAAGGAGGGTTCTGCCTCCAAGAACTGTAATTTTGCCCCCAAATATTCATTTTTCCCTCCGAGGGGAAAGGATTACGCTTCCCTGCCCTTTTGCCATCAGGCTTGACCACGTTGCTTGTTTTGGCCAGTAGCATATTAGAGGAAAATCTGTGGGTGGTGTGCTAGTGGAAGCGTTAAGAGCCAATGCGTGCTCTGCCATCTACTTTCCCTCTGCCTCAAGAACACCAATGTTCTAGATTGGACTATTGCATCAACCTGAATCCCAAAAGTGGAAGATGACATGGAACAGAGCCACAACGAGCCCATGAGGGGCATGCAGCATTAGCAAGAATTAAACCTTTGCAAGCCACTAAGATTTGCAGGGGTTATTTGTTACCAGGGTATAAAGCAATCTATCTGACTGATACATGCTCTCACCAAAACACATGTGATGGAGAATTCCCAAACACAGAGAAAGAGAGTTCAGATGCTTGGCCAAAAAGTTAAAAAAAAAAAACAAACAATTAAAAAATTCATTTTCATATAGAACATTCATGTAAATATAGAATGTTAAATGAGTCACCTTCCTTAAGTTCTCAGTTTCCCTGTGGCTCTCCCAGGGGCTGCCCTATGGTCCTCACAGCACTATAAGAGTACACAGTTTGCGTGGGTAGAAGAACCCTTGGGGCAAAATCAGCAAATTCTTCACAATCTCTGGTGTGTGTATGTTAGAGATTATTTATATTGATCTTAAAAAAATCACTGAATGTTAAAATTGATCAGGGAAGGCTTCTGCTGGGAAAGAATGGTTTGTGAAAAACACTCAAGGCAAGTTGAGACAATAAAACATTGTAAAATGTGTGTTTGTGTGTGTGTGTGCACGCAAATAGCAAATTAGTTTTTAGGTGGTTTTATTGCTAAAAAAGTAGTTACATATTTTATTTTAACATGTAATGAAAATAAGGAATCTACTATTTCTTAGCTACACAATGAAAATACATAGTTGTGGCTGTTTTCTATGAAATTATTTTTCTTCTCCTAAGGAAATTAAGTTCAACACAACTTCCTGGCTTTCTTGAAAGTTTTAAGGTTCCACAATTTCATTCACATCTGCTCATGACGTTCAGTTTTTAAGACTTGGTTCACAGACTAAAAAGAATCCTTACATTAAGAAGCAGGTCAACCAATGAATTCCAAAGAGAATTTGCCTTAGAGGCCTTTCAGAAAAGGTAGGGCAGAACTTGGCAGTGGTACCAGGTGTTGGCTAACCCAAGGCATGGAGATAATTTGGAGATCCAGCCTCTTGTTACTTTAGTCCAAAAGAAGCAATTCCTATTTAAAAAGTAATCTAAAATGGTTTTTAAAAATCCACTTTTTTTCTTTTTAGTATGGGACATACCTATGAAATTCCACACATTTCCTTTCCGCCACTCTTAAATCAGTCCATCAATCCACTCTTTTCAATGGGTGATGTCATTTGTCCACTGCCTGGCCAATCTACACATCTTTTGAGTACCTACAATGTGACCTGGGGTGCATGTACCACCTTGGCATCACAGGATAATGTAGTTACCTGTTTAAGAGGTGAAAAAATGTTACCTTAATCACTGGCATCGGAGCTCCTCTTAGGGATAGGAAAGTCTTTGTTTAGTAAATAATTTCCCAAGCCTTTTTTTTTGTGAGTGTGGGAAGAAGAGTAAAGGGGATCATCTATACAGAACACATGAAAACAAGGGGATGGAGCAGCTGCTTTGCATGGAAAGATACAGAGGGAAAGGTGGGAAGGGGAGAGTATTGAGCAACTGGCTGGGAGACAGGAGGCGATGAGAAATTCCCAGGAACAAGGATAGGCAAGGATGCCCACTATCAACAGCACTAAACCTTAAGATATTGTTAAAAAGGGTTTACTTTAAATCCGCCTTATCAAGAGTCCCTGTGTGAATAGTGCTATGAGGAAAGGGACTGTGCACTTGAGGCGGTGAAATGATCCCTAAGAAGCATCAACACAGTGGAAGTGGGGGCTTGAGTCAGAGGTCTCTGAGTAAGTAAAAATTTCCCAAAGATATCCCAGAGTGACTGGGAGGTAGTTTGTGCAACCTCTGATGCATGATAGGGGTCACACCATTTTCACTGCAATCCCAATGAGCATGATGACTCAGCCACCAATTCCAGCTGCCGTTTTGGTTGCAGTTGTGAGAAGTGGTCCCATCCTCAAGAACATAACATGCTCCTATGTTATTGTGAACAGCGCTGCAGTGAACATATGTGTGCATGTATCTTTATAATAGAATGATTTATATTCCTTTGGGTATATACCCACTAATGGGATTTCTGGGTCAAATGGTATTTCTGCCTCTAGATCTTTGAGGAATCGCCATACGGTCATCCACAATGGTTGAAATAATTTACACTCCCAGCAACCGTGTAAAAGTATTCCTTTTTCTCCGCAAACTTCCAGCAGCTGTTTTTTGTCTGTTTAGTGTACCTATTCTGACTAGTGAGAGATGGCTTCTCATTGTGGTTTTGATTTGCATTTTTCTAATGATCGGTGATGTTGAGCATTTTTTCATATGTTTGTTGGCTGCATATATGTCTTATTTTGAGAAATGTCTGTTCATGTCTTTGCCCACTTTTTAAAGGGGTTGTTTTTCTTGTAAATTGGAGCAACCTGTATTCTCATCATGGGGAGGGGGTGGTTATTAAATGAACCATGCTTCATCCATACTATAGAACAAGTTACGCATCGTTTCAAAATAATGTTGGCAGATTTGAATATACTGACATGGAAAGATCTCTAAGACCTGTAGCTAAGTTTAAAAAGCAAGGCAAAGATCAATATCTAATTTTTTTATGGAAAACTTCCCACAAAATATAATTACATATTTGAATGTGTAAGTACATTTTCCTTGGTAGGGATGGGATTAGATAGGGAGCTGGAGACAAAACCTATTTTGCTTGAAAAATTTTAACCATGAGAATGTCTTTATGTTTAGTCGGGTGTGGTGGCACATACCTGTAGTCCCAGCTACTTGGGAGGCTGAGGCAGGAGGATTGCTTGAGCCTGGGAATCTGAGGCTGCAGTGCAATCGTGCCACAGAGCTCCAGCCTGGGTGACAGAGTGAGACCCTGTCTCAAAATAAATAAATAAATAAAAATTAAAAAGAATGTATTTATGTGGTACTCGTATAATCATGAATCATAAAGTTTAAAATAAAAATGTAGAACTGTGCAAGGTCAGATTCTGGAGACCATTAGAATACACACACACACGTGCACGCATGCACACACACACACACGTGACAGTGCTGGCAATGTAAATCTAGATAAAAAGAACCTAGTATTTAAAAGGAGCTCGGCAGCCTTGTCCTTTCTCAAATCAGAAAAGCCCAGGCTGCGGAGAAGCAAGGTTCCTATGCATGCACGCAACATGTGACCTTAACCTCCCAGGAAATCTGAAACTTAGGGCCTTGCCACAGGGACACAACATCTGTCACAACTACACCCACTTTCAGGTGTGTCGTGAGGACCTAGTCACCTGTTTTCACTCTTACTTTTGAGACAGCAAAGAGTTTTGAAACAGCCTCTGATGGAGTCCACAACTATCGGGGAAACCTGCCCCAATATTTCAACATAGGTTCTTTCTATTTTCCGTAAGTGTTGCCCGGCTGAGAAATAAAGAGAGACAATATAAAGAGGGGAATTTTACAGCTGGGCCACCATTGGTGACATCACATATTGGTAGGACCATGATGCCTGCCTGAGCCTCAAACCAGCAAGTTTCTTATTAAGGGTTTCAAAAGGGGAGGGGGTGTAACAACAGGGAGTAGGTACAAAGATCACATGCTTCAAAGGGCAAAAAGCAGAACTACTAATAAGGGTCTAACAAAGATCGCATGCTTCTGAGGGAACAGGACAAAGGGCAAAAGCACAACTACTGATAAGGGTCCAACAAAGATGACAATGAAAAGGGCAAAAGCAGCACTACTGATAAGGGTCTGTGTTCAGTGGTGCACATATTTTCTTGATAAACATCTTAAACAACAGAAAACAGGGTTCGAGAGCAGAGAACCGGTCTGACCACAGATTTATCAGGGCAGAGTTTTTCCCCACCCTAGGAAGCCTGAGGGTACTGCAGGAGACCAGGGCGTATCTCAGTCCTTATGTCAACTGCATAAGATAGACACTCCCAGAGCAGCCATTTATCAACCTCCCCCAGGAATGCATTCCTTTCCCAGGATATTAATATTCCTTGCTAGGAAAAGAATTTAGCGATATCTTTCCTACTTGCAAGTCCATTTATAGGCTCTCTGCAGGAAGAAAAATATGACTCTTTTTGCCCGACCCCACAGGCAGTCAGACCTTATGGTTGTCTTCCCTTGTTCCCTAAAAATTTCTGTTATTCTGTTCTTTTTCAAGGTGCACTGATTTCATATTGTTCAAACACACATGTTTTACAATCAATTTGTACAGTTAACACAATTATCACAGTGGTCCTGAGGTGACATATATCCTCAGCTTATGAAGATAACAGGATTAAGAGATTAAAGACAGGCATAAGAAATTATAAAAGTATTATTTGGGAACTGATAAATGTCCATGAAATCTTCACAATTCATGTTCCTCTGCCACAGCTCCAGCCAGTCCCTCCGTTCGGGGTCCCTGACTTCCCGCAACACACAACTGATCACCTCGGTGTGAAATTCTCCTTAGGAAATCTCACTGATGATGAAGCCAATACTTAGTCCTCATGTTGGGTGTGAGGACAGCACAGGCATGGGCTCTGTCTGTGCTGCTTAGTGGCTGATGTTCTTCAGCACCAGAAGTCAGACTTGCATGGAGTTCTGCATTTCCAGGTCCTGTTCAGGGCTGCTGGGCCTGTCTTCTTGTCTTCTATGAATCCTTTCTCTCTCACGTCTTCCTGTCTGTCTCATTCCCCTGCTCCCTCCCCTGTGTGTCTGTAGAAAACACCAAATCTTCAAGAAAACTTTCTCTACAAGCTACCACTACCTGGCCTTCCTCTCCTCTCTTACAGATCTTCTAGAAGGCCCAGTCCCTTCCTGTCATCTCCCGCTTCTTCTTCAGCAGTTTCAACCATTGACCTTCAACCCTCACAATGTCAGTTCTTCACCTATTACTGTGTCACTCTCACAGAGGTCACCTGTGTCCTCGCTGTCACCTACTCACATGCTGTCTCCTCCATACCCCATGACAGCCGCAGTTTCTGGCCATGGACAGCACCATTCTTGAAACTCTTCTCCCTTCACTCCTTTGAGATTGCTCTTTCTTGGTCTCCATCCCAAAGTCTATATTTCTCAGTGGTCTTTCGGGGTATTGCCTTGACCCTCTTCTCCCTGCCTTTTCTCCCTTAGGGATTTGTATCCAACGACACATTTTCAGCCCTTACTTTTGTGAAGCTGGTTCCCACGTCTACATCTGGCCATCAGCTTCTCCTTGTGCCCTGTGCCCCTTTCCCGCTGCCGGCAGGATATTCCCTGCACGCAAGCATCCTTCTAGCATTTTCGTTTTGGCAGCTGTAAATCTAGGCTGATCCTCTTCCTGCCAGCCCTACTTGTCTGCCTCCTGGGTTTCTGAATTCAGTGAACTCTCCAGTGATAAAGCCATCTTCTCTCCCCACCAGATCCCATTAATAACAATTCTCACTTGTATCCCTTCACTTGACAAACACCTCTCCTCCTTCCCTCCCGCTCCTGTGGGTTCTCACTGGGCCCATCAGTATAGCCTCTTAACTGCTCTCCCAGACCCCAGCCACCAGTGTGAACCTCCTAAGGCACCAGCTTCCTGTCTTCAAACCTTCATCTCCTCAAGGATAAAGTTTACTGCCTTAGGACAGCACTCAACTTCTCAATTTGCTCCAGCCTACCTGTAAAGCCTTATCTACTACTAGCCCTTCGTTTGTTCCATGAATCTTCTCATCAATCCCTATGGATTTAAGAAAATAAAGGCTTCCTGACTCTCTACAGAAACTGGGAGGTTCTCTAGAATCTCTAGAGTCTAGAGATGAGAGAATCTCTGGAGATTAGGTTTCACCTGCCTCCACGTGCAACCTTCCAGGATAATAGTGACTTGTGTCCTTTGTATCAGGCCCTCTGCCACATTGCTGCTTTTTCCAGCAAGACTCCCTCAGCATTGCCTCCTCTCACCCAGATCCTCTTCTTTCAAAGGCACCCCTTAACCTCAGAACTCTTCAGCTTAGTTACACTGAGGAGAAGACTTGGGCTCAGAGAAGTTAGGTAATTCCCTCCATGTCAGTTAGGTATTAATGGGAGGAGTGGGGATTTGAACTGCGATCTCTCTAATGTCTAAATGGGTGCTTTCTCCAGTTTGCCTGGATGGCTGCCTGATTGTGCTTTTCCCAGCTGGCCTTAAAGGGCTAGCAGTGTTAGCAACACTTGCGGTAATATTCTTGAGAACAATCTTGTCTTAGTTGCTATCTTTTCTAATCCTCCGTCCTACTTAAGGCTTGGAGCTCAGGGGTCCTCAATAAGTGCTTAGTGAATGGCACTGAATTTTCTTGTATTCTCCAGTTTTTCCCAAGCAGGTGCTATATTTCTCCTTAACTCCCAAAGGATTGATATTTTATTCAGCTACAGGACCTCTGGGTGGTGGATGGTCTTGTGGCTGTGGGGGTGTCCCGTTGCTTTAGCCTCAGTTAGGACTCATGTTGAGGAATGTAGGCTTCTTGAGCTTTGGTCATTTCCAAATCAGAGCCCATGGCTCTCTCACCCTTGACTTGAGCCCACTGCCATGAAGATTTGCAAATGACCAACAGGCCTCAGATTCCATTGCATGAGCCTTTCCTAAAGGAGCAGGAACAGGAGCAGGAACAGGAAGAGGAACAGGAGGAGGAGGAGGAACAGGAGGAACAGGGTTCATTTGGAAACACAGGAAAATGCCTAAATATACATGAAGAGTTAAAAAAGCACAGCCATGATTCTGTAAATTAGCCTTCACAGAGCTCCTTCATATTGAATGTTACTGGATATCACTGCTACAGCCCTGAAACTATTCTTCTATAAACCTATAAAAGGAAAGCATTTTGAATAGTTACACATTAACAATATTTAAAATTCTTTCTGGAGTAATGTTTGGCCATGATTAGCTGTTCCTGAATTAGGATGCATTATGCCTTATGCAAGCCTGCAGGAAAGTACACCGTCTTAGCCAGGGGCGTCCTTCACCTTTCTTCTTATAGCTCTTACATTTGGTAACCCTAAGCAAGCTACATAAGCTCCCTGAGCCTCAGTGTCCTCTGTTAGGTGGGAATGACAATACTTCACCTCACTGTTGTGAGGATTTAATGACTTAGAACTAAATCACTTAGCTCTGTGCCTGGCCCACAGTAGGGACTCAATTAATACAGATTTCTTCCCTTGTTTCCTGACAAAACCCGTTCATTTTTTAAACCAGTAAAGCATTGTCTCTAGTTGTTGTTTTTTAAATCCCCACCCATTATTTATTCATTGAACATTTGTTGATCACTTGTGCATGCCAGGCATTGTTCTAGGTTCCGGGATACCTCAATGAATCACATGGACAAGGCCCATGACTTCGCTGAGTGCCTCGGTGTTAGCACAGAGTTGGGGGTACATTATTCTCCAGTTTTGTTGGAATTAGCCTTTCTGCATCGTGTGTTCCCAGCTGGGGGAACCTCATTTCAATTCCTTCATCTTCTTTTACTTCATTTTCTGGTGCTGTACTCCAATACTGATTGCTTGTGGCAGTGTATGATTTGGAAGAAAATAACTTAGAAAAACAGATAAAATGCTTAAAGATGCATAAAGAATTGCAAAAGTACTCCCATGGTGTTTGAAAATTACCAAGACTCAAACAAGACTAAGACACACTCATGTTTAACTAAGTGAAGTATTTCTCACCATCAGGAGCTGTTCAGTTTGGATGGCGAGAGACCTGGAGGTGTTTGGATCAAATTGCCGTATTAACAAACTTGCGTTCCTGCACCTAGGTCTTGGCCAACTTACAGTCATTCAAATTACTCTAGGATAAATTAGCTTTGACCAAATCCCCTGAATCCACAAGCTTTGTGTCCCTAGTGCATTCTTCAATGCCTGGCACTAGATAGATGCTCAGCAAATTCTAGCAAATTCTATCATTTTTTATTTGTCTTCCCCTATGGCACCATAAGTTGCCTGAAGTCTGGGCCATCGTCTTATTCATCTTTGTATTATTCTGAACACAGAGTCTACCACAGTGTAGACCCGCAGTAAATGTTTGTTAAATGGACAAAGGAATGAACAAAGGAACAAACTGAGTGGAGGAATTTTTGGAAGCTCATTCTAGCATACAAGCTCTGCCAGAGCAGGGAATGGGAGGCTAGGCTGGGGGTGGAGGGTCACCGTGCCTGCAATCAGTGAATGGTGGCTCTCAGAAGACCTAGGACCCAGCATGAGTGTCCCTGCTTTCGTGGTGGCACAGGGTCATGTCTGTGTGAGGCCACTTCCCCTCCCCCACACATAATTGGAGGCCTTCTCTGATCAGCCTGCTTTGGAAAACTGCTTGCACCTGGCCTGGAAGAACACAATTAAAAGACGCCATAAAAATTGACAGATCACAGTGCGGAGGGCTGAAAATACATTACAATTCCAATCGAACTATAAATAAAGCCCCTAAATTAAATAAATCTCACACAATTATGGATTAAAACATGTTTAGTGTTAATGGCCTTGCGCATGGACCCTGACTCCCGAAATTGTTGCTGAGGCTGCATGGCCAGGGGATTGCATCATAATTAACACGAAGCCATCCCGGAGGGGGCGGCCCCAGGTCCAACTGTGGGCCTTCAGAAGGACAGGCGTGGACCAATGAGGCCCCCTCTTCTGGGTGAGCTTCCAAATGCTTACCCAGCCCCTTCATGGTACCACTGACTTTTCCTTGGAAGAATATGACCTGGAGATGGCTGTCACTCTTTTTTTTTTTTTTTTTTTTTTTTTTTTTTTTTTTTTTTTTGAGACGGAGTCTCGCTCTGTCGCCCAGGCTGGAGTGCAGTGGCGGGATCTCGGCTCACTGCAAGCTCCGCCTCCCGGGTTCACGCCATTCTCCTGCCTCAGCCTCCCAAGTAGCTGGGACTACAGGCGCCCGCCACTACGCCCGGCTAATTTTTTGTATTTTTAGTAGAGACGGGGTTTCACCGTTTTTTTAGCCGGGATGGTCTCGATCTCCTGACCTCGTGATCCGCCCGCCTCGGCCTCCCAAAGTGCTGGGATTACAGGCGTGAGCCACCGCGCCCGGCCGGCTGTCACTCTTAGGACCTGATCCTGTACACAAAGGCTTAGGCTGGGCTGAGTGTTGCGGCTCCCCTGGTTGCTCTATCGCGCAGATGTCTACATGCACCAAGACAATGACCCCACACCAAAAAAGGGATTGTGGAAGAAATACTTGGATAATTCAGTCATTTGATCACTCCTACTCTGTTCCTTTGAAGTCTATACCTTGTATATAAATGGCCAGCAATCATATTGTACATTAAAATACAGAACATTTTCTATAGTAACTCTTAAACTCCAATTGTTAGAACCAAGGAGGTTGGTAAAATCATGAAGGACAATGAAAGGTATCAGAGTTTTAGCTATATCAAACCAAGTAAGAGTGCCTAAAAATTAGGAATCTTGCAAGAGAGAGGTGAGGAGCCCATGGCTTTCATTCAAGATCAATTCGTACCTCTCACCGAGATCCAACAGATGGAAAGAGGCTCCGGGACCCCCATTGTGCTCCCTGGAGGAGGGCAGGGTGGTGGTGAAGAACAGGGGCTCTGGATCAGGCTGCTGGGGCTCTACTCCCAGCTCTGTGGCTTCCTAAGCACCCACTGCTCTTGGTGTTTTGGGTTCCCCGCCTCCATATCGGGGATGATAATGGCAACTCCTTAGCAGTGAGGGTCTGGCCTGAGCTAAGCCTGCATGTGTGTTGGTGTCATCACAGTTGCTACTGTGACTGTACAGGAAGCGAGCCTGTCTTGGCTCCCACACTCTAGCTGTGAGGGCCCTTACCTGGTCCACCCTAGACGTGGCAGGAGAGGAGCTGCAGGGGTTCCTGGTGTGTTGCAGGAAGGTGAAGAGCGTGGTTTGGGGCAGACACTCTACCAGTTAACCAGCCTGTCTGTCTCCTTGAGCAACTGGGCTATGCCTGGAGGGATGGGCGTTAGATATTCGCCGAGTTAGAGTGAGGATTAAGTGAAAGGAAGACATACAAAAAACGTAACCCTAGCACCTGGAAAACAAACTGTGCTTGATAAATGCTGACTTCCCTCTCCTCCCTTCCCTGCATCTTTCTGTTGTCTTAACAAAAGCCAAAAAGACCCTTGAACTTCTTCAAGGCTGAAGAAGTTGGCTATGGCAGGGCTGATGGGAGAGGCACACTGAGGAATGGTCTTAAGCAGCAGACACACTGTCCTGGGTCCCTCAGCTGCCCTAGTGGGAGGGGAAGCCCTTGGCCTGGAGCAGCTAAAGCCTGTGTTAGATCCTCTTCCTCAGGCCCAATTGCTTTCTCTGACCATGCTGTTGTCTTTCTCATGCTGACACTTCAAAAATACAGACTTTACCTTGTCACTCCCCTGCTTTAAAAAATATGTTAAGGGGGTCCCGTTTAGGATAAAGTGTAAAGCTCCTTACCAGTGTGTACAAAAAGGGGTGACTGATCTTTTCTAATCTCTACACTTTGCACTCTGCATTTCATCATATTGGCCTTCTTTAAGTTCCCGGGCAATCTCATGTTCTGTGGTGCCCACCTGTGGGTTATGTGTACTCTTCCCTGTGCTTAGAATTTCCTCCCTGCACCCCTTGGTGAGCCTCACCTGGCTGACTTCAGGGCTTGACTTGGCTCTTGCATCTTAAGTGAAGCCTTCCTTCCCTGAGCCCTCCTGCTTGAGTTGGGTGCCCCTCCCTTGTGCTTCCTCAGCAGCCTGCTGGGACCCCATGAAAGCCCCATGTATTCTCACTGAATTACTCATTGACATGCCTGCCTCTTCCACTAGATGACAAGCTCCAAGAGGGCAGGAGGCCCGTTTCCTTCATTCACTGCTGTATGCTTGATGTAGCACAGCGCCTGACTCAGAGTAGCACACAGGAAATACTGGCTGAATGAAAAAAAAAAAAAATGAAATTGCTCATTCTCATTCTACACTTGTTGCTTTTTGGCATCACCATGGCTATGATGATGCAGGAAGCTCAGGGACAACAGAGTATGCATTTTCCTTAGTGAGTGGAGAGCTAGTTCCAAAAGTCCCATGAGGAGAAGAGGTTCCCTGGAATGGGCAGGCATCAGCAAATCCTGGCCTGGAACACTTCCTCTCTTGTCCGTCATTTCACATTCAAATCATAGCTAGCTAGATAGCTAGACAGATATATGGATATACATACAGATATATGTAGAATATATAGATCAGAATTTATTGCAAGGAATTGCCTTACACAGTTGTGGGAAGCTAGCTAGACAAATCTGAAATCGGCAGGGCAGGAAGATCAGGCTGGAAATCTCACCTGCCCCACAGGTGGAATTTCTTCTTCAAGGAAGCCTTAGTTCTATTCCTAAACCTTTCAATGGATTGAATCAAGCCCACTCAGATAATCTAGGATAATCTTCCTTAATTAAACTGATTATAGATTTTAATCACATTGACAAAATACCTTCACAGTAACACTTAGACTAGTGTTTGATTGAATAACCTGGGGACGATAGTCTAGCCAAGCCTAAATGTAACACTCACCTGGGGTCATAAGAGCTAGAGCTGCATTAAGATCCTCCTGCCTCCTGCTGGTCTCTCTGGGCCACGTGCTTTCTCTTCCTTGGCATGCCTTCTAGCTGGGTTAGGCAGGGAAGACTAACACATGCTGCTTTGATGCCTTCTCCAAAGGTCTTGTCAGGACGTGACCACAGGACATTTCCAGATAGCATAATCTCCAGAAGAATGGCTTTTCTCTTTTAGTGGACTGCAAAGAATCTAGAAAATAGTGGTTTCATAATATGAGAAACCTTATTCAACACCCCCAAAAGAGGAATTCAGGAAGCCATTCCCGGTAGACCATGGAGGCAGGGCTCATTTTCGGCTTGGGGGCATCAGTATGGCCATAGGGTTGTTGGAGCTGGCTTCCATGCTAGGCCATATTGGTTGCTAAATATTTTGACTATCAACATTGGGCAGAGGTTAGACTCCCCTGGGCCAGTGTGGTTTAAGCAGAGTAGCCATTTAAAATATGCTCAACAGCTTAGATAGTCAAAGGGGACATTAGTGTTTGAGAGTCTCTAAGACACAATTCGTTCTGTCAGTTTCAACATGGAAGTGGGGAAATAGTCCCACCCTGGTGCCGCAAAGATTGTTTCATTAGAGGTTAATGCTGCTGAAATCCTTCTGGAAGAATGCCTGGCAGGAGTTTCATCATAATTGATCAGCATTACAGAGAGACTGTAAAAGTCCATGGAGATTGCTACTTGCAGAAGTGGGAACTAGAATCAGAAACATGTTAGAAAATTCTGCCCACTAAAGCTGAGAGGAAACTCAGATTGCTAAACTCCTCATGACAAGAATCGAACAGTGTCTTCTGAGTATGTTCTGTGCTGGGCACTGTCCTGGCTGCTGGGAACACAACACTGACTTATTGATTGTCCTCTACCCTCTACTCCCAACAGGAAAATAAGTTTCATGGGGACAGAGGTTGTTAGGTCTGCCTTGTTCACAGCTAACAGAACCCTGATTTTTTGTTTCTGAATGGATACAGACCTATATAGAAAATAGATTAAAATTTATTTTGATTTTTCTTTCCAGGGTAGAAAAAAATCAGACTTCATCAGATTCATCTTTTGAACTGATTCCCAAGTGATGAATCATGATGGCCTAAGTCAAGGTTGGCAATTGTTTTGTTAAAGGGCCAGATGGTAAATGTTTTAGGCTTTGTGGCCATATAGGATTTGTCACCACTACTCACTGCTACTAGTGTAAAGGCAGCTGTAGGCAATATATTAATGCATGAGTATAACAATGTTTTAAAAACCCAAAACTTTATTTCAAAAAAAAGGTGGTGGGCTGGATTTTGCCCAAGGGCCATAGTTTGCTGACCCCTTATTCTAAGTTGAACATTTTAGTGTCAGGACCTCTTTGCACTCTTCAATTTTATTGAGGACACCAAGTAATTTTTGTTTATGTGGGTTACATCTATCAATGTTTTATACATAAAAATTAAAACTTAGAATTTAAAAAATATTTCTCTTAAAAATAGCAATAATAAGCTCATTCTATGCCAGCATAAATAACATGTTTTATGGAAAACTAACATGTTTTCTAACACAAAATACTAATGAGATATTATTTGACATATTTACAAATGTCTTTAGTGTCTGGATCGATAGAAGACAGCGGGATTCTCGTATCTGCTTTTGTGTTCAGACTGGTGCGATGTTTTAGTTGAAAATTCAGTCTCATACAGAGACATAATTGGAAAAGGCAGGACCTCACAGATTCCCTGGATTGTCTTGAAGACAATTCCTGGAATATCTTGAAGACACCCATTTGCAATTGCGACATAAAATAAAATAGGAACAGATTTAACCAAATAACTGAAAGATCGCTACAAGGAAAACTATCAAACATTGAAGAAAGAAATTGAATAGGATACAAACAAATGAAAAGACATCCCATGCTCATAGATCAGAAGAATTAATATTGTTAAAATGACAATGCTACCCAAAGTGATCTATAGATTGAATGCAATTCCTATCAAAATACAAATGACATTCTTCACAGAAATAGAAAAAAAGCCCTAAAATTTGTATAGAATCACAAGACCCCAAATAGCCAAAGCAGTACTGAGCAAAAAGAACAAAACTGGAGGTATTATATTACCAGACCTTAAAATGTACTACAAAGCTATAGTAACCAAAACAGCATGGTACTGGCATAAAAACAGACACCTAGACCAAAGGAGCAGAAAAGACAACTCAAATTAATCCACATTATCTACAGCCAATTGATTTTTGAAAAAGGTGCCAAGAACACTCACTGGGGAAAGGACAGCCTTTTCAATAAATGATTCTGGGGAAACTGAATATCCACATGCAGAAAAAATGAAACTAGATGCCCGTCTTTCATCCTATATAAAAATCAATTCAAAATGGATCAAAGACCTAAAGTAATACCCGGAACCATAACCCTGCTAGAAGAAAATATAGGGGAAATGCTTCAGGACTTTGGACTGGTAAAAGATTTTATAAATAAATCCTCAAAAGAATAGGCAACAAAAGCAAAAATATACAAATGAGATTATATTAAGCAAAAGAGCTTCTGCACAGAAAAGGAAACAATCAGCAAAATGAAAAGACAACCTACTGAATGGCAGAAAAAAAATGTTCAAATTACTCATCTGGCAGGGGATTAATATACAGAATATATAGGAACTCAAACATCTCAACAGGAAAGACAGTCCTATTAAAAAGTGATCAAGTGATCTGAAAAGAGATTTCTCAAAAGAAGACATATAAAGCCAATAAACATGAAAAAAGCCAATAAACATGAAAAACATAAAAAGCCAATAAACATGAAAAATTGTTCAACATAAGTAAACATCAGGGAAATGCAAATCAAAACTACAAGGAGGTATCTCACCTCAGTTAGGATGGCTGTTTTCAAAAAGACAAAATATAACAAGTGTTGGTAAGGATGCAGAGAAAAGGGAACTTATACACTGTTGGTGGAAATGTAAACTAATACAACCATTATGGAGAACAGTATGGAGGTTCCTCAAAAAACTACGATTAGACCTACCATATGATCTGGCAATCCCACTAGTGGGCATTTATCCAAAGGAAAGGAAATAATTATATCAAAGAGACATCTGTACCTTCATATTTATTGCAACACTATTCACAATAGCCAAGATATGGAATCCACCTGGGTGTCCAATAACAGATAAATGGATAAAGAAAACGTTGTATATTTACATAGTGGAATACTATTCAGACATTATAAAAAATGAAATCCTGTCATTCGCAGCAACATGGATGGAACTGGAGGATATTATGTTAGGTGAAATATTCCAGGAACAGAAAAAAGTTAAACACCATATGTTCAAAAAAGTTGATCTCATAGAAGATTAAAGTTAAAAGTAGAATGGAGTGTACTAGAGGCTGGGAAGGATAGGGAGAGATTTGTTAAAGGATACAAAATTACAGCTAGATAGAAGCAGTAAGTTCTAGCATTTTGTACCACTGTAGGATGACGAGTTAAGAATAATATGTAGTCTCAAATAGCTAGAGAGAATGTTGAACATTCTTTTTTTTTTCTGTTTGCTCAACTGTTTTATTCTTTTTTTAAATTTTATTATTATTAGACTTTAAGTTTTATGGTACATGTGCACAACGTGCAGGTTTGTTACATATGTATACATGTGCCATGCTGGTGTGCTGCACCCATTAACTCATCATTTAGCATTAGGTATATCTCCTAATGGTCTCCCTCCCCCCCACCACCCCACAACAGTCCCCGGTGTGTGATGTTCCCCTTCCTGTGTCCATGTGTTCTCACTGTTCAATTCCCACCTATGAGTGAGAACATGTGGTGTTCAGTTTTTTGTCCTTGCGATAGTTTGCTGAGAATGATGGTTTCCAGCTTCATCCATGTCCCTACTAAGGACATGAACTCATCATTTTTATGCCTGCATAGTATTCCATGGTGTAGATGTGCCACATTTTCTTAATCCAGTCTATCATTGTTGGACATCTGGGTTGTTTCCAAGTCTTTGCTATTGTGAACAGTGCCACAATAAACACACGTGCATGTCTCTTTACAGCAGCATGATTTATAATCCTTTGGGTATATACCCAGTAATGGGATGGCTGGGTCAAATGGTATTTCTAGTTCTAGATCCCTGAGGAATCACCACACTGACTTCCACAATGGTTGAACTAGTTTACAGTCCCACCAACAGTGTAAAAGTGTTCCTATTTCTCCACATCCTCTCTAGCACCTGTTGTTTCCTGACTTTTTGATGATCTCTATTCTAACTGGTGTGAGATGGTATCTCATTGTGGTTTTGATTTGCATTTCTCTGATAGCCAGTGATGATGAGCATTTTTTCATGTGTTTTTTGGCTGCATAAATGTCTTCTTTTGAGAAGTGTCTGTTCATAATTCAACAACCCTTCATGCTAAAAACTCTCAATAAATTAGGTATTGATGGGACGTATCTCAAAATAATAAGAGCTATCTATGACAAACCCACAGCCAATATCATACTGAATGGACAAAAACTGCAAGCATTCCCTTTGAAAACTGGCACAAGACAGGGATGCCCTCTCTCACCACTCCTATTCAACATAGTGTTGGAAGTTCTGGCCAGGGCAATCAGGCAGGAGAAGGAAATAAAGGGCATTCAATTAGGAAAAGAGGAAGTCAAATTCTCCCTGTTTGCAGATGACGTTATTGTATATCTAGAAAACCCCATTGTCTCAGCCCAAAATCTCCTTAAGCTGATAAGCAACTTCAGCAAAATCTCAGGATACAAAATCAATGTGCAAAAATCACAAGCATTCTTGTACACCAATAACAGAGAGCCAGATCATGAGTGAACTCCCATTCACAATTGCTTCAAAGAGAATAAAATACCTAGGAATCCAACTTACAAGGGATGTAAAGGATCTCTTCAAGGAGAACTACAAACCACTGCTCAATGAAATAAAAGAGGATACAAACAAATGGAAGAACATTCCATGCTCATGGGTAGGAAGAATCAATATCGTGAAAATGGCCATACTGCCCAAGGTAATTTATAGATTCAATGCCATCCCCATCAAGCTACCAATGACTTTCTTCATAGAATTGGAAAAAACTACTTTAAAATTCATATGGAACCAAAAAAGAGCCCACATCGCCAAGTCAATCCTAAGCCAAAAGAACAAAGCTGGAGGCATCACGCTACCTGACTTCAAGCTATACTACAAGGCTACAGTCACCAAAATAGCATGGCACTGGTACCAAAACAGAGATATAGACCAATGGAACAGAACAGAGCCCTCAGAAATAATGCTGCATATCTACAACTATCTGATCTTTGACAAACCTGACAAAAACAAGCAATGGGGAAAGGATTCCCTATTTAATAAATGGTGCTGGGAAAACTGGCTAGCCATATGTAGAAAGCTGAAATTGAATCCCTTCCTTACACCTTATACAAAAATTAACTCAAGATGGATTAAAGACTTATATGTTAGACCTAAAACCATAAACCCCCTAGAAGAAAACCTAGGCAATACCATTCAGGACATAGGCATGGGCAAGGATTTCATGTCTAAAACACCAAAAGCAATAGCAACAAAAGCCAAAATTGACAAATGGGATCTAATTAAACTAAAGAGCTTCTGCACAGCAAAAGAAACCACCATCAGAGTGAACAGGCAACCTACAGAATGGGAGAAAATTTTTGCAACCTACTCATCGGATAAAGGGCTAATATCCAGAATCTACAATGAACTCAAACAAACAACACCATCAAAAAGTGGACGAAGGATATGAACATTCTTAACACAAAGAAATGATAAGTCATTGAGATGATGCATATGCTAATTACCCTGATCTCATCACTGTACACTATATGTATTGAAACATCACTTATGTACCCCATGAATATGTGCATTTATTTGTCAATTAAAAAAATGAAATCAAGAAAATAAAAATGGTACTGTACCATGCAGATTTCCATAAAAACTGTATTTTATTTTTATATAATTATATATTAATAACATTTCCTTCTACGTTAATGCATAGAAATTTAACTTATTTTTGAGGGAACTTTATAGCACTAAATGTCCACATCAGAAAGTTAGAAAGATCTCAAATTGACACCCTAACATCACAATTAAAAGAGCAAGGGAGGCAAGAGCAAATTAATCTAAAATCTAGCAGACAACAAGGAATAACTAAGGTAAAAGAAGAATTGAAGGAGACAGAGACACGAAAAACCCTGCAAAAAATCAACGAATCCAGGAGCTGTTTTTTTTAATTAACATAATAGATAGACTGCTAGCTAGACTAATAAGAGAGAGAAGAATCAAATAGACAACAAAAAATTTATAAAAGGGATATCACCACTGACCCCACAGAAATACAAACTCCCATCAGAGAATAGTATAAACACGTCTACACAAATAAACTAGGAAATCTAGATGAAATGGATAAATTCCTGGATGCATGTACCCTACCATGGCTAAATCAGGAGGAAGTTGAATCCCTGAATAGACCAATAACAAGCTCTGAAATTGAAGCAGTAATTAATAACCTACCAACCAAAAAAAAGCCCAGGACCAGACAGATTCACAGCTGAATTCTACCAGAAAAACAAAGAGGAGCTGGTACCATTCCTTCTGAAAAAGGAGGGACTCCTCCCTAACTCATTTTATGAAGTCGGCATCATCCTGATACCAAAACCAGGAAGAGACACAACAAAAAAAGAAAAATTCAGGCCAACATCTCCCATGAACATCAATGTGAAAATCCTCAATAAAATACTAGAAAACCAAATCCAGCCCCACATCAAAAACCTTACCCACCACGATCAAGTCAGCTTTATTCCTGGGATGCAAGGCTCATTCAACATATGCAAATCAATAAACGTAATCCATCACGTAAACAGAACCAAAGACAAAAACCACATGATTATCTCAGTAGATGCAGAGAAGGCCTTTGATAAAATTCAACATTCCTTCATGTTAAAAACTCTCAATAAACTAGGTATTGATAGAATGTATTTCAAAATAATGAGCTATTTATGACAAACCCACAGCCAATATCATATGGAATGGGCAAAAGCTGAAAGTATTCCCTTTGAAAACTGGTACAAGACAAGGATGCCCTCTCTCACCACTCCTATTCAATATAGTATTGGAAGTTCTGGCCAGGGCAATCAGGCAAGAGAAAGAAATAAATGGTATTCAAGTAGGAAGAGAGGAAGTCACTTTGTCTCTGTTGGCAGATGACATGATTTTATATTTAGAAAACTCCATCATGTCAGCCCCAAAACTTCTTGAACTGATAAGCATCTTCAGCAAAGTCTCAGGATACAAAATCAATGTGCAGAAATCACAAGCATTCTTTTAAACCAACAACAGGGAAGCAGAGAGCCAAATCATGAAAGAACTCCCATTCACAATTGCTACAAAGAGAATAAAATATCTAGGAATACAGTTAGCAAGGAATGTGAAGGACCTCTTCAAGGAGAACTACAAACCACTGCTCAAGGAAATAAGAGAGGACACAAACAAATGGAAAAACATTTCATCCTCATGGATAAGAAGAATCAATATCATGAAATTGGTCATACTGCCCAAAGAAATTTATAAATTCAGTGCTATTCCCATCAAACGAACATTGACTTTCTTCACAGCATTAGAAGAAAACTATTTTAAATTTCATATGGAATCAAAGAAGACCCCATATAGCCAGGACAATCCTAATCAAAAAGAATAAAGCCGGAGGCATCACACTCTCTGGCTTCAAACTATACTATAAGACTACAGTAACCAAAACAGCATGGTACTGGTACAAAAACAGACATATGGACCAATGGAGCAGAACAGAGACCTCAGAAATAACACCACACATCTACAACCATCTGATCTTTGACAAACCTGAACAAAAACAGCAATGGGGAAAAGATTCCCTATTTAATAAATGGTGTTGGGAAAACTGGCTAGCCATACGCAGAAAACTGAAACTGGACCCCTTTCTTATACCTTATACAAAAATTAAGTCAAGATGGATTAAAGACTTAAATGTAAAAACCAAAACCATAAAAAGCCTAGAAGAAAACCTAGGCAATACCATTCAGGACATAGGCATGGGCAAAGACTTAATGACAAAAACACCAAATGCAATTGCAACAAAAGACAAAATTGACAAATGGGATCTATTTAAACTAAAGAGCTTCTGTACAGCAAAAGAAACTATCATCAGAGTAAACAGCCAACCTACAGAAAAGGAGAAAATTTTTGCAATCTATCCATCTGATAAAGGTCTAATATCCAGAATTTACAAGGAACTTAAACATATTTACAAGAAAAAACAACCCCATCAAAAAGTAGGTTAAGGATATGAACAGACACTTCTCACAAGAAGACATTTATGCAGCCAACAAACATGAAAAAAAGCTCAATGTCACTGGCTATCAGAGACATGCAAATCAAAACCACAATGAGATACTATCTCACACCAGTCAGAATGGTGATTATTAAAAATTCAGGAAACAATAGATGCTGGTGAGGCTGTGGAGAAATAGGAATGCTTTTACACTGTTGGTGGGAATGTAAATTAGTTCAACCATTGTGGAAGACAGTATAGTGAATCCTCAAGGATCTAGAACAAGAAATACCATTTGACCCAGCAATCCCATTACGGGGTGTATACACAAAGGAATATAAATCATTCTACTATAAAGACCCATGGACATGTATGTTCATTGCAGCACTATTTACCATAGCAAAGACTTGGAACCAACCCAAATGCCCATCAATGATAGACTGGATAAAGAAAACGAGGTACATATACCATGGAATACTACACAGCCATAAAAAGGAGTAAGATCATGTCCTTTGCAGGGACACGGATGAAGCTGGAAGCCCTCATCCTTAGCAAACTAACATAGAAACAGAAAACCAAACACCGCATGTTCTCACTTCTAAGTGGGAGTTGAACATTTAGAACGCATGGACACAGGGAGGGGAAAAGCACACAAGCCAGGGCCTGTTGGGGAATGGGGGGTGAGGGGAGGGAACTTAGAGGATGTGGTAATAGGTGCAGCAAATCACCATGGCATATGTATACCTATGTAACAAACCTGCACATTCTGCACATGTATCCAGTTTTTTTTTTAGAAATAAAAAGGAAAGAAGAAATTTAACATTTTTAAAAAGCAATGGGACAGTATTCCATTGAATATTTCATAATTTATTTAACCACCCCGTATTTATAAAGTTTAGATATCTCTAATTTTCTTTGTTAATATTAGCAATCAGCAATGAACAGTCATGCATGTGAATATTAGTACTTCTCAATTATTTTCTTAGAATCAATTCTTCAATAATAATTGATGGGTCCAATGTGTTTAAGTTTTGACACATACATACAATTGTACTCGGTGAAGGATATACCATTTTGCTTTCTCTAACAATGATGTCATTTCCTCGTAGTTTCATCAACATTAGACACTATCAATCCTTACAAATCTGATTCATAAAAATAGGTTTTAATTTTCATTTCTTTGCTTATTTGCGGGATTAGCATGTGATGCTGTCTTTGTCACATATTAACATCTTCTGCACACTAGGTCTGTCTAAGGGATGACTATTCTGTCCATCTGTTCATTATCTTTTGTACAAGTCCCTCACTTCAAACAAATTTTGATATCTGATAGCAAGGATCCACCATTGCTCAAAAAATATTAATTGTTCTCACCTATCCATTCTTCCCAATGAATTCTGGAATCCCATTTGTGGTTTTTGGTGAAATTACAACTAGCCTAAGATGTTTATTTGGAAGAATGAACTGTTCTACAGTATTTAGTCTACTCGGGTTCTATCCAGAAAGGAGCTATCTTTCTCTGTTTAAAAAATCTTCCATTATGACCTGTAGTAGAGTTCTGTTTTTAAAAAAATTTGGGTTCTTCATGTTTACTGCTATAGTTTTTCTTAGTTATTTATTATTATTTTTTGAGATGGAGTCTCACTCTGTTGCCCAGGCTGGAGTGCAGTGGTGTGATCTCGGCTCACTGCAATCTCTGCCTCTCGGTTTCAAGCAATTCTCCTGCCTCAGCCTCCCGAGTAGCTGAGACTATAGGCGCATGCCACCACACCAGGCTAATTTTTTATTTTTAGTAGGGATGGGATTTCACCATGTTTGCCAGGCTGATCTCAAACTCCTGACCTCAGGTGATCCACCCCTCTCAGCCTCCCAAAGTGTTGGGATTACAAGCGTGAGCCACTGCACCCAGCCTCTTCGTTATTTTTTCTTAAGTTACTTTTATAAAGTCTTTTTTTTCCATTATACTGTATTATTATATGTTCAATGTATTATGTTTGGTATGTAGAAAAATTATTTTTAAGTATTTGGTCATTTTAACTACTTTTGTTATAATAATTTTCAAATTTTCTTATCTGGTTTTATAATTTTGACATCTGGAAGTAATAATTATTCTAGTCCTTTGTTTCTAATAATTATATTTCTTACTGTTATGTGCCTTTCTTATTGGTTAAAATGTCTACAAGATTAAACAATAATTATGTGAACTGATATATATATTATATAAAAGTTATATGTATACAGGTTATATATACATTGGTTATATGATCTATATCTACATATATAATTTATTTCAATAGTTTTGAGGGAGTACAAGTGGTTTTGGTTACATGGTGACTTGGATAGTGGTGAAGTCTAGGATTATAGTGCAACTGTCACCCAAGTACTGTTATGTTGTACAGAAGAGGTGTTGTTTTTCATCCCCTACCTCCCTTTCACTCTCCCCACCTCTGAGTCTTCAATGTTCATTATATCACTCTGTATGCCTTTGTGTACCTACAGCTTAGCTTCCACTTATAAGTGAGAACATGTGGTATCTGATTTTTTATTCCTGAGTTACTTCACTTAGAATAATGACCTTCAGTTTCATCTAAGTTGCCGCAAAAGACATTATTTCATTCTTTTTTATGGCTGAATAGTATTCCATGGTGTGTTTTTGTGTGTGTGCGTGCGTGTGTGGGTATATACCACATTTTCTTTATCCGTTCATTGGTTGATGGACACTTAGTTCCGTGTCTTTGCAACTGTGAATTGTGCTGCAATAAACATGTGTACAGGTGTCTTTGTGATATGACTTCTTTTCCTTTGAGTAGATGCCCAGTAGTGGGATTGCTAGATTGAATGGTAAATCTACTTTTAGTTCTTTGAGAAATCTCTCTACTGTTTTCCATAGAGGTGGTACCAATTTACATTCCTACCAGCAGTGTAGAAGCATTCCTTTTTCACCACATCCATGCCAATACCTACTGTTTTCTGGCTTTTTAATAATGACCATTCTGGTTGGGGTAAGGTAGTATCTCATTGTGCTTTTCATTTGCATTTCCCTGATGATTAGTGATACTGAGCATTTTAAAAATATGTTTGTTGAACATTTGTATATCACCCTTTGAGAAATGTCTATTAATGTCCTTTGTCCACTTTTAAATGGGATTAGTTGTTTTTTCCCTTGCTGATTTGTTTGAATTCTTCATAGATTGTGGATATTAGTACTTTGTCAGATGCAAAATGTGCAAATATTTTCTCCCATTCTGTAGGTTGTCTGTTTACTCTGACAATTAATTTTGTTGTGCAGAAAATTTTGAGTTTAATTAGGTACCATTTATATTTTTATTTTCTAATTCTGTGAAAAATAATGTTGGTGTTTTGATGGGAATTGCATTGAATCTGTAGATTGCTTTGGGCGGTATGGTCATTTCCTGATATTGATTCTTCCAATCCATGAGCATGGGATATTTTTCCACTTGTTTGTGTTGTGTATGATTGCTTTCAGCAGTGTTTTGCGCTCTGAACAAGGGTGTCTTATCTAAGAGGTGTCATTCACACTATAGGCATAATGGAGGTATATATTGATTACCACAATTTTCTGGCCCCTGACAATAAAATATCTCATTCTAAAAGAAAGTTGTCTGAACACTTTCTGATGGAAATAGACTTGAGGAGAGGGCAGTGTTGTGTTTCTCCTATAGGTAGATGTGTTAATTTCAGTATGAAGGTCCTGTATGGGTCATTGATGGCCCTGTTTTGTGGGGGTCAGCATATGTTTGGTCTGCTGAAGTTCTGCCTGGGGTTTATTCTTAGACTGTGCCACTCTTTGTAATGGAAAAGCGGCCACATTCTGTGTCAAAGCTTAACCTGGTGCCTACAGGGCCCAAGGCCTCCAACCTTGATGGTCCTTTCAAGTTATTTGTCCCTTCCTTCTCATTCCTGCGTCAGCTTGCTCCAGCCAGTTCTTCTCTAGGATAAGCTAGGGGAGTAAATGATTAAGATTTGGGGAGCAGTGGGTGCCTGCCTCTCCCTCATACAGTTAAACTTCGACTGGCAAGAACTTAACTTTCCTGAGCCTGTTTTGCTTTTTTCTTCTCTTCTTTTTTGAGACAGAGTCTCGCTCTGTTGCCCAGGCTGGAGTGCAGTGGTGCAATCTGGCTCACTGCATCCTCCACCTCCCGGGTGCAAGTGATTCTCCTTCCTCAGCCTCCTGAGTAGCTGGGATTACAAGTGCACACTACCACGCCCAGTTAATTTTTTGTATTTTTAGTAGAGATGGGTTTTCACCATGTTGGCCAGGCTGATCTCAAACTCCTGACCTCAAGTGATCCACCCACCTTGGCCTCCCAGAGTGCTGGGATTACAACTGTGAGCCACCGTGCCCGGCCTATTTTTACTTTTTTCTAAAATGAAGGTAAATAATATTTACCTCATGGAGTTGTTCTAGGGTTAAAAAAAAATACTCTCTGTAAAGCACTCACCTGGCCTCCTGACTGGTCCAGCACTCAGCACCGCCGTCATGCCTCCTCTCCAGTGCTGGTCCTCTGGGTTTTCTTGCTTTGCTTTCCCAGCCACTCTGCTCTGGTGACCTCTCCCTCCTCGAGGCTCTTCTTTCTAGAGCATTTACTGCCTGTGGTGCATGTACCACCTTATTTTATGTGTGCTCTCTCCTGATCCCTGATGGATTTTTAAGTCCCCAGGGACATTGTTCCATAAGCCTTCGTTTTCCCCACAGGAAGCAACAAGGTCTTTTCAAGCATCAGAACATTATTACTTTGGGCCAAAGCTATTGCAGAACTGACAATCATTGGGTCTTCAAAATACAACACAAGATGAATGTACAACAAAATCAATGTAGATATTTGAAGGAAAGGAAAAACAATATGTTCATCCTTGTTTTATCGAATAAATCAGGCAAATGCATCAGATTTTTAAAAGAGGCTTTAGGTCAGTTTTGTTGAAGGGACACGTGCAAATAGAGAAACTAGAATTGTTCTATACAGTTGGCAATTTAACTTTTTCTTATGTTTTCAAGAGCTTAGATGTAATGGAATCACATAAACATCTCCCTTGGTCCTAGTTAAATGGCAAGGATGGGGATGGTGGATGTTATTTGCCACAGGGTAGAGGGCACCTTAGTTCAGAGATCTCATGGTATCTGTTAAGTAGACTGGGGGATGCTGTGGTTTCTGTGTTCTGTGATGGCTGATGAATGGTTTGGATGCAACTTGCCGTCATCTCCCCATCACATCCAGTCATTCACGTTCTCTCAGGATCTGGCTCCAACTACTATTCATGGCTGTTCTCTTGACCCCTGCTCTGCCCCCCATGCACTCCCTGTGTCAGCCTATCTGGACATCCTGACATTTCTTAGACAGACCCAGCCATTTCCCCCACACTCTCTCTTCCTGCTGTTCTTTCTGCCCTGACTCCCCCATTCTCACTTTCCCTGGGTAACCTTCGCTCCTCCCACCCCCATCCAGCTGTTACAGTTGTCTTGTCCTTCAGGGTTTATATTCAACTCCTGCCACCTCCAGGTAGAATGAATTACCCTCCTGAGTGATCTCGCTGAGATTTGTTCAAACTCTCACCACCTCATTGACCGCCCTCTGTCTTCTCTGCTGGGTCCTCCATATCTTTCCATCCTCTAAATGCTGGTGGGTTGAAAAGCAGAGTCCTGATTTTTTCTCTGCTCTTTCCACACTCGCTCCCTATGCAATCTCATCCAAGAACATGACGTTAAACACCATGAGATCAATATGCAGATGTCTTCCTAACTTATCTCCTCAGCCTACAACTCTCCCTGAACTTTAGGCTTGAATAGTTAACCCCCTCCTCTAGTCTTTGCTTGGATACTAATAGGCGTCTCAAGCACAATGTGTCCTAAATGATCTCCGGGTTTCACCTGCCCAACCCTTTCCCCATCTGAGGAAAAGGAGCCAGCATTCATACACTTGCTCAGGTGAAAAACATTGGCCTCATCCTTGACTTATCTCCTTCACATCCTCATCCACTCTAGAAAAAAATTTTTTGGCTGTACCTCCAAATGCACCCAGGACCCTACTACTTCTTAGCATTCTCTCTTCTGCTGAATCCATATCTCTTAGCCCCTCGTCCCCACCTACATTCTCCTGTCCTATTCTCCATAGAGCAGCCAGAGGGCTCCGATAAAACAAAAGCATGTGCATGTCATTCCCCGACTCAGAACCCCTCTGAAGGCCTCCTGCCATATGCAGAATGAAATCTACCCTCCTTCTGGCTTGCAAGGTTCTCAAGGCTATGGGCCCTGGCTGTCTCCCAGTGCTGTCTCTGCCTTTCTCTCCTGCTCTGGGCCCAGTCACGTTGGCCTCTGGCTCTTCCTTGAACACACCAGTGAAATGTCTGCCTGCCACAAGACATTGTACTTTGTCTCCTCTGCTTAGGTCCACGTTTTTGCTCATATTTGCCCCCTCACTGAGGCCTTTGACGACCATCCCTATTCAAAGCAGCAACTCCTCTTCCATCTCCCTCACCTGCTCTATTTTCCTTCATAGAGTTTTTCTGAAACAATATGCCACTTGCTTAATTGTTCATTGTTTGCTACCTACCCTCACAAGAGTATAAGCTCCCTGAGTGCAGCGGCTTGGTCTGTTTTAGTCACTGCCATACTCCAGCACTTCAAAATGCCAGGCACACAGTAGGGCATCAATATACTTGTGTATCTGAATGACTGAAGGACCCTATCAACAGCCTGCTTGATATAATGGCGTTTTTTGCACTTGCCTGTGGCCTCCCCTTCCTCCACCAGCAATATGAGGACAGAGGCCATCTCTTACTACTTTGAATCATCCACATTGTTCATTGGGCCCTTGATCTATGCTTGTGAACTTGGGGTCGAAAGACTTGTCTGAGCTTATGAGAGGTAAGATGAACTATGTGAGCGCTCTCCAGTGACTGCTTGGATTCTCTTGAAGGCTTTATTCCCTTGGGCTTCTCCTTGAAAAGGAAGATGGAAATATGTGGAGGAACCTGGCTCTGGTGCATTAGCTCCAAAGTGGCTGAGCCTATGCAAAGGCTCTTGCTAATGCTTTCACCTCGCATGACTGCACAGGGCTTCCCTCAGACAGCTGGATGTATGAGAAGAGCTGAGCAGCTGAGTTAGTAAAAGTGAACTCTCTGCTGCATCCTGCCGACTGCTCCAGCTATGGTGACTCTGGGTGACAGGAGGTGAGGAGGGGCCCTCCATGAAGCCTCTGAGGGGACCGTGGCCATCCAGGGTGCTAAGCAGCCTCCCTGGAGAAGGAGCTACCACCCATTATTCACCAGGGGCTTACTCCTGGAGATGGGAGAGGTGTGGTCAGCAGTGAAGAGTGGCCGGCTCATGGGGAAGACTGTCACATATCACAGGAAGGGATCCCCAAGCACGCCCCTCACTATCAGCAGAGTGCCCCAGGTGCCCTCTTTACTTTGTAGTTAACCCCAGTCACCATTTTACTTTTCGCAGCTGGTCCCATTCCAACCAACTGAACTAAAGACTGTAAATCTTAGTCAGGACATCTGGGTGCGGGCATCTAAGCAGCCCTGATGCTGATTCCTTAAGAAAACTCATTTCTTGTAATGTGAGCCCTGCCGAGGATGGCCATGTCAACTTATTAGACTTTTTACTTGGCCGTATTGATTCTGCTTAGCCCGATGCGGCCCGTAATGCTGGCTAATGTTATTGACGAGCCATCAATCTTGCAGAGAAGTGTGGGGCTTGCAGCTCTTTCTGAACCACAAAAACCTCCTGGTGGACAGTGATGGAGAGGAGGAGGAGGACTTGAGTGGAGCTCTCGGGCTAGCTCCACGTAGGCCGGGATACATTAATGAAAGGCACGCACGTGGTGGCGAGAGACAGATGCGCCTCTCCAGAAGCCATTTATTTATGAAATAATTATGAATGCACAGTTGAATCATGGATTTTCATTACTGTATGTGTCCAACACTCTTTCTCGGTTCATATTTTGTTGGAAATGAAGTGTTGTTGGTTATAGGGTGGAGGCGGTGAGGGGGTGGGGGTAGGGGACACCTTCAGGCAGGAGTTCTAGGATATTTCCTCTCTGTCTTCCACCTAACCTGCCACTCTCAGCACCACTTGTTGAAGAAAATTCGTCCGTGCTGGGCTCAGCCCTGTGTCCAGAGGGAATTCAATTTTGATCTATCCTGAGAAGGACCCAAATTTTCAACCTCCTAAATCTGCAAATCAAAGACTCACTCAGCAGTCTGCAAAGTTGGTGCCTGATGACTGAGTGTGCTGGTATAGGAAACAGACCTTTGGTGGGGTATTAAAAAGGCAAGAGGAGATATTAGCCAGGTGTGGTGGTGCGTGCCTGTAGTCCCAGCTACTTGGGAGGCCGAGGTGGTAGGATCGCTTGAGCCTGGGAGATTGAGGCTGCCATGAGCTGTGATTGTGGAGCTGCACTCCAGCCTGGGGAATAGAGTGAGATACTGTGTCAAAAAAACAAAAAAAGCAGGAGGAAATAAAGTACAAAAGACTCCCTACCCCACCCATTCCCAGCTTCTCCAGCCTGAAGGGAACTTTGACTCCTCAGCTCATCATTTTCAAACTGATCCCAGGGGAGAAAGATGGTCCTGGTCCCTCAGCCCTCACAGTTGCCTTAAACAGAAGGAAACCTCAGTGACCATTTACTACTGCGTCTCATGCTCTGTGTGTCTAGAGTAACAAATCCGATACAGATTCCAGCACACTGATGGGGGAACACATAAGTAAAAGGTTGGATGTCAGGCTTTTCACTCTCTGCATTGGCATTAGGGATTCAAAGTAACAAATTTGGTCAATCCTGTGAAAGCTCAAGTGGAGAACTTCTGGAAGGCTCAGGTAAGTGAGGTCGCTGTGGGATTATTTCTAGCAGGGCGGCTGGAGAAGCAGGTGCTCGCACCAGGTGTTAGCAATTTCAGGGCTGCTTTGGTGGAGTGAGCTTCTGCATCCCTCCATTGGTGTCCCCAGCACTGATTTTATCTCTGCCTCCCTGTGGCTCTTTCCTGTCAGTCCTCCCCCTGGGTTGTGAGCCACTGGAGAGCTGGGACAGCCCTGACAGCTTTGAATCTTAGCACGTAATAAGCACTTCCAAAGTGTTTACTGGGTGGGTAGAAATGTCTACTTTATTACTAAAGTTAGGTCTTTACCAGAATCTATTGCCTCAAACTATTTGCTTCCCAATACTTCTTAAAAGTCTGGTTGGTCAAAATGATCCTTACAGCAGATTTTGTGAAGAATCTGCATCCACAGGTGATTTTTTACATAACCGGAGCTGCCAAAGCATAAAACAGATAACATGGAGCTAGTTAGGTGGCAAAGAAATGGGGTGGCAGTGAGATGCGGAGTCAGGGATCAAGCACACTTTTTCTTAAGGCTCTGGTCACCCGTGTGCATCTGACAGCAGAGGCGCATAGGGCAGGAGATATGGAGAAACCAAAGATGATCAGACGGTGTCACCCCATCCCTGAGCCCCACCATTCCCATTACACACACACTCTCACACATGCACACGTGAACACACACTTGCAAACACACTCAGAATCACACTCACACACAAACATGCCCACATAAATGCACATGCTCACACACGCCCACACACACATAAGCAGACACACACATATTAGGAGGAAGGAAAAAGCAGCCACATTTGTTGACTGTTCAAGGGCTGGTCTTTGCCGGACTGTGCACTCTTTGTAGACTGTGGGCCCCTCACAGATATCCAGCTGCTGTCATTCCCTCCAAACTGGGCTCCTCTTTTGACTCAAAACTTTTGGAGTGGTGGCTTCACTCTGATTATGGCTTTATGGGTCAGTTACCAGCTACTAGCTGGGTGACCTTGGGCAAGTTACCAGTTTGCTTCTCAGTTTCTTCCAGTGTAAAATGGGGATAATAAGAATACTTGTCTCAGAGGTTTGTTGAGAGGACTAAATGACTTAATGGATGTAAATACTTGGAATTGTGCCTGGCACAAAGTAAGCACTCAAATCCTGTTTGACATGATCTCATCCTTATAACAGCCCTGCAAGGTAAATATTTTTTAGATGAGGAAACCGAGACTCATGGACAAATAATTTCCCTAAAGTCCCTCGGTCGCCAACCCTGCTGTCAGAGCAGGAGTCCCATCCAGCCACACTGCCTGTTGCTTGTGAGGCATCGGGGTCCTCTCAATCATCTACCATGGGTGGCACCTGCTGGGCTCTTTGTCTGTAGTCTGTAGCCTCCTTTGAAGCTACTAACACCTGTGTTTTCACCCTCTGTGAATGTTTGGTCCCGTCAGATTTGGTCTCATTGTCTACCACTGTGGGGTCAAGTAGGATCCTGATGTCAGGCTTTCTGTGTAGCCCAGAGGTGATAGCCTTGATCACCAGTGTTGGGTGGGTGGTGCAGAGCTTGGTGGGCTTGAGGGAGTGTGCCTGGTCCTTAAGGGAAAGGATTTCGAAAACAGATGCAGTCAGTATATACCATTATAGGAGTTGCAGAGGCTGCTGCATTCTTCAAGGTAATGACCCCCCTAAGGGCATGGAGCTTGACTGCTTAATCACCTCCCAGTTGACTCATGGGCGCATTTGTCTTTAATCAGTCTTTTTTTAGCTAATGGTAGCAAAACTAAGAACTTTCCAACTTTGACTTTTTTCTTATGAAAGTGATTTTTTTTTCCTATTTAAAAAAAGACACATTCAGAAAAATGTAAAATATTGGTATTTTGCGTAGAGAACTTCGGATTGCCTAGGGAATACTCAGCACCAGTGTTGGCTTGTGGGCCCTGCAGATGCTCACCAGGCTTAACACATACACCTCGCCATTCAGGGCTGGCAAAATCAGTGTAGTCCCTGCCTTTAGAAAGTTTCTGCATCTCCGCTAAGTGCAGTGGCTCACACTTGTAATCCCAGCACTTTGGGAGGCCAAGGTGGACGGATCACCTCAGGTCGGGAGTTCAAGACCATCCTGACCAACATGGAGAAACCCCGTCTCTGCTAAAAATACAAAATTAGCCAGGCGTGGTGGTGCATGTCTGTAATCCCAGCTCCTTGGGAGGCTGAGGCAGGAGAATTGCTTGAACCCAGGAGGCGGAGATTGTGGTGAGCCGAGATTGTGCCATTGCACTCCAGCCTGGACAAAAAGAGTGAAACTCTGTCTCAAAAAAAAAAAAAAAAAAAAAAAAAAAAAATTCTGCATCTAAATAAAGGACCACAGACTACACTGAAAGATGTTTAGACCAAGTGGCAAGATAGTAGTGCTAAGTAGTGCACACTCCCTCAAGCCCACCAAGGTCTGTACCACCCACCCGACATTGGTGCTAAGAGAAATTGGGGAGTACAGAGACTAAGCAAAGGTCATTGGGTAGTGGTCAGAGTTGGGAAGTTGACTGGAAGGGGTAGAACCATTGCTGCCAGGGATAAGGAGAGAGTGATTGGCGTGGATGGGGCAGACCAGTCATGATCACTGTCCAGGAAACAATCACTATAGAGGACATGTCTCAGGCCCCAGCTAATGCCAATTCATTATGTGGGTATTTCCAAAGTACTTGTGTGTCTATGGTGGACATGACACTGTGCTGGGATGGCTGAAGGAAGGTCATTCTGTCCCTGTCCTCCGAGTGTTTATAATCTTGAGGAGATGAGACCTAAATGCTTGAAATAATCCCATAGTTACCAAAGGCAGAATTTGTATCTAAATGGGGCACATTTGGAGACAGTCTAGAGAGAAAAGAAGTCAGTTTGTTATCCTACAGGAATAAATATGGAAGCCTTAGATGGGTGGCTGTGAGGATAGAGGGAAAGGGAAAGAAATCCTTAGATGAGTCTATAAATCTTGAGGACCTGGAAATCAAAGAGGGGGCATGGGACATTGGTGAATCTGCATTGCAAGTTGAAGTTACTAAAAAACCATGGACCCCTGAGAGAAATGCAGATGTTAGGAGAGAAAGCCAACTGGGCTGGTGCCAAGTCATTGAGTTTGAAACTTGTTGGTTTGATCTGGTTATCAGATGCAAAGTAGAAATGTGCTGGAAGCAGCTCCAGATTGGAGAGTCACTGGCCTAGAGAAGATCATTGAGTTTTGACTTGTGATCCCTGAAGAAAAGGATCCTGGCCTTGGAATAAGCTCAAGAAGAACTTAGACAGAAAGCAGTTGGCAGTTGGTGAGGTCAGAGGGCTGGGGAAGGGGGACACCAGGCAAGCCCAGAGAGGAGAGGTTTGTGGGAGGAGCATGTGTTCACTGGGGGCACCTGCTTCTGAAAGGTCTGGAAGGTTAAGGATTAAGAAATGGTCATTTGGTTTGGAGGCTCATGCTTTTCTGAAGACCTTTGGGAGAGCATCTTCAATAGATCCATGAGGTGAAAAAGCAATTGGAGAGAAGCGTTTAGGGAGAGAATGGGAGAGAAGGAGGGAGAGGCAAGAGATACCCACTTCTAGATCCAAAGGCTTGGAACTGAAAAGGAAATAATGTGATAGGATGCAGGCCAAATAGGTCAATGGGGTCAAGGCGAAACTCTTCAAACCGGGTGTGAATGCTGCACGTTTGCTTCAAATGGAAGTGAACAGAGGAGCAGGAGAGAGGGAAGACTGACAGTGGGCCAAGAAGAGCCCAGGAGAAAATTCTCTCAAGAGCTAGTGAAATCACTCTTGCAAAATTATAACTAAGAAAATGATGACAATGAAAGAGATCTGACCTAATCAACTCCATCTTGCTTTGAACCTCCAAGCTGCCCTTGTTCATTCCTGGGCGTTGTAATCCAACTAACTTTGGGAGAAACTTATTGTATAGTTTAACTTTGAAACAAAGGCCATAACAGCCCTTTCCCAAAACAAACGTTCCTGCCTAGGGACTAGTCTGCCTTTGCAGGACTAACAAATTGGCCGCAAGATTAGAAATTATGGTTTGGGAGTCATGCAGCTGGAGGCTACAAGATTCTGACCCTCCCCAAATTGCTCTTGGGGAATAACATCATTATTATAAAACCTGATACCAGCGCCTAAGATGTTTAGCAGACCGTGCACTTGGTGGACCAGCTGGCACCGCCCAGATGGATAAACTGGCTCATCTAGTCATATGGCCCCTACCCAGGAACTGGCTCAAGTGCAAGAGGACAGCTTTGACTCCCTGTGATTTCATCTCGGACCCAATCAACACTCTGGACTCACTGGCCCCCACCCACCAAATTGTCCTTAAAACCCCCAATCCCAGAGTTTTCTTCAAGACTGAGTAATAATAAAACTCCAGTCTCCTGTACAGCCAGCTCTGTGAGAATTACTCTTTCTCTATTGCCATTGCCCTGTCTTGCTAAATCGGCTCTGTCTAGGCTGTGGACAAGGTGAACCACTGGGCGGTTACGTTAGGAAGGAAGGAAGGAAGGAAGCGTCTGCACTGTGGGGAAAGCTGTGAGGGTGGCCAGTGGAGGACAGGCAGGAGGGATTTGGTAGGCAGAGGTCAAGAGGCTGGAGGATAAAACTTCTTGTACCATGTGACTATGGCTTTCTCAAAAGTGGGAGGTCAAGTCAGTTTTTGGCAGAAAATTCAAAAGGAGAGGCATGGAGGAAAGCTGATGGGCCAGCAGTCAGACCAAGAAACCAAAAGTTCTTCTTCCCCACAGAGTCAGGTGGGGAGGGAGATGGGAAAACCAGTAGGGGAGAGGGGCTTCGAAGAAAGCTCATCCCCTGTTGAGTCCAGGAAGTTAGAAAAGTGTGTCAACTTGGGGAAGAAAGATGAAGTTTGCATTAGAAGCTTCAGGGGAAGGGGACCACTGGGGATGCAAGTGAGGGTGCTTCCAGGAACCCCCTTCCCCAAAATGTCAGAGCTACAAAACTGTTTCCTTTCTTCCTGCCTGGAGAGTCAGTACTTTCCTGAGGCATCTGTGGCCTGGTAGGCAGGAGGGGTTAGCCAAAGCAGCTTCTCCACATGCCTGAGGGGGACAAAGCAGGGCTCAGCAAGGGCCTCCCAGGCCAAGAGGAGACACCCTGCTAAAATAGACATTTCCGCAAGTGGCAGACTCCAGAAACCAACACAGACTCGGTCTAGGCGCAGAGCCAAGCGGTAGCACAGGAGGCGATACTAAAAGGACAGAAACAAGCAGGTTCCGAGAACTTTGAGCATAATTACTCAGAACAATGGGCTCAGGCTTCTGCTTGGCAATGAATGCCCTGTATCTAATAACCCAGGCATCCCCGTCACCAGCCCTGGGGGCCTGTGGCTGAGACAAGGTAGCAGATCCTAATGGGACCCAAGCATTCAATACTACGGCTACTAATATCAGCTAATCTTTTTGGAATGCACTGCTTTAAGTCTTCCATTATCATAACTCATTGATCTTACTAACAACCCAGAGAGATAAGTCCCATCATTATTCCTGTCCTTCAAATGAATACACAGAGGCATCAAGACTTTAAGTGACTTGCTTAAGGACCCACAAGCCAGACTTGGGACAGGGCCTGGACCCCAGCAGTGGGATGTCTCCTGGGTGACACCGTCAGCCTCATTATCTCGAAGCACCTGTTGAATGTCTACTGTGTGTAGGGCTCTATGCTAAGCAGCAGAAGCCAAAAAAGGTGGACGAGTTGGGCCTGGCCTTGAGTGATGAGCAGGTAATAGCACGGCACTGCTATCTCTAGGAAATAATAATTAATGATGTTTCCAGGATTTTGTTTCCTGTTTCTGCCACCCTCCCCGGCCCCACCCCACCAGCTTCCTGAATGAATAAATACACAAATGAGGAGATGGCTTTAAATAAGTGGATAATTACTCTGCTCCTGGCTTATGAAATGTGTAAGAATTACCAGTTTTCTGAAGCAAAACACAGCAATAAAGCCTTCCATCATTGTTCCTTGTAGGGCTCAAAAGCCAATCCAGTTCAATGCCTGCTGCAGGCACAGGCAGGAAGGACTGAGAATGTCTCTCTCAGTCTGCTGCAGCTTCGGGTCTGCACTGGGTCCTCTCAAGTCCTCCCCTGACACACAGCTTTCTGTCTGCTGTTTTCTTTACTGTATTTGCTTCCGCACCTTAGTTCTGGCCTTGATCATGTCTTGGCCCTGCAATTGTCATAGCTTCTGAACAGATACAAGCAGGGGCTTCAAAGCCAGCTGGATCTGAATGTCATCTTGACTCTGCTTCTTATTTGCAGTTTAGCCCTTGGACAAGTGTCTGGATATCTTTGACTTTAATTTTATTATCTGCGCGACATAGAAAATACCACCCTAGCTCACAGTTATGTGAGGATGAGGTGGGAGTGACCACATCCAGTGCCTAGTACAGGGTCCCCCGCGATGCTATTACAATTCCCGGGAATTATTATTATTAGATCTCCCACCTCTAAATCAGCCTGTATGTTGCTGCCAGATGAATCTTACCCAAATACAATTGTGACCATGTCATTTCCTATCATTCTGCAAAAGCTGCAGTTGCCAGTGGAGCAAGTCTGTTTGTAAGGGGAGTTACTTACCTCATTTTCCCATTCTGGATGCCAGCATCTTGACTACCAGGGTCAGGTAGCTCCCGCTCAGCCCACTCTGTCTATAAAAATACCTGGAAAGTTTCTCAAATTTACGAAGACAATACGAGGGCTTGTTAATGGTGGTGGAACCCACTCAGTGGGATGAGACTAATAGAAGTTTCACTGTTTGATTAGGTTATGCATTCTTATGTGATGGGATAAGAATTTTTGGAAATGTCCACAGAGCCCCGCCCCCTAATCATTATAATTTCTTTGGCTCTTTGTCCCCTTCAATTAGGCTAATCATTCTGTATTCATGGTCTTGGGGAAACAATGTGATAGGAGAAACAGAGAAAAGGGGAACTTCTTCCTAGCTGTTGAGTTCCAAAAGCTAAGCCCCTTTGCGGAAAGAAAGAAATAGTTGACAAAAGGCTGAAGAGAAATTTTGAATTAAAAGTACGTGACCACCCCAGGTCCAAGGCAGCACTCCTGGGGTTCTGCTAGCTCTTTTGCACTCTACTGAGGATTTCCCTTCACAGCAGCCAGAATGTTCTTACTAACCCACAGAGAGGATGCGTTCCCATTCCCTGAGACTTTGCTCTGAACCATTTGACTAACTTCTGGTGAACCGCCCTCAAGGTCTCCTCTGGGCCAGCAAGACTTTGTGCACACTCTGCTATAATTGTATATTACAAACAAGATCACTTACAGTGGGGCTGTAATCCATATTAACTAAGGATGTCTCTACTGAAGTCAAACATAAATGTTCCCCCTGCAAAGAATGAAATAATGGTGAGGTGGCAGAGAGTGGGGTTATTTTTTGAGATGGGGAACCTGCTTGGTGCCTCTTGAAATTGATGCCACATAGGTGATGACACAGAATGTAAATTTCTGACTTGAACAAAGCAAGTCCTATCCCTTGCCCTTCTGACTTGAGCCCTGCCTCCCAGAACCACCTGCTGGGGTGGAGCTTTTGGAGGGAGGGTGGATGCTAGGAACATAGCTGACCCAGGGCCCTGGGAGAGGCAGCCAGTGGGTCAGACATCCTGTGAAGCTTCTTGTGGTAGACTGTCCATCAGTGATCCCCAGTGGACCAGGATTCTCTTGGTGTGATCCCCTCCCATATGGACTCTGGGCTCAGCCATGGGACTTGCTTGGCCAGTGAGACATTAGAATGTAGAGACTTGATAAGTACTTGCACAGTGGGACCTCCTTCTTGGAAACCAGCTGCCATTTGATAAAGAGGCCAATGGAGACTAGTGGAGGAAAGGAAGCCACTTGGAGGAAAATCTACGCACACCAGCTCTCAGCTGGCACCAGTTGCCACACATGTCAGTGATGCCTTCATGGATATTCCTTGGCTGAGTTCTCAGGGGATTGCAGCCACCTAAGAGACCCTAGGAGGGCCCCTCTGAGCCTTGTCCAAGTTGTAGAATTATGAGCCAATAAATGGTGGTTGTCATCTTAAGCCTCTAAATTTGAGTTAGTTTATGTAGTAATAGATAACCGAAATTCCTTCTTTCTAGAGAATATTTTTCCTTTCAATTGCAGGGACTTTCCACAGGATGGGAACCTCATCCAATTTGATCATTATATCCTCAGCCCCTAACAGCCCATAATAGGTTTCTAATAAATATTTGTGGAATTCATAACACAAAATTATATACTACAGCGTCTATACTGTATTATGATGCTCTATTTCCTGGCTATTTTTCTCCCTTTCAGGCCATGAGCTCCCTAGCTTTGAAGCTTCCATTTATTGTTGATGAATGGTTGACAAAGTTCTAAGAGATTTATATATGTAACAGTATATTAAATGGAACTTTGACTATTGTCTATGGAATTTTGGTTGACTGAAAGCTGAGAACAGAGCGACAAATACTCCTGCATTCTGAAGATGGGTACTAGACACATTTGCAGCACATGCCAAAAAATGACTAACATATTTTCAGATGCTTTAGTCCATTCTTCACTTCTACTTAAGAGAAAGACGGAGAGGAAATAGGAATTTGTGATTAGGGTCCAAAAGCTAAAGCCCAGAGAGTCTGAGTTCAAGTTTCCTCTCTGCTACTACTAGCTGCAAGATCTTGGCTAAATTACTTAGCTCTGTACTTTCATTTACTTACCTATGAAGTGGGGTGACTATAGCATCTACCTCATAGGGATGCTGTGAGGATTAAATGCGTTATTATATATGGACCAGGCAGTTCTACATCTAGAATTCTTAGAGCAGTATTTAGCTCATAGTGAGGGCCTATAAGTGTCAGCACTGTCATCCTCAGTACTGTCAGAGTGAGTAAACATCTCTTTGAAAACAATGGGCTACCTGGTGGAGGGAGATACATTTCCTAGCAGAAAAACTCAAGTTTGGGGTGATTAGCCCGAAGGGGACTGATATTTCACTCATCACTCCACCTCACCCTCTAGCTGAATGATCGTGGAACTGAAGAAACACCTAGACACTTCCATAGCTGCTGTGGGAGTAGACATGGTGAGAGAATTCTGGGCAAAATTAATCCGCATCCTCTGGCACATGGAGGTACTGAAACTGCAAAAGTCCAAAGGAGAAGGTTAGCAGAATGAGGAGAAAGGCTGAGGTGGGCATGTCACACACTGTCAGGATTGGAGGGGTGAGGATGCTGAGTTTCCCACTAGCTAAGTGGACGCTATGGATGGGCAGTCTTAAGAGTAGAGGCCTCGTGATAGGGCTATGCCCAAGAGGACGGCCTTTCCAAGGGCAATCTCAGCCACATGGGTAGAGGTGGGATTGGGGAGGAGGTGCTTCCATGGAGGTAGAGGAAGGCACTGAAGTGCCTGTGGGTGACAGTCAGGGTTTGGCCATCTGCCACACACAGGGCCTCATGCAGATCTTCACAGTGCAGCTAAGTCAATTGACCATTTTAGTCCTTGCTATAAACTAAATATTTGTGTCCCCTAAATTCATATGTTGAAACCTAATGCCTAGTGCTATGGTATTAGGAGATGGGGCCTTTGAGGGATAATTAAGTCATGAGGGCAGAACCTTTATAAATGAGATTAGTGCGCTTTTTAAAGAGGCCTTGGGAGCTCCCTTACCACTTCTGCCATGTGAGGTTACGGTGAGAATATAGCTCTCTGTGAACCAGGAAGAGGCCCTTACCACACACCAAATCTGCCAGTGACTTGATCTTGGACTTCCCCGCCTCCAGGACTGTGAGAAATAAATTCTCTGTTGTTTATAAGACACCAGTTTATGGTGTTTTGTTATAGCAGTCTGAACTGTCTAAGACCACCCTTTACCTTTCCTCCTTCCTTCTGCTGCAGTCCTGGAGAGGCCAGAGGAAGTGGAGGAGGGACTGAGAGTAAGGAAAAGCCCCCCGCTTCCCAACTGCAGGTTACTGAGCCTGGTGTAGGCCTGAGCTGGGGAAAGAGAGAGCCTTTGAATTGGATGAGAAATTGAAGTTTTAGTGTTAGGAGAATCTGAACTTTATTGATTTCTGAGAATCAAACTTTTCTAATGTCTAAAAAGTGACTGATAATGCTCTGAGCTCAGCCAAGATAGCACTGCTGGAGGAGTTGGGGTGCAAGGTGAGTGGGCTGAAAGCTTATGGTTGAGAATAATGTCTGTCACAGCAATATATTCATTTATATTGACATCATCTCATTTTATCTTCACAACAGCTCTGTATTAGTCTGTTTTCACACTGATGATAAAGACATGCGAGACTGGGCAATTTACAAAAGAAAGAGGTTTAATGCACTTATAGTTTCACATGGCTAGGGAGGCCTCAAATCATGGTGGAAGCTGAAAGGCACGTCTCACGTGCTGGCAGATGAGAGAGAGAGAGAGAGAGAGAGAGAGAGAGAGAGAGAGAGAGAGAGTGTGTGCAGGGAAACTCCTATTTTTAAAACCATCAAATCTCAGGAGACATATACACTATCATGAGACCAGCACAGGAAAGACTTGCCCCCATGATTCGATTATCTCCCTCCCACAACAGATGGGAGTTATGGTAGCTACAAGATGAGATTTTGGTGGGGACACAGAGCCAAACCATATCAAGCTCTTAGAGGTAAATTGCTCTATTCCCATTTTATGTAGGCTTAACAAAGTTAATGATCTTATCCAAGGTGCAGCATACAGCAGTGGCAAAGCTGGAGTTCAGGCCCAGCCTTTTCTGACCACAAGGTACAAACTCTTAAACACTCCTTGGGGTGGACGCTGCCTCTCACAGCTTTGCACCCCCAACAGCTTCTCCCTGTCCCCACATACAGGAAGTGTTCTTGCGGATGAGTGCATTTTCTCAATCAGAGCTCCCCTGTGTCCTCACTGCAGCTGAAACCACCTCTGGGTTGGCAAATTAGGATTCTTTGCAAGCTTGTCCAACCTGCCTTATTTGGTGGTGGTGGTGGTTCTGTTTTGTTTTAGGCTTTTTAGTAGCCTGAAGCCATGGTTTTTAGTTTCTGTCTCTAGTGATAAGCAGAAAAGAGGGATGAGGAAGGGACTTTACTGGCCCAATCAGAAACAGAAATTAAGAAGCCATGACTGTATCCTTTCCCCTGGACACTCCTGAAGAGCCAAGCACATTAAACTCCAGAGCCTTATTGCTCTGACAGACCAGGAGAGAACAGTTGTACTGGTTGATCTTGGGTACTTCTGACCCACTTCCCACCATCCCTACCACAAGAATCTGCCCTGGAGGAGCTATGGTAGCAAACACTGTGCCAGACTGAAGTTTAGGCTGCAGGAAGGAAACTGCAGCCTGAACCATCTTTGTTGAAGGTCTCCAAGAGCAAAGTTGTTTGCTATCAGGAAATATCTCCAGTGTCCTAAAATACTTGAATAAATTAGCAAGGATTCCTGTGTGTGTTTCCTTTTTTCTCTCCTCTCTCCATCAGAAGCCATTGAGTGGAATGGGTGAGGGTTCCAGGTAGTTGCTTTGGGAGATGTTTGTAATTTACATTCTGCAGGGCAGTTGATTGCATGGGTGGAAGGAAGGGAGGAAAGAAGCAAGGAAGGAAGGCGGGCAGACCCAGCGTGAATAACCCTGAATCGAGAGGGGCCAGGATTCCCAGCACCCTTGGCTTGGGTGTGTTTTTTACTTACATTTGACCGTGGGTGTGTCTGATGTTCTGGGAATTCACATCATTTCAAACAAAAGCCCAAAGCCACACACTGAGAAGATTGTCTCTGGAGGTTTGGGAAAACTGCTCAGTTTCCCTGAGCTGCCCCCAGAGCAGCTCCTCCCCAATTTCATTTGCTGTTTGAAAAGCATTTTCACAGATATCCTTTCATTAGCTCCTTACAACTCCCCCACTGCCTCAAAGCAGATGGAAAAATACCATTATCCTTATTTTTACAGAGTTCTCAGAGCCTCACTGTCATTAAAATTCTTGCCTGGGGTCAAATAGCCATAGGTGAGGGCACCTGGCCTAATTCTGGCCCTGTTATTCACTACATCCCCTTCCCTAGTGGGGTGGCCAGTCCTGGCCGCTCCTAAGGTCATCCCTAGTTCTGAACATCCTGCCTGGGCTGGGACTAGGGCTCTGTTTATTCTGGAAGGGTGGTCGGGTACCTGTGAGCATTGTGTGTGAGGTTTGTTTGCACAATGTCATTATTTTCATCTCCCTTTCTGGTGGGCCTTAAATTTTTCCAGAGTCTTGGACCAAGCAATTCCATTTGTAGAGGTTTGTTTTTAGGGTGTATTCAGACCCATTTGCAAAGATAGAAGTCTAAAGTGTTCATCTATAGATAGTTGTCTATAGAGTCAGTCATAAAAGGAACACATTGAAAATAGCCTGTATATCCAAGAAGGAGTTCTTTTACATAAATTACTGTATATTGAATCAATGTCATATTTTCAGCACTTAAAAACTCATATAGAAGGAAATTGAATGGCATGGAGAGATGTTCCTGGTCCATTGTTAAATAAGCAAAACAGGTGATGTAAAAAGTGTTTCAGAATGGTTCCATTTTGCTTTAACAAATATTTATATCTCTGTAGACATGATGACAAATACCCAGAAGGCTATATACCGAAACCATAATGGCAGCTGTTTCTTGTTGCCAAGATTCTGGATGATTTGTATTTCCTTCTCTTTGATTATCTATACTTCTTAAGAACTCTACATCAAGCATGAATTCATTTTATAATGTGAGAAAACTATTTGCAAGATAGCAATGAAGGATTAGCTCTATGGTTCTGGCCATTCATTAATTCATCACTCAGCTTTTCTTGTTTAATGTGTTCAGTGCTGGAGACTTGGAAATGAATTCAGAATTCGGTGTGTAGTCCCTGTGCCATTGCCCATTTCCAGGTGCACAGGGTCAACCCTTTAGAAGGAAGCCAACATTTACTGAGCATTTACTCTAGGCCAGGTATTTTTTTTCACATGATACATCTCATTTAATCCCCAGTGCTGTTCTGCAAGAGAGGTATTATGATTGCTGTTTTAAAAATGGGACTTAAAACGTTAACTAACTTGGTTAAAGTTGTGCAGCTTGTAAATGGTGGAGCTGGAATTTGGCCACAGGTCTGCTTGAATCCACCACCCCTGCTTCAAGCTCTGGTTGCCTGGCACCAGGCTCGGCTGCCTCTTGGCTGCCTGTCTTTCAGAAGGACTGATCGAGTGGGCATGAATGGTTTCTGATGCTTGCTCCCTGGTTGGAATTTAGGCGAGTGTCTGCAGGACCTGAAGAGGTGGCTAAATTGCCAGGAGCAAACCCGATGACCTGGTTCCCTGAGTTCTCCCTCACCTAGGAGAAGCCAAGCCAATGACAAGACACAGGGACCCACATCATGCCTGTTCTTCCCCACCTGCTTCCCTGGCGCGGTGTGCCCTGATCACACACTGCTATGTGTTAGGACTAATGATTCCCTACAGTCACACTGGAGTGGAGCAAGGACCTTTTGCTGAAAAAGGAATTTTCCAGTCGGCATTTAAAAGTTTGAGATCCAGAGGAAGGCATAAAAGAAACAAAAACCAAAACCAAAATAAAAATCCACCAGCAGGCTGAGCTCTGGGGATCAAATATTCTCTTTGTATTGTGCAGAGAGAGGCGTTCTGCAGCCTGGGCTGGAGTTTTCAGTTGGCCATGCAGAAAATGCTCCTGGGTACTCCCTTTAAAAACTAAATCAACATTATTTTAATTTGTGTTCCCTGCTTCCTCCTTCACCATGGAGGAGAAGGTGCGAGGCTGAGAAAGAGCATATTTCTCTCACAAGTTAACTTAACATGCAATATGCAGGGGATTACTCTGCGCTCACTCAATACCATAGCCCAGAGCTTTATAGAATTCTATTGATCTTAGCTGAAGCTGTTTAATTTTTTTTGCTTTAATTTTCTTTCCTTATTTGTTCATTAAGTTGAGGTGAGGAAGGGGCGGGGGACTGATGGCAGGCGATGTTCCTTGGATTTAAGATTGGTCTGGAGGAACAGGGAACCAGTTTGCCTCTAGTCACTGGGAGCAAGCAATGGCAGCATTTTGTCCCCTGTGGCTTGGGATGGGGAGAGGCCACAGGGAAAGGGGAAATAGAATGTCTAGTACCCCCAGATATTTTCTCCTGCAGATTCTCAGAATAAGGACTCTGTGCACAAGACAGAGGCAGAGCTGGGTGAATCTGACACTGATATGGCCCACAGGGAGCTTACCATCTAGTAGCAGAGAGAAGCACACTAATCCCAGCTGGCACACCCATGCGTCGGCATAACCGAACAAGATATTCATGTTTGCTATTGTAGGAGGCTCAAAAGGATGAGAACCTAATTTCTCCCATCAACCCCTAAGTCTTTTAACTAGGGTGTGATCCCCACGTAGGACCATCAAGGACTTAAGTGGGGCTTGCCCAGGAGGGGAAAGCATGGCTAGGGCTTGGGCAGGGAGTGTGGGAGGTGGCAAGAGGGGAGGAAGTAGGATTGATGGTCTAAGGGTCAGAAACTCTGCCCTCCTCCCTTGCTTTCCTTCCTGGGCCAGGTGGTAAGACTTCTAAAAGGGCAACCCCTGTGTTTCTGGGTTGTGGATTAGGCTCCTGTGCTCCAGGAGCTCAGGGTGGGGAGTGGGCTGTGGCTACACTGAGTCCTGTGGGATGCACTTCTGGAATATGCCCCCTGTAGCAGAGCCCAGCCCGTGGCAGAGGGCTCCCGCTCCCCTGTGGCACCCTACAGTAGAGGGACCACGATGACCACCACCAAAGATGAAGGAAATGGACCACTTCTTATTTCCTTGGTATAATTTAAGTCCTAACAGTCTCATAGGACTGAACATAGAGCTAAAGGAAAGTACAATAATACTAATAATAAATGTCATCTGTGGAACTTTACCACATGCCTGGCACTGTGCTAAGTCCCTTTTGTAGATTATTTTAGTGAATCTCTCACACAGGTCCCATTATCATTCCCTTTTTTATAGATGATGATATTGAGATGATGATCCTGCCACTTAAAATACCATCAGTAAGAAATAAGTCAGATCCCTTGCTCAGGGTCTTATGGGTGGTAAGTAGCCAAGGTGGAATTTGAGGCTTGTCGTGCTGGCTGCCGGACTCCTTGCCCCAAACCGTCGTACCAGTGCCACCTCTTCCAAGGCCTGTCTGTCCAGAGATGCATCCCTTAGTGGTCATTAGTAGAGTTTTGTTTGGGGGAAAGAAGATTGAAGCAGAATGTTATTTGCAGCCTAGTATTGTGGGACAAATTCACATCTGATGCGAAATAAATACAACAGAGAGAATGCTATGGGAGTTTAGAGCCCAAACAGCTTACTTCTGATGGAGAAAATGTGTGTTTAGTGGGGCTGTGAATGCACAAGTGAACATGCCAAAGAGGAGGAGTTTTTTGGACAGGGTGACTGAAAATGAGGCATATACCTGGAGACAGTCGGTAGTTCCATTTGACTATGGCATGGGATAAGGAAATGGCAGGCAATGAAGTGGGAAGTGGAGGTTGCATCCAGATTATAAAGGGTTGAGGGATCAGACTATGCTGAAGTGTTTCATGCAAAAATATTTCATCTCACGGGCTGTGTGGGATTGGTAGTGGCTTTCTGGACTGTTCTGCATGAAGCATACAGAATCAATAAGAAAGAGAGTGGAGCAAGTAGCTATGTGCACCATAGGCTGAGACTTACCGATCTCACTTCTTGTCCTGGGGTTCAACAAAGGACTCTGAAAGAGGACAGTGAGGTTTGAACCTGATGGGGATGTATACATGCCCCACACTGTTACCAAATATGCAGTATTTCTGGGGTACAGAGAATGGTTCCTTTATTTTGTCAATTATTCCTTCTCTCTCTTCCCTTAACACCAATTTTATTGGGAATGCCTGGAAATGGTGAAAGCAAATATGTTTGGGGTTGGATGGGGAGCTCTGGTTGTGTGTGCCTCTGATCTGGAACTGCTGGGAGTCTGATACAAAGTGCAGAATGCTGTATGGAATTCTAGAACACCAAGTTCTAAGCTGGGCTCCGCCAATAACTGCTGGGGCACTTTAGGCCCACACCTGAGCCTCCCCAAAGTAGTCCTACAACACAAAGTTTTGGTGACAGCAAAGGAAGTAACTGTGATACATCCTTGAAAAAACCACAATAACTAAAATATGCCTTTCTTGTTTAATGCAATCAAAGAAAACATGCCATTGCTTATAGGATATTTTATCATTTTGTGTATCACTGAGATGGAAAAAATCCTGCCAGTTACAATACCCCATCCACTGTCAATCACATTCTATACAGCATTTTAGAATCAATTAAATGTAGTAGATTTTGACAAAAATCCTGCTTTCCCTAACTAGGCATGGTGACTCATGCCTGTAATTCTAGCACTTTGAGAGGCTGAGGCAGGAGGATTGCTTGAGGCCAGGAGTTCAAGACTAGATTGGGCAACAGTGAGATCTTGCCTCTTAAAAAAAAAATCCAGCTCATAGTTACTAACCCCTATTTACACAAGTTAAAATGTGTTTGCTAGGATTCCAGTTTAGGTTCCTGAAGCATGAATTTCCATATTCAAAACAACTCATATTGTGTAACACAAAAATCTGGTCTCCCGTTTTTTTACTTTGTAGCTCAAAGTTGGAGAGATACCATTCTTAAGGGGAGACTGTCCCAATTTACAATGACTATGAAAACATTAGTTTGACGGCTGGTTCAGATATAACTGTCTCTAAATCATATGGGCTGCCAAACAGCCCTGATTAAGCACTTGCTAGAAATATTCCAAGGTCAGGGAGCCCTGTGATTCTGTTGTGTGACACAGTAAAGCTGTGCTAGACAGTCCGGGGCTGGCAGTGGGAGAGTGTGGGGCCCAAGCTGATGTTCACAAGCCTGTAATCTGCCCCTGATCTTCATTTAATTATTTGTGCACTCCTTGAGAATAAGCTGTGTGAACACAGACTATCACCTAACCAAGCAGGCCCCCTTGGGGAATGTATATGAAATATTCCTGGGAGCCTCAGGTTAGTCTGCTTATTTGAGTTTACACAAACCTGGGGATCTTTTGGTGAAAGAGTTTTGAGAAACGGTAGAAGCATTTACAAGTCTTCCCTTTGCAAAAAGTCTTCTCTTTGCAAGTGACAGAAGCTCAACTTCAATTGGCAATAGGAGGATTATAAAAGGTCTAAGAGACACCTTGAAACCTGGGGACATGATGCTGCCAGGTCTACTTTTGTGTCCTTTGTCTCTGCCTCCCTCTGTGTTGACTTCACCTCCTCCTCTGCAGACTGGCTGCCTTCACCCAGCTGGGAATGCAGCTGTTGACGGCTCCCAGGACTGTATAGAACAACTTCACCACCAAGGAGGGCCTGAAATGCTTTCTCTAGCTCCAGTTTGAAAAGCCCTAGAAAGAAATCTGATTGGCCCACTTTGGATCATATGTGACCCCTAGACCACTCAACTGTAGCAAGAGACTAGAGTGCTATAATTTTAGACCCCAACCACAAATGGATGATTGGACAAAGAAAAAGGAACAACTTCCCCAAAGGGGTAGCCTGATATCCAAGAGGGAAGGAAAGTGCTGGCAGACAAATAATAGGTGCATTTCAATGATCACATTTATTCTTAGAAAAGCCCTTTCATTTCATGACGGGAAAAGGAAAATACCTTAGAGGTACGGCTGATGACAAAATAATTTTATCATAATAAGAGTCAGGCAATGTTACCTTATTAAGGTAACCATTAATAATGGGGTACCGGGGTCTCCACAAAAAACATGGCCTTCTTGGTGAGGGCTTCACGCCCTTTCCTGCAGAGGATATACTTTGAAAGGCAGTGTGTGTCCATACTACAGAAATTCCTGACATTCAAAGTGTTGTCATTGGAGAACTCAGTCAAGTTCTATCTGTTCAACTGCACGTGTGCTTTGTGGAAGAGTAAATGTGTATGGGCTAATATGCTCAGAAGGACTAGGTCTGATTCAACTACCCAAACATACAAATAGAATTTGAAAGTTTCTTAGGAAGCCCAGTCACATGTGTGTTCTTGACCAAAAACTTGGTCTCATCATCTCATAAGACACAGACTATGAAACTCATTGCCCTGATCAAAGATGCTGCAGAAGATGGCATTTATTATTCCCAGGGATGCTCAGGAGAGCTATTTTATTGTCTTGGCATCAGGAATGGCTATGTTGCTTCTCTGAACAACTGGCTTATTTTTACTTTACAAACTCTACATCTCATGACCTTTCATGTTTCTCTCTTTATAGTGACTGCTAGGAAGCTCAGAGCCAACTTTATGACCCACCTGTAGTCCAACCTTGAATTCCTAATGGCAGACATTTAGGGACTAAAACTACGTCTTTACTCCATCTTGCTTCCTTGATCTTATTTTCCCTTATTTTGAAACTTATATAAGAGTTATTTAATTTCATGATAACATTTGTATCTTAGCTAACATAAATCCTTTTTTTTTTAAGATTAAATTGTGGAAATAAGTAATTATTTAACCTTGGACTCAGAGGTTTTGAAGGTGCTTTCTGGCAGAAACCATCTTATCTTGGTAGAGTGAGTATTTATGGTGCCGCTCCTCCTGGAACCCAGGTGAAGTCTCAGGGACATCCTTGATATGTTGTCCCTTAGCAGAGATCCTAAAGTCACCTGCTCACTTTTAGATAAACTACATTGTGAATTTGATTTTGATTCCTAAGAAAACAGAATGTTATCTTGTGCTCTTTTCCAAGACTTGGGAGGTAAATTCAATACCACTTCCTTGTGATCATGAATTCTAAAGGAGATTCAGTTTCAATCTCTACTGTACTATTATTCCTTGTTCAAAAATATCTTCAAGCTGCCACAAGTCTGTCGTTGCTCAGAGATATATAGTTAACAATGAATCTCAGATATTTAGCCTTCAGGCATTTAAAATGCCAGCAATAATGATAACAAAACTAAAGCAATTGCTGTCTGTAATAATTATCCATACCAATGATTTTTAGAATAATATTTGATGAACAATTTTTTCCCCCATGATTGGGGAGTAGGGTTGAGAGCCTGCTGAAGTCCACCAGATTTAAGAGTGGAAAATTGGATAATCTAAATGAGCCACTCATTTCTCAGGGATGTGGCAAACACTCCTCTGGGAGACGGGCTGGTTCTTTTCCGTCATTAGCTGCAATTTTCTTCTGGGAGTATTTTAAAGCTTACATTCAAGGTGTACATCCATACGGGCCCTATTTTTCTGAAGTTTCTCCAATGACATGAAAATGAGGCAAACTTTTTCAAAGCAATCTGCATCATATTCTTCTTTGTGCAAGTTCATATTTTGGTTGAAATGATAACTATAAATATTTAACATCCTAAAAGCTGTGGCTTTCCAGCCCCAACCATCTGATGGGAGACAATGTTGCAGACATTAATTTGCAGCCCACTTTCATTTCAAGCTGATCGATAATATTTCATAAGGTAGGAAACCAGACAGCGTGATTCTGGTGGAAAGAGGAAAAGAGAAGAGGGTGCTTAAAGACCTAAAGACCAAATTCTGAGAGCAGGAATGGAAGTTGCTTTGTGTTTGAGGCTCACTTTTTGTTTTTTCTTAATCATAACAAAAGTTTGATTTTCTCAAACTGAAGAAATTAATGGTATCATTTTGAGAGGAAGAAGAGGTGAAGGCACTTTTTCTTGGGCTGACTCCACCCCTGCCATCTCTGTCTGTCTGCCCCCCACATCTCTCTCTCTCTCTCTCTTGCTCACTCTCACACGGACACACACCACAGAGCAGAGTATGTCTGAATGAGGGGTGCTGCTGCTCAAGGGACCAACAGCAAGAAAGAAGGAGGGGCTCTGTCCACCAAGGCTGGTCACCGTGTGTCTATGCATTTGACGCAGTTGAACAAAGGTGTTGTTTTGAAAAATGACCTCACGCTTGACATTTACATGATACTGAATGATCTATTTGAATGTCATTATTTAAGTGATTGCTTTTCCAGCTTGCAGACAGTCTAATTCCCATCAATTTCACCTTTAATCTAGAAGAAAAATGTTAACCAATGTTGAGAAGAAGAAGAAGAAGGAAATCACCCCCAACAGAGGCCTGTGTCCTTAAGTTCCAGGGTGGTTTTTCATTCAGAGTGTTTTCTGCAAATGTGATTTTGAATAAACCACAAACTGACAAGTAAACGGTTGGGTAGAAATAAATTCTTCCTTTTTAGTGGAGATTGTAGAAAAACAGGTGACTAATAAAATATTCTAATGATGAAAACACTACCATAGGATCTGTTAAAATACATAAATATAAAGTCAGTCACGTGAAAGTAATTGTATATCTATATGCTGATATGTGAACCAGCCACTTTTACTCTAGATAACTGAGTGGCTATTGATTTTTTATTTTATACGTGTAATAACATGCTCCTAAGTTCAAAAGAATCAAAATACTGATGTTCAGCGATTTTCACCTTCAAAGACCTTTACCAGTGTAACTAATTAAAGCTCAGGCATCATTGCCCAGTGCCTCAGTGAGATCCAAATGCTGAAAGCAGAGCTCCAGGCTAGCAGCCCAGAGCCAACCATCCTGTGGGACTGACTCTTTTCTGCTTCTTTTCCTCCCGAACTGAAAGTCTCACACTAGGGTAATGGCAGCAGAGGCACAAAGCTACATCACGTGCCCATAGTTAGGACACATATGGACTCTGGGCTGGGCCTAGAGTCTGAGTCTGTTGTTTCTGGCTTATGTTGAGACCAAAGGCCCCTGAATCTCCATTTTCCCCTCAAAGAACTGTTAGTCAGGACTTGTGTTATGGAAAATGACTAAAACAACCAGTTAGATAATGAAGAAAATGTATTCATTCACATAACTGAAGAGTCCAGTAGTCAGACAGACCTCAGGTCAGACTTGGTCCAGTGCCTCAAAGGATACCCCAGGACCTGGTTTCTCACCATCTCGCTCGTCTGCCTTTTGTGGTGTTGACTTCATTCCTGGACTGCTCAGAGTGGCCCCTCAGCAGCTGCAGTTTCTTATCTGGTGGTTACAAAATCACTCTAGCTGGTCAGAGTTCACACCCTCATGCCTCTCCTCATGCGGAAGGGAGAGGGTCCTCCTGCAGCTCCTACAAGTCCTGGGCGTCTCTCTCTTTTGCTCCTGTCACTGGGGAGATAGGATAAGCTGCTTGAGTTCAGCCAATCAGGACCCACCCCTGGAACTGGGGGTGTGGTCATTCCCACCCATGCCCACTTGGAACCAGAGTAGAAGAGAATGGAAGAGGGGTAAATTGCTGAAACTCAAGGTACCATTGAAGGAGGAAGATGGAGGCTGCAGATGAAAACAGCAATTGTTCACTATGACAACTTTGTGGCTTCTTCTAAAGGAATGCCTTTTACTGGACATCTTGATCTTATTTGTGCTTGCCACAGTTACCTGAGGAAGTTGAAGTCAGGTTGCAGGCTGGATTAGGACTCAGATGATCCTTTGATGTTCATCTCCAAGTATTGGTCCTGTGTCTCCAGACCAATGGGCTGGCAGTGACGGCAGACACCTGGCACACAGGCCCCACATTCCCCTCTCCTATGGCAGACATCATCAATCCATCATAGGGCTTCTCCCTGTGCAGTCCAGATGTGGCCCCAGAGACCTCCTTAAAACAGTCCTCTGGAGCGCCCCTACCAATGCGTTGGTGTTGACAAGTGAGATAAAACGTACTTGCCATTTCTGGAAAGGATTGCTCACCAGCGACCCAAACTACCAATGCATTTCCCTCATACACTAAGAGCATTCACAATCACATACTCACAGCACCCTAGTGTTTGTCAAAATGTGGCTTACAGATCTCTCACATCAGAATCTCCTTCAAAGACCTTTAAAATGTCTTTTTTTTAAAAAGACCTTTGTATTAAAATGTGAATTCGTGAGACCCACTCTAGAGCTATAGAATCAGAATTTCCAGAGCTAGAGTTGTACAAACACCCTGGGAGTGGTTTCCAAACCATATTCTCAAAATAGCAGGCTTAAAGACGCAATAGGCTAATACAGGCAATCAAATAGTAAGCTTCAATCATGCTAGGTCCCTGAGATACTGGCTTATTCTTCATATATTCTTTCAGCAGAAGTTTATTGAGCTACTACGTATGGCACTGGGCTAGCTCCTATGAAAGTGGTGAGAGTGGTGCAGTTAAAGATGTCCTAGAACTGCTCAGTGAAACACACCAAAAAACTGCTCTGTGTAAGGGGTTAATTGACACAGGAAAGGATGAGGGCTGTGGGACTTCACATAAGGGCAAGATCTCATCTACATGGTGGGGCTACAAAGAGAAAACTTGTCATGGAGAACTTGGCCCTGGAGCCTTTGACATCAGGAACAGCTGGGTTGTGGGATGAGAAGGGTCGAGCCTTCTGGGAGGAGTAAGTGGCAATGGAGAGGGGTGACAATGTGCAGTGAGGGATCATGGACAGGGAGTCATTTAATTCAGGAATTTAAGAAAAGAAGGTGGAAAGACAGCGTTCAGTTTTCATCACGGAGGGTTTTGTGGGGTTGGCTTCAGTGTTTACATTTTATTTTGCAGCCTATTGAGAGCCAGTTTAAGCAAGGGAGTGACATGATATTAAGCCATGCTTGAGGGTGTGGAATCGGAAAATGACATTTCTACATGGGGGAAGAAATAGAGCAGGATGGCTGATGGAATGTTAGCGTAATCATACCACTGAGAAGTTGGGGTCCAAACAGGAATCTTGGCCATTGAAATGAAGGGGAATAGATGCAAAAGACATTTGGGAAGGAGAGCCTTTGTTTGTTTGATAGCTTGGCCAGACTATTAAGGGTGCATTAATCAGATGTGCTGGGCCATGCTGTGATAACAAATTAATCTTGAAATCTCAGTATTTATCGTGACAAAAATTGAGTTGCTCATGTTTTACATCCAAGACTGGTTAGCAAGAGGCCCCACATCATGCTCAGGGACTCAGGTTGAAAGAGGCTCTGTGGTCTTCTAGCAGCACCATTTGAAAGACGTGGCCTCATGGGATGCTGAAGTACCGGAAGAGAGGGAGGGAAGATACACACAAAGACTTTTAACTGACTTGACCCAAAAGTGACCAACACCACTCATGGTCTGTTGGCTTCAACTAATCACATGGCCCCAGTACGACCATACCCATGTGTCAGAAGTCACATATCCACATTGCCCCTAAGAACATAGAAGCTGCTAAGAAATTAGTGGAAGGAAGAGACTGGAGAATAATTTTTGTAACCCACCCAATCACTCCCAAGGTTGGTGTTGTGATTTCAGGCTTGTGGGTCGTGGTATATATGAACGTGATTGGTTCTGACTTAGGGTTTTCGTCTTTAGGAGTCAGTCAAATGAGCCTGACTATGATTATCTGTAGTAGTGAACACACTTCACATAAGACAAACAAAAAACAGTGCTCACACCCACGTGTACACACACACTCCTGGGTTTTAATTAATCTATTTTTGCATAAAACAAAAACAAGCCCCTCAATTCCAAATGTATTTATTTTCCTCAAAAACCTTAGAGGTTTTTTAGAAAACACAAATACTTTTGTGGCATAAGAAGTCTTTGGTGGCCCCCAGTTCCTATTTTCTTTGAAAGTACTCTGAGAGAAAACCCCTCCCTCCTGAATTTGCAGCATCATTTCCTCCAAAGAAATCATGGCTATTGTGAAACAGACACATGCATGGAGGACATATACATTTTCCATGTGCCCATGGAGTCCCTGGCACTCTTCTCGGCCCTGGGAATACAATGGCGGGGATGTTGCCTTTCTGGAACTTATATTCACCTGGGGAGATACAGAGCTACTCAGTACACAGCTGGCACTTTGACGGAAACTTGAGACTCCAAATCCTCCGCCCTAGCATGTCATGCTAAAGACTCACCTGTTCTTCAGAGAAGTCTTCCAGCTTTCTGTCACTGCCACCTCCTAAAGCATTAGCACTTTTCCAGTCCTCCTGAAAAATCACAAACTGGCCCAAGCATATTGAGCAGGATGCCAGGCTGTGGTGCTATGAGGGATGCAAAGATAAAGCTTTCTCATTACTTTCAGAGGGGCTCCTGCTCTCACTTTGGGGTACCATTCTTTTTCTGACACGTCCCCTGAATTCCCATTACTGATCTTTGTTTTAATCAAATTTCAGTGCCACGCAAGAGCAGTTAAGCAACCATGACAGCAGCATGGCCGGGAAAGTGAAGACCTCTCTCTGCCCTCCTTAGGAAGGGTAGGGAGATGTTCAGGGACGGGATGGGGGTGCCCTTCACCCCTGCACCACTACCAGAACCATTCTGTTCATTTAATAGATGCGTTTCCAGGGAAAATCCAAAGCCATCTTCTTTTTGCTCCTGGGGACAGCGGCTCTACCAGAAAATACTTGGAGTCATTGGGGCAGAAAATAGAAGGCTCTCTGGGAACATTGTGCCTCTGATCCCATTCCTTTCATGCCCCAGGAAAAGAAAAGAGGCCCATGCGAAAACCCCTCCTGGGGCTTCCCAACCAGTTAAACACCAGGGAGAGAGAGAAAAGGGAAAAAAAATTCTAAATAAAAGCAAAGTCTTTGAAAAACTTCAAAGAAACCTTTCTCCTGTTCAGAAGTCAAGAGCACATCTGGCTGGCGGTAAAAAGAGAAGTGGTGTCATCTGAGCACAAATGTTCTCTTCAAGTATGTCCTTTAAGGAAAGCAAGAGAGGAGAGCGCGAGAGCTGGAGAGGAGAGAAATAATGCAAGGAGGGAAAGGAAGTCAAAGGGAAAAAGAAGAAAGGAAAAACAATCCCTCCTAAATCTTGTAATGTTTTAGGAGGGCTTATTAGAGCGAAAATTAAGTGTCATACAGAGCTCTGCTCCAGTATTGATGGCTTTTATTCAAAGAGCCATCACCCTGTAAACTCACTTTAACAACTCCCTTCAGATGAAATATAAAAATTAAAGACATTTACAACACAGCTTAGTAGCAGATGTAGTCGTCCTGTTGGGGCTTAGATCAAATAGTGATGTAAACCCCAGCAGGGTAACAGGTCTTATGAAAAAGTCCTTAACAACAGCCTCCAAAAATCTTGGAAATCTTACAAAACATGTTTCCCATTCTCTCCCAACCTCAAGTACCCCCGCTTCTTTTACCTCAACCACCTCCCCTGATCTGCTAGACTCCTTTTCCATCGTCATCTTTGTCTGGAGTTCCTATGAGTCACTCTACACTTAGCAATTCGAAGAGAAAAAAAAAAAAAAAAAAAAAAGCCTGGTCGGGCTCCTGGTTATCTTCTCCATGTAGTCATCTTCCCTTGTTTCCCGAGGGAGTGCCTGGGTAGGGAAGCACTGAGCAGTCTGGGAAAAGGACTGAAGTGTGCGTAGAGCTCATGTGGGCATGAAGGTCTGACCTTCATCTTGGTCAGCTCTTCCCTATTTGCCTCTCCTCCTCCTTCAGCTCTCATCTACCCACCCCGAGGAGCCTGAAAGGAGTTTCTGATTTGATTTGAAGGCTGGGACACTCAATAGGGTGGGAAACATTGATATCTGTTATAATGTAACTAACACAGGTCACGGGCTTCTCCACACTTCACCCTTTCCAAAGAAGATTTTCTTGAGGATTTATTCTGGGAACCATCCTCATTCACACAGTCACCCACCCATTCATTCATTCATTATTTCAAAAACTATGCTTGTGTGCTTACAACAGACCAGGCCCCCAGCAAAGTGCTGGGGCCAGGGCATGACCGTCCCCTTGGGCAGAGTTCTCTTTGTTCCTGAGTTGTTGACAAGTCCATAGACTGCCTCTGGAAAGAGAACAAGGTTGGGGGATGAAAGTGGAGGGGGTATAAATAAGTTCTATCTGAGAATTTCTGGTTGTTTGTCTAGTTTCTCAATTTCCTTGGCTCTTAAAAATGAAGCCCGTGACCTTTCTTGCCCTCTCAGTGTATGAGAAGAGTCAAGTTGCCCCCAGGCCCAAGGTTTTGTTCCTGAGCTCCTCTTTTCTGGCAGACGAACATTTAGCCAGTAATTTGGGAGTGGCCGTGTTAGATGTTTGGCTGTAGCTTGGCCCTTGGACCAGGCAGAGGCCAAGAGCCTGGAAAATAAGAAAGAATCCGAAGGGCCTTCAAGAACAAGGGAGCAAGCCCCAACTTGTAATGAGCTCCACTCTGAGGCTGGGTTGGGGCCCTGCTCAGTCGGGAGCAACCTGATAAAAATCTAAACAAAACAAAATAAGACGTTATCACCTCAACTGCCTAAACAAAGGCCAATGAGAAAATTGTCCTAGAAAGCTCTGAAAGCAGCAAATGAGAGGCGAACTTGGATGCCACATAGAGCTTAAAGAGGCTGGAGACTTTCCAGGGCTAAGTGGTGGCCTTCTAAGGTCATGCAGTCTAGAGTTTTCCAACACCCAAGCCAACAGTTACAGCTTGAACTCATGACCTCCCTGCCCTCTTGCTTTACCCAGGAAATCTGTAATATGATTGAGTTACAAATACTGTCGGGTCCATCCTAAAACCTCCCGGCAGGCCCGGCTGGATTTTGTTTCACACATGCTCTAATTTGAAAACAAATGCTGAACATCATCTGATAAATTGGGAGGCCAAGTTGATATGTCCAATGACCAAGGAAAGTCCTCTCTCTGGATCCCTGCACGAAATGACTTCAAAGGTAGCTTCCTCACTCACACTCACATGCATATCCTCCCAGTCACACACGCATCCTAGCACATACTCACGGACACTCGCACACGCACACAGATACAGACAGCCTCAATCCCACTGGATCACTTCACGACTTTCTGGGCTATTTGGCCAAGAAGGAGGCAGCATTTACCTCTGCTAATGCAAGGTCTAATCTGTGAAGAAAATGTGTGCTTATGTAAAAAAAATCAAAGAAGATAATAGTTACAGCCTATGTCACAGGCGTGGGCTAATCTTCGATTAAATAATGGTATTCAGATGACATTTCTTGGCAACTGGCAGACCAGCTGGAAAAATAAGTCAGAATTTCCACAGAGAATAGACTGTTTTGCCATCCAAAGCTGGCCAAGTACAAACAGCAAAGGTTCTAAATACATAGGAATAAAAGGTCCGAGCACTCAGCTTGCAAAAGGGCTCCCTTTTCTCTATGCACAGATACCGCACACACTGGTGTGCAGATGTGTGTAAAGTGCAGATGTAAATTTAATATCTACTGGTATACACTGTTCTCTTTCTTCTGGGATAGCTGACCTTTGAAACCCTCTAATTCAGCTCCTCATTTTTCAGATGAGGAAACTGAAGTCAAGAGAGCTGGGGAGCTGGAGGGACTTGCCCAAGGTCACACAGCAAGACCTTGCTTCACTCTCCCTCCAGGGCTCTTTCAAGTATATTCTGACCTCTACAGAGCTGAGGGGTGGAAAGTGGAAGTGCCTGTCATGGGATGTGTGTATGTGCACAGGAGCTGGAGTGGCTGAGACTGCTTGTGAAAAATACACACTTGTGTGTAACATGGTGTGATGGGAAAACGTGCACTTCGGCTCCAGACAGACCTGGTCTATTGTCAGTATCCCAACGGGAAAAAGATGGTGACCCTAACACGGGAGCTATGTACACAGTGGTGGGCGGGGTCAAGAAAAGCTGTAAGGGATGGTCAGGGACCATGTAAGCACCAGCAAGGAGCTGTTTGCATCCTTAGACTTGAGGAAGGGTAGTGGAGGGAGAAGCTCTCCAACCCGGGGAGATTAAGATTGATCTTTGATGCTGCCACTCAGACAGCCAGGGTGACCTGCCAGGGAAGAAGCTGGGAAATCAATAGTATGTTCTTACCCTTCCCTATTCACAACTCCTGCTCATGCCTCCCAGTGGGTGAATCTAACAGGAGCCGGAGGCAAGGGGGCCATGATGTGGTCCATAATAAGCCTCCCAGGGGAAGAGAGGGGCAATTGCATCTGGAGGGGCAAGCAGAATACCCAGCACATCTGGGCTCCAATCTCAAGTAGACTTTGCTACTTCCCAGTGCTATAACTCAGGACAAGTGACCCAACTCACTGACTCTGGCTTCCTCATCTGTAAGATGGTTGTAATGCCATACACCCTGAGAGGTGCAGTGACTCTTAGAGCCTATGTGTGTGAAGCTCCAAGCTTAATGCACAGCACATTTGATCAGTTCCAACACCATAGGCCTGAGACTATTAGGCACTATCAACCAGAAGGCTTACACTTTTGCAGACCTTTGAATCCAGCAATTCTGCTTCTAGGGACGAATCTCAAGGAACAAATCAGGCAAATGCACAAAATGATAACATTGTTCACCACACCACTAGTTAAAATGTGAGAAATGAAGAACAGCTTTACTGTCTGTATCCATCAGGATAGTTGCAATCAATAGAAACTGGGTTAAGTAGAAAAAGAATTTATTGAAGGAATGCCGGGTGACTCATAACTGCCAGAAGAGGCTGGAGAACCCAGCTCAGAAAAGGCCCAACAATAGTAGATAGGCCAAAATATGATGGTGTTCCCCTAGCATGGACTGTATTACATTTGTGTTGAAGATCTAATAATGTAGAAAGATATTAAATAATGTAGGCATGATACAACTAAAAAGTGTTGGTCACCATAGAAAGACATCTGAAAAGGTACATGCTGAAATATTGACAGTGGTTCTCCCTGGATTGGAGAAAAATGATTTTTTTTTTGCCTTTGTATTCTAGTGGTATTCAATGAACACATACAGCTTTCATAATAAGAATGAAATATCTAAAACAGCAAAATGACTTTGGATATTTGGAAGACGTAGAAATCTCCATTCTGGGCCGGGCGCGGTGGCTCATGCGTGTAATCCCAGCACTTTGGGAGGCCGAGGCGGGCGGATCACGAGGTCAGGAGATGGAGATCATCCTGGCTAACACGGTGAAACCCCATCTCTACTAAAAATACAAAAAATTAGCCGGGCATGGTGGTCGGCACCTGTAGTCCCAGCTAGTCAGGAGGCTGAGGCAGGAGAATGGCGTGAACCTGGGGAACGAAGCTTGCAGTGAGCCGAGATCGCACCACTGCACTCCAGCCTGGGCAACAGAGCAAGACTCCATCTCAAAAAAAAAAAAAAAAAAAAAAAAATCTCCATTCTGGGCGGTGACTTCTTGCCTTCTTCCTTCTTTGAAGGGCCAGTGGCTTCCTATCCCTTGAGTGTCCAAAGGCCCAGCTATAACCTAGGGCCCTGGCACAGATCTAGGAGTGGCATGGCCACATCACCTGAACACCAGTACACCCTGAGAAGCAGGGATGGGTGTGTGATGAGACACCTAGAGTTAGAGAGAGGGAATGGGAGACTAGGGGTGGGCTAAGTTGTTATCTCACACACAACTCTGGGAAGCTCTTTATATAAACTGCCAGAAACAAACAAACAAACAAAACTGACCGATGCTGTATTTGGGGCTGGGTAGGGGACAACGAGACCCCCAGGACAGAGTTTTAAAATACGATATTTTACTTCCCTGCTTTCTCACTTGAAGCTAATTTCCTGAAATTAAAAAGTACTGCTTTCCACCAAAGTGACTCCGAACTGCAAAGGGAAGGCTGTGAGCACATGTACACACATGTGCACATATACATGCACACGCATACATGTACATATACATGCATGCTCATGCATAAGCATGCAATACATGCAGATGTATACACGTATACATGCATACACACATGCTTGCACACATGCACACATAAACTCATTACGAGAGAAGAAGATCCTACCGCTTCCCTGAACACTTTCTCTCAATCTCTAACACCCAGCAGTTGCTTGGGAGCTAAATTCCTCGTTCCCCCTTGAATTCCACGCCTGCTCCTCCAGGCTTCCTGGGTGGGTGGGAGGAATTGACCTTTTCTTACATACTTGAATTTGTGGCTGATAACTGGTGGATGTTGGTGTATAAACCATGACCCCAGAAAGCCGGGGTGCCAAATAGTTTTGGGCAAATCAACTTGCTTCTACCACCCAAAGTTGTGTTTTGTGGACACATACCTGATGCACAAACAAGATGGGGGAGACATGGCTCAGGACCACCACAGGACAAGACTAAGAGGGGTGGATCCACCCCATGTGGACCCCTGCCCGTGCATGTGGTTTCACACTGAGGTTCTGCAAGGAACCTGTTAGCTCACCTTTGTTCACAAGAATGTCCTTTCAGAGGTCACAGATAGACCAAAGTGATGTCAGGGGAACGTGGATCTGATGCTGGCCCTTCTGACTCTTATCTGCCTGTAACTGTCCGTGTTGAGGCCCCACTCAGATCCCCTTTCTGGGGCCAGTGCACCTGAGACTTTTGGCTGCTGACAGCTCCCAGCTGTCACCTTCTTTGTTGAGCTGACTGCGGAAGCTGCCCGGCCGGGGCTAAGTTTATTCCTCCCCAGATCCCTGAGGGTCAGGAGGACAAGACCTTACCTGAGACCGTATCCTGGCTCTACTCTTTCTCCTTCTCTGACTTTCTTTCCTCCCTCCCTCTATGGTTTTCCCTGAAGAACGCTCCCTTGATAAATCAGGTGCACTCAGTCCCTATCTCAAGCTCTGCTTCTAGGGCAATGGGTCCAAGCCACCTCCTGATATAGACTCATGCCTGGTCTGGAGCTCATTTTGTATGTTCATCTGGGCCTTGGCCTCTGCCCTCTGTCTTTTTGTTTCCAGTCTTTATTCTGTTTCTAAGTGCAGTGTGATAGTGAAAGACAAGAAGTGTACAGTGCTGAGGGCAGGACTGGGGTTCACTCAGGGCCACCATTTTGCTTTACCCTCTCACAGGAGCCAGTTCTGTGTGATCAGACTGGGGTGCCTCTCCCTCCTCTGAGCCCCGCAGAACCCTGTGTCTACTTCTGTTGTTACTATATTACAATCTGCCATTTTCTTGTCTTTCTCCCTGAAAAGACCAGAGCACTAGAGCTAGGCAGAGACTTGGTGCCTGCTCTCAAGAAATGGAAGATGGAATGATTGCCATTATTGATGGGCACACAGGTCATCTTTGTCAAATGAGTGAAAGAGACTCCAGAGGACAAGTTTCCTCCCACTCATTGTCACCCTTTGGGGAGAGTGGATTTACCCAAGAGGCAGGCTGCGTTATCAGGGTAGCCCATAGATCAATTTAGACTGAGAAAAGAATGAGCACAGATTCTCATTACATAGAAGTTATTAAGCTGTGATTAGGAAAAGGGAGCAGGGAAGAGATGAACATTTGTAAAGGGATACAACATCTGTATTTCTGTGTACACAGATACCACACGGGACCACCTGGCTACCTTTAGTGAACAACATACATTTCCGTGGACCGTATTTGTGTACCTGCTTTGTGCTACGTGCTAGATGACACAAAGACTGTCAGTTGAGGTCTCTCTCCCCAAGGACCTCAGAATTTCATTGGGAAGATAGACAAAGAGGCAGCCATAATAATGGATAATATTTATTGAGTGTTCACTATGTACCAGGCATGGTTCTAGACATTTCATATATATTAATTCATTTAACCCTCACTGCAACACTCTGAAGGTTATTTTACAAAAGTAGAAACTGAGGCACAGAGAGGTTGATCAACTTGCTCAGAGTGACAAGCTGTGTTTCCTAGGTGGAAAAGCCAAGATTTGAACCCATAGCCTTTTAGCTCTAGTGCACTTACCTCACATCTCTGTAACACTCACTGTGAAGTAAATGCCAGAGGAAGCCCACCCTTCTTCCTGAAAGTCTTTTCTTGCCAGCACACATACCCACAAAAGGAAGCATGGCTTCTGTCTCTGATCATTTCCCCCTTCTCCACCATCTGGCCAACCTTGTCTATATACATGCAATATGATCCTGTTATTTCAAAGGAATCTCAGAGCTGTCTTTACTCCATCTCCTGTATCCCCTGTAACTCTACCTGGTAGTTCAATCTGCTGAATTCTGTATTGGATAAAACTCCATAACTCACCCCCTTCTCCCTGTTTTCTTGGCCCCAGGCCTAGTTCAGGCCCTTCACGTCTTGGTTGGATCATTGCAGTAGTCTCTGACAGGTTTCCTGATTCTTGCTCATTCACCTTTCCATACACCTTTCACACTAATGGCACTCTTCACCAGGTTCACGTTAGCCATATCGTAAGCCTTCAGGAAGGGACTTAGACTTTGGTCAAACCCGTCATGGTAGGCTCGGGTTCTACCTTTATAAGAATGATTATGGCTGGAATTAGGAAGTTACTCATATCCCCAGGGCAGAGAAAGAAAGGCCAACTGTGTGTACTAGAAATCACAGTGTGTCACAAACCTTAATGCCCATATGAGTCACCTGGGAATCTGGTGAAAGTGCAGTTTCTGATTCAGCAGGGTTGGGTTGGGGCCTGGGATTCTGCACTTCTAATGAGTTGCCAAGTGAGGCTGATCCTGCTGCTCCATAGTCTGAATAGTAGGGTATCAGAGAGCAGCTTCAAGGACAAAGGCAGGGATTTATCCAGTCACAGTCTTAGGCCAGGACAAGGGGAGCTGTAGAATAAAGTTAAATAAACACAACACTTTATTGAGCACTAGCTATGGGTTAGATGCCATGCTAAATGTTTGTTTTGCATCGTCTCACTTAATCTTTCCAATAACCCCAGAGGCTTCATGGCATTATTATTTATACTTCCTATATTAGAGAATAGAGGCTTAGCAAGATGAAGGAACTTTGCTCAAAGTTACCCAGGGCTGGGAGTCCAAGATCAAGCCCGTTAACAACTGTGGAGTCCAATCATGAGTCCCTAGTTTGAGATGACAGGATGGTATTGCATTTATATAGACAAGGTTGGCCAAAGGAGAAGGGGGAGATGATCAGGGAAAGAAGGCATGCTTTCCATTTTGGACACGTGGGCTGCTGTGGTCCATACAGCCCTTGCAGTGGCCTACCTGGAGCAGGCAAGGCCAGAATCAGGAATTCTTGCCCTAAACAGACACTGCCAGTAGAGTTACACTCAATGTAGACTCTCAACAGAACTGAGAGTTCTCACCCTGGTTCTAGAGCAAAGGACCAGTGTGATCCTGAGCAGCCATTTTCCCTTTCTGGGCTTTTTTTTTTTTTTTTTTTTTTTTTTTTTTTTTTTTTAATCTGTAAGGCCATGCGCAGGGCTGGCTATATAATTTGCAGGGCCCAGTGTACAATAAATATACGGGCCTCTTGTTAAAAATAAATTCTGAATTTCAAGATGGCGACAGGAGAGCTTTAAATGAAGAGTAGGTTCTCCCAAGTGTGGGGACCTGTGTGACTGAATGGGTCACATGTCCCTGAAGCCAGTCCTGGAGACAGGGTGAGCCCATGTGATATTTAATGTCCTTCAAGCTCTATTATTCAATAATATTGGTTTCCTTTTGTTTTCTGCTATTATTCCCTCCTTACTGGTTTATTCTTAGGTCACCATGAAAATATTTGAGACAGCCTTTCCACCTGACCGTGTCTCTCTCTGGCATCTCATAGAATCATCTCTCTCCCCGTTCTGTCTGCTCAGCCATCCGGAGACCTTGTAAGGACCACTGTGTCCTGAATGCATGAAACCCTCCAAGATCTGTTGGCATCTTAGAAGGGACAAGGAGCAGATGGCTTGGAGGAAGGAGAACATGTTATTTTGCGGTCCTGTAACTCACCCTTTTCAGATAGCTTCTTCATTTCCCAATTCTTTCCCAACTTTTCAAGTATCAGAACGGAGAGGCAGTGAGAATGAGTCAGCAGCTCATGCCCTGTCCTTGGCCAGCACCCCCAACCCCAGGGAGTGAATACCTCAGTTCCCAAACTCTCTGAGTCAGGGAGGTCACTCTGAGGACATCTGCCTGTTTGTCTAAACCATGCCAAGCAAGCAACAGCTGCTGAATGAGCCCAGGAGGCATCACTTCCTGTCAGCCAGGGGACCAGACCAGGTGGCCTCCTTGCCCTCCTTCCTGACTCCTGCCACACTGCCCAGGTATCCCAGTACGGGGAGGGCATTTGTTTTCCCGTCCCATTCCAGAGATTCAGCCTAGGGACCAGGAGCATCTTCTCCTGGGATGCCGAGCATTAGGTTTATCCAAGAGTGGAGGCAACCCCCTGGACAACCCAAACCCTGGAGAGACAGACAGAGCACAAGCTCAGTGTCTGGAGTCCTGGGGTCTCTCTTGGGTTTTACCACTGACCTTAAGCAAATCTTATCACCTTGACCATTGACATGGTTAGGCTTTGTGTCCCCATCCAACTCTCATCTTGAATTATAATCCCTGTAATTTCCAAGTGTAAAGGGAGAGACCAAGTGGAGGTAATTGAATCATGGGGGCTGTTTCCCCCATGCTGTTCTCATGATAGTGAGAGAATTCTCACAAGACCTGATGGCTGTATAATGGGCTTTTTCCCCTTCACTTGGCACTTCTCCTTCCTGCCACCTTGTGAAGAAGGTGCCTTGCTTCCCCTTCACTTTCTGCCATGATTGTAAGTTTCCTGAGGCCTCACCAGCCATGCTGAACTGTGAGTCAATTAAACCTCTTTCCTTTATAAATTACCCAGTCTTGGGCAGTTTTTTACAGCAGTATGAAAACAGACTAATACAGACTAAACAGTTTCCTCATCTGTAAAGTGAGAAATCTTCTTTGTCCCCTTCCCCAGGTGGAATGAAGTGGTCATTTTCTGGGAGCCCAAAACATATGACACATGACTTGATCTGGGCACTTAATCCATTGTAATCTGGTTGGCTAATTATGTATCTGACTCTCCATCCAGAATATCAGCTCCTTAAGGACAAGGAGCACCTTTAAGTCTTCCCCTGGTGCCCCATTTAGCTCTAGCCCTCCATCATTCTGTATCGTACATGCTTAGACTGCATTGAGAGGGGCTGCTAGTGTAGAGGAAACAACTGCATTTCACACATTTATTAAGGTGACATTATGACATCACTGCATATCCACCCCCTGCAATGCTTGAGGATAGATTCAAACAAAGAGAAACCCATGATCTCTAGTCACGATGCAGGACCAAATAACCGTAGTTATAAACATGCCCCATCCCATCACTCTCTGTCCCATGCCGGCCACTCACCTGTGCTGAGTGTTTGATCTTCTGTTATCTGATGACTAAAGTCCTGTGTTCCATTGACACATGTCTTGGGGTAAAGACAGATGCTACAGTGCATTGGCTAAGGACCGGCTCTATGGGAGAAGCGGAAATGACAAGGTGCCAGCCATTCTCCACTGCGTCCGTGCAGAGGTGTGCTGATTTTGTGAGGGTTTTCATCCCCACAGGGGGATAGGATCCCCCTCCTTATAGGGTGAGCAAGAGAGAGATCTTGTCAGAGGGGGAAGTCATTAGACCACTTAGTGTAAGACAGGCTGGCATTTACCAGAGTTGTCTGGGAACACCAGCTTCCAGCCCCTGGAGCCTTGGGACCTATGTGGTGCCGCAGTCTTCCTGCAGAGGGAGGACACTCAGTCCCATGGGCAGGAGAACTCGGCTACAGACTACCTTCCCCTACTCCCCGACAAACCCTAGGGAAATTTGGGGCCTTTGGTTCCAGCAAGATCATTGTCCAGGTAACCCAGAGTGTGCACCAGGGTCATTCCAGATAATCCAGGTATTTTTGTTTAGGCCTGGACCAGAGTAGATGGGAGAACGATACTTCCCTAGGGTCAGGCTGGTGGGAAGGGGATGCAAAGGCAGCAAACTCAAGAGAAGGCCTCTCTCAGGGAGAGCACGGCCATCTGATCAGCTGCCCCTCCACGTCAGGAGACTTTCCGTCCTGGGGCTGATTTGGAAGACTATAGATTTCATTCTTATTAAGGGAAGTGGCTTCCTGCCACAGGGTAGACAGATGAAGGAACGAGATGACCATGGCAGGACATGATGTAGCTCCAGGCTAATGAGCCCTGTGGTTTCACGTGCTCCTGAGATTGCAGTGGCATCCTCTTTGGGGGAAGACAGTCATTGAGTGGGCACGAGGAACTGTGATTCTCATCTGTTTGGGCGAGAGGTCCAGTTTGGCTGCCAGATGGGAGTCGTGCCAGCATTCTCAGCCAAAGCTTTCTTGGGTGGGTAGGATGTGCCCAGGCTCTTTTCTTCCCCATCTTTGGCCGCCTTGTTTGGCCCAGTGAGGGCTTGGGATGTAAAACATATTTGCTTGTGCTGGGCTTTGCTTTTCTCCACAGACCTTGGTAGCTAGAATGAGTACCGCCTGTAGTGTGTGTGCGCACACAATGGTACACATGCACGTGCGTCTGTGCATGTGCTGGCTCTGGAGCCAAACGGAATAGAGACAGGATAAACCTGGTGGGGCCGGCTGCCAGGTATGTCCAAAATCTCCACCTGTGGCCCCAGATCAGGGTCCACCTTGCAGCAGAGCTGGAACCAGAGCTCAGACTGCCTGTAGTGAAGGCTCACACCTGGGGCTTCAGAGGGCCGCAGATGGTATGCAGTCCTGTCTGGAGTCTCTGAGAGGCCACTGGTCCTGCAGTGCTACAGAGGCATTACCCCACGCTCAGCACACCTGCCTGCCTTCTCTGTACACCTCTTTAACACATTCAGCCTCCTGTCTTTCAAAGCCCAACCCAGACACCCCCAATCAGTCATCTCAGCTGAAGGTGAACTCTCTCTTCAAAATTCCTTTTTTTTTTTTTTTTTTAAAGAGACAGGATTTCACTCCATCACCCAGGCTGGAGTGCAGTGGCACAATCACAGCTAATTGCAGCCTTGACCTCCTGGGTTTAAGTGATCCTTCCATTTCAGTCTCCTGAGTAGCTGGGACTACAAGTCTGTGCCCACACGACTGGCTAATTTTTGTATTTTTTTTTTTTTTCCTGTAGAGGCAGGGTTTCACCATGTTGCCCAGGCTGGTCTCAAACTCCTGGGCTCAAGCAATCTGCCTGCCTTGGCCTTGCAAAGTGCTGGGATTACAGGCATGAGCCACCACGCCTGGCCCAGAATTCTTAAAACAAGTAGCACCAAACTCCTGGCACATGCCACGGACAGCACCCATGTGAATTGTAGTCCTGTAAGTATATGTTTACTTCCCCTGCTGAACTGGGTCTTGTTGGGGGGCAGGTGAAGACACTGGCAGAAGCATTTCTTGCTCCACATGGTGGCTCTCCCATGTACTGTCCAGCTAATGTGTGTTGCTCTGTCAGGGACTCTCTGCCTCTCACATCATAGTCTTCCCCTAGTGCTGACCACCTGCCCTGCTCCTCTGCCTCCCATCACCCGAAGGGGTTTGTCTCTATTGGTGCCTGCTCTGGAGCCTGACCATGAGCTTCCAGGCTGACTGCTCCCCTCCAGCTCCCTGGTAGGTCTGACTCTATCGGAAGCGAGCAGAGAAAGCAAAAAAAATCACCTATGACTTCATGTAGTTTCACCACTGTCTGTCCTCCCTCCACCCTGGGCAATGGTTCAGCTTTGGTAGATTTCTTGGTCACTGTCTTAGTTCAATCAGGTGTCCATAACAGAATAACAGACTGGACAGCTTATAAATGATAGAATTTATTTCTCACAGTTCTGGAGGCTGGGAAGTCCAAGATCAAGATGCCAGCAGCTGGTTCTTGTGGTGTCCTTGCATGGCAGAAGTGGGGAGGGAGCTCTCCCGGGTCCCGTTTATAAGGGCACTACTCTCACTTATGGGGGCTCAACCCTTACAACCCAGTCATCTCACAGAGGCCTCACTTCCAAACACCATTACACTGGGGGTTTCAACATTTGAATTTGGGGAGGAACAAAAACAATCTATAGCAGTTACTTCCCTCTAATATTACTTTCAAAATAAATGTTAAAAAGTCCAGTCCCATCTAATACCAAAGCTACACTCTCTCACCCAATTTAAGGGCTTCCCCTATTCCCAGCCTAGCACCGATTCAGGGCAAGGGGCTGTGGTTGACTTCTTTGCTGCTTTCCCTTTGCTTTCCTTTTCTACTGACTATGGAGTTTGTGCAGCCTCCAGGTTGGAGCAGGGGACAAGAGACAAATGGCAGAGAAGGTGTTTCTTGCCTGGCCTCTCGTAATCTGGCCCTGGGCACCCCAGGCCGGGGCAAGCTCCTTTTCTTGTGATGAGCTTTTGTGGATCCTCCTGGGGCCCTCTGCTCTGCTTTTCCTTGGCATGGGAGACAGTCTCTTCTTGATATCTGATAACCCTCCCACCTCTACATTCTCTGGACCGCCTCCAACCGCGTTTGTGGGGGCTGTCTTGCCCCTGCCAGAAAGTCCTCTTGTCTGGAAACCTTGATCAAGACAAAATCAAACCTGCTGGCTTTTGTAGGTCTGCTTGGTCCAAAGAAAATTGCCTGTGTCCTCTTTCTGCCTTTGGTGGAAGCACAGCTTGTTCCCGTCGTCACCTTCTCTCTGTCTCCTGCTTTGGACTATGTTTCTCCAGTCACTCATCTTGAGAATTCTCTAAGTAAGAGTCCAGCATCAGCCCAGTGTTCCCCACTCCAGGGGATTCATGACAGGCTCTATTAACAGAGCCTTTCATTACTGGTGACACCAAGGCACAGACTGGTATAGCTCAGAAAGCATCTGGCCAGAGGGCTGCGGTCACTTTCTCCTCATGAGAAACTTTCTAATTCTGTATGTATGGTTCCCTTGAAGGCCCCCTCATCTGGCTGGAGTTAGGGGAACCTCTCTCTTCCTGGCCCAGGAACAAGAGCAGCATTGCTAATGACTCTCCCGCCAAGGAAATTGTTTCCATCAGTCACTACTGATCAGTCCTCTTCTCTGCCTTGGAGAATATGTGTGGACTAAGGGAATGATCTTCAAATTTGTTGTTTGAGGACCTCCTAAAAGGATTTTGGAAAACTAGTCAGCCTCTTGAGCGTTAGTTGACATTGAAAAAATTTTCATTATAAGTTTAGTTACCAAGAAAACATGACTTCTGGTGTATTGACTATGACATAATATGATATATGTGCTTTAAATATTTAGAATCCTGAAGCTTTAGATTTGGGCCATTCAATTTATAGGAGATATCCACTGTATCACATCATTGGCCAAACCAAACAGCTAAATCAGAACTTTTTATAAAAAAGGGAAGATTCTGATTTCACTTTTCACTATGAATATACATTTTTATATATACTTGAAACATTTGTATTCTGATCCAAAGAAAGACACATAGGCAGGCAGGGGAGGTGCAGAGTTTTGCAACGAGCTTGTCGCTCATGATAAATATTTTTTGCTTGGATTTTTACTGGACTTTTTCTTAGAGTCCTATGTTTGCTGCCCTGAGGATTTTATATCCAGGGGAGATCTAGCGCAGCCAGATTCAAGATGGGTAAAACCTTTCTTTGTTTTGTAGGAAAACTGGAGACCATCAGTTTATGCTCAGACAAATTGATTTTAGAAAAGAATGCCTAGATTGGAGGGGCTGGAAAGTGATGTCCCTAACACTGTGTATGCTGCGTATTCTTGGGAAAGTCTCCATGTGTCCCCAGGGGTGCCCAGTTAGAAGGCTGCTGTGCTAACTGCTGGATCTTTTGTGGTCACCCCTTAGCAGGTTTGGCACAGGTGGTTTGACACCCCGAGTTACCATGTGGGTGCATTAACACCCTCTGTCTCAGAATCAAGGTCTCATCTGAAATGGGAATGACAGGCAAGTCCCATTTGAACATCCTGCTTGACTCATGAGGGGTTTAGTCCATGGTGGGTGCCCAGTGAGGGTCAGAGGGCCAATGTCCAATGTCAGTGGAGGGTCAGCCCCCAGAGTCCCTGCTGCCACTATCCCTGCCTCCTGCCCCACCCTGCGTGGGAAGGGGTGTGATGGGGGAATTCTGGGCTGAGCAGCCATTTCCGTGTGGTCAGGCCTTTGGTGTGGGCGGCAGTGGGAGACACAGCTGGTCGGCAGGGGCTGGGGATGCCTCTGGGGGATGAGGCCTGGGCCAGGGCAGAGTGTGTCAGCCAAGTGGAATCCCCGTGGTCCCATTTTCAAAGCCATTTGCAAGGCTGAGCTATTCCTTTGTCTGTGTCTGAGGACCCCCCACTTGCGGCCGCAGCCTGGGAAAATGTGTGCAGTCAGGGCCACTGTGGCCTCTAGAAGCAGCAGAAGTAGTGCAGGCAGCTGTTCTGCATCCAGCCTCCAAGGAATCCGTCTGTCTGGCCCATCACCAGCCTTATGCTAGAGTTGGCCGCTGCCTGGGTGGTGAGATTAGAGGACACAAGGATGTGCTTGATCCAAATATCTCCCACACCAGTCTGTCACGGTGCCTGACAGCCCCCCATCAGAGAGATGAGAGAGAGACAGAGAGAGAAAGTAACTAAGCCTTGGGGTTGACACATATCACTCCCTTTGTTTGTTCTTCAAATGCTTGTCCCTGGGTAAGCCCCCATGCCTTTCCAAGCCTCAACCTTCTCTCTGTAAAATGGGCCTGGAATACAGGGTTGAATGGATAAAATGAGATCAAGAACATGGAGGAATCTGGCACACAGCACGTGGCCAGTAAAGTCCTGCTTTTCAGAGATGTCCATTAAATCCCCCAGATCTCTTGGGCCTGCAAAAACCTAGAGTACTAAGGCCTGGACTCCCTGACCATAGCCTACTGTGCTGTGGCGTCCCCTCTGCCTAGAGGTGCCAACTCATAGGCTGCCCTGAACCAGTCAGATTTGCTTTCTTGGGGTCTTGGAATGAAGAGAAACGAGGAGGAGGGAGCTGAGGTGTGGGAATAGTTGGAAACTAGGGGAGTCTCAGACCTCTAGTGCTGAGCCCCTCACCCACATATGGCCTAACACAGGAATTGTCACACTGTAGTGGAGGGCTTGGAGCGAGCCTTATTCCTGGGCCCCACCCCAAGAATCAGGAGGCCAGCTCTGTGGACTGGAGCAGGGAGGTGGTCTAGGTCCTTGGAAGCAGATCCCTGTCTTAAACTCAACACCTTGGCTTCTCCTCAGACCGAGACTGCTAGAGGCTTGGGCAGGAGCAGGTTGAACATGATAAGGCTGTCCTCCAAAAATGGCACTATCCAGATAAGAGCATCTCATGATGGGCCCATCCCTGAAGGGGGATGAGGGTTCTGGGGACTCAAGACAGGGAGAGGAATGGGAGGAGGAGAATTGTGGATTAAATGCTGGAGGAGAGAGCAGGAGATATGACCTGCATCTGGGCCTTTGCTGGAGGAATGTCCAGTACTCAGCCTGATCTTGGGGCTCAGTTGAGTTTTCCTCTGCATTGAAGGGTGGTGGTAGCTGACTCATCTCTTTTGGGTGGCGGGGAGATCACTGCTCACTCTGGTCTGTAGTGCTGGCCTAGACTCCACTTTTGACCACACATAGCTCCTAGTGGGGAAACAGTCACCCAAAAGACAAATTGTTGCAGACTCAGCTTCTTTGATTCCCCTGACTTAAGGGCAGTCTGAGGACTAGGGCGCTGGGCCAAGAGTGGCTGAAAATGGGCATTAGCACATCTGAAGGCCCCATTTTTCTTCTTCTTTTCATCCAGGGCTAGATCAAATGCCTCCTCCAGGAAGCCTTCCCTAGTTACTCCCTCATCTACCGCCCCCTTGTGCCTCAGTTTACCAATCAAGCCATTCTGCCTTGTGTCATGATTCTGTCTCCCTGAGGGCACCTGTGCGTCAGTAGGGACTCTGTCCTCCCTGACCTGGGCTAGGATGGAGAAGTCTATCTGGTCCTAGGAGGTCGGATAATGATGTAACAATTAACAGCTCTGCTTTAGGGCCTGAGAGACCTAGATTCAAATCAAATTCTGCCAAAGTGAAACCCTGGGGGAAGTCGTTTAACTTCACCGAGCCTCAGTTTTCCAACTGTACAAATGGAGGAAATAAGCATTCTTACCACATATGGTTTGTTGTGAGGATTGAAAGACATAAAGACGTGAACCCTAGACAGTATCAGCACTTTACACTTGGAACACTTACAACATACTTGGAGCTCAATAAACGCAAATTATTTCATTACTGTTCACTCCACTCCCTCTTCCAAGGTTACATGTCTGCCATCTGTCAAGGGCTGAGCCATTTCAGGGGATAGCAGGGTGAAGAAGAAACCTCCCCATCATAGGACAACTCGAGTGATGTGTTATCATACAGATATGGCCGGAAGACTCAGATAGCTGGAAGAGGGGTTGCTCTTACTAGGCTGAACTGAGGTTCAGTGCAGGGTGGCTTCTGTTAGGGGGAGTGACAGGAGGCTGCGACTTTGCACAGGGTGCACAGCTTTTTATAAAGCTGAGGATAAGGAAGACAGGCATTCCAGGCAGAGGAGAGAATACAAACAGAAGGAGCTCTTCTCTGAAGGGAATTCCCACCCACACCAGGGGGGGAACAGAAGAGGAGGGAGGGGCTGAAAACTAATTCAGGGAACACCCTTCCGTTTGCCTCCCACTGGAATACAACAATTCAGTCCCTCTAATGCTGGTTCAAACCTGTGCACCAGACCTGGGGAAGGCTTCCATGGAGGGGCCCTGAAATGTCAGGTGAGGCTCAAGGAACTTGGGGCAGACAAGAACAGAATGGGCAGAGTGAATATCTTTCAAATGACAAGTCCATCCCTAAGGCCCCCACATGCAAAGAACCAGGTTCCCAGCACAGAGCCCATCTGTGGACCTCCAACTGGACAGACAGAAGGCCACCTATGGATCATAGAAGAATGGCTGTTATGGGGACATGTGGAGGCTCAGGTCACACATGGGGAACTGGGCTTTTCTCCCACTTTGTACCTCTGGTCCTATAGGCCAGGACTGGCTCTGCCTAGAAGTGGCTGCAGCCACAAACATGTCAGGCAGCCCTCTCCATCCCAAAAGTGTGTCTTATTATTAAAGCTCATACATCACACACTGAAGCAAATACCCGGCATGGGGGAATTGGAATCATTCAGCGTGGACCCAGATCCATCACCTTCTAAATCAGGTAGATCAGCCCGTGAATCAAACGCATCACCTCTGGATCCATTGGACTCCCAGTCAGATTAGATGCATCACCTATTGAATCAAATGCAACTCTGATTGAATCAGAAAATGCACCTCACCTAGTAAATCATCTAAATATTACCCACATTACAGGTTTGGAATGGCTGCCTCACCAATACATTTGAACAGACGACATGTTAAAGCTGCCGTAACATTTAAACAATTACCTGCAGAAACGAACTCAATACATCCGTCACTTGGGCTGGCAGATCAGCGTTTCCAGAGCAGAAGTCGCCGCCCAGATGCATGGGCTTTCCTTTCCCCTCCTTCTCCCAGCCACCCTCCTTCCCCACCGGCATCCTTTCTCCTCCAGAGACCAGCTGAGGTAGGGCAGGTGGGAGAGGTGGGGGCGCTCCACCACAGTCCCAAGGAGGCTGGCATGGAACCTAAGGCAGCAGAGCAGATGTGGGCCCAGCCGGCTGCAGACAGATTTTGCTTAACCTGCACAGTGCTTAAAAAACCATGAATGCTTCAAAATCAGAAGATTCACCATAAAAACTTGGATTTCTCGGCTTCTCTTAACAAAGTGAGATATGGCAATAATAAATCTGCATGCCCACTATCAGCTGAACCTAGCCAGAGTAACTATTGGCAGGTGTGGTTTCACATACATTTCTGTATCCTATCACGCAATGCTCAAAACAGCTTTATCAGAGTTTAGCGTAATAGACTATTACTATTTCCATTTGAGGAAACCACAGGCACAGAGTGGGGCAAGTGACTTGTCCAAACGCACAGCTGGGCAATGGTAGAGGCAGGTGCACAGCAGCCCACTGAGAGTGTTGTGGAGCCGTGGCTGCTGTGTGCTGCCAGGAAATGCGCTGCTTGGTTCACCTTGGTCCCAGCAGTCCTGGACAGTGAGGCCTAGTGTCGGGGCCTGTTCTTTGAGAACAGATTTACATCCTCCTGGTTTCCTCTGGGACATCACCTAGCTGGCCCTTGTGGGCATTTGTGTTTGTGACCCCATGTACAGATGGCGGGAAGAAAAGGTGCCCTCCTTCTCTGCCTTTGGGCTCATTCTGAGCAAGTCCTGGAGCACCTCGGCTCTCTTGCCCACAAGTGAGATCCTGCATCAGTGAAGAAATGAAAAACAAATCCCACAAAACCCCATTCTTTATATCATGCATCTGGTTCTCAAATGGTGGGTCATGACCTATTAGCTGGTGGTGAAGTTAATTTAGTGGGTTGAGGCCAGCATTAAAAAGTTGAGTGAATAAGAGAAGGGAAAGCGGAAGAAGGACTTGAGTGCCGAGGGGCATCTGCTGAGGACAGGCCAGGAGCGCCTGCAGTTCCAGAGCTGGGGACGGGTGGGAGACAGAATCAGACCAGGGCATGTGCAGAGCCACGTGCAGATGGCGGGTCCAGGGAGGGGTGGCCTGCAGATCCTGGACTGAAACAGGGACAAAGGACATGATGGGGCTGAGCCTCCATGAGGCTGTGCCTTATGTCCTGATCCCAGATGTCACCCGCCATCACATGGACCACAGTCTATTCTGTAAATTAGGCTCCGCTGTCTGAAGGCAGCAATATCAAAGGCTTTGTGGGCATAAAAGTGGACATTTTGGAAGCCACCGCTTAGCTGTGCCTGTGGTGATGTGAGGCCCTGGACGTTTCACAGACAGGACTGACACAGTCGGGTTCGCATTTTTTAAAAACTCACTGGCCAGCCACATGGAGATTAGGCTGAAGAGAGGAGAGGTGGGGGTTGGGGGAACATCAAGGGAGCGGGGAAAGGGAGGCTGGTCTCACTAAACCCCCATGCCGTTGTGTTCCACCCACCTCTCCAGCAGCCAAAGTCCCTTCCCCATGGTAGTGCCTATCAGAGCGGGCCTCAGCTCCAGACCCGTGTGTTATCTACAAGAAAATATGAGGCTGTACTGGCAGAACTGGAAGAAGCATTCATTGCACCGTTTTAAAGTTGCATCCTATGTACTATATTACCTTGAATATGGTGTCATATCATTCAATATGTAAATTTAAAAATAAATTCTGTCTTGCATTGTAAATGATACAATTACACTCTGTTGTATTTCTGTGAATATGTCAAGTGTTAATCTCTTAAAAGTTAACACTAAAAAATGATAGCAATAGCACGGTGTTTGAAACCTTGCTTTGTCTTTCTTTCTTTTTTTTTTTTTTTTTTAATGTACCAGAAGCTTGAGCAGGGAAGTGGCCCAGCCTTCTGCTCCCAAGAGGCCCTGCTTGGGCATTGTGGTGGTCAAGGCTGCCACGCTGGGCTCACCGAGACGGCGTGTCCTCTCTGTTAGGAGCATCTATGCTCCCGCCCCCACCCATTCCCAGCCTTTGGACTACAAACAAACCAAGTAAAATAAAGGTGACACTTCTAGACTGCATGGTCTTTGCGTATCATCTAGCTCTGGAAAACTTAGTAGAGATGACGGGTGGGTTTGCGAAGGAGGGCCTAGGAGAGGCCAGGCTCTAGGTCCAGGGAAGCTCAGGAGCAGCCCGGGGCTCTGTGGGGACTGCCCTGCGGTCCCTGGGAGCTTTGGCTGCCAATGCTGATTGCTGTGAGGCCACAGACAGGATGGAACCAGACCAGGGGCAGCATCCAGGCCATGAGCCCAGCCCGAGGGCTCCCCTAGACTGACCAGGAAGCAAAAGAAAAGGCTCCTGCATTCTCTGCAGGAAGCTTTACAAACTACGGTGGTGATGTCCAGTGTTCAGGTCGCAGAGCTGGACATCTCGCCCATGGCCAGGACACTTCTCCCCCAGCAAGCAGACACTGGCTGCTCCCCTCCCCTTCCTTTTTCCTCAGCTTGGGGGCCTGGTTGAGAGGGTGGGGACACTCCCTTGAAAAGTACACTCATCCTAGGCCACACCTTTTCTTGCTCTACTATATTCACTTTGCATGATGGATCCCTGCAAAGCTGGAACTCCCTCTGCAAAGAACCCCTTCCATCCCTTATCGGGCACTGAGGGATTTCATGGGAGGCGCAATGCCTCAATGCTTTCCATTAAGTGAATGCTTTGTAAGCTTCAAAACTTCTTTCTTAGACTACTAGCTCCACTTCCCCTTGTCCTCATCCTTACATTGATATAATAGGAGTTAGACTTTGAATATTTGTGATGAGAAGAGGCAAACTGATCCAAAAGCTGCCTGGGGTGAAAGAGTGCGTATCCTTAGTAATGGCAGCAACTGCATTCCTTCAAAGGCAACTGCACAGATGAGCAGGACCTGCATGATCCTGCCTGGACACTGTGGGTGAGTGTTGGGCTTGGCCGTCCTTTGTGGTCAGTTGGAGAACCCAAGTCCAGAGACTTTCTTGGGAGTCGGGGGCAGCTCATTGAAGTGTTTGTTTTGTTTTCTTTTTCATCTGGCATTCCTCCTGGCCAAAGAAAGTCAAAATGCTCTAATTCACAATCTCACTCCTCCAAACCAGCTTATTCCCCCTCCTACCACTTTGCCTCAGTGTCCTTGACTTTGGAAAAAGGCTCAGGAGCAATGTCTGTCCACTTCTACATTTCCATAGATAATGGATGGCGGGGAGAGCCTGTGAAAGGCATGCCAAGGAATGCTTGTGGCTGTGGCTGGAGGCAGGGCCCATGGAAAGCCTCTGGAAGCTTCTCCGTGGGTGCAGTGTCAGGAAAGAGGCCTCAGGTGTTTGGGCCTCTCCCATGCAGAGGCTTCAGTTTTGTGGAGGTGCGGCTGTCCCTCGGGGTTGCCCTGGCAGGTGGTTGCTCAGTCTTGACATTGGGTTTAAGCTGGGGTCTTGTCCTCAGCCCAGTGCTGCTCCAGTCCCAAGGTCCTCAAGGAGACCCTAGGAGAGGGCTGCTCCCGAAAGTCGTGCAAATGCATGCAGGGGGTATGTCCCAGACATGGGCGCTGGTGAACGACACACAGGCCAGCAGGAAGGACAGACAGGAGTGCTGGACAGTAAGGACAGTTAGCTGTGCAGGGGCCCAGCACTGGGCAGGACGCTGCGGGGGTTGGCAGGAGAAGCAGCAGGCAGGGCCACTGGCCAACATCAGTGAAGAGGAAACAGACAGGGGAGCAACAGGATCTTCATCCTAATGACTGAATGTAGTGGAGTCAGGCATGTCCTAAGTTCTTCTTATGTATTATCTTATCCAATTCCTACACCCCAAAGATATTGCTATTATTTTTATTTTTTCTTTATTTATTTATTTTGAGACAGAGTCTCACTCTGTCACCCAGGCTGGAGTGCAGTGGCGAGACCTCAGCTCACTGCAACCTCCACCTCCCAGGTTCGAGTGATTCTCCTGCCTTAGCCTCCTGAGTAGCTGGGATTACAGGTGTGCAACACCACGCCCGGCTAATTTTTGTATTTTTGGTAGAGATGGGGTTTCACTATTTTGGCCAAGCTGGTCTTGAACTCCTGACTTCAAGTGATCTGCCTGGCTCAGCCTCCCAAACTGCTGGGATTACAGGCATGAGCCACTACGCCCAGCCTTTTACTTTTATGCATGAGATAACTAAAACACTGGCAACTTAAATAACTTGTTCCCATTTTACAGGGTAAAAAAACTGAGGCTCAAAGTTATTTTCTTGTCTAACCAAGATCCCAGAGTTATCAGAGTGGTGAAGATGGGGTTTAAAATCCAAATATGTGGCCGGGCACGGTGGCTCATGCCTGTAATCCCAGCATTTTGGGAGGCCAAGGCGGGTGGGTCACGCGGTCAAGAGATTGAGACCATCCTGGCTAACACGGTGAAACCCCGTCTCTATTAAAAATACAAAAATTAGCTGGACGTGGTGGTGCGTGCCTGTAGTCCCAGCTACTAGGGAGGCTGGGGCAGAAGAATTGCTTGAACCAGGGAGTCGGAGGTTGCAGTGAGCCGAGATCGCACCACTGCACTCCAACATGGGCGACAGAGCCAGTCTCCATCTAAAAAAAAAAAAAATCCAGACATGTTTGACTCCCCACCCTGTGCCCTTCAAGATCCTGGCAATGAGTGTGAGCTTGTGTGGTTGGTGCCAGTTGTGTCACGGACATGGCCGAGGAGGATGTGGACAGGCTGTGACTAATACCCAGGAGGTGGAGCATTTGGTTCCACTTCTAGGAAGAGGCTGTGCTACTTCCCACATTACTTACTCCACCCTGAACACCCCCAATTTTTATTATACCTGGAAGTTTCAGGTGGAAACTCATGCCTGTGAGTGCCTGGAATTGGCTCTGGTTGGTTCTGGGCAAACAGGGTTGCTCTGGCATCTTTCATGCCAAAGCAGTTTGCAGTTCCCTCTGAGCAGCCCAGGGAAGATGCAGTGGATGCAGCTGGAGGCTGGAGTGAGGTCTGCCCCCAGGCCTCTTTGTGCCACACAGCCACTGCCCGGCCCCCACTCACTCTGCCTGCTCTCTGCAATTAGTAGCTCGGCAGCTCAGCCACTCAGCTGACAGCCTGAACTTTTCTGCCCACAGTAGCCTTCAATGCCTGAGGTCCCCAGAGATTCTCAAAGGTCACAAGAAAAGAAATGCTTCTGTGGGCTCCTTCTTATTGGATGAAAATATTCCTGGCTTAACATTGCCCTGTTTGTATTCAAAGACCTTCACTCTTTGAGGCCATGAGTGTGTGATTAGAGGGACATTGAAAGACCCCTGTCCCTATCTGAAATGCCCCGATTTGCCACTGCTGTAGGCTAAGTAGTTTTCAAACTTTCTTTAGCTGCAGAATTTTTTGTTCAAATATCTTATACAGAAGACCAGTTGATAAAATAGAGAAAAGTAGAGTATCTCTGATTGAATAAGGGTATGCACTGGGGGACCTGGAGTCCTTGTCTGTTGGGCCCTCCCTCACCCCAGAAGCAAGACTAGCCAGGCTTCCCAGCACAGTTTGAAAACGTGTAATCTAGTCCAAGTCGTTTGATTTGCCGGAAAGGAAATTCAAGTCCAGAGAGGTGATGTGACTTGTCTGCTACTTCAACAGAAAATATAGAGCTGGCATAGTTTATACTAAGTTTGGTTACCCAAGTTTATTTGGCAGAGTATGATAGCCTGGTTGGAATCCATTATTCTCTCTCTTCCTATAAACTAACTATCAGCTATTGAAAACATTGTTAGAAGCAGATATGCAGGTGATTTAAGCTTAATAAGCAGTTAGTGCGTGCCTTGTGGCCACATTCAGGGCACTGTGCGGCAAGAAAAAGCGTAGTGGCTGCCTTAAGGAATGGGAAGAAAGAGACCCTCAAGCAGATCATTCCAGTACCTTGTGGAGTACAAGGGCAGCATGCACAGAGTGCTGTGGGAATGCAGAGCACCTCAGTCCAGCCTGAGTGTTTGGGGGGCTTCCCAGCTTGAGTGGAGCAGTGAGAATGGGAGGACTCCGCTGGTGAGGGCAGGAGGCAAAGGGCATTCCAGGCAGCTCCAAGGCCCAGAAGGAGGACGAGTATGGTATGTGCTGTGAATGGCCCAGTGTCACCAGAGGGAGGGATGCAAAGTGGGGAGGCAGGAAAGGGTGCTGGGGCCTGGGAGGCCATCTTCAGCATCTGCTGGGGCCTGGGAGGCCATCTTCAGCATCTGCTGGGGCCTGGGAGGCCATCTTCAGCATCTGTTGGGGCCTGGGAGGCCATCTTCAGCATCTGCTGGGGCCTGGGAGGCCATCTTCAGGATCTGCTGGGGCCTGGGAGGCCACCTTCAGCATCTGTTGGGGCCTGGGAGGTCATATTCAGGATCTTGGGCTTCATCCTCAGTGAATAAAGATCAAAGGTTTTCAGCTGGGGCTAAGCAGTTTAGGATAGGGGCATCTGGTTGCTGTGTAATGATGGATCTGAGGGGAGGAGGTACAAAGGGAGGCCTGCTTAGGGCATTGTTACAATGGTCTAGCTGAGTTGTAATGAGGGGCCTGGGGTGAGGCTATCTGGTAGAAGTTTCTGGAATGTTTGGGAGATATTTTATGGAGGTGAGTGATTGGATATAGGGAAGGGGTGCTGAGGGACAGGGAGGAACTTAGAATATTTGGCAAGTGACCTAGAAGGGCCTGGAAAGAATAGGCCATGTGCTAGACCAGTGCTCTTGAAAGTCTGGAACATGGATAGGTCAGGGAGGCCCGTGGTTGGGGCAGGTACCACCAGGAGAGGCTTTGTGTGGTCAGCAGGCTTCTTGGGCAACAGAAGGTCCCCTGCTGCCCCACCCCCTGCCAGCTCCCTGGTACACCTGTGGAAGTCTTTCTAACTTAGGCAAGCTTTCTTTCCCCCCACAGTGACAACCTGTGGAAAAGTCCAGGAACTGAGGGTGAGCTGGAGGTGAGGCTGTGCTCTGTGTTCACCGTCTCAGTGTCTCCCGAATGCTGCTCTTTGTGGTCTCCAGATGACTCTTGAATGTGTGTCTACTGGAACACCTTTTGTGCTGCTGTAACAGAACACCATAGATGGGGTGGCTTATCCACAAAAGAAATGGATTGCTCAGAGTTCTGGGGGCTGGGAAGTCCAAGATCAAGGTGCTGGCAGATTCATTGTCTGGTGAGGGCCTGCTTTCTGATTTATAGACAGTGCCTGCTCACTGTGTCCTCTCCTGGTAGAAAGGGAGAGAGAGCTCTCTGGGGCCTCTTTGATAAGAGCACTGATCCCAATGACGAGGATAATGGCCTGATCACCTCCCAAAGACCCCACCTGCAAACACCAGCACATCGTGGATTAGGTTTCAACATAGGAATCTGGGGGGACACAAGCTTGCAAACCCTGGTGTGGAGCAGGCAGAGAAAAAGCAAACTCAGGCCCAGATCCCTAAAACCAGGTGTGATGCAGTAGGCAGCACCCTCGGCACCAGCAGCCCGGCGAAGAAACTGCTGAGGTCACATCGCCCACCATCACCCTCTCACAGCAAGGGGTTAAACATTTCTTTAAAAACCCTACGGTGCCTTGGAAATCAGCTGAATGGCCTTTCTGAACAGCTCCAAATGTCCCGGGTGCACTCCTTGGCTTTCTGATGAGATATAAACGGTGGATTTTATGGGCAGCGGCATGGGCCAGTGGGCTAAGGACAGGCCGGGGAGACAGCGAGGATGCCGCTTCCGTGCCTGGTGACCACCTGACTCAAGGTGTGACCTTGGGCTGGTTGCTTAACCTGTTTACACCTTAGTTTCCTTGGCTGAAAAATGGGAGTCCTGATACCACGGGGCCTCACAGGGGGGCCGTGAGTGGCAGCTAATTGATGGTTGAAGTGCACCCTGGATGTCTGCAGCGCTAGTAAACTGCTAAGTAATTATGCGGCGCCTCGGCGTGCTGGCAGCCAACACGCAGGGCACTCTTCCCAGGCCAGGGGCCCGGGTAGCAGGCTGAGAATGCCTGGCTCAGCTAAACGCCAGCCATTCACCTCCCCGGTGAGCCCCTCCTCAAGGTCGTTCTTCATCTCCTGAAGATCTTTCTCCTCAGGGCGCTGACATCTCTTCCCTCTCAGACCTGCTTTTAACCTTCTTTTCTGCAAGATGGGGCTTTTTCTTTAATTGACAGTCTTGTGAACAATCCTGTTTGTTGAGCAGCCACTATATGCAGGACGCTGTGCTAGGTGCTTCCCATGTCTTCTCTCACTGAGGCCTCCTCACAGGAAGACTCTGAGGGACCCTATTGTTCCCATTTAACAGATGCAGAAACCGAGGCTCAGAGAATTTAGGCACTCTGCGTATTCGTTCAGTGCGGCCTGTCCATCACTGTGTCCATTTAAGGGATGAGGCTGCACCGTCCCAAAGAGCCACGAGAAGGGTTCAAAACTAGAGTTTTCTGGTTTCGGAGACCTTCCCATCACTCTGCACAGCCCTCCCTGTTAGCTCTTTATTTCATGTAATGGAGCAGGGGATGGAGCAGGAGCATCACTGCACTGAGGTGCAGGGAACCTGGATAATCTTTCCCTGTCTCTACTGCAAAACTATTGTGAGGCATGGGGCAAGTCACTTGACTTTTCTGAATCCATTCCGTCCCTGTGACATCCCTTTTGGCTCTAATATGTAACAGTTTGACACTGCAGATGTGTATCACATTCACAGATACCTACTCTCTGCTTGTTCTAAAATTTAACAGATAATATATTTGCTCTGCCTGGCTAGGCTAAGTGATCCCTGTGGTCAGAGATGGTACTCGTATCCAGTTGTCTGTAGTAAAATGCACACACAGAATGTGCCAGGAGGTGTGTTAGGAGTGAGAGTTTGTCCCTGCCCTGAGGAGAAGAGCCTAGTCAATAAGACAGATGCATGCACAGGAGGTTCCAGGAAAATATACCCCAACAGAGGTGGCCTTCCTTCTTCTTGGGTCCACCTGGTCTGACTTGTCAGTGGGCAAGAGCTGTGGAGCTAGCCCCTGAGGGGCTGCTTCTTGAGAAACCAAGTGATTCCCATCAGCTCATCTGGGAAGGGGGAATTGTGTGAAGAAAGAGTTGAGTCTGCGTGACACCTCTCTTACAGGGAGGTTTGGCTCTGGGGGCTGCGTTGACAGAGACCTCGTCCATTGGATGCACAAGGATACTACGGAAAGCCAGCGGTCCTCCCCTCCTGGGACTGATCAATAATACCAAATCCCCAACTGCCCCAGAGGAGCAGTCATGGGTCACAAAGAATAAGGAACAATGCCGTCATCAGTTTGAGCTGGCACAGTGATGGTGGCACTGTTTAATTTTGTATTTCTTAAACTGTTGACAAAGCTGTGGAACATTTGGCAGGCCTCAGACTGCCAAAATCCAGGCAGGCTGACCGCCCCCTCCCTCTTTAGGCATGCTCAGAATAACTGCATCGAGACCCTGCGTGCCTGCTCCTCCTGCGTCTCTGCCCCTCTGTGAAGGCTCTGCCGGCTGGCCCTTTTCAACCTTCCCAATATTTTCCCTGTTCTCCCCCTTCCTGGTCTGAATAAAGGATTGGCAAAAATAGCATAATCCTTGGTACCCGCAGGGCCAGCTGCCAGCTGCCAGTCCCACCGTCCCTACCCCTCCTCCTCCCCAAATCACAAGTCCCTGCTGCATTTCGGTCCCCATTTCTCACCCCTGAGCCTCAGCTCCCAGGAGAAGGGCCAGAAGAATGTGAGCTTCCTTTAAATCCTGTTTTCCCGGATGTTTCCAAGTAAATGAGATCAACCATCACTTCCTATTAGCACAACTTGGCCTTTCCAGCAGTGATGGGCAGCCCCGGGCTGCTCTGCAATCACTTAGAGTCATAAAAACCGCTGCATGGGCTACCCCTGCATCATGGAGGGCTCTGGGGGGCAGCTGAGGGAAGGGGATGGGGGAGCAGAACACTGATAGCTCTGAATCTTTCACTAAGGCCATCTGCCAGGCTCTCCCCGCCCAGCCGGCTCTGTCCCTTTCATTGGATGGCACTGGGAACTCACCAGGGACAAGGACATGGAGCTACAGCAGGTAACGTGAGTGGCTGCAACCCTCGGCGCCTGTGCCAGGAACTGTTCTCAGGTCTCCTGCAATCCTGGCATAAAGTCTATGATACACTTAAACACGAGGCTCAAAGAGATTGACTCGCTCAAGAAGGGGAAGAACTGGGATTCCACTGTCATACTCCTTCTCCTTCCCCAAGGGGCCTTTCACTTGCCTGCAAGGGAGGACCCTATAATGTAACTCAGCTCAGAGTAAGCTGTGCCCCTTATAGGAGACACTTCCTTCCAGAAGGGCTGCATCAGAGCGGAACAACCAGAGTTAGCTGTCTGGAAGTCACAGGGACCACCTCTTCAGGGCCCACCCAGGCACTCAGTGGTTAAAAGTGAACATGTAGGATTTATCCCTCTGCCTCCAGATGTATGGGGACACTGCTTCCCTCCAGGGAACAGACCCCAGGGTTGAAATTCCAGCTCCAAATTTTCCAGTAGCTCATCTGACTCCCCTGCATAGAGCATGTGGTATGGACAGCAAGGCTGGAGATTTTTTTAAAAAATGAAACAAAACTGAAAAAATCCTGATGTGGAGCTGCTGTGAACCTGGTGTAAAAGCAAGCGTGTGAGAAACAGATCTTCAGATCAGTCCTCTCACCGGGCTCTGAAACTCCTTCACCAGTCCATTTCCCAGGGTGGCCAGTGGCGGGGCCCCAAGGCAGAAGTGCATTACTGTGGTGGAGGATTCCCGGCTTGGCCTGCATCCCATCCGTCCTTCCCAGAATGACCCTTCACTCCTTCATTCTTTTCGTACAAGTTTCTGCCAAAGGAACCCAGATGGAGAGAGAAAAATCAGGGCTGGGTTTAGATAGGGAGAAAACATTCTCAGAATGCCAATATGTTCATCCTGGATGAAAAACTTAAAACAATTAACAAATCATTTTAGGGTTTGTGTGGCAACATGCACACACACACACACACACACACACGTGTACAGAAAATGATGGTTTGGTTCTCATGTCGTGCTTCTTTGAGCTATTTCTAGAAAATGAAGGTGCTCGCTGGAGAACATTGCAGAGGTGTAGGGCTAGCTTTCAGGCTTTTCTTCCATTTCAGTCCTCAGGGCCTCTCCTGAACCTCTTGCTTTTTGTTCTTTCCCCCTTCCTCTCCTTTTCCTCTCTGTCCCCTCAAGTCCTCAAATTCTCCTCTCCCTCTCCCTACAAAAACTAGCTTTGCGGAAAGACTCTCACTCATTTACTCCACAGGGAAAAGGACTGACATAAAGTGTCCCCTTCCTGGAGGTTTTGCATTTCCAGGGACAAATGGCTGTGAAAGTGTGGAGTCTCATGCCACAGAAGCACTGAGGCGGGGGGTGCGGAAGGCACACTGAGTTGAGGGCTGCTGACTCCTGCTCACCTCAAAGGCCTGCTCTGAGGATAAGGTCTTGTCTGCTGCCCCTTGCTGTTTGGAATCACCCCTACAGGCTCTGAAGGTGCTTGGTAGATAGAAAGAAGTCTTGGTTTTTTGTTTTTGTTTTTGTTTTGAGATGGAGTCTCTGTCGCCCAGGCTGGAGTGCAGTGGTGCAATCTTGGCTCATTGTAACCTCCGCTTCCTGGGTTCGAGTGATTCTCTTGCCTCAGCCTCCCCAGTAGCTAGGATTACTTAACATGCGTTTCTTCTTCACATTCCAAGCAGCATTCCCACCCTCCAAATAGAGGCACATTGAGAATGAGCATAGGTTCGGCTGTGGCTAACTGCGTTTGCAGGGACTAGACCTACTAACCTGGCTGAGGATGGTCTAGTTTGGCAGGCGCTGCCCCGGAGGTGCCCAGAGCTCGGGTTGGAGGGCTCTGCCTGATAAACAGTGCTCTGGCAGCAGTGAAAGGGCAGAGGGAAGGCTCAGGCCAGATGCTGAAGGGAACTGACAGTAGAAGCATGCCTTTGCCCTTTCTTCTCCTGAGTGACAGGGGCCTGGAATTTGAGAACCCCCAAATGTGACATGGCCCGACCTTTGGCATCTGGGTTTTGGGAACTGGTAACATGACAAGAGAAGCTGCTTGGACTGAAGCCCGTCCTAAAGTGGACAGGGCTTTGCTCACACCATCTCATTAGGTCCTCAAGAGTGATGTGGGCAGATTTCTCACTAACTAAAGCATCAGGCTTTCCTTCTAGGGAAAGGGATGAGGGTCTGCCAAGGTCACCAGATGTGTGAGTGACAGAACCAGGACTAGAACTCAGGTCTTCTAACTCCCAAGGGTCATCCTGCTGATTTTTCCAGAGGTGTGAGAAGTAATCCTACAGGTCAGGGCAAAGTTCAACAACAAATAGCATGCAAGTTCCATATATATGTATGTAATGTATGTAATGTATACATTACAGAGAGATTTATACATAACAAAGCAACACTTTCTAGCAACTCATGGTCATTTGATCTTCTCACACTAACTTAGTTTTCATAAGAGTAAAATTTCCTCTTTGTTCTCATTATATCATCTGTTTATGAACATTTTGTTAAATTACTTATTGCAATAGGCTTATTTTTGCAATAGGAACAAAGATCCACAGGTCTCAGTAGGCATGCCTTCACATTAGGATCAAAACATCACACTGTACCCCATAAATATACACATTATTATTTGTCAATTAAAAACAAATCTAAAAAGGATTGGGGAAAAAGGAAGACATCAAAAATGATTCTTCATTCAGATTACTTAGCAAGTGTACATTTTTGTATCACTTTAAGGAAATGGAAGCTGGAAATGCCAGGGATGGTTTGCTCAGGAAAGACAGCTGGACACGCCCATCCATGGACCCGTACTCAAAGGAAAGGTGTCGTGACTAGATCTAAGGACTGTGAAAGGATGTATGTTTATGTTTTAAGTTAAAATGTTGAAGGTGTGTCATATAATTTTCTCTGATTTGTCTTTTTGAACAACTTTTTCCATTAGCTGACCAACAGCAGTCCATGTTGCATCAGATAAAAGGGACCCTGATCTAATAGCTAACAGTTATTGAGCAATTATTCGGTGCGAGATGCTATGCTTAAGTGCCTTTTATATAACAGCTCTTCTAATCCTCACAATCTACCCAGGAGTTAGATACTAGTATTTCCTATGGTGGGACATGGGCCAATTTTAACAGATCTTCGTGTCTCCTGCTTCCCATCCACTCTCCCTTCTCTTGCCAGCTGGTAGCCCATTGCTGAACTGCATCCCTATAAACCAGTACCCTGCCTCTCGCAGCCTTGTGTTAGAAGGTGCTGAAGTCCTTGGATCTTTGGAAAGACCAGCCCCTGATGGATCCATGGGGAAGGGGTATGGTGGCTTCCAAATGGCCCAACCCAGGTTCCAGGTTTCATGGACAGACATGAAGAAGTAGACAAGTAAATCCATGGGGTGGGAGCTGTGAAATAGAAAAACCGGTGGAATGTGCTCAAAAAGGATAAAGCCCAGCTCTGGCCCTTTCCTATGACGTAAGGTGAAGGGCCAGAGTGGAACGTTCAGCAGCGAAACCCTGGGAAAGCCAGTCCGAGGTGCTCAGGTGGCATGCGGTTGTGGTGAGAAGGACTGGAAGTTGGGGAAGTATTCCTGGCGGCATGTGGACCAGGGGACAGAGCTTCCTGCTTCAAAATGGAGCCTAGAAATGGGGCAATAACAGCGGCAACAAGAACCACTGAAGGAAGAACAAAGAACAGTGCCTCCTTCAATGAGGGGCATCATGGAACCCATGACTCCTGCAGCTCATGAAGCTGCAATCAAACATATTTAGTGAACTGTTGTAGTTGAGTCAAAACTCCAGGGTCCATTCAGGTCCATAAGGTTGGATCAGCAGGATGCTAGGGGCAGAATGTGTCAAGAGCTATGTACTGGGAAGAGAGACAATCCTTGTGACACACACACCTGATGAAGCACTCATATCCAGGATACATACAGAACTCTTACAACACAAAAAGAAGAAGACAAATAGCCCAATTAGAAATAGGTGAAAGATTTGAGTGGACACATCACAGAATAAGACATGCAAGTGGCCAATAAGTCCAACTTCATCAGTTGCCAGGGAAAGGCAAATTCAAGCCACAGTAAAATAGCACCGTGCAGACACTAAGGTAGCTAATGTCTAAGGCTGTCGACCAACCGTGGGTGAGCAGTGGTGTGCCCAGGGTGGGGCAAGCAGGCTGAATAAGGGGGTGCGTTTTCTGTAGAGAATTTTCAAACAATAGTAAAACCGCAAAGACAATCTGCTTTTTATTATCACCATGCAACTGCAATTCTAAACAATGTCAGTGATAAGATATTCCTCCCCAGCTAGGGCAGACCTCTCCCACAGCCCCCTCCCTTGGCACCACACTTCTCTTGGCCAGGATGTGGAGCCACATCCCAGCGGGATATGTGTGTGTGTGTGTGTGTGTGTGAGATGTAGTACGGCCACCTCGGAGAATTACTTGGCAGTTTCTTTTAAAATTGTAGAAATTGCACTTTTACATATTTACCCAAGAGAAATGAAAACACATGAAATGCATGTTTATAGAAGCTTTATTTATAATAATCCCCACATGGAAACAATCTAAATGTTCATCAATAGGTGAATGGATAAACATCATGTGGTATATCCATACAATGAAATGCCACTCAGCAACTGAAAAAGAATAAAGCCCAATGCTCGCAACCAGTAATGAATCTTAGTAACATTATGCTGAGCAAAAGAAGCCAGACACAGAAGAAATCACACTGTTTGATTCCATTTACTTGAAGACCAAGAACAGGCAAATCTAATCTATAGTGACAGAAAGCAGAACAATGGTTGCCTAGGGCGGAGGGTGGGGCAAGTATTGCCTGGGAAGGTCTACAAGGGAACTTTTTTGGTATGCAGGTAATGTTCATTAGATTGATTGCCCTGGTGGCTAGATGGGTGAGCGTATTGGCCAAAACTCATCAAAACTGCGTACCTAAAATGTGCGCACTTTATTGTGTGTAAATTACACTTTAATGAGTTTGATATGAAACCAAAGTTTGAAACAAAGGAGAACTAGGGTTGGGACCAGGACAGATATTGATTAATTCAATAATATGTCCCAGGCTTTTTGTGGTTATTCCTGAGTGGAACCCCATCAACAACATTCCAGAGTTGTGCCTGTAGACCACACTTGCAGTGTTCAATCCGGAAGTGCATTTACATTAACCATTATGGGGAGCTCTGCATGTTTGAACCCACAGAAGTTTATATTTCTTCCCTCTAAAGTGTTTTTATGTGTCTTTCAAGTTCCAATATTTTTAACTGCTTCAGGAGTAGGTAAAAACTGCCGTTTGAATTACAATGATAGTGATGATAATAACAGCGAACGTTTATTGAACACATACTGGGGCCAGATACTGGGCTCTGTAATTTACCTGCATTGTTTTATGTTATCTTCACATAACGCTGACCCTATGAGGCATTGTCTCCGTTTTTTAGAAAAGGATGGCGGTTCAGAGAGGTGAAAGCTCTTGTCAAGAGCACACAGCTGGTCAGACCAGCACTGACGTTCAAGTATGTTGGATTAGGTTGCTGTGTTCTTGTCACTGCACTCCAGGGCTTCCTACCGTGGGCCAGGCCGACCCCTCCTTCTGCCGTGGGAGGGCACAAGGCATGCCTGCTGCGGCGGAGCACACATCGTTGCTCTGCTGCCAGCGTCTTCAGGGCAGCTTCCCCGTCCCGGAGGAGCCCTCTGTAGCTCAGGCTTCCCTGCAGTCACCGCGGTGCCTGGCAGATAGACTTACACTGTGTGACGAGTTCTTGTTAGCATCATTCATGGACTGCAACCAACTGCAAAGTTGAATTGCCTTGTCCTCATGGGCTTTCCGGGTGGGGGGAAAATTCCTCCCTGACCTTCTACTCCTGCCCCGAGCTGTACGTTCTCCCTCTCTTCCCTCCCCTAGGATTCTGTGAAGTTTATTCTTTTGAACTGTGACCGTGACTGTGTATATCTCTGGGTGTCTTCTAACAGGAACCTGTGTTCCTTCCACCGCTGAGCTGGCTAAAAAGAGGTTACGCAGGGCCCAGGGGAGTCCTGGAGGAATTTGTTCAAGTCTGCTGGGGTCTGCATCCTGACACTCAAGTGCATAAGTGCGGCCGAGCCTGTTTGACAATCAAACCCAGGCATGAACAAGAGGGGGGAGGCGCTGGGGGGCGGTAGGGACCCCAGGCTGAGCCAGCAGCTTGTGTGAGGAGGCCTGTCTGGAAGCCTGGTAGGGGACATGACAGGGAAGAGGGGCCCCAGCTGGGGAGGAGATACATTCGGAGAAGAGAGGAGAAGATAATGGAATCCAATAGAGCTCCTGAAAACGTGTCATCTTGCACCGCCGAAACCCTTTGAATACACTAAATCCTTAATCAGAGTAGCCTAAAACTGCGATGACTACATGGAGACATGTTAGTCCAGATAAATCCTTGCAGGTTTCAAAGATCTGAAGGGCCCGGGCACTTCCCTGTGCAGCGGCTGCCCTCTGCCCTCTCCTCCATGATGTCATTATTGAAGTTGCGCTCTCACCGCGCATGGTGTGAGTTGACACTGACAGTTGTAGCACTCTCGCGCCGACTCTGGAGGATTATTAGCTTTGAAGCTATTTGGCCTTGAGCGTTGAATTCCTTTTTGAGCTCACACTGGCTTATAATATCTGAGAAGGCTTGCTCCACTCTGGCCCCAGCTTGAATTAGGAGAAGAGGCCGCTTTCCAACTTGGAACTGATCCCAGCAGGAACAGAACAGGGAATATTATCCATTTCTGATGGGCAACAAAGTTAGTGTTCTCGAATCCCCCAGAGGCCTTCACACCGAGTTTCCATTTGAACATCAGAGTTGGAGCCGCGGCCTGGGCTACGTTTGCCGGTAATCGCGGCGCAGTCTTGCAGCTCGCAGCTGGACCCAGAGGGGGACTCGAGGAGTACACACTCCTCTGGCCTCTAATCTGTTTGTTATTAGGCTGTTGGAAACCCCTCAGTGGGGCTGGAAGCTGATGTCAGAAGAGTATAATTCAAGTGAATGTTTGGAAAAAATAGCAGGGGGAAAAAAAAAGCGCCCTTCTGTGATAATTTGCATGTGGTGAATGTAAGTGTCTGGGGGGATTAATTAGCTGAACAAAGCTGAGGAAGGGACTGCCAGTGAATGGGCAAACAGTGACCCGAAGAGCTTCTGACCTGCCCTTAATTTCTTCCCAGGGTTTAAGCTAAGGTCTTGCAAAGCTTATTCCGGGGAAAAGGGACCCCTCCCCAATCCCTAGTGCCTCTCCCCATCCCCAGGCTTAGCCCATGACGGCTTTTCCGAAAAGAGAAAAAGTGTGCTCATTACTCTCCACAAACTGTGCCAATGTGCATAAAAGCAGCTTGGTGAATGTGACATGGTGGCCTCAGTTTCGTTAGGGACCAGCAGCTGGGGTACATGATGGTCTATGGAGGAATTACGCACAGCTCTCTGGTGAAAGAAAGGAAGAACTCCCAAGTTTTGGGGTTGCTAATTTAGAAAGAAGAGAAGTTTTCTTGAGATTATCACTTATTTATCTACATGTTCTTGTTTGTCTCACAGTTATCACTTATTTATCTGTCTGTGTGAAGGTCAATCTTCCACAATACTATTTATGTCCATAATTTATAGACTGGCTTTCTCTTGATGCAACTGGTTTTTGGATGTACCAGCCTTGGACCTTAAAAATAAAACAAACTGGATGCCTTCAGATTAGAGCTGGCCCCCGTTTTTTCAGTTGGCTAGAAAAAAACTCAGCACCACTGCCAAACATCAAAGCTGAAGAAGTAAATGTGTCCAGGAAAAGATGCTAACAGAGGTAAAAGTACAGCCTTCCTGAAAACGGGGAACCCAGACCACAGCTGGAGGGGATGGGTTAAGTTACAGGACACAGACATACCTAACAAACCCAAGCACATCCCTCTTTGCAGTGGTTCAGTTGAATAAACCCCTTACATGTTATTTCCGTGATGCTCAGGCAAGTAAACAATGCATTTCCGGGCCGGGTGTGGTGGCCCACGCCTGTAATCCCAGCACTTTGGGAGGCCGATACAGGTGGATCACTTGAGGTCAGGAGTTCGAGACCAGCCTGGCCAACATGGTGAAACCTCGTCTCTACTAAAAATACAAAAATTAGCCAGGCGTGGTGACCGGCGCTTGTAATCCCAGCTCCTCAGGAGGCTGAGGCAGGAGAATCACTTGAACCCGGAGGCAGAGGTTGCAGTGAGCCGAGATCACGCCATTGCACTCCAGTCTGGGCCACATAGTGAGACTCCATTTCAAAACAAAAACAAAAACAAAAATAAAAACAAAGACAAAAAACAAAGCATTTCTGTAATTCTAATGGATGCTCCCCACCCAGTCTTCACCATTTCTGAAATTGAGACCTCTTAGAGTTGACATGTGCATTAGATGTATCAGTTTCCACCAAAAGGTGATATTATCATGATATGTCTTAGAGTGTGTGCAACAAGGAAATATGGTAGGAAAAAAAGTATTTAATATTTAAAAAATGACAATGAGACTTGTAATCATTATTTTCACAGTCTAACTTGTAAAAATGATTTGGATATACACTGAGGTGAGAGTCTGTGAACTGGCTTTGTTTACCTGTGTGATATCCAGACAGCGAATGGGTGGTTCCGATGCTGACATTCCCATTATTGACTTATTTATGAAATTGATGGGTGCTCACCTCATCAAGGTTTACTTATTTCAGCAAAATGATAAATTGCACTCTTTTTTTTTCTGCCTCAAGGCAAGTTGGTGAGCTTTTTTTTTTTTTTTTTTTTAAATCTTTTTCAGGTCTGTTAATAATTTCCAAAGAAAAGAGCAGTGAATGGTTGAATAAATAAACCATTCTTGATGACAATTTAAGCACTGGAGTGACAATATATGTGCATGTGTGTGCTTGTGTGTGTGTGTGAACACACAAAAGTGCAATCTATTTCTGATTAATCCTATTAATTTGGGAAGTACTATAGTAGCTGATTCTGTGTTTAAGTGTGTGCAGTTACATATGCACATGTAATATCTTGCAGAGAAGAGTTTAAAAATAGATAGCTAGTATCCAGGGTTAGCTAATGACAGATAATTAACCAAAAACAAAGCATGAGAAATTTCCAAGAGTAATTTAGTAATTTATAGCCACAGTTTCAAAGGTAGGGTGGGCTGCCTTAGGAGGTAGTAAGTTTCTGGTCACTGGATGTGCTTGAGTTACAAGTGTTGAAGAACCACTTGATGAGAATGTTTTGGTTGGAGTTCTTTTATCAGATGTGGGGAATTGGATGTGGTGAATATTTTAGCCCTTTTCAATGAGATAATCTGTAATTCTGTGACATAGAATATACAATATCATCTTAAGTGAGAGTGCATTGAAGTCAGGGATTACATCTTATTTTGGCATAGTCCATGTATATAAGATCAATGTAAGGAAACATGAATGCATGGAACTAGATGATTTCTGATATGCCTTCCAGCACAAAGATGGCAGTTGAATTAATGTATGTCAGCCTATGCCAATAATGTATATGTGGCACGACTTTCTTGATGCATGACTTTCTTCCTCAGGAATGTATTTTACTGAATCTCTGGTTCTCTCTCTTTTGCTGTCTGTGCTCTTTGAACCTGAATTTTTGGTGGCACGTGTGTTGGAGTTAAGTTATATCCACAGACATTTGACTATTCACTTGCCTGCCCTACAGTGCTGAGTTGCCTTGGAATAGACTCGTTGACTGCCTGGGTCACACACTGTTCTACTTTCCTGAGGAGGGGTATCTCATGTCCCAGTGAACACCCTGTACCCTAGGCACCAGCTTCTCCTTCAGCCTCACCTCTTACACATCCTCACATGCAGGAGACCCCCCTCCACCCTCATGCATGGCTGGTTCAGCTTGCCTCCACCTGACGGACATCACCTGAACAGAATATGTCCCTGTTTTACCAGGAATCAGTTTTACACTAAGCCTGAAATCTGGTGGCACACTGCTGAAAAGCAAGAGAACCATTATTCTGAATGTTTCTGTACTGTGGAATACCTAGTGTTCAGTGATTAAACAGACCGGGTCATACTTTAATCCTCAATGCTCAAGTCATCCAGTCACCTTGAGTGTGAACTTTTCCGACACTCTTTGTTTTTTGTAAGAAGTTGAGCTTCTCCTGTACTGGGCTTGATTTTCAGAAACTGCTGAAAATCAATGAGGGTTGGCAGAGCCAGGGTAGAGCAGCTTCTAAGTATGGGTAGCTCCATAAAAACAATCGGTGACAATAGAGTAGGCTTTCACCAGCAGTTTAGCAGTTTAGCACCCTGGAGCTGACTTAAGTCATACAACTGTTTTTCTGACTGTGTCCCCCAGATTCAACTTTGCTCCTTTTTTTTTCTTTTTTTTTTTTTTTTTTTGAGATGGAGTCTCACTCTGTTGCCCAGGCTATAGCTTTGCTCTTGAAGTTTAGCTTTCTGATCTCCTTGAAAGGGTCCTTGGGCTATGCCTGGGCCACATATGTATGTGTCTACTAAGCAGTGCCCTGCACAACTGGGGAGTGGAGGTGGTAGAATAGATAGATGTGGATTTAGATGGAGCCGTGTTCACCAACTGTTGCTAGCTACCTCTCCCCACTAATTTTATCCTTTCTTCTTGTACAAAACTGAGTTTGCCTAGTTTGCTTCACCACATTGTAGGTTCAATGGAGACTATAAAGGAGATAGGCTCTTGTGATTTTTCGGTTCATGTCTTCCATTTCCTCCCAACAGTTGGCAATACTATTTTCCCCGCAGAAGAATGCTGACCTCCAGTTTCACATGGAACACACTGGGGCTCAGCAAGTCTTCCCAGCAGCTTTGATTTTAATTCTAGTGATGTGAGCATTGAGGACTTCTCAAGAGGATATCTTGCAAACTTCAAATTGCTATTGCCTTTTTGGGACTTTAAAGCAAGTTTCTTGTGCCCCTAGGCTTCCCCGAGGACACTTCCAAACACCAAATTTGCTTTGACTTAAAGAAAGTCGACAAGTGCACATGCAATAGAATGGTAAGGAGCAGTGAGGAATAAAGATGTAACAGAGTTGCGAATTCACTCACACTCACTCAGATGTGCAATATTGTGTAGTTTCTGTGTTTCCTAAACCTGAGCTGGTCTTCCTTAGATACTCCCCTACTTGCCAATTAACACTATAGCAGTCTCCTCCAAGTTAAATGTTCTTATTTTAATTTAAATAGTTTATTAATCAGATGTTCAATCCGTTCCCAAGGCTGGTTTAAATGTTCCCTTTTAGAACTCTCCTCCTCTTTAGGTAAAGCTCATTCTCCATCCCACGGTGATTTCAGGGTGGTTAAGGAGGCTCGCCTATTATTTGGTGGAGAGGAGAAAGGGGATCATGTGAGATCCTCCAGATTCTTGCTGGTCTTTGCTGCAAAGTGGCCAGTCTAGCCTGCTTCCTGTACTGGTAATCACTGCCTACCTGGAGTTCTGGGGTAACATGCTGGCACCCACTTCTGACCATGTTTTCTGATCCTAGGGCTGCTTCTGGCCTCTTCATTTTGACCATGGTTTTCATCCTTCCCACCAGTCTTTTTAGTACCTTCACATCTCTATACTCTAGTTCCCCATTGTGCCATCCCTAGGGCAGTAGGGACCTAGGAGCATTGTTCTGGGCTCACTTGCTGGTTACCTTCTCCCTCCATTGTTGCCCCATTGCCTTGCACCATGCTGGCAGTGACCACTCACAGGACTTCTCCTTAAGGCTTGTAGCCTTCCACTAGAATCCCCAGATATGCGTGACAAGAAGTGCTTCATTACTCTCCTGACATGTGCAGCCTTCCCCTCTGTCTATGTAACATGCCCCCCCCCCCCACCTTTCCAGGATGCAGGACTGGAGAGAAGAATTGGGGACCTAACTGGCTTCCCTTGACTCCCCTGCCCTCTGTCTTCTTCATCCAATCCCTCAGGCTGAAAGCAGCCAGCTTTCCACTCCTCCACATCCTATCCTGATGGCATATAGTAAATCTCTATGATCTATTCCACCAGGTATGGCTCTTGATACACTAATGGGAGCTAAAGGAATTTAGAAAATCCCTTTCCTTCTCAACAATGCCTGGCTTTGAAGACTATTTTCTTGCTTAAGAGGTCAAGAAAGTCAGCTCTGAGATTCAAACTGATCAATGGCCTCTTTGTTCTAGGCAGTATCCCTGGGGCCATAAGCCTCGTGCCTCAGCCTTGGAGGTGGAAGACGGCAGGGGAAGGTGATTTAAGAGGAAACTGAAAAGTTAGAAGTGTAATATTTGCAAAATATTATCCTTGTTACAGAAATATGGTTCTTAGCTTTCATGAAGCACCGTTAAACACTCCCCTTCTAGGAAATGTCCATTTATACAATTTTCCTGTTGGAAACATCTATAATTTTCGACTTCCTTCCTAAAACACTTTCCCCAGAGTCATATGTTCTTTGAAAGACTGTCTTTGAAGGATTTCATTCCACATCCTTTCTCTATTTTTCTGGCTAACGAACAACACTGAATCAGCAATATGTGTTATTTTTACCTATTTGCTCTTTCTCTGCAACCGGAGACTGTCTCCTCATTTAGCACCCTTTTCATTTGTAGGAGCTCTTAAGCCAGGAGGGCATTGTGCAGAACAAAATTACAAACCTTGTGGCTGGAAGAAAGTAGGATGGTTTGGTAGCAGTATGCTGGGTGGTGGCTGTGATCATTACTAAGAAAGAACTGCCAATTTGCTTTTCATTTGGGGAATAAACTCTAGTTCTTCTTTGCATGCCATCTCCAAGATAATGGACGTGACCCCAAAGAAAATGGACACAGCACGGAGAGGAGTACGTTTTCCTTATGCTTGTCAAAGCATGTCAGTGTTCTCCCATGGAATGTGGTACTATTCTCCTAATGCAATTAAGCAGCGCCTTCTTTTTCCATGGAAATGCACTTACAAATGTCAGACTGGCTTGCGGTCACCAGTCTGGGAAGAACTTTTGTTATGGAACCTGAAACCTGGCCTGATTACATGTTTTGCACAAAACCCCAAAGTTCACATGAACTTTTCAACTGGTGAGTTTGGCCAGGGGTTCATCGTGGATTCACTTGAGTTTTGGGGCAGAGGATTTTGACTCAGTGATGCTCAGTATGATATTGAGTTTCTGGTGTCTTCTTGTTACCGGAAAGAAGGTCCCGATCCAGACCCCAAGACAGGGCTCTTGGATCTTGCACAAGAAAGAATTCAAGGCGAATCCATGGAGTAAAGTGAAAGCAAGTTTATTAGGAAAGTAAAGGAATAAAAGAACAGCCACTCTATAGGCAGAGCAGCCCTGAGGGCTACTGGTTGGCCATTTTTATGGTTATTTCTTGATTATATGCTAAACAAGGGGTGGATTATTCATGAGTTTTCTGGGAAAGGGGTGGGCAATTCCCAGAGCTGAGGGTCCTTCCCCTTGTTAGACCATATAGGGTAACTTCCTGACATTGCCATAGCATTTGTAAACTGCCATGGCGCTTGTGGGAGTGTCTTTTAGCCTGCTAATGCATTATAGTTAGCATATAATGAGTAGTGAGGAGGACCAGAGGTCACTTTCATGGCCGTCTTGATTTTGGCGGGTTTTGGCTGGCTTCTTTACCTTAACCTGTTATATAAGTAAGGTCTTTGTGACGTGTACCTTGTGCCAACCTCCTATTTCATCCTGTGACTAAGAATGCCTAACCTCCTGGTAATGCAGCCCAGTTGGTCTCAGCCTAATTTTACCCAGCCCTTATTCAAGATGGAGTCACTCTTTTTCAAACACCGCTGACACTGTCACTCTTCCCAAATCTTCCAGGGAGTGCTTTCATCCCCATTCTTTGGATGTCACAAAAAGCCACTTTTCCTTCACAAAATTCAGTGGAAAGTATGCCATCTCCATGAGATGCTTCAAGTTACAAAACAGCTCATCTCTGCTCATCAACAAATCACCAGCCCTGCCCCTTGACTCCTCCCATAAGTTTGGTTACACCTGGCCTGCACCTGGCCTGCAACGACAGTCTTGCCCTTCACTGGGAGCATATATGCAATAAAAATCACAAGTCTTTACATGAGTATTGATATGTAACAATTGCTCAACATGTTCACATACTCTATATCAGTTAATTCTCATAGACACCTGCACTGCCCCCACACTGCTGCTGAAGAAACTGAGGCTTGAAATTGAAGTTCAAGGCCATGGCCAGAGGAGTACGTGGCAGAGACAGGATATAGCATAATGGTGGTCCATACAGCCCTTCTTACCACTGTATATCAGTGGTTATGAGAATGGGACTTACCTTGTGGGTGCAATATGATATAGCACCTAATAGCACCAGCTATAGAACTTCCGTTCCAAGTCCACCTACATTTGTGGGGCCCAGTGCAAAATGAAAATGCAGGTCCCTTTTTTAGAAAGCAGGAAAAAATGCCACTAATGCTATAGAAATATAAAGCTTTTTCCTTTCCTCTGTAGTCTCTCTCTAGACTTACCATGGGTTTGAAAATTTGCTTTTTAATGCCATTTAAATGAAAAAATGAAAAATCTTGAATTATTAGCGTACCTTTTACATTCAGCTTTATATTGCAAAAGGCCACTTTTAAATGCAGACATTAGAGCATTTAACTGATGTGGAGTCATCCAAATTACACAATTTGTATTTCGTAGCTTGCACACATATCTCATTGTTACTAGAATGGTGGAAATGCTCCACAAAACCGACCCAACTGTTTTATTTCAGTTCTTGATATGCATGCATTCTACCAACACTCTCTACCTTCAGCTAACTGCTGAGTAAGGAAAAGGAGCTATGGGCTGTCCTATCTCTTCTGTTCCCTTATCATTTTCAGTGTAAGTGGTTGGCTAATAAAGGGAAGTAATAACAGCAAGAAAGGATGTTTATATTTCCTAGAATGCCATTGCCCTCTTTCTATGTTCAAAGCAAATTCTAGTTCAAATGAGGACGAAGCCTCTCAGGGCTCTCAGCACCGCCCCTTTCCCACCACCCCCAGCCTATTCACTTAATTTGCAGACATAACACACTTACCTTATATTCACTTTGAGTCTTGTCCATGGGTTTCTGACATTCTCTGCCATGGGGCAAATGCTCTATGTGAAGGGGATGGCAAGGAACAGCAGATACTCATACTGTGCCTGTCTCCTCTGCTCACATGTTGTGCAGCATGGTCCTATCAGACTTCACTTACAAAACCCAAGTTCAAAGATATTATGTGACAGAAGCCCTGCCTCATATGGGCCTGATTAGGGCCATTTACCCCTGTTAGGATGGGTTACTTCCCTTCTTGCCTGAAGGCCTCTTGTCTCCAGATGCCTGAAGTGACTAGGAGGTTCCTGTAGCTTCAAGTTTAATGGGACTCTTGCTGGGAAGCAAGGTGTCAATAACTTCCAGCAACAGTCATCCAATTCTGTAATCTTTATATTTCCCCAAAACCTCTTAAAAGTCTGAGATATGAAAATACCAGCACATTCCCTTCCACCACTATCCCACCTCAGTTCACCATTGGTGCAAGTGCTAACAATCACATTGCTTGTAAAACCCTAAATGACAAGGATCATATCTTACCACCATATTCCCCATTGCCTTGCCCAGGAGCTGGGAAACAGTTGGTGCTGCCTATTTCTTCAGTCACGTGTAGACACATAGAAGGTGCCATTTATGAGAAACAGGCCCTTATCAGACATTGAATCTGCTGCCAATTTGATCTTGGACCTCCCAACTTCTGGAACTGTGAGCAACAAATTTCTGTTGTTTGTAAATTACCCAGTCTAAGGTATTTTGTTATAGCAGCACAAATGAACCAAGACAGTAAGGCACTAGTGATATGGTGGTGAGCAAAACTGATATTGTCTCTGTCTACATAAAGCTTATAGATTAAGAGGGGACACAGACTTTAAGCAATAATTATGAACTGTGAGGAGGACCATGAAGACACATTACAGGGAGCCCTGAGATTATACAAGTCCTGAACTAGTCTAGGGGGTTAGGGTAGATTTCCCTGGAGAGCTGATCTTAGGAATCTGAGGGTTTTTTAAAAAATTAATTTATTTTAATTTTATTTGTCCATAAGCTATTGGGGTACAGGTGGTATTTGGTTACATGAGTAAGTTCTTCAGTGGTGATTTGTGAGATTTTGGTGTACCCATCACCTAAGCAGTATACACTGCACCATATTTGTAGTCTCTTATCTCTTACCTCCCTCTCACTCTTCCCCCCAAGTCCCCAAAGTCCATTGTATCATTCTGATGCCTTTGTATCCTCATAGCTTAGCTCCCACATATCAGTGAGAACATGCAATGTTTGGTTTTCCACTCCTGAGTTTCTTCACTTAGAATAATAGTCTTCAATCTCGTCCAGGTCACTGGAAATGCAGTGGTATATATATACCACAGTTTCTTTATCCACTCTTTGATTGATGGGCACTTAGGTTGGTTCCACAATTTTGCAATTGTGAATTGTGCTGCTATAAACATGTGTCTGCAAGTGTCTTTTTCAAATAATGATTTCTTTTCCTCTGGGTAGATACCCAGTAGTGGGATTCCTTGATCAAATGGTAGTTCTACTTTTAGTTCTTTAAGGAATCTCTACACTGTTTTCCACAGTGGCTGTACTAGTTTACATTTCCAGTAGCAATGTAGAAGTGTTGTTCCCTGTTTGCCACATCCATGTCAACATCTACTGTTTTTTGATTTTTTGATTATGGCTATTCTTTCAGCAGTAAGGTGGTATCACATTGTGATTTTGATTTGCATTTCCCTGATTATTAGTGATGTTGAGCATTTTTTCATATGTTTATTGGCCATTTGCATATCTTCTTTTGAGAATTGTCTATTCATGTCCTTGGCCCACTTTTTGATGGGATTGTTTATTTTTTCCTTATTGATTTGTTTGAGTTGTTGTAGATTCTGGATATCAGTCCTTTGTCAGACGTATAGATTGCAAAGATTTTCTCTCACTCTGTGGGTTGTCTGTTTACTCTGCTGACTGTTCCTTTTGCCATGCAAAAGCTCTTTAGTTTAATCAGGTCCCAGCTATTTATCTTTGTTTTTATTGCATTTGCTTTTGGGTTCTTGATTATGAAATCCTTGCCTAAGCCAATGTCTAGAAAGGTTTTTCCGATGTTATCTTCTAGAATTTTTATAGTTTCAGGTCTTAGGTTTAGGTCTTTAACCCATCTTGAGTTGACTTTTGTATAAGGTGAGAGAAGAGGATCCAGTTTCGTTCTCCTACATGTGGCTAGCCAATTAGCCCAGCACCACTTGTTGAAAGGGTTGTCCTTTCTCCACTTTATGTTTTTGTTTGCTTTGTTGAAGATCAGTTGGCTGTAAGTATTTCGGTTTATTTCTGGGTTTTCCATTCTGTGTGATTGGTCTATGTGCCTATTTTTATACCAGTACACATTGTTTTTGTGGCGATGGCCTTATAGTATAGTTTGAAATCAGGTGGTGTGATGCCTCCAGATTTGTTCTTTTTGCTTAGTCTTGCTTTGTCTATGTGGACTCTTTTTTGGTTTCATATGAATTTTAGAATTGTTTTTCTCTAATTCTGTGGAGAATGGTGGTGGTATCTTAATGGGGATTGCATTGAATTTGTAGATTGCTTATGGCAGTATGGTCATTTTCACAATATTGATTCTACCCATCCATGAGCCTGGGATGTGTTTCCTTTTGTTTGTGTCATCTATGATTTCTTTCAGCAGTGTTTTGCAGTTTTCCTTGTAGAGGTCTTTCAACTCCTTTGTTAGGTATATTCCTAAGTATTTTAATTTTTTTGCAGGTATTGTAAGAGGGGTTGAGTTTTTTATTTGATTCTCTGCTTGGTCGCTGTTGGTGTATAGAAGAGCTACTGATTTGTGTACATTAATCTTGTATCTGGAAACTTTTAACTGATAAAAGAACTGAATTCTTTTATCAGTTCTAGGAGCTTTCTGGAAGAGTCCTTAGGATTTCCAAGATAAACGATCATATCTTCAGCAAACAGTGACATTTTGACTTCCTCTTTACCCATTTGGATGCCCTTTATTTCTTTTTCTTGCCTGATTGCTCTGGCTAGGACCTCCAGTACTGTGTTGAAGAAGAGTGGTGAGAGCGGGCATCCTCACCTTGTTCCAGTTCTCAGAGGGAATGCTTTCAAATTTTCCCCATTCAGTATTAAGTTGGCTGTGGGTTTGTCATAGATGGCTTTTATTACATTAAGGTATGTCCCTTGTATGCCAATTTTGCTGAGAGTTTTAATCAAAAAGGGATGCTGGATTTTTGTCAAATGCTTTTTCTGCATCTATTGAGATGATCATGTGATTTTTGTTTTTAATTCTGTTTATGTGGTGTATCACATTTATTGACTTGCATATGTTAAAAAATCCCTGCATCCTGGTATGAAAGCCACTTGATCATGGTGGAATATCTTTTCGATATGTTGTTAGATTCGATTAGTTAGTATTTTGTTAAGGATTTTAACATCTATGTTTATCAAGGATATCCATCTGTAGTTTTCTTTTTTGGTTGTGTCCTTTCCTGGTTTTGGCATTAGGGTGATGTTGGCTTCATAGAATGAGTTAGGGAGGGTTCCTTCTTTATCTTGTGGAATAGTGTCAAAAGGATTAGTACCAATTCTTCTTTGAAAGTTTGGTAGAATTCTGCTGTGAATCTGTTTGGTCCTGGATTTTTTTTTGTTGTTGGTAATTTTTAAATTACCATTTCAGTCTTGCCTGTTATTGGTTTGTTCAGGGTATCTAATTCTTCCTGATTTAAGCTAAGAGGGTTGTATTTTTCTAGGAATTTATCCAGCTCTTCTAGGTTTTCTAGTTTATGTGTGTAAAGGTGTTCATAGTAGCCTTTAATAATCTTTTCTATTTCACTGGTGTCAGTTATAATATCTCCTATTTTGTTTCTTAGTGAGGTTATTTGGATTTTCTCTCTTCTTTTGTTGATTAATCTTGCTAATGTTCTGTCAATTTTATTTGTCTTTTCAAAGAACCAGCTTTTTGTTTCATTTATCTTTTGTATTTTTTGTTTGTTTGTTCAATTTTATTTAGTTCTGCTCTGATCTTGGTTATTTCCTTTCTTTTTCTGGGTTTGGGTTTGGTTTCTTATTGTTTCTCTAGTTGCTTAAGGTGTGACCTTAGATTGTCTGTTTATGTTCTTTCAGACTTTTTGATGCAGGCATTTAGGGCTATGAACTTTCCTCTTAGCATTGCCTTTGCTGTATCCCAGAGGTTCTGATACGCTGTGTCATTATTGTCATTCAGTTCAAAGAATTTTTAAATTTCCATCTTGATTTTGTTTTTGACCCAATGCTCATTCATGAGCAGGTCATTTAATTCCATGTATTTGCATGGCTTTGAAGGTTCCTTTTGGAGTTGACTTCCAGTTTTATTCCATTGTGGTCTGAAGGAGTGCTTGATAGAATTTCAATTTTCTTAAATTTATTGAGGCTCATTTTATGGCCTATCATATGGTGTATCTCGGAGACAGTTCCATGCACTGTTGAATAGAATGTCTATTCTGAGGTTGTTGGATGAAATGTTCTGTAGATTTCTGTTAAGTCCATTTGTACCAAGGTATAGTTTAAATCCATTGTTTCTTTGTTGCTTTTCTGTCTTGATGACCTGTCTAGTGTTGTCAGTGGAGTATTGAAGTCCCCCACTATTATTGTGTTGCTGTCTATCTCATTTCTTGGGTCTATTAGTAATTGCTTTATAAATAAATTTGGGAGCTCCAGTGTCAGGTGCATATATGTTTAGGATTGTGATATTTTCCTGTTCAACAAGGCCTTTTACCATTATATATTGCCTCTCTTTGTCTCTTTTAATCGCTGTTGCTTTAAAGTTTGTTTTGTCTGATATAAGAATAGCTACCCCGGCTCACTTTTGGTGTCCATTTGCATGAAATGCCTTTTTCTACCCCTTTACTTTAAGGTTTTGTGAGTCCTTATGTATTAGATGAGTCTCCTGAAGGCAGCAGATGGTTGGTGAGTTCTTATCCATTCTGCAGTTTTGTATCTTTTCAGTGGAGCATTTAGGCCGTTTACATTCAGTGTTTGTACTGAAAGGTGAGGTACCATCGCACTCATCATGCTCTTTGTTGCCTGTGTACTTTGGTATTTTTTTTGTTTTTTTGCTTTTGCTTTTTAGCTTGTATTTTTGTTTTATAGGTCCCGTGTGATTTATGCTTCAAAAGGGTTCTGTTTTGACATGTTGCCAGGATTCGTTTCAAGATTTAGTGCTCCTTTTAGCAGTTCTTATGGTGGTAGCTTGGTAATGGCGAATTCTCTCAGCATTTGTTTGTCAGAAAACAACTGTATCTTTCCTTCATATATGATGCCTAGTTTGGCTGGATACAAAATTCTTTGCTGATAATTGTTTTGTTTGAGGAGGCTGAAGATAGGGCCCCAATCCCTTCTAGCTTGTAGGGTTTGTGCTGAGAAATATGCTGTTAATCTGATAGGTTTTCTCTCATAGGTTACCTGGTGCTTCTGTCTCATAGTTCTTAAGATTCTTTCCTTTGTCTTAACTTTGGATAACCTGATGACAACGTGCCTAGGTGAAGATCTTTTTGTGATGATTTTCCCAGGTGGTCTTTGTGCTTCTTTTATTTGTATGTCTAGGTCTCTAGCTAGGCTGGGGAAGTTTTCCTCAGTTATTCCCCCAAATGTGTTTTCCAAGTTTTAGAATTCTCTTCTTCCTCAGGAACAACAATTATTCTTAGGTTTGGTCGTTTAACATAATCCCAGACTTCTTGGAGGCTTTGTCCGTATTTTCTTATTCTTTTTTCTTTGCCTTTGCTGGATTGGGTTAATTCAAAGACCCTGTCTTTGAGCTCTGAATTTCTTTCTTCTACTTGTTCAGTTCTATTGCTGAGACTTTCCAGAGCATTTCACATTTCTAAAAGTGTGTCCAAAGTCTCCTGAATTTTTGATTGTTTTTTCTTTAAGCTATCTATTTCATTGAATATTTCTCCCTTTACTTCTTGTATCATGTTTTGGATTTCCTTGCACCGGGCTTCGCCTTTCTCTTGTCCCTCCCTGATTAGCTTAATAACTAATTTCCTGAACTCTTTTTCAGGTAAATCAGGAATTTTTTCTTGGTTTGGATCCATTGCTGGTGAACTAGTGTGATTTTTTACGGGTGTTGAAGAGTCTTGCTTTGTCATATTACCAGGGTTGGTTTTCTGGTTCCTTCTCATTTGAGTAGGCTCTGTCAGAGTGAAGGTCTAGAGCTGAAGGCTGTAGTTCAGATTCTTCTGTCCCATGGGACATTCCTCAATGTAGTACTCTCCCCTTTTTCCTATGGATGTGGCTTCCTGTGAGCCGAACTGCAGTGATTGTTGTCTCTCTTCTGGGTCTAGCCACCCAGCCAGTCTACCTGGTTCTGGGCTGGTACTGGGGGCTGTCTGCACAGAGTCCTGTGATGTGAACCGTCTATGGGTCTCTCAGTCATGGATGCCAGCACCTGTTCTGGTGGAGGTGGCAGGGGGTGCAATGGACTCCGTGAGAGTTCTTAGCTTTGGTGGTTTAATGCTCTATTTTTGTGCTGGTTGGCCTCCTGCCAGGAGGTGGCACTTTCCAGAGAGCATCAGCTGTAGTAGTGTGGAGCGGGGATCAGCAGTGGGAGGGGCCCTAGAACTCCCAAGATTATGTGTTCTTTGTCTTCTGCTACCTGGGTGGGTAGAGAAGGACCATCGAGTGGGGGTAGGGCTAGGTGTGTGTGAGTTCAGACTCTCTTTGGACGAATCTTGCTGCAGCTGCCGTGGGGGGTGGGGGTAAGACTCCCAGGTCACTGGAGTTGTGTACCTATGATTATGGCTGCCTCTACAGTGTCATGCAGGTTGTCAGGAAAGTGGGGGTAAGCCAGCAGTCACAGGCCCCACCCAGCTCCCACGCAAAGCAAAGGGCCAGTCTCACTCCCACAGTGCCCCACCAACAGCCCTGAATCCGTTTCCAGGCGGAGGGTGAGAGGGGCTTGAAAACTTGCCCAAGGCAATCTGCCTTCCAGCTGCGAAAGAAAAAAAGAAAAGGGCTTTAGTTCTTCCCCTGATTTCTGGCCAGGAGGCTTCTTGCCCCATACAAATTGTTACAAAGTTTGGCTACAGAATTCCTTCTCCCTGTGGAGTTTCACCCCCCACCCCTCCTCTGGCCACCCTCCCGGTGGATTCCTGTGGTGCCAGGCAGGAATGGGCTGCTTGGAGATCCAGTGAGCTCCCAGGGCCTTTCTGCTGCTTCCTGTACCCCTGTGTTTCACTCAGCTCTCTAACTTGACTCAGATCCAGGTAAAGTTGGAAGTTTCTCCTGCAAACATACCTTCAGCTTCTCCAGTAGGGGTGTGTGTTCAGGAGAGGAGGTCTCCCTTTCCCACTTCTGCAGCTGGGGCACTCACAGTACTTGGGGTATCTCCCAGGTCCTGCAGGAGCATTCTGCTTCTTTCAGAGGGTCTGTGGGTTCTCTTGGGTTTGCTGGTTTGTTCTTGTAGTCAACCTGGAGCTAAAATTCATGACGCAAGCCGCCAGATGCTGCTCTTCCTGGAGCTGCAATCTAGTCCTGCCTCCCGTCCGCCATGATCCCCTCAAACTTGAATCTGAGGTCTTAAAGGAGAAACAATGGCCAACTAGGCAGTAAATCCAAGGTTCTTTCCAGTTTTTATGTCTGTGAGAATTACTTGATCCTAAAACTATTAAAGAGAAATTAACATTTTATCTTAAGAATTAGGACTAACTGGACTAGGTTAGCAGTGAGAAAATTCATTCCTTCTTGATTCTTTGGGCACATTTGCTCTTTTCTGTGTCCCAGAGTGTGAGTGTGTGAATCTGGGAGGATCCCAGCATTGCTGGCAGAGTCCTGGGGTGATTGAGGGGCGGAACAATTCACCACATCATTCCGGGTAAGAGAGTCAATACTTCTGCTTTCTGTCAGATCATAGCTAGAATCCCAGATAGCCAAATGGACAGTGGAAGCCAAAGTCTTTTCTACTTAGTGGCTTTCTGGTGACAGCCCCCAAAACTTTCACAGGCTATTTTAAGTGAGTGCCAAAAGCACTGCTGCACTACAGAATGACCCCCTGGCTAAGTGAGTGTGCAGGCGACAGCTTGTACATCAGAGTCTAAAACAAGAATTGAAAAACTCCTCATCTCCTATCTGTCTGCTTTCTAGGGGCATGAGATCCTCACTGCCTCAGTCCCTTTGGACTGCTATAATAAAGTGCAGTAGACTGGATGGCTTATAAACAACAGAATTTTATTTCTCAAAGTTCTGGGTCTGTAAGTTTGAGATGAGGGTGCCAGCACGATTGGGTTTTGGTGAGAGCCCTCTTTTGGTTGCAGACTGCTAACTTCTCATTTGCTCCTCACATGGTGGAAGGAGGGTGAGAGAGCACTCATGCCTCTCCTTGTAAGGACGCTAATCCCTTTCACGAGGGCTCCACCTTCATGACTTAAGTATCTCCCAAAGGCCCCACCTCTTAACACCATCACATTGGGAGTTAGGATTTCAACATATGAATTTTGGGGGGCACAAACATTCAGACCATAACGCACACATTTTCTGAGGCCCTACTGTGTGCTGGGGGCTCCCATGGGCTTTACCTCATTCTATCCTGCAAATCCATTTATTTTTTCAGATGAGGAAACATGTTCATAGGTGTCTAGTTAATTAGCTGGGTTTCAGATCCTAATCTGTAAAGCCCACCTTTCTCCTAGCATCCCATGCATGCATTGTCTATTCTGATGTTGGACTATTAGAAAAGCTGATACCAAAGCATTCTTCAGTCTTCTTCGTTCCACTATGCTCCCAGTTACATGGGCCAAAGCCCTTGAGAACATTCTCGATTTCTTGATATGAGAAAATATCACATGTTCAATCCATCATCAATAGATAAAATAACAATAGCCATTTATGTATACATAAATACCATTTACATAAATATCGGTTATTATGTGCCCAAGTACTGTGTTAAGTGCTTTGCCTTTATTATCTCATTGAATGCTCACAACACCCTGTGAGATAGGCACTAAGTCCTATTTTTCAGATGAGGACATTAAGGTTCAGGGAAGTTTAATAACTTGTTCAAGCTCGTATGGCTAGCATGTGGTAGATGAAAGATTTGAACTTAGGAAGTTTGTACCCAGGGCCTATGCTCCTAAATCATTACATTTCATGTATGTCTAATTGACCCTACCCTCCAAAATCTGCCTTGAATTTGTTTTATCCGACTCAATAGCTACCATATAGTTCAAACTACCTTTACTTTATGCCTGGACTTTAGCAACTGTCTTGTTAATAGTCTCTTTGCTTTCATTCTACATTTCCCCTGCAATTCCTTCTTCACAAAGAAGTCAGAGAGGGCTTTTGAAATATAAACCACATTCTTCCACCCCGCAGCAAGAGCCTTCCATATGCATCACCACGACCTGTAAGGTTCTGTGGCCTGCTTTCCTCTCTGACCTCACTCCATGCTGTCTCCCAACATTCATTAGCCTCCAACTCCATTGGTCTCCTTGCATTTCTTGAATGCACAATTTCTGCCACAGGGCCTTTGCACAAGCCAGTATGCTTTTGTGCCAAAGTTTTAGGTAGCTCAGTCTCTGCCTTTTTTCAGATCTTTGTTCAAATGTCATCTCCATAAAGAAGCTGTCCCTGACTACCCTGGCTGTGGTGGGCAATATTCTTAGATGGCCTTTATGATACCTGCCCACTGGTGTAATGTCCTCGTGCAAGTGGAAACGATGATTCAAGGGGATATAACCCCTGTCATGAGGTTACTATTCACTTGACTTTATGTCGTTGAAAAGAAAGACTATCCTGAGTGGGCCTGACCCGATCAGGTGAGCCCTTGGATGAGAAAGAAGCAGTAAGAGACATTCTCCTCCTGCCCTTGGCGGCACAGCCTCCATGAGTCCTCCAGCTGCAAGGAAATAAGTTCTTCCAACAAGCCCATGAGTTTGGAAGAGAACCCCAAGCCTTGGATGAGACCCCAGCTCTGACTGATCCTGTGATTACAACCCTGGGAGACCTAACCAGGGAACCCAAGGAACCTAAGCCTTGATTCCTGACCCATGGAGTGAGATAACAAATGTATCTCCTTGTCAGCCACTAAGTTTGTGGTCATTTGTTAGGCAACAATAGAAAATGAATACACCATCTAAAATACCTCCCTCGACAATTTTCCATCCCTTTGCCTGCATTATTTTTCTTTATAGCATTCTTTTGCTATCTGAAAATATATTATGCAGTTATTTACTTGTTTAGTCTGACTGTCCCACTGTACTACAGTCACCATGAAGGCAGGGACTTTGGCTCATTTACTGTAGCTCTCAGCTTCTCAGAGCGCTGTCTGGCACACAGTGGGTACTCAATAAATGTATGTTTGAATAAACTAATACATAAATGTTTACCTAATTTAAAAAATGGTTCTTACAGGTAAACTTGAATTTAAAGAAACTTGGCATACAGAATCTCAATTTATATATAAAAAAGAGGTTAGTACTGATTTTTATTTCCTAAAAGGACACAGAATATGAAACAACTCACCAAAAATGTTGCCGCAACTTTGTGGGAGCATATGTATTGCATAAAGCAGGCTAAGCCTGGCTGTTGGACAGCCTCATTACTGTTTCTTTTGACAAATGCCAGTGTATTTTACCATTAAACATATAGGAACAGGACAGAAGACAGGCAACCTTGACAACACGTACTTGTTGAAAGACATTTCAGTTAGGAAGGCAATTGAATGGATGGAACATATGATAAAAGTGCTGTCAATAATATATTTGCCTTAAAAATATTCCAATGATGGCGGTGCCCAGGACAATTTAATGGTTTATTTAAAATTGTTACCATGGTGAAATGCTTGATGAATTAAAAATTCATAACCAAATGAAAATGGGAAAAATAAACTTGCTAATATCCAATACTCTCCCTTCTTTGTTCATTTGTAAAGATAGATGATACACTGAGATACATTTGGACTTGTTTTTCATTTTTCAAGGAAGGGAATTTTGACATTTGAAACAGAAAGAGATGTTTGCAGGCTCTTAGAACGAGATGCTTCTGATCGTGGTGGAGCCAAAGTGAGCTCCTCATGCAGGCTTTCTGCTCTGTGCTTCCTGGTGTCACTGCTATTGGATGGGGTGGAGGACTCACAGGTGGGAGTGCTCAAACAGGCCACCACGTATGTCTCCTCTGCCTTCTGCAGTGCACCAGAAGCAATGCTGGGGAAGCATGGGTTTGTTTTGAAACCCTGAGATGCTTCTCACACAGAGGGGAAGTTTAGAAAAGCATGAGTTCTGAGAGTGTGGAGTCACGTCCGACTTTGTGGGCTACACTGCTTTGCCTGTAGCCATAAGTTTTTTGTTTACACCTCCAGTAGGGGGAGAGTGGCATCTGACTGTGAGAGGCAGCCTTGGGGCTGGAGAACATCTCGGTAGTCCTGACTGTGAACACTCATCCCGTTTCCATACACAAAATAAAATGACTTCTTTTTTCTTGAAGAAAACGTCTGATAAAAGAACAAAGCATCCTGCAAACTTACCAGTAGGGAAGACAGTGTTGCTTTTCTTGAGCAAAACCTTTTCTTCCATATAGATGAGGGTCCCAGTGGGTTTAATCTGCGTGTCTCCTGGGACTCTAGGATCTGAAGGCAGGCCTGGGTCAGCTTGCACCTGACATACTGTCAGGGTTACCTTCTTAATGATGCACCTATCCAGCTCCCCTAGCCTTCTTCGCTGGCTCTGCTTCCGTCCTGGTCCTCAGTAGCTCTCCCCTGGATCGCCACAAAGTTCTCTAACTGCTTTTCATACTTCCAGTTTTGTTACTCATCCCTCCCACTTCCCCATTCAGCTTCCTCTGGGGCCCCTCCCTAGGGATCAGCTACACTGAACTTGTTGTCCTCAGACTGTTCTAGGTTGTTTCATGCCATATGGTTGTTCCTCACTCTGATCCCCCTTGCTTGCCTGGGACACCTTAAGTCAGCTCAAACTCTGCTATGGAGGAAGCTCTTCTTCAGACTCAGCTCCTAAGGAATTTTCAGTTTAGTAGAATGCTGACTCTGGGCTAGCAGGGGGCAAAACAGTTAAGGGAGGTATGTAAAATGCCACCCCTCTCTTGTCCCCCAGGTACTCTGCAGAGAGCTTTCACAACACTTGCAGCCCTTCACTGTACTTATGTCTTCACTTCTCTGCCTTCCCTCTTAGACTGTGCACTGCTTAAGGGCGAGCATAGTCGCTAATTCATCTTGATCTTCCCAGTGCCTATACTTAGGATGCTCAACAAGGTGTGTTGATGAATAATAATAAATTACAACATCAAACACTTACAGAGGGCTTACCATATGCGAGGCTTATGTCCTGAGTGCTTTATGTCTAATAACTCACAAACCTGTGAGGTAGGTTTTGTTATTATTATCCCTATTTTTCAGATAAGGAAACTGAGGAAAGAGAGTTAATTTGCCCTAAGTCACATAGCTGAATGGCATGTGACTCTAGAGTCCCTTCTCTAAACTCTCCAGGTTTCAATGATGATGGAAAGGGGCAAACGCAGTTAGGATAGGGTAAAGCCAGGAGGCATGAGCTCCAGCTTCAAGCTCAGTTTCACCTTCAGATCTGATGCTGACGGAGGCATCAAGCTCCACAAAGGCTGGTACGAGGAAACCTGCTGGCTGCCCCACCATGATCAAGACCTGTCTGACTTTTCAAGGAAGGGACAATCTCATATAGGGAGGAGTGATGGGAGGTCTCCCTTGTCCCTGTTGCTTCCTTGTGGAGGTGTCCACCATCACCACAGTTCTGGGGTTCACTGTGAAGATTTGTTCTATATCGCCAACTGGAGGATCTGTATTAGATTCCGTTAAAGAAGCTGTGACTACCCAAAAAGTTGCATAACCAGTTCCTAAGAACAGCATGGGAGGAAACATGGACATTTCACACTTCACAGCCATGAAACTGGCAGAATAAAGTTGGCTCTGGTTGGTCCATACTTTAAACCCAAGGCTTCTGCTCAAGGTAAAAATGCCTTTCCTTTGGAGTAGAAGGAATTACAGTGTTCATTGGGAGCGGAGCTTGCCTGGGACAACTCCAACCACAGTGAACTGTGATGGTGGTGCAGCAACAATGGAACCAGATCTTTGCCCAACAGTGGACCTGGGGTGCAGAAGAAATGGTCTAATGGGAAAACGTGGGCAAGGAGTAAAAAGGCAATTCACAGATGAAATACAAATGCCCTGTAAACATTGAAAAGCCATATACTTTACTCCAGAAATATTTTTTATAAAAAACCAGTTTTTAAAATCTGGTGTATTGATACAATTAAAATGATCATTTTAATTGCTGGCAAAAGTACTCTAGAACAATACTGATACAAGTGTAAATTGGTACAAATTATTAAAATTTTTTGAAAAAGTACCCGAGGTAGCTGTCCTATAGAAATAATGAGATGCAATGGTCAAAATGCACATGCAAGGGTGTTTAATTAAAGTTCTATCTATAGTACCATGAAGCTAAAAATGACATGAATATCCATTAATAGGGGAATGGTTACTAAAGATGGGTTACCTCTTCAATTACAGCTATTTTCCCATGGAGGAAAAATAAAACCTGTGTGTTCCACCATGAAAAAAACCTCATTTAGTGAAAAATACAATAGTCCACTCTTAATAAGTAAGCCACAACACACGTTTTTTGCATGGTGAAAATTTTGAGGAATAATGAACAAATTAATAAGAGGTGTAATCTGTGGTTGTATGTGTAAATGTGCGTGTGTTTGGCAATTATTATTGACTGCCTACCTAGGGTCCACTGCCTCATTCTTACTTCCTGACAGAACCCTAACTTTACCCAGGTATCCACCCCACAAGGAAAGAGATAGTATTCCCAGCTCTGGGGTGAATCCTGATGAGTCTACACCAATTCTAGTGGTCCCATTTCCTTCCTGATGATTGGTTAGGAACGGGCATGTGACTTGGTCTTGGCCAATGAAAGGCGATGGGGTTCTACTGTGGGGCTTCTGGGAAAGGTTTCCCTGTCTTAAAAAAATGGAGTCATGCCTTCTGCTGAAGTTGTCTTGTTTGAATGTGACACTTGGAATCACTATGACCATTTGGGAACCATGAGGAGAGCTAACCCAGGGACCAAGTCCATACATTGAGAATAACAGAGAGGAAAGATAAAAGAAACCTGTGTTCTCATTGATGTGAGTTACTGAGTTAACCAACACTGGAACCATGCTGCTTTGGGACTTCCCATTATGTAAAATAATCAATGTCCTATTGCCTATATCAACAGAAGCTCCGTGTGTTCTCTTCCATTTGCCGGAGGCCTCCCAACTGTCATACTAATGAGGGTTTGGGATTTCAGGAGCAGAATGACTTCCACTTCCTAATTTATTTGTATGTTAAAAGCTGATGAGATTGTCTATAAATTTTATTTTCTCTTTTGTCATTTCTCATATTTTGTAAATAAAAAGTAGAGTATAAAATTAAGTGTGGGCTACAGATAAATCTCCCTGTCTGCACCCTACACAACAGGGCAGTGCATGTGGTTTACCCTGACTCTGGGTCAGACAAACCTGGCCTCTCTTTTCTACCTATAGGACTTTGCATAGAAATCTGAGCAGTCTTCTTAGCCATAGAATCAAAGTAATCATAGCCACTACCTCCTATGTTGCAATGAAGGTTAAATGTGTCCAAGGATGAAATCTTTCTGGCACCTTGATAAATATTATTCCTTCTGCTCCCCAAACTCCAATTCTAATTTTTCTCAGAACTTTGGTAACCCCAGAAAATGAGGTATGAATGGTGATAATAAAGAAATTGGGCTTGGTAAAGAATGGAAGCTCAGGTTTCAGTCCGACCAAAATGGCCCAGGCAATAAGTTGAAAAATACATCCAATTTGAAAAAGGAGTTATCTTAAGGGCATCGGATAATGTGCTGCATGACTAAAACATGCCCCAAATCTCTGTCAGTTACACACAACTTCCTTGAGTTTTTTTAGGCAGCGAGGAAGGCTGCAGATGAGGGGGTGCCACACCTGGAAGTGCCTGCCCCATCTTTAGGCTGCTGCATGGGTACATGGATGCTGGTTGTCCGCTTTTGCAAAATTCACTTAGAACAGCTTCAGCTAAGCATGTGGCCTCCACCCACCTTTGAAATCAGTTCTTTGTACAAGTTCAGAGGCAGCAAGTCCTCCACAGCTCCTCGGTCCCTCTGCTCAGTGGGCTATAAAACACAATTGCGCTCAGCAAGCCCCGGTCATCAGTAATAATGAGACGGCTTTGAAACTGCCACTATGAAACCCTAAACCAGGCACAGACCCGCATGCTGGGCCAAGGACTTGGGAAAGGTTGGCCAAGGTTCGCAAGCACTAGCCTGGGTTTGCAGAGAGCTTTCTTAGCTTGGGTTTCTTCAGGGGCTGAGTCTGTTTCAGCGGAGGCTGGTCTGGGTGGTATGTGAATGGGCTGATTTACTGGGCTTGGGCAGAAAACAGGCAAAGCCTGGGGCTGTGAGTAGTTTTCACTCTGAGGTTTTGGGGCAAGTGATGGAAGCCTGAGTTTTACCTTCTGGAGGGAATTCTGGCCTCCCTCCCCAACCTCATTCCCATAAGGCTCATATATTTCTTTCACCCACCGTCCCAGCCTTCTAAGATGGAGGGTGTGAGTGAAGGGAGCCACCTCAAACAGATTGGCTTTTCAATAATTTGTACATGGAAACCTCAAAAGAAAATGGTTTTCTTTTTAATATGGTCTTTAAAGTCAAGCTTCTGATGGCACAGCTCAGTAACTCCAAAAGATATTATTTGGATCTCCCTTCTTCCTTTGAACAAAATATGACAAATAACACCTGGGCTGCCCCTGCCAGTCAGGGCCAGGGAAGACCTTGTCTGCTGTTAGCCTCTGGGTCCCAGCAGTAGGACAGAGTGATAGAGGGCTTAGGGTGGTCCCAGGAGCAAACTCCCTAGAAAGGTGTCCATGGTGGCCCCCTTTATACCCTATCCCATGGATTTGTAAAAACCCAGTTTCAGGATAATTTCCTAGATATTCAGTCAGGGTCTCAGTGGGAAGCATACAGCACATTACAACAGGGGGGATTGAAAGGAGATTAGTGAAGGGACTGTTTTCAGAGTTGTGGGCAGTGGTAAGGGAAGTCTAAAAGGTGCTGGAGAAGCACCCAGGCTGAGCACAGCCAAGCACCAGGAGGGCTGATGGGATGAGGGGAGGAGTAGTGAGTGAACCTGGAGAGGCAGCGGTGGCTGAGGGAGGGCCACCCGAGGAGCTCTGGGAGAAGAACCAGCCATGGTCACCTTCTGGGAGAAGAACCAGCCATGGTCACCTTCTTGGAGAAGAGCCTTGCTCGGAGGAAGTTGGGGCATGAACACCCCACTCCACTCTTCTTCCAGCTTCTGATCTGCTAGTGCCTCATTGTGGCTGAACCTAATCAGAAGCCAGAGAGCAGTGGAGCACATCTGAGTGTGGTCTATAAGGTTCCCATTCCTTGGGCACAAAGCAGGTGGGGGAAGGTGACAATGAATGCAGTTGTGCATCACAGTCACCTGGAGAGGTTTGGTAACAAGTACAGATTCCCAGGCTGCCCCTGGAAGATTCCAATTTAGGATGTCTGGGATGGGCCCAGAGAAGCTGTACCCTTCCAGAGCTCTCTGGGTGGTTCTATGGGCCAGCCAGAATGGAAAATGCCTTCCTAAGTCATCATAATTAGTCTGTTCTCATGCTGCTATAAAGACATACCTGAGACTGAGTGATTTATAAAGGAAAGGAGGCTTAATGGACTCACAGTTCCACATGGCTGGGGAGAACTCACAATTGTGGCAGAAGGCGAATGAAGTGCAAAGGCAGGTCTTACATGGTAGCAGGCAAGAGAATCTGTGCAGGGAAACTGCCCTTTATAAAACCGTCAGATCTCGTGAGACTTATTCCCTATCACTAGAACAGCATGGGAAAAACCTGCCCCCATGATTCAGTTACCTCCCACTGTGTTCCACCCATGACACGTGGGGATTATGGGAGCTACAATTCAAGATGAGATTTGGGTGAGGACACAGCCAAACAATATCAGTCATGTGATGGTCTTCTGAATTAAGTGCTATCACCTGGATCTCAGCTCAAGTTGTCCATTGATCCCTGACATCACGTTCAAAGTGGGCAGTAAGGTTTATCCATTTATTCCAAACATTTGCTGAGCACCTACTGTGTGCCAGGCACGTTGCTGGGTGCTAGGGGGCCAGTGCGAATAAATCTTCCCTGAATAGGCTTCTCAAATTCTCTCTTGCTTCTGTGGAAAATTCTATATCCTTGGGAGTAAGATGGAAATATTTTTGGGAGATCAGCATATGTTACCAGAGGAAAACTTTCAATATGTTACTTAATCTTCAATTCCTTTATTTGCAAAATGGGCATGATAATGGTACTTTCTCGCAGGCTTATAAGGAGGATTGAGTGAGAATAATATGGGTAAATCTTAGCTGGAGCCCTGAACATCATACATATCAAATACTATTATTATTAATTTTACCATTATGATTTATTAGTAGGTCTCCCTCATCCCCTGACTCCAAAATAGCAAATAATTGAGAAAATGCAAGTAGCATTTTCTCTATTTTCACTACTCTCCATTTTTGAACATTTCCTTCAGAAGAAATCTTGGCGAAGTCCATGACGAGATGGAGTGTATTAGTACCTACACAGCCGCCCTGTCCATATGTTTACTCAGTACATTTCTATATACTTTTTAAGATATAAAGCAGGTTCATAGGGATGCAGGGAATTTGGAAATGGTTTGAAGGTAGTGATTTTAAGAGTTGAGAAACAGGACTAATGGAGAAACATGAAAAGAACTACAATTATTAACTTGGACAGGAGATGACTGAGGGGATGGGGAGCCATTCTCTGAGATGAAAAGGTTATTAAGGAGAAAACGGCAACTGGTGCTTCTCTGGAAAAGGTGAAACAAACGGAAAGCAGAGAGTGTGGCAAGAGGGAATCAGGTCTACTTTAAGGATCATTTCCCAACAGAACTGGGTATGAGCTCCAGAACAGGCTCAAAAATACCACGGACTTACATGCCGGTGTCTGGAAATCCTCCCCTAATGGAATCACATTTGAGCGGGCCAAGAGTTCGCAGCAGGCAATAGGGTGGCAAGGCAGGACTGGGTGAAAAACTGCCTGCCGCCACGTGCCCCTGTGGCCCCAGCCTCCTCATCTGTCAGGGACAGGTGTGGGACTGCGCCTCCAGAGACTCAGTGAGCCCTAAGGCCCACCTGAAATTCCCAGTCACTGTGGATGTTTGTGGGATGCCCCGTGTGGTGAACCCTTTGCTGGCTGGCACGCCTTCTGAAATGCTGCATTCCACTTTGAAGATGAACAGTTTTTGTTGACTGGTCAGTTAAAAACTCATCATACCACATATGGAAGCTCAGTATGATTCTAGACAGGTTTTGGGCTCAAAAATGATTTCGTGTTGCGGTATTTCACAGGGTTTTCTACCTCAGGGTAAGTCAAGAAGCGTGAGATACCTTAGGTGCGGAAGACCTACTATCACCTGCTGAGCGCCTTCTATGGGCCAGGTGCTTGATGTACGTTTTAGGACAGTTCTATTCTCCTTTTCCCTTTTTGCCTCTTGAGGTCTGTAGACACAAGGCAGGGATACCAGAGGAGACTTTTTCTTAACGCAAAATGCTGGCGTAGAAGCGTTGTGGATCTGGGCAGGGTGGAAGGCCTGCTTGTATTGCAGAAACCACATTGAGAGAGTACCCTCCCGTCTTCCACCTCCTGCCCAGTGTTCTACTTTCCCAACTCATCCAGAAGGACACTAGACCAAGAGAAGAGGAAGAACCCTGAAGAAAAGACGAAAAAGAGGAAAAGGCTGGAAGGCTGAGAGAGAGAGGCGAAGAGGAGATGGGATGTCCGGGGTGGAAGACCTTTTTGGCTAACCTCCATGGCTTTGTGGGCTCTCTAAGGTCTGACAGCTAAAAACCCCAAATAAAGAAGAAATTGGGGATGGGAAAGTTAGCAGGTTAGACTGCTGGAACTCTCCTGAATGTTTATTCTTTGTGGTATCTGTAGTACTTGGAATGTCCAATTAAACTGACTATAAAATCTATTTTTTAGAGCATTCTTCTAGACCAGAGGTCAGCAAACTTTTTCTGTAAAGAGCCAGAGAGTAAATATTTTAGTCTTTGAGGCCTGTTGCAACTACTCAACTCTGCCATTGTAAGTGAAAGCAGCCACATACAACTCATAAACAAATGGGCATGGCTGTGTTCCAAGAAAACTTAATTTACTAAAGCAAGTAGCTGGCTGGATTTCGCCACAGATCACTGCCCCCATTCTAGATCAGAGTTTCTCAAAGGTTCATGCACACACTCATCACTTCAGGATCTTGCTAAAATGTAGATCCTGGGCCGGGACCAGATTCTGCATTTTGAACACACTCCCAGGTGCTGCTGGGGCAGAAACCACGCTTTGAGAAGCAAGGGTCTGGACATCTCAAACTGCAGGGGCCACAGAAGCCAGAAGTGGATGTGAGTGAGTTGGTGGGTGTAGGGGCACACACTGGCTGAGAGCTGGGGTCTGTGGCCTGGAGTGAGCTTGCCTGTCTAGAGGAAGCAGCTCCTCGTCCTTGCAGGTCCTGCTGTCTGTTGATCTGTGGAAATACTGTCCTGTGTGCCCAGATATTCGGCTTCATCTAGAGGAACCGGAAATACAGGTTTTTATGGGAAAATGTTCTGATTTTTGTGCAAGTCAAATAAGACACCTAGCTGGAATGGCACTCACCCACAGGCTGCCATTTTGCAACCCTAGTTTCAGACCGTTGAGCAGTTACCCAGGACTGCACTGGGCCTGCCTTCCATGATAGGAGTGTGGGTGCTTGGATTATGCACACAGCACCTCTCAAGCTCAAGGCTTGGAAAATAAGGAATGATCGTGATTTTATAGATGTGGTTGATGAGACTTGAAGAAGTCAGGAAGAGGGCTGCAATTCTTGCTTATGGTGACTGAAATTAAAAGCTACATCCTCAGGCCGATGACTTTAGAAAAGGCACCTCCTCTGAACAGACAAACTGTACAAAGCCCTCTTTGGCAGGGCAGAAACTCTACGACTGACGGTGGTAAATGGCAAGCAACTTTTCCAAACTCCTTGGGCTAGCAGTGAAGAAGCAGGGATTCGAACCCAGGCCTTTCAGACTCCAAATTCCATGCTTCCTCCACTACCACCCATTGACTCTAATTTGATGGATATTTGAAAGTGAAAAAGTTCAACCTGTCATCTCCCTCTAATCCCGGATCTAAGCCACATTTGTAAGATGCAGGCACAGCCGATGTGATATTTTTATCTGAAATATTTACAGGTGGAAAGGATTAAAGCAAGTGATGGACTATTGAAGGTTAATGCCATCTTTTAATATGGAAAAACTACTCTCTCCACCAGAAATATACTTGTGGGATAATCTTGAGATATGTGTGTGCGTGCTCAAAATGTCAGCTGGAGTTTCATTAATTTCAGCCTCCCCCAAGAACACTATGTTATGGTTCTGAGGCTACGTGTTAGCATGCTGACACAGGTGGGACCCACAGCACCCGGCCCTCAGGGGTAAATTTATGGTATGATGTGTGAGGAATCCATCATGCAATTTGGCCCATGCCCCCAGCTGCTTAATCAGAGATGGGGGATGCAAGCCAAATGTTGTCTCCAGGCTTTGGGTGCTGTGTCTGTTTCAAGCTTTGACCCATCAGGACAAACACTCCCACTAGGAAGGCCAATTAATAAGATGGCTTATTAACACCCAGCCTCTCAGAACACGGAGTGCTTTGCCCTCAGCTTCTTCTGGGCTATTATTTAACTATTCTCTAGGCTAAAGGATCATGTCCTAGAGTTTTTAGGCAAGCATAGGCCTTTGTGAGATATCTAAAGCATAACCTCATTTACTCTGGATGAGTTGTGAAGATCATGCTTACAACTGGACCACAGCCAGTGTCTAAAGATGATGGGTCCAGCAATCCCGTCATGGGCATCTACTTTACAAGCCCCTTTGAAGGGCTGATCTTCCTCCCAGCAGAACAGAGATTAAGAGGCAGCCTCAAGGGGCAGTTGGCCTTCAATTCCTCTCCCAACTCTTCCAGTTGTAACCTGAGTAAATTGTGAGAATACACAAGCCTTACTTTCTTCATCTGTACCATGGGGGCAATAGTAGCAATTCCTACTTTGCAGCATGGTTGGGAAGACTAGAGACCCTGTGTGGTACTTTGCTAGTACCCAGAAAATTACTTGACCCTCAGTAAACAATTGCTGGGTTGTGTCCTAGATTTGGTGGCGTCCCTTTCTATGGTTTTGCTTCTGTGTAATGTCCTGGCTAAAAGGACCCGCTTTGGGGCAGCTGGACTAAGGTTAGAGTTTCTACTGTACCTCTTTCCAGCTGTGCAATCTGGGATGAATTATTTAATCTCATGAAGCGTCACTTTCCTCATCAGTAAGATAGAGATAAAAATAGTTCTTACTTTGGAGAGCTAGGGTTAAGATTGGATGGGCAGTTGTGTGTAAAATGCTTATTGCTTGGCATAACCAGGCACCTAGTAAAGGTTGTAAACAGAAGATAGGATATGTACTTTGGAATCTGTGAAGGCTTTGGCTACATGGAAAAATAATATTTCTGCCTCTTATCCAAAATACAGTTGACCTTTGAATAGCATGGGTTTGAACTGTGTTGATCCACTTATAAGTGGATTTTCTTCTGCCTCTGACACCCATGAGACAGCAAGACCAACTTCCTCCTCCTCCTCCTCCTCCTCCTCCTCCTCCTCCTCCTCCTTCTCCTCTGGCTACTCAACCTAAAGATGAGGGAGATGAAGACCTTTATGATGATCCACTTCCACTTAATAAACAGTAAATATATTTTTTCTTCCTTCTGCTTTTCTTAATAACATTTCCTTTTCTCTAGCTTACTTTATTGTAAGAATATAGTATATGATTCACATAACATATAAAATATGTGTTGACTGTTTATGTTATTGATAAGACTTGCAGTCATTAGTAGGTAATTAGAAACTAAGTTTTGGGGCAGTCAAAAGTAACATGTGAATTTTCGGTTATGCAGGGGGTTGGCATCCGTAACCTCTGTGTTGTTCAAGGGTTGAGTGTATATCAAAGTAATATGGAAAGCCTAACCAGCCTCAGGAACTTTGATCTGTAAATTCTGACATTGTACCAAGTGCAAACCTACTTGCACTTACTGGGAAAATAACTTTCTAGGGTGCAGAAGGTATTTTAAAAACCATCAACTGCAGCTCAGCCCCTCTTTCTGAAACAAATGCATGGGCCCAATGAACCCAAGTCAGAGTTACTACTTTTTGGGCAACTATACCGTGTGGCATGCGGAGCTGGATGCTGGGTAAGTGCTCAGTCCAGTAACCTCGGAAGGCTGCTTTTATTATTCATATCTATGCCAGAGGAGCCCAGGGCTCAGAGTAGATGAGTAACCAGAGCTCAGAAGTGAGAGAGCTGGGACTTGAACCCTCTCACTCCAAACTCCATGGTAATCATCTTGTCAGCTGTCCTGTGGCATTCAGCAAGACAGGTGTTCGTGTCTCTCTTTTGTAGAGAAGAAAACTGAGGTTCAGAGAGGTCAAGTAACCCACACATGCCCACACAGCTTGGGCCTGCTCCTTGCCCAGAACCTGGGTGACTTCTCCTGTAACCCACTCACAGATGCGTGTGCGTGCTAGCGGAGAGTGATTCTTATCTGGGTCCCTTAAAGAGGTGATATTTTTCCGTGGTTGTTGACCTGCTGGCAACCCTTGTCATCTTCAGAGGAGACCCAGAGACTGTGGGCAGGGTGGTGATTCCCCGAGTCAGCCACGGAGGGCAGAGTTCCCTGTGATGGCAAGACAGCAAGCCTGTGTCTCGAGTACACATTTCTCACTATAAAGCAAACAACCCGACTGGCAGAGCACTGTAGGGAAAATGACATCACTGCAGAATTTTAGGGCTAATCATTTAGCTGGATTAGCCCCAAAGTGCTGTGTCTAAAATCAGCATCCCTGCCTCTTTATGTACTCCAGATGAAACACATTAGCAGAAATATGGCAAGGGACACTCACAATACACGGTTCTACACTCTCAGCAGTTTTTGCAAATCTGCAATTAGTCTAAAGGGCCTGGGTAAATTAGGCCTCTTGATAAATGAAGCACCTAGACAGGCCTCAGATTTATTGGATCCCGCTGTCCCGCTGTCCAGAGCCCTTGTCAGCTCCACTGCAGAGCGGGGACTGTACAGGGAAACAAAACAGAGCCAATTCAGGCTCGGAATTGCCCCCAAGTCTTTGAAAAGACTGTGTTTGAGACTGCTGCCTCGGTGGCCTTAAAAGTTTCTGCCAGGAACATAATAGGTGAAATAGGAAGCCATTGCCAGGAAGTTCGCGAGGGGGTAGAAGAGGCCTGTTATACACTCCAGGCAGAAGGAGAGATGGGGGAAGGGTTTTTGTTATAGGCAGGAGGGAGGGGGCCACCGAGAGGCCTGCATGTATCAGCAATTCTTTGCCCCATCCCACCCTGGGCCTCTCCAGCCTCCTCGTGTCAGAGATTAGCAATGGGCACCAACGGGTACCAGTGGGAACCACCAGCCTCTCTCCCAGCACTCCAGGTCTGGGCTCTAGTTGTTAGTTAACACACTCCTTTCCCAAATGCAATTTTCCACATGCTTCAGGTATTAATAATAAATGACCAGGTGGTTTGACTACCCAGAAAGGTTACAGAGATTCTAGAAAAGCACCCTCACCTCCAAAGTTGGGGGGTGGGTGTTTGTAATGCCTTAAAGCAAGCGTCCAGGGGCCAGAAGCCTGTGAGTGGTTGTGGCTTAGGTACAGGGGACATATGGGAAGGGGGTAGTATGGGCCTGTTGTTCTGATTTATGTCTCTGAATCCTGAGAAGCGGTTTGCGGCCACATTGGGGTGACACCTGCTAACTTTGCTGCTGGTGCTGCTGCCGCCGCCGCTGCTGCTGTGAGTGCTGAAGTCAGCTGAACCAGACCAGTAAGGGGCCAGCAGATGCGCAGATGTTTCTTGGGTGGCGAGAGTTATTTTTTGTTAAGTCTATCTTATTTATTTATTTATTTTTGCAACATTTTCTTTCCTGATTACTAAAGTAATTGCTGTTTGGGGATGGTGGGGACATTGTCTGAATTTTTAATTTAAAAAGTAGTAAAGGACAATTTGTAGTAGGGGACAATTTGAAACAGAGGTCCCTGTTTTGTGTGTGTGTGTGTGTGTGTGCATGCGTGTGTGTGTGTGTCTATTTCTTGCTCCCTCCCTATCTCTTTCTGTCTGTATCTTACAATCTTAGGTCCTCTGTCTGTCTTCCTTCTTCTGTATGTATCTCTCTGTTCTCAGTAACCCAGCAGAGCACGTTGTGGCCCTCTGTACCCCCAGCACTGTCCCCACAACTGAGCACTTTGCCACTTAACTCTTGGTGGCTTGGGCGGCTGGGTCCACGGGCTCCTTTGAGGTTAGGAGCACCCCAGGGTGTGAGCTTTCCAAGACCACTTTCTCCCGGAGGCTGCAGGAACGGCCTCACTGCCATGCCGCTTTCAGCTGCTGTGATTCAGTGTCTCTGGTCTGCAGATCAGCTGGGCGATTCTCCCGTCAGCCCACATTGATTTTCCTGTAGATTACATTACCTCCAATCACAAAAGAAATTGTGCTTTCTCTCCTGGAGTGTCAGGGCAAAATGAATAGCAAACATTTTCCTGCAGGCAGCTCAGCTTTTCTGTCAAAGCCCACTTGAGCAGGCAGAGCACCGTCCTTGCTCCCCGAACCCCCAAATCTTTTCTCTCCAACTCAGTGGAAAAGTTTCTGGGATGAGGTGGGACATCAGATGCAACTTGGAACGCACAAGATATCCAATTATGCCTCAGTGAGATCCTTCGGTATCTTAAGACCTTCTAAATTATGGAATTAAGAGGGTTTAGAGGGGGAAAAGAGCGGGTGACACCAGATGTGTTAAGAATTTAGAATGTGCTTCTTCATATATTAAAAAAGACTCTTTGAATATCATCAAAGAGATTGAGCAATTTTTATTCCTTTTAAAAGTACTGATTGGGGTCTCTGGTCTCTGGCTGGTATGTGTGTGTGTGTGAGTGTGTCGGGAGGCTGTATCACAAGGGCCTCTCTTTCTACGCTTGGTTGGTGCCAGGTCCACTTTCTGAAACCCTGGCATGCAGGGCGAGCCTTGCTTGTGTGGGCGGCTTTGGCACGGAGTCCTGGCACGGTGGATGAAGAGAAGCGTCAGCACTTTTCAAACAACTAACTAGCAGCAGAAGGCGGGCGCCAATCTCCAAAGTGGGCTTTGTGGGAGAGAGGTCTGTGTCTGGGCAAACAACCTGCTTGTAGAGGCTGGAAGAGGAAAAGGCCAAAGACACCTGAAAAGTAAGAGAGAATCTTCTCTAGGGACACTGGGGAGCCACATAAACACACGTGCCTGCCCAGTTGAGCATGGGTTTCTGTGTATCCCACGTGTGTGTCATGAGATACTTATAGCAAGAATTTTCATTGATAACTTAGCCAATGTTTATTGAACAACAACCATGGGCCAGACACTGGGTCAATGCTCTACCTATCATTGACCTATCTTTTCACTTGTCATCTAAATTGAATCCTCGCAGTGGGAAAGGCAGTGTCATCCCTGTTGACGTGATCTGGAAACAGTGCGTTAGAGAGTATAGGAGACTTGCCAAGGTATTATGGATTGAATTGTGTCCCTGACCCCAAGAAATGTGTTGAAATCCTAACCTTCCCCACCTGTGAATGTGACGTTATTTGGAAAAAGGGTCTTTGTGGATGATCAAGTTAGGAAGGAGTCATTAGGATGGGTCCTGATCCAATATGACTGGTAGAAAAACCAGGGAGATTTGGACACAGAGGGAAGACCATGTGAAGACTCAGGGAGAAGAGGAAGGACAGCCATCTGTAAGCCAAGGAATGCCAGCGATTTCTAGGAGGGAGGCCTAGACGAGATCCTTCCCCCACAGTCCTCAGAAAGAGCCAACCCTGCCAACAGCCTGATAGCGAACTTTTAGCTTCCAGAACCATGAGACAATATATGTTTGTTGTTGAAGCCACTTAGCCTGTGATACTTTGTATGGGAGCCCCAGGAAGTAACTACACAAGCTCACCCAAACTGTGGGTGGTGGAGCTGGTGTGTATGTGTCCAGGCCCTGCCTGTCCCCGCAGTTATGCAGTGTAGCCTGCACACTGCTGGTTTCCTTGATGAGGGCCCAGCCAGTGCCTGGATGTGCTCCCGTGGGCCTTGGATGTTTAGGAGTTGGTATGTTGGGATGGTTTGGGGGCAGAGGCCAAAGGGAGACTTTATGATGAATCTAGCGTCTTATATATACTTTTGCTTACAGGTCTAGGAATCTGCTAATTTTATCATTTATATAAAGAACCTTAAAATGTGTATATCTTTTGACCTATTGCTAGAAATCTATTAAAATAATGATAAAAATGGTGACATATTTCTGTAGAATTATATATCATAGTACTACTTACGAAACAGGTAGGAACGTTCCACATCCCAGGAATGTATGAAATGCCACATTTCCATATTTTCTAAAGTGAAATGAAATCTGATAGAAGTTGACACTAGCCAAGGGTGGTGAGAAGAACTCTGAATTCCTCTACCCCAGCTGGGTTGGCAGAACCTCTCTAGCCATAGTGTGTGGTGTCAGCCACATAGACAGCCACGTAGCAGTGCCCATCTGAGGTCACCCAGAGCATCGGGCTCAGATAGGGCCATATCTCCACCATAGGTCACAGTTCAAGTCTTATTTCTTTCCCCAGTCTTGGGGAGTCATTTAGCCAGGGAGGAGCCCATCTGTTAAACGTCTGCAGCCCACATCATTCATCCTCTTCCTTGGACGATGTAGTCTATAGGTGTCAAGGGCCTCTGTTTTTGAAACACAAAGCTCTCTCACAAAGTACCATAATCTCCTTTAAATAAGCAAAATAACCTTTCAGAAGTACATTTTCTCTCTCTCTCAGGGGTTATAGCACAGCAGTTGTTGAGAAAGATGTTTCATCTTTCTTTCATGTGACCACAGGAGTCAAAACAAACACAAATAACAAAACAACACAACTTCCAAATAACAAATCCCTAACACAAATAATGGCTACATTTAAATGCCCAATCATTCAGACTCATTACATTGATTATAATCCAAACACATATATTAGACATAGACATTAAATTTTTAGTTAACATTAATAGGAGACAAAGTTCAAGTTGTAATGTAAAGTGAAAAAATAGAACACTATATTATTTTCTATTGCTGCATAACAAATTATTGTAAGTTTAGCCACTTACGGCAACACCCATTTACTATCTCATGGTTCTGTAGGTCCAAAACCCCAGCAGTCTTGTTTGGGTTTTCTGCCCAGGGTCTCATAAGACCAAAATTAAGGTGTTGGCCAGGCTGTGTTCTCATCTAGAGCTGGGGTCTTCTTTCAAGCTCATTCATATTTTTGGTAGGATTGAGTTCCTGTGGTTGCAGGCCCAAGGTCCCTATTTTCCTTGCTGGGTGTCAACTAGGGGTTGCTCTCAGGTTCTGGAGGCTTCTAGCATTCTTTGCCATGTTGGGCTCTCTATCTTCACAGTCACCAAAGGAGACTCTCCCTTGTTTCAAGTCCCTCTCATGCTTCGTATCTGTCTCCAGGAAAAGCCTAATCTCTGTCAAGACTCACCTGAACAGGCCAGACCAACCCAGGATCATCTCCCACCCTTAAAGTCTTGCCATGGAACATAACCAAATCATGAAAGCGATGGCCCATAATAGTCACAGGTCCCACCTGCCCACATTCAAGGGGGAAGGGATTACGTAAAGCCATGTGGATTCCGGGATCATCTTAGAATTCTGTCTAATACAGATACCAGTTGTATATACACAAGATCTCAGCCATGTAATGTTTATGAGCTCAGAGGAACACGTGTATGATATAAACCTCAATATTAATAAGACTTTTTTGTGGGGTAGGATTATGGATGACTTTTATTTTCTTCTTTATACTTTTCTGTATCTTCTAAGCATTTTATAATGAGCACGTTTCATTTATGATCAAGGAAAACACCCACATTATTTAGATAGAGAAATAATTGGGCCTCAAGCTAGGATAGTAACGCATGACTAGTAGGCATTTGCTCTGTAAAATTAAGTGTGTGTAGCTGAATGGTTTGTTCATTCATTTATTCTTTCGTTCATTCATTCACTGGCCCCCTTGGGAAGAAGGTGCAGACAGGTTGCATTCTCCTATAGGACTGCATGCTGATGGGGTCCCTCTGTTCAGAATATCTCTGGAATCGCTTCACACTTTTCAGCAAAAAAAGATTCCAAAAGACAAGTAGTATTTCTATTTGTTATTACTCCTGGGGAAAAAATAGTGAAGGAAAATTACTCAGACTGTTTGAGAAATACTTTGCAATTTCTATTTTCTCACCAGTATCCTAATAGCTTGATAATGTTTAGGTTTTGAAATTTCATATTTTCTTTGTGAGCAGAAAATACCAGCTTCTCATAAATAACTGAAATGAAACAACAGAACTCTTGGCTCAAATTCACTTTTCAGCCTGACGCGTCAGAAGGAGCCCAGTGCAAAAACTCTCTCCCGAAACAGAAGTGTGGCCCAGGGAGACTAGCAACACAAATGATCCGGAAACCCTTAGAGTGGGAACTCCCGCCACGAACAGAGCAGAATTGCTCAAGGATGGGAACATCAGCATGTGGCAAACCATCAGAGGGACATCGACTGGCCATCTCAGGCCACCCTGTGCCAGTAGCAAGTCTAGGGGCTGAAGTCAGGTGAGAGCGTGCAGTAAATGAGGTTGGGCAGAAAAATAGGGCAAGGACGCCCTGTACCAAACGGTGATGTTGGCATGATTTGCCTTTGGGCTTCTTTGTCTCCTCTTCCTTCTTCATTCATTCCCCTTCCCTTCACTGGTGCCCACTCCTGCCCTGGTGCCGGCTTCCATCTCCCACCCACTTTCAGTTAATGAAGATCATTCAGGGTTGTTTTTTTTTTTTTTTTTTAATGCGGATACACTCAGGAGTATTTGCATTTTAATAAGGGATTGTAAAAGGTGAAAAAGCCTTGACGATAGCAAAGAATAGTTTGCTAATAGTGGAAGGACCAGTAAGGAGGTTATTTTTGCTTGGGGGCCCTGCCCAATGCCCCCAAAGTCATCTTCCAAATACTGTTTTTTGTACAGTGTTGACCTGGCTCAGGAATGGGCTGCAGGGATTCTATTCTGTCAGCATTAAATGGGTGTCGACAGCTGGAAGAAAGGCATCAAAATATATAGGAAACAGCATTCTTGAAACGAGAACTAAAATATCTGCTGTGTGTCTTCCACACCGTGTCATGGGGAGAATCAAATGAGGTCATGTATGTGACAGAGTCTCCTAAGAGACTCAGAAATGAACACATGCAGAGTAGTATCAGGATACGTGGCTTATGTGGTTGTCCCCAGCACAGTCAGAGAACAAAAGCCTGGGCACAAAGATGATCGGGCTTTTGACACGGTTGCCTGCCTTAGAAACTGACACTATTTCGTTAGGCCTTTTCTGCAGGTAGTCATTATATGTAAATGTCATGAGCGAATGAATCCACTGAGATATAAAGGAGCATTCGCCCCTTGAGAGTTGTTCTGGGTTCCAGAGACTCACCTCATACTATGCCTCAGTTTCTCATTTGGTAGACCTGAAGATGAAAATAAGTATTGGTCTTCCCTCAGCAGAAATAGGAAAAGTGAATGGGCAGCTGGGGTGAAGCTCTTTGAGGCCTCCGTGAAGAAGGGGGAAGAAGCTCTTCTTCCCAAGACGGGTTGTATTTGGGCAAAGGTGAAATCATGTTGGTTTTAGTTTTTTTTCAACTTATCAATTATTTTCTAAATATAAACTTACAAACTATGAAGCATGAGAAGTAAATGGAGAGCCATGAAACTTCCACCCAGTTAACGATAAATAACATCATCACCCTCCACTCCATCCAGGGTCTCTTCCTCACGCTGGGCCCTTCCCTTCCCATCACCTGAATACATGGCAAGGAACCACTATCTGAATGGTGCTTTTATTTTTTAAAACAATATTCTTTATTCCTATTTTGTATCACAGTTTGACCACATATCCACTAACCATATATCACTTAGTCCTGCTTATCTTTTAAACTCCATATAAATGCCATCACCAGGTATGTATTCTTTTGGGACTTGCTGTTTTTAGCCAACGTTATGTGTTTGTGATTTGACAGTTTCTATGCCTCTAGGTTTGGTTCATTCATTCTCATTCCATTGTATTCCATTTATGAATATACCAGAAATCAATCGTCTCTTCTCTTCTTGATAGCACAGCTTTAGTCTTTGCATTTATTTTAAACATGCTTTCACTGTAGGATTTAGGGTGCTTGTCTTAGTTCAGGCTGCTGTAACAAAATACCAAAGATATAATCTTTGGTTTATATCACAGAAACATATTTCTCACAGTTTTGGAGGCTGCAGGTCTGAGAAGGGGGTGTCGGCATGGCCGAGTTCTGGTGAGGGCCCTCTTCCACTTGCAGACTGCTGACTTCTCAGTGTGTCCTCACATGGCAGAAAGGGGGTGAGTGAACTCGTGGGCTCCCTTTTCTGAGGGCATTAATCCTACTCACGAGGGCTCCCTGCTCAGACCTAATCACCTCCCGAAGGCCCCACCTGCTAATGCCATCATGTTGGGGGTTAGAATTTCAGCATATGAATTTCAAGGGCAGAAACATTCAGTCCATTACAGTAGTGTTTATTCCCGTAGAGGTAAAGCCAAGGTGTGGTTAAACAGGACTAGGTGACTGGGCAAAGGAAGTAAGAAACTAACATTTTTTTTTTTTTTTTTGAGGCGGAGTCTCGCTCTGTCGCCCAGGCTAGAGTGCAGTAGAGGGACCTTGGCTCAGTGTAACCTCTGCCTCCCGGCTTCAAGAGATTGTCCTGCCTTAGCCTTCTGAGTAACTGGGATTATAGGCATGCACCACCACGCCCGGCTAGTTTTTGTTGTTGGTGGTGGTGGTGGTGGTGGTATTTTAATTAATAGTATAGAGATGGAGTTTCACCATTTTGGCCAGGCTGGTCTCAAACTCCTGACCTCAGGTGATCTGCCTGCTTCGGCCTCCCAAAGTGCTCAGATTACAGGCATGAGCCACTGCGTGTCCTGCCAGAAAGTAACATTTTGAAGGTAAACCAGGCCCTAGCCCCCAACTCTCCTAATGGTCTTCCTTGTACATGTTATCTCACCATTCTCAGAAACACTTTCTCAGTAAAGTAAAGAAGTTGAGTTAGATAAGCTTCAGATTCTCTTCTAAGGCAACTTCCTAATTCAATAAGTTGTTCACTCACTGAACACATAATCTGCTATTTGCCTCCATTACTAGATTCAGTAGAAAACAAAACAGGCACGTCACAGAATTTCAGACCACGGAAGATGTCAGAGAAAAAAGGAGTAGGCCGCTAAAAAGTTTTTTGTTTTTGCTATTGTTGTCTGGTTTGTTTTAAAATTAGAAACTGTAAGTACTATTGTAGAAACACCCATGGGGTGAGGATACAGAGCTCTGGATGGATCTATTTTAGGTAGAATGGTCGGGAAAGGCCTCCCAGAGAATGAATACCTAAGCTTGAGAGGCACCAGCCACACATGGTCAGGAGGAAGACGATTCCAGTCTCAGAGAACTGCCTGGGCAAAACCTCTGGGTAGAACAAGAGCTTCATATGTTCTAGAACTTGGGGGAATTATGTGAGAGGGAAGCATGCCTCCAGGTGAGCCCTGACACTTCAGGGAGGCGCTCTGTGGACCATCGAAAGGATTTGAGTTTTATCCTTTGTGCAAGTGGAAGGCGTTAAAGAATTTTTCAGTAGAGAGTGACATGATCAGATCTGTGTTTTTTAAAGATTACTGCGACTGTTGTGAAGAGAATGGGTAGGAGGGGGCTAAAGCGAAAACTGCAACTGTCGGGCCTCACGGGAGGTGACGGGGCTCAGGTTGGAGAGGCAGTCATGGAGGTGAGAGGGAGGGGACGGGCTAGGTCCCAAGATGATGTGGAACCAAGAAGGGGCATTGCCGCAATGTATTTTTAATTAGAAACATAATCAACATTGGGGGTAAATGGGGAAATAATCAGATGCAAGCTCACTTCACTAGAGAAGAGAAGGTTCAGAGAAAATGGGGTTGGTCAAGATAAGGAAGTTGGAGGAAGCTGTGATTCTTTAGTAATGGGACACTACAGATCCTCTGCGCATACGCCTCCTTCCCTCCCTCTCTTCCTTCCTCCCTTTCTTCCATCTTCTAACTACCTTGTCTGAAGACTATCTCTAAAACTCTTCTCTGTTTGAAGATAACCTTCTTTACCAGAATGGAGCAGACAAGAGCCACCTCCCCAGTCTTCCAGAGGAGAGGGGACATCCAACCCCCCACCCCACACCCACCTCTACACACACATCCAGGCCCAGGACAGTGTCCTCACCAGCACTGTTCCACCCCTCCCAATCCTTCCTGGCCAGAAAAAGTGCCTGAACCGTTGTGTCAGATCCCAGTCTTGGCACAGGCTTTATATCTCCCTAACAATATACTGCCCATTTAAAGAACCGTAAAACATGACCGAATAGGGAATAGCAGTGGCTGTTTAGTATGCTTTAAAATTCTTTAATTTGCTGTGCCACAATAACTTGCACTTTAATAAAAGCAATCTCTCGTCTTAATAGCTACACAATAAAGAGTTATTTATATGAGTCAGTGTGCAGGCCCGAGCCTTCCAGGTGTGCCCCAGATTTTAAGCACTCTGAGCGATTTGCAGGCTGGCGCTGCCTGATGCAGCCCATGGAAGGCTCCTGACACTGCCATTTTGCAGTGTCACAACTCCAGGGCCACGACCCGCCCCAGGCTCCTGGCCCTGCACAGCCCACTCGGCGCGCTGATTTATTTCGGTATTACGTTTAATTGTTTCCTTCTTGTGGAAGCCTTAACATGCAATGCTTGTAAATCTGACCCAAATCCTCCATATGGCACTCTGGTTTTCCATTTTCAAATGCATTCGCCCTGGAATAATGACTGTGGTATAACTCAATTTGAGTTCTGCTGCTGGGGACTTTATTACATAATGCTTTCTAATTGACCCTCATAGTTTGATAAGACAGAACATTTCACCAGAACATTGACAAAAGTTATTAATTTTCACTTCAGCAGAGACCCATGTCCCAATTAAATCCCCTGATAATGCCTGACTGACTGACCTCATTATGGCTAATGCTTATTAGTCCTGCGGAGAGGATAGCATCACACTCTGTTAAAATGCCTAAATGAGCACATACAACCATCCACTGTGATTACAATTTACATACATGACAAATTTTACTCCCTAATCCTTGTCTGGTGCAATGAATGTGGCATGCTGCTGTCATACCACGGGATCAGCCATTGAGGATTTGGGAGGTGTAAAAATGCTCTGCGAGTGTGCTAAGCTACACCCAGTTAAATTCTATCTGCCTTTCTAGGAAACTATTTCAAGTGTGTGGGCGTCTTTAAACAGGGAGATGACTTCTGCCCTTTCCTTTTTTAATGAGAACAACTAGTACTCATTTGTTTGTTTGTTTTTAGCCGACTTCAAAAAATAGAAAACCCACCAGCAGCAGCAGCAGCAAACAGTGATTTCAGCCTTTCTGCTTGGGTAGCTCATACTCCCTGAAGTGGACTTTTCTTCCCTGAGTTTAGTTATATTTTTTACATCTTTCCTGAGCTTTCATCTTGCAGGGGACAGTGGGTGGGGGCTTGTAGACTCAGCTTCCAGTTGAGGGTATCGTAGATACCACCCCATTTAACCAATGACAGGGCCACTTACTCAAGCTAGTCCCGTATTGTGGCACAAGCTGTTGGAAGGTCAGTTGGAAGAAAAATGTATATTTGCACACGCTGATAAAATGGAAGCCTCAGAGTGGCAAGAAAATGAAAGTGAAAAAGCCTTACAGTGTCTGAGGCTTCAGATTGTTTTTCGACCTTTCTTCTTCTGGTCCACACAGCAGTGTTTATCTTTGAGGTGGTCTGACCACGGCTCGATGTCTGTTTTTCCTGCGCAATGTAGTCATTCCCCCTGGGCTGTATGATTTGACACATGACAACAATCTAAGAGCAGAGATCAAACTTCTCAGACTCATGGCAATGTGACAAGTAATGTGTATTGACACAGCAAAGTGCATTCTGGAAATACGAGTGGTTGGGCGGGCACAGCCCCTTGCTCAGCTAGAGATAGCTTAAATCATAGGCTTCAGTTGCCCACAAAGATACAGCCAAAATTTAAATAATAATAATAACCAGCTGGAAGCTGCAATTCATTGAACTCTTTTCTCTCTCTCTTTTTCTTTGGGTATCATCATGTTGAAAGCAGGAATTTTGTGGGAAAATAGTAATAGTAACAAAAGAAGAAAGTGAAAAAAAGAAATGAAACTAAACCTCCTTAGGGAATATTTTAAAGTACTGCATGTTCTCCTCCATCACTCATTCTGCAGATGTCTACTGAGTAGCTCCTTCGTGTTGGGCACTGTACTAGGTTTCCGAATACTAAGGTGAATGACCTAGAGATAGGGCACATCATACCTACTCACAAGACACCCTACCACATGATGCTACAAAGGTTTATGGGACCCCCAAGAGGGGGCATCTAACCCACATTTGGTAGTTCCTCCATGCGTTCGACACATGGGCATTTAGCCCTACTATGTGCTAAGCGCTATTGAGTCTGTCTATTCCCAGTGCTAAAGAGTGACTCCTAGTGGTGACCCAAGGTGTGGCGGCTTCCTCAGGATTCAATAGGGCATTGCTCACGAAAGGCTTTCACTGCCTGTTTGTGGCATCAATGATTGATGGCATATATACTGAGGAAAAGTGAACTCGTTCGCCCAAAAGAAGATTTTTTAAAACACTGCTGTGGGAGAAGAATCATCACAGAGTTGGGTAATCGCAGGGGAAAGAAGGATCCATTTGAAGGATGGAGGTAGGTTTAGAGAAGATGTTGCTAAGGAGGTGGTCACAGAGTTCTGGGTATGGCTTTGGTGCTTAGACTTGAATCCACATCCTTTTCCCCTGGTGGGGTCTCCTGCTATTGCACTGGAGCCAGGTCAAACTGGCCCAGCGAGCCAGTCATGCCTAACTCTTTCCTACTGCATTTTCAGTTCTATCGCATTGGTAGCTTGAATTTAGCCATGGTGGGAGTATTTACACCACAGAAATTGGCAAACTCTACAAGCCAGAGCTCTTCTTCTACAGCTACCCCTGCCCCCGGAACCAGTTGTTAAACACTGATCAGCACACCACTGTCTCCACACAAGAATCCCTAGCTGTATGAAAAACTCAACACTGATTTCATTAGATGACTGGCAAAGGCTTATACCACAGTGCAAAGCTCTGGTAAAAATTCACATCCATGCCTTAGGCCTGGGGACCCTAACTTCCATGAGGGCAGTGCTGGGACCCTATGCTCAGGCTGTCCACAGAGAGACAAGACAGACTTCCAAGTCTTTTGAGAAGATTCTGAGCCAACTTCCTGAAGCAACTGCATGGACGAATTACGGAAGTGGCGTGAACTGGTCAAGACAGGCTGCTGCCCTAGATGACGGATGTCCCACTCAAGGGCACTTTACTCAAGGGAGCAGCTGTGAAATAATAGTAATGGGGATGATCCAGGGCTTCTCTGAGAGAGCCAGAAGTGGAATACACCATGCTTGGGGAATTGTGTTCTCTTTCAACTCAGTGACCCCACTCTCTAGGAAACATGACTCACTTAAGGCTGGGCTCTGTCTTCTCAAGCTGAGCACCTTGTCCCATGGAGTGGAGCCCACAGGGAATGGGGAGGACTCAGAAGTGTGAGGAAGGTCTGTCTCCTAAGGGTTAAGGAAGAAATCCGAGTTGATAGATGCCTCTTCCCTCCCCAGCAATGAGGGCTGAATAAATGGCCACCGATGGGAAAGGCAATAGGGCACTAGCGTGTGGAAAGGCACAGCATTGTGGGCAGAGGAAACCGTGGAGATTTCTGTGGGACCTATTTTGTGTTCTCAGGGGAGAGGGTGATGGCAAGAGGAGAGCATAGAAAAGAAGATGGGACCCAGGTTGTGTGGGCTGTGGTGTTTGTTCTTTATTCTGTAGCCAACAAGGAATCAACACAGAGAGTTAGAATAGGGGAACGATATGGTCCAATCCCTTTTTAGGGACATGGAGGGTACAGAAGTAGGGGAAGAGTTTGATGGCTGGGGGACCAAGACCAGGCTGTTGCAGACACAGTTATCTGCTTATTCAGTATCAGTTCTCATTTTCTTCCTTCCTGACAGAACCTCAGTTTTATTCAGAGAGGCAATGTGTGCTGCATGCGAAAGAAAACAAAAGAAAGAAAATCCCCACTACCATTCCCAACCTTCCTTGCAGAGGGAGAGGTCAGACAACACAGTTCTGGCCAATGAAATGTCAAGTGACATTTCCCTGGGCGGAGCTCCCAGGAGAGCCCTTTGAAAGGGGTCAGATTCAGGAGGCAAGCTGCTTTTTTCCCCTTGCCCTTCGCTTTCTTCTAACCTGGAATGTGGATTTGAAAGAAGCGCAACCATTTTGCCACCATGAGGTGACAAGCAAACTGAGGATAGCCATACGGCAAGAGAGGCTGATTGGAAAGATAGGAGGCATGCGGGGTCTCTGGAGGCATTGTGGGGCTGCCATATTGGCTCTGGATCTCCTACATCTGGATTTCTTATTGTGTGAGGAAAAAATCAGACTCTATGTGGTTAAGCCACGGCAAGTTCAGCTTTCTGTTACATCAGCTGAACCCATTCTTAACTCTTTCTGGTACTGTTTCATAGGTCCAGGTGACAGCCCCTGAGTCCCTGAACTACAGCAGCCAGTGGCATGAAGAGGTGAGGAACAGCTCTCAGGTAGACTTGGCAGCAACATCTTGTTAGGGAGAGTGAAGCCTGAAAGACAGTGTAGCTCCTGAAACTGACTGAAATGTAGACGGCAGAATCGGCCCACCCCAAGGATTCAGGTTTAAGGGCTGAGTAGGACACATGCCAGAGACGATGAGCTCGGTCAAGGGCAGACTGAGTTTGAAGTGCTCAATGTGCAATGTAGACGGGGCATCTTCTGGGCCACTGGAAAGGCCCGTCTGCATTCGGGAAAGAGGTAGGGAGAGTTCTGAAAAAGAGATATGGCAGTTACCGGCAAAGTGATGGTGGCTGGATCCATGGGAGTGGACAGGATTACATATGAGACAGATGTGTGAGGAGAAGAGGGGCAAAGAGACAGCTTTGGGGAACACTGCCAGGCAATGGACAGGCGGTGCTGGGTTGGGGGATTATGGGGGATAGAGAAAGAGAGTGCGAAGGGCTGGGAGAGAGTGGGGAGAAGAATTCACAGAGGCTGGGTCCCAGAAGCCAAGAGCAGAGATGGTCTCGAGAAGGAAAAGAGCAGTCAAGAGTGCCAAATGCGGCGGAGTTGTCAAGGAGGATGAGGAATGAAAATTAGCCTATGGATTTGGCAATTATGATGTCAGTTTTTCTGCTAAAGCTGCTCCCACTGAGGTCACTAATGAAGCCAGAGAAATAGAATGATTTGCCCAAAGTGACATCGTTAGTAATGAGTCTAGCATTAGAAACTGAGGCTCCCGACTCTGGTTAAGTGCTCTTTCTCTTTTATTACACATACTTTTAGGCTGCCCCAAATCACAAAATCGGGTTTTCTTAGAACAGCTTTTGGGTATCATTTATGGTCAAGTGCAAAAACCTTCTAGCTGTCTTTATTGATGTTAGTTTAAATAGGTGTCACTTTGTTCTCAGATTAAAGTATCTTCTTAGCTAATATTTTGATGTGCTGAGATCTCCTAATGGAGAAAGAAGCAAGCCATGGAGAGGAAGAAAGTCAAGACAGGCACTGTCCGCTCCCCTGCTTGTCACTCAGGGCTCTCAGCCCTGGCTGGAGGCTGTCTTCATTTCTCGGTCCATGTCCTGCCCCACAGCCAGAGGCTGAAGAGAGAGTCTGAAGTATTGCCTGGCGGAGGAGTGCTGTTTCTTTTATCTCAAGCAAGAAGGAGCCTTTCCACAGACTGGCCCATCCTGAGCAGACTAGTATCCAGCCGGACATACAGCATTGACCCCCGCGGGGACCAGAAACAGCCTGGGCACGTGAAGCCAGCGGGCAATATTTTAGCCAGAAGTTCTTACTCTATTTCCAGAACAATCAACATGAAGGTCACAGCATCTGTAAAAAGCCTGAGCTATCTATCTACATGAGAGGTGGGGTTCAGAGAGAGAGGCAAGAGAGTCCATCTTGAAATTCTCAAGGCTGAACTCGAATCTGTCTCTCTGTCTTTTTTTTCCTCCCCTCCCGAAAGCAGAGGTCAGAAAGGTGTCGCGAGGTGAGGGCAAAATTGTCAGAACCCCAGTGTGTCTCAGCCCCTGCTCTCCCAGGCGATCACACACCTATCAGTACTGAGGATAGCACAGCAGGTGCACTGGCAGAAACCCCTCTTGCAAAACCTTCCCTATCCGAGAACAGAAAGTAAAGCAAATAAACATCCTGAGGCTGTGAAACGCTCCAATCGCCACCCCCTGCCCCAGGCTGACAGGGGGTGAGTCAGCAGCTTGGATATATAGTGGCAGTTGGCAGGAAAACCCGGTGGGCTTGCTATGGGGGCCCTGCAATCCATAAAGGAAAATTGTCTCAGCAGAGCAAGAGGCTTTTGTTGTTGTTGTTGTTTTTCCTGAGCAAACGAGCACTGGTGTTTTCTCCCATGCAAGAAAGCTGCTACAGATCTGGAGTCAATTTTTCTCTGATGGACAAGGTAGTGAGGGCCTCTGGCTGATTAAAGAGAGTAGCTACCATTCACTATTTCTCAGAAGAGGGAACATAAAAACGGAGATGCAGCCAAAATAAACAGATGGCTGGATCGGGTGGAGGATGCTGTCACGAGCAGACACACAGGTAGCATGGGCCCCAGGCAACCACACGAAGCCATTAAGAGGAGCCAAAACTCAGCAAAGAGTTCTAGAACCCTGGGAAACAGATTGTGCCCTGCCCCAGGGGGGTCGCCTTGGAATTGTCACTGATCCAAAGGTAGTCAAGTTTGCACAGAGCAGGGGGACCCAGCAAGCAAGCAAGCAAGCCTGGACACCAGGAGGACTGAGAAAAGACAGAACTGAGACTAAAGGGGTGAGGCAGTGAAGTCCGTGTAAACTCTGAGCCGCTCAAGTGGCTGGAAGGTTGAGCAGCAGATAGGATGGCGTACCGACTGGCGGGCTGCTTTCAGAACCAACTCAGAGCCACTAAGGCAATTCCGCAAACATTCACCGAATGCCTTGTAGGTACCAGAGCTCTGCCTCTGAGGATCTTGTGGTCTGGGAGTGAAATGTTTATAAACAGATAAATGACACTGCAATACAATGATTATGAACAGAATCCTGAAGGATCATAAGGGAGAGAGCTGTCAGGGAAGGCTTCAGAGAGGAGGTGACACTGAGGCTGGTTAATAAAGACTGAGCACGGTAAAGAAGGAAAAATTGTACCAAAGACTGTAGTTGAGTAACCACAAGACTATTATAATGAAGGCTCTGGTTGCAGAGAAAAAAAGTTCAGTTAAACTAGCTGAAGTTATGAGGAGCATTACTACAGAAGTACAACAGAGACTCTTACCAGAAAGTAAGAGGAAAGAAGTGCTGTGGGTTGCCATGGGGACTGGACCCAGGAAACCATGATCCAGTGTCAATTCCTGACAGAGGCACAAGGACTTCCATCCTCCAAGCTCTGTGTCTCTGTCCACTTCCCGTCTTCCTGAGGTCCATTCTTCCCTGGTTACATGTGGCCTAGGAATCCCATATCTTTGCCTCATAGGCATTTGTGGCTTGCTCTGGCATCAGCTTCAGGACCAATTTCCTATGACCTTTCAGGTAAAGTGCCTATCATCCTGTGGGCACACCTGACTCTATCCCTCAGTGTTCTACTTCTCAGGACAGAGAACCCAGTTGGCTCTGATTAAGTCATTGATATCTGATTGGTAAACTGGTGCCTGGAGCCAGAAGGGGAAAGTGCAGGTTGTATATAATGTCACCTTTCTTTTTTTTTTTTTTTTTTTGAGACAGGGTCTCGTTCTGTCACCCGGGCTGGAGTGCAGTGGTGCAATCTTGGCTCACTGCAGTCTGGATTTCCCAGGCTCAGGTAATCCTCACACCTCAGCCTCCCAGGTAGCTGGGACCACAGGTGCCTGCCGCCACGCCTGGATAATTGTTTTGTATTTTTTGTAGAGATGGAGTTTCATCATGTTGTTCAGGCTGGTCTTGAACTCCTGGGCTCAAGCAATGTGCACACCTCGGCCTCCCAAAGTGCTGGGATTACAGGCATTAGCCAACACACCCGGGTGAATGTCACCTTTCAAGGTGTGAGTGGGCGTGGATGGGGGGGTGATGACTGGCATATTTACTAAGGTGCATGTACTCATGTGAGCACTCTGGAAACACAGGGTATCTGCCATAAGTGTCCAGGATAGACTTTTGGCTCTCTGTGCTGCAATTGTACAAACCTTTATCTTACCACCGAAAATATTATAAAAATTTATCTTAATTTATCCTTCATCACAATTTAAATCCTAAAATAAGGGTAAACACTTTAATCATATGTATTCATGTTTACCATTGCAATTCCGGAAAATAGCATAGCATCAGGCACCTGTAAGGCTGAATAAACTTTGATTATCCTGGTTATTTCTGCCATCATCTTCATTCTCAATTTTCAATTCACTGTAATTGTCTGTTACCTGCAGCTTCCTATGGTGGAAGAGAGGCATACTCAGTATGCTATTTCAGTGGAAGACTGAGAACAGAGATTTTACAGATGTCAGAACTGGACTCAACTTGTGTCCAAATTCCATATGTATGCAGAAGGTCCTAAACTGTGACCACTATAGAATAGTGTCTTAGTCTGGGCTGCTCTAACAAAAGTACCATAGACTGAGTGGCTTATTTCTCACAGTTCCAGAGCAATCAAGGTGCTGACAGATCCAATGTCTGGTGAGGGCCTGCTTCTTGGTTTGCAGCTGGCCATCTTCTCATTTATCCTAACACAGAGGAGACTAGAGGGAGAAAAACAAGTGCTCTCATGTCTTTTTTATAAGAGCACTAATCCCATTTATGAGGGTTCCATCCTCATGACTTAATTACCTCCCAAGGGCCCCACCTCCTAATACCATCAACATCGAGGGTTAAGATTTCAGCATATGAATTTGGGGTAGATGCACAAACATTCAGTCCATAGCTGATAGACATAGCTAGGTGCGTTTACCCCAAGTCTTCTTGCAGGAGGTACCAAGGAGACACGTGGGAGAACTCATTCTAATGGATGATAAAATTGGCAGATATATGTCACCTCAATGGCAGAGAAGCAGACAGTGTCTGAGTGTACCTGTCTCAAGCTGCATGGACTCCCGTCTGAATACTAAGAAAGGGGAGCTGGAAGTTAAAACAAATCAGGGTGCTTCACTGAAAGATCTAGAAAACGTGTGGCATAGGGCATCACCATCTTGGCACCTGAGGACAAAGAACAGTATGGAAGGTAAAAAGGCTCCTACCTTCTACCTTCATGGTGTGGCTTTGGGATCTTAAGAACTGCAGTCTGCGCCATGGCAGTGCAGGTGTCTGGCAGCACCTAGGAGGTGGTGCCAGCCAATGACAATACTCAGCAGAAGTGGCAGCGGTGCCCAGCATCAGTACTAGTGCCAAGTGGTCACATCCAGAAGGTAGACATTGGCTGAGGAGTCCAGAGGATACCATTCTCATCTGACTGTCTTGTTAGTGGGATTCACTCTCTGAGATTCACTGAACTATGTAGAAAAGTATTTGGTAGGGCTTGAGGGCCTGCCAGTATCTGTAGAATATTACTGTAAGGCGATTCCACTTGTACCCACAGGCAGTCTGACCCGGGGAAACTTGGGTGACATGTAAACAGAGGCACCTAGCTTGCTCTTGACCCATGGTCGAATGTCAGGAGTTACTGCTTATTCTGTTATGGGCTGAGTTATGTCTCCTTAAATATACATGTTGAAGCCCTAACTCCCAGTGTCTCAGAATGCGACTGTGTTTGGAGCTAGAGCCTTTAAAGAGATGATTAAGTTAAAAATGAGGCCATTAGGGTGGGCCCTGATGTAATCTAACTGGTGTCCTTATAACAAGAGGAAATTTGGACATAAAAAGAGACACAAGGAATGTGCTCACATAAAGAAAAGTCCATGTGAAGAGGCAGCAACAGGGTGACCTTCCAAAAGCCAAGGAGAGGGACCTCGAAGGAGACCAACCCTGATGGCACCTGGATCTTGGACTTCCAAACTCCAGAACTGTGAAAAAATAAGTTGTTTATACCACTTAGTCTGTGGTATTTTGTTAGGGCAACTCTAGCAAATGAATACATACCCCATATAAGGCTCAGCGGGCATTAGGACCCTCTTTGAAGGACATGCAGGAGATCCCAGATCAAATAAAGTAGTCAGCTCCTACCAAGAAAAGCCAAGGGCACGAAGAGATTGAAAAGAACAGCCGCCGATGGAAGAGTGTAATCAGAGAGAAATGAATAGAAACTGCCCAAAGAAAATACGTGCTACCTAGCAACAAATACACCAAGTGTAGAGAATAGGCCAGACAAATAGCTCTAAAGAGGATGTGGTAGTGGTAGGGGAAGTAATCAAAACTAGGAAAGTGAGAAAGTATGAAAAAAATCAAACAGCGACTCAGCTAGAGAAATTATAGCGCGAAGTTAAGAAAGTGCAAAAACATGATAAGGAAAGCAAAGGTGAGGAATGAAAAGAAGATTGCGAGAGAGGTTAAGATAAATAATAAGGCATTTTTCAAGTGCAGAAGGAACAAGAGGTCAGTACAAAAGCCAATAGGGCCTCTAAAAGCTGGCAGAGGCAATTTATTGACAGAACATGAAGACATAGCTAAAAAATATTAAAGGGCTCTCCCCCACTCCCGCTCCTTGCCTCTCTTTTCACAAAGGAAGATGGGGACATATGCCGAAGCAGACATAAATTTCCCGAGAGTGGAAAAAAGACATATTGAAGGAAATCAGGATCTTGTCAGCACAGGTGATCAAGAAATTAGGACATCAGAAAAATTACGGAAAGTCTAGAGCCAGGCCAGAGCCTCCTGGAATGAGGGACCCAGAGTCCAGCGCGGCCCGAGGCCAAGGCTAGGGAGGGATGAGTACGGGTCCCGGTGCACAGGCGCAGAAGCTTGTGCAGGAAGCAGTCTTGGGCCGCATCTGTACGTTCATCTTGTAGACGAGTTTTCATCTCTGGTATGGGGAACAGATTCAGGGTTGAATCAGGCCTTTATACCCAAAGCAGCTGGCATTTGATCATCTTTGATGGGGCTCTTGTTTTTAAGAGTACCTGCATGACCTAAGTTTTGGGCAGAAGTTCACTCTCCTTCCCAGATCATAGACAGAAGACCTGGGTTCAAGTCACGACTCTGCTACAGACCTGCCTGTGATTTCAGGCTAACCGCTGAGGGTCACAGAGATATAGGTGCCTCTTCTCTAAAACGAAGGTGAGCATTCCCTTGCTCTAAAACGGACTGTGATGCTCAGATGAAATCATTACTCATTCACCAATACGACAAGTAATCTTGAGTGCTTTTAACGTGCCAGGCTTGTTGTAGGTCCAGGGAGGGAGGAGTAAAGACAGATCCCTCTGCCCTTGCATGGTTGACATTCTTTTGTAGGGGAAAGAGATAAATAAACAGAAAAATAAACAAGGTAATTTCAGAGATTGATGAGAGCTTGGGAACAAATGCATAGCTGTGCAAAGCCCTGCCCCTACTGGTGGTCAGGGTAAATGGCATTGAGTTGAGATCTGAACCAGGAGGAGGAAAGATCTGGGACAGAACATTCTAGAACAAGGGCAGTAGGCTTCAGTCCTAAAGTTAATGTGTAAAGGCATTGTTTAGAGCATACAGTGTGGCCAAAATGCTGGCCCTGAATGACGTTATCAAGAGCCTTTTCCGAGGCTCAGAATTTCATATTTCTCTTCTGTTCTCTTCAACCTGACTAGGCTGTAACGGTTGTCAAATCAAGGCAAACTTCAACAAGACAAGCCTGGCAACAAAGACGTATAAAGCATAGAACACATATAACACTGATTCCTGGAGGAGCTGGGAAGGACACCCTTTTTCTTTCCAAACATAGAGCCTCTCTTGTCACAGGGAGACTGAGGCTATGGTCACTGCTTGTGGCCTGCTAGGAAGTCCTAGACAAAGAATCGGTTTCAGGTATATTGCTTACCTTGGGCTCTACAGATTCTGTGTAGTGAATGGGGTAAAACACGAAGGTGCGTGGATGAGCTTCCCTGCTAAAAAGGACCAGCCCTCCTTGAAATGGATTCCTTTCCATTCCCACACTCTGCAATATTGTGATTGAGTCATGCAGCAATTAAAGAGAAAAATGTCACTATTGTGCTTCCAAATATATTATTTAATTTTCACAAAACAAATCAAACTCTTGGTCTTGAGTGCTGAGAGAAGAATATAAATGGAACCACAAATCTCTAACATTTCATGTTAACGCAGTAGTTCAGTAAGAGAGAAGTTGAATTTCCTTTCACAAATGTTTATTGAGCACCTACTAGCTTCAGGGCATACACAAAATAAATACTACCTGGTCCTTGTCGTACACGAACTCATGGTCTCTACTTTGAATCACACTCTTTCAAAATACAATATCTATTGGATCAAGAGAAAAGCTTTTATAGTGATTTTTACAAAGAAATAAAGCAGAAGCAATTATACTTAATTTAGGAATACTGGATATTCACAGATGAACACGTTTTCAAGCACACAAACCCCCAGATTTTTGTCTCTAGTAGAGCCTAAAAGGAGTTCTACAGGACAAGAAGATGGGATTTATGCTCAGACAGGCCCAGATTGAAAAGCCTAGCTGATCTCCTCACTAGTGGTGTGATATTTGGCAAGATACATAGCTTCTCAGTTTCCTCGTCTATAACATGGGACTCATGGTACTGACCTCATGGAGTTGCTGTAAGGATAAAATGAGATCATGCATTTAGGTTGAGAGTTTGGCTGTTGTAGGTGCTCCACAGTTGCCCCTTTCCCTTTTTAACTGGGATCATTGAAAAACAAGCAGTTAGATGGTTGAAAATGTGCAATTGTTTGTGTCTTCCTTTTTAAAAAGGAGCTAATACCAGCTCAGTGTTTTGGAACTGAAGCCTACAATGTGTTTCATGTCTTTCTGTCTTCAGAGAGAATAACTCGTCATTTGATAGCGTAATCCTCTGATTCTCTGGGTCATACCAGCCTGAGGCAGAGCAGCAATAGCAATAGCTCAGTGACAGAAGAGACACTGCCCCTGCTTGTATTGAGGGAAAGACTCATCCTAAAATCCTCCACGTGGTGCTGCAGTTTCTAAGTTTTGTCATGATGCAGTTCACCGAGTGCCTGCTGGGTGCTACTGAGGATAAAGTGACCAAAAAAAAAAAAAAAAAAACCCCATGCAGCCCTTGTTCTCAAAGCACTTGTACCTGGGTTGCTAAGCCACGTGACCACACAGGTGCATGTTGGTAATCATTTGACTGCAACTTCTTGCACCTGTGGCAGGTCTTAAGAAGAAGGTGTCCATGGTATTACAGGAATCTTAAATAGGGAATTCATCTTAGGCAGGGAGGTGAGAAGGCGATACTTGAGCTGAGTAGAAGGCCAGGAAGAATGAAAAGGAAGAGGAGAGGGAAAGCATTCTGGTCAAAAGAACCGAAGGAGGCAAGTGCCTGGGGCTGGAGTGCAAAGAATGGTGAGGTTGGCACCATGCACAGCCTGCTGGGCCTCACTGAGTTTTCTGGGCTTAACTGAGGAGCATTAAAAATCTCCTAAAGAGCTTTGTGTAGGGAATTGGTATGAGTAGGTTGGAACGATCACTAATGTTGGAAACTGAAAGAGAGTTGTGTAAACCTGTTAGAGGGAATTATGAGCATCTCCAGATGGTGGCTTGGACAGGGTGGTGGTAGAAGTTGAAGGAGGGAATTTTATAGATTTTAGGTTTATTTGGGGGATGAAAATGATAGGAGCTTGAAGATGGTTTGTATGGAATTGGGGAGGAGGAAGCCAGGTTGAAAGGTGAGAAAGCCTTGAGAGATTCCTAGAATTCCACCTTGAAAGATGGATGAGAGGGGACGGGAGGGAGGGGGGTCACTGAGCTGGGGAACACTGGAAGGCACTGGGTACGTGGAAAGATCACGAGTTCTGTTTTGGGTGTTTGATCTTGAGGCTGCCATTGAGAAATATGAAAGATGTTGAGGAGCAATTTCGATTCTTGGATCTGGAGCTCAGAGAAGCCTGGAATAGGTGTAACAGAAACCATTATTTTTTTTGGAGGAGGTCCTTAGAAACACCCTGAGATGAGGGGTCATGTACAAGTTACTTATTAAGGCTGTGTTCCCCTGGGAGACTGGTCAGGGAGTGGGGAGTGGAGCAGGCGAAGGGAAGAAGCTGAGCACAGGGTTATCTCAGGGTAAGGTATTATCAAGGGGTAAGTCCTGCAGAGGACAGGCTTTAGCCCGATCTCTCTGGGGCTCTGGTGAATAAGCCACAGCTTCCCCAACTATTGCAAAGGAACCTCACTGGGAGGGGCTGTGCAAACTCCTGGGCAATCCCTGAGGGCAACCTTCCTCCACCTCTTCCTCCTCCAACGGCCGCAGGTGCAGCTGAAAGCACACCACAGCTGGTGAGGGGTGAGGCAGAGAAAGCCTAAAAAGAGATCCCAGGGCAGCTGGGTGGAATGCTGACATCCTCACTACTGGGGTGGACAAGAATTGCCTAGGGAGATGGAGTAAGAAGAGAGATGGTCAAGACTGCTTTACTGAGGCCTTCCAAAACGTACTGACTGATTAGAATAGAAGCTTAGAAAGGAGGCTGAGGACTATCATTTCACAACCACCCTGCAAAGACAGCAGCAATATAAGTATTATTATCTCCATTACAAAGAGGAGAAAACCAAGGCTTGCGGAGGTTAGAAATTGAACACAGAGCTCCTGACCCTAAGCCTAGTGCTCCTTTAAACCCAACAAGGGAAGGTTTCCCAGCGTTGGAGGGCCCAAGTGCTGAAAAGAACTGGTCCTCCTTTGAAAGTGTTTATAGATGCCAGTGCTCATGGTTTAATATTCACCTTGCCAGATTTCAAAACCTGGGGAGAAAGGGAAGCTGGGGCGTGATTTATGGTGATTTTTACAAAGAAATAAAGCAGAAGCAATTATACTCCATTTAGCAATACTAGACACTCATAGACGAACACGTTTTCAAGCACACGAACCCTCAGATTCTCATCTGGCATAGAGCCTTAAATGGAGTTCTACAGGACAAGATGGGCTTTGTGCTCAGGCAGGCCTGGATTGAAAGCCTAGCTCATCTACCCACCGGTTGTGTGATACTGGGCAAGATATGTAGCTTCTAAGTTTCCTCATCTGTAACATGGGACTCATAGTACTTACCTCATGGAGTTGTGTGAAGATAAAATGAGATCACGCATTCAAGCTGAGAGCTTGGATATTATAGGTGCCCCTTTTCCCTTTTAACTGGGGACGTTAAAAATAAGCAATTAAATGATGGAAAATGTACAACTGCTTGTGTCTTCCTTTTTGAAAAGGAGCTAATACCAGCTCAGTGTTTTGGAACTGATGCCTAGCAATGTGTTACGTGTTTTTGTCTCTTCAGAGAGGTGGGGAGGGGAGGCTGGAGCCACTCCTCTGCATCCCCGGAGACAAAGGTGAATGCGATGAGGGTTTGAGGCAAACGTGTGGGAGTCTGAGCTGCCCAGAGCACAGAGCCCAGCCTGCTTGCTGTCTACCAATGCTTTGAATTTATTTTCTGCCTGTGGGGAAGCTGCTGTTGACTTTGTCCATTAAGCAGGCTTGCAGGATATCTGCTGACCCCAGGTTCCTTCTCCCCTGAGGAAGCACCACTGCCTCAGAGATCAGCAGAGGTGTGCTCGTTCCCAGGGCTTCCCCAGTCCAGAGGGAGGGTGTTGGGGGTGAAGTGAGCTCTGGGCTGGGACATAAGGACATGCCTCAGGGACACAGAGCACGACCCTCTGTTTGCCGACTCTCTGACTCTCTGGCTTGAGGAGCAGTGAGGAAAATCAGAACTAAGAATACCTGCCCCCTGAATAGTCTGGGATTAATTAGGAGACTGATAATGCACAGTGTGTGCCTAGGATGAAAATGAGTTATAGTCTCGTTACTAATATAGCTGGGTGGATGATTAGTATATAAAACAAGGTCACTTCTCAATAAGCCAGAGGTCACTGGGTGTCCCCATAGGGTGACTTAAGCCAACCTTGTATTTGTGAGGAATTCCCACTGATTTACCAGGGAGTAAGAGCCAGCAAATCAAAGATGTTTTGCCCAGTTTAGTAAATAAAATGCAAAGACCCTGCATGATGCTTGTGTTTATTTTTTTTCCCTTATAGAAAATATTTTCCATGGAATTGAACACCAACATTAAAAGTAAAAAGGGGTTGGGAAGAAGAAACCTAAAACCAATGTAAGTTGGAAGCAAACTAGTACTCATTTCCTGTAGAGGAATTTTATACGTTTTAATGGAGTTACTGTGGCTTTTTATTTCAGCATAAGGTGAAGAGTCAAAGTATGAGGATTTAAGGCTTCCAAGTGTGTGCAGTTATAGGAACAGACCCTTAAATTTGCCAGCAAGCTCCAGGCACTGCTCCTGCATAACTAATGTCTCCCTCACCAGGTCCAGGGCGGAGGGCCCTTTGACTCCCCTGGAAGTTATGCAGGGATAAGGGGAGTGTCAGGAATGCAGGATTAGGCCTCATAATTGAAGCTGTCGTTAGCTGAAGAGGCAGGCGGGCTTGTGAGCCTTTCCAAGTTTGCATTTATTATGAGATGAAGATATGGCTCCTTTGGTATAAAGGGGGTAGAGGGAATTTCTGCAAGTCGGCAATATCTACCCCCCACCACCAACTTTTTAAGTTGGTTTGTTCTACAACATTCATTATGCTCTTCTTAGTAGATCCCAGAAAAATCATCCTTTAGAGGATTTTCTTTATCTTTTGAGGAAGGCCAGCTGGAACCTTCTGAAATGATTCCCATTCAGCGTGCAGCCACAGACAGTACCAATGGTAAGGATGAAATATTATTTTTGTAAAGTGCATGTGGTTACAGCAGTGCCACTTACACACTCCTTATTGGATGATGACAACGGAGACCATGGGGCTGAGCATCCTCTGTGGCATAAACAAGCCAGGAAAGTGAAAGGTCTTAAGGCTGTGGAGAGAAGAGATTACTGTGATCATTCCTTATATCCATGCAAGTAGCATTCTGCGTGCACCTATTCTTTTTCTATTTAAGCTTTTTTACTGTGGTAAAATATAAATAACAAATTTAGCATTTTTGGGTGTACAATTCAATGGCATTAAGTACATTCACATCATTGGGCAATTATCACCACCATCCATCTCTAGACCTTTTCCATCTTTCCATACTGAAACTCTACTCATTCAACAACTCCTTCCAGGTGCTGGTCCCTGTATCCCTCCAGCCTTTGGTAACCTCTATTCTATGTTCTACGTTCTGTTTCTATGAATTTAACTACTCCAGGTACCTCATGTAAATGAAATCACACAATATTGTTCTCTTTGTGCCTGACTTATTTCATTTCATATTGTGTCTTCAAGGTTCATCCATGTTGTAGCATGTACCATTCTTTTTTAAGGCTGCATAGTATTCTCTCGTATGTATATACCATATTTTGTTTATCCATTCAGCCATCTATGAACACTTGGGTTGCTTTCACCTTTCGGTTATTGTGCATAATGCTGCTATGAACATGGGTCTATAAATATTTCCTCCAGACTCTGCCTTCAGTTGTTTTGGGCATATACCAAGAAGTAGAATTTCCAGATCACACGGTAATTCTATTTCTCATTTTTTGAGGAGGCTTCATACTGTTTTCCATAGCAGTTGCACCATTTTACATTTCCACTAACTGTGCAGAAGGGTTCCAGTGTCTCTACATCCTCACCAACACTTGATATTTTCAGCTGGCTTTTCTACTGTTGTTAGTAGCCATCCTAATGGATGTGAGGTGGTATCTCATTGTGGTTTCGATTTGCATTTCCCTAATGATTAGTGAATCTGAGCATCTTTTTATGTGCTTGTGTATAAATATTCATTCCAGCCCTCATTTCCAGTTCTTTTGGGTGTATACCAGAAGTGGAAGTATGCACCACTCAAACGTTGGAGCAGCCCCCATAAAGACTTGCTAGGCAATACTTTGAATGGGTTATGACAAACCCTGAGGGTATAAGAAAACTTCAACCAACCAGAATTATAAGAGGTAGAGAATATTCTGGCTAACAGAAGATTTATTAGATCTTTTCATTTTTGTTTCAATCATGCTTACTAAAATTCTTCCCAAAATATTTTATTATGTTTCTTAGATGAGTTCCACAACCTGTCCTAGGAGAATTTTCATTATCCTAGAGGAATAGTATAGGAGGACCACCTGGGAACTAGATGCTTAATGTGCTATCCTGGAGTTTTAGATGAGAAGCATCAAATACGTTTAGCCATGTTATAGGCCAAAAGGTAACTGTTGTATAGGATTGTGAACCAGAAGTCAGTTAAGTATTTGGGATGTGGTTTCAGAATAAATGGTCTGTAGCTCTTCTTTCTGGCAGTGACTGGAGAGCAGGGCCTGTTGTCTATTAAGGCCACTCCTAGTTCATGAAAATAAAACCATGTCAACTTCAGATAAAAGAATGTTTATCTTTCTGTTCTCCTAGGAGGGAATTGGAGGGGCCAGGCTGGGAAAGTGTCTTGTTGATCCAAATGTGGTAGCATATCATTGATGTTTCAATGGAAAAAGAAAAGTGTGTTCAACATTCATCTATTGTTTCTCCTCATGGCAAATGAGGATTAAGGCAGTTCTGCATTTATTCATAATGATATCCCTAGCACCAGTCTAGTGCCAGGCCATAGTATGTGATCAATAACTATTTATTCAATGATCAATGGTGCCTGCTCCTTTAAAAGACTGCCCTGCTAACCTCATTCTCGTGTAATGTCAAGATGGTAGTTCTCTATCCGCATTGGAATAGAGCCTTTGGCTGGCCAAGCTGGGTCCCAGGTGTTGGTAGTGTAGACAAGCCCACTTTTCACCCCTTATTTGCATCTGTTTGTGACTGTTACTTTAATTGCATGGGTAACATTTTCTTTGGGAAAGAGGCAGAAGGAAAAGGGAGCTATTGGGTAAAATGCAGGAACAGCTATTTTGAGTCTGGTCTGGCAGAGAGGGTTTGAAGCCACGCCTGGAGGAATGAGAGTTGGAGCACAGGAGAGCTGTTCTCCTGAGAAGGTGAGATTCTGGCATGGATCTGCTGCTTTGGGGCCCACGTGATCCCATAGCCACAGAAGCTTCTATCCTTCTCTTTCCTGCAAGGATCCACAATCTCCTCTGGGCACATAACAGATGGCAGCCTGGGTGGGAAATGGCACTCTGGGGATGCTCACTGTCCTGGGGCAGCAGGGCCTCCTTTAGGCAGCTCTATGGGAGCCATAGAGGAAGGACGGGAAGGAGATGCAGGAGAGGAAAGAAATGCAGGCACCTGGTGCCCACTGACGCTCTAACAACAAACTGCAGGATCGTGCAAGCTCCTTTATGGAGCGCATGCAGTGTTCAAAATCATAGCTTGTTGTGTGTGTGTGTGTGTGTGTGTGTGTGTGTGTATGTATAATCACCAGCTGGTGAGACCTGGGGTATATTTATTTGTGCTCCAAATTACTACCTTTGTACCTACAAGCAACCAAGCACAAAACAGATACCCACTTTGGTAGCTAATAGACAAGGAAGGGACAACAAACTCCACACCAAAAAGTCATCTATAATTCTAAACAGATTTATTCACAGCTTGGTACAAAGAATGGTCTTTGTGTCAAATAAAAATCCCAGGTTTGAATAATGATAACAATAATAATAACAGCAGACACTTTTCCACAGTGTTCCCTGTGTGAAAGGTACAATTCTGAGTAATTTATACGTTTTAAATAATTAATTTAATCCTCCCAACAGTCCTATGAGATAGGGTATCTTACTACAGCCACTCTACAGAAGAGGAAACTGAGGCACAGAGAAGTTAGGTAACTTGGTCAAAATCACACAACCAGTATGCGGCAGAGTTGGGATTCAAACCCAAGAAGATGGCTTTATACCATCATGAGATATGATAAAGATATCATCTTTATTGAGGTATAATTTACATACCATAAAACTCACCCTTTAAAGTGTATAATTCAGCAATTTTTAGTATGTTCAAAATTGTACAACCCTCACCATTATCTAATTTTAGAACACTTTTATCACCCCAAAAGAAGCTTGATATCCATTAGCATTACTCCCCATTCCTCCTTCCCCCTCCTTGTAACCGCTAATCTACCTTCTGTCTCTACAAGTTTGCCTATTCCGCGTTGCACATAAATGGAATCGTATAATACGTAGTCATTGTGTCTGGCTTGTTTTTCACTTAGCAAGATCCTTTCAAGGCTCAGCCATGGTCTGGTATGTATCAGAATGTCAGTCCTTTTTACGGTCAAATGATATCCCATTGTATAGATACAACATTTTGCTTGTCCATTCATTAGTTGATAGACATTTGGGTTGTCTCCACTTTGTGGCTCTGATAAGTAATGTTCCTATGAACCAACTAAATTGTATTTAAAAAAATAAAACCAGAATATATTTCACATATGATAACTAATAAGCTAATTTTCTGGGAGATTCAAGGATTGCCTTTCTAAAGCCAGGCAGGCACTCCTGTGCCTATCTGTATTTAAGGAGCTGATAAAAGTGGCAGAGATTATGCCAGATGATGCATATAAAAGTGCTTTCTAAAACTTTAAAGCATCAGTCCAAATATTGGTCATGAATAACATGAGCTTGTCCAACGACTTGAGAGTTCAAGTTAGAGGATAGTTAGATGGCTAATTGAGGTTTTATTGTTAAAAACACTATTTATTTTAAAAGGTTCTATGCTGTATTAACTGGGAGGCAGGCAAAGGGCCCACTTTGTGTCCATAGCCAGTCACAATGAGCTGTTCCACAAATGTCATTGTGGGTCCCAGGGATACTAGTTTCTCTGCTACTATATTCCTCTTTCCTATTTGGTATTCACTTTTGATATCTTATTGATCATTCCTCATATAAAGAAAAGGAAATTTTTAACTCTCTAATCCAGTTACGAATATGTTTAGCTGCATGTAACAGAAAACCCAAGGGTGACTTAAACAGAATTGTGTTTTCTTACACAACAAGACATCTGAAGGCTGCTTTGGCATCGGGACCAATGTCTCTGTGCTGATTTTAACCTTTCTCTCATGTTCACAAGAGGCTTGCCTCACCTTGAGCGGTCATGTCTGTGGTCAAGACAGAAAAGGGACTTGGGTAGGGGTGGTGTCAGGAGAGCTGAAACCCTCCAAGAAGCCCCCAGCTGACTTGTGCTTCTGTCTCATTGGCCAAGAGAACACCAGAGAGGCTGGGAAATACCATATTTAGATTTTCCAGCTGCTATAGCAGAGAGAGATAAAGAAAAAGGGGGTTGGAAATAGGTGCCAAGTTATTTTTAAAAATGTGTTAGCCACACCTGCCTCTCAAGAGAAGTTAGGAAACCTAGGCAGGTGAGAGGAAGAGGCAGCAGCTCTGAGCTCTGAAGGAAGAGGCTGGCATGGCCCCCTCGCTTTTCCAGGGGTTTTGCTCAGTGAAGTTCTTCATTTGCCATTTCTGCTCTCAGACTTGTGATTTCACTGAAACCACTCATCTCCCCACAGACACTGGTTTGGCTATATAATGGTTGAAGGCATGTCTGGATGTTTTAATGATGTGACCATACTGCATTGTGACATGATGTGGTCCAGAGATACTGTGGCCAGAACCAACCTGGCTGGCTGAGCCATGTCTAAATCACAGCAAGTTTGTCCAGGGTTGAGGGTCCAGCTTGGAGTGTCACAAGTGTTCTGCCACAGTCTTTCTGAATCTGTTCCTCCTCATTAGGATTAAGATGCTGGAGGACAGGACCCAGGACTCACAATTCTGTTCTATTTCCCTTTCCCTGCTACCCTCCCCCACGGTACTGGAACACTCCTGGGCACGTACGCGAGTCTCAATAAATGCTTGGTGGATAAACTCACATTCCTGGTGACTAGTCAAAGATGTGTCACTTATTATGAAGTGTGCCAAAAAAGTCACTCACTAACTTGTCCAGTAAGCACTTTAGCAATTTAATCTGTGAACCAATTACTTCAGTACAGTTTCCAGAAATAGAGTTGTTCATCCTTTGAAGCAGGTTAATTGTCAACTGATATTTTATCTTTGTTGATTCATCTGACGGACAATTAGGGCTTCTAAAGTGTCAGGCACGGTGCTAGGCACAGAGGAGCACAGAGAAAATCATAACACTTCCCACGAGGTCTCAGAGGGGAGTGGGCTAGACAGTCGTGTCAGCAATGCACCCAGGTCTCTGAAGGGCTGCATCAAAGCTCTGTGGGCCAGCGGGGAAAGAGTGATTCAAGGCAGGGAGGAGTTGTGGGGTTGTGAGGTTAGATTGGCTGCTGGAGTCTCCTTCCTTAGACATTCTAAGCTGACTGCTGGCCTGGTTCCACCAAGGGGATCCGGGTGCATGACTCTGTTTGCCTTCCCCACTAGATGGGCTCACTGATGAGAGCACACTGTTTTCTGGAGCTTGTCCACATATGCTCCAAGTTGGCTTTTTCAAGAAGCAGGATAAAGAAGAACATTAAGGAGAGTCAGAATGAGGTTCAGGAAGCCTAAAGCCCAGGTCTCCTCTCTGAGGGAAGCTGGTGGCTCTAGCCTTCTTCATTCCCCAAAGACTTTGGAGGGATGGGGTGAGGTGTTGCAGAATATCGGGGAAGGACTGTCTACAAGATGCTCACTGGTTAAGACACTCTGAGGGTGGAACACTACAACACAACTTTCTTCACAAAAAAATCAATTTAGGAAATAGCATCAATGTAGTTTTGGAAGCATCTTACATTCTCATTCAAATGTAATGGTTTTATGGAGTCCTATGTGGAGGGTGGAGGGCATGCATATTCTTGGAACTTAGATGACCCATTTATGTGAATACTGGAACAGCACTGAGAAAAATGCCACTGCTCTGTAGCCTCTAAAGGGTTAACATCAGGGCATATTTGAAACTTGGCAGCCAAAGGCAGCTGTGTGACCTTTTATTGTGAAATCAGATTGGAAGCTGTAGCACAAAGCAGGGGGTGGAGAGTGGAGCCAATGGCCCTGAAGACTGCAGGAGCGGGACCCTCACACCCTGTGGTTAGTGACTGAGTTTGAAAAGCAAGCCAGAATGAAGCCTGTATCTCCAAGGGGCATTTCCAAACCAGTAATTGAAGACTTTTTACAAATTAAATTTGTATTTCTTGCTGTCCTTTAATTTTTAGTATGTACTAACAATACAGATTTGCTAAATCTGGAAGTTGGTAAGCAAGCATGTAATCATTGGTAACTCCTTATCCAAGAATCTCACTGAATATTTCATATGCTGCCTCATTAATGCCTGTCCCTGCCCATTGATCTCTGGCAACTCTAGGGTATTGCTTACTCCTATTTTACAGATGCAGAAGATGAGGGAGAGAAAATTAAATGCCTTCATGGAGAATTAATCATGCAACAGAACCAAGAGCTCTAAGTGTTCTGGCTTCCAGTTCTTGGCCTTGACAGTGAAACTGAGCTTTTTTTTTTTCTCCTAGGAACAGCTAGAACTTTCACTTTATGGGGCTGACAAAGAAAATCACCATTTGCTGAAAAGGTAGTGAAATGCCTACTTCTTAGCTCTCTGGTCAAGGCAAGTTACTTGAAAGTGCTTAAAGGAGGTTGATGTAAGACAGATCCAACCGTTTTGTCTCAATTGCAGTGGTGGCTCAGCCACAACTAACCAAAAAAAGTGGGGGAGCAAAATCTAAACCTATGACTGAACTGAATTCCCTGTTTCTTTGATTGAATTTACTCTTCTTTAAAATGTTACTGAATTTACTGGCTAATTAATTACAAGAGTTGAACTGGTGGTGAAACTTCCGTGGACGACTTGTGTCCATGCCTTTCATGTGTTTGGCTTAAAAAATCTATACAATGCATAGAGCTGGGTGGGAGGTAAAGTGAGTCAAAGAGAATGCTTTCCAAGCCATATGCTTGCCCTCCAAGGTGACCCCTAGCTACCTCCAAGCTCTCAGACAGTGGAAGGCCATAAAGAGTGAAGAGGTGAATTCTGAGAGTGTTAGAAAAAGCTGGGAGATTGCCTGATTCCTGTTGAACTTCAGACCCAAAATGTATGGCATAAGCAAGAAACTAGAAATTGGCCTAGGAGGCAGTGGTAATCCTTTTTGGTCAATTAAGCCTAGAAATAAGCAGAGATTTAAAAAACAAAAATTAGACTCAGAATTAAGCTGTTAAGAGGCTACTGCCCTAAACCAAGGGGTTTGTTCTTTGTCTGTTGAATGCTGTTAGGTTGGTGCAAAAGTAATTGCACTTTTTGCCATTAAAAGTAATGCCAAAAACTGTTATTACTTTTGCATCAACCTAACATTTAATAAAAGATAATATTTTTGAACTAATATTTTGTACCAGACTTGAGGCTAAGCCTTCATACCCATTATTTCACTTAATCTTCACAACATCCCAGGAAAGAAGTACTCTGATTATAATTTATTTTTTATGGAAGAGGAAATGAGGCTCAGAGAGATTCAGTCACATCCCTAGGGTCTCAGAGATTGTAAGGGATGTAGGCAGAATTTGAACTCTGGTCTGCCTGACTCCAGGGACCGCATTTTTAACTATTTCTTCCCTGTTTCAATATTTATTAAATATCCACCACGAACAAGTTGCTTCTAATGTGTTGTACAACTATATGAGCCTCTCAAAATTGCCTTAAATGTGACCGTCTGGTTTTTTGTCTTGGACTACATCATGAAAAGTCAAACATTACAGTCGATGAGGTGTAAGAGACAAGGACCCTGAATTAAGACATTTTTGCTGAGAATGAAGTGGAGGAATCCTGAAGATCCTAAGGAAAAGAGGGTCTCAATATGACAAATCATATGAGTACCTTAGGCTTGAAGATTAGGAGTTGGGAATGAGAAAGAAAATGGCCTCCGGCAAAGACAATAAAACTTGATTGCAGTTTGACATGGTGGCAACTTTCCTTAAAAGAAGGAGAAGCTGGGAGAGAGATGGTGGTGAATAGAGGGAAGAGAGTATGTTTGGGTTGTGTGTGTGTGTGTGTGTGTGTGTGTGTGTGTGTGTGTGTGGTGTAGAGAGAGAGAGAAAGACATTCCTTGAGTCCGCCTCAGTTAAAAGTGATGGAATAGAGGAGGTCACCTAGAAACAAAGTGCAGAGGTAGCACAGAGCCCCAGGGAAGAAGGCGTGGCCGTGGAGGAGGTGAGATTAATCAGCTTCGCCTAAGGCAGCCACCATTAAATAAAGGATGCAGGGGGAGGAGGGGAGGCATTCTGGAAAGGCAAGGGTCAACAGTGGTTTCAGTGACAGCTATTCAGGGGCAAGGGAACAAAGGTGGGAAGACAGTGGGAGGAGCCCAGTTTGCAAGAACGAGGAAACAAACACCAACCAGGAAATCAGTGGAGGGACACAGGCAGGAGAAGGGCTGTATTCCTCCCTAGCGGGTGTTTAGGGGCTGGAAGTTGCAGGTGGGAGGGTGGCAGTTAAGGCCTATATGACCACAGGAGGGAGAGGAAAGCTTGGGGCAATCATAAAGAGGGTACTTAGATGCCTCTCTAAAAACTGAAGTTCACTGTGGCTATAAACTGTGAACAAATGTGCCCAAGGCATGTTACAGCTTTGGTCCATCTGGCCAGCTCAGTGCTTACCACACAGAGACCTGATCTGGTCATTAGAGTGGCTGCAAACACCAGCCCAAGTCTACCACAACCTGTTTCTGGGAGTTTGCTTTCTGATGGAGGAGGTATCTGATAGACACGTGCGAATGAGGGTAAAAAAATTAAATGCTACAAGAAATGGCTCGCTTCATAAAGAAGTCTTTTTCTTCCCCCCAAGTTGAAGGCCCAGTGAGCTTCACTTTGCAACCGAGTGGAATAAAGCGGGAGGATGTGGGTTTTGGGTTGGAAAGGCTGGGGATTGTGATCTGGTCCTGCCACTTTTGAATTGAGCCTGGGCTGTGATGTCCTCACAGTTCTCATCAATGGACCCTTTGCAGAGTCAGCGTCCAGACAGTGGCTGGCAGTGGAGGGGGCCGTGCCTTTGCTGTGGGAGTGGCAGGGAGGTGTGAGGGCAGAACAATCTGGTAGGACTCAGCAAATTTCCCAGAGCCCGATTTTATAATGATGTTGAGTAATAAAAAAAAAAATTTTATAGACACCCGTCTTTTCCATATAGCCAGGGAGGACAAGTCACATCTTGTTTCAAAATAGCAGATGCCAAATTTTAGGAGTCTGAGAGCTGGGGATTATGTGATAATATGAGGGTCGATCTGTTTTCTAAAAAATAAGTTTATCATGGCATATTTATTTATTATTACAGTTATTCATCTCTCTTTATCTAATCTATCCTATCCTCTCTGTCTATCTAGCCATCCATCCATTAATCCTGGCTAGAGACACTTGGCAAACTGAGAGACCCTTATCCCTACCTTCTAAATATGCAAGTGTGAGCTTATGAAGTATACAAAAAGTCGATTTTATATCTGCTTTTAGTGCCACATTCAGACTGTAAAAGCTGCTGTTAAAAAACCTTTAGGTAAATATTTGAAATATTCTAAAACTGACATTCTGAATGATATTCTGATGCCACTTCAATAATGTTTTATAAAATTCAGAGGAAAAATAGAATTAAGTAAATTTGAACTTTCCCTTTTCCGAGACACTTAAAGGCCGTACTATTTGCATATTCTAATGTGGGATCACTCTAGCTGGAGGTACAAAGCTTCAAAAGAAACTGTCCCTAGCAGGCCAGAAAAGCATGAGCCCTTATGGCCTCCGGCCTTTCATCTGTATAAGACAAAAATCAAAGTCTTTCCTTTTCAAAGTGGCTTCTGTGTAACCACTCACCACAGCCTACGCTTTCCAGCGCTGTCTTTGGAAGCACAATTAGAAGGTTTAAAAACCAGAAACACAAGCTCCATCCTATTTACACATTTAAAGTAAAGGTCATTCTCAGAAACTGGGCTTCCCAGATTTCTCCCCCTGAAATCCCTTAAGATATGTAATACCAACATAAAGGGAATCACAAATCCAGTTTTCAGAAAATGGCATTAAATATAGATTTAAACTTTGACCTTTAGTCCCAAGTGAGAGGACAAAAAATTCTCTTTACAGTGAAGGGCATGTTGCTACTAAGCTTCAATGAGTAGGAGAGAACCTGCCTGGTAGTAGCCAGGATTAAGAAGCGCCAATCGATTTACCTCCAATGCAGGTGTGCTACAAATCCGCTGGGCCCAGATGCAGCGCGTGATTGGGCCAGGCTCATCTATATTCTAGAGTTCGTAGAAGTAGCTTCTGGGAAACGGGGGTCTTCTTGGCTTGGGGAATTGACGTTTCCACGGCAATATTTGAAATGCGTTTGGAGTGAGCAGGAATAAGAGATGGAATACACAGGGTCTCCCACTCCACATTAGGGTCATGAGTAATAGTGGGAAATCCATGGGTAGCAGAGTGACGGATTGGGCAAACAGGGAAATCATGGAGACCCAGAGCATTCATATTTTTACATTCCTTATTACCCTGATTGCTCTGCAGGTGCTGACCAGGGCCCCAGGCTGCTGACCCACTCTGCGGCTCATCTCCCTGCTACATCATTGACAAGTTGATATGGGGGCCCAGGTGACAGCAGGGCGGGGGTGGGTGGATGATGGGCAGTGAGTAATGGAACTTATTGGAGAAAGGGACTATTGGTTATGTGCACACCCAGAAACAGAAGGAGAAATGTTTTGCTAGAAACATGGGCTTTGCTAGAAAAATTAGAGAAGTAATAAAATATACAGGAAACAGCACTGGACTGGGAGTCCATTTGTTTTGCTTCTAACTAGCAGGGTGAACTCACGATGACTAAGAAGCACATATTTTCATTTCACTAGAGACAGTGACCTTTAGCACAAACCTGATCTTGCTGATCTTATATCCATGGTTGCCTGCTCCATGCCTGGCTGATTCAGGGTACTTAGCAATGTTTGTTGATTGGATAAATGAGGGAAAGAAGAAAATTATTTGTTGTGTGTGGCCCCGGCACTCATCCATTCTCTTTAAAGAAATGGAAGCGTGAAGAGGTGAAATAACTTGATTGAGACCCCACTACTTGTCAGTTGCAGGAAGTAAAAAACCAAGGTATGCTACAAATAATAACAATGATGATGACGAGGGTTAAAATAATCAAGCACTTACTATTTGCCAGGAGTTGTGCTGTTTGTGTTAGTGATTTCCTCTTCTGTATCCAGGGCTGGGAAGCCTGAAAACTACATCTCCCAGACGTCCTTGCCAGGTTCGGTTCCATTCTGTCAATAGGAAGCACTCACAGAATACTGGGAAATGGGAGCAAAAAGTCATTATTTTGATATTTTAACTAATCCAGTGTCTTGTGCTGGTGGCTGCGCAGCAGCAGCAGCAGCAGCAGCAGCAGCAAACAACAGCAGGTGACCATGGGGCCCCTAACATAGCTGGTAAGTGACAATGCCCTGGGGTTTGTTGAGCTCCTGGGCCCGTGCAATGACCACAAAGGCCCAGGTCCTTGCTTTCTCATCATGGCAGCCAAGGTAACAAGAGTAGAGGAAGCAGAGGCACCATAGCAGCCCCATGGGGCAGAGCTCGTGAGCTATGGGCAACCCCACCTCCCTATGGTCTCCTGTCCCAGAGGGCAGGGTCTTCCTGTAGGTACCTATCTCTAAACAACACTGCCTTCCTGGTTTTGCTCCAGCAGCCCTTCCAAAACATTCATACCCAATCACTTGTATTAAACTTCCTTTGTTGAAATACCCAGGGTGGTTTCTGTTTCCTGACAGGACAGACTGATACTACTTTTCATGGCTTATCTCACTGCATTCTCATAGAAGCCTAGGAGAGGTTAGCTGTTAAAACTATACTTCCTATTCACAGATGAGGTAACTGAGGCTAAGAGATGCTAAGTGACTTGCCTCAGGTCACACAGCTATGTGGTGGCAGAGTGGGGACATAAATCAGGTCAGTCTGATGGCTAAATCCATGCATTTAACTCTGCCCCTCAAGAACGCCTCTGCTCCCTGCCCCTGGGTGAGTTTCTCAGGGCCTTTTGGGTATTCAGGGATGGGGGCTTCCTGCCTGCACTGTGTGAGACTGGCTTCTGTGGACCCTCTCCAGAATGCCCTTTCTCCAGGGCCCTTGTTTTCTGCCTCTTACCCTGAGCCTCATGATGTAGTCATTTCCTTCATAAAAAATGTTATAGGGACTGGTCCCTCTTTTAACAGCAAAAATAGCACAGGGCATGGCACTTGTTGGCAGGAGAAGCAAGGAGGTTACTTCAAGTGAGGGTTGCGGGGAGGAGGAGGGAGGATGATGAACAGGTTTAGGGTTATTACACAGCCGACAGGGGCCCCTGTTCTGTCAGGGCAACACTGAGGGCCCTGGGCCCTGGCTGGGGGTGAGGGTGAGCCCAGGGCCAGGATGGAAGGAGCTGGTTCATAGATATAGTTTAGCATGGTGCTGGGCTGTGAGTACTTAATGCGGTTAAAGAAAGAAAGGGCCATGAGACATTTAGTGCTGCAGGAGACACCAGGCTCAGGAGACGCTTGGACCAAAAGGGCTGAGGCAGTGCATATCTGCACTGGGAGGGAAGAGCTGGGAAGCCAGCACAGACATGCTGTCGGGGGTTCCAGGGGGCTAGAAAGGGATAGTGTAGACTCTGGGCTTTGAGCAGGCTCTGGAGTAAGGGGTAAGATAAGAAGTGGCTGTACGGGAGGGAGCAGGAGAAAGCACAATTGGAGGTATCTTCAGACTAAATTCTAAACTCCCGGGATAAATACTACAAAACTTCCTGTCTCCCTTCTAAATGTCTGAGAACCACTCTGGAAGCCTTCAGGTGCCATTCAGCGTTGAAGCTTCCTCCACAGGAGACAAATCCAAGGAATAATTTGGCATTCTCTGTATTAGTCCACTTTCACGCTGCTGATAAAGACATACCCAAGACTGCGCAATTTACAAAAGAAAGAAGTTTAATGGACTTACGGTTCCACATGGCTGGGGAGGCCTCACAACCATGGCAGAAGGCGAAAGGGATCAAGTCACGTCTTACATGGATGGCAGCAGGCAAAAAGAGGACTTGTGCAGGGAAATTCCCGTTTTTAAAACCATCAGATCTCATGAGACTTACTATCATGAGAACAGCATGGGAAAGATGCACCCCCAAGATTCAATTACTTCCCACCAGGTTCCTCCCACGACACCTGGGAATTGTGGGAGTTACAATTCAAGATGAGATTTGGGTGGGGACTCAACCAAACCATATTATTCTTTCCAGCCTTTCTCCATCTCTCCATAAGCTCTGTCCACCTCACCCAGCACCCCTGGCCCAGAGCTCAGGACTCCGTCTCTGCTGTGACTCAGTAAGGAAGCTCCTTTACATCAGAACTTTGCTGAAGGAAACTCCCTCACGCCCAAGTCCATGTCTCCTATCCTGTTCCTCTAGGTTCCTGCCATTGAACTGAATAGCTATTTTGATAAATGCTCTTGAACTTACGATATCAATGGCTTGTTATAACTTAAAATGTTCCCCTTCCAAAAACCATTTGTATTTTAATACAAGCCTTCAGCACTTCATTCAAAGGAGTGAGTAATGTGGAATTTCGAATGTCATTGACATGAAATTTATGTCAGTTAAAAATGTCTTTGGCTTTAACAGAAAGCCATGCTACAGTGGCTTAAAGAAGTAAAGGTGTTTATGATAGACACACATTCACACCCACACCCACACCTATGCAAATTGTTGAGTTGTCTGTCCAGGGCTTATATGGCAGCTCTATCCCATCACTACAGGCCAAACTTCCCTCTCTCCTCCTGCTTTATCCCCATGGTTGCAAGAAGATCACGTGAAGTATTGCAACCACGATGGGGCAAAGAGGATGAAAAAGGGGGAGACACAGAGACTATCTCCCCAGGGACTTCTGCTGACATCTCATCGGCTAGAACTGAGTCACATAGCCAACCCCCAGCTGCAAGGGAGCCTGTGGAAGAGAGCTTTTGATTTTTATTTATTTTAAATAATTTGGCATAGTGACACTCAAAATCAAAAAGGAGGTTCTGTTAGTAAGTGGAAAAGAGAATGGATGGGGAATTGGCCATAACAGTGTCTGCCATAAACAGCAACATGCTAGGGCTGAAGAGACCTCAGAGAACATGTTGTCCCACCCTCTTCCTCTATGGAAAATGTGCAGAGGGATGTGCTGAGAAGGGAAGGGATGGACCTGTGTGAAACCACACCAGTCTGTGCCTCTCAGCCCACTGCCCACTCCATCACCCCACGTCTCATCTCCTAGAGCCAAGGCGTGTGCTTTAAAACAAGGAAGAAGAGGTCTCCCTTTCTCCCGTGTCCACCTGCTCTACCCATTGCAGAAAGCCACCCCCCCACCCCCCGCCACCGCCGTCCTCTGGTACAGTTAGAATGGCTTTGGGTTTTTACATTTTTTCTTTGCCATTTTAACCATTTCTAAGTTTAGAATTCAGTGACATTGACTACGTCTACAATATACTTTATGTGCAGTCATTGCCACTATTCTGTATTTTGCTTTTCATTGCTAATGTAATGTTGGGTTTTCCAGACGTAGGGTTCAGAGATTGAGATTGGAAATAAAGGCAGTGAAATATTTAATTCGTTCAAAAACACAAAGTGCTTTTACTATTAGATGTGTCTAACAGTTTAGAAAGACATGTAGTTTCTTCCTGGGAACATGTGGTTTCTGATCTGGATTATTTATCCCCCTCCAATAAATGTTACGTGTAACTCTCTTGCACAGAAAGCTGGCATCAGGGCCAAGCTGCCCCATCTTTTATTCAAGGGCATCAGTATCAATCCCCTTGTGTTTGTACTCAGATTCTACAAATAAATTATTTTCTTTGGATGTTCTCGGGGCCATTTTGTGATTTGGGGCGATGAACATACCTCTGGATTCCTAATCCCTGTGAATTGGGCCATGACCAGAAAATGATGAGAAATTTGGGGGAGGTAAAGACAGTTTCCAGCCCACAAACAACCTTCCACTCTTCGAAAAATTCCTCTGAGTCTCACGGGCAGAAAATGGAGTCCTATAACTTCAGTAGACGGTAAGACTCTGGAGAGAGACAACTGGTGCAATTTCCATCTCTTGAAACATTTAAAATGTATCTGATCAAAGGAGGAGAAAATTAACCACAGTGTAGGAAACTGGCAGGGGGACGGACAAGATGACCTAATTTGCCTTTCTCATTACTAATTTCAGTAGGAGTTGTCTCTGGGAATTCCACACTGAAATTCCAAGGCAAGAGCTCCACAGTGGGAATTTGTGGCTTCAGAAAATGACACTCTGGACTCCTGATTTTCGAAGCCTCTGCTGTTGCATCCTTCGGGGTTTAGCGTCGAACTAAATTCTTCTCAGATAGACACATGAGGCCCCATTCTTATCTACATAATAACTTTGGAGAAATTTTCCCTTTGGGTTTCAAAGGATGTGATTTAGGCCTACGAAAGTTGGGGCTATGCAATGAATTCATTACTTGCTGAAATAAAAATCAACACAAATATGTCTTTGCCTTAATGAAAAAAAAAAAAAACCCACACCACTTAGTTGCTTTACCAATCTCTGGATTCAATTAATTTTTAACATGGAAGTAAAGTCTCTTTTATTTTTTTTCTCCTTTCAAGCCAGACGTTTATTTTTAACAAGGGATGAAATCATCTGAGAACAAAACGGGACATCTGTTACTTTATATCTGTTTATTTTAAGTACTTAAATCTGAGTTTGATTTCACACAATTTTGACATTGTTGCTTCATTAATAATCCTTACGTAATTGCGACCTCAGAGTGAGCCCTGCGATTGCAGCATTCACTTCTCATGAGCACAGAGTCTGATAGGAAAGCCAGAGTCACCCTGGGATGGGAGAGGCTTCCATGTTCAAAGGTGGTCCAAACGCGGACCCCAGCAACAGCAGGAAATCACCTCAAAAGGCGCAAGGAGAAGGCCTCTGATGGAGCCCCCAACATGAGAAAATGATGGCCTGTAGTCTGCTGTTCATGTTTGCATGGTCCAATTTTGCAGAAGTTGTTGGATGGGCAACCTAGTGGCAGCAGTTGTTGCAAGAAAAATAAAAGATTGCATATGAAACACACAGAACTAACACCTACATATGTGTACACAACGGTGTGTTGGACCACAAGTACCACTTCATCTACCAGGTCAACCAACCTGCCTTCCAAGAGCCCTGGGATGCAGAGTGGTGAGCAGGTAGGAAGTATGAGAGAGCTGCAGAGCTTCACAGAGAGGGGCTCTCTGGCCACAGTGTGGCTGGCAGATGGGTGTGGCCTGGAACCTGGGTCTGAGAATGGAGAAGTGGGGCTCACAGATGGGAATGTGAAATAAGGGCAGTAGAATTTTTAATTCATTCAATTCATGTGTAGAACATATACTTAATAAGCCCTATGCCAAGCACTGGATATATGTGGTAAACAGATGATACTTCCGTTTATGAAGGGTAAGAGATTAGGGGGCTATGAGAATGACAGAGGGGTCTATTTGAGATTTAGGTGTCATAGAAGGACACTCAAAGAGATAAAATTTAAGCTGCCACTAGAAGGATGGGAATGAGCTAGAAACAGGAAGAGGAAGGGAGAGAATTCAAGCCAGAGGAAACAGCCTAATGGAAAGCCCAGAAAGAGAAAGAGATTGGCATGTTGGAGAGACAGAAAGGGGGCCAGTGTGGCTGGAGTACAGTGAAAGACAGAGAGGGAGTGGAGAAGGAGAGGAGGGAGAAGACGATGGAGATGAAGATGGGAGTCATGCTTGGTTTTACAGGCCAAGGCGAGGCATGTGGATTTAACTGTATACGCACAAGGGAACTTACTGGTACTTTTTAGTAGGCAAGTAAAATGATTGGGTTTATGCCTTCATGCTGGCCATAGGGGGAGTGAATTACAAGGAGCAAGAGCCAAAGCAGGGAGGTGAACTTCATAAGCTGCTGTTGTGGTCTAGGTATGGGTCACAGCGGAGATGGTGGGAAGGGGGCAGGTAGCGGCAATCTTTAGGGTAAGATCAACAGGGAATGCTGATGGACTGGATGTGGCAGTGAGGAAGTGTCACAGGATCTTTAGGGTGTCACTTCGCCAGCCAGAAACCTCTGCAGCTGGTGGCGCCTTCTGCCTGAGTATTGCTCATGCCCGCTGGGGTTGTTCTGACCACTTGGCCCAGCAGGCTATGCACTACTCATTTTGCACTACTGGCCAGGATCCCACACTGGTCAAGCAGAAGCCAGGTACAGAGTGGCGAGGAGTGTGTGGGTAAGCAAGCATGTGGTCCAGCCACTGTTCACAGCTAAGCACACTGGCTGCTGCACAGGGCAGGCAACTCCAGGTACCAGCTCTGTGCAGGGCTGCAGCTGGACCAGATACACTGTATGTGGCTTCCTCTGAGGGCACACATTTCTGGACACGGGGAACGCAGTGCTGCCTGGAAGCACGGAGATGCCAGGAACCACAGAAATCCAAAAAGGTATCACAGCCCTGGCTTGGGGAGCCCCTAGGTCTGGGCTCCAAAAGGGCCACAGCTCTTCTCTCCTTGTTGTCTGCAACATGGTGAGCAGGGGGGCGTGTTTCAGCCCTGTTTGTGTTACAGCTCTTTTAGTCCCACCATTTGGTGGGTACTGAGTTCCTGTTCTGTGTCCGGGAAGAATAAGGTACGTGGACAACTGGAGGGTAAGCAAGGCAGAGAAGAGCTTCACTGAGTGGCAGAACAGTCCTCAGGAGACGCAAAGTGGGTAGCTCCTTTCTGCAGGCAGGTTGTCCCCATTAGCATCCAGCTCTCAGAGGAGATGAGACCTGCAGTGGGGTAGCTCCCTCCCACAGGCAGGTCACCCCAACGTCTGTGCACCCCTCAGCAGAGAGGAGACCTGGAGTGGGTAGCTCCTATCCTCAGGCAGGTCATCCCATCATCTGCAACCCTCAGTGGAGAGGAGACCTGGAGTGGGTTCCTAATCATAGGCAGGACATTCTGTCCTCTGCCTGAGTCTGGCTGAGTCTGGGGTTTTTATGAGCTTCTGAGGGGAGAATGTGTGTGTTGATTGGTCCATGGGTGCCATAGGTGGGCCCAGAAAAAGCACCATAAATTCTCACTCTGGTCCACAGAACTGACACCCTGGCCCTCAAGCTTCAGGCTGTCCCTGGCTTGAAGGTGGGACTTCAACAGGGACCCACCTCTTTCCACCCAGGAGCCTGTCTGCCTCCTGTTGCCATCCGTACGTCATCTACAGTGCCCATGGTCCCCAGGCTGTTCATGGCAAGGGGTGCCTGCAGGCCCATGCCAAGCTGCCCTCAGCCTCCTCTTGGCCTCCCTCCCATGCTTTTTGGTGCCCAAAGTTCAGAGGGGGCCAAGGTGGCAGAGGGCTGGCATATTAGCACTGCCCCAAGCACGTGCACACCAGGCCAGGTAGTGATAATGCCTGGGTTCAGCCACAACTTGGTCTGAAATCAGAGCAGGTGCTGTGAGTGGGGAGAAGCCAGGCAGCATGAGCAGACAGTTTGAGCCAGCAGGGACAGAGGGGTTTCCCTGGTCCCCTAGAGCACAGGGATGCCTGGGTCTGTAGCCATGGCTGGGTGGCTGCAGCTACACCTGGGAGGGTGGGGCTCCCACCCCTCCAACTTGAGAGGGGGTAGGACTCCTGCCAGCTCCATGGGGTGCACTGCCCCAGCCACAAGTGCCCCACTGCAGTTGGTGTCATGTCAGCAGCCACTCCAGACAGGCTGCCACTGCCATCAGAAAGACGAGGGACCAGGACTATTGCACAGGTTTCTGAGTCAAACATCTCAGTGAACAGTGGTCCTATTTGTCAAGATGAAAAAGGTGGGATGGGGTAGGCAGGGAACTAGGTTGTTGGGATAGGTTTGGGGATGAGAAACAAAATACTCCATTTAGGACATGTTGGCAATGAGATGTCAAATTGTCAGTCAAATATTTGAGTCCAGAGTTCTTAAAACAGGTCTGGCTTGCAGATATAAATTTGGAGTTGTTGACAAGTAGATGGTTTTTAAAACCATGGCAATGAATGATGTTACCTGGATTTTGAATAAAAGTGAGTAAGTATTGTGCTGGCTAGAGGTCCTCCAGAGAAGGAAGAAAGGTGCCATATTTACTTCACAGTATGTTTTGGAATGTTTTAAAGTAAATTATGGACATGATATTTCACTCCTAAATTCTTTAGTGTACATATTCACAAAATGAGGACATCTTCCTACTTAAGCACAATCCCAGAAATGACATTTAGGTTCATCAACTCAGAGCCAGCTCTTGCCCTGGGCTCAGCAGTGTCCATTTATATTTTTCTTCTAATTCTCACAACAACTCTATGAAGAAGGTATGACTGGCCCATTCTATCAACAAGGACACAATGGCTCAGAGAGCGTTTGTAACTTATCCAAGGCCAGGTAACTAGAGAGGTGTGCAGCCAAGATTCAAAACCAAGTCTGGCTGTAGAGCTTTCCCTCAGTCACTACTTAGCTGCAGAAAATGGCCTAGAAACTCATCTGCATGGAAGGCATATGATCTTTCTCCCCCTCGGGCCCCGTCCTTGACCTGGCATCTTTGTCTTGGGAAACTGTCTTTTCCTCAGAGCATTTGACAGACCCCACAATTTCCATTTATTTCCCCCGCCCCCCCAAGTTCAGAACGCTATACTTTGATTCAGGCCAGGCCTAGCCTAATGCCCTGAAGGCATTAGGAGTCTGGTTGCCCAGTGATCATAGATTTTTTTTTTTTTTTTGAGACAGGATCTTCCTTTATCACCCAGGCTGCAATGCAGTGGTGCAATCAAGGCTTGCTGCAGCCTTGACCTTCCAGGCTTAAGCAGTCCTCCCACCTCAACCTCCTGAGTAGCTGGGACTACCTGCATGCACCACCACACCAGGCTAATTAATTTTTTTTTTTTTTAAGAGATGGTGTCTCACTATGTTGCCAGGGCTGGTCTCACACTCCTGGGCTCCAGTGATCCTCCCACCTCGACCTCCCAAAGTGCTGGAATTACAGGCCTGAGCTACTGCACTTGGCCTTGATCACAGATTTTGAGAAGCTAGCTTTAATTCCTTCTTGAGCTGCCCACTGCAGTCAAGGGATGGCAGGGCAGGCAACAGCCTTTCCCTAAGGCTTGGCAAGGGAGTAGAGGTAGAGTGAGGGGTTCTGACAGTGGTGACAGGATGGGGCAGGATGCATTACCATTGTGTATGCTATAGTCATATCAATATCTCACCCTCCCAGGCCTACCCTCCAGAGGAAAGCCTGGGGTTGTGTCCCTGAGGGACTGCCCCAGCTTCCTGCAAGCCGTGATGGAGGGTAGGGGATGGGTGGAGTTGACTCAAGTATACTGCCAGTTCTGATCTCCCTAGGAAGGGTGTCCTTAGTTCGCCCCCACCATCCTCCTTATTGTAGATTGTGTAGACTTCAGGTGTAGGGAGGCCTGTATCATTCAAAGGAGGGTGTGTGTGCACCAGAGTGCTCATGGTGGCCTCCCAATCACACTCCAGCCCTTACCCTATTTTTTCTTCATACCATTTATCAGCATCTGCTGGAAACATGTTTGCTTACTATCTGTCCCTACTAGAATTTAAGCTTCCTGAGCAAAAACTTTTGCTAGTTTGGCTCAGAATTCATTCTCAGCACCAATAAGAGTGCCTGGCACATAGTAGGCACTTAATACATGGTTGCTGAATTAATGATTTTATCAATCAATCATGTAGAGCTATAGACATATCTAAGTAATGATCAAGTAGATTCAAAATAGTCCGTAGCAGACTTCTGTCCACCTGCACCTCACCCTGCAAAGCTTCAAAACACTTTCCTGTCTCACAAATCTCAACAGTCAAAAGAATGGGAAAAGGAAAAGAAGGAAGGAAAGCGCTAGAGGAGAGAGTGAGTACAGGCAACACCAGAGCCAACCAGAGGGAGCCTCATTCAGAGCAAAGTGGAGAACCCAGGCTGGTTTTCAAGGCCTCCAGGTGGGGCACAGGAAGGTCGCATTACTCTGAAGCCAGAAAATTCAAGGAGTTGTAGCTTTTGATCATCAACTTATTCCAGGCTGGCTTAGAGGTCTGGGGAGGACATTCAGGTGCTCTGAAATACAGCGATAATCAAGAGAAAGAGGGAGTCTTAAATTGAGGATGGAGAGCAATATACTCAGGTTAATGGAAGCACTAGCAATATTAAATGAAATTGCTCTACCACTTCTTCATAAGGCGGCACTGGGGAGCCCGCTTTTTGCACAAGCAGGGAGGGTCCTGGGATTTAGCAGGAGGGCGGAGGGGCTGGGGAATCAGTCATGCAGCAACCATTACGGTTCATGGGCGCCCAGCTCGCAACCCCTCAGCGCACCTGCCGCATATTTACTCAGGCCCACGCAGGAGCCAGGCAAATTTGGGCAGGATTTCAAGGGAGGCTGGAGCCAGGGGAGCCTGCTTTAGTCCAATTAAATGAAGCAGTATCAGGTGGAAAGTAATTCTGAGTATTCACCATTATAGGGAGTTTTGTGTTTAAGCCCCTCAATGGACTTTCTTTTAATGAAGAGCTAAATGCGGGGTCTGGAAGTGGGCAGGAGGAATTGCTCCAACTAGCGGAGCTGAATCTCTCCCTGAGGAAGGCACACAAGGGCAGGCAGAGTTTCCTAAGGGCTACATCTTGTGGCCCCCACTAGACACTCCAACCTGGATCCCGGGACACCTCTATGGACATGTTACTTCCATTTTGTAAAGATAATCGGGAAACCTCACCAGGCCTGGGGCGCTAGGAACCTGATTTGAATCATCACAGGCGGATCCAATGCACTTAAATCTTTGGGGATCTTCTTCCTGCTTCCTGCCTGTCTGTCTGCCTTCCCCAGTGTTGGTCTTCTGAGGCAGTGGAAGCCAAAGAAGTGAAGATGAGCTAACAGGGTTGCAGAGAATCAAGAGTCTTATATAACTGTCTTAGGTAAAAACAAGCCCACTAGTGTAGGTAATAAATGAAAGAGGAGAAGAGTGCAATTCACGAATTCGAACAGCACAAAGAGGATGAGCTGTTTTTAAACTGTTGATGATACCAGAGAAATCTCTCCATCAGTGGACATTTACAGAGGACTTCAGGTGTGCCAAGCACCTGAGGAGACAGTCAGAGGGGGTACCACCCAGAGAAGCACAAAACAGGATTTCCGCCCTCAAACAGCTCATGATGACAATGCCCTGAAGGTATCTGTAGAGCTAAGGAGACAAAGCAAAATTTCGTTAAATGAAATAACCAGGCATAATTTAACCACACAAACAATACCCAGACCCTTATTTCAGGCCCTAATTTTTGTTGCCTGCAACAGTACTCCAGGCATATCTGAGTATCCAGTCCTGCTCACCATTCCCATGACTTTTTAGATGTAGACATCAAAGATGGGGCAGCCAGAGCTAAAGGCCCCAGTATTGGAGTGTTATTGGCCAGATGTTTATTATCAATATACACCACTGGTTCTAAAAAAAAGTCAGTGATAAAATATGCTTCCCTTACCCCCCATAATCCTCTGGTAGATAACGTTAAGCAATTGTTAAAAATTTCTATAAAGTGTTATTTACATATGTGTACATTTTTATTTATAATTTAATAAACTTCGTATTCTACATGGAAGTTAATTAATTCTCATCCATATGGTCTCCAATACAGGTAGACACATATATTTGTCTTCCTTTTGAGAGTAAATTCCTGCAGGTACAGATTATTGGGGTTCACTTTGGGTGCAGTATTTGCAGGGAGTCCAGGTTTGTATCTTCCACTCCTGTGATAGAACATATCCCTGCTTTTAAACAACATATTTTATTATTATTATTATTATTATTATTATTATTATACTTTAAGTCCTGGGATACGTGTGCAGAACATGCAGTTTTGTAACATAGGTATACACGTACCAGGGTGGTTTGCTGCATCCATCAACCCATCACCTACATTAGGTATTTCTCAAAATGTTATCCCTCCCCTAGCCCCCTACCCCCTGACAGGCCGCAGTGTGTGATGTTCCCCCTGTGTCCATGCATTCTCATTGTTCAACTCCCCTTTGTGAGTAAGAACATGTGGTGTTTGGTTTTCTGTTCTTGTAATAGTTTGCTGAGAATGATGGTTTCCAGCTTCATCCATGTCCCTGCAAAGGACATGAACTCATCTTTTTTTATGGCTGCATACTATTCCATGGTGCATATGTGCCACATTTTCTTTATCCAGTCTATTGTTGATAGATATTTGGATTGGTTCCAAGTCTTTGCTATTGTGAATAGTGCTGCAATAAACATATGTGTGCAGGTGTCTTTATAGTAGAATTATTTATAATCCTTTGAGTATACACCGAGTAACAGGATTGCTGGATCAAATGGTATTTCTAGTTCTAGATCCTTGAGGAATTGCCACACTGTCTTCCACAATGGTTGAACTAATTTACACTCCCACCGACAATGTAAAAGCTTTCCTATTTCTCCACATCCTCTCCAGCATCTGTTGTTTCCTGACTTTTTAATGATGGCCATTCTAACTGGCGTGAGATGGTATCTCATTGTGGATATGATTTGCATTTCTTTAATGACCAGTGATGATGAGCATTTTTTCATATGTCTGTTGGCTGCGTAAATGTCTTCTTTTGAGGACTGTTTGTGCATATCCTTTGCCCACTTTTTGATGGAGTTTGTTTTTTTCTTGTAAATTTGTTTAAGTTCTTTGTAGATTCTGGATATTAGCCCTAGTCAGATGGATAGATTGCAAAAATTTTCTCCCATTCTCTAGGTTGCCTGTTCACTCTGATGATAGTTTCTTTTGCTGTGCAGAAGCTGTTTACTTTCATTAGACCCCATTTATCCATTTTGGCTTTTGTTGCCATTGCTTTTCGTGTTTTAGGCATGAAGTCTTTGCCCATGCCTATGTCCTGAATGGCACTGCCCAGGTTTCGTTCTAGGATTTTTATGGTCCTATGTCTTATGTTTAAGTCTTTGATTCATCTTGAGTTGATTTTTGTATAAGGTGTAAGGAAGGGGTCCAGTTTCAGTTTTCTGCATATGGCTAGCCAGTTTTCCCAACACTATTTATTAAATAGGGAATCTTTTCCCCATTGCTTGTTTGTGTCAGGTTTGTCAAAGATCAAATTGTTGTAGATGTGTGGTGTTATTTCTGAGGCCTCTGTTCTGTTTCATTGGTCTATATATCTGTTTTGGTACCAGTACATGCTATTTTGGTTACTGCAGCCTTGTAGTATAGTTTGAAGTCAGGTAGCATGATGCCTCCAGCTTTGTTCTTCTTGCCCAGGATTGTCTTGGCTATGTGGGCTCTGTTTTGGTTCCACGTGAAGTTTAAATTAGTTTTCTCCAATTCTGTGAAGAAAGTCAGTGGTAGCTTGATGGGGATAGCATTGAATCTATAAATTACTTTGGGCAGTATGGCCATTTTCACGATATTGATTCTTCCTATCCATGAGCATGGAATGTTTTTCCATTTGTTTGTGTCCTCTCTTATTTCTTTGAGCAATGGTTTGTAGTTCTCCTTGAAAAGGTCCTTCACATCCCTTGTAAGTTGGATTCCTAGGTATTTTATTCTCTTTGAAGCAATTGTGAATGGGAGTTCACTCATGATTTGGCTCTCTGTTTGTCTGTTACTGATGTATAGGAATTAATAACATAGGAATCAATGTGATTTTTGCACATTGATTTTGTATCCTGAGACTTTGCTGAAGTTGCTTATCAGCTTAAGGAGATTTTGGACTGCAATGATGGGGTTTTCTAAATATACAATCATGTCATCTGCAAACAGGGACAATTTGACTCCCTCTCTTCCTATTTGAATACCCTTTTTTGCTTTCTCTTGCCTGATTGCCCTGGCCAGAACTTCCAATACCATGTTGAATAGGAGTGGTGAGAGAGGGCATCCTTGTCTTGTGCCAGTTTTCAGAGGGAATGCTTTGAGTTTTTGCCCATTCTGTATGATATTGGCTGTGGGTTTGTCATAAATAGCTCTTATTATTTTGAGATACGTTTCACTGATACCTAGTTTATTGAGAGTTCTTAGCATGAAGCGGTGTTGAATTTTGTCAAAGGCCTTTTCTGCATCTATTGAGATAATCGTGATTTTTGTCATTGTTTCTGTTTATGTGATGGATTATGTTTATTGATTTGCATATGTTGAATCAACCTTGCATCCCAGGGGTGAAGTCAACTTGATCGTGGTGGATAAGCTTTTTGGTGTGCTGCTGGATTCGGTTTGCCAGTATTTTACTAAGGATTTTTGGACCGATGTTCATCAGGGATATTGGCCTGAAATTTTCTTTTTTTGTGGTGTCTCTGCCAGGTTTTGGTATCATGATGACGCTGGCCTCATAAAATGAGTTAGGGAGGATTCCCTCTTTCTCTATTGTTTGGAATACTTTCAGAAGGAATGGTACCAGCTCCTCTTTGTACCTCTGGTAGAATTCGGCTGTGAATCTGTCTGGTTCTGGACTTTTTTTGGTTGGTAGGCTATTAATTACCGCCTCAATTTCAGAACTTGTTATTGTTTATTCAGGGATTCGGCTTCTTCCTGGTTTAGACTTGGGAGGGTGTATGTGTCCAGGAATGTATCCATTTCTTCTATATTTTCTAGTTTATTTGGATAGAGGTGTTCTCGGATGGTAATTTGTATTTCTGTGGGATCATTGGTGATATCCCCTATATCATTTTTTATTGTGTCTATTTGATTCTTCTTTCTTTTCTTCTTTATTAGTCTGGCTAGCGATCTATTTTGTGGATCTTTTCAAAAAAGCACCTCCTGGATTCATTTATTTTCTGAAGGGTTTTTTTGTCTCTATCTCCTTCAGTTCTGCTCTGATCTTAGTTATTTCTTGTCTTCTGCTAGATTTTGAAATTGTTGGCTGTTGCTTCTCTAGTTCTTTTAATTTTGATGTTAGGGTGTCAATTTTAGATCTTTCCTGCTTTCTCTTGTGGGTATTTAGTGCTATAAATTTCCCCCTAAACCCTGCTTTAAATGTGTCCCAGAGATTCTGGTACATTGTATCTTTGTTCTCCCTGGTTTCAAAGAATATCTTTATTTCTGCCTTCATTTTGTTATTTACTTGGTAGTCATTCAGGAGCAGGTTGTTCAGTTTCCATGTACTTGTGCGGTTTTGAGTGAGTTTCTTAATCCTGAGTTCTAATTTGATTGCATGTGGTCTGAGAAACTTTGTTATGATTTCTGTTCTGTTGCATTTGCTGAGAAGTGTTTTACTTCCAATTATGTGGTCAATTTTAGAATAAGTGTGATGAGGTGCTGAGAAGAATCTATGTTCTGTTGATTTGGGATGGAGAGTTCTATAGATGTCTATTAGGTCTGCTTGGTCTAGAGCTGAGTTCAAGTCCTGAATATCCTTGTTAATTTTCTGTCTCGTTGATCTAATATTGACAGTAGGGTGTTAAAGTCTCCCACTATTATTGTGTGGGAGTCTAAGTATCTTTGTAGGTCTCTAGGAACTTGCTTTATGAATCTGGGTGCTCCTGTATTGGGTGCATATATATTTAGGATAGTTAGCTCGTCTTGCTGCATTGATCCCTTTACCATTGTGTAATGCGCTTCTTTGTCTTTTTTGATCTTTGTTTGTTTAAAGTTTGTTTTATCAGAAATCAGGATTGCAACCCCTGCTTTTTTTTTGCTTTCCATTTGTGTGGTAGATATTCCTCCATCCTTTTATTTTGAGCCTATGTGTGTCTTTCCACGCGAGATGGGTCTCCTGATTACAGCACACTGATAAGTCTTGACTCTTTATGCAATTTGCCAGTCTGTGTCTTTTAATTGGGGCATTTAGCCTGTTTACATTTAACATTAATATTGTTATGTGTGAATTTGATCCTGTCATTATGATGCTAGCTGGTTGTTTTGCCTGTTAGTTGATGCAGTTTCTTCATGTTCTTTACATTGGCATGTTTTTGCAGTGGCTGGTACCAGTTGTTCCTTTCCATGTTTAGTGATTCCTTCAGGAGCTCTTGTAAGGCAGGCCTGGCGGTGACAAAATCTTTCAGCATTTGCTTGTCTGTAAAGGATTTTATTTCTCCTTCACTTATGAAGCTTAGTTTGGCTGGATATGAAATTCTGGGTTGAAAATTCTTTTCTTTAAGAATGTTGAGTAGGGTATTGGCTCCCACTCTCTTCTGGCTTGTAGGGTATTTGCCAAGAGATGTACCGTTAGTCTGATGGGCTTCCCTTTGTGGGTAACCTGACGTTTCTCTCTGGTTTCCCTTAACATTTTTTCCTTTATTTCAACCTTGGTGAATCTGATGATTATGTATCTTGGGGTGGCTGTTCTCGAGAAGTATCTTTGTGGTGTTCTCTGTATTTCCTGAATTTGAACGTTGGCCTGTCTTGTTAGATTGCGGAAGTTCTCCTGAATAATATCCTGAAGAGTGTTTCCCAACTTGGTTCCATTTACCTTGTCACTTTCAGGCATGCCAATCAAACATAAATTTGGTCTTTTCACATAGTCCCATATTTCTTGGAGGCTTTTTCATTCCTATTTATTTTTTCTCTAATCTTGTCTTCTCTATTTCATTAAGTTGACCTTCAATCTCTGATATCCTTTTTTTCTGGTTGATCGATTCGGCTACTGATACTTTTGTATGCTTCATGAAGTTCTGTGCTGTGTTTTTCAGCTCCATCAGGTCATTTATGTTCTTCTCTAAACTGGTTATTCTAGTTAGCAATTCCTCGAACCTTTTATCAAGGTTCTTAGCTTCCTTGAGTTGGGTTAGAACATGCCCCTTTAGCTCAGAGGAGTTTCTTATTACCCACCTTCTGAAGCCTACTTCTGTCAATTCATCAAACTCACTCTCTATCCAGTTTTGTTCCCTTGCTGGTGAGGAGTTGTGGTCCTTTGGAGGAGAAGAGGCATTTTGGTTTTTGGAATTTTCAGCCTTTTTGCAGTGGTTTCTTACCATCTTTGTGAATTTATCCGACTTTGGTCTTTGATGATGGTTACCTTTGGGTGGGGTCTTTGAGTGGACGTGCTATTCCTTTCTGTTAGCTTTCCTTCTGACAGGCCTCTCTGCTGCCAGTCTTCTGGAGTTTGCTGGAGGTCCACTCCTGGACCCTGTTTGCCTGGGTATCACCAGCGGAGGCTGTAGAACAGCAGAGATTGCTGTCTGATCTTTCCTCTGGAAGCTTCATCCCAGAGGGGCACCTGCCAGATGCCAGCCAGAGCTCTCCTATATGAGGTGTGTCTCCCAGTCAGGATACACGAGGGTCAGGGACCCACTTGAGGAGGCAGACTGACTCTTAGCAGAGCTCGAATGCTGTGCTGGGAGATCCACTCCTCTCTTCAGAGCTGTCAGGCAGGGACGTTTAAGTCTGCTGAAGCTGCACCTACAACCGCCCCTTCCCCCAGGTGCTCTGTCCCAGGGAGATGGGGGTTTTATCTGTATGTCCCTGACTAGGGCTGTTGCCTTTTTTTCAGAGATGCCCTGCCCAGAGAAGAGAAATCTGTCAGTCTGGCCACAGCAGCCTTGCTGAGCTGCAGTGGGCCCCACCCAGTTCAAACTTCCCAGTGGCTTTGTTTACACAGTGAGCGTAAAACTGCCTACTCAAGCTTCAGCAAGGGCAGATGCCCCTGCCCCCACCAAGCTCAAGCATCCCAGGTGGATGTCAGACTGCTGCTGTGCTGGCAGCGAGAATTTCAACCCAGTGGATCTTAGTTTGCTGGGCTCCATGGGGGTGGCACCCGCCGAACCAGGCCACTTGGCTCCCTGGCTTCAGCACCCCTTTCCAGTGGAGTGAATGGTTCTGTCTTGCTGGCCTTCCAGGCACCAGTGGGGTATGGAAAAAAAGAACTCTTGAAGCTAGTTTGGTGTCTGCCCAAATGGCCGCCCCGTTTTTTGCTTGAAATCCAGGGTCCTGGTGGGGTGGGGCACGGAAGGGAATCTCCTGGTTTGCGGGTTGCGAAGACCCTGGGACAAGCGCAGTATCTGTGCTGGAGTTCCTTGGACTCAGTCCCTCACAGCTTCCCTCCGGTAGGGGAGAAAATTCCCTGACTCCTTGCGGTTCCTGGGTGAGGCAACGCCCCAGCCTGCTTTGGCTTGCCCTCCGTGGACTGCACCCAGTGTCCAACCAGTCCCAATGAGATGAACCGGGTACCTCAGTTGGAAATGCAGAAATCACCTGCCTTCTGTGTCAGCCTCGCTGGGTGCTGTAGACCGGAGGTATTCCTATTGGGCTATCTTGCCAGCCTTAACAACAGATTTTTTTTTTTTTAAGCGATGGTATGTGATTGTAAGGATGAAAAAACAAAACTTGGGTTCTATCAGTGTTGCCATTTTATGTGACCTCTTGGAGTTTTTGGGTTTGAAATTCAAGACAGTGAAACAGTGCAAACTTTGAGATGTAATGTTGTTGTTTAATAAATATAAGTTTTAGTACATATATGAAATATTTTGCTGACTTTGACTAGTATCTTTAAGGTTGATATTTCTCCTTTTTTAAGTTGCTAATTGTTCGTTTTAAAACTAAATAACAAATAAAAATTTTATAATTGAATGCTACACACTGATTCCTAAAAATTAATGTGATATAGGGGATGGTATCAAATAATGACCTGCTCTGAGTATAAAATATATTAGGACATCCCTGCTTTCTAGAAATTCCAGAACTTGTCCTGGAAGAATTCAGACCTGAATTCATGACCTGGATGTTGCTTGGGTTGGTAGAGTTATCTTTTTCACATGCCATGGCAATTCAGGTCCCTCTGTAATCCCACTTCCACGCTACTTTTTTCCTCCCTGGTCCCCAAGACCTTCCACTCTGGACTGTAGTTCTCCTATCTATCTCATATTCCACAAAAAGAATTTTGAAAAACAGAGTCGACTATTTTTTTTCTTGTAAGCCTGCTACTTGTTTTAACCTCTTTCCACCTCCTGATTGCTTTATGGCCCCGCCTTAGTTCTTTGATATGTATAAAGGAAGCCTAAAGAGAAAGGGTGCTCTTGGAGAGTACAGATCAGTAGATTTGAAAGAATTGCCCTTCCCTGCCCCCAAATTAGAAACTGATCAAAACAATTGCTTAAGAAGTGAACTTGTTAAAGGACTGAAAAATATGAATCACTATCAGGGGATTTATCAGAAGTATTAAAAGAAGACATGTGGGACTGATTTCCAGAATAGGGAAGCATTATTTCCCTGGAAATAATCCAGGGAAAACATAGAACTGGGAAGTTCAATGTTTTGCAAGAAAAGGGAACAAATCTTAAGAGAAAAAGCCTCAGTATCTGCAAGACAACAGGACAATGGGGAATTAACATGGCATGTTTCTGAAAAACTGAGTTTGCCAAACTTGAGCTCTTTGCATATTTCAGTTTCAGGAGTTTCAGGATTAGCAAATACGGTGGCTTTAAACCACTTCACCTATCTTCCTGTCTTTGTTGGATTTGATGTGAAGACTAGAATAGGTGCAGCAGTGAGAAGTGGAAAGACCCTAAAATATGTGGTACAGCCCCAAACTCAGAAAAGAGGTTTTCAGCAAAGTACTGAAAGGATCTCTCTTTCTGGCCAGGGTTGTTTTGTCGATATTCTACAAAGAGAATCAAATAGCATAGTACTGGATGTGGGAATCCAGGTTTAAGAATCATCAATGTGATCGGGACCTGGGAGAATTAGCAGAGTCTGTGATCAATATAAATCTAGCTCTGCACACCTAGGCAGCTGAGAGTGTGAACTCAACTGGAGCTGACATGGGGAAGTAGGGTCCTCCGAGCCCAGCTGGCAGGGTGCCACCCTTTCAGGCACTGACAGAAGAGTGCGTTCAGAATAGACTCCCAGGACAGAGGAGTCTGGCGAAAAGTTGGAGGTTGTTAAACCAGAAAAAGAGAAGCGTCAGGGATCACACAAGTGACTTATTCATGTGTCTAAAGCACTGATTTGCAGACAAGAGACTGTTATGGTTTGAATTTTCCCCCCTTATATCCCCAAATTTGTATGTTGAAGAAAGCACAAGGAAGAGCATTCTAACAATTCAGACTGTCTGAGAGTGGGCTGAGCTGCCTTTTGGTGTAGTGTGCTTTGTAGTATTGAGGATGTGTAAGTGGAGATGGTGAGATGACCAGTTTCTGGAGCTATTATAGGGAAAATTCCCGCAAGCGGGGGATGCACAATCTCCAAGATTTCCTTCCATTGTAAAATTCTATGCTTCTAACTCCAAAAGTATTCAGAAACAAAAAATTAGCTGAAGATTTTAAATTAGGAATTGTTTTGTTTTGAGAAAGGACAGAATCTAAACGAGCGTTAAAAAAGAACCAGTAAAATGTAATTCTACACAAGAAAAAGTGCAAGTTTTTGTTTGTTTGTTTGTTTGTTTTGTTTTTTTGAGATAGTCTCACTCTGTTGGCCAGGCTGGAGTGCAGTGGCACGATCTCAGCTCACTGCAACCTCTGCCTCCTGGGCTCAAGCAATTCTCCTGAGTCAGCCTCCCGAGTAACTGGGATTACAGGCATGCACCACCATGCCCGGCTAATTTTTGTATTTTTAGTAGAGAAGGGGTTTCACCACATTGGCCAGGCTGGTCTGAAACTCCTGACCTCAGTAATCCGCCTACTTCAGCCTCCCAAAGTTTTGGGATTACAGGCATGAGCCACTGAGCCCGGCCAAAAAGTGCAAGTTTTCTTTTACTCTTAACCTAAGATCTACCCTCTTAGCAAAATTTTAGGTATACAGTATAATATTGTTAGTTCTAGGGACTACACTGTGTAGCAGCTCTCCTGGACTTATGCATATCACACAACTTCATGCCCTTTGTCTAACTTCTCCCCATTTTTCCCTCCCTCTGAACCTGGCAACCACCATTCTACTTTCTGCTTGAGTTTGACCATTTTAGATTCCTAACATAAGTGAGACCATGTAGTATTTGTCCTTCAGTGTTGGGCTTTTTTTGACTTAGCATAACCGACTCCAGGTTCATCCATGCTATCAAAAAGGGCAGGGGCTGGGTGCAGTGGCTCATGCCTGTAATCTCAGCACTTTGGGAGGCCGAGGCAGGCAGATCATGAGGTCAGGAGTTTAAGACCAGCCTGGCCAACATGGTGAAACCTCGTCTCTACTAAAAATACAAAAATTAGCCAGGTGTGGTGGGCGCCTGTAGTCCCAACAACTCGGGAGGCTGAGACAGGAGAATTGCTTGAACCCAGGAGGTGGAGGTTGCAGTGAGCTGAGATCGCGTCACTGCACTCCAGCCTGGGTGACAGAGCAAGGCTCCATCTCAAAAAAAAAAAAAAAAAAAAAAAAGAAGGCAGGATTTCCTTCTTTTCAAGGCTGAGTAGTATTTCATTATATGTATATACCACATTTTCTTTATTCATTTGTTGATGGACATTCAGGTTGCTTCCATGTCTTGGCTGTTGTGAATAATGCTGCAGTGAACACTGGAATGCAGATATCTTTTTGATATCCTGATATTCAGTTCCTCTGGAAAAGAGCAAGAATTAACAGGGAAAATATTTCAAGAACCCAATGGGCAGGAAGTACAAAAAGAACAATGATGCTGGGAAACACAGGGCATTGAATGATATTAAATATGTTGGATACCACATGGCTGCAGAACAGGGTGGCTTACTATGAGCAGTATCTGTAGCTTTAAGCCAGGCAGGTTCCTGTCCTGCCACTTAGGAGCTTTGTGGTCTTGGCCCATCTATGTAACTTGTCTGAACAAGAGTTTCCTCATCTCCAAAGTGGGACAATATCACCTGGATCACAGTGTCAGGAGGATGACATGAGACAATTAATGAAAACTGTGAGACATGTGGTAAGCATTTCAATAAAGAACTATGAATTTCATTACGAAATTAGCATCTGCAGAGCCAAAACCAAAGGCTTATTACACAGACACACACACAGAAACACAAATGACAAAATTAAAGCTTTAAAGGAAATTTCTTTGTTAGAGTCCATGATGTAAATAACAATCTTTCCTATGTCAGTGTAAAGTTTTATTTGCTAATATTTTATCTACACTAAATGATTAGAAATCATGATTTGCCACATCATTCCACATAGAACCAAGTGGAATGGTAGATTTTGATTTTTTTTTTTTTTTTTTTTAGTGGGTACCCAGCTCATTGGAAAGTACTGAAGGCGGTCCCATGTTTGAGACCGTTGGTCTGATGTATGGCCTTGGATAAACTTCTGTCATTCTTGGTTTTCTCATCTGCACCTAACTCATCAAGTTGCTGGGATGATGAAACGGGACTAGGCTTGGGCAAAGTGTTAAGTAGATGGCTGATGAGCATGTTACCATCGCATCCTCGTAGCTTTGGGATGGTGATTGTCGGTACTGGCTCTACCCCAAGGATAAATGCCATAAATACCATGGGAAGCAAGGGTCAATTTATCCTGATAGAGCCAGTCAAAACGAGGAATAATGTGTGAAATTAAGGTAGATGAGGCTTTCAGGAAAGGAAAAACTTCTGTTCAGCAGCATCTTTTAGATAATGAAGTGGTCTCTAAGGAAACTTGAAGGAGCTCTACACTGGAAGAAAAACTAAAATGGGCAACCACTCTGCCTACTGAAATATGAGTGATTTCAAAGCTTCTGCCTTCTCTTAGTGTTTGCCGCTTCTCCTTCCTCTTTTAGTTTTATGCTTTCCCCAAGGAAGTTCCTTGATCCAAATTGCTCTTTATTCGAGGCTGTGATTCATTCCTGGTGTGGTTTAAATTGGCCCATGTTTGTAGTATCTGATGCTAGAGTCGTGTCTTAAAAAGGCAACTGCCATCTTTCCCCCGGGTTCACCCTTGGTGCCTTCCTGTCACCCCACTCCCTGTTTGCAGCGGGCCGTCCACAGCCCGGCCTGGCTCTTCTGCCTCGGTGTCAGCCTCCTCATTAGGCATGCTCTGGAGCTGGCTGGTGTCAGAGCCGGCCGATGCATCAGAATGCAGGGCATGCGTCCGGCTCCTGGGAAGCTGCGCATTCCGCATGAAATATGAAGGCAACAGCCAGCCCAGGGGAGACCCCGGGTGGATTTAGACGAAGAGCAGCAAAGGTGGCTGTTGGGGGAGGGGCATTCTGCGGGGCCAGAGAGACAATGTGGGCACCTATCACATATTTTAAAGGCACTGCTTTGGTGGGGGAGAGGGATGCTGGGAGGGGCACCTGGTTTATGTATCCTCTTGGCCGCTCCTGACACACACTCCCTCGGTACATTCTTTCTGCATATGCTCATGGTATATCTGTGATTATGGTGATGTGCCCTTTTGAGATAGGCAGCCGGCTCACTCCCGGCTGTGCTCATCACTGATTCTTGAGTTTCTCTTTTGGGATAACCTGAAATCATAAGAGCAGTCCATGTGGATTTCGGAGCACCTGACAGTAAGAAACGTAATAAAAAGTAATGGTTGTCCAGCAAGCCCTGGGGATGCTTGTCACACACCACCTTGGGTCCACAGAGGTTAAGCGTGCTTAACAGGTGGTGACCTCAGATGGTTCCAAGGCCTGACATTAGAGCCTGTCCTCGTCTTTGTCCAGAATCCTCTAGTTTCCAGCCGAGGCTCCATGCTGGGGTTCCACCCAGCCATTCAGAGATGAGGAGAAAATCTTTCATCCCCACCATAGGCACTAAGAGATTACTGCATGCCTTAACATGTCATAGTGTAATGTGCTGTGCACAGACCCTTAGAACACTTACCCACTGTAGTGTGCTTGGTTTATGTGCAGGTCCCCGACTTAGCCACTCTATCCATGAAGAAGAAATGCTGTATTATTTGTTTTTATATAACCAGAGGATTGGTACATAGTAGGCACTCAATAAATACTGAGTAAATTATATTTGATGAGACTGTCCTCCCACACCATCACACATCCAAGTCATCAAAAAACACAAGTCTACTGGTCCCTCCAAATACAGAAATTTTGGGAGGCCAACTTTTCTCCCCTAACCTAAATCCACAATGCCCATTACAGTGTACTCAGGGTGTAATTCCATTTCATATCATTGATTACAGAGTATTACAGAGTATCCCACTTTCCTTTGATCAGAGAACATACACACACACACACACACACACACACACACAAAAGGAAGCAGTTTGCAATCCTTGTGTGTGAGATGAATGTGAAAGTTTTCTGCAAGAAACTCCAAAGCAGTGATGTCTCCTGAAAGCCCCGGCCATTTCTGGTTGGCAGTACTGCCTGCTGCATACCTTCCAGAGGTGCCATTCAGCAGGGGGGTTCCACACTGAGACTGCCCTGCTGGCTGGAATGCGAGGCAATATGTATGCTTGCTTTACATGTGGTAACTTTCAGTGTACAGAACTGTATTTGGTAACTTTCTGTTAATTTTATAAAAAGAAATTGGCTTTTTTTGTGAACGGAGAGGACTCTGTACTTCTGTTTGGTTCTTGATGCAGAGTAGCAGGAAGTAGCAGGATTCAACTAAAATGTTGGCTCTTCACAAGACCATAAGCTGCCTGGGAGCTGGGCATCCTCTCCCCTGTCCACGGCTGGGTTCCCAGTGGCTAGATCGTAGCTAGAACGGAGTAGACACGAAAACATTGGGTTGAGTGGAGACTTGGACCTGCACTGTCACTTAGAGAGGGTGTCACTTAAACAGATCTGTCTAGATCTGCACTTTCTGTAGCAGAGAAAGTATAGTGCCTTATCCTCTAGCCAGTAATATGTTCACGGTTGGGTCCCTTAGAATCCTCCCTGGTTTTGATATGCCTGTGCTGAGAGATAGATAGAATTTCTCTATTGGAGCTACCAAGTTGAGAGTAGGATGGTAATTCGAAAGAGTAGAGAATTAGGCTATTAGACAAAATATGGATATGGAGAGAGAAAGAGAGCCAGCCAAGCAGCTAGCCCTACCAGCATCATATGACTTTGTGTATTCAGCCCCACCTGGAGTTCTAACCCAGAATGTCTTGGTTATATGAACCAATAAATTACTGATTTATTTATTTGCTAGAGGTAATATAGAAGAAGGTTTTCATCACTGAAAACTAAAAGCAGTCTGACTGACAGCCTTGTTTCATACTATCCCTGTCTACTTTTAAAGCTGTTCATTTGCTCCATGCTAACAGCTAATCTTCTCTTTACATTTAATGCGTGCGGATCTCCTGAATGTCTATTTTCACATGGTGGTTATTTTGCCCAGTCCTTTTGCCTGCTTTAAGCACAACTGTGTTTAGGCCACATACTCAGGCCAGATATATCTGTCCCACGCAAAGACCATAGAGAGAAGGAATACTTCACATTTCTGGATAACAGACCTAACAGTTCCCGCTGGTGTTGGATCCCCCAGCCCTACAGCACACAGCACCCCTTTGACAGTACACATTAACTCTGCAGTGGACCTTGGGGATGGTGAGGACACCCTGCTCTGGACTCGGCTCTGCTGTGGCTGCACTCACTTGTTTGTTTGTAACTTGTTTTGTAGGAATGGGGCTTGGCCCCCAGCTAGACGCGAGATGGCTCGTTTTCAGAGAACAAAGGAGAGGGAAGAAGATAGGTGTTCCTTGAACATCTACTATGTGAGAAACACCACCCAGGGCACTGCACCTGCCTGTGAGTTACATAACTTCTCTTGTCCGTAGCTGTGGATGCAAAAGGCTCAGAGTAGTTCAGCAGTTGCTTGCACGTGGGCTGAGCTGTTTAGGTGACGGTGCAGGTCTGTCGAAATGCAAGCATCCATGCTTTTTCTACCACCAGCAAGTTGTCTCCTGGGGCCATATTTTGATTTGTTTTGTGCGGTCCAGACCACTCTGCACCATGCTGGCCACACTCTAAGTCCAATGATGACAGCACTGTGTTTATCTCCATTTCATACGAACCTAATGAGGAGGGAATGTTACAGAACACCCCCTCCATAGTGTGAGAGAATTGCTTGACATGGAGATGCACAGAAACAAGAGAAGTTTGGAGTCCAATTTCCTCTTCTGTGGCCCACCCAGCCTCTGGGGTTGAAAGCGTGGCCAGGGAAAGCGTTCTGTTCCCGTACACGCAGGGATGTCTCTGGCTGGGTGACAGCCACTGACCCACCTCGTTTTTGTTCTGCAGGTGTTGGAAAGAGGATGCAACCATCCCCAACAGGGAAGGGTGGAAAATGCTGCACTGTGCATGGGTGAGTGTGCACATGTGTGTATGTGTGGTCCTGGGAGCAAGGGCCGGGCAGGGACCAGTCTGCAAAACAACATTAAGAAACCGAAACATTTTCCACTGAGAAACAGAATTACTGCCCATGGAATTCTTACCCAGCCTGAGAAGCGAGCAGCAGCCCCTCCTTTTCATTAGTTAAACAAAGAGGGTTATTTTTCAAATGAAAACTTTCAGTGTGGAAAACAATCTAATTCCCGGGGCTTTTTGAGAAGTGAGATTCTCAGTGCTCCAATAAACATATCTACGTGGATATGCAGCTGCAAAGGCAGTGTCGGTGCGCTGACCAAACGAGAGGGCAGGCTTGGCCAGTGGGGGACACGGGGACTTAGCTTCAGGCCTCTCATAACAATCCCAGGTAGAAAGGCCAACAGAGGGAATGAACCGTGGCCTGGAAGATTTGAACTGTTCTGCGAGAGAAAAAAAGCGAAAACAAAAATATTTTCTGTAAGTCCATTAAATGATCTCCTTTCTTCCTCCAAGTCAATGAACTCCTTCTGGTCGGAAAATAATCTGCAAACTCAAGCCCTGCTTGGTTCAGTGGGGTGTGTTCCGCCTTATTGAATTCCTGGCCTTCAGAGATCTTTCAAAAAAAAAAAAAAAAAAAACTTGCACCCACTTATGAACCCGTGGGGTAATGTCAGCTTTCTTTTGAGGGGTTCTCTTCATGAAAGCTCCTGGGTACTTGCATTTGTTTAAGAGCGGGCAAGAATAGGAAGGCAGACTGCCAGGGTTCAAATTTTAGCTCTACCACTTAAAAATAGTGTGTGCTTACTCTCTCTGGACCTCAGCTTGCCCATCTGCAAACAGGAGTAAGAACGGTACCTACATCACAGAGTTTTCATAAAGATTACATGAGAAAGTGCTTACAAAGTGCTTACCACAGTTTCTGGACAAAGGAAGACCTCAAAGTGTGGCCATTATTATGAAGTCAAAGGGACATGGCATATGGTCACAGACCTGAACTTTTTAAATTAATAAATATCATTCTTTCAGGTTTCTACTTTTCCCATCTCACTAATGGAAAGCATGTTGTTTAAAAAAATAAAAGCAGACACAAAATAGCCTCTCTTCAAATCAGAGCTTCCTTCTCTAATCAGTCCGTGAATGTTTCGGGGAGTGCTCTATTTAACTTGGCTGGCCCCTGGTTTTGCCGTGAGTAATACACTGGGCTTCATTTCAAACTCCACACAGCCAAGATCACTGGATACTTGAGCTTCCCCAAGCTGAGTTGATACAGCTGCTCTGCCCCTGGTCACTGGTGAGTTGTCCCTGTGGATTCCAAAAGGTCTGAATACAAACAGGCCAAGGTGCATGGGCCAGCCGAGATGGTCAAGGACATGGGTTCCCACTGAGCAGGTGTCCAGGTGAGACAGACAAGACTGAGGAGGCCTGGGGAGCCCTACAGTGAAGTCAGAAGAAACTGAGACAGACAGAGGGTGGCCAGAGATTATGGAGAGAGGGGCCTCGCTGACACTTGGGGAGACCAGTGTTGCTTGGAGCATCCTTGCTCTTACAAAGGCAGCATAGGTGGTTGAAAGAAACCATCCTGATTTTGACGTTGCCACAATGATAAACGAAGGGCATGAAAACTCTCCAAATTAGGGTCTCTGAGACCAATTAGGTCAGACGATGAAGATAGATTTGCTTGAAAAATAAAATTGAGTATGGCTTTCTTTTAAACAAGGCTTCATTTCAAACGGACCTGAATAAACCAAATTCAATTTAGACATGTTATTCCCCAGGAACTTAGCTCTGGCATGAAATAAGGCTTGCCTGAGGCCACTTGAGAACCGCAGTCTGTGGGACAGCCCTGTGATGGACAAATAGAGTAGAGTGTTAATTTTGAGGCCTGTCGAACCCCAGTGACAGGCGGGCTGGTAAACAGATTGAAGAAGCTAATGACTATTTAGTGCTTTCCAGGACAGGAAATGTCTCTTTGGCTTCTGAGGTAGCAACACCCTTACCTTAAAAGGTTTGGATTGATGATCTGGGCCCAATAAAAGCCCCTTCTGAAATCTGTTGGGAAGCCCAAGCAGCATTTCAAAAGTGAAAGATAATGAAGATGTTCTAGAAGCAATATCATTATAAGTATACATTATAAATGATAATTACAATTAATCATATTAGCCTTCATAATCCCCCAACATTATAACTCAACAATGGTAGATTCATCTTCCTTGTGTTCTTTGGAAGAAGATTTTTGCCTTGAGCTACACATTTTCTCCTTTAATTTGACTTGTGGTGGTTTCTGCTTTCTGACTGATTCTCCGTCTCCTGAAGACAGGCATGTGATGGGGAGGGAGGTTTGGGAATTAGATGAAGTTGTGGGGTCATGATGCCCGGCAAGTTCTAGAACCCCAGAATTTACTTGGCCCCTGAAGGAGACACTCGAACAGCCCATCTTGTTATTTCAATGCTGTCAGAACTCTTTCTTTCATGCCTCTACATGTGAATCCATGGTCAGGCGTTCCCCAATCCCCGCTGCAATCTAAATCGGCCTCCTCCTTTTATTCTCTCTCATAATTCCCTCTTCTTTCTCCCCAAGCATTAATCATGGTTTTTAATCATTTCTTTATATTTATTTGATGTTTAGCTCCTCATTAGATATGAGCTCAATAGGAGAGGGGTCATGTCTACTTTGATCACTACCTAGCTTTGTGACTGGAATAGGCAGGCAACCTATAAATAATTGTGAATGGAAGACAGAGTGGGTTGCACAGCTTGGAAAAGCATGCCCCTTAGAATGAAGCCCTCTCTTCTTTCTCTTCCCATTGACACCAGACATTTACTATCTCAATATATGCCACAAAGGCCCACAGTGACTTCCCGCATGCTGAGTCCAGTGGCTTTCTGGGTCCTCATCCCTCGGTTGAGTTGTAGAGTCTGATACAATGAACTCTGCCCTACTAGAAAGCCTGCTTTCTTGGCTTCTGTGGCTCCAGGCTCCCCTCTCTGGTCTATGCTCACTGACTCCTTCCTCCTCTTATGCTGTAAAGGGACTAAAGCCCATGGTTCTGGACACAGCCTGATCACATCCTCATGCTGTTGCTTGTTTTGACAGCTCCTCCACTGTCTTGGCTCCAGCCTGCAGCTTTTGACTGGGACCTACAAAGTCAAACATTTCTAACCCTGAAACGCTCTTCCTCTTGCCTTCTTTTTCTTCTCCCAGTCACCAGGCTGGACAACTTAGTGTCTTTCCTCAACATCGTTCCTTATATTTTCCAAATAGTCAACATATGAAAATACTGAAAATATGAATTCGGTGTCTTCTCATTGTCTATGACTCAAATCTCTTGATTGTCCAGACCTTCCCATCTTTTCTCAATTTCCTGCTGCACATTATCCAAATTTCTCTTATGCCAATAATGCCTTTTCTATTAATACTGTCAACATTCTACCTTTCCTTTAAGGTTTATCTCAATTATTTCCCACTTTAAGTCCCCTGTGAGCTTCCCAATCAATTACAATTTCTCCTGCTTTTAACTACCAACACACTACATATCTTTCAGTTGGCATTCTCTTAACTTTTTATTGAATAATGAATTTCTATGTATTTGTCCATATTTTCAGGGAAAGCCTAATAAATAGATCCCTGGAGAGACTGACCTAGATAAATCAAAAGCATAAACTACTAACACACACACTAAAGACATTAAACAAAATATTAAGATGATATTATGAAGAATTTTATGTCAGTGGCTTTGAACATGCAGGTGAAATGGACACACGCCTAGAAAAATGCAAAAATTGACATAAGAAAAAATGGATAATTTGAATATTCACATATTTGCTAGAGAAATTGAATCTATAATGTAAATAGATTCCTACAAAGGAATCTTGAGGCCCAGACATTTGAGTGAGGAGTTATTTCAAACATATGAGGAAAAAAAAAAATGAGTGTTACACAAATTCTTCCAGGGACTGGAAAAAGGAATACTTTGCTACTCATTTTATGAGGCCAGCATTACTTTGATACTGAAACTTGTCAAGGACATTCCAGGAGAAGAAAATTATAGGCCAATCCTTCATTGTAATATAGATATGAAACTCTTGAGCAAACTAGTGGCAAACCAAATCTAGAGATATTTTAAAAGGATCAGATATCATGACAAAATAAAGTTTCTTTTAAAAATGCAAGGTTGGTTTAACACTAGAAAATCAATCAATATAATTCACCACAGAAACAAAATAAAGAAAAACCATATGAACACCTCAAAAGATGAATAAAAAGCATTTGTTAAAACTCAGAACTTGTTCATCACTGAAAATATAACTGGCATCAAATTAGGACTAGAAGGGAACCCTTTCATCTATAAAAGTCTGTACTTAATAATGAAATACGAACACTTCTGCTGGAGACCAGCAACAAGACGAGGATGTTCACTCTTACCATTTCTATGTAACAGTGTACTGGAGGTTCTAGCCAGAGTAGTTTAGACAAGAAAAAGAAATTTCAAAATTTAAGGATTAGAAAAGATACAAACCTGATAGTATCTGTGGACATGATTGTATGCATAGAATCTACAGGTGAATTATTAGAATGAGTCAGCAATTTAGCTAAACTAATGAATATAAAGTCAACATACAAAAATCAGCTATGTTTTTGTATACTGGCAACAAATATTAGAAAATAATACTTTAAATTTGATGCCATTTATAATAGTATTTAAAAAATTAAGCACCTTGTTAGGAATAAATTTAGCAAAATATGCACCTGACCAATGCACAGCAATGCAGAACATTGCAGAGAATAGTTTTTAAAGACTTAAATAAATGAGGAGATATAACATGTAAATTGGATTGGGAGACCCATAGTTGTAAAAATGTTAACGCTCTTCAAATTGGCCTATGCTTCCATGCGATACTAGTCAAAATCCCAGCAGATTTTCTTTCTCTGTCCTTCCTCCTTTTTCCCTTGCTTCCTCTCTCCCATGCACTCTCCCTTCCTCTCTCCCTTCCTTCTTAAAATTGGTAAGCTAATTCTAAAATTTACGTAGAAATACAAAGTGTCAAAAATAGTCAAGACAAAATTGAAAAAGAAGAAAGCTGAAGGACTTGTACTACCAGAGATATCAAAACTTACACAGCCACAGTAATTAAGGCAGTGTGATACTAGTGTAAATAGAGACAAATGGACCCATGGAACAGAGTTTTGAGGGTCCAGAAACAGAGCTGCATAGAAATCACCTAATTTACAACACGGGCACCACTGCAATGTAGTGTGTGAAAACAAATGTCTGGGTTAATTGGATTTCCAAAAGAAAAAAAATTCTTTGACCCCCTATCTCACACCATACACAAAAGTCCATTACAGATGGAACATAGGCCTAAGTATAAAAGGTTGAACAATAAAGCTTCTACAATATAACCTATGAGAATAACTTCATGAGCTTGGTGTAGATAAACCAAAACAATACATAAAATTTACTAACGATAAAACTAAAGGTTGATAAATTGGTCTCATTAAAATTAACAACTTCTCATGAAAAAAAGTAAAGAAAACACAGACATACATATACCACTCATAGAGTGGGAGAAGGTAAATATATCTAGAATATTTAAAGATTTCTTATATAACAACAACAACAAGATGACATATAATGTATTAAAAATGGACAAAAAATTATTGAACAGTCCCTTTACAAAAGAAGATGTCTAAATTTGTAACAAACTTATGAAAATATATAAAATTAGGTATGCAAACTTAAAATCACAATTCAATGTTAACCACTTTCTTATTAGAATATAAATTTCAGATAAATTGACAATGCTGAATACTGGTGAGAATCTGAAATGACGACAGGAATTCTTACATGCCATTAGCAGGCATGGAACCTGATGTCATGCTTTGAAAAATTGTTCTTGTGGTACCTACTGAAGCTAATGTACGCATAGTCTCTGATGCAATCAATCATTCTCCTAGATACATACACAAAGAGATCTGTGTATAAGGGCATCAAAAGTCACGCACAAGAATATTCATAGCAGTGCTATTTCGACTAGCCAGAGCCTAGAAGCAACACAAATGTCTATCAATCAACAGGAGAAAGGTGTTCATTATGGCATATATACAATGGAATACTATATAGCACTGAAAATAAACAAACTACCACTATGTGCAACAGTATGGATAAAAATTATAATGTTGAGTGAAGGAAGAAATGAAAAAATATTGTATGACTCTATGGACCTTCAATGACAGACAAAACTAATCTATACTGATGGCTGTCCAAAGAGGGGTCACTCTTGGAATGTGGGAGTAAAGATGGTAGCCTTACAGTAATGGCATTATTCCATGGCCAGGTCCGAATGGTGGTCACGTGGGTGTGTTCACTCTGAAAAATTAATCAAACTGTACACTAATGCTAGGTATCTTAGTTATACTTCAAATTATGAAGTTTATCAAAACAACCACAATAGCAAAAACCCTTTACCAGAGGATCTGTATGAATTCATTTAAGGCTTAGCATTCATTTTTGCAGGCTGCTTTGTGTCTTTGTAGTTCTGGGGCTGTCTGCCTTCATAGTTGCCATTGCTTCTGTCTGTTGACATGGTTCTATCACTTTCTTCTATTCAGCCCTTTGCTTTCAATCTAAACTTGATATATTCATCCTGATCCTTCATCTAGTTGTTTTGCCCTTGGAGCTAATTTCTCATTCTCAACTTCTATTTCAGCATTTCACAGCTGGGCATGGTGGCTCACGCCTGTAATCCCAGCACTTTGCGAGGCCGAGGTGGGTGGATCATTTGAGGTCAGGAGTTTGAAACCAGCCTGGTCAACATGGTGAAACCCCATCTCTACTAAAAATGCAAAAAAAATTAGCTGGGTGTGGTGGTGGGCACCTATAATCCCAGCTGCTTGGGAGGCTGAGGCAAGACAATCGCTTGAGTCCAGAAGGCAGAGGTTGCAGTGAGCAGAGATCATGCCATTGCACTCCAGCCTGGGTGACGGAGAGAGACTTCATCTCAAACAAACAAACAAACAAACAAAAACAATAACAACAACAACAACAACCAAAATCACATTTCACTAATAATGTCCCATGTCAGGTAGTTCTACTTCTTCTGTATATTTTGTTAATGGCCTTGGTTTAATTTTATTGCTTAAATGTTCACTCTTTCCTTAATTTTTTTCTGTTTTGGCCTAATGATTTTTATGTTCTTTTTATCAATAATTTCATAATTACTATTACATTATCTGCTTGCTTGGCAATCTTTTTTTTCCCTCCCAATATCACAACTTTTAAACAAAGCTTTCTCCTCTACTTTTCTGTCTAATGGGGTAGGAGTATGGGATACGGAATAGAAACTCTTTCTCTTTCTTCACCCTTTACATCCAGCAAAAAGAGCCAGGTGATCCGACATGCAATAGGAAAGGGGAAAAACAAAGATTCACAAATGATAACTAATACAAGTGCTTCCCAGTTGCCCAAAGTGGTTTAACATATTACTTTTCTTACAGATTTAGCTAAAAGGCCGTCTGACCTGAGCTCTTTTATGGAACTATTCGGCCTCGCTTTCATTTTTTCTTTTTAGAAATAAATCCTCTCGTCCTCAATCGGAGACAGTGAAGAAAGCAGGGAGTTTGTATTTTTTAAATCCATATGAAGGTTTTGGCCAGGAATTTTTCAAACACTAGAATAAATTTTTAATCTGGACTTTGATATCCAGACAAGCCCAGCTCAAGTTCTCTTGGGTCTCCTTTCCAAAGAACAGACTTCAAACAGACACTGCTCGCTGTCTTAGCAGAAAGGCACCACAGCAGCTGCGACGGCCGCGGTCGGCAGAAACTGCTGCACATCCTGCCTGTCTGGGCGGGACCTCCGTTTGCTACATTGCCCTGGGAACCAACACATCCTATTCCGTGGTCCTGAAGCAGCAGTCTTCAGAAAAGAAGGAAAGAGCATGGAGACCATCAGAGCAGGAAATGCTGGGTTCTCTGCTGACAGCATTCTCCATAACATGAGATTTAAATATTGAAGGGAAAAAGACAAACACTATTTTCTTCAGCATTATGATTTGCTTCTTATGCTTTTCATTTTTGACTTTGTCTTTGGAGTTTGGATTGTAGAAGAAATAGATGAGTTTCTTACAGATGAGACCCCAGAGAACCTTAGGTTTAACTCTTAGTTTAACTTCCTGAAACTTGACTGACAAAACAGAGACTGGGAAAGATAAAGAACCTTAGGTTTAACTCTTAGTTTAACTTCCTGAAACTTGACTGACAAAACAGAGACTGGGAAAGATTAAAAAAAAAAAAAAAAAAAAGTAACTGGTTTTCTGTGACAACTATAGAAGCAGTTCATTTCCTTTTGGGGACTTAGATGGGAGACTCTAAGTAATTGAAACTTAATACGCAGAGTCCCTCAGAAAAGTGACCACCCTGGGGCTGTTAGCATCATTTCCTGTTAATTGTCAACTGAAATAACCAGTTGTGGAAATGGCACAGGGGGCCTGAAGCAAAGGAATGTAGTCTAGCCCACTCATGGCCCATAATGAAATACAAATGATTTAACAGCAGTACTGACAAGGTTCTCCGAATAAATCATTTCCATTCTCACCACTTCACATCACTTACTGTAATTGCCCTGAGACAGAATGGGGGAGTTGGCCATTGGTTACCTAAGCTCTGCGACAATTCCCCCCTTTTACCCATGAGGACAAAATGCAGTTCTGACCTAATTAATTTACTCCTCTTCCCTAAGGCTGAAGCGCAAGTACTTTCTGTATCCCAGAGAAATCTAGAAGCTAAAGGTGGCCAGAATAATTGCAAAGTTTTTCTGCGAATCCTTTACCTGTGTGTTGACTCCGAAGTGGCCTCTCACAGGCCCGAGTGCTCAAATGAGCTGCTGTGGCTGGGCTTGCCTGGGTTTTCTACCAAATCACATGCCTGGATGGATCTGCTGTAGTTTGAATGTTTGTGTTGCTCCAAAATGCATATTGAAAATTAATTCCCAATGCAACAGCATTACGAGGTAGGGCCTTTTGGAGGTGATTAGCCTTCATGAATGGAATTAGTGCCCTTATAGAAAGGGCTTGAGGAACCGAGTTCACCCCACCCACCTCTGCTCTCCCTTCCGCCATGTGAGGACTCAGCACAAGGGGCCATCTTTGAAGCAGAGGCAAGGGCTTGCCAGACACCAAACCTGGCACGTTGGTCTTGGACTTCCCTGCCTCTAGAACTATAAGAGACACATTGCTATTATTTATAAATGACATAGTCTGTGGTATTTTGTTGCAGCAGCACAAATGGACTCAGATAAGACCCAATCATACCCGTCTGTGTATTTCTTCTGTTTTCTCCCAATCTTTCATCCCACTGCAATGAGGAAGGTTTGGAACCTCTCTTGCTTTTTTGGAGAGGCCAAGTTCCTCTGTACCCTTGATCAATAGGGAGTTATGAGTCTCTATGAACTATGCTTCTCATTTGAGTTAGTCATCCTGTTCTCTTGGCCTCCTCTGCACTTTGGCCATGCCTGCCTATGGGTTTGTCTCTCTCCTTTGGGCCGAGAACATCTGGGATGAGGAACCTGGTGTGTCTCATCATTGTATCTCCACCGTCTGCCAGAGCACACAGGGAACAAGTAACTGAGGAAAGCAAGGGAGGGGAAGGATGACAGGAAGAAGTCTTGGCCTACTGGCCCAGTTCCCTGGATGTGGTTGCAAATTGATAAGATGCACAGAAACAGAACTTCCAGGGAAGCTTCCTGGAAAATCTTTATGCTTAGACGGAAACTCTGATATGAATGCCACCACAGTATTCATAGGATCAGGATGGCTGGGCAGCCATCTCCCCCAAGACCTGCCAAGACCGTGTCATTTCCTTATGTGATGCTGACAGTCTTAGCTCTGGCCCTTAATACCCAACACAAGGTGGCCATCCTGGACAAAGCATGTGTCTAGGCTCCTGCTGGCCCACTCACCATCATTCCACTATGGCCAAGTAATCATTCCCAAAGGACAGATCCTGCCACTGTCCTATTTAAGAATCACATGCTCATTCCCAGGCCCCATCTGGCCTTTGAGGCTCTCCAACAGTGCCTGTGGCACCACACAACCCTCCAGACTCCCCGAGGATGCTCAGGCCAATCCTCCCGTCCCCAGTGTGCTTAGTCCTAGCTTGGACCTTTGAATGCTTCTGGGCCAATAGGTATTCATCTGTTATTTCAAGAAACCTTTCTGAGGAACCATATCCAGCTCATCTTTCTCACACTTTGTATGTCCTCCTTGCTTGGGTGCCCCATCTGGACCACATCCTGCCCATCCTTCTCCTCCCTATGCATTCCTTTTGTCAATGCCTATTTTGAGAACCTTACCAGGTGCTAGGCCCATACCTTGTGAGAGGCAGAGCTGAGATTCAAATCCAGATCTAAACAACCCAAGAGCCTGGCTCTCCATCACAACACTCCATGGCACCCCCTGCCCCTGAGGCCTCTTTGACCTTGCCTTAGCTTCCTTTCTCAGTGAAAAGAGATGTCACTTTGGCCAGAAAAGCAGGAGTCCCACTAGTTGGGCTGCAGCCCCCAGGATCCATCTCTTCAACAGTTTCCATGCACCAGTTGTGGAAATAACATCACTGTGCAGGCCCGGGAGACACCTTTCTTGGAGTGCAAGACAGCAGAAGGGCTTCAAAAAGGGACCCAAGATTGGGATAGAAAGAGGAAAGCATTCCTCCCTCTCATCCAGTGCTCCCTCACACACTAAGTGGAGACCCTTCCTTTGGGAAGAAAGGAAGCAAGTAAAGGAGATGGAGGCAGTGGTGAGGAGGGGACTCTGCCAGGCAGAATGATGAGTCACCATCCAGATCCATGGCACAGCGGCTGGACCAAGAAAAGGATAAGGATTTGGACACAGGGGCTGGTACCCTCTTCCCTTCGTAGCTGGCTGAGCCTGTGGAGAAGGAATCTCTGGACGTGGGCCTGAGGTTTTGAGTTCACTCATAGTGGGTGACAAAAACGAGATGGTTATTTGTTTTATGGTAATGATCTCCATGAGGCTCCAAACTCTAGGACTGCAGTCGGCACGCCACGCGGCAGGCCTTCCTTCGGGTGCGAAAGGATTTCCTTGGTTTGGTGGGATTCGTTTGTTTTTTAAATGAGGCTGTTTATTTTCTCTTCTTTTAATGTTATGATTTTTTTTCAGGCTCACAAGGAAGATACATAATGTACAGCCGAATCTACAGTCTCCTATTTTGTCAGCTGCTTGTGTTGATTAAAACTTCAATAAAGATCCTGTGATAAAACAGAGCTATGTTCAAAGGATCCTGTTATGTTTTTAAAGGGCTGAGCTTGGCAGAAAACATGTAGAGTATAGCTTTGTACCTTGGTATTTTTCCCCTTTTCCAGGTTAAAGAGGGAGAAGTGGAGGAGACACATACAGTGGTTTCTAGTACCTGTGGGATCGTTAGACAGCATGCGTTTGACCAAGTCCCAAATAATAAGCAGGGTCCAACTTAAATGCATGAAAATTGTTTATCAAACTGGTGTTAAATGTGTGACCAAGAACAGACCTCCTCCCATAAGTCTGACTGACAGCCTCTCTCTGCAAGAGGTCCCAGCCTAACAGGGAAGGGGAGGAGGCAAGCCAGGGGCAAAGTGAGGACACAGAGCTCCAGGAATTCCATACCCAGTGATTCACCCAACTCGCCCAAGATGATCCATTCCAGCAAGATTCCAATAAACTGCCAGTAACACATCGTTTTAAAGCTCAGAGATCACTGAAGGCTCTCAAGGGAGAGGTGTCTGTCAGTGGTGCCATCTACTCCCCAACCCCTTTTCCCCCTTCCCTCCAGACAGCCCATTCCTGGCAGCCGCTGAAGTCTCTCAACTCCTCTTATTCTGCAAGAGGCTGAGAAATGGATGTACGTGAACATCAGGCTTGCCAAAGTCACTGACTTTATGCAAAGCAGGCAAGTGCAGTCAAAACACTTACAGCAATCAATTCGAGTTGTTGGGTAAAGTTTTTTCCGTGTCCCATACATTATTGAACAGTTAATTTCGTCTTTGTGCCTGCAAGATATTCCAGCTCTCAGATGACAGCTTTATCCATTAAGGAGTGCCTGGTGACAGCCGTGCAGCAAGAGCTTTGCCAGCCTGGCCTGCCGAGAGGCGCGCCTGCATCACCACCGAGAAATCCTGGGACACATCAACATCTTAATCAATATGCGAGAGTCAATTACCGGGGAAGCTAGGGCTTAAGCAGGAGCTGATGATGAGGTTCACGTGCAAATGGACTTGATCAATACGCAGCTGAATCTCACACGTGGATTCACATCAGTCCTCCCACGGCACCCAGTCCCCAACTGTCAGGCCAATCACACCGCTCCTAGCCTCCAATCATCTGCTTTACTAGATTCATTACTGTTTTTCTTTGATTCATTCCTTTGATAAAAGTATTGGGAACAGAGAAGCAGAGTTGAGGGAAACAACGAAAACGTGATGACTGGACTCATGGAGAACTCATGGAGAGTTCTGCACAGAGCCTGGATGGACTAGCTCAAAGACCAAGAGAGAGGGTTTCTGCAAAGATGTGTTCTCTCCACATTCATTTTTTTTTTTTTTTTAAACAAACACTTCTTAAAGGAAAAACCAATTCAGCTTCTGAGGGAACAATATTTCTTTTTTACTGATGAGAAAGCTGAAACTTAGAAAGGCCAAGAGCATAGGGTTACACAGAGTGGATTCACAGCAGGGACTAGAACCAAGGTCTTTAGATTCCAATATCTACCTAATCTAATTGAATCACATAGCTAAGGGTTAGAGGACTGCAAAAAATGCAAGAGCCACATGAACTAAGAAAGTGAAAGGGAAACAGTGTTTTCTTGGTTGCAGTAGGAATTTCCAGTTGGACCTTAGAGAGTGGAGAATGACTTGACAAGGGTCAGGGAAAAGGCAGTATTCTCTGTGGGATGGGGGCCTGGGTGTCTGATGAGCAGCACAGAGCCACGTTAATGGCAAATGGCTGCACTAATGCGGAAGGGGATGCACTAACAAACAGGAGGTGAGGTGGATGGGCAGGGCAGGGCAACGTTATTCAAGTCAAGTTAGTCATTGTGTTTGGAACACCAAGGCCAGGATGGCAAACTTGGACTTTATCCTCTAGGGCAGTCTTTCTTTCTTAAACTAGTATGCTGTGGAACACTCGCCCTCTAAGATGCTTCACAAAAGAGGGCAGCAACGTGAAGGACACTTGGAAGACGCTGTGTACAAAGTCATCCCCTCAAAAAAGTCATACTACACTCTAGCACATTGTCACACTCTGAGAAGACCTAGAACAAAGACATGTCTTTAGCTTTCCTCAACCCAGTATACACCCATAAACAGCATTTGGATCTTCTTCAAAGAAACCTCCCTGACCAGACAGCTAGGTGAGATTGGCTCACCTTTCAGGGGCTCCCAAAAGCATTCTGTATTTTTCTTCGAAACATTCATCACCTATGCAACTTTCATTCAATGTCTACTTTTTTATTACCATGAAAGGTTCATTCATTTGTCTCATTGACTTCCTGGCACAGAGCAGATTCTCCTCCAACAAGGGGATGTGTGTGAAATACTCCAGGAACATAGTTTGGGCAAGGCTGCTCTCCTGGGAACCACTGGAGTTTGCTTCTTGCTCAGTATGGTAAACACAGCACCTTAAGATGAGCTCTTGATGTTGTTCCTGATGAAAAAAGGTTGAAGCCAGGGAAATCATGGTGCTGGGGAAATCAGTCCAGGAGAAAGGTGGTGAGGGACAAGGTGAACTGGGAATAGACCAGCGTTTATGACTTCAAGAGATATTTCTTGGGAAGAACTGAAGGGGATCTGCCTGATTGCCACAAAGTATGGAGAGATTGTGAGTGTAGGCTCTGCGGAGGGGCAGACCAAGATCAGAATTGAAACCCACTTCTTGTAGCACCACAGGCAGTGAGGTGACCTTGGGCCAGTCCCTTCCCATCTCTGAGCTTGTTCCTCATCTATGAAATGACCATGGCATATGGAAGAATCTAATTAAAGTTAGGTATGATTATTAATACATGGGAACTATTGTTAGTACTAGGAAAGACAAGAGAGTGAGAATAGTTTTGGTATTTCAGATGTGCGTATCCAGAAAATTGGGGACATTGGCTCAAATATCAAACTGTGGGAGGAAAAGGGTTTGTTTTGGGGCATGTTGAGTTTGAAGTGAGGCCAGCATGTTTAAATGTCCCACAAGCAGCTAAGCACATAGGACTGAGACCCTAAGGAGGGGTCAGCATGGGGCATGGCTGAAATTGAGAGAATAGATGAGAAACTCTATAAAGGGAATAGAAAGAAAGGGCAGAGAGCAAGAGGCTGCCTTGGGCAGCTGCCTTATTTTGGGAGCAGGAGAACGAAAAGAAAAGTCGACCTTGTTGCTGTTATGAGAAGATGCTGTGGTTCTCAGGCTGCCTTAGACAGCTGAGTAGCATCTCATCAGCCTGAGCTAGGGAAAGGCTGCTGTGTGGGCTAAAGCTTACGTGGTACTCACAGAATATGTGGAAAGTTCCCGTGGCAACTTCTTATTGAAAATCCTCACCCCAGTTATTTTCCATTCCTGCTGAGACATCTCTGTGTCCCTCACGTTATGGTATAAATATTTTATGAAGTACAGAGGGTTGAGATATCTTAACACTTTTACTGAAAACTCATTTTTCTGAAAGTTAAAGGATGCATTTTCCACTTACTTACAAAAATATGAAACTCTAGATTGGACAAAGAAATGGACATGTCCCATTGCAATATTTTATGCAGTGTTTTTCAGGGTCTCAAAGTACTTAAGATGTTAATTCCATTCCTTTCTCCATGAGGCTTGTAAGTTTCATTATACAAGTTTAAAGGTGGGTAAGGAGTAAGCACAGAGCCCAAAAGATAGTAGGTGTTCAATTGTCCTCTTCCCTTCTTATATGATGAAGGTTGAAATGGGGTCTGTAGACTCAGGGAGGTGAATAATCTGAGATATTTCCAGACTATGCTTAATGCCATTAGCAGGGGTTAGAGGAGAGAAAAGAGAAGAAACTTAATTAGAAGGAGAATAGGCCAAGCGTGGTGGCTCATGCCTGTAATCCAAGCACTTTGGGAGGCTGAAGCGGGCGGATCACGAGGTCAGGAGATTGAGACCATCCTGGCTAACACAATGAAACCCCGTCTCTACTAAAAGTATAAAAATTACCCAGGTGTAGTGGTGGGTGCCTGTAGTCCCAGCTACTCGGGAGGCTGAGGCAGAAGAATGGCGTGAACCCGGGAGGCGGAGCTTGCAGTGAGCTGAGATCGCAACACTGCACTCCAGCCTGGGCAACAGAGTGAGACTCCATCTCAAAAAAAAAAAAAAAAAAAAAAAGAGTGGAATAGAAAAGATATTCTGAAAGGCAATTAGAGAAAGCTTTATGATGAAGTAGAACTGCAGGACCCCCGAATAGAGAAATGATCCATAGTTGATGAATGAGTGTAGACCTTAACACTGAAAAGTGGTCCTTCTGCTAACTGCCCAGAAAGAGTCACACAGCCTCTGCCAACCCAAGTTCTGGCAAAATCATCTCAGTTCCAACTCTCTCTGTGGATCACAACCAACTCATAAAGAACAAGAACATGTGAAGAGACCAGGGAATGAATGTCATCAGGCTACATCGATCCTGCGCCTGCTCACAATCTCCACCGAGGTTTGTGTATCTAGAATCCTGTTCCTACCTTATTATACCTGTGGCTTAGGGAATTAAGCAGCTGGGGGAAAACATGGTTTTTGATACCAAAGAGCATCCTGCTAACTCAAAGTCTGTGTCCTGGGCTTCATTGGTCTTCGTTTTTATCAGAAGTAGGTGGGTAACACATTAGGAAAAAAAAAAATTGGCCCCATAAAGGGATCCGGAAAGAATGACATATTTGTCTGTTAAGTATAAATACGAACAGCCGTGGAGATATGGTCCTGTGGTGCTAGGTTTTCACTCCAGCAACATTCATCTATTGCCAGGAAACGCTAGATTTAGTACCTGAGGGACTGAAGTTTCAAATACCTTATACTTTTTTTTTTTTTTTTTAATACTCTGCCAAGAATTTAAATTGGTAAAAGCTGGGGACTGACAAAACTTGATCCCCAAGAGCTTTTCTGGCACTGGTTTATCAGAGAATATGGTGCCATTATTTTTATTATAATTATTATTTTTTTCTTTGGTGGGGCGAGAGCTCATTTATAACCCAATGACTTCTACTCCCAGATGTATTTTTCTTTTTTTTTTTTTTTTAAATCCCAATGCTTAAATAAACAGAGGCTTTGCCTTTTGTGGTGGCCTTAGAAGCTGTCATTGGATTTACATGCAAGCGGGTGGTTGTGAGCCTTTTCATGTTTTTAGATCAGATCAGAAAGAGTTGAAAGGAGAAAGCTAATTTTAGGAAATGTGTTTCCACCAGCTCCACACTGCACACACCTTGCTCCCAAGCCTCAGGTCTCCACCATGCCCTGACACCAAAATCACTTAACAGGGCTTTGCAAAGGGGGCCTGCTGGCCCCAAACTGGGACAGCTGTGGAAGAGCAGAAAAGGCCAACATGAGTTAGAAAGCCTGAGTTTGAGTCCTGGCACCATCATCTTTTAGCCATGAAACTTTGGACAACTTAGCCTCCCTTAGATTTTTCATCTGTAAAATGATAATTGGATTTTCCTGGGAGGGTTGTCGGGAGGATGAAATTAAATGAGACAAATTATGTGAAAACGCTTGGCGCTGTGAGTTTTTTAAATGACAACCTATAAACGACGAGTCCAGGGAAGAAGGGAGAGAACATCATGGAGCAGTATTGTGGATTTTTCTCCAAGGTTAGGCTCTTGACATAGACGTTCTAGCCGAGAAAACAACTGCCACCACGGAGACACATAAAACAAGAAGATACTATTTACAGTACAACATCTTTATGGTCCCTCATTGCTCCCCGCAGCCGTATTCCCGACTGCCTTCAGATCCTCTGCTGATTTTACCCACAAGCAATTTCCAGGGTCAGCTCACCTCTCTCTTGCCCAGGGCAGCGGCGGCGGCAGCAGCAGCAGCCCTGGCATGTCCGATCTGGCTGGAAATGATTTGAGTTTTATTATACAATTAGATCAAGTCTCTTCGGTGTAGTAGCCTTCCACATACTTAGAAGAATAGATTAGCCATTAGGACTTTGTATATTTTTCCCAGTAATTGACACCACATCCCATTTTCCTCACCAAAGGGAAAAATAACCGCATAAAACAATCATGATTCGGGGGGCAGGAGGTGGGGAACCGGGGCATTCACAATGCAACAATGTCTCAGTCCCACCTCAATCTCCTTCCTTTGCCCAGCTTTGCGTGTCTCTAGGAGCCAGGCAGAGCGGGCCTCCGGTTTGTTTTGTTTTGTTTTGTTTTTCCATTCCAGAGCCCCTCAGGCTCAGCGTCCTAAGCACTTTACTAAGAATAAACCAGGCATCATCTCTGCCACCGAGAAACAGCAGCCACCACTGGACGGGAGCCTGGACATTCTTAAAAAGCCCACATAAACATCACCAGAACAGAATTGGTTTTCTTTCTTTCTTTTTCTTTTTTTAGTGCCTCCAAGGTATCCCAGGATGGATCTATTAGAAACCCTTTCCCTCAGGAGCCCCTTTCTTGTCCTGGTCAGAAAAGGAGTGGGGCTATTGTGGGGTGGTCCAAGCAGTGGTGAGTTGAGGCTCTTTCTTTGGTATCCAAGTCAGGAAGAGGAGAGAAAAAAAAGAGTTCAAATCCAGAGGGTTCAAACCACACCTGTTTTTTTGTCCCGTCTCTTCAACCACTGTAAGTTTAGACTTGGAATAGAACAGGGGGAAACCCATCTTACTGAGGGATTTAAACAGAGACCAGTGCAATCCCCTAGGCTGGCTTTGCCTGTATTTGGCATGGTGCATGTCTGCAACGGGCCTCCATGTTGCCTCTCAGCCAAAAGCAGACACCTCAGGCCAGCAGTCTGCATCTACACAAGCAAAACAAAACACATGTTCTCAGATGTCTGGTCAAACATTTGTTTCCTTTGGTCATGTTCTAGCAGCCCAAACTCAGATTCCAACTGCAAGGCCTGGTGGCACTAACAGACATTGTTTTTGTTCCATTCATTGCTGCAAAACATCTGTGAGCTAAAGGTTCTTCCCAACTGCAGCGATCTTTGTGCCAAGGCTTGGTAGGTCCTTGACAGCTTCCTTGCCTGCCCATAGGCCCGTGAGGCGGCTCTGGTGCAGACATAGGACTGCAGAGAGAGGCGGTCACTCTTCCCAGTCCCTCCCTTTCTTCTTGGATGGACCATCAGACAATGCAGCTAGCAGTACCAGATTTAGTAGACATGAAGTGTTTTCATACATTTTTCAGCTTGGGTCAATGTGTCCAAAGGGACTCTTTGCTGACACGTCTGGGCTGGTTCCTTGGAGAGAAGCTGAAATGCCCATTTTCCAGTAAGATCAATAAACCCACTCAGCTCCGACCACAGACCTTTCCTCAGGTATCCTCCAGCAAGTCAGGGTGTGCTGGACTTTCGTCGTGGCAATGTGACCCAGTGTGCCACCAGGAACTTGTACTTCAAGCTGAGTTTACTTTCCTGAGGACAAAGTCAAAGCCCTAAAGCTTTCAATTTGGTCCCCAAGGACCGTGGAAAATCACAAGATGGAAAGTGACCTTTCTTTGGCCACAACTGGTGATGACTTGTGAACATGTCTCTTTTGCCCAACTTGGCTTTAGCTAAAACCTACTGTTTTGAATAAAACTTGGGCCATTCTCCACCCTCTTCTTACCATACCTCTAGGCACCCACTGCCAAGTCCTAGGAGGCCCTGCCTCTTTTTAACAAGGAACACAAAATGAAGCTGTAATCATAACCTCTCTTGCTCATTCAGAAAATATGCAGATGTGATTTTTCTTTCTTTTTTTCTTCTCAACATACCTATGTCCCTTCATTATTTTTTAAACTGTCTCTTACTTTTCCCCCACTCCCACCCCCACTGTTCTTAGCTAGGGGCCAAGTTCAATCAAACATCCCCCAGTTGGCACCAAATGGGCACCTGAGGGTAATAGGGCGCAGTGGCACTTTCCCGCCTCCTTCTTTCTCCGGTTGCCAGAAGAAACCCAGCTGGGTCCCTCAGCCAACACAGGCCCCTAACTTAAGTTTAATAGTACAGCATTTTTACTACTTTTGGCCAGGGCATTTTGAGAAAGGGTAATATATGTGAAAAATATACCCTAAAAAATTCTGTTTAGAAAACAATTCCAGTCTAAGCGCTCCATGCTCTCAGTTTCTGGCCCTCTTTTCAGGAAAGCAGCTCCGGCAACCACACAGTTTAGATCCATTTTGGGGTGGGTGGGGGGGGGTTCCATTTCCTTCCTATGGGATTTTTTTATTAGGTGTTTTTTTGGTTTGTTTGTTTTTTGCTATTTTTCTTTCCCTATGCTGGTTTACTGCCTTGTATCTATCTACCCCCAAAGAAAGAGTTTAAGAACCTCAAGTAAGTATTATTGGATTTTTCTTAGTGTATTTTTGGATATTTCTGGTTGGGAGTGTGTGGTCGGGATCTGTGTGTCTGTGCTGGGAGGGTGGTGGGCTGCATGCCCAACGATGATGGCCATGAAGGCCTGGGAGAGTCAGCAGAGCCTCCCGAGCATGTGTCGAACATGGAATTGCCCCTTGTTTCATGGTAGTGAAAACCCTACTGGTTAAAGGTTGAGGCACCTGGTAGGCTTGTAACAAGTATCCATTTTGTAGACAAGGGAAAGAGACAACATTAGGCACCATTTCTTGAACTTCGACTTTGCATTTCATAATCAATGCTCTAGGTGGTTTATTTCATTCAACCCTCACAACAGCACTGTGATGGTGACGTACTCCACTACACAGAGGAAGAAACTTCAGAGGTTAAAAGGGACACGGTTACTTCCTGTAGCACACGTGGAATAAGGCAGGATTCTAATCCAGGTCTGCCTTTCTACTGGAAAGAATCTAAACTGGGTGAAATTATTAAAAACCATGATCCCCACTCCCCAAAAGACAAAATATATTGACTGGGAACCACGAGTAAATGTTTGGGCCTCTTAGAAAGAGGCAACTGGTTGTAGAATCATTGCCTTGAGACATTTGAAAAGTTCAGTTCATTTCTCTGGGCTTCCTCCTCCTCTGAAAAAGGAGCATGTTGGGCTTGATTCAAGAGAGCGAGGAGACCTCACAATTTGCTGTTACCCCCAGCAACCTCCAGTGCTTCCCCGTGCGCCATGGCAGACGTCACTAACAGACAATGCATGGGGCCTCAGACTCCTTCTCTACACAACATTCTAGGCAGCTACTAACAACATTCTCACTGCCCTTCAAGGCAGCACAGCCGGCTGTGGCATCCCCCAACCTCCAGTCATCTGTTCATCTCCTTCATAATTTTTACTGTATCCATCCTCCCTATCATCTCAATATATTTACTTACTTGATTTATAGCGATTCCCTTTTTTTAAGCCAAAGAATAGCCTTTTTCTAAGAATAATATCCATGGTTTAATGTGGTAACAATAAGATTTTGAATACGTTTTTAAAGTACATAATTATATAATTTTTAAATAAAGTTGTCCAGGATCCATTCAAGGTTAACTTAGCATGTTTTCAACACTTTCTATGATGCTGGCATGGCAGGAAGACCGGAGATGTGAGGCTCAAAGAGACTTAGTTGGAACCCCGCTCAATCTTGTACCAATTCCGTGGCCTTGAGCAAATTATGTAATCTTTTTGAGTCTCAAGTCCCAATTATGGGAATAATAAGCCTTTCTTTGCTATACTGTCTTGAGGGTGAAAGTTAACTTAATGCAATAGTCTGCACAAAGCTCCCGGCATAGTCTTTGGTACAAGGTAGATATTCAATAAATGGCCACCATTGCAATTGTTTGTATGCTAATACACTGTGTTGCTGGTATCACAGTCCCCAGCGCTGTATGAAAGTCCCTTTCTTTCCTGAAACCCAAGCTGGATCCCATCTGTCCAAATGCCTGGGACTCCCAGATTATAGGATTGAGGGTCCTCAAAGATGATGTTCTTTAGGGACAAATATTTACCCAAAGTAGGTCCTTAAAGAATTCTGTCATTGCTGTCCTCTCAGAGGAGCCTGGCAGCACTGTCACAGGAGCATGGCTTTGGTAATAAGACTCTGTCATCATTAGGGAGCCATTTTATTTTTGTGACACTGTCATCCCCAGGTCCCAGCACACCTGATTACATAAGTGGCTTTTCTTTCCTGCCTCGTCTCTGTTATTACTTCTAATGTTTTTCTGCTTCTGAAGGATGGGAAGAATGAAGCCTATCTATGAACAAGGCCTCTAAGTTGGGGACTGGAGTAGAAAATACAAAACAACCTTTCCCTGTCTCTGTGACCAGCTGGACTGCCAGTGAGTCCCTGTTTTTATTTCTCCAAGCCCAGCTGAACATACCTATTTTATCGGTTGACTTTGTCAATGCAAAGCAGCAAGTGACACTGAAACACCTGTGTTTTGAGGCCCTGGTCATCTAAATTTGCCTGTGAAAAGTAGATGACACAGTAGCACAACACTGAATCCTCCCCCATGTTTTAGCCTGAAAGATGCCTTTGCTTATTTACTTAAAGAAAGGAGGGAAAGGAGTGGCAAACTGCCTGTGTCCTGAAAGACTTTAGGAGTTATTCCTGGTGCTCTCTTTCCGTGAACTCGGAGGTTTGGGGATAGGAGAAATGAGAAGGAAAGATGTGTCTCCAGAGTAAATGGTGAGATCTGCTCTCTCTGCTCCTGCCCACTCCCATATTGTATTCTCACTGAGGTCCTAACCAGCTGTTCTTAGAATGGGGGCTGGGGAGGGTGAGAAGTCTGCGGCCTCACTGATGCTGCTGGGGACAGATGTAGGTCCAAGGGTGATCATTTCTGCCAGGCAGAGGGGAGGGAAATTTCTGATAAAAACAATATAACTCAAAGAGAAAGGGAAGAACCAAAATCATGCCTGGAATGTAGGGAATTCACAGGGATGGGAGAGAAGATGAATAAAATGTCTGAAAAAGACACGGGAGGACAGGCAAGCAGCACATCTCCACCTCTGATTCTGCTCAACAGAACCCATCTCTTCCCATCAGACAATGGCAAATACCTGGGCAATCGTCAGCCACCTCATTCTCTGACCGGCTGTGAACCTAGACCCTCACAGTGTGTGTGTACATGTGTATGCAAAGCAATTAAAAAGGAAGACTGAAGACGAAACAAATCAATGTTTTTACAGATTCATAATAAGTTCCTTTCCATATATTTATTTATTTTCTCTTTCGCCACTAAAGATGCAACAGCAAACTTGCAGGGAGCAGTTGTTGCCAGAGGGTGAATCATGGCTCTATTGATTTGATTATGTAAAAGCTCAGAGGAACCTAAAGCCAGATACAGAAATATCTCATAGCCCTGAACCCTATGGGACACACACTAGTAAAAAAGCAATCTTTATATTGTTCCTGATAAAAGCATCATTAGTTTCCTCACAGTGAAACCATTTCTCTGCTGATACAGTATATGGTTTTCTTTTTCTCCAGAATCCACTCAGACATAATTAACACTCAGTTACTAGACTTGAGGTTCCCTGGGGTGACCTGCTCAAGTTGGGGAGGGGGGTGAGGGGCTAGAGATGGAAAGAAAGAAAGACTGAGAGAGAGGTGGGAAGGGAGGGAGGGGGCAGGGAGGAGAGAAGAGATAGGAGAAGGAGGGAGGCAGAGGCGGGTGGGGTGGGGGTACAGTATCGAGAATCTATCCTTCCTTGGCCTTCCTGAACACCGCCCCGTTGCCTGCACTGCGCGGGAGAAGAGAGCCAGCGCGGTGGCGCCCTCTGCTGGGCCTGCTTACCCTCCTCGCCACGCAATCTGGACCAAGCCCCAAGCCATGCAATTCCGGGGACGACTCTCTCCACCCCTCGTTCTTTGCTTCCTTAGGAATAGCACTCCAGCCATCGCCTTCCGGTGAGAGAAGTCTGGACTGACCTCTCTGCAGACAGACAAATGCCCACAGACGTGCTCACAGTTTGTGCTAAAACTGCAGCAGCAGCAGCAGCAACAGATAGCAATTATGCTGTGCCTCCTTGTCCCTGTCAGTGTAGGCAGTGGCTCCCTGAAAAGCCCTTGAATAAACAGTGTTGCTGGGGTCAGCAGGGCTGGCCTTGGATGGGATCTTAAGATTTAAAGGTTTGGAAAAATGGAACCTGGAAGGTCCTTCCATATCTCTATTTGACAGCTGGATGGCTAATGTCTATGAGCCCCAGGGACAGGTCCTGGCTGCCCACAGGAATGGGCTCTGGCTCAGAGAGCCTGCATACCAGGGGACTCTGTGTTCGTCTCCAACTGGGCCTCAGCTTCACTAAAGATAAGAGAAGAATGCCAAATGTATTGCTCATCCTATGGACTTCTAAGCAAATAATGGCCCTTTCAGGAAAAATAAAAATTGTTGATTTTAGAATTCCTGGATGTGAATTTGAATTCACTAAGACAGAAACCAAGTCACTTTACAAGGAGGCTATTCTTGCACCTTTCATGTATATTAACAAGCCCATGGATGTATATACAAACACATACATGCACACACACACACACGCACATGCATATGGTGGGTATTAAAACATAAATGCATGAACACTTTCACACACAGGGACACCCAACCAGAACCACATGTACACAGACCTCCAAACACATATATACAGATGTCTTCATGTAATCCCATATGGACTGCATCTTCCAGCCACAGACTCACCCTCCCCGCCTTCCTCCCTCTGCTCCCAAGTTGTGTGAAACTTGGGAAATTTCCTCTGGGAGTCATTCTGTTGCTCTATTGTTCCATCCTGAAGGCCCTTCCAGGGACCACTTCCCAGACAGCAAAGTCTCTGTGCTCCCACTGGCACCAGATCTCTGTACGTTCATTAGTTTAGGCAGATCACCGGGGATTTCAGTAAAGATTTCTGGAAAAATTTAAAGAGCAAAGCTCTGAGGTCAGGCAGGCTTAGTAGCTAACAGCATGGATTCTGAGCCAGATTGTCTGCATGCACCCTAGTGCTGTCATGCACTAGTGGTGTGCCTTGGTTGCCTCATCTATAAAATGGAAATAACAGTACCTGCCTAATGGGGTTGTGATGGTCATAAAATGGGTTAGTATTCAGAATCTGCTGGAACAGTATCTGACATATAATAATCACTACATAAATCTCTCTCAAATAAAAGTACATAACCCAGGCTGGTTGTGCTATTTCCTGAGTAATCCTGGGGTCCTCTTCCCCTATCTCTCATTAGGTAAAAGGAAGAAGAGAACACAAAGAAATGATGACCAGGGCCATGCACAGTGGCTCCCACCTGGAATCCCAGCACTCTGGGAGGCCGAGATGGTGGATCACTTGAGCCCAGGTGTTGGAAACCAGCCTGGGCAACATGGCGAAACCCCATCTCTAAAAAAAATACAGAAATCAGACGGGTGTGGTGGTGCATACCTGTAGTCACAGCTATGAGGGAGACTGAGGTAAGAGGATCACCTGAGCCCAGGAGGTCAAGGCTGCAGTGAGCTGGGATTGCACCACTGCACTCCAGCCTGGGTGACAGAGTGAGACCCTGTCTCAAAAAAAAAAAAAAAAAAAAAAAAAGGGAAGAGAAAGGAAAAGACATGATGACCAGACACATCCTTCATACTTTTTCAGTCTTAGGGACCCTTTCCTGTACCTCATTGATTAGCTTTATTATATGTTATAATAGCATCATGACCTGCAGTCAGTTTGAAAATCTGCAATGCCTCCTCATCTGCAAAGCCTCTTGAAAATCCCTTTTAGTGTACATGATTTTAAAAGTCAGATATAGGCAACTTTTAAACCTCATTTGTATTTTTATTTTACTTCAAGTTCTGGGACACAAGTGTAGAACTATTTGTTGCATAGGTATACGTGTGCCATGGTGGTTTGCTGCACCTGTCAACCCGTCATCTAGGTTTTAAGCCCTGCATATATTAGCTATTTGTCCCAATGTTCTCCCTCCCCTCGCCCCCACCCCCCAACTGGCCCCCATGTGTTAAACCTCATTTTAGACATTCATTTCAACCTTCTCCATTGATTTTTACCCCTCTTTCAAAAGTTAGAATTGTCAAAAAGTAGAATACTTGACTGTTTTATATTCCCTTCCTTATTTCTTTTTTCTTTCCCACTTTCTCATGGAAGTATAATTAACAGTGCAATAGCAGAAAGCATGGTGATTAGGGTCACAAGATAAGTTGGCCAGTGAGCTTTAAACCATCAATGCATTAGGAACAAAGCCAGATGCTGACATGATGGTCTTAGTAGGAAGCCTAATAATGGAACATGCCTCCATATTGATTTTCTTTAAATATCTGTTCAACATTTTTGTGGAGGAGTAAGGGAAAGAGAAAGAAGACAGTTAAGAAAAGTGATAGGTCTTTCCTTTGCTCTTCTAACAATTCTGCTCTGCCTCAAATTTGCATATGCCACTCAAATAAACAAAAGCTCTGCAGCAAACTAGACCTGATTTCCTTTGAAGATGAAAAGACATGCAAGTATTGTGAAAGCCCAACCCACTGCAAAGAACATTTAATTGAAATATTCCATCTACACATGTACTTTTGATGAATGCAACTTTTCTCATCTTGTTACATTTCTAGTAAGGTTTAGCATTCAAGTGATACTTCAGTGCTCCTATAGGAAGCAATGCCCCTGGAAACTGCACATAGACCCTACTCAGCAGCTGGTTTTGATTAGGAGGGAAATTTTTTCATAGATGCCTTTCTAGCTCTGGGTCAGAGAAGGCCCAAGACAGTGTCTGTGGTGGCATCTGTCCTCTGGAATGGCCCTGTGTTGCTCTTTGAAGGTCTTCTCATTCCAGGAATAACCTGGAAGACCCATGATTTCCTAAGTTGACATCCACACTCAACCCCCAGAGCAAGCTTGGTGGTTTCCACAGGAAAACATTTTTTGCCCTGGTTTTCCCCCTCAACCTCATATACCTAATTTATCTTTACAACACGGACTTTAAGAACCCACAAAATCTGCAGTGCCTTCTTGATAGTGAGTCTTGATAGAAATATTAAATCAATGTGCAAAAATCACAAGCATTCTTATACACCAACAACGGACAAACAGAGAGCCAAATCATGAGTGAACTCCCATTCACAATTGCTTCAAAGAGAATAAAATACCTAGGAATCCAACTTACAAGGGATGTGAAGGACCTCTTCAAGGAGAACTACAAACCACTGCTCAATGAAATGAAAGAGGACACAAACAAATGGAAGAACATTCCATGCTCATGGGTGGGAAGAATCAATATCGTGAAAATGGCCATACTGCCCAAGGTGATTTATAGATTCAATGCTATCCCCATCAAGCTACCAATGACTTTCTTCATAGAGTTGGAAAAAACTACTTTAAAGTTCACATGGAACCAAAACAGGGCCCGCATTGCCAAGTCAATCCTAAGCCAAAAGAACAAAGCTGGAGGCATCACGCTACCTGACTTCAAACCATACCACAAGGCTACAGTAACAAAAACAGCATGGTACTGGTACCAAAACAGATATATAGACCAATGGAACAGAACAGAGCCCTCAGAAATAATGCTGCATATCTACAACTACCTGATCTTTGACAAACCTGACAAAAACAAGAAATGGGGCAAGGATTCCCTATTTAATAAATGGTGCTGGGAAAACTGGCTAGCCATATGTAGAAAGCTGAAACTGGATCCCTTCCTTACACCTTATACAAAAATGAATTCAAGATGGATTAAAGACTTACATGTTAGACCTAAAACCATAAAAACCCTAGAAGAAAACCTAGGAAATACCATTCAGGACATAGGCCTGGGCAAGGACTTCATGTCTAAAACACCAAAAGCAATGGCAACCAAAGCCAAAATTGACAAATGGGATCTAATTAAACTGAAGAGCTTCTGCACAGCAAAAGAAACTACCATCAGAGTGAACAGGCAACCTACAGAATGGGAGAAAATTTTTGCAATCTACTCATCTGACAAAGGGCTAATATCCAGAATCTACAATGAACTCAAACAAATTTACAAGAAAAAAACAAACAACCCCATCAAAAAGTGGGTGAAGGATATGAACAGACACTTCTCAAAAGAAGACATTTATGCAGCCAAACGACACATGAAAAAATGCTCACCATCACTGGCCATCAGAGAAATGCAAATCAAAACCACAATGAGATACCATCTCACACCAGTTAGAATGGCGATCACTAAAAAGTCAGGAAACAACAGGTGCTGGAAAGGATGTGGAGAAATAGGAACACTTTTACACTGTTGGTGGGACTGTTAACTAGTTCCACCATTGTGGAAGTCAGTGTGGCGATTCTCAGTGATCTAGAACTAGAAATACCATTTGACCCAGCCATCGCATTACTGGGTATATACCCAAAGGATTATAAATCATGCTGCTATAAAGACACATGCACACATATGTTTATTGAGGCACTATTCACAATAGCAAAGACTTGGAACCAACCCAAATGTCCAACAATGATAGACTGGATTAAGAAAATGCGGCACATATACACCATGGAATACCATGCAGCCATAAAAAATGATGAGTTCATGTCCTTTGTAGGGACATGGATGAAGTTGGAAACCACGATTCTCAGCAAACTATCGCAAGGACAAAAAACCAAACACCGCATGTTCTCACTCATAGGTGGGAACTGAACAATGAGATCACATGGACACAGGAAGGGGAACATCACACACCGGGGCCTGTTGTGGGGTGGGGGGAGGGGGGAGGGATAGCATTAGGAGATATACCTAATGTCAAATGACGAGTTGATGGGTGCAGCACACCAACATGGCACACGTATACGTATGTAACAAACCTGCACGTGTGCACATGTACCCTAAAACTTAAAGTATAATAAAAAAAAGAAAATTCACCCCTCTCTCAATAAAAAAAAAGAAATATTAAATCATGCACAGAGTTATTTCAGACCAAAGTGGTGCTTAACCGGATTCTAATTATTTGAAAATCAGTAAGGTATGGATGATCTCTGTGTAACCCTTAGTTAAATGAAATAGTCAATTAACCACCACAACTTTACTTACCCAGTCATGCTAAGTAGGAGTTTGCTATGGCCGTCATGTGACTTTTCCTATAGATACATGGTTTCTGTCATTAACATGTGTGCTTTAAGGCTTCTCAATTGCCCCCAGTAAAATGGATGGAACTTACCCAGCTTGAGCATTACCAGCCAGACGCACCAGTGGGACAATTAGCTAGTGGTGGTCACTGTTTGCGGCAAGCATCAAAGAAAGCAAACCAGACCATGTGGGAAATGAAATCAAGAGACTGACTTCATTCCCAGTCTGCCCAGTCTAACTAGATACAGGCAACATGAAGACATTTTCCTCTTTCTCCCATACCCACCACTGTCTCCTCAAAGGCCTGTTGGTGCGGGAAATTCTATTTGGGGAGGGACCAAGATCAGACTGTGGGTATGACCTGTGTAAGACTCAGATGCAAACACTATAGAAAGCCTGAACACATGAGGGGCCTGTAGGAAAATCCCAGCAGCGCTACATAACCTAACCTCAGTAGTCACAATTCCCTGCCCCAACTGTGTTCTCTTCTACATTGTCTGCTCAACAAACTTCTACTCATCCTTTATAGTCCAGCTCAAATATCTCCTCTTTCAGAATGGCTTTCAGGACTCTCACCCCAACCCAGGCAGGAAGAGGCTCCTCCCACCTGGACTCTGCCAGCACTCTGCTCATGCCTTTTTTTTAAATCCCAGCTCTACCAATTATGAGCTGTCCTTGTAAGTAAAATGGGGATAATGTCAGTACCTATCTCATAGTGTCATTGTGAGGGTTGAGTTAATGCAAGTAGAACCTCTCTGGCAATGATGGGCACACAGTAAACTATCAATACATCCTGGCCATGGTTGTTAGTGCACTGTATGCAATGGACTATAATCATCTGCCTGTTACATTTAGGACTGTGTGCTTCTTGGAATGTTTCTCAGAGCGCCATCAAAACAATCCTATAATCTAGTCTAATGAGGTGCGTAACTAAGATAAACCTTCATCTTTCTGGTTTTATTAACTGACAATTGTGAGAGTCACACACTTCTTGAATGTTTTTGAGATTTCTCAGTGCTCCTGTGGGCCTGCGTGGTGGTTTTTAAATATCCGCAAATAGGCCGGGCATGATGGGTCACACTTGTAATCCCAGCATTTCAGGAGGCCGAGGCAGGAGGATTGCTTGAGGCCAGGAGTTCAAGATTAGCCTGAGCAACATGACAAAACCTGGTCTTTACAAAAAATTTAAAAAGTTAGCCAGGCGTGGTGCTGCTCACCTATAGTCCTAGCTACTTGGGAAGCTGATGCAGGAGTTTGAGTTTTCAGTGAGCCATGATCACACCACTGTACTCTAGCCTGGGTGACAGAGTGACACCCTGTTTCAAAAAATGGAAAATAAAATAAAATAGAAATAATCAATAAATATCCACAAATACTTTGATATTCTTTCCTCCAATAGGTACACCCTAATTCCCTCTCTGAAATGTGAGCTGTACTTACTGACTTGTTCTAAGGAATGGAGTGTGCCGGAGGGGCAGTGTGGGTCTCCCACGATTCAAACATAAATGGCACCAGGACTTCCTCCTTTACCTTGGATTACTCACTCTGGGGAAAGCTGACTGCCATGTCATGAAGACACTCAAGCAGCCCCAGGGGGAGGTCCATGTGGCAAGGAAGTGAGGCTTCCTGCCAACAGCCAGCAAAGAACTGAAATCTCTTGCCAGTAGCCATTGGGTGAGCCATTTCAGAAGTGGGTCCTCCAGCCCCAGTCAAACCTTAGATGGCTGCAGCCTTGGAGAGACCTGGAGCTAGAACTCCCAAGCTATGCCGCTCTGAAATTTCTGACCCACAGAAACTAAGATAATTAATGTTTATTATTTTAAGCTGCTAAATGTTGAGGTAAGCCGTTATGCACCAATAGATAACTAATATAGATGATGACAGTACATTTTGAGTCAGATTTCTGTCTGAAAGTGACATGCCTTTGAGTGGAAAGAGAAGGCAGAGAATAGGGTTGGTAATTTCCTACACAACTTTACATGCTAGGGAAAGGGACAACTCTTGTCATCTCTCCTGAGGGCTGGCCAGGCTGCTACTCCTCAGGGGTGCCATGGCCCCATGGAGGCTCCCCTCCTGGAGAGGGCTTGGTCTGCTCATGGGGGAGGGAGGGCCCACTGCCTGCTGTTACCCCTGAATCCTGCTGGCTGCTGGTCACTGGCTACAAAGCCAACCTGAAACAGTTTGTGAATATCTTCAGTTCCCTGGAGAACCCACCTAGAGTAGGAAAAAAAACACCCAACCCATGGACTGGAGTCACACCTAAACTCTGCCCCTTAATTCTAGAGCTTGGAAAAGCCATGCAATCTCTCAAACCCTTGGTTTTTCTCATCTGAAAGATGGGAATAATAAAAGCATCTATCTTTTGTGTTGTGGGGAAAAATGAGATAAATACACAAAGAATTTTTAAAGCCACAGATTGATGGTGTCGTATCATTTCATATCATATATCATATCATACTATATCATAGTTTTGTTTTGTTTTCTCCCACAGTCCACACAGATGCCCAGTAATCTCAAAATCACTCAGCAATTCTCTACTGCCCTAGAGAAATGTTATTTGATAAGTTTATATAAAGATCGAAAGAGAATGCCTGGAGATAGGTAGCCCAAACAGATGACTTTTAACTTACAAAATTTTAAGGCAGCAATGGAAGAGAGATTGGAAAAAAGGGCAAGTACCTGGTGCTCCTTCAGATAGATCAGATATCAGGTCTACTCTCCGTGACAAAGGAGGCTTTTGGCAGCATGAGCAAAATGGCCTAAATATCTAGAATGCCCTTGTTGCCAATTTGACATAGGAGGTGCATCTCCCCCGGTTTTAGAACGGTCCTGCCTGCAGATGGGGCCTGTAGTGTTTGACCCTTTGAATTCCTTCCGGTTTTATGATTTCATCTTCACTACATCCTCCTCCTTCCTCCCCTCCTCACCTCCACCTCCACACACTTCTACTTTGTCAGACAAAACCCAGAAATATTGAAATGTGGTTTGAGTATCACGGCAGCCAGGAAGTTGAGAGAACAGGTTAAAACTATTTTCTTAAGTCCCAGCTTCTTTCCAGGAAATACAGCACTTACAATATATAGATAAATAGCCAGAGCCATTTAGGTGATTCCATTTGTCCTTTCCCACTTGTCAAAGCATTGCGCTACCAGCATGTCGGGCCCTATTTAAGTAAATGGACCTTTCCCTCAGCCATAAACAGTGGCTCTTCTCTGGGGTTTTGTTCATAGAATTAGGCCACAGGCGATTCAGAGGATTCCCAAGCAAGCAAACTCTGCTTATCTGAATTAGTTACGAGGCGTGCCCCTTCTTAAGAGTTAGTTCTTAGTAATAATGCTGCTCAGGTCATAGTCAAGGTCATGCCCAGTGGAGCCAACTTCAATTTCCAGACTTCTAAGACACTTTTTAGAGTAAGCCTCTCAAACTCTCTGCCTCTGAAAATGGCCTAACAGGGCAAAACATCCAGCAAAACAAGGAGGGCTTATTGTGAATATCCACAGTCATGGGCAGGAATTGGAAAACTGTTAGCATTAGAGACAGTTTTATCAGTTTTAGAGACTAGTTCTCTCTTGTCTCTCTCTTTCTTTCTCCTTCCTTGTCTCTCTTTCACTCTCTCTCTGTTTCTCCCTCTACATGTCTTTCTCTTCCATCCTTCAGTGACCTACGTTCACCTTGTGCACCACGTCTTTGCACCACATATTTTCCCTGCCTCATAGCTCCTGTGTCCCTGTAATATCTACTTCCTCATCTCAGAATTTTTTCCCCAGGATCTTGTCCAGCCTAATTCTACCCCAGGATATCCTTTCTACTTCAGCTCTCATCGATGATACCTCATTGCAGTCTCTCAGCTCAAATGAAGGTCTTGGTTAATTCAGCTCATCTTGTGGGGGGCCAGGCCATGCCTTGTGTCTTTGGCTTGGCTTCCTTAGAGCACTGCCCATCCCTGGTCCAGTCATCCACACCTGGTCCGAGTCGCATTGTATCAAAGATGACAGCCCTAAGTCTTTAAAGCAGAAGCTGCAGGGAGGGAAGGTTCTGCAAGAAGGGGAACGTGGGCATGCCAGGTGGTCTTAGTGCTATACCAGCGTAACCAAGGTGAGGCCTGTGACTAAGGCAGGTGACTGGTCTCATCTGAGAGTCATCCAAGTTTCCTTCATTATCCCCATATTTACAAGTAAAGACCATTAAATGGCTGGCCGCAGTGGCTCATGTCTGTAATTCCAGCACTTTGGGAGGCTGAGGCAGGCGGGTCACCTGAGGTCAGGAATTGGAGACCAGCCTGGCCAACATGGTGAAACCCTGTCTCTACAGTGTTCACACTAAGTATGTATTAGGGCTATTCTATATCAGGAGAATAGGATTCCGAACTGGTTAACCCCAGGCCTCAGGAAGGCTGAGTCTTTATTATTCACAACTGGTCATCTGAGTACCTTGGTACCCAGAGTAAAGCCAAGTGCTTCCTGAGGCTGGAGTTGCAGCTCTGAGTATCAGTGAAGCCTGATTTATTGATTTGCAGAGTCTGGTTATTATACTACTTGGGATCAGATTCCCTGTGTGTCATATAATAAACCCATGGCTTAATGTGGAAACTCCTTGAAGCATAAGCATATACCAATGATGTCCCAAAGAAAAACAATTTTGTAACTGTCGTACAGATGATGGAATGGTTAAAAGGACAGGAAATCAGCTATGCAAATTGTGAGATGTAAGTCACACTTCTATTTGTACCATGACAGTATGAAGACTGGAATTATTTTTTGTCAACATAGAAAAATAGTGAGAGACTATTGAGCACTGTCTTATGAAGAAAACCACTGTTCTATGTCCGAATTATCTGTGATGTGCCTCACTATCCCCTTGATTTTTTTTTCTGACTTAGCCAATGGCTCAAGGACTATCAGTAATGTGCTGAATTTGATTTTTCAAAAACTTAATACAATGAAAGTATACATGTGACTATTGATAAACACTGCCCCGGTTGATAATTAAGAAACAAATCATGCCATGTTCTGTTGATAATCAGTTGGTTTAATTCTGCCAATTCAATTTCAAAGATGTGGAAAGTAATAAAAAACTAAATCTGAAGTTCAAAATATGTCACTATTAAATAGATACCTTGGTTAAAAGATCTACTATGTTAAACTGTAAGTTTCACGGCCTTGAAGTGGCATTCAACTACTTTATGGAAGATAGCATAGTGTTACATTAAGAATATGGGCTTGGCAGATACAAATTTCTCCCACTAACTATATAATGCTTCTAAGCCCTGAGTTGCCTATTTGTAAAACAATGACTATGACAGCTTGTTCTAGAATTCTTGGAAGGACTTCGTGAGATAATGCCTATGAAGTACTCAGTACAGTGACCGGCACATGATATGTACCTAATAATAGGCAGCATTCATTATTATTTTGCCCATTTTCTCTTTTGGAAAGAAAAAGTACTTAAAGAGCAGCTCACCTCAGAGGCAACTCAAAATATAATAAATAACACAAACCCCTGTTATTAATCACAGCCTCATTTAACCTTAGTTCATTTGAAAAATATATTTGTAATTCTCCCTGAATCTTTATGGTAAAATCAGATATTTCCCAGGCTGGGATATTTGGCATAAATGTCTCACAGTCATCAGCAACGTGTTCTTCTTCAGTTACTGGTGGAAAAATAATGATATCACAGCAACAGCAGCAGCAACAGCAGCAGCAACAGCAGCAGCAGTAGTAGCAGCAATAATCTGCTTGACTATTGATCTTTATTAAACAAAAAACATTGGTCTGCCTTTCTAGTGTCTTTCTGAAACTCTTGCCCTCCAAATTCCTAAGGGCAGAGGAGAGTGACCATCCATAGGCATGAGCCAAAGAACTTCCTGGAAAATAGAAATTCACTTTGATGCTTCCTGTTTTATTTTAAAAATTCATGTGGGTTTTGAATTCTTTTTATAATATATTGGTATTTGTTTTAAAAACAAAATAATGTTCATCTATGACCTTTGCCTAACTGCAGTACACCAACCCAAACATCAGTGTGTCAATTAGAAAGGGTTTCAGCTGCAGGTAATACAATACCTAACCATAGTGGGTTAAGCCATTAGTACCTACATTCTGACTTAACATGTTTAAGTGCTTCAACTCTGTCACCAGTGACCTGACTCTTTCAAGCCTAAGTTAATACACCATCTTCAACGTGTTGGCTCTCCATGATTGTCTTGTTTTGTTTTTTCATGATCACAAAATGGTTACCATAGCTCCAGGCATTCCTTTTCACACTGTCATTCCAAGAAGAACGAAAGGTAAGGGACAGGCCCTCCAAAATATACATACATAAATCTCTTTGGGTGACACTTGCTATGATTCTCTCCAGCTACCAGGGAGGCTGGAATGTAAGTTCTGGCAAAGGGGAATGGAGTTCCCATGACTGGTTTAGACTAATCCTGATTCATTTAACTGGCTAACTGGGAATAAGAAGGCAGGAAATGTCTATTGAATAGACAAATATAAGAGTCTCCCTTTTTCCATAGCTGACAAGTTCCAAGACTCTCAGTGGTTGCCTGAAATCACGGGTAGTACAGAATGCTATATATACTATGTTTTTTCCTATACATGCATTCCTATGATAAAGTTTAATTCATAAATTGATAAAGTAAAAGATTAACAGCAACTAATAAAATAATTATAACAATATACTGTAATAAAAGTTATGTGAATGCAGTCTCTCTCTCTCTCTTTCTCAAAATATCTTACTGTATTGTACTCATCTATTTTTGAAGGCAGTTGACCGTGGGTAACTGAAACCATGGAAAGCATCACAGCAGATAAGAGGGGACTACCTAACAATGTCTGCCACATTCAGTTTGCAAAACACAGAGTTAGGAAATTTCACCATTCCTGCTTCCTCTGAGTCCTCTGTTTTCAGGCACCAAAGAAGAAAAAAAATTGTTTAACTGTCACATGAAATCTATACAGTTTCTTTCTCTCTCTCTCTTTCCAAATATGAAAGGAACAATAGTCTACTTTTTCTTTAAAGAAGAAAGAAAAATATTTGACTTCCCAACAGAATTGTCTAGCACTAAATGGTGCCATAGGAAACCTTACAATTCAAATACGATTAGAGAAGAAAACCTGCAGATTGAGCGAGGTCTATTGTTGGAGCCTCGAGGGCATCTACATACGTTGAGACTTTGGGTTCTTAAGAAGAAGTGCCTATGAGGGGCCAATGAAGGGTAGCTTTTCTGAGCCATGTTTTTGACACTAAGGGTTGGTGGGGAGGAGAGCTGAAGGATGTGGTCTGGCTTTGAAGGGCTCAGCAGGTGAGATCACTTCTTGCCTGGCTGCCTAAGGGGGATCCCCAGCTGAGCCTGCGGATTCTGCAGCACAGGCACAGAAACTGCCCCATCTGTTTGCTGGGTGCAGCCCTGGGAAACATCTGTTCATCTCATTGGTTCTGGCTGCCTTCAAGGGCAACAATCTTGGAATGAACAGCTTCCCTTCCACAGACTTGAAGACAGCACTTCCCCGTCAGTCATGGAGAAAAATAAGATCTTGGGGCCGGACACGGTGGCTCACGCCTGCAATCCCAGCATTTTGGGAGGCCGGGGCGGGCGGATCACGAGGTCAGGAGATCGAGACCATCCTGCCTAAGACAGTGAAACTCCGTCTCTACTAAAAATACAAAAAATAAGCCAGGTGTGGTGGCGGGCACCTGTAGTCCCAGCTACTCGGGAGGCCGAGGCTGGAGAATGGCGTGAACCTGGGAGGCGGAGCTTGCAGTGAGCACACATGGCGCCACTGCACCCTAGCCTGGATGACAGAGCGAGACTCCGTCTCAAAAAAAAAATAAGATCTTAGAGGGCTCCTCATGCCCCAGAAAACAGGACTCAACTTGCTAATCTGTTGGTAACTAACTGGTGGAAAACATAGTCCTCTTTTTCCTTTGTTCACTTGTCCATCTTCCACTATGTATACATGCCCAGTAGACACTGGTAGCCTTACCTACACAGGTCCCAAAACAACTCACATACACTAATAGAAAGATTGCAAGTAAAATCAGTAGACTCCAGAAAAGCAGATCAAGCTAAAACCAGGATACATGGCTGCTATGGAGGCTGATTTAATGATAGAAAGAGGATATAAAACAAAACAAAATATAAAACTAAAATGAAAACTCTTAAAATGATAAAAGATGAGGTTGCAATGGAACAACCCAAGAACACAAATGTTTCTGGAATAAAAATATAATTTCTAAACAGTAAACTAGAACAGGAAAATTGAACAATAAACTGGACCATGATGAATACTCAACTAGTGACTTGGAAGAGTCAATGGACAAATTATCTCACAGGACAGAGAACAATATAAAGAAATGGTAATAATGAATAAAAAGATAAGAGATGTGGAAGATGGATCCAGGACATCTATAATGTGAAAATAGTAGCCCAGAAGGAGAGGAGGGAATAGTTTGAAGAGAATAATCAAATGCATTTTAGAAGACAATTCCTCTTACATGAAAAATGACTTGCATTTTCAGATCAAAAATGCTTGCCAGGCAGATTTAATAAGGCAAAACAAACAAAGCTGGCTATATCTGGATGATAAAGTTTCTGAAATCAGATAATAGAGAGAGAATGATTTACTTAACAGAGAACAGAATGAGACAGGCATTGGTTTTCTTATCTGTAAGAAAAGGATTATAATTTCAGAATTATCTACCTGACCAAGATATTGGGATGGTCAAAGAAAGACATTTCCACACAAGCAAAGACTCTTGTACTTTTTATAAAGGAATTACTTAATAAAATGTGAAAGTCACATAAAATTAAAATCAGAATGCAAATCTCAAGGTAGCAGATAATGGAGTATAAGAATTAGAGGAGACCAAATGCAACAATGCAATGAAGTTTACAATTTAATCTAAATTGGATGATGATGATACTACCTTACAGATTTTGACTACCTACCATCTGTCAAGCATTTTTCTAAGTACATTATATCTATTATTTACTATTACTTTCCCCACATTAGAGGCAAATATCACATTTTGCTATTACTTTTCCTTTGGTAACTTGTCCAAGCTCATTGAACCAGGATCTAAAGTCAGATAAACTGATTCCAGAACCTGCATTTATCCTGTATACGGTAATGCCGTGCATAGCCTCATAATAATGCAAATATAAATGATAATGTGAATGATAAAAAAGAATGTTTGAAAAGAGATGTATTATAATAAAAGTTTAATAGCTTGTCAGAATTAAAATCCCATATTAATTAAACAATACTCAAAAGTGGGAGTGGGGGTGGAGGTGTGTGTAGAAATTAAGAGTGAGAAGGCAAAAACCCTGCTGAAGTTCCTGTGCTTTTTAGGAGAGGGGTGCAGGTGTGAAGTTATTACTTAATTTTGGCAGAGACATATGTTTAAAAATGACTTTTAAAGATATAACTTTATCAACAAAATTAGAAACATAGCAGAATTTCATACTGAAGGAAGAAAAAAGGATTTAAAAATATTCAAATCAGGGAAGAAGAAGAAGAAAAAATAAGAATTAAAGAAAATATAAAATGGAAGGCATCAGAACAAAGATATCAGATATCACAGTTAATGTGAATGGCTTTATTTTTCTCATTAATAGACAAAGACTCACAGATTAGGTTAGAAAAACAAACCAACCAACAAAAAACAAAATTTAATTGGGCACTGTTTAGAAGATTATAGATACCTGAAACGAAATGAAAATGTTTAAAAATAAATGATAGCTATAATTATATCATCCAAACACAAACCAAATGAAAGGAAGAATACCAATATTAATGTCAGATTAAGTAGTACTTGAGACCAAAACATGAAATTAGGTAACAAGGAATGTTTTGAGTTGTTGAAATGAGCAAAATATAGAAGCAATAAGTTATATGTAAAAAACATTTTAACTGTATACAAACAATTTGGTAAAACCATAATCATAGTGGGAACTTTAGTTCTCTGAGATTCCAGCACATCAATTTTGGCAAAAAAAGATATAAAGGAGTAAAATAATAAATTCTAATATTTCATATGTGTGAGTATATATATAAACACACATATACGCACATACATAATGTATGTTACAAAGATTCACTTTTCCTTTTATGTTATATACACATATATAAAAAATTGATAGCGTGCTTGACCAAAAAGAAAACTGTAAAAACGTAAAATGTTGAGTTCATATGGGTCATATTCTCTCAGTATAATGAAATAAAGCTAGAAACCAGCCATAACCACAACAAAAAGGTAACCAAACAAAACTTACTCATCTGGTAATTAAAATGGAAATTTTAAACAATTCCTGAATCAAAGAAGAAATCAAATCAAATAATAAATTACATAGAAAATCAGCAGAAAAATGACATGATACAAATTTATGAGTAGTGGCTAATGCTGTATTCAAAATAAAATGTATAGTTTTAGTATTTAAGGAAACAAGCAAACTAAACATGTAACTTAAGGAAATAGAAAAATGACAGCAAAAAATCTACTACAACAAAGTTGGAAGAGAAATTATAAAAAAATAAAATAGCAATTTTAGAAATTGCTGTGGTTAATTTTAGAAATATAAATAGCAAAGTATAAGTGACTAGTAAAACCAAAGTGGGTTCTTTGAAAAGACAAAATTAACTAATCCCTGGCAAGCCTGAGAAATAGAGAGAGAAAACTACAACCTACAAGATGAGGAATAAAGAATCAATGGCACAGTCACAGATACTGAAGAGACTGAATGCATTTTAAGAGACAAATGCAATCACATCTCTTAGCCGCTGAGGTTGCCTCAGAAAATTTCAACTTAATAACTGCCTTAGATAAAGACTTCTTTGTCTCCAGTTCCTCAGAATCAGTCTATAAATGAATTTGTATTTTTACCAGAATGAGACATTTAAAAACTGCAAAAACAAGCCATAAGAAGGGTTTAAACAGAGTATTGTAGGGATTTTATGACATATGTTCATACAACTTCGTTAAGTGACATCTGTCTTACTAGATTTCCAAGTAGAATCAAATGCCCTAGGCCTTGCTTAGGAAGGAAAATCAACACATTGTTTTTATATCCAAATCGTAATGGTCCAAATCCATTTAACTGCTAGAAACTGAGCCCCCTCAGAGTGTTTCTCAGCTATTTCTGGGAGTTCCCAAAGGGATGCCTTTCACGTCCCAAACTGTGACAGCAGCAGCCACCCGTGGAGTTGGCCCTGTTAGTTCTCTCCTGCTGTCTCTCTGTTACCCTGCAGAGAGCACCCAGCTTTCTATAGTTTCTGCCTCCTGTTTTTCAAACACCTTCTTTTCCTCTGGGTAACCATCCATCCTCTTCTGCCAATGCCAGAAGTGGGCCTCTCTCCATGGTTGGGCCTATGACTCACGCCTGACCAATCAGACCGTTCATTCCCCTGGACCTTGCAATTGATTCAAGAGGGTCAGGTGGCCCCATCAGAGGCAACAAGATGCAAAGGCATTTTTGCTAGGTAGGCTGGGAGAGAGGCTAGAATTCTTTCTACTGGACTTGAACTGCTGGCAGCCATCTTGCCACTGCGTGGAGTCTGGTTATGAAGCCAACTAGTAGGGAACAGAGCCAAGAGAAGGGTAAGGGTGACATCGTTTGGGCCCCTGGGACAACCTGAGAACTAAAACCAGGTAATTCCTGTCAGTCACATAAACCAGGTAATTCCTGTCAGTCACATGAACCAGTAAGTTATTTTTTTCTTTTCCTTAGGCTAGGTGCCACTAGAACTAAGAATTCTGAGCCTCAAAGCACTTATGCTTGCATCCAGCAACTTCTCAAGTCTATTTTTCCTTAGCACATTGTTATTTATTTACTGTGCATGTTTAAGATATATAATGTGATGCTTTGAAATACATAAACATCATGAAATGATTACTAGTCAAGCAAATTAACATATCCATCATCTCACATAGTTAATTTTTTTGTGTGTGGTAAGACTATCTAAAATCTACTTCCAGCAAATTTCCAGTTTACAATACAATATTACTAACTATAGTCCTCATGCTGTATGTTAGATCTTTAGATTCATTTATCCTATATAACTGCAACTTGGTACTGTCTGACCTCCATCTCCCCATTTCTCTTACTCCTGATAACCACCTTTCTACTCTCTAAGTTGCTGTTGTTTTGAGATTCCACATATAAGTGAGGTCATGCAGTATTTTTCTTTCTGTGATTGACTTATTTCATTGAGCATAATGTGGTCTAGGTTCATTTATGTTGTGTTGTTCCAAATGGCAGGATCTTCTTCTTTATGGATATATATACATATATATATGTGTGTGTGTGTGTGTGTGTATATATATATAATATGTATATATGATGTGTATATATATAAGGAGATTATATATCTCTATATATAGTATATAATTTAGCCTTAAATTTTATATACATATATATATATATATATATATATATACACACACACACACACACACATATCTCAATTTCTTTATTAATTCATCCATTGATGGACACTTTGGTTTCTTCCATATCTTGGCTATTGTGAATAAGGCTACCATATGATTTAGCAACACAAAGGAATATACCCAAAAGAAATGAAATCGCCACTTCATAAAGATATCTACACCTCGATATTCACTAAGCCTCTTTTGAGCTGCTCTGATGGCTTTTGCCTTTAATCTGCTTTCCCAGAGAAACTTAAAACTAGCCCAAGGGAGTCGATGGAAACCCATCTCCTCTCTCCAAATCACCCCCTGGCTCCCAATTTCAACTAACATGCCTCTCACCTTTCCCATCTATGCCCACTCATTTCAGAGGATGCACACGGGATGTGGTGAGCAGGGGGGCTGGTGGCAAGCTGTAGGGGCAGTTACTTGAGCAACATCTAGACTCTTGCCAGGCCAGCTAAGGTATCCTAGTTCACCATGTTCTCAACTCGCATGACACAAAATCTGTCCCTTAAGCACAAAATGCAAGTCCATAGACAATGACCTTCAAGAGAAGAGTGAAATACGTAGAGGAAGAGCTCTCTGAGCTCACACAAATCTTTTGGTTTAAGCTACATATATTCATCTTGAAGGCCTTTAAAAATCCTTTCTAACATTTAAAAACTTTCAATTCACTGACTCAGACTTTTTAAAGATTAATAAACCTTCACAAATCTGCTCTGGTCAACCATTTTAATAGATTTGTCCTGCAGAGGTCTCAGCCCCACCACCTCAAAATAAAACAAACCAAACAATAAATCAAGACCACTGAAATGAAATCCAGTCTCACATCACAGAGCAACAGTTTTATGGGTGGAACGTGTGTTTGTTAATTTCGAGAACAAATTATTGTGTTTTATTTAGTGCAGTTCAATTTATACAATTTTAGCTACAGGAAATAAAAAATAAAGCCCACAGGCCAGTTTTAATTCAGTCAATTTTTTCTTTCACGAGCATCCCCATGGCAGAAGAAACTGGCTAACACCAAGTCAGAAAACCCCTCTCTAGTATCTTGCCTGACAGTAAACACAGCCACTCAAACTGAGACGTTATTCCACTTTCAGTGTCAATGATGTTTAATAGAACTGCATTATTAACAGAATAATGTTTCTGCATGGCAAAGCTGGAGTCAATATTTAATAGATTTAGGTCCTATTAGCAACTGGATTTTGGAGAAACCTGACAAAATTAAACATAGTATGCAAACTAACAGAGTAGATTTAAAGATGACAAAATAAACGTTTCCATAAACATGCATTTTTCATAAATATTTGAGGCTATGAATGAGATTCAATATCCTTTAATCATTTCCTAATTAATATTCTTTAGATAGGGCAATCCTGAGTAAATATTAGGCTTCTGTTAAAGAGTTCTGTTGAAGAACAAAATATCCAACCAAATGTTTTTGTTGTTTTTGTTAAGGAAGTATTAGCAAGGTTTTTCTAAATAAAACAACAGCCTCCACGAGAAGATATTCCTTCCTACATTCCAAAGACTGTTAAAGAAAAATGAAGTCAGCATTTATGATCAGAGGAGATGGCTTGAAGGAAGCTTAGAAATCACCAGGCTGAGCATTTCATGTTGCAGAGGCTCAGCCCTAAGAGATCTGGGAATTACCAAAGAAGAAACTGGGGTTCCAGACTCCACTCTGCCCTGGCCAGCTACGCTTGGATATCACTTAAGTTCGCAGTTCAGTTTTCTTGTTTGTAAAACGGGAATCGTAATTCTTATCCTGCTTTCTTTCCAGAGCTAAGTGGAGAAGTTGGTGAAATAGCTTTTGTGAAAATCTTTGCAAACTGTTTTAAGACTCTAAAGAAAAGTCACACTGCCTGGATCCAAAATCCAGCAGTACTTACTGCTGACCCGCTGAGTAGCTTTAGGTGAGTCATTGAAACAACCTGGGCCTCAGTTTCTTCAACTGTGAAATGGGGATGATAATAGCACCTGCATGACAGGGTTCTTGAGAGATTTAGATGAATTAATTCAGGAAAAAGTGCTTCGGTGGTGATCATCTCTTCCATAATAAGAACACAATACATATTAGCACTTATTATTATTATTCTCGTTATTGTCATTGTTATCCATGATGAGGATATTCAGTCCCAGGAAAATTCAAGTTCATAATTCCATAGAGAAAGTATGATGTCAGGTGACGAACCTGTGCATTTAAGTCACTTTCTGGACCATGAGGTCTGCTTCATCCTGGCAGACTCTGGCATGGGGCCACCCAGAGTGGCACTGATGGTGCCCTCAGCGGAGAAAGCATGTCTGATGGAAACAGCAGTCAGCTGAACTCAAATGAGACTCAGCCACAATGAGCCCCCGTGAGGGTTGCCACCCTCCCAGCCAGGACTGGGCATTGATCAGCAGCAGCCCAGCTCAGAATGAGCAGAAAAAACCCTTCAGGCGGCCTGGTGGGAAAGAGCAAAGCAAGGTCACCTGACATTCTCGGAAGGAAGGAAAACAAGAGAAGCCCAGCTGCCCTATCTCTGACCCTGGCCTGGGAAGACAACCATAAAAAATGTCATTGTGATTGATGAAGAGCTGATAAGGTGTGAAGAGACAACGCCAGTTCAAGGTTGGTCTGTGTTCTCGGGGCTTCCCTCCTAAGGGGCAGGTTTATAAATCTCAGTCGGTGCCAGCCATTGTAAATATAGGGTTTTTCTGGAGCAAGACAGCTGCTTTCTCCTCTAACATGAGTACTCGATGGGAAGGGACCCTCTGCAGACGCCGAGGAACTTGCTTGAGAGCATGAGAGTGTCCAAGCTACCTCCCAGCCCACCCACGTGGCCATGGTCTTTGCCCTCTGCCCATTTCCACGCTCCATCTACTGCGCTCCCCACCTCCTTACAATCCCACTTCCACTCCCTCTCCCTTCATAACAACTGGGTGCCTAGCATTTTTGCCTCCTGAGAGAAAATAACTAGGTATCACCCAGAGATGCCAAGCATATGTGGAGGGGGTCTAAAACACCAGCTATTTTTTTTGCCTGTGGGCTGATGGCTTTCACACAGTTCTTGGTTCAAGGGACCACTTCCCAGTGGCCAGGACAAAGCGCTGCAATATTTGGGAGGCAGATGATGTGAGGACTCGAGAGTATGGTATGGGAGTTTCTCTATTTTCTTTGTCACCCTCTCCTCTCTCATTCCGCATCTTTTCCTTCTTCCTTTTTTCTGACCCTTTCTCCGACTTTTCCTCTTTTCCTTTCATGTATCATTTTCTCCAAAATGTGGGTATTTCAGGAGTTTCACAGAAGGTCAAATTATTTCTCTTCTTTTCTAGTGTTACCTGAACAACGCCAAGCTAAGTCGATATTTAAAAAAACTTTAACTTGATATTCAGCTCGTTTATCAGGATGTAGTGTAAGCTGGAACCCCTCCTCATCTACAAAAAGGGGTACTAACTAAATGCAGGATCTCAGGTTCCCTCCAGCTCTGCTCTCCCAGGTAGTTTTCGGACTCACGCCTTTTCCCCACCTGGGCCTCTCAAGACTTTAAATTGCTTTCCAATAGGAAATTTACCCCAAACGATGTGAAGTCAAGGAAAGGCACACAAAGTCATGTCAAGTCCTTTTGGGAAAAAAACCCTTTAATGTTTACCCAGGCCTGCTTCTTAGGAAGATGCATGTCAGAAAAATATTGCACAGTTTTCTAACGGAAGTCACACAGTGCGGCAGCAAGACACCACCTCCCTTCCTCTCAACCTCACTTAGTCTGGCTTCGAGACCTCTTCGACAAGGTGTTTCAACATCAAGGCTGTGTTTCCACAGTTCATTTGGGCTTTGTTTGAAGCCAGGGCAATAGCTCAGAGATCCCAGAACCAGAATTTATTGGATTTGTCTAGAAAGTCACCTGCCTCTGAATTAATATCCCATGGGAAATGAGATATTCTTCGGCTGAGGTCCCCTGTGTTAAATGTAGACCAAACCCATGGCAACTATCCTTTGGCCACCTGAGAAGTAGGTAGAAATGCCAGTCTTCTTATTATAAGGCAGCAAACATAACCAATAAATGTATTCCTTCTTGGAATGAAAGCATACATAGCAGGTACTATTACTGCTATTAATAATACATTAAGTGGATGTGAAAGCGCCTGCATACAGAAACAACAACCCAAACCCCAAACCAATGAGAATTAACTTTGAACCTTTGCAGTACACAGTATATCACACTCACACAACCAATTAAAAAGGCATGTCATCTTGTTTGGAAAGTATCTATTGATTTTCCAGTTCATCAGATCAGGTTGATGTGTCTTTCAATGGCCTCGATGACATCATCAATATTTTTCTATTTAAAATAATGACTTATTTTATATGCCAACAGCTATAAAAAACAGCCCACCTATATATATTTCTACCGACACCAGCTTAAGAGCCATCTGGTTTTCTCTCCTTAACATATGATATTGGTAATCTGGGGCAAAAGAAATGTTTTGGTCTTGTCATGAGACTCATTTAGAGACCACAGTAAATTTGTTTAGTTTAAAAACCAACCACTAAATCATGTTTTCTCTATTAGAGGCTGATGCTCTCCACTGCATTTGGTGTCCAAATTACATTCATTTTAGAGTAAATTACTTTCATTTCAGAAGCAGCCCCCAACTCCCTTCTCCCTCCCGTCCAAGAAGGCAATACACTCACCAGCTGTGTGATCTTTGGCAAGTGACTTAATCTCTCTGAAACTCTTTTTTCTCATGTATTAAAAGGTGGGATAAATATGAGGTAACATGCATATAACTACTTTTTACTCTCACAGTAGCCCCACAAGGTTGATACTATTAGCCCCATTTTACAAAGGGGGAACTGAGGTACAAAGAGGCTAAGTAATGTGCCCCAAAACAATACAGTTTGTACAGGATGCAGCCAGATAATCTGACTGCAAATGTTCATAACCAGTTGTACTTGCCTCACAGGGATGTGTGGGGATTCAGTGACAGTTAAAACACCAAAATGCCAGTGCTGGCACTTGACAGGTGCTAAGCAGACATTATGGCAGAGGGTTGGGAATCATACCACTCAAGTTCAAATTCCAGCTTTTACCATTTAGTACCTATATAACCTTGGGCAGATGGTAACCTTTATGTGCTTCAGTTAATTAATTGTAAACGGCAGTGGAATGGCACCTGCCTTGTTGGGTGGTAGTGAGGATAAAATAGCTCACAGCATGCACAGGACTTATATTAGTGCCTGACACAGTCGGTGCTCAATAATGGCAACTGGAGTTATTAATAGCCACTCCATAAATGCTATGCTCCCTTTCCCCCAAATCCTTTGTGTTCCCATAAATGTTTTCAACATACATTTAACCTCAATCTATGACCTATGGATCAGAAATTCAAGCATCATTGTGGCCTTGCAGGAAGCACCCTGCTGGAAGAATTAATCTTTCCCCACCAAGGGATAGCATTGAGGAGTGAGGAGGAGGATCTTGGCTGAGCCTCCTTACATTTTTCTTCTCAAGTCAAAACATCCATCATTAGTGCATGTAAAATTGAGTGATAAAAGCACGTCCTTCGAGGCCCTGTTTGTGCAGGGTGGTGCCATAGTCTGAACTGGAAATGAAAAGCTTGTAGTGAGACAGGTGTGGCTTAAGATCTGGCTCTAAGTGAATTAGCTGTGTAATTTCCAGCATTTGTGGCACTACCCTGAGTTTTAAGTTCCTCCTCTGTAATCTAGAATAAATGCTATTTCAACTCATCATATGGCTGTGAGAATTAAACAAGAGAGCACATTGAAGCTAAGTTCCCAACAAATGTCAGCTCCCTTCTTCTGGTCACCATCCATGAAATTATTCTGGGGGATAGGTGATAAGGGCTCTGTACCTTTTCCAAGTCAGGAATGAGTTTCCATTCTAACTGGAGTGTGGAAGGGGCGAGGGCTTGCTTTGAGTGGGTCTGATTATAGAGAGTGGGAACATCTCAACAAGTCATTGGGGGTGACATTTTGGGGAGTCTTGAGATTTCTTTCAGTATAAGGGCTAATAAAACCAGACCGAGTTTTAGGATACAACAGACCATTTACCAGCCCAAGAAATACGGCAGATGAGATCTCATGTGCAGTTCTCTGGGGAACTGCTGCAGTGGGATTCCAGACAGAAACTGGCAGTTAAGCAGCTCTGATGACAGTCTTGGTGCATTTTTCCATAGCTTCCCTGTCTGTTGCCTGGGCTCGCCATTCCAGTTTTCTTTTCCAAGTCCAAGCCTCAACAATTCAGTGTTTGCCTCTATAAAAATGAGCCCAGTTGGCCTCTCTGTTTCCCTCCCAGTCGATGGGAAAATGAGGCTGAAGTCCTGAGGCCTTAGGAAAGGCATCTTGGGGAAGAAACTGGAAGGCACCTGGAATCTCCATCTAAGCTCTGTCCCTAATGGGCCAGGTCACCCTGAGCAAGTTGTTTCACCTTTCTGGGCCTCAATTTCCTTATCTCTAAAGAGGGGAGATTGGAGCAGCTCCATGGTCTTCACACTGTGTTCCATGGAGCCTAGGGCCCCATGGCAGCACCTGTGAAGCTGCCACAGTGGCCTGGGGCAGAGGTCAAACTCCAGCACCTCATGGCCAGCCTACAGATGAGTTTTTATTGATCTGTGCAATGATTTTCTTTTCTTTAAATATTGAAGTAGTAGCTCAAATTTCAAAATCAGGAGGTTTTAAAAATATACATTTTATTTATTTATTTATTTTGAGACGAAGTCTCGCTCTGTTGCCCAGGCTGGAGTGCAGTGGCGTGATCTCGGCTTGCCACAGCCTCTGCCTCCCGGGTTCAAGCGATTCTCCTGCCTCAGCTTCCCAAGTAGCTGGGGCTACAGGCGCGCACCACCATGCCTGGCTAATTTTTGTATTTTTAGTAGAGATGGGGTTTCACTATGTTGGCCAAGCTGGTCTCAAACTCCTGACCTCGTGATCCGCCCGCCTCAGCCTCCCAAAGTGCTGGGATTACAGGCATGAGCCACCATGCCTGGCCCACTTTATTTTTTAATAGCAGTTTTAGATTTACAGAAAAATTGAGCAAAGTACAGAGAGTTCCCACATATGTCCTCCCCCCTTCCACGTGGACCCTCACACCAGGTTTTCTCTATTATTCTCATCTTGTGTCTTGTAACAGGTATGCCTATTACAGTTGATGAGCCAACATTGGTACATTATTATTAACTAAAGTTGAAAGTTTACATTAGGTTTTACGCTTTGTGTTGCACATTCTATGGGTTTTGCAAATGCACAGTATCGTGTATCCACCGACAGTATCATACAGAAGAGCTTCACAGCCCTAAAAAAAACCCTGTGTGTTCTGTCTAGTCATCCTTCCCTTCCCTCTACCCCCTGGAAACCACTGATCTTTTTACTGTATCTATAGTTTTGCCTTTTCCAGAATGTCATAGAATTATAAAGTATGTAATATTTTCAGACTGGCTTCTTTCACTTAGCAAAATGCGTTTAAAACTCTTCCATGTCTCTTCATGACTTGATAACTCATTTCGTTTTAGTGCTGAATAAGAAGTATATTGTGTGGATGTATCACAGTTTATTTATTCATTTCACCTACTGAAGGACATCTTGGTTTCTCACAAATTTTGGCAATTATGAATAAGGCTGCTATGAAAATCTATGTGCAGGTTTTTGTGTGGACATACATTTCCAATTCATTTGGGTAAATACCAAGGAACACAATTGCTAAATCACATGGTAAGATTGTGTTTAGCTTTGTAAGAAATTGTCACACTGTCTTCCAAAGACAGCATATCATTTTGCATTTTTACCATTGCTCCACAATAGTAAGAGTTCCCATTGCTCCACATTTTTGCCAACATATAGTGTTTTCAGTTTTTTACTTTAGCCAGTCTCATAGGTGTGTAGTAGTATCTTGTTTTAATTGGCAATTTCCATGAGTTACAATATATGATGTTGAACATCTTTTCATATGCTAATTTGCCATCTGTATATCTTCTTTGGTGAGGTGTCTGTTTAGAGCTTTGCTCATTTTTAAATCGGGTTGTTTTTCCATTGTTGAGTTTTTTGGTATGTTCTGGATACAAGTACTTGATGAGGTATGTGTTTTGCAAATATTTTCTCTCAGTCTATGGTTTTTTTTTTTTTTTTTTCCACTCTTTTAACAGTGTCTTCGACAGACCAGAAGTTTTTAAAAATCAAGACATTTCACATAGCAATCTGGCTTTCTGGCTTCTCTTGGAAGTGCATCTGGTAACACTGGGACCCATGCCTGCAGGGCTAAAGCCACTGGCGGCTGCCTCTGTGGACAGCCAGCTCTCCCCAGTTCTCCAGAGCTGCATCCCTCCCACTTCACTCAGCTGCATTACCTGCCTGGCCCCCTGAGATATATGCCTGGGATGACTCTGGTCTAGAGAAAGCTTCTCCTTTCTACAGTGGGTTTCACATAGGTATGCCTTGAGTAAAACCATCTGATGCTTTAAAAGAAAAGTTTAAACATGACTGGCTTAGATGATCTTCCTGCTCTTTCCAATCAGTCTTACCCTTCCATTGTCACATTCAACTTGAACGAGAGGAGAGGCAATTTCATAAACTCTCTCTCTGTGGCCTGTTGTGCTCACTCCAATCCATGTCATGGAGTATGATGCCTACATGAAGGTCACCACCACCAATGCCACTGTGCTTACCAGAAGTGCCTCACACCAGCTGGATCAATAAGAAGAAAACCTTCACATGCAGCTGCCTTCTATATGGGGATGGGGGTAAAGTCATCTCATACAGCACAAGTATCTTAAACCCCAAATCACCTCGAGGTATGGAAAATAGACATTTGCTATAGGTTGGTTCATTTGACCCTTCCAAGTCTCATGTTGAAATTTGATCCCCAATGTTGACAGTGGGACTTAATGGAAGGTGTTTGGATCATGGAAGTAGATCCCTCATGGATGGCTTGGTGCCATCCTCGTGGTAATGAGTGAGTTCTCACTCTATTAGTTCCCACGAGAACCAGTTGTTAAAAAAAGAGCCTGGCACCTCCCTCCCCTTTCTTGCTTCCTCTGTTGCCATGTAATCTCTGCACATGCCAGCTCCCCTTTGCCTTCTACCGTGAGTGGAAATTTCCTGAGGCCCTCACCAGAAGCAGATGCTGGTGCCATGCTTCTTATACAGCCTGCAAAACCAAGAGCCAAATAAATATCTTCTTTATAAATTACTCAGCCTCAGGTATTCCTTTATAGTAACACAAATGGACTAAGATGGCATCTTTATAGACAGGAACCACTCTTGCCACAGAAAGATGCTCTTGCATGAAGGCACATGAGAACTGAGACCAGGAGAAAACAGCAGATTGGAGCCACAGATTTCTGCCTCTCAGCTCATACTCATTCTGAGGCATAAACCTATTGAGTAGGGTGGTGGGCTAACTCTCAGCATTATCTAAATTTCTGTCTCTCTCTTTGTCCCCTGAATTGGTGTAGTCAACTTTCTTTAAGGAGTATGTGTTTGGCATGACTCAGTTTTCACCAGGGTCGCTAATGCATCTGAAAGCTGCCTCTTGAGTTCTAAAAAGCATCAGTAAAGACAAATCAAAAGGGCCTAGCCCAAACTTCACAACAAATTAGAGGTGAGGTAATGATTTTTATATAAGTTCCTTGTCCCCTGGCCAAGCTTGGTATCTTATCGTGTATACTTGTTGAAGTTACATATGTAGAGGACAATGTTAATTTGCTAGGGCTTATATGACAAAGTTCCACAAACTGGGTGGCTTATATGACAGAAATTTATTGACCCACAATGCTGGAAGCTAGAAAACCAAAATCAAGGTGTTGGCAGGATTGTTCCTTCTGGGGGCTCTGAGGGAAGGAGGCGTTCCAGGCCTTTCTCCTTGGCTTGTAGACGACTGTCTTCTCCATGTCTCTTCACATAACCTTCACTCCATGGGTGTCTCTGGGTGCAAATTTTCCTTTTTTATAAGGATGCCAGTATATTGAATTGGGGTTCACTCTAATACCTCATTTTAACTAATTACATCCACGATAATCTGATTTCCAAGTAAGGTCACATTTTGAGGTATAGGGAGTTAGGACTTCAACCTATGAATTTGTAAGGGGAGCATAATTCAACCTATAATAAGGCCTCTAGGGTAGGAGGACAAAAATCCCTTGTCTCCATCAGTCAGTCAACTCATGGGGAAATATAGGTCTTGGGAAAGTGAATTAATAAGGAAAGTCCATAAAAGCAAACCTTAATGATGGCATTCCCAACGTTCTTCATTCTTCCAGAATCTTTCTCTTCTTTTTGAGATAACATAGTCATGGTAGAAACAAAGAGGTGCTAAAAATCAATGGAAGATTATTGAAAGTCTCAAAACTCTTCTCCAGTCTTCCCCCAATCCTCACGACATCTTCATAAAAGCTGTTCTTAATGACTGCCCATGAATAGCTCTTCAAGCAGCTATCTTGGCCAAGTAAATAGAACTGTGAAATAAAGACCAGTCCCACCTCCTGTGCAGGCTTCAAAGATGCCAATGGCTTCCCAGAAGTTCCTCACCTAACTTCATGGGCTCTTGAGGCATTCCTCTTTCTATTCTCCCAGCAAACCTCTACCACCTGCTCAGCCATCACCACACCCCACTGTTTCATCTGTGACTTGTGTCTTCAGGGAATCCCAATTCCCTTTTCCTGGTGAGCCCATTCCACCAGCTTTTGGGCTCAGCTTTGTTTTAATCTTAAGTCCTCTGATGTACCCTTCAGAGTTTCTACCACTAAGGCACTCCTTTCTTACATGATCTCTCTCTTGGATGGAAGCATATTTTGTTTCTCTTCTCTAGTGAAATGGTGAAGGCATAAATTAAAATTGAAACAGGGTGTAAAGAGAGAGGAAGGAGAGGGAGTAATGAGCAATGGGTCTGGAAAGGCAGACCAGCAGGTCCTAGATGGCTCATGTGGCCCAATGGAAAGAGCCAAGGCTTTGTAATAACACAAACACGGGCTGAGGGATCTTAGTTAGATCAGCACCTGGAACAAATTCATTACATCTCTGTGTGTGGTATTAAATCTCATCTCAGCATCAACAACTCCCCAATTTGTATCTCCAGCCCTGATTTTCCTACTAAATTAGATGGTAAAATTCTAACTTCCTTCTAGACATTTGTATTTGAATGTTTCATAGGCAGTTCTGACTCAGTATATCAAAAAGTAAACTCAATTTCATTGCCAAATATGCTCTTTACCCAACCTTCCTCATCTTGGTAGATGGTAAGTCCATTGTTTTTTGTATTTGAGCCCAAAGTTTTAGGAGTCATTCTTGACTTCCTTTTCTCCTTCTCCTACCTCACGTTTTTACCCATCAGCAAATCTATCTAAACTTACCTTTAAATATATCCAGAATGTGTGCACTTCTCACCATCTCCTGCCCTGTCACTCTAGTCTGTGCCATCATTATTCATTACCAGAATTATTAAAATCACTTGCTAACTACTTTCATTAGAGTAGTTCCACCCTACTGGAATTCCACCCTGGCCTTCCAGACTATTTTTTCATCTGATCCTTAGAGTAGTCTTATTAAAAACATAAGTCAAATCATGTCACTCCTTCCCTCAAAACCTGTGACAGACTCCTAGCTATTCCCAAACATCTATTCTCCTTTCTCCCTTAAGTCACAGATCTTCCGAATTTTACCCAATGACTAACAACTCTATTTTCCAGCCTCTGTTGTCGTTGATGTGCCCATGTGACTGGGCTGGAACTAATGGGACGTGAGCAGAAGGAACGTGAACAAGGTGCAGGTCATGCTCTAAAGGAAGGGGAAGTTCAACTTCTTCCTTTCCCCTCTTGCTGGTTGTTCACCATCACACCCTGGGGAAGGGTGGACCAGAGCCACACTAACTACTCTGGACTGTGCCTGTGGATGTGACATGAGTGAGAATTCGATGTCATGAAATTATTACAGCAGCTGAACATGTACCCTAGCTATAGACCCCCGCCCCCTCCCCCCCACCAATGCCTTGCTTTTGCAATTAGACTAACATCTGAAACCTTTCCAAGGCCCACAAGGTCCTATAGGATCTTGCCCTTGACTAGCTCTTTGACTTCATTTCTTTTACCCCTCCCTTGCTCTCTCCACTCCAGCCACTTGGCCTGCTTGTGCATCCTCAAATACATCAAGGACACTCCTCCTCAGGGCTCTGCTTAGATGTCACCTCATCAGGGAGCTCTTGACCGCCCAATGTCACCTCACATCCTGCTTTATTTTTCTTCACCATCTTATCCTTCCTTGACATATAAGTACTTGTTTGTTGGCTGTCTTTGCCCTGCCCCCACTAGAATGTGACCTTCCTAAGAAAGGGACATTATGGTTTTGTTCGTGGCTTTAAACACGTCGTAAACTTTCCAAAAATATTTATTGACTGAATGAATGAACAAACTTCTGTTTCATCATCTGTGAGATGGGGATAGTAACTTCTGCCATGGAGGCTTGTGATGAGAATGTGGGAACACAATGCCAATGGCTTCATGTGGTGTCTGGCACTTGGTAGATGCTCAGGACACATTAGCTACCCAATTTGAGAGATTTCTTACCTGCACAAACATGGGTGCATTCAAGAAGGATGTTCTCCCATTCAAATCTGGTAGTTTGTTTTTTTTTGTTTTCTGAATCAAAGAAGTCCTTTTCAATTAATATTTTCGGTGTTATGATCTCTCTCTGTTTGTTCATTACTCCCTCCCAATCTCCCTCACATCTGTCTCCATTCACTGGCAATATCCATTTATTGGCTCTGTCATCGATCCAGACATCTCTGAAACTGGCGATCCTATTTCTCATCATTGCTATGCTCATATCCAAGCCTGAAACCTTTAGAAACAAGAGACATCCTTGAGACACAACCTCAGGGGACACTCCCTGCTGACCGTCTCTTTCAATTTGGCAGAGGGAAACTGCCTTGTGTCTTGTATTTCTCCGTCTTGAGCATAGCTTTGCTGACTTAGCACAAATTTCCCATAAAAAGCTGGCCTCTAGGGAGCAGAGACTGAACTTGGAAACTTTTATCCCAAAAGGAGAATTTGTTGTAAAGTTATGAGTGGCTGAAATATGAGGGGCTGGAACTGTTGGGAGCGGGGTTGAATGGCAGTGGTTTTACAGCTCCTGAGATTCTATTTCCTCCCGTGAATGGTCAACTAGTCCCCCATGAGCCACCCTTCCCCATGACCCTTGGCAAAAAGCATTATTACCCTGTTTGCCCACTGAAAAAGAAGATTAGGACTGTTACCAACAAAGCTACTTCCCATGGTAAAAAGAGCCTCTTGGATCAAGTTTTCTCTCTATGGTCACTGAAAATGACAATTCATTTCTTCTCCGCCAGCCAAATGCTATCTCCAGATGCACACATGTGTATCCCATTGAAGTCAGAGAGGCCCAAAACACATTTGAGGTCTCTTCTTGGTGGCAAGAAAGTGGAGCTATAAAGACAAGCTCCAGAGCAGAGATGTGTGTCTTTGTGTGTTTGTGTGTGTGTGTGTGTGTGTGCATACATGGAAGGTTCTTACCCAAATCTAAAACTCATTTGCCTTCATAGCTTGAAAGCAGCCAACTCAATTGTCCTGAGAATCCTCTAATGTCTATGTGCCAGTGTAAGAGTAAAGATGATGGAAATGTTCTGTTGATAGCAATTGTCAAATTTATAAAACCATATGATGTGCAGGTCAAGAGGTAGAAGGCACAATGGGTACAGCAACATACACAGATATTGAGGTCACAGACCTGTGTTCAAATCCAGGCCCTGTCACCTTTTAGCTCCATATTCTTGGACAACTTCCTCAATTTCTCTAAGCACCAGCTATCATGGCTTCCTACCTTTTTGTCATTTGTAAAATGGAAATAATATATGTAAATGCCCGGCTTGTCATAAGTACTCAAATGGTGACCATCTCATTTAAATTAACAAGAACTAGAGGATACCATGCACACTATCCCTCTCAATACCACACCTCCCCCCACGTTTGCATGGCTACATACAAATGTACTCATTCAAACACATACACCCAATACAACTACCAAGCCTCTCAGTTTTGATACACTCTTGTGAAAGTCTGCTTTTGGGCCTCCAAGTCCTTCCCATTCACAAAGCTGGGACCTCTTACCATCACCTCAGTCTGAAAGTCTCTGGAAAGCCCAGAGCAATACCTCAAGAAATTTAGCATGGAGTCATTTTCAATACCTAGTCCAACTTGGAAATAGAAGAACTGAATTCTAATCTTGCTTCCTCTCTTGCTACCCATTGTAAACTTTGTCCATTCTACCTTCAACATGTGGTAATGAATACTTGTCTGTAACCTTGACAAAGGTGTAAATATCAAGTAAAATGTCATAGAGACTCACCAAGTAATCTCTTCCTTTCATGTACAGCACTTATGTCTGCAGTTTTAATGATCCATACAATGATTTGTTTAAAATCTGCTTCCTCCACTAGACTGTAAGTTCCATGAGGCCTATTTTGCTCACTATTGTAGCTCAATATGGCACACTATAGCAGAGTGATTACTATATAGCAAGCCTTCAATGAGTATTAGCTGAACAAATATGAGAATGTAAAAGTACTTTGAAAACTGCAAAGCACATACTAATGTCAAATACTATTATTATTATGCGACATGTCAATACCAAGTGATTGGTTACTAGGCTGCCCTGTTCAACCAATTTATATGTGTATTTAAAACAATTTCCACTGTAAAGTTTTTAGGCATATCATTTCCTTGAATGAGTATGATGCTTTTAGTCATTTCTATAGAAATTCAGCACAGAGCCCTGATTCAAGAGTATAAAATCCTGCATTAACATTGCCTCCTTGGAAAAATAGATTTTTTTTTTTTTTGCTGGGCATGTAAATGTGAGGGTTACCTGTTTTTTTTATCTTCATACATCCATTCATCAATTCAGTCACACACTTAAGAACTATTAATTAAATGCCTACCCTGTGGCAGGCACTATATTAAGTGCTGAGGATACAATGAAAGATATGACTGGTGGTTCTTGAATTCATCTCACTGTCTACTGGAGAAGCCTAACCTATAAACACAGTTACAACTATGTGATGTGGACTGTAATGGAGAGGTGCACACATGTAAGCAGTGATGGGAGCACAGAGGAGGAAGCTCTTATTCCTCCTCTGCAATGGTGTGGAGTGTTGTAAGAGGCCTTTCAGAAGAGATGATATTTGAACCCAGTCTTGAAGAATGAGTATGGGTTTTCTAGGTGAACTAGATGCAAAAGATGTATTCAGGTATTGGGAAGAGCATGTGATTTGGTGAATAAAGGATGATAGATGAGTGAAAGAATAGCTTAAGTAATAAAAGAGATAAACCTAAATTATCCGCCACCTTGAATTTCAACTGTGTGGCTATTTGTGGATGGAGATGCGTGCAATGAACTGCTTTTAACTAATATGCTGCCCCAGTAGCCAGAAAGGACACCTGGAACCATGGGAATAAGAGGAAGGATCCTAGCAAAGGAAAAACAAAAAAGGAATCTTAGGCAGATACTAGCCACTTGCCCACTTCCAGGAGGAGGATAAGAAATAATCTGCAATGCTGTTACCGATTTGGAAATGTCAAAATGTGACAGAGGACTTAATCTTCGTATGTCACAAAGATGTTCCGAAGAGTGGATGGAGTGATGGACATTTTCCTGCTCTCTAGGATGCACAAATGCACTTTGGTTCAAAGCCGGGGACATTGTTAAAGACAACGTTATTCTTCCAGAAAGCCAAATCAAGCGCTTTTGAAAGCCTCCGACTCCATTCTGAATGTGTTGCAATCTATGCATTTAAAATCATTTTCTAAGCTGGGACAATGACACAAACATCCACACAACACAAGCTGCCATGTATAAAGTTGGGCTGCCTGGTCGAGTTGAGCTGAAAAGTGCTGGTGCAGGGTGTTTTCATTTAAAAATTCTTATTATTTTTTTAAAGAATTCTTGTTATAAATAAAAAAATTATTATTATTCAAGTGCATGCTGAAACTGAATCATGCCATTCTTACATAATTTTTCATTGGATTGTTGCAACCCATAAAGAAATCCAATTAAATTTCCCTTGCAGGCACAGGCCTTCATTCAGGGGGCCTTGAAAAAGCTGGTTTGTTGTATTGTATGGCAGGTCGATGAATTGAGAAGCAGAGAGGGCCTGTCCCGTTTCTTGTCCTGTGTGACATGATGTGAAGAGAGTCCGCCAGCAATGTTTCAAAGAGCTGCATTATCAGACAACATAAAGGCCCGCCATCCTTTCTGCTGCTGTGCCGCGGAATATGCACATACCAGTGTCTCCATCTGATGAACGGTTTTGAACACTGTATGGTTAACATATTGCTTTCTGGATCTCATGAGCATTCACCATCATTATCCCAGAGACATCGGACTCCGGGTTAAGGCCAGAGTGTGCCAGAGATAAGATAACGTTTTTGAAGATGTTTTAAAGGGAATGTCCTGGAAACCAGACTTCACAAACATGTGTTTTCACTACCTAAAAAGAAGGCCAGAAGACAATGTGTTGCAGAATTATGTTATTTTACATTAATCTGTTTCTTGGTTGCTATCTGAATTGTTTACGCATTTCTCTTTATTGATTTATATATTATGTGGGATCTCAATTATTTCCAGACATCCAGGGTTTTTGTTTTTAAATAAAAATCCTGCATGAGTAGACGTACAAAACACACATACGCACTCTTTTTTCCTTTTCTTCCCTCGAATACAGCAAAAAGCTCCTCTAAACTTCCACCATGTAAGTGAAACTTCCTTTAAGATGTCAACCATATGGTAGAATTCAGTCTTCTTGCTATCTGTCATGCTAGATGTGGAGAATTAAGGTTACAGTCAAAACAAAGAGAAAAACACTGAGAAGCATGTGGAAGAAAGGTACTGCTCTTTGGATTTTTTTTTTTTTTTTCCCCAAATGCTACCTGAAAACTATTTTACATTCTCTTCTCCTGCTGTTTTTGTTTTGGTTTGTTTTTGTGTTACTTTTCACAGTGTTTCAAAAGAAGTAGCAATTGCCTAAATGTTTTCTACCATTATCTAGCAGCAAACATGAGAAGCTGATTTCACTACAGCTGGGATTTTATAGGACAAGGATGGTCATTCAACTCTGCCTTTTCTGTTTGTTAAAGGGAACAGGCATATCTCACAATCAGATTTTCAAAATAATTCACTTAGGCTATTTCCCTGCACAAGGAATGCAGGCATGTATTTATCTTGCTTTAGCACAAAGCAGTGATTTGATTGGTGACAAGATATATAGGCAGATCTAATTGTTTTATGTAAAAAGATTCTCCGGGACCAAAGCACGCCTGAGTGTCGATCTGTGCTTAATAACTGGAAGCTGCACTGGGACTTTTCCAGCCCTAGTGTTTGCAAATTATTTGTGTGTCAGAAATGTTTCTTTAAAGTTGGAGTTCCAAAGTGACGGCTAGTGATCATCACTGTTCATCCCAGAGGGGCCTAGTTAAAGGTGTAAAAATGGGGTTGATGTTTCCCAAGGAGGAGGCAGCACACTTCCTCGTTTGTTTCTGGTTTCTGAATGTCTTACAACAGGAAATTTCCTTTTTAAAAAAAAAAAAATAATAAAGTACAGTTCTCTGAGCCTGAAAACATCAAAGTGAAACGCAGTTGGAAGAGTCCCTCACATGCAAACCTTGCAAAACCCAGATAAGGTGTTTGTCTGTGTCTATATGTGTGCATGTGTGTGTGGCTTCTCTTTACAGAAACCCAAAATTGTTCTTTAGATCATTAGTAAACCCTCCTTGCACATCAAGTCCTAATTGGACACAGACTGTCTCCCACAAACTGACCTGGGGTCCCCAAGAAACCACTCCTGATGAACTATCAGATTTGCTCAGCCCTAAAGGGTCGCAGCCACAAATCAGCCTTTTGCTGAATTTGGCCCAGGTTTTGGGTTTTCAGTGAAACTTGAGCCCAGGGAAGAGCTCTCAACTTTGAATTTAGCTATGGACATTTCCTCCAAGATGCTTACAGTTTTGTTCTTTTTACCAGGACTCCAAGACACCATACACACACACACACACACACACACACACACACACACACACACACACACAAGCCCCAGAGTCACACTTTCACTAAAAAGGAAAACTTCAAAAGGAATTGGATTTCAGTGACTCTATCTTATCCTTGAGAAGAACCGTAACTGACTGTTAACTGAATTATTTCCCGAAGAAAAACAAGTCACATTCTGAGAGCTTGTTAGAAACTTAACAGTAAGATAAAGGCTCTAATGTTGTTGCTCTTTGCAACGTGAGTTTTTCATTTTCATGGAATAGCATGTATAAAATGTCCCTCAAGTAGTAAGGGAAGTGGAGCGGAATTTAGATGGAAAGAATGGCTCCCCTCTTTTGTGGGATCTAAGAAAAAGGAAAAACTGTAGAGAATGGGACCAAATAACTCATGCACTAAAAGATTAACTCCATGTCTAATCAAGCCACTAATTTGTTCTGAGGAATCTATCAGTACTTCATTTTGCCATTTGTAAACCAGAGCTCCTCATTATCGTGAAGGAAAATTAAATTACCTGGAGCCATGCAGTGAGTGGACAAGGCTAGGTAAAGACAACATCTGATGTCGAGTAGTTTGCACACTGCAAACCCAAAGGGATGAGAAGTCACACGCACCAAGTTGCAAGCATTGAGCAAATAAAAAGATTATAAAATCTTCATTATGTGAAAGCTGAGACAGCTGGAAGGAAGACAAGACATCCGTGCATTGGATGTCAAGATAAGTCACCAGTCCCCTCCAATGGGCAGAACGGTCATTGGGAAGAAAATGGGGTTTCAGGAAATCTTTGACAAATAAACGAGGGAGCTGGGCAAACTGTACGGAATAAAAAGGCATTTCCAGCACAGGCCCAGAAAGAGATAGAGGGCATGGTAACGGCATTTCCTTGGGGGCAAAGAAGGGGAGTATAAGGTTATGAGGTTCTTAAAGATTTTGAAGTTGATAGTAGGAGACATGGTCCCTCTGTAGGTCTAAAAAGGGAAGAATTTTGGGGTGGGGTATTGGAATGAAGCTGTATTGAAAAAAGAAAAAAAAAAAGCATGTTTCCAAGGCCTGTGAGAAGTTTGCAAAGCAAAATCCTAGAGAAACAGAAAAACATCCAGGGGTAACTGACAGCAAACTAAAACATCAAATAGAGGTAAGCCATGGGCTCATCTTTGTTCAGCAATTTCTAGCAAATTTTCACAAAGAACCAAAAAATACCTTAGGAACACACAAACACACACACACACACACACACACACACACACACACACACCCCTCAGGAGAAAAGTACTGAAATCCAGATTGCAGTAAACACCTGAGAAGTTTATGTCCTCTGGTGCTAGGGACCTAGGATGAGTTTAGAACCTGAGATGTCCCTCGGGTAGTGACATATTTGATCACAGAGGATTCCCAAGGCAGACTGTGGGTAGCTGAGAGTTCCCAGCCATCTTCCCCCACCTGAAAGGAGAGAGTCTGAAGTTAGGAAAGAGCAGGAACTTGGAGAGACCCACTGAGGTTGGCCTCTGAACTGGCCTGCCAGAGGTAGCTGGGCCAGAAGGGTTGATCTAGAGTGTGGGGCAAAGGTAAAGACAAAGATGGGAGTCGGTCTGAGATTGAGCCATTTGAAGATGTCATCAAGTCATTCAAAAAATTCCAAGCCAGGCCAGTTCTCCAAACGAGCCCAAGCAAACCCCGCCCGAGAGACAGCTGGGCCTGCCAAGCAGTGACCAGACATTATAAGCAAAATTAGCCAATTAATGGGCTCTCCTGTCTCGTGGCTGGCTCGCGGCGCTTGCTGCTGCAGCACCAGCGTGGCGTCGGAGCCGCACAGCCGCCCCCTGCCGTCCCCGGGCCGCGCTCCACCAGGTGAGCGACAGAAGGGTGGAGGGAGCGGGAGCGCGCCAGATGGCCGAGCGGCGAGGAGCTGCGCTCAGCTTTTTCTTTGCTGCAAGTTACTCTCAACACACTCATTCTGTAACCTTCCGGAAGTGATTCTCGATCTGTTTGTGAGTTCCAAGTATTACCTTAAATGGGTGATTGACACATGATGTCTTTTTTCCCCTACGCAAAAACTTTTTTTTTTTTTCTTTTGCAAGATTTTCCAACGATGAACGGAGACCTCGACTCGTGCTTTGGGTTACTATAGCAACTTTTTCTTTGGAGGATTAGAACACGTTTGAATGATCTTCTTTTATTCATCTTTACAACACAGCTGACAAATGACCATCAGGAAGATGGACATTGTCCCCAGTTTTACTGGTGGGGAGGCCAGGATGAAGAATGTCAAATCACTTGGCTGGGTGTGTGCAGAGAGCTAGGAATGGACTCCCGCTCCCAATTACAAACTGGACAACATCTTCCAACCGTGCATTTTGAACTCTGGTAAAGAACGGTTTTAAGAGCAAAGAGGCAAAAACACTTTGCTCCTAAATTAAGACAAGTATAGCTGTTCGTTTTGTATGCTACAGAGATAAGAAAAAAATCCCGCTTTGTGTGACATCTGTAATGTGACTGATCTAGGAGGCTGAATCAATGCCGCTTCAAAATAGGAAGGAAATATCATAAGAGTATCAGTTTTAATATTAATGAAAATAGTCCAGTTCAATTCAAGAAATATGTATTGCAGGCTTTTTCTTTTTTCTTTTTTTGGCCAGGCATTGAGCCAGGCTTTTTAGAAATTATTATTCTTAAAGGGAGGCATTATTCCCACATTTTCTCCAAGAGGAAGTTGAACAAGTAAAGGCTTATGAAGGGATAATTGGAAGAATGACCAGCTTCCTGCCCCATTTCCCACCACCTACCCAGACCTAGGGAGGAGGAGGGGACCTGGCCCAAGAACTTCATTTGACCATTACAAACTTTGCTTTGGGGCCTCTGTGAAGAGAAGGGACAACCTCAGCTGAGGGGATCACGAGACCAAGAGTTTGGAGCTGAGGCCAGAAATAAAGAGAGTGGAAGCTCACAGTGAAGCAAAAAACAAAGGCGGGGCGGGGGGAAAGGAGGCTGGGAAGAGGGTGGCACCGCCATTCACTCGGCTGTGCTCCCACCACCATCACACCACCACGAGCACTCTCTGCAAATTATTAGAGGGAGATGGTCCTTAAGAAGGAGGGGAAAACGGACCTCAGTTCCCAGGGTTGAGCCGCTGTGGTTTGCTTTTTCCATGGAGCTGCTCAGGGTGCCCACAATCAGCAGGGAGCCGTGGCAGCCCACCTTTGGAAACTCCGGAACACATAGAGGTTGCATGACTCTTCAAGACACATGGCACCATGAAGGATGGAACCAGTATAATGATCCAGAAAGGACTGGTATGGGACCATGTAGCATCTGTAGCAGATGGCTGCTACAGAAATACAGAAGCTACACACGGAACGCCAGGGAAGGAGCCACTCAATGAAATGTCAATTTTCCTGAATTTTAAACCAGACAAACAAGGAGCCAGAGGCTCATCCAAGTCTCCTGTGTTGTTTCCTTTTGAAAGAATCCGTCCTTAAACACAGGCCTCTTTCCTGACTAAATATGTCATTTCAGCCCTGCTCATTCTGCTTGTTACCACGACGGTGCTAATTCGAGCATGGCTCATTTCAAAGTTGACACTGATCCTCCTCATAAGCAATTGTTTTTCAGCCAGACCAATCAGTGGCTCCCGTCAGCCCCTTTCAAGCACGGCGCCAGCTCTTCAAAATGCTGACAAGAGTTCCCCTCTGTTGCCTAGGACAAGCCATGGTTGTCCTTTTCTGAGCATGTAATTGTCTCCTGGGGAGAGCAGATCCCCTGCCCCATAGGCCCAGCCACCTGTCTTTCCCATCGCAGCAACTGGTAGTTCAGACTCCGGCAAAAGCCGGGGAAAGTTGAAACACTTTAGAGGTTGGTGCCAGAATTAGGTTATGAACCAGAATAAATACAGGACTGATTTGTGATATCCATGGGAATCTTTAAACTGCTGCCCTCGAGTCTAAGGCCATGGGACTAGAAGAACTGCCATTTCTGTTTCCAGGAAGGACCAACCTGTGCCACCCCAAGAGCCATCTTATTCCTTTTTAAGGCAGTGGTTCTCCAGCTTTCATTTGCACCAGGGAAACTTGTCAAGCATGCAAATTTCTGGGCTCCATCCCCAGAAGCTCTGATACAGCAAGTCTGGAGAAGCCCAGGGAGCTGCGTGTTTAACAAGCTCCCCTGTGATTCAGACGCAGGTGGTCTTGAACTATGCTCTGTTAAACTCTGCTTTAGAGCCTTAAGCAAACAAAAGTCCTCCACCTCCCTTAGGAACACATCTGAGAATTTCAAAAGCTGCAAAAAATTCTTCCTTCTATCTATTCCTGTGGGTGTTTGAGACTCACGATGACATTCCTTGAAAACAATATAAATGCATCTAAGTTGGAGGAAGATAAGCACCAGGTGTCAGCCTCTGCCTCTCCTCCCCAACTTTCCCATCTGTATTTTCTCACAGGTATAACCTTCTGCTGGGCATCTCCTGCAGGTCCTGGAGGACCCGTAGCCCATCAGGATTGCAGGAAGGAGTGTGTTTGTGGCCTCAGTCCCCACATTGAGAGAGGATGGATTTGGAATTAAGTTATCCACCATCTAGATGAGATTCCCAGGGGCAGCCTAGGTGGCAGGGACATCATGCCTCTCTGCCACTTCAGGCTTCCCACCTCCATTTTGTGGGCTCATGTTCACATTTTGGGCTTTTGCCATTTCTCCCCCTCTCCCATTTCTCCTCCCTCATATTATCTCTCTCAAACTCCCCTGGATCTCGGGTACTGAGTTGGACAATATTCTCTGCATTGCGACCTGAGCACCCCACAGGACTAGGAGGGGGTTGTGCTGGTCATTAATGCTATTCACCAACTATTTCCAGTTCTCCTTTCCACCTACCTACTTGGTAAAATTGTACTTCCTGGATCTCTTGCGTAAAGCCCATGAACCTAGTCCTGGCCAATGAATTGTGTGGGGGTCATTACTCAGATAGAGCACGTATTTACTGATATAAGTCCCTCATCCCAAGATCTCTTTTCTCTCAGGCAGGGTGACTGGCAATCTTTAAGATGGTGACTGTCACATCAGCCTGTATCCCTAAGTGCCAATGATGAACTGAGTCCTTTGCTGTTGCAGTGGTTCCATAGAGCAAGCAAGAACAAACTTGTGGTTTTAAGTCGCTGAGCTTTGAGGTTTGTCACCACAACATAACTTAGCCTCTCCTGGCTAATGTAAGGTCCTTGTGCTCTTTTCAGCTCTTGCTAATCTCCTTCCCTGGGACTTGAGTCCTCTACTTTTATCCCAAGGTATTGGCTGAGAAACTTCCACGAATCAACAGATAGACAGACTCGGCAGCCTGCGAATGCAGCTCCGACTGCCCACAGGGTGGTGATTTCCCCACCTTCCTCTGGCACTCTTGCTTGACTCAGTATCACCTGTGTTTTTATTCTCCTGGGACACTGTGCTCCAGGCTGTCTTGCTGGAGGTGAATTCCCTCTAGCTGACACCCGACACGCTGGTAGGGAGGTTCTCCCAGGGTCACATTTCTTTCTCCTCCTCTTGGTCTGTTGTTGCTGCCCTGTCTGATCAAAGCTTCCTCCGAGCCTGTTCTCACCATGACAAGGGAGATAGTTATTTTTATGATTTCTGGAGATATCTTCATCATTAGAAGTTTTTGCCTAGAGTTGGGAAATTTTTACAAGTATATCCAACCTCACTGCCTCCTCCATTTTTCACGACAATGATAATATAACTGCTAGAAATAATTCATTTCCAGCAGTTGCCTTGTCTACCTTGTGTTCCGATTCCTAAGGACAGTTGGCAAGTGAACCTGCTCCGCTGCAGGCCTTGGCAGCTCACGTGACTATCTGGTTTTGCAATGATGACAAATGAAATTACTGCAGGTCCTGGAGCCTTAGTCCCTGGAAACCATCAACAGGATGACAGCTCCTTCTATTTGGCTTGTAACAAGCTCTTCCAGGCAACTAATCACCAGACAGGGTCTTCCATCCAGAATGCAGAGTTTTTAAATCTTATTTTGAAGAATTAATTGTGTGAGCTCAGTACTGGGAGTATTCCTCATCAAGAATTCCAAAATTGCAACTCAATGTAAAAGGGTAATTATAGTGCCAAGGACACAATGACATAAAAAAGGAAAAATTTTACAAAGTGACATGCTTAAAAACAAAGTGAAGTTTCAGGACATATGTGAGTGCAAAGAAATAATTTCTGATGTAAATTTTTTGCTACAATTACAGTAAGCAAAATAGATTTAGTGAAGATTCAGTGGAAAGAGGGCTTTGCTGGAGAGTGCAAACCATTCTTATTTCTTTATCTAGGACTTTCCTCTTGTCCCTGCACCTGGTAGGGAGCTTTACACTTACAGCATACTCAGTTAATGCCTAATAAATTTGAATTTTATGAATCTGACCTCATGGATAAATGTTTTGTGCTTAGTGTGATAGGTGATATGTGTGTATTTGCATGTAGGAGGAGTGTGTGTGTGGGTAGGTGTATACTTGGAAAAATATACAGAGAGTGAGATAAAGATATGTGAACAATAAATATTAAGTCATTCGTTCGTTTCTTCTATAAATATTTATTGAGCGCTCACCAGGTGCTAGGCACTACTCTAGGGGCACAGACAAAATTACTAGCCTTGTGATATCTATATCTGAATGAAGGAAACAGAAAATAAACAATAGATAAATAGATCAGTGTTACAAAGAAAAGTAAAGTTGAGGGAATAATGATGGATGGGGTGAATAGGGGGGTGAAGGGAGCCTCTTTGAGCAGAAATGTGAATAAATCAGGAGTTAGATATATAGCTATTTGTGCAGAAGACACTGTAGAAAGATGAAGCAGCAAATGCAAAGACCCTGAGGCAGGGACTATTTTGTGTACTAGAGAAACAAAGATGCCAATGTGATTGGAACAAAATGAAAGACAAGTGAAGCCATGAAAATAGGTAGGGGCCAGGTTATGTAGGGCTTTATATGTCATGGAGGGACTGTGAATTTTGTTCTGAGAGTGAAAGGAAGTCATTGGAACATTTTTGAGCAAGAAAATGATATTATTTGATTTAAATTTCCAAAAAATTTGGAAAGGATGTGGAGAAAAGGGAACCCTCGTACAGTGCTGGTGGGAATGTAAATTAGTACAACCACTATGGAGAACAGTTTGGAGGTTCCTCAGAATACTAAGGACAGAGCTACCATACAATCCAGCAATCCCACTGCTGAGTATATACTCACAAGAAAGGAAGACAGTATATCAAAGAGATATCTGTACTCCTATGTTTGTTGCAGCACTGTTCACAATAGCCAAGATTTGGAAGCAACCTAAATGTCCATCAACAGATAACTGGATAATGAAAATGTGTTACATATACACAGTGGAGTACTATGCAGCTGTAAAAAAGAATGAGATCCTGTCATTTGCAGCAACATGGATAGAACTGAAAGTCATTATGTTACGTGAAATAAGCCAGACACAGAAAAACAAACTTTGTATGTTCTCACTTATTTGTGGGTGCTAAACATTAAAACAATTGAACTCATGGAGATAGAGAATAGAAGGATGGTTACCAGAGGCTGGGAAGGGTAGTGGTGGTAGGGGGGTTGGGGAATAGGAGGGAAGTGGGGATGGCTTAATGGGTACAAAAAATAGACAGAAAGAATAAATAAGACCTAGTATTTGATAGTACAACAGGGTGATTGCAGTGAGTAATAATTCAATTGTATATTTAAAATAACTAAAAGAATATAACTGGATTCTTTGTGATACAGAGAATAAATGTTTGAGGGGATGGATACACCATTTTCCATGACATGATTGTTTCTTACTGCGTGTCTGTATCAATGTATCTCATGTACCCTATAAATGTATACACCCACTATGTGCCCACAAAAAATTTTTTTTTAATGGTCTTGGTGCCAGCCCAAACTGGTAAGGAGCCAAGATATCAGAAAGCTCACTATTTATTAATGCTCAAAACTGGAGATGCTATAAATGTTATCATTTTTTCAGAGTTGATAATTATTGGATATAGCATTGAGGGTGGAGAGGCTAGGAGGGTAGTAAAAGTTCTACTCTTACCTTACCCTCTTCTGGGAGCCCAGGAATTTCCCCTTATGTTCTCAAATCCATATATAACAATCTTTGGTGTCCTGGTTCTTTGGTTTTATTGCAGTGTTCCCATGATGAGTTTTTGAGAGAAAAGAGTGGTCACACACAGGCAGGAATCCATTTGAAAAATCAAACATGCAAGAGTTCCCTTAATTTTCCCCCTGCTTTTCTCAAACAGAAGGAGTCTTTCACCACAGCCACCACAGCTGGGAATGTGCTGGGTCACACCTGAAGCCAACGTATCTAAGAGCCCAAAGCCCATGGCATATTACCTGGGTATCATTGTTGGTTATTCAGGACCCAGGGAGTCTTTAGTTAGCAGGTGATGAATCCTGACAGGTCTCCACTGTAACAGGACAGCACTGAGTTCAATGCAAAGTCCCCCACCCACTGCACTCTCCCTCTCCCAAGTTCACAGATTTCTCTGTGCAGCAGGATCGATGCTGGGGGCTGGGGAGGGGTGGCACAAGCACTCCCTAAGCCATCTAGGCTGGTGTCTCAGCAGGTTGTAGGTCCCCCACTTCCTCTTCCGTCTACTGGCTCTGAGCCCAGCTCAGCACTAGGACTTGCCTTGGAATTGCAGTTCTTGTGGCCTAGACTGTCTCTCAAGTTCACTTAAGGCCCCAGAGCACTCCCGCCTGTGGTGCTGAGACTTGCCAGAACTCAAGCCCTGATGCTGAGATGGGCGATGACCCTCTGGCTATGGCTAATCCAAATGCTTTCTCGGGGGCACCAACTGAATATAGCGGGTTCCGCTTTCTGTGACAGGGCAGCACCGAGTTCAATGCAGAGCCTCACAATCACCACACTCTCCTTCTTCCAGGCACACAGGTTCTCCTTACTGTACTCTCCTGGAAGAAGGACAGCACAGGGGGTGAGGGAGGGGTGGCATTGGCCCTTCAAGATGGTCTTTCCTTTCCTTCCTCAATGTCTCTTTCTGTGAAATAAAGTTAAAACCTGGTACTGTGATTACCCACCTGATTTTTGATTCTTGTGATGGTGATTTTTGTGTGTGGTTGTTAAAATTTGGTGTTCCTGCTCAAGAGACAAACGATGTAGGCTTCTATTCAGCCATCTTCCTCCACCCCCTCCCTCAACATTTTCAAAGGGAGGATCAAATATTTCTGAGGGCCTTCCCAATTAAGGTTTTTCTTTGGCCATTAAGAACCTCACAAGAGGCTGGACACAGTGGCTCAAGCCTGTAATCTCAGTGATTTGGGAGGCCCAGGTAGGAGGATCAGTTGAGCCCAGGAGTTCAAGACTAGCCTGGGCAACATAGCAAGGCTCCTCCTCTACAAAAAATAAAGATAGAAAAATTAGCCAGGCATAGTGGTACACACGTGTAGTCCCAGCTACTCAGGAGGCTGAGGTGGGAGGATCACTTAAGCCCAGGGGTTTGAGGCTGCAGTGAGCCATGATCATGCCACTGCACTCCAGCCTGGGTAACAGAGCAAGACCCTGTCTCTAAAAGGAACAAAAACAAAAACACCTTACCAGATAGGTTGTCCAACACAGGGATGCCCTTGCAGCTTTTGCAAAATACAAAAGACCTCCAAATCCTTTGTTTTCAAAGCATGAGGCTGGAAGGAAAGAGACAAAGAGAGAAAGGGAAGTCGCCCACAAAAGGAAGTAAGGTCATGGGGCTAGTGGAGGGCTCTGAAAGGCTTTCACGCTTCACCAGGAAAAAGAGGGCTTTCTCCCCCGCAATCTGCAGTTGCAACTGGTATCACTTTTCCAAACTCAGACTTTAGGACTCATCTTGTCTATGTGATGATTTTTAAGAATCTTAACTTCTCTGGTCTTGATTTCCTCCCTTTTGAAAGGTAAGGGGATTTGACTAATTTATCCATGCTCAATTTAGCTTTAAGTTCTGCTTCTTAGACTCACACACAAAGAGAATCCAAACCAACATATTCCAAGATTGGTGACCTAGTCCTATAACATGGAGATTCAAGCATGAATTTCAAGACCCACTCTAAGCAGTTTTGCTTACTATTATACACTTCACTGTAGATATGGTTCTATTTTCATGAAGGCAGAAAAGCAGAAGGAAGAAAGGAAGGGAGGGAGAGACCTTAAAAATATGCAACTGATATCCATAAGATAGAGCCGCCTTTTCCCAGTATTAGTGGAAATGTAAGTTTCCTGCCATCCTCCAACATAACCCATGTGTTTCTGGGCTGGAACATTTGGCTCAGGTATCAACCTTCCCATTCACACAATTTTCTTTAGAATTTACTTGTTTTGAAAGACATTTTTCTCCTTCCTTCACATTTTCCTCTGACATCAGCGTAGAGAGCACCTGTCACTAATGTCCGTAGTGGGTCTTCCCCTTGGCCAAATGTCCTTCTTTCCGGCTGAACCCAACTCGTGGCAGTAAGAGGCAGCTGGCCATCACGGGGCACCCTCTATTTTATGTTTGGCTTACCCCTAACCGATGGTCCCTGGAGCGTGGATCTTGTGATCAGAGGGATCCTCTTAGAGACATCACTATCGGAATAAAATGCTGTTTAATCAGTTCTCTGATTTAAAAAAAAAAAAAAAAGAAATGAAACCCATGTTTTGATGCAGAGGACGAGACTGGTCAACTGACTCATTCAGGCCTAAGTAGTCACTTCAAGAAGCCCACACAGCATCACCTCTGATCTCACATCTCTGATCATAATGAGGTTCTGTCTCCCCTTGCAACTTGACCATCTTGGCTCCAGCTGAGAAACACCTGTGGTATTCGAATCTTGTGGAGCCAGTGGCTCCTAAAACCTGAAAGCTGAGAAGCAACATCTGTCTGCCTTTTTTCTCTTCCTGTAACCAGTCTGTGGCACAACCAGGGAGCAAATGCTGTGTAAGACCTGGTGGCTGGTGCCTGAACAGGGGGTACCTAGCAAAGCAGTGAACCCCAGGCCTTCAGCATGTGAGGCTTTGTGTGCAAGCGGGCTGGTTTCTCTCCTTCCCTTCCCTCTCACACAGAGGAAAGGGAACTTACTAGACAGATTTCTTCCACAAGAGAAACAGTGTGGGAGTCTCGGTGTTGGTGCATGCTTGACTTTAGGTCTGGGGCATGTCAGGGTCAGGATTTGTAGTGGCTGAAACCATTTGTCTTGTGTTTACGTACAGTCAGAGAACATCAGCTGATAAGAATTAGCGAGGTCATCTTGTTGACCTTTTTCATCCAGCTCTATCCAGGAGGTGGAAGCAGAGAGGGGAGAGGCCTGGAGGCCAATGGGAGAGACAGAGCCATGTGAGGAACCACTGGCAGATGACAGTTGAGGCATAGAGTCAAGGAGCTCTCTCTCGCCTCGCTTTTTTGGGGTTTTTCTCCCTTCTCCAGGGAGCCTGAAGCTGGAAAAAAGTTTTGCTTTTCAATTCGAGCTCCTCATTTCTCAAGGTTCTTCATGGGAATCGAAATTTCTCTTCCTTTTCTCTCTTTACTTCTGACTTGGAGTTAGAACGATGCCCGTGTTTCCAAGTGCAGGCAATTGAGTAGTGGGGTCTTGGACCTCTGGCAGTGAAAGGAGGAGGCTGATGGCCTGGTCTTCTGGAGGTTGATGTGCACCCTGGCTTCCAGTTCCTGGGAACCCCACATCTCAGACAACCATGCTGATTGGTTTGGGACAGTAGAAGCCCCAAATCCAATTTGAAGCCTGCTGGGGATTCCTGAGTAAATGAACTTCTGGGCAGGGTCTCAGAGAGGCTATGATCTGAGCAGGAAAGTGTTTGTGGCATGTAATATGAAAGAACAAAGAAACCACAAGCGTGCTGTGTATCGCCCCAAATGCCAGGCGTGCCCATTCATGCCAGTGAGATGAGGGCGCTCCAGATGAGAAGCGCTGAAAAGTGCTGACCCAGGGGGCAAAAGATGATTGGCCAGACTGTTTCACTAGCGCACTTCTGACTCATCAGAGATACTCTCAAAACATTCGAAATTCACTACTTATTTAGTGTGCGATTCTGCCCAAGTGTATGTGTTTTCAAACAGGGTCTCTGGGACTAAAGCCAAGGAAGGTGTGCGGTGCGTTGGCTGAGGGTGGTCTTCAGTATTAAACAATCCTCAATCTGAGTCCTGGCTCTACCACCTACTTGCTGTGTTATTTTTGGCAACTTGTCAGCCCTCATTAGTCTCAGTTCTCTAGCCTGAAAATGGGGATTATAGTAGTGCCTACTTCACGTGGTTGCTGTGAGAATTAAGAGAGGTAAAGTATGTGCACTGGCTACTTTTATGCATCAGCCTGGCTAGGTTATGGCACCCAGTTGTTTGGACAAACACCAGCCTAGATGTTGCTGTGAAGGTCTGTTTGAGATTGACGGATTTTTTAAGCAGTGGACTTTCAGAAAAGCAGAGTGTGGGTGGGCCTCATCCAATCAGTTGAAGGCCTTAAGAGAAAACACTGAGGTCCCCTGAAGAGGAAGGAATTCTGCCTCCAGACTCAAGACTCCAACATCGACTCTTCCCTGTGTCTCCAGCCCCCTGGCCTGCCCTGCAGATTTTGCACTTGCCAGCTGCCACAATTGTATGAGCCAATTCCCTAAAATAAATGTCTCTTTCTCTCCCTACCTCTCTATCATTTATTATATATATATATATGTATACATACCCCTATTGCTTCTGTTTCTCTGGAGAACTAATACGGTATATACAAAATACTGATCACGATTCCTGACACAGTATGTGCACAATAAAAGTATGAATAATTCCCTAAATAATAAAGCCTTCCATACCTGGATGAAATTGCAGATGCCTGCAGGAACATTATTAGGAGACTGGGGATTAGGGAGGACAGGAGACCTGCTCCTCACCCTGCAGCATGCAATTTCGGTAGTACCAGCTCTGGGAGTGGAGCCTGCCTGAAACCTGCTATTCTGGGGGCAAAAGACTGACCTGTAGGCCCCCAGCCGTCTAGGCCTCTCTCCCCTGCCATCCTTGCAGCTCCTGGGCCCTCACCAGGGAGATGATTCACGGTCTGTGTGCTGGTGGGTGGATACTGGCTTCCCCTCTCCCTCGCCGCAGCCTGGCCTGCAGAGGTTTTCTCCTGGCCTTTCTTCTTTCAGACCCTGTTTCCTTCCCTGACCTAAACTCCCAGCGAGGCTGTTTGGTAAGCTGTGCCTTACCTCGGGAGTTTCTTTGACTGTTATCATCACTAAATCATTGGAATCATCAGCTCAGGATGGAGCCACTGACAGAGATCAGAGACTCCAGCTCCCCTTCTCGCCCTTGCCTCCCGGGGTCACTATCACAGGAGTCAGAGAGTGGGAGAGAGGGGGACCCCGCAGCACTAAAAAGCCTCTTGTCCTTGGTTGGTCCCTAGCCCAAGAAAGCTGCATTTTCCTCCTCCCTCCCTGCCTGCCCTGGCTTTCCTTGCCTCTGTCTGTCCCGTAATTCACCTCCAGCACTGGGGGTTCCTCATCCTGAACTTCCATCCCTCTTCCCTCCCTCTCTGGTTATGGCTCTGAGGACAGGGCTGCCCACAGGACTGGAAGTCACCCTGCCATGAGCTGGAAGATTTAAGGTCTGAGCGGCAGATACTTGATAATTCAACTACAGCTTCTGAGGAGTCTGTGGCTTTCAGTGACTGTGGCTTCTGCACCGAAGGCCAAGTGTGTGATGGCCGTGGGCACCTGCAAAGGCCACTTACAGACCACCATATTTTGATGGGCTCCAGCAGATCACCTAGGCCACACCCTCTTTAAAAGTTTTTTAAATTGACATAGAAGTATACATATTTATGGCGTACAACATGATGTTTTGATGTATATAATTGTGAAATAGCTCAATCAAGCGAATTAACATATGCATGCCTCACAAATTTGTCATTTTCTGTGATGAGAACACTTAAAATCTACCCTCTTAGCAATTTTCAAGTATACAATATATTGTTATAAACTATAGCCACCAGGATGTACATGAGATCTCTTGAATTTATTCTTCCTATCTAACTGAAATGCTGTGCCCTTTGACTAACACCTCCCCAATGCCCCCTCCCCTCAGCCTCTGTTAACCACCATTCTACTCTCTCCTTCTGTGAGTTTGAATTTTTTAGATTCCACGTATAAGTGAGATAATATGGTATTTGTTTTTCTGTGCCTGGCTTATTCCACTTAACATAATGTCCTCTAGGTTCATCTGTGTCATACATGACACAATTTCCTTTTTAAGGCTGAATAGTATTCCATTATATAAATCACATTGTCTTTATTCACCCCTCTGTTGATGGACACTTAGGCCGATTCCATGTCTTGGCTGGTGTGAACAGTGCTGCAGTGAACATGGAAGTGCAGACATCTCTTTGACATACTGATTTCATACCCTTCGGCTACAAAGCAGTGAGATTCCTGGATCATAGGAGAGTTCTATATGTAGTTTTTTGAGGAAACTCCATACTGTTTCCACAATAGCTGTACTAGTTTATAGTCCCACCAACAGTGTGCAAGTGTTCCCTTTAATCCGCACCCTTGCCAACACTTGTTTTCTTTTATTGATTTATTTTTACAATAGTCCTTCTACCAGGACCACCCTCCTTTGACAGAGCCAGTGGCTAATTCCCAAGGAAGCAAAGAGGCCTAACAAAGGTCACACAGATTACTGGGGGCCAAATTGGCATTCACATATGGGCCTCCTGTCTCCAGCCTAGTGTTCCCCACAGACTACCTAGAATAGGCCATGGGACTGGCATTCACGTCGGCAATGACCCTGGATACAGTATCTGAGGGTTGTTCATAGGTGGATCCAATTTTTGTTCAATTAGAAAGTACAAGACAGGGCTATGTAGGTAGCCTGTGGAAAGGAGAGAGGAGACCAGAGTAGACCAACTAGATCTCCTAGCTCATCTCTTCATTCATTCATGCATGCCTGCAATCGTCCCTTTATTCTACTCTGGATCTTTGGAGATGCCCTGTCTAGCTCCCACCAGACAACGTCATGGATTCTATCTTAGACACCTGGCTCCACATTCCAGGCATGGAAGATTTGAGTCCTGGGAGCAGTAACAGCACACGCGTGCATGCGTACACACACACACACACACACACACACACACACACACACACACACACCTGAAGCCCACATCATAGAGAAGAGAATGCTGGGGTTGAGGGCCTACTGCAGGTGAGGGCATCTGCTTTCTTCCCACAGATCTTGGAGTCACAGAGTTTTCCCTCTGTCTCTCTCTCGCTCTGCTTCTCAGTGGATCACCCAACCTGGAAGTCCAGGTTGGCTCCAGTAGCTGTGGCTTCGGGGTCCTGGATGGACTCCATGGCCTCTTCCTCCTTCCTGGCCATCTCCCCTTGCCCCCACAGCTGTGAGAGCTTGGCCTGCCAAGCCTCCTGGAGTCATATGGATCCTACCACCCAGTGTAGATGGGGAGGCCTTGGAGATGCATTCTGCGGAGAAGGCTGCTCCCAGGAGGCAACACTCTGAGCTTCAAACCATTCCCACTCCTCAGTGCTATTCTCACCAGCTCCATGAGGAGCATCGGAAAGGGCATTTTCTGCAAAGACCATCCTTCTTCACAGCACTGCCACTCGGAAACATGCCAGGGGTTCTTTTAAGAGTCCCAGAGGCCAGTGCACAGGCTGAGGGGAAAGAGAAGCAAAGAAGCAGTTCCTCTCCAAGAGGAAGCCAAGGACCCAGTGGAGCCTGAGGATCTAGCCCTACTTGTGGTCAGTCCCTGTAGAGTCCAAAGAGGCAGAAAAAAGGAGACAGAGGAAAAGTATTAGGAGGCTGTGGGTTTTCCTACAAAGAGCTTAGACTTTGGAGTCAGGCAGCCTCAAACACTGCCTAGCTCTGTGACCTTGGGCAAGTTCCTTAACTTCTCTGAGACAAATCTTTAAGATAGGATAAAAGTACCTTTCTTGCTTGGTTAGTGTAAGGATTCGAGAAAACATATGGAAAGCACGAAGACAGTGCCTAGTGGTACATTAATAATAATGATGACAGCTAAAGCCTGGGAGCACTCTCTGTGTTCTTGGAAACTGGTAGCTATTAAGCTATTTTAATTTTATTCTTGGTGTAAGAGAATGGGTGTTCGAGGTTCAAATATGGACTGGGTCTTTTGACTTTGTGGCTCATCTTTATACCTTCCTGGGGAGACTTGAAGCCCCGTCTGCTTCTCACAGAGGCAAGAGACTCAGAAGAGAGGATGCCAGGACACGAGCCACCGGGCCCGCTGACTCAGAGCACGTAGGACCCCAGGGGGACTCTGTAGCACCCACCAATCAGGCAGAGTCCTACTTTGCTACTGCAATCGCAAGGTGGTATGGCTGGCAGCCATGGGGGTGTTTTTGCCCCCTAAAGTGTTTGCTGTATAAAAACAATCATAAAATGAAAGCTGTGCATCAGCGATGGCAAGGCTGGAGCAAGAGAGGGAGAGGCATTGTTCTGGAGATGGCTGGTTGTGTCCAGCCCAGCCCCAGCAGTCAGTGTGGAGGAGGAGAGGCCCTGCATCCCATCATGTTGTCACACCCTACTTTCTCCAAACTTCACTTGGCTGGAGCAATTTACAGAGGGTCAAGGGAGAAAGAGACAGCTGGGAGGGGGAGGACGGGGAGGAGGCGGAGGAACAGGAGGAGGAGCACGAGGAGCAGGAGGCAACCAGGGAGTTATGCTTAACCGCTCCCTCTCCCAGGCTCCAAGGCCTTGCTGGACTCTGAAAAATAATAAGGCTTCCACCAACTTGTCATTTGATCCATAAAATGCACTGCTTGGGTACTTACAATATTCCCCTAGGGCTGCATCTGTGTGATTCTGATTCAAAAGCAGAATTACTGACCATGGAGATGGTTCCACCATCAAGCAGCCTGAAGGATGCTCTGGGCCCTCAGAGGCCTCCAGCTCTGTCCTGTGTCTCCATGGCTAGAAGTTTTCAGAAACCCTCTGGCTTGATTCTACATGGTTAGAATCAATTGGAAGATTGGAACAATGATTTTAGGCAACTCAAGCCTCTGCCTCTTCAAAACACAAAACAAAATGTAAAAACCTCTATAAATCAGCAGAGAATTGGCTTAAGGTCCTGAGTTATCAAAACAGCTGTCTCAACTCTTGGAGTCACTTTGGTGATGGAATTCGATCTTTTACACTCCTGTCCCCTGCCCTGCCTGGTCATATTTCCTCCCCATCCCTACTGCCACGCCTTGTGGACTTTAAGCTCTTCCCCCAAACACTTACAACATACCACCAGCTCTAGCCACCCCACATTCTTCCCCACATTTGTCTCTGACTTTATCCTAAAGAACTTGAGTTCTTCAAGGAGGCTGGGGAGCAGGGGGAGGCTGCAAGAGGTCAGAAAGTGTATGCTAGGTTCAGAATCCAATTCAGATGTGTGGTACTCTGTCTGCTCGGAAGGAAAACTTATGACTCGCAGCTGCATTGCAACAAGCACCGGGATGAAGCCACCAAGGGCCCCCGCATATTTTCCTTGGCTTCGGCGCAAGCAGTTGACATCATTTCAGGTTTTGCCATTCATCCACTGCTGCCTGGAGCTTGTGGCTGTGTGCGGCTGTGTTCCAGAGTCTGGGGAAGGTCTGAGTGAAAACTGGGGGAGGGCGGGGTGCTGAGGTGGTCCCACTGAGTTTGTAAAAACAAGCAAAAATGCACTGAACCCTGCCTTTCTTCCACTGCAACGAGGAGTGAAGCTAACCTTAAGCCCTCTGCCCAGCCCAGTCCTCCAGTGCACACAGACCCGGGCCAAGGCTAGCCTGGAGACCCAGAGAAGTCTTTGTTCTGTCTGTGCTATTTTGGGAAATGATGACGAATATTCGCCACAGGTAAGAAAAGCTGGAGTTCCAGTAGCAAATTCTATCACATGCTTCCAGACGTCACTTGGGCCGCTCTGGGCCCATCTGCCTTCTCCTGCAAATCCTGGGTAGCAGGAAAACCCTGTTAATGGTTCCCAGGGGTCTCAGAAAAGAAAATGGCAAAAGTAGGAAATGTTAATATTAGGAAACAGGGCATGTGCATGGGCGCATGCTGTGCATGACTAAGAATCAATTTTAGAAGACAACTCTTCTGTTCTGGGGCTGCTGTAAGGGAGATCCCCTTTTAGTCAAGCCTTCTCAGCTCCACAAAATCTCTCAGTTCTAGCAGCATGAGAAAAGGTCAAGAATGGACAAAGACTTGAGGCAGGATTAGGGAGAGCAAGTGGAGAGAGCCTCTGACCTTCCAAATGTTACTTCCCATGTTGAGAATGTGGGATGTCATGTTTCTATGATATGGGCAAAGCTCTAGACTTTGTCACTGAAACAAAGCATGACTTAGTGAAAAATACCCAGCCTCTAGAGGCTGGCAGAACTGAATTTGAATCCTGGCAAAGGACACTGTTCTATGACAATTTCCATAGAGACTACTTCATGAAAGAGCTTCGAAACAGGATCACCTCCTTCTCAAATGTCATTTGACACAAGGGGTTTGAGGAGAGAGCTCAAACCCAGAGATGCCCATACAACTCAGAGCCGGAGGGGACCAATGACATTCTTGGAAATGTTTAACAACCAGCTCTCTATGGGGAAAAGCCCTGATTTGTAGCACTTGCCAATTTTTGTGGTGTAAATATTCCCATCATGGCCAATTTCAGCTACCAAGAATTAGGAGACAATTCTTCATTAATCTCTTGTGTTTCAGCACAGCTTGCGAGCAGAGATCCTGACAGCTTTTGTTCTTGACCATCTTTTCAAGAATGCTTGTGTTTTCTGTCCCTCTCTCTCCACACCTCAACCCCCCATCTTCCTTGCCTCTTCCAGGGCTGGAAACATAGACTCCCAGGCACTAGAAGGTGGGAGATACACACAAAGGAAGGAGTCCTGACCTCAGAACTATTTCCCTTAGAGGAGACACGAAGAGAGCTGCTGATCAAAAGCATTCACATTAGACTTCGCAGGGATGAGAATCTTCTCATGGCAAGAATATGAAATTTAAGTTTGCTGGTTATGGTACCTAGCAATATTTATCCTAATACAAGTGGTTATCATTACTGTCTCCATTTATTTATGAGGAAACCGAGGCTTGGAGGTTAATGGATTAGGCACCATTGCTAGTAAATGGCAGAGCCTGGATTCAAACCTAGGCCTGCCTGCCTCAAAAGTTTTTTACTCTGCTTTGCTGCCTCTTCATGACAAAGGCCCATGTGTGCAAGAGTTCTGAGGCCCACAGATTTGCCCATAGTGGGAAACAGGTCTCCCTGCCAGAGAAAGCCAGTTATCTTTGGTAATCGGCTCCACCTCCAGGGAAGTCTGGAAAGAAGTCTGACCATCTGCAGCTTCCAAGAAGATTGATTCATCATGTCCAAGCCACTGCTGTTCAGGGCAGGGCAAGGATCCTCTGAAGAACTCTTAACCTGATGAGTATTGCGCATTCAGGACAGCTGGTGGACTAAATGAGGGCCCCCTACAGCCACTGAGAGACTCGGGCACCGTGGGATTGCAAACATTGCAACAATTCAGTAGGAGCTTAGCACCATGAAATTGCATAACACCCACAGATGAGGTTGGAGGGGAGCTCCTAGGGTGTCACAGCCAGGATGACAAGACCCTGGGAAGCAGCTGCCTGGCTTCAACTTCCAGAAGGTCCCGTGTGGCTCAGGTTAGGCGTCTTTTAAGCACTTACTGACCACCTGCTATGTACATACCACTACAATTACTGCTACTCATGAGACCCTACTTCAGAAACTGACAAAGGATTTGTTGTTCTGATCTCTAGGTATTTTTTTTTAAGTCTGACAAAGGTACTAAAATAAGGTCATATTTGGTTTGACATTTAATGAATCATCTTTGCTGAAAAGGAAAAAAATACAGAGACTCAGGACCGTCTTGGAAAATACCCGACGTGGAAATGTTGCTGGCTGATGCACATGAAACAGGAGGGGCGAAGGGGCCCCGTCCGTCCCACCCGATTCTGTGTCCAGTGCCAGCGTAGAGCAGCACTCGGAGAATGTCCACGATGTTTCCTTAATACACAAGAGTTTTCTGAGCTGCTTTGGTAGTTCTTACATCTTTTCTGAAGCCTGAAGAAGTCAGTGAGGTTAATCTACATGCCAAATCATGAGGGCAAGGAGGCATTCCTGCCACTGTCTCTCCCAGAATATTTGAGAAACACACCTGGCTACTCAGTAGTGGGCCTGAATAACCACACACCCTTTGAGCCTGTGCCCTGTGGTTCCACCATCATTGCTTTCCAGAGAAGCAGGCCCCTATGGGCACGGCCCCCACCCAGTCACCACTGTCCAAAGCTGTGGAGCTTCTCACACACACTGAAGAACACTGCCCAAGGTGTGAGTGGATGAACATAAAATAAGTAGCTGCAAGGCTGAATGCCTGTGTGCTGAGCTCTGGAAAATGCAAACTTCACAGACCATTTCTTTCTCTGGGCTCAGCCCAGCTCCTCCCAAGCCTTGGCATTCTGCAGTCCAAGAGTAGTAATAGTAACTAATAATAGAAATCATTTCCAATAATAACACATGGACTGATCCTACTATAGAGTCACAGGGATTAAAATATTCTTTGTGTGAAAGAAACTATTTGTTCTATCATTCAACCTTTGGCAAACACAGCCACTAGATCCCCAGCAGTCTCCCTGGGCTGGCCTTTGCATACATGGGTCAGGAAATTCCAGTCCATGTACAACTTATAGGGACCCCTGCCCCTAACAAAACTTGTCATCTTCCTTTTTTCCCTCCTCCATACTGACACCATTTACATTCCAAAAACTTGCACATGAGCTTGCTTCTCCCCTTCTCAAATGTCTTAGATGGTTCCCCATGGTTTAGGTAATAGAATCACAACTCTTTTGGCATTAAATGCCCTGAACTCTACATCAGTCTCACATCCTACTGCACCCTGCACCTATTCCCCAGTCTAGAATCTCATGCTCTAGTAAAAATTAGCTATTCATTTTCCTGAACACATTTTTTGTTTAGTTTCCATTAAAGAAAACTTTACATACAGTGAAATGCATAGATTTTTTTTTTTGAGACGGAGTTTTGCTCTTGTTGCCCAGGCTGGAGTGCAATGGCACAATCTTGGCTCACCACAACCTCCGCCTCCTGAGTTCAAGCGATTCTCCTGCCTCAGCCTCCCAAGTAGCTGGGATTACAGGCATGCACCACCACATCTGGCTAATTTTGTAATTTTAGTAGAGACAGGGTTTTGCCATGCTGGTCAGGCTGGTCTCGAACTCCCGACCTCAGGTGATCCGCCCGCCTCGGCCTCCCAAAGTGCTGGGATTACTGGCGTGAGCCACTGCACCCAGCCGAAATGTACAGATCTTAAATATACAATTTGATGAGTTTTGATACATGCATATATCACCCCCTCAATATTTCCATATCTCAGAAAGCATCTTATGTCTCCCCCAAGTCGGTCTTCTCCCCTATAAGCAACCACTATCCTGGTTTCCATCACCATAGGCTGCTTTGCCTGCCTGGAACTTTATAGAAAGAAAGCAGAGCATATACTCTTTTGTGTCTGACTCCTTTCATAAAACATAATAATTTTGATATTTATATATCTTGTTACATGTAGTAATCCATTCTTTTTCATTGCTGAATAGTATTCCATGATATGAATATGGCACAATGTTTATATTCGTTCATCCATTGTAATAATTGGACTGTTTGCAAGTTTCGGCTATCATTCATAAAGTTGCAATGAACATGTCTAGCACAAATCTATCTGTGGATGTATGTTTTTCATTTTTTTAGGTAAATACCTAGGAGTGGAATTACTGGAATGTAGGATAGGCACATGTTTGACTTTGTAAGAAACTGTTAAACTGTTTTCCAAAGCGGTTGTGCCGTTTATACCCCCCACCAACAATGTAGGAGATTGAATAGACTCTGTATCTTCTTGCCTCTGAGTCTTTGTTTTCATTGTTTACTAAACCTGGAAAGCCCTATGGCTACTGCCTGGCTCTTCTCCCTTGAGTCACCTCTATTAAGCCACCTAATATCTGTAACAAATACACCCAACATGCATAATGCCTCAAACCCAATGACACACCTTCTCACTCACATGGTGTCCGAGGTAGTTCTATGTCAGCAGGATGTTTCTGGGGTAAATTTGCTCCACATGGTCATTTAGAGACTAGGGTGGCAGCTCTTCCTTCCCCAAATAAAGCTCACCAAGCAACTCGGGCATCAGCATTTAGTCATGAAAGAGGAATGAGAGGATGAAGAAGGAACACCTTTTTCTTTATGGATGGCCCAGAGGTAATCATCATCCCTTCGGCTAACATTCCACTGAGAACTCGTCTCAGGCCTTACCCAGGTGAAAGAAGGCTGTGAATTTGAGCGCCATGCTAGACAGCTGCTTACCAATGACATGTGTATACTATCGCAAAGGAAACACACATCTCTGGTGTACAGTTAGGCATCTCCAGCACACCAGCGGTTAGAGTATTAAAGTCCTTTTCAGGCTGACTGAGCCCGGTGAACCTGCCCCGTAATCTGTGCGGAATTTACTCCTCCCTCTTCCGTGCTCACTTAGTGCCTGCGGTCCTTCCTCCTGCAAGGCTTATCACAGTTATTTATGTTATGTGTTTTCTCCACTAGATGGCGCTCTCTTGGAGGGCTCTGAGCTCGGGTCAGCTGGGATCCCGGTGCTTGGCACGCGCTGGAGTCTCCGTATGTGTTTATTGAATCCACTGTGGCAGGGACATGGATCGCCCACCAACTCCTCCTCTTGAACACACTACTTGGGCACACACGTCCCAGCTCTCTGGCACCTAGGTGAGGCCATGTGACTTGTTCTTGCCAATGCAACATGAGCCATGACTTGGCTATTTCCAGACTGACATAGGAAGGAGTGGGTGAAGTGGCCTCATTTGAGTTATCCTAGGTCTCTCTTCCCTCACCTGCCAGCTGCCTGTGGGGGCTCCAGCAAAGGACCCCAGACCCGACAGGCAGGGCCTGAGCCCTGAAGACCGCATGGAGAGGAGTCCCTCCGGTGGCATTGCTTGTTAACCAGTTAGCCTACCCTGACAAACACACTCACATTGTGTGAGCCAAAGAAGCTCAATTCAGAGATGGATGACCAGTTCCCTTGTCTTTCTATTTCCTGTCACTACTTGATACAAGATGCCAACTGTACATCCACCCCATGATGCCAGTGTCTAGGCACAGTTTTCACAGTATTAAGTTTAACTGATTTTGTACCTAACCCTGCTACTGATCCCATGGAGTCTTACATGCTATGTCTTTCTTCTGCACCCCATTTGACTATCAGCTCTGAAGAAGCAGGTGCAAATTCTTCCTCTGTGCCCTAAGTCTACAGCTATTCATTTAGTAAATATTTACTGAGTGCCTACCACCTGTCATTCACTATTGCAGGAACTAGAAATAGAGCAATAACCAAACAGACTGAGTCCCTGTCCTCATGGAATTTATGCTATAGAGGGAGAGACAGATAATAAGCACATGTGACTACTGAAAAAGCAGGAACAACAAAAATTCCTGGAAAAGCCACTTCTATAGTGTGGTGTCCTTCCTTACCAGTGCCTTCTACAGAAGCATTTTCACAATGATTTGGGTAAATAATTGATTAATGTCTATTTCATCCACAGAGCTGTGAGATCCATGAGGCTGGGGCACCACTCTATCCCCAGCACTTAGCACAGCACTAGCACATAGCAAACACTCCATAAATATTGATGGAATAAAAAAAGTTATAATGATGATAATATCTGCTGTCTGCTAAGAGCCAGTTATTTTCTAGGTGCCAAAGGGTTTTGCTTGCACCATCTCATTTAATCCTTACATCATCCCTGCAAAGTAGTTATTATTATCTCTGTTTTAGCAGAAAAGGAATTGTGACTCAGAGAGGTTAAGTGATCGGCCCAGTGCCACATGGCTAGCAGTAAACGGCCAAGCTGACTTTAGAATCCACGCACTTTTCTCAGGCCTGCCCTGTGACCCACGACAAGTGCTTTTTTATGCCCCATATATTCTTTCTCAACAATGAGGAGCAACAACTACGGGCCACCGTTCCTGTGAGCTGGACCATCCATCCCTCTTTGTGATTTGCTCTGGCCAGCTTGGGCTGCCTTCCCCAGCAGATGGAAGATGTGGGCTTGTGGTAATTACAGACCGTGTTGTCCTTTTCATTTATGTCTTCACAATCCAGCTTGACATTGTGTCATAAAAGTTTATGTACTGTGTTCTCTGTGCTCCTTACTAATATTCTCTGGCATTCTCCCTAGCCGTCCGGAATCAATACCATCGCTCCTCTCTCAATAAAGAAGGGAGCTATGAACAAGGCCCAAATGTGCACAATGACTATTTGCAGCAATTAGACGTCACACTGAAAAATGGCCACGCTGAAGGAGTGTGGGCAAGATCTAAGGACCAGCACATCACTAATGTCCCTCACCAGGGACCCTGGAAATTGGACTGCTTAAAAAAATCCTCTCTCCTCTCCCCGCTTCTCTTACTCACACTCTGTCCCTTCTTTCTCACAAGAGATAAGGAGAGAGAAGAGCATTCAAATTAGGGACGGCAGCAATCGATTTTTACTTGCAGTTGGTGGATTGTAATCAATGTTAATTAACCAGATTCTTTTTCAGCAGAGGTTGGAACAGGAGAGTAACTGCACGATATTTTTGATGAAGACAACATATATTAATAGGCTTTGCTATGGTCAGAGGGCAGGAGGCAGAAGGAAGGCCAGTACTGAGAGGCCTGGTGGAAAAGAAACTGCACAGGCAGAAGAGAGTCTTGAACCATGTAAAGGCAGGCCTGTTTATGGGATCTGGTAGCTGTTTTTGGAAGCTGGAGAAGGGAGGCTCAGCTGTTTGCATATACTTGACCAAAGTACAGGTTTTCTTCCCCAGGAAAAGTGGGCTTCATCAGGGAATGTTTTCCACACTGTCAACTAGGTCAGTGGCATCCATCAGGAGGGTGACAGGTGAGTCTGGTCAAGCACCTCCCTCTAATGCCAATCATTCTAGAAAGTTGCTCATTCCTGGACATTGTGCCACAATGGGAAGAGCAAGGAATTTAGCAGTAGAAGGTTTGGGTTTGCACTGTAGGTGGTGCTATGGAATTGCAGGCGAGTTACAGAACGCCTGGGAGCCTCCATTCACTCATCTACCAGGGATGTGATTACACCAACTGACCTCATGAGAGCCGACATAAGACTCAAGTAAGATTCGATGTGGAGCTGCACTGTGCCATTCTGTGAGAATGTCAGCAGCTACCATGCTTACAGGCAGCAACGACAAAACCCCAGGGCCTCTGATGTCAACCTGCCGCATACTAGATGGCCCCTGAGGCTTCTTTCTGGTCTCTAATCATGTAGGAGGTTGTCTTGGTAGCAATCCATGCCAATTTTTATTTGAAAAGATTATCCATCTCTATGTGTAACATTGAGGAAGGGCCCCCAAAACACGCCAGTGTTATTTTTTTCAATATCCCAGAAGAAGTAAAAGAACATCAGAACAGTTGGAAACATGATAGAACTGCCAAAAATAAAACCAAAAATTCAATCTATTTTGAAACAGTGCAAGCATTACAAACTTTTGGTCAAGATAGAAAATAAGTATAGAGGAAGCCTATGGGCACCATCCCCTGGCAAGACCTACGACAGCCGTGTTCTCCAGGCTTCCGCCAATACTATTTTGGTCAAATGGTGCCTCTGCCTCCAAGTGAGGCTCCCAAAGCCTTCAACTAAGAGAAGGGCATGCATGGTTTTCATGTTCTTAAGGTCTTCTGAGGGTAGGGAGTACATTGGGGAACAACTGTAACAGGTGACACTGTCATGGAAGAAAACAATTCCTAATTCCTCAGGGTGGTTCCTTGGCATCTGGGATATGAGAATCACAACTGTGGAGCTACACGCTAGCTCCTCCTTTCCCTAGCACCTTTAGAGGTCTATCCCTTAAGAAAGGTAAGTGAAAAGAGAGGAGAAGAGGAGAAAGAAGAGGAGAGATGGAAGAAGGAGGAGCAGAGGAGGGTGTCAAAGACATGGTTAAGACACTATGCTGAGCACCTGCCACGCGGCAGGCCCTCTGTCTCGGAGTGGGGACCATGGGGGAAACACCATCTCTGCATACGAGTTGCTCACAGAATTCTGGGGGTGATGGGAGAGAGGCAAATTAGCAGATAATTACCATGGGGGTATTTATCTGGGGTACAGGGGGGTGCATTCCTCAGGGGGGCTTAGGGGCTTGGGGAAAGGAGGAGTCTCTAAAGAAAGGACATTGTCAGTGAAGACAAGGACAAAAGAGCAGAAAGGAGAGGCAGCAGAGGAACAAGAGAGGGAGGGAAATCAGGAGATAGCAGGGAAGACAAATGATGACTTCACCCAGGATTTATATACTAAGCTCATATGCAAATCTGGTCTCATTGATCTGTGACTTCAGCAAATCAAGCTGCCTTTTCTGGAGCCATTGATTGCAAAGCAGGCTGAGAAGACCTGGTCAGTTCTGACCAGGCCTGGGGAGTGAGCTCACAGTTGGTGTATTCAATTCGGGAAGGGCAATCGCCCAAGTGACCAAAAGTGTAGCCTTGAAGGAGGGAGTTTCTCACGCAGCACTCCTCCTTCCTCTTTTATGAAAAACACTGTGGTCTGACAAACAGAACCATGGCCATCATCCCATAGCCCCAGCAGGGGCCCTCTTGGCCTGGTGTAAGGGTAGGGGACCTGGCATGCCCCGAGGGAGATCAATCCCCCAAAGCTAGTGGGGTTCCACATAGTCTCAACAGGGTATGGGCCTTGAGTCAGAGCCAGTCTGAGTAGTTGGGGGAAAGGGGATGTGGGTTCCACAGGGCACTCCTGTGAGCAAAGGGGAAGAGGGAAAACAGAGGGCCCCTCTTTGGCTACCTGCAGCCAGTGTTCTCAGAGCTGGGTCTGATGGTGGAGGCTGGCATGTGGAGCTGCTCAGGCAGATGTGGCCTTCACACAACAAGGGCTTTTGAGAGAGGACCCTGAGGATGAATATTTTGTCAATTTCCTCTTCAAATTTTTCGGATGGAAAGCCACTAGAGGCTATTAAATCTGTTTTCAGGTGTGTTCTGTCTTCACTGTTAGGAAGGAAGTGCTCTGATTATATCTGCTGTTATGGCTATTGAATACGGAGCCTCTATCCACCCTCTGTGACTGACTGATGCAGAAGTGTAAAGGTGACAACCATTCCCTCGGCCTGAGATGCTTCTAGTTTTAGCATTAAAAATCCCTCAAACCAGTTCAGTTCATCACAGAAGACATGACCATTTGGGCCCAAGTTACGGCGGGCTGAAGGGCCCTTTTAGTGCCAGCAGGCTGGCCTTGCCCTGGTTCAATGCCCCACTTCTCCCTCTGCCCAGTCCTGTCCCTGGCCCACCCTTCCGGAGGGGTTGATCCCCAAAGCCCTCCCTAATAACATCTTGAACTCTGCCTCAGAGTCTGCATCTTGGAGACCTCAATGGACATTTCCAGTGAGTAAGAATTATGAAAAGGAAGAGGAAGAGAAAAGTTATGCATTCACGTGTGTTCCCCAGGACCTCAGATGTGTTGCTAGGGAATGGGGACTTTGTTGATATAATTAGTTTAGGTGAGGTCACACGAGAGTAAGGTGGGTCCCTCATCCAATACAACAGGGGGCTTTTTTAGAAGAGAGAGACACAGAGGAGACAATAGCCAAGTGAAGACACAGAGACACTGGGGAGGGGAAGCCCTGTGAAGATGGAAAGGGACACTGGAGATTCCTGCCTCAAGCCAAGGATGGTCAGGGCCCCAGAAGCTGGAAGAGGCACCTCTCCCAGAGGCTTCAGAGAGCGTAGGGCCCTGCCAACACCGTGCTTCCACACTTCTAGCCTCCAGAACTGCGAGAGAGAAACTGGTTTTCTTAGGGCATTCAGTTTGTGGTATTTTATTAAAGCAGCCCCGGGAAGCTAGCAAAAGATGATGAGAAGCGGGGAGGGTGTCACAGAAAAATGGGAGAACTGTTCTTGTTCAAGCTAGGGGCTGATTCCTGTCCTGGGTGTCAGCTTGACTTAGGGGAGGAGAGACATGCAAGAGAACACTGGGGTCGGAGGGAGCCCAGCCCTGCGGGGACCTGGGGGTCCTTCTCCTGCAGTAGGGAAAGTGCTGAAGTTGGCAGGCCCTGAGGGACAGCATGCAGAGAGGAGCAGAGGGCTCTGGGGTGAAGCTTGGGAGTCATCACATTCAAGAGGTAGGAGAGAAAGAGGGATCAAGGAGATGCTGTCAGGAGGGAAAGAGAAAGCAAGAAAGATCATGAAGGGAAACGGGAGAGGAAAGAACCACAAACCCATCACAGAAAGTGAGCTGAGCTGGAACCAGGTGGTGATGAGTGGGTCCCTGCTCATCCTGCCTCAAAGGCCCGTTAAGCCCCTCTTCCTGCCATGACGTGGCAGGATCTGTGAGTGCAACAGGGAGGAGTGCGGCTTACCTGCCCTCATGACGGTTGCACCCTCGTGGGGGAGACAGAGACAGAAGGCCTCAGCATCCAGGGCTTTTCAGCCTCTGTGTGGTGGAGCCCCAGCTGCTGTGGATTCATTTCCTATCCACTGGACTGATACCATGCCATGCCAATGTCAAATTGTTACAAAATGTCTAAATGTCCATGTTTCTGTGTTTATCTGCTTATAGACTGACATGGACTGCCCACCACGCATTGAGTAGCTGGTGTGGCGGAGACTTCTGATTGCCCACCCTACTCCTGCCCACAGCTACTCTCTCCTTCTATCTTACCAAGGGCATCTAGTGTTTTCCAGGGTGCTAAAACACTGCATAGCAGCTAAACACAGGCAAGGAGACGGCTTTTGGTAGAGCTTACAGAAAAATTTCCTAAAGTGGGCTAACTCCTCTGGGAGTTATTTCCTTTTGTTCCTCCCCTTTCGTGGTTGTGATGCTTCCACTCCACAGCCATATTGCAGCCACGAGATGACGCTAAAGATATTGGAACAAAAAGCTTTAAGAACCTGAGTTCCTGTTGATCATAAGCTCTAGACAGCCTATCTCCAAACTTGATGTTACATAAAAGAAATTAGACATTTCTCTTGTTTAAGCCACTGTGATTTGGGAGCTATTAAGTACATTTCATCTGTGACATGAGTGAACAGGTGTTTACTGTGTGGGGTGGTAAATACTATGATCACAATGATTTGGGAAGTATAGAGCTCCATGGCGTCCTGAGACATTGCCTCTAACCCAACTTGGAGGAAGGGTGAGGGAAAGCTATCTGGAAGAGGCAGTGATGGAATGGGAACCTTGAGGAGGAGTAAGAGTTAACTACAGAAATGGATTAATGGGGGAAAAATTTCCAAGCCCCCCAAATAAACCCAGTTTATGCAAAGACCAGGAGGTGGGAGGGAGTGGGGCCCATGAAAACTCAAAGATGTTTAGTGTATCTGGAAGAAGAGCATGAAGAGGGGGTGAGAGGTGAAGAGATATTGGTGGTCCCCCTGAGGTGGTGGCTGCCAAGTGGTGGAAAGTGTTTGTCCACTTAAAGGAAGTCAGACACCTGACCTTCTGCCTTTCCCAACGGAACTCGGAAACTTTCAGAAAACAGCGTTACCTGTTAGCAATCAGCTAGGAGGCATGGATTCTGGTTTCATCTTAAGAGAGGAAGTATAGAGTTCTATGGCGTCCCAAGACATTGCCTCTAGCCTAACTTGGAGGGAGGGTCAGGGGAAGCTATGTGGAAGAAGCAATGCTGGAATGAAATCCCTAAGGAGGAGTAAGAGTTAACTACAGAAAAGGATGAATGGGGGTTCTGGTCTCAACTCTTCGGGAATCGCATTTGGTTTATCCAAGTCCTTCACCTCTTTGGGTTTCCATTTTCAAATCTGCACAACAGGCCTCATGATATTGACCCATCAACCTCTCGAGGAGTTTGCACCCAGAGGTCATGATGTCCCACAAACAAGGAACACAACATTACTACGTTCAGTCCTCTCATTTTACTGATAAGAAAATTGAGGCCCAGAGAAGTGGCCCCAGACAGATGGAGAAAAAGTTGAGCCTAGAATCTCACTCTCCAGACTCTCAGGCTGTTATTCTTTCCCTGCAAATAGCTGTGTGTTATGCCCTTGAAGTGGATGGTTAAAGTTCAGGCTCCTGTCAAAGGGAACACAGCAGCGTAAGATGATAGAGTTTCTTATTTCAAGAAACCTAGTACTTGAAGGTGCTTTGAATAACACATAGTTCTGAAACTGACTAAATATTTGGAGTGTGTCTCTTCATCCTTTCTGCTGGAAAAGCAAAAACAAGTCTCTGTAATTTGGTGGGTGGGGGTGACTGAATTAGATAAAAGGAAAATTTAACTCAGTAACCACAGATGTGAAAGTGCCCGAAGTATTTAGTCCAGATATAGATCTTTGGAGGTAAATCTTAAGTTTCCACTGAATCACTGAGAAAACACAGCCAACCCTCTTCAGTGACTTCACAGTTGCTATCTGAAAAGGTCATTGTAATCCACCCTCTTTATACCATAAACTAGCAACTCTGAAGCCATGTTGGGATAACCATTATTTAGGGAACTACCGAAAAAGTTCAAAAACCAAATTAAATTTTGTTATAGTAGTAACTGCTACTTATTGAAAGATCACCCATTATTTTGGATGGTGTCCATAACACCCCCCAGAGTTTGGGAACTGCCCCTATTTTATGGATGAAGAAACTCTGCCTGTTACTCCACTGACTCTCTTGACGTACAAGCCCTGTTGAATCATTGTTTCACAATGTCTCCTTCATGTGTCTTAGCTTTCCCAGTGCTTCCAGGAAAGCCTTCCAGTCTCCAGTGGCTCCCATCCTCCCAATATCCTCCATTCCCAGATAGATGTGAGTATCATGACATCACCACAAACTCAAAAGACGTAAACCTGAATGTATGTTCCCTTGTCAACTGCCCCTTCACCCCAACTCCTTCATTTTAAAAGTTACTGAAAATTAAGACCACGTAACTTATCGGTCTACTTACAGAGCTGTGAATAGACCCTCTTCTTTCTACTCTTGCTCATGCTGTTTCCTGCCCCCCAGCTCTACAAACATCCCACCCTTTCTCTGAAATCTTCCTTGATTTCCCCAAGCAGAAGCTGGTTTAACAAGTGCAAAAGAATAAAGGAACAAGGATGTTCACTGCAACACAATTTCTAAAGGAGTAAAAGAGAACTGAAGTGTCCATCCAAGACAAGACATTATGTCACACACACGATGGAATATTATGCAGCCAGTGAAGGTAAAGCGAGGATAAGATATAGCTCTATGTAATGATACAGCTTAGAGAACCGTCAGCGTAATATGCATCAATTCCATAAGAATGCACGTTTCTATACACATAAAAATTCTGAAAGGCTACAGCAAAATTCTTAATAGTGCCTGTCCATGAGATTAGAGGTGGGGATGCAGAAATTTTACTCCCTTTGCTATACATTTCTACTTTATATCAATTTTTATGACAGCAAATTAATTTTACAATAAAAAATTTTGTAATAAAAATTTTTTATTTTGAAAAAAGTTTTTCTTCTTTTAAATTGCTGATGTCTCATAGTGTCCCTGGAGGGTCTAACTATGTCTTGCACATCTCTGCAGCCTCTAGGGCCTGCAGCAGACTGCCTCACATGTCAAAAGTTGTCTAAAATTGGGATATTTTGATTGGGCATAGAGCACTGACACAAGAGATTAAATGTGAAAGCCCAGCTTTCTGGCCTTCCCTCCTATATATTGTGAATGCTCTTGATACACAAACATGCACGTAATTCACCCTCCGTTCATCACCACCACCACTTTCATACTCAGGTGGAATGAAACAAGGCAGAGAATGCATAACCATTCTTCGAAGAACACTTGTTCTTTGGATTTGGAGAGGGGAGCTAGGCCACTCTGATAAATAAAATGAGGAAAAAATGAGGACAGATTTGTTGACTCTTAATCCCTGTTTTCTCTTGGTTTTAAGGCTTTGAAATGTCTCTGGGAGGTGCTGTGTTATAACCAGGGTCAAAATCCATCACCAAGATAGGAGAAACTCTGTTTAAAGTGGCAGTGAAGGAATGGGAATGCCTAGGGCCCTATATTTACCTCTCCCTGGTTGGTTATTTGTTGGGAGTTGGTGTAAATAATTTAAAGTGCTGAGTTGTATTCTTAAATATCAGTCATGTGGCAAGGCCTGCAACTCAGGCAACTCAAACAGCTTGTCAGAGGGCTTCTTAAGGACAGAACACGGGCTGCCAAGGGCCCTTTTAGCAAACAGTAGTTGTGAGTGCATGGTCCTTTGGAGACCCACAGGTATATGCCTAAGAAGTGGAGCTTCAAAAACAGAAATGTCTGACTGAGAAATAAAACTCAGCTTTCCATAACTACCTACAGATAACATCAAAGCCATCTTAATGGCTGGCAAGGATATCAGTGTGTGGTGTCCCTTCCAAAAACAGCCCTGCATCCCACAAAAGACTAAAACATGTTAGTTCCATCCCCACTACACCAGTCTTTGAGAGGTTTAAGTTCATCAAAATAGCCTTGTGGGATATGATTTGTGGGAAAACAATAGTTTAATATTCTCACCCGTGAATCAGAAAGCCTTTACTAATGCCAACGCCATGCCTAGCATAGTCTAGCATAAAGAAGAAGGAGGTGAGAACTTCTTGAAGGAACTGAGACCAACATGCAGTAGTGGTCAGCACAAGCATAAAGTGCATAATTATGAAAGTGGATACAGAGTCAATGCTATCCAAGATTTCAGAGGCTTAGTTCATCAGGAAGGCCTCTTATGAACCCTACAAATGCTGAGAGCTGTGTGGGCTACCACAGACCTACGAGATGAGTCTCAGATGCCGTTCTCTAGGACCTTAACATCCTGTTGGGGAGCGCAAGCCTTCCAATGAAAAACAATGTGAAAACAATAGTACAGAGTAAAATGCAGACTTACGTGGCGCAAAGATAAGTCATAAATTGTGATTAAGAAAAAGGAAAAAGGTAGTTGAAGGCCAACTCAATTCTACAAACCTTTATGAAGCTTCTTACTACATAGCAGGCATTAGGCAGACACTTTGGAGAGGAGAGGAATAGGGTGATTTTAGATAAAATAGATTTCCTCTTCTCAAACAGCCTGTAGCTTAGTGGGCCAGAGAACACCATTAATGCCAGATGCTGTTAATCAGACTCAGTTGCTGGGCCCTACACAGTCATTCCAACAAAAGATTGGTGTTAAACTCCAAATCAGGAAGATTTTAGCAGGATAAAGAAAGGAAAAGAAGAAGGAGGAGGACAAGAAGGAAAACAAGGAAAAAGAAAAGGGAGAATGCGAAGAAGAGGAGGGAAGAGGAAGGAAAGGGAAGACCTTGATTTGGAATGGTTTAAGCCATAAGAAATTTGTAATTTACATAACTTCAAGTCTAGAAGTAGGATGATCTCAGGCTAAGGTTCCCTCCATCTCTCCCCGCCACTGTCCTCATCATTGGTTTCTTTCAAAAGCTAGTTCCATTTGGACAGCAAGATGGCTACTGCAGTTCTGTGTGTCACTTCCAGATACGACACCCTAGAGAAAATAAGGCACAGTCACTTAAAGATATTTCTCTCCCAGAAGCCCACAGCAGACTTTTCCTCACATCTCACTGGCCAAAGTCAATGCAGCAGTGGAACCATGACCACTATAGTCACCTACCATGAGTTGAACCCTGTGCCAAGGGCTCATAAGACAAAGTCCCTGCCCTCAAAAGACTCTTAGACCAAGTGGAGAAACAGATCAAAAATACCCAATTACTGCACCATGTCTTATCACGGCACTCAAGAATGGCATTTGAGAGGCACAGGAGGGATAAAGAAGAAGAAAACTCAGGGACCAGTGAAGCTAGCTGGTCAAAGAGGCAAGAATGTAGTTATATGCAGAGAGAGAGCTGAGCTCTTAGAAGTAGATTTCATTGAGTCTTGGTCAGCTCGTGTTTTAGGCACCGGCAGAAGCAGTATATTCCCAGTGCCTGGTGAATGGCTGGGAAATAGTAGCCACCCAATAAATTTCAGTTTGATGTCCAAACAAATGAATGAATTAATAAGCCTTTCATACACCTGGTGAAACAGACAGGGGCCTTTCATGCTGTGCTAAGGAGTTTAAGTTTTATTTTGAAGGCTATTTTTTTATTTTGAAGGCTATTTAAGTTTTATTTTGAAGAACATTGTATGTTTTCAGTATAGGAATGGCATGATCATGATCAGATTTTGGTTTTTTGAAAGATCATTGTTTCCATAGTGTGGTAAAAGAAAGTCTAGAGGCCATGAGATAGGTTAGCAAGAGTCTGCACAAATATAAAGGCAAAAGAAGATTAGGGACGTGGACAACACTTAAGACTCAGAAGTCTGGGCCTCTCTTCTTGTTCCATCCATTTGGCAGAAAAATCTGGGAATCATCTCTCAGAGACATTTGACAGGGAAGTTTTGCCTTCATTTCCTGAGCTCAACAGGACTACAGTTTGAAAGAAGCAGTATTTCTCCTCTGCTTTGCAACTGCTTGGGTGGAGCTGCGATGATATTTCTACATGACCTGGTAGCATACTCTTAGAAGAGAAACCGTTGGCTAGTAAAAATAGACAGACAAAAACCCTATTAGTTGGCTATCTTCTGAGACAAGATATTACATATACCAGGACTTCTAAAATGGTTAGGATTTCTTTCATGTGCCTGCAGTGATTGGGCATGGGGTTAACCCAGAGATGTTTTGCCTCCATGAAGGACTCTCACCAGAGCGGCTCTTCCCTGTCTGCTTCCTGTTATCACAACACAGCTTCTGGCTGCAGCCAGCTGACTCACAGACATCAATGGCTCGGGGCTGTCATTTCCTCATCTATTAAAAAAAAATGGGAGAGGGGATCAAAACCTGATTCAGCCTCACGGAGTTGCTGAGGGTGAAGAACATCCTGTCTGCTAGGTGCTCTGAGCTCTTCAAAAGAGCAAAGGAGAAGGCGTGTTATTGATGTAAGACAGTGTTTTCCACTCTCCTCACTGGGGAGGCCCTCACTAGAGAACAGAGAAGATGGAGTATGGTTCCCCCCACCCTCTCTGCACACCGTCTCCCCAAGTCCGGCCTTGGGGAGGCTCCAGGGGAGAATAAATCACCTGGAGCAGGGCCCTGAGAGAAGGGGAGCAGAGTCGCAGGTGTGCAGTAGGCGGTCCTCGAGGAAGCGCCCAGCATGCAGCCAGCTGTGGTCTGGGACAGGCTCGGAGGCTGCCTGCTCCCTTGGCCCAGCCCCTCTCCAGAGAGAGACCCTCCCACAGCCACCCCGTCCCACTTCACATAAGCCCCATCTTCAACCTCAGGTTCGAAGTTGAGGCCCATTAATAATGCATCACTGGGACTTGAATTCAATTCAGCCAACTGGCATTCATTGGGGTAATAATCAGGGTTTTTATCCATCCTGCATGTTGGCCTGTTTTTCCTTTTTGCTACAGTCACCACCTGAATAGGATTAGAGAAAACAAAATATTGCCATTCACTGGAGATTGCATTTCCCTTTCTTCTACCTTTGGCTTCGCTTGCGGCTGAAAAACAATCAGAAGCAGCGTACAGCTGTGGCTGTGGCTCTGGCCCGCAGAGGAGCCCAATGGGGCAGTGATGGGGAACTCAGAGGCTCAGTGCCACCTGCTTAGCCCTCGGCCTTACTGGCCAGGGCTGGGCACCACAGACCTTGCTCTGCCCCCAAGCCCCGGAACAGAGCGAGTTATTCACATAGCCACTGGGGGATTGTCATCTGCCAGAAGGCCTTGGGGAGGGGGCAGAATATTCAACATTTTTGCCTTGAGGCAAAGACCTCTGGGTGGAATGTGTCCTTGGCAAGAAACTGTGTTGGGTCTTGTGTTTTTCTAGGAGTGAGCAGAAGGTCCAACAGTCATCATCTATGCCTGTAAGGGGACAACAGTGGGTTCCCAGAGCCATGACAAGCGGCTCGCTCTCTCTCCCTCTCTCTTACGCACACGCCCTACCCCCTGCCTTCCTGATGAGGGATAGGAATTTGATGATCTGTTTTTGTGGGCATCCCATAGTCATTTGGGGGCATTTCCCAGTTTCTTCCTTCTCCGAGACAGTTGTTGGATCTGCTCAGTTAGGGAGCCTATGGGACATTTGATATCATGCATTTGTTGCTTTAAAAATACCAGTGCCCCAGCAAGAGAGGGTCATGGACTTCTTATTGGCATATTTCCCCAGACATGGTGTTTTCTTTGTCTTGGAGAATCGTTTAGGTTAAATGGGTGTTGCATACAAAGAATGACAGGAATTTGGTGATCATTATTTAAAAAAAGAGAGAGAGAGAAGAGAAATGAAACAAAAATAGGCCACTCTCAGTGCTCTTCCAGGACCCAGCAACTCGGAGCAGTTCTCTTTTCTCCCCCAGCAAAAGCCTTTGCTGGCACCAGGGGACTTCTGGATACCCTACTGGAATGCCTCTGGTGCCACAGAAACCATTCTCTAAAGCCAAGGCCTTCATCTTCGCTCTGTGAACCACATGATCTATTTCACTCCACCTCTCCCACATGCCTTCTTCTACCGCTAACAATCCCATCTGTCTGCCCTGTGACCTCGGGGAAGTCTTTCTAATGGAGTCATTTCCTGGGTAACCCCCACTAAGGTAGGATCTCATCCCAGGATGTTTATTTGTAAGATATCTTGGGTGATTTGGGTGATTCTCTCACCTCAGTAAGTCACTTAAGATACAAGAAAACAAGGTAATAATTACTGCTGTTAATAAAATGAACATGAGATGTATGGAGGAAGGATAAAGGAAAAAATGTTATTTTGAGAGTAACAATCTGCAGATTGGGAATGGAGCCTCCCGGGAACAGTGAGCACATGCTACACAGAAGGAGAGGAAACAGGCATTTAAGCCTTCCAGGATTTAACCTGCATATTCATCAGGTTTGGGGGATGTCTATGAATAATTATGGAGAAAATCTAGTGCACGTGCAGTGAGTTAACACATATATGACATACATCCCATGTTCACTTTGGGGTGGGATTTTAACATCAAGATGAGGTTGAATTTGGCTTTTACATCAAAAGGTGAACTATAGGGCACAGAGACATCTTGTACCTAGTCTCTGTAAGCCAGCTGGAACTGGCTTAGGGTCTGTGGTTTCTTATCAGGAAAGAATGTTTGCAAGGCCAGTCTCCTATCCAATCAGTGCTGCTTGCAGGACCCTCAATATGGGGATGCCATGGTCAGCTGGCATCAGGCAGTCCACCAACTTCAGTTGGGCAGTGTTACACTACAACAGGTTTCTGCCTCATCACAGGAGGAAAAGTTTATGGCAGTTAACAAACATCACGATAGTTAACAACATTAAGGTATATGACTGTATTAGTCCGTTCTCACACTGCTAATAAAGACATAACAGATTGGGTAATTTATAAGGGAAAGAGGTTTAATTGACTCACAGTTCCACTTAGTTGGGGAGGCCTCAGGAAACTTACAATCATAGCAGAAGGTATCTCTTCATAGGGCGGCAGAGACAGAATAACTGCCGAGTGAAGGCGGAAGCTCCTTATGAAACCATCAGATCTTTTGAGCACTCACTTGCTATCACAAGAACAGCATGGGGGAAATCAAGGCCATGATTCAATTACCTCCACCTGGTCCCACCCTTGACACGTGGGGATTATTACAATCCAAGGTGAGATTTGGGTGGGGACACAGCCAAACCATATCAGTGACCAAACCACTTTTCCTGCTATGGCCACTTAATTTTCTCTTGAGGGTCTCATCTTAGCCACAGAGAGTCCATCTCATCTGTTAGCTGGAGGTACAGTGCTAACATTGCCTAAACTGAAGCATGGGGAGTTCCTAATACCACTGCTTTCTTCCTGTTCTGCGGATGCCAGCTCTGGGCATGGTTGGCTGAGATGGGAGCACTCCACCCATAAATTCAAAAAGGGGCAGAACATTGATCCATAAATGCCCTGGTCATTCCACTTCTGGCCTTAGTTTGCCTGGCCTGTTCATACTTCAATCAGAAATCTGTTTCTTGTCTCTCCTTTTAAAATCAGAGCGTCTGGCTCTTCCAGGCTGTCCTTGAAGCATATTCCTCAGCAAGATCTGCTTCATCCATCTAGCCTGAGCTTCTTAAAGGAAAGGGCCTGGTCTTGCCAAGTCTTGGGAATACAGCATATAGTATCTCATTGGTCAGGAATCTTAGATGCAAAATCAATGAGCATATAGCTAAGGTCCTACATGATCACATAATTCTAAGAGCTATAGGTTTAGTGAACAGAGGTCTAACCAAACCACAGTAATAGATTCACAATTCTCAGATCTGAGTCAGTTCATAGATCAGAGTCCCTTGAATGAAGAGAGGATGCTTACGCTTAGAGAGAAAGAGAAAGAAAACAAAAACCCGTCATACCACCATGAATATGCACTTTAAATCAGTGGATCTCAAATTCTGGTGTGTCCCAGAATCCCTATATGGACTTGTTAAAATGCAGATTGCTAGGTTCCACTCCCAGAGTTTAAGATTAACAGGGGCTGGGGTGGGTCCTGAGAATTTTCATTTTTGAGAATTTCCCAGATGATAATGATGCTGCTGGTCCAGGGACCACACTTAGAAAACTCTAAATATTCATTCCAGTTCCTCAAAGGAAACTGCAGCAATTTACACATAATTTTGGACTAGAAAAATAGAACTAGCTGGACATTTTAGGGATTATTGGACAGCGACTCAAAACTAATGCTAATCATTAGGGTTCCAGAAAATCACCACAGTCTGTAAGTTAAAATGGATGTTTAGGAGAGTCCATTGATAACTGGAATGTGAGGCTACTTCAGTCTCACTTGGGCCTAGAATAATCTGTGAACACATCTTTTTGTTATTTTCATAGTTCTTAAGGAGGTAGTTTGAATAGGTATACTCAGCGACTCGTAGAACCACCACATTGACTCTTTGGCTTGAAGAATCAGGGCTTTTATGATACAATGGGTAAAATAGAAGCATCTGTGGCATCCCCTCCATACCAAAGTAATGAACTAAATGCATCATCGCATCCCTGGCAGCCTAACACAATTATTTTAGCAACAAAGACTTCAAAGTTGCAAGGGAAGTGATCTCTATTACATCTCTCTAGTTAACTGATCTATTTGACCTCTGCAAAAAATCAGATGGATCTTGGAGAAAGATAGTGTATTATTTTAAGGTTGTAAGGTGATGATTACAATTGATGCTGCTGCTGTCTTTACTCTGTGAGTTTGCCATATGTCTATTGATCTGGTGAATACATTTTCTCTATTAGAAGAAAGTTGCTTTTACCTGACAGGAATAACAGCATATATTCACCATCCTGGTCTCAAAGCTGCATTAATTATTTTGCTTTATACCATAACTTACGGCAATAAGGTCTTTGATCTTTTTATTAATCGACAAAACTTTATGCTGGACCACAATTTATATGATATCATGCTAATAATAGACCAGGTGATCAGGCAGGAGCACATACCCTAAATGCCTTGTCAAACACATTTATGTTAGAAGGTTGAGATGCATCCATTGGAAACTCAGTGATTTCAGAGATGATTCTAGAAGTTCAGATAACTATATAATATCAGAATATCCCCTCCAAAATGAAAAATTCCTGCACCATGCATATCCCACAAATGAAAACAAGCAATACATTAATTGTCTCTCTTTGGACTTAATTTTTACTTTTTTTAGAGACAGGGTCTCTGTCACTGAGGCTGGAGTGCAGTGGTGTGATTATAGCTCACTGTTGCCTCAAACTTCTGCACTCAAGCAATCATCCTGCCACTGTCTCCTAAATAGCTAGGAATTCAAGCATGAGCTACCATAACTGGCTATTTAAAAAAAATTGTTTTTTTAGTAGAGACAGGGCCTCACTTTGTTGCCCAGGCTGGTCTCAAACTCCTGGCCTCAAGCTGTTCTCACACCCCAGCCTCCCAAAATGCTGGGATTATAGGCATGAGCTACCATACCCAACCCTTTTTGGATTTTTAAAAATTTTTTATTTATTTATTTTTTGAGACAGAGTCTTGTTCTGTCACCCAGGCTGGAGTGCAGTGGTGCAATCTTGGTGGCTCACTGCAACCTCTGCCTCCCAGGTTCAGGTGGTTCTCCTACCTCAGGCTCCCAAGTAGCTGGGCTTACAGGCATGTTCCACCATGCCCAGCTCATTTTTGTATTTTTAGTAGTGATGGGGTTTTGCCATGTTGACCAGGCTTTTCTCAAACTCCTGACATCAACTGATCCACCCGACTCAGCCTCCCAAAGTGCTAGGATTACAGGCATGAGCCACTGCACCCAGCCCCTCTTTGGATTTTTGAAGGCAACATATAAGGATGTATTCCACATAAGGCTGTATTCCTCTGACCCTGTTGCTGACTAATGCACTGGCTACTATCTTTGAATGGGGTGTTTGGCTCTGTCCCCACCCAAATCTCATTTTGAATGGTAATAATCCCCATGTGTCAAGGGTGAGGTCAGGTGGAGATAATTGAATCATGGGTATCATTTTCCCCCATACTGTTCTTGTGGTAGTGAATAAATCTCACAAGATCTGATGGTTTTATAAATGGGAGTTCCCCTGCACAAGCTCTCTTGCCTGCTGCCATGTAAGACGTGAATTTGTTCCTCATTCACCTTCTGCCAGGATTGTCAGGCCTCCCCAGCCATGTAGAACTGTGAGTCAGTTAAAACTCTTCCCTTTATAAATCACCTGGTCTCGGGTATGTCTTTACTAGCAGCATGAGAACAGACTAATAAAGGGTCCAAAACAAAAGTAGTTGATTCAGGCCATAACACAAGCAATTCTACCCATGGGTCTTATGATTAATGAACCTAATGGTGCTTGAAGAGTGGCTGTTCAGGATACTATATGGACCCCATGCCAAGGCCTGACAGAAGAAGCACAATAAAGAACCCTGGAGTTTAAGGGCAAGGGTTTGCCCTCAATAGCAAGTTAGTGTATTCTTCTTTTTTTTTTTTTAAGTCAACTTTACTGAGATATAATTTACATGCAATAAAATGTAACATTTTAAGTGGACAGTTCAATGAGTTTTGATAAATTTATACACCTGGAAAACTGCAGCAAAATCAAGATAAGGAGCATTTTGATCAAACCAGAATTTTGCCCCTTTGCACCAATCCTTCCTTGAACCTAGCTCCAGTCAACTACTCATCTTCTGTCATCATACATTTGGTTTATCTTTTCTAGAGTTTTATATAAATGAAATCATGCAGTATATACACTTTGGGGTCTGAACTTTTTCATTCAATATAATGTTTCTAAGATTATTCTTTACATGTATCAGTAGTATCAGCAGTTTGTTCCTTCTTAATGATTAAGTATTTCATTGTATGGACATACCACAATTTCCTTACCTGTTAACAAACATTTGTGTTGTTTACAGGTTTTGGTTCTCACGAATAAAGCTACTACAAATATTCCTGTGATATCTTTTTATGGATGTATATTTTCATTTCTCTTGGCTAAATACCTACAAGAAATTTCAGGGACATATGGTAAATGCATATTTAACTTTATAAGAAACCAATGAACTGTTTTCCAAAATGAGGTTGTACCACCTTGTATATGAGGTGTTTTTGACATTGATATTTGATATTTTCAATGTGTTAAATGTTAGTTGTTCTAAGGAGTATATAGTAGTATTTAATTGTGGTTTAAATGTTCCTTTCCTGATGTCTAATAATGATGAGCATCTTATCATGGTCTGGTTAATTACATTTTTGCCCCATTTTAATTGCTTTTTAAATTGTGGAGTTGTAAAAGCTTTCTGTATAATCTGGAAACAAGTTGTTTGTCAGATACACGTACTGTGAACATTTTCTCCTGATCTGTGGCTTACCTTTTCATCTTCTTAGTGGAATTTTCCAAAGAGCAAGAGTTTTAAATTTCGATAAAGTTCAATTATCACATTTTATTTAATGGTTTGCTATTTGTCTCCTATCTAACACATTTTGACTACCTTTAAGCCACACAGATTTTCTGCTGTGCTTTCTTCTAGAAATTTTAATTTAATTAAATTCTAATTAAACTTTGCATATAGTGTATTGCAAATGTTGAGGTTCATTTTTCCATACGAATATCCAGTTGTTCTTGTACCGCTTGTTGAAAAAACTATCCTTTCTCCATTGAATAACCATGTCAAAAATCAATTAATATGTTTGGAAGTATTTCTGAACACTGTATTTTTTTAAACGACAATACACAGATGATCCATTAATCAACAGAACAATAGATAGATGTAGAATTCTGGGTTGACAGGTTTTTTTCTTCTTCTTCCTGACAGCATTTAAAAGATACCATTTTATTGCCTTCTGGTTTGCACTGATTCTGATGAGAAGTCTGCAATAAATCCAATCTCTGTTCTTTTTCATGTCATGTGCTGTTCCCCACTATGGCTGTATTTAAGATGCTCTTTTTATCTCTGTTTTTTCACCAAATTGATTATGAAGTGCCTTAGTGTTATTTTCTTTCTGTTTATCTTGCTTGGAATTTGTAGACCTTTTTGATATGGTGATTTGTAACTTTCATCAGACTTGAAAATATTTCAGCCATTATTTCTTCAACATTTTTGTTTTGTTTTGTTTTCTCCTTTCTTTTCCCTCCTGGATTACAATTACATATATCTTAGGCCACTTGATCTAGTCCCTTACATCACTAAAACTCTGTTCATTCACTTTTAATCTCTTTTTCCCCCTGTGCTTTAATTTGTTTCTATTATGTTATTTTTAAGTCACTAATTTTTTCTTTTCTGCTATCTATTTTGCTGACAGTTCCTCCAGAATTTTTTCAGATGTTGATATGGTTCTATTTGGCTTGTTTCTTTCATTTATCTCCCTATATTTTGGTTTTAATTCAAATTTGTAAGTATATTGAGCACATTTCTAATTGCTCTTTTTAAAGTTTTTATCTACAGATCAATCAAATCTGACATTTCTGTGATTTTTTTCCTATTGACTGATTTATCAACTGGTTATAAGTCACATATTCCTGCTTCTTATGTTTCATACTTTTAAAATTGGATCCTGGACATTGTAAATATTACATCCTTGAATATCTGAATTTTGTTTCTTCCTTTAAAAAAGTATTTGACTTGTTCATTTTGCAGTCTGTTCAGTTCCCTGGTGACAACTTTGATACCTTTATGGCTTGTTTTAAAGGGCTTAGGGAGGGTCAGTAGTAATCCTTACTCTAGAGATAGTTTAGCCCTACAACCAAGGCATGGTCCTCCTGCCCCCAGGTGATCAATGGAGATTCTCTGGGTGGTCTAAGCTCAAAAAGTCTCCTTTCCCTCTATGTACTCTGGGAATTCTATGGCTTATGGCTCCCCTGTCATTTTTTTTTTTTTCTGCTCAACCTCATGGTATTTTACCCTAACCATGTGCATATTGATATTTAGCCAAAGACTCGAGGAGACCTGTATCCACATTTACGGAGCTCGTTTTCTGCACAGTTCTGTCTTCTCTGTACTCCTTTCTGCAAATTTCTCCCACCTTGGTGTCCTTAACTTCCAGTCTCCATCTCTTAACTCAATGAGCCCCTGGCACTATCAGGGGTCCCTGCCCCTGCACGCCATATAGAAATTGATTCCAGGCAGAGTACTGCCGCTCATATAGAGATCACTTTGTTTGTTTTCTTTCATTTAGCGATTAGTCATGCACTGACTTTTTCCAATTTTGTTTCATTTATTTTTATATATTTACATATAAACCAGCTATGTCCTGTATTTTGCCAGTTTTCTAATTGTTTATGGTGAGAGGGTAACTTCATAAGTGTAAGTAGCCATGCTATTACCATTAAGAAAAACTCTACACTAGCTATTAACCCTTGGTACTGTCAGAACACCAATCCACTGGATATCAGTTGGCTGTGCTACCTGAGTACCCATCAATGAACTGGGTATTATCTGTTATACCAAACCACATGTTGCCGCATTCCACCATCAAATGAAGTGTTTCTATGAGGGTAAGGTCAAGCAGGCCCTGGCTGTTGATTGACTTAGTGGTTCACACTCCTGATAATATCCACTCTGGACACATCCCTACTCTTTCCTCAACCCACATCTGTATTCTCTAGGAGTTTCTCATGACCGAGAGTTGACTGAAAAGCAAAAAACACGGTGTCTTATTTAACAGTTAGCTCTGAGCTTGAAATCGCCAGCTTGAAATCAATGGCTATGATGTTATAGCTTCTGTTAGGGGTGGCCTGGAGGGCAGTGAAGAAGAGAAATCCTCCCAGTGGGCAGCACCTTGGACAGCACATGAGGTGTTCTTTTCCCAGAGCATCTCAGGCGGTGTTAGGTGCAGATCTACACTGTTTCATGAGAAGTGGCTTCCGGCTTGGCTAAGGGATTGAGAATTTGGAGGAATAGAACTGTAGGACTGATGGTGACAGGGAAGTCAGAAGACAACTAGGTATGGTCTTAAAATGGCCCCAGAGTGCGGAAAGCTTTTGTCCCATGTGGCTGCTCACTAAATGGACCTCAGTTGCAAGTCATCACGTAACATGCCAATAGCAACGACTCACCCTAAGTCCCAAATATAGGCTCATACTCAAAGAGGACTAGCCTGTGACAAGTAGTTATCAGCCTCCAGGAGGGTTCATTACACTGAACCCCTTCCACTGCACAAGAGACAGTGATTTGTCCTCACAGAATGGACACCTTGTGGATATGTATTTCCCTTTTAAATTAGGACATTAGATACCTTGTTAACCAAAATATTATTGCACAAAGTGTCACTTTTGCCTGTCAACTCCTTTTTCAGCAAAAGAAGCAAGGCAACAGCCTATGCTTATGGTATTCATGGTGTTACTATGTATCCCATCACCCAGAAGCAGCTGTCTTAAGGGAATGATGGAATGGGCTTTTTTTCTTTCTCTCTTTTTTTTTTTTTCGAGACAGGGTCTCATTCTGTCACTCAGGGTGGAGTGCAGTTGTGTGATCATAGCTCACTGCAGCCTTGACCTCCTGGACTCAAGTGATCCTCCCACCTCAGCCTCCTGAGTAGCTAGGAATGGACATTTGAAGCCTTGGTTCCAAGACACAAGAATGCAAGTTTGAAGTGAGTCCTGCAGGATGCAGCATATCCTGTGAACCACTGAGTAAGAAATACTGGTTCTATTTCTGATGTTTCTCCCACAGTCAGAAAGCACAGATCACTGATCAAAGCATGGAAGTAGTAAAGATACTGCTAGCATTTCACTCAATGCTATACTTTAAAAATGTTCTTGTCTCATTCCTGCAACACTGTTGGTTTAGAAGCTGTAGTACTAAAAAATTCTCCCACCAGGAGCCATGTTTCTAGTGACTGTACAGATTGTCACCTAGCATTTTAGGACCTTCTTCATTCCACTGGATGCTACTATTTACTTCAGGTAAATCTGCCTCCAACTCTAATTCTGGACCTACACTGTACAGAGATGTTCACTCTCTAGCTGATCAATATCTCCCCCAAAATGGTTGCTTGTGTCTCCTTCAAAAAATGGAATCACATTTTAATAGTTTTTAATCAGCCAGGGGCTTTGTATTTTATCATTTTTGCTTTATGCTATAAGTATGATTCAATAAAACACTTTAGATTTCGTTAAAAATTTGAGTTTACCATAAACGGGAGGTATTTTAGAGCCATGCGCATGTTAAGTTAGTTATGGCATGATGTTATATGAGTAGACTAACACATTGCCTATCTTACTCATTGCTTCAGATTATTTTTGTGATAAGCCTATTGGGACCCATCTTGCCCTAGTAGATGAGTGGGGCTATTATGGAGTTTCGCACAGGATGGATATATATTCAACAGAGAGAGGAGTTTGGAAAAAATCTAGGGTGTGGGGCACCACTGTATTAGCGGGGTGAAAATCCTAGTTGTAGGGAAGAAAAGGGAGTCAGGGTAAGGCAAAATGGTAGTGGGCATGTGGGGCTTTGGAGAGGGAGGTAGAACTGAACTTTCCCTGCCGTTACTGCCAGGCTTCTCCATTAAGGAACAATGTAATCTCCTAGAAACTCAACAGGTACCTAGCTTAGGGAAAAAAGTCTTTGTCCCAACTCTGCGAGAGCTTCAAAGAGAGCTCACAGGGACACCACCGCCCTCAGCTAGACCCCATTTTACCCATCTGCAAAGTGGGGAAATGAAAATGAATGAAGTCAACTATTCTGTTTCTTAGTCTCAGATTAATACGAACTTAATTGGACTCTTTGATCATTCCAAATAATGGTAGATAAAGTATTTAAATTTATGCAAACTATTTATTTTGAAGAAGTACAAGTAGAAACAAAACATATTCTCATCCCATTCATCTTCAAACTTTCCAAAAAGGCCATTTAAAAAACGAATTCTACTTCCCAAACTAGAAGCCAAACTTGAACTTTAGTCTTAGCTTTGCCAGTAATTGCTCTGTAACTTTAACCAAGTCACTTTCTTTCCAGGGCCTTTTCTTTTTTTTAAGAGAAATTACAGTACAAGACATTACAACTCCTGTGGTCCCTTCCATCTCAGGATTCAGTGATGCTGGGCCATGTGTCATCACTTGTTCCAGCCCTATTTGTCCCTCGTCTCAGAGTTTGGAAGATACGGGCAGCTCTCCTGGTCATTTGTTGCAGTGGAAATATTAAGGCACAAAGAATGGAAATATAGCTTCTGAACACTGACATTGTTGTTTAAACAAAATTCTTGGTATATATCCTCTTGCTCTGTGTGTGTGTGTGAGTGTGTATATATATTGTGTGTGTGTATATATATATATACGTATATGTACATATATAATATACATATGTATGTACTATATATAATATACATATATATGTAAATACATACAATATATATACACATATATGCGATGGAGTCTTGCTCTGTCACCTAGGCTGGAGTGCAGTGGCCTGATCTCTGCTCACTGCAACCTCTGCCTCCCAGGTTCAAGCAATTCTCCTGCCTCAGCCTCCCAAATACTGGGATTACAGGCATGTGCCACCATACCCGGCTAATTTTTGTATTTTTAGTAGAAGCGGGGTTTCACCATCTTAGCCAGGCTGGTCTCAAATTTCTGACCTCCGGTGATCTGTGTGCCTCACCCTCCCAAAGTGCTGGGATTACAGGTGTGAGCCACTGCACCCCACCCTCTTGCTCTATTTTTATTGAACCTCACATCCTTCTCAGCCCCACCCCAAACAACCCCCTAAGTTCTAGCACTCTCTCATGAGATTTGGGATCACTTAGTGAAGAAGCTGTCTCCTAAGTCTGCATGGAGACAAGAAGTCTCAAGGACACAATGGAGGGGTTAGCTGTCTGCAAGGAAGTCAAGAAAATGTTTAAATTGTGATCAGAATATTAAGTACCAACAACATTTTTTTTTTCATTTATGCTCAGGACTGTCAAATAACATTGTGTCATTATTGGTAAACTCACTTCAGCAAAAGCAATTTATCACAAAGTCAATTATCTGTGAGGGCTTGATTCCAGGCCCTCCCCCCGCCCCCGCCACACCATAATCCTCAGATGCTTAAGTCCATAATATAAAATTGCATATAATCTACGTACATCCTACCATATACTTTAAAATCATCTTTAGATTACTTATAATACTTAATGCAATGTAAATGCTATGTAAATTGGTGTTATACTGTATTTTTAAACATTTATGTTTTTATTGTTACATTGTTCCTTTTTTAATATAAAGAAAAGATATTTATTTGGCTCACGTTTCTGCAGGATGTACAAGCATGACGCCAGCATTTGTTCAGCTTCTGGTGAGGCTTCAGGAGGCTTTTGCTCATGGCAGAAGGTGAATATTCTTACTTTTTAATTGTAATTTTTTTCCCAAATATTTTCAGTCAGGGCCGGCTGAACTGGCAGATGCAGACCTGTGAACACAAAGGGCCAACTGTCCATCTCTTACATGCTTTGTGGAATGGAGGTTTATTCGGACTGAGTATATTCATACATGTGATGCCGAATTTCTGAAAGAAGTTCTACGTGGGTCATTCAGTCCCTGAAATCCTATTCTAAGTCTGCTCACTTCAGAATCCATGAAGAATCTGCCTCTGACATCCTCAGTGCCACATTAACTAGTGCCTATGGGCGGCACAGAGCATACTATGGGGACACTCATTCTGCAATCAAGGAAATCAAGGGAAATAGAAGTTAGGTCACTAATTTTTTTCTAACACATAGAAAATAAGAAATAAAATTCACAAGCCTCCAATATTTACATGTTAAGTGGTAGGTGGTTAATAAATCTTTGTAAGTAAAAGCAAGAAGACAAAGTGTTTGAGTTACTGGATCATTGCTGCCTCCCAAAGAACAGAATACATGTTGAGCCTGGAAGGGCAGACTCCTACAAATGACTGGAAAGCTCAACTGATTGGAGTATCATTCTCGGCCTATGACACTGACCTCCCATAAGTAGCCTCCAATTTTGTTATTTACTGATTCTGAAGCAATTTCCAAAATCTGTAAATTTTCCACCCACTTTCTTCCGGCTTCTGAAACTATAGAATACTTTGCGACTGAAGTTTATACCGCTGACCCTGAACTTTCCATTCACTTGCCAGCAACAATGTATTTTTTTATTATGCGTAGTACTCTATATTTGATATCATTTATATTGAAATAAAGCTTTCACTTTATAATAGTTACATTATGTATAAATTATGTATAAATGCATGGCATATGCTACATTATAATGAAATGTATTCTTTCATAATAGCTCCTACTACATACCAGGCCCTATCCTGATACTCAGTCTCCGAAAATGATTAAGACATAGGCTCCTGACCTTGAGAAACTTATGGCCATGTGGAACGAGATGAAAATGTTTAAAATTTTTTTTGTCAAGAAAGTCATTGTTTATAAGAAATGCTTTCTAAAATATTTAGGGGTTAAGAGACATGTTTTTGCAACTTACTCTCAAATAGTTCAGAAAAAAACACTTACATGTATATATATTGTTTACATATGTGTATGTATATATGTGTACGTACAAATGGGTATATTTATGCATATATGTATATGTGTGTGTGTGATACACACACACATTTAGAGAGAGAACAGTAAAGCAAATATGGTAAAATATTAGCATTTGGGGAACTTGTGTAAATGGTATATAAAATACATTCTCCATGGGGGCAATATCATACCCAAGGGAATAAAAATTGTTCTTGGGGATAAAAGAAACCTTACTTTTTACATATAGAGCTCAGATATACGTAAAGTCCATAAGCAGATATAGAGTATATTTGGGTATTCGAATTTCATGTCAGGAGCCAGGCATGGTCACATGCCTGTGGTCCCAGCTACTCAGGAGGCTAAGGTGGGAGAATCGCTTGAGCCCAGGAATTTAAGGCTGCAGTGAGCTATGATCATACCACCGCACTCCAGCCTGGGTGACAGAGCGAGGCCTTGTCTCTAAAAGAAAATTCATATATGAGGGTGATTAGGAAAAAAATGTCTGCAAATTTCTTTAGGGGTGACAATCAGAAAAGGGTTGAGAAACACTGGTATACAGGAATTCCTTATACTCTTTTGGCAACTTTTCTATAAGTCTGAAATTATTTCAGAATGAAGAGTGCAAACACTGAGCCAAGACAGTGCTGCGAGAGCTAGGGGAGGCAGAAGAGGCAGCCTGGGTCCCCCGGTTTTGCAGGAGGGCAGTGAGGGTGGCTCCAGGGTAGATGGTATAGAAGTCCTGAACCTGGAGGGTGACACCTGGCCCAAGTCTTGCAGGAAAACCCTGAGTGTGCTGGGCAGATAAGGACATGGCCTAATCCCAAAAAGCCTCAGAGGAAGATTAAATTCTCTAGCATTTAGTTTTATTGTTTAGCATATTTTACCATATTCTAATGAGATACAAATGATAAGCCATGTCTTTTCTAAAAGATGACTCTCAATTAAATAACAATCCCTTGTTAGGCGGAAGATCTGACTTCTCAACTTTCTAAAGAAATAGGAGTTTGAGGGAAAACAACCTTTGTTCTGGAATTCACTGTTTATCCAAACTGTTAGTCCCTGAAGGAATGTTTCTAATTCACAGTTTACAGGCTTGGGAAACCCTTTGGGGTTTTGGAGAGAGAAGGTGCCATCCTGTGAATGCTGCCTTTAGCTCCGGAATTGCACTGGGTTGGGAGGCCCGGGAGAGGCAGAAGGTGGCTTCACATTCTGGAGCATTTCTGCAGGCTGGAAATCTGACACTGAGCTACGGAAATGCGGAGTCCAAAAGCATGCTGTGCGAGGGGCGCAGAAAGGGGCAAACGCTGGAAAAATCCTACTTTTCTCCCCATGACAGCTGCCTTTTGTTTGGGCAAATAATTTGAGGAGAGAACAAAAAAGCAGTTGTTTGCTTAATGCCAAGCCACAAAAACATGGAGCCTTTCTGGCCCCTGTTAGGAGAAAACTCCATATCCCAAGCATTCTTGATGATTTGCCTGCAGACTGAGGTGACACAGAAAACATCCACTGTCCCCGGAATCCCTCTTGCTGGGCAGGGGCCACCTCATTCATTCATAACTCAATAGGACAGGGGTCCAGAGAGGCCAGAGTTTAGTGCCACGTTGGACCAAGCCAAAGGGTGGCTGCGATGGGGTGTGGTGGCCTGAAAGCAGGTCGTTAATGCAAATGGATGCCCTGCCTGCCAGTGGCCTGTTTTCTTGGCCAGAAGAATCTGTAAAAAGAGTACAAAACCTTGTGTTCAAAGTTTTGGAGTTTATAATATATACAAACTCATACACACATGCCCAGAAATACACAAATTGCTTGTGATACATACATTTGGTGCCAACATAAACAGGACTCTGGCCAAAAACCGTGTTGGTTAGCAACTGGCCAATGTAGCATTTAAAGTTAGAGGCCAACAGAAAAACCCAAACAGTGGTGTTTTTTTCCTAAACTTGAAGTCAAAGTCACCAGTCAGTATTGCTTTTCCTTTACAGAATGGTTTTCTATTATCTTCACTCAGGAAAGATCCTGTCTGCAGAGAGGCCCGTGACGGGTTTGCTGTTAGATGAGTTCATTACCGTAAATCCATCCAAGGCTAGTTCCAATAACAATTACGAGGCCATCAAGCCATGAAATCTGATGTCCACTTTGAATTTGTGACCAGTGCCACTGAAAAAGAGAAGGGGGGGGTGCTGGACTTCAAGAACTGCCTGGTCTCCAAAGTTTGTCAGGCCAGCCAAGTGACACATGGAACAGCAGGTGGACAGGGAGTGTGTGCTTTTTCCTGAGCCCACTCCTGGCACAGTATAGAGGGAGTGCCAGCGTCCTAGGTACCATCAACTTGTTAGGGATGCCTTCTTCCCCACACTTCTCCCGCCCTCAGATATTAAATGTCCCTTCTATCCTCTAACAAGGCCTGTTCCCAGGGAAAGATTAATATCCATTATTTACACATAGCCCAAATATATTTAAGTCACTGCTGCCGTCTCATAGGATGTGTTGCATTTGAAGTCTGTAGCCTAACAGCCTTGACTTCTGCTAAAAGAATTTTAGTCTTTGGCAAGCAAATGGGAGGGAATTTGGTAGGGATGAGGAGGGCCAGGCTTTATCAAGAGCTTTCCTTACTGCCTGCATCTTCTCTCCCCTCAGCCTTCAGACCTCCACTTAATACTTCACTCCTAAGTAGGTCAAATCCCAATGAGATGGTCTGCTGGTACCTACATCTCTCCTTAGCTCTTACTGGAGTTTTACATTGTTATCTGTGATTACTTATGTCTGCCTCTTCTGCTGAGCCCCGTAGGTCAAGGCCCACATCTATATTTGGTCATCATTCTCTCTCAAGTGCCTAGCCCAATGCCTGGCATATAGTACATGTTCAATGAATGTTTTTTGAATGAAAAAAAAAAAGCAATGAATGATATGATTAAATGAAGGCTTGGGTGAACGGGTGGGTGGATGGGTGGGTGGATGAATGGATGGATGGATGATGATGGGTGCATGGATGGATGAATGATTGATGGATGATGGAATTTCAGTGCCACTACATCTGGGCCCTGTCCATCTTCCTGTAATCCTGCCTCCCTGAAATCTCTGTGGGTCCAGTGTAGCTTAAAGCAGCTCAGTCAATAGGTGAAGGTGTTCCTGGATGCTCATGATGAATTACTTGGCCAGCAGCTGAGAAAGGCCAAAAAGTACAGCCAAAGAGAAAGGCTGGGAAGACAAAAGGCAGAGAGGGAGAAATAGAGGGGTGAGAGGTATGCAGCAGCACAGACCACGGGCAGCTGGAAGAGAAAGGCAGGAGCTTTGGAGACCTAAGAGAAAAACAGAGGGAGAAGGGATGTTGAGATGAGCCGTGGGGAGGGGGAGGCAGCTGGGAAGGGGGAGCTTAGAGGAGAATCTGTGCCATTAGGATGACAAAAACAACAGGGGCTTTTCTGAGAGGACTGTAGGGAGGTGAAAGTTGAAAGTGGGAGGCTTGTAAGAAGAAGGAGAGGAGGGAAAGAATCTTAACCAGCTAAATTTAAGTAACAGAGAAAGAGGAAAACAAGAAGAAAGAAAAATGCTGGCCCTGAAAGCTACAGAAGGGGTACCCAGGGTAAAAAAGCCAAAGCCACAGCCTCTCTGCCAAGGGAGGAAACCTTAGGAGACCCACCAGCCGGCATCTTGAAGTCTCAGACTTTTTCCACCTTATGAGCTGTAAATTGATCTATTCAGTTAGAGAAAGCTGGTTTTTATTGAGTAATTTCCTCTGGACGACCTCCAGTTTTGAACACGTCCCCAAATTTCTCTGACTCTCCCCCAGCCCCCCCGGAGTCCATGCGTCAAAGCCCGTAAATCACTGGGGGGCAGGCCCCCCTCGCCGCTTGTCAGGTCACTGGGCTAATCCTGATATGGCCCTTGGTCCTGCTCGGTGCAGAGACCTCGGATCTGTTTGTTCTGCAGGCCAATTCCCAGCATGCCCCTTGCTGAGCTCACATCCCGGCAGCAGCGCAGGAGCCCCCAGCCACAGAAGGGATTTCTAACAGGTCCCAAGCCACGTCCTCTGCCTGGCCTCGGCTACCAAGGACATTTCTCAATTTTTCTTCTTAGCCTTCAAATGAGGCCTCCTGCAGATGAAAACAAGGGGCTCTTTATGGAAAACATTGCCCATCACTTGCTTTTACATTGCATCTTTTATGCCAGTATCCCTCAAAGCATTTTCACAGACAAGTGCCGTTGTCTTCCCCCTTACAGATGGCAGTGAGAGGAAAGCACAGAAAGTTAAGTGGTTCAATGAAGGTCACTCAAAAAATCAGAGCAGAGGTGGGGAAGGAACCCAGATCTCCCTGCTCCCAGGCCCATCCCTTGCCCACTCCCAGGCCTAGCTGCAAACAGCTGGTGACTGTGAGTGCCCTTCTCACACCCTGCCAGCATGCAAATCCCCCTTATCTTTGTTACTTAAAGCTCAGAACTGAAACTCCATCTTCCTAACCAGGATTGCACAGCTCTTTGGATGGAAGGGGCCATCTTGCAAAATCAATTGAAGGCCGATGGACCTGCCAAGACCCAAAAGGGTGGGAGGGGGGCCTGCAGGTCCCCTCAGGAGGTGAGACGCAGGCGTCAAAGCTTGAAGAGCAATTGCATTACCTGTGCGGCTGAGGTTTTCTGCCTGCTCAATCCGAAAGTTAGCAAAGTAGTAATCAATGGAAAGGAAATATAATTGAGAAGATTAAAAGCTGAGGGTGGGTATGGACTGGGGAGGGAAGTGATTGCTAAAGAGGTCCATTTGTATAATTCAAAGGTCGATGCCTCTCATTAAACTCACATCTCCAGACACTCAGGGGATGAAAAGAAGCTCTCCATGCTGACTGCCTGACACCTAAGAGTTTCCTCCGGCCACTTTCAAGGGCAGCATGAGGCCAGGGGGACGAAGAGCTGTTGGAAAGTGAATTTAGGGGAATCCATAAGCAGAAGAACATTTGGAGAATTGCAAAACACAAACAGATCTTCTGACCCTTTTAAAAAAGATATCCGAGTTTCTTGTAGACTATGAGGGCTTATTTACATGATCTTCACAGAAACTTAATCCATGCCTAAGGAGGTTCTAGACGGTTTCACCTTCCCTGTTTATATTTGTACCCACCCTCCCCCCTGCCCCCACCCCCGCCCCCCCCCAACACACGTTTATCCTTACATGAAATGCATCTGTTTCTACAGCTTCAGATCCATAATGAACTTTGGCTGAGATGACCTGTTTACTTAGCGAGCCAGCAACTACATCCGTCTGAGACAAGTGACAAGCTCATCCCCCGCAATCCTCCCTGGAAAGGAAGGTGTGTAGGAGAGCAAGCGCGTGTGTATATGTCTACAGATCTCAACTGAGATGTTGGGGCTGCAGGGTCCAGGAGGCCAGGACACGGACACCAAAACAGACAATATCGTAATTTCCCTTCTAGCCCTGCTCTTTGACTGTGGAGGAGGCTCACAGGAGTTAGTCCAGTGCATCTGTTTCCTTTACTGTTCTTCATCTTCAGTCCTTGGTGCCTACACCAGAAACCCCTGTAAGTGTACGCTGGAGACCACAGGATGCAGGGAGGGCTGCCAGATTTAATAGGTGTTTTGGTTTACTATTGCTGCAGAACACATTACCACAAACTCGGCAGCTTAAAACAACGTGTATTTTTATACCTCAAAGTTTCCCTGGTTCAGGAGTCTGGCATGTTCTGGACAGGTTCTCTACTCAGGTCTCACACAGCCAAAGTCAAGGTGTTGGCCAGGCCTGCCATCTTGTCCGAGGCTTGGGGCTTCTTCCCAGCTCTCAGGTTGTTGGCAGAACCCAGTTCATTGCAGCATGGAGCTGAGGTTCCCTGCTTTCTTCCTGGCTGTCAACTGGAGGCTATTCTTAGCTCCTAGGGGCTGACCACTCTTCCCTGCCCTGTGGCCTTCTCCACAACACAGCAGTTTGCTCCTTCAAGGTCACTGGACAATTTTCTACTGCTTCAAAGGCCTGACTTCCTTTTTCTCTGGACTCTAGACCCAGAATTAAAGGGTTCATGTAGTTTGGTTAGGCACACCCAGATAATTTGCTCTTTAACTTGATAAAGTCAACTGATTAGTGAGCTTAATTGCATTTGCAAAAATCCCTTTTGCCATGTAGTGTAACATAATCACAGGAGTGATGTTGCATCACATTCACGGGTTTCACCTACACTTTGGGGTAAGACATTATACCAGAGGGAGGGTCACTGGGGAGCATCTCAGAATTCTGCCTAATAGAAGAAATAAAAATACAAGATGCCCAATTAAATTTGAAATTCAGATAAACAATACATTTTAATTATTTCTCACACAATATTCAGGACCTATGTATACTAAAATATTATTCATTGTTCATCTGAGATTCAAATTTAACTGGGTGCCCTGTATGTTACCTGGCCACCCTAGGTGGAGAGCCTACAGGCTCTGCTGAAAGGCAGAGACTGGCTTGCAGCAGAATGTATTTCCTTTGTGTAGCAAGAAGCAGTAGACCTTTCTTCAGCTGGGGGCCCTTTGGTGATAAGAGAAGGCCTCTGTGGCCTTATTTCTGCAGCCCGGCTTTCTCTGCTTCCCTCCTAGCTCCTTCAGCCTGAGCCTGTCAACACCCTGCATACTCACTGAGAGCAACTGCCGTTCCCAGGCTGTGTGCAGCAACAGGCCACAGAGGTCAGCCACAGAGGCTCGCTTGCCTAGAATCACAGAGCCTGGGGGATGGGGTAGGGAATCGGAGAGGAGAGCTTGGGTGAAGGGGGAGCAAGAAACCACCCCAGGCCCCCTCCCATCTGCCCCAACAGAAGCTCTTGCCCTTGGTGGGGGGCGGGGTGGGGGGCGCCTGACAGGCTCTCTGGGCTACAGAAAACTCCCCTGAACCAGCAGAAGAGTTTTCCTTGGGAGCGAGGCTTGGCTCTCCTCGCAGCTGCTTCCAACCCTTGCCAGCAACACTTCCAACTCTGGCCAGCCCAGTGTTACATTTTACCAGGCCAGGCCCTATTAGCCTGATCCTAAGATGGGTTATTCTTTCCAGTTCTCACTAACAAAAATCCCCTTTTATTTGGACACTCAAGTGGCCTCTAGGAAAGGAGCTTTCATGAGCTGCCAAAAATGTTCAGATGCCGCAACATTTGTGTGTGTGGCCAATTACATCGATACCTCTGGGGCTGATCCCACAGGCCTTTCTCAGGCAAAATACCTGTGAACTTCCACCAGACCCCCCACCCTTTATCCTGAGCTCTATCTGCAAGAGGAGGCCTGAGGTAGCTGCCTGAGCTGAGCGGCTGGAGATAGGCTTATGCATGGCGTTTTTACTCGGATGAAATCAATCTGAGTGGGGAGAGTGATTTATATAAGCACCAGTCAATGCATTATTAGAATTAATATCATCATTTTGCTGCTTCCCTTTTTAGGTTTTTCCTCTCATAAATCAATTTAGTTCAATAAGATGGGGCTGAGTTTTGGCTGCACACAGATTAGAGTGTTCTGTGCTGTGGGAGCGAAGGACTGTTTGGTGAGTTCAGACAATGCCCCCATTGTTTTCTGATTTATTGAAAGCTCAGGTTTTGCTGGTATTACATGCATTCACTGATGTTTTGCAAAGCCTGGATTAGATTTTTCTTTTTTTTTTTTTAACTTGAAAGCTATCTCCATACAGCGTTGGTTTCTCAAAGAGTCTCTAGTTTGTCATAGACTGGCCTTTTTCCACAGGCAAGCAATGGCCAGTGAGAGGGTGGGTGGATGTCTTTATAATCATTCTTTCTTTCCATCTTCATATTTGGCCAACATGCACTAACTTGTGTCTGTTCTGAGTTCCCTAACCACTTGCAGAAGAGGATCTATTTGAGTCTTTTTCTTAATCATTGTCCTTGTTAAATGACTTTGTTGTGCGATCTCTTTCTTGTTGAGACTATCTCATTGCCAAATCAGTGCAGACTGTGGTCACCCACCAGAAGCCCACGAATATGGCAAACTGGGATGGACTCATGGGAGTTTGGATGCCCCCTTCATGCACCTCCTACAAAGGTGCCTTCCACAAGCTGCTTCTCAGAGACTTGTTTCAGAAGTCGCTAGGGAAGCTCATGGCATTTTTCTTATGAAAAGGACATCAGAAATGCTTAGAAAATGGTGTGCAACAATAAATCAGAAACAGCTGATTCGTCTTCAGGTTGCATCACGCTCCCTTGTGCTTCTTCACCTGCCACATCTTTGCCCTGTGTTTGTGAAGCCTTGCTCACCAGAACCTTCTGAGAGCCACTGCGATGGCGTTTCCCATCCATGTTCCCAGCCTGGAGGCTCCTCTGCCACTTTTCCTCTGTTGTGAAATGAAACTTAGCAGAATAAACCAGGGGGAACAGGGTGCACCCCAATGGCACAGACCAAGGCTCCTAAGAAGAATTCTGATGTTAACCCCTCTAAGGGTATCTAAAAGCCTGGTGGTGCTTTATTAAATCTCCAAGAATTAGCAAAAAATTGATGTTTTAAATAAGCCTTAAAGAGATGAATTTTTCAAACCCAGGGTCTTACACATGACAGTCACTCTCTAAACAGTCTGGAATCAACTGGATTTGATATTGACCAGTTTTTCAGTTTTAAGAAAAATTATTAAAAATCTTCCCCCAAATGAAAGCTTTCCCAAATAAGGGCTTATTATATCCATCCTATGTCAGAGCTACAAAATGAGCCCTCCCTGATGCAGGACTTGGCACTGGAAATCCTCAGAGCAGTCTCAATTTTTCTAGGAACATCCGTGCCCACATATGTGCACAGCACACTGTACCATCATTGCTCCCCCACTCCCAATTTAGATGCTTTCTCTGGCTAACACATGTAAGTCTATTTCTTCAAAGGGGGAATATTCCATAGGAAAATGGATCAATAAATTGTTTTTGAAAACAGAAAGGGATCTTTAAAACACTGGTTGTGAATTGAGACAGCAATTCAAGGTGGCAAAAACCCAACTAGTAGTGTTTTAAGTTAGGAGCACTCTTAATCCCTTGTAATTCTGTGTTCTAAGGTACTAGATTTCATTTCATCGACTTCATTAACACAGTACACTGGGAAGCGGACATATGATCAGCCCATTGTACATATGCCAAAACTGGGGCTCAGGGAAATTAGGTGGCTTACTCCAACACTCAAGAGTGTGGACCAAAGCCAGCTTTCTTATTCTCCTTCTGAGGGAAACTGCTCAGAATGAACACATTTTTTTCTAAATAGCAGCTCTTATTCACATATTCTTCCAACCAGGCTATGAAGTCCTTGATGATGATGACGACGACGACAACAATGATGGTGATGATGACACTAGAGACCATTTGTTTTGACCCACTACATTTTAAACACTTTAAAGCACATGTTCATGCTTGAATGTAATGAACTCTTCAAAATGACCCTGTAAGTTAGGGTAATAATATTAGCCCCATTTTATGCATTAGGGGAAAAAAGGCTCAGCGATGTTAGCTAGCCCAAAGTCTCTCAGCTAAAAGATAGCCGAACTCTGACTTAAACCGTGATGTGTATGTTCTCAATAACTAATGGATTGCATTGAACAAAACACTTGGCTACAAAGGCTACGCTGATTGTTTTCGTGTCTCTTTCCCTTTAAAGCTCGGACTAGCTCCTTATTTCTCACAGTAGGCACTGCTAACTGCTAGTTCCATATAACATTTCCTAACATGAAGCTGACTGGTACCAACATAAAGTTGATCACCACCTAGGGCAGGATGCATGGGGTGCAAAGAAGGCAGAAATGCAAGTCAGTCAGTCTCTTTTTCTCTCTAACTCAGTAGCAACATTTGAAGTTCAATGATGCTGTGTCTGGATTCTCACCGATAACACAGATCAGATTCGTTCTGAGAGATGCACTTATTTATCTCAATGAGCCTCTTTGTAAATGGTGCACCTTAAACCCAGGGCAGTCTTAGCAAGGCTTGCCCTGGCAAAACTAGCAGAACATAGAAGTATATGGTCATGCCTCATCTACTGGAAACATTCAAGGATCATGCTAGGTAAAGATTCATCCTTTTTTGAGATAGTATGCTTGCTCATTGAAATCCAAAAGGTTGTGTTCAGCTCCTGCCTGTGAAACACACTAGCTGTGTAGCTTCAAGCAAGCTTCAGTACTTAATTTCACTGAACACACTTCCTCACCTAATAAAATGAGAATAATGCCATTCTATTTTCTGGATGCTGTGGGGATTAAAATACACCTGTTCTGACAATGAGTAGGCCTTCAAAAAATATTGCTTTCCCTTTTGGAATATATGGGATGTAATTTAGCTTTTTCTCTTAGACACTAGCATATACAAACCATAACCATCCACCCTTAGATTGTGTCTTAATACAGTGAGGCACTCAGAGGTTACTGACCTAAGTGGGAACCAATTTCCCCACATGCCATAAGCATTCTATCTCATCTGTTCGGACTGGCTTGTATGGTTTTACCTTGACACCTGGGGTTCCAGGGCTGGGGAGCCTCAGCATGATAGGCCAGCCTCATGGGTTGGGTTTCAGCTTCTTCCCCCTATTCGCTCAGTGGGTGTTACTCCATTTTGCATCGTGCCTTCTCTCCTCCTCTGTTCTCCAAGGATACCCTTCATCACCCTCATGAACCTCTCTTCTTCTTTCCGAATTTCTATTTTCCCCTTTTGCCTCCTTTCCTTCCATTTTCTCAGCCTTTGGTATCAGGGAGACTTGGCTTTCATCAGTGCTAATTGTACCATTCAAGGTCCCAGTAGGAAACAGGTGGTATGCTCAAATTAGAACTCTAGAAGGGCTTAACAAAAGTACTATCTACAAAGTGTGGGCAGAGTGAACTACCTTCTGTTTCACTCTGGATGGTGCAGTACGCTGGGTCTAAAAACAAGGGAGCTATCACTACCTCTAGCCCCAAGTGGATGAGGAAAGGGAGTGGTTTCTAGAACTTGCAAGAAGTGTGTCATGGAGAAACACCCCACTGAACAGAGGCAGTAGCCTCACTTGAGAGGACCAGGGGATAAATACCTCAAACTTTCTCTTCTCCCTCCCTTCCATATCCATCTAGGGCTTCCGCTGGACAAAGAACAAGTGAGAAGTTAAAGAACAAGACTTCCAGGACACACGGCAGGATAAAGCAAGGTACAGGGGTCTAGAGGCACATACTAACCAAAGAGCTTGCTTTCTTTTAACTCACGAACATAGCAGTCACACATCTTCTGCTTCCTGTAGCAGCATATAATCCTCTTTTGGGTCTGGACTCACCACCCATCTAAACAGCTGGAAATCCTGAGTGCAGAGGTGTGGGGTAATTGGGATGTGGTTGTCCTTTATGCAGACTTACAGGATAAATTGTGTTTTCAATCCTTGTTCCATTTTCCTTCCTTTCTTTAATTTACTATGGCCTGCTCTACATTTTATGGAGTTATTTTAAGCATACACAAGAGATCTTCTTGCCATACAGAGGGAACAATCAATGTTCTCATTTAATAATTCATTCTTTCATTAAATGCCCCAAGTAATTAAATAAAACATGAATAAATTCCACGCTGATATTTGCTAAAGTTTTGTTTCTAGAGAATTCTACCTGTTGGAAGATATGCTGGGACCATTATTTACTATGATGAGCAATGAAGGAGGAAAACCTTCACAGTGTATAGAAACATAGAACTAATTTGATTATATTTATCAAATGCCTACTAAGCACTAGATATTATATATAGACATACCCCTATATCATATATCATATGTTGGAGGCAGTATATATATATATATATATATATATATATATGTGCCTATGTGTGTATATACACACATACATGTCTATGTGGGTGTGTGTGTATACTCACTCCAACACCGAAATAGCCCTATGAAGTATTAAAGACGCTGAGGCTCAGAGAAGTTCAGTACCTTAGCCAGGGTCACATCTGGCAAATGTCAGATTCACAAATCAACACCAGGTTCGCCTGGCACCAAAGCTCCTGCTCTATGATTCCCCACCCTTATGTCTTCCTTTCATTTCTATGGGGAAATAGGTGATTTAGAATAACTATCCTAATAACTCACAGTTTTCCATATTTCAACATGTGTGTATGTGTGTGCGCGAGAGAGAGAGAGAAAGAGAGAGCGTGTGTGTGAGAGAGAAGAGAGACAGAGACGGAAAGAGAGATATAGAGAAAACGAAAGAGTGGGGAGAGAGAAAGAAAGTGTGGATTTCAGAAGCTTGAAAGAAAATCTTTGAGGGAAGTTCTAAAAGAATAGGAGTAGGGGAAAGAACTGGTGGAAAATAAGATCTGTTCTGAGCATTCTTCCCCAGAGCAGTTTGACCCACATGTTTCCATGGGCCCGTATGTGAATGTAGGTTCTGCAAAGCAGCCCATGCTCACCGAAGGCGATTGTGTCCTTGCCTTGCTCAGAGTCAGTAAGAGGCACAACTGCTCCTGAGGGAGCTTCACATTAGCACTGGGATCCCATGCTATATTAGTCCCTTCTCACACTGCTATAAAGAAATACCTGAGACTCAGACATTTATAAAGAAAAGAGGTTTATTTGGCTCATGGTTCTGCAGGCTGTACAGGAAGCATGGCTGGGGGGCCTCAGGAAACTTACAATCACAGAGGAAAGAGAAGGGAAGCATACACGTCTCACATGGCCAGAGCAGGAGGAGGAGATGGGCCAGGTGCTACCCACTTAAACAACCAGATCTCATGAGAACTTGCTCACCCTCATGAGACAGCAACGGGGAAATCTGCCCCCAGGATCCAATCACCTCCATCAGGCCCCTCTTTCAACACTGGGGATTACAATTAGATTTGATGATTTGGATCTGTGTCCCTGCCCAAATCTATCACACTGCTTTCTAATAACCTGTTTCTTGGATGACCTCCTTATTAACACTTTCTGATTATTTCATATCATCATGTAAGATACAAACTTGTTTGCTTTAATATTAGTTTTGTAGAAGGTGTGGATTGAAACTACATCTCCTGAAAGTCCTCTGAATGTTAACATAGTCCCACTCTTGAGGAGAAAACTCATTTCCATATACATCCCTACCACTTTCCCAAATAACTTCTTTTCCTACAAAGCCCTATCAGTCCTTTTGTGGACTAAACAACCCTTGACTCTTGCCCCTCCCTCATACCCACATCAAATTGGTCATCAGGTTCTGCTGGGCCTGGATTGTGACTCTCTTCCTCCTGCTTCCTCACACTGACACCATAGTTTAAACCCTTTTCCCCTCTCCTTTGATACACAACGAGCACTCGCTCCATAAAGGTTTTCCAAATGTGAACACATGAACCATTTTGAGACAGACTCTCCTAACCAGCTCACCACTCTTTATTCATCTTCACTGGACCACTAGAGTCAACATTGTAAATTTTAGATTTGATTTCACATAGGCACCTCCTAATGGCTGCTAAAGGCCTAAAAGAATAATCCAAATACTTTAACCTGATGCAGCTGGGGCCCACCCCGCTTTCCAAGTGCTCCTTCCAGCCCACCGTGCACTCTGTACTCATTTATGCACCCCTACCTTTACTCACGGTCCTCTCTCCCCACACTGCTTATCGTCCAACCTCTTACTATGCCTCCTGGCTTAGCCTGAGTCCATGCTCTTAGCCACTAGCAAGAGAAAGAATCCATTGGCCCAGTTTGGCTCAATTAACTATGGCTAGGGAAACAAAGCCACACATGGCCAACGGGGAGCACTCAGTGGGGGGCCATAGAAGCGTGAGACATTATCAATCTGGCAGCTACCCCAATTTATCTATTATATTTCCTATATTACTATAGGAACACAGGATAGGCTCTATATCCACGAGCTAGTTGTGGCATATGGGTCTATGTGCCGACTGCTAGAGGCTGAGAGGCAGGGTACTCACTTATGTTGGTTAGCTGGCATGCTTGTCCTGTCATTCACAAGATACAGAGACATAATTTTTGGCTAGTTCTTTCTCACTCTTAAGAACTCAGCCTTAAGTTATCACACATACCCTTAAAGCAAGGAACAAATGGTTAAAGGGAAACAGTGGGCAACATCAGAGAGAGAAGAGGCACAGAAATCAATGCACTTCTTCTTAAATTACTATTCTTTTCTCCTTCTTTCTTCACTGGAGCCACTCATTAGAATGCATGTGAGATCAGACTAGACTAGAATATTTCAAACGTTCTTCAGATGCTCAACCTTTCCTTCAAAAGAAATGTTAGTGGAAGTGTATTAAATGAATCAGATAGAAATGGGGCTGGTGGGGTGCAGAGGGACTGAGAGCACCGCCCCCTACTCCCTGCCTCTCCCACCTCCACAGTGGCCTGTGGGAAGCCCCTGAAGGTCAGTATCAGGTAGGTTGGCCCACCACAGAGGACTGGGACTCCACCAGGTCAGGATAAGGATCAGTGAGGGAAGGCAAAGGAAGTCTCATTACAACCTCCGGTTGAGTTTTCCGTATTTGCTTTTCATCAAAGAATTCTAACAAAGCCGTTTTTCTTTTACCTTTGCAGGTCCCTTATTTGAGACGAGAAAATGGCTATATCGTTTGTGGCCTGGGTGTGTTGTGTCTGGTTCCCGTGGTTTGTTTTCCTGCTTTGAAAATGAAACCGTTCATAGCTCAGAGATGGAAAGCAGACCACGTTTTGTCAGCAAGGCCATTCGTCATGTCCCCCAGAGGGGCCCATGAACTCCCACAGCCTTGTGCTCTGCCAGCACGAGGACCACCCATGTTGCAGAGCTCAGAAGGCCACCAGGCTGCACAGGGCCAGCCGGGCACGAGGCTCTGCTACCCAGCTGGCCTGAGGCTTCAGCCAGCTCCCACCCACCCCTGGGGACACAGGTCTGAAATAAGCCAGCGTGACAGTCCATGGAGACCAGATCCCACATGGTGGTCCAGATCTCTTGTAGGGTGAATCTTGCCAAAGGTGAGCCCAGGGTAAACTTGCAAAAGGACCCAGAGTGAACAGAGCTCCTCAGATCTGCCTCAGAGCAGAGCCCAGTGAGGAAATCCCTTCACTGCTCTGGTAAAAGTTGTTTGGCTATGTTTAGGTTGAACTCCTTTTTTTTCAAGTGTTCTGCAGAAAGCTAGTTGTAAAGTGCTATGACATATAGCAAAGAACCTCTGTTAGCAAATGTCTGCACCTGCTTGGGCGGCGGGGTGGGGAGCAGTGGGAAACAAAGGGGGAAGTGGAGCAGAAGCATCACTGCAGAAAACAGTTCCCGATGCAGCTGTCCCAGGCAGACCAGCGCATCTCAGCAACTCTGTCAGACTCACCTGGAAACACACTAAAGGTGCCTGAGGGGGCCACCCACACCTTTGGAGCTGGCAGCCTGGAATCTGCATTTCGAACAAGCTTCCCAAGTGATTGCAACCTGAACTCATTTGAGAGTCAGGCCACCTGGGTGATATTGATTAGAGGACCCCTTGTCTGAGGAATGTCTCTCCATGTGAGCCTGAAAGGACATTCCAGGCTTTAGGGAATGAAGGAAACCTGGAGTGGTCCCAGAGCTGATAAGCAAAGCTGAGGAGGCAGATCCTATTTGCTTTTCCAAGTTGTGTCAAGACTGGAGAAAAGTAGCACAGAGCTCAAACTTTCTGAATCTATTTTTAAAAATTGGGATAAATGTACCACTTAGACCTGGAACAACAGCTTAGGACAGACCAAGAACTGATTGGAATTGGGCTCAGTGAGGAACAAGCTGAGCCCAGAGCCTGTATTTAAAACCTTGTTCCCTCTTATGTCTTTGTTCATTTTTTAGAAAGTGATGACTCACTCACATCGTAATTTTAAAAAAGATATAGCTGTAACAGAAAAGGCATAGAAGTATGTTCTTTCTCACATTCTGTCATTGAAACCTATTAGAGCATCGTATCTTATTCCTCTGACACCTAAAAGAGACATATGCATCCAAGGTACTCTACCATTCACCTGGAGGTAGACTCCAGGCACTCAGGAAGAATCAGAAATATCAACAGGCCTTCCCTTGCAACTGCAGGTATTCCCAGCTCACAGCTCACCTTGAATCTGAGCCTTTCAGGGTTTCCTAGAATGTGCAGAAGGAGCCCCAACTCTCCCGTTCCCCTCTGACTGATCACGACCTGAGAGCAAACTCACACCAGGCCTGTGCTCCAGGGACTGGCAGGTTGACCAGTTGTCCCAGAGCATTTGGTGCTTTGTCAGCTCCTACACTAGATGGTGACTCCTGAGTCAGATTTCCCAATTTCATGACTTCAGCATGTATGGCCAAAGGGACTGAGCAGTCATGCTCTCCACAACATCTGGCATGCTCCACCTCTTGGGTCTCATCTTGCAAATTTTCTAATGAAAGAAGAATTCTAATTATCTCATTTCTTTTCCATTGGGTAGAATGGTGAGTGTGGGGTGAGGGTGGAGAGGATACTGGAAAAAAATGGCTCTTATCTCTTCCTGTGCACTATCTGTATTTGAAATCCAGTGACAAAGATGTATGTGGGATGGAGGAGGGGTTCAAGGAGGACACATTCTGAGGCCTAGCAGACTAATCAGGCAGCTCCAGGCAGCTAATCATGTGATTTGCAAATGATTTACAGTCACACAATCAGCATTCCTGGGTGGGGGGTGACCATCACTGGCTATGGCCAAGTCTGTTAGAAAGGGAAGAGCAAATGGCACAAGTAGGCAGAGGACAGAAAAGAGAACTGCAGAACAAGAAAATGAAGAAAGAGGGTGGAAAAAAGATATGGTCAGAGTTAAGAACCAGGACACATGTCTCAACTTTCGAGAATTACTTCTCCTATTGTCCTGATCATCCCTCTTAAAAGGAATGCTATTTTTCTTCATTGTATTAATTCGCTGAAAGGGCTTCACTGCATCAGACATTTTGGAAATTATTAAGAGTCTCTTTATATCAGAATATAGCTCCTACTCTTAGCCAATATTTGAAACTCATGTTAGGCTTCATAAAGGCTCAATGAATAACTGGAATGACTAATTTTTAAAAAAATAAACTTCATGGTGAGAAGTTGTTTGCTTTGGGGACAGGTAGATAAAAGTGAGGCCACCATTGGTTTCCTTCTCTTTCATTTTTATTTCCATACTTTTGTGCTAAAAGAGCATTTTTTAAATTATACTTTAAGTTCTGGGATACATATGCAGAACGTGCAGGTTTGTTACATGGGTATACACGTGCCATGGTGGTTTGCTACATCTATCAACCCATCATCTACATTAGGTATTTCTCCTAATGCTGTCCCTCCACTAGCCCCCCACCCCCTAACAGGCCCCGGTGTGTGATGTTCCCCTCCCTGTGTCCATGTGTTTTCATTGTTCAGCTCCCACTTATGAGTGAGAACATGCAGTGTTTTTCTGTTCCTGTGTTAGTTTGCTGAGACTGATGGTTTCCAACTTCATTTATGTCCCTGCAAAGGACATGAACTCATCCTTTTATATGGCTGCTTCATATTCCATGGTGTATATGTGTCACATTTTCTTTATCCATTCTATCATTGATGGGCATTTGGGTTAGTTCCAAATCGTTGCTATTGTGAACAATGCTGCAATAAACATACGTGTGCATGTGTCTTTATAGTAGAATGATTTATAATCCTTTGGGTATATACCCAGTAATGAGATTGCTGGGTCAAACGGTATTTCTGGTTCTAGATCCCTGAGGAATTGCCACACTGTCTTCCACAATGGTTGAACTAATTTACACACCCATCAACAGTGTCAAAGCTTTCCTATTTCTCCACATCCTCTCCAGCATTTGTTGTTTCCTGACTTTTAATGATCTCCATCCTACTGGCATGGGATGATATCTCATTGTGGTTTTGATTGCATTTCTCTAGTGACCAGTGGTGTTAAGCTTTTTTTCATGTTTCTTGAGTGCATAAATGTCTTGAGAAGTGTCTGTTCATATCCTTTGCCCATTTTTTGATGGGTTTTTTTTTTCTTGTAAATTTGTTTAAGTTCTTTGTAGATTCTGGATATTAGCCCTTTGCCAGATGGATAGATTGCAAAAGTTTTCTGACAAAAACAAGCAATGGGGAAAATATTCCCTATTTAATAAATGGTGTTGGGAAAACTGGCTAGCCATGTGCAGAAAACTGAAACTGGACCCCTTCTTTACACCTTATAAAAAAATTAACACAAGATAGATTATAGACTTAAACATAAGACCTAAAACCATAAAAACTCTAGAAGAAAACCTAGGCAATACTATTCAGGATATAGGCATGGGCAATGACTTCATGACTAAAACACCAAAAGCAATGGCAACAAAAGCCAAAATTGACAGATGGGATCTAATTAAACTTAAGAGCTTCTGCACAGCAAAAGAAACTACCATCAGAGTGAACAGGCAACCTACAGAATGGGAGAAAACTTTTGCCCATGGCTATATCCTGAATAGTATTGCCTAGGTTTTCTTCTAGAGTTTTTATGGTTTTAGGTCTTATGTTTAAGTCTATAATCTATCTTGTGTTAATTTTTTATAAGATGTAAAGAAGGGGTCCAGTTTCAGTTTTCTGCACATGGCTAGCCAGTTTTCCCAACACCATTTATTAAATAGGGAATATTTTCCCCATTGCTTGTTTTTGTCAGGTTTATCAAAGATCAGATTGTTGTAGCTGTGTGGTGTTATTTCTGAGGCCTCTGTTCTGTTCCATTGGTCTATATATCTGTTTTGGTACCAGTACCATGCTGTTTTGGTTACTGTAGCCTTGTAGTATAGTTTGAAGTCAGGTAGCAAGATGCCTCCAGCTTCGTTCTTTTTGCTTAGGATTGTCTTGGCTATACGGGCTCTGTTTTGATTCCATATGAAATTTAAAATAGTTTATTCTAATTCTGTGGAGAAAATCAATGGTAGCTTGATGAGGATGGCAATGAATCTATAAATTACTTTGGGCAGTATGGCATTTTTACAATATTGATTCTTCCTATCCATGAGCATGGAATGTTTTTCCATTTGTTTGTATCCTCTCTTATTTCCTTCAGCAGTGGTTTGTAGTTCTCCTTGAAGAAGTCCTTCACGTCCCTTGTCAGTTGGATTCCTAGGTATTTTATTCCCTTTGTAGCAATTGTGAATGGGAGTTCACTCATGATTTGGTCTCTGTTATTGGTGTATAAGAATGCTTGTGATTTTTGCACATTGATTTTGTACCCTGAGACTTTGCTGAAGTTGCTTATCAGCTTAAGGAGATTTTGGGCTGAGACAATGGGGTTTTCTAAATATACAATCATGTCATTTGCAAACAGAGATAATCTGACTTCCTCTCTTCCTATCTGAATACATTTATTTCTTTCTCTTGCCTGATTGCCCTGGCCAGAACTTCCAGTACTATGTTGAATAGGAGTGGTGAGAGGGCATCCTTGTCTTGTGCCAGTTTTCAAAGGCAAAATTTACAGCTTTTGCCCATTCAGTATGATATTGGCTGTGGGTGTGTCATAAACAGCTCTTATTATTTTGAGATACGTTCCATCAATACCTAGTTTATTGAGAGTTTTTAGCATGAAGCAGAGTTGAATTTTATCAAAGGCCTTTTCTGCATCTATTGAGATAATCATGTGGTTTTTGTCATTGGGTCTGTTTATGTTATGGATTACATTTATTGATTTGCATATGTTGAACCAGCCTTGCATCCCAGGGATGAAGCCAAGTTGATCGTGGTGGATAAGCTTTTTAACGGGCTGCTGGATTTCGTTTGCCAGTATTTTATTGAGGATTTTCACAAACTAAGCTTCATAAGCAAAGAAGAAATAAAATCCTTTACAGACAAGCAAATGCTGAGAGATTTTGTCATCACCGGGACCAGCCACTGCAAAAACATACCAAACTATAATGACCATTGACACTATGAAGAAACTGCATCAACTAAAGGGCAAAATAACCAGCTAGCATCATAATGACAGGATCAAATCCATACATAACAATATTAACCTTAAATGTAAATGGGCTAAATGCCCCAATTAGAAGACACAGACTGGCAAATTGGATAAAGAGTCAAGACCCATCAGTGTGCTGTATTCAACAGACCCATCTCACATGCAAAGACATACACATTGGCTCAAAATAAAGGGATGGAGGAAGATTTACCAAGCAAATGGAAAGCAAAAAAAAAAAAAAAAAAAAAAGCAGGAGTTGCAATCCTAGTCTCTGATAAAACAGACTTTAAACCAACAAAGATCAAAAAAGACAAAGAAGGGCATTACATAATGGCAAAGGGATCAATGCAACAAGAAGAGCTAATTATCCTAAATATATTTGCAGCCAATACAGGGCACCCAGATTCATAAAGCAAGTTCTTAGAGACCTACAAAGAGACTTAGCCTCCCACACAATAATAGTGGGAGGCTTTAACACCCCACTGTCAATATTAGACAGAACAACGAGACAGAAAATTAACAAGGATATCCAGGATTTGAACTCAGCTCTGGACCAAGAACACCTAATAGACATCTACAGAACTCTCCACCCCAAATCAACAGAATGTACAATCTTTTCAGCACCACATCACACTTATTCTAAAATTGACCACATAATTGGAAGTAAAGCACTCCTCAGCAAATGCAAAAGAATGGAAATTGTAACAAACAGTCTCTCAGACCACAGTGCAATCAAATTAGAACTCAGGATGAAGAAACTCACTCAAAACCGCACAACTACATGGAAACTGAACAACCTGCTCCTGAAAGACTACTGGGTAAATAATGAAATCAAGGAAGAAATAAATAAGTTTTTAAAACCAATGAGAACAAAGACACAACATACCAGAATCTCTGTGACACAGCTAAAGCAGTGTTTAGAGGGAAATTTATAGCACTAAATGCCCACAGCAGAAAGCAGGAAAGAACTATTATCAAACATTTAGAAAGATCTAAAACCCTAACATCACAATTAAATGAACTAGAGAAGCAAGAGCAAACAAACTCAAAAGCTAGCAGAAGACAAGAAATAACTAAGATCGGAGCCAAACTGAAGGAGATAGAGACATGAAAACCCTTCAAAAACTCAATGAATCTAGGAGCTGTTTTTTCTTAAAATATTAACAAAATAGACAGACTGCTAGCCAGACTAATAAAGAAGAAAAGAGAGAAGAATCAAATAGACACAATAAAAAATGATAGGGAGGCTGAGGCGGGCAGATCACAAGGTCAGGAGTTCGAGACCAGCCTGACCAATGTGATGAAACCCCATCTCTACTAAAAATACAAAAATTAGCCAGGTGTGGTGGTGCACACCTGTAATCCCAGCTACTTGGGAGGCTGAGGCAGGAGAATCACCTGAACCCAAGAGGTAGAGGTTGCAGTGAGCCAAGATTGTGCCACTGCACTCCAGCCTCATCAACAGAGCAAGACCCCATCTCAAAAAAAAAAAAAATGATAAAGGGGATATTACCACTGATCCCATAGAAATACAAACTAGTATCAGAGAATACTATAAATACCTCTATGCAAATAAACTAGAAAATCTAGACGAAATGGATAAATTCCTGGATGCATACACCCTTCCCAAGACTAAACCAGGAAGAAGTCGAATCCCTGAATAGACCAGTAACAAGCTCTAAAATTGAGGCAGTAATTAATAGCCTACAAATCAAAAAAAGTCCAGGACCAGACGGACTCACAGCCGGTGAGCCACAGAGGCACAAAAAGGAGCTGGTGAAACTATTCCAAACAACAGAAAAAGAGAAACTTCTCCCTAACTCATTTTATGAGACCAGCATCATCCTTATACCAAAACCTGGCAGAGACGTAACAATAAAAAAATTTCAGGCCAATATTCCTGATAAAAAGGCAATTTTTAAAAGAGAATAAAGAGTACCACATTCCCCTTCTCACTCCCATTCATGTTTGTGGTCTCTATTATATTTGTGATAATCATACAGACTAGGTCTCACACAGTCTTGGGCACTATAAGTGTTTATTGCATGCAGTGAAGAATGAAAAAATGTTTTAAAAAGGAATAATGTTCATGTTTGTTTGTGGGCTGATAATTTGGCATCAATACCACCTCCTGCCACATTCTGTCTGCATCACAGGGGAGGACCTGGAAACACATTTCCCAGAAATCTTCCCAGTGTAGCTGTGAGTTAGAGTCAGCCACTAAGAGCCCTTGCACAAGATTTGGAACCAGCGTTCTCCAGCATCGGTTCCTGGCAGACCTGTGTTCAGTCACTGGCTGCAGAGGTTTCCAGGCAAGCTCAGCGAATTGCCTGTCTTGGAGCTGTAGGCCAGTGGCACTGGCTTCCTACAGACTCTTGAAATTACAGTGACTTCAGGACAGGCATTTGAGAATGACCCATTTCAGTGCTACATGCAGCTGAGGTCAGCAGCTTGAGTTCCCCCTACCCTAGCTCCCAGCCCTTCCAACAGTGTCGTAAGACTCTACTTCTCTGAATTAAAACATTACTGCTTATAATACTTCATGTAGCTTCTGTTTCCCTGACCAAGCTCTGACAAATACAGCAAGCCATTGGAATGGGACAAGATCATTTATGGATGGAGTGTCGATAGATAAGAGGACAAGGGGCACATGAGCTACCTCCTTATTTCCCCTGCCTGGCACAGGCTGACATGCTGCCCTCCAGTTCAGTAGGGCCCCTCCCAGGATCCAAGCAAGGTGGCTACTAGACTGGTTGTCATAATGTAATAGGCATCAGTTCTTAAAACCTACCAAAAGTAGGCACTATACACACATAATTTTTAGGTGTTATGATTTTCATTTCATAGCAAATGAAACTGATGCTCAAAGAGATTAAGTGAGTTGGTCAAGGCCCCTTGACTGGTTACCAGTTTGGATTGGAACCCTGGACTGTCAGGAAATTCCATGTTCATTCTACTCTACCACGCTGCCTTACCTCACCGGCCTTCTGGATTCTCCCACCTCAGTTTTTCCATCTGTTAAATGAAGGAATTGGGTTAGATGACACCCAAAACCCTGCCTGGATCCAATCTTCTGTGACTATGTGAATTGACAGAGTTTATCTCAGGCCTGCTTCCTGGGGGCCCCCATGGCAGCCCGGAGGTATTCATCATTGATGGACATAGGCAGTAGGAAGTTTGAGGAGGCGCCATGGCAAATTGGAAAGCGGGTAGTCTGGGTTCAAATAGTATACTTTCTAGCTCTCTAATTGGCCACTTTCTAATTGGCAATGCTGGGCCAATTACCAAAATGCATGGACTTCAATTACATGGAGGTTTAATAAATTGTTGCTACTGTTGTTGCTCTCAAGCTGAGCCATGAATATGAGGTAGACAAAGAGGACAACAGGAATACTGGGATGAAGAGGTGCGGAATGCCAAGTAGAGAGAGGAACACAAGAAAGGTAGCAAGTTACACAGCCCTAGAAGGGACTTCTTGGGTATCTAAGGTACAGGGAAGGCAGGCAGCCAAAGACAGAGAGAGAAAGAGAAATGATCAGGAGCTGAGGATAGGGAGCAGTCAGCCACCAAGGGGGTACTCCTCAGAGTTAAACAAAAATGGCACTCAAGACCAAAAGATAACTGTTTCCGCAATTTAAAGAAGCAGCTTTTACTTTAAGTATTCTGCTTTACAGATTTCAAACGTTAATAGCTCAACTTCTGGAACATATTGATTCAGGTTTAAAAGGAACCACCTGCATCCAGCATTCACTCAATGGGATATTCTGTAAGAGCAGAGTAACTCAAGTAGAAAAACCATGTTTCAGTGTCTTTAGTCTACCACTTATCTTAGCAAAATCGACTGTTTGCTCCCAAATACAGTTCCTGCAAACAAGAAAACATGGTGAGATCACCAAAGGGAGGACTGAGCCCTGCAGCCTGTAATAGACACTCAAAAAATGGTTAACTCAGCGAGTTCTTGAAATCACAAGAGGGAATTCCAGGAGATATGACTATCAGGACAAAATAATATCTCTTAGATGCAGAAAGATCGTTGAAACTTTTCAACTCTTCCATTAGGGGAGCTAACACCACTGGAAGGGCCTTTCAACACCTGAACCTAAGAGGTTCCATCCCCAGGGAATATGAATTTCTGGGCCTTTAAGAAAGATAGGAATGTGTGGCTAGGTCTTTCTAGAACCATCTCCACCCTCGTCCTAAAAAGCCCTTAACAACACAGAAATGATTTAACCATCACACCAGCCAAGGTACCCAAATAAATATATCACTTTCCAACAATGGTAGTTATTGAAAATCTCAATGGAATATATTTAAATGTCAATGTAAGGAACAATTCTTGACAATTTCAAGAGGAAATATTCTGGATGTGATCTCAGAGTACTGTTTCCAACTTTGGTTCTCTCTGTGGTAGAAAGAGAGTAGAACCCAGAAGCTACGAGTGTAAGTCCCAAGACTGGCCACTTTTTCACTGAGTGACCTTGGGAAAAACTACTTTGCTTCCCTGAGTTGTGTGGTTCAACTATAAGGCAGGGATAACAGTGTATGCTTTACTGACTTCCAGGATTATCGCGAGGATAAAGTGTTAAGAGTGTGGAAATGTCTTAGAAAATAGGAACATTCTCAACATAGGACCCATTACTAAAAACCTTGTATTCCTATGATAACCCTATCTAATTGCTCAGATTTTAAGTTGTCATTCTTTTAATGACAAAATAAAAACCCCTGATACCTAATTCTTATGGCATGGGAGTGCACAGTGATTTCATTCCATTGACTTAGAGACAGTAAATCTGCAACCATACACCATTGCCATTACACACACTTAGTCACAAATAGGAAAGTCCACAGCAAAATTTGTATGGCAGCAGCTGGACTGTGAGTATAAGGTTGGAGTGGACCATGTCCTCACTAATAAATGTCAGCTTGATTTGAATTACTTGCTAAAGCACAGCTTAGACAAAGCCAAAAAGGAAAACCAAAGCTTTCTCGGAAAAATGGAATCCCAAAGCATAAATAAAAGATTCCACCTGAGAAGAATGATTTGTCTCTCACTCAAGAATGCACGGTCCATTCTATGTTACCACATCTCTTAAGATGTTTGTTACTGGTTTATAAAAAGCTCACGCATGCGTGTACTTAGACATACACATGCGTACACTCTCCACAGATATATAAATTTTGCTAAAATAAAACCTAGAAGTTATACTTTGATTACTTGAAATAAAACTAGAAAAGTTTATTCTTTACAAGAATTAGCCCTTCTTTGCTTTACAAAAGCAAATGACCCCAGGCCCAGGTCAAAAATACTGATGAAGCTTTATATTACCCAAAGATAACTTGGAATTCAGGAAACCCCGGGCTACCAGTCCTTACGCATTAAAATGAAGCTGTCACAAAAGAAGAGAGACCGAACATCTAAAACTTGGAAACTCATGTGACCTGCTATGAAGCCATGAATTGATTCTGCATCAAACCCATTTGGACCATACATAACTCACTTGATTAGAAATGTTGGAAATAATCATTTTATAGCATAAAGCCCCTCATTCTCCAAGTCAACAGAGATGTGACATATTACAAAGCATATTTACATTTTTTGTGAGGAAGACACGAAATACCTTTCCTAAGGGCAGTTGTCTAGAAATGAAAGGTCATGATTTTTCTTTTTCTGTTTTAGTCATATATGCAGTCCCCCCAAAACTAAATATTTCCCTTTTCCAATGTAATTTAGACAATTTTACAAAATCAAGAGCAGGTTTTTGAGGGATTTTAAAGGTTCTTTTAGTTATGTATTACTTATAAGACATGTTCAGTTTGTAAAGTGACCATTTCTACTCTTTAGTTAAGAGAGGTAGAATATTCAGATAAAATATCAGGAATAAAATATTAGATCAGTGGAGAAGAGTCATTCGAGGATGCAGTGAGCATCTCTGTCCTGGGTTTTTTTTTTTAAAGTAATCAATAAGAAGTAAACACTTTAACTGCATTATACAAATACAGCCAACATTGAAAATCTGAGTTTTCCCCATGCAAACCTACCTCAGAAGCTCTACTATACCTGGCAAGACCACAGGATTCTTATTTTCTTTAAGGTTCTGTGTCAATTAAGATGTGTTAGACCCACAGAGGTGCAAACAATAAAAAAAAATGTATTACCCCACATAGCAGAAAGTCTAGGCACATCATAGCCTGGGCTCTGTTGCTCTGAAATGTTCCCAGCTTGGCCCTTCTGCATGTGCTGGTGTTGTACCAGGCTGGCTTTCCTCACGATTGCAAATTGACTGTCAACAGCATCTAGAGCTACATTTTTTCTTGTTCATGTTCAGTGAGCAAGGGACAAAAACTCTCCCAACCATAGAACAAAAATCCTTCTCTTCAGTCTTATTTGACCCATGAGTTCTCATGCCCAACACTGTGCCAATAGTTGCCAGGGAACTATCAAGCATGGATTGTCTTAAGCCCTGACCAGTAAGGGAGATGGCTTGGATGCATCCAGACTCACCTCTGAGAGATTTGATGAACCTTTCTTGAGTTATTGGGCTGCATTGGGTATAAGGGTTGAATATCCAAAGAAAATCTGGGTTCCATTAGCAAGCAAGAAAGAATGAATTGATGCTAGAAAGCAACTGACAATGTCCATGTTAGAACCCACTGGGCTTCCCAGAAGTGATGAGAAGAATGTTGGCTCTGATGGCGTGTCTGAACTTTGGGTAGGAGAGGTGGCCCGCTACTCGCAGGAAGGAGTGTTTCTAAGTGTAAGCCTATGTGCTTCCACCTAGTCCCAGGAAAATGGATTCTAAGTTCCGCAAGAGAGACGGCTGCAAATAAACTTAATAGGCAGATGAAACTTTATCAGAGCTTGTTAGAGAACTATAAAATCACTAGAAGCAAAGACATGCCCCACATCAGCAAAAACAGAAGCAGTAACTACTGACTATGGTCAGAGAGATACAGCCTGGGGGCAGCAGAAAAGCCCAAATGCCTTCAAGAAGACAGAAGTCACCCACCATGGAAAAGAAGGAGATTTGAGCTGTCTTTGGGACACAGTATTTCTACTAGATAGGGGCGCAGAGACAAAGATGTATAAAGAATCCCAGAGTCCTAGGTTAACCGCTAAGAACACTGATTTAGCTTTCCTTTCTCTCCCAGGCTGGAGAACACTTCTCATAAGCGAGGATCTTCCAAGATCTCACGAAAGATGAGTAGATTGGAATTTTTGACTTGCTGCATCACCCGGGGAAGGTCACAGAGAAGGAGATTTAATAGTGCTCGTCTTGGTTAGATCAAGCCAGGAATAAGGCATGGCCTTTTGAGCTGAGCATGATTCAATATTTTAGAGATAGAGAAAAAGACGTAGAAAACAATTAAGAAGCTTAACAGAAATAAAAAAGAACTATGGGCAAACCAAGTTTTAAAATATTGGAATATAATACAAATACCAACAGGCACATATATACACATGCACATACATACACACAAAAGCCCTAACATACTGGGGGAAAAAAACCAATAAAATGATTAGCGATCACTATAATATTTAGACCATTTCCCAATTGAATCAGACCACATCTGGGGACCTGCCTTTGTTCTGGATCACTGAGGTAATTAATAGTGATGTTGACAAAGTAAGAGGTACTCAGTGGAGAGTGCCTGAGAGGGTAAAGGCTCCAGAAGCCATAGCATAAATGCAGCAGAGAGGCCATCCTATAGAGCAGAAAATAAAGTCACTCCTCTTATTCCAAGGCAGCAGATTTCAGCTTTTTGTAAGAAGAAGCTGATGCCATGAGAAGTGCCCCACATCACAAGCATGGAAGGTTTCTGGTTTTATCACACAGTGACATGATAACTTTGGGCAGGTTATTGAATCCCTCTGTGCCTCAGTTTCCTCATGTGCAAAATGAGGATACTATGAGCTGCTACTTTCTAGGATTCTTAAGAGGAATAAAGGAGTTAATATAAGTGCCTAGGACAGTGCCTGCTAAATTGTAAGCATTGTGTAAGTCTCTGCTAGTCATACAAAGAACCAGCTTTTTCATAAACAGAGATTCCATGCGTATCAGGTTGCTAAATCTGCTCTAACGAAGTGCCACAAACTGAGTGGCTTGAACAATAGAATTATCGTCTCACAGTTCTGGAGATTAGAAGTCCAAAAGCAAAGTGTTGGCAGATTTGGTTCCTTACCCAGAAAGAATCGGCTCCAGGCCTCTCTCCCGGCTTCTGGTGATTTGCGGACAATCTTTGGTGTTCTTTGTTCGTTTGCTTCTTGCCTTCATCCAACTCACTCCAATCTTTGGTGCTCTTTGATTTACAGAAGCATCACCTGATCTCTGCCTTCATCCTCACACGGTGTTCTCTCTAAGTGAATAATTGTCTCCACATTTCCCTCCTTTATAAGGACACCAGCTGTATTGGATTAGGGATCATCCTAATTACCTCATTTTAACTTGATTTTGTCTGTGAAGACCCTAGCTCCAAATAAGGTCACATTCTATGTACTGGTAGTTAGGATTTCCACGTACGAATTGGAGCTGGGGATGGATACAATTCAAACCGTAACACCAGGCCACTGGGGATCTTTCAGAAGAGTCAGATGGCCCGTGGATCAGAGATGTTGCTGGTTGTAGTCCTACAATGCAGCCAGCTGAGGATCTGCTTTTACAAAACAATGATTGGTCAAATCAGGACTCCCACCATTCAATTTAGGGTGCAATAAAAAGCTTGATTTCTTAATCCAGGAACTTAACTTGGCCTTATAGGTTAGAGCAGTAAAAGTACAAAGCAATTTAACCATTACCTCCTTGGTCTATTTTCCTGCAGAGATCATAAGGGAAAATATCTAGTGGTGACCCCTTCAAGGCCGAGCTTAGTCTTGAATCACCTGCCTTCCTGATTCAGCATTCTTTCTGCTCCACAAGTACAAAACACCCAAAATAGCAGCACCTGTGGGGAAAGACCTGTAACCAGTCACTTCTGACCCACTGCAGACTTTTTCCACCTTCATCTCATCTTACCCTTTGAACAGTTACAGAGGCCAAGGGCACCAAATGGTATCATGCTCATTCCATGTGAGGGAACGGAGAGGTGAAGCTTTTATCCTGGGGTCATGTAATTAATTAATGGTGGTGCTATGACTAGGTTTAATAAGTTTCCTGATAATCTATCAGTCACAAGTTGATTTCTTGAACAGCTCCTATTTGTTTAGCACAGTGCTAAGTATTGAAGATTGACCCCTGGTATCTGTCAAATCAAATCACTAAAACTTCCAGAGTTGATAGAGAAGCCCCATCAGCAGAGGCCAAGTGGACTTCCTGCTCACTCTTAACCAAGCCATGTCCATAAAAGTGCTCAGAACGTTTTTTCTTTTTCTTGGCACAACTGCATGCAGATCAGCCAGTGGCTTTCACTTCAACCACCGACCATAAGCAATGTTCTGAAATGCTGTTTCCCTGCTTGTCACTAGACCCCATACCTCAATTCTCCCTGCCGTGCCTCAGCAAGAGCTGGAGGCTGAGTTCCTGCTCTGCCCTCTAGATTCACACCTTGGAGAGAATGGCACACCTTTGGATTGGTCATTTTTTTCCCCAGCTTTATTGAGGTAGAACTGACAAAAAGTGTACGTATTCAAGGTGTACAATGTGATGTTTTGACATACGTATACACTGAAATGACCGCAATCAAGCCAATTAACATATCCCTCACCTTTGTGAGTGTGTGTGTGTGTGTGTGTGTGTGTGTGTGTGTGTGTGTGTGTTTGCATGGGTGTATTAATACTTCAGATCTACTCTCTTGGCAAATTTCAAGTATATAATACATTATTATTTACTATAACCATCACAATGTATATTAGGTTTTATTCATCTTATAAATTGCAAATTTGTATCCTTTGCCAACATCTTCCCACAGAAAGCAACAGTTTACATTTTTTCCTGGGTACTGAAACCAGCTCCACTTCTTAGGCATCAACCTCTTAAAAAACAGAAGTGTATGCCTCCCTCATTTGTCCAAGGGCAACCCTGTTCAGGGAATGCAGGTCAGGTGTGCTGCATTGCAAACGCAACCACACACAAAAACAATCTCAGTGGAAAGCAACAAAAGGCTTTTTTTCCCCTCTTACATCTGTGAGTGGGAGGGGTTTGGCTGCTGATGTAGGCTGAGCTTCAGCTAAGCTGAGGTTGGCTCCAACCTGTGGGTTGGGTTTAGAGCTCCTCCACATGTCTCTCGTCGTCTCTGGATGAGCACTTGGATCAGGTGTTTTCTTCTCATGAAAAAAGGCAGGAGCACAAGGGGGTGAGCATAATCTCACATCACATCCACTAGCCTCCCATTGGCCGAAGTGATTCGCTTGGCCAAGCCTAAAGTCAAGGAGTAGGGAAGTATTCTCCACCTGTCATGGCAAGGTCATGCAAGGTCATGGCAAGGGTGTGCAGGTATAATGCTACCACAAAGGAGCAGAGAATTGGGACCAATGATTTGATACCCCGGTAAGGCGAGGGCCCCATTCTTCAAGTTACTCATGGCTTATTTGCCCACCATGTACCTGTCCAAACCACAGGGTTTGGACTTTGATCACTGAGTCCTCTAACCTTCTCTTTTCCTCCCTAGATTCCATGACACCACCTCTTCTAAAGCACTCCTTTCTCAAGCTTCTTTATTAAAAGCTTTCCACCAGGCTGGGAAGTCAAGGAATCCCACCTGCATCTAATACACGATAATTTCCTAATGTAACCCAGCACTATTTGCTTTTTTCCTCAGTCGGTTGCCTGCCTGTTGCATTATTGTTGGTTGAGTTCCAAAATATCATAAGAGGAAAGGGGAAAAAAGAAACTATTTAGAAGACGATTATCCAAATATCCAAGCCATTCTCCAGGTAATGAATCCATGTTGAGCGAGAGTAGCATTTAGAACAACACAGGAGAAAAAGAACGAGAAATGTCCATCAAATACCGGGTTCTACAAGTCTGTCTTTGCAGGCCCACGATATGGAGCCTAATAGATTTAGTTGTTCACACCTCTCCTATATTTTCAGAGCCATTAACCAGAGTGGACTTGTCAGGGTTTCAACAATGTAATTGTTTAGCTATAAATTTTCCTGCTGGCTGGGGCCTGAGGTTTCTAATAGTCACGGACAAAGGCAGAAGTCAAAACAGTGCATGGAGAAAAGGAGAGAAACCCAGCACGAAGATGTGCTGAGGGAAGGGCTGAGTGGGGCGGAGAGAGCTGAAGGCTGCCGGAAGCATGGGACCCTAGGGATATGGGACCCTAAGGAGCTCAGCACAGGACCACCACAGCTCCAAACTGGACTGCAGGTAAGGCTTCTGCTTCTGAAAGATGAAAGCAAGCCTGGGCTTCCGGCTCCCTCCCACACAATCAACCTGGAAGAACAGCAAAAACGAGAAGGAAGACTGGATCTGGAGGACTCAAATAGAAACTGTGGGGAACCCTTTGGTTGACTAAATACATGGTGGAACCAACCCGGCGCAGGGGGTACCAGGTGCATGGATGGAGTACAGGTTGAGGGAAAGCTCTTAGTTCTGCACTTGCCCACGTAACCTCTGAGGGATAATTACCTGTCCCATGTTGGAAAAGGAGTTAGCAGCATCAGCAGATGATAGGTGTGAGGTGCGGGAGAGCAGAGCAACGCTCAAGCCCTGCTGGGTAAAGAACTGATAAGCAGAATCAATTGACTAGCTGACTGGCCCAGAGCATTCACCCCTCTACCTCCTCTACACCCACTCATCCACAGACCCTCTGCATTGGTGGATCACAGTCAAAAACTGTTCTTCAAATTGATTTTGACTATCACTTGCAATAAGGAGTACATTTTATGTGATGACTCAGTACATATACATGAAAGTTTCATAAAACAGTGTGCTTACTGGTGGGATGCCCTCTATCTACTTCAACCTATGCTATGCTATGCTATGCTATGCTGTGCTGTGCTGTGCTGTGCTATGCTATGCTATTCTCTCTTTAATGCTGGCTGACTCACTAAATTGACTGTGTGACCCATTAATGGGTTGCCACTAGAGATTGAAAAACTTATCTATAGAGATTATTTCCTCCCTAAGTTGTTTTTTTCAGAGCATTTAAAGGAGGATCCCGACTAAAGCTGTGGCCTGATAGAAGGACAAAAAATTGGGGTGATGGGCTATCATTGTGTGAGACCTGAAGCACCATGTCTTGGAGCTTACCCTGTCCCTCTTTAGGAGTGGGATTTGAGTTCCTTTGTTAGTATTGACAACCAGGTACAGTAGCTGTTGCCCCTAAAGGAACCAGAGTTTATAGCCCAAAGACTGAGGACCATAAGAAGTCAACCACTAGAAAGATAACAGGCTGAGCAACTTACACTACATGAAGCAGATCTATCGTAACAGACAGATCAAGATTTTAAAATAAGCATAATATATATATTCAGAGAGACAAGCGATTATGTAGGTAATATGAATAAGGAACAGGAAATCAAAAGAGAGAAAAGATTAGTGATTTTAATTACAAGAAAAAGTAACAGTTGACACCAGGAACACCATAGGCAGAAAAACAACAGGATACAGCCAAATAACGAATTAGGGTGCTGAAATATGAGGATCTCTAACAGAAAGAAGTAGGAAGAGATAAAGAGGAAGTATTACAGGAAACCTGGGAGACATGCCAATATCTGGATAGTAGGAGTCTAAGAAGGAAAGTATGAATTTCAATATCTGGTAAAATGGAATTCAAGGCAAAAGTAATCTAGGACAGTAAGCAAGAACCATGTAACCATCATTGAAATTATATGCACCTCACAATACAGACTCAGCATGTATAAAGTAACAAGCACGAAACTGGGAGGAAGAGAAAACAGTTTGACACACCTCCAAAAGCACAAATGATTTAGTCACTTTTGTACTTAGAGCATTTGGTGGCTTCCTGCCACCCTCAGAATAAAGTCCAATATCAGGGCTTATGAGGCCCAGTGGGATCTGGTCCCTTCTCATCTCTCCAGCCCATTTTTCATACCTTACCCTCTGGAATGCTTCCTGCAGTAATTTTGAGTTTATTTTTATTCTTCCTATATGCCTTTACTCTCTTACTTTCAAACTCTAACATTTGTTGTTCTTCTGCCTGGAATATCTTCTGCCACCTCTTTGCCTAAATAACCACTACTTATCCAAACCATCTTAGATGAGATGTTCTTTCTTCCACAAAGCCTTGAATTATTAGCCTTTCATAGAACCCCTCTCATTTGTAAATTTCCTATTTAATTCTCTATCTCCCCCACTAGATGGTAAGCACTGTGAGGAAAGAACAGTGTCTGTGGTGGTCACCAATGTACTTCTAGTACTCAGTGGCACAGGAAGTATACTAACTGAATCCAAAAAAAGTATTTGTAAAGTAATAATGGAAGTTGAACGATAGGAAATTAGCCCAACTTCTGGTTCAACATGGCAGAATGTACATTTAACTCTGTCTCTGCCCACTCCCCATAAAACTTCACTAAAATGCCAGTAAAATTGGTTTTCAAGACATATATCCAGCAAGACAAAGAGAATGCTGTTGGAGATAGATTATCAAAGGAGATAAACATGCAGCTTAATTGGATGGTAGTAGATGGGTGTGGAAACCAACAAGAAGCAAGGTTTAAAGGGCCAAAGAATGTAATTGAAGGCACTGGGTATTTCAGAAAATGTGGGGCTAAAATAAAGGGATTGATTGAAAGTTCTTATATGGAGAATGTAGAAACCCCCATCCTCTCCTCCAGCCCAGTGATACTAAGCAACTGACCTACCCCACATCCAAGCAAAAGATAAGCAGTTTGCACTGTGGCTAGATTGTTCTAGAAGGGCTCTGGCCTTAGAGGCATCAGGTAAGGCAGAGAGCAGCAGTGAGATACTCTACCAAAGACAAGAAGGTTAAGTGAAATTTTGAAAGCCCTCTTCCCAATCCCTTCTCTACTTTGTTTACCTCACCTCAGACAGGTAATTAGAAGGACAGGGGATCACAGAAACTGACAACTCCAATGAAAAGAGGAAGACTAACCCAGGAATACTGAGCATGGAGGTGAAGAGAACAGCACCTGACTCATGACCGACCTATGCTGACATGGGGCCTCTCTCAAATCAGCTGCCAGATCGCGATTTGGTGAGGTTTGCCACCCAACAGTGCCACTAGGCACATGGGTTTCTCAATTAGCTTCTGGTCCCTCATTCTTAAATATGTATAAATATAAATATAAATGGTTTATATTCTTGGCACTTCAGGAAAACCACTAACCTAAATGGAAGAGACCAAAAGAAATTTACAGGAAATAGAGACAAGGCAGAGAACAAAACAAACATTAATTATGATTGTAAGCAACATAATTAAGAGAGATAAGAGAAGATTTTACATCCACGTAACAAGAACAGAGTGCTTGTAAAAAGAACTTTCAGCAAATAAGTAAGAGCTCTTGGAATTTAAAAACATAATAGCCTTCCTGCAGGCAGGGACAGAATAATATGAATAAAATATGTGTGTCTAACCCCAAATTGTCTCTCTGTGGACCTTTACCCAGGGTTCCTACACCAAACCCGAGTATATGGATGCTTTCCTGTGCAAGCTGTGCCATCCTGGGGAGGAGGCAGCAACCTTGGTCCTACTCATCCGCTGACTCCAGTTCCTTATTTGCAGCTTCAGTCCCAGACCCAGTCTTCAGTTCCAATCTATGCAACCATTGATACTTCCAGGGGCCCTTAGGCAAAATAGAGATTTTTAAAAATTGTGTGCATGAAACAGATTTGACTAAAAAATAATGCACAGGCTTAGAGAGGTAAAGCAACTTGCCCAAGGACATGTGGACAGATATTAATCCTGAGTCTCCTGATATCTCTTATTTGTCCACTAATTAATTTATTCAAGAAATAGCAGGAATAACAAAGGTGATTAGTTCTTGCATTTAAGGACCCCACAATCTGGTGAGCAGAGAAAGCGGTAAGAAAGATTGATGCTAAGACGCAGCTCTGCTCAGGGGGCTAGGGTATCTCAGGGAAGATGGCCAAGAAGAAAATTATGCCTGAGCTGCATCTTAACGAATAGGACGAGAAGGAAAGGGGAATGGAAAGGACCAAGATAGAGGTGAGAGTGAGCACTGTGCTTTGGCGGCGCTCCAGTGGTTCTTGATCACGATGCCGTCCCAAGAAGAGTTGAGGCTAAAGCATCAGATCAAGTAGAAACCAGATCAGCCAAAAGCCAGTGTGCCATGTGAAGGAGCCAGGACTCATCCCACAGCTAGATATGAGCTTTGTAAGGGTTTTGAGCTATGGAGTGACTCTTGTCTAGTTTATAATCCATTTGTTGATGTGGATTCCAAAGGCTACTCAAGGTAAGATAAGGAAAAGGAGAACAGAGGTCATTTGGAAAAGGTGACTGTGGCATGAAACAGAGTTGGGAATGCAAGTATTGAGTTTAAAAAACAGCCAGAGGAGCTCCCTGCCTCCAGGAATAAAGGAGAGACCAGGAGGAGCATAGGTAAGTTAGGGTCAGGAGAGGAAGACACTAAATTGAGAAGGTTACACTGATCTCAACATGCTAGTGCTTCTCAAAGCTTTCTACCCAATAGCAGAGGAAAAGAAGGTCTGGAAATCTTGGGTGGTGACTGGAAGTGGACTTTTACAATCTCGGAACTTCTGTTTAATCTGTAAAATTCATATGAGCTTTGCATTCTACTTTACATAAGATCAGTCTGTTTTAATATAAAAATAGTATTTAATTACTTTCCAGTAAAAACACTTCCCACACTCCAAGAATTCTTGCAGTCAAATTAATATTCCAGCAAGATGCTCCTATGGCTTCTCATGCCTCATGAAAGCCAGTATTGGATGATATACAACAGTGAGGAATTTGGTTTGTTCAGGTGAGCTGTGAGGGGAAACAGGGATTTGGGGGAGTTAAATTGGGGGTTATGGGGTTGGGTCAGTTTGAAATGGATATTAGAAAGCCAGGTAAGAGGCTTTTAAGGGAATCCCAATGAGCTCTCAGACTAGAGAATGGCAGTGGATGAAGCAAAAAACAACATACAGAAGAGAAATGTTTGAAGACCTGGTGGATGATTCACTCTAGGGGGCCAGACAAAGAGAAGAAGGAATAAAAGACAACTCTAACTTTGAACCCTGGGGATGTGATTCCAGGGTTGGGAAGCGAAGCTTCCTCTTCCCAAGGAGCAGGAGGGACATACCAACCTCAGCCAGCTGTGCTCGTGTGCTTGTGCATGACGCACATGTGGGAATGTATTCTCCATGGCCAGGCACTGGGGACAGGCAAGAAGATCTAAGCAAAAACACAACTGTGGGAGTGGGGCCATTCTCACAGAAGGCACAGCTGACACCACAAGAGTAGCTGGAAAGTCTGAGGGAGCAAGGAGAGAGGAGCAAACACTGAAGGTCGAGGGCTTGACTTAGGGGGAAGACACAGATCAGCAGTGGACAAGGGGAGAGGAGACTCTGTATGGGAGAGACAACAAGGTGTGCTGAGCTGACACATAGCCACAATGCTGGCAATCACAGGAGCAGAAAAACTCAGACTCGGTGGAGGAAAAAGAGGGGATGTCTTGGTTAGCAGCATGACTGAAGAGTCCAGGGGTAGATCCTGACCTCAGCTGTGATTAGGTCTCAGGTCTCAAACAATGCCATCGGAACTCCATCTCCTCTCTCTGCCTCCCTCTCTCCTGTGGATTCGCCTTTGCACAGCCTCTCTCACTGTGACGGCTCCTGGGAGCTCCAGGCTTTTAGCCTCTCATCTCATCAACCTCAGTTGAAAAGGAAATTCCTTGTCCCAAAAATTCCAACAGAAGTTCCAGCTTTGGCTCTGATTGGACCCCATTGGCTCACAGGCCTGTCCTTAAACCAGTCACTCTAGTCAGGCCTGGGTCACAAGCCAAAAATCCCCCATCCAAACCTACACTAACTAAGCATCGGGAAAGGGGCTTCCCCTGAAGAAGGAGGGCTACACAACTTCCACATAAAAACGGAATGAGTGCGGTCAGAGAGGTGGAGAGTGGGTCCAGGAGGAGAGGATGTTTAAGAAGCCGAGGGTGGAGGTGGGTGGCCACACATGTTAAATGTCATGCAAAGGCCAAAATAGAGGCCATAGAGGCCCCACGGCACTTGGCCAGAGAGGAAACCAGGCGGCTCCTCTCTCCTCTTTCTTGCTCCTGCCTTAGTTGTGAGTCTGAAGACAGTCACACCCATCCCTGGCTTCCCTCCTTCCTCACACCCACCCTGGCATCCAGAGCCCAGCTCACAGCCCCTCAACCCCTTCTCCAGCCTTTCAGAACCAAGCCAGAGCCACTGTTGCTGGGCCCCCAGGCCCAACCAGCAATAAAAAGTCCCTTCTGGCTTCTGCAAGGGAGCTCGTAATGTGAGAGCCAGGTCCTCCCTGGCTGGATGTCCCCACCACACACATCATATGATTCCTTCCTTCCCAGCAGGTACTTTTTCCAGTGAAAGAATCACCCCTCCTCTGTCCTTTACCTCTGACCCACCAATTGTTTGCCGAGGCAGGACCAGTAACACTCCTTGGCTGGACTTCAGAATTCCAGTCCGGCCGGGGGTGTTAGGCTGGGATTTAACCACGGACCCCGAGGGGCTCATGTTATATGAATCATCTCCCCAGTGCGCCAAGACATCAAACCAGACTTCACCCCTCACTCTTTCTTTCCAGGCCGCTTCAGCTCATTGGAGTTTAAAGCTACACGGCTCGCAGCAGCTCATCTGGAACATCCCTGAGCGCTCCCCTTTTCATGAGAGCACACACCCTCAGAGAGCAAGGCAGAGTCAGACAGACAGACAGACAGATGGACAGGGAGAGGAGAGTCTGGCAGACGGACAGAATGAATATGGATTTCCTGCCCCTGCTATGGGAGGGGGAGCCCTGGCAATCACATCCAATGTTAGAATCCAGCTTGGGAAGGGCTGACAGCAACTCCCCTTAGGAATCTGAGTGGGTTCTTTTGTGTGTGATGTTTTGAAGCATGTCAGCATTCCTGGGCACTGTCAGCCTCCTTCAAATGACCCGAGTGGGGGTGTGAACAGCAAGCTCTCACCGCCTTAGGCTGTGCAAAAGGAAAGGCTGGGAATAGTGTTCCAGAGGTTTCCTCTCACTGTGAAAATCAAGGCAGAAATGCCTCGTCCTCAGCTCCCCAAATACCCTTGAAGATCAAGGGACAGCTAAGCTAATCTATTATAAATTCTAATGTAGCACAGTTCCCTGACCAGAGCTGCTTCTCCTTCGGTGCCCCGAGCGTTAGCCAATATTTCATCAAAACCTTCTCCCTTCCTCGGGTCCACATCTGCTCCTCCTTCTCACCCCGAGAGGCTCGCACGCTGGCGCCTTCTTCGTGCATATGGTCTCCACGCACACACACGTGCACACGCACATGCACATGCACACCGCTGGACTCTGATCTTCCTTCCTGATTGATGATACTACCTGGCCCAGTCTGGTTTGAAATGATCATTTTTCACTCTCAGCATTTTTGAATCTCACAAAAAGATGCTCAAAAACACCAAAATGGTAACACACACACATATCTGCACACACATTACACATATACCAAGCCACTCAGAGCTTTTTTCCATGAGATGTTTTTTTCTGAGAATTAGTCTTTTCTTATGATTTTAACCTTACTCCTTACGTCATGTAGGCCTAAATCGCCAGTGTAATAAAAGTGTATACCAAGGCCAGGGAGTGGCCAAGTCACTTACATGGGGCAGGAAGTCCACCTCATGTGCTTGAAGACCTGAATGCAGCCACTTCAATAGCTGCTCAGTCTTAATCCTCCCTCCTCTAAAATGGGTCTAACTACCCCCTCCAGGAATCAGGCTGTAGGGTGTTAACTTCTGCCAGACCTTTTTGGAGATGAAGACACAATGCTCACCATGGCATGCTGAGCCAGGAGGCAGGCGGGACCCCTCCAGACTTTGAGACCCTGTCTGAGTGAGCAGTTTAAGAAAGGATTATAATTTAGCAGCTGGGTGTGAGCAAAGAAACTGCCCCCATAAAAACCAGAATACATCGTATCCTGGCAGAATACATCGTATGACCCCAGGTTTCTGTTGTATGTAATCGTCATCCTAAAGGAATCTCTGTACAATGTTGACTGCGTGCCAGGCACTGTGATTTACGTAGATTCACTCGTTTGCTTCTCTTAACCCCCATGCTGAGGAAGGCACCATCATGAAGTCAAATTAACAGACGACGAAACAACAGCGGAAAAGTTAAATAACTTGCTCAAGTGGTGGAGCCAGAGTTTGAACTGAGAATGGTTCAAGGGTCTGTGCTTTTAGCCATCACAGTATACTGAAGAGAGCAAGCAGGTGAACAAGTGAGCACGTGTGTGTGCATAGAAAAAGAGGAAGAAGAAAGTCATTGGTAGCTTGATGGGGATGGCATTGAATCTGTAAATTACCTTGGGCAGTATGGCCATTTTCACGATATTGATTCTTCCTACCCATGAGCATTGAATGTTCTTCCATTTGTTTGTATCCTCTTTTATTTCCTTGAGCAGTGGTTTGTAGTTCTCCTTGAAGAGGTCCTTCACATCCCTTATAAGTTGGATTCCTAGGTATTTTATTCTCTTTGAAGCAATTGTGAATGGGAGTTCACTCATGATTTGGCTCTCTGTTTGTCTGTTGTTGGTGTATAAGAATGCTTGTGATTTTTGTACATTGATTTTGTATCCTGAGACTTTGCTGAAGTTGCTTATCAGCTTAAGGAGATTTTGGGCTGAGACAATGGGGTTTTCTAGATATACAATCATGTCGTCTGCAAACAGGGACAATTTGACTTCCCCTTTTCCTAATTGAATACCTTTTATTTCCTTCTCCTGCCTAATTGCCCTGGACAGAACTTCCAACACTATGTCAATCCTAAGCCAGAAGAACAAAGCTGGAGGCATCACACTACCTGACTTCAAACTATACTACAAGGCTACAGTAACCAAAACAGCACGGCACTGGTACCAAAACAGAGATATAGATCAATGGAACAGAACAGAACCCTCAGAAATAACACTGCATATCTACAACTATCTGATCTTTGACAAACCTGAGAAAAACGAGCAATGGGGAAAGGATTCCCTATTTAATAAATGGTGCTGGGAAAACTGGCTAGCCATATGTAGAAAGCTGAAACTGGATCCCTTCCTTACACCTTATACAAAAATTAATTCAAGATGGATTAAAGACTTAAACGTTAGACCTAAAACCATAAAAACCAGAGAAGAAAACCTAGGCATTACTATTCAGGACATGGGCATGGGCAAGGACTTCATGTCTAAAACACCAAAAGCAATGGCAACAAAAGCCAAAATTGACAAATGGGATCTAATTAAACTAAAGAGCTTCTGCACAGCAAAAGAAACTACCATCAGAGTGAACAGGAAACCTACAAAATGGGAGACAATTTTCGCGACCTACTCATCTGACAAAGGGCTAATATCCAGAATCTACAATGAACTCAAACAAATTTACAAGAAAAAAACAAACAACCCCATCAAAAAGTGGGCGGAGGACATGAACAGACACTTCTCAAAAGAAGACATTTATACAGCCAAAAAACACATGAAAAAATGCTCATCATCACTGGCCATCAGAGAAATGCAAATCAAAACCACAATGAGATACCATCTCACACCAGTTAGAATGGCCATCATTAAAAAGTCAGGAAACAACAGGTGCTGGAGAGGATGTGGAGAAATAGGAACACTTTTACACTGTTGGTGGGACTGTAAACTAGTTCAACCACTGTGGAAGTCAGTGTGGCAATTCCTCAGGGATCTAGAACTAGAAATACCATTTGACCCAGCCATCCCATTACTGGGTATATACCCAAAGGACTATAAATCATGCTGCTATAAAGACACATGCACACCTATGTTTATTGCGGCATTATTCACAATAGCAAAGACTTGGAACCAACCCAAATGTCCAACAATGATAGACTGGATTAAGAAAATGTGGCACATATACACCATGGAATACTATGCAGCCATAAAAAATGATGAGTTCATGTCCTTTGCAGGGACATGGATGAAATTGGAAATCATCATTCTCAGTAAACTATCGCAAGAACAAAAAACCAAACACCGCATATTCTCACTCATAGGTGGGAATTGAACAATGAGATCACATGGATACAGGAAGGGGAATATCACACTCTGGGGACTGTTGTGGGGTGGGGGGAGGGGGGAGGGATAGCATCGGGAGATATACCTAATGCTAGATGACGAGTTAGTGGGTGCAGCGCACCAGCATGGCACATGTATACATATATAACTAACCTGCACAATGTGCACATGTACCCTAAAACTTAAAGTATAATAAAAAAAAAAAAAGAAAAGAAAAAGAGGAAGAAAACACAGCACGTGACTTCACGGTTATAGGTGGCATGACAGGGGATTTTTCCCTTTTGCTGTAGTATTTGCACTTTATCTATACTTCTGTGACATCTACAGTGAACAATAATTTTTAAATGCTCTTTTGAAAGAGCATCTCCCAGTTCTGTTTATTGGACTACCATGCTTTTTAACCCAACGCAGCAGACAGGTAGGGGCAATGCTCACACTGTTAGGCAGATTTAAGCCATTCCTCAGACACAGTCAACAAAACAAGGAAGAGTGACCGAGAAGAGGTTAGTCTGCAGTGAAGAAATCTTGTCATCAAGGAAGTAGAAAGTAGCCTGATGCACCCCAAATCTACTCAAGCTCCTGATGTCCATGGACAGCATTAGGGAGACAGTGGGATGGACGGAAAGGACCTAGATTGGGTCAAGGATCAGAAGACCAAGTTTCTAGACTTATTATCTCTTTCTCATCTTGTGGTACCCAGATAATTTCTGCACTGTCTGAACCAGCTTTCTCACCTTGCCCTTTGACGGCCTCCTGGATTCTAAGATAGTCACAGGAGATACTGTTTTTGGTGGTCTTTATATGTGTTGCCTCATTTAATCAGCACACACACACACACACACACACACACACACACACCATGCACACAAACCCATAGGTGGGTGCTGATTTCACAGATAGGAAAACTGATCAAGGTCACAAAGCAAATAAGCTACTGAGTTCAGATGCCAACCCAGGGACAAGTGGCCCATGATTTTGGAGTTCTCTTGGAGTGAATAATGTCATCATGTTTCTAAAGCAAATATTCCAAAGACAAATACCTGGTCTAATCCTCTGCCTCAAACTGTGTGTCAGAGTGGTGCTCACATGGTTGTGGCTGCGTTCTGTGCTGTTTTAAGGAAAGTGCTTTGTAACTCTTCCTCCACTTCAGCTCACCCTTCACTGCTCTCCTTATCCCTCAGGTTCCTCATCCTTCAGGGCCCCTCGAGCTTTCCAAGGTGAAAGGAACCAGCTCATCAGGAAGAGAGCTCAGTTCTCTGGCACCCACAGAGAGACAATCTCCCATTAGCCCCGAGGTGCTGGCCCACAAGCTTTTCCCAGAACGTCCCAGAAGTGGTGGGGAGGGAGGGAGCTTGCACTACACACAGCCAGCCAGCTCTCTGGGCAGGCAGCAATAATGGAGAATGTGATAAGCTGTCACTAGAAGCCAGCTCAGTTCTCTGAGACTTAATGGTAGAATAACACAATAGGGTCAGACTAAAAAGGTTCCCTTATGAAAATTTTATCAGCAACTTTGGTAAGTGGCTATGGGAAAGGTGCTTTGCTCGCAGGCGGACCTGGGACCCGATTTTACAAGGTAGAGGCAGCCTGCATTGCATCACCCCCACAAGATATTAAGGGCACTCAAATTGAATTAACACCAAATCAAGCTGGTGCACTTAACAATACAAATGCACTTAAGGGATGCCTCAGGATGATTTGTGACTAAAGAAAGCAAAGAAGAAAACTGACTGCAAGCCACAAGGGCGGTGTTGTGTGTCATCTACAGGAAAGGCCATAAGTAGAAGTTAGAATACCGGAAAACCATGAACTTCGAGGGCTCTCAAATACCTTAGACCCAGCCGTAAAGTAGAAGGCCGCTTTTGTGGTATACAGAAACAACTGATAAATAAATTACGGCCAATTTTCTTAGTGGCATGGTCTCCATTACCTCTGACAGTGGCGTAACTACTCTGCTAAGATGATAAGAGGTGAATAATGGTGGATCAGGTAGCGCCCCAGGAAATTCTTTGCCAGTTGCCATGCCTCTTCATGACAGTGAAGACACAAAGATCCTCATTGAGAGCCAAGTGATGACAAGTGACAGCTCACCAGGCAGATCTTGACAGGCCCTAAAAAGAATCAGCCAAAAGTGTCCCTGGCAGATGGGACCCCAGAGTCAGGGCTGGCCCTTTCGCCTCTTTCCTTCTCTTGTCAGCATTTGTCTGCACACATTTTCTCCTCTCGCGTCTTCCTCCTCTGCCCTCAGCCTCCCTCACCCTCTCCCCACACCTCTATCTGCACCCCCTCACCTTCTCTCTCGCAGACACACTGTCTACCGAGCTGGAAGACAATTCGGCCATCTTCATAGATGAATGGCTCTTCTGAGGTAATATTGGAAACTTGGATACATTCTGGACTTGGGAGAATTCAGGGGGAAAAAACGGCCTCACTGGGGATTTCTTTCCATCAAGTGAAATACACACAAAAGCATGCTTTTGTTATCCTTTCAGGAAAAGAGCTGCCTCCATGCAGGGTCTCACTCTGAAAACGGGTTACATTTAGGTTGGAGGTGGCCTAATTTTGTCAGAGTTAAAGCAATTGCTCATCGAGTCATGAGGCGGCTGGGAAACTGGGGCAGGCAAATTCAGTTTTTCACTGTGGAAAAAGGATTTCTGGAATAGTCGGGAGGACCACTTGTAGCTGCTGTTGTGTCTCCAGCAAGACTTGCTCACTCCAGGAGGTGGGCATTGTCGGACAGAAAATTGGAACAATAAGAAGGTCTCTGCATTTAGAATTCACTATCTTGGTCCCTTGCTCTGCTAGAATTTAGCTGTGTGACCTCGGGTGAGTCACTTGACTTCTTTGAGTCGTACTTTCTCCTTTAATAAAATGGAGGCCTTTGCATTTGACGGTTTTGAGGATGGAACAAATGTTATAATGGGGAAAGTCTTTGGAAACTGGGAACTATCTATGAACAAAAGGCATTGTCATGAGGAACACAATATCCAAAAGGCACATGCAGATCCACTTCTTATAGAAACAGTCAAAAGTCTCAAGGAAGAATATTCAAACCACTCCTGGTTTTCGCTTTTCCGTAACAGCAGCCTCCTCTCAGATAATCAAGGAACGAGAAGAGTAAACCAATGCAAATGAAATATACTAAAACCCCCCAACTTCACTTTTTAGCTTCTCCCATACAGAATTTTAAAATGAAGACAGTGAATTGCATAATTCCTGGTATTCCCTAGCAGTGAGGTATTCCCAAACTCAACACGTCTTGAGGGCTTGTGGCCAGATCACCTCCTGCTTCTCAGAGTGGGAGCCAGAGAGTTATCCCATCCCCAGACCATCCGTGGCAAGCCTGTCCCCACCTGCCCGCCAGGTAGTGATGTTCCTCTCTTTCGAGCATTTTACCTCTGCCTGGGGCATCTGGAGTCCCTGTACATGGTGTCTTCTGCTCACTCTATTACTTGAAAATCACCCCTTAAATGCTTAGGAATCACTACTCACATTGTGCATTTTCCTGCTATCACTGGTCCCCTTTCCGCAAACCACCTTCTTTGGAGCTTACAAATCATTATTCATCAGTGATTCACCAAGTCAACAAATAGTCACCGAGCGCCAACTCTGTGGTACCAGGTGTCGGTAACACGGGGGTGATGCAACAGCTTCCCTAACTCCAAGGAGCATACTTTCTCATCATTCTTCCTCTCCTGGCCCCATCTTCGGTTTCACTATTTAGTTCCAAAATATCAAGAGCTACACCGAGCACATGTCTCTAGTGAGGGAAACTCCCCTACAAATTGGAAAGGAAGCAAAATTTGTGTCACCTGGAACTCCATCCTTCAAGGATCTCCAAGTACAATTAATTCGTCCCTCACCGGGGTCCCCCAGACTCATACACATACTTGTACACATCATGTGCTCAGTCATTTGTGTGCATGTCACTCTCTCACCAACACACTCCAGGCTCCTTATCTTACTCATGTCTGTATCTGAAGTGTGTACCACAAGTCCAGGTACTTAGCTGGTACTCAAAAAGCCTTTGTGGAGTGAATGAATGCAGGAATGAATGAATGGATGAATGAATTTGTCATCTCCTTACTTTCTTTTTGTTTTCTTTCCAACATTTCTTTTAGGTTCAGGGCATACAGGGGCAGGTTTGTTCGATGGGTAAATTGCATGTCTCGGGGTTTTGGTATACAGATTATTTGGTCACCCAGGTAATAAACTTAGTACCTGATAGGTAGTTTTTCAATCCTTTCCTCCTCCCAGCTTCCACCCTCAAGTTGTCCCTGGTGTCTATCATTCCCTCCTTTGTGTCCATGTGCGCTCAGTGTTTAGCTCCCACTTATGAGTGAGAACATGCAGTACTTGGTTTTCTGATCCTGCATTAATTCATTTAGAATAATGGTTTCCAGCTCCATTCATGTTGCTGCAAAATCTCCTTACTTTCTCTGTCCATAACCTTCTCCCCTTTCTTGTTTGTTTGTTTTGTTTTTTTGTTTGTTTTCCCTATCATCCCCAGCCCCAGCCTGTGATACAAGGAGACAGTGTAGCCTAGTGGTCATCAACACAGGTTCTCTCTGGGATGTGTTGGGGTTGGCTCTGATTGGCTTGCAAGAGTGGATTGTTAAAATGAAGACAGTGAATTGTACAATTCCTGGTATTCCCTAGCAGTGAGGTATTTTTAAAAATTTTTGAGCTGGTTTTAAACTGTTGGTAACTTGAATTCAGCCATAGTGGGAGGGTTTATACCATGGAAATCAGTAAATGCTCCAAACCAGGGATTTGGAGTTCTGGTTTTGCATGCCTGTTTGCCGGCACACCACTTCTCCGAGTTATCCCAACCTGAATTTGCAGCTCAGCTTTACCATGGACAAGTTGCTTGCTATCTCTAAGACTCAGTCTCCTTATCTGTAAAAATGGAGATGAAAAGTATGGCTTCATGGGGTTACTGTGAGAATTAAATGACCCAATGTTTATAAAGTGCTTAGCATAGTTCTTTGCACACAGTAAGTGTTCAATAAAGGCAGTTATTTTTATTAGCAGTAGTATTGTATTAGCATTAGTGTTATCATTCCTTGGCTTTCTGTGAATGCATTCTTTCCTCCAGTTAGTTATACTTTTTTCTTATTCTACAAAGAACTGGTGACAACTTGAAAAAGCAAAAACTATTAAATAGAATATATAAATAAAAAATCAGGAAGAGAGAAAATAAACATGAGGCTACAAAGTCAAAATCACAACACTATTAGAACTGAATGGGATCTAATAGATTAAGACTCAATGGAGTGTTTGTTGTAAATTTCTTAAGGTGCTGCCAACAGAATCACAGAGTGTTAGAGCTCAAGGAACCTCAAAGATGTTCTAGTTGAATCCTTGTTTACAGATGGAAAACTGAGGCAGGCAGGCAGGAAGGAATCATTTCTTGAGCACTAGCAAGCATAGTGGCTAACGTTTTCGCTTTCATCATCCCTATAGAATTCCATTTTATAGAAAGCCACTGAGGCAAAGGAAATGACCAGACTTGCCTAAAGCCACCTGGTTGGTAATGGTTGAACTGAAATTGGGACCCAGGCTCCCATCTCATAGTCCACCCCTTTCTTCTGTCTTCTTCCTGCAGAAAGATACATTTGGTGATAAGAGCGTCCCAAAGATCAAAAAGTCTTTCAAGGTCCAACAGAATTACACTCAAATGGAAAAACTGCAGGTGTGTGATGGAGGGGACTTTCCAGGGAATTTCCTAGGTCTGGCTGTGACACATGAAAGAATGACAAGCATAAGCCCAGTGGCAAGAACAACTGCTTTTGCAAAAAACACATCCTCATTTTGTGTTGGCTTTTGAAAAGAGATCTGTGTTATTAATTCATATTCATTTGTGGTCCACTCTGAAGTTCAGGTCTTTTTCTGCTGTTCTTGTAACTAGAAATGTTTTTTTCTAACTCCTACCGATAGCTTTTACTTCCTTCTTCACAAAGCCTTCTGTTGGCATGGTTAGTGGGTATGGAAATGAAGTCTCTTTTCCCTTCCTTTTCATCTGAAAGAAGCAGCACAAAGCAAGAAGGTGGTTAAAAAGCAATCAATGGGGCTGACACAGAAGGGCAAAGAACAGGCTATGTCATCCACAGAGTGAATGAACCCACCATTTACAGAGAGTTGATAGCAATGTCTCACTTATTAGGCCACCACCCCTGCTTGGCAGCAAGCGGGCTGAGGCCCAGCCTGGGGGGTCTGTTTTATGAGGATCATGTTATTGCCCTCAGAGCTGTAGTTGACCTCACACCAAATAAACACGTCAGCCAGTTCCAAAGTCACCGTTCCCAGGTGTGGTCTCGAGGCGCCACGCAAAGACCCTCACGGTCATCGCTCCGTTTTTCCTCACCTCCACTCAGAAATGGCTCTCACAGTCTCAGCATCGGTACTGACAACTCTCTCCCTATCCCTTTCCCCAAATCATTTGTCAAAACAGTCCAAGATCTCATGAACTGGACCTGAATTGCCATCTGAGTGCAGGTCCAGCCACTAGCCTTCAGAGAGAAGACCCTGCAAAGGAGAAAAACTAATACACAATTAAATACAAATTTACATACATATACATTTACATGCTACGTCTCCCTCAAAAATTAAGGAAGGGAGGTTGGGCAGTTGCTTTTTATTTGTTTTTCCAGTTTTTTATTAAAAATATGCTTTTCATTATTTGTTTTTCACACAGCAGAATTAACTGTTCCAGACTTCATCTCAGGTTAGCTTAAACACTGGCGTAGTTCTGAGCTCCATCATTCTACCACCAGTTTGGGTGAGCTTGGGTAATACTGACTCACTCACTTGCAAGTTTTTTAATAAGTCGGGTGTGTTAAAGAAAAAAAAAAGGCCAGGCGCGGTGGCTCACGCCTGTAATCCCAGCACTTTGGGAGGCCGAGGCGGGTGGATCATGAGGTCAGGCGATCGAGACCATCCTGGCTAACAAGGTGAAACCCCGTCTCTACTAAAAATACAAAAAATTAGCCGGGCGCGGTGGCGGGCGCCTGTAGTCCCAGCTACTCGGGAGGCTGAGGCAGGAGAATGGCGTGAACCTGGGAAGCGGAGCTTGCAGTGAGCCGAGATTGCGCCACTGCAGTCCGCAGTCCGGCCTGGGCGACAGAGCGAGACTCCGTCTCAAAAAAAAAAAAAAAAAAAAGAAAAAAAAAAAAAGACCTGCTATCAAAAATCAAGCAAAAAGCCCAGTGTCCCCTGGAAAGCCCCCTTGAGGTGCCGTTTGCATCACTCACAGTGTGGAAGTCCTCTCCGGACACCGGACGCATATTCTCACCCGGGGATGCCTCTAATTGGGCCGTAGTTTCTAAAGAATATTCGTGTGAATTCCAACCCCACCACTCAACTTCTGTGACCTTGGACAAGTCATGTCAATCTTAGTCCTTTAAGTGTAAAACAGAAACATTCGCACCTGCCTGATGTACCTCATGAGCAAATACAAATGTGCTTTGGAAACAATAACGTGGTAGGGAAATGGCAGCTGTTATAATTGTAATAAGATCAAAAATGACCCAAGAACATGGCTCATCAGACACTGTCTCGGGTGCTTGGTTCTGGAAGCATTTCTTTTGGAGCCAGCAGCGAGGTCACTGTGGAGACAGGAACAGACCATTTTGCTTCCATGTTTGTGGGAAAAGGCACCATCTTGGAAGGGAGGACAGGAATGCATTGTGGGAAAACCCACAGCATGCCTGTTGTTCAGAAAACACAACTGAAACCACACTAGTTAGAAAGTATTGAGTCTACAACCTGAACAAAAAGAATTCAAACACTTGAGCTTACGCTGGGATTGTTTTCCCAGGGTCAATCCTGCCTTAGAACTTTGCTGAGGAATTTACGTTTCTCATTACTTGAGGGAAATAAGAAGCTCAGTTGAGACAATTAGAATTCTATTCTGGAGGCAAAACAACAGCTCCAGTTTGGCCTGTGTTTTATTCCCACCTCTCCTTCAGGCTTTACCTGAAGTATCTCAAAGGAAACACAGCGGGGAATTGGTATCTTTGCTGGTCTATTACAAGGTCTCTTTGTGTTCTGCTTCTCCAGTTTCTGAATCGGTAACTCCTGAAATACACCTTGCAAAGTCCCTCTTTATGCAGAAGTACCACTGAAATTCATTATCTCCTCCTCTGAGAACCAGGCAAAGGAACAGGCCCCCGTGTGGAGAATCTTCATGCTCACAAACACATCTGGACGGGGAGGTGACTTGTGCACGCCGGCGAGGATACCTGCAGCATACCTGCAGCATACCTGCTGTCACTGCAGGGTAACAGGCAAGGGGGCTGAGAAATAGAGGGAGGAAAGAGGCAGGGGAGTGTTCTCACGGTGGATGATGAGAGGAGAGTGGAAGGATGTGGTCATGGGGAGAGAGGAAAGAAAGATGAATGGGGCCTGAGTCAGTCATAGGCTAAAGCAAACAGGAAGGTTTTAAAGTGAGATTTGAGGAGAGGAAGTGGTTCTGAGCAAGGGGAGGGAGAGAGTTCCAGAGATCGGTCTTGGACAAGAGCTACTCTTCATTTTTTTGGATAGTCCCCCTCATGTGAATATTTCTTGGCAGCTCTGACAGACGGGTGAACCAATTTATTATTATTATTATTATTTTTTTTTTTTCAAAAAATTCACAACTGGCTTCAACTCTCCCCTAGACCTTGAACCAAAAGGGATTGAGACTTTAGGTCTGAAAACATTCAGGAGATTCATTTGTGCTCTGCTTCATTTGCACTGCTGCCTGCTGCTCACAGCAAACACTCAGGGCCACCCAGACAAGGGCATAGAGGGAGGTGTCCCAGCCCCTGCTAACCTGCAGCCAATCTCTCTGATGCCGTGTCCACTGTGCCTGAGTGGATCCAGGAATATCATCTGGGGGGAGCTTGGCACCTTTATAAATCTCTCTAAACCTAAACTGCTGGATGTGGAATCACGGTTGCTACCTCCCGGTCTGGCAACAGGGCTTGTGTGTGGCAGAGGGAGGGAAGCGGGAGGGGGCTTTGGGGCTGGGGACCCAGTGGCAGGTCACATGAAGAGACAAGGGACAAGGGTTTTGGACTTGGCATTCCCATGGAAAGCCTAAAGGTGCAGATCCTACCAGATAAAGAGCAACCTTGAATAGACACACAGTGCCCTGCCTTCTGAGGACTGATCTTACAATAGCTCTAGAAGCCAAAAACAAAACAAAATGAAGCACTAACAAAAAAACAAAACAAAACAAACAAAAAAAACTTCCTTGAAAGAACTTAACCAAAACCAGCACATCTTAAATCTTTCCAGTTCCTGGGGGAAGTTCCCTTCCCACTACCGTTTATCAGAAACTGTTTTCTCCATATTGTAAAAGATAATAAAATCCTCTGGGCTTCAAGAACTAAGAGGCTTTGATTTTGCTTCTTGTTTCGTGACTTTGGGAACTGAACCTTCATGGTTCTTATCATTTTCATCTATAAAATGGGGTTAATAAGCTTTGCTCCCACCTCAAAAAACATTACTCACATGATATGAACTCCTTGTGTAAAGATCAAGACATATATATAAAAGGATGTCATTCATAACAGCAGAAGTTGTTACAGAACAACACCTAATAATGTCCAGGTTATTGTTTCTTCTTAAACTAAAACTGAACTCAGGCATGAAAACTCAATGCTGGATCGCTTTTTATTGTGCTAGAAAATAAGCAATTTAAATAAAAACTCCAATACTTCTGCTGTGTCTACATTCTCTATTTTGAAATCCAAACTCATTTCTACATTACAATTAAATTTTAAACATAATATACTGAGCACATTTTAAATGCTTATATTGCTTTAACAGCTTTAATGAGATATAATTCATCTTCTCTTATATTATTTTTTATACTTTAAAACTTCACTGTTAGGGCCGGCCACAGTGGCTCACACCTCTAATCCGAGCACTTTGGGAAACCAAGGCAGGCAGATCATCTGAGGCCAGGAGTTTGAGACCAGCCTGGTCAACATGGTGAATCCCTGTCTCTACTAAAAATATAAAAATTAGCCAGGTGTGGTGGTGCACCCCTGTAGTCCCAGCTACTCTGGAGGCTGAAGCAGGGGGATTGCTTGAACCTGGGAGGCGGAGGTTGCAGTGAGCCGAGATCATGCTGCTGCACTCCAGCCTGGGCCACAGAACGAGACTCCATCTCGAAAACAAAACAAAATAAAACAAAAGAACAAAAAACTTCTCTGTCAAATATAGTAGTCACTAGGCTCGTGTGGCTACTTGAATTTCAATTTAAATTAACAATTACTTAGTACAACTAAAAATCCAGTTTCTCAGTCATACTAATCACATTTCAAGTGCTCAGTAGTCATGTGTGGCTAGTGGCTATGGATTAGACAGTACAAACATAGACCAGTTCCATTGTTGTAGAAAGTTCCGTTGGGCAACACTGCTCTAAAACAATACAGAATATACTCATTACAAAAATGTGGAAAATATATAAAATCAGGGAAAAGACACAAATTTCTTATTTTCCCACCACCAATGAAAACCACTATTAATAATTTAGCAGATTATTTATAATGTTTGGGTTTTTTTCCTGAATATCTGTTTTGTTTCGTTTAGATTACATGGTTGTGATCTGTTGAATATGCAATGTTATAGTCTGCTAAGCTTTAAAATAAAAGCATTCTTCCATGTTGTTGCCTCCTTCTCAGAAACATAAATGGCTGCAGAATATTTCATTACCCAATTGTTGGCATATAGAGGGTACACGTTTGAATTTTTCTTAATTCAAATAAAGGTAAAATTTCTGATTTAATAGCACTTGCTTGCTTTAAAAAGAGCCCAGAGAAATTACTGCATTCTGCAATAGTTCCTAACATACACAGAATCTGGGAGCATCAGGAATAATCCGCTTGAACCATTGGTGGCTTCCTCTCCCTTCCTGAGCCCCTGAACTTGGAGGAGGCACATGTGTGTCATCTCCCACTACTTTAGGGCTATGTTCAGCAGATGCAAGGTAAGGCCAACATGCTGCAAAATGAGGATAGGCATCAAGAAATTACACGTTTCATTTGCCAAAAGCTAACGCAGAAGGATTATGCCCTCTCAGAGCCTTCTTCCTGCAATATACTATGAGCCTCACAGGGCCCAGCGGCGTTGCTGAGGGGGCAGTGGACATGAAAGGACCCCACACAGAGCCTGGCACACTCTCACAGAAAGCTTCCAGAGCCCTCCCTCAGCAGGTTCTTCTCCTACTACACCGGTCTCCTCTTCCTCTTCACATGAGTGTCAAGGACCACAGGCTCTGCCCCCAGACTCCTCAGTGACCCAGCTCAGCCAGCCTGTGGCTTTAGCCACCAAGAGGACCCCAAACTTCTCTCTGCCTCCTGAACTCTCTCTGAACTCCATACTCAGACATCTGCCAAAACATCTCTGGGCATCTCAGAACTAAAATGTAATTTTACCCCATCTCCCTATCAAATAAACGAACAAAGATAACAAAAATCTCTGCCCCTACTACAGTTCCCCCATCTCCATAAATGACATCTCCATTTTTCTAAATGCTCAGGTCAAAAATCTGAGGTCCTCCTTTGTCCTTCTCTTTCTCTAATGCCTCATCCATCATTAAATTCCTCAAATCCTACCTTCCCACCTCCACCAGCCCGACAGCCACTGCCCCCTCTCACCTGGCCACCGCAGCAGCTTCCCAACTGGCCTCTCTGCATCCACCCTTGCCCCGAGGGGCTTCGTCTCCACGTTAAGTTCTCACCAAGGTAGTTCCACCTGCCCCCCGCCCTGCGTGTTTGGATATATGTGTGTGGGGAGGGGGTGTCTGGGTTGTCACAACAATGCTCATTGCCTTAGTGCCTGAAGGACTAGTGTCCTAAATGCTCCCCACTAAGAAATATCCCATCCAACATGCCAATAACACTTCCCTGAGAAGCTCTGACCTGCAGTGATCCTTTCAAGACCCAAGCTGCAAGGACTCTCTCCATCAAACAGCTCCCTGGAGGAAATGTTTAAATGGCTTTTTACATTAAAAAATATATTTTTTGAACCTTGAAGCCGGCAGTTTCCATGTTAAGTCCTCCCCCTGGCTCTATTCCAGACAGGTAGGAGGCCTGTCACAGTTAACCACCACTAATCAAGGAATCTCCAGGTCCTAGTGGGGAAGGCAGGGGAGAGGATCTTTAGAGAACAACAACAACAAAGGTGCTTATGGGACTCGCTATGCCTGAAATCTCCCTCCCCATCTAGCTGGTGCCCTCCTACGAGTCCTTGAGAATTCACTCTAACGTTACCTCCTGTGGGAGCCCCACTGACTACTCCATGCAGCTGCGGAAGCCTTTGTGCCATCTCTGGACTTCGTGCACACCCGAATGACAGCCTCTGTCACAATGTAGCAATTATTTATTATGTATCTTTCCCCCTACTAATTAGAGGGTTCCTTGAGGGCAGGATAATGGGTTACCAGGGTGTTCTTCCAGGATCCCTGAATGGGCAACTCCCTTCGCTCCCTCTGGCCATGGTCTAGCTGCTGTCTACAAAGCCCGGACCCCAGAGAAGGACCATATCTTTCCACGCACTCAAATACGTGGCCTCATGAGCCCACTTTTAAAAGGAGCGCTGAACCCGGAAGAAAAGGAAAGATGGTTTCAGAAGGCAGGAAAGAACATCAGCAGGCCAGGCTGCAGGTTCTGGGAACCAAGGCCACCTCCTCTCCCTTTGACAAAGACTGGCTCAGTTCTGAGGCTCGAAGGAGAGTGCTAACGGGGCAAGAACTTGAATGCATCACTGAGGTGACAGGCAGCATGGCCATGAGAAGAGATGTTCAGATTTACTCATCTATGGACCCAAAGCCTTCTAGTGGAATAGTTGTGAAACTGTGCTTTAAAACCCATCACTCTGCAAAGCCTGTGAAATGAAGTGGTGCAGCCCCAGTGAGGGAGACACCATCTTGAGGTGCCAGACTCACATCAGGAGCTTTCTCCGGCCCCACACTGCAGCCTTTGGTGATTCAGCCTTCGTGGCAAATAGCATCTGCTGCCACCATTGATGGAGAGGGGCCGTGCTCAGGAGGCAGGTTGACAGCGGATTGCTTTATGGAGAGGCACGGGAGCAGGAGATGAGAGAAAAGAGGCAATCACTTCTTCACCTATGTGCCATGCACCCTCATATCCTCAAACAAACATTCATCAAGGACAGGAAACTGAGGCGCGGATGGGTCCAGTAACCTGACTAGACACAGAGCATGTAAGTGGCAGGGCTGACATGTGAGCCCTTACTTGCCTGTATCCCCCAGTCCCTTCCCTGTACATGACACCCTCCCACACCAAAAACTCAGGCGAGGCTGCCATGATGCCGGGAGGTGGAAAATGTTGCAAGTTGCATCACAACAGTGCTGGGCGCTGCCCAAGAGTCAGTGGACCTGGACTCTGGTCCACGCTCAAGCTGATGGTTGACCTTGGGCAGGTCCCCTGAGCACTGCAGGTTTCAAGTTCCTCATCTGTCTAGAGTGGAGCTGCCTGTAGATCTCCAATAGGCTTTCTAGCTCAAAAATTCTTTGATCTTAGAAACTTAACACCCATCGGTTAGGATTTGTCCAGCTACAATTCTGAAAAGAATTATTCCTGTGGATATGAGACATGGAATGTTAAGGTTTTGCAAATGTTACCGTTCCAGCAACAATGTATGCATAGAATATTCCTGGCGAGGGAGAGGGATCTTAGGGAAGAGCGGAAGTCCATCTGTCAGCAGTGGACTTAAATGTGGCTGAACGGCGAGCCGGGTGATGGGAAAAGGGAATCTGGAAAGACTCACATTCCGTTTGAAAAGAAAAGGGGTTTTAATGGGACACGCTCACTCACTCTGGATTTTAACAACTTCTCAAAGTGTAATGGGGGGCGGTGGGTTGGGGGAGGAAAGAAAGAGAGTTTGTGGAGTGAACAGAGGGGAAGAAAGAGAAAGTGATAAATACAGGACAAATTCAGAGCTTGAGATCATGGAACAAATCAAATAGAGGGCGGACTCTACAAAAGGCCCCGGGCCCTGGCTGGGGAGGCCCATGATTAACTCTTAAGAATGTTGTTAACACCAGGAAGGAGGTTTAGGAGGCAAATTTTATTTTAAAGCTGGAAAGTTCTAATATATATAATGCAGATCAGTGAGTTACTCTTCCTAGGCCTCAGTTTCCTCATTTCCAGTGTGAAGAGAAGTTTGTGTGGCATAAGAGCTTTGTGAGAATAAAAGGAGGCCGCACATGTGTAACCCAGGGGTATCTTGGGCCTGAGAGTGCTGTCACTCGTTCATGACAGAAAACAGCCCGGATGAGCCACAGTCTCACAGCAGCAGCAGACAGGAAGGCCAGACTGCGTGAGGCCAGCTTTCCACAATGACAGCCCATGATGACGTGCTGGAGAAACAGCAGCAGGGATCACACCAGGACCAAGAGGGCCTCCTCAGAGCCTCCCTCTCTCCCTCCTTCCAGTACTTGGACTGAGACAAAGAATTCAGAAGGATGGAGAGGCTCCAACAGAAGCATGGGGTCCACAACCCCAAAACAAAAGGGGTGATTTGGTTTGGCTGTGTCCCCACCCAAATCTCATCTTGAATTGTAGCTCCTGTAATTCCCACCTGTCGTGGAAGGGACTTGGTGGGAGGTAATTGAATCATGGGGGCAGGTTTTTCTCCTGCTGTTCTCACGATAGTGAACAAGTCTCACGAGATCTGATGGTTTTATAAAGGGGAGTTCTCTCTCTTGCCTGCCACTGTGTAAGACGTGACTTTGCTCCTCATTCGACTTCCTCCATGACTTTGAGGCCTCCCCAGCCATGTGGAACTTTGAGTCCATTAATCCACTTTCCTTTATAAATTACCCAATCTTGGGTATGTCTTTATTAGCAGTAAAAGAACAGACTAATACAGGGGGCTCAAATCAGTTCAGTTAGAAAACTAAGGAGATGTGAAGTCACTTGCATCCTGAGATGATGAGGACAGTGTAGTGGTTAAGAACTCTGGATTCAAATTACTGGGGTTTGATTCCAGATCCATCATGGTGCACTCATGCTGGGTAGCAAGTGAAGTTTAATAAAGGAATTTGTTTTTCAATGGTGTGGACTGGGTTTAGGAAAACAACAAAGGATGGGTCGTACCTCAAAGCTGGCCACAGCAGGGAGTGTTTGGGCCACAACGGTTAAGGAGGGGCTGGCAAGTAGAACCCAGAGAGACAGCTCTCTAAAAACAGAACCAGAGCAAACTTACCCAGGCCTTGGTGACCAGAGGATGAGGGCAGCAGTCAGGGAGAGAGAGGATAGCCTGGGACTCCTCCCAGCACAGGGGGCAAAACCAAGGGCTGGGGACTGCTTGCTATGAAAACACATTGTCCAGACACTGTTTTGGATAAGGAAACTGAGGTCAGAGGGACTAAGTGACATGAATCATTAGAGACACGGATGACAGCAGAACCCAGCAGAGCTTGGGCTATCATCCCCAAAGACACAATCCTGAATGTTGAAATCCTGAAAATATAATTATGGAAAACAATAATTTTATAAATTATTTAAAAAACATTTATTTATGTTTTTAAGGGGAATTTATTTGAGAAACATATAAAAATATGATAAACACTGCATAGGCCACTTTGTACAGTAAAATAGGCAATAAAATATATTTTTGCAAGTATAAACACTCAGGTATACTAACTACAGTCATGAGTATAAAAGTTATGAGCAGATGAACCATATTCATAAAGAGGTCAAAAAGTGACATGTATAAAAGTGCTTCACTATGGTTGGTAATTGTGTGCGTCAGCTTTATAACTGTGGTCATCGGATATACCTGGAAGGACAACCTCAGTCATTTGACAAGATCATTCAAAAACTTTGAGGGGTTACTACCACATATGCAGTAGCTCAAGAGCCCAGATCTTGTGAAATTTTATTTTTCACAAACGCAGATATACAAAAGGGACAGCTCTTTGTTTATTGAGGGAGTTTCAACATTTTTATGGACATGTGCAATGCTCATATACAAAGACAATGTTGTGATAATGCACTTTTGTGGTGTCAAATTTGCAAAAAAGTGCATAAAACGAATTAGAACCCCCTAAAGTTTACATAAGTCATACCTCCAGTATTGGTAATAATGTGAAGGTGAAAAACAGTATGGCAAACTGGCACTGTGTGCACAGGGGCAGAAGTCATACATGATTAAATAATTTGCCAGGAGAGAGTTCTTGTATTGTTCATCTGCATTTTTACCTCTAAGATCTTCAAAATACAATGAGTATTGTATTTGTATTTGGACAGTGATTATGGTCTACAAATTTTGAAAGTATATGCTGTCCATTCACAAACTGGATTATTGCTTGGCGATTGCAATTAAGCAATTTATGCTTTTACAGCACCAGTAATAATTAGCCTTTAAACATTTATCCTTTACCATTAAGTAGCCTCATACACTTGACTTATCAACAATTATACAGATCTTCCATTGTGCTGTAAGAAATACAGTAAGAAAGCCAGGTGCGGTGGCTCATGCCTGTAATCCCAGCACTTTGGGAGGCCAAGGCAGGTGAATCATCAGAGGTCAGGAGATCGAGACCAGCCTGGCCAACATGGCAAAACTCTGTCCCTACTAAAAATACAAAAATTAGCCAGGTGTGGTGGCATGCGCCTGTAATCCCAGCTACTTGGGAGGCTAAGGTGGGAGAATCGCTTGAACTAGGGAGGCAGAGGTTGCAGTGAGCTGAGATTGCACCACTGCACTCCAGCCTGTGTGACAGAGTAAGACTCTGTCAAAATACAAACAAAAAAAACAACAGTAAGAATAATATCTGGCTTCCCTGATATCAAATCTATATTAGTCAGGGTTCTCCAGAGAGACAGAACCAATAGGATATTGATATAGATCTATGAGAGGGGATTTATTGGGGAATTGGCTCACATGATTACGGAGGCTGAAAAACCCCATGACAGGCCATCTGCAAGCTGGAGACCCGGGGATGCTGGTAGTGTGGCTCTGTCCAAACTTGAAAGCCTCAGAATCTAGAAAGCAGATGGTGTATCTCTCAGTCCAAGGTCAAAAGCCTCAGGACCCAGGGTGCTGCTGGTGTAAGTCCTGGAGCCCAAAGACCGGCTACCCTGAAGTTCTGATATCCAAGGCAGCAGCAGAAAAGCCCATGCCAGCTTCAGAGAAAGACCAGTTTGCCTTCTGTGTTTGTTCTCTTTAGGCTCCTGGCTGATTAGATGGTGCCTGCCAGCATTGAGGGCAGATCTTCCCTGCCTAATTCATTCAGACTCACACACTAATCTCTGGAAACATCCTCACAGACACACCCAAAATAATGCTTTACCAGGTTTTTAGGTATTCCTTAATTCAGTCAAATTGACACCTAAAATTAAGTCCACAATTCTACCCCTCATCCACTTGGCACCCACACACATCTCTGTAAGCCATACTTCATTTCCAAATAAAGACAATAACAAGGTAATTGTTCTGCCTAATATGATGCAACTGACACAATGCAGTAATCCTGCATGCAACTGAAAATATACTAATCCCCTCCCTAGAATTCGGCTTTCAGGATTTCAACATTCAGGATTTTAATCTGTTGGGATTGCGATTTTCTGAATGTAGACATTAGGGATTTTAGATGTTAAGGATTTTAGACTTTAGGGATTGTAATTTTTAGGGATTTTGATCTTTTGGGATTTCAACATTTGGGATTATGGTGTTTGGGTTTTTTTTTTTTTTGTCTTTCTATATTATGATTGGCACCAAACTCATCACTTCTGTCTCTCAGCCTATTGTGTGGTCTAAATGCCTCCCTGAAACCCTTGTTAATACTGCCTGTCCACAGCGTTTACTACGTGCGAGGTACTGTTCTAATAACTCATTTAAATTCCCACAATAACTCTTTAAGGTGGATGCTACTATGATATTATCCCCACTTTACAGATGACAGAGCAGAGGCATAAAGAGATTAAAGCCGGGTGTTCTGCCTATTTCTTTATTTCTTTACTTTCAAAAAAAAGAAAAAGAAAAAAGAGAGAGAGATAAAGCCACTCACCTAAAGTTACACTGGCTACTAAATGGCAATGGCAGAACTGAGGTTCTAATCCTGAAAATTTTGCCCCCAAATCTGTGGTCTTAATCTCTAAAAGATAAGGGGCACAGGAGGACCCTGAAAGAAACTGAGGGGGGTTGTCACTGTTACTGAAGTACCAGGGCCCAACGTCACTAATTTGTAATGTGGCATTGGCTGGCCCCACTTCACCTGGTGCCTCCAGCTCACTCTTCAAGATGGGACCTTCCAAGGCAACCTGCCATCCTCCCTCCCTCAGCCAGCTCCCTCCTCAGAGAGAGGCCCATCAGTCTGCACCTTTCCTGTCCAGCCCTACTGCCATGCAGAGTGCCATCTGTACACAACTAAGAGCTCTACACGTTTCCCACGAGTTCAGCCATCAGGGAGAATGGTACTGGGAACATGTTAGACCTCTTAAATTTGCTCCAAAGGAAGCTCAAGGGACTGAGTAGCGAATTCTTACAGAGGACGCAGCTCAAGCTTGGCAGCCAATGTCAAAACTTGACAAGTCACTTGGTGCTTTGACTCAAAACCCTTCTTCCTCTGCCTGTGCATTTCCACTGAGGGCCATCCCTTTGAGCCAACTTGCCACTGCAGGCAATGTGTTCATCCTTCCTCTGTCCCCACTCCCTACCTCTCTGAGAGCCATCGGTTCTGTGTCAGATGAGGAAGCAAAGATGAAGAAATGAGAGGATGTGCAGAGGCAGAGCTCTTCCATGAGTGTCCCCTTACCTCACACCCATCACAACCTGGAAGCCAGGCAACAATGATGATCGAGAATATTTATTGATCTCTTAATATGGGCCAGGCACTCTTAAAAGTGCTTTTTATAGATTACGTGAATACTGTGGTTGATCCCTATTCTACAATTGAGGAAGCAGACGTTGAGAGAGGATTAGTCATTTACCCAAGGTACCAGGATTCAAATCCACGTGCTCCTGACTCTTACCCACTTCCCAGGTAACAAAGGACTTTGTGTGTCTGGCTAAACTACTGGATTTCATCCTGAAAACTGTGAGATTTTAAAAACCTTCAAATAGAATTTGGTGATGGTCATATATCTTTAAGAAAGAATGGCCACAGGTAGAAAATTAGGAGGGCTTTAGAGACAGGGGGACCACCTGGAGGCTGCAGTGATAATCGAGGAATGACTCCCAAAGGCACCTGTACTAAAGTAGTGGCAGGAGGTAGTGAAGAGGACACAGACCTAGGAGATGCTGGAGGTAGAACGAGGCTTATTAGGCAGGGGTGGGTGAAAGGCAGGTGGTTAGGATCGCTCCCAGATTTCTGGCTTGGGCAGCTGCATAGATAGATGGACCATCAACTGGAAAGAGACCAGGGAGGGCACAGATTTAAGGGCACTTGGAGGGAGATTACTGGGTTCTGTTTGGGACATGTTGAGTTCAAGGTACCCAGAAGACATTTGGATGAAAATGCCACCCCCACTCACCACCCTAAAGGGTCTGAGCTGGAGATCAGACTTGAAAGCTGCCATTCTTAAATTCAGGAACTAAATATACTGCAGTTTAAGAGGTCACCCAGGGAAACTGTGGTAAGTGATGAAATAAGTAGGCCAAGGATGCAGTCCTTAGAGTCCATGCTTACTAGAAAGCAGTAGGAGAAGACCCAGCTACGGGGACTTGAGGGGAATGGTCAGAGTGAAGGGAGGGAAGGAGAGTGAGATGCCTGGGGAACGACTGAAGGTTATTTCCAGAAGGGAGTGGTTTACTGTGTGTATTAGTCTGTTCTCACGCTGCTGATAAAGACATACCCAAGGCTGAGTAATTTGTAAAGAAAAAGGTTTAATGGACTCACAGCTCCACGTGGCTGGGGAGGCCTCATAATCATGGTGGAAGGTGAAAGGCACATCTTACATGGCGGCACACAAGCAAGAATGAGAGAGCCAAGTGAAAGGGAAACCCCTTATAAAACCATCAGATCTCATGAGACTTATTCACTACCATGAGGACAGTATGGGAGAAACCACCCCCATGATTCAATTATCTCCCACCCGGTCCCTCCCATAACACATGGGAATTATGGGAGCTACAATTCAAGATGAGATTTGGGTGGGGACACAGATCCAAACCATATCACTGTGTCAAATGTCAAGGTCTAGTTGAGGGAAAAATATGTCCACTGAATTTGGCTATTTTGAGAACTTTTGCCAGAGCTTTTCCAAAATACTATCAGTGGCACATGGAAGAAAAGAGATTGCCCTGCAGGTGCTCTGGGTGGAACACAACCACAGCTCTGCAGACCCAAGTCTCTGGTTTGGGCCTCAAAAAGCCTGGCAGCCACTGCCTACTCTAATGCACCCTGCTCCTCTGAAACCCTCAGTTCCCACACTCCGGACCCCATTTTACTTCTCGATTGGTTTCTTCAGCATCCATCCATGTGTTGGAGCCTCCTGAAAATATTCCTCTTTCTAAAGCATTCTGCCCTCACACTCACCAACCCATAGTGAACACAGAAAATCCATGCCCTTTATTAGATGCAAGGAGAGCTGAATTCAAATCTGGACTTTGCCCTCAATAACTGTGTCTATGGGAGTGACCTAACCAGTGTGTAAAATAGGTTAATAAGACTTCTGTCACAGGGCTGATTTGAGGAATTAATGAGATAGCCCATAAGGAAATTGCCTCCCTCCTAATAGGCTCAAGAAATGTTGTTTTCCTTTAGCTTATATTCTCTCCAGGCTCTGAGAATGTGTATATCCCAGGGAAGTAGAGCCTGGGTTTATCTAACCTTTTCTTAGAGAGGATTTTATGGGGGTGAAGGATGAGAGATCACCAGGTTAATGGGAGCTTGCAGAGTTAGAAAAGAGTCACCAAAAACAAATATTTTCATTGGTTTTATGTTAGGTAGGCCTGCCTCATCCCAGCAGCTGTCTGCTGAGTGACAGGCAGTTCTATTCACTCCTCAGCCTCCCCAAGTGCTGCTCTGGCTCTAGAAGAGAATGCAGTGGACACTCCAGGGCTCACCATGGCCTTTACCATCTCAGAGCATGGTGGCCAGACTACCCATGGCCAGAGTTGCTGTGGCTCCTGTGGTTCTAAACCATGGGGAGTTTTGTCCCCCTGGGAGTACTAGGCAATGTCTGGAGACATTCTTGATTGTTACAACCCATGACAATAAGCCGTGAAGGAAGGAGTGCTACCAGCACCTAGCAGGTAGAGGTCAGGGCTGCTGTAAGCCTCCTGTAATTCACAAGACAGCCCCCATAACAAGGAATCATCAGCTCAAAATGTCAACAGTGCTGAGGTTGACAAGCCTCCTGGGCTGTGTTAAGATCCAGTTGTCCACAGTGGCCACCACCTTGACGAGGTTCCCTTTGGTGGCCTCCTTCCCTTCCCTGTCTCATTTCTCCACTCCTCTCCTAGGATCTCCTGGGATTCCTCCCCATTGCGCCACTGCACTCAAATCATTGTCTCAGGGTGTGCTTCTGGGGACCCCCAAACAAGAATTGCATTGGGCTATTTCTGGTCTGAGTAAGGTGGAATTTATTCCTATACCCACTAGAAGAAGCACTCTCCACCACAAGGAAAAAATATGCTTTTTACATATTTACAAAGCAAAGGTACAAGTCCCAATGAATATAAGACAAGCAGTAACCTCTTAAGACACACTATAGGTAACGCTAAAAAGAGCAGAGACCAGATTGGGCAGAATCAATCTCAGCATGTGTCCTTGAGAAGAGTTTGAAGCCAAGCTCAAAGCAAGGAGTGGGGCAAATTGGCAACAAGAAGGAGAAAGGGCTTTTGGAGAAGATTCAGCCCAGATTCCAACCCCAGGCTGCAATACCCTGGGCTTCTTTCCCTTCCAAGGCAGAGTTCATGGGGCATCATGGGAATTGTAAAAACAATTCTGGAGCATTGCAGGGAGTGCATGAGGCCCAGAGCGTCCTCCTCCCTGTGCACTTCCTCTTTGTGGGAGGGAACAAAATGGCTGCAAATGTCTCCAATGTGAAGGGAAATTTTTGCCTGTGTCACGGCCAGGGGATTACATCTGCCTACAGTTACAGGATGTATCACTTGCAGAGAATTCCTTCCACAACATACTCAAAGAACCAAAAAAAAAAAAAAATTATTAAATAGCTGGCTATATTTGATCTATATTTTTCATTCTTTTTTTTTCTCCTGTGGTTTTTCACCAAAGTCCACTTTGACAAGCCATTAAAAGAAAACCCTATGTATATGAGCAATGGATGTAAAAAGAAAAAAAACCTAGTATATCAAACAACCCAACGTATACAATTTGGAAGAAGTAACCGGATCCTCTCCTCTGACAGGCTGTAAACTGGGCTAGGGAGGGACATTGTTTTTCTTTTGGTCATTCTGCCAAGTTAAAAAGGAAGTTGGAGATTAGAACAAAATATTTAAATCAAAAATGAATCCTTCAATGAAAGTTGCTTGATCCCCTTCACTACCACCCCCAGCCTCCCTTCCCCCTTATTGGAAGCATATTTCTCTTTGAAAAGAAGTAGTGTATTGTTGCTGAATAGAAGGGGGACAGCCCATTGGGGAGACACATCGATCTCATCATTTTAAAAGTGAGAGATAAATGACCGAAGGCCTCTTCCCAATCAAATGCTGTTTCTGCACATTCTCAGAATGAATGGCACTGTTTTCCCTGGTGACTGCTGAGCTCTCTCTCCTTGGCTAGGTTTGCCTATGCTAACCATGCATTCCAGACCCTGGAACAAGGGTAACTGCAACTCAAATGGACGTATCTGTGATGCCAGGGCACTGAATTTTTCTTTGAAACCCAAACAAGATCTTGACTCATCCTAAGGGCCCTGTAGTAAGATTCAGTACTTTGATTTTTTGAAATCTCTCTCAAATTTACTATGAGATGGACAGATAGCTTAGGTTCCACAAGCACTATTGTAGGAAAAGGTCCAAGAAAGTAGTAAGGAACAAAGCCACATCTGATATCTACAGATCTCCTCCAGCACTGGGACTTACTAGTCTCTCCTCAAAAGGATTCCCTTTGGTCTTTGAAGTGGCACAGGTAAATGTGGCCCTTTTGGTGCTGAGCCCACTTCATGCAGGTGTAAAAGAACCATGGAAAACAAATATTGTGGTGGGGCTTTTGGACACATTTTTATTTCTGAGAATGGTTTTACGAAATCTGCTTCATAACTGGCCTGGTTCTACATGTTTCAGTACTCATCCCCAAGATTCTGTTTTCTTACAAAACTAATTTATCTATAACTTTTCAACACCCCAAATAAATGTTGGTAATGTAGCTCCCTAATACAAATGATAGTCATAATAAATTAACAACAGTCATCCAAGATATAAGAACAAGGATACACTAATGGCATTAACACACAAAAATATATAATAAAAATTTTACTCTCCAGAGGCAAGAAAGAGTTGTATTACACAATGGATTTTACAATAAACATTTGCAAATAATATATACTATGATAGTGAACAATTATATAGAACCCATATATATCTGCTTTTTTTCCCCAACCTCTCTGGCTTCAGCATCCTTGGACCTTGCATATTTCAATGCTGACTTGGGCTCATCACACTTTCCTGGCTTAACACTCATCTGATACCTGGGCAAGCCACCTGGAAGCCTGGCACTCCCCACTGCAAGCACTAAATATTTTAGAAGGAGATTTTAAAGCAGGAAAATAGCATCATCTCAAATGATCCTTGATAGGCCTACAAAGGGCACCTACCAGTGGCCGCCTTGTCCTTGGTGCACTTGCTCACCTACAGCGTGTCCCCAGCAGAAGGAAGCATTCAGTTTATCTGGTGTGCGTGTACATGTGTGTTTATTTTCCCTCATCTTCTTTAATGAACTATTAGAAATGAAAACAAAAAAAAGAGTTATTTTCCAAGAGACTTTTCCTTAGAGTCTCTCTTTTGTTCCTGGACATAAACTCCATCACCACCCTCACCCCTAGAGAAACTGCAGGTCCCCATATCATTGCTAGCTTGACAGTTCTTGATGGCACTCATTCAAAAAATCTGTATTGAACTCAAATGTGCCCCAGAGACTGAGCTAGATGCTTTGTCCAGTCTTCTCATTTAATCCTCTTAACACTTTGTCCTCAGGGGTTATAATTCACTTTATTTAGCACAGGAAGAAGCTGAGGCTCAGAAAAATCAAGTGATTTCCTCGAGGTCCCTGGGGAGCAAAACGCCTTCAATCATTGAGTCTTTCCTGAAGCTGGTCCTACCCAGAAGCCCTCCCTGCCACCTGGCCTCAAGAGGCTGCCTATTAGGTTGATGGGGCCCTCTTCTCTCAGGCCAGAATCCTCATGATCCTCTTCATAAGGGCTTTCTCTTTCATGCCTCATTCCCAGTTGTCTTATTATCATCTCACACCTGCCTGGCTGCAAAAGGCTCTCTGGTCTAATTTGGTTGCCTCCTTGACTATATGTCTGCGCTCTAATCCACTGGAGCCCGCCCACTGCCAGCTTACTATTCCAGAGAGGCTGCCTGGATACCACTAGCTTCGCAAGAGTCTTGCTCCACGACGAACTAGCTGACTGAGTCTGGGAAAGTCATTAAAACTCCCTGGCAGTTTCTTTGCAGTTATAATATGCACAATAATTTCAGCTTTATCTCTGAAAGAAAACTAAAATGAAGATTGAATGAGACTCAGAAAGCGGGCTTTGGGGAACATCATTCCCATACCAGATTTTATCTCCAAAATGCCCCCAAAATGCACATTTTCATCTAAACTTGCTCAGAATATGGTGTTTCTGGATCTGAATCCAATGCCAAATTTTTTCTCCAAAATTTCCTCCTGTGCCCACAAAGAATGAAGGTTGGTCATTCAACTTTTCCCTGCAAAACCTGAGTTCATAATTTGTGTTCCAGAAGGTGTGGCCAAGAACTATATTCAATATTAAACTCTGTATTTCTCATTTACGAAATCACCAATAAGGAAATTTCGATAAGCCCTCTTATTTTCAATATCCAAACATCATATTTAATTAATCCAATCCTAGTTTTCTGGGTTAAGTGATATTCACTAAGGTAGGCTAAAAGAAAAAATAATAACATTTCAGAAATATAAATTATTGGAAATCCTGAACCTCAGACACCTGGTTCAGATCAAAATAAGTACTAAAAAATCTTCATTGCCCTCCCTTTACCATGAAACAAAAACCCCAGCTTCTTCGCCTGACTTCTACAGAACATTCCCAGCCTCAGTCTATCTTTCCCACCTAAACTTCCTTTTCTCCTGCATGAGCCATTTGCTCTAGACACCAGATTATTTGCTGTCTTCTAAAAGCTCCTTCATTTTATTTCCTCTGCATTTTCTCTCAGGCCTTTTCCCTGCTCCCAAATGCCTCCCTGCTCCCACTGACCTAGTTGGCCAAATCCGACTAGCTGAAACCTCCACTTCTTCCATGAAATCTGTCCTGAACACACCAATCTGAACAGATTTCTCCTTCCTCTGAGCCCCTGTGGCAAAGGAAGCCCATGTGCTTACTCACCTAGTGCTGCCTTCTGCTACTTTGCCCAGTGTCATCTTGAACTTTCATTAAACATCTTTCCTTGTCATATTTTAATGTTGGGCACCCAATTCTGTCTTTATACCCTAGAGTTAGCTACACACACAGTAGCTGCTCATTAAGAACTTGATGCTTAGATTTGACCCACACGCTTGCAAACACCTCTCCTCAAAAGAAATATTTCTTATGTATAAAGCAAGGGAACTGTAGAAATTCACCCCATCAAATATTTTTGGCTGAAAAAAAAAGAGAGAGTATCTTTGCAGAGTCTCAACAGAAACTATGCATGTGAATGTGTGTTTGGGGTACAGAAGTAGAGAGAAGCTTGTTAATTTTAAAGCCACATAGCATGTTTGGCTAAGACTGTTACTCCATTTGTGTATTTCAACCACGTAAAATACACCCTGGGATTCTGGACTGAGAGAAATAGCCATATAAGGAGAAAACAAGGCATTCCCTATAGCTGCTCTTGTAAAACACTCTATGATTTAACCCTCTGCTCGGACAGATCCAAGCTCCTGCACTTTACAACTGCAAACAATCAAATTCCTGGGAGGAGCTCAGCGTGTGACCTGCACCACTGGGCACAAACAATCACAAACAAAACCTGACAGGTCACCTATGGGGCAGCATGACCAAAGCTTCGCAGCCGCCTGCCTTTCTCTCTGCGGTGGGCCGTCCCAGCTGGAGCAGGCACTGAGATGAGCTCCAGCCCAGAGACAACTCTGAGGGCTCATTAATCCCTTTCCTTCAAGAACTCAGGAATCTGAGGTCTGCCTCCACCTTCTAGATGACAGTCCATCAATCTGCAGAATCCCTTCACTGGGGAGGTGTGGGAGGGAGAAGTGGGGGGATCAAGATAAGGAAAGAGGGGCTCCAGGAACAGAGGCAGGACTGGGCAAAGCGTTGGCCAGCCTCCAACACGATGCCTGTGGCTCTCTGGTGGAGTATGCGTCTGGCTAGGGGCCTCTGTGCTATGCAGAGGAGGGACTGTGGAGTGAGGGGGTAACAGGGCACCCAGCTGGCCCTCACCTTCCCTCCCTTCATCTTGATTGCCATTAACAACAACTCTGTGAGGTGCAGTTTTCTAGATGATGAAACTGAGATTCTGAAAGGTTCCAGTGTCCCTCACATGTAATGAGTAGGCGATGATTAGAAATAAGCTTGTATGCTGTGGCAGACACTGCTCATTTTCTTCTGTTATCCGGTCCAATCTCCTTCCTTCTGGCAATAGAATGAACACAACTCCACCTCCACCCCCCACCCCATTACACACACACACAGAAGCAAGGAAGATGGCTGCCTGGCTGGAGATGGTATTTCCCAGACACCCACGTAGCTCAAGGGGGGCCATGTGACTGAGTGATGATTTCCAAGAAGAGGGACATGAGTAGGAGTAATGTGTGCAAATTCTGGGTCACATCTTTTTAAAGTAGCTGCTTGCCTTTCCCATGGGCTGGGACGCAGATGTAAGAATGAGGAAGAGGACAACCTTAGGGGCTACTGGAGTAGCACAGCAGAAGGAGGCTAGACGAGTTTATGGAACAGCGCCACCTACCTTCCTGGGGCTACCGACCTGCAGGGAAATTAGACTGTTCCGTGAGGAGAAATAATCAGCCTCCTCTGAGCCACTGTATTCTTCCATGTCTTTGTGACAGCCATTTAGCCTACATTCTAACTAACGCATGTGACTTTCTGCAGCCTCAGCTGTGTGTAAAGAATCTTGAGGCCACAATAGCTTGCACTAACTTAAAACGCAGAAGGAAAAAAATCGTAGCCAAGTTACATAACAGCAGTACTCACATGCCAAAATCACCCCCTCCCTGAGTCAAGGCTGGAATAGGGGCCTCAGCCACATGAGGGAGTCCTGCACAGGTGACAGCAAAGGTCAGAGAATCCTGCTCTCTCCTCCCCATAGGAGTTTACTACGGAAAATTTGCCTAAGAAGGACCCTGAACCTCATTGAGCTGGAACCAGAAGCACTATTTGGACAACTCTCATTATCATTCCCAAAATGACTTGTTGAAAAGTCTTCCTCACTAATTTTTAAAGTCAGCTTTACTTCCCTGAGACAGATGTGTTAAAACATCTACTATGATTATAATTTCACAGTTCCTCTTGGGACTTCAAGTTTTGAGACTATCATATTATATATATACTAAAAGTGTTACATTTTGTATAACAACCTTTATCAGTAATCATAAATTTCGCCCTTTAGTCTGGCATAAGTGTAACTATATTCAGCTTTTTTTTTTTTTTTTTTGGCCTGATAGGTCTTTTTCTATTTTTTTTTCTGTTTTTGTTCTTTTCTTTGCCCTCATATTTTCTCTTATAAAACCACATAGATTTTAATTTTTTCATCCAAGTTAACAATCTCTGTGTTTTAACAGATACATTTAGTTCATTAACATTTTTTAGGGTTTATTTCTGCCATCTTAGTTTGAGCTTTGTGTTTACTTTGCTATATATGATCTTTGCTTTCTTTTTTCCAAACTTTTAGTGGGATTGATTCTGATTTCTTTATTTCCTCTTTTCCTGTTCTACTGATTTGGTAATTATCAGTCTTATTTGTATTTCTGTATATACATACAGATGTTTTAGATGTTACCCTTACATTTTTAACACACATACTTGACTTTGAAAAGTACAAAATGTCATTTCTACTTACCTATCAATCTTCAGAGCTCCAAACATCTCCCACCCATTTTATCTATTATTGTTGTCAAATATATTATTTTCACTTTTATACCCTTAAAATCTGTCAAGATTATTAACTTCTACAGACAATGCTTGTTTAAATTTAACTTCCCCTCTTAGAGCTCATCCCTTCCTTTCTAGTTCAATTTTCTTCTACTTGAAATAAATCCCTTAGCAACTACTTTACATTTTTGGTGACCAAAACCAAACAAAACTTTAATTTTATATGTGTTGTTGAGTAATAGTTTAGCTGGCTATATAATTGCAAACCGATAGTGATTTTTCCTAGTGCTTTGGGTATGTCATCTTCTTGACTTTTAATATCTGTTGTTGCTGTCAAGAAATCTGCTGCCTAATTATATTTCCTACAAAAAAAATCTTCATTGCTTTAAGAACTTTTTGGCATCAGTATTTTGCAATTTCATTATAGTGGACTTGAAGTTTGAATTCACACTTACTTATTCAGCTCATGACTTACTGTACTTCCTGAATCTTATGATATTTATCTTTTAGACATTGTAAAAAAATTCTCAGTCTTTTTTCTCTCTGAATATTTCTTCTCCTTCATTTTCTATTTCTACTTCTAAACGCTTATTCTCATTCTTTCCTCCATATCTTTAGTTACTCCCTCACATGTTTACGTTTTTGTGATGCATTCTGAATTGGAATTAAATCTCTTCCAGTTTACTACTTTTTTCTTTAACCATATCTAATCTGTTAAAATTGATGACAATATTTATTACTTTTAGAAGTTTCATTTGTTTCTTTTTAAAATCTCTATTTTATTTTTTCATGGTACCTTATATATTGTCATAATTTATTATGTTTTCAATTCCTAATTTTATGCTTTGAATCATTTTTAAACCTACTTATAGTCTTTATGTAATACATTTATTATCTGAAGTGCCTGGGGATCTGATCTCGCTCTGTATTCTATCCACTGGTTCTCTCTCATGGGAAACCATTTCCTAATATTCTTCATAATTTTGGAAGCTGAGATCATCTTCAGTGGAGCTTTCTCTATTCAGGGGATCTTGTGTGGTCTGGGTTGAGGACGTGACCTCACAACCAGGAGAGTTTTGTGCCTGGTTCATGATTGCATGGCATCATGGCCTAGAATCACATTTATTCATCCATGTATTTATTTTTAGACATGTGATAATTGTACATATTTATTGGGTACAGAGTGGCATTTTCATATATGTGTACAATATGTAATGATCAATTCAGGGTAAATAGAATATTCATCACCTCAAACACATCATTTCTCTGTGTTGAGAACATTCAAAATCCTCTCTTCTAGCTATTTGAAAAATATACAATAAATTATTAACTATGGTTATCCTACAATGCTATAGAACATTAGAACTTATTCTTCTATCTAGCTGTAATTTTGTATCCGTAACCATCATTTCCTCTTCATACCCCTTCCTAGCATTCTACTCTTTACTTCTATGAGCACAACTTTTTCAGCTCCCACAAATGAAAACATGCAGTATTTGTCTTTCTGTGCCTGACTTATCTCACTTAACATCATGTCCCCCAGGCTCATTCATGTTGCTGTGAATGACAGGATTTCATTCTTTTTTATGGCTGAATAGTATAGAATCACATGTTTATGTCAATATCTCATCTCAGATATTCCTAGACCACATCTATAGTGTAAATTCAAACCTCAAACCCAAGTAAGGCATTGGATTCTTGGTTCAGAATTCTTGATTGACAACTGAGAGAATTTTTGGTGCTAGTTAAGATAGGTAAATTTGTTTTTTGCTTGTTTGTTTGTTTTGAGACGGAGTCTCGCTCTGTGGCCCAGGCTGGAGTGCAGTGGCGCGATCTCCACTCACTGAAAGCTCCACCTCCCGGGTTCACGCCATTCTCCTGCCTCAGCCTCCTGAGTAGCTGGGACTACAGGCACCTGCCACCACGCCCAGCTAATTTTTTGTATTTTTAGGAGAGACGGGGTTTCACCATGTTAGCTAGGATGGTCTTGATCTCCTGACCTCGAGATCCGCCTGCCTTGGCCTCCCAAATTGCCGGGATTACAGGCGTGAGCCACCGTGCCCGGCCAAGAAATTTCTTTTTTGTCTCTCTGTGCTGATGGCTTTTTGGGCTGTTCTTGGGCCATCATGGAAACCACAAAATGTAGGTCTCAGCATTCACAAATACTTGCCTTTCCAATTCACGTTCCCAAGACAACTAATGTAGTTTCTGTGTCTTTCTCACCTTGGGCCAGGAATCCATGTCCAATGCAGCCAGCTATAGGCAAAGACAAGGTCTCATAGTACTTAGGGAACTTCCTGTTGGTCTGTGGAGAAAGAACTTTTCTGGCAAGAGGGCCTAGAGGAAGGGAAGAAGTGATCATTAGAGGAAACAATTAGTATCCCTGAAACCAATAACTTTTCTTCAACACTTCTCTTGTATAAATCTATGCCATCAATGATTGTGTACCCCCAGCTGTGGGCACAAAATTATTAAAGGTAAGAGTCAGCTGTTGTAACCAGGGAAGGTGTTGATAGTGTTTCACAGGAAACATCAAGGTGAGCCTGTTTCTGCATAGCGGTAGAATTTATTTTCAACTCTGATCAAATGTGTAAGTTACTCTTCCACACAACATAGCCCAGTGACTGACATAGTGGATATTGAATAAATATTTGTTGAAACAAATATCAATCCCCTCTTCTAATCTTCAGTAAGGGGAGAATGAAACACATAGAGGCAGCAGGGAGAAAATGTTCAGAGAGCCAGAAAGCTATAAAGCCATGCTCACAGAAAGGTAAATCTTTCCTGGAGAAATAAGTAACTAGAAGCAGGCAGTAAGCAAAGAATGCTGGAGGAAAGTAATCTCTTTTAGAAATCATCATAAATGCTTGGAACTTGGAGTGGATTTTGAATTAGCATACATACCAAGATGGAGAGTGTTCTTCAGTTCATAAATAAGAGCGCTGTCACAGGTGGTGACATTCGCCACAGATCCTAGGGCAGGAAGTAATCTGTGAACTCGGGTGTTAAATTAAGAGAAAGCACACCCCACAAAAAAAGAAGACAATTCTCTTAGACATAACTGCATAAGAGATTTAGGGGGAAAGAACCAAAATTTTTTTAAAGGGATCCACTGTGTTAGTTTTTTATATCTAATAATGTCCATGTTAATTATGTATTAACATATATGTAGTTCAAATCCTCCTGTGGATTCTTTCTTAGTATGTTCTTTTTGTTTTTAAGACCGAATTTGAAGGATCTCTCCAAATGCTGTTATAAACAGATATCTGAATTAGCTGAGAGCTGCAGTCAAAACCTGGGAGCTAAGAAAACAGTTCCCTTACAAAATGCTGCTTTACCTAAGTTTTCTTTATTCTCAGTATATAATTTATTCGATTCAGCCCTACTAACGGAGACGTCAAAGGTCTTGGGGTAGCCATCTGGTTGAAAGATGGGGGCTGGCAGACTCAATTTGGAACTGTGTTTGCATATCAAGTGTACTATGTTTCTTCTCAATTGTGCATTTATTAAGTTTGGCCTGGGGATAGGGGAGGATAGACCCCACTCTCCAAGTTAACCCTTGGGCCCAGAAAATTTGAAAACCAAATGGAGGACTCCACATGTAAAAACTCTGGAGAATAAAGCCCACAGCACAAAAAACATGATTGTAGTGCCAATCTGAGATCCAGGGAAGCTTTGGTAGGTAAAGTCTCATGCTATATTAGCTTTCCAAAAAACTAAAGCCACCTGTCCCCCAGGATTGGGGCAGTGTCCATCACAGTGGTGAGAACACTGGCCCCTTGTCCATTCTGATGGACAGAACTACGACAGGAGGCTTCCTTGAGGCGTTCAAGAGAACTCAACTATGTCACACGCACTGAAACATCTAATTACAGTAATGACCTCCACACTGAACCTTGGTTGCACTCCCAACAGTGTCTCCTGCAGTTGTTCTCAGCTCAAATCAAATTACTGTGGAAAAAATGTGTGAGATCTCCCTTCCCACAATGAAGTAAAAAGGGCAGTTTACCACCCGTTGAAAATCATCTCACCAGACTACTATTATTCTAGTACAAGAATGTGCAGAATGTGTCAAATGTGTGTGTCAAATGTGTGTCAAATTAGGTGGCCTCCCTCCTGAAACCATTAAATCTTTGCATCTCTTCATAAGGAAGGCTGATAGACGCCAATGGTGGGAACTCCAACACAACTGAAGTCACGCCTCTTGCTACAAAAACCAGGAGGGCTCTGCGGCAACCCAAAGCCAGTGACTGAACCTAGCACCTGTCAGTGCACGTTGTTGCTTCCTTCCCCCAGGTAATTCTTTCGGGAAATGCTACTAGGTGGCATGTTTCCCCTCTTTCAGCATTCCTGAAAATATGTAAGATATGAGATAAGCACTTGATCTTCAAACTTATATTAAGAAGCTTAGGTGAACAAATTCTGTTGTGCACATGTGAAGCACGCAGAATTCTGGGGCAGCCTCAGGCTGGAAGACACCATTCCACTCCCCTCCTCCCTTGAGCTCCCTGTGTGGGCACCACTGACAACCAGGAGGCACACCTGCCCTTGGGGCCCTGCCACCCGATCTTAGCATAGGATGTTGGGAGAACCTAGACAATTTCCTGAGTCTCTCTGTCCTCGGTTTCCTCTTTCTCAGGAAGACTATGGGAGGTTAATACAGTAACACAGCATCCCCAACCTTTTCGGCACCAGGGACTGGTTTTGTGTAAGACAGTTTTTCCACAGACAGGGGGTGGGGGGTAGGGGGATGGTTTCGGGATGGTTCAAGCGCATTAGATTTATTGTGCTAGGTTTTCTATTATTGTTACATTGTAATATATAATGAAATAATTATACAACTCACCATAATGTAGAATCAGTGGGAGCCCTGAGCTTGTTTTCCTGCAACTAGGCCGTCCCATCTGGGGGTGATGGGAGACAGAGACAGATCATCAAGCATTAGATTCTCGCAAGGAACGCAACCCAGATCCCACGCATGCGCGGTTTACAACAGGGCTTGCGCTCCTATGAGAATCTAATGCCGCTGCTGTTCTGATAGGAGGTGGAGCTCGGGCCGTAATGTGAGCGATGGAGAGTGGCTGTAAGTACAGATGAAGCGTCCATCACTCTCCTGCCACTCACCTCCTGTTGTGCAGCCCATTTCCTAACGGGCCACGGACTGGTACCAGTTTATGGCCCAGGGGTTGGGGACCCCTATAATAACGCATACAAAGCAGCAATATCAGACACGTACTAGAGCCTTCCCTTGCTTCCATGACTCTGTGGTATTGAGATGATGCCTGCTTGTGGTTTTATCCTAGCCCTGTACAGTGGACACTGGTGTTTCTGTTTGTCCAGCTCCAGTTCCCTCAGTCCTCTTCCAGGAACCTCTCCTCCCTGGCTCATGGTTTGGGTGCCCTCCTCTGGCCAGCAGGTGAGAATGTGACCCACGCTAAACCAGCTGGAATTGCCCTCCTAAGAATGTGGATCTTGGGGAGGAGCTTACTAAGACAGAAGGCTTTTAGAGCTCATTAAACCTGGAATCCAGGCCCTGGAGAGCCTGTGCATTTGTCCCTGTTTTGCCAAATCCCTACAGCTGCCTTGATTCTCACCCCTTCCTCAGGTTCTAGGAGCTAATCCTTATCCTTACAAGAAGTTCCCTGTTGGCCAGGCATGGTGGCTTATGCCTGAAATCCCAGCATTTTGGGAGGCCTAGGTGGGAGGATCACTCGAGCCCAGGAGTTTGAGGCTGCTATGAGCTATGATCGTGCCACTGTACTCCAGCCTGGGCAATAGAGCAAGACCCTGTCTCTAAAAAACAAAGTTCTCTGCTCCTTGGAGCCAACCTGGATATCTGTGCTTTGCAATGTGTCTCGGTCCCCACTTCGCTGTACAGATGAGAAAACATTCCCAGGTCAGGGAAACTAATGTGGAAGTAGGAGAGAAGCCAGATCCCAGACTGGCCACCTATGCCCTCTGCTGCCCTCTCTGAACTCTCTTCTTGGCGTCTCGTGCATGGCCAGTGACCCTTCTCCTCCCTGCCAGTCCTCCACATTGCTCTCTTATGTTCCACATCATCCAAGCTTGCAAACCATCGTCTATTTCAACTCTTGTCTTTTTTTCCCCTCAGGTGTCAGGTTATTTTCATAAATCTTCATTTTAAAATAAACCTTGGTGTCTCATTCACCACAACATTTCTAAAATGCATTCCTCTGCCAGCATGCTCATTCCAGAGCAGGGCCCTTCCCGCTTGAATGTTGGCAGCATCCTACCCACTTGGCTTCCTCTCCTGCCACCTTCCTCCCTCACAGAAAGCAAATGAGGTTTGGACTTGGGTGGGTTGAAAGCCCATCCATGCATGTCATGCATAACATTCCCTTCCTCGGCACGGATGCATTCCTAGACAAAAAGGCCTTTGAACATGTTTCTCTCAGGGCCCGTTTGGCACCATTTTGTGAGTTGAGCAGCACTGGCCGTGCTCCCCTGCTGAAGAGCAAGCAGTGGGAACTGAGGAAGGGCAAGCTCAGTCTCTGCCCTGCTCTGGGGGCTGCCTGTACAGCTGGATCCTGGGGGCTGCCACATCCCACAGAGCCCTGGGGTGGAGGGCATGCTCACAGACCATGGTGTCCAGTAGCTACCCCATCTCAACATGTTCCCCCTAGTTGAGCCTCATCAAAAATGGCCCTGTTTGGCAGCCAGGGAATCCTATCGACCCCTCAGGAAGTGGTTACATATTATGATTCAGTGTACCTCTTGCAGCTGGGAAATGCATTCTCTGGGCTGTCCTCAGGGGGCCCATAAGGAATTCACACCTGTGATTAGCTTAACTGGCCATTCGATTTCCCTAAAGCCCTATACAGATCCAATTGAGGGAGCAGCTCCCTGACCATGAACAACTTGGTTTTTTAGAGAGAAATTAGGGTGCAACAGATTCAGGTAATTTAGCATATCACAGTAAACACTGTGACTCTAGTGTGGCTAGATTATTGCCAACATCTACAGTGAAGAGTGTATCTGCTGGTTGGTATATATACAACTTACCACATGTTGTTAGATTTTTACTGAACATTCTTTCAAGTTTTTCAGGTGTGAAATATTGGATTTACTAGTCACTAAAAATTTCCTATGCTACTTAAAATGAGATTAGTAACTTACTTTTGTGTAGTACTTAGTAGCATGTTATCCCATAGAATGCCCACACATGTGGAACATGCATTGGTGTTCCAGTTGGGAGAAGCTATTTTTACAAATGCAGGCTGAAAAACCTATTTTCAAATGAATGCTCCTAAACATAAAATTCACCTTAAACCTAAGCCCCCAACCAGCATTCAAGAAAGAAGAGAAAGTGGGCAACATTCAACCACTAATTTCATGGCCATGTTGCCTAAGGTGAGGTCTCTAAGTGATTTCTTAAACTCAAACCTCTGGCCCCAGACTCGACTTGGCTCTTCTTCTTTGTCTCCAGTGTATTCTTGTGCCCCTGAACGCTGAATCACAGGCAAAGGTTTCCAGTATTTTCATTCTCTTTCTGCTTTGAAGTCCATTAATCTTCATGTTGATTTTCCCTCCACCCTCTTGAAAAAAATATCTGCGTTCCCCAGATGGAAAGCCAGGAGTTGGCACCTTGGGAAGCGATCACATGGAGTGGGAATGGTAGGAGAGGCAAGCTCCTGGCCAGCGTGGTGAGCCGCCACCACAAACCATGCCCTACAGCGCGGGAAGGGAAATGAGTCAGGTCCTCTGCATTCTGTGGTCACAAACCCAGAGCCTCTGTCACCTCTTTCCTCCCTGTGGGTGTGTGCCTGACCAAGCATGGGACCTCCTGGTGAGAAGCAGTACTAGACAGATGTTCCTTTGTCCTTAACATACCATACACACTGCTACTTTTGCATATCAAATGTTCATATTCTCAATCTAAACCCACTTTAAATCAACACATTCTTTTTCTAGTAAAGATAAATTGAACAGTACACACCTATAGACTATGTACTAAAATCTTTTAAAGTGCTTCAAAATAGATGAAATTTCTATACACATTTTTATATCTAAACAACAAATATGTACATAACTAAATATGAATCTGTACATTTATCTATTCATCCAAATATGCCATTCATATAAAACACACAGAGGTATAATGAACGGGAAAATAAAAAGACTGATGATGACCACTACTGCTGCTGCTACCACTACTAGATATATAAAGAGTAACTGAAATTACCAGTCTGCTGTTGTCTAAATGTTTGTGACCTTGCCTCAAAATGTATGTGTTGATACCAAATCACCAAGGTGATGGTATTAAAGGCGGGGTCTTTGGGACATGATAAGATCATGAGGGCTCTCTCCTTATGAATGGGATTAGTGCCCTTAAAAAAGAGGCCCCAGAGAGCCGCCTTGCCCTCTTGCCTTTCTGCCATGTGAGCACAAACAAAAGGTGCTATCAATGAGGAACAGCCCCTTACCAGGCACCAAATCTGACAGCTTTGATCTTGGACTTCCCAGCCTCCAGAACTGTGGGAAATAAATTCCAGTTTATAAACTACTCTGTCTAAGGTATTTTGCCATAACAGCCCAAACTATGACTTAGTCCCAGTTGGCAAGGAGCTATGGTCCAGCTAGTTGAACACATACAAGCCCCTCAGTCATTGAAACCTCAGACTATTATCTGAGTCTTTCTCATCTTTACTTTGTTCACCAATTTGGTTCCCAAGTCTTTCTCCTTCTAGCTCCAAAAATCTCACATTTATCACCCTATCTTTTCCTCTCTAACCCTGACAGCCTCAACTATACTTCAGGCCCTTCTGCTTCTGTCCCAGACTGCAGTAATAGCCTCCTTTCAGGCATAGGATATTGGCTTTAAGAGTCTACCAACATAGGCAGGCCTAACAAATACAGAGCACTCCTACTGCCCCTATTCCCTCAACCTTAGCAGACCATCCTAATCAATCCCAGATCTTTTCCCGTGAGCCCAGATGTGGCCACACAGCTTTTGTCAGCACAGCCCTCCAAGCATCACCAATTTATCAGAGTTCCTCTAGAGACAAAATCTATTTACCATCCCTGACCCAAGTCCTTTAAAACGAGGTTACTCAACCAGGAGGGAACATCAGGATCACAGATGTCTGAATCATCTAAGACCTAAGACCTAAACCAGAATTTTTGTGGGCATGAATTATGGGCATTTTAAAATGTATTATGCATGATTTTGGTGTGCACTCATCGAGGACTAAGTAAAACAAGCCCAAATCAGAAGATGTTGCCCCTTCTAAGACCTCTCTCTCCTCTCCTTTTACCACTTGTTGCCTTACAGCCCTCACTACTTCCTATTCCACGTCTAAAAATCTTAAACTTTCTCGACCCAGCGCCTGCCGTCTTCCATTTGGACACTAGATACATTATTCTGGGTCTTTTCAGAAGAAGAGGCCAAGAGGGGGCTCTATGCTCAAGGCTTTTTACCAGGGCAAGCCCCTAGAGAAAAAAAGGCACCGGCAGAGGCTGGAGAGCTGTCAGACTACAGTACAGGTCTGACTCCATGAAAAGGAAGGAAGGAAAGAAGGTTGGTTGGAAGTGCCTTAGACTGCAGTGCAATACTAGGGGAAGTCCCAGAGCCAAAGTCGTCCATCAGAGAGGTCCCATGCCTAGCATCCCTGCCATGCCAAGTCACTGACTGAGAGCAGCCCACGGGAAGCACAGCCTTGGGACAAATGCAGCAATTTCAGAATACAGCAGCTGGGGCCTCAGTCAGTGAATTATTCTCCCTGCAGTTGGAGATCTGAGAGGTGCATTCTCAGAGCTGCCACACCAGGAGCTAGAGCTGCCAGGAGCTAGAGCTGCCAGATTTAACAAAACTGACAGGAGCTAGAGCTGCCAGACTTAACAAAAGTGCAGGATGACAAGTAAGTTTTTATTTCAGATAAACAACAAATAATATTTAGTATGAGTGTGCCCATATATGGGTGTCTTATATTTCATCTGGTAACCCTGACTGTAGCTCCTTTTGTACTAGACTTTATCTGTGAAAAATCCTTTCTCTTTTGTACTAGATCTACTTTGGTCTGCTTTAGTACCCACATCGCTGAGTATCATCTTAACAGATCCCTCTCCCGGTCGGTCTCTCTGCTAACCAGACATCCATTCTCCCCACTACTCCAAATCATTCTTCTGGGAACACTGTGGTCATGCCACCCATCCACCACGGAAGAAGCTTCCAATAGCTCCATGGCTTTCAGATTGGACCTCAGTGTCTGGTATCAGGACGTGCATTTGCAACACTAATTGCCGCTGACTTTCCAGTCCCTGGCTCCAATCAGACCAAGACTCATGGCCATGAAGACATATCTCCTGCCTTTGCTTATGCTGGCCCCCCTCCCTGGAATGTCCTTCACAAAATTTAACCTATGTGTCAAGGCTAGTTCAAATGCTGCCTTCTCCTTGAAGGGATAAGCTAAGTATACCATTACTCTGCCCAGAACCCCTTACACCTAGTGATACAGGAAGCAGCTGAAATAATATGGGAAGATATAACTTGATATGCTCTGAATGTGGAGCTTTCCATACAGACATGATTTCAGCAAACAATATTTCCCAATTCCATGTGTGGCATTAATATCAACAGCTCTTATACAACCAACAGGGTAAGTCTTGCTTTTAGCCCCGGTGCAGATGTTTAATTAATCAGGGCTGCCGTCCCTGTTCGCCCTTGACTGGGTTTCCCTGATGATTACCCACTGAAAAACTCAGCCCTTTAATGCAAACAATGTCCTGATTAATGTTTTGTGCCGTGCACCAGGCTTGGCGAGTGGGCCCTTCATTAGGGAATCAGCCTGGACTGCAATACTCAGTCCTGAAAACTCAAACCTGACTTCATACACAAGCGCCTTTCCATTTGATTGTATGTTAAACATTTGCTTAACTCTCTTTCCTTCCTCGCAACTTTGATTTTGGGGAGAAAAGTTTGCATCAGGTGAATATAAAATATTAAATTATTCTGAGTCAGCATAGTTTTGAGACTGACTTGAGTGGTGGAGACGCCCTCCACCCAGCTGTATCAGTGCCTCTCTGCAGTCATAAGCTTGGGTGTTCCTTTCTTTTGTTGGTGGTCCAGGTATTCAGTCAGTCAGTCTCTTTCTCTCTCTTTTACTAGAAAAGGGGGTTGGAGGGAGGATCAGATGATGAAATGAAAACCTTTAAATAAAATATCATTCCCACAAAGGAAAAGAAATTTCCTCTGGGTCATTATCAGTGGAAGCCCAGAGAAAAGATAATAAGCACAAGATTCCTGATTAATTAAACATTTGTGCTCATTGTATGCAATTATTCTGGGGAAAATCAACTCCGGGACATCTGTTTACTCAACCTTGGGCTGAGAAACCACCAAACTACTTCTGCCCTGCATCACCAAGTGCAATATCAAGGCATAGAACTGATAGCTCATAAGCCCGAGGCATAGGCCCACTAATTTTCTAGGTTGGAAACAGATGACCATGCTGCATGAGCAATAAATTATAAAGACTGAGTAAACTCACAGAGGGTTAACTGGGGAAATCTAAAGTGACAATATATTAATATAATACATATTTACCAATACACATAATTGTGTTATGCTACAGAGCAATTAAATATAGATGATAAACATTTTTGTGAATGCTTTATTATTGCTTTTTATCCAGTGAAACCACATTTCTAGCTTTTTCTTTTTTACCTAGTTATATCTCCAGTTTTAATGATTTTCCTATTACCAGTAACCCCTTAACTGTCATCCCTGTCTAATCTCCTGCCTCTGGAAGTTGGGGCAGAGAAATGTCCTTACTCAGCCCTGTGGGAGCCCAGGACTGGACAGAAGCGAATATTTCTCCCATTATCAACTGATGAGCAAAATTCACAAGTTCCGTATTGAGGATCAAGGTCCAAGAATAGGTTAAATGATTACCCACTGGATAAAGGGGTCAAAGGGGTGGAGACGCAGGGCAACAAAGGAGCAAGGGCCCTTGAGGTGGCTTGAAAACACACTGACTGGATTCCAGATGCCTGTAGCAACTTCTTGTGAATCTCCCACCCCAAATCCAGGGACTCCAGGGAGGGGTAGTCTGGATTCACAGCCAGAGAACCTTTATTAGAGGTGATCAAATGAGCACAAGTGTTTGAGGAATAGGTAATGACTGGTTGAATCTCCCTGTCTATCCAACACCACGTGTATCTGTTGAGACCCTGGCTCTGGTGTGGCAGGGTTAGGGTGACCCCAGCTTTACCAAGCAGAGGACTCCACAACCTTTAGGTTCCTCTGTGAGGGGTGAGATGGGTTACGACACCCACTCCTCTGACCCAGGTCCTCTCCAGCAAAACATGGAGCGTGACATGGTATCTCTGAGTATCGTGATCTTCCCTTACCATACAGTTGAGCCTGGTTTCCTTACCAGTGTGGATGCTAGCCGTAGGGTGACCAACTCATCCCACTTTGCCTGGGACTGTCTTGTTTTTTAAAAAATTGTTTAATTATAGTAAAATTCACATAACACAAAATTCACTATTTCAGCATGCGCAATTAGTGGCTTTTAGTGCATTCATGTTGTGCAACCACTGTTATTATCTAGTTCCAGAACATTTCATCACTCCCAAAGGAGACCCCACACCCATTGGCAGTCATTCCCTATTTCCCCTTCCCTAAGATCTCAGCAACCACTGATCTGCTTTCTGTCTTTATACATTTTCCCACTTCTGGACATTTCAGATAAATGGAATTATACAGTAAATGGGCTTTTGTGACTAGTTTTTTTCACTTAGCTTAGTGTTTCCAAGGTTCATCTATGTTATTGCATGTTTCAGTGCTTCATTACTTTTAATGGCTGAATCATATTCCACTGTATGGCTAAAGTACATTTTGTTTATTCATCGGTTGATGGACACTTGAGTTGCTTTTTCCTTTTGGCCACTGTGAATAGTGCCACTATCAATATCCCTGTCCAAGTTTTTTTGTTTGTTTGTTTGTTTTTGAGAGGAAGCCTCACTCTGTCACCCAGGCTAGGCTGCAGTGCCGTGGCGCAATCTCAGCTCACTGCAAGCTCTACCTCCTGGGATCCCTACTGGTTTCAAGCAATTCTCCTGCCTCAGCCTCCCGAGTAGCTGGGATTACAGGCGCACATGACCACATCAGGCTAATTTTTGTATTTTTAGTAGAGACAGCATTTTACCATGTTGGCCAGGCTGGTTTTGAACTCCTGACCTCCGGAGATCCACCTGCCTTGGCCTCCCAAAGTGCTGAGATTACAGGTGTGAGCCACCATGCCCAGCCCCTGTTCAAGTTTTTATGTGGACATATATTTTCAGTTATTTGGGGCATACCCTTAGGAATGAAGTTGCTGGGTCATATGGTTATTCTACGTTTAACTTACTGAGGAACTGTCAAACTGTTTTCCAAAGTGGCTGTACCAGTTTACATTCCCACCAGCAAGGTATGAAAGGACTGTCTTGGTTTTAAAATGGAAAGTCCCATGTCTGGGAATGGAAAGTTCCATGTCTGGGAACTGCCTCAGTCCCAGGCATCTGAGATGATTGGTTATCCAAATAGCAGGTTCTCAGCATACAGGCTGGGCTTCCCAGGATACTATCTCTGAGTGGCCCTAAATTTCGGGTGCCGTATATGTAGGTATCCCCTCTGCATACATGTTCTTCCATATTGTTTCTGTTTATTGTATCCATGATGCATGGCTACAACTTCCTTTGGTCACATGACTTTCCTATTCCTGAAATGATGCCACCTCTTGATATGTGCTCTGGTTTCCAGAATAAAGGGAATTGCTTGGGTTGCTGGCTGCATGCAGCAGAAGGTAAAATCAAACCTGTCCAAGAAAGTAGCACACAGTTCCTCTTCTGAACCTGCGTTGCTAGGTCTGCCTCATCTGCTCTGGCTTCTGGTGGTCTGAGCATGCCTATGAGGGGTTCTTCTATGCCTGAGGAAGCCATGGTAACAACCAATAATTCATTTCCGTATGGAGTAGCTGCTCTCATAGGGGGCCCAGCTTCTGGAAGTGGATAGAAAGGAGGAGATGTTGGGAGTTGGCTCCTTCTAAATTAGAGTAATCTCCCTTTAGAGTGGATGCTCTAAGTTTGATTATATGGGCCTGGTCCAGTTTGAGGTAGGATAGGATTAAGGTATTGTATTAGTTTCCTATTTTTATTGTAACAAATTACTGTAAGTTTACTATGGTAAATTTAAAACAACGTAAATTTATTATCTTAAAGTTCTGGAGGTCAGAAGTCCAAAATAAGTCTTATAAGGCTAAAATCAAGGTGTAGACAGAGCTGCATTCCTTTGGGAGGATCTAGGTGAGACTCTATTTCCTTGCCTCTTTAAGCTTGCATTCTTTGGCTCATGGCCCCTTCCTCCATCTTCAAAGTGCATTACGCTGACCTCTGCTTCCCTCATCACAACTTTTTCTCTCATGGACCTTCTTATTTTCCTCTTATAAACACCCTGGGATTACATTAGAGCCACACACATATTCCAGGATAATCTCCCCATGTCAAGATTCTTAATTTAACCAGAAAGTTCCTTTTGCCATGTAAGGTAACATGGATCCAGGGAGTGGATATCTTTGTGGGGGTGGGGGGAGGGTGGCATTATTCTGTCTGAAATAGACATATTTGAACACCAGAAAACCTCAGCTGTGACAGTGACCAGTTGAATTCCTTACTGATCTTGAGATGATCAAATACTGAAACATTCAGAGAAAAAAAGCAAAAAAAAAGTTGAATAAGCAATTAGTAATGCCCAATGAACCCACCAATTCATGAACATCTTTGTTTATTCTGGAAGTCTCCCAGTTGGAAAGGGCTGAGTCCTTCAGGGACTTCATGCAAACATCTTGGCTGGACTGAATATGGTCCATCTCCAACCTAAGTTATTCCTCTGGACAGGGCAAGAGGTGGTGCTGCCTCAAGCTATAGGAATAAATCAGGGTGGTGATTCTTAAGTCAGTGCGGCAATGTTCATTATTTCTTGAGATGTTAATCATTTTGCTCTACTAACATGACTCATGGCCAAATTCAAATAAATTTGAGAAGAAATACAGAAAAATAAATTTGAGAAAAATTCTTTATTCCTTAAGATGTTAATCATTTTGCTATACTAAACATGGCTCATAGTCAAAGTCAGATAAATTTCAGAAACATAAATAAATCAATCTATTTGAGTCACAGAGATTACGTTTTATGTGGGGACCTGTTAGAACTGTAATATGTTAATAAGCAGTTCAAATTGCTGGGAAGGGAAAACAGAATACAATGAACCCGATCGCGCCACTGCACTCCAGCCTGGGCGACAGAGTGAGACTCCATTTAAAAAAAAAAAAGAATACAATGAACCCCCAAATGCTTTGACCTGAGAACCCCTTAGTATCCCGGCATCTATGTCTTCCAGAACTTGGGTTCTGTGGCATAGTGCTTGGGAAACACTGAATCAGGATGTGAACTATTTAGATGATGATGCTCTGTCCAGGGTTTGACCAGGGCACTGGTAATTCAACATATGAAAGGTTGCTTACCATGCATCAACCTCCTGGATGTGGCTGAAATGCCAGCACCCTGAGGTTTTGCACTATAAAGGTAAATGCTACAGGAGCAGACAAATGACTCGGCTGGTGGGACTCAGGTGGACTCCGTGATCTCTTGGGAGCAGAACACTCATTTTCCTCTTTTTGGAGAACACGCTGGCCTGGACAGGGAGATAAAGGGCCTGAAGAAGCTTTACCACAAAGTTTATGCTTTTCTATTTGGAAAAGGTCTCAATTTCAGGTGTGTTAATGGGGTGTGCCCACTTAGAGGGAATATAAAGCAATTACATTCTTGGGGATTTAAAAGCACTTACTGGTAGACTGCATGTTTGTCCAGGAACCCAGATGCAGGCAGCAGTCCCTCTCTGGGCGATCCAGAGCTGAAGCTGAAGAACAGGCATGGTACAGGGGTGAGCAGGTGCCCCAGTCACTCCCCTCTCCATAGGCCTAGTGAGCGCAGGTGGTGCATCCCACAGGATGGGTGGGAGGGCCTCCTTGGCCCTCATAGTAGCCACAGTCACCTAATCTGTGCTTCCTTCTCTGCAGACATTAGCATGATAATACCATCCTGTTTTGTGAAGGAAAGAAGACAGTGCCTATAAAAACATACAGGTCTTCAAATCTCTTTAACCTCCCTTGAGACTTTCCTGGAACTGAACCAGTACGTTCAAGACCATTCCAAATGAGTACTATTTTTCTTGATTCAATGTCGGTTAGGATATGGGGTTCCATGCCTATTCTACAATACTGCTCACTGCTGGAGTAGCCATCACCTCCTGCCAATCATGGCCACTGTGTCCACCACTCATATGCCTACTTGTCCCTTGTTCTGTAAACTGTCCAAATCATCTCTCTCCCTGGGTCCTAGATATGGTAGCAGTGGAAGCATCTATGTTCCCTCCTGCATCCATCAGGAGAGGCTGCTTAGGCTGCAGTAACAAACAACCCCTGCGTTACAGTGGTTTAAAAAGGCAAAAGTACATTTCTACCTCATTCCACATGCTCATCACTCATCAGCAGGGGATTCTGCATGGGCCTCACTCAGAGGTTCAGGCTAACAGATCCTGCACCATCTAGAACATAGCTAGCCACATAGTACAGAGATAGGGGGACATCGCAAATCTTGAATTCACTCTAAGACTTTTGCTCACATTATTTCATTATTAGTACTTTTCATAACAGCTATCATTTATTGAATACCCACTCTGGGGTCAAACACTTTTCAAACATTAGTTCATTTAATCCTCAACCACTACAAATTTATGAGACATTTATTTCCTCCATTTTTCAAGTAAGAGACTTGAATCTTAGAGAGATTAAGCAATTTATTGCAAATCTAGCAAGTCGCAGAAACTGGTTTTGATTCCTCAGCCAGCTCCCAAATCCCTGCCTTTAGTTACCTTGCCTTCCTCACTTGACAACATTCTCTGATTCCTGAACTTATTTATGTAAAAAATCTTAGAGGAATATGACAGTGAAATCATAGTTATAAATTTAAGTAATTGTCTTATTGAGGCCAGGCATGGTGGCTCACACCTGTAATCCCAGCACTTTGGGAGGCCAAGGTAGGTGGATCACGAGGTCAAGAGATTGAGACCATCCTGGCCAACATCGTGAAACCCTGTCTCTACTAAAAATACAAAAACTAGCTGGGTGTGGTGACACGTGCCTGTAATCCCAGCTACTCGGGAGGCTGAGGCAGGAGAGTCACCTGAACCCCGGAGGCGGAGGTTGCAGTGCGCCGAGATCACGCCATTGCACTCCAGCCTGGGTGACAAGAGTGAAACTCCGTCTAAAGAAAACAAAAATTGTCTTATTGAAAGTGGAAAATTCTAATGAAAAATTAAAATATAGCAAAAAGCATATAACAATTAGTGCAATACTTGCGTTTGTCTTTGCTATTCATCAGTGAGTAAAACTGCTAGTGTATCTTCCTACTTAAGCTTGTGAGAAGAACTTCATTTGTTCAGTAATTATTTCCAGTAGCCTCCTCTTAGCAGAGATTTTGCTTTCTGAGGTTTCAATTACTGGTGGTCATCCACAGTCCAAAAATATTACATGGAAATTTTCAGAAATAAACAATTGATAAGTTTTAAAATTCTCACCATTCGGAGGCACATGATGAAATGTCACACTATCCGGCACCATCCCACCTGGGACCTGAATCCTCCCTTCGTCCAGGTATCCACGGTGTGTAAGCTCCCTGCCTGTGTGTCACTCAGTAGCCATCTTGGTTGCCATGTCACAGTACTTGTGTTCAAGTAACTTTTATTTTACTCAATCATAGCTCCAAAGTGCAAACGTAGTGCTGCTGGCAATTTGGATATGTAAAGGAGAAGTCACAAAATGTTTTCTTTAAGTGAAAAAGTGGATGCTTTCCACTTAATAAGGAAAGAAAAAAATCATATGCTGTACTTGCTAAGATCTGCAGTAAAAACAAATCTTCTACAATTTCTTCATGAAATTGTAAAGAAGGAAAAAGAAATTCATGCATAGCATATATGGTTTGAATATCCCTTATTGGAAATGCCTGGAACCAGAAGTGTTTCAAATTTTTTATTTTTTTGGATTTTGGAATATTTGCATATATATAATGAGATATCTTGGGGATAGGACCCAAGTATAAACATGAAATTCGTTAGTGTTGCATACATACATTATACACATAGCCTGAAAGTAATTTGTATAATATTTTTAATAATTTTGTGCATGAAACAAAATTTGTGTTCGGTGTTATGTATGGAATTTTCCATTTATGGCATCATGTCGATGCTCAAGAGAGTTTTGGATTATGGAGCTTTTGGATTTTAAATTTGCAGATTAAGGATGCTCAGCCAGTAGAGAGGTCAGTACTACTCAAGGTTTTAAGCTTCCACTGGGGTTCTTGGAACATACCCCTTGCAGATAAAGGGGAACTATTATATTTTCTGTTTCTTTCCCCAAACATCTCTTGACAAGCCTCTGAATATTGATTCGCATTTTAAAAGAGAATTTTCAGTGCCAGAGCCTATTGATAACTTCCCTGCTGCCCAGAAGTCACTAATCAGTGACATCAACTTTCCCTTTGATACCCTTGAAATCATGCTCAGAACCAAGAGAATGAATTCACACACTTGTAATGATTAATGACCTGATTCAGTTACCATTTGTCAAAATATTTACATTTCCAGAATATTTTGATGTTTCATGGGGATAATGAAAGTAAATATTTAAAATGCAGATAGTCCTAGAAAATCTAGAAAATATGGTAATTGTAGACTGTAGCCTTTCCAAAAAAGGTGAGATTTCTCTAACCATGTCTTTCTGTTTCTCTCTGTCTCTCCCTCTCAATCTCTTTCACCCCCACCACCCCTTATCTAAACCCAGATTCCCCTCACAGCTCAACTCTTGCCCTTGCCTATGGGAAAACAAGAAACAATGGTTTTTATAAACATCCAAAGTCTGGTAGCCTTCTATCTTCCTAACAACAGAATTTAAAATCTCATCTACAGGGAATTAGTCTCTACTTGAGATGGCCCCTCATCTATCCACTAACAGAGGTCATACAATTTACTTTTACCAGGACTTGATGGGAGCCATCAACTCACTCAGATTCATCCCCACCACTCATAAACCTAGCGGAACTTGGCTTCTCAGCAGCATCTGAAGGATATTTTTTCCAGGGACCTGCCTTTGGTTCTTAGACAGGAGTAGCTGGAGAGAAGAGGTCAGGGTTCAGAAATCTTCCCCTAGTGCAATTCCATTGACAATTTCATAAAAGTCATGGGTTAAGAGTCAACTCCCAATCAAAGGCTTTAAAGAGGGACTTTGAAAGGAACTGTTAATGTTTTGCCTTTGCAACAGATTTGTTCCTGTTTTCTTAAATGAATCCACTACTTCTTTAGATTTAGTCTTCCAAACAGCCCTCAAAGTAAAAGCTGTATCATCCATAGGAAAAATTGTTCAATCTTGGTTGCTAAGTCAAATGGCAAAAAGGCATGAATACAAAGGGATTTCCTTGGAGAAGGATGTTGGTGGGCCTGACTGATGGCTTCTGAGCTCACATCATCTCTGAAAAAAGGCCCTCCTAGGTTTTTTAAGGGCCCGGTTCCCCATAACCTTTTGTAGCTCCCTTGGGTATCAGCAACTTTCTTAAAATTAGTCTAACAAAAAAAGTAGACTCAGTTATCCAATGAATTAAGGGAATTGACAGGGCCACTGTGTTGGAGCACAGCTCCACTGGGTGCCATTCATGTTATATTCTACGTAATCAGTGAACCCTGGAATTATACAACACAGCGGCCCTAGTAGGTGAGTGAGGGGTAACGAAAGATTCTTTGATTTATTACTGATTATGTTTAAATGATCATAATTCATTCAATGAAGAAACGAGTTATTTAAGAAGTTAATAAATGAATAAGGTCCAATTTTTATCAGGAAGGGAAAAATAATAATATTTGAATTAGCATGCTGCTGTATTAAACACAACAAAAAAATATTTCTTTTTAATGCTTATATATTGACATATATACAAATAAACTTACCTGAGATCTTTGGAACCCCCTGCAATGTGGGAGTATATGGAATCATCTCCTGCCCTTTCTCACTTTCACCGGGTCTCCAGTTTTGCTAAGGATAATGCTATATGCTTCTTAGAAATAATATATCTTTCTGGCCTCTGGTAGCTTCTTTTACAAGTTAGCTCAGAAAGGGTTAAAAATTGACAATTCATCTAATAGGCTAACAAGCATCACAAACACATGGGTGGATATGGGAGATTAGCACCTAACATCTATTCTACCTGCCTTCTCAGGGGTCTTCCTGCACTGTAGAAGCTAAAAAAATCTTAAAACTACATTTATTGGACTCCCTTGCAGCTATGATTCTGGATGTTATTTAATTTGGAATGCAGAAATGAGATAAGGGCATGTTTTGTGCTGCTTCTGTCATTTCCACCAGCAATTGCTGCAGTATTGTTTGGTTCTCCTATAGTAGCTTCTCCATTGTGATGGCTTCATGAGGCAGGAGCAGTTCTCTCTGTGACCCAGTGCTGCGGTGCTGCTCTTAAAGTTATATCTCAAAGCTCAACCTAGGCCTCTTTCTTGTGCAACGCATGTTATGAAATAAATATTTGTAAGCTAGGTGAATTCTATTTCTTGCTACTGAACCTGACTGATTTCAAGTTCACCCAAGGTCAGTTATAATCAAAAATATTAAAATTGTCTCATAAACTAACAAAATGCTTTAATGATATTATTAATACTTGTGCAGTTGCAGTAAAACAAGTATTCTCTACACTGCAAGTTGAAAAACAAATTAAGTATAAGCTTTTTGGTAAGTGATGAGGTAATAAGAATTAAGAACTTTGAAAGTTTATTTTCTTTAACGTAAAAATCCTTCTTCTTAGAATTCTAGCTTTAAAATATATTTTAAAAGTTGTATGGACTATGAGGTTCACTATAGTATTATTTATAATAATTAAAAATTGGAAACAAGCTAAAACTACAAGCATAAGGAATGTAAAATAATTATGCGTTGTCTATGTGACTGGCCATAGTAACAGAGGCATGTTTACATGATTCTACTGAGTTTTTAAATCAAAATGGTATTTTTTTGTGCAGTTTGAAAAAAATAATGACAATACATGTAAACATGCAAAGAAAATAATGTCAATATACCAATAAAAATGGGAAAATAGTATTTTCTGGATAAAGGGTATAGACAGCATTTTTATTTATTTCACTTTTCTGGTTTCCTCCTTAATTTTTAAAATTAAAATATACAATAGAAAAATTAACTTTAAAAAAGAACATAATCTACTCCACCACCAATAACCTTTTGTGGTTAAGTTTTTACTGCTCAAGTTCATCATTCCCTGCCCCAACATCCAATATTTATTGAGAAGGCCCTTTAACATCACAAGACTCTAATGCCATGCACTGATTTTTACGATCTTACTGGAAAACTGCTGGGTGCATAGAAAAGTATTTGTGCATGCTGTCTGCATGCATATCATATATCATTTTAGATTGCTAGGCAGTAAAGGAAGAACACCATAAACACTAATTTTTACTCCTAGATGGCTTAGTAATTTGCTAAATGTCCTTGTAATTGCTTCTAATTATTCATTACATTAGAGTAGAAGGTGGCAGCTATAAATTTTCAATGAAAACAAAATTTAAATACAATGCATCCAAATGTCTCTGCAGACCCAAGTGGCAACCTGTTTTTCGTATTAGGGAAATCCAACAGACACCAGCAACACATGCTGCTTCTTAATGTAATGAAGGAGAGTGAGCCAAGGAAGTAACACTACGCTGGATTTGTGAAGAGAATGCAGAAGTGGCTCACCGACCTCATCCGTGTACCAAAGCATTTCGGGAGTTGACATCTTCTCAGGTGGGGAGTTTTCACTAATCCCCTGCACTCTCCCCTGTGAGTTGTCAGCAGCTCTGGCCATTGCTTGATTCATGCATTTATTCTTTCTTTCTTTCATTCATTCACTAAATATATATTGGGCACCTGCCTCTGAGCGAAGCTATGTGGGAAATCAAGAAGACTCTTCTAAAAGAGGCTGAGGGAAGGCAATCTGCAAGTAAATCACCACAACCCTTCCAGATAGAAGTCTCTTCTATCTAGAAGGGGATTTGAAAAATGTCTTGGAGGAGGTAGTAATGGAGCTGGACCTTGACACTTAAAATTTGACAGGATATACTGCCGCTGTGGAAAACAGTATGGCAGTTCCTCAAAAAGCTAAACACAGAACTACCATATGATCCAGCATTTCTACTTCCGGGTATATACCCCAAAGAAATGAAAGCAGGGACACAGATGTGTACATTCATGTTTATAGCAGCACTATTCACAATAGCCAAAGGTGGAAGCAACTTAAATGTCCATCAACAAATGAATGGATAAAGAAAATGTGTTATGTACGTACAATGGGATATTATTCAGCCTTAAAAATAAATGAAATTTGGATACACGCTACAACACGAATGAACCTTGAAAACATTACGCTAAGTGAAATAAGCCAGACATAAAAGAATAAACACTGTAGGAGTCAACTTATTTGGAATACTTAGAATAGTAAAATTCATAGACAGAAAGTAGAATCGTGGTTGTAAGAGATGAGAAGAGGGAGGAGTTAGTGTTTAATAGGTACAGAGTTTCAGTTGGGAAGATGGAAAAGTTTTAGACATGGATAGTGGTTACATAACAATACGAATGCTCTCAATGCCAATGAACTTTACACTTAAAATGGTTAAAATGGTCAATTTTGTGTTATGTATATATTATCACAATTTTAAAAGTATTTAAAAAATTTGACAGTGTACAGTGAGGAGGAAGGGCACTTGAGACAGAGTACAGAGGTGGGAAATTATAGGCTGTAGTCAGAAAATACAGAGGAGACCACCTTGGCTGAAAGATACTGGACGCATGACAAGAACAATAACAATAATAACAGTAGTAGTCTTTATAAATACAACCCTTTATGATCATTAATTTTAGTGGTCTGCATAGAAGACTAAACCAGCCACAACAGTCTCTTAAGCCAAAGGCTAATCCAGAGCAAGGCACTAACTCACTTCAATTCTATGAAGGCTGAGAAGGTGAGGAAGTTGCAGAAGAAAGATTTGAGGCTAGCAAAAGACTGGTTCATGAGGTTTAAGAAGCCATCTCCATTACATAGAAGTGTAAGGTGAAACACCAAATGCCGACGTAGAAGCTGCAGCAAGTTATCCAGAGGATCTAGCTAAAATCACTGATGAACATGGCTATACTACACAACAGATTTTTTTTTATTAGACTTTAAGTTTTAGGGTACATGTGCACAACATGTAGGTTAGTTACATATGTATACATGTGCCATGTTGGTGTGCAGCACACCAACAGATTTTTAATGTAGACGAAACAGTCTTATATTGGAAGAGTTCAAGGCTTCAAAGGGCAGGCTGACACTCTTGTTAGCGGCTAATGGAGCTGGTGACTTTAACTTGAAGCCAATACTCATTTACCATTCTGAAATCCTAGGGCCCTTAAGAATTATGCTAAATCTACTCTGCCTGAGCTCTATAAATGGAATAACAAAGCCTGTTTATAGCATGGTTTACCGAATATTTAAGCCTATTGTTGATAACTATTGCTCAAGAAATGAGATTTCTTTCAAAATATTACTATTTATTGACAATGCACCTAGTCACCCTAGATCTCTGATGGAGATATACAAGGAGATGGATATTGTTATTATGCCTGCAAACACAATGTCCATTCTGCAGCCCATGGATTAGGAGTACTTTTGACTTTCTAGTCTTATTATTTAAGAAATACATTTCATAAGGCTATAGCTGCCATAGATGGTGATTCCCCTGATGGATCTGGGCAAAGTAAATGGAAAACATCCTGGAAAGGATTCACCATTGTAGATGTCATTAAGAACATTAGTAATTCATGGGTGGAGGTCAAAATATCAACATTAACAGGAATTTGGAAGAAACTGATTCCAATATTCATGCATGACTTTGAGGGGTTCAAGACTTCAACTGAGGAAGTCACTGCCAAGATGGTGGAAATAGCAAAAGAACTAAAATTAGAAACGGAACCTGAAGATGTGACTGAATTTCTGCAATCTCATGAGAAAACTTGAATGAATAAGGAGTTGCTTCTTATGGATGAGCGAAGAATGGTTTCTTGAAATAGAATCTACTCCTGGTGAAGATGCTGTGAATGTTGCTGAAATGAAACAAAAGATTTAGAATATTGCATAAACTTAATTTGCTAAAGCAGTGGCAAGGGTTGAGAGGACTGACACATTTTAAAAGAAGTTCCACTATGTGTAAAATGCTATCACACAGAATCACATGCTGCAGAGAAACCTTTTGTGAAAGCACAAGTCAACCATTGTGGCAAACCTCGTTGTCTTATTTTCAGAAATAGTCACAGCCACCCCAGCCTTCAGTAATCACCATCATGATCAGTCAGCAGCCATCAACATCAAGACAAGATCTTCCACCAGTGAAAAGATTACAAGCTGAAGGCTCAGATGATTGTTAGTATTTGTTTTACAAGAAAATATTTTTAATTAAAGTATCTGCATTTTTAAAGACATAATGTCTTAACAGACTACAATATAGTGTACTTAATAGATTACAGTATAGTGTAAACATAGCTTTTATATGCACTGGGAAATTAAAAATTATCTGTGACTCACTTTATTGTGGTATTCACTTTAGTCTGGTGGCCCAAAACTGAACCCACAATATCTCCGAGGCATACCTGTGCTTTTTTTATCTTAAAGTTAGAGATGAGAAAGGTAGGTACGGGTCAGAGAGGGCAAATAATTTGCCCCGTAGGCATTGGAGCCTGCATCTGGCTGTGCCTGTATGTCCCAAGAGCGCATGCTACATGCTCCTGCCTCCCATAGGAAGGTGGGAAGAGAAGTGGGTTGAACCTTTGAACGTCAGATTGCAAAGGTAGGCCTTAGTGAGTAAATAGAAGAGATCCAGGAAAGAATTTTGAGCAGCACAATGATATAAAGAGAACTACACCTGGGAATATTAATCTGACAGCTAACTATAAGAGAGATGAGAGGCAGAAAGCTAGAGAGAAACTTGGATTTTTTCCAGGGAATAAATAATGATGGCCTGACTGGAGAGGCTGTGATGGAAAGAAAGAGGGTGGACAGAGGCAGGAGGAATCCTCAAGGCCTTAGGAACAGACTAAACAAGGAGAGTAAGATCCACTCAGATATTATTCTGTGGTTTTGAATACTGGAAAGACAGTATAGCTATCAGATGTAGGAAGTCCAAGGAGGCAAAGAGGTTTGTGAAGGAAGAGAGTTGGGGACATTTTGAGTGGGAAAGGCTGACAGATCTGATGGGTGAAGGTGTTCCCCAGACTGTGTGAAAGTGAAGGTGTCAGACTTCAGCTTGAGAAGTCGAAGTACCATGCAGGAAAACTGTGGTAGCTGGTGTGATGGTTGATATCCCAGGGCTGAGACCTATACGTTTAAGCATTTAGGAGTTCCCAAGATGCTGGTGGGCTCTCTGCCTGTAAATTCAGCCAGTCCACCCTCTCCACCCATGCACAGCAATGCTACCTATCATCCATGAACAAATAACAAAGGAATCCCAGACACTGGGGAATATCTCAAACATGAATAAGAATGACCAAGATGAGCAAACACAAACAAATGACCTCAGAGGAACTGTGATAATTCAGTGAACTAAAATCATTCTCATTTGTATTCTGCAAGAGTCTGATACAAAATTGTATTCATGGAAGGAGAGCATGCTGCCATTATAAAAAAAAACAACCAGCAATCCATAACGAATTCTTTGAAAAAAAAAATTATCCGGGTTATAGTAAAAAAAAAAATTCAATAGAAAATATGGAGATTAAAGTCAAGTAAATATCCCAGAAAGCTGACCAACTAATTAACAACACTTAAGACACAGTAAGAAAAATGGTAAGAGGCCCAGATGATGAATTCAGGAGGGCCAACCTCTGACCAACCAAAGAAATAATACAAGAATGAAAGCTCATGAGTGTATTTGTTCAATGTGTTCATTAGATTTCCAGCATAAGGAGTAGAAGAACCGTGCCCAGATAGATCCCTACACAACTTCCACACCAAGAATAAGGAGATCCTAATATCTTCCAGAGCAAAAAAAGACAGGCCACATTCATGGATGCTGTGGCCATGGGAGCAAAGTGGACAGGAGGAGCCACACATGAGACACACTCCTTCAGTCTTAAAGAACCCTCCTTGGGCAGCACAGAGGAAAGTCCTGGTTAGCCAGAATTTACTTATCTCCTATGTTCACCCTAACCTTCAGAAGAGAACTTCCTATTTGCAGATCAGTCCACAAGGGGATCTGATGCTATCAGAGAAATGAAGTGATTGAGAAGGAAAGGACAATCTCTTCCCCTCTCATCACTAAAGGGACACTGGCCCACTGGGGACAAGACTCTGAGTCACCAGGATGTCCCAGTATCGGTGACAAAGTGCACAACCCTTGAGAAGATAAGGAACCAAGACAATCTTCTGACTGATGAGCAGGAGTGGAAAACCCTCAGAGAAAGGAAACAAGTTTTATTCAAACTTCTCCCATTCTATTGTCATTTCCTGTTTATCTGTTTCCTAATTAACTGTAAGCTTTGGGAAAGCAACGTCTATATCTTATTTTGCATTTTTATCCTGCCCTAAACCAGTCCTAGTGCAAAATCGGAACTCAGAAAATGCTGAATGACTGTATGGACAGACAAAGGAATGGATACATTTCCACTATTTTTAACACAGAAAAGGTGACAGTGGCTGTGGACCTGCCACTAAAAAGTATGCACATTCTGCTCCATTGTTAAAGAAGCTGCATAATTGGGCTCTGTTGTCACTCCTAACAACAGAAAAGACCATTTTGCCTGTCATTTTTCAAAAAAATTGTGAATAATAAGTTTATATGGATTATTAAAACTTCATCTCTAAGAGAATTTTGCTGCAAAAAAAAAGTAAAAAACAGCATTTTTCACACCATTACTATTTTTCAGATTGCATCTTTCATTCCAGCTTGCAGGACTGTCTTCCTGCATTGTTCCTAAATGATGGCAGCATAAACAGGATAGAATAGGTGATTCTCTCAGGAACAAAGGAAGTCCAAGGGTAATCCATCCAGGGGCCCAGTGTCTGTCTTTCCAACCCAGCATTTTAGCATCCTCAAGGTCACCTCATAGCCACTACATAGTCCAGTATAGCAGCCAACATACACGTGCCAGGAGACATCAGAAGGAAGGGAAAAGGGGCATGTGTTGCACCTTCTCCATGAGCCATTAAAGAGGCTTCTAGTAAGATCCATACAACCTCTTGCTTTACATACACTCCATTGGCCTCCCATTTGCAGATGCTGGAGAACAGTGTCTTTTAACTGAATAAATCAGGGTCATCTTACTAAAGAAAAAGGGGAAGATGGATACTCAGGAGCGAATCAGGCTCTACCACATGACAGTCAGATGTGGGTATCCCTGGGGACCTCATCCTAATGCCCTCTTCTCATTGTATACTCTTTTAGGGCAAACTAACCCATGTCCATGGCTTTCAATGCCATGTTATACCACTGGTTATAAACTGGTCTTTTTTCAGCATTCCATGCTCCAGAGGTTTGGGTTTTTTTTTTTAATAAACTGTTGACCTTGGAATACCAAATAACACTACACTATTATCTTGCAGTTGAACCTAGGTGTGCTCATCACCAAGGATAGAGCTAGGATTCAGGAAATAATGTTTCAACCAGAATATTGTCAGTAGTGAGGAAGCTGAAGAAGCGTGGAAAGGAAAAGAGCTGAGTGGGCCATTTCTTTAGGAGGAAGCTTCTGTGTTAGGGGTCTCTGGAAGCACTGAGGGGGAGCGAGAGGGCTGAGCTGCTCTGCTTCCAGCTTCCTCACTGATTCCAGAGAGACACATATGGCTGCCCCCACAGGCCCTTGCTGCCTGCTTGTTCATTCCTTAGGCATTCCCTAGTGACGCATCTGCACGTATATCCCTGCAAAATCCTGGCTAGCCTGGAGTATCTTGCAAGCAATCTGGGTATTAAAAATATTCAGTCCAAGAAGTTTTTATTTTATTGAACATTATAGAATTATAATATAAAGTTTGGGTAATGAGAACCATTCACATAAAATCAACAAGAAGAAAGTGAGTCTATTCTGTGGAGGAGCTGGGCTAGGTACCATGGAGAGGCAAAACCTCCCCTCCACAAAGTACACACACACACATTCAGACTTCAGAACATTCAATTTCTACTCTACTTAATTCAACAATTTCTTGTTTAAGTTTCTACTCTATGTTGGGTACTCTGTTGAGGCACTTGGGATGTAAGGATATAAATTACTCACACTATGAAATGGTTCTATGTTTTCTGAATTTTAATAATGAAGAATTGAGAAGGACCAATTCTTGTTTTGGAATAAAAAGAACATTATTTATTTTTAACAGAGTTGCCAGCATTCAATTCGCCTGTAATGCATTTTTTAGATCTCAGAGATTATTACCATTAGCTGTCTACTTTCAAGATTTATTTTTTTCCTCAAATTTATTTTTATAGCAGCTCAAATAAAATATGTTTTGTTAAAAATTAGTTCCATTTCCCTTCCAAATAATATTGGACTAAATAACTCAGAAGTTTATCTAGATTTTAAAAAAACGAATGCATGTCACTTATATTCACATCATTCTTGTTAAAGGCATTTCGGTGTTCTCAATTTTCTACCAATTTGACTATTGATGTATGTGGTTCTTTCTGCTTTGGTAGGACATAATTAGAACTACTAAGTGATGATTCTCATTCACTTACCAGAAAGAATCGTAAGGGAAATGATCAAAAAGCTTAAAGATAACGGGTCCAAGATAAGAACATATTTTCTTATAGTTGAAATGAGAAATAAGACATAACTCTCCTTTTTTATTAGAAAAATAATTATTTAAGTAAGAATGTTTCTAATTAGAGAATTAACAATGAGCTAAGGAAAAACAACTGTGGTATACTAGGTTTAATAACAGGGTTCCTGGAGACTGTACCTCAATATTTGATGTCTACTTTGATATCAGGAATGCAGATGGAAAGGTGAGTATCTGTTATTTCAAGCGGACAGAAGTTTCCTTTTTAGCTAGATGAAGACACTGACCCCTCCTAAGGTCAGACCACTCTAGTTTGAAAGGACATTTTTGTGAGCTTCTTAGTTCTACAAAGTAAAACCCATTCCATTTTCTGCAGCAGAGAGAGATAAAGAGGACCTAAACTGTTCTCCATAATAATAGAGAAAGCATCCTTGCTGTAAGCAGTTACATCTTTGCAAAATTATAATAATACAATTTTTATATTAATTATAAAATTATAATAATACAAATTGTATTATTGCGGAAGAAAAGGTTTTCTTCTCCATTAGGCAAAAGAAGTGTTGGGGGCCTGGACTGGCCAAGGGCCTGCTTATATGAAAAAAAGGTCTGCCGACACTGGAATTCACATGATGGCCAGAGGGCTAGGGTGGGAGATAGCCAGGTGATGTTTTATAGATGGGCATAGCGAGTGGAACCCAGGGCAGCGATAATTAATAGCCAACCATGTGTTATGGCCTCCTATAAGGCAATTCCATTCTGCTTACCTCATGCCTTCAATAAATGGTGTTAGATGTTACTGTATAGTCTTAGCTGTGCTCTGAGAATTAGAAGTGAGGCTTGCCAGGGGCAAGACCTGGGGCCCAGCGATGCAAGGAGAGGGGCAGCAGCCAGAAAGAATTACAAAATGGCAAGAACAGGGGACCAGAAAGAGAGAGGGCTGCATTTAGGACAAGCAACCACTAGGATGGATCCATGAGACGCCTAAGCATTTCCAGGGGACTCTCAGAAAGACTTGGGAAACAGTTGGAAAAAAACATTTCTGGACGCATGAAAGGTGAGAACTCTGACTATATTAGATGAGATTAAAGGGAGGGATAACCTCTATAGTCACGAATGTGCGGACAAGTATGTCAGACTTAGATGAGATCTTAAGAAGAAACCTAGTATGGTGCCACAACCATTCAATGGGGGAAAGAAGAGTCTTTTTAACAAACAATGCAGGGATACCAGGATAACCACATGCAAAAGATTGAAATTGAACTCTTACCTCACATCTTTTAAAAAAATTAACTCAAAATAGATGAAAGTCCTAAATGTAAGAGCTGAAACTGTAAAACTCTTGGAAGAAAACAGGGATAAATTTTTGAGTCCTCTGATTTAGCAATGGAGTATTAAATATGACACCAAAAGTATTAAATATGAACAAAAAAATGGATAAACTTGACGTCATTAAAGTTGAAAACTTTTGTGCTTCAAAGGACACTATAAAGAAGTAAAAAGATAATCCACAGAATGGAAAAGGTATTTGCAAATCATATATATAAGGGTCTTGTATCCAGAATATATAAAGAATTCTTACAGCTCAATAACACAAAGGCAAATAACCCAATTGAAAATGGGCAAAGAAAGTCAATCCTAAGCCAAAAGAACAAAGCTGGAGGCATCACGCTACCTGACTTCAAACTATACTACAAGGCTACAGTAACCAAAACAGCATGGTACTGTTACCAAAACAGAGACATAGACCAATGGAACAGAACAGAGCCCTCAGAAATAATACCACACATCTACAACCAGCTGATCTTTGACAAACCTGACAAAAACAAGCAATGGGGAAAGGATTCCCTATTAATAAATGGTGCTGGGAAAACTGGCTAGCCATATGTAGAAAGCTGAAACTGGATCCCTTCCTTACACCTTATACTAAAATTAATTCAAGATGGATTAAAGACTTACATATTAAACCTAAAACCATAAAAACCCTAGAAGAAAACCTATGAAATACCATTCAGGACATAGGCATGGGCAAGGACTTCATGTCTAAAACACCAAAAGCAATGGCAACAAAAGCCAAAATTGACAATTGGGATCTAATTAAACTAAAGAGCTTCTGCACAGCAAAAGAAACTACCATCAGAGTGAACAGGCAACCTACAGAATGGGAGAAAACTTTTGCAACCTACTCATCTGACAAAGGGCTAATATCCAGAATCTACAATGAACTCAAACAAATTTACAAGAAAAAAACAAACAACCCCATCCAAAAGTGGGCAAAGGATATGAACAGACACTACTCAAAAGAAGACATTTATGCAGCCAAAAAACACATGAAAAAATGCTCACCATCACTGGCCATCAGGGAAATGCAAATCAAAACCACAATGATATACCATCTCATAGCAGTTAGAAAGGCGATCATTAAAAAGTCAGGAAACAATGGGTGCTGGAGAGGATGTGGAGAAATAGGAACACTTTTACACTGTTGGTGGGACTGTAAACTAGTTCAACCATTGTGGAAGTCAGTGTGGCGATTCCTCAGGGATCTAGAACTAGAAATACCAACTGACCCAGCCATCCCATTACTGGGTATATACCCAAAGGACTATAAATCATGCTGCTATAAAGACACATGCACACGTATGTTTATTGCGGTACTATTCACAACAGCAAAGACTTGGAACCAACCCAAATGTCCAACAATGATAGACTGCATTAAGAAAATGTGGCACATACACACCATGGAATACCATGCAGCCATAAAAAATGATGAGTTCTTGTCCTTTGTAGGGACATGGATGAAGCTGGAAACCATCATTCTCAGCAAACTGTCGCAAGGACAAAAAACCAAACACTGCATGTTCTCACTCATAGGTAGGAATTGAACAATGAGAACACATGGACACAGGAAGGGGAACATCACACACCAGGGACTGTGGTGGGGTGAGGGGAGGGGGGAGGGATAGCATTAGGAGAGATACCTAATGCTAAATGATGAGTTAATGGGTGCAGCACACCAACATGGCACATGTATACATATGTAACAAACCTGCACGTTGTGCACATGTACCCTAAAACTTAAAGTATAATAATAAAAAGAAAAGAAAATGGGCAAAGAATCTGCATAGTCATTTCTTCAAAGATATACGAATAGCTCATAAACACATGAAAACATGCTCAACATCATTAATTATCAGGGAAATGCAAATCAAAACCAAAAGATACACTTCACACCCACTAGGATGAGTACAATAAAAAGTTATTGTCAGATAATAACAAGTGTTAGGATGTGGGGAAACTGGAACCCTTATATATTGCTAGTGGGAATGTAAAATGGTGGAGTTACTTTTGCAAACAGTCTAGAACCTTCTTGGTTGGGCAGAGAGGCTCACTCCTGTAATCTCAGAACTTTGGAGGGCCAAGATGGGCAGATCACCTGAGGTCAGGAGTTCGAGACCAGCCTGGTCAAAATGGTGAAACCCCATCTCTACTAAAAATACAAAAAAATTAGCCAGGCGTAGTGGTGCATGCCTGTAGTCCCAGCCACTCAGGAGGCTGAGGCAGGAGAATCACTTGAACCCAGGAGGTGAGACGAGACTCCATCTCAAAAAATAAAATAAAAAAAGAAAACAATCTAGCACTTTCTCAAATGGTTAAACATAAAGTTACCATGTGACTTTCTTAGGTATACACAGTTATCCCTTGATATCCATGGGGGATTAGTTCCAGGCCACCCTCACCCCTAGCCCAGGACACCAAAATCTATGGATGCTCAAGGCCCTTATAAAAAATGTAGTATTTGCATTTAACCTACTACACATATCCTCCTGTATACTTTAAATCCTCTCTAGATTACTTATAATACCTAATTCAATGTAACGCTAAGTCAATAGTTGCTATACTGTATTGCTTTTAAAATTTGTATTTTTATTGTTATATTGTTTATTTTAACTTTTTGAATATCTTCAATCTGTGATCCATGGTTGCATGAATCCACAGACGTAGAACCTGCAGATACAAAGGGTCAACTGTACTCAAAAGAAAACATATGTTCACACAAAAACTTGCACAGAATGTTTATAGTAGCACTATTCACAATGACCAAAAGGTGGGAGCAACCCAAATGTCCATCAACTGATGAATGGATGAACATAATGTGGCAATATCCATACAATGGAATATTATTTGGCCATAAAAAGGAAAGAAATAGTGATTCATGTTACAACATGGAAGAATCTTGAAAACACTATGCTATGTGAAAAAGTCACTCACAAAAGACCACATATTATGTGATTATATGAAATGTCTAGAATAGTTAAATCTATACAGATAGAATGTAGATTAATGGTTGCCTAGGGCAGGTGGAGTGGGAGTGACTACTAATACAGGATTTCTTTTCGGGTTGATAAGAAAGTTCTAAAATTGGCTTTGGTGAAAGTTGCACATATTTGTGAAAATACTGTATCATTGAATTGTACACTTTAATGGGTGAATTATATGTTACATGATTAATACTTCAATAAAGCTGGTATATATGAGTAATATATATGTTATTCATATGGTATCTATGCGATATATAATATATATAGTAACCTAGTTTACCTTCTACTTTAGATGCAATTGGACATCTCATCCTTCCAAGGTCAGACTCTTCTATAATGTTAAGGGCCTCCAGGGAAATGAGATCTACCACTTCCTGCAACTCTTAACTTCAAACAACCCTCAAGGGCTGATCGCTCTCCTTCAGGACTAGAAATACCAATTCTCTAGTACTTAGACCCTTTGCTAACTTTACTAAGAAATCTTACTATTCTACATCAGAGGTCTCGAATTTAGACACCTGTGGGGATAAGCCAGCTAGTAGAAATATGTGGCGGTGGCTCAGTAAGGCAGTGACGGGGCATTCGGTGAACTGCAGTTGCAAATGGACACCTAGAGTCATACGATGTGCAGGCCATGAAAATTCACCAAGGGCATTCACAGTTAAAACAAAAGAGAACCAAGCAGCACAAAATCAATGCAAGGTTGAGGAAGGAAAGCAGATCGCTGGACAAGATTTCCCCACTGGGCCACCAGCTCGTCATCTTTGTTCTAGAAGAGACAAGCAATAGCTGTAAGTTTGTTATTTTTCCTTTACTGGACTGAATTTTCCAGCCTTCTCAAGAGCATGTAAGTCAAAAAAATCATCTTTCTTTCTTTCAGTTATTTTTCACTTCTGGTGCTGGCTGTGCTCTGGCCTGACACACTAGTTAAAATCTCCATTTCATCCAGGAGAGTGTCCTATGTCTAAGCCTCTGCTTTGGGCCTTCACTATTGGCTTGTGTTACCCCAAATGTGAATGTGCAGTGTTGAAAGGCAAACTGGACAGATATGGTGGCTAGCCGTTTCTGGTGCTCCCATCATATCTCAGATAGCCTGACTGCATCATCTACAAACTCCCGCGTGTTCCTTTCTGATCCCAGCTGCAGCCCTCATTAGTGTTGAATTGATTTCTGGGGCTGCATCACCTGGTCAATGCCGATCCCCTGCAGTGAGAGGTAAAAGGCTGCAGTCCCTGTGGGGTGCTTGTGCTTACTGTAAACCAATCCAGACTCCCCGCCGTGTGTTTGCACACAGCCCTCACCTCTTCAGCTTCTGTCCACAGGACCTGGCTCCACAGCAAACATTTTAGCAAAGTGCATTTTGGAGGTTGAAATATGAGCACCAAAGGGATACTTTGCAGTTAAGGGAAAGTAGGACATCCCAATCCTCATACATATAATACCTCTTAATGGTCAAGGGTGAAAACTTGGATTTTATCTAAGCCTGTAACTCTATTTCTAAATTCACCTATTATGTTGAGATCAGCAGCATTAGTTTCATTGTCAAATAATGACACGGAAAAAGCCCAACCAGAGTATTTAGTTCTTATATCCAAGTATTTAAAAGCCTTTTTATATATTCAGAAAATGTGCCCCTCCATCCCTTACCCCAACACCTTATCAGGTAGGTAAATGTTATCAGCTTGAAATCTAAGACATGCAGTTGAGCCCAGGAAGTTGTCCTCCCAGTGGGCTCTTCTTGACACTTTCCCATCCCTTTTTGCTGTTTCTCTAACTTCTCCAATCAATTTAGTGCAAATTTCCATTTGCTCTGTGCCCAGGAAATATAAGGGAGCCATTGTGTTGTGGAATAATTTGATTGTTGAAACAGGAACTCTGATCTTAGTCATAAAATCTTTGGCATTGTAGAACTGGAAGGGACCTTAGAAATCATCTAGTCCCATCACCTTCAATGTGGATATTATTCGAGAGACACCAAGAGGATATATGACTTGCTCAAGGTTACACAGCAAAGTAATGACAGAGACAGGACTAGAACTCTGGATGTGGGAAGTTGGGATGTTTTCTTTTTGATTTTTCTTTTTTACAATCACTAACAGAGATGCAGAAATTGTGTAAGGGGTTATCAACATGGTGAGTAAGCAGTATGAACATTATAGAGTCGTGCATCACTTAACAAGGATATGTTCTAAGAAACACATTGTGAGGCGATGTCATCATTGTGCAAATGTTGAGTGTACAGACACAAACCTAGACGGTATAGCCATCTACATCTAGGCTATGTAGTGTAGCCTACAGCTTCTAGGCTACCAATCTTTACAGCATGTTACTGTACTGAATACTGTAGGCAGTTGTAACACAGCAGTATTTCTGTATCTCAACATAGCAAAAGTACAGTACAAACATGGTATAAAAGATAAAAAATGGTACAACTACAGAGGGCACTTACCATGAATGGAGCTTGCAGGACTGGAGGGTGCTCTATCAGTAAGCCAGTGGTGAGTGAATGTGAAGGCCTAGGCCCTAGGACATTACTGTACATTACTGTAGACTTTATAAACACTGTACACTTAGCTACAATAAATTTATAAAAATACTTTTCTTTCTTCAATAATAAATTAACCTTAGCTTACTGTAACTTTTCTACTTTATAGACTTTTAATCTTTAAGAAAACATTTTGACTCTTTCATAATAACAGCATAAAACACGAACACAACGTACAGTTGTACAAAACTATTTTCTTTCTTATATCCTTATTCTGTAAGTTTTTTTCTATTTTTAAATTTTTAATTTTTTAAAATTTCTGAACCTTTTTGTTAAAAAACAAAGACACAAACACACACATTAGTCTAGGCCCACACAGGGTGAAGATCATCAGTATCACTGTCTTCCACTTTCATAGGAGGGTCTCCAGGAGCAATAACACACATTGACTTGTCATCTCCTATGATAACAATGTCTTCTTCTGCAAGACCTCCTGAAGGACCTGAGGTTGTTTTACAGTTAACTTTTTTTAAAAAAAAAAGTAAAAGGAGTACATTCTAAAATAACAGCAAAAAAAAAAAAAAAAAAAAATGATAGTAGGCTGGGCATGGTGACTCATGCCTGTAATTCCAGCATTTTGGGATGCTGAGGTGGGAGGATTGCTTGAGTCAGAGTTCAAGACCAATCTGGGCAACATAGTGAGACCCTGTCTCTACAAAAAATCAGATGGGCAATGGTGGCTCCTGCCTGTAGTCCCAGCTACTCGGAGGCTGAGGTGGGAGGACTGTTTGAGCACAGTAAGTCAAGGCTGCAGTGAGCCATGATTGCACCCCCACACTTCAGCCTGGGTGACAGAGCGAGACACTGTCTCAAAAAAAAAAAAAAAAAAGATAATAAATCCGTAAACCAGTAACATAGTCATTTATTACCAAGTATTATGTAGTATACATAATTTTAGTGCCAGACTTTTCTATTACTTGCAGCACAGGTTTGTTTACACCAGCATCACCACAAACATGCAAGTTGCATTGTACTACTGTGTTATTACAGCTACAATGTCACTCGGCTATAGGAATTTTTCAGCTCTATTATAATCTTATGGGACCACCATTGGGACCACCATCATATATGCGGTTCATGGTTGACTGAAATGTTGTTATGCAGTGCATGACTGGAATAGCAAAATACAAAGTCATCAGCAAACCTTTGAATCTGGGTTACCTAATAAAATGCCCCTTAACTCCCTACCCCCGCCCACACACACACCCTACCGTAAATACTTATATGCATATATGAGAAAACTCTCTCTACACACACACACACACACATACATATGAGAAAACCCTCCTTACTTGGGCAAAGTATAGAGGAAATTAAACTGGGCAGCCTGAGTTGAGGGTGCCATATTGTTTTCTTCAAGAGAGAGAGGCTCTGCATTTAATGAATGCAAGTCATTTGGTCACAGATAAATTTTTTCAGAAGGGCATGAAAAATCCATCAGCACTTTGAGAAACTGGGCAGCATATCCTACAAGATCATGCACTCCTGTCAGTTGGTTCCTATCTTGATTTTCTAGGCAACTGAATCCTGAAAAGGTGAGGCCCTTCTCTGAGTCACTAGAAAGTTCAGCATGTCATTATAAATCAATGCATTAGCTTTCCAATATATACATACAACCCTCTTGGCAAGTTTGGTTACTGTGAATCAGCCAATCATTTCTGAATGAGCCAATCATCATCTTCAGACTGTGCAAAACTAAGGACAAAACACTGGACTCTGATGATCCTCCCTTCCCACTCCACTCCATCCTCCTCCCCCATCAAAGGCTGTAACTCTGCGAGATCCAGTTGAAGACAGCATTCTCGTCTCATTATTGCTAAAATTATGCTAAGAATAAGTGGATTTTAGCAGGAAAAAGAAATAGGGGAAGATAACATTTGTTGAGAGAGAGTAGTTGTCATACACTTCTGCACATAGTAGGTGAAGCAAAAAAAAAAAGTCTCTTCTTATTAACGAGAAGGTCAAATTTCCAGAGTGGTTTGGTAAGTCACAAGGAAATAGGGAGTCAAAAGATATCTACAGACATACCTGTCTGGCAAGATATGGGACACTCACACTCAAATTCTGTCTCCCCATTATCTGAGGATGAATATTTCATATCTTTTTCCCTCTCCTCAATTCTCTGCAATCGCTCCCCACCTCAGTCTGCTGATGACCTCACTTCAACATATTAGAAAATGGAAAGTGTTAAAGATGATTAAAATTTTTTTCTACCTAGAAACTTTTAAAGTATTAAAGAGTTCTCACCTACACTTCCTTGCCACAGAGATCCAACTCATTTGGGCAGTTCAAGAGACACACATTGCCTCAAGGGGAGAGGTAACAAAAAACAGCAAGCAAAAAAAGTCAATCCCTTGTTTTTGAAACTTATTCTATAGAGAATAATACGGAAAGAAAAGGCTTTGGGTTTGTAGTTTTACAAACTTTTTGAGCTTCATAAATTTTAGCTGGAAGACATATGGAAATGTGTGTGCATGTTTTGGATTTCACAATGAGGAGGACTAGGGGTTGGGGAGCAGGGCATGCAATGTGACTCTCATATGATGAAGAATTATCCTGCCCCCAAAGCCTACAGCATCCAGTTAAAAAATGCTTCTTTAAAGTCTTGCAGGTCTCAGGGCATTATGCTTTTGCCATAAATATTAGATTTTGTCAGAATAGTTACAGCTCCTGGCTACCTTAACTCCAAATTACATAAAAATCTCATAGGATGGCTAGTTGGAGAAGAGTCAGAAGGAAGAGCGCTTAGATACTAGTGTGCTCCTGAGAAAAGAGCCTGAGTTCTTGTTCCCAAGCTGAGTCATAGGAGCCTGGGGACATGATTCATTTCCTCTCCCCCGTCTCCAGATAAGTTGTGGAATCTAAGAGCAGAGACCTATGTCTCAGTCCAGGACAGTGCCCAGGTGCTGGGTGGGAAGGCCCATAAAAGAGAAGATAGTGTAGGAGCAGTAGAATTGAGCATGGCTGCATGAAGTGTCCAGATGGAGGGGCTGGAGGAGCCTCACAGAGGGAGTCTCTATAGCCTTGTCCTTGGAGGCAACAGCTGGATGCTTTCTGGTACAGTGACAATAGTGCAGATGCTGCACCACTATTGGAAGACCTAGGGATGGCTTGGATGAAGACAAGGACTGCTTCGATGGATAGAGAGGTCCGAGCTGCGTGCGGGTGCTTCAACCTTGTTCTGATGGCACTATATCAGGCCCTGTCAGCAGGTTTTCTTTCTTTCACCTCTCTCCCTCCCTCCCTCCCTGTTTGCTTTCTTTCTTTCCTTCCTTCCTTCTTTCCTTCCTCCCTCCCTCCCTGCTTGCTCACCCTTCCTTCCTTCCTTCCTCCCTCCTTCTTTTCTTTTCTTTCTTTTTCCTTCCTTCCTTCCCTCCCTCCCTCCTTTCTTTCTTTCTTTCTCTTTCTCTCTTTCTTTCTTTTCTTTCTATCTTTCTTCCTCTTTTCCTTTTTTTTTCAAAAGGGTCTCTCTCTGTCACCCAGGCTGGAGTGCAGTGATGCAATCATAGCTCATGGCAGCCTCAAACTCTTGGACTCAAGCAAGCCTCCCATCTCAGCATCCTGTGTAGTTGGGACTACAAGTGCACACCACTATGCCCTTGTTAAAAAAAAATGTATGCTGCCCAGGCTGGTCTCTCTGAATGATAGAGGTTACATTTAGCACTCATGTTGAAATAGAGTGTCAAAATAAAATTTAGATTTTTTCAGAAAAAGTTGTCTCTTTTTCACATGTAGCTTTGGGGAATGAGAAATTCAAGTTGCTACAGTACAGACCCATCTTTCCTGTTCTGATAGAGGAAGAGTTTTGCTGAGGAGTAGGGGCAAGAACTGTCCCTCTCTTCAAATTTTCAAAGAGGGAAGGGAGTTCTCCTCCATTGCCTTTAAAGTTTCTGCATTTAATGAATGCAAGTCATTTAGTCACATAATTTTTTTCAGAAGGGCATGAATAAACCTTCCAGGAAGGACAATCCTGGGTAGCAGGGTGAACTACCACTTGCCAAGCCTGATCTAGTTACTACCGCTTCTGAAGGTCCAACCTATCAGCAACAGAAACTAACAGTGAAAGACCAATTGGCTATTTGATGACAAATCGACTATATTGATCCTCTGCTATCCTGGAAAGACTAATAGTTTAGTCTCAAAGGAATAGACAATCTGCGTATGGACTCGCCTTTCCTCCCCAAAGCTTCAGCCACACATCACTATCTGGGGGCTTATGAAATGCCTGATCCACAGACTTGGAACTACATAGCATCTGACTAGGAGATCCACTTCCCAGTGAAGGAGAGGTGGGATCCACTGATCATATCTCATTTTGAACAACCCAGAAGAAGTCAGCCTAACAGAGTGACAGAATGACCTACTGAAGACTGAGCTGAGAGGAAATACTCTGCAAAGATGAGGCACCGTACTCCAGGATGCAGTATATACTGAATTAGACAGCTCTGTATGGCACCATTTCACAAAAACAGAGAACACATGGGTCTGGGAACCGAGGATGAAGCAGGGGTGGCTCCATTTGTCATCATTCTGATCTCTCTGGGGGACTTGGTGTATCCCATTCCCACAACTCAGGGCTCTGAAGTCTTGGAGGTATTGGTCTTCAAAGGGGGCACACTCTTATCAACAGACATGATAAGGATCCTATGGAAGTACAAGCTACAGCTACCATGGGAGCACTTTGAATTCCTTGTGTCCAGGCTCCAGCAGGCAAGAAGAGTCACCATCTTGGCAGGGGTAATTGATGCTGATCATCAGAGGGAGGTAGAGATTCTGTTCCACTGTGGGGTAAATATGCAAGGGAAGGATACGTGTTAAACCTGGGTGATCCACTTGGGCACACCCTGGTACCTCCTTGCCAAGTTCTGACAGTGAATAAACAAGGGCCTGAGAAGGGTATGCCATCAGGGACGCAAATCCCTCAGAAATGAGGATTGGGGTACTGCCACCAGGTAATTCCCTGAGACCAGCAGAGGTGACAGCTGAGGGCAAGGGAATTTTAAATGGATAGTGGAGAAGAGTGAGTATCATTTATAGCACTTAGATCAAATACAGCAACAGGGGCTGTAGTTTGTCTCCCTAAACTCCCTCTGGTAAATTTCCCCTCAGAAAGAAAGGCCCAGTAGAATCCTGGAAGGGCTATTCCCTGAAACTGTATAGAGAAGTGGATCTGGACTCTGGCAGCCAAGCAGGTGGTCCACTCTGAACTCCCTTCAACAAAAAACTTATTTTTTAGCTGCAAAAAGTGCCGTTAACTCACAGCCTATAGCTGCAGCAACTTTGGGATCTACAAAGTGTAGGAGCTGGGGCCATGCTCCTCTGGGCAGTCCCCAGCCAACTGCTGAGCATGGTAGGGGTACGAGAGTCTGGCCATTTCTGCCCCAAACAGGACTTCTCTAAGACGCAGTCTTTGCTCTAGAGCTCCATGTTGGTTTGGCTTTACCTTATCTGCACTGTGGTTTGAGTCTCTCTCTCTGTCCACTCCTTCTTGGAATGGACAGGAAGGAAGACTTTTGTAAATGTCAGATCAGCACATGGTCTGAAGGCTTTTCCTCCCCAATCCTCCTTTCTTCCCCTTTATCTTTCACAGGCACTCCTCTTCAATAAATATCTTTTAATCACTCCTAACTCTGTTTTAGTGTCTTTCCCAAATGACCCAAACTGACACAAATCATAAAAGAGTATGAGGTCCAGGACACAATGACCAATCCACCCACTACCTACCAATACAGGACAAAGCCCTGTTCATTATTCTTTCTTAATGCATGATGTATCTGTTCTTATGTGCCATATTCATTAGCTGGTTTGAGCCTTTACCTCAATTTGTCTTCATATTCATTTATGTAATATTTTAAATAATTATAAAAATAATACACTGTAGAATCCAAACAGTACAAAACTAAAATTATCCTTTTATACTTCAGTACTAATTCTCAGAGCTAATAATAATACTTGTATATCCTTCCAGATTGACATACATGTCCATAGATAAATGAGATTATACTAAACATTGTTATACAACCTGCTGGGTATTTTTAACTTAAAACTATTTTAGTTGAGCATTCCTAATCCAAAATTCAAAAATTTAAATACTCCAAAATCCAAAACATTTTGAGTGCCGACATGATGCCACAAGTCGAAAATTCCACACCCGACCTCATGTGATGGGTTTCAGTCAAAACACAGGTGCACAATACACAGTTTATTCCAATGTCCGCCCCCCGCAAAAAAAAAAAAAAAAAAAAAAAAGAGCCTCCTAGCCCCATTCAGCTGCCATATATATTTTCTGTGCATGCCCAGATTCCCCCATGCAAGCCTGCCCATAAAAAGTAATAAAATGGCAGGTGTGCCGGCCAGGCGCACCAACAGCAGGTTCCCCACGATGTCCCACATGGGGCCAAGACCTATGTGCATTACTCCCTGTGTTTTCCTGCTTATTCTCTGCTCTGTGGTGTAAACTGTTCAAAATGTCAAAAAGGCCTGCAGATACCCCGAAGAGTAACAGTGAAAAGAAAAAGAGAAAAGTAATAAGAAAAAGAGGAATCATTTATGTTTACCTATAGCACAGAAAGTCAATTGTTGGAGAAACTGGACAGCAGTGTAAGTGTGAAACATCTTACAGAAGAGCACGGTGTTGGAATGACCACTGTATAGGACCTGAAGAAACAGAAGAATAAACTACTGGGGTTTTATGCTGAAAGTGATAAACAGAAGTTAATGAAAAATAGAAAAACACTGCACAAAGCTATACATGAAGATCTGGATTGTGTATTGAAAGAGTGGATCTACCCCATAGCAGTGAATATATGACAATTAATGGTATGTTGATAATGAAACAAGCAAAGATCATGATGAACTGAAAACTGAAGGAAACTGAATATTCAACAGACCGGTTGCAGACATTTAAGAAAACACACAGTGTTAAGTTTTTAAAGATTTGTAGTGCTAAAGCATCTGCTGATCATGAAGCAACAAATAAATTCATTGATGAGTTTGTCAAGGTCATCACTGATTAAAATCTGATACGAGAACAAGTCTATAGTGCTGATTAAACATCACTGTTTAGGTATTATTGCCCCAGAAAAACACTGATGACAGCTGATGACAGCTCCTACAGAAATTAAGGATTCCAAGGGTAGAATAACTGTGCTGAGATGTGCTAATGCAGCAGGCACACCTAAGTGTAAACTTGCTGTGATAGGCAAAAGCTTGTGTCCTTGCTGTTTTCAAGGAGTGAATTTCTCACCAGTCCATTATTACGCTAACAAAAATACATGGATCACCAGGGACATCTTTCACAACTGGTTTCACAAACATTTTGTACCAGTAGCTGGCACTCCCTGTAAGGAGACTGGACTGGAGGAAGATTACAAGCCTTTGTTATTTCTTGACAATTGTTCTGTTCTTGGCCAGCTGAAATTCTCATTAATCCTGTTATGGCAGGTACTTTCCCCCAAATGTTACTTCATTAATTCAACCATGTGCCTAGGGTAGACTTAGAACAATTGAGAGTAAATATAAAAACTTTTTCTTGAATAGCATGCTAGCAGCAATGAACAGAGGCGTGGGTGTGGGTTTTCAAAAGGAGTTTAGCATGAAGGATGCCATATATTCTGTTGCCAATGCTTGGAATACAGCAACTAAAAACACAGCTGGGCATGCCTGGCACAACCTCTGGCCTGTAATTATATTCAGTGATGATGATACATAAGGTGGTCACTTTGAAGGAGTCCACTTTGAAGGAGAAAAATTATGTCTGACCTCCTTACATATGCAAAAAATATTCCATCAGAGTCCATCAGTATGCTGGAAGAAGTGGATATCAAAGAAGTTTCTAAAATAGATAATGAGGCTCCAGTTGTTCATTCATTGACTGATGGTGAAATAGCCAAAATAGTTCAGAATCAAGGTGATTGTAAGAATAGTGATGACTGAGATGACGTTGTTAACACTGCAGACAATGTACCTATAGACAACATGGTGAAATGTGCAATGGGCTTACTGAAGGACTAGAGCAGTGTGAATTCTTAACAGAACAAGAAATTGTGTCCATTTATAAAATCTAAGAGAAACTTTTTTTTATATATACTTTAAGTTCTAGGGTACATGTGCACAATGTGCAGGTTTGTTACATATGTATACGTGTGCCATGTTGGCATGTTGCACCCATTAACTCGTCATTTACATTAGGTATATCTCCAAATGCTATCCCTCCCTGCTCCCTCCACCCCATGACAGGCCTGGTGTGTGATGTTCCCCTTCCTGTGTCCAAGTGTTCTCATTGTTCAATTCCCACCTATGAGTGAGAACATGCGGTGTTTGGATTTTTGTCCTTGCAATAGTTTGCTGAGAATGATGGTTTCCAGCTTCATCCATGTCCCTACAAAGGACATGAACTCATCCTTTTTTATGGCTGCATAGGATGCCATGGTATATATGGGCCACATTTTCTTAATCCAGTCTATCATTGATGGACATTAGGGTTGGTTCCAAGTCTTTGCTATTGCGATTATACTGCAATAAACATACATGTGCATGTGTCTTTATAGAGCATGTTTTATAATCCTTTCGGTATATACATAGCAATGGGATGGCTGGGTCAAATGGTATTTCTAGTTCTCGATTCTTGAAGGAATAGCCACACTGTCTTCCACAGTGGTTGAACTAGTTTACAGTCCCACCAACAGTGTAGAAGTGTTCCTATTTCTCCACAACCTATCCATCACCTGTTATTTCCTGACTTTTCAATGATCACCATTCTAACTGGTGTAAGATGGTATCTCATTGTGGTTTCGATTTGCATTTCTCTGATGGCCAGTGATAAGCATTTTTTCATGCGTCTGTTGGCTGCATGAATGTCTTCTTTTGAGAAGTGTCTGTTCATATCCTTTGCCACTTTTTGATGGGGTTGTTTTTTTCTTGTAAATTTGTTTGAGTTCTTTGTAGATTCTGGATATTAGCCCTTTGTCAGATGAGTAGATTGCAAAAATTTTCTTCCATTCTGTAGGTTGCCTGTTCACGCTGATGGTAGTTTCTTTTGCTGTGCAGAAGCTCTTCAGTTTAATTAGATCCCATTTGTCAATTTTGGCTTTTGTTGCCATTGCTTTTGGTGTTTTAGACATGAAGTCCTTGCCCATGCCTATGTCCTGAATGGTACTGCCTAGGTTTTTTTCTAGGGTTTTTATGGGTTTAGGCCTACCATTTAAGTCTTTAACCCATCTTGAAATAATTTTTGTATAAGCTGTAAGGAAGGGATCCAGTTTCAGCTTTCTACATATGGCTATCCAGTTTTCCCAGCACCATTTATTAATAGGGAATCCTTTCCCCATTGCTTGTTTTTGTCAGGTTTGTCAAAGATCAGCTGGTTGTAGATGTGTGGTATTATTTCTGAGGGCTCTGTTCTGTTCCATTGGTCTGTATCTCTGTTTTGGTACCAGTACCATGCTGTTTTGCTTACTGTAGCCATGTAGTATAGTTTGAAGTCAGGTAGCATGATGCCTCCAGCTTTGTTCTTTTGGCTTAGGATTGATTTGGCAATGAGGGCTCTTTTTTGGTTCCATATGAACTTTAAAGTAGTTTTTTCCAATTCTGTGAAGACAGTCATTGGTAGCTTGATGGGGATAGCACTGAATCTATAAATTACCTTGGGAAGTATGGCCATTTTCATGATATTGATTCTTCCTATCCATGAGCATGGAATGTTCTTCCATTTGTTTGTGTCCTCTTTTATTTTGTTGAGCAGTGGTTTGTAATTCTCCATGAAGAGGTCCTTCACATCCCTTGTAAGTTGGATTCCTAGGTATTTTATTCTCTTTGAAGCAATTGTGAATGGGAGTTCACTCATGATTTGGCTCTCTGTTTGTCCGTTATTGGTGTATAAGAATGCTTGTGATTTTTGCACATTGATTATGTATCCTGAGACTTTGCTGAAGTTGCTTATCAGCTTAAGGAGATTTTGGACTGAGACAATGGGGTTTTCTAGATATACAATCATGTCATCTGCAAACAAGGACAATTTGACTTCCTCTTTTCGTAGTTGAATACCCTTTATTTCTTCCTCCTGCCTGACTGCCCTGGCCAGAACTTCCAACAGCATGTTGAATAGGAGTGGTGAGAGAGGGCATCCCTGTCTTGTGCCCGTTTTCAAAGGGAATGCTTCCAGTTTTTGCCCATTCAGTATGATATTGACTATGGGTTTGTCATAAATAGCTCTTATTATTTTGAGATACATCCCATCAATACCTAATTTATTGAGAGTTTTTAGCATGAAGAGCTGTTGAATTTTGTCAAAGGCCTTTTGTCAAAGGCCTTTTCTGCATCTATTGAGATAATCATGTGGTTTCTGTCTTTGGTTCTGTTTATATGCTGGATTACGTTTATTGATTTGTGTATGTTTACAAGCCTTGCATCCCAGGGATGAAGCCCACTTGGTCATGGTGGATAAGCTTTTTGACCTGCTGCTGGATTCAGTTTGCCAGTATTTTATTGAGGATTTTTGCATCGATGTTCATCAGGGATATTGGTCTAAAATTCTCTTTTTTTTGTTGTGTCTCTGCCAGGCTTTGGTATCAGGATGATGCTGGCCTCATAAAATGAGTTAGGGAGGATTCCTTCTTTTTCTACTGATTGAAATAGTTTCAGAAGGAATGGAGCCAGCTCCTCCTTGTACCTCTGGTAGAATTTGGATGTGAATCCACCTGATCCCGGACTTTTTTTGGTTGGTAGGCTATTAATTATTGCCTCAATTTCAGAGCCTGTTATCGGTCTATTTTGGGATTCAACTTCTCCCTGATTTAGTCTTGGGAGGGTGTATGTGTCCAGGAATTTATCCATTTCTTCTAGATTTTCTAGTTTATTTGTGTAGAGGTGTTTATAGTATTCTCTGATGGTAATTTGTATTTCTGTGGGGTTGGTGGTGATATCCCCTTTATCATTTTTTATTGCATCTATTTGATTCTTCTCTCTTTTATTCTTTATTAGTCTGCTAGCGGTCTATCAATTTTGTTGATCTTTTCAAAAAACCACCTCCTGGATTCATTGATTTTTTGAAGGGATTTTTGTGTCTGTATCTCCTTCAGTTCTGCTCTGATCTTAGTTATTTCTTGCCTTCTGCTAGCTTTTGAATGTGTTTGCTCTTGCTTCTCTAGTTCTTTTAATTGTGATGTTAGGGTGTCAATTTTAGATCTTTCCTGTTTTCTCTTGTGGGCATTTAGTGCTATAAATTTCCCTCTACACACTTCTTTGAATGTGTCCCAGAGATTCTGGTACGTTGTGTCTTTGTTCTCATCGGTTTCAAAGAACATCTTTATTTCTGCCTTCATTTCATTATGTACCCAGTAGTCATTCAGAAGCAGGTTTTTCAGTTTCCATGTAGTTGAGCGGTTTGGAGTGAGTTTCTTAATCCTGAGTTCTAGTTTGATCGCACTGTGGTCTGAGTTTATAATTTTTGTTATAATTTCTGTTCTTTTAAATTTGCTGTGGAGTGCTTTACGTCCAATTATGTGGTCAATTTTGGAATAAGTGCGATGTGGTGCTGAGAAGAATGTATATTCTGTTGATTTGGGGTGGAGAGTTCTGTAGATATCTATTAGGTCTGCTTGGTGCAGAACTGAGTTCAATTCCTGGATATCCTTGTTAACTTTCTGTCTCGTTGATCTGTCTAATGTTGACAGCGGGGTGTTAAAGTCTCCCATTATTATTGTGTGGGAGTCTAAGTCTCTTTGTAGGTCTCTAAGGACTTGCTTTATGAATCTGGGTGCTCCTGTATTGGGTGCATATATATTTAGGATACCTAGCTCTTCTTGTTGAATTGATCCCTTTACCATTATGTAATGGCCTTCTTTGTCTCTTTTGATCTTTGTTGGCTTAAAGCCTGCTTTATCAGAGACCAGGATTGCAACTCCTGCCTTTTTTTGTTTTCCATTTGCTTGGTAGATCTTCCTCCATCCCTTTATTTTGAGCCTATGTGTGGCTCTGCATGTAAGATGGGTGTCCTGAATACAGCACACTGATGGGTCTTGACGCTTTATCCAGTTTGCCAGTCTGTGTCTTTTAATTGGAGCATTTAGCCCATTTACATTTATGGTTAATATTGTTATGTGTGAATTTGATCCTGTCATTATGATGTTAGCTGGTCATTTTGCTCGTTAGTTGTTGCAGTTTCTTCCTAGCATCGATGGTCTTTACAATTTGGCATGTTTTTGCAGTGGCTGGTACTGGTTGTTCCTTTCCATGTTTAGTGCTTCCTTCAGGAACTCTTGTAAGGCAGGCTTGATGGTGACAAAAACTCTCAGCATTTGCTTGTCTGTTAAGGATTTTATTTCTCCTTCGCTTATGAAGCTTAGTTTGGCTGGATATGAAATTCTGGGTTGAAAATTCTTTTAAGAATGTTGAATATTGGCCCCCACTTCTCTTCTGGCTTGTAGAGTTTCTGCCAAGAGATCTGCTGTCAGTCTGATGGGCTTCCCTTTGTGGGTAACCCGACCTTTCTCTCTGGCTGCCCTTAACATTTTTTCCTTCATTTCAACTTTGGTGAATCTGACAATTATGTGTCTTGGAGTTGCTCTTCTTGAGGAGTATCTTTGTGGTGTTCTCTGTATTTCCTGAATTTGAATGTTGGCCTGCCTTGCTAGGTTGGGGAAGTTCTCCTGGATAATATCCTGCAGAGTGTTTTCCAACTTGGTTCCTTTCTCCCCGTCACTTTCAAGTACACCAATCAGACATAGATATGGTCTTTTCACATAGTCCCATATTTCTTGGAGGCTTTGCTCATTTCTTTTTACTCTTTTTTCTCTAAACTTCTCTTCTCACTTCATTTCATTCATTTGATCTTCAATCACTGATACCCTTTCCTCCAGTTGACAGAATCAGCTACTGAAGCTTGTGCATTTGTCACCTAGTTCTCGTGCCAGGGTTTTCAGCTCCATCAGGTCATTTAAGGACTTCTCTACACTGGTTATTCTAGTTAGCCATTTGTCTAATCTTTTTTTCAAGGTTTTTAGCTTCTTTGAGATGGGTTCCAACTTCCTCCTTTAGCTCGGAGAAGTTTGATCATCTGAAACCTTCTTCTCTCAACTCGTCAAAGTCATTCTCCATCCAGTTTTGTTCTGTTGCTGGCAAGGAGCTGCGTTCCTTTGGAGGGGGAGAGGCCCTCGGATTTTTAGAATTTTCGGCTTTTCTGCTCTGTTTTTTCCCCATCTTTGAGGGTTTACCTACCTTTGGTCTTTGATGATGGTGACGTACAGATGTGGTTTTGGTGTGGATGTCCTTTCTGTTTGTTAGTTTTCCTTCTAACAGTCAGGACCCTCAGCTGCAGGTCTGTTGGAGTTTGCTGGAGGTCCACTCCAGATCCTGTTTGCCTGGGTATCAGCAGCAGAGGCTGCAGAATAGTGAGTATTGCTGACAGTAAATGTTGCTGCCTGATTGTTCCTCTGGAAGCTTCGTCTCAGAGCAGTACCCTGCCGTGTGGTGTGTCAGTCTGCCCCTACTGGGGGATGCCTCCCAGTTAGGCTACTCGGGGGTCAGCGACCCACTTGAGGAGGCAGTCTGTCCATTCTCAGATCTCAAACTCCATGCTGGGAGAACCACTACTCTCTTCAAAACTGTCAGACAGGGACATTTAAGTCTGCAGAGGTTTCTGCTGCCTTTTGTTCATCTATGCCCTGCCCCCAGAGGTGGAGTCTACAGAGGCAGGCAGACCTCCTTGAGCCGCGGTGGGCTCCACCCAGTTCGAGCTTCCCGGCCGCTTTGTTTACCTACTCGAGCCTCAGCAATGGCAGGCACCCCTCCCCCAGCCCTGCTGCCGCTTTGCACTTCGATCTCAGACTGCTGTGCTAGCAATGGGTGAGGCTCCATGGGCTTGGGACCCTCCGAGCCAGGCGCGGGATATAATCTCCTAGTGTGCTGTTTGCTAAGACCATTGGAAAAGTGCAGTATTAGGGTGGGAGTGACCCGATTTTCCATGTGCCGTCTGTCACAGCTTCCCTTGGCTAGGAAAGGGAATTCCCTGAGCCCTTGTGCTTCCCGGGTGAGGCGATGCCTCGCCCTGCGTTGGCTCATGCTCGGTGGGTGTGCTGCACCCACTGTCCTACCCCCACTGTCTGACAAGCCCCAGTGAGATGAACCTGGTACCTCAGTTGGAAATGGAGAAATCACCCGTCTTCTGTGTCACTCAAGCTGGGAACTGTAGACTGGAGCTGTTCCTATTCGGCCATCTTGGAACTGCCTTTTCCAAATGAAACAGAAACTTCTAAGACCAAAACTGTTAATAATGAGACAAATGATTCTGGAGGAAATATTTTAAAAAGTCGTGCAGCATAATGGCTAGTCATCCCTTGAGGACTCACTTCCTGGTCCCTCAAGGGTTTCTGATGTTTCTTCTAATCTAAAAAAACAAAATACAGTGTACAGTAGCCTTTTAATCAAAACACAGCATCATAGCTTCATAGGTGGTGACTGAAAGCCTGCCATTTGTTAGTTGTTGCTGTAGTTTAACAGCTGAGACAGTATCCTGGTGATGCTACTGTACTGCTTAGTTACCCTGAACACAATTTTTTTCACTGTATTAATGGTATGTTATATTTTTATTGTTAAGTACTGATGTGTGAATAAGTATAACAAAAGGATTGTTTACTGCTGGCATATAAATTCAGAGTCAGGAATGAAGGTTATACCAAACAACCACAGATTGTCCACAAGGGTGGCTGAGATAGTGACACCCTTTTTTCCCAATGGTTCAGTGTACACAAACTGTTTCATGCACAAAGTTATTAAGAATTTTGTATACAATTCCTTTCAGGCCGTGTGTATAAGGTATATATGAAACATAAATGAATTTTGTGTTTAGACTTGGGTCCCATCCCCAAGATATCTCATTATGTATATGCAAATATTCCAAAATGTGAAAAAAAATCCCAAATCTAAAACACTTCTCATCCCCAGCACTTTGGATAAGGGATACTCAACCTGTATTTTGGAAATATGAACAACTTTTCATGTCAATATATGTAACTCCATCTCACTCCTTTAACAGCTGTTATCATAGTTTAGTTAACAAGTCATGCCATTGAAGAACATTTATCTTCAGGATTTGGCTACTGCCAACAAGGCTACAGTCAATCTTGTATTCATTTTTCTGGGAACTGATGTTTCAAATCTCTGTCCATTTTTAAATTAAAATGTTTATCTTTTTCATGCTTTTTTTTTTACATTTGTTACAATATTGTTGCTTTTTCTTTCCAACTTTTATTTTAGGTTCAAGGGGTACATGTGCAGGTTTATTACATGGGTAAGTTGTGTCATGAGGGTTTGGAATATGGATGATTTTGTCACCCAGGTAATCAGCGTAATACCCAATAGGTAGTTTTTCAATCCTCACCCTCCTCCAATTTTTAGGAGTTCTTTAAATGCTAAAGAAATTAGTTCATTTTCTTATATGTGTGTTACAAATTTTTTCTCTACTTTGTTCATCATCTTTTGACATTTGCTAGTGGTGTTTTCTGTATAAAAGTTTGAAATTTGTGTATAGTAAATTTTTTTCAATAGTTTCTGTTACAGATTTTAGGTGTGGAGTCTTGCCTAGAAATGCCTTCTCTATGCCAATATTATGAAAAACAAATCACCTATGTATATTTCTAGTACATTCATAGTTCTCATTTTTAAGTATTTAAATATTTTATTTTCTGGAGTTTATTTCAGCATAAACAATGTAGGTTTTTTTTCTGGACAAATGCAAGTAATTCTAATGCCATGTATTAAAGGATACATCTTTCCCCACTGATTTGAAATATTACACCTTAAATTCTCATAATATTTCTATTACTACTTTACTTAATTACTACATTTCTCAGTCTCTTAGAATCCTTATAGAATCTGTGTTAATGACCATATATGAACAAACAAATGACATAAACAACAGAATGGAAATAGTCATCTAAGAGTAAGTCAGCAAGAAAGTTCTCCAAGGTCCTAGTTACTTTTACAGAGTGCCATGTCTAAAGTTCAGTAAGTTGGTCTCCATCTCCAGCAGGTGCCAGGCAAACAAGTGAAAGGACAAGGATCTAGGGCAATCTGGGGTTTTGTTGCCCTCTTCGTATAAAATCTTTCCCATTACAGTTCTTGGATTTTTACGAGAGCAGGTTAGTTTTTAATGAGCGCATAACTGAAGGAAGGCTTTGCATTTCAAAGCCTGTTGCTGTTACACCCGCTGCATTAGTAAAGTAAGTTCGGGGATCAGCTGGAAAGAGAACTTTAAGTGTCTTATGGCATCCCTCTGCAGCAAGACAGCCTTTCTGAAGGTGATTGCAGACAGACATGGTCCTGCATCTTTGAAGTATACTCAATGAAGAATCAATTCAGGAACTCACAGACACTAGTTATCAGCTTGTGTTTATTCACATCGCAGAGAAGGGTTTAATCAACGTAATACATATTGGTCAATTCTTTGCTTTTAAACTTTACCTTTTGCCTATCAGCAGATCAATATGTATTTTAATCTTCTTCTGTTTTAGAACTGATTTTAAGACTCACAGCAATGAGGCCCAGATTTCACAATCATTAATTGCCATTATCAGCCCCTTTTATTTCCTAAGCATCAGCAGTTTCTTAAAATTCTGCTTTCATTCTTTTACGAAGTTATGCCTTCTTGTTCATCATTTGGTTCTGTTGTGCCTTTCAACCAAGTACAGAGTTTATGACTAGCCAATAATGGGAAGAAAAAGAATGCCCTGCAAATTCTCCATTGATTAACCAGTCTATCTGACTTCATCAACAGCTGCACACAAAACTCAAATGGTCTGACCACTTCTTGGTGAATGGTATCAAGTAATTCCAAAGCTCCAGGTGGGTCTGTCAAAGGGACTCATATTCATTTTTTCTATCTTTTAAATAAGTACTGAATTACCTCTGCCTCTCATGGGAAGATCAGAAATAAATAATAAATAAATACTGAATTATCATCTTTGGGTGGTCAGTTATTCTACATATTACAGTACAACTTGTTTCTTCCTAAATTGTCAGTATTTTCTAGTATACCAAAAGTTGGAAAGTTGAAGAATCTGCCATTCCATTGCTGCCTAATTTGGGAAAGTCACTTAATCTCTCTAGGTCTTAATTTCCTTGTCTGTAAGGTAGTGTAACAATAGGTCATTTTTGGAAATTATGAGATAACCCAAATAATGTATTTTGCACAAAGCCTAGCTACCAGGACAAATGAGAAACTCAAAACCCAGATGAAGGACTGTCCCTGTTAACAGTGATGATACTGCTGCTGACTTACAGATTAAAGTATAAGGCAGCAACTGAATGGAAGGAAGTAATCTGACTAAAGGATCAGTGTGTTCATACCTGCAAATGTATCTCGCACTTGAACCTTAGGAAGAAAAGGAATTTGTATGATTGGTCCAAAAAAAAACCTTTTCACTTGGTGTACTGCATTATTACTCAAGTAAGGTTATTTCCATTTGCCACATAATTATGGAGCCTCCCTTCCTGTGTGCCTCTTTGTACACAGTGAAATGTTCCTCTGCTGTCTTTATAGAGTTTATTTTCTTCTAAACATAAAATTATAAATGTTCATTGTAGGAAATTTAGAAATTTATAAAAATATGAAGAAAATAAAAATTATTCATAATTCTACCACTGGTAGATATGTTTGATGCCTTTTCTCTCATATATGTACCAACATAGATATTTATATTATGTATAAATATAGAAATACATCAAAACTTTCATATAGAAATACTTCAAATTACCAATAGACTGGGTTCTGAAATGTAGATCCATTTGTGCAAAAGTCCATAGTGACTTTAAACTTAGCACAATATCTGTTTTTGTTGAGAAGAATTGACCCATTTCTGCTCTGTTGTGAGACTTAGTTTCTATCCATGAAAATCTGTGACTGGAAAATTTATAGAGCAGATTTTGTATCCTACCCTTTTCATCAAATATCAAATCATGAGAACTTTGTAATGTTGATAAATATTCTATAAAACCATGATTCTCAACATTGCCTGATAGTCCATTAAATGAATATAAGATTTATTGGACAATTTATTTACTAATGTATTTAAAATAACCCCATGACGCATATCACACAGAGAAATCTTACTCTAGCTCTCTAGCTATTTCCTCAGGAAAGATTTCTAGAAGTAGGATCAAAGATAATACACTTATTTAATAATTATGACATATATATGTATATACATACATATAAACATATATATATATATACACACACACATATATATGTACACACACACTCATATATATACATGGTCAAATGCTTTCCAGAAAGACTGTGCTTAATTACATACCTAACCCCATACCTAACCACAGTGACACTATTACCGGCACAAAGTTAGCATCATCTTTTAAGTCCTCTCTAATTAGGCATGAAGCTATATGCATCCACTGTGGTATGCTTTCTGAGGCCTGGAAGTCTATGCTTTCTCATTGACCACAGCAGGTCTTAGGGCTCCAGATTATCTGTCAGACCTCACATTTGGTCCAGGGTCCATGGCTTCAGTGGCTTTACCTTCTTTCTTATCTTGTTGCCCACCTGGGCTCTATATTTCAAAGAAATACTGACCAGTTTTGCTTGATGTGAAACTATACTGTAGTCTATTCTGATACAGAGGACTACAGATGCTCCTGGTCTCTACTCTGCAGAGGAGTGGAAAGGGCTATTTATGCTGCCTCAATGGTTCTGGTGGGAAGATGGTTTTTAGTAGAGTTTCTGTTTTATCTACTTAAATTTCTTATCTAGCAGTTGGAGGTAAAATTGATACAGTAGTGCTGATTTCCAAATGCCAACACACACACACACACACACACACACACACACACACACACTCTCTTTATTTAGCTCTTGCCTCCCTACCTTGGGATGAACAAACACAAATAAATGCATTATTATAGATTTATTCTCATTGCAGGCAATCACATCCATCCCATTGAGCAGATTATTTAACTCCTTACACAATTATCTGGCAGCAGTGAAAGTGATTTCTCAAACAGTATGAAACACAAATGTTTATCCAGGAACAAATGCCTGTGAGACTTTGGGAGGAGAACTGAGGATCCCTTAAAAAGGTGCTAAGAACCTACTAGCCACTTGCCTAGATATTCCACATATGCTTCAGAGATTCTCTCTCTCTCACACACACACACACACACACACACACACACAACTGATCACAAAATCCACAATATAAACTGTACAAAATATGGGAAATACTGCATATTACCTAAGAAGAGAGTATGAGAAATAAGTTAAAATAGTAAAATATGTTTTTTTAAAAAAAGAAAAACAGATATTGCTAGAAAATTAAAGATACAGGAAAAAAGAGAAATGAAGAGCACTCCCATGTACTTGTCAACTATTATGTTTCCAGTTCTCTGTGGCTGAATTTCATCAAGGGATAGAGAACTGGGGAAAAAGATTAAGCAGGAGGGTATAACCTTAAAAAATGTTCAGTATTTAAGAGGAAAGGGGAAGGGGGTTCTGAAAAGATCTGGAGAAGAACCTATCAAAAAAGTAGGAGGATAACCAGGATCATGTATTTTTATGAAAGCTAGAATAGGAGCTTCAAGAAGCAAACACAAGTCCATAGTTAAGTGCTGCACAAGAAATCCAGGGTAAGAACGAACATGTTTCAGTGGGATTTATTTGTAGGAAGTGACCTTTAAGAGAGAATGGATGTTAATATTTGAGTGACTTTTCTGGAGATGCCCATTATTTTGACCTCACCCCTGCATCACCTTCTTGCAGAATCTACCCATGTCCCCCTTGGTCTCCCATTGTGTCTGCTGAACAAGTAGAATCCCATAGACCCCTTTCTCTCTGGACACAGAAGAGTGCAGGGAAATGAATCGTGAAGACTCTTTTAGGTTCTTAAACTGGAAAATTAAGTGAGTCGGTTTAAGAACCTAAAGTGACCATGCCTGGGTCATGTGGAAATTAGGCTGAGAGCACCAGTCAGTAGAAGGAAGGGAAGGAAGCAGAGGCACAGAAAGGCCCAGAGATCAGAGAGCAGACACCCCCAGGAACAGAGGAGAGGAGGGTGCATTACAAGAAAAAGACCCCTTGCTTCCTCTAAAGGCTGGGCTGCACTCCTGCCCTCAGGTTCCATGAATTATCCCTCTTTCCTTCCAGTAATTTGGAGTGGGATTTGGTGCCTCATCATCAAACTACTCCATCCGAGACAGTAACTACTGTGTGCCATTTGGCTGTGTGCTAAATACTCTGTCACGTAATGCTTACAAGAGCTCAGTAGAGAAGGTATCATTATCTCCCTCTTCCCTGAGAGGAATCTGAGGTTCACGAGGTTAAATAACTTGCCTAAGGACACACAGCTGGTGAGTGAATACGGTTCTAAATTCTCACATCACTACGCTGGGCCATAAACACTAAACAAGCTCAATTACTGCTAATTGAAATTCTGAGAAGTTCTCAGAAGCATGAAGGCTATGTCTGTGCTATGATATCTTCCTCTGTATTTAATTATAAACATAACACCTTAATTTGCAGCACTCATACATCAGCCTTCAGTATGCTCCATACAGAGGAAGTATGTCAGAAAGAGCCAGAATCTTCTCAAAAGAAGTTTGCATTCTCCCAGTTCATGGAATAAACTACAACTACAATATGAACTTTATCACGGGTTCTTAGAGACTCTTAACAGAAGTATAAGCCTTTTCAGTTATTGAAAGAATTGAAAGCTTTTTACTGTTCATGAAAAAGACAAACTCCTCCCTTTCAAATTATTCTACTTTATAGTACAATTCCTTCTGGCTGGGAGGAGAACTTCAGACGCTTTTTCAAATAACCCTAGCCATTTAATCTGTACCTTTGGGAAGTCATGCTGAGAGTATATGGAAAAGAGACAGACGGAGCCAGAAAAAGGTGGGGGTGGAAAAGGGAAGGGAGAGGGTTATGGAAAAGAAAAGGTAAGACATTGTTTCTGAAGTAGTAAGAATCTCCCAGTTTTTCTGGCCTACTTTAAAATGAGCTGCGTACTTCTAACCACAAAAGAACATCTAACATTGTTTAGGTAGTTACAACTTAAAAAGCTTCTACATGTCTACTCCAGACAGATCTTTCCATTTATTTGTCATCCTCATCATACATAAATCAGCACTGCTTATATTAATTAGACACTTTCACTGGAAGTTGAGATGCTCAGTCAGCTCAGACTATAACAAAATACCACAGACTGGGTTGCTTAAGCAATGAACATTTATTTCAGGAGGCTGGGAAGTCCAAAATCAAAGTGCTAGCTGATTTGATTCCTGACAAGAGATCCCTTCCTAGCTTACAGAAAGCCACCTTCTCACTGTGTCCTTATGTGGTGGAGAAAGAGTGAGTGTTCTCTTTTTCTCTCTTTGCATATAAAGCCATTAATCCCATCAAGAGGACTCTCATGACCTCTTCTAATCTGAAGTACCTCCCAAAGAGCCTATATCAAAATATTATCACATTGGGGGTTAGGGTTTTGATATGGTTTAGCTGTGTCCCCAGCCATATCTCATCTTGAATTCCCATGTGTTGTGGGAGGTAACTGAATCATGGGGGCACGTCTTTCCTGGCTTTTCTCGTGACAGTAAGTCTCACAATATCTGATGGTTATTATATGGGGGTTTTCCTGCATAAGCTCTCTCTCTTTGCCTGCTGCCATCCATGTAAGACGTGACTTGCTCTTTCTTGCCTTCCACCATGATTGTGAGGCTTCCCAACCACATGGAACTGTAGGTTCAGTTAAACCTCTTTCTTTTGTAAATTACTCAGTCTCTGGTATGTCTTTATCAGCAGTATGAAAACGGACTAATACAGGTTTCTATATACAAATTGGGTGGGCGGGGCAGGGTTGGGGGGACACAATTCAGTACGTAGCAGGTGCTTTGAAATAGTTATTAAAAAAAAAAAAACCAAATGAGCAACACCCAAGAATATCAACCATGACATTATAACAGAATATATGCCCAGGTATTACAGAATGGTAAATCTTAGACAAATGCCAAGGACCTTCTTCTATAGCTTGAAAGGGTTGAAGAACAGATCTGTACAGATGGTTTGGGGCTATGAAAGATGGCTTTTAAGAAATCAATTAAAGTAGGTCTCCACTGAGAGAAAACCCTAATTATAAAGCATGGGCCTGGGGAGAGCAGAGAGGCCATACATGCAGGCTATTGTCTCAGAAATAGAACTTGGATGCTGAGGGTGCTGAGAGGGAGGAGATCTGCTGAACCCCCTTTCTGAACCATTTGCTGGAGAGATCACTGGGGCTAGGGGGACCTTAAGAAATCTGACTTGAGTCCAACTTAAGAATTAGTTCTAGGACCTTTAAAGTCTTGCAAATAACATGTAATTTCCAAAGTCCAGTTGTTGTTTGAATTCGGGGGCAGATTATTCCTGTTTCTGAAAAACCACTTTAGTAAACCACTTCAGAACCTTTTGATTCTACAAAGGTAAAGTCAAAATCCTAATTTGAAATAGAAAATTTCCAGAAAACATTAGATGCTTTGTATTATTACATCTAAAACTCTTTTCTTTCCAGTCTTAATATTTTTACTCTCTATGATAGAATTCCCTTCAGTTATTCTCAAGTCCTTATTAAGTTTTGCCAAATACTACAGCCTTGTTTAGGTAAAGAGATTAAATAATCAAAAACTGTTAACATGGTAAATTTTATGTTATGTATATTTTACCACAATTAAAAAGATTTCTTTAATAATAAAAAAAATTCCCACAAAGAAAAGCTCAGGCCAAGATGAATTCACTAATAAATTCTAAGTATGTTCAAAAAATTAACATTAACCCTTCCCAAACTCTTTAAAAAAATAGAAGAGAAGGGATAATTTCCCAATCATTCTATGAGCCCAGTATTAGCCTAATACTAGATAAAGATATCACAAGAAAACTTCAAACAAATACTCCTTATTTTCAGAGATGCAAAATCTCCAACAAATCCTAGGAAACTGAATCCAGAAACATGAAAAAAAAAGATTACATACCACACCATGACCAAGTGAGATTTATCCCAGGAAGGCAAGATTGGTTTAACGTGTGAAAATCAATCAATGTAAGACATCATATTAATAGAATACAGGACAAAAACCACATGATCATCTCAATAGATACAGAAAAAATATTTGACAAATTGAAACACCCTTCTGTGATAAAAAACAGCCAACAAAACTAAAAATTGAAGGGAACATCTTCAACCTGATAAAGGGCATCTATGAAAATCCAATTGCTAATGTCACACTTCATGGTATAAGACTTAATGCTTTTCCCTAAGATCAGGAACATGACAAGTATGTTCACTCTTGCTACTACTACTCAACAATGTACTGAAGATTATAGCTGAGACAATTTGGTAAGAAGAAGAAACGAAAGGCATTTAGATTAGAAAAGAAGTAAAACTGTGTCTATTTGCAGATGACACCACTTTGTCTATAGAAAAATACTAAGAAATTCACACCACAAAACTATTTGAATTAAAAAGCTGGAAATAAATCAAAAGTCAATTAAATGGTGAATGAATAAACAAAATGTGGTCTATTCATATAGTGGAATATTATTCCACTTGAAAAGGAATGAAGTAGATACACGGTACCGTATGAACAAACCTGGAAAATGTTAAGTCTCAATGAAGGAAGCCAGATAAAAATAGCAATACATATTGTTCTATTTACATGATATATACAAAAATAGGCAAATCCATAGAGATAGAAAGTAGATTATGGTCACCAGGGGATAGAGGATTGGGGAATGGAAAGTGATTGCCAATGGGTTCAGAGCTCCTCTTTGGGGTAATACAAATGTTCTGGAATTAGATGGTGAAAATTGTTCATCTTTGTGAAATATGTGAAAAACTGTGGATTGTATACTTTAAAAGGATACATTGTATGTTACGTGAACTATATTTTAATAAAGCTGTACTTTTTAAAAAATATATATGTATGTGCTCTAACCTAGGTGTTCGAATTCTTATCTGAATTGTTGTGAAGCAGATAAATCTAGTCAAAGGGTGACTGCCAATTTTGAAAGCTATTTAGACATACAGTGATACAGGGTTTCTACTCTGATTAACTTCATATTCAGGAAAATCAACGTTGGACTTCCTCAAAATTGTCTCTTAGGAAGAACAGGGATTCTGCCTCCCCACAGATTAAAGAGAGCAAAAAGCCCAGGAGGGACGCTGAAGCTGATGATGACCTCCATGTGCCAGGACTCTTCTGTGTAGCCCCACCTGTCGTGCACCAGTCACACACATTATGATGTAGTTTGTGCCCTCTTGGACCCATGAACACTTCAGTAAGAACACCGCCACCATTCGTTATTAGAAAGCACTTTTAATTGTGACTGTGAATGAGAACTCTGCTTCATAGGAATCTCTCTAAATCGTCTTCAGAGCACATATTTAGACTAATACTCCTCAGCCCAAGGAAAACCGAAGTGGTGCTTCTGTAACCACAGAAGCATTTACAATGAGTTCAATAGTCAGTAGTACATCAAAGTCACCAGAATGAACTGATGTCTTTAAACCTCAGGTCCTAAATGATTTGCAGGGAGTGTCTACGTTCCAAAGCTTTCCATGTGCACTTTTACTGCCTAAGCCTTCTACTTTTAAACCAGAAGTAAACTTAGAAAAAGAAAATGTATTTTGGTTACTGTTTGAAGAAAAAGGCAAAAATGAGATGTCCTATTATATAGCCTGTAATTATTTCTTTTACAGTTCTTTTTACTAGGCATCCAATACAATTCCATTCGTCCTAGATCACATTTAAGATTTTCCTCTTATATAGACACCCAAAACACAGAAGGGATCTACTGAAGACAGGTCACCTTATATTCTTGTCATCGTGAATGTTTATGAATATCTGATAGCTCTTAACCTGTCAGATGAGTCTTCTTCAGATCTAAATAAGCCTTCCTATTTTACGTAGTTTCCTATAGCCGCACAACATTTCTGGAGCCGCTTCACTGGGAGGACTCTGTCAACAATCAGCATTTCACTGGCATTAACATGCAATAAAAGACAATGAACCATGACTCAATTAAACCACAAAAAAACTGTCTTCAGATAACATTAACCCAGTAGTTTTCAAAGCTTTATATGTTGTAGGGCTTCTGTTGCCTAACATTAAGGTCAGCGCTTTAAAAACATATGCCTAAGCATCAAACACACCTACACAGAATATGATTTAGAGGAAGGAGCAAAACTCTGTTTTGATTTATCTCCTTCCCATACTATATCCAGAGATTTTAAACTTAAGAATATGTGGTATCAATTAGGTATCACTACTGCAAAGAGTAAGAACACATTTTCCCATCGCAACGTCCATGGAAATGTAATTTGCCCACAAGATACAGTTAGGGAGACCTTTAGATTCTGATTTGTTTAAAACAATAACTAAAAAAGATTATGCAGGGGGAGGTTCAGAAAAAATATGTACGCATCCATAATATGAACTAACAGGACATCTGATATCTGGATATGTCAATCAACACATTCTACAGCCAGAAAAGTGTCTCGTAATAAAATTGCTAAGGTATAAGAAAAAAGATGGAGCTCTTCTAATATGTAAATTTACACATTTATGTCTCACTTAACCAGGAGGACTGGAGGAATGGAGGGGTTTCTTACAGAACCAGAGGCTTTATTTTTCTTTTCTTTGCTTGGCTGTACTTGCAATATTTAACGCTCTAGGTTTAAATCTTCAATATTTTAGGTTTGATCACATTTAACACTTAGTCATTTCAATTAAAATTGCTCTCCTTTCTCTCACTAAATTAAACCATCAGGAAAAATTATATGCTTTCACCAAAGTAAAGACAAAATGGATTCACATAGTACATTGTAAAAATTTTAGAAGATTTCCTTGTTGAATAAAATTATTAAAATTATCTCACTTCAATTATAACAAAAGGCAGGGAGAAATGACCAGGAAATGCTCTGGCATTTTCTTTTAAATATATTTAAATATATAATTTAATTTAAAGTATATAATTCATAAATTCCCTATCATTATTTTAAGCTGTGATTAATATAAATTCATTCAAGATTCAATTTCTTTTGTAAGAAAGCTATTAAAATATGCCAACCAAAATGGAATAAAATAAAAACAATCATTTAAAGTAGATCTTTAAGATATTTAAGGCATCTTTTTAAAACTGTAGGAATTAAAATATACATTGAAATCACAGGTTAATTGAAGAATTATCAAAAGTTATGGCAATAGAGTGTGACTCTATGCTGGCCCAATATAATCACTGTTTATTATATTTAGAAGCCATGAATATAAAATGGAAACCGAAAAGAATTTGAAAATTCAAGTTATGAAGGCAATTATTACGGATAATTTAAAAGAAAGAACATTTTCTCTGTTTGCTAATATTAAAAGATTAACATATTAATCTTTTAAAAAAATTACTAAACGTTTACTGGTGTATTAGTTTCCTTCGGTGGCTGTGACATATTGCCACAAATTACCACAAACTTGTGGCTTAAAGCAGCACAAATGTATTCTCTTACAATCCTGGAGGCTCTGAGAGGAGAATCCATTTCCTTGCCTCTTTCTGCTTCTAGCACCGCCCTGAAAGCCTTAAGTCTGGACTCTGCCTCCATCTTCACAGCACATCACTTCAACTTCGGCTTCCATCATCGTATCACCTTTTCCTCTCCATAGTCAAACTAACCCCTGCACCTCCCTCTCTTACAAAGATACCTCCTATTGCATTTAGAGCACACCCAGCTAATCCAGGATAATCTCCTGATCTCAAGATCCTTAACTTAATCACCCCTGCAAAGTCCCTTTGCCGTAGACGGTAACATTCACAGGTTTCAGTGATTAGTATTATGAACATCTCGTACGGCCATTATTCAGCCTACTACACTAGTCCAGAAAATATATTTTTAAATCTTTATCCTAGGAGTTACACAAGTGAATGCTTTATTGATCAGCTTTATTTGGCATATGTCATTATTTTCCATTGGGAAGTAATAGCATGGTCAAGCTGACTCACCATCAGTACCTCTCAACAGAGACTCTGCTTCTGAGAGTATCTGTGTGGTCTTTTGGCCAAGCTAGAGACACTGGGCAACACAGTGAGGGTGGTGTTTCCTTTGAAAGATAGACACCAACTTCACAGTTACTGTTTACATAAATAGTGCTAGTATGTATGTATTTTGTTTTGTCTAATCAATTCATAAGAAATCTAGATTTCAAACCAAAACATACTTATCAAAATTATTCCTAGCTGGTCAGGACAATTAAAAAAAATTTTTTTTTCTCTTTAAAAAGTGTTAATTATTTCTGGAAGGCAGGACTAGCAGTGTTTCAAAATAATGTGGACTTTGGAATTGCAGCTCTAGGCTTACTAATTCCTAGGTTATGTATGATCTTTGGTAGCCAAAAGCTTAACATTTTTGATCCTCAGTTATTCATGTCTAAAATGGTGATGGAAACTCCTATGCTAGAGGTTTGTTGTGAGATCATTAGTTTTGCTATAATAACTGGCATAAAACAGTTGCTTGATAAATATTAATTATCTTCCACCTTTTATATTAGAAAACTTGTCTATAAAAAGTGCACAGTGAGGGCACAGTGGTACGCATCTGTAGTCCCTGGTACTCAGGAGGCTGAGGTGGGAGGATCACTTGAGCCCAGGAGTTCAAGACCGGCCTGGGCAACGTTGTGAGAGCCCATCTCTTAAAAAAAGAATAAGTGCACAGTGAAATAGGATCAACTTCCTATTGTTCAGTATGGTCTACAGAATGAATTCAGACAACTGGTAAATGAAGTAATATGAAAATACTAATAATCTCATTAAACATTCAATAATAGCATATGTCATAAATATGAAATAGGAAATAGAGTTGCTAAGTTTAATAAGAGTCAGATATTTGGTAAATTAAAGTGATCATTCTATTTAAAAGGTTATTTATTTATGTCATTAAGTTATCACTGAACTGGCAATTTTTGCAATCCTAAACCTCTTTGTTTTTATATTATGTCATTCCAAAATACATGTATTAAAAATGTCAGCAACTCCACAATATGTAAGTGTGACTCAGGTATCAGAACAATAACTTTAAGAATTAATAGTGATAGGTGATATAGGTGTGTTTCTAGATCACAGAAAGTTAGCAGGAAAATCCACATTCGGAAGTGTAAAGTAAAACTTCCTTTCCTCTACAAAAATATTTGAAGTCATTATCCTGAGATATGTCTACTCTATACATCATTCTTAAAAAGATAAAGAAGCTGATACAGCAACTGTCCTTGCCGACACAACAGAGATCTCAAATATGCAGCAATTGGTCACTAAGGTGCTTAGAAGCAGTCTAGAGTTTCTCAGATCTCCATAGGATATGTCATTAAATCTTCTCCTCCTGCTGGGTCTGACTTCTGGGAAAAAAGCATATGGTATAAATATTACTATATTTGGTAGTGAATACTAATGATCGCTCAGGAGGTTCATCCTTCAGTTTCTATGGCCTTTAGCATCTAGTTGCTTATAAATGTGACATGCTTTGATTTGATTTAATCATAATTTACGAATTTTGAATTTGTGGTTCAGAATTCACTGTACAAAATGTACCTGTAAAGTTAGATACCCATATATATGGAGACACATACACATTTATTTTTGGAGTTATCCCATTAACAGATTATAAAATCAAGGCAAGAAGACCAAGGCCTTTCCAAGGCACATTTTACAAAGCTGCTTGTTCCTCTAAAATCAGTAGGATCTGAAAACAGATTCAACACAAGCATACACACACACAAACACTTAGACATAGAGGTTACATATAGTAACCTTGTTCTTCTCTAGTGAGAATTGTAAGCTCAGTGATATCACATGAACTAAAAAATTGTCTATCAATTTCTGTATGAACAATATCCTAATCATTGTTTGGAACAGCAGAGAAAGGTGTTCTGAAATGTGCAGAAATTATATGATCTGTATAAAAACAATAAATAGCACTTCCATGTTATAATAAATTTGCAAGTTGAATTTCATACAGGTCATGTTACACAGGTCATATTAAAAATAATTCCAAGGAAAGAATTAAGAGAAATTTGGTTAAAGATATAATTTTACTCCATATAAGCTTTCTAAAGTTTTATATAAAGCTAATTATAGTGGTTCAGTATTACAAGAATAGGATGTGTTACACAGTACGACAGTAATACTGCTGTGTTCCCTCAGATGGCATAAATCACTTGGCTAATTTGGCTACTAATAAATAGTTAGTATAAAATCTTATTTACCAAGGCCAATAAAAAAATTCTCAGCAGTTGGGTAATTTGAATCAAATGTCACTGTAAAGATAAGACAAAAAAACTTCTGTAATACATACTGTTATACTCTAATGTATCCATAATGAAAGATTCCATAATGAAAAATAATATAAAAAATAGATTATGTATCAAGACTCTTTGTCAAAAGCTATAGTTCACATCAGAAGTTAATAGCACTAGGGAGTTAAATGATTAATACAAAAACAAATTCTTACTACAAATATTCTTTTGTTCTTCACTTACCATGATGCAAACTGCAAGGATTTAACCTTTAAGGGTTAAAGAGTTTAATCAATGTCAATGTCTGATCTTCTGAAGGCGATAAAGAACAGTCTGTCTAGCGATACCCAACAGAACATCACTTTGTCAAGCCACAAAGCACCCAAAAGCTTGTCAAGTAAGTTACCAGAAACCTCTTTGTGGTTAGAACTCAGCTCCTTCCTGCTTGACCTATTATTTGATATTTGACCACTTGGTTGCAAGACACTTGCTCTTTCTAGCTGAAATGTCACTGGGGCATCTTGTCAGCTCCCCGACATCTCGGCCTGACATACAATTTTACTTTTGTGTGCTACAAGGCAGAAAATGCAGGGCAATGGCCTTGTTTTAAATTCTGTCAGCATCAAAGATGGGTGTCACTCTTGGGTCCTACCAACAACAAAAACAAAAAAGGAGTCTATTTTGAAGGTCAAAACAGCCATTACCTTGAAGTTTTTCAGCTTATACTAAATATATTACCTGCTATCCTAGTGTGGGAACTGTCCTTATGAAGTGCCTAAACATACCACAGAAATCCTCCAGCACAATTGCTCTACTTTCTTATCAAATGCAGACTTGCTAAAAGAATGAGTTTTCAGTGCCTTCAGGGACCAGATTCAGCAGTTAACTTAACTTGTTCAAATGGGCAAGTGGTATCATGTAGCTTTACAAGGAGCAACCTGACCTTCTCACATTGACCAGGAGTGACATTATTGTGCAGGAGGAGAAGCAGTCACATCATTTCTGTTTTGCACAACCTGCTTAAAGTTTGCAACTAAATGCTTGTCTTCAGTTGAGCTGACAAGAGAGAAGAGGGGGCTCAGTGAACCATGGCCGGGCTGCCATGAAATGACAGGAATCATTGGCATACATTTCAAATAGCTCTCTCAATCCTATTAAAGCATTGCAGTCCTGCTTTAAAATAGACAAGTATGAAACAACTTTGATAGATAGAGACTAAAATGGCTTATTGATTTTTTTAAGTCTGAGGGAAATTACCCAAAATGTGTCATTCCTTAACATTTAAAAATATGTTACATAAAAATGAGCAACTGTGATAACAAATAAAACTTGGAGAGAAAAAAGTTGGCTATTTCCTTATTCAAGGAGACAGAGCTACCAGAATACATCAAGATAGCGCACAAATTTTTTAAATCCACTGCCACTTCTGCTGAAACAAAAGTCAACTGATAAGAAAATTCCCATTCAAAACAATTTTAATTGTACTGTTAACTCTTCCTCCATTTTTTAATTTCATGAAGTCATAATCCAATCTGAGTTGGTCTGTTGGCATTAGCAGACATAGTCACTGGAGAGGAGTGAGATGATGTCAGAGCATGGGGCACAGTATTTATAAATGTCTCCTTTAAGAAAGTGTAAGTAGTATCAAGTTCAGCTTTCAATGGTAAGAAATCCCCAATACCAGTTGTGTCAGCAGGAAGAGGAGCTCTTGAAGGAATGGAGAGATTTGAATGGTCTCGTGATCCTATCTGTGACATACAAAAGAAAAAAATAATAAACATAGAGTTGAAAACTCTCAAATAGAGCCTAAAACCATAAACAGGCAAGTAGACTAATAATCATTATAATATAAAAATGAGATGGAAACTACTATTTCAATAATCTACATGAGAATATATAAATAGTAAATTATTTATCAAGTGTGACTGAATCCCTTATTTACTCTTTTCTGAACTTTTCTAGACAACAAGAATTTGTCTAAACACTAAATCTTTGTGTAAAACTTTTTATAAAGTTATTATATCAGAGAGTCAATACAATCAGGGATTTTTACCTTGACTTCAGTCCATTGGCAATTTACAGAAACCGATGCTAATAGCATTTATTTCATTATGCTATAAAATAAGTGCCATATAATATGGAAGATTAGATTACTTAGAAAATAAACTATGAGTATTTATGTTTTTTAAATCTATCCATTTTACTTATTTGACAAAAGTAGCACAAAGTAAAATAAGCCAATCCCAGTGACCTCTAGAAAATGGCATACTAAGATACAAAATTCTAATGAGAACTCTTTGGCTTTACTTTAATAATAATGCCACCACCCTGTTTTTTCTTTCAACTTTATTATTTTAGGTTCAGGGGTACACGTGCAGATTTGTTACATGGGTAATTCTTGATTTAAGTCACTGAGGTACGGTGTACAAATGATCCCATCAGCCAGGTGGTGAGCACAGTCCCCGACTGGTAGTTCTTCAACCCTCTCCCACTCTCATAGTCCCTGGTGCTCAGTCTCTATTGTTTCCATCTTTATGTCCATGATACCACCCTGTTTTGATAAAGACTATTATAAGTATTTAGAAATCACATGTCAAAATAAGGGAATGAAAATAATTTGTCATATATTTGAGAACACTGATGGTATCCAGAAATTGTTGGAAATTAAAAATGCCACAAAGTCATGGAATACTGGACAGTAGAATTAATATTTCGATAAAGCTGCTCCTTTAAGCCTTAAGTGACGTCAGTATCTAGTAGTTAATATTTAACATGAAGAAGTCTTAGCAGTAAAGCAGGTAAGTATTATGACATTTAAAGATGGCAGGAAAATAGTGATCAATTGTATGACATAATTTTCCAGATTCCCACAAAATAAATGTTGCTGAAATAACAAGTCTGGTTATAAGTATCTCCACTAAAAATCATACTCTATATTGCAGGGTTTTAAAAAAAAAAAAACTTTTTAGTAGATCCTCTTACAGTTTTGATAACAAAATAATGTAAACTATAAGGTGTGCTTTATTATGTCATGTTATACAAAATTGTTGCTACATGTAAAAACAAGAGGGAAGCTTATCACTGGCTTTAGGAACATATTAGAAATTCAACTGTTGTATGTGTTACCATTTTTGTGGATTTTTTTAAAACTACAACTGGAGAAAAAATCAATATCTGCATCTAACACCTAGTTCAGCAATTTTCTTTGATCTTTGTTCTTTTGATTTCCTGATACTCTACTGCAGGCCAATAGCTGACGGAAATCATCTCTTTTTATACTGGAAGTTAGAAAACACCTAAAATGGTCACTTGAAATAGCTCTATGAAGGATAAGGTTTCCCAGTGGAAGGAAAACAACTTCCAAAATCGTGTGTTGACCCTGATTAGTAGTATTAATGAGGTTTTGCTTGCAGAACCTTAATGCTGGGCCTGATCATCTCAGCTCAGAACCTGAACAGAGGCATCTCATTACATCAGAGGCTAGAGGTGTACACATCTGCATTTTTACTGCTGCTAGAATCATTTTTTAGCAGTGTCATTACTGGATTGACTTTGCAGCTATAAACATTACAGTGCCATCTACTAACTTCTCATTCTGCCAGGCCTGGGGGTTAGGGGAATGCTGGAAGAGCAGGAAATGGTGGGGCCTGATTTTCTTCTTAATAAACATAGTTATAGCCACAGTATTCTTTATTATAGTAGAATATTTTATTGTCAGAAAAGGCTTCAAAAGTTTGTTTTGATACATCTTTATACTTCAAGTTCTGGTCTAAGAAAACTATGTATGGAAAATAGAGGGGTGTGCAGAATCAGTCCAAGGAAGGTCAGATATCCTCTGGGGGTATTTTCTTCTGGATGTTTTAGAGAAAGGTAACTATGCCAAACTGACCAACCATTCCTGTTTTGTCAATATTAGTGATATGCATAATTTACTCAAACTTATATGTTGTACTTAAAGTTTCCCTTTTTGTTCTTGCAAATCCATCAACCTAACACATTACAAAGTTAGGAAGGCAGTCCTTTAGGGAAAGTCTCTACTAACTGCTCATTTCTCTTTAATATTCTACAGATCTTGGTAACCTACAAAGAGGTCCCTCTTTTGCCTTTTCTCATCCTACTTTTTCTAATATGTCTACTTTCCACTATGTCGTCTGAAAGCACCCTTTCATCCAATATAATATTTTTGACTAAATAACCTTGAAATGGGGTGTTATTTCCCTAGTATTTCAAATTAGTTTCACTTTTTGCACACTATTTTCTGACGTTATGTCCTAAACATGGAAAATAATCTAAAGAATCTCCAGAGATGAAAAAGAGAGACAGAGAGATTTCCTTAAAGTCTTGTACCCCCCAAAAGTATAGTCTCTAGAAAGTAAACAGAGTTACTTTTGTATAAAGGAAAACAAATGACTGCTTTTGCTACTGGGATCATCTGCTGTACTGCTAGAAAAAAACTTTTTTCATGAAATGAGGTAAAGTCTGATTTTAAGTCACTTAAAAGCTTAAAAAGAAGCCACCGGCTGGGGATGGTGGCTCACACTTGTAATCCCAGCACTTTGGGAGGCCGAGGTGGGTGGATCACCTGAGGTCAGGAATTGGAGACCAGCCTGGCCAACATGGTGGAACCTCGTCTCTGCTAAAAATATAAAAATCAGTTGGGCGGGCGCCTGTAATCCCAGCTACTCAGGAGGCTGAGGCAGGGGAATCGCTTGAATCCAGAGGCAGAGGTTGCAGTAAGCCAAGATCACACCACTGCACACTGCACTCCAGCCTGGGCAACAGAGCAAGACTCTGTCTCAAAAAAAAAAAAAAAAAAAAAGCCAGCAACAATTCTGGTGAAACTTTGATTTGAGAATGTGATGTTAAAATACAAGTAAATATGACCGGTTTTTCTTGTTATAAATATCCAGAATAATATCCAGAAATACGTAACACTTTTGTACTATTTTAATGTAACACAGAGAGTAAAGGACAGTTAAATAACTTTTTGTCAGAGAACATTAAAAGTTAGTGTTCACCACCCAATCTTATATTTTAAATCTGTAAAGTCCATGGTCATATAAACTACTTTTAAAACTGCTGAGGTGTTCTGTCTCTTATGTAAATCTAAATTTAGGCAGTTTTTCAAAAGGAAATTAGTTACCTTAAATAAAAGCTAGGCGTCATGTGAATCTTTATGGAAGCACTTTTATTTACTCAATAAGCTATAAATGATTCTATTTGAACTGCTATAGTCCATCAGCTAAATACATATTCACAATACAAAATGTGTCTACTAAATTTCTACATTTTAAAAATCTTATGAAATACAGTAATTGGACACATTCAATAGCCATTTTTCAAGGCTTTAATATCTTAATTTTCTACAAATGTTTTTCAAACAAAAATAAATAAATAAAGCATTAGTCTAATAATAAAATAACCACCCAATAAATTGTCTGTAAGTCAAAGCCTTTTTGCCGACCAAGGCTTCTGAAACTAAGCCATTTGTCTCCTGTGTAACATTTATGATCAAGTTAAGTCTTCTAGAATTTAGTATTATAAAAAGTGAGGAAAAATGTGATTTAGTAAGCCTTAGTAGTATTGCATGGAGATTATGCTAAGCACATAGTGTGATTAAAAGAATACTAGACTGAAGATCAGTGGACTCTAGCTTCTCCTCACAGTTCTTTTACAATCTGACTGGGTCATTTGGGGCAGGTAAATTAGTCCATCCAAATGAGGGGCTGGACTCTTTCCAGCTTTGAAATTCTACAGGTCTGCCATAATTCCACGTGTGACAGAATATACTATAAACCCTAACTTTTTTGAGGGACATTAACCCAGAAATCAGTTTCCTGAATATAATACTTGAGAGGATGTAGACAGACCATTCTTAAGGGGAAAGAATACATATTGCACATTGCACGTTGTTCTAAAATAAAGCCAAATAGATAACAAGATTAGCCACAATTTAGATGATGTGGCTTCATTCAATTAAATTCTATAGTACTCTTTTCATTACTTCAAACTCCATGATGATGTTTTAAGCCCTGTAAATTATTGACTGCTTTTAAGTAGTCTGCACAGCTCCACATAAACAGATGAAGAAATCAAAGCACCCACAAGAGGGTGTTACAGTGAGGCTCCCTTGCCATTTCTACTTTGGTTCCTAACGTGCTCTTACCAGAGTCTCAATACTCAGTGTCACAAAGTTTTCTTTCTTCTAAATACTTCAGATGAGTTAGCCAAATTCTACCTGTCAATTTTCCAGTTGTCATGCTGGTCTCATAGGCCACCGTAGTTTATACAGACAGCCAGAGTTGGCAAAAATCACATAGTTTTCTCTTGTGGAATACTCTATTTTATATCTGAGATATATATACACATAAAAACATACATTCACCTTATAAATATACACACACACATATACTTGATATATGCATCATATAAATATACACAGTTATATATATATATATATACACACACACACATCTGCTATCATGCCATCCAATATTTATTTCTCATATGGTAGTTACCAGTTCTAACTTTTAGCTACCAATAACAAGCTGGTAGGAATATTTTATGCATTCTTCTCCCTGTAAGTCATTAAACCTTAGTACAGACTAGTTTGACTATCTTACTGACATCAAGGCATGGGAAGAAATGTGAGTTAATGGCAAAAATGCAAAGAAGTTGCATTAGGAAACACCCTAAGGGCCCAGTGTGCCTAGAGATCTAAAAAGGACAACCATACAGGTAGAAACAAATCAGAAAAAAGAGGTAGAATATATTAACAAGAAACCTGAATCACATCACAACAACTCTGTCCTCAGGCAGACATTCAGCATTCTATCTGGTTCTAATTCAGCCTTGGCTACTCGTTTGATGTGGAAGATTGATTGGATCAATGGTTTTGATTCTTCATGCTTCCCTATACCTATGCCCTTGCTCTTGGCTTCCCTGTCCAGCCTCATCTACCATTTCCTCACTTGTACTGTGCAAGCCAGTTACATGGAACTTGTGAGTCCCTAAATAGGACATTCCATAGTTCACATCACCCTCCAGTCTGTCCAATTCTGCTCTTTGTTGGGTGAGTCCTCCACGTTTCAAACTCTGGTCAAGGTCTGCCTCTTTCATAAGGCTTTTCTGGATCCTCTTCCCATCCTTCCCCAACTACAGCTAACTGTAACATCCAATCTCATTTTTACATTCCTTCATGAGCATTTATTTTACTATTTTTTCACTTATTTGTATATCCTTATATTTCCGCTATAAAACTATGAGCACTTAGTGTGATGGAATCATGACTTTGTACCCTAGCACTTAGCAGAATATCTGGGACTAAATAAGATTCCTAAATGATGAATGAGTGAATGAACAAACGACTTATATTATTACTCCATGGTCTTGGTGTTTTATTGTTATTTTGTTATTTCACACATATACAGATTATGTCGCAATTAGATTTAGCAAAGATTAATGGAAAGAATACGGGCTTTGAAGGTGGAAGGAACTAAGGTTCTAAACTTCATTCTGCCATTTACTAATTATGTGATCCTTGACAAGTTACTTAACCTGTGTGAGCTTTTATCCTTATCTGTAAAGGAGGCAGACTAATCCCTCATAGGGCTGTTAGGAGGATTAAATGGAATAATATACACAAAAATGTGTAGCATATCTTCCCTTCTCTTTTTCACTCTTCTCAAATGATATGAATTCTAACTTTACAATTATAGCCAACATGTATTCAGCATTATGTCAGGCACTGTGCTAGATTTAGTTTTACAGGCGTTATCTGAATTCTCACAGTGACTCAATCAGAAAGCACTACAATTATCTTCATTCTACAGTTGAAGAGACTAGGGCTCAAAGAGCAGAATAAATTGCCACAGGTTGCACAGCTTGCTAATGGTAGAAAGGGATGTGAATCTTGGTTCCTCTGACTCTCCTATTCATACGCTTGACCATTACCTTACCATGTTGCCCAAAGAAGATATAGCCTAGCCTCAGGCTTATTTTGTATCTAGAGGCATTTCATCAACAAAATAAGGGCTCAACAAACCTCTCTGAAAATGGAAAATAAAAGTACATAGATTGTGCTAGAGGCTAAAAGAAATGTTTATATTTTGATAGCATATTTTATTGTGGTCTAACATTTGAATGCCTGTGGTACTTACTGGAGTAAATACATAGATCTCATGGAACTTACACAAAAATGAAAGTTATAGCCCTTTCATCAAAGGAGCTTATATGTTGTTATATTCAGAGACAAAATGAGGCACTGAGGTTTAAACTTACACTAGAACACTTAAGGCCAGGTACGGTAGCTCACGCCTGTAATCCCAGCACTTTGGGAGGCCGAGGCTGGAAGATCACCTGAAGTCACGAGTTTGAGACAAGCCTGACCGACATGGTGAAAACCCGTCTCTGCTTAAAAATACAAAAAATTAGCCAGGCATGCTGGTGGGTGCCTGTAATCCCAGCTACCCGGGAGGCTGAGGCAGGAGAATCGCTCGAACCCAGGAGGCAGAGGTTGCAGTGAGCTGAGATCGCGCCATTGCACTCCAGCCTGGGTGACAAGAGTGAGACTCTGTCTCAAAAAATAATTAATTAATTAAATTACACGAGAACATTTAAACTTTAATTTTAAATTACTTCAAGATACCTTGTGCCTGACAAGACAATATGTCCCATTTTCTTCTCCAGGATGTTTAGATTTCCTGATGTGGTTGAGGTTAGAAAAAGAGTTGAAGAATTCTCCCAGGTGGCTTTTGTTCTTTCTTTTCCCAGTGTTCTTCATACCCTTGTGCTTGCAGTCTGTTGCTGACCTGACAATCCTGACACAACTGATGGTAGACAGTGCCAGAAATGGCCAGAAAATGCAAAGGGGCATTTTCCCCTCTGTCTTAGAAACATACATTCCCAAACAATTCGAGAGAATTGAAAATATAAATAACTTTATGCACTCAAATATATAAAAAGACACAAAAACCAAATAAATAAAAACAAGCATACCATATAGAAAAATGCCACTGAAAGTCTGAAATGACAAACTGGTAAAAATATGTGCAACACATAGAATCCCCATACAAGTAATTTTCTTAATTTACAAAAGGCTCATGAAAATCAATTAAAATAATGTAATTAGAAAATAGGCTGAGGGTAGCATATTTATTAAGACTGAGTTCAGTTGTAAGAGAAAACTCTAAATGTCATTGGCTTAAATAAAAGTTTATTTCCCTCTGATAGGGCAATATAAAGTTATCAAGAATCCAGGCTGCTTCTATCTTGGGCTCCACAGCTCAGTACATGGCTTTTACCTCATGGTCAAAAATGGCTGCTCAAGTTCCAGCTAGTATGTCTGCATTCTAGCGAGAAGAAAGGAGGATGGAGCAAAGAAGGAGGCACTGCTTCCGTTTACAGACACTTCCTAAAATTGTACACTTTTACTTACATCCCATTGACTAGAACTTAGGTCATATAACTAATTTAGCTTAGAGAGGGTCTGAGAAATGTAGCTTGTTTGTCTGTTTGTTTGTTTCCTGAGCAGCCCAGGTAACATTCAGAGGCTCTATTACTAAGAAAGAGAAAACAGATGCCAGGAAACCACTGCCAGCCTCTGCCTCATGTACAGATTAGATGTCTGATTGGGGGAGAGAGTAGTATAATAACCAAAAAACATACGAAAAGGTGCTAAACTTAATTCATAAGTAAAGAAATACAATGCAACACATCCCAATTAAAGATGACTTTTCATATATCAAATGGGCAAAAACTTAGATGTCTGATGATCTCCACTGTTGAAAAGAGGGAATCAGGCAAACTCATGCCATGTAGTTAGGGACATAAGCTGTTGCAACCTTTCTGGAAGACAAAAAATTTAAATGTATCTTCCTTTGACCTAGCAATTCCACTGCTAGGCATTTCTTCTATGGCTACACTCAAAAGAGTTCACCAAGGTGAGCATGCAGGTATGTTCACTGAAGCATTTTTAGATAGATAAACAAAACTTTTTTTTTTTAACTTTAAGAGTGATTTTTTTTCACACACTTTAAGTTTTAGGGTACACATGCACAACGTGCAGGTTTGTTACATATGTATACATGTGCCATGATGGTGTGCTGCACCCAGTAACCCATCATTTAACATTAGGTATATCTCCTAATGCTATCCCTCCCTGCTCCCCGCACCCCACAACAGGCCCCGGTGTGTGATGTTCCCCTTCCTGTGTCCATGTGTTCTCACTGTTCAATTCCCACCTATGAGTGAGAACATGTGGTGCTAAACAAAACTTTTTAAAAATAAAACCAGAGGTCTATGAACAGAGGGCTACTTAAGTGAAGTATGACAACCATATAATACAACTATTTTAAACGTGAGGTAAATATGTAAAGGCTGATAGAGAAATATATCCAAGTGAAAAAAACATGTTCAAAATGTATACATGTGTTTATGTGTATATATATATACATATATATAAATAGTAATATACATTTTAAAATAAGCATAAACACACATACATGCATATCTATCCCTATTTTTTCTGGAAAAAAGAATCACAAGAAATCAAAAGAAACTTAATAATCTTTGGAAAAAAGAACTGAATTAGAGTTTGGGTAGAAAAAAAAGGTTTGAAAGGTTAAATTTTTCTTTCCATGATTTTTTATCTTTAAAATTATTTGAATCATGAGAGAAAGTTATCAACTGGCAGTTCACAAAAGCAAAAATACAGCTAAGTAACAAATAAATGGGAAAAAAATGGTAACCCCCACAAGTAATCAAAAATGGAAAATAAGACATTGATTGCCAGTAAAAATTAAATATTACAAATTATGCTAAAGGTTAGTGAAAGCATTGTGAAGCAGGCATTCATAAATTGCTAGTAACTGTATAAATTGATAGAACCATTGGATCTATAATTGGGCAACTGTCTTAAATGCTTAATGCCATTTGATCCAACAATTCCATTTATGATTAGTTTATATTAATAATAACAGACAAAAATTAGAAATACTCTCATATTCAACCAGAAGCATAGTTAAGTAGGCTATAGCTACGCGGTGAAAAATTATGTAGCTATAAAATTTACAGTTATAAACTTTTGGATAACATGGACAAATGCTTGGGTCTAACCAAAGGTCAGACCTTTGTAAAGAGCTAGATAAGTATTTCATGCTTTCTAGGGTATATGTTTTCTGTTACAAGCATTAGCCCCTGTGTTGTAGCACATAAGCGGCCATCGAGGATATGTAAATGAATGAGCATGGCTGTGTTCCAATATAACTTTATTTATGGACAGTGAAATCTGAATTTCACATAAATTTTATGTGTCATGATATGTTATTATTCTTTTGCTTTTTTCCCATAACTATTTAAAATATTAAAACCATTCTTAGCTCACAGGCCATACAAAAACAGGTGGCATGTAGATTTGCTGACCCTAGGGCAAGACTACGTCATGAAAAAACGGTACACAAAATTACATATGGTGCTTGTTTTGTGGTATTGGAATTGTTGGGGTTTTTTTCTCTATTCTCTGAGTTAGGATTAGGATTTGTATTTTCCAAATTACCTACAGTAAGTACGTTTTACTTTTATAGCTAAAAACCCTTTATTAAAAAATGAAACTATACATATTTATATATACTGAAATACATCTATATATTTTAGTATAGTTATGGCTCTAAAATGTGTGGTCAAAATGAAAATGTAATTGGATAGTTAAAGGTCTCAGAGGATAGGTCTTTAAGTGTTTTTCATGTTTGGAAAAGATTTTGATCAAGCAAAGAACACTCTCATTTCAATGTTTTCAGTTATCTAAGTCATATTTACAGTTTTACATTGAGTAAACACCTACACAAATAATGACACTGAGTAATTTGTTCCTCTACTCTGCGCAAATGCAACTCCTTATGCAGAGTGGCTACTTATAACTTGTGTGCCTTCATTTTACTCCAAATAGCACTTCCAGCTGCCAAATTACGACTTCTGTGGTCAAAATGTACACATGTCACACTCTCTCTGGGAACTATTAGGCAAAAGTTTTCTGACCACTATTTCATTACTGAAGAATTTCCTCTTAAAGTTATAAACCTTTTTTATTTAATGTCAAAAATTTAGTAATAATCTGGAAGCTATAAACTTAGACCTCGTAGCAATATGTTTTTCAAGGAGTGGAATTACTGAGCAGGCACTCAGGTAAAGAAGAGCAGAGGAAGGAAAGAATCATTTAGAATTTAAAGTAGTTTGAAAGAAATGACTTTCCTAAACCTTTCTAACAATATAAGTATCTGTCAATCACACATCTCAAAAAACTTAGCATTAAATTCTCATTTTGCAATTTGAAACCCATTTTTTTTTGCATGCCCCTCCCTTCCACTGCTGTTTTAGGCCATGCTCCTTCATTGTTCCATTATATCACACCTAAAATCCTTAGCAATTCTTCGTGGAATGCTGCAAGCTGCCTTTATTTCCCCACTGACCATGGTATAAGCTCTATACTCCCCAGGGCTGTGGACCCTTTGAACAGTTCCATAGCTGGGCCTTTCTGGAGGGACTGGCTATCTTCAGTTAAAAGAATGTATTTCTTAGGGAGAGAAAGGTACTTCAGATGTAAGACAAATCATGTGATCTGGGGGTCATATCTGCAGAATGCCTTCAAATCACAACAAGCACTGGGGCACATGTTCTAAAACAAATCACTTAGTTGGCAATGACATTTCCTTTACATGATAGTCAGGAATGTTATTTCTGATATAACCACATCATTTCCAGCAGTCTCAACCCAGATCCATCCCTAGGGAGAACATCTTATGTAACAGTAAAATATAGCAAACACAAAATTCCAAAATAATATACCCCTAGGCTTTATTTCAGGAATTGACTCCCTATATTATCAATTCCATATGATAAATTTTCCCTATGCTTGCATAATGCATAAAGATACCTAAACCCATATCCCCTCTTAGTATCCTAAATTAGCTCTATTCATTTATTTTTTCAGTAAATATCTATCAAGTGCCTATGATGTGCCAAATACTGTTCCAGGTACTGGAATACAAAAGTGAATTAAACAAATAAAAATTCCCTGTTTTGGGGATTATTTATTAGACCTTAACTAATCTTCATCCTGATCCAGTTCTTCTTAAATTATAATCTGTTGAAATACTATGAAACCACATAATTGCTATTTTTATAGGAAAAGCTTTGATGCACAATAGCACTGGAAGTTTCCTGTCCTCATTATTCTGTGGATACAAAGTCCCAAGTGAGTCAAGTTACCCTGGTCCTTCCCTGTCCTGCTCATACAAGCCTCAAACACCCCTGTGGATTCCCCATCAAGAGCTGCTTGGTGTCTGCAATCCCTCCAACAGGGTCTGCCTTCAATGTATTAGGGGGCTTGCTAGGTCATATGGGTGATAGCTCTAACAAAAATTTGGGGTGCCCATCCTTCCCTTTCTGTCATCTGAAAACTGTGACAACTCTGACTGAAACCCAGTGCCTTGCAGTATCTGTCACAGAACATTTCTTTCAGTTTCTACCTGTAGGCCCTTTTTCTAAGAGTCCAAATGCCAGTCCATAGGTCTGCATGGAGGAAAGGCATTAGGTCGTTCTCTCCACTTCACATCTCCTTCTCTGGGTGCCTGCCCATAAAATCTCCACTAGTCCTTCTCCAACTGCCAGAGCCCTCATTCAGATTAACTCTCTAGAGTCCGCACAATGGTGTTTCAAAAAGGCCTAGACTTGTTTGAAATGCAGTCTGCGCTTGGAGTAGGTTGTCTACTAGATAATAATTTTGACACAGGTTTCAAAGCTCTTTGCTAAATATTTTTCATCAGTTATTTGTCTTTTCACTTTTTCTGGCCTAAACATACTTTTATTTTTGTAAACAAGTCATCTCTTCAGACTTCGCTGTTTCCTACTTCATCTCTTCTTTACTGTATGTTTGCTTACTATTTGAAAATATTCAAATTTGAGATTAAAGACTAGAAAAATAGGATAGATGAAACTCATAAGAAATATTAGTAAGCACAGATAATGAATTAGCAAGCAGTTTGTGGGACATAGGCAGAATCCATATGGTAAGACCTGTTACTTTATAGATAGAAATGGATGGAAAGGCCACATCGTAAGGTAGAGATATGCCACCTTTAGTTAATGTCATCCTTACAATGACCCTAGAACTGCAGATAAAACACAAAGCTATTCAGCAGCCTCAGTGGCAAATTATAGCTATTGGCCAGGCATGTTTGTCCCTGCATCTCTCCTAGATAGCAAGTGTGTGTAAGTGGCCTCAGGCACCTTCGGTCTTCCAAGCCCCCTGTTTCAAACTTCAACCCTGATCCTCATAAACTCACAGAGAGTGAAGAAGGCTGAGGCAGTGGAGAGAGACAGGGCACATGAACACTGCACAACCAAGAAGTCAGGTTATGATCCTTCCCCCTGCTTGCTCCCTGCTATATCTCTTCTTGCTTTTTGCTGTGTGTTTAATTCCACAAACCATGTGATTTCGGTATACTAATTTGGTCTGTGACACCTTCTGTTATGACCCCTTGGATAACTTGACTGGTAGTCTTCTTGGACACTACCATTGCATTAACGTAATTTCTCATAAAACAGCTTTGCTCTCCTGTACTAATCAAAATGCTGATCCTGAAGCATGCCCTGCTTTCTCCTGTCTTGGAGCCACTTTTGCATGCTGCCCTTTCTATTTAGAAGGAGGCTTCTTCATCACGTTAACTCCTACTGTTAGTCAAAGCTTACCTCAGGTATCACCTTTACCCCAAACTTTTCCTGGCCTCTGTCACCTTGTATAATATAATATAATATAATATAATATAATATAATATAATATAATACCTCACCTCCGTGTTATTATAACACCCCATACACACTTTTATAATAGCACAGTATCACAGTCTTATGTTTGCTTAGACCTGCACTATTCAATATGGTAGCCACATGTAGCTATTTAATTTACATTAGTTAAAATTTAATATAAAATTAAATTAAAGATTAAAGTTCAGTTCCTCAGTCACACTAACCACATTCCAAGTGCCCCAAAGCCATATTTCTATCATCACAGTAAGTTCTAATGAATAGTGCTGGCTTAGAGTGTTCACTCCTTGAAGCCACAGGCTATTTTGTTTGCTTGTTTCTGTATTACCAGTGGCCTGCACAGTGACAGGTACAGAGCAGGTACTCTATACACCTGCCTGTTGAGGAATGAATGAATGAATGAATGAATGAATGAATGAATGGATGAGTGAGTTAATGGACTTATTCTAATCCATATTCTAAAGAAAATGAACAGGGCATCTTTTAATATTAAACTCCTCTTTCTGCAAATATTTTTATTTCACAGAGTTTAACTTCATTTTCTTTAATTCCAACTTTCTTCAATTCCTCCTTTCGAAGTGTCTCAAGCTTCAGAAGGGAACTTACCGTTCCTTTCTATGCTAATCTTTATTCTTCTGGTGGCTATAATTATTGCATTTTACCTTAGGCCACTAAGAAAAAGAAAGAAAGAAGCCTATGACAAAAGATAAGAGGAAAGTTATCTTGGCCAGTGTCCATTCTCAAGACATTCAGACAGGAGTCCTAGCTCCCTAAAGCTTGATTTTCTATATCAGAGGAAAATGCATTGCTTATTCTACTGCTTTAATTGTCAATTTTCATACTCTCTTGAGAAAGAGATTCTGTTATAAGCTAAATTTTGAAGAAATCTAATTGTTTGATGTAAACCTTCAAAGTTTCCTTTGAGTTGAATGTCTATCTGCTTGGGCAGAAAAGGGGAAAAGAGGGAATTTACATTCACTTTGCTCAACATTAGCATCTTTTGTTCAATCATTTGAATGCAGGACAGTTAGGGGGAAACAGCTTAGAGAACAAGAGTTGACATATACAGTGTAAAATCTTTTAAGGTGCTTGGATTCAATGAGGGAGAAAGTGAGACGGAACCATATTTCAGCTTCCTAACTGTGTTCCAGTCTGCGGGAACTTTGTGACAGGTCTCTGTCTCTCAGCCACACTTGACTGGCTTTCGCTGACATTCAGCTGTCAGACAGCAACCCTTTACCAGGCCCCTAACATGCTCCACAGCTTCACCCAATTAACTCACTTTCACTTGACACGGCAGCAAAAAGCTTCATAATAGGTGGTCAAGGTGCATGGTGTCTGCCTGCCCTCGAACTGCTCACACACAGCAAGATGTTTAACGACTTCTCTTCTTGCCTGTATGCTCAGAACTAGTATGGCTACAGTTTAGTCATTCCATATCTTGAATTAGACAGGAATCTAGGAAATATTATAGTGATACATTAAGCTCCTCAAAAAAAAAAAAACAGACTTCTAGATGATTAAAGTTAAATTTCAAGTCAGTTCTTTCGGCCCTACTGAGAGAAAAGATTTGATTTTTAGACTACCAAAACTTAATATTAACAACCAATTTATAGTTAATTTTTCCATTACATCATTAATAATAGTATTGTATAAAGACTACCTGGCATTAAAAAAGGGGCATCTGACAAGTAAAAGCGGAAAGGTCGACGCACATTCAAAAGTATGGAATTCAGCCTCTACTCATAAACATGCACTTATGGACAAACTCAACAATAATTATTCTGTAAATTTTTGTCATGTTACTGAGGCTTTCAGATGAAATACATTGTACTTGAATATATGTTTGGCTAAGAAATAAAATTTTAATCCTTTTTTGAAAAATGATCTAAGTATTTTGCACATTTTTTCTCACCTCCCAATATGTTCACTTCTAAGCATATAATCAGTTTTCATTTATTTGCACTCTGAAAATTTGAGTTATTTTAAAAATCAATGTTATATAAAGAAAAGGAAAAGTAATATAAACTACGCTGCCTTCGGAAACCTACATTTGTAAAGCTGTGTGATAAAGAGGCCACACACAAAACCTTAAAGATAGGGCTCTTTGTTACTGACATCCAAATGCAGATCCTTATAGTTACTAAGACAGAATTATGATTTCAATTCCAAGTATCCTATCAGTAATCAAAGCTGAAAAACTAATCACAAGATGGGGAATCCTAGCCTCCATCATCATGAACTAATCCCAGCAGATATTTCCCACTATTTCACACCAGGCAAAGCACAGTTAGACCATAACTTGCCATTCTGTGAATGTGAGAAGATGCTCCAAGCTTTCAAAGACAGGTCTCCAAGTAGCAGTGCTTTCGTGACATGCCTTCAAATCGCAGAAAATCTTTCTTTACATAAAGGCAAATTTGTTATATTGAACACTGCTCACTTCTTACCAGAAGTTCAAGGAAGGGAGAGATCTTGAATGAATTACTAAGTAATTAGGAAATTGCCCTGCATCAATTTTATTCATTAAGTCCAGCCACATTTTTCATCTAAATCTATCTAGAATCGAATCCTTTTCTATCTCCACTGTTACTGTCCTCACACAGATAATTCTCAATTCTTACTTGTACTGCTTTAATGTTCCTTATTATAATTTGTTATAAGTATACACACACACACATACACACACGTCTGTTTCCTCACTAAAGCTATAAGTCCCTGATAGAAAGCACCTTATCACATCTTATTAAAAATGTAATATAATATAGTGCAGCAAGGATTTGAGAGGATTCTGGAAAGATGGCAGAGTAGTAAGCACCAGGAACCAGCTAGACAACAATTGCACTGGCAGAATCTGTCTGATGAAAGCATTTTGGAATTCTGGAGTCTATTGAAGGCTTGCAACTTCCAGGGGAAGGCTTGGACAGTAAATTATGATTAATTTCAGTCAATTTTAGCTCTTAGCACAGCAGCAGCTATCCATCTCCCACTTCCAGCCCCATGACAGACACATGTGCAAATGTTCTTGGAACAGCTTGCACATAACTTGCAGGAGCCAGGGTAGGCAAAAAGAACCTTGTTCTCCAAATATCAGGATCTGTGCTCTGATTGTCGCTTCTTATCACAGAGGTACCAAAAGGCAGGTGACCATTATTGTTGCACCTCCCCACATTGCAACTCCCCCTCAGCTGAAGTGACATCCAGGGAATTTAAAGGGCCAGCATCCTTTCTTCCCTCCTCTTCATCTTTCTCTTTTCCCCCCTTTGGGACCAGACATTAAGAACTAAGATTTAAAAGCAACTACATATGTGAGGAAAATTAGAAAGTGACCACACAAGCCCAGGGAAAGGTGCAGATCCAGAAAAGACCTGAGAAGACCGTAAGTTTACATCTCAGGCTGATCCTTGACACACAGATAGCTACAGCAATTTTTTAAAAAATCAGAAAACCCTAGGGAAGGGAGAAAATCTGATTTCCAGAGTTACTATATTATTCTATTCAAATGTTCAGTTTTCAACAACAGCAAAAAAAATCACAAAGCATACAGAGAAACAGGAAACTATGGCTCATTCAAAGGAAAATAATAAATCAATAGAAAACTATCCCTGAAGAAGATTTGATGGCAGGTCTCTGAGACAAAGACATTACAACAACTGTCTTACAGATGCTCAGAGAACTAAAGAAAGATGTGAAGAAAATCAAGAAAACAATGTCTGAACAAAATGGAAATATCAATAAAGAGATAGAAAGCCTAGAAAGAAACAAACAACAACAAAAAAAGAAATTCTGGAGCTGAAAATTAAAATGACTGAAATGAAAAATTCACTACAGTGATTCAAAAGCAAATATGAGCAGGCAAAAAAAAAATCAACAAGCATGAAAACAGGACCACAGAAATTACTGAGGCTGAGATACAGAAAGAAAAATGATCGAAGAAAAGTGAACAGAGTCTAAGGGACCTGTGGGATAACAATAAGCAGAGCAACATATGCACTGTGGAGATCTAGAATGAAAAGAATGTACTTAAACATCAATAACAGAAGTAAAACTGTAAAGTTCACAAAATTGTGGAATTTAAACAACACACTCTTAAATAACCAATGGTCCAAAGAAGAAATCATGAGGAAAACTGGAAAATACTTAGAAATGAATGAAAATGAAAACACAACATATCAAAACTTATGAGATGCAGTGGAAGCAGTGCTAAGGGGGAAATTTATAGCTATAAATGCTTACATTAAGAAACAAGAAAGATCTCAAATCGACAACCTAACTTTACTACTTAAGAAACTAGAAAATAAAAAGCTAAACTGAAAGCTAGCAGAAGGAAGGGGGAAAAAAGATTAGAGAAGAGATAAACAAAATAAAGACTAAAAAAAAAAAAAGAAAGTAAGTAGAGGAAATCAATGAAACCAAAAGTTGGTTCTTTGAAAAGACCAACAAAATTGACAAACTTTTAGCTAGATAGGCAAGAAAAAAAGAAACTCAAATTACTAATATCAAAAGAGAAAGTGGGGATATTAGTACCAGTTCCACAGGGGGAAAAAAGGGATTGTAAGAGTACTATGAACAATTGTACCGACAAATTGAATGCCCTCGATGAAACAGACAATTCCCTAGAAACATAAAACCTACCAGGACTAACTAACAAATTAGTTAAAAAAAAGGAAAAGATCTATAACTAGTAAACAGATTGACTCAGTAATCAAAAACCTTTCAACAAGAGAAGCCTAGGACCAAATGGCTTCACTGATAAATTCTACCAAACATTTAAAGAAGAATTAACATTAGTCCTCCTCAAACTCTTCCAAAAAAATTGAAAAGGGAACACTTCCAAATAAATTTTATGAGGCCAGCATTATCCTGTTACTAAAGCCAGACAAATGTATCACAAGAAAAGAAAACTATAGGTCAATATCCCCAGTGAATATAGACCCAAAAATCCTCAACAAAATACAAGCAACTGAATTCAACAGCACAATAAAATGACCAAACACCATAACTAAGTGGGTTTACCCCAGGATGCAAGGAGAGCTCAACATACAAAAGCCAATTTATGTGATACACCACAGTAACAGAATGAAGGCTAAAAATCACATGATCATCTCGATACACGCATACAAGCATTTGATTAAATTTAATACTGCTTCCTAATTTAAAACTCTCAACAAACTAGGAATAGAAGGAAATCACCCTAACACAATAAAGGTCATATATATGAAAGGCCCGGAGCATATATCTTACTCAATGGTGAAAGAATGAAAGCTTTCTCTTTATGATCAGGAACAAGGCAAACCTGACTCCTTTCACCACTTGCATTCAACATAGTACTGGAAGGCCTAGCAAAGGAAATTAGGCAAGAAAAAGAAAAGGCACTCAGATTGGAAAAGAAGAAGTGAAATTATCTTTCTTTGCAGATGATATGCTCTTACATGTAGAAAACCCTAAAGATTCCACACAAAATACTGTAAGAAATAATAAATGAATTCAGCAAAGTAGGAGGCCACAAAGTCAACACAAAAAAATCAGTTACATTTCCATACCCTAACAATAAATGATATGAAAAGCAAATTACAAAAACAATTCCATTTAAATAGCATCAAAAAGAATAAAATACCTAGGCATTAAATTAACCAAGGAGGTGGAAACATTTGTATAATGGATACTACAAAACATTGCTGAAAGACATTAAAAACATGAAGAAATGGAAACATATCTCATGTTAATGGATTAGAAGACTTAATATTCTTAAGATGTCAATACCACTCAAGGCAATCTACAGAGTCGATGCACTCCCTATCAAAATCCCAATGAAATTCTTTGCAGAAATAGCAAAATCTGGCCGCGCGCGGTGGCTCATGCCTGTAATCCCAGCACTTTGAGAGGCCAAGGCAGGTGGATCACCTGAGGTTGGGAGTTCAAGACCAGCCTGACCAACATGGAGAAACCCCGTCTCTACTAAAAGTACAAAATTAGCCGGGCTTGGTGGTGCATGCCTGTAGTCCCACCTACTTGGGAGGCTGAGGCAGGAGAATCACTTGAACCCAGCAGACCGAGGTTGCAGTGAGCTGAGATCACGCCATTGTACTCCAGCCTGGGAAACACAGCGAGACTCTGTCTCTAAAAAAACAAAGCAAAATCCATCTTAAAACTCATATATAATCTCAAGGGACTGGAAATACCCAAAACAAGATTGAAAAAAGGAGAACAAAGTTGGAGGACTCATTCATCCTGATTTCAAAACTTACTACTAAGCTACAGTATTCAAAACAGTGTGTACTGGCATAAAGACAGATATAGAGACCAATAGAACAGAATAGAGAGCTCAGAAGTAAAGCATCAGATAATGGTCAAATGAGTTTTGACAAGGATGTCAACACCATTTAATGGGGAAAAAATACGTCTTTTCAACAAACAGTGCTAGGAGAACTGCATGTCCACATGCAAAAGAATGAAGTTGAAGAAGTTCACTGAAGAAAGAATGAAGAACACTATGTACACAAATTAAATCAAAATGGATCAAGGACCTAATGTAAGACCAAAAATTATAAAATTTTTAGAAGAAAACACAGGGTGAAAGCTTTACAACCCTGGATTTGGCAAAGATTTGTGGAATTTGACACAACAGGCACAGGCAACAAAAGAAAAAAACAGACAAATTGAACTTCCTGATAATTTTTAAATTGTGTGCATCAAAGGACACTATGAACAGAGTAAAAAGGCAACCCACAGAACAGGAGAAAATACTTGCAAATCATGTATCTGTTAAGGGATTTATATCCAGAATATATAGAAAACTTCTAAAACTCAATGACAACAAAATGCCTGATTTAAAAAATGGGCAAAGGACTTAAATCAACATTCTCCAAAAAACAAACAAACCAATAAGCACATATAAAGATGCTCAACATCACTAATCATTAGGGAAATGCAAATCAAACCTACAATGAGATACTACCTCCTACCCATTAGAACGGCTACTTAAAAAAACAAGCAAACAAACAAACAAACAAAAAACAGATAATCACAAGTGTTGGCAGGAAGATCTACCAAGCAAATGGAAGATGGAGAAATTAGGATCTTTGCTCTGTTGGTGGAAATGTAAAATAGTACAACAGTGTAGAAAACATTATGGTAGCTCCTCAAGAAATTAAAAATAGAATCACCAGGTATGTGGTCAATTTTGGAATAGGTGTGGTGTGGTGCTGAAAAAAATGTATATTCTGTTGATTTCGGGTGGAGAGTTCTGTAGATGTCTATTAGGTCCACTTGGTGCAGAGCCGAGTTCAATTCCTGGGTATACTTGTTGACTTTCTGTCTCGTTGATCTGTCCAATGTTGACAGTGGGGTGTTAAAGTCTCCCATTATTAATGTGTAGGAGTCTAAGTCTCTTTGTAGGTCGCTCAGGACTTGCTTTATGAATCTGGGTGCTCCTGTATTGGGTGCATATATATTTAGGATACCTAGCTCTTCTTGTTGAATTGATCCCTTTACCATTATGTAATGGCCTTCTTTGTCTCTTTTGATCTTTGTTGGTTTAAAGTCTGTTTTATCAGAGACTAGAATTGCAACCCCTGCCTCTTTTTGTTTTCCATTTGCTTGGTAGATCTTCCTCCATCCTTTTATTTTGAGCCTATGTGTGTCTCTGCACGTGAGATGGCTTTCCTGAATACAGCACACTGATGGGTCTTGACTCTTTATCCAATTTACCAGTCTGTGTCTTTTAATTGGAGCATTTGGTCCATTTACATTTAAGGTTAATATTGTTATGTGTGAATTTGATCCTGTCATTATGATGTTAGCTGGTTATTTTGCTCATTAGTTCATGCAGTGTCTTCCTAGTCTCGATGGTCTTTACATTTTGGCATGATTTTGCAGCGGCTGGTATCGGTTGTTCCTTTCCATGTTTAGCGCTTCCTTCAGGAGCTCTTTTAGGGCAGGTCTGGTGGTGACAAAATCTCTCAGCATTTGCTTGTCTGTTAAGGATTTTATTTCTCCTTCACTTATGAAGCTTAGTTTGGCTGGATATGAAATTCTGGGTTGAAAATTCTTTTCTTTCAGAATGTTGAATATTGGCACCCACTCTCTTCTGGCTTGTAGAGTTTCTGCCAAGACATCTGCTGTTAGTCTGATGGGCTTCTCTTGTGGGTAACCCGACCTTTCTCTCTGGCTGCCCTTAACATTTTTTCCTTCATTTCAACTTTGGTGAATCAGACAATTATGTGTCTTGGAGTTGCTCTTCTCGAGGAGTATCTTTGTGGTGTTCTCTGTATTTCCTGAATTTGAATGTTGGCCTGCCTTGCTAGATTGGGGAAGTTCTCCTGGATGATATCCTGCAGAGTGTTTCCAACTTGGTTCCATTCTCCCCGTCACTTTCAGGTACACCAATCAGACGTAGATTTGGTCTTTTCACATAGTCCCATATTTCTTGGAGGCTTTGCTCATTTCTTTTTATTCTTTTTCGTCTAAACTTCCCTTCTCGCTTCATTTCATTCACTTCATCTTCCATCGCTGATACTCCTTCATGCTAAAAACTCTCAATAAATTAACTATTGATGGGACGTATCTCAAAATAATAAGAGCTATCTATGACAAACCCACAGCCAATATCATACTGAATGGGCAAAAACTGGAAGCATTCCATTTGAAAACTGGCACAAGACAGGGATGCCCTCTCTCACCACTCCTATTCAACATAGTGTTAGAAGTTCTGGCCAGGGCAATTAGGCAGGAGAAGGAAATAAAGGGTATTCAATTAGGAAAAGAGGAAGTCAAATTGTCCCTGTTTGCAGACGACATGATTGTATATCTAGAAAACCCCATCGTCTCAGCCCAAAATCTCCTTAAGCTGATAAGCGACTTCAGCAAAGTCTCTGGATACAAAATCAATGTGCAAAAATCACAAGCATTCTTATACACCAATAACAGACAGACAGACATCCAAATCATGAGTGAACTCCCATTCACAATTGCTTCAAAGAGAATAAAATACCTAGGATGTGAAGGACCTCTTCAAGGAGAAGTACAAACCACTGCTCAATGAAATAAAAGAGGATACAAGCAAATGGAAGAACATTCCATGCTCATGTGTAGGAAGAATCAATATCGTGAAAATGGCCATACTGCCCAAGGTAATTTAGAGATTCAATGCCATACCCATCAAGCTACTAATGACTTTCTTCACAGAATTGGAAAAAACTACTTTAAAGTTCATATGGAACCAAAAAAAGCCCGAATCGCCAAGTCAATCCCAAGCCAAAAAAACAAAGCTGGAGGCATCATGCTACCTGACTTCAAACTATACTACAAGGCTACAGTAACCAAAACAGCATGGTACTGGTACCAAAACTGAGATATAGATCAATGGAACAGAACAGAGCCCTCAGAAATAATGCCACATATCTACAACTATCTGATCTTTGACAAACCTGAGAAAAACAAGCAATGGGGAAAGGATTCCCTATTTAATAAATGGTGCTGGGAAAACTGGCTAGCCATATGTAGAAAGCTGAAACTGGATCCCTTCCTTACACCTTACACTAAAATCAATTCGAGATGGATTAAAGACTTAAATGTTAGACCTAAAACCATAAAAACCAGAGAAGAAAACCTAGGCATTACCATTCAGGACATAGGCATGGGCAAGGACTTCATGTCTAAAACACCAAAAGCAATGGCAACCAAAGCCAAAATTGACAAATGGGATCTAATTAAACTAAAGAGCTTCTGCACAGCAAAAGAAACTACCATCAGAGTGAACAGGCAACCCACAAAATGGGAGAAAATCTTCGCAACCTACTCATCTGACAAAGGGCTAATATCCAGAATCTACAATGAACTCAAACAAATTTAAAAGAAAAAAACAACCCCATCAAAAAGGGGGCGAAGGACATGAACAGACACTACTCAAAAGAAGACATTTATGCAGCCAAAAAACACATGAAAAAATGCTCACCATCACTGGCCATCAGAGCAATGCAAATCAAAACCACAATGAGATATCATCTCACACCAGTTAGAATGGCAATCATTAAAAAGTCAGGAAACAACAGGTGCTGGAGAGGATGTGGAGAAATAGGAACACTTTTACACTGTTGGTGGGACTGTAAACTAGTTCTACCATTGTGGAAGTCAGTGTGGTGATTCCTCAGGGATCTAGAACTAGAAATACCATCTGACCCAGCCATCCCATTACTGGGTATATACCCAAAGGACTATAAATCATGCTGCTATAAAGACACATGCACACCTATGTTTATTGCGGCATTATTCACAATAGCAAAGACTTGGAACCAACCCAAATGTCCAACAACGATAGACTGGATTAAGAAAATGTGGCACATATGCACCATGGAATACTATGCAGCCATAAAAAATGATGAGTTCATGTCCTTTGTAGGGACATGGATGAAATTAGAAATCATCATTCTCAGTAAACTATCGCAAGAACAAAAAACCAAACACCACATATTCTCACTCATAGGTGGGAATTGAACAATGAGAACACATGGACACAGGAAGGGGAACATCACACTGTGGGGACTGTTGTGGGGTGGGGGCAGCGGGGAGGGATAGCATTGGGAGATATACCCAATGCTAGATGATGAGTTAGTGGGTGCAGCGCACCAGCATGGCACATGTATACATATGTAACTAACCTGCACATTGTGCACATGTACTCTAAAACCTAAATAATAATAAATTAAAAAAAAATAAAAAAATTAAAAAAAATATGGAAGCATACTTGTATGCCCATTATGAACCACTGGGAAAAAAAAATAGAATCACCAAATGATCCAGTAATTTCACTTCTGGGTATAACCCTGAAAGAATTGAAAGTAGGGTCTTGAAGAGATATTTGTATACCCACATTCGTAGGAACATTATTCACAATTGCTAAAACAAGGAAGTAACCCATGTCCATCAATGGATGACTGAATAAGCAGAATGTGCTATATACATACAATGGAATATTATTCAGCCCTACAAAAGAAGGAAATGCTGATATATGCTACTATGCTACAACATGTATTAACCTTGAGGACATTATGCTAAGTGAAATAGGCCATGCACGAAAAGACAAATACTGTAGAATTCTACTTATATGAAATACTTAGAGTCGTCAAAATAATAGAGAAAAAATAGAATGGTGATTGCCAGGATCTAGGGAGATGGGGGAAATGGGAAATTACTGTTTAATGGGTATACAAGTAGGGTATTTTAAAAGTGTATTTAGTGATGTCATAACATAAGCTTTTATCCATAAATTCCACAAACACCCTATAAGTTTTTAACGTCTATGAATGTTAAGGTCTCAGAATTTCTATGATATATATGCAACTATAATTTTCTAATAAATATATGTAGAAAGGGTTTATAACAATGGTGACACACATCACTTGTTCTTCCATTATCCAAATTCATATTATAGGTATTTGTTGTCTTTCTAAAATCCCAACTTAGTTTGACTTGTTAGAATCATGTTTTTTAGTTTCTAAATGAATGTAATTTTATTATCACAGATTCTTATGATACAATAAAACTGAGACAGATTAAAATGCTAATTGTACAACCTAAACAACAAAACCCTGTAATTCAGAAAAAAAGTGTTTATATATAAAAGTGCTATCTCCCCGTCATCAATAAGTCAAGCATTTAACAACATATCTTGAAACCTAACTAAACAACATTTACTTAGGCAGAGGTACAAAAATGCCCATCAAAAGGCATCTAATTCAAAACTATAAGAATTCTAGCTTTGTAGTATAGTTTGAAGTCAGGTAGTGTGATGCCTCCAGCTTTGTTCTTTTGGCTTAGGATTGACTTGGCGATGCAGGCTCTCTTTTGGTTCCATATGAACTTTAAAGTATTTTTTTCCAATTCTGTGAAGAAAGTCATTGGTAGCTTGATGGGGATGGCATTGAATGTAGAAATTACCTTGGGCAGTATGGCCATTTTCACGATATTGATTCTTCCTACCCATGAGCATGGAATGTTCTTCCATTTGTTTGTATCCTGTTTTATTTTGTTGAGCAGTGGTTTGTAGTTCTACTTGAAGAGGTCCTTCACGTCCCTTGTAAGGTGGATTCTTAGGTATTTTATTCTCTTTGAAGCAATTGTGAATGGGAGTTCACTCATGATTCGGCTCTCTGTTTGTCTGTTATTGGTGTATAAGAACGCTTGTGATTTTTGCACATTGATTTTGTATCCTGAGACTTTGCTGAAGTTGCTTATCAGCTTAAGGAGATTTTGGCTACAGTAACCAAAACAGCATGGTACTGGTACCAAAACTGAGATATAGATCAATGGAACAGAACAGAGCCCTCAGAAATAATGCCATATATCTACAACTATCTGATCTTTGACAAACCTGAGAAAAACAAGCAATGGGGAAAGGATTCCCTATTTAATAAATGATGCTGGGAAAACTGGCTAGCCATATGTAGAAAGCTGAAACTGGATCCCTTCCTTACACCTTATACTAAAATCAATTCAAGATGGATTAAAGACTTAAACGATAGACCTAAAACCATAAAAACCAGAGAAGAAAACCTAGGCATTACCATTCAGGACATAGGCATGGGCAAGGACTTCATGTCTAAAACACCAAAAGCAATGGCAACCAAAGGCAAAATTGACAAATGGGATCTAATTAAACTAAAGAGCTTCTGCACAGCAAAAGAAACTACCATCAGAGTGAACAGGCAACCCACAAAATGGGAGAAAATCTTCGCAACCTACACATCTGACAAAGGGCTAATATCCAGAATCTACAATGAACTCAAACAAATTTACAAGAAAAAAACAAACAACCCCATCAAAAAGGGGGTGAAGGACATGAACAGACACTACTCAAAAGAAGACATTTATGCAGCCAAAAAACACATGAAAAAATGCTCACCATCACTGGCCATCAGAGCAATGCAAATCAAAACCACAGTGAGATATCATCTCACACCAGTTAGAATGGCAATCATTAAAAAGTCAGGAAACAACAGGTGCTGGAGAGGATGTGGAGAAATAGGAACACTTTTACACTGTTGGTGGGACTGTAAACTAGTTCTACCATTGTGGAAGTCAGTGTGGCGATTCCTCAGGGATCTAGAACTAGAAATACCATCTGACCCAGCCATCCCATTACTGGGTATATACCCAAAGGACTATAAATCATGCTGCTATAAAGACACATGCACACCTATGTTTATTGCGGCATTATTCACAATAGCAAAGACTTGGAACCAACCCAAATGTCCAACAACGATAGACTGGATTAAGAAAATGTGGCACATATACACCATGGAATACTATGCAGCCATAAAAAATGATGAGTTCATGTCCTTTGTAGGGACATGGATGAAATTGGAAATCATCATTCTCAGTAAACTATCACAAGAACAAAAAACCAAACACCGCATATTCTCACTCATAGGTGGGAATTGAACAATGAGAACACATGGACACAGGAAGGGGAACATCACACTCTGGGGACTGTTGTGGGGTGGGCGGGGGAGAGGGATAGCATTGGGAGATATACCTAATGCTAGATGACGAGTTAGTGGGTGCAGCGCACCAGCATGGCACATGTATACATATGTAACTAACCTGCATATTGTGCACATGTACCCTAAAACTTAAAGTATAATGATAAAAAAGAAAGAAAGAAAGAAAGAAAGAAAGAAAGAAAGAAAGAAAGAAAGAAAAAAGAAAGAAAAAGAATTCTAACCCAACTACCATGCTCTGCCTAGAATAAAGGAGTTACTTTGTGGCCTTGGTAGTTCCTTCCTACTTTGAAAACAAGTAAAAATTATGTCTATCCTCAATTGATTATAACATAAAGGAAATGGCATTAACAATAATAACAGGAACCTTACAGGCATCCTTTCATTTAAACCCGCATGCCTAGCTACTATGAATGGGCTCTTGAGCTGAACTGCCTGTGTTCAAATATTTGCTTCAATACGTAATAAGCAATACAGCATAATAAGAGTTCATAAAAATAATATATCCCCATAAGAGTGTTGTAAGTATTGAATACATTAACACATTTAAGGCCCTGACAATGTCTCACACATGGAAAGTATTAGATAAATGTTAGCTAATCCTTCTCCTCCTCCCCATCCTTTCCTTTTACAGCATTTTAGCAACCCTCTGGCTCAAAAACTATATATCGACAAGTCCTCTTCTGTTTCATGTTCACAGATTATGCCTTTACCTGAAAGATACTTTCCAGTGGTCACAAGAAGGCTTCAATAATTAAGTGTAGATGACTTTGGCCAAAAAGAAAAGCAATAGCCACAGTGGTTTACAAAAAGCCAGCACTCTCAGCTCTTTGGTTTAATAACTAGATGATGCTGAGAAAATCCCCCAACTTTTCTGAATCTTACAAATATCACGTTTATCACAAAAAAACCTGTAAGGGTATGTATATGGGTATATTTCAAAAATTGTAAAGAACTGCAGAAAGAAATAAAAACATCAACATTACTGCAAAAGAAAAAACAACACATAGTTTAACCTTACTCTCTTACAGGCTAGTGGCATCCTGTTTCGGTTCACATAGTTCTCCCTGCCTGGAATTCCTTGTTCAAGCCCTATCATTCCTTCAAAATCAAGCTCAAATACAACTTCTTAAAAATATTCCCTAACCATCTCATTTCAATAAATTTATCTTTTCAAACCCCATGAGCATTTATCACCTTATTGCACTACAGGAGTCTATCCTGACTCACCAACTGATTATAAGTTCCATCAAATCAGCAACTCTTCATTATGCCTTTTTGTATTCAATCCATGTGCAGATACAACTACCTTGCCTGCATAAAAGATGGGAAGAGAAAGAGCTCTAAAAGATTTTAGAACTCTTCAAAAGGGAAGATAATTTATTGATTGATTCAATAAACCTTCGTTGGGCACTTGGCAATGAGTCAGGTACAGTGTGGGTGCTGCTAAGGCTATAAGGTTAAATAATACACAATGTCTGACTTCGAGATCCCAAGCTTTGCAAAATCAAAAATATACTTAGACCTGCATCTGGTTCTAAATATACAAGTATTAATTCATTGCTATTATATGTTTAATTGTTAAATTATTTCATATCAATAACCTGATCTTTTTAAACATACAATGTTCCCACCATTTGCAGAAATAAAAGCAAGCACAATTTCTTATCATCCTGTCTAATGTACCCTATATGTGTCTCATAAGTTCTAAATCATAAATAAGTGTTTTTTTCTGGCACAGATCTAAAGAAAAAGTCTTTTGACATTTCCTTTTAAATATCTCTGCTCTTCTCATCCTTAAACTGATGAAAATACCACACTGCCACCATGCGAACTAGGATCACTGAATTAAATATATCAGTGACAATAAAGACAAAGCTGTTAACAATGCTGAGAAACACACATGTAATATAGAACCATTCTTATGTTGCCACAAACTTGATACGAAACACAAAATCTTCAAAGGGAAAAGTAACATCAAACAAAGCTGACAAGACAGCCAGCAGTTTAACTCAGGACCCATCTCCTTATACGGCTTGGTTTGGGTTCAGCAGTTAAAGCTCAGAGTTCAGAGCTATTCTCAGGTGGGCTGACATTCTTACCATCTGCCTCCTGAATTGCTTTGTTTCTTTTTCTTTTTTTTAAACTTACCATTCTACATTGCTATTAATATTGTAGGAGCATTTGGTCATAGTTTAAAATTTCTATAATACCCTATATCTTTCTCTATATTTCTTCTGGGAAAGCACAATAATTCAGTATTTTCTTCTTAAGGATATGGAATGTCAACACATAAGGACAATCTGTTGCAGAAATTATGATTCCTACTAAACTCAAAAACATATCCCAAAGCACTCTCTTTACCTGAACTTAGAACTTAAAAGAATATTTCTTCCATTCTTTGCATTATTTTTCAGCGCTACAGATTGTCTACTAGTATATTCCTCACCATTATTACTTATTTATTGTACTCCAGTAGTATGCTAGGCACTGAATAAGGTAAAAACAAGACACAATTCCTGATCTCAGGTGAACAATTCAAATACAACCCACACAACAGCAATTTCTCTCCTTTCCTTTCTCCTTCCCTTAAGAAAGGGGCAGGGAGACCACAGAAATATGACATTTTCAGTAATAATCTGACATACCAGACGACCTTATTAATAAAGAAATTCCGGACCCATAGAGACAGAAGACCAATTACAGCCATTGCTTTTTGATATCTGAACTTCCAAATAGGCTTATGAACTTTAACTTGATCCACATAATTTGGAATTTATAATGGAATTTTTAGCAAACTATTTGTTATCTACCAGTATTAGGTATCGTAGTGACATCTAGGAATAGAGCAATCTCCTACTCACATAGCACTTCTAGAATAGGATTAGTCAACTAAAAATCAATTGTAATATGATACAATTAATGTTATAATTATACAAGAGGATGTTTGGGGAGAGACTTGGGATTTAAAACTTGGGAAAAAATCAAGTAGGTGAAAGGCTGAAAATACTATTCCAAGCAAGAAATCAGCATATACATAAAGGCTCATGGGGGAGAGCATGGTATATTTAAAAAGAAAAAGAATTCAAATGTGGCTGAACATGTTAAAAAGCAATGTGGTCAATGTGTGCTTTTTTAAATAATAAAAACTGAATGTAAGTAAAAACAAACCAATTTAAAAAAACAATAGATAGGTAACCCTTTTAACTGGTAACCTTATGTTAGTTCTTTGCATTTTATGCTTAAAAATGAATTGTCTTCTTTTATATAATATTGAGTATGTTGTTTCTAAATGGCTAGTTAAAAGAGAGCATTTCAGGCTGCTACTGTCTAGCACTTCTTTCAAATTATATATTGTAGCACTTGATTTTCAATAAATGTACAGCCAATCTAAATAAAGTTATCACAATTCTCTCTTCTTAACACTGGCTTTGAAACATTAAAAATATCAAGCGTTGGTATAAGAATTTTGATCAGATGAATGGAACTTGTGGATCTGTTGAAGACTGAGGTAAATTTCCCTAATTATCTTTTTTAAGATTCCTTATTATCACTGAATTTCAAACTCAGTGTTTTTTTTAAGGTTTCCTATCTATTCAATGGTATATTATGGGTGCAAATTAAATGTGAATAACAATAAAAACAAGTTTAAACTGAAAATGGTTAAGATTACAATAGTGTCCAGAAGTGTTAAACAAAGTAATAAGTTAACCAAGTATTGAATCGCTACCGGCGAGCTCCATTAACCAATACACTAACTTTCTATGCATTCCTGACTGCCAAATATTCAATTTCAAAGGTGAAAAACTTTAAATATTTAAATACTCATTTTGTTTGTTATTCTAAAAAATAGAAACTGAAACATATGCTATTACTGTTGTTAATGATCTGAATCCTCTGCAATAGTCTGCCGGCTGGGTGAGGTAACACTTAGGTGGCACAAGGCCCTGAGAGGGACACCTTTAAGTGGCATGGAAGGCTATGACAGAAATAATAATAATAAAGTGAATGAGAAAACACTTGTTTAGTACCAGAAGGCACCTTAGAGATTATCTAGTCCAATCTCCACCTTTTACAGTCGTGGGAACTACCAGAGAGGTTAATCACCCAAGATCATATAGCTAATGTTGGCAGGGCAAAGATTAACTTCTTAACGCTATGTTTTGTTTTTTGAACCTAGTGAGATAGGGTCTCACTAGGTTGCCCTTGGTTGTTCTTGAACTCTCAGACTCAAGTAATTCTCCTGATCTTCCTGAGTAGCTGGGACTAGAGGCAAGGTCTTAGCTCTTGACTCCACAGTCCAGTTTGCTTTCCACCACACAAAATTAGGAGCATATCCCTTCAATTTCTCTGTACCTCAAAAATAAAGGGGAGAAATATTGAGGAGATAAAGCTATAGTAACAGTGAATATGTATAACTTCTGGTGAGGGAGATGGAGAGAGAAAATTGTTTATTGTACTCAAATAGTACAAGATGTTTGATGATAGATAGTACCTTTTTATATCCTTGTTGGTTCCCACATTTGGTCTGCAAGTTTGACTTTGTGCAAAGGGACCGAACCCTTATTTCCATTAAGAAATTATTGTGTATATCCTTCCTTATGTGGGAAGTTGAGAAGTCAAGTCAGTTACCAGTGTAACTGGTAATTTCCTGGAAAATTCCCTTCAATCATTGAAAAAGAGAAATGACCTTAAATGACTTGCAGCTTAATTAGATAAGATTCTGAGTTCTACAGGTAGATCAAATACTATGGGTGGGAAATCCATGCTTCAGTATATTACTATGAAAAGTCTTTATTCATTAAGTTTATAAAGGTCAAATACAAAATATAGACTGTAAAACATGTATTTACATATATTTCATTATTTCAAAGATAATTTTACACTCTTAGCAAAATTATGTGTATTGCTTTTATCCACTAAACAAATGATATAAAGTTGTATGGCATCAATAATCAAGATCTGTACCAAGTAGTGCCAAAAAGAGTGTACGCATTGAGTAAAGCAAAAGTATTTTTGTTGGAAGAAACAAAAACAAGTCTTAAATTTTCAGGCTTTCAAGCAGTCATGAAACAAATAAAATAATTTTACAAAGTGTAGAAGTTATCATGAAATTATCCATCCCTTTTCATTATTTTTTGCCTTGAGTATGTAATTGATACTTTATGACATACTTAACTACTTTTTTAACAGATCATTTGTTCCGGGGTGTCTCAAATAACTACTTATTTAACAGATCAGTTATTCCAGGGTGGACTACCGCTTCCAAATTTTTAAGCAGCAGAATGCATTTATTACATGAAATCTTATTTCAAAATTTAATTTCTAAATGACATAAAAGTAAAGTTATTCTGCTCGGGGAAGTGGTGGAAGTAAAAATTCTGTTCTCTAGGCTTCTCCCACTCCCAGCCTGAGGTATCCATATGAGATAGAGATAAACAAGACTGTGAGACTTATTTAATGGCTGCTTCTAATAAATAACTACCCTATACTTTTTCATGCACTTTTGTTATTGAAATGGTGACCAATTTAAACTCTTTTGAATCACTGCTAAGAAGCATTATATATACCTGATGTCCTTTATTGCAGTGCCATTAAGGAAACAAACTATGTGATTATAAAAGTTGAATTGTTTCAATAATCTGACTTCAAATATTCTGCAGGGTTTTCTTTTCTTTTTTTTACCTGTGTAGGATAAATACCATATTTCTACAACTGAAGGATTCTGTATGCAAATAAATATGAATCAGGATATATAAGTACATGAACTAAGATATTAAAAAGTGATTACTCCATAGCCAAAATAGTATAATACCATGAAATAGTGAGAATATTTATATCTATATGGATATTATCTATTTAGACACAGTATATAGATATAAATAGGTGTAGACATAATTCTTCAAAACTCCTTCTTGGGCCATTTTCTTTTCTCAAAAAAAAAAAGGTTATATTATCAAGAAGAGGCAAAACCAGCTAGGGTGTACATAATTATAATCATAAGAATCTATAATATTAATGTTATTTAATAAAAGATCGTGAAAAATTAAGTCATAAGTCACCACAAAATGATATATCAAAGCAATCATTTTATCATGAAAAAATTAAATAAAATCTATTGTGTATACTATCCATATGGCATTATTTTTTCAAACAAATTCATATTTTTAGTTAGAACTAATCAAAAATAAAGTGGTAGAGACTAGAAAAATAAAGTCCTGTAACCTTAGCTGGCCCCTTACATTCTGGAAGAGTATCTTTCCAGTTGGTGTCAGGCAAACATGGAGAACAAAAGAATATCCAAAAGAATAAGCTGAATTCAGATTCTATCAAAGTATGCCCTAAGCCAAAGTTCTGGGAAAGACAGCTATTTCTTCCCAATTTCTCAGCTAACATAGAATCTTAAGAACAAATGCAATATATCCAAACTTCAAACCAGTCTAACATGGAAGGATGTACACTTTCAATTCTCTGTGCATAAAGTAACTTCAAAAGGAAAGAGAAAGATCCTTTTGTTCTAGGTAAAAGGCCTTAACCATAGACCCAGTGAATTTGTGAGTCTTTATATACAGTCATTTTTTAAAAGAAAAAAAAATTAGGATTTTTTTTCGTAGAAAACTGTAAAACTTTTATTTAAGCTTAAATGCTCTTCTCTATTAATAGTGTATGCACAGAGTAAGGCACACTCCATGTAAACTTGGTCATTCTTAATTTTTCCCCACTATTTCATAACCTGGAATTCATTTTCAAAAAGAAAATCTATTCCCATCTTTAGTTTAGAGCACGGGTTTTGGACACACAGATAATGGTTCCAGTCTAGACCCAAACAGCATGGTATTGAGCAAATTACATATTCTCTCTGGGACTGAGATTCCTCATCTGCAAGGTGAGGAAATAACATTTCCCTCATAAGACTGGTATAAAGATTAAATTAAATAATAGATGAGGTAGATACCAGTGTAAAGTGTCTCTTCAGTATCTGGCAATCAGGTGTTACTGATATTATTTAGATTACGGGATTACTAATTTGTTCTCTATTTTGAATCAGTTGCTCATCTTTCTCTTTCAAGACGTACATACTATATTACCAACCCATCTCTTCACCCATCCATTCCTCACAATTAATTATCTATGTATTAACTCTTAACTTGGACAAAAGCTTCCTTGTCCATACATGATTCACAGTGACAGAGTTAAATACTCAATGAGTTTACCCAGTAGAAAAAGATGTGCCTTGACCACCCACATCACTGTATTTAACGTCTTGGGTGTGGGAGATTTCCTTTTAAAGAAATCATTTAGCTCTCTCTCTTAGGTATTAAGCTTGGCATAAATTCAGCATTTTCAAGCAAAACTTTATTCCAAAATTATAATGAGAATTATGACTCTTTATGTTTGTTGTTCAACTCCCCAGTGTGCTTTTTTAGTAATGACTTTTAAAATAATGTCTACTTTAAAACTGCTGACAAAAAAGTATTCATAGTATATAAGGGGGATTTTAGACATCTAAAATACAATGGAATTGGAACTCCTTACAATACATAGTTATATTTATACCAGTGACAATTGTATAGAAAATTCTAAAGTATTGGAATCATCTAATTATTACAACTTTTACTTCCCTGGAAGGTGTAAATACATGAGTCTAATAAGCTTTTTTCTCACTATGAAAAAATTTACTTATATTAAAATATTAAAAACTGTTTAATGAGGTTCATTTCCTTCCAAAAGTAAACTGAGGTTGTCTCTGAACCAGCTTGAGGCAAAGGAAGTTTCAAACACAACATTTTTTAAACTAGCCATTATTTCCCATGTTGAAAAAAATTGCAATTTTATTTCCTAACAGCAAATGAAACTGTCAGGAAAATTTAGGTGTAATAAAATTGGGCGGTTAAACCAACATGCTGGATTTGAAATAAAACTGAATTAAAGGAATTAAAATTAATTCTTATGTCAGTCAACTCTTTAAAAATACTATTCAAAACTTACTGTTTTTACAAACAGCACTTCCTTGTTCTTGATAAAGTGCAAAGTTAACTATCCCTTTAATGTCCACTAATGGTGCTGCAGTTGAAATTGTGCACTGAGCAATATTTTGCATAAAATGTGTTGCTTCTGGCAATCTTTCCACCTAAAAAAAAAGTTGTCAAACAGGGTGACTTTAGTGGTACAGAGTTTTAAAATGATGGATTCAGTCCAAGGTTAGCTAATAACGGCTGACATGCCCTGGAATCTTGAGGCCTAAATCAACATTGTTTTCACAGCTGTAATTAAGCCACCTAATCAGAAGCACATTTTGACGGGACAGTTTCTGGAAGCCAGACATTACAATTTCTTATGCCTGGAGCGCAGTGGCTCATGAGAGGTCCTCGTTTAATTTCAGGTTAAGGGGAGGTGGGGAGGCAGTATAATAAAAAAGACTATTTTTTCAAGCAACATACAACTGTTGAAATGCAGCAGGCCCAAGTGTTCATGCCTTGACCAGCCTTGCATCCCACCCTCCTCTCGCTCTCTGCTGAGTCCCCTCAACTCTCAAGTGGCAGCTGCACACAATGAGATGAAGGGTCTCTGCCAAGATCAACAGATGAGCTGGTCTGAACTGGCTCTCTGTGTGTTCTGATTGTAAATTGTGCTGGTGATGATTAGAGAACTCTAACACAGGATGTCAACTCTTAAAACTGTCCAGAGAAAATAATTTCTTTAAGTTCAGGAAAAAATTTTTGACTTTTTTTTTGTGGCTTGGTGCATAGTGTCGTGTCTATAACTTTCATATGATTCAAATGAATTCACCCAAATTAAGCAACTCTGTTATTAAGAAAGAAAAAAGAAAAGAAGGCAGTGGCTTGGCTTCTAGCAGGGACCTTCATCTGGGTCTGTTTATATAACAGTGCTGCAAAGCATAGTCCTCCACTGGAACACTAGTCTTGTGCTTCTACCACCTGCCAACAGTACCTATTCATAAAATGATGAGAATCTAGAATGTGACAGTCACATCTTATCAAGTAACTATGTTGATGACTTTCAAACAGCTAAATTGCCAGCCTAAGTTGTTTTCTGCAATGTTGTTACATTCTGTAACATTTAAACTTTCAACCCCAGAGGCCATTGTAAAACTATCAATATGAAGGCACTAGTCACTGGAGTCTGATTACATTTAGTTCTGCATTTTAATTACATATGGATTCTATTAACTAAGGCTTTTGCCTTATAGGCAACATTTTAATCAAATTACTATAATTTTCAAATATGTTACAACAGTCTGATGAGTTAAAAGTTCACATTCCTAACATATTAAGTATCAAAAAATGTTGCATAAAAAAAGGAAATACTCCTTACAAATACGCTAATACATTTTTTTATTACTTTGGGGATTTATTGACTACCTAGTTACAAGTCACATTGTGAGACTCACATAACTGGTATACATTTGTAAATGACTTACATTTATATTATATGCTAATATAACCAAATTCAACATATAATTTTATTATAAATTTAGAAACACACTTAATCTATTGTTGTAAACTGACACAGGAACAAGACAAAACATAGTTAGACTCTTGGATTCAAAATCAGTATTTGTAACTTCAATTGAAGAATTTTAAAGCTGACAGGGAATTTAGATTTCATCAAATAGCAACCCTTCATTTTACAGCCAGGAAAACCAAGACCCAGGGAGATAGCACAATTTATTTCCCAAAGCTTTGAGGTGAGTCAATAGTAAAGTTTGCTCTAGAACTCAAATTTCCTCTGAGTCTCTGTCATGCTCTTTCCACTACAACATATTGCCATCCTGTGTAAGCAACAATCTACCTGCCTATCCTACACCACCCAAGAACTCAAAGAAATATTTTTAATGAGATAAAATACACACAAAATTTACTAGTTTTGCAATTTTAAAGTGTACAATTCAATGGCATCAGGAACATTCACAACATTGTGCCACCATCACCACCATGTAGTTCCAGAACCTTTTCATCACCCCAGAATGAAATTCCATATGCGTTAAGCAGTCATTCTCCATCCTCTCCTCCCCCTAGCCTCTGTCAATCACTAATGTGCTTTCTTGTCTCCATGGATTTGCCTATTCTGGATATTTCATATAAAATGGAATCATACAAATGTGGCCTTTTGTGTCTGGCTTCTTTCACTTAGCATAACGATTTCACAGTGCATCCATGTTGTAACACGTATCAGTGCTTCTTCCCTTCTTATTGCTGAATTTTATTATTCGTCCATGGTTTGGCTGTATGGCATTTACCTATTCATCAACTGATGGACTTTGGGTTGTTTGTACCTTTTGGCTTTGTAAATAGTGCTGCTATAGACATTTGTATACAAGTATTTATTTGTATGAATACCTGTTTACAATTCTTTTGGGTATATATGCAGGAGTAAATTTGCTGGGTCATATGGTAACTCCAAGTTTAACTTATTGAGGAATCATTTTCCACAGTGGTTTACCACTTTACATTCCCACCAGCAATGTATAGGGGTTCCAGTTTCTCCATATCCTTGCAATGCTTGTTATCTTCCTTTAATTATGACCATCCTAGTGGGTGTAAAGTGGCATCTCACTGTGGTTTTGATTTGCATTTCCTTTTCTTTTTTCCTTTTCTTTCTTTTCTTTTCTTTTTTTTTTTTTTTTGAGACAGGGTCTCACACTGTTGCCCAGGCTGGAGTGCAGTGGCATGATCATAGCTCACTGCAGCCTTCAATTCCTGGGCTCAAGCAGTCCTCTCACCTTGGCCTCTCATGTAGTCAGGAATACAAGCACATGCCAACACGCCCAGTTAATCTTTTTTAGTTTTTGTAGAGATGAGGTCTCACTATAGTACCCAGGGTGGTCTCCCTGGCCTCAAGTGATCCTCCTGCCTCAGCCTCCCAAAGCATTTGCATATCTTCTATGGAGAATTAGCTGTTCAAGTCCTCTGTGATTTTTTAAAAATTAGATTGTCTTTTTGTTGTTGAGTTGTAAGAGTTCTTTGCATAGTATGGATATCAGGGATTAATCAGATATATAATTATAAATATTTTCCCCCATTCTATGGGTTGTCTTTTCACTGTCTTGATAGAGTCTTTCCATGCTTTTAATTTTGAAGAAGCCCAATTTATTATTTTTCTTTTGTCACTTATCCTTTTGGTGTCATATCTAAGAATCCATAAGAATCCACTGCCAAATCCAAGCTCATGAAGATTTATTGGTATGCATTTTACTAAGCATTTTATAGTTTTAGATCTCTTATGTAGGTTTTTAATCCATTTTGACTTAATTTTTGTATATAGTGCAAGGTAAAGGTTAAAGAAAATTAAGAGGGACATTTTAAATTTTCTGAGACAAATGAGAATGGAAACATATCGTACCAAAATCTATGAGACACAGCAAAAGCCATTCTTGCAGGGAAGCTTATAGCACCTACATTAAAAAAGAAGAAAGATTTCTAATAAACAACCTAATGATACACCTCCAGGAACTAGAAAAATAAGAACAAACTAAGCCCAGAATTGGTAGAAGGATGGAAATAATTTTTAAAAGTAGAGACTAAGAAAAATAATTTAAAAGATTAATAAACTGAAGCATTCGTTTTTTGGAAAAGTAAACAAAATTGACAAACCTTTAGCAAGACTAAGAAAAAGAAAGAAAAAATAAATAATATCAGAGATTAAAAAGAAGACATCACAATTGATACCACAGAAATATAAAGGATCATAACCTTCCAAGATTAAATTACGAAGAAATAGAAAATCTGAACAGACCAAAAACAAGTGAGGAAATTGAACATCTTAATTAAACATCTTCCATCAAAGAAAAGTTCAGGACCTGATGGCTTTACTGCTGAAATCTATCTAACATTCAAAGAAGAAGAAATAAAAATTCTACTCAAACTATTCCAGCAAATTGAAAAGGAGAAAATACTTTTAAATTCAGTTTATGAGGTCAGCATTATCCTGACTCCAAAATTGCACAAGGACACACAGACAAAAAAAACTACAGGCCAATATCCCTGATGAACATAGAGGCAAACTTTCTCAACAAGATACTATCAAACCAAACTCAACAGCACATTAAACAGATTATTCACTGTGATCAAGTGGAATTCATCATGGGGATGCAAGGATGGTTTAATATACACAAATCCATAACTGTGATATACCACATTAACATAAAGACAAAATATGATCATTTCAATAGACACAGAAAAAGGATGACAAAATTCAAAATCTATCATGATAAAAGCTCTCAACAAGTGAGGAATAGAAGGTATGTACCTCAAAACAATAAAGGCCTATGGGAAACCCATAACTAACATCATATTGCATGGGGAGAAGACGTTTTTCCCCTAAAATCAGGAAGAAAACAAGGACATCCACATTCGCCACTTCTATTCAACATAGTACTGGAAGTCCTAGCCAGAGCAATTATGCAAGAGAAAGAAACAAAAGGTATCTAAATTGGAAAGGAGGATGTCAAGTTGTCTCTGTTTGCAGAAAGCATAATCTTATACATAGAAAACCCCAAAAACTGCACCAAAAAAACTTTTACAAGTAATAAATGAATTCAGTAAAGTTGCAGGATATAATATCAATATAAGAAATCAGCAGCATTTTAATATTCAAATAGTCAACTATCTGAAAAAGAAATAAAGAAAACAATTCCGTTTACAATAGCTATAAAAAAGTAAGATATCTATGAAGCAACGTAACCAAAGATGTGAAAAATCTCTATACTGAACACTATAACATTTTAATAAAATAAAGTGAAGAGGATACAAATAAATGAAAAGATATCCCATGTTCATGGATTGGAAGAATTAATATTGTTAAAATGGCCATACTGCCCAAAGTGATCTATAGATGTAATGCAGTCCCTATCAAAAGACCAATGACATTCTTCACAGAAATGGAAAAAAAAGTGCTAAAATTCATGTGAGACCACATACACACACAAAAACCCTGAATAGCCAAAACAATCCTGAGCAAATGAAACAAAGCCACAGGCATCATACTACCTGACTTCAAAATATACTGCAAAGCTATAGTAAGCAAAACAGCACGGTACTGGCATAAAAACAGACACATAAACCAATGCAACAGAACAGAGAACCCAGAAATAAAGTCATACACCTAAGGTGCTAAGCACACACATTGGGGAGAGGACAATCTCTTCAATAAATAGTATTGGGAAAACTAAATATCCACATGTAAAAGAATGGCATTAGACCCCCTACCTCTTACCATATCCAAAAATCAACTCAAAATAGGTAATAGACTTAAATGTAAAATGCAAAGCTATGATAACACTAGAAGAAAACATAGGAGAAATGCTTCATGATATTGGGTTGGGGAAGAATTTTTTGAGTAAGACCTCAAAAACACAGGCAACAAAAACAAAAATGGACAAATGTGATTACATCAAACTAAACAGCTTTTGCACAGCAAAGGAAATGATGGACAGAGTAAAGAGACAACCTACAGAATGGCAGAAAATATAGGTAAACTATACACCTCTCAAAGGGTTAATATCCAGAATATATAAGGAACTCAAACAACTCAACAGCAAAAAAAAAAAAAAAAAAAAAAGAAAGAAAGAAAGAAAGAAAGACCCCAATTTAAAAATAGGCAAAAGACCTGAATAGACAGTTCTCAAAAGAAGACATACAAGTAGATAACAGGCATATGAAAAAATGCTCAACATCACTAATCATCAGGGAAATGCAAATCAAAACCACAATGAGATATCACCTCATTTCAGTTAGAATCATTATTACCAAAAAGGCAAAAGAAAACAAATGTTGGTAAGGATGTGGAGAAAAAGGGAACATTTACACACTGTTGGTAGGGTTGTAAAGTAGTACAGCTATTAATGGAAAACGGTATGGAGTTTCCTCAAAATGTTAAAAATAGAACTACAATATGACCCAGAAATACCACTACTGGGTATATATCCAAAGGAAATGGAATCAGTAGGTCAAAGAGATAGCTGCACTCCAATGTTTATTGCATGGATGTGACTATGGTTAACAGTAAAATGTTGTATATTAGAAAATAGCTAGAAGAGAGGCTTTGAATGTTCTCACCACAAATAAATGATAAATGCATGAGATTATGGATACACTAACTACCCTGACTGGATCATTATACAACATAAATATGCATCAAAACATCAAATTATACCCCAGATATATGTGCAATTATAATGTGTCAGTTCAAAACATAATTTTTAAAAAAGAATTTTATAGTTTTAGCTCTTATAAATAGGTCTTTGATTCATTTTTAGTTAATTTCTGTATATAGTGTGAGGGAAGACTTCAAGGAAACACATTTTTGAAAACAAACTTTCTACTGATTTATGTAAATTAGACCTCTATTTCTGAAATAACATAAAGTCTTACTTTTTGCTAGGCCTAAGTAGAGTTCATTTTAACTCAGTATATCGTCACTAACAAACACTTACTGAGTATATACCATGTAAGTAAAAGGTATTATGATGGTAATTTTATGTCTATGTATGTCCACCTCTACATAAACACCCAGAGGTAGGGGTGCCAAAATATCTGAGAAAATCATTTAAGTGGTATGTTGAAAAGAATGTTCTTCTTTGTCACAAATAATTCTGTGTTGTCTTTTTTTTTTAGGAAAAGTAGTGAGAAGAAACATCCAATGTATATTATTTAAAAGTATTTACTTAAAATTTTACCATATATAGAATATGTAAATTATTCTACTCATTTTCATTAAGTGCTAATACAGAATAATATAAAACAGTTTGATGGAAATTAAAGAAAATTTGGTGTGGGAAAAATTCGGAGGGAATCATGGTTTATGCAAAGTATAGGTCCAATAACAAGTATAGATTGAACAAATATTATGAAATGAGTGACCTTCTCATTAATTTCAATTCAAATCAAGCAGCATTTATTAAAATCTGATCATTATAATGGATTATAAATATGACTAAGACATCACCTCAAAGTCTCACAATATGCTAATACATACACAACTAATTGGTTACGTAAGTCAGACTACTATACAGAACTCACACATGTAAATACAGTGACAAACGATCAGAACAAAGGAACTCTTACTTCTTCTGCCAATTGAACAATGGTGAAAAAAACCAGAAGGAGTCAGAATATGCCAGAATGTCAATGGTAAAAAACTCATACTTTATTATGGGGAAACTGTAGAGAAAAAACAACTCTTGAGTTTCTAGAATATGAGAAATCTTTAAAAGTTTGAAAATGTTTTCAGTAATGCTATGACCTGACCATATCTGTGTTTTGGAAGGATAACTCTGGCACTAATAAGGCAGGGTGAATAGAAGAAAAAAGACTAGATATGAGAAAACTTATTGGAAGACCATTGCAATAGCCCAGGGAAATGGTCATGTGACCACACAGATAGAAATAAGAGGATGGGTCTAAGAGATCTGTGGTGGTAGAAACAGTAAGGCTTAGCAATAAATTAAATATTGGTGGTAGAGGGAAAGTGGAACAAAAGTTAAGGACTCTTCCTTGGGCTGCAAGGTGGACAGTTATTTCAGAGACAAGCAATGCAGGCAAAGGAGAATTAGGAGAAACAGGGCACAGAAGTGTTGAAAAAAGTGTTCAGTTTGGGACCTCAGTGAATTTCAGGCTTTTGCAGAAAATCAAAGTGCAGATGTTTAATAGGTAATTGAAACCCTTAAAGAACTCAATTTGGTAAAAAAGACAAAATAGTAGGGGAGACACTCAGAAGCATATTTAGTTGTTGCCATTCTTTGAAAAACTAATAGGAATAATTAGAGCATTATGTTGCCAGTTACTATCCATATTTTCTGCAACTTAATTACTAATCAATTATACTGATCACTTTGAAATTTTAATTCTGGCACTTCTTGCTCCATCCTTGTAAAACTTCATCACTGTGGAATAGAACTATATAAATATATATTAATGTTTATACTGATATGCAAAATAATATATATCTAATATGTTTTATATTATATGAATGTATACTTATATTTACATAAATACAAAATTTATATCATGTCCCAAAAGTCACTATCAGGATTTGGGTTAGTCACCATGATGAAAGTGCATCTTCTTAAACTGCATTACATAAAACAAAATTCTAGAAAGAAGGTATGAGGCCATTGGAATATGCACCAATAACTCCAGGCCCCTGTTTCCTATACAAACAACTCTTGAGTTTCTAGAATATGAGAAACCTTTAAAAGTTTGGAAATATATGCCAAGGATCAAAAAAAATATATTTTGCATGCTGACTGAGCTGTCCAGTTTTTGATATTTTATGTTTTCCTTATTCAGCTCTATTAGTATCCAAAAGCCAGAGCTGGCAGTCACAATAAAAATATGAGAGAACTTAATGAAAATCTAACTAAGAAGTATTTAGCAAAGGGTAAAATGAGCACTGTTATGACATAAAATGCAGGTGAATTTTGAGAATAGGAAAAAAATGAAATTTGGGTAAGGAAAATAAAGCAAAAGGAGTAAATATTTTGTAATGTAGTTGTCAGAGATATCACAGTGAGAGTTTCTCAAACAGTGAAATTTATCACAGCTTATATGCCACACAGCTGGCCCCTTCTCCTCCAGTGTCATCTCTCACAATTCTCCATCTAATCCACTCTGCTTCAACCATGCTAGACATCTTTCAATCCCTTGAGCTTGCCATGCTTTCTCATGTCAACTCCGACGTAATCTTCATTTTTTTCAACTGAGATTTCAATTCCCCAGGCAGGCCTTTCCTCACCACAGCCCAAGTGAAGTCCCTCAGTTATATGCTCTGAAAGCACCCTACGCTTGTACTTTAACAGCCCTCTTTTAATTACTTGTACAATGGTTGTATTCTCCACTATATCTGAAGTGCCATGATGGTAAAGATTTGTCTTATTCCACATTGCAGTCTCATCGGAAAGCACCTGACAGGGAATCAGAGGTCTTGGCTTGTAATCTGATTGGTTTCTAATTAAAAGCCAGGGAGTTGAACTCCAGAATCTGTACTTTATACCATTGAAGTGCACTGTATAGCCTCTCTCAACAAATTGTCAAGGCTAACAGCTGTTTCAAAAAAATATTCTTAAAGGGCTAAAAACTCAATAATGAGTATCAATAATCAACTAAGATAAGGTATATGAATGTTTGTGGAAGCAACTTACCTGGAGAAAAACACTTAATTCTGTGTCAGTTTCTCTAGCTACACAACACTAAAATTAACAAATGATCCCTCTGCTATCCGTAAAGTATAACTAAAATAAATGTGGTGAAATGCTATTTTGGAACTTAAGAGAAAGAGGATCCCTTTTTTTCATCTTAACTGAACCAAAATATCTAAACAATTCACTTTTATTAACAATATAATACCACCTGACAAGTATCAAATCTGACATAATCTGAACAATGATGCAAAGATATTTCTCCCGCAAAGACACTAATGGAATGGTCCTCTGCATTGTAATTTATTATTTACTCATAAATAAAGTCCTATAAAATTAAAAACATACTGCTTAAACATACAGTGGAAATGAAGCAAATCAGTACCGTAGTTTGCAGCATCATAACTCACAGCAAAGTATTTGGGTTTGGCATTCTATGTTTCAAGACTGAAGTATCATGTTTCTCCATAGCTGTGGGTGTGCTGGTCTCCAAACACCCACAAGTAATTGGTTCTGACTGCTGTACTGTTCTCTACTGGGCTGTATGGGACTCAAAAGCTCTTTACTCAAAGCCCTTTCTAGTTATTATAACTCAAGATAAAAGCTCTGGAGCAGTCCTAAGTTAATGGGCCAAAGACCAACATACCGGAAAAGTTAAAGTACTGGCAAGTGTACAACTGATGAGAAATCTTACATGAACTCCAGCATTATTATTGTGTGTTGCTAAAAAAACTGAAAATGTTACCTAAAGAGGGATAGTTTTTAAAGATAATTATGTCTACAATATGATCAATCTCTTTATATGCATTACAATGACATGACATATGTTTTTGATAAATAATGAATATTTATTTTGTATCTGGTGAAATGGCTGGATAGGATAGTAATGAGTACATACTGGCTGCCTTGATTCATTAAATAAGTCATAACAACAACAAGTAATGGTAATACAGTACTTATTATATGGTAAAAGCACTGATATAAGGGTTGTTTTAGTTCTTTTGCCTACAAATAAAAAGATTTCCTCATAGTTAACATATTTCTTAAAATTATAGTATAGCTTAGCTATAGGAAATACATATAACTATCAGAAAATCTTTTTACACACAGATAAGAGAATATTTATTGATCACCTACTAATATGCCAGACACTGTGTCTTTGTTTCATCCTCATAACAACACTACAATGTGGGAATTTTCATCTACTTATTACAAATATCAAAACTGATGATTAGAGTGTTTTAATGGCTAATGAGTAACAGTGTCAGAATGTACATCCAGGCCTGCCTGATTCTAAAGCCTTCTGTGAGAAGGGGAAAATGGCAGCTGGTTAATAGTTTTGAGAGTAGCCAAAATAAATATGAGAGAGGTCAAGAAAGAGCATCAAAAACAAAATGGTCAGAAGTGGAATCAAATCAGATTATAAAGTAAAAAGCTGGAATTGGATGGTGCAAGAATGGATTGGGAACCGATGAAGGTAAGGTTTGGAATGACTATTGCAAGCAGTCTTGGGCTCACTGGGTACGGGCTGTTTGGGTGAGTTGGGTGGCTTTAATTAAGAGGGGGAATGGAACTAAAATAACAATACATTTCCTATTATACAAAATGATAATTTCATTCATTAAACATATGTACTATCCATAAGACCCAAGTCAACATAAAATATATATTTTGATTGCTCTTCCCACTTTACAATGTGTCAAATTGCTATACATTCTTCAGAGACTCCTACACATACATTATCTTCTCAGCACTTTCTTCTGACAATGTTAGAATGTACTCTTCTCTCATTTGTGCATCCACAGATTTTTTTATATGCCTATTTTTGTGATTTGCTTATGTCTCTGTTTCCCTAGCTAGAAGAGGAACTCACAAGGGCAGAGCATGTCTTATTCACCTCTGTCTCCATACCTCAAATAATGTCCACTTAATGATTATTTCTATATTGTTAAATACAGGTAGAAAATGGTCTATGCAATAAGGAACACAGAGACGTGTGAGTTCCAAAGGAAAGGAAATGAGCACACATTCAGTGCTTTTCAGAGATGATGGTACAAAGTACTACCTATATGTCCCTGATGCTCAAACCATCTATGTCAGTGGATATTAACATTCCAAAACATTAGATTAAGGGAAACTCAAACTCAACATACTCAAAACTACATTCACAATATTCCCCCCATTCCACTGTTTTCTTTATCAGTAAATGAGACCATTGATCCATTTCCAAAAGCAAAAAACTAGGAATTGTCCCAGGCACACCATTTTCTCTTGTTCTTCATGTCTAGCTGGTTCCTCACACTGTAGCCAAAGTGATCTTTTTTAAAATGCAAATCTGAGCTCATTCCTCCTTTAAAATTTTTCAGTGAGTTTTCCTTTGCTCTTAGGAAAAAGAACAAAGTCTGACCTCTGCCCTTTTCTCCAGACCATTCTTATATTAGACCTCTCTCGCCTTTGCTTTCTTCCGCCAGCCACACTGGTCTTTCTCAGTTTCTTCTTTCCATCACAGAAACTTTGTAGAAGTCACCACTCCCCTTTTCCTGATCTAGATCACTGTTCTTTTGCATCATTGGATAATTCCTATCCAATCTTCAGTCACTAGCTCAAGCATCACTGACTCTGAAAATGTTTTACTCATACCCTAGTCTAGGACAGCCCCATTGTTTAAAAAACTCATAATCGGTCAAGTTCTTTCCTTTCAGTGCATTGTCTTGGTTAGTAATTACACATTATTTAGTGTGATTATATGAAAAATAATTCCACTTCTAGATTTTAAGTTCATGAGAACAAGGATTGTCTGTTTTGGTTCGTATGATATCTCCAAGAACAGAACTGTGCCCACCAAAAAGCAGATGCTTAATAAATTTTGAATTAATAGATAAAGAAAAGAATTAATAATACAAAGAAGGCCGAGCACAAGTAAGCAGAGGCCTGGGAGTCAACAAAGGAAAAGTAGACATGTGAAACAAAGGAGATGAGTGTTTAAAGAAGAAAGGAGTAGCTAAAGACCTGATGTTGCATAAAAATTGAAAGGGATGGAAAGGAACTAATGGATAGAGCAAGCATAAAATTATTGGTGACTTTTGAAAAATAGTCTCAGCAGAATGACAGACTCAAAAGTCAGATGGTACCAAAGCTCAAGAATAAATGGAAAGTGAGTATATAGAAGCAAGTATAGATTACTTTTTAAGAATGTATCAATGAAAGGAGAGGAAAACAGGCTGCAGAAAGGAGCAGAGAGCTCAGTCACTGGAATATGCTAATGGTGATCAAAGAAGAGGAGTTACATGCTCAAGGCTGTAGTAGGAAGCAGGATAAAATGATGAAATTTGTAGTTGAAAGTGTTAGGTTAGTAAATAATCTTTTCCTGTGGTATAATCCAATGACTTTCTATCAAGATAATGGTTATCAGAATAATAGCTGACTTTTTTTTTTTTTTGACTAAGTGTGAGGCAAGGTCCTAAGTACTTTAACACTTCTCACTAGACTGCCCAACATCTGTATTAGGTAGCAATATCATTAACCCCATTTTACAGATGAAAGCCCTGACATGCAAGCCACATAGTTAGCAACTGACAGAACCAGAATCTGAATCCAAACTTATTTGACTTCTATGGCACACACTATTAACTGGTTAACACAATATCCACTCCTTCCTAACTCCCTTGTCCCTTAACTTATTTCAGCTATGTGTGGCCACATGACCCATTTCCAGCTATTGGAACATAAGCAGAAATCTGTTTGGAGCTTCTTTAGAAGATTTTCCCTTCTTTGAAATATATAAATATTAAATATATGTTTTTAAAAGGAAAAGCCTTTTAAGGTGTGTATAGAGATCTATCTATATACCTATATCTATATATCTATATACATGCCTTTGGAGGCATATATATAACTGAGTAACACATTATATATAAGCTGTTGTTGGGCTATCCCATCCTTCTCACTGGAATGTTACTACAAATCCTAGATCTGGGCTGCAATCTTATGACAATGAGGGAGTAGTAGAGAAATTACAGAAAAGTTGAGCCACTAAACTAATAACAATAACCACCTACTTCTAGACTTCCTGTAATGCGAGAAAAAAAGTTCTCTATTTTTTAATTGCAAGATGAAATTGCATGTATTTATCATGTACAACACATTTTCAAGTATATATACATTGTTAAATTGTTAGATCTAGCTATTAACAAATGTAATACCTCACATAGGTATCGTTTTTATGGTAGGAACCCTTAAAATCCACTCTTTGCACTTTTCAAGAATACGTCTTTATTAACTATAGTCACCATGTTGTACAAGAGATCTAGAACTTATTTCTCCTACCTAACTGTAATTATATATTCTCTGACCAACATCTCCCCATTGCTCTCTCTCCCCTATCCACTCCATCCTCTGGTAACCACCAATCTGTTCTCTACTATGAGGTTACTTGTTTAGATTCTACATATGAGTGAGATGCAGTGTTTGTCTTTCTATGCCTGGCTTATTTCATTTAACATAATGTCCTACAGATTCATCCATGTTGTCGTAAATGACAAGATTTCGTTCTTTTTTACGACTGAATAGTATTTATTATGTATATATACTATATTTCCTTCATCCATCCATCCATTGATGGACACTTAGGCTGATTATATATCTTGGCTATTGTGAACAGTGCTGTGATAAACATAGGAGCGCAGATATCACAACTCTGAAACTACTAGAAGAAAGCATGGGGTAACTCCATGCCATTGTTCTTGGCAATGATTTTTTGGGATATGATCTTAAAAATTATATGCAATACAACCAAAAACAGACAAATGCGATTAAATCAAACTAAAAAGCTCTGCACAGCAAAGGAAACAATCAACACAGTGAAGAGACAACCTACAGGATGGGAGAAAATATTTGCAAGCTATACATGTGACAGGGATTAATATCCAAAATAAGTAAGGACCTCTAACAATAGCAAGAAAACAAATAACCTGATTTTTAAAATGGGCAAAAGACCTAAATAGACATTTCTCAAAAGAAGACATACAAATGGACTTGTGTATGAAAAAATGCTCAATATCACTAATCTTCGGGGAAATGCAAATGAAAACCACAATGAGATATCACCTCACTCCTGTTACAATGGCTGTTAACAAAAAACAAAAGATAAGTGTTGGTGAAGACGTGGAGAAAAAGGAATCTTTGCACACGCTGGTTGTAGGAATGTAAATTAGTACAGTCATGGAAAACAGTATGAAGATTCCTCAAAAAATTAAAACTAGAACTATCATGTGATCCAGCAATCCCACAACTGGGTATATATCCAAAGGAAATGAAATCAGTAGGTCAAAGAGATATGCGCACTCCTCTATTTTTTAAATTGTGCTAGTCAGATCTTCTGTTATTTACACCTGATAGTATTCCTAATGGATATACCTCCAAAGCCCATGCTCTTACCCACCAAACAATATTGCCTCTCATCTACGAAATACAAAGACAAAGGTTTGTTTTTCTATTTCCTTTAGAGAGTTCTTAAAAAGTTCAAGTTAGTAAATGCATATACAAATATCTTTTAAAAATAAAAACCATCACACAAGTTTATTATTTTTAAAACAGTGATTCTCAACTAAGGGAAAAGACAGGAGAGCACACATCCTGTCAAGACATGGAATTGGGCAGCATTCTCCTAAAAGGATACATCAGAATCACCTGGGGGAATGTTTCGCATTCTATAGATGAAGAATCACTACAGGGTGAACCATCTCTTCTAAATGAAATGATGAATGTATCCTGTAGATATGTTCAAAGGGGAAAAAGTGTTGAAAAGTAGAGTTTTGGTATGATTGTGAAGTATATTAAACACACTTTCATTAAGATATCAGTAGCGTAACAATTGGTAAAAATTTTTGGAACCCACGGAGAAACAATCTCACCTTACCAAGTTTGGTCTTCTTAAAATACAAGTAATTGTTTTCATATTAAATAACAGTAAAAAGTAGTAATAGTATGACCCAACAAAGCTGATACAACTTAAACAGTATAATGTAAAATTAACCAATCAAATCAGAGATAGCAAGAAGAAATATGAAAAAGGCTAGAATAAATTCCAAATACTCCAAAATTTTAAAAAGTTTCCTCTTCATTTTAATTTCTCTTGGTGGAGGTCAAATTTACTAATCTCTCATTAAGAAATTAACAAAGTCATTTTAAAAACTGAACTCACAACTCTGGTCCCAAATAACTGTCTTTTTACATTTATTGGATAGATTACTCGTACTTTTCACTCAATAAATATTTATTGAGCACCTACTATAAGCCAGACTGCTCTTAGAACTGGAAAGTCTTAACAGCAATGAAGCAAACACTGAAAACTGCCTTTCTTTATGGAACCTACATTCTACTGAGGAAGGAGCAAACAAACAATAAGCAAATAAATAAAATGCACCATATGTCAGTTTGACGATAACTGCTAGAGGGGAAAAAAATAAGAAAGGTGGAAGGTAGACAGGAAATATGGGGCAAAAGAGAGACAGTTTTTCAGGGGGCAGGGAGAGTTGATGGTTGTGATTTTGAATACCCTGGTTACAAAGGATTTATTTGGACGCTGGCACTTGAGCCAAGACTAGAAGGTGAGGAATCAGACCACAGCCATGCATCTATTTGTTTTAATGCTAACTCTTTTTCTGTTGAATGTAGCATTTGAAGCGGGTCAACAGCGGAATAGCAAAATGATACTGTTTTTCTTTATAAGTCACTGTAATCAAACCAAAAAAAATTAAAAAGACATTCCAATTATTGGTAACCTTCTGAATCTACTGTTGACATATCAGCCTTTTGAGGGAAAGTTTAAATGTTTACTTATTCCTTTATGTCACAATACATTCATTTTTTAAAACTCCCCAAAAATATATTTCAAGTAGAGAAATTTTTTTTTTTTTAGTGTTAAGTGAGCCCAAACTTCATCATGGGCTGAAATTTTAAGACATGAAAATAGCTGCTGAAACTGAATTTTAATCATATAGATGAATCACAACATGCATCTTTAGCTAGGCATGTATTATGGATAAGTCTAGATTTCTACAGAGAATAATCACATGTTCTAATTACCATTTTGGTTATACGCATAATTAATAATATTCTGTCTTAATGGGACACACTGAATCTTCAGACAGTTGCAAGCTTTAACTATGCATACTGCCAAATTCAACTGTCAGCTGCACTGCCAAACACAAAGGAATCTTGATGTAGTGTTTTAGCATTGATAACAATATGCATATCTTTATACATAATACAATGAAAAAATTAATTGCTTTTCTTCTTTCAAATTTTTCTCCACACAAATAATTTTATGTCACTTGATTGATCATTTACCCTAAATTATATATATTGGCAAATGATCTTATGAACATTAAAAACATAAATGTAAATGTAACCCAAGATTCAAAAAGTTATAAAAATATTGTTAGACAAGGACTTACTGATTGTAAACTTGCATTTTCACGTAAACAAGCTGTGTGAAGTTCTGATTTCAAGGCTGCAATGTGACTTCGATGAGATGTCATTTCCTTCTCTAATGTCATGATTCTAGTGCTTGCAAGCTGGTAGACATCCATGAAACTTTTAATCATAGCCTTAAGAAATAAAAATAATGTCACATATAATTCAAATAAATATGTCCCCAAAGGAGAATTTCCATAATTTGAAAGCAAAACCATTAAAATTTTAAAATAAACAACTTTTCATCTTTCTTTAAAATAATAAAGCTAAACCTAACATTTTATATTGAGAACAGTGACTATTTTAAGAAAGTTTGTGAGAAAATAATTGAGACTTCATTCCAGAGTATTTATTTAAATAAGATGTACTTTGATCTATTGTGCTTAAAATTTAGAATGCGGTTTTAAAAGATGGCACAGTTATTTTCTGTAGTAAAGTTAAATTCAAGTTGTAATTTGACCTAAATTTCCATCTTAAGAGAGGTGCAATCTTAATGGGTATACAAACAAGGTATTTCAAAATAAGCTGAGTTAGTAAAATTTTTAAACCACCTAAAAAACAAATGTTTTGAAACAAAAGGAGCTAAAATAATCTTGTGATTTTTAAGAGTAAATGTGATTCTTATTTTGTAAGAAAAGTATAATTATGTTGATTCATGTAACACAGAAATGCCCTTACATTGGACTATACATAATAAAACAATTAACATAAGCAAGTTCTGGTAACCTATTATCTCCTCTAAACAGTACCATATTTAGGGAATTATTGTATCACAGTTTAATCATATTTTATAGAATTTTTCTTCTAAAGCAATTTGTAATAAATTTTAAGTCCAGGATACTATTATGCCTTTTTAAAGGAGACTTTCAAAATAACTCAAATATAGCAAAATAAATCCCATATTTCAAAGACATTTTCAAAAATAATACTATATTGTTTACAAGAAAAATGTTCCTACAACAGCCACAACTTAGTATAAAGGTAGACAGTCTGAGAATTTGCAAATTACATTCTATCTTAAGGTTGTAAATTAGGAAAGCTTTGAGAAATTATGTATTTGAGCAGTTGTGAATGCATGTGAAAAATAATTTAGTGAACAAAGACAGAGTAAGAAACAATATAGTAAATGTATGCAAAACAGAGGTAAGTTAGTTACTTGCAGGTAAGAGTAAGAAAATTCAGACCTTTTGGCCTAATAAATTCTTATTTGCCCTCAAAAAACCAGCTCAGATCTTTTTCAAGAATCCTCTTGTGAGCCCAAAAAAGGCAGTGTTAACTTCTATCCTGGTTTTCTGTGGATCCTTCATGCCTGCTTCTACTGTTGCATATTATTGCTTTAGTAGAAATTTATTAGTTTACATGTTTATCTTCTTTACTAGACTGAGAAGCTACTTAAGGCAAGATACTCTGCCTATACATATTTGGAGCTTCAGGGATAGTGAGTACTTGTTTGAATGACTGCTTGAATTAATGACTGCTTTGAAGAATGAATGGATGAAAAATTAGAAAAGATAAAAACCATAAGTTGAAACCATATATTGTTATAAAATGCCTTCTACGAAAGGGTGATGATGTTTGGGAAAGTATAATCTTAACACCTAATCTAATGAATAAATTATTAATAATACTCTGTTCAAGTTGAAAAAAAGCAGAAGCATAACTATAGGCTAGGCATAAAAGGGTGAAGTACACAAATGTTAATTTATTAACCAACACTACATAAGCATTATATGACTTCTTACCTGGGAATATCTGACATATCCTAACCTATCTTCCTTTGAATCATTTCAAGGCAAGTTTATAGCTAATACTAATACAAACTATATCTCTGCATCTCAAAAGTATGTGAAAATCAGAAACTTGAATTACATCTGTTTTTTCCTATGTCAAGTCTCTCTCAATTCTTATAAATTCATGTATCTTCTCCATTGAGATAGTAGACCAGAAATCACAAGTCCTGGTTTTTTTTTTTTTTCTGAGTCTTACTTTGATTCAACTCTATGTTGTTGGGAAATGCCACATAATCCCTCTGAGCCTCCATCTCCTCCCTCTATAAAATGGGAAAAAGAGTCGTTTTCTTGTCTACTTCCAAAACTGTTGTAAGGCTCAGAAAATTAAAATAGCTAATGTTTACTAGGGATTTACTGAAGTGCAGGGACCATGTAGCATATTACATGCTTAATTTCATTTATCTTTACAGTAACCATATGGAGTAGATACTTTTTTTAATCTAGTTTTTCAGAGCAAAACACAGGAGCTTGGAGGGATTAAATAACTAGTCCAAGTTTACAATTAGTTGTACAATGGTCAGGATACAAATCCAAGTATTTCTCAAGCAAACTCACTCTCTTAACCCTTCACCTATGTTGCATTTAATATAAGAAAGCACTCTAAAAATGGTAAACTATTGAATTTCATTGTAGTATTATTACTATTGTTCTATTTTTAAATTCTCCACTAAAATCTAAATGAGACAATCTGAAATATGTGGTTCTTAGATATATACTTTTATTGTCTAAGGACCTAAAATGTATAAAAGGCTGAAACATGCATAAATGCTTATTGAATGGTAAGAAAGTTCCCTTCCATCAGTAATAGGCTCCTGGATTATTATTTCACTGTAAGTCACAAGAGAATTGACCTTTAATATTTTAGGATTAAAAGTTCCACATTTTAAAAGTTATCCCATTTTCTAACCTTGGAGAAACACATTTTATGAATTTCATCTTTATGACATTCTAAAAGGAATAAATAATATAAATGATATTCCTTCAAATCTCCCTTTAAAAATAAATTTTTTGAGAAGTAATGTCAGAAATTTTATATAGTGGATAACTCTTCCTTGATCTACTTTTAATAACTAAATTCTAATATTCAGCGAAATATTAATATAAACCACATACTACTTCTTTATAACACTAAAAAGAATATAATAATCCAATTTTTCTTAGGATTTCAAATCTTAAACATTCCAACTCTCTTAAAGTAGTATTTTGAGAGACAAAATAAAATTTGTATAATAGTGCATATGATACTTTTTCAGAGCAGCAAGGTACAATGATCAATACAGAAAGCAGGTTTCATGTTACTAATATGTATAAAATATACTATGCTCTTCTAAACAAAAGTCTCCTTCAAAACTGGAAGGTATGAGGAGTATCACTGAAATGGCAATTATTCAAAGAAGCCACATATCCTTTGAAGAATAAAGAATGTTAACTTCCAGTATTAATAAGTGATTCAAACTATACAGTAAAGCATACCAATGAAAAATTCAACTCCTTAATACAAAAGAAAGGTGTCAAGTTGGCAGAAGAAATGGAAATGACAGTCTGACTGTCTAACCCTCTACGACATATCCTGTTCCCTTATTAAAAGATCACATTATTTTACATTAGGAAACAATGACAAAACAGCATGATATTATATACAGCAAGTCCAGGATTTGAGAACTTATCCTGTTGTCATCCTTGGCCCCAGGGGCTTATTTTGACTATACCATGCAGTGAGATCTGTATCTCAGTGAGACTCGGTTAGTATATGAAGAACAAAAGACAGTTTCTGAACAAGAATAGCCTTTGTTTAAGGGATAATCTATAGTGTTTATAATTGACAGTAATAAGACGAGGGAATTCAAACATAAAATTCCACATCTATCCATTTTTTAAAAGTGTACGTGCATTAGAATATAAAAAGTTATAAGATACAAACAGTTGCATGTCACTTGAAGACTAGAAGACCATTTATATAATTTGTTATGTACATATTATTAAGTAGTTTAGACTGACTTCAAATTTGAACATCAGGAACAATGGGATAGTTGGGGGACTGATATTAAGAGAAGAAGAAAATAGTGAAAAATATCATAAAGCCTACATGCCAAAATATCAAATATTTTATCTACATTTTTGAGTAATTGGAAAGCAAAAAACTCTATCACTTCGACTTTAATTCATATAATTATATACATACTTCATTTCTATATCTTACGTAAATATATTGTGTAAAACACATATGCCAAATATACTAAATATGTGAAATGTAATACATTCTCACAAAATCAGGATAAAAATTCATACCTTATAACATTTTATAGAAATTAAATGAGTATTAATACATGAAATGAGCTTAAACTACCTGGCATATAATAAAGGCTCAGGTAAATGTTACCTGTAATAATGATATCAAATAGGAAAATTACTATTTAAGCTCATAAAAGAAAGATTCAATATTTCTGAGAGGTGTAAATTATTAGACATAATGTGAATATTTTAAATATAAAATATTTAAATATTTATTTCTCTTTGATAATAAAAGTTACTATTTATTATGTCATTCCTAAGGAAGAAGATCTCACAATGATAACATGGTTATGCTCAACAAAATACTAGCAAATAGAATCCAACAGCACATCAAAAAGATAATACACTATAACCAGGTGAGATTTACTGCAGGAATGCAAGGATGGTTCAATATATGTAAATCAACAAACATGATATATCACATAAACAGAATTAAGGACAAAAACCATAAGATCATCTCAATAGATGCAGAGAAGGCATTTGGTAAAATTCAGTATACCATCATGATAAAAATCCTCAAAGAACTAGGCAGAGAAGGGAGAGGCCTCAACATAGTAAAGGGCCTATATGACAAACCAACAGCCAACATTATACTTAATGAAGAAAAGTTGAAAGCATTCTAAGAACTGGAACAAGAAAAGGACGTCCACTTTTTGCCACTTTTATTCCACACAGTACTGAAGTCCTTGACAAAGCAATCAGGCAAGAGGAAAAAAATAACAGGTATCATAATTGGCAAACAGGAAGTCAAATTATCCCTGCTCGCTGATGATATATTCTTCTATCCAGAAAATCCTAAAGAACCCACCAAAAAACACTTAGATTTGATAAATTCAGTAAAGTTTCAGGATGCAAAATTAATGTACACAAATCAGCAGCATTTCCATACACCCATAATAATCTATCTGAGGACAAAATCAAGAAAGCTATCCAATTCCCAATAGCTATAAAAAAAAACACTAGGAATATATTTAACCAAAGACGGAAAGATCTATAAGTAGAACTACAAAACACTGATGAAAGAAATTGTAGATAACACAAACAATTGGAAAAATATCCAATGATCATGAATTGGAAGGATTAATATCGTTAAAATGACCATATTGCCCAAAGCAATCTATAGATCCAATGCAATCTCTATCAAATTACCAATGTCATTTTTCAAAGAGTTAGAAAAAACAATCCTAAAATTCATATAAAACAAAAATAGAGGATTCCTGGCAAGATGTCTGAATAGGAACAGCTCCAGTCTGCAGCTCCCAGCAAGACCAATGCAGAAGGTGGGTTACTTCTGCATTTCCAACTGAGGTACCCGGTTCAACTCACTGGGGCCGGTTAGACAGTGGGTACAGCCCACAGAGGGTGAGCAGAAGCAGAGTGGGGCATCACCTCACCCGGGAAGCACAAGGGGTCAGGGAACTCCCTCTCCAAACCAAGGGAAGCCATGAGGGACCCTGACGTGAGGGATGGTGCTATCCGGCACAGATACTACGCTTTTCCCACAGTCTTCACAACCCAGACCAGGAGATTCCCTTGGGTACCTACATCACAAGGGCCCTGAGTTTCAAGCACAAAACTGGGTGGCCATTTGAGCAGACATCAAGCTATCTGCAGGAGTTTTTTTTTCATACCCCATTGTCACCTGGAACACTAGCAAGACAGAACTGTTCACTCCCCTGGAAAGGGGCCTGAAGCCAGGGAGCCAAGTGGTCTTGCTCAGAAGAGACCGCCCCCATGGAACCCAGCAAGCTAAGATCCACTGGCTTGAAATTCTCGCTGCCAGCACAGCAGTCCGAAGTCAACCTGGGATGCTCAAGCTTGGTGTGGGGAGACATGTCCACCATTACTGAGGCTTGAGAAGGCGGTTTTCCCCTCACAGTTTAAACAAAGCCTCCAGGAAGTTCTGACTGGACAGAGCCCACTGCAGTTCAGCAAAGCCACTGTAGCCAGACTGCCTCTCTTGACTCCTCCTCTCTGGGCAGGGAATCTCTGAAAGAAAGGCAGCAGCCCCAGTGAGGGGCTTATAGATAAAACTCCCATCTCCCTGGGACAGAGTACCTGGGGGAAGGGGGGCAGCTGTGGGCACAGCTTCAGCAGACTTAAACGTTCCTGCCTGTCAGCTCTGAAGAGAGCAGCAGATCTCCCAGCACAGCACTCGAGCTCTGCTAAGGGACAGACTGCCTCCTCAAGGGGGTCCCTGACCCCCATGCATCCTGACAGGGAGACAACTCCCAGCAGGGGTTGACAGACGCCTCATATACAAGCGCTCCGGCTGGTATCTGGCAGGTGTCCCTCTGGGACGAAGCTTCCAGAGGAAGGAGCAGGCAGCAATCTTTGCTGTTCTGCAGCCTCTGTTGGTGATACCTAGGCAAACAGGGTCTGGAGTGGAATCCCAGCAAACTCCAGGAGACCTGCAGAAGAGGGACCTGACTGTTAGAAGGAAAACTAACAAACAGAAAGCAACAGTATCAAAATCAACAAAAAGAACAAGCATGCAAAAACTCCATCCGAAGGTCACCGACAGCAAAAACAAAAGGTAGACAAATCCACTAAGATGAGGAAAAACCAGCTCAAAAAGGCTGAAAATTCCAAAAACCAGAATCCCTCTTCTCCAAATGATCACAACTCCTCGCCAGCAAGGAAACAAAACTGGATGGAAAATGAATTTGACAAATGGACAGAATTGGGCTTCAGAAGGTAGGTAATAACAAACTCCTCTGAGCTAAAGGAGCATGTTCTAACCCAACACAAGGAAGCTAAGACAAGAAATAAGTAAAATCACGGCAGAACTGAAGGAGATAGAGACACAAAAAACTCTTCAAAAACTCAATGAATCCAGGAGCTGTTTTTTTGTAAAGATTAACAAAATATATACGCTGCCAGCCAAACAAATAAAGAAGAAAAGAGACAAGAATCAAATAGACACAATAACAAATCATAAAGGGGAGATCACCACTGCTCCCACAGAAATACAAACTACCATCAGAGAATACTATAAATACCCCTATGCAAATAAACTAGAAGATCTAGATGACATGGATAAATTCCTGGACACATATACCCACCCAAGACTAAACCAGGAAGAAGTCGAATCCCTGAATAGACCAATAACAAGTTCTGAAATTGAGGCAGTAATTACCAACCAAAAAAGCCCAGGACCAAACGGATTCACAGTGGAATTCTATCAGAAGTACAAAAAGGAGCTGGACCATTCCTTCTGAAACTATTCCAAACAAGAGAAAAAGAGGAACTCCTCCCTAACTCATTTTATGAGGCCAGCAACATCCTGATAGCAAAACCTGGCAGAGACACAACAAAAAAAGAAAATTTCAAGCCAATATCCCTGATGAATATCAACGTGAAAATCCTCAATAAAATACTGGCAAACCGAATCCAGCAGCACATCAAAAAGCTTATCCACCATGATCCAGTTGGCTTCATCCTTGGGATGCAAGGCTGGTTCATCATATGCAAATCAATAAATGTAATCCATCACATAAACAAAACCAATGACAAAAACCACATGATTATCTCAATAGATGCAGAAAAGGCCTTCAATAAAATTAAACACCCTTTCATGCTAAAAACACTCAATAAACTAGGTACTGATGGAACATATCTCAAAATAATAAGAGCTATTTATGACAAACGCACAGCCAATATCATACTGAATGGGCAAAAACCGGAAGCATTCCCTTTGAAAACTAGCACAAGACAAGGATGCCCTCTCACCCCTCCTATTTATTGGAAATTGTGGCCAAGGCAATCAGGCAAGAGAAAGAAATAAAGGGTATTCAAATAGGAAGAGAAGAAGTCAATTACCTCTGTTTGCAGATGACATGACTGTATATTAAAAAAACCCCATCGTCTCAGTCCCAAAACTCCTTAAGCTGATAAGCAACTTTAGCAAAGTCTCTGGATACAAAAACAATGTGCAAAAATCACAAGAATTCCTATACACCAATAATAGACAAACAGAGAGCCAAATAATGAGCAAACTCCCATTCACAACTGCTACAAAGAGAATAAAATACCTAAGAATATAAGGTACAAGGATGTGAAGGACCTCTTCAAGGAGAACTACAAACCACCGCTCAAGGAAATAAGAAAGGACACAAACAGATGGAAAAACATTCCATGCTCATGAATAGGAAGAATCAATACCATGAAAATGGCTATACTGCCCAAAGTAATTTATACATTCAATGCCATTGCCATCAAGCCACCATTGGCTTCCTTCACAGAGTTAGAAAAACACTACTTTAAATTTCATATGGAACAAAAAGAGAGCCTGTACAGCCAAGACAATCTGAAGCAAAAAGAACAAAGCTGGAGGGATCACACGACCTGACTTCAAACTATACCACAAGGCTACAGTAACCAAAACGGCATGGTACTGGTACCAAAACAGGTATGTAGACCAATGCAACAGAACAGAGGCCTCAGAAATAACACCACACATCTACAACCATCTGATCTTTGACAAACCTGACAAAAACAAGAAATGGGGAAAGGATTCCCTATTTAATAAATGGTGTTGGGAAAACTGGCTAGCCATATGCAGAAAACTGAAACTGGACCCCCTTCCTTACACCTTATACAAAAATTAACTCAAGGTGGATTAAAGATTTAAATGTAAGACCTAAAACCATAAAAATCCAACAAGAGAACCTAGGCAATACCATTCAGGACATAGGCATGGGCAAAGACTTCATGACTAAAACACCAAAAGCAACGGCAACAAAAGCCAGAATTGACAAATGGGGTCTAATTAAACTAAAGAGCTTCTGCACACCAAAAGAAACTATCATCAGAGTGAACAGGCAACCTACAGAATAGGAGAAAATTACTGCAATCTATCCATCTGACAAAGGGCTAATATCCAGAATCTACAAGGGACTTAAACAAATTTACAAGAAAGAAACAAACAACCCCATCAAAAAGTGAGCAAAGGATATGAGCAGACACTTTTCATAAGAAGACATTTATATGGCCAACAAACATATGAAAAAAAGCTCATCATCACTGGTCATTAGAGAAAGGCAAATCAAAACCACAATGAGATACCATCTCACGCCAGTTGGAATGGCTGTCATTAAAAAGTCAGGAAACAACACATGCTGGAGAGGATGTGAAGAAATAGGAACACTTTTACACCATTGGTGGGGGTGTAAATTAGTTTAACCATTGTGGAAGACAGTCTGGTGATTCCTCAAGGATCTAGAACTAGAAATACCATTTGACCCAGCCATCCCATTACTGGGTATATACCCAAAGGATTATAAATCATGCTACTATAAAGACACACGCACACATATGTTTACTGCAGCACTGTTCACAATAGCAAAGACTCGGAACCAACCCAAATGTCCATCAATGAAGACTGGATAAAGAAAATGTGGCACATATACACCATGGAATACTATGCAGCCATAAAAAAGAATGATTTCATGTCCTCTGCAGGGACATGGATGAAGCTGGAAACCATCATTCTCAACAAACTATCACAAGGACAGAAAACCAAACACCCCACTTTCTCACTCATAAGTGGGAGTTGAATAATGAGAACATATGGGCACAGGGAGGGGAACATCACACACCGGGGCCTGTTGTGGGGTGGGGGGCTAGGGGAGGGATAGCATTAGGAGAAATACCTAATGTAGGTGATGAGTTGATGGGTGTAGCAAACCAACATGGCACAGGTATACCTATGTAACAAACCTGCACATTCTGCACATGTATCCCAGAACTTAAAGTATATTAAAAAAAGAGCCCTAATAGCCAAAGCAATCCTAAGCAAAAAGAACAAAGCTAGAGACATCACATAACCTAACTTCAAATTATACTACAAGGCTATCGTAAGCAAAATAGCATGGTACTAGCACAAAACAGACATACAGATCAATGGAACAGAATGGAGAAGCGAGGAATAAAGCCACATACCTACAGCCAACTGATCTTTGACAAAGTCAATAAAAATATACACTGGGGAAATTATACCCTATTGTTATAACAAAAAAACAGATGCATTCATATGTCTGTTGTAGCACTATCCATAATAACAAAGATATGAAGTCAACCTAACTGTCCGTCAACAGATGATTGGATAAAGAAAATATGGTGTGTGTGTGTGTGTGTGTGTGTGTGTGCACATATATACCATGGAATACAACACAGGCATTAAAAAAAGGAAACTCATGTCTTATGCAGCCACATGGATATAATTAAGGCCATTATAAGTGAAATAACTCAGAGACAGAAAGTCAAATACTGCATGTTCTCACTTATAAGTGGGAGCTAAACAATGGCTACACATGGAAGTACAGAGTGGAATAACAGATATTGGAGATTACAAAAGGTGAGAGGGTGGTCAGGATATGATGTTCACTACTCACATAATGGATATACTAAAAGAGCAGACTTCACCACTATGCAATATATGCAAGTAAGAAATCTGCATTTGTACCTCCTAAATATGTAAAAATAAAAATAAAAAGACCACCATTAGAAAAAAATGTGTCTTCATTGGCACCAGGAATTAAAGGAAATTTCATTATTTTCTTCATTATCAAAAAGTTACTCTGATATGGTTGCTCATTTATTAGACTTACTTTCATTCCAATATTTTAATAATATTTTACAAATTTTAAGGATATAGGAGGGAATGAGATACAGACGGCCTATTACTAATAGCACGCAAACAGCAACTGTGACTCCAATAAAATCCCCATCAAAGATGTGGAATTGTACTCTAGTTTGATGTTTGGTTTCTGGTCCTGCCCACAAATACTTGTTTCGCCAGGACATTCCATTCCAGTAAAAAGTTGTGTAAGAAGGACTATATCAGGATGTCAGACTGCCAACCACCTTCTCGCTTTGCCAGTGGAATTATGTGCACGTGTGTGTGTGTGTGTGTGTGTACGCACATGTACATGAATGCATAAAAGCTGCTAAAAATGCTATCAGCTGAGAAGAATCCTGATTAAGCAATAAGGAATAGAAAGTAGAAAGGATCACAAACAAAATTTTAGAGAAACCCTATTTAAAATAAGAGAATACTTCTACAATGGTAACACCAACTACAGTTAGGCTTGAAGCTCAGCATAAACAGGTAGGAGACGGGGTAGAAGGCCTTAGCCTTGCTTTATTAATAGCCCTAAAACATTTACTCTCAACAAAAAGTTGTTACATAGTGAAAGAAATATGATTGGATAAGCTTTATTATTTTTAAAGACTTATATAACTCTGTGATATACTCAATTGGAGTCGTACTTCTGATTCCCCATGCCCATCACCCATGATACATGGTTAAACAGGTAATGCAAATGGAAGAAGTGCACAGTTGGTTGTTGATATAGTTTGCATGTATGTCCCCACCCAAGTCTCATGTTGAATTGTAATCCCCAGTGCTGGAAGCGGGACCTGGTGGGAGGTATTTGGATCATGAGCGGAGATCCCTCATGGCTTGGTGCTTTAAAACCATGTGGCACCTCCCTCTCCCCAACACATCACTTGCTCCTACTTTTGCCTACTGACGTGCCTGCTCCCCATTCACCTTCTGCCAGAATCTTAAGCTTCCTGAAGCTTCCCTAGAAGCCTACAGAACCATCAGTCAATTAAATTTCTTTTCTTTATAAATTATCCAGTCTCAGATATTTCTCTTTTTTTTTATACTTTAACTTTTAGGGTACAGGTGCACAACGTGCAGGTTAGTTCATATGTATACATGTGCCATGTAGGTGTGCTGCACCCAGTAACTAATCATTTAACATTAGGTATATCTCCAAATGCTATCCCTCCCACCTCCCCCCACCCGACAACAGGCCCCAGTGTGTGATGTTCCCCTTCCTGTGTCCATGTGTTCTCATTGTTCAATTCCCACCTATGAGTGAGAACATGCAGTGTTTTGTTTTTTCTCCTTGTGATAGTTGGCTGAGAATGATGGTTTCCAGCTACATCCATGTCCCTACAAAGGACATGAACTCATCATTTTTTATGGCTGCATAGTATTCCATGGTGTATATGTGCCACATTTTCTTAATCCAGTCTATCATGGTTGGACATTTGGGTTAGTTCCAAGTCTTTGCTATCGTGAATAGTGCCACAATAAACATACGTGTGCATGTGTCTTTATAGCAGCATGATTTATAGTCCTTTGGGTATATACCCAGTAATGGGATGGCTGGGTCAAATGGTATTTCTAGTTCTAGATCCCTGAGGAATCGCCACATTGACTTCCACAATGGTTGAACTAGTTTACAGTCCCACCAACAGTGTAAAAGTGTTCCTATTTCTCCACATCCTCTCCAGCACCTGTTGTTTCCTGACTTTTTAATGATTGCCATTCTAAATGGTGTGAGATGGTATCTCATTGTGGTTTTGATTTGCATTTCTCTGATGGCCAGTGATGATGAGCATTTTTTCATGTGTCTGTTGGCTGCATAAGTGTCTCCTTTTGAGAAGTGTCTGTTCATATCCTTTGCCCACTTTTTGATGGGGTTGTTTTTTTCTTATAAATTTGTTGGAGTTCATGGTAGATTCTGGATATTAGCCCTTTGTCAGATGACTAGATTGCGAAAATTTTCTCCCATTCTGTAGGTTGCCTGTTCACTCTGATGGTAGTTTCTTTTGCTGTGCAGAAGCTCTTCAGTTTAATTAGATCCCATCTGTCAATTTTGGCTTTTGTTGCCATTGCTTTTGGTGTTTTAGACATGAAGTCCTTGCCCATGCCTATGTCCTGAATGGTAATGCCTAGGTTTTCTTCTAGGGTTTTTATGGTTTTAAATCTAACATTTAAGTCTTTAATCCATCTTGAATTAATTTTTGTATGAGGTGTAAGGAAGGGATCCAGCTTCAGCTTTCTACATATGGCTAGCCAGTTTTCCAAGCACCATTTATTAAATAGGGAATCGTTTCCCCATTTCTTGTTTTTGTCAGGTTTGTCAAAGATCAGATGGTTGTAGATATGCAGCATTATTTCTGAGGGCTCTGTTCTGTTCCATTGGTCTATATATCTGTTTTGGTATCAGTACCATGCTGTTTTGGTTACTGTAGCCTTGTAGTATAGTTTGAAGTCAGGTAGCATGATGTCTCCAGCTTTGTTCTTTTGGCTTGGGATTGACTTGGCAATGTGGGCTCTTTTTTGGTTCCATATGAACTTTAAAGTAGGTTTTTTCCAATTCTGTGAAGAAAGTCATTGGTAGCTTGATGGGGATGGCATTGAATCTCTAAATTACCTTGGAAAGTATGGCCATTTTCACGATATTGATTCTTCCTACCCATGAGCATGGAATGTTCTTCCATTTGCTTGTATCCTCTTTTATTTCATTGAGCAGTGGTTTGTAGTTCTCCTTGAAGAGGTCCTTCACATCCTAGGTATTTTATTCTCTTTGAAGCAATTGTGAATGGGAGTTCACTCATGATTTGGATGTCTGCTTGTCTGTTATTGGTGTATAAGAATGCTTGTGATTTTTGCACATTGATTTTGTATCCAGAGACTTTGCTGAAGTCGCTTATCAGCTTAAGGAGATTTTGGGCTGAGACGATGGGGTTTTCTAGATATACAATCATGTCGTCTGCAAACAGGGACAATTTGACTTCCTCTTTTCCTCATTGAATACCCTTTATTTCCTTCTCCTGCCTGATTGCCCTGGCCAGAACTTCCAACACTATGTTGAATAGGAGTGGTGAGAGAGGGCATCCCTGTCTTGGGCCAGTTTTCAGAGGGAATGCTTCCAGTTTTTGCCCATTCAGTATGATATTGGCTGTGGGTTTGTCATAGATAGCTCTTATTATGTTGAGATAAGTCCCATCAATACCTAACTTATTGAGAGTTTTTAGCATGAAGCGTTGTCCAATTTTGTCAAAGGCCTTTTCTGCATCTATTGAGATAATCATATGGATTTTGTTGTTGGTTCTTTTATATGCTGGATTACGTTTATTGATTTTCGTATGTTGAACCAGCTTTGCATCCCAGGGATGAAGCCCACTTGATCATGGTGGATAAGCTTTTTGATGTGCTGCTGGATTTGGTTTGCCAGTATTTTATTGAGGATTTTTGCATCGATGTTCATCAAGGACATTGGTCTAAAATTCTCTTTTTGGGTTGTGTCTCTGCCAGGCTTTGGTATCAGGATGATGCTGGCCTCATAAAATGAGTTAGGGAGGATTCCCTCTTTTTCTATTGATTGGAATAGTTTCAGAAGGAATGGTAACAGCTCCTCCTTGTACCTCTGGTAGAATTCGGCTGTGAATCCATCTGGTCCTGGATTTTTTTTGGTTGGTAAGCTAATAATTATTGCCTCAATTTCAGAGCCTGTTATTGGTCTATTCAGAGATTCAGCTTCTTCCTGGTTTAGTCTTGGGAGGGTGTATGTGTCCAGGAATTCATCCATTTCTTCTAGATTTTCTAGTTTATTTGCGTAGAGGTGTTCATAGTATTCTCTGATGGCAGTTTGTATTTCTTTGGGATTGGTGGTGATATCCCCTTTATCATTTTTTATTGTGTCTGTTTGATTCTTCTCTCTTTTCTTCTTTATTAGTCTTGCTAGCAGTCTATCAATCTGGTTGATCTTTTCAAAAAACCAGCTCCTGGATTCATTGATTTTTTGAAGGGTTTTTTGTGTCTCTATCTCCTTCACTTCTGCTCTGATCTTAGTTTTTTCTTGCCTTCTGCTAGCTTTTGAATGTGTTTGCTCTTGCTTCTCTAGTTCTTTTAATTGTGATGTTAGGATGTCAATTTTAGATCTTTCCTGCTTTCTCTTGTGGGCATTTAATGCTATAAACTTCCCTCTACACACTGCTTTGAATGTGTCCCAGAGATTCTGGTATGTTGTGTCTTTGTTCTCGTTGGTTTCAAAGAACATCTTTATTTCTGCCCTCATTTCATTATGTACCCAGTAGTCATTCAGGAGCAGGTTGTTCAGTTTCCATGTAGTTGAGCGGTTGTGAGTGAGCTTCTGAATCCCGAGTTCTAGTTTGATTGCACTGTGGTCTGAGAGAAAGTTTGTTATAATTTCCGTTCTTTTATATTTGCTGAGGAGTGCTTTACTTCCAACTATGTGGTCAATTTTGGAATAAGTGCAGTGTGGTGCTGAGAAGAATGTATATTCTGTTGATTTGGGGTGGAGAGTTCTGTAGATGTCTATTAGGTCTGCTTGGTGCAGAGCTGAGTTCAATTCCTGGATATCTTTGTTAACTTTCTGTCTCGTTGATCTGTCTAATGTTGACAGTGGGGTGTTAAAGTCTCCCATTATTATTGTGTGGGAGTCTAAGTCTCTTTGTAGGTCTCTAAGGACTTGCTTTATGAATCTGAGTGCTCCTGTATTGGGTGCATATATATTTAGGATAGTTAGCTCTTCTTGTTGAATTGATCCCTTTACCATTATGTAATGGCCTTCTTTGTCTCTTTTGATCTTTGTTGGTTTAAAGTCTGTTTTATCAGAGACTAGGATTGCAACCCCTGCCTTTTTTTGTTTTCCATTTGCTTGGTAGATCTTCCTCCATCCTTTTATTTTGAGCCTATGTGTGTCTCTGCACGTGAGATGGCTTTCCTGAATACAGCACACTGATGGGTCTTGACTCTTTATCCAATTTGCCAGTCTGTGTCTTTTAATTGGAGCATTTAGCCCATTTACATTTAAGGTTAATATTGTTATGTGTGAATTTGATCCTGACATTATGATGTTAGCTGGTTATTTTGCTCGTTAGTTGATGCAGTTTTTCCTAGCCTCGATGGTCTTTACAATTTGGCATGTTTTTGCAGTGGCTGGTACTGGTTGTCCCTTTCCATGTTTAGTGCTTCCTTCAGGAGCTCTTTTAGGGCAGGCCTGGTGGTGACAAAATCTCTCAGCATTTGCTTGTGTGTAAAGGATTTTATTTCTCCTTCACTTATGAAGCTTAGTTTGGCTGGATAAGAAATTCTGGGTTGAAAATTCTTTTAAGAATGTTGAATATTAGCCCCCACTGTCTTCTGGCTTGTAGAGTTTCTGCCGAGAGATCCACTGTTAGTCTGATGGGCTTCCCTTTGTGGGCAACCCGACCTTTCTCTCTGGCTGCCCTTAACATTTTTTCCTTCATTTCAACTTTGGTGAATCTGACAATTATGTGTCTTGGAGTTGCTCTTCTCGAGGAGTATCTTTGTGGCATTCTCTATATTTCCTGAATTTGAATGTTGGCCTGTCTTGCTAGATTGGGGAGGTTCTCCTGTATAATATCCTGAAGAGTGTTTTCCAACTTGGTTCCATTCTGCCCGTCACTTTCAGGTACACCAATCAGATGTAGATTTGGTCTTTTCACATAGTCCCATATTTCTTGGAGGCTTTGTTTGTTTCTTTTCATTCTGTTTTCTCTAAACTTCTCTTCTCACTTCATTTCATTCATTTGATCTTCCATCACTGATACCCTTTCTTCCAGTTGATCAAATCGGCTACTGAGGCTTATGCATTCGTCACGTACCTCTCGTGCCATGGTTTTCAGCTCCATAAGGTCCATTAAGGACTCCTCTGCATTGGTTATTCTAGTTAGCATTCGTCTAATCTTTTGTCAAGGTTTTTAACTTCTTTGCCATGGGTTCGAACTTCCTCCTTTAGCTCGGAGTAGTTTGATCGTCTGAAGCCTTCTTCTCTCAACTTGTCAAAGTCATTCTCCATCCAGCTTTCTTCCGTTGCTGGTGAGGAGCCGAGTTCCTTTGGAGGAGGAGAGGCACTCTGATTTTTAGAGTTTCCAGTTTTTCTGCTCTGTTTTTCGCCATCTTTGTGGTTTTATCTACCTTTGGTCTTTGATGATGGTGACGTACAGATGGGGTTTTGGTGTGGATGTCCTTTCTGTTAGTTTTCCTTCTAACAGTCAGGACCCTCAGCTGAAGGTCTGTTGGAGTTTGCTGGAGGTCTACTCCAGATCCTGTTTGCCTGGGTATCAGCAGTGGAGGCTGCAGAACAGCGGATATTGGTGAACAGCAAAGGTTGCCGCCTGATCATTCCTCTGGAAGTTTTGTCTCAGAGGAGTACCCGGCCATGTGAGGTGTCAGTCTGCCCCTACTAGGGGGGTGCCTCCCAGTTAGGCTACTCGGGGGTCAGGGACCCACTTGAGGAGGCAGTCTGTCCGTTCTCAGATCTCAAACTCCGTGCTGGGAGAAGCACTACTCTCTTCAAAGCTGTCAGACAGGGACATTTAAGTCTGCAGAGGATTCTGCTGCCTTTTGTTTGGCAATGCTCAACCCCCAGAGGTGGAGTCTACAGAGGCAGGCACGCTTCCTTGAGCTGCGGTGGGCTCCACCCAGTTCGAGCTTCCCGGCTGCTTTGTTTACCTACTCTAGCCTAGGCAATGGCGAGCGCCCCTCCCCCAGCTCGCTGCCGCCTTGCAGTTTGATCTCAGACTGCTGTGCTTGCAATGAGTGAGGCTCCGTGGGTGTAGGACCCTCTGAGCCAGGCACAGGATATAATCTCCTGGTGTGCCATTTGCTAAGACTGTTGGAAAAGTGCAGTATTAGGGTGGGAGTGACCCAATTTTCCAGGTGCCGTCCGTCACCCCTTTCTTTGACTAGGAAAGGGAATTCCCTGACCCCTTGTGCTTCCCAGGTGAGGTGATGCCTTGCCCTGCTTCAGCTCATGCTCGGTGCGCTGCACCCACTGTCCTGCACCCACTTTCCAACACTCGCCAGTGAGATGAACCCGGTACCTCAGTTGGAAATGCAGAAATCACCTATCTTCTGCATTGCTCATGCTGGGAGCTGTAGACTGGAGCTGTTCCTATTCAGCCATCTTGGCTCCACCTCAGTTATTTCTTTATAGCAATGCAAGAATGCCCTAATACAGTTGTGTTTACTAAATCAGGGAATTCATGTTTCAATACTACCTATCAATCAAACAAAAGTTGTAATTTAAATTTTGCCTAGAAAATTTCCAACTTCCCTGAATTAATCAATTATTCTTTAACAAAAACCTTTTATATTAAATACTTTCTACATTCGTAACAAAAGTTCAAAAGACACTGTGGCTAGAAAATTACATTTCTGAAATTTTTATGTGTGTGTGTGTGTGTATATATATATATATATATACATATATATATATATATGAATTTTATAGCTTTGTATCATTTTGAGAAAAAAAGTCCATAATTCTGGAAATATTTCCAAACAACTATTTTACAATGTTTTCTCTGCAAAACTCAGAGCAGTTAGTTTTTATTTTTTTACAAATGTCACTTTACCTTGAAGTGACAGAGTATGTGTTTAATATCTTCTAGCTAGAATGTTTCTGTTAGCCACTTGCCATCAAAGAAAAGTTCTACAGATTTGTAACCCTCATCTTTTTTGAAAGAAAATTGCATAATTCTTACACAAGTTCAAGAGTACTTTGAAGCATGCTGTCACAACAGTGAACTTTACAGAGAAGATTTTAAAGTCTCTCATCTCATTATAAACTATTATAAAGACTGTACTATGTAAAATAATTTAATATATAGATTCACTTAACAGTTACATACATATTTTCATGTTGAAACACAAAAGTAAATAAATGAGTAATGATGCCACTTTCAGCCCCTCTACATTGCAAAAGCCTTCCACTCTTCCTTGAACGTACCTTACAGGACACATTAATGTTTAACAAATAGACCAAGTGAAGACATCAGTGCCAAACTATAGTAAAGAATACATATGTTATTTCTTACTTTATAAATAAGGTATAATTTATTATCTTGTATAATTAATGGCATGTATTTATAGTCAACAAAGTGAGTTAAAATAAAAAAAATTATAGGATGTCCACAGATAGATTTTATGGTATATTTACTTTTTAAATAGACTATTTTTAGAGCAATTTTAGGTTCACAGAAAAGTTGAGCATGAAGTACAGAGAGTTCCCATACATGCTCTGCCCCTATACACATAAACCCTCTTTCATATCAATACCCTCCTACAAAGTGGTACATTTATTGCAACAAAAATGAACCTATGCTGACACATCACTATCACCCAAAATCCACAGTTTACATTACGGCTATTGGTGTTGGACATTCTATGGGTTTTACAAATGTATAGTGACATGTATTCACTATTATTAGTATCACACAAAATAGACTCACTGCTCTAAAAATCCTGTGTTCTGCAGATTCATCCCTCGCTCCCCTCTAACTCCTGGCAACCACTGATCTTTTTCATTTTCTCAATAGTTTTTATAATTACTTTTTAATGTTTCTCTTAAAACCTTTAAAAATCATACCTTTAAAATTTTCTTTTTCTATGTTATGGAGCATATTTAATAACAACACATATATAAGTTATTAAGGAATGAATGTATATATGTTAGGGAAGCTGACTTAAAAATAAGAGTGTGCTATGAAAAAGTTTGGAGACTACTCCCCTGTGGCATCAGGTGACTAACTGTAGATGTACACTGGAAGCAACTGAGCTAGTTGACTCTTCCCGTACTTAGGGCTGTGCAGGGTGGCAGCAGCTGGGTTTGTCCCCAGAAACAAAAACCATGAGTAAGGACCCTAGAATCAGGAAAGCAGAGCAGAGCCTAAGGAAGCTTCCAAACCCAGAAGACAGTCTATCTATTCACTGTGTCTCACAGCATGTATGTCCTACTTCTTTCCCTCACACCCAGATGTAAGCTCCAATAATCAAAATCTACATCTACAAAGAAGCATAAAAGCAGCACCTCACTCTAGGGTATTGAAATCTGTATTGCATGCTGCATAACAAATTACCAGAAACTTAAAGGCTTAGAACAACACAAATTTATTATCTCTTAATTTCCATGGGCCAGGAGTCCAGCATAGGTTAGTGGGGTCCTCTGCTCGGGTGTCTCAGCAGGCTGAAATCAAGGTATCATCTGGAGCTGTGATCTCACCTGAGAAGCAGAGTCCTCTTGCAAGCTCATTCAAGTTGGCAGAATTCACTTACTTGCCATTGTGAAAAAGAAGTCCCCATTTTCTTGCTGGCTGTCACCCAGGATCACTCTCTGCCCCTAAAGGGCATACTCAGCTCCTTGCCAAATGCCCCCACCGCCCTCTTTCAACATGGCTGTTTGCTTTCCTCCAGTCCCTCAGAAGAACATCTCTCAGACACCTTGGCTTCTTGAAAGGAGTCACCTGATTAGGTCAGGCCCATCCAGGACAATCTCTTTTGATGAGTAACCTAATCACAGGAGTGGTATCCATTACATTTACTGGTATCACCCACCATCGAGGGGAGAAGACTAATTTTATAGCAGATGTACAACATGGGAAAGGACAAAGGGGTCATCTTAGAATTCTGATTACTGCAGCCTGAAACACTCCTTATACCAAAACTAACTCAAAATTGATCATAGATTTAAATATAAAACATAAAGCTATGAAACTTTTAGAAGAAAATATATGAAAAAATCTTTGGGATCTCGAGCTTGGTAAAGAGTTCTTAGACACAAAATCAAAAGTGTGATCAATGAAAGAAAAAAACAATAAACTGAACTTCATCAGAAACTATTCATTAAAAATTATTGCCATGAAAAAAAATTCTGTCACAAAGAGTAAATGACAGAGAAAAAATATTTGCAAACCACACATCTGATAGTTTCTAGAATATATAAACAACTCTCAAAACTCAACAGTAAAAAGACAATTCAATTAGAAAATGAGCAAAAGGCACTAAGATACATTTTACGAAAGAGAATATACAAATCGCAAATTTTATCAAAAGAGAATATACAAATAGCAAACAGGCACATAAAGATATTTTCAAAAATCACTAAGCACTAGGGAAATGCAAACTTAAAACCATAGTAAGATATCACTACACCTATCAGAATGGCTAACAGAAAAAAAGTGGGATAACACCAAGTGCTGGCGAGGAAGCAGAGAAACTGGATCTCTTAAAGATTCATAGTGAGAATGAAAAAAATGGCAGTCATTCTGGAAACAGTTTGACAGTTTTTTAAAAATTAAATGTAACTTACATATAGCTAGGCAATCACATTCCTCAGTACTTATCCTAGAAAAATGAAAACTTGTGCCCAAACAGAAACTTGCATAAAAATGTTCAATGCAACTTTATATGTAATAGCCGAAATCCAGAAACAACAAAATATCCTTCAGTGAATGAATGGCTAAACAAACTGTGATACATCCATACCACGAAAACAAGTCACCAATAAACTATTAATCAATATTGACAAATAAAGGAATAAACTATTGATATATGCAAAAACTTGGATGGATCTCAAGAGCATTACACTGAGTGAAAAAGCCAACTCAAAAAGTCACATTCTGTATGACTGCATTTATATTACATTATTGAAATGACAAACTTATAGAAATGGAAACTATTTAGTGGCTGCTATGAGTTAGGGATGATGGCAGGACAGGGGGTGATATGTCCATAAACTGGTTACTTGAGAGAGAATTTTGTTGGTACCTTTCTGTATCTTGATTGTGGTAGTGTCTATACAAATATACACATGAAAAAATGTCACAAAACTGTATTTACCCATTGTACTAATGCCAATTTTCTGGTTTTGACATTTTCCTAAACTGATGTAAGATATAACAATGGGGAAAGCTGGATAAAGCGTACACAGGGACCTCCCTGTGCTATTTTTGTACTTTTCTGTGAATCTATAATTATTTCAAAATAAAAGGGTAAAAAAGCAAATATATAGCATTCTAATATTTAAAAGGGAAGATATACAAATTTATAGACATGTCTATATTTATTTTAGAAACAAATAAACAAGAAGAGAATAAAACATTAAAATTTTGTTTAAATGATACTGATTTAGCGGGCAAAGGCATGGACTAGACCAACCAGTCTTCTGCACATAACTTCTTATGCAGATACTTGAATAAAACGACCTAGCATTTTGCTCATCACACTCAACATGAGAGATTATCAGATACTAGTCTATATTTGCTCACTGACTGTGATAGCAACACCAGCTATTCTGAGACCCTCTGCAGCCTGTTGCCTCAAAAGAGTCAATGTAATCTGAGGGGTATATGCACTCAGCTCAATTCTCCACTCAAAGGCAAACCCATGTAAGCCCCAAAGGAGGTGAACCCCACACTCTACAATCAGGAATTGCCAAATAAGTTAGAATGTATGGAAGTAAATAAAGCCTATGCTCTTACCAAATCTTTGCTCAAAGGTTTTCCAGCTTCCTCTGTAGTTCCCATGTTCCAGGGTTTGCCTGGACCCTGGTTATAACAACAGCTACTGCAGGCCAGACACCATGTTATAAGCTTTGCGTATTTTTTCTAATTCTGACAATAATCCTGTAGGTGTATTGGTGTTACACCAGGATTATAGCTGCCTTCCAATAATGCTGTAAGACTCATATTATCTTTATAGACTAAGAAACTGTGGTTCAGTGATGCTAAGTACCTTGTCCAGTGTCACCCAGTTAATAAAGAGCAGAATTGGGATTCAAATCCATGCCTGTCCAATTCCAAAGCCCATGTTCACTCAATGTGTTCCAAGTTTCCTGGTTTGATTTGGACTGGTTGATGTTTGTTTATTTGTTTCTCAGTGAAATCAGTAGACTTAATCCAGGCTTTCCAAGTTTCATAAAGTGCACAGCTAACTTATTACAACATTCATATAACAACAATTGAATCCATATTCTCTCTTTTATTGATCCATGTTCTCTCCTTTATTAACTGAAAAAGATACAAAGCAAACCCCTTTTGAATTTTGCTATGACACCAGGATTTTCAAAGATCTCACAATCATTAATAAGTATTACTCTGCATTGACTCTGAGCTACAGATTTTTGTTTATGTAAATAAATATTTCAAATAAAAGAACTTCAAATGATATTTTCTTGGGAACTTCATTCATTCTGTAGTTGTTCAATAAACATTTGTAACAAAATAATGAATCTCTATTCTATCAAAGCATGCCATATAACTTCCACACTTCCATCAAAACATCTTTTGATGCTAAAAACATACATAATTTGGAAGAAGACTTAGATTTTTTTAATGGGAAAAAATTAAGCTTAGAAATTATAGCAAATCATCTATTATCCACACAATAGATGACTTGGAAAAAAGGAAAACAACTTCTGGTATACTCGATTAACTTATACATGTAAAATGATAATGTGCTATGTATCTCTCAGCAGCCTGACTAAAAGGACCTGTTAGCATCAGTAAAGGACTTGACAAGCAAAATACCAAGACAGTGATATCCCAAATCCTGCCCACATAGGATTAGCTCATCTAACTCATAAATTCTAATTCTGAATGAGATCTATACATGCTGGATATATGTATAGAAGGAATGGGACTCAGAGACATTATATTCCATTTCCATTTTAACTACTAAGATGGGGAAGGCTTTCATCTTGCACTGCCCGGAAAATTATCTGACAGAAAAAAATGACCTTTCTTTTATATAAAAACTAGGATTTTAGTGAACCAAGTTCCTCTCCCTTCGTTATTTATAAGAAGTTTTCTGGATAGCCCATATTCGGTCCTACATGTATTAGGGTTTGTGTACATATACAAGAATTTTATTCCTTTATAGACTGGTCTGGGCCACCACTGTTCAGTTAAAATTGTATATGACTATTACAGGCTATGGTAAAAACAATGTGTAACTAGATACTGAATGCAGTGTATACACAGATACTGAAGGGCTTTTTAGTGATAATGGTGACATTGATAAGGATAGCAAATGTATCAGGTCAGTAGAAGAGAAAAAATTTTGTTGCAAATATGCAACCTCCTTAGTCAAGCACAACTGAAGGCAAAATTGTAAACTGACTTGATGTGATGCTGCATGTAGTTCAGCTGTTTTGTTGGTGTTATTTTATACAAGAAAAAGAGAATCTAAGTTCATTTTCCTTTTTTGGCATTTGAAATGGCCCTGGACTTGACTTATCCCATCACTCAAAGTTTTTACTGGCACCATCTTTGAAGGATGTAAATATAATAGCTCTTCAGGTATGAGAAGGAGTCTCATGGGAAACCATATTCAGCAGAGTTGCAGAACACTTTTGCAGCAGACTTTTTTTAAATGATGTTTTCTTTGTATCTTGTTTAGACTCTAAACTTTTTTCTGGCTTCCACTCAACCATGGCATATACAACTTAAATGTGCCAAAAATAAGACCAATACTTTTTCAAATATGTTACTTCCAAGTAGAACTGAATCAAGGCTAATTCTAAGGGCAAATGCAGCTTCTAGATTGATGGTGATTATTGCCCTTATTATGCTAAAGATTACTGTAAAGAAAGAGCAAAGGGACAATTACATAGAAAAAAACCAACATGGTTTCCTACAAAAATATGGAAAAGAGGTCATCAAAATAATCAGAGAATGAGAAAAGTTCCTAGTGAAAACCATTGCATATGGACATGAAAACCATAAAAGGCAACAATAATCTTAGAAAAAGTCAGAGGAATGAGTTTCTCAGAAGATACTACTAGATCAGTGATGATAACACCAATACTAATAAATTGCCTTACTTTAGGGACTTAGAAATTTAAGCAGCCTGAAAAATGCTTGTCATATTGGTAAATTACAGAATTGCCACTGGCTTTATTAATGTGTTGCAAAACAAGGTCTGATAAACTGGAAGTTGCTTGGTTAGTGACTAAAGCAGAATTGTGGGCCATAGGAAAACAAGAAGAAGCTTAACTTCATTACTTTAGTTCTCCATCACACACAAAAATATATTATTATGGTTATCATTTCTTCAGCACCTTCTCTCTCTTGACATCATTAGGAGTTTTACAATGAAGATTATTAGAGCTGCTTTGGAGACTTTGGAGTCTATTGACATATAGATAAGACAGAGTATGGTGGTGTGAGTATATAGGTGAATATTTGGATTCTATTGCAATGGTGTCAGCTACAATTCAGGCAGTCCACCTCTGCTCAAGTGTCAAAATCATGACATCTGGCCTCGATAAGTGGAAATGTTCTTATGAATTTTTGATATCTAAGAGTACACTCCTTGGAGATCACAGTTACTTTGACTTTCTCTAACACTTAGCAAGTAACAGATACACCTGTGCAGAATGGTTAGGCTCCTCACTCAAAAGGCAGCCATTCTCTGACTCTACTAAATAAAGCATATGCAAATAGGAACATAGTCTGTTTTCTGTGATGGCATACATAATCTCTTACTTTTTACACAGTCCTTGAAAAACAGGAATTATTTAGCAATATTTTAGATATAAAGGTCCCAAGGCTCAGAGTTCATAAATAACTTCCTTACAGGCACATTGCTAAAAAGTGACATGGCTGGAAATAAGAGGTCCATTTGATTTCAAACCTCCTACTTTTTTCCTTAATTTGCATGCAGTTCTGCCTCTCAAAAAGGCCACAAGGGAGAAAATCCTGGTTCATTCATTAACATATTCAACAAATATTATTGAGCACCCATTATGTTCTAGGTGCTGAAGATACTGTGGTAAAGTATATAAAGCCCTGCCCTGTTGGATCTTACATTTTGGTGACAAATAGATAACAGCCAAACATATTACGTCAGGGCTATAAAATATGCAGGGAGAAGGGAGGTTATTTTAGTAAGGAATGAGAGAAGTCTTCAATGAGGTGATATTTATGCAAAGACATAAATGAAGTGAAGGAGTGAGCCTTGTGGAAATTCGAGAGAAAGGGATACCAAGTAAAGGGACCACCAAGCACAAAGCCTCTAAAATGGGCCTATGTGCACTGTGTTCAAGTTACAGGAAAAAGGTCAGTGTCACTATAGTTCAGTGAATGAGATGGAGAATGTTAAGGTGATGGAGTTGGAGAGCAGCAGGGCCCAGATCATGAAGAGCCCAAGGCCAAAGTGAGAAGTTTGAAGTTCATTTTAAGGGTGATGGGAAGCCATTTAGCTGTATAAGAAGGGAGGAATGGCAAAAATGACTCATATTTTTCTTTTTTTATCTTTTAAGTTTAGGGTTACATGTTCAGGATGTGTAGGTTTGTTACACAGGTAAACGTGTGCCATGGTGGTTTGCTGCGCAGATCATCCCATCACCTAGGTATTAAGCCCAGCATCCATTAGCTATCCTTCCTGATGCTCTTCCCCCACAACTCGCCCCCAACAAGCCCCAGTATGTGTTGTTCTTCTTCATGTGTAAATGTGTTCTCATCATTCAGTTCCCACTTATAAGTAAGAACATGCAGTATTTGGTTTTCTGTTCCTATGTTAGTTTGTTAAGGATAATGGCTTCCAGCTCCATCCATGTTCCCACAAAGAACACGACCTCGTTCTGTTTTACGACTGCACAGTATTCCATGGTGTGTATGTACCACATTTTCTTTATCCAATCTATCATTGAAGGGCATTTGGGTTGATTTCATGTCTTCACTATTGTGAACAGTGCTACAACGAACATACGTGTGCATGTATCATTATAACAATGATTTATTTATACATCTTTGGTATATACCCAGTAATGGGATTGCTGGGTCAAATGGTATTTCTGCCTCTAGGTCTTTGAGGAATCGCCATGCTGTCTTCCACAGTGGTTGAACTTACACTCCTACCAACAGTGTAAAAGTGTTCCTTTTTCTCCACGACCTCACCAGCATCTGTGTTTTTTGACTTTTTAATAATAGCCTTTCTAACTGGCACAAGATGGCATCTCATTGTGGTTTTAGTTTGCATTTCTCTAATCATCAGTGATGTTGAGATTTTTTTCATATGTTTGTTGGCCACATGTATGTCTCCTTTTGAGAAGTGTTTGTTCATGTTCTTTGCCCACTTTTTGATGGGGCTGTTTGTTTTTTCTTGTAAATTGGTTTAAGTTGCTTGTAGACTCTGGATATTAGACCTTTGTCAGATGAATTGCAAAAATTTTCTCTCATTCTGTAGGTTGTCTGCTCAATCTGATGATAGCTTCTTTTGGTGTGCAGAAGCTCTTTAGTTTAATTAGATACCATTTGTCAATTTTTGCTTCAGTTCCAATTGCTTTTGGCATCTTCATCATGAAATCTGTACCCATGCCTACGTCCTGAGTGGTACTACCTAGATTTTCTTCTAAGGTTTTTATAGTTTTGGGTTTTACATTTAAGTCTTTAATCCATCTTGAGTTAATTTTTGTATAAGGTGTAAAGAAGGGGTCCAGTTTCAATATTTTGCATATGGCTAGCCAGTTCTTCCAGCACCATTTACTAAATAGGGAATTTTTCCCCATTGCTTGTTTTTGTCAGGTTTGTCAAAGGTCAGATGTTGCAGGTGTGTGGTCTTATTTCTGGATTATCTATTCTGTTCCATTAGTCTATGTATCTGTGCTTATACAAGTACCGTGCTGTTTTGATTACTGTAGCCTTGTAATATAGTTTGAAGTCAGACAGCATGATGCCTCAAGCTTTGTTCTTTTTGCTTAGGATTGTCTTGGCTATTCAGGTTCTTTCTTGGTTCCATATTAATTTTAAAATAGTTTTTTCTAATTCTGTGAAGAATGTCAATGGTAGTTTAATGGTAATAGCATTGAATCTATAAATTATTTGGGACAGTAAGGCCATTTTCACAATATTGATTCTTCTTATCTTTGAGCATGGAATATTTTTCCATTTGTTTGTGTCCTTTCTGATTTCTTTGGGCAGTGGTTTGTAGTTTTCCTTGAAGAGGTCCTTCCCTTCCCTTGTTAGCTGTATTCCTAGGTTTTGTTTGTTTGTTTTTTGCAGCAACTGTGAATGGAAATTCATTCATGATTTGACTTTCGGCTTGCCTGTTGTTGGTGATTTTTGCACACCGATTTTGTACTCTGAGACTTTGCTGAAGTTGCTTAAGAAGGTTTGGTCTGAGATTAAGTTGGCTTCATCCCCAGGATGCCAGGTTGCTTCAACATAACCAAATCAATAAACGTGATTCATCACATAAACTAAACAACTAAAGAAAAAAAACACATGATTATCTCAATAGATGCAGAAAAGGCCTTCAATAAAATTCAACATCCCTGCATGTTAAAAACTCACAATAAACTAGGTATTGAAGGAACACACCTCAAAATAATAAGAGCCATATGTAACAAACCCACAGCCAATATCATACCGAATTGGCAGAAGCTGGAAGCATTCCCCTTGACAACTGGCACAAGTCAAGGCTGCCCTCTCTCACCATGCCTATTTAACATAGTATTGGAAGTTCTGGCTAAGGCAATCAGGCAAGAGAAAGAAATAAAGGCTATTCAAATAGAAAGAGAGAAAGTCAAATTATCTTTGTTTGCAGAAGACATGATCCTATATCTGATTCACATTTTTCAAGTTGGGGAAATAAAACATTTTAAAATTTCATATTGAAACGCAGTGGATAAAACACTAATAAAGATTATTTCCTTTTAAAAGCCAAATGCCTCTTGTTAGTAAGAAAAAGATGGGGGATTGGGGAAAGGTCCAAAACAAGGTTAGTGATCTATTCAGGCCCTTTCCCATCCTCATGCGTCCCATAGGCTCCCAGCATACATGCTGGTACTCAGTGATTCCCGTATTAGTGCTTGTTTTGTTCTCCTTGTAATTAGGAATGGTAACACTGAGGTTCTTTCTTTTTAATTCATCCTCCCTGCATGCTCGTTCATTCTCTGTCATCTCACCCAGTCACCTATTAAGCACAGGGTTAAATAAAGAACAGGAGTTCCATACATACTTATTCCACTTGATTACATTAAGATTATAAAATATTGGTATGGTTCTTCATTTTAGTTAGTGAGCCTTTCAATTTCATTAATAATGTGGATTATATTTGAAGTGCCTATTTAACCCCTTCAAAAGATATTTGGGGCTTAATAAAGGCACTTTCTATCTCAATTATCTCTTTCTGATTTACACTTTTTGCAGACTAAACAAAGTGATAACCAGCACCTCCCGTGTGTCTGTTCCATAATCGACCTACAAAGATCCAACTGCTTTGATCAGATCTGACAATGGACCAAAGACACATCCTAATTCTGACCTTTTGGGGTTCAATATAAAAATTGTCTTAAAGAGTAGTGTTAGTGCAAAAAGAAAAGCTACAGAAATAAATAGCTTGCAGGGTTGAGAGCTAGTTGTTCACTATCAAAGAAAAACTGCTCAATCCATTATCTTGAAACAAACAGCTCCTCAGAAAGTGCATTTAAGCTACTGACTCAGAGTAAATACATCCACACATCCACACATTTTTGACTGCCTTATCTTTCCTCTTTTCACATCAAACTGTTAGTTTTATTTATGAATTTCAGCAAAGTACATCCATAATTGGTTTCTTTATATTAATTTGGACAGAGGTGCTAAAAACACATTTAGCTAGAATTATAAGAATTTGATGTACTTGTTTGTGGTTTACTTAAATATAATATGAACAATTTTCAATATACCTGAAGAAAAGCAAATTGGCAAAGAGAGAAAGAGAGAAAATATTTTATGCCTTTATTAAGAGCCAGTCCTTTTATCACCATGATTCCACTCTGATTCTGATATAATACAGCAAATTGGTTTGGGAATTTGCATGCTTCAGCCAGGGTTATCATCTACTTCAATAATCCCTATAATCTCTATTCTATAACAAAATTCATTGAAGTATGTTAAACTATATCACTCTGAAAAAAATATTGTTACCATTTTAGTTTTTAAAACAGGTTTATTGAGGTATAATTAATAAACAAAGAATTGCACATATTTAATAAATAGCCATTTTGTTTTAAGGACAAATTGATTCCCAGGTGCCTTCTGATTTTCAACTAAAGCAATGAATTTATTTTGTACATTGTGAAGGAATAAATAATAAGAGTGCCATGAAATTCTCCTAAGACCATAGTTTATTTGCAGTATCACAGAGTTTCAGTAGCTGCAAAAAAAAAAAACCTTACCAATCCTCCAGGTCAATCCCCATTTTGCAGATTAAAAGTCATCCTATAGACTTCACTGCTGCAGAGCTACCTAGTGGATGAGACTCAAACTCCAGATATTTCCTATTTGTATTTCCTGACAATAGCATTTTATAGGAAAAGGAATTTGTAGCCACATAAACTTCAAGGTCCACTCAAATGCTACCTCCTCTATGAAGCCTCTCCTAATCACCCAGCAAGAACAAATTTCATTCATCTCTAAAGGGCAAGCAATGGTACTTTTATCTATGCCTCTCCTATGGCAACCATGTCTTTCATTTCATATCAGTCTCAACTTTCATATTAAATTTCACATTCTCTCTTTCCCCTCAAAAAAAAAAAAGTTTGAGTTACCTTTGTGTCCCAGAGTACAGCGCAATGCCCTACATTTGGTAGGTGCTCAGTACGTCACTGAATGATGTTAGCCACATTCAAATCTATATGATCAACAGAGCTGGCCATTTTGGTTTAAAGCCAGTATCTTAGTTCACACTGGTCTCTAAATACTATTAAGTGATATTTTTATTTCCTCTCTAGAATAAGCAGAGAACTTTGAAACAAAGCCATTTCTAGTCCCTGTTGCTCCTATGGACTACCAGGAATCCAGGATACGAACCACCAAGCCACTGGACTCACAACAAGAGGACTTCCTCTCTCTATCTAGAGTAATTGTCTGAATACCAGCAGAGTCTGGCTTCTCCAGATCCTTCAAAAAATCTGCATTCCTTTACCAGTGAGAACACATTAGAATGTTGAGTAAGAAAAGATAAGTAAGTTATGTGTCAAGGCATTTCATCCATTCTGCTTTCAGTACATAAAGTGGGAGGGGCCCAAAAAATAATGCCTCAGAGGATTCCTACTGGCATGGAGTGAAAATGTGCCTTTAGTTTGCAAACAGGTACTATACACAAGCAAGATAAAGCCTATTAGAGCCTTATCTGATTTGCACATAACACAACTGTTGAAGTCTTTCGAGTTTTCAAGTGGCATAAAATACTACACAATTCCTTTATGACTCAAAACAAGATGCAAGAGAGAGTAGATAGCAAAAATTCACTCAAATATACCATCCCACAGACTGAATGTGCTTCTCTATAAGCAAAAAACCTTTGTTTGATTGCATTGACACAATGCATGGAAACAACAGTATATGTCCTTTGCATAGAACCTGTTTTATAATGCTAGTACAATTCTCACATTCCTTTATCTGAAACCCTTGGAACCAATGTGTTTCTCAGTTCAGGATTTTTCCTATTTTAGAAATGTGGGCTGTAATCCCAGTACTTTGGGAGGCCGAGGCAGGTGGATCATTTGACGTTAGAAGTTCGAGACCACCCTGGCCAACACAGTAAAACTCTGTCTCCATAAAAAAAATACAAAAATTAGCCAGGTGTGGTGGCACACACCTGTGGTCCCAGTTATTGTGGAGGCTGAGGCAGGAGAGTCGCTTAAACCTGGGAGGTGGAGGTTGCAGTGAGCTGAGATCGCACTGCTGCACTCCAGTCTGGATGACAGAAGTAAGACCCTGTCTCAAAAAAAAAAAAAAAAAAAAAAAAAAGAAAAGAAAAATGAGGCATATACCATATATTAAATAACACTCTCATCAAGCTCATCAAGATCTGGAATAGCACCCTTTAATCAAAAACATATTTCTCAGGTTTTGCCACAAAATTAGGGCAGGTCAGGTTTTGCCTTCAAGTTACCAGTTTCAGAGCATTCTGGAGTGTGGAATTTCAGATGTGGGATTTGGGTCTGAATGATGAAAAATAACTCCTGTGTTATAACAAAATTATATCATTCGGAGTTGTTGCAATATATGCTTAAGTCTATAGGGTCATATTTTACTAGAGCATACACAAATCCATATAATAAGCGAAACAATTCTACTAAATTGTTTAACAATTCATTGTGTAAATTTCTGGTATGATATTCTGCTAGTTTCAGAGGAGCTACAAGTCAACATATACCCCTGGAATTTGAAATCTTTCCAAAATTAAATGGTGTAAATAAAGGTGACGAAATGTTTCAAAATATGGAAACAGTAGAAATGTTTGCATTACTTTATGTAATTATTTAAATAGTAGTGTATGGCATGAATTTACCACCTGGGTCTTGGAATGGCTATATACTTAACTGGAATGAAACACTAAAGTTGTTGAACATTTTATTTTTTTGAAGGCACATGTTTAACAGGTCATCAATCAAAAGATATATGTATGGCTTCCAATTATTCTTCTAATTATTGCAACCAAAAAAAATTAAGTCAGGATGTGAAAATCACATCAAGTTTTAAAAGTTAAGTAGTACTCCTTTAAAAATGTGTTACCTTCTCTTATTTTTTTAAGTCCATACTAATAATCAGCAAGAAAAGAAACATGTTGTTCAGAGCAAATATCTCCATAGAGGTAAGTGTTTCTACCTGGAAAAGAGTCTGGGATAAAACAAGCGGCCAGTCACGCTGCACAGTCTCCTAGGGTCACCTTATGGAGACTTCATTTAGGAGCTGAGGGAATATGCTTCCAGGGCCTCTTGAGGGCCCTCTCTCATACTCAGCTCAGCCTGACCACTGGGGCTCAAAGAACTAGGAAAGATGGAGAACAGAGGAGGAGGATATAGAAAGCAGGTTGTAAGAGTTGGCCCAGACTTGTTTACATGCAATTCCTGTTTTCTAAAATTGAAGGAAGGATTTGATTGGCTAGTATTGGCAAGTCTTTTGAGTTTTTTTTTAAAGGGTACTTTGTTAAGAAAAATAATAATACTATTTCTAAATGAAATTATTATGAGAATTTATTTAATTTTTCATTTTTATTTTTCCTTTGAAAATAAATGAATTAAGCAACAATCTTTTATTTCAGATAAAGAGTTGATTTGGGTTTTGGCTTAGTGTCTACAAACGTGTAGAAATTTGAGTGCGTTCTCTCAACAGGACCTCCAAACTACTTCTGGCCTGGAGCTGTACAACTCATGAATTGCTGTTCACTCAAACAAATACCTTAAAATTTTATATGCCACAGTTTACCTTTTAATGTTTTCTTCAGTGAGTTACTTCTTAAGTTAGTCTTCCCTCAAAAACTTATGCCTCCTTTTAGTCAGCACTATGAGACTTTTGGTGGGAAAAGGGGGAAAAAAACCTACTACTGTTACTAGAAGGCTCCAAAACTGAAAAGTACTTTCTAAACCATTTCTAAAATTACTCTACATTTCACTGGTTACTTAATATACAGTACTATGCAAACTCAAATGAAATATTTTTTTGACAAATAAAGTTTGTATATATTTAAGGGATATAATGTGATTATTTAATATATATATACTTTGTGAAATTATTACCACAATCAAGCTAATTAACATATCTATCACCTCACAGAGTTACCCTCTTTTGTGTATGTGGTGAGAATACTGAAGATCTACTCTCTTAGCAAATTTCAAGTACACAATGCATTATATAGCACTGTACCATGATCTCCAGAGATTATTCATCTTATGACCAAAAGTTTTTACCCTTTGACCAATTATCTCCTCATTCCCCCAACCACCCCCAACCACCTTCTACTCTGTTTCTGTGAGTAAGATTTTTAAAAATTCTACGTATAAATGGAATCATGCAGTATTTTTCTTTCTGCGTCTGGCTTATTTCGCTTAGCATAATGTCCTCCATGTTCATATATGTTGTTGCACATTGCAGGATTTCCTTTATTTTTTAAAGCTGAATTTTCCTCTGGGTGTGTGTGTGTGTGTGTGTGTGTGTGTGTATAAACATTTCCTCTGTCCATTCATTCATCAGAGGACACTTAGGTTGTTTCTATATCTTGGCTATTGTGAATAATGCTACAATGAACATGGAAGTGTAGACATGTCTTCAAGACAACGGTTTCATTTCCTTTTGATGTATACCCAGAAGTAGGATTGCTGGATCATATGGTAGTTCTATTTTTATTTTTTGAGGAAATTCCATACTGTTTTCCATAATAGCTATACCAATTTACATTTCCACCAATAGTGCACAAAGGTTCGCTTTTCTCTACATCCTTGCCAACACTTGTTGTCTTTTGACTTTCTGGTAATAGCCATCCTAACAGTTGTGATGTGATATCTCATTGTGGTTTTGATTTTCATTTCCCTAATGGTTAGCGGTGTTGAACACCTTTTTACTTATTGGCCACTTGCATGTGTTCTTTGGAAAAATGTCTTTTTAGGTCCTTTGCCCATTTTTTAAAAAAGTTATTGTGTTGTATGAGTTCCTTATATATTTTGGATATTAAACTCCTTACTGGATATACAGTTTATAAATAGTTTTTCCTATTCCACAAGTTGCCTTTCCATTTTGTTGTTTCCTTTGTTTTATGGCATTAGGTCTTTCTAACATTGTGTACTCCATTTTGAGTTGATTATTGTGCATGTTGTAAGACCAAGGTCCAATTTCATTCTTTTGCATGTGGATATCCTAAATAAAATATTTTTAAAACTGTGATTTTGATAATTCCAAGTTTAAATAAGAGGGAAAAGAATTAGGATCTCTGTTGGAATAACTTTTAGTTCTCTTCTTCAATTCAAATACATGTATATAATGAAAACATATATTTGAGTATTTGAGAGTAATAACAGTCTGTTTAACAAATGTAAGGCATCTGTGGAATTATTACAAGAAATTATCATTGTACTTAGCTTTAGACTGATTTACTGCATCTTCCTTAATCCTTAAGTTGCATATTCATTGCTGTATTTTCTTCTAACTGCTGTCACTTAAGTTGTCATGCAGAATAGGGCAAATCGGGGTCAGTTTATATAAGCGGCATCAATTTGAAGAACTTCATCAGTCTTCATTTCAAGGCATTATGCAAAGAAAACTGACATTAAGAGAGCCTTAACTGACAGCAAATGAAATCAATCAGCAAATCACTAAGCCATAATAAACTCACTCATTTGTAGATAACCCTTCCTTTTCCAGGTCTTCACCTAGGCAGTCCATCAAACACTGTTTTTTGTCCAAGTAGCTAAAATGAATAGCAATTCTGGTTATAGCACTTGAAAGTTCAACTGCTCACAGGCTTCGTTCTCTCAATAATAAGTATTAAAAGATATAATAGTTCTAGTTATATTTAAAAAGTGGCCTTAAAATGAACAAAAAGATAAAGCATCAAGTTTAGAATTTAGTTTTTGCCTCTTAACATTAATGACAAAGAAATTATGTTCACATCATGTCAGCAGCTTTTCTACTTAGGGCCACCTAGAACTCAGAGTTGTAACAAAAAACAAAATTCTGTACTGTACTTTGATACGTTTTGTCATTTTTGTTTTTTACTAATTGCATCTCAAACATTTCACATAAAAGCAAATACTGTCACCACTTGAGTTGGAATTTGAAATCATCCCAAAATTAAATGATGAAAAGGTGACAAAATGTTTCAAAATATGGAAACAGTAGTAATGTTTGCATTACTTTATATGATTATTTAAATAGTAGTATATGGCATGAATTTACCACCTGGGTCTTGGCAATGGCTGTATACTTAACTGGAAGGAAACACTAAAGTTGTTGAACATATTATTTTTTTGAAGGCACATGTTGAACAGGTCATCAATCAAAAACCTCCAAAAGTCAAAACACTAAAACCTTTCTCAATATAGTTGGGTCACCGTTCCTGACCTTAGGCCTTTTATAGTTCAGTCCAACTTAGCTTTTACTAATATAGCATTTTTTAATGTGAAAATCACCTTCACATGCACATTATCTCATCTGATCTCCCTACAGTCCTGTGAGCAAAAGCAAGACTGGCGTCACTGTCACCTTTTACAGATGAGGGAACAGTGGCTCTGTGCTGTTGAGTGACTTACCGAGGTGGTTAAATTACAGGGCCAGAACTTCAATCCAGGCATTCTGACTCTCCACACAAGCTTTTTCTAATACTACCTTGCTGACTCCTTCCCCAGAAAATGAAATTATTTCAACTTTTCCAAATACTATGCTGTTAAGAAAATAATTCCCATTCTAATCAACATAACTCAATGACATACAGTAAATTGCACAGACTTATGGTTGCCAATTTCCATATAATCTGATTTACTTTCTTGTCTTTTAAAGGGGTAAAAATATTAACCTGAAATTGAAAACTAAGCAATCTATATATACCTGACCAAGGGATGTTTATATGGCAAATATTTAAAGAAAAATTATTTCAAAAACATTTATTAGTGCGATTTAATTTTCTAAGTTCTTTCATACATGTTATAGGATCCTCATAATCACCCAAAGATGCACCAGACCAGGTAATATCACCTCCATTTTACTGATGAGGAAACTGACATGCTGGAAGAATTCAGGGTCAAGGGGTCACAGAAAATAGTGATTCTAGGATAGAACTCCAGTAGCACTGGAATTCTATCCAGTGCTACCACAAGAATTGTAATACATACTCATCCTTCACAAGAAAAGACAATGTTGTATTCCACATACACACAAAAAGAAAACAATTGTATAAAATAATGAGAATCCCTGCTACTGGTGTAATTTGTGTCTACAGGGGGAAGGATTTCAACTGCTTTATTGCCAGTCCTACTACTTTCTAGCAAAGTTGCATAACTGCTTCAACCTTCTGTAATACTGATTCTGCTATGATTTTATTTCCTTCCTAATTATTTTTTCCTATTAAGAAAAGGAATAATAAACAACAAAACTAGAAAAATGAATTTATAAATCTACCTTGTTTTTAAAGAAGTCCTACCAGATTTTCCTTAATCTCAGTTCAGATCAGTTATACCAGATCATTCCCGCAAGGTATATAATTCATACATACATTAAGCTGAATTAAGGAGTACAAAGTTATAAGATTCTTTAAAACTGTAGCAGAAGCTTTACACGGATGCAATTACTTGCCCTTAAATGTCATCTTGTCCTTTTTAAAAGGCAAAGAGAGATAAAAATCTCAACAAGAAAAAACAAGAAACAAACACACTGGTCTGAAATACAACCCAGGATGCAAGATGTAAGATATCTCATCTGCTAGTATTAAAAAGAAAACTTTATAGAACTCCTTCTACCTATCAGAAGGAGTTGAGAGACAGAAGGCACTACCTTAGTGTGCAAGACTATGTTTTAATAATGGATATACAGAAAATACCTTATTACAATAAATCTTTTAAAATAAAAGAGCCAGCCATGGTGGCTAATGCCGGTAATCCCAATACTTTGGGAGGCTGAGATGGAAGGATAGCTTGAGGCCAGGAGTTTCAGACCAGTCTGGGCAGCATAGCGAGACTGTGTTTCTACAAAAAAATTTAAAAATAAAATATTATCTACAAAAAATTAAAAATATTACCTGGGTATGGTGGTGCGCACCTGTGGTCCTAGGTACTCAGCAGGCTGAGGCAGGAAGATTGCTTGAGCCCTGGCATTTGAGACTGCAGTGAGCTATGATCACACCACTGCACTCTAACCTGAGCAACAGAGGAAGATCCTGTCTCAAAAGAAAAGGAAGGGGAGGGGAGGGGAGGAAGGAAGGAAGGAAGGAAGGAAGGCAGGCAGGCAGGCTGGCTTTTATCGGCTGGTAAAATATCTGAACAAAAAGAGTATAATTTTATATTTTTACCCTCAAGATTCTGTCCTAAAAATCTGATGCATCCCCCCTCCACCACCATCAAACAAACAAATAAAAAACCTAGAAATCAGACAACAGGCACAGAAAGAGAAGGAGGAATAATGGGAGAAAAGGATGGTGAAAAGACTTATGGGATAATACGAAAACTGCTCTAGTAATAGCTGATACGCAAAGCTAATTATCAAGCAGTTTTCCCAGTCATGAAACACTAAAATCTTAGGAGAAGATACAGATTGAGGATGACAAGGCATAACTCACAATGACTATAACCGACGTTTAAATGCTATTTATACTGATATTGAATTAAAACTAAGATCACTATTGTTATCTCACTTTGCAACAAGCCCTTAAAATAAGTTTTTCCAAACACTGGGGAAACACTCCAGGACACTGATCTGGGCAAAGATTTTCTTTTTAAGACTTTAAAAACACAGACAACCAAGCCAAAAATAGAAAAATGGGATTACATCAAGTTAAAAAGCTTCTGCACAGCAAAGGAAGCAATCAACAAAGTGAAGAGACAACCCACAGCATGGGAGAATACACTCGCAAATCGTCCATCTGACAAGGGATTAACAACCAGAATATGCAAGGAGCTCAAACAACTCAATAGCAAAATAACAAATAATTTAATTTAAAAGTGGCAAAAAGATCTGAATAGATATTTCTCAAAAGAAAACATACAAATGGTCAACAGTATATGAAAAGAATACTCAACATCATTAACTATCACAGAAATGCAAATCAAAACCACAATGAGCTATCATCTCACCCCGGTTAAAATTTATATTAAAAAGACAGGCAATAATGGATGCCAGTAAAAATATGGAGAAAGGAGAATCCTCGCACACTATTAGGGAGAATGTATATTAGTAAGGCACTATGGAGAACAGTATGGAGTTTCCTCAAAAAACTAAAAATAGAACTACCACATGATCCAGTAACTCCACTACTGGGTATGTGTACAAAAGAAAGAAATACATCACAAGGCATCTGTACTCCTATTTTTACTGCAGCATTATTCACAACAGCCAAAATGTGGAACCAGCCTAAGTGGCCGTTAATAAATGAATAAAGAAAATGCGATATAGATATACACAATGAATTAGGAATGAAATCTTATCATTTGCAGCAACACAGATAGAACTGCAGGTCATTAAATGAAATAAGCCAAGCACAGAAAGACAAATATTGCATGTTCTGACTCATATGTGGGAGCTAAAAAGGTGACTCTCATGAAGATATATAGATTGGTGGTTACCAGAGGCCAGGAAGGGTAGTGGTTGAGAAGGGGATGAAGAGAAGTTGATTAATGGGTACAAATATATGGTGTGATAGAAATAATAAGACCTAGTGTTAGATCAGTAGGGTAACTACAGTTTACAATAATCTATTTTGTATTTTTAAATAGCTAGAAGAATTTGAATGGTTCTAATATAAAGAAAAGACAAATATTTAAGGTGATGGATCTATATCCCAAGCACACTGATTTGAACTTTACAAATTATATGAATGTATTAAATTATCACATGTACCCTAAAACCATGTACATCTATTATGCATCAAATTTCTTAATGAGAAAAAGAAACAAAAAGAGAAAAATAATAAGTTCTTCTACGCACCTTAGTATTTCATTTCTTGTAATACTTTGTTTTGTTTAGCATTGCTTAGGGCTCTACTCAGGAAATTTTGAAGAAATTTTAGTTCTACTTGTGCAATATGAAATCTTCAGAGTAGAATTCTAAAATTTCAAGTACCAAGTAGCAAACTCTTCCTACTGTCAACAACAACCGAAAAAAGCACCAAATTCACTACTTCTTATATTCACATTCAAGTTAGGCCCCATATCTAGGACATTTAGATTGCTCATTGGCACAATTTACATTCTGAAGAACTAGAGTCTATACCTGTCAAGTAGCTAGATGAGACAAAGGATGGTATTTTTCCATCAAATTCGTTTATTCTCAGATGAACTATATGACTTTGCCAGCTAATTGTATTTCCCTAACAAATAGCTCTTCTCTGGGTAGTATTTACAAACCTTTGAAGAAGGTGACATTCCAACATTATTTTCGATTCCACAACCCAATTAAAAAATTATTTAATATTTTTCAATGTAAAAGATATTTTTATTTTGGGCTGGGTGTGGTGGCTCATGTCTGTAATCCCAGCACTTTGGGAGGCTGAGGCGGGTGAATCACTTGAGGTCAGGAGTTCGAGACCAGCCTGGCCAACACGGTGAAACCTCGTCTCTGCTAAAATTACAAAAAAAAAAAAAAAAAAAAACAATTAGGCGGGCATGGTGGCACATGCCTGCAGTCCCAGCTACTCAGGAGTCTGAGGCAGGAAATTCGCTTGAACCCGGTTGCGGGAGGTTGGAATGAGCCGAGATCACGTCACTGCACTCCAGCCTGGGCAACAGAGAGACTCCGTCTCAAAAAAAAAAAAAGAGAGAGAGAGAGAATTGGAAGTGACAGATATGTTCATTAGCATGATTTAATTATTGCACATTGTATTCATAAGCCATAAGATCACTCTGTACCATGTAAATATACACAACTACAATTTATCAATTGGCAAGTAAAAAATGTAAAAGAATAAAGAGAATTGCACAAACTCCTATAGACAACAACTTTGGATAATCCAAAATCTTTTTGATAACTTACTATTAAAATGATGTCACTTACCAATTCCAATAATCTCAAACATTCAAAGCACAGTCATGGACTTAGAAAGCAATGAAAAAGAAAATCTGTGAGACAAGCAGCTGCCACAAAATGTATCCTCTTTACTTCACCAAGGAGAATCTCTTAGACTAAAACTTAGCAACTCTGTGTAAAATAAGGACCTAGTAAGAATGGATGTCTGCAAATTCAGGGAAGACCAAAATTATAAAAAGAGGAAAAAACTTTCTTCTATTATCAGAAATTAAAGAACCACACTTTAAAAAGAAAATTAAAGGGCTAATAGAAGTCTTGCAGGGGGTAAAGTGGAACCATCTTATCTTTTTCAGGGGCAATTGGAGAATGTGTATTAAAAGCCTTAGAGTACACATAATATTTGATGCAATCATTCTACTAATTTATTCCAGGGGAAAAAAGAGAATAATGAAAAAATGTATGCAAGAGGATAGTAATTACCACCTTATTCATAATAACCAAAAACTCAAAATAACTTCAAATATCCATCAACAGAAAACTGACAAAATATACTGTGGTAGAGCCATGTAGCAGAGCACAACTCAGGCATCAAAAATAATTACATAAATCTGTAATTACTGACAAGAAAGATATGTTATTAGGTTTAAAAAACAATGCACACAAATAGTATGGCCCAAGAGAAGTTGGTTAAAGAGTACAAAAATAGTTAGCTAGAAGGTATAAGTTCTAATATTCAATAGTATAATAGGGAAATTATAATTAACAATAATTTATTGTATATTTCAAAATAGCTAAAAGAGAAGAATTGTAATATGCCCAACATAAAGAAAAGCATTCGAGGGGACAGATAACCAAATTACCCTGATTGATCATTGCACATTGTATATAGGTATCAAAATATCACATGTGCCTCCAAAACATGTACAACTATTACATACCAATAAAAAGGAAAAAAAGTGAAAAAAACTGTATGGCCCAATTGTTGTTTAAATATATATAGGTGTATTAAATATAAATAATATGTGCATGTGAGTTTGTATTTATGGCTAAAAAATAACTTGAAGAATATATACCAAAATGTTAACATTGGTTGTGTCTGAATGGCAGAATTTCAAATGATTTTTTTTAACTTTTATTTTAGGTTTAGAGGTAAATATGCAGGCTTGTTATATAGGTAAACTCATGTCACAATGGTTTGTTGTACAGATTACTTTGTCACCCAGGTACTAAGCCTAGTTCTCAATAGTTATTTTTTCTGATCCTCTCCCTTCTCCCACACCCTCCAGACTCAAGGCCCCAATTGTTCCCCTCTTTGTGTCCATGTGTTCTCATCATTTAGCTCCCACTTACAAGAACATGTGGTGTTTGGTTTTCTGTTCCCGTGTTAGATTGCTGAGGATGATCGCCTCCAGCTTTATCCATGTTCCCACAAAAAACATGATCTCGTTCTTTTTATGGTTGTATAGTATTCCATGGTGTATATGTACCACATTTTCTTTATCCATTCTACCATGGATGGACATTTAGGTTGAGTCCATGTTTTGCTATTGTGACTAGTGCTACAGTGAACATATGCCTGCATGTGTCTTTATGGTAGAACAATTTGTTTTCCTTTGGGTACATACTCAGTAATGGGAGTGCTAGGTCAAATGGTAGTTCTGTTTTCAGCTTTTTGAGGAATTGCCACACTGCTTTCCACTAGGGCTGAACTAATTTACACTCCCACCAACAGTGTATAAGCATTCCCTTTTCTCCACAACCTCATCAGCATCTGTTATTTTTTGACTTTTTAATAATAGCCATTTTGACTGGTGTGAGATGGTATCTCATTGTGGTTTTGATTGGCATTTCTCTAATGATCAGCAATGTTGTTGAGTTTTTTTTTTCATACTCCTGTTAACTTGTGTGTATGTCTTCTTTTGAAAAGTATGTGTTCATATCCTGTGCCCACTTTTTAATGGGGTTGGTTTTTTCTCGTAAATTTAAGTTCCTTATAGGTGCTGGACATTAAACCTTCATCAGATGCACAGTTTGCAATATTTTTCCCCATTCTGTAGGTTGTCTGTTTACTCTGTTGATAGTTTCTTTTGCTGTACAGAAGCTCTTAAATTTAATTTGATCCCATTTGTCATTTGTTGTCTTTGTTGCAATTGCTTTTGGCACCTTCATCATGAAATCTTTGCTGGTTCCTATGTCCAGAATGGTATTACCTAGGTTGGCTTCCAGGGTTTTTATAGTTTAAGGATTTACATTTAAGTCTTTTATCCATCTTGGATTGATTTTTGTGCACTCAACAAATATTAGCTATTGTTACTGTTTAATTATTATTTATTGTTTACTACTGAATCGAAATGAAAACACAAATATTTACTGGATGCCTACTAATATTTGCCAGTTATTACCAATAGTACATATCATAATTATTGAAAAATTGTAATTCAGAGTATAAGATAATGAATAATAGGTATTATCTTTATAAAGTATAAGTAGAATCTTTTTTATTGCAAAGTTCTCTGCATTCACACTACACTGGACTTTTCATTTAAAGCTAATTGGTCTAATAGGGGTGTTTTTATTCTTCTCACTATTATAATGAAAGCCTATTTGCTGTTATTTGGAAGATAAAACACTAGTATAGGTTTAAATTTGCTGCAGGAACTTAAACGAAAGGTTTCACTGGAGACATGGCCTCATTGGAACATCCTATGCCATGGAAAAGTAAATAAGAAGCTATGGTAGGCTGTGCTTGATCAAAATTATTTAAAGTTTTTGAAGAAACAGGGAAGGGTGAAGAAACTAAATGGAAAGATACAGAAAAAAAAAGATCTTAAATAACGATTCCTCAAAATAAAACATACATACACCTTAAACGTAATGAAAACAAGCTACTGTTGCTTACTTCATCTTTACAAGGGCCTTATAACGGCTGCAATAACAACAGCCACCCTGCATTGTCTGCTTTCTCTAGGCTAGGCACTGTACTACACTTTACATCCATTGCTGTATTCAATCCCACTGCAAGTCTCGGGGATCAGTAGCATTACTTTTTGTTTGTTTGTTTGTTTGTTTGTTTCAGCTAAGAAAGTTGGAGGGGAAAGCTAGCAGATCTCAGAAACAAGTTGAACTGAGGTTTTCTCCATAGAAAAGCATCAGTCACATGCTCTTCCAGGTTCAGAGAACAAAGGTACTCCACTCATCCTCTTCACTCAGTAATAATGCTCACTGGTCTCTTTCCATTCAGGATTATACCTATAATAAAGTTTGCCCCCATTGAAAAAGACAGAAAACTTCAGCTCCTACTTCTGTAAATGACAGCTGAGTAAGTTGGGCAAATGGTTCATATACCACCACACCCTGCTGAGTGATCCTCTCTTCATAATCAAAGGTTGAGAACTCTGAATAGTCCACTTCATCAGTACAGAGTCAGAGTACAAAGTTAAACAACTACTGAATTCCCAAGTCAGTAGCCACACTTAGTATAAATGCACATATTTTTATACTGCAAAAAAAAAGGTGAAATTAGAGTTTCATACTATTAGCCCATAATTAGTCTACAATACAGCATAAACTATGATCTATATCATACATAGATGCATAATTTTTTACAAATGGAAGAAAAATTCCATTATAGATATCTAAGGTTTTACTCTTACCATGTAACATATGTGTCTACATTTTTTAGTATCAGATTTATTAATTCAGCTTAGCAGTCAAATACTATTAGACTTAAATCCAGGCTCTGCCTTTTCCTTGCTGTTGATCTGAGGAGTTACCCGTTGTGTTTGTTGTGGTGGTGGTGGTGAAGTGTAAAATGGAGATAGTGCCATTTATTTGACAGGCTCATTGTGAGAATTAAATAAGATGATATATTCAAAGAGCTAAGCATGGTACCTGGTACATAGTTAAGTGTTCGCTGAAACTGTAGGTACTATTATTATCACTAATGTCTCCTAATTTTCCAACTATGATGTATACTACTAAACTACAATATATATTACAGCATATCAATGGAACTTATCCAGGTGGGAGTCTAATATTTTTATTAGAACCTGGAAAAGACAGTAGTTTAAACTGTGGGTCTCTACATTTCCTTCTTGCTGTTCCCAGATATCATAACCCCCAAAAAGGGCATTTTGGGGAATCAACCTCTTTCGAAATCACCAACATCTAGTTTTGAGGAAGTCTTTACTTGTAAATTACGACAAATACTAAGCCTTGTGAGATTCTGAATTGAAATAGCCAAGTAAAGGATTATTTTACAACCACTAGAAAAATCTCAAATCAGACTGTATTCATAGTAATGATGAATTCATAAATACTGACAATCAAATTTAAAATACACATTTTAAATCTCATCTTAAATAACAGTACAGCAATCTACCCTATAACAGAGAAGAAAAATATTTTATGCTTACTTTTATAATTATATATATTTTAGACATATTGGACAATCTAATGAAAGAAGCAATGAGTATTTTTTTCCTTGTAGAGCATTAATTTGGTACTAATAACAAATTAAATTAGGATATGGAGCATATAAAAAATTAACATTGCTCCACACACACACTGACATTAATTTTCTATAAAATTAAAATTCCACAGGGTCATAAACTAAAATGAAAAAGATTATTTTAAATCTCAACATGTGAAAGACACACTAAGTTTTAAGAGATATTTCTCCTTTTAAATACACTAAAAAATAGAGTGCTATTGAACAAGGACAGTCTCTTTTGAAATATCATGCTTCCTATAATTTACATAATGTTGATAGTTTTCTTTTTTTAATGAAGGTTTTGGGCATTAAAAGGACACACTGAATTTCATTTTGTCAGATTAAGAAAAATAACCTTAAGGAAAAAATTGATCACAATAATATTAATACAATAGTGACATAAAATAGAAGGATACCTACAGCATCCGAAAATGAATGTTTCTAAAAATAAGTTTATTAGTGTACTTTAAAGTTATTTGAGTTCTTATGATTTGATATTTTAAGTTTTATAAATGAAATGACCCAATTTGCACATCTTACAATGTTCACTAAAACTAAATATTAAAGGGTAAAATACTCTTCAATAGAAAACACAGATAAGTTTAAGCTTTGCTGAAATTAAATTACTTCATAAGAAATGTTGGATATATTTTGGAATTAATATTGAGATATTTCAGGTATCTCTTTTGATGTTTACAACTAAAGTGATTTATTATTTTATTTTTTTTCTAAAATTACTTATTTTCAAACAATAAAAGCAACAAATTGAGACTTGCTTAAAGAGGTAACAGCCTAGTGTCTTATTGTCCTCTGCTGATAGGAAAGTATTTTCTTTTAATACTGTACTTTGCCATAAAACACATTTTTCCTTGGTAAAAACACTTTTCTGGATTATTTTAATAGGCTAGTTCTAGGCTTTAAAGAAAAAAACAATATTTTGTAAAGTATACTGTTACATGATAGAAGAAAAATGAAGAAACATCTATTTGCATCTCCTTTAAATTATTCACAATACTTTGAGGCTTTCATTCTCTCCAGTTAGTGCAATTTATTTTTCTATATGTCTCAGTAGCAAACAATGTTATTTAGACTCTAACCTGGCATGCTACCACCTCTGGCCCGCCCTTGAGCCCCTCCATTGCAAAGGTCTCCAGGTGCAGTTTGGGTAGCTGTAGGGTGAAGTCATTCCTACTTGCCGCAGACCATGACAGCGAGATCTGATCTCTGACCTAAAGGGAAAAAAACAGCATCAATGGTAATTCCCCTTCAGACACATTAACTGGGATGAACTGGGTCCCCTTGAGCCCACTGAGTGGACTTGCATTGATCGCTGGACCTGAAATCCATGAATAAATTTAGGACTAATTGATTTTTCGTTGCAAATAAATCTCTAATTCAGAGTGCTGGGGGAGAATGTTAAGAAGAAAAAGCATCCTCCTGCTTGAAATGAGGGAGGGGAAGAAGAGTCACTAGAGCTCTTCTGATCAAGAGGTTTTGAATTATTTTTTCACAGTTCCACCCTAAAAAGGAAGAAAAGAAAAAACATTCACAAAATCAAAAACAACAGCCATCTCCTAATCATTATCACCTGCTTAGTAACATGTGGTGTTTAACTGATATGAACTGATACATATTGGACAAGATAGTTATTAGGTACTAGTCTTTGAAAAGAAAACTTCAATAACATGTACTCTAGAATCAAAACAAATATACTCAACACAAAAGGAGACTTAAAAATATACAAGAAAGAGGTTTGTTTGCCCTTTTCACTCTTCTAGAATTGCAGGATTTTATTAAACTTGAGTCTTAATGATTAAATACATATAAACCAACACAGTCACACAATTTCTAAACAATACAACAGATAAAATCAGTAGTATTTGTACTCTATTTTAAGTATTCAGAAAGCAACAATACAAACACATCACCGATATGGGAAAAACACCAATTCTCTAGTCAGTATGGAATCACATGCAGTTGATATCACACTGCCACCTTCTGGACAAATGAGAAAATATTCCTTATATAATATAAATGGAAACATTCAAAAACAGATATTTTGGTTTTTAATTTCCAAACTTAGTAAAAGCCTTAAGAATTCCATAGTTTCGTTTGCATTTAAGAACAAAAAGCTCTCATTTTAATCATATAGTTTAATAATAGGAGTTTTCAATACATAGGCATATTTTCTAACTTTCCTTATGCTTGGAATAGGTTTTAAAATTTTATCTATTTGTTACCATATACTTAATAAATATTATACAATTAGCTCAATGCCACAGAACAAAAAGTTTTTTATCAGGTAGCGAAGGTCAAAAACAAGGTTAACTATAAAAATTGCATTAACTGCTCAAATAAATATATTTCTATCTCTAGTTTTATCCAAGCAACTTCAAATATAACTTGGCAAAAATACAAGATAGAAAATTTCTCCTCCATTTTTCTAGCCTACTTGGGAAGCTTGTAAAACTGTTTGAATTATTTTTATTGTATTAATTAGTTCCTTAGGATATACACACATTTCACAAAACAAACTCTATTGAGTTTCTTTAAGCCAGCAAACACACACAAACATATAACGGCATCTTTAACTGTTCACGCTAATCTATGGGCATAAAAATCCTTATATGTCCCAAGCTGATCTGAAGACTTTCTGTCAATAAGAGAATGTCAAAGTGTATGCTGTAAAACATACACTATGATGTAATTTTTATAATGATGTGAGTACCACATGCATGCTGGAGTCTCAATTCACAATGTATATTTATCTGCAACAAACACTCTCCAGAGTCTTCACTCAGGATAAGAATGCTGTTAAACTTACTTAGCATAACAAAACAAATCGTATTTTACAACTACATTTGTTTTAGGTTTTATATTTTACATGTATGAATACCTTCTCTTGCTTTTTTTTGTCACCAATGTGCACTCAGATAAAAGAAAACATTAATGTGGATTAAGGTTCTGAGAATTTATCAACATCAAACCACTAGTGTTTTGCCTTCTACCCTTCTGAACCACAGTCAATAGATCTAAATATTTTACTGCACCCTGGCCAATTCATTGTTTGATGTTTAAAAACTCACCCAGAATCAAAGAAAATTTATTAAATTTGAGCCCCCAAATGAGATACTATTAGCTTTGAAAGTCAAGTTTAACTGCGATATTGATGATTCTCTTTTTTCTGTGACAAAATTCACTAGGGAAATCCTGGATGTCAAAGTACAAAAGCAGATTGCTAATACGGGCAAAGAGAGGGGAAAAAAACCATAAGCAATGTAAGTATAATCCACAACACAGTTCGAGCACTGGAGGTCCTTTAACCTGATTAGCATCAGGCACCATACTTCATCCACGAAGCTTGACATACAGTGAACAGTAAGCCACATTTTATATTCTCTAAATAAACTTTATGAACATTGTTAAGCTGTGGCATCTTGCTTTTGAAACTGATTTATTGTCATTTCAATATTTTTGGTATAACATTACTTAATTTGCCAAATTAAATAATTCTTTATATTGAATAAAAAAAACTTGCAAAATGCAGCTATTTTTGCTACACCTAATGATGAACATCATAATCATTTGAATAATATGCATGCTTTAATACTTCCATTTAATTACAAATTATCTGTTGAATCAACTTGACAGTGCCATCAAGAGTGAGAGACCCATGATATATAATAGATGCAATATCACAAATACTTCTACTAAAATTTTAAGAGTTTTTTCCACTTTTAAATTAAACGAGAACTTTGAGAGTAAGTATCTAAAATGTTCTCAAATATTTCTAGGAAAAGTTTTTAGAAAAGTCTTGTAAAAGAATTATCCATAATTTTATTTTAATGAGTAAAGGGAGTGAAAGCATCATGTTGAAAGAATCCAAAACAGTGACACTAAGACAAGCAAAAATAAAATCATGCAGCAAAGGAGAAGAAAAGAAAGATGACAAGAAACGGAAGAAATAAAGGGTAGAAGGAAGAGACTTCAGAAAGAATGCAGAAGGCAAGTCTGAATTTCAAGGTGTCAACAGGGAGATTCAACACAGAACAGTAAGAAAGGACTCTTACCTTGTTGCATTAAGTTCGTTCATGAAAAGAAATAGAACAGGCAGGCTGAGAACAAAGTAACTAACATATTAAAAGAGAGATAATTTGGAATTTCTTTAGGAAGTACAGCTTATTGGATACAAAATTATTTTCAAGAATGAGGATCTAAAGCAAATTAGTTACTGTCAAAAAAAGTTTTGAAGTAATATTAGAATAGTCAAATTATTTTTTTCCTAAAAGGAAAAGTTTATCTTTTAAAGTACTGAGTTTAGTGTGAATTAGGAATAAAATTCACCAGCAGTCACCTGTCTGTAGATTAAATTATAATTTCAAAAGCCAATCTTTAATTATGTTTATAATACATTATTATTCATCCTATAATCAAGATTCTATGCCTTTTTATTCTCATTTATCAATATGACTAATACATGTATACAATGTTTTTCTTCTTCAAAACGCCTAACAGCTCATTTTTAACATATAGAATTTCCCAATATAAATCTGTTATCAAATGTTATACATTCTATAACGTTCTTTAAAATCATGCAATATCATATTTTAGAATAATTTTTAAAACCTATATTACTTCTACTCTAAAATTTTGATTTTTAGAAAGAACAGTTTACTTTCTCCCTTTCTTATTACATGCTTTCAGAAAGGAGATATCTCTAATAGACATATCATAAAAAACAGGAGAAGAAAATAAATAAAACTTTCTAAAAAGTCAAAACAGTTCCATGAAATATATTTATTTCAAGATAAATATATTTTAAAATATATTTTACTATAATAATCCAGTTCTAGATTTTAAGTGATCCACAAGATCCATACTGTACTATTCCTATTTCTCTGATTAGCCTTTACTCACAAGTAAACAATGTTTTCTAATTTTTATGCTCCTACCAAAACAAAAAAAAAAGCTATTTCTGCTAGATATCAACTATGAAATTAAATTAGTCATTTCTAGAAAAATTGCTCAACTCCCTCCATCTTTTATCATGCACAGCTATAAATCCCTCTGGACTCTATGTTCCAATTAAAAAAAAAACACACACTCATGAAATGATTTACTAGCTGTATTTTTACCAATTGGATACCAAGCCAGAAGACCTCAAGGTATATATAAAAACTGAGGTTGACTTAAAAACACATGTAAGAAGATGTATACAGTGTCTGAATCCTGAATGCCTGGGAAAGGCAACTGATATTAGGGCTTCATGTCATACTTTTAATCTGCTTCAATTGTATTTACTCCAATCTATTATGGCCTCCGATGCTTCAAAATAAACCTTTTTACCAGATATAGATCCATATGAAAACAGACCTCTATAATATTTCTTATAATCTCCATTCTCATTATCCTGCATTCATGTTGTACTTTGCCTCCATTTTCTTGCCCTCCTTTGTCCTACTCCCTCCCTTGTACTTCCTTCCATTCCCACTGATTCCTTACTGCTTCCCTTTCTTCCTTTTATTTTTCATTCTATGCACTAGAACAGCCTACATACTATTTTTCAACCTATGCACCAAAGAGCAGTGTACAGTCAGCACACTACAGCCTGAGAACCAAATCCAGCCCACTGTCTATTATAAATAAAGTTTTATTAGAGTTATACCCATTCATTTACCTATTGTCCATGGCTGCTTTCCTGTTACAATGACAGAGTTGAGTAGTTGAGACAAAGACCATATGGTTCACCAAGCCTAAGATATTTACTATCTGGCCTTTACAGAAAAACTTGGTCATCCCCTGCTCTGGAGATATAGAAGAAAGATAATATTCTTTTATCACCTATAAAGTTTTTTTTTAAATGACTATCTCTCACCAGAGAATCTACAAACAATTTCTAGTGAGTCAAGTTTATATCGCCAATACAGGGTGCCATCTCAAAGACACTTTGTTTCCTTTCTTCAATTTTTCCAGAAATCTGTATACCGTCTCCTGATACATTTTCAAGTTTTATATAGTCTAGTACACATCTTGACTGGTCCTAACTTTCCTGACCACGGCTAACTTTCCTGGTCACAACTACTGACCACTTATTCTAGTACCTAATTAACAGAAATTCTGGTTAAACAAGTAGAAAAGGCATACTGGAGAGTCTTTTGTAAATACAAAGAGAAGGGAACTAGCCAGAGTTAACCATATACTCTGTAATACACAGTAGCAAAAAAAACAAAAACAAACAAAAAAAAAACACTACGCTTTCAGAGGCTCTTAGTAAGTATGATCAGATAAGAACACCGTTATAAACGCATGAATTCTACAATGTAGAAGAAAGAAAAAATAATTTAAAAAAAATTAGACAGTTCCAAGACTCTGATATGTACCCAGTGATAGGAGGAAGCATCAAAGTGTGTCAATGCAATGAAAATGATATTCAGGGATAGGATGGTTACATCTAAATGGATACTTTCCTCCTTCTTTAACCTTTTCTTTAACTATCTAATTAATCAAATGGACAGACAGATAATAATACTACTTCTATTAGTAATAATACAATTAGTACCTCCAAAAGTACTTCATACTTTTCAAAGTTCAGTTGGCCCCCCATATTTGTGGGTTCCATATCCATGGATTCAACCATGAACTGAAAGTATATATTTTAAGCTGCATCTGTCCTGAACATGTACAAACTTTTTCTCCTTTTCATTATTCCCCAAACAATACAGTATAATTTAGATAGCACTTACATTGTATTAGGTACTATAAATAAATCTAGAAGCAATTTAAAGTGTACAGAAGGATGTGCATAGATTATATGCAAATACTACACCATTTTATATCAGGAACTTCAATATCATGGATATTGGTATCCACAGAAGGTTTGGGAACCAATCCCCAAGGAAACCAAGGGACAACCGTACTCTCCATACTACGTCACTTGATTCTGTTACCCACCTTGTGAAATAGTTATTGCCATCTCTAATATGAGGATACTAAGTCTAGTGCTCTTAGCGCCAAACAATAATGCGTTTTAATATCTATATATGAACAATTAACAGTTGAAGAAATTACTTAAGATTTTGGTACTTCCATTTCCCTATCTTTTTTCTTTATATCTATTGTCTGGCAATCTTAGCAACAATGTTTGTTTCATAAAAGTGGTTTTGTGATAATCAATGAATATTAAACATCTTTATTTTCCTCAATAGTTTCCTTGCACCTGTGGGCATCCTCATTCATTCATATCCTCTCTCTCTCTCTCTCTCACACACACACACGTGTACACACATGAACACAATTATTACACTAAGAAACAAGTTACCTGTGTAGCAATCATCCTTATACAATGATCACAATGTCATAATGGAGGATCCCCAAACCACAATGTCCCAGGATATAAGCAACAGTTCCAGCTGTGTTCCACACCTACTGGAAAGAGACCTTGACACTCTCTCAGCAGAAGCAGGCATTCCATTGGCACTGCAGCAAGCATAGAAACTCATAATTTGAAAAGTGGGAGGTAAGCAACTAGCCCTCTTTTGCTGGCAGGTTATTTAACTTAATCTACAACTCTGGAGCAAAGCCAGAACTCTCCCATGACTGCCAGCTGCTGTCACCAGAAAAGAGGGCAAAATCCACCACCACAACCACACCACACATTATAGTTACATCCCAATTACAGAAATAAAAAAACTGATCTCTTGAATCAAATTATCAATCTGGCTACATCCCAATTAAAGATCTAAAAAACTGACTATTCAAATCAAATTATCAAGCTGGAAAATAGGGTGATTTAATCATGGACATCTTATAAAGTCACTATATAACATGATAAATCTGTAGCATAGGCTATATACTATAGAATGCACCTCACAGAGTGCTTTGACCTTGAGCTATTTAAACAAACAAAAAAACCATACTTGAGAATAGAATTGATAACACTCATCCACACAGATATATTTTCATTCTGAAGATAAATTATTTTAAAGGATAAAGACAGATACACGCTGAAATTAGTTATTTAGATGTGTTTAAGCTAAAAACTGCTAAGCACATGTACATGATATTCTGTAGTGTCTTATCTTTAGTTTGTCAAGGTTTTAAAATCCCTCTTGAGCTGGAGTATCATTTTTAGCTTGGCTAGGTCAGAATGACACCGAACAATATGAATAATGACACACAAGACAGCTATATGGACAGAGTTGTCATCAGCAAGCCAGCTGTGTTAACACCTGTGTGTCCTGCACAGCTGATCTTCAGGAACCAAGATCAAGAAACTGAGAATAGAGTTCAAAGACCGTAAGTAACATTTAGAGAGTCATTGACAAGCCACTAAAAATTGGGTTTTTTAGAGGCAGAGGATCATGTTTCAACTTTTAAAATACTGTCAGTTTCATAAATTAAAAATTATTCTTTGTACTCCTTATAAATGCACGGAAAACTAAAAATCAAAAATAACTATATATTATTATTTACTCTGGTTAATCACTGTTAATGTAAAATTATAAAATTATATTTAAAGATTTGGTTATACAGTGTCTTCATCTATCATATCCTGTTTGACACTATTCCATTCCACAATCCACTCTAAGAATAGAAGTAATCATCTTTCTATCTCATAGGAATCAAACTAGTCATTACATTACCTGCAAATTCATTGTTAGCACACCTCTTTCCAAGAGATATTCTGACAACTGAATTTAGGCTTTCTCCTCTAGGTCTTGATTAGGCAAAGTGAAATACAGATGCTATTTTTAGTAATCAAATAAACAAAGCAGGTGACCATATCAGCAAAACTTCCATTAGAATCTAGAGATGGCTTATGTTATATTTAGAGACTATATGCTGGTAAAATTTGACTCATTCCACAAACATTCATTAAGTGCCTACTGGGTACCAGGCACAGTGATAGATGCCAAGAATATAAAAATTAAGGAGACAGAATTCCATCCCTCAAGGACTTCAAACTCTAGTAGCATAATTAATCTCTTGAAATGCATTTTCTAGCTTCCCATTTATCTATAATGTCTTGTTTCTCCTGTCAATTGCTATACTGCCTTCTTTCTTTGCCAGAGTATTATGTTAGTCAATCTCAAACCTTTATCTTTAGCCCTGACTTTCCCTTGAGGTTCAGACTCACACATCCTGCTGATCATTCCACATTACCTTACATTCAGTATTTCCAAAACAAAACTCATCATTGTCTCCTTTCTCCCTACTTAATAAAAATAATTAAAGCAAAAAGGCTGCTTTCTGTATTCCCAGCGTCCTTTGCCCCATCAGGGGAATCATCCTCCCCTGCCTCTTTCTCATCATCATATGCCACTTTGCTGAATAAGTTTCACATCCTTCCTTCTGACACCACCTACCATCACTCTTCTGGTTCAACCCTTCTGAGCCCCCATCTAGCCTAATGCTACAGCTTCCTAATAGAGTTGTCTATTCAGACTTGTGGCTCTTAAAACCACTTTTATTACTCACTATATCCAGTTTGCAAAATGTGCTCTCTAGAGCTCAAATTTTATAAGAAAATCCAACCACATCAACCCCTAGCTTAAACCCTGGTTTGCTCCCCACTCCTTCCATTATATGATCCAAGGCTCTTAGCATGGCAAAAAAGGCCTTCCATGACCTAGCTACTACCTGCCTCATTGAGCTTTATCTCTTTTACTCTTTTTGCATTTAATATTGAACTTAGAATATTTAGTCATTCATGCTTCCATGAACTTGTTGCTCATGCCACTTTCTTTGCTAGCATACTTTTCCCTTCTTCCTCATATTTTGAGGCCCCACCCAGGCATTAGTTTTCTTCTAAGAAACTCCAGGCAATCCCTGAGTTTTCTAAGTATGCCACATATGAGAATAACTATCTATATAGAACTGTGATACACACACACACACACACACACACACACGCACGCAGAGTTGAACTTTGAACAACATGTGGGTTAGGGATGCCAACCCCCACAGAGTTGAAAATCCATGTGTAACTTCTGACTCCCCCAAAACTTAACTACAAACAGTCTACTATTGGAAGCCTTACTGATAACATAAACAGTTGATTAACACATATTTTGTGTTATGTGTATTATATACTATATTCTTATAATAAAGCTAGAAAAAAGAAAATGTTATTAAGAAAATCGTAAGGAAGAGAAAATATATTTACTATTCATTAAGTGGAAGTGGATCATCATAAAAGTCTTCATCCTCATATTCTTCATGTTGAATAGGCTGAGGAGGAGAAGGAAGAGGAGGGGTTGGTCTTGCTGTCTCATGGATGGCAGAGTTGGAAGAAGATCCACGTATAAGTGGACCCACACAATTCGAACCCATGTGTTCAAGGGTCAACTTTATATACATACATACACACACACACAAATATGACAAATATACATATATATATGTGTGTGTGTATATATATGTATGTATGTATGTATATTTGTTTCCCCAGAGGCTACTACAGTTTCTGGAACATTATACATACTAAAAATGTATATGTAGAATTTAATTATTATAAATGTTGTGTTTCATGATGGGTTCTAGGTTTTAAATAACTTTTCTGAAGAAGCAAATCCAAAAAGATGTCAGCAAAAACTCCTGTGACTTCCTAAATATTGTTCCAGTGTCATTTCAGTCCGATAAATTTAAAGGATTTATAGACACAAGGTCTTATGGAGTTTTTACAATTTCTGGATTGTCATTTCCTGTTTTATCTTTTAGATGATTTACGATAAAAGCATCTAAGACTTCTCAGTGAACATTCTTTGGTACTTTTAAAGCCTGTATGTTATGGCCGTACATAGGGAACATTTCAGTTAATCTTTCCAAACTTGTAGGACTCATGCTTTCTCAAAAGCCTCAAGAATGCAGCCATTCTACTCATCCAACAACAAACATGACTACAAAATTATTAGCTTCTTCTTCACATTTCAATTTTACCTAAGTTTTCTTACTTTTACTCTTAGCTGCAGTAAACTGAGATATCTCTCTATTAGGCACTTGGTTAGTATCTAATAAGTACTTATTTTTATCATATCTAATCCTAAACAATCCAGACATTATCCTACTCATCTAGGCATTATCCTATCCTGAAATTATTTTAATATAATTGTTGTGCTTTCCCTTTACCCCACACAATAGAAATACTTAGGCACATTTGGAGAAGCTCTAATTAAACTATCGCAAGGACAAAAAACCAAACACCGCATGTTCTCACTCATAGGTGGGAACTGAACAATGAGAACACTTGGACAGAAGAAGTGGAACATCACACACTGGGGCCTGTCGTGGGGTGCGGGGAGCGGGGGGAGGGATAGCATTAGGAGATATACCTAATGTAAATGACAAGTTAATGGGTGCAACACACCAACATGGCACATGTATACATATGTAACAAACCTGCACATTGTGCACATGTACCCTAGAACTTAAAGTATAATAAAAAAAGAAATAATAATTCCTGTATTATCAGTAAAATTGAAAGCCTACTGGTAGAGCTATTAAAAAACAAAAGTATATGCTTTTAGAGATTGATGTTGGCAAAAATGATGGACTAAGGAACTCCAAAAGCTAGTCGTTCCATAAAACTAGCAAATAAACTGGCAAAAAAAGGTCAGAATTAGCTTTTTTCAGAACTCGAGAAGCTAACTGAAAGTTTACAGTAACCAGGTAAAAGCTTAACCAAGAAAAAAATCTGAATCTCAGTATTTAAGGAACTCTGTCAAAACAGTGGTTGACTACTAAGCCAACAGAGACTTCAGTTGCTATACGTGACAAAGGATACAACTTTACAAAATGAGTTCAGAAAGACAGCCTTTACAAAATCAGTTCAGACTTTACACAATCTGTCACTAAATACAAAACAACAACTAGAGCAAGCAGCAACAACCCTGGAGATGGGGAGAATCTTATTTCCAGAGTTGTCAGATTATAATTTTCAAAATATCTACTTTTCAACAAAAAACTGTGTATGCCACGAAAAAAGAAAGTATAGCTCATTTCCAATAAAAACAGAAATGAACAGGAACTGTCCTTGAGGAAGTCTAAACATTGACCTTACCACATAAGTACTTTAAATCAATTATTTTAAATGTGCATATAAAGTTATAGAAAACCATGTACAAGGAACTAAAAGAAACCATGAGAACAATGTCTTCCAAAATAGAAAATGTAAATGAAAAGAAAAAAGAAGCAAAATATAAATTTTGAAGTTGACACATTCAAAATTTGGTGGTGGGGTGGGGGTAGTTAGAAAAAAAAAATGTGTCAACCAAGAATTCTGTTTGTGACAAAAGTGTCCTTAAAAACGAAGGAGAATGATAGCAGCCAGATGGTGGAATAGGAAACCCTGGACTCTCCTTCCCCCATGGACACACTGATGCAATGGCACATATCAATTCCCTTTATGGAAATTCAAGAAAGTAGCTGAGAGGCTCCTGCAACCTGGGCAACAAGAAATCAGTCACATTGAAACCACTGGGAAAACTGAAGACACTCTCTAATCGTAATCCCCACTCCCAGCACAGCATCGTTATTACCAGGAGGGAACTCTCAGCTCCCAACTTTTTATGAGAAGGGAAGGAATTGGACTGTGCGTACAATGTCCCACTCTTCAGAGTTCTACCTAAAGGATTGGCTTTTGTCTCACCTGTGTTTGAGTACTGACATGACCCAACATACACTAGATCCACAGAGAAAAAGGGTGGTGGTTTGAGAAAAAGGGTGGTGGTTTGGACTAGAGCACAGATATTCATAACAGCTCTCCCCTGGCTTGGCACAGAAAGGACCAGTGAAAAAAAATGCCCAGCTCTCAGCCTCTACCTTGGGAGGAAAAGAATTGGGCCATACATACAACATTCCAACTTTTCCAAGTATTACCAGAGGGTGATATTTCTATCTTTTGTCTTGCCTGTCTCAAAGTACTGATGAGGCATACTACAAAGTACTGATGAGGTTCTATGAGGTTCTAGCATACTCTAGAACCCTGGAGCCTTTAAGAAGATGACAGTTTGGACTAACACAGAAGTTTGAGAGCCCCATAGAAGCTCTGGCCAAGTTTATTGGTGAAGGTCTTCTCTGGTACAAAGCCAATCCTTGAAGTCTGAGAGAGATGGTAGGTTCTTTTTTTTTTTCTCCTTAATGCACAGATACCAACACAAAGAGTCAAGGAAAATGAAAAAACAGAGAAACATAATCCAAAAAAGGAACAAGATAAAACTCTGGAAACCAATACTAATGAAATGGAGATATATTAATTATCTGAAAGAGAATTCAAAATACTGTCATAAAAATGATCGATAAGCTCAGAAAAATAATACATGAACAAAGTGAGAATTTCAGTAATAAGAAAACTTAAGAGGAACAAATATTAGGGCAGAAGAATATAATAACTCAACTAAAAATTCAAGAGAGGTTCAACAGCAGACTAAAACCAGCAGAAAAAAAAAAATTGGTGAACTTGAAGATAGGCCACGTGAAATCACCCAGTCGGAGGAAGAAAATAATAATAGTAATAAAGAATAAAGACAGTTTAAGTCTTTATTCAAAAAAAGAGAATTTTTAAGTCTTTTTTATTCTTTTTTTAATTCAAAAAAAGAGAATTTTTAAAGAAGCAAGAAGAAAATGACTCATTACAAACAAGGGAATCCCTATTAAACTATCAATTGACTTTTTCAGCTCAAACTTTGCAAGCCAGAAGGCAGTAACATGACATATTCAAAGGGATGAAAGGGAAAAAGAATGCTATCTAAGAACACTATACCTGGCAAAACTGCCCTTTAAAAATGAAGGAAACATAAAAATTTCCCTGACAAAAGCTGAGGAAGTTCATCACTAACAGACTTGCCTTACAAGGAGCGCTAAAGGCAGTTCTTCAAGTAGAAATAATAGAATGCTGTACAGCAACATGATACCATAAGAAAGTATAGAACACAAAGGTAAATATACAGATATACAGAATGCTTTATTACTCTAATGGTGGTGGGTAAATCACTTTTATTTCTAATGTAAAAGTTAAAACACGAAAGTATTAAAAACAACTATAAGTAAAAAATATGTGAATGAATGAATGAATACACCATATAGTAAATTGTGACATCAACGACAAAATGTGAAGGTAGGAGGAGTAAAACTGTAGAGTTTTTGCATGTGATTAAAGTTAAGTTGTTATCAACTTAAACTGTCATAACCGTATTTTATATAAGCCCCAGGGTAACTGGAAACAAAATACCCATATAAGTTACACAAAAGTAAAAAAGAAATTAATAAAAGTTTATCAATACAAAAAAAATCAACGAAACACAAAGGATGAGAGCAAGGGAGAAAAATGAACTAAGAACTGTGCACTAAGGAATTCCAAAAAGCTCTGGAACTCCAAAAACAAATGAACTATAAGACAAACAGAAAATGATGAACAAAATGGCAATAATAAATAATTTCCTATCAGTAATTACTTCAAACGTAAATAGGTTTAACTTCTGATAAATAAATAGATATAACTTCCAATAAAGAGACACAGAGTGGCTGAACGGATTTAAAAAAAAAAAAGATCCAACTATACGCTGTCTATGAGAAACTCATTTTAGATTTAAGGATGTGCATAGACTGAAAGTAAAGTGTTGGAAATAGATATTCCATTAGTTACCATTTGGTAACCAAAAAAGAGTAGGAGTGGATATATTTATATCATACAAAATAGATTAGGATTAGAAGCCAAAAACTGTCAGGAGAGACAAAGAATAACATTATATAATGATATAAGAGTGCAGTCTCCAGGAACATATAACAATTTTAACAATTATCACACACACACACACACACACACACATCCCTAACAACAGAGCACCTAAATATATAAAACAAACATTGGCAGAACTGAAGGGAATATAGACAGCAACACAATAATAGTAGGAGACTTCATTACCCCACTTCCAATAACGGGGAGAACAACCAGTCAGAAAAAGAAATAGCAAACACAAACAACACTATAGACCAAATGAACCTAATGAACATACGTAGACCGTTCCAGTATACAGCAGCAGAACACGCATTGTTCTCAAGTGTACACACGTCATTTTCCAGGATATATCATATGTTAGGTGTCAAAACAAGTCTTAATAGATTTAAGAATATTAAAATCATACCAAGTTTCTTTTCTGACTATAATGAAATGAAACCAGAAACAAAGTATAGAAGAAAAACTGGAAAATTCACAATATATAGAAATAAATTTTTGAACAACCAGCGGCATAAGAAAGAAATCATTAGGAAAGTTAGAAAATATCTTGAGACAAAATGAAAATGAAATACAACATATCAAAACTTAAGAGACTCAGTGAAAGCAGTAGTAAGGGGAAACATACAGCAGTAAACACCTACATTAAAAAAAAGAAAGATGTCGCATAAACGATTTAATTTGGCACCTCAACGAACGAGAAGAAGAACAAACTAAACCCAAAATTAGCAGAAGGAAGGAAATAATAAAGATTAGAACAGGAAAAGAATAAAGAACAGAAAAACACAATAGAGAAAATCAGTAAAACTAAGAGTTTATATTTTGAAAAGACGAAATTTACAAACCTTTAGTAAGACTAAGCAAAAAAGATAAAACTAAAAAAAAAACACAAAAAGGACAAATTATAACTGATACCACAGAAATAAAAAGAATCATGAGAGACTACTATGAACAATTATATGCAATATAGTAGATAATCTAGAAGAAACGGATAAATTCTAAGAAACATGCAACCTAACAAGACTGAATGATTAAAAAAAAAAAATAGAAAGTCTTGAACAGAGGCTGGGTGTGGTGGCTTATACCTATAATCCCAGCACTTCCGTGGCCAAGGTGGGAGGAGTGCTTGAGGCTAGGAGTTCAAGACAGCCTGGGCAACATAGTGAGATGCTGTCTCTTCAAAAAATAATAATAATTTAAAAATTAGCAGGATTTGGTGGCATATGCCTGTAGTCACAGCTACTTAGGAGACTGAGGTAGGAGGATCTCTTGAGCCCAGGGGTTTGAGGCTGCAGTGAGCTATGAGTATGCCACTGCACCACTCTAGGCTAGGCAACAGAGCAAGACACTGTCTCAAAAAAACAAAACAAAACAAAACAAAACAAAACAAAAAGATTCGGGGGGTGGGGGCAGAGGGGGAAAGGCAGAAAGAGAGGAAGGGAGGGAGGGAAAATCTTGAACAATAGTAAGGAGATTGACTCAGTAATCAAAAATCTTCTGACAAAGAAAAGCCCAGGACCAGGTGGCTTTACTGATGAATTCTATAAAACAATTAAATAATTAATGTTAATGATTTTCAAACTCCTCCAAAAAATTTGAAAAGGAGGGAAAACTTCGAAATATATTTTATGAGACCAGCATCTTCCTGATACCAAAGCCAGACAAGGACATCACAAGAAAAAAAAAGCTACAGGCCAATATCCCTGATGAATATAGATCTAAAAATCCTCAACAAAATATTAGCAACTGAATTCAAAAGCACAATTAAAGGATTAGGCGCCATTACAAAGTGGGATTTATCCCTGGGATGTAAGAATGGTTCAAGATACAAAAATCAATTATGATACATAACATTAACAGAATGAAGGACAAAATTCACACAATCAATAGATGCATAAAAAGCATTTGATAAAATTGATAAAAATTCAATAGCCTTTCATGATAAAAATTCTCAACAAACTAGGAATAGAAGAAAAGTAGCTGAACACACCAAAGGCCATATATGTAGAGTTCACAGCTAATATCATACTCAATGATTAAAAACTTAAAGCTTTTCCTCTAAAATCATGAACAAGGTAAGGATGTCTGCTTCTACCACTTGTATTCAACATATCACTGAATGTCCTAGCAAGCGTGATTTGGCAAGAAAAATAAGTAATAGGCATCCAAACAGAAAAGGAAGAAGTAAAACTGTCCCTGATTACAGATGACGTGATCTTCTACATAGAAACCCCTTTAGAATAGATGAGTATTCCTTACGTATGGAACATCCTAGTTCAGTATTAATTCAAACTAGATTGTTATGAATTAAGATGTTAATTGTAAACACCAAGGTAAACACTAAAAAAAATCACACTTATAACCACATCAAAAAGAATAAAATACTTACAAATTAACAGAGGTGAAAGACTTGTACACTAAAAAGTATAAAATATTGGCAAAAGAAATTAAAAATACAACAAATGAAAAAACATTCTGTGTTCATGAATTGGAAGACTTATTATTGTTAAAATGTTCATACTACCCAAAGTGATTTACAGATTCAATGTAATCCCTATCAGAATCCCAGTGGCATTTTTGCAGAAATAGAAAAAGCAATTCTAAACTTCATATGCAACCAGAAACTGCCTCAAATAGCCAAAAAGAGCTTGAAAAATCAGGGCCAAGCTGGAGGCCTCACACTTTCTGACTTCAAAATACATTACAAAGATGGCTGGATGCAGTGGCTCATGCCTGTAATCCCAGCACTTTGGGAGGCCAAGGACGTGGATCACCTGTGCTCAGGAGTTTGAGACCAGCCTGGCCAACATGGTGAAACCCCATCTCTACTAAAAATACAAAAAAATTAGCCAGGCATGGTGGTGTGTGCCTATAGTCCCAGCTACTCAGGAGGCTGAGGCGGGAGAATTGATTGAACCCAGGAGGGGAAGGCTACAGTGAGCCAAGATCATGCCACTGCACTCCAGCCTGGGCAAAAGAGTAAGACTCCCCCTCAAAAATAAAAATAAAAAACATATATACATATGCATACATATATACATATATATACACATCTACATATATACACACATATGCATATATACATATATATATATCAAAACTATAGTAATTAAAACAGTATGGTATTGGCAGAGAAACAGACATAGAGTTCTATGGAACAAAATAGAAAGCCCAGAAATAAATCCACACATATATGGTCAATTGATCCTTGACAAGAGTGCAAAGAAGACACAATGGGGAAAGGATAGTTTCCTTCAACAAAGAGTGTTGGGAAAACCAGATATCACTTGCTAAAGAATGAAACTGGGCCAGGCACGGTGGCTCATGCCTGTAATCCCAGCACTTTCTGAGGCCGAGGTGGGGTGGATAACTTGAGGACAGGAGTTCAAGACCAGCCTGGCCAACATGGTGAAACTCCACCTCTATTAAAAATATAAAAATTAGCCGGTCATGGTGGTGTATTACTGTAGTTCCAGCTACTTAGGAGGTTGAGGAACGAGAATCACTTGAACCCAGGAGGCAGAGGTTGCAGTGAGCCGAGATCACGCCACTGTACTCCAGCCTTAGCGACAGAGCAGAACTTTGTCTAAAGAAAGAAAAAATGGAGCCTACCTTACACCATATTAAAAAAAATCTATTTACAATGGATTAAAGACTTAAACATAAGACTTACAACTATAAATTTCCTAGAACAAGACATAGAGGAGAAACTTCATGACATTAGCCTTTGCAACGATTTCATGGATATGACACTAAAAGCACAAGAAACAAAAATGAAAACAGACAAGTGAAACTACATCAAATGAAAAAGCTTCTGCCTAGCAAAAAATAATAATAATAATAATCAACATAATGAAAAGGCAACCTGTGGGATAAGAGAAAATACTTGCAAACCACATGAGGGTTTTAATTTCTAAAATTTAAGAGGTTAATTTCTAAACTCTATACAACTTAATAGCAAAAAGAAACTAATAACCTCATTTTAAAATGGGCTAAGAACTTGAATATACATTTATCCAAAGAAGACATACAAATGGTCAAACAGGTATATGAAAACATCCTCAATGTCACTATCATCAAGGAAATAAAAATCAAAACCACAATGAGGTATCACCTCATACCTATTAGGATGACTATTACAAAAAATTTTTTTAAAAGACAAGGATTGGCAAAGATGTGGAGAAACTGGAACCCATGTACACAACAGCAAAGGAATGTAAAGTGGTGCAGATGCTCTGGAAAAAAAGTATGGAGATTTCACAAAAAGTTAAAATTAGAACTACCACATATGATTCAGCAACCACTTCTGGGTATTTATCTAAAAGAAGGGCAATAAGAATCTCTAAGAAATATATACACTCCCAAGTTCACTTCAGTACTATTTATAATAGCCAAGATCTGGAAACAACCTAAATGTCTATTGAGAGATAAATGGATACATAAAATATGGTATAAACATACAATAAAATATTACTCAGGTTTTCAAAGGAAGGAAATAATCAGCCTTTTAAAAGAAGGAAATCTTATGAAATACAACAAAATGGATGAACCTTGAGGACATTATACTAAGTGAAATAAACCATTCACAGAACAAATACCACATAATTCCACTTATATGACGTATCTAAAATAGTCGAACTCATGGAAACGGAGAGTAGAATGGTGGTTACCAGGGGCTGGGGTCAGGGAGGGAGAAGTGGGGAGTTGTTAATAAATAGGTATAAAGCTTCAGTTATGCCAGATGGATAAGTTCTGAAAGTCTGCCTTATAACATTGTACCTGTGGTTAACAATATTGTATTGCATACGAAAAATCCATTAAGAGGCTAGATCTTAGATTAAGTGTTCTTACCACAATAAAATTAAAATTTTTTCTAACGAAGGAGAAATTAAGACATTCCAAGATAAACAGAAGCTAAGGGAGTTCACCACTAGATCTGCCCAATAAGAAATGCTAAAGGGAGTCCTGAAATGAAAGGATACTAGACAGTAACTCAAATTCACATGAAAAAATAAGGAACACCAGCAAAGGTAACTACGTAGGGAAATATAAAAGTCAGTATTAATGTATGTTTGGTTTGTAACTCCTCTTTTTCTTCTATAGATTTAAAAGACAACTATATAAAACAATCATTATAAACTATGTTGACGGGCACACAATATATAAGAATGTAATTTGTAACAACATGAAGAGAAAGGATGAAGCTATTTAAGAGCAAAATTTTTTAAACATAATTGGCACTACGTTGGCATTAATTCAAACAAGATTGTTTTGAATTAAGATGTTAATTATAATCACCAAGGGTAACACTAAGAAAACAACTAAAAATGTATAGTAAAATAAAAGAGAAGGGAATAAAAAATGGTACACTACCAAAGATCTATCTAATGCAGACAAGAAGGAATCGTAGAAGAACTGAGGAACAAAACAGATATAACACATGCAGAAAAAAATGGCAGAAGTCCTTCCTTATCACAATTACGTTAAATGTAAATTGATTTAAATATCCAATTGAAAGTCAGAAGTTAGCAAAATGAATGTTTTTCAAAACGTGATTCATTTTACACTGTCTATAACAGACTCATCTTAGATACAAAGACACCAATAGGTTAAAAGTGAAAAGACAGAAAAAGATAGCCCACGCAAACAGTAACCAAGAGAGCTGGAGCGCCTACACTAATATCAGACGAAAGACTTTAAAGTCAAAATTATTGCAAGAAACAAAGATAATATAATGATAAAAGAGTCAATCCATCAAGAAGATATAACAATTTCCACATAATCTCAAAATATATGAAGCAAAACTGACCAAGTTGAAGAGGAAAAAGAGTTCAACAATAACATTTGGAGACTTTGACATCATACTTTCACTAATGAATAGGACACCCAGACAAAAGACAATCAAGGATTTAGAAGACTTGAACAACATAAACCCGCTAGACATAACAGACATACATAGAACAGTCTACCTAACAAAAGAATACATATTCTTTTAAAATGCACATTTAACTTTCAGAAAGACAGACCATATATTGGAGCATACAACGAACTTTAACAAACTTAAAAAGGATAGAAATCAAATGAAGTATTTAATCCATATAAAATTAAAGTATAACTCCATAGCAAAAATAAAGTGTGGAAAATTTCCAAATATTCAGAAATTATCAGCTCACTCTTAAATAACAAGTCAATGAAGAAATCATAGAAATTAGAAAATATTTTGAAATAGATGAATATAAAAAAATAATAAACCAAAACTTCTGGGATGCAGTTTAAGCTGCATCAGACAGAAATCTATAGCTGTAAATGTCTACATTAAAAAAGAAGAAAGATCTCAAATCAATAACCTAACCTTCCAGCTTGGAGCAGTTAAGAGAGAGACAGAGAGCGCAAACTAAACCCAAAGCAAACAGAAGGGAGAAATAATAATGTTTTAGAGCAGAGATAATACAAAATAGAGAACAGAAAAACAATGGAGCAAATCAAGGAAACCAAAAGTTGGACCCTTAAAAAGACAAATAATATTGGCATGCCTTACCTAGACTGACCAAGAGAAAAGTTACTAAATTACTAAAATCAGAAATAAAAATGAGGACATTACTACTAACCTTACAGAAATAAAAACAATTATAAGAAAATGAGCAATGGGATATCAACAAGTCACATAACTTAGATAAAATAGACGAATTCCTAGAAACACACAAACTACCAACACTGACTGAAAAAGAAACACAAAATCTGAAATCTATAACGAGAAAAGAATGAATCAGTATCAAAAAACTTCCAGATAAGAAAAGTCCAGGCCCAGAAAGTTTCACTGATGAATTCTGCCAAATGTTTAAAGAATTAACACTAATCTCTCTCAAATTCTTGAAAAAAAATGAAGAGAAGGGAGCATCTCCTAACCTATTCTATGAGATCAGTATTACTCTGATCCTAAAGCCCGACAAAGATATCACAAGAAAACTACAGACCAATATGTCCTATGAATTTAGATGCAATAACCCTCAAAAAAAAAAAAAAAACCTAGCAAACCAAACCTAGCAGCATATTCAAAAGATCATACACCATAACCAAGTGAGATTTATCTCAGGAACACAATGGTGTTCAACATACATAAATCATGTTAGGTAGTACAAAACATCAGTAGGATGAAGGAGGCGAGGCACAACATGATCATCTCAACTGATGCAGAAAAAGAAAAGCATTTGACAAAACTGAATTCCTTTTCATAAAAACACTCAAAAAACCAGGAAAGGAAGAGCACTTTCTCAAACTGATAAAGAGGATCTATGAAAAAACCCACAGCTAATATCATGCTTAATGGTGTAAGACCAAAAACTTTCCCCTTAAGATTAAGAAGAAAACAAACATGTCTGCTCTCAACATGTCTATTCAACACCATACTGGATGTTCTAGCCAGATAATTAGATAAGAAAAAGAAACTAAAGGCATCCAAATTAGAAAGAACTAAGTAAAACTATACTCATAGATAACATAATCTTACATGTAGAAAATCCTAAAGAAGCTATACATGCATACAAAAACTACTAGAGCTAATAAATTCAGCAGTTACAGGAGAAAAGATGAACATACAAAAAGATAAACATACAAAAATCAGTTGTACTTTTCTGCACACCAGCAATTAAGAATAAAAAATTAGACTTAAGAAAACAGTTCCATTTAAAATAGCATTGCAAATTATAAAATACTTAAGAATAAACTTAACCAAGAAGATGCCTAACTTATACACTGAAAACCACAAAACATCTTTTGAGAGAAATTAAAGAAGATCTAAATAAGTAGAAAGGCATTCTATGTTCATGAATTGCAAGACTTAATATTTTGTTAAGATGACAATACTCCCCAAATTGATCTATAAATTCAACATAGCAGGTTTCAAAATTCCATTGCCTTCTTTTGCAGAAATGGACAAGCTGATCCCAAAATTCACATGGAATTTTATGAGAGAACTTGAATAGTCAAAACAATCTTGAGATCTAGAAATCTCACATTTCTCAATTTCAAAACTTAATAGAAAACATCGTCATCAAAACTTACGGTACTGATATGAAGAGAGACATACAATTCAATGGAACAGAATTGAGAGTCCAGAAATAAACCTATACATCTATAGTCAACTGATTTTCAACAGGAGTATGAATGATTCAACATGATCATTCAATGGGAAAAGAACATCCTTTTCAACAAATGGTGCTGGAATAATTGGATTGCCATATAAAAAAAATGAAGTTGGGCCTTTACATGATAGAATATATAAAATCAATTCTATATGGACTGAAGACCTAAATATGAGAGCTAAAACTATACAATTCTTAGAAGAAAACAGAGGGGAAAGCTTCACGACTTTGCATTTGGACATGGATTATTAGATATGAGGCCAAACACATAAGCAGCAGCAAGAAAAAAATTAGATTTCATCAAATTCTAAAACTTCTGTTCATGAAAGGACACTATTTAAATAGAAGGTAAAAAGACAACCTACAGGATGGGAGAAAATGTTTTCAATTCATATATATAATAAGATTCTAGTATCCAGAATATGCAAAGAACTCTTAAAACTCAACAACAAAAAGACAATCAACCCAATTTAAAAACGGGCAAAGGATGTGAAGAGACATTTCTCCAGAGAAGACAAACAAATAATCAATAATCACATGAAAACATGTTCAACATTGTTAGTCATTAGGAAAATACAAATCAAAACCATAGTGAGATACTACATAGTAGTCACTAGGATGGCCATTAACAAAAATTGAAACTAACAAGTGTGAGCAAGGATGTGGAAAAATAAGAATGCTTATCCATAATGGTGGAGATTTAAAATGGTGCAGCAACTGTGGAAAACAGTTGTGGTTCCTCAGAAAGTTATCATGGTATTATTATTTGATCCAGCAGTTCCACTCCTAGCTACATACCCAAGAGAAGTGAAAACAGACCTTCAAACAAAAATTTTTACACAAAATTTCACAGCAGCATTCACTATTCATAATAACCAAGAAGTGGAAACAACCCAGTGTCTATCAGCTGATGAATGCATAAACAAAATGTGGTATAACTATACAATGGCATATTATTCAGCCATAAAAGGGTATGACGTATCAATACACGCCACAAGATGAATGACCCTTGAATAAATTATGCTAAATGAAAGAAGCCAGACATCTAAAATCACATATTGTATTATTCCATTTACATTAAATGTCCAGAACAGAAAAATCCATAGAGACAGAAGGCAGGTCAGTGTTTGCCAGGATGTAGGGGAAAGGGATATAAGAAATAATTGCTTCTTGGGTACTGGGTTTCTTTTGCAGTGATGTAAATGTTCCAGAATTAGTTGTGATGGGTGCACATACTGAAAACCACTGAACTGTGCACTTTAAAATGGTTAAACTGGTGAGTTGTTTTCAAAAGAAGTTCAACAGTTTTGGATTTTCAAAAAAAATAAAAAGCGGCCAAAATTTCAACTCAAGAGAGAAGGGTGTGTTTTAAAAAATGTACCTCATGAAAAGTTATGATGATTTTGTTTCTTCTCGTTCTTATTTTTCTTATCTCCAATAACTTGAAATTCCCCCCCAAAAGAGTGTCTTTTAAAATTAACTTCTGACCTACATTAAAAACTGGCATAAATAAAAATATATATCTAAATGAAATTAATATAAAATTTACATTTCTTTGAAAAAAAACTATATGTTTTTAACTGAAATGACTGACCTTCCTTATTAAATAGTAGTTATCAGTCCCCAATGGAATTTTGAAAATAATATCTAATCAACTGTTCTGTGTAATATAGTTGTAGTATTTGAAAAGTTGAATGAAATATGTTGCTTAAAAACTAACAAGTATAAATAAAATGTAATTGTTTTTCCTAAGAACAAATATGTTCAGGTTAAGTTCCTTAACATCCAAGAAAAGAAATAACGTCTGCAGGAAAACAAGTTCTTTCTTCTATTTGATTATTGTGTCAGAAGTTAGTATTAAAATTCAACTCAGCGGGTAAGACTTAGTTTTATTCTAGAATGAATGGTACAAACCTTGAAAACACACGTGTTTAAAACAGTAAGAAATATAAATAGTGATACTATTTTACGGTGCACAGTAAACTTCGTTAAAGAGTTTGGATGTATCCATATCCATTTTTACCATCCCATGAAAGAGCCTGGACCCTCCTTCCATACTACTCTTTGTTTCATCAAAGACAGCAAAATGCCAATGGGAAGTCCAAGGTGGCCAGAAAAATAAACCTATTGAACTCTGGCACGAAGACAGGTGGGCCTGCATCTTCCTGAGACTTTCAGAGGACTCTCTGGGCCACCTCCTTATCACTCATTCATTCTCACTCATACCTCACAGAAAACAGAATTATCCCCAATTATCTTTCCTAAGTTTTCACTACAAGCTTGAAAAGTAATTCATAACTTTAAAGCCACTATATTAATAGAATTTTCTAAAGACATAAATCAAAATAATTAACTACTAAATCTGAAGAGAGGAAAAGCCATAAAGCAAAAGCAAATCTACAATGGCTATAGACCAGATTTACAGACAGCTTTCTTTCCATATGACACAAAAATCAAAAGATGAACTACAACTGAAGAACTGTATGATTATAATCATCCTGTTGCAGTCAGTCTTTATTATATTTAAACGATATATTTTGCCATTTTCATAAGAAAAGAAGAAGGTACAACACTTACATTTCATATTGGTGATGGTTTTTCCCTGACGTCGAAGTTCATTCCCCAAGTTAGCTGCTATCTAACTCTTTTTTTCTCCAACTGGGATGATGAAAAACCAACTGGATTTCAAAGTCAACATTAACTATATAAAAGGGTATGCCATGTATATGACGTAATTGACTTTTCTATCCACCAAGTTCAAAAAAACATACCAAAGATGTCTCTTTCACTGCAAATCTAAATTTCAGATTTGTGGCACATATGACTTTAATGTGACTATATTTAAACTATACTGACTAGCTAAACTTTTTTAAATGGGAAGGGGGAGAAATAATAATTTCAAAGAAGCTTAGGAAATAGCACTCAGATTATTTTTTTTTCAAAATACTTTTGTTGACATGAAATAATGCTGGTCACTGTCAAAATATAAAAGAATACAGGGGCCCATTGTTTTTAAAATGTTAAAATGCATTAACTATTAGTTTGCTAATTTTATTTAATATGCCCTTCAAAAGGTTAGTTTTAGGGTATTTTAAGTGACTTATAAAATGATATTATATAAAAAATTGATTCACAAGGTTATTCTAAATGTGATTCATTCATAAATTCCATGTATCTTTAAAGTACTTAATGTTTGCATTTCTAATAATTTGCCTTTCAGACAGTAGCAGAAACACATAAACAATGTTTCTCTACTTTTGAATGATGAAATAATGAACACATCTTTCAATGCAGAGTGGAGTGCTAACAAAATACATGGTCAATAAATATATTATGTTTTTACTAGTATCATAATACTTTTATTATGCTGTTCATCACTACAAATTAACACTCAGAGTTTATCATACAGGAGTAATCAAATTTGAAAACAATAGAATATATTAAATAATTAAATTTCTACTTTAAGAATATATTCTTACAAGAAAGAAAATTTCAATTTGAATAACATTACTACCTAGTTTATATATATGAGTATTACTAAATAAAATATATATTTCTCTATATACATATATATATAGGACCATTGGTTTAAGAGTGGTAAGAGGTTAGACACTGTGGTAAAACATTTTATCATTATGAGACATATAAGGATCTTAATGACCTCTGCTTTGTTCAGCAAAGACCGCAAATAATTCCTAGTGCAATTACACCAGTTTGGGGAAACCACTATTTTCATAGTTTTATAGATATATAAAGTGAATTCTGAAAAAAAGCATGCAATATAGCACCATGTAATGGAAATTTCCAGTCATCTACAAAGCATCTTTTTGTTAATTTATTTTTTTAACTTTCAAAATCAATGAAAGTACTTTGTGGCTAATAAAAATAATGACTAGGTGTCATGACACAAATTGAACAATATTAAAGAAAAATAACAGTACCTTGTGAAGCGTATTTTCTACTGCTCTCATGTGATTAGCAACACATTCTTTGTCTCTAGAAAAAATAAAAGATTAAGTGTTAGTAAAACTCAAACCTTACTACAACTGTTACACATTTTAGTATAAGTCACTGGTATTAAAAAATAAGGGTCTGATATCACTGTTCTCCTTTTATTTTTTTAATTTATTTTAACTTTTTAAATTTTGATTTTTTAATTCATTGTTCTCCTTTTAAAACTATAAAAACTAACCATATTCACTGATATATTTCCACATTTAACTAATATCTTAAATTTTGTTGCCTGTCCTAAATTGGGGTGGGGGAGAATAAAAAGGTAAAAAAGTGAAAAACAAAGAAAAAAATCACAATTACATTATTGATCATTTAAAATGTGCTGTAAATGGTAAAACTTTATTCTTTTATTTCTAATGAAAAAGACTTAAAAAATCTTAGTGATGGGGATATATAATAAATGACCATGCTATGCAAAATAGTATTTTCCTTTCCACACATTCTTTTTATGCTATAATAATTACACAGAAAACTCTTCTGTGACTTGTCTAGGAATATGCAAAGTTACTAGTTTCTCCTATCAGCCTAGTATATTGAATTTAGCCTTCATAATGAAATAAAAAGTTTGAATGAAAATAATGAAGATAAAAATCTAATTGTAAATTGAAATTTAAAACTGTAAATAATGTATTAGTCTCCAGATTTCAAATTAGCTTTCTTTAGATTTATAAAAACATGTGCCCGTGGTCACAGATCATAGACATGTCAAAACACTGAATTAACAGCAATGTTTTGAAAATACAATTTGAATCTGGAGGTCTTATAAGCCTATTTTCATTCATCTCAGAATTTTCTCAGTGCTATAAGACTCACTGGAAATTACCTGGGCTAAGCCTCTCATTTGACATGATGAAACTGGGAGTGAACAATAACAACAAAAACTGATTTAGTCAAACTTATATTTTAAAAAATGACAAAAACATACACCTCAGATGGTGGTGCAATGTTACATAGCTTTACAATTTTCCAAAAAATTATCAGTGGTTATTCAAACATGCCAACATTTTGGCCTTGTGTCAATTCATGTTTTCATTATGTTTGAGCAATGTCACAAACCCTGTGGCAAAGCTTATGAATATCCTAAGATTGTGGATTCCTTGTTCAGTGATTTATATACATTCTGCAGTTTACAGACTATATTCATATCTGACGATATTTTATGTTTAAGAGTTTGTCTCAAAAAATATTTAACGTATATTTTTGCAAGTAAAGAAATTCAGAATTCTAAATTTAGAAAACACTGCGTTTATCAAAATTAGATGTTTCTTTACTCCTTGAAAATAGATTTTCTTTAAGCCATGCTGTTGTACAAAGAACTGTCTTTAAAGTATTCCATGAAATTTGATATGAGGAACAAATAAAAATGCCCAAGAGAACTGTTCAATGTGAACTTCATAATGTATGTCAACTTGATTACCTGGTTTAAAATAAAAAAGGAAAAACACTTTCATCACATTTACATAGTGGTCTACTCTGAAAACTATATTTTTCTACTTAAAATATTAGAATATACAGCTATAAAAATTAAATGAGTTTTCCATGGTCAATATGTTTTATTGTATTTTTTAAATGCTATGATACACATGCTGATTGTATGCTAACATTTCTTTATGGAAATATTACTCGCAATATTAGTATATAATAATATATGCAGAACAAAATTTCGGAGACAGTGGAGCAGAAGAGAATAGGAATGTATAACAGAAGATACTATGCAAAACTTTTAGAGTCTTACATTTCACATTAATAAAACATAGTTTCTAACATGTAACACTGTAACAGAGCCCAAAATAAGCATAATTAGAGGTTACATAGAAGCTTATACTTTTCTGAGGTTTCTCAATAAAATATACATTTAGTATGTTAAGAGTTTTTCTTTTTTGAGGATATATCAGAGAATTTCAAAGAAAGACAGCTGTACTTTTGTTTTCTAACACTGTATTATCCAGGGCTAAAACCCGGAGCATGAAAGTAAGAATTGATCTTTTGTCTGTTTTAAGTGATCTCCCCAAGGTCCAAATGCTCACTTGGCTGCCATGCGGAGGGCACTCTCTGCATCATGGATGTTCTCCTCCAGTCGACGCTTGTCCTGCTCCAGCTGGGTAAGATGTCTATTGAGCTGACGCAGAGATTGATCTTTTCTTCTCAGCTCCATCTTTGCCTCGGAGAGACTCTGCAAGCAGACAGAAAACAGAGTTACTTGTCAGCCCTGATAATTAACTTCAATTTATGCCATAGGCTATTAAACAAAGAAGAATACAGACTGACTGAGAAGTAGACTTGGGTCATTACACATCAAAGTTTAACAAATTTTCTGCAAAAATTTTATATACGTACTAATTAGAAATGATAGAACTGATAAGGTTTGGGAAATTGTTACAAAATACAGTTCCATTTTATTTTTTCAAATACTGCAAGGCAAATTGTATTCTTACTAAAAATAATCTGATTATAAAAATCTCAAGTTGTACTTTCTTTTAATGATGAAAAAATAAAGATTTCAGGGGAGAAAGCACATGAAATTTAGAGTCAATTTTATTCCAAATAGAATTAGAGTTAAGAACTATCATATGCCCAAACTATGCATGTGATTGAGAAAATGATAGACCAGGATATCTATAAGAAAATGGTAAACCCAAGATGAAAGAGTACCACTACTGTCTTTATAAATATATAGTTAGGTGGCTATAGACATTTCAGCAAACAAACAAATTGGACTCCAAAATAAAATCTACTTGCTTCCCAGTAAATAACTCTCACGTCAAGGATAGCAACACAAATAGGATCAACATGTTTTAACTAATAAAGTTATAAATAATACTTGCATTCAGAATTATTTGTGTTCTGTAAATATTTTCTTAGTCACAGAAGTACAAGATCTGTTGATTTATATTTGCTATCTACTTTAATCTGAAATATTTACTTAACACAAAAATTTCAAGATGCAATTGTGCAACTTTACACTGAAGGCTTAGAATCAGAAGCTCACAATTGAGAGAAGTATTTTCTAGACCTCAGTTAAAATTCTAGGATACAAAATAGTACAGGGATCAGAGGATCGCTTAGCACTAAAAATCTTCTTACTCCTTTGCCGAAAAAATTTCTAGAATAAGCTTATCAAACAGTTTTTTATTAAATTTGTTGGATGGTGAGCTAAATAATTGAGTGCATACACATAATGTTTTCTTCTTGCTCAGTTTAGCCACACATTAACATCCACACTGTGCTTCAAATATCTAGTAAAGAATAAACAAAAATGTTATAATTTCATGTGTAAAACTCTTCTAACAGTATTCTTTTAGTGCATTCACAATGGGTAGTATAAAAAAAAGAATAGTATAAAAAACTTAAGCTGCATACATGTTAAACCAATTAATTCCCTCTAAATGCTGGTGAACTGCAAGCCATCATCAGTCAAACCAGGTATTTTTAAATGTTGAAAGTTTTAAAATTCAGTCATTCACTTTTCAAATAGTCGAGTTACCGTCAAACAAATATAAATCAAAAAATTAAACAAACTATGACTACTTATGAGACATTGTATTTTGTTTTAAATCTTCACTATTAACAGATCTTCACAAACGTTCCACCACAGAAATAGTCACTGATTCAAACCAACTTTAAAAAGATGGCAAAGAATAAATTTTTAAAACCACGCTAAACCTACTAATTTTGTGCCAATGCTAAGATAAAGACACTAAAGCATTATAAGATTTCTTTATTTAAAAAAGTAAAATCCTTTTGAGTTCCTTTTAAAGTCAGCATTTCTGACATCTTTCAAGCAACAAAAAAATCAATTTTTCAAATATGAAGATCAAACTAATGATCCAACACCAGTTATGGATAAAGCTTGAGTTCTTCCAACAAAAACAATACATTTGTGCCAGTCCATTCAAATTCTTCTGCTCAATAACTCTTATGACTAGAGGTGCATATTGGTGAGGGGACTATCCAGCATTCAGTATATTATCTCTAACCTTATCCAGACTGAAGCTTCCTGATCCAATCTCAGGGAATCCATGACTTTGAAATTATCATAAACCCACACTTGACTTTTCAACAATCCTATCATATACTTTCAAAGAAGATATACCTCATAACATTAGAATTTCTACTACATAGCTAAATCTTCTCGTTTCCATTCTTTCATTTTCATGTCTCAGGGGCAACGACAGGAGTCATCAAACTCTTCTAAAGCTTATACTATTTCAGGGGCATAGAAAAGAAACAAAAAGTGGTATAAACAAAGTGATATAATTCATACTTCCTTGAGTATGAAAACAAAAATATAGTTTTTTTGGAAAAAAGATCACAGTTTTATAACTTATAGACATAGAATTCTCATTTGAAAAGAGGAGAATGACATCATAAAATACATCAGTGGGTCCTAAGATTGATGGGGATGTGTGTAAAACACCAAGACATAAACCGTGATTCAAGAATACGTCTTTTCCCTAATACTTAACCTTTTTTAAATAACAAAAACAGAATATTTAAAAATCCTAACACTGAGCTTTAAAGAAAAATATATTTGTGTATATATATTTACATACATATACACATCACATATATATTTATAAATATATATCCATATATCACATATAATTTTAAATTCAGCTTTTCTTTTCTCCTGTTCAGATTGATCTAATTAAAACCCATGATAAACTTTATGGACTCTAATATTTCCAACTGAATGACAAACCAAGAGGGCGCGCCTCTAGGCAACAAGGCAACAATGATAAGCAGCAGGTTAGCCACTAATTTCTCAACCAGGGTAGATTGTGAAAGTGTGATGTTCTGATATCCAAGAAACTGTTCAGGAGAGAATAGGATAAATCAAGTTTAATAACTCTGCTCCTAATTGTTCCCCCAATGCTCAACTCTAATTACTTGGAGAACTCTCCTGACTGTCACCTGATATTAAGTTGTTGGAGGCTGAGCCTGGAACAGCGAGATAATCAATAAACATTTAGTGGGGAGAAGAATGAAGATCCTGTTAAGCAGTGGGAACCTGCAGCACCCAAAGCCCTTCTGCTCATGAGAAAACCTATGGGACAGCCATAGTGATTGCAAAGCAATAATCCAAAGCACTGTTTTTAGGCCTTGAGGCCTTTAAGCAACAGTACATTTGAGGAAAAAAGGTTAACACGGTCACCCTAATTACAGCCCACTTTCACATACTTCATATATAAGTGAAGACAAGCCAATTAGGTAGAAAGGAAGATAAGGGAAGTTTTATTTGTATACTAATTAAACCCCTGATGAAATTAAAGGAAAAACATACAGCTCTGTAATTGTGTCTGAGAAAGGTCACTTCAGGTTCAGTTATCAGAACAGCACAGCCTTGAGATATTTCACTTAATCCACAATACAGCCCTCATTTTGTACTCAGGTCTTAATACTTACCAAGAAAAAAAAATTCAAAGCCTGATACTGAATTTATCTTTAAACAGTGTTGTGAACAATTTTAGCTGTTAGAAAGTTAAGGCTAGATATGATAACAAGAGTCTTTTAAAGAGCAGAAAAAAATATTCTACCTACACAAGAACCAATGTCACAATATTATTTATCAAAGATTTCCAGTTTTCCTTTTAAATCCAAAATGTTTTAAAGCAAATTTTTACAATGGTATCCCAAAATGACTGTATTTCAAAAGCTATTATATAATATCTTTATTGCATTTCTTTTTAGATAATGATGTCATTGCTTACCTTCATTTTCTCTGTTAAGGAAGAAAAAACCAATGCTTTCACTTAACTACTCCTATAAGAAAATACTTACATTTGATTGTTTCCAGAAATGATCATGAAAAGCTATTTACTATTAATGAAAGCTGGCAGGAAAAGTATGGATACAAAGGAAGTAGTGAAGTATAGTAAAAGCTTAGGAATAGAATACATGGTAAATGTGAATATTAAATGACCCACACATTTTTTCAATGTATTTTTTCTTATCCATAGTTCCTGAAGTTTCTATAATAAGCATGTATTACTAGTGAATAACAGCAAAAATTATTTTAAGTCATACATAATATTATATTTCTAAAGCTTCAAACGTTTATTAAGGCTAATAATTTTTAATTAATTATAAAATAAATTGAAATTCTATTATCTCACACCTATGAAAACATTTTGTGCAATGAAAATTTTTTTAAATAACAGCTTTATTGAGATGTAATCCACATACTAAACAATTCACTCTTTTAAGGTGTACAATTCAGTACGTATTCACAGAGTTGTACAACTATCACCAATAGAGGTCTTTTTTGAAGTAAAATTCTTTAGAAAAAAAACCTTATCAAAACAATGTGGCTATCTAAATAATATTATCTCTCAGTTTCAGCAAACTCTAGTTGAAAACTGCATAAGATATACAAAGTGTATCATTCTGTTTAGAAATGATTTTTGAAATAAAAAATTTATGAATGAATTCCCTGAATTGGAATATTTAATTAATAAATGTGGTACAGTACAAACGTTAAAGTTATCTTAAAGGGTATGCATATCTCTTCAACTAATATTTCTGGATGCCAAGCGAATCACCCAACATAGTTCTTTCTCATAAGGGTACAGTATAGCAGTGCTTTAGACCATTAGGCCGCTAAGAAGACCAAGCCCCAGGGGATATTGCTTTTATAGATTTTCTTTTGTCTAATGGGAAATATCTATGGATCTACATTCCTACACACTAAAAGCTAATGGCTTATTCAATTTGGTATAAAAAGTTAGTCATACAAAATGAAAGGCAAGACAACACAAGTGTTATAAGAACTAGGTTACATTTCCTTGCAGGGGGAAAAAAGATAACATTTAAAGAAAAATAAATTTATTGCTGACTGACTGTTCCTTTAAACATCTCTAGATTGCAATAAATTTGGTTAAAAAGCTTAGTAAAATTAATGTTTGAAAAGGAAATAAGGCTGTCTTCAGCCCTACTGTTATGTAACAACTAAAAAATTATATTAATCAAGAATTAATTAAATACTTGCTAGGTGGATCAAACTGTACAGGTTGTCACAGAAACTATAAACATAAAATGATACAACAACCAAATTTACAATAGGGCCGGGTAAGCAAGTTAGGAATGAAACTAAAGAATAATATATTTTATAATAAAGCCAGAAAATCTGTAAGATAAACAATTAGATAATTTACAATAAAAATACAACAATAAAAGATGTTGGTATATAGTACAGTTTATATCTGAATAAATTTCGATCTTGGTATCTTATATTTTATATGAGGAATTTAAATACAAAGTTATGTAATTTAAATTAATCTTCCTTAGGGATACTATCTTTTATTGTTTTCTAGTAATACCTACACAGAAAGTAGGTGACATATTTATAAACTGAAGCTGAAACTCAAATAACTTACCCACTTTCAGGGTTAAATAAATGGCAGTCTTAGTTAGAACTCACATGTCTAGTAAGGCAACAGATGTTAAGGTATCCTATAAACTGTAAAAGACTACATAAATGTAAAAGGCAGGATTAATAATTACACTTCTACATGTAACGTCATTACAGACTGTTCTTTAAATCTCCACCTATATATGACAACTTATGAGTGCCTATATTATTTCTGCCTCATTTATTTACTTATATATACATACAAATACGTATAATTTTTAAAATTATTTTATCACACATGAAAAAGATAAAAGGAAATTAACAAAGAAGAGTGTAAAATACGTTACTTTTATAAATAGGCCATGTGACAGATGATTAACAACAAATGGGGCAAATGAGCAATGGAAATTCACCTTAAAAATTTCCAAGTATGCTGTAAGATTTTGTTGTATAATGCCTCATGATTATCTGTACCATATTCTCATATATGCCTTTGAAAATGTCTTCCTAAATGGTGTCAATATAAAATAAAAAAGCTAATTCTTCCCAGTAAACTAACTGAAAGTGATCAATAATAAAATATAATGGAATAAAAAGGAACTTCATAAGAGTATTCAAAATATATTGAATGCTATTTGTTCTAAGCCTCGCATATAAAGCACAAAACTCTTTGTGATAGACTAAATGTATAACAGTGAAGTAAAGTGGAAAAGAAATAGTTACACATTTTAAATGACAAAAAAAAAGGAGGATAGTAAAGAGAACCACAAAAACCCTCTCAACTGGAAAATATACTCAGAAAAGTACAAAATAGAAAAGTGGTAGCTAGATTTATTGTGACACACGACATGTAAGCAGTAATGTGACAGTAATGTTTTCTGAGTATAAAGCAAACTGAGTTTGGCTGCACTGCAGACCTCATGAGACAGAAACTACCTGCAGATGACAACCATCATGATGCTGCTATAACAAAATCAGCTCTTATATGACCTCTACATTCTCTTGGCAAATACCTAATAAATACAAGGGGACAGAATACACATGGGCTCTTCTGTTGGACCTTATCAGCTATAGCATACTCAAAAACTTCCCAGAGCTGACAACCCCAGCTATGTGGAGGTCCAAAAAATTGCTGAATTCCCTGGCAATATTTTAAACGAGTCGAGCTATGAATTAAGTTGTAAAAAACTATCATTTAGAATTTAAATGCTGTTTTAAAATCATTTGAGAATTACCTAAAACAAATGTCTGAAAAGAATTTGAAAAAATGTGAATAATTTATAAAGGGCTTCATATAGTTGGGTTTCTAATATTTAAATAAAAAACTTTGTTGAAAAAAATCTTTCAACTTCGAGAATTGTTTTGGTGATAGAAGTGAATAATAGGGTAAATAAGCCTATTAATAATTAAAATACTCTTACATTAATATTTTCACTGTACTACAGAATTTAAATGGCCATTATTTAACGTGAATATGTTATATATTAACTACTTTTAATAAAAGTAAATCAAATACCAACTCAATAAAATTCAATTATTTAAGAGAATTTGAAGGTCAAATTTAAAATTGGGAAAATAAATTTAGGTTATTTTAGACTTAAATGTAAATAAAACAAAGTTTTGAGTTTTTTCTTAAAAGTTTCTTCACTGGATGATTTTCTGTGCATTAAGTATTTTACTACTGATTTCTATATTAATTTTAGAAGTATGTCCATGGGGGAAAAAATTCTAGACAGCAAATGTTTGCTAACTTTCACTATGGGGAGTGTTCCACATATTTTCTTGTACACACAGAACAGTGCCTCTCATATTGTAAGTATTCAACAAATGCTGGCCATTATAACTGCTGTTGTTATTTCCCTTATAATCACTAGGGGGGAAAATTACTTGAGTAACAACTAAGTGTCATTATTATCATTATAACTCAAGCATATTATAATTACATTAGTTCATTTGATTCTTTATAATCCAGTGAGGTATATAGTATTACCATTCCTGTTTTACACGAGAAAACTAAGAATCAGAAAAGTTATTTCCCCAAAGTCATGGAACTAGTAAATAGGTTTATGTCAAAATGTGAGCCCTTCTTCTGAATCTAAAACCTTCCTCTAAACTCTGTACTACAGTAGTATTAGTAACAACGTCTTCAGATTTTCCATAAAATCTACTAACTGGGAAATCACCATGGAAATGTAAAACCAATATTTCTCTTATTTATCAAACTCCATAAAGTTAGTAAGGTACTTTAATATATTTAAATGGTTACTTTCTACTTATATTAAAGTCCAATAAGAGCTTCAGTATTATTTAAGGATACACTTTCAACATCAAACATTGAAGAATGTACAACTCAAGATCCCTTGTGTGAAAGTAGGATCACTGTCATCACTTATTAAATGTACTAATAAAAAATAAATATTTGTAAAGAAATGATGAATTGTACAGCACTCCATTGTAGTATAGAATTTTATATAACTCAAGACACATTGGGCTGTTGCTTTTTTTAACCTTTCAAAAAGCAATGGACTTATTTACCTTTCCTTTATAAGTTGGCAACAACAGCACTTAACTTTCCCTGTAGATCTTAAAATTTGACTGCCTAGCATAGTATCACCTTTTTAATATTTGTAACAGCAACCCACCCTATCACAACAGTATATCAAGATACCAAGCTCAATAATACAGCATCTGTAGCTACCTCTTCCTAGTTAGGGAGATCTTAGCTGCTATGTAAGAAGACACTTATGTGCCTAATTTAAATCAAAAATGTCATCTTTAAAAAACTGGTATCCAGCCAGGCGTGGTGGTGAATGCCTGTAATCTCAGCACTTTGGGCGGCTGAGGTGGGCAGATTGCTTGAGGCCAGGAGTTCAAGACCAGCCTGGGCAAAATTTGAAGAGGATGCTTGAATTAGTGGACTCCCAACTCCCATCCTTCTTTAAACTGGAATTTGCTTTAATGTTTTCTATGAACTTTGTGGAAGATTTTTTTAAAGAAAGGGTTCTTTGGCTAAATATACTTGCCAACTATTGTAATAGAAGGCCATGGGAAGCTTCTGAAGGATTCTAGGCTGTGAAGCAGCCCTCTTTGATCTGTTTGGGAATCATATATATAAACTATAACTGTCTAATTAAAGAAATACAAGAGGTCATTCTGGCTATATCATCATAGCTCATTTAAACCTTCAGAAGAATTCTAACCAAGGTTTAATATGATTTCACCTGTGAGTAAAAGATACAATGATATACTATGTTAAAAATGATTTTCAAAGAACTGGCTTATAATAGTTTTCCTTAATATGCTAGAGTATTATATCAAAATTTACTTTTACGTTACTCAGAGTATATATTAAATATTTACTTCCTATAAACGCACATTCTAGCCATATATTTTCTATTTCCATTAATTATTAAATCCTACAAGGTATATGAATTATATGATAGAGAGCCATAAACCCTACATCATAGCAGAAATAAATGAAAAGAATATTATTTTAGGAACACCAAAAAGAGGATTAACAATTGAACTCAGTAATTGTTTTATAAGGAGAACTACACTATTTCGGCTATGGTTTTAAAATGTTTTCGGTTATTAAGTTGTGTTGTTTTGAAGTAAAAGAGGGTAGAACAAAGTTACCACTGGCAATAACCACTGAGTGAGATTTCTAAAAGGCTTTCTAAAAGGGTTGGTACCGGCTTTCCCATCGTGCAATAAACCATGAAAGTTATTTTTTAACATATCTGAGTGAAATATATAATTTTTAACCACTCTTCACTTGTATTAATTAAAGAAAAAGAGAGTGAAGCTGAGTAATACAGAGTTGTTAAAACAAAGATGAAGGCTCACAACTAAATCAACCAGTTTCAGCAACAGTTGGAAGCATATTCAAAGTACTGTTGGGACAAGGCAGAGGGATGGACTCAAGCCTCTGGGCAGTTTCTTGAGGAATTGTGCTTATGAAAACCCCTGTATTTGTTCAGGCAGTAATAGTTGAAAAATATATATTCTGGGGAAGTAACATAGCAAAACATAGCATTTTATAGGTTTTCTTCAAATGGAATTTTCCTGTATAAGGGTGTATGTGTATATATGTACATGAATATATACATACTCAGTAAATAGTACCATTTTGGTTACAAAGAGCTTGCTATAAAATTAGTATAATTTACACTTCTGATCCCTCTGTAACCAACCCATTCACCTGAAGAAAAACATAGTTGTTCTAACCTTCTAAATGAGCGAGATCGCCATCTAGTGGTGATGCTTTAAAATGTCAGGAATATGGCTTCTGGAGCCTAGAAAATGCTCTGTGGAATGTGGTGGACACTGAGTACATATTGTAGAACGTTCAAATTTTCTTAAACAACAAACAGCATAATACACGGAAGAATCTTTTTCTTTTATACTTAAAAAACCTCTAGAACAAGAGAGAAAAGCATCAACCAGACATATGACTCCCGGAGATAACTATTTTCAACCCTACTGACCAAACTAGTGAAGAGGGTTGCAGATGTTAAAATGTCAAGTTACACCAAATTTGGCCAATGTGGCTAACTAGAAAGAAGATTAATTATTTCTATACATTATATAATGAAAAAGATAAGTTACCGCAGTAGATTTTATTATTGGTCAAACTATTTGTTCCTTCTCCAAGAGGGGAAAGTATATTCTCCCGTTCCACTGATACGAAATTTGACGATGTAAATCGGTGGTGTCCTTTCTGGAAAGAAGATTATATATACCCTGTCCTGTCAAAATCAGGAATGGTCAAGTTACTTGCTTTGACCAATGAAATGTGACTAGAAGCAAAATGTCAATTCCTATCGGAGAAAAGGACAGCAATGTCCCATGTAGACACCTTTAAAACAAGACCGGCCGGGCGCGGTGGCTCACGCCTGTAATCCCAGGACTTTGGGAGGCCGAGGCAGGCGGATCACGAGGTCAGGAGATCGAGACCATCCTGGCTAACACAGTGAAACCTCGTCTCTACTAAAAATACAAAAAATTAGCCGGACGTGGTGTCCCAGCTACTCGGGAGGCTGAGGCAGGAGAATGGCGTGAACCCGGGAGGCGGAGCTTGCAGTAAGCCGAGATGGCGCCACTGCACTCCAGCCTGGGCGACAGAGAGAGACTCCGTTTCAAAAAATAAAAACAAAAATAAATAAATAAAATAAAACAAGACCAACAGCGTTCCAGATAAAGAACACTCTATCAGCCTCAATCATGGGGTATGGACATATGAAGCAGAAGCACACAGCTGACCCATGATGAATATGCATAATGTGTGAGAAATCACTTGTGGTTGTAAAGTCACTGTTTAGAGTTATTTGTCACTGCAACATAGGAGAGGGTATCTTAACCCATTTTTCTACATTTGGCAATTTAATATTTATATAACTATGAAGTCATCAGGAGATACTTTAGAAAATCAGTGTCTAGGCTCATTTAATATTGGATCATTGGGGGAAGATATGAAGTTTAATTAAATATTAAAATCACAGCAAGTCATCTGAGACTTAGGTGAGTATGTAAATATAAGGACATTATAGAAAAATAATTTAATAATTAAAAATTGAAGACAATAACAAAATAAAGAGGGGTACCATACTGTAAAACATACTATTTTTAATATACATATGATAAATTACTAATATGCATGTATATATGTAAATAGGTACACTTAAAAATATGAAAGGCATAAACCAAAATAGTAATGACAACACTTATTTCTTGTTAATATTTTTATTACTTTCAATATAATATGTATAAACTTTATGTAATTAAAAATGCAACTGACAGCCAGGCGCAGTGGCTCATGCCTGTAATCCCAGCACCTTGGGAGGCCAAGGCAGGTGGATCACTTGAGGTCAGGAGTTCGAGACCAGCCTGACCAACATGGTGAAACCCTGTCTCTACTAAAAATACAAAATTAGCCAGGTGTGGTAGCGCACACCTGTAATCCCAGCTACCTGGGAAGCTGGGGCAGGAGAATTGCTTAAACCAGGGAGGCAGAGGTTGCAGTGAGCCGAGATCACGCCATTGTACTCCAGCCTGGGCAACAAAAGCGAAACTCCAACTCAAAAGAGAAAAATGTAATTGATACAATCTTCATAAGCTCAACTTTCATCACAAAATCTTAAATTTAGACACAGGATATCATAATAGTAATTAAAACTGATTTTTAATGTGCTCTAGTAAACAAAGACAGGAAATTGCTCAGTTATATAACATTTTATCAAATGGTAAATAAATACAAATACATGTAATATGCAACTAAATTTAATCACTATCATTTATTCAACTCTTTGAGGGGGAAATATTTCAATGACCTGTTTCCCTCTAGGGAATAAATAGGGCCTTAGTATTTCTTAAGCTAATAGTCACATCATAATACATATCCATCTGATTCCCAGGATTTTGTCAAACCCTCTCCCCAATTAAAGTTGCCTGTTTTTAAGACTTTTAGCCATGACACAGCTTAGAAACCCCAAATCAACATTCTTCACAGATAAATGATTTTCTGAATTCCACAAGGACTCTATGTTCTGTGTCACAGGACATAGATCAGAAAAACAGATGAATTCTATTTCCATCACAGAAATGATTTTGATGATTTTGGTTTGCTTTGATACTCTGATTTTACTCCTAAAATAAGATAAAACCACCATAAAGTAGCATCCTGTTTCATCTATCATAGTGATTTTCCTTGTAGATGCCCTTAACAATAATCCTTGTAGAGTGCATATACGTCCCTAACCACATTTTGGCAATTGGCCAGGCTTTTGCTAGCACAAGATAAAACTGACAAATATGCTTTACCCTTTGCAGTTTCAGGCATTCTAATTTTATCAAGGTTAATACTACTTTATACATTTTCTGAACTAAAACATAGAAAATAATACTCGCCAGCACTCCATAAGATCAAAGCATTATAAAGTCATATCCATTGGGTAGCCTCTTAATTGTGAATATACTAAAATAAAATGCAATTTGTTAAGATTAATAAATAATGGTGTTTTCCGAAATAACATCTTAAGTAGTGATGTGATATAACAGTGCAATATTACTAAACTTCCAAATAAAACTTGAGTATGTTAATTAAATGTTTTCTATAAACAGAAAGGTATAATGATTTAGAATACATATCCCCACATGGGGTAAAATTACCTCTAAAATGAATTAAACATTGCCACTTAATCATGCTAGAAATATGAACATATAATTAGATAATTACCTCCAAAGACTGAGACATTTAAATTTATCCTCATTCCACTACAAATGTAATATTCTAAGGTTGGTTACTATGATTGATGACAATTAAATTAAATATTTCTGAAACAAAACCATTGCTGAGTCTCAGATTAATGAGAACTAAAATAATCATGATCAAAAAGTGAACAAATTTTAATTAGTCCTTTAGGTTACAATGTACTATTTATTAATTTAAAATTGGGCCCACTGAAACAACAAGTATTTTCATAGTTAACCTTGGAATATCTGTAATTATACTATACAGTCTGGGTCATTTTTGTAGTGCATTCAAAGAAAATAATTTTTCTAAGAGAGAAAGTCTTACTACAGTATTGTCATTCTCAATAAACATCTCTGGGTTCAGGTCCTTGCTCCACTAATTACTAGCTCTGAAACTTGGGCTAAGTTAAATCCTCTATACCTTTGTTTCCTCATCTGCAAATGATGGGTAATAATATTTATTTTTAAAATTGTTTTAAAAGTTAGATGAGAAATTATTATCTGCAAATTATTTAGCCAAGTGGCAAGGAAATAAATCCTAGCTATTTTTATCTAATGCAAGGACAAATGCTAACAAAATTTACATAGTCCCTTAAGCCTCCACATTGGAGGTTTATAAGTTTACAAAGAATCCTCACTGTAGTTAATAATAAAACAAACCACTAAAGCAAATACAAGTCATAAGATAATAAAATTGCATATTTGTATTAATAAAGTATTTTGGCATATTACCAATTCAACTAATTACAGAGAAAATTATTTAAAGAAATGAAAGACTTATTCAACAATGGCAAAAATAAACTTCACTCACAGATTTTAAGTGGCACAACATAAATGAATATCATTTACAAAATTCCAAATAGTTTACATATATTTGAACACTTCAGTTTCCAGATGGAAATGTATAAAGTCATGTACCACATAAGGTTTTGGTCAACATTGGACCATGTATACTACAGTACTCTCATGAGATCATAATGAGGCCGGGTGTGGTGGTTCATGCCTGTAATCCCAGCACTTTGGGAGGCCGAGGTGGGCAGATCACCAGAGGTCAGGAGTTCGAGACCAGCCTGGCCAACATGGCAAAACGCTGTGTCTACTAAAAAGTACAAAAACAATTAGCCAGACATGATGGTGTGTGCCTGTAATCCCAGCTACTCAGGAGGCTGAGGCAGGAGAATCACTTGAACCAGAGAGGTGGAGGTTGCAGTGAGCCGAAATCGCGCCACTGCATTCCAGCCTGGGCAACAGAGCAGGACTCCATCTCAAAAAAAAAAAAAAAAAAAAAAAAGATTATAATGAAGCTGAAAATTTCCTATCACCTACTAATATCTTGATGATCCTGACCCTGTGTAGAGCTAGGCTAACGCGTATTCATGTCTTACTTTTTGCCAAAAAAGTTTTAAACGTTAAAAAAAGGATTTTAAAGAGAAAAACACTTACTGAATAAGAATATAAAGAAAATATTTTTGTACAGCTTTACACCGTGTTTGTGCTTTAAGCTAAGTGTTGTAAAGGAGTCAAAAAGTATACAGTGCTTATAAAGTCGACAGCAGTATACAGTAATGTCCTACGTCTTCACATTTACTCACCACTCATTCACTGAGTCACTCAGAGCAACTTCCAGTCCCTCAAGCCCCATTCATGGTAAGTGCCCTACATAGGTATATGATTTTTATCTTCTATACCATATTTCTATTGTATTTTTTCTATGTTCACATAACACAAATCCTTACCACTGTGTTACAATTGCCTACAGCATTCAGTATAGTAACATTCTGTACAGGTTTGTAGCCTAGAAGCAACAGGCTTTACCATGGAGCCTATGTGTGTAGAAGGGTATACTATGTAGGTCTGTGTAAGTACATTATATGATGTTTGTACAACAAAATTGTCTGACACATTTCTCAGAGCACAGCCCCATCCTTAAATGACACATGACTGTATTTCAAATGAAAATGTAACCTCATTTAAGGAAGGCACACAAAGAGCTCAAATGCCAACCACAGCTGGATAAGGTCAAATTAAAGGAGAAAGGGATTTGACTTGTATCTCACCATTTGAATGTCCACTGTAGATTTATTTGGCATTTCTATGGCATTTCACACCAAAAGTTTAAAAAATAAAATTCTTTATAGACTTGACTTTAAAACAAAAAGAAAAAGAAGATCATGGGAAAAGTTGATTGAGTTGAAAAATAAAGACACCCTAAGGAAAATTCCTTGTAAGTAGTACTTCTTTACCAAAACAAACAAACAAACAAAAAAGACAAAAAAGTAAGATGCTGGCACAGGGGACAAAAAAAGAAATCAAAACCAAAATACTCAAACACCCTCTAACTATAAGGGACTTTAATATTGCAACAAAACCAAAGAAAGAAAGAAACCAAGAAAGGTCATACACATTGATATTCAGGCTACCAGGAAAAATATGATTACAAACATTTTTTAAAAGGCAGTTTTGTAAGCCTATTGATTCCTTTTGCACATTTCAAGGTAAAGTAGTTACTTTGTAGTTGACTCAATAATATTACAAAGATCTGTCAGGAGTCTGAATTTAATAAGAACCCTCTCTGTTTTTTAAAGAAAACCTAAAGACAAGTTAAAGCTCAAAACTAACTGGAACAAATGGTATGCGGGTACATGTGCTTAACATGCAATCCACTTGTGCAATAATCCCATTTTTCTTCTAAAGCATTGACTTATAATAAATCTTTCCTATTGCACTGTAAATTCCAAGGTGACAGTCAAAGATGTTTATTAGTATAATTACAATGCAGAAAAAATACCAGTAAGCTTCCAGTTCTAGGTTTCATACATTAATAGAATAAGAAGATTAAGAAAGTGTCAAGTGTGTTTTAATTCTTCAGCTCTAAAGATTCCTAATGTGGTGCTCTTTTATTACATGATCTATTTTTTAGCTTTGTTTGCATTTTATCTTTGAAGTTGCTAACTTTTTTTAAGCACTTACGAAGTACAGTTTTGTTTTTATAAAAATTAAGGGCCGGGTATGGTGGCTCACACCTGTAATCCTAGCACTTTGGGAGGCCGAGGCAGCCGGATCACAAGGTTAGGAGTTCGAGACCATCCTGGCTAACATGGTGAAACTCCGTCTCTACTAAAAATACAAAAAAAAATTAGCCGGGCATGGTGGTGGGCACCTGTAGTCCCAGCTATTCAGGAGGCTGAGGCAGGAGAATGGTGTGAACCTGGGAGGTGGAGCTTGCAGTGAGCTGAGATCGTGCCACTGCGCTCCAGCCTGGGCGGCAGAGCGAGAATCCATCTCAAAAAAAAAAAAAAAAAAATTAAGATATGGCCATAAGAAAAGAGGTAGAAAAAGCCAAAATTGCTGAACAGCCAAAAGGAACTCATTTATAATATAATGAATTATTCAACTTTACAGGCATTCTTCAACAGGGTCTCTATGTTCAATTTCTAAATATTTAAGATTCTAACAATTCTTAAGCAATTAAGATTCTAACCACTCTTAACCAGTGTTTGAAATCTATCTCTACAGAACTGTAAATATGCATAATACCAAAGATTCTTGATTATCCTTCAATATCCAATCACTTTACTTTCTACTCTCAATAATGAACAATCAGTATTTCAAAGAAAAAGAGTTTTCCTATCTCCTTTTTGACATTACGGTTAAAGACTCTGGGTGCATTGTTCTACATGGTAAAGCGGATTGCATTAAATGAGAATATCTAATTCTCAATGTCTGAACTTCCTATTATTAGGGACTTTACTATCATTAGAATCAATTGAAAAGGCCAGGCAGCTGTTATAGGGTTTTGTTTGTTTAGGGGAAAGTCTGTTTCTTAATATGCTTTCCTCGTAATAAGCATATAGTAACATAAAAGTTAGAAAATGAATATCCTGCTTTCTTCTGTAACTGGAATAAGATATGAATTATAATACTACAGAGGTTATTTGTGAAACCTCTGCTGGTTATAACATGTAAAACTAAAATAAATCTCAATAGGTCATCTAGATCAGATGAGTCTTTCATGTCTTACTTCCTACAAGTTTCCACCACCATAAAAACAAACAAAAACACTTTCTCATAATGATATTTAATTTAAACTAAATATTCCATTGATGCCTTAGTAACTTAGGAAAATACAAAGCTATCTCAAACAGCATTCCAGCAAGGATTTTTATGGGTACTACCAGTTGTTGTCACTGCTTGAGGAACACTGACATGAATCTCAACAAATCACAGGCACACCAACTTCGCTACTGAAGAAAACAGATTATCATTAGTAATCTCATTTATTCAGCAACAAGCCTACTATTATGCCATAATTATAGCAAATGCCATATTTGCTACCATTATTGCACATTTTTTTGAGCAGGGTCTCACTCTGTTGTCCAGGCTGGAGTGCAGTGGCACAATCATGGTTCACTGCAGCCTCAATCTACTGGACTCAGGTGATCCTCCCGCCTCCGTTTCTTGAGTAGCTTGGACTATAGGCACATGTAACCACACCTGGCTAATTTTTTATTTTTTAGTAGAGATGGGGATTTGCCATGTTGTCCAGGCTGGTCTTTAACTCCTGGGCTCAAGCAATCCTCCCACTTCGGCCTCCCAAAGTGCTGGGATTACAGGTGTGAGCCACCATGCCCAGCCTACATAGTTCTTTTAGCATATATAATATGAATCTCTTGCATAGCAAGTTTTGCAGAGTATTTTCACTAAAGAGGGAAAACACATGGGAATCAGACTTATAGCACCTTAAATTTTAGATGCTTTAGACACAAAAATTACTAACTTTCACATCTCTGTTTATCCAATCCCAAGTCTTTCTATCTTTCTTCACATCTCCCTCTTCTCATCTTTACATGTTTTCAGAATCAAGGCTTTCATTTTAGACACATTTAAGTGGTCCTAATTTCTGTAAATTTCACTTGGCCATCATCTTCCCTCAAGTTATCATGTATCGGCTTTTCTTTCTGCCTTTGCTAATCCCTCAAAGGTAAAAACCTATATCTACTACTTTCCCTTCCCATCCACACATCAGATGTAATAAAAGAGCCAATAGATTGAAATACAGATTCCTGCTATAACATTTACTACCTGAGGAAACGGTCAAATTACTAACATCCCTGAGCATTAATTTTCTAATCTGTAAAAGGAAATTTGGGTGTCTATACTATAGGTTGCTGTGAGGACTGAATGTAACAATATATTTGAAGTATTGATCAGAGAGCCAAACATATAGTAAACACTCAATAAATATGCCTGCCATTCTTTGCCGTGTGAAATCTGGCCTTTGGACTCACCATTCTCCTAGCAGAGACAGGACTCAACATGCCAGTGTACAGTTCCCAGTCTTCCAAATGCCAGTCAAGAAGGAGAAACCTCACTTATGAACTAAAGATACAAAAACCCTGATTATTTTTTCCATCAACATAAGCTATTTTCTGACCTATTTTTAGAAAAGAGAAAAATATTACAGAGAAAATCGTTTTCATTCCAGTTTGAAAAAACAGTTTTCATTCTGTTTTCTCTAAAAAATATTACAGAGAAAAATCATTTTCATTGTAGTTTGAAAAAATAGTTTTCATTCTTTGACAACCTACGGCTTTTACACATAATATGCAGGCTTCTGTAGCACCCTATAGAGAATGATGGTCCTCTCTATTCTGTATTGCACTTAAATCTATGCATATCTGTTTCTTCCAGTACAAGATGAAATGTGTTTTGACCCAGGAAGAGCTACTTGCTAAGTAAATCTTTCTTTTGAAAGCTATCTTCTTCTAAGGACGTCCTACATATAAATCTAAAAATATACAATAAGCAAAATTATTTTAAACAAGTTTTCAAAATAGATTCAAACTAAACACCTAATATGTATGGGCACTGGATGTTACTGAACACTTTCTCAATAAAATTCTTCACGTATCACTTTTCTAAGTCCTGTTTTTTTTTTTCTGTATCTTCTCTTTTACCTCCTGCCTTCCAAATTTAGATCTTTCCTACATTTGTTTGCTCTTCCTTTCATGCTTTCAAGATGTTTCATCTACTTTTTAAATCTTTAACACTTTACTACAACCAACAACTATGCATTTCCTCACTAGAATTTATGATCATCTCAAAATAAAACAAAACGAAAAGCTGAAATCATCTTTTTCACATTCCCCAAACTGATTCCCCTGCCCTATCTCTTTGTTGTTAGCAGTACTATTAATCTTACAGTGTAAAATATTAATTCATCTTTTATTCCTTTCTATTCCTATATCCTCTACATTTACTCTGTCATGAAATCCTACTATTGAAGACTTCTAAGAAAGAAAGGTCCTCACCTCAGATTTTAAAAATGGATTCTAAGAAATAACAAGATGAATCCTTTTCCTTCATTCTGACCCAGAGGAAAGCAGATCGGGTATGGAGAATTCTAACATGAGTTGCTCAGACACACAAAAAAATTACTTAGAAGCAGAAAAGCTTATTCAGCTACAACAAACTAAAGGCTCAAAAATCACAAGGTCTTTGAACTCAAGTGGCCTAATCAATCTAAAAGAAACATAATCTAGGGCACCCTCACAAGCTAGCTGAATCAGATTAAAAGGACAAAGATGCAAAATTAGGAATAAAAAACAGGTGACAATATCAGATACATGGAAACTTTTAATAATTATAAGGAAAGATATGGCATTCCCCTAGGTGTATATGAAACACTTTCAAACTTGAATAAAATAGAAGATTTCTACGAAAATAAACAAGCAACAGACTCAAGAAGGTCTAAAGTCTAGTTCAAGATGACACTCTTCTCTGGCAAACTTCCATTTTAGAAAGCAGTGAAAGCTTCAATCTTCAACCTAGAGTGTATGTAGGAGATGTGTACAGAAAAGAGGAGTAATGGTCTACAACCTAGAAGAGGCTCAAGTTGTAAAACCACTACAATACAAGGTGGGAGTAAATCAAGCTGTAGAAGATAGAAATTAATTAAAAGACTATACTTGGAATAACCAACCACACCCACATGTCCCCCCTTCCACACACACATAATCATACAAAACTGTAAGCAGACATTTACCTGCAAGGGAGAAAAAAGAAGGTATTTATTTCATAAAACAAACTAAAAACAAATAAAAATTGAAAGATCTCTAAGGGAGCAATAGGCAACTAGCTACGAGTGGTGGTGCCAAAAAGGAAGGACCAGCATATTCATTTGAGGGTTGCCCAGCCTAACAGCAAGCTCATAGCCCATCCATCCTAAAGGAAAGCCAACCAGCCACCAACTCTTAACTATATACAAAGAGCTCCTAGTTAGCATTTTTTTCTTCATTCTTAAATGTGAATGATCAAACAAAGCTTTTCATAAATTTGATGAAAGCCTTTGTTCCAGTTACAATTTAGAACAATATGTCATGTGTTCCAGGGTTACATACGACAAATTAATCTAAAACATAATGGTGTCAAACTACTGTGATTAGACTCATGGATTCCATGGATCAGGAAATAGAGCATGGCACAGCAGGGACTGCTAGTCTCTGTTCCCTATTATCTGGAGCCTCAGCTGAAGGCTGGTATATGAAGTCATCTGAAGGCTCATTCACACAGGTCTGGCATTTGATGCTAGCTTGTTGCATGAGATGCTAGCTTGTTGCAAGAGACCCTAGCTGAGCTGTTAGCTGAGCATATTATCCCTAGTTCACGATGTGACCCAGGCTTTCCCAGAGAATGATGGCTGGTTTCCAACAGAGAAAATTGAGAGAGAGAAAGAAAATCAGGCAGAAGCCATGTCTTTATGACATAGTCTCAAAAGCCATGCACTGTCACTTCACAAAGGCCCATTCAATTTCAAAAAGAGGGAAATAGACTCCACATCTTGATATGGGAGTAGCAAGGTTCTAGAAGCACTTGTGGGATCAGAAATATTGCTGTGGCCATTTTTGGAAAATATAATCTTCCATGGCCTTCAGCATAAAAAAAAAGGATCAACAAAAACAAATGAAAAAAATATGAAGATCTCAGAAGAACGAAAGAGAATTCAGAGAACTTAAATAATTGTTTATTATAATATTTGCTTGTTAAACACCAGTTTTAAAAACTATAAGAAAACACAGAAACTTTAAAAAGGATGCCATGAAAAGAGAATGAGAAATTAAAAGCAATTCTTAGAAATTAAAATATTACTACAATAAAAAGCATTTCAATACAAAGAGTGAAGAGAAACTACGAGAATATAAAATAAGAAGATAGAAATATTTTTAAAATATAAGAGCCATAGAGGATAGAACCAGGATATTCAACTTCTGACAGACTAACAGATGTTCCAGAAAGAGAAAAGAGAAAAACAAAAACAAGAAAATGAAATTTAATTTTGAAGAGTCTATGGAGTATTATTTCACAAAGTGAAAATGTTAATCCTCTGGAAGCTTAGTGTCTACCACATTTTGGTGCCCCTCTACCACCAATACTGAACTGAACTTCAACTAGTAAATTATACTCACTTGAAATAAATCATTTGACAGCTAACTAGCTGCTAATAGCTGCAGATTAAGACACTTCTAGAATTATTGCAATCTCCATTCCTAAATATTTTAACCAATTTTCTTCTTTAAAAAAATCTCTCCTAGAGAGAAAATGCCCCAAACTTGAAAGAAAATCCTGTATTGGAAATAGGGAGGGTAATGAAGTTGGGCAATCCTGAGTTCAAGTTCTTTTTCTCCCTAGCCACTAAATCACCAGGAACTGACTTCAAGTTCTGACTCCAAAACTTTCTAATATGTGACATTGGACCAATTTATTAAAACTCTAATCCTTAATTAACTTTCTATTTGTAATTTATATTTATTTTTTATTTCCAGGAAATTAGAGGATTGCAGAGAACGTATGTAAAGCATCCACTTTATAGTGGTTACATTATTAGGATGACTCAGGATCCTCATGAGAATCCAAAGATGTGATAGCCCTATTTCCCTTCTACCTACATTATCAAAGAAACATTCTCTGAACTAATATTGATCTATGCATTGTCTGATCTCACCTGCTCCTTGTCTATATTTTTAGTTATCAATCATGTGGTTGGTGTCTTTAATGCAGGAGACTATAGCAATCTAAATTCCACAAACACAAGGCAAATTAATAGGTTCTATTTCTAATAGTGTAAACTAGAAAAATATTCTCATCTGAAATTCAGTCATAGGTGGATGAAGAAGAAAATTTGAAGTTGACTCTCTTTTTTTCTATCCTGCTTCCATACCACAAGAGGAACTTTGGGAGAGTTAGAGCAGGAGAAAAGTAAAAACTCCTTCCATCTCTTCAATAATATTACTTCTCTAGGTAAAATAAATGCATCACCATCATCCAAGTCTGAGAATCCAAGAGGAAAGGAACCATTTTAACAGCAAACTGGCCTGACATCTAAAGCCATGTAGATAATGACCCCTTCATAATAGTACCATGAACCACGTTGGAATCCAGGCAACTACTTGACCACCAGAGGCTGTCAGAGTAAATCAGAAGAGACCATTCTAATCAAAGTACTATGATAAATCTAGGGATGGACAACAGTAAAAGATTAATAGAAAGGTACCACATTATTCAAAGATACTTGTTTCTTAAAGAGTTCGCAGGATAGAAATTAGCCAGCTTCCTGTATATACGTTGTTCTGTTCATCTATTTTAATAAAAGATGTTTTTTAACTACAAAAGGAATTCTGTGAAAGTCATAATCCAGACCTTAGTTAAAACAGGCTTTGTAAATTCAGACCAGGAGATCATGTGAATCAAAGTACTTGCCAACACCTGGGGGCAGCATACCACTAACTGTTGAAAGGGACCTAAAAGCAAAGCACCAATAGAAGACTGAACACGCAAATGACAAAAACCACACCCAAAACACATCACAGAATATATTTCTAACAATAAACATCGTGACAGACATATATATACACATATATATTAACATATAAAATTAATACATATGTAAATGTATAATTATTTGTAAAAATGTGTAGTATATAAATTTTATTTTATATTGTATATAGACATATATGTGAAATACATAATTTATTTACATAAACTGTAGAGTGTATGTATATACATATACTGAGTATGTGGATGTCTATACAGATAAACATAGATACATGATTTCAGAAGTGAAAAGCCAATATGTCATGTTTTTTCATTTAATAAAATGAGAATTTTGATAATAAATGGTACAACTTCTTGTAAAGCTTGGAAAAAAATTTTCTCCACTGTGTAGCCTGATTAATTCAGAATATGACTAACTGGCTTGATAGGGGAAAATCAGATTCAATGCTATTAAGTTTTCTTCAAGTGGGCAACATATGACAAGAAACAAGAATGCATATTTTCAAGTCTACCAATGTCTATTCTAAAACTTACCTAAAAATGATTTTGTTAAAAGACAAATAATTTTTTTCTCTGTCATGTAAATCTTCTTCTAATATACAAAGAAAACATCACATTATCAACTTTCTCTTTAAATCTGTGTAAAGCATTTTATTTTTTTCAATATAAAATACAAAAATCTCCTGCTATGACAAATTAAAATTAGAATTTTCAACAGTAACACTCTTTAAAACTGTGAAGGGCCCAAAGGGAATCAAGCCTTTCATGCAACATTACAAATATATTTGGCTTTTCTATAAAGCAGCGTCCTCATGCGTATTGTCAAGTTCTTTGCAATTATTTTTCTTTCTTCGTTTATACAATGTAAGCAATATTATGTATCTTAACATGTTGTGACTGTTAAGTAAAATAATATGAAGTGCCTTGCAATGTGCCTAGCCAAGGTATATGTGCTCAGTAATCTTAGCTCTCATTTCTCAAACTACACTAAAAATAGCAAATTAACTTTATGTAAAGTATATGAAGAGAAAACATCTGTGAAAAAAATTATTATTCCTTTTTATGCTTAATGCAAGGCAAGACAATATACCTTTTCTTTTTTTAATATTTTATTATTATTATACTTTAAGTTTTAGGGTACAAGTGCACAACGTGAAGGTTTGTTACATACGTATACATGTGCCATGTTGGTGTGCTGCACCCTTTATCTCGTCATTTAACATTAGGTATATCTCCTAATGTTATCCCTCCCACCCCACAACAAACCCGGTGTGTGATTTTCCCCTTCCTGTGTCTATGTGTTCTCATTGTTCAATTCCCACCTATGAGTGAGAACATGCAGTGTTTGGTTTTTTCTCCTTGCGATAGTTTGCTGAAAATGATGGTTTCCAGCTTCATCCATGTCCCTACAAAGGACATGAACTCACCATTTTTTATGGCTGCATAGTATTCCATTGTGTATATGTGCCACAATTTCTTAATCCAGTCTATCATTGTTGGACATTTGGGTTGGTTCCAAGTCTTTGCTATTGTGAATAGTGCCACAATAGACATACGTGTGCATGTGTCTTTACAGCAGCATGATTTATAATCCTTTGGGTATATACCCAGCAATGCGATGGCTGGGTAAAATGGCATTTCTAGTTCTAGATCCCTGAGGAATCACCACACTGACTTCCACAATGGTTGAACTAGTTTACAGTCCCACCAACAGTGTAAAAGTGTTCCTATTTCTCCACATCCTCTCCAGCACCTGCTGTTTCCTGACTTTTTAATGATCGCCATTCTAACTGCTGTGAGATGGTATCTCACTGTGGTTTTGATTTGCATTTCTCTGATGGTCAGTGATGATGAGCATTTTTTCATGTGTTTTTTGGCTGCATAAATGTCTTCTTTTGAGAAGTGTCTGTTCATATCCTTCGCCCACTTGTTCATGTGGGTGTTTGTTTTTTTTCTTGTAAATTTGTTTGAGTTCATTGTAGATTCTGGATATTAGCCCTTTGTCAGATGAGTAGGTTGCAAAAATTTTCTCCCATTCTGTAGGTTGCCTGTTCACTCTGATGGTAGTTTCTTTTGCTGTGCAGAAGCTCTTTAGTTTAATTAGATCCCCTTTGTCAATTCTGGCTTTTCTTGCCATTGCCTTCGGTGTTTTAGACATGAAATCCTTGCCCATGCCTATGTCCTGAATGGTATTGCCTAGGTTTTCTTCTAGGGTTTTTATGGTTTTAGGTCTGACATTTAAGTCGTTAATCCATCTTGAATTAATTTTTGTATAAGGTGTAAGGAAGGGATCCAGTGTCAGCTTTCTACATATGGCTAGCCAGTTTTCCCAGCACCATTTATTAAATAGGGAATCCTTTCCACATTTCTTGTTTTTCTCAGGTTTGTCAAAGATCAGATAGTTGTAGATATGCAGCATTATTTCTGAGGGCTCTGTTGTGTTCCGGGGTCTATATCTCTGTTTTGGTAATACTACCATGGTGTTTTGGTTACTGTAGCCTTGTTGTATAGTTTGAAGTCAGGTAGCGTGATGCCTCCAGCTTTGTTCTTTTGGCTTAGGATTGACTTGGCGATGCGGGCTCTTTTTTGGTTCCATATGAACTTTAAAGTAGTTTTTTCCAATTCTGTGAAGAAAGTCATTGGTAGCTTGATGGGGATGGCATTGAATGTATAAATTACCTTGGGCAGTATGGCCATTTTCACGATATTGATTCTTCCCACCCAGGAGCATGGAATGTTCTTCCATTTGTTTGAATCCTCTTTTATTTCCTTGAGCAGTGGTTTGTAGTTCTCCTTGAAGAGGTCCTTCACGTCCCTTGTAAGTTGGATTCCTAGGTATTTTATTCTCTTTGAAGCAATTGTGAATGGGAGTTCACTCATGATTTGGCTGTTTGTCTGTTATTGGTGTATAAGAATGCTTGTGACTTTTGCACATTGATTTTGTATCCTGAGACTTTGCTGAAGTTGCTTATCAGCTCAAGGAGATTTTGGGCTGAGACGATGGGGTTTTCTAGATATACAATCATGTGATCTGCAAACAGGGACAATTTGACGTCCTGTTTTCCTAACTGAATGCCCTTTATTTCCTTCTCCTGCCTGATTGCCCTGGCCAGAACTTCCAACACTATGTTGAATAGGAGTGGTGAGAGAGGGCATCCCTGTCTTGTGCCAGTTTTCAAAGGGAATGCTTCCAGTTTTTGTCCATTCAGTATGATACTGGGTGTGGGTCTGTCATAGATAGCTCTTATTATTTTGAGATACATCCCATCAATACCTAATTTATTGGGAGTTTTTACCATGAAGCGTTGTTGAATTTTGTCAAAGGCCTTTTCTGCATCTATTGAGATAATCATGTGATTTTTGTCTTTGGGTCTGTTTATATGCTGGATTATGTTTATTGATTTTCATATGTTGAACCAGCCTTGCATCCCAGGGATGAAGCCCACTTGATCATGGTGGGTAAGCTTTTTGATGTGCTGCTGGATTCGGTTTGCCAGTATTTTATTGAGGATTTTTGCATCAATGTTCATCAAGGACATTGGTCTAAAATTCTCTTTTTTTGTTGTGTCTCTGCCACGCTTTGGTATCAGGATGATGCTGGCCTCATAAAATGAGTTAGGGAGGATTCCCTCTTTTTCCATTAATTGTAATAGTTTCAGAAGGAATGGTACCAGCTCCTCCTGTACCTCTGGTAGAATTCGGCTGTGAATCCATCTGGTCCTGGACTTTTTTTGGTTGGTAAGCTATTAATTATTGCCTCAATTTCAGAGCCTGTTATTGTCTATTCAGAGATTCAAATTCTTCCTGGTTTAGTCTTAGGAGGGTGTATGTGTCGAGGAATTTATCCATTTCTTCTAGATTTTCTAGTTTATTTGCATAGAGGTGTTTATAGCAGTCTCTGATGGTAGTTTGTATTTCTGTGGGATCGGTGGTGATATCCCCTTTATCATTTTTTATTGCATCTATTTGATTCTTCTCTCTTTTCTTCATTAGTCTTGCTAGTGGTCTATCAATTTTGTTGATCTTTTCAAAAAACCAGCTCCTGGATTCATTGATTTTTTGAAGGGTTTTTTGTGCCTCTATTTCCTTCAGTTCTGCTCTGATTTTAGTTATTTCTTGCCTTCTGCTAGCTTTTGAATGTGTTTGCTCTTGCTTCTCTAGTTCTTTTAATTGTGATGTTAGGGTGTCGATTTTAGATCTTTTCTGCTTTCTCTTGTGGGCATTTAGTGCTAAAAATTTCCCTCTACACACTGCTTTGAATGTGTCCCAGAGATTCTGGTATGTTGTGTCTTTGTTCTCATTGGTCTCAAAGAACACCTTTATTTCTGCCTTCATTTTGTTATGTACCCAGTAGTCATTCAGGAGCAGGCTGTTCAGTTTCCCTGTAGTTGAGCAGTTTTGAGTGAGTTTCTTAATCCTGTGTTCTAGTTTGATTGCACTGTGGTCTGAGACACAGTTTGTTATAATTTCTGTTCTTTTACATTTGCTGAGGAGTGCTTTACTTCCAACTATGTGGTCAATTTTGGAATAGGTGTGGTGTGGTGCTGAAAAGAATGTGTATTCTATTGATTTGGGGTGGAGAGTTCTGTAGATGTCTATTAGGTCCTCTTCGTGCAGAGCTGAGTTCAATTCCTGGATATCCTTGTTAACTTTCTGTCTCGTTGATCTGTCTAATATTGACAGTGGGGTTTTAAAGTCTCCCATTATTATTGTGTGGGAGTCTAAGTCTCTTTGTAGGTCACTCAGGACTTGCTTTATGAATCTGGGTGTTCCTGTATTGGGTGCATATATATTTAGGACAGTTAGTTCTTCTTGTTGAATTTATCCCTTTACCATTATGTAATGGCCTTCTTTGTCTCTTTTCATCTTTGTTGGTTTAAAGTGTGTTTTATCCGAGATTAGGATGGCAACCCCTGCCTATTTTTGTTTTCCATTTGCTTGGTAGATCTTCCTCCATCCCTTTATTTTGAGTCTATGGGTGTCTCTGCACGTGAGATGGGTTTCCTGAATACAGCACACTGATGGGTCTTGACTATCCAATTTGCCAGTCTGTGTCTTTTAATTGGAGCATTTAGCCCATTTACATTTAAGGTTAATATTGTTATGTGTGAATCTGATCCTGTCATTATGATGTTAGCTGGTTATTTTGCTCGTTAGTTGATGCAGTTTCTTCCTAGCCTCGATGGTCTTTACAATTTGGCATGTTTTGGCAGTGGCTAGTACCAGTTGTTCCTTTCCATGTTTAGTGCTTCCTTCAGGAGCTCTTGCAGGGCAGGCCTGGTGATGACAAAATCTCTCAGCATTTGCTTGTCTGTAAAGGATTTTATTTCTCCTTCACTTATGAAGCTTAGTTTGGCTGGATATGAAATTCTGGGTTGAAAATTCTTTTCTTTAAGAATGTTGAATATTGGCCCCCACTCTCTTCTGGCTTGTAGAGTTTCTGCCGAGAGATCCGCTGTTAGTCTGATGGGCTTCCCTTTGTGGGTAACCCAACCTTTCTCTCTGGCTGCCCTTAACATTTTTTCCTTCATTTCAACTTTGGGGAATCTGACAATTATGTGTCTCAGAGTTGCTCTTCTCGAGGAGTATTTTTGTGGCGTTCTCTGTATTTCCTGAATTTGAATGTTGGCCTGCCTTGCTAGATTGGGGAAGTTCTCCTAGATAATATCCTGCAGAGTGTTTTCCAACTTGGTTCCATTCTCCCTGTCACTTTCAGGTACACCAATCAGACGTAGATGTGGTCTTTCCACATAGTCCCATATTTCTTGGAGGCTTTGTTCGTTTCTTTTATTCTTTTTTCTCTAAACTTCTCTTCTTGCTTCATTTCATTCATTTCATCTTCCATCGCTGATACTTTCTTCTAGTTGATCGAATCAGCTACTGAGGCTTGTGCATTTATCACGTAGTTCTCGTGCCGTGGTTTTCAGCTTCATCAGGTCCTTTAAGGACTTCTCTGCATTGGTTATTCTAGTTAGCCATTCGTCTAATTTTTTTTTAAAGGTTTTTAACTTCTTTGCCATTCGTTCGAACTTCCTCCTTTAGCTCGGAGTAGTTTTATCTTCTGAAGCCTTCTTCTCTCAACTCATCAAAGTCATTCTCTGTCCAGCTTTGGTCCGTTGCTGGTGAGGAGCTGCATTCCTTTGGAGGAGGAGAGGCACTCTGTTTTTTACAGTTTCCAGTATTTCTGCTCTGTTTTTTCCCTATCTTTGTGGTTTTAGCTACCTTTGGTCTTTGATGATGGTGACGTACAGATGGGGTTTTGGTGTGCATGTCCCCTTCTGTTTGTTAGTTTTCCTTCTAACAGTCAGGATCCTCAGCTGCAGGTCTGTTGGGGTTTACTGGAGGTCCACTCCAGACCCTGTTTGCCTGGGTATCAGCAGTGGTGGCTGCAGAACAGCAGATGTTAGTGAACCGCAAATGCTGCTGCCTGATCGTTCCTCTGGAAGTTTTGTCTCAGAGGAGTACCCGGCCGTGTGAGGTGTCAGTCTGCCCCTACCGGGGGATGCCTCCCAGCTAGGTTACTCAGGGGTCAGGGACCCACTTGAGGAGGCAGTCTGCCCGTTCTCAGATCTCAAGCTGTGTGCTGGGAGAACCACTACTCTCTTCAAAGCTGTCAGACAGGGACATTTAAGTCTGCAGAGGTTATTGCTGCCTTTTGTTTGTCTGTGCCCTGCCCCCAGAGGTAGAGCCTACAGAGGCAGGCAGTCCTCCTTGAGCTGTGGTGGGCTCCACCCAGTTTGAGCTTCCTGGTTGCTTTGCTTACCTACTCAAGCCTCAGCAATGGCAGGCGCCCCTCCCCCAGCCTCCCTGCCACCTCGCAGTTTGATCTCAGACTGCTGTGCTAGCAATGAGCGAGGCTCCGTGGGCGTAGGACCCTCCAAGCCAGGTGCTGGATATAATCTCCTGGTGTGCTGTTTGTTAAGCCCTTTGGAAAAGTGCAGTATTAGGGTGGGAGTGACCCAATTTTCCAGGTGCCCTCTGTCACTCCTTTCTTTGACTAGGAAAGGGAATTCCCTGACCCCTTGTGCTTCCCGGGTGACGCAATGCCTCGCCCTGCTTCGGCTCATGCTTGCTGCACTGCACCCACTGTCCTGCACCCACTGTTCGGCACTCCCCAGTGAGATGAACCCGTTACCTCAGTTGGAAATGCAGAAATCACCCATCTTCTGCGTCGCTCACACTGGGAGCTGTAGACTGGAGCTGTTCCTATTTGGCCATCTTGGCTCCACCCCACTGTACACCTTTTCTTATCTGTCACACTGGCAAAGGTTCTTGGTTTTGATTTGTTGTTATTGGTGTTTTAATGGTAACACCTAATGACAGCCAATGCCAATCAGAATGGAATTAGACAAGTGCGCTTACACATCCTCTCAGAAAAACACCAGAACTGAGAAAAACATCCACAGCCTTAAGGAAATACACACACACACATAACTATAAAACTTCTTTTATCTTTTGACTCAGTCTGCTTCTTGAGCTCTATCCTGAGAATATAATCAGCTATGTAGTCAAAGATCTAATTACAAGATGTTCATCTTAACTTTTAATAGTGAAAAAGGAATACAATCTGAATATCCAACAAGAAAATAGTTAAATACATTTTAGCACATTCATGAAACAGAATATTATATGGTTCATTAAAAAAGGTTATTAAATTATCTTAATAACTGCTTAATAGCAATTCCATTCACCCAGTGGCTCAGGATTGTCCTTGTTTCATCTCTCTGACATTCACATCTGATCCATTAGAAAATTACATAAGCGTTAACATTCAAAATGCAAGTACATGCAGAATCTAACCTCTCTTTACTCCTACCACCCTGTCCTAAGCCACTCGTCTTAGAACTGAACTGGATTATACTGTTAGCCTCCTAACTTGCCTCTGTTTCCAGTTTTGCATACGTATAGTCTATACTTCAATAGATGCTAGAATTATTCTTCGAAAATATAAGTAAAAATAATGTCACTGCATGCCTCAAAAACAAGATATGAAACTATGCATAGCATATTTCCAGTTTTATTTGCCAAAATATTAATAATGTTTATATGTGAGTGATAATGAGATTATATACAAGTTATTTTGTTTAGTCCATGTTTTTAATTTTTTTCTTACTTAAGCAGGTTTAATTTAAAAAACTAATATAATGTTTGTAAAAAAGTTTATACAAATTGAACTGTATGATTCAAATATTTTAATTTTAAAATATGATCTAATCAAAGGTTAGTACTCAAAAAAACTCTAATTTCAAATTATGACTCATTGAGGACAAATTTGAACATGAAAAAACGTTTTTAAAATTATGTATGAGAACATACACTTTGAAAAAAGGAAATTATCATATCATAATAGGACATCATAATAAACACAAAACGTGAATGTTTTACATTATTACATATTTTCTGTTGTTCAGGCTAACAAAAATGAAAATGACAACTTTTTATGAATCTTCTACCTTCTATCTTGAATCTTCTCTGCTAAAATTATTATTTTTAAAAAGTGGTCTGAGAGCTATTGTTTTCTTAATTCTTTTTCTCTGACCTTGAAATATAATTAACTGTCTTATAGGTCTCAATGGTATAAGTCAGTAGGAAGATAAAAATATATGGGATTAAAGTAAAAAGTGATAAGACTTTTAAATTAAGTAATGATGCTAATAATCCTACTTTATGAAAATGGGTTATATCATAGATGTTAATTATTATTATAACCAAGGTTTGGCAACTAAGAGATCTTTACATTTTTTAAAGAAAATGAGTGTTGGAGTTCTTTTGTTTAAAGGTTTACCAGAGAAAATATGATTATTTATTCAAAATTAAGTGATTATATTACTTTATGCAACATTTTCATTCTGTACCCTCAGAGTAGGGCAAACAATTTTATTAATAATATAAACGTTGGGACACATTTAAAATAAGAAGGAGGTAAATAATCACAAAATGTTACCCTCTGCCAGAATTAGTATAATGATTACTCCATTTGAAATTTTTAAACACATATTCTTTGTAAAAAAAAAAAAAAAAAGTAAAAGAAGTAAAAATAAGTGAAAACATATTCTTTGCAAAAAGAAGTAATTCTTCTTCCCCATGCATGGTCTAAATGTAATTAACTTTTGAGAATGGAGAACAATAAAGCACAGAGTTCACATTCTATTAAAAATGAGACATGGGAGAGAAAAACCCAAAGCAGCTACAGAAAGGCAAGGAATGATACGGGCGGCTAGGAAGAGGCGTAAGTCTTGAGACCCCTGTGAGGCTGCTAACAGCTTGATGGGATGAAAGACAAGATAGCAGAAGTAAGCAGATGACACAAAACAATGATGAAAAGGGGTGTGTGAACAAGAGCTGGATCAAGGTTACACAAAAGAACCATCTGGGACTCTTACTGTGAATAAATCTTTATTTTTTCCCCCTAAGCCAGTCTCAGTTGACCAATGTCTAAGATTTTTCATGGACAGACTTGACCAATTCACAGAATGTAAGATTTTATAATACTCCAGCTTCAGAAGCTGTCATTCATTGTCATATCAAAATCTCACCAACCATTAGGATGTCAATATTCTAATTACTTTCGATATACAATATTCATGAAGACAAGTACTACACTTTTTACATAGTAGAGGCTCAAATATGTGTATTAATTGCATGATGAAGATTTGTTTTTTCAGAAAGATAAATCAGTAGATCTGTAATTTTACAAAAAAGACTCTGCTTCATTAGATGATTCTACAAATACAAAAATATTTTTAAATTTTCTATATATAATAAAAATATCTAGTGTGTTTCATACGCAATTGTAAGTTATAACAATGTAAGATATCTAACTTTTCTCAGAAAAAAAAGAAAAACTTTAGCTACAATTGTATTTCAATCCCAAATGATTCAGTCATTCTTAATCTCAAACTTAGTAAGCAGAGAGCAACATTTAAAAAAAATTCATATAAGCAATGTCATTTCAAGGAAGTAACAGTTTCTGTACTATTCCCATTGTTTGCTAAAAATTCACAAATTACTATCATTTCCTAAATTTTCATTTATAAGAGCCTAATTTACTCCTCTTCCCCAACCCCATCCTCGTATTATCTATGGGCCAAAATCTTGTTTTTAACAGATGAAACAAACATGAAATATACACCAAGTCAAAGAAGCATGTCATTAAATTATGGTTTGTAGACTAACTGGGAGAAATCAACTCACTTTGGGACAATGGAATGGATTTTCAGAAGATGACCCAGCCCGAGGCTGGTACTAGCTACAGATACCAAAAATATTCTGGGAAATCAATGGGCTATTTCAGATGCTTTGTTTTCCAATATTTCTCTATAACTGACAAAATTAATTAAGACTAGCAAAATTATCCCTTTCCAAAGGAATCCCACAAGTGTCAAGGGGTCAAAGGAACCACACAAGTGTCAAGGGGCCATGGTATTCCCAAGGCCTTCCATTTACTGAAACTGCAAATCACAGGTCCCTATTCTAAAATTTAATTATCCTGACCTCTTCTTATTTCACCTTATATGCAAATACAAAGTGATCCTATTACTCAACTAAATTAAATTAAAAAATTGTGTGTGCACCAGAACTAGATCTAACATGGCTGCATAAGGCATTTGGCCTCCTTATTCAAAACTACAGTATTTTAAAAATTGACAAAAACCTAATGCCAATCAGCAGATGAATAGCTAAATAAACAATGACTTATTTACAGTATAAAATTCTGTACATCAATTAAAATAATAAATAGGTAGATCTCTAGCCCATGTTCTGGAACAAAAAGACACAATATACAATATTAACATATAGTTTAATATATATATATATACACACACACACACACAAATACATGTAAAAGTATGTAAAATGTCTAGAAAGAAACACAGACTTGTAATATTAATTACTTCTGGGGAGGAAAAAAGCAACCAAAACTGTTGGTTGTGGTCAAAGGGAGCTTTACCCTTATATTAGTTAGATGCTATAGCCAAAAAACAAACAAAATGTATGATGGCTCAAACATGATAATGTCCAGAGTTTTGGTCACATAAATTCCAAAATAGATGGTCCTGACTGGTGTTTAGTTGTCACCTAAATGGTGATTGCAAGACCCACATGTTCCGTCTTGTAGTTCCACTATCTTTAACACATGGCTTCCAAAGTCACCTTACTTGTCTGGCATTATGCCAGAAAGGTAAGACAATATAGAGTTATTGTACATGGGAAATTTCCATAACCATATAACCAATATTTAAGTAAGAAACATTACTTTGTTCACATTCCATTAGCCAAAACTCAATCACACTCTAGCAAGCCCCAAAGGAGAAGGAAATGGGCTTGAAGAACAGTTAGCCAGTCTCTGCCCACAGGCTGCGTTTTTGGCCACCAAATACCCATTTCAGTATTCTGTTCACCCTTATTTGCACACTCTCTCCCCAAAGAGGACAACCTAAATTCCCATCTAGTCATTGCATCCAGCTCAAAATCTAGGATCATCTGATAGTGCTCAGTAGTTACCACGAGGTCCAAATGTAGGTCCTCATAGTACAGCAACCTATTAACTGCAAGATAATTTAAACCCATGCTCAACCCAATATACACAAATTTAGTGGGGACAGGGAACGCACAGCAAACACTCCCATTCAGAGAAAGGAAGAGTGGGCAACAAGTAGCAGTCACTGGTCCACAATAATAATGAAATCTTGTTGGGCAAAAACTCAAGAGATCCTTCTATCCTGACAGTAGGATAAATTCCTTAATTAGTCCCTAATTCTGGAAGAACCTGTTCTCTACTGCTCTCCATAGTCGCTTGCTCTGCCTTCTGGGAGGTTCTTCTTTATCCTTTATCTTCCATGGCCATATATGAAATGAACATTGAGGACAGTAACTTTTTGTGGCCGATACAATTTTTGCATTCCTTTTCTTACTTTCAAATATTTGAGGGCCCAAATTTTGTTTAAGGTTAAAAGACTATAAGGCAATTTTAGTCCAGACTTGTGGGGTTTTTAGCACACAGTTGACTCAAAAAGTTGATTTTCAATCTGTTTGCTTCCAACCAGTGCATGTGCCAATCAATATACCTAGACTCCTTGAAGATTACCCTCGCTACCAGTTTCCCTGTTTCTATATACCTATGTGTATGTATATGAGTGTGCAATAGGCATAGCATGTGAACTTGAACTTAATGGTGGTTTCCTTGAAGCCATCTAAGATAACAGGTTTGAATAAGAAAGCTATGCCCTTAGTTTCTTTGCCATGGAGCTGAGTCTTAATGGACTTCTTCTAAGCTCCAGATTTCTAGACTCTCTCTCGTCCCTTTTATTTTGGTCACAAACTGACTAATTCTTTCCTGAGCTCACTTCTCTTTTTTTAATACCTTGTTCAAACCAGAGTGCCAAAGCCAAGACATATTATTGTTTCCAACCATTTCCCCTAGACGTGTAGGATCATTAGATACATAGTCTGCCTCCTAAATTATCCCAAGTACAGTTTTATCAAATGTTTTCCCACAACTTAACATAAATCTCCAGCTTTCCAGCCCTGATACCAGTTTCTCCACCACAAACTGCTTGATCTCTAAGCCAGTGCCTCACACTTTAGGTACTGGTTACAGCAGCAACACATCTTAAGGTAAACATTTCTGTATTCACTCATGAATTTTACCTATAGGTAGACTCCATCATCGAAGTAACTATGTATTTTAATCATTCTTCCACATCTTCCACTAACATGGGGTGCCTACCACCAAACAGAATCTGAGGTCTCCTAAGGATCAAAATATGTAAGACAGGACTCAAGAAAAAAATCATTAGTAGAAACAGTAACTAAATTTAAATCCACACTTACTTAAAGTTAGTAAGGTTAAAGAAAAAAATAAAATACATTGCATATGCAGCTTTCATTGTCTTCTAAACTATACCAAATGAAGTAATGATACCTAACACAACAGTCTCAGAGGTCTGGTACCACTAAAGATATTACAGACCAGGTCAACAATATGAAACATCTCAAGAATAGAGTACGGGGGTGGGGAAAAAAAGAAAAAAAACCCAAGCCTTTAATTTGTTCCACTTTTTTCTATACTATATTTTCCATATTTATTTGTGTAATGTTTCCAATAACAGAGAGGTATGCTGTATCTAATTATAGTTTTTGCCTTCAAAGGACTTTTCCTTCACTGACATAAGGGTTGTTAGAGAGTTTGATAACTATTCAACAAGTTCCATTAGCTCAATATCAGCAAAAGAAAGATCTGGCTTTTCAAGCCCTCTGGTTCCAAAAGGTTTCTGCCTAAATGAAGAATATTGCAGGTAAGTTTCTCTTTCCAAGCCCAACAGGTCTGCTACAGGCCTAGATACTTCACGTGACACCTGTCCTCTCGACCAGCACTGTACAACAGAATTTTCTGTAATGATAAACATTTTCTATATTTATGCTGCTGATATGACAGTTACTAGCCACATGAAACTAGTGAGCACTTGCCATGTGGCTAGTGTTGAGAGATGACAATGTGCTAGCAGCCCTGGCTCGCTCTCAGCACCTCCTCGGCCTCAGCGTCTGCTCTGGCCATGCTTGAGGAACCCTTCAGCCTGCCGCTGCACTGTGGGAGCCCCTCTCTGGGCCGGCCCATGCTGAAGCCAGCTCCCTCTCCTTGTGGGAGGTGTCAAGGGAGAGGCGCAGGCGGGAACCAGGGCTGCGCGCAGCACTCACAGGGCAGCGCGAGTTCCGGGTGGGCGTGGGCTCGGCAGGCCCCGCACTCGGAGCAGCCAGCCGGCACTGCCGGCCCCAGGCAGGGAGGGGCTTAGCACCCAGGCCAGCAGCTGCGGAGGGTGCACCAGATTCCCCAGCACTGCCGGCCCGCCCGCACCGTGCTCAAATTGTCGCCGGGCCTCAGCCGCCTCCTCACAGGACAGGGCTCGGGACCTGCAGCCCGCCATGCCCGAGCCCCACCCCCCCACCCCATGGCGGGCCCCCAAGTGGCCCTAGCCTCCCCGACAGGCGCCACCCCCTGCTCCACAGCGCCCGGTCCCATTTACCTCCCAAGGGCTGAGGAGTGCAGGCACACAGTGTGGGACTGGCAGGCAGCTCTGCCCGTGGCCCTGGCATGGGATCCACTAGGCAAAGCCAGCTGGGCTCCTGAGTCGGGTGGGGACTTGGAGAACTTTTATGTCTAGCCAGAGGATTGTATATGCACCAATCAGCACTCTGTGTCTAGCTCAGGGTTGGTGGATGCACCAATCAGCACTCTGTATCTAGCTAATCTGGTGGGGACTTGGAGAACTTTGTGTCTAGCTAGAGGATTGTAAATGCACCAATCAGCACTCTGTGTCTAGTTCAGGGATTGTAAATGCACCAATCAGCACTCTGTGTCTAGCTCGGGGTTAGTGGATGCACCAATCAGTGCTCTGTGTCTAGCTCATCTAGTGGGGACTTGGAGAACTTTTGTGTCTAGCTAAAGGTTTGTAAATGCACCAATCGGCACCCTGTCAAAACGGACCAATCAGCTCTCTGTAAAACGGACCAAACAGCTCTCTGTAAAATGGACCAATCATCTCTCTGTAAAATGAACCAATCAGCAGGATGTGGGTGGGTCCAGATAAGGGAATAAAAGCAGGCTGCCCCAGGCAGCAGTGGCAACCCGTTCGGGTCCTCTTCCACATTGTGGAAGCTTTGTTCTTTCGCTCTTTGCAATAAATCTTGCTGTTGCTCACTCTTTGGGTCCGCACTGCCTTTATGAGCTGTAACACTCACCACGAAGGTCTGCAGCTTCACTCCTGAGGCCAGTGAGACCATGAAGCCACCAGGAGGAATGAACAACTCCGGACAGGAAGAATGAACAACTCCAGACGTGCCGCCTTAAGAGCTGTAACACACACCGCGAAAGTCTGCAGCTCCACTCCTGAAGTCAGCGAGACCACGAACCCACCAGAAGGAAAAGAACTCCAAACACGTCCAAACATCAGAAGGAATAAACTCCAGACACACCATCTTTAAGAACTGTAACACTCACCACGAGAGTCTGTAGCTTCATTCTTGAAGTCAGTGAGACCAGGAACCCACCAATTTCAGACACAGTGAGACTGAGGAATTGAATTTATTATCTCATTTCATTTTAATTTAAATTTCAATAGCCACACGTGGCTAGTGGTTACCATATTGGACAGTGCTGCTCTAGACACTAGACTCCACTACATACATTGAAAATACTATTCATTGCAAATACACTCATGCTAATTCTCAGCCACATGTGCCTGGCTCACAATTATTATCTAACTCCAATACCCACTTGCTATGATTTGAATGTTTTATGTTCCCAAAAAATTTTTATGTTGAAATCCTAACTCCCAAGGTGATGGCAATAAAAGGTGGGGCTTTTGGGAGGTGACTAAACCATCATGGACGAGCACTCAAAATCGGGATTAGTGCCCTTATATAAATAAGGCCCAAAGAGCTCCCTAGAGCTGCCTTGCCGCTTTCCACCATGTGAAGACACAGCAAGAAGGTGCCATCTATGAGGAAGCAAGCCCTCACCAGACACCAAATCTACTAGTGCCTTGATGTTAGACTTCTCAATAACCAGCAATGTGAGAAAAATTTCTGCTGTTTATAAGCTATCCAGTTTATTGTATTTTGGTACAGCAGCCCAAATAGACTAAGGCAACATCCTATCATTCTGGGTGACTTGAAAGACAACACAGACAGCCCATCAAAAAATCTGACCTCTCCATTTCCCTGACCTCTTCATCTCACCTGCTCAATTCCATTCCATACTCCAACTTCACGCCTGTGATATCCTAACCTTACTCTGCTTCCAAAATCACTGAGGCACCCTGCTCTCTGAAATCAAGCACCCTGCTCTCTGAAAGCAAGCAATGATTCTTTCAGATTTATTGTTCAACAATAAATTATATGACCATTCACTGATCACCCAGTCTACTAGCACTCTCCCTTCTTCACTTCTCTTTTAATCCAGCTTACATCCAATGATTGATTCATTCAAAAGTACTCTTGTTTGGACTCTATCATCCCTTGCCCCTCTGTCTTCTTGTCTAATATATCTAACAAATCCCAATCCTTGAAAAACAATGCAAACTCATGTTTGAAGGCATACATCTAAGCATTCAAATGCCTTAGGCAAATTAGTATTACCGTAAATTCTCAAAACATCCCTCCATTTGTATTTCTATCTAGCATTCCAGTTATATTTCTACTGTTGACTTGCTCTCCTTCTCTCTAAAGTGACTATTTCAAATCTTCTCTACTCTCCAGCTGCCTTTTCCCTCCAAATGCCCCCTCACTCAGAGTATATGAGTTTGCCAGCTTCACAAAGGAAAAAGTGGCATCAAAGAGAAATGGATTTCTTTTTAAGTGGAGGATACTTTCACTTCTGGACATGATGAAATAACAGGAACCAGATTAACCCTTCCACCTTAAACAATGATAAAACTGGACAAAATATGTAAAACAACTGTTTTCAGATACTGAACAACCAGTAGCATAGGGCAAAAAAACCTAATAAGAGAAAGAAATGAGAGGAGCCATAAAATCATCTGGCTTTCTTCCTGGAGGCATATTTTGGACCATGGAGCAAGAAGGAAGATTCCAAGCAGAAACGGCAATCTTGCTCCGGTGAGAAGACAGAGATCAGATACCTAGGTGCCTGAGATAGCTAAAAGGTATAGTACAGAGTTCTGGAGAGGAAGAAATTACCCTAAAAAATAAATCTAGAATTCCAGCTTAAAGTGTCCTGTGTCTTTGCTTGAACAATAAGATGTGAATGTGCAGAGTAAAAAAAATCCATAAGGTAAGGCAATTGAGCAACTGAAGAGCAAAGTAGTAAGCAATTTCCAGAGAGATCACCAAGACTGAGAATCACTCAAGTCCCCTCAAGACATGTGGTGAGTCTACATTTATTATATGTGTCATTCGCTAGAGATCCCAGAAGGACCATACCTCAGTAGTAAGGCTTAACCATCCCTGAGTAAAGGTTATTCTATCCCCGTCCTTACAAGCCTCAAAAGGATAAAATTAAACAACAAATAACTGCTTATCTGAATAAAGTCCAATACTCTATAAAAGAAGCAACACAATGCCCAGCAATCAATAAAAAATTACAAGTCATGGCAAGAGCCAATGCAAGAACTCTGGGAAATCAAATGGCCAGAGTGTCTTACATCCTCCAAATGACTACACTAGTTCTACAACAAGGGTTCCTAACCAGACTGAGTTGGCTAAAATGACAGAAATAGAATTCAGAATATGGATAGGAACAAAGATCATTGAGATTGAAGAAAATGGCATAAGCAATCCAAGGAAACTAAGAACTGCGATAAAACCATACAGGAGCTGACAAATGAAATAGCCACAAAGAAGAACTATGTGATCTGACAGAGGGGAAAAACACACTACAAGAATTTCACAATGCAATGACAATATTAACAGCAGAGTAAACCAAGCTGAGAAGAGAATCTTGGAACTTGAAGACTGGCTCTCTGAAATAAGACAGATGAAAACAAAGAAAAATGAATGAGAAAAACAAATAAAGCCTCTGAGAAACATGGGATTACGTAAAGAAGCAAAATCTACAAATTACTGGAATCCCTCAAAGGGATGGAGAGAAAGCAAACAAGTCAGGAAACATATTTCAAGATATTGTCAATGAAAATGTCCCCAAACTTGCTATATAGAGGCCAAGAGTCAAATTCAAGAAATACAGAGAACCCCTGCAAGATTCTACACAAGAGCATCCCAAGACACATAATCATCAGATTTTCCAAGATTGAAATGAAAAAAAAGAATGTTAAAGTTAGCTAGAGAAAAAGGGCAGGCCACCTCATCAGTCTAACAGTGTGAACTCCTCAACAGAAACTGTACAAGCAAGAACAGATTGGAGGCCTATATTCAACATTCTTAAAGAAAAACATCTTGAACCAAGGATTTCATATCCAGCCAAACTATGCTTCATAAGCGAAGGAGAAATAAGATTCTTTTCAGACAAGCAAATGCTAAGGGAATTCATTACCACCAGACCTGTGTTACAAGAGCTCCTGAAGAAAGCACTAAATATGGAAAAGAAAAACCATTACCAGCAACTACAAAAACACACTGAAGTACACAGACCAATGCCACTACGAAGCAACCACATAAACGAGTCCGAAAAATAACCATCTAGCATCATTATGACAGGACCACATCTACACATAACAATACTAACCTTAAGTGTAAATGGGCTAAATGCCCCAATTGAAAGACACAGAGTGGCAAGCTAGATAAAGAACCAAGACCCATCGGTATGCTGTCTTCAAGAGACTCATCTCACATGCAAAGACACAGGTAGGCTCAAAATAAAAGGATGGAGAAACGTTTACCAAGCAAATGCAAAACAGAACAAAGCAGGGGTTGCAATACTAGTTTCTGACAAAACAGACTTTAGACTAACAAAGATCAAAAAAGACAAAGAAAGACATTCAACAAGAAGAGCTAACTATACTAAATATATATACACACAATAAAGGAGCATCTAGATTCATAAAGCACATTCTTAGAGACCTTCAAAGAGACTTAGTCTCCCAGACAATAATACACAATAATACTGGGAGACTTTAATACCCCGTTGACAATATTAGACAGATTATCAGACAGAAAATTAACAAGGATATTCAGGACCTGAACTTAGCTCAGGATCAAGTGGACCTGACACATGCCCACAGAACTCTTCACCCAAAAACAACAGAATATACAGTCTTCTCATCTCCACACAGCACTTACTTAAAATCAATCACATAATCAAAAGTAAAACACTGCTCAGCAAATGCAAATGCAAAAGAACTGAAATCATAACAAACAGTCTCTCAGACTAGTGTTATCAAATTAGAACTCAGTGCTAAAAAAATTCACTGGAAAACACACAATTACATGGAAATTGAACAACCTGCTCCTGAATGATTTTTGGGTAAATAATGAAATTAAGGCAGAAATCAAGAAGTTCTTTGAAACTAATGAGAACAAAGATAAAATGTACCAAAATCTCTGGGATGCAGCTAAAGCAGTGTTAAGAGGGAAGTTTATGGCACTAAATGCCCACATCAAAAAGCTACAAAGGTCTCGAGTCAACAACCTAACATCACAACTAAAAGGACTTGAGAACCAAGAGTAAACAAACCCCAAAGCTAGCAAAAGACAAGAAATAACCAAGATCAGAGTTTAACTGAAGGAGATAGAGACAGGAAAAACCATTCAAAAGATCAACAAATCCAGGAGTTGGCTTTTTGAAAAACTTAATAAAACAGACTACTAGGTAGACTAATAAAGAAGAGAGAAGATTCAAATAAACACAATCAGAAATAAGGAGGATATTACCACTGACCCCACAGAAATACAAACAACCATCACAGACTATTAGAAACTCCTCTCTGTACATAAACTAGAAAATCTAGAAGAAATGGATAAATTCCTTGACACATATACCCTCCCAAGACTGAAACAGGAAGAAATTGAATCCCTGAATAGACCTATAATGAGTTCTGAAATTGAGGCAGTAATAAATAGCCTACCAACCAAAAAAAGCCCAAGACCAGACATATTCACAGCTGAATTCTACCAGGGGTACAAAGAAGAGCCAGTACCATTCCCACTGAAACTATTCCAAAAATTGAGGAGGAGAGATTCCTCCCAGTAATAAACAGCTTACCAACCAAACTCATTCTATGAGGCCAGCATTATCCTGATACCAATAACTGACAGAGATAAACAAAACAAGACAACTCCAGGCTAATATTCTTAATGAACATCAATGCAAAAATCCTCCACAAAACACTGGCAAACTGAATCCAGCAGCACATCAAAAAGCTTATCCACCACAAACATGTAGGCTTCATCCCCAGGATGCAAGGTTGGGGTTCACTGTACTCAAATCAATAAATCTGATTCATCACATAAGCAGAACCCAAAACAAAAACCATACGATCATCTCAATAGATGCAAAAAAAAAAGGCCTTCGATAAAATTCAACATCTCTTCATGTTAAAGATCAATAAACTAGGTATTGAAGGAACATACCTCAAATAATGAGAACCATATATGATAAAAACACAGCCAATATCATACAGTATGAGCAAAAGCTGGAAGCATTCCCTCTTGAAAACCAACAGAAGACAAGGTTGCCTTCTCTCACCACTCCTATTCAACATAGTATTGAAAGTCTGGCCAGGGCAATCAGGCAAGACAAAGAAATAAATAAGTATGGAAATAGAAAGAGAGGAAGTCAAACTATCTTTGTTTGCAGATGACATAATTCTATACCTAGAAAACCCCATCATCACAGCCCAAAAGCTTCTCAAGCTGATAAGCAACTTCAGCAAAGTCTCAGGATACAAAATCAATGTGCAAAAATCACTAGCATTCCCATACACCAACAGGCAAGTAGAGAGCCAAATCATGAATGAACTCCCATTCACAATTGCCACAAAAAGAATAAAATTCCTAGGAATACAGCTAACAAGGGAAGTGAAGGACCAATTCAAGGAGAACTATAAACAAATGGAAAGACATTCCATGCTCACAGATAGGAAAAATCAATATTGTGTAATAGCCATACTGCCCAAAGTGATTTATAGATTCGATGCTATTCCCATTAAACTATCGTTGACATTCTTCACAGAAAAAGAAAAAAATATTTTAAAATTCATACAGAACCAAAAAAAAGCCCAAATAGCCTAGGCAGTCCTAAACAACAATAAAAAAGAAAACTGGAGGTATCATGCTACCTGACTTCAAACTATACTACAGGGCTACTGTAATCAAAACAGCATGGTACTGGTACAAGAACAGACACATAGACCAATGGAACAGAATAAAGAACCCAGAAATAAAATCATACATCTACAACCATCTGATCTTTGACAAACCTGACAAAAACAAGCAATGGGGAAAGGATTCCCTATTTAATAAATGGTGCTGGGAGAACTGGGTAGCCATATGCAGAAAATTGAAACTGGACCTCTTCCTTATACCATATACAAAAATCAACTCAAGATGGATTAAAGACTTCAATATAAAACACAAAACTACAAAAAAAAACCCTAGAAAAAAAACTAGGCAATACCATTCAGGACATAGGCATGGGCAAAGATTTCATGACAAAAACACCAAAAGCAATTGCAACAAAAGCAAAATTAACAAATGGGATCTAACTAAACTAAAGAGCTTCTGCACAGCAAAAGAAACTATCAATGGAGTAAACAGACAACCTAAGAATGGGAGAAATTTTTGCAATTCTATGCATCTGACAAAGGTCTAATATCCAGCATTTATAAGGAACTTAAATTTACAAAACAAACAACCAACCAACCAACCCTGTTAAAAAGTGGTCAAAGGACATGAACAGACACTTCTCAAAAGAAAACATTCATGTGGCAAACAAACATATGAAAATAAGCTCAACATCACTGATCATTAGAGAAATGCAAATCAAAACAACAATGAGATACCATCTCATACCAGTCAGAGTGGCTATTACTAAAAACTCAAAAAACAACAGATGCTGGCAAGGTTGTTGAGAAAAAGGAACATTTTTATACTGTTGCTGGGAGTGTAAATTAGTTTGACCATGTGGAAGACAGTGTGGTGATTCCTCAAAGACCAAGAACCAGAAATACCATTTAACTCAGCAGTCTCATTACTGGGTACATACCCAAAGGAATATAAATTGTTCTATTATAAAGGCACATGCATGCATATGTTCATTGCAGCACTATTTACGATAGCAAAGACATGGAATCAACCCAAATGCCCATCAGTGATAGACTGGATAAAGAAAATGTCAAACATATACAACATGGAATACCATGCAGCCATAAAAAGGAATGGGATCATATCCTTTGCAGGGACATAGATGGAGCTGGAGACCATTATCCTTAGCAAACTAATACAGGAACAGAAAACCAAATACCACATGTTCTCACTTATAAGTGGGAGCTAAATGAGAACACATGGACACACAGTGGGGAACAATACACACTGTGGTCTATCAGAGGATGCAGGCTGGGAGGAGGGAGAGGATCAGGAAGGATAGCTAATGGATGCAGGGCTTAATACCTGGGTGATAGAATGATCTGTACAGCAAACCACAATGGCACACATTTACGTAGGTAACAAATCTGCACATCCTGCACATGTACCCCTAAACTTAAAAGTTGAAAATAATTAATTAAATTTTACAAATAAATTTAAAAATAAATAAATAAATAAAGCTCAATAAACCCTCAGTAGGAAAAACACAAAGAAACCACACCAACATTTGTCATAATCAAACTTCCGGAAACCAATAATAAAAAGGAAACCTTATCAAAATCAGACAAAGACAAATCAAAAAAAGAAAACTACAGGCCAATATTTATTATGAATATTGAGGCAAAAATCCCCAACAGAATATTAGCAAACCAAATTCAATAATCCATTAAAAAGATCATTCAACATGACCAAGTGGGATTTATCCCAGGGATGCAAGGATGGTTCAACATATGCCAATAAATGTGATACATCATATAAACAGAATTAAGGACAAAAACCATATAATCATTTCAATTGATGCTGACAGAAGCATTTGATAAAATTCAACATCCCTTCATGATTTTAAAAAAGCCTAAAAAAAATGGGGATATAAGGAACATACATCAACATAATAAAAGCCATATATGACAGACCCACAGCTAGTATCATACTGAATAGGGAAAGAAAATGAAACCCTTTCCTCTAAGATCTGAATATGGCAAGGATGCCTACTTTCACCACTGTTACATGACATAGTACTGGAAGTCCTAGCTCGAGCAATCAAACAAGAGAAAGAAATAAAGGGCCTCCAAATTAGAAAGGAAGAAGTCAAATTATCTTTGTTTGCAGATGATATGATCTTATATTTGGAAAAACCTAAAAACTCCACCAAAAAACTATTAGAACTGATAAACAAATTCACTAAAGCTGCAGGATACAAAATCAGCATTCAAAATTCAGTAGTATTTCCATATGCCTAAAGTAAACAATCTGAAATAAAACAATAAAAAAAGTAATCCCATTTACCATAGCCATAAATAAAATAAAATGCCTAGGAATTAACTTAACCAAATAAGTTAATGATCTCTACAATGAAAACTATAAAACAATGATTGAAAGAATGGAAAAGAGTGCAAAAATAATGGAAAGATATTCCATGTTCATGGATTGAAAGAATCAATATTGTTAAAATGTCCATACTACCGAAAGGAATCTACAAATTCAATGCAATCCCTATAAAAATACCAATAACATTCTTCATACAAATAGAAAAAAAAAATCCTAAAATTTACATGGAACCACAAAAGACCCAGAATAGCCAAATCTATCCTGAGCAAAAAGAACAAAACTGGAGGAATCCTATTACCTGTCTTCAAATTATACTACAGAATTTACAGCAACCAAAACAGCATGGTACTGGCATAAAAACAGACACAGACCAATGGAATGAATAGAGAGCCCAGAAACAAATCCACACACCTACAGTGAATTCATTTTTGACAAAGGTGCTAAGAACATAAACTTGGGAAAAGATAGTTTCTTCAATAAATAGTGTAGGGAAAATTGAACATCCATATGCAGAAGAATGAAACTAGACCCTTATCTCTTGTCATACACAAACATAAAACCACAATGGATTAAAGACTTAAATCTAACAGCTCAAACTATAAAACTACTACAAGAAAACACTGGGGAAACTCTCTAGGAAATTGGTTTGGGCAAAAAATTCTTAAGAAATATCGCACAAGCACAGATAACCAAAGAAAAAATAGACAAATGGGACCACATCAAGTTAAAAAGCTTCTGCACAGCAAAAGAAACAATCAACAAAGTGAAGACACAACCCACTGAATGGGAAAAAATATTTGCAAACTGTCCATCTGACAAGGGATTAATAACTAGAATATACAAGGAGCTCAAACAACTCTATAGGAAAAAAATCTAATAATCTGATTTTAAAATGGGCAAAAGATTAAATTGACATTTTTTAAAAGAAGACATACAAATAGCAAACAAATTTGAAAAGGTGCTCAACATCATTGATCATCAGAGAAATGCATATCAAAATTACAATGAGGTATCATCTTACTCCAGTTAAAATGGCTTTTATCCTAAAGACAGGGAGTAACAAATGGATGCACAAGGGAGAAAAAAGAACCTTTGTATGCTGTTGGTGGGAATGTAAATTAGTACAACCACTATGGAGAACAGTTTGGAGGCTCCTCAAAAAACTAAAAACAGAGCTACCATATGATCCAGCAATCCCACTGCTGGGTATATACCCAAAAGAAGGGAAATTGGTATATTGAAGAGATATCTGCACTCCCACATTTGTCATAGCTCTGTTCACAATAGCCAAGATTTGGAAGCAACCTAAGTGGCCATCAACAGATAAAGAAAATGTGGTACTTATACACAATAGAGTATTACGCAGCCATAAGAGAGAATGAGATCTTGTCATTTGCAACAACATAGATGGAACTGGAGGTCATTATGTTAAGTGAAATAAGCCAGGTACAGAAAGGCAAACATTGCATGTTCTTACTTATTTGGAGGGGCTAAAAATCCAAACAATTGAACTCATGGAGATAGACAGTAGAAGGATGGTTACCAGAGGCAGAGAAGAGTAGTGGGGAATGTGTGGGAAGGTCGGGATGGTTAATGGGTGCAAAAAAAACAGAGAGAAAGATTGAATAAGTCCTAGTATTTGACGGCACAACAGGTGGCTACAGTCAATAACAATTTAATTATACATTTAAAAATAACTGAAAGAGTATAATTGGATTGTTCGCAACACAAAGGATAAACGGTTGCAGGGGATACCCCATTTACCATGATGTGGTTATCACACATTGAATGTCTGTATAAAAATATCTCATGTACCCCATAAATATATACACATACCCTATTAAGTTTCCACAAACATTAAAAATTAAAAATTAAAATTTGTAAAGAAAACCTTTACAAAACCTGAGGGGAAAAAAAGACACATTACATAGAGACAAACAAAGGTAAAATGAACACGTATTTCTTGTCAGAAATAATGCAAACCAGAAGAGAAGGGAACAACATATTTAAAGTGCTAAAAGAAACTGTCAACACAGACATCTATACTGAACACCTTTCGAAAATAAAGACAAGTATCACAAGAAATGTTAAAGGGAGTTCCTCAAGCAGAAGGAAAATCACATTAGATGGAAACACGGGTCTATATAAAGGAAGTGTGCATCAAAATGGTATATATATATATATATATATATATATATATGGCAATGATGAAAGACAATTGTTTTCTTATTTTTAAAATTTCTTTAAAATCTAATTTTCTATTAAAAGTTGAAATGATAACAATATAGTATGGAGTTTAGAATACAGGTAAAATTGAAATCTATGACAACAACACAAAGAGAATGAAAGAAAAGAAATGGAAGTATACTGTTGTAAGATTTTTGTATTATACATAAAGTCAAATAATATTATTTTAAAATAGACTGTGATAGGTGAAATAGGTATATTATAAACACTACAGCAGCCCCTAAAAGTAAAAAAGAGAAATACCTAATAAGCCAATAGCAGAGACTTTATAAAGTTCTAAAAAATATTCAATACCTGTAAAAACTACACAGTCAATATTTCGGGCATTGTGAGCCTCGTGGTCACTGTTGCAACTACTTAAATCTACCATTGTAGTAAGAAAGCAGCCACAGACAATATTTTAATAAACGGGCATAGTAGCATTTCAATAAAACTTTATATATGGACAGTGGGCTACACTTGACCTGTGGGTCACATTTTGCTGATTCCTGATCTAATAGGCTAAACCCTTAACAACTAGAAAAAGAAGGGCTAAACTAACCTAAAATGTGACAGATTGATAAGTACAGCAAACCACCACGGTAAATGTATACCTATGTAACAAACCTGCATGTTCTGCACATGTATCCCAGAACTTAAAGTAAAATTTTAAAAAACTAAAAAAAAGGAAATAATAAAAATAACAGAAATAAATATTACAAAAAATAGAATAAGTTAGCAAAGCCAAAGCTTATGTTTTTTGAAATGAACAACAAAATTAATAAACTCCTAACTAGAGAAAAGAGAAAATATGAATTACCAGTATGAGGACTGAAAGAGGAATTATCACAACAGATCCAACAAGCATTAAAAATATAATAATGGAATGTTATAAAGCCTCTCTGTATCAGTAAACTTAATATCTTACAAGAAAATGACAATCTGATTCTAAAACTTGTATAGAAATTCAATGGACCCAAATAGCAAATACAGTTCCAAAAAAAGAGCAAAGTTAAAGGACTTACAGCACCTTAAAAATATGAATTCCAAGGCATCCTATAAAGGCACAGCAATTAAAACAATGTGGAATTAGCAAAAAGGAAGACATATAGATCAATGAAACAGAGACAGAGTCCAGTAATAAAGAAATAAACACACACATACATACACAGAGGATTTAATACAGGGGCCAAGGTAATTCAATAGAAAAAGGACCATATGTTTTAAACAGCACAGGAATAACTTAATATTTATTTGGAAAGAAAATAAACTTCAACCCTTACACCACACCATGTATAAAAATTAACTGATATAATTGTCAAAAAGGTAAAATCTTTTTCACATCATAGTAGGCAAACATTTCTTAGATGAAATATAAAAAGGATCAACTACAACAATAAAAGTTAGAATATGGATACTTCATCAAAATGTAAAATTTTTATTTGAAAGATACTGTTAAGAAAATGAAAAAGCAAACCAAAGACTAAAAGATAATATTATTAATATATGTGAAAAAAGAATCTATATAGAGAATATAGAAAGAATTTTTACAATGAATAAGACAAACAACCCAAAGTTTAAAATATTAAATGTTGGCCAAACACAGTGGCTCATGCCTGTATTCTCAGCACTTTGGGAGGCTGAGGCAGGTGGATTGCTTCAGCCCAGGAGTTCAAGACCAGCCTGGGCAACATGGAGAAACCCCGTCTCTACAAAAAATACAAAAACTAGCTGGCATGGTGGCATGCGCCTGTAGTCCTAGCTACTTGAGAGGCTGAGATGGGAGGATTAGTTGAGCCCAGGAGGCAGAGGTTGCAGTGACCCATGATAGCGCCACTGCACTCCAGCCTGAGTGACAAAGGGAGACCTTGTCTCAAAAAAATCAGTCAATCAATCAAATATCACATGGTTTGAACAGATATTTTACAAAGAACATATATGAATGACTAAGTACACTAGAAGATGATTAACATAATTAATCATCAGGTAAATGCAAATTAAATGCAAAAAACATACCATATACACCCATTATAACAGATAAAATTAAAGACAGTGCCAAGTATTCACCAGGATGTGAAGCAAATGGAACTTTCGTACAGTGCTGATAGAAATGTAAAATCATGCAGCCAATTTTGAAAAAGATTTCGGCAGTTTCTTAAAAACTCACACTTACTATACAACCTAGGTACACCTCTGGGTGCTTGCTAGTCACCCACTGGTTTCTCCCTTAGCACTGGTGCTTGAGTCTGCTATAGGGGAATCTGTAGGCTCTCCTGTAGGCTGTAGGCTGTACTTGCCAGGTCTGATTTGGCCCATCTTGCACCCTGCCAACGCTCCTCCCCAACCCCAGGGCTGAGGAGGGAGCTCAGACCACTGTGCACTCCACAAATGTGCCTCTTGCCTGAGGGCATACTTGCCAGGTCTGACTTGGCCCATCTTGCACCCTGCCAACACCCTCCCCAACCGCAGGGTTGAGCAGGGAGCTCAGACTGCTGTAGTGGTAGTTAAACAATGTATACATTTGTCAAAAGGCACTGAGCTATATATATTTTAAGTGTACATTATATTGTTATAATTATACCTCAATTAAGTTATTTTGAATTAAGTCATTACTCTTAGGATCTAATTGTTATTCTTCTGTAAGTAATCCTTTTTCTCCCATAACTTTAAAGACTTACTTTTGTCTTCGTTATTCTGTCATCTCATTACTATGTTTATAGGTGCTTATGGTACTCTACTTTCATTCTTTTATTAAATCTGTTTCATTCTCTTTTTCTTTCCTCTTAATTTCTTATTATCCATCATTTTGTCCCCCTGGAGAGCATTATGTGTTATTTCCTCAGCTTTCTTACAATTTGCTAATATACTTCATCAATGTCTACCCAATGTTCACTGAGTTCATAATCTCCATGACTATATTTTCATGTCTTAACTTACAACTTCTATTCATACCTTATCTCTTAGAATGCTTGAAAAAACACTTAAAGTATCTGTTTAGCTGATTTCAATTCTTCTAGTATTTCTACCACCTAAAGTGTAAATTTTCTCATTTGATGTGTAATTCATTTTTGTGTGATTTGTAATATTGAATTCTATTATCAAATATTGAATTTTTTTATAAAAGTCTTGACTGTATTCTTTGAGATGCAGAAACATCCCTAATTGAACATTTTCACGTTTCCTTCTACAAGGTCACACTGGTGACTGGACTGTACCATTTTAAAGATTAAATCTCAACTAAAGAGTCCTTGGATCATTAAGGTGTAAACTAAGACCCTGTGTGTGGCACAGGCCTAGGTTCCAGTTTCCTTAGTAACTTTTCCCACCCACAGTCCTGAGTAGATGTCAAATTCTCATGTAGCTGCTAGGCAGAGATTTTCTCATCCACATTTCATAGTAGGGCAGCCCTTCCAGATGCCTAGCTTTACACAGGTAGATCTCTCCTAGTCTCTGAGGCTTAAAGCCTAGATTTCCCTAACATTATTATTATCAACTCTGGCCTCCAGCTAGGTTTGCACACCCCAATGAGCTAATTAGAGTTCAGCTCCTTCTCATCATTTGGTGTTGAGTCCTCATCATTTGGTGTTTTGGTCCTCTTTATTTCTTGAACCTGATTATTTTGCTCTCTTTAAGCTTGGCTATATACCCCAAAATTCATGTTATATTTTTTCTAGTTTCCACTTGCTATGGTTTGAATGTGTTTCCCAAAGTTCATGTGTTAAAATCTTAATCCCCAATGCAACAGTGCTGAGAGGTGAGACCTTTAAGAGGTGATTAGGTCATCAGGGCTCTGCCATCATAAATGAATTAATAAAGTTATCATGGGAGTGAGTTAGTTATAAATTAACCGATGAAATAGGGTTTCTTATAAAAGGATGGGTTTGGCCCCCTTCCCTACTTCCTTCCCCCAGAGAATGCAAGCACACTCTCTTGCCCTTCTGCCTTCTGCCATGGGATGACACATAAAGAAGGTCCTCACCAGATGCCACAACTTGATATTGGTGCCAGCCTCCAGAACCTTGAGAAATAGATTTCTACTGTTATTTAATTACTCCATCTGTGCTATTTTGTCATAGCAACACAAAATGCACTAAGACACCACTCTCTGTGTTTGGAGTGGGAAGAGAAGTCCTTTCATGTTAGCAAAATCCTGACTTCAAGAAAGTGATGACAGTAGGAGAAACATACATTACAAGACAATTCCAATTAAGACTACAGATCTAAAAGTCCCAAGTGAAAAATTAAGAAACTGGGTGCAGCAATATATTTTTAAAAAATCATCACGACTACATTGGGTTTACTTCAGGAATACAAGGCTGGTTTAACATTAGAATACTAAAACATAACCCAAGGGTCAGCAAACTTCTGATAGGAAATATTTTAGGCTTTGTGTACCACATGCCATCTGTATCACATGTTGTTCTTTGGTTTTATTTTTTATAATCCCTTAAAAATCTAAAAACCACTCTTAGCTCACAGTCTGTATAAACACAAATCATAGTTTGCTATTACCTGATATAATTCAAGATGCCAACAGAATAAGTGGGAAAAGTCATATGATTATCTAAATAGATGCATAAACTGTATTTCATAATATCCAACATCCATTCATGACTTTTCTTTTTTTTGGTGGGGGGGTGGGGGCGGGGACAGAGTCTCGCTCTGTCACCCAGCTGGAGTGCAATGGCACCATCTAGGCTCACTACAACCTCTGCCTCCCGGGTTCAAGTGATTCTCCTGCCTCAGCCTCCCGACTAGCTGGGATTGCAGGTGCCCACCAACATGCCTGGCTAATTTTTGTATTTTTAGTAGAGACGGGGTTTCACCATGTTGGCCAGGCTGCTTTTGAACTCCTGACCTCAGGTGATCTGCCCACCTAAGCCTCCAAAACTGCTGGGATTACAGACGTGAGCCACTATGCCCGGTCCATGATTTTTAATTTATGCATAATGCAGGAAGATAACTTCCTTAACCCAACAAGGATTATCAAATAAAAACCTATATCAAACTTCCTTCTTAATGAAGAAAGAAAGATTTTCTTTAAGACTGGAAACAAGATAAGGATGCCTACCACACCTCCACCTCCACCCAACACTGTATCCTAGCCAGTACAGTAAAGCAGGAGAAAAAAAAACCTAAAGGAATAAGGTTTGAAAACAAAAAACAAAACTATCATTATAGAATAAATATTACTGTCTATGCCCCAGAGAGTATAGATAAAATATTAGAAATGACAAGAGAGTTCAGCAATGTGGCTGCATATAAGATTAATATATCTGTCACATCAATAATCCCAGCACTTTGGGAGGCCGAGGCAGGCAGGTCACGAGGTGAGGAGATCGAGACCATCCTAGCCAATATGGTGAAACACTGTCCTAATAAAAATATAAAACTTAGCCAGGTGTTGTGGTGTGTGCCTGTAGTCCAAGCTACCTGGGACGCTGAGGAAGAAGAATCACTTGAACCTGGAGAGTAGAGCTTGCAGTGAGTTGAGATCCAGCCACTGGGAAGAGAGTGAGACTCTGTCTCAAAAAAAAAAAAAAAAAAAAAAAAAAAAACCTTGGAATAAGTGCGATGTGGTGCTGAAAAGAATGTATATTCTGTTGATTTCGGGTGGAGAGTTCTGTAGAGGTCTACTAGGTCCGCTTGGTGCAGAGCTGAGTTCAATTCCTGGATATCCTTTTTAACTTTCTGTCTCATTGATCTAATGCTGACAGTGGGGTGTTAAAGTCTCCCATTATTATTGTGTGGGAGTCTAAGTCTCTTTGTAGGTCTCTAAGGACTTGCTTTATGAATCTGGGTGCTCCTGTATTGGGTGCATATATATTTAGGATAGTTAGCTCTTCTTGTTGAATTGATCCCTTTACCATTATGTAATGGCCTTCTTTGTCTCTTTTGATCTTTGTTGGTTTAAAGTCTGTTTTATCAGAGACTAGGATTGCAACCCCTGCCTTTTTTTGTTTTCCATTTGCTTGGTAGATCTTCCTCCATCCCTTTATTTTGAGCCTATGTGTGTCTCTGCACGTGAGGTGGGTTTCCTGAATACAGCACACTGATGGGTCTTCACTCTTTATCCTGTTTGCCAGTCTGAGTCTTTTAATTGGAGCATTTAGCCCATTTACATTCAAGGTTAATATTGTTATGTGTGAATTTGTTCCTGTCATTATGATGTTAGCTGGTTATTTTGCTCATTAGTTGATGCAGTTTCTTCCTAGCCTCGATGGTCTTTACAATTTGGCATGTTTTTGCAGTGGCTGGTACTGGTTGTTCCTTTCCATGTTTAGTGCTTCCTTCAGGAGCTCTTGCAGGGCAGGCCTAGTGGTGACAAAATCTGTCAGCATTTGCTTGTCTATAAAGGATTTTATTTCTCCTTCGCTTATGAAGCTTAGTTTGGCTGGATATGAAATTCTGGGTTGAAAATTATTTTCTTTAAGAATGTTGAATATTGGCCCCCACTCTCTTCTGGCTTGTAGAGTTTCTGCCGAGAGATCCGCTGTTAGTCTGATGGGCTTCCCTTTGTGGGCAACCCGACCTTTCTCTCTGGCTGCCCTTAACATTTTTTCCTTCATTTCAACTTTGGTGAATCTGACAATTATGTGTCTTGGAGTAGCTCTTCTCAAGGAGTATCTTTGTGGCGTTCTCTGTATTTCCTGAATTTGAATGTTGGCCTGCCTTGCTAGGTTGGGGAAGTTCTCCTGGATAATATCCTGAAGAGTGTTTTCCAACTTGGTTCCATTCTCCCCGTCACTTTCAGGTACACCAAACAGACGTAGATCTGGTCTTTTCACACAGTCCCATATTTCTTGGAAGCTTTGTTCGTTTCTTTTTCCTCTGTTTTCTCTAAACTTCTCTTCTCACTTCATTTCATTCATTTGATCTTCAATCACTGATACCCTTTCTTCCAGTTGATCAAATCAGCTACTGAAGCTTGTGCATTCATCACGTAGTTCTTGTGCCATGGTTTTCAGCTCCATCAGGTCATTTAAGGACTTCTCTGCATTGGTTATTCTAGTTAGCCATTCGTCTAACCTTTTTTCAAGGTTTTTAGCTTCTTTGCGATGGGTTCCAACTTCCTCCTTTAGCTCGGAGAAGTTTGATCATCTGAAGCCTTCTCTCTCAACTCATCAAAGTCATTCTCCATCCAGCTTTGTTCCATTGCTGGTGAGGAGCTGCGTTCCTCTGGAGGGGGAGAGGTGCTCTGATTTTTAGAATTTTCAGCTTTTCTGCTCTGTTTTTTCCCTATCTTTGTGGTTTTATCTACCTTTGGTCTTTGATGATGGTGACGTACATATGAGGTTTTGGTGTGGATGTCCTTTCTGTTTGTTAGTTTTCCTTCTAACAGTCAGGACCCTCAGCTGCAGGTCTGTTGGAGTTTGCTGAAGGTCCACTCCAGACCCTGTTTGCCGGGTATCAGCAGCAGAGTTCCCTTTGAAAACTGTCACAGACAGGGATGCCCTCTCTCACCACTCCCATTCAACATAGTGTTGGAAGTTCTGACCAGGGCAATCAGGCAAGAGAAAGAAATAAAGGGTATTCAATTAGGAAAAGAGGTAGTCAAATTGTCCCTGTTTGCAGATGACATGATTGTATATCTAGAAAACCACATCACCTCAGCCCAAAATCTCTTTAAGCTGATAAGCAACTTCAGCAAAGTCTCAGGATACAAAATCAATGTGCAAAAATCACAAGCATTCTTATACACCAATAAGAAAAACACAGAGCCAAATCATGAGTGAACTCCCATTCACAATTGCTTCAAAGAGAATAAAATACCTAGGAATCCAACTTACAAGGGATGTGAAGGACCTCTTCAAGGAGAACTACAAACCACTGCTCAAGGAAATAAAAGAGGACACAAACAAATGGAAGAACATTCCATGCTCATGGATAGGAAGAATCAACATCGTGAAAATGGCCATACCGCCCAAGGTAATTTATACATTCAGTGCCATCCCCATCAAGCTACCAATGACTTTCTTCACAGAATTGGAAAAAACTACTTCAAAGTTCATATGGAACCAAAAAAGAGCCCGCATCGCCAAGACAATCCTAAGCAAAAAGAACAAAGCTGGAGGCATCACGCTACCTGACTTCAAACTACACTAAAAGGCTACAGTAACCAAAACAGCACGGTACTGGTACCAAAACAGAGATATAGACCAATGGAACAGAACAGAGCCCTCAGAAATAATACCACATGTCTACAACCATCTGATCTTTGACAAACCTGACAAAAACAAGAAATGGGGAAAGGATTCCCTGTTTAATAAATGGTGCTGAGAAAACTGGCTAGCCATACGTAGAAAGCTGAAACTGGATCCCTTCCTTACACCTTATACAAAAATTAATTCAAGATGGATTAAGGACTTAAATGTTAGACCTGAAACCATAAAAACCCTAGAAGAAAACCTAGGCAATACCATTCAGGACATAGGCATGGGCAAGGACTTCATGTCTAAAACACCAAAGGCAATGGCAACAAAAGCCGAAATTGACAAATGGGATCTAATTAAACTAAAAAGCTTCTGCACAGCAAAAGAAACTACCATCAGAGTGAACAGGCAACCTACAGGATGGGAGAAAAATTTTGCAATCTACTCATCTGACAAAGGGCTAATATCCAGAATCTATAAAGAACTCAAACAAATTTACAAGAAAAAAACAAACAACCGCATCAAAAAGTGGGCAAAGGGTGTGAACAGACACTTCTCAAAAGAAGACATTTATGCAGCCAACAGACACATGAAAAAATGCTCATCATCACTGGCCATTAGAGAAATGCAAATCAAAACCACAGTGAGATACCATTTCACACCAGTTAGAATGGCAATCATTAAAAAGGAAACAACAGGTGCTGAAGACAATGTGGAGAAACAGGAACACTTTTACACCATTGGTGGGAGTGTAAACTAGTTCAACCATTGTGGAAGACAATGCGGCAATTCCTCAAGTATCTAGAACAAGAAATATCATTTGACCCAGCCGTCCCATTACTGGGTATATACCCAAAGGATTATAAATCATGCTGCTATAAACACACATGCACACGTATGTTATTGGGCACTATTCACAATAGCAAAGACTTCGAACCAACCCAAATGTCCAACCATGATAGACTGGATTAAGAAAAGGTGGCACATATACACCATGGAATACTATGCAGCCATAAAAAAGGATGAGTTCATGTCCTTTATAGGGACATGGATGAAGCTGGAAACCATCATTCTCAGCAAACTATTGCAGGGACAAAAAACCAAACACCGCATGTTCTCATTCGTAGGTGGGAACTGAACAATGAGAACACTTGGACACAGGAAGGGGAACATCACACACCGGGGACTGTCGTAGGGTGGGGGGAGGGGGAAGGTATAGCGTTAGGAGATATACCTAATGTAAATGACTAGTTAATGGGTGCAGCACATCAACATGGCACATGTATACATATGTAACAACTCTGCACGTTGTGCACATGTACCCTAGAACTTAAAGTATAATTTAAAAAAAGATTAATATATCTATCTATTCATGTGTCAGTTACTTCGTTGATCTTACTCTTTGTTGGCTTCTGAAGGAACTAGATTAGGCAAGCCTTTTTCCAGATAGACTTTTGCCTTAGCTTTTGCTTAAAACAATGGAATACTATTGATTATCACTTTCAGGTTATTAAGCAATTTCTTAATGTCGGAGCTTTAGGTTCAAGCTCCTATCTGCTGGTGGAACCCAAAGCTTAATCTCCTATTTCCAGGATTAATATTGGTATAGGTTGAGCATCCCTTATGTAAAATGCTCAGGACCAGAAGTATTTCAGATTTTGAATATTTTTGCATTTTGGAAAGTTTGTATTATTTATATACTTACTGGTTGAGCATCCCAAATCTGATAATCTGAAATCCAAAATGCTCCAATGAGCATTTACTTTGAGTGTCATGTCAGTGCTCAAAAAGTTTGATTTTAGAGCATTTTGGATTTTGGATTTTCAAATTAGGGATGCTCAACCTGTATCTGCCTCCAGGACAAACCTAGCAACTACTCACGGTGTTAACTTTGATTTCCACATACTGACGTTTGACAATATTGTCATTTGTTTTATTTTTGTCCTTGGAGATTTCCTTTATGTGCATTTATGCAATAAATGCAGTGCATTTATTGCAGGGAATGTCTAATCCAAGATTTAGCTGTATTAAAACAAAAGGCCATTCTGAGAATCCAGTCTAAATTATTATTTATAAAAACTATTACATATAAAGAAATGATTTAGGCTGGACACAGTGGCTCACACCTGTAATCCCAGCACTTTGGGAGGCCAAGACAAGGGGATCGCTTGAACTCAGGAGTTTGAGACCAGGACTGGGCAACATAGGCAGTTTCCATCTCTACAAAAAAATTTTTTTAATTAGCAGGGTGTGGTGGCATGTGTCTGTAGACCCAGCTTCTTGATAGGGTGAGGCAGGAGAATTACTTAAGCCTAGGAGGTCGTGGCCTGGGCAACAGAGTGAGGCCCTGTCTTTAAAAAAAAAAAAACAAAAACATATGATTTAAAACAAAATTCCCAAAATGTTAAGTGATTGCTTTCAGATTATAAATCATAGATAGCTTGTTTTTTTTTTCTGTATCCATATCTTCTACTCATGATCTTATTTTGTTTTTAAAAAGAAGAAACAATACACTTTGTTTTTTAAAAGAAGTTATGCACAGGACATATTTAAAAAAGAACTATTTTTTAAAGCATTACTGAAAACACAACCGAATATTTAACAAGTATACACTTGCTTTTCAAATAGAATCTTAATTCATTCTCATAAACATCCTGTAACTTAAGTATCATTATCCTTATTTCTGCAGAAGAGGAAACTGAGGCTCAGAAGGTTAAGTAATTTGCCCAAGCAACAGAGCTGGGATTTGAATTCAGGAATACTTGTTCCAAGGCCAGTGCTTTTCCCATTGAACCATGTTGCCTCCCACAAGAGAGCATTTTCACATTACCACCTGCTAGTTCTAATTAAGAGATAGTAATTAAACAATTCTCCATTCCTGACAACAATATTTAAGCTACTGGCAATTTAAAAAAATTAACATGAACAGCTCTTTATCTGCGTAAAGATATTATACCTAAACACAAACTATAACAGAGAAAAAGACTTCAAAATGACAAAGATGCTTTTCCAAAGCACAGTTCATTACATTATCTATTAATAGGACATGAATCATAAAAATGTTGTTTAATGACCAATATGCTTATAAAAATTTTCAACTCCACTGATAATAAAAGAAATACAAATTAAAGTAACAAGGACATATCTACCAAACTGTCAAAAATGTTTTAAATAGTAATAGCCAGGTAGGGCCAAAGTTGCCATTCTCATATATCTTAGGAGAGAATGTAATCAGTAGAAACTTGCTGTAGGCCAATTGATAACATGTACATTTTTTAATGTATGTGGTTTCTAACCTAGTAATTCCTCATCTAGGAATTCATCCTGATGAAATAATCACAGATATGTGCGTAACATTTAGATACCAGGTTGTTCATCTTGATACTTACTTATAATAGCAAAAGGAGACGGAGAAACAGAAGAGAAAAAAAGGAAGAAGAGGAGGGAAAGGAGTGAGAGAAGGAAGAGGAGGTGGAGGAGTAGGAGGAGGAAGAAGCTGGGATAAATCTAAGTCTATAATATTAAATTAGGTTAATAAATTATGTACAGTACATTGAAGTGATTACCAGAAGCTGTGAGTGGGGATGGGCAAATGTTAATCAAAGGGTACAAAGTTTCAGCTAGACAGAAAGAATAAATTTTGGTGATCTATTGCACAGCAAGGTGAGTACAGTTAATAATAATGTATATTTCAAAATGGTAAAAAAAAAAGTGGATTATCACCACAAAGAAATGATAAGTATGTGAAAAGATGAATGTTAGCCTGATTTGATCATTCCACAATGCATACATGTAGCAAAACATCAAAATACACCCTAAATGTATGCAATTATTTGTCAGTTAAAAAGAAAAAGAAAAAATATACATCCAAAAGAATTCAACCAGCCAGGAAATGATGATACTGTCACGCGTGTCCATATAGAAGACCACCTAAACAGGCTTTGTGTAAGCAACAAGGCTGTTTATTCACTTGGGTGCAAGTGGTCTGAGTCCAAAAAGAGAATCAGTGAAGGGAGATAGGAGAGGGGCAGCTTTGTAGGACTCGGGTAGGCAGTGGAAAGCTACAGTTGAAGGTGGTTATCTGTTGTCGGCAGGGGAGGGGTCAAAAGGTGCATGGTGGGGAGATCATGAGACCCATTGTCCTGGAGAAGAATGTCATAAGGTTGATTGATCAGTTAGGATAGGGCAGGAACAAGTCATAATGGTGGAATGTCGTAAGGTGGGTTATCAGTTAAGGCAGGAACTGGCTGTTTCACTTCTTTTGTGGTTTTTCAGCTGCTCCAGACTTCTTGGCTCCTATAGGCCATCTGGACATATATGTGCAGGTCACAGATGTTTCAATGGCTGAGCTTCAGCTCAGAGGCCTGACAGATACCACTATACTTATTAGCATAGAAAGAAATCCTTGACATGGTGTTTGAAGTAAGTAAAAAACAATATGTATAATAGTATGATTGTATTTTTATTAACCTATATTCAGTTATATTTCTATATTTTTAAAACATAAAGTCTGGAATATATATATCAAAATGTTGATGGTAGATATATCAGGTGATATGATTTGAGATTATTTTAATTTTTCTTCATCTATATTTTCTTATTTTTCCACAATGAATATTTATTACTTGTGTAAAAAAGTGAAAAAAATTCACAGTCATATCGGTTGGTAAGCAAGAATGCTCACAATCTATTACTAAGTAATACAAGTAAGTTTCAAAACAGTATATAGGTACATTCTCATTTATGTAAGAAAAATAATATGCATTAGGTTGAGCCATTTGAAATTCCTGGCATTTGTCTAGTTTTCACTTATAAAAACAGCAATTTCAAATGGTTCAATTTAATACATGTATTTGGAAAAACATACTCTAAAATACTAATACCATCCTGGTCGTTTATTCCTCTTCGTAAAGGACATCTATATTTTCCTCTTTAAATTCACGTGTATTTTCCTGCTTTAGATTTCAAAATTTTCTAATTTTCCTGAAAACTAAATCCCAGTTTCAACATTTACAGGATACCCTGGGCAAGTTTATTGAAGTCTCTAAATTTAAACAAAAAAAAAAATCAAAATCATAATAATAGTACCTACCTCACAGAGGTAGTTTAAAATGAGTAATTCATGTAGAGACAGTAACACAGAGCCTGGCAAATGCATGCTGTCAATCAGTGGAACATATGATGTGGTGGTTAGGAAGACAGATGTGAAATCTGACTCCCTAGATATATTACTTACTAAGAAATGTGTAAGTTATGTCACCTCTCTGTATCTGTTTTCTCATTTATAAAACAGGAATAATCCCATACAGTTTGTGTGAGGAGTACCTAAGTGTTTTATAATCCCATACAGTTTGTGTGAGGAGTACCTAAGTGTTTTATAATCCCATACAGTTTGTGTGAGGAGTACATAAGTGTTTTAAAGTAGTTAGCATAGTGCCTGGTAAACAGGAAGTTAACAATAAATTTTGGCTATTTTATCATTGATCATAATAGTATTATTAAGATATCAGAATAAATAGATATTATTTGTATAAGTTAATACCAACTCTGAGTTGATTAACTGTATTAAGTATGATATCCTATATAGTGGCTATATCATTTTTGTTTCCCTGGATTTAGTTCCATTCCAACGTATATAATCTCACTAGTGAAAAATCCACAAGTTTTATAATCAAAAACTAGAATTCTATTATACTTTGTAGGCAACATTTAAACCCATTAATGAAATTTTCTCAGTGACAACTTTTAAATGATAGCTTCTCTTTTTCCTTTGAAATACCTTTACCACAAATATATGACAGAGAGAACAACTCTTTCTAACCAAACCTCCCTTCTCCCCAAATATGTACTTATATAAGAATCAGACCCAGACCAAAACCTTCCAGAATCCAAAAGATGTGTGGAGTTTCCAAAGTCCATTGGGTACAAAACAAGAAAAGGAAAATTCTAAAGAGAGGAAGAAATAAAGAAGATAAAAGAAACAAAAATTTATTGTTAATTTTATTGTTAATAATAATTGTTATTATTACTGGAAAAGACCTTCACTTCGTTTTCAACCAGCAAGTAAAGCCTACTTTTACCTTCTCGATGCATGTGAATGCAGGCTTATAACTGAGGTCTCAGAAACATGTTTCATTCTATCCTCATAGAATAAAATTTTACATCTTGGGATCTATTCCTATTCAGGAGATATCATAATTCCCTCTAAGATCCACACATAGATAAAATATCCCTTTATGCAAATATCCCTTTATTCTCTTACCTTAACAGCTTCTCCAAGAGTTTGGTTTTTGTCAGCTTCCTCACTGGAGTGCAATTCAAGTTTATAATTCAATTCCTGTAGTTGTTGTGCCTGTTCATTCAATAGCATTTGTGCCTGCTCTTCCCGAAGTAATGCATTATTTAGTTCTTCACATGCACTTTCAAACTTCTCATGGGTGATCAATTTCTGTAAAAAGGAGGAGAGGGGAGAATCAGTTATAAAGCTAACTGCATTGTTGTATCATTTCACCTTCAAAACTAAAGGAATATAATACAAACATTTCTAGGCACTTGATACATTAAAAAAATACAATTAGCTTTTCTTAATTGCATAAGTCAAGATAAAAATACTACTGTGATTTTTAAAGCAAAACAGCCACACTTAGTTATCATTTTCAGTCAAATAAAATCTTAGAAAACTCATTTTAAATTCCATATGAATCCATGATGCTCAGTTTAAATTTTCATACATGAGCACTTTTTATAAAGATTATGATTGTGGGAATTAAAACCTTTAACAAATTCCTTGGCTTTTAAGTGATCACCTAGAAGTTTGTGTTCAGCGTATGTTATTATTCAGGTCTCCCGGTCAAATATCTTCTCCTAGGCAGGTCTTACATGACTACACCTCTCCAACTCCCAATCACTCTATTATACCATCTTGTTTTATTTTCTTCACAGCCATTGTCATTATCTAAATTCATCTCACTTTTTTTATTGCCTGTCCACACCCTGCCACCAACCACACATATAAAGGTGTAGCATCCCCAAAGCAGGGGCTTCATTTAGCTTTTCATCCAACATAGAGAAGAGTGCCTGGCACTCAGTGAGTGTTCAATATTTGTTGAATGAAATAATACTCATATATACACATCTGCCAACAAAATCTACACCATAACACACAACATGGTTTTTACAATATCATGACTGCTTTGGAGGGCACAGTACTCTGCTCTGGAATAACTAATGACAGTTCTAGACAGGGATGGAGAATCCAAGGCAAGACAAGCTTGTATTATCTCCTGTTCAAAACATTTAAACAAATGAAATCTAGATACAACAAACAACAGAGACATCGTGAAGTATAAAAAAGAGGAAGGTTTCACAAAAGGTAGATAACCTGAGAAATATATGTGGAAAACTCAAAGGAACGATTCAGGCCACTTAAATACACAAGTTATACATGTATCTATTTAAAAATTCTAACTTTCCCATTGTAAAAAAGGATGTGAGGTGGATTAATATCATTCGCCACAAATATAAAGCAGGTTGATTTGAAATTTTAACAAATCTGGGAGGAAAAAGCAGTGAAAAAAATCCTTTTGATTCTAAGCATCTAGTAACTATTGTAACTGAATACAGACTTTGTCTTTTATTTTTCTGACAAATAAGACAAAAATAGAAATGTGCATAGTCACAGTTTCCTCGTGGGCCAACAACAGCAAGCATGCAATTCATATAAAGAGAAAGACTTTTGCTGAAACTAAGTTTTAGGATAAATCAATTACATAGGTCCTTCTATATCATAATACATAAGCACTCAGTTTTATTTTGGCACCAGGTACCCTGCCTGCCACTTCTATGAAGCAACTGTCTTTTAAAACTCATTTCTCTTTTTAAGGGTGCATTCCTCAAAAATTTAAGAGTGCATTTCTCAACAATGAAGAAATTTTAAAAGCCAATAGTGTAGCATAAAAACAGATGTCTAATGATTTACCTAAGTTAATATAAATTAATGAGAATGATCACAAGACACACAGGAAAGTTGCCTCATTTTCAGAGAGTCACCTAGTAAAAGGTATATCTAATATGTCACTGATACTTGCATAGTGCTGGGATTATACAGAACACTCAACTTTTTACTCGCTGTTTAACAGCTGCCGAACTCTCCACATTGTGCTATTACAACCAAACCCTCAGCTTTCAAAACATCTAATCTAACAGTCTCCTCTCAGCACTCCAGTTATATTTCTATTTATTAACATCCCTCTATGCGCTGGGTCTTGTGAACATATATTTTTGTACCTCTTCTATCTTCAATGTGTTGTTTTAAATTACCACTCCTTGCCATGAGACCATTCTGTCCTTTTCAATCCACTTGACCATCAAGTGAATAAAGATCTTTCCATCAACATCCCCACCATTTTGCAGGACTTCCTTGTTTTAACAGAACGTGTGTTCCCTTCACAATCCTCCAAAATTTCCCCTTTACCTAAAAACTCAGGTAATTTTAGCCTCTCTTGTCCATCCATCCGTCCCAGAGACTGGCTCAATTCTGTTTATTCCTCTGTAAAGTAAATAAAATCAAGCAAGTATAGCAACGCAGAATAAGAAAGAGATGGTGTGTGAAAGCAAGTGTAAGGAGCTAATAAACAAAGATCATGAGACTGGGGAAGTTAGCTGTTAAAGAACGACTGTCAGTAGATGGACACAGTATTCCAAAACCATTAAAGTACTAAATAGCTTTCGGTGAGCAGGATGTTTCCCTTCATAATTTTAGACCAACTATAAAGAAGCTGTTTTATTCTCTCCAATACACTTTTTCTGAAATGAGCGAGAGACAAATGGTTGCAGGCACTCTCTCCAATTTTCTTAGAGGAAACTACCATCTTTTCTTCATCTATTATGTTTTTAATATAACAACCCTTTATTAGCACACCTAGGTATCAACACTAACCACTGTAATGAAGTGGATAAAAGCATGAGTTTTAGAGCCACAGGAACCAAGTTCAAAGTCTGTCATTTCCATTAATAACTATATGACTCCAGGCAAGCTACTTAGTTTCTATCTGCTCCAAAAGCCCCATCTGTAAATTAGAAATAATAATAGTATGTGAGATAATTATAAGGACCAAATGAGTCAACGTCTGTAACGTGCTTAGGGTCAGTGTCTGATACCTGGTCAACACGATCACTAAATGTTAGAAATCGTCACGTACTTCATAACTTATAATTATAGGACAATATATAAAAATTAAGTACTGGCCAGGTGTGGTGGCTCACATCTGTAATCCCAGCATTTTGGCAGGCTGAGGTAGGCAGATAACCTGAGGTCAGGAGTTTGAGATCAGCCTGGCCAACATGGTGAAACCCTGTCTCTACTAAAAATACAAAAAATTAGCTGAGCGTGGTGGTGGGCGCCTGTAACACCAACTACTGCTGAGGCAGGAGAATTCCTTGAACCTGGGAGGTGGAGGCTGCAGTGAGCTGAGATCGTACCACTGCACTCCGGCCTGGGTGACAGAGCGAGACTCCATCTCAAAAAATAAGGTAAAATAAAGTAAAAATTAAGTACCTCTTCCCTCAATTACTATGCTATTTTTATTCCTGCACTTCCTCAAACATACTCTTAATTACTGAAAGCCAGTTATTCAAAGCTCTTACAAGAGGATTCTGTCACCTTCCACTAACCTTCCCTCAAACTCTAATCTTCTCTCTAGATTCTAGAAATTAAGTCCTGACTACTTCTAAACTAATCAAAGATGCAAACTTGTTTTCTTAATACTTAACTATGGACTAGGAAATCAAATTGTGTAGAATATTTAGAATTCTTCGTATATATTCCAGGGAGCAACATATGTAAGGAATTTTCCAGTTTTTACAAAAGCCATTATTATCTAAATCTAAATACAGTTGACTATACTCTAAATCTCAAATTGCATAAATGACTGTCTGTGTCCATTTTGGTAGACTATCTCAATATCCCAAATTCAACTATTTCTATGATACAGAAGCAAATCAAACGGAAGGAGAGACATGCTTCAAAAGAATTCGTTTTTAAAAGTATAAACATCTCTTTATTATTTAAGTAAAATGGCAAAAAATGGAAAAAAATCACATATCTAAGAAAAGGGAAATACTCAAATTTTGATACATTCATATGACACACTAGTATTCATTTAACTAAAATGAAATTAATAATTAAATGACAGAGGAAAATGATTACAGTACTTTAAGTGCATACATGTATACATATATTTATATAAGTCAGGCTGCAAACTATACATACAAAATTATTCCAAACTACAACTGTGCATAAAGGCATGCACAGGCACATATATACACACGAAATGTGGAGAACAAAATGCATCCACATTTCAACAGTGATTGGTTTTGGGTGGTAAGATTAAAATGATTTTAACTTTCCTCGTTTTTAAAATAAATATAATTTTTTTTTTAGAGATGCGGTCTCACTATGTTGCCCAGGTTGGTCTTGAATTCCTGGCCTCTAGTAACCTTCCTACCTTGGCTTCCCAAAGCACTGGGATTACAGGCATGAGCCACCATACCCAGTCTAAACTTTCTTCTTAATACTTTCTTGTATTTTTACTTAAGGTTGTCATGTATAACTTTCATAATTAGAAAAAAAAAAGTTGAAGCAGCTCATCTCTTAAATTTTCCTTCTCTGAGCAAAAAACTAAGAGAAGGAAAAATTATGGTGTCTTTAGACATTTACCGAAAAGAAACCTATGGCTTAAGAGTAATTCATGATTACTTGACCTGCCTAATTCATAGGAACTCTTTGCCCTTTGAAGGTGTATCTACTTGAAATAATAATTAACACTAGCACAATTACATTATCATAGGATTAATAACTAAACTACTACACCTGCTGCTGCCTCTGTTACTGCAAATGTTAAAACTGTAAATTCCAAATTAATCAAAAGATAAAAGCACATTTAAACTGAAGTTATAGTAGCTGTTTTAAGTTGTACAGTCTTGAAGTTTCAGGGTAATCTTTTAACTCTATGTTCCCATATCCACATTAAAAACAGCAATGTTAATAACTATCCCAACTGCAAACAGAATATGTGGATGTCTGCATTATATTGTGCTTCACACAGTTAGACATTTTGTTCTTGATCTAATGGTATTTGGCATACGACTGTGCTTTTTCAGCTATTTTCTGCTTTTTAAAATAATACATATAAGTCATTGATGGACGTTAGATAAATTGAACATTTCTTTGGAAAAGCAATTTGATTTCATACTACATAATCTAATTTACTCAAAATATTCAATATAAGAAGAGAAGAGGCCAGGTGCAGTGGCTCACACCTGTAATCCCAGCACTTTGGGAGGCTGAGGTGGGCAGATCAGCTGAGGTCAGGAGTTCGAGAACACCCCGGCCAACATGGAGAAATTCCATCTCTACTAAAAATACAAAAATTAGCCAGGCGTGGTGGCAGCCACCTGTAATCCCAGCTGCTTGGGAGGCTGAGGCAAGAGAATCACTTGAACCCGGGGGGCAGAGGTTGCAGTGAGCTGAGATAGTGCCACTGCACTCCAGCCTGGGCAACAGAGTGAGACTCCATCTCAAAAAAAAAGAAGAGAGGAAATCTCTCTCCCCACTCCCCCGCCTGCCACCAACATCAGCAATTAGAGGCATTTTAGACAGGAAGTTTTCTGAAGAAAAAGAGATGTTATTAATAGGCTTTTGAATTATTTGAAAAACCACACATAACAAAAGTTAAGGAAAAAAGGATATAGAGATAAAGAAATATATATCAGCAAAGCAACAGTTTCCTAAATGATATATACTTACAGACTGCTTAAATTCATTTAATTGCATTTGCAGACCCTGGGCTTTGTCAAGCTCCTTTTTCATTTCATTCACACTTCGTTTGAATTCTGTGACCTCTAAGCGTAGTGAGCGGCGCTCCACTTCTGCAGCATGCAGTCTTTGTGTAAATCCAAGTATTTGCTTCTGCAACGATGCTGTGCTTTTCTGTTGTTAAACAAGAGCAATTTTATAAACAGTAACTACAGATTTACTAACAATAGCAATAACCATTTTACTAAATTAAATGTAACTTAGATTATCCAAAAACCAGTGCTAGCTATTACAGAAATGTAGAGGTGAAAACTTTATTTTTTATGTGACCAATAATTTGGCTTATGAAAAATGAACATCTGGAGAAAAGAAATAATCTAGATAGCTAAAAATGAAATTGACAGCTGTTTAGGTCTCATACAATTCTGTTGCAGTGCATTTATAGAGAACATTAAATTTAGCACTAATGTCATGCCTTTTTTTTTTTTTTTTTTTTTTGAGACAGTCTTACTCTGTAGGCCAGGCTGGAGTACAGTGGCACAATCTCGTCTCACTACAACCTCCACCTCCCGAGTTCAAGCGATTCTCATGCCTCAGCCTCCTGAGTAGCTGGGATTAGAGGCATGAGGCACCCACCACCACCCCTGGCTCATTTTTGTATTTTTGGTAGAGGCGGGGTTTCACCATGTTGGCCAGGCTGTTCTTGAACTCCTGACCTCAGGTGATCCACCTGCCTTGGCCTCCCAAAGTACTGGGATTACAGGCATCAGCCACCGCGCCTGGCCAGTGATTTTTTTTTTTTTTTTTTTTTTTTTTTTTTTTTTTTTTGAGACGGAGTCTCGCTCTGTCGCCCAGGCCAGACTGCGGCAGACTGCGGACTGCAGTGGCGCAATCTCGGCTCACTGCAAGCTCCGCTTCCCGGGTTCACGCCATTCTCCTGCCTCAGCCTCCCGAGTAGCTGGGACTACAGGCGCCCGCCACCGCGCCGGGCTAATTTTTTGTATTTTTAGTAGAGACGGGGTTTCACCTTGTTAGCCAGGATGGTCTCGATCTCCTGACCTCATGATCCACCCGCCTCGGCCTCCCAAAGTGCTGGGATTACAGGCGTGAGCCACCGCGCCCGGCCAGTGATTTTTGTATTTAGATATTTTGGACACTTATTTGGAAGTAATTTAGTGTATTAAAATTTTACATGAACTATAAAGAAAATCCAGATACATTCATGTACAACTAATAATTTAAACTACAAATTAGGCTAATTCAAAATTAAACCTACAAGTTCTTAGGTTACTACTAAATGAAAGTGTATACATACCGTAATGGGCACATGGCCACGCAAACCATATTTCAGGGCCAGTGTGTTTACTTTATGAAGTCCATGGGCCAGCCTCTGAACCAGGGAATCTTTTTCTACATATGTAATACTCCTGCTACTGTGCAGAGGTATACATTCCATTACCAGACTAATTTTATCCATGAGTTTTGCAAAAGAATTCTTGGCTGCACCTATGAGTAAATGTCCACAAATTCTGGAATTTGGATCTTCAAAGAAAAAGAAAAAAAGGCACAAAAATGTGAATTGTCTCTTGTGCATTTCACAACACTGCTAATCACATAATGAAAATATTTTTTAATTATATAATTCCCATTCACCTGTAGTAATTCATTCAAAAAGGTCCTTCCCACATTATTTTCACTATGAAAAAAAGGAATTCAGAGAATAGCTCACCTACTAAAGAATACATCAAAAAAAATCTGCATGTATTTACAGTATGCCATTCACATGGAATAGCATGACACTAAAAATTCATCACTCTTTTCTTTGTTTTAAAACCTAACATAAATCCATTTTCTATTTACAACTGCCAAAGCTTGTTACCTTCATGCCATACTATTTATATTCTCAGACAAGAAAATATAATTTGCCTTATTCCAAGGCAATTAAAATTTTACAACTACAATTACTTATTTCCCCACAGGATTTTGGTAATCATCCTTCTCATATAATGGACTTAAGGTCCCAGCATATCCAACATGGCCTGCTTACTGCTAGATTCATCAGGTCTGTAATTAATAATTGTGTTTAATGTTGATAAATAAAATTGTCAGTGCTCTTTCTACTAATTGGTATTCCAGATAATGGTTAATAGGTTTATTTACGCCTTAATAAAGCCATGTAATTTAGTTTTCCCTCTGCTAGGTAGGTCTTAATCTGTCATTACTTGTCTTATGATACTATCAATGTAAAATGACAAGCACAGAAAGATTATTTAAATTCATAGTATAACATTCTACATTTTTAAGAGCCTCTGCTGTTGGTGTTAATTTAAATCTTGTCTTTACATCATAAGCACAAAAAGCAAATTCAGCTAGTCTTACCAAATTAAAAATGTTTTATCCTTATAAGAATACATATAATTCAACAACTGAAGAGCAACATTGACTGAGACGGTAATCAACCAATGGTTTTCTATGGCATAAAGAACTGTCTCATGGAGACACTGTTATAAAATTTGAGCTTCATTCTACTTATTTTATTCCTCAATGTTTAAAGGACAGACAAATTTTAAAATCTATGTAGCAGCCAGAATTTGAAAATGATCTTGCTTAGGAGTTATACATAAATTGGAAATAAAGTGAATAAAAGCATAATATCCTCCAGGTAAAATTTATTTCAATCAGTTATTGATGCATCAACTTCTAGGAATATAAATATACGGTAATATAAGTTTAATTCTATATGCCACTCATTATAAACATACTCTGTGACAGTCCCATGGAAAAAAGACAAAGTATAATGAAAATACACAGTCCTTTTGTTAACAATCATATTCCTTAAATAAATAACGGATGAAGTGCTCGCTTCGGCAGCACATATACTAAAATTGGAACGATACAGAGAAGATTAGCATGGCCCTGCGCAAGGATGACACGCAAGTTTGTGAAGCGTTCCATGTTTTTATAATAATAATACAAAATAAATAAATAAATAAAAAGAAAACAATGGATGAAAAAGAACTAAGTAGCTTTATATGGCAATCAATATATAACACAGAACACTGAGTTAAAGGAATTTACTAAAGTACTATGTGAATTAAATAGGCCACTGTTGAATGAAAGAACAGTAAAATTTATTTTGTCTATAATATTCAATTTATCATTTCAATACCTAATATATATATGTATTCCCTGTTTCTCCAACTACCTTGCAATTATTTATCTGTGTCTTTTTTCATCTTAACAAACTCTTTTTATCTTCACTGGGCCAGCCCAGCATACATGGGTATTTTTTACATGTTTGTTAAATTATATTTCTTTTTATTTCCATAGCTACTGCAACAATGCTGAACACAAGAATACTAAGAGAAATTAATGTTAACTCTTAAGCTATGTCAAAGGTTCTTGTTTTTAAATAAACAATACAAAAGTTCATTATTTTAGGAAATTTCAGGATACAAAAAAATTTTTCACAGATAAAGAGCCTTTAAAAGCACAAATTAATTGTAATTAAATTTTAATAAATAGGCCGGTCACAGTGGCTCACTCCTGTAATCCCAGCACTTTGGGAGGCTAAGGCAGGCAGATCACGAGGTCAGGAGATCGAGACCATCCTGGCTAAAACAGTGAAACCTTGTCTCTACTAAAAATACAAAAAATTAGCCGGGCGTGGTGGCACGTGCCTGTAATCCCAGCTACTCAGGAGGCTGAGGCAGGAGAATCCCTTGAACTCGGGAGGGCAACAGAGCGAGACTCTGTCTTAAAAAAGGAATAAATAAATAAACAAACAAATAAGGTTTTTTACTTTGTCACAGAAATGTTTGTGTAGACACTGACTGATCTGAAGGGTGATACTAAATGACAATATAATTCTGCAATGCATTCTTCTAAATTTTTAAGAAGTGAAAGTCATATGCTCTAAGTTCCTAACTGCCGACTCTCAATGAATTACAGTAAGAGCACTAAATAATGTATGCTATAATAAGAAGTGTTTTTACAATATAGTTCACATTATACAGTACAGAGGGCAATTTTTTTTATTTCAATAGGTTTTGGAGGAACAGGTGGTGTTTGGTTACATGAATAAATATTTTAGTGGTGATTTCCGAAATTCTGGTGCACCCATCACCCAAGCAGTGTACACTGCACCCAATGTGTAGTCTTTTATCCCTCGTCACCCCTCACCCTTTCCCCTGAGTCCCCAAAGTACAATGTATCATTCTTATGCCTTTGCATCCTCATAGCTTAGCTCCCACATATGAGTGAGAACATACCATGTTTGGTTTTCCATTCCTGAGTTACTTCACTTAGAATAATGGTCTCCAATTCAATCCAGGTTGCTACAAATGCCATTATTTCGTTCCTTTTTGTGGCTGAGTAGTATTCCATGGTATATAGATACCAATTTTCTTTACCCACTTGTTGATTGATGGGCATCTGAGCTGGTTCCGCACTTTTGCAATTGCAAATTGTACTGCTATCAACATGCGTGTGCAAGTATCTTTTTTGTATAACGACATCTTTTCCTCTGAGTAGATATGTAGTAGTGAGACTGCTGGATCAAACTGTAGATTTACTTTTAGTTCTTTAATGAATCTCCACACTGTTTTCCATAGTGGTTGTACTAGTTTACATTCCCACAAACAGTGTAAAGTGTTCCCTTTTCACTGCATCCATGCCAACATCTATGATTTTTTATTTTTTTTTATTATGGCCATTCTTGCAGGAGTGAGGCAGTAATGGCATCATGGTTTTGATTTACATTTCCCGATCTTAGTGATGTTGAGCACTTTTCCATCTGCTTATTGGCTACTTGCATATCTTTTGAGAATTGTCTATTCACGTCCTTAGCCTACTTTCTGATGACTTTTTTTTTTTTTTTTTTTTTTTTTTTTTTTAAAGACAGCGTCTTGCTCTGTCACCCAGGCTGGAGTGCAATGATGAGATCTCGGGTCACTGCAACCTATGCCACCTGGGTTCAAGTGATTCTCTCACTTCAGCCTCCCGAGTAGCTGGGGTTACAGATGCCCACCACCACACCCAGCTAATTTTTATATTTTTAGTAGAGACAGGGTTTCACCACGTTGACCAGACTGGTCTTGAAATCCTGACCTCAAGTGATCCACCCACCTCAGCCTCCCAAAGTGCTGGGATTACAGGCGTGAGCCACCGCACCTGGCCTAATCAGATTGTTTTGTTCTTGCTGATTTGTTTGAGTTCTTTGTAGATTCTGGATATTAGTCCTTTGTCGGATGTATAGATTGTGAAGATTTTTCTCCCACTCTGTGGGTTGTCTATTAACTCTGCTGCTTATTTCTTTGGCTGTGCAGAAGCTTTTTAGTTTAATTATGCCCCCTCTATTTATCTTTGTTTTTCTTGCATTTCTTTTGGGTCAGAGTGCAATTCATTCTATATTAAATAAATGAAAAAACAAAAAAAAATCCTCTAGTGATACAGTTGTAAAATTATTTATATAATAATACAGAAATAAGAGGAAAAACGTCACTAAAGTTCCTCATGTATACTTGTCTAGACTGTTGTAAATGTTTGGCTTGTTACATTTAACAAATTCTTATGTTAAATACATTTGTTAATCACTTTCTTCCTATTTAATAAAATGTGTCTTTAATGAAAGAAGTGAACCCTATATTCTGAAATTACTTTTTCCAATAGAAGGGGGAAAAATGTACATCTAGGGCTAAAATCTTCAAAACAAATTCATAAAGAATTGTTTCGACCTGTAGTTCTAAATCTGTGGGCTGCAGATCTTGATGAGGTGGGGAAGGAAGGACATTGAAAAGTTATTGCAACAGTTCCACTACTTTTAGCTGCAGTAACCATTGTGCATTTTGATCTTTATCTAGCCCTAACAAAATATATGCGTGAATAATAATGATATTGTGAGTAATCAAATTAAAAGTCCCTTGAAAACATTACATAAATCAACTGCTACTCAAAATACATCTATTATGTGGAAGAGAGAGCAATCTACAACATTTTTTCTTATTAAAATGAAGTCCTCATACTCAAAGATTGAGAAATATTCCTTTAACCAAAAAAGGTAATAATTAGTAACGTTTAAAATAATGTTAGTAATGAGTATAATAGTAGCAAAAATAATTACTAATATTGTAATAATGAGTAATGTTAATAATAAGGTTAATAATATTAATAATGAGTATTGTTAACTAAATTTAATTCCACCTCAGTTCTACACACTTGGTAACATTTTGTCAACCCTGACATCTCCATTTCCCTTGCCATATTCCCATTTCTTGTTCTTAGTATTTCTCCAATTTATTCCATTTTCTCTGTAGTCATGGCCATATCTAAGACGCACTCTTCTCTAGTCTTCCCGCTCTTCAATCCATTCTCCACAAAGTAGATAGAATAACTCGTAACACACAACTAGGATCTCATCACACTGCCTGCTTTTATGCCTCAATAACTTTCTTCTCATCTAAGAATGGATTTTAAACTCCTTAAAACATGGCTCAAAAGTCCTACACATCTGGTCCCTACTTACTTTCACAGGAACATCTTTCACTATTTATATGCAACTTTCTTTATATGCAACTCCTTTTAAGTGACCCCAATATATCACAATCTTAAAGCATTCCCTCTGAGTAAAAATTATGCTTGTGTTCCAAACTGCTAATAATTTGAGAAACGTGAATATAGACATCATTTTTCAAACTGTGGAGGCAAACACTATAGTAAGATGTTTGCTTCAAAGCAATGTTTTATCTAAAAATCACTGGGCAAAACAGCCCAGAAAACGACAAAAAAAAAAGTAGTAAGCGAATTTGTCTTACTGTAAAACACACAGATATACATTCATGAAAAACGCAGTATGATACTGGTACTAGAAGAGAGGTGGAAACTAATGGAGTAAACTGGAAATACAGGAAATAGATCGATCCACGAACTTAAACAATAATTTAACGTGTTATTAATGGCATATCTTAATCAGGGAAAAGATGGATTACAGAATTTAAAAATACTGGTGCAGGCCAGGCGTGGTGAATTATGCCTGTAATCCCAGCACTTTGGGTGGCCAAGGCTGGCAGATTACTTGAGGTCAGGAGTTGGAGACCAGCCTGGCCAACACAGAGAAACCCCGTCACTACTAAAAATACAAAAAATTAGCTGAATGTGGTGGCACATGCCTGTAATCCCAGCTACTCCGGAGGCTGAGGCACAATAATCACTTGAACCCGGGAGGCAGAGGTTGCAGTGAACTGAGACTGGCCATAGCAATCCAGCCTGGGCAACAGAGACAGCCTCTGCCCCGCCCGTCCCCCCAAAAAAGCTACCTGGTCATCTGGCTGCAAAAATAGTTTAATCATTTATTCACTATTTACAGGAAAAATAATTCCAGATAAACTCAAGATTTAATGTATCGAAAGTATTCTACTAAAATATGAGCAATACTACCTTGAGGTAAGGCTAGCCTTTCTCAGTAACTTACCATAACAAAAAACAGAAATAAATGATTAATAATTTTAAACTATATAAAAATATCACAAGCAAAATTAAAACACAAGCTGCAAAATTATTTGCACTATGATAAAGTGTTAATATACATGATACACAAGGAGCTTTTATAATTCCATAAGACACAAACACACACCCCCAAATATGATCATAGTATGATCATTTGTAGAATATGAATGGGCTTATAACAAATGAAAAGATGTGCAACCTAACTACCAATCAAAGAATACAAATAAGTAATAATATAATGTCTTTTGCCTTTTACATTGATAAAGGTCAAAGAGATTATCAAAATTTTGCATGCCAAAGGTGTTATGAGAAAACCAGAACGGTCAACACTGTTCATGAAAGAACAATGTAAAGAATACTGATAGTACTTTCTAAATGTAAAATATACAATCCCATTTCTCATGAATTTAGCCCAAGAAATAACTGCACAAGTATAAGATGATTTTATATACACGCATATTAACTATAGTATGGCTGATTACAATATTGCTTAAAATGGCGAAAAAAATAAGAAAAAATAAATACTCATCAAAAGGAAATTTGCTGAGTAAATTACAGTAGATATATACAGTGCAACTAGTATGTAACTAAATACAATTAATGATATAGATTTATTTTATTGATATTAAAAAATATTCATTATCCATTGAGTGGGAGTAAAAATAATTACAATGAAGCATGATTATATGATTCCCTCATGTAAAACTGTGTGTGTGTGATTATATTTGTACACATGTATGGGATACTCGTAGAGATCATCAAAATGTTAAGAATGGTTGGAGGTGACCCTTTGAGTGATTTTTACTTTCTGTGCAGGTTTCTGTATTGTGTGAAGGTTTTACGCTGGGTATAAGCATTTTCACAGAAATAACAAAACTATTTTTAAAAGCACCATGCACTATCTTACTCACTACCTTACTCATTCATTAAACAGCTAGCTATAGAATAGCTCATATGTATAAGGGAATTGTGTTGGACAATGGAGAGAGGGGACATGTAACACTGATTAAGAATCAATAACTCCCATTTATATTGTATTATTTATTATTATACAAATGCCCCCAAATAAGAATATCCAGAAACATATTCTGATTTAGACAAATGATACTTCTGTTATCATTTTAGACAAATGATACATTTGTACTGTAGATACCTTTGGCAGTCTGGTGGAACCTATGGCTCCCCTTCTAAGAATAATCATTTTAAATCCATAAATCAAGAGATGTGGGATTACAAAGGAAACTAATTTTTCTGTAATATAGTTTTCAAAATATTTTAAGTTTGATTACTAATCCATTAAGTACAAGACAGGACATTTCAAATATAGATAAAGATAGTTTTTTAGAAGACATAGCATAGTGAAAGTTTTTGCATAAACCAAATAAGAACATTGAACTTTTTGGGTGGTCTTCAACAAGGCATCATACATGTCATGTTGGACATCAAGTTTTTTAATATATTTAAAAGTGATAAAAGTCCTGATTTACAAATATAGTATTTACTGCTACAAATATAATTAAAGCTTCGATAGTTCGTTTTACAACATAGTGGAGGGCTTCTCACAAAAAATACCAGAATTCTCCAAGGCTTTTAAATCCAAAATCTAGTGTGGTAAGTTTTTTTGTCCTAAAGTCAATGAGTTCATCTTTGGCTAGGTCAACATATTCAATGCAATTTGTATTGGAAAGGAAAGAACTATGAATCCATGGTTCAAATTTTATGCTATTTAGATAGAAGTAACTTCAGTAACTCTTTTGAAGGAGTTCTGAAGTCTTTCCAAGGGCTTAAGGCTGCTATTTCAAAGAAAATAACAGAGAATTTCGTATTTAGAGAATACTGAAAAGCAACATAAACAAAGAGTACACAGAACCTCACTTTGATGGATGAACAACTAAATGCAGAGTTGTCCTTTCACTTGGCCGGCTGCACTGCACCAGCATCCGTTGGTACGGGGGAGACTATGATGACTTGCCATGTAAGTGATGACTCTCATGATTACTGATTAGTTAAGATGAGCATAAACTACATGTGTGATAGCTGCAGTAACTGTATTACAATATAAAAATATCTGTGACTTCTATTAGCGCCAAAGTCACTATGCTGCTAATATTATCATGGTCTATCGTTACCATTCATAATTGAAGGAACTGTCAAAATTCTGTTGGCAGATAGTGAAACAAGATGTTTTTTTCTCATTCAAGTCCACAGACCGTTCCCCCAGCTCTGCTGAATTCTACCCATGGACCCTTTTGAGAAGAGGTCTATGAACCCCTGGTTAAGAGATCCCTTATTTAAGGAATATACTACCCAATCATAAATCTATATTCTTGACCCTCTCTCTCTGTCAACTTAAATTAACAAGAAAGCTACATCCCTGGACTACTTCAGTCAGAGAATGACAATATACTATCATGCTCTCAGTTTTACTGACAAGAAAAAAACTTCTGCATCTTCTAAGAAATTGCATTTAAAGACAGAAACTGCAATGTTATTCAATATTTCTAATACAATAATCCATGTAATAAATTCCTTTTAAAGTTTAGTGCCAGGAAACGTTATTTCTCATATGTCTGGAGACATAAGAGAGCATCTCACTTCTGAAGAATAATAAGCAGTTCCATTGGCTTAAATTGCAGGTTTATTATGGACAGCATTGGGAGGTGAGACTGTACAAACAGATGAGAATCTGGTCATGAAGGGTGTTGTTTATCTAGCTAAAGTGTTAATTCATGCAATAAGAAACAAGGAACAATATTGCTGCTGATACTGCGGATGAAGATAGGTGACACATCAAGCACTGCTTACATGCATTAACCAATTTAACCATCATTATAACCCCATGAAATGATATCATTATTATAACCACTTAAAATAATAAGTGAGGGGGAAAGAATAATTAAAATAATGTATCTATAGAATGACCCCATTATACTGAAATATCCAAAAAACAACTCGATATAAATACTAATTAAATACTAATATTCTCTAATAAGGAGATTACATGAGGTTTAAATTTACTTCCTTATATACTTTTATATGTTTTAGAATATTCTACAATATACTGATGCTACTTCTTTATTATTTCAATAACTCTCGTCCAAATGATCACTTTGCTAAATGAAGGAAGGCTGGGAGACAGGGAGAAAGGGTGGGTCAGTCTAAGAGTGGGCTCGTGGATACCCACTAGCAGGTTAGTAACACATGTAAAAAATGAGCTAAGACCACAGCAATGGGGCTGGGATAAAAAAATAACCCAATAAGAAATGTAGAATATGGAGAATAAGAGTAAGAATAAAAGTATGTTACAGTGACTGCTAGGTTTCTATTTTAGATACTATTTGGCAGATGGTCATGTCAATTACAAAGACAGTTTTCAGAAGGAAGTTTTGGGCCTAAGAAAATGGGTAAAAATTTGAATATGCTGAATTTTAGGGTTTTTTTTTTTTAGGAAACTCATAGGAAGCTAAGTATACAAGCTTTCAGTTCAAGAATGAGGTCTAGGTTACAGATAATATTTGGGAGCCATCAGCACATAGATGGTAAATAAAGCCCTGGCTATACATGGGACTGCTCGGGACAACAAGGAATAAAAACATAGCTAAGTGGCTGGGCGCAGTGGCTCACCCCTAGAATGCTAGCACATTGGGAGACCGAGGTGGGTGCACTGCCTAAGCTCAGGAGTTCAAGACCAGCCTGGACAACATGGAGAAACCCCTTCTCTACTAAAAATTAAAAAAATTTTTTTAATGGCTAAGAAAAGACCCATAGTCAAAGTCCTACTCCAAGAAAGGAAAGAGGGAAGGGAAGGAGGGAAAGAAAAGAAAAGAAAAAAGAAAAAGAGCCCATAGGGCACACAAACACTGAACAGAAAGGCCCAAGGACATGAAAAGAGGAGAAACAGGAGTAATATCATGGGCATCAAAAGAATCTGGAAGAAGGAAGTGATCAGCAATGTCAAATACCAAAGGCAGGACAGTGGTCTTTAACTGTCCTCACTAATGTACTCTGTAATTTTTTTTAACTATGTATGCTGTGGTAGGAAGAATAATGACCTCGCTAAAGATGTCCACATTCTAATCCCTGGAACCTGTGACTGTGTTATGTTACACAACGAGAGAGAATTAAGGGTGTAGATGGAATGAAGTTTGCTAATCAGTGGACTTTAAAATACAAAGATTATCTTGGATTATTCAAGTAGACCCAACATAATGACAAGAGTCCTTTAAAGTGGTACACAGAAGAAGAGGTCAGAGTCAGAGAGAGATTTGCAGATGTGATGCTGCTGGCTTTGAAGATGGAATAAAGAGCTATAAACTAAGGAAAGCAGATGGCTTCTAAAAGCTGCAAAAAGAATCAGATTCACCCTTACAGCCTCCGGAAGGAATACAGCCCTGCCAACACCTTGATTTTGGCCCAATAAGACCTATTTCAGACATCTGATCTCCAGAAATATCCGATAATAAATTCGTGTGGTCTTTAGCCACAGATTGTGACAATTTGTTAGCCCAATAACAGGAACCTGATATGTATGCCCTCACACATTTTTAAGTTTACATCTAAAAAAACTTTCGTCATGTATTTTTAACCAGTTGTAAAGCATATCATTCCTGGTATGCTGTAAATTTTGGCATTTTTAAAAAAAACTGACACATCCCTCCTTTAAATATAACCAGTAGAAACCAGGTGCAGTGGCTCACACCTGTAATCCTAGTACTTTGTGAGGCCAAGGCAAAAGGATTGCTTGAGGCCGGGAGTTTGAGACTAGTCTGGACAACATAGTAAGACTCCCATCTCTACAAAAAACAAACCTTAGAAATCAGCTGAGTGTGGTAGCACACATCTGTAGTCCTAGATACTCAGGAGGCTCAGGCAGGAGGATCCCTTGGGCCCAGAAATTTGAAGCTGCAGTGAGCTATGATTGCACCACTGTACTCCAGCCTGGGTGACAGAGACAGAGAGCCCTTATCTCAAAAAATATAAAATAAAATAAAAATAAATGTAACTAAGAGAATCTAAATGCCAGGAAGAGTTGGCCCTTACCATAATACATTTTTAAAATACATGAACAAGCTCTTCCTTAACAATCAGAAATTCTGCCTTATTTGTTTTCTCCAATATCTCATATTTCCATTGCCCTTCTGCTACTTAATTTATTGCAATATGGAACTTACTATCCTATCATAATTTTCTAAAATAAAAATATATATACATATATATAAATTAAAATTGAAGCCAAGCATGGTGGTATACATCTATAATCCCAGCTACACAGGAGGCTGAGGCAGGAGGATCCCTTGAGCCCAGGAGTTCGAGGTCACCTTATTTTCAAGCTAACAAATTTCATGAATGTTGGCAAAAAACACAAGACTCCTGGGTGAGAGACAAGGGACTTTAACACTCACGGCACAGGAGACAGCAGGAGCTTCATATGCACTACAGTTCCTCTTGCTCCCCAAGTCCCATGGAGGTGACACAGAGTGACCTAGGCTAATGCTGTGCATGTAATGGGTTTGTGTCATAGCTGAGGAATCCAGAACTTAGGAAGCCCAAATCTTTTATAATAGGCTGAAAACAAACCTGCTCAATCTTTTCCCCAAGGGAAACATTATTTTCATTATACTGGAAAGTAAACAAACGTGTCCTCCGCTCTGGAGGGAGGTACTGTCTTTATTTTCCGAGGCTGTTCGTTACATAAACTTCCCTGAAAAAATAGCTAATAAATAAATAAATAAGAAAGCCGTCAGTGCCTCTGCTCACAAAATATGCAAAAACACAAGACCTATGGAGAATTTTCTCCCAACAATTATAACTATACTCTTGCATATACTTTCAAGTTCCTTGCTGCTCTTTCTTTCCATTGTATTTACCTGGCAAACCCCCACCCTGATTAAATAAAAACCTCCTATGGCCTGACACCCAAGCAGCTGATCATCTGATGAACTTAATCTCCCACTCACCTGAATGACTATTTCTCATTTTCTCCGCTTCTCAAATAACCAATATCTTCTCACCTTCCTCCATCTCAATTGATAGTCTTGCTTATTTCACTAAATAGTAGCAAGCAGAAAATAATTTTTACATACATCTACTACCAAATCTACCAACCTACCTGCAACTGTACCCATATACTCTGCCTTCCCTCCTGTTACAATGCCTGAACTGTTTGTGCCAACCTTCCTCCCCACTTCTGTGCATTGGATCCCATCCCTTTCATCAACTCAGAGACTTGACATCTGCCAATTGTGCCTTCCCTCATTATCAAGATTTTTTTTTCTTTCATTCGTTGAATCATTCCCCTTACCACACAAACACATTGAATTACCCCTCATCTTAAAACAAAAACCTCCCTTGACCCCTAAATATTGCTCCTGCTCCAACTCAATGTACCTGCTTGCCTTTCATAAAAACTGTCTTTAACAGAACTCACTTTCTCTTTAACAGACTGCAGTCGGACTTTGTCTCAACTACTCCATCAAAACAGTCCCTTCAAGGTCATCAGTTATCTCTATCTTGCCAAATTTGGAGTGATTCTTCAATTCTCATCATATTCACCTTAGCAGCAGCATTCCACATGATTAATTACACTCCTACTTGTAAAACACTTTATTTGGCTTAAAGGTTACCATCAGGGTTCACCAACTAGCTCAATGGCTATTCTTCAGAATCCTTTGCTATATCCTTCTCATTTCCTAACCTCTAAATGTTGAAAGGTCCACAAATCCTCAGAGCTCTTCTAGCTATACTCACTCCCCAAAGCAGTTATGTCCCACCCCAGCCAAAATCTGGGTGGAATGCAGGCTTCACTATTTTTAAAAAGCTCCACAGGTAATTCTAATGTACAACCAGGGTTAAAATCACTACCCTACATGACTTCATCCAATAGCATGACTTTAAATAACACTTATACTGAGAGCACTTACAATTTTATCTGTCTTGACATTTTTCTCAAATTCAGATATCCAGCCACCTCCTTGACACTTACGAGTCTAATATATTTCTCAGACATAACATGTCAAAAAAACTCTTGATTTTCTCTTCCTACTTGTTCCTTCTCTAATCTCCCCATTTCAGTAACTCTTGCTTCAATTTACCATTTACACAAGACAAAAGCCTTGAAGCCATTCTTGATTCCTATCTTTCTTTCACACCTCACATTCAACATACATCAGCAAACCCTATCAGCTCTATCTTCAAAATATTTCCAGACTCTAGCCAATAACCAAGTCCAATGATGTTATACTATTCCAAGCTACCATTGTTCCTCATCTTAGAACACTGCACCCTTACTACCTACACCTTTAACTACTGATAGAAGTCAGAGATAATCTTTTAAAACGTTAAATCACATCTTGTCATTCTTCCACTCAAAACTTTCCGATGGTATCCCATCTTATCCTGAATAAAATCTAAAGTTCTTACCATAGTTTACAAGGATTTGCATAATGTGGGTGCAGGTGTTAACCCTGCCCTTGCTATCTCTCTGACATCATCTTCCACCTTTCTCCCACTATTGACTCTGGTTCAGCCACTTGGGCCTCCTTGCCATTCCTAAAAATATCAAGCACACTCCTTTGTTAGGGTTTCTGCACTTCAGTTTCCTCTGCTTAGAATGTCCTTTCCCCAACTACCACCGCTTCCCCTCAGATATTTGCATGGCTCATTTTTTCAAGCAAAACACAGGCTTACAACCCAAGAATTCCAAGCCTTTGAGTACCTACTCGAAGGAAATAAAAACATACATCCAACAAAAGACATGTATATGAATATTCACATCAGATTTATTCATAATACTCTAAAGTAGAAACAACTCTAATGCCCATCAATAAGTTAATGAATGAACAAACTTTGGTATAATCATAGAATGAAATATTACTCAGCAATGAAAAAGAACAAACTACAGTCACAGGTAATACAGGTGAATCTCAAAAACATTATGCTGAGCAGATGAATCCAGATATATAAGAATATATATTGTATGGGTAGTAAGAAATTTGGCCTCACCTAAGGAGAAGTCTGGCCATTTTCCCAGCTCCTGGGAGATAACCTCTAAAACCTTGGCATTTCTGGAGTGATTAGAGTGTTTTTTGTATTCGTGGTGGCCCCAGACCACACCTGATAGTTTGTAATGATATGACTCATGTTGAGCATCTGATAGTTTATGCTAACTCTGGATAAGGGCTGGCCATGCCTGAAACACCAACCATATGATTAGCAAGTTGGGGCTTTGAATCATATGATATCACCCCAATGTTCAAGAAGAGGAAAAGAACTAGATATTGAGGTCAACAATGTGGAGCATGATCCATTCAATCATGCTTATATAATGAAGCTTCAATTAAGAACTCTGGACATCAAAACTCCAGTGAGCTTCCTGGGTTGGTCATACTCCATGCATATTATCATACCTCAATATTGGGAAGGTAACACATCCTGAGGACAACAGAAGCTTCGCATTTGGAGCCATCCCAGACTTCACCCTATGTGTCTCTTCCTTTGGCTGATTCTAATTTGTTTCCTTCTGTTATAATAAAACTGTAATCCTAAATATAACAGTTTCCTGAGTTCTATGAGTTGTTCTAGAAAACTGTCCAACCTGAAGGAATCCATGTGGACCACGAATTTGTAGCCAGCTAGCCTGAAGTGAGGGTGGCCCTGGGGACCCCTGAATTTGTGGTGTCAGAAGTGAGGACAGCCTTTGGGAACTGTTCCCTCCACCTGTGCAGTTCAGCTACACTCCTTTGCACTGTATGACTCCATTTTTATAAAATTTATGAAATTCTTGAACAGAAAAAACTAAAGGGACAGAGAAGACACCAGTGGTTGCCTTAGACCAGGTAGGAGCAGGGGTGACTGACTCCAAAACAGGTGAAAAGAATGTGCTATACATTTTCTTGTATACATTCTAGTGTATACATTTTTCACAACTAGTCAAATTTTATAGTCAAATAAGCACATTTTATTGCATGTAAATTGTATCACAATACATTTGGCTTAAAAGAAAAAGTCCTATGTCTGATATTACTGAGAATGTTGTTCATTCTATCACTTGATATCCCTTTTTATTAAGAGCTGCAGAACAGTTTCCTATCTACTCTTAGCCTAAGGAACATTTGTATTTTTTCCTAAATTGTGATTTTTCTTTAATAACATAATTGGCAACTGAATCCTCAGACCAAAATGTGAACACAAGTGTGTAGGCTACCATAGTTGACTTTTTCAATGTCATTCCTGGCTTGAATTTGCTCCTTTTCCTGCTTAGGTTTTAATGAATATTATGTTGTATTTTGCAAATACCTATAAGCTGCCATATTTTTTCTGGAAAAGGAGGTAAAAATTTTTTCTAAATATATCTGTAATATTTTAGTACAGATTTGAAGGAAGATTTTTTTTGTTCTTTTACAAAAACCTGAAAAGATAACTATGTTGCTTTGTTAGACAGTATCTGGATATCCAACTTAGCTTTCTTAAAAAAAAAAAAAAAAAGCTTCAGGCTCTTAGAAGTTGCCCAGAAATTACCCATAAACTACAAAATGTGTTCAAGCCTCATCTATGCTTCCTAAAATTATTTTGATTTTGTATATTATTTTAGATCTGCATTATAAAATATATTCTATAAAAGACATGAAAGTAAGATTTTGCATAGTTGTGAACACTTTCAAGGATGAATTATCCATTTGAAAATTGCTCTTAAAAATTGATAGGCAAATAAAATTTCAATTTAAAATACAAAATATCTGTTCACTGTAAAACTCTTTTGACTTTTCTACATGCTTATACTTTTTCATAAAATGTTTGAAAAAATATGGCAAAATGTGAAAGTGATAATATAAGAAATCACAAAATTTGTAAAAATCTGTAAGTTAAATTGTGGCTCCCCAAAATAGAGACTAGCAGCTGAAGCACCAGAAACGATACTCAGTCAGATTGTGCTTGTTTCCGTTCCAGATATGAGTGAAGTTATATAAATAACAAAATCCCATACACAAAAAATTTTTTTTAAATAACAAAATAAAAATAACAAAATAATAAAATCCCCTAAGTCTCTTCTCAAACTTTACTGTGCATATTAGTCACCTGAGGATCTTGTTAAAATGCACATTAGGTCTGGAGTGGAGTCTGAGATTATGCATTTGTATCACATTCCCAGTTGATGACAATGCCCTTGGTCCATGGACCACACTTGGAGTAGCAAGATTCTTTTTATAATTTTTTTAAGATTCAATAAAGCCTCAGCACTTTTAAATATATGCCAATAGCTGCTTATCAATACCAGTATCTTTTCTTACCACTTTGAACTTCCTTAGTATGAAACCTCAATGTTGAGTTGAACACAACCTAGGCTTAGTTTGCTTGAAAGGGTCGCTATGACCTCTAGAAAGTTAACTCAAAGTACGCAATAAAAAAAAGTTCTGAGTTGTACTAGCAGGGGTATATTTGGGTCATCTATCTTCTAGACAATTAAGACGTAATTACACAGGAAATGTGTGACAAAATGTGTTAACATTCTACTTATGTCCATCTACTCCTGTGTTTGTTCAGAGATATTTCAAAGCAAATCAGCACATTTGTTTCTATCTTGAGAATTTTAGTCTCGACCAGTCATATCAAAAAGTTCAGCTATCTAAAGAATTCTTTAGTCCATTCCCATCATGATTGATATCCTAACCCTTCAGTGGAAGTAACATTCTCCCCTGTTTGAGGTAAATGATCTCTTGCAGGCACACCATTTGGATACCGAGAAGAGGTAATTTATCTCAAGTGGGCAAACACTATAATGAAAGCAAGAAGGTTGCCACCTGTCCAGTATTTACAGAGGCAACATGAAAACTGGGGTCTTTGCCCACTCTCTATAAGTTCATCATCAAAGTTTAGGAAGGTAGCTGGGGCAGCCACCTTTAGCACTTTCTACGCATTGAATTCAAGCTATTGTTATTGAACCTCCTGTTTCATGAAAAGGTAAAAAGTAATATGCAGGTCCCATTAAGACATCAGTGCACAAGAAAGAAATAAAACAATGAATATTTACAGGACATTTACAAACACTAGGCAGGTTACATTTCTTCTTAATGTAAAGAAAAGCTAGGAAATTTTATTAGCCAAATTTTACAGATTAGGATACTGAGGCTGAAATGAGATTAAGTAATTTGCCCAATAACACACAAATAGTAAGCAACGGTACCCAGATTCAAATCTAGAGTCCAAGTTCTTAACCAATACTTTAATGTATATCCAACACGTTTTACAGTAAATTTTCTTTCCTAATTAATAGTATGCATATAATTCAGAACTTACTCTAAATAGATAAAAACCTACTCTTTAAAAAGACTGAATGTTTTTTACCTTAGAACAAAGATAATATGAAAAGCCATACAGTTATTATTAAAAGCTTAGTACTGGCATACATGCACCACAGTTTTCCTGGGGCTAAGAAGAAAAGGGGTCAGTGATGCTATTAATTTGTAATCCCAATATTTAAAATGGCTTAAATTTTTAGCAAGTTCTCAAAAACAAAAAACAAGAAGTACAAAAAGATAAAAACATACTTCTGCCTCATAACAAACATCTTCTTTCACTTCAGAATTTTCAGAATACTTACTAAATAGATTTCCCCAAGATTCTGTCATTTCTATTTCCTACTTGGCTAAAATAATTAAGATACTGCTCATAATTTAACATGATTCAAAGGACAATGAGTCAATTACAAATCAAAGCTAAACTGATATTCCTGCTACCTGTCCTATGATGAAAATATCCTACTATGAATCAGTTAAATTATGGAATATACAAATAATTAAATATTACTCAGAAATTAAAAATCATTCTCTAAAAGAATATTAATAGAAATGGAAAAACCCTCAAAAAGTAAAGCTTTTTTAAAAATGAAGTTATGACACTGTATCATAAGCAAAGTACAGTGTCACTTCTGTGAGTTTTCTTGCAAAAGATGCACAAGCTGAATCTAATCATGAGGAAACATCAGACAAATCAAAACTAAGGGATATTCTACAAATAACTAGCCTGCAATCTTCAAGAAGGCCAAGATCATGGGCAAGAAAAGACTGAGGAACTCTTCCATACTGGAGACTAAAAAAACATGACTAAATGCAACACATAATTCTAAACTAGATCCTTCTGCTATATAAAGAACATAGTCGGGACAACTAGGGAAAGTTTAATGGGATCTGAATGACAGTAATGTATCCATGTTGATTTCCTGATGTTGACAGTTGCATTCTGGTTATACAGGAGAATAACCAGAATGCAACTGTGAAATACACACTAAAATATGCAGTCTTTGAAATGCATACTAAAACAAGAGGGAGTGACACAGCATCATACTATCAACCTGCTCTCAAACTGTTCAGCAAAAAGAAAAGTTCTTTGTTATGTACTTGCCACTTTTCTGTAAGTTTTATATCACATTTTAAATGAAGATATAAACCTATGTACTCTATGATATTATCAATATCACTTGTTAGTCTATTAGTGGATGGATAGGAGGAAAGGAGGAAGGCTGGAGAGAGGGAGGGAGGGAGACGAAATACATTGGAAGAACATATTCAAATGTTAACAGTAACTATTCCTAATACACAGCAATGAAAAAGAATGAAATCATATCCTTTGCAGCGACATGGATGCAGCTGGAGGCCACTGTATTAGTCTGTTTTCACACTGCTGATAAAGACATACCCGAGACTGGGCAATTTACAAAAGAAAGAGGTTTATTGCACTTATAGTTCCACATGGCTGGGGAAGCCTCACAATCATGGTGGAAGATGAAAGGCGTATCTCACATGGCAGTGGCAAGAGAGAAAATGAGACTCAAGCAAAACAGGCTTCCCCTTATCAAACTATCAAACCTTGTGAGACTTATTCACTACCACGAGAACAGTAAGAGGGAAACTAACCCCATGATTCAATTATCTCCCACTGGGTCCCTCCCACAACACATGGGAAATATGGGAGTACAATTCAGAGATTTGGGTGGGGACACAGCCAATCCATATCATTCCACCCTGACTCCCTCCCACATCTCATGTCCTCACATTTCAAAATCAATCATGCCTTCCCAACCATCCCCCAAAGTCTTAACTCATTTCGGCATTAACTCAAAAGTCCACAGTCCAAAGTCTCATCTGAGACAAGGCAAGTCCCTTCCACCTATGAGCCTGTAAAATCAAAAGCAAGTTAGTTACTTCCTAGATACAGTGGAGGTACAGGCATTGGGTAAATACAGCCATTCCAAATGGGAGGAATTGGCCAAAACAAAGGGGCTACAGGCCCCACGCAAGTCCAAAATCCAGCAGGGCAGTGAAACGTTAAAGCTCCAAAATGATCTCCTTTGACTCCAGGTCTCATATCCAGGTCATGCTGATGCAAGAAGTGGGTTCCCATGGTCTTGGGCAGCTCCACCCCTGTGTCTTTGCAAGGTACAGCCTTCCTCCAGCTGTTTTCAAGGGCTGGCATTGAGTGTCTGTGGCTTTTCCAAGTGAACAGTGCGAGCTGTCAGTGGATCTACCATTCTGGGGTCTGGAGGATGGTGGCCCTCTTCTCACAGCTCCACTAGGCAGATGCCCCAGTAGGGACTCTGTGTGGGGGCTCCTACCCCACATTTCCCTTCCACACCACCCTAGCAGAGGTTCTCTATAAGAGCCCCACCCCTGTAGCAAACTTCTGCCTGGGCATCCTGGCATTTCCATACATCTTCTGAAATCTAGGCAGAGGTTCCCAAACCCTAATTCTTGACTTCTGTTCACTCGTAGGCTCAACACCATGTGGAAGTTGCCAAGGCTTGGGGCTTGCACCTCTGAAGCCATGGACCAAGCTCTACGTTGGCCCCTTTCAGCCCCACAGCTGGAGCAGCTGGGACGCAGGGCATCAAGCCCCTAGGCTGACCACAGCACGGGGGACCCTGGGACTGGACAATGAAACCATTTTCTCCTAAGACTCTGGGCCTGTGATGGGAAGGGCTTCCGTGAAGACCTCTGACGTGACCTGGAGACATTTCCCCATTGTCTTGGAGATTCAGCTAATTGTTACTTAAGCAAATTTCCGCAGCCCACTTGAATTTCTCCTCAGAAAATTGGTTTTTCTGTCTACCACATTGTCAGGCTGCACATTCTCTGAACTTTTATGCTCTGCTTCTCTTATAAAACTAAATGCCTTTAACAGTACCCAAGTCACCTCTTTTGCTGCTTAGAAATTTCTTCCACCAGATACCTTAAATCATCTCCCTCAAGTTCAAAGTTCCACAAATCTCTAGGGCAGGGGCAAAACACCGCCAGTCTATTTGCTAAAACATAACAAGAGTCACCTCTGCTCCAATACCCTACAAGTTCCTCATCTCCATCTGAGACCACCTCAGCCTGGACCTTATTGTCCATATATCTATCAGACTTTTGGGCAAAGCCATTCAGTAAGTCTCTAAGAAGTTCCAAATTTTCCCACATTTTCGTGTCTTCTTCTGAGCCCTCCAAACTGTTTCAACCTCTGCCTGTTACCCAGTTCCAAAGTCGCTTAAACATTTTCAGGTATCTTTCCACATTTTCAGGTATCTTTTCAGCAACGCCCCACTCTACTGGTACCAATTTACTGTATTAGTTAGTCCATTTTCACACTGCTGATAAAGACATACCCGAGACTGAGCAATTTACAAAAGAAAGAGGTTTATTGGATTTATAGTTCCACATGGCTGAGGAGGCCTCACAATTACAGTGGAAGGTGAAAGGCACATCTCACATGGTGGCAGAAAGAAAGAGAAGGAGAATGAAGCAGAATGTGTTTCCCCTTATCAAACCATCAGATCTTGTTAAGACCTATTCACTGCCATGAGAACAGTATGTGGGAAACCACCCCCATGATTAAATTATCTCCCACCAGGTCTCTCCCACAACATGCCGGAATTATGGGAGTACAGTTCAGGATGAGATTTGGGTGGGGACATAGAGCCAAACCATTATTAGCCATTATCCTAAGCAAATTAACACAGGAACAGAAAAGCAAATACCGCATGTTTTTACTTATAAGTGGGAGCTAAGCATTGGGTATACATGGACAAAAAGATGGGAACAGACACTGGGGACTACTAGAGTAGGGAGTGAAAGAGGTGGGTAAGGGCTGAAAAACTGCCTACTGGGTACTATGCTCACTACCTGGGTGACAGAATCATTCGTACCCCAAACCTCAGCATCACACAATATACCCACATAACAAATTTGCACATGTATTCCCTGATCTAAAATAAAAGTTGAAATTATTAAAAAAGAAAAAATAACAGTAACCATTCTTGTGTGAGCTGATAGAAAAATATTTTTTGTTTCTGTTATTTTTATTCTTTTCTAATTCATTTTTTTCAAGTTTTCTGAATTGACCAGTTTTCCTTTGTAATGGTAGGGTGGGGCAGTAGATGTGGAGGTAATAAATGATATTTGCTTTTTAGAAAGTAAATCCTCTCTATGTTGAGTTTGTTGATTAGTGGATCCATCTACAAAATATCCCTTCTCTGTTGCCACCTTCTAGCTAGCCAGCCAGGAATAACCATGTGATTCAGGTTCAAGTCAATGAAACAAGAAGAGAAAACTGCTGGGTAAGCTTATGGGAAAGCTTTTGCCTTCCTGACATAAAGGAATATATTCAGCAGCCACATCTCTTCACATCTGTAACAGCTTTCTAGAGATATAATTAAACATCATACAGTTTGCCCATTTAAAGTATACAAATCAATGTTTTGTAGTATACTCACAGAGTTGTGCAACTATAACCACAACCAATTTTAAAACATTTTTATCAACCCCAAAAGAAACTCTATATCCATTAGCAGTCACTTCCCATACTCCCTTAACCCTCACTCCAGCCTTGGGCAATCACTAATCTACTTTCTATCTCTAGATGTGTCTACTCTGGACATTTCAAATAAATGGAATCATGCAATATGTGATCTTTTGTCACCATCCTCTTTCACTACATAATGTCTTCAGGGATCATTCACATTATAGCATGTAGCAGTACTTTATTCCTTTTTATGAACTAATAATATTTCATCATTTAGATATCTATCCATTAATCAGTTGATAGACATCTGGGTTTTCTTTTCACTTTTTGACTCACGCGTACTGATGCTATGAACATTTGCAAATGTATCCAATTCACAAACACTTGAATTGGTTTGTGTTTGTATGAATGTATGTTTTCCTTTCTCTTTCTCTTGGATACATTCCTAGGAGTGAATTGCTAGCTCATATGATAACTCTATGCTTAACTTTTTAATGAACTTCCAGACTCTTTTCCAAAGCATCTGTATCCTTTTCATTCCTACCAACAATGTACGAATGCCTTCACATTTTGCCCTTCCCTTTTCCTTCTTGCAAAAACACAATCCTAATGCCTGAAAGTAGAGTAGCCAGCTTAAAACTAAGAGGCACAAACATGAACACGTTAAGGACAGCAGAGAAGAAAGAACCAGTCTAGATTTCTACTTACCTCTAGACTTCCTATTATCTGGGAGGAAAAATTCCTATTTGATTAAGGTATTTTAAGTAGGGTCATCCAATAATTACAAAGAAGGCAAACCTCTTTCAAACATACAATGTCATCCTATTCAGAGAATAAACTTCTCCTTGATCTTTATATACTAATTTATAACAGAACCATCTTTTTAAAATTTATAGCTACATATAACATTTAAATTACCTTGAAATTCTAAGATCAACCAATGTATTTTCATTTGACCTTATTTTTTACAAAATCTATTTATTATTCTGTTAATGCAATAAATATTAATAATGACCAATATATGAACTAAGCAAAGCAAGCAAACCAGTAATCAAAGACTCTTCTAAGCACTTTAAAAATGTATTCATTTAGTCTTCTAAATAACTCTATGAGATAGGTAAAACTACTTTCCCCATTTTATATATAAACAAATTGATGCACACAGGATTTAAATAACTTGCCCAAGGTCACACAGCTAGTGTCAGAACCAGTATTCAAAGTCAGGCAGAATTCCTGCTTAACCCTAAAGTATTGCCTCCCCTGTAGAGCAGCTTAGCAATTTTAGGATAGAAGATTAATAATTAGTAGCCTGAAAATGTATAAAGGGGTGTGTGTGTGTATGCGCATGTGTGCTCATTTATGTTATACTCTACATTCACAGTGAGATGAGTAATAAGGTGACAACTATTTTTTTACCACCCACCAACTGCCAGGTATTATACACAATGCTCAAAAAGTATTATCTCACTAAATCCTTGGAACATCCAGGAGGAAGATAATATCTTCATTTATAGGCAAAGAATCTGAGACCCAGTAAAGTTAAATAACGTGCCCAGTTTCACACAACTGATAACTAGATAACTGATAACTACATTTGGATACAAAATCAAATCCGCTTTGTTTAAAGCTAATGCTCTCTCTACCATACAATAATGTTTACCTGTTTAGGTTATTCATATGCTAAATTGGAAACTCCACATGACTATATAAGCTCTTATGGTTTTATATTTATTACTGTCATTATTCTCTCTTCATAACTACTCATACGCTTTAACTTTCTGAAAATATGTTCCCATCCTTTCTGTCAAAATACCTGAAATTTCTACTACAAAAATATAACTTAAAATGAAAACACATGACCCTGGAAAAATATTATATAAACAAACCCCTCATCATGTTTGAAGAAATTATTCTAAAAGCTCAGATGGTCAAGTTATATCCAGAGAGGGTCCACACTGATAATTTTGTGTCAGTCCAATAATATTCCTTTATCTACCTGTATGGACCATATTCCTTCCAATATTCCTCATGACTGTGATACATCAATAATTCTCTTGCTTTAATTAACAATCACTTACTCTTCTCAAAGTCGTGTTTCTTAGCGAACAAACACTTAAAACTTACCCTAAAAAAAAGTTTTCCTGAACCTGCTATTTCCTCTAGCTGTAAGAGGCACAGCCAGATCTAATATCAAAGGCACCTCTGCTCCTAGACTTAGGCAAGCATGTAAAGACACCACCTTCTACTTGATAAATCTTACCTATGCATATCTTTATCAGGGTCTTAATTATTGTGTCAATATTTTAACATTGAAAGTGTTGTAAGGGGCCACTTTTGTAATGTGCTCAGAGGAAATTACTGCCTAGTTTTATAAAACCTCTGTAATTTGACCCCATGCCAATGATACATCTCTCTTCCGATATGAATAATGGAAAATATCCTTTATTAATCACTATCTATAGGCCAGGTCTGCTAGGCACGGATTTTCAATCTCATCCTTTTAATGTCTGTTCCTTCCATTCTATGTTTATTCCCACAACTGCATCTCTGCTTAACCATGCCCTTCATCTGAATGCCATCTCTCCTCTCTAACTTGCCATCATTCTAAGTCTAGCTAAATCACAAGCTCCTCCCTGAAGTCTTCCCTATACTCATAAGCCCACAATGAGCAGCACCTTCTGTAGATTCTTGTAGCATTAAAAGCCTGTATCTCTTCATCTCACCCTTAATTACATTCTGCTTGAAGTCGCTCATGAGTTGTCATTATTGTTCTCTAACAACTGTGCGTATTAGCGTCAGACCAATTCACACATTTTTATTTTATCTCCTAGAATATATACATAACACAGTGACAAGAAAAAATACATTAAATAAATTAATAACATAAACAAGAAGATAGCTTAAGAAACCAATCTACTTTTAAGCGTCATACTTACAAAGAATATTAGTAACATAAATCACCTTTTTCTTTTTTTATATATGTACTTTAAGTTCTGGGGTACATGTACACAATGTGCAGGTTTGTTATATAGGTATATATGAGCCATGTTGGTTTGCTGCACCCATCAATTCATCATTTACATTAGGTATTTCTCCTAATGCTATCCCTCTCCCAGCCCACACCCCCGACAAGCCCTGGTGTGTGATGTTCTCCTCCCTGTGTCCGTGTGTTCTCACTGTTCAACTCCCACTTATGAGTGAGAACATGCGCTGTTTGGTTTTCTGTCCTTGTGATAGTTTGCTGAGAATGATGGTTTCCACCTTCATCCATGACCCTGCAAAGGACATGAACTCATCCTTTTTGTGGCTGCATAGTATTCCATGGTGTACATATGCCACATTTTCTTTATCCAGTCTATTATTGATGGACATTAGGTCGGTTCCAAGTCTTTGCTATGGTGCCGCAATAAACATATGTGTGCATGTGTCTTTATAGTAGCATGATTTACAATCCTTTCAGTATATACCAGTAAGTGGAATTGCTTGGGTCAAATGGTATTTCTAGTTCTAGATCCTTGAGGAATTGCCAAACTGTCTTCTACAATGGTTGAATTTACACTCCCACCAACAGTGTAACAGCGTACCTATTTCTCCACATCCTCTCCAGCATCTGTTGTTTCCTGACTTTTTCATGATCGCCATTCTAACTGGTGTGCGATGGTAACTCGTTGTGGTTTTGATTCGCATTTCTCTGATGACCAGTGATGATGAGCATTTTTTCATGTTTGTTGGTTGTATAAATGTCCTCTTTTGAGAAGTGTCTGTTCATATCCTTTGCCCACTTTTTGATGGGGTTGTTTTTTTCTTGTAAATTTGTTTAAGTTCTTTGTAGATTCTGGATATTAGCCCTTTGTCAGATGGATAAATTGCAAAAATTTTCTCCCATTCGGTAGGTTGCCTGTTCACTCTCATGATAGTTTCTTCTGCTGTGCAGAAGCTCCTCAGTTTAATTAGATTCCATTTGTCTATTTTAGCTTTTGTTGCCATTGCTTTTGGTGTTATAGTCATGAAGTCTTTGCCCATGCCAATGTCCTGAATGGTACTGCCCAGGTTTTCTTCTAGCGTTTTTATGGTTTTAGGTCTTACATTTAAGTCTTTAGTCCATCTTGAGTTAATTTTTGTATAAGGCGTAAGGAAGGGATCCAGTTTCAGCTTTCTACATATGACTAGCCAGTTTTCCCAGCACACTTATTAAATAGGGAATGCTTTCCCCATTGCTTGTTTTTGTCAGGCTTGTCAAAGACCAGATGGTTGTAGATGTGTGGTGTTATTTCTGAGGCCTCTGTTCTGTTGCATTGGTCTATATATCTGTTTTGGTACCAGTACCATGCTGTTTTGATTACTGTTTTGAAGTCAGGCAGCCTGACACCTCCAGCTTTGCTCTTTTTGCTTAGGATTGTCTTGGCTATGCGGGCTCTTCTTGGTTCCGTATGAAATTTAAAGTAGTTTTTTCCAATTCTGTGAAGAAAGTCAGCGGCAGCTTGATGAGGATAGCACTGAATCTATAAATTATTTTGGGCAGTATGGCCATTTTCACGATATTGATTCTTCCTATCCATGAGCATGGAATGTTCTGCCATTTGTGACCTCTTTTATTTCGTTGAGCAGTGGTTTGTAGTTCTCCTTGAAGAGGTCCTTCACATCCCTTGTAAGTTGGATTCCTAGGTATTTTATTCTCTTTGTAGCAACTGGAAGTGCATGGGAGATCACTCATGATTTGGCTCTCTGTTGGACTGTTACTGGTGTATAGGAATGCCTGTGATTTTTGCACATTGATTTTGTATCCTGAGACTTTGCTGAAGTTGCTTATCAGCTTAAGGAGATTTTGGGCTGAGACGATGGGGTTTTCTAAATATACAATCATCTCACCTGCCAACAGAGACCATTTGATTTCCTCTTTTCCTAACTGAATACCCTTTCTTTCTCTTGCCTGATTGTCCTGGCCAGAACTTCCAATACTGTGTTGAATAGGAGTGGTGAGAGAGAGCATCCTTGTCTTGTGCCGTTTTTCAAAGGGAATGCTTCCAGCTTTTGCCCATTCAGTATGATATTGGCTGTGGGTTTGTCATAAACAGCTCTTATTATTATGAGATACGTTCCATCAATACCTAGTTTATTGAGAGTTTTTAGCATGAAGGGCTGTTGAATTTTGTCGAAGGCCTTTTCTGCATCCATTGAGATAATCATGTGGTTTTTGTGGTTGGTTCTGTTTCTGTGATGGATTATGTTTATTAATTTGCACATGTTGAACCAGCCTTGCATTTTTGATGTGCTGCTGGATTCGGTTTGCCAGTATTTTATTGAGGATTTTTGCATCAATGTTCACCAGGGATATTAGCCTAAAATTCTCTTTTTTTGTTGCATTTCTGCCAGGCTTTGGTATCAGGATGATGCTGGCCTCATAAAAGGAGTTAGGGAGGATTCTCTTTTTCTATTGATTGGGTAGTTTCAGAAGGAATGGTACCAGCTCCTCTTTGTACCTCTGGTAGAATTCGGCTGTGAATACATCTGGTCCTGGGCTTTTTTTGGTGAGTAGGCTATTAATTATTGCCTCAATTTCAGAACCTGTTATTGGTCTATTCAGAGATTCGACTTCTTCCTGGTTTAGTCTTGGGAGGGTGTATGTGTCCAGGAATTTATACATTTCTTCTAGATTTTCTAGTTTATTTATGTAGAGGTCTTTATAGCATTCTCTGATGGTAGTCTGTATTTGTATGGGATCAGTGGTGATATCCCCTTTGTCATTTTTTATTGCATCTATTTGATTCTTCTCTCTTTCTTATTAGTCTTGCTAGCAGTCTATTTTGTTGATCTTTTAAAAAAAAAAACAGCTCCTGGATTCACTGATTTTTTTTAAAGGGTTTTTTTGTGTCTCTATCTCCTTCAGTTCTGCTCTGATCATAGTCATTTCTTGTCTTCTGCTAGCTTTTGAATCTGTGTGCTCTTGCTTCTCTAGTTCTTTTAATTGTGATGTTAGGGTGTTGATTTTGATCTTTCCTGCTTTCTCTTGTGGGCATTTAGTACTATAAATTCCCCTCTACACACTGCTTTAAATGTGTCCCAGAGATTCTGGTATGTTGTGTCTTTGTTCTCATTGGTTTCAAAGAACATCTTTATTTCTGCCTTCATTTTGTTATTTACCCAGTAGTCATTCAGGAGCAGGTTGTTCAGTTTCCATGTAGTTGAGCGGTTTAGAGTGAGTTTCTTAATCCTGAGTTCTAGTTTGATTGCAGTGTGGTCTGAGAGACAGTTTGTTGTGATTTCTGTTCTTTTACTTTTGCTGAGGAGTGTTTTACTTCGAATTATGTGGTCAATTTTAGAATAAGTGTGATGTGGTGCTGAGAAGAATGTTTATTCCTTTGATTTGGGGTGGAGAGTTCTGTAGATGTCTATTAGGTCCGCTTGGTCCAGAGCTCAGTTCAAGTCCTGGCTATCCCTGTTAATTTTCTGTCTCGTTGATCTGTCTAATGTTGACAGTGGAGTGTTAAAGTCTCCCATTATTATTGTGTGGGAGTCTAAGTCTCTTTGTAGGTCTCTAAGAACTTGCTTTATGAATCTGGGTGCTCCTGTATTGGGTGCATATATATTTAGGATAGTTAGCTCTTCTTGTTGAATTGATCCCTTTACCATTATGTAATGGCCTTCTTTGTCTCTTTCGATCTTTGTTGGTTTAAAGTCTGTTGTATCAGAGACTAGAATAGCAACACCTGCTTTTTTTTTTTTTGCTTTCCATTTGCTTGGTAGATCTTCCTCCATCCCTTTATTTTGAGCCTATGTGCATCTCTGCGTGTGAGATGGGTCTCCTGAATACAGCACACCAATGGGTCTTGACTCTTTATCCAATTTACCAGTCTGAATCTTTCAACTGGAGCCTTTAGCCCATTTACATTTAAGGTTAATATTGTTATATGTGAATTTGATCCTGTCATTATGATGTTAGCTGGTTATTTTGCCCGTTACTTGATGCAGTTTCTTCATAGCATCTTAACAATTTGGCATGTTTTTGCAGTGGCTGGTACCAGTTGTTCCTTTCCATGTTTAGTGCTTCCTTCAGGAGCTCTTGTAAGGCAGGCCTGGTGGTGACAAAATCTCTCAGCATTTGCTTGTCTGTAAAGGATTTTATTTCTCCTTCACTTAAGAAGCATAGTTTGGCTGGATATGAAATTCTGAGTTGAAAATTCTTTTCTTTAAGAATGTTGAATATTGGCCCCCCACTCTCTTCTGGCTGTAGGGTTTCTGCTAAGAGATCCGCTGTTAGTCTGATGGGCTTCCCTTTGTGGGTAACCCGACCTTTCTCTCTGGCTGTCCTTAACATTTTTTCCTTCATTTCAACTTTGGTGAATCTATCGATTATGTGTCTTGGGGTTGCTCATCTCGAGGAATATCTTTGTGGTGTTCTCTGTACTTCCTGAAATTGAATGTTGGCCTGCCTTGCTATGTTTGGGAAGTTCTCCTCGATAATATCCTGAAAAGCGTTTTCTAACTTGGTTCCACTCTCCTCGTCACTTTCAGATACACCAATCAAACACAGATTTGGTCTTTTCACATAATCCCCTATTTCTTGGAGGCTTTGTTCATTTTTTTTACTCCTTTTTCTCTAATCTTGTCTTCTCGTTTTATTTCATTAGTTTGATCTTCAATCACGGATATACTTTCTTCCGCTTGATCAAATCTGCTGCTGAAGCTTGTGTATGCTTCATGAATTTCTCATGCTGTGTTTTTCAGCTGCATCAGAAAATTGAGGCCCAGAGAGGTTAAGTCACTTGCTCAGAGTAATGCATTTGAAGCCTGGCAGCTTCAACATGATGGTCATTTATGTTCTTCTCTACACTGGTTATTCTAGTTAGTCACTCGTCTAACCTTTTTTCAAGGTTTTTAGCTTCCTTGCAGTGGGTTAGAACATGCTCCTTTAGCTCGGAGAAGTTTGTTATTACTCATCTTCTGAAGCCTACTTCTGTCAACTCGTCAAAGTCATTCTCAGTCTAATTTTGTTCCCTTGCTGGTGAGGAGTTGTGATCCTTTAGAGGAGAAGATGTGTTCTGGTTTTTGGAATTTGCAGCCTTTCTGCTCTGGTTTCTCCCCATTTTGTGGTTTTATCTATCTTTGGTCTTTGATGTTGGTGACTTACAGATGAGGTTTTGGTGTGGATGTCCTTTTTGTTGATGTTGATGCTATTCCTTTCTGTCTGTTAGTTTTCCTTCTAACAGGCTCCTCAGCTGCAGATCTGTTGGAGTTTGCTGGACGTCCAGTCCAGACCCTGTGTGCCTAGGTATCACCAGCGGAGGCTGCAAAACAGCAAGTATTGCTGCCTGATCCTTCCTCTGGAAGCTTCGTCCCAGAGGGGCACCTGCCAGATGCCAGCCAGAGCTCTCCTGTAAGAGGTGTCTGTTGGCCCCTACTGGGAGGTGTCTCCCAGTCAGGCTACACGAGGGTCAGGGACCCACTTGAGGATGCAGTCTGCCCGTTATTCGAGCTTGAACACCATGCTGGGAGAACCACTGCTCTCTTCAGAGCTGTCAGGCAGGGGAATGTTTAAGTCTGCAGAAGCTGTGCCCACAGCTGCCCCTTCCCCCAGGGGCTCTGTCCCAGGAAGATGAGGGTTTTATCTATAAGTCCCTGAATGAGGCTGCTGCCTTTTGATCAGATATGCCCCATCCACAGAGCTGGAATCTAGAGAAGCAGTCAGCCTTGCTGAGCTGCGGTAGGCTCCGCCCAGTTTGAGCTTCCCGGCAACTTGGTTTACACTGTGAGCATAAAACCACCTACTCAAGCCTTGGCAATGGCAGACGCCCTCCCCCCGCCAAGCTCCAGCATCCCAGGTCATTCTCAGACTGCTGCACTAGCAGCAAGGATTTCAAGCCAATGGATTTTAGCTTGCTGGGCTCTGTGGGCATGGGACCCGCCGAGCCAGTCACTGGAGAGAATATCCTGCTCTGCCAGTTGTGAAGACTGTGGGAAAAGCTGAGTATTTGAGCAGAAGTGTACCATTCCTCCCAGTACAGTCTCTCACAGCTTCCCTTGGCTAGGAAACGAAAATCCCCTGACCCCTTGTGCTTCCCAGGTGAGGTGACACCCCGCCCTGCTTCAGCTCACCCTCCGTGGGCTGCACCCACTGTCCAACCAGTCTCAGTGAGATGAACAAGGTACCTCAGTTGGAAATGTAGAAATCACCCGTCTTCTGCATCAATCTTGCTGGAGTTGCAGACCGGAGCTGTTCCTATTTGGCCATCTTGGAAGCACTCAAATCGCCTGTTTCTTAAACCAAATCTAAAAACTATTTCTAAGCTCTTTCAAGAATGTTCAGTTTTGCTTTGAAGTTATAATACCAAAATTCTTAAAATACATTTAGTTTAGACTTTTATTTCAGACTTCAAACCCAGTATCTTGAGGTTCTGCCAATACATTAAATATGCGCATTGCTTACCAACATCGATGGCCACAACTTAAAAATAATCTTTAAGTTTCCTACTACAAAAGTCTAGGTTTAGATATTTGAAATCACAATGAATAATCTATATTTGCACAGTGGAATTGTCTAAGAATTAAATCCCAAATTATCATTACATATAGGCTTACATTTCATTAAACAGACAAATCTTAAGTCCATTACACAATTTTAACAATTAATGTGTCTGAAATGACCATAATTAGTCCAATTAGTTTTCATTGAACCTGTCAGACAAAATATCATGCAATCCGAATCATAAAAAAAAACTTGCATTTTAAACTTTTGTAAATTGCTGATAATAGGTGGTTCCACACCAGGTGGAAAGGAGCAGACTATCCAAATTAATTCCATCTAAAATAAACTAGAAAAAGTAAAAAAATATATCACAAAACGAGAGATAAAAATTTTCTACTGGCTCTCATATTACTCAAGCTTATGAAATTTACAGCCAGAAGTAGAAGTGAAATAAGGCCAAAACATATGAAAAAACATTGCCAGTATTACTTAATAAAAAGCTGATGATGAGCTTTCCATAGGAAAAACAGATAGAAAAAAAGAAAAGGTGGATACATTCACCAAGAAATGTCATTTCCCCATAAATAGAGACAAAATTTATATTAATTTACATCATTAAGTACAGAGTTAACAATCTCTCTATGACTGAATAAAATAAAGATAAAAACAAATATATTTCCCCCTATATGTTTTATTAGAATTTGTGACATAAAGAATTTCTGGATATTTGTTCTTAAATGTATTTTGCAAGGACATAAAAGAAGGAACCATACCTGCTTTACCAATGACGTCTTGTAATTCAGCCATAGAACTGATTATTGCAGCAAGAAGGTCAGAACTGGTGAGCCAACTGAGCGCTTGTAAACAACGCAACTGCTCCTTTTGATGTTCTATAAAATTGAAAAAATCCATTGTAAAATTCTACAAAACTTTATTAAAATCTATATTTAAAATTCGTAGCAGTGTTCAGCTATTTAAGAAACAGATAAAACCCTATTGTGAACATTGCCTAATGTGGAAAAATCTATTAAATGTTAGATTAGCTTGACCTAATTTACAAATAACTGTAAATGACACCAAATAAACAGAAAAAAACAAATTTTCTTTAGTTTTACTTATATTACTTAATAGTCTGCTTTTTAAAAATTAAAACAAATTGTTTCTTCAAAATAGTTATGCATTCAAAACACAACTGGAAAATTTACATTTGTCTCATTTTCACACAATTCTTCAATATATTTTTAACCCATTTCATACTTATTCATAGAAACTGAAAATAAATTATACTGGTAATTTGAAACAGGGCAGTTTTTGATTGACATAACTGAAAAATCACTGTATAAACTCTCCACTTTACTGCAGAGGATTCAAATCTAAAACAAGACAAAGTTGAAATTATATATATTTGCCACCTAATATTTTAACCTGTTTAAAACAAAAAATCACAGCCTAATTTATACAAAAATATTCACTTATCCATACACACATATACGTACATATGGAGACTATGTTATATTATTTGGCATATTACATGATTTTTTAAGAGTTTTTCCATAATAGCCAGGTATAGTCACACTGTATTTCGCTTACATGCAACTTATATTTTTAAAAGCAGAAATTATCTTACTTGGAAATTTATGCTTGTCTTGGGGCTCTCCTGTGCACACTAACATGCCTATGCCTTCTTTGAAACTCTCCATCCAGGTAAAAAGAGAGGCACATGATTGGCCCAAAATCTTGAGTCTGTTTGCTGCCAAAACAGCAATAACACCTTTCCGAAATATACGTATCAATCCTTTGAATGTTTTCTTTTTCATCTTGGCTTCCTCTTGCTTCTTTTCCTCTACAGTTGACAAAGCCTGGGCTAGAGTTCTAATTTCCAGTTTGAACAACTCAAAGGTGTTGACCTGCTCCTGGAGAAAATCTCTCTGTGTAGACAAGGCGCATGATCGGCTATAGAGGGGATATAAGGCACCAGCCATTAATGCACAGGCTGCCAGCAAGGACATCTGTTCCCTTTGAGTCTGTGATAACAGTTTTTTGAAGTGCGAATTTTCAAGAACCAACTGTTCATGTGACTTCTCAATATGGTTCAATTTTTCCATGTTTTTTTCAGCAATTTCTTGAAATTTCTATGGAAGAAGTCAAAAAATATATTTGATCATGAAACAAACAGGCATTATATTAATTTCCCTTTACTCAAAGAAAACAAACTTTTGCTGACAACCACTTCTTCCTCTTTAAAAGATACATGTGCTAAAATATCCAAAATATAAATAAGATAGACATGGCAACAGTGAGCCAAACAGCTTAGATCTGAATGTGCACATTGATTTTTAAATCCTCTCACATAGAAGCTTTATGTAAAGTAGAACACATAAATTTAAGACTATTTCATATATTTCCTGTAGACTTATACATAAACACACAAATTTAGAAAAGAAAAATATGCTTTCTCTGTATAATTTCTCTTCTTCCACTCCTCACTAATTCTTCATTTCTACTTTTAAACAGAAATGACACTGCCAATAGAGGGTTTCCTAGATGTAAAAAAGACTTTACTTTTTACCAAAATAAGCAACCGGTTCAATCAATGATATAACAAATAGCATGGTCTACCATTTACTGCATGAGAAGGCACTGTCTCTCAAGGATACTCACTTAATTTCAGTTTCTGTCTTACCTCCCCATGACAGAAAGCTATACACAGTGCATCTCCAGTGGTGACAGGAAATACTAATTGTGAGCTGGGCCTCAGCAGCCCTCTGCTCCTTTTTGCCTAATCAAGTTGCTTACAATCCAAAACTTAATTTGAAATAAAAAGAAATTTAACTGTAAGAACCACAATTAATCACTAGAAAATAAATTGGCTCTCTCTATGAAATCTTAACCTAATCAGTAAGGAATCTTGAAAGAAAGAGTAAAATTAAGAAGGGACAGGCAAAATGGCTCACGCCTGTAATCCCAGTGTTTGGGAGGCTGAGGCAAGAGGATTGCTTGAGCTCAAGAGTTTGAGACCATCCTGGGCAACATAGCAAGACCCCATCTCCACAAATAAAAAATAAAAAAAATTAAGACAGGAATAGTGGTGTACACCTATAGTTACAGCTACTCGGGAGGCTGAGGTCAGAGAATCAATTGAATCCAGGAGGTTGAGGCTGCAGTGAGCCATGATTATGCCACTGCACTCCAGCCTGGGTAACAGGGCAAGACGCTGTCTCAAAAAAAAAAAAAAAAAAAAAAAAAAAAAAAAAAAAAAAAAAAAAGAAGGTAACAGATCCCAGTTTCCTTTACTATTCACTTATTATTCAATAAACATTTATTGGGGCCAGGCATAAGGGCTCACACCTATAATCCCAGCACTTTTGGAGGCCAAGGTGAGAGGATCACTTGAGGGCAGGAGTTTAGGACCAACCTGGGCAACAGACTAAGACCCTGTCTCTACAAAAAAAAAATTTAAAAATATCAGCCAAGTAGGGTGGTATGTGTATAGTTCTAGCTACTCAAGAGGGTGAAGGTGGGAGGATCTCTTTAGTCCAGGAATTTGAGACCAGCCTAGGTGACAGTGCAAGACCCTGTTTCTATTAAAAAAGAAAAAAAAAAGTATTGATTAGTTACTAAATCACATGTACTCGGAAAAGAGACAAGTAAATCAACTAGCATGGTATAATGCTATGATAGAGATATTCCAGGTTGCCAGAGGAGTACAAAAGGGCACTTAAACTTTGGCAGCCATATTCTATCAATGGGACTATGTCCCAGAACTCCACATAAAGACCATTAGTAAAGCAAGTGGTGGCCCACAGGGAGTGCTAAAAGAAGCAAGGAACTCTGAGAAGCAGTAGCTACGCAGACTGCTTGCAAGAGGATGTGCGACAACCCTCTTAAAGCAGGCACACTTCAAGGAAAAATAAAACTTGACACTTGGCTTATAGCTATATTAAAGCAGGAAGACTAGCATGAGGAAAAGGAAGAGGCAGAAAACAGCATCGTATGCTCTAAGGATGCAAATAATTCAGAATACCTGAAGAAATGAGAGAAAGGATGGAAATTTGAAAAGTACACAGATAACAGAGGACTGAGTACCTTATGTGCTACACTAAGAAACTTAACTTTATCTAGAGAGGTATGAGAAGCCATAAAATCCTGGAACTGTCCCTATTCTTAGTAAAGGGATGTGAGAATCAGAAACATAATAAAGATAGCCAGGGTTAGCAGTAGAGTTGCAGCAGTTGGGAGTAGGATGAGGGGAACAAATGGACATCACAAAGGTTGATTCCATATTCTCTTCAAAATCAATTTCATCTGTTCAATTAGAGAAAAAAAAGAAAATTACAGAAAACCTAGAAAATACAAGAGGCAAACTAGCAACACTTAGATAAGTGAAAATAAAAGTGAACCTCAGTGTCTCAGGCAAAAGTGTTTTCAACAAAAATTACACATAAAATTACAATAAAAATTGTGCATGTAGATACAGGTAGAGATAGAGACACTGTATCCTAAAGTCAGTATCTTAATAATGGAGAAAAACCTAAAGCATTTTTTACCAAGTTCCGGAGCAATGCAAGAACACCCACTATCTCCACTAGTATTTAACATTGTATTTGGTGTGTTATTAGCCAGTACAACTAGGCAACAAAAAGCAAGTAGAGACATAAGAATTGGCAAAGAAGAAGTAAAACTATCTCCATTTGTAGAAAATTTGATCATAAATCTAGAAATAGCAAAAGATCCAATGACAGAATTCAAACAGGAAAAAAAAGTCAGTAAGGTTAAAATATATTAAATTAACATACAAAAAAATCAATAGCTTCTTGTTCACAGCAACATTATTCACAATAGCCAAAAGGTAGGAAAAACACAAATGCCTAACAGAGGATGAATGAATAAACAAAATGTGGTATATCCACACAACAGAATATTATTCAGCCATAAAAAGGAATGAAGTACTAATACATGGTACAACATAAATTGAAAAATTACGCTAAGAGAAAGAAACCAGACACAAAAGGCCACATTTGTATGACTCCATTTATACAAAATATACACACTAGGAAAATTTATAGACACAGAAAACACATTTTTGGTCACCAGAGGCTGAGGAGAAGAAGGAATAAGGAGTGACTGCTTAACGAGTTCAGGGTTTCTGTTTGGAGTGATGAAAAGTTCACGAGCTAAATAGTGGTGATGGTTGTGCAATACTGTGAACACACTTAATGCCACTGAACTGTATACTTTAAAAGGATCAAAATGGTAAATGTTATGTCATGCATATTTTACCACAATTTAAAATATCAATATCCTTAATATATACAGATAAACAAAAAAGAAAATAATGGAAGAGAAAACCCCATTTAGAATTCCATAATAAAAAAGATATAATAATTTAGGAATCAATTTGGCCTGAAATGTAAAAAATCTATATGAGGAAAAGTTTTAAATATGGTTGAAAGACACAAAATAATACTTCAAACTTCAACAGCCTAACTCATCACAAAGATTCAATTATTCCTAAGTAAATTGATAAACGTAGTACAATTCCACCAAAAAACAAACCAGTTTGTTTTCTGGAGCTAGGCAAGCTGAGTTTAACCCTGAAAAAGAAGAGGAATGAGAGGGGAACAGCCCCACCACATATTGAAACACCAACAAAACCTCTAATTAAGGCCGGGCACGGTGGCTCATGCCTGTAATCCCAGCACTTTGGGAGGCCAAGGCGGGTGGATCACCTGAGATCAGGAGTTCTAGACCAGACTGGCCAATATGGTGAAACCCTGTCTCTACTTAAAATACAAAAAAACAATTAGCCAGTCATGATGGCACAGGCCTGTAATCCCAGCTACTTGGGAAGCTGACGTAGGAGAACTGCATGAACCTGAAAAGCAGAGGTTGCAGCAACCCAAGATCACACCACTGCACTCTAGCTTGGGTGACAGAGCAAGACTCTGTCTCACACACACACACACACAAACAAAAACCTCTATTTAAAAAATCACGTTATTTGTACATAAAAAAAAAAAAGACCAATGGAACAGAACAGCTAGAAACAGATCTAAGCACAAAAAAACTTCAATGATAAAGGTAGCAATTCAAAGCAGTAGCAAAAAGACAGACTAAATGGTGGTGAAATAACTGGATGGCCTTCTGGAAAAAAATATAAAAGTTGATCTATACCTGACATTTTATACATAAGTAAATTCCAAATAGACCATAAATCTATATGTAAAAAAAATGAAACCACAGAAATATTAGAAGAAAATACAGGCAAATTACTTAATCTTGTTATAAAGATAGGATTGTTAAAACTAAAAATCCAGATGCATAAAAAGAGAAGATCAATTAACAGATTTAAAAAAAACACATTGGAGGGCCAGGCACGGTGGCTCAAACCTGTAATCCCAGCACTTTGGTAGGCCAAGGCAGGTGGATCACAAGACCAGGAGATCGAGACCATCCTGGCTAACACAGTGAAACCCCATCTCTACTAAAAATACAAAAAATTAGCCAGGCATGGTGGCACGCTCCTGTAGTCCCAGATACTCAGGAGGCTGAGGCAGGAGAATCACTTGAACCCAGAAGGCAGAGGTTGCAGTGAGCCAAGATCGTGCCACTGCACTCCAGCTTGGGCGACAGAGTGAGACTTGGTATCAAAAAAAAAAAAAAATTGGTATTACATAAATAATTTTGTCTCAAAGTTTCCAATTCACTCCTACTAGAACCCAAATCTCAGTGGATACTGTGAGACCTATTATTTCTCTATTTTAATAGGAATAGTTTGAATATTATAGTGCTTATTCATATTCCAGGCATTGTTCTAAATGCTTTACATATATTTTTTTAAATCCTTATACTGAACTATGAGGTTGGCACAGTTTTACTGATAATAAAATTGAGGTTTAGAGAAGTTACACAATTTGCCCACACTCCTTCAGCTGGGTTTATCTAATTCTATCACCTAACTTTTTTGTCTTTACTGAACTAAGGTTCTCCCCTCAGGTACCAACATCCCCACGTCTTCCCCAGTAAAGAATTCACCTTCTCCCACTGTCCTCAACCTGATGAACAAGAAGTTGATCTCTTCCTTTAGTATACAGGCATTAGCCTCACCACTACTTTTCACAATTTAACATGTTCTGTAGAACACCCGGCTCCTTTGCCTTCGATCTCCCCTAACACTATTTGAATACTAACAATCTTCAGAGCCCATTTCAGGTTCTGTCTATTCTATGACTCATTTTACTATCATTTTCCTTCACACTGATATTGACCTTCTCTGAACTTAAGTAAGGGTCACTCAGGCATTTAACTTCTACACTACTTATTTATTTCATGTGTGTATATCTACTCTCCCTCAAATACAAGATTGCTAGTTCCTAGAGGTTAGGAATTATTTACTATAGTGTCTGTCACAGTGCTCTATACTCTGTAGGTATTTAATAAATATTGAAGGAATTAAATAACCCTTTATAAAATCATCCCTGACTTTGCTTAGCACAGTGTTTTGCCCATAATAGACACTGAATAAATGCCCAATTAATGAAAAAAGCTTTAGAGTGTAAAGGCTTAGAAAAAAGAAAAATATAATTTAAAAAAACAAAATTTCCAAATGTAATTTGGAACTTATCTACATGTCAGAATTCTGGTTTAAATTAATTCTGACTTTCCATAGGGAACTACTTTCAGAGGTATTGCATTATTTACTGTGAATTATTCTTGAAGAACAAAGCCTGTTTGATTGTAAGGGTGGAAACAGCTATAGAGCAAATTTGCTTTAAAAAAAAAAATCGAATGTTTTCCACCCAAGGAGATTAAAGGCCAGTATTTTTAAAACAAACATAAGGAACATCGCTTTCATATGGGACAAAAGCATTCCTAGTACTGAAATAACCTGCTCCTCAGTGTGTTTAATTTCGAAAAATAATATTCTCAAATTCCCCCATAAAAACATTCCGATCATGAAGAAAAAAACCTAAAAATATAGAATGCATACCTTTTACACAAAATTCAATAGCATAACAAAAATACTACATAATTTCACCAGTTTTCCTTTACTCTCTAATAAATTCAAAGTGCATCCATAATGTGGAAAAAGGACAGCTTTTTTCCTTAATGAATCACGGACTTACTTCCTGAAATACATGAACTTTGAGGGATGCCTTACTGGCTTACAGCACTCTGTGAACTTTGAGACTCTGGGCCAGAAATTAGACACTTCCCTAGGGAGTAAAATTCTTTTGTATCACTCTTGCTTGCTGAGTTCTTGCTCTTTATGTTGGCAAAAAGGCAAATTGCACACTGGACATTCAATGGCATATAGACATCAAAGGACTTCATTTAAAGTGTCTTATTTTTATAAGTTTCATATCTTGCCTTTTTAAGCTATGGTAATATTTAAAAATATAACAAACATAAATTCACCTGCTTTCTCTATTATGTAAATGTTTCTCTGTTAAAAAATAAGGACACTTTGTAGGGAAATTGGAACTCTCAGACATTGCTAATGGGATTGTAAAATAGTGCAGCCATTTTCAAAAACAGTTTGGCAGTTCCTCAAAAAGTTAAACATAGAATTATCATATGATCTAGCAATCCTATTATCTAGTCTTCATACACACACACACATTCTCAAGCCCCATAATGGTTATTTAATTTTAAAACACTATCTTCATTACGTAAATTTAACACATCAAAAATATGTGCCAAAAATAGTATGTGCCTGGGTTTATTGTTTTGTTTCTAAAGCACTGTAAATTATAAAATACCCTTTGGATAAGCCATACCCTCAAAAGAACAGAGTTCTTTTTATCGGAAGACTGGGAATAAATATGTCAATACAGGCAAGATGTCTGGTTTGCTTACTGTTAAGAGATATTACCTCTGACTGTGGAAAATTAGCAATATTACCTCTAAATTCTGATGTGTCCTATATCTCCCTTCTTTCTGTGCTTTCAGATCCTGGCAACAGGGCCCAGGTTGGCTCCAGTCTCCTCTGCTAAGCCTCCTCAAACTTTGACCATCTATCTCCTCTTCTAAATGTATAGCATTCTTTTGGCAACTAATTATGTACAGCCTATGATAAACCTTGTATTATTTACTTTTTCATGTATCTCCCCAATTATATTTTACACTTTTTGAGGAAAAAAATATATAGTATACCTCTTTGTTACTACCACAGCATGCAACACAGTGTGCTATATATTTGGTATATAACATATATAGTTTTTTATTAATATTAACTAAATTATGTAAAAATTATCTTGATATTCTTATCTACAGTAGCAATTTATGATATAGTGTATTAAAACTTCAGTTTCTCAGAAAAAAAAAATCCGAGAAATACAAATTAAGAGAACTACCATTTGTGGGTGGCTGACAATGTAGCACTATTTAGATTTTTCATACATTATCATGTTTAAACATTAATCAAGAATCACTTAAAAATGTGAGTTCTGGCCAGGCACAGTAGTTCACACCTGTAATCCCAGCACTTTGAGAGGCCAAGACAGGCAGATGGCTTGCGAAAATATGGCAAAACCCAATCTCTACGAAAAAATACAAAAACTTAGCCAGGTGTGGCGGTGCATGCCTATAGTCTCAGCTACTCAGGAAGCTGAAGTGGAAGGATTACCTGAGCCCAGGAGGTCAAGGCTGCAGTGAGCCGAGACTGCAGCAGTGCACTCCACCTGGGTGACAGAGTGAGACCCTGTTTCAAAAAGAAAGAAAGAAAGAAAGAAAGAAAGAAAAAGAAATGTGAGCCGGGCACCGTGGCTCACATTTGTAATTCCAACACTTTGGGAGGTCAAAGCAGGTGTACTGCTTGAGCCCAGGAGTTCAGGGCCAGCCTGGACAACAGGGCGAAACCCCGTCTCTACTTAAAAAATACAAAAATCAGCAGAGCATGGTGGCGTGCCCTGTAGTCCCAGTTACTTGGGAGGCTGAGGTGGGGGAATCTCTTAAGCCTGGGAGGTTGAGGCTGCAGTGAGCTATGATCGCACGACTGACCTCTAGTCTAGGCAATGTAGTGAGGTACTAGCTCCAAAAAAAAAAGGAATATGAGTTCCATAAATATGAAACTGAGGTATCACTATACCTATTTTCAGATATTGCTTTATATATAAAAATAGCATATATTTCTAAAAGAAGCAGTATTACAATATAATGCAAAAGGGACTGGAAGATAAGGATGGTAAAAACGTACTAAAACAGTCCATAACATTCACTTTGTAATTTCTAAATGCCAAGCAATGGGCTAGACATTTCACATATGGTTATGTTTCTTCTAATCCTGTCCCTAGAACTTCCTTACTACACAAGTAAGTAGTATCAGTTGTCTGAACCTCAGATTCCTCGCTTGTAAAATAGAAATGATACTTAAATGACCTATCTCATATGCCTGTGGTAGGGCTTACATAAGGAGAGACATACAAAATATGCAAAAGCATTGAAAATTATATCAAGCACCACGCCAATTCAACTGCTAATATTATAATTAACAAAAACAATTTCTAAAGCAATTATTTGAAAAGTAGTCAGAAGTCTCTTCCACAATTTCATTAGAGGTATCCATTCCCATGGACTCACAGTCTATCAGAACATAGTGTACACGTGATTGTAACTAACTCTCTGAATCGCTGCAGGCTGGCGTGTATACCTTAAGGAATTATCACCTCCAACAATATCAATAAGCTCCACTTTATCTCTGAATATTCTTGGAGTTCAATTATGAAGAAAAAAGTTTCAACATCTAATAACACTTTTATGACTCACCTGGATTCCTTGCCAAATACACTCTCAATACCACAGTAAAAGAAGAATAAAATGCAATATAGCATGATGAACCTGAATCTCCCTGAGTTTTGTTCTCCATTCTAAACTCACTTGATTTTACTAAAATGTCAAATAAATCTAAAGTGTTTACAATAAACATTACATCAAGGGTAACCCTTAATTAACTGACAGTAAAAAAAAAACTTTACTTCTAGAAAGGAAGTCCTTGTTCCAATAACTATCTTTTTCAAATAGAAAAGAAACAAGAACATAAATGCTAAGATTACAAAAACAAAGTTAGTAAATGGAATGGTATGTGGCACTGGGCCCAGATACTTTAGTAGGCATAGACACTTGAGATATATTTACATGATGGCTCAACGTATTTAAATTCAAGAATTACCCAACATGTGGCTAGCAAACTTTACCCAGTGCTAAAGACATGCTGTGATAGTAAAACCAGTCTGCCTTCTCTACAAATTTCATTTTTCTAGTAGCATTTACACTAACTGTTTTAAAGCTTCGACATTAAAAAAGTCTTAGAAATATTAGATTCTTACAAACACTACTTTTCTAACATCTACTACATTTTTTCAGATAAAAGCAATCAAATCCAAATATTGTTTTTTACTTTAATTTAGTGTCTTTTACTAATTGCTTCTTTACAATGGCCAAATATTAAACATAAGACTCTAAGAATAGGTCATTTGTTTCCCAGCAGATGGAATATACTTATGGTTATGCTCATCTGACACCAAACATCCTCTATAACTCACAATCCTATATAACAACTGCGGATTTTTTCCCCTCATGTCCTTATCAACATAATTTTTGAAAATGTATTAAGTAATGTAAAATGAAAATTTTTTATTTGCATTGCACTTTTGGTGGTAAAAGATATAGAATTAATCATAACAAAATTTCCTAAAATAAAATTTACAGGTCCTATAATATGTATTATAATAACAGTTTATCAAACATAATACCAAAATAAATTGCTGCAGTGTATTCAATTATATTTGATAAAAAAGCAAATATGTACATAAATAATACAGAATATATGCCTATTTATTTATTTATTTATTTATTTTTAAATGGAGTTTCGCTCTTGTTGGAGTTTCGCCCAGGCTGGAGTGAAATGGCGCAATCTCGGCTTATTGCAACCTCTGCCTCCTGGGTTCAAGTGATTCTCCTGCCTCAGCCTCCCAAGTAGCTGGGATTACAGGCATGCGCCACCACGCCTGGCTAATTTTTTGTACTTTTAGTAGAAACGGGGTTTCTCCATGTTGGTCAGGTTGGTCTCAAACTTCTGACCTCAAGGTGATCCACTTGCCTCGGCCTCCCAAAGTGCTGGGATTACAGGCATGAGCCACCACACTCAGCCTCCAATTTATAATAGTAATGTACTTTTACAGATAATTAAAATGATCATTTCCATTTGTATACAGATGGGTCAAAGACTAAGGTATTACACATTCTTCAGAGAAAAGTCTTCAATGAGAGCTTCTCCTAAAACATTAGCATTTGTGATGACTGATTCTCTTACTTCAAAAAATGAACTGCAGCTGGGTACAGTGGCTCACGCTTGTAATCACAACACTTAGGGAGACCAAGGAAAGAGGATCACTTGAGGCCAGGAGTTGGAGACCAGCCTGGGCAACATAGTGAGACCTCATCTCTACAAAAAAATTTTAAAAATAAAATTAGTTAGGCATGGTAGTGCATGCCTACAGTCCCAGCTACTTGGGAGGCTGAGGTGGGGGACCACTTGAGCACAGGAGGTTAAGGCTGCAGTGAGCCGTGACTGTGCCACCATACTCAAGCCAGGGCAACAGGGCGAAAGTGTCTCAAAAAGAGAAAAAAGTGAATTGCTATGCCTTCTGGTAGATTTTCAAAGAGTTCAGGACATTGATGAAAAAAGAAGTTGGAAGACTCACACTACCTGATTTTAAACTTAGTAAAAGGTTAAATCAGTATAGTATTGAAAGAAAAAAAGAATTAGACACATAAATAAATGGAACAGACAAGAAAGTCTAGAGATAGATTGACACAAACAGTGAACTGATTTTTGATAAAGGTACAAGGGCAATTCAATAAAGGACAGTGATTTCAATAAATGTTACTGGAATGGACATGAATACGCAAAAAAAAAAAAAAAACTGACCTTAATCGATACCTCACACCTTTACAGAAACTAACTCAAAATTGATCATAGACCTAGATGTAAAACCTAAAACTATAAAACATATAGGGAAAAAAATGGTGCCTATAATCTTAGGCAAAGAGTTCTTACATGTAATATCAAAAGTATAACCCATAAAAAAATTGATAAATGGGTCATAAAAATTTGAAACATTTGCTTTGCAAAAGTACTGCTAAGAGAACAGTAGAAAACATTTACAAATCATGTATCTGAAAAATGACCTGAACCTCCGGTATGTAAATAACTCTCAAAATTTGACGATAAGAAAACACACAATCCAATTAAAAACTGAGCAAAATATCTGAACAGATAACTCACCAAAAAAGATATACAGATAGCAAATAAACACATAAATAAATGATTAATTTATTAGGCAGTAGGGAAAATGTAAATCGAAATCACAATGACATGGCATTACACACCTATTATAATGGCTAAAATTCAAAAGAAAAAAATGATGAAGTCATATGTTGGCACAGGTGCAGACCAAATCAAAATCTCTTACATTGCTAGTGAGAGTGCAAAATGATATAGTCACTTGGAAAAACAACTTAATAGTTGCTTAAGTTACACTTACCATATAACCATATAAATATACACTTACCATATAATCTAGAAATCAAACTCCTAGGTATTTACCCAAGAGAAATGAAAATTTATGATCACACAAAAACCTTTCCATGGATGTTTAAAGCATCTCTACTCATAATTGCCAAAACTAAAAGCAATCCAAAGGCCCATCAGCAAGTATTTGGATAAAATTTTACAGCCATACAATGGGACATTATTCAGCAGTAAAAAGGAATTAACTACTGATATATGCAACAATGTGACTGAATCTCAAATATATTTTGCTAAGTGAAAGTAACCAGACCCAAAAGGCTATATACTGTATGAGTCCATTTATATGACATTCTGGAGAGGGCAAAACTATATAGATGGACAAGTCTGTGGTTTCTAAATATGGCCAACTGTTTTTTCACAAAGGTACCAAGGCTATTCAGCTAGGAAAGTGCTGAACAAGTGAAGTGGGAACAATAAATGAAGAGGGAAAAAATGAAACTCTTCCTAACAGCACACACAAAAATTAATTTGAGAGGGATCACAAACTTAGACGTAAAAGCTAAAACTATGAAACTTCTAGAAGAAACAAGACATTATCTTCCCAACCTTGAAGTAAGGAAAAATCATTTCACATATATAAACAAATAGCCAAAAGAGAAAAAGATTTGTAAGTTGGACTTCATCAAAATTTTAAAACTTATGATCATCAAAAGAAACACTGAAAAGGCAAGCAAGAGATTCAGAGAAAATATTGTGATGCATATACATGACAAAGGATATGTATCCAGGATATGTAAAGAACTCTTAGAAATCAATAATAAAAACCAAATATCTCTATTTTTTAAATGAGAAAACAGTAGAAGAGATACTTTACAAATGAAGATATGTGAATAGCCAATAAGTATATGAAAGGTGCTCAGCATCATGAATTACCAAAAAAATGCAACTTTAAATCACAATGAAACTCCATTTTAAAACCACTATAATGACTAAAATTTAAAAGACTGACAATACCAAGTGCTGCAGAGGATGTAGAACAATGGAAACTTACATGTGTTGCTGGTGGGAATAAAAAATGACACAAGCATTTTTTAGAAACTTTTGACAGTTTCTTATGAACACACATATATCCCATGACCTGGCAACTGCACTTTAGTAATTAAGCGAGAGAAATAAAACCATATGTTGACAAAAGACTTGTACAATAATGTTTGTGGCAATTTTACTTACAATATTTAAAAAACAGAAACAACTCAAATATCCATCAACCCACAATCCATCAAATAGTGGTGCTGTGATAAAATGGAACGCTAGTGACCATAAAGAAGAATGAAGTACTGATTCACACAACAACGTAAATGACATTATGCTCGGAACATTAATATTGAGTGAAATTAGTCAATCACCAGACTATTGAATGATTCCACTTACATGAAATTCAAGAACAGGTGAAAACTAATCTACATGACAGGCATCAGAACAATGGTTGCCTATGAGGCGTAAAACTGACTGGAAGAGAGAACATGAGAACACTCTAGGGTAATGAAAATGTTTGAAGTCTTAAATGGGGTAATGATCACATGGGTGTTTATGTTGATCAAAACATCAAATTGTAGTTACCACAGTCTAGGAAGGGTGTGTTGGGGGAGGAAAGGGATGGAGAGAGGTAGGTTAAAGGGTACAATAATACAGTTAGATAGAAGGAATAAGGTCTAGTGTTCAAAAGCACAGTAAGGTGACTTTATTAACAACAATATATTGTGTATTTCACAATAGCAAGAAGAGAAGATTTGAAATGTTCCCAACACAAAGAAATGATAAATGCTCAAGGTGATAGATATCTTACTCTGGCTTGAGCATTACACATTCTATGCATATATCAAAATATCACATGTACCCCATAAATATGTACAAATATTACATATCAAATAAATACTTTTTAAAAACATCAAATTATACACTTAAGATTTGTGCATGTCACTGTATATCAATGCTACCTCTACAAAATTAAAATTGTTTAGCTCTTTTACTTCAATATTAGAAAATGCAGAGCATATAATATAGTAATCTGCATACAATGAAAAAATTACTACTTTTAGATGGCACGTTTGTTGATTCATTCAAATTCATATAGAAAGGCATAAGTTCATATAGGACCTTTAAATTTGGGGATACAGAATGACCTGATTTAATATAATAATAATAATTTTATTTATGTATGTGTGTGTATATATATTTATATAGTTTGGTTATTTTTAATTAGACTTGCCAATATAAGCATGAATGGATCAAATAAAGAGGCTAAATACCAAATCAACCATGGGAAGAATATACAACCTTCTGGTTCCTAAGTATCCTAACTTAGGAACAAAAGTGACCTATTAATAAATTCAATGCCAAAAAAGTATACCCTATCATCAAGTTATTCCTGATTAGGTGAAGATGATAGTTAACAATATAAATAATGTTGATGATAATTTGTGTAGAAAAAATACATGGTTATGTTAACCCATAACTTCTACTCTCAATCAAGATATAATACATAATACAACTCATAGTGAATTACTTTTGCTACATGGCCTACAACTATAACCTTATATAATATCAGTTATATAATATAACCTTATATAATATCAGCAGGCATAGGAGATTTTAACCCCAAATAAATTTAAATGATGGTTCACATAGGAACCTCCACAAATGGAGTAAACCAGATAAAGGAATACCTACACTAAAACTGACAATACATTACCAAATACTTTAATATTTTATTTTAAAAATAAATAAAGGAAATATAATTTTCGCATTTAATTAACTGACCAATGCATTTTGGGATATTTTAATCAGAAACCCATATATTTCCAAACTTACATGAAAGACAATCCTTAATATACACACCCATACACACACACGTATGTGTGTGTATCTAAACAAATATATGTGTATCTAAACAAGTTCTACGAAGTTCTTAAGAAGTTTAAACTGATTTAGCACTGCTACTGAAAAAAAAAAAGTTTCTAATGGTTACACTGAGTAACCCATTTTTTAAAGCTCTTTGTAAAGGTAGCATACCTGTGCCCTCTTCTGCACCTCCAGGAAGAGTTCAGAATACTGCAGCTCTAGTTCCTTCTTTTGTCTGTGCCAGCAGCTCTCTTGGGCTTTGATCTGTTCTGCCACTTTGGTAAAGGTGTCTTCCTGAGTCTGCTGAAGCTCTCTCATCGTGTCAGACTTGTTTTTACAGATATACTCTAGATGCCTTATCTATACGGGGAGATGCAACAGAGAAGGAAATATGCTCACAAGCTATTTCTTTGTGTCATCTCCCCCAATAAAATACCCAAAATGTCCTACTATATTTTATTCCTTAAGATCATATAAAAATTTTAACATAAAATGTAAATAAAGAAATTTAAAAAAAGAAAATAGCAGTGTAAACTGCCACACGTTAGCAGAAAATTGTGTTACTTGTATATTTAGATGGCAAATTTTTCATCTTCTCTTTCTAATGAAGTTACTTATTCTATAATTAATTTGATTGAGATTGAGAAAGATACTGTTACTTCTGGAACCAAAGCTCAAGCTATTCAAATATCTCAATGGGAAAAAAAGTAAGTAAGATTTAAAAATCTGCAAACAGTTTACATGAAATAAAGCAGAATGTTCTAACCATTTTTTGTTTCACATTCAAACTCTGGAAAGAAAATCCTCATTTTCTAAAATGTATGACTATTAAGGATGTTTTGAAACAATGAAAACTATTGAAAATATAATACCATCTCATAGGGTTAAAACACATTCATTTTAATTATCTTTAATTTTCAAATCCATTATGTACACATTCACAATCAAGAATAGCATCTGTGCCTTTCACAATTTATTCCCTCATTTCCTAGCCCTACTTCTCAGTGTCTATGGTTGTGTTTGTCAATAGGACCAAGATAAAATGCTCAATAATAAAAAATATCACCCTGAAATTAGGTCAATATGCTGTTTTATTACTTCAACAGAATTTTTTTTTTTAACTTACGGGACAGTTTTTCTCTTCTTGTCCCTTAAGAGCACATGTCATTGCAACTAAGACCTGGAAACTAAACCACATAAACACAGTACTGACTAGTTCAATAGACCCAGGATAAGAACCAATGTGTCTTTAATGGTGGCATATGTTGATCTGCTAAGCCACTGTAATTTTCTATGACCAAAAGCAGGTTTTTAAACATTTGTTGGAGACTGATTTCCTAGACTTGTGAGATAGTAATGTTACCATAAAGGTCTACTATATTCTCCTATAAAATACACTTTTTGCAGTCTAAAGCATGGAGTGAGTTTTCTAATATACATTTTGTTGTATTTCGAGAAGCAAATCATAAGCATATAATTTAAAATGTTTAAGCTTTTAAAAATAACACCTTATATTTCCTAAGCAAAGAATTTTAAGATCATGTTTTTGAATAACTATATCCTGCTTCTATTTTATGCTAACATAAAGAGTTGGTTTATTAATGTAAATGACTAAGGTCTTTGAATTGCTTCATCAGTAAGATTAATTTATTTTCTTTTAATTAGGTCCCTGTGGCTAATACTGGCTAGTAGTATTAGCATGTCCTGCACAGAAAGTGGAGCTTAGAGACTTCATACAGACTTCAGTCACATTTACATGCCCACAGCAATGGCATCAAACTGAGTTGTAGACAAGCCATAATTAATGGTATTGAATTATTAACATCCAAATTCTTTTTGAAATAAGATGAATGTCAGCCCCTCTTAATGATACTGTGATGTGGACAAATGTCACTGAATTTAATAGAGGTATCTGGTGCCTGAGGACAGTTACCTTCTCATTAGCCCTGTTGAGGTCTGCAATCAGGGCATCAACATTCTCCTGTAAGACTGCACAAAGCTCAGACCAAGAGAATTTATCCAGCATGCCTTCTGGTTGTTTTATGAGCACACAGCCTGCTACCAAGTGCTGATATAAGGTGTGAAGGAAGGTTAGCTTCTCCTGCAGGAAAAAAAAAAGAAAAATTAATTGCTGTATATAAACATTGTAAGAAGTAAAATACATAATACTAATGGTGAAGAGTTAATTTAAAAAACCTGAAAAGGAATTACAATACTCAAGTCTCAGAATATTTTAATGACTTTTTTTATAATCAAAACTAAGCACCAGATAAAACATTTGGAATTGCTTACACTTGGTATTCAAAATCGAAATCTGAAGTCTGGAAGCCAGAAGACCAAGATTCATCTCCACCTCTGCTACTGATGGAGGTTGTGATTTGAGTAAACACCTGCTCAGGCTTAAGTTTCCTTAGCTATCACACGAAGCATATGGATTGGACTCATTGTTTATAAGCCTATCTAACTGTAACTCAGTACAGTAATTCTATAATTTAATAGTTACATTTGCCAAAATAGATACTACTTGTCAAAAAACAATACAGAAAAAAAGTGTTATTCAACTCTGATGAAAAAAAGTTATACCAATATCTGTACTTTACATGGACACAATTACTCAGCTTTCTTCTTCCTCCAGAGAATCCAGTTTACTTACTACTTATAGGAAATCTATCCCAAGCCCCTTAGGCAAAGCAGATAGTGATATGAAAGATATGGAAGATGGGCTCATTTGTTTTCCCCACTTATAAGTTCATATAGTATTTGGCACACTGGGCATTTGTAGGTGTTTAAATATTATAAAGTAACAGCAAAAAAAAATGGATATAGCTGCTCATTACATACTTTCGAAAATGTCCAATTAGAAATATGTTTTTAAAAGTCCTTTAAAATTATATTACCACTTCAGTAATTAAACTATCCATTGCTGAATGACTTAGAAACACTTACTATGCTGCAGAATTCATATAAAGCAGATCACATTTGAACACATGAGGAGGGTTTACTTACTATAATGTCAAATAGCTCTCTTTATAAGGTGTTTCATCTGTAAAGTCCCAAAGCATGGAACTCTAAGACAAGGTAATTGTAAAGCTGCAAAATGAATATTTTTATTTTATCTAGATAAAATAAGTTCCCTCAAGATTTTTTAATAGATCAGCAGGAAGAAAACTTTTAAAAGAGACAAACTTAAAAAGAAAAATTTAGAAAGTCTATTATAGATTTTTAAAAAACTGAATATAGCATATGTAAAAGTTTTATAATTAGAAATTATAGAGAACATTTTCTTACAAATATCAAAATATAAATCTTTAGTTCACTATGTATGCCACCTTTTTTCCAAATGTAATAATTTAAAAATCAAAAAATTTGAAAATGTAGTTACAACAACAAATTTAAGAAATCAGATTTTTTTCACAAATATGCTATACCTTTTCATAAGCAGTTAATGATGACTTTTGCATTATTTAACTAGGTCAAAATGTTTTAAAGTCTTATTAAATATAACTTAACAAATACATAAAAATCTTCCTCCTGTGTTTTGCCTACTGATCACGTTTGTTCTCAAGGAAGTTCATCCTCAAGGATAATTCATTGTGTCGCTATTATGTCCTTTTTGCTTGGGCTGTGATAAACCAAGCATGATAATCATCCATTTGGCATGAAAAGAGACTCCAAAATCCAAAATCAATTCACACATGTTGAACCCAACCACAGCGCTGTAGACATGCTGACTTTACAATATAGTCAGGCTTCTAGTTTCCTTTACTTTAATCATTATCTGATGTGTAGAGCAATTCCAACCCCTTCATGTGGACACAATTTAAATCCCAGACTGTAAAAAGAGTGGAAAGAATGTTTCCTTTTTACTCTCTTGGCATTCATGTTCATATTTGTTGGAGTAATGAACTCAATATGCAGGATGACTTAGATAAACCAGTTCCACTAGCTAGACTAGCTCTATAACCCATAGGGTAAAAAGAACTAGAAGATAATTCCATTCACAGAGGCTTAAACAAAATATGAAATTTGTGTCATAATATTTTTATAAGTCATTAATAAACATAAATGGGTAGGCAACTCTCCAGGGTTTCTAAATGAAAAGTTTTAATTTTATGGGACTCTTATTTTTCTAAATTTTTATTAACATCCTATAATTATACAGAGTTAGGAGGCTATCTCTTAAAGTAGATATTATTACTGTTTTACAAATAAGGAAACTAGGCCAGGCACAGTGGCTCAGGCCTGTAATCCCAGTACTTTAGGAGGCCAAGGTGGGCAGATCACCTGAGGTCAGGAGTTCGAGACCAGCCTGGCTAACATGGTGAAACCCCATCTCTACTAAAAATACAAAAATTAGCCAGGCATGGTGGTGGACACCTGTAATCCCAGCTACTCAGGAGGCTGGGGCAGGAGAATCGCTTGAACCTGGGAGGTGGAGGTTGCAATGAGCCCAGATCGCACCACTGCACTCCAGCCTAGGCAACAGAGCAAGACTTTGTCTCAAAAAAGAAAAAAAATAAATAAGGAAACGAAGATGTGGAGAGGCTAAGCTATATAGCTTGTCCACAGCCACATCATTTATAAACAGAAGTATTAGCATCCAAGTTCAGGTCTATCTGATTATAAAATATTTATTCTTTCCACCATCAATCTACCAAGCTACTGAAATAAAAATAATTTTGTCATTGGCAAACAGGAACCTTGAAAGGACTGTTAGGAGCATAGTTACTTGAGTTACAATATTCTAAAAGTCCAAAAAGATAGTTGTACACATGATAAACAAAAAAAATTAGTTGTGCAAGTTATAGTACTTCTCTCACAAAAGAGAATGACACAAGAGTAATGGAGTGATTTTGTAGCTGTCACAAACATTTCAAAATACTCTGCTCAGAACAATTTTCTTAATTAAATACAAGTAAAAATAGTCACTTGATGTATAACACTGAGATTAGTGAAAGGCCCTTCCTGACAGTCATTGAGTCTCAGGTAATACCTCTGCATCCTTATGGAAAGCCTGGGAAAGCTTCTGCAGTTCACTTTCAGACTGGGCTGCCTGAGCCTTTTCTTTCTCCCAACAGTGCAGCACATTTTGTAGTTCCACTTTTAAAGTGCTTATTAAAGCCTCTCGGTCTGCACATTTAGTGTGTAAATGACTTAACTCTTTATTAACATCAGCCAGTTTATCCTGAAGTTCCTGTCATAGATACCAAATAAAGAGATTGTAGAAAGGCCAGCCAACAAGGGGTGAGGGGACACTAGTATAAAACACATATTGAACATTTTCAAAGCTTTAAAATGAAAGAATCACAAAGGCAGGCAAGCATTTGTTTACATTAAAATATTTTACTGAATGTATTTTCTAAATATAATATCTCAGCTCAAAAATTAGAACATTTGTTATGTTTAAACATTTACATAAAATGTTAATATGATGGCTTATTCCAAAAAGTTCTTCCAAGGGAGTTTCCTTTCAACCTATTTTTTTAAAACAACGTTGTAGTTCAAAAATTTTAAAATATTTTAAAATAAATATCTTACATTTAACATAAGAACATTTACTTTCCAATGACATCCCAACCACTTATAGAAATCTCAAATATGTGGCACAAAATTTTGCTGAACTGTTTATTCCTTAAACCTAACAAATTCTTTTGAAGTGTGTCCAGGACAAACCCAACATGAAACAACATAATGAAATTCCAGCAATACTGGGAAACTTCTGAGAGTTGACTCAGCATAATTTTGCAAAGATGTAGTACATAAAACCAGCACAGAAACTAAAATAAACTATAGTCCTGGGCCTTAGCCAGGTGTGGTCTCAGCCCATTAACAGACATGATGTACTGAAAACAATGGCTCCACCTTAAAATGATGAAAACTGACTCCAAATATGATGTGCTTATGTAAAATATGTTTAGTACGTACCTAAGGCTGGACATTTCATCTTAAATAATTATTTGAATCTCATAAGGTATTATAATTAAATCTGGGAAATAAATTTTCCTTTAACCAAAATAATTTCCAATCAGGTTTTAATTTTTTAAATGAAAAAAACATTCTTGTTACTCTTAATCAACAAGAAAAAATTAAAATTCTACCCATACATACTTTAAAAAATAGAAATACATATTTTCAGGTACCTCAATATCTCTACTTTAAAATATTCCCTAGATAACTATATTTGTTTCTTAATACAAAAGGTAAAAGTTATTCTAAATAATACCTTTATATTTTTAGTGTGAGAGTCTATCTTCTGTTTCGTAGAATCAAGTTCATTACATGCCTTTTCCTTAACATCATTCATGCTGTTTAGCTGATGAAAGAAAATATAAGTAACTTTTTTACATTTTTCAAGGATGGGTAACTCAAAAGTTAATCTTTAAGTGCTTTTTATGCAATTACTTAAATACAAATTTTTCAATAGTAATTAAGAGTCTTTAAAAAATTATTTCTTTTGGTTAAATGCTATATAGCTTCTGTCACAAGTTCATGTGGCTAAAAAGAAAAGAAAGCATTCAAGCTTAAAATATCACTTATGTTACTATATTTTTACCACACGTCCAGATAAAGGATTTCATTCTTATTGTAAACAAATACAACTTTATTCTTAAAATCCTACTGGACCAAAATGCCAGAAGCAGGGGCATCTATAAGTAAATAAAAAAGAACAGAGCAGAAGACTGTTCTTTCTATACATCATGAGGATATTCACTGGTCTCTCACTCCATATGACAACTTCAGGGTCGGTCACATGCAGTCCTACTGGGAAGGCTTGTGGCAGGTCATCAGTTGGTCCTGCACCGCTTGTGATTTATTTTCTTTGACAGTTCATTCTTCTTTCTGTCAGACTGCTCTTTTTGCTTTCTTTGCAGCCACCCCCTTGGTCTCCCCACTGCTGTCTCTGGCACTGGTTCACAACAAAGCGCATTACTAAGCCAAAGCCTGCTGAGTCGACTTTTCAACTGTGCTGAGGATCATGTGACATTCATCCTCCCAAATAACAATTCGCTGTGGGTAATATGTTCCTAGTTACCCTGCAGCTTCCAGACCTAGGCCTCAGAAGAGTTTCATAAACTACTAACAATACAGGTTGTCTTGTCTCACTGGGAAAGACTTCGTAATATTTGTTCCTCATAGAAATTTAATTATTTCGATGGTCATTTTCTTTTATGCCTTTTGAACAATTACCGAGGGTATTAAAAAGACTCACTTTTCCTTCTTTGTTCATCTTAGCAAGCTAAAATAAAATAAGCCGCATATGAAATGTGAAATGTAACCGTTTTATGGCATTTATATTATATGAAAGAAAGAGATACACACAAGGATAAACTCCAAATTCCATGCTATGTGACTTGTCTTTGACTCTAACAATCTGTTTGTTGCTTTGCTAACTAATTGTATTTAATGTAATTACTTCATATGCTAATTTGACAAGATGTAACTAGACAAACTCTTCAATTCTTAAAGCACAAATTCATAAAACATTTTAATACCCAAGAAAATTATCAACCCACACATTAAACAATACAAATGGGATGATAAATAGAAGCATGAGCTTTTTCAATCAGCAAACTAAAAGCTCCCAGGCTACATCAAACAGATATTTGTTTTTTAAAAACTTCTAACAACACTTTACTGCCTTTAGAGAATGAAAACTAATTTCTCTCTTTTTTATTAAGACTTCCACAGTTTGTAGAAATCTTAACCTAAAACACTGACAAAATCTAAATTTCCAGTAGCTATACCAAATGTCATAAAAACACACTGACATTTAAATACAGTACATATTAACTTAAACTACTTGCATAGTGTTTTTCATTAAGTTAAAACAGATAAATTATGAAGATCAAGAAGTGATAGAGTCTTTATAACTTTGAAAATAATAGTGTGACTGAAGAGTTACAAAAACGTAAGTGAGACATGACTTTAGGCCACACTTAAAGAAAGAACAGCGAAAGATAATTTATTATTTTTTGTATCTGTGAAGCTGTCAGTTCAACATTCCCAATCTTTTTGACCTTTGTAACAAGCAAGGAATACGTACTGGTACAGGCCGAAGGCTATATGTGTGGAGCCAAACAGTGCAAGTGTTACCTCATTAGATGCATCTTCCAGCTTGTTCTGGTAATCTGTCAAGGTACGCCTCAATCTCTCAAGGACAACAGAGAAGCTGGGAGGTTTATCTTTGTCCTTGTGGATGCCTAGAGAAAAATATAGGATGAAAATATACCCTTAAAGTCACAAAGGGACAAAACTTAGGCAAATAGTAACAGAGATACTACAATTAGGTAGAGCTGAAAAGACGTTATGAAACTATTAATACTTGGCCATACAGCAGTATACTTGGAGAATAAAATTCTTGAATAGAATTTTATTCTCCAAGTATACTGCTGTATGGCCAAGTATTAATAGTCTTTCTAAACAAGCGGCCAAATTAAAGTTCATAATATATCAAATTTAAATTTATGACTACTTTCTACCTTATCAAGACCCACATGGTAGTGAGTTTTGTTTTTGTTTTTGTTTTCATGTCTCCTAAGTAACGGCAGTGTTTGTACATACCTTTTATCCAACAACTAAATGAAGTATACATTACCATTGTTTGGGGGAGTTATGTACACTTACTGTGGTCCTTGTGTTTCTGACTAGTCAGGCCTTTTATACTGCACTATTTTGCTTAAATAATAATTTCTGAACCCAAGAGTATATAATTTTCTGTTATACTTGGAAATATTCTTCAATCCTTAAAATTCTCAAGTTACAATTTGAAATAAACAATAAAAATGCTATTATCTACATAGCCTACATCATGTTTCAATTAAAACCCTTAAAACTGATACTCATGGTAAAAATATGAGCATTTCCATGTTATGCCCTCAAACTACTTTAATTTAGTTGGGCCATAAATTATGTTAGTTGAGCTAATAAAGGTCACATGATCAAACGTAGCTCCAAGTATTAATCCAAAAAGTTGAATTTCAAAAACTAAATTGATTGTTGATTCAAACTATCACAAGGACAAAAAACCAAACACTGCATGTTCTCACTCATAGGTGGGAATTGAACAATGAGAACACTTGACACAGGAAAGAGAACATCACACACTGGGGCCTGTTGTGGGGTGGGTGGAGGGAGGAGGGATAGCATTAGGAGATATACCTAATGTAAATGACGAGTTAATGGGTGCAGCACACCAACATGGCACATGCATACACACGGAACAAACCTGCACATTGTGCACATGTACCCTAGAACTTAAAGTACAATAAAAAATATACTAAAAAAATTGATTGTTGATTGCACTATTCTTTAAGTGTTAAAAAGCAAGTAGCAAATTCAGTTTTTAAATATTCACATTGAAAATATTTTTCTTTTCTTGTTATTTCTTCTCATCATATTTTATAATATAAATATTTCAATATACACGAAACGGATTTTCAACAAAGCTAAATTTTAAGAGCAGCATTCATATTATACGTCCTACTATTCATTCATTCAACTAATTTACTGAATTCCTACTACATACTAATCTTAGGCATTATGCATACAAAGATAAACAAGAAAGGTATAGCCTCTGTCTTTATAGAATTTAAGGTTTAATAAGAGAAAGATAGTAGATAAAAAATTATATGACATCATTTATCCATTCTTCAAATATTCTATTATTAGAACTTATGGAGAAGTGGGGGAAGGCAGTAATAAAGAAGGAAGAAAGGGGAAAAATTCTTAGTTAATGATAGAGCAACTTTACTCAGCTCAGAGTATGGTGATATCTCATGTTTAAATCTTGGAGAAAATGTTATTAATATATTTATGACATTTATCAAGGTATAATTTAAGCACCAACTTATATATGGGTACAACTTGGTTTTTCTTTAACAGAAGAGGAACATTTAACTTAAAAACCAAAAGTAATGTGGAAACAACACATATGACAGCTAGGAAAAGAAATACACTCTTCTGAGCCATGATAATAGAGGAGACAGTACTCTTCGTAATGACTATGAGTTGGAAAGACAACTCATTAAAAATTTTATTAAAGGTCTTATCAAATATATATTTTTAAACTCCTCTCTTGCACAAGATGAAAAAAAAAGTAATGTATAATTCTTTTCTTTTGCTACTACACAAGTAGACCATGAATAAATCATTCAAGGACACTCGGGAAATCTGCATTTTTACAATAAGGGAGAAAACTTCCTCTTAGAAATTCAGAAGAATAAAATCATCTTAATATGAGTGCTGAAGAGTAATGGGACAAAATGCCCTCTCCTTACTGACCTATGAACATTCTTATATTCTAAATAAAATAAAGTTTTATTTCCTGAAAATGTTTATATAATAAAGTTTAGTTGAAGTACAAAGTAAGCTTTATGTCTGCTATGGCTAAATTATTAAATGCCTTGAGGGAGTCTTCTTTGGGTTAAATCTGCTTGGTGTTCTATAACCTTCTTGTACTTGAATAATGATATATTTCTCTAGCTTTGGAAAGTCCCCTATTATTATCCATTTGAATAAACTTTCTCTCTCTCTCTCTCTCTCTCTCTCTCTCTTTCCCCCGCCCCGCCCCCCACCCCCCCGCCAGCCTTGAAGGCCAATAACTCTTAGATTTCCCCTTTTGAGACTATTTTCTAAATCCTGTAGGAGTGCTTCATTCTTTTTTATTCTGTTTTCTTTTGTCTCCTCTGACTGTGTATTTTCGAATACCTGTCTTCAAGCTCACTAATTCTTTCTTTTGCTTAATCAATTCTACTGTTAAGAGACTTTGACACATTCTTCATTGTCAACTGCATTTTTCAACTACAGAATTTCTGCTTGATTCTTTTTATTTCAGTCTCTTTGTTAAATTTATCTGATAGGATTTTGAATTACTTCTCTGTGTTATATTAAATTTCTTTAAATTTCCTCAAAACAGTTCTTTTGAATTCTCTATCTGAAAGGTCATATATCTCTGTATCTCCAGGGTTGGTTTCTGGTCCCTTATTTAGTTTGTTTGCTGAAGTCATGTTTTCTGGGATGGTTTTGATGCTTGCGGATGTTCTTCAGTGTCTGGGCATTGACGAGTTAGTTATTTATTTTAGTCTATGCAGTCTGGACTTATTAGTACCTGTCCTTCCCGAGAAGGCTTTCCCAGTATTTAAACGTCTTTAGGTGTTGTGATCTAAGTTTTTGGCCACTGCAGCTATATCTGCATTAGGGGGCACCCCAAGCCCAGTAACACTGTGGCTCCTGCAGACTCACAGAGGCACCACCTTTGTGGTCTTGATAAAATTCAGAGGAATTCTCTAGATTACTACATAGAGACTCTTGTTGCCTTCTCTTACTTTCTCCCAAACAGAGTCTCTCTGTGCTGAGCTAAAACTGGGGGAGAAGTGACACAAGCACCCCTGTGGCCACCACCAGTAGGACTGCACTAGGTCAAACCTGAAGCCAGCACAGCACTGAGTATCACCCAAGACCTGCTGTAACCATTAACTGGCGACTGCCTATGTTTGCTCAAGGCCCTAGGGCTCTACAATAAGCAGGTAGTGAAGCCAGCCAGGATTGTGTCCTTCTCCTCAAGATGGCAAGCTCCCCCAGGTCCTGGGAAGATCCAGAGATGCTGTCCAGAAGCCAAGGCCTGGTGTTGGAAACCTTAGGAATCTACCTGGTACTCTATTCTACTGAGGCTGAACTGGCACAAGACAAAGTCCTTCCCACTCTTCCCTCCCATTTCCATAGCAGAGGAGTCTCTCCCCCTGGCCACCACTGCCACAGGCCCACCAGGAGTACTTCCAGGCTACTGCCAAGGCTCACTCAAGGTCCAAGAGCTCTTCAGTCAGCTTGTGGTGAATGCTGCCAGGTCTGGGAATCATCCTTCAGGGCAGCAGACTCCCCTTTGGCCAAGGGCAGGTCCAGAAATGCCATCGAAGAGCCAAGGCCTGGAATCAAGGACCCCAAGAACCCACTTGGTGCTCTACCACCCTGTGGCCAAGCTAACTTAGCTGCAAGACAAAGTCCCCTTTATTCTTCTCTCTGCTGTTCTCAAGCAGAAATAATCTCTTGCCGTAGCCACTACAGCTGTGAATGTTCTGGGCCACACTTCAAACCAGCAGATCTCAGATTCTCACCAAAGGTCCGTGTGTACTACACGGGTATTGCTGCTGATTATTCAGGCCCCAGGGGCTCTTTAGTCAGTAGGTGATGAATCCTGCCAGGATTGGGTCCTTCACTTCAAGGCAGTAGATTCCCTTCTGGCCAAGGGTGTGTCTAGAAATGTCATCTGGGAGCTAAGGCCTGGAATGAGTGTCTCAGGACTCTGCCTTGTACTCTATCCTTCTGTGGCTAAGCTGGTATCCAAGTTGCAAGAAAAGGTTCTCTTTACTCTTCCCTCACCTCTTAAGCAGAAAGAAGGGGTCTCTTTCAGAGCTGTGAGCTGTGCTGCCTGAATCTGGAGGTGGGGTACTGCAAGCACTCCCTTTGCTGCCCCCGCTGGTGTCTCACTAGGTCACATACCCTCTAAGTCCACTGGCTCCGAGCCCAGCACAGCACTAGGACTTGCCTAGGAGTTGCAGTCCTTGTGGCCTAGATTGTCTTTCAAGTTTATTTAGGACCCTGAGCACTTTAGTCCACAGTGGCAAGGCTTGTCAGAGCTCAAATTCCAAATGCTAGGATGGACAATTCCCCTCTGGCTAGGACTAGTCTAAATGTTCCCTCCGTGAGCACTGGCTTATTCTCAGTGTTGCTTTCCACTGTGACAGGGCATCACTGAGCTTCAATGCAAAGTCCCACAATCACTGTGCTCTCCCTTCCCCAAGTGCACAGATTCCCCCCACCACATAGCCGCTGCTGGGGCATGGAAGAGTGGTGGTGTCAGCAATTCAAGACTGTCTTTCAACCCTCTTCAATGCCTCTTTCAGTGATATGAAGTTTAAAACAGGTACTGTGACTGCTCATCTGATTTTTGGTTCTTATGAAGGTGGTTTTTTTTGCCTACGTAACTGTTAAATTTGGTATTCCTGTGGGGGTGATGATCACTGGAGGCTTCTATTCAGCCATCTTGCTCAGCCTCCAGCTGCTATGATTTGAATATGTCCTCCAAAGTTCACGTGTTGGAAACTTAATCCCCAATGCAGTGTTGAGAAGTGGAATCTTTGAGAGGTTACTGGGTTATGAGGGCTTTACTCTCATGAATGAATTAATGTCATCACAGGAATGGGTTTATTATCTTAGAAGTAGGTTTGTTATAAAAGTCAGTTCTCCCCAACTCTTGCTCTCTCTTGCCCTTTCATCTTCTACCATGAGATGATGTAGCATAAGGGCCCTCACCAGATGTTGGCCCCTCAATCTTGGATTTCCCAGCCTCCAGAACTGTAAGAAATAAATCTCCTTTCTTTATTAATTACCCAGTCTCAGGCATTCTGTTATAGCAGCACAAAAGGAACTAAGACAATATCCCACCCAAATTTATTATAAAAAAGAAACACTTACTGGTCCCTTAACCTGACAAAATGCTTACAAATAAAAAAAAAAGGGTCACCCTAAACCGAGGACCTTATTGAGTGATTTGACTTAACCTAATAATCTTTTAATCACTGCAGTATGGCCCGAAAAACAATGAACTATAAAAGCTATCCTATCAAAGAAAGGTTTAAAAACTCACAAAGAGTAGCAAAAAAGATCTGAACAGTGATCATAATTAGCTTTTCAAAAGTGAAATTCCAAATGAAGAATAGAATATATCAGGAACACTTTATACTTGAATAACATCAACTCAAAATCCTGAGCTTCTCTCTCCCTCTGTCTATACTTGTGCTTAATATAAGGTATCTAAAGTGGTCAAATTCATAGAAAAAAAGTAGAATGGAGGTTACCAGGGACAAGGGGGAAGGAGAAAAGGGGATGTGATGGTGAATTTTTTGTCAACCTGACTGGGTCACTGGGTGCCCAAATATGTGGGTTACTTTCACTCACCATACCCTGTTTCGATCTCTCCCTCTCACTTTTAAGTAGGTTTCAACTCTGGCTGTACTTTGGCAAATCTTTTCTTGAATTAGTAGCCCACAGGAGGAGGTGGAGTAGAAAAAAGGTTCCAAGCCCTCTATTTACACGTTTCCTTTTAGACAATCTCAAAAACTAAATAATTTTTCATAACTCATATAAATCATTGTTTTTCAAGCTGACATCATTATTTCAGTAATCCATAGTTCTACAGAAAAAAACAGTAACTTTTCATGAATGGAGTCTATCTTCTCCATCTTCTTAACCACCTTGTTACCTACTTCATTTTTCTACAAGATCCCAAGAAGGGAGAATTAGTAAGAAATAATGGAGGGAGAATACAGACAAAAGACAGAGCTTTTTTTATACAGCTATCAATATAGGATATGAGTAGTCACGTTCATGTTTTGAACTGAACTCTGTTGTTTAGTGTTGATTTTTTATCTTGTAGTAGAAAACAGGAAATAATGTTCAAATGAGTTTTGTTTTCACCTGATAAAATCCAAACATTTAATATATAATGTATTGATAACTAAGAAAATTCTGTTTTCATTTTAAAAGCACTAATACAAACATTTTATTGGCAGTTAGACTTTTTTTGAACTCAGACCACAACACTGTATATTGTCTTAATCACTAAGTTTATAAATAAACATCTTTCATTATCTTGCAAACATTAGTGCCTATTCTAGAGTGTTTAGGAAAAATGGTTCATAACTTTTCTAACATATGGAAAGTATTTATTATGTAAGTCCTTCTCACTCTCTAACTACGTCTCTTGGGAGAATTCAAAAAACACTTCCTTTACCAAAGCTTGAGAAATATATTAGTAACGGAAGTCCCTGCTTCGTTGATGAGTTCTGTGTAGCTTGATAAGCTCCATGTGGCTAGAAGGCAAAGATTAACAGCAAACACTGGTGCCATCAAAATGGGTTCCCTGAATTTAGTGCAAGTGATTGGATCTTGGGTAACAAGAGACCAAATGGTAGCAATTAACTTCCAGAGACAAAGTGGACATGTTTAACATAATGGGTAGTGGAGTCAAAGCAATAAACAAAATGGTTTGACCTACAGAGATCACTGACATTGGCTAACTGATCATGGTGTTCCTAGAACCAAAATAAATGGGCAGCATAGTTAAGTCTCATTTGGTTTGCATAAGTAGAAAAGTCCTAGCTCTGATTACCACAAGCAGGACTTAAGTAAACAAAAAAGGAAGAATTAGTCCTCAAATACTTCTCAGACTTGAGCTAATTCACAGACCTAGGGACCTGTGAATAAAGACGATGGGTCTCTGTTAGCAATCCTGACATAGTGCCAAAAAATACCGTAAATCTTCCTCCTAACCTTCCTCAAAGAAACATGCAACCATCTAACAGGGTAACTGTACCGGGGGGAGGAATTAACTACACTTATCAGGGATAACTGGACACTGGATCTGAACTGCCATTAATTCAGGGAGACATAAAATGTGCTACTGTGGTTTCTGTAGTCAGGGTAGGAGCTTACAGAGGTCAGGTAATTAACTGAGTTTTAGCTGAGGCCTCTCTCTAGTCGGTCCAGTAGGTACCTGAACCCACCCCATAGTTATTCTCCGAGTTTGGAACACATATTTAGAAAGGACAGATGCAGCAACTGGCACAGTGTCCACAGTGGTTACCTGACCTATAGAGTGAGGGATATTACAGAGGAAAATCAAGTGGAAAAGCCAAGAGGAAATCACTGGAACTTTTACCTACCAAAACACAAATTGAAAGTAATGCCACACTCCTGGCAAGACTGTAGAGATTACTGCCTTTTAAAGGATTGAAAGATAAAGGCATGGTGATTCCTACCACATCAGCATTCAACTCACCTAACTCAGCCGCTGCAGAATACAGATGGATCTTACAGAATGACAGTGAATTAATCAATATGACTCCAATTGCTGCTGCAATTAAATATGCAGTTTCATTGTGAAACAAATCAACACATTTTCTGGCAATTGGAATGAAGCTATTCATTCTACCCCCTTAGTAAAGACCACCAAAACCAGTTTTTTTCATCTAGCAGGACCAGCAATGTACCTTTGTTGCCGCCCTACCACAGAGCTATATCAACTCTGGCTCTCTATCACAATCTAGTATGTAGAAATCTTAATCAACTCTCCATTACCAAAGATCTCACATGCTCCACTTCATTCTCTACTAAATTGATGGCATCATTCTGAATGCACCTGATGAACAGAAAGTAGCAACTACTCAAATTCAAGATGTATATAGCATTTCACAGGTCCTTATGAGTGGATCATAGTGTAAACTTTTAGGAGTTAGAAGCAAAGTAAGTCATCCACTACAGATAACTATTCTCCTTTTGAAAATGGGCTTTGGACTTGCTACTGGTCCTCAGCAGATACTGAATACATGGCCAACAATTCACCATGTGACTAGAGGGTGCCCATCATGAAACGGTTACTGTGTGATCCACCAATCCATAAATTTTGGCATACACAAGAGCACTCTATCATCAAATGAAAGTGGCATAAAAGTCCCGAAGGCACAAATAAGTTGTATGAGCAAGTAGTCCAGATTCCCATGGGCCCTATTCCTGTTACATTGCTTTCTCTCTCTTAACCCACACCTTGGATGCATGGAGAGTTCTCTATGACCAGCTCACAAATAGAAAAAAAAAAAAATGGGCTTGGTTTATAGATGGTTCTGTATGTTATGGTGACATGATTCAAAAATAGGCAGCTGCAGCAGCACTACAGCCCCACTCAAGGCTGGCTCGGGAGAACAGTGGTAAAAAGAATCCTTCCAGTAAGCAGAACGTCAAGTAGTGGATGTGACTATCATTCTTCCTAGAATGAGAGAAGACCAAATATACAAATATACACCAATTCATGTGTGGTGTCTAACTGTTTGGCTGAATGGTTAGGTACTTGGAAAGAATGTGAATAGAAAATTGGTAACAAGGTTGTCTGGGGAAGAATATGTGGACAGACTTCTTCAAATGGGCACTGTGCCCAGATCAACTTCAGTAGACAAGGATCTTAATAATCAGGAGGGCAAAATGAAGTATTCTATGGATATCAACCAATGTTTTTTCCTAGCCATCTTTGTCTTTACAAAATTGAACAAAAGAGTCATAGCAGCAAGGACAGAGGTAATACACAGGCTCAGCAATATGAACTTCCATTCACCAAGGCTGATTGGGTTACAACTCCTGTTGAGTGCCAAATTCACCAATAGCAAAAACAAACACTGAGACCATGATATGACACCATCCTCTGGGAGGATGAGATAGCAACTTGGTGGCAGGTTGATCACACTGAGTAACTTTCATCATGGAATGGGCAATGCTTTATTCTTACTAAGATAGACACTTACTCTGAATACGGATTTTCCTTCCCTAACCATAACGTTTCTGACCAAACTACCATCCATGTGTACACAAAATACTTTAATTCACCATCATGTATTCCAAATGGCATTGCTTCTGATCAGAGAATGCATTTTACAGCAAATGAAGTGTGGAAATAAGATTGTTTCCATAGGATTCACTGGTCTTACTATGTTTCTCATCACAAAAACACAAACACTGTATGATTCCACTTAATATAAGGTATCTAAAGTGGTCAAATTCATAGAAAAGAAAGTAGAATGGAGGTTACCAGGGACAAGGAGGAAGGAGAAAAGGGGATGTGATGGTGAATTTTTTATCAGCCTGACTGGGTCATTGGGTGCCCAAATATGTGGTTAAACACTATTTCTGGGTATGTCTGCAAGGGAGATTAACATCTGAATTGGCAGATTGCCCTCCCTAACTTGAGTGGGCTTCATCCAATCTGTTGAAGGTCTGAAGAGAATAAAACCCTGAGTAAGAAAGAATGCTTTCTCTCTGCCTTGCTGTCTTTGGGCTGCAACATCAATCTTCTCTTGCTTTCAGGCTCAGACTCCTGCCAGAGCTTACATCATCAGCTCTCCCAGTTCTCAGGACTTCAAACTCAGACTAGAACCATACAGCTCTCCCGGATAATAGACCCTCCTGGAATACAGGTGTGGACCACCTCGCCAGAGATGGAACCATATCCAGCTGAGATGCTTGCTGACAGCAAAGCAATAGGGTATGGGTAGTAAAGGAAGTTAAAAATACCAGTTACATGTGACCAGATAGAAAAAGAAGGACTAAGTACAGAGTACAGACAGCCTCAACTTACAATGATTCAACTTAAGATTTCTCAACTTTACAATAGTGCCAAAGCAATACACATTCAATATGCTCCTCGACTTACAATGGGTTTATCTGACCTTACTTTCCCAGCTCCTCCCACAATTGCATAAGGTCTAATTCTTACAACAAATTCCTTATTCAAAAATACTATAGTGGTTCTGACTACCCAATCAAACTCTAGCTTTACATGTTCTTATCTTATAATGCACACTTGATCTTCACAGTTACTTCTTATATTTATAATTCTTAATATTCTATCACTAAAATGGAAAAAAAGTCTACAATTTCTCCTAAAGAGAAATAATAAGAACAAGCCTAGTAAAGGCAAAATGTAATTAAACCTATCATAACAAATATGATAGTGTTAAACAGGATATGAATTGAGAAACAAAAATTGAAAATTCAAACTGATATAGGTCAAAGACTTATAGAACTCAAAAAAGAAGTGTACAAGATGAAGAATTTAAAGTGAATTTTTAAAAATATACAATTTTAAAGAAAATCAGAGGCCAAGCCTTAATCAAGCCTTCAATTCTGTACTGTCCAATCTGTGGATAGTAAAATTTATTTAACAGTGATTATTCGTATTCATATTTAAATTAGTTAAAATTAAATTTTCAATTCCTTAGTCACGATAGTAATATTAAAAGCACTTAATAGCCACATGTGGCTAGAGTCTACTATACTAGAACAACAGATACAGAACATTTCCATTACTGCAGATTCCATTACCAATTGGGAGAAAATCTACAGAACAAAAAAACATGTTAAACTATACAATGGGATGCAATCAGAAAAATGCAGGCTGTGAAACTCCTAGAACAAATGAAACAGTTTTTTAACAAATAAATTTCAAACAAAAATGATAAAAAGAGACAGAAGGCCGGGTACGGTGGCTCACGCCTGTAATCTCAGCACTTTGGGAGGCCGAGGCAGGTGGATCACTTGAGGTCCGGAGTTCAAGACCATCCTGGTCAACACGGCAAAACCCCATCTCTACTAAATAATACAAAAATTAGCTGTACGTGTTGGTGCACACCTGTAGTCTCAGGTACGCGGGAGGATGAGGCAGGAGAATCGCTTGAACCTGGGAGATGGAGGTTGCAGTGAGCTGAGATTGTGCCACCGTACTCCAGCCTGGAGAAGAGTGAGACTCCATCTCAAAAAAATGAAAGAGGGCCTGGCACAGTGGCTCACACCTGTAATCCCAGCACTTTGGGAGGTCGAGGCGGGCGGATCATGAGGTCAGGAGATTGAGACCATCCTGGCTAACATGGTGAAACCCCATCTACCAAAAACACAAAAAAATTAGCGGGGCATGGTGGCAGGCACCTGCAGTCCCAGCTACCTGGGAGGCTGAGGCAGGAGAGTGGCATGAACCTGGGAGGTGGAGCTTGCAGTGAGCTGAGATGGCGCCACTCCAGCCTGGGTGACAGAGTGAGACTCCATCTCAAAAAAGAAAGAGAGAGAGAGAGAGAGACAGAAGAGGAGAGGAACCTACAGATTTTTTAAAATCAGCCAACCATAATATCTAGACCTTCTCTGCATACTAATTTAAACTAACTGATATTATATGAGATATACAAGAAACTTTGAAATTTATGACACTAAGAAATTTTTAACTTTTTACATATTATAATGATCTTATATTTATATTTTTAAAAGACTTCATTTTTTAGAGTCAAAGTTAAATATTTATGAATACAATTAAACATATTTTCATGTTTTCAATATAATACAGCAGATATCTGTATTATACAGATATATAATACAGAAATAGCTGGGATATGCTTTCAATATAATACAGCAGAGGGGAAGTAGATGAAACAAAATTGGTTCTTAAGTTGATAAATGTTGATCTGAGTGATGAGGGCAACAGATTTTGTTACACTATTCTGCCTCCTTTTGTACATATTTGAAATTTTTCATAAAAAAAGATATGCAATTAATTACTGGATGAATTTGAAGGAAGAAAGATCATAGGAGGATCTTATCTTTTTTGAAGTAAACTTTACTGAGGTTTCTCTTGGGAGTAAGAAAAAACATGTTCATTATACATATTTCTGCTCTTATAGGTAACACATTTTTCCTTTATTCTTATAGTTTTAAAAATTTCAAAAATATATTTAAATGCAGGTGTTATTTGATTATTTTTCCCTGTAAAGCAGTGATCTCATCTGGCATGCTACAATCTTTTTTATCTCAAACAAGTATTTTTGAATTATGTCTTCAATTATTACATTTGTTTCATTTACTCTAGTTTTTGCCTTAGAAAGACGTACAATCTTTTCATTGGTACTCCATATTATCATCTTTTCCCTCTGTTTTTCTTTCCTTATCTGTTTTAATTCTTTGTTCTTTTCCTCTGCATTTTATCTGTGTTCTTTTTTCTACATTTTGTCCTCCAAATCACCAATCTAAAATGTTAATTGTAGACTGTAGATTTTCTAATGTCAATTCTGTCATAGCTACTCACAATTTTAATCTACTATCCTATTTTTAGTTTCCTTAGACTCCTTCCTTATGTCATTCTTTTACCTGTTAATCTTACTGGGTTTTTTCGGAGTAGGAGGAGAATTAACCTTTTTCTATTTCAGCCTATTCTTTCCTTATTAATCCCATTTGAAAAAGGTCATTTCTTTTTGTAGCCTACTGTGGATGCCAAATAGCTTCTAAATTTTATTCCAATTTCCATGGTGAATCATTTCACCACTCTGTTCTAAATGTACCAGGTACTGTTCCTTTCCCCTCGTTTTGTGGTGCTTAGTTTTTCACAAATTCTATTTAGTTTTCCTTAATTTTTAAATGAAAAAAAAGAGTAAAACCCTAACAATATTTAGAAAGTTTGAAAAAAGACTGTATGTATAAATTCTCCAAAGTTCTACTCTGAATCAATTACATGGTGATAAAACTCCCTCTAAGATCAATATCTGAAGCTACATGAGTGTACACAGTTCCTATTATATTTTTCAGCAAGCAGCAATCCCTGAACTTAGGTGGTATCATCTCCCAATCTACTCCCTGGACTTCTGGCACATATAGTTAGATAGACTATAGGGAAAATTTTATCTCTAGTATGAACTGCTACCAATGTTTTTTTTTTGTCTTGATTCCTAGAGATAATACAAAGGAGACTTCTCAGAACTTTACCTCCAATCCGTGGGTCATTCCTGGCTAGCTGTATTCTGGGAGTTACACGGAGATGGTATGGGAGTTGAAAGAAAGATGGGGAGAATACTCTTATTGCCTCAGAAAGCAGCACCTACACAGTAGAAAGATAGCTTCCCAATTTTCTAGTTGGTACAGACCCTCCATTTCCAAAAGAGGGAGGATACCGTGGCAGGAGAACAAAATGTCTGTCTACTGTCATAGGATAAGTCAAAGGGAAGCTGATTGTACTTTCATTCCAGTTCTATTGACTACGTATTATATATACTCTCCCCAAGGGAGGGTGAATATTTATTTGATTTCCAGCATTACTATGTGTTTTCAACATTTCTGTGCAATCATTAGTATGAAAGTGTGGAACTATTTTATAGGAGGCTACCAGGCTGTTGACACTTTAAACTTGATTGTTTGCAAATCATAAATAACAACATAGGCACGAAGAAATGCTTAATAATCAGTATTTTGGGGGTGCAGTGGCTCATGCCTGTAATCCCAACACTTTGGGAGGCCAAGACGGGCAGATCACCTGAAGTCAGGAGTTCAAGACCAGCCTGGCCAACATGATGAAACCCCATCTCTACTAAAAGTACAAAAATTAGCCAGGCGTAGTGCTGGATGCCTGTAATCCCAGCTACCTGAGAGGCTGAGGCTGGAGAAGTGCTTAAACCCAGGAGGTGGAGGTTGCAGTGAGCCAGGATCATGCCACTGCATTTCAGCCTGGGCGACAGAGCAAGACTCCATCTCAAAATAATAATATTAATAATCAGCATTTTTAATTATCTGAATGTTTTCTTTATACAATACTATACTCTCTACAAACAATTTAAAACTTAAAGAGAAATAAGGATAACAAGATGAAACACAATGAATTGTTTCAGTTCCGTCATTTAAAATTCACGTCTCCAGAAAAAGTAGGAAAGAGAAGGAGAATAATAGTATGTTTTTAAACTTTGGGATGAATGATAACACTCCATTTCTAGGAAAGTCTATGAAGTTGAGATATAACTGTAAAGTAAGGAAGGGAGAAAGTGGATAAATAAAAAGAAGGCAGAAAATCCAAAGAGAAGAGAACAAGAAGACTACAAAAGATGGTTGGAAATGAGTAGTGATTAGCATAAAGTTAAATGGCATAGTCTCACTTTATTCCAACTATCAACTACCTTTAACATACTCTGAATAGATGAAGCAAAATAGAAATGAGTTTCTATTGTTATCAAATCGTAACCAAAGTAGCTATGCCTGAAACAAAATATTCTGACATTTACAAGCATTCTTTGCATTAAGAAAAGTCAAAAAATGTACATTGGCATATATTAATGACCTCATTACAAAATGTTGAGTACTCAGTAAAGCTACTCCCTTGGATTTCATAAACTGAAACTATGAGTATAATGAAGTGCGGCAAGTTTGGTTTGTAAACCTCAGTGAATTAGGAGATAAGGGAAGCCAGAGAGAAAAAATCTGCAAATGACAACAGAGGAAACGGTGTACTGCTCCTACAGCCATCCTCAGCTCCTCAACCACCCATGAGACTCTAGTTAAAAAGATACCAGCTACAAGGTTCACAAGAACAATTAAAAATTCTCAAGAGGATACTAGGTGTAGGCAATATTCCTTTATGAAAGAAGTAAAGCAGGAAAGGGGGGAGGAAAAATCCAATTTGTTGTCTTGATTTTCCCAAGAGCACTCCCTGAGACTGCCCAATTCCTGGGTGACACATACATGCCCAAAGGAATCAAATGCTACTGCTTTTATTTCCTGGGATCCTTCAGCCTCTCTAAGTAAAAAGGAAAAGAACACCTCTAGAGTATTACAAATTATTTCCTCAAGGAAAGCTGAAGAAAGTTGGAGTCTCAGTGAACATGAAAGTCAACCACCCTAAAAAAATTCAAGACTGAGCCACAAGGAAGACTTTCTTTCATGAATCCTAAGAAGAAAAAGTCACATTCTTGATGTTTGCTGACACCCTCAGGCATAAGTGAAACTATTAGAAGAAATACTCACAGCAAAAATACTACATGGGGCTGGGCACAGTAGCTTACACCTATAATCGCAGCACTTTGGGAGGCTGGGGTGGGAGGATTGCTTAAACTCAGCAGTTGGAGACCAGCCTGGGCAACATGGTGAAATCCCATCTCTATAAAAAATACAAAATTTAGCCAAGCATGATGGCATGTGCTGTAGTCCCAGCTACTTGGGAGCTGAGGTGGGAGGATCACTTGAGCCCAGAAGGTTGAGACTGCAGTGAGCCATGACTGCACCACTGCACTCCAGCCCAACCAACAGAGTGAGATCCTGCCAAGAAAAGAAAAGATGCAGAAAAAGAAAGGAAGGAAGAAAGGAAGGAAGGAAGGAAGGAAGGAAGCAAGGAAGGAAGGAAGGAAGGAAGGAAGACTACATGGGTTCAAAGCAGAAAAAGATTTCCCCACACACATCCTACTATAAGAATTTCTACCTGAAAAGAAATGAGACAGGAGCAACTGTAGTGCTTCAATTTTAGTTGATAGTAGAAAGCAGAAATAGGAAATAAATGTCCCTAATGATAGAGGCAATCAAGATGGCATTTCTATGATCCATGAAAGATTGTACATCTGTTCCACTGGAGGTCAATCTTTCTGGTGACTCCTTATGGATGCTACCCAAAGAGCTGCTGTAATTTAGAAAGAGATTCCATGATCACCTTTATAACTTCAAAACTTAAAATGTAAAATAGACCTTCAACCTGATATTAATTCATTCATATTTTTATTCATATTCGACAAATACTTTTTGAGTGACTGTTTTGTGCCAAGTACTATTCTAGCTGCTTAAAATACACTAATGATTAAAGGAGACAAAGATTCTCATCCTCATGGAACTGAAATATAATAATAAATGTTCCATATACTATGATAGAAATGTTTGACTGCAATAGGTGCTATGGGGGAAAAAAGTAGAGCATGCAAGGGAGAGACACAGTGAGCCCAAATAACATAGGAGTGGGAAGTAAGCAAGCTTCATGGACAAGGTGAGATCTGAGCACAGGCCGAAGGAAGACAAGAAAGAGAGCTATACAGATACACTAGGTAAAAAGCTTTCTGGGTAGAAGGAATGGTCAGTACAAAGGCATCTAAGGCAAAAGCATGCTTGGCATATTCAAGAAATGGCAAGAAGCTAGAGTGGCCCAAACATAGGGAAGGAGGGGAGAGTAGTGGGAGGTGAGGCCAAAGAAGCAATGAAAAATAAGCAAGCCATTGATACCATTTTGGCTTCTAAGTAAAGCACAGGACCTTACAAGGTTTAGAGCAAAGGAATGACACACTCTAACTTAGGTTTTTTGTTGTTGTAGTTTCCGTCCAGCTTTACAGAAGTATAATTGCCAAAAAAGATTATATACATTCAAGGTGCAAAACTTCATTACTTGATATCCATATACACTATGAAATGATTACCACAACCAAGTTAATTAACACGTCCATCACCACACTTAGTTATCTGAGTGAGTGAGAGTGTGTGTGTGTGTGTGTGTGTGTGTGTGTCGTAAGGATACTTAAGATCTATTAGCAAATTTCAAGTAAACAGTATTATTTCAGCATTATTAACTATTGTCACCATGTTGTACATTAGATCCCCAGAACTTACTCTATACCTGTAAGTTTGTAACCTAAGCTCATAAATGGTCCTTCTGGTAGCTACAGAGAAAACAGACTGAGGGGGAGCAAAGGTGGAAGCAGAGAGACCCCATTAGTCACAAGAAGGCCAGGGTTAGAGGCATTAGGAAACAAGGTGTAAACTGTTACACTGATCACAGGTGAGGAGATCAAGTTAAATCCTCTCGGTAAATAACTTCTGGAACGTCTTGGACTTACTGAAATTTCACTTATCTGCTACCTGAATATAAGCTGGTGGGACATGTGCATCGGAAAGTTTCTTAATGTAGAAAACTACAAAATCTGAAGGAGACAGAGAATTGAAAATCTGAGAATTTCTGCCAGCTCTAAGTTAAGATTAATTCAAGAAAATAGTTTTCATTCATTTCATTTTGAAAAGCAAGCCCAAAAAACAATTTTGCTACTGTCCCTATAAATTTCTACCATGGATTACTTTTCCTGAAATAGAGGTTAGATACAAAGCATGTATTAAACTGAAAGGTATGTCAAGAGACAAAAAGGAGGTAAAGCGCCACTGCCTTCTTGCCGTAGCTAAAAAAGAGAAGATCTCTGGAAAATTCTTCCCAAGATAACAGAATTAATTATTTACTTATTCATTTGTTAAAGATGGGATCTCATTATGTTGCCCAGTCTGGACTTGAACTCCTAGGCTCAAGTAATCCTCTTCCTTCAGCCTCGGGAGTAGCTGGGACCATATGTGCACACCTAGCACTTGATTAATGAATTAATTTTGTTACAAATTCTAAGAATGTGCTACAAACAAATACACACAAATGTCACTATTTAAAGTAGATTTTTCCCTCAAAGATATCCTAACATACCTTGTTTTATTGCATTTCATTCTACAGTGCTTCACAGGTATTGCGATTTTTACAAACTGCAGGTTTGTGGCAACCTACCTTGAGCAAGTCTATTGGCATCATGTTTCCAACAGCATGTGCTCTCTTTGTGTCTCCATGTCATATTTTGGTAATTCTTGCAGTATTTCAAAGTTTTTCATGATTACTATATATATTATGGTGATCTATGATCAGTGATCTTTAATGTTATTATTGTAATTGTTTTGGGACACCACAAACCATGCCCATAGAAGATGGTGAACTTAACCAATAAATGTTGTATGCTCTAGTATGGAGGTTTCTCAAAAAACTAAAAATAGAACTAGCATATGATCCAGCAATCCCACTGCTGAGTATGTATCCAAAAGAAATGAAATCAGTGTCTCACAGAGATATCTTCAATCCCATGTTAACTGCAGTGCTATTCACAATAGCCAAATACAGAATCCACATAAGTGTCCATCAATGGATAAAGGGATATTTTAAGTGGGATATATACACATTGAAATATCACTCACCCATAGAAAAAGAATCCTGTCATTTGTGGCAACATGGATGAAACTGGAGGACATTATGTTAAGTGAAATAAGCCTGGCACAGAAAGACAAATACTACATGTTTTCACTCATACATGAGAGCTAAAAAAAAATTGATCTCATGGAGGTAGAGAGAAGAATGGTGGTTATCAGAGGCTGGTGGTGGGGTGGTAATGAAGAGAGATATATTAATGGATATAAACAAGGATTCGCCTTTCTAGAAGGTTTCTAGTTCACATTCGTGCTACTCCAGTGAACACATGAATGATAAGAAAGACAACCAGCCTTATTACCTATATGGAGAATGTTGTAATGGTCTGCGCAGATCAAACCAGCCACAACATTCTCTTAAGCCAAAGCCTAATTAAAAACAAGGCCCGGCCGGGCGTGGTGGCTCAGGCCTGTAATCCCAGCACTTTGGGAGGCCAAGGCGGGCAGACCGCTTAAGGTCAGGAGTTCGAGACCAGCCTGGCTAACATGGTGAAACCCCGTCTCTACTAAAAATTAAAAAAAATTAGCTGGGTGTGGTGGCACACACCTGTAGTCCAAGCTACTCAGGTGGCTGAGGCAGGAGAATCGCTTGAACCCAGGAGAGGGAGGTTGCAGTGAGCAGAGATCGCGCCACTGCACTCCAGCCTGGGCAACAGAGTGAGACTCCGTCTCAGGGAAAAAAAAAAAAAAACCAAGGCCCTAACTCTCTTTAATTTGATGAAGGCTGAGAGAGGTGAGGAAGCTGCAGAAGAAAAGGTGAAAGCTAGGAGAGATTGGTTTATGAAGTTCAAGGAAAAAAGCCTTCTGCATAACACAAAAGTGTAAGGCCAAACAGCAAATGCTGATGTAGAAGCTGTAGCAAGTTATCCGCAGATCTAGCTAAAATCCCCGATGCAGGTAGCTACACTAAACAACAGATTTTCAGTGAAGACTAAACAGTCTTTTGTTGCAAAATGTCACCTAGGACTTTTACAGCTAGAGGGGAGAAGTCAATGCCTGGCTTTAAGGCTTCAAAGACAGGCTGACTCTCTTGTTAGGGGCTAATGTGGCTGGTGACTTTAAGTTGAAGCCAATGCTCATTTGCCATTGAAAAAATCCTAGGGCCCTTAAGAATTATGCTTTATCTACTCTGCCTATGCATTTATAGAGCATTTATAGAGCAGAGGGAGAGTAGATATAGAATAATTCTTAAGGGCCCTAGGATTTTTTCAATGGTAAATGAGCATTGGCTTCAACTTAAACTGACAAGCTACATTACCAGCTACCAGGGCACAGGCAGAGTTGATAAAGCATAATTCTTAAGGGCCACAGGATTTTTGAATGGTAAATGAGCACTGGCTTCAACTTGGATGACAAGTTGGAACAGCTCATACGGATGACAGCTCATCTCTTTACAGAATGTTTAACTGAATATTTTAAGCCCACTGTTGAGACTTACTACTCACAAAAAGATTCCTTTCAAAACATTATTGTTCATTGACAATGTACTTGGTCACCCAAGAGCTCTGAGATGTATAAGGAGATTAATGTTGTTTTCAAGCCTGGTAACACAACATCCATTCTGTAGCCCATGGATCAAGAAGTAATTTTTACTTTCAAGTCTTATCATTTAATAAATACATTTCATAAGGCTATAGCTGCCATAGATGGTGATTCCTCTGATGGATCTGGGCAAATTATATTGACAACTTCTGCAAAGAATTCACCATTCCAGGTGCCATTAGAAACACTTGTGATACATGGGAGTAAGTCAATATGTCACAGGAATTTGGAAGAAGTTGATTCCAATCCTCGTGGATGACTTTGAGGAGTTCCTTATAAAATGACAATAAAGGATTTAGGATATTACATAAATGTAGTTGATAAACCAGCAGCAGAGTCTGAGACAATTGACCTCAATTTTAAAAGAAATTGTACTCCGGAGAGGCGGAGGTTGCAGTGAGCCAAGATCGTGCCACTGCGCTCCAGCCCGGACAACAGTGCGATACTCTGTCTCAAAAAAAAAAAAAAAAAAAATGGAATTGTACTGAGGGTAAAATGGTATCAAATAGCATGGCATGGTACAGAGAATTCTTTCATGAAAATAAGAGTCAACTGACGGAGCAAACTTCATCACTGTCATCTTAAGAAATTATATCCATATGTAGAAGAATGAAAGTAGACCCCTCTTCCTGTATTAAAAAATCAACTAAAAATGGAGTAAAGACTCAAACATAAGACCTGAAACTACAAAACTACTAGAAAAAACATATGAGAAATCCTTCAGGACACTGATCTAGGCAAAGATTTTATGGCTAAAACCTCAAAAGCACAGGCAACAAAAACAAAAATAAACCAAAGGGACTATATTAAACTACATAGCTTCTGCCCAGCAAAGGAAACAATCAACAGAGTGAAGAGACAACCTGTAGAATGGGAGAAAATATTTACAAACTATTCATCAAACAAGGGACTAATATCCAGAATACACAAGGAACTCAAACAACTCAACAGCAAAAAAACACCCAAACGATCCCAGTAAAAAGCACGCAAAGGACATAAGTAGACATTTCTCAAAAGAAGACATACTAATGGCCAATGAGTATATTTTAAAATGCTCAAATCATAAATTAGGGAAACGCAAATCAAAAGCACAATGAGATATCATCTCACCACAGTTAGAATGGCTAGTAGCAAAAAGACAAAAAAAAAAACTAATAATGGGGAAGATGTGGATAAAAGAGAACTCTTATACATTGTTGGTGGGAATGTAAATTAGTACAGCTATTATGAAAATAGTATGGAGATTTCTCAAAAAATCTAAAAATAAGCCAGGCATGGTGGCATGCACCTGCAGTCCCAGCTACTCAGGAGGATGAAGTGGGAGGACTGCTTGAGACCAAGAGTTTAAGACTAGCCTGGGCAACATCCCAAGAGTCTAACTCGTTAAAAAAAAAATACAAAATAAAAAAAATAAATAAAAGAAAACTAAAAATAAAGCTACCATATTGAGAGGTGACAGCGTGCTGGCAGTCCTCACAGCCCTCGCTTGCTCTCGGCGCCTCCTCTGCCTGGGCTCGAACCTTGGCGGCACTTAAGGAGCCCTTCAGCCCACCGCTGCACTGTGGGAGCCCCTTTCTGGGCTGGCCAAGGCCGCAGCCCACTCCCTCAGCTTGCAGGGAGGTGTGGAGGGAGAGGCGTGAGTGGGAACCGGGGCTGCGCGCAGCGCTTGCAGGCCAGCTGGAGTTCCGGGTGGGCGTGGGCTTGGCGGGCCCCACACTCAGAGCAGCCGGCCGGCCCTGCCAGCCCCGGGCAATGAGGGGCTTAGCACCCGGGCCAGCGGCTGCAGAGGGTGTACGGGGTCCCCCAGCAGTGCCAGCCCACCGGCGCTGTGCTCGATTTCTCACCGGGCCTTAGCTGCCTTCCCGTGGGGCAGGGCTCAGCACCTGCAGCCCGCCATGCCTGCCTCCCACCCCCTCCATGGGCTCCTGTGCACCGGAGCCTCCCTGATGAGCACTGCCCCCTGCTCCACGGCACCCAGTCCCATCGACCACCCAAGGGCTGAGGAGTGCGGTCACACGGCACGGGACTGGCAGGCAGCTCCACCTGCAGCCCGGGTGCGGGATCCACTGGGTGAAGCCAGTTGGGCTCCTGAGTCTGGTGGGGACGTGGAGAATCTTTATGTCTAGCTCAGGGAATATAAATACACCAATCGGCACTCTGTATCTAGCTCAAGGTGTGTAAACACACCAATCAGCACCCTGTGTCTAGCTCAGGGTTTGTAAATGCACCAATCGTCACTCTGTATCTGGCTACTCTGGTGGGACCTTGGAGAACCTTTATGTCTAGCTCAGGGATTGTAAATACACCAATCGGCACTCTGTATCTAGCTCAAGGTTTGTAAACACACCAATCAGTACCCCGTGTCTAGCTCAGTGTTTGTGAATTCACCAATCGACACTCTGTATCTAGCTACTCTGGTGGGGCCTTGGAGAACCTTTGTGTCGACACTCTGTACCTAACTAATCTGGTGGGGACGTGGAGAACCTTTGTGTCTAGCTCAGGGATAGTAAACGCACCAATCAGTGCCCTGTCAAAACAGACCACTTGGCTCTACCAATCAGCAGGACGTGGGTGGGGCCGGATAAGAGAATAAAAAGAGGCTGCCCAAGCCAGCAGTGGCAACCCGCTCGGGTCCCCTTCCACACTGTGGAAGCTTTGTTCTTTCACTCTTTGCAATAAATCTTGCTACTGCTCACTCTTTGGGTCCACACTGCTTTTATGAGCTGTAACACTCACCGCGAAGGTCTGCAGCTTCACTCCTGAGCCAGCGAGCCCACGAGCCCACCGGGAGGAACGAACAACTCCAGACGCGCCACCTTAAGACCTGTAACACTCACCACGAGGGTCCGCAGCTTCACTCCTGAACCAGCGAGACCAAGAACCCACCAGAAGGAAGAAACTCCGAACACATCTGAACACCAGAAGGAACAAACTCTGGACACGCTGCCTTCAAGAACTGTTAACGCTCACCGCAAGGGTCCACGGCTTCATTCTTGAAGTCAGTGAGACCAAGTAACCACCAATTCCGGACACAATATGATCCAGCAATCCCACTACAGATATTTATCCAAAGGAAAGAAAATCAGTATATCAAAGGGATACCTGCACTGTCATATAAACTAGAGTATTATTCACAATAACCAAGATATAGAATCAACCTAAGTGTCTAGCAATGGATAAATGGATAAAGAAAATGTGGTATAAGCCAGATGCTACCATACCTAAAGTCCTAGCTATTTAGGAGGCTGAGGCAGGAGGATTGTTTGAGCCCAGGAATTCTAGGCTATCCTGAGCAACACAGCAACACACTGTCTCTAAAAAAATAAAAGAAAGAGTATATGATGTGTGTGTGTATATACATACATATACACGCACATACAGACACATAATGGAATACTATCCAGCCATAAAAAAGAATGAAACCCTGTCATTTGTAGCAACGTAAATAAAACTGGAGGTCATTATGTTAAGTTAAATAAGCCAGGCACTGAAAGACAAATATCCTATGTTCCTTTTTTTTTTTTTTTTTTTGAGACGGGGTCTTGCTCTGTTGCCCAGGCTGGAGTGCAGTGGCACGATCTCAGCTCACTGCAAGCTCCGCCTCCCAGGTTCATGCCATTCTCCTGCCTCAGCCTCCCGAGTAGCTGGGACTACAGGCACCCGCCACCACGCCTGGCTAATTTTTTGTATTTTTAGTAGAGACGGTGTTTCACCGTGTTAGCCAGGATGGTCTCAATCTCCTGACCTCGTGATCCACCCCCCTCGGCCTCCCAAAGTGCTGGGATTACAGGCGTGAGCCACCGCGCCTGGCCCTTATGTTCTTACTCACACATGAGAGCTAAAAAAGCAGATCTCACAGAGGTAGAGAGTAGAATGGTGGTTACTAGTGGCAGTGTGGAGGATGGTATTGAAGAGAGGTAGATTAATGGGTATAAACATATAGTTAGAAGAAATAAGTTCTAGAGTTCAATAGCACAGTATTGAACTCTACAGTTAACAACAATACGTTTTATATTTCAAAATAGCCAGAAGATTTGAAATGTTCCCAATAGAAAGAAATGCTAAATGTTCAAGGTGACTGGTATCTTAAATACCCTGATTTGATGATTACACATATTTCATGCATGTATCAAAATATCACATGCACCCCATAAATGTGTATGAAAGTATGTAAAATTATTCTGTATCCATTTTTTAGGTAACAAAAAAGAAATTGCCACAGCTAACCCAACCTTCAGCCACCACCACCCTGATGAGTCAGCAGCCATCAACATCAAGGCAAGACTCTCCACCAGCAAAAAGGTTATGACTCACTGAAGGCTCAGATGATCATCAGCATTTTTTGGCAATAATGTATTTTTTAATTAAGGTATGTGGATTTTTTGACATAATGCTCTCACAACTTAATGGACTACACTATAGTATAAACATAACATTCAAACATACTGGGAAGCCGAAAAACTCGTGACTCACTTTTTTGCTTATGTAACAAAAACCCAATCTGAGCAGAAACAGAGTCCATTATAAAGGCACAGAGCTGTTTTATGCAAGCCAATAGGAGGAATGAAACCAGATCCCAAGGAGTTATGTAAATCAATCAGGATGTAAATTAAATACTCAGAAGAGGTCATCAGCAAGATAGTTTAATGACGAGACTACAGAAATGTGTACAGGTTAACAGATCCCAAAAGGTATGATGAGGCACCAAAAGCAAGCAAGAGTAGAAAACTAATATTATGTCTTAGCTTAAAAGGTCAAGTGGAGAGAATGTCACCATAGTCTAACAAGAGCCACAGCCATGAAAGAGGGCCCACCCAACAGGCACTGTGGCTGCTGAAAAATGAAGCCACTGCCAAAAATGCAGTGGAGCAGAGGAAGCAGAGGAAATAAACACTTCGACTGCTTTATTCTGTCATTCCCTTAATCTCCTGTGGGTGCACCTACTGTCCAAACCTAACCAGAAGCCAGAAGGTAAAGGAGCCCAGATCCACAGAAGGCAGCCTCCCAAGGCACACAGCAAAACAGAACAGAGGAGAATGGATCAGCAAGGGGAGAAGGGTGTAAAGGAGAGAAAAATCAGCACAAAATGGAAACATGTTACCACTCTGTAACAATCCAAAAATCACTAATTCAGTGCACAGTCCTTTCGCAGGAACACATTCCCTGGAATACACAAAGTATGCATCTATACAGAAAATTAGGAAGATAAAGATAAAAAAGGATGGTTAATAAAAGAATAAAAATTAAAATTTTAATAGAAAATTCTGTAGGCTTAGTAATAACTTCTGAGTTGCTTTGTTACCAACTATTTTACTTTAAAACTCAAACGAGACATGACCACATTATTCTTAGCTTTTCTAATTCAACTCTGAAGAAATATTTAAAATAATATTGAGGCATATGCTATACTGCGACAATATTTAACAATTTTTAAAGATCCTAACACCATTAAACACCACTGATACATCTCAATAATAAAAAAGTACCAGTGCAAAGGAAAATTTTCTCCTCCAAAGCTGTAACAAATATAATTGAAACTGGATACCTGCACCTACTTTTATGACACTTTTATATCTTTTGATTTGTCCATGATAACAAATTATGATTATGATACAGTAATGCTTTTGGGAAAAGTTTACATAAAAACAAAGATAGTTACACATTAATTTCATAAAAGCTAAAAACACAGAGACTTAAAACATAGACAATAGCAAAGCACACTACATTTCTAATAGCTTACCAACTGAGAAATCTACAGATCCACAAGGCAAAATATGAACCTTGATGAGGTCCTTCCAAGTTTTCAAGGACAAAAACTTCCTGAACTTAAGAGCTCTCTAAAGAACTTATTTGCCAAATTGCTGTTAGATTCCTTTTAAAAATGTTTTCTTAAATTTCTCAATTTTTAAGAGTGAGAAATTTAATTTTATGTGCCTTTTGAAGAATAGAATTGTGTTAGAAGACCACCAAATAATTCAGGGCTGAAAGCAGGGCAAAAGAAAACTGAGGTAGAAAAGTATTTATGTCAAAGCTACTATAGCACACATAATAACATAAACACAAAACACTAAGAAAGTAGAAATAGTGAACAGAATTCATTAGCCAGCCATTGCTTTTGCTAGTTCTCAAAATATGTCTACCTAATTAATATATAATTTTATAGCTCTTTATCATATGAAGTGGGCTAATAACTACAACTAAAATATTCTACCTAAGCATTCTTATCTGGACAGTATATGTATATGGTAGTAGGAAATGAAAACCAGCTTAGAAAACCGGCTTGGAAAGTATAGAACATGCGCTATGCTACAGCCTGTGTCCTACATAACCTTTTAAATGCATGACCTTTAAGTTGCTGAAGGTTGCCTCAGAATTTGGCTCAGTTTGATCGAAACATCTGTTCCCCTTGCAGGTATACTGTAAGGACTTTTTTCTCAGTTGGATTCAGAACACAGCAAGTGAGCCCTTGTCTGTCCAATCACACACACCCCAACACTTGTAAATCAAGTTCTGGGAGGACAACAGCAGGTCCATATTCCGTCACCCTTTCTCAGCCAGCTAGGCCAACTGACTGCTGTGAGAACTGCTCTTATCATGTCATCAAATCAAAACATGTTGAGATGAGGGACTACAAGAGGCATCTGCAGAATTCCCAAAATGTAGTGACTTTGGAACATTGACAGATGCATCTGTCATTTTATACCTTCAACTAACCTGATGTCCACTGGCCCGACACAGTAAAGCTGTCCAAGATCGATTCCAATTCTTTCACGTTATTTTCACATGTCTCTACTAGGAAGGCCTGGTGCTTCTTAGCCTTTTAATTAAGAAAAAAATTACACATAAGGTCACGTATTATAAGAGCTGCATATTTTTAGTGTGAACATATATAACACAAGTATAAACAAGATAATGATTCCATTCAAATATATTATTAATAAACCATCTTTCTCTCTTAATCATACCTTTTACTTGGCTTAATGTAACACTGTACAAGGTCTTATTAACAATTTACTGAGGAGTTAGTGCCTGGCACTATTCTAAGTGTTTTATATATAGTAATTCATTTTATCCTCACAATAACCCTATGATGGAAAGGCTATTATTATCCCAATTTTAGAGACAAGAAAACTGAGACAGAGGAATTATGGAACACTTAAAAAATCATGACTACAGTCATATGGCAAGTTGCCAGATGGCAGTCAAAAGTGAAGACAGTTAAGACCAATTTGAAGTTACTGCAGCAGTCAAGTGACAGTACTTTGGTCTAGGGTATTGACAGTGAAAGGGGAAGAAGGGGTAGGGAATGGAAGCACTGGACAGAGACTAAGATGGTAGAATGGCCAGACTTTAGTAAAACTGCATTGGGTTAGACCACACTGATTGGACTGGATTGAACTGGATTGGATTGGATGAGGATAAGGGAAGTACGCAGAAAAAGAAGAGTTGAGACTGATCCCAAGATTTAAGTTAGATGAACTGGGTGGATTTCAGTAGTTGAATCAGAATAATGATGGTAGAGAGGGTCTCGTTTTGGCTATTTTTGTTTGTTTACTTGCTTGCTTCTTTTTGGCAGGAGGTATCAATCATGAATTCTATTTTAATCATATTCCACTAGAGATACCTAAGACACTCTACACCAGCACAATGCCTGTCAAATAACAGGTCCCAAATAAATATATGTGAATGAACAAATGACAAATAAAGTAGAAAAATATGGGAGGTGGCTGAATATAATTGGTGTAAATCTTAGAAGCAGGGTCAGGTATAGGTTTGGGAATCATCTACAGATACTGTCTGAAACTTGCCTTAAAGTGTTTGATGGGAAATGAAAAGAGCCTAGGACAAGTCTTATGGAACTCCAGCAATTTAATAGTTAGAAAAGAAGTCAGCAAACAAAACTAAAAAAAGAAGAAGAAAAACAGAAGGGGATACAAGATGTGGGAACATTTCAAGAAGTTCAGTAAGAGAGTTGTCAATCATGCCAATTGAAGCAAAATGGAGACTAAAAAGTGTCTCCTGGGTTTGGAAGTCATTGGTGACCTTGGTGAGATGTTTCACTGTGTTATAATAATTATAACACAGACTGGAATAGGTTAAAGAAGGAGTAAGCCTGAATTTTTTTTCTTGAGTGAGAGATGAGTAAATAGAAACAGGAAGTTTAGACAACTCTCTTGGTAAGAAGGAAGGTGAGATAAAGGGCAGTAGTTGGAAAGGAGGGAAGGGTCAGAGAAGAGTTTTGTTTTTATTTAATATATGAGAAACTTAAGCACATTTAAAGATTGATGTTAAAGGTATGTTTATAGATACAGAAAAAATGGAAGAATAGATATTATAAGACAAACTTACATCCTTAAAATATGTAAAATTAATTGATGTTTGTTTACATGTCAGCTCAACTATCACTTCCCCAGAAAAACTGTTCTTTACCTCCCTGACTATATCAACTCTCTATCACATTCATCTCAGCACTTATCACAATTATGATTCACTTTTATTTGAGTTGGTCTTTTATTAATGTGCCCATCTCATAGAATTTAAGCTCCATGAAGGGAGTAAATGTCTGTTTTTTTTTTTTGTCCTCACCAGTGTATCCCCAGTGTTTCCCCTAGGCAACACCTAGTTTCTAAAATAAGTGTTAAGTAGTTTAGTTAATTATAGCATGTTATCAACAGAAAAATCAATTAGGATTCATCCACACAGACTTTAGGAGGATGCCCTTCATCAATGAAAACATATCTAAGTTATCTTGTTCAGCTAAAAACAAAAAGGGAAGTGGGTTGACAGTATGTTTAATATACTGCCATATGTGTGAAGTGTGTGTGTGCATGTGTGTCTGTGTGTACCTATTTGTAAACGCAGAGAGAATTTCTACACAGCATCTGTTTTTTTGGTGTTTTGTTTTGTTTTGTTTTGAGACAGAGTCTCGCTCTGTCATCCAGGCGGGAGTGCAGTGGCATGATCTCAGCTCATTGCAACCTCCGCCTCCCAGGTTCAAGCGATTCTCCTGCCTCAGCTTCCCAAGTAGCTGGGAGTACAGGTGCCCACGACCACACCCGACTAATTTTTGTATTTCTAGTAGAGAAGGGGTTTCACCATGTTGACCAGGCTGGTCTTGAACTCCTGACCTCAAGTGATCCACCCGTCTCGGCCTCCCAAAGTGCTGGGATTACAGGGGTGAGCCACCATGCCCGGCCTAGAATCATTTTTAAAAGGAGTAACTATGGCCGGGAGCTGTGGCTCACGCCTGTAATCCCAGCACTTTGGGAGGCCGAGGCGCGTGGATCACGAGGTCAGGAGATCCACATCATACGGGCTAACACAGTGAAACCCCGTCTCTACTAAATATACAAAAAATTAGCTGGGCATGGTGGCGGGCGCCTGTAGTCCCAGCTACTTGGGAGGCTGAGGCAGGAGAATGGCGTGAACCCAGGGGGCGGAGCTTGCAGTGAGCCGACATCGCGCCACTGCACTCCAGCCTGGGAAAAAGAGTGAGACTCTGTCTCAAAAAAAAAAAAAAAGTAGTAATGATGGTTGTCTCTGAGAAGAGAATCTGGATGATTAAGAGAGAGATTTCATTTTTCATTGTAGAACCTTTTTCTATCATCAAAAAGTTAGATTTTTAAAAAAGAGTAAAAAGTAAATAAGCCAACAAACAAAAAATGACTTGTCTTTTTTTTTTTTGAAGAGACAGAGTCTTGCTCCATCATCCAGGTTGTAGAACAATCTCGGCTCAGTGCAACCTCCACCACCTGGGTTCAAGTGATTCTCATGCCTCAGCCTCCTGAGAGCTGAGACTACAGGTGTGTGCCCATGCCCAGCTAATTTTTGTGTTTTTGGTAGAGACAGGGTTTCACCATATTGGCCAAGCTGGTCTCGAACTCCTGGCCTCAAGTGATCCACCCACCTTGGTCTCCCAAAGCGTTGAGATTACAGGCGTGAGCCACCACACCTGACCAAAAAATCACTTTTCCATAGCAGATATACATGCAAGTTGTTGCTGTGTTATAAAATACTCAAGAAGTCCAGATAGAGACTTCTGGAAATTAGCAAAGCACAGACTCACAGGTCAGTGAAAGGCTGGGTGCAATGGCTCACTCTTGTAATCCCAGCACTTTGGGAGGCCAAGGCAAGAGGATCAAGCCCAGGAGTTCAAGGTGAGCCTGGGCAACATAGTGAGATCCCATCTCTACAAAAAAATGAAAAACCAGACAGCCATGGTGGCACATGCCTGTAGGTCCCAGTTACTCAGCAGGTTGAGGTGGGAAGATTGCTTGAGTCCGAAAAGTCAAAGCTGCAGTGAGCATCATTGTGCCACTGCACTCCGGCCTGGGCGACAGAGCAAGACCTTGCCTCAAAAATAAAATAAGGTAAATACAATACAACATAAATAAGTCTAAATAAAATATATTCTTGCTAATGGCAATCAAAGTCTACCTTAAAAAACACAGTATTTATAAAGCACCAAGTTTATGTGTACATATATATATATATATATATATATAAAAAACATATATTTACAGGTATTTTTAATCATTAAATATTTAAATATTCTATTAAATTCTTTGAGTATATTATGCTCAGAGTAAAAAAAAACAAATAGAGAAAAATAAAAGGTAATTCAATTCTCACAGGTAAGTTTTATTCACAATGTGTTTTATAATTATAGGAAATATCTATCTATAATTTTTTAATTCAAATAGGATCATAAAATACATACTATTATATTACTTTCTTTTCCACTCATAGTATGTTTCACATCTCTCCACGTCAGAAACTTTTTTAGCTGTATAGTACTCCATTGGTCAGATGTACCATAAATTAACTTAACCAGTCCCCCCTACTGTTAATATTTTTTAGGTTTCTGGCAGTTTTTTTTGCTATTAGTGACGACACTACAATATACATTCTTACATATGTTCTTTTTATATTTTGCATGTACGTTAAGTATATCTACTCAATAAATTCCTAGAAATAGATTTAATGAGGCAAAAGGAAACACACTGTTTTCAGACAATTGTTAACAAATTACTCTCTAATCAGTTATACCAATGTACACTACCATGAACGGTATGAGCATCCATTTGCCAATATCTATCCAATAGTAGGCATTATCAACTTATTTAATGTGCATTTACTTCATTTTAATTAAGATTAGCATCCTTTCATGTTCACTAGCCATCTGTATTTTTTTCTGTGCATTGCCTGTTCATATCATGTGCCCATTTTTATATTATATCATTCATTTCTTCCTTAGTGGTTTATAAAAGCGCTCCATAAATTATAAAAGCAATCTCTTTTTGTTACATGTTGCAAATCATTTTTTCTCATTTCTATTTGCCATCTGACTATAATATATTCTTAAAACAAAATTATATTTTTCAAGTGATCAAGTGTGCAAATCAATAGTATGCTTTAGGACTTCTGATTTTTATGTCATATTTTCCTTTTACTCCAAGATGACAAAACAATTCCATTTTTCTTCCAGTGCTTTTTCATTTTCTTCTTTTATGGCTCTTTGATCAATCTAAAATTTGTTTAGTAAATTTTAGTCATATTACTTATCATTATAACATAACAAGTTGTCTAAAAACTATTTGTGAGATAATCTATCTCTAAACATTGATTTGGCATACAAACATTATCATATACTAAATTCTCATACATACTGATAGCCATTTTTGAACTCCTTACTGTTTCATTGCTTTCTTCATTATTTTGTCAGTACCAAACTCTTAATTGTGGTAACTTTATATTTTTTTTAAACTTGACTGAGACATAATTGACATAACATACAGCTCACCCAATTAAAGTGTTTAATGTTTTTAGTATTTTCACGAGGTTGTACAAGCATATCCACAATCTAGATTTAGAACAGTGTTGTCCCTACTAAAAGATGTGCCACACCCACTGGCTCTCACTCCCCATTCTCCCACCACTATCCCCAGGCCTAAAGAATCACCATTCTCATTTCTTTTTGTTTTTGTTGTTTTGAGATGGAGTTTCCCTCTGTCGCCCAGGCTGAGGTAAATTCATTCTTTGGTGTTTGGATGTGGATAGCCAGTTCTCTCAGCACCATTTGTTGAAAAATATTATTCTTTCCCCCACTGAATTGACTTAACACCCTTTTTGAAAATCAACTAAACATAATCATGAAGGATTTTTTTCTAGATTCTCAATTCTGGTCCATTGATATACATGTAAATCATTATGCTAGTACCATACTATCTTGACTACTGTAGCTTTGTAGTTAGCTTTAAAATTGGAACGTGTTACTACTCCAACTTTATGGTTCTTTCTCAAGATTATTTTGGCTATTCATAGTCCCTTATATTTCTTTTGAGACTGAGTCTTACTCTGTCACCCAGGCTAGAGTGCAGTAGTGTGATCTTGGCTCACTGCAACCTCTGGCTCCTGGATTCAAGTGATTCTCATGCCTCAGCCTCCTGAATAGCTGGAACTACAGATACGCGCCATCACACCTGGCAAATTTTTATATTTTTAGTAGAGACGGGGTTTCACCATGTTGGCCAGGCTGGTCTCGAACTCCAGACCTCAAGTGATCTGCCCGCCTCGGCTTCCCAAAGTGCTAGGATTACAGGCATGAGCCACTGTGCTGGGCCTCCTTATATTTCCATATGTGTTTTAGGATCTGCTTGTCAATTTCTGCAAAAAGACAACTAAAAGTTCATTGGTGGTACAGTGGTAAGCATAGCTGTCTTCCAAAAAGTCAACTGAGATTTTGATGGAGATTGCATTAAACCATCAATCTGGGGAGTACTAACATCAGTATTAACTATTACATGAACATGAGATATTTTTCCATTTATTTCGACCTTGTTTAATTTCTTTCCATGATAAATTGCAGTTTTCAGCAGACAAGTTTTATGCTTCTTTTGTCAAATTATTCCTAAGTATTATATTCTTTATTATTTTATTGTCAATAGAATTGTTTCCTTAATTTTATTTTTGGAATGCTCATTGCTAGTTACAGAAATACAACTGCTTTCCTAAATGGATATTGTATTGTATCCTACAACTCTGCTAAACTACTTTATTAGCTCTAATAATTTTCTCTGCATGTGTGGATTCCTTAGGATTTTCTAATATATACAGGATTATGTCAACTGCAAATAGATAATTTACTTCTACCTTTCCAAAACTGATGCCTTTTATTTCTTTTTCTTGCCTAATACCACTGGCTAGAACCTCCAGTAAAATGTTGAACAGACATGGTGAGAGTGTACATCCTTGTATTATTCCTAATCTTATGGTGAAAGTATTCAGTCTTTTACCATTAAATGTAATGTCAGATGTAGGTTTTCTATAGATGCTCTTCTTGAGGTTGAGGAGGAAGCTTCCTTGTATTCTTAGTTTGTTGAGCATTTTTATCATAAAAGGATGCTGCATTTTATCAAATGTTTTTCTGTGTCTATTGAGATAATCATTAGGCTTCCATCATTTATTACATTAGCTGATTTTCAGGTGTTAAACTAGTATTACATTCCTGAGATAAATCCCACTTGATCATGGTGTAATATCTTTTTTATATCTTGCTGGATTCAGCTTGCTAGTATAGTTTTGAGAATTTTAGCATCTACATTCAAAAGGGAGGCTAGTCTGTAGTTTTCTTTTCTTTCAGTATATTTGGTTTTTGTATCAAGGTAATAATACTGATTTCACAGAATGATATGGGAAGTGTTATCTCCTCTTCTATTTTTGAAAGAATTTATGAAGAATTGGTGGTAATTGTTCTTAAACATTTAAATAAATTTACCAGTGAACCTATCTAGGCCTGGGCTTTTCTTTGTGGGAGTTTTTTTGATTACTAATTCAATCTCTTTTGATTTATTTTGTATTTTGATATTCTAAGACATCCTGCTATTGCATTGATTTTCTATTTCTTTCTTTCTTTTTTTTTTTTTTTTTTTTTGAGATGGAGTCTTGCTCTGTTGCCCAGGCTGGAGTGCAATGGCGCCATCTCAGCTCACCACAACCTCCGCCTCCCAGGTTCAAGCGATTCTCCTGCCTCAGCCTCCCAAGTAGCTGGGACTACAGGCATGCGCCACCTTGCCCAGCTAATTTTTGTATTTTCAGTACAGACGGGGTTTCGCTACGTTGGCCAGGCTGGTCGTGAACTCCTAACCTCATGATCTGCCCACCTTGGCCTCCCAAGTGTTAGGATTACAGGCACGAGCCACTGCGCCCAACGGATTTTATATTTCTTCTTAACCAGTTTTGGTAATTTGTGTCTTTCTAGAAAGTTGTCCATTTTAAATTATCTAATTTGTTGGCATATAGTTTTTCAGAGTATTCTCTTACAATTATTTCTATTTCTGCGTGGTCAGTAGTTATATCCCCCTTTCGTTCATGATTTCAGTAATTTGAATCTCTTCTCCTTTTTTGATGAGTGTAGCTAAAGTTATCAATTGAGTTATCTCTTCAAAGAATCAACTTTTGGTTTCACTGATTTCCTCTATTTTTTAAAATTCTCTATTTCTTTTATTTCCTTGTTAGTCTTTACTGTTTATTTTCTTCCACTTGTTTTGGGTTTAGTTTGCTCTTCTTTTTCTCTTTTCTTACCGTGAAATGTTAGGTTATTGATTTGAGGATTTTTTTTTTTTAAGAGACGGGGTCTCGCTGTGTTGCCCAGGCTGACCTCAAACTCTTGGACTCAAAAACTTCTCCCACCTCAGCCTTCCAAGTAGCTAGGAACTACAGGCATGGACCACCATGCCCCAGTATTTTTTTTGAATATAGATGACTATGGTTGTAAGTTTCCCTCTTAAGCATAGTGTTAGCTGCATCCCACAAAGTTTGGTATGTTGTCTTTTTATTTCACTCATCTCAAAGTGTTTTCTAATTCCTTTGTGATTTCTTTTAGACTTGCTGGTTATTTAGGAGTGTGTTATCTAATTTTCACATATTTGTGAATGTTTCCTCTGTTGCCTTCTGTTATTAATTTCTAATTTAATTTCATTATGGTCAGAGAAGACACTTTGTATGATTTCAATCCTTTTAAATTTATTGAGGCTTGTTTCATGGCCTAGCATATGATCTATCCACAAGAATATTTCACGTACACTTGAGAAGAATGTATCTTCTTTTGCTAATGGGTGTGGTGTTCTATAGATATCTGTAAGGTCTAATTTGTTTACAGTACTGTTGAGTCTTCTATTTATTTGGTGATATTCTTCCTCATTGTTCTACCCATTACTGCAAGTGGGGTACTGAAGCCCCGAAATATTATTGTTGTCTATTTCTCCCTTCAATTATGTCAGGTTTTGCTTCAAATAGTTTGGAGGTCTGTTGTTAGGTGTACACATGTTTATAAATGTTAGATCGTTCTGGTGGATTGACCCTTTTAACAACATGAGATGTCCCTCTTTATCTCTAGTAACATTTTTATTCTAAAGTCTATTTTGTCTATCATCAGTATATCCACTCCAGTTTTTTTTTATTGGGTGCATGGTATATTTTTTCCATCCTCTGCTATTTTGATACATATATTATCTTTTTTTTATTTTTTTATTTTTTTAGATGGAGTCTCACTCTGTTGCCCAAGCTGGAGTGCAGTGGCGCGATCTCGGCTCACTACAAGCTCTGCCTCCCGGGTTCACGCCATTCTCCCGATACATATATTATCTTTAATGATCATCAAAAACCCTGCATGACCAAGATTGTTAGCACCATTTTACACATGAGCAAATGGATCCAGAGGAAGAATATCACTAAAGTCACACAACTAAAATGAGATAGGGTCTGGGATTAAAACCCAGATCAATATGCCTCCAAAATTTATGTTGTTTCTATTATGCCAGCTGACTGAAGTCCCCATTAATATCAAGGTATAAAAATTTACAGGAATATATCTATAGAAAGCCAGATAAACTGCATACTTGGAGTGAGCTTAATATCAAGGTTCAATTAAATTCCTAGTTCAAAAATAATTCTCTTTCAAGTATAGAGCTCAATCTTAACTAAAATATGAGCTAATATTTCCACACTATTACAATATGAGATCAAAATTAGGGTCAAATTAGGCAGAAAAGATTGAATAGTGTAAAATTTTTCAAAGAGCAAAAAAGAGATTTACTCACTCATCAGGCTTAAAAAGAAGCTAATGTTCATCTACCTGAAAATTACTATTACATTTGTAATTATTAATATTATAATTTTCACATCATTCTACAGAGATGTCTGGCTAATAGTCTTACAAATAATATAGCCAGTAGAAAGTTAGCTTAAATTTAATAATTACATTATTAACTTGTTTTACAGTTGACAAGTTTTTTTTCCTAACAAATTGTTTCAGTTTTATTAATGAAGATTCCACTCTTCATTCACACAGTAAAAGTGTCAGGATTTTGTTTTGTTTTTTAAATGCTGGATTGTGGTTGCATTTATCTTTTTTTTTGAGACAGGGTCTCACTTTGTGCCCCAGGCTAGCATGCACTGGTGTAATCATGGCTCACTGCAGCCTCAACCTCCCAGACTCAAGTGATCCTCCCATCTCAGCCTCCCAAGTAGCTAGAACTACAGGCACACGTCACCACGCACAGCTCATTTTTTTTAAATTTTTTTGTAGATATGGGAGTCTCACTACGTTTGTTGCTCAGGCTGGTCTCAAACTCCTGGGCTCAATGGTCCTCCCGTTTCAGATTCTCAAAGTGCTGGGATTATAGGTGTCAGCCACCATATCTGGTCTATGCTTATATTCAAATTTTGTTTCCAAAGCTGGTAGTTCTCTTAACAACCTTTTAATATACAAGGAATTTGAGAATGAAAACAGAATCCATTAGCTAAATAAACAAAACTGTTGAGCTGAAAACAAAGTACTAACTGAAGATAAAATATTGTTTCTAATTTTTTATTAACATATTTTGTCATGTGACATAAAGAATAAGTTTAGGTTAATGATAAATTGTTGACTCAACAAACGCTATAATTCTAAACATCCCCAGAAATTTAAAAGAATTGTAAGATAAAGGGACTCACTTATTTGCCTCAAGACAAAACTCACATATGGAATTTGTTGCCCTAGGATTAAAGGTCCCTTAATGCTATGTTGGCTAAGCAGATGATGTTTAGGTGAACATTTACTCATCACCCAACATGACCCACGGACTACTTTAAATGCTGTGATGAATCTACAACCAGTGTAAACAGGGGACTAAAAATATCAAAATATTCAAAGAAAGTTCAGAAAATGTTGTGATTGACAAATCTTAATGTATTATGAAAGAGGAGTCAATGTTGGTTAAAAAATATCTTTAACCAGAAAGAAAAATGAGATAACAAACTACCTTTATATGCACCTTGGGATACTATACCTCTCACACTGCTGAACTGAATGCATTTCTGGCTTAATCTAACATGTCATTCTTTTTTGTTTGTTTCATAATCATCTTCTCTTTTTTATGATCCTTCAAAACCTCATGCTCACTTTTTTGCTCACTCAACATGAGTACCACAAATAGAAAGGCACGTAAATAAAAATTTCGATTGAGAGCCTTGAAGAAACATATAAAAACTATATATAAATATTTATATCTGAAAATTGGTAAATGGGTCTTGCTGATCTGCTATGGAAAAAGTTGACTCAAGTCATAAATAACAATAAAAACCATGAAGGCCAATTTTAATAAGGTTAAAAATAATAGAAAAAACAAACAGGTTTAAAAAAAGCCTTTAGTCAATGGGTTTTTTTAATGAAATAAGCATTTTAAACATAGGTTGAACTTTTGCAACTAATATATAGTTCTTATAATTTCTGAACATTTTTGAACTCAAGTAAAACTTTTAAGTTTTTTATTTAAATATATGTTAAGCAATTATGAAGAAATTCTAAGTAAAAACGAGGAAGCATCAAAGCCTATAATCTTCATTACATACTTTTACCCTCACAGCTCACCTTTTCATCATATCTTGTACCTAGTTACCATTATATGCACAATGCATTTGTATGGGCTTAAGGAGGTCTGAGTAGCTTTTGTTATCATCACCATCAGCAGCTTTTCCCTAATCATATTAATGATAGCTAGTCTCTTAGTTCCCTACCACCTTGTTTACCTATGCCACTTCCACGGATGTCAGTATTCCATGACCCCACTTGCTTATCTCACATAATGAAATGTTACCCTTCTTTACTTAGCTTTGACAATCAGTTTATTTTTCAGTAGACGCTACCTTTCAATCTGAACATGGGCCTTAACATATAAACATCTCTCTCGCAATCTCTTGCTCTCTGTCTCTCTCACACACATACATACACAATACCATTTTATTTTTCCCAGGTGAAAAATGAGATTTGGATTTTCAAAATTTACTAATTTGCATAGAAATAAATTTCAAAAGGCTTAATGCAAAAGCTTTATGCCTATACCATAAATTTAGGAAGTCAGCCTCCTAAAAGGAATATTTAAATACACAAAGACACTTACGCGATGAATATTATTTACTAGAACTAAAATTTAAGGGCCACTAAGAGAAACGGAAAGTGATATTTATATTAGCAAAAACAATGCCCATGTATAAATACTACTCCTATTCTTGGTGAAAAACAAGAATCAATCTTTTTTTAGTAAAAAATCAGAATAGAATATTTATTAGCCCATTAGTTTTGAAAACCTCCTACAAAATCAGAAACATGTTCTTCTAAAGCAAACCTAATAGTTCATTGGAAGTAAAAATATTATCAAGAAATATTACCTTCACCACAAAGCATAACCATCAAAGCACTTTCCAAAATCATATTTAATGCTAGCAATCATTACTATTATATAATCAGTTAAACCCCCAAAAGTATTGGGGAAAAAATATACACTTGACCATTTTCAATCACAAGTTCTTTAGAGAATAAAACATTCTTTGACCAAAACCTCCTGAGAACTAGAATTCCCTTTTCAATATAAAGTCTCTCCTAGAGCTGTAACTAAATATTACTGAGTGGCAGGAAAACAAATCTCAAGAAATGACGGACTTAAGAAAATTTCATTGAAGAAAGCACAGAGCAAGTTCTAATAATACCAATTTGAAAATGAAAGCTCCCCTGCTTCAAGAGAAGCAGATATAAAAACTCACAGTAATGTCTAAAAGACCCAGCTGGATCTGTTGAGCCTCAGATGGACTTTAATAAGCATGATCAGTCAGCATCTTAAACTAGAAATTCAGTTTTATTTAGTAGTTGATTAAATCATTATTAAATTCATAGATTTTGAAACTAAAAGCTCAATTTCCAATCAAAACTTTTTATAGTCAAATTCTGTCAAGTTTCATATTCTGTGTTCACATCTTCATGTAAACATGAAAATAAATTTGTTAAGTCCTTGGATGTCCTATGTTGAAAACCTACTAATTCAATGACATTCAAAACAATAATTATATACCATTAATTTATTAGTTATATCTTTTAAATCTATAAATTGAAGTAATTTCATTAATATAAAAGTATAATTAGAATAAAAAGAAATGATAAATGTTTGAGATAGTAATTACCCACATCTGATCACTTTATGTTGTATATATCAAAACATCACAGTGTACCATATAAATATGTATTAATACAATTATTTTGTGTCAATTAAAAATAAATAAAGTACAATTAAATTTAGCTGGTTTATATTTATTAAATACCCCCAAAAGACAACATACTCAGTTTAGACTTTTCCAAAATTATGTTTTATATTTATATAATATCTCTCTCAAAACAGGGGAGCTATCACTTTCCAACTGGTTTATTAAGACTTTCTGTATCCTGGGCTAGATGATCTCTAAAGCCTCTAACAGCTCTGCTGCTGTATCTAGCCCAGGATACAGCATAAGGCTATGCTGTACTAACACATACAAAGTTATTTGTAAGTCTCAAAATTTGCTCAAGTCTTTGTATCTTATTAATAACACCTTGATCTCACGAGTAAACCTATAGAGGATAGTGACTTTAACTTTCTTTTCCAATGTAACAGAGAAAATAAAGACCAAGATTTAAATAATGACCATGAACATGACCTAAACTAGAAAACAATCTGGTACCTCAAAAGGGAAGAAAAATTACCTGTTAGTAATTTATGCTTCCCATCCATAGTCTGTAAAATACTGAAACTATTATGCTCAAAAGAAATATAATTGTGGAAAAGACACACTAGGGTATGTAAAATCATGGCATGTCATTAAAACAATTTCGTTTCCAAAAGCAAAAGGGAAAATCTTCCTCATAAGTCATTCTGTCTTCAGTCAACAACAATTATGAATTGAAAGCACAAATAACAGCCAGACTGTGAATGCAGAACTAGAAAAACTTCATTTCTTATGGCTTAAAATTTTAATTTGGGAGAAACATCTTTCAAGAGAAACTTTGCAAGCCTTCTTTCCCCCAAAGGCCACTAATCTACCGAGAAAAGTCAATAAAGGAATATGTACAAGAAAAGAATATATTTAGGAAAAGTGACAGAATAGTAATTTATAAAAAGAAAAACATTGTACTTACTATTTAAAGACATTTTCATTAAACAGGTCTTAAATTTCATATTATGGTCAGGTAAAGAAATAGAGAACAGCAGCTCTAATAAGCATAAAACAGAAAAAGTTAAAAGAAAGCTAACAGGGAAGAAGAAAGAAGAGGAAGATGGAAGAAAATAAGACGCAAAGCTATGAGTTTAAGAGAGATGAAAAAATTAAGAGGAACATATTAACAGTCTGAGCCACATCAACTGTACATCACTTAATCTGGCAACCTGAGTAAGTTTTTCGAACATCCCATTCGGCAAGGAACTATTAGATTATTTACAGATCTGCAACTGCTTTTAGCAATCCATCAAGCTTTGAAGAAACAATTAGCCTACAATTTTCAGCATCATTATCAAAACAGTAGTGTTTAATGGGTTAATACAATGAATACAACGAGTGCAGACGGTCCCAACAGGAAAACAAAGGTTGCTGGTGAGCTGCCACTTGCATTATTTTAGGCCATATATCACTCTGTAAATGTTTTAGAAAAAAAAATCTGTTGGTACCAAGTAAAATTTTTTAATCACTAAATATGAATATGCTCTGTGGTGAGTTAAACCAGTCTCATTTTATTTTGTATCTACTCACTAAAGTGCTAGAAAACCAGAATTAGGAAAATTCATGCAACCTATATTGGTGATTATGTCTTAACTCTTGCATTTTTAGTTATAACCCTGGCTTATTTTCCAAACTACTGAGTACAATATCTAATAAGCAAGCGAACCAAATGCAGTACTCAGCTCAATGACCCTGATATATTTTTCTCCACTACTGATTCAACCTCCTGAACTAGGAGGTAAGAGTTAAAACAGCCCATGAAATTTAAGATAACATTACAGTGAACAGATGCTACAGTAGACTACACAGAGGGCTCTTAACTTTCTAAAACATCACATTCAAAATACCAAACTGCAAACTGATTTCTAGAACAAGCAATGATATCAGTTCCCTGAATCAGAACACAGCAAACATCTTTAGATAAATGGAAAATGTATATAATATTGGATCATCTGAAAAAACACTGAAGAGTTTTAACTATATCCTATTATTAGCTTTCGATATGGGCAGCACTGATTTGGTGACCAATTCCTAGTATAACCCAGGGTCCACCTTTTTTGAGGAAAATAATATCCATTGTCCTCAATAACTAAATCACTAAAACTTTTGGAATATAACTGAAAGTGAAGTAGTCAAGCCTCTGAGGAAAGTATGTATGTATAGAACAAAACAAAGAAGTAATACAGTATTACCATAAACTTTACACCCTCCATGGTGGGGTCCCCAGCAAACTGCTGAGAAGAGGATTCTGCATCAACCAAATAAATCCATCGAACAAATGTTTATTGAGCCAAGTACTATAGTGGAATCTAGGTATGTAAAATGAAGTAAGTTAACCTCAATGCATTCATATCCTCTTGGGAGACATAATACACATCAAATTTCGGTGAGTATTATGATAAAGATGCTGAACTAAGTACTAAAGAAATACTGTTGAGGAGGCACAGAATTTTAACTTAAGGTGGATGAGAGTGGAGAAGATAGAATCACAGAAAGCTTCACAGATTGCAAGATATCAGAGCTGGGCATCACAGGATGTAAAGAAATCTGTTAATGGAAAAGAAAAGGAGCATTTTAGTCATTGCAGGTAAAAGAAATGAATAACCTGAATAAAAATAAGAATATATGAAAAGATGTGTTTAGGTCAATGCAGTGCTTCATGCCTTAATCCCAGCACTTTGGGAGGCCAAGACAGGAGGACCACTTGAGGCCACTTGTTTGGTGCCAGCCTGGCCAACATAGCGAGACCTCATCTCTGTAAAAAAATTTTTAAACTAGCCAAGCAAGGTGGCACATCTGCAGTCTCAGCTACTCGGGGGGCTGAGGCAAGAGGATTGCTTGAGCCCAGGAGCTGCAGATTTCAGTGAGCTAGGGTTGCACCACTGCACTCTAGCCTGGGCAACAGAGTGAAACCTCATCTTCAAAAAGAAAAGAAAAGATGTGTGTAGAAAACAAGGAGCACTCTAATATGGCTAAAGCAAGACAGACAGAGGGCAAAGGCAAAATAAGAGGGTAGAAAAGTTAATATGAAGACAAAAGGAAAAGGTCCTGAGATTATACAACAAGAAGCTGGCCGTTATTCTGAAAACAACAGGGAGACATCGAGATGCTGATGAGTTTTAAATAAAGAGAGGTTAACAAAAACAGATCAATATTTTACAAAGATAAACTTGGTGATGGTGTAAAAGCTAGATTACTGGGGAATGGAGAGAGAGTGATCAGGTACAAAACAATTACAAAAGGAAGTCTTTGAAATCATCAGATGTATTAATTACAAACCCTAATCACCCTTAATCTAAGTAATACTGTTTTATGCACGATAAAAAAAAAACATTTGAATACATTTTTGAAAATTCTATAATTCAGTTTTTACTAGTTCAGTTAGTTTCCCCCAATTATTCCAAATCAGAGAGGTTTCATTATGTGTATCTTTGATGTAATCAGCATTTCCAGTTTTGGAAATTTTGTTATCAATGTCACTAAAATAACTTGCATACTATTATCTCATGGAATGTGGTGAGGAAAAACCCTGCTATACATCCAATATGACCTAATAAAGTGATTTCCATAGGGTTTTCTTTTTTATCCTTACCATTACTAGTTCTTCCTGTAATTCACTGCAACTTTTTTCATTATACTGGAGTCTCTTTGAAAGGTCTATAATTACTTTCTTCTGTTCCTCGATGTCTTCATTTAGTTTCTTATTTTTGGAGAAATACTCTTTTTCTAATCTGAAAAGTTAAAGTGTCAGAGCAGGTTTTTCAAACATGCTTACATCAACTGATATTACACACCTTTAATACATATGGCAGATGTACTACATATCATGTGTTCATGCTAAAAGACTTTTTAAGGCTAACTCCTTTTTCAAACAAAAAGTACTGAATATTCTTAAATGAAAAACTTCAAAGCAATATTACTTTCCCTTTGATAGTAGGTATTTGTAGTATGCCCAAGGCTATAAGCAAAATAGATTTGGTTACTGTTGATTTGGATTCACCATCATTTTTGACGAGCAAAACCCACCTACCGTAGTTCAATTAGCTCAGAGACTATCTCAAGACTGAGAAAACAGTAGTACCAAACAACTTTAAAATTAAAATACAACATTAGAAATGGAACAAATGTCTCACATCTGAATGTCCATGCAAGTAGAACCAGTGTGGTGGCATGGAAAATCCAAAAGGAAAAATAATCAAAAATAATTCACATTCACTTTGAAGACATACGAATTTCTTTTCAAAGGATTCGCCTTCCTATTTAAATTTTGCTCAGATAGGCCAGGTGCAGCAGCTCACACCTGTAATCCCAGCACTTTGGCAGTCCATAGCAGGAAGATCATTTGAAGTCAGGAGTTTAAGACCAGCCTGGGCAACAAAACAAGACTCGATCTCTACAAAACAATTTAAATATCAGCCGAGCACAGTGGTGTGTGTCTGTAGTCCCAGATACTCAGGAGGCTGAGGCAGGAGGATTGCTTGAGCCCAGGAGTTCAAGGTTGCAGTGAGCTATGATTGTGCCACTGCACTCCAGTCTAGGTAACAGAATGAGACCACATCTCTTATATATATATATATATATATATATATATATATATATATATATATATGACACACACACACATATATATATACATACACACACACACACAGCCATTTGTGTGTGTGCGCGTGTGTGTGTGTATATATATGAGATGGGGTATATATACACACACACACACACATATAGGTATATAAATACACACCACATATATATGGGAGAAAAAATATATATGTATATTGTTCAGGTTAGTATTAAACTGTGTTTACATTCTGTATGAACATATAATGAAAGGTAGCTTCGAAGTATTTTCATTTAAAATTTTCTATAGATAATCTACCAAAGGAATAATTTTAATTCAAATTTAAATGTTGTCACTGTTTTAAATCTGAGATCTTCCTAAAAATGTAGTAGACCTGTTTCCCCTGATTAAATTATATTGCAGGAGACAGGGTGGCTCAGTATAATGCAGTCTAAATTACTACTATAATCAAATAAAGAGGTAATTTTTGAGTAGCACATGACCTTACTCTGAGCAATCAACATTATTTTCTCTGGGGTGGAACACAGACAATTCTAGTGTTAACTTTTTTTGTATATTCTCCTTTAGATTAGGAATATTCCAAGGCAGAGTAGCTTGAATTTAAAATAAACACGTGTAAAAGGATTGGATGCTACATTTATGTAAATCTCTCAAAGTAGAACTAAACTATAAAAATGAGTCTAAGTAGAAAAAGATAAGAAAATCAATCCAGGAGTCCCAACATATAAAGGAGTCCAGAGAAAGATGAATAAGGTGCAAAGAATAAACAAAGCAATGAGAATTTCCCAAAAATTAATTACTCCAGTCTCTAAAATTGAAAGAGCTCGACAAGAACCTAGCAAAATGAAAGAAAAACAATCCATGTGAGGCCCATCATCATGAAATTTCAGAACACTGGGAACAAAAAATGATTCTACAGAGTGCCCATCAAGTATGGAAACACACGTATTATTATTTTATCATGTATAATAATGTAACATAAGTAAACCATTTCATATATAATCACCTAAAGATTCCAGACTTGATGGCCACTCTGTGTTAAGTTTCCAGAGGAAAACGTGGACTACATACAAAAGATCAGGATTCAACTGACTTCAGACTTCTCAAACACTAAAACTGAATGAACGGCCAGCTGAACTATGAAAAAGGATAAAGATCAAAAACTTTCAGAATGCAAGTTTTAAATTTTCCTCTGATAAATAATTTCTCAAATAGCTACTTTCCAATGGAGAAAATCAAATAAAGAATAAGGCACAAGATTATCAAAAAGAGATCCAAAATACAAGAGAATTAGAGGGAATTCCAAGGATGATGTTAAAGGGAAGTCCTTGGGTGACTGTGTACAGGGAACCTAAAAAACAACTTGTCCAGCTCGAGCGCTTCCAAGATGGCCAAATAGGAACAGCTCCAGTCTGCAGCTCCCACAGAGATCAACGCAGAAGATGGGTGATTTCTGCATTTGCAACTAAGGATCACAGCTCCTCACCACCAACAGAACAAAACCGGATGGAGAATGAGTTTGACGAGTTGACAGAAGTAGGGTTCAGAAGGTCGGTAATAACAAACTTCTCCGAGCTAAAGGAGCATGTTCTAACCCATCACAAGGAAGCTAAAAACCTTGCAAAAAGGTCAGGCGAACGGCTAAATAGAATAAGCAGTGTAGAGAAGAACTTAAATGACCTGATGCAGCTGAAAAACACAGCACGAGAATTTCGTGATGCACGCACAAGCTTCAATAGCCAATTCGATCAAGTGGAAGAAAGGATATCAGTGACTGAAGATCAAATGAATGAAATGAAGTGAGAAGACATGATTAGAGAAAAAAAGAGTAAAAAGAAATGAACAAGGCCTCCAAGAAGTCTGGGACTATGTGAAAAGACCAAACCTGCATTTGATTGGTGTACCTGAAAGTGACGGGGAGAATGGAACCAAGTTAGAAAACACTCTTCAGGATATTATCCAGGAGAACTTCTCCAACCTAGCAAGACAAGACAACATTCAAATTCAGGAAATACAGAGAACACCACAAAGATACTCCTCGAAAAGAACAATCCCAAGATGCACGATTGTCAGATTCACCAAGATTGAAATGAAGGAAAAAATGTTAAGGGCAGCCAGAGAGAAAGTTCAGTTCACCAACAAGGGAAGCCCATGAGACTAACAGCGGATCTCTTGGCAGAAACCCTACAAGCCAGAAGAGAGTGAGGGCCAATATTCAACATTCTTAAAGAAAAGAATTTTCAACCCAGAATTTCATATCCAGCCAAACTAAACTTCATAAGTGAAGGAGAAATAAAATCCTTTTCAGACAAACAAATGCTGAGAGATTTTGTCACCACCAGGCCTGCCTTACAAGAGCTCCTGAAGAAAGCACTAAACATGGAAAGGAACAACTGGTACCAGCCACTGCAAAAACATACCAAATTGTAAAGACTATCAAGGCTAGGAAGAAACTGCATCAATTAACAGGCAAAATAACCAGCTAACATCATAATGACAGGATCAGATTCACACATAACAGTATTAACCTTAAATGTAAATGGGCTAAATGTCCCAAGTAAAAGACACAGACTGGCAAATTGCATAAAGAGTCAAGACCCATCAGTGTGCTGTATACAGGAGACCCATCTCACGTGCAGAGACACACAGAGGCTCAAAATAAAGGGATGGAGGAAGATCTACCAAGCAAATGGAAAGCAAAAAAAAAAAAAAAAAAAAACAGGAGTTGCAATCCTAGTCTCTGATAAAACAGACTTTAAACTGACAAAGATCAAAAGAGACAAAGAAGGCCGTTACATAATGGTAAAGGGATCAATTCAACAAGAAAAACTAACTGTCCTAAATATATATTCGCCCAATACAGGAGCACCCAGATTCATAAAGCAAGTCCTTAGAGACCTACAAAGAGACTTAGACTCCCATACAATAATAATGGGAGACTTTAAAACCCCACTGTCAATATTAGACAGATCAACGAGACAGAAGGTTAACAAGGATATCCAGGACTTGAACTCAGCTCTGCACCAAGCAGACCTAACAGACATCTACAGAACTCTCCACCCCAAATCAACAGAATATACATTCTTCTCAACACCACGTTGCACTTATTCTAAAATTGACCACATAATTGGAAATAAAACACTCCTCAGCAAATGTAAAAGATGAGAAATTATAACAAACTGTCTCTCAGACCACAGTGCAATCAAACTAGAACTCAGGATTAAGAAACTCACTCAAAACTGCTCAACTACATGGAAACTGAACAACCTGCTCCTAAATGACTACTCAGTAAATAACAAAATGAAGGCAGAAATAAAGATGTTATTTGAGACCAATGAGAACAAAGACACAACATACCAGAATCTCTGGGACATAGTTAAGGAAGTGTGTAGAGGGAAATTTACAGCACTAAATGCCCACAAGAGAAAGCAAGAAAGATCTACAATCGACACCCTAACATCACAATTAAAGAATTACAGAAGCAAGAGCAATCAAATTCAAAAGCTAGCAGAAGGCAAGAAATAGATAAGATCAGAGCAGAACTGAAGGAGATAGAGACACAAAAAACCCTTCAAAAAGTCAATGAATCCAGGAGCTCGTTTTTTGAAAAGATCAACAAAATAGATAAGACTGCTAGCAATATTAATAAACAAGAAAAGAGAGAAGAATCAAATAGACACAATAAAAAATGATAAAGGGGATCTCACCACCGATCCCACAGAAATACAAACTACTATCAGAGAATACTATAAACACCTATAAACACCTCTATACAAATAAACTAGAAAATCTAGAAGAAATGGATAAATTCCTGGACACATACACCCTCCCAAGACTAAACCAGAAAGAAGTTGAATCTCTGAATAGACCAATAATAGGTTCTGAAATTGAGGCAAAAATTAATAGCCTCTCAACCAAAAAAAAGCCCAGCACTGCACAGATTCACAGCCAAATACTACCAGAGGTACAAAGAGGAGCTGGTACCATTCATTCTGAAACTATTTCAATCAACAGAAAAAGAGGGAATCCTCCTTAACTCATTTTATGAGGCCAGCATCATCCAGATGCCAAAGCCTGGCAGAGACACAACAAAAAAAGAGAATTTTAGACCAATATCACTGACGAACATCGATGCGAAAATCCTCATTAAAATACTGGCAAACTGAATCCAGCAGCACATCAAAAAGCTTATCCACCACGATCAAGTTGGCTTCATCCCTGGGATGCAAAGCTGGTTCAATATATGCAAATGAATAAATGTAATCCATCACATAAACAGAACCAACAACAAAAATCACATGATTATCTCAATAGATGCATAAAAGGCCTTTGACAGAACTCAATAGCCCTTCATGCTAAAAACTCTCAATGAACTAGGTATTGATGGAACGTATCTCAAAATAATAAGAGCTATATATGACAAACCCACAGCCAATATCATACTGAATGGGCAAAAACTGGAAGCATTCCCTTTGAAAACCAGCACAAGACAAGGAGACCCTCTCTCACTTAATTCAACATAGTGTTGGAACTTCTGGCCAGGGCAATCACGCAAGAGAAAGAAATAAAGCGTATTCAATTAGGAAAAGAGGAAGTCAAATTATCCCTGTTTGCAGATGACATGATTGTATATTTAGAAAACCCCATCATCTCAGCCCAAAATCTCCTTAAACTGATAAGCTACTTCAGCAAAGTCTCAGGATACAAAATTAATGTGCAAAAATCACAAGCATTCTTATACACCAATAACAGACAGACAGCCAATTCATGAGTGAACTCCCATTCATAATTGCTACAAAGAGAATCAAATACCTAGGAATACAACTTACAAGGGATGTGAAGGACCTCTTCAAGGAGAACTACAAACCACTGCTCAAGGAAATAAAAGAGGACACAAACAAATGGAAGAATATCACATGCTCATGGATAGGAAGAATCAATATCATGAAAATGGCTATACTGCCCAAGGTAATTTATAGATTCAATGCCATCCCCATCAAGCTACCAATGACTTTCTTCACAGAACTGGAAAAAACTACTTTAAAGTTCATATGGAACCAAAAAAGAGCCCACATTGCCAAGACAATCCTAAGCAAAAAGAACAAAGCAAGCTGGAGGCATCACGCTATCTGACTTTAAACTATACTACAAGGCTACAATAACCAAAACAGCATGGTACTGGTACCAAAACAGATATATAGACCAATGGAACAGAACAGAGGCCTCAGAAATAACACCACACATCTACAACCATCTGATCTTCAACAAACCTGACAAAAACAAGAAACGGGGAAAGGATTCCCTATTTAATAAATGGTGTTCAGAAATTGGCTAGCCATATGCAGAAAGCTGAAACTGGATCCCTTCCTTACACCTTATACAAAAATTAACTCAAGATGGATTAAAGACTTAAATGTAAGACCTAAAACCATAAAAACCCTAGAAGAAAACCTATGCAAAACCATTCAGGACATAGGCATGAGCAAAGACTTCATGACTAAAACACCAAAAGCAATGGCAACAAAAGTCAAAATGGACAAAATGGGATTGAATTAAACTAAAGAGCTTCTGCACAGCAAAAGAAAGTATCATCAGAGTAAACAGGCAACTTACAGAATGGGAGAAAATTTTTGCAATTTATCCATCTGACAAAGGGCTAATATCCAGAATCTACAAAGAACTTAAACAAATTTACAAGAAAAAAACAAACAACCCCATCAAAAAGTGGGCAAAGGATATGAACAGACACTACTCAAAAGAAGATATTTATGCAGCCAACAGACATATGAAAAAACGCTCATGATCACTGGTCATCAGAGAAATGCAAATCAAAACCACAATGAGATACCATCTCACACCAGTTAGAATGGCGATCATTAAAAAGTCAGGAAACAACAGGTGCTGGAGAGGATGTGGAGAAATAGGAATGCTTTGACACTGTTGGGAGTGTAAATTAGTTCAACCATTGTGGAAGACAGTGTGGCAATTCCTCAAGGATCTAGAACTAGAAATACCACTTGACGCAGCGATCCCATTACTGGGTATATACCCAAAGGATTATAAATCATGCTGCTATAAAGACACATGCACATGTATGTTTATTGCGGCACTATTCACAAAGACTTGGAACCAACTCAAATGTCCATCAATGATAGACTGGGTTAAGAAAATGTGGCACATATACACTATGGAATACTATACAGCCATAAAAAAGGATGAGCTCACGTCCTTTGCAGCGACATGGATGAAGCTGGAAACCATCATTCTGAGCAAACTATCACAAGGACAGAAAACCAAACACTGCATGTTGTCACTCATAGGTGGGAATTGAACAATGACAACACATGTACACAGGGCAGGGAACATCACACACTGGGGCCTGGCAGGGGGTGGGGGGCTGGGGGAGGGATAGCATTAGGAGAAAGACCTAATGTGAAGACCTAATGTAAGCGAGTTGATGGATGCAGCAAACCAACGTGGCACATGTATACCTATGTAACAAACCTGCACGTTGTATACATGTATCCTAGAACTTAAGGCCAAAAAATAAAGATAAAAATAAATTTAAAAAAAAAACTTTTCCAGACTGGAAAAAGTAGACAGAAGAGTCCAGGAGGAACATCTCTTAGAAGAAATTTAAAATGATAGCGTCTCTGAGGTGTAGGAACATGAGAGACTTTCGGTTCTGTTAGTGTTTACAAATAATTTAATAAGTGATTGGTTAATCACATGAACTAATACAGTTTAAAATGAGGCAATTATTAACTATTCTCATCTGTTGATTCTGCAAGTATTTTCTGTTTTGTTTTGGTTTTTAGACAGCGTCTCACTTGGTCGCCCACACTGAAGTACAGTGGCATGATCATAGCTCACTGCAGCCTCGAACTACTCAGCATAAGCAATCCTTATACCTCAGCCTCCCAAGTAGCTGGGACTACAAACATGCGCCACCAAAAGCAATCCTCCCCCACCTCGGCCTCCAGCAATCCTCCCACCAGAGCCTCCCAAAGTGCTGGGATTACAGGTATAAGCCACCACATCCAGCCCAATTCCATAAATCTTTATTTAGCAGCTCTTATGTACCTTTCTAGGCACTGACAAGACAGCAATAAACAAAACAAAGTTTCTTGTTACATAAGACAGACAATAAATAACAAAGAACACAATAAAATGTGCTATAAAAAAAGATGGGTTAACAAAAATTAAACTGTAGAAAAAATAAAGTATGCTGAACCCAAAAATATAACTCTATGGAAAGGATGGGAAGAGGGAAGGAGTGTCTGTGGTGTGGGAGAAGCATATAATAGAGATATATAAGTAGAAGCCAATAGATATTTAAAGGTAGAAACTGAAAAAAATGGCATACTATGCCTGTTATTTAGAAATATGAAATCAAATATCAGAAGAACCAGCAATAAGATTTGAAAGTAGATGCATCAAAGGAGTAGAAACTGATAGTAGAGAGCAATGGGGCATGAAACTGCTGTTTTTCATGAGCCTAACAGTACCATTTTATTCATTAGACTGTGTACATGTATTAATTTGATAAAATCAAGATTTTAGTTAAAAACTGCTGTTACTCAAAAAATAGATAATTAAGTGCATCTGTCATTACACACACAATACACACACAGCTTTTTTTTTGGTACTATTTTATAAATAAAGGCCAAACTGTGTCCACTGAAATGGGGGAACACACCTTGCTGTTGAGCATTCTGGCGGACAAAAAAGCTGGCTCCTACCATGCTGCTAAACTCCCAACCAAGAAGGAGTAAGTGGAGCAAGAGTAGGGCAGGTTAAGGAGATGCCTTGTCTCTGAATTCTGATGGGAAAGGGCCAGGACTTAAAAGGTGGAGGATTTAGGCAAGAAAGGGAAGAGAGGAGAAGTAAGTTTGTAGCTAGGATCCCTTCTTTCCTACTGGAGTCCCATTCTTTTTTTTTTTTTTTTTTTTTTAAGACTTCAGCTAAGAATTTGACAATAACAGGGTATTTTAACAAATAGCCATCTTTGGACTATGTTTTACATATAATGTAAACAAAAATAATGCTACTAAGTTACAATACCGTTGATATGTTTATCCTTTTGGGTGATATATTTAGAAAAATAAATTCCTAAATATTGAGTCTAAGAAATAAATTTAGATGCAGTCCATTCAGCATGATATATTTGACTAATGATGTTTCAAATTAAATTTATGTTTCAACTATACCTAAGGATTACTATGATCTCTTTCTCCCTACTATTGCCCAGCAATCAGTTGTCACAGCTAATGAAGACTTTACTATATTTGAAAATTCAGATGGTTAATGGGTACAAAAATACAGTTAGATGGAAGGAACAGGATCTAGTGTTTGGTGGCACAACAGGGCAACTATAGTTAACAATAATCTATCACATATTTCAAAATAACTAAAAAAGTGGAATTGGAATGTTCCTAACATAAATAAATGATAAATGCCTGAGTTAATGGATAGCCCAATTACCCTGATTTGATCATCACACATTGTATGCTTGTATAAAAATATCACACATACCCCATAAATATGTACAACTATTATTTACCCATAATTAAAAATAAAAAATGTTTAAAAAGAAAACAAAAGATTATTGAAAAGCTTTGGTTTCATACTGCAAGTTTTAGATGGAAAAAAATTTATTCTAAGAAATTTTGATTATAGAATTATGGAATATATACATTCCATCTAAAATAATTTCATGTAGGAATGTCTACTGTTATGAAACTATGGACCAAAACTATAACTCTGCAATATACACACAGCTTTTTTTCTCCTGCCTTTAGTGAGATCCTGCCGAGGTCTGCCTGGCAAGAAACAGAAGCTTAAAGAACCTTAACCAATGGCAGGTTCAAGCATGATAAACTGCTACGTCAGTTCACAACAGGTAAAACAATATACTGCTCCAAAACTCCACATTCTCAAAGTTGTAAGTTAAAGGTATTATTTACCTTAAAGACCTAAAATCTATCAATTCTCTATTTGGAATACATTAACCAAAACTTAGAACTACTTTGAAACAACAGAATTTTTTTCAGAAATTCAGAATCTTCTTTAAAAAATATTTAAAAAATTCAGAATCATCTTTAAAAAAGGTTTTTTAAAGATGATTCTGAAGTATGGTCAGAAGTACAGGCAGAAAATGGAAAATGGAAGTACAGGTAGATCCCTCAAGTCACATCATTCCTTCTTATACTACAGATAGTAGGGATGGAAGTGGCTTTCATTTCACATACACGGAAAAGGAAGATGGGATGGAAAAGGAAAGTCACAGAAATTTTCAGTGATTATTGGGTTTAGTTATTACTTGTCATTATTTATTTATTATTATTTAACTTGTATTATTATGACAGTTATATACAGATGAAGAAGATATAAGGGACATTATGTTAAAGCATTAGGAGTGTTAGTTAGCTAGTGCCTAGTTGGAATATGTAACTAATGTTTAGAATTGTCAGTTGGTGCTTACTGGAATACTAAATTTGAGTAAAAATTTTCAAGTACCAAAATACAAATAACAGCAAAACAAAACTTAAGGAAAAAAACTGCTTTGGGGTCCAATTAGGAAAGTATATAGGTTAGACTCAGAGCTTAAGTGTTAGCAAGTAGGTTAAAATTCCTCCAGTCCAATCTTTATAAGACTCTCTTCTTCAACATCCATGACAGAGAATCATCCACTCTGTGTTTTGAATTTCCCAAGGCAGGGAACTCACTAGTTCCCTGAAAGATGTCTATTATTTCATTGCTAGAAAGCTTTAATTATTGGGAGCTCATTCTGACTTCTTACAGTTTTACTTGTAGGTCCTAATCATTACCTTAAAGCAAAAGTAAAGAAATCTGCACTATATTCTACATAAAAGCCTTTCAAATAGATTTATATGCAGAATAATATTTGAATACATATTTGAATAATATTTGAATACATTCAAATGTATTAAATGTATGCATTCAAGCAATGGTTCAAAGAACATAAAGGATAAATAAGTCCTTAGAATAACATTCACAGAATGTCATTTAAGTCATACTAGAGGGAAGCAAGGAAATTCAGTTAAGAATTATTGGTTTAAAATATTATAAGCATTATTAATTAAAGAAACAAACAGTTTAAGAGTTTTTAATGTTTTCAGTCTTTCAGGTGCAATCTTCGTGATTTTTGTCACACTCACAAAAATTACCGCTATTTAAATCACACTTTCACTTAAGTTAACTCACTTCTTATAATAAATGAAGCTTTTCTCTTTTTTTTGAGATGCAGTCTCCCTCTGTTGCCCAGGCTGGAGTGCAATGGCGCGATCTCAGCTCACTGCAACCTCTGCCTCCCGGGTTCAGGTGATTCTTCTGCCTCAGCCTCCCAGGTAGGTGGGATTACAGGTGCCCGCCACCACACCTGGCTAATTTTTTTATTTTTAGTAGAGACAGGGTTTCACCATGTTAGCCAGGCTGGTCTCGAACTCCTGAACTCAGGTGATCTACCCGCGTCAGCCTCCCAAAGTGCTGGGATTACAGGTGTAAGCCACCGTGCCCAGCCAATAAAGCATTTTAAAAGGGATCTTTATATTGTGGCTATAAATGGAAAACCATTATCTACTTGCCATAAATAGAAACTAAGATTAAAATATAATTCTAATATGCCAATGTATTATCATGCCACATACTAATGGTAGTATGAATTTCACCCTCTGGGGGGGGAAATGGTTTAAAATGTCTACTATTGACTTATTTTTGGAAACATATTAATGCATTATAAACTTCTTAAATCATTTCACAGAATTTTGAAGATGAAAGGCTTTTAAACTGAAAAAGGTTAAAATCAGTAGGAGTCAGAAAGATTCTAATTCTGCCACTTAGGAGCTGTATGTCCTTACTCTTGTTTAGCCTCAATTTCCACATCTGTAAAAGAGATTTTTTAAAATACCTTCCTCATACGGTGTTAGACAAATGAAACTGCAATGCTAGGTATGAAGTGAGCCACAATGCATGTTGGCCACTATTAGTAGTAGTGTTACTGCTATTATTATTATTTCTGTAGTTTGAGAAAATGTCAAATATTATCCATCTTCATATAGACCATTTTATGTGACTTAGAAATCTTAGCCCCAGATCTTAGCCTTAGATCATAGCTCACTTCAGCCTTGAACTCCCGGGCTCAGGTGATCCTCCCACCTCAGCCTCTCGAGTAGCTGGGACTACAGGTGCACACCACTATACTTGGCTAATTTTTTTATTTTTTTTGTAGAGACAAAGTCTCACTATGTTGCCCAAGCTGGTCTTGATACTTAAAGATATTGCGTTACATCACTCATATAATACAAACTACATTAATGTATTTACTTTCTAGTTTATTACTCAATTTCTTGGGCTACTTGGAATATACTTCAATATCCAAAAGAGCATTTCCATTTTTACCTATACAGGAAAGTATAGTTATGTTTTATGAAGTCACTTGCCCCAGTCTACCACTGACATTAATGGGAGCTATATCTAAAATACATAGTATACATTCATATTTTATATAGCTCTTTTAAAATCTTTATGTTAATTTAGAGAATTTTACAATAGAATACTTACAAATTTAGTTTTGCAAAGCTCTCTTGTGCATTATGCTTTTCTCGCTCATATGCACTTTCAACTTCTTTGAATTCATTCTTGATAATTTCCAAATCAGCAACAGCTTCTGCTTGACTGGCCTTCTCTACTTGCAAAGCTCCTTCAAGGTCTCGAATCCGTAACTACCGGACGACAGACAAGTAATTAAATCAAGCTAAGAAATGCTAGCATCAATCTTAAATTGAGTAGAATACTTTGTCAGTAACAGATTATCATTCATCCAAGCACTTCTTTCTTTCTGCTTTGGCTTAAAAAAGAAAAATAAATAAAAGACAGTTTATTCCCTTTCTCAATATGTTTAAATGAAAGGAGAAAGAGTAGAAGAATGAAGAGTTAACTGTGTTATGAAAGATAGGCTGGTACAATATAACCCATTCTATCAAAGAAAAATAGATATGTAGATACAACTCAATCTAAATTTTCAAAGTTTCAAATTTTTACCTACTAATCCATTCAGATACTTCTTTTATAAAATATAATAAATTAAATGTTTGGGTTTTTTAAGAGACAAGGTCTCACTTTGTCACCCAGGCTGAAGTGCAGTAGTGTGATCATAGCTCACTGCAGCCTTGAATTCCTGGGCTCAAGTGATCCTCCCACCTCAGCTTCTCAAGTAGCTGGGACTACAGGTGCACACCACCACACCCAGCTAATTGTTTTATTTTTTGTAGAGATAGGGCCTTGCTATCTTGCCCAGGCTGGTCTTAAACTGTTAGCTTCAAGTGATCCTCCCACCTTAGCCTCCCAAAGCACTGAGATTACAGGCATGAGCCGCTGCTCCTGGCCTGGTTTTTGAAAACTAAAGGGAAGTATTCTTCCTCTCTTACAAGAAACATTATTACATGAGTATCTTTATAAGCCTAAGAAATTTAACAGATCTTTTTATTCCTGAGATTTCTTACTATAGAAAAGTGATCTTCTTATTGTCAAACAATACTATTTGACTGAAATATTTATGGTTATCGTTATTTGATATCTGGGATTTACTTCAAAATAGTCTGGAGGCAGCCGGCGCCTGTAGTCCCAGCTACTCAGGAGGCTAAAGAGGGAGGATCGTTTGAGCCAGGGAGTCAGAAGCTGCCGTGGGCTGTGATTGCACCACTGCACTCCAGCCTGATTAACAGTGAGACCTTCCCTCAAAATAAAAAATTTAAAAAAAAATGTTTAGGTCTGAAACTGGGAGAGTTCCAGGAGGTAAGAGATAAAACACCATTGACGTGAGTAAAGTATTGAAGCTGGGCGATGGGTATGTGGGAAGTTCATTTTACTATTTTACTTTTGCATATACTTGAAATTCTACATAAAAAGACATTTTAAAACTATACTCCCAGGCCAAGGTGGGCAAATCACCTGAGGTCAGGAGTTCGAGACTAGCCTGACCAACATGGAGAAACCCCGTCTCTACTAAAACATACAAAATGAGCCAGGCGTGGTGGTGCGTGCCTGTAATCCCAGCCACTAGGGAGGCTGAGGCAGGAGAATCACTTGAACCTGGGAGGCAGAGGTTGCAGTGAGCCGAGATCACGCCATTGCACTCCAGCCTGAGCAACAAGAGTGAAACTCCGTCTCAAAAAAAAAAAAAAAAAAAAACAAAACTATATTCCCTGTGTCCACCAACCATAGGATGAATAAACAAGAGATTCCAACAAAATAATTATATGTAGCTGTAAAAAGGCTACAAAACAACTCGTGTGAGTGTGTGTGTGTGTGTGTGTGTATAAATTTAAGGGCCTACAGGCCAAGCACAGTGGCTCATGCCTGTAATCCCAACACTCCGGGAGGCCAAGGTGAGCAGATCATTTGAGCTCAAGAGATTGAGACCAGCCTGGGAAACATGGTGAAACCCCATCTCTACAAAAAAAACAAAAATCAGCTGGGCGTGGTGTCACGCGTTTGTAATGCCGGCTACTTGGGGGACAGAGGCGGGCAGATCACTTGAGCTGGGGAAGTCAAGGCTGTAGTGAGCCAAGATCGCACCACTGCACCCCAGCCTGGGTTACAGAGCAAGAACCTGTCTCAAAAATAAATAAATTAAGGTGTAAAAGTGTAGTTTTGTTACCTGGATATATTGCATAGTGGTGAAGTCTGGATTTTTAGTGTAACCAACACCCAATAGTTTACACTGTACCCATTAAGTAATAGCTCATCCCTCAACCCCATTTCCAGCATCCCACCCTTTTGAGTCTCCAGTGACTATTAATCTACACTCTATGTCCATATGTACACATTATTTAGCTCCCAATTCTAAGTCAGATCATGTGGTATTTGACTGTTTCTGAGTTGTTTCGCTTAAGATAATGGCCTCCAGTTCCATCCATGTTGCTGTAAAATACATGAGTTTATTCTTTTTTCAAAACAACTACTAAAAAGAAAATTCTCAGCCGGGCGCGGTGGCTCACGCATGTAATCCCGGCACTTTGGGAGGCCGAGGCAGGCGGATCATGAGGTTAGGAGATCGAGACCATCCTGGCTAACACGGTGAAACCCCATCTCTACTAAAAGTACAAAAAAATTAGCCAGGTGTGGTGGCGGGCGCCTGCAGTCCCAGCTACTCAGGAGGCTGAGGCAGGAGAATGGCATGAATCTGGGAGGCAGAGCTTGCAGTGAGCCAAGATCGCGCCACTGCACTCCAGCCTGGGTGACAGAGCGATACTCCCTCTCAAAAAAAAAAAAAAAGAAAAAAAAAGAAAATTCTCTATGTAGTTCTCCACATAGTGTTCAAGAACAATGTATTGCTAACATATGTTGAAAATAGCAGGTTCCACATCAGCGTATATAGTATGCTACATTTGGCGTAAATAAGTGAAAAGAATAAAAATAAGCAGGCAGGAGGGTAGAGGAATGGGAGGGACAAGAATAAAGCAAGAACTCTTGATCTAATATTGTTTTAATTTTTTAACTCTGTAGATAGTTTACCTTTTCAGAAAATAAAGTTTAAAAGAAAAATAGTTTCTTTTTAGAAAATAGTTTAAAGACGGGGTGGGGATAGAAAAAAAATGCTTCACATTAGACAGAAAATGGGCTTTAGAACCATAAAACTTGGGTTTGACGCTGTGCAAACATAACAGATATTAGAATAAAACAAACAAACCAACAAAACTCAGGCTGAATCCCAGATCTACAAAATTAACTAATGCGACTTTGGGCGTATTACTAAAACTCCAAATATTTGAGGCTTCTCATCTATAAATAGTGAATAATAATAATGTCAACTAGACTATCTACTTTGCGGGGTGGCTACAAGGATCTAATCAGGCAATTTGTTGTTGTTGTTGTTGTTGTTGTTGTTGTTGTTGTTGTTGTTGAGACGAAGTCTCGCGTTGTCCCCCAGGCTGGAGTGTAGTGGTGCAATCTCAGCTCACTGCAACCTCCGCCCCCTGGATTCAAGCGATTCCCCTGCCTCAGCCTCCTGAGTAGCTGGGATTACAGGTGCCTGCCACCACACCCAGCTAATTTTGGTATTTTTTTTTTAGTAGAGATGGGGTTTCACCATGTTGGCCAGGCTGGTCCCGAACTCCTGACCTCCAATGATTTGCCCACCTCAGCCTCCCAAAGTGCTGGGATTTCAGGTGTGAGCCACCGTGTCCAACTGGCAATGTTTATTTAATCAATATTTATTAAGTACTTAATATATGCCAGTCAATATCCTAATGCTCAAGATACATACAATAATGAAACTACACAGTCTTAGATCTTGAGGAGCTGATAGGTTTTAAGAGAACATAGACTGCGAAATAATATGGTATATGCTTCCTGTGACAGATGCATGCACAAAGGTCCTGAATTCAGAGAAAAGTTACGGAACTCTGTGTGAGGCAAGCGTCACAGGAATGGCAACACACAACCTGAGTTAAGAAAGATAAACTCACCAGGAAATGAAGCCTAAGACACTATGAAAATGTTTCAACATTAATCCATAAAAATGATAATCACCAGAATTATTTTTAATTATCCAAAATTTCTGGAATAATTGAAATGTTTATTCTTTTTTGGGGGGGAGGGGGGATGGGGACAGAGTCTCACTCTGTCACCCAGGCTGGAGTGCAGTGGCACGATCTCGGCTCACTGCAACTTCCACCTCCCAGGCTCAAGCAATTCTCATGCCTCAGCCTCCAGAGTAGCTGGGACTACAGGCATGCGCCACCACACCCAGGTAACTTTTGTATTTTTAGCAGAGACGGGGTTTCGCCACGTTGGCCAGACTGGTCTGGAACTCCTGGCCTCAAGTGATCTGCCCACCTCAGCCTCCCAAAGTGCTGGGATAACAGGTGTGAGCCACTGCACCTGGCATGAAACGTTTATTCTTATACTAAACTAAGGGAGTAAAATAGGTAGATACAACTCGATTTAAATTTTTTAATTGTACCTCTTAAACTCTATTTTTCTTTGTTATTTTGTCTAAATCCAATGTTTGTAAGCCAAACAGTAAATCTGGGGAATATTTTCTTCTTGTCTACATTGCTACCTTCTTTTAGAAAATAAGCACACTCAATCACAAATGGTAAACCAATCAATTGAAAGAAAAATAGACTACAAAATAACAAATTTGAGTCAACTCTTTTAAGTCTGCTTTCTCATTTTTATGCCAAAATATACAAACAATAACAAATTTCAAATACATATTCAACAGTAGTTTATAAGATGGTGATTAGTTATAGCTACTTAGTACTCTACTTTCCATTAAACTGCTCTGAAACCGAAAGGTAGTAGATGTACCTCATTGAAAATACTTGTAAATATTTATAGATTTATGATTCAAATATAAACTTTTCACTTTTTCTAAGTCATAGCACTGAGATATCAAATATTAATTTTAAACCATATAAGTAAAAAATAGGTAATAATTTTCTTATTTATAGTAATTAACTATATATTCCCAGGGATGTATCACAACTACAATGAAAAACCTAATTTTGAAATTACATTTTTTTCATGAATTTAAAACTTCAGCCTATTACTAAAAAGTCAAAAAACAGCATGTTACTTTTTTTTTTTTTTTTTTTTTGAGACGGAGTCTCGCTCTGTCGCCCAGGCTGGATTTCAGTGGTGCAATCTCTGCTCACTGCAGCCTCCACCTCCTTGGTTCACGCCATTCTCCTGCCTCAGCCTCCGGAGTAGCTGGGACTACAGGCGCCCGCCACGACGCCCGGCTAATTTTTTGTATTTTTAGTAGGGATGGGGTTTCCCCGTGTTAGCCAGGATGGTCTCGATCTCCTGACCTCATGATCCACCCGCCTCGGCCTCCCAAAGTGCTGGGATTACAGGCGTGAGCCCCCGCGCCCGGCAAAAAAACAGCATGTTAAGATGCTGGTGAGGCTGCTGAGAAAAGGAAATGTTTATATATTATTGGTGGGAATGTAAATTAGTTCAGCCACTGCGGAAAGTGGAGTGGAGATTTCTCAAAGAACTCAGAACTACCATTTGATCCAGCAACCCCATTACTGGGTATATATCCAAAAGAAAATAAATCATTCTACCAAAAAAACACATGCACTTTTATGTTCATCACAGCACTATTCACAATAGCAAAGACATGGAATCAACACAGGTGCTCATCAATCAATGATGGATTGGATAAAGAAAATGTGGTACATACTTACCATGGATTACTACGCAGCCATAAAAAAGAACAAAATCATGTCCTATGCTACAACATGGATGCAGCTGGAAGCCCTTATCCTAAGCAAATTAACAAAGGAACAGAAAACCAAATACCACATGTTCTCACTTATAAGTAGAAGCTAAATACTGGATACTTGTGGACATAAAGACGACAGCAATACACACTGGGGACTACTAGAGGGAAAAGGGCAGGAAGGGGGCAAGAGTTGAAAAATTAACAATTGGGTGCTATGCTGAATACCTGGGTGACAAAATCAATCATGCCCCAAACCTCAGCATCAGGCAATATACCCAGGTAACAAACTACACATGTACCCCCGGAATCTAAATAAAAGCTGAAATCATAAAAGGAAACAAAGAAAAGAAAAGAAAAAGAAAACTTCAGTCTTATTACTTATTGATGCCACTTTAGTGACCTGATCTTAAAGAAAAGTATGTAAGTTTGCTTTAACAAACAGACATGCTCAAATATAGGGATCTGAGAATTTTTAGGTAAAAAGAACATTTCATTAAAGTCAAAAGTAAAAACATAAATTTTAATACCAAATCTTTACAAATACAGTTGTATCTTACATTGGGAGTTCTTTAAACAATAAGGTAAAACACTATAAATTGCATTAATTAAAACAAGATAGGAAAAAAGTGTAAGTCTTTAAAAATGTAAATTAAATTAAGTAATTTAGACATATTGAAAGCAGTAGCTTTTAATATAAGTAGCCTTTGATGTAGATATCAAATCTAAGTTTTAGAAAAATAATTCTGGTAACTAACATTGGCAAATAAAGTAACGGAGTGGTGATAGGAGGTTGGGTGAAAAGATAATAAACACCTAAATCAAGGCAATAACTTTTTTAGTCTAAACTAGTTTTAATCTATCTGCTTATAGCTACTTTTCATTTACTGATTTTGGCAATCCCACCATCCTACTTGATATGAAATTCAAGAGCACAAATAAAGTGAGATGATTTTCAAACTTGCTAAAGCCAAATAAGCTTAAAACTACTTTTTCTTCTGGAAATAAGTGCATATATTTTATTTTCATACAGTCTATTACATTTGTTCACAAAGTAGTGCTCAAATGTAATAACTGACCAGCTAAATAACATGAAATAAGAACATCTTAACAGTTTATACTGAGAATCTAAGTTCATAAAGATACTTTCTACCTTCCTAGATTTAAGCAAACAAAAATACTATTATAGGTATACAATCTTCATTAAAGTTAATCTCTTTAACAGAAGCATAACAAATACCATATTTATTAGATTTTAAAGCATATTATCAAATGCTGAGAAAACATTTAAGCGAAAAGTCATAACTGTCTATAAAATATTAAAATCAAGAAAGTAGCAGGTCCAACAAATCTCCTCCTATGTAATTTCCTTAACTTTCCTAACACCTGGGAAACTGGCTGATCCAAGATAAGCTACCGGCAGTTGCTTGAGAGAATATAAAGAAAGGATCTGTTCACAAAAAGCAGGATGTCAAGAGTAAATGTACATTGTTCAGGTAACTTTGCATGACCATATCCTCAAAGGGCACTATGAACCTCTTAAACTGCTCCTCAAAGTCAACATGTTCAAAACTTACCATTGTCTCTCTTCAGACTTCAGAGTTTGACAGTCAACTGCATCTGCCCACTTTCACACATACTGCAAACCTTGGTGTTCTCTTCTATTGCTCCTTCCCTCCCCTCACACTGCAAATTAGTTACCTAAAATCATGCATTCTCAGTTTGTCCCCTGTACCTTTCCAATCACTGCTATTACCAATTACCACAAATTGGCAATTTAAAACAACATAAATGTATTATCTTACAGTTGTGGAGGTCAAAATTCTGAAATGGGTCTTCTGGGGCTAAAGTCACGTGTCAGCAAGACTCCATTCCTTCTGGAGACTCTAGGGAAGAAATCTTGTCTTGCCTTTTCTAACTTCTGGAGGCCACCCACATTCCTGGGTTCATGGTGACCTACTCTGACCTCTGCTTCTGTCATCACATCTCTGCCTCTGACTGTGACCCTCCTGCCTCCCTGTTATAAGGACTCTTATGATTACATCAGTCTCAACTAGATAAACTGGGACAAACTCCCATCTCAAGATCCTCAAATAAATCACATCTGCAAAGTCCCATTTGCCATGTAAGGTAACATATTCACAGGTTCTGAGGATAAGGGCAGATGTGGACATCTTTGAGGGACTGTTATTCTGCCACAGGAGCCCTCTTTTCCATTGCTACAGTCGTTGTCTTGATTCAGGTGTTCATCATCTCTTCACCCAGCCTCCTATCTTCACTCCCTTCCTTTATCTACCAATATGGCACCAGAGTTATTTTCCTAAACTTAGATTTCATATCTGTCTGTCCCAAAAGCTGCAGTGGCTTTCCATTGCTTTCAAAATAAGTCTAAGTTTCTTAGCACGAAAAAGGACTTCCATAATTAGTCTTCATCATGCCTTCCCACCATTATCTCCAAACTTTTCCCTAAGCTCTACCACTCAACACTGCAAGTATTCCTCAAAAATAAACAAGTACATTTTATTTAGTGGCTTTATCCAAGCAGTTGTTCAGAACAGTGGTCAGTAAACATTTTCTGTAAAGGGCCACAGAGTAAATATTTCAGTTTTTGTGGACCATAAGGTCTGTCTCGACAAGCACCCATAAACAATATGTAAACAAATGGGCATGGCTATCTTCTAATAAAACTTTACAGAAAAAGGCTGCAGGTCAGACTTGGCCCATGGGCAGTAGTGTGCCAACCCCTAATAAAATGCCCTGCTCTCACTTCTCTTAGAAATTCCTTCTCATTCTCTAAAGCATAGCAAAAAGGATAATTTCCTTAGGAGGCCTCCATTTAATTCCCCTCCCAGATTTAATCCTTTTCTTTATTATATTCCCATTGTATTTCAGTATTTTGTACTTCTATGTAAGCATCTATATATCTGGAGATAGATATATAGTATCTCTGACAACAAAATGTAAGTTACAAAAGGAGCTCATTCATCTTTACACCTTCAGCTCTTAATACAGTGATATGCATAGGATATGCACTCAATAAATAACATGCACATTTTTTCAACGTTCTCAAAAAGAAATCCATCCCACAGCCGTAAAAGAACACTCCAATCTGCAAATTTCTTTGCAGACTGCCAGGTAAGTTCTCTGTCACAACTACTCCACTCTGCCACAAAAGTAGCTATGGACAAGACAAAACTTCACAAGAACAGACAGTGGGTGAGACCTGGCCTGTAGGCTATAGTGTGCCAACTCCTCCACTAAGGTAGCATATCTCAACTGTATCCTAACCTTATATACAATAATGAGTGTCATAACAATATGTTACCCATTCTCAATGCACACCTTCGTTCTCTGAACACAGTGCTGTTTTTCCCAGCTGTTATAACACAAATTAAGAAAATGCAGGCCAAAATATTTGTTTACATTTTACCTGAATAATTTCAGAATTAAATTTTGATTCCAAATGCGCTGCTCTTTCTGCTTCAATGTTTTCTTCTAATTTCCTCACTCTTAGAGTAGTTGCCTGAAAACAAATTAAAAGTTTAAATTCATAAACATTGGTATTTAAAGAAGATATGGATCACTACAGTCCAGCATTATAATTAACACTTTAGATTAGTGGACTTGCAGCCTCATTTTTTTTTTTCTTTGCAAGAATGGAATGTAAAATTCATGCTCAGGAAGAATGCTTCCAGAGCCTGCTTTTTTTTCTTTACACTTTATAGAGGTATAACTTACATATAATAACCTACACATAGTGAAAATATACTTTTTGATAAATTTTTATACACACACACACACAAACACGTACACATCCATTAAATCACTGCCACAATCAATACAGGAAACATTTCCATCACTCTTAAAAGATTCCTTATGTCTCTTGGTAATGCCTTCCTCCAGCCCTCACCACCCCACCACATACCCAAGTAATCACGAATCTGCTTTTTGTCACTACAGAGAGGTTTGCATTTTCTGGAGTTGTATATAAATTGAATCATATATTATGCTTTTTATTGCCAGGCTTCTTTCCCCTTACATAATTATTTTGAGACCCATCCATGTGGTTGCATGCATCAATAGTTCATTCATTTTCACTGTTAAATAGTGTTCCACTTTATTAATAGACCACAATTGGTTTATCTGTTCACCTACTGATGGACATTTGACTTGTTTCCAGTTTAGGCAATTACAAATAAAGCTGCTATGAGCATTTGTGTGCAAGACTTTGTAGAGACACACACTTTCATTTCTCTGGGGTAAATAGTGAAGAATGGAATGAATGGGTGAAATGACAGGTACATATTGATTTGTTTTTTTTTTTTTTTGAGACGGAGTCTCGCTCTGTCACCCAGGCTGGAATGCAGTGGCGCCATCTAGGCTCACTGCAAGCTCTACCTCCCGGGTTCATACCATTCTCCTGCCTCAGCCTCCCAAGTAGCTGGGACTACTACACGTACCGGCCACCACGCCCAGCTAATTTTTTATATTTTTAGTAGAGACGGGATTTCACCGTGCTAGCCAGGATGGTCTCGATCTCCTGACCTCGTGATCTGCCCGCCTCGGCCTCCCAAAGTGCTAGGATTACAGGCGTCAGCCACCGCACCCAGCCATATTGAATATTATGAAACTGCCACACTGTTTTCCAAAGCGATGGTGCCAATTTAGATTACTAACACCAATTTTTGAAATTTTCCATTGTTCCACATCCTCACCAACACTTGCTACGGTCATTTTCTGTTTTTGGTTTCTTGAGGTTTTATAGACAATCAAATAGGCATGTAGTGGTTATCTCATTTTAGTTTTAATTTGCATTGCCCCAATGACTAATGACACTGAGCATCTTTTCATGTACCTATTTGCCAACTGTGTATCTTCTTTGAAGAAGTATATGTTCAAATATTTTCACCATTTTTTAATTGAGCTGTTTATTTTCGTATTACTGAGCTTTAAAAGTTCATTATACAATCTGAAAACAAGTCCTTTGTTAGATACATGATTTGCAAATGTTTTCTCCCAGTCTACGTCCTGTCTTCTCCTTCTCTTAACAGTATCACTTGCAAACCAAAACTTTTCATTATGATGAAGTCTAATTTATCAGTTTTTCAGGCAAGAGTCAGTTTCTGGACAGAAGCAGAAGTCAAGATCTTTATTTTTGAATACAATTTTTGTTCAGAAAATGCACCCCTGGGAAGTAGCGGATTACTAGTCCCAAAAAGGGAATCGGTCATGACCAAGAATCTGTTCGGGACAGAAAAACAGAACTATGGGAACATCCAGCATGTCTCAACATAACAGTAGCAAAGAAAAGCCATGCCTAGAGTCCTATCTGTCAATGGGGTAGTTCAATAGGGACAGAAAAAGGCATTACTAATTTGATTTCCCTTCCTAGATGAAATTTGGCGAAAAAATAAATTAATATTCATTATATTTACTAAACCATTTACCCTAAGCCAAGTTTTTTTTTTTTATACTTTAAGTTTGAGGGTGCATGTGAACAATGTGCAGGTTAGTTACATAGGTATACATGTGCCATGTTGGTGTGCTGCACCCATTAACTCGTCATTTAACATTAGGTATATCTCCTAATGCTATCCCTCCCTGCTCCCCCGACCCCACAACAGGCTCCGGTGTGTGATGTTCCCCTTCCTGTGTCCATGTGTTCTCATTGTTCAATTCCCACCTAAGAGTGAGAACAGGCGGTGTTTGGTTTTTTGTCCTTGCAATAGTTTGCTCAGAATGATGGTTTCCAGCTTCATCCATGTCCCTACAAAGGACATGAACTCATCTGTTCATATCCTTCACTCTGCTTCGGCTCACGCTCAGTGCACTGCACCCACTGTCCTGCACCCACTTTCCAACACTCCCCAGTGAGATGAACCCAGTACCTGAGTTGGAAATGCTGAAATCACCCGTCTTCTGCGTCGCTCACGCTGGGAGCTATAGACTGGAGCTGTTCCTATTCGGCCATCTTGGCTCCACCCCCTTAGCCAAGTTTTTATTAATGTTCAACTTGATTAATCTGACTTTCCTTCTCTCCCACCATTTCTTTTTGTTTACAGACAAAGATGGTAATGGATCACAATGAAAAGAAATAGAAATAAAAACTGAATAATCCACAAACTAATCAAGCAGTCTGTGAATAACTTAGAAATGACTATACTTCTTTCTGGGCAAATCATTCCCATAATGACTATCATAGTGCAGAGCATAAACACAAACATCCCTTCTTCTCTAGAGGCCTTTGTAGATGCACCTGGTTCTGATGGCCTTCACAGTCATGGAGTAATCCTGCTTCAGGATATAATCACTCTGTGTTTTGCAAACATGAAAATCACAAAATATTCTTTTACAATGAACTATTTGCTTTATTTAGATTCTACAACCCTATGGAAAATATTTCTTAATGAGCTATTATACTAGAAAATAGTTTTGGTTTTTTTTTTTTACAGAAAGCAATAAATCCAAATATGATCCTTTTGGGTCTCAAGGTAATTTAAATCCAAAGGATAAAATAATACTTTGAATAAAATCTGACATTTATAATTTATACTACTAGAGTATTTAAAAATAACAGGCATTCCGCTGAAAGGTGAAACTAGTAAATATTCACAGTTTTGTCTGAAGACTCAAAACACTCTGAAAACCAAGAAATGAGGACATTTGGATATCTGATGTAACTAAGGAATTATTATTACTTTTTAGGTGTGATAATGATTAGAATTTTTTTAAACCCCAATCTTTGGGCCAGGCACAGTGGCCCCCGTCACTTTGGGAAGCTGAGGTGAGAGGACTGCTTGGGGCCAAGAGTTTGAGACCAGCCTGGGCAACAGAGAAAAACTGCATCTCTATAAAAGAATTAACTAAGTAAATTTTTTTAATTAATAAATAAAATAAACCCTTATCTTTTAAAAAATACATACTAAAGTGTTCAGGGATGAAACTATATAATGTCTAGATATGGTTTAAAATAATCAAACTGGGAGTTAGGGGTGGGGGTTAGTGTTCATAAAATAAGATTGGTCATAAGCTGATAACTGTTGAAGCTAAATCATAGGCACTTGGTTCACTATAATATTCTTTCTACTTTCATGTATGTGTGAAATTTTCCATATTGAGAAACATTTTTTAAACAACAAAAGCAAAGTTATTAAAGTTAAGGGGGTAGTATGGCAATGGTATCATTATTTACCCAATTAACAAAATTAGGCCAGGCACAGTGGCTCACACTTGTAATCCCCACACTTCAGAAGGCCAACTCAGGGAGATCACTTGAGCCCAGGAGTCCAAGGCCAGCCTGGGCAACATGGTGAAGCACCAATTCTACAAAAAAAATTCAAAAATTAGCCAGGCATGGTGATGTGCACCTGTAGTCCCAGCAACTTGGGAGGCTGAGGTGGGAGGATCACTTGAGCCCAGGAAATCAAGGCTGCAGTGAGCTGTCATGGTGCTACTGCACTCCAACCTAGGCAAGAGGAACGAGACCCCAGCTAAAAATATATAGGTATATATTTTCACAATGACAACAACAAAAAACCACTAGAATGAATTAAGACTTTCACGACTAAACAGAAAAAGTAAATGGGAAGTGGGAGTTTAACTCAAACTATTCCTACATATATTGCTGACGTGATAAGATAAGGCAAAGAAAATATTCCCCACATAGTCACTTTTTTCCCACCCTTCTCAAAAAATGTTTCCACAGAATACCAGTCCCACAGGATGTTCTTAGCTATTATATAAAAAAGCAATTACATCATCAGAAGCATGTGAGAAACACAAAATTAAGCCAAACAATTTTCTTTACTAAAGACTTATCAAAACGTTAACATGACAATCTTGAAAAAGAAGAATAAAGATGGAAGACATATGTCATAATTGCAAAACTCACTACAAAGCTACAGTGATCAGCTGAGCATGGTGGCTCACGCCTGTAATCCCAGTGCTTTGGGAGGCCAAGACAGGTGGACAGCTTGAGCACAGAAGTTCAAGACCAGCCTGGGCAACATAGTAAAACCCTGTCTCTATCAAAACAAAAACAAAAAACAAAAATTAGCCAAGTGTGGTGGTGGCCACCTGTAAACCCAGCTACAAGGGAGGCTAAGGTGAGAGAATGGCTTGAGCCTGGGAGGCAGAGGTTACAGTAAGCAAAGATTCAGCCAGGTGACAGAGCCAGACTCTGTCTCAAAAAAAAAAAAAAGCTACAATAATCAAAACAATGTGGTACCAGCAAAAGGATACACATATAGATTCATATAGATCCACAGAAAGGAACTGACAGTCCAGAAATAAACTCATGAATGGGTGGTCAATTTATTTTTGACAATGGTGCCATCACCACTCAATGGAAAAGATTCATCTTTTCATTAAATGATGCTGAGACAATTGGATATAAATAGGCAAAAGAATAAATTTGGATCCCATACCTCATATCATATAAAAAAATAAATTCTAAATGGATCAATGACCTAAATATATGAGCTAAAAACCATAAAACTCTTAGAAGAAAACATAGGGGTAAATCTTTATAGTCTGGGCAACATAGTCAAACCTGGTCTCTACAAAAAAATTAAATTAGCCGGGTGTGGTGAGGCACACTTATGGTCCCAGCTACTTGGGAGGCTAAAGTGGAAAGGACGGCTTGGGCCCAGGAGGTTGAGACTTCAGTGAGCTGAGATCATGCCACTGCACTCCAGCCTCAGCAATACAGCAAGACCCTGTCTCAAAAAAAATCCAAAAATCTTCATGACCTTAGATTTGGCAATGGATTCTCAGATAGCAAAAGCACAAGCATAAATAAACAAACAAACAAACAAACAAACAACTTCATAGAAATTAAAAACTTATTACAACACTATTCACAATAGCAAAGGTATGTAATCAACCTAGGTGTCCATCAACAAATGAATAAAGAAAGTGGGTTATATATACACAATGGAATACTACTTGGCCATAAAAAAAAGAGTGAAATGCTGTCATTTGCAGCAATATGAATGGAACTAGAGGTCATTATGTTAAGTAAAATAAGCCAGGCACAAAAAGACAAATATCGCACGTTCTCACTCGTATGTGAGAGCTAAAAAAGTTAATCTCGGCTGGGCATGGTGGCTCATGCCTGTAATCCTAGCACTTTGGAAGGCTGAGGTGAGAGGATTGCTTGAGGTCAGGAGTTCAAGACCAGTCTGAGCAAAATCTCTATAAAAAAGTGAGATCTCATCTCTATTAAAAAAAAAAAACTATAGGCCAGGCACGGTGGCTCACGCCTGTAATCCCAGTACTTTGGGAGGCCGAGGCAGGCAGATCACCTGAGGTCAGGAGTTCAAGACCAGGCTGGCCAACATGGCAAAACCCTGTCTCTACTAAAAATACAAAAATTAGCTAGGTGTCGTAGCGGGCACCTGTAATCCCAGCTACTCAGGAGGCTGAGGCAGGAGAATCACTTGAACCCGGGAGGTGGAAGTTGCAGTGAGTGGAGATTGCACACTGCACTCCAGCCTGGGTGAGACAGTGAGACTTCATCTCAAAAAAAAAAAAATTCTAAAAAATTAAAAAATAAAAGTAAAAAAAGTTAATCTCAAGGAGGTAGAGAGTAGAATGACAGTTAGGATAGTTATCAGAGGCTGGAAAGGGTGTCAGGGTGTGGGTGGCAGGGAAGACAGATTGACTAATGGGTACAAACATACAGTTAGAAGGAATAAGTCCTAAAGTTAGATAGCAGAGTAGGGTGACTACAGTTAACAACAATGTATTGTATATTTTAAAATAGCTGGAAGAGAGATCTTGAAATATTCCTAACACATAGAAATGATCAATGTTCAAGATGATGAATAGCCTAACTAGTGACTTGATAATTTCATTCTATGCACATAAAAAAAACACATGTACCCCATAAATATATATAAATTTTATGTAACAATACAAAATTAAAACTAAAAGACAAAAAACATGTGTATCAAAGGACTTTATTAGGAAAATGAAAAGATAACCTAAAGAATGGGAGAAAATACTTACAAATCATATATCTGAGCACGTTCTAGTATCCAGAATAAAAAAAGAAATCATACGATAAAAGGACAACTCAAAATATGAGTACAGGACTTAGACATTTGTCTAAAAAAGATATGTAAATGACCAATAACTGTACGAAATAATGCTCAAAACTATTAGTCACTGGGGAAATGAAAACTAAAAACATGAAGAGATACCTTCACACCCACTACATGGCTATAATTTATTTTTTTTCTTTTTTTTATTATACTTTAAGTTCTAGGGTACATATGCACAACGTGAAGGTTTGTTACATATGTATACACGTGCCATGTTGGTGTGCTGCACCCATCAACTCATCATTTACATTAGGTATATCTGTTAATGCTATCCCTCCCCCATCCCTCCACCCCACGACAGGCCCCGGTGTGTGATGTTCCCCATCCTGTGTCCAAGTGTTCTCATTGTTCATTTCCCACCTATGAGTGAGAACATGCGGTGTTTGGTTTTTTGTCCTTGCAATAGTTTGCTCAGAATGATGGTTTCCAGCTTCATCCATGTCCCTACAAAGGACATGAACTCATCCTTTTTTATGGCTGCATAGTATTCCATGGTGTATATCTGCCACATTTTCTTAATCCAGTCTATCATGGTTGGACATTTGGGTTGGTTCCAAGTCTTTGCTATTGTGAATAGTGCCGCAATAAACATACGTGTGCCTGTGTCTTTATAGCAGCATGATTTATAATCCTTTGGGTGTATACCCAGTAATGGGATGGCTGGCTCAAACCGTATTTCTAGTTTTAGATCCTTGAGGAATTGCCACACTGTCTTCCACAATGGTTAAATTAGTTTACAGTCCTTCCAACAGTGTAAAAATGCTCCTATTTCTCCACATCCTCTCTAGCACCTGTTGTTTCCTGACTTTTTAATGATTGCCATTCTAACTGGTGTGAGATGGTATCTCATTGTGGTTTTGATTTGCATTTCTCTGATGGCCAGTGATGATGAGCATTTTTTCATGTGTCTGTTGGCTGCATAAATGTCTTCTTTTGAGAAGTGTCTGTTCATATCCTTCACCCACTTTTGGATGGGGTTGTTTGTTTTTTTCTTGTAAATTTGTTTGAGTTCATTGTAGATTCTGGATATTAGCCCTTTGTCAGATGAGTAGATTCCAAAAATTTTCTCCCATTCTGTAGGTTACCTGTTCGCTCTGATGGTAGCTTCTTTTGCTGTGCAGGAGCTCTTTAGTTTAATTAGATCCCATTTGTCAATTTTGGCTTTTGTTGCCATTGCTTTTGGTGTTTTAGTCATGAAGTCCTTGCCCATGCCTATGTCCTGAATGGTATTGCCTAGCTTTTCTTCTAGGGTTTTTATGGTTTTAGGTTTAACATTTAAGTCTTTAATTCATCTTGAATTAACTTTTGTATAAGGTGTAAGGAAGGAATCCAGCTTCAGCTTTCTACATATGGCTAGCCAGTTTTCCCAGCACCATTTATTAAATAGGGAATCCATTCCCCATTTCCTGTTTTTGTCAGGTTTGTCAAAGATCAGATGGTTGTAGGTGTGTGGTATTACTTCTGAGAGCTCCGTTCTGTTCCATTGGTCTATATCTCTGTTTTGGTACCAGTACCATGCTGTTTTGGTTACTGTAGCCTTGTAGTATAGTTTGAAGTCAGGTAGCATGATGCCTCTAGCTTTGTTCTTTCGGCTTAGGATTGTCTTGGCAATGCGGTCTCTTTTCTGGTTTCATATGAACTTCAAAGTAGTTTTTTCCAATTCTGTGAAGAAAGTCATTGGTAGCTTGATGGGGATGGCATTGAATCAATAAATTACCTTGGGCAGTATGGCCATTTTCATGATATTTATTCTTCCTATCCATGAGCATGGAAGGTTCTTCCATTTGTTTGTATCCTCTTTTATTTTGTTGAGCACTGGTTTGTAGTTCTCCTTGAAGAAGTCTTTCACATCCCTTGTAAGTTTATTCCTAGGTATTTTATTCTATTTGTAGCAACTGTGAATGGGAGTTCACTCATGAGTTGGCTCTCTGCTTCTCTGTTATTGGTGTATAAGAATGCTTGTGATTTTTGCACATTGATTTTGTATCCTGAGACTTTGCTGAAATTGCTTATCAGCTTAAGGAGATTTTGGGCTGAGACGATGGGGTTTTCTAAATATACAATCATGTCATCTACAAACAGGGACAATTTGACTTCCTCTTTTCCTCATTGAATACCCTTTATTTCTTTCTCCTGCCTGATTGCCCTGGCCAGAACTTCCAACACTATGTTGAATAGGAATGGTGAGAGAGGGCATCCCTGGATTGTGCCAGTTTTCAAAGGGAATGCTTCCAGTTTTTGCTCATTCAGTATGATATTGGCTGTGGGTTTGTCACAGATAGCTCTTATTATTTTGAGATACGTCCCATCAATACCTAATTTATTGAGAGTTTTTAGCATGAAGGGCTGTTGAATTTTGCCAAAGGCCTTTTCTGCATCTATTCAGATAATCATGTGATTTTTGTCATTGGTTCTGTTTATGTGATGGATTACGTTTATTGATTTGCGTATGTTGAACCAGCCTTGCATCCCAGGGATGAAGCCCACTTGATCATGGTGGATAAGCTTTTCGATGTGCTGCTGGATTCGGTTTGCCAGTATTTTATTGAGGATTTTTGCATCAATGTTCATCAGGGACATTGGTCTAAAATTCTCTTTTTTTGTTGTGTCTCTGCCAGGCTTTGGTATCAGGATGATGCTGGCCTCATAAAATGAGTTAGGGAGGATTCCTTCTTTTTCTATTGATTGGAATAGTTTCAAAAGGAATGGTACCAACTCCTCCTTGTACCTCTGGCAGAATTCGGCTGTGAATCGTCTGGTCCTGGACTTTTTTTGGTTGGTTAGGCTATTGATTATTGCCTCAATTTCAGAGCCTGTTACTGGTGTATTTTGGGATTCAACCTCTTCCTGGTTTAGTCTTGGGAGAGTGTATGTGTCCAGGAATTTATGCATTTCTTCTAGATTTTCTAGTTTATTTGTATAGAGGTGTTTATAGTATTCTCTGATGGTAGTCTCTATTTCTGTGGAATCGGTGGTGATATCCCCTTTATCATTTTTTATTGTGTCTATTTGATTCTTCTCTCTTTTCTTCTTTATTAGTCTTGCTAGTGGTCTAGCAATTTTGTTGATCTTTTAAAAAAACCAGCTGCTAAATTCATTGATTTTTTGAAGGGTTTTTTGTGTCTCTATCTCCTTCAGTTCTGCTCTTAGTTATGTCTTGCCTTCTGCTAGCTTTTGAATGTGTTTGCTCTTGCTTCTGTAATTCTTTTAATTGTGATGTTAGGGTGTTGATTTTAGATCTTTCCTGCTTTCTCTTGTGGGCATTTAGTGCTATATATTTCCCTCTACACACTGCTTTGAATGTGTCCCAGAGATTCTGGTATGTTGTGTCTTTGTTCTCGTTGGTTTCAAAGAACATCTTTATTTCTGCCTTCATTTTGTTATGTACCCAGCAGTCATTCAGGAGCAGGTTGTTCAGCTTCCATGTAGTTGAGCGGTTTTGAGTGAGTTTCTTAATCCTGAGTTCTAGTTTGATTGCACTGTGGTCTAAGAGACACTTTGTCAAAATTTCTGTTCTTTTGCATTTGCTGAGGAGTGCTTTACTTCCAACTATGTGGTCAATTTTGGAATAAGTGCAATGTGGTGCTGAGAAGAATGTATATTCTGTTGATTTGGGGTGGAGAGTTCTGTAGATGTCTATTAGGTCCACTTGGTGCAGAGCTGAGTTCAATTCCTGGATATCCTTGTTAACTTTCTGTCCAGTTGATCTGTCTAATGTTGACAGTGAGGTGTTAAAGTCTCCCATTATTATTGTGTGGGAGTCTAAGTCTTTTTGTAGGTCTCTAAGGATTTGTTTTATGAATCTGAGTGCTCCTGTATTGGGTGCATATATATTTAGGATAGTTAGCTCTTCTTGTTGAATTGATCCCTTTACCATTATGTAATAGCCTTCTTTGTCTCTTTTGATCTTTGTTGGTTTAAAGTCAGCTTTATCAGAGACTAAGATTACAACCCCCACTTTTTTTCTTTTCCATTTTCTTGGTAGATCTTCCTCCATCCCTTCATTTTAAGGCTATGTGTGTCTCTGCACATGAGATGGGTCTCCTGAATACAGCACACTGATGGGTCTTGAATCTTTATCCAATTTGCCAGTCTGTGTCTTTTAATTGGAGCATTTAGCCCATTTACATTTAAAGTTAATATTGTTATGTGTGAATTTGATCCTGTCATTATGATGTTAGCTGGTTATTTTGCTCATTAGTTGATGCAGTTTCTTCCTTCCTAGCATGGATGGTCTTTACAATTTGGCATATTTTTGCAGGGGCTCGTATCAGTTTTTCCTTTCCATGTTTATTGCTTCCTTCAGGAGCTCTTGTAAGGCAGGCCTGGTGGTGACAAAATCTCTCAGCATTTGCTTGTCTGTAAAGGATTTTATTTCTCCTTCACTTATGAAGCTTAGTTTGGCTGGATAAGAAATTCTGGGTTGAAAATTCTTTTCTTTAAGCATGTTGAATATTGGCCCCCACTCTCTTCTGGCTTGTAGAGTTTCTGCTGAGAGATCCACTGTTAGTCTGATGGGCTTCCCTTTGTGGGTAACCCGACCTTTCTCTCTGGTTGCCCTTAACATTTTTATCTTCATTTCAACTTTGGTGAATCTGACAATTATGTGTCTTGGAATTGCTCTTCTCGAGGAGTATCTTTGTGGCGTTCTCTGTATTTCCTGAATTTGAATGTTGGCCTGCCTCACTAGGTTGGGGAAATTCTCCTGGATAATATCCTGAAGAGTGTTTTCCAACTCGGTTCCATTCTCCCTGTCACTTTCAGGTACACCAATCAGACGTAGATGTGGTCTTTTCACATAGTCCCATATTTCTTGGACGTTCCGTTCGTTTCTTTTTACTCTTTTTTCTCTAAACTTCTCTTATCACTTCATTTCATTCATCTGATCTTCAATCACTGATACCCTTTCTTTCACTTGTTCAAATCGGCTACTGAACCTTGTGCATGCATCACGTAGTTCTCGTGCCATGGTTTTCAGCTCAGTCAGGTTATTTAAGGACTTCTCTACACTGTTTATTCTAGTTAGCCATTCGTCCAACCTTTTTTCAACATTTTTAGCTTCTTCACAATGGGCTCGAACATCCTCCTTTAGCTCAGAGCAGTTTGTTATTACCGATCATCTAAAGCCTTCTTCTCTCAACTCCTCAAAGTCATTCTCTGTCCAGCTTTGTTCTGTTGCTGGGGAGGAGCTGAGTTCCTTTGGAGAGGTAGAAGAGCTCTGATTTTTAGAATTTTCAGCTTTTCTGCTCTGTTTTTTCCCCATCTTTGTGGTTTTATCTACCTTTGGTCTTTGATGATGGTGACATACAGATGGGGTTTTGGTGTGAATGTCCTTTCTGTTTGTTAGTTCTCCTTCTAACAGGACCCTCAGCTGCAGGTCTGTTGGAGTTTGCTGGAGGTCCACTCCAGACCCTGTGTGCCTGGATATCAGCAGCGGAAGCTGCAGAACAGCAAATATTGCTGAACAGCCAATGTTGCTGCCTGATCGTTCCTCTGGAAGCTTCGTCACAGAGGGGTACCCAGCCGTGTGAGGCATCAGTCTGCCCCTACTAGGGGATGCCTCCCAGGTAGGCTACTCAGGGGTCAGGGACCCTCTTGAAGAGGTAGTGTGTTTGTTCTCAGATCTCAAACTCCATGCTGGGAGAACCACTACTCTCTTCAAAGCTGTCAGACAGGGACATTTAAGTCTGCAGAGGTTTCTGCTGCCTTTTGTTTGGCTATGCCCTGCCCCCAGAGGTGGAGTCTACAGAGGCAGGCAGGCCTCCTTGGGCTGCGGTGGGCTCCACCCAGTTTGAGCTTCCCTGCCACTTTGTTTACCTACTCAAGCCTCATCAATGGTGGGCGCTCCTCCCCCAGCCTCGCTGCTGCCTTGCAGTTGGATCTCAGACTGCTGTGCTAGCAATAAGCGAGGCTCCGTGGGCATGGGACTCTCCGAGCCAGGTGCGGGATATAATCTCCTGGTGTTCCGTTTGCTAAGACCACTGGAAAAGTGCAGTATTAGGGTGGGAGTGACCCGATTTTCCAGGTGCCATCTGTCACAGCTTCCCTTAGCTAGGAAAGGGAATTCCCTGACCCCTTGCACTTCCCGGGTGAGACGATGCCTCACCCTGCTTAGGCTCACGCTCACTGGGCTGCACCCACTGTCCTGCACCCACCATCTGACAAGCCCCAGTGAGATGAACCCAGTACCTCAGTTGGAAATACAGAAATCACCCATCTTCTGCATCACTCACGCTGGGTGCTGTAGACTGGAGCTGTTCCTATTCGGCCATCTTGGACCAAAACCAGATGGCTATAATTTAAATAACAGAAAATACTGGAAGAAAATTGGAAAAACTAGAAACCTCATACATTACTGATAGGAATGTAAAATGGTTTGGCTGCTGTGGAAAACAGCTTGGTAGCTGCTCAAAAAATTAAACATAGAGTTACCATATGACCCAGCAATTACATTCCTATATATTTGCCCAAGAGAAATGAAAACAGATTCAAAAAATTATGCACAAAAGTTTATAGCACCATTTTTTATAACAGCCAAAGATGGAATGCACCCAAATGTCCATCAACCAATGAATGAATAAACAAGATGTTGTGAATCCATAGAATGGAATATTATCCAGCAAGAAAATGGAATGAAGTACCAATAAATGTGATACCATGGATTAACCTTGAAAGCATATATAAAAAAAGTAAAAGAAGTCAAATACAAAAGACCACATGCTGTATGATTTCATTGATAAGAATTGTCCAGAATAGGCAAATCCAGAGACAAAAAGTATATTAAGTGGTTGCAGGAGGATAGGGAAGAAGGAGAGAACGAAAAGGGCAGTAGCTGCTAATGTATATGAAATTTCTTAGTGGGGTGATGAAAACGCTCTGGAATTAGATAGTGGTAATAGTTGCACAGTATAGTGAATATATTAAAAGCATTGAATTGTATACTTTTAAAGGGTGAGTTTTATGATATGTGAAGTATATCTCAATTGAAAAATAAAGAATCCCTGATTGGAATGTCAAGAAGTGGCAGCCACCTAAATTAAACTTCTGATTCTCATTGTGGAAAAAAAGTTATTTCTAAATGCTGACTTTGAAGCCTTAGAACAAGGGTCCCCCAGAGGTTGTAGGTATAAAGCATGATGCATACTGTAGCAGAGAAATTATTATGTTTAGCCCACACCAGAATGAGCATTATCCCAGATGGGCCCAATGCTAATTTTTTCTTTAAGAAAGTATAAAGGATAAGGTTCTTGCCCTTAAAGAACTGAAGTCAGTTTTCTCAGTACCTAGTATACTCATTTTAGTTTCTGTAAGTCAAAAAAAAGTCTAGCCAGTCACAAGGAAATAGCCCATAGGATTGAGAATAAATGATTTTAAAAGCTAGCAAAGGACCAAAATCTCACAAACCACAACTAAAGAACTTACTCATGTAACCAAACACCTCCTGTTTCCCAAAAACCTATGGAAATAAATTTTTTTAAAAAAAAAGCAAATAAAGGGCACAGAGAGAAAAAAAACAAGGCTAACAATTTTAAAATATTTTCTCAGATTCCAAAAAGCATATATGCTTCTTTATCAAAATGATAGTCATATATTTTGTTAAATGCAGAATATTCAGTGATTCTATAATGAATCGAAAATTCAAGTTTTCACTTCTTGTATATATATTAATTAGTTAATTAATGATCTAGTTTTCACTCCAAAAATCAAAAAGAGGTTCTGTTTTTCCTGCTTAGAGCAAAACACAGGGGGTTGAAATAATAAACTGGAGATCATGTCTTTATTTTCACAACTTCTCATTTTAAATGAAATGTCAGAAAATTATAAGGTGCTTATTATTACTGAAACTATCAATTACTCAGTAAGGACAGCAAAAAATCTTCAAATCTTTAAACAAACTCCTTCCAAGAGTAGGGTTTGTTGATAGACATAATGAAATTTAAGCCTTCTTAATAATTTTTTTAAATCTTCTAGTCCAATGAATTAATTCTCAAATCCAGCAGAGGGTGCTAGAGGAACATCAACATGCTGCTCAAAAAAATTTTTTCCAATACCACCTAGGAGAACTAGTGTAACATTCATAAACTGTTTCATAGGCATCCAATCCTAATGTAATCAACAAAGAAAGGGCAGAAAGCGGAACAAAATTCTGGTTAAAATGCATATATATATATATATATATATATATATATATATATATATACACACACACACGTGTATATATATATATACGTGTATACATATGTGTATATATATACACACACACATATATGTTCATATATATACTACAGGTTAATTTAACTATATACAGCTTTGCCTATAATACAGGTATTACACTGTATTATGTACTATACACTACGAACAACAGTCCTTTTTTTTTGTTTTTGAGACAGAGTCTCACTCTGTCTCCCAGGCTAGAGTACAGTGGTGCAATCTCAGCTCACTGCAACCACCTCCTGGTTTCAAGCAATTGTCCTGCCTCAGCCTCCTGAGTAGCTGGGACCACAAGCACACACCACCATGACCAGCTACTTTTTGTATTTTTGGTAGAGATGGGGTTTCACCATGTTGGCCAGGCTGATCTCGGACTCTTGACCTCAAGTGATCCGCCCACCTTGGCCTCCCAAAGTGCTGGGATTACAGGCGTGAGCCACTACGCCTAGCCAAACAACAGTTCTGTATGTAACACAAAGTTATCACATATTTTGTCATTTATAAGCTGACTGCCATGTCCTTTCCTACAGCAATGTACTGCCAAGAGATTTTTATTTTAGTAAATAGTAGGTGTTACTCTACCTCTTTTTTGGTGTAATTTATATCTCACTAAATCATATTAAGCCCAATTAGATCATCTAGTACACTTAAGAAAAGGGGGTTTTCAGTCTTTCAAGAGGGCAATATAGAGAAGAATGTCTCCTATCCAACCCTTTGATACATGTTACTTTATTATAAACCAGGAATGAGCTGAAGACTCCAATTCAGCAGCAGAACTAACCAAACATACCCAGATGTTCTCCACGTCACATTTGGTTCTATGGTTTCCATGGGCCTCTTCCAAAAGTTTCACAAAAGTTATGAAAACATATGTGTACAATGAATGTGCTGAAAGATTGAGTAAACAAAACAGTTTCTACTACATTCTGTTATCCCCAAATATATTCAGCTTAGAGGATTTGAACTTAAAACAATTAGTCAAGAAGAAAAACTGAGATATGAAATTTAGTCCACCAAAATAGACATCAAGAAAAATGAGATGAATTATCATGAGTACATACTAGTTAATGATTTCCTCAGGAGTGTGTTGTATGTTAGTTTCCTCATTAGTTGCACAAAGTTTACCCCAAACGTATCAATAACTTGTATAAATAGAAAATGATTATTTTTCCAGATTTTATCACCTGATAATTCCCTTTAATAGATGTTTTCATAAGTAATAAATATAGTAATAATCCATCTACAAAAAGGTGATTCCAAGGGACTGAATCATCATAGACTGATTAATTCTACGATGCTTATTTTAATGATAAGTGTATTTTATTTTGTTACATTTTAATAGCTGTTAATATTTTATTATATGCATGTTAATATTTAAATATAACACTTATTCTTTACCTGGGCAGGGAAGGGGGGCACACTTGTTAATACTATCTTTTGAGCCCTTAAACAGAAGGTCTCAAAGGATTTTTATTACCAAAAAAGATGCCTCAGAGGGTCAGAGTCTCCAAGTATTTGATAAGTATTTGTAAAACAGGCATCACAGTATTAAATCACTTAATCGCTAGAGTCATATATTGAAGGGTCATAATTAAGAACTGTCTATAAGCCCTTTACTATTTATCATCCTTGTTCTAATCAAACATGTTAAGAAACAATAATATTATTCAATTAGTCTGACCTTCAATGTTGGCTTTTTAAATGTAAGCATTTATATTTCTAATGTCACTTCTACATGACAGAGTGTATTTACATTAATGTCACTGAGGAGATTATGCCTAGAGTTAAATATTAATATGCTACAGTTTTCAAAGAACTCTCGTGTATGTTCTCATTTGACTTTTAAAATAACATGATATATTTTACATAAGGGGCCTCGTATGATACATAATATTTTAAATCTTAATAAGGCATTCTAATTTGAAGGTGGTGTTTTTTTTTAAGTAGCTCTCCTACTTTCCATGTGGCCAGCACAGTACATTAGAAAAACAACTCAGAGACAAAATTAATGCTGCTTTGTGACTCAGAACACGGGAACTGCCATGTAAAAGAGAAGAGGAAGGAAGTCCAACTGGTCTTGGAAGTGAATTGGTCAGGAAGTCCTATCCACTTTATTGTACCCTCATAGAAGTCCAAACATTTTACATTTATATTCAATCCCATTAAACAAATGTGACTGCATAAAAACAAAAGATTATTAAAAACAAATGAATAGGTTTATAACTTTTCATGATGATCTCATTGATACTTATTTTACTATATAGGTCAACTAAAAAGCAGAATGGAACATTTATAGAGTACCTACTATATGCCAGATGCCATACTAGGTCCTTGGCCCAAAGGCCAAAACGAGTCCTGACACATCTATAAGCATTTCCATTAGGAGTAAGCAAAAGACCTGTGTTGTAGACAAAAATTCATTTGTCGCTAAAGGATATTCCTTCTACTTACTTCTCTGAACTACAATTCATCTGTAACTGTTTTATTAATGGCCAAAACATATTTGTTTTCCAGAATCCCCTAGATTATTTTACATAAACAGGCTCATATAAAGCATAGCAGAACATAGAAAGATTCAGAGTTCTCTGTGCCAGTCATCTTGATCATGATTAACTATGCAGTTCTGAAGGTAGAAAATTCAAAGTTAAAGTCACTGAGGATGGTAACAGAGCCTTAACGGTTTCAGAAGGGATATATGAGGACAATAGGCTGACAATAGAAATAAACTGGAGAACACTGTAATTTTTTTATTCAGCAAGAAATGAAGTATACCACTCAGATTATAAAAGAGTTTAATGAAGAAAAAGTTTTATTACTTCTAGGTATAATCAAAAAACCCACAGATAATAAAAATAAGAAATATCAGGAACAGAATTTGTGGTCGCAAATTCTGATTAACATGATAATAAACTGATTTACCTTCTTTAAAAATTATCTCTACCTTTTCTGGCAAAAAAAACTTGAGTATTTACCAAATTTTTAACTGAAGTTCCAATCTTAAAATTTATTATAAACATAAAATGCTGCATTTAAATGTGTAATACCTATGACTGTATAACACAGGTGATTTCATCATTTACCTATTTTATAGTTAGTAATCTATGCAAATGGACCTTTGAAAATGATTCCTACAAACACATGATGGCTTTAAAAAGATGAATCATACAAGGTGGTCTTTATCAACAATTATGAAAGGTAAAATACAACTTTTCCATTTTCAGTTGAAGATAGTACGCATTTAGAGAAAGATGCTACCTTTTACCCTTTTTTATGTTACTATAATATAGAATATGACTGACAGAAGCAATTCAGAATTTATTTGCAAAGACTGTTCTCTCTCTACCATAATCTTCAGAAGATTCTTCAGTTCTCTCAGAATTAGGTTTGCATCTTCTCTTTTCTCTTTTCTTATTGAGTTAAGCTTATTTCCCATGATAATAAACTCCCCTAGTTGTAAAGAGGTTTATAAAAGCCATGGATATTTCTTTTTCCAGTTTGCTTTTCCCTTGATTCTATGGTATCCAGTACTGCATTTATAAAATTGGATTGGGAGTTTGTTTGTTTTTTTTTAATCTAAGAAAGCATTGATCCATGTTAAGATGATTAAGACACAGTGATATAAAGCTTATAAGATTTTTAAATTCTTTTATATTTATGTTTCATATATATAAAAACTTCTTTGGCTCAGGCACATAAAAAAATCACCTTTCAAGAAATGCAACTGTTAAAAAGCTTCACTAGAATTTAAAACATTCATTAGGCTAAATGTCTATTTTATTAGTTGCTTTAGTTTGATATTGCTGATATTAAATAATGTACTTTATTAAATTAAAATTTTAACAACTTCTTCTTTATTATTATCCCATCTTACCTTAATTCTCTTAAAAATACCACTAACAATTACTTAAGTACCTAGTATTACTGGTAGTGATTGTCTCCGCAATTGAGTGTAAAACTAACATAAAATGCTCTCCAGAAATTTAACTTCTTGTTCATTATGTCACTATGTGGTCAAACAGCCAACATAAAATATACTAACTAATATACAACACATGATATATAATATAAAGCAAAGCTTTTAAAAAGAATCTAAATATGAGAAATCATAGGTAACTTAGAAGACTAAAGCTCTCCACTTGTAAAATTCTTACAAATAGAAGAAAAATAAAGACTATCTAGACTACCTTCAAAGCTTCAAGTTCTCCAAAAGCAGAGACCTGGTATTATCAAAAGTATTTACACAGCAGTAAAGAAAAAAACATAAAGTAAAAATATTGTGGAAGTCAGTGTGGTGATTCCTCAGGGATCTAGAACTAGAAATACCATTTGACCCAGCCATCCCATTACTGGGTATATACCCAAAGGACTATAAATCATGCTGTTATAAAGACACATGCACACGTATGTTTATTGCGGCACTATTCACAATAGCAAAGACTTGGAACCAACCCAAATGTCCAACAAGGATAGACTGGATTAAGAAAATGTGGCACATATACACCATGGAATACTATGCAGCCATAAAAAATGATGAGTTCATGTCCTTTGTAGGGACATGGATGAAATTGGAAATCATCATTCTCAGTAAACTATCGCAAGGACAGAAAACCAAACACCGCATGTTCTCACTCATAGATGGGAACTGAACAATGAGATCACATGGACACAGGAAGGGGAACATCACACTCTGGGGACTGTTGTGGGGTGGGGGGAGGGGGGAGGGATAGCATGAGGAGATACACCTAATGCTAAATGACGAGTTAATGGGTGCAGCACACCAGCATGGCACATGTATACATATGTAACTAACCGGCATATTGTGCACATGTACCCTAAAACTTAAAGTATAATAATAATAATAATAAAATAAACAAAAAAATTTTAAAAAGTAAAAATAAAACCAGTCTATAATAATATTATACCTATAACATCAACCAATAAAAACAGATATTGAGGAAATTAAGTATTTTACAGAAAAAAGTCAATACCGGGTTGTGCACAACCACACCTTAAAGTTTAGGTTTAGATATTTTCTTTTTTGTGTGCATTTTATTACTTTTTCTTTTGTTTTGTTTTTGAGATAGAGTCTTGCTCTGTTGCCCAGGCTGGAGTGCAGTGGCACAATCTCGGCTCAGTGCAGCCTCCACCTCCCAGGTTCAAGTGATTTTGCTGTCTCAGCCTCCAGAGCAGCTAGGATTACAGGCGAGCGCCACCATGCCTGGCTAATTTTTGTATTTTTAATAGAGATGGGGTTTCACCATGTTGGCCAGGCTGGTCTCAAACTCCTGACCTCAAGTGATAGGCCCACCTCAGCCTCCCAAAGTGCTGGGATTACAGGCATGAGCCACCACGCCCAGCCGATATTTTCTTAACTGAGTCAAAACTGCCTTACCAAGAACCCTAAAAACAAAAAAAAATTCGTTATTACATAGTACAGCCTCACAACTATAACACAATTAATAAAATGTTTTTAGTGATGATAGAGTTTTCTAGCATCCTTAAGTGACTTCTAAGTGATCTTTTAAATTCTAATATTCAGAACATTAACTCTATCCTAAACCTTTTTTTTTTTTTTTTTTTTTTGAGGCAGGGTCTCACTTTGTTGCCCAGGCTAGAGTACAGCAGCACGATCACAGCTCACTGCAGGCCCAAACTCCCCAGGCTCAAGTGATCCTCCCACCTCAGCCTCCCAAGCAGCTGGGACTACAGGCACATTTCACCATGTTTGGCTAAGTTTTGTATTTTTTGTAGGGATGATATTTCACCATGTTGCCAAGGCTGGTCTTGAACTCCTGGTCTCAAGTGATCTGCCCACCTCTGTCTCCCAAAGTGCTGGGATTACAGGCATGAGCCACAGCTCCTGGCCCTTAATCCTTTTTTAGTAAGCCATCTACAAACCATAGTATTAAAAATGATGATATAAAATATAATGAATTCCTGAATTTATTGGCCTAAAAAGATGTTCAGCACAAGACAATATGTTAAAATACTATTTCAAATATAATTTCATATTTTTATTCCTTCTGTAATCTTGTAAAAAATAACCCATGTGTGGTTAGAGTATGAGGAAGTTTATCCTTGCCAAGTTCATATTTGGCATTTCTGTTGGTAAGTCCATCTACCTACTCCATACCCAGTTTCCTCCATCGTTAGCATCTTATAGATATATATATATATACATAGTACAAATAATCCATTTTTAAAAAAGAGAAGGGTCTAAGGGTCTAAATAGCTATTTCTCCAAAGAAGATACATGAATGCCTAATAAGCACATAAAATGATATTCAACATCATCAATCATCAGAGAAATGCAAATCAAAACCACAATAAGGTACCATTTCACACCTACTACAGTGGTTGTAATATAAAAGAGTGACAATAACAGCTGTTGGTGAGGATCTAGAGAAACTAGAACCCTTATACCTTGCTGGTGGGAATGTAAAATGCTGCCACTGTACAAAACAAACTGACAGTTCCTCAAAATGTTAACCATATAGTTACCATGTGACCCAGCAATTCCTCTCCTAGATATATCATAAAGACAACTGAAAACATATCCACACAAAAACCTGTACACGAATGTTCATGGTGGCATTATTCATTATGGCTGAAAGAGTGGAAACAACACTGTGATGGTTAATACCGAGTGTCAACTTGATTGGATTAAAGGATGTAATGTTCCTAGGTGTGTCTGTGAGGGTGTTACCAAAGGAAATTAACATTTGAGTCAGTGCAGTGGGAGAGGCAGCCTACCCTCAGTCTGGGTGGGCACCATCTAATCAGCTGCCAGCATGGCTAGAATAAAGCAGGCAGAAGAAAGTGGAATGGGGAGACTTGCTGAGTGTTCCAGCCTTCATCTTTCTCTGTGCTGGATGCTTCCTGCCCTGGAACATCAGACTCCAAGTTCTTCAATTTTTAGACTCTTGGACTTACACTGTGATTTATATATATATACAGTACAAACAATCCATTTTTAAAAAGGACAAGGGTGTAAATAGCTATTTCTCCAAAGAAGATATATGAATGGCTAATAAGCACATAAAATGATAAAAAGGGGCTCTCAGGCCTTCGACCACAGACTGAAGGCTGCACTGCTGGCTTATCTACTTTTGAGATTTTGAGACTTCGACTGACTTCCTTGCTCCTCAGCTTGCAGATGGCCTATTGTGGAACTTCAACTTGTGATAGTGTAAGTCAATTCTCCTAACAAACTCCCCTTCACATATACATATATACTATTAGTTCTGTCCCTTTAGAGAACCCTGACAAATACAAACACAAACGTCCATCAACTGATGGACAGAGACACAAAATATATATTACACAACAGAATATCATTCAGGCATAAAAAAGAATGAAGCACTAATACATGCTGCAACATGGACAAACCTTGAAAACATTATGCTAAGTGAAAGAAGTCAGTCAGAAAAGACCATATATTGTAGTTCCACTTGTAAGGAATGTCTAGAATAGGCAAATCTATAAAGACAGAAAGTAGTGGTTGCTTAGGGATGAGAGGAAAGGGGAATAGGAAAGTGATGGCTAATGAGCAGGGTTTCTTATTGTGTGATGAAAATGTTCCAAAATGGATTATAGTAATGGTTGCACAATGCTGTGAATACACTAAAAACCACTGAATTGTACACTTCAAATGGACAAATTTATAATATGCAAATTACATCTCTATAAAGTGTTTTTTTTACTCATCGCTGTAAGAAGTTAGACTTCAAGGCATCCACCCTTACCCCAAGTAGCCAAACAAATACCCTACCCTAGCCCTCACACAAAGGTTTATTATCTGAAGAATATAAATCTGAACCAGAAGCTGAACACAGAAATACACATGGAGAGAGAGGAAGAGGGGTGCACCAGACCAAAATCAGGGGGATGTCTGCACATTAAACAGCATCATAACCAGATTCTTCCTCCATTTCCTTCTTCCATTTTCTAACCATCAAACCTGAAACTAGCAGATATCCCTTTGTAGAAATAAAAGAAATACAGAGAAAAGACCTATAGATTGTAATGTTTAAAAATTTTCCAAAGAAACTTTTTTTATTATTCAAATTATATCTTTAATTTTTTTAAAAGTTAAAAAAAATTTAAATTATTTTTCTTTTTTTTGTGTGTTTGGGTTCTGCTTTCTTTTGTTTTATTATTATACTTTAAGTTTTAGGGTACATGTACACAATATGCAGGTTAGTTACATATGTAAACATGTGCCATGCTGGTGCGCTGCACCCATTAACTCATCATTTAGCATTAGGTGTATCTCCTAAAGCTATCCCGCCCCCCTCTCCCCACCCCACAACAGTCCCCAGAGTGTGATGTTCCCCTTCCCTGTGTCCATGTGTTCTCATTGTTCAATTCCCACCTATGAGTGAGAATATGCGGTGTTTCGTTTGTTGTTCTTGCGATAGTTTACTGAGAATGATGATTTCCAATTTCATCCATGTCCCTACAAAGGACATGAACTCATCATTTTTTATGGCTGCATACTATTCCATGGTGTATATCTGCCACATTTTCTTAATCCAGTCTATCATTGTTGGACATTTGGGTTGGTTCCAAGTCTTTGCTATTCTGAATAGTGCCACAATAAACATACGTGTGCATGTGTCTGTATAGTAGAATGATTTATAGTCCTTTCGGTATATACCCAGTAATGGGATGGCTGGGTCAAATGGTATTTCTAGTACTAGATTCCTGAGGAATCGCCACACTGACTTCCACAAGGGTTGAACTAGTTTACAGTCCCACCAACAGTGTAAAAGTGTTCCTATTTCTCCACATCCTCTCCAGCACCTGTTGTTTCCTGACTTTTTAATGATTGCCATTCTAACTGGTGTGAGATGGTATCTCATTGTGATTTTGATTTGCATTTCTCTGATGGCCAGTGACGGTGAGCATTTTTTCATGTGTTTTTTTGGCTGCATAAATGTCTACTTTTCAGAAGTGTCTGTTCATGTCCTTTGCCCCGTTTTTGATGGGGTTGTTTGTTTTTTTCTTGTAAATTTGTTTGAGTTCATTGTAGATTCTGGATATTAGCCCTTTGTCAGATGAGTAGGTTGCAAAACTTTTCTCCCATTGTGTAGGTTGCCTGTTCACTCTGACGGTAGTTTCTTTTGCTGTGTAGGAGCTCTTTAGTTTAATTAGATCCCATTTGTCAATTTTGGCTTTTCTTGCCATTGCTTTTGGTGTTTCAGACATGAAGTCCTTGCCCATGCCTATGTCCTGAATGCTAATGCCTAGGTTTTCCTATAGGGTTTCTATGATTTTAGGTCTAACGTTTAAGTCTTTAATCCATCTTGAATTAATTTTTGTGTAATGGGTAAGGAAGGGACCCAGTTTCAGCTTTCTACATATGGCTAGCCAGTTTTCCCAGCACCATTTATTAAACAGGGAATCCTTTCCGCGTTGCTTGTTTTTCTCAGGTTTGTCAAAGATCAGATAGTCATAGATATGCGGCATTATTTCAGAGTGCTCTGTTCTGTTCTATTGATCTATATCTCTGTTTTGGTACCAGTACCATACTGTTTTGGTTACTGTAGCCTTGTAGTATAGTTTGAAGTCAGGTAGCATGATGTCTCCAGCTTTGTTCTTTTGGCTTAGGATTGACTTGGCGATGCAGGCTCTTTTTTGGTTCCATATGAACTTTAAAGTAGTTTTTTCCAATTCTGTGAAGAAAGTCATTGGTAGCTTGATGGGGATGGCATTGAATCTATAAATTACCTTGGGGAGTATGGCCATTTTCACGATATTGATTCTTCCTACCCATGAGCATGGAATGTTCTTCCATTTGTTTGTATCCTCTTTTATTTTGTTGAGCAGTGGTTTGTAGCTCTCCTTGAAGAGGTCCTTCACATCCCTTGTAAGTTGGATTCCTAGGTATTTTATTCTCTTTGAAGCAATTGTGAATGGGAGTTCACTCATTATTTGGCTCTCTGTTTGTCTGTTATTGGTGTATAAGAATGCTTGTGATTTTTGTACATTGATTTTGTATCCTGAGACTTTGCTGAAGTTGCTTATCAGTTTAAGGAGATTTTGGGCTGAGACGATGGGGTTTTCTAGATATACAATCATGTTGTCTGCAAACAGGGACAATTTGACTTCCTCTTTTCCTAACTGAATACCCTTTATTTCCTTCTCCTGCCTAATTGCCCTGGCCAGAACTTCCAACACTATGTTGAATAGGAGTGGTGAGAGAGGGCATCCCTGTCTTGGGCCAGTTTTCAAAGGGAATGCTTCCAGTTTTTGCCCATTTAGTATGATATTGGCTGTGGGTTTGTCATAAAGAGCTCTTATTATTTTGAGACACGTCCCATCAATACCTAATTTATTGAGAGTTTTTAGCATGAAGGGTTGTTGAATTTTGTCAAAGGCCTTTTCTGCATCTATTGAGATAATCATGTGGTTTTTGTCTTTGGTTCTGTTTATATGATGGATTACATTTATTGATTTGCATATATTGAAACAGCCTTGCATCCCAGGGATGAAGCCCACTTGATCATGGTGGATAAGCTTTTTGATGTGCTGCTGGATTCAGTTTGCCAGTATTTTACTGAGGATTTTTGCATCAATCTTCATCAAGGATAGTGGTCTAAAATTCTCTTTTTTGGTTGTGTCTCTGCCCGGCTTTCGTATCAGAATGATGCTGGCCTCATAAAATGAGTTAGGGAGGATTCCCTCTTTTTCTATTGACTGGAATAGTTTCAGAAGGAATGGTACCAGTTCCTCCTTGTACCTCTGATAGAATTCGGCTGTGAATCCAACTGATCCTGGACTTTTTGGTTGGTAAGCTATTGACTATTGCCACAATTTCAGAGCCTGTTATTGGTCTATTCAGAAGGTCAACTTCTTCCTGGTTTAGTCTTGGGTGGGTGTATGTGTCCAAGAATCTATCAATTTCTTCAAGATTTTCTAGTTTATTTGCGTAGAGGTGTTTATACTATTCTCTGATGGTAGTTTGTATTTCTGTGGGATCGGTGGTGATATCCCCTTTATCATTTTTTCTTGCATCTATTTGATTCTTCTCTCTTTTCTTCTTTATTAGTCTTGCTAGCTGTCTATCAATTTTGTTGATCTTTTCAAAAAACCAGCTTCTGGATTCATTAATTTTTTGAAGGGTTTTTTGTGTTTCTATTTCCTTCAGTTCTGCTCTGATTTTAGTTATTTCTTGCCTTCTGCTAGCTTTTGAATGTGTTTGCTCTTGCTTCTCTAGTTCTTTTAATTGTGATGTTAGGGTGTCAATTTTGGATCTTTCCGGCTTTCTCTTGTGGGCATTTAGTGCTATAAATTTCCCTCTACACACTGCTTTGAATGTGTCCCAGAGATTCTGGTATGTTGTGTCTTTGTTCTCGTTGGTTTCAAAGAACATCTTTATTTCTGTCTTCATTTCGTTATGTACCCAGCAGTCATTCAGGAGCAGGTTGTTCAGTTTCCATGTAGTTGAGCAGTTTTGAGTGAGTTTCTTAATCCTGAGTTCTAGTTTGATTGCACTGTGGTCTGAGAGACAGTTTGTTATAATTTCTCATCTTTTACATTTGCTGAGGAGAGCTTTACTTCCAACTATGTGGTCAATTTTGGAGTAGGTGTGGTGCTGAAAAAAATGTATATTCTGTTGATTTGGGGTGGAGAGTTCTGTAGATGTCTATTAGGTCTGCTTGGTGCAGAGCTGAGTTCAATTCCTGGATATCCTTGTTAACTTTCTGTCCAGTTGATCTGTCTAATGTTGACAGTGGGGTGTTAAAGTCTCCCATTATTATTGTGTGGGAGTCTAAGTCTCTTTGTAGGTCACTCAGGACTTGCTTTATGAATCTTCGTGCTCCTGTATTGGGTGCACATATATTTAGGATAGTTAGCTCTTCTTGTTGAATTGATCCTTTTACCATTATGTAATGGCCTTCTTTGTCTCTTTTGATCTTTGTTGGTTTAAAGTCTGTTTTATCAGAGACTAGGATTGCAACCCCTGCCTTTTTTTATTTTCCATTTGCTTGGTAGATCTTCCTCCATCCTTTTATTTTGAGCCTATGTGTGTCTCTGCACGTGAGATGGGTTTCCTGAATACAGCACACTGATGGGTCTTGACTGTATCCAATTTGCCAGTCTGTGTCTTTTAATTGGAGCACTTAGCCCATTTACATTTAAAGTTAATATTGTTATGTGTGAATTTGATCCTGTCATTATGATGTTAGCTGGTTATTTTGCTCATTAGTTGATGCAGTTTCTTCCTAGCCTCGATGGTCTTTACAGTCTGGCATGATTTTGCAATGGCTGGTACCGGTTGTTCCTTTCCATGTTTAGTGCTTCCTTCAGGAGCTCTTGCAGGGCAGGCCTGGTGGTGACAAAATCTCTCAGCATTTGCTTTTCTGTAAAGGATTTTATTTCTCCTTCACTTATGAAGCTTAGTTTGGCTGGATAAGAAATTCTGGGTTGAAAATTTTTTTCTTTAAGAATGTTGAATATTGGCCCCCACTCTCTTCTGGCTTGTAGAGTTTCTGCCGAGAGATCCACTGTTAGTCTGATGGGCTTCCCTTTGTGGGTAACCCAACCTTTCTCTCTGGCTGCCCTTAACATTTTTTCCTTCATTTCAACTTTGGTGAATCTGACAATTATGTGTCTTAGAGTTGCTCTTCTTGAGGGGCATCTTTGTGGCGTTCTCTGTATTTCCTGAATCTGAATGTTGGCCTGCCTTGCTAGATTGGGGAAGTTCTCCTGGATAATATCCTGCAGAGTGTTTTCCAACTTGGTTCCATTCTCCCCGTCATTTTCAGGTACACCCATCAGACGTAGATTTGGTCTTTTCACATAGTCCCATATTTCCTGGAGGCTTTGTTCGTTTCTTTTTATTCTTTTTTCTCTAAACTTCCCTTCTTGCTTCATTTCATTCATTTGATCTTCAATCACTGATACCCTTTCTTCCAGTTGATAGCATCGGCTCCTGAGGCTTCTGCATTCTTCACGTAGTTCTCGAGCCTTGGCTTTCAGCTCCATCACCTCCTTTAAGCACTTCTCTGTATTGGTTATTCTATACATTCGTCTAAATTTTTTTCAAAGTTTTCAACTTCTTTGCCTTTGGTTTGAATTTCCTCTTGTAGCTCGGAGTAGTTTGATCGTCTGAAGCCTTCTTCTCTCAACTCGTCAAAGTCATTCTCCATCCAGCTTTGTTCCGTTGCTGGTGAGGAACTGCATTCCTTTGGAGGAGGAGAGGCGCTCTGCTTTTTAGAGTTTCCAGTTTTTCTGCTCTGTTTTTTCCCCATCTTTGTGGTTTTATCTACTTTTGGTCTTTGATGATGGTGATGTACAGAAGGGTTTTTGGTGTGGATGTCCTTTCTGTTTGTTAGTTTTCCTTCTAACAGACAGGACCCTCAGCTGCATGTCTGCTGGAGTTTGCTAGAGGTCCACTCCAGACTCTGTTTGCCTGGGTACCAGCAGCGGTGGCTGCAGAACAGCGGATTTTCGTGAACCGTTAATGCTGCTGTCTGATCGTTCCTCTGGAAGTTTTGTCTCAGAGGAGTACCCGGCCGTGTGAGGTGTCAGTCTGCCTCTACTGGGGGGTGCCTCCCAGTTAGGCTGCTCAGGGTTCAGGGGTCAGGGACCCACTTGAGGAGGCAGTCTGCCCATTCTCAGATCTCCAGCTGCGTGCTGGGAGAACCGCTGCTCTCTTCAAAGCTGTCAGACAGGGACATTTAAGTCTGCAGAGGTTACTGCTGTCTTTTTGTTTGTCTGTGCCCTGCCCCCATAGGTGGAGCCTACAGAGGCAGGCAGGCCTCCTTGAGCTGTGGTGGGCTCCACCCAATTCAAGCTTCCCAGCTGCTTTGTTTACCTAAGCAAGCCTGGGCAATGGCAGCCGCCCCTCCCCTAGCCTCGCTGCCGCCTTGCAGTTTGATCTCAGACTGCTGTGCTAGCAATAAGCGAGACTCCATGGGCACAGGACCCTCTGAGCCAGATGCGGGTTATAATCTCCTGGTGCGCCGTTTTTTAAGCCCGTCGGAAAAGCGCAGTATTGGGGTGGGAGTGACCCGATTTTCCAGGTGCCACCTGTCATCCCTTTCTTTGACTAGGAAAGGGAACTCCGTGACCCCTTGCGCTTCCCGAGTAAGGCAATGCCTCGCCCTGCTTCGGCTGGTGCACGGTGTGCTGCACCCACTGTCCTGCGCCCACTGTCTGGCACTCCCTAGTGAGATGAACCCAGTACCTCAGATGGAAATGCAGAAATCACCCGTCTTCTGCGTCGCTCACGCTGGGAGCTGTAGACAGCAGCTGTTCCTATTCGGCCATCTTGGCTCCCTCCCCAGTGAAACCTTTTAACATTTCCTTATCACCCTACACAATACGGCTTCCCTAAACCCATGATTCTTAGGGTCTAACCCAAGAGACTTAGACTCCCACACAATAATAATGGGAGACTTTAACACCCCACTGTCAACATTAGACAGATCAACTAGACGAAAGTTAACAAGGATATCCAGGAATTGAACTCAGCTCTGCACCAAGCAGACCTAATAGACATCTACGGTACTCTCCATGCAAAATCAACAGAATATACATTCTTCTCAGCACCACATCACACTTACTCCAAAACTGACCACAAAGTTGGAAGTGAAGCACTCCTCAGCAAATATAAAAGAACAGAAATTATAACAAACTGTCTCTAAGACCACAGTGCATTCAAACTAGAACTCAGGATTAAGAAACTCATTCAAAACCACTCAACTACGTGGAAACTGAACAACCTGCTCCTGAATGACTACTGGGTACATAACGAAATGAAGACAGAAATAAAGATGTTCTTTGAAACCAATGAGAACAAAGACACAACATACCAGACTCTCTGGGACACATTCAAACCAGCGTGTAGAGGGAAATTTGCAGCACTAAATGCCCACAAGAGAAAGCAGGAAAGATCTAAAATTGACACCCTAACATCACAATTAAAAGAACTACAGAAGCAAGAGCAAACACATACAAAAGCTAGCAGAAGGCAAGAAAAAATTAAGAACAGAGCAGAACTGAAAGAGATAAAGACACAAAAAACCCTTGAAAAAAATCAATGAATCCAGGAGTTGGTTTTTTGAAAAGATCAACAAAATTGATAGACAGCTAGCAAGACTAATAAAGAAGAAAAGAGAGAAGAATCAAATAGGCGCAACAAAAAATGATAAAGGGGATATCACCACCGATCCCACGGAAATACAAACTACCATCAGAGAATACTATGAACACCTCTATGCAAATAAACTAGAAAATCTAGAAGAAATGGATAAATTCCTCGACACATACACCCTCCCAAGACTAAACCAGGAAGAAGTTGAATCCCAAAATAGACCAATAACAGGCTCTGAAATTGAGGCAATAATTAATAGCCTACAAACCAAAAAATGTCCAGGACCAGATGGATTCACAACCAAATTCTACCAGAGGTACAAGGAGGAGCTGGTACCATTCCTTCTGAAACTATTTCAATCATTAGAAAAAGAGGGAACTCTCCCTAAGTCATTTTATGAGGCCAGCATCATCCTGATACCAAAGCCTGGCAAAGACACAACTAAAAAAAAGAGAATTTTAGACCAATATCCCTGATGAACATTGATGCAAAAATCCTCAGTAAAATACTGGCAAACTGAATCCAGCAGCACATCAAATAGCTTATCCACCATGATCAAGTGGGCTTCATCCCTGGGATGCAAAGCTGGTTCAACGTACACAAATCAATAAACGTAATCCATCATATAAACAGACCCAAAGACAAAAACCACATGATTATCTCAACAGATGCAGAAAAGGCCTTTGACAAAATTCTACAGCCCTTTATGCTAAAAACTCTCAATAAACTAGGTATTGATGGGATGTATATCAAAACAATAAGAGCTCTTTATGACAAACCCACAGCCAATATCATACTAAATGGGCAAAAACTGGAAGCATTCCCTTTGAAAACTGGCCCAAGACAGGGATGCCCTCTCTCACCACTCCTATTCAACATAGTGTTGGAAGTTCTGGCCAGGGCAATCAGGCAGGAGAAAGAAATAAAGGGTATTCAATGAGGAAAAGAGGAAGTCAAATTGTCCATTTTCAGATGACGTGATTGTATATTTAGAAAACCCCATCGTCTCAGCCCAAAATCTCCTTAAACTGATAAGCAACTTCAGCAAAGTCTCAGGATACAAAATCAATGTGCAAAAATCACAAGCATTCTTATACACCAATATGAGACAAACAGCCATATCATGAGTGGAACTCCCAATCATGATTGCTACAAAGAGAATAAAATACCTAGGAATCCAACTTACAAGGGATGTGAAGGACCTCTTCAAGGAGAACTACAAACCACTGCTCAATGAAATGAAAGAGAACACAAACAAATGGAAGAACATTCCACGCTCATGGTTAGGAAGAAGCAATATCGTGAAAATGGCCATACTCCCCAAGGTAATTTATAGATTCAATGCCATCCCCATCAAGCTACCAATGACTTTCTTCACAGAATTGGAAAAAAACTACTTTAAATTTCATATGAAACCAAAAAAGAGCCCGCATTGCCAAGACAATCCTAAGCAAAAAGAACAAAGCTGGAGGCATCACGCTACCTGACTTCAAACTATAATACAAGGCTACAGTAACCAAAACAGCATAGTACTGCTACCAAAACAGAGATATAGACCAATGGAACAGAACAGAGCCCTCAGAAATATTAGCACACATCTACAACCATCTGATCTTTGACAAACCTGACAAAAACAAGAAATGGGGAAAGGACTCCCTCTTTAATAAATGGTGCTGGGAAAACTGGCTAGCCATATGTAGAAAGCTGAAACTGGATCCCTTCCTTACACCTTATACAAAAATTAATTCAAGATGGATTAAAGACTTAAATGTTAGACCTAAAACCATAAAAACCCTAGAAGAAAAGCTAGGCAATACCATTCAGGACATAGGCATGGGGAAGGACTTCATAACTAAAACACCAAAAGCAATGGCAACAAAAGCCAAAATTGACAAATGAGATCTAATTAAATTAAAGAGCTTCTGCACAGCAAAAGAAACTACCATCAGAGTGAACACGCAATCTATAGAATGGGAGAAAATTTTTACAATCTACCCATCTGACAAAAGGCTAATATCCAGAATCTACAAAGAACTTAAACAAATTTACAAGAAAAAATCAAACAACCCCATCAAAAAGTGGGCGAAGGATATGAACAGACACTTCTCAAAAGAAGACATTTATGCAGCCAACAGACACATGAAAAAATGCTCATCATCACTGACCATCAGAGAAATGCAAATCAAAACCACAATGAGATACCATCTTAACACCAGTTAGAATGGCAATCATTAAAAAGTCAAGAAACAACAGGTGCTGGAGAGGATGTGGAGAAATAGGAACACTTTTTGACACTTTTGGTGGGAGTGTAAACTAGTTTAACCATGGTGGAAGACAGTGAGGCGATTCTTCAAGGATCTAGAACTAGAAATACCATTTAACCCAGTGATCCCATTACTGGGCATATACCCAAAGGATTATAAATCATGCTGCTATAAAGACACATGCACACGTATGTTTACTGCAGCACTATTCACAATAGCAAAGACTTGGAACCAACCCAAATGTCCAACAATGATAGACTGGATTAAGAAAATGTGGCACATATACACCATGGAATACTATGCAGCCATAAAAAATGATGAGTTTATGTCCCTTGTAGGGACATGGATGAAGCTGGAAACCATCATTCTGAGCAAACTATTGCAAGGACAGAAAACCAAACACCGTATGTTCTCACTCATAGGTGAGAATTGAACAATGAGAACACTTGGACACAGGATGGGGAACATCACACACCGGGGCCTGTCATGGGGTGGGGGAGTGGGGAGGGATAGCATTAGGAGATATACCTAATGTAAATGATGAGTTAATGGGTGCAGCACACCAACATGGCACATGTATACATATGTAACAAGCCTGAATGTTGTGCACATGTACCCTAGAACTTAAAGTATAATAAAAAATTAATTAATTTTAAAAAATTGTCATATATTATTCTCTGCCTAGCCTCCTTATTGAATGTTTTTACTAGTGTCAATAATTTCAAAGTTGATTTTACTATTCATTTTATTTACATATCATCTAAAAATATTAGGAATCACACTTCCTTCCTCCCAAAAGTTATAATCCTTATTGCTGTTCTTAACAGTGTTAAGTGACACAGTGAGTTTAATAAGTGTTAACTCTAGTACTTTGCCATTAAATACTCTTCATAAGTATTTATTTGCCTAATAAAGATTACAAATTATGTTTAGGACAAAACTTCTTTATCTGTTTAAATATTTCATTTCCCACAAAGCAAAGAGAAATTTTAAAAAGATGAACTAACAAATCAATTACATTTCTCTTAAGATTAAAAGTTATTTTCAGTATCATTCACGAATAAAAATCCTGTTTTTCATCTGTAAATTGATGCTCCTTTCCCAAGTAAAGTCTCATCTGAAAAGCATTCCACAAAACCATACATGATTCAAACTACAAAATTAAAATGTAAAATTACTTTTATGATTTAGAACCTATGTACACCAAAACTTTTCCTGTGTTGCTTTCTCAACCTAATAATGTAAACAATTACTCTCAAACTTCCCAAATATTCCATGAGAGTTAATTGTTCAAAAGTGAACAGATTTTTTTAAACTAGGGCAAAACAGAAAATACTCAGATACAAAAATTTTCAAAGAAGCCAAATATACATTATAAATAAGTGCCCCTAAAATTAGTTTTATATATTATCACAGAGTAAAACTCTCCAATCTTAAATCACGGAATGGGTTTTATGTGTGTGTGTGTGTGTGTGTGTGTGTGTGTGCGCGCGCGCGCATATGTGAAAGTTTGTACGCATATATATTATAAAGGAATGAGAAAATGTACCTCAAATTCTTTTCTAAGGCGTTCCTCTCGTTGAGTGCTAAATTCAAGTTCACTTGTTTGTCGCCGTAAAAGGTCAGAGCAGTCCATATGTTCTGTTTCTAATTTTTCTACTTTCTTATGCATATTTTGCACAGCAGTATCTTGCTCCTGGAAAATAATTCATTTTTGCATCAATAAAGTTTATAAGCCATCAATGACTAAGAGTCACTCCAATAGAAGACAGTGAGTAACTAAATCTGTGCTTCAACTATAATAATAGGTTAATTTATATAGGCAAAAGAGGCCTAGATATTTTCCATCAATGTTTCAGAATGTCCATGTGTTTAAAAAGCAATACTGAAGTTTTAGAATTCAAAAACTCTGATTAATATTACAACGGAAAATGTTATAGCATATGAGAAAGTTACATTAGTTTAACTGACCTCTGAAGGTATTTATATAATGCAGTAGTTCAACTATCATATATTATGTTTCCCCTTCTCATTAAAATTTTTAAATGTATATTGCCCTTTTTATAATAAGAAATGATTAACTTGAATGCCTAATAATGTTTATAATGCTTACATGAGCTCACGGTACTTAAATTACATGCTTACAGCTTTTAAAATTGCATCCACTAGATGGCTGTGTTTCATTTCCTCTTGGATTTTCAAAAAGCTTTCAAATCTTTGCTTAGCTATTGAAAAAGAAATAACTTCAGGTAGTCTTATACTAAAATCTCTCAATCCCCTTTCCCAACTAAACACAGAAATGGGAGTTGAATTTTATTGAAAAAGTTCAAAAGTAAAGTTAACACAAATATCAAAGGCATTCTCCACAGTAACTAATCTAGATTCATTGTTGTCATTTAAGGCCTTTAACAAAGCCCTCTTTCCCACATTTCCCTCACCACAGTAATGTTATTCATGGACAAACACACATGAATATTTATATATGCTTCCAAGAATACCTAGCCACTCAAAAGATACCATTAGAATCTGAGTATGTTACAAACATCAAATATAATTCTCTATCAAAGATTCTAGTTTGAAAAACACCCAGCATCCTAAGTCCACAGTGAAGAGATGAAGAAACATTTTAAATTCAACTTTTATTTCATATTTCCAATTTCTTATTTCTATTTTTTTAACTTTTTAGGTTCATGGGTACATGTGTAGGTTTGTTATATAGGTAAACTCATGTCACAGGGATGTGTTGTACAGATTATTTCATCACCCAGGTACTAAGCCTAGAACCCAAAAGTTATTTTTTCTGATCCTCTTCCTTCTCCCACTCTCCACCCTCAGGCAGAACCCAGTGTATGTTGTTCCCCTCTTTGTGTCCATGTGTTCTCATTGTTTAGTTCCCACTTGGAAGTGAGAACATGTGGTATTTGGTTTTCTGTTCCTGTGTTAGTTTGCTAAAGATAATGGCCTCCAGCTCCATCCATGTTCCTGCAAAGGATATTACCTCATTCTTTTTTATGGCTGCATAGTATTTAATGATGTATATATATCACATTTTCTTTATCTAGTCTAACACTGATAAGCATTTAGGTTGACTCCATGTCTTTGCTATTGTGAATAGTGCTGCAATGAACATATGCATGCCACGTGTCTTTGTGGTAGAACAATTTCTATTCCTTTGAGTATATACCCAGAAATGGGATTGCTGGATCAAAAGGTAGTTCTGTTTTTAGTTCTTTGAGGAATCGCCACATTGTTTTCCACAATGGTTGAATGAACTTACATTCCTGCCAATAATGCATAAGTGTTCCCTTTTCTCCACAACCTCGCCAGCATCTGTTATTTTTTGACTTTTTAATAATAGCCATTCTGACTGGTCTGAGATTCCAATTCCTTATTCTTATTCTTATGAATCCCCTTATTCATAAGATTACTATTCTATAGCAGGCTATATATGAACTCTTAATAATTACTTCCTTCAGGTAACAGACTTCTTAACAAAGGCATACCTTAGAGATATGGCTGGTTCAGTTCCAGACCACTGCCATAAAGCATATATTGCAATAAAGTGAGTCACATCAATTTTTGGTTTCCAAAAAATTGCAAATGAAAGTAATGTTTGCACTATAGTGTAATCTATTAAGTGTGCAATAGCATTATATATAAAAACATATTTATTTTAATTTAAAAATACTTTATTGAGGTCAGGCACAGTGGCTCACGCCTGTAATCCCAGTACTTTGGGAGGCCAAGGCAGATGGATCACTTGAGCCCAGGAATCTGAGACAAGCCTGGCCAACATGGCAAAACCCCATCTCTACTAAAAATACAAAACATAGCCAGATGTGGTGGCGCACATCTATAATCCCAGCTACTATGGGAGGCTGAGGCAGGAGAATCGCTTGAACCCAGGAAGCAGAGATTGCAGTGAGTCGAGATCACGCCACTGCACTCCAGCCTGGGCGAGAGAGCAGGACTCTGTCTCAAAAATAAATAAATAAAATTAAAATACTTTACTGCTAAAAAAAAAAATGCTAACCATCATCTGGCCCTTCAGGAAGTCATCATCTTTAATGGTGGAAGGTCCTAACTCAATGTTTGTTGATGACTGCTGACTGATGAGGGTGGTAGCAGCTGAAGGCTGGGCAGTCAGTGCCAGTTTCTTAAAATAAGGCAACAAAGAAGTTTGCTACATTGGTTGACTCTTTCTTCAAAAAGGTTTCTCTGTAGCATGCAATGCTGCTTGATAGCATTTTACTAGCAGTAGAACCTCTTTCAAAACTGAAACCCTATGGCTACTTTAGCAACTAAGTTTATGTAATATTCTAAATCTTTTGCTGTCATTTCAGTAATGTTCACAGCATCTCCACCAGGAGGAGTTTCCATCTCAAGAAACTATTTTCTTTGGTCATCTATAAGAAGCAACTCCTCACCCATTCAAGTTTTATGAATGCATGAGATTGCAGCAATTCAGTCACATCTTCAGGCTCCACTTCTAATTCTAATTATCTTGCTATTTCTAACCTACAGTAACTTATTCCACTGAAGTCTAAACCTGCCCCCACCCCCAAAGTTATCCATAAGGACTGGAACCAACTTCCTCCAAACTCCTGTTAATGATGACATTTGGACCTCCTCACATGAATCACAAATGGTCTTAAGGGCATCTAGAATGGCAAATCCTTTCCAGAAAGTTTTCAATTTAATTTGCCTAGATCCATCAAAGGAGTCACTATCTATGTCAGCTATAGCCTTATGAAATGTATTTCTTAAGTAATAAGACTTGAAAGTCAAAATTCTTCATTGATGCATGTGCTGCAGAATGGATGTTGTGTTAGCAAGGATGAAAACAACATTAACTTGCTGGTACATAACCATCAGCGCTCTTCAGTAACCAAGTGCATTGTTAACAAACAATATTTTGAGAAGAATCTTTTTTTTCTGAGCAGCAGGTACCGTGGGCTTAAATATTCAGTTAAATATTCTGTAAAGAGATGAGCTGTCATCTGGGCTTTGTTGTCCCATTTATAGAGCACAGGCAGAGTATATGTAGCATAATTCTTAAGGGCCCTAGGATTTGGAGAATGGTAAATGAGCAATGGCTTCAACTTAAACTCACCAGCAATATTAGCCCCTAACCAGAGAGTCATCCTGTCCTCTGAAGCATTAAAGCTGGGCACTGACTTCTCCTCTCTAGCTCTGAAACACCTAGATGACACCTTCCAGTAGAAGATTGTTTTGTCTGCAATGAAAATCTGTTGTTTAGTGTGGCCACCTTCATCGATTATTTTAGCTAGATCTTTGGGATTACTTGCTGCAGCTTCTACATAAGCACTTGTTTCACCTTGCATTTTTATATTATGTAGAAGTCTTATTTCCCTAAAAGTCATGAACCAATCTCTCCTAGCCTCCAACTTTTCTTCTCCAAATTCCTCACCTCTCTCAGCCTTCATCAAATTGAAGAGAGTTAGGGTCTTGTTCTAAATTAGGCTTTGACTTAAGGGAATGCTGTGGCTGGTTTGATCTATCCAGACCACTACAACTTTCTCCATGTCAGCAATAAGAATGGCTGGCTCTCTTATCACTTATGTGTTCACTAAAGTAGCACTTTTAATTTCCTTCAAGAACTTTTCCTTTGCATTCACAACTTGGCTGTTCGGCACTAAAGACATAGCGTTTGGCCTGTACTGGTTTTCAACATTCCTTCCTCACTAAGCTTAATCATTTCTAGCTTTTGATTTAAAATGAAACAGGTGTGAGCCTTCCTTTCACTTGAACACTTAGAGGACACTGTAGAGTTAACTGGCCTCATTTCAACATTGTTGTGTCTCAAGGAGTAGGAAGGCCAGACGAGAGGGAGAGTTGGAAGAACGGCTGGACAGAGGAGTAGTGAGAACACATATATTTATAAATTAAGTACATCACCTTATGCAGGCATGGTTCATGGTGCCCCAAAACAATTACAATAGCAGTAACGTAAAGACCACTGGACAGGGCGGGGAGGGGCCACGATGGCCAAATAGAAACAGCGGCAGTCTGCAGCTCCCAGCGAGACCAACGCAGAAGGTGGGTGATTTCTGCATTTCCAACTGAGGTACACAGTTCATCTCACTGGGACTGGTTAGGCACTGGGTGCAACCCACGGAGAGCAAGCAGAAGCAGGGTGGGGCGTCACTTCACCCTGGAAGTGCAAGGAGCTAGGGCAACTCCCTCCCCCAGCCAGCCAGGGGAAGTGGGGAGGGACTGTGCTACCCGCCCTGAGTACTACGCTTTTCCCATGGATTTTTGCAATCCGCAGATCAGGAGATTCCCTCGTGACCCTATGCCACCAGGGCCCTGTGTTTCAAGCACAAAACTGGGCGGCTGTTTGGGCAGACACCAAGCTGCAGGAGTTTTTTCGTATGCCAGTGGCACCTGGAACTCCAGTGAGAAAGGACAACCGTCCACTCCTCTGGAAAGGGAGCTGAAGCCAGGAACCCAAGAAGTCTAGCTCAGCAGGTCCCACTCCCACGGAGCCTAGCAAGCTAAGAACCACTGGCTTGAAATTCTCACTGCCAGCACAGCAGTCTGGAGTCGACCTGGGATGATCGAGCTTGGTGGGGGAAGCAGCGACCGCCATTACTGAGGCTTTCGTAGGTGGTTTTCTCCTGATAGTGCTAAGGAGACTGGGAGGTTTGGACTGGGCACAGTCACCACAGCAAAGCAAAGTGGCTGTGGCCAGACTGCTTCTCTGGATTCCTCCTCACTGGGCAGGGCATCTCTGCAGGATATGCAGCAGTTCAGTCAGGAGCTTACAGATAAAACTCTCATCCTGGTAGGACAGAGCACCTGGGGGAAGGGGCGGCTGCAGTCGCAGCTTCAGTGGACTTAAATCTTTCCTACCTGTCAGCTCTGAAGACAGCGGCTGATCCTGACAAGGGGGATTCTCCCAGCACAGCGCACCCGCACTCCTAAGGACAGACTGCCTCCTCAAGTGGGTCCCTGACCCCCCTGCCTCCTGACTGGGAGAGACCTCCCAATAGGGATCGACAGACACCTCATATAAGAGAGCTCCAGCTGGCATCAGGCTGCTGCCCCTCTGGGACAAAGCTTCCGGAGGAAGGAGCAGGCAGCAATCTTTGCTGTTCTCCAGCCTCCACTAGTGATACCCAGGCAAACAGGGCCTACAAACTGCAGCAGACCTGCAGAAGTCCAGCAAACTGCAGCAGACCATCAGAAGAGGGGCCTGTTAGAAGAAAAACTAACAAACAGAAAGGAACAACATCAACATCAACATCAAGAACCCCCCCCACAGGCCGGGCGTGGTGGCTCACGCCTGTAATCCCAGCACTTTTGGAGGCCGAGGCGGGTGGATCAGGAGGTCAGGACATCAAGACTATCCTGGCTAACATGGTGAAACCCCGTCTCTACTAAAAATACAAAAAATTAGCCGGGTGTGGTGGCGTGCACCTGTAGTCCCAGCTACTTGGGAGGCTGAGGCAGGAGAATGGCATGAACCCAGGAGGCGGAGCTTGCAGTGAGCCGAGATCACGCCACTGCATTCCAGCCTGGGTGACAGCGCAAGACTCCATCTCAAAAAAAAAAAAAAACCCTCCCACAAAAAGCCCATCCAAAGGTCATCAGCCTCAAAGATCAAAGGTAGATAAATCCACAAAGATAAGGAAAAGTCAGCACAAAAATGCTGAAAATTCCAAAAGCCAGAATAACTTTTCTCCTCCGAATGATCGCAACACCTCTCCAGCAAGGGCACAAAACTGAACAGAGAATGAGATTGAGCAATTGGCAGAAGTAGGCTTCAGAAGGTGGAACAAACTCCTCTGAGCTAAAGGAGCATGTTCTAACACAATGCAAAGAAGCTAAGAACGTTGATAAAAGGTTATTACAGGAACTGCTAACTAGAATAACCAGTATAGAGAGGAACATAAATTCCATGTGACATGCCTGCTCCCCCTTTGCCTTCCACCATTATTGTAAGCTTCCTGAGGCCTCCCCAGAAGCCGAGCAGATGTTAGCACCATGCTTCCTGTAAAGCATACAGAATGATGAGCCAATTAATTAAATCTCTTTCCTTTATAAATTACCCAGTCTCAAGTATTTCTTCATAGCAATGTGAGAATGGCCAAATACAAATAGTATTATGAACAACCTTATGTAATCTCATTTTTTCATAAGAGTACTTTCATATATGAAAGCACTTTTAAGAACATTATGCACTATACTACCTAAGTATAAAAGACTATTATTCTATATGATAGGTCCTCCTCCTTCAATCACTCAATAGCCCCAGTATTAATTCAGTCACTGTTAAATTATATGCCTTCTTAAATTACAAATACATAATCTCCAACTTTCAGTCATTGACTTACATACTTGTCTACTTTAAAGTAAATAAATAGCAATTTACATGGTTAACCATAAACCAAATAATTTGAAATAATAACAAAATGGAGTCTATAACAAAAAGATGCTTATATCCTAGTTGATCGAAACTATTTTATATAGTATTTTATATAGTAAAATAAATAAAATAGTAAAATAAATTATTTAGGAAGTCTCATGAGATTTATTTATAAAAGAAAATCATAGGCCAGGCATAGTGGCTCACTCCTGTAATCCCAGCACTTTGAGGCCAAGGTGGGTAGATCCCTTGAACTCAAGAGTTCAAGACCACACTGGGCAACATGGCAAAACATCATCCCTAAAAAATAAACAGAAATGGCTGGGCGTGGTGGCTCACACCTGTAATCCCAGCACTTTGGGAGGCCAAAGGGGGCAGATCACTTGAGATCAGGAGTTCGAGACCAACCTGGCCAACATGGTGGAAACTTGTCTCTACTAAAAGTACAAAAAATTAGCCAGGTGTGGTGGCACACACCTGTAATCCCAGCTATTCGGGAGGCTGAGGCAAGAGAATCGCTTGAACCCAGGAGGTGGAGGTTACAGTGAGCCAAGATCACACAACTGCACTCCAGCCTGGGCGACAGAGCGAGACTCCATCTCAAAATAATAAATAAATAAACAAAAATTAGCTGGCGTTGTGGCGCATGCCTGTGGTCCCAGTACTTGGAGGGCTGAGGTGGGAGGATCACTTGTGCCTAGGAGGCAGAGGCTGCAGCAAGCTGAGATCATGCCACTGCACTCCAGCCTGGGTGACAGAGTGAGACCCTGTCTGAAGAAAAAAAAAAAAAAAATCACACGTGATTCCCATTTTACTGACAAATCATGTAGAAACACAACACATAATCACTTAAATCCCATTGCAATAAACAAAGAGTATGCCCACTATTCCACCAAGTTTAAATTTAATCCTTTTTTAAAAAAAAGAACCTGGAAAATCAAAGGCCAATCAGTTAGAGCTTATGATGTTTATTTTGGTGATATATTACTATATTACTGCTATGATAGTTGATCTATATTTAATATTACTTGCCAAATGGCTTTTATTTAAGAGTATTTCAAGATTTAGATAAAATTCTGACCTAACAATCACATTTTCAATGCAGAGGTCTGGTAGTCACTTAATATTATATGATAATTTCTATTGTATTCTTGGATATGAATATAAATACACACACAGATATAGACACATACAAACACACAAACATGTTTTCACGGAAAAAGATGTTTTCCTAAAATAGTAGAGATGTTTAGGAATTCTACTCAAGAGTAGAGATACTTAGAAATTCTATATGAAGAAAAGTTATATTACATTAATTAACTGACTACATTGAGTTAGAATTATATTGATTGATTTTCTAATGTTAAACCCGCCTGACATTAATTGTATAAAGTCTTTTATATTTTATCTTTTTAAAATCTTGCTACATTTGGTTAGCTAATATTTTGTATAATATTTTTGCATATATATTCATAACTGAGATTAGCTATAATTATCTTTTCTTCTATCCTTGTCAGTTTGGTATCAAGATTATGCTATCAAGATGTTTCCATTCTGTAGAGGAGTTTACATAAAACTGGAATTATTAGCTCCTTTAATGTTTCTTTTTATTCATTGGTAAAACAATATGGGCCAGCAATTTTGACATTGACTCAATCTATTTAATGATCCATAGTATTCAGCTTTTCTATTTTCTACTTCTTAAGTTAGATGGGGAAGGGGGAAGGATTATATCTAGCCAAACAATCCTATAGTAAAGATCATGGCTGAAAAGCCTCACCCAGACACTCAAAGTTTCTAGGAAACTTTTTAGTCCTTCACTCTTAAAATGAGAAAACATGATATTTTTAAAAATTATCCAACATGAAGATAAAATCTAAATCAAATAATGTTAAAGGGGGAGGGGCAACCTAAGAGAAATGGGTATTTAAAAACAAGAAAACTTCAAAATATCCTCAAAGAACATAAGCAGCTCCAGAATGGGGTAGCACCAAAAATCCTTTCCTTCGTAAAAGCAACAAGAATGCTGGCAAAAATTATCTGAATCTAATTTCTCGTTAACTCTTTAAATTAACCAAAAACTTGCAGTAATCCAAAAAGCATTTATTCAGGGAAATCAATTGAATCTCAATAAGAATAGTGAGATATGTGGCATTTTAACTTGTACTATTCTCATCCCCACCCCACCAGCTCCTGATTGCTTCAAAAATCAATTGCCTCAGAATAGTAGTAGCTTATGGAATCCAGCAGCCTAGCCAGCACTGTGGGGAAGGAGAGAAGAACAGAGTTGGAGCTCCCCAAAAGCCCCAGCCACAGAGAACCAGGCACATATATAGCCTTTGAAAAGCTCTGACATATTCCTGGCATCAGAAAACCATGCAAGTGCAAGTCTATATATAAGCCTAGTCCCTGAGAAGGCCTCAGTCTCTCATCTCTGGCTGACCTTAAGGCTCTGTGCAAGTAGGAAGCAAAGGCTAAGGCAGAGTTTTGATCAGCCCACAAAAGCATTGAATGCATACTCCAACATAAAGAAAGAACCACTCAGCAAAGGCTAGAAGACTTATTTGTTCACGGCATTTAAGAAAATCTTCTGTCCATTCATTAGCTGACCATCTACAAACCAAGTAGAGATTTCATTGGCCACACATGACAAAGAATACACACTTTATAGATTTAGACAGAAAAGTCACAATCAACAATATAAAAAGGTATTCAACATCATTAGTCATTAGAAAAATGCAAATCAAGGTCCAGGCACGGTGGTTCACGCCTGTAATCCCCGCACTTTGGGAGGCCGAGGCGGGCAGATCACAAGGTCAGGAGTTCAAGACCAGCCTGGCCAACATGGTGAAACCCTGTCTCTACTAAAAATACAAAAAAATTAGCCGGGCATGGTGGCGCATGCCTGTAATCCCAGCTACTTGGGAGGCTGAGGCAGGAGAACCGCTTGAACCCAGAAGGCGGAGGCTGCAGTTAGCCAAGACCGTGTCACTGCACTCCAGCCTGGCGACAGAGCGAGACTCCATCTGAAAAAAAAAAAAAAGAAAAGAAAAAAAGAAAAATGCAAATCAAAACCATTTGTTTTTATTAAGCTTTCTTAAATGTATGTATAGATAACATTTATTTCAATGTTTAATATGAGTGTTTTGAGTCTTTATTTAGAAGTTTAGTGATTTTTTTTACCAGAAATATGCTCCAAGAACTTAACTCATTTATATCAATTAACCTATGCTAAAACTGGTTTCATTCTACGTCATTCACTTAAAGTCACAATTCCCAAGAACCTATGAATGATGTTAAATGAGGACTTCTATTTCATGCCACTAAGATGGTTATCATCAAAAAGACTGATGATGACAGGTGATGGCAAAGACGTAGAGAAACTGGAACTCTCAAACATTACTCATACTGTCATTCAGCAGCATTAGAAAACAGTCCGTCAGTTCCTCAAAAAGCTAACCATAAAGTTACTATTTGACCCAGAAATTCTAATACTGAGTATATACCCAAGAGAACAGAAAATCTATGTCAACACAAAAATTTGTATATAGAACCCCCAACAAAACAGTCTATGGCATTTAATAAATCTCAAATAGGCGACAGAGCCTAGGACCACCCACTACATCAGTTGAGTATCTACCATCCTGTCACCATTACATAAACCTGCAGAAAAGTGTTAAGAAATACAGAAGTTCAGTCCTCAAACAGATGTTCAGTGGGAAAAACAAACTAGTAAGACAGGTAAGAACTCCAACTCTTTTTATAAATAGAAGATCAAAATAAAGCCACCAAAGTATCAGGAAATTGCAAAGAATGGCATGGAAACTATGCAAATATGCAAACTATTCAAAAGTAAGAAAAAGAAAAAATAACAAAGGTAGAAATGAACAAAGCACACAAAAGGCAATGTGCCCAACCAAGAAAATAGTCAAAACTCAAGAACAGGGGCACACTCAACACAACAGTTTCACACTACAAAATACTTTTAATACTAAAAACATTTGGTAAAACCAGAATTCAAATATGAGATGAAAAGTGAGACTGCAGTTCTATCAGAAGATCATAAGTTAAAAAGAACACCAAGAGGGGACCACTAAACAGATATGATTAAACATAGCTAATCATCTCTCCTAAAACACCACTTAAATGAAAGTAAAAAATAAAAACAAATGGCAGAAACAATGAATGGTGGAGAAAATGATAGCCAACAAAAGATGTCAGGAGCAAATTTGGAAGACAGAAAGCAAACTGACAAGTGATAATGACTTAGGTTTCAGCTTTTTCATCTTTTCTAAATGCGGAAAAAAAGAGAAGCCTAGTAGCAAGCTGATTTACAGCCACAAAAGCTCAGAATTTGGAGGCACAATGTCTTAGTCCATCCAGCCTGCCATAACAAGATATACCATAAACTAGGCAGTTTATAAAAAACAGAAATGTATTTCTCACAGTTCTGGAAGATGGGAAATACAAGATCAAGGTGTTGGCAGATTCAATGTCTGGCAAGAGCCTACTTTCTAGTTTATAGAGGATGCTTTCTATCTGTGTCCTAACATGGTGGAAGGCAAGAACTCTGGTTCTTCAGTCCCTTATAAAGGCACCAATTCTACTTAAGGTTTCCACCATCAAGACCTAATAATCTCCTGAAGACCCCACCTCCTAATACCATCACAATGGCAATTAGGTTTCAACATACAAATTTAGGAGGGACACAAACATCCAGACCCTAGCAAAACAGCTAACCTTGAAGCCAAGCTATATAGTAAAAATGAATACAGGAGCATTGTTGGAAGCCTCTATAACCAGTACTTTACACTCTCGGGTTGCCTCTGCCAGCTCCCTCCCTGAAAAATCCCCCTCCATATCCTGGTAAAAGGAAGGAGTTTACAAACTAGAGGTTGATCAAAAGAGGTTCTGACGATATGAAAAGCAAACACAACTGGGGGTTGGGGTAAGACACCTTATTAAAAATAAGGAGATTAAGCAACATCTGCATAGTGGGCAGTTAGACCTCACAGCGCCCTGAGCACTGACTCCTACACTCATAGCAATATAAGGAGGAGACGGAAAGATTTCTTTCTAGGGAAACTACCAGGCCAAGAAAAAAGACATCGTAAGGTTCCCTAATTCAATGCAAGGGCTCCACATCCAAAGAGCTTCTTCTCATCTTTTTAGTGCCTCATTCTTAAATATAAACACACAGTCTAGAATCACCGGACATTTGCGGAAAGGTTCTTGTATTAGGCTGTTCCTGCATGGCTATAAAGAAATATGTGAGAATGGGTAATTTATAAAGAAAAGAGGTTTAATAGGCTAACAGTTCTGCAGGCTGTACAGGAAGCATGATGCTGGCATCACTTGGCTTCTGGGGAGGCCTCAGGAAATTTACAATCATGGTAGAAGGTGAAGGGGGAGCAGGCACGTCACATGGCCAGATCAGGAGCAGGAGGAAGGAGGCGCTACACACTTTTAAATGACCAGATCTCGTGGAGCTCATTCACTACTATGAGGATAGTACCAAGAGGAATGGTGCTAAACCATTCATGAGAAATCTGCCCCCATGATCTCCTCCCACCAGGCCCTATTTCCAACACTGGTGATTACATTTCAATATGAGATTTGGGCAGAGACACACATCCAAAATATATCACTTCTCATGTGAAACTCAGAGGCTACTACAAAATGAAGCCAAACACTCAGAGAAAATAAAGACCAGGCCGGGCACAGTGGTTCACACCTGTAATCCCAGGATTTTGGGAGGCCAAGGCGGGATGACCACTTGAGTCCAGGAGTTCAAGACCAGACTGGGCAACACAGTGAGACCCTGTGTCTACAAAGAACAGAAAAAATTAGCCAGGTATGGTCGTGCACACCTGTAGTCCCAGGTATTCGAGAGGCTGAGGTGGGAAGATGGCTTGGGACCAGGAGGTTTTTGTTTTTTTTTTTAGACAGAGTTTCACTCTTGTCACCCAGGCTGGAGTGTAATGGCACCAGCTCGGTTCACTGCAACCTCCGCCTCCCAGGTTCAAGTGATTCTCCTGCCTCAGCCTCCCGAAGTAGCTGGAATTACAGGCACCCACCACCACGCCCAGTTTTTTTTTTTTTTTTTTTTTTTTTTTTTTTTTTTTTAGTTGAGATGGGGTTTCACCATGTTGGCCAGGCTGGTCTTGAACTCCTGATCTCAGGTGATCCACCCGCCTTGGCCTCCCAAAGTGCTGGGATTACAGGCATGAGCCATCGCGCCCAGCCGAGCCCAGGAGGTTTAAGCTGCAGTGAGCCATGATCGAGCCACTGCATTTCCAGCCTTTGCAGCAGAGCAAGATCCAGTCTCAAAAACAAGAAGAAAGAAAAGAAAAGAAGACAAGACCATCAAGGGAGGGGTGGGGGGAGAAACACCTTCAAAATAAGTATGACTTATATCCTCAAAGAGTTAAATTAAGACATTACAAACATGAAACAAGGAGAATATACTAAGAAAGGTATCATCAAATAACAAGAATGAGCTTAGAAATTAAAAACCCAAAAGATGAAATAAAATGTAATAGAAAGGCTGCAATATAAAATTGAGAAAATCTCTCAGAAAATAAGAGTAAAAATATAAAAAGATGGAAAATAGAAGAGATAAGCATTATAAGGATGTCAACTTTATGTCAAAATGATCTATAAATGCAATCCAATTTTAATCAAAATTACAGGAAGGTCTCTTGATGGAATACAATAAGCCATTCCTGAAACTCACATAGGGAAGTAAAAAGCCAAGAATAACCCCTCCCTCACCCCTAAAAAATATTAAGAATAAAGACAGAGGAAAGTTCTCTACCAGATATCAAGACTTATTCTAAAGGTATAATGAATAAAGCAATTTAGTACTGATGCAGAAACAAACATGTAAGTGAAACAGAACAGAGTACCCAAGAACAAAATCTTAGATATAAAAGAACTTGATGTATGATGGAAATGACACTATAAATCAATATGCGGTAAAAGAACAGACAATTGAATAACTAGTACAGGGACACTTGGCTATCTATTTGGAAAAACAAAATTAGATCCCATCTCATGCTATATACGCATTATCTTTATGACTTTGGGTTATCTAAGACAAAACAATCACAACTATAAAAAAATATACTGATAAATTCAACTACATTAAAATTTAAAACTAGGCCAAGTGCGGTGGTTCACGCCTGTAATCCCAGCACTTTGGGAGGCCAAGGCGGGTGGATCACCTGAGGTCAGGAGTTCAAGACCAGCCTGGCCAACATGGTGAAACCCCGTCTCTACTAAAAATAAAAAAAAATAAAAAATTAGCTGGGCATGGTGGCAGGCACCTGTAATCCCAGCTACTCGGGAGGCTGAGGCAGGAGAATCGCTTGAACCCGGGAGGCGGAGGTTGCAGTGAGCCAAGATCACACCACTGCACTCCAGCCTAGATGACAGAGCGAGACTCCGTGTCCAAAAAAAAAAAAAATTTTAAACTGTTCATCATACATAATGTAAATTGCCTCTCTGTCTCTACAAAGAAGAAAAAGATGTTTGCAAAAGGAATATACATAACCAAGGGTTAGTTACTAAATATATTTTTTAAAAAAAAACCACTCTTTTTTTTTTTTTTTTTTTTTTTTTTTTGAGACAGGGTCTTGCTCTGTAGCCCGGGCTGTGATCATAGGACAATGCAGCCTTGACCTCCCAGGCAAAAGCAATCCTCTCACCTCAGCCTCCCTAGTAGCCAGGATCACAGGTATATGCCACTACGCCTGGCTAATATATATACTTTTTTTTTTTTTTCATAGAGAGAGTGTCTCTGTTGCCCAGGCTGGTCTCGAACTCCTGGGCTCAAGCAATTCTCCCACCTCAGACTCCTAAAATGCTAGGATTACAGGCAGGAGCCACCACCCCCAGCCAAAAGTTCCTATTAATCAATAAAAATATACCCAAAAATCCAAAAGAAAAAAGGCAAAAAATATAAGCTGGCACTTCACAAAAAAGAAATGTGAATGGCCAATAAACGTAACATGGTCAATGTCAAGGAAGTGGAAATTTAAGCAAGAATGAGATACAATTTCACACATATCCTATTTCAAAAGAAATTAAATCTGAAAAATACCAAGAGGCTGTAAAGGAAGAGAAACTCTTCTTTGAAATTGTTACACCCACTTAAGAGAACAATTTGGCACATATTTTATACGCACTAAATACATACCCACATAAAAAGATGTGATGTTCATGGAATCACTGTCTGTAATAATTTAAACTTGCAAAGAACTTAAATCTCAATGTCAGTGTTATGGTTTGAATGTGTGTCCCTTCCAAAACTCATGTTGAAATGTAATCCCCCATGTGACAGTTTTGAGAAGTGGGGCCTTTAAGAGAGGACTGGGTCATGACAGCTCTGCCCTTGTGAATGGGTTAATCCAATCATGGATTAATGGGTTAATGGGTTATCATGGCAGTAGAACTGGTGGCTTTACAAGAAGAGAAAGAGAGACCTGAGCTGGCACACTCAGCCCACCAGCATGCAATGCCCTGTGCAGCCTTGGACCTCTGCAGAGTTCCCATCAGCAAGAAGGCCATCGTCAGATGCAGTCCCTTGACATTAGATGTCTCAGCCTCCAGAACTGCAAGAATAAATTCTTTTTCTTTATAAATTAACCAGCTTCATATATTCTGTTATAAACAACAGAAAATGGACAAGGCAGTCAGGTAATGAGTAAATTATGGCACACGCACAAGATAAAATATTATACAGCAGTTAAACTGAATGAACAGAAGCTATTTTATTAACTTTAACAAACCTCAAAAATACAAGCAGGCCAGGCATGGTGGCTCACACTTGCAATACCAGCACTTTGATAGGCCAAGGCGGGTGGATCACTGGAGCTCAGGAGTTCAAGAATAGATTGGCCAACATGGCGAAACCCCGTCTCTACTAAAAAATGCAAAAATTAGCCAGGTGTGGTGACACGTGCCTGTGGTCTCAGCTACTCAGGAGGCTGAGGTGGGAGGATTGCTTGAGCCCAGGAGGCAGAGGTTGCAGTGAACCAAGATCGCGCCACTGCACTCCAGCCTGGGTGACAGAGTGAGACCCTGTCTAAAAGAAAAAAAAAAGTGAAAAATATAAGTTTGACAAAGAAGCATCCTGTATGATATTCTAATATATATCCTAAAACAAAAATACTAAAATAATACAATATACTGTCAATGTATACAGACAGAAAATTAAACACCAACTTCAGAATGGCAGTTATTCTTTTGGGGCTGAAGTTGTGGCAGGATGGGGAAGTGACTCAGAATTGTCTTCAATGATATAACAATTTACTGTTTGTTTCCAGTTCCAGTAAACATAACACACACTAACATGATCTAGGTAGCATTTGTTACATTAATGGTATTGCTGGGTTATATTGGGCATTGAGTATATATAAATCCCTGGGGGGGTTGTATGTTCAAATATTTGCTTTAAGTTTATGGCTTTATCAATATCATCCAATCCTGAGATGCAATGTAACACTCAAGAAAATCCAAAAAAACTACAAAAATACCTCATGCAATTTACAGAAAAACTTGCCTTCATCCCAAATAAATGTAACTTTAAAATTTTTGTTACAGAACATATTTTCCAATCACACCAAAAGCTACCTGCATCTTTATTATGTGTGTCTGTGTGTGTGAAATAAAATCATATTAAGGACACTGGAAATTGAGGGAAGTTCTTCTTTTTTCCACTAGAGGGGGCTGTTGAACTTAAAATATTTTAAAATGAGGCTTGTTTTTGAACTGACATTTAATATCACAGGAAACTACATTTGGCTGTTAGAAAATAAACTTGCTTTCTTTCCACATCTTCCAGAAACGTAGCCCAAAAAGTATAATTCTTTATATATACTCATATAAACAACATTTCTCAGAATCCAAAATACAGTTCCGTTCCAATTCTGAAGAATTACACTAGTTAGAAAAGTATCAGAGTTAAATGTACTCCTCTTTTCTAGCTTATAAAATATATCAATATAGCTAACTACAACCTTAATCTATTACATTATTATCTCCTGAAAGACCCAGAACAAGTTCCTCCTCTCTAAGTCCCCAAGGCTAGCAAAGTTCTACAATTACAAAGTGTTTGTTGCTATAGAGCATAAACTGGTGCTTTGTATAACATTTATCATAATTGTGAATCCATAAGCTTGAAAATGAAACAATTATATTTCTAGGCATTTACACGAAGAATCATTTGTATGACTGCTCAAAGATATGGACAAGAATGTTAGTGAATCATTAATTAGAGCTAAAAATTTTGAAAGAAATAAAATGTGCATCAATAAGAGATTACTGAAATACAATATTCCCTCTTATCTGCGGTTTCATCTTCCCTTTCAGTTACCCTGAGTCAACCTAGGTCCAAAAATAAGTGAATACAGTACAATAAGATATTTAGAGTGGGAGAAAGACCACATTCACATTACTTTTATTATAGTATCTTGTTATGATGGTTCTATTATTAGTTACATCGTTAATCTCTTACTGCGCCTAATTTATAAATTAAACGTTATCATAGGTATGTGTGTGTATAGAAAAAAACACAGCATATCTGCAGTTTCAGGCATCCACTGGTGTCATGTAACATATGCCCCACAGGTAAGGGAAAGGCTACAGTATGTTAGGAAAATCCACATGACAGAATGCCATGCAAATACTAAAAGAATAAGGTATGAACATCAAAAGATGGAGGCAAAATATTATTGAGGTGTATCATTTTATTTATGTAAAAACGTAATGCTTCTATATCCTGACATGAGGAGCGAAATCAGAGGTGAAAGGGGCAAGACCCTTACTTTCTTGCTTTTAAATTTCCCTAAATTAGGGACTTTTTTTTTTCTTTTTTTTTTTTTGACAGAGTCTCGCTCTGTCGCCCAGGCTGGAGTGCAGTGGTGCGACCTTGGCTCACTGCAACCTCCACCTCCTGGGTTCAAGCGATTCTCCTGCCTCAGCCTCCTGAGTAGCTGGGATTACAGGTGCGTGCCACTACTCCCGGCTAATTTTTTTTTTTTTTTTTTTTTTAGTAGAGACAGGGTTTCACAGTGTTGGCCAGGATGGTCTCAATCTCCTGACCTCATGATCTGCCCGCCTCAGCCTCCCAAAGTGCTGGGATTACAAGCATGAGCCACTCTGCCCGGCCAAATTAGGGGCATTTTTATAACAAAGTTATCAGTGTCAGAGTCCTTTTCTATGCCATTTGTTAATAGGATACCAGTACATAGTTTTCCAGAAGAAAAGAAATGCTCCTTGCTGCCCTTGATTATTTAAGGTAAACTTCCTTAAGGTGTTTACCTGTCATACATGTCAACATATGTTAATGTGTTACATAAATAAAATTATAAGCCAGGTGTGGTGGCTCACTCCTGTAATCTCAATACTTTGGGAGACTGAGGCAGAAGGATCACTTGAGCCCAGGAATTCAAGACCAGCCTAGGCAACAAAGGAAGACCCCCATCTCTACAAAAATTTTAAAAATTAACCAGGCTTCGTGGCACATGCTTATGGTCCCAGATACAAAGGAGGCTGAGGTAGGCAAAGGCTGCAGTGAGCTGTGATAGTCCCGCTGCACTCCAACATGGGCAACAGAGTGAGACCTTGTCTCAAAAATATAAAATAATAAAACAAAATAAAATTATATTCCTAATATTTTGCATCCATCTGTTGATGTTCATATCTTATTTCTGTGTGTATTTGCATACTATTCTGTTACGTGGATATTCCTAAAAACACTTTCTTTTCACGTAACTTCCTCCGAGTTGTCACTACATCACAATCATACTTACTGGGTCAGCTTTTGATATGTTGCACCCCAATCCCTGGATTGTCTTAAGGCCTATCAGACCATGCCTACTAAGGGTGGTCTGATAACTTTCTTCACTGCCTCCCTACTCTTCCTCCTCTTTCTATAGTTCATGGAATTATTTTCAAGCTACACTTCCCATACCGTCACAAACTCCCCCATGCTTCAATCACTAGACACATACACCAAATTTAGTCGATGAATAAGGAAAGGATAACTGTATTCCCTGGTTGAGGTATAGAATTTTGGAAATGAAATAAAAATGAAAACATATATATTCATCTTCTAAATGTTTTCAATCCCACTGATAAAGTATACGTGAAATTAACTGGAAAAATAACAAAGGAGGGGCATGATAGTTTAGAAACAAAGCTTTATCACTGCCTGTCCCACAATAGAAAAGCTTGTGGCAGGGCAAAGATTTCATGACAAACTCACCATAAGCAATTGCAACAGAAGCAAAAATTGACAAATGGGATCTAATTAAAAACTTAAGAGCTTCTGCACAGCAAAATAAACTATCATCAGAGCAAACAGGCAACCTACAGAATGGGAGAAAATTTCTGCAATCTATCCATCTGACAAAGGTCTAACATCCAGAATCTACAAGGAAATTAAACAAATCTACAAGAAAAAAAAAAACCATCAAAAAGTGGGCAAAGGACATAAACAGACACTTCTCAAAAAAAAAGACATACATGCAGCCAACAAACATGAAAAAAAGCTCAACATCACTGATCATCAGAGAAATGCAAGTCAAAATCACAATGAGATACCATCTCAGGCCAGTCAGAATGGCAATTATTAAAAAGCCAAGAAACAACAGATGCTGGCAAGGTTGCAGTGAAAGAGGAATGCTTTTACAGTGTTGGTGGGAATGTAAATTACTTCAACCATTGTGGAAGACAGTGTGGCAATTCCTCAAAGATCTAGAACCAGAAATACCATTTGACCCAGCAATCCCATTAATAGGTATATACCCAAAGGAATATAAATCATTCTACTATAAAGACACATGCACATGTATGCTCATTGCAGCACTATTCACAATAGCAAAGAGATGGAATCAACCCAAATGCCCATCGATGATAGGCTGGATAAAGAAAATGTGGTATATATACACCATAGAATACTATGCAGCCATAAATGAATGAAATCATGTCTTTTGCAGGGACATGGATAGAGCTGGAAGCCATTATCCTCAGCAAACTAATGCAGGGACAGAAAACGAAATACCGCATGTTCTCACTTGTAAGTGGGAACTGAACAATGAGAACACATGGACACAGGGAGGGGAACAACACACACTGGGGCCTGTCAAGGGTGGAGTGAAGGGAGGGAGAGCATTAGAAAAAACAGCTATGCAAGCTGAGCTTAATACCTAGGTGATGGGTTGACAGGAGCAGCAAACCACCATGGCACATGTGTACCTATGTAACTAACCTGCACATCCTGCATATGTACCCAAAAACTTAAAATAAATCCCAGCACTCTGGGAGGCTGAGGCGGGAAGATCACAAGGTCAGGAGATCGAAACCATCCTGGCTAACACGGTGAAACCCTGTCTCTACTAAAAATACAAAAAAAACTTAGCTGGGCGTGGTGACGGGCGCCTGTAGGCCCAGCCACTCGGGAGGCTGAGGCAGGAGAATAGCATGAACCCAGGAGGTGGAGGTTGCAGTGAGCCAAGATCGCGCCACTGCACTCCAATCTGGGTGACAGAGTGAGACTCCGTCTCAAAAAAATACATAAATAAATAAAAATTAAAAAAATTAAATAAGGCTAGGCGAGATGGCTCACGCCTGTAATCTCAGCACTTTGGGAGGCCGAGGCAGGCAGATCGCCTGAGGTCAGGAGTTTGAAACCAGCCTTGCCAACCTGGCAAAACTCCGTCTCTACTAAAAATACAAAAATTAGCTGGGCATGGTGGTGCGTGCCTGTAATCCCAGCTACTCAGGAGACTGAGGCAGGAGAATCGCTTAAACCCGGGAGGCGGAGAGGTTGCAGTGAGCCGAGATCACATCACTGCACTCCAGCCTGGACAACACAGAGAGACTCTGTATCAAAAAAAAAAAAAAAAAAAAAAAAAAGAAAAAAAAAAAAAAGAAATGAGAAACACTATCTTAAAATGAGGTAACTTTTTGGGTAACACCAATAAGAATTCACTCATGTTAATATTCCAGAGAAGGACACCTCTATTTAGTGCTCCAATCTCCAAGAAAGAAAAAGAATATGGCATAAAATTGAGATTTTCTTTTTATGGTGGGTCTGAATTCTAAAGCCCAGATGAGAGAAATATTATAACAAGTTTTGTCTATTAAAGATGGGGTTTCACTGAGAAGGTTTAAAAATAACTTATTTAAAAAACTGAATTCTCTTAGAGAGCTACACAAAGAGAACACTATGAGATACTAACACCTAATTATAGTATGTAAAACTAAACCCATCAACAGCCAACAGAGAAGAAAATTTCACTCTATCCCTCAGGTTGTTTTTAAAAAACTTTTTTTAACATAAAGTCACAACAGTTTCTTAAGATTGATGTATAAAAGGAAAAGCTATTTTCTTTTGTTAATTAAAAAAAGGACAAGAAATTGAGAAACAGAGTTCTAAACATTCCAGTTACAAATTACAGTAAAATTTACCTTACAAAAGCAGCAAAGCAAGTTACTGTTCGTAGTAACTAGGGAGCATATTCCCACATTTTTCTGTACACCTCATAATGAAAGACAGATGCCTAATTTTAAATTCTTTTAGTACTTCACATATAAACTTTGGTATAACCACAATGTTTCATTTAGGATTTACAGGACTGATCTGGAAATGAGACCAAAATCACATCATCCACATATTTATACACAGGCCTTTGAATTATATTTTATAAATTTAGACCTCTGGCTGAGTGTTTAGAAATAAAAGAGCTATTTTAATTTACTTTATTTTGCTTGTTTATTCCAAGTAGCCTTTAAGACACTTATCAACAACTTAAATATCCTGTAGGCTCTGCAAAGTCTTCCTTAGTCTCCCAGACAGCTAATCAACTTCTCTTCTGTGGCACTACAGCATTTTATTTAAAATTTTATCAAACAATATTTTCTCCCTTTACATGTCTCTGCGCTGAAATATCTTCGAGGACAGAAACCAGGTCTTAATCAGTTTTACAGCCTCAGTATCCAGAGCAGTAACTCAGTAAGTACTTAGAGAATGAATGAACGAGTAAATGAACTAATGAACTAATTAACTACACAAACTACAAACAGAATACAAGAGGTCTAAAGCGTGGTTGTACTGTCCTTCCAGATTCTACAGAAGAGGTAATGGGAAGAAAAGCACTGCACAAAGACTGAAGGTTTGGAAAAGCTGTGGTTTCATTGGTATTTTCAATAATGACATATATAACAAATTCAGAATTTCCAATGTTCACTACCAGCTTTTACTCTCAAAAAAATGAAGTGGCTGTGGAGCCAAGATGGCCAAATAGGAACAGCTCCAGTCTACAGCTCCCAGCAAGAGCGATGCAAAAGACGAATGATTTCTGCATTTCCAACTCAGGTACCGGGTTCATCTCACTGAGGATTGTCAGAGAGTGGGTGCAGGACAGTGGGTGCAGTGCACTGAGCGTGAGTCGAAGCAGGGCGAGGCATCGCCTCCCCCAGGAGGCACAAGGGGTCAGGGAATTCCCTTTCCTAGCCAAGGAAAGGGGTGACAGATGGCACCTGTAAATCGGGTCACTCCCACCCTAATACTGCACTTTTCCAACAGTCTTAGCAAACGGCACACCAGGAGATTGTATCCCGCGCTTGGCTCGGAGGGTCCTACACCCATGGAGCCTCGCTCACTGCTACCACAGCAGTGTGAAATCCAACTGCAAGGTGGCAGCGAGGCTGGGGGAGGGACGCCCGCCATTGTGGAGGCTTGAGTAGGTAAACAAAGTGGCCGGGAAGCTCGAAATGGGTGGAGCCCACCGCAGCTCAAGGAGGCCTGCCTGCCTCTGTAGACTCCACCTCTGGGGGCAGGGCATAGCCAAACAAAAGGCAGCAGAAACCTCTGCAGACTTAAATGTCCCTGTCTGACAGCTTTGAAGAGAGTAGCAGTTCTCCCAGCATGCAGCTGGAGATCTGAGAACAGACAGACTGCATCCTCAAGTGGGTCCCGGACCCCCGAGTAGCCTAACTGGGAGGCACCCCTGAGTAGGGGCAGACTGACACCTCACACGGCCGGGTACTCCTCTGCGACAAAACTTCCAGAAGAACAATCAGGCAGCAACATTGGCTGTTCACCAATATCTGCTGTTCTGCAGCCTCTACTGCTGATACCCAGGCAAACAGGGTCTGGAGTGGACCTCCAGCAAACTCCAACAGACCTTCAGCTAAGGGTCCTGACTGTTAGAAGGAAAACTAACAAACAGAAAGGACACCCACACCAAAACCCCATCTGTACATCACCATCATCAAAGATCACAAGTAGATAAAACCACAAAGATGGGGAAAAAACAGAGCAGAAAAATGGAAACTCTAAAAATCAGAGTGCCTCTCCCCCTCTAAAGGAACACAGCTCCTCACCAGCAAAAGACCAAAGCTGGATGGAGAATGACTGACGAGTTGAGAGAAGAAGGCTTCAGACAATCAAACTACTCCGAGCTAAAGGAGGAAGTTCGAACCCATGGCAAAGAAGATGAAAAAAGATTAGACGAATGGCTAACTAGAATAGCCAATGCAGAGAAGTCCTTAAAGGACCTGACGGAGCTGAAAACCATGGCAAGAGAACTATGTGACGAATGCACAAGCTTCAGTAGCCGATTCGATCAACTGGAAGAAAGGGTATCAGTGATGGAAGATCAAATGAATGAAATGAAGTGAGAAGAGAAGTTTAGAGAAAAAAGAGTAAAAAGAAACAAAGAAAGTCTCCAAGAAATATGGGGCTATGTGAAAAGACCAAATCTACGTCTGATGGGTGTACCTGAAAGTGACGGGCAGAATGGAACCAAGTGGAGAACACTCTGCAGGATATTATCCAGGAGAACTTCCCCAATCTAGCAAGGCAGGCCAACATTCAGATTCAAGAAATACAGAAAATGCCACAAAGATACTCCTCGAAAGGAGCAACTCCAAGACACATAATTGTCAGATTCACCAAAGTTGAAATGAAGGAAAAAATGTTAAGGGCAGCCAGACAGAAAGGTTGGGTGACCCACAAATGGAAGCCCATCAGACTAACAGCGGATCTCTCGGCAGAAAATCTACAAGCCAGGAGAGAGTGGGGGCCAATATTCAACATTCTTGAAGAAAAGAATTTTCAACCCAGAATTTCATATCCAGCCAAACTAAGCTTCATAAGTGAAGGAGAAATAAAATACTTTACAGACAAGCAAATGCTGAGAGATTTGGTCACCACCAGGCCTGCCCTAAAAGAGCTCCTGAAGGAAGCACTAAACATGGAAAGGAACAACCAATAACAGCCACTGCCAAAACATGCCAAATCGTAAAGACCATCAAGGCTAGGAAGAAACTGCATCAACTAATGAGCAAAATAACCAGCTAATATTATAATGACAGGATCAAATTCACACATAACAACGTTAATCTTAAATGTAAATGGGCTAAATGCTCCAATTAAAAGACACACACTGGCAAATTGGATAAAGAGTCAAGGCCCATCAGCGTGCTGTATTCAGGAGACCCATCTCACATGCAGAGACACACATAGGCTCAAAATAAAGCGATGGAGGAAGATCCACCAAGCAAATGGAAAACAAAAAAGGCAGGGGTTGCAATCCTAGTCTCTGATAAAACAGACTTTAAGCCAACAAAGATCAAAAGAGACAAAGAAGGCCATTACATAATGGTAAAGGGATCAATTCAACAAGAAGAGCTAACTATCCTAAATATATATGCACCCAATACAGGAGCACCCAGATTCATAAAGGAAGTCCTTAGAGACCTACAAAAGGACTTAGACTCCCACACAATAATAATGGGAGACTTTAACACCCCACTGTCAACATTAGACAGATCAATGAGACAGAAAGTTAACAAGGATATCCAGGAATTGAACTCAGCTCTGCACCAAGTGGACCTAATAGACATCTACAGAACTCTCCACACCAAATCAACAGAATACAAATTCTTTTCAGCACCACACCACACCTATTCCAAAATTGACCACATAGTTGGAAGTAAAGCACTCCTCAGCAAATGTAAAAGAACAGAAATTATAACAAACTGTCTCTCAGACCACACTGCAATCAAACTAGAACTCAGGATTAAGAAACTCACTCAAAACCGCTCAACTACATGGAAACTGAACAACCTACTCCTGAATGACTGCTGGGTACATAATGAAATGAAGGCAGAAAAAAAGATGTTCTTTGAAACCAACGAGAACAAAGACACAACATACCAGAATCTCTGGGACACATTCAAACCAGTGTATAGAGGGAAATTTACAGCACTAAATGCCCACAAGAGAAAGCAGGAAAGATCTAAAATTGACACCCTAACATCACAATTAAAAGAACTAGAGAAGCAAGAGCAAACACATTCAAAAGCTAGAAGAAGGCAAGAAATAACTAAGATCAGAAGAGAACTGAAGGAAATAGAGACACAAAAAACCCTTCAAAAAATCAATGAATCCAGGAGGTGGTTTTTTGAAAAGATCAACAAAATTGATAGACCGCTAGCAAGACTAATCATAAAGAAGAAAAGAGAGAAGAATCAAATAGACACAATAAAAAATCATAAAGGGGATATCACCACCGATCCCACAAAAATACAGACTACCATCAGAGAATACTATAAACACCTCTATGCAAATAAACTAGAAAATCTAGAAGAAATGGAAGAATTCCTGGACACATACACCCTCCCAAGACTAAACCAGGAAGAAGTTGAATCTCTGAGTAAACCAATAACAGGCTCTGAAATTGAGGCAATAATTAATAGCTTACCAACCAAAAAAAGTCCAGAACCAGATGGATTCACAGCCGAATTCTACCAGAGGTACAAGGAGGAGCTGGTACCATTCCTTCTGAAACTATTCCAATCAATAGAAAAAGAGGGAATCCTCCCTAACTCATTTTATGAGGCCAGCATCATCCTGATAGGAAAGCCTGGCAGAGACACAACAAAAAAAGAGAATTTTAGACCAATATCCCTGATGAACATCAATGCAAAAATCCTCAAAAAAATACTGGCAAACTGAATCCAGCAGCACACCAAAAAGCTTATCCACCATGATCAAGTAGGCTTCATCCCCGGAATGCAAGGCTGGTTCAACATATGCAAATCAATAAACGTAATCCATCACATAAACAGAACCAAAGACAAAAACCACATATTATCTCAATAAATGCAGAAAAGGCCTTTGACAAAATTCAGCAACCCTTCATGCTAAAAACTCTCAATAAATTAGCTATTGATGGGACGTATCTCAAAATAATAAGAGCTCTTTATGACAAACCCACAGCCAATATCATACTGAATGGGCAAAAACTGGAAGCATTCCCTTTGAAAACTGGCACAAGACAGGGATGCCCCCTCTCACTACTCCCATTCAACATAGTGTTGGAAGTTCTGGCCAGGGCAATCGGGCAGGAGAAGGAAATAAAGGGTATTCAATTAGGAAAAGAGGAAGTCAAATTGTCCCTGTTTGCAGATGACATGATTGTATAACTAGAAAACCCCATCGTCTCAGCCCAAAATCTCCTTAAGCTGATAAGCAACTTCAGCAAAGTCTCAGGATACAAAATCAATGTGCAAAAATCACAAGCATTCTTATACACCAATAACAGACAAACAGGGAGCCAAATCATCAGTGAACTCTCATTCACAATTGCTTCAAAGAGAATAAAATACCTAGGAATCCAACTTACAAGGGATGTGAAGAACCTCTTCAAGGAGAACTACAAACCACTGCTCAACAAAATAAAAGAGGATACAAACAAATGGAAGAACATTCCATGCTCATGGGTAGGAAGAATCAATATCGTGAAAATGGCCATACTGCCCAAGGTAATTTATAGATTCAATGCCATCCCCATCAAGCTACCAATGACTTTCTTCACAGAATTGGAAAAAACTACTTTAAAGTTCATATGGAACCAAAAAAGAGCCCACATTGCCAAGTCAATCCTAAGCCAAAAGAACAAAGCTGGAGGCATCACGCTACCTGACTTCAAACTATACTACAAGGCTACAGTAACCAAAACAGCATGGTACTGGTACCAAAATAGAGATATAGACCAATGGAACAGAACAGAGCCCTCAGAAATAATAGCACACATCTACAACCATCTGATCTTTGACAAACCTGACAAAAACAAGAAATGGGGAAAGGATTCCCTATTTAATAAATGGTGCTGGGAAAACTGGCTAGCCATATGTAGAAAGCTGAAACTGGATCCCTTCCTTACACCTTATACAAAAATTAATTCAAGATGGATTAAAGACTTAAATGTTAGACCTGAAACCATAAAAACCCTAGAAGAAAACCTAGGCAATACCATTCAGGACATAGGCATGGGCAAGGACTTCATGTCTAAAACACCAAAACCAATGGCAACAAAAGCCAAAATTGACAAATGGGATCTAATTAAACTAAAGAGCTCCTACACAGCAAAAGAAACTACCATCAGAGTGAACAGGCAACCTACAGAATGGGAGAAAATTTTTGCAATCTACTCATCTGACAAAGGGCTAATATCCAGAATCTACAAAGAACTCAAACAAATTTACAGGAAAAAAACAACCCCATCAACAAGTGGGCGAAGGATATGAACAGACACTTCTCAAAAGAAGACATTTCTGCAGCCAAAAGACACATGAAAAAATGCTCATCATCACTGGCCATCAGAGAAATGCAAATCAAAACCACAATGAGGTACCTATCTCACACCAGTTAGAATGGCAATCATTAAAAAGTCAGGAAACAACAGGTGCTAGAGAGGATGTGGAGAAATAGGAACACTTTTAACTGTTGGTGGGACTGTAAACTAGCTCAATCATTGTGGAAGTCAGTGTGGCAATTCCTCAGGGATCTAGAACTAGAAATACCATTTGACCCAGCCATCCCATTACTGGGTATATACCAAAGGATTATAAATCATGTTGCTATAAAGACACATGCAGATGTATGTTTCTTGAGGCACTATTCACAATAGCAAAGACTTGGAACCAACCCAAATGTCCAACAATGATAGACTGGATTAAGAAAATGCAGCACATATACACCATGGAATACTATGCAGCCATAAAAAAGGATAAGTTCATGTCCTCTGTAGGGACATGGATGAAGCTGGAAACCATCATTCTCAGCAAACTATCGCAAGGAGAAAAAACCAAACACCACATGTTCTCACTCATAGGTGGGAATTGAACAGTGAGAACACATGGACACAGGAAGGGGAACATCACACACCAGGGCCTGTTGTGGGGTCAGGGGAGCGGGGAGGGATAGCATTAGGATATATACCTAATGTTAAATGACAAGTTAATGGGTGCAGCACACCAACATGGCACATGTATACATATGAAACAAACCTGCACGCTGTGCACATGTACCCTAAAACTTAAAGTATAATTAAAAAAAAAAATTAAGTGGCTTCTATTCTCTGCATATTTTTGGTCAACTTCTGTGTTACAAAGTTGTTTGTGAGACATAATTACTCCAAAATGTATTATATGTGGATATTTTTCATTCTTGTGAAAAATGCATATCTTTGACATCTATAGAAAGGTTATTTCAATTTGTCATTCTGTGTCGAAAAAATACATAAAACACATTGTGTTATCACAAAATAACTAGAAGATGTGCTGAAAATGTATTTGAAGTTTTAAGTTAGTTGATTCATGGGTTTTTTTCTTAAAGAGGATTACCTTCACAAATTTCCTTTAAAACACACAACACACTAGTTTGAGTTTCTCCTACCTCTCCTTCAAAATAAATACATATAATCTCCTGAAAAAATGCAAAGTACACTGGAGTGAGAATTCAGAGACCTGCAGCCTTTTCCCAGATTAATCATTCAGTCTATAACCTAAGTCAGTAACTTCCAAATCTCCATCTGCTCATGTATAAAGGGGATTAGATGTAATCAGTAATTTTCAAATTGGACTATAGAAGCCTCGGGGATTCTGCGTATTTCAGGGGTGGAGGAATAGAGGATAATTAAGAATTTGTACTTCTTAAAAAGAGTTCAAAAATTACTACACTATATGATTTGTAAGGATTCTTTAACATCCAGAATCCTATTATTCTATTTCTTTGTCCTATTCAAAACAGCTATTAGTCTCAAATTTTAAATTGGAAAAATAAAATACCAAATATATATACATCCTTCTTAAAAATCACATAAGGTATGCAATGGAAATCACTGAACTCTAAACACTAATGGTATCTGTTGGTAACAGTTGCCCTATTGTCATGTAACAGCAAATGAAATGTGGCCTTCCAGAATCAAAACTAGAAATTATTTTCCCTTTGAGCGAGTCAGTTATCCCACTAATGTAATTTTGAATATCATAAGCATTAAAAATATATATTTAAGGAACTGATTATTTTTAAAATACCTGTACTATAAATTGTAATTCTCTTCTTTCTGCTTCCCATTGTTCTTCTTGTAATCTAAACTCCTCCAATGCTGTCTCCCTGATATGAGACTCCATCTCATTCTTCTCCCGTTGATGTTTTTCCAACGCTTCCTTTATATAAATAAAATCTTGCTTTACTGTTAGATCAATAAAAGTTATCTTCCTTCATCCCCAGTTTAAATGTACAAAGAGGCTCTCCTTACCTATAGATGTTAAAACTCATCATAATTCATGTTAAAATCATTAATAAAACTATAATTTGATCAATAGAATGTAGATCTGAGAAACTATGTTTATTTAAACAACAGATTATACCTTGTTTATATAGGCATATATTTACCTATTACCTATATATAATATGTATATATAAGCAACAGGCTGTATATACCTGTTTATTATATAGGGATATATTTGACCCAATTTTTCTGAAAAATGTTAACTTCAGAGGTTTGAACAAAATATCAATATATGATATCATATGATAGATATAAACAAAGTAGATTCCATTTAATATGGAAATCTCTACCTGTGATCAAAACATTTGGATTATCCCTGATAATTTATATATAAATTTGACACGAGCAATGTATTTCCAAAAGGGAAAAAGGGGCAAAGAAAAGAATTCTGTGCAACAAATTAGGATAAGGAAACTCTAGAATGTTAAAAATTTGAAAAGCAAAAAAACAAGAAATTTAAGTATGGACTTTAATTTCTAGTTCTATAGATAAACAATACTTGAAAAAATGCTTTCCTTTTGGGTTTTCTGAGGTGTACTGCAAGATCTAATTCGGTTTAGTATCTTAAAAACATAAAATGCAATTTGCTGAGAAGCCCAATTTTCTAACTATAGGGTTTAAAATTAAGTTCCCATTAACAGAAGAAAAAGTCTATAGTTTACATGCGAGAGAAAGAAAGCCTCTCATGTCCACACAATGGTAGCATGGATCTGTATAACAAATACTACCCTCCTAACTTATAGAAAGAAAGCTTTCACAAAGAGCCTTGAGGCTTTTTTTTCCCCCAAGGGCTAAATAGTGACTCAGATTCAACTCCAAACTGTCCCAAGGGTCTCTGTGCAGATTAGTGAAGGGGAACATCACACTCTGGGGACTGTTGTGGGGTGGGGGAGTGGGGAGGGATAGCATTAGGAGATATACCTAATGCTAAATGACAAGTTAATGGGTGCAGCACACCAGCATGGCACATGTATACATATGTAACTAACCTGCACATTGTGCACATGTACCCTAAAGCTTAAAGTATAATAATAATAAAAATAAAAATAAAAACAAAAAAAGCCAATAGCCTAAAATCAAACCACAATTCTCCTAAGTAGCTAATTGAGATCAGATCAAAATCTTCTACCTTCAGGTGCAAGCTGACTGGCTGAAGAAATACTGCCACCATCACCCTCCTCTCCACATAACTCCAAAACATTTTATGTGGGGAAGGTTATACAGGCCCATCCAAGGACTTGTAATATCAGTTACCACCGAAACCTCCCCCATTCACACACTAATGGAGCCCTTCTGCATGCCAGCTACTGTTCCAGGGTCTAAGAATACAGTAGTAAACAAAAGAAACAAACTATGACTACTGATGTGGAAGAAATCAAAAGTAAATTTGCTGACAATGACAACATCTGGGAATGACTGTGCGAAAACTTTTACAGTTTTTAAATGCTTTTGTGTAATTAATTTTAGTAAAGACACATTTCCAGAATTCAAAAAAGCCATTTACACCAATGGTAAAGGTAGAACATTTTTATCACCGTTTTTTTTTCTTTGTTTTGTTTTTTTGCTTTTTTGGGGGGAGACAGGGTCTCACTATATTGCTCAGGCTGGAGTACAGTGGCTATTCATAGGCCCAATCATGGTATACTGTGGCCTCAAACTCCTGGCCTCAAGTGATCTTCCCACCTCAACCTCCCTACTAGCTGGAACTACAGGCCTGCACCACCATACCTGGCTTTGTCATGTAATTTTTTTTTTTTTTCATTTAAACTGTTACTTCAAAAAAAATGGCAAATATAGACAACTCAAAATCTACCTTTTAAGTCACTGGCAACTTCAACCTTATATCACTTTTACTTTAGGGAGTAAAAAGAGAACAAAAAATGAGGGAATAAATAGCTCACAATTTTAGGAGAAGTTAAATATGTTACATATCATGTTTATACAAAACATGCTCTACATAGATAATGAAGCTCATATCAAACATACAAATATTTTTCTATATTTATTGTATATTCAGACCAAAATCCAGGGCCCATATTTCTAAAATTCCAAATGTTCATATTGCTAGACAAAAAGAGCTGTAGATTCTTAGCTTCTTACAATATGCCCATATAAGTGCTTTGTTGGCTTTTAACATTTTGATTAGCGACCGCAAACCGTTTTTCACCCCAAAAAGTATACCTATTAATATACTCCAAAAGAGACCAGCAAATATGCCCCTAAAAAAGAAAAAATGGGAGGGAGGAAGGAAGGAGGAAGGAAAAAGGAAGGAAGGAAATCCAGGATAACTTCAAGTAATGTACAACACATCTCGGTGAATATTACATATCGGAAAATTCCTTTATAAAAACTATTTTACCTGTAGAGTTTTCTCTAGTCTGCTTTTTTCTTTCATAAGTAAATCATATTCTCGATTGCAATTTTGGATCATATTGTCTCTTTCCTCCAAATCATGTTCAAATCTTCTGCATTCTTCTTTCCATTTTTGCTGAGAAGTCTGAAATGCTTTCTCAGTCTCATTTGTCTTTGCTTGAAGTTCTGAATTCTGTGCTATTAAGAATAGAATAATAGGTACATTTACAACCATGAATTAAATAACAAGGAGCCCCAAAACCTAGGCATTGGAGTTGACATCATTTACAGCATGATCTTAGGATAAAACATTTAACCTTTCCATTACAGTAAACTCTTGAAAACCTTTCCATTCCGGTAAATTCTTGAAAAGCTCACAGTCTCTAAATCAATCTATTCTATAATTTTCGATCTCTTCTTCCCCTTCAGACAATGATGATTTTGCTATGAAACAGTGTGACATATTTCTGAAGGCATATCCAAGTTTAGGTGCACTTCTAGCACCAGCTGCAACTCTATTGGTTTTTGTCCTATTCAAGAAAACAAACCAGCTGAGTGTGGTGGTACACACCTGTAATCCCAGCTACTCTGGAGGCTGAGGCGGGAGGATCACTTGAGCCTAGGAGTTCAAGACCAGCCTGAACAACATAGGGAGACCTCCTCTCAGATTTAAAAGAAAGAAAAAGAAAGAGAGAAAGAAAGAAAGAAAAAAGAAAGAAAGAAAGAAGAAGAAAGAAAGAAAGAAAGAAAGAAAGAAAGAAAGAAAGAAAGAAAGAAAGAAAGAAAGAAAGAGAAAGAAAGAAAGAAGAAAAAAATCTATTTTTAAGACTGTGATATATAGGGCAAGTTTTTAAAAAGAGTAGATTACAAATTTTTATATTTGACTATTGACAACAAACTAGTTGTAACACATCTTACACAAGGGTCACAAAGCTGAGGCTGGAAACCACTACCCCAACCCTTAGAACTGTAACTATTTACTTTGCCAGATTTAGGTGCAACTCACCTCCTACCCGATTACCTCAACAATAACCAACACCTATCAACACACTAACACTGCTGCTCTGTTTCAGCACCTAGAAAAGAAGGAAATGCTTCCAGGTCTGGCTCCATCACCTGCCACTTATTAAACCTCCCTGATTCTCTGATTCTCACTAGAAATAAGAATGTCCCTAGTTAAGTTTTTGTGAAGATAAAATGAGGAAATGTTTATAAAAACACATGTTAAAAGATGCCACAGCTATATTAGCAGTATTTCTAAATTATATTTCTTTGCATTTTGAATCAATCATACATTCAAAATGTTCAAAATACAAAGGTATAAAAGGTACAAAAGGAAATACATTAAAAGTCCCCCTCCCATTCAGCTGCCATCTCCAGAAGACATTCTTCCATGGTCTCTCATCCAGCATTGCAGGAAAGTAGTTTGAGGCCATTTTGACTCCTGATCCTTTGCATTTGACCTATTTTTCTTTTCTCGTGAAAGCTTTAGAATCTTCTCTGTCTTTATTTTTCTGAAATTTCATAATGCTATGCCTGCAGTAGGTCTACTTCTTTCCATAACGGTAAATATTCAATAGACTCTTTCAATCTGGTAATTCATGTCCTTTAGTTCTGAGATGTTATCTTGAGTTATTTTCATTGATGATTTATCATACATTTCTGTTTTCTCTCTTACGTCTTTCACTATTCCCTATTATTCAAATTGGTCCTCAAATTTTTTCATCTCTTCTCTCCTATTTTTCTACCTCTGTCTTTTTAATTCTAATTTCTGGGAGGTTTCTTCCATCTTCATCTTCCAGTGCTTCTAGGGACATTTTTCATTTCTGCCTTCATATTTTTAATTTGTTAATTTTTTCAAGCCAAACTGTATCCAACTTTATTAATTATATTTTTCACAAACAATAATGGTATTGTAGGCAGGTATTTCAATTAACAGTATACAACTTTCAAACCCTCTTCTTCAAAGGACTACCAAAATCAGAAAGCCACTATAAACCCAATGAAGTCCTCATTTGATGTTCTCAACAGAGAGTTTAGAGTGGGGGTTGACATTTCACATTAACATGTTGTTTAACAACTTTTCACAAGCAGACTCTGACTTTTAGGAAGTGAAATGAAAATGGCAGGATTTATCTAAAGATCTACAATCTAGAAACAGAAGGGCTGCTATTTTGAGGAGTGCCATCTCAGTGGTGTCATTGGAAAGTCCAGATTGCCTGATACACTGGCAACCAATTACTGGGAGTCAATCCCAAGAGATGTCTGGGCTTAAGGGAGTTAAGTCTATGCTGAGGATGGAAGGGAGAAGAGGACATAAAAACAAATTTGTTTTTCCACACCACAAGGTGTTTGTGCCAAGGTGGCTATGTGTGTCAATATCAGGGAATCTCTCCTCCTGGAAGCCAAGAAGAAGTCTCTCAAAACTAGAAGGGAAACGTGTTTTCCCCCCATCAATCCACTTCAGAGACATTCTAGTAGTAACACATGTCCCTTCCTCAAAAAACAACGACGTTTTCTGTGGGGCAACAACATAGCTCTAAAAAAAAAACACGGCTGGGTGCGGTGGCTCACGCCTGTAATCCAAGCCCTTTGGGAGGCCGAGGCAGGCGGATCACAAGGTCAGGACATCGAGACCATCCTGGCTAACACGGTGAAACCCCATCTCTACCAAAACAAATACAAAAAATTAGCCGGGCGTGGTGGCGGGCACCTGTAGTCCCAGCTACTCAGGAGGCTGAGGCAGAAGAATGACGTGAACCCGGGAGGTGGAGCTTGCAGTGAGCCGAGGTCGTGCCACTGCACTCCAGCCTGGGTGACAGAGTGAGACTCCGTCTCATAAAAAAAAAAAAAAAAAAAAAAAGTCTGCATCTTCATAAAACTTGGTTGAAAAATATTTCAAACTGTATAGTCACCAAAAGTGCACAGTTATCAAAAATGCACACATTTCACTTGGCGTCTCCAGCACGCTGAGCTTCCTGTGCCTGGTCTGTTTTGGCATCTCCATTTCCTGCAGGATTCTTCCCCTCCTTGTAAGCATCAGCTTTTCCCTTTGGGTACCTTTTCTCCCTTCTTTGCAGGGGCAAAGAAGGCTTTTTGGGCTTGCGCTCTGGCTTTGAAGGAGCAGGTTTAGCAGACAACCTTGCAGATCTTCTCTGTAGCTTGGCTTTATCTCCTGTAGCATCCCCTTCAGGCTTTCTCTTGGGCATGGTGGTAATGCTGCTAAGACGTAGCACCAGATGCAGGGATGCAATGGCGTGTGGGCTTTGGTCAGTCCGGGGGTCCTTCTTGCCTCTTCTTCCCACTGCTTCCATATTTTTAAATTCTTTGAGACAGAGTCTCACTCTCTCACCCAGGCTGGAGTACAGTGGCGCAATCTCGGCTCACTGCAACCTCTGCCGCCCAGGTTCAAGTGATTCTCCCACCTCAGCCTCCCGAGTAGCTGGGATTACAGGCACTTGCCACCACGCCTGGCTAATTTTTGTATTTTTAGTAGAGACAGGGTTTCACCATATCAGTCAGGCTGGTCTTGAACTTCTGACCTCATGATCCACCTGCCTCGGCCTCCCAAAGTGCTGCGATTACAGGCGTGAGCCACCGCGCCTGGCCTCATATTTTTAATTTCTAATAGATTTCATCTTTTATAACACCTGGTTCTTACTTCATAGATGAAATATATTCTTTCAGATCTGAGGAAATTAATGCTACTTCTTTTAAATGTTCTCCCTGCAGAGCCTCTGTTTCTTCTAAGTTGATTTCTTCTCTCCATTTTAAAGGGTTTCCTCATATATCTGGTAACTCTTGGTTGTCTACTCTCATTAAAAGTTAGAAACTATAAATGTAATACAGTTTATACACTAATATACCCACCACCTAGAATCTGAGCTTCAAGGTGGACGTTAACAACTTTAGTCTTCGCTGGAGAAGGATCTGGATGGCTCATTTATTGGGAAACCTCCAACATCAGTATCATTAGGTTCTTCCTCCTGGCTTTGTATTCGTCTGTTTTTTTGGATAAAGACATACCTGAGACTGGGCAATTTACAAAAGAAAGAGGTTTATTGGACTTACAGTTTCACATGGCTGGGGAAGCCTCACAATCATGGCAGAAGGCAAGGAGAAGCAAGTCATATCTTACATGCATGGCAGCAGGCAAAAGGAGAGCTTGTGTAGAGAAACTCCCATTTTTAAAACCATCAGATCTCGTGAGACCCATATCACAAGAACAGCATGGGAAAGACCCACCCCAATGATGCAATCATCTCCCACTGGGTCCCTCCCATAACACATGGGAATTATGACAGCTACAAGATGAGATTTGGGAGGGGACACAGAGCCAAACTATATCAGCTTGGTCAGGTGATACACAAAAGAGTCCTCCAACATCCGGCATAGAGTGTAGAAATCCAGGTGTTAGCTTTTGGGGAAGTCAATATATAAAGGAAGCTGGGGGCTGAGCATGGTGGCTCACACGTGTAATCCCAGCATTTTGGGAGGCCAAGCTTGGAGGATTGATTGTGGCCAAGGGTTTGACACCAGCCTGGTCAACATGGCAAGACCTAGTCTCTACAAAAAAAAATTTTTTTTAATTAGTCACGTGTGGTGGCATACACCTATAGTCCTAACTACTCAGGAGGCTGAGGTGGGAGGATGGCTTAAGCCCAGGAGTTCAAGGCTGCACTGAGCTATGACCACACCACTGCCCTCCAGCCTGGGCAACAAAGTGATACTCTGTCTCTAAAAGTAATAATAATAATTAATTAATTAATTAAAGGGAAGCTGGAAGGAATGGCTCCTCAATATTCAGCATTCAGAATCTTCCTGGTTTTGCCAGTCAAAAGACTCTATTTCGCCATCTCCAGGGATTAAACCTCCTGACTTCCACTAGCAATTCTTAAGTAATCCCAGAGTAGCATGCTCTTGGAAGGAAATCTAAGGACCTATCTGCCTCTCAAACAGCTTTCATCTAACCCTACTTATTTTACTCACTACTGCTACTCCCATACATAATTCCAATGGTATCTGGTGCTTCCAGTTTATAAGCCTTTTGACTAAGAATTTCTCTTTCGGTTTTCCCCACTCCTGACTTAGGATTTTAACATCTCTCTAACTCAGTTATTCCTCATCCATTTGCTTTCCAGCTTCCAAAATTTTCTCTCTTGTCACACCCCCTGTTCTCTCCATTGTTATGGGATTATCTCATAACTGCATTAGGCTTTTTACACTACCCTCAACATTTCACTATAAAAATTTTAAAAACACAGAAAGTTGAAAGTATTGTGCAGTGAACATCCATATATCTACAACCTGGACTCTAGGATTGTTAACATTTTGCCATATTTGCTTTATCAGATATTCATCCATCCTTCAATGCATGCATTCATTTATCCACCCAGCAGTCCATCATACATTTTATGCATTTCAAAGCAAGTTGCAAACATCAGGACATTTCACTCCTAAATAGTTCAGCATGTATATCATTAATTAGAATGTAATATAGTTTTATTTTTTTACAGATAAAATGTACATCTAGTAGAATGCACAAATCTTTAGTGTACTGTTCAAGGAGTTTTTCGTTTTGTTTTTTTGAGACAGAGTCTCACTCTGTCATCCAGGCTAGAGTGCAGTGGTACGATTTCAGCTCACTGCAACTTCTGTCTCCTTGGTTCAAGTGAGCCTTCTGCCTCAGCCTCCTGAGTAGTTGAAATTACAGGCGTGCACTACCATGCCTGGCTAGTTTTTGTTTTTAGTAGAGATGGGGTTTCACTATGTTGGTCAGGATGGTCTTGAATTCCTGGGTTCAAGCGATCCACCCGCCTCCACCTCCCAAAGTGCTGGGATTACAGGTGTGAGCCAATGTTCAAAGAGATTTTATGAATAAATACATTCATGTAACCCAAACACCTATCAAAATACAGAACATTTCTTTCAACCCAAAAAGTACCCTCATACTCTTTCCCAGTCAAATCCACTGCCAACCCACCCTGCAGAGGCCATCACTGTTTAGATTCTTTTTTTCACCAATGATTAGCTTTTCCTATCCTAGAACTTTATGTTAATGGAACCATACAGGATGTCCTCTTGAGTGTAAAGTTTCTCTCACTAAGCATGTTTTGGAGATTCATTCATGTTACCGCATACGTTAGTGGTTGCTTTCTTCTTATTGTTGAGTAGCATTTCATTATATAACACAAATTGTTTCTTCATTCTCTTGTTAATGAATGTCTTTTTCCCCAACTTTGGACCACCATGAATGGAGTTGCTAGGAAATTCTTTTACAAGTCTTTTTTGGACAAAAGTTTTTCTTTCTCATGGGGAAATAATAAAGAGTGAAACCACTGGCTCATAAGATAAATCCATGTTTATTTTAAAAGAAACGGCCAGGTTTTTTTCTAAAGTGGCTGTATCATTTTACACTCCCATTAACAAAAAATATGAGTCCCTGTTGCTCTATATCCTCACCAATATTTGGTATTGACAATCTTTTCAATTAGAGCCACCTGATAGGTGTTTAGTAACATCTACTATGGTTTTCATTTGCATTTCCCTGACAATAAGTGAGGTTACGCATTTTTCCTCTGATTAATAGTCATCTCTCTATCTTACTCTGTAGAATGTCTGTTGAAATTGTTTGACTCTGAGCAAGTAACTTCCCATCTTTCCAGGACTTCACTTTCCTCATGGTTAAATGAAAGTCATGAACTTTCATATCTAGTGCCTTCCAATTCTTATATTCCTAAATTCCAGGTAGTCGTGTAACTATTATTAAACACCAAAGGTAATTACTGGGGCTCAGAACACAATACCCCCAATTATGGTGGCTTGGTATGCTGAATATTTTTCACTTGCAGAAGACAGGAGGGCCTCAGAAGGAAGGTTACTCTGACTTCCTGTCTTCTACCCTTCTTTCTCCCCAAAGCAAGATATAAAATCTAGAAAGGTCGCCTCTCTGACCTACTACCTCTGAAAGTAGGTCATGGGGCCCTCATGTGATCTATCACCTGGAAGAAAGAAATGCTACTGAACAAACAGGCTTGCTGGGTTTCCCACTCAGTTTATTACATTGGAACATATACTTTTGTCCAGTCATATTTCTCCACAACTATCCACTTCTTTCATCAGACTTAACACAAAAATACGGTTTTCCCTGGTTCTTTGCGTCTTCATATCTGGAGGCTCCCATGTCATCTAAAACTTTGTTAAATAAATTTGTTATGGTTTTCTCTTGTTAACCTGTGTTTTGTTATAGGGTTGTCAGTTGTAAACCTTGCATGGGTGAGTAAAAGATACTACTTTTTCTTCTCTACATAATCAAAAATACTTCTGACCAATATCAATAACCCCAGACAGCTGAGCAAAACTAAGGATCTTAACAGTTACAAAATTATACCTTAACATGCCGGGCACGGTGGCTCACGCCTGTAATCCCAGCACTTTGGGAGGCCGAGGCGGGTGGATCACAAGGTCAGGAGTTCAAGATCCGCCTGGCCAAGATGGTGAAACCCCGTCTCTACTAAAAATACAAGAAAATTAGCCGGGCGTGGTGGTGGGCACCTGTAATCCCAGCCACTCGGGAGGCTGAGGCAGAGAATTGCTTGAACCCGGGAGGCGGTGGTTGCAGTGAGCCGAGATCGCACCACTGCACTCCAGCCTGGGCGAAAGAGGGAGACTCCATCTCAAAAAAGAAAAAAAGAAAATTATATCTTAACATTTCTTTAGCCCCATGAAGTTAACAAAAACACTTTTTTTTTTAATCAAGGACAATTTTTTTCACATTTTATTTTTTATTTCAATAGTTTGGGGAACAGATGGTGTTCGGTTGCAGGCAAAAGTTCATTAGTAGTGATTTCTGAGATTCTGGTGCACTCATCACCCAAGCAGTGTATGCTGTAACCAATGTGTAGTCTTTCATCCCTCACCCCCATCCCGTCCTTTCCACAGAGTCCCCAAAGTCCATTATATCATTCTTATGCCTTTGCATACTCATAGCTTAGCTCCCACTTATAAGTGGTTTTCTATTCCTGAGTTACTTCACTTAGAATAATGGCCTCCAGCTCCATCCAGATTGCTGCATATGCCACTATTTCGTTCTTTTTATGGCTCAGTAGTATTCCTTGCTGTATATATAGCACATTTTCTTTTTTTTTTTTTTTTTGAGATGGAGTCTCGCTGTCACCAGACTGGACTGCAGTGGTGCGATCTTGGCTCACTGCAACCTCTGCCTCCCAGGTTCAAGCTATTCTGCCTCAGCCTCCCAAGTAGCTGGGACTACAGGCGTGCGCCACCACACCCAGCTAATTTTTGTATTTTTAGTAGAGACGGGGTTCCACCACCTTGGCCAGGATGGTCTCAATCTCTTGACCTGGTGATCTGCCCTCCTCGGCCTCCCAAAGTGCTGGGATTACAGGCGTGAGCCACCGCGCCCAGCCTATACCACATTTTCTTTATCCACTCATTGGTTGATGGGCTCCTAGGCTGGTTCGATATTTTTGCAATTGTGAATTGTGCTGCTGTAAACCTGCGTGTGCATGTGTCTTTTTCATATAATGACTTCTTTTCCTCTGGGAAGATACCCAGTAGTGGGAATGCTGGATCAAATGGTAGTTCTACTTTTGGTTCTTTTTTTTTTTTTTTAATACTTTAAGTTCCGAGATACATGTGCAGAATGTGCAGGTTTGTTACATAGGTATACATGTGCCATGGTGGTTTACTGTACCCATCAACCCATCATCTACATTAAGTATTTCTCCTGATGCTATCCCTCCCCCAGCCCCCCACCTCCTGCCAGGCCCCAGTGTGTGATGTTCCCCTCCCTGTGTCCATGTGTTCTCACTGTTCAACTCCCACTTATGAGTGAGAACATGCGCTGTTTGGTTTTCTGTTCTTGTGTTAGTTTGTGGAGAATGATGGTTTCCAGCTTCATGCATGTCCCTGCAAAGGACATGAACTCATCCTTTTTTATGGCTGCATAGTATTCCATGGTGTATATATGTGCCATATTTTCTTTATCCAATCTATCATTGATGGCCATTTGGGTTGGTTCCAAGTCTTTGCTATTGTGAACAGTGCCACAATAAACATACGTGTGCATGTGTCTTTATAGCAGCATGATTTATAATCCTTTGGGTATATACCCAGCAATGGGATGGCTGGGTCAAATGGTATTTCTAGTTCTAGATCCTTGAGGAATCGCCACACTGTCTTCCACAACAGTTTAACTAATTTACACTCCCACCAACAGTGTAAAAGCATTCCTATTTCTCCACATCTCCTCTCCAGCATCTGTTGTTTCCTGACATTTTAATGAACCCCATTCTAACTGGTGTGAGATGACAACTCATTGTGGTTTTGATTTGCATTTCTCTAATGACCAGTGATGATGACCATTTTTTCATATGTTTGTTGGTTGCATAAATGTCTTCTTTTGAGAAGTGTCTGTTCATATCCTTTGCCCACTTTCTGATGAGATTGTTTTTTTCTTGTAAATTTGTTTAAGTTCTTTGTAGATTCTGGATATTAGCCCTTTGTCAGATGGATAGATTGCAAAAGTTTTCTCCCATTCTGTAGGTTCCCTGTTCATTCTGATGATAGTTTCTTTTGCTGTGCAGAAGCTCTTTAGTTTAATTAGATCCCATTTGTCTATTTTGGCTTTTGTTGCCATTGCTTTTGGTGTTTTAGTTATGAAGTCCTTGCCCATGCCTATGTCCTGAATGGTATTGCCTAGGTTTTCTACTAGGGTTTTTATGGCTTTAGGTCTTACGTTTAAGTCTTTAATCCATCTTGAGTTAATTTTTGTGTAAGGTGTAAGGAAGGGTTCCAGTTTCAGCTTTCTGCATATGGCTAGCCAGTTTTCCCAACACAATTTATTAAATAGGGAATCCTTTCCCCATTGCTTGTTTTTGTCAGGTTTGTCAAAGATCACATGGTTGTAGATGTCTGGTGTTATTTCTGAGGGCTCTGTTCTGTTCCATTGGTCTATATATCTGTTTTGGTATCAGTACCATGTTGTTTTGGTTACTGTATTCTTGTAGTATAGTTTGAAGTCAGGTAGCGTGATACCTCCAGCTTTGTTCTTTTTGCTTAGGATTGTCTTGGCAATATGGGCTCTTTTTTGGTTCCATATGAACTTTAAAGTAGTTTTTTCCAGTTCTGTGAAGAAAGCCAGTGGTAGCTTGATGGGGACAGCATTCAATCTATACATTACTTTGGGCAGTATGGCCATTTTCACAATATTGATTCTTCCTATCCATGAGCGTGAAGTATTTTTCCATTTGTTTGTGTCCTCTCTTATTTCCTTGAGCAGTGGTTTGTAGTTCTCCTTGAAAAGGTCCTTCACATCCCTTGTAAGTTGATTCCTAGGTATTTTATTCTGTTTGTAGCAATTGTGAATGGGAGTTCACTCATGATTTGGCTCTCTGTTTGTCTGTTATTGGTGTATAGGAATGCTTGCAATTTTTGCACACTGATTTTGTATCCTGAGGCTTTGCTGAAGTTGCTTATCAGCTTAAGGAGATTTTGGGCTGAGATGATGGGGTTTTCTAAATATACAGTCATGTCATCTGCAAACAGAGACAATGTGACTTCCTCTTTTCCTTTTTGAATACCCTTTATTTCTTTCTCTTGCCTGATTGCCCTGGCCAGAACTTCCAATACTATGTTGACTAGGAGTGGTGAGAGAGGGCATCCTTGTCTTGTGCCGGTTTTCAAAGGGAATGCTTCCAGTTTTAGTTCTTTAAGGAATCTCCATACTATTGTCCATAGTGATTGTACTAATTTACATTCCCACCAGCAGTGTAAAAGTGTTCCCTTTTTACCACATCCATGCAACATCTGTTATTTTTTTATTTTTAAATTATGGCCATTCTTGCAGTAGTAAGGTGGTATCTCATTGCGCTTTTGACTTGCATGTCCCTGATAATTAGTGATATTGAACATTTTTTCATATGTTTTTTGGCCATTTGTATATCTTCTTTTAAGAATTGTCTATATATGTCCTTTGCCCAGTTTTTGATGGGATTATTTGTTTTTTTCTTGCTGATTTGAGTTCCTCATAGATTCTGGATATTACTCCTTTGTCAGATGCATAGTTTGTGAATATTTTCTCCCAGTCTGTGCTGTCTGTTTACTCTGCTGACTATTCTTTTGCTGTGCAAAAGCTTTTTAGTTTAATTAGTTTTTTAGTTTAATTTTAGTTTAAAGATCTATTTATCTTTGTTTTTGTTGCATTTGCTTTTGGGATCTTGGTCATGAACTCTTTGCCTAAGCCAATGTCTAGAATAGTTTTTCCAATGTTATCTTCTAGAATTTTTATGGTTTCAGGACTTAGATTTAAGTCTTTGATCTTGAATTGATTTTTATATAAGGTGAGAGATAAAGATCCAGCTTCACTCTTCTACATGTGGCTTGCCAAGTATCCCAGCACTACTGGTGAATAGGGTGTCCTTTCCCCACTTTATGTTTTTGTTTGCTTTGTCAAAGATCAGTTGGCTGTAAGTATTTGTCTTTATTTCTGGGTACTCTGTTCTGTTCCATTAGTCTCCATGCCTGTTTTTATACCAGTACCATGTAGAACCAGGACCTAAATCTAAATCTGAATTCACATTCAGTGTTCTCTTAATTAAAACCTGCTGTGTACAAGAATGTTCATAGCAACATTATTGTTAATAATCAAAAATTGGACACTACTCAAATGCCCATCAATAATAAATGGATAAATATAAGTGTGGAATGTTTACACAATACTACACATCAATACAAAGCTCTCATACAATATGCATGAATTTCAAAAACATAATGTTGGAGGAAAAAAGCCAGAAAAAAAAGAATATATACTTTATGATTCCATTCATATAAAGTACAAAAAAGTGGCAAAATTAATCTACACTATTAAAAACCAGTATAGTAGTCATCCATGTAGAAGGGCTTTTGATCATTTTCTGGTCCCTCATCTGGGTGCTTGTTATGAGTGATATCGCTATCTAGGCACATTTATTTTTATATATTATATGTAAATAGAAAGGCTTTATTTAAGTCCAAGGGCTACATAACACATAGCTTTTGAAGATTAAATCCAGTGACTTTTTCTTTTCCAGGCACCACACTCTAGCCCAGTGATTTCTAAACCTGGCAAAATCAATGAAAGAGGCAGTGCTTCTTGAACATATAGATTCTCAAGCTAGAGATTTGGATTCATATTATATGTGATGGGGAGCCTGGAGTATATGTTTAAGACAAACAAAAATCCCTTTGTGATTCTGTTGATTATTCATGGAAGAAGTGCTTCTAAAAAGTGACTTAAGAGAATTTTGAACTCCTTTTTCCATATATGCACAGCATAAAAAAATCAATGTAAAGTAGATAAATGTTCACAAAATTGCCAGAAGACTTTTTATACATACCCAGCTAAGTCTGTACATCAAAAGTCAGTCAACGAATCAGAATCTTACCTCTGACCCTGTATGGGATGTACACACAACAGCGAGGAGTGATATACAATCAGGTTACAACCCTAAACTTGGGAAGAAATAGAAACAGTCTTACCACAGAGTTTTTCTTGGATCCTATGTGCCTCGGCTAATCTTTCTTCAGCAGCCCGTCTTCCAAGACCAGCTTCCTTTCTAGCAACAGCTAGGTCATATTCCAGACTTTGTCGCAATGCTTCTCCCTTTTCAACCTCGGACCGTAGCTTGGCAATCTGGCTCTCATAGCTTGCCAGCTAAAAACAGATTCCTGATATCAACATGTGTCCAAAGATTATGAGATCATACACTCAAACATTTAAGTTTCTTAGAGAAACTTGTTTCCATAATATATACAAGGCAAAAATTTATAAATTTATATATTCTGAATCACTGGAAAGAAAGCACTACCTTACAAAATGACACCCATTATGTTTTTTATTTTAGAGAATCCACTAGAGGAAAAAAAAAATCTTATAAGAACTTTTTATAAAATTAAAGATAAATTACGTTTTAATCAGAAATAGTCACACCTTGGCCAGGCACGGTGGCTCACTCCTGTAATCCCAGCACTTTGAGAGGCCAAGGCAGGAGGATCACTTAAGCCCAGGAGTTCAAGACCAGCCCGGGCCACATGGGCAGACCCTGTCTCAATAATAATAATAATAATAATAATAATAATAATAATAATAATAATACAAAAATTAACCAGGCATGGTGGTGTGCACCTGTAGTCTCAGCTACTCAGGAGGCTGAGATGGAAGGATTGCTTGAGCCTGGGAGGCAGAGGTTGCAGTGAGCAGAGACCATGCCACTGCACTCCATCCTGAAGGACAGAGCAAGACCGTCTAAAAAAAAAAAAATAAAGAAAAGAAAATATTCATACCTAAAAAACAAACAAACAAAAAAATGCATGATACATACTAAGCACTTAAAAATTCATTCTTTCCTCTCCTCCTTCTATTCCCTAAATGGAACCAATAAACAAATTGCATCAAAGTATAGTTTAATAAATATTGTCTGTATTATTTCTCTTGATTATGATATCACTGATCATAAAGTAATAAAAGTGCCAATTTTGCAGGGATTTAAATGAACGAATATCGAATTTGTGATCCTTCCAAAGTAGCATGACAGAAGGTCAGAGACAACTGGCTTCTCAATAGGCTTGATCAATGAGAGGCACATGTGGAATGATTGACAGCAGGAGAAGTGAAGATGCCAAGTTATTTCTGCCTTTCTAGATCTACCTTGAGCAGTTATCCCTCTCTTGCCTGTGGCTGCAAATCCTTATGGATAGTCCCTCCTTCCATGGGCCTTGCTTTGTCCAGTTCTAGCTCTAATCAACCTTGGGAATAGAAGCAGTTCTTAATGTTGGGTTGTCTTAATCTCCTCTAGTTGTCTTTTCCACTTTTCTGGTACCTGTGTAACCAATACCCGCTATTAATGTCCCTTTGTTTTAAGACTTAGAATGGTTTCTGTTTTCCTAACTAAACACCCAGTAATATTGCTCTTGGTATCAGAAATTGTCTCAAGATGGGTTTATAATATTGGCTGGCTAATATATTTAAGCCTGAACACAGTGAAAGCCTCTTTGCAGGTAGAAATGGGATTCTAGTGATCTACAGCATACAGTGGGATCACAGTTCTTTAAATTATGGTGTGCAGTTGTTTAGGATGAAGTGCCAGTTGAAAATAAGCCTTCGGAAAATGAAGTAATGAACGCACTTAACTATGATGCCAGTATTGATTTACTACAAGGCCTGAGGGATAGAAAGGGTAAATCTCACTATACTAGAGAATTTACAAACACAAAATGATAATCTCAGAGCTTTAGAATCTCAGTTCAAGACAGTCAGAAAAACGAGTTTTTATGGTGACTTTAAAATAACTGCTTATTTAGTACAGCCCCAGGGCAGATAAGGTTATGAACAAACCTGGAAATCTAATTATGGGAAATGCAAAATTACAAGTTCAATGAAGAGTTTCACCAGGTTTCTTCTGTTAAGATGCTATCAGCTGGATATTAAGTAGGAAGAACATAGGATGAGGACTTTCAGAATTAAACAAACCTAAAAACTATGAACTCTCAAATCCCCACTGAACATTCCTTACCAAAAAAAAGCAGCCTCTCCTTTCTGACTGAGGTAACCAGCCTTTCCTTGCTGAAAGAATTAGTAATGACCACACCTGAAGCAGCTGCCTTGCAGGAGGATTTGCAAGAGCCACCTACACCGCTCTGTTCACCACAGATTGACTCAGATCTCAGTATGCTACAGAAGGAAAAATGCAGTCTGCTCCAGGAGGAAATAGCTTATATAGCAGAAGAACTGAAAGCTCTTGCTAATCTGGTATTCACAGGAACTTGGAGAACGTGTACAAGATCGACGTGGATATCGTCTCTAAGTTAACTCTTAACAGTTTTGCTTGGATGGCTGACTGAAAATTGAATTCGACATTAGCCTACAATCATTTCATAAGGTCAAAATACTAGCACTTTCCTGGCATAATACAAACACTTAAGAACACGGGAGTGGTTTTGTGCAAACCAAGCCTCCCTTTTCCTTGACTACATCCTCTTCAAGGGCACAAAGTACATTACTTAAAATTAAAATGCTGGCCAGGTGCGGTGGCTCACTCCTGCAATCCCAGCACTTTGAGAGGCTGATGAGGGAGGGTTGCTTGAGGCTAGGAGTTTGAGACCAACCTGAGCAACACAGCAAGACCCCATGTCTACAAATAATAATAATAATAAATTAGCCAGGTGTGATGGCACACACCTACAGTCCTGGCTACTTGGGAAGCTACAGCATAAAATCACTTGAGCCCAGGAGTTCCAGGCTGTAGGGAGCAATGATCACATCACTGCATGCAAGCCTGGACAACAGAGCAAGACCCTGTCTCTAAAAAAAGATTTAAAACAACAAATATATATACATGTATATACACACACACACACACACACACACACAACTGAAATATGATATATATGTAGCTATAATTTTTTTTTTTTTGAGACAGAGTCTCGCTCTGTTGCCGAAGCTGGAGTACAGTGGCATGATCTCGGCTCACTGCAACCTCTGCCTCCCAGGTTCAAGTGAGTCTCCCACCTCAGCCACCCAAGTAGCTGGGATTATAGGTGCGCACCACCACGCCCAGCTAATTTTTGCATTTTTAGTAGAGACAGGGTTTCGCCATGTTGGCCAGGCTGGTCTCAAACTCCCGACCTCAAGTGATTTGCCCACCTCAGCCTCCTAAAGTGCTGGGATTACAGGCGTGAGCCATGGCACCCATCCTGTAACTATAATTTCTAAAATGTGATATGTATCTGTGATTTCTATTGATGATACTCAAAAGTGCTGCTAACACTACTATGACTTGTTAAAAGGAGGACTGGCTGGGTCAAGCCTTTCAGAACTGAAGGAAATGCTTAATATCAGTTAGAGGTTAATAAAAATAAAATTATAAGTTTTCCCCATCTATGTTCACAGATTCCCTGATTTCTCTGAGGACTCCAGCTTAAGAATCCCTGCTCTCAAGAGTACTGGCTGGGTCAGACAATATCTTCAAGCCATAAAGCCTACTGATTAGTCCTAAGTTTCCAGTATTTTTTGGCTAAAAGAAGTTATGTCAGCCGAGTACGGTGGCTCACACCTGTTGTCCCAGCACTTTGGGAGGCCAAGGTGGGTGGATCACTTGAGCCCAGAAGTTCAAGACCAGCCTGGACAACATGGCAAAACCACACCTCTATAAAAATACAAAAAATTAGCCAAGCATGGTGGCACGTGCGTGCCTGTAGTCCCAGCTCCTCAGGAGGCTGATGTAGGAGATCACTTGAGTCCAGGAGTTCGAGACCAGGCTGCAGTGAGCCAAGATCACACCATTGCACTCCAACCTGGGTGACAGAGCGAGACCCTGTTTCAAAAAAAAAAAAAAAAAAAAAAAAAAGTAGTTATGTCACTCTCCTTTACCCTCTCTCTTTCTAATTTATCTGGATTTTCTTGCTCTGTTATCACTATCTGGGCCAATGAGATATCTGAATAGCCTCACGGTCTTCTTGTCCTATTTTCCACAACAGTATTGTTACGCTCAAATGATTCTAAAAACCTTACAGTATTTTCCCATCCCAATCACCTACATCAATGCAATTCAGTCTCATCTGGAACGTATGAGTCTATAAGCAATTCTTCTCCCTGTACCCTCTGTCTACTAATAAATCCTTTCAACAGTAATCTATTATTTGAATACCTATCAAAGAAACCTGTAGCTCAGAAAAATAAATTAACTTGCCCAAGATCCTCCAACAATAAAACTCCTACAGAAGTCTTTAAAGATATTTTGTGCCAATCACCGTGCATTTGTGTTCGCATTAGGAATACCTGATAAGGCAAATATGGCCTTAGTTTTTAAATCACTGCATTCCTCTCTGCCTTGCTTCCTGATGCGTACAGTTGGAGATTATATGGCTAAAAAATTTAACTACATAATACAAGTATGATCATCTAAAGAAATAATTGAAGGCCAGGCACAGTGGCTCAATGGCTTACACCTGTAATCCCAGCACTTTGGGAGGTCGAGACAGGTGGATCACTTGAGGTCAGGAGTTCGCGACCAGCCTGGCCAACATGGTAAAACTCCGTCTCCACTAAAAATACAAAAATTTGGCCAGGCGCGGTGGCTCACACCTATAATCCCAGTACTTTGGGAGGCCAAGGCGGGTGGATCACAAAGTCAGGAGTTCGAGACCAGCCTGGCCAAGATGGTGAAATCCCGTCTCTACTAAAAATACAAAAATTAGCCAGGCACAGTGGCAGGCACCTGTAATCCCAGCTACGCAGGAGGCTGAAGCAGGAGGAACGCTTGAACCTGGGAGGCAGAGGTTGCAGTGAGCCAAGATAGCACCACTGTACTCCAGCCTGGACAACAGACTGAGTGAGACTCTGTCTCAAAAAAAAAAAGAAAAAGAGAAAGAAAAGAAATAATTGAAAAAATAATAATTAGTAATATAAATCTGGAGTTGAACCAATTATAATTTCCTGTTTTAAGAAAACTGTATTCCTTCCCTAAGATAATTTCTATCTCCTTAATGTGAACATATACTTCAAAACATTTTGATCAAATAAAAGAGAACAGTGTGTTCTGCTGAGAAATCTAATGACAACTATAAACATATTATGAAAGAATATATTTATTTTTATTTTATTTTTTGTAGATACAGGGTCTCACTCACAGGCCCAGGCTGGTCTCGAACTCCCGGGCACAAGCAATCCTCCTGCCTTGGCCTCCCAAAGTGCTGGGATTACAGGCATGAGCCACCACACCTGGCTGTGAGAGAATTTATTTAATAGAGTAATGATTATCATCACACTAATACTCTCAAGTAAAATGTGCATTTGGTTTTAAAAAAACAAGTTTTAGAGTTTATGAATAATTAGCACACATTTAACACATACCACTTTATATGATTATTACAATGTAAATAGAAGCAATTACTTCAATTATCACTTAAAAATTACCTCAATTGGGCGGGGCACAGTGGCTCACGCCTGTAATCCCAGCACTTTGGGAGGCCAAGGTGGGCAGATCACCTGAGGTGAGGAGTTCAAGACCAGCCTAGCCAACATGGTAAAACCCCATCTCTACTAAAAATACAAAAATTAGCCGGGCATGGTGGCACGTGCCTGTAGTCCCAGCTACTGGGGAGGCTGAGGCAAGTGATTCTCCAATCACTTGAACCTGGAGGCAGTGGTTGCAGTGAGCCGAGATCGCTCCACTGCACTCCAGCCTGGGTGACAGAGCGAGACTTCGTCTCAAAAAAAGAAAAATTATGATAATAATATTACCTCAAATGCTACTAAAAAAATACAAAGAGAATTATTATGTATTCATCTCTTGTTATTTCAATCAGCAATACCACTGCTCCTTAGATATCCTGAAAAAAATCATCTTTTCATACTCTCCTCTGTTGCCCAGGCTGGAGTGCAGTGGCACGATCTCAGCTCACTGCAACCTTCCAGCTCCAGGGCTCAAGCGATTCTCCTGCCTCAGCCTCCCAAGTAGCTGAGATTACAGGTGTGTGCCACTACGCCCAGCTGATTTTTGTATTTTTAGTAGAAATGGGGTTTCACCATGTTGGCCAGGCTGATCTCGAACTCCTGACTTCAAGTGATCCACCCACCTTGGCCTCTCAAAGTGCTTGGATTATAGGCATGAGCCACCACACCTGGCCCTTTTCATACATTTATTCAATACACAACTACTGACGGCCTATTATGTGCCAGTAAACATAAGCAATATGGAGACAAAGTGTGATCACTGTTTTCAGCTCTCAGGGGGTTTACAAACTAAAGAAGAGCAGGAAAGCATGATATAAATGTTTTAGTTCTAAAATATCTATAACAGCAACATGTTGTGGAAGAACAAAGTAGTAGCCAGTTTCACTTAGAGAGACATTAAAAGGTTTCCCAACATGAGAACTGCAGAACTTAGCAAAAAGGGAAGAAAAACATACTGTTTACACTTAACTGTCAATAAATTACAGCTATTACAGTACACAAGCACTTTCCAAATTTTATTTCACTTAATTATCACAACAACCCTTTGGGACCAGCAGTTCACAATGAGAAACCAATGGTGTACAGGATAAATGAGTAGCCCAAGATGACGCATCTTGTAAATGGAAAGGCCAGGAATAAATTGAGCTCTGTGTAATTTGATATTCTTCCCACTATACCAGGTGGCCTAAACTGAGTTTTAAGAATAAATAAGACTTATCAGAGAAAAAAGGAGAAAAAACACAGCAGAGAGAAGAGGCATAAAGATATGACTCATGAATTATCTTAGAAGGGAAGGAAAACTATCTTGGACTATATGCATATACATATGAAATATATATACACACACATACATACTAATAAAAGAAATAATGACTTATAAACTAAGACAATTTATGAACTGAACTATGATTAAAAATTCCATACTCAAATTTACTTAAAGAGATTGCTCCATAATGGAGACCTTAAAGGAACCTACATTATGATTTCAAAAATGTCTGATTTACAAATCCTTTAATCATCAAACATGTTCATAAATAATTTTAATCAATTGAACCCATTAATTAAAATAAATCTAAGATAACATACAAATAAACATAATTCATTAAAGTTCTACTTTAACACTTATGCAATTACACTACATTTTAAAATTATGTTTCCTTTATTACAATTTCCTTTTTAAGCCCAAGAATGGTATAGTTATAAAGGTTAAACATGGAGTTTTTCATATGAAATAAATCTAAAAAATCAAACTCAACTTTTAACATTATTTGAGAGGAAAATAAATCGTACCTCTGCATTGTGTTTGGTTGTTATTTCTAACTTTTCTTTTTTAGCCCAATGGAGTTTCTTCCTGAGATTATCAGTAATATCCAACTCTGTTTCATTTTTAAGTATTTGTTTTACATCCAATGAGGCAATCTTCAACCTTTAAAATGAGATTACAGTAAAATGTATATGCTTCTCATAAAGCACATTTCAGAGCATTTCTGATATTTTTGATAACTTATTTTTCAAAAAACAAAGAGAACATGACATGGTTCTTGACTTAGAGTTCACAATCTAGTAAAAGATGTCCACTGCAAAAGCTATGTAGAAATACAAAGTAGTATATATATATAGATAGATACCTAGCAACAAACCACTGTCTAATGGGAAATTACCACATTATTCAAGATTGCTACTTAAATTGTCTGATCATATCACAAGCTGGATAATTTTGGAAGAGACTGGGTTCTCCCACTTTTTTTCTTTGTAAATAATACATTTTGTTTACTGCAAATGTAATACATAATACAAAAAGAAAAATGTCAGACTAAAGCACCCTACTCTCTCCCAAAAATAAAAATTAAAAATTAAAATAACAGCAAACAGAATTTAGAGGTATAAACTCACAAGAGAGAGAACACAAAAGATGAGATAATAGCAACCAATTACTGGAAGCTGAAATGCATGTGGACAAGTGGTAACTGATAACCCCCAAAAGCTCAGTAATTGGCAACACCTTTGAAAATGGAGGTAAAAGTAGAGCAGAAAACAGGAGAATTATTTGAAAGTCTGCCAACAAAATAATTACATCCTCAGATCCCCATCCCCTATACCACACAACTGGGTACCTATCTCTTTCCCAGTCTGGCAGAAAAACACTAGGGGTTTATTCCCTGGAGAGGATAAAACAGACGGTCTCTGGATCAGAAGACATTAGATACAAATGACCTAAGTTTTTCATACTATATACAAGAAGCTTGAGTTAAAAGTTATATAAGGAAAGAGCGCTCTAGAGTTTTAACACTACTTGTCTTGCCAGAATGTTCTTGCCAGAACGATGGCAGTCAAGCAGAAATTGGAAGTGTCTTCCCTACAGAACCTAAGCAACCAGGTGAAAAATACCTAAAGATACTGATGCCAGTGGTTCTCTAGAAAAACAGCTTAACCATATAACCCTACAGAGCATGCCACAAACACAAAGTCTCACACACTGAGCTTCCAGTCATCTTTTTAGGTTAAGCCCCTACTTTTCAATATAAGCAGACAGCCAACAATCACCAAAAGTTTAATAAGCATCTAATATGATAAGCAGAGACCAAAAATATGGTGCATAGAAAAGAAGCATGCCTTGAAAGACTATGCAGAAAGATGACAACTTAGAAGAGGGGAAAAAAAAAACTAACATTGTCTACTAAAAAAAATAGGAGTATATCATCCATATGTCACATCCATGACTGCAATAGGAAATGAAATATTCAGAGAAAAAAAAAACAGCTCTTAAAAAATCAAAAACAGCCAGGTGCAGTGGCTCACGCCTGGCCTCCAAGCACTTTGGGAGGCTGTGGCGGGCAGATCACTTGAGGCCAGGAGTTCAAGACCAGCCTGGCCAACATAGTGAAATCCTGCCTCTACTAAAAATATAAAAAATTAGCTGGATGTGGTGGCTCATGCTTGTAATCCCAGCTACTTGGGAGGCAAAGGCAGGAGAATCCTTGAACCCAGGAAGCAGAGGTTGCAGTGAGCAGAGATCACACCTTTGAACTCCACCCTGGGCAACAAGAGCAAAACTCCATCTCAAAAAAAAGAAAAGAAAAAGAAAAGTAATCAAAAACACAAACTAAGAAAACGAAAAACTAAACAAATAAAAATAAAAGAAAAATCTCCCAGAAAATAAAGCAAAAAAAGAGATGGAGATGAAAAATAGAAATTTTTTTTTTGTTTGTTTGTTTTTTGTTTTTTGTTTTTTTTTGAGACGGAGTCTCGCTCTGTCGCCCAGGCTGGAGTGCAGTGGCACGATCTCGGCTCACTGCAAGCTCCGCCTCCCGGGTTCACGCCATTCTCCTGCCTCAGCCTCCCGAGCAGCTGGGACTACAGGCGCCCGCCACCACGCCCGGCTAATTTTTTGCATTTTTAGTAGAGACGGGGTTTCACCGTGTTAGCCAGGATGGTCTCGATCTCCTGACCTCGTGATCCGCCCGCCTCGGCCTCCCAAAGTGCTGGGATTACAGGCGCGAGCCACCGCGCCCGGCCGAAAAATAGAAAATTTTTTAAATTAGAAGACTGTCCAAGAAGTTCAAAATCTAAAAAAAGGTGCAGAATGAAAAACAATAAATTTATAACATTAAATAGTCTTGTTATTTTGTAAGCATTGTTCTAAGCATTTTACATATATAAACTTATTTATTCTTCACAATAATCTCATGAGATTGGTACTTTTATGACCCCCTATTACCCAAGTTCACAGGGCTAGTGAGGGAGAGGCAGAGCTGAAATTCAAACCCTGAAACCCTGGCTCCATGATATATCCTCTTAACCACTGCACTACAATGTCTCTCTGAATGGGAGGAAACTATTACAGAAACAAATCCATGGAAATAGGCGGATTCCGAAGGATATAAGTTTCAAACCGAAAAGGCCTATTAAAAGAGCCCAGGTTAAATGCATGGAAATTTCAGAAAACAAGGAACAAAAAAGTAGTTCCTCCAAAGTCTAGAGAGAAATAAATAGGTTTTATACAAAAGACTAACAAATATGTTTGACTATAAAAATCCCTGAAAGACAACCTAGGCAATACCATCCTGGACACAGGAATGGGCAAAGATGTCATGACGAAGATGCCTAAAGCAATCACAACAAAAGCAAAAATTGACCAATGGGATCTAATTAAACTTAAGAGCTTCTTCGTGGCAAAAGAAACTATCAACAGTTTAAACAGCCTAGAGAATGGGAAAAAAAATTTGCAAATTATACATCTGACAAAGGTCTAATATCCAGCATCTATAAGCAACTTAAACAAATTTACAAGAAAAAAAAACATTAAAAAGTGGGCAAAGGACATAAAAAGACAATTTTCAAGAGAAGACATACATGCAGCCAACAAGCATATGAAACAAAGCTCAGTATCAGTGATCATTAGAGAAACGCAAATCAAAACCACAATGAGATACCATCTCACACCAGTCAGAATGGCCATTATCAAAAAGTCAAAAAATAAGGCTGGGTGCGGTGGCTCACGCCTGTAATCCCAGCACTTTGGGAGGCCAAGGCGGGTGGATCACGAGGTCAGGAGATCGAGACCATCCTGGCTAACACGGTGAAACCCCATCTCTACTAAAAATACAAAAAATTCTCCAGGCGTGGTGGCGGGCACCTGTAGTCCCAGCTACTCCGGAGGCTGAGGCAGGAGAATGGCCTAAGCCCGGGAGGCGGAGCTTGCAGCGAGCCAAGATCGCGCCACTGCACTCCAGCCTGGGCAACAGAGCAAGACTCCGCCTCAAAAAAAAAAAAAAAAAAAAAGATGTATTGGAGATGTAGATGGTGCAATCATGCAATGTAAAAGAAATAAAAGGCATGCATACTGGAAAAGAAGAAGTAAAACTGTCTTTAATTACAAAGGACATGATTCTGAAAGAAAATTCTAGAAATCCACTAAGAAAAAACAGACTAGAACTAAAATCAATTTCAGCAAGGTCACAGAATACAAGATCAATAAACAAAAATCAATTATACTTCTATATCCTAGTAATGAACAATCCAAAAACAAAATTAAGAAAACAATTCCATTTATAACAGCATCAAAAAGAATAAAATAAATTTAACAAAAGAAATGCAAGGCCAGGGATGGTGGCTCATGCCTGATGCCAGCACTTTGGGAAGCCAAGGCAGGAGGATCACTTGAGGCCAGGAGTTCAAGACCAGCCTGAGAAACATAGCAAGATCTTGTCTCTACAAAAATAAAAAAAATTGGCCAGCCATGGTGGTACATGCCTGTAGTCCTAGCTACTAAGGAGGCTGAGGCAGGAGGGTCACTTGAGCTCAGGAGTTGAGGCCACAGTGAGCTAAGATCATGCCACTGTACTCTAGCCTGGGCAACAGAGCAAGACCTTGTCTCAAAAAAAAAAAATAGTGAAAGATTTTTACACTGAAAAATACAAAATGTTGTTCAAAGGAGTTGAAAAGCTAAACAAGTGGAAAGACATTCCACCATACTCACATTCATGTAAGGAAAACTCAATATTATTAAAATGGCAATTCTCCCCAAATTATTCTACATATTCAATATAATCCCTATTAAAACCCCAACAGACATTTTTGCAGAAACTGAAAAGCTGATCCTAAAATTCATATGGAAAGACAAAGAATTCAAAATAGCCAAAACAATCTTGAAGAACAAATGGGAAAACTTTTGATTCCTAATTTCAAAACTTACTATAAAGCTACAGTAATCAAGACAATGTGATATTGGATTAAGAACAGACATGTACGCCTGTAATCCCAGCACTGTGGGAGGCTGAGGCCGGTGGATCACAAGGTCAGGAGTTCAAGACCAGCCTGCCCAAGATTGTGAAACCCCGTCTCTACTAAAAATACAAAAATTAGCTGGGCACAGTAGCAGGTGCCTGTAATCCCAGCTACTCGGGAGGTTGAGGCAGGAGAATCACCTGAACCCGGGGGACAGAGGTTGCAGTGAGATCACGCCACTGCACTCCAGCCTTGACAACACAGTGAGACTCTGCCTCAAAAAAAAAAAAAAAAAGGACATGTAGATCAATATATCAGAGTTAAGACTCTAGAAATAAACCTATACTTAAATAGTTAAGTAATTTTCAACAGAAGTATCAAGGCAATTCAACGGGGAAATGTTACTCTTATCAACAACGCTGCTGGAACAACTGGCTACGCACATGCAAAGAGACAAATTTAGACCCTTACCTCGTACAAAAAGTAACTTAAAATAGAGCACTAAATATAAGAGCTAAAATTATAAAACTTCTAGAAGAAAACATAGAAGAAAAATCTTCATGACCTTAGGTTAGTCAGAGATTTCTTATATACAAAACCAAAAGCACAACTCCTATAGGAAAAGAACTGATAAACTGGACTTCATCAAAGTTAAAAACTTGTGCATTTCCAAAGACACTATTAAGAAAACAAAAAGTCAAGCCACTAAACAGGAGAAAAATGTTTGCATATCATATATCTTATTTTTTGTTGTTGTTGTTGTTGAGACAAAGTCTCGCTCTGTCACCCTGGCTCAAGTACAGTGGCATGATCTAGGCTCACTGCAATCTCCGCCTCCCAGCTTCAAACAATTCTCATGCCTCAGCCTCTGGAGTAGCTGGGACCACACAGGCACACCACCACGCCTGGCTAATTTTTGTATTTTTTTGTAGAGATGGGGTTTCGCCATATTGGCCAGGCTGGTCTCGAACTCCTGGGCTCAAGCAATCCACCCACCTCAGCCTCCCAAAGTGCTGGGATTACAGGCATGAGTTACTGCACCAGGCCAGCAAATCATGTATCTGATAAAGGACTTGCATTCCAAATATACAAACACTCCTAAAGCTCAATAACATAAAAAAAAAAAACACAATTTAAAAATAAACAGATCTGAAGAGACATTTCACCAATGAAGATACATGAATTACCAAAAAGCACATGCAAAGATGTTCAACATCGTTAATCATTAGGAAAATTCAAATTATAACCACAATAACATATAACTTCACACTCACCAAAATGGCTAAATTGAAATAGATAAAAACCAGTATTGGTCAGGTTATAGAGAAATTAAAACCCTCAATTATTGCTAGTGATAATATAAAATGACCCAGCCACTTCAGAACACAATTTGGCAGTTTCTTGAAAATTTTAACATAAATTTACTATATGATACAGCATTGCTGCTCCTAAGAATCTACCTAAGGGAAACAAAAACATATGTCAACACAAAGACATATGCAAACATGCACAGCAGCATTATTCATAGTACCCAAAAAGTGGAAACAACTCAAATGTCTGTCAACTGGCAGATGGGCATAATGTGGCATATCCATACAATGGAATACAATCAGCAATAAAAAGAAACGAAGGGCTGCTACGTGTTACAACTTTACAAAACTCAGGAATATGCCCTGTAAAAGAAGCCACAAAAGACCATCTATTATGTGATTCCATTCACATGAATTGTTCAAAAAAGGCAAATCTATAGAAACAGAAAGTAGATTAGTAGCAGATTTTAAATAACTGTATCCAGATTCTCTAATTATAAAAAGTAATTCAGCCATTAAAAATGATGACAAGCCGGAGCAATGGTGCGTGCCTACAGTTCCAGCTACTTGGGAGGCTGATGCAGGAGGATTGCCTGAGGCCAGGAGTTCTCAGACAGCCTGGGCAACATAACAAGACCCCACTTCAGAAAAATTTAAAAACTTTGATACATTGATGTGGTAAGAAGTTTCCCCAAAATTGAAAAAGCAGGATACTAAATAAGGTGAAATATTCTAATTTGTAAATACATATTTAAAATTAGCCAGGCGTGGCAGCAGGCGCCTATAATCCCAGCTACTTAGGAGGCTGAGGCAGGGGAATCACTTGAACTCGGGAGGCGGAGGTTGCAGGGAACCAAGATCATGCCACTGCACTCCAATCTGGGCGACAGAGCAAGATTCTGTCTCAAAAAAAAAAAAAAAAAAAAGTGGGGGGTGGGTAGCTTCAAAAGCTAAGTGGAAAACAAATTTACGGGTAAATTACATGTTAGTCTTGGTACTTGTCCCACCCACACATCCTTGCTGAAAAGGCAGTCTAGATCAGTCCTTCTCAAACTAAATATGAGGAAGGACTATCTTCACCCCATCCATGATGATTTTGTAAAATACATTTAATGCATTATTTTTAAAGAAATTTTAAAAACAGACAGAATACAACCCCAAATGTTTTACTCTTAGATTCAGCAGACAGAATATTACTCTGTTACATGACTATAAAAGTTTCTAAACATTTACTTTTAATTTCAGTACTTATTTCTTTGTAAAGCACACTTAGGAGAGAGTGGCACTGCCCTATGTGGTCCAGTTTTGTATTATAGACTCCACCCACCAAAGGTGAATGAACTAAAGGTAGGCGCCACGCCCAAAGGCAGAAATCAATGGTACAAAAAAGATGAGCAACAGCAATTAGGCGTTACGTCTTGAAGGGTAAACTGAGAGATACCAAGTAAGGAAGCGAAACAGCAACAGGAGCTAAGACTAAATGAATGCTTAAGCAGTAGCCATGAATTAGAGCTGGGCCAATGAAGAAAGAGGAATTAAAGCCACAGAGGTTAAAGAAAACAAAACAGAAATATAAATAAAAAATACAAGGGAAACATTTAAAGTAGTGGAAAAGAACAAGCAAGTCTCTAGTAACAGGACAAAGTTCAGACACACAGACTTTTGTGGTCCAAATTAACAGAGGAGCACAAAATCCCCATAAAGTCTCTAGAATCAGTTCCAATTCTTATGAGGCTTCATTCATGCTCCTTCAGTCCCACAGAATTTCTACTCCCCTTACCATCCCATGAGAATTCTTACAGTTAGCTCTACAACCACTGACTTCTCCCTGTTCCTTGCAACTAAAAACGTTCATCAACTAAAAGAAGAGACTAGAGGCTTACCTTTGGGTATCACCAGTATTACTTGAAGTATTCAAATTCATGATGTTTTCCAACTCTTTCAAAATACCCTGCTATTTCTTAATGACATATTTCTTTCTTGATGATTAAAATTGCCCAAGATGTCTGTGGCTTCACGTTAGATGATTTGAGGTCTGTTAAAATAGTAAATGATACAATAGCAGTTTGAGTCCTGATACTATTGGAGATTTTTCTTGTTTTTTGGTTTATTTTGGAAAGATGTAATAATTGATAAGTGAAATTGTAGGTGTATAGAGATATCTAGACCTCAGAAGATCACCAAAAGAAAAGGAACTCAAATAAGCAGACTGAGATGGAGACTGTATCTCAGTGCTGAGAAATGACTAACAGCTCCTACATATAGATCCAAAGGATCTTTACAACAGTGATTCACGTGGCTGACTGAACAGTCTGACCTAGGACAGAGGTTGAAATTTTGGCCAAGATGATGTGGGAATGGGGAGATCTCATCTATCCAGGGACCTGAAAGACTAGGTTGGAAATAGTGGTAGACAAATGAATACCACCGTCATTCATCTACTGAACACCTACTACAGCGTCAAGCACTGTAATTGGTATTTTATATATAGCATTGTGATCCTTACAACACTGCAATGTAAGGATTATCCCATTTTTCTACCAAGAAAACCAAGACTGAGATTAAAAGTAACTTGAGCCGGGTGCGGTGGCTCACGACTGTAATCCCAGCACTTTGGGAGGCAGAGGCAGGCAGATCACCTGAGGTCGGGAGTTCTAAACCAGCCTGACCAACATGGAGAAACCCCACCTCTACTAAAAATATAAAATTAGCCAGGCGGGGTGGCACATGCCTGTAATCCCAGCTACTCAGGAGGCTGAGGTGGAAGAATTGCTTGAACCTGGGAGGCGGAGGTTGCAGTGAGCCAAGATTGCACCATTGCACTCAAGCCTGGCCAACAAGAGAGAAACTCCGTGTCAAAAAAAAAAAAAAAAGAAGTAACTTGAAAAAGTCACATAGTTACAGAACCAAGATTCCAATTCATAACTCTCTGACACTGAAGTTCAAGTTCTTTCTAACAGGCCACTGATGACACATAAACCTGAACTATAAGTTATCTTACGTGAGGGTTATTATCCTCACTTTATAAGAAAACTCATCTGATTCAGAGACGCTCAACTGTCTTGCCCAAAGCCATTCAGCTATTAAGTGGGGGGCACCAAGGAGTCTATCAAGCTCTTCAGATATTGTCCCAAAATCTTGTCACATTATCACCACGCTCCTGAAGGTCAGACCCCAGGGAAACTTCCTTCAGAATGAAAGTAAGAGTTAGAACCCAGAAGGAATGGACCCTTCTGTATTTAAGAGTAATGTCCAAGGCACAAAAACACATACATGAAATGTTCCTGTTTTGTTGAAAAGCTTAAATACACATATGCAGAGGTAGCACAACAGGCATAAACAGACCTCTATTTACCTCTTAGGAAAATAATTTCAGATAGTTAGGGCCTTAATCATGTTTTCGTATATTGGGCAGAGAAGTGTGGCAAGTAGAGGTTACGAAACTTTTAATAAAGTTGTTTCAATAAAGTTAAAGGGAATCATCATACTTCAGTGCATTATTTTGGCACCTAACATCTTCAAATCTGAATGGTCCTCTAGAGAGATAGCATCTTCCATAGCTCAGAAGCAAGTTTCATCTACTTCTAGCTCACTGATATATAACCAGGAGAATACAGCAAAGATGAAGGGATGCCACTCTTATGATTACATTATATAAGACTTTTATCTTAGCAGACTGAATGACAATCTCCTGCTGACCTTAAAGAAGCAAAGTGTCAGGCCAGGCGCGGTGGGTCACACCTGTAATCCCAGCACTTAGGGAGGCCGAGGTGGGTGGATCACGAGGTCAGGAGGTAGAGACCAGTCTGGCTAAGATGGTGAAACCCCGACTCTACTAAAAATAAAGAAAATTAGCTGGGCGTGATGGTGGGCGCCTATAATCCCAGCTACTCAGGAGGTTGAGATAGGAGAATCGCTTGAACCCAGGAGGTGGAGACTGCAGTGAGCCAAGATTGCGCCACTGCACTCCAGCCTGGGCTACAGAGTAAGACTCCATCTTAAAAAAAAAAGAAGCAAAATGTCATGCTGTGAACTGCCCATGGAAGAAGCCACATGGCAAAGAACTGCAGGCAGCATCTTGGACCTAAGGTGAAAAAATCTTGAGTAACAGGCAGGTAAGAAGGAAAATGGGTTTCCACACCAGCTCTGCCTGTGTGTCTTTTATCAAGTCTTTCTTTTTTTTTTAATTTTCTTCATCTTCCTCGCTGATATCAGCCCCTGATGACACAGAGAACAAGGATTTACTTCTCTGTGTGTTTTAGGAAGACTAAATCAATGAAGGACCAAAGTTGATACGGTCAGTGGCTGAATATGAACTATGATGGGATTCCCATGCAATCGAGCATGGCAGAGAAGGTGCAGTAAAATCTCCTCCCTCTTCTTCCACCAGGTAAAAAGGCAAGGAATGATGAGGACAGTCAAGTTCAGAGTTACAGGATAGTAATGAAAATGTCAATGGAATACAAAGTTAAGTTAAAGAACTACAGTGCCCTTAAAGAGTATTTATTTCTAGCTTTACTTGGAACTTCCCTGTGAAACTCCACAAAGTTAAAATACACAATTTGGTCAAACTATGTCAGTGATTAAAAATTCCTCATGACATGCAATCAAAATCAGCCTTTCTCTTCTTCAATATTTGTTGAACTCTAAATATTACTTTCCATTTGAAAACATTCAATTGATCATTACTTGTGAACAAACTATATGATACAAAGTCATTCCCTGCTGTCATCATTCCAACTGTCACAAAACTCCCTTCTCCAGGCATCGTATTAAAAACTTTCTACATATTGTCTCATTTCACTCTACACCAACCCCAAGGGGAAGATAATACTAATATCCATACTTTATACATGAGGAAACCAGGGCTTAAAGATAAGCAGTCACGGAGGAGGTTCCAAGATGGCCAAATAGGAACAGCTCCAGTCTGTAGCTCCCAGCGTGAGCGACACAAAAGACGAATGATTTCTGCATTTCCAACTGAGCTTCCGCTAGTGATATCCAGGCAAACAGGGTCTGAAGTGCACCTCCAGCAAACTCCAACAGACCTGCAGCTGAGGGTCCTGACTGTTAGAAGGAAAACGAATAAACATCCACATGAAAACCTCATCTGTATGTCACCATCAACAAAGACCAAAGGTAGATAAAACCACAAAGATGGGAGAAACCAGAGCAGAAAAGCTGAAAATTCTAAAAATCAGAGCGCCTCTCCCCCTCCAAAAGAACGCAGCTCCTCACCAGCAACGGAACAAAGCTGGACTGGGAATGACTTTGATGAGTTAAGAGAAGAAGGCTTCAGACGATGGGTAATAATAAACTTCTCCGAGCTAAAGGAGGATGTTCAAACCCATCGCAAAGAAGCTAAAAACCTTGAAAAAAGATTAGATGAATGGCTAACTAGAATAAACAGTGTAGAGAAATCCCTGAATGACCTGATGGAGCTGAAAACGATGGCAAGAGAACTATGTGACGAATGCACAAGCTTCAGTAGCCGATTTGATCAAGTGGAAGAAGGAGTATCATTGATTGAAGAACAAATGAATGAAATGAAAAGAGAAGAGAAATTTAGAGAAAAAAGAGTAAAAAGAAATGAACAAAGCCTCCAAGAAATACAGGACTATGTGAAAAGACCAAAACTACGTCTGATTGGTGTACCTGAAAGTGACGGGGAGAATGGAACCCAGTGGAAAACACCCTTCAGGATATCATCCAGGAGAGCTTCCCCAACCTAGTGAGGCAGGCCAACATTCAAATTCAGGAAATACAGAGAACGCCACAAAGATACTCCACAAGAAGAGCAACTCCAAGACACATAATTGTCAGATTCACCAAAGTTGAAATGAAGGAAAAAATATTAAGGGCAGCCAGAAACGTCAGGTTACCCACAAAGGGAAGCCCATCAGACTAACAGCGGATCTCTCAGCAGAAACTCTACAAGCCAGAAGAGAGTGAGGGCCAATATTCAACATTCTTAAAGAAAAGAATTTTCAACCCAGAATTTCATATCCAGCCAAACTAAGCTTCATAAGTGAAGGAGAAATAAAATCCTTTTCAGACAAACAAATATTGAGAGATTCTGTCACCACCAGGCCTGCCTTACAAGAGCTCCTGAAGGAAGCACTAAACATGGAAAGGAACAACCGGTACCAGCCACTGCAAAAACATGCCAAATTGTAAAGACCATCGAGCCTAGGAAAAAAACTGCATCAACTAATGAGCAAAATAACCAGCTAACATCATAATGACAGGATCAAATTCACACATACCAATATTAACTTTAAATGTAAATGGGCTAAATGCTCCAATTAAAAGACACAGACTGGCAAATTGGATACAGTCAAGACCCATCAGTGTGCTGTACTGAGGAGACCTATCTCACGTGCAGAGACACACATAGGCTTAAAATAAAGGGACGGAGTAAGATCTGCCAAGCAAATGGAAAACAAAAAAAAGCCAGGGTTGCAATCCTAATCTCTGATAAGACAGACTTTAAACTAACAAAGATCAAAAGAGACAAAGAAGGCCATTACATAATGGTAAAGGGATCAGTTCAACAAGAAGAGCTAACTATCCTAAATATATATGCACCCAATACGGGAGCAGCCAGATTCATAAAGCAAGTCTTAGAGACCTACAAAGAGACTTAGACTCCCATACAATAATAATGGGAGACTTTAAAACCCCACTGTAAACATTAGACAGATCAATGAGACAGAAAGTTAACAAGGATATCCAGGAATTGAACTCAGCTCTGCACCAAGCAGACCTAACAGACATCTACAGAATTCTCCACCCCAAATCAACAGAATATACATTCTTCTCGGCACCACATCACACTTATTCCAAAATTGACCACATAGTTGGAAGTAAAGCACTCCTCAGCAAATGTAAAAGAACAGAAATTATAACAAACTGTCTCTCAGACCACACTGCAATCAAACTACAACTCAGGATTAAGAAACTCACTCACAACCGCTCAACTACGTGGAAACTGAACAACCTGCTCCTGAATGACTGCTGGGTACATAACGAAATGAAGGCAGAAATAAAGATGTTCTTTGAAACCAATGAGAACAAAGACACAACATACCAGAATCTCTGGGACACATTCAAAGCAGTGTGTAGAGGGAAATTTATAGCACTAAATGCCCACAAGAGAAAGCAGGAAAGATCTAAAATTGATACCCTAACATCACAATTAAAAGAACTAGAGAAGCAACAGCAAACACATTCAAAAGCTAGCAGAAGGCAAGAAATAACTAAGATCAGAGCAGAACTGAAGGAGATAGAGACACAAAAAAACCCTTCAAAATATCAGTGAATCCAGGAGCTGGTTTTTGGAAAAGATCAACAAAATTGCTAGACCACTAGCAAGACTAATAAAGAAGAAAAGAGAGAAGAATCAAAGATGTAATAAAAAAAGATAAAGGGGATATCACCACTGATCCCACAGAAATACAAACTACCATCAGAGAATACTATGAACACCACTACGCAAATAAACTAGAAAATCTAGAGGAAATGGATAAATTCCTGGACACATACACCCACCCAAGACTAAACCAGGAAGAAGTTGAATCCCTGAAAAGACCAATAACAGGTTCTGAAATTGAGGCAATAATAGCCTACCAACCAAAAAATATCCAGGACCAGACGGATTCACTGCCAAATTCTACCAGAGGTACAAAGAGGAGCTGGTACCATTCCTTCTGAAACTATTCCAAACAATAGAAAAAGAGGGAATCCTCCCTAATTCATTTTATGAGGCCAGCATCATCCTGATACCAAAGCCTGGCAGAGACACAACAAAAAAAGAGAATTTTAGCCAATATCCCTGATGAACATTGATGCAAAAATCCTCAATAAAATACTGGCAAACCAAATCCAGCAGCACATCAAAAAGCTTATCCACCACGATCAAGTTGGCTTCATCCCTGGGATGGAAGGCTGGTTCAACATACGCAAATCAATAAACGTAATCCATCACATAAACAGAACCAATGACAAAAACCACATGATTATCTCAATAGATGCAGAAAAGGCCTTTGACAAAATTCAACAACACTTCATGCTAAAAACTCTCAATAAATTAGGTATTGATGGGACGTATCTCAAAATAATAAGAGCTCTTTATGACAAACCCACAGCCAATATCATACTGAATGGGCAAAAACTGGAAACATTCCCTTTGAAAACTGGCACAAGACAGGGATGCCCCCTCTCACCACTCCTATTCAACATAGTGTTGGAACTTCTGGCCAGGGCAATCAGGCAGGAGAAAGAAATAAAGGGTATTCAATGAGGAAAAGAGGAAGTCAAATTGTCCTTGTTTGCAGGTGACATGATTGTATATTTAGAAAACCCCATCGTCTCAGCACAAAATCTCCTTAAGCTGATAAGCAACTTCAGCAAAGTCTCAGGATACAAAATCAATGTGCAAAAATCACAAGCATTCTTATACACCAATAACAGACAGAAAGCCAAATCATGAGTGAATTCCCATTCCCAATTGCTACAAAGAGAGTAAAATACCTAGGAATCCAACTTACAAAGGAAGTGAAGGACCTCTTCAAGGAGAACTACAAACCACTGCTCAACAAAATAAAAGAGGACACAAACAAATGGAAGAACATTCCATGCTCATGGATAGGAAGAATTAATATTGTGAAAATGGCCATACTCCCCAAGGTAATTTATAGATTCAGTGCCATCCCCATCAAGCTACCAATGACTTTCTTCACAGAATTGGAAAAAACTACTTTAAAATTCATATGGAACCAAAAAAGAGCCCACATTGCCAAGACAATCCTAAGCAAAAAGAACAAAGCTGGAGGCATCACACTACCTGACTTCAAACTATACTACAAGGCTACAGTCACCAAAACAGCATGGTACTGGTAACAAAACAGATATATAGACCAATGGAACAGAATAGAGCCCTCAGAAATAATACCACACATCTACAACCATCTGATCTTTGACAAACCTGACAAAAACAAGCAATGGGGAAAGGATTCCCTATTTAATAAATGGTGTTGGGAAAACTGGCTAGCCATATGCAGAAAGCTGAAACTGGAACCCTTCCTTATACCTTACACAAAAATTAAGTCAAGATGGATTAACGACTTAAATGTTAGACCTAAAACCATAAAAACCCTAGAAGAAAATCTAGGCAATACCATTCAGGACATAGGCATGGGCAAGGACTTCATGACTAAAACACCAAAAGCAATGGCAACAAAAGCCAAAATTGACAAATGAGATCTAATTAAACTAAAGAGCTTCTGCACAGCAAAAGAAACTACCATCAGAGTGAACAGGCAACCTACAGAATGGGAGAAAATTTTTACAATCTACCCATCTGACAAAGGGCTAATATCCAGAATCTACAAAGAACTTAAACAAATTTACAAGAAAAAATCAAACAACCCCATCAAAAAGTGGGCAAAGGATATGAACAGACATTTCTCAAAAGAATATATTTATGCAGCCAACAGACACATGAAAAAATACTCATCATCACTGGCCATCAGAGAAATGCAAATCAAAACCACAATGAGATACCATCTCACACCAGTTAGAATGGCGATCATTAAAAAGTCAGGAAACAACAGGTGCTAGAGAGGATGTGGAGAAATAGGAACACTTTTACACCGTTGGTGGGACTGTAAACTAGTTCAACCATTGTGGAAGACAGTATGGCGACTCCTCAAGGATCTAGAACTAGAAATACCATTTGACCCAGCCATCCCATCACTGGCAGCCAGAGAGAAAGGTCAGGTTACCCACAAAGGGAAGCCCATCAGACTAACAGCGGACCTCTCGGCAGAAACTGTAAATCATGCTGCTATAAAGACACATGCACACATATGTTTATTGCGGCACCATTCACCATAGCAAACACTTGGAACCAACCCAAATGTCCATCAATGATAGACTGGATTAAGAAAATGTGGCACATATACACCATGGAATACTATGTAGCCATAAAAAAGGATGAGTTCATGTCCTTTGTAGGGAGATGGATAAAGCTAGAAACCATCATTCTGAGCAAAATATCGCAAGGACAGAAAACCAAACACCGCATGTTCTCACTCTTAGGTAGGAATTGAACAACGAGAATACTTGGACACAGGGTGGGGAACATCACACACCGGGGCCTGGCAGAGAGTGGGGGAAGGTGGGAGGTATAGCATTAGGAGATATACTTAATGTAAATGACGAGTTAACAGGTGCAGCACACCAACATGGCACATGTATGCATATGTAACAAACCTGCACATTGTGCACATGTACTCTATAACTTAAAGTATAATAATAAAAGAAATAAAAATAGATACTCAGTCACTTGACTAAAGTCACATCTCTCACATCTCTAGTGACAGGGTCAGGATTTACACCCAAGTTAGCTGACTCCAGAGCTCTGCTGTGTGCCTTGCTATTGGCCCTCAAGACACAGTTCATCCCAGTCAGGGAAGCATGTAAGACCTCACTTATCAGGGAAGCATTTCTGCTCTTTGCTGGAGATTTCTTAAAAATATCATTTTTCCCCGTATCGAAACTGACAAGCCATGGCCTTCTCAACAAAAGATTACTCAGACCTTCAGTCGATTCTCAATCCAGATAGCACCTTCACAGTTCTGGACCAAAACCAGGCCATCCTGTAGCAGTAATAGATAAAGAAAGGCAAGGTTCAAATTAGCTTTTTATGTTAATGTATTAATAGATTAATCTTTTTTTGATAGTGGAGTTGAACTAATCTCACCATTCCTACTAAAATAGATGATGGGATATTATGTGTATCATTCATCAATGAGAAGCATTTTTAAAAATAGATAAAAGGGTAATTGAGGCCAAGGGATCAGTGATCCCGACATCCTGAGAGGAGGTGCCAGCCAGAAAGGCGAATCTACTTTAGATTTCGGAGCCACTACTGGTAAAAAATTTTTCTACCTTACATCTGAGTCCTTCAGTTGGTCATCCCAAATGCACTCATCTTTCAGTGTGTCTGCACAGATCAGAGGAAAAACGAGGGATGGGTGGATGAAAAAATAGAAATTCCTATTATTGAGCCACTTACTATATGCCAGATACTGAGATCAGCATTCCTGATCTCATTTAATCCCAACATCTCTATGAGATTATGCACATTTCACAGATAAGAAAACTGAGGCTTGGAGATGTTGAATAATTTGTGTAAAAATATTCAGCCGGAAAATGAGAATTCAAATCCACATCTGGCTAAGTCCATCCTCTTTCACTACGCAGTGCTGTCTTCATTAGTAACCACACCTGTGTTGGAAGTGTTTCTCAGCATAGGTACATAATCAACCTTTAAAGGGGAAGTTTGGTTCTTACATCAAAACAAGACCAAGACCAAGGGACTGAGACAACCAAAACGTTTTAGAATCAAATGAGACTTTAGAGACTAAGTCCTTCCTCCTTATCTGACAGATAAAGAACCTAACGCCTAGGAAGGTTAGGTGGTTTGCCTGTGGGGACGCAGCTCATAAATGGCTGAGCCCCAAGACTAACACAGAAAGCTACAAACTAAGACTATGCCCTTCATCTTTCCTCTTAGCAGGTTGCACTGCCTTTGTTTCCTCTGCATTTTATGAAAAACCATGTTCATCTTCTGCTCTACCACTGTTTTGTTGAGAGTAGGAACTAACAGTTAAATAAAATAAGTGACATGCCGGGCGCAGTGGCTCACGCCTGTAATCCCAGCACTTTGGGAGGCCGAGGCGGGCGGATCACGATGTCAGGAGATCGAGACCATCCTGGCTAACACAGTGAAACCCCGTCTCCACTAAAAATACAAAAAAATTAGCCGGGCGTGGCGGCGTGCGCCGGTTGTCCCGGCTGCTGGGGAGGCTGAGACAGGAGAATGGCGTGAACCCGGGAGGCGGAGCTTGCAGTGAGCCGAGATCGCGCCACTGCACTCCAGCCTGGGTGACAGAGCAAGACTCCATCTCAAAAAAAAAAAAAAGTGACAAAATCGTATGTTCTTTTCTCCAATATTATGAAAACCATAAAACATCGGTATGTCATGTATTCAAAAGAGCTGGACACCAACTCTAATAAACAAAATAAAGACGTATTTATCTCATTTACCTAAAATGTATACATGAAATATGTATTTTCTTAGGATCAATATCATAATGGAATAAAAAAATTCAAAAAGTCGGCTCCATTTCTGCAGAAAATTTACAGCTTCGGGAAAACGCACAGCTGACTCAGATTCTAAGTCTCTCAGAGTCCTGGAGGGTAGGTAGAAGCTGCAGGTGACAGTCTAGCACAACTCATTCCCGTTTATCAAACATCTGTAGAGTGTCTAGTGTGTGGCCGGCATTTAAAAAGGGGAGAGCGGGCTGAAAGACGTGGTCCCTATCCTCGAGGGGCTTACTGATTCTCGGGAACGAAAGCGCTCCGCAGCAGTAACCCTAAGAAGCTCCAAATCCCGGTCCTCTGCCTCCCCTCTGGTCCCCATCCGGCGCTCTGGTACAGCCTCAGCGATCTCTGGCTAGGATGCTCCACGGAGATCTTCCTCCAGGTGGGCGGGGAGACCCAGCCCAGGGAGCTGGAGGCGTGCCCCAAAGCCTACGCCAACAGCCCCAGGGCCGCCCCAAACTCACTCAGGGGCCCCTACAACCCTCTCAACACCTCCCTCCCAAGTCGTCCGCCTCGAAGCCCCCACACCGTGCGGTTACCTCAGGGGTCTCGCGTGATCCGTGCTGCACACCCAAGACCCCAGGGGCCGCTCCAAGTCTCACGGGTGAAAGGAGGCCCAGGCAGCCCACGGGAATAAGAGCAAAAACTGTTGGAACACGACGGACTCCAGGACCCGGGAGGAGGGGGACAAACAGCAAAGGGGTACAGAAGGGGAAGAGCCCCCGGGAGGTGAAGTTTACAACTGCCACTTCCGGAGCTGAAAACACTCCGCTTCTCTCGCAGACCTTCCCAGACTTTCACAGGTCAGCCCAACTCAGGCCCGGCCCCACTTTTTCCTCCCGCCTCCCGCAGCCCTCAGCTTGCAGCTCCTGGATACGTACTCCGAGAACGCTGGCTCGGATTGGAAGAGCCCGCCCGCCAAGCAGCGCGCCTTCGCTGAGGGACGAACGGGCGCATGCGCCGTTGCTGGGGAGCGGCGGGCTCGCGACCGCACGCGCTCTCGCTCCAGGAGCTCCGCGTCCCCGCGCGGGGGTGCGCCCTGCCCACGCGCTGCTGTGGCTTTTCAGCGTGAGGTGTCCGCGTTCCTGTCTCAGTCGCCAGAGCCGAGTGGAAATGCAGATTTCCAGCTTCTAACCCCTTTTCCCTGCCTGCTGAATAAAAACCTAAGAGGTCGGATCCCAGATCCTGCTTTTTGAAACTGGTTCTTCTGCCCATCTTTAGAGCCACAGCAACGGTGGGCTGGTCCCGGGGCCTGGGGAGAAATTCTCTGGGCTCGGGTTCTGCCCAACTGCCTGGTTTACCTCTGTCTGGACAGCTCTCTGCCTGCACAGGGCATCCTGTCCCCTCTTCCCGTCCCCATTGTATCCCAGCTGGGAGTGGTGAGCAGGGTCGGAAGAATGCATTGATGCTGCTTGCAGTGCGTTTCATTATCAACATTACGTAACCAGGCACATCGTGGAAAACGCCTCGGAGCCTTAGCATGTGTGTTCCCTATCTCTTTCCTCGCTTCTCTCACTTTTCTCTGACACACACACACACACACACACACACACACACACACACACACACACCGTCCTCTTATTGATAATTTATACTTTGGTTCCTCCCGGTGGCTGCTTCACAATCTGCTGCCGCCTAAGGGAGACTGGAAAACCAACTCCTCTTTTGTTCCTTAACTTTTGAAAGCCTATTCTTCCAGAGAACAATGCAAATTGACAGGATTTGGTCAAAGATTTTTATCTTCACCACCACCACCTCCTCTGCACAAAAAGGTGTTTAATGCAAAACGAGCCTTCTATACTAAACTGGGTCCTTGTTGATTGTAATCAACCTGAAACCAGGTGTAGGGGCCGTCTTTTCTCTCTCCCATGGGAGAGCCAACGGTCATAAATGCAAACACAAATTGAGATTAAAACCTCCTTGATTCTTGTAGCACTGAAACCTTAATTGGTTTGATTTTAGTCATTTACATCTAAAACGGAGGCCTGTCCCTGATTCTTTTTACTAGAGCCATAAAGAGGACAATTGCTCCAGAGGAAATAAAGGGAAAAAATAGCCCACTCTAAAGTTTAGAAATGAAATGGAAAATTACAACTGACTAATGAGATTAGAACTTTTATGTTACAAGCTTTAAAAAATATTTTTAAATTTTATTTTTTTCTTTTTCTTTTTTTTTTTTTTTTTTTTGAAACAGGGTTGTTCTCTGTTGCCCAGGCTAGAGTACAGCGGCACAATCACGCCTCGCTGCAGCCTAGACCTTCAGGACTCAAGCCATCCTCCTGCCTCAGCCTCCTGAGTAGCTGGAACTACTTAAAATTTCATTTGTGTTGGCCGGGCGCGGTGGCTCACGTCTGTAATCCCAGCACTTTGGGAGGCCGAGGTGGGCGGATCATGAGGTCAGGGGACCGAGACCATCCTGGCTGACACGGTGAAACCCTGTCTCTACTAAAAATACAAAAAAAATTAGCTGGGCGTGGTGGCGGGCGCCTGTAGTCCCAGCTACTCGGGAGGCTGAGGCAGGAGAATGGCGTGAACCCGGGTGGTGGAGCTTGCAGTGAGCCGAGATTGCGTCACTGCACTCCAGCCTGGGCGACAGAGCGCGACTCCGTCTCAAAAAAAAAAAAAAAAAAATTATTTGTGTTTTAACAAAGTCACAAAAGTGAATATTGTATCGCAAGAATAAATGCTATGTACTATATTGTATGTTTTTGAAATGAAAAATGGATGTGATGTGAAGACCCGTTTTCATTTATTTGTTCATTCAGCATTTACAGAATACAGACTATGTACCCAACATGGAGCTAGATGATAGAAATACAGGGGAATATTGATATCAACCCTGAGCTCCCAGAAATGATTCATAGAAAAGAACTTTGAGCTTAGTTTAAGAAGACCGTTAAAGATTTATGAAGCTAACAAGGAACTAGAAGGAAGACACGGAAGCTGCAAACACCAGCATAAGAACCAGCACCAGACATTTGAAAAGCTGGAAAAAGCTGTCTGTGCAAAGGAGGTGTGAGCGATGAGGCTAGAGAAATATGCAGAACCCAGATCACAGAGGAATTTCTACATCATACTTAGGAGTTTATCAAGCAATGAAGCTAATGAAGGGTTTTAAGCAGAAAAAATATAAAAATTACACAATAAATCAGACCATTTCAAAATGCGTGGAGATTCTCTGTTGTCTTTTATTTGCTTAACATGCTACTACTACTTGAAAAAAGCTATATAAAGAGATGTTCTCCTACCCGCTTATCTTTTGGCCTCAACATCACTTCATTTCTCTCTCTTCTTTCTACCAATCCTTTTGAGATATGATTAGATTCATTCATTCACACCACTCTACCAATAGCTTCCAAAGTCAGTAGTGACCTCATTGCCAAATCTGAGACCCCTTGACTTTGCTGACACATGTTGATCCTCAGATGCCTCTCCAGCAAAGGTGAGACTCTATACTCCATTGTTTCTCCAACTCTCTGAACTTTCTGCTGCTGCTCAGGAAACCATTCTTCCCTTCCTGCCCCTCAAAGTGATATTTTCTCAGTTTCTGCCCTCAACCTTCCCATCGTTTGTACCAGATAAGCGTCCTCAGTGATGTCATCCATTCCTGCAAGTATGAACTCCATATCCCCAATATTCAACTCTTTATATCCATCTCTGACCTCTCCTGAGCTCTAGTTTTGAATTTTTAACCCCGGTTTGAACAGTGCCACTCTAATTTCTGGAAATACTTAATTTAATATAACTAAATTTTAATTATCTTTCTAACTTCTTGTGGGAATCCTCTAAACTACTCTCCCACCTGTTTATAAAACTTCTAATCTCCTAGACACCCAGGCAAGAAAAACCCTAAAAATTTTGTTTGCGTCTTTCTCTCTCAAACTCTCACTTCCTGCATGCAGGATTCCTACTTTTTCTCTAAACCTCATGTCTTCTTTCTGTGCCTACTTAGTACTAAGCAACTTCATTTGTCTGTTTCCTTATTGCTTCCTATTGAGACACTCATAATTAGGACCTTCCTTGTGGCCCAATGCAAGTCACTCACCTTCCCCTTCTGTGCAAATTCTTGACATTTTTAGAAGTTGACCATTAACATCTAGGGCATTTTTAAACTGGCATATATAAGAAGAGAGGATCAAAAAAATAGAAAAAAATCAAAAGCAGGTCTAAGAACACCTGTATCTTTATGAAACTAGGGGAGTGTAATAAACTGATTGTACGTATGTGAGCCTCAGAGTTTTAAAGCACCAGATGAACCACATTCTTTTGACCCTTCTGTAACCTCCCCTAGAAGGTTTAAATACCAGGTTTTGATTATTATTTTTTTTAATTATACTTTAAGTTCTGGGGTACATGTGCAGAATGTGCAGGTTTGTTACATAGCTATACATGTGCCATGGTGGTTTGCTGCACCCATCAACCCGTCATCTACATTAGGTATTTTTCCTAATGCTATCCCTCCCCTAGTCTCCCACCCCCCACCCCCCACCCCACAGCTTCTTGATTATTATGCTGCCTTGGTATCAATTCGTAGAACTGAAAGGCCTTGCCATAATTGTTGCTCTCAGTGGCTCTGGTCCTATGCTCCTTCTATATGCTAAAACGGAAATATCCTTCTAAAGCATAACTCTGATTATGTTACTATACTGATTATTTCTTTTGGTGGCCCCTCAATTGCTGCCTGGATAAAACCCAGATTTTCTGCTGTCAGTCAAGGGCCCTAATCTCCCTACCCGCCTTTCCAGACTTGCTTTTTCTGACCTTGCAATAAATCTTCCTTCTCATTCTTACATTAGCAAAAGAAAACACAAAATGTTTGGGAATAAATGTAATAAGAGGTAGGCATGGGCTTGTGTTAAAAGTATTAAGATACATAGGTTAATATACAAGATTTAAATCCAGATAATATTATTTTGTGTTTGTTTTTTAAATTTATATGTTTTTTATTTTCAGAGACAGGGTTTCATTATGTTGCCTAGGCTGATCTCAAGTGATCCGCCCACCTTGGCCTCCCAAAGTGCTGGGATTATAGGTGTGAACCACCACTCTTAGCCAAATAACATTATTAAACATGTAATATGTGCCAAGCACTATACTAAGGGGTTTCACATTTGCTATGGTTTGAATGTGTCCCCCAAATTACAATGACTTCTAATTCTAAGCATTAAAGTGAAAGGAAGACACACCTAAAGCTAGAAATGATTAGCTTAGTGAGGAAGGCATGTCAAAATCCGAGACAGGCTGAGAGCTAGGCCTCTTGCGCCAAATGGTAGCCAAGGTATTAATGCACAGGAAAAATTCTTGAAGGAAATTAGGCCAGGTGTGGTGGCTCAAGCCTGTAATCCCAGCACTTTGGGAGGCTGAGGCAGGGGAATGCCAGCACTTTGGGAGGCTAAAATGGGAGGCAAGGAATTTGAGTCTAGCCTTGGTGACAGGATGAGACTCCAGTGGACACACAAATTATAAGAACGTGAAACAGCCTTATTAGTGATATGAAGAAAGTTGTAGTGTCTAGGTAGAAGATCAAACCAGCAACACTCCCTGAATTAGGCCAAAGCTTAATTCAGAGTAAGACCCAAACTCTCTTAAATTCTGCGAAGGCTGAGAGAGGTGAAGAAGCTGCAGAAGAAAAGTTGGAAGCTAGCAGAAATTGGTTCATAAGTTTTAAAGAAAGAAGCCTTCTTTGTAACATTCAAGTGCAAAGTAAACCAACAAGTGCTGATGTAGCAGCTGCAACAAGTTATCCAGAAGATGTAGCTAAGATCATTGATGATGACTATTCTGAACAACAGATTTACAATGTACAGAAAACAGCCTTCTATCGGAAGATGATCCCTACAGAAGTGAAGTGAATGCCTGGCTTCAGAGATTACAAGAATAGGCTGACTCTTGTTAGGGACCAATGCAGCTGGTAATTTAAGTTAAAACCAGTGCTTATTTACCATTCCAAAAATCCTAGCACCCTGAAAAATTGGGCTAATCTGGCCAGGCGCAGTGGCTCACGCCTGTAATCCCAGCACTTTGGGAGGCCAAGGCAGGTGGATCACCTGAGGTCAGGAGTTTGAGACCGGCCTGACCAACATAGAGAAACCCCATCTCTACTAAAAATACAAAATTAGCTGGGCGTGGTGGTGCACGCCTGTAATCTCAGATACTCAGGAGGCTGAGACATGAGAATCGCTTGAACCCAGGAGACAGAGGTGGCAGTGAGCCGAGATCACGCCATTGCACTCCAGCCTGGGCAACAGGAGTGAAACTCCGTCTCAAAAAAAAAAAGAAAGAAAGAAAGAAAAATTACACTAATCTAGTCTGCCTGTGCTCTGTTAATGAAACAACAAAGCCTGGATGACAGTACATCTCTTATGGCATGTTTACAGAGTATTTTAAGCCTACTGTAGAGACTTACTGCTCAGAAAAAAAGATTACTTTCAAAATATTACTGTTCATTGACAGTGCACTTGGTCAACCAAGAGCTCTGATGGCTATGTACCAGGAGATTGATACTGTTTTCATGCCTGCTAACACAACATCCATTCTGCAGCCCATGGATCAGTGAAGATTTTTGACCTTCTTTTTTTTTTTTTTTTGAGACAGAGTCTCGCTCTTCTGCCCAGGCTGGAGTGAAGTGGCGCGATCTCGGCTCACTGCAAACTCCATCCCCGGGTTCAAACAACTGTCCTGCCTCAGCCTCCCAAGTAGCTGAGATTACGGGCACACACCACCACGCCCAGCTAATTTTTGTATTTTTAGTAGAGACGGGGTTTTGCTATATTGGCCAGGCTGGTCTCGAACTCCTGACCTCAGGTGATCCACCTGCCTTGGCCTCCCAAAGGAGAATTATAGGCATGAGCCACTGTGCCCAGCCGAATTTTGACTTCCAAGTATTATTATTTAAGAAATCTATTTTGGCCAAGAGCGGTGGCTCATGCCTGTAATCTCAACACTTTGGGAGGCCGAGGTGGGTGGATCACTTGAGGTCAGGAGTTTGAGACCAGCCTGGCCAACATGGTGAAACCCCGTCTCTACCAAAAATACAAAAATTAGCTGGGCATGGTGGTGCATGCCTATAATCCCAGCTACTCAGGAGGCTGAGGCAGGAGAATCGCTTTAACCTGGGAGACGGAGGTTGCAGTGAGCTGAGATCGTGCCACTGTACTCCAGCCTGGTAAACAGAATGAGACTCCATCTCAAAAAAAAAAAAAAAGAGTCCGGGCACGGTGGCTCATGCCTGTAATCCCAACACTTTAGGAGGCCGAGGAGGGCAGATCATGAGGTCAGGAGATCGAGACCATCCTAACACAGTGAAACCCCACCTCTACTAAAAACACAAAAAATTAGCTGGGCGTAGTGGTGGGTGCCCGTAGTCCCAGCTACTCGGAAGGCTGAGACAAGAGAATGACACGAACCCAGGAGGCAGAGCTTGCAGTGAGCCGAGATCGCACCACTGCACTCCAGCCTGGGCTACAGAGCGAAACTCCATCTCAAAAAATAAAAATAAATTAATTAATTAATTTTAAAAAAAAGAAAAGAAAGACATTTCATAAGACTATGCTGCCATAGATAGTGATTCTTCTGATGGATCTGGGCAAAGTAAATTGAAAACTTTCTGGAAAAAATTTACCATTCTAGATGCCAGTGAGAACATGTGTGATTCATGGGAGGAGGTAAAAAATGTCACTTTTTTTTTTTTTTTTAAGAGATAGGGTCTTGAAGCAGGGGCAGGTGGATCACTTGAGGTCAGAAGTTCAAGATCAGCCTGGCCAACATGGTAAAACCCTGTCTCTACTAAAAATAGAAAAATTAGCCCACAGTGGTGATGCATGCCTGTAGTCCCAGCTACTTGGGAGGCTGAGGCAAGAGAATGGCTTGATCCTGGGAAGTGGAGGTTGCAGTGAGCCAAGATTATGCTATTGCACTCCAGCCTGGGCAACAGAGGAAGACTCTGTCTCAAAAAAAAAAAAAAAAAAAAAAAAAGAGTGAGAGAGTGATATAAGGTCTTGCTTTGTGGTCCAGGCTGGAGTGCAGTGGTGGTGTGATCATGGCTCACTGCAGCCTGAAACTCCTGCAGTCAAGCAATCCTCCTTCCTCAGCCTTCCCAGTTGCTAGGATTATAGGAACACACCACACTACCACACCTGGCTAATTGTTTTTTAAGTTTTTTTAGAGACAAATTCTCATGTATTGCCCAGGGTGGTCTCAAACTCCTGGGCTCAAATGATCCTCCCACCTCAGCGTACCAAAATGCTGAGATTACAGGCATGAGTCACTGCATGCAGCTAAAATGTCAACATTAACAGGAGTTTGAAAAAAGTTTATTCCAACCCTCATAGATGACTTTTAGGGGTTTAATTCTTCAGTTGAGGAAATCACTGCAGAGGTGGTAGAAATAGCAAGAGGACTAGAATTAGAAGTGATGCCTGAAAATGTGACTGAATTGTTGCAATCTCATCATAAAACTTAAACAAATGAGGAGTTGCTTCTCATGAATAAGCAAAGAAGGTGGCTTCTTTTTTTTTTCTTTTTAATTTTATTTTACTTTATGTTCCAGGATACATGTGCAGAACGTGCAAGTTTGTTACATAGGTAAACGTGTGCCATGGTGGTTTGCTGCATCTATCAACTCATCACCTAGGTATTAAGCCCCACATACATTAGCTATTTGTCCTGATGCTCTCCCTGCCCCCTGCCCGCTGCCCCCCGACAGGCCCCAGTGTGTGTTGTTCCCCTCCCTGTGTCCATGTGTTCTTGTTGCTCAGCTCCCACTTATGAGTGGGAACATGCGGTGTCTGCTTTTTGGTCCTGTGTTAGTTTGCTGAGGATGATGGCTTCCAGCTTCATCCATGTCCCTGCAGAGGACATGATCTCCTTCCTTTTTATGGCTGCGTAGTATTCTATGGTGTCTATGTGCCACATTTTCTTTATTCAGTGTATCATTGATGGGTATTAAGGTTGATTGCATGTCTTTGCTATTGTGAATAGTGCTGCAATAAACATACCTGTGCATGTATCTTTATAACAGAATGATTTATATTCCTTTGGGTATATACCCAATAATGGGATTGCTGGGTCAAATGGTATTTCTGGTTCTAGATCCTTGAGGAATCGCCACACTATCTTCCACAGTGGTTGAACTAATTTACATTCCCACCAAGAGCGTAAAAACATTCCTTTTTCTCCACAGCCTCACCAGCATCTGTTGTTTCTTGACTTTTTAATAATCTCCATTCTGACTGGCATGAGATGGTATCTTATTGTGCTTTTGATTTGTATTTCTCTAATGATCAGTGAGGTTGAGCTTTTTTGCATGTTTGTTGGCTGCATAAATGTCTTCTTTTAAGAAGTGTCTGTTCATGTTCTTTGCCCACTTTTTGATGGGGTTGTTTGTTTCTTTTTCTTGTAAATCTAAGTTCCTTGTAGATTCTGGATATTAGACCTTTGTCACTTGGGTAGATTGGAAAAATTTTCTCCCATTCTGTAGGTTGCCTGTTTGCCCTGATGATAGTTTCTTTCGCTGTGCAGAAGCTCTTTAATTAGATCCCATTTGTCAAAAAATGTGGAACACTTCACAAATTTGCATGTCATCCTTGCTCAGGGGCCATGCTAATCTTCTCTACATCATTCCAGTCTTAGTATATGTGCTGCTGAAACAAGCACAGAAAGTGGTTTCTTGAGATGGAATCTGCTCCTGGTGAAGATGCCGTGAACATTGTTGAAATGACAAGAATTTATTATTTATTTATTTTATTTTATTTTTTGACATAGGGTCTCACATTGCTGCGCAGGCTGGAATGCAGTGGCATGATCACCGCTCACCGCAGCCTTGTCCTCCCAGGCTCAAGTAGTCCTCCCACCTCAGCCTCCCAAGTAGCTGGTACTACACGTGTGCACCACCACACCCATTTTTTTGTAGAGACAGAGTCTCGCTCTGTTGCCCAGTCTGAAGTGCAATGGCATGCTCACAGCTCACTGCAGCTCCGACCTCTTGAGCTTCAGCAATCCTCCCAGCTCAGCCTCCTTAGTAGCTGGTACTGCAAGCTTGTGCCACTACATCCAGGTCTATTTTTGTATTTTTTGTAAAGATGGGGTTTTACCATGTTACCCAGGCTTATCTCAAACTCCTGGGCTCAAGTAATCCTCCTGCCTCAGCCTCCCAAAGTTCCGGGATTATAGGCATGAGCCACTGCCAGATCTCTATTGCATACTTAATAGACTACAGAATAGTGTGAACATAACTTTTATATGCACTGGGAAAGCAAAATATTTGTGTGACTCACTGTATTGCAATGTTTGCTTTACTATGGTGGTCTGGAGCTCAACCTGCAAAGTCTCCAAGGTATACCTGTGTATGACATTCTGGAAAATCAAACTAGGAAGAAAGCAAGAAGATCAGAGGTTGCCAAGATGTTGGTAGGGGAAGGGATGAATAGGCAGAGCACGAACAATTTTTACGCCAGTGAAGCTGCTCTGTATGCTACTGTAATGGTGGATTATAAATTTCTCTAAATCCATGAATATACAACACCAAGAGTGAGCCCTAATGTAAACTACAGACTTTGGGTGATTATGATTATGATGATTCATGGATTGCAGCAAATGTAGCTCTCTGGTGGAAGATGCTGAAAACAGGGGAAGTTGCGCATGTGTGGGGGAAGGGTGTGTATGAGAAATCTCAGTGCTTTCTGTTTAATTCTGCTGTGAACCTAAAACTGCTCTTAAAGTCTTTTAAAAAAATAAATAAAAATACATATACATAAAAATATGTAAAATATCCTCAAAGTCCAACTTCTCTACTCCAGATCTAAAAACATTTAAGAATGTGTTTTATTTCTTTATAGATATTTTGATGTATAAATAAATACCTAATTTTTGGCCAGGCACAGTGGCTCATGCTTGTAATCCCAGTACTTTGGGAGGCCAAGGTGGGTTGATCACTTGAGGCCAGGAGTTCCAGACAAGCCTGGCCAATATGCAGAAACCCTGTCTCTACTGAAAATGCAAAAGTTAGCTGGGTGTGGTAGCACACGCATGTAATCCCAGCTTCTTGGGAGGCTGAGGCACAAGAATGGCTTAACCTGGGAGGCGGAATTTGCAGTGAGCCAAGATCACACCATTACACTCCAGCCTGGGTCACAAGAGCAAGACTCTGTCTCAAAACAAAAACAAAAACAAAAAATACTTCTGTTTTTTACAGATAGGGGGTCTCACTATGATACCCAAGCAGGCCTCAAACTCCTGGCCTCAAGTGATTCTCCCACCTCAGTCTCCCAAGTAGCTGGGACTACAGGCATGAACCACCACACCCAGCTATATTTTTAAAATAATAAGCATTTATTTATTTATTGCTATATTTATTCACATGTACACACATACACATTAGTAGCAGACACTGTTAGTTGCTTATCTATTCCCTACCCCACCCTTGCTGATAAACCCTGATTTGTTTGTAGCAGTTATAGGTACGACTCCAGAAGATGCATGTTCGACTCTTGGCTATCCCGTTTCCTGCTGCCAGCTCCTGGCGCTCCCAGGCTCCCTTGTAGCTAGGGTTGGCTATGTGAACAGTTCTGAACAATGAAATATAAGGGCACATTTACTGAGATAAGAATAAAAAGAGCCTTGATCCTCGATGACATAATTAGTTGCTGACCCTTTCCTGAACTGCCTACTACCGCTGATCTCCCCTGATCTCCTTGTAGTAAGCAATAAATGGCCTTAGAGTTTAAGCCTGTGCTAGTCATGTTTTCTGTTACTTGAAGCCAGTGGCATGCTAGTAAACTAGCTCTGGGGGAGGGAAAAAGTTCCCCTGATTTGTAGTCTTTGCTGACTTCCTTGATGTAAATACTTTAAATGCTCTCACTATGGCCAATTTTAAACAACCAACATGAAGCTTGACTGCACTTGTGAAGAAATGTGCACATTTGGCTCTCAAGAGCCCTGTGCTCTCTCAAGCAAATATGAACCAGCTCTGGCACATCACCGCTTAAAGCCAAACAAATGCTAACATATGCATTGTAATTCTATACTTTTTCTTTACTTAATAAGCATAGACATTTCTATGTTGATATGAAAAAAAATACCCTTTTATGACTGCATAATGACCTATTTTATAAATGCCCATAATTTATCCATTTAGATGTTTATTAACTTATTCCTTTTATTTAAAAAATTAAACACTGTCTGTCTACGTATATTTCACATATTTGTCTTTTTTTATTTTTATTTTTATTTTTTTTTCTTTTTGAGATGGGGTCTCGCTCTGTCACCAGGCTGCAGTGCAGTGGGGCAATCTCAGCTCACTGCAACTTCTGCCTCCCAGGTTCAAGTGATTCTTCTGCCTCAGCCTCCCGAGTAGCTGGGACTACAGGTGCACGCCACCACACCCAGCTAATTTTGTTTTTTTGTTTTGTTTTGTTTTGTTTTTTGTATTTTTAGTAGAGATGGGGTTTCACCATGTTGGCCAGGATGGTCTTGATCTCTTGACCTTGTGATCTGCCTGCCTTGGTCTCCCAAAGTGCTGGGATTACAGGCGTGAACCACCATGCTCGGCCATATTTGTCTCTTTAAAATGATAGTAAAAAAAAAATGACAGTAAAGAGCTGGGCATGGTGGCTCATGCCTGTAATTCTAACACTTTGGGAAGCTGAGTAGGGGGGGAATCACTTGAGCCTAGAAGTTAAAGACTAGCCTGGGCAAGATAATGAGATCTCATCTCTACAAAAAATACAAAAATTAACCCGCATGCTAGCACATGCCTGTAGTCCCAGCTATTTAGGAGGGTGAGTTGGGAGGATGGCTTGAACCAGGTTGAGGCTGCAGTGAACCGTGATAGAGCCACTGAACTACAGTGTGGGTGACAGAGTGACATACTGTACCAAAAAAAAAAAGAGAAGAAGAAAAGAAATGCTTTACAACAATTCCCTTACTGTGCCCACCAATATCAAGCTACTGTATCATAAACTGTGCCCAATCCTCATCGTATTTCTGACATTCCCTGAAAGTATTCAGCCCAAGCTCTAAAACTCTACAAATAATTGACTCTAATTTTCTGTTTTGAGACACTGCTAAGGCTCAGTCAAGGTGGTATACTTTCTTAATGAAATAAATCTAATACACTTAACTTTGCTTAATCAACAGTTTTTATAATGAGCTTTTGAGGAGTCACTATTTGACAACATATTTTAATTATTTAAACATACTACCAGGTTACCTTCCAGGAAGATTGTATCAACTTAAACAAATAATAACATTGGGTGAAAGTATCCACTTCCTTCTCCACTAGATATTTTCTCAGTATCGAAACCTTTCCGATCTGATAAGCAAAAAGTGATATATCGTTATTCTATTGTCCTTTTAATTTACATTTATCTGATTATTAATGAAGTTTAGTAATATCTAGAAATGACACTTTTATGTAACTGGAAGCACGAAATCACTACTACACCACCACTGCCATCACAAATTAGAGAGGAGAATTGTACCAAGTCTAAGATGTTAGCTTATAACCTTACAATGAATAATTGAAATGCTCTGGCCAAGATTCACTAGGCAAGGTAACATCCCCTACATAAGCCTATTGTTAAGAATTGAGCCTATTTATTATTACTCCTCGCGGGTCTAAACAGAGTATAATTGAAAAGCAAAAATTAAGGAGTAGGAGTGAGGGCAATGGTGGAAGAAAGACACTAAAATCAGTATGTATAGCAATGTAATGACTCCAATATAAGTAGTGGTGTTCTTGCAAATTACGGGCAATAGGAAAGTGTTACTCTTTCAAGTTTAGACTAGCATTCTCCAGTATTTATCCTCAAGTTATTTATTTATTTATTTATTTATTTATTTATTTAATTTTATTTTTTGAGACAGAGTCTCGCTCTATCATCCAGGCTGGAGTGCAGCGGCGCAATCTCGGCTCACTGCTAACTCCACCTCCCGGGTTCACGCCATTCACCTGCCTCAGCCTCCCGAGTAGCTGGGACTACAGGAGCCCGCCACCACGCTTGGCTAATTTTTTTGTATTTTTAGTAGAGACGGGGTTTCACCGTGTTAGCCAGGATGGTCTCGATCTCCTGACCTTGTGATCCGCCCGCCTCGGCCTCCCAAACTGCTGGGATTACAGGCGTGAGCCATCGCGCCAGGCTCCTCAAGTGATTTAAGTGTATATATTTCTAATCCAATAGTTACCTACCCAATAGACTTCCAAACAAAATTAAAAAGATATGTGCAGTTATCTCTCGTGAGAAGATCTGAAAGAGGTCCAAATTTGCTATTGGCCCGCATGGGACTGCAAGACAGGACTTCATCTCCTAAAGCTTACCTTAGACTTCCTTGTTGCTGCTCTGAGCCATTGCTCTTGAAGAAATGACTCAAATTTAAAGAACCATACTCCTGGAGAGGAGAATGTCTCCTACAGTGAGACCATCTAACAGTGGTTAGAAGGTGGGATTTCCTCTCCAAAAAAGGAAGCACTATTACAGAAAGGAGGGTAGACCTAAGGAATGAAGAGAAAAGTTAAGAGCCAAGTGAGTCTATAATGGAGCCCTGGGCAGTGTATAACTTCTTGGGAACCTTTGCTTCCAACTTTGCGAAAAGTCACATCTGGTCTATAGTTTCACATGTTAACTCCTCTTAGAGCAACTAACAGCTTTATAATTGGAGCTGTAGATGGAAGTGAGGACCAATCTATGAAGCAAGCTAAGCCGGCCTCATGTTACCTTCTTTTAGTCTATAGAAGCTTTTGTGGAGTTGTCAGCATTGATGTAAGACGAAATCACAGTTAATGAGTTCTAGATTGTAACCAGTGCAACCAAAGAGGGATTGAGGGATCACTGACAGAGAAGCAGTGGTCAACTTGGAAGCAACTATGAGAAAAATTCCTCTCCTTTTAAAACATATACTTGGTTTGGGCACGGTGGCTCACCCATGAAATCCTAGCACTCCGAGAGGCCAAGGGGGGCAGATACCTTGAGTCCAAGAGTTCAAGACCAGAATGACTGACATGGCAAAACCCCATCTCTACTAAAAATACAAATGTTAGCTGGGTGTGGTGGTGTATGCCTGTAGTCCCAGCTACTTGGGAGGCTGAGGCAGGAGGATAGCTTTAGCCCTGGAGCCGGAGGTTGTGGTGAGCAATGATCATGCCACTGCGTTCCAGCCTGGGTGATGAAGCCAGACCCTCTCTCAAAACAAAGACCCCCAACCCAAAAAACACATATACTTGAGAAGGTTGACATTTCCTTTAAAGTGGAATGAAAGTTTAATAGACGTGTGTGTACGTGTTTCTGGATTTTTTATTCTGTTCAATGGATCTATCTATGTTCCAATACCGCACTGTTTTAACTACTGTACCTTTGTAGTACTTTTTTTTTCTTTTTTTTTTTTTTGAGACAAGGTCTTGCTCTGTCATTCAGGCTGTAGTGCAGCAACACAATCTCAGCTTACCACAGCCTCGACCTCCCTGGCCTAAGCTATCCTCCCACCTCAGCCTCCTGAGTATCTGGGACTCCAGGCACAGGCCCCCAAGCCCGGCTAATTTTTGCATTTTTCAAGTAGAGACAGGGTTTCACCATATTGCCAAGGCTGGTCTCAAACTTCTGAGCTCAAGCAGTCTGCCTGCCTCGGCTTCCCAAAGTGCTGACATTTCAAGCATGAGCCACTGCACCTGACTGTAGTACCTCTTTTAACTGCTAAATTGTCTGTCCTTACTTTTTAAAAATGTTCTTGGCTATTCTAATGCATCCATTAATTCAGATTCATTCAGCAAATATTTACCCAACACCTACTATTTCCTAGATGTTTTAGGTGCTAGGCATAGAAAAGTGAAAAATACACCCAAAAATATCTGCTCTCACATTGCTTGCATTTTAGTGAGGGGACACAAGTGATAACTGAAACCAACATAATCCTACATCCATGGGGACAAACATGCTTTCATTCCCTATGTTAAATAATATTGACACCAAGCAAAAATAACTAGCTTATTTGCTCTGGAAAATATTTCTTGAAGATAAGATTGTGAACCAGCTAAACAACTTATTTATCAAGACTAACAGCTTTCTCTTTAAAACTTGCCTTGATATCTTCCTCTTCCCAACAATCCAACTATCCCAACAAGTTTCTTACAAGCAAAATTCACCTGAAAAATCACCCTATTAAAGGCCTTTTCCTAATTTCCTCACTGCAAAGAACTACTGAGGTAGGTTTAGGTAATGGCCTTGATACCTAGACAAGAAAAAAAGCTAGATACTTAGAGCTCCTGGCATGATGAGTTCAAAAGTCTTTTTTGAAAATGTTTTATATGTAAATACTGAGGGTTTTTTTTTATAATTTTAGAAGTCTATGTAATATTACTGATAGATGATTCTTTGAACATTTTATAGTGATAAAATTTTAGCTTAAAACCAACTTTATGCCTTCTCCCTGACTTTTTCAGAAAATAAAAAGTTGACCCAATATTTTGTTTAATGCAAGACTTGGGTTTCGTTTCTCATTTAAACTTCTAAAATTTCTACTAATGTAGGATTAATATCCTATCAGCCCAGTAAGTTATCATTTTTACAGATGGTTTAAGATTACAAACATGAAATTGTATTTAGCTGAATGAAATAATAGATTTATCAAGAATTAAAATTCTTGAATTAAGAAAAATTAAATGAATTTTTAAAATATTTTAATTTTCTATTAATTTTAGTTTTTATTTTTGTAGAGATGGGGGTTCTCAATTTGTTGCCCAGGCTGGTCTCAAACTCCTGAGCTCAAGCCATTCTCAGCTTCCCAAAGTGCTCGAATTGCAGGCATGAGTCACTGAGCACAGGCTCTTGGATGCTTTTTTTTTTTTTTGAGACGGAGTCTGGCTCTGTCGCCCAGGCTGGAGTGCAGTGGCGCGATCTCGGCTCACTGCAAGCTCTGCCTCCCGGGTTCACGCCATTCTCCTGCCTCAGCCTCCCGAGTAGCTGGGACTACAGGTGCCCGCCACCACGCCCGGCTATTTTTTTGTATTTTTAGTAGAGATGGGGTTTCTCCGTGTTAGCCAGGATGGTCTCGATCTTCTGACTTCGTGATCCGCCCATCTCGGCCTCCCAGAGGGCTGAGATTACAGGCGTGAGCCACCGCACCCAGCCAGCTCATGGATTCTGATAATACAAATGATAAGGACTCAATGGCCTGACCTAAATTCTAATTTCCAGATTTTTAATCAACTTTAAGACATTAAACTAATATTAAAATAAATTAACAAATATACTGTAATTACCCAAATTATTTTATTTTATTTATTTATTTATTTTTTTGGAGACTAAGTCTCACTCTGTTGCCCTGGCGCTCCGGAATGCAGTGGCGTGATCTTGGCTCACTGCAACTTCTGTCTCATGAGTTCAAGCGCCAAATCATTTTATATAAAAAAGAAAACAAAACACTGAACACTAAGCATAACTTTAAATTATTTCTAGGCCGGGCACGGTGACTCAGCCTGTAGTCCCAGCTCTTTGGGAGGCCAAGGCAGGTGGATTGCTTGAGCTCGGGGCTTCGAGACCAGCCTGGGCAATGTGGCAAAGCCTCGTCTCTACCAAAATTCAAAACAAATTAACCTGGTGTGGTGGCGTGCGCCTGTGGTCCCAGCTACTCCAGAAGCTGATGTGGGAGGATCACTTGAGTAGGGGAGGCGGAGGTTGCAGTGAGCCGAGACTGCGCCACTGCGCCACTGCGCTCCAGCCTGGGTGACAGAGGGAGACCCCTCTCAAAAAATTAAATAAATAAATAATCTTACACCTTATTTTAATGTATGGACTGGCTATAGATTAGCAAGATGTGCAAATCTTTTTTAACGATTACATATATGTATATATATATGTGTCTTTATTTATGCATATATATTATTCAGCCACCTTAAAATGTATTAAAGTAATATATATTTGTTCAAAGGAAAAAACATTACCAATATAGTTCTGGGTATTCTACCTTTTAATTTATCTTGTGTCTGAAAAATCCAAAATAGATTACTTTGGTTGCAGTTTGTAATAATGAGAACCGTTAAACAGAAATAGGAGTATGCATTCAAAACAATAAATAAGGTATGCCTAACTGTTTTTTAAGGGTATCTTTGCAGTGTATAAAGATGTTTATTTAATAACATAATATATACTTTGTTTTATTTAATATGCTGATAAAGTTAAATTTTTTTAAGTTAAATTTTTTTGTAAGTTAAATATGTTTTAAAGCTACAATTTAAAGCCTTAGTTTAATCACTTGCTGGCATATTTACATATTTGTGTACGTCTCAATGCATATCTATAGAGTTATATAAAAATAAATTCAAAAGAATTATTTAAAATTTTAGCTGGGCACGGTGGCTCACGCCTGTAATCCCAGCACTTTGGGAGGCCAAAGCAGGCGGATCACCAGGTCAGGAGATCGAGACCATCCTGGCTAACACGGTGAAACCCCGTCTCTACTAAAAATACAAAAAATTAGCCAGGCATGGTGGCAGGCGCCTGTAGTCCCAGCTACTCGGGAGGCTGAGGCAGGAGAATGGTGTGAACCTGGGAGGCGGAGCTTGCAGTGAGCCGAGATTGCATCACTGCACTCCAGCCTGGGCGACAGAGCGAGACTCCGTCTCAAAAAAATAAAAACATAATAAATAAATAAATAAATAAATAAAATAAATAAAAATTTAAAAGACAAAAGACAAATTTGAAGGCTTACATATCTTTTACTGTAAATTTTAATATGGATTGAAAACAAAAAGTAAAATTAAGATCTGCATTTTCTTCCCGTAACATCCTAGTTATTCATGCTCAGATAAACAGAAATTCTTTTTTATTCCCAAAATATTCTGTTAACTCTCTAGACTTCTTACATATGATGGAATCATTTTGGCAAGAAATTTTTTAAAGTTAAATTACTAGTAATCAAGGGCCGGGAGCGGTGGCTTATGCCTGTAACCCCAGCACTTTGGGAGGCCGAGGTGGGCAGATCACGAAGTCAGGGGTTCGAGACTAGCCTGACCAACGTGGTGAAACCCCGTCTCTACTAAAAAAATACAAAAATTAGCTGGGCATGGTGCCATGCGCCTGTAATCCCAGCTATTCAGGAGGCTGAGGCAGGAGAATCACTTGAACCCAGTTGGTGGAGGTTTCAGTGAGCCGAGATCATGCCACTGCACTCCAGCCTGGGTGACAGAGTGAGACTCTGTCTCAAAAAAAAAAAAAATAAAATAAAATAAAAATAAAAATTACTAGTAATAGCTATTATTTATCGTTGTGTTTCCTATTTGTTACAACCATGTATAGCCTTTGAATAAAATGGCTTATGCGTATGTCTTATGTCCCCTGACAACTCTTCTTGATTATGTGTGTTCCAAATTCAGTTCTCTAATTCAGAATAATCAGACTGTAAAATTTTCTTTTCTTTTTTTTTTATTTAAGATTTTATTGTTTTCTTTTCTTTTGAAACAGGGTCTTGCTCTGTCACCCAGGCTGGAGTGCAGTGGTGTGATCTCAGCTCACTGCAACCTCTGCCTCCTGGGCTCAAGCAATCATCCTGCCTCAGCCTCCCGAGTAGCTGGGACCACAGGCGTGCACCACCATGTCTGCTAATTTTTGTATTTTTTAGGAGACATGGGGTTTCACTATGTTGCCAAGGCTGGTTTCGAACTCCTGAGCTCAAGCGATCCACCCTCCTCGGCCTCCCAAAGTGCTGGGACTACAGATGTAGTTAGCCACCATGCCTGGCCTGTAAAGTTCTCTTATAAATCAAAACTTTCTTTGAATTTACTGGAATAGCCACCAGTTCGGCCAAAAAGTCAGTTTCTCAATTTATAAAAGAAAAATAGTAGAAATAATTAGGCATGTGTGACATTCTCTAAATTTTAATTATGTGTGGCCAGGCCCGGTGGCTCACGCCTGAAATCCCAACATTTTGGGAGGTTGAGGCGAGAGGATCACCTATGGTCAGGAGTTTGACACCAACCTGGCCAACATGGTGAAACCCTGTCTCTACTAAAAATACAAAAATTAGTTGGGCATGGTGGGGCGAGCCTGTAGTCCCAGCTACTCAGGAGGCTGAGGCAGAGGAGAATCGCGTGAACTCGGGAGGCGGAGGTTGCAGTGAGCCGAGATCACGCCATTGCACTCCAGCCTGGGTGACAGAGCAAGAGTCCGTCTAAAAAAAAAAAAAAAATTGGAATCAATTTGGAAACAAAATTTGGAATAAAATAAAATTTGGAATAAAAAAATTATTAATATTGTTTCATGATTGTGAATGCTTATGTGCTAGTTACCAATTTAATATCATCGCTCCATTGCAAATCTACACTATTTTGCCCTGATTCATGATCAGTCCTGAACCCTACAATCGTTTTTTTGCCAACAGATAAAATGTTATGGTTCATCGACAGAGGGCGCTAGAGTGACACTGCATGGCCACAGCTACGGAAAGACACTTTTCGGTTGGACTCCAGCCCTCTTATAATCTTCAATACACGAGCCTAACAAAGTAGCTCTAGCTGTGCCCTCAGTCTGTATAGTCCCTCTTCTTAAGGCGACCTTAGACCAGGTCCAGCTACCTATATCCTCTGGCAACAGCTGACCCTTCCTGCAGACTGGCCCAGCCTGCCTATCCCCACCAGCAGTGGTGAATCACTTTTATAGGCCCCTCTAGCAAGTATCTTCACCATTGCCAGGCTGTGTGGCTGTGTTTGTAGTAAACACGTCTTTCTGGCCGGGGCGCGGTGGCTCACGCCTGTAATCCCAGCACTCTGGGAGGCCGAAGCGGGCGGATCATCTGAGGTCACGAGTTCGAGACAAGCCTAGCCAACATTGTGAAACCCCGTCTCTACTAAAAATACAAAAATGAGCCGGGCGTGGTGGCGCAATCCCAGCTACTCAGGAGGCTGGGGCAGGAGAATCGCTTGAATCTGGGAGGCGGAGGCGGTAGTGAGCCGAGATCGCGCCACCGCCCTCCAGCCTGGGCAACAAGAGCGAGACTCAGTCTGAAAAAATAAATAAATAAATAAACATGTCTTCTTTGAAGAGGTCTGAATCTCAGCCCTGGGGTGGTGGTTGCTGAGAGGAGCCCTTTCTCCTCTTTATCGTTCATTCTTCCTCAGCCTAGAGGGATGCGCTGTTTTTCCGCACTTGCTGCTTCTGGATTCTTTAGAGTCCTTGTTTACTCCTTTTTGAATTCACTCACCTCCTGCTAGTTAATAATTCTTTATATTAAACTTTCCCTGTTCAAAAAACTGATGTGGTTTCTGTTTCCTGTCTGGTCCCTGATTGACATATCTTAGAAATATAGTTTTTTCATGTACAAAGATTGGTACAATAATTGTCTCCAAAAAGATTTTGTATCAGGTTATTAAGTTCCAATGTCTTTGTCGATCAGGGACCACTGTAATATACCTTGTGGCACAAATTAAAAAGCCCTGGAGTCTCCTTCTGTCATTTCCATTTGGTTCTTTCTAAATACCCACTATTTCTTTGCTGAGAATTTCTATATTTTTATTTGTTTCAAGAGAATTTGTAATTGCTTGTTGAATTTTTTATTTTATGTGTTTTTTTTATGGTTGCTCTCAAAAAAAAATAATAATAAAAATAAAAGTCATAAACTTGCTATGGAAAAAAGAGAAGGAGATTTAGCCAAACAATGTGTAATAGACATTTGTTGGTTGATGCTGTAGCTTCTGTTATTTTCTTCCTAGCAGCCCTCATTGGAGTTTGGGAATCCATTTGGCTCTATGGAACTAATATCAATCAATAAACTAAATTATTTACTTATTCAGCTGTACAGGTGTATTTTCAAATAAATATGATTTTAAAAGAATGATGGCTGTGGTCATGATAAGAAATATGGCCTTTCATATTTATAATGTGTCCTCCATTCATCTTGGTTATAACAGGAAATGGTAATGTAATTTCTTTATGCTCCTATTCCCAGGATCATCATTGACTATATGCTTATATATTAATTTTCTGTTACCCCTCAAGAAATCATTCAACTGTCTTCTATTTTGATGATGTTCTGATATTTTTCATCTTGTGGAAGAGACCTCAGAGAAAAATAGCCCTTGAGCCTTGATGAAAAGAACCTATATAAGTTGCTATAAACATCTAACACTACAACAAAACTCTAGGGTGTTGATGCTTACAACCATTTCTCTCAAGTAAAGAAATTTACTCATCCTTAAGTTACAAGAAAGCCCAATGGGCCAGAAACCACAAGATCATGAGGAGACAGTTTCCACCCAAGACTTTCAGATCAAGATGACTGCATGAAGTAGACAGCTTCCATCAGAGACTCATGAAATAAGACCTAGATGACTGGAGTCAGATCGTCAGGCTTGCATCAGCAGGCTTTTGTTTGTTATTGTTCAAGCTATTTTCTTTCTTTCTAGTTTCCTTGAAGTTTTGGATTATTAACTTTGATACCTATAAGGTCCTTATCCTTAATAATGTGTTTTGTCTCCTTAATCACTCCTTGGTAAAAGTCTAATGCTTGGCTATAATTTTTCATAATTTGGCTAAAACACAAAATCAAACTAACTATTGGGTTTATATTCTCTTTACAGGTAGGTGCCTTCATTTTCCTTTTATGTTAGTTCTGTGTAATAAATCAGTAGTCAAGTTCTTCCGCTCTGACAAAAAAAAAAAAGGAAAGAAAGAAAAATAAATAAATACTTTCCTGGTAATTGGAGTCAACCACGAAGTGACTTTTTTTTAGAGTAACACAACAGGTCAGACATCCAGAAATACAAAATCCCCCATCATGTTCCCCTCTATGGAAACAATATTCAGGGACTATGTAATAAAAAATTTGGCAATTTGGCAGGTCTTTGTCCCCAGCTCCTGGGAAATAATTTCCTTTTTTTTTTTTTTTTTTTGAGACAGAGTCTCACTCTGTCGCCCAGGCTGGAGTGCAGTGGCATGATCTCGGCTCATGGCAGCCTTCACCTCCTGGGTTCAAGTGATTCTCCTGCCTCAGCCTCCTGAGTAGCTGGGATTACAGGCGCACATCACCACGCCCGGCTAATTTTTGTATTTTTAGTAGAGATGGGGTTTCACCATATTGGCCAGGCTGGTCTCGAACTCCTGACCTCAAGTGATCTGCCTGCCTTGGCCTCCCAAAGTGCTGGGGCTGGGATTACAGGCATGAGCTACTGCACCTGGCCCTCCTTGTTTTTTGTTGTTGTTGTTGTTGTTGTTTTGTTTTGTTTTGTTTTTGAGACAGGGTCTCACTTTTTTGAGGCAGGGCCCAGGCTAGAGTGCAATGGTGCTATCTCAGCTCACTACAACCTTTGCCTCCTGGGCTCAAGTGATCCTCCTACCTCAGCCTCCCAAGTAGCTGGGACTACTGGCACACACCACCACACCCAGCTAATTTTTGTATTTTTTGTAGAGATGAGGTTTTGCCATGTTGCTTGAGCTGGTCTCAAACACCTGGACTCAAGCAATCCGCCCACCTCAGCCTCCCACAGTGATGGGATTATGGACGTGAGCCACTGTTCCTGGCCCTGGGAGATTAATTGCTAAAACCTTAGAGTTGTCCAAGTGATCTGAGTATCTTTGTCATTCATTGTGGGCCCCTCAAATCACACCTGATAATTTCTGTTAGTGAAGTGCTTCAGATGTGGGCTAGCCCTGCCAGAAAGACCAACCATGTGATTAGAGGGTTGGAGCTTTGAGCCATGTGGTATCAGCTTGACCTTTGAGAAAGAGGGGCTGGAGATTCAGTTCAACCACATACACAATGATTCAATCGATCATGCCTGCGTAATGAAACCTCAATAAAAACTCTGGGAACTGAAACTTGGGTGAGTTTCCCCGGCTGGCAGCATGCCTTATTTTCACACTTTGATGCTGGGCAGATAACACATCCTTGAGGACGATGGAAGCTCTGCATTTGGATCCCTCCCAGATGTCACCTGATACATCTCTTCTTTTGGATGATTCTAATTTGTATCTTTTTGCTGTAATAAAATTATAATACACACACAACTTCAGTGAGTTCAGTGAACCTTTTTAGTGAATTATCAAACCTGAGAGTGGTTGTGGGAACCCATGAATTTATAGCCAGCTGGTCAGAAGTGAGAGTTGCCCTGGGAACCCCCAAACTTGTGGCTGTTAACTGAAGTAAAGGCAGTCTTGTGGAGAATTGTGCCTACAGACTTTGCAGTTTGACAAACTCATTGTAGAAAACTCTTGCAGGAGCCAGCTTTTGCAACCAAAAGAAATCAGTCCTGGAAAGGATTTTTAAACAGATGAGGTGTATTCAAAGATAATTTCACTTTTACTGATCTTACAAGAAAAGCACATTAGTGGGCTTAAGCACAAGCCTTATTTTTATTTATTTATTTATTTATTTTTGAGACAGAGTCTCACTCTGTCGCCCAGGCTGGAGTGCAGTGGCACGATCTCAGCTCACTGAAAGCTCTGCCTCCTGGGTTCATGCCATACTCCTGCCTCAGCCTTCCGAGTAACTGGGACTACAGGCACCCACCACCACGCCCTGCTAATTTTTTGTATTTTTTTTAGTAGAGTCGGGGTTTCACCCTATTAGCCAGGATGGTCTTGATCTCCTGACCTCGTGATCTGCCCGCCTCGGCCTCCCGAAGTGCTGGGATTACAGGCATGAGCCACTGCACCCGGCCTCCCCTAGCCTTTTTGTGTTTGCTTTTTTTTTGTTTTTGTTTTTGTTTTTGAGACAAGGTCTCACTTTGTCACCCAGGCTGGAGTGCAGTGGCATGCAAGTCCTCCTGCCTTGGCCTCCCAAAGTGCTGGGATTACAGGCACGAGCCACTGCACCCAGCCGTTTTTTGCTTTAGACCTACCTGGTGATTTCTTTATCACAAATATCATTTCTTGACACCAAACGACACTTATGAAACATTGCAAAATATTACCTCACCATCTGACAACATAGGGGTAACTCCATAGGGGTATTATCACCAAAAACAAGGTTGCTCCCTTGTACCTAGTGTTAAATTGATGGGGCAAAAACTAACTGCTACTAGCATATTGGACACAGATATGTTATCTTGACCAACTGATGCCTGCTCTCAGGATAGGCCCTGATATCACCTAAGGTTCATTTTCATCAACAAATTTCCATTCCCCAGCCCCTAAACATCTTTAAATAATTTAATTCAATAAGGAGGAAATCTGGGCCTTGATTTGAGTTCAAAACCTAAAAACTGAAGGGGAATTTTTGACTGCTTTCTTCTACACAAAGGCTCTTCATGTTATGCTTTCTAAGAGGCCTGAAAAGTTAAGACTAATCCTACATCCTATGGTTCAGAAGATAGTAAAGGAGTTCCCTGTCTAAGGCCAGGGCCTTACCTAGGAATTTTATAAAATGGGACAGACAATGTTTCCAAATAGACAGGAATTAGACATAATATGGGTTTCTTAAAGGAGAACATGTGCTGCCCTGTCCCAAAGACCAAGAAGATTTCAGAGTGGAGTTCAAGAAGACAGAGTATATAGATCTCAGACAAGTTGCTCTATGCCTTCAACAAAAATGCTTCCTTTTTCTTTTCACTTTTTTTTTGGTTTTACCTTTCCGACCCTCTTCTCAACGCTAGAGGAAAGCTTTTATTGCCCTTAGGAATGACCAAGCATAGCCTATTTGTAGTGTAGGTTTGGGGCTACAGGGATTTTTTTTTTTTTTTTTTTTGAGACAGAGTCTTGCTCTGTCGCCCAGGCTGGAGTGCAATGGCACTTTCTCGGCTCACTGCAACCTCCACCTCCTGGGTTCAAGCGATTCTCCTGCCTCAGCCTCCTGAGTAGCTGGGATTAATACAAAAAATTAGCCAGGCGTGGTGGCACACACTTGTAGTCCCAACTACTTAGGAGGCTGAGGCAGGAGAATCGCTTGAACCTGGGAGGCAGAGGTTGCAGTAAGCCAAGATCTGTGCCGACTGCCCTCCAGCCTGGGTGACAGAGTGAGACTCCATCTCAAAAAAAAAGAGACGTTCTTCGCCGAGAGTCGTTGGGGTTTCCTGCTTCAACAGTGCTTGGATGGAACCCAGCCCTCGTCCCCTACCCCGGCCAGCCGCCCATAGCCAGCCCTCCGTCACCTCTTCACCGCGCCCTGGGACTGCCCCAAGGCCCCCGCCGCAGCTCCAGCGCCGCGCAGCAGCCGCCGCCGCCGCCTCTCCTTAGTCACTGCCATGACGACCGCGTCCACCTCGCAGGTGCGCCAGAACTACCACCAGGACTCAGAGGCCGCCATCAACCGCCAGATCAACCTGGAGCTCTACACCTCCTACCTTTACCTGTCCACGTCTTACTACTTTGACCTCGATGATGTGGCTTTGAAGAACTTTGCCAAATACTTTCTTCACCAATCTCATGAGGAGAGGGAACATGCTGAGAAACTGTTGAAGCTGCAGAACCAACGAGGTGGCCGAATCCTTCTTCAGGATATCAAGAAACCAGACTGTGATGACTGGGAGAGTGGGCTGAATGCGATGGAGTGTGCACTACATTTGGAAAAAAATGTGTATCAGTCACCACTGGAACTGCACAAACCGGCCACTGACAAAAATGACCCCCATTGGTGTGACTTCATTGAGACACATTGCCTGAATGAGCAGGTGAAGCCATCAAAGAATGGGGTGACCACGTGACCAACTTGTGCAAGATGGGAGCACCCGAATCTGGCTTGGCAGAATATCTCTTTGACAAGCACTCCCTGGGAGACAGTGATAATGAAAGCTAAGCCTCAGGCTAATTTCCCCATAGCCGTGGGGTGACTTCCCTGGTCACCAAGGCAGTGCATGCATGTTGGGTTTTCCTTTACCTTTTCTATAAGTTGTATCAAAACATCCACTTAAGTTCTTTGATTTGTACCATTCCTTCAAATAAAGAAATTTGGTACCCCCCCCCCCCCCCCCCGCCCAAAAAAAAGAATTCTGGCCAGGTGCAGTGGCTCGTGCTTGTAATCCCAGCACTTTGGGAGGCCGAGGTGGGAGGATCACTTGAGCTCAGGAGTTTGAGACCAGCCTGGTCAATATAGTGAGACCCTATCTTTATACAAAAAGAAAAAAAAAGAACTCAACAACACCATCACCTAGAAGGATCTAATTGACATTTATCAAATATTCCATCCAACAAAAAGCAGAACATACAATCTTTTAAAGCACCCAAGTAACATCTACAAGATAGACCATATCCTGGGCCAGAAAAGCCCTCAGAAAACTGAAAAATATTGAAATCACACAGAGTGTATTTGTTGTCCCTATTTACAGATAATATGACTGTTTATGTAGAAGATCCCAACAGATCTACAAAAAATAGAGAAAGGAAAAGAAAAAGAAAAAAAGCCTTCTAAATTTAATTGGTCAGTTCAACAAGGTCTCAGACACAAGCTAAACTGTAAGAAATCAACCGTATTTCTATATCTAGCAATGAACACTGAAATTAAAACAATCACTCCAAAAAATAAAATACTTAGTTGTAAATCTAACAAAACATGTGTGGGACTTGTAGGCTGAACACCACAAAATGCCAATCAAAGAAATGAAAGAACTAAATTAACAGATACACTGTGTTCAAGGGTTAGAAAACTCAACCGAGTAAAGACCTAAATTTTCCTCAAATTTATATATAAATATATGATATGTTTTTCTATATCATATATAATTATATATAATTAAATATATAATATATTTCTATGTTTATATATTCTATATAATATGTAATATAGAAATGTATATATAATTAAATTTATAATATATTTATAAATTAAATACCTATCAAAATTCCAGCAGGCTAGGTGCGGTGTATACTTGTAGTTCCAGCTATTCAGGAGGCTGAGGCAAGAGGACTGCTTGAGCCCAGGACTTCCAGGCTATAGTGCACTATGCTGAGTGATCAGGTGTCCACATTGAGTCCAAGGTCAATATGGTGACTTCCCAGGAGTGGGGGACCACCAGGTTGCCAAAAGAGTGGTGAATTGAACAAAGTTGGAAATGGAGCAGGTCAAAACTCCCATGCTAATCAGTAGTGGGCCCTTGCTTGTGAGTACCCAAAGCACTCCAGCCTGGGCAACATAGTGAGACCTCCTCTCTTAAAAAAGAAAAAAATCCCAGCAAAACTTTTACAGATACAAACAAGCTTATTCTAAAGTTTTTGACAAAGGTGAAAAAGCAATTCAAGAAAACAAGAGTAGTCTTTTCAACAAAGGTGCTAGAGCATTCAGATATCCATAGACAAAAAAATGAACCTCCACTTAAACCTTACAAAAATTAACTCAAAGTAGATCACAGGGTTAAATATTAGACATAGAACGCTAAAGTTTTAAAGAGAAAACAGAAGAAAAATCTTTGGGATCTAGGGCTTAATGAAGAGTTCTCAGACATGAAAACAAAAGGATAATCCATCAAAGAAAAAAACCTGATAAGTTGGACTTCATCAAAATGTAAAACTTTTAGTCTGTGAAAGACCTATAGGGAAGACAAAAAGACAAGTTACACATATGGAGAAAATACTTGCAAATCACGTGTGTGACAAAGAACTCTTATCTAGAATATATAAGGAATGCTTGAAACTGGGTCGCCTGCCACAGCAACATGAGTGGGAGCACCAGGAACCCAGGGTTGGAACAGGATGCCATGGATTGCTTTAGCCCTTTTCCTGTTTAGAACAAAAAAGGGCAGCTCACTGCCAGTGCTCATTTAATTTTACAGAAACAGGCTCTTTGAGGCTGAAGCAAATCTGACTGACTTTTGATGTGAAAATAAAATATAAAAACCGTTCCTGAAGTTATTTCTAAACAGAACTAACATAAAAATAGGCTGAATCATCAGAATCATCTATTTCGGAAAAACCGGATTTGTCAAATCAATCTTCGGGCAACAACTGTTTGAGAACGATGTTCACATCCCATGTAGGAATGCTATGTTTTCTAGGATCTGGCATTTTCAGTGATTGAGAATCGCTATATTTTGCAAATGGAAATAGCACTACTAAAAACAAAATGCTATGAACAGAGTGATGTCTTTTGTTTCCAAAGTCAATATTCTAGAACCACGTGAAAATAGTAATAAAAGTGAGATATTTTGTGGCAAAGTTGTGGGTAAACGCTGCAGCCACAAGCCCCGCTGGAGAGTATTCTCAGGGCAAATGGGAAAGTGGGTAAGAAAATGGCACACAAACTAGACCTGGAAGAAATTGCCAGCTTGGATAAGGCCAAGCTGAAGGCCACAGAGATGCAGAAGAACACTCTGATGACCAAAGAGACCACAGAGCAGGAGAAGTGGAGTGAAATTTCCTGAGAGCCTCGAGGATTCTCTATGACTGTCATCTGTGAGCCCCGACTTGAGATGTGGAGGAACAGCCACCTGCAAGGTGGACATGCCCCACAAGCTGCGCTGTGAACCTGGGCTCTCCGAACCATGCCACCGACCTGTGAGTCTCCGAGGGGACCCGCAATGGGACTGCCAAATTCTCTGGCTTGCCCCAGGATATTATAGAAAATTATTTGTGGCCGGGCGCTGTGGCTCACGCCTATAGTCCCAGCACTTTGGGAAGCTAAGGCAGGTGAATCACCTGAGATCAGGAGTTTGAGACCAACCTATCATGGTGAAACCCCGTCTCTACTGAAAATACCAAAATTAGCCAGCTGTAATCCCAGCTACTCAGGAGGCTGAGGCAGGAGAATGGCTTGAACCCAGGAGGCAGAGGTTGCAGTGAGCCGAGATGGCGCCACTGAACTCTAGCCTGGGTGACAGAGGGAGACTCTGTCTAAATAAATAAATAAATAAATGTATGAAAATTATTTGTATGAATAATGAAAATAAAACACAACTTGTGGCAAAAACAAAAAAGAATGCTTGAAACTCAACAGTAAAAAAACACTCCAGTTAGGAAACTAACAAAGGACATGAAGAGACATTTCATCAGAAGATGTACAGTTCACAAATAAGCACATGAAAAGATATTTAATATCACTAACCATTTGGGTAATGCAAATTAAGACCACGCTGTTAGAATAGTGTAAAGAAAAAATAATGACGATACCGAATTCTGGTGAAGATGAGGAAAAACTACATTTCTCATACATCGTTGGAGAGAATGTAAAATGGCTTAGCCACTCTAGAAAATAGTTTGGCAGTTTAAAAAACTAAGTGTGCAACTACCATACACCCCAGTAATGATACTTCTGGCCATTTAACCCAGAGAAATAAAAACTTACATCTACACAAAAACTATACATAAATGTTCATCGAAGCTTTGTTTGTAATAGGGGAAATCTGGAAACAACCACGATGTCCTTCAATAGGTGGATGGTTCCACAAATTGTATACATTCATGCCATGGAATCCTACTCAGAAATAAAAAACAATGAACTATTGATACACAGAAAAACTTGGATAGGTTTTAAGAGCTTTAAGATGAGTGATGAGAGCCAATCTCAAAAGGCCACATACTGTATGATTTAATATATATAATATTCTCAAAATGATGAAATTATAGGGATGGAGAAATGATTAGTGATTGCCAAGGGTTAGGAATTGGGAGGAGGAGAAAATGACTCTAAAGTGATAGCACTAGGGGTCTTCATGGTGGTGGAATAGTTCTGTATCTTGATTGTGGTGGCAGGAATCTACAACGTGTCATAAGTGACAGATAATTATACATACACATCGTCCAAGATCAATTTCCTGATTTTGTCATTATACTATAATTCAGATATAACCATTGGAGGATATGAGTGAAGGGTTCAAAGGACCTTTCTGATTATTTTTGCATCTTTCTGTGAATCTATAATTATTTCAAAATAAAAAGTGAAAAAACACAGATCTATTCACCGTACGTTCAAGAGAAAGTTTTTGTTTAAGGCAAGGAAAATCTGCTTTGTTTATAGATATTATGAAGGTATCGAGAAAAGGACCAGCAGTGAGAGAAATACAATATTTGCAGTGTTTACTCGGCCTTTTTTCTAACACATGGCCCCTACAACGCTTCATTTTCTTCTCTTCATACACCCACAGTGAAGTTTTTTTTCAGAATTCTATTTCCTTGAGTTTGTATTGTGAAAACGAAGGTATAGTAAATACACGATCCTCCGCAATACAGGGCATTGCCTTTCCCCCACTCCCCAAAATAGAAAGAATTAACTTTGGATGGTATGAGGGAAATTCTTTACTTTTCCGTCAAGGTAGCAGGGACAAAGAAAGACAGGTACTACTTTGAGAAGAGCTTGATGGCAGATCTTCTCTGTGGGGAAAAGGTTATCTGCTAAGACTGAGGATGATTCAAGGTTAAGTGTGAACTTGAGTAGTATTGACATGACTTGAAAGAGTCATAATGGGTTATACAATGGAGAGGAAACAAAATTTAATGAAGGACCAGTTGAGTGATCTTACGAGTTCAGTGGAAAAGTGGTAAGATACTTTATTGAGCCATATTAATCTTTCTGATTCTCTACATTTTTTTTTGCTATCTGTAGGGCTACCAAGACATGCAAGGGATCATCCAATCAGGATGGTCTGAAGATGAGGAAGCTTTCATATGTACCCAGCGCAGCACATCAGCCTACTTCTTGTGAACTTCTAGGAGGAGGAAGGAAACCCTATAGTGAGACTGAATTTCCTGCTAGTCAATAGTGTTAAAGTCAGAGTTATTTGTCATAATAGATAAAATGTTTCTTATATAGCTGCTTTTGTGAAATATGATTCAAACTTGCCACATTAATATGAATTTTAACTTAAGGGACCTACATGATTTTGCTGCATTCTTTAGCAACACTTGTGGCCTAGGAAAGAGAAAGCAGAAATGGCCCAGTTCTGCCTCTTCTATCTTTTGAATTGTATAAAAAGAGCGAGAAAGACTCCCACAGGAGCAAAACAAACGTAGCATTGATAAGAAATATAGAACATTAAAGTGTTTCTCAGTCTCCCTTCAAACAAACAATTTTGTTTGTTTTGAAACAGGGTCTTGCTCAGTCACCCAGGCTGCGGTACAGTGGTGATCATAGCTCACTGTAACCTCGAATTCAAGTGATGGTGGGCTCAAGTGATTTTCCCACTTCAGGCTCCTGAGTTGCTGAGACTACCGCACGTGCCACCGTGCCCTGCCAATTCTTTTTAGATATTCTCACTACTCATCTCTAAGATTTGTCATTAGAGCTGGTAAATAAATCATCTTTGCACAGATGAAGTGGTATAAACTGGTTAAACTTGATTCTTAAAATGTAACTGTAAAGTTTCCCATGAATACTAAATATTTCCAGATACACTGATTAAAATCCAGGGTAAAAATTTAAGTGATTCTCTTAAATTGAACGTGTTATTCAATAACACACAGTTGGCCCTCCTTATCTGTGGGGGATTGTTCCAGAACCCCCGTGGATACCATAATCCATGGATACTCAAGTTCCTTAGTTAGCACTCACAGGGGGAGGTGGGATGGAGGGGGTGCGGTGAGGAGGTGCCAGATTCTGCATCCGCGGATTCTACCAATGCAGAATGCAGGTACTGTTTTCTCCATCAGGGTTGGGATTGGTCGAATCCACGAATGTAGAAACTGCTGATAGAGAGCCAACTGTATTTCAAGAACCTATCATCACGTAATTTTTTTTCTAGTTTTCTTTATCTTATAAAATGTTTAAGCTAGGCAGTGGTGCGTGCCTGTAATCCTGGCTGACACGAGAGGATAATTTCAGCCCAGGAGTTTGAATCCAGCCTGGGAAACATAACAAGACCTTATCTCTAAAAAAAAAAAAATGTTAAAAAATTTTACCTCCTAGTAAGAAAAAATTAAAATATCTAGCAACTGCCAGACTGAGTAGTATTTACTATCTATGCCTTTCACTTTCATTAAATATTATACTTAGAAAAAATTTGATCATGACTCATCTGCTTAAGAGAAACATTTCCAATATAATTTTCATAATGAATAATGTATTAAAATGTGTAATATATGTTGATTTGGTCAACTATATATGACTAATTTTAATGAAAAACAATCTGAGGAAAAAATCTATGTCTTATAATCACAAGAAAAAAGTGCACTTGATAATTTCAATTTATATACATATTACTGTTATAGAGAAGTATGATGGGTTCAATAAAGTACTTTCTTTTTTTTTTGACACAGACTTTTGCTCTGTCACCCAGGCTGGAGTGCAATGGCGTGATCTTGGCTCTCTGCAACCTCTGCCCCCCAGGTTCAAGTGATTTTCTTGCCTCAGCCTCCCGAGTAGCTGGGATTACAGACACGCGCCACCACGCCCGGCTAATTTTTGTATTTTTAGTAGAGACGGGGTTTCATCATGTTGGCTAGGCTAGTCTCAAACTCCTGACCTCAGGTGATCTGCCCATCTTGGCCTCCCAAAGTGCTGGGATTATAGGTATGAGCCACCACACCTGGCCCTAAAGTACTTTCAAATATAAAATGTATTGGATTACAACAAAATTCTACAGGACAAGTAGAATGGAAATTAGAGTTCAAGGAGAATAAGCAAATATGGAAAAATTTAAATGCTAATAAATTTTTATTAAAGAACAAGAATTCTTTATTCCTTAGAATAAAGATGTATTTATTCACGTTTTTCTGAAAATGAATAATAGTGGCTATGAAATCACTGTGGGTATTTATACTACACTTCATGTAACATTTTTATTTTAAAGTATCTCTAATGTGCTAGAAACCGCATCTTTTGGAATGATTAAAATGTTGAAAAAATGTTATATTTCAACTTAAAATGTTTGGCAGGGGGAACTATAGCAGCAAAAAAAATGTGAAGACTGTTGTCATAGGCATCATGTGAGGCTGGAAAGTGGGATATGCTGAGTGAAGTGGGATGCAAAAATGACTAAAGTCAAGTTAACTGAGAAAAAGAGGTTCAATGGATAGAACAGTGCTGGAGAGTTGCCTGGATTACGATCACAGCAGAAAGCTCCAAGTTTAAAATCTTGGAGATAAAAGAGTTCTCAGTCAAATAAAATATGCAGGCCTATGCTCAAGAGGTACTGATTTTTTGAAATTATAAATATATGTTCCTTGGAGCAAGGAATGTGTTTAAAACACTACAGATAAAAAATGGAAATTTAAAAAACCCATCATATGATTATAAATTATTAATACAAAACTCTCTAAGTAAAAAATTGTATACCACATAAATGTGCAACATTTGAAGACTATTTAGCTAAACTATAGTATAGCCAGTAATTCAGTCACTAAAAACAATATTTATAAATAAGGGGGAAGAAACAAATCTTTTATATAGAAGAATTCCAAAGTATATATATAGAGAGATATTCCCCTCTCTAGGAGGTGAAGCTTCATTTCTGGGTGCCCCTGACCCCCCCGGGAGTAGGCTAGACTTAGCGACTGTTTCCAAAGACTAAGTAGGGAAAGAGAAAAATAGTAACTTTATAGTGGAGAAACCTAACAGACATCACCAAAATCGTGATGAAGGTTCACATTACGCGTGGTGTCATGTTCATATCATATAGCTGATACGACGTGACCAGAAAGACACTTTACTTTTGGGGTATTCTTTCCGAAATCCCACATCACCAGTGTAACCATGAGGAAAACATCAGACCAATTCAGATTAGGGGACATTCTACAGTGTATCTGGCCAGAACTCCTCAAGACTGTCACGGTCAGGAGAATCGCTTGAATCTGGGAGGTGGAGGTTACAGTGAGCCAAGATTGCGCCACTGCACTCCAGCCTGGGTGACAGAATGAGACTGTCTCAAGAAAACAAAAACAAAAACAAAAACAAGAACAAACAAACAAAAAAAGACTGCCAAGATCATGAAAAGCAATGGAAGACTTAGAAACTGCCATAGACCGGAAAAGACCGGGAGGACATGACAACTCAGAATAATACGGTATCCTGGACAGGATACTATAACAGAAGGAGGACACTAATGGGAAAGTTGGTGAAATACAAATACACTCAGTAGTTTAGGTAACAGTGTTGTAGATATGTTAATTTCTTAATTTTGACACCCTTGCAATGCTAATATAGGATATTAACAAGAGTGAAAACTTAGCAAAAGGTATAAAATAACCCTCTGTACTATCTTGGTAACTTGTCTATAAAATAAAATTATTCAAAAAGGAAAAGTTTATTTCAAAACAATATTTACAAACTATGTTTAAAAATCTATACAAAAATCCAGGTGTGGTGGCTTATGCCTGTAATCCCAACACTTTGGGAGGTTAAGAGAGGAGGATTGCCTGAGCCCAGCTTTCAAAACCAGCCTGTGCAACACAGAGACCTCCTCTCTACAAAAAATAAAAAATTAGCCAGGCATGGTGGTGTACACATGTAGTCCCAGCTACTCCGGCTGGGAGGATCGCTTGAGCCCAGGAGGGTGAGGCTTCAGTGAGGTGTGATTGTGCCACTGCACTGCAACCTGGGCGACAGAGCGAGACCCTGCCTGAAAAAAAAAAATCTATACAAATGAAGACTGGAAGATAATTCACAAACATTTTAACAGGGTAATTTGTGGGTATGGAAATTTAAAAAATTCATTGCTACTACTTTGTATTTTCGAAATATTTTGTAATCTGTACATAAACACTGTTTTCTCCAAGCCACCTTAGGTTTCCATATTATTCTAGGTTGATATCTTAACAAATATTTTCTTCACTAAAGGACACATATAAAACATACTTAAGCAGAAATCTTCTACCAACCACTGTGGAGGAGCTAATAAGTTATGAGCTATAATATAAAAAATAAAATAACAATGAGATACCTAATACACATCTAATAGAATGGCCAAGATCCAAAACACAACACCAAATGCTGATGAGGATGTGGAGCAACAGGAACTCTCATTCATTGCTGGTGGGAATATAAAATGGTACAACCACTTTGGGAAACAGTTTGGCAATTTCTTAAAGTGAAACATATTCTTACCATATGAATCAGCAATTACAGAACTTGGTATTTACACAAATAAGTTGAAAACTTATGTTCACACAAAACATGCACATAGTCGTTTATAGCAGTTTTATTCATAATTGCCAAAACTTGGAAGCAACCAAGTTTCCTTCAGTAGGTGAATATTCGAACCAACAAAATATGTCCAGACAATGGAATATGTTTCAGAACTAAAAAGAAATTACCTATCAAGCCATGGAGGAAACTTAAATGCAGATTACGAAGTGAAAGAAGCCTCTGAAAAGGTTACATATTGTATGATTTGGAAAAGGGGAAAGTATGAAGACAGTAAAAAGATAAGTGGTTGCCATGACTTGGGGAATGGACGGATGAATACGCAGGGCAGAAAGGATTTTGAGGGCAGTGAAACTACTCTGTATGATGTTACAGTGGCGGATACATGTCATTATAAATTTGTCCAAACCCATAGAATGCACGAAGCAATAGTGAACCCTAATGTAAACTATGGACATTGGGTAATATGTTAATGTAGTTTCATCAATCGTAAAAAATGTAACACTTTAGTGGGGGATGTTGATAATGATATACGCTATGCATGTGTGGGGGTAGAGGGCATATGGGATACATCTGTATCTTCTCAATTTTGCTGTGAATCTAAAACTGCTCTCAAAAAATAAAATCTTAAAAAAAAACAACAACAAAAAAACCCAAACCAGGCCAGGCACTGTGGCTCGTGCCCATAATCCTACAGTTTTGGGAGGCCGAGGCAGGAGGATTGCTTGAGACCAGGAGTTTGAGATCAGCCTGGGCAACATAGGGAGACCTTGTCTCTACAAAAAATTAAAAAAAAAAAAATAGCTGGGGATAGTGGTATGCGACTGTAGTCCCATCTACTCCACAGGTTGAGAGGGAAGGATCACTTGAGCCTAGGAGTTTGAGGATGCAGTGAGCCGAGATCAGGCCGTTGCACTGCGGCCTGGGCAACAGAGCAAGACCCTGTCTCAAATAATAATAATAATAATAATAATAATAATAATAATAATAATTATAAAAGACCAATCCAAGAAGAAGAAAAAAATCCCCAAACAGCAAAGTCAAACCAGTAATTTGTCATCCAGCAGTCCTTAGAAGTGAAGTTTTCATACAGAACTTTTCCCTCTACATCTAGTTGGATTTTAGACCCAGTCATAGCATAATCCTATACATACATGGAAGACAATTACTTATTTCTCCCCCTAGGTTGTAAACATGGCTAAGATACTAATATCATGCACATTATATATTTATGATCTAATTTAATCCTCACAATAGCCCTCCAAGGCAAGTGTCCTTATTCACATTTCACTGATAAGAAAATAAGTACATGAAGTTAAGAGTTGCCTAATAGCACGTATGGAAAGTGACAGAGCCATGATCAGAACTCATGCTTGACTCCAAAGTCTGTGCTCTCTTTTCTTATGTCATATCAAAGTGGTAACTATTAGTTTTTTCTCTGTAATTGAACATCGAGCACCTGAGTTACTTTTTCTAAATATTAAGATACATTAAATTTGCATTTAAAGTAAAGCCTCTGGTGTCTGTCTGGCTATCAGAGCTCAACCTCACATCCCCTGCTTATCAATAAGCTCATAAGAAAGCACATCGCCAAAATGTTGCATGGTACAATATTTACCATCACTAGTCCTAGGTGACGGTTTTCCAGGAAAAAAGAAAGGGGAGTTCCATTATCAAATAACTTTGGACTGATGGCTAAAAACCCATTTTAGAAATTCATAAAGCAAATTTAATATATTAACAGCTCTGAGATGTCTTACTTTAAAGAAAGCCATGCAACTTTGACTCTGCGTTTCTCAAATTCACTTGTCTATAGAATTTCCTTTTCCCTAATTTAGGCCTTTTAACTTCTCAAGCTATACTACTGTTCTCATAAAACACTCTGAGAAAGCTGACCTAGAAGAATCAATGGTACAAAGACAATAAAAGACATCAGTAGGTTGGTAGGTCTATTGACCAGAGCAAGACATCATTCTACTTTCAAAGCTACACACTTCACACACCAAAATCATGGAGTAAGAACACGGAGGAAAATGAGAAAGAATGTAGACAAAGGAATAAGATGAAGCAGGGAAAAAGGCAAAATCAGGCAGCAGAGTCAAAGAGGAGTATGGCATATACACATGTGGGTAAGAGAACCCTTAACCAAGACTGGAGATGGAGATGTAAGAAAGAAGCAAACCAAGTATCTGAGATGAGAAGTAATCAGGTCATCTAGTGATTTTTTTTAAAAATCCCACTGGACGTTGGGCACAGTGACTCACGCCTGTAATCCTAGCACTCTGGGAGGCCGGGGAGGGCAGATCACCTGAGATCAGGGGTTCGAGACCAGTCTGGCCAACGTGGCAAAACCCTATCTCTCCTAAAACTACAAAAAAAGTAGCCGGGCATGGTGGCACATGCCTGTAATCTCAGCTACTTGGGAAGCTGAGGCAGGAGAATCACTTGAACCCAGGAGGTGGAGGTTGCAGTGAGCCAAGATTGCACCACTGCACTCCAGCCTGGGCAACAGAGTGAGACTCCATCTCAAAAAAAAAAAGAAAAAAAAAAAAGGCCGGGTGCCATGACTCACTCCTGTAATCCTAGCACTTTGGAAGGCCGAGGTGGATGGTCCACTTGAGGTCAGGAGTTCAAAACCAGCCTGGCCAACATAGTGAAACCCTGTCTCTACTAAAAATACAAAAAAAAAAAAAAAAATAGCTAGGTATGGTGGTGGGCACCTGTAATCCCAGCTACTCGGGAGGCTGAGGCAGGATAATTGCCTGAATTCAGGAGGTGGAGGTTGCAGTGGGCCGAGGTTGCGCCACTGCACTCTAGCCTGTGTGACAGAGCGAGACTCCGTCTCAAAAAAAAAAAAAAAAAAAATTCCCACTGGAACGGCCCACAGTCTAGGCAGTCTTCACAAAAGGCACTAATAGTACTCACAGGTCAACTGTCAAACTCTATCTTTGCCTTGCTTCTTTCTAGTCTTTCTAAGGAGCACTCAGATTCCTTAAGACTTCTCTTATCTCATGTGCTGAAAACAACTCTCCTCTAAACATTGGTAAACCAGCTCAGCAGTAAACCTAGCTACCAGCTCATAAGCTAGTACTTCTTGGTTTTTGCCCACCTGGGAGTCAAAGCTTTGAATGCTTATTGATTTTCATGGGAAGCAAGACCTAGATTGGATTTATGACATCCCCAACTAAACTAGCTCTTTGATTAATGCTCTTTATTTTCCCCCATATTCTTGCTAACTTCCCACTATTTCCCCATCATAAGGATTAACATACAACACGAGAAAACAGTTCAATACCTGTTCATACCAATAAATTGAAGGTGCATCACTAACACTGTGTATTAAGGTAGGAAATTATGCAAGAGATACGAAGGAAGAGATTGTTGCTAATTTTTTAGAATAAAGATCTCATTTAGAAAGATTTTCATTAAAATAGTTAAAATGAATGTATTTGTAGTGAATGAAAAATGTCACTGCTCTTAAAGGGTTAACCTTTAAGTACTGTACAAGAAAAATTCATAAAGTCAAAACAAAAACACTTCCATGTGTCATACTTACCTGTATTTTCATCCTAAAGGATTAATGAGTCTGTTGGGGTTTTTCACTTGCCCCTCCCTCTCATTCACTCAATAAATATTTTTGAAAAGGAATTTTTTTTTTGAGAGAGAGTCTCGCTCTGTCACCCTGGCTGGAGTGCAGTGGGGTGATCTTGGAACACTGCAACCTCCTCCTCCCAGGTTCAAGGGATTCTCCTGCCTCAGCCTCCTGAGAAGCTGGGATTAACAGGCGCACACCACCACACCCGGCTAATTTTTGTATTTTTAGTATAGACGGGGTTTCACCATGTTGGCCAGGCTGGTCTTGAACTCCTGACCTCGTGATCCACCTGCCCTGGCCTCCCAGAGTGCTGGGATTACGGGCATGAGCCACCGCGTCCGGCGCTTTTTTATTGAGTACCTGCACTGATGAATAAGATAGTGCCTACTTCTAAGCAGTTTACAGATTAGTAGGAAAGAGTGTAAATAAGAAACTATGTTACTCTAAGATTAGGTCACATCTTTTCCAGAGGTGATTTTTGGGTTGAGTTTTTTAGGACCAGAAGGAGTTAAACAGAATGGTCTCGTGCTGGGGACAAGCTGGGGAATGGCATGGTGTGGAGGGAGGTTGTTAGGAAATTTGAAGCTGGGAATACTTTCAAGCCCAAAGGTGGAAGGTGGAAGAGTAAGTACTGGGCTGCTTTTCCTTCCAGCATCTTTTCTAATTATAAGCCACTCCTCCTTCAGCCTTGCTGCCTCCCTGCCCCACCTAGAGGCGATGTGGGATCACAAAAATGGCATGGGCAAGTAGCCAGAGGGGCTAGAATGTTGCCTCAGCCCCTGGACTAGATGTGTGATCTTGGGCAAGCTAGCTGCTTACCTTCTGTGAGCTTATTTTCTCATCTGTGAAATGGGGATAGTGGCACTTGGGTTAAATGAGATAATGTAGGCCAAGTTCCTGCCTCAACTCATTTGGATTTTCCTGCCCCCTCCCCTTGCTTCAGTTGTTTTGGAAATTACACTCTTTCTCCTTATAACTTTCCCATTGCTCCTCTGATCTCCATTTTGGTATACTTTTTCAAGTATCCCCACTAAGAAGGCTGACTATGGGAGAGGGCTGCACCAAGCATAGCTGGAAAAGAGCACAGAAAAGCTCTCCCAAGTGGCTAGGATGTGCCCAGCTTTCCTTCCCCGTTCCCTGCCCTCCCCTCCCCTCCCCTCCCCCCCCCTTTCCTCGCAGATTCAGAACTGTTGCTCCCAGGGATCCTGGGCTTTTGTTCTCTGGAAGCTTAAACCACCACCTGTTTTGCCTTTATTGTTTAAAGGGTATCTCCTGTTGTTCACAAACTACCACAGGTTGAAGCGGACAAAACTTAAAGGCAGCAGGAGCTAAGTATGGTACTTCCTTTTTTTAAAACAACAAAAACAACAGAAAATACTAATAGTAAAACATCAATGCTTTTCCATTTTCCCTTTTTTATTTCTTTTCTGAGGTCCCCTCTAACACTAACTACCCCCTCTTTACCTGTTAATCCTACCATTAGTACTAATAAAAAGTTATCTTTAACGTTAATTATAACTTGTTATATATCTGTTTTTCTTAGTTTGAAGTTTTTACAGTCTGAGGTATCCTCTAAAGCAGTTTCTCAAACTTGAATATGCGTAAGAATCACCTAGGGATCCTGTTAAAACGCAGATTATGATTTAGAAGGCCTGGGGAAGGTCTGAGCTTTACCTGAGCTCCCAGGTAAAGCCCTTGCTGCTGGGCCTTGGACCACACTTGAAGTAGCAAGGCCTTACAGGGTTTAGAACAAATAAAGTGCATACACACAAAAAAATGATTGCTGGATGCTGCTTTGGTCTCTCTTACTCTGTATCTTGAGCTTTTCTTCAATACATCTTTTTCCACCTTTTCCTATGCATAATTTATAGCCAACACCTGACAATCATTCCTTTGTGTAATTACTTAGTTGTGCTCTTCCTTCCCTTTTCTTAGTCACCATTCTCACTGAGAAATGCGTCATTTCATGAGTACTCCAGTTACCCCCAGCCTCTTTCTACTAACATCTACCTTGAAACATCAAGAACTGGTTAAATAATCATTTTTACCCCCTTCTTGCTGAGCAACCTATAGTAGCTTCCTACTACACACATTAAATTCATATTCAGAATGAGAAGCTTCAAGACATTTCACCAACCCTTCCTTCTCCTCTGCCAATTTCTCTTTTTGCTCCACTTGGAACTCTCTGCATATTGCCCAGGTATACTTAGTTTCTCGAAACTCCTTACAGGACATTTTACTTTGGGACTGTCTTCTTTCATTCCTTTTTAAAGACATGCTGTATCGCTTTCAAAAAATTCTCAATTTTTACCAATTCAAAAAAAATTTCCTAATTCATTTCCAGTTGAGTCCCGTATTTAAAACAGTATTATCTAGGTGCTAATATATGTCTTATTATTCTTATTTTTATATGTCTTAACATTCTTTTTAAAAATATTTTCAGCCTCTCTAAAGGATCAAAAAATTAACCTTTAAAATCCCTTGAAGAGCATTTTAAGAGAGAAAATATTTGAGGTTTAGTAACACTTACACATTGTACCACCTACCAGCTCCTATTCTACTAGGGAAATAAAATTTAGATGCAGCTAAAATTTAGTTAGGGCCCAAACTCACATCCTATCTAAAAGGTTTCTGTTTTCCTGTCATTGTTTTCTACCCTTCGCATTTTGCATTCAGTAGGGTTGCATTTTTCTTAATAGTTCTTGGTGATGCAAATGCAAAAGAAATGAAATAGGGCTCTCTCATACTACAATTTCAAGGAAAAGGAGACTACGAGGCCCATTCAGCGAGGTGCAAGAGGCCTAGATGCAGCACACCCTGCAACCGCCGCATGCTCCAATTTCATCTTAGGGTTTTCGTACAGCTCCTCTTTTTTGGATGATGCAAACCGCGCAAAAGCAGCATTCAAACCTCCCCACCCTGGAAACGATACAAGAACATGAATCTTTACTGCCACTTTCTCCCTAACACGCAGCCAAGGGAGAGAGGCCCGGATACCCGCCCCCAAAACCGCGTCCACAACAATCATTTCCTCCCTCCCCGCCTTTTACATACAGTACACATACAAATACACACACGCAGAGAAGCCAGCAGGGGCGGGCCGGGCCCGACCACTCCGCAAACCGCAGGGGGAACTTGCGGCAGGCCGAGCTATTTTCGCCCAGTCCTTTCTTCTTCGCTTGCGTCTTCCTCTCCATCTGCATGCACCTGTTACATGAAAGCGAACTTGGGGACGTAGGGTTTCCAGAAAATCCGCTTCGGAGCCACACAGCTTCGCCGGGTGCTGCAACATCCCCCCTCTCTCGGTAAACAGTTGGTCGCGCCCCAGTGCTAGCGGGCGCCGAGCGGGAGCCGCGCGGGAGCAGCGCAGCTACGGCGGCGGCAGCGGCGGCGCGGTTGCGATTCCGAGCCGTTGAGACGCCTCTGCGGCAGCTGGTGGCGCAGGTGGCTTGCGTGGACGCGGGTAGAGGCGACCGGCCAGCAACCGCAGCGTCGGCGCCCGCGGCCCCGGCAGGTGAGCGGGCGACGGGGACTCGCCCCGCCCCCCCCTCGGTGGCGTCGCTCCTGGCTGTAGCGGGGAAGTGGACGCGGCCCGCCCGGGAGCCGAGGGGGCCGAGGCTGCAGCCGCTGGGCAGCAGGTTGCGGGGGAGGCCTTGCGTGGGCGGAAGGGGGCCGCTCGCTTCTCGGAATCCCTGCCTTTTTCTCTCCCATGCACCCCCTCCCTTTTGGGGCTTAAGCTCGGTGGAAAAAGCCCGGAGAAAGATGGGGCGGGCAGACGGGCGATTTCTGGCCGGGCAGCATCCCTGCTTCAGGTGGTGGCGTCTCTTCGGTGGCGGGGTGGAGGACCTGCTCCAGCGCGGAGGCAGCGCACTGGCGGGGGAGGAGCGGGAGGCGGCCGTCCCCTCGCTCTCCCACCCCCACCCGCCGGTTCCCCTCCCCCTCCCCTTGCGGCCCCTCCCTTCGGGGTTCTTCGCTTTAACCGCCCTCGGTGCTCTCCCTAGCAGGCGCGTCGGGACGCCCCGAGGCATCCTCCCCCGCCCGCGGGCCCGGTAGCTGGGCCCGCGTCCGCCGCCCGCATCCCCGCGCCGCCGCATCTCCTCGCCGCCTCCCGGGCTTCGGACCCCCGGTCTCGCCCCCGAAACATGACTCGCGATTTCAAACCTGGAGACCTCATCTTCGCCAAGATGAAAGGTTATCCCCATTGGCCAGCTCGAGTAAGTGATTTGTAGCCCTCGCGCTTAGCAGTGCTACCCTCCTCTCCAGAGGCCTGCTGCCCACCGTGTCTCTTTATTTTTTCTTCTGTCCTTTCTCTCCCTCGCTTTAGTCTCATTTGTAACCTGACCTTTCATTTTAGTTTTTTGCCCAATAATCTCCCGTGTAATTATGAAAATCCAGACGTTTCTACATACCTGTGTATTTCCCTATGGTTTATTGGCAGACTTGGACAGATTTTCTTCCTAGGAAATATTTAAATGCGTTGCTAGTTAATATTCCATTGTAGGTGAAATAATGAAGAGTGAATTTTTGTTTAAAAATTAGTGAAACATTGACATTTCCATAGTTTTGGATCAAGTACAAAATATCAATGGAATTTGTGCAGATTACACACAAACACTTGGATGTCAGAGAAGTGCGTATGTGATTAAATTGGATTTACAGGGTTTTAAAAAAAATACCTTGTACTTGATGAGGCCTTCTGGATTTGCTTGTTTAATACAGATTCAGGACTGGATATTCTTGAAAGTATTACAGTAGTTTAGTACCGAGGAAGGGCCAGAAAATTCATTTCTCCTTTTTTATTTGAGATGTTTATGACCTTGAAGAAGTTGTTTTACCTTTTTGTTTCCAATAGGCAAAAAGGAGGTGTGGACCAGATTCCTCAGTTCACATCTAGTGGTACAGAGAAATGATTAAGGACCCAGGATGTTTTGTGACATTGAGGAATTGAGACTGTTTAAAGATCTACGCTCCATTTTTAGAAAAAGGGTTCTTTTTGTTTATGGTGGTACCCAGGCTCTCAAACAGAGATAGATAGGACCTAAGATATGTTGCAATCAATTAGATTAGGTAAACTCAAGATCCTTTAAAAATATACTTACATGGGGTTCTGAAGTTTTATTTTTCCAAGCCATTTATTTTCGACTAATTTACTGTCCTTTGAAAATGTATTTCTTAAAAATAATTAAATTCTGTAGTTTTAGTTATGTCAGCAGGGGAATGGTGGAAAACACCCATTAGATAACGGAGTCCTGTCTAGGAGCTGAGAGTGCCATCCAAGTGTAAAACGATCACTGTTCCTTGACTTTCTTCCATCTAGCTGCTCTACGTAAACTCCTGTTCACAAGTTTCCTTCCAAAGCTTTTTTCCTTGCCTATAAAGTCTGCCTTTTCGGTGCAGTCTTACTTGAACAATCCTTAGTCATAATCCTTGTCTGTATATTTTACATTCTAATCTATTCCTTTCGTGATAATCTTTTGTTTTAATTCTTAACTCTGTGTATGCTTTGACCTCCAAATATATTGTGAGACCGAGGGCAACAACCTTAAATGGAATTTGTTTATACCCTCCATAGTCCGTAGTATATATGATGCACCTATAAAACACAATTCACGTTCAAATGGAGCCTAGGGAAACTGATCAGGTTTAAGGCCCCTCTGATATACTTTTTCATGGTCTTCGAGGTATCCTTGTTTATTTTGAGGTGTTTGAAAATATGAGGTTGTCTAATAGATCTATATTCCGATTTGCATGCCACAGTGAAGTTAAAAGCCAAAGGAAATGTTTAAAAAATCTCCCAAATCACCCTCCCCACGCTCATATGTTAAGTGACTAAGAGTGCTACTGAAAATAAAATAGGGTAGCCTTTGGAAGACCAGAGTGTTTTCCTTATTTAACAAGTTCTACATTTAACAAGTTCATTTGGATTGGAAGGGAAGTGTTTGTCTTTTCCCTTTTCCCCATCATTTTTTCTGAGAAACACCTCCATTTAGTGTTGGTGTATTCTGTGTCCAACAGTTACATTCCTTTTTCTGTCTTCTTCATTCTTAAAAATTTGAAATCTTTGCTGTAGAGTTTAGAGTCCATATTTAAAGTCTGAGCCGTAAAGGTGACACCTCTTGTTGCAATTTTTGCTTTAACATTTCTGTCTACATGTCCCAAACTTCATTAATTTTTAAGTCTTAAACATTCATGTACATAATCGTTTACCAGTAATAATTATTTAAAAAATCAACTTAAATTTTGCCCGGCATTTGCTAAAGGCTATAGGTGCTAGGTATTTGCATAAACTCTTTAAGCTGTTTGCTAGCAGAAAGAGGCATATGAACTGGGTTAACAGAAATGATCTCTTAAGGGATTAAGGATTTTTGCAATTATCGGGACATTCCCACAAAGTTGAGATAACAGGTGTGATCTTCATCATATAAGTGGGGAAATAGGTCCCTAGAGATATTGGGTGGTAATGATTCTGTTGGTGTGTGAAAGCCTTTAGACTTCCCTCACAAATCAGTTCAGTCATCCTGATGGTCTTCTTCTGCAACACCATAATGCTTACAGAGGATAGTAGGTCCTCTGATGGTCAACCCCCTTCTTAACAAAGTCAGCTGATTTTCAAATTGAAGTGTTTTTGAAATTATGAAAATTATGACATTTAAAATAGATATGTTGTTAAATTCTTTTTTTTTGTTTTTTTTAAAGACAGGATCTCACTCTGTCACCCAGGCTTGAGTGCAGTGGCATGATCTCGGCTCACTGCAACCTCTGTTGCCCAGGTTCAAGTGATTCGCCTCTGGAGTGGCTGAGATTACAGGCACCTGACACCGTGCCCTGCTAATTTTTGTATTTTTAGTAGAGACCGGGTTTCACCATATTGGTCAGGCTGGTCTTGAACTCCTGACCTCATGATCCATCCACCTTGCCCTCCCAGAGTGCTGGGATTACAGGTGTGAGCCACCGCGCCTGGCCGACATGTTGTTAAATTCTAGCTAGATAGTACTGCTTTAGTCCTGAGGTCTGCTTTTCCTTTATTGATGAGGGAAAGTAACAAGTATTATGGATATATTAGACGTGACAGCACCTGATGATTTCTTCCTTACATAATTTAAAAGGTTGAAAGAGCAGTGAAAAAGGAACAGGTAGCCTCATGTGATTCAGGCACATCAGTGAAGGATCTTTTCATAGTAAGTTTTTCAGACTTTGGGAGGTACTGATTTAAACTTTTGTCAATGTCTGCTTTTACATTAGTCTGTTATTTGTATAGATTTCCTGCAGAACTAACATTTAGGGTTGTCAAATAGGTTCAGACTCCTTACCTGAAATGATATGATTAACAATTCAGAATTCTGGGATTTTAGGAAGGCAGGGAGAGTACATATGCCATATATTTTGCTGCTGGTGCGGTCTGGAATAGCACATAATAATATGTCTGCAAAGAAACAACAGTGGAAACAGGTGGATAAAAGAAATGACTGATACCCTCAATGTCAGTCCAGGTTTTGCCACCAAATGAGTTTTGACAGAAATTTTGGTTTTCAGAGCTTCTTGGGTTTCAGATTTGGGGATAGGAGATTATGGGCCTGCAGAACTGGCCCATTTTATAACAGAACCCTTTTGGATGTTGTGCTCTTGTTTATTCAGATAAATGTTGAGGTGTGTATGATTTAAAATATTTTAATTTTTCTCACTTTTCTTTTAGGTAGACGAAGTTCCTGATGGAGCTGTAAAGCCACCCACAAACAAACTACCCATTTTCTTTTTTGGAACTCATGAGACGTAAGTCCTGTTAGCTTTAAAGGCAAATCAGAGCTAATTTAACAGGGTTATTAGGCAGTAGACATTAATTCAAGGGGGAAATCGTAACGTAATAGGAAACTTTAAAATCTTTGAACTTTGGAAAGAGTCTTTAAGTCTCTATTTTTAAGGTAGCGTTTACAGATGCTATAGGTTTATTTTTTACTGGAATTGATATTTCCTTAACCAAAAAGGAAAGTAGAAATTCTCTGAGCAATAAGAATGATTGATGGATGAAAATACATAAGGAAAGTTTTAATAAGTGATCTGATATTCCTATACAGTAAAATAAGTGCTTTTTATAAGGACTAGTTGGTACCTAATTTTTGGTTTTATGATATCAGATATGCAAACTGTGTATATTGTGGAGAAGGTGAGAAGAGGAAGTCTAGCTAGTTCCCTCCATGTGTTTATATGGTCCCTGAAGCTCTGCTGCCTCTGGTGGGTATGTGGGCAGAGAACTGATGTGAAGCAAATTTTTCAAAAATTGCAGCTGAATGTTGACGTATGTTACTGCCAAGTGCATGGGATCACTCAGGAGGCTACCGTTAATTTCCCGAAGAATGTTCCTATGTACCTATAATTTAATGGCCTTAGAAATACTATATAATCTGGTTGATTTTGGACTTGAAGTTTGGTGTCTGTCATAATTTTGGTAGTCTTGTTTACCTGGGATGAGGAGAAACAAAACTATTGCTATTCTGATTAGAATTATGTATTCCTAAGAGTGGCTGCAATGGCAATATTTGGTTTAAAGTTGCTTAGCTACTGTATAAACTTTCACACAATGTCTTTAATAGCTCTATTGAGATGGAATTTACATACAAAGAAGTTCACCTGCTTAAAGTGATTTTCAATAGATTTTAGTATATTTAGTAGATTTTAGTATATTGACTATCATAACCTTTTGATGATCACTTTCCCCTCTCCAACCGTAAACAACCACTAGTCTACTGTCTGTATAGACTTACCAGTTCTGGACATTTTATTTGAATGGTGTCATACAATATTTCATAATAAGTTTTTAAAAAAATACAACTTTGGATCCAGAATTGGTTTGGCCTTCATCATAATTAGAGTTAGGTTCAAGTGTATTCTATATATAACAATATAATTTTTAAGAAGTGATAAGTTTCTGATTCCATGGGATACTTTAAAGAAACTCTTCAGTAAATTTAATAGAGGACAAAAGTATCTTTTAATGGAAAATGGTGCAGTGTATATTAGAGTAGGGCTTTTCAAAGTGTGTTGTCAGGTCTAGCACCATTAGCATCTCTTGCGAACTTTAATTAAAATGTAAGTTCTTGGCTGGGTGTGGTGGCTGACACCTGTAATCCCAACACTTTGGGAGGCCAAGGCGGGAGGGTCACTTGAGTTCAGGAGTTGGAGACCAGCCTGCAACATGGTGAAACTGTGTCTCTACAAAAAATACAAAAATTAGCCGTTTGTGGTGGCACACACATGTGGTCCCAGCTACTCCAGAGGCTGAGGTGGAACCGTCACCTGAGCCGGGGAGGCAAAGGTTGCAGTGAGCCAAGATCTCACCACTGCAGACCTCATCTCAAAAAAAAAAAAAAAAAAAAAGTTCTTAGGCCTTATTCTAGACCTACTGAATAAAGCTGTGAGTGTGGAGCCAAAGACCTGTTTTAACAAGCCTTCCAGATGATTCTGATTTACGTTGAAGTTTGGAAATACTGTAGTAATGTGAGTGGACATTCCTTAGCATTTTTCAGTTTTATAAGCTTAAAAGTCTTTAATTCTGATTTTTGTCTGAAATGGAACAGGTTTTTTCTTTTTTTTTTTTTTGAGACCGAGTCTAGCTCTGTTGCCCAGGCTGGAGTGCAGTGGCATGATCTCCGCTCACTGCATGCTCCGCCTCCTGGGTTCACGCCATTCTCCTGCCTCAGCCTCCCGAGTAGCTGGGACTACAGGTGCCTGCCACCACGCCAGGCTAATTTTTTGTATTTTTAGTAGAGATGGGGTTTCACCGTGTTAGCCAGGATGGTCTCGATCTCCTGACCTCGTGATCTGCCCACCTCGGCCTCCTAAAGTGCTGGAATGGAACCGATTTTATACTTCTATATATCCTGATAGTCTTACAGAATACACAGTCCATTCTTACGTTACTATTTTAAATTTAGAAGAGGAATGATTATCCCTTCTCCTGCATTTAAAAGGATTTTCATATATAAATATATGTACACTTTAAACCAAAACAAACTAAACTAAATAACTAAACTGTTGTTTGGTTAATAGGTAATTAGATAGTTAATGAAGACAGTGAATTACTAATATTCAAGAATTTAGGATATATTCAAGGAATTCAAATGAATTTAACTTTAAAGTTAAGCTGACAATACTGAATTTTCATTTCAAAATGCACTTGGTTTTTGCCTTAGTGTTCTTATGATTATACCATTTATCTTTGGAAAAGCAGTGCTGCCCCATATGTATGTTGGTCTGGTGGTGACTTCTTTTGTACTTAAGATTAATTTTTGGGCTGGGCGCGGTGGCTTACGCGTGTAATCCCAGCACTTTGGGAGGCTGAAGCGGGCGGATGACGAGGTCAGGAGTTCAAGACCACTTTGGCCAATATAGTGAAACCCCATCTCTACTGAAAATACAAAAATTAGCCTGGCATGGTAGTGTGCACCTGTAGTCTCAGCTACTTGGGAGGCTGAGGCAGGAGAATTGCTTGAACCCAGGAGGCAGAGGGTGTGGTGAGCCGAGATTGTGCCATTGCACTCCAGCCTGGGCAACAGAGTGAGACTCTGTCTCTAAAAAACAAACAAAAAAATACTAATTTTTGGAAACTAGGTCTCTGATGATCTTTTTTCCCCTCAAAATTTGGGAGGGTAGTTATTTGAAGTTTTTTTTTTTTTGGAGACAGAGTCTCATTCCATGGCCCAGGATGGAACACAGCGGCGATCATAGTTGACTGCATCCTTGAACTCCTGGGCCTAAGTGATCCTCCCATCTCAACTTCCCAAGTAGCTGATAACTGCAGTAGCTTGCTAATTTTTGTATTTTTTATTATTATTATTATTTTTTAGAGATGGGGTCTTGCTACATGGCCCAGGCTGGTCTCCAACGCCTGGTTTCAAGTGATCCTCCTGCCTTAGCCTCCCAAAGTGCTGAGATTACAGGCTACTTTATTTTTTTATTTTTTTATTTTTTGTGATGGAGTCTCCTCTGTTGCCCAGGCTGGAGTGCAGTGGCACCATCTCGGCTCATTGCAACCTCCACCTCTGAGATACAAGTGATTCCTCTGCCTCAGCCTCCCAACTAGTCAGGATTACAGGCACCCGCCACCACACCCATCTAATTTTTGTGTTTTTAGTAGAGATGGGGTTTCACCATGTTGGCCAGGCTGGTCTCAAACTCCTGACCTCAAGTGATCCACCTGCCTTGGCCTCCCAAAGTGCTGGGATTACAGGTATGAGCCTCTGTGCCTGGCCTGTTTGAACTTTTTAGTTTGGATTTTGCATAAATAGTTTAGTAGTCTGCTAAACTAGAAGAAAGGTATATTTGGAAATTGTACTAATTCGTAACTGGTTTATAGATTAAGGTTTTTTAATTGTTAATTTAGAGCAGAATTCTTTTGTAACTGCATTCTTTTCCTGGCCTACAGACGTCTGATTTTACTTAGGACATTCATAGTAAATGTTCAGCAATCAAGTTTTGAATATTAGACAGTGAGCCCTAACTGTGACCATGTACTAGATATTTTAAACCTAACATATTCAGACAGATTTTTAGTAAGTGGGAATGACATAGACTCAATTCTTACTGAAGCCAAGTCTTGGTATTATCCTTGATTACATGTTATAGTCTTTCCCCTTCCTTTCTACATCTAGTCAGTCAGCAAATCTTGTTCTTTGCCTTTCAAATGTATTCGGATCTGTCCGCTCTTGGTCATCTTTGTATAATTCAAGTCCATGCGTAATTACTTCTGTAAATAATGTCCTAAGTTGGGCACACTGGGACATGTCTGTAGTCCCAGCTACTCAGGAGGCTGAGGCAGGAGGATCCCTTGATCCCAGGAGTTCAAATCTGGCTTGTAACATAGTAAGACCCTGTCTTGGGGGGTAAAAAAATTAAAAATAGTGCGCTTACTCTATGTTGGTTTCAGTTTCCACTCTTCATATACAGTTGGCCTGCTGTATCTGTGGGTTCTGTATCCATGGAGTCATCCTGTCACAGATTGAAAATATTTGGGGGAAAAAGATGGTTATGTCTGTAGTGAATATGTATAGATTTTTTTTCTTTGTCATTATTACCTTAATGCAATGTAACAACTATATAGCATTTACATTGTATTAGGTATTATAAGTGATCTAGAGATGATTTAAAGCAGCAATGGAAGACAGTTTTTTCCACGGGGGTTTGGGGGGATGGTTTTGGGATGAAAACTGTTCCACCTCAGATCAGCAGCCATTACTTAGATTCTTATAAGGAGCACTCAGACTAGATCCCTTGCATGTGCAGTGCACAGTAGGGTTTGTGCTTCTGTGAGGATCTAATGCTGCCACTGATCTGACAGGAGGCAGAGCTCAGGTGGTAATGCCTCCCTCCTGCTGTGTAGCGTGGTTCCTAACAGGCCACGGACGGGTACTGGTCCTTGGCCAGGGGGCTGGAGACCCCAGATTTAAAGTATATGGGAGGGTGTGCGTTTTATATATATATATATATATATATATATGCTGTTTTATATAAGGGACTTAAACATCTGTGAATTTTGGTATCTGCAGGGGTCGAGGAAGGATAATCCACAGTCTTACGGATACGGAGGTACAACTGTCTAGTCAAAGAGATCTTTATATCTCAGTCAGATCATGTCATTTCACTGAAAACCTTCAGTGACTCCCTATTTTAACATTAGCAGTGAATCAAAACCAAAAACTACCTACAAATGATATTTATAAAAACCTATACGAACTAGCCCATGCTTACCTCTCCAGCCTCATTACATTTTTCACCGCTTTTTTCTATTGTAAAAATAAGCCTCATCTTATCTCAGGTCTTTTGTTTTCCCTTTGCGGGGAAGGTTATGCCTTCGGATATTTGAAGTCATTTAGATCTTAGCTCACATCCTCCTCCTCGTGTTTATTTTCCCCACTGCAACAGTGACTGAATTTTTTTTTTTCCCCTTTTCTCTTTTTTTCACCCACACTCGAAGAGCTGGATCAGCAGGGACCTTGTCTATCTTGTCATCATTAACTTAAGTGCCTGGCACTTAGTAGCTGTTAAATAAATATTTGGTGATTGAAAGCTTTGTGCACTAGATAAAGTCATTTGTTGATTATGCATTTGCTGTCCATTAGCCAACGTTTATGTAGAGCAACTAGATCAGAAGTTTGTTTTTGAATACTGACTGCCATTTACCTGCTATATAACCTTGGGCAGGTTACTTATATTTGTGTTTTTTTTCTTTGTCATTTGTAAAGTGGGGATAATATTATCTTGCCTCAGAATCTTGGGATGCAAATAAGACATGACATGAATAATGCTTAGAACAATGCTTGGCTATTATTTATTTAAAATGTTCAGCTTTGGCAAACTTTTATTTCATTTTGGGAACAAGAGTTGTGGGGATTTACCCATTTTTCCAAGACTTCTAGTAGTATTTATTAAATTGAAATGAAGCTCAGTTTGAGTTTTGGTGACTAATTACCTTTGCTAATTCAGGGACTATTCCTACCTAGTTCTGTATCTTAGAAGTCTAGGAAATTTAAATAAAGATATTTTGCTGTTTTTTCCTCCTTACTGCTCTTAATTGTCTTAATGCAAAGAAGTTGGGTGCTCAGTTTTAGGAACTTTAAATATACATCACAGGCTGTTTTAAAACCCGTCTAATTTATAGTTTTAGGAGTGAAGGTCAGTGCAGAGGTACTGATAGTGGTGACAAGAAGAAAATAAAGTAATGAATCTTAGGATAGGATTTTTTTCTTCTACACTAGTTCTTCTGTACAAGTTTCATAGCTGCACGTATTGGTGTGGGACTTGTATGGTTTCTCTTAAATTTTACACCAAATAATGAGATGAACTGTTTATTCATCTCTTTTTTTTTTGGAGACAGAGTCTTGCTCTGTCTCCCAGGCTGGAGTGCAGTGGCAGTGGCGCAATCTCCGCTCAAAGCAAGGTCTGCCTCCTGGGTTCATGTCATTCTCCTGCCTCAGCCTCCCAAGTAGCTGGGACTACAGGCGCTCGCCACCACACCCAGCTGATTTTTTGTGTTTTTAGTAGAGACCGGGTTTCACCGTGATAGCCAGGATGGTCTTGATCTCCTGACGTCATGATCCTCCTGCCTCGGCCTCCACAGTGCTGGGATTACAGGCGTGAGCCACCACGCCCAGCCCTATTGATCTCTCTTTACCAGCAGGTTCATGAGAAATAGTGCGTGCATATTCAGTTGTCTGTTGAATAATTTTTCTGTTATAGACTAATACATGCTATTATAAAATATAAAATATTTATAATAAACTTTCATATTTTGTGATTTAGTAATGTAGAAATGAAGCAGCAAGTTAGAATCAATATGTTGTTAAAAATGGAATTTTTCTGTTTAGCAATATTACTTGGCAACACTTAAATGAGTTTTGAGCTTCATATATTTGGCTCTGATTTCCTGTTTTGTGTATGTGACTTCGGTTTTTTTTTTTTTTTTGAGACAGAGTCTCTTGCTCTGTGGTCCAGGCTAGAGTGCAGTGGCGTGATCTTGGCTCACTGCAACCTCTGCCTCCCGGGTTCAAGCGATTCTCCTGCCTCAGCCTCCTGAGTAGCTGGGATTACAGGGACGCGCCCCCAAGCCCAGCTAATTTTTGTACTTTCAGTAGAAATGGGGTTTCACCATGTTGGCCAGGCGGGTCTTGAACTCCTGGGCTCAAATGTTCCTCCCACCTCAGCCTCCTAAAGTGTTGGGATTACAGACATGAGCCACCGTGCCTGGCCTGTGACTTGTTTCTTTTAAGAGTTCTAGTTGTGTAACAACTGAATTTTTGTGTGTGTTCTTGTGGGTATTCATATTATTCACAAAAAGTGAATTAAGAGAGAGAACTGCTTGTCTTTGTTTATATACCATTAGGAAAATTGGAATGCACATGTACACACTTAGGGCTTCAACGTGTGTGCCATGTAAGAAACACATTGTAGCATTTGAGCTGCCTCAGTATTATAAAACTAGTATTGAATTCAGTTAATGATTTCCTGTTTTCTTAGAATGTTTTACATCAGTCTTGACTCTTACAAGCTTTGACATTGGTATTTGAGGTCTGAGTTCGTACATATAGAGAAATAGCATGAATATTTTATTAGGAGATGTTTCAAAGACTGTATTACAATGGTTAAAGGAAAGTCCAAAACCTCTTTAAGGAACACTGCAAGTTGAGACTCTGCTGTTTTAATAGGTAGGTGACCTTGCCTGAGTCAGTCTTTTTGAATTTCAATTTTCTCATCTTTAAAATGAGGTTTTTGGTGATCCCTCAGTTTCCTTTCAGCTCTGGAATTTGGTGGGTAAGTTACCTTGAATGTGTATCTTTTCTTGTTAAAATTTTAAAAAACAATATAGAAGGAAACAAATCCTTTTTACTCCTATTTTTTAGAAATAACCCCTAAACCTGGTAATATTTTGACGTGTTTTTTTCAAACTTGTCTGTGCATTTTTTAAAGGAGCTTCTGTCGTATATAGTTATGCCCTGCTTTTGTGTGCATGTTAAGCATTTGGTATGTTATTTTAAAGTGGAATGCCTTGAAGAATGAATCAGTCAGACCTACTGTTAACATTTTGATGTATTTCAGACTGACTTACAATTTTTTGGTATTTGATATTATGTATAATTATATCCTGCATTTACTTAGCATATTAAGGATTTTTTTATATGTAATTTTAAAGTGGAATGCCTTGAAGAATGAATCAGAACCACAGCTGCACAAGGTTGTACCCTTGGGAAGTAGTATAGTGATGTCCGTCGAAAAACTAATCTGGTCCCTGTTCACCAAACCTGTCGGACTGCGTGCCCAAGGAAGATTTTTTTTTTTTTCCATCTGCTGTCATTTTTGAGTCTCATTAAGAGTTCATCAGTCTTGAGCATATCTTACTCTTTGTTTTTTTGTTTTGTTTTGTGTTTTGAAACGGAGCCTCACTCTGTCACCCAGGCTGGAATGCAGTGGCACGATCTTGTCTCACTGCAATCTCCGCCTCCCGAATTCAGGCGATTCTCCTGCTTCAGGCTTCCTAGTGGCTGGGATTATAGGTGCACGCCACCACGGCTGGCTAATTTTTGTATTTTTAGTAGAGATGGGGTTTTGCCGTCTTGGCCAGGCTGGTCTCGAACTCCTGACCTCAGGTGACACGCCCGCCTTGGCCTCCCAAAGTGCTGGGGCTGGGGTTACAAATGTGAGCCACCATTCCCGGCTTGACCCACTTATTCTTAGAATTTATTGTGAAGATAGGTGCAGAGATTGAGCAATATGTTTATTATAGCAGTGTGATTTTATAATATAAAATTTGACATGGAAAATGGCCCAACAATAGGTTTAGCTATTCAGTGAAATAGTGTGTAGGTGTTAAGTAATTGTTGACATAAAAAGATACTCATTTTAATTTAAAGAGGTCTACTTTTGAGTAAGTTTGTATCATATACATTGAAATTGCATAGTTATATATGTATATATACAAATAAGTGGGCTGAAAACAGTAGATTTAGTTGGTGAGATTGTGGATTAGTTTACTTTGATAGGATATGTTATTGTCAAAAAATTTTAACAGCTTTATTAAAATATAATTCATTTCTCCAAAAAGAAACCATGTATTCATTAGCATTTACTTTCCATTTCTACCCAATCTTCTTTCCCACCTTGGTCTAGGTGGTAGCTAACCTACTTTCTTCCTATTCTGGGCACTTCATATAAATGGAATCAGCCGGGCGCGGTGGCTCACGCCTGTAATCCCAGCACTTTGGGAGGCCGAGGTGGGCGGATCACGAGGTCAGGAGTTCGAGACCAGCCTGGACAACATGGTGAAACCCCATCTCTACTAAAAATATAAAAAGTAGCCAGGCGTGGTTGCACATGCCTGTAATTCCAGCTACTTGGGAGGCTAAGGCAGGAGAATTGTTTGAACTTGGGAAGCAGAGGATGTTGCAGTGAGCCAAGATAGCACCATTGCACTCCAGCCTGAGTGACAGAGCAAGACTCTGTCTCAAAAAAAAAAAAAAAAGGAATCATAGAACGTGTGGTCTTCAGTGGCTGGCTTTTCTCACTTAGGATGATGTTTTTCAAGATTCATCCATGCTCTAGCCTGGATGTGATAGTACATTACTACTCTACTTTTTATTGTCACATATTCCATTATATTGATTTACCATATTTATTCATCACTTGATAGACATTTGAGTTATTTTTACTTTTGGCTTTTATGAATAATGCTGTGAACATTTGTGTCCAAGTTTTTTTGTGAACATAAGTTTTCATTTCTCTAGGAGAAAATTCCTGGGTCAGATGTAATTTCACGTTTAACGTTTTGAGAAAACTCTCAGACTTGCCAAATCAGCTGCACCGTTTAACATTCCCACCAGCAATTGTAGGAGGGTTCCAATTTCTCCACATCCTTGCCAACACTTGTTATTATTTGTTATTTTTTGGCCGTCTGAGTGGGAGTGACGGTAGTATATTGTGATTTTTGATTTACATTTCCTGGATAACTTAATGATGTTGAATTATGTGAACTAAAAAAAAGTGTGCGAATTTAAAAATCTTCTGTACTTAACATGAATTTACATTTGTAAAAGTCTTTTCAGTTGGAAGAACATAGTTATTTAATTTTTGGTATATTAAGATACGTGAATTTATGTATGACATCAGTTGAACCATTATGGTTAATAATGAAAGGTACAACTTGTAAATCTGAATCTGGGAGTAGGAGCAAGGGGTGAATTTTTTTAAAAACCTACTTAGCAAAGTTAAGAATAAAAAACAATTGTAGTGAAAAGGTACACGTAAAATGAGGTGGTGTGAATAAAACTAAATGTAAACATTACATTTTATGAATGAATATAGTTCTGTTAAGACTTTCTGTTTTAATAAACCACTTTGCTATGTCTTATTTTGTGAGACAAAGCTCAAACAAAACAAGAGCAAGCAATGATACAATGTCACAAAGAAAGCAGGAATGGCAATACTGCTGTCTGTTAAAAGTGGAATTTAAACTCAAAGCTTGAAGAGAGAAGGGTATATATAGGCAGTCCTTAGCTTTACATAGTTCCTGTAGGCACAAATTTCAATTGCCATGACTTAGCTAAGTAACAGTCCACTAACAACATGGTTAAAATTTCACCTACCCTGCCATATTAACTAATTGTATAAACTACAACATTTGCTGCTAGTCTTTCAACCTACAAATTAAGATGTAAATGACAGGTGCATATAATGTCACTTTTAAAGCTTCTTGGTGATTGGTCACCATGCATTGGTTTCTCAAAATCATGCACAGTCGGATGTATAGTTGGCCTCTGTCTCCTAATGATGTCCCCATGTGACAGTTTACCAAAATAAACAAGGAAATTGGTCAACAAAGATGATAGTGCAGCAAAAATCCTAATGCTAGATGGGAAATTTGAATTTAACATAAATGGAATAATAGAATAAATAGCTTACCTTGTGAATATAGATGGTTTGCAGTTGGAGAGACACTAATTGTCCAGCCAGAGAAACTTAGTGAAGGCAAGCTTATCAACATAAATGAAAAAGGTAGTTGTAATGGAAAATATGAAGATATCCTATTAATAGAAGTGATACCAACAAAAAACATTGAGGATATTTCACATCATTGAAAGCATGAAGGATAAAATATTGGAATGTGATCTAAACTTAGGAGTATGACAGTTTGCCAAGGCATAGAAGATAGACGCATTCCATATCATAATAAATATCACTAGAAGAAGGCAAGCACTGTTCAAACTATTCTTGATAGATTTTTTTTAATACAAAGAAATGATACACTTTAATATCAGTGTTCCTAATGTTTTAAGTTACAGCATACTAAGTTGGTATTGGTTTTACTATTTCATTTCCTTATGCATTTACATAACCGTCAGTAATAGACTACTTAATATTCTGACAAATTTTAAAGGTCACAGAACAATCGTAACTTTTCCCATTGATTATTAAGATTGCCTTGCATGGTCCTTTTTAAGAACTGCTTTTTTTGAGGTTAAGAAAAATGATTCATGTAAAAAAATTTATCTTTTATACAGTAACTTTGTGGTAGATCAGTCTTCTGTGGCTTTTAGACTTAGAGCCATATCTTTAAAAAAAAATAAATATTTGAGGTTTTAAAACATTTTCCTGTAATTATTTTTGAGGTCTTTTCCTACTCCTGAAGTTCCTGGTCACCCCAATTTTGAGCCCTTTGGGGATTTTAAATTGTAAATGAGGGTGCTTAAGATTCAACTTCTTTAGTTGTCTTTTTAGCTTCCAAATTTTATTTTTGCCTTGTTTGGTTTTAAGAGTTTATACTTTTAAAATAATCTCTTTACTGTTGTTTTTCTGGTTTTTCAGGAGGGAGAATTTGTGTTGAATTGGGTTTGTTCTGACCAGAAATACGTTTTCATGGAGGTTTAACTCAAGTCATTTACTTGGAATTTGAAACCTGTTACATAAGAGGAATGTTATACTGTTAGAGCTAAATGTGTTAATTTTTCTAATTTGAGATTATGGACAGGAATTAATGATGTCTAGTAAAATCTTCAGTTTTTGATGGAATGAGATGATTTCAGTTTAACTCCAAAGTAAATTTGGTAAATTATTGGTTTGCCTTAATCCTAGCATAATAATATTACTTTGAAAATGGGATGTGCAGTTAAAATACATGGATACAATGAATGTTACAGAATTTAAATAATAAAGCTGACTTTTATATACCCTGATTTTTTATATATGTGTGTGTGTGTATTTTTTTTTTTTTTTTTTTTTTTTTTTTGAGATGCAGTTTTGCTCTTGTTGCCCAGGCTGGAGTGCAATGGTGTGATCTTGGCTCACCACAACCTCCGCCTCCCGGGTTCAAGCGATTCTATTGCCTCAGCCTCCCAAGTAGCTGGGATTACAGGTGTGTGCCACCACGCCTGGCTAATTTTGTATTTTTAGTAGAGACGGCATTTTGCCACATTGGCCAGGCTGGTTTCAAACGCCTGACCTCAGGTGATCTGCCCTGCTAGGCCTCCCAAGTGCTGGGATTATAGGCATGAGCCACCACGCCCAGCCATATTTAAATAGAACTCTTAAGTCTTTTAATTGAAATTTTATTTTAGAGCCTTTTTAAAATTCTAACTAGAATATTAACTGTACTCATTAGTTCCCTAATTCTTAAAGAATTTTAGCAGATCAGGAATTTATGATATGTATCTAATGATAGTAATAATTTTAAAATTTAGTACATTTTAGAGGAAATAAGTATCAGTTCCATTTTCCTGTTGCTTTGGGGAGTATATGTATATCAGCTGTCATAGTAAAATTATCAACATACTTACGTCTAGCTTTATAGAACTGACAGACTTATATGACTCACTGATGTGGGGAGGAGATGTACAGGGTCCATCCTGGATAATGTATCTAAATATATATGTACAGATGGTCCCTGACCTACTGATATGGTTTGGCTCTGTGTCCCCACCCAAATTACACCTCGAATTGTAATAATCCCCACACATCAAGGGCAGGACCAGGTAGAGGTAATTGAATGATTGGGGCAATTTCCCAAATGCTGTTATGGTGATAGTGAGTCTCATGAGATCTGATGGTTTCATAAGTGTCTGGCATTTCCCCTGCTTGCGCTCATTCCCTCTCCTGGGTCCCTGTGAAGAGGTACCTTCTGCCGTGATTGTAAGTTTCCTGAGGCCTCCCCAGCCATGCGGAACTTTGAGTCAATTAAACCTCTTTTCTTTATAAACTATCCAGTCTTGGGTATTTCCTCATAGCAGTGTGAGAACTGACTAATATGGTAAATTGGTACCAGAAAGTGGGGTGATGCTGTAAAGATACCTGAAAACGTGGAAGCGACTTTGGAACTGGGTAACAGGCAGAGGTTGGAACAGTTTGGAGGGCTCACAAGAAGACAGGAAAATGTGGGAAAGTTGAGAACTTCTAGAGACTTGTTGAATGGCTTTGACCCAAATGCTGATAATGATATGGCCAATGAACTCCAGGCTGAGGTGGTCTCAGATGGAGATGAGGAGCGTGTTGGGAACTGGAGTAAAGATCACTCTTGCTCTGCTCTAGCAGGGAGACTGGTGGCTTTTTGCCCCTGCCCTAGAGATCTGTGGAACTCTGAACTTGAGAGAGATGATTTAGGGTATCTGGCAGAAGAAATTTCTAAGCAGCAAGGCATTTAGGAAGTGACAGAGCATAAAAGGAAAATTTGCAGCCCGATGATGCAGTAGAAAAGAAAAACCCATTTTCTAGGGAGAAATTCAAGCAGGCTGCCAAACACTAATCACCAAGACAATGGGGAAAACACCTCCAAGGCATACCAGTGACCTTCCTGGCAGCCCCTCTCATCATAGGACGAGAGGCCTAGGAGGGAAAAATGGTTTCCTGGCCTGGGTCCCGGGCCTTCCTGCTGCGTGCAGCGTTGGGACTTGGTGCCCTGTGTCCCAGCTGCTCCAGTCTTGGCTAAAAGGGACCAAGGTATAGCTGAGGCTGTTGTTTCAGAGGGTGCAAGCCCCAAGCCTTGGCAGCTTCCACATGGTGTTGGGTCTGCGGATGTGCAGAAGACAAGAATTGAGGTTTGGGAAACTCTGCCTAGATTTCAGAAGACATGTGGAAATGCCTGGATGTCCAGGTAGAAGTCTGCTGCAGGGACGAAGACTTCGTGGAGAACCTGTGCTAGGACTGTGTGGAAGGGAAATGTGGGGTTGCATCCCCGACACCGAGTCCGCACTGGGGCACTGGCTGTGAGAAGAAGGCCACCATCCTCCAGACCCCAGAATGGTAGATCCACCGACAGCTTGCACCATGCACCTGGAAAAGCTGCAGACATTCAACACCAGCCTGAGGCGGGTTGTGTACCATGCAAAACCATAGGGGCAGAGCTTTTTAAGGCTGTGGGAGCTCACCTCTTGCATTTGCATGATCTGAATTTGAGACATGCAGTCAAAGGAGATCATTTTGGAACTTGACTGCCCCTATTAGATTTCAGACTTGGCATGGGGCCTGTAGCCCCTTTGTTTTAGTCAGTTTCTCCCATTTGGGATGGGTGTATTTAGCCAATGCCTGTCCCCCCATTGTATCTAGGAAGTAACTTAACTTGCTTTTGATTTTACAGGCTCCTAGGTGGAAGAGACTTGCCTTGCCTCAGATGAGACTTTGGACTTGGACTTTTGAGTTAATGCTGGAATGAGTTAAGACTTTGGGGGATGGGGACTGTTGGAAGGGCATGGTTGTGTTTTGAAATGTGAGGACATGAGATTTGAGAGAGGGGGCAGGGGCAGAATGATATGGTTTGGCTCTGTGTCCCCTCACAAATCTCACCTTGAATTCTAATAATCCCCAGGTGTTAAGGGCGGAACCAGGTGGAGGTAATTGAATGATGGAGGTGGTTTCCCCCATGTTGTTCTTGTGATAGTGAGTTTCATGAGACCTGATGGTTTCATAAGCGTCTGGCATTTTCCCTGCTTGCATGCATTCTCTCCTGTGGCCCTGTGAAGAGGTGCCTTCTGCCATGATTGTAAGTTTCTTGGGGCCTCCCCAGCCGTGTGGAACTGTGAGTCAATTAAACTTCTTTTCTTTATAAATTACCCAGTCTCTGGTATTTCTTCATAGCAGCGTGAGAATGGACTAACACACCTATAGTGGTTCAACTTAGATTTTTTGACTTTAGAGTGGGTTTTTCATGGTTACTTAAATGGATTTCTGACTTCAGATATTTTAGATTTACAGTGGACTTATTGGGACATAACCTCCTAGTAAATTAAGAACTATCTGTGTATATATGTACACACATATGCAAACAGTTGAGGCTCGTTATTTGTGGATTCCATATTTGCGAATGTACCTACTCACCAAAATTATTTGTAAGCCCAGATCAGTAGTACTTGTTGTACAGGTCATTCACAAACATGCACTGAGTAGTGGAAAGACTTGAGTCTCCTGATACAACACATTCTTAGCTGAGGTTGTACAAGGGAATGCTTGCCTTCTTTTTTCAGCACTCATACTGTAAGCAAGTATCTTTTTTGCAGTCTGTTTATTGCCATGCATTTTTTTGCTTTTGTTGGTCATTTTGCTATTTAAACTAGCTCCCAAGCATAATGCTAAAGTGTTCTTTCATGTTGCTAAGTGCGAGAAGGTTATAATGTGCTTTACAGAGAAAGCGCATGTTACATACGCTGTTGGCTATGAGTTCAGTGTTAATGAGTTAGCAGTCTGTATTAAATAAGGTGTCTTTAAACAGAAACACACATAAAATGAATTTATGTATTGATTGGTTCATGAAAACCTTGTGATTACAGGAACCTAACCCTGTATTTCCCCTAGGAGCAATGGTTGTGTATTTGCTAATTCAGTTTTCACAGTGACTTTATAGAACATTACTACCACAGATAGCAAAAATTGATAGTACATATATGAATGAATGGGTTATAATATGTCTGATTCCCTCATTCAGTAAAATAAAATTCTTAACATACTCACTGATTATTTTAAAAACACGATAGTTTTGTGAGTTGTATAATATACGAAGTTATTTTGAAGTGAAACTATATTTGGGGTGCAGTTAAATGTGTTGATTAATGCTAATGTGTCAAAGTTTGTAGTTTAAAAAAACCCAAATTTATTGAATTAACCTTTTTTTTTTTTTTTTTTTTTTTGAGACAGAGTCTCACTCTGTCACCCAGGCTGGAGTGCAGTGGCGTGATCACAGCTCACTGCAACCTCCGCCTCCCGGGTTCAAGCGATTCTCCTGCCTCATCCTCTCAAGTAGCTGGGACTACAGGTGCACGCCACCACGCCCGGCTAATTTTTGTATTTTTAGTAGAGATGGGGTTTCACCATGTTGGCCAGGCTGGTCTCAAACTCCTGACCTCAAGTGATCCACCCGCCTCAGCTTCCCAAAGTGGTGAGATTACAGGCGTAAGGCACCACGCATGGCGATGTAACCATTTTTAAGTGTATAGTTCAGCAGTGTTAAGTACATTCACATTGTGCAACGTCTGTGGTTTTACTTAATAGGATTATGGATTTAAATAGTAGCTTGTTACTGAATTTAATAAAAGTATTTGGAATTATTAATTGCCCTTTAACTTATTTAAGATTTGTAATGCAGTTTAGGTTCTGTATTTTTGATAATTGTGTAATAGGGTGTCTTATCTAATAAATTATGTATTTGAGCTTGCTTTGCACTCACATCTTCCCCACTTCTTTTTTAGTGCTTTTTTAGGACCAAAGGATATATTTCCTTACTCAGAAAATAAGGAAAAGTATGGCAAACCAAATAAAAGAAAAGGTTTTAATGAAGGTTTATGGGAGATAGATAACAATCCAAAAGTGAAATTTTCAAGTCAACAGGTAAGTCATATTACATAAAATTTGATATTACTTATTTAATCCTGGGGAATAATCACTATCCTAGCTGTAGGAAAGTAAATACTAAAAGCCTTGGGAATTTCATACTAGTTTGTTGTGTTCTTATTTGTGAGGTTGAACCTTGGGCATTTTATATCAAAATGAATTGACAAAATCATTATTTTATGTAGTTAAACAGATCTCAAGAAACTGGGAACTATTCAGTTATTTAACTCCTGATAGAGGGTTTAATACGTCATTGAATATAAAGCTGTATGTACTGTTCTAAATTTAGGTTTTGCGACTTACATGGTGTATGCCTAAGTTTTCTTATTCTCTTTAATTAATTAATTAAATTTCTTTTTTTTTTTTTTTTTTTTGAGGTGTAGTTTCGCTCTTGTTGCCCAGGCTGGAGTGCAATGGTGCAATCTTGGCTCACTGCAACTTATGCCTCCCGGGTTCAAGTGATTGTCCTGCCTCAGCCTCCCAAGTAGCTGGGTTACAGGTGCCCGCCACCACGCCTGGCTAACTTTTTGTATTTTTACTAGAGACAGGGTTTTGTCATGTTGGCCAGACTGATCTCAAACTCCTGACTTCAGGTGATCCACCCACCTCAGCCTCCCAAAATGCTGGGATTACAGATGAGAGCCATTGCGCGCAGCCTTTAATTTCTAAATCCATAGAATTGTATTGGAATATGAACCTCATGAGTTAAATTGGTATGTGACAAATGTACTTACAGCACTATGCAAATTATATTTATTGGTGTCAGCAGCCACCTTATACCTTCTTTTCTGTGGTTTTTCCCATGGGTCCAGAGCTTTTATTAATTTATATGTTATAGTAAATTTTCATGGAGTGGTTTGCCTTTATCCAATTTGTATTGTTTTTATCCTACAGAAAACACTGGTTCTCTTACTTCTCCTTTGTGTTGGTATTGATGTGATTTAGAAAAAATTTATTTTTTTTGAGAGGAGTCTCGCTCTGTCGCCCAGGCTGGGGTGCATTGGCTCTATCTTGGCTCACTGTAAGCTCCGCCTCCCGGGTTCACACCATTCTCCTGCCTCAGCCTTCCGAGTAGCTGGGACTACAGGTGCCCGCCACCACACCCGGCTAATTTTTTGTATTTTTAGTAGAGACGGGGTTTCACCGTGTTAGCCAGGATGGTCTCGATCTCCTGACCTTGTGATCCGCCCGCCTCGGCCCCCCAGAGTGTTGGGATTACAGGCCTGAGCCACTGTGTCCAGCCTAATTTTTTGTATTTTTAGTAGAGACGGGGTTTCACCTTGTTAGCCAGGATGGTCTCAATCTTCTGACCTTGTGATCTGCCCACCTCGGCTTCCCAAAGTGCTGGGATTATAGGCTTAGAAAAATTTTTTATATTGTCGATTGCACTCTTGAATTGTTGCATATATTCCCAAATGAATGTTCCAGAACTCTTACGATTTAAAATAAACAGATGGCTTTATAATAGGATCAGAGGGCTATGAGAGGTCTTTATGAAGATAATTGGGACAGTTTCTCTTTCATCAATAAACGTCCTCTGTTTAAGACCTGAGGTCCAAAAACTAGGAAGAGCACGAGTAAATCTAAAGAAGCGAGGTAGCAACAAAGTGGAAATTCTGCAGCTTTTTACTCTTTTTTTTGTTGTTGTTGTTGAGATGGAGTCTCACTCTGTCACCCCGGCTGGAGTGCAGTGGCGTGATCTCGGCTCACTGAAGCCTCTGCCCCCCAGGTCAAGCAATTCTCCTGCCTCAGCCTCCTGAGTAGCTGGGATTACGTGTGCGCTTTGCCACCGTGCCTGGGTAATTTTTGTATTTTTAGTAGAGATGGGGTTTCACCATCTTGGCCAGGCCAGTCTTGAACTCCTGACCTCGTGATCCACCCACCTCAGCCTCCCAAAGTGCTGGGATTACAGGCATAAGTCACTGTGCCCGGCCTAGCTTTTTACTTTTAAACCGATAAATTTTATTTCTTCACATGTGCCATGCTTTACCTTGGAGAACTTTTTAGATACTGTTCTATCTGGAACATATAAATCTTTCATTGCTGCTCCAAGGCCACATTAAATGATTAGTGACTTTATTACTTCCCAGTACTTACTTGTTAATGGATTCATCGAACCATATCATAATTGTTTCTGTACTTGTCTGTACCTGCTACAGAATATTATGTTGCCTCTGTGAACAAAGGTTTATGTCCTGTGTGCCCAGCATGTACACGTGTGAGAAGAATAGCTAATCACTAAATATTTGTTGAATGGCTACATGGTTTCTTATCATTATTGCCTTGACTGTGTGATGGGAAGACATCTGTCTAAAGAGACAGAATTGATTGTTATCTGAAACTTAACGTCTTGTAATTTCTTTTTTGTTGTTGTTTTTTTGGAGACAGCATCTTGCTCTGTCGCCCAGGTTGGAGTGCAGTGGTGCAATTTTGATCTTGTCTCGCTGCAACCTCTGCCTCCTGGGTTTTAAGTTATACTCGTGCCTCAGCCTCCCGAGTAGCTGGGATTACAGGCGCGTGCCACCATGCCTGGCTAATTTTTGTATTTTTGGTAGAGATGGGGTTTCACCATATTAGCCAGGCTGGTCTTGAACGCCCGACTTCAAGTGATCTGCCTGCCTCAGCCTCCCAAAGTGCTGGGATTACAGGTGTGAGCCACAGTGCCCAACTACGTTTTGTAATTTCTCTTGGATCATTTGTCCTGTGATTGCACCTTTATGGTCTTTTTTATCCTCCAAATTGCCAAGCCTTGTCACCATATAATCTTGGAGTTTTTTTTAATTTTTATTATTTGAGACTGCGTTGCCCAGGCTGGGGTACAGTGGTGCAATCATGGTTCACTACAGCCTCGACCTCCTGGGCTCAGGCTGAGGAGGGAGGATGCCTTGAGCCCAGGAATTGAGGCTTCAGTGAACCATAATTGCGCCACTGCCTCCAGCCTGGGTGATAGAGTGAGACCCTGTCTCTAAAAAAAAAATAAAAATAAAGAATTGTATATATTATTGGGATAAAAACTTATTTTTTGAAATTAATAGAGTTGATTGCTCACAGGCAGCAACTAAACAATCAAATGCATCATCTGATGTTGAAGTTGAAGAAAAGGAAACTAGTGTTTCAAAGGAAGATACCGACCATGAAGAAAAAGCCAGCAATGAGGTATGTTCTATTTCTCCTAACATTTTAAACCCATTTTGTTTCAAGGAAGAAATAATGAAATGAGTTGGCCATGATTAATTAGTAAGTAATTTTTAAAGTACTTCAAAAGTGAATTAGAAAATATTTAAGGCTTATTTCCTTGTGTAAATATTAAATACAGTATTGTCAAACAACTTATGCATCTTTAAGATGCATACCTGTTATTATTTGAAGTTATTTTTATATGTAAAACATGAAGTCCAACTGTAGGGTGCGGTAGTGTTAAGGATTTTTTTTAAAGAGAAGTGTTGTAGGATGGATGTACTGGAAACAGCATTAGACTAAATTTTTTAAAACCTAGGTTGATGTCCAACTGTATATGATCTGTGTGTAAAGATGACTCATTTAGCCCTTCCAGGCCTAATGAAATGGTTGTTAGATGATCTTCAATGTCCCAGCCACCCTTTAAAATTCACAATTCAAATTTATCCACCCCTATAATTCAGAATTCTAGTGTAGAAAAAGTAGTTTTATAAATTTAAATAGACAGACTTCCTGGTGTACCAGCAACCATGACTTACATTTGATCTGACAGTGGAAATGCATTTTTCTCACTTTATAATGTTGAGACACAATGTTTTTAATTTCAGAACTCTACAGAGCAAAACAGATTTCCCCAATGCTTTCAGTTAAACGTGCTTGTAACTTTTAGTTTAACAAGGTTTCTTTCATTCCTGGAATAATTTATTCAGTATTCAGTTTTCTTTTTTCTTTTTTAGGATGTGACTAAAGCAGTTGACATAACTACTCCAAAAGCTGCCAGAAGGGGGAGAAAGAGAAAGGTAATTTCACTGACTTACCAACCATGGGGATCTGAAAAGAATTTTTATTTTAATTGGGTTGAGGGAGAGTAGATACAATGAAACCTTAAATTTCAGCTTTTATTCTAAACCCTTTAATTTTTTATGGGTTATGTTTTACTTGGCAAAACTATCTGTGTTTCTTTCTTAGTGATATAGCACCCTTAAAGTAACTTGAGTGGTAAAGGAAATAAAATACACCAGTTTTCATTCATTTTAATGACTGTGCCTCAGTTTTCTCTAAATTGGGTAGAAATATATACTCCAAGGTTGTGGAGGATTAAATGATTTAACATATGTGAAATGTTTATGCTAAATCCTGATACCTAAACACTAGTAAGTGTTATATAAGTGTTGTCCATTATGTTGTTGTTGTTGTTACTTCACGTTGTGAGAAATGAGTGTGAGTGACAGTGCAAGGTTAGGTACATAGTAGGCTTTTAATTAATATGAAATTTTCCTTCCATATACGAAGTTTTGTTCACACCCTTTTCTGACCTATTTATGTCTCAAATTATTATCATATACCAAAGATGCAAAGAAAACCAAAAGTTCAGTATCTCATGAGGAGGTAAACTATGAAAATAAATAATTACAGTGGCTTATTTGTTGTGCAGTATGGGTTGGAAGTGGTGTGATAACAAGATTTTAAAATACAGGCAGAATTTTGTCAGGCGGATGAAGGAGCAGGGAAGGACACATGAAGCCATTTCACATAGAGGAAATTCCTACTCAAGCATCTTGAGTATTGTATTTCATTATTAACACACCATAAAGTCTGAGGGAAATGGGTACCAAAAAAACCTGATGTTGTCCTAAAGACCTTGGAACTTACAGAAGTGATGGGAAATGATTGAATTATTTTAAATTTTAGATACCTCCTTTTAAAAAATTTTTTTAAGAGATGGGGTCTCATGCTGTCACATAGGCTAGAGTAGTGCAGTGGCACAATCATGCCTCACTGCAACCTGAAACTTGTGGGCTCAAGGGATTTTCCCATCTTACCCTCCCTAATAGCTGGGACTGTAGAAGTGTGCCACCATACCCGGCTAATTTTTTTTTTTTTTTTTTTTTTTGAGACGGATCTCGCTCTGTCATCCAGGTTGGTGTGAAGTGGTGCGATCTTGGCTCACTGCAACCTCCACCTCCCGAATTCAAACAATTCTCTTGCCTCGGCCTCCCAAGTAGCTGGGATTACAGGCATGCACCACCATGCCCAGCTAATTTTTGTATTTTTTTGTTTTGTTTTTGTTTTTGTTTTGAGACGGATTCTCACACTGTTGCCCCAGCTGAAGTGCAGTGGCGCCATCTCGGCTCACTGCAACCTTCACCTCCCAGGTTCACGTGATTCTCCTGCCTCAGCCCCCCGATTAGCTGGGATTACGGGTGCACACCACCATGCACACCTAATTTTTTTGTATTTTTAGGAGAGATGAGGTTTTACCATGTTGGCCAGGCTGGTCTTGAACTCCTGGCCTCAAGTGATCCACCCACCTCGGCCTCCCAAAGTGCTGGTGTGAGCCACCACGCCCAGCTAATTTTTGTATTTTTAGTAGAGATGGGGTCTCACCATGTTGGCCAGGCTTATCTCGAACTCCTGACCTCAGGTGATCTGCCCATCTCAGCCTCCTGAAGCTCTGGGATTACAGGTGTGAGCCACCGGGCCTGGCCTATATATATATATTTTTTTTTTTGATAGACATGGGGTTTTGCTATGTTGCCTAGGCTGATCTCTAACTCCCAGCCTCGGTGATCCTCCCAAAGCACTAGGATTGCAGATGTGAGCCTCTGTACACAACTTGATGCCTCTTTTTTCTTTTTTTTTTTAAATATAAATTTGTTTTTTTTTTTTTTTGGATACAGAGTTTCATTCTGTCACCCAGACTGGAGTGCAGTGGCATGATCTTAGCTCACTGCAACCTCCACCTCCCGGGTTCAAGCGATTCTCCTGCCTCACTCAGCCTCCTGAGTAGCTGGGATTACAGACGTGCACCACCACGCCTGGCTAATTTTTGTATTTTTAGTAGAGATGGGGTTTCACCATGGTGGCCAGGCTGGTCTCAAACTCCTGGCCTCAAGTGATCTGCTCACCTCTGCCTCCCAAAGTGCTGGGATTACAGGCATCCGCCACCATACCCAGCTAATTTTTTGTATATTTAGTAAAGACAGGGTTTCACTATGTTGGTCAGCCAGGTCTTGAACTCCTCACCTTGTGATCCGCCTTCCTTAGCCTCCCAAAGAATGCGTCATTTTTTTAAAGCAGTGTGAACGATGGGGATTGGATTGGGGCAGTGAGACCAGTTCACTGTAAAATTCATTCAGAATTTTAGTACTAACTTTACTGGACTTGGCATGGATTTGAGTAGTCAGTAAAGAAGACAAGGTCTTTGTTTCCATTGAACTTACATTTTTTTTTAGACAAAAAATAAATATTTAAAATAAGAGGGTTTAAATGGGGAGTTAATGAGTTGGCAACAGACTAGGCTACAAAAGGCCTTTCTAAGGAGTTGGCATGAGACTGGAAGGACAAGGATCTTATAGATTTTTTAAGTGGTGTAGACGAGAGATGGGATTTAAGAGCACTTTAAGAGGTTAAGTTGATGGTTGATGAGAAGTGGATGGTAAAGGGGGCGGGGGAGGGAACTAGAATCTAAGGTGGCTCTAAGGTCTTTACTTGAATAAGCTAGTTATTGGGAGTGCAGAGGATGTTGGTTTGGAATCATAGGCATGAGTAAGGGGAAGGTGAAGCACCTGTGGGAACTGGAGTGAAGAGATATATATATTGTTCTGGCACCAAAGAGGGAGAAGATGTAAGTTACAGATGCAGTCTCTGGCATGAAGATAGGGTAATAGATGAGGTCAAAGGAGAACGGTTTATTGAGAGGATGCAGAAACCAGAATCCTGAAGGAATATAATGGAGAGGGGGAAAGGTTGCTCTGTGAAATTATGGCTGAGAATGAACTGTCAAGAGAAAATCTAAGAGGGTATCAAGCTAAACAAGGGAAGGGGGAATGTCCAGAATGAAGAAGTGGTCAGTAATGTCCTGATTTAGAGAGGGTACCAGTAAGATACTTGCCACATAGGCTGCTCTAGGATACTTTCAGGTGAACTCCATTTAGTTGAATGGTAAGGACAGAAACTAGATTAAGGGGTTAGAGAATAAATGTTAATGGTAAAGTTACACTGTGCTTTTTAAATCTTTGAAGGCAAGGAGAATGTGGCAACATAATAGGGATTTTCATAGCTAAGGGAAAGTGTTAAAATGACAAAAGACAGTAAATGCCTTAACACTTTTTCTCTGCAAAATTAGGAAAGATCAAAGATGTGGAGTCAGTATAAATTATTTTATGTAAATACATGTTGGATGAGAGAATGGAGGGGACATTTGAAGGAACTGACTTAACAAGGAGGAGATGGATGTTTCAGTCTCTTAACACTGAAGGGGAGGGATGGAGGAGGCTCTGAAAATTTCTTGGGACACTAGGAAATTAAGGGAATTCCTTTCTACAGCCCTTACTCCCTTCTGCCCCATCCACATCAAAGCAAGACTTTGGATGTGGTACAAGTCGGGAAGAATAGATTGAGTAAATTATGCAGCTGTTGGTGGGAGGAGGAGGCCTGATCAGATAGGGTAAAGTGACTTTGAGATCTCAACTGAGATTGCATAAAATGAATGCATGTTTGTACATTTTTTTTTTCCCAGCAGGCTTCAGCAGCTGGGAATAATAGAACAGAGAAGGTAGAATTGTATAGTAACCTCTCTTGAGGATTTGTGGGACAGATACAGCAAAACAAGGATGTGGAGGACTTATGAATACATTTGAATAGTAATCCCATGAGGTTTTTGTGTGTGTGTGAAGTGGTGTGTTTTTAGTTAAGATCAAGGAAGCTGGTAGAGCTAGAAAGGGGTAAAAAATGAAGAGAAAATGAGGGTTAGATGTCTCAGAGCAAGTAAAATATGGAAGAAATAAATCTGTAGTCAGTAGTTTAAGATATTAGCATTTAAGATGTTTAAATATTTAAGCATATCCTAAGAGTGGAAAAGTTTTAAATATATATGTTTCGTATAACTTCATTGGTCCTTTCTTTAGATAAAATATTTATTATTCTTTGATTTTATTTTCATGAGGAATGGTTCTGACTTGCATGATTTTGCCATAATAGTCATGAACACACGTGCATGGTAGGGCTGATCTCTTAGTATTAGTGTTAATATAGTTTTAATTATTATTGATGAACTTGTTACACTTATTGGTACCTCCTTAAAAACCATCTCTTTTACCTATAATTCTTTGTTTTTTTTGAGACGGAGTCTTGCTCTGTTGCCCAGGCTGGAGTGTGGTAGCAGGATGTCAGCTCACTGCAATCTCTGCCTCCTGGGTTCAAGTGATTCTCCTGCCTTAGCCTCTTGAGTGGCTGGGATTACAGGTGCCTGACTTATTTTTGTATTTTTAATAGAGATGGGGTTTCACCATGTTGGCCAGGCTGGTCTCGAACTCCTGACCTCGTGATCTGCTAGCCCCAGCCTCCCAAAGCGCTGAGTGGGAATTACAGGCATGGGCCACTGCACCCAACCCTACCTATAATTCTTATTCAGTGTTTTGATTTATTTCCAAAAGCAGAAAGTGTAAGTGGAGAGAGTCTTCTTTGCACCAAAGAATTGACCAGTTATAACTGAATTTTAGACAAATTATGCCCTCTTAACTCCTCAGTAGGAAAAGAGCTCTCAGTCTTGAGTTCTTAAGCTTTGTTACCTGGGGAGCTTTATAAAAACACAGAATCCTGGTTCCCTGACTCAGAGCTATTGAATCAGGATTGGGGCAGGGCAACTTTGTAAGTTCTTAAAATTCTAGAAATAAAACCTGAGCTAATAATGTTCAGGGAGGAATTTTCAGTGTTCTCTGAGAACAACTCAAGGGTTACCTTAGATGAGTTTTAATAATACTTTTAATATGCTTCATTATGTTTCAGTTATTTAAAGAAATGTTTAAAAAACTAATAAAGAAATGGATACATTCGTAGAAGTGGAATTGCCATATAAAGGTTTTTTGTTTTGTTTTGTTTTTTTGAGACAGTCTTGCTCTGTCGCCCAGGCTGGAATGCAGTGGCATGAATTTCAGTTCACTGCAACCTCTGCCCCCTGAGTTCCAGCAATTCTCCTGCCTCAGTTTCCTATGTAGCTGGGATTATAGGTGTGCGCCACAAGCCTGGCTAATCTTTTGTTTTTAGTAGAGAAAGGGTTTCATCGTGTTGGCCAGGCTGGTCATGAACTTCTAACCTCAAGTGATCCACTCACCTTGGCCTCCCAAAATGCTGGGATTACAGGCGTGAGCCACTGTGTCCAGCCCTATATAGAGATTTGCACATTCTATATTGCCAATACTCATTCATAATTATGTGCTTTCATAAAGTATCAGTTTATTGATACCAGCTTATTGATCATTGGTAGTCAATGTATGAATGATTCTCCACATGCTTATCAACACTGGGCATTATGTTTACAAATCATTGATGAAAAGGCAATTTTTAATTTTTTTAATCAATGAGATTGGATTATGCATGTTTTTGAATGCCTTCTTGTTTTTATCTTTAGTGATACAGTTAATGCTGAATTCTAAATAGTTGGGGGAGTTGGGGAAGGAGCCCATCTCCTCCTTTGGTCTTTCTCTTTCCTCCTTTTGCAGTTATGATCAGTACCAACTGCTGCCTCATGTTTACATTTTGTTTCTAATTTGTGTTCTTAACCTTTGTTCCATTCTAATGCTTAAATCAATAATACTGATTCTCATTTGGGGCCATTCTCTCCAGGAGAATCATACTAGCAGTTATCAAAGGGCATTAGAGTTTGCAAATGGTCAGTGGATTCCTTACTCTCTGTTGTAGTAAATCCTTTCTTACGGGAAATAAGAATAACTCCTAAAGGAGAACTGTTAGGTAACAGTCTCAGTTTAGAAATAAAATGTGTCTGTATGAACGAAGAATTAGAAATAACATTGTGTTAGTTGCAGTGTAATCACATACTTTGTTCTCCATATCGCATCAAGAATATTAGCTTTATTTTTACAAATGACTTCATTTCTAAGAAATTTTTTGTTTTTTTTAAGAGTTGTTCACTAGAGTTATAAACTAAGTTTGAAGATGTTACTCTTGAGTTGATTGTTGAAAAAACAAAAGATCATATAGAGGTTATATCTATACTTGAACTCAACGTTACCATAGACTGGCATATTTTTGCCATCGAATTAAACTTTGAGTGCCTACTATTTGCTAAATAAGTTAATTAAATTTTTGTAATTCAGGCAGAAAAACAAGTAGAAACTGAGGAGGCAGGAGTAGTGACAACAGCAACAGCATCTGTTAATCTAAAAGTGAGTCCTAAAAGAGGACGACCTGCAGGTAGGATTACTGATGTTTAAATATCTGTTTGGCTTGTGATTAATATTCCAGTCCATTTAAAGTGTTGCTGCCTCAAATATTTTGGAATGAAGCAAATAGGCAATTGATTATGTGTAACATACAGATTTCAAAGGAGATAAACATGATTTGTGCTCTGTTTCAAAGTATTTAAATTTGAAATAAACTTTGCTTTATCTCTGTTATGTTTTCCCTAAATAGTGGTAAGAGAGGCTGTGGGGAGGTTAAAATTATCATGAATAATGGGTTTATTTTACCTTTCACTTAAGAGTCGTAAGATTTCAAAATGGAGTTATAATCAGAGAATGAGAAATAGCATTTGATTAAAGTCATTAATATTTTAAATTTGTGCGTTCTTTATTGATAGGGATTTTGATTTTTACAGTTTGCAGCTCTCTTCAGCATTGCCTATTTAAAAGTATTTTCTTAATTTGGCAAATTGGAAATATTTTGGAAAAATCTTCGTAAAACAAAACCAAAATTGAGTGAATTTTTTTTCTACTTTTTAATAGGATTCTTACTGAAAATGGGGGGTAAGATGAGTAATACCCAGAAAAGAAAAAAGATTTTTATTTATATATTTTGGAGTTTAATATTGCAGTGGATAAAATTAATAGTGCTAGGGAAACTCAGTGAATTTTGATATGAACTTCCAAAGATATGTAACTGCATAAGTAATATAATATGTATATGAATATTAAATATAAGTGCTGTTTCCTATTCTAAAAGTTGAATTTTGTGACATTACTGTTAAAACGATAGTGAAAAATGTTTTAAGCCCTCTCAGTCATAATAAGGACAAATTGAGGATTACTCTGTTTACCTCTTTATAAATTTTTTGTTGTTGCTCATTTTAACCATGGTGGGGGAGGTATTATTTTTTCAATTTAGCAATAATTGTATCTGTAATAAGCTACTAATATTCTTAAATAGTATGTATCATTTCTAATATTTATATCTGAGATTTGTATCTTAAATAGAAACTAGTAGTTACTGATTTTTTTTCCATGTGTATATTAGCTACAGAAGTCAAGATTCCAAAACCAAGAGGCAGACCCAAAATGGTAAAACAGCCCTGTCCTTCAGAGAGTGACATGTGAGTTTATTTTTAATGTATAATTATGCAATAAATGAGACATTTGACTTTAAACAAGCACATATCTCTGCGATTTTATCAGTTTTCTCTTACAGGATGTTTGTTATTATTTTGATCTTTCTTAAAATTACAGGAAAAACTGGGAAAATTTTGTAAAGTAAAAATTGGTAAGGAATGGCTATTTATCATTTCATTAATTAAGACTCTTGGGTATATCAATTTATATAGATACTTAGATAATACAACATAAAATATATAATAGAGAAATTGGGCAAGATGGTATGTTTCAGGAATTTTAGAATATATTTGAAGTAATGTCACAAATTTTTTTTTTTTTTTTTTTTTTTTTAAAGATGGGGTTTCACTCTGTCGCCCAGGCTGGAGTGCAGTGCTGCAATCGCACACTGTAACCTCAAACTCCTGGGCTCAAGGAGCCTCTTCCCACTTTAGCCTCCCAAGTAGCTGGGACCACAGGTGTGTGCCACCACACCTGGCTAACTTTTTTTGATGAGACTGGTCTCATCGTTCCCAGGCTGGTCTCAAACTCCTGGGCTCAAACGATTCTCCCACCTCATCCTTCCATAGTGCTGGAATTATAGGGGTGAGCCACGTGCCTAGCCTACAAATCTTTTTTTTATCTCCTCTAGAATAGGTGCTTTATTTAAAAATAGGGCTAAAATAATTTTTGTATGTAAATTTAATTTTTAAAGCATTTCAGAATAACTATTCAGTTATCCAGGAAATTGTGCGTGTTTTTTGGTTTTTTGCATTTTTCCCTTGCTGCCTTTTCTACTTGGATCCTTTTTACTTTGGCTTTTTTGGGGAATCTTTGCCAGAAGGAATAGAGAGTATATTTAGACAAAGGGGGAGAAAAACTTTTTGTGGCTATTGTGTTTGAAGATTTGAAAGGCTTAAGTGGGGTATGTCTATTAAGCATAGATTTACATTGTTTTGAATGAACTGATTATAGAAAATTCTAATTGTAGAACACTATTAGAGAATTGGTATGTTTCAACCAAAATATGTTTAAAGAGTTTCACTGCCAGTCTGTATTTACTTTCAAAAATAGTGGCACATAACAATATATCATATACTTGAAAATTACTAAGAGAGTAGACTTTAAGGGTTCTCACCACAAAATAAAAATATGTATGTGAGGTGGTATGGTAAATAGCTTGATTTAGCCATTCCACAGTGTATACGTACATCAAAACATTGTGTTGCACACCATAAACACATAGAATTTTTACCTGTCAATTTTTAAAAATAGTGGCAGAAAAATACAACATACTTTAACTATTATAGTGAAATTAAGAAATTGGATACTTAACAGGTGAGTTGGCAGTCATTATTCCCTAGGAAATCTGAAATTCTGCTGGGAAAATACTGTGAGATCCCTCTGTTTTGGATATAATTAGTGTTCCCTAATTAGGTCCCAGTTTTCCCCCGGAGTATGCTTCCCACTCCGTTTGTCTTCTTGGCTTTTGGCTGATTCCTCTGGAACTTCTCTACTTTTTCAGTATCATCCTTTGTTGCATCTGAAAAGGTCATTGGAAAATACTGCCCTCCTCATCAGCTGAGCAGCTTTCTCAGCCTACTTTCGGACCATAGTGATCTGAGGGCCCAGTGTACCTTTTTAGGAACTTATCCTCATCTCACTTACTTTCTTTTGATGGAGTCTGGTGTCACTTTTGGTAATGTAATACTTTTGTATGTGTGTTTAATTCTGGTCAGCTTCCTATGCAATTATTGTTAAGACTTTTCTCAGACATGCTCGTCTTTTTATATTTAATAACAGATACTTTGAGTTTATAGGTTTTTGTGAGAAACCATCCCTCAGGAATCATTTGTCCATCTGAAGGATTAATGAAGTCCAATTTTAATTCTTAAGGATTGCAGCTATACCCTTTATTGGGTCTTTGACCCAGGCTATCACCCAATTTGAAAGTCCTACATCCTCACTTGAAAATAGGCTAATCTTTTTTGAACACATCTTTCTTGAACACTATCAAATTCACCTTGATAGTCATTTCACGCTACCAGTATTCTATTTTGAAACTTCTTCACCCAAAGCCACAAGTTGATTGAATATATTTTCTTATTTCTGCTGCGGTCCAACAGTTTTACCCATTGTATAATAACGTATTAGGGTTTCCAGTCTCCCAGCCCTAAAGCAAGTGACTACATGTTTTAGGTTTTTGGTCCTGGTGTCAGTTTCTCTATTAGTGAGCTTTTTCCTGAGGCAATGGACAACCCTAAAATAGCAGTAGCCTTTACAACGTTTATTTCTTATTCATGCTGTGCGTAGGCTGAGTGTGAGCTGTAACTACTCTTGGCTGTGTATCTGGGCACACACTCAGTGGAGTGCAGAACTAAACTGTATAAGCTCTTTTTAAACTTCTGCTCTTCACCGTTAGAACACCATGTATCTCTTAGCGTCTACTTCTTTGTCACGGGTACTGATGTGACACAACAGTAGAATAGAGCCCAGAAGAGCTAAAAACCAACTCATAATCCTCAGAAATGTTTGTTAAAGCCCACTGAAGCTCTTAGGGTTGTGTTTGCATTAGTCTTTGCTTATATTAACATATATTAAAAGATTAAGAAATTTACAAATACAACTTTGCTAATATCCCTTACCTGCTAAAAAGGGAAGTTGTCACAAGTCTGTATTTCATGGAAGAACCACTGGGAAAAGACTCATTGGTAGCAAGCAGTGATAGTCATGTTTATGTAAATTGTTTTGGCACAAAGATTATTTCACACCTTGAAATAATCTTTTTTATGACCTTAGGATAAATTTTTAAAATAAATCCCTAAAGTCACTTTTTAAAGACCAGCTGCATGGTATCCCACTGTATGTTTTATAATTCTTAAGATCTATCCTATGTATGGATAGACGATTTTAAAAACATTGTCATCTATTCTTTTGTACATAATGCAAATATATTGGTTAGGATACATTGTTAGAAGCAGATTTGCTGGGTCAAATGGTATTTGTATTTTTAATAGCTATTTCCTTCCATACAGGTGTAACATTTTGGGAGAAGTAGTTGGCCAGTATTGTTTAAGAGACACAGAAATGTCTTTTTAAATGGGACTCTAGTCCCATTTTTAGGAAACTGATTATCAAAATATTTACATCAGTGGAAATCCTGAAGAAAGCAAATAGTTTCACTTGCATGCTTTTACTTTCATTTATTAAAAGTAAAGGATGGTTTTAATCCCAGAGAGGCTAAAGTTAAAAGGATAAAAACCATAGGACCATTAGAAAATAAGCATACCCAATGATAATTATATAATAAAAAGTTTCTAAAGGGGCAAAAGTAAATTTCTTCTCTTCCAACTTAATAGTTCTTAAGTGGTCAGGGAATCACTTGTCTGGAAAGAGGTTAATGGATTTGGAATTGAGATGTTGGGCTTGTTATTTGACCTTTTGCATCATCATTTTCTCATTTGTCAAATGGAAGGGGTTGAACTGAATGATAGGAAGTCTCTTCAAGCTCTCAAATTCATTGATTTAATTGAATAATTTGCGAAAATCTCAATGAAATTCTTTGGACAGTTAAAAGGTTACAGTTTTTAAACGGCTTATTCCAGCTTCAAATGAAGTATTTATTTGTAAAAGAATTGCTTTAGAAGAATATATATCAACCATAAAAGTAATTACGTGGTTAGTATTTGCATTATTTGATTCTCCTAGAGCCTATTTCTGTAGTACCAACTTGCATAAATATGCAGCAGTAATTAGGATTATTGAGCAGTTTAGGTAGTTTCTCTTGTTTTAGTGGTGTCTGTGAAATTCAGTGGTGATGGGAATACTTAGGTGCTAGTCAGCACAGCACTGTCTGAAAACATGCTTAATTGGCTATATATTTATCATATGCTTAAGTTGGGACCTTTTTACCCTGCAAAGAATATTTGAGTTCTAAAACGACCGTATTTGATTTCACTTCCGCAATTCCATTTGTCCCAGTGTGTCTACTTTTTAAACATAATTTATTCTTACAAATATGTAGAATTTAAGTTCCATAAGAGCCAGGGATCTGCCCATCTTCTATCTTCTAATTTATACCAAAAGGATGTTCTGTGACAGAATTCCTTTTATGATTGGATAGTGAAGACACTCTTTTTACTTTGTTTTAGATTTGCCTTTAAATTAAAAATTATAGCTTACTGATATCTAAAATACTATTATAGTTGAATGACAAGTATACATTGTTATGTTCTCTAAAATAGCATTACTGAAGAGGACAAAAGTAAGAAAAAGGGGCAAGAGGAAAAACAACCTAAAAAGCAGCCTAAGAAGGATGAAGAGGGCCAGAAGGAAGAAGATAAGCCAAGAAAAGAGCCGGATAAAAAAGAGGGGAAGAAAGAAGTTGAATCAAAAAGGAAAAATTTAGCTAAAACAGGGGTTACTTCAACCTCCGATTCTGAAGAAGAAGGAGATGATCAAGAAGGTGAAAAGGTATAAAGTTTACATATATAAAATGGCTGTTCTATTCTTAGTTTATATATATATTTTTTGTTTTTTCTTTGTTTTTTTTTTGTTTTTTTTTTTGTTTTTTTTTTGTTTGAGATGGAGTCTCGCTGTGTTGCTTAGGCTGGAGTGCAGTGGCACAATCTTGGTTCACTGCAACCTCTGCCTCCTGGATTCAAGTAATTCTCCAGCCTTAGCCTCCTGAGTAGCTGGAAGTACAGGCATGTGCCACCACTACCGGCTAATTTTTGTATTTTTAGTGGAGACAAGGTTTTGCAATCTTGGTCAGGCTGGTCTTGAACTCCTGATCTCAGGTGAACCTCCCACCTTGGCCTCCCAAAGTGCCGGGATTACAGGCACCACACCTGGCCATTTATGTATTTCTTAATCTGCCCAGTTTAAGAGCTTTTAATATTTTGGAGGAAGTCTATAAATATCAGTGGCAGTTAAAATGAATTTGTTTACCTTTTTGAATAGACTTGAATTAGCTGTGTTACAAAGCATATTGAAAACGTCCCTTTATTATCTGTTCTCTAAATTCATCTATTTTACAATTATGATCTGGAAATTAAGTAAACAGTACCTTTCCAATAACCCCATCTGTCTAGAAAAGGTAGATGAAATAGGCTGTGGCCAGTGAAGACAAATGTTAAAAGAGGTGGATTTATATAGAGATTTTTGTTATTTACCCCCAAGAAGTTCTTAACACCCTTCAGGCCTATTGTACATTTTATCAGTGGTATGTAAATTTATTTGGACGCCATAGTTGTTGGGAACCTCATTAAAGCTGTGTATCCTTTTGTGTAGAAAAATAAAATTTTGTGTATAGCCTTAGAGATTTACAGATTCAGGTCATGCAAATCTTTTGTTTACTTTCATCTGATTTTTGGCTCATTTCTTAATCTTTTAGAAACCAAACATTTTAAATTGGATAGGTCATGTAGTGTGCTTGTCAGTACTCAAGTCAAATCACTCTGTAGAGAGGCAAACAGACTGACATACTATATTTTATCCAAAGGACATCACTCCTATAGCAGGGCATAAAACAAGATGATTATTTCACGGTCATTAATCAAAGTTAAACTTGCAGAGATAGGTGTAATTCAAAGACTATTTTTAGGTTGCTAATTTGAGTATTCATCCCTTTTTTAAAAACTAGCTGCTGCTTTTCCCCCAAGATTATAATTCCATAAGCACTAGTCACTGACTTTATAGTTAAATAAAACCATCCTAATTCTCAAAACAGAAGAGAAAAGGTGGGAGGAACTTTCAGACTGCTCACAGAAGGAATATGCTGAAAGGCCAACATGAGAAAGAAGCAGCAGATCGAAAACGCAAGCAAGAGGAACAAATGGAAACTGAGCAGTAAGTATTTTTTTTTTTCTAAATTTTGGGTTCTTTTTAAAGGCTAGCATGGAATTTTTAAATAATAGACTTTCATTTTCCAGACTTTATGAAGCCTTTTGAAGAAGTGACTTTTCCCATGTGTTAGAAAAATCTTCAATATATGATGATGATCTTATTTCAGGCTTCATTCTCTTCTGAGAGGATGAAATTGACTGAGGCAGTCACTCTGTGAATTATTTTTGAATTTAAACGAAGTGCAGATAGGATTTAATTGATACTGGCTTTGCAAGAAGTGTACTCATCCTCAACCATTTGTTTGTATAATATAATACATATAGATAGAGGGGCGATAATATACTGGTAGACAAAGAATGCAGGAAATGCCCTTATTCATCACACCACCAAGCAGGCCTCACCCTAAAGACCAGCAAAAGTAACAAAAGCACATTTGGAAACCCAGGAAGCCAGTAAAAGTAAATCTAAAGGCTGACAGGGTGTACATTATTATGTATGTGCAATATAAATCAAATTCAAAGCTGTTTTCTCTTAAATTTTGATACTTATAGAGACAGGACTTGCCATGGGGAATTTCTTTCCCCTTACTATATAATTTTATTACTAGAAGGAAAAGTAATAGCAATGATAATAATGAACAGACTTCGTGTCTTTATTACATTTGCTTTCCTAGTTACCTTTAGACTGTCACTTCTGAGTTCTTTCTCTGACATGCTTTTCTTTTCTCGTGAAGCGTCTTACATTCTGACTAAATTTTGTTTTTTTGTTGTTGTTTTAGTGAGGTGATTTTTAAAACATGCTCTAGGTCAATAAGACAAAGTTAATGATGAGCAGTAAAACAATTCTTGAACAATTTTGTACTTTTTTTCTTTATATAATATATCCGTAAGCCAAAGTCTTTCTTGACAAGTACAGCGTTTTACTCTGCTTTCTTAGTTTGGAGGATATACAAGTAGTTTTAGCTCCTTGAGGGAGTAATTTAAATAACTTATCTAAAGCTCAAAAATATTATTCCCTCTAATGTTAGACTTTAAGCACTTCTGTAAATATTTAAGTTATTCTTTGTCACCTATCATTTTCTATTCTATCTTTTCACTGAAAAGCTGTTGGACTGTTTGTTGCTTTTGACTTTATTGTGATCTCAAAATTAAGATATAAAATTAGTTGTTACTAGTATATGTAGCCCAACCCTTCTTTAGTATCTTAAAGTTATCTTTATGTATTTCAGTTTCTTTTGAATGTCCTCCAATGTAACTTTCTCAAATTCTAATATTTGTGTTTTCTTTCCTTCTCCTGTTATTACAAAACTTTGTACTTGGACAGTTTTGCTCTGTAAAGCATTTCAGATGCAGCTTGTGTGAAATGCATTATGCAAAATAAAGTTTATTGTATTGTATTCCCAGCCAAACAACATGTAATCTACAGTAATAAAAAATATATCTCATTTTGGGCTCAAAGCATTAATCCAGTTACTGAAAAGAGAATACAAGTGGAGCAAACAAGAGATGAAGATCTTGATACAGACTCATTGGACTGAATTTCCCCCTTCCCCCCATTGATGGAAGAATGTTCCAGATTCTAAATTGAGGACTTCATTATTAATGGCATTACTGTGTTATGATTAACAAATTTCCTGTAAGGTACACACTACATACTAAGGTCGGCCATCATTCCTGTTTTTTTTTTTTTTTTTTTTTTTTAACCAAGCTTAAAATGAAGCTTTGTGTTTGAAAGTAATAACAAGCTCAGACGAAGATGGTGGTTGTACATTATTCATCTAGAAAATATAAAAATTCATTTTGTTTTGAAGCTAGTTATTAAACTGGAATAGCAGTTATATCCCTGAGAATGGGGCCCTTCTCTTGACATTCCTTTGTTGTTTAATTCTTTAGAATCTTAATAAATGTTTTTTTAATCCTGAGAGATTAAACAGTAGTAGACTTGTTAAGAATGAAACTGTAACCAAAATTTTAAAATAAAGTTTTTTTTAAAAAAAAAACCTGATTTTTAGATATTTTTTGTTCTTGTCTATTTGAATTGGTTCATAATATGGCCTGAACTCTAAGCCAAGGTACTAGAAATTAAGATTTCAATTTTAAGTGGTTATTTTTGTGATTGACAATAAAATGGTACCTTTTGTGAAATGTTAGTGAATGTTACTGGACGTCATTCAAGTTTGATGAATTGGCCAAAATTTTAAAAACAGTGTTATCTTAAGTCTATTTAACTTTAAAGCTAACTTCAGAACTCATTAATCTGCTTGTTACATGCACAATGATTAAATTGGTCTATTTTAAGATGCAGCTTTAAAAAAGAATGGATGTAGAAGCCATTAAACATTTATAGGTGTCATCTTCCCATTGTGGCCTGTTTGTCCAGTGACCCTGAAATTGCTCTTCTAGCAACACACTATTTGTGATGTCACTGAAAAGCCAGATATGATTTAATCTAGCATGTTAATTAGAGTTTTGCTTATATTTATGCTACGGAACTGCACCATTCTAAGAGCTACAGTCAGTTCCTTTGCAGTCTAGGCTATTGACTTATTTTAAGGAAAACATTTTTAGCTTTTACATAGGGATTGTGGGCATTTAGTCACAAAATTCCAATGTGTTGAAATATTTTTGTTAACATTTGATAGGCAGAATAAAGATGAAGGAAAGAAGCCAGAAGTTAAGAAAGTGGAGAAGAAGCGAGGTTAGTTATTTCACTTTCTAAGATACATAAAATTATACATGGAAAAGAAGTTATATAGACATAACTTTTCATGTATTGGTTTTGGAATAATTTTATACTCATATCCTACAAATAGAATTTTTCAAATCCCTAATGGGCTTTATATAAATTGCATTGTATTTTAAGCATAATCAAGTGAACTTGCTTGAGTTGTTTATGTTTAATGCTCATTAATTATTTGATGGTGTCAAATTTTAGTACACTTGCTGAAAGCTGGATGCTTTCCCATTTCAGACAAATCCCTTGGTTAAACATAAGGAAAAGCAGGTGTTTGGGGACTGGAGAGCAGAGGAGTTATCATATGCAGACTATTTATTTTAGGAAAAACGCAGCCAAGTGGTGGTTTTGTGCTTTTACACTGCATGTTGCTTTTCTCAACCACTAAAAATGGCAATAAGTACTTATTCTTAGTTAAGCTATTGTGCATATCTTTGAGCTTCTTAGTAAAGATTACTAAGAACATTTTTTTTTTAAGTCCACTAATTCATTATACTTAGCCTGTATATAGAAATACTGGTTTTGGAAAAACTGTTCACTGTTTTTCACATATTTTAATTTGTAGAAACATCAATGGATTCTCGACTTCAAAGGATACATGCTGAGATTAAAAATTCACTCAAAATTGATAATCTTGTAAGTGTTTAACTTCATTTAATACTTCAGTACTGCATTTATAGCTTCATCTTTTATTTTCTCACATGATCTTATGAGTATGTAAATTTAAGGGATAATTACTGGTCATTTTGCACTACCTCTTTTTTTTTGGAAACGATCTTTAGAAACAGATTGTTTAAGTGTTAAGATAATTAACAGCTATGAAATTACTGTTTTGTCATGAAGGATGTGAACAGATGCATTGAGGCCTTGGATGAACTTGCTTCACTTCAGGTCACAATGCAACAAGCTCAGAAACACACAGAGATGATTACTACACTGAAAAAAGTAAGTGATTTCAAGTCATGTGGATTCTTTGAATTTTGTCATTACTTCATTTAAAAATTGTTTAAAAAATCAATTAGGAAAACAATTATGATGAATGTATATTGTTTTCTCAGATACGGCGATTCAAAGTTAGTCAGGTAATCATGGAAAAGTCTACAATGTTGTATAACAAGTTTAAGAACATGTTCTTGGTTGGTGAAGGAGATTCCGTGATCACCCAAGTGCTGAATAAATCTCTTGCTGAACAAAGACAGCATGAGGAAGCGAATAAAACCAAAGATCAAGGGAAGAAAGGGCCAAACAAAAAGCTAGAGAAGGAACAAACAGGTATGTGGTAAAAAGCCAACAATTTCACACCAGTTTTTAAACCATTTGCCAGGACTGCTTTTAAAAATGGCTTTCATACATAGTTTCACTGTGTATACGCCACAGAAAAAGTATACAAAGGCAAAATGGTGAAAATCTGATGGGCCTATTGAAGGACTAGAGCAGTGTGCATTGAGAACAAAAAATCATGTCAGTTTATATTCGACTTCTAAGGCAGAAACCATTGCTCATGAGGCAGATGACTCTGGATAAACAATTTTTAAAAACCCATCCATCACAATGCCTCCTAATCCCTAGAGTACCCACTTCCTGGTTGCTCAGCTGCTTCTGTTTTCTTCTCACCTAAAAAGTAAAATAGCGTACAGTAGCCTTTTAAATTAAAACACAGCCTCATAGGTGGAGACTACACCTGCCATTACTTGATACAGGTATTCTGATGATGCTGCTGAGTTACCCTGAACAGACTTCACAGTATTAATGCCATGTCCTTTTTTTTTTTTTTTTTTAAAAGATGGAGTTTCGCTCTTGTTGTCCAGGCTGGAGTGCAGTGGCGTGATCTCGGCTCACCACAACCCTCCACCTTCTGGGTTCAAGCGATTCTCCTGCCTCAACCTCCAGAGTAGCTGGGATTACAGGCATACGCCACCACACCTAGCTAATTTTGTATTTTTAGTAGGCACGGGGTTTCTCCATGTTGGTCAGGCTGGTCTTGAACTCCCGACCTATGGTAATCCACCTGCCGTGGCTTCCCAAAGTGCTGGGATTACAGGCATGAGCCACCGCGCCTGGTGATAAAGTCTTACAAAGCACTTAGATGTGTAGCATATATGTAAGGCACTGAACCTTAGCTTCTACTTTTTTCACTAACTTTAGCAGTAGTTAAATCCTGCTAGTACTTATTACTAACAGTAGTTATTTTCTTTTCATTTGTATTAGGAAAAATTTATAACTTATACAAATAGAAATAACTTCTCATGTCCTTGTCATCCAGCTTTGGCAGTTCAGTTTATGATCATTGTGCTTTTGTAGCCCATAAGCTTTCTCTATGCCCCTCTTGAAAGTTGTTTTACGAAAAATCCCTGACATACCATTTCACTCATAAACATTTCAGAATGTATGAAAGACTCTTAAAACAGAATCATAGTACCATTATCAGCTCCTCCAGTCTTGTTATTAAACATCTTAGTGGCAGCTGCTTAAGGTAAAAGCTGGCATTTCAAAAGCAGTCGGTTGGTTTTTTGTTTTTGTTGCTTTATTGGGGAATGACATGGGTCCCCTTAGAGAATTATTAATACGACTTACAGGAAAACCCCCTTTATTAGGCACAAAAATATCAATTAGGAAATACTCCTTTAGCACTTTGTTCTAAAATAGTAAATTTTAAAATTTGATTCACATTGCTTTTCCGTGGTAGAATAAATGAATATGCTAAGAATTACAACACCCTGTAGTATTCCTGGTAATAGTAACAACCAGAATAATCAGATTAATAATCCACTTCCTGTACTCATAGATAGTTAACCTGCTTTTTATGGTGCCTTAGCTACCCAAAGCCTCTGGTGGTCATCTGCTCCCCTTTTTGACAAAGCCATCAAAACCCAATTCTAACATTCAAGAGAGGGCTGTATTACAATGTAATTTCAAATAAAAGACATTAAGTAGTAGAAACACGATGGCCATGTTGTATTTTGATTCTGGATCTTTAGTGGACACCTTCAATTATTGTTTTGTAAGCTTTAACAAAGTTTTTCCATTGGATTCCTTCGCAAGGGTCAAAGACTCTAAATGGAGGATCTGATGCTCAAGATGGTAATCAGCCACAACATAACGGGGAGAGCAATGAAGACAGCAAAGACAACCATGAAGCCAGCACGAAGAAAAAGTGAGGAATAGGTTTTAATGGGTCTTGTGTGTTTTTTATTATTCAGGTTTTTAATCACAGTTCTGTTCCAAGGTTATCTTACTATAATAAGCAGTTATCTTTTGATCACCCAATTCCTGAATTCAGTAAGCAAGTTACAATTCAAAAAGGAAGAAGAGTAAAAACCTTTTATTGACAGTGACTTTGCCACTGAATTCAAGGGAATGGAACTAGCTGGGAACCCAGTTAAAAAGAAAATATTTGCTCCTGGACTACTTTTACTGAGATACTGTTAGTAATGACTTGCATTCACACTTTCTTGAATTGTGAAAGGATAATTGTAAAAAGTTAGATGGAGAATCACAGTTTTGTTGTTGTTGTTTTTTCTTTGAGACAGAGTTTCACTCTTGTTGCTCAGGCTGGAGTGCAATGGCACGATCGTGCTCACTGCAACCTCCACTTCCTGGGTTCAAGCGATTCTCCTGCCTCAGCCTCCCAAGTAGCTGGGATTACAGGCACCTGCCACCACGCCCATCTAATTTTTTGTATTTTTAGTAGAGATGAGGTTTCACCATGTTGGCCAGCCCGGCCTCGAACTCCTGACCTCAGGTGATCCACCCACCTTGGCTTCCCAGTGTTGGGATTACAGCTGTGAGCCAACATGCCCGGCCATCACAGGCTATTTTTTAATACCCACCCTAAAATAGGCTATGGAGCCATAGTTGAAGTCTTGCTTTGTTCCACTGTGTATCTGAAGGAGTTAGATAGAAGCATCCCTTCTAATTCTGAAATTGAGGGAAATCTTGTTGTCTATGTGTGTATCAACCTCTCTTTTTATTAAGATTTTGAAATATGTTGGTATCACAGATATAAAACATTCTCATGTTCTTTAAAGAGAATTCACTTTTATGCTAGAAATGATGGAAAGGGCTTGGTCCATGACACTTTGCTGAGTTATTTTGCTTCATCTGCATATTACTTTGGGAAGAAGATACAACATGGTAAAATAACAGTTTTGAAGAAGAAAAAAATAATAATGACTGTTCTAATAACAAGTCAAGTTTTTCTTTTGTTTGGTTGGTTTCAGTCTTTTCATGGGTTTAAAAATATAATGCAGACTTAATGTCTTTTTTTCCTTCATCAGGAGAAAATCCTAATTCCAGTTGTACCTTTCCCCCTTTTCTTCAGGCCATCCAGTGAAGAGAGAGAGACTGAAATATCTCTGAAGGATTCTACACTAGATAACTAGGTTGACATACCTGGAATATAGAGAACACTTGAGAAGTTTGTAATGGTTTTCATTTGAAATAGACTGCTGAAAGTTTTAAATTTTTATAAGCATAGGTTTGATGTTGAAAACTTGTTTTGAGGGAGAAAATCCCTTTGTTTTAAAGTAAAGTAAACATTATCGCTAAGTGTACTTGTGCAGTATTAACAGCTACATTATACAGTAAATGTGGGATAAAATCCATTTAGAAAATGTTAAACTGCTTTTCCAGACATGGTTGTAGCATATTTTCAATTAGTGTGTGTATGTTAATGTGTAATTGATAGTAGAACAAAGTTACATTTTTAAAACTGCTACTTGTATAAACCTTGCCTCTTTTCCCAAATACTGTGGGTTTTGTGCATAGTTTTTACAAACCTTGGATTTACCAGACTGTCTTTTCACTGTTTGTGGGTTTTGTAGAAGTTACACATTTTTATGGTAGATAAAATGTTACTTCTATACAAGTACTCACTCCCTTTTTATCAAAAGTTAATTTTAATCTCACAGTCTACATTGTGCTACATTATCCAGCTTCTTTGGAACAATGTGTGCTCTGTATGGTTTTTTTTGGTATGACAACTAATTAAGCAACTGACATGGAACTGAGAATTCTACAAACTATAAAACATTAATTTTTGAAGGTAATTTAGTTTTGTGGCTGGGCATTCAGTGAAGTCTTAGGACTTCTTTGCAGACAACTGACTGGGTATATATAGGAATGAATCTGGCTTTAGGGTTAAATCATTTAAGGTCCTTTTATAGGCAGGCACTAGTAACTAAAACTGAAAACTAAGTAAGTTTATTTTTGAGGAATGTTGTTAAAAATGTCTTTAGGAAGTCACTAAAACTTAATTGGAAGAAAAAATCATGATGCTTATACAATAAATATGAATAAATGTTATATAAGGAAACTCACCTATTTGAAATCATGGCTATATTGTTTTTATTTTCTAGATTCCAAAAATACAAACACTAGTTGTTCCAGCATTGTACTTTGATAAGTCTGTACATTGACGTGTATGGACTAAATCCAGGGTAAAATCAATGTTACAAAATTTAAGGGTATGTTAACTAAAGGATAGCATTTCTAAGATATTTTGAATATTAGGGTCATTTGGCACTTCTCAGCAAGTAGGATACTTCTCATGTTTTGAAATTATATGAATATGGAAAAAAATGGCTTAAGACCAGCGTCTCTGTATGACATTGTGTGGTTGACCCTCTGAGATAACTGTTTTCATCTACAGAATTGCATTTTTGCTTTTAAAGAGGTCTTATAATGGAACTAGGAATCACCGTTTTGAGAGAACCTGCATATATACCAGTCATTATCTGTTTGGTCCTTATACAGTTTTAACTTACTTAGATTTATTCTAGTTAAGCCATAAGTTCAACGTGTAAACTTGTTTTCATTAAAGAATTTTTCTATCAAACTCTGCTAGTAAATTACTTTCTTGCTATTTACAAGAGTAAGTGATGGAATTCTGGGTTTGCTGCCAAGGAAATAATTTCTTAGTTAACTGGTCACAGAGGTTGTGCTGTTTTGGGAAACGGGGTAACTAAACAGTAAGCTCAAGATGATAAAAAATAAAGGTAATATTTATCTTTTGTTCACCCTCCCTTTCTTCCCATGACCCACCAGATCTATAGTTTTACAAAGAAGCCACAGAATATTCCAATTCTAGAGATAGAGCATCATTCTCATAATTTATGTCAGCTTGTACAGGCTGACCTTGCTCTAACTAGTTGATGTATGTTCGCTTCAAGCATAATTGCTGTTTCTTTAATCATAACTCTCAAGAAATGGTGTCATAGGCTGATTTACAGATAACTTCTCAGAACTCTTGATAATTATTCATAAGACTTAAGAACTTTCAGGATCATTGAAATTGTTCATTGGCTCAATTTGTGTGTGTGGTCAAAACTCCACAGCTTGACAAGGCACCAAAAGGTAATTTTGAGATAGATAACCCCCACCCCACCCCACCCCACCCCACCCCACCCCTCCAAAAAGTACGTGTAATATGTATGTTTTAACACCTCTTTTGGGCTGGTATGTGTGTGTATGTACGTATGTGTTTTGATTACTGGATAAAAGAGTCATACATCAGCCGGGCGCAGTGGCACGTGCCTGTAATCCCAGCTCCTCGGGAGGCTGAGGCAGGAGAATTGCTTGAACCCGGGAGGCAGAGGTTGCAGTGAGCTGAGATTGCCCCACTGCACTCCAGCCTGGGAGACAGAGCAAGACTCCATCTCAAAAAAAAAAAAAAAAAAAAAAAAAAAGAGTCATACCATGACCAAGCAGAACTGACCATTGAAGGTTTTCTTAGCTGCTTGGAGAAATTGCAGATACATCTATCTGAATCTGAGAACTGACTGGGATTTGGTATGTGAACAACTGGAGAGAACCATACACTTTATAATTAATATTATATCCAGTGATTTCAAATAATATGATAGATTTTGCTGATACAGTACTGCTGTCTGTGTTCCTACTCATACACTTACCTGGTTACAGATGTTAGGTCAAGATGAGGTCTGCATCTAATCCTGTATAAGAGCAGAGATTTTTCATAGGGTGCTGTGAGGGCTTTGCTAACTCTATTTTGTCCGATTGGCCAGAAAAAGGATGCTCTAATGGAAATAGCAAACCTGTATCATTAAACTCTTTAGAAACAAAGAAACTGGTTTAATAGGCAGAAATGTGTTTATGTTTGTGTCGTGTAATTCTGCAACACAATGTTAGAGATGACTGACCTTTCTCCTAGTAAAACTAGAATGTCTAATTGTCCTTAAATGGTACTGATGCCTGAAGAATGTTTAAAGAAATAGCTATTGCTTCTCTAGTAACTTCTGTGCATGTGTATCCACTATTATATAAAAGTCAAATTCAACTACCAAGCAGGTTGACATGTTCATGACAACATTTTCAGTTGCCTATCTTCATTAGCTAATGTGTTACATGTAATTTGACAGGCGTGTTACATTTGATTGAAATAAGCATAAAGAAAAGCTGCCTCGAAAAAAGAGAAAAGCTGTCTTAAATCAGGGGTTTTATAGCTCCAGAAATATACAAAGTTAGGAATTTCTTTTGACTTGAACTTGGTGGGATACCTGTATAACTGATACATAACACACGGGCAAACTGTGGGAGTAACCTGGTTGATTAACTTTTCTCCTCAGTTTCACCAGGGAACAATAATAGGTACCTGAGTCTTTGATGAAAAACTTAACCTTAAGAACTAGCAAAATAACATTCTCAAATAATTAATAAAGAATCCCAGTAGCAGAAATGTTTTAACTGGCATGTTTCTTCTTTGTCCGCTAAAATGTATTGACACCACACATGGAATAATGCATTATGACAATAATTAACTTTTTGAAGTTTGGTGTTTTGAGAGTATGAAATGAATGAATAAGATAAAATATCCTTGCATATGCATGTAAGACCTATAAGGAACGCAGTATTGAAAATAAAGGAATCAAAATTTTTACCCATGGAATTTTAGGGTTGGGTAAATCATTCATTTATCTTAAATCTATGGTTTGCTGGCAGTTATCAATCTGCTCAATTTTAGCATTGTTGTATACAAGAAAGTAAAAATTTAGGTATAACATAAGCCAGCCTCTTAAGTTCTCTATACTGATTATCTGTGTACTGACTGAATCAGTGAATGAGAACACTAGACATACCAGAAACTCGTGCTTGTCATCTCCAAGCCAATGGACTTAACTGTTTGTGGCATTTAAGTCCATAAAACATACTTCACTGTCAAACACATAGGCTTATAGGTTTCGTCAGTTTTCCATGTGTAAGATAAATGTCTGTTCTTAGCCATCCAGATATTCAGTCAAATTTAAATACAACCTAGGAGAGAGAAAGTGGAATTTATTTATTTTAAATGATGCATTTGAAATCTATAGTATTCCTAAAAGTCTTCTAAACAGTATTAAATGTTCTACCCATAAAGGTTCCCAGAAAATATTTGAATAAATCTATCTGATGGTCTAGACCTGAAAATAAAGAAAGTTTATTTTGCTGGGCGCTGTGGTTCATGCCTGTAATCGCAGCACTCTGGGAGGCCAAGGCGGATGGATCACTTGAGGTCAGGAGTTCGAGACTATTCTGCGCAACATAGTGAAACCCTGTATCTACAAGAAATAAAAAAATTAGCCCGCCATGGTGGCCTGTGCCACCATGTCTCAGCTACTCGGTAGGCTGAGGTGGGAGGATCACCTGAGCCTAGGGAGGTCAGGGCTCCAGTGAGCCAAGATCACGCCACTGTACTCCAGCCTGGGTGACACAGTAAGACCCTATGTCAAAAAATAAGTTTAAAAAGTTTTGGTTTTTTTTTTTTTCCTCAGAATAAGATGAGAGTAACTAGAATTACTATAGTAAGGGGACCAGAAGAATGGAAGACCTGGGCCAGGAAAACTTATTTTTTTTCTTTTTGCTTATATAATTTTGGTATATATCCAATAGTATCATTACCGGAGAATAAGTGAGCCAGAGCTAGCAATCAATAGGATCTTGATTTTTCCATGTCCCCACAGTCATACGAAATCTGCTATTGTTTTTTAAATCATAGTATTAAATTGACATATTTTAAACTCATAACATTCATAAAGCTTTTGTCAAGAAATAAAGCTTCAAGTTAATGTTATTTCTGGAGTTATGAGTATATACTCAAGATCTTTTTAAATTCATTATTCACATAGTCTTATTAACATGTCTTGTATGCCTAGTTTCCTCCAAAACAAAACCTAACATTACTAAACAGCACACTAAGATTAAATTCCCCCAAAGCAGCCGGGCGCGGTGGCTCACGCCTGTGATCCCAAAATTTTGGGAGGCTTAGGCGGGTGGATCGCCTGAGGTTAGGAGTTTGAGACCAGCCTGGCCAACATGGTGAAACCCCGTCTCTACTAAAAATACAAAAATTAGCCAGGCATGGTGCCAGGTGCCTGCAATCCCAGCTACTCAGGAGGCTGTGGCAGGAGAATCACTTGAATCCGGGAGGCGGAGGCTGCAGTGAGCTGAGATTGCGCCACTGTATTCCAGCCTGGGCAACAAGAGCGAGATTTTGTCTCAAAAAATAAATAATCCCAAAGCTATTAATTTTGTCTTATTTGTAAATAATTCATTCTCCCTAGTTTCCATTACAGTTATTTGAAGGATCTTTACCTTGGAAGCCTCATGGTAGAAGGTGTAGCTCTCACATTCTTCAAAGAATTTTCAAAACACTTCCACTACTTGATGTATCATTAATAATTCTATCTTTAGCAAAAAACTCTGGACAGAGAATGAATAGGGAAGGCATGGATTGGGAGAAAGAATATGTGTGTCTGACAAAGGATTTAAAGTCAGAATATATAAAGTACTACAACTCAACTCAAAATGGGTAAAAAGCACTAAATTAAATACTATCTGGAATAAATATAAAATTAAACTATGTTATAAACATTTAAATACTATCATTATAAGAAAATCTGTCATTTGGACTTTTTTTTGATAGCTTTAGCGGACTGTTCAAAGTGGATCCTGTTCCTCAGTGGCGTTTCTTAGAAATAAGGTAACCATCCAAGAGAACAGTTATTTCATGAGGGGGTATTTTTGTGAGTGTAGCTATTCTTAATTAAAGGTTCCAGGATCAACATAAGGATAAGCAAGGAATTCCCCCAGTTTGTTGCCTTCTGAATCATAGTGCAGCATTCGGAAGCAAACATCACAAAAGAAGCATGGGTCCTCTGGTGCAAAACTGTCATTGTTCGTCACCCATCTGTAGTTTTTAAAAAAAGAAGTACATCATTACAATCAAATTTGCCATACTTAACATGCTTTATGACCTGTAGCAATATGTAAATATAACATTCTATTTCCTTATCAGTCTGTTATTAATGCATAATAATCCCTTAATTTTGTATACATAGATACAAATACATCACCACCAATACTCTCTCTACAAAGCGAAAGGGCATCTAACATTAAGAAACACTGCAGAATGCTGTTTCTCTGTAATACTTACCCTTAAAGGAAGAATATAAATCTATTTGAAAGCATCACACATTTGCCACGACATACCTATCCTCCAAGTACGAATATAGTCATTTTCTTCTAACAGACCATCTTGAAAAACCATGGCAAAATTAGATGCTACAAATCTGATAGACTTTTGCTTAATATACCTTCTTAACTGATAAATGAGTACTGGTTAATTTGAAAACTATATAACTCTTTTTACCTAGAACTCAAGATTATGTTATAAAGTATATACAAATAGCAATATGGGCAACATTATTCAACCAAAATGTTGAATGGCATGAAGATGCTATTGTATGGTATGTTTGAATTCTGCATCTCATGGAATGTTTGCTTTTAACATTATTTTCACTTTGATTTATCATGTTTTCCTATTGATCTTTCAGAAAAGAATATTGTGGTGGGGTGGCGAAAACAAACTGAAGATACAAGTTGAGTATCCTTTATCTGAAATGCTTGGGATCAAAAAGAAGTATTTCAAATTGCAGATTTTTTTCAGATTTTTAAATATATTATGCATATATTTGCCGGTTGAACATCCCACTGAGAATTTGAAATCCAAAATGCTCCAATGATCATTTGAGCATCAGATGTTGCCACTCAAACACTTTCAGGTTTTGGATTTCTGATCTTGAAATTTGGAATGCTCAACCTGTACTAAATTTCCTTTCCTCTGAGTGGCTTTCAGATTTTTTTTATATGTTTTTTATAGTTACTGCTGTGTTGTCCAGGCTGGTCTCCAGGCCTCAAGCGATCCTCCCACCTCAGCCTCCAAAAGCAACAAATTTTTTTTTTACTGACCCACAGTAAGAAATGCCTTATAATCTAAACATGTAGAATCACATAAAGTAAAAATTTTATAAAACTATATTTTAACTTCATGTGATGTACTGTGGTTTTATTGATGAAGTTTTATTGATGAAGCTGATTATGTAAACTATGTGGACAAGAGGCAGAAAGAACATGGCTCTCGAGCATTTTGGATTAAACAAGGTTTTCTTTGGTTAGACTTCCCAAATCCCTTTATGGTAATGTGCACTGTGACCCTCTAACAGGGAGTTATTGTACAGAGCTTTTCTTGAATGTATTCTATCAGAGAATTCTTTGCTTTGCTTAACACTAGTGACTTTTATTTTTATTCACCTAGCTGTATACATTTTACAAGCCTGAAATTTGACCTATCCCTGGACTTGTGTACATATAATATTTCCTGACTATTTAAGAATGTTAGTTTTAACTCACTAAATTGATTTTCTGGCACTTCCCTACTAGATGATACTTCATATTTATAACCTAAAGTACAAATATTCTTAGATCCAAAGTGGAAAACAAAATACCAAAAGTCAAAACTGCCATTTCTCAGAGAAAAAAAAAAATACATTATCACTCACCTGGCTGTATACATTTTACAAACAAAACATTTTCTGGTCCATAGCCAATGCTTCTTGATAAGGAGGGGATACAATGTCCTATCCAAGCAGTCATCATGATGCACAAGCCTTTTGTTCGTGGGAAAATAAAGATATTAAGGTGACAAATATTAAGTGACAAATTTTTATGAGCTATTAAATATATCTGTGCCTGAGTATTAGGAAAATAGATACTTTCAATTTTTGCTTACAAGATGTTGCTGAATTACTTGTTATGCCATGTTTCACCAAATTCTGTTCCACAAAATACTTTCTCCAAGAGCATTTTGGATTAAACAAGGTTTTCTTTCCTTAGGCTTCTCAAATCCCTTTATGGTAATGTACACTGTGATCCCCCCTTAAGAGGGAGTTATTATGTAGAGCATTTCTTGAATGTATTCTACCAGAGAATCCTTGCTTTGCTTAACACTAGTACCTTTTATTTTTATTTATTTGAAATGGGGTCTTACTCTGTTACCCAGGCTGGAGTACGGTGGCATGATCTTGGCTTACTGTAGCCTCAAACTCCTGTGCTCAAGCAGTCCTCCCACCTCAGCCTCTCCAGTAGTTGGGACTACAAGCATGCACCACCACACCCAGATAATTTTTTAAGTTTTTGTAGAGACACGGTCTCACTATGTTGTCCAGGCTGGTCTCAAACTCCTGGTCTCAAGCGATCCTCCCACCTCAGCCTCCCAAGGTGCTGGGATTACAGCTGTGAGCCACGACACCTGGCTAACATTTAGTACCTTGTAATGAAACATAATTTGGGCAAAGCTACTCAGTGATATTTTACCTAGATTAACTGGTTGTTACAATGTGCCTCTTGTTTTTTTAATGTCTCCTTTATTAAAATCTAATTCTGACTCCTGGCATAATATGAATTGGTAGAATCTTAGTTTTAAGTATCAGAATTATGAAACCTTTAAGAAGTTTCATAATTTTTATTAAAAAAGAAATGGAAGTCAATCTCTACTCTGCCACTAATCAGCTCCATGGCTTTGGGTAAATCCTTTAAATGATGACAGACTTCAGATTCTTCTGAAAGATGAAAGGACTACACAAAATTGTTCTAAAGGTCTCTAACAATTCTAAAATTTGATTTTTTTAAAATTAAAACTTTCACCATCAGAAAATAATTAACCTTTTGATAGTTGGTATTATGGAATGGCAATGAATGATTAAATCCACCTGTAAGATAAAAATGACTTCTATAAATGGCCTTTTAAAAAGCCCTACATTGCATACTCTTAATAAATGTAAACCATTTAAAAAAATAAAAGGGCAGATGTGGTGGCTCACGCCTGCAATCCCAGCACTTTGGGAGGCCAAGGCAGGAGGATCGCTTGAGCTCAGGAGTTCAAGACCAGCCTAGGAAACAAAGTGAGACCCTGTCTCTACAAAAAATAGAAAAATTGGCCAGGCATGGTGGCATATGCCTATAATCTCAGCTATGGGAAAGACTGAGGGAAGACGACTACTTCAGCCCAGGAGGTTGAGGCTGCATTGAGCCATGATTTTGCCACTGCACTCCAACCTGAGCAACAGAGTGACATCCCCTCTCAAGAAAAAAAAAAAAGTGTAAATTGTTTGTCTTTGACACTCAAACAAATCATGTTTCTTTTGTTGATCACTGTATCAAGAAGTTACCATGAGTTTAATGGTCATGTTTTTATCCTTCAGCCTTGGAATCACGTTGTTTATAGAAATAGGCCTACACTATAAGAAATGTACGGAAAAGGCCAGGCGCAGTGGCTCTTGCCTGTAATCCCAGCACTTTGGGAGGCCGACATGGGCGGATCACCTGAGGTCAGGAGTTCGACACCAGCCTGGCCAACATGGTGAAACCCCGTCTCTACTAAAAATACAAAAATTAGGCCTGGCATGGTGGCTCACGCCTGTAATCCCAGCACTTTGGGAGGCTGAGGTGGGCGGATCACCTGAGGTCGGGAGTTCGAGACCAGCCTGACCAACATGGTGAAACCCTGTCTCTACTAAAAATACAAAATTAGCTGGGCGTGGTGGCGCATGCCTGTAATCCCAGCTACTCGGGAGGCTGAGGCAGAAGAATTGCCTGAACCTGGGAGGCAGAGGTTGTGGTGAGCCGAGATCACGCCACTGCACTCCAGCTGGGACAACAAGAGCGAAACTCGGTCTCAAAAAAATAAATAAATAATACAAAAATTAGCCGGACAAGGTGGCACGTGCCTGTAATCCCAGCTACTTGGGAGGCTAAGGCATGAGAATTGCTTCAACCTAGGAGACAGAGGTTGCGGTGAGCTGAGATCATGCCACTGCATTCCAGCCTAGGCAACAGAGCGAAACTCCGTCTCAAAAAAAAAAAAAGAAAAATATATGAAAAATAAGGCCATCAGAGAGAATAGGGGATTGCCTTCCATCTTATGTTTATTACAAGGCCAGCACATTTTCCCACATTTGAAAGGAAGAGCAGGCAGAACAGCTTATATAATTTTTTTTTTCTTTTGATACAGTCTTGCTCTGTCACCCAGGATGGAGTGCAATGGCACGATCTTGGCTCATTGCAACCTCCGCTTCCCGGGTTCAAGTGATTCTCGTGCCTCACTCTCCCAAGTAGCTGGGACTACAGACGCCCATCACCACACCTGGCTAATTTTTGTATTTTTAGTAGAGACAGGATTTCACCATGTTGGCCAGGCCGGTCTTGAACTCCTGACTGCAAGTAATCTGGCCACCTTGGCCTCCCGAAGTGCTGGGATTACAGGCATGAGCCACCATGCCAGGCTGCTGATATAAAATTTTAATAACATCAAAGACATAAATGTACTGTCTATAATTTTAAAAGTCATATAAATCCAAGGTTTATGTATTCTTCTGGCTCTTGCCTCCCCATTCTTCTTCCCTAGGGGCAATTGTTTTCCATTCTTAATTGTTTGTTTAGAATTTAGCTCCTCAACTTCTCACCACAGAACTACCATAATTTTGGTTAAACAGATATTTAATTCAGGACGAATTACTGCTACTTCTACCTAAGCCACACAGTTGACATCTGTTGGACGACATTTTGTTTTGTAGCTATTAATCTATTAATTCTCTCCCATTTGCATTTGCTTAATTTTCTTATTTATTTATTTTTTGATATGGAGTCTTGCTCTGTCACCCAAGCTGGAGTGCAGTGGCACGATCTCAGCTCACTGCATGCTCCACCTCCCGGGTTCACGCCATTCTCCTGCCTCAGCCTCCCGAGTAGCTAGGACTACAGGTGCCCACCACCACGCCTGGCTAATTTTTGTATTTTTAGTAGAGACGCTTTCACTGTGTTAGCCAGCATGGTCTCGATCTCCTGACCTCGTGATCTGCCCGCCTTGGCCTCCCAAAGTGCTGGGATTACAGGCGTGAGCCACCGGGCCTGGCCCATTTGCTTAATTTTCAGTGTACCTGTCACGAATTCAGTCCCCTATTTTCTGACAGAACAGTGAACAACCGGGAGTCTACCAGTTCTATTTTTCCTCCCAGACATCCTTCCTGAGTTCTGTATGCTCCTGGCTCCAGACCCTTGATCAAATCTCTGGGTCTGGTGTAAAGCTCTCACACTGGGATTTCACTTTTCCATAATTCTGAGAATCCCTTTTATGTCTATTTAACCTATTCTGTGTTGCATTCCATGTCTTTCTTGTTCATGGTTTACACTTTCTGTGAAGCACTTTTACATCTTCTGATAGTTTCCTGAGATGGAGTGCATGGGATACAAAATTTTGGAGAAGAGTCAGTAAGACCAAAAATGGAAGCAGGGACTTTCTGAAAGCATCAGCTTCTTTCTTTTTTTCTTTTTTTTTTTTTTGAGACAAGGTCTCACTCTGTCACCCAGGCTGGAATGCAGCGGCATGATCATAGCTCACTGCAGCCTTGACCTCCTGGTCTCAAGCAATCCTCACGTTTTAACCTGAGTAGCTGGGATTACAGGCACACACCACTATGCTCAGCTAATTTTTGTATTCTTTGTAGAGAGGGTTTCACCATATTGTTCAGGCTGGTCTCGAACTCCTGGGCTCAATTTGCCCACTTCAGTCTCCCAAAGTGTTGGGATTATAGGCGTGAGCCACTGCACCCGGCAGGCATCAGTTTCTATTAGTGGTATAATAAATTACTAATTAATACCAGTAATTACTGGTTTCTAATTACTGGTCAAACACAGGTACATTATTGTTCCACAAAAAACTTTTAAATGGTCTCTCATAAGGAATCAAACCAGCAATGGAGCAGGGTTTATTCGTACATAGTATTCCTTCTTAAACTGTGATTTCCTAAATAAAGAGGAAATGAATAGCCTTATTCATGGAATAGAGCTATTAGCTGTCTAAAATTTATAACTCATCCCTAAGTCTTATTTTAGACTATCTTAGCTCCTTCCCAATTTAAATCTTTGTCAAAGCATTAAGACTTCACATTTGTCAAATATTAGAATTACTCTTCCTCCAATTCCCTTTTATCTTCTTCAAATTTTGGCAAAAAGACAAACCTAAAAATAAAGTTGCAATGTTATATATAAATGGATAAGTACTATATCTGAATAACAGCTATTTAATACAAAATAGAGATACTTTTTAAAGTATTAACAGATTTTTAACCGTCTAATAGTAAAGTATTTCTTAAAGATTTTCCAAAATAATGAACAATAGAGGATGCAAATGGATGGAAAGAGTTGGTATTTGCATGGAAAGAAGACAGTATTTTTGCTGCTCCCAAGCCAAGTTGCAATGGTTATTACTTTTACTCCTCTTATTTTTAAAAAAACTATCTCTGGTTTTGTACTCTGAAATAAAGAAAAAAAAAGGTAACAAAATGTCTTAAGTGCTGTCACCTACCTTATGTCAGTAATGACAATGACATGTTCACAGTCTCCCTGATGACAGTATAAGTAAGGAAAACCCAGTTTAATACACAAGTCATTGAAGGTGAAATCTTCCATTCTAGCAGTCTGAAACTTTCCATAGCCTCTATCATGGGACTCTGACCACTCAATGATAGTTCTGAGGGGGGAAAAGGCAAGGATATATCATTTTTCCACAAAAACTTAAAAACTACAGAAAACAGTTTGTGATTGCAGTAATTCACATTAACCTAGCTCACCCAACTAACTGGACAGTTGCCATCTTGAGATGAAGACCAAAATGTTTGACACATGTTGAGATTAGGAACGCTGAATTTTCATAAGGGATCAGTTTTCTGCAGGTTACATGATGTGCATCACTTTAGCTTAAATGCAAAATGTGTAACAATGCCACTCATTGTGTTTTGAAAAATATTTTTCACAAAATGTTAGTATGTAATGAGATTAATATTTCAAATACTTCTTAGTTTCAATGTTTAATATTATAAATAGTGATAGTTATAACCCACATAAGCAGTAGCTCATTGGGGTCTTCAATTATTTATAGTATAAAGAAATGCAAGGCTGGGCATGGTGGCTCACACCTGTAATCCCAGCACTTCGGGAGGCCGAGGTGGGCGGATCGCTTGAGGTCCAGAGTTCGACTCCAGCCTGACCAACATGGAAAAACCCCATCTCTACTAAAAATACAAAATCAGCCGGGCGTGGTGGTGCCTGCCTGTAATCCCAGCTACTGGGGAGGCTGAGGCAGGAGAATCGCTTGAAACTGGAAGGCAGAGGCTGTGGTGAGCCGAAATCGCGCCATTGCACTCCAGCCTGGGCAACAAGAGCGAAACTGTCTCAAAAAAAAAAAAAAATGCTGAAACCAATAGGTTTGAACTGTTGGGTTAGAATACAGATTAAAAATGGCTACAATATGCTGGGCATTGTGGCTCACACCTGTAACGTTAGCAGTTTGGGAGGCCGATGCAGTCGGCTTACTTGAGGCCAGGAGTTCAAGACCAGCCTGGCCAACATGTTGAAACCCTGTCTCTACTAAAAATACAAAAATTAGCTGGGCATGATGGCACACACCTGTAGTCCCAGCTACTTGGCAGGCTGAGGCACGAGAATGGCTTGACCTGGGAGGCAGAGGCTGCAGTGAGCTGAGATCGTGCCACCATACTCCAGACTGGGTGACAGAACGAGACTTTTTCATTTTTTTTTTTTAAAAAGGGCAACAATAATATATATACTTGTATACTGTAATTGTTAAGACATTGATAATGAAAGTATGGTCTCATTAAAATGAGCTTACAGATTTTTCCTATATTATGTACTTAAGCAATATATATATATCACCATCACCTAGGGCAAACAATAGTATATGCTGGATAGGCAGAAAAAATAGTGAAAGGTTAATTTGCCACTATTACTTATATGTAAAGGCCAGAGACTAATAATGCATGTTAAGGTGATTTATTTATTTTTTTTTTAGAGACAGAGTCTTGCTATATTACCCAGGCTGGAAAGCAGTGGGTATTCACAGGCGAGATTATAGCATGCTATACAGCCTTGAACTCTTGGCCTCAAAAGATTCTCCTGCCTCAGCCTCCGGAGTGGCTGGGACTACTGTGTCTGGCTAATTTTTTTTGGATGTATGTAATGCAAAAGACAAGATTTATCAATAATTCCTTGGCAAAGGTCCTTAATAGGCCAATAATAGGATTTGTGGAGATAACACTACTTTGATAACTAGAAATAGGAAAGACTTTGAGAAGATTTTTGGAAACTATACCTGCTCAAATCTCTGCATTCTGGGTATCTTTTATCATTATAAAATGTTCCTTCAAAATAAAAGAAGGCTGATTTGTATAGGTCCTACAAGAAAACAGATTGTATTGAGAGAAAATCAACTATTAACAATGATGAAATTGCTCTAAGTATTAATTCAAAATAGATATATCATAAAATCACACTAATATGTGTTAAAAAACTGCTACTATTTTCAATTTTACCCTATTGCTGTTATAATCACTACGTTTGATCTAAATGTGTATATTCTCCTGAGATTCATGAAAGGAACCCAATTAGAAATCAAATAAACATCATTATTTTATTATACTTACAGAGCAGTAAGTAGTGTTGGATACTAGAACTAAAACCTAAACAAAGTCCTATCTTTAATGTTTCCCCAGTAGTAACAATGATCATCGAGCTATGTTTTTCTGGCATTTTTTTGTATTTGCAATGTTTTTACAAAAATTCTCTCTTTATATTTTCAGTAACTCTTAGGCAGACAGAATCTGAATTTCTATTTTTACTCAAGCAATCTTGCCCCAGGTACTGTAGTTGTACCACAACTGGTTGGAACCTTCAAGGGTTCTTAACTCATTCTACCACAGTGTCCGTCAAAGGAGTGGCTCTCAATCCTGACTGCAAAATCAAATCACAAAAACACCAAACACAAGTGTCAACTCAGACTCATTAATTAAGAATCTTTGGGGATCAGTATTTTTCCAAAGCTCTCTAGAAAAAAACATGCAACCAGAGTTGAGAAGCACTCTGTTAAACTGGTCCTTCACCTTCTATTTAGACTCCTGAATGAGGGTCAGAAGACCTGAGTTCTTTTCCTTAATCTACCACTTACTAGCTTTGTGATTTTGGTATGTAGCAATCACTTCTCAGACCTGTTTTCTCATCTGTGAAATGAGAATAATAATATCTGCCACGATGTCTTACAGGATTGTGGTGAAGATCAAAAGCAATTTATGTATAGGAGATATGTTTCAGGTACTAAAATAATTTTACCGTAATATTTTAATTTTTCTCCTAGTTCTTTGAAGCTTCCATTTTTCTTTCTTGTCTTCATTCCCCCACTTACAGATTATCTTGTGTTCGCATCAGACACTCCTGCAAGACTGGCTATGTTGTTTCTTCTTGGACCAGTCACTAAATCTCACTCACACTGTTTTCCCATGTAAAATGTGAGTAAAGCCTTTACTTTCCTCATAGGTTGTTATGGAGATTATGTACATTAAGTATAATGTACTTAATGTCATATGACTAGCTGCTACAATACAAAATCTGCCACTTAATATATTTCTACACCCTCAAAGAGGTAAGCAGGGTCCAAAATAAAGGTTCTAAAAAAATAACTATTATTTTGGAAACAAAATGAAGTTTAATATATATGTGTTTTACAAAACACTGCCATAAAACTTCATCTTAGGTGATTTAAGCAACTTACTATCTTTTGGCATAATTATTAATTACAAGGTGAACTCTAAAAGAACAAAAATGTTTTCCATTTAAATCAAAAGTCATCCACTAATAAACTTCCCTGACTGGCCTGGTGGCTCAGCACTTTGGGAGGCTGAGGTGGGCAGATCACCTGAGGTTGGGAGTTCAAGACCAGCCTGACCAACATGGAGAAACCCCATCTCTACTAAAAATACAAAAATTAGCCGGGCATGGTGGTGCATGCCTGTAATTCCAGCTACTCATGGGGCTGAGGCAGGAGAATCGTGTGAACCCGAGAGGCAGAGGTTGCAGTGAGCCGAGACGGTGCCATTGCACTCCAGCCTGGGCAAGAAGAGCAAAATTCTGTCTCAAAAAAAAAAAAAAAAAAAAAAAATATATATATATATATATATATATATATAATAATAATAGAAGAGACAGAAACAATATAACAGGAGATATGTAAACATTTTAAAATACAATTATGGGTTATTTAATCCCTGCTTAAAAAACTTCCGAAGCTATCAGCAGCAATGTACAGACCAAGTAAATTGACAAAGCCTGGTTAAAACCTTCTGCTGGGCAACACAGTGAGTTGTTGCCCAGACTGGACTTGATTAAAAAACAGACAGACAAACATTCTCCAGGGTTTCCTGAAGGTAAGACCGATTCCCAGATCTGACTCAAACTGCTTTGAGCAATGTTCAGATGGTTGGAGTGAAGAGGGTAAATTCAGATTTTTCTTCTTAGACTGATCTTATTATTTAACAGTTACATCTTACGTTTTTTTTGACAAGGTTAAAAAACTTTGCAGAAGATTGCCACCGCTGCTTTAAAGAAAAATCTTGGCCAGGCACGGTGGCTCACACCTTGTAATCCCAGCACTTTAGGAGGCTGAGGCGGGTGGATCACCTGAAGTCAGGAGTTCGACACCAGCTTGGCCAACATGGTGAAACCCCGTTTCTACTAAAAAATACAAAAATTAACTGGGCGCAGTGGGGCCACCTGTAATCCCAGCTACTTGGGAGGCTGAAGCACGAGAATCACTTGAAACTGGGAGGTGAAAGTTGCAGTGAGCCGAGATTGCATCATCGCACTCCAGCCTGGGCAACAGAGCCCCATCCAAAAAAAAAAGAAAGAAAAAGATAAATCTCGTATTTCCTGCTCCGCGTAAAATTTTGAAATTCTACTTTTCTTATCCTATTGTTTCTCTCCAAAAGCACTGAGATGGCAACCCTGAAGAACCTAAATATCTAAAAACCATTTTCAGCATAACTCAACAGGTACTTAAGTGAAATCTACATGTGAGCCATATGCTAGTCTCCACACTAGTCACCAAAAACGAATATAGTCAGCCTGTGGAGCAGACGGACACACATTACACTGAATCAGCATACTGAAATACATACTACAATGGACAAAAGAAAAGGTGCCAGGGTAACAAAGAAAGGAGTCAAGAAAAATTGCATATAATTGGTGAGTTTTGAGCTGGGTTTGGAAATCTGAGGATGAACTCACAAAACGGATGAAGTAGGGAAAGGGCTTCCTACCATGTTCAAATACTCAGAGACATGAAAAAGTATGGTACACTGATGAAAATACACAAATTCACTATGGATGAATGAGGTGTAAAGGCAGCAAGTAAACAGTTCAGAAAGTTAATTTGGGAAGCATCATTATAAAAGGCCTTATATGTCAGCCTAGGGAGAAAAAAAAAAGTTAACATGAAACCTCAGTTATACCAACATTTATGTGGCTGGTGGAACAGGACCCAGGAAAAAAGGAGATTGTGTTGGTTCTTGTCCAAACACTATCTCCATCCTTGTTGTTCCAAATATCTTTTTACTTATCTCTAGGAGATGCTATCCCTCCCCTGAAATGGCCCTGTAAACCTGAGGCCCTCTGCCAGAGTTGTAGCAGGTTTAGTTCAATCCTGCCCTATGATGAAATGTGGAAGGGATCAAGGCCCTCCTGCTTTATTAGGTAAATGATCCTTTCTGAAAACATTGTGGGTAGCCAGTCTACCACACTGCTTCTTTCCATCCTTATCCAGGGGGTATGCAGGGCTTCTCTTTCCTTTTGAGAGCAACACATTGGGGAAACACCAGCAAGGACCAACTTCATATGCTCTCTCCTTGTTGGGTATTGGTCCTTGGGCAGCGAAAGGTGAAGAATGGGTGCTAACTATTTGAGGCTCTCAGGTCGACTCCAGCCTTTTGCTGGGCACAATCATGACAGATCACAACTCTGACAGAGCTTCAAACGAGTGAATGAACAGCAAAGTCATATGCTACAGTGAGGTCAAGTTACATAAAAATGGAAAAGTGACCAACTGCTTAGAAAATTAGGTGGTCACTATTGAGCTGAGATGGCGACACTGCACTCCAGCCTGGGCGGCAGAGCGAGACTCTGTCTCAAAAAAACAAAAAACAAAAAAAAACAAAAAAGAAAATTAGGTGGTCACTATTAGCCCAGAAGGAAAAGTCTCCATACAATAGTTTAGAAACAAATGAGAGATGAAGAAATCAAAACAGAGTCTAGCCTCTTCTTTGGAAAAGTTCCGGTGATAAAGGGAAGGAATGAGATAGTGTAGTTTGATGGAATCCCGCAGGAGAAGAAAAGGATTTACTGGGACATTTATGAACCAGCTAGAGTAATCGCTATTTTCTTAGCTTGTTATTTCCTTTTGTTTTATGGGAGGAAATCACCTTACTTTGCTGATGTGCTCAGGGGCTTGGTCAGGAGTGTTGCTGAATTCACCACCAATCTGGAGGTCACTGACACATCGAATTGAATCCCTCAGTTGTGTGAGTTTTTGACTGCCCAACACCAGCATTGTTTGGTATGGTTTGTGTTCTTTGTGCTAAAAGTCAAAGAATAAATAAGTGTTCATTTAGAGACAAAGCGATAAAACTACAAATCCTGTCATGACTAGATCAAAATTAAATTGCTGGTTTTCTTAATTTTAAATTGTCCCCATAACTTGATGCTCTGTATTTTCACATCCAATAATTATAGGGCCAAACTCATGGTCAAAATTGTTTACATCTCCCCTGTGATCCAGAGCCACTCTGAAACCACCTCCTTTATTACACACCAAGCCACTATTTCCCCTGGTATTCCCTCAACCTCAATCCACCCAGGGCCAAGCACCAGGCTACAAGGGACAGCCCCTCTGCCACCAAACCTACTGGAATTGTTCGAACTAGCCAATCCTAAACTGTTTACTCTTCCCTACCTTGTCTTTCCCACAGAAACCCCAATAAAAACTGTGGTCTATGCCTTCCCCTCTCCCCTTTCAGCCTCCTAAATGAGAATGATGCTTCTTCCTGTGGCCCTACATGGTGTGCCCCCTCCTCTAAGGAAATGTAATAAAAATCTCCTTTCAAAGGCATTATAGCCTCTCCATGTCATCACTCAGTCATCTCCATAAATTAGAATAGCATGGAATGTCCAAGCACAGTGGCTCATGCCTGTAATCCCAACACTTTGGGAGGCCGAAGCAGGAGGATTGCTTGAGCCTAGAAGTTCAAGATCAACCTGGGCAACATAGCAAAACCCCATCTCTACAAAAAATTTAAAGGTTAGCTGGGCGTTGTGATACATGCTTGTAGTCCTAGCTACTTGGGAGGCTGAGGCAGGAGGATTGCTCGAGCGAAGCTGCAGTGAGCCATGATTGTACTGCTGCACTCCAACCTAGGCAATGGAGCAAGGCCCTGTCTCAAAAACAAACAAACCAACAAAAATCCCATGGGTACAACTGACATACTCAGCCATGGAAATTTTCTGGTTTAAACTGAAGTTTATAATCAAGATGATACCAAACTGACATGAGCATTAAGATCCACTGGAATGTAACTTCATTTAGCAAGACTGTCTTAAAATTTCCTAAAAGTTACTTCATTGAGGTCAGGCAATCTATACTGTAACCTGAGGTTATAAACCCAGATTCATACTTTGGTTTGGTTTCTTTTTATGATTGGTCATTTGGGATCTTTTTCTGGGGAGAAGGGGGTGGCGGTGAGGGACAGTCTCATTTTGTCACCTAGGCTGGAGTGCCATGGCATGGTCTTGGCTCACTGCAGCCTTGACCTCCCGGGCTCAAGCAATCCTCCTTAGTAACTGGGACTACAGGCACACACCACCACACCTAGCTAGTTTTTGTATTTTTTGTAGAGATGAGGTTTTGCCACTTTGTCTAGGCTGATCTTGAACTCCTGAGCTCAAGTGATCAGCCCACCTCAGCCTTCCAAAGGTGCTGAGGATATAGGTGTGAGCCATTACACCCAGCCAGCAATTTGAGATCTTAATCAAATAAGATTAGTATTAACTACATCCCAGATGCTTTGTAAAAGCCTATTTATTCATAAGTGCAACTTATATATATATTAATATTTCAATGACAACTCATCAGAATTTATGACACATCTATTTAAGGAATCAAGAATATATACACTCTGGCCTAGGAAAGAGTTCTTTCTCCTAAGAGATTCCTAGATACCCTTGACTTAATAATGTTCTGTATTTTCATCAAAGAAGAGCTGTCTCTGGTTAGTTCAATAACTTCCCAAGTATTCTAAATTAGTGAACATAGGCTAATTCCTCCATTAGCCACCTATTCTGCAAAAATCCCTCAAGAATTAGTAGAATTAGAATCATTATGGATTTACATATACTTTCAGTTGCTTCTAGTGCAGAAATCAGGCATATATTTCAATACTATACCTGTAATCCTACTGGATCGAGAGATTGTTTGAAATTTGACCTTATTTCCAATATTCCTTATTAGAACAGATGGCACAAGATTATAGATTGTCAACTCTAAAAATAAGACATCAGATAGGCAGCATATGCTTGCATTTATTAGACAGGGTCTCACGCTGTCTCCTAGGCTGGAGTTCAGTGGTGCAATCATAGCTCGCTTACAACCTTGAATTCCTAGGCTCAAGTGATCTCCCCACCTCAGCCTCCCAAGTAGTTGGGATTACAGATGTGCACCACCATGCCTAGCTAATTTTTTTGATTTTTAGTAGAGACAAGGTCTCACTGTGTTACCCAGGTTGGTCTCAAACTCCTGGCCTCAAGTGATCCTCCTGCCTTGGCCTCCCAAAGTGCTGAGATTACAGGCATGAGCCACCACTCCCAGAGTGTTTATTTTTAATGTAAGCATAGGAATATGACTCTTCAAATAATTAAACACTTTTACAAAAGTTACTATTATCCATAAAATCCAAAAGGTTTTACTACTTACCTTATGAAATATAACAGGGTACAAGATATTCACAGATAGGATAAGCTCCCCTTCTTCAATCATGTCTGCTGAATTTTCAGGCTTTTTTCCTATGGCATGTGACTCCTGAAGAAAGAAAAAGAGACACTGAAATCAGATACTATAACTCAGATAAGATGCAGTGTGGTACAATGGCTATCAGCAAGGGATCGAGTCAAGCAGCCTTGGGTTTGACACCTAATTATACTCTGGGAAAACTGTTAAGACATCTCTAAGCTTTAGTTTCATCTTCTTTCAATAAACAAACAGAACCAGAAAATACTTACTGTACTGTTGCTGGGAATGTGTACACAATGCATCTGATAAGATGTGTGGTACTGAGTACTTAGCAGTTGATGAGCAAACAGGAGTATCAACTAATGTTGGTATAACACTGGCATTTCCAGTTACATTTTTACATTCCTTATCAAATATTCCTGTGAAAGCTATTTTACAGATAAAGCTCAGAGGTTCAGTGATTTACTCAAGGTCATACCAGAGTTAGGACGCAAATACGGATTTGTTTGGCTCTAAACCCTATGCTTTTTATAACACCATGACATCTTTAATATATTTTGATCTTTTATGTGTGCTAAATTAATATAAAATAGGGGCCAGGCTGAACTGGTTTAGATGCAGGAGTTTTAAAAATAAGTGGGAATCATGTCACAAAATAGAGTAGGCAGCTCCAGGGCCTAGTCCCTCTAACAGAAGCAACCAGTAAGCTGGAATGAGAGACTGGAATAAACTATTTGGGAACTCTGGAACCTGATGGGACACTTACAACAATCAGGGGAGTGTTTGATGACGAGAGAAGTTGCTGCTTTTCATTAGTAAGCACTGTGTGCAAATCAACTACCACCCTCACTCCTTCGCCCCTCGCCGATGAGACAGGCAGCTGGAATTCCTGGAGAAGCTGGCTGGTGCCAAGGCAGGCAGTGGGGACCTGTTCTCTAAGAACTGAGGATTTTATGTTTTGGTTGGTCTGGTGATGCCGAGTGCCTGGTCCAGGTACGTGCATTGGTTTTGACCCTCTTGGTGGCAGCAGCTTCCCCCAGCAGGATCTATATTGGAAGACTTACAGACAAGATGCTTTTTTTCTTTTTGGAGCCAGGTATTTAAGGAAATCTTTGTCAGATCACTGATTGACCGCAGAGAGAATGAAACAGAAACATCAGTGACCACGTACAACAAGTAATACACGTGCTACAATAATCGTTTGGAAAAGTCACAGGCAGCTCCAGCCATGCACAAGAGAAAATATACCTAGAATGTCTAGTTCTCAAAAAAACATATAAATCACAAAAAAAGAGGAAAGTATGGACAACTCTTAGGAAAATAAGAATTTGACAAAACCAACCCTGAGGAAGCCCAGACATTGGAATTACTAGTCAAAGTGTCAATTAATTATTCCTACAGGCAATAGTTACATTCGCACATAAATAAAAGTCCACTAAACAAAGACGTTAGCTCCCTCTCCCTCTCTCCCTCTCCCCCTCTCCCCACGGTCTCCCTCTCCCTCTCTCTCCACAGTCTCCCTCTGATGCCGAGCCAAAGCTGGACTGTACTGCCGCCATCTCGGCTCACTGCAACCTCCCTGCCTGATTCTCCTGCCTCAGCCTGCCGAGTGCCTGGGATTGCGGGTGCGCGCCGCCACGCCTGACTGGTTTTCATATTTTTTTGGTGGAGACGGGGTTTCGCTGTGTTGGCCAGGCTGGTCTCCAGCTCCTAACTGCGAGTGATCTGCCAGCCTCAGCCTCCCGAGGTGCCGGGATTGCAGACGGAGTCTCCTTCACTCAGTGCTCAATGTTGCCCAGGCTGGAGTGCAGTGGCGTGATCTCGGCTTGCTACAACCTCCACCTCCCAGCCGCCTGCCTTGGCCTCCCAAAGTGCCGAGATTGCAGCCTGTACCCGGCCGCCACCCCGTCTGGCAAGTGAAGAGCGTCTCTGCCTGGCTGCCCATCGTCTGGGATGTGAGGAGCCCCTCTGCCTGGCTGCCCAGTCTGGGAAGTGCGGAGCGTCTCTTCCTGGCCGCCATCTCGTCTAGGAAGTGAGGAGCGTCTCTGCCCGGCCGCCCATTGTCTGAGATGTGGGGAACGCCTCTGCCCCGCCGCCCCGTCTGGGATGTGAGGAGCGCCTCTGCCCGGCCGCCACCCGATCTGGGAGGTGAGGAGCGTCTCCGCCCAGCCGCCCGGTCTGAGAAGTGAGGAGCCCCTCCGCCCAGCAGCCGCCCCGTCTGAGAAGTGAGGAGGCCCTCCGCCCGGCAGCCGCCCCGTCTGGGAGGTGAGGAGCCCCTCCGCCCAGCAGCTGCCCTGTCTGGGAGGTGAGGAGCGTCTCTGCCCGGCAGCCGCCCCGTCCAGCCAGCCTCCCTGTCCGGGAGGGAGGTGGGGGGCAGCCCCCGCCCGGCCAGCCGCCCCATCCAGGAGGGAGGTTGGGGGCAGCCCCCGCCCGGCCAGCCGCCCCGTCCCGGAGGGAGGTGGGGGGCAGCCCCCGCCCGGCCAGCCGCCCCGTCTGGGAGGGAGGTTGGGGGCAGCCCCCACCCAGCCAGCCGCCCCGTCCCGGAGGGAGGTGGGGGGCAGCCCCCGCCTGGCCAGCCGCCCCGTCCGGGAGGGAGGTTGGGGGGCAGCCCCTGCCTGGCCAGCTGCCCCATCCAGGAGGTGGGGAGCGCCTCCGCCTGGCCGCCGCCCTGTCCGGGAGGTGGGGGGGCGCCTCTGCCTGGCCGCCCCTTCTGGGAAGTGAGGAGCTCCTCTGCCCGGCCGCCACCACGTCTGGGAGGTGTACCCAACAGCTCATTGAGAACGGGCCATGATGACGATGGCGGTTTTGTCGAATAGAAAAGGGGGAAATGTGGGGAAAAGATAGAGAAATCAGATTGTTGCTGTGTCTGTGTAGAAAGAAGTAGACATAGGAGATTCCATTTTGTTCTGTACTAAGAAAAATTCTTCTGCCTTGGGATGCTGTTAATCTATAACCTTACCCCCAACCCCCTGCTCTCTGAAACATGTGCTGTCTCCACTCAAGGTTAAATGGATTAAGGGCGGTGCAAGATGTGCTTTGTTAAACAGATGCTTGAAGGCAGCATGCTCCTTAAGAGTCATCACCACTCCCTAATCTCAAGTACCCAGGGACACAAACACTGCAGAAGGCCGCAGGGTCCTCTGCCTAGGAAAACCAGAGACCCTTGTTCACTTGTTTATCTGCTGACCTTCCCTCCACTATTGTCCTATGACCCTGCCAAATCCCCCTCCTCGAGAAACACCCAAGAATGATCAATAAATACTAAAAAAAAAAAAAAAAAAAAAAAAGAAAAGGGAACTCTTGCACACTGTTGGCAAGGATGCAAATTGATACAGCTATTACGGAAAACAATACGGAGGTCTCTCAAAAAATTAAAAGTAGAACTACTACATGATTCAGTCATCCCACTTCAGGGTATATAAATGAAATAAAATGAAGAAAATGAAATTAAAAAAATAATAATAACGTTAAATAAAAAAAAAAGACGTTACAGCAACTGACTTAAATGTGCTCAATGAGTACCCCAGAAATTTGTACAATCATTATGTATCAACTTTAAAAATGTGTTCAGTTAGCTAAAGGAAACCAAATACTTAAAGAAAATCAGATTCCTCAATAAGATTAACAGGAGTTTTCTCATCAGAAAACATGGAGGTTAAGAAACCAGAGAATGGGCAGATAGACGGATGGACTGACTGACCAATTTTTTTTTTTTTTTTTTTGAGACGGAGTCTCACTCTGTTGCCCAAGCTGGAGTGCAGTGGCGCTATCTCGGCTCACTGCAAGCTCCGCCTCCCGGGTTCATGCCATTCTCCTGCCTCAGCCTCCCAAGTAGCTGGGACTACAGACACTCGCCACCGCGCCCAGCTAATTTTTTGTATTTTTAGTAGAGACGGGGTTTCACTGTGTTAGCCAGGATGGTCTCAATCTCTTGACCTCGTGATCCGCCCGCCTCGGCCTCCCAAAGTGCTGGGATTACAGGCGTGAGCCACCGCGCCCGGCCCTGATTTTTTAAATCTATCTATCTATGTAGCCTAGATTGGCCTCAAACTCTTGGGATCAAGTGCTCCTTCTGCCTCAACCTTCTCAGTAACTGAGACTATGGGAACCCACCACTGTGTTCAGCTTTTAAATTTTTTTACTTTTGTTTTTCTTTTTTGGGTGACATATTTAAACCCATGAAAGAAAAAAAACAAAACCTGTCAGCCAAGAATTCTGTATTTGGCAAAACTATCCTTCAGGAATGAAGGAGAAATTAAGACATTTGCAGATAAACAAAAGCTAGGGGAATTAATTACTACCAGCAGACCTGACCTGTAAGAAGTGTTAAAGAGGATTCTTCAGGCTGAAATGAAAAGACACTAGACAGTAAATTGAAGCCATAAGAAGAAATAAAGAATACTGCTAAAGGGAACAACACAGGTAAATATAGAAGCCAGTATTATTGTACTTTTGGTTTGTAACTCACTCCTCTACGATTTTTCTGTTTTTCCTATATGATTGCAAAATAAATGGATTAAACAATACTTACAAGGTTATGTTAATGGACACACAATATATAAAGACATAATCTGTGACAACCCAAAGAGGGACAGACAAAGATGTGGAAGCAGAGTATTTGAATATTATAGAAACAAAACTGACACAAATGTTCAACAATGATGGGATTATGCCCCAATAAACCCCATAAATAAAATACATCACAAGTGGAAAATGCATTTAAGACCCCAATAAACCCATCATAAAGTCAAAACATCCTAAGTCAAACCACAGTAGGTTGAGGACTGTGTATAATTAAAAGTAAGTTGTTTCAATTTTAAGATTTAATTGTAATCCTGGCTGGGCACAGTGGCTCACACCTGTAATCTCAGCACTTTGGGAGACTGAGGCAGGTGGATCACTTGAGGTTAGGAGTTCCAGACTAGCCTGGCCAACATGGTGAAACCCTGCCTCTACAAAAATACAAAAATTAGCCGGGTGTGGTGGTGGGTGCTTGTAGTTCCAGCTACTCGGGAGGCTGAGGCACAAGATTCACTTGAACCCAGGAGGCAGAAATTACAGTGAGCCGAGATCGGGCCACTGCACTCCAGCCTGGGTGACAGAGTGAGACTCTGTCTCAAAAAAAACAAAGTAATCCTTAAGTTACAGAAAAATAAGATGTTTTGGCATGTGTTTGTAGTCCCAGCTATCAGAAAGCTGATGTGGGAGTATTACTTGAGCCTAAGAGTTTGAGGCCAGCCTGGGGAACAGAGCAAGACCCACCTCTAAAAACAAAATTTTTTAAGGTTTCAATAGACAAAGAAGGATATTATATATTGGCAAAAGATGCCATCCAGCAAGAAGATATATACAATTATAAACTTATATAAAGCCAACAGAACTCTAAAACATAAGAAGCATGGGAGACCAAGGTGGGCAGATTGCTTGAGTCCAAGAGTTCAAGACCAGCCTGGGCAACACGGCAAAACGCCATCTCTACAAAAAATACAAAAACTTAACTCAGCATAGTGGCGCAAGTTTACAGTCCTGTCTACTTGGGAGGTGGAGGTGGGAAGATAACTTGAGCACAGGAGGTTGAGGCAGCAATGCGCAGTGATGGCGCCACCGCACTCCAGCCTGGGCAAGAGAGCAAGACCCTATCTCAAAAAACATAAGTAAAATAAAATATATGAAGCAAAAGCCAACAGAATTGAAGAAATAGACAGTTCTATGGTAATAGTTGGAGACTTTAATACCCCACTTTCAATAACGGGTAGAACAACTAGATAGAAGATCAATAAAGAAACAGGAGACTTGAACAACGAGAACAATTAGACCCAACAGATATACAAAGAACTCTCCAAACAACAGCTGAATACAGGTTCTTCTCAAGTGCATGTGAACCATTCTCCAGGATACACCAACAAATCTTAAATTAAAAAAAATTAAAGTAATAAACGTAACTCTTCTGATCATTAAGTGAATATTAGAAATCAATAACAGGAGAAAAATTGGAAAATTCACAAGTATGTGGAAATTTAACAACACTCGACAAAAATCACAGCATAGGAAACTTAGGGAGATATAGTAAAAAGAGTGATTTTAAAAAGTTATGGCTGTATAACTTTATATAAAAGAACAATCTCAATAACTAGATAAGGAATTAAGAATAAACTAAACCCAAAGCTAGCAAAAAAAATGAAAATTATAAAGATGAGTGGAGATAAGTGAAAAAGAATAGAAAATACAGAAAAATCAATAAAAACAAAAGCTGGTTCTTTGAAAACATCAAATTTGACAAACTTTTACTGCACTGACTGAGAAAAAAGAAGGCTCAAATTACTAAAATGAGAAGTAAAAGTGGAGACGTTACTACTGATTTTACAGGAAAAAAAGGATTAGAAGAGAAAACTATGAACTACTGTTTGCCAACAAATTGGATAACCTAGATGAAAAGGACAAATTCCTGGAAACATACAAACTATCAAAACTGATTCAAAATGAAATAAAAAATCTAAATAGACCTGTAACAAGTAAGGAGGTTGAATCAGCAATGAAAAACCTCCCAACAAAGAAAAGCCCAGAACCAGATGACTTCACTGGTAAATTCTACCAAACATTAAAAGAATTAATACCAGAGTTTCTCAAACTCTTTCACAAAATTTCAAAAGGAGTAAACACTTCCTAACACATTCTATGAGGCCAGCATTATCTTGATACCACAGTGAGACAAAGACACTACAGGAAAACTACAGGCCAATATCCCTTTATAAATAGGAATGCAATAATCTCAACAAAATACTAGCAAAGCAAATTCAGAAGCATATGAAAAGGCTTTTGTCAAATGTGTTTAATTTTTGTGAATTTTCCAACTTTTCTTCTGTTATTGATTTCTAATGTCATTCAGTTATGATAAGAAAAGGTACTTTTTATGATTACAATTTTTATTGAATCCCACAACCAAGTGGAATTTATTTATCCTCAAAATGCAAGGGTAATTTAACATTAGCAAGTCAATCAATATAATACACCACACTAATGGAATGATGGGGCAAAAAAAAAAAAAAAACAACAGATCATTACCTCGACTGACACAGAAAAGCATTTGACAAAATCTAACACCCTTTCATGATAAAAACACTAAAGAAAATAGGAACAGGGCCGGGTGCGGTGGCTCACGCCTGTAATCCCAGCAATTTGAGAGGCCAAGGTGGGTGGATCACCTGAGGTCAGGAGTTCAAGACCATCTTCACCAACATGGTGAAACTCTGTGTCTACTAAAAATACAAAAAGTAGCCAGGCATTGTGATGGGCGCCTGTAGTCCCAGCTACTCAGGAGGCTGAGGCATGAGAATCACTTGAACCCGGGAGGCGGAAGTTGCAGTGAGCCAAGATTGTGCCACTGCACTCAGCCTGGGTGACAGAACAAGACTGTCTCAAAAAAAAAAAGGAATTAAGAAAACAATTTCACTTACAATAGCATTCAAAAGAATAAAATATTTAGGGATAAATTTAACCAAGGAAGTGAAAGGGTTGTATACATAAAGAGTATAAAACACTGCTGATAGGCTGGGCACGGTGGCTCACGTCTGTAATCCCAGCATTTTGGGAGGCCGAGGCAGGCGGATCACCTGAGGCTGGGAGTTGGAGACCAGTTTGGCCAACACGGAGAAACCCCATCTATATTAAAAATACAAAAACTTAGCCGGGCATGGTGGCATGCACCTGTAATCCCAGCCACTCAGGAGGCTGAGGCAGGAGAATCGCTCGAACCCGGGAGGCGAAGGTTGCGGTGAGCCAAGATCGCACCATTGCACTCCAGCCTGGGCAACAAGAGCAAAACTTCGTCTCAAAAAAAAAAAAAAAAAAAACTGCTGTAAGAAATTAAATATCTAAATAAATGGAAAGAAATCTCATTCATGGATTGGAAGACTTGGTATCATTAAGATCTCAATACTCCCCCAAAGTAATCTACAGGTTCAATGCAATCCCTATCAAAATCCCAATGGCATTTTTTCCAAAAATAGAAACACCCATCCTAAAATTCATAGGGAATTTCAAGGGACTCTGAATAGTCAAAACAATCTTGAAAAACATGAACAAAGTTGGAGGACTCACACTCCCTGATTTCAAAATTTACTACAAAGCCAAAGTAATCAAAACAGTGTAGTTCTAGGTTAGAATCTAGACCGATAGAATGTAACAATGAAACTTATATGGTCAACTGACTTTGGACAAAAGGGCCAAGATCATTCACTAGGGAAAGGACAGTCTGCAAAAAATAGACAGCTATATGCAAAAGAATGAAATCAAACCCTTACCTTACATCATATATAAAAATCAACTCAAAGTGGATCAAAGACAAACTTATGAGCTAAAGCTATAAAACTCCTAGAAGAAAACATATGGGAAAATCTTCATGATGCTGCATCTGGCAATGTTTTAAGTATGACATCAAAAGCAAGGACAACAAAAGAAAAAGATAAACTAGACTTCATCAAATTTAAAAACTTTTGTACATCCAGCAACAGTATCAAGAAAGTAAAAAGGCTGACTGTGGTTGCCCACGCCTGTAATCCCAGCACTTTGGGAGACCGAGGCGCATGGATCACCTGAGGTCAGGAGTTCGAGACCATCCTAGCCAACATGGTGAAACCCCATCTCTACTAAAAATACAAAAATTAGCTGGGCATGGTGGCAGGCACCTGTAATCCCAGCCACTTGGGAGGCAGATGCAGAAGCATCACTTGAACCTGGGAGATGGAGGTTGCAGTGAGCTAAGATTGCTCCATTGTACTCTAGGTTGGGCAACAAGAGCAAAACTCTGTCTCAAAAAAAAAAAAAAAAGAAAGAAAAGTAAGTAAAAAGACAACATATAGAATGGGATAAAATATTTTTAAATTACTTATATGGTAAGGGTCTAGAATCCAGAATATACAAAGAACTCTTTTTTTTTTTTTTTTAGACAGAGTTTCACTCCTGTTGCCCAGGCTGGAATGCAATGGCACAATCTGGGCTCGCTGCAACCTCCACCTCCTGGGTTCTAGTGATTGTCCTGCCAGCCTCCAGAGTAGCTGGGATTACAGGCGCCTGCCACCACGCCCGGCTAATTTTTTTTTGAGACAGAGTCTCATTCTGTTGCTCAGGCTGGAGTGCAGTGGCATGATACTGGCTCACAGCAACCTCCACCTCCCAGGTTCAAGCAATTCTCCTGTTTCAGTCTCCCGAGTAGCTGGGATTACAGGGGGATGCCACCACGCCCGGCTAATTTTTGTATTTTTAGTAGAGACAGGGTTTCGCCATGTTGGTCAGGCTGGTCTGGAACTCCTGACCTCAGGTGATCCACCCACCTCGGCCTCCCAAAGTGCTGGGATTACAAGCGTTAGCCATGGCACCCGGCCAAGAACTCTTTATAACTCAACAGGATAAACAACCCAATTTGAAAATGGACAAAATATTTTAATAGATCTTTTTCAAAGAAAATATACAGATGGCCAAAAACCAAATAAAAAGATGTTCAGCATCACTAGTTATTAGGGAAATGCAAATCGAAACCACAATGAGATACTACTTCACACCCACAAGGATGGCTATTATTAAAAAAAAGCTAGAAAACACATGTTCACAAGTACATGGAGAAATTGGAACCTTCATGCATTACTGATGGGAATGTAATACGGTATCATTGCTATGAAAAACAGGTTTCTCAGAATTAACCATACAATCCATCAATTCCATTCCTAGGGGCAGACGCAAAATAAATGAAAAAGGACTTAAAAAGATATCTGTACACCAATTTTCATAGCAGCATTATTCGCAATAGCCAAAAGATAAAAGAACCCAAATGTCTATCAACGGATAAATAGAACAAAACGTGGTGTATACATACAATAGATAGTATTCAGCCATAAAAAGGAAGGAAGTTCTAATACACGTTACAATATGGATGAACCTATAAAACATTATGCTACGTAAAATATGCCATAGGCTGGGTGCTGTGGCTCACGACTGTAATCCCAGCACTTTGGGAGGCCGAAGTAGGCAGATTGCTTGAGGTCAAGGGTTCGAGACCAGCCTGGCCAACATGATGAAACCGTCTCTACTAAAAATACAAAAATGAGCCAGGCATGGTGGCAGGCACCTATAATCCCAGCTGCTTAAAAGGCTGAGGCAGGAGAATCGCTTGAACCCAGGAGGCGGAGACTGCAGTGAGCCGAGATGGCGCCACTGCACTCCAGCCTGGGCGACACAGCGAGACTCTGTTTCAAAAAAAAAAAAAAAAGCCATACAGAAAAGGACAAAAAAGCATTCCACTTACATGAGATATCTAGAATAGACAAATTCATAGAGAAAGAAGGTAGAATAGAGGTTAGCAGGGGCTGCAGGAGGGAAAACTGGTGAGTTATTGCTTAACAGGTATGGAATTTCTGTTTGGGATGATGAAAAAGTTCTGGAAATGGTGATGATTTACAGCATTGTGAATGTACTTATTGCCACTTAATTGAACACTTTAAAATGGTCAAAATGGTAAATTTTATGTTATGTAAATTTTACCACAATAAAAGTAAAATAAGTGGGAGAGACAATAGGTGCCCGTATGCATGATCAAGTGCCAGCACAGTGCCTAGCACATTGATTCTGAACCTATCGTGTCTACTAGCTCCTAATTCCTCAAGAGTCATCATCTTAAATTTTCCCAAAGTTTTACACAAGAGATAATAGATGAGGATTGAGAATGTGGTTAAACCAAAATCAGGAGCAGAACAAAAAGACCAGAAATAGGGTAGTGAAAAGGCATAAATTTAGCCTAATACCGAAAGCAAGATAAAACCAAACAAGAATAAAGGCAGAGATCTGAAAAAGTCAAACATGTGGTCACTTGAGTTCTAAGGGTCCTCTTCTCTCACTAGTTCCCAGACTCAAAGGAGTTTCTCTAGTTTGTTTTCAACTAAGCATATCCAGTATAAAGCTACCATACTGTCATTACTAACCCTCAGCCAATGTCGGTTTACTGTTTTAAGAGAAAAGGGTGAAAAAGATGAGACTCTTAATTACCATCTCATAAACGAATGTTTCTTGTCTGCAGGCTCGATCTATTGTAATGGTTTCTTCCCGATGTTCCAAGAACCTTTTTCTAACCCTGTTGTAGATGTAAAAGAAAAAAAAAAATCAAAGTTCAACATTTGTTATTCGGGCTTCAAAAACATATTTAACATTCAAGTTTTTTTATTTTGAACTAATTTTAAGTAGCAAAAGCAGGAAAAAGTTCCCTTCTATCTCTTGTTCAGCTTCCCTTATGTCAACATCTTACTTGATCATGAGACAATTAAGAACAGGAAATAAATTCTTACACAATATTATTAGCTATACGCCTTTTTAAAATTTCACACAATTTTTAATTTACTCGTTTTTTTTTTTTTCTGTTCCAGATTCCTATCCAGGATCCCACATGGCATCTGTTATTTTTCCTTAGTCTCCTTGAGTTTGTTAAAATACTTCAGTCTCTCCTTATCTTTCACGATCTTGACAATTTCAAAGAGCTCTAATCAGTTATTTTATAGAATGTCCTTCAATTTGGGTTTGACCGCTAGTTCCTCATGATAGGAATAAATTTAGCATTTTGGTAAGAATACTACAATGATGCCCTTCTCATTATATCATATCAAGATGTTCATGATATTAATATGACATCTTACTAGTGATGTTTAGCTTGTTTCTGTCTGCCAGGTTCCTGCACCAGAAAGACACCTTATTTTCTATGAACTTGGTAAATATTTTGGGGGAGATACTTTGACACTATGCAAATCTTGTTTCTCCTCAAACTTCACCCATGAATTTTAGCATTCACTGATAGATTATGTCTGCAACATTTATTACTGTGCTGTATGCCTAATAGCAATTCTGTCTTTACTTTCTTCTACATTTATTCATTGGATCTTCTACATTTATTCATTGGAATTATATTTTGAGGAAGACCTGCCTCTTTCCTCCCATCTGTTTATTTCATCATTTCTATTAGTATGAACCTACAGATAATTGTTTTATTCTGGGGTTAAAATCTAATACTATCACTATTTTGTTGTTCAAATTGGTACAGCTTTATCATTAGGAGCTCCCGTTCTTTCAGCAAGTCCTCTCCTTTTTAAAATTATTTTTTATTTTTTTAATATTCCCTTACTTTCCGGCACCACAAGATGCTCAAGGCCCATCCTATATTTTTCTTGTCTCGTCCCCGGAATCAACCACTTGTAAGAGCCCTAGTTCCTTTACTGGAAAAAGGTGTTTAGAGACCAGTATCTGGGTTCTAGGCGTTCTCATTGTTACTGGAGTCACTGCTTCTAGGCCTCTCAGCTGAGATAGGCAGGAAATATATGTATGTATACTAACCTATACATGTATAAATATCTGTATTTCTGTATTTTACTGTCATACATTTAAAACTATGAGTTTATACTGATACTTCTGATCCCAAACTAAAACCACAGGATTCATTTTAGCCTTTAACATTTCCTTGTTTATAACGTCTTTCTCCACAAGTGAGAAATCCAGCTTTCACTGTTGGCAACCTATGATTTGTTCAATTCTAGTAAATACATAAAATAGTTACAGAATTGCTAACCTATACCCCTGTGAGAAACACTAAATTATAAACAGTTCTGTCTTCACCTTTACATTATATCAAGATACGCTTTTGGTAGCATTTTATTATTTAAAAATCGGAACAATATATTTAAGATTAGCACGGCCCCTGTGCATGGATGATATGCAAATTCATGAAGTGCTCAAAAAAAAAAAAAAAAAAAAAAAGACAGGCTTTAATACAGACTTTAGTTCTTTCTTCCCCACCCTTTTCAGTGGTGTTATATTACACATCCGTAATACAACTAGCCTTATTTTTTAGTTTTTGAATTCAGTTTTGGGTTCCCCCTACATCCTAGTTGGTTTTAATTGTCTGATTACATTTGGGGTGTGTGAAAAATATGTGACACATTACTATGATCCTAAGAGTCAAAAGTGTCACTCCCTCTTTGTTCCTACTAACCTGTTCCCATTCCCTCCCTTCTTTCCACCCCTTTCCCACCCACCCCTGCAGGCAATCAGTCTCTATAGTTTTGGTTTGTCCTTTCCATTTCCTTTGTTCAAATAAACAGATATTTGTGTATACTCTGTTATCTCCTGTATCAATCTGAGTTCAATTAGGAAGAAAAAAAGAACAGCAATTTGAACAAAGGTTAAGGATTCAATAACTTTAACAGAGGATTGGAATAATGAGGGATTGGCAAGGAAGCAGTAAAAGGGAACACTGAAGTATAGAATAATAGCAAACAGAAGGAGCACCCTACCCCTAGGGCTGAGAAAGAGCGCAGGGAAGTCCTTTTTTCTTCCTGGACAGAGATCCAGACGAGCTGGAGAAAGAAGTTGCTATGGTACTGCATCAGTGGAACTTGCTGGAAATCCACCCTCAAGGGCACTAGGAAAACCTGTTCAGGGGAGCTGTGGAGGGAAATGGGGTTGGCAGGAAAGCTGCTGGGCGCGGGGTGCTTCAGACTGCAGTGTATTGCAGGAGCTGGGCACTGGGGAAGCTGTGTGCACTGCAGGATCCTGCTGAGCCAGCACATCAGATCAGGAAGCAAAACCTTTGAGACTCCTGAGAAGTCTCTCCATTGCCCTTCACTGACAAAGCTTAAGGATGTGCTAGTTGGCAAAAGAAAAGTATTTAAAAGGCCAAGGTCCATTTTTACAGAGCAGGAAAAAGAGGTAAATTTGAAGATGAGAGCCAATAAACTACACCTGGCACACCTTTCTTACATGAAAGGTGGCATATACTTTGGGACTTTGCTTTTTTCACTTAATAGAATGTACTGGAAATTACTCTGAATTAATCCTTCCTCATCCTTTATTCTAGCTGCAAAATATTACCGTGTGGATTTCCCATAGCGTATTCAACACTCTCCTCTCCTACGTCTGTATATTTAAGGTATTTCAAATATTTTGCAATTACAAACAATACTGCAAGGAATAACAAGCAGACAGAAACAAGCTAAACATCACTAGTAAGTATTGAACACATGTATTTTCATATTGTTGGAGGGGTACCTTTGGTATAAATTACTAGAAATGGGATTGCTCGGACAAAAAGTATTATTTTCCTCATTAATTTCTGTTATCTTTATTATTTCCTTTCTAGTATTTTCTTTTCACTTACTTTGTTGTTCTTTTTTTGTTTTCTGAGCTGGAAATTTATTTTCTTTTTGTTTTTTTGACAGGGTCTTTTTCTGTTGCCCAGGCTGGAGTGGAGTGGTAAAATCACGGCTCACTTCAGCCTCAATCTCCTAGGCTCAAGTGATCCTTCCACCCTGGCTTCCTGAGTAGCTGGGAGCACAGGTGTGTGCCACCACAGCTGGCTAATTGTTTTTATTTTTTGTAGATACAGGTTCTCCCTATCTTGCCGAGGCTGTTCTCAAACTCGAGGGCTCAAGCAATCCTTCCATCTTGGCCTCCCCAAGTGTTGAGAGTACAGGCATGAGCCACTGCACGCAACCTGTTAGTAATATTCTATGTTATGAATGTCATTGATGTTTCCTTTGTGACCTAATACATAATCAATTTTTGTGAACATGTCATACAGTTCTCATTAGCAGGGAGCAAATTTTATGTATACGTACCTCCATAAGATATAAATTAAAAAGTGTCCTTTATCACATGTAATACTTTGGGGCTTGAATACTATTTGTCTGATATCAGCATCACTACTCCTGCTTGATTTTTGTTTCCATTTACTTGGTATACTTTGGTCTAACCCTTTATTTTTAGCTTTTCGGAATCATTTTATTTTAGATGTGTCTCTTGTCATCCCAAGATTTTTGTTTTACAAGCCAAATTGAAAATCCTTTTTTAATAGGTTGCTTAAGACTAATGTATTTGGTCTCAACTCTATCACAATATTTTCTAATTATTTGTATTTTGTTGTAATAGCTGTTTTTCATTATGAAATGCATACCCTTCTTTTCCATTTAATTTTTAGAAATTGAGGGGGAGTTGATATTTCTATTATTGTTCTACTGGTTACCTTTCTACTCACATTTTTTAAATCCTAGAGTTACCCATTTTCTTATTTAACACTTTACTATCTGGTGTGTCAGGTTTTTTTTCCTCTGCAGTAGTCTTTAAAACCCATCTATTGCCCACACATTATCCATTTTTCTCCTTCCATCATTTTAGTTGCAATACTGTACTTTGTTGCAATACCCAACGGTTACACAAATCTTCCACCCTCATCCTCTCTGTATTAGTCCTTTTGCTGAAAATTTTCCAGTCATCAATTGGTTGGATAAAGCTCATTCTCTTGTATATTCCTCAGAAATGGCCAGCAGGTACAGAAATTACCCAGGTTTTCGTTATGTCGAAAACTCTTTTTCTATAACCTTGACATTTGAGAACATTCAGTTAGATATAAAATCCTTCAATTCACACCTTCATTGAGCTTTAAAAAAAAACACTGCTCTATGTTGCCTTGCTTTGTATGTCAGTTTTTCAACATGTGATGCTTTTTGTAAGTTTGCCTTTGTAAGTTATATGTTCTTTTTGCACAGAAGACTTGATGATTTCATCTTTATCTCTGAAATCTAATAGTTGTACTAAAATATATCCCAAAAGTCAATAAGTCTGGGTTAATTTTTCCAGGTACCTAGGGAACCCTTTCTAGATTTAGTTTTTTTTTCAATTTCTGGAAACTTTTGCTGGATTATGTTTTTAAACATGAATTATGTTCCATTTCTTTTTCTTCTTCAGGGACTCTGATAATATGAATATTATGTCTTTGCCTATCTACCTACCATTCCCTACTTTCTCGGATTCATCTTACTTTTTTCTTTGTCATTTTCAATTCTCTTCGTTGTTTTTATGCCTTTCTTCATTGCCTCTTGCTTTCATTTCAGTCTATTTTCCCTTAGGTATCTTACAATTTATTCACTTATGAGGTAATTGTCTTTTTCTTCCATTTCTTCCCTTTGTTTCATCAACTCTTTTTTCATTTCTCCTTTAGTCATCATTTCCATTCTTATTAATAGTTTTAAAAATTCTAAGCCAAGGTAAACATTTTTATACCCTCAAATGCTTATTTGAGTATATTCAATTCTGTTTGGAGTACAGACTTATAGGCTTTCTCTTTTTTTTTTTTTTTGAGACAGAGTCTCGCTGTGTCGCCCAGGCTGGAGTGCAGTGGCGTGATCTCGGCTCACTGCAAGCTCCGCCTCCCAGGTTCACGCCATTCTCCTGCCTCAGCCTCCCAAGTAGCTGGGACTACAGGCGCCCGCCACCACGACCGGCTAGACTTAACAGGCTTTACCTGTTTCCGAGTGGAACAGGTAGTCTCCAAAGTTGATCTGTATAAACAGTTATTTCCTGATTATCTGCAACAAGCTCTCGTTAGATTTTATTTCCTCTTGCTCATTTTTGTAACATCTGGGGCACAGTGATAGTTTACAAGATTCCCAGTTTGATGGTGCTCTTTTCTGTCATTCTAGCCAACTTCAGATATATGAGAGCTGTTTGACAGTTTTTTTTTTTTTTTTTTTTTTGGAGACAGAGTTGCGCTGTGTCACCCAGGCTGGAGTGCAATGGCGCGATCTCAGCTCACTGCAACCTCCACCTCCCGGGTTCAAGTGATTCTCTTGCCTCAGCCTCCCGAGTAGCTGGGACTACAGGCGGGTGCCACCACGCCCAGCTAATGTTTGTATTTTTAGTAGAGGTGGGGTTTCACCATATTGGCCAAGCTGCTGTTGAACTCCTGACCTCAAGCACTCCACCCTGTTTAAGTTTTTTTAAAAAATCATTTGTGGTTGGTTTGGTGGAATAGGAGTTTTGAGTTCTCCAATTTCATGGTTCTTTTGTTTTTTGTTTTTGCAGGACTCTGTAAGTTCCTTTTGTTAACCTTTAAACAGTACATCCTGGACCTGTAAACAGTGCTTTCTTGGTCACAAAAGTGAGGGGGATGGGCAGAATAATCTAAAATTTCTATTGTATTAAAAGTAATGTTGCTGAAGGGCTGGGCGTCGTGGCTCACGCCTGTAATACCAGCCCTTTGGGGCAAGGCCGGCAGATCACTTGAGGTCAGGAGTTTGAGACTAGCCTGGTCAAAATGGTGAAACCCCATCTCTACTAAAAATATAAAAAATTAGCCAGGCATGGTGGCACACGCCAGTAATCCCAGCTACTTGGGAGGCTGAGGCAGAAGAATCACTTGAGCCCAGGAGGCAGAAGTTGCAGTGAGGAGAGATTGAGCCACTGCACTCTAACCTGGGCAACAGAGTGAGTGAGACTCTGTCTAAAAATAAATAAATAAACAAATAAATAAGTGATGTTGCTGAAGCTTTTGGAATGACAAGTAAGTTTTAGCAGCACCCATGTATTAACAATTATCTCTCCTATTCCTAGGAATTAAAACCAACTAAGTAGTCAAAAAAAATGTCAAAACTGCCAAAGCTATGTAGTTTGCTATAGATTAAGGGAGCAACATGTATCAAGGAAGAATCAATATCTACCAACTACCTTTGGTCCCTTATATGCATAAAACGAGCTCTTTCATTTGATGTGGGAAAGAAAAAGTACCAGAAATTTATTTTATGTCATAATAAAGAAATGATGTACTTATGTTTTATTTTTATAATATAATAATGTGAAATTATTGGTGAGGAAAAGGAAGGTTCAGAGAAAGATAAAGCATAGAGATACAAATTTAGGCTTTTGCCACAAGTCTAATTTTTTTTTGGCAGGACCATTAAGGTTAACAATGGTCATGTATTAAATACACTAGCTTCACAGTATATCAAAATAACCCCAGTTGAAGAATACCGTACTGATTTACATTAGATTATATATAATTCTACCCACAAATCCTGTTTGGAGGGACTAGAAGAAACCAAAGAGATCTAGTTGACCTAGTAGTGCAAAGTAGTCAAGGGAAATAATGTTTAAGCAGTCTTAAAATTACTATTTAACATGGCTTAACAAAATTACTATAAATCAATGAATACATTATTAACTATAGCAAAAAAGAGTCTGCTTTAATATGATTATCATCAACGTTCTTTTTTCAGTCTATCTCTAAAAATCACTTCCTGAGTCTTCTGAAAGTTTCATTTATTCCACTCATTCTACAAATATTTGTTGGCTCCCTACTATGCACCACAGTTCTAGGAATTGGTAATATAGCAGTGAGTGTGGCAGATGTAACTTAAGGAACTTTCAAGTGTAGCTAAGAAGACAGAAAATTAAACACGTATATTACAGATGTGATGAGCATTTCAATAGGGAAGCATAGGGTGCTACATGAGCATACAAGATGACCTAAATGGAGTCCGTAGTCCTTTAGCTAAGACTTGCAGGATGAGTAGAAGTCAACAAGGTCAGGAGATAAGCAAGAATGACTGTTCTGGGCAAAGGCCTGGAGTGAGAGAGCATATTCGAGGAACTGAAACACAGTGCAGTGTGGCTGGAACACTGCAGAGAGAAAGCTTAAAAAAAATCAGCAAGGTCGGGCCAGGTGCGGTGGCTCATATCTGTAATCCCAACACTTTGGGAGGCCGAGGTGGGTGGATCACGAGAGGTTGGCCAACATGGAGCCTGACCAACATGGAGAAACTCCGTCCCTACTAAAAATACAAAATTAAGCGTGGTGGCACATGCCTGTAATCCCAGCTACTTGGGAGGCTGAGGCAGGAGAATCACTTGAACCTAGGAGGCGGAGGTTGCCGTGAGCCGGGATCGCACCATTGCACTCAGGCCTGGGCAACAAGAGTGAAATTCCATCTCAAAAACAAAACAAAATGAAAACAGCAAGGTCCACTCCTTAGAGGCCTTTGTGAGCCACTACAGACTCAGGACTTCAGCCTAAGGGACATCAAAAGGTTTTAGGCAAGGGAGTGACAATCAGATGTGCATTTTAGACAAATACAACTAATCAATCAACAATAGTTACAGAGCACCAATTGGAGCAAGGCAGTATAGTAGGCTTGAGAACAATACACAGATGGGAGTTTGGACTCTCATTGAGCCTTCAAGGACTTTAGAAATGTTAAGAGTTTAAGGCAGTATAAATGCATCTGTTTCCTAAGGGAAAGATGGGTTGTGGTAATCTGGAAAGGAATCTTTGGGCTTTTAAAAAAGTGGTATGGGCAAGGTGTGGCGGCTCACGCATGTAATCCTAGCACTTTGGGAGAACGAGTTGGGCAGATCACATGAGGTCAGGAGTTGAAACCAGCCTGGCCAACATGGTGAAACCCGTCTCTACAAAAAATGCAAAAAAGTTAGGCAGCCGAGGGTGCAGGCACCGGTAATCCCAGCTACTCCGGAGGCTGAGGCAGGAGAATCGCTTGAACCCGGAGGCAGAAGTTGCAGTGAGCAGAGATCACGCCACTGCACTCCAGCCTGGGCAACAGAGTGAGACTGCATCTCAAAAAAATAACGTAACATAACATAACATAGAAGTGGTATGTTTCAGATGGGAGAGAGGCCACATGCATCCTGAGCCATCTGAAAGAGAAAGTGGTTGAAAATAAATCTGGAAAGGCAAATTTGGGATATATGTGGAAGGCTTCAAATGTCTAGCTAAGGAGTTTGAAATTTTTCCATATAGGAGATGTAGGGCCATAGACCATTTTTAAGCAAAATGGCTTGCTCAGGCGACAGCATGATGGATAAATCAGTGGGAGAAATGACTGTACTTATCAAAGACACTTAAGAACCTTGCACAGTGCTCCAGGTGTTGCTGCTGTAAAAGTCAGCAGTAGGGACCAGGGGAACAGATTTAGCAGTTATTATGAAAGAAAACCCAAGTAGAGTTGAAATGACTGCCTGAATATTTGAGGGGGATAATAGCGTAGGATCAAGAACGACAGAACATAGCTGAGGTAGTATGAAATAAGTGGACTATAAATTGGAAATTATAAATTTCACTATTACATGCACAATTTCTCTATATTATCATACAACAGTGCCTCTCAAAGAGTGGTAGGCAGACCAGAATTCATCTATGACCTATTTGTTAACCAATCTGTACAGAAAATGACAGTAAGCATTTAGAAACTTCCATTATCATTGAATAATTTTGTCTATTGAATTTAATTAAAAATTTGAACTTATATTGTGTTTGTCTTTTTTAATTCCATTTTTCTAGTAATTCTTTTTATAGTATTTTATCAAAGCATAAATCTGTCAAAGATTAAAAATTTTTAAAAACAAGAACTGTCCTTTACCACAAATAGTTTGAAAAACACTGTCAGAGTATTTAGGTTGCCCCCCAGATCTAAGTAGATTACCTCTATAAACAAACATTCAAAAATATTAAAAAATAAACACAAGTTTGAATATGGACTGAATATTATAGATTATGTATTTACGGTTTTCTTAGGTATAATAATACCACAATAATTATGTAGGAGAATGATACTTTTAGAAGCTATATGCTTATGTATTTACGGGTAAATTATCATGTCTAACTTACTGAATGGGGGATAGCAAAATGAAAAAACACACAGCAGGCATCCCATACACACGGCTAAAGTAAATATGGTCAAATATTAAGAACAGCTGAATTTAAGGGGTGGGTATACAGACAACAATCAATACTGCACTTTCAACTTTTCAAAACATAATGTTGAAAAAATGTTTAAATAAATAGGTCATAAAAACCAAGTCCTCCATACCCCAAAGTCACCAGGTCAGTATTCTCCGGAATGACTTCTGGATCCTCACCGTCCTCAAGGCATTTCAGTTTATCAAGGCTAAAACAAAAAGGAAAAGCAATACTTTAAGGTCGACTCTGCATCTGGTTCACAGCGAGTTAGGGTTGTTTTCCTAAATACATTACTGAATTACGAAGTCAGATAAAATCCAGCAGGCGGCTCAGAGAGGCCAGAACTTAAGACAACGATTTCTGTGATTATATTTTATAATGAAAAGGCCGATGAAGGCAGCCAGTACTGTTAAATGGAGAAAGAGATTAAAGTTATTTTTATATTTTCATCCCCAAATAAGGCACTTTTAAGAAATATTTCAGTAACAGAATACCCGGAAGGTCCCCAAAAGAAACCAGTTAGTCGGGGTTTTAACACTCCTCTGATGAAGTCTCCCGCAGCTTCACCATTACTCAGGTTCCTCCATTGTCAAAGTGTCTGTCAATGGCAGGTACACGTCGCTGTTGCCCTGATTGCTTTTCTTTATTAACAAGCACTCTTAGAATAAGCAAATGGAAAAACTAGTCTTTGATGCAGCTGTCTTGTCCCTTTGCTCCAACTCGTAGAAACTGTGCATTCGGGTCCCAGGACTTCTCCTGGTGTCCCAGGAAGGCTCCAGCGGGTTGAAAGCTTTAAAGGGTAATACTCCTAGCCCAGGTCTAAACCACAGGCCCTTCTCAGGGATGAGTCCCAGAGGAGCGCACGAGCAAGGCTGCACCCTGTTTGACCCCAAGCTGCAAGAGCCCCTTTGCTCCGCACTCACCCGCACACCGCCCTCAGCTCAGCCGCCGCCTCCAGGCTGCAGTCCAGATCCCTGGCCACCGCGGCATCCTCCCGGTCGGAGTCAGCTGCCTGGCTCCCAGGCAGAGCGGATGCCGGCGGCTCCCTCAGCGACAAGTCCCCGGCCCCGCGCAGACGGCCCCGCCACAGCTCCCCAAAGGCGCCCACATGGAAAGCGCGCGTATTTAGCTCGGGAAGCTCATACTCTGGAAAGTTGCAGCCGCCACTGCCGGAGACTGGGTCCTGCCTGCCACCCACCCCGCTACACGTAGGGCCACCTCGGCTTCCTTCAGCCATGTTCGCCCCACTCCTTCCCCTGCAAAAGCCTGCAGATCAAGGCCTCGCAGAGCGTGATGGAAGTTGTAGTTGCTTGGGGCGCCCGGCCGGCGAGCGGCGAGGCGGCGCGGGCAGGGCATCAGAAACTACATTTCCCGGCAGGCCATGGGCAGGCCCGCCCCAGGGCGCGGCACCGCGAGGCTCTACGTGCAGGGCGCAGCATTGTTCTCCGACCCGGGCGGTGCGGGAACCGTTGCGGCTGTCGGTTAACCGCAGCGGGTGGGGCTGGGTTTCTGGTCCCCGAGTTACGTAGCAACTGTCTCTGCCCGGTAGGGCGGCCTCGCCAGGCGCTTAGGCCCCGTTCCTTGCGGCTTTCGGACTAAGGGGTGCAGGGCTTTTTCTTGACTGGGGTTCAAGGACTGCTCTGCTGCCTGATTGCTTTAGAGCCTAAGAAACAAGGAGGGCGAGGGCCGAGACCAGGGACACGACCAGCCCTCCAGATCTGGTTCTTTCACAAGCTCCGCAGAGGCCCCATGTTGGTGTGCGTGTGCAGTAGTGTTTCAGAGCGTCTGTGTATCACACGCTACATGATTAACCCTAATGTATGTTTTTAATGTTTTTAAAAATTACAACAACCTTTCCGGATAGGGCGTATCACCCCGTGTTGCTGTTGAGGAAGGATTTACCTGCGGGGAAAATAGAAGCAGGATCGGAACTCAGTCTGGCTTCAGATGGAGCTCTCTCCATTTCTCAGAGGCCCTGAAGGATACAGCAGGACATACTATTTATTTATTAGACTGTAATCACATGCCATATAATTCACCCATTTGAAGTGTTCAGTGATTTTTGGTATATTCACAGGCTTGGGCAACCATCACCACTATTTGAGAGCATTTTTACCACTCGAAAGAAGAAACTTGTACTTTTTAGCTATCACCCCTGATCCTCCCAACTCCTCCAGCCCTAGCCAACCAAGAACCTACTTTGTCTCTCTAGATTTAACTAATCTGGACATTTAATATAAACGGAATTATATGGTCTTTTGGTGGCTGGCTTAATGTTTACAAGGTTTGTTACAGGTAGTTAGGCATGAGCAGGGCAGGAGAGGGCTCTTCCCTCACCCACTAGGAATGTGGGGTGATGCTTAGGCATTTATCACATTGCCTCTAAAAGTGATAAATTGGCAGCCGGTGCCAGGGAGAGGCCATTTCCTGATGGCCCACACCTGTTGCACTAAAGTGCTCGTTGAATGCAGGTGACAGGGAGAAGCAACTTCCTGGGCATATGCATTAAGAGACAAAATCGGGGAGTATGACCTTTCAGGGGGACTCTATCGGAAAAGGGAAGAAAGCCTCAGATGGGCACGCATACAACTTCATACATATTGCGCTGTGCTCACTTCCCAAGGGTAAGGAGGGCACTGCGCATGGAGGCAGCCCACCCTAAGGGAAGAATCATGGGAAAGGAGCCAGCCTGTAAAGTCCTAGGATCGAGGTCAATATCACAGTTGACCTCAGTGACAGCTTGGGACTCTTCCGAGCGTGCTTTCCTTTCTTTCCTAAAGGCCTTTTAAATAAGCTTCCACTCCTGCTCTGAAACTTGCCTCAGTCTCTTTTTGTGCCTTATTGCCCCTCGGTCAAATTCTTTCTTCTGAGGAGGCAAGAACTGAAGTTGCTGCAGACCCATACAGATTTGCCCTGGTAACTTGGATACCTGCCACCTGTAACACGTTCATCCATTTTGTAGTATGTGTCAGTACTTCATTCCTTTTTTGGCTGAATAATATTGCATTGTATGTATATGCCACATTTTATTTATCAAAAAGTTTTTACCTTTTGGCGTTGCTATGAACATTCATGTACACATTTTTGTGCAAATACGTTTTCATTTCTCTTGGGCATGTGCCCAGTAGTATACAGTCAGCCCTCCCTATCTGTGGGTTCTGCATCCTCCAATTCAACCAACCACATATCAAAAATTACAGTATTCCCAGGTTGCAGAACCTGAGGATAAGAGGAATTTTCCTATGGGCGGATTCCACAGGGCTGACTGCAAGAAGAGCATCTGTCAATTTTGGAGTCCACAGGGGTCTTCGAAACAGTCCACCCTGCAGATACCAAGGGATTTCTGTATTTATGGAACTCTATTTTCAACTATTTGAGGAACTGCCAGATTTTTTTAAAGTGGCTGTCCCATTTTACTCCCCTCCCCAGCAGGATTCTCCACATCCTTGCCAACACTTATCTGAACTTTTTATTATAACCGTGTCAGTGAGTGTGAAATGGTGTTTCATGACTTTTTATTTGCATCTCCCTAATTATATTGATGGAACACGTTTTCATGTGCTTATTGACCATTTGCATATTTCTTTGGGGAAATGTATATTCAAGTTCTTTACCAATTTTTAAATAAAGTTATTGTGTTTCCATAGGAGCTCTGGTTTTTTTTTTCTTTCTTTTTTTTTTTTTTTTTTTTTGTTTTGAGACAGAGTTTCCCTCTTATTGCCCAGGCTGGAGTGCAATGGTGCGATCTTGGCTCACCGCAACCTCTACCTCCTGGGTTGGAGCGATTCTCCTGTCTCACCCTCCTGAGTAGCTGGGATTACAGGTGCATTCCACCACACCTGACTAATTTTTTTGTATTTTTAGTAGAGATGGGATTTCATCATATTGGTCAGGCTGGTCTAGAACTCCTGACCTCAGGTGATCCGCCCACCTCTGCCTCCCAAAGTGCTGGGATTACAGGCGTGAGCCACTGCGCCCGGCCTTCTGGTTGTTTTGTTGTTGTTTGTTTGTTTGAGATAGTGTCTTGCTTTGTCACCCAGACTGGAGTGCACTGGCACAATCAAGGCTCACCGCAGCGTGTCAGGCCTCTGAGCCCAAGCTTAGCCATTATATCCCCTGTGACCTGCACATATACATCTAGATGGCCTGAAGCAACTGAAGAACCACAAAAGATGACATTCCACCATTGTGATCTGTTCCTGCCCCACCCTAACTGATCAATTGACCGTATGACAATACACCCTCCCCGCCCTTGCGATAACGTACTTTGTAATATTCTCCCTGCCCTTGAGAATGTACGTTGTGAGATCCACCCCCTGCCCACAAAAAAATTGCTCCTAACTCCACCGCTTATCCCAAACGTATAAGAACTAATGATAGGCTGGGTGCCGTGGCTCACGCCTATAATCCCAGCACTTTGGGAGGCCGAGGCAGGAGGATCACAAGATCAGGAGTTCGAGACCAGCCTGGCCAATATGGTGAAACCCCTTCTCTACTAAAAATACAAAAATTAGCTGGGCGTGGTGGCAGGTGCCTGTAGTTCCAGCTACTTGGGAGGCTGAGGCAGGAGAATCGCTTGAACCTGGGAGGCAGAGGTTGCAGTGAGCTGAGATTGCGCCATTGCACTGTAGCCTGGGCGACAAAGTGAGACTCCGTCTCAAAAAAAAAAAAAAGAAAAAACTAATGATAATTCCATACCCTTTGCTGACTCTCTTTTCAGACTCAGCCCGCCTGCACCCAGCTTTATTGCTCACACAAAGCCTGTTTGGTAGTCTCTTCACACTGACGCGTGTGACACAGCGTAGACCTCCCAGGCTCAGGTGATCCTCCCATCTTAATCTCCTGAGTAGCTGGGACTACAGGTACGCTGTCATCACATCCAGTTAATTTTTTTATTTTTTTAGAGAAGAGGTTTCACCATGTTGCCCAGGCTGGTCTTGAACTCCTGGGCTCAAGTTATCCTCCTGCCTTGGCCTCCCAAAGTGCTGGGATTACAGGTATGAGCCACCATGCCCAGCTGGAGCCCTGGTTTTTATCAGTACATTGTTGTAGGAAATATCTATCGTTTTTGTCAGCCTAGTATTGTTTATTAGAGCTGACCTTCCCTACTACTTTTGATCCTCCTGGGGCTGCCAGTCATAGAACCATTCCCAATCTGGCCACAGTGGTTGGTCCAAGGATGATCAAGTGTCTCAAATAGAGCCAATCGGAATCCTCCTGTGGGGTTTTATCTATAAACCAAGAAGCCCTTTATCCATTCTAAGGACCTAATAATGTGTCCTAGACACAGACCGTTCCTGCCAGTGGAAGAGTTAGAAGGAACAGAGGCAAGAGTTTGAACAAGCAAAGGCAGAAAATGGAGAAGATAGAAGTCAAGTGACTTGGAGCTACTGGGGCTGAGGCCATCTGCTCTCCTGTATTTGCCATTATGTAAAGGAGGCAAAATTTTACCTCTACTCTCTTAGGATTTTTCAGCTGGGCCTGAGAATTAAATTGACATAAGATGGAGCAACAGGAGAAAAACATGCAAATTAATTTCATACAAGTGTTATGTGGCATAGGATCCTTCATAAGGAAATGAAGACCCAAAGAAACAGTTACAATTGAACACTTATAAACTGAATTGGATAAAGAGTTAGTGAATTATGAAAATGTGACAAGGCAAAGCATACAAGGATAGGGTAGTTAATTGAGTGGAGAAGTGACTAGAAAGCTAAGAGTTAGTTTAACAAGGTTGGTTTGTACAGATTTCCCTTAGCCTCAACTTCCTGTCCTTGATGATAAGAATGATGTTTTCCTTCTGGGTATAGGGAGGACACCTTTCACATGGGAATTTCATCTCCTGCTTTTAAGAAACAGAAGAAAAGTCAGAGTGAACTCCTTGCACCTGCTGTTTCCCAAGTGATACGGCTCAGATGAGTGGAGGAACACGAGGGTTCTTGGTCCTCGTGCCGGCAACATGGACACACATGGAGTGGTTTTAAGGAGCGGAGAGTTTAATAGGCAAGGAAGGGAGGAGACAGAAGGAAGAAGGTCCCCAGTAGAGACAGGGGGAGGGGGGCTCCAAAGCCAAAAGAGGAGGTCCCCACCTGCCACGGATACCAGCCAGGTATATATGCAGAGGCTGGAGAAGGCAATATCTGATTTGCATAGGGCTCAGGGGATTGGTTTGACCAGGCATGTCATTCACGTAGCCCTCAGAAAAAGCTGGCCCTCTCATCCTAGCCTTTTAAGATGCAAATGCAGGGCACTCTGAATGTTCTACACATGTGGAGATATGTGGGGCAGCCATGTTGCCAGGAACATGTGGGGCAAGGGCAAGAAGGCCGCAGGAATCACCATGTTGGGTGGACCCAGTTTCTAATGCCCTGCATTTGCATATCAAAGGTTGCCGGCCTGGCTCTAAGAGCCGGGGCTTTACAAGAAATTTTTCCGGAGATGCTTTAAAAACCAAAACTCCCCAAGGGCCCCTTTTCCTCTCTATCTGCCTACAGTAATTTCTTAATAACTCTCGGCCAGGCGCAGTGGCTCACGCCTGTAATCCCAGCACTTTGGGAGGCTGAGGCGGGTGGATCATGAGGTCAGTGGTTCGAGACCAGCCTGACCAACACGGTGAAACCACGTCTCTACTAAAAATACAAAAATTAGCTGGGCCTGGTGGCAGGCGCCTGTAATCCCAGCTACTCAGGAGGCTGAGGCAGGAGAATTGCTTGAACCCGGGAGGTCGAGGTTGCAGTGAGCCGAGATCGCGCCACTGCACTCCAGCCTGGGCGACAGAGCGAGATTCTGTCTCAAAATAATAATAATAATAAATTGTAAAAAATAATAACTCCTACCACACAAGTGCCTTTAACTGAAAATAGTATGCCACTACTTTGGGGTGGCATATTCTTAACTCCTTCATTAGTAACTTTTTATTTATTTTTTAAATCTTAAGATAGTTTGAGTTGGATTCTCTTGCAACCTAAAATCTTGGGTCCTGAAATACTTGACCCAAATTCCTCAACAGGGGGCACCCTCACTCCAGAGAATGAGGTCATCTTTCAGGTAGAACTGGTCTAACATATTATCTGGCGATTTAGTAGCATTCGCTTCAGGAGTGGTGACCACATAGGTTCCTGGGCAGCAGTGGGTAAGGGCAGGATCAGAATGGCTGTAACCAAGGGAGGTGGTTCATTGTCACCCTGAGGAGTAGCACTTGGGAGCAGCAGCTTCAGAGGTGGGAATTGCAGGGATCAGTGGGGAAAGAAGAATTCATGGTGAGCATCAGCAGCAGTCACAACAACATGGCAGTCATTTGGGTCTTAGCCTCCATGTAACGCCCCTTCCTGGAAGCAACCATAATCATATTAGCAGCTGCCCTCGTTGGGATAAAGTCATGGCAAAGGCAACTTCTAGCTCAGTGGCAAATTTGGCAAAAGATGGGGGTGTTGTAGGCCTGGCACTAGTAATAGCAGCAAAGAAGTGGAAAGATTCCAAGGTCCTGGGATAAGTATAGTCCCTAAAATTCTGGATGAGCTTTCTATAATTCTTGGGGGAAAAACCCCTATTTTTTTCTGATTATGGTTATTGGACCCAACCACTAGGTTGGGGTAGTGGTGTAGAATTTAGAATCAGGAATACTGAGTAGTGGCTCAAACCAAGATGATTATGGAGTGTTATCTGGCTCTTGATTTCCCAACTCTGCTTATTGAAGAAAATATTAAAAACTGGGGAGTAGGAAAAGGGGCCACGAACTCTTACAGTTGGCCTCTGAACCAGCTTCCTCACCTGAGATACTTATATGGGCTCCACAGGTGATGAAAATGAGAAACACTGGCTGGTGGGGACTGTGGGAAACTGGGGAGTACTCTATCCTCTGTCTAACGGGGGCAGCTGTGATGGTGCCACGTGAGAATGCGGGCCTCGCCTACCAGAGTTTTCAGAATTTCAAAAGATCCCCGAGTTAAACCATAGAGGTCTGAAAAAAAAAGAATTTCAAAAGAAGCCAGATAGCCAATTTGTTGAAGTGTGAAATCTCTTGATCTTAAAATGTTGGCAATTAATTAATAAAAAATTTAAACACAGTATTTCCTTCCAGGCTAGTCTGAGCAACATAGTGAAGCTGTGTCTCTAAAAAAAAAAAAAAAAAAATTAAAACAATAGGCCAGGCACAGTGGCTCACACCTGTAATCCCAGCACCTTGGGCAGGCAAAGGTGGGTGGATCACCTGAGGTCAGGAGTTCGAGACAAGCCTGGCCAAAATGGCAAAACCCCGTCTCTACTAAAAATACAAAAATTAACCAGGTGTGGTGGTGCATACCTGTAATCTCAGCTACTCGGAAGGCTGAGGCAAGAGAATCACTTGAACCTGGGAGGTAGAGTTTGCGGTGAGCCGAGATCATGCCAATGCACCCCAGCCTGGGTGACAGAGCGAGACTGCATCTCAAAATAAATAAATTAATAAATTAATTAATTAAAAAAAACAACGTTATGCAGTATTCAAGCCAAACACAACTCACAGGCATCTGGTGTTTGTGATCGCTGATCCGTACTGTGATTTCTGAACTATTATATCTCTAAAATCCATCCAGCTCCCAATTTATGCAATTCTACATGTAAAATTATTTCAGTTTGTTTTCCAAAGTAATTCTGCCACTGCCCTAGGGCCTTCCTTCTTGTAATAAGGCTATAGGTACCTGGGAGCCTCACCGGGATTGAGGTCATGTGTGTATCCCACCATTTCAATGTTGGCTATCCAAGTTGTATTTCCAGCTAGTTTCCCCTACTGTCTAAATCTTTCTTATAGATACATCATTTATTTTATTATTCTCTGGCTTCAGTTTCTTTTTCTCTGAGTGTAGAATTGGTCTAGTTTTTTTTTGTTTTTTTTTTTTTTTTTTGAGATGGAGTCTCACTCCTGTTGCCCAGGCTGGAGTGCAATGGCACGATCTTGGCTCATTACAACCTCTGCCTCCCGGGTTCAAGCGATTCTCCTGCCTCGGCCCCCCGAGTAGCTGGGATTACAGACATGTGCCACCATGCCTGGCTAATTTTTGTATTTTTAGTAGAGATGGGGTTTCTCCATGTTGGTCAGGCTGGTCGCAAACTCCCAACCTTGATCCGCCCACCTCGGCCTCTCAAAGTGCTGGGATTACAGGCGTGAGCCACCGCGCCCGGCCTGGTCTAGATTTATAAAAATTATTTTTACCAGCTCGGGCAGCATGGCATTTAGTATTTTTCTACTAAAAGTACAGAAAATTTGCCTGGTGTGGTGGTGCATGCCCGTAGTCCCAGCTACTCAGGAAGCTGAGGTGGAAGGATCGCTTGAGTCTGGGTGACAGAGCCAAGATTGCACCACTGCACTCCAGCCTGGGTGACAGAGAGAGACTGTCTCAAAAAGAATTAAAAAAATAAAAAATAAAAAAAATAAGGCCAGGCCCAGTGGCTCATGCCTGTAATCCCAGCACTTTGGGAGGCCGTGGTGGGCAGATCACAAGGTCAGGAGATCGAGACCATCCTGGCTAACACGGCAACACCCCATCTCTACTAAAAATACAAAAATTAGCTGGGCATGGTGGCACATGCCTGTAATCCCAGCTACTCAGGCATGGTGGCAGGCGCCTGTAGTTCCAGCTACTCAGGAGGCTGAGGCAGGAGAATGGCATGAACCTGGGAGGCGGAACTTGCAGTGAACTGAGATAGCGCCACTATGCTCCAGCCGTTGAGACGGAGTCTCGCTCTGTTGCCCAGGCTGGAGTGCAGTGGCGCGATCTCGGCTCACTGCAAGCTCCGCCTCCTGGGTTCAAGCGTGCATCACCACACCCAGCTAATTTTCATAGTTTTAGTAGGGACAGGGTTTCACCATGTTGGCCAAGATGGTCTTGATGTCTTGACCTCGTGATCCACCCGCCTTGGCCTCCCAAAGTGCTGCTATTACAGGCGTGAACCACCATGCCTGGCCAAAGATACCAAGGTATACAGGTATACAGGCAACAAATATCATGATGACTGGAATGGTACCTCCCATCTCAATAGTAACATTAAATGTAAATGGCCTAAATGCTCCACTTAAAAGATATAGAATTAGACTGGGCGCGGTGGCTCACGCCTGTAATCCCAGCACTTTGGGAGGCCAAGGAGGGCGGATCATGAGGTCAGGAGATCAAGACCATCCTGGCTAACATGGTGAAACCCCGTCTCTACTAAAAGTACAAAAATTAGCCAGGCATGGTGGCAGGCACCTGTAGTCCCAGCTACTCTGGAGGCTGAGGCAGGAGAATGGTGTGAACCTGGGAGGTGGAGCTTGCAGTGAGCTGAGATCGCACCACTGCACTCCAGCCTGGGCAACAGAGTGAGACTCCATCTCAAAAAAAAAAAAAAAAGATATAAATCACAGAATGGATAAGAATTCACCAACCAGCTATCTGCTGCCTTCAAGAGACTCACCTAACACATAAGGACTCACATAAACTTTAGATAAAGGGGTGGAAAGAGACATTCCATGCACGTGGACATCAAAAGCAAGCAGGAGTGGCTATTCTTGTTTTTTGTTTTTTTTTTTTGAGATGGAGTCTCGCTCTATTGCCCAGGCTGGAATGCAGTGGTGCGATCTCGGCTCACTGCAAGCTCTGCCTCCTGGGTTCATGCCATTCTCCTGCCTCAGCCTCCTGAGTAGCTGGGAGTACAGGCATGTGCCACCACGCTCAGCTAACATTTTTTGTATTTTTAGTAGAGATGGGGTTTCACCATGTTAGCCAGGATGGTCTCGATCTCCTGACCTTGTGATCCATCCGCCTCAGCCTCCCAAAGTGTTGGGACTACAGACGTGATCCACTATGCCCAGCCAGGAGTGGCTATTCTTATATCAGACTAAACAAACTTTAAAGCAATAGCAGTTAAAATAGACAAAAGGGGACATTACATAATGCTAAAAGGCCTTGTCCAACAGGAAAATGTCACAATTCTAAATACATATGCATCTAACATTGGAGCTCCCAAATTTATAAAACAATTACTAATAGATCTAAGAAGTGAGATTAAGAGCAACACGATAATAGTGGGGGACTTCGATTCTCCACTGACAGCACTAGACAAGTCATCAAGACAGAAATTCCACAAAGAAACAATGGATTTAAATCAAACCCAGGAACAAATGGACTTAATAGATATTTACAGAACATTCTACTCAACAACCACAGAATATACATTCTATTCATCAGCAAATGAAACTTTCTCCAAGATAGACCGTATGATAGGCCACAAGACAAGCCTCAATAAATTTAAGAAAATGGAAATTATATCAAACACTCTCTCAGACCACAGTGGAATAAAACTGGAAATCAACTCCAAAAGGAACCTTCAAAACCATCCAAATACATGGAAATTAAATAACCTGCTCCTGAATGATCATTAGGTCAAAAATAAAATCAAGACGGAAATTAAAAAATTCATCAAACTGAGTGACAATAATGACACAACCTGTCAAAACCTCTGGGAGACAGCAAAGGCGGTGCTAAGAGGAAAGTTCACAGCCCTAAATGCCTGCATCAAAAAGACTGAAAAAGCACAGACAATCTAAGTTCACACCTCAAAGAACTTGAGAAACAAGAACAAACCAAACCCAAACCTAGCAGAAGAAAGGAAATAAGCAAGATCAGAGCAGAACTAAATTAAATTGAAACAAACAAACAAACAAAAAACAAAAGATAAATGAAAAAAAAACCTGGTTCTTCGAAACGATAAGCAAAATTGATAGACCATTAACAAGATTAACCAAAAAAAGAAGAGAGAAAATCCAGATAAGCTCAATTAGAAATGAAATGGGAGATATTACAACTGACACCACAGAACTTTGAAAGATCATTCAAGGATACTATGAAACCTTTACACACATAAACTAGAAAACCTCTAAGAGGAGATGGATAAATTCCTGGAAAAATTTAACCCTCCTAGCTTAAATCAGGAAGAATTAGATACTGTGAACAGACCAATAACAAGCAGCAAGATTAAAATAGTAACAAAACAATTATTGACAAATAAAAGTCCAGGACCAGACGGATTCACAGCAGAATTTTGTCAGACATTCAAAGAAGAATTGGTATCAATCCTATTGACACTATTCCACAAGATAGAGAAAGAGGGAATTCTTCCTAAATCATCCAATGAAGCCACTATTACCCTAATACCAAAACCAGGAAAGGACGTCACCAAAATAGAAAGCTACAGACCAATATCCCTTATTAACATAGATGCAAAAATCCTTAACAAAAGAAAAGGATTAGCTAACCAAATCCAACAACATATCAAAAAGGTAATCCACCATGATCAAGTGGATTTCACACCAGGATGCAGAGATGGTTTAACATACACAAGTCAATAAATGTGTTACATCACATAAACAGAATTAAAAACAAAAATCACATGATCATCTCAATAGACACAGAAAAAGCATTCGACAAAATCCAGCATCCCTTTGTGATTAAAACTCTTGGCTGGGTGTGGTGGCTCACGCCTGTAATCCCAGCACTTTGGGAGGCCGAGGCGGGTGGATCACGAGGTCAGGAGTTTGAGACCAGCCTGGCCAACATGGTGAAACCCCATCTCTACTAAAAATACAAAAATTAGCTGGGCGTGGTAGCGGGCACCTGTAATCCCAGCTACTCGGGAGGCTGAGGTAGGAGAATCACTTGAATCCAGGAGGTGGAGGTTGCAGTGAGCCGAGATCGTGCCACTGCACTCCAGCCTGGGCGACAGAGCAAGACTCAGGGATGGGTAGAATCAATATTGTGAAAATGACCCTACTGCCAAAAGCAATCTACAAATTCAATGCAATTCCCACTAAAATACCACCATCATTCTTCACAGAACTAGAAAAACAGTTCTAAAATTCATATAGAATCAAAAAAAGAGCCACATAGCCAAAGCAAGACTAAGCAAAAAGAACAAATCTGGAGGCATCACATTACCTGATTTCAAACTATTCTATAAGGCCATAGTCACCAAACAGCATGGTACTGGTATAAAAATAGGCACATAGACCAATGGAACAGAATAGAGAACCTGGAAATAAACCCAATTACTTACAGCCAACTGATCTTCGACAAAACAAACAAAAACATAAAGTGGGGATAGGACACTCTATTCAACAAACGGTGATGGGATGATTGGCAAGCCACATGTAGGAGAATGAAACTGGATCCTCATCTCTTACCTTATACAAATATCAACTCAAAATGGATCAGGAACTTAAATCTAAGACCTAAAACTGTAAAAATTCTAGGAGATAACATTGGGAAAAGTCTTTTACACATTGGCTTAAAAAAGGATTTCATGACCAAGGACCCAAAAGCAAATGCCACAAAAACACAGGTAAATAGATGGGACTTACTTAAACTAAAGAGCTTTTGCATGGCAAAAGGAACAGTCAGCAGAGTAAACAGACAACCCAAAGAGTGGGATAAAATCTTCACAATCTATAAATCTGACAAAGGACTAATATCCAGAATCTTCAATGAACTCAAACAAGTTAGCAAGAAGAAAACAAACAACCCCATCAAAAAGTGGGGTAAGAACATGAATAGACAATTCTCAAAAGAAGAGCTACAAATGGCCAACAAAGAAGTGAAAAAATGCTCAGCATCACTAATGATAAGGGAAATGTAAATCAAACAATGTGATACCACCTTACTTTTGCAGGAATGGCCATAATCAAAAAATTTAAAAATAATAGAGGTTGGTGTGCTGTAAACAGGGAACACTTCTACACTGCTGATGGGAATGTAAACTAGTACAACCACTATGGAAAACAGTGTGGAGATTCCTTACAGAACTAAAAGTAGAACTACCATTTGATCCAGCAATTCTAGTACTGGGTATCTACCCAGAGGAAAAGAAGTCATTACACAGAAAAGATACTTGCACATGCATGTTTATAGCAGCACAATCTGCAATTGCAAAAATGTGGAACCAACCCAAATGCCCATCAATCAGTGAGTTGCTAAAGGAACTGTAAAATATATATAAAATATAATTATATATTATATATATAATATATATAATATATATATTATATATATAAAATATAATTATATATAATATATTATATATACATACATTATATATATACATACATATGTAATATATATATATGTGTGTATATATACACACACACACACACACACACAATGGAATACAACTCAGCCAAAAAAGCAATGAATTAATGGCTTTTGCAGTGAGCAACCTGGATGAGATTGGAGACTATTATTCTAAATGAAGTAACTCAGGAATGAAAAACCAAACATAATATGTTCTCACTCATAAGCAGGAGCTAAGCTATGAGGATGCAAAGCATAAGAATGACACAATGGACTTTGGGGACTCAGGGGGAAAGAGTGGGAAGAAGGTGAGGGACAAAAGACTACAAATTGGGTGCGGTGTATACTGCTCAGATGATGGGTGCACCAAAATCTCACAAATCACCACTAAAGAACTTACTCATGTAACCAACCCCCACCTTTTCCCCAATAACCTATGAAATAAAAAACAAACAAAAACGCGGATCCTGTCTAATAACATTCACAAGCCCATTGCTTGGGGGAAGGTAATTACTTTTCAGCCTTGTATCTTATACTCTCTACAAGGGAGGCTTCTAAAGATCAAAATTTCAGATTTTTAAGTTGCAAGATGACTTTAGGGTATGCAGTTGCTATGGTCTAAATGTTTGTTTCCTCCTTAAATTTGTATGTTGAAACTCACCAATGTGAAGATATTAGGAAATGGGAGGCCTTTGGGAGGTGATTAGGTCATGAGGGTAGATGCCTCATGAATGGGATTAGAGTCCTTATGAAAGAGCCCCCAAGGCCAGGCACAGTGGCTCTGTAATCCCAGCACTTTGGAAGGCCAAGGCGGAGGATAGCTTCAGGCCAGGAATTCAAGACCAGCCTGGGCAACATGGCGAAACCCTATGTCTACTAAAAATACAAAAATTATCCAGGCATGGTGGCACACACCTGTAATCCCAGTTACTTGGGGGCAGAGGTAGGAGGATCACCTGAGCCCCAGATCATGCCACTGCAATCCAGCCTGGGCGTCACAGTAAAACACTGTCTCCAAAAAAAAAAAAAAAAAAAAAGGAAAAGGAAAAGAAAAAAGAGCCCCTGGAGAGCTGCCTTGTCCCTTCCACCAGGTGAAGACACAGAGAGAAGGTGTCATATGTGGAGCAGGAAGCTGCCCTCACCAGACATGGAATCTGCAGGCATCTTGCTCATGGACTTCCCAGACTTCAGAACTGTGAGAAATAAATTTCTGTTGTTTATAAGCCACCCAGTCTATATTATTTTGTTATGGCAGCTCCAGAGTAAGAAAGCAGTTTTATTTGTTTTCTTTTCCTAGTGTTTTCAATTAAAAGTCTTCGCATCTTTTCAGGAATAAGGCAGAAAGTGTTGTTTAAATGGAATGAATACACTCACATAAGAAGAAATAAAAATTCTGCTTCCAAATCTGTATTATAGATTTCCCTGCCAATATATCTCTTTCTCATCAGCTTCAGATCTCCACTCATATCTGTATTTCTAAAGGTGCCCATTCTCATACTATGTAATTGCTGTGAACAGATAGCTATTAGAATTATTATTGCCCACAAGAGAGGGAGGTGAAGCAGAACATTCTCCCTTACTTTCTTTTGCCAGCAAGTTCCTAACTCATCATACAGTCTTTAAAATGTGTTGTCTTCTGAGTCCTGCATCTAACTTCGGTGTTTCTTTGCAATGTATTCTTTGAAAACAATCTTTAATTGATGGTATTCTCACTTAGTTCAAAAGTTAAAAATGTTAGCATTGAGTGAAAATTTTCACTTTCACTTTTTTCACTTTTTAATTCTCACCACCCCATACCTAATAGGAACCACTTTTACCAGGTGTATATTACTCTTATAGCTTTTAAGATAAAAGTGAACAAATAAGAATTATATTTATATTTTACCCTATTTAAGACAACAGGTAGTATTGTTCTAAACCTTTCTTTTTCTTTTTCTTTTTTTGTTTTGTTTTTGAGACAGAGTCTCGCTGTCACCCAGGCTGGAGTGCAGTGCCTCGATCTCGGCTCACTGCAACCTCTGCCTCCTGGGTTCAAGGGATTCTCCTGCCTCAGCCTCCTGAGTAGCTGGGATTACAGATGCATGCCACCATACCTGGCTACTTTTTGTATTTTTAGTGGAGACGGGGTTTCACCATGTTGGTCAGGCTTGTCTCGAACTCCTGACCTTGTGATCTGCCTCCCTCAGCCTCCCAAAGTGCTGGGATTACAGGTATGAACCACTGTGCCTGGCCTAAACCTTTCTTTTTTTTTTTTTTTTAGCGTTGTTGCTATTTTTTATTTTAACCATTCTTTTTTTTTTTTAAATTTATTTATTTTTTATTGATAATTCTTGGGTGTTTCTCACAGAGGGGGATTTGGCAGGGTCATAGGACAATAGTGGAGGGAAGGTCAGCAGATAAACAAGTGAACAAAGGTCTCTGGTTTTCCTAGGCAGAGGACCCTGCGGCCTTCCGCAGTGTTTGTGTCCCTGGGTACTTGAGATTAGGGAGTGGTGATGACTCTTAATGAGCATGCTGCCTTCAAGCATCTGTTTAACAAAGCACATCTTGCACCGCCCTTAATCCGTTTAACCCTGAGTGGACACAGCACATGTTTCAGAGAGCACAGGGTTGGGGGTAAGGTCACAGATCAACAGGATCCCAAGGCAGAAGTTTTCTTAGTACAGAACAAAATGAAAAGTCTCCCATGTCTACTTCTTTCTACACAGACACGGCAACCATCCGATTTCTCAATCTTTTCCCCACCTTTCCCGCCTTTCTATTCCACAAAGCCGCCATTGTCATCCTGGCCCGTTCTCAATGAGCTGTTGGGCACACCTCCCAGACGGGGTGGTGGCCGGGCAGAGGGGCTCCTCACTTCCCAGTAGGGGCGGCCGGGCAGAGGCGCCCCTCACCTCCCAGACGGGGCGGCTGGCCGGGCGGGAGGCTGACGTCCCGACCTCCCTCCCGGACGGGGCGGCTGGCCTGGCGGGGGGCTGAACCCACCTCCCTCCCTGACGGGGCGGCTGGCCGGGCGGGGGGCTGACCCCCCACCTCCCTCCCGGACGGGGCCGCTGGCCGGGCAGAGGGGCTCCTCACTTCCCAGTAGGGGTGGCCAGGCAGAGGCGCCCCTCACCTCCCGGACGGGGCGGCTGGCCGGGCGGGAGGCTGACGCCCCGACCTCCCTCCCGGACGGGGCGGCTGGCCTGGCGGGGGGCTGACCCCCCCCACCTCCCTCCCTGACGGGGCGGCTGGCGGGGCGTGGGGCTGACCCCCCCACCTCCCTCCCGGATGGGGCTGCTGGCCTGGCGGGGGGCTGACCCCCCCCACCTCTCTCCCGGACGGGGTGGCTGCCGGGCGGAGACGCTCCTCACTTCCCAGACGGGGTGGCTGCCGGGCGGAGAGGCTCCTCATTTCTCAGACGGGGCAGCTGCCGGGTGGAGGGTCTCCTCACTTCTCAGACGGGGTGGTTGCCGGGCAGAGGGTCTCCTCACTTCTCAGACGGGGCGGCGGGGCAGAGATGCTCCTCACCTCCCAGACGGGGTCGTGGCCGGGCAGAGGTGCTCCTCACATCCCAGACGGGGCGGCGGGGCAGAGGCGCTCCCCACATCTCAGACGATGGGCGGCCGGGCAGAGACGCTCCTCACTTCCTAGATGTGATGGCGGCCGGAAAGAGGCGCTCCTCACCTCCTAGATGGGATGGCGGCCGGTCGGAGACGCTCCTCACCTCCCAGACTGGGCAGCCAGGCAGAGGGGCTCCCCACATCCCAGACGATGGGTGGCCAAGCAGAGACGCTCCTCACTTCCCAGACGGGGTGGCGGCTGGGCAGAGGCTGCAATCTCAGCACTTTGGGAGGCCAAGGCAGGCGGCTGGGAGGTGGAGGTTGTAGCGAGCCGGGACCACGCCACTGCACTCCAGCCTGGGCACCACCGAGCACTGAGTGAACGAGACTCCGCCTGCAATCCCGGCACGTCAGGAGGCCGAGGCCGGCGGATCACTTGCGGTTAGGGGCTGGAGACCGGCCTGGCCAACACAGGGAAACCCCGTCTCCACCAAAACCAGTCAGGCGTGGCGACGCGAGCCTGCAATCGCAGGCACTCGGCAGGCTGAGTCAGGAGAATCAGGCAGGGAGGTTGCAGTGAGCCGAGATGGCAGCAGTACAGTCCAGCTTCAGCTCAGCATGAGAGGGAGACCGTGGAAAGAGAGGGAGAGGGAGACCGTGGGGAGAGGGAGAGGGAGAGGGAGGGGGAGAGGGAGAGGGAACCTTTCTTTTTTAACTTAGCATTGTATCTTAAAGATCTTTCATGTTGGTAAACAGAGATCTTCCCCATTTTTTTATAGTTGTATAGTTTTCCATCAAGTGGATATACCATATTTACATAACCAGTGCTCTATTAATTTACATTTGGATTGGTTTCAGTCTCTTACTCTCACAAACAGTACTTCAATATTTAATTTGATGCATAAGTTGTTTGTTATATATACAAATACATCTGTAGAATAAACCCCAGAAATGGCATTCTTGGGTTTAATAGTTAACAAATTTGTCATTCTTGTGGTGTGTGTGTGTGTGTGTGTGTGTGTGTGTGTGTTTAAAATGCAATACTACTCTTCTTCTCTTCGTGAACTCTTCCTCATTCTCCAATACTCACTTTAGCTACTTGTTGAAGACTTTCTTGCTTTCTTTGTGAGGCTTGTTCCCACCTCTGTTCTCTCATTGCTCCATATTTGTAGCTCCATTATAGTTCTTAGCCCTTTGTACTAAGATTACTTGTTGGTACAGCAGTCTCCTCTACTGGTCTGTGGTGTTGAAAAGCAGGGATGCTGTCTGCTATATTTTTTGTAACCCCAGGACCACAGACAGTGCCCAGTGTATTGTAGATGCTCAATATGGATGGCTAGGTGGATACATGGATGGATTATAGATGAATAAATGAATACAGCCAATGACATTACTAGGACTGGGGTAAATTCCAAAAATTATTTTCTGGAGAACCTGGGACAGGTGTCAATGTTAAATATCAGGTGTGTTGTTATGCTTTAGTGTTTGGGATACCTGGGTGAGTTGACTCAGAGGTACTGAACCAGGAGCAGGACACAGGAGCTCAGGTAAGTACTGGATAAGGTTCATGTTGGAAGCAAACACCAGAAATGGATCTTCCATCACTTAAGCAAAAATTTGATTGTGGAAGCTTACAATAGAAGGCTTGAACAGCCAAGTCTCAGGAAGAATGGTAACAAGGCCAGGGCTTCTGAAACAGAAAGAGCTTGTGGGCTTCTTTTCTGAGCATTTCTGGAGGCAATTCAGCTCTTACTGTTTCCTGTCTCTGATTAGGTTCTCAAAATTCTCAGGAAAGAGCCAGATAGGTCAGCAGCCCCTTCCCTTGGCTCATTTAGGCATAGCTAAAGGACAGATGTGCTTCACTATGTGCTGGGCAACCATTACAATTTTTAACTACTAGAGGTGCCAAGGTGACAAGTAGGTGGGCTTCCTATTGGTTATGTGTGGTAGAGTCACAAAGAAGCCAGGGCAAAGTAGAAAGCAGGTTAATGGGGCAGGGACTCAGATAGGAGAGCAAGCAGAAGTCCAGCCACCAAAAGGTTAGCAATAGATTGGGATTAGACTGGCAGCCAAATGTGGAATAGGAGTCATCTGAACACATCTGGCCCCAGGTCAAGATTGGCTCTGGGAACTAGAAGACTGAGCCTGCCCTTGGGAGATGAGTGTTCAGCTTGGAAGCCAACCTGGGCCTGGCATGCATCGTTTCTTGGTACAGAACTTGAAGCAGACTTATCCATGCATGCATCTAAATTCACCCATCACCACTATGAAGGACAGGGGCAGCCTGCCTTAATCCTCACAAAATATACCAACTAAACATCTATGTATTTCATTGTCTGCTAACTACTGGTGCTTGTTATTTTTTTTTAGTTCATGTTATTTGACCTTGAATCCAACTTGTATGCTGGTGTGACTGAGACAGGGGAGGGTACTAGCATTTATTTCACACCTACTATGCTCTAGACAGAGTTAGTGGTTCAGATCTCATACACATTATTACATTTTTATTCCCCAAAATAGCCATTTGAGGGCAAATTTTAGCATGTTTTTAAAAAAATGCACTTTTTTTTTTTTTTCTTGAGACAGTGTCTTGCTCTGTCTCCCAGGCTGGAGCATAGTGGCGTGATCTTGGCTCACTGCAACCTCTGCCCCCTGGGTTCAAGCGATTCTCCTGCCTCAGTCTCCCGAGTAGTTGGGATTACAGGCGCCCACTACCATGCCTGGCTAATTTTTGTATTTTTAGTAGTGACAGGGTTTCACCATGTTGGCCAGGCTGGTCTCGAACTCCTGACCTCAGGTGATCTATCTACCTTGCCCTCCCCAAGTGCTGGGATTACAGGTATGAGCCTCCATGCCCAGCCTAAAAATACACTTTATTGAAGTATAAGTGACACACAAAAAGATGTACATATTTAATGTATACAATTTAATGAGTTTGGTGATGAGTATACACCCGTTAAAACATCACCACAATCTACGCCATAAATATATCCCACCACCTAAAGTTTCCTTCCAGGATTAGGTCTCTTTTGATAGATAAATTAATTTAAGCAGAGGAAGGTAAAGTAACATGAACAAAATTATCTGAGCCTCCAGTGATCACATTTTCCCTATCACAGCGCCCTCTAGGTCCTCTTGAGTCTTATCACATGCACACAGGGCCCATGGTACCTGTCTTGATAGTGACTACAAGCCAGCCAATCAGGGACAATAGAATGCACTTGGAGTCAGGAACCCTCCACTCTAACTCAGCTGTGCTGTTAGTTAGCTGGTGGCTTCGTATCTCATCTGTAAAGTGAGGGATTGATCAGATGACATCTAGGCTCTTCCATTGCTCTAAAAATGCCTTGCCTCTGGTTTTACAGCCTTTAAGGCAATTAGAGATCACTTCTGCCTTAGAGAGCTTTAATTTGGTCTGCAGATCTATGCCATACTGTTGCCACATTTTGTTAGCCTCCACAAAAATATGCCAGTATCCTTGACATTCTTCTCTACTTCTTTGCTTTTTTTTACACATAAAATATGAGATTTAAAGAAGCAGAATTGAGTGCCACACCAGTGTGATTCCCAAGGAAACTTGCAACTTACCTATAGTTTCTTTCTTTCTTTCTTTCTTTTTTTTTTTGAGATGGAGTCTCGCTTTGTCGCCCAGGCTGGAGTGCAGTGGTGCGATCTCAGCTCACTGCAAGCTCTGCCTCACGGGTTCATGCCATTCTCCTGCCTCAGCCTCCCGAGTAGCTGGGACTACAGGCACTCGCCACCATGCCTGGCTAATTTTTTTGTATTTTTAGTAGAGATGGGGTTTCACCGTGTTAGCCAGGATGGTCTCGATCTCCTGAACTCATGATCCGCCCGTCTCGGCCTCCCAAAGTGCTGGGATTACAGGTGTGAACCACTGTGCCTGGCCCCTATAATTTCTAAAGTATAATTTGGCATATTGTCTTCTATACTTCTCTGGTCTATAGAAGTTTTTATACTACCCTCCTCCCAATTTTTGGAAATGAAAACCTTTTTTTTTTCAAATGATGTACTTATTCAGAATTCCAAAATGTAAACCAAATGTAAATGAGTAAGAAAGAAAGTTATATCAACAACTGAGAAAAAATATCCTTCTGGGAAAAATTTTTGTATTTGAAAAGACCTTTATGGATAGAATGTGAGGCAAACTTATGTGCACAAGAAATTAACAGAATTGTGAAGGTAGAGGGATGGCATAGAAATAGGTAGAGAGGGCTCAGCAACAGAGTGGTGGGCTAGATCTCAAGGTTCCTGGAAGTAATGGAAAGACCTTTATAGGAGTAGATGTGTCTAATATTCAATTTTAAGGTGTTAGGTTTCTGTGATTTAAATCCTGCCCATTTCCTCACTTGGTCTGCTACATACACTAACACCCTTATGTAAGTTGGGCATTTTGTTTGTTTGTGTAGGGTGGGTAGTAGGGGTACAAAATAAGGAAAAGGACTGATTCCATGAAAACTAATTCATTGAAAGCAGAAACTATTATTTATCAAGTGCTTCCGGGTTCCAGGCAATATATCTGGTACATTTAATCTTCTAAACTATTCTAGGAATTAGGTCCTATTATTATTTCTGTTTTCAAGATGATAAAACTAAACCCTGGGGAAAATACACATTATTTGTACCAAGTTATCCAAGGAGCAAATGCTGAGAGTAGGACTTGAATTCTGATTTGCCTGACTCCAAACTCCATTTCTCACCCAGTGATTGCTCTCTATGGCTGCCTGTGTGTTACGGGAAAGACACAGGACTGTACAGAAGAACATCCTTTCAAATTGGGAAGGAGTCAAGAGACCAAAGAATGACCCAGAGAAGTCTAGTTATTCTTAATTAGGACTTACGGACAGGGCATTCCTGGGCAGCAGCAGGACATCTCCGGAGAACTGCTCTACCACCCATCTGTAAACTGCTTTTAAGCTATTTTTTTTTTTTGCCCTTTGCCTACTGCGTGCGACGAGACTGTTTTTTTTGGTATGTTCCCAGACATGCTCTGGAATGTTTAGGTTCTTAGGGACACTTTCTTTTCAGCTGGTCATCACGGCCTTGGCTCACTGCCCAGCCTTCAGGGCTCAAGGAGTGGACATACACCCTTAAGTAACCTGGTGGGGATCCATCACCCAAAACCATGACGGACAGGGATTTAGTCACTGGAACTACAAAAACCTGCAACTAGTAGCGAGTTATGCTTTCTACTCTTCTTTATATTGTTCCTTATGAGTTGGTTTTGTTTTTGTTATTGATATATTTTGTATGTCAAAGTCCTAGCTGAGTTTGGTGGCTTATGCCTGTAATCCCAGCACTTTGGGAGGCTGAGGCAGGAGGATTGCTTGAGGTCAAGAATTTGAGGCCAGCCTGGGCAACATAGAGAGATCTTGTCTCTATTTATAAAAGATAAAATAAAGTTTAAAAATATCTAAACAAAATATATGGAACTACTATTTTCAGGCTCAGGATGACAGATACGGGCTATAATCCTTTAAAGAAGGGAAACTAGTGAGGTGAGCTCCAAGTTTATCTGCCGGAGCTCTCTGGACTGCACAGTAAAGAGCCCAAGAAGAGAATAAGGGGCTTCTGAAGCTGCTGAGAGAGTTGGAATTTGTGGGACAATGAACCACTGAGAGGGCTCTGCACTTGAAGGAGAATGGAGAAGAAAGGGGCCAGAAATGTTTGTGGGGTAGCTCCTGTGGGCTTCTTGGCTGAGGCTGAAATGCGTGTATGTAAGGCAAGGATCTGCAAGGCCTAGCAAAAGCAAAAAGTTGAAGAACTGAAAGGGAAAGTAGCTAAGTTCAAATTATAGCTGAAGATTTTAACTACTCTTTCAATAATTGATAGAACAGAAAGACAAATAATCTTGGATATGGAACATTTGAGCAATACTATTAGGTCAACTTGGACTAATTAACATTTAGAGAACACTAACCCAAGAACTGCAGAGTGTACATTCTTTTCAAGTCACTCGGAATGTTCAGCAAGATAAACTATATACTGGGCCATAAAATATGTCTCAAATTTCAAAAAACGGAAGTAATGCAGAGTATGTTCTCTGACCACTGAAAAATAAAACTAGAAATGAGTTGCCATAGATATCTTTAAAAAAAATAAAACCCAAGCTGGACATGGTGGCTCATGCCTGTAATCTCAGTGCTGAGGCGGGAGGATAGCTCTAGCTAAGGAGTTTGAGACCAGCCTGGGCGACATTGTGAGACCTTGTCTCTACAAAAAAATTTAAAAATTATCCAGGCATGGTGGCATGTGCCTGTAGTCCCAGCTACTGGGAAGGCTGGGGTGGAAGGATCACTTGAGCTCAGGAGTTCAAGGTTATAGTAAGCCATGATGGTGCTACTACACTCCAGCCTGGGTAACAGAGTGAGACCCTGTCTCTAGTAAACAAACAAACAAACAAACAAACAAAAAAGCCCAAATATTTTGGATATTAAATGACATACTTCTTTTTTTTTGAGACTGTCTCATTCTGTCATCCACGCTGGAGTGCAGTGGCGTGATCTTGGCTTACTGCAACCTCCGCCTCCTGGGTTCAAGTGATTCTCCTGCGTCAGCCTCCTGAGTAGCTGGGACTACAGGCCTGCGCCACCATGCCCGGCTAATTTTTGTATTTTTAGTAGAGACAGGGTTTCACCATGTTGGCCAGGATAGTCTGGATCTCCTGACCTCATGATCCGCCTGCCTTGGCCTTCCAAAATGCTGGGATTACACGCGTGAGCCACCGTGCCCGGCAAATGACCTACTTCTAAACAACCTACAGGTCAGAAAAGAAATTCCAAGAGAAATTTTAAAGTATTTAAAACTGAATGATAATGAAAACACAACATATCAAAATTTGTGGGATGTAGCTAATGCAGCACTTAGGGGGAAATTTATAGTCTAAAATGATTGATTATATTAGAAAATAGATAAGCCTTCAAATTAAGGCTCTGAGTTTCCACCTTAAGAAGCTAGAAAAAAAAATAAACAAAAAGTAAGTAGAAGAACCAATAAGAATGGAAATAAGAAAGATAAATCACAGAAAAGACAGATCAAACTATTACAGCCAAAAGTTAATTCATTGAAAAGGCTAATAAAATTGAGGGAAAATGATAAAGAAAAAACAGAGAAGAGACAAATTAAAATTATCAGGAGTCAAAAAGGGGACATCACAAGAAATCCTATAGAAAGAAAGGGAATAAGGGAATATTATGATGAACTTTATGCTAATAAATTTGACAACTTAGAGAAAATGTACAAATTCTTAGAAAAACCTATTTAACAAAAACTGATGCAGAAATAAATAGAAAATATGTATAACTCCATAACTACTAAATAAATTGAGTTTGTAATTTTACAAAACCTCAAGCTGAGCACAGTCGTATCTGTAGCCTCAGCTACTTGGGAGGCTGAGGTGGGTGGATCACTTGAACCTGGGAGGTTGAGGCTGCAGTGAGCCATTATTGTACCACTGCACTGCAGCTTGGGTAACAGAGTGAGAGCTTGTCTCAAACAAAAGAAAACAAAAATCAATCAATATAATTCATCACATTAACAGAATAAAGGAAAAAAATTATATCTCCATAGATATAGAAAAAGAATTTCACAAAATCCAACATCCATTTTTGAAAAATTTCAGCAAACTGTGAAAAAAAGAGAATTCTCTTTTTTCTGTATTTATTCTTCTTTTTTTTTTTTTGAGACGGAGTCTTGCTCTTTCGCACAGGCCAGAGTGCAGTGGCTCGATCTCGGCTCACTGCAAGCTCCACCTACCGGGTTCATGCCATTCTCCTGCCTCAGCCTCCTGAGTAGCTGGGACTACAGGCGCCCACTACCACACCCGGCTAATTTTTTTGTATTTTTAGTAGAGACGGGATTTCACCGTGTTAGCCTGGATGGTCTCGATCTCCTGTCCTCGTGATCCGCTGGCCTCGGCCTCCCAAAGTGCTGGGATTACAGGCGTGAGCCACCGCGCCTGGCCTATTTATTCTTAAGACAGGGTCTCACACTGTCACCCAGGCTGGAGTGCAGTGATCTCCGCTCACTGCAACTTCTGCTTCCTTGGCTCAAGCCATCCTCCCATCTCAGCCTCTTGAGTAGCTGGAACTACAGGTTTGTGCCACTATGCCTGGCTAATTTTTCGTATTTTTTTTTTGTACGGATGTGGTCTTACCATGTTGCTCAGGCTGGTCTTGAACTCCTGGACTCAAGCCATCCGCCTGCTTGGACCTCCTAAAATTCTGAGATTCCAGGTGTGAGCCACCATACCCAGTAGAGAATTTTCTCAATCTGATAAAGAACATCCACAAAAAGTTATAGCTAATTTTGTACTTAATGATGACAGACTGAATGCTTTCTCTCATGACTGTGAACAAGGTGAGGATGTTCACTTCTATTGCTTTTAGGCAGCATTGTGTTGGAGGTCCTCACCTGTTTAATACAGCAAGAAAAAGGAATAAAAGTTTACAGATTAAAACAGAAGAGAAAATGTCACAAACAACGTGATTGCCTGCATACTAATTCCTAAATAATCTATTTAAAAATGACTAAAAATAATAAGTAAATTAGCAAGGTTGCAGGACAAAAGATAAATAATAAACAGTATTTCTATATTATAGCAAAAAATAATTGGAAGTTAAAATAAAAAATCAAAATATCACCAAAAACATGAACCCTTAGGATTGCATTTAATGAAATAATTGTAAGAGCTATATACTGAAACCTATAAAACATTGCTGAGAGAAATTAAAGACCTACTTAGGAGATGTATACATATTCAGAGATTGGCAGGCTCCATATTCTTAAGATGTTAATTATGCTCCCACTCTTCAAATTATTTATAGATTGATTACAGTTCTAATTAAAATCCCAGCAGTTTGTATGTAGACAATGACCAGCTGATTCTCAAATGTATGTAGAAATGCAAAGGACCTAGAATAGCTAAAATAATATTGAAAAAGGACAATATCAGAGGATTTATACTTCATGATTTTAAGGCTTACGAGATAGCTACAATATTAAGATAGTATAATCATATAATGATAGCAATTGAACAGAATACCATGGTCAGAACTAGACTCACCTATATATGGTCAATTGATTTTAAAGGTTCAATGCAGTATAATCTTTTTCTTTTTTCTTTTTCTTTTTTTTTTTTTTTTGAGATGGAGTTTTGCTCTTGTTGCCCAGGCTGGAGTGCAATGGCACAATCTCGGCTCACCGCAACCTCCACCTCCCAGGTTCAAGCGATTCTTCTGCCTCAGCCTTCCCAAGTAGCTGGGATTATAGCCATGTGCCACCAAGTCCGGCTAATTTTGTATTTTTTGTAGAGATGGGGTTTCTCCATGTGGGTCAGGCTGGTCTTGAACTCCCGACCTCAAGTGATCCGCCCACCTCGGCCTCCCAAAGTGCTGGGATTACAGGCGTGAGCCACAGCACCCAGCTTCAATGCAGTATAATCTTAAAGCATGCTGGATCAACATGAGAATATATTCATATACATAAAAAACATGACCTTTACCTCATACCATTTACAACAATTAACTTGAAATGTGTCATAGATGTAAAAATAAGAGCTAAAACTGTAAAATTTCCAGATGAAAGTCAAGGAGAAAATCTTTGTGATGTTGGGTTAGGCAGTTTTCTTAGGACACAAAAACATTAGCCATAAAAAGAATCCATAAGTTGAACTTCATCAAAATTGAAAACTTTTGCTCTTCCAAAGACACCCTGAGAACACTGAGGACAAACCACACAGCGAAAATATTTAAAAATTTATATCTTATGAAGGATTTGTATCTAGGATATATAAAAATCTTTTATAATTCAATAAATAATGTAGTTAAAAATGGGCAAAACAGTATAGACTTTTCATGGAAGAATATTTTATTTTTATTTTTTTTTGTGAGACGGAGTCTCGCTCTGTCATCCAGGCTGGAGTGCAGTGATGCAATCTTGGCTCACTACAACCGCTGCCTCTTGGGTTCAAGCAATTCTCCTGCCTCAGCCTCCTGAGTAGGTAGGATTACAGGTGTGTGCCACCATGCCCGCCCAGCTAATTTTTGTATTTTTAATAGAAACGGGGTTTCACCATGTTGGCCAGGTTGGTCTCGAACTCCTGACCTCATGATCTGCCCGCCTCACCCTCCCAAAGTGCTGGGATTACAGGCATGAGCCACCGCACCCGGCCCCAAACAATATTTTAAAACTGGCAAATAAGCATATGAAAAGATACTCAGCATCATTATTCATTGGGGAAATGCAAATAAAACCACAATAAGGTATCATTACAAAGCAGTAGAATGATAAAATTAAATGAGTGATGATACTAATTTTTGGCAAGGGTATGAAGCAACTACTACTCTGAATAATAGTTGGTTTTTTTTTAAGTTAAAATACATTTGATATATGCACCAGCAATCTCACTACTAGGTATTTACCCAAAAGACATGAAAACATTTATCCATTCAAAACTCTGTACTAAGATGTTCATATCAGTTTTATTGACAACATCCAAAAACTAGAAAAAATCCAGGTGTTCACAGACTGCTGAATGGCTAAACACATTGTGATTTTTTTTTTTTTTTTTTTTTTTTTTTTGAGACAGGGTCTTGCTCTGTCATCCAGGCTGGAGTGCAGTGGTGTCTACCATAGCTCACTGTAGCCTCAAACTCCTGGGCTTAAGCGATCTCACCTCAGCCTCACAAGGAACTGGGACTACAAGTGTGCGCCACTACCCCCAACTGATTTTTTTTTTTTAATTTTAGAGACAGTCTCATTCTGTCACCCAGACTGGAGTGCAGTGGTGCGATCTCTGCTCATTGCAACCTCTGCCTCCCAGGATCAAGTGATTCTCAAGCCTCAGCCTCCCAGTAGCTGGGATTACAGGTACACACTACCATGCCCAGCTAATTTTGTATTTTTAGTAGGTTTTGCCATGTTTTGGCCAGACTGGTCTTGAACTCCTGGCCTCAAGATGATCCACCTGTCTGGGCTTCTCAAACTGCTGGGGATTACAGGTGTGAACCACCACTCCTGGCCCCAGCTAATTTTTTTAAAAGTTCTTTGTAGAGACAGGGGTCTTGCTATGTTGCCCAGGCTGGTCTCAAATTCATGGGCTTAAGTGATCTACCTGCCTTGTTCTCTCAAAGTGCTAGGATTACAGGCATGAGTGACTGTGCCCAGGCCATATTGTGATAGATATATACAGATATATATACACACACACACACACATACATATATATACACACACACATATATACATATATACATACATATGTGTGTATATATGTATTTTTTTTTTTTTTTTTTTGAGACGGAGTCTCGCTCTGTCGCCCAGGCCGGACTGCGGACTGCAGTGGCGCAATCTCGGCTCACTGCAAGCTCCGCTTCCCGGGTTCACGCCATTCTCCTGCCTCAGCCTCCCGAGTAGCTGGGACTACAGGCGCCCGCCACCGCGCCCGGCTAATTTTTTGTATTTTTAGTAGAGACGGGGTTTCACCTTGTTAGCCAGGATGGTCTCGATCTCCTGACCTCATGATCCACCCGCCTCGGCCTCCCAAAGTGCTGGGATTACAGGCGTGAGCCACCGCGCCCGGCCATATATGTATTTTTTTGAGACGGAGTCTTGCTCCATCACCCAGGCTGGAGTGCAGTGGCGCGATCTCAGCTGACTGCAAGCTCCGCCTCCCGGGTTCACGCCATTCTACTGCCTCAGCCTCCCCACCAGCTGGGACTACAGGCGCCTGCCACCACGCCGGGCTAATTTTTTTTTTTTTTTTTGTATTTTTAGTAGAGACGGGGTTTCACTGTGTTAGCTAGGATGGTCTCCATCTCCTGACCTCGTGATCTGCCCGCCTTGGCCTCCCAAAGTGCTGGGATTACAGGCGTGAGCCACCGTGCCTGGCCATATTGGGATATTTTTAAAAATCACAAAAAATTGTGATAATTCCATTCCATAAAATACTAGTCATTAATAAGATGGAAAGCACTACTGATACATGCAAAAATATTGATTAATATAATATTAATTAAAGCTTCCTAAGCAAAACAAGAGTTTTATTCATATGAAATTCTATAAAAGGCAAAACCATTGTGATAGATCAGTGGTTGCCTGGGCCTGAGGGCTGGGAGAGAGGAATGATTGCAAGCTCACAAGAGAAATCTTTTTGGCATGATGGAATGTCCTATACCTTGATTTTGGTCATGATTATGAGACAGTATATATTTGTCAAAACTTATCAAACTGGCTGGAGCAGTGGCTCATGCCTGTAATCCCAGTACTTTGGGAGGCCGAGGTGGGAGGATCACTTGAGGCTAGGAGTTCAGGACGAGACCGGGCAATAGAGCCAGACCCTGGCTCTCCAAAAAAAATCTAAAAGTTGGTTGGGTATGGTGGCTTGTGCCTGTAGTCCCACTACATGGGAGGCAGTGGCAGGAGGATCGCTTGAGGCCAGGAGTTTGAGGATGCCGTGAGCTATGATCACACCACTGCACTCCAGCCTGGGTGCCACAGACTGAGACCCTGTCTCTCTTAAAAAAAAAAAAAAGTAGGCCAGGCTTGGTGGCTCACGCCTGTAATCCCAGCACTTTGGGAGGCTGAGGCAGGCAGATCACGAGGTCGGCATGGTGAAACCCCATCTGTACTAAAAACAAATACGAAAAATTAGCCGGGTATGGTGGTGTGCGTGTGCCTGTAATCCCAGCTACTCGGGAGGCTGAGGCAGGAGAATTGCGTGAACCTGGGAGGTGAAGGTTGCAGTGAGCCAAGATGGCACCACTGCACTCCAGCCCAGGCGACAGTGCAAGACTCCATCTCAAAGAAACAAACAAACAAACAAAATATATATATGTAAATTATATATCAGTAAAATCAATTTCTAGGAAAAATATATTGCCCTTACAAGGAGTACCTTTCATTTGCTTATTAAATAAAGCACCTTATAGCTTTTACAAAGGAAGGAAAGAAAGAAAGGAAGGACGTAAGAAAGGAAGAGAGGGAGGGAAAGGCAGAAACATAAATGATTATAGAAAGCTTCCATTTATGTTTAATAATACTTGGAGTAAAACTCTATAATACTTACTAGTAAGAGGCTTGAAGATAGGCACCTGGGAATTGATCAACAGGTGTGGCTACACAATAGGCGTGTGCTCCCTGAATTTTCAATAGAGGGTTATTTATCAACACCTGGCAGTCAAGGTGACTGCCTTGCTCTTGCAGAGCATGTCTTGGTTAAATTAAAGTATCAGAAGAGGGTTGCCAGGTATCCCCCCACACCTGGAATAGCCCCAAGAGAACATACTTCTAAGTGGAAACATAGGCTATGTTCAGTCCTGGGTTGGCTCTAAAGGGCTCCTGAAGGATGGAACACATGGACCCAGATTTAGCTTCACTAAAGATCTTATCCAAAAAGAAGATAGCTTGTAATAGAAACCAGTCTCTTGGTAAGAGCCACCATTTCAGAATTTTCCAGAACAAAATAGTTATACCATATGTTGCTCATACACTTTGGGAGTATTTAAATTAAGTCTTTTTTTTTTTCTTTTTTAAAGAGACAGAGTCCAGCTCTGTTGCCTAGGCTGGAGTGCAGTGGCACAAACACAGCTCACTGCAGCATGGAACTTTTGCCTCAGCCTCCCAAGTGGCTGGGACTACAGGTGCATGCCAAGGTGCCTGACTAATTATTTTGTATTTGCAGGGATAGGATGTCACTATGTTGTCCAGATTGGTCTCTAACTGGCCTCAAGCGATCCTCCCACCTTGGCTTCCCAAAGTGCTGGGATTACAGGTGTGAGCCATCACACCCAGCCCTACCAGTTGTTCATTAAAAGGCTCCAAATAAAACAACCAAAGAGCTAAAAGTATGAACCAGCAATTAAGGAGAACACATGGGATTTGGTTTCTTTGGCTAGCCTGACGCAAAGCAATTCCCAGCGGAAATCTCAGAGCTCAGAGACAGGCTCAGTTGTTTCCAGTGTCCAAGCTAAATATACTGATATCAGCTTCAAGGAAAAGGTAGGGTGATAAAAAGAAAAACAAACGATATGTCAAGAGGTATTATTTTCTCTGTTCCCAGAGGCAAATTAGTACCGAAAGGCAGTTTTGTGGCCTGAATAAGTCACTTTAACTACTCTGGGTTGGATTCTCTCTCTACCTCCTCTCTTCCTTAATTATTCTCTTTATTTTTTTATTATTATTTTTTTGAGATGGAGTCTTGCTCTGTCGCCCAGACTGGAGTGCAGTGGGGTGATCTCGGCTCACTGTAACCTCTGCCTCCTGGGGTCAAGTGATTCGCCTGCCTCAGCCTCCTGAGTAGCTGGGATTACAGGTGCCCGCCACCGCACCTGGCTAATTTTTGTATTTTTAGTAGAGACGGAGTTTCACCATGGTGGCCAGGCTGGTCTTGAACTCCTGACCTCATGATCCACCTGCCTCAGCCTCCCAAAGTGCTTGGATTACAGGCATGAGCCACCGCGCCCAGCCAATTATTCTCTTTAATTAACAATAATTATAACTGCCTTGGTGTGCCATTGTGAGGTTTGAAAAAAAAAGCATGCAGGACTCCTACCACAATGCCTGTCTCCAAGTAGCTCAGTGAACAGTTAATATTATATCTAACATGGTGCTAAATACATTAAATAGCAAATGTTATATGTAAAGGATGTGTGAATATTTTCTGTGGACCTCTACAGAGGTAAATTGTCAACATTACAGGATTAGCCATGCATGATGGCTCATGCATGTAATCCCAGCAATTTGGGAGGCTGAGGCAGGTGGATTGAGCCCAGGAGTTGGAAACCAGCCTGGGCAATATAGTGAAACCCTGTCTCTACAAAAAATACAAACATTAGCTGGGCAGTGTGGCTTGCACCTGTAGTCCCAGCTCCTTGGGAGGCTGAGGTAGGAGGATCGCTTGAGCCCAGGAGGTTGAGGCTGCAGTAAGTTGTGATTGCACCACTGCACTTTAGCCTGGGTGACAGAGTGAGTCCCTGTCCCAAAACAAAAACCAAACCAAACCAAACCAAAACAAAAAAAATTACAGGATTAATTCCCAGAAAGTGAAGAAACAGTAAGCATAATGGAGATGCACTTGCTTCTATCAGGGGAAGTAGAGATGAGAGATCCCCAGTGAGGGTGGTGTGCCGGGGTTATTCTGTTTGTCTCCCAGATCCATTTTTCTTCTCAGGAGGCTTTCTCCTGACAACATTATTGCTTGAGCTCCCTTGCTAGCTGGGTACCAGTTGGGTTTGGCCAGTGTGAGGCACTGGCAGAAACTCAGAGCAAATGGAGGGAAGTCTAGGCATTCCCTCCCTGCATTAGCATTGTGTCTTTAGCAGTGTTTGCATCCATCCAGGACTACAGGCAACTCCTTCCCCTCTCAGCCCTCACTGGGCCCTGGTATTACTGTTTCCTTCCCTTGCCCTTTTATATGTGGGTGGTAATGGCTTCTCACTGCTATGAATCTGTATGTGACACCGTCCCTTCTATATGCCATCAACTCTGTGCACACTTCTATAAGCAGTGCCTTCATTAGAGTCTCTGTGTTTGAAGCATCTAGGGCAAATGTAGTTTCTGCTAGGACCTTGACTGATCAAGGGTCTCCAAAACACTCTCAAATGCACCCATTAGAGAAAGATACAGCTTTAATTATCTGGCACTTCCAAAGAGTGCCAACTACTTACCCACAATAGTACAAGTAATAATTTTCCCACTCCCTAGTAATTTTCCTGAAAACATTAGAAACACAGCTAGCAAGATGGAGGTGGAATAATAAAAGCCCTAAGTGGTAGAGAGAAGCTGGTAACATCTGGCAATAAGTCAGAGCTGGGAGGATAGGAGGAGAGAACCCAGCTTCACATGAAGTTCTAAGTTTGAACTATTACATGTGGCCGATATGTTAAAAATTAACCGGAAGACCTTGCGTTAACTATGGATAATTAGAAAAACCATAGGGCCTGCTATAATGCTTACCCAGAGGGAAGAGGAAGAACAAGCCCCAATGAGTACATTTAAAAGAAGCAAATAAATTTGCTTTATTACATACCAGAAGCAGGCTATTCAATATAATGCTTACATAGTTCCAGTGTATGAGTAATTATTAACAGCTCTGGAAAGACTTAATTGCACAGCAAAGGTCTTGGAAGTGGGTCTCAATTGCATGCCTACTTGGCTCTAGCCTTGTTACTAAATCATCAACCTTGTCATACTGGGTTGGCAATGAACTTGTTCATTTCCTTAACATTTTATGACCAGAGGATGTTTTCTTCCCATTTTTTTGCCCTAGCATAATTTTTTTTTTGAGATGAAGTCTCACTCTGTCACCCAGGCTGGAGTGCAGTGGCATGATCTCAGCTCACTGCAACCTCCACCTCCCAGATGCAAGCAATTCTCCAGGCTCAGCCTCCTGAGTAGCTGGGACTACAGGCGTGCACCACTACGCCTGGCTAATTTTTGTATTTTTATAGAGATGGGGTTTCACTATGTTGGCCAGGCTGGTCTCGAACTCCTGAGCTCAAGTGATCCACCCTCTTCGGCCTTCCAAATTGTGCCCTAGCATAATTTTTATTATATACCTGCCGTTGTATAATATTTTTATTCTTATATGGCAACCACATGACATGACACCACATGACAAATGACCATAATATCCCACTTTATTAGTTTGACTATTGGTCTGTACTCTTGGATTAGATAGAAAGATCACATGAGTGTTGTTGCCACTGTTGAGTACATGCAGAAGTCAGTGGTGGATCTGTAGGAGGGCAGTGGGTCAGAGAGGCAATGCCTGGGAAACAACTGCTTGTCACCCCAATCCAACTTCAGATGGTGGCTGTATTTTGTGAGCTCCACTTTCCGGGAGATAATGCTTAGCTTTTTAGTTTCTGAAATTCAATTGTTAGGTCACCCAGAGGTGTTGCGTTGCTGATTAATGTATCTTGTCCTATCTGTGAAACCTATGTGGGAAGCCAGAATCTAATAGGAAGAGTTTACTTGGTGAGCATAGAATGAACACAAGCAGAATCAACTGATGACTTTAATGGCTGATATCATCTGGGTATGATAAATAATAGGAATCTGGCTGTGTCAGGCTATCTGTGTCCATGGGCCAGGGACTCACTGCCCTGACTCATGCTAGAGGCACACAGTCAATGTCTGTGTCTTTAACTCTCTTTCATGCTTCATTTACAAACCCAGTTGCAACCTGATAGACACATTCTATTGGGGTGATAACCCTAAAGATACCTCAAGTTATGGTTACACTTTACTGGCCTGGGAATCTTACCATCCATCTCTTTACCATAACTTTGCCTATCTCTGATACAATTATTTCTTTGCTTACAATATAATCTAGCTATCTGGGGCAGTCATTTTTCCTTTATCACCAACTTCTTAGGGAATCCTTGTTTTTGGCCATGTGTACCACCCATGGCTACCAGATGGGAGGCAGGATCTCCAGGACTCATTGTGCTGACTGCAACACTTCTTAATTGCAGGCTTCCAAACAGAGGGACAGTTGGTTTATCTCTCTGCAGGTGGTTTTTCTAATTTTTTTTTCTGTCCTCTGGACCTAATATCAAAGGTTATTGCTTTTTCTTTTTTCCTTTTTTAGAGACAATTTCTCATTCTGTCACTCAAGGTAGAGTATAGTGAATGGCTTGATCATAGTTCACTGCAGCCTAGAACTTGCAGGCCCAAGCGATCCTCTCACCTCAGCCTGCTGAGTACCTAGGATTACAAGTGCATGCCACTATACCCACTTAATTTTTTAATTTTTTTGTAGAGACAGCGTCTTGCTTTGTTACCCAGGCTGGTCTTGAACTCCGGGCCTCAAGCACTTTTCTCTTTTTTTTTTTTTTTTTGAGACAGCGTCTCGCTCTGTCACCCAGGCTGGAGTGCAGTGGCACAATCTCGGCTCACTGCAACCTCCACCTGCCAGGTTCAGACAATTCTCCTGCCTTAGCCTCCCAAGTAGCTGGGACTACAGGCATGTGCCATTGCCTGGCTAATTTTTTTTCGTATTTTTAGTAGAGACGGGGTTTCACCATGTTGGCCAGGCTGGTCTCAAACTCCTGACATCGTGATCCACCCACCTCAGCCTCCCAAAGTGCTGGGATTACAGGCGTGAGCCACTGCGCCCGGCTCAAGCACTTTTCTCACCTTGGCAGCCCAAAGTGTTGGGATTATAGGCATGAGCCACTGCGCCTGAGTGGTTATTGCTTTTGAATCATCACATCTTGGACCTAAATAGCTTCACTTCTAAAACCTAAAACTCTAAAGATTCACACTCTGACTACAAATTCCCATGCTTCCAGTTATCATTCCTTTTTTTCCTACAATTCCTAACTCTCAGTTTCGGAGAAAATTTGAAATACCTTGATCCCTCTATCTAACACCTCCTGGCCGTATTTCCTTCCTTACATAATCCATAGCCAGATGGACTAGCACTTCAACCACTCTCTCTTGCTTGTTTCTTATAGTTCTGTATCTATCTGCCCTGCACATCCATGGGGCCAAACCAGTATTGGCCTTTCTTGTTTCCACATTGGCGGCAGAGTACTGCTAAAGGAAAAACAACCATTAAGCAAATTGCAACCACTTCAAATTTATAATCTTCCATTTTATCTGTACTCATCTTTCAATAATTCCTTTACCTGAACATGGTCAGCTCCCCTCCTATTTAGCAGAAAATTTCACTATTTCTCAGGGCCTCTAGCTCACCCCCAACTCTGCCTCCCTCAGTTGATGATCTTGCTATTTATTTCCTAGATAAAATAGAGGCCATCCACGCACACTCATTTCCCACCACTTCCCAGCTTGAAAACATTCCCAGCCACATGCATTCTAGCTGCTTTGCTCCTCTCTTAGAGGAGCCATTCTAAGGCTAATCCTTCTACCTGGGCTCTAATTAGGTTGTTGCTTTTAAAAATCATTCCCTTTCTTTCTAGCCATGGCAACATTTCTCTGATAGCTCCTTCTTCACAGGCTAAAAACAAAGCCTCTCCTTCATTCTACATTTTCCTCTACATATGAACCCCTTTAACCTTCCATTCACAGTTAAACTCCTTAGTAGTCTATACTCATTACTAGCTCGCTCTTCACGTTCCATTCATTCTCCAACTTACCGTTTGTATTACTCCATTCTCACACTGCTATAAAGAAACATCTGAGACTGGGTAATTCATAAAGAAAAGAGGTTTAATTGACTCACAGTTCTGCAGGCTGTACAGGCAGCATGGCTGGGGAGGCCTCAGGAAACTTACAATCATGGAGGAAGGCAAAGGGGGAGTGAGGAACTTCACATGGCCAGGGCAGCAGGAAGAGAGAGAGGAGGGAGGTGCCACATACGATCTCGGCTCACTGCAAGCTCTGCCTCCCGGGTTCATGCCATTCTCCTGCCTCAGCCTCCCAAGTAGCTGGGACTACAGGTGCCCGCCACCAAGCCTGGCTAATTTTTTTTGTATTTTTTTTAGTAGAGATGGGATTTCACCGTGTTAGCCAGGATGGTCTCGATCTCATGACCTCGTGATCCACCCACCTCGGCTTCCCAAAGTGCTGGGATTACAGGCATAAGCCACCACGCCCGGCCAACGCCACACACTTTTAAACAACCAGATGGTAGGATAACTCACTCACTCACTATCGTGAGAACAGCACCGAGAGGGCGATGCTAAGCCATTCATGAGAAACTGCCCCCACGATCCCGTCACCTGCCACCAGGCCCCACCTTCAACATTGGGGATTGCAATTGAGCAAGACATTTCAGTGGGGACACAGGACACAGATCCAAACCATATCACTACTATCTACTTCCTGTTCCTCCCACACTCCCACCCCCACCCCCAGCTTTTCATGAAACTCTTCTGAGAAATGTTATCGTTGGCCTTCTAGTTAGAAAAGTCAATGGACTGTTCTATCTCAATGCAGAAGTTACCACTCTTGGCCACACTTTCATTAGTGGACTTTTATTATCCTTTTGACTGCTCAGCATAAAACTTTCTTCTGATGCTCCATGATTTCCCCACTTCATGTGTCTTAGGGGAGGTAAAAACTGTATCTCACTATAGAAGTTAAAAAGAGCAGCATTGCCAGCCTCCTTTGCAACTAGGGCCCTGCTTATGACCTAGGCTTGGCCATTCTGATATACCTGCCCCAGGCATGGAATTCATACTTGGTAATGCAAAGAATCGGGGAGAGCTGGCTTCTCTCCGACAGTGAATAACGTGATAGCAGCATTTCTCTCTCCCCTTCCTCTTCCCCTTCCCCTTCCCTTTCCTCTTCCCTTCTCATCCCTTCTCTTCCTTTCTTCTTCTTTTTTTGAGACAGAGTCTCACTTTGTCACCCAGGCTGGAGTCCAGTGGCGTGATCTTGGCTCACTGAAACCTCTGCCCCCTGGGGTCAAGTGATTCTCATGCCTCAGCCTCCCAAGTAGCTGGGATTACAGGTGTGTGCCACCAGACCTGGCTAATTTTTTGTATTTTTAGTAGAGACAAAGTTATGGCATGTTGGCCAGGCTGGTCTTGAACTCCTGGGCTCAAATCATCCGCCTGCCTCAGCCTCCTAAAGTGAGCATTTCTTTTGTTGAGGCAGTGCTAATAGTCCAGTCTTCAGAGACCACAACTGTGGTGTCCTTATGCTACCAATTCTGGGGTGTGGTTTGTGATAGTGATTTGACTGCATAGCCTCTGCAGGTGATTTGATGAACTACCCAATAGCCTTTAATTTTTTTCCTCTTATGTTTAAATCAACCAGAGTCAGTTTCTGCTGTTTGCAACTTTACAATATAATACAAACTTCATTTGTATACTTTGCTGCTTCCTATTTTTAGTGAATCTATTATAGGTTTTTGTGTTGTAGTTACCATGAGGCTTACAAAGAACATCTTATAGATATAACCAATTATTTTAAAGAAATGACACCTTATCTTAGATCACAAAGAATGCAATAGGCTTGTTTTGTAGCCTAAAATATGGTCTCTGGAGAATGTTACATGTGCTAATGAAAAGATATTTATTTATTTATTCTTTTTCTTTTTTTAAATAATAGAGAAAGGGGTCTCACCATGTTGCCCAGGATAGTCTCAAACTCCTGGGCTTAAGGAATTCACCCACCTTGGTCTCCCAAAGCGCTGGGATTTACAGCCATGAGACGCCTTAATTGGGCCTTTTTTTTTTTTTTAAACTTCATTTTTGAAATACCTCCTTTGGTTGATTAGTTCTGCACTCCCATTTCCTCCTCCTTCCAGTAGACACTAATTCTCACGTGTTAATATCTACCTTGAACTTGAATGTGTTCTTATAAAATACATAGTATTTTTGTGTGTATGTTTTTAAATTCACATAATTAGTATTTTGCCAGGGATCTCGTTCTTTTCTATCTTTTTAAAAGCTCAGCACTAACCTTTAAAAAGTCTATATTGTTATATATCAAAGCAAGTTGCATTTATTTCAGGTTGGTGCAAAAGTAATTGCAATTTTCACCAGTACTTCATTGTTAAAACTGCAATTACTTTTGCACCAACCTAAGAACTGCTGCATGAAGGTGTTTCTGCCTCAGGCCTAGGATTTTGAACTTCCCTTTACCACATAAACATTGCAGTGAACATCCTTGTACACGTAGCCTCATGCACATCTATGTGAGAATGTCTCGTGTATATTTTACCAGGAGGAAGTTGTTGGAACATGGGGAACACATTTGTTAAATTTCATTAAGTACTGCCATATTATGCCCCCAGAATGATCGTAGGAGTCACCTACCAATAGTGTTCTCATTTCTCATATCCTTGCCAATACTTATTATTCATCATTTTAATTCTTTTTTTTTTTTTTTTGAGTTGGAGTTTTGCTCTTGTTGCCTAGGCTGGAGTGCAATGGTGTGATCTTGGCTCACTGCAACCTCCGCCTCCTGGGTTCAAGCAATTCTTCTGCCTCAGCCTCCTGAGTAGCTGGGATTACAGGCGCCTGCCACCATGCCCAGCTAATTTTTTGTATTTTTAGTAGAGACAGGGTTTCATCATATTGACCAGGCTGGTCTTGAACTTCTGACCTCAGGTGATCTACCCGCCTCGGGCTCCCAAAGTGCTGGGATTACAGGCTTCAACCACCACTCCCGGCCTCATCATTTTAATTCTAAAATGCTGCAATATTTCACAGCTACCATAGAGAACTAATACAACAGCTTGATGATTTTTTAAATATAGTATACGTCTGTCAACCCACCACCTGGGACACTGGATTGAAGGTGGGTGCCCTGTGGAGGTGGGTGGGAGCAGTGGGGTTGGCCACAGGCAGATTTCCCTGGTATCAGAGACCTCAATAGCAGACAGCTTTGACAGGAACCGGACCCAAACATGGAGAGAATAATAGATACTACTGAGGTTCCTAAAAATAACCAGGAAACTTTACAAGGAGATGGATGATGTTGGGAATGCAATCTGTTTTTCCAGGTTTGGGTGGGTGGGGTGCATGTATTAACTTTCTGCCTGGCCCCTAGACAACATGGTCCTTGAACCTAAGGACTATATCTTATACATGGTTATATTTCCAGTCTCTAAAACATTTCACGGCCCAGGATACTCACTAAATGTTTTTTGAATGACGAGCTACATTCTCTTGACATAGTCTCTTTTATCTACAAAATGAAGAGTTTTCTCCCATGTTGAAATGACGTTTATTTTGCCTTTTCTTTCTACGTCCCAGCTAGCACTTAATTCTAGACTTCCCTACCAACGTTAGCTAAAAAGTTTTCAGCTGTTGGCATCTCAGTTTCAATATAATCTTCACAACTTGGTCCTGATCTTTTTCATCCTGGTCTTACAGCGTTTTGTCATGTGCTCCTGCAATATTTAGGTCTTAGGACATGTTCTTGAATTACAAAAGCTCCGGGCTTGGTTCCTATAATGGCTTCTACCCCTAATCAACCCTGGGAATGCCTACTCACCCTGAGTTCCAAATAAAATATCACCTCTTTAGGTATAACTTCTCTGGTCCCCCAGGCAGAATTAGCCACCTCCTTGCTTATTTCCTCAAGTACTTTTTTCTTACTCTCATAGCCCTTAACTTGAGGTATCCTGATTTCTCTCTTAACATGTTCCTTCTGCATTGAAGGGAGGTCATCTCCTGAATAGGTTTATCTGGGTCCATATTTATTTACTTACTTATATATATTTTTGAGGCAGGGTCTTACTCTGTAGCCAAGGCTGGAGTGCCGTGGTTCGATCATAGCTCACTGCAGCCTTGGTCTCCTTGGCTTAAGGGATCCTCCCACCTCAGCCTCCTCCTGAGTAGCTGGAACCACAGGCATGCACCATCACACCTGGCTAATTTTTTTTTTTAATTAATTGTTTGTAGAGATGGGGGTCCCACTATGTTTCCCAGGCTGGTCTTGAACTCCTGGGCTCAGGCGATCCTCCCACCTCAGCCTCCCTAAGTGCTGAAATTACAGATGTGATCCACTGCACCTGGCCAGTCTGGGTCCTCATTGATGAGCATAGTGCATACCACATAGGGGGTGCTTATATTATTTATGGTTCTACAGAGAAACAGAACTATTAGGATTAATTTCAAGGAATTGGTTCATATCATTGTGGGGGATGGCAAGTCTGAAACTTGCAGGCTGGAAATTCTGGTATGAGCTAATATTGCAGCCTTGAGTTGAAAAATCTCAGGGAAGCCAGCAGCCTGGAAGGTCAGGTAGGATTTTTCTGTTGAGACAGAATTGCTTCTTCTTCAGGGAACCTCAGTCTTTGCCCTTGAAGCGTTCAACTGATGGGATGAAGCTTGATTGAAATAATCTGCTTAACTTAAAGTCAACTGATAGTAATTGTTATACCTTGGTCAAAAATACCTTGACGGCAACATGTAGACAAGCCTTTGACCAAACAACTGGGCACCATAGACTAGCCAAGAAGACACATAAACTGATCATCACAGTGCTTAATAAATGTTTGTTGCATAAATAAACGAATAGATTTATTCATTCAACACAATAAGTGTTACACAAGTTCAGAGAAAAGACCAGTGGGCTTTGACATGGATTTCTAGACTTACAATTTTCTTAACAAGTAATAGAATAATCATATTTTGTTCATTGAGCAGGATGCCATCAGAATGTCCTCCAAAAAACAGAGAGAGAGAATACACACATTTGCGAATTAAACAAATTTAGATACATGGACACATGAAGTATAACCATCCAATTACTTTTATTCTAGGTGGGGGAAATATGGCATTAATAAACTTTGATCAAAATTATTTTACTATTAATTGTTGTGGTACCAATGAAAACATTTTAAGAGGAAAATAAGAAGGCTTTGAAGTGGTTCTTTTTTTTTTTTAGATTCAGGGTCTTGGTCTGTCACCTAGGCAGTGGCAGGATCATAGCTCACTGTAGCCTGGGCTCAAGCGATCCTCCCACCTGAGCCTCCCAAGTAGCTAGGAATCTAGGTATGTACCACTGTGGCCAGCTAATTTTTTTAAACTCTTAGCCTCAAGCAATCCTTCTGCCTTGGCCTCCCAAAATGCTAGGATTATGTGAGCCACCATGACCCACCCCTGAAGTGGATCTTTATACAGATTAAAAATGGTTAATTCAGAATGTTCATTTCCAACTTTTGACTAAGTCATGAAGCCAACAAGGTGCTGGAAGGAGCAAGAAGGAGCAGGACTGAGGGCCAGTGGTTAAGGGGTTAACATGGTGAGAATGGGGCCTCCCTTTATAAATGGTGTTTCCCAGGCTGGACTGTTTCCTTCAAGTGGCTCAGGAGGCAATAGTGAAAAGATCTAGGGCTTTTTTAGGAGCCTCAGTTTCCTCATCTGTAAAATGGGCATACCAATAATGACAGATATGGACCATATGAAATTACAGATATTCAACCATTTTTTGGTTGACAGAAATGGCAATTTCATATGAAAAGGGTAAATGGGTAAGATTAGTGGAAGAGTAGATGGGATATAGGTACATTGTAGGGGATCAATCTTTATTAACAGGTTTAGGCTTGGGCTGGCGGCTGAGGTGATCTCTGGCCTGAAGAGCCAAAGGTAGCTCTGAGGCTTTTAATTCAGCTCCTGGAACAGGCAGACGGGACAGCGAGATCACCCCCAGCTCTGGGCTCTAGTCAGTTGAGCTGCTGCCTCTTTAGCAAGACCTTGGTTTTTTGTTTTTTTTTTTAACCAACAAATATTCTGGTTCAGTATTCTGGGTAAAAAGGATCCCAGGGTTGGCTGGGCGCAGTGGCTTATGCCTGTAATCCCAGCACTTTGGGAGGCCGTGGCAGGCAGATCACCTGAGGTCAGGGGTTTGAGACCAGCCTGGCCAACATGGTGAAACCCTGTCTCTACTAAAAATACAAAAAATTAGCCGGGTGTGGTGGCACATGCCTGTAATCCCAGCTACTTGGGAGGCTGAGGCAGGAGAATCACTTGAACCTGGGGGGCGGAGGTTGCAGCGAACTGAGATTGCGCCACTGCGCTCCAGCCTGGGCGACAGAGTGAGACTCTGTCTTAAAAAACAAAAACAAAAAAGAATCCCAGAGTTGAAAAGACCAGGAGAGCATGGATAATGAAACTGAAGACTGGTCAATTAAAGCCCTTATTTGTTCAATAGCACTTTCTAACCAGAAGCTGCTGAAATAGAAAACAAAATGGACTGATTTTCCTTTTATACCCCTATCTGCACACTGAGGCGGGGAAATGAAAGGGATTGAAGTTATCAAAAGCCAGACAGGAGGGGGGGAAAGTGAGAGACAAAAGGGTGGGGAAATCTTTAAACTGGTTAATCAATTCCTCAACTATTCACATCAAAATTAAGTCACTACTAGTTGAATAAATGAATGAACATCTCCTTTAATTCTGATAACACCTCTACTGGTGTTACTATCCCACTTTACAGAGGAGGAAACTGAGGGAAAGAGAGATTAGACAGTATTTCTAAAATGATTCCAAATAAACTCAAGTGTTATTTCATACCCACAAGATGTTAAGTGTACTGTGCAGTATAGACAGCTGGCTTTCAACACATTTATTTTCTCTCTCTTGATTTCAAAAACTCTATTGTAATAAAATTTGCCTGGGCAGTCTTACAATAAGCCCATTCTGTTTCATGTTGTCATCTGCTCAGCTTCTCCAGGTTATCATCTGACAGCTATTTTTCCGATTGATTTTCTTATTTTAGTTGCTGTTTCTTCTGGTGTTAGAATTTTTATTTTTATTATTTATTTATTTATTTTTTATTTTGTTTTTGAGACGGAGTTATCAGGCCTCAGCCCAAGCTAAGCTATCATATCCCCTGTGACCTGCACATATACATCTAGATGGCCTGAAGCAACTGAAGAACCATAAAAGATGACATTCCACCATTGTGATGTTCCTGCCCCACCCTAGCTGATCAACTGACCTTATGACAATACACCCTCCCCGCCCTTGCAATAATGTACTTTGTGATATTCCCCGGCCCTTAAGAAGGTACTTTGTAATATTCTCCCTGCCCTTGAGAATGTACGTTGTGAGATCCACCCCCTGCCCATAAAAAATTGCTCCTAACTCCACCGCCTATCCCAAACCTGTAAGAACTAATGATAATCCCACCACCCTTTGCTGACTCTCTTTTTGGACTCAGCCCACCTGCACCCAGGTGATTAAAAAGCTTTATTGCTCACACAAAGTCTGTTTGGTGGTCTCTTCATACAGATGCATGTTGACGGGAATCTTGCTCTGTTGCCCGGGCTGGAGTGCAGTGGTGCAATGTTGGCTCACTGCACCCTCTGCCTCCTGGGTGTTAGATATGAGTTCTAAATTTCTTTTCAAAGAATCAATATGTCAGTATGTTCAATTCTTTGCCTTCTACTTTTAAACTTCCTCATAAAGCAAGCTTTTTTGATTACCTGCTCCACCCTGACTCATTTCAATCACCTGCTCCACCCTGACTCATTCCTATTACCTACTCTGTCATAATCAAAATTCCCACCAAACCACTCACCCTGTCACTCTCTTTTAATTAGCCAGTCGGAATTAGTTTAGCCTGTGTGGTCTAACCCTAGCCAATAGGGGAACAACACAGCAGCAGGGGCCACGTGGGTCAGGGATAAGAACCCCTTCCCCTGGCTGGGAGAGGTGGCTCGTGCCCTTAATCCCAGCACTTTGGGAGGCCGAGGTGGGTGGATCATGAGGTCAGGAGATTGAGACCATCCTGGCTAACACGGTGAAACTCTGTCTCTACTGAAAATACAAAAAAATTAACCGGGTGTGGTGGCGGGCGCTTGTAGTCCCAGCTACTCGGGAGGCTGAGGCAGGAGAATGGCATGAACCCGGGAGGCGGAGCTTGCAGTGAGCCGAGATCGCGCCACTGCACTCCAGCCTAGGCGACAGAGCAAGACTCAGTCTCAAAAAAAAAAAAAAAAAAAATCCTTCCTCTCCCTTGTCCAAGTGCGTGCTCACCTTTGCTTCATCTGTAAGGGCGCACCCTTCTATAGAAGTACCTAGCCTTGCTGAGAATTAAAAAGAAAATTTTATATTCGAGTGCTATTTCTTTTGTGGCACTGAAACTTTATACGTAACACGGGTTCAAGCAATTCTCCTGCCTCAGCCTCCTGAGTAGCTAGGACTACAGGCACATGCCACCACGCCCAGCTAATTTTTGTATTTTTAGTAGAGACGGTGTTTCACCATGTTGGCCAGGATGGTCTCAATCTCCTGACCTTGTGATCCACCCACCTTGTCCTCCCAAAGTGCTGGGATTACAGGCGTGAGCCAGAATTTTTATTTTTAATTCTATGATTTAGATTGCTGAAGTTATGTTCATACTTTCTTTAAAAATCTAACTTAACTAGGATGCAAAATGTGGAGGGAATTTCTTCAGTGTTAAGGAGGGTAGAGAATAATCATCATGTTAGTGGTATTAATGAATGCAAGCTGCTTAGACATTAATTTTTTCATCCAGGAAGGAAAAAATAGAAATGTCCAATTATTTGAATTGGGTTTTAATAAAGATAAATGTAAAATGAAAACAGATTTTCTTCTTTTTAAAAACAGCATTTTTCTATTTTCAGCACTTCATGTGTCTCATCATAAAAACTTTGGAAATTACAGGAACATATAAAGAAGAAGTAACAATTCCAAATTCCTCCTCCATGAGAGAGCTACTGTGAACCTTCTAGTGTGTGTTTCTCTCCAGCCAAGAAAAGAGATTTCTTAAGATGGAAAGAATCCAGCTGGAAAATAACAAGATCAGTGAAGTGACAGACCAAAATTCAAGGAAAAAAAGGTGAACCAACTGAGAAACCTTTTAATGCTTTCTACCCTTGCTCTGATACAATCGGTTCTTAGCAAGAGAAGACAGTGTGAACTTTCAAATTGCTCAAAAACACTTTCAGGCTCTCATAGACACGTAAACCAAAAAGTGACCGAGGCAGATCTCAATCAATTCAGAGGTTTATTTTGCCAAGGTTGAGGATGTGCCTGGGGCTGGGGGGCAAGAAACACAAGTCACAGTAGGATCTGTGTCCTGTGCTTTTTTCCAAGAGAGTTTTGGAAACTTCAGTATTTAAATAGGAAAGAGCAAACAGGAGGATGAAGAAAGTGAAAAAAAAAGGAGGGGTAGGCAATGAGGCAAGTGGTTATATTCTTGTGAAACTCTGATTAGCACTCTGTGAATCTACATTTTACATGTGAAGAGAAAGGGGAGGAGTCAGTTATGCAGTCCTCTTGGCTCAGTAAATCTACATTTCACATAAGACAAAATAAGCATGTGAAATTACAGCTATGTGTTTGGGAATGAAAGGAAGGCAGTTTTCGCATTGACTCAGTTCTCAAGCTTAACTTTTTCCTTTGGCATAGTGAGTTTGGGGTCCTGAGATCTCATTTTCTTTTCACAGATATACCTCTTCCACCAGAGTTAGTACAGTAATTGGCAATTCTAGCCCTTTTTACAATTGGGCATTCCCATGAATATTATAGGAGAGGTCTGGAATTTGGTATTTAAGGTTATTTGGATTATTTTTATTTAAGTGTAAGTGATTTCCATGAATGCTTCTGCTGTTGCAAATTTTTAGGGAAAAGGAAAAGTGAATACAAGACGACTTTACCTTGTAATTAAAGAAGAGAGGAGTTTTGGGGGCAGAGAAGAGAGAGGGACACAGACCAGAGATGAGTATGGTGTGTGCTCCTGCCCAGATCTCTGGCCTGGGCTGAGCCTGAAGCTGGAGGAGTTGATTTGTTGAGAGACTTTGAGGATGTGAAGAACTGGGCCTTCAGGACCTGGTTGCAGCTTGTGGCACTGATGGAGGCAGAGGTCAGCCTGCTCTGGCATCAGGTTTAGGTTTGGGTGATAGCACCTTTGAGATCAGCTTAGAGATCTCTCAAAGGTGTCATTAGCAGTGGCATGATCTTGGCTCACTGCAACCTCCACCTCCCAGGTTCAAGCAATACTCCCTGCCTTAGCCTCCCAAGTAGCTAGGATTACAGGCACCTACCACCACACCTGGCTAATTTTTGTAATTTTAGTAGAGACAGGCTTTCGCCATGTTGACCAGGTTGGTCTCAAACTCCTGACCTCAGGTGATCCGCCCATCTTGGCCTCCCAAAGTGCTGGGATTATAGGCAGGAGCCACTATGCTTGGCCTCTGGAGTGCAGTGGTGTAATCTCAGCTCACTGCAACCTCCATCTCCTGAGTTCAAGCAATTCTCCTGCCTCAGCCTCCCGAGTAGCTGGGACTACAGGCACACACCACCATGCCCAGCTAATTTTTGTATTTTTAGTAGAGACGGGGTTTCACCATGTTGGCCAGGATGGTCTCAATCTCTTGACCATGTGATCTGCCCACCTTGGTCTCCCAACGTGCTGGGACTACAGGCGTGAGCCGCCATGCCTGGCCTGGTATCTTTTAAGTGAAGCATTTAGGCCATTTATATACAACATTTGTATTGAGATGTAAGGTACTGTTCTATTCATCATGCTAATTGTTGCCTAAATACCTTGTTGTTTTTTTTTCATTGTGTTATTGTTTTATAGGTCCTGTGAGATTTATGCTTTAAGGAGGTTTATTTTGGTGTATTTCAAGGTTTTGTTTCAAGATTTAGAACGTCTTTTAGCATTTCTTGTAGTGCTGGCTTGGTAGTGGCGAATTCTGTCAGCATTTGTTTGTCTGAAAAAAATTATATCTCCTTCATTTATGCAGCTTAGTTTTGCTGGATACAAAATTCTTGCCTGGTAAGTATTTTGTTTGAGGAAGCCAAAGATAGGACCACAATCTCTTCTGGCTTGCAGGGTTTCTGCTGAGAAATCTGCTGTTAATCTGATAGGTTTTCCTTTATAGGTTATCTGATGCTTTTGTCTCATAGCTCTTAAGAGTCTTTCCTTCCTCTTGACTTTAGATAACCTGATGACTATGTGCCTAGGTGATGATCTTTTTGCACTGAATTTCTCGGATGTTCTTTGAGTTTCTTGTATTTGGATGTCTAGATCTCTAGTGAGACCAGGCAATTTTCCTCAATTATTCCCTCAAATAAGTTTTCCAAACTTTTAGATTTCTCTTCTTTCCCAGCAACACCAGTTATTCATGTGTTTGGTCATTTAACATAATCCCAAATTTCTTGGAGGCTCTGTTCTTTTTTTTTTTTTTTCTGAAACAGAGTTTCGCTCTTGTCGCTCTTGATCTCTTGATGTGGTGCACTCCCTCTTTCCCTAGGGATGGGGTCCTGCGAGCCAGACTGCAGTGATTTTTATTGCTCTTCTGGGTCTAGCCACTCAGCTCCAGGCTCCAGGCTGGTGCTGGGGAAGGTCTGCAAAGAGTCCTGTAATGTGATCCATCTCTAGTTCCCTGAGCCATGGCTGCCAGCACCTGCTCCAGTGGAGATGAAAGGGGAGTGGATGGCCAGGCATGGTGGCTCGTGCCTGTAATCCCAGCACTTTGGGAGGCTGAGGTGGGCAGATCACAAGGTCAGGAGTTCAAGACCAGCCTGACCAACATGGTGAAACCCCATCTCTACTAAAAATAAAAAAATTAGCTGGGCGTTGTGGCACGTGCCTGTAATCCCAGCTACTCAGGAGGCTGAGGCAGGAGAACCACTTGAACCTGGGAGGCGGAGGTTGCAGCAAGCCGAGATTGCATCACTGTGCTCCAGCCTGGGTGACAGAGTGACACTCTGTCTCAAAAAAAAAAAAAAGAAAGAAAGGGGAGTGAACTGGACTCTGCGAGTCCTTGGTTGTAGTTTTGTTTAGTGTGCTGGTTTTCTTGAATAGTGATTATACTAGCAGTGAAGTTGTCACGTGGACAGACTCAGGACCTCTGGTTAGCTAGGGTGTTGCAGGCAGTGGAATTAGCTGTTGTTTTCTCCTTTAGAGCCGGGTCGTTCTGTTATGTGTTACTGTGATGGCTTGAGTTGATGGCCTCCAACCAGGAGGTGGCACTTTTAAGAGAGCACCAGCTGTGATAGTAGAAGGGAGATATAGGCTAGTTCTATATTGGCCAGGATAAGTTCTCAGGTTTCTCAAGCGATGGGTGGGGCCATTGAGCTCCCAAGAGTTTATGTCTTTTGTCTTCAGCTACCAGGGTGGGTAGACAAAAACCATCAGGTGGGGGCAGGGTTGGGTGAGTCTGAGATCAGACTCCCCATGGGTGGGGCTTGCTATGGCCACTGTTGGGGGTAGGGGAGTGGTTCTCAGAGCAATGGAGTTATGTTCCCAGGGGATTATGGCCACCTCTGCTGCATCATACAGGTTGCCAGGTAAGTGGGGGAAAGCCAGCAGTGACAGGCCTTACCTAGCTCCCATGCAGCCAGCAGGGCCAGTCTCACTCCCACCATGCTCCCACCAACCGCACTGAGTTTATATCCAAGCAGCCCGCATGCAGGGGTGAGATCTTGCCCCAGGGTACAAGCCTCCCTATTGAGAAAGCAAACAGGGCTCTCAGGCTTCACCCCTTCCCACCTGCCTGCACTGTAGGCTGTGGCTTCTGCGCTTGTATCGGCACTTCCCCATTTGCCCCACCTGATTCTGTTCAGAAAAATTAGTGCTCAGTCAAAATTATTACAAAGTTCAGCTAGGAGCTTTCTTCTCTCTGTGGCTCCTCCCCAGTTCCACTGGCTGTCTTCACTTCCCCAAAGACCTCTGTGAGATAAAGCCAGGAATGGCTTCACTAGGCTTGAGCTGGAGACTGGGAGTGCCTACAGGGATCTTCCCACTGCTTCTTCTGCTTTTATATTTCACTCAGCTCCCTAAATCTGTTTCAGCTGTAGGTAAGGTTAAATCCTTCTCCTGTGACCTGGATTTTCAGTTTCCCCAGTGAAGATGTGTGTTTGGAGGCTTTCTTTTCCTCCTCTCACACTTTGGGAACTCACAGTTTTTTGGCTGTCTTGTGGTGTTTGCAACGGCAAGCCACTTCTTTCAAAGGGTCTTTGAATTCTTTTGGTTTTCCTGGTATGTTCCTGCAGTGGTTCTTGAAGCAAAAGTTCACAATGTGAGTCTCCAGACACTGTTCTGTCTGTCCAAGCAGGAGCTGCATGTTAGTCCTGTCTCCTATCCACGATTTTTCATTAGTTCTAATTTAAGTCTTCTCTTTTTTATTTTTGAGACAGAGTCTTGCTCTGTTGCCAGGCTGGATGTAGTGGCATGATCTTGGCTCACTGCCACCTCCACCTCCTGGGTTCAAGTGATTCTCCTGCCTCAGCCTCCCGAGTAGCTGGGACTACAGGTGTGCGTCACCATGCCCAGCTAGTTTTTGTATTTTTATTAGAGATGTGGTTTCACCATGTTGGCCCGGTTGGTCCCGATCTCCTAACCTCTGGTGATCTGCCCACCTTGGCCTTCCAATGTGCTGGGATTACAGGTGTGAGCTACTGTGCCTGGCCCTAAGTCTTCTTTTAAGCTCTGAGCACTGGATCTCCAAAAAGAGAATTATGAGGCTAGATGATGCTTTTACAGTGCAACTTTTTTTTTTACAAAGACATTTCTCTAAGTGTCTAAACTACATTCTTCCTTATTTTAAACATCAAACAGTAGCCTCTGTTGTAATAACTATTTTAGCTGGAAAAAAATCAGATAACACAATATAGAAGCAAGCAGTTTAAGATCTGAGAGAAAACACATTTGTTTACATTCTTGGGGTTCAACAGGGAAAAAGAGGTTTCTTCCTTAAAAGGAGTTTGGTAACTTCTCTGTTTACTTTAAGGAATCCCAGGATGTTAGACACTATTTTTCTAAAAAAACTTTCTCAGTAAGAACATGGTCATAGGAGAAAAAAATGAAAAACAAAACAAAACAAAAAGGCCTTTTAAATACACACACACACACACACACACACACACACACACACACGATTCTATAGCTTTTACTTCAGAACTCTAGCCATGAGTTATTAATACAAATTCACAGGCTTGCAAAAAGCAAACACACAAAGAAACAAACAAAAAATGGTTGGCTCCAAACAGTGGTTTTTATCTCAGTAGAAAACAGCAGGCCAGGCATAGTGGCTCATGCCTGTAATCCCAGCACTTTGGGAAGCTGAGGTGGGAGGACTGCTTGAGCCTCGGAGTTTAAGACCAGCCTGGGTGACATTGTGAGACCCTATATCAAAATAAATTATTTTAAAATTTTTTTAAAAAGAAAAAAAACAGTGGATTTAAAGAAGGCAGAAAAGAAAATAGAGAAAAAGAGAACTTAGAAACCCTATAATTACATTTCGAACTTTGGGCTCTTTTCCCTTGACGTAAATGTGCAGAAAGACCATAATATGTTCATTTTATACAAACACTTGCAAGGAGTGGCACCATAAAACCAACAGAGCGCCTGAAAGCTGTCATTCTTCTTGTTTTTTCCTCATTCTTAGATTATTTGTTGCCCACTTTTTTTTTCTTGAAAAGGAGGGGCTGAGCTGTGGTCTAGAGTTCAGTGTGGTGGGTTAAGTGTGCTGGTTGTGGGTTGGACTCCACCGTGTCACCACAGAGTTCTTGACGCCCTCTTACATGTCTCAGTTTCTCTCTCCAGAGGTCTAAGCACCTCTGGGAGGGCTCAAAGCACGGAGTGACCAGGTCCTATATGCACTTCCTGGACAAGCCCTTTTTAAACTAATTTTGTTGGGGGTTCCCTGAAGGCCGCCGCATGTCACGGGGGTCAACCCCACAGACATTCCCATGTGGCCCCCTGTCACCCAGGGGTTCTTTTTGGCTGGGAGAAACAAAATGGCCTTCTCTTCAGAGCTGAGGGAACTCAGTCTCTTATTTACCTATGAAAACAACATTTCAGTTCCCAAGGCAAATATGCACAGGCAAGCCAAATCAAGATTACTTTTGGAAGAAAAAGTAATGGAGAAGCCCCGTTAGAATGTACCTCCGAACTAGAAGTAAGATCCTAAACAGGCCGGGCGTGGTGGCTCATGCCTGTAATCCCAGCACTTTGGGAGGCCGAGGCGGGCGGATCTTGAGGTCAAGAGATAGAGACCGTCCTGGCCAAGAAGGTGAAACCCCGTCTGTACTAAAAATACAAAAATTAGCTGGGTGTGGTGGTGCGTGCCTGTAGTCCCAGCTACTCAGGAGGCTGAGGTAGGAGAATGGCATGAACTCCGGAGGAGGCAGAGCTTGCAGTGAGCTGAGATCGTGCCACTGCACTCCAGCCTGGGCGACAGAGTGAGACTCTGTCTCAAAAAAAACAATCCTAAACAATAACTTCCTCGGAGGAAAAAATCGGCTCAGAACAAATTAAGGACCGTCGACCAAAGGGAGGTCCAGGGCTCAGGAGGACTTGTCAGCTCCACTGGTTGGAGAAGCTCGAAGTCAGGGAGGCTTCAATGGTTCCCTGCTAGTACCTTAGCTCCGAGTTTGGCTAACTCCTTCAGGGTCCTGAGTCTTCTCTGAGGCACCAAATTACTGTCAACAAAAAGAGTCAACAATAATTACTTAAGGGATTTATTCTGAGCCAAATATGAGTGACCATGGCCTGTGACACAGCCCTCATGAGATCCTGAGAACATGTACCCTGGCCAAGGAGGAAGTCCATTCAGATGGTTTTGGGGGGCATTAGAATTGTATTTTTGATTTACAGTGTCACCAGTAGGGTGAAATATGTGTGGCTGTGTTTTGGAGGGTGCTAAATTTTAGGTTGAGAAGAGGAGAAGCAAAGGAAAAACAGGAGAGAGAAAGAAAAAGGAAGTGTGGGAGTAGGGAACGAGGAAGAGGACAAGAGGAAGGGAGAAACCAGGAGAACGAGTGCCAGGAAGAGGAATTGGCAGGACTCCTTTCCCAGACACCGCAGCAACCACCTCCGGTGATAGGGTCGGGGTAGGGGAAGGATCCTGGGGCAAAGTCCACCAGCAGGACGAACTGATCACTGGGCAAGCAGTCACTGTAAAACAAGCCTAAGAAGAAATGCAGGCCAACAGACGAGAATGAAGGCAGAAGATGGAGGTGGGCTCCAGAGAGAGAGAGAGAGAGAGACAGATCCCGAACAAGCAGCTGCCTACAATGTAAGAAGGTTTCTGAGGCAGTGTGGGGCCATGCACTGAGGGGCACAGCGGGAAACAGTCCTGAAAACCTGGCAGGCTTGCTGCCGAAAGCTCCCGCTCTTTGTTGTTACTTTGGAGAGAATACTCCCACTTGGTACCCTGCTAATCAACAAGCTTACTAAGTTCTGAGTCATCAATTTTCTATTCTTTTTTGGGAAATGATGCTGAAGAGAAATACTGTAACCATTGGACTAATTCTGCTCACCTCTATCAAGGCCATACTGGTGATCCCTGTGACCCCAGCCCTTGTGTACGATCTGTCCTGGAAAGTATTATTTAATTTCTGATGCAAATGTGGCAATGCCCTTCCATCAGCAGAGGCAGGCAAAGCTCCCGAGAGTGAGGAGGAGGGATGGTGTTACCATGGTAACGAGATGACCAGCTGAGTGTAGATGGAGCTAAGCATCTTTCTACTGAAGAACAGGAGTAGCTATCCTTAGCCTCTACTTGTACCTGAGGAGTCACAGCCGATTTACATAAACCCCTCACTTTTCATTAAAAGCAAACATACAAAAGGATTGAGGAAGGCAAATTTTCTCTCTCTTCTTGAGCTGTGACTTCTATCTCTTAAAAAAATAAAAGCAAATTTAAAATAATAAGAGCTAACGTCTCCTACTGGGGAGGAAATTAAGAACAAATGTCTGGGAAGCGGGTGCTCTTTAACACCATTTAGGTTTTTTGATTTGTTGTTTCTAATTAAGATATTGGTTTCTGCTGAGGGCATGCGTAAGGTAGGTTAGATTTTAAAATACTTGCCAGCCTTTGAAGGATGAGACATATTAGCTAGTAAGCCAGTTTATTAGTGATGTAACATGAAACAGCTTACTTACCCTTTTTAAGCTACATTACAATAAATGTACTTCCTCCTAAGGTCAACACTTAAAAGTCAAAACACTCATACTGGATGTTTGTTTACAAACAAATTTCTGATGGCAGTGCTGAGGACCAGAATATGCTGCTCCAAAATAATGGTTTTTTGGCATAAGGATTATTTTGAGCTGATTATTTTGAGAAACTGCAGACACAGGAGAAATTCTGAAAACAGAGTACTAGAAGTTATCGTTTTGTAAGAGAAATTTATATCTATAAAGGGAATCTCCATTTGTAAGAGTGCCTCCTTCTCTGTACCAGGAAGAGATGGATGACAAAGTCACTAAGATGTGTATAAATGGAGAAGGCACTGGCTGAAATCTGCATAACAAACCTTACCCTTGTTTTTCCTGAGCATCTCCACATAACCAGCCTTCCCAATATCATTCTTTCTCGTTTCAGCACACGATGGTATTTAAGACTAAATTTAAAGCCATCTCTTTGAGATTTACCAATTTCAACAGATATCTCCTATGTACACATGTTAATAAACCTGTTTGTTAATCTGTCTTTGGCTACAGATGTCTGTCACTCTGTCCCAACCAAGAACTACAAAGGATAGAGAGAAAATTATTTTCCCTTTTGTACAGCAAGATTGACTTTTTTTAAATATCCCAATGCTATAGCAAATTGAATGTATACTCTAAGAGTTTTGGCTACAAGAATGTTTATAAGTAATCACTCACATGAACACTCATACATTGGAGGTGAGAATGAAAAGGGGACAGCTGCTTTGGAAAACAATTTGGCAGTTAAACACACTTACCATATGTGATGGTTAATTTGATCTAATTTAATTTTTATTTTTTTGAGACAGGGTTGTGCTATCACCCAGGCTAGAATGTGGTGGTGTGAGCATGACTCAGGGCAGCCTCAACCTCCCAGGCTTGAGAGATCCTCCAACCTCAGTCTCCCAAATAACTGGGACTACAGATGCATCCCACCATGTCCAGCTAATTAATTTTTTTTTTTTTGTATCTATGGAGTCTTACTATGTTGCCTAGTCTTGAACTCCTGACCTCAAGCCATCCTCCCCTCTCAGTCTCCCAAAATGCTGGGATTACAAGTGTGAGCCCACTGTGCCTGGCCCATATGTGATGGTTAATTTTATATGTCAATTTCACTAGGTTATAGTACCCAGTTTTTTGGTCAAGCATCAGTATAGATGTTGCTATGAAGATATTTTAAAGATGTGATTAACATTTACGATCAGTAGATTTTGAGTAAAGCTGATGATCTCACCTAATGATGGGTGGGCCTCATCCAATCATTGGAAGACCTTGAGAGCAAAAGCTAAGGTTCCCCAAATAAGAAGCAGTTCTGCCTCAAGACTGCAACACAGAAACCTTGCCTGACCTTTCAGGCTCCTGGCCTCCTTGGTAGATTTTGGACTCAAAACTGCATCAACTCTGTATTAGTCCATTCTCATGCTGCTAATAAAGACATACCCAAGACTGGACAATTTACAAAGAAAAAGAGGTTCAATGGACTCACAGTTCCACATGGCTGGGGAGGACTCACAATCATGGCAGAAGGCAAAGGAGGGACAAAGGCATGTCCCACATAGCAGCAGGTAAAAGAATCTGTGCAAGGGACTGCCCTTTATAAAACTATCAGATCTTGGCCGAGCATGGTGGCTAATGCCTGTAACACTAGCACTTTCAGAGGCTGAGGCGGGCAGATCACCTGAGGTCAGGAGTCCAAGACCAGCCTGACCAACATGGGGAAACCCCGTCTTTACTAAAAATACAAAAATTATACCAGGCATGGTGGCTCACGCCTGTAATCCCACAGCTTTGGGAGGCCATGGTGGGCAGATCACGAGGTCAGGAGTTTGAGACCAGCCTGGCCAATATGGTGAAACCCCATCTCTACTAAAAATTCAAAAATTAACCAGGTATGGTGGTGTGTGCCTGTAGTCCTGGCCACTTGACAGACTCAGGCAGGAGAATCACTTGAACCTGGGAGGTGAGGTTGCAGTGAGCTGAGATCGCACCACTGCACTCCAGCCTGGCGTCAGAGCGAGACTCCATCTCAATAAATAAATAAATAAATAATAAATAAAAATTTAAAAATTAGCCAGGCATGGTGGCACATGCCTGTAGTCCCAGCTACTTGAGAGGCTGGGGCAGGAAAATCTCTTGAACCTGGGAGGTGAAGGTTGAGGTGAGCAGAGATTGTGCCACTGCATTCCAACCTGGGCGACAGAGTGAGACTCCAGCTCAAAACAAAAACAAAGACAAAAACAAAAACTTATAGTCACATAAAGATGTGTACGTTAATGTTTACACCAGCTTTATTTATAATCACCCAAGATGGAAACACAATCTACATGTCCTTCAATGGAGGAACAAATTGTGGTTCTTCCATGTGATGGAATACTACTCAGTGATAAAAAGGAATGGGCAGGCTATTGGTATACACCACTACTTGGATCAAACTCAAAAGCATCATGCTGAATAAAATAAGCCTGCATAATGAATGAAATAAATCTGCATGAGTGTATTTATTATTATTATTTTTTAGATGGAGTCTCACTCTGTCACCTAGGCTGGAGTGCAGTGGTGTGATCTCAGCTCCTGCAACATCCACCTCCTGGTTTCAAGCAATTCTCCTGCCTCAGCCTCCCGAGTAGCTGGGATTACAGGTGTGTACACCATGACTGGCTAACTTTTGTATTTTTAGTAGAGATGGGGTTTCACCATGTTGGCCAGGTTGGTGTCAAACTCCTGACCTCAAATGATCCACTCGGCTCGGCCTCCCAAAGTGCTGGGATTACAGGCATGAGCCACCATGCCCAGCCTGCATGAGTGTATTTAAATAGAATTTTGGGAGAGCCAAAAGTATAGAGATAGAAAGTAGATCAGTGGTTGCCAGAGGCTGGAGTAGGGGTGGGATTGCCACCAAAGGACCATGAGGGAATTTTTTGGGTGGTGTAAGTGTTCTATATCTTGATTACTGTTACATGACTGTATGTATTAATCAAAACTCATAAATTTATATACTAAAAATGGTAGTTTTACTGAATATAAATAATACTTCAAAGAACTTGACTTAAAAAACAGTTATATTATGATCACTGTTATAATCTCACCTATTCTGTTGGAAGACTTGGTAAGGAAATCAGTTCTAACAAATCACTGCTTTTCCAGAAAGACATAAGTACTTCATGGCTAAAATGTAAAATAAATGTTTTTTCTGGGGTAACAGAAATTACCCATAGGTATAAATCCTCATTTATTTAAGATTACATCCAATATTTGCAGTTTCTTTTTTTTTAAGAGACAGTCCTGGCCGGGCACAGTGGCTTACACCTGTAATCCCAGCACTTTGGGAGGCTGAGGCGGGCGGATCACCTGAGGTCAGGAGTTCGAGACCAGCCTGGCCAACAGGGTGAAACCCCGTCTCTACTAAAAATACAAAAATTAGCCAGGTGTTGTGGCAGATGCCTGTAATCCCAGCTACTCGGGAGGCTGAGGCAGGAGAATCACCTGAACCTGAGAGGCGGAGGTTGCTGTGAGCCGAGGTCATGCCATTACACTCCAGTCTGGGGGACAAGAGAGAGACTTTGTCTCAAAAAAAAAAAAAAAAAAAAAAAGAGAGAGACAGGCCTGGGCCACTATGCTTGGCTAATTTTTTTAAAATTTTTATTTTACTTTAAGTTCTGGAATATATGTGCAGAACATGCAGGTTTGTTACATAGGTATATATATGTATCATTGCCCACCAATGATAGACTGGATAAAGAAAATATGGCACATATACACCATGGAATTCCATGCAGCCATTAGAAAGAATGAGTTCATGTCCTTTGCAGGGACATGGATGAAGCTGGAAGCCATCATTCTCAGCAAACTAACACAGAAACAGAGAACCAAACACCGCATGTTCTCACTCATAAGTGGAAGTCGAACAATGAGAACACATGGACACAGGGAGGGGAACATCAGACACAGGGGCCTGTCGGGGACTGGGGAACAAGGGGAGGGAGAGCATTAGGACAAATACCTAATGCATGTAGGGCTTAAACCTAGCTGATGAGTTGATAGGTACAGCAAACCACCATGGCCCTCTCAAAAAAAAAAAAAGAAATAAAAAGAGGGCCGTGATATAAGTGGAAAAGCAGGCTACGAAACAGAAGACGTGCTATGATTGTATTTTTTTTTAATACATGTGAATGTGCTTATAATTTGTTAGTAGAGTCAGCCCTCCGTATCTATGGGTTCTGCATCCATGGATTCAACAAAGCACAGATAGAAAATATTCAAAACAAAAAACCGTCTGTACATATTGTACAGATGGAATTTTTGTTTTTGTTTTTGTTTTTGTTTTGAGATGGAGTTTTGCTCTTGTTGCCCGGGCTGCTGGTGTACAATGGCATGATCTCGGCTCACTGCAACCTCTGCCTCCCAGGTTCAAGTGATTCTCCTGCCTCAGCCTCCCGAGTAGCTGGGATTACAGGCATGTGCCACCACGCCTGGCCAGTTTCGTATTTCTAGTAGAGACGGGGTTTCTCCATGTTGGTCAGGCTGGTCTTGAACCCCCCGACCTCAGGTGATCCACCTGCATCGGCCTCCCAAAGTGCTGGTGTCTGAGGTGAAGCTGGCTGGGCTTCTGGGTCCGGTGGGGACTTGGAGAACTTTTCTGTCTAGCTAAAGGTTTGTAAATGCACCAATGAGCGCTCTGTGCCTAGCTAATCGGGTGGGGACTTGGAGAAATTAGTTCTGTCTAGCTAAAGGATTGTAAATGCACCAGTCAGCACTCTGCGTCTAGCTAAAGGTTTGTAAATGCACCAGTCAGCACTCTGTGCCTAGCTAATCGGTGGGGACTTGGAGAACTTTTCTGTCTAGCTAAAGGATTGTAAACACACCAATCAGCACTCTGTCAAAACGGACAAATAAGCTCTCTGTAAAATGGACCAATCAGCTCTCTGTAAAATGGACCAATCAGCAGGATGTGGGTGGGGCCAAATAAGGGAATAAAAGCAGGCCACCCTAACCAGCAGCAGCAACACTCTCAGGTCTTCTCCCACGCTGTAGAAGGTTTGTTCTTTGGCCTTTCGCAATAAATCTTGCTGCTGCTAACTCTTTGGGTCCACGCCGCCTTTATGAGATGTAACACTTTACGGTGAAGGTCTGCAGCTTCGCTCTTGAAGCCAGCGAGACCACGAACCCACTGGGAGGGACGAACAACTCCGGACGGGAGGAACCAACAACTCCCTATGGGCCACCTTTATGAACTGTGATACTCACCGCGAAGGTCTGCAGCTTCACTCCTGAGGCTGGCGAGACCATGAACCCATGGGAAGGAAAAAACAACTCCAGATGCACTGCCTTTAAGAGCTGTAACACTCACTGCAAAGGTCTGCAGCTTCACTCCTGAAGTCAGTGAGACCACGAACCCACCAGAAGGAAGAAACTCCGGACACATCTGAACATCTGAAGGAACAAACTCTGGACATACCATCTTTATGTATGGTAAGGGTCCACAGCTTCATTCTTGAAGTCAGCGAGACCAAGAACCCACCAATTCTGGACACACTAGGATTACAGGCATGAGCCACCATGCCCATCACAGATGTTTCTTTCTTGTTATTATTCCCCAAACAATAAGGTATATTGGCCAGGCACAATGGCTCATGCTGTAATCCCAGCAGTTTGGGAGGCCACTGTGGGTGGATCACCTGAGGTCAGGCGTTTGAGACTAGCCTGGCCAACGTGGTGAAACCCCATCTCTACTAAAAATATAAAAATTAGCCGGGCATCGTGGTACATGCCTGTAATCCCAGCCACTTGGGAGGCTGAGGCAGGAGAATCACTTGAACTCGGGAGGCAGAGGTTGCGGTGAGCAGAGATAGTGCCATTGCACTCCAGCCTGGGCAGCAAAGTGAGACTCCGTCTCAAACAAACAAACAAAAAACAATGAAATATAACAATGATTTACACAACTCTACATTGCATCAGTTATTATAAGTAATCTAGAGATGATTTAAAGTATACGAGAGGATGTGCATAGGTTACGCGCAAATACTAAGCCATTTTATATCATTTTATATCAGGAACATAAGCATCTGTGTATTTTGATGTCTGAGAAGGTCCTGGACCCAAAGCCCCACTGATACCAACAGATGACTGTATATACTTAGAACAAAACTTTGAGTAGAGATGAGGGTAGAAAAAAAACTTGGAAACCTAGAACAAAAGTTTTATAAGTAGCAATAACTTCTTTATTCATGGTGGGGTTACAGAGTCAACACTTTTTATACTGTCTGCATTTAAAAAATTAAACTGTTTTACTTTATAGTAAGGAAAAAGTTTATTTCCATTTGTAAGAGAAAGCAAAAGTTCTCTACTGTTTACTACCCTCCCCATATCATTAACAACATGAAAATAATTATATGAGCATCTCTTTTTTTATTTTTTGAGATGGAGTTTCACTCTTGTTGCCCAGGCTGGAGTGCAATGGCACCATCTTGGCTCACTGAAACCTCTGTCTCCCGGGTTCAAGCGATTCTCTTGCCTCAGCCTTCTGAGTAGCTGAGTTTACAGGCACCCAGCACCATGCCCAGCTAATTTTTGTATTTTCAGTAGCATTTTTCACCATGTTGGCCAGGCTGGTCTCGAACTCCTGACCTCAGGTGATCCACCCATCTCGGCCTCCCAAAGTGCTGGGATTACAGGCGTGAAACACTGTGCCCTGCCATGAGCATCCTTTTAATGAAAAAAAGTTATATATATATATATATATATATATATATATATATATATATATGGACTTTTTAATGTAAACATAGTGTCTCTAGTCCCAACTTCTCAGGAGGCTGAGGCGGGAGAATTGCTTTAATCTGGGAGGAGGAGGAGGTTGCAGTGAGCCGAGATGGTGCCACTGCACTCCAGCCTGGGCGACAAAGCAAGACTCTGTCTCAAAAAGAACAAAAATAGGAGATGGTGAGAAAAAGAAGATGGCCAGAAAGCATGAAGAAATGAAATGTGCCCTGAGGTTTAGTCTAGATATTTTGATATTGGAAATATATTAATATATCTGATCATATGGGTAGATCTGAAGAAAAACCATAAAATGGTCTCCATAGATGCTGAAAATACATTTGGCCAAATTTGACAACCATGCTTGATAAAAATATTGACTTAGGTAGATATAGATGGATATTTCCTTAACATGATAAGATAAATTGATCTCAGCTCAACATCGTGCTTAATGCCAGAATTTATAAACATTTCCAATAAAGTGAGGAATAAGATAAAAGATGTCCGTCGTCACTGCTATTATTTCACAAGGTGCTGAAGGTTTTAGCCAATGCAATTAGACAAGAGACAGAGACTAGGAGTATAAAAATTGTGAAAGGAGAAGGTAAAACTATCACTACTTGCATAAGTTATTATTGTAAACTTAAAAGTTCTTGAAAGAAGCAGAAGAAATACCTTTAAAATCTTGCAGTTAGGAAGACCTTTGCAACTATGCCTTAAAATCCTAAAGTCACAAAAGAAAAGCTTGATAAATTTGACTATATAAAACAGAAACTAGCACAAAAATAAAACGAAAAGGCGGGGAAAAGAAGTATATAAAATAAAAAGAACTGGGGAATCACATTTGCAACTCATATTCTGTCTCTGTAAGAACAACAGCTAAGTAATGAGTAAAGAATGTGTACACCTGGAAGGTTGGCAAAAATCCTAAGATTGGACAATTTAGGGGCCAAGAGCCCTCTGAAGTTTCGCTGAAAAATTAACTTGCAAAAGGCAGATTATTTGGATAAAAGGCGTGCAAATGTATTTAACATGTTTATATGGGAGCTTGAACCCGGGAGGTGGAGCTTGCAGTGAGCAGAGATGGCGCCACTGCACTCTAGCCTGGGCAGCAGAGTGAGACTTCGTCTCAAAAAAAAAAAAAAATACAGGGGAAATTGTTCATTTTTTTTCTTCAGTTTGAGAGCAAGTACTGTTTATTAACTGACCTGATTAGAAAAATAATCATGGTAGACACCTTAGTTCATTCTTCTAAGAAGCCTGTTAATCTGGTCCTCCCTGTTGCCAGCATCTCCACCTTCTACAAAATAGATGGTCAGTTTCTTCATTCCACTTCTTGGAGAAGATAATTTGAAGGGCCACAGGAAGCTATTTGCTTCTTTGAAGCATTTTCCAACAGTATAGGTCTCATGAATCAGATCCTCCAGGCAGATGGTGCCATATTTACCAAGAGATTGAGCAATCAAAGCGTTTTCTATCAAAGCAATTTGCTTCTTACTGATTTTGCCATAACCACGCTGGTAGATTAGTTCATTTACTGACTTCAGATTTGGGTACCTCCATGCAATGTATGGCTCTACAATCCACAGCATGTTAGTTGAAGCCTTGTTGAGCTTCACAAAGGTTCCATTGAAGATTTGATGAAGGCAAAGAAGCTGCAACACCTTTCGGACCTTTGTGCTCACACCATTGATACCTCTGAATCTGATGACAAACACCAATTTGGGTTCTGCAGGCACATAGACGTTGCCAGCTTTTCTTGCCATCCTCACCATTCGAATTTCAGTTCTGTACATCTGCCTATATTCCTTGTGATAGTGCTTCACTTTTTCATAGATAAGCTTCCTTTTTGCCTTTCAAAATATCTTTTGGGCAAACTTCTTTCTCAGGCGCTTGATCTTCAGTTCTGCGAAATTCCTTTGTTTTTTCTTAAGTTTCTGACACAGCGGGAAGCTGCTGCTGCTTCTCTTCGACACCCTCTATGGTTCTAGCTAGAAAAGAGGAGAAACTGCCCATTTTTATGCTTAGGTTCAACAATGTATGATCGGCCATGTAGAAAAATGATTGGACAAAAAGGGTCTAATCTAATGCTAATAGAATGAGTGGGGAAACCCAGCAAGGCCTCTCTGTCTAGATTCTTCTCGGCCTTCCTGAGCATGCATTCCTTCCTTCTGAGTATGGGGAAAGATCTCTCTGGATTGGGGGCCTTTGGGCCTACAGTCAAACAAGGTAGGTCAGATAATTTTTTTTATGGCCAGATTTTAGAAAGAAAGGCAGATGGAAACTTAGAGTAAGATTTTTAGGTTTTATGGCTGATTGGGGAAAAAGGGTTCTGGTTTCTATGGGGAAAAGGGGTACTGGTTTCTATGGCCCACCTTGGGGAAGAAGGATTCTAGTTTCTAGAATTCTAGTTTTCTAGAATTCTAGTCTTGAGGGAGAATGGGACTGAGAGATAGGAGGGTAGGAGAAGGTCAGAAAAGAACTTTTGCTTTTGAGGCCTTCATTTTGGTGTATTGTTTTCTGAGCACCAGCAATGACATTCTATGGATGCGTCTGTGTGGAACTGGACATTCTTGTATGTTGCTGGTGGGAGTCCAACTGGTAAAATGTCTATGGGTAGAATTTGGTAATAGCTATCAAAATTACCAGCACAGCCGTTCACCCAGAAATTTCACTTCTAGCAATATATGAGACAGATGTTCTTACATATGTTTAAGAAAGTATCTGTACGAGGTTACTTATTGCAGCATTACTTGCAAAAGCAAAGGGTAGAAAACAACCAAAGGTCTATCAGTGGCAGATTCATTAAATACCTATATACATATGTCAAATAAAATGAAATAAAAAAAAGTTTAGAAGCCGCCTATGTGCTGTTATGCAAAAGCCTTAAAATATATTGTACATGAAAAAGACAAGATGGAGAACACGTTTTTGGAAAAAATTGTGAAAAATAAGGGTTTATATTTATGTTTGCTTATATATGCATAAAGAAAGTCTGGAAAGATACATAAGAAACTAAGAAAAGGAATGACCTATGGAGGTGAGGGAACTGAGCAAATGGGGACAAATATAGAAGGGAGGCTGTATGCCTTTTAATATTTCCTGGTTTTTGAACCACGTGAATAACTCATGCAAAAAATAAATTTAAAAATGTCTTTAGTGTGGCCGGGCGCGGTGGCTCATGCCTGTAATGCCAGCACTTTGGGAGGCTGAGACGGGCAGATCACAAGGTCTGGAGTTCAAGACCAGCCTGACCAACATGGTGAAACCCCATCTGTTGGGAATAGGCCCCCCAAAATCTCGCCATAAACTGGCCCCCAAACTGGCCATAAACAAAATCTCTGCAGCACTGTGACATGTTCATGATGGCCATGACGCCCACGCTGGAAGGTTGTGGGTTTACCTGGAATGAGGGCAAGGAATACCTGGCCCACCCAGGGTGGAAAACTGCTTAAAGGCGTTCTTAAACCACAAACAACAGCATGAGCGATCTGTGCCTTAAGGACATGCTCCTGCTGCGGATAACTAGCCAAACTCATCCCTTTATTTCTGCCCATCCCTTTTTTTCCCATAAGGGATACTTTTAGTCAATCTAATAGCTATAGAAACAATGCTAATGACTGCTTGCTGTTAATAAATATGTGGATAAATCTCTGTTTGGGGATCTCAGCTCTGAAGGCTGTGAGACCCCTGATTTCCCACTTCACACCTCTATATTTCTGTGTGTGTGTCTTTAATTCCTCTAGCGCTGCTGGGTTAGGGTCTCCCTGACCGAGCTGGTCTCAGCACCCATCTCTACTAAAAATAAAAAAATTAGCCGGGTGTGGTGGCGTGTGCCTGTAATCCCAGCTACTCAGGAGGCTGAGGTAGGAGAATTGCTTGAACCCAGGAGGCAGTTGCGGTGAGCCGAGATCATGCCACTGCACTCCAGCCTGGGCGACAGGGTGAAACTCTGTCTCAAAAAAAAAAAAAAAAAAAAAAAATCTTTTGTCCTGAGAAATTGAGCAGTAAATTCCTGTTACTGGAATCCTTTGAAAAATGGAAGAAAAATTTTGCAGGTTATCTATAAACATTACATTCAGTGACAATAAAGAGGCAATTCTCTTACATTCTGTAGAAACAATTCACAACACTTGATGCAATGCAAAACTCCAGACTGGAATCTGAGTAGAGCAGTTGATTTCCTATCAAAATTTTGCAAAATGATCTTTGAAGAAGATGGGATAACTTGTCCTCCCAAGTTCAAGATGTCAAGTTTTATTTCAAAGCTATAGTAATCAAGAAAGTATAATATTGGCACAATATTATACAGACTAAAATAATGGGGAAAAGCCTAGAAACAGATCCACATGCATGAAAATATTATATGTGATAGGGTTAGTGTTGTAAATTGATTGGTGGATTGTTTCATAAATGATACTGAAACAATTTGTTATTGTAACAGTGAAAAAAAGGCCTATCATGACTAACTCCATTTTGCTCCTAATGCTACCCTCCCCAATTATATATTTTAGGTTAACTTCCTTCCTTATCTCTGCACATAGGCCATGTTAACTATGGGAGGAATTTAGTTTATAGGTTAATTTTAAAGCAAGGATGAAAATAGTGCCTTTCCCTAACCACCAAGGAGATAGGAAGGGCATATGAACAAGTAACAGTGTTTACTATTAAAACTAAATGTTAAAAATTTAGACAAGAAGAGGTGGCTGACTACTGTAATTCCAGCACTTTGAGAAGCCAAGGAGGGAGAATTGCTTAAGCACAGGAGTTTGAAAGTAGCCAGGGCAACTTGGCGAGATACCGTCTCTACAAAAAACATAAAATCAAAAAACAAAACCACTAGCCAGGCGTGACTGCATGAGCACATAGTTCCAGCTACTTGGGAGGCTGAGACAGGAGGATCACTTGAGCCCAGGAGGTTGAGGCTGTGGTGGGCGGTGTTCATGCCACTGCACTCCAGCCTGGGCAATGAAAACAAAACACAACAAAAAACCCCCAAAACAAAAACTACTGGGGAGGCTGAGGTGGGAGGATCCCTTGAGCACGGGAGGTTGAGGCTGCAGTGAGCTGTGATCTCCTCACTGTGCTCCAGCCTGGGTGACAGTGAGATCTTATCTCAAAAAAAAAAAAAAAAAATTATGACCTGACTAAGGACAAAGAGGTTTACCCTTAGTGACCCTTAGAAGGGAATATCTTGATGTGGGAAAGCTGTTTATGAATTGTAATATTGTGCAGTGAAAATAGTATTCCCCTCTGTAAAAATGCATACATTGTATGATCTTTTTATAAAGTGATACATAGGAATATTATTCATAGGAAAAATTTCTAGAATAATAGATCCCAGTGGATTTTAAACTTCATTCTGAAGAACTGTGAGGTGCCAAGAAGGTGCTTCGGGACTCAACTTGGCGGGTGTTTGCAGACCAAACTGTTGCGTTTTCAGGCATCCACCTCCTAATTGTATGTTTTACATATTGATAACCTACATAAGATTCATTTAAAGAAGTTTTGCAAGTTTGAAAAATTTGCAAATCACTTACATATACTGAGTGTAAAAGTAATTATCTCTAGATGTTTTTCTCTCTTTTTTTTTTTATTTAATCACTGAAGTCCCAACTGACCTATTAACAGGAAGCCCAATTACCTGCTGTAATTTTCGTTTCTTTGAATATCTTGCATTTTCAGATTTCTCTGTAATGCAAAGTATTGATTTTGTAATAAGAACAATTGTTATTTTAATTTTTAAAAAGCTAATAAGACAAGAACAACATTACATTCACTTGATAGTGACATTTTAATACATTAAATCAGAAAAGAGTCTCAGCAAAAGGAATTGTAGGGGGGTTCTTATTCTTGAGTAGAGCACAGTGGTTTATTTGTATCTGTGGGTTTATCTGTTTCCATAGTAGCAACCTAGGTCAACTGAGAACAGGTGGATTGGGTTTTCTGTTGAATATGACCTCTTATTACCTTGTAAGTTAAGTTCTTGCTCTATTTGGCTGTATGAGACCAATGACTGGGAGAATCTGAACCAAACTAGAGAGTAACTAAAGGACATAGTCAGAGCAAAAAAATATGAAAAAGTTTGTTTTAAAATCCTTCTGCATTAGTTGAGCGTGGTGGCGCAATGCCTGTAGTCCCAGCTAATTGCCAGGCTGAGGCAAAAAGATCACCTGGGCCCAGTGGAGGCGGCAGTGAGCTATGGTTTTACCACCGCAACTGCAGCCTGGATGACAGAGTGAGACTGGTCTCAAAAAAAAAAAAAAAAAAAAGAGGAAGAAGAAAAATGACTAAATAAAAATCCCTCTGTAACTAATTTTACATTATATTCCTGAATTTTTCGCAGGTGAACCAAGTAGCAAAGTGTTAGCATGGCTATTAAGTTCAGTAGATAGTCCTATTGCATTGTGTTACTTATTAGTTTATATTAAGAAATGATCTACTAATACTTAATGGGTCTTGGCCTTTTAACATTTAAAAGACTCCTCAAGGCTTTTAGGAAGTTAATAAAACACTGGTTCCTTCAGTTTTTAGAGGTAATAATGAGAGAAATAAGCATGTGGAGTTGGTTACAGTACATCTTTTTAATTTGGAAAGGTTTATCTTTTGACTTCCTGCCATTAGTGCATATATTCCCTGGGCAAGTTAAAAGGTGTTTTTTCTGCATTAATTTATCCTTTCTTTTCTTTTTTTCTTTTTTTTTTAACGTTTATTTTAAGTTCGGGGGTATTGACAAAAAGAGTCAAACTCTGTAAAATATTTGAAGAGATTTATTCTGAGCCAAATATGAGTGACGATGGCCCATAACACAGCCATCAGGAGGTCCTGAGAACATGTGTCCAAGGTGGTCGGGGTACTGCCCAGTTTTATACATTTTAGGGAGACATGAGACTTCAATCAAATACATTCAAGTAACACATTGGTTTAGTTCAGAAAGGCGAGACAACTTGAAGGGTGGGGCTTTCTGGTTACAGGTAAATTTAAAATTTTTCTGGCTGACAATTGGTTGAGTTTATCTAAAGACCTGGGATCAATAGAAAGGAAATATTCTGGTTAAAATAAAGAATTGTGGGCTGGGCGCGGTGGCTCACGCCTGTAATCCCAGCACTTTGAGAGGCCGAGGTGGGCGGATCACCTTGGGAGTTTGAGACCAGCCTGACCAACATGGAGAAACCCTGTCTCTACTAAAAATACAAAATTAGCTGGACGTGGTGGTGCATGCCTATAATCTTAGCTACTCAAGAGGCTGAGGCAGGAGATTCGCTTGAGCCTGGGAGGCGGAGGCTGCGGTGAGCCGAGATCGCGCCATTACACTCCAGCCTCAGCAAAAAGAGCGAAACGAAAAAAAAAAAAAGATGAGGAATTGTGGAGACCAAAGTTTTTATTGTGCAGACGAAGCCTTCAGGTAGCAGGCTCCAGAGAGAATAGATTGCAAATGCTTCTTATCAGACTTAAGGCCTGTGTTGATGTTAATGCCAGGGAGGTATAATGAGGCCTGTCTGACCCTCACTTCCAGCCATGGCCTGAGCCAGTCCTTCAGGTTAAATTTTCACGCGGAGGAGGTAGTGCATTCAGATGGCTGGGGCGAGGGGAGGGTCTTAGAATTTTATTTTTGATTTACAGGGGTACAAGGGCAGATTTGTTACATAGGTAAACTTGTGTCCTGGGGGTTTGTTGTACAGATTTATTCTTTCATTCATTCTGTAATTACTAACCAGGAGCTTCCCAAATGCAAGATTAAATGTCTATTGAGTACTAATGGTGTGAGCCCTGTACTCATTGTGCCTGTAAACCTGAAAGCAAGTCAGGAGAAATTTGAGTTTGACTTAGCTTGTCAAACGTATGTTTAGCCAACTTAGGACATTTCTTAATAAAAGTGAAACATCAACCCTTAAATTCATTTAGTAAAGGGTGTGAAACCATGCTTGCTTCTTAGGAGCAACATCTCTAAAACTTATCTTTCGCTTCTTCCTATTATGGCAAAAGTGTCCTGTTTTTCTTATCCAAACTGAGGACTAAGCTCAGATTGTTTTTCTTATCTTGCCCAAATTCCCTATCTAAGGGGTTTGGGGAGTCATGCCCTACAAACCATAAATTCTCATCAGATGAGTTTTGTTTAGACCTATATATTGTTACTACTTTCCAATCTGACTTTGGCATAATATTACGTGACAAAGAAGAAAATCAAAATATTTTACCTGAAAACGTGTTTCTTTGCCACATTTTGAAATGGCCCTGCAAAGCTGCCCTTTGTGGGGGAAAATTTGCATCTGTAAAGAATCTCTATTAACATAGCCAGATCTTTTTCTTCTAGGCCCTCCCAATCCTGAAGAGATTAACTGAGAGTCTAGCACCACTTAAAGGTCTGAACAGGAAACATTTGTCATCTGTTGTCTCTAAAGGCAGCCACTATGAGACTTCAAAAGAACCTTGGTCTCCGCAATCTTTTATCTTAAGCTGAACATTTCCTTTCTATTGATCCCAGGTCTTTAGACAAACTCGACCAATTGTCAACCAGAAAATGTTTAACTAGAACTCCCCCACTGTCCGCCACCCCCTTTGAGTTGTCTTGCCTTTCTGGACCAAACCAATGTAATACTTAAATGTATTTGGTTGATGTCTCATGCCTCCCTAAAATGTATAAAACCATGTTGCACCTTGACCACCTTGGGCCCATGTTCTCAGGACCTCCTGAGGGCTGTGTCATGGGCCGTGGTCACTCATATTTGGCTCAGAATAAATCTCTTCAAGTATCTTATGATATGTCATGATCAGACAATGAAACTTGACTTAAAACTCAATACAAAAACTAACATGGAATGAGCCATGAACTTATATGTAAAATATAAAATATAAACTCTTGGCTGGGTGTGGCAGCTCACACCTGTAATCTCAGCACTTTGGGAGGCTGAGGCGGGTGGATCACCTGAGGTCAGGAGTTCGTGACCAGCCTGGCCAACATGGTGAAACCCCGTCTCTACTAAAAATACAAAAATTAGCTGAGTGTGGTGGTGGGTGTCTGTAATCCCAGTTACTTGGGAGGCTGAGGCAGGAGAATCGCTTGGACTCAGCAGGCAGAGGTTGCAGTTAGCCGAGATGGCACCATAGCACTCCAGCCTGGGCAAGAGAGCCAGAATCCATCTCAAAAAGAAAAAAAAAAGATAATTTGGCAGGTAGGGGAGCCAGGGAGTGGGGGAGTATTGACTGGTCAAGTGGGAGATGAAATCATAGGGGATCAAGATGGGTTCTTTTTGCTGCCTTCCGTTCCTGGATGGGATTGCAGAACTCGTTGACCTAGATTACCGGTCTGAGTGGCTGCAGCTGGTGCATCAGTAGGAAAGGTCTCAAAGCACTAGTCTTAAGTTTTACAATAGTGATGTTATCCCTAGGAGCAACTGGGGAAGTTCAGAATCTTGTGGCCTCTAGCTGCATGACTTCTAAACCATAACTTCTTTTTTTTTTTTTTTGAGACCAAATCTTGCTCTGTCGCCCAGGCTGGAGTGCAGTGGCGCAATCTCTGCTCACTGCAACCTCCATCTTCCAGGTTCAAGCGATTCTCCTGCCTCAGCCTCCCGAGTAGCTGGGACTACAGGCGCCCACCCCACGCCCTACTCATTTTCGTAGTTTTGGTAGAGACGGGGTTTCACCATATTGGTCAGGCTGGTCTCCATCTCCTGACCATGCGATCCACCCACCTCGGCCTCCCAAAGTGCTGGGATTACAGGCGTGAGCCACCATGCCCGGCCATAAACCATAACTTCTAATCTTGTGGTTAATTAGTCTTACTGTAGCAGGACAAGCTGCAGGCAAAAATCCTCAGACACCGAGTTAAAGAAGGAAGAGGTTTATTCGGCCGGGAGCATCGGCAGGACTCCTGTCTCAAGAGCCGAGCTCCCCGAGTGAACAATTTCTGTCCCTTTTAAGGGCTCACAACTCTAACGGGGTCCGCATGAGAGGGTCGTGATCGGTTGAACAAGCAGGGGGTATGTGACAGGGACTGCATGCACCGGTGATCAGAGTGAAACAGAACGGACCGGGAAGTTTTACAGTGTCTTTCTATAATCTATAGATAACATCAGTTGCTGGGCCAGGGGTCGAATTTTAACTACCAGGCTTAGGTCAGGCAGGCCCAGGCCTGGTTTTGGGTCTGGTTCCTTGGTTTTGGGTCTGGTTCCTAGGCGCCAGGCTACCCGCCTTTAGTTTTGGTTCTCTTTCCTTTTCTGAGGATAGAACAATATAAAACAATATGAGAGGGTCTGTCTCTCTTCTCTCATTACAAAGGCAGTCTGATCCCCAGGCAAGAAGAGGATTTGTTCCAGGAAAGGGTTATTATCTATCATCTTTATTTCAAGGTTCAACAATACACTACTATGCCCAGGAATGAACAAGGGCAGCTTAGAGGTTAGAAGCAAGATGGAATTGGTGAGGTCAGATCACTTGCACTGTCATAATTTTCTCACTGTTATAATTTTTGCAAAGGTAGCTTCAACTTGAATGGTACAGAAACATTTTTAAAAGAACACACCTAAAACTGAACTCATTATCTTCCTCCCAAAATCTGTCCTTCAGTGTTTCCTCTCAGGTGTCCTAGGCTTTGGTCTAGATTCCCTTTCTTGCTCTCTCTGACCTTCTTAAGAAACTGAAGCCAGCCTGGTGGGATGATCACAGGTAAAGGGGGCCCTGAGATAGGTGGTTCTCAGACCCATCCAAAGTAGGAAGATTGTTTTCCTATGACTACACAGCGAGGTGGAGAAATTGACTATAAAGTTGAGTTTGCAGCTGGAAAAACAGGATTGAGCACTGAGGCCAAAGCACTAGCAAAGACAAATACTGGAAACAAGGATCAACGTTGGTGGTTGGGAAATTTGAAACCAACATAGGCTAAGTAGTGAACACACGGTTGAAAAGAGTGGACCAGAAGTGAGTTATTTAGGTGGAAGTGGGGTAAGGGTTGTAGATTAGCTATTGGGGACAATGTTCACTATTTGGGTGATGGGTCCACTAGCAGCCCAGACTTCACCATAATGCAGTACAAGCCTGTAAGAAATCTGTACTTGTATCTCTTAAATATATTAAAATTTAAAACATTTTTTAAAAGTAAATAAAAAAAGTGGGACGATAAAGAAAAAAAGTGAGTTATTAATGGTGGGTGGAAGTAGCAACTTTCCTTTAAGTACTGGTGAATTGTATTGCTGAGTAAACGTCGTGGCATAAACAGTATCTTCACATCCTTAGCTGTGGCACTGAAATGAAGCTGTATGGATTGGTGATTGGTCTATGAAGACAAAAACTTTGTGAGAATTGGGAATAATTATTTTTTAAAAGACAAGTGGAATTTAAGAATTTTATCTATATCAGGGCCGGGCACAGTGGCTCACGCCTGTAATCCCAGCACTTTGGGAGGCCAAGTCAGGCGGATCATGAGGTCAGGAGATTGAGACCATCCTGGCTAACATGGTGAAACCCCGTCTCTACTAAAAATACAAAAAAAATTAGCCTGGCATGGTGGCAGGCACCTGTAGTCCCAGCTACTCGGGAGGCTGAGGCAGGAGAATGGCGTGAACCCGGGAGGCGGAGCTTGCAGTGAGCCGAGATCGAGCCACTGCACTCCAGCCTGGGCGACAGAGCGAGACTCCGTCTCAAAAAAACAAACAAACAAAAAAACAAAAAAAGAATTTTATCTAGATCAAAACATGCAAGTATGTTGATTTCCCAAACTTTTGATGTAAGTGCAAGACCTTCCCTTTGAGTTTAGGTTCACTCTTGGAATTCCTATACTCTTTCTTGCTTGAACTACCCCCTTAATTTCCATCATCACAGAAATTTCACTGGACAGTCTTAACTGTCACCTGAACACCAAAATGCCATGCAAAGTCCCTGATACTTCTTTTTCCAGCCTGACTTTCTGTCAATCCCTCATGCTCATCTTTGGCCACAGTCACACTATTAACACCACTTGTAGACTAAACACAGCAGCTATTTCATATTACTGCAGTCATACATGCTAATCCTTCACTAGAATACTGGTTCAGTTGAATGGGGCCTTGTGAATTCCTACTCAATCCCTTATGATCCAACACAGTTGACAATTCTTGTCATCTTTCCTGATTCTCCCAGGCATGAATAGTTGATTTGTTCTCTTTGTTTTAACAGCATTGTGTACATATTCTACAAAGCACTTACCACATCCTCTCTCCTCCAACAGACTGAGTTCTTTGAGGCCAGGAACCACATGTTATCCATCTTCGTATTGCTGGTAGCTAACGCAGGTCCTGGCATATAGTAGGTTCTTGATCAATATTTATTGAATAAATACAGTAAATACTGTCTGGTAATAGCTTTTTATTTATTTATTTATTTATTTATTTATTTGAGATGGAGTTTCACTCTCGTTGCCCAAGCTGGAGTGCAATGGAGCAATGTCAGCTCACTGTAGCCTCCACCTCCCAGTTTCAAACGATTCTCCTGCCTCAGCCTCCCCAGTAGCTGGGATTACAGGCATGCGCCACCATGCCCAGCTAATTTTTGTATTTTTAGTAGAGACGGGGTTTCGCCATGTTGACCAGGCTGGTCTCGAACTCCTGACCTCAGGTGATCCGCCCGCCTCAGCCTCCCAAAGTGCTGGGATTACAGGTGCGAGCCACTGTGCCTGGCCGTAATAGCTTTTTAAGTGTGTGTATACCTTGTGCAAGATTAAGCTCCATCTCGTGTGACCACCAAGATGCTCTCTTGGGAAAGGATGCAAGACCAGGACTCAGATGAGTGTTGCAATTGTGGACACAGGGAGGGGCAGCCATGTATTTGCTGATCTCAGTCTATACCATAATTTTTTTTTTTAGTTTCCTTGTATGGTTACTGCACCATGCTATAATATTTGGTTATAGTCTGAATAACACATGCAAAGAGACAGATTTGCCATCCTAAATAATAATTAGAATGGCTAAAATTAATTTCCCTTTCATGTATATAGGTAAATCAACTATTTGTAATCCTGGTGACACATTAGAGTCATCTCTAGAACTTAAGCATTTTTAATGCCTGGGCATCACTTCAGATTGAATGAATCATGATTTCTGGCGTGGAGCCAGGCGTCAGTATTTTCAGAGAGATCCTGGGTGATTCTTTGTGTAGCCAAAGTGGCATACAACAGTCAGCAAAGTGCTGAGTTACACCCAACGTGCAGGTGGTCATTATTCAGTCCAGGTATGTTTTCCTTAGTCAGTTGGTTTCAGAACATGATGGTGGAACATATCAAGTGGTTGTTATTACCAGCAAAGTTTAGCTGCTCCATGAGCTGTATTTGTTGGGTGGATAGTGGCAGGCAGAGCAAATGACATCTATATGTTTGGTGTTTTTGGTGAAAGAGGAATTAAGGTCAAATGCGAGGGGAGTTCCAATCTTCAAATTGATCATTGATAACATTTCTGGTGCCCCTGTTACTTGCTCACCCCTGCCCTTTACTAGGGAAAGCAGAGGCAGCAGAGATGTGGTCCTTGCCCTCAGTGGAGGAGGTGACAGGGAGGGGAGGAAGAGTTGCAAAGCCACTCTTACCCTCTAGACACTTTCTATGTGTTATCTCATGTAATCCTCATGATAGCCTAGTAAATTAGATGTGACTGTTGTCACACAAAAAATGGATTCTCGGCCAGGTGTGGTGGCTCCTGCCTGTAATCCCAACACTTTGGGAGGCCAAGGTGGATGGATCACCTGAGGTCAGGAGTTGGAGACCAGCTTGGCCAACATGGTGAAATCCTGTCTCTACTGAAAATACAAAAATTAGCAGGCGTGGTAGCCCGTGCCTGTAATCCCAGCTACTTGGGAGGCTGAGGCAGGAGAATCGCTTGAACCCCGGAGGCAGAGGTTGCAGTGAGCTGAGATTGTGCCATTGCACTCCAGGCTGGGTGACAAGAGCAAAACTCCATCTCAAAAAAAAAAAAAAAAAAAAGAGAGAGAGAAAATGGATTCTCTTAATTTCCTCTTCCACAAAATGGGAATATTAATTGTTTTTACCTCCTTGAGTTGTTGTGTAGGTTAGAGGAAATTAATACATATTAAGCTCTTAGCATCACTGAACATACTAAGCATTCAATAAACACTGGAGATTCTTGTTATTGCCCAAGGTCTTAAAATGAGCAAGTGGCGAGGGAGCTAGGATTAAAACCTAAGGCTGTCTAACTCCGGAAGTCATGTACTTTCTTCTCAGCTTTGCAGGCCAGGTGGGGATTTAAGAATAACGCTATGAAAGCTGGGCACTGTGGTGCACACCTGTAGTCCAAGCTACTTGGGAAGCTGAGGCAGGAGGATCACTTGAGGCCAGGAGTTCGAGGCTGCAGCGTGCTATGATTGTGCCTATGAATAGCCACTGCATTCCAGCACAGGCAACACAGCAAGACCCCGTCTCTAAAAATAATGACAATAATAATAATTCCATGAAACTACAATATGAAGTTGCAATAGATGCAACGTATAATGCAGTGCCAAAAAAAGGGAGGGCCAGAGCATGAGAGCTGCACAATCACACTCAACCAGGGATGACAGTGAGTGTGGGCGGGACACAGAATGTAGAAACCCAAAATCAGGGTTCAAGTCCTCCCTTCACCATGTATTAGCTGTCTGATTTGGGACCAGTTACATCTCTAGTGGCCTCAATTTCTTCTTTACATAAAATAGAAGTGATAATAATACATTTAACTTTTTTATTATTAATCAGGGTACTGCTGAGAAAGAATCAACAGGAGGCCAGGAGTGGTGGCTCACGCCTGTAATCCCAGCACTTTGGGAGGCTGAGGCGGGTGGATCACTTGAGGTCAGGAGTTGGAGACCAGCTTGGCCAACATGGCAAACCCCATCTCTACTAAAAATACAAGAATTAGCCAGGTGTGGTGGCGTGGGCCTGTAATTCCGGCTACTCAGGAGGCTGAAGCAGGAGAATCACTTGAACCAGGGAAGCGGAGGTTGCAACGAGCCGAGATCATGCCACTGCATTCCAGCCTAGGCGACAGAGTGAGACTCCATCTCAAAAGAAAAAGAATGAATCAACAGGATATTTATTTATTTATTTATTGAGACGGAGTCTCGCTCTGTCGCCTAGGCTAGAGTGCCATGGCACGGTCTCGGCTCACTGCAACCTCCGTCTACCAGGTTCAAGCGATTCTCCTCCCTCAGCCTCCTGAGCAGCTGGGATTACAGGTGCGTGCCACCACACCCGGCTAAAACAGGAGATTTATTTCTTTATGGAATTGGCCCACACACTTAGAGAGGCAGAGAAGAGTCCCAAGATCTGCAGTTGGCAAGCTGGAGACTCAGGAGAGCCAACGATATTGTTCTAGCCCAAGTCTGAAGGCCTGAGAATCAGGAGAGGTGGATGTAAATTCCAGTTCTAGTCTGGGCCCAAAGGCAAGGGAAGACTGATGTTCTTGCTTGATGACAGTCGTGTCATGAGAGCAAATTCTCCGTCACTCAACTATGTTGTCTATTCAGGCCTTCACTGAATTGGGTGAGGCCCACTCACACTGGGGAGATCAATCTTCTTTACTCAGGTTACAGATTCAATTGTTGATATTTATCCGGAAACACTCTCACAGACACATTCAGAGTAATGTTTAAGCAAATATTGGGGCACCCTGTGGCCAATCAAGTTGACACATGAATTAACCATCACAATCATGTTTTCCTCCTTCTTTGCATGCCTGGTACTTTTTGATAAAATGCCAGAAATTGTGAATTTTATCCTGTTGAGTGCTGTATATTTTAATATTCTTTTAATTATTCTCTAGCTTTGTTCTGGGACACTGTTAGTTACTTGGAAATGTCTGTATCCTTCTGGATCTTGCTTTTAAGCTTTGCTAAGTGGACTGGAACAGGATTTGGTCAAGGGCTAATTTTGCCCCGCTACTGAGAGAATACTCTTCTGAGTACTCCACTTAATGTCCGGTGAGTTGGTCTGTCTGTTGGGCAGATGAATTATTCACATACCAGATCTGTGTGATCTCCCAGGACTGTTCCCTCTAATCACTCATGTGCTGATAAATAATTAGCTGAGGACTGGAGAGGGATCTTTCACAGATCTCCAGATTTATCTGTCTCTGCAACTCTCTCCTCTCCAGTACTGTGCCCTGTGAACTCTAGCTGCCTTGGCCTCCCTGAACTTCCACCATCTCAATTCAGCTGGGCTGGGCTTCATCTAGTTTCCCTCACCCTAAACTGCAGCCTGGTAAATCTCTCCAGGCAATAAGCTTGGGCAGTTCTGGGTTCACTTGGTTTGTTTCTCACCACTCAGGGAATAGTTTCTTGCATTGCCTGATGTCCAATGTCTGAAAACCATTGTTTACACACCATTTTTTCAGTCATGTCCGTCATCCTGGGCCTTGTTACTCCATCTTACTGGGAAGCAGAAGTCACTTTCTTACTGTTTTTGAGGTTGGCATTGAAAGATGCCAGAATATGCCTCCTCAAAGTGTGCTGCTTTGTCATATGCATTACTTTAAGTTAAAGGCAATTGAGAACCAGCAGATGCAGAAAAGCTCTTTACCTCCCTCTAACTGCATGAAAGTGGAGTATTCATTTCCCCTTTTGTAAAATACATTTACATTTATAAAGAAAATTTCTATTTGTAAAGGTATGTCTGTACCAGGAAGAAAGGTACTCTGGCAGACAACTCTTATCACCTGAGACTCTTAGCTGCATAACCAGACTACTTTTATTTATTACATATTTCCGCTCCTCTCTCTCCCATAATGTGCCTCCCCGACTCAGAAGCCCCAAACCCCTTTTAATTTGTTTAGCCTAAGATGATAAATAAGCCTCACTTATCTGGCCACCTCTTTGAGTCACTTTTCTTTCTGAAACTCCTTTGCATACATATGTAATTAAACTTTTCTCTTATTTATTTATTTATTTTTGAGACAGAGTCTCACTCTCACCCAGGCTGGAGTACAGGTGTGTGATCTTGGCTCACTGCAGCCTTGACCTCCTAGACTCAGGTGATTCTCCCACTTCTGAGTAGCTGGGGCTACAGGCGCCTGCCACCACACCCAGCTAATTTTTTGTATTTTTAGTAGAGATGGAGTTTCACCATGTTGCCCAGGCTGGTCTTGAACTCTTGGGCTCAAGTGATAGGCCCGCTTGGCTTCCTAAAGTGTTGGGATTACAAGCATGAGCCATCATGTCTGGCCTCTCTTGTTAATCTGTCTTTTATTAGCTTAATTTTCAGGGCCCCAGTGGGAGACCCTAGAAGGATAGAGAGATAAAGCTTTTCCTCCCCTATAGCATATGTATAATAATAGAATGGCTCCATTTGAGCCTGCAATGTGGTTATGTGTGTTTGCGATGGTTGATGAATGTGGCTAACAAGGGGGAGGTGTGGGGGAGGGTGACAGGGATCCAGGTTATTTGTTTTTTCTTTCTTTCTTTCTTTTTTTTTTTTTTTTTGAGATGGGGTCTCACTCTGTCGCCCAGGCTGGAGTGCAGTGGCGCAATCTTAGCTCACTGCAACCTCCACCTCCCGGGTTCAAGCAATTCTCCTGCCTCAGCCTCCCGAGTAGCTGGGACTACAGGCGCACGCCACCACGCCTAGCTAATTTTTTGTATTTTAGTAGAGATGGGGTTTCACTGTGTTGCCCAGACTGGTCTGGAACTACTGAGCTCAGGCAATCCACCTGCCTCACCCTCTCAATGTGTTAGGATTACAGGCATGAGCCAGTGCGCCCGGACTCATTTGTTTTTTTCTAAAAAATTATCTCCAAATGCATTTTTGAAAAGTAGTTTTGTTTAAAAATATGAAAACAATATATATTCAAGTAGATAGTATGAACACAGTATAGATATTATAAAGTGCAAATTAAGTGTTATAATTGGTTCACAACTTTATTATTCAATCTCATCCTAGTCAGCAGAATGAATTGCATGGGGGGTGTGTGTGTGTGTGTGTGTGTGTGTTTGTGTGTGTGTTTGGTGTGTGTGTATTCTTCTGGTGTTTCTGAATTGTAATATGGTGTTAGGATTTTATACAATATAATTCAAGCATAATATAGTATTTTTGACACAAATGATCGTTAGAAATATAAATTCTTAATAGCCTATCATTATTTCAAGAACTAACATTTAATAATATAATTTTTTGTTATAACTTTTTTTTTTTTTTTTTTTTAATGGAGTTACCCTTTTGTTGCCCAGGCTAGAGTGCAATGGCGCGATCTCGGCTCACCGCAACCTCCTCCTCCCGGGTTCAAGTGATTCTTCTGCCTCAGCCTCCCAAGAAGCTGGGATTACAGGCATGCACCACCATGCCTGGCTAACTTTGTATTTTTAGTAGAGACGGGGTTTCTCCATGTTGGTCAGGCTGGTCTCGAACTCCCGACCTCAGGTGATCCGCCCATCTCGGCCTCCCAAAGTGCTGGGTTACAGGCATGAGCCACCGCGCCAAGCCTGTTATATCTTTTAAATTTTGTTTTGTTTATGTATTTTGAAGAAAGGTGAATGAAGTGTGAACATTTTTCAAGAGTGCTCTATAGTTTTTTCGTTAATAAACTAATAATATGTGTTCATCTTACAAATTAAAGAAGGCTGGGTGTGGTGACACATGCCTGTTGTCCCAGCGACTGTAATACTCCAACTGGGTTCTTCTTGCCCACTGCCCAGAAAAGCCAAGACACTAAGAACAGTAGGAGTTGCAGTGGAGAAAGAGTCTAATAATAGCAAGGCTAGCCAAGCTAGGAAAACAGGAGATGTTTTTCAAGTCTGCCTCCCTAAGAGTTCGGAGGCTAAGGTTTTTCAAGGATAGTTTGGTGGGCAGGGGACTAGGGAATGGAGAATGCTGACTGATTGTTTGGGTTAGGGATGAAATCATAGGGGTTCGAAATTGTCTTCATGGACTAAGTCAGTTTCTGAGTGGGGAGCCAGTTAGGTCATTTCCTTTGTGTGGGTCGTGAGTCCAGATGTGTTAGCCCACCAGAATGCAAAATCTGAAAAATATTGCAAACACCAGTCTCAGGTTTAACAGCAGTGATGTTATCTATAGGGGCCATTAGAGAAGTTACAAATCTTGTGACCTCTGGCTACATGACTTCTACTTACATAAGTTAGGAGACAATGACTAGTTACTATTTTACTATGCCTAGGGCTTAGCAGAATTCAGGCCTCTACCATAATTCTAACCTTATAGCCTTTCATTAGCTTTACAAAGGGCAGTTTCAGTCTCTGAACAAGGAGCAGGGTAATTTTAGGAAGGGCTGTCATCATCCTTGCTCTACGGTTAAGCTATAAATTAAATTCTTCCCATAATTAGCTTGGCCTATGCCTGGGAATGAGCAAGCACAGTTAGCTTGTGAAGTTAGAAGCAAGATGGAATCAGTTATGTTAGATTTCTCTCACTGCTATCATTTTTGCAAAGGTGGCTCCCATTCTTGGGAAGCTGGGGTGGGAGAATCACTTGATCCCAGAAGTTCAAGACCAGCCTGGGCAACACAGTGAGACCTTGTCTCAAAAAAAAAAAAAAATAAAAAACAAAAAAAAAATAAAAAGAAGAAAATAAAAATTACTTTGAATCCTACCACCCAGAGATGACTTTGACCACTGTAGCTACTTAGTAATTCTTTTACCAATTAAATTAGCAGAAAATATCCTTATACCTAATAAAATTATATGACATAGTGCACAGGATTGTTTCGCGTATATGTAATAGTACCTAGTAAGCATTTGTTCTCTCTTTTTTTTTTCTCTCTCTTGCTCTCTTGTGCTCCCTTGTTTTCACTCTCCTTAGTTATTGTTCTCCTGATTATATGATTTGGATCTGTGTGTCTTTGCCAAATCTCGTGTTGAAATGTAATCTTGGGCTGGGCGCAGTGGCTCATGCCTGTAATCCCAGCACTTTGGGAGGCTGAGGCAGGTAGGATCACCAGAGGTCAGGAGTTCGAGACCAGCCTGTGGCTGGGTTTAGTAGAGACGGAGAAACCCCATTTCTACTAAAAATACAAAAAATTAGTCTGGTGCGGTGGCAGGCGTCTGTAATCCCAGCTATTCGGGAGGCTAAGGAAGGAGAATTGCTTGAACCCAGGAGGAAGAGGTTGTGGTGAGCCGAGATGACGCCATTGCACTCCAGCCTGGGCAAAAAGAGCTAAAGTCCTTCGCAAAAAAAAAAAAAAAAAAGAAATGTAATGTCTGTTGTTGGAAGTGGGGCCTGGTGGGAGATGTTTGTATCATGAGGGTGTGTCCTTCATGAATGGCTTACTGCCATCTACTTGGTGCTGAGAGAGTTCACACGAGATCTGGTTGTTTAAAAGTGTGTGGCACCTCTCACTCTCCCTCTCTTCCTCCTACTCTGGCCGTATGATGTGCCTGCTCCCTCTTTGCCTTCCACCATGATTGGCAGCTCCCTGAGGCCTCCCCAGAAGCTAAGCAGATGCTAGCACTATGCTTCCTGTAAAGCCTGAAGAACCGTGAGCCAATTAAAACTTTTGTCTTTATAACTTACCCAGTCTCAGGTATTCCTTTGTTTTTTTTTGTTTTCTTTTTTTGTTTTGCGACAGAGTCTCACTCTGTTGCCCAGGCTGGAGTGTAGTGGCGTGATCATGGCTCACTGTAGCTTCAAACTCTCCAGCTTAAGCAATCCTCCCACCTTAGCCTCCTGAGTAGCTGGGACTACAGGCATGTGCCACCAAGTCCAGTTAATTTTTAAATGTTTTATAGAGACAGGGTCTCACTATGGCTGGTCTCAAACTTCTGGGTTCAAGTGATTCTCCTGCCTTGGTCTCCCAAAGTGTTGAGATTACAGGTGTGAGCCACTGCGCCTGGCCAGATATTCCTTTACAGCAGTGCCAGAATGGCCTAATATACGTGATAAGGTATATATGATGGTCAGTAAACACATATTGATGAACTAACTAAGTAGGACAGTTGATTCCATTTGCTAATTCAAAATACATTTGTTGAGCAAAACAGATATAGTCCCTGCACTGATGAAGCTTTTACAGTCTCAGGAGAAACTACTACTAATCAAATAACCATACAAATAAGCATAACCCACAAGCTATGCTAAATACTATGAAGCTATGCTAAGTATTAGGAAACTATGATAAATACTTGGACCTGACCAAGCTAGATGGTCCAGGAGCGTTTTCCTGGGAAAGCAATTTGTCAGTTGAAGGATTCATCCTGACGAAGGAGCAGGGCAGGAGTGTTTGGGCATCGCACACACAAAGGCTCCAAGGTGGATGGCAGGTGATGCTGAGGGAATCAAGAAGGTGCACATGCAGATGCACAGAGTGGGGCTTAGCAGGCTTAAGAGGCGGAGCGGGGTCACATCACCCTGGGGCTTGTAGGCCACATTAAAGTTGTGAGCCTTTAACCTAAAAGTGGCATGAAAACATTGAAGGATTTTAAGAAAAGAAGCATCAGAATTGGATTTGTGTTTTGAAAATACCCTTGACTGTGTGGAGAATGGCTAGAGGCAAGCAAAAATTAATGCAGGGGGAGCAGGAGGCTGTTGAAGTAGAACAGGTGAATGGGGGTAGAGGCTTTGACTAGAGGGTAATGGGGGTAAAAGTCATGGCAATGGCAATGTTGGGGAGAGGGAGAGGGAGAGGGAAATGTTCAGCACGACACACAAGTTTCTCAATTTTAAAGGTATGTGGACCAACAATGTATAAGAAGAATTATTCACTACAACCAAGTGGGATTTAGTCCAGGCATGCAAGCCCAGCTCAACATTAGAAATCAATTAATGTAATTAATCTACCATATCAACAAGCTAAAGAAGAAAAGTCACATAAACATATCACAAAGAAAGCATTTAACAAAATCTAATATCTATTCATGATTTTAAAAAAAGTGTCAGCAAGTTAGAAATGCAGAGATTTATCTCAACTTGATCAAGAGCATCTACAAAAACCTACAGCAAGCCTGGGCAACAAAGTGAGACCTGTCTCTATAAAACATAAACAAAATTATACAGGTGTGGTGGTGCACACCTGTAGTACCAGCTTCTTGGGAGGCTGAGGCAGCAGTGAGCCACGATTACGGCACTGCTCTCCAAGGTCGGCAACAGAGAATGACCCTGTCTCAAAAAAAAAAAAAAAAAAATCCTACAGCTAAGATCGCATTTCATTGTGAAAGACTGAATGCTTTTGCTCTAAGATTAGGAACAAGGCAAGGATGTCAGCTCTCATCACTCTTATTCAACATAGTACTGAAAGTTCTAGCCCCTGCAGTAAGCAAGAAAAAAAAAGAGAGAGAAAGAAAGAAAGAAGAAAGAGAGAGAAAGAAGAAAGGAAGGAAGGAAGAGAGGGAGGGAGGAAAAGAGAAAGGACATACATATCAGAACAGAAGAAGAGGCCCGGCACGGTGGCTCACGCCTGTAATTCCAGCACTTTGGGAGGCCAAGGCGGGCTGATCACAAGGTCAGGAGATCGAGACCAGCCTGGCTAACACAGTGAAACCCCGTCTCTACTAAAAATAAAAAAAAATTAGCCAGGCGTGGTGGCGGGCGCCTGTAGTCCCAAGCTACTTGGGAGGCTGAGCAGGAGAATGGTGTGAACCTGGGAGGCGGAGTTAGCAGTGAGCCAAGATCACACAACTGCACTCCAGCCTGGGCAACAGAGCGAGACTCTGTCTCAAAAAAAAAAAAAAAAAAGAACAGAAGAAGAAATAAAACTGTTTGCAGATGACATCATTATCAACATAGAAAATGCCAAGAATTCTACAGAAAAAAAAAATCTGCCAGAACTAAGTGAGTTAAGCAAGGTCACAGGATACAAGATCAACACAAATATCAATCACATTTCGGTGTACTAACGGTGAACACATAGAAACTGAATTTTAAGCCAAGCGTGGTGGCTCACACCTGTAATCCTAGCACTCTGGGAGGCCGAAGGGGGCAGATCATGAGGTCAGGAGATCGACACCAACCTGGCTAACAGGGTGAAACCCGTCTCTACTAAAAAATACAAAAAAAATTGGCCGGGCCTGGTGGCGGGCACCTGTAGTACCAGCTACTAGGGAGGCTGAGGCAGGAGAATGGCGTGAACCTGGGAGGTGGAACTTGCAGTGAGCGGAGATTGCACCACTGCACTCCAGCCTGGGCGACAGAGCAAGACTCCGTCTAAAAAAGAAAAAAAGGAAGAAACTGAATTTTAAAATGCAATACCTTCTTAGGCTGGCATTGCTGTAATAAAAATAAAATGAAATGCAATACCATTTGATTGCTCTAAAGAAAACAAAATACTTAGGTATATGTTCAACAAAACATGTACAAGATCTGTGTGCTGAAAACTACAAAATACTGGTTAAAAAAATTAAAGACAACCTAAATAAATGGAAAGACGTACTATATTATATTTTGGAAGAGTCAACATAACAGAAATGTTGATTCTTCCCAAATTGATCTATAGGTTTAATGCAATTTCTGTAAAAATCCTAGGAAACTTTCTGAAGATGGAGAGAAGGTTATTCCAAAATTTATATGGAAAGACATGGGCCTCCCAAATACCCAAAACAATATTAACAAAGAAGAACAGAGTGGGAGGAATTACTCTGTCTGATGCTAAGACTTACTCTATATCTGAAGTAATCAGGACAGCGTGGTATATTGGTGAGGGGTTGGACACACAGATCAACGGAACAAGATAGAGAACCCAGAAATAGATCCATAAGAATCCACCCAGTTGATTTTTGACAAGGGTACAAAAGCAATTCAATGCAGGAAGCGTAGCCTTTCCAACAAATGCGCTGGAACAATGAGACATTTGTGATCAGACAATGAAACTTGACTTAAACAAAACTCAATACAAAAATTAACACAAAATGAGCCATGAACTTACATGTAAAATGTAAAATGTGAACTCTTGGCTGGGCGCGGTGGCTCATGCCTGTAATCTCAGCACTTTGGGAGGCTGAGGTGGGTGGATCATCCGAGGTCAGGAGTTTGAGACTAGCCCAGCCAACATGGCGAAACCCCGTTTCTACTAAAAATACAAAAATTAGCCGACATGGTGGCTCGCGCCTGTAATCCCAGCTACTTGGGAGGCTGAGGCACAGAATCGCTTGAACCTGAGAGGCAGAAGTTGCAGTGAGAGAGATTGCACCACTGCACTCCAGCTTGGGTGACAGAGTGAGAACTTGTCTCAAAAATAAAATAAAATAAATAAAATAAACACTTGAGAAAAACATTATAGGAAAAATACTTTTGGTATCTAGATCTAGGCAATAATTTGATACATGATCTATGAAAGCACTATTCATGGAAACAAAAATTGATCAATTTGAGATCATCAAAATTAAAAACTTTGGTAAAAGCCCATGAGAAGAGGGTGAAAAGACGAGGTACAGAGCGGAAAAGAATAATTGCAAATGACATATACAACAAAGGACAAGTATCTAGAATAATTTCAAAACCCAAGAGTAAAAATACAAACAAACCAGATAGAAAGGGGCAAAGGCATTAACAGATGTTTCATCAAATAGGATCTATGGAGGCAAATAAGTGCATGGAAAGCTGTCCAGCAGCATTACCCACAGAGGAAGGCAAATTAAAAGTATAGTTAATTATGACTACACACCTCTCAGAATGGCTAAAGTAAAAAATGGTGAAAATGCCAAATGCTGGTGAGGAATTTAAACCGGTACAGCTACTTGGATGAACAGTTTGGCTCTTTCTTATAAATTAACATGCAATGACCATGTGACCCAGGAATGACACTCTTGGGCATTTAACCCAGAGAAATTATAACTTACACAAAAACCTGTATAGAGGTTTATTTGTAATTGCTAACAATTGAAAATAGCTCAGATATCCTTGTCCTTTTTTCTTATTCCAGGGTAATTGACAAACCAGACATCTTTCAACAGGTAAATGTTTGAACAACCAGGGTAGATATATTCCCCCAATACTACTTAGCAACAAAGGAACAATCTATTGATACATGCGAGAATTTGGATGAATCACAAGGAAGTTGTTCTGAGTGAAAACAGTCAATACCCTAAAATAACATATGTCTAATTCTTATATAACATTTTTGAAATGATAAAAACTTTAAAATTTGCAGCCCTTTCCAAACTCCTTGCCATTCCTCCAAATGCTTAATGTATTCCATTGTGACATAGGAGGGTATATGTCCCCAAATCTAGCTACGCATGAGCCCCTTTCTTGTATTATCCAGTACAGTGCAGGGATCATGACTCTGCTTGGGCCCATGTTCATGAATTTAAAGTTCTCACCCTAAATTCTAGTAGCTCACCAAAATATTTTTCCAAACAAAGAATGTCCTCTCCTATTCTGGTACTAGTGATTAAGCTGAAAATGTCACCTTTTTGTTTTCTTTTACTAGTGGTTCCTCTGCCTGGCACTTCCTGCCCCCAGCTCTGCTCATCCCTCCCTTACCTCTTTCAAAGCTACCTCCTTGTTAAAGATTGCTTATCCATTCAGCTGTAATCACTTTCTTCTTTGAAATCCCAAAACTCTTTGCCTGTGGTTCGAGTGTCAGTCCATATTCTCCATCTTATATTATGGTAACTCCTATGCCAGGTTAATATTTCCGCTAGACTATGAACAACCTGGGCAGAGTCCGTCACCTCTTTGTCCCTCATAGTACTGGGTGCTGTGGAGACAGATGTCAAAAAGACACATGCTAAGTCCTTGAAGAGCTCACAACCCTGAGTGGGCAGATGGTTTTATCCATAAATCCCTTCATCTTGCACAAGCTGTGGATAAGTCAAAGAGTAGTGTCCCATTTCAATTTCTCCTGATGCTCATTTCTCCTCTTAAGACCCCACTCACTGAAAGAGGCAGATTAATTCGACAGAGAGTGATTCTCTTCACATACGACTTTGTACCTGTTACTGCATCACCTGAGCTGCTGAAGCCAGAAACTCTCAAGAGGAACACCCGCTTGGGAGAGAGATGTAGAGGCTGGAATGGCTGATATGGGAGTTTCACCCATGAGGCAAAAAACAAAACAAAAGAAAATGCAAACATGCACAACAACAGAAAAGAAAACCAGATGTATTGCTGCACCTCTTTCAAGTTTCACTCACATTTGAGAACATAAGTAATGTAAAGGTGATCTAAAATCACAATAGCTTCGACTAAGAAGTCTATTCTATGCCATGATCCTTAAAATTGTTTTCCAGTATAATTTTAGAAGCCTACTAAGATGGGGATGGGGGTAACGAGAGTGGTATATAGCTGAAAGCATGCTATTTTTTTTCCCTTCCTTCTCTCTCTCTCTTTCTCTTTCTTTCTTCCCAGGGTCTGGCTCGCTCACCCAGACTGGAGTGCAGTGGCACAATCTTGGCTCATTGCAACCTATGGCTCTTGGGCTCAAGTGATCCTCCCACCTCAGCCTCCCAAGTAGCTGGGACCACAGGCACCCGCCACCACACCCAGGTAATTTTTTTTTTTTTGGTATTTTTTGTAGAGATGGGAGTTTTACCATGTTGTTCATACTGGTCTCAAAGTCCTGAGCTCAAGCCATCCGCCGGCCTTAGCCTCCCAAAGTGCTGAGATTACAGGCGTGAGCCACTGCGACCAGCCAGCAGGCTATTTTGAACCTTGCAATGTATTTCTTTGGTGCAAAACCACATTAACTTTTGCACCAACCTAATACTTGGAAGGAAGATGGTCCTTTGAAGGTCAGGCAGACATAGTAGGTTTTAAGCTTATACTCAGGACTTCATAAAATTCCTTAACTGATTACATAGTTCACCAACATTGCCAGGTGCATTGTATTAATGTCTGTAGTGAACATCTATCATTTTAGCTACCCTGTGTCGATTCTGTCTTCTTTGGTAGTAGTTCCTTGATTTTCCTGGGGAACCTCCATTCCTCTGTTTTAGTCCATGTGGCTTCACTGTGGATGGCCCTACCCTGTGAATCAGGGCTAGACACATGGTGTAGAGTGGCCAATCAGAATATCTTATTTCTCTGGTCATATTTACTGGTTTAGCACTGGGTATATGACTGACTTTGGTCCAGTTAGATTGTATCCCAGGACTTTTTACCAGAATGGTTGGGAGAAAGAATCACTCTTCGTGCTCAAGTTAGAAAACTTGTAAGAGCTAATAGAAAGCAACGTAATCTTGGAGCTGCTGGCAATCATCTTTCCAATAAAAGAGAAGACTTTGTCTGCAAATGCGTCTATCACAAAAGAAAAGAGACCTGAGCTATGAAAAGGGCAAGAATGAATCCTTGATATCTACCTTAAGCCCCTGCATCCAGCATGCCCAATACTTGTCGGCTCTTGGACATCTAATTTACATATGTTAATCAGTTTCCTATTTTGCTTATGCCAGCCTCATTTGGTTTTTAAAATCACTTATAAGTAAATATATACAGATGTAATAACTTTGGAAAATAAATGAGAACTGCAGACATTCCTTTGTCCCTAAATAACTAGAACTTTTGCTGTCTGCTAGTTCATTTGTTTTAGGAAATCTTACACGTGTTAGGGCCTATCCCCAGGATTGAGAAGTAGGAAATGAGATGTCCTGTATTAGTTGGGATACCACCTGCTAAGCTTTGCTGTGATAATAGCAGCTCCCCAATCTGAGTTGCTCATACTTGGTATCTATTGCAACTTGAGACCCAGGCTGAGGAGCCTCTACCATCTTGTAGAAGTGCCACCTGGAACACATGGCCTTCTTGGTCATCAAATGGGAGAAAAAAACTCATCAAAATCTCATACCCAATCTACATTTTGGCTCATTTTTTAGAATTAGTCACATGGTCCCACTTAACTGGAAGGTGGTTAGGAAGTGAAGTCTTCCATGTGCCCCAAAGGCGAGAAGCCCTAGTGTGCACTAGTGATGTCTAGCACATGGTGAAGCCTGTATTTATACAAATACAGGCTTCATGATGTGTTAGACGTTAAGAGTTATGCTGTAACAGGTAAAATAAAGCCAGGTGCAGTGACTCATGCCTGTAATCCCAGCACTTTGGGAGGTTGAGGTGAGCGGATCACGAGGCGAGGAGTTCAAGACCAGCCTGGCCAGCATGGTGAAACCCCGTGTCTACTAAAAATACAAAAAATTAGCTGGGTGTGGTGGCTCATGCCTGTAGTCCCAGCTACTTGGGAGGCTGAGGCAGGAGAATTGCTTGAACCCAGGAAGTGGAGGTTGCAGTGAGCCAAGATTGTGCCATTGCACTCCAGCCTGGGCAACAGAGCAAGACTCCATCTCAAAACAAAAACAAAAACAAAACAAAAACAAAACAAAATAAAAAAACCAGGTAAAATATATTAAGTACTTATATGTACTAGACATTTTGCATAGATTATTTTATGTACTCCTTACCACATCTTTATGAGTTATTGCCCCATTTTCTACATAAAGCAGTTGTGGTTTAGCTGGAGGAGATGACTTGCTAGGAGGCACAAAGCAGGGGAGCAGAGATTCTATTTGACCCTGGTTGGAACCTGGCCACTTTGTGCCATCTTGCCTCCCTAACGAAAAGCATCCATTGATGAGGCAAGGAATTGGAGTTGGCAAGATTCCTGAAAAGTCGAGTGAGAAATGATTGGGGCTTGCTTACCCATATTCTGGGCAGATGAAGAGAATAGGCATTGCAAAGGTGAAATGATAGAACTCGGTGATTGATCAAATATGGTGATGAGGAAGAGGAGTGAGTCAATAATGACTGAGTTTTCTCGCAGTCTGACTGGGAGAGGTTTGATGCACCAGGAGAAGTGTGAGAGGAGATGTCAAGGTGGCCGATGGAAACATAGACTTGGAGCTGGGTGGAAGTCTGGCTGGAGCCGTTGACTTGAAAATCCTCTATTTAAAGATAACAGTTTACAAGGGTAGTGGATAAGATGATCCAGAGAGATAGCACATGGAATGAGAAAAGGGTCAAGTCAGAAAAACTTTAGGAGTTAGGTCAGAGGAGGTATATATGGAATCCTGTAGTTAGAGAAGAAAAGAGAATGAAGAGTAAGGAATCAAAAGGAACGAGAACATCTGTCAGAGGAGCCCTTACCTCTGTCTCCATGACAACACGGACCTCAGCTATGATAAATTCTCTTTTTTTTTTTTTTTTTGAGATGGAGCCTCGCTCTGTCGCACCCAGGCTGGAGTGCAGTGGCACGATCTCGGCTCACTGCAACCTCCGCCTCCTGGGTTCAAGCGATCCTCCTGCCTCAGCCTCCCAAGTAGCTGGGATTGCAGGCGCCTGCCACCACACCTGGCGAATTTTTTGTATTTTTGGTAGAGATGGGGTTTCACCATGTTGGTCAGGCTGGTCTCAAACTTCTGACCTCAGGTGATCCGCCCACCTTGGCCTCCTAACAAATTCCCTTTTATGAGTGTTCATGTCTATAGGTTAGAGCATGACCTAACTAGAACTTTACCTTTAGAAATGCACATATTAATATATATTTTTGACCTGGATGCTAATGAAAGCTGGTGTTCAATTTTAATCTCTTGGTCTTTAAGAATGGGCATTATACTGAAAAGATTAAAAAACAGATGGAAAAAGTGAATCTAAAACATAAAAGAAAGAAACTATTTTGAGAATTAGATGAAAGAAAAAAAAAGAAAATGTGTCCTCTTTAACATCATAGGGAAGACTTCTGTCTTTCCAGGAGGAAGATGATAATTGAGTCAGTGTTTCAATGGTGTTTTGTAAACGCCAAAATTCCCAACTGGGCAGAAATCCTAGTTCCTCTTCCGTTTTTCACTCATTTCTTTGTTGGCTTCTGTTAAGCATTAACTTTTCTAGGAAATCTTCCCTGACTGAAGCAAAGCCATGTCCTCCTCAAGTGCCCTTGGTACTTTGAACCTTATTCTCAGAGTATTTACAAGGTGTGTCTGCTCAGGGCAGATTAACATTAACAGCACGGTGGACTTTACTGAGGTTTAAAATTCCTGGTCCTTCACTTGCTCAGATTCTGTGGGTGCTGGGACTTACAGAGAGTTAAAGGGTGACCTAAGCGGAAGGGGAAGCCAGATTGTAAGCAGGATGCATCCATATAAAAGCATTTATGATAAATTGCCTAAAGAGATGTCACAAGTAAGGGACCTGAATCTCCTAGCCTCTGGTAGTTGGTAGTTTGTAGTGATTTATTTTCTCACTGCAAATGGTCATTTTAATAACTACTCTATTTCTGAAGCTTCTTGCTGGTACTGGTGCCTCTGCCTGTCCTGGCATCCAGGTCACATTTGTAGATTCTTTTTACCTGTCTCTAGATCCAGCGAGCAGTTGGCATCTGGTATCCAGGAGATGGCACAGTGTGGCAAAAAAAAGCTCTGTACACATTTATACAGCACTTATTGCAGCACAAATTGACACAATCTTTCTGCAGGCAATTTAGCCAGATATAAGTCTTGCAAAATTTATACTTGTGTAAGAGATAGGTCTGGGTTCAGCTTCAAATAACTGAAACCCCAAATAATAATGGTTTAAAAAAGATGGTTATATCACTGTCATGCGAAATTCCAAGAGTGGTCCAGAGTTGTGATGTGTGTGAGCTCCAAAAGGGACTTGGTTTTCTTCCAGTTCAATCATGAACCAAGATGAGAGAACTACTTTCCCGGGAGCAGGATGGAGTGTATCCAATGAAGAATGTGTCCAATGGAGAAACAAAGGCCACATAATACCTCTGTCTAAGGAAGGGACCTGGAAGCTGCCACATAATAGTTTTGCTCATATCTCACTGAGGAGACTTCAATCACATAGCCACTCTTAGCTGCAAGGGACACTGGAAAATGTAGTCTACTCCTGATGGTCATGTGTCTGGCTAAAACTTTTGGAAGAAGGGAGAAAGAATAATAGGGAACAATTAATACTGTTCTGTGCCTTGCCTATTTTACTTTATATATCTTGGCAATGATTCAATGTTAGTACTTAAGGAGAATCCTTATTTTTATTATTTTTTAATTTTAATTTTTTTTTTTTTTTGAGATGGAGTCTCGCTCTGTCCCCCAGGCTGGAGTGCAGTGGTGCCATCTTGGCTCTCTGCAATCTCCGCCTCCTGGGTTCAAGCGATTCTCATGCCTCAGCCTCCCGAGTAGCTGGGACTACAGGCATGCACCACCATGCCTGGCTAATTTTTTTTTGTATTTTTTGTAGAGACGGTGGTCTCACTATGTTGCTCAGGCTGGTCGCGAACTCCAGAGCTCAGGCGATTTGCCCACCTCAGCCTCCCAAAGTGTTGGGATTATGGGCGTGAGCCACTGCACCTGGCATTTTTATTTTTATTTTTTAAGGCTGAATAATAATACTCCATTGTTTTATAGTATCAACAATTCTTTTATTTTTTTTTGAGATGTGGTCTCATGCTGTCACCCAGGTTGGAGTGCAGTGGCTGATCTCGGCTCACCACAACCTCCACCTCCCAGGCTCAAGCGAGCCTCCCACCTCAGCCTCTCAAGTAGCTGGGATTACAGGCATGCACCACCATGCCCAGCTAATTTTTGTACTTTGTTTGTAGAGATGGGGTTTCACCATGTTGCCCAGGCTGGTCTTGAATTCCTGAACTCAAGCCATCCATCAGTCTTGGCTTCCCAAAGTGCTGGGATTACAGGCACAAACTACCACACCTGGCCACCAATCCCTCACTGATGGATGGTTTCAGTAGTTCCCAAATTTGCGTTGTTAAAAATATCACTGCAATGAGTAACCTTGCACATAGGTAGTTTCACATATATGTGAGTATATCTGTAGGATAAGTTCCCAGATGTGGAATTGCAGGAAATTTGTAATTCTGGTTGATTATTGCTAAATTGCCCTCATTAGAATTGTTGCAATGAAAAGCTCAGTATCGGTCGGGCAGAGTGGCTCACACCTGTAATCCCAGCACTTGGGGAGGCTGAGATGGGAGGATTGCTTGAGTCTAGGGGTTCAAGACTGGTGTGGGCAAGACCCCATCTCTAGAAAAAATTTAAAAACTTAGCCAGGTGTAATGGCGCATGTCTGTGGTCCCAGCTATATGGGAGGCTGAGGTGGGACGATCACTTTAGCCCAGGAGATTGAGGCTGCACTGAGCTGTGTTCATGCCACTGCACTCCAGTCTGGTTGACAGAGTGAGACCCTGTCTCAAAAACAACAACAACAACAACAACAACAACTCAATATCAACAATAAGCCTTTCCAACATAGCATTTTATGAAACTTTTAAATCTTTCCCTGTCTCGTAGGTAATATGCAATTTTACAAATGAAAAATAGTGCTATGATTAAAAACTTAAGAGTAGCAGAATATGCAAACCCAAAATATGCCACTTTGGCATGAAGATTATTTTGAGCTGAAGGCAACTGAGAGGAAGCAGATACAAGAAAAGTTCTCTGCCCTTCCTTTACTTACCTAAAAGCAAGAAGTGAATTTGTAAAGGTGTCCTCTTGTCCCAGGAAGGATAAAAGGTACAAACAATTTTAAACTCTTGTTACTTTTTGCTACAGTGTTTTCCAGAAAGATGTGCTAATTTTCTCATTCCCATCTAACAAAGCTTAAAAAGAGATTAAATAGATTGTAAAGAGGTAAGGTGCAGTAGGTAGGAAGATAGCTTTTAACACACCGGAGTTTGAGTTGGATTCTTTTAGAGCCTCTGAATAGTATTGTTTTTTATTTTTATTTTTTAAATAAATCAGTTGGTTGCCTTGGCTGAACACAACAGTTTCACTTTTTTCCTTGCAGTGAGTGGCAGAATTTTAGTTTGGTTATTTTAACCTTATCTGGGCAGCTTGGAGTTGGCATATGTGCCTGGTTCAGACGTCAGCCAGGTTCAGCGAAAGGGTAATACCCAGAGAAGTTGAAGCTTCTCCTCTCTACCTCTCCCTTTTCCTGGATTTCTCTTCTCAGTTTCCAGCTGCTATGGTTTCTCTGAACTCTGTCCTTGGATTCTTTGAACTAATAAACTGCACCTGGTCTGTGCCTTGGTGCACAGCTCTCAAACCCCTCAGAATGTGCCTTTTTTGGGTCTCTCTCCAGTCTGGTTGCTTTTGGGTTTTTTTTTGTTTTGTTTTGTTTTTGTTTTTTTTTTGAGACAGTGTCTCGCTCTGTCACCCAGCCTGGACTGCAGTGGCGCGATCTCGGCTCACTGCAAGCTCCGCCTCCCAGGTTCACGCCATTCTCCTGCCTCAGCCTCCCGAGTAGCTGAGACTAGAGGCGCCCGCCCCCACACCCGGCTAATTTTTTTTTTGTATTTTTAGTAGAGACGGGGTTTCACCGTGTTAGCCAGCGTGGTCTCGATCTCCTGACCTCGTGATCCGCCCGCCTCGGCCTCCCAAAGTGCTGGGATTACAGGCGTGAGCCACCGCGCCGGCCTGATTTTTTTTTTTTTTTTGGTCCAGAATTTACAGTTGTTACCTGCAGCAGGATTAGTCTCATAGGAGCTCCTCTGCCATGACTGGGAACATAATTTCTAACAGTTCTTATCTCCTTTTCTATTTGTTTTTCTCCTTAAAACTTATCTATATCTAACATGCTACAGTTACTTTTTCATTGTTTCTTTTCTCTCATCCCCCACTGGCATGTAAACTTCAGGAGGGCTGGGAGTTTTGTCTGATTTGTTCATTACCATATCTTCAGTGCTCAGAACAGAGCCTGACACAGAGTGACCAGGCTGATGTCAAGTATTTAACCCCAGTATAGCACAGGCATAAAAAAATGCTCAGCCAGTCAGAAATATTCCTGCATTTCAGCACCAGTGTAATCCATAATAGTGGTTTGAGCTGAATATCAGCTCCACAGAGTAGTTGCTAAATCAATGAAGTCATTTTTTATACATGTAGGGAAGTGTTTTTTTTTTTTTTTTGAGACGGAGTTTCGCTCTTGTTGCCCATGCTGGGGTGCAGTGGTGCCATCTTGGCTCACTGGAAGCTCCACCTCCCGGGTTCAAGCGATTTTCCTGCCTCAGCCTCCCGAGTAGCTGGGATTACACGCATGTGCCACCATGCCGGGATAATTATGTGTTTTTAGTAGAGACAGGGTTTCTCCATGTTGGTCAGGCTGGTCACGAACTCCCGACCTCAGGTGATGCTCCTGCCTCGGCCTCCCAAAGTGCTGGGATTACAGGCGTGAGCCACCGCGCCCAGCCGCAGGTGTTTTTTGAAAGCACGGAGGTTCCATGTAGTCTTGTATCTTGTTACTGGATCTGGGAAGAGAAGACAGTTGCCTTTCTGAAAATATAGAAGCAAGTCCAATTTGTCTTTTTTTTTTAATTTAGGGGTAATTAATGTAACATAAAATTAACCATTTAAAATGATATAGTTCTGAGGCATTTAGTACATTTACAATGTTGTGCAATCATTGCTTTTTATCTGTTAAAAGCTCTAAAACATTTTCATCACCCTCAAAAGAGACTCTATACTATTAAATAGTCACTCCTCATTCCCACTCTCCCCCAGCCCAAGCAACCACTAATCTTCTTGCTGCCTTTATGAGTTTACCTATTCTGGATATTTCATATAAATGAAATCATGCAAGATGTGACCTTTTGCTTCACATAATGTTTTTGAAGTTCATTCAAAACATGTTTGTAGCATGTTATCAGTTTTATTTTATGGCTGAATAAGATTCCATTGTATGAATATGCCATGTTTGTTTATCCATTCATCTGTTGAAGAATATTTGTTTTTTTTCCACCTTTTGGCTTTTGTGAATAGTGCTGCTATTAACATTCCTGTATAAGTATTTGTTTGAATATCTGATTTCAATTCTTTTGGATATATACCTAGGAGCAGAATTGCTGAGTCATATCGTAATTCTATGTTTAAGTAATTGAAGAACCACCAGAGTGTTATCCATAGTGGCCGTACCATTTTACATTCCCAGCAGCAACGTATGATGAATCCAATTTCTCTACATTCTTGCCAACACTTATTTTTCATTTAAAAAAATTATAGCCATTCTCATGGGTGTGAAATGCTATCTCATTGTGGCTTTAATTTGCATTTCTCTATAAAGACTAATAATCTAGAACATCTTTTCTTTTATTTGTTCCTCTTTTTCCTACCAACTTTTATTTAGCAGCCAGGAGGAGGGCTGTACCCTGCAAACCCACAGGGCGGAGCTGCCCAAGACCATGGGAACCTACTTCTTGCATCAGCGTAACCTGGATGTGAGACATGGAGTCAAAGGAGATCATTTTGGAGCTTTAAGATTTGACTGCCTCGCTGAATCTCAGGCTAGCATGCGGCTTGTAGCCCCTTCGTTTTGGCCAATTTCTCTGATTTGAAATGGGTGTATTTACCCAATGCCTGTACCCCCATTGTATCTAGGAAGTAACTAACTTGCTTTTGATTTTTATTTATTTATTTTTTTTTGAGATGGGGTTTTGCTCTTGTTGCCCAGGCTGGAGTGCAATGGCATGATCTTGGCTCACTGCAACCTCCGCCTCCTGGGTTCAAGTGATTCTCTGTCCTCAGCCTCCCCAGTAGCTGGGATTACAGGCATGCACCACCACGCCTGGCTAATTTTGTAGTTTTAGTAGAGATGGGGTTTCTCCATGTTGGTCAGGCTGGTCTCAAATTCCTGACCTCAGGTGATTCACCTGCCTTGGCCTCCCAAGGTGCTGGGATTACAGGCATGAGCTACCACACTCATCCCCTTGCTTTTGATTTTACAGGCTCATATGAGGAAGGAACTTGCCTTGTCTCAGATGAGATGCTGGACTGTGGACTTTTGAGTTAATGCTGAAATGAGTTAAGACTTTGGGGGACTGTTGGGAAGGCATCATTGGTTTTGAAATGTGAGAACGTGGGATTTGGGAGGGGCCAGGGGCAGAATAATATTGTTTGGCTGTGTCCCCACTCAAATCTCATCTTGAATTGTAACTCTCACAATTCCAACGTGTTGTGGGAGGAAGCTGGTGGGAGGTGATTGAATTATAGGGGCAGGTCTTTCCTGCACTATTCTCATGATAGTGAATGAGTCTTATGAGATCTGATGGTTTTAAAAATGGAAGTTTCTCTGCACAAGCTCTCTGTTTGCCTGCTGCCATCCACGTAAGACATGACTTGCTCCTCCTTGCCTTCTGCCATGAATGTGAGGCCTCCCCAGCCACATGGAAGTGTGAGTCCAGTTAAACCTCTTTCTTTTTTTTTTTTTTTTTTTTATTATACTTTAAGTTTTAGGGTACATGTGCACATTGTGCAGGTTAGTTACATATGTATACATGTGCCATGCTGGTGCGCTGCACCCACTAACTCGTCATCTAGCATTAGGTATATCTCCCAATGCTATCCCTCCCCCCTCCCCCCACCCCACCACAGTCCCCAGAGTTTGATATTCCCCTTCTTGTGTCCATGTGATCTCATTGTTCAATTCCCACCTATGAGTGAGAATATGCGGTGTTTGGTTTTTTGTTCTTGTGATAGTTTACTGAGAATGATGGTTTCCAGTTTCATCCATGTCCCTACAAAGGACATGAACTCATCATTTTTGATGGCTGCATAGTATTCCATGGTGTATATGTGCCACATTTTCTTAATCCAGTCTATCATTGTTGGACATTTGGGTTGGTTCCAAGTCTTTGCTATTGTGAATAATGCCGCAATAAACATACGTGTGCATGTGTCTTTATAGCAGCATGATTTATAGTCATTTGGGTATATACCCAGTAGTGGGATGGCTGGGTCAAATGGTATTTCTAGTTCTAGATCCCTGAGGAATCGCCACACTGACTTCCACAATGGTTGAACTAGTTTACAGTCCCACCAACAGTGTAAAAGTGTTCCTATTTCTCCACATCCTCTCCAGCACCTGTTGTTTCCTGACTTTTTAATGATTGCCATTCTAACTGGTGTGAGATGATATCTCATAGTGGTTTTGATTTGCATTTCTCTGATGGCCAGTGATGATGAGCATTTTTTCATGTGTTCTTTGGCTGCATAAATGTCTTCTTTTGAGAAGTGTCTGTTCATGTCCTTCGCCCACTTTTTGATGGGGTTGTTTTTTTCTTGTAAATTTGTTGGAGTTCATTGTAGATTCTGGATATTAGCCCTTTGTCAGATGAGTAGGTTGCGAAAATTTTCTCCCATGTTGTAGGTTGCCTGTTCACTCTGATGGTAGTTTCTTTTGCTGTGCAGAAGCTCTTTAGTTTAATTAGATCCCATTTGTCAATTTTGGCTTTTGTTGCCATTGCTTTTGGTGTTTTGGAACCTCTTCCTTTTGTAAATTGCACAGTCTCTGGTATGTCTTTATTAGCTGCATGAAAAGGACTAATACAATAGGTAAATTGTGTGTCATGGGTGTTTTGTATACGGATTATTTAGTCATCTGGGTAATAAGCAGAGTACCTGATAGGTAGATTTTCAATCCTCACCATCCTCCCAGCCTCCACCCTCAAGTAGGCCCTGGTGTCTATTGTTCTTGTCTTTGTGTCCATGTATACTCAATGTTTAGCTTCCACTTATAAGTGAGAACATGCGGTTTTTGGTTTTCTTTTCCTGCATTGATTTGCTTAGGACAACAGCCTCCAGTGCCATCCATGTTGTGAGAGACATGACTTCGTAGAACACTTTTTCATGTGCTTGTTAGCCATGTATAGCTTCTTTGGAGAAATGTCTATTCATGTTCTATCTTGTTATTGAATTGGGTTGTCTAATTGTTGTCCAGTTGTAACAGCTTAAAAAAATATTTCAGATATTAGACCTTTATCAGATGTATGGTTTATAAATAATTTAAACAAATTTTTATTTTATTGTATTTATTTTAGAGCCAGGAATCTCACTATATTGCCCAGGCTGGACTCAAACTTTGGGGCTCAAGCAATTCTCTCAACTTAGCCTCATGAGTAGCTGGGACTATTGGTGTGAGCCACTGCACAGGCTCTGAAATTATTTTTGCCATTTAGTAGGTTTTCTGTTCACTTTCTAGGTAGTGTTCTTTGATGTACTAAAGTTTTAAAATTTTAATTTTTTTTTTTTTTTTTTTTTTTGAGACAGAGTCTTGTTCTGTCACCTATCCTGGAATGCAGTGGCACAATCATAGCTCACTGTAACCTTGAACTCCTGGGCTCATGTGTTCCTCCCAAGTAGCTGGGACTATAGGCACTTGCCACCATGAATGATTAATAAATTTATTTTTTTTTTTGGGGATGGAGTCTCACTCTGTCGCCCAGGCTGGAGTGCAGTGGCATGAGCTTGGCTCACTGCAAGCTCCATCTCCCAGGTTCACGCCATTCTCCTGCCTTAGCCTCCTGAGTAGCTGGGACTACAGGCACCTGCCACCGTGCCTGGCTAGTTTTTTGTATTTTTTTAGTAGAGACGAGATTTCACCATGTTAGCCAGGGTGGTCTCGATCTCCTGACTTCATGATCCACCCACCTTGGCCTCCCAAAATGCTGGGATTACAGGCATGAGCCACTGCACCCGGCCCATGAATAATTTTTAAATTTTTTTTGTAGAGACAGCATCTTGCTATATTGTTCAGGCTGGTCTCAAACTCCTGTGCTTGAGCAGTCATCCAGCCTTAGCCTCCCAATGTGTTGGGATTATAGGTGTGAGCCACTATGCCCAGTTTTAAATTTTGATTAGGTCCCATTTATTTTTTCTTTATTGCTCCTGCTTTTGGTGTCATACCTAAGAAGCTGTGAAATCCAAGGTTCTGAAGATATGCCCCATGTTTTCTTCTTAGGATATTATAATTTTAGCTTTTACTTTTAGGTCTTTGATGCATTTTTAGTTAATTTTTATGTATGTCGTTGTTAGTGGTCCAACTTCATTCTTTGGATGTAAATGTCCAATTGTCCCTGTACCATTTATTGAAGAGACTATTCTTTCTCCATTAAATGGTCTTGGCATGCTTGTCAAAAATCAATTGGCCTTAGATGTATAGGTTTATTTTTTGGCTCTCAATTCTATTTCATTGGTCTTTATGTCAATCTCTATGCCAACACCACAGTGTTTTGATGACTACAGCTTTGTAGTATGTTTTGAAATCAGAAAATATGAGTCCTCCAACTTTGTTCTTCTTTTTCATGATTGTTGTATTTGTCTGTTCTCACACTGCTATAAGGACATACCTGAGACTGGGTAATTTATAAAGGAAAGAGGTTTAATTGACTTACACTTCTGCAGGGCTGGGGAGGCTTCAGGAAACTTACAATCATGGTGGAAGGGGAAGCAAACACATCCTTCTTCACATGGTAGCAGCAAGGAGAAGAAGAATCAGTGCCCAGTGAAAGGGAAGGCCCCTTATAAAACCATTAGATCTTGTGAGAACTCACTATCATGAGAACAGGATGGGGTAAATTGCCCCCAGCATTCAATTTTCTCTACCTGGTCCCTCCCATGAGATGTGGGGATTATGGGAATTACAATTCAAGGTAAGATTTGGGTGGGGACACAGCCAAATCATATCATTCCATCCCTGGCCCCTTCCAGATCTCATGTCCTCACATTTCAAAACACAATAGTGCCTTTCCAACAGTCCCCTAAAATCTTAAGTCATTCCAGCATTAACTCAAAAGTTCAAGCCCAAAGTCTCATCTGAGACAAGGCAAGTCCCTTCTGCCTATGAGCCTGTAATATCAAAAACAAATTAGTTACTTCCCAGATACAATGGGAGTACAGGCATTGGGTAAATTCGCCCTATTTCAAATGGGAGAAATTGGCCAAAATGAAGGGGCTGCAAGCCCCATGCATGTCCAAAATTCAATGAGGCAGTCATTAAACCTTAAAATTCCAAAATGATTTCCTTTTACTCCATGTCTTACATCCAGGGCACACTGATGCCAGAAGTGGGCTCTCATGGCCTTGGGCAACTCTGCCTCTATAGCTTTGCAGGGTACAGCCTCCCTCCTGGCTGCTTTCACAGGCTGGCATTGAGTGTTTGTGGCTTTTCCAGGCTCATGGCACAAGCTGTCAGTGGATCTACCATTCTAGATTCTGGAGGATGGTGGCCCTCTTCTCACAGCTCTACTAGCCAGTGCCTCAGTGGGGACTCTGTGTGGGGGTTCTGACCCCACATTTCCCTTGTGGACTGTCCTAGCCGAGGTTCTCCATGAGGGCTCCAGCCTTGCAGCAACCTTCTGCCTTGACATCCAGGCATTTTCATACGTCTTCTGAAATCTAGGCAGAAGTTTCCAAACCTCAATTCTTGTCTTCTGTGCACCCGCAGGCCCAACACCATGTGGAAGCTGCCAAGGCTTGGGGCTTGCACCCTCTGAAGCCATGGGCTGAACTGTACCTTGGCTCCTTTTAGTCATGGCTGGAATGGCTGGAATGCAGGGCACCAAGTGATGCACACAGTAGGGGGGGTCCTGGACCCAACCCAGGAAACCATTTTTCCCTCCTAGGTCTCTGGGCCTGTGATGGGAAGGGCTGCTGCGAAGGGCTCTGACATGCCCTGGAGACATTTTTCCGATTGTCTTGGTGATTAGCATTTGGCTCCTCATTGCTTATGCAAATTTCTGCAGCTGGATTGAATTTCTCCCCAGAAAATGGATTTTTCTTTTCTACTGCCTTGTCAGGCTTCAAATTTTTCAAATTTTTATGCTCTGCTTCCTGTTGGAGTCTGCTGCTTAAACATTTCTTCTGCCAGATATCCTAAATTATCTCTCCCAAGTTCAAAGTTCCACAGATCTCTAGGGTAGGGGCAAAATGCTGCCAGTCTCTTTGCATAGCAAGAGTGACCTTTACTCCATTTCCCAAAAAGTTCCTCATCTCCGTCTGAGACCACTTCCGCTTGGACTTTATTATCTGTATCACTATCAGCATTTTAGTCAAAGCCATTCAACAAATCTCTAGGAAGTTCCAAACTTTCCCACATTTTCCTATCTTCTTCTGAGCCCTCCAAACTGTTCCAACCTCTGCCTGTTACCCAGTTCCAAAGTTGCTTCCACATTTTCAGATATCTTTACAGCAGCACCCCACTGCCTGGTACCAATTTACTGTATTAGTCTGTTTTCATGCTGCTATAAGGACATACCTGAGACTGGGTAATTTATAAAGGAAAGAGGTTTAATTGACTCACAGTTTTGCAGGGCTGGGGAGGCCTCAGCAAACGTACAATCATGGTGGAAGGGGAAAGAAACATGTCCTTCTTCAAATGGTGGCAGCAAGAAGAATGATGCCCAGAGAAGGGGGAAGCCCCTCATAAAACAATCGGCTCAGCCAGGCGCGGTGGCTCACACCTGCAATCCCAACACTTTGGGAGGCCGAGGCAGGCAGATCACAAGGTCAGGAGTTCGAGACCAGCCTGGCCAACATAGTGAAACCCTGTCTCTACTAAAAATAAAATGATAATAAAACAAAACAAAACAAAACAAAACAAAACAAAACAAACAAACAAAAAAAACTAGCCAGGCATGGTGGCGGGTGCCTATAAATCTAGCTACTTGGGAGGCTGAGGCAGGAGAATCACTTGAACTCAGAAGGCAGAGGTTACAGTGAGCTGAGATGGCACCACTGCACACCAGCCCAGACGACAGTGTGAGACTCCGTCTCAAAACAAACAAACAATCAGCTCTTGTGAGAACTAACTCACTATCATGAGAACAGGATGGGGCAAACTACACCCAGGATTCAATTATCTCCACCTGGTCCCTCCCACAACATGTGGGGATTAAGGGAACTACAATTCAAGACGAGATTTGGGTGGGAACACAGCCAAACCATATCATTTGTTTTGGCTATTCAAGGCCCTTTGCAATTCCATATGAATTTTGATATTAGCTTTTCCATTTCTGCATAAATAGGCCATTGGGATTTTGATAGAGATTGCATTGAATCTGTAGGTCACTTTGAGGAGTTCTGACACTTTAATAATATTAAGTCTTCCAATTTATGAGCATAGGATATCTTTCCATTTATTTAGGTCTTCTTTAATTTCTTTCAGCAATGTTTTGTAGCTTTCTGTGTACAAAACACTGACCTAGGTTTTCTAGTTTGTTGATGTACCATTGTTTGTAGTATCCTTTTTTTTTTTTTGAGATGGAGTCTCGCTGTGTTGCCCAGGCTCGAGTGCAGTGGCACGATCTCGGCTCACTGCAAGCTCCACCTCCTGGGTTCATGCCATTCTCCTGCCTCAGCCTCAGCCTCCCAAGTAGCTGGGACTACAGGTGCCCGCCACCACATCTGGCTAATTTTTTTGTATTTTTGGTAGAGACAGGGTTTCACTGTGTTAGCCAGGATGGTCTTGATCCCCTGACCTCGTGATCCACCCACCTTGGCCTCCCAAAGTGCTGGGATTACAGGCGTGAGCCACCACGCCTGGCCCATAGTATCCTTTTATAATTGTATTTCTGTAAGGTCATTAGTAATGTTTCCACTTTCATTTCTGATTTTAATAATTTGAGTTGTTTCTCTTTTTCATCTTAGGCTAACTAGAGATTTGTCACTTTTGTTGATCTTTTCAAATAATCAACTCTTGGTTTGATTCATTTTCTTTATATTGTATTTATGATTTTATTTCTCTCTACACTTATCTTTATCATTTCCTTCCTTCTGCTAGCTTTGGTTTAGTTCAGTCTTCTTTTTATAGCTCCTTAAGGCAGAATGTTAAGTTATTTATTTGAGATCTTTCTTCTCTTTAATATAGGTTTTCTATCCTTTTTGCACATACTAAACATTTTTTATCTTTTCTTCCAAAGAATGCTTTGGTATTTGATGAACTTTTCTGGAATTATTTCAACCTTCTTCACAGTACAACATCTATGATTTTTATAGATTCCCTGTGTGTCAGCATTGCCACAAAAAGAAATTTTCAGTCCACTAAGAGTTTATGGCTTCAAAGATCTTAGCACTGCCTTGGCCGGGTGTGGTGGCTCATGCCTATAATCCCAGCACTTTGGGAGGCCAAGGAGGGCAGATCACCTGAGGTCAGGGATTTGAAACCAGCCTGGCCAACGTGGCCAAACCCCGTCTCTACTAAAAACACAAAATTAGCCGGGTGTGATGGCACACACCTGTAATCCCAGCTTCTTGGGAGGCTGAGGCAGGAGAATCGCTTGAACCCAGGAGGCAGAGGTTGCGGTAAGCCAAAATTGTGCCATTGCACTCCACCCTGGGAACAAGAGTGAAACTCTGTCTCAAAAAAAAAAAAAAAAAGAACTGCCTTATAATGACAAAACAAACTAAGTTATGGTGGGAGGTGAGTGGTAGAGAAGAAGCTCACAAGCTTCTGGGATATGTCTGTTGTACTAGATAGCTTTGAGGGTATCTATATTTTTCCTAGTCTCTCCAAAAAAAAAAAAAAAAAAAAAAAAATCTCCAGTCTGGGCACAATGGCTCACGTCTGTAATACTACCACTTTGGGAAGCCAAGGAGGGAGGATCACTTGAGGACAGGAGTTTGACACCAGCCTGGGCAACATAGTGAGACCCTGTATCTGCTAAAAAAAAAAAAAAAAAAAAAAAAGGCTGGGTGTAGTTGCTCATGCCTGTAATCCCAGCACTTTGGGAGCCCGAGGCAGGCGGATCACAAGATCAGGAGTTCGAGACCAGCCTGGCCAATATGGCGAAACCCCACCTCTACTAAAAATACAAAAAATTAGCCAGGCGTTGTGGCAGGTGCCTGTAGTCCTAGCTACTTGGGAGGCTGAGGCAGGAGAATCACTTGAATTCAGGAAGCAGAAGTTGCAGTGAGACGAGTTAGCGCCACTGCACTCCAGCCTGGGTGACAGAGCAAGACTCTGTCTCGAAAAAAAAAAAAGAAAAAAAATTAGCTGAGTGTGGTGATGCATGCCTGTAGTCCCAGTTACTCAGGAGACTGAGGCAGGAGGGTCGCTTGAGCCCTGGAGTTCTAGGTTAGAGTGAGCTAGATTGTGCCACTGTACTCTAGCCTAGGCAGCAGAGCAAGACCCTATCTTTAAAATAAAGTAAAATAAAAATGATCTCCAGACCAAGGTTATATCCTTTATAAAATATCCTTCATAAAAGGGTCTTAACATGTTTATCCTCACTCAGTAATGACTTTTGGCAGTCATGTAACATCTTGCATCCTTAGTTTCCTCTTCTGTAAGATGTAAGCCCTGCCTATCTCACAGGATTGTTGTAAAAGTGCTAAGAAAATAATAAAACAGATCATCCATACAGAAATGACACTCTTCTGAGCCCAGCAGTAACTGCTGAGCCAGATCAGAGACTCTCAGGCCACATGTGAGGCCCATCAACCTGGTGTCTACTTTCCAACTTTTAAATGTGTTTCCAGATAAATCTCTCTGCTGGGAAACTAATAGGGAAATTCGAGTTAGCCAGAAACTTAAAAAAGACATTAATGGCTGGGCACAGTGGCTCACCCCTGTAATCCCAGCATTTTGGGAGGCCGAGGCGGGCGGATCACCTGAGGTAGGGAGTTCAAGACCAGCCTGACCAACATGGAGAAACCCCGTCTCTACTAAAAATATAAAATTAGCCAGGCGTGGTGATGCATGCCTGTAATCCCAGCTACTAGGTAGGCTGAGGCAGGAGAATCAGTTGAACCTGGGAGGCAGAGGTTGCCTGAGCTGAGATCACGCCATTGCACTCTAGCCTGGGCAACAACAGCAAAACTCCGTCTCAAAAAAAAAAAAAAAAAAAAGACATTAATGTATGTACATGGTATAAAGTATATAGAACATCATAAATTGTTTCACTTTAACCAGGCACAGTGGCTCATGCCTGTAATCCCAGCACTATGGGAGGCTGTGGTGGGCAGATCACTTGAGGTCAGGAGTTCAAGACCAGCCTGGCCAACATGGTGAAACCCCATCTCTAGTAAATATACAAAAAATAGCCGGGTAATGTGGCACATGCCTGTAATCCCAGCTACTGGGGAGGCTGAGGCAGGAGAATCGCTTGAACTGCAGTGAGCTGAGATTGCGCCACTGTACTCCAGCCTGGGTGACAGAGCGAGACTCCATCCCTAAAAAAAAAATAAATAAATAAATAAATATGTTTCACCTTATGTCTTCCCACCAAGTGCATGGCTCATGCCTGTCATCCCAGCACTTTGGGAGGCTGAGGCAGGTGGATTGCTTGAGCCCATTGAAACCGCCTTTGCAAAATTATGACTGAGACAGTGAAAGAGATCTAACTTAGCTGACTCCGTATCTTGCTTCTAACCTCCAAGCTGTCCTTGTTCATTCCTGGGAGTAGGTTGAACTAACTTTGGGAGAAACTTAATTTATAGTTTAAAACAAAGATGACAACAGCCCTTTCCCAAAGCTGACCTCCTTTTTGCCTGGGGACTAGGTTGCCTTTGTAGGACTAACATTAGCCACAAGATTAGAAATTACGGTTTAGGAGTCACATAGCTGGAGGCTACAAGATTCTGACCCTACCTAAACTGCTCCTAAAATCAGTGCTTGAGATATTTTGCAGACCTTGCACTTGATGAATTAGCTGATACCACCCAGATGGATAAACTGGCTCATCTGATCTTGTGGCCCCGACCCAGGAACTGACTCAGTGCAGGAAGACAGCTATGATTACATGTGATTATGGGCCTCACGTGTAGCCTGAAGACTCCCTACGATTTCATTTCTGACCAATCAGCACTCCCGGCTTACTGGCTTACCCCCACCCACCAAGTTTTCCTTAAAAACTCTGCTCCCTGAATGCCCAGGGAGACTGATTTGAGGAATAATAAAACTCTGGCCTCCCACACAGCTGGCTCTGTGTGAATAACTCTCTATCTCAGTTCCGTTGTCTTGATAAATTGGTTCTGTCTAGGCAGTGGGCAAGGTGAACCCCTTGGGCAGTTATATCAGGAGTTTGAGACCAGCCTGATCAACATGCCAAGATCTCATCTTTACAAAAAATACAAAAATTAGCAGGCTTTAGTGGACATGCCTATGGGTACCAGCTGCTCAGGAGTCTGAGATAGGAGGATCACCTGAGCCCAGGAGGTGGAGGCTGTAGTGAGCAGAGGTTGTGCCACTGCACTCCAGCCTGGGCGACAGAGCGAGACTCTGTCTCAAAAAAAAAAAAAAAAAGACTTCTCTTCCCAACACAGTAGCTAGCATGACATTTGGGGGAAATTACTTAAGATATCTGTCATTTTAGGAATGTGTTAAATCATCTTCTTGGCTAATTCCAGTCACCACATCCCAGTTTCCATTATAATTGTGGATCAAGAAGGTCTTCCTTCAGTCTAATCTCTAGAATCCCAGAACCATAGTCTTTAAGATATGGAAGGTTATATATGTTAACCCCTCATTCTGTATTACACACACACACACAGGGCACGAAAAGAATGGAAGTAAACTGTTCAAGGTCAGAAACCCAGGTCTCAAGGACTAGGAGATGCGGCTTTATTACTGATGGTCTGTTATCTGTGTGGAGTCAGGCTGTGGCTTGGAGCAGTGAGAACCAAGCTTTACGTATATTTATCAGTCAATCAGACAAAATAAAATTTTATGAAAATAAAGTGGTTTTATTGAGTCACATGAAAAAAAGTCACATAAATTGTTTCACTTTAACCAGGCACAGTGGCCCATGCCTGTAATCCCAGCACTTTGGGATTTAGGTTGAACTAACTTTGGGAGAAACTTAATTTATAGTTTAAAACAAAGATGACGAAAGCCGTTTCCCAAAACCGACCTCCTTCTTGTCTGGGGACTAGGTTGCTTTTGTAGGATTAACATTAGCCACAAGATTAGAAATTATGGTTTAGGAGTCCTGCAGCTGGAGGCTACAAGATTCTGACCATCCCTAAACTGCTCCTAAGATCAGTGCTTAGATTTTTTTCCTTATTGAAGGAAAAATACCAAGGGAAAAATTGTTACAGCTTTTCATTTAGGTTAGACCACATGTGCTAAGTAGCAACATGTCTCAGTCCGTGAAGGCTGCTATAACAAAATAAAATAGACTAGCTAATTTATAAATAATTGAAATTTATTTCTCACAGTTCTGGAAGCTGGGAAGGCCAAGGTGAAAGTGCTAACAGATTCAGTGTCTGGTAAAGGCCCACCGTCTGCTTTAGAGATGGTTTGTGTCCTCAAATGGTAGAAGGGGCAAGGCAGCTCCCTTCAACCTCTTTTATAAGAGCACTACTCCCATTCATAAAAATGGAGACTTCATGACTTATGACTTAATCATTTCCCCAAAGGCCCCACTTCTTAATCCTTTCACATCGAGCATTAGGTTCCAACATGAATTTTAGGGGGACACAAACATTCAAACCATAGCACAACACAAAAGTACTTTTCTAGTCTTTCCTCCTGAACTCGTAGTTGATGGGCTACATCTGGAAGCCAGGTAGGCTGCTTATGCTTGAAAGGGTGCAAATTGCTTGCCATGATTTAGAACAGTGGTTCTCAAAACGTGATTGCATAGCGGCAGCAGCAGCAGCAGCAGCAAGTGGGGCCTACCTCAGACTGACCTAATTGGAGACCCTGGGGATTGGAGCCAAAAATCTGTGTTTTAACGAGTTCCAGGTGTGTGTTCAAGCTTGCGAACCATTGTTTTGTTTTTTTTTTTTTTTGAGACAGAGTCTCATTCTGTCACCCAGGCTGGAGTGCAGTGGCGCGATCTCGGCTCACTGCAAGCTCCTCCTCCAGGGTTCACGCCATTCTCCTGCCTCAGCCTCCTGAGTAGCTGGGACTACAGGCGCCCGCCACCACGCCTGGCTAATTTTTTTGTGTGTGTTTTTAGTAGAGATGGGGTTTCACCGTGTTAACCAGGATGGTCTTGATCTGCTGACCTCATGATCCGCCCGCCTCGGCCTCCCAAAGTGCTGGGATTACAGGCGTGAGCCACCGCACCTGGCAACGAAACATTGTTTTTTAGAGACACTTAGAACTAATCATTATAGTGCTGAGTCATAACTGATTTTTTTTTGTTTGTATTTTGTTTTTTTTTAGACAGGGTCTCACTCTGTCACCCAGGCTGGAGGGCAGTCATGTGACCATAGCTCACTGCAGCCCTTCAAACTGATAGGCTCAAGCAAGCCTCCCGTCTCAGCCTCCAAGGTGGCTGGGACTACAGGCACGTGCCATCACACCCAGCTAATGATTTTAGAATATAAATGTTACTATGAGTAACTCTTACAAAGGTTTGTATCTGTGACTCCTTCTATAGGTAGGTGAATTTAGGAGCTGCTTAATATAAACCCAAAGTGCCCAATCAGAAGTGTAAATGCTAGGCCTAAAAGAGGCAGTGAGAGTAGAATTGCTGAAGATGGTCAAAATAATTACTGGTTTATTAAACTATGCAGGAAATACAATGAGAATATCATTTTTAAAAGATGCTAGTATCCTCCAAAAAGTAGAGAATATTTGGATTTGTGGGACAATAAAAGATCCTAGCAATATGAGAAGAAAGATGCCAGAATAAAACGCACAACAGAATCAGAGACCTGGGGAGGTCTCCTCAGGACAGAGGCGGTACATAAAGGCATGCCTTGGAGATATCACAGGTTTGGTTCCAGACCACTGTAATAAAGTACATATTTCAATAAAGTAAGTCCCACAAAATTGTTGATTAACCAGCGCACATAGAAGATAACTTTATACTACACTGTAGTCTACTAAATATGCAATAGCATTATGTCTTAAAAATGTATGTACTTTCATTAAAAAATACTTTATTGTTAAACAATGCTAACAACCATCTGAGCCTTCAGTGACTTGTAATCTTTTTGCTGGTGGAAGAGGTTTCCCTGTTGTTGATGGCTGCTGACTAGTCAGGTTGGTCATTGCTGAAGGCTGGGGAAGCCACAGCAACTTAGTCAAATAAGACAACAATGAAATCTGCTATACCAGTTAACTTTTTTTTTTTTTTTTGAGATGGAGTTTTGCTCTTGTTACCCAGGCTGGAGTGCAATGGTGCAATCTTGGCTCACTGCAACCTCTGCCTGCTGAGTTCAAGTGATTTTCCTGCCTCAGCCTCCCAAGTAGTTGGGATTGGGATTACAGGCATGTGCCATCACGCCTGGCTAATTTTTTGTATTTTTAGTAGAGACAGGGTTTCACCATGTTGGCCAGGCTGGTCTCGAACTCCTGACCTCAGGTGATCTGCCCGCCTCAGCCTCCCAAAATGCTGGGATTACAGCCGTGAACCACCATGCCTGGTATCTGTTAACGCTTTAAGAAAGATTTCTCTGTAGCATACCATGCTGTTTGATAGCATTTTACCCACAGTGGAACTTCTTTCAAAATGGCAGTCAATCCTCCTAAACCCTGTTGCTTTATCAAGTAAGTTGATGTAATATTCTAAATTAGCTGATGTCATTTCAACAATGTTCATAGCATCTTCACCAGGAGTACATTCATCTCAAGAAAACCCTGTCTTTGCTCATCCATAAGAAACAATTCCAGGTTAGGCATGGTGGCTGACACCTGTAATCCCAGTGCTTTGGGTGGCTGAGGAAGGATGACGTGGTTTGGCTCTGTGTCCCCACCCAAATCTCATCTCAAATTGTAATCCCCAAAATCCCCACAATCCCCACATGTTGAGGGAGGGACCTGTTGGGACATGACTGTATCATGAGGGAGGTTTCCCCATGCTATTCTTGTGACAGTGAGTGAGTTCTCACAAGATCTGATGGTTTTCTAAGTGTTTGACTATTCCTCTTCCTACACACGCTCACTCTCTTGCCTGCTGCCATGTAAGATGTGCTTGCTTCCCCTTCTGCCATGATTGTAAGTTTCCTGAGGCCTTCCCAACCATGTGGAACTGTGAGTCAAACCTCTTTCCTTTACAAATTACCTAGTCTCCGGCATGTCATTACAGCAGTGTGAAAACGGACTAAAACAGAGGAGAATTGCTTAAAGCCAGGAGTTTAAGACTGGTCTGGGCAACATAGTGAGATCTCATCTCTACAGGAAAAAAATCAGTTGGGTGTGGTGGTGGTGCTTGCTGGTTGTCCTAGCTACTTGGGAAGTTGAGGTGGGAGGATTGTTAGAGCCCAGGAGTCTGAGCCTGTAGTGAGCTATGATTATGCTGCTGTACTCCAGCCTAGGTGACAGAGTGAGACCCTATCTCTAAAACAAAACAAAACAAAACAAAACAAAACAAAACAAAACCAACCAAAAAAACCACCACCTTATCCATTCAATTTTCATCATGAGAGTGTAGCAATTTAGTCACATCTTCAGGTTCCACTTCTGATTCTACTTCTCTTGCTATTTCTTCCACATCTGCAGTGACTTCCTCCACTGAAATCTTGAACCCCTCAAAGTCATCCATGAGGACTGGAGTCAACTTCTTCTAAACTCCTGTTAATGTTGATATTTTGACCTCCTCCCATGAATTACAAATGTTCTTAATGGCATCTAGGATAGTGAATCCTTTATGGGTTCTCAATATACCTTTACCAGATCCATCAGAGGAATCACTATCTATGGAACCTATAGCCTTAGGAAATAAGTATTTCTTAAATACTAAGTCTTGAAAGTCAAAATTACACCTTGATTCATGGACTGCAGAATGGATTTTTTGCTAGTGGGCATGAAAACAACATTAATTTCCTTGTACATTTCCATCAGAATTCTTGGGTAACTAGCTGCATTGTCAATGAGCAATATTTTGAAATGAATCTTTTTTCTGAGCAATAGGTCTCAACAGTGATCCTAAAATATTCAGTAAACAATTCTGTAAACAGATGTGCCATCATCCAAGTTTCGTTGTTTCATTTATAGAGCACTGGCAGAGTAGATTTAATATAACTTTTAAGGGCCTTGGTTTTTTTTTTTTTTTTTTTTGAGATGGAGTGTTGCTCTGTTGCCAGGGTGGAGTGCAGTGGCACAGTCTTGGCTCACTGCAACTGCCATCTCCCGGGTTCAAGCGATTCTCCTGCCTCAGCCTCCTGAGTAGCTGGGACTACAGGCACGCACCACCACCCTCAGCTAATTTTTATATTTTTAGTAGAGACAGGGATTCACCATGTTGGCCAGGATAGTCTCAATCTCTTGACCTCATGATCTGCCTGCCTTGGCCTCCCAAAGTGCTGGGATTACAGGCGTGAGCCACTGCGCCCGGCTGGGACTTGGTATTTTTTGAATGGTAAATGAGCATTGGCTTCAATTTAAAGTCATCAGTTGCATTAGTCTCTAATGAGAGAGTCAGCCTATTCTTTGAAGCTTTGAAGTCAGGCCTTGACTTCTCCTCTGTAGCCACAAAAATTCTATGTGGCATCTTCTTCCAATAGAAGGCTGTTTTGTCTACATTGAAAATCTTTTGTTTAGTGTAGCCAACTTCATCAATGATCTGAGCTAGATCTTTTGGATAACTTGCTGCAGCTTCTTCATCAATACTCACTGCCTCACCTTGTACTTTTATGTTTTGGAGATGGCTTCTTTCCTTAAACATCATGAACCAATCTCTGCTAGCTTGCAACTTTTCTTCTACAGCCTTCTCACCTCTCTCAGCCTTCATGGAATTGAAGAGTTAAAGCTTTGCTCTGGATTAGGCTTTGGGTTAAGAGAATGTTGTGGCTGGTTAGATCAGACTACTGCAACTTTCTTAATATCAGCAATAAGGCTGTTTTGCTTTCTTATTATTCATATGTTCACTGGAATAATGGCAAAAGGGCCCATGCCCTAGTTGAGTCATTTTCCTTCAAATAGCCTTCCCGGATGTCAAATGAATTTCATTGGCCAGAATTTAGTTACACTGGCCATTCCTAATTGCAAAGGAGTCCTGAGAAATGTAGTCTTTCAGCTAGGCAGTTGCTCCTATGGATGGAGCTATGGGAGAATGAACAGCAGGTGGCAACAAGCTGCCAATTACCTGTTTATTTTTATTGATATTGCTTTTCTTTTGTTTCTGTCTCTCTCTTTCTCTCTTCTTTCTTTTCTCTATCTCCTCTCTCTTTCTCTCTTTCTTCCTCCCCTTCTCTCTTTCTTTCTTCCTTTCAGATGAGGGTCTTGATATGTTGCCCAGGCTGGACTCAAACTCTTAGACTCAAGTTATCCTCCTCATGCCTTAGCCTCCAGAGTAGCTGGGACTACTGGTGTACCTCCATGCCTGCTTGGTCTGGTTTTTAAATCTTTGACACTCTGCCCTGAGATTGCATATAGCCAAAGTTACTCTTCATGTTGTTGCTCTCTTCTTTGGGTTTTACTTTCTTTGTCTGAAAAAACGATATTAATCAAATTTAAAGAGATATGAAAATCAACAGGAAGGCAATTGGAAAGATTATATATATATATAATATATATTTTGATGTGTGTGTATATATATGTGTGTGCGTGTATATATATATGTGTGTGTGTGTGTGTGTATATATATATATATATATATATATATATATATATATCAAAAAAGTTAACAAACAACTAATAGGTGGGGCAAAATAAATGTTTACCCAGCCCCAAGTGCCTGGAAAAAGGATATTCTGAAGGGAAGATTTCAGCTTCCACTAAATGATGAGGTTTTTCCCCTTAGCATCGCAACCTCTCCCAGGGAGGTGAATTATTCTTCTTAGGTCACTGAGGGACCTCTAAGTGCTTAGCTCTTATGTAACTTTGAAAAACTGAGTAGGCATTAAAGATAATCTTCATGCCTGTTACATTACCCTAGGAAACAATTTACATTTTAGACTACACGTGATTTGCATTCTTTAAATCTCCCTCATTATTACTGGATTATGCTAAAACATTGGCTGCTAGGTCTAAACAATAATGCTTAATGTACTATGAACTTTTTATACTTTCATTCATTCACTCAATAGCCATTTATTAAGTAGTCATTATGTGTTGGGCATTCGGGTTTTTGCTGTAGACACAAAACACAAAGTTCCTTCCCTCATGGAGCTTGTATTATAGTGTGTGTGAGGTGCCATTGTTGAAGGACATACTCATAAACCAGTAAACAAGTGAACGAGAAAGTTCCAGGTAGTGAACAGTGCTATACATACAGCAGGAGGATGTGGTAGAGTGTGACTGAGAGGGAGGGACTGCTTTAGAAGGGGACGTCTTCCTTGAAGAGCTAAGACACGAATGTGAGACAAAGTCACTGACAAACACATGATTTACAATGAGCACTTATTTCATGGATTTGAGCTTCTCCTACCACACAAATCATGAAGATTCAATTTTCACTTAAATCAAGTACCAGCAAAAAACTATCAGCTAAAGGTAACATGTTCAGGAATACTGAAGATTAGATTGTTTACAATATTAGATTTATTTTGAAACACAAACAGCTCCCAGTAGGTGTGGCTTCAAAATGAAATGATTCAGATACCCTCTTGCTTGATCTCTATGCTAATTACTTCTGGGATATGGAATATCTGAGTAATCTCACTTGACTGCTAGAGTATAACATTATCAGCAAACTTGCAAGGGGAATTCTGTGTAAAAACAAATCCATTCTAATTGTTCTTTGAAGAAAAACTTTTATATTTGTGATTCACGATAAAATCACTCTTGTATAGGCAAAGCTGACAGCTGCCCTGAGCAAAGCAAATTTGATTAGACGTTCCAGTGGCTAGAATACATTTATTCATTCAGTGTTTATAATTGAAACATGAATGTTGCTTATCTCCTGCCGTGAATTTAAAACATACGAGACTTCAGGTTTGATCCCTGATATGTAAAAAATTCAACAACAAAAACACCAATCAAGCTTCAATTATAAGTATAGATTTTTGAAAAATTGTACTCGATTTTCATTATAACATAATTCTGTCACTAATTAGAGCGAAGTTTGTTTGGATCTCTTCAAAATTTGAAGAGTTGAAATTCCAAAGGCAGAATAACAGCATATGGGAGAAGAAGCTACCAGTGAGATGGCTTCATGTCAAAAGGATGTGCTATCAATTCAGGAACCAATGAACTTTGAAAAACAGAACCATGCATGAGTAATACAGAGTAGAATCTGGACCTGGATAGGAATTCTAGCCTCAGAAAGTGAAACATAGGAGGAGGTAGGAGTGGGTTGGGGGTCTGGGAAGGAATGGAAACTTTCAAGGGTATTGGAATTAAACAAACTCTATGTCTCTTCTGGTCCATCTGATTCTAAGTGTTCAGAGCATGTGTTCTAAATAATAAAAGTATTATTATTATTATTATTTTTGAGACGGAGTTTCACTCTTTTCACCAGGCTGGAGTGCAATGGCACGATCTCGGCTCACGGCAACCTCCGCCTTCAGGGTTCAAGCAATTCTCCTGCTTCAGTCTCCTCAGTAGCTGGGATTACAGGCGCATACCACCATGCCCAGCTGCTTTTTGTATTTTTAGTAGAGACTGGGTTTCACCATGTTGGTAAGGCTGGTCTCGAACTTCTGACCTCGTGATCCGCTCGCCTCGGTCTCCCAAAGTGTTGGGATTACAGGCATGAGCCACTGCACCTGGAGCTTTTTTATTGAGTACCTGCACTGATGAATAAGATAGTGCCTCCTTCTAAGCAATTTACAGATTAGTGGGAACCCAGGAGGCGGAGGTTGCAGTGAGCCAAGATCGAGCCATTGCACTCCAGCCTGGGAGATGAGAGTGAAACTGTCTCTCAAAAAAAAAAAGTATTATTATTTAGAAATTGGGTCTTGCTATGTTGCTCAGGCTAGTCTCGAACTCCTAAACTCAAGTTAGCCTCCTTCCTCAGTCTCCCAGTGCTGTAATCCCATACAGGCGTGAGCCACCACACCTAGCCTGTGTCAGCTAGTTTTTTTAAAACAGCTTTACTAAGATATAATTTACATAATCATAAGTTCCACCTATTGTAAGTACACAATTCAAGGATTTTTAGACAATTCAGAGAGTTGAGCAACCATCACACGATCTAACCCATTTTTTCAATGTTTCTGCTGTAGAAACCATTTTATTATTCTAGTACAAAAGTACATGCCAAGCCATTAAAATTGTACAGCAAGTATTAAGGATGCAAAGTGACTCACTGAAAATGTATGTAATGGACTTGCACAGACAACTGCTCTACTGACACAGAAAGAAAGAGAGGGAGGGTGGCTAGAGCCAGTACAGTACAAAGCAATGGTTATCAGCTAGGCCCTAGAGTTAGACTGCTGGGGTTCAGATGCTGGCATCCCTACTTACTTAACTGCTGTCTGGCCTCAGGCATATTACTTGAACTCTCTGAGCCTCAGTTTACTCATCTGAAAGAGAACAGCACCCTACTTTATGGGGTTATGAAGAATAAATGAAATACTATATGCAAGAGGTTCAGTAGAGTCCTGGCACATAGTAAGGACTCAAGAACTATTAGCTGTTTTTACAGTTATCACTGGATGACTATTAAATAGCCTTTCATGAGCCAGACATGGAAGACCACATGCTCTAATTAAATTTATATGAAATTCTAGAGAAGGCAAATCGATGTTGATAGCAGATCAGTGATTGACAGAGGCTAGGGAGCGGAGGTAGGAAATTGACAGCAAAGGGTCACAGAAAACTTTTCAGGATGTTCTATATTATGACTGGGATGCTTTGTAAACACTTGTCACTGAATCACACATTTAACTTGGTGCATTTTTCTGTATGTAAAGTAAATCTGACCTCTCTCCCCCAAACTCTTAAAGATCTAGCTTTTAATTTTCCAGTTATTTTACATGTCAGAAGCAAGGTTCAGTTTCTAAACTCAGCCAACAAATATCTGTTGAGCACCTACGATGTGCAAGACACTGTTCTGGGTGTTGGGGATACAGTCTTGAAGAGGACAGATAGCATCCTACCCCCATGGAGTTTATAGTTCAAGCACGAATTATACACCTATGTTTGGAGTTACAAAATACAGGATGCTATGGGGAGAATACACTGTCCGGGTAGGGGGAAGTAGAGGAGTTCCAATATGTATAAATCTCTGTCCCGCGTTTTTTTCTATTTTTTGAACACAGAAGCAAGCAGAGTCCTTCCACCTACAGTCCAGGTGGGTGGTGTGTCAGAGGCCTCTCGGGGACCAGTGACCGTGACCCAAGGCTGCCCTCAGGCCACACCATCTGCGAGATGCGGTGGCCACCTGGCGAGGGAAAAGGACTGGCACCGGACCAAAGACCAGGTGGATGCTTCCACGGACCCCAGGTGGGGCGCTGCTTTGACCTTGGCTTCGTCATGCCCGCGCTCTCTAGCTTCTTTCCAGGTGTGCCCAGCCACCGCAGAGAACAGGCGGCAGGAAAGCTTAGGAAACCCTCCCAGAGGGCGTGCCAGACCGGGAAACTTTATCTGGGAGGTGACTCCACCCACTTGGGCGGGGCTGCCGCCCGCTGGGGGCCGGGCAAGTGGCCCGGCCAGCGGCGCGGCGTCCGGGGAGGAAATGGATGCTGTGCTGGCCTGCCGGCTCCGGGGGCGGGGAAATCGAGTAGCTGCACTCAGGCCCCGCCCGAGACCCGGAGGGAGCGCCGGGCCGTCCCCTTTTGCCCTCCTTTGCGCTGGGCTGAGCCCAGAGCCGAGAGCAGGAGTCGGCTCTGAGTTCCCTGCTTGGTTTTTGGGTGGCAGCAGCCAGAGGAGGAATATGGCGCTCTTAGGCAGCCGAGCGGAGCTGGAAGCGGACGAGGTACGATCCGATGGGGATTGCGGGCCCGGCCCCTGAAGCCCTGGACAGGAGTCCGGGAGAGAAGAGTGAGCCCGGCTAGGACGGCCGAGGCCCCGCCCCCTTGGTCCCCTCTCTGGGGTGGGCTGGCGGGCGCCGGGTGGGGGCGCCCGGCCTTGGTAGGTCTGTCCCCGCTGGAGCTAGGAGGGTCCCTGCGGCGCGCGGAGCGGACGCAGTGCCGAGGTTCGGAGCGCCGGCCCCGCGAGTCGTGGGGATGGAGGACCCACGTCCTGCCAGCACTTGGATGGGCGTGAGGGCGCGGGACCATAGGACCCGCAGCTCTGAGCTGTTCCGGGCCGGCCCAGCGACGCCTGGGCTTTACGAAGTCTGACCCTGAAGTCCTGGCACTGGCTCTCTGGGTGTTCGTGGAATCATCCCTCGACCTGGGAATCTCACCTTCTATGGAAGTTTCCTGGTGGCAGAACCGAAAGGCTTACGATTGATGAAAAGAGGGGGCAGCCTGAGGAACAATGAGTAGAGGGGTACCTGCCGCGACAGCAGGGCAGGGCTGCCAGGGGCTGGGGCTGGAGGGCTAGAGCCGCAGCCCAGGCTGTGGTGCTTCCCTCTCCCTCCACGGGGCCGGGACACTTCCCCTAGCAGGTCCTCAGAGTCGGTGGTGGCCGGAGGGAAACCACTTTGAGAACCGACTCCGGCCTCCTTTGGTTTCAACTGTGTTTGAGTAATTAGCCACTCCTTCAGTCGTGGCGCGCCCGGGCCTGAGCACCCAGGGGCTAGCGCGCCGGACCTGTTGATTTATTGACTATTCATTTCAGCACCTGGCAACTCCAGAGACAGCGCTCTCCCTGCTCTTGAAGTTGAGACCGAGGCTCCAGCAGCAGCCAGCACCCACAGCTGCTGTTCCTGCCATCTTACCTGACTTGAATTGTGCGAGTCGCTGCCTTTAGAAGGCTTTGGTTTCAAATGATGCAATAGTGGACGATCTGGAGGAGGCGGTTAAGTTTCCCGTCCATCTCTTTAGTGCCAGGAATCTCCTGACAAGGAAGACTATACTTTAAATGTGCTCCGTAAAATAAACAAAAAACAAAAACTGAACTACAGCTCCTCTGCATGACAGAGAGACAAGAGGGCAAGCCGGGCTGTCCAGACCCTTGCTTACAGCCTGTCCCTTGCATTGAGGATCCCAAGACTGTAGAATGAAATATTTGAATCCCGATCTGTTTGTAGGAGATTTGCTGTGCTTAGAACTATGTAATTCTCTAGATTAGGGCATTGTTGAGGCGGTGCTATTATTAATTAACACTGGGATAATAGGTGTAAACTGGGACTGTTTCGGAGATACTTTGACAAATGGTCACCCCAGCTATGCTCACTGCCTACTAGATGAACGGTTGAGATGCATTAGCCGATGAGGAGGGAAGTTAGGTTTCTGTGGGTGAAACTCTGGGTGGAAGTTAGGTTTCAGAGTAGCAGAGAGCCTGGCACACAGATACTTGGTAAATAAATATTTGTTGAATGAATGAAAGACTGCAGAAAAGATGTTGCTTAATAACAACTCAGTTTTTGCCATATCATTCATTTATTTTTCTTCATTCATTAACTATTAGGCTTCTGTTACATGCTAGGTACTGTACTAGTCCTAGTTGATGAGCAAAATACAAATTGAATTCTTTGTTCATGCCAAATTTACTTTTGTCCCTCACAGTTTACCACTTCCATTGCTATAAACTGAGCAAGCGTTTATTGAGCATTTACTTTGGGCTCAAACTTGGTAGGTGCCTTAGAGAAGGCATAGTTTTGCCTCTTTATGGTTCTCAGTCTGATTAGGGAGATATGACCTGGGTACAAGAACTCTAAAAAGGAGCTCAAGTAAATGTAAGCAAGTAAGAAGTAGTGTGTTGTAGACTGGATACCCTTGATTTATTTGTAGAAAGTCCCTTACCGTAAATGGGCTTGAAGAACTCTAACCTCGAGTTCATAAGACCCTGCTCTTCAATTTTACTGGGTGCGCAAATAGCTTATTTCAGCTAGGAAGCTTTTCACGTATTTAAGAAGAGTCTGATAGTCTTTATTTGATATTGATAGTTTTTAATGGCCATTATTTGATATTCTGGGGGAGTTAAAAGGGACAAAGTGATATAGTTGGAAAAGTACCAGGTTAGGTTTTTAGGTAACCTGGTTCTTCTCTTTGTTCATCACTTATGTGTGTAAACAGCTGACTAGGTGCCAAGCCCTGTACTAGCCTGGAGGTACAACAGTGAACAAGACAGACAAGGTCCTTCCCATGACTGTTGACCTTGATTGAGCAAGTCTGTCAACCTCAGAGGGCTCTTTCAGTTCCCTTATCTGAAGAAGGAGGGGCTGGATTAGCCCTAAGTGTTCTTCCAGCTCTAAAGATCTGGGTTTTTATTGAGATGGGGGAGAGGGGTCGGGGGGGAGGTTGGGGAAGAGGGAGTTTCTTTTGGGAGAAGGGCTAATAATATGGAAATCTTTTTCTTTAAAAGTACCCAAGGAATGAATGATAATGGTAGAGAAGCTCCCATGGTAGCTGTGGGATGGAGGTTTTCTTGGCTAAATTGATTTTTTAATTTGTGTTTTTTAGGTGCTAGTATGATAAATTCGGGAGCATAGAAGTTAGGACTTGCATCCTCATTGGAGGCAAAAATTGGTTATTGGGGAGCACAAGCATCTTAGATATTATAATGGTGTGTGGCCATTTAAAGCTCAATCAACAAAAGCTTGTTTCTTAATATTTGAATTTCTCTCATTGGGTTTTCTTGTGTATTACACTAGCAACATTGATAATGGATTCATGGAAGATGTACAGAATATATTCAAGGTCAATCCAACAAATTTATAACGTAGAGATGGCTGTGGTTGGAAGACTTTCTCTCTAGTTGCCTGATCTTGAAGTCATTTTAGTTGGTTACCTTCACATACTTATGGGCTACCATTGGGTGCCTTGTGGCTTGCTTATATTTGGCCCTCAAATATAAGGATTTGAGAATTGAATGAAAATCATTTATATTTTATTATTTAATTCAATTAAGATTATTCAGCTCACCAATAATTATCTCAAGTGCCAAAAAGGAAAACATTGACAGTATTTGAATTAATATCTAGCAGCTAATTAAGTTAAAAATTTTCTCATATGAGGCCAGGTGTGGTGGCTCATGCCTGTAATCCCATCACTTTGGGAGGCTGAGGCGGGTGGATCACCTGAGGTCAGGAGTTCGAGACCAGCCTGACCAACATGGTGACACCCAGTCTCTACTAAAAATAACAAAAAAATTAGCTGGGCGTGGTGGCGGGCACCTGTAATCTCAGCTACTTGGGAGGCTGAGGCAGGAGAATCGCTTGAACCTGGGAGGCAGAGGTTGCATGAGCTGAGATCGCACCATTGTACTCCAGCGGGGGCAACAAGAGTAAAACTCCATCTCAGAAAAAAAAAAAAAATTTTTCTCATATGAAACAAAAGTTCACTAAAAATCACTTTTCAACCTGCGTAACGCAGTGAGACCCTGTCTCTACAAAAATAAAAATATGAATAGTTAGCTGGGCATGGTGGTGCCCGCCTGTAGTCCTAAGTTATTCTGGAGGCTGAGGTGGGAGGATCACTTGAGCCTAGGAGGTTGAGGCTGCAGTGAACTCTGATCATGCCACTGCACTCCAGCCTGGGTGACAGACCCCGTTTCAAAAAAAAAAAAAAAATCACTTTTCAGAAAATGATTTTTTCAATAGTTTTACTTTTGCTGGAAAATAACAGTTTTGAATGTTTTTTGAAAAGTTGATTACATTGCTATTATGTAGGTATAGAAATTGATAATTTGTATATATAATTTGATGCATTATATTTAACATTATATTAAAAGTCACTCAGCAAATACAGTTATAAAGTTAAATGTTCATAGATTTTTTTTTTGAGTTGGAGTCTCCCTCTGTTGCCCAGGCTGGAGTGCAGTGGCACAATCTCGGCTCACTGCAACCTCTGCCTCCTGGGTTCAAGCGATTCTGCTGCTTCAGCCTCCCAAGTAGCTGGGACTACATGTGCGTGCCACCACGTCCAGCTAATTTTTGTATTTTTAGTAGAGACGGGGTTTCACCATGTTGGCCAGGATGGTCTCGATCTCTTGACCTCGTGATCCGGCCGCCTCAGCCTCCCAAAGTGCTGGGATTACAGGCATGAGCCACTGCGCCCGGCCAAATGTTCATAGCTTTTTAAACATTTTTTTCTTTTTTTGGTGGGGGATGGAGTTTTGCTCTTGTCATCCAGGCTGGAGTGCAATGGCATGATCTCGGCTCACTGCAACCTCCGCCTCCCGGGTTCAAGCGATTCTCCTGCCTCAGCCTCCCGAGTAGCTTGGATTACAGGCGCCCAACACCATGCCCAGCTAATTTTTGTATTTTTAGTAGAAACAGAGTTTCAGCACGTTGGCCAGGCCGGTCTCGAACTCCTGACCTCAGGTGATCCACCTACCTCGGCCTCTCAAAGTGCTGGGATTACAGGTGTGAGCCACTGCACCGGCTTTTTTTTTTTTTTTTTTTTTTTTGAGACGGAATCTCGCTTTGTCACCCAGATTGGAGTGCAGTGGCGTGATGCATGTGCCACCACACCCGGCTAATTTTTTTGTATTTTTAGTAGAGACGAGGTTTCACCATATTGGCCAGGCTGGTCTCGAACTCCTGACCTTGTGATCCACCCACCTCGACCTCCCAAAGTGCTGGGATTACAGGCGTGAGCCACCGCGCCCGGCCTTTTTTTTAAAGACAGAGTCTTGCTTGGTCACCCAAGCTGGAGTGCAGTGGCATGATCTTGGCTCACTGTAACGTCTGCCTCCCGGGCTCAAGTGATTCTCCTGCCTCAGCCTCCGGAGAAGCTGGAATTGCAGGCGCCCACCACCACATCCAGCTAATTTTTGTATTTTTTTCAGTAGAGATGGGGTTTCACCATGTTGGCCAGGCTGGTCTCAAACTCCTGACCCCAAGTGATCCACCCGCCTTGGCCTCCCAATGTGCTGGGATTACAGGCGTGAGCCACCGTGCCCAACCTTACACTTAACTTTTAAAATATTTATTGAGTCATTCTGATCCTGTTATTGAATTAAAAAAGTAAGCTTTATACTTAGGCTCCTTTGAGGGTTGATAATGAAAAAAATTAAGACACTGACTAGGAAATAAATGGCTTATGTGACATGTTTTTACCGCCTGCTTTTTGGCCCAGGAATTTTTAGATCTAATTCTGATTTGGCTAATTTCTCTTTGGAAGTTTAGATGAAGTTTTGATAAAATTCATTACCACAATTTTCTTTCTTTTCTTCTTCTTTTTTTTTTTTTGAGATGGACTCTCTCTCTGTTGCCCAGGCTGGAGTGCAGTGGCACGATCTCAGCTCACGGCAACCTCTGCCTCCCGGGTTCAAGTGATTCTCCTGCCTCAGTCTCCCGAGTAGCTGGGGTTACAGGCATGCACCACCACGACCATCCAATTTTTTGTATTTTTAATAGAGACGGGGTTTCTCCATGTTGGTCAGGCTGGTCTCAAACTCCTGACTAAAGGTGATTCGCCCACCTGGGCTTTCCAAAGTGCTGGGATTATAGGCGTGAGCCACTGCTCCCAGCTGAGATTTATTCTTTCATTCCACCAACGTTCATTGAACGCCTGGCAGGTCCTAACAGTCTTTAAATGCTGGATGTACACACTAAAACAAGACAGTTATTACCCTTGAGGAGCACAACGTCAAGCAAAACACTTAACACAAGTCACTGTACTATTTCTATCTTTGGGTTAGGGTAGGTTTTAGGTAGGAAGGTCATATAATTTATCATTCAAAGCAGGGCACTCTGAGTAAATGAGCGCTTTCAGTAATTGCACTAAGACAACAGGTACAAACAGGGATGATTGGCTTCCCTTGTTTAGGGTCCGGCAAAGACTTGAAAGGAGAGATGGTATTTGAACTAGGTTTCAAAGGGCAAGTGGGATTGTGTTGGGCTCCCCAGTGGGAAGGCCTTGGGGGAAGTTGAGATGGGCGGGAATAAGAGAGCACTTGGTACAGTGGGAAGGAGAGTGTCAAGGGCAGAAACCAAAAAGGCTGACTTGGGTCGTGAGTCATTGTGTCCTGAATGTCACGCTAAGGAATTTGGGTTGTATCTCCTAAAAAATGGGAACCTGGAAGGTTTTTTTTTTTTTTTTTTTTTTTTTTTGAGACGGAGTTTTACTCTTTCACCCAGGCTGGAGTGAAGTAGTGGGATCTCGGCTCACTGCAACCTCTGCCCCCACAGCCTGGGTTCAACCGATTCTCCTGCCTCAGCGTTCCGAGTAGCTGGGATTACAGGTGCCTGCTACCACGCCCAGCTAATTTTTGTATTTTTAGTAGAGACGGGGTTTCGCCATGTTGGCCAGGCTGCTTTCGAACTCCTGACCTCAGGTGATCCACCTGCCTTGGCCTCCCAAAGTGCTGGGATTACAGGCGTGAGCCACTGCAACCAGCCACATGGAAGGTTTTTGATGAGGCAATTGTTGTAAGATTGCTGATTTTAGGAAGATAAATCTGGTGAAGTGGATGAAGCCAGGATGTGGAGGTGGCAGAAGGAGGACAAAAGGCTGTTGCAACAGTTAGTGTGGAAGATGATGAGTAATGAAGTAGAGTAGAGGCTGTGGCATTGGACAGAAGAGGCCAGAGTTAAAGGATTTCTCAGAACGTGAAAGAGGACTTGACTTGGTGGCCTGTCCCCCAGTTTGAGGGTCAGTGGTGCAGTGAGGGAGGAGCCATTGAGTAATAATTCTGGGTTCCTTGTGTGGCTGGGTAGGGGTGCTGTCCCCTAAGGAGAAGGAGTAGAGTTTATTCCTGTTTCCTTTCAGCTGGGTAGGAGATGGGGAAGGACAGCAAGCAGATGAAACTAACCCCTATGCCTCACTGAATTTTCTGATTGCGGAGCATGGGCCATTTGTTCATGAGGGTATGCATTTGGGCAGAATTAAGAAAGGGTGTTTGTAAATTGGTAATGCAAGTTAGTGGAGGGAAGCAGCATCACTTTACCGTCAGTCCCAACTCCAGCTCAGGTTAACAAACAGACATTCTCCTGAAATGTTTCCTGAAATGTTCAATCTTGAGTCTCTTGAAACCCTGTTTTTTGACAGCTGTTTTTCTAGTGAAACTTTTCCTCCCCCTGTACCTGGATACCCACTTCCTTCCCTTCAAGTCTGGGTAACACATATGCTTCTGCAGACAAGTATCAGTTCTTCCTGTGCTAGCTGCTTGCCTTCTTATCTCAGTTTCCTGCCCATGGGTGCTGTTACCAGTCATTTAGTGTGAATCTGATACTGTGAGTTCAGTGAAGCTCAGAGTTTCCATCTAGCCATCTGTTGACAGCCGACCAATCTCCAGTCTTGGATGCCCCAGTAGCATCTCAGGCGGAGTCTCCTGAAGTTACTTTGTATTCACTTCCCAAAGATGAGTACCTGGGGACTCCTGTGGGTGCTTTTGAGGCTTCCTGGGGGAGAGATTTTCCTTTTTTGAGCCTCCCATTGGCCACCACCTTAGTCAGCACTCTCCTTTTCTCCCCCTGTGCTTCGTGGATCTGTGCTGCCTCCTGATGCACCAAGTCCGTTTATACCCAGAGCCACCGCGGCCAGTTGCTGTATTGGTGATGTCATCACACCTCTCTAAAGGGACTTCTGAAGTGGGGAGTGCCTGGCAGTTCCTAATGCCATCATGCATCTTCAGCTCTTTATTTAAAGACTAGGTGTGTAGTAAATGCTTTTTGTTGTGATCTGTGGATGTGTCCCCTTGGTACTGCTGATATTATGCTGTCATATACATAGGGCCTACGTATTTTAAAATATTTTGGTGAAATGATACATTGTATGTTTGTTGGATCTGAAGGTAACTAGTGAGTGACAATTTTCAGTCTGACTTAATGTGTTGAGTATTGTGTTAGGTGCTGGACAAGCAAATGCAGCTCCTGCCTCAGGTTATGGTCTAGTGGAGAGTGGGGACATGTGTGTTCTGAGAACCACCTGGTGGAGGAGGGATGCCAGGGTACTTTGTGAGCACAGAGGAGGGCACCTCTCCTGGGAGAGAGGGTAGTCAGGAATGATTTCCTGGAGGAGGCCATTTCTTAGACATTCTGAGTCAAGAAGAATGAGTAGGGGTTAGCCATGGAGAAGTGATGTGGGGAAGGGGGAGCTCTTGAAGTGTCTTCCAGGAGAGGGAATAGCGGGATAAGGTGCAGAGGTGAGGAAGATCCTGTGGTGCTCTGGACAGGTGGAGTGTCAGGAATCAAGGCTGGAAGGGTACTTTGTTAGTTCTCCAGAGAAATGGGACATAATATATAGATAGATGAGAGGGGATTTATTATGGGAGTTGTCTCACATGATTATTGATATGGTTTGGCTGTGTTCCCACCCACATCTCATCTTGAGTCATAGCTCACATAATCCCCACGTGTCATGGGTGGGACCCAGTAGGAGGTAATTGAATCATGGGGGTGGGTTTTCCCATGCTCTTCTTGTGACAGTGAATAAGTCTCATGGGATCTGATGTTTTCATAAAGGGCAGTTTCCCCGCACACACTCTCTTGCCTGCTGCCATGTAAGATGTGCCTTTGCTCCTCCTTCATCTTTCACCATGATTTTGAGGCTTTCCCAGCCGTGTGGAAATGTGAGTCCATTAAACCTCTTTTTCTTTATAAATTATGCAGTCTTGGGTATTTCTTCACAGCAGTATGAAAATGGACTAATACAATTATGGAGCGTGAGAAGCCCTACCATATGCTGTCTGCAAGCTGGAGAGCTGCAGAGGCTGGTAGCGTGGCTCAGTCCAAGCACAGAGGCCTCAAAACCATGGAAGCTGATGGTATAACTCAGTCTGAGGATGAAGGCTTCAGAACCTGGGGGACTACAGGTGCAAGTTCTGGAGACCGAATGCTGGAGAACCTTGAGTTCTGATGTCCAAGAGAAGGAGAAAAAGGACTTCCCAGCTCCAGAAGAGGGAAAAAGCAAATTTGGCTTTCCTCTGTCTTCTTGTTCTATCTGGGTCCTCTGCTGAGTGGATGGTACCCAAAACTTTGGGTGAGGGTAGGTCTTCCTTACCCTGTTCATGGATTCAAATGCCAGTCTCTTCTGGAAACACTCTCCCAGACATACCCATAAATAAAATCTTTACCTGTTCTCTCTATCTGGGTATCCCTTAATCCAGTCAACTTGACACCTAAAATTAACCATCACAGGTAAGAAGGGCCGTTCAGAGACTTTCATGTCAGATTGTGGAGATCATGGTGTGCATCTGCGGGTTTCAGTGAGGAGTGGTGGGGAGCAAGCAGTATTTTAGGTGGCTCCCTGGCAAGGCGTGGAGGCTGATTGGAGGTAGACAAGCCCAGAGTGACGGAGGCTGGTGTTTTGTTTTGTTTGTTGAATGATTATTGGGACTCACTGACGACCCAAGGGTACCTAATAATTAAGGCAACATGATGGGTAAGATATGGTGTGGATCCCTCTGAAAAAGGCAGTTAGAAATATGGACACAGACAGCTGTAACCTGGAGTGCAGGGTAGAGTCTAGAGAGGGTTCAAGTGTCCTGTGCTCCAAGGAGAAGAGGGCTGTCACAGGGTGGTCCACCTGGACATTCTCTCTCCTGCCTGCTGCCCACCCCACCTGCTGACTTGTTTCCAGACCAAGTCTTTACTGACTAGCTGTGTGACTTAGAGCAAGTCCCTTAATGTTTTTGAGCCTTGTTTTCCTCATAGGCGACACGAAGGAGTTGAAACTGATGATCTGTCTGTAAAAGTTCCTTTGAGTTTTTGACATGTGTCTTCTAGAAGGTGACATTCGACCTGGGCTTCATGAGGTGGAATTTCAGCAGGCAGCAAGGGAGGAGATCACCCCTCATTCCTTCAGGCAGAGGGAACAGCAGGGGAACTGCGCTCCTCAGGCGTGGTGAAGTAGGCTGGAGGCCATGTGGTTGGAGCACAGTATATGCCCCCTTTAAGTGATTAATGCAGGAGAGCTGCTGTGAGTGTGTTCCAGCCAGATTGATCAGAATCTGGCCTTGAATGCTTAGCTACCGAGTTTGGCTTTTCTTTTTTCTTTTCTTTTCTTTTTTCTTAAAGAGACAGGGTCTTGCTCTGTCACACAGGCTAGATTAGAGTGGTGTGATCATGGCTTACTGCAGACTTGACCCCCTGGGCTCAAGGGATCCTCTTGGCTCGCATGATCCCCCAGCCTTGGCCTCTCAAAGTGCTGAGACTACAGGCATAAGCCACCATGCCTGGCCCTGCCTTTTAAAAAAATTTGCTTTTGGCCAGGCGCAGTGGCTCATGTCTGTAATCCCAGCACTTTGGGAGGCCGAGGCAGGGGGGTATCACCTGAGATCAGGAATTTGAGACCAGCCTGGCCACCATGGTGAAACCCAGTCTCTATTAAAAATACAAAAATTTGCTGGGCATGGTGGCATATGCCTGTAATCCCAGCTACTCGGGAGGCTGAGGCAGGAGAATTGCTTGAACCTGGGAGGCGGAGATTGCAGTGAGCCGAGATTGAGCTATTGAGCTCCAGCCTAGGCAAAAAGAGTGAAATTCCTTCTCAAAAAAAAAATTGCTTTTTTTGACAGTGGAGACACACATGCACCCTTCTGTATTTGGGGAATATTTTTGCTTTTCTTCTTCTTTTGGGGTAAAGGAAGCAACAATAATGATTTCCATTTGTTTGGTTTCACTTTCCCTTTCCCAACCCCATTTCTAAGGTACAGTTTTAAACGGATGCCTGTAAACTGAAATGCAGTGGGTGGTTAAGGAGACAGACAAGGTCAGAGGCACTTGGGTAATTTCACAGGTTTATATTTCATCACATAGACTTTTACCTTCGGACTAAGTTCTGAGATAGAAAACCAACTTGAGCCACGGTGCTCGTGTGGGCAGCAGGACCAGTCACAGCTTCTTTGAGGAAATGCTTGGTCCTCCTTTTTTCCCTCCCTGTTTTCTCAGACCACTTTGTCCTGGCATTCTGGACAACCATGAGTCACAGTCCTTACACTCAGAACCAAAGGAAACAAACCTCAGAGTCTCACATTGTTTTTCAGACCAAATGGAGTATTATCTTTTTGAGAGGAGGTAGACAAGACAGATGAGGACAGAGAGGGAGAGTCCTCAAGAGGGGGAAGTGAGGCCTGACTCCAAAATCCTCCCCCAAAAGTACTCATATGTCACCCCCTGTGCAGAATCATCAATCAAGGGCTCATTGACCCATACCAGGTCCTCCATGTGCAGAGCAGCACTGAGTTTCTGAGAGAGTGGCCAGCTGGGCTTAGATTCTGGCTTCCCATTTCCTCTCTGACTTTGAACATGTGATTTCACTTCTGACATTCTTCATTTATGAAGGATGAAGTCAGATTATATTTTATAAAGCACCTGACACATAGAAGGTACTACTAAAATGCAAATTTACTTTCTCTTTATGCTTTTAAAGTCTTGCTGCTACTGGTTCATTATCTATGGATTTAATGAAGAATCTGCAGCTAACATTTCAGTATGTTGAAATATATTTTTACCTTATTTTTGCAGTCAATTGAAAAGAGAATTCTACAGAAGAAGCAGAAGGGAAGTGATTGGCCCGAGGTCACTCAGCTGGCTTAGGCACAGAATCAGGGTTAGAAGCTAGATTCCCTAACTCTAAACCCTTTGCCCTTTACACTAGGTCAAGCAGCCACAAACTTCTCAAACTTGACTAAGAGGTTAAATGCAGCCTGCCCACCTCCTGCCTATTTTTGTAAATAAAGTTTAATTGGAGCACAGCCATACCCATTTGTTTAGGTGTTGCCTATGGCTACTTTTGCCCTACTGTGGTACAGTTGGGAAACAGATGTGTGGCTCACACAGCCTAAATATTTATATGCCTTTTATGGAGGAAGTTTGCTGACCCTGGTACTAGGTGGTCAGCAAACTTCTGACCTTCTGGGGTGTTTAAGTTTGTTTGTAATGTATTGTAAGCCTTATGAATTAAATGTGCTTGTTTCCTTCATGTGCATGTAAGCATCAAAAAATAGGAAAAATAGAAAATTACTTGACACATCCCATTAATTGGTTTGGTTGTAAGTTCTGGAGTCAGTTGGACGTGGGCTTGAATCCCTGCTCCTCCATGTATAACCTGGGATAAGTTAACTCAATCTATCTATTCCATATTCACCAGAGAAATGGCGATAATAGAACCTGTTGTGAGGGTTCAGGGAGGCCTATGCAGCGCTTATCGTGGGGGGCCCAGAAGTTGGCTTGTGGCATTGTCAAGGCTGCACTCTGTGGCTGCTCACAGGCATTGTGTAAAGATTGGCCCAGCCAGAGTCTTGCAGAAAAACCTTCCTCTGTGATGGAGTCCTGTAGGATAAATAAGTCACCTCTCAGGCTAATACCCAGGACTCCAGCTGGGAAATTCTTCAAGTTTACATCCTCCCACCTTTCCTTTCCTTTCCTGAGTGGGAGGGGAAACCACTTCACACAAAAGAGAGCAGTAAACAGGGGCTCAAAGGGCCATCTGTTCCAGCTCTATCTAAAACTGAAAAGTGTTAATATTTGTCAGCAAGGGAGGTGATAATGCCAGCAATATTTTGGAAACAGCATTTGGTCGCTGACACATAAATGGTGTTGTAACCTTTGTTTTCTCCAAACATTTTGGTCAATGTCATAAAGTTCTTACAGGGTTTTCAGGTAGCACCTAGATGTTGGTAGGAGACTATGGCCTGTAAAAGGTATGTTTGTGTTCAGTTACTGAACGTAAGAGGCTAAAAGGTAAAGGAAGTAAGAGTGTGCAAGCATTCCTGAGCCCTGGAGGGACTCTAGGGTTCTTGCTGTGCCCTAAAGCAGTGTACTGCGCTAGACTGCTTTTTTTTTTTCCAGCTGCTAGCAGCTGACAATAGACTGCTCTTTCTAAAATGCAAGTCCATTTTCGCCTTGCCTCTTAAAATCTGTGCACAGCTTCTCATTGCCTTTAAAGTAACATGCAAATACCTTAGCATGACATATGATAAAAACTTCAGCAGAATTAAATTTAAAGGAGTTCAATTGAGCAATGAAAGATTCGTGAATCAGTCGATCTCTGGAGCCAGAGCAGGCTCGGAGACTGCAGTGCAGCCATGTGGTGGAAGAAGATTTATGGACAGAGAAAGGAAAGTGACGTGCAGAAAACGGAAGTGAGGTACAGAGACAGCTGGATTGGTTACAGCCCACAGTTTGCTTTATTTGAACACGGTTCCAACCGTTGGCTACATTTGATGGACCAAAACTCGGTGATTGGCACAAGTGTAGGTAAGGTCTGTTTACACCTCCACTTGTAGCTCACGATGTACAGAGAAACCTTTAGGCCAAACTTAAAATATGTAAGGAGGCAGCTTTAGGCTAAACTTGATTTAACACATGTAAGGCCTTTCTTAGCATCTTCCTAAGTGGTTCTCATATTTTAGTGTGCATAGAAATCACCTGGCTGGGGTACAGGTGGCCTGTTACAATGCACATCCCTGTGTCTCACCGCCAGCGATTCTTGCTCAGTAGGTCCTAGGATCTTGCATTCCTAACATGGACTTTTAACATCAGCCATTCTGATGTGCTTGTGGTTTCTTTTCTCATGCCCAATTTCCTAAAAGGTGGTCATTTCTTCCCAACTTTTTCATACACTGTTCCCCCACCTGGACAATTCTTTTGAATCATTTCAGACCTCCCTCAGGTACCAGCCCACCTCCAGGTGCTCAGCAACTAGTTATATGTCATTACATGAGTATATGCTCTCTGAGAAATGTGTTATGAGGCAATGTCATCATTGTGCCAGCATCATAGTGCACTTACACAATCCTAGATGGTACAGCCTACTACACACCTAGGCTCTCTGGCATGGCCTATTGCTCCCAGGTTACAAGCCTGTACAACATGTTACTGTACTGAATACTGTAGGCCATTATAACACAATGGTATTTGTGTATCTAAACATAGAAAAGGCACAGTAAAATGTGGTATACAATATAAAAAACAGTACACCTGTATAGGGCACTTACCATGAATGGAGCTTGCAGGACTGGAAGTTGCTCTGGGTGAGTCAGTGAGTGAGTGGTGAGTGAATGTGAAGGCCTAGGACATTATTACACATTAGTATAGACTTTATGAACACTGTACACTTAAGCTGCACCACATTTATGTTTTTTCTTTAATAATAAACCTTTGATTAATGGAACTTTTTTGCTTTATGAACTTTTAAATTCTTTAAAACTTTTTGGCACTTTTACAATAACACTTAGCTTAAAACACAAACACACTGTACAGCTATACAAAATATTTTCTTTATATCCTTATTCAAGCTTTTTTCTATTTTAAAAGTTTTTTACTCTTACTTGTAAACTTTTTTTAAGAACTAAGACATAAACACACAGATTAGCCTGGGCCTACATAGGGTAAGGATCACCAATGTCACAGTCTTCAGGGGCAGTAACATGGCTGGAGCTGTCATCTCCTATGACAACAATGCCGTCTTCTGAAATACCTCCTGAAGGACCTGCCTGAGGCTGTTTTAGAGTTAACTCTTCTTTTTTTAATAGGTAGAAGGAGAAGGGTACCCTCTAAAATCACGATTAATAGTACAGTATAATAAATACATAAACCAGTAACAGTTGTTTTTATTGTTCTGTACTATACATAATTGTATGTGCTATACTTTTATATAACTGTTGGTGCAGTAGGTTTGTTTATACCGGCATCACCACAAATATGTAGGTAACTCATTGCACTGTGTGTTATAATGGCTGTGACTAGGCGACAGGAACTTTTTAGCTCCACTCCAATCTTATGGGACCACCGTGGTGTATGTGGTCCATCATTGACCTGTTGTAGTTACACGGCTTTTGTCTGTATTTAGCATTCCTGGCTGCCTTGAGAAGAACTATTCCTTCTTTGGCATACATGCTGTGGCATCCAACAGGAATGGGATGTGGGCATTAACTATGATTCTTTCCTGTCTGTAAAATTCTAGCCTTATGAATGTACTTACAAAAAGTAAACTTTACACATATTTGCTAATTAAGTTAATGGCCACGAATAAGGATTTAAAGGGTGCCAGGCACTGAGGCACCAGGCTGCACTCAGCAACTGTGAAGCAGGCATTAGAATTCCCATTTGATTGATCAGGAGACTGAAGCTCACAGAGAGGTTAAGTTACTTGATCAAAGGCACATTGGCAGCAAGTGGCAGAACTCCACTGTGTCTGCTGCCTTGCAAGCTTGCCCATGTTCTTTCCTCTTTCCCGCATGCCTTGCTAGGAACAGATACCACAAATCTGAAATTCAGGTGTGTCAGGGAAGAGGCTGATTTTTTTTTTTAATTCTTTGTCCTACTTGAGACTTTGGATCCAGTGACGGTCCCTTTTGTTCAACTGGTAATGGCTTAAAAGTGCAACTGTTTGTGCATCCTTCTAGCAGGAACTTAAACATGTTGGATAAATAGCAGCTGTCTTAAGGAATGAATAGAAAATCAGGAAAAGTCATCATCCATATGAACTCTACATATCATCTGCTTTCTTGCAAATTGTATTAATCCGTTCTCATGCTGCTGATAAAGACATACCTGAGACTGGGCAATTTATGAAAGAAAGAGGTTTAATGGACTTACAGTTCACTGTGGCTGGGGAGGCCTCACCATCATCGCAGATGGCAAGGAGGAGCAAGTCACGTCTCACGTGCATGGCAGCAGGCAAAGAGAGAGCTTGTACAGGGAAACTTCCATTTTTAAAACCATCAGATCTCATGAGACTTATTCACCATCACGAGAATAGCACAGAAAAGACTTGCCCTGGTGATTCAATTCCCTCCCACTGGGTCCCTCCCACAGCGCATGGGAGTTGTGGGAGATACAATTCAAGATGAGATTTGGGTGGGGACACAGCCAAACCATATCACAAATGGAACAAATTATTCATGTGGACAATGTGTTTCCACAAGAGAGGGTGGCCCTTCTTCACCATAGAAAGCAGCAAAGGAATTCCTTTAATGCTGTCTAACAATGTGAGAGTTTTATCCTCTCAGGAGGGAGACTTTACCTCGGTAATCCATTAGCATTATCTCAATACACTTAAACACGCCCAGCTTTATTAAGGTGTGCTTTGCATTACTCCTTTTACGTATAACCCAAAAAATGTCTGAGACAGATCTCAATTTAGAGGTTTATTTTGCCAAGATAGAGGATACGCCTGGGAAGGAGACACAGTTGCAGTAGGATCTGTGCCCTGTGCATTTTCCAAAGACGATTTTGAGGAGTTCAACATTTAAAGGGGAGAGTGGCAGAAGGGGAAAGCAGGAAAGAAAAAAAAGAGGTAGATATGCAGTGAGGTAAGGGGTCACATTCTTGTGAGGCTTTGATTAGCGTTCACTGGATCCACATGTTACATGTGAAAGGAGGGAGTAGAGGAACAGTCAGTTATGCATTCTGCATTTTAAATCTGCATTTTACGTAAAACAAAGTAAACATAGAGTAGAGGAAGACGTCAAACGTGCATTTGTCTCTGGGTGGATGGTAGGATGACTTCTAGTCTTGTCTTTGTCCCATACCTGTGAAGATAAGTTGTTAAGTTATATTTTCAGGGTGAGATTGAACAGAACTCTGTTTTATGGTAAAGATTCTGGGGCCCACAAGGCATTTCCTTGTGAGCAATTTGTGAAGGAGACCACCTGGGGAGATAGGTGGCCTTCTATCATTGCAGCTATCTGTTTAGGAACAGAAGGGAGGAAGTTTTTGTGTGACTCAGTTCCCAAGCTTAAATTTTCTCTTTGGCATGATGAGTTTAGGTCCCGAGATTTTATTTTCCTTTAATGTAAGTGTTCAAGTCAGTGGATTTTTAGTAAATTTACAGAGTTGCATAGCCATCACCACAATCCAATTTAAGAACATTTCTATCATCCTATAAGGATTTCTCTAACCATTTTTTTCTCACTTTAGTACACTTGTAATACTTAAAATAATTAAAAAATTAAAAATCACCAGGAGAAAGTAAAGTTTCCCAGACAGAAATAAAAATGAGCAGTCATTATATATGATTAGGATAAAGCACAAGTGTTAGGTGTCACAAATCAAGACCGGGAGAGCACGGGTGCTTTTGGGTCAGTGTTTGGCTTTGGCTCTCACACTGGACATCATCAGGGGGGTCAAGGGCTGTATGAATTACTCCTGCCCACATGAATAATTTGTTCCACTTGCAAGAAAGCAGATGATATGTAGTTCATATGGATGATGACTTTTCCTGATTTTCTATTCATTCCTTAAGGCAGCTGCTATTTGTCCAACATGTTTAGGTTCCTGCTGGAAGTATGCAAAACAGTTGCATTTCTAAGCCATTACGAGTGAACAAAAGGAAATATCACTGGATCCAAAGTCTCAAGTAGGACAAAGAATAAAAAAAAATCAGCCTCTTTCCCGGCATACCTGAATTTCAGATTTGTGGTATCTGTTCCTAGCAAGACATGTGCGAGAGAGGAAAGAATATAGGTAGGCTTGCGAGGTAGCAGACACATGGAGTTCTGCCATTTGCCGGCATTGTGCCTTTGAGCAAGTAACTTAACCTCTCTGTGAGCTTCAGTCTCCTGACCAAGCAAATGGGGATTCTAATGTCTGCCTCATAGTGGCTGTGTGCAGCTCTGGTGCCTCAGTGCCTGGCATACTTTAAATACTTATTTGCATCCATTAATTTAATTAGCATTTGTGTATAAAGTTTACTTTTTGTAAGTACATTCATATGACTAGAGTTTTACAGAGCAGGAAAGAATCATAATAAGATTATTTAAAATACTGCAACTAGCCATATTGAACATTTTGGTATTAAATATTCATTTACTGATAGTCATTTTATTTTTGGGAGGAAAGGTTTTGTTTTTATTTTAAAATACCAACACTGGTAAATGTCCTTTTGGAGGACTGGCTGAAGCCAGGTAACCAAGGGCAAGGCACTTTGAGCCACAGTTTCCTCACTTATACAGTGGGGCTAAATGATATAATGTATGCAACTTGCTACCTGGGGTAGATAAGGAACATTCACAAAAATAAGGATAATTATACTTTAAAAGCGTGTAATTAAGTGCTCCTAGAGGTCTGGGGTGTTCACATTTCTAACAACTTGCTTATTTAGTAATAATAGCCTATGAGAGTTCCCTGACTCCCCTCATGGGATGTGTGACTGGGTGTGGCTTGTCTGTTCGGCTGCCATGCATGCTCAAACCCCTTATGGGTGGGGGAGCACAAAGATGGGCAGGTGCAGAAGCTGGGGCAAGTGCCCCTGGGCTCCGGCCTCACGGCAGCATCCAGGGGTGGGTGTCTGTGACTCCCAAAGCCCAAGTGGCATGTGTTGTGTTACAGTGCGCTCTTTTAACCTTGCCATCCGTGGATGGCTTAAGTGTTAACCAGCATAGTGTCCTCTTGGTACCCAGGCCCTTGTCCAGTGTCCAGGAAGAATCAGGTTGCACATGGACTTGAAGGATGAATGTGGGGGCTTTATTGAATGGTGGAGGTGGCTCTCAGTGGGATGAATGGGGAGCTGGAAGGGGGATGGAGTGGGAAGATGATCTTCCCCTGGAGTGTGGTTGTCCAGCAGCCAATCTCCTCTCCAACCATCCCCAGCTGAACTCCTCTCGACGACATTCAGATACTCCTTCTCTTCTCTTTGCTGTGCCATTCTGCCATTCTTCTGCTCTTCTGTTCATTTCCTTGTGGAGCCGGGGTTTTGGCGTTTATATGGGTACAGGATAGGGGATGTGGTGGGCCGAAAGATAACTTTTGGGTGCAAAACCAGGAATGCCCATTCTCATTTAGGGCTGCGGGTTTCCAGGCCTGAGAATGGGGCCTTTGCTGGGGAACTGCTCTCTTCTATCCAGTATTTCCCTGTCTCCTGTCCATATCATATGGATGTATTGGTATTTCTCACAACTTTGATAGAAAACATTGAGATTCTTGGTATGCTTTTTCATCTGGCAATCTATCAAAATGTAGTTTGATTTCACAAATGGTAGAAATGACTTTATTAAGGTGTCGGGTTCCATAAGCTTAATTGTATAGCTAATTATATTTGAAATTTACAAAGGAAAGGTACTAGCTTAGAAAGAATCATTTTTTTATGTTTTTTTTTTTTTTTTTTTTTTTTGAGATGGAGTCTCGCCCTGTCGCCCAGGCTGGAGTGCAGTGGCGCCATATCGGCTCACTGCAAGCTCCGCCTCCTGGGTTCACGCCATTCTCCTGCCTCAGCTTCCCGAGTAGCTGGGACTACAGGCCCATGCCACCATGCCCGGCTAATTTTTGTATTTTTTAGTAGAGAAGGGGTTTCACCGTGTTAGCCAAGATGGTCTCAATCTCCTGACCTTGTGAGCCACTGCGCCCAGCCAGAAAGAATCATTTTTTTTTCCCTAAAGGTTTTCTTGTCTTTACCTCCCTTTACAGTTTATGGCAGAGGAGCTTACATTTTAACTTAAATGAAGGTGCCCCTGTTTGATATATGCAAGTCCAGTCCAAGAGGGTACTTCAGGTCTGTAAGCTCCGGGAAGCGAGTACCACATGGCAATAGATTAGGCTCTGACATTTTAAGACAGAGGGACATGTGACATGCCTAATGAACTCTTATCTCTTTGTTAAAGACCACAAAGCATTCCATTTCAACTGTGGCAATTGGAGACAATCATCTCTTCCGTAACTCTGTTACGACTGACCTGTTCTGTTGTCTCTAGCTGTTTCTCAGCTTTCTTAATTTTGGCAGTTCTTTATTTTCAGATTGACCATTCAGCTTTGTCAGATGTCACTATAGATTTCTCTCCCTCTCTCTTAATGAGAAATGATTTTAAGAGATAGTGTTTTAGCCATGTACGCTATTATTGTCATACAAATACTGATGGCCCTTTGGGCTCCCCTCCAAGCATTTAGAGCAAAGAGTAAACAGATCAATTAAGATTTAGTAATGAAACTCAGCTTTAGAGAATGGCAAATCAAGCAGACCCCCAATATCCTCATTTTAATAAAGTCCATTTTGGAATGAAAAAGAATTAGAAAAATAATTTAGTCTTATTGCTGAAGTTTAGCTATTCCTTAGCCTTCTAAGATTCCTTGACAAAACAGAATTCTCATAATAAGCTAGTTCTAGGTATTAGAATTTTCTGAGATGGGATAAATTGTGAGAAATTTAAAAGTTCCCCAGGTCAAATTTGGGACAATTTGAGCAACAAAATAATTAAGAACAGTGGAGTATTACGGGCCATAGAAAGTAATAGGAATCCTTGAGTGCATATGGATGATAAAGAAATAACTAGATAGCTAAATGAGGGAGATGGAAGACTTTTGCTTTAGTAGAATGCCAGAGACAGATTGGCAGGAATGGAAGGAGTGCTGAGGTTGGAAGCTCAGTTTCAGCGTCATTGTAAATAATGAGTCAGGCAGTACCACCCTAGGTGCTAAATCTAGGGGTACTTTGGGTGAGGAACATGATGTTTACCTATCTTACACTATCTCACCGGAGACTTCTTATTAGTTGCAAGACAAATACAGTAACTATGCAGTGGAGAAATAGGACAACACCTTGACCAGGTGACCAAAATTAACATCACAGGTGGAAGGAGATGAACATCTGTGCCTCTGGATATAAATGCCCTTAGGAGGACACTGTCTGTTCTGTAGTCGTCTAACCTGACTCGAATCACAAGGAAACATCAGAGAAGCTTTAAATGAGGAACAGGAAGATACTACTGTTTAAAAGAGAGAAAGGCTGTAGTCTCCAAGACTGCTGGTATCATAAAACATAAGGGCTGTGAAAATGTTTCAGATTAAAGGAGGCTAAAGAGTTGTGACTGCCAGATGTGAAAGCTGAGCCTAGACTGATTCCTGTTCTGTAGGGGAGAAAATGCTGTGAAGGACATTGCTGGGTCAGTTGACAGAATTGGATTGTGGGCAATAGTGTAAAGTAGTTTAATTTATGCAAGTAGAGAACTCCACTGTGGCCATGTAAGAGGATATCCTTATTTTTAGGAAACATGCACTGAAGTATTTAGAGGTAAAGGACCACAGGGTTTACAATTCGCTCTCAAATGGTTCAGGAAAAAAATACTGTTTGGCTAGATTGATTGATCGATAGGAAGGGAAAAGGAGGTGGAGAGGGTGAGAAAGCAGATTATAAGCAGATGGGGCAAAGTGTTCACAATAGATAAATTTGGTAAATGGCACACAGGTGTCCTTTGTATATTCTTTTTTTTTTGAGACGGAATCTCGTTCTGTCCCCTGGGCTGGAGTGCAGTCACGCGATCTCGGCTCACTGCAAGCTCCGCCTCCCGGGTTCACGCCATTCTCCTGCCTCAGCCTCCTGAGTAGCTGGGACTACAGGCGCCCGCCACCAAGCCCGGCTAATTTTTTTGTATTTTTAGTAGAGACGGGGTTTCATCGTGTTAGCCAGGATGGTCTCCATCTCCTGACCTCGTGATCCGCCCGCCTCGGCCTCCCGAAGTGCAGGGATTACAGGCGTGAGCCACCGCTCCCGGCCTGTATATTCTTTTAAAAATTAAAACAATTCTTAATTATGGGTACATAATAGGCGTATACATTTATACGGTACATGTGATATTTTGCTACAGGCATACAATGTGTAGTAATCACATCAGGGTAATTGGGGTATCTATTACTTCAAGCATTTATCATTTCGTTGTGTGTATATTCTTATTCTGGCAACTTTTTGGTAAGTTTGAACTTATTTCTAAATAAAAAGTTTTTAAAAAGTTGTCTAGAGACTGAAAGTAAACAAACAAATACACTGGGCATGAAAGGATCTTTTTTTTTTTTTTCTTTTTGAGACGGAGTCTTGCTCTGTCGCCCAGGCTGGAGTGCAGTGGCGTGATCTCGGCTCACTGCAAACTCCGCCTCCCGGGTTCACGCCATTCTCCTGCCTCAGCCCCCGCCCCGAGTAGCTGGGACTACAGGCGCCCGCCACCACGCCCGGCTGATTTTGTTTTTGTATTTTGAGTAGAGACGGGGTTTCACCGTGTTAGCCAGGATGGTCTCGATTTCCTGACCTCGTGATCCGCTCGCCTCGGCCTCCCAAAGTGCTGGGATTACAGGTGTGAGCCACCGAGCTCGGCCGAAAGGATCTTAGTTATAAAACAAATTTAGCTGAAATGTTGTCTTACCTTAATTGGCTTGAATTTTTCTCTAGGTACGTTCGATTTGCTTGTCTCGAAGTAATACTTTACCCTTTTTAATATTATTTAAATTGTTCATTATTTTTACATATATAGTAATACATAAAATTATTCTCACTGTAAAAGATTTAAATCCTTCAGAAGCCAAACATGATTTTTGCCTTTACTATATTCCCTCCCTTCCTCTCCTCAGAAGAGACCAGCTTAAGTAAGAATTTGGTTGTGACTTTCTAGTCATAGAAATCTGCAAATCTGGCTTTTGTTAAATAAATGCAAATCCAGCTTTTATTAAAATAAATGGGATTTTGTACCCTACACCTTTCCCAGGATTACGTTTTTCACTTAATATATTTTAGAGATATGTTTTCACTGTTTGCTTTATTTATATAATGTCTGAAGAGAGTTGGGTAATTGTACTATAATTTATTTAATTATCTATTGAAGATCATTTGGGTCTAATTCTAATTTCTTTCGCAGCACAGTGTGTATCATAATCTTGGTACATGAAACCGTGGTACATGAAAATTTTAATAATGCATCCTGGAAGTAGTATTGCTGTGTCAATGTATGTGTGTTTAAATTTTTTAATAGGTCCTGCAAAACGGACTTCTAAACAGACTGTAATGATAGTATATGCTTATTTTCCGGCATCTCTGCCAACTGTGGATATTATCAACCTTGTAAATTTTTGCCAATCACAGGGACAAAAATAATATGACTTTTTACGTGCACATTTCCACATTTATTGGCTAGTGGATTTCTTCTTCAGTGTACGAGTGCATGTCACACCCTTTATCTTTTGTCCTTTTTGGTTGTCTATTCCTTATGACCTGTAGGAGTGTTCTTTGTTTATTCTAAATAGTAATTGTTTTGCCTGTTAAAGTGCCTTAATTATTTTATCCTAGCCAGTTGCTTGTCTTAGAAGTTTAAAATTTTTATGTAGCAAAATCTTTTACTCTTTTCTTTAAGGCTTCTGGTCTTTGTGTTTTGCTTAGAAAGACTGTCCCTGTTTTAAGATTATTTTAAAAAATACCCATTTTTTAAAATTTTTATATTTATCTCTTTATATGGAAACTTGTATATGGGTTTAATTTCATTTTTGTCTTAGTAGACAACCAATATCCTTAGCATCAGTTATTAAATATTTTCTCTCTACTGTAAAATCGTAACTGAATAATAAAATTCCGATATGCACAGGAATCCCTGTCTGTATTCTTTATTATGTTCTATTGATCTGTATATATGTTCCTGTGCCAATTCCATAGTTTCAATTTTTCAGGGCAAATCCTACAATTTTTTTTCCTTCTTGATAACTTTAGAACTACTTGTCAGGTTCCACTGAGAGTTCTGCTGCGAATCTTATTGACTGAGTTCTCTGTATGTAAAAAGTTCTCCTGGCATGAAAAGGAACTCAGGCTATGGAATCAAATAGGCCTGTGTATAAACCAGTTGTTAGCTGTGGGAATGATAATTGCACCTGTTTTACAGAAATGTCAAGTTTACATGAGACAATGCATAAAGGTGCAAAAGCTAATGCTTGGTGTACAGACATGCTTACAAAATATTATGTATATCTCCATAGTGACAGAGAAATGATATGTTCTGTGACAGTGTTATAGCTTATTAATCAGAATAGCCTTGCATTCATTTAAGAAATAGCATACTTATATACACATGTGAATAAAATTTCTGTCTTTAGTGATATTCCACTTGATACATAAATAAACACATTAGTGTATTCCTGTACTCATTCATTTATTTCTTTATTGATTCCTTCCAGTAGTATCTTGGTGTGGTTGCTGTGGGTAGGCGTGGCGCTTGGTGCTTGTGGATAGAGCTTATAGATATGCCTTATGGTAAATGCCGCCTGGAGGGAGGGCAGACGTGAAACAAATAGTTGTACCTAATTTTGTAATTACGATTGAGAAATACGGTGTGAAGAAAAGTTACAGTGTCTGTACAGCTCTGGCTCAGTTTGATGAAGTTCACTTTGTCAAATAGCTCAGTTTGTTGAATTTACAAAATTTGCTTCTCAAACATCATTTTAAAAGCTTTAATGAGAATGAGTGTAGATCAGATTCTGAAGCTGGACTCTGTGGGTTTAAATCCTGATTCTGCCACTTATACATGCTTTGTGACCTTGGGTGAGTTACTTAACCTCTCTGTGCTCCAGTTTCATCATATGTAAACTGAGTAGAGTATGAAGCCACTACCGAGGGTTTTTATGAAGAGCAAATCAGTTGTTATATGTAAAAGTTTGTGGAGCAGTGTCTGGCTCATAGAGTGTTGTAGAGGGTGTGTTAGCCATTATTGTGACTTCGTTAGCATCCAAATTTTTAACACCTCATATGGAATTTTAGAATTATTTATTTTTCCCAAATTCTTTTAAAGACCACCTTTCTCATGGTATAACTTACATGCAGTAAACCCATGTTAAGAGTACGTGCTAAGAGTAGCACCATGTTAAGATTAAGTTTTATAAATGTATGCACCCATTTAATCCCCAGTACAACTAAGGCAGAATATTTCCATGAGCCCCCAGGGTTCCTTGGTATCTATCCCTCTGCAGTCATTTCAAATTCCTTTTACTGCATTTGTTTTACCAGAGTGTCAGTCTTTGTCTTTTAACATGTTTAGAATTTTTAATTCATTTTTTGGTGGATAATGTATATGAAATTTGAGATACTAGTTATATGGTCTGTTATACTAATTATCACTTCTGGCAGTCTCTATTTTTTGCGAGTTTTGAGTAAGTGTCTATGTTTAATTGCTTCTTGTTAGAAACCAAAATGTCAGCATTTTACTTATGATAGTATTGGTTCACCAAGCAATTTGGTGAACAAATTAATTTATAGTTAAATTTCTTTTAACTGTAAAACAAGTTAATTTGTTTTACGGTATAATTGAAAGTTTGTTTTCCTACATAATAAAATATGTAGGTAAGTCTGTGTGTGGTGGCTCATGCCTGTAATCTCAACACTTTGGGAGGCTGAGGTGGGTGGATCACTTGAGGTCAGGAGTTTGAGACCAGCCTGACCAACATAGTGAAACCCCACCTCTACCAAAAAATACAAAAATTAGCCGGACTACATGGCATGTGCCTGTAGTCCCTGCTACTCAGGGAAGCTGAAGTGGGAGAATTGCTTGAACCTGGGGGCGGAGATTGCAGTGAGCCTAGATTGTGCCACTGCACTCCAGCGTGAGTGACAGAGTGAGACCCTGTCTCAAAAAGAAAAAAAAAATGCAGAAGAGGCATTTAGCTTTTTGCCATTTTTTTTTTTTTTTTTTTTTTTTTGCTGTTGCAGGGGGGATGTTGGTAGGAGTGGAGGATAATTTAGTCTTAGCAGAAATTAATATGTAGAAGTCTTAAGCTTTTCTCCCTTAGATTGCCCCAAAAGGACAGATTTAACTTCTCAGCATCTCTGCTTTGCTAATACCAAAATTACCTATAAGGATAGATACCAAGAGAGGGAGGGCACTGTATGAGTGGTCCAGTATTTGGACACACAACTTTTCCCTGCAGTAATCATAATGAAAGTAATAATTTAATGGGAGCTGACATTATTTCGTACTTACTGTGAATAGGCATCATGTTAAAGCCTACGTACATCTCATTTAATTCTTCAACCCCATGAGTTTGATGGCACTGTTATTCCCATTTTACAGGTGATGAATAAGAATCTTAGAGAAGTACCTTGCCCAAGACCACACACAGTGGGTTTTTGTTGTTGTTGTTGTTGTTTTTAGATTTTTTTTCCTTTTAGTTTAGAAAGAGAAAAGGAAGGAAATAAAGAAAGTTTGTTAAAATAACTATTGCATAAAAGGACATCTGGGCTAGATGCTGGGATGTACCTCTTCCAGAATAGGGACTGATGATTTAAACAAAAAAAAAGACAAAAAAGAAAGAAAAAAGAAATAAATTATTCTTCTCAATACTGTTTGGGATAATTGCATTGTTTTCATCTTTTCAACACACAAAACAGCCTCTTTGGGAAGCACTGTGATGAGACTGGCAAGAATGGCTGGTGCCTCGACTCTCTAGAATGGTAGGGGGAGCCCTGAGAGAGGCATTCTACTAAACCCCACTGCAAGCATTCGCATTCTTTACTCCTCCTACTTTTGGAATTGGGAAGGACCAGACTCAAGCTAAGTTCTCAATATATTAACTTTTAGGGATACCCACTGCCTCTCCTGACCCTCTTCTAGCAAACTCCCCTGCTGGCCCCTTTTCCGCCAGCTAGCTGCAGCAACCATACCAAGGGCCAGGAGGCTGCTTGGTGGTCTCAGCTAAGCAAAAGCGGGGTATCATCATCACTGTTCGGGCCACACATAGTTGGTAAGTGATGGAGCTGATAGCGGGACTCTGCAGTCTTTGTTCTTAGTGTTATTTCTCCCTTGAATTTAAATCTTGAAGGCAGTGAGTTTTTTGGGCTAAATAATTTCTCGTATTTGCCAACCCTTTGAACTTTATAGATTTTTAACATTTGTTTCTCACTCTATCCTCAAAGCATCCAATGCGGTAGGGAAGGAAACCTGATGTTTCATTCATTGCGCAAACGTAGGCAAACTTTTTCTGTAAAGGGACAGCGTAAATATTTTTGGCTTTGAGGACTCTGTGATCTCAGTTGCAGCTATGCAGTTTGTGACTGTTACAGGAAAGCAGCCTTAGACAATATGTCAATTGATTGAGTTGTGGCTGTGTTTCAATAGCACTTTATTTACAGGCCGGGCACGGTGGCTCACACCTGTAATCCCAGCACTTTGGGAGGCCAAGGTGGGCCGATTACTTGAGGCCAGGAGTTCAAGATCAGCCAGGCCAACATGGCAAAACCCTGTCTCTACTAAAAATACAAAAAAATTAGCCGGGTTTGGTGGCATGTACTTGTAGTCCCAGCTACTTGGGAGGCTGAGGCAGGAGAATCGCTTGAACCCGGGGGGTGGAGGTTGCACTGAGCCAAGATCATGCCACTGCACCCCAGCCTGGGTGACAGAGTGAGACTCCGTCTCAAAAAAAAAAAAAAAAAAAAAGAAAAGAAAAAAAGTACTTTATTTACAAAAAAAGAAAAGGCAGCAGGTGGAATTTGGCCCTGTTTGTAGTTTCCTGACACCAATAGTAATAGACTGATCTATTTGGGGACATCAGGACATGTCAGCCACAGAGAAGGTGACTTAGGATTCTTAGTGCCAAGCATTGTGTGTGGTCCACTTCCTAACCTTTCCCAGGCTGCAGCACACAGTGCCACTCACGAGTACCTTTAGGAGATTCAAGGCACAACAATAATAGTGATAATAACTCATCTTTCTACTGGATGCATTGTTCTAAGTGCTTTTCACATCTGACATTAATCTATGGACAGCTGAGTGACATGGGAAATTGAGGTCCTAAGGAAAATAGCTTGCTCAAGGTCACAGAGCCAGTGGGTGGTGAAACTGGGATTTGAACCCAGATAGAGTGGTTCTAAGCTTGTGAGCTCAAGTCCCTTTACCTTCTCTCTCCCCCATTATAGGATTTCTCAGTTTGAGATCATCTTTGAAGCCTTACTCTTTGGGAACTGCCTCTTCCGAACACTCATATTGAGTGGATAAGGTTCTGTGTTCTCTTTTTGAGACATTTATTTTGGAGCAGAGCTACAAGTAAAGGACTGCTAACTCTGCCAATTTTCTGTTACAGCTGGATAGTTCAAGGGTGGAGCAAGATCATGCAGGAGGTTTCTTTTTGCTCATCCCTGGTCTACACCAGAGACTTTCAACTGCAGAAGCACTTTAATAACAGTAGAGATGATTTATTAAGTGTCTGTTTTGTTGATACTGTGCTAAGTGCATTAAATATATAATATTGGTTAAAATCTCACAATGCTGTAAATTAAGTGGTATTATTCCCATTGCACAGATGGAAAAGTTGAGGCTCAGTTATGGATAAGTTATTTAAATCTCTGAGCCTTAGTTTCCTCATGTGGACATTATGATAGTCCTATCTGTTAGGGTCACTATGAAGATTAAATGAGTTAACACATGTTAAGGATTCTGAGCAATGTTTGGCACTCAATAGTGTTACCTGTTATTGTTGCTGTTATTATTAGAACATAGTAGTAATTGTAGAGGTGAAATGCTCACTTTTTATGAGTATTTGTGAATTAGAAATAAGCACGTGAGTATTCAACATAGTGCCTAGGTGTTAATAGATGGAACTTATGATTATTTATAGGAAGAAACTGTGTAAAGTTCTGTTCCTTTTAATTTAAAAATACCTCCACTGGTGATGGTTTTAAAATTAAACATTAAAATATTAAAAGTCAGTCTCTTGGTTTTGTTTGTTTTTGTTTGTTTTGGGTAAAATTGCTCCCTGCAAAAACAGCCCCAGATATTCCTGTTTACTGTAAATTAGGTAGATTGGATAGAGTTGGCACTAGAGGATAGATATGCTTGACATAGTAAATGATTTACAAGGTGGATTGTACAGCCATAAAAGCAGTAACTTAGAAATATGCACAGGAGAGTAAAATAATTTGCTCATTTATGTTAAATTTCAGTGATAACCTAATTGTAAAAAAGTTTTATTTTACATATGCACTCTATTATATACCATATATCACTATGCATATTTTTTGTATATACTTATTTCTCTGTGGGGTTATGTCCAGAACTGTGAGTATTCTATGATAATGGCAACTTAAAGTATTTGTTCAATGTTAAGATTGACTATATACACGATTTTTCTTTTAAGTACTGACCTTAGGACTTAACCCCTGCCTTAAGCTGCAGCTCAACTCTATAATGAAATGCAGAAAAGGAACATTTTTCCCACCTCCATAAATTAAATAACCGATAATTAATTAACCTTTTCATTTCTTTTTTAGCTCTCTAATCTATGTGTTAGTAGAAACTAAAGCAATGCTATACAATTCAAATTTTTTTTGTGACAGTGACATCTGGTGGTTCCTTTTTAATTCTCGTGATTTCTCTGTGCTTGGCTGGTTGTTGGAAATTCCGAAGAATCATTGTGTGAACTGCTTCGCTTGGCATTTAACACTAGCTAGCTATTGAGAATCAAGTTAGTCCCATTGACGTGGCTTGAACTTTGAAAACCTCAGTGCTCCATTTGGACGCAGCCCTTCTCTGAAGGGAACACCAGCCTTCCTTGGATGAATGAACATTTTAGAATTTGTGATGGGCGAACACTGTCTTGGGAAGGATTTCTCTTTAATTCAGAGAACTTAGGATTTTGAATAAGGGATGGTATCTGTGCCAGCCTCTCTGCTTTACTCATGAGGAGGCTGGAGCCCTGAGAAATAGAGTGTGTTGGCCAAGGTCTCACTGTGTCTTCCAATGTCTCACTGTGTTGGGCAATGTCTCACTGTGTTGGCCAAGGTCTCACCATGTTGGCCAAGGTCACCTGCTTCTTGGTGAGCAGAGGTTCCATAACTTATGGGTTTTGTGCTACCAGGGAGCAGTGTGGCATTGGGCTCTGTGCTCATAAATTACGTTGTTGTTGTTTTTAGACGGAGTTTCTTGTTGCTCGGGCTGGAGTGCAATGGGGCTATCTTGGCTCACTGCAACCGCTGCCTCCCGGGTTCAAGCAATTCTCCTGCCTCAGCCTCCCAAGTAGCTGGGATTACAGGCATGCGCCACCACGCCCAACTAATTTTGTATTTTTAGTAGATGCGGGATTTCTCCATGTTGGTCAGGCTGGTCTTGAACTCCCGACCTCAGGTGATCCACCCGCCTCTGCCTCCCAAAGTGCTGGGATTTCAGGCATGAGCCACTGCGCCCAGCCCATAAATTATGTTTTTTATGCTGGGCAACCCACTAGTAAGAAAGGTCTGGGAGTGAAAGGCTAGAGGGTAAAGGCTAGAGGGCAAAGGGAGTTAACATTTTTCACTACCTATTTGCTGTAAATATCCCACACCCGGCTTTTCTCTCATCCAAAAGAGGCTCAGCATCTTTGACATGAAAAAGAGTTGTTGAGGAAGTATAGTTAGGGATCCCAGCCCCATCTCCTGAGTCTACTGGTTGGTCCCATATCTGAGAATTTAATATCCTGTGAAGTTGTATTTATTGAGCCTGTTTTAAGTCGGACCTGTTCTGTGAGTTATCTCACATCCTTACAATCCCAGTGGGCGGCTGGAATCTTTATTGTACACAACAGGAAGTAGAGGATTGAAAGGCTGGACTCACCTAGGGTCAGAGGTGGAGCCAGGATTCAGTCCCAGACAGGTCTAACCTCCAAGCCTAAATTTATGCTTTCCGCTCTACTACACAGGCTGTGTAATTAAAATCACTTGTGTATTTATTTATAGTGCGTAGTACTTAGGGAGTAGAGGCAGATTTGCTTCCTAGACACTTGAGCACATGACATGGACTTTGTATTGTGACTATGTGGACACATCCAGGAGTATTTTGTGCTTGTGAGAGAAGGGAGGGCTCATGTCATCAAGTCATGACTACCTTGATGGGCACTGGCTCCATGCCAGGCACTTTCCCCTCTGATCTCCTTTGGTCCTCCCAACAGCTTCCTAGGGTGGGTGCTATGGGCATCTCTAATTTACAGAAGATAACTCCAGAGTGGAAGGGGGAAAGGATTTTCTATAGGGATACTAAGGAAGAAAAAGGAGGAGAGAATGGGTGAACAGCAGGCCTGAAGCACACTCGTGTTGTATCTGGCCCTCCCATGCTGAAGTTGATAAACCACATGGTGAGCCAGGCAGGTGCAATTAACCCACTCCTTTCTTCAAGTTCATTATAACCCTGCTGCCAAATCCAAAGGACTTTTATAGGCTAAGTAAGATGTCCTACTAATAACCTCTTAAATTTCTTAAATTTTTCCACATAGTGACAGTTGAAATCAAGGCACAGGGCCCTTTATACTAGCAAACTACCTGCTCCCAGAGGGGACTTTGGTTAGTCAGTCATGGTTCCATGGTATTTATATATCAGCATTTGTTTCTTACAAATGTGACATTGAAAATGCTCCTGTATTCCTGAGGTCTTTTTAAATTTTTTCAAAAAAAGATCTTAAAGGCATTGTGTGTAGATCACTTTTAGGCTGCTTTATTACTAGCACTTTGTAAACACTGTGAGTGAAGATGGACTATGTTTCCGTTTCTCCTCTGCTCCTTTAATCCATAATAGTGAGCTCTGTGGGCATTATTGTTCTCTCAACTGTAGACAACATGACTGTAGTAAACTCTTTTCTACCTTGGGGCCTTACCTTATACATTTCCACCTGCCTAATTCCTTCCCCACCAAGCTCCTTATGTCCTCCCTTCCTCTATCTCCTGATGAAGTGAGGTCCCTTTACCTGGTGGTTTCATCATGGGCGTATCCTCCTTCTCCCAGAAGACTTCCTTAAAGCAAGGACTCTTTTGCTGCAGTTTCACTAGCGCTTGGCGTATCGATGCTGGTAGTTCCTAAATGCATAGAAAGTAATCTTTCCCATTAAAATGCCCGTTACTCCATATCCCCAGTTTCTACTATTAGATCTGTGATTTTTTGGTAAAAATGAAGCTTTAAAAAACATAGAACCTTACTTCATCAACCCTAAGGCCTAGAGAAACAAAGCAATACAAAGGAACACAGAACTGGCTGGGAGCGTTGGCTCATGCCTGTAATCCCAGCACTTTGGGAGGCCGAGGCGGGCAGATCACCTGAGGTCAGGAGTTCAAGACCAGCCTTACCAACCTGGAGAAACCCCGTCTCTACTAAAAATACAAAATTAGCTGGGTGTAGTGGTGCATGCCTGTAATCTCAGCTACTTGGGAGGCTGAGGCAGGAGAATCGCTTGAACTGGAGGGGCGGAGGTTGCAGTGAGCCAAGATCGCACCATTGCACTCCAGCCTGGACAACAAGAGTGAAACTCCATCTCAGGAAAAAAAAAAAAACAGAATTTACGTGGGATTATATGAGAGCACTTACCTGGCACAAGAGCAACCAGGGAACTATATTAATCCTACACCTGGAGAACATGGAAAATTATTTTTAATCTCAACTGATGAATGTTTAAAAATTTCTAAAGCATGAGCTTTATGTTTTGGCAGATGATTTTACTGTTGTTTTGCTGTTATTATTTTTTTAATCCCTATTTCTGAAAAAATGTTTGAAAATCTCCAGTTTTTTCTAAGTCTATTAAAAAAATCTAAAAAAATTATTGCCTGGAATTTGACAAACCTGGACAAATTAAGAAGATAAACTTAGTGTTAGTTTTTTTTCAGGTGTGATACTTGAAATTTGAGAAGGTCATGTTTTGTTCCCTGCAAGGACCAACAACAGTCGTTACAGGTGGGGACTTGGAATGTGAGTGTGTCTAATGTGTGGGCCCCTATTGCTTTCTTTCCCTTTGATTAAGAATTCTGTAGGTCAGTTAAGGTTTCACAAAGGACTTGCTTTGATGCTAATCCTTTAAGGAGGGTATGAGGGGTGCTTGTCCTTTGCAAACCCAGTTATGGGGGAGCTGAAGCTGATTATTACATTTGCCATCAAAGAACATTGATGCTCTTTCATGCAATATGAAACTTAAAAAAATGTGGCACTGCAGATAAGATGCGACTAGTTGGTAGTCCTTGGGATTTAGTTGGAGAGTTTAAATGCTGTAGAAGGCCATGGACTACTTTTTGAACTTGACAAATAGATTACAGAGAATTGGATGATAAATGTGAGCAGAATGAAAAATTATTCCTAACAGATGAGCTCAGGGTACGTATATATTTTTAAAATGAATTTTGCACAATAATAAAGGTGTATTTTAAATTAATTCTGACTTAGAAAAATCAGTACTTTATTCAAGTTTTAATAGGGAGTGATGTGACTTGAGTTTATGCATTTCTCATATGATTCCTTTAACTAGGAATGTGCTGTTTCTCTTTATGAGAGAAATTCAATATTTGAGGAATCCTCCAGGTGTGTCAGTCACTATGATAATGCTTCTGATGTCAGTCTGGTTTCCCATTTTGGACATCTTGATTTACAGGAGTGGATGCCATGTAGACACGTGTTTGTATTCCGTAGAACCTAATACCCATGGCTCTTAGTCCCTGCCTCAGTCCTGGGGGGAAGTTGGGGCATCCTCTTCATGTCTCATCTCCATGGGAATGGTCCAGATATGCCCCAAAAGAATTCATGACTTGCCAGAGTTCTCAACAGTTGTAGCGTTCTTTGAGTCCATGATACCAAACACACAGCTTCATTGGTCAGTGGAATGGAATGTTGGGTGGGAAAGCTCCAGTGAGAAGGGGCCTGGTTGTGTGGGGGTGGGCACCTGCCCACCTGTGGTCTTCATTGAGGAGGAAGGTATCTGCAAGCCCTCTCAAACCTTGTCATCTTTGCTAAAGTGCGGTGGTTAAATGAGCGTGGTAGAATCTGTTCTCAGGCCTGTGAAGTCATCCCTATGAGAAAGATGGTAAAATGGAGGACAGGGCTGAGGGTGAGGAGGAGGAACGCGGAGGAGGAGGGAGGAATGTGGAGGAGGAGGGAGGAACGGAGTTCTAGAGAAGCGATACAGCTTTGTGGATTTACAGTACCTGGCGTTATTTTTTGTCATGTTACTTCCTACTTCCTTTTCCTTCTTGCAGTAATATTTGTCACATATTCCTTTTCAAACCACGAAGTGAATTAAAAATCAGATAGGGAGGCCTGAAAAATTTGTAAATCTATTTGGTCTCTTTGGCAGTTAATGGAGAGTATTGACATTACTACTGTTAATAGCATATTTGTCATCTTTACTCTTTGTTCTCTAGAGATAAAAATAATGTAAACACTTTTGTCATTAATATCTTCATTAAGATTCTTAAATGAACATCAAGAACCTGCTCTTCCACTCAAATGTTCTTGCATGCATTTTTGCTACTCAGAATATGACAAAGCTAGCGAGTTAAGATGGAAATTGTTTGGAAAAGCCTTAGTAGGTGATGCAGCTTTCCTCACTCTGTGTCAGTTCTACGATCAGGATGGCAGTTTCTATGATCTGGAGGCAGAGGTAGGGTTCAGGCTGATCTCCCAGGAGGCAGCAGGCCCTGGGTGCTGGCCTTATATCTGTCAGCTCACCTAGGGAATCCTTCAACTAACAGGTGAGCCCATTTTTTAACGTGCAAAATGAAACTGCTCAAGGTGAGGACCTTCCACCTCCAGACAAGGGTGCTCAGCCAGTTAGTTAGCTAACCATGATTTGCTAAGAGTCCATGAAGTACAGAGTACTGTGCTGGGCTGGAAAGCAGATTCATAAAGAATAGAATGGTGCTTGACTCCAACTAGAGAGTCAAGATAGGCTCTTGAACAAGTTAGATACTGTTTGGAGGCAGTGTATTATTTGGGAGCCAGGTGTGGTTCAATGAAAACATCTGTTACACCAGGCCCTACAGTAGTAGCACTTCAAGGTTGGCCCTGGTATGGGAGTAGGGCAGGCAAATGCAGCTGCCTTTAAGGAGGGAACTAAACACCGAGGTTTTCCTGTAACACTTTGTATTTGTTGGCAGTGTGAGCTCTCCTGTCTTACTTTACTTATGTTGGAAGGAGTCAGGATGCTCCTCTGAGTGTGCGTGTTGTAACTGGAGGGCACACGGTGAGCCCACCAGTACTGGGGAGCTAAGGGAAACCAACACTGGAGGAGCACTAGGAAATTTATGGTGAGTATGGAGAAGCAAAGAGACTTTGGTGGAAACATCTAGTTCTGCTACATGAAGAATACATGCGTGACTACTGAGGGCCAGGTGGGAGACTGTGGAATAGCTGTCAGTGCCAAACCTAGGGGCCCTGATGGGAATCTCACACAAGGAAAAGGAGCTTCCTGAGGCAGCAGCAGAAAAGGGATAGAATTTGAACTGAGTGTGGGGACCAAGACAGACAGGAGGGAAAGGAAGCACTGGTCTTTCTGTAGGGATATGGAACAGATGCATGAGCAGTCTCTGCCTTTTGGTGTTTCATCCTCCACGTGGACCCCACATCACTTTTCCCAAGGATGCAGGAAACTGTATTTGCTGGTACCCAGGGAGAGAGCGGTTGGCCATCTCCGGGTCCAAGTATAATTTCCCAGAATTGGAAATAAGAGTCTCATAAAGATATAAATGAGCATGTCAAAATTTTATTTCATCCACCAATTAGGAAACCAGTGAAATGGTAAATTGATCCAAACAGTATTTGAGGAACTAGTATTTATAAGCTTAAGGAAGAATGTTAGATTAAGATTGCTAGGTTATACATAAAGCTGGGTAATACCTTAAAGCAGGGGTCCCCAATGCCTGAGCCGTGGACTGGTACTGGTCTGTAGCCTGTTAGGAACCAGGCTGCACAGCAGGAGGTGAGTGGTGGGCGGGCGAGCATTACCACAGCTCCACCCCGTGTTAGATCAGCGGTGGCGTGAGAGTCTCAGGAGAGCTAACCCTACTGTGAAATGTGCATGCAAGTGATCTAGGTTGCGCACTCCTTATGAGAATCTAATGTCTGATGATCTGAGGTGGAACAGTTTCATCCTGAAACCATCTCCTCACTGTCCCCCATCATCTGTGGAAAAATTGTCTCCCATGAAACCAGTCCCTGGTGCCAAAAAGGTTGGGAACTGCTGTCTCACTGAGCAGCAAAATCATAATCTTTGAGGTAGTCTTTTTCGCCACTAAAAATCCTGTAAGTCAACATGTAACTTCACAGTGTGCGGACTCCAATCAGACAGCAGATGGCAAAATTAAACACAAATACACTCTTCTAGAGAGTTAAATAATCCTTGGGAGGCTTGTAAAACAATGCTACCATATTACATTGAGAGGATATGGCACCCCTTCATCTCCCACCCCCTCCCCATCCTGCCCAACTGTCTAATTTCCAAGTTTTAGATAGTTTGTATTGACATTAATAAAATGCTTTGGTTTTAAGCCTGAGATTGAACCCCAGTTTCTTCACTGTGTAATGTTGGGCAAGTAATTAAACTACAACTGGCTTAACTTGCTGTATGTTGGGAGGAACACATGAAATAGCTTTTGTAAGGTTGTAAGGTGCCTGGCACATGATAGGTACTCAGTAAATCTTAGTTCTTCTCTTCACCTTTCCTTTTTTAAAATTAAGACACTTCCACCTTTTGTCTGGCCTTTATAGACCACATATGCTTTATTTAGAAAACTCTCTGCCCCGTGATTACTGTTTCAACAAAATGGAGAGTTTCGATATTCTTGAAATCGTGTTTTTTTTTTTAAATAAAAAAGTTATTAGATACAGGGTCTTACTATACTGTCCATGCTGAACTCAAGCCATCCTTCTACCTCAGCCTCTCGAGTAGCTGGGACTACAGGTGTGCACCACCTGGCTTGATATTCTTTTTTTTTTTTTTCTTTTTTTGATGGAGGGGTGGGAATACTTCTTGTTTAGATGAAAATATTAGTCTTATCTTCTTTACACGGAGGGTTGGCTTCCCAAGTTATCCTTTGCGTCGCTCACTCAGTAAGTATTTTAGTGTCCATGCTGAGGTTTGTGAGGAGGAGGAGAAGGCACAGAAGGCTCCCAGGAGTGGGCTGTCCATGTACCCTATTGTTGGTAAGTGCAGAGGGAGTCTGCAGAGCTGCCGGAGGGACTATGAGCTGGGCTTATCATAGTGAGATTTGGGTTCCTGGAGAATACGTTTTCCTCCCTTCTCTGTAACTACTCACATGATAACCTGTGTGCTGGCCCTTGATTTTACCTCCCTTATGGAGTATGATATTAATGTAGATTAATAGGTCAGGGTCCCAAACTCAAACTCAGTTCTGCCACTGTTTACAACTTTTTTTTTTTTTCCTTGAGATGGAGTCTTGCTCTGTTGCCCAGTCTGGAGTGCAGTGGGGCAATCTTGACTCACTGCAAGCTCCGCCTCCTGAGTTCAAGTGATTCTTGTGCCTCAGCCTCCTCAAGTAGCTGGGATTACAGAAATGCACCACCATGCCTGGCTAATTTTTGTATTTTTAGTAGGAATGGGGTTTCACCATGTTGGCCAGGCTGGTCTCAAACTCCTGACCTCAGGTGATCCACCAGCCTTGGCCTCCCAAAGTGTTGGGATTACAGGTGTAAGCCACCAGGTCCAGTCGGTTCTTCTTTTTTTTTTTTTCTTTTTTTTTGGAGACGGAGTCTCACTCTGTCACACAGGATGGAGTGCAATGGCATGATCTCGGCTCACTGTAACGTCCGCCTCCCAGGTTCAAGCGATTATCCTGCCTCAGCCTCCCAAGTAGCTGGGATTACAGGTGCATGTCACCACGCCCAGCTAATTTTTTTGTATTTTTTAGTAGAGAGAGGGATTCACCATGTGGGCCAGGCTGGTCTCCAACTCCTGACCTTGTGATCCACCCGCCTCGGCCTCCCAAAGTGCTGGGATTGCAGGCATGAGCCACTGCGCCTGGCCAGGTTCTTCTTTTTAGTATTTACACTTTTGTTTTTTCTGCCTCACCGCAGAATCCAGTATGGTCTAAACCTTGTTCAGTATTAATGGCCACACAAGGGAAAAGATCCCTAGCCCCCTTTCCTCATTTCTGTGCATAACTCTAAATGAGGTGTGATACGGTAAGTCCCTTGGCGGTCCAGGTTCCATTCATTCATTCATTCATTCATTAGGCAACAAGTATTTATTGAGCAAACCCTGGTGCGAAGCCCTGGTGTTTTTTCTGTGTATGTAAGAGCCTGCTCTGATGGAGACAGAGGGTGACCAAGTAAACAAGGAAGATCATTAGAGATTATGATAAGTGCTATGAATGAAACAAATGAAATGATGAGGAACTTTATGTAAGCTGCTATTCCTAGTAATTTTAATTAGGGTGATCAGAGATGTTCTTCTTGAGGAGGTGGCTTTCTAAGCTGAAAATCAAAGGATGAGAATGAGTCAGCCATGGGAATAATTGAGCAAAGGACATTATAAGAAAGGGGACAGTGCAGAGAGCTGTGGGATGTTTGACTTGTCCAAGGAACGGAAAGAAAGACCTGTGGCTGGAGTCGAGTGAGTAAGGGGATGTGGTCAGAGGCTGGCGGGGCTGTTTTAGGGCTCTGTAGATAGGGAGAATGAGTTTGGGATTTTTCTAAATGCAATGGAAAGCTCTTGAAGAGGTCTAGAAAACTGGAATGGTGTATGCTTATTCAAAAACATGAAGTAAAAGAATGATATTGTTGTCATGTGAAGAATTGAATGGAGGGTGTCAAGCACAGGAGTAGGGAGACCAGTGAGGTGGCCCTTTGGAGGTCTCGTGGCTTGGGCTATGGTAAGAGTGGTAGGGATGTCAGAGAAGGATGCTTGGAAGATTAAGCTGGGTTGTGGTGGACCCCGGATACCTGGATGAGGAGCTTAGGTTTGGTTTTTGCAGCTGTGAGGGAGCTGTTGTGAATGTGTGAGTTTTTGAGTGAGTGCATGTGTATTTGTATGTGTGACTGTGAGATTGTGTGTGAGTCACTGTGTCTGAGTGTGGAGTGTGTGTGTGGTCTTCTGAGTGCATATGACTGTGTGCGTTTCTCTCCTGTTGCAGCTGTGATCAGGCCAGTGGCATGAAGCAAAGGGCTATCCTGTGTGGCACAGAGTAAACTGGGGGAAAGGCTGGTGGCAGGGAGACGAGCTGAGAGGGTGGTGCAATATGTGAAATGAAGGCCCAGAGGATGCTCACTTGGCTAGCCATGGAGAAAGAAAAGACTACATCGGGCAAGTCCTCTTATTTATTTTACTCTATAGTTGGGAAGAATGAGATTTAGGAGTGAAAGGTAACTTCATAAAAGACGTCATAGTCTCTTTAAATTAGGCCAGTTTGATCACTTGCTGAGTATTTTACCAGCCTTATTAAAAAAAAAATTAAACGTCACTGAAATGCATCTGCTTGATTTCTGTAAACAGAATTCCATAAGCGTTAAGTTGATTGATTCTACTGCCTGCTATACCTTCCTGCCAGGACCACTCTCCCCAATGCGTGTATTCATTTTCTCTTTTAGAATTCTTGAGAAACCCATTGAGAATTCTTGAGAAACTCATTGTATTTTTTATTTCCCCCAGGACGTTTTCGAAGATGCCTTGGAAACCATCTCAATGTAAGTAATAACATAATAAAAAGTATGTAGTAAGGAAAAATTGATGGTTGTCTTACATAAAAAGTAAATATTTCATTCTCATTTTTTGGAGAGTACGGCAATGGCTATTTTCAGAAAAAAAAAGTCACTTTTCTATAATTAAAGAGGATGTGATTATATTTAAGAAAGGATCTATCTAATACTTTCAGATACATTTCTGAGTATTATTTCTTGTAACAAAATAAAATATTTCTCAACAAAGTATTTGTTTATAGCTAACTCTTTTAATAGTTGTTCATATTTATGTCAGTCTCATTTTGTAGATTTTTGTGTTTGGTTTGCACTTAGTTTTATTAAAAGCATTCACTGTAAGCCTATATAGTTTTTGTAATAATTCTAAATTGCTAAATCATATTAGATCAAATGGAATATTACAATTTACTTACCTGCTTCTCCATTGTTAGACATTTAGGTTGTCACTGGCTTAGAAATGTAGAACTAAGTTTTACATGTGTATAGCTTTGTTATATTTTGAATTATTTCTAAAGGTTAACATAACAAATGTAGGATTACTGAATTAAAAGGGATGAATATGTTTATTGTTCTTTGTATATCTCTAATTGCCTTCCTGTATTAGTTAACTTCAGCTTCTATAACAAAACACAATAGCCTGGGTGGCTTAATCAACAATAATTTATTTTCTCACAATTTTGGAGGCTAGAAGTCTGAGTTAAGGGTGCCAGCATGGTTGGGATTCTGGTAGGGGCTCTCCTCTTGGCTTGCAGACTGCCTCCTTGTTGTGTTCTTACATGGCCGAGAGAGTGAGAGCAAAAGCTCTCTGGTGTCCTTTTTTTTTGAGACGGAGTCTCGCTCTGTCGCCCAGGTTGGAGTGCAGTGGCACGATCTCGGCTCACTGCAAGCTCCGCCTCCCAGGTTCACGCCATTCTGCTGCCTTAGCCTCCCAAGTAGCTGGGATTACAGCTCCCGCCACCACGCCAGGCTATTTTTTTTGTATTTTTAGTAGAGACGGGGTTTCACCATGTTAGCCAGGATGGTCTCCATCTCCTGACCTCGTGATCTGCCCCTCTTGTCCTCCCAAAGTGCTGGGATTACAGGCGTGAGCCACTGCGCCCTGCCTGATGTCCTTTCTTATAAGGGTGTTAATCCTATCCTGAGGACCCCACTCTCCTGACCTCATTTAAATCCGATTGTCTCCCAAAGGCTCCATATTTAAATTCCATCACATTGGGGGTTTGGGCTTGAACATGTGCATGTACAGGTGGGGGTAGAGGGGCACCGTTTGTTTTACAGTACTTCCACAGGAGTATTATCAATTTACTTGGCTACCAATACTATGTAAGCAAAGTGGTTTAAACTGTCACATTATCATCACTGGGTATTATTTCAAAAACAGTTTTGCAACTTAAATGATACCTACTTTAGTATTTTTAAAAATTATTTTAAAAATACATTGCATCTTTTGTATGACTTCTAATTTTCTTTTGTCTCTTAGCTTTTTTCAGAATGTTTCTCTTAACATACTTATGGACTTTAAATTATATATACCCTAATCTTTTGTCATATTTGCTATAGATATTTCCTCCAGACTGCAATTTTTCTTTATTTTAGTATTATACATTTTTATTTTGTCCAAAAGTTTCATGTTTATATGATTTTTTAAAAAAAAAACTTAATTGTGATTGGGATTAACCTATTAATTAGGAGCAGTTTCAGACTTACAGAATTATTGAGGAGGTAGTACAGAGTATTCCTGTGTACCCCACCCAGGTTTTCTCTATTATTAATTTCTTAAGTTAGCATGGTACATTTCTCACAATTAATGATCAATATGGATATATTATTGTTAACTACAGTCCATACGTTATCCAGATTTATTTAGTTTGTACCTAGTGTCCTTTTTCTGCCTCAGCATCCCACCCAAGATACCACTTTACATTTAGTCGTCATGTCCCCTTAGGCTCCTCTTGGCTGTGACAGTCTCTCAGACTCTCGTTTTCGGTGACCTTGACAGTTTTGAGGAGTACTGTCAGTTATTTTGTAGAATGGCCCTTAATTGAGATTGGTCTGTTTTTCCCCCCTCATGATTTGACTGTGGTCATGTGTTTTTGGGAAGAAGACCCCAGATGGAAAGGGCCATTCTTATCACATCATAGCAAAGATCCACGATATCAATGTGACTTAGCACTACCGATGTTGAACTTGGTCACATGGCATGGGTAGTGTTTGTCAGGTTTTTCCACTGTGAAGTTGCCCTTTTTCCCCTCCTCCCTTTTTATACAGTACTCTTTGGAAGATAATCTGTTTATGTGATTTTTAAGAAATCACTTCTATGGTGGGCAAGTGATCGCCATTCAGAAATCTTATAATTATTCAACCCTGCTCCTCCCTTGGTGTTGGCAGGAATTGAGCTTGGGCTATAGTAGGTGATCACAGTCCAGGGGATGGAAAAGGATCAGGCCTTGGGGCTGGTGATTGGAGTTCACCAGAGGAGACACTGCTTTTCCCAGCGGGAGCTAGCATGCCACACACAACAGAGAGGGGTGCAGACCTCACAGAGGAGGACGGGTCTCACTGACCAGTGGGAGCAGTGTGACCCCTGAGCAGTGCACATTGATGCTTGTGCTTCTCTGAGCTCCCACTGGCTTCAGTAGGCTGGTAGTGGCTTTACCTTTGGGACCTCAGGAAGGCATTGCAAGCAGTTTTTTTAACATCTATTAGTTTTTAAAAAAATCAAACCACAGAAATAAACAAAAGCCCTAAATTCAACCCAGCTGAAGTTAATTTAGATTCCTATCTCACACCAGCCCTAAAATTGCTAGCCCACTATTCCAGCACCATTTGTTAGGTCCATGAGGGAAACAATTTATATTTGATACCTCCTTTGTCAAATAAGTTCATTAAAATAATAACACACTGTTTGGGGGCTTTCCATTCAGTTCCTTTGATCTAGATGCCTGTGTTTGCACAAAAACAACTCTTTTGTTCAACCGAGTTAGATGGTTTAATATTAGCATTGTCTGGTTCTCAGAACATCATCCAAAATGACTCCTGTGATGGAGATGCTTTTGATTCGTGACTATCAGAAACCCCTTTGTGTACTTTTTGTTTTTGCTTTAAAATAAATTTTATTGTGTATATATAAGGTATACAACATGATGTTATAAGATATATATATATATATATAGTAAAATTGTTATATAGAAGAACAAATGACGATATCTATCATCTCACATAGTTTCCCTTTTTTTTTTTTTTTTTTAAGACAGAGTCTCGCTCTGTCGCCCAGGCTAGAGTGCAATGGTGTGATCTCAGCTCACTGCAACCTCTGCCTCCTGGGTTCAAGCAATTCTCCTGCCTCAGCCTTCCAAGTAGCTGGGATTATAGGCGCCTGCCAACTACGTCCAGCTAATTTTTGTATTTTTAGTAGAGACAAGGTTTCACTATGTTGGCCAGGCTGATCTCAAACTCCTGACCTCAGGTGATCCACCTGCCTTGGCCTCCCCCAAAGTGCTGGGATTACAGGCATGAGCCACTGCGCCTGGCCTAGTTACCCATTTTTTTTCCTCCTGTGGCAAGGAAGAAAAATCTAATTTAATTTAGCAAAAATCCTGAATACAGTGTACTATTTCTTATTAACTATAATCCTCATGTTGTACATTAGATTTTTTAGCTTGTTCATCCTTCATATTTGCTAGAGAAACCCCTTCATGTGCTGTTAAAGTGGGGAATTCGAGAAGCATTGTCTTGGTGTCTTTTATTCTACTGTCAACTCTGTTATAGTTTTTCTCATCCTGAAGACTGCAGCTCCTTAACACTGCCTCAGTTTCTAATGACCACGCATTCTCCCTTCATTGCCTCCAGAACTTCTCTGTGGCTGTATTTATCTGCCAGCAGTTTCTTCCTCTTGTCTAATTTTAACTTCCCTGTCCTGCTCAGTTTAACAAATCCAAAGGTTTCCCCATTTTAGAATGTATCTTGCTCTTTTAGGTTTCTGGTGTGCATTATTTCTCGTGTCCTTTAGACTGTCGCTTAAACGTTTGTGTGTCCTTTTCAATGTTGCTGAATTGTTCCACTCCTCTCACCTTGGTTATAGCAACACATTATAGGAACCCTTCTCCTAATAGAGAGAGATAGAGCCCAAAATCAGAAGGGGTAGCCAGATTAGGTGCTGGAGTCCATACACGAAGAATCTTGTAGCAGAGGCCTCCATTCAGAGTCTGCAGTTGATTTTGATCTGATTTTAATAAACTTTGCCTTTTGGTCTTGTGCGTACTTTTGCCTTACAGCGTTCTGAGAGGTATTGTAAGGGGGGTTGTTTCCGAAGCAGAGCTTGTTGGTGATGACAAAAAATGGCAGTGAGAGAACAAAGAAAATATTACACACAGCCATAAAACTCCAAAGCACAGCGGTGTGGTTTCATTTTGCCTTCATGCACACAACTACATGTATCTTCCTGGGGAGACGGGACTGACCACACTTGACAGTCAGACTTGAACTGTAGTCCCAGTTTGCCATTTACTGGCTGGGAGGCCTGGGCAGTTTCTCTGAGCTTGTTTTCTCCTCTCATAGATTTATTGAGAGGATTAAATGAAATTTAAGTTAAATGTGATAATGGGAGTAAAACACATAGTAAGTGCTCAGTGAACATCGGTACTTTTCTGCTCTCCCTTGTAAGAGTGTGGGTTCTCCAGACAAATAGAACCAATAGGAGACATAAAATGTCTATATATGAAGAGATTTGCTGTAAGGAATTGACTCATGTGATTATGGAGGCTGAGAAGTCCCCAGTTCTGCAGTTGGCAAGCTGGAGACACAGGAGAAGTAATGGACTTCTAGTCCAAGTCAGAGGCCTCTGATTATAAATACATGTTAATTGTAAAAAATTTCTTCAGTTGTTTTTATGTGAACTTTTTGTTTGTCCTAATTTCAGGGTTTGTCAATATTTCTCACATTTCCTCTTAAATTGGTGATACTATAACATTCCCTTTGTGAATTCTGCAAAACTTAGTAGAGTTCTTTTTCCTTACACTTACTGAACCATATATTTTGATCTTATGTTTCTGGTGCAGAGAGCAAGTGCTTCAATCTCTGTATCAAGATGCAGTGCTCTTGCCAACCTGATGATTAATTTCTTCCAGTGAGTATTTTCTCTTGAATGCCTAATGAAAGGATTCACACTAACAGATGAAGGAGGCCTTAAATTGTTTCCACAAAGCAAATAGTTTCTTATTTTTCTTTTTCTGCCTAATGAATTTACCACTCTCAACACAGATTTTTCCTACCTCTGGATCTTTGTGGTAACGATTGTGTTATTTTAACTATTTTGAGAAATTGCTAGTTTTTCTGGCAGTTTCTCAAAATAGTTAAAATAACACAAAATAAAATAAAATAAAACTGTTAAAATAAAACTGGTAGGTCATACAAAAATCTCCACCATTTAGAACTGGAGGAAAAATTAGAGATGTACAAAAATGTTAGTAGTACATTGACCATGTTCTTTTTAAAAATTAAAATAGGCCAAGTGCTATGGCTCACGCCTGTAATCCCAGCACTTTGGGAGGCTGAGGTGGGTGGATCACCTGAGGTCAGGAGTTTGAGACCAGCCTGGCCAACATACCAAAACCCCATCTGTACTAAAAATACAAAAATTAGCTGGGCTTTGTGGCGCATGCCTGTAATTCCAGCTACTCAGGAGGCTGAGGCAGGAGAATCACTTGAACCCGGGAGGCCGAGGTTGCAGTGAGCTGAGATTGTGCCACTGCACTCCAGCCTGGGTGACAGAGCAAGACTCCATCTCAAAAAATAATAATAATAAAATAAATAAAATAAAAAATAAAAATTAAAATAGTCTGTGAACTTTATGACCTGTTCGGCATAAGGAGGTGACCTCTTAAGGACCTGTTGCATGATATATAGAAATTTGTCACAAATAACATGCAGTTCTAGATTAGCTATAGTTTCTTGCTTCCTTATTTAACAGTTCCATGCTGGTTTGCACTTCTAGTGCTCTGATGACGGAGTGTCCCTTTTCTCAGTGTTAGTGCCCAGTTGCCATCTCTGACAATGTAGTGGTGGGTATAATAAATCTGTTGATAATTAACTGTGATATGGCATGTGAAGAGTAAATATTGTGTTTTGGGAATTCCAAAAGAAAGCTATCTTTTGGTTGGGAGATGGGGGTGCTGGCATTTGCTTTGGGTTTTGAGGGATGGGTGGCATTTCAGTTGGTAGAGGCAGTGCAGAGGGTCAGAGGTGGGGACATGCTGGGTGAACAGTTCTGAGGACAGTGGCCAGAGCACAGAGCAGTGGGTTTGAAACACCAGTGGGGCCCTGGACACAAATGAAGTTGGGTCATGGAGGATTCCTGGTCTTGTCTAGTGGGGAGAATGGACTAACCACTTACAGTCATCGTGATTTGGTGTTTTGTTTTTGTTTTTTTTTGATAGGATCTCACTCTGTCTCCCAGGCTAGAGTGTAGTGGCGCGTTCTCAACTCACTGCAGCCCCAAACTCCTGGGTTCAAGTGCTCCTCCCACCTAGCCTCCCAAGTAGCTGGGACTATAGGCAGGTGCCATCACGCCTGGCTAATTTTATTTTTTGTAGAGATGCAGTCTCCCTATGTTACCCAGGCTGGTCTTGAACTCCTGGACTCAAGTGATCCTCCCACCTTTGCCTCCCATAGTGTTGGGATTACAGACATGAGCTACTGTACCTGGCTGGTGGTATTTTTGATTAACCTCTTTCTCATAAAAACCACTGTGGGCAATGGGACAAAAATCTAACCGGGAGTCCTGGTTGGGCACTGATTAATTAAGATTTTCTTTTCATGGTAGTTTAGAGAAGTCAGGGGAGACAGATCAAACTTATGTTCAAAGACTGTTAGAACAGATGCAGGTTTAATATATTCTCAGCAGTGGTCTTTCATATTCCAGAGCATCTTACGGAAATTTCAAATTTATCCTTACATAGAAACTCATATGTGTTCAATGGAATCCTGAGGTGGTGTGAATACAGTGGGGATGTATGTGTCTATTTTCAAGAACTGCTCTGAATTTGTACTTACCTGTAGAAGGTGAAATAGGCAGATTTTTTTAGCCAGGTAATTAGAAGCTTACAATAGAAATAAAAATATTTTGATCGCTTCTTGGCCTTTTGTCTAAGATCAAGTGTAGTATAAAAATATTTTGTTTTATAACATTTCTCACAAACTTTTTCCTTCTCCACACCTTCTCTTTCGAACCATAAATTGTAGATGAGAGTGAAGTAAGGCTTTTAGGGCCATTTTTTTTTTCCCCTCATTAGGTTAGATCAGTTGGTGATACAATAGTTTTGCCTGTTTTAATTAAGGGTGAATATCGGTGAATGATAGTTGGAAAACATCTGATATTTTTCTTCAGAGTGGTTAAGTTATAAATAGTAACTACAGGGAGAGTTAGATTTGTTTTCATTTTTCTCTGCTGTTTTTTTTGGCCCCAATTTTCCCCTGTAGGTAATATAAATGTTACTCAAGTCTGGAAAGGGAGTTTTGTCCTCTCTTAATTTGATTTTCTTAACCAAGTCGACAGTGATTTTATTGGATCTAAGATGCCATTCATATTGTTATCTTATATATTCCTAAGGAAGGAAAAAAAAAAAAACACAATGAGGAATTTTGTAGGAGACCTTGCATAAAGGAAAGGAAAAATAAAATCATCTTGCAGGAAGGCACAGTAAGGAAATGTGTATATTTCAATCTTGGTATTAGGTAGGGAAGGAAAAAAAACCCTCTAATGAGATTCTCCACTCAGAGAATTTTTTTAAACAGCTCTATTGCAATATTAATTTATATCTCATATATATTCCTATTTTAATTATACAATTTAATGCATTTTAATGTATTTACAGAATTATAGAGCCATCACCACAATCTAACTTCAAAACATTTTTATCGTCTGAAAAAGAAATCTGTGCCTTTTTATAGTCATTATCTATTCCCACTCTTAGCTGGGGCATCCACTAATCTAATTTCTGTCACCCTCGGCTGGGGCAACCACTAATTTAATTTTTGTAGATATTTTATATAAATGGAATAATCTAATATGTATTATTTTGTGTCTACACATGTCATAGAATGTGTAGTACAGATAGATGCTCCTTGACTCATGATGGGGTTACCTCCTGATAACTTCATCATAAATAAAAAATATAGTAAGTGAAAATGCATTGGATACCCTGACAAACCCATCATAATGTTGGAAAATTGCAAGTTGAACCATCCTAAGTTGGGGACCATCTGCACTTCATTCCTTTTTATGGCTGAATAATATTCATTTATATGAATATATCACATTTTATTTATCTGTTCATCAGTTGATGGGCATTTGAGTCTTTTCCAGTTTTTGGCTATTGTGAATAATGCTGCTATAAACAATTGTGTACAGTCTTTGTATGAACATGTTTTAAATTATCTGCCATACAGACACAGAAGTGGAATTGGTAAGTTGCATGGTGAACCTATGTTTAACTTTTTAATGCCCTTTAGAATTTGAATTGTAAGCTGGTTTGGAGTCTGAATACATATAAATGGTGTAACCCCCAACAACTTCAAGCAGGTTATTTAACTTTAAGTGGATCAGGTTGGTGGTGTCCTCAGGTAATTGGCAGAAGCAAATGCAGATCCTCTCCCTAAGAACATAACTTTGATTTAGGGCAGTCAAAGTTGCTGTCAATTTTAAGATGTATCTTGGGGTTAGGGATATTCCATGATGAAAATTTGTGTGTCATAGAGTCAATGGTATATAGTAAATGGAAATAAAAGTTCTTTAAAAAGCTCAAGGTAAACAGCATTCCTGGTGTTTTTTCCTTGTTTCTGTTACCACTGGGCTTGCTTCTCTTTGTATTTTCTTTTGTCCTGTTAGATCTACTCTAATGGTCTGCTGTTGTGTTTAGACCTGCCACTGTGAAGTTCTTCATATAAATTCACAGGGGGAAGGAGAATGTGTGTAGTACACGTTTTAAGATATAGATCCTATAAATGCTGCTTTTCACTATGAGGAGTGACAAGATTTCATCACTTGAAGGAAAGCCTCTGAAGGAAAGCTCCTTAGCAACACTTTGGTGCAATTATCTCATCTTACCAAGGAGGTCCCAGCAGAGATGGAAGACTGAGTCGTGGTTGGGGTGTTGCTGGTGCAAAGTGAATGACCAGTGAACCCCTATGAGCAGGATCTTTGTGACTGTGGTTGCCTTTCTGCAGGCTCAGTGTCCTCTCTGACTTTCTCAGCCCTGGTAGCAATGCTCAGCTTGTGTCTGAAAGCCAGGACTTTGCTCTTACACTGAGTTCCTTGCCTCCTCCATAAGTAACCTTCTTGACATGGCTGCTGCTCCCTGCTGCTGTCTTGGGCTATTTTGGTAGTTGTAATGGGAAAGAGGTCCAATCATTGCTTCTTTTATCACTCACTAGGATGTTTCACAAACACATTAATTTTTATGTCCCAAACTGAACTCTTGGTATCCACCTCCTTTGTTTATCTGAAAACTTTGCCTTTTCTGTAAATGTCTCCACCCACCATCCACCCATTTGTTCAAGTCAGAAGCTTGGGAGACATCTTTGATTCCTTTCTTTTCTTTTAATTTCCACATTACCAAGTCTGATGATTTCTACCTCCAATATATATTTCCCATCCGTTCACTTTCCTCTCTCTCCGCTCTATTACATTAGCTTAAGTGACTATAAGATTTTGCTTGGACTACTTTAAGAGCTGGCTAATGGTTAATGTGTGTTCCCGCTTCTTTTGTTCTCTCCCTCTACTTTTCCAACTGCACCCCACTTACTCTCCATACAGCAGCCCAAGTTATCTTATTTTATTTTTTTTGAGATGGAGTTTTGCTCTTATTGCCCAGGCTGGAGTGCAGTGGTACGAACTCGGCTCACCGCAACCTCTGCCTCCTGGGTTCAAGCGATTCTCCTGCCTCAGCCTTCCTGAGTAGCTGGGATTACAGGCGCCCGCCACCGTGCCCGGCTAATTTTGTATTTTTAGTAGAGACGGGGTTTCTCCATGTTAGTCAGGCTGGTCTCGAACTCCCGATCTCAGATGATCCACCCACCTCGGACTCCCAAAGTGCTGGGATTACAGGCGTGAGCCACCGTGCCTGGCCTAAAATTATTTTTAAAAATAAGATAATTTGCGTCAGGCACGGTGGCTCATGCCTGTAATCCCAGCACTTTGGGAGGCCAAAACGGGTGGATTGCTTGAGCCCAGGAGTTTGAGACCAGCCTGACCAACATGGCAAAACCCCCTCTCTATAAAAAATACAAAAAATTAGCCAGGTGTGGTGACACATCTGTAGTTCCAGCTACTTGGGAGGCTGAGATGAGAGGATCATTTGAGCCGCAGAAGTCGAGGCTGTGTTGAGCTGTGATGGTGCCACTGCACTCCAGCCTGGGTGATAGAGTAAGACCCTGTCTCAAAAAAAAAATTTTTAATATGACCAATTTTGAACATCTACAGAAAGTAAAGAGGATAGTAAACCAAACCTTATATACTAATCACTTAGCTTCTATAGTTGTCAACTCAAGGCCAATCTTATTTCATCCATATCCTATCCCCAGATTATTTGGAATCAAATCCTAGACATGATAATTTATTTCTACCTCTAAATATATTAAAATATATTTCTTCAAAACAAAGACAGTCTCTTTCATAATTACCATTCAGATACCAAGATCAGGAAATTAACATTGATATAGAGCTATAGTTTAATCTGTATGCTTTATATGACATCATTTTATCTGTATTTAGCTTGCAAAGGTCGCTTTTTAAAAAATCACAAGACTGTTGTCACACCTAAAACATAATAATATCCGTCCAGTAACTGGTCAGTGCTCAAATTTCTCCGACTGTCTCATTTATTTTTTTAACAGTATGTTTGTGTGAATCAGGACAAGAGTGATCCTTTTAGAAATTAAATGGGATGATGTCACTGCTTGCTTAAAATCCATCCATGAGTTTTCCTGTCTAAAGCTGAAGACCCAATCTACCTTTGTTCATAAGGTTTGAGGTGGTTGGGCTCCCACATACTGCTTCTGCCTCATCGAGGGCAACTCTTGCCCTCATGCATGACCCTCCAGCCACAAGCCTTATACAGTTTTTTGTGAGAGTAAACCCTGTGCTGCTCCGGATTGGAGCGTGTTTGCCCTCACTCTTTTGAGGGCTTTTTGCTGGCCATCCTCCACTCTCAGCTGGCGTGTCCTCCCACTTTCTCAGTGACTCCACCAAAACAGTTAGTCTTCCCCCATTTCTCTGTCTTGGCATCTTGTTTGTTTCTATCACTCCATTTCTCATTTTGCAGTTAATTGTTACTTGTTTTTTGATCATCTGTTTTTTTGAGCTCCAAGTTCTATAACGATGGGTCTGATCTACTTTGCTTGTCATGGTGTACTTGGCACCTATGCACCATGCTTGTCACATAGTAGGTGCTCAGTATATATGTGTTGAAAAAATGAATGTGTGAAATTAATATACTGTCTTAGTCCATTTGGGCTGCCGTAACAAAATCCATTAGACTGGGTAATTTATAAACAATGGAAATTTATTTCCTCACTGCTTTGTAGGCCGCAAGGTCCAAGAGTAAAGTGGCAGCAGATTGAGTGTCTGGTGAGGGCCCATTCCTCATAGATGGTGCCTTCTTTGTGTCCTCACGTGGTAGAAGGAAGCAGAAAATAGTGGAAAGAGGGGAAAGAAAAAAAAAAGAAGAAGGAAAAAGGGCAAAGAGACTCCCTCAAGCTTTTTTGTTAGGGTACTAATCCCATTTACAAGGGTGGAACCCTCATGACCTAATCACCTTCCAAAGGCCCCACGCCATCACTTTGGGGGTTAGGTTTCAACATATGAATTTTGGAGGGACACAAACATTAAACCATAGCATGTACTATTAAGAAAATATAGGTGGATCCTCAGAGTAGACTGCTAGGATTTGCAGTAAATTAAAGAAAAAAATGTAGCCACCATTGAGTTCCTAATGAGTATAGGGCACAGTGATAATTGCTGTGATTATTCAAATGGTTAGTTAAGGGATCTTTTGGAATACACAGTTAAAAAAAAAGACTGTGGCTGATTGTGTTCATAAACTCAAATGCATATATAATTAAATAAAGTCCAAATGTTTGGGCATAGTAAACACTATCCATAATTGTTGGTGTCTCCATTGCCATTTTTCTCTGAAGGGCTGACTCAGTTTTCACTTGACGTTTGCATAAATGAGTGTCAGAATCTTAAAGGATACAGTGAGCTCATTGCCTTTTGTTAACTTTTTACCCTGTTTCACCTGACATCCTTTTTTTTTTTCTGACGCCTTCATCCATTCCCTTTTCATCTACCTCACGATAAAAATAGGAACCTAAGATGACTAATAAAACACCCAAAAGCATATACTTGGGAGCTTTGTCTTTTGAAATGCGCCAAACTTCTTCATTGCTTGTGTTCCGAAAATCATCAGCCTCTCTGGTCTCCTTTCTTTTTCCTTCTTCCCTCTTTCCCCCTTTTGTCTCTGCTTGTGGAACATTATTCTACGACCAGAGAATAGAACTCCTCAAAGGCATAGTGATATTTGGTTTAGGTACATTTTTGAATAGTGTATAGTTCAGTACCATGCATGATGCACATCTAATAAATAGTCTGAAGACTTAATAGCCATCAACAAATTGGAAGAACCCTGAAATTGCCTAAAACTGAAGAGATATTTGGGGATTTACATATAACTTTTATTATTGTATAAAGTAATTTCTATGTTATTTATTTTATTTTTATTGTCTAGAATGAAAATATTCATACCAGCAGCGGTCTTTTAAAATTACCTGATGAGCAGAATGTTATAGTTAGAATGAAAAATGTTAAAACTCCATATAGCTCTGATGAATTAACCTTTTCAAAGGTGTGGGCATAGTATTTGGTCTCCCCTGTAGGCAATACAGCTATAAGCTTTTGATTTTTATTTATTTTAGTAGTTAGGAAAGTTTTCTGCAAGCGTAACTTGACTTTTATGCAGCAAAAAAAAAAAAAAAGTGTGTGTGTTTGTGTGTGTGTGTGTGTGTGTGTGTGTGTGTGTATAAAGTTATGTGTGTCAGATCTCCCATTGGCTTAAGGGATTCTTTGCCATTTAAAAATTTCAGCTTAATTTGAAAGAAGTTATACCCATAATGTGTAGTTTGCTTTGATTAAAATAATTTTATGTAATCACTGTAAGAAAATTAAGCCTGTGATTGGTATTTAAAAAGTGTATTTTAAACGATACATTCTCTTTGTCTCGGTACAGTAGATGGGTCCTGTATTTTCAGCAGAACTTAGTTACTAAACTTGTATAAGGATACCTTTTCAGACAATCCCATAGAAGTAAAAATTATTTGGTAATATGTATTTAACCTACAAAATAATTTATTTGAAAGCATTTTGTAAAACTGCAAAGCGTAAAGCAAACGTAACATAGTATATACATATAATATATTGAAGAGCACTGCTGTTTTTGTAAAAGCATTATTTCTTTCATGATGTAAGACATTTTCATATAGCTGTTTCATACAGTCTCACAATGGCTACCTTAAACTATAAAAACACTTTTTAAAGATTTAAAAAAAGAACACATTAAAAAAAATCTAACAAATATCTAAGAAATAAAATTATCCCTGGTCATTTCCCAGTTCTGAGACCTACTCCATCAAAACAGGGAAAAGGAAGGAGAGGATGCCTTCATTGCATGGTTCTTTTTTTTTTTAATGCTGGTTTTATGAATTTATAGACACCCCAGGTTTAACAAGCCTTTATTGAACACATCCTTTACATCAAGCATTAAGCTATTTTAAGGGGACAGACTTGACAAAGGGGATGTGGGTATGGAATGGGAGTGTCCAGGAAGTCTCGAGTCCACATTTTTTCTCCAGTCAAGTCTCAATGTTGACACTGAGCCAGGGGCCAGGGTGCAAAGGGGAGAGGTTCACATGTGCAGGGATGTGTTGCTTTGTATGGTTCTTAGTAATAAAGGACAATAGTTGGAGATGTTATTGTTTAAATATTAAGAGCAAATTAAGGCATATAATTCTATCTTTTTTTGGGTAGAGAAGTCTGTTTCAAACATGGCACCAATAGGAAAAAAGAGTGATAGTTTTGATTGTTATGACAAAACCCTTACAAGCCCATTTCAAAGAGAAAATACTTGAACATATATGAAAGAAGGTTAACACTGCAAACAGACCCAGAAAGAGAATACTTTGATGATAATATTGGCAAAGGGACATAAGCAGACAATTAAAAGAAGAAATACAGGTCCGTCAGGCTGCTACATTAATTTCCTATGGCTGCTATAACAGATTAAAACTTGGTGTTTTCACATAATACAGGTTTATTTTCTTACAGTTCTGGAGGTCAGATGTCTGAAGTGGGTTTCACTAGGTCAAAACCAAGGTGTCCCATGGCCGTGCTCCCTTGAGAGGCTCTAGAGGAGAATCCATTTCCTTGCCTTTTCCAGTATCTAGAGCTACATTCCTTGCATTCTTTGGCTCTTGGCCACATCCTGCATCTTCAAAGCCAGCAGCATAGCATCTTCAAATCACTCTCCTTCCATGGTCCCACCACCTTCTGTTTTTTTGTGTCTCTCTACCTCCCTCTTGTAAGGAAATTTGTGATTGCCTTTAGGGCCCACTCAAATAACCCACAATAATGACTCTGTTCAGGATCCCTAATATCTATAAAGTCTCTTTTGTCATATAAGGTACCATTCATAGGTATTAAGGCCTGGATAACCTTGGGTGCCATTATTCAGACTACCACACCTATCAAATAGCATGTGGGGTGGAACGATACACATATGTTTATCTGTGTATGTATGCATGAAGCCTGTGCAAGGACATACATATGGTATGTTTGGGATTATTTCAGTGTGTTGAGATTACAGGGTATTTATAATTTTCGAAAAGTTCCTTTTATATAACTGTTTTGCATTGTCAGAATTTTTATGGAATGTATTTTATTAGTGATCAGAAAAAGCTAAGAAACTCTTGGAAAGATGATTTTTTAATAGACAGTTTTGTAAGAACAATTTTAGATTTACAGAAAACTAGAAAATGTAGTAGAGTTCCCACAGACCCTTATACCTAGTTCCCCCTACGATTAGTATCTTACATTAGTATCGTACATTTGTTACAGTTTATGAACCATTTTGGATACACATCACTAACTAAAGTCCATACTTTGTTCAGATTTCCTTAGGTTTCACCTAATATCCTTTTTTTTTTTGAGATGGAGTTTCACTCTTGTTGCCCACGCTGGAGTGCCATAGCGCCATCTTGGCTCACTGCAACCTGTGCCTCCCAGGTTCAAGCCATTCTCCTGCCTCAGCCTCCCAAGTAGCTGGGATTACAGGCATAAGCCACCACGGCCGGCTAATTTTTTGTATTTTTAGTAGAGATGGGGTTTCACCGTGTTAGCCAGGATGGTCTTGATCTCCTGACCTCATGATCCGCCCGTCTCGGCCTCCCAAAGTGCTGGGATTACAGGCGTGAGCCACTGCGCCCGGCCCACCTTTTGTAATTTCTTAAAGGATATGTTGTAATTGATTAAATACTTAAGATCTGTACACATTACATCAATTATTCTCTTACATGTTACATATTATCCACAAAAATGTAGTTGGAAGCTGGACTTAATTAATTTTGAAAGGAAAAAAGAAAAATTAGATGAGAGATATTTATATTGATGGAAAAATGAAGGTGTGAAATGTACTTTACTAATAATTTTGCATTTGGGCTTGCAGTTCTCTTTTCCTTCCTTGAAAAAGCCTGAACTTCACAACACCAGGTCTTTTCATGTTTCTAAAGAATCTATAGTTTTCTTTTGTAGTACAGCGCACATGATATTTGCTGTCGTTTGGTGAATATCTGGCTCCCCAACTGGACTGAGAGCTCCAGGGGAGCAGGGACCTTGTGGGCTCTGCTCCCTGCTATATCCCCTGTGCCTGGTGCATAGTAGGCATACAGATACAAATGGACTGTCATTGCATATGCTCTTTTGAACTTTTAGAAATATGAGTGGTTAACTATAGGGTACATTTTTGGGTAAATAATCATAACAATTCTGTGTGAAAAGGGTAATTTAAAATAGTAGTATCAAAAATACATTTAGCTGTCTTGTCCCCTCCATATATACTACATATATATATATATATATATATATATATATATATATGTATATGTATGTGTGTGTGTGTGTGTGTGTGTATGCGCGTATATATATAGAGAGGAAGAAAACTAGAAGTATATTATTGCAAAACATTAAGAGTGGTTATCTCTGGGTTATGAGATTATGGCTGGCTTTAATTTTTTTTGAGATGGAGTTTTGCTCTTGTTGCCCAGGCTGGAGTGCAATGGCGCTACTCAGCTCACCGCAACCTGCACCTACCCAGTTCAAGTGATTCTCCTGCCTCAGCCTCCCTAGTAGCTGGGATTACAGGCATGCGCCACCACGCCTGGCTAATTTTATATTTTTAGAGGAGACGGGGTTTCTCCATGTTGGTCAGGCTGGTCTCGAGTTCCCAACCTCAGGTGATCCACCCACCTTGGCCTCCCAGAGTGCTGGGATTACAGGCTGTCTTTAATTTTCTTCTTTGTTTTTTAGCTCTTTCCAAGGAATTTACTATTTTATAATTTGGAAATACCACAATATTTTACCTGGTATTACTTTTTGTTTTTTTGAGATGGAGTCTCGCTCTGTCATCCAGGGCAGAGTGCAGTGGCGCAATCTTGGCTCACTGCAACCTCCACCTCCCGGGTTCAAGCGATTCTTCTGCCTCAGCCTCCCGAGTAGCTGGGACTACAGGCGTGAGCCACCACACCCAGCTAATTTTTGTATTTTTAGTAGAGATGGGGTTTCAGCATATTGGCCAGGCTGGTGTGGAACTCCTGACCTTGTGATCTGCCCCCCTCAGCCTCCCTAAGTGCTGGGATTACAGGCATGAGCCACTGCGCCTAGCCCTGGTATTACTTTTATAATTAGAAAAATTAGTGAGTCCTATACTAAAAACGTTTCAATTCTAGCATGTGCAAGAGCCCTTGAGGCAAGATAAGAAATTTGTGAAGTCAACGACCACCTTATTCCCCAGGAGAGCTTTTATCTATTTAAACCAAAAAAGTATAGCTGAACTTTAGAACTATGTTCTATCTTAGGGTCTTTGAACTAGTATTTCCTATGCCTACTATCTTCTAGTTTCATCAAAACCACTTCAAATATTGTTGATCAATTATCAATTTAAAAGTGGAGTTTTCCAACTATCTTGGTATGACTGTCATGTCATATATGTGTTTAATTCCCTTTGCTAATTTAACTTTTGTGCATTAATCTAAAAACTTAGGGGAAAAGTTGATTTTCTCTTATTTAGTATTTTTTTAAAGTCCATGATATAAAATCTGCGTCTCAGTCGGCAATAACAGCCTACATTTTTCCTTAAGACAAAAGGGATCATTCTTTTTTTTTTTTCTTAATTGTCCCTTTTTAGATAGGACATGAATCCCTGGATTAGGTGAAAAATCATGAAAATATTCTGTGGTTTTTATAAATCCAGGCCATTTGTATGTTCCTTGCCTGTTTCTCTAGATAATTAAACAGTGATGGATTAGAATTAGGCTGCAGCAGAGATTGGGGGAAAAAAAATCTCCCGGCATCCCTTCCTGCAGAAGCATCCGCTACAGCAGTGAGTGTAGCTGCCACTTTAACTGACATGTCTTAAATTCTGCCCTGGAAAGCCCTGGGATGCTGTCAGCTGCCTCGGCAACTACTTTGCTTGTGCCTGAGAATTGAGAGTCTCACTGGAGACCAAGGAATAAAATAGAAATTGAGGATTTTTGTTGGCTCTAAAATTGAGGTTTGTCTCTTCTTTTAGTTGGCTTAAAAAAAAATCTGGTAGAAGAGAGGGAAAGACATCTTCATAGTGGGACTATATTCATTCCTCCAAAGTTACAGCTGCTCTAAATCTGTGAGTATGTCATATTTATTTAGCAGTTCCTGGGTTTATGATTCAAATGTTCTCTTTAAATCTATGAGGGTTTAATTTAAGGAAGGCTATGTAAATTTTTTAAACTCCAGTTAAATTTCACTGGAACCTGCAGTTTTTGTTAGATGACATTGTCTTCATTAAGAGCTTCATGTCAAGCCTGCTTGGCTTCCCCTCTGACCCTCCCCCCAACCTTTTTAAAACTTCCTAAGGTGAGTGCTGAAATTGAAGAAAATAGTGTGACTTGCTGCGGAGGAGGATCTGGTCTTCCCGGGATGCCATGGCTGGTTTATTGCTGCTGCAAGGTGTGCGTCTGGGCGGCTGAGACTCCTGCTGCAGAACAATGGCAGGATGATGCTGGTTCACTTTGTATTTACTGTTTGTCTTATGTCCTCTGCTGGTTTCATTATAGCATTTTGTTTTGTTTTGTTAGGGTAATTAGAACCTTAGAGATTAGTAAAGTGGCTTGTCCTCAGAAATAGCATGTGTTGATTGTCCTAGACTCTCACCTCTGACCTTGCTGTGCTGGCTTTAGTGGTCTCTTTGTAGCAGATTACAGTAAATGTGAGCTACCAAAAAGTGACCTTTGTATGGCCACCTTTTAAAATTGTGCATCAGAATCAATGCTGGGTATTTTTTTTGTGTGTGTGACGCAGACCCTGGAGTCTAAACATCTGTCCTTAGTCATCGTGTCCCATTTTCCCCCTTTGGAATTTCCTGGACGTTAGAATTGTATCCTTGCTGAATTAGTGAGTGAGTTTTGAGCATTCTCTAAAGATAAGTTAATTTTTGATTCTCACCATAACCCCCATATGTTCCTGATTTGTCTTTGTTGAATAAAAGTCATATTATTGAACAGATTCATATAATTTGGCTACTGATTTTGTTCCTTTATCTTAAAATTACATTAGCTGAAATGATTTTTAAAAGTTGATATGTTCAGAGATCAGTAGTCAAAATACTTTTAAACACCAACTGGTAACAGTCATCGTTGTAGATGCAGAATATGTTTGACTTAGGCTGACATATTATAGGAGCTTTTTGGGTGCCAGTATTTTGGTTGACTTCCTGCAGGGTAAAATAAATCAAGGATTTAAAAAAAGAAATTTTCTCTACCACCCAGAGATCAAACATCTGCTGTTTTTATTTTTAAACATTTTGTCATACCTAAATGCAGCAACTTTGAATTTAATTAGGAAGGATTGCTAAAATTAGGAAATTCTGCCTTACTTAAACTTGCAAAGATCTTATATTCGTTCATTCATTTCATTCATTCATTCATTCATTCATTCATTCAAAAATGTTTACATCTGTTACGAAGCTCTTGCCAGGCTCTGGGGATATGATGCTGAACAAAATATTGTATCTTCCCTCATGGAGCAGATATTTTTAGCAGATGAAGAGGGCATTAAAAAACTGATTACCTAATTTCATTAAAATTGTGGTAATTTTTCACCTGTAGAAGTGTAAGTACTTTGTGGCCAAACATATAGGACATATAAATACCTGCAACTAATTCTGCCCCAGATCTGAAGGTACAGATCCCTAGAATGCTTAAGCTGGAAAGAGATGTTGGAAATGAGTTAACTGGTTCAGCAAGCATGTGGTCAGTGCTATAGTAAGTGCTGAGTTTAGGTCAGTAAGTGAGAAATGGTTCTGCTTTGGAGGAGCTCATAGTCTTAGTGGAAGAGGAAGGGAAATTGGCTATGTTAGAATGTTCTGTCATCAATTTCCCATTTTACTGGAGAAGAAACAACCTAGATTATTTTTAAAATGTCTTATGTGCCAGGCCCAGTATCTATGGTAAATCTGTTTTTGGCTTTTAAAAAAAATCTTCAACAGCAACCATGTTGATTGACCTTAATGCTCCCATTTTCCAAATGAGGAAAACGAGGTGCACAAAGACTAACTCAGTTGCCTAGGGTCACTCAGAATCCTGATTGTAACTCCATCATGCTAAAAGTTGGCAACTCTGTGCTCCTTGAAGCTGCTGGATTATGTCCCTTAGTCATAGGTTGGTTGGGGGAGCCCCCTCGTTTTTTTTTTTTCCTTTTTCTTCTTCTTTTTTCTCCTAAAGCCACAGTGCACTCCTAAATATCATGCTATTATGAAACAGGAAAATGCATAGTTTTTTTTTGCCTCATGCCCAGAGGTCTTCCTAACATTTTGTACTTGCTTTCCACCTGTTAACAGCACATATACATTTATGTCTTTGGTTCACTTTAGAAAGGACAGGATTGCACTTATGGGCAGATTATGCTTCAGTGGCAGGCCAGTTAAGGAACGTGGAAAACATGCACCCTAGAAGAGGAATGCTAATGGAAAAATCAAGGGTTTCTTGAATTTTAGGTCCAGAATGCTGTTCACCAACATCAGCAATTCCCTATAGGGCCGCCATGTTCAGAGTTGTACACAGGACTTGTCTCCTGTAATGAGTTGGAATTCTTGCAAATTTGAAAATTGAGGGTAGGGAGTAACTTTTCAGGAGAGATATTATAGCACATCTTGATTCTAAAGGCCATTTGTCCATTTCCTTTCTGAATGACTGTTAGAATGTTCTTCCTTAGAATGAAGTCTTCCTTATCGAAGATGAACTTTACCTCTCTACAGCCTCCTACCCACTGATCTTAAGATAAAACCACTCTAGTGTTTTTACAAAGTAGTCTTTCAAATATGTAAAATATTCTCCCTACCAGTCCCTGGTGGATCTTCGTATATCCAAGCTACACATCCTCAGTTATGTCACTTCTCTCTCCTGTGACATATTTCATGCTTCTCTCCATTCTGATCTCTTTGAATTTGACCTGTCATAGTTTCTAGATGGTTACAACCAAAACTGGACACTATTTCTAGTTTTGTCTGGTCAGCCAAGAGTGCAAATGGGTCATTTGTTTCTCATGATGCAGTAATGTTATTCTTCTGTTAATGTTTCCTATGCTGCATATCAATAGCTGTGTAACAAATCACCACAGAGCTTAGTAGACTTAAAACAATAACAATCATTTATTTGCTTATGAATCTGAAGTTTATGCAGGTCTCAGAGGAAATGACTCATCTCTGCCCACTTGGAATCACCTGGGGTGGCTCAGCTGGAGCTGGAGGAGCCATTGCTATGATGGCTCACTTACCTGGCTGGCCAGTTAGTATTGGTTGTCAGCTGGGAATTTAGCTAGAACTGTTGTCAGGGGCTTTGTTCTTCTCCATGTTGTTGCTTGAGCTTCCTCACAGCATAGCAATGTGGTTCTGAGCTTTAGTATTCCAAATGACAAGAAGTAGCAACTGCTAGTCTTTAAGATTTGGACCCCAAACTAACACAGTGTTGTATTGGTCAAGTAGTCACAGAGACCACCTTGATTCAAGAAGTGGGGCCATAGACCTCACTTCTTGACAGGAAGGGTGACAAAGAATTTGTGGCCGTTTATAATCTACCACACTTGCCAAATTTTTGGTCTCTGTCCTTCTCTCTATTTCCAGCTGAGTCATACACCTTAAACTCCTCAACTAAAACCCCAAGAGTTAGATTTGAATTTTTGTTAAGGTGAGTCTCCTCACCTTAATGAGATACCCCTCTGCAGACTAACATCAAGACATTAACCAAAATGTTATGTGACTCTGGTGATTTATTTATTTATTTATTTTTTGAGATGGAGTTTCCTGTCACTCTGGTTGCCCAGGCTGGAGTGCAATGGCGTGATCTCGGCTCACCACAACCTCTGCCTCCCAGGTTCAAGCAATTCTCCTGCCTCAGACTCCCTAGTAGCCGGGATTACAGGCATGTGCCACCACGCCCAGCTAATTTTGTATTTTTATTAGACACAGGGTTTCTCCATGTTGGTCAGGCTGGTCTCGAACTCCTGACCTCAGGTGATCTGCCCGCCTGGGCCTCCCAAAGTGCTAGGATTACAGGTGTGAGCCACCACGCCCGGCCTGGTGATTTATTTGGGTAAGAAATGACTTAACAGTGCCATTCTACCCAAGTTCTCTGACTTAGCCAGAGAAATTTAGGTGGTAATTGCAGAAGAGCAAACAGAACATGAGTTTGATGTGAATTTCATGCATGGTTTACTTTTCTTTTGATGTTTCGTCAGTCTACAGATGTGGAAAGTCTTTAGTGACCAAGTGGTATGGATGGATTTCTTCGGTGATCATTTTAGATTAATGGGTTATAGAATATTTTATTTTGAGTTATTATAGGTGGCTGTAATTTAGAAAGCAGGAAAGTATGAAACCAAGACTTGAATTTCTCTTGTGGTTTGGGGCTGTAGTCATTGTTTTCTTAGTTAGTAGTTGTGACAGAATTTGAGCCCTTCATTCCAGCAATCCAGGACCCAATATATAGCGTTTATTTGCCATCACCCCTCCTTAATATTAGCTTAGGTGTTTTTGTTTTTATTTTTTAAAGTAATAGCATCCCTGTATAGCAAAACCATTTCATATGCCTGCTTGATACCACAGGCTGAATAAATACAGCACATTAACTATGGAAACAGCCACATATTGAAGAACTAAAGAAAAACTCTAGAGTTTAATTACTCGAATATTTATATGCTCCTTCTTCAGTTTTGTTTGTTTTTCCTACTAATAGATATTTGTAGGGAGAGCCCTTATATCTACTGAAAGCTGCTTGTTTGTGAATGAAGGTTTCTGTGATGAAATATTCATGGGTACTTTTCATGATCTACATATGTGACATAAAATGCCAAGTAGGAAGACTGAATTTGATGCAAGGGGCTAATTGCATCAGGAAGAATGTCATTCATTCATCAAGCAGTCATTGAACATCTCTGGATTAAGAAACAGATAGTTCCTGTTCTTAAGAAGCTCATAAGCTACTCACTGTAATTGAAAAGTAGACCAATAATTATACTATGAGTTGTAAACTCCAACCAGAGAACCCAGAGAAGAAACATACTATCTAGCCTGAGAAAATGACTTTTTGGAAGCCTTTATTTTTTTTCTTCCTCCATGGATCATGAGGCAAATAAAAGGAAAACTTGTTGTCAGAATTGTCTTTAGAAAAACTTTGTTACTCTTTGTTTTAGGTGGTGATATTTTAAAAGAAAAGACAATGTCCCCCCCATTCAGTGTCCCACTGAAAACCTGTATTTGCTCTACATCTGAAAATATCTGCATTCCAACGTGGAGCGATGCAATGCAAATGGCAAATGCTGCCTCAGTGGCCTCTGCCCCATGACTGCAGGAAGCATTAAGCAGAACTGCTGAATAGCAGGAATATAATGGTCTGTCTAATGGGAAGTTCTTGGCTCCCATAACTCCTCTAATAACATCAGCACCACTATACTCCTCTATAACTCCTCTAATAACATCAGCACCACTTCATTCCCTTGCATTTATGTGATGTTTCAGTTTAAAAAGCGATTTTACAAAATGGAGCACGTTCTTTCCTCGTGGTATCTCTGGGAGGGACATAGGGCAGGTGTTGTTATTGCTGCTTTGCTTTTGCAGATAGGGACACTGAGACCCACTGAGGTGAGGAAGTGGCGCAAAGCCACACTGCCCGCCAGTGACTGGCGTACCTAGGACAGGAACACAGTGGTCTGCTATGTGTCCCAGCATGCCTTCTCCTAAATCACGCTCCAGTCATGTGGTAAGAGAGGATAATTCATAGATTAGGTAAGAAGTTTTCAGTCAGAAATAAGAGAACCCTCCAATAGGGAAAGGATTTTTGTTTGTTTTTAATTTAAAAAATCAGCAAAGAAAACTAGCAAAATGAAACAGGAGCTGTGCCTATCTCTTGCCAATCCAACATTCCATTGTTGTTTGTTTTAAATAATGTGAAGGAGTCTGATTTGCTTGCCTAAGGAAAGAATTTGAAAAGATACAGGCTCTGGTTCTAAGTTTCCAACTTGGTCAGTAATTTGCTATGACTATGGGCAAGGAAAACAGCAGCTGTTGGAGTAGTTTCTTTTGCTGAAAGAGATAGTAAGCACTACCTTCCATTTTCTTTCTAAAATTTTTTTTTAAATGAAAAGAAAATGTTTTTAGAGACTCCAGCCTGGGCGACAGCCTGTGCACTTCACAGTGCTGCCCACTGCAGCTTTGAACTCCTGGGCTTAGGCTGTCCTCTCAGCCTCCTGAGTAGCTAAGACTGCAGGTGTATGCCACTACATACGTCCAATTTTTTATTTTTTTGTAGAGATGGGCTATTGCTATGTTGCCCAGGCTAGTCTAGAAGTTCTGGGCTCAAGTGATCCTCCTGCCTCAGCCTCCCAAAACACTGGGATTACAGGTGTGAGGCACTGTACCCAGCCTGCTTTCCATTTTCTTAGTGAGTAGCGTCTTTGACATGAAGTTAAAGCCAGGTACTATGAGTGCTCACCTGATTTTTGGTTCTTACGAAAGTGCTTTTTTTCTGTAGACAGTTGTTAAATTGGTTTCCTTGCAGGGGCGATGACCAGTGGAGCCTTATATTCTGCCATCTTGCTCTGCCCCTTAATGAGTAGGGTCTGAATCATGCTTTGTATTGTATATGAAAATGTACTTGTATTCTTTTCAACTGTTCTCCTTTACTCTGGAACTTTCATCCCCATTGAGGACAGAAAAGCACATTAAGTGGTCAATTAAAAATTACATCATCTGTTCAAATTTCCAGCAGTCTGTTTTGGAGTGACTCAGGTTTTCTGGGAGATGTGGGAGGGGTAAATGCCCAGTTAAGTAAAAACTTAAACTCTGTATCAGGCTTATATCTTCCTTCTTAAAAGGTTTTCCCTCTCTCTCCTCCTTCTGACATGGCGTTGGGTGCAGGAAGAGGTGGTGTACAGATGGCCCCTGTCTGGGGACTGCTGCCTGGTAGAGGGCCCCATCCTGTTGTCTTTGCATTGGCCTCTCTCCTTGCTGCCTCTGCCACCAAAGGATTTCTGGACTGTTGGTGTGCCTGTGGCCCAAGGGCTTGGCATTCTCCACTGGCATTGGTTGGCCCACAGGTTCCTGAGATCCAGCGGCCACTCACATTTAATCGCTGTCTCTGCCCTTTGTTACAGAATCATCATGCCAATAAGCAGTCTTTTAAAAAAACATTTTTATTTTATGATAATTCCAAACTTACAGAAAAAGTGCAAGAATAACACAGAGAACTTCTGAATGCCCTTAATTCAGTTTTAACATTTTGCCATATTTGTTTTATTATTCTATGTATATACATTATTAGGTATTTTCTGAGTCATTTGAGAATAGGATTTTGCTCCAGAGAAGGTGGTCTAGAAGGATGAACCAAAATCTTTCTAGTGAATGGAGCTTTCATATTCCTTTCTTTTCTCTGCTTTCTTCCAATTCTTCTTTCTTTCTTTCTTTCTTTTTGAGATAGGGTCTTGCTCTGTCACCCAGGTTGGAGTGTAGTGACATGATCACAGCTCACTGCAGCCTCAACCGTCCTGTTTCAAGCGATCCTCCCGCTTCAGCCGCCTGAGTAGCTGGGACTACAGGTATGCACCACCAGGCCTGGCTGATTTTTCGTATTTTTTGTAGAGATGGGGTCTCCCTATGTTGCCCAGGCTGGTCTCAAACTCCTGGACTCAAGTGATCCGCCTGCCTTGGCCTTGCAAAATGCTGGGATTACAGGCATGAGCCACTGTGCCCAGCCTGCATTTCCCGTTGTTGATATTCTTAAAAGTGTATGTCTAGACCATCAGATAGGCCAGGTGTGACTGGTCTGACTAGAGGAGAATGATGTTATCCTTCATTTGCTCCTTTGTTTATTTATTTAATCAACCAGCACAGTGGTATTGAAGATCATTACCTGCAAGACACTGTACTAGGTGCTGCGATACAATCCTGCCTTTATGAAGTTTGTACTCTGATTAAGAGATAATTATATTTTTAAGTCAGAGTTAATTAGGCTGCTTGCGGTGGCTCATGCCTGTAATCCCAGCACTTTGGGAGGTCGAGGCAGGTGGATCAACTGAGGTCAGGAGTTTGAGACCAGCGTGACCAATATGATGAAACTCCGTTTCTACTAAAAATACAAAAATTAGCCAGGTGTGGTGGTGGCATGTGCCTGTAGTCCCAGCTATTCAGGAGGCTGAGACAGGAGAATTGCTTGAACCCAGGAGGCAGAGATTGCAGTGAGCTGAGATCCCACTACTGCACTCCAGCCTGGGTGACAGAACTAGACTCTGTCTCAAAAAAAAAAAAAAAAAAGAGTTAATTAAAAGAAACTTACGAAAGATTACTATTTTCCTCATTCTAGATGCTATAGTTTTCTTAATACAGCTTAAGTTGTATCAGGATTCATATTCTGTTGTGTTCACAAATTCATTTAAAATAATTCACAACTTTTTACAATGTTTTTAAGTCACATCTCTTTTATCCTGTTTTTATTCAGTTAGATTTTATAAATTATAAATTCAGGAATTTATAATTTATTCTCACTCAGGTATCATCTTTGAGAGCAGGCATGCTATTATTTTTTGTGCTTTAACATCTGATACCATGCCTGGAATATGGCATTCCTAAATGTTTATGGATAAAAATTAAATTTTAGTTTACTAAATATAAGTCATCCACTTAGAGCATTATCTTTTTAAATTATGGTTCATTCACTGCTATCTTTTCCAGTTTCATTGTTTTGCAGAGTTTTTTTTTTTTTAACCTTGCATTCTCTATTTTAATCCCAGTTTCTGATACAAATGTAAAACACATGATAAAGGGAAGTACCTCTTGAGAGAAGCTGTTCAAACAGTTATGAATCCATCTATTTGAATGAGCTTGTCATTCCCCATTTTCCATACAGAGCTAAGGGACACTTGGCAAATATCACATTCACATGGGCCTCATGTGCTACATTTTTCTCATCTGCCAAAGATGGGAAACACGGCTGGTATTAGAGAACTCGTGAGAGCGCCATCTCTTAGCTTCCTATGAGGGCTGATTCCTTCAATAAGGCATGAATCATTGTTCGTTTTTAGCAAAGGTAGATGCATGAAGGACCAGATTGAGATGGTAAATATGCATAAAGTAATAAGTTTGAAAGCAGTTCAGGAATATAATAGTAGACCTATTGAAGCATGTTATCAATGCAGGAAATAGAAAAGATAAAATTAGAAAAACCACATTCAAGAACTGACTTTTTTAAAGTAGTGAAAGGTTGGAAGACTTCTAAAAGGTCTAAAATAACATGAGAAACACATTGAGTAGTGATGTATTCTGACTTCTTCATGTGGAGAGGGCCAAAAATAATAAATTATACTGTTCTTGCATATTTCTTAGATAACTATTTTGAGTTATGTGTGATAAAAAGGGATGATCAGAGGGTGTTTCCTTAAATTAATATTTGAATATTCCCTTCATGAATATAGACTTAAATTACTCAAAATATATGCTTAACTTTTTTCATTATTGTTAAAATGGTACATTATCATTTTTGAAAAAATTGAAAAAAAAACATTGAAAAGTACAAAGAATCTAAAGATTACCCACGCCCTACAAATAATACTAAGGGTTACAGTTTTGATTGAGGAAGGCTTTGTAAGAAGTCTAAGCATAGATTATTTAGGGAGAAGTTTATCTAGTTTATCTATTCGCCAGTTTCTCGTTTAATAGAACAGTTATATCCTTTGTTGGTGCTTGCCCTTTGGCCTTTTTCAGCTGTTTTTCCTTCGTGAGGAACAGGGCCAGAGTGGAGAGAAAAAGTTGAAAGTATATTCCTTTGATTCTGAATGCACTGGTGACAGGCCTGGCAAAATGGGATTGGAGTTGGCAGTAAAATGATACTTGGGGAGTATCTTTTTATTTTTGGGCTCTTCTTGCTTTCTCATTGTCAGCAGCAGCACCTCCTCCTTCCTCTGATCATCGGCCATGAGAACAGCTCTTTGAGGAATCATCCTTGGGCAGAATTTGGTCTGGGAAGCAGTTTTTTTTAGTAAGAAAGACAAATGTTGTCTATGTAGCTAATACTATTAAGCAATAGATTTCCAGTGGTGTGTCAGAGTCCTGCATTTCATAATTCTAGTGGATACCATTTTTTATTTTTAAAGTTTTAGATTTGAAGGTACATGTGCATGTCTGTTACATGGGTATATTGCATAATGGTGGGGATTGAGCTTCTAGTGTACTCATCACGCAAATATTGAACATTGTATCTAAAAGGTAATTTTTCAACCTTCACCTCCATCCTCCCTCCCCTCTTTTGGAGTACCAAGTGTCTGTTATTTCCATCTTTATTTGCATTTGTACCTATTGTTTAGCTTTCAGAAGTGAGAACCCATGGTATTTGATTTTCTGCTTCTGACTTATTTCATCTAGGATAATGGCTTCTAGCCATTCAAGTTGCCGCAAAGATGATTTCATTCCTTTTTGTGGCTACATAGTATTCCATTCTGTATCTATTCCACATTTTCTTTATCCAGTCAACCATTGATGGACACCTAGGTTGGTTCTATGACTTTGCTATTGTGAATAGTACTGTGATAAACATATGAGTGCAGGAATCTTTTTTATATAATGATTTCTTTTCCTTTGGGTAGATACCAGGCAGTGGGATTGCTGTCTCAAATGGTAGCACTATTTTTAGCTCCTTGAGATATCTTCATACTGTTTTCCATAGAGGTTGAAGCAACGTTTGTTCCCACCAACAGTGTACAAGTGTTCCCTTTTCTCCATAAGCAATCCAACATCTGTTGTTTTTTGATTTTTTAATAATAGCCATTCTGACTGGTATAAGATGATATCTCATTGTGGTTTTAATTTGTGTTTCTCTGATGATTAGTGATGTTGAGCATTTTTTTTTTCATGTGTTTGTTGGCCTCTTGTATTATTTTATTTAAGAAATATCTGTTCAGGCCTTTTGCCCAGTTTTTAATGGTGTTGTTTCTTTCTTGTTGAGTTGTTTGAGTTCCTTGTAGATTCTGGATGTTAGTCTTTTGTCAGAGGCATAGTCTGCAAATACTTTCTTATTTTTGAGACAGGGTCTCACTCTGTCACCTGGGCTGAGTGCAGTGGTGCGATCTTGGCTCACTGCAACCTATGCCTCCCAGACTCAAGTGATCCTTCCACTTAAGCCTCCTTAGTTGCTAGGACTACAGGCATGTGATACCACGCCCAGATAATTTTCATATTTTTTGTAGAGACAGGGTTTTGTCGTGTTGCCCAGGCTGGTCTTAAACTTCTGAGCTCAAGTGATCAGCCCGTCTCAGCCTCCAAAAGTGCTGGGATTACAGGCATGAGGCACCACACCCAGCCAATATGGTCATTTTAATGATACTGATTCTTCCAGTCCGTGTGCATGGGATGTTTTTTCCATTTGTTTGTATGATCTGTGATTTCTTTCATCAGTGTTTTGTTGTTCTTCTTGTAGAGATCTTTTACCTCCTTGGTTAAATGTATTCCAAGGATTTTTGTTGTGGCTAACATAAATGGGATTCAGTTCTTGATTTGGTTCTCAGCTTGAACATAATTGGTATATAGAAATGCTACTGATTTTTGTACGTTGATTTTGTATCTTTACTGAAGTTGTTTATCAAATCTAGGAGTCTTTTGGAGGAGTCTTCGGGGTTTTCTGTCTTTTTGGGAGGAGTCTTTGGGGCTTTCTAGGTATATGATTATGTCATCAATTAACAAAGATAATTTGACTTCCTTTTTTCCAATTTGGATGCCTTTTATATCTTTCTCTTGCCTGATTTCTTTGGCTCGGACTTCCAGTATTATGTTGAATAAGAGTGGTGAAAGTGGGTGTCCTCATTTGTTTCAGTCCTTAGGGGAAATGTTTCAACTTTTCCCAATTCCATATGATGTTGGCTGTGGGTTTGTCATATATGGCTCTTATTATTTTGAGGTATGTTTCTTTGATGCCTGGTTTGTTGAAGGTTTTTATCAGGAAGGCATGTTGGATTTTATCAGTTGTTTTTTCTGTGTCTATTGAGATAATCATACGGTTTTTGTTTTTAGTTTATTGATTTGCATATGTTGAACCATCCTTGCATACCTGGAATAAAGCTCACTTGATTGTGATGAATTATATTTTTGATGTGTGTTGGATTCAGTTTGCTAGTATTTTGTGGAGGATTTTTGCATCTGTGTTCCTCAGGGATATTGGTTGGTAGTTTTCTCTTTTTGTTGTGTCCTTGTCTGATTTTAGTATCAGGGTGATCCTGGATTCACAGAAGGTGTTATTGCACCTCCTCAAATTTTTTGTAATAGTTTCACTAAGATTGGTAGTAGCTTGTCTTTATATGTCTGGTAAAATTTGGCTGTGAATGCATCTGGTCCTGAGCTGCTTTTTTTTTTTTTTCCAGAAGATTTTTTATTACTAGTTTAATTTCATTACTTACTTATTATTGGTCTGCTTGGGATTTCTTTTTCTTTCTGTTTCAATCTTGGGAGTTTGTATGTTTTCAGGAATTTATCCATTTCCTCTAGGTTTTCTAGTTTGTGTGCATAAATGAGTTCATAGGAGTCTCTTATGATCATTTGTATTTCTGTGGTATTGGTTGTAATATCACCTTTATCATTTTTGATTATGCTTATTTGAATCTTCTCTTTTATTTTCTTGGTTAGTCTAGCTAATGGTCTGCCAATTGGTTTATCCTTTTGAAGAACCGACTTTTCGGTTCATTTATTCTTTTCTTTTTTGAGATGGAGTCTTGCTTTGTTGCTCAGGCTAGAATACAGTGGCATGATCTTGGCTCACTGCAACCTCCGCCTCCCGGGTTCAAGTAATTCTCCTGCCTCAGCCTCCCAAGTAGCTGGGGCTACAGGCATGCACCACTATGCCCTGCTAATTTTTGTATTTTTAATGGAGATGACGTTTCGCCATGTTGGGCAGGCTGGTCTCAAACTCCTGACATCAGGTGATCCATCCGCCTGGGCCTCCCAAAGTGCTGGGATTACAGGCATGAGCCACTGTGCCCAGCCAGTTTATTGAGTCCTTGCCTTTTTTTTTTTGTCTCAATCTCATTTAGTTTTGTTCTGATCTTTGTTATTTCTTTTCTTCTGCTAGCTTTGGGTTGGTTTGTTCTTGTTTTTCTAGTTCCTTGAGTTGTGATGTTAGGTTGTTAATTTGAGGTCTTTCTGTCTTTCTGATGTAGGCGTTTAATTAATGCTATAAACTTTCCGCTTAGCACTGCTTTTGCTGTGTACCAGAGGTTTTAGTATGTTGTGTCTTTGTTTTCATTCATTTAAAAGAATTTTTTTATTTCTGCCTTAATTTCATTGTTTACCCAAGAGTTGTTCAGGAGCAAGTTGTTTAGGTTCCATGTACTTGTATAGTTTTGAGAGTTCTTCTTGGGATTGATTTCTAATTTCATCCCACTCTGGTATGAGAAAATACTTGATATGATTTTCATTTATTTGATTTTATTGAGACTTGCTTTGTGGCTGAGTATATGGTTGATTCTGGAGAATGTTCCATGCACAAATGAAAAGAATATATATTCTGTGGTTGTTCAGTAGAATGTTCTATAAATGTCTTTTAGGTCCATTTGGTCTGTAACCCAGTTAAGTCCCAAGTTTCTTTGTTGATTTTCTGCCTCGATGATCTGTCTAGTGATGTCAGTGGAGGTGTTGAAGTCCCTCACTATAATTGTATTGATATCAGTCTATTCTCTTAGGTCTAGTAGCATTTGTTTGATAAATCTGGGTGCCCCAGTATTGGTTGCATGTATATTTAGAATAGTTAAATCTTCTTGTTATATTGAATCCTTTATCATTATACATAATGTCCTTCTTTGTCTTTTTTTACTGTTAGTTGGTTTATGTCTGTTTTACTTGATATGAGAATAGTCACTCCTGCTCACTTTTGTTTTCCATTCTCATTTTATGTCTTCTTTCTCCCTTTTACTTTGAGTCGAAAGGTATCTTTAGCCAGTAGGTGGGTCACTTGTAGGCAGCAGATGGTTGGGTCTTGTATTTTTTTTAAAAAACTAGTTTGCTACTCCGTATCTTTTAAGTGGGGCATTTAGGTCATTTACATTTAGGTTAGTATTGATATGTGAGGTTTTATTCCTGTCATAGTGTTGTTAGCTAGTTGTTTTGGAGTTTCAATTGTGTAGTTGTTTTATAAGATCTGTGAGCTTTGCACTTACGTGTTCTTTTATGATGGTGAGTATTGTCCTTTCATTTCCATGTTTAGAATTCCCTTCAGCATTTCTTGTAGGATAGGTCTTGTGGTGACAGATGCCCTTAGTATTTGCTTGTCTAGAAAATATTTTATTTCTTCTTCATTGATGAAGCTTAGTTTGGCAGGATGTGAAATTCTTGGCTGGCATTTTTTTTTCTTTAAGGATGCTAAAAATAGACCCCAATCTCTTCTGGTTTGTAGGGTTTCTGCTGAGAAGTTTGCTGTTAGTCTGATGGGTTTTCCTTTGTAGGTGATTTGACCCTTCTTTCTAGTTGCCTTTAAAATTTTTTCTTTAGTGTTGACCTTGGATAGTCTGATGACTATATGCCTTGGTGAAGTTCGTCTTGCATAGTGTCTTGCAGGTGTTCTCTGAATGTCTTGTATCTGTATGTTCACCTCTGTAGAAAGATTAGGGAGTTTCCTGAATTATTCCCTCAAATATATTTTCCAGGTTGCTTACTTTTTCTTCTTCCTTCTCAGGAATGCCTATAAGCCATAGGTTTGGTTGCTTTGCACAATCCTGTATGTCTGAAATGCTTTGTTCATTTTTAAAAATTCTTTTTTCTTTATTTTTGTTTGGGTTAATTTGAAAGATGGGTCTTCAAGCTATTTTTTAAAAAATTATTAGTTGGTGATATGAATTGGAGGTCTTTAAGCTCTGAAATACTTTCTTCTGCCTGGTCCAGTCTATTGTTAAAACTTTCAACTGTATTTTGAAATTTCTTAAGTGAATTTTTCATTTCCAGAAGTTCTGTTTTTTGTTTTGTTTTGTTTTGTTTTTGTTTTATTTATTTATTTATTTATTGATCATTCTTGGGTGTTTCTCACAGAGGGGGATTTGGCAGGGTCATAGGACAATAGTGGAGGGAAGGTCAGCAGATAAACAAGTGAACAAAGGTCTCTGGTTTTCCTAGGCAGAGGACCCTGCGGCCTTCCGCAGTGTTTGTGTCCCTGGGTACTTAAGATTAGGGAGTGGTAATGACTCTTAAGGAGCATGCTGCCTTCAAGCATCTGTTTAAGAAAGCACATCTTGCACCGCCCTTAATCCATTTAACCCTGAGTGGACACAGCACATGTTTCAGAGAGCACAGGGTTGGGGGTAAGGTCACAGATCAACAGGATCCCAAGGCAGAAGAATTTTTCTTAGTACAGAACAAAATGAAAAGTCTCCCATGTCTACTTCTCCCTACACAGACACGGCAACCATCCGATTTCTCAATCTTTTCCCCACCTTTCCCCTCTTTCTATTCCGCAAAACCGCCATTGTCATCATGGCCCGTTCTCAATGAGCTGTTGGGTACACCTCCCAGACGGGGTGGTGGCCAGGCAGAGGGGCTCCTCACTTCCCAGCAGGGGCGGCCGGGCAGAGGCGCCCCTCACCTCCCAGACGGGGCGGCTGGCCGGGCGGGGGGCTGACCCCCCCACCTCCCTCCTGGATGGGGCAGCTGGCCGGGCGGGGGGCTGACCCCCCCACCTCCCTGCCAGATGGGGCGGCTGGCTGGGCGGGGGGCTGACCCCCCGACTTCCCTCCCGGATGGGGCGGCTGGCCTGGCGGGGGCTGACCCCCACCTCCCTCCCGGACGGGGTGGCTGCCGGGCAGAGACGCTCCTCACTTCCCAGACGGGGTGGCTGCCGGATGGAGGGGCTCCTCACTTCTCAGATGGGGCGGCTGCCGGGCAGAGGGACTCCTCACTTCTCAGACGGGGCGGCCGGGCAGAGACACTCCTCACCTCCCAGATGGGGTCGCGGCCGGGCAGAGGCGCTCCTCACATCCCAGACGGGGCGGCGGGTCAGAGGCGCTCCTCACATCCCAGACGGGGCAGCGGGGCAGAGGCGCTCCCCACATCTCAGACGATGGGCGGCGGGGCAGAGACGCTCCTCACTTCCTAGATGGGATGGCGGCGGGGAAGAGGCGCTCCTCACTTCCTAGATGGGATGGCAGCCAGGCAGAGACGCTCCTCACTTTCCAGACTGGGCAGCCAGGCAGAGGGGCTCCTCACATCCCAGAGGATGGGCGGCCAGGCAGAGACGCTCCTCACTTCCCAGACGGGGTGGCGGCCGGGCAGAGGCTGCAATCTCGGCTCTTTGGGAGGCCAAGGCAGGCGGCTGGGAGGTGGATGTTGTAGCGAGCCGAGATCACGCCACTGCACTCCAGCCTGGGCACCATTGAGCACTGAGCGAACGAGACTCCGTCTGCAATCCCGGCACCTCGGGAGGCCGAGGCTGGCGGATCACTGGCGGTTAGGAGCTGGAGACCAGCCCGGCCAACACAGCGAAACCCCGTCTCCACCAAAAAAATACGAAAACCAGTCAGGCGTGGCGGCGTGCGCCTGCAATCGCAGGCACTGGGCAGGCTGAGGCAGGAGAATCAGGCAGGGAGGTTGCAGTGAGCCCAGATGGCAGCAGTACAGTCCAGCTTCGGCTCGGCATCAGAGGGAGACCGTGGAAAGAGAGGGAGAGGGAGACCGTGGGGAGAGAGAGGGAGAGGGAGAGGGAGAGGGCGAGGTTTTCTTCTCCCTTCTCCTTGTCGCCGTGTGTTCCGGTGTCATGGCACCGGCCAGGTGGAAACCACATCTGCGGATCATTGGGAATGTTGGCCATGCTTCTCGAACCAGTTTTCTCTCACGGAGGACCTAGCCGTCGCGTGGGGCTAGAAAAGGTCCTGAAGCAACTGAAGATTTCTCGCCAGGGCTACACCCTGGTGTTATCTGAAGGCTTCTGGACTGACCCCGCCTCCAACTGCCCGGCTGGGTGTCCGCAACAGGATCTACAGCTGTCCTATCGCAAAATTTCCTCTTTCCCTATCCACAAATGCCATGTCTCCTATCCTCTCTGTGTATGCAGTGTTTGAGAATTTTTATAGTTCAGGGAAAGAGTCCCCAGAGTGTTCGAACCGTGCCTGAGCGGCCGCCGTCGTCTCCCGGCACCACTGGCCCTGCAGCAGCCAGTTGAGAAGGGCGGAGGCTGATTCCAATGAAGTGGCAGAACGTTAGGCGGCCTCTCCAAAAAGCCAGCTACGTCGCCGTTAGCCAAGGTTTGAGGGTCTTCTCCTTCTCTTCGAGGGCCCAACCTCCCCTCCAGATTTAGTACACCAGAGGCGTCGCAGCAACGGCTGCTGCCTGCGCGCCTCAGCTAGGCGGGCTCTGTTTTTGTTTTTTAAAGGATATTAGTCTCTTCCCTCATTTCTTGGATTACTTTCTTGGTTTCATTGTGTTGAGTTTTCAACCTTTTCTTGGATCTCATTGAGCTTGCTTGCAGTCCATACTCTGAATTATTTATCTGCCGTTTCTGAGTTTTTATTTGGTTAAGGTCTGTTGCTAGACAGCTAGTGTGACCCTTTGGTGATGTCACAACATTTAGATTTTTCATGGTGCCAGAATTTTTATGTTGGTTTCTTCTCATCTAGAGAGGCTACTGCTTTTTCTTTTTGAATTTATTTTCATTTAGATGGGCGTCCCCCCCACCTCCCGTTTCCACCTCTTCTAGGGGTGTAACTATAGCGTTAGTATGTTGGGTAGGGTCTTTTGGGTTCGCTTCTAAGGCCCTGCGCGATTCTGTCTGCAGGTTTTATATTGGTCTGTGCAGTTTGACCTGGAGGTCAGTAGGTGGCGCCTATGGGTAAGAGCCATTTGCCGCACAAGCAGATGGGTATATACTTGATTTTTATTTACTGTGATGAGACCTCTGTTGTTTCAGGTGATGAGCTGGACAGAGGAGTGCCTGGTGCCTTGAGGTTCTTGTTCAGGTTGGGGAGGGGGGACATAGCTGGGCAGAACTGGATTCCCTAGCTTGCCCATGAGTATCACAGTGACGAGCTCAAGCTCCAGCCCTGGTGGGGGTGACTCGGGGGAGCTCCTGGTGAGATGTGCCAAGGTCTCTGCAGGATTTGAGAGGGCTCCACTGGCTTGATGGATACCATTTCGACTCTAGATTACAAACATGGTGGCTTCCAGAGCACATCAGTTGGCCTATCTACACTCATTCCTTTTCTCCCCTAAGGAGAGATTTTAACGTTGATGGAAAACCTTGAAGGACATATTTTTATTCATTTTTGAAATTTTATTTTAGTTTTAAATATGGACTAGCTTTTATCTCATTGCGCAGGAACATAACATATTGTGTTGGATTTATTGGGGAAGTTAAATTTGAATTGGCTCTGCTATCTATGATTTGATTGAGAGAAAAAGTATAAACAAAGATAGCTGTAAGCTTTACCCTCGAAAATAGTTGTACCTAGTGATTAAAATTAGAGCAGTATTCAAATGAATAATAAAAAGATAAGTAACTCAATTAAAAATGGGAAAATAATCTGAATAGACATTACTCCAAAGAAGACATACAATTGGCCATTAAGTACTTAAAAAAGATTCTCAACATTATTAGTCATTAAGCAAATGCACACCAAAAACTACAGTGAGATACCACCATATCTCATGGACAAAAACAAGTATTGGCCAAGCTGTTAAGAAATTGGGAATCTAGTACATTATTGGTGGGAATATAAAATCACATAGCTGGCCGGGCATGGTGGCTCATGCTGGTAATCCAAGCACTCTGGGAGGCTGGGGTAGGAGGATTGCTTGAGCCTAGGAGTTCAAGACCAGCCTGGGCAAGATGGCAAGGCACCATTTCTACAAAAAATAAAAATTAAAAAAATCGGAAAAATCACACAGCCACTTTGGAAAACAGTCTAGTAGTTCTTCAAAATGTCAAACATAAAGTTACCACATAATGTAGCAATTCCACATACCATAATTTAGCATTCCATAGCAATGCTAGATATATAATTAAGAGAAATGAAAATACATGTCCACACAATAACTTGTTTGTTTTTTTTTTTTTCTGAGATGGAGTCTCACTCTGTCACCCAGGCTGGAGTGCAGTGGCACAATCTTGGCTCACTGCAACCTCCGCCTCCCGGGTTCAAGCAATTCTCCTGCCTCAGCCTCCCGAGTAGCTGGAATTACGGGTGTGCACCACCATGCCTGGCTAATTTTTGTATTTTTAGTAGAGATGGAGTTTTGCCATGTTGGCCAGGCTGGTCTTGAACTCCTGACCTCAAGTGATCTGCCCTCCTCGGCCTCCCAAAGTCCTGCTGGGATTACAGGAGTGAGCCACCATGCCTTGGCCAAGAACTTGTACATGAATGTTCATAACAGCATTATTCGTAATGGCCACAAAATGCAAATTATTCATATATTATCAACAAATGACTAACAAAATGTGGTATAGCTATACAATGGAATAATATTAGGTAATAAAAAGGAATAAAGTACTGTTACATGATACCACATGAATGAATCTTGAAAACATGCTAACTGAAAAAGCCAAGCATAAAGACCATACTTTTTATGATTCCATTGATATGAAATGTCCAGAATAGGCAAATCTATAGACACAAAAAGTAGATTAGTGGTTGTTTAGGACTAGAGGAGGTGGAGTGGAGAATGAGGAGTGACTGCTAATATATGGATACATTTTGGTGACAAAATATTATAAAATTAGATTGTGGTGATAGTCTGTGAATATACTAAAAACCATTGATTGTAAACATTAATTGGGTGAATTTTATGGTCTGTGAATTAGGTCTGAATAAAGCTGTTTAAAAACTTAAAAGTTAGAGCCGTTAAAATAGGGCAAAATAAGGGCATATATTCCAATGTACTAATAGCTGTAATTGAAGTTTGGTGTGTTATTTTTCGTAGCCTCCAGTATAAAGATTTAGCATGGCTCTTTTGCAAGGGTACATGCATATCAGTGCAGTGTTCAGATATTAAAAGCCTTTATTGAAGGAAATAAGAGAAGACCTGAATAAATGTGTAAAGATGTGAAGATGCAATGTTATAAAGACAACAATTCTCTGTAGATTTCCTAATAATGTAATGAATTCCCAGTCAAAACTCCAGCAGGACTTGCTTGTAATATTATAATGACTAACTCTGAAATTCATAAACAAGAATGTAGGTGTAATAATAACAACCCCACAAAAAGAGTGTTTAATAAAGTAGAGAACTTGCCCCAGTTGGCTTACAGGTCTCGGAAAGCCATGATAATAAAAACGGTGTGACTAGTGCAGAGAGAGGCAAATATGTGATGGAACAAAAGAATGCCCAGAAACAGACCTGAGCACGTATGGAAAATTGCTGTGTGTAAGAGATTGCAGAATAATCCAGTATGTCAAAGTATCATAATTATGGAATCAACGCATGTCAGTGAGGAAATCAGCAAGATGGTAAACCTGGTAACAGCATTTGGAGAACTGAGGAAAGAAAAAGTGTTGAAATAAGGTTTGTTATGCACAACACTGGTTAACCTCCGGCAAGGTAATAAAACCATAATCTTACCACACAGAAATTATTTGCATATCTACCAGATTAAAAAATCTACAAGTTAACATAATTTTACAGAGTATAGGTTTTAATAGTAAATAGCAAGCCAAACAAGATATATACTCCCTAGGGAATTAAATGTTCCTTGGGTGGGCCTGTCAGACAGTGCTCCAAGGTGACCTTGAGAGGACATGCAGTCTTCCTTTTGCCTTGTTTCCAAGCTCTTATAACAAGTAGATGAGTTATTTCTTGCTTATCCATGCAGGAAAGAATTAAATGTAGCTCAGACTGTACACAAAAATGGATTCTAGATTATATTTGTGTGTTTGCAATAGTATTTTCTCTACTTTATGTATTTGAAGCATTTCTTATTAATGAAATGAGAAAATGCATTCTTAAAACACTAGACAGTACTTTCAATAAATGGGTTATGTCTATATCTAAAAAAATCCTGTTTAATAAAAAAATTAGTTTGTGGCATGATATGCTTATTGTGATATTAACATAAATCTAGAAATACTGTAGAATTTCCATGAATTCGTGTACATGTGTATACAAACATAAAGAACTTGAAGAATCTGAATCTAATCTTTTATACCTCAGAAAAGATGAATAAAATGTAACATTATTTTGTTAATAATTATTATATTCTGCTAAAGTCAAGTCTGTTGTGCCAGGTAAAGATACAATAATTTTAGCTTTTATTAACAGATTAATTTAGGCACAGTAATATTTTAACTAGTTTGTTTGAGCATAAGTGATTCCTGAATTGAATATCATTAGAACACAAGCAGTTCAGTGTTCTACTTAAGGAGTGGGAGGGGGAAACTTATGAAGTATTTAAAGAAGCAAGACAAATAAAATACTTGACTGGAACAAGTGGGAAGTTCTTAGTTAGAGGTGAGTTGGCGGTTTCTGATTGGCTAAGCTTAAGTTTTGTTTTTACTGTTTACGGTGAGTTGAGTTTCCATTTGCTCGTATAGGAACCATCTTTGCTGAAGGCCTCCCAATTCATTATTACTGTTTTTATTTTTTGAGATGGAGTGTCACTCTTGTCACCCAGGCTGGAATGCAGTGGTGCAATCTTGGCTCACTGCAACCTCCGCCTCCCGGGTTCAAGCAATTCTCCTGTCTCAGCCTCCTGAGTAGCTCGGATTACAGGCACCCACCACCACGCCTGGCTAATTTTTGTATTTTCAGTAGAGACGGGGTTTCACCATGCTGGCCAGGCTGGTCTCAAACTCCTGACCTCAAGTGATCTGCCTGCCTCAGCCTCCCAAAGTGCTGGGATTACAGGCATGAGCCAGCGTGCCCAGTCCCAATTATTTTAGCACTTTGAAACATATAATATTTACCTGGCACACCAAATTTATGTTTATATCTAGTGTGTTATATATGGCATGTCAAATCATTGGGGGAAAAGATGTGTTTTTTTAAAAACAATCTTGGGAAACATGGCAAAAGATTAGGGAAAAAATTACACAGCACTATCTTGTACCATTTATTTAAATTATAAACGATTAAATATAACATATTAAAAAGTAAAACACAGGTAAAACTATGTTATATAATCTTTGTAGAGGGAAGGTTTTTCTAAGTATGCCCTCAAAATCAGGAATGTTAAAGAAAAGGGTGATAGTTACGACTAAGTAAAAATTTCAATATTGGGGAGACTTTTATTAAAGCTAAAGGCAAATGTGAAAAGGGGATATTTTAACAGTACATTTCAGAGACTGTGTGTTTCTAGCCCTCGAAAATGAGTCTGTAAATGAACAGATGGGCAAGAATGGTCCAAATGGGTAGATAGCCTTTTCAGTCGGTCACTTCCTCTTTCCCTGCTTGTAAACGGAGCTGATGGTCACTGCCCAGAGTCTTATTTATGGAAGTGGTACCTGTATTCTCAGAATAAGAAGTTTTTGTGATGGAAATAACTTGTCTTCTAATGACATTTTCCCTTACCTGTGGAGTTTTCTTCCCTCCCACCACCCACACCTAACCACCCTTGTAAGAACAACTTCAGTTTTCCCCTATGTGATGTGAAAAATTTAGGGAACTTGATATATCCAAGATAAAAATGAATGTCTAGTGTAAAATATTAGAGTGCATTGGGAAGTCTGAACTTCCAATGGGGGAAAAAAACAAAAAACAAAACTCCACTTAATTGAGGACACTGCACTTTTTTTTTTTTTTTGAGATGGAGTTTTGCTCTTGTCGCCCAGGCTGGAGTGCAATGGTGCGATCTTGGCTCACCGCAACCTCCGCCTCCTGGGTTCAAGCGATTCTCCCTGACTCAGCCTCCCGGGTAGCTGGGATTACAGGCATGCGCCACGATACCTGGCTAATTTTTGTATTTTTAGTAGAGACGGAGTTTCACCATGTTGGCCAGGCTGGTCTCGAACTCCTGACCTCGGGTGATCCACCTGCCTCGGCCTCCCAAAGTGCTGAGATTACAGGCGTGAGCCACTGCACCCATTGTACATCTTAGAATTAAAAAACAAAAACAAAAACAAAAAACAACCACAAAAAAACACGCAAAACTTCTCCTCTTTTTTTAATGACTTTACCTCTTTTTTTAATGACTCTAGCTCTTCTCTGTGAAATGTGTACTGTTAAGGTGAGTGGAAATGGAAGGAGATTGGCAATTCTATTGTAATACAGGGCAGGACTTACTCTTAAACTCTTTCTGGAAATTTCCTTCTCTGAGTGGACCTGCCCCCATTGTGTGCCTGTCAGATATCTGTGGGTCAACAAACTGGCCGAAGATTCTGCAAGGCAAATTGGTCCTTACCTTCTTTATGTTACTTCAGCTTTCTGTGGTGTGTATTTAGTGGGAAATTAGACAGTTTATTAAAAATAAAGTACTTTACAAAATAAGTACCATTGCCTTCGGGAATGTATTTTTTGGAAATAATTAGGCAAGTGAGTAAAGGGGCTTATTAACAGTAGTTTGTAATGCCAAAACTTTGGGAGTAACCTACATGCCTGAAAATGAGGGACAGGTAACAAATTATCATTATTTCCAGTCAGCAGCATGTTGCAGATGCTATGATAAAGCAACTCTGGATTTATTGAGAAGAAAAGATTCAGAATAATTCCTATATGTAATCCATTATACTGTATACCATAACCCATTATAATAAGTATCTTTAATAAAGTTTTATTAAAATATGTATAGATTTACTTGGGAAAAAACCTGGACGGATATATACAAGATACAATCCTATCTTTGGGTGGAGACCTGTGGAGTAATTTCAGTTAACTTATTTTTTGTGTACTAGAATGAAAAAATAAAGTTATTAGGGCTGTATTTCAGGAATGTTTGACACATAACAGTAGATTTTTGTTACTTGATTTTTAAAATTGATAAGAAATGGAGGTAAGATGTATAAAAATAATTGGAAGACTTATGTTGTGTAATTGCACTGGTGTAGACTTTTCTCACAGGACAAAGAAATAAAAAACCTTGCTCTGCCTTTTTAATTAACAGATCTTCTCACTCAGATATGGCAACAAGCAGCCTTCACTTTGCATCATGTGATACACAACAGGCGCCCAGACAGCGCGGAGCGTCTACTGTCAGCAGGTCAGGAAGGGTTGTGGGCATTCCTGGGGGAAGAGGGGAGGACAGTCCCACCCTTGAAGGAATATAATACTGATATTTGCATAGTGCATTGCGTTTGACAAACCAATGAGGTCAGGAGAGGCCTAGGCAAGTAGAGTGCCCATTTTATAAATCAGGGAAGGAGATACGGTGGCTGCTCAGGGACTCAGTGAATAGGTGGCACTGTTACATGAAAGCAAAACAAAATTCAACTTTGGGGCACAACTCCCTTTCAAGTCGCTTTTATCTTTAAATATTTTTAGCTATTATTTTTATTATAAAATAATAAATCACACTGCCAAACATTGGGGAAAATGGAGGAAAGGAGAAACAACCATAATGATGATCACTTGAACACAGAATTTTGGTGTATTTCCTTCCAGTCTTTTTCCTAGGCATGTGCTTCTTGATACAGTTGTAACCATAATAGATTTTTTCGTCAAATATTATATTATGATTATTTCTTTCTTACATTTTTTGCATAATCTTGGTTTAAAAATATATTTTAAGAAGTGTTCATTGTAGAAAATTCAGAGCTATAGAAAGCACAAAGAGAATGAAATATGTATTACTATAATCCTGATTATTTTTGTGTGTATTCTTTTTCTCCTCAAATATAGAGATATTAAATTTTTTTCTTAATTGGAATCATATTAAATATACTGTTCAGTAATCTACTTCTTAAAATTTAATATATCGTGATATTTTCCCCTTCCATTAGATATTTTTCTGTGGTATCATACTTGGTTAATTTTTGTTCCTTTCCAGATCATTTTAGAATTAACAGATTCTCTCTTTGAACATGAAGGTTTTTTTTATGAGTTATTAAGGCAGCTCTGTTAAAGCTGTTCTAGTACATGAGAAAGTACTTTTCATCCATCCTTAGAGGTTTATTAAACTTTTAGAATTATACAGCAGATCCTTTACTTAGCATTTTGGATTTTGCATTTGAAATTTCAGCTATGCGTGTGTTCTTTATACTCATGGGTTTGGTAGTTTGTCTTAGGATTCTACCCTCGCAATATATAGAAAAGGTTACAGAATGGAGATAAAGTGAAAATAACTTCTAAGGATCTTAAGGCATTTGTTTTCCATATCCTTTTTTTTACTGTGTGTGTAAAATTCCTGCTCATGGAATTTTGTGTTTTCTTCAAAAAGAAGTGCTCTTCCTTCATAGTTATCCTCTAACTCATTCGATAGTTTCCTAAGTAACTACTGTATCAACATTTATAATGCTGAGTTTGAAAGCTCTAATAAAATAAATAAAAATTACTGAAAGCATTAATAAATAAGGGCATGACACGCACAGGCAGCAACAAGCTGCATCTGTAGACTGGAAGTCTTTAGCATGCACGTAGTTGTTGAAGTGATGAACCACACCTGTATTTCCCAGAGAGCCATAACAAAAGAGAAGAGAATGGAGGAAGGAACCTTTTGGGAACACAGAACATTGAAGCATGGCTGAGACAGTGACCGTTCAAACAAGAGCTACATAGATGTGTGAGAGAGGAAGACTACAAGTTGGTGGCCACAGGACAGGCAAGGGACTTGGGGGAAGGGTGAGTTCTGGAATGCAGTCAGCAGAGCCAGGTGTGGCAAAGAGGTCTTCATGGATACAGGTGGAAAAGTATCCTTTGCATTTCATAGTTAGGTCATTGGAGACCTTTAGCTCATAAGGTTTTAGGGAAGTTGAGGCAGGAGTCAGGCAGCATGGCTAAAGGTCAGTGGGAGGTGGGGAAGTAGGGAGAGTGAGCATCATTTGTTTTCTGAAGCTCTTGCCTGTGAATAGAAGGAGTGGGAGAAGGGTGTGTTAGGAGAGAAAGCAAGATTGAGGGAGTTATCTTTCTTGCTAGTTTTACTTTAAATAGAAATGAATGAGATTTGTGTATATTTCTGAGTCGGGAAGGAGTCAAAGAGAGGAAGAGGTTAAAGTTATATAAAAGAGGAAATGGAGGTGAAATATAAGAAATAATTGAGAAGTGTTTTCATGATAGCACAGGGTGGGCATCCCTAATCCAAAGATCCAAAATACTCTAGTGAGCATTTTTTTTTTTTTTTGAGTGTCATGTGGGTGCTCAAAAAGTTTCAGATTTTGGAGCATTTCAATTTTGGATTTTCAGATTAGGGATGCTCAACCTGTACTCACATTTGCAGTTTTCATAGTCTTTTTCTTTTTAAAAACTAAACAACAGACATTCTCACTCTGCCTTTTAATTGATAGGTCTTCTAATGCATGTGTTGAAGAATAAACATAATGTGAAGCAGCCTAAAATGACACTTGGCAAAGTGGAGGAAGCTTGGATGTGGACAAGAAGTGTGGCTCTTATGGAGTTAGTCTGAACAGAAAATGATAGCGCCATACCTCATATGTTACTCCTCCTGGTACTCCTCATTCCACAACTAGCTATTTGCTTCTTAACACAAAGTTGTGAGGCAGCCAAGGAGAGAGTTTGGGTCACCATTTAACAAGTGAGACACCCCGGATGTCAAGTGACATAGCCAAGTGCAACAGCCAGGCAGTGGTGGAATTACATCTTGATGCTCCACCTTCTAATTTCTGGGCTGGTGCACCTTTAAGAAACTCATTTGCCTCCTTACTTGTAATCCCTTTCACTTGTTTAGTCTTACAGAGTGTTTTGACAACCATGGTTTCTTGCGATTCTCCCTCCAACCTTGAAAGAGCCAAGAGAGAATCTTCCCACAAAAGGATCCTCATATCCAGAGAAGTACATGATCAGCTAAAATGCCTTGTCACTCTCAAATTCTTGGAATTAGAATTTCCTGCCATTGTCCTAAAGGGCACCAGTGACAAACTTTAAGACATTTGACAGTTTTGTGTTCATCACTTCAAATCTGTTTACAAACTAGTTGTTGAAACAACTGTGTTAAGGTCCCTGGAAAAATGAGGAAAGACTCTGCACCCTGGCCAGAGCTTTGTCATCACTTTACTTTCTCCTCTTACCACATCTCTTCATTAGAGGTGGGAGACCTGTTGTTGGCTCATCAAATATGTATTTTTCCATAGGAAATGGGCTGAACACAAGGTTACTCAATTTACAGTCTCTAAGAGAAAGTGTGTCTTTTTTATTTACTTGAGAAAGTCATCAAAACAGAACAGGGGTCTAGGGCCTTAGAATTAAAGGAACGGAGAGAAAACCTTTCATAGACTTCTTTGTAGTTCACTTACCAAGCCTAGATATGTCAGCCCAGTGTGGGTACAGAACTTTGGTAGCTTTAGTTACCAAATCAAGGTTGGCATTGGGAAATCCCAGAATTACACAGGGAGTTCTGGCTGCTCCGGAGACTGAGTTCCAGAGACTGGTTTAGTGGGATGAGTTGTCCAAATGGCTCAATCATGAAGGTTACGGCAAAATGTTGGCCAAGGGCTTTTGAGAGAAGAGGGTGACTCTCCCTTGGATTGGTTAGTAAAGAATGTAGGATAGAGGGAGTTGTTTAATGAGTACAGAGTTTCAGTTTTGCAAGCTGAGAAAGTTCTAAAGATTGAAGTGATGAACCACACCTGTGTGGTTCACACTGTGTGAATATACTTAACACCACCGAGCTGTGTGCTTTAAAATGGTTAAGATGATAATTTTATGCTATGTGTATTTTACCACAATTTAAAAAAAGAATGCAGGACAGATTTCCCAGCTGTTATTACATAAAGTCTAGCTTTTACCTCCTTTGTGTTAGAAGAGTGCCAGGTGTATTTTCCATGCCATTATCACATCTGTACCATTCCCTCTTGGAACGATCCCTCTTAGTTTAACAACTACGACAAAAGAAACCCTTGACTGAGCTCGGGAAAGCTGAGGCAGGTTTTTGGGAATACATCCCACCTTCTGACTGTACTTACGTTACTCTTTCTTGCTTCTTCCGAATTCATTTAGCCTTCACCTAATGATCTGGCTTAGTTGCTTAACCAGAGTAGTTACCAGTGTTTGCCAAGAAGCCATTTCAAAATAAGCTATTTTTATTAGAGACATATTGGGCAATGTAAAAGTGTTACCATATGTAACAATGCAATACTGAAAAGCAACTTATTATAATTGTGCTTATTAACAAATCAGGATAGGAAGAAGGGGCATTAAGGTATAATAATTTAAAGGAATTTATATATCATGTTTTGGTTATGTAGACTAAGTGCTTTTTTAAAAAAATGAACAAAACCCAACTCTTTCTGTTAATTAACAGATCTACTAAAGTAGACATAGCTTGAAGCACTGCGGCACACAGGGGTGGCTCTGGGTCAGAACTCTGCTCTTCTAGGGCCTAGACGCAGAGACCCCTGGCACCCAAGGCCTCAGTTCTGATGCCATTCTCTAACAAAAGAGACCAAGGCTCCTGGCTCATTCCAGCACCAGGGCAGGGAAAGTACAAGATGAACCTAGAAGATCTTGTGCCAGAAAGTAAAGAATTGCTGAAAAAAAGGACAGGGCTTGTCGAAAGAACATGGGAGCAACATAAAGGAGCTTCCAATTGCCAAATCCGGGACAATTTGAGAAAGAAAATAAATAATGACTGTAATGAGTTATATAGCCCACAGAATCAATTAATATGAATGTGTTCATAGTATATAAATAATTGGGTAAACATGTCAGTGGTGGGAGGGAGAGCTCTTCCCTACTCATTCTGACTAATGTAGAAGAAATGATGGGAACGGAAAATTGCTGTTTGACAAACCACAGTGGTAATGGGTACAGACAAGAACACTCAGTGGACACTAAAGTTAGGGGGCAATGTGTGTTGTGAAACGGGGTATCTGCAGAGTCTTGAGAACCTCCCCTGAAGATGCTTAGTGACTCCCAAGGGAACAGTAGTAACCTCACAGTAGACACCACCCTAGCTATGCGGTCATCACCAGATATGTGCATGCAGCTCGTAGCCCTGATATCATGCACTGAGAACTCGGCATCACTGCTGTGGTTTTCTTGCCCAAAATGTCTCTTGTCCAAGTACTAACCAGGCTCGACCTTGCTTAGCTTCCAAAATCAGACAAGATCGGGTGTGTTCAGGGTGATGTGGCTGTAGACTCTTGCCCAAAATGTGTAGCCTGAATCTGATCATGAGGAAACATCAGACAGACCAAAGGGCCATGCTACAAAATAATTGCCAGCACCCTTCAAAAGTGTTATGTAAGATGTTATCTAGGGGAACTGGTTATACAAACTCTGTCCTATTTTTCCAACTTTTTGGAAGCCTGAAATTATTTGGAAATGAAAAGAAAAAAAAAACTCTGCTTCCCCATTTGAGTCTGAAGGATGAGCACCCTATTATTCTTTCTTAGATGTAATATTTATATCATTCCTTTTATTGCATTATGTATTTGCATTTTTACCTTTTACATCTGCATTTTTATCTTTTCTGATGCTCATAACGGCAATGTTAATAATACCTGTTGGGTGGATATTGTCATATCCTCATATACTTTTCATAGCTGAGGAAACAAAGATTTGGAGAGGTTAATGACTTTCTTGGAAGTCTCGCCATCTAACACAGCCCACTGTAGACTATGAGCTTATGGGGTCCCTCCTCTCCCTTGGATAACTAATGAGAAATGGTAGCAGGAGTTTCTGTAGTCTGGCTGTCCAGCCACAGTTGCTTCTGAGATTCTGGACTCCACACAGCTGAATCAATAGACCTGAGACTTCTTGCCATGGAGCTCTTGAGGGCAGGGAGGTCTGGAGTCCACAGGTGCAGGGGACTTGGATTTGGATTGGCTTGCAAAAGAACCCTGGATACTTCCACACAAATTAGTAAAAGTCTCTGAAGAGTAAACTTGTCTGCCCATCATTCTGTGCATACAGATTCTAAGTGTTTAGTTCTCACTTTGGAAAAAAGGTTCCTTTTTGGCCTAAGTTGAAATATTGATGCAAGAGTCAGACGTATGGAGATCAAATTCTCAGCTTCGTTATTCACAAAGACTATGTTGGAGAATGTATTATAGCTTAGATGCGTGGAAAAATGGGCTTCTTTTTGACATAGCTCTGAATGGAATTTCAGCCCTAAAGTGCAGGCCTCCCTTGTGAGGGTCATGGTTGGGCGGTGTGGGGCAGTAGAGCCTGCCCTACTAGCTCACTGCATCGCTGAGAGAATAGACTTTTCTGCACCCTCTTTCCCTGTAAGAAAGGGGCTGGGCCATTTATGCCCTGTGTTTCTTTCCAACTCACCAATCAGATAATTAATTCCTTTCTCAGAGGAGGAATGAAGAGGGGAGGAGGGAGAGGAAAGTCCAGGAGCATTCATCTAGTGAAGTCCCTACTCAGGGAAGTCCGAGGTGTCGGAGATAAGGATGTTCCTTTCCTCAGGGTACAGGGAGGGCACCTCTTGGATGAGGGTCTTGTCACCTGCTTCAGGGGAGAAGGGTGAGGGGATATGATTATTATATATTGGTTTTGTAGACTTTTATTTATTGTAACACAATAAAATCCCTTTTTTACCTTTTAATCAATAGATCTTATGAATCAGATATATTAATAGTAGAAGGTCATCAGATTATGAGCAAAGTGCAGAGAAACTGCCAGGTCACCATGTATGTGTGCATATGTGGTTCTTAGCAGGGGAGTTGGGGCAGGTTGACACTTCTGGAGAATTGTAGTAATGCCTCAATATATATAAATGCTTATACTTTTAATTCCAGGAGCTTCCTCCATCTTTACAACTACTTTTTATAGTAGTAACTGCAGACTTAATGATCCCTATCTTACAGATAAGGAAGCTGAGACTTACAGAGGTAAAGTGAGTTGTTCAAGGTTACAGAACTGGGAAGTGGTAGAGAAAAGACTTTTCCTTTGTTCTTATTTAAAATACTACTTTTATGTTTCAAAATTTTTATAAATCAGTTTTTCATTGTAAAAGTAATGTGAGCAGAGTTCAGATAATTTGGAAAGAGGAGAAAAAAGTCACCAGTTATTTCCCTGTCTAACATAAGCGAGTAAAAATTATGATTGCTAGAGGAAAGAGACAAAACCTCCAGAAAAGTAATAGAAAATGGCCTTGGGAGGCTGCAGCCTAGTTCTCTAGGATCACAGTTTCAGTGGAACCAATATATTGTGGGAAACATTTGACTTCTCTTGAGGCAAAAGGGAGTCAGGAAATGAATAAAAGGATCTGATTCCAGAGCCCAGATGCTCATTTACTATGAAGTTTTTTTTGTAACCAAGCTTATAAAGTAATTACTAAAGTAAGAATTGGAATGTAAGTGATAATGATATAGTATAGTTCCAAATTTTTATAAGTTATGTGTTCATTATATATATATATTTAAAATAGACTAAAAAATTCATCCTGCCTTAACTTAACATATCTTTTAAATTAGAAACATGAGGAGTCGTCACCTCACTGAAGATATATATTATGAAGGGCACTCGGGCATGTCTCTAGCAGGGCAGGAATATGAATATGTGGGCTGAGCACCACAGTTTTTGGAGAGTTAGACATGGTTGTTAACTTGCATAGGGCTTGAAAGTTCACAAAACACACTCATAACAACCATTGCCTTTGCTTCTGCAGACATTGTGAAGTGAGAGCACTTCAAAGATGAGCCTAGGGACTCAGGGAAGTTAAGGGACATTGTGAAGGTCACAAGGCTAGAGAATGGCTTGGCTGACTTCTAATTTCCAGTCCAGGAATCTTTTCATTATTTACATCATGCTATACTTGAGGGGGATGCTATGCTGATGAGCCTCTTGCAAAAAATGCTGGAGTGCTTTTTTTTTTTTTTTTTTTTTGAGACAGAGTCTCGCTCTGTTGCCAGACTGGAATGCAGTGGCGCGATCTCAGCTCACTGCAACCTCCGCAGTGGTTGGGATTACAGGTGTGAGCCACCATGCCCAGCTAATTTTTGTATTTTGAGTAGAGACGGGGTTTCACCATGTTGGCCAGGCTGGTCTGGAGCTCCTGACCTCGTGATCCACCCACCTCGGCCTCCCAAAGTGCTGGGATTACAGGCGTGAGCCACCGCACCTGGCTATACTGGGCTGTTTTTAAATTGCCTTGCTCATCATTCCGGTCTGGTTGGACAGGTATGGTGAGCCAATTTCCAGTTCATGTGGTAGGTGTGGGTAGCTACTTTAGGTTCTTAATCTGAGGAGGCAGAATGATGAGCATCTGTTTTAGGAAGAGAAGAGTAACCTGAGAGTGGTATCCCAGTGTGTCTGATGTGTGCTGGAGTTTGAGAACCATGGAGTCAAAGCAGTAGTAGGAAGGCATTCTTGGAGAGCATTTCAGAATTCAGATCTGAAGTGATGAGAGTCTCAATTAATGTGATGGCAGTGGAAATGAAGAGGAACACGTGTGTCCGAGAGATACTTGACAGAAGTCTTGGCCATGGTGAAAGTTGCTCTCCTGGTCATTCCTTACAGAACCCATGGTAGCCCTAGTGTGCTGGAGAGGGGTGTTAATTCCAGGTGAGCATCATCGTAAACCACTCAGAAGAGCTGAGTTTATGTGCTCGGAGGTGCTGAGCTCCCACTTTGTGTATCTAAGTGGGGGTGTGTATAGTGTATCCTCCCAGGTGACAGTGTGGCCAGCTGAGATGCAGAGGTGGATGTTTGGCAAGAGGACTAGTATCTGTTCACAGTCTGTTTCCTGGTAATGAAGGATGAGGTGTAACCTTAGCGAGAATTGGCAGGAGTTAAAATGGGAACACCTAATATTCGAAGGGAACGGATGTTGAGAAAAAGAGTGAGGATTTCAGAGCTGATGTATTTTCTTTTGTTCAAAGAATAAAATACATCCTCTCTGCCACTATGGTTTCTGGCTTTTGCCTGTTTTCTGTCCTCATTTTCTCTCATTCTCTGCCTTGCTCATCACATTCCCAGTTTAGAATCCCCCCTCTGCCCTCAACCTAGATATTCCCATCGCTGGCTCCATTATACAGCAATTGGATGTCACCTTTTTGGAGAGCTTTTCCTGACCATCCTCAGTAATGTTGGGCCTTCTCCTCACCCCTGCCTCCCACCAAAACTAGGTTCTCTTCCAGACCACTTATCCCAATCAGGGATGACCCTGGTCAGTTCTTGGTCTACTTGTGCAAATCTGTCTTCCCTTCTCCAGTAGAATGAAAGCTCTTTGAGAGCCTGGGTTCCTGTGTGTCTTGTTCATTGCTGTATCGCCAGAACCTAGAAGAGTACCTGGCACATATTTAGCATAAATATTAGTTGAAAGGGCTTTAGGCAAATATTTGATGAGGGGGACAGAGGTAGGCGATGGGGAAAGAAATGGGTCTATAGACCCCAGGCAACACACAGTGACCAACCTGGACTGGACGGTAGAGATGAGACAGGATAAATTCAAGAGATGTTCAGAATGTAACACTGACAAAATTTCGTGATGGACTGTTATAGGAGGTGTCAGGCAACTTTCTTGTGAAAAATCTTGCCGTGAGAGGTTTATGAACTCCTAGCATTCTTACATGATCTCTTCATTCACTGGAAACTTAAGGGCAAAGCAATTCTTAGCCCTCCATCAAGAGCTTGCCTCGGTTCTACTCCATCCTAGAGGAGGTGTCTCAAACTCTAGGCATGAAGAAGTCTCTGTTTCTACTCAGAGCAGTTGTACCCGTCCATCCACCCATTTACCACTCAACATATTTTTTGAGCACGTAATATGTTCTAGGTATTGTCGAAGGCACTGGTGCACAGGAATGACTAAAACAACCTCCTTGCATTTATGTCCTAGAGAGGAAAGACAGACAAGCATGTCTACAAATGCTACATGCACAAGATACTTTTGGATGGTAATAATGGTGGGAGAAAAAACCCTGAGACAGGATGGGATGGGGTCAGCCAGGCTGCTCTGCGTTAGATTAGATCTGAATAACAAGAAGGAGCCTTGAGAAGACCTGCGAGGAGAGAGGGGTTCTGGCCTTGCCTTCATAACCTATTCGTGCTAGAAGAGTCACTGAAGGGGCACTTTGCTTTCATGTTTTAAAGAATGAAATTGAAGAGGTTGGTGGGATGGAAGCTCAACTTCAAATACTTACCAAGTTTATTTATTTTTATTTCATTTTATTTATTTATTTATTTAGTTTTTGAGATAGCGTCTCGTTCTGTTGCCCAGGCTGGAGTGCAGTGGCATGGTCTTGGCTCACTGCAACCTCTGCCTTCCAGGTTCAAGCAATTCTCCTGCCTCAGCCTCCTGAGTAGCTGGGATTATAAAGAATGCACCACCACACCCAGCCTAGCTAATTTTTGTATTTTTAGTAGAGACGGGGTTTCACCATGTTGGCCAGGCTGGTCTCAAACTCCTGACCTCAAATGATCCACCTGCCTCGGCCTCCCAAAGTGCTGGGATTAGAGGCATGAGCCACCGTGCCTGTCTCATTTATTTATTTTTTTTGAGATGGAGTTTCACTCTTGTCGCCCAGGCTGGAGTACAGTGGTGCAATCTTGGCTCATTGCAACCTCCACCTCCTGGGTTCAAGTGATTCTCCTGCCTCAGCCTCCCGAGTAGCTGGGATTACAGGCATGTGCCACCACACCCAGCTAGTTTTGTATTTTTAGTAGAGACGGGGTTTCACCATGTTGGTCAGGGTGGTCTCTCACTCCTGACCTCAAGTGATTCACCTGCCTTGGCCTCCCAAAGTGCTGAGATTACAGGCACTTTGAGCCTGTAATCAGCCACCACACCCAGCCTCATTTTATTTTTTTGAGACAAAGTCTCTATCGCTCAGGCTGGAGTACAGTGGCGTGATCATGGCTCACTACAGCCACAAACTCCTGAGCTCAAGCATCCTCCCACTGCAATGCCTGTAGCTGGGATTACAGGCACACACCACATGCCTGGCTATTTAAAAAAACTTTTTTATAGAGACGAGTGCTCACTCTGTTGCCCAGGCTGGTCTTGAGCTCCCGGCCTCAAGCATTCCTCCTGCCTCAGTCTCCTAAAGTGCCGGGCATGAGCCAAACATGCGTGCTGGTTTATTTCTTATCAGCAGTTTTGTTTGCCAAATCATCCTACTGCTCATTTACTTATTGAAATATTTCCCTTTTGCAAGTCGTTACACAAAACATTTTAGAGATGGCTTTAAAGAACAAAATCTCTGTCAATCATAAGTGATTAATATATAATTTTCAAAAAAGGATAAAATCATGACTCATATAGATACAAAAATGAACATGTTAAGGATTTTATTTAATCACTGATTATTAATTATAGATGAGGACATTTGGCAGATGTTATAACAGGTTCAAAGGAGAAATCAAAACAGAACAAATTTCTGTGAAGTAAAGTACTGTTGAAATTAATATGCAAATTCAGGAAAACTAACTTATTCCACGGTCGGGGAGGGAAGTTAGTTGAACCTCTACTGGCCAGGACAAAATTAACATGCCTATAGACAACAGTTATTTTGCACTGCTATTAGTTACCTACGATTTACAGAGTTGTAATTTCCCTGAGAATCAGAATCTAATTACCTGTAGAGGTCTCCTCTAGAGTCTCAACAGTGCATGGTTTTCCAATGAAGCACATTTTTTTCCTATGTATAACCAGCCTGTCCTGTCTCCAGAATCCACACACAGACACACACACAGACACACACACACAGACACACACACACACACACACACACACACACACTCCCTTCGGACAACTTGCTGATCGTAAAGCTATAGAAATTCTCTGTGCTTTTTTCTTGATCTTTAGTTCATCATCAACCAAGGTGGATCTCAAGAGTGGCCTCGAAGAATGTGCTGTGGCATTGAACTTATTTCTAAGCAACAAATTTACAGACGCCTTAGAATTGCTTCGCCCCTGGTAATTTACTTTGTCTCTTTTAGATAAAATATCTTTCAGATGTTTCTGATGATTCTTTGATGTCATGCTTGTAAATTAATTTAGCTGTTCCCATCTGAATATTGATAAGCTAATTTAGTTCAGACCTCTTTACTTTGGTCACTTTTAAAATTCAATTTAGAAATCTGAGTTTTCAAATATAATTAATAGAAAATTTCTGATTGTTTTGCATATTTTAATCTCTCTTGTTCAGATATTGTCATCTTATAAGTAGTTTTATAAGGCTTCAATTTTGCTTTCTTCAGTGAAATGTTTTTATGTTTGTTCCTTTTAAATATTATTGAGAAAATTTTCCTTTGAAATGGGGAGGGGAAAAACCAGAATATGCTGATCTCAATGCTATTAAGAAATTTAAGATAAGAAGACTATTATTGGGGTTCTCTATTTGTTCGAAAAACAAGCAATTTAATTTCAATTAATAGTACCTGTTAAGTTTTCAGATGTGGCAATAAAACCTGTGCTTGCCTGTTTACTCGGCCTTTGTCTTGACAAGAATAATCGTACATTGTGCCCTCAAACACTTGCTTAGATGAAGCTTAGACCTCATATGATAATTTCCAAGATTACTTGGGCATAAAAGTCGGCAATCTCGTTCCTTACTTTGAGTGGTTACCAGGGTGACTGGACTCTGGTCATGTGAATCTTAGAGATTGATTGACCTGCTGAGGAGCTGCTATGGTAATTGTGTTAAGATTTAGAATAGCTGTAATCAAGATGGGTCAGCTATTGTTTCACAGGTTAAGAACAAATGATGAAATCGATAATGAAGCCCTGTAGTCTAAGGAAATTTTCCAGTGTTGTCTTCAATATTTGCCTCACAATCTCCACCTTGCCTGTCCTCTGCTTTTTTCCTTCTGTCCTCCTCTGTCCCTCAGACTTCTTTGTCTCCTGTCTCTACCTCCTTTTGTCTGCTTGTCTTTCCCTCTCTCAGTCTCTCCTTCTCTTTTCTCAGCCTACTTGCCTGTCTTCTTTGGGTTTTTAAATGCTTTTATTGATGAGCCATAGTTGTACCTATTTTTGGAGTACATGTGATAATTCCTTACCTGTATACAGTGTTCAGTGATCGATCAGGTTAACTGGGTTATCCATCACCTCAAACATTTATCTGTTCTTAGTGTCAGGAACATTTATAATTATTCTCTTCTAGCTATTTTGAAATAATGATAAATTATTGTTAATTATAATTTCTCTATTATTAAATACTAGAAGTTATTGCTTCCATTTAACTGTATTTTTGTATCCATTATCTCCTTTGATTTTTATTCAAACGAGTCTTTCTCTGCCACTGACACACAGCTGGTCATAACATGGAATGAAAATAGGTGATTTAGTGTTGTGTTCAGTCAGGTTAGTCTCCGATTTTTGTACATGTTTCAGTGTTTAAATGGCTCACGCCTGTAATCCCAGCACTTTGGGAGGCCGAGGCAGATGGATCACCTGAGGTCGGGAGTTCGAGACCAGCCTGACCAACAGGGAGAAACCCTGTCTCTACTAAAAATACAAAAAATTAGCCAGGCATGGTGGTGCATGCCTGTAATCCCAGCTACTCGGGAAGCCGAGGCAGGAGAATCACTTGAACCCGGGAGGCGGAGGTTGTGGTGAGCCGAGATTGTGCCATTGTACTTCAGCCTGGGCAACAAGAGCGAAGCTCTGTCTCAAAAAAAATTAAATAAATAAAAATACTTTTCCCTCACTTGAATCATTTTTTTTTTTTTTTTTGCTTCTTGAAAGAGCTTTCAGTTAAAAATGTGAGGTTTGAAACCACAATTAATGATTAACTTTGGGCTGCTCTGATTCCTTGTGGTTCTTTTGAACAGATAGTGCCCTCAATGTTCAGGACAAGCTGCAAATTACCAAAGGATGTTTAGACTATTTCCATGGAGGCAAAGAATAATGTGGCTTGCATTTGTTTTGCATGGCAGCAGGCTGTTATGCATTAATATTTAAATTAAAAACAAAACCATGCATTACCATTTTAAACCTTATAAATAATTAATACAGCTTAAGAAGTTTTGAGAAAATAAATGATGTTCTCATAGCCCGAGAATCTGGATGTCTGCCATCTATTAGGACTAGTTCTAGTTAACATCCTTAAGAATCCTGAAGCAGTTCTCACTGTAACTTGATGATTTGAAATATCAAGAACTTTAATCAGGAACTTCAGATAATGGGATTAGACTAGATACAAGGTCTGACAACTACTTTGGTCATGGCTCTTGTGACCAGCCTAACTTATTCCAAAATCTTGTTTGCTCTTGGCCTTTGGCTGGCGAGGAGAGGGATTATTTTATATAAGCCTTTATTTTTGAAAAAATATATCAGAATCTCTCTGTCAAAAAATACATTTCCAGCGGCCTTTATTTTAGCACTTATTTCAGAGCCAAAGGCCGTGTGCTGCCCCTTTTTCAACAGAAAACAGTTTGCTTGCAATCTGCCTGCAGGCTGCCCTCTTGTGTTGAAATAGGGAAATGCATATTGTCCCCTTCAACCTGGAACATTTTGTTCTGCCTGTGTGGGTTTACATTGGAAAGTCCTTGGTACTTGAGTTTTTAAGAGGTTACTTTTCACCACCCATATAATTTCAGTGATTATGGTGAAGGAATAAAGGTTACTGTGCAAGTCAGGACATGCATTTACTAGGATTTCTTATGATCAGTATTTCCATTGAATTAAAATGTCTGAATTCCCTGTGTTCTTCCCAGGGCTAAGGAGAGTATGTACCATGCCTTGGGCTACAGTACCATTGTGGTGTTGCAGGCTGTCCTGACCTTCGAGCAACAGGACATCCAGAACGGCATTTCTGCCATGAAGGACGCTTTACAAACCTGCCAAAAGTATGACGAGTCATTAAATACTTAAGATGTGACTGCAAACTTTTATGCCTGTGTGACAAAAATAATGTCATTTGCCTGACCAAAAGCTCTGTGTTTGAAATTGGCCACAGTTACAGAAAAGAAATTCAGCCTCGAAGCTGAAGGATTCCCATTTGGCATCTACATATTCCACTTTTCTTTTTGATAGCCTGGGGTCTGAGCTACAGAGATCTGGGGGGGATTTCGGGGGGATTTCAGTGGGATTAGCAGCAAGCATCTCTCAATGTAGATGACATTAGGTACTGCATGCCAAACCAAGCCACACAAGGAACATTCTTGTTTTAAGTGGGAGATGCAAATTCATGAGGGAATGTTTTATTTGTTTAAGAAGGACCTGTTTTTGAACACTTTTGTTTGGTGAAAATGAGATAGATTTTTAGTTTTATTTTAAGCTTTACTTTGTGTGTATAGGAAGACCCTATCAAAATTTTTTTCAAGGGGTAAGTTATTTTGATATCTTTTAAAAAATGATAGGTGTTTCACAGTATGGAAGATGCTTGGTTTGTGGACATTTAGGAATATTCAAGAATCCAGGAATGGCTGGCTGCAGCACCCTGATCAGATGGATGGGAGGAAATGACCCCTGTTGCTGTCAATTGCTTGATGTGCCCCCCATAGGACTAGGGCAGAAGGTTCATGATCAGAAGGTTAACATGGGTGAAATTACATCCTGATGTAATTGTGTTGTAAGCTCCTCAAATGAAGAGAGCTTCCAAATATTGCACTTTAACTTCATTTTTAACCTGTGGAGAATTTTACCACAAATACTGATTTTAGTTATAGGGATAAGGGAAGGTACTTTGGAGGTTAGTTTTCATTGGTGTGTGTGGGTTTCCCCACGTGGTGTTCAGTAGCACAGACTGAGTTCCCACAAATGGCTAGCCAGTGCTGCATGTAGAGTGTTGGAAAAGGATGATCTGTGTCCTATAGACTTCAGGGTTTAGAGTTTCAGCTTTTTGACTCTTTGGTGTGATAGTGACTGAAATGAACGTCAAATGAAAATGAGCTCAGCCTGATTTTTTTTTTCTATTTTCTATCTCCCTTTTTATTTATTCAATGTAGATACAGGAAAAAATACACAGTTGTAGAATCTTTCTCAAGTCTTCTTTCTAGAGGATCCCTGGAGCAACTGAGTGAAGGTAAAAGTCATTTAAAAGATCACTTTTTTCCTTGATTTTAATAGTTAAATGATCATCTCATAAAATTCCATCCTGAAGTATATAAAGTAAATGGAATGTCTTTTTCTCTTCCCTATCATACTCACCCTCTGGAAGAAATCATTGTTAATAGTTCATTTTGAAGCCTTTTCTGTGTACATACTCAAATACATAAATAAGGTACACATAAGGTTTTTGTTGTTGCTCATGGATTGTTCATTTTTTTTTTGCAAGCATAGAATCACATAATAGGTGTTGTCCTACAATGTGAATTTGACATTGACACTTCCCCAGATCGTTACATGTGAGTGTTTAACAGCTGTGTGGTATTCCATAGGATTGATATACTGTACTTTACTTGGCTTTTCTCTATGGTTTTTATTTTTTCACTGATATGAATAATGGTGTCCTAGAATCCTTATACATATGGATTCATGCATTTTAAAAAGTTATTTCATAAGATAGATTCCTAAAAGTGGAAGAACCAGGACTGACAGTTTGAAAACTTACAATATTTATAGGTATTCCCAGTTTTTTTCTACATATAGGTCAGTTTATATTCTTAGCATTCATCTTTGAGAGTTTCAGTTTTCCACAAGCTATTAAACATTTTTTTCAAAGTGAAAGTAATTTTGATATCTTTTAAAAATGATAATGTTTCACAGTATGGAAGATGCTTGGTTTGTGGACATTTAGGAATATTCAAGAATCCAGGAATGGCTGGCTGCGGCACCCTGATCAGATAGATGGGAGGAAATGACCCCTGTTGCTGTCAATTGCTTGACGTGCCCCCTGGGACTAGGGCAGAAGGTTCATGATCAGTTCTGTCTTTTCAGTGTTACACTCTAGTCCACAATAGTTTACAAGAAAGGAGCATCTAAATATTCCTGTAGAAGGAAAAAAAAAAGTCCTTCAAATGTCACTATTGTAGAATAAAGCTTTTGCCATCCCAGGAGAATCTGTGCCTGTATTGCCATTGTCAAACATGTTCTCTGAAGAGGTAACACAAAATACTAGAATATACCATACTAGAGAACACAAAATACAAAGCTACTAGAAGTAGCTTTGGCTGATTAGAGCAAGAGCAATTCTGGATATTGCTGTCAGAGTAGTTTCTAATGGTCAAGTGTATGTCAGACATATTTTTGAGTGTGTTTTATTAGGAAGTTTTGTTTATTTTGTTAGATGAGTATTATCAACTTGTTATGGACGTTGGAGAACTTGGGAACATTTGCATGATGTGAAGCTAGAGTATTGATTATAGGAGAGGAATTATGAGACATTTCACATCTTTGGGACTTATTTCAAAGGGGCATGATGTTGACCCCAAAACCATGGTCAAACAGAATGGCATTTCATTGGTCATTCTAGGCAGCTGAAACCCATCATCTTTTTCTCCAGAAACTGACCTCCAACTATTTGTAAGAATGTATTTATCCTCTTGACTTCGGATAGAATGTGTCTGCATATTTTCCATCTTTGAGCTGCTTATGTAAATTAGTCCCGTTAGACCTAAAGTTCACTAAAATGGGTTAATGAGAAATCAAATAGGCCCAAAAGAAATTGAACCTTTTTGTTGTATTCTCCTTTCTGTTACTCTCTCTATGGTTTCCCTCTAGTGGCCCATTGACCTCTGCCTCCCTTTTTCCTTTTAGTATGAAGGCTGATATTTGAGATTTTTTTTAGCTGCATTTTGGCATGAATGACATGGTATTTTTTGTATGAGTATAAATAATAATAATAATTTGGCCGGGTGTGGTGGCTCACACCTGTAATCCCAGCACTTTGGGAGGCCGAGGCGGGTGGATCACAAGGTCAGGAGTTACAGACGAGCCTGGCCAACATGGTGAAACCCCGTCTCTACTAAAAATATAAAAATTAGCCAGGCATGGTGGCGCACACCTATAGTCCCAGCTTCTCAGGAGGCTGAGGCGGGAGCTTGAACCCAGGAGGTGGAGGTTGCAGTGAGCCGAGATCGCGCCACTGCACTTCTGCCTGGGTGACAGAGTAATACTCTGTCTCAAAAATAATAATAATAATTTGAAAAATAAGATGATAATGCTCCTTTTTTTTTTTTTTTTTTTTTGAGACCAAGTCTCACTCTGTTGCCCAGGCTGGAGTGCAGTGGCATGATCTCAGCTCACTGCAAGCTCCGCCTCCCAGGTTCACACCATTCTTCTGCCTCAGCCTCCCGAGTAGCTGGGATTACAGGTGCCCGCCACCACGCCTGGCTAATTTTTTGTATTTTTAGTAGAGACGGGGTTTCACCACGTTAGCCAGGATGTCTCAATCTCCTGACCTTGTGATCCGCCCGCCTCAGCCTCCCGAAGTACTGGGATTACAGGTGTGAGCCACCGTGCCCAGCTGATAATCCTCCATTTTTAAAAAGCATCCTGTATGTGCTATATACTGTCCTTGTTGCTTTTCTTAACATTAACCAATCTAACCTCCTCTTTGTAGACTTGGAACTGATCAGAGTTATAAACAAATGGCCAGGATTCCCCACCTAGCAGAGTAGGGTTAACTGATCATCTGCCTTTCCCTAAGCCACAACTCTTTCACTGTAACCCACACTTTCTCCTATAGGCAAGTAGAGAAGGGCATGAAATGTGTCATATACGGATGAAGGAAATAATGAATTATTTCTGTGTTAGTCATCTTGAAAATAGATGATACTGTGTTGTTATATTTTTATAATGTCTTTGAACAATGGCACTTTAGGAAATCTGGAATAAGGTAGAAAATTACTTTTTACTAATTATAAAAAGTAGGCTGGGCCTGGTGGCTTGTGCCTGTAATCCCAGCTACTTGGGAGGCTAAGGTGGGAGGATCCCTTGAGCCCAGGAGGTGGAATGTATTAGTCCATTTTCACACTACTCTAAAGAACTGCCCAGGACTGGGTAATTTATAAAGGAAAGAGGTTTAATTGACTCATAGTTCTGCATAGCTGGGGAGACCTCAGGAAACTTAAAGTCATGGCAGGAGGCAAAGAGGAAGCAAGGTACCTTCTTCACAAGGTGGCAGGAAGGAGAAGTGCGTGTAGGAGGAACTTGTCAAACACTTATAAAACCATCAGATCTCGTGAGAACTCACTCACTGTCATGAGAACAGCATGGGAGAAACCACCCCCATGATCCAAACATCTCCCACCAGTTCCCACCCTTGATACAAGGGGATTATGGGGATTACAATTCAAGATGAGATTTGGGTGAGGACACAAAGCCTAACCATATCACAGAGGTTGCAGTGAGTGCAGATCATGCCCCTGTACTCCACCCTGGGTGACAGAGCAAGAACCTGTCTCTACATAAATAAAAAAAATAAACTAATAAACTTGTGACTATAGCCTATTATGAAATACAGGTTTATTTAGACTTTCATATCTAAATAAACTTAGCTTATTTAGCTAAGTTTATTTAGCTTAGCTAACATTATTTCAGTGCATCATGAAGATATTTACTCCTGTGGACTAAGGAATTTATAATTAAGAGATATTCTGGTAGTTACCTACTCATAAGTGCCTAATGGCTAATTTTGAGAACTAAAGAACTATGCAATGTAAATCAACCACAGTGAAAGAATAAGACTTTTATAAATTAAGCTGTATTTTATTCTTAGTGAGTTTGGCTGTCAACTGCAACCCAAACAGACTTTGTGTTCAAGGGAGCATGTCAAAACATTGTAGCTTTAGTGTGTGATTTGTTTTTCCTCTTGGTAATTTTCATTTACATCCTTGAGTGTCTGGTTGTCTACAGGAGTGAGTATATTTCATTAAACTTTTCATGGTTTTAATGTGGAACATACTAGTTCTTTTCTCTTGTGGCTGGCGGATTGCCCCAAATGGGTTTCAAATTGCCTTTACAAACAGATATTTAAATGCAATGAGTGCCTGGGATGTGAAAGGGATTTAATATGACAGATACTTATTTGCAGAATACAAAGTTCAAACTCTCATGCCTTTTCTGTCTGCCTTGTTGTCACATCCCCATGCTGCTCTTAACTTTGTTCATCTTTCACTTAACCCTGATCTGCCCACCCGTCTGCTCAGATCTCTGCAGGGACTGACTCACTGTTGCTTCCTGAATCAAGTGCAGACTCTAACATTCAAGGCCACTTATAATTGAGCCTTGACTGAGCCCTTCCAGCCTCATTGATGTCTCCTCCCTTGACTGGCTTTTCCTGAAGGTGCTCTTGGCTTTCCTTGCTCCTGTTACCAGCACAGTCCCCTCCGCCCCGGCTCCCCCACCGCTGCCATCACCACCACGGACTTCATCCCCTCTGCATGTACCCCAAGCCAGCAATCTGTATTCCTGAGCAGACTTTCATAGCTCATAATTCCTGGTTCTCACTCTGTTACAGAATTACCTAGGAAGAGGATATTCAGGTGACTGGGTAAAAATAAGTTACCAGTTGGTATCCCGCTGAACACAGCTAGAAAATCACTAGGCACACTTTGAGGAGAGGTGTTCTGAAGGACTGAGACCCTGACTGTGGATGTGCAGGCTCTAACTCCTCAAGTTTGGTCTGTTAATGGCTTTGGCCCCATCTTTCTGTGTACTGTTGAAGACCTTAGCTGCAGAGGTGCTTCTTTGTAAATTAAACATTGGAATATGAGCATGGCAGGAACTTGAACCAATTTATGAGAACCAGTGGGTTGTATGTGTGTGTAGGGTGGGGGTGGCATCTATGTGTATAAGTGCAAGAAAGTACTTGTTGTCATCTAAGTCTATTTAGCACTAATCCCAATAATAAGAAATACCCTATTTTCAGTCACAGTCCACATAAAAATGCTTTCTTCTTTCTGAGCTTTTACCAAAAAGCAGTGACACGGATCATGGGCAGTAATCTCAGTGCACGTAGTTAGCACTGATCCAGTGCTTACTCTGTATCATGAGCTCTATGTGCAGCACTTCATTTGATCCTTCAGCTGTGAACTAGAGGCGGCGTTAGTGGCCTTTATAAATGAGGAAACCAGCAGAGAGGGGACGAGGTCCCATAGCTCGTACATGGCAGAGCCTTTTTAGCAGCTCAGGCTCCTAAATACCCCAGGCTCGTTTACTTAAATATCATGCCACTTTGCATCCCATGGATAGAGCAAGAATCTGCTGACTTGTGTATGGAAAAAAGTAAAGGTTTGTCTCTCCATCCTCTGCAAGTATAATGGTTGGTTGGGAAGCTAGGGTGTGTGTTTTGGGGTACTCCGCAGGTCCCTGGGATGCACAGAGCCCCACCTAACCCCTTTTTGTGAGTACCTTGTTCTTGTGCTAGACATCTACATGATCAAATTAGCCTGAAACTGGGGTAGTGCTACCTCTTTCTATATCAGGTCTTCATGTGTGAGGAGTCTTAACGTGGCCGTGCAGGACATTTCTTTTTCACCGAGCTCTAGAGAATTGCTGCTTTCTTTTCAGGTAGCTAATGTGTCTGGTTAGTGTCATGGTTACCATACCTTCATATTTTAGAAGCTAGCATTCATACATTTAATTTAGTTTTTTTCAACTTTTAAAACTGTGTGAAAGTTGTTTTTTTTTTTTCTTTTTGAGATGGAGTTTCACTCTTGTTGCCCGGGCTGGAGTGCAATGGCGCAATCTCGGCTCACTGCAACCTCCACCTCCCGGGTTCAAGTGATTCTCCTACCTCAGCCTCCCGAATAGCTGGGATTACAGGCATGTGCCACCACGCCTGGCTAATTTTTGTATTTTTAGTAGAGATGGGGTTTCTGCCTGTTGGTCAGGCTGGTCTCGATCTCCTGACCTCAGGTGATCCACCCACCTCGGCCTCCCAAAGTGCTGGGATTACAGGCGTAAACCACCACGCACAGCCAAAGTTTTATGTTACTAATTAAGTTAAAAAATAAGTGGTTTCCTTTTTTAAAAAAGTGCTTTTAAATGTTCATTTCCCCTTGTGAGTTGAGTTTGCGTCTCTGATACGAAGTGACTGACTCTTTGCAGTTACATTTGAATGGGGATGACTTCCCTGAACACTTCACACATTCCAGGAAAATCTTCCTGACAAAGTGAGAACTGGGGTTATCATTCCACTTTTGTGGAAGCACAAGGGCAATCTAAGTTTTGGGGTCTCTCTTGGGTTCATTTTTCTGCCAGTCTTTCCTGAACATCACAGAGCAATCACTTTGGATGTGTGATTTTACTTAATATAATTTTATTTGTTTTTTGTAGAGGAAATGCATGCTGAAATCTGTTATGCCGAGTGTCTCCTACAGAAAGCTGCACTCACGTTTGTGCAGGTAATGAATATTTGGCTTGGAATTCGTATTGGCTGGGAAGACTGCCAGTGCTGCATAGAAAAATGTGGTGCATTCTATGTCAAAGCTTCAGTTCTTTTGACTTAGAGTTGTAATGGCAAATATTTGTTATTCTGATAAACTTTGGCTGAAAAAAGATGCTAGAGAGCTTTGTTCCTCCTCTACTGCACTTAAGAATCTATTTCAAATTGCACTCCACTGGGAATCATTGCCCTTTAAAGACTGTGTCTTTAAAGAAACTTTAGGCCAGGCAGGGTGGCTCACGCCTGTAATCCTAGCAGTTTGGGAGGCTGAGGTGGGCGGATCACCTGAGGTCCAGAGTTCGAGACAAGCCTGGCCAACATGGTGAAACCCTGTCTCTACTGAAAATACAAAAAAAAAAAAAAATTAGCCAGGCATGGTGGCGGGCGCCTGTAATCCCAGCTACCCGGGAGGCTGAGGCAGGAAAATCACTTGAACCTGGGAGGTGGAGATTTCCGTGAGCCGAGGTCCTACCACTGCACTTCACCTTGGGTGACAGAGCAAGACTTTGTCTCAAAAACAAAAAAGAAACTTTAAAGAAACTGCTTTGCAACCGTCACATCTAATTTTAAGATGCATCTGTGTGGAAACCGGGAGAGTATTCTCCTTTGCGCTTTCTACTGGTAGAGTCCGCACATGGGAGTGGCCCGGGCAGAGGAAGTGTCCCCTGTTACACCACTTGCCTCAGTCAAGTTCAGTTATGCATGCATAGCATGTATACTTCAAATTTTATTTTTCCCCTTCTTTCTATATTCTCATTCTCCTTTCTTTTATTTCTTCCTTTGGAAGAGCAGTTTTTAGAAGTCACTAAACAATCCTTTTCTTATGATCCATTTTAATTTCACCTCTGGGAACTGATACAGTCAGTACCTTGCCTATTTCTGTATCTTCCAATGCTTCTGTAAAACATAAACTTTCACATAATGGCTTCATGGGTGGTAGTGATGGCTACAGTGAGGGTGAGGTGGGGTAGAGATTGTAAGAAATCAGAAAGAAATTCAGCTGTGAAATGGAAAATCTTCCCTCACTCACAATCTTTTTTTTTTTTTTTGGTGGGGGAGGGGTGGCAGGGTGGTTGGAGCCTCATTCTGTCACCCAGGCTGGAGTACAGTGGCATGATCTCGGCTCACTGCAACGTCTGCCTCCTGGGTTCAAGCAGTTCTTCTGTCTCAGCCCCCCGAGTAGCTGGGATTACAGACGTGTGCCACCATGCCTGGCTAATTTTTGTATTTTCAGTAGAGACAGGGTTTCACCATATTGGTCAGGCTGGTCTCGAACTCCTGACCTCAGGTGTTCCACCCACCTCGGCCTCCCAAAGTGCTGGGATTATAGACGTGAGCCACTGCGCCCAGCCACAATCTTTTGAATTATTTGACAGTTGCTTCTTTCTTTTCCTGGAGGTTTACCTCTTGGGTTGGATTCTGGTTTAGTAAAACGGAATCACTGTAGCCCATGACCCTGTTTCCTAAAACCCAGACATTACAAAGACTGGTTGATAACAACAGTCTTACTGCCTCAGTAAGCATCATAATGATAGTCATGGAGGCCCAAGTTTTTTTCTGTTTTCCAAACAGGGATTTGGCAATCAAATCTGGGATTTGAAGGCTTATTTTATATTTGGGGATTTGAAATTAAAGAGATATCCATGTTTGTCCCCTCTTCCTCATGACTCCCACCCAGTCACCTTTATATTCATGCTGCTTTAGCCTTTTAAAGATTGTGCAGCTCCGTCTCTTCCTATCATTGTTCTAGAAGAAGTGCTTATCTACTCTTTTCTGGACTGCACAGCAACCTAGTGACTCTCCCTCTCTAATTTCTTTTACCTTCAGCTCATTCCCTATTCTGCAGTTGAGGGTTGAGTAACCTCTTAAAAATGAGTCTCTGACCTGGTCACTTCTCTGCTTCAGCATTCAGTAGCTCTGATTGATTGAGTATGGCAGTATTCTGTATCAGAATGTCACAAATGAGGGGGGTACTTTTTCAAACAAAACTGGTACCTCCTCTCTATGTTCCCTACCCGCCCCCCGCACCTTACAGGTGTCCTTGAAAGCCACTGACGGGTTTGCATACTTGAGTAGCATGGCTGGAGGTAGCTTTCTTAACTCCTTGGTCATTCTCTTTGCAATAGATTCTTCAGCAGTGTGGAATTACATATGCACACATGGCCAAACCCATCATGATCCTTAATGCCACCCTGTCTTTCCACTTGAGTTTTACTTTGCTTACAAAATTCACATCTGCTTTGCCTTTCTATACCTGTCCAGTTTCTAATTATTTTTGTGCTTAAAGCACCAATGCTTCCAGGAGGCATGTCTGGCCCTTTCCATGCCACTACTTTGTGTTCTCATGACATCCCATGCATGATCCCGTCCCCGTGCATGGCTCCCTCCCCGTGCTTGACGCCCTCCCTTAACATATTGTATTACTTTCATCTGTTTTTGCATTTGGGTGCCTGGTATAAAATAGGCATTAAGTTTAAGTTTGATGAATCCTGAAATGAGATATGTTTGTTTTTTTTTTTTTGAGGTATATTTCAAGCTAATTTAAGAAATTCTTTTCTGGTTGGTATTGGATTTTATGTAATCATAAGATTCCTTAATTTAAGAAGATAAACATTGAATTTCATATCTATTGATTCTTATAATAATTAGAACATTAAATATTTAAGCAATTAATGAAATTAGTAAATGAAATTCAGTTTTTCTTTTGCTACAGAAGGATGCTTAAGTACACGAGAAATACATATCAGAGCATCTTTCTTTTTTCTTCTTTTTATTTATTGTTTTGAGATGGAGTCTCGCTCTGTCACCAGGCTGGAGTGCAGTGGCGCGATCTTGGCTCACTGCAACCTCCACCTCCCAGGTTCAAGTGATTCTCCTGCCTCAGCCTCCTGAGTAGCTGCGACTACAGGCACCCGCCACCATGCCCGGCTACTTTCTGAATTTTTAGTAGAGACGGGGTTTCACCATGTTGGCCAGGATGGCCTTGATCTCCTAACCTGGTGATCCACCCGCCTCGGCCTCCCAAAGTGCTGGGATTATAGGCGTGAGCCACCACGCCCAGCCAGAGCATCTTTCTGATATCAATAGACTAGAAAAACTTTCTCTCTGGATATGCAAAACGTAGGACTGTCTCCACTAGTACCATCTATTAGAGTAACTTCCTTCAAGTGGTTATTTGATGTAATTTATTGTCTTAGAATCCTAGAATGCTGACCCTGAAAATGCCATTCATCTAGGCCAACAGCCTCAATTTTATGGTCGATGACAATCAGATAAACAGAATTGAAGTGGTGTTGTTTTCCTAAAACAAAATTGTGTAGTAGTGACAGCCACTTCAGAAACCAGACCAGTTATTTTGGGCCTAGAAATGTGTGTGAGTAAAATTCGCAACATTAAAAAGACTCTGACTGCTAAAGTACTCTGTGAAAGAAGGACCATTGTCCCATTTACTGGGTGTAATGTACTGGAAGGTTTGGCCTTAGAGCAGATTGTTAAAGTCATCCATTTTACATTCTGTTAAACCCAGAAGAAAATTGCTCAGTAGATGTCAATGTTTATTAAAATAATTTGGACCGCATATGGCCCCTAATTGGTGAGGATTACCTCCTTAGTAATATAAAATAATCGAAGGATTTTACAAGTATTTTCTTTTTGTTGTCCTCTAATGTGGAAGAAAAATTACCCCAAAAACTTTTAAATGTAAAGCAAGAGTATGTGTTAATTTCAAAATTATGTCCTCAAAATACTTTTTTTTGTTTGTTTGTTTTTGTTTTTCTAATCACACAAACACACAACTGTGGGGACAATTTAAAATTTTTTGCTAAATAATCTAATTTTTTAACTGAATTATTTTCAGGATGAAAATATGATCAACTTCATCAAAGGTGGACTCAAAATTAGAACAAGTTACCAAATATATAAGTAAGTTAAAAAGTAAGATGTGGTTTGTAAATAATTTTGTGCTGTGTACTCCTTTGTTCTTCACAGTTCTCCTAAATTAAGTTTGACTAGGATTTTTTTTTTTTTTTTTTTTTTTTTTTTTTTTTTGAGACGGAGTCTCACTCTGTCACCCAGGTTGGAGTGCAGTGGCGCAATCTCGGCTCACTGCAAGCTCCGCCTCTCAGGTTCACGCCATTCTCCTGCCTCATCCTCCCGAGTAGCTGGGACTACAGGCGCCCGCCACCACGCCCGGCTAATTTTTTGTATTTTTAGTAGAGATGGGGTTTCACTGTGTTAGTCAGGATGGTCTCGATCTCCTGACCTCGTGATCCGCCCGCCTCAGCCTCCCAAAGTGCTGGGATTACACGCGTGAGCCACCGCGCCTGGCCTGACTAGGATTTTTTATTTGGTGTTGGTAAAAATGAACTTAATTTTTTGTTGAGTGTGTATTCAGTGTTATAGGACAACAGAATTTAAGTTTAAATACAATTTTAAGAGCTAGCTGAAAATAAAGCTACTGACATAATTTCTGATTAGATAATTTTAGTTTTCTCTCTCCTTAGAACAGTTTATAAATTTAAAATTATAGTAATATCTTTGGTTCAGACTCCAGAGCAGCACTGCCCAGTAGAACTTTCTGCAATAGATGGAAATGTTCAGCTGAGGTGGCTGTAGCGTTGTTCATATCCTTATTGATTTTTATCCAGTTGTCTGTTATTTACTGAGAGTGTTAAAGGCTCTAAGTTTGAATCTGGAGTCATCCCTTTCTTCCTTTAGTTCTGTCAGTGTTTGCCTCATATATTTAGGAGCTCTGTTGTTAGGCTTTTATAATATGTATTTATAATTCTTCTGTCTTCCTAATGAATTAACCTTTTCATCATCTTGAAATGTCTCTATTTAACTTTGGTGATATTCCTTGTCTTGAAATCTGTTATGTCTAATATTCATATAGGCACTCATGCTTTTTATAATTAGTCTTTGCATGGGATATATTCTTTTACTTTAAACCTATTTTTGTTTTCATATTTAAATTGTATTTTTAAATATTTAAATTGTATTTCTTGTAGATTCACATAGCTGGGCAGTTGAATGTTTGCACTTGTGACTACCATTTTGCTTTTTCTCTTTGCCTCATCTGTTCTCTCCCCCTTTTTTCCTGTCTTCTTTTGCTTTAATAACATTTTTAGAACTGTTGTTCTCTTAGCTGTAGTCTAATTTTTTTGTGGTTGCTCTAGTGTTTATAATATTGTTTTTAAGTTATTACAGTCAACTTAGAGTTAATATTGTAGCACTGGACATAAATTATAAGAAGTTTGCAAAAGTGTAATTTCATTTACCACATTTTGCCCTTTATGATATATATATATATATATATATATATTTTTGCGACCGAGACCTTGCTTTGTTGCCCAGGCTGGAGTGCAGTGGTGTGATCTCAGCTCACTGCAACCTCTGCCTCCTGGGTTCAAGCAACTCTCCTGACTCAGCCTCCCGAGCAGCTAGGACTACAGGCACATACCACCACGGCCAGCTAATTTTTGTATTTTTAGTAAAGACGGGGTTTCACCATATTGACCGGGCTGGTCTCGAACTCCTGACCTCGTGATCCACCCGTCTTGGCCTCCCAAAGCGCTGGGATTACAGGCATGAGCCACTGCGCCTGGCCCTTTGTGCTATTTTTATGATGTATAGCAGATTTACATATATTTTAAACCCTACAATGCGGTGTCAGACTTTCTCTTTAATCAGTTATATGTTGTAGTCTTCTCTCTTTACCCATATTCTTACCATTTTTCATATTCTTATTCAAAATGGTAAATATATTTCCTGTTTACTTTCAGACTAAAGAACTTCCTTTAGCATTTCTTAGAGGGTGTCAGCTTTCAACAAATTCTGTTTTCATTTATCTTAAAATATATTTACTTTTTACTTTTTCTTTTCAAGCTTATTTTTGCTAACTATAGTATTCTGAGTCGATGGGTTTTTTTTCCTTCTTTCAGCCCTTTAAAACTGGCGTCCTATTGTATTAAAGCCTGTGTTGTTCAGTTTTTCATTTGTATTATTGTTCCCCTATATATAATGTGTCTTTTCTTCTGGCTTTTTTGAAGATTGACTAGTTTGTATCTTTGGGTCTCAGTAGTTTGACTATGATGTGCCTAAGTGTGGTTTTGAGAAATTTGTGGTCATAATTTTTCAAACTTTTTTTTTCTGCCCCATTCTTACTTTCTTCTCTCCTGAGACTCCTACTTTTTTCCCTTCATTTTCCACTGTGTAAAAATATGTTTTAAATGTATATTTTGATTTTTCCACAATTTGTAATAGTTACTTGTGGGAAAGTTAATCTGACATAAGCTACCCTACCATTACTGGTAGCAGAACCAAAATTTAGTATTTTAAGAGGTACTTTCACTGAAAATCCTTTCACAAAACTGTGTTTCATTCAAAATCCTGGAAGGGGGTGGTAGATCTTGGGTACCTGACATGCTGTTGTATAGATTTCTTTGTGAAATATTTTTAGAAGGTATAAACGAATGTTAAATTCAATGCTAATTGCTGTTTTAGTCATCAAAACCTAAAAATACTAAAGGATTAAAATAGGACTGTAGAGGCAAAGACATACAGGTATACCTCAGAGATATTTTGGGTTCCAGGCCACTACAATAAAGTGACTATTGCAATAAAGTGAGTCACACAAACTTTTTGGTTTCCTGCTGCATATAAAAGTTACGTTGATACTGTACTGTATTCTGTTAAGTCTGCCAATACCATTATGTCTAAAAAATATACATACCTTAATTGATAAACACTTTTTTGCTAAAAAATGCTAACAATTATCTCAGCCTTCAGCAAGTCATAATCTTTTTGTTGGTGGAGGTCTTGCATCCATGTTGATGGCTGCTGACATTCAGGGTGGTGGTTGCTGAAGGTTGGGGTGGCTATGGCAATTTTTTACAAAAGGACAGCAGTGAAGTTTGCCATACCTATTGACTTTTCCTTTCATAAAAGATTTTTCTATAGCATGCAATACCACTTGATGGCACTTTACCCACAGGAGAACTTCTTTCAGAGTTAGATCCATGCTCTCAAATCTTGCTGCTGCTTTATCAGCTAAGTTTATTTAATATTCCAAATCCTTTGTTGTCATTTCAACAATGTTTGTGGCATCTTTACCGGGAATAGATTTCATCTCAAGAAACTGCTTTCTTGCTCATCCATAAGAGGCAACTCCTCATCCATTAAAGTGTCATCATGAGATGGCAGCAGTCAGTCTCATCTTCAGGCTCCACTTCTAATTCTAGTTCTCTTTCTGTTTCTAACACCTCTGTAGTTACTTTCTCCACTGAAGTCTTGAACCCCTCAGAATGATCCATGAGGGTTGAAATCAACTTCTTCCAAACTCCTGTTAATGTGGACATTTTGACTTCCTTCCATGAATCACGAATGTTCTCTATGATAGGTAGAATGATGAATCCTTTCCAGAAGGTTTTCTGTTTCCTTTCCCTGGATCCATTAGAGGAATCACTATGGCAGCAATAGCCTTATAAAATGTACTTCTTAAATAATAAGACTTGAAGGTCAAAATTACTTCTTGATCCATGGGCTGCAGAATGGATGTTGTGTTAGTAGGCATGAAAACAATATAATCCTTGCATACATCTCTTTCAGAACTCTTAGGTGACTAGGTGCATTTTCAGTGAGCAATAATACTTTGAAATAAATGTTTTTTTCCCTGAGCAGTGGATCTCAACAGTAGGCTGAAAATATTTAGTAAACCATGCTGTGAATAGATGTGCTATCATCCAGGCTTTGTTGTTTTAATTATAGAGCACTGGCAGAGTAGATTTAGGACAATTGTTAAGGGCCTTAGGATATTTGGAATGGTAAGTGAACATTGGCTTCCATTTAAAGTCACCAGTTCCATTAGTCCCTAACAAGAGTCAGCCTGACCTTTGAAGTTTTGAAGCCAGGCGTTGACTTCTCCTCTCTAGATATGAAAGTTCTAGATAGCATCTTCTTCCAATAGAAGGCCATTTTGTCTACATTGAAAATTTGTTGTTTAGTGCAGCCACCTTCGTCAGTGATCTTAGCTAGATATTCTGGATAACTTGCTACAGCTTCTACATAAGCACTTGCAGCTTCACTTAGCACTTTTTTTTTTTTTTTTTTTTTTTGGAGATGGAGTCTCCCTTTGTCACCCAGGCTGGAGTGCAGTGGCACGATCTCAGCTCACTGCAACCTGCGTCTCCCAGGTTCAAGTGATTCTCCTGCCTCAGCCTCCCGAGTAGCTGAGGCTACAGGTGTGCGCCACCGTGCCTGGCTAATTTTTGTATTTTTAGTAGAGGCAAGGTTTCACCATGCTTGGCCAGGCTGGTCTCAAACTCCTGACCTCATGATCCGCCCACCTTGGCCACCCAAAGTGCTAAGATTACAGGTGTGAGCCACCGTGCCCGGCTGCACTTTTTTGTTATAGAGATGGTGTCTTTCCTTAAATTCATGAAACAACCTCTGTTAGCTTCCAACATTTTTTTCTTCAGCTTCCTCACCTCTCTCAGCCTTTATAGAGTTTAAGAGTTAGGGTCTTGTTCTGGATTAGGCTTTGGCTTAAGGGAGTGTTGTGGGTGGTTTGTTCTATCCAGACCACTACAGCTTTCTCCATATCAGCAACAGGGCTGTTTTGTTTTCTTATCATTTGTGCATTCACTGAAGTAGCACTTTTAATTTTCTTCAAGAACTTTTCTTTTGCACTTACAAGTTGACTAACTGTTTGGCACAAGAGGCCTAGCTTCCAGCCTGTCTTGGCTTTTGACATGCCTTCCTCACTACGCTTAATTATTTCTAGTTTTTGATTTCAAATGAGAGGTGCGAATCTTCCTTTCGCTTGAACACTGAGAGGCCACTGTAGAGTTACCAACTGGCCTAATTTCAATTTTGTTTTGTCTGAGGGAATAGGGAGGCCTGAGGAGGAGAGAGATGGAGGAACAGCCTATCAGTAGAGCAGTCAGAACACACACAACATTTATTGATAACTTTCGCTCTTATATGGGTGTGGTTCAGGGCACCCTGAAACAATTACTGTAATAGTAACATTTAAGATCTCCCATCACAGGTCACCATTAACAGATACAGTAATAACTAAAAAGTTTGGAAATTTTATGAGAATTACTGAAATGTGACCCTGAAACACAAAGTGAGCACATATTGTTGGAAAAATGGCATCGATAGACTTGCTCAACACAGAGTTGCCACAAATCTTCAATTTGTAAAAAATGCAGTATCCACAAATTGCAGTAAAACAAGGTATGCCTTTACATATCAGTGAAATGAACCACAGGGTTTTTTGAAAGAGACAGCATGTGTGTGTGTGCACACACATGGACTTACACACACACGCACATACTTACCTGGGAATTCAAAATATACTAAATTCCTTTATATAGATAGGCCCTTTCAAAACAGTGAAGAAAGATAGGTACTTTAGTAAATGTTTTTGGGAAAATTGTTCATTTTATAGAAAAATCATTAAGACGAAAAAAGTCCATATAGGTTTAATATTAAAAGATTTAAAAAGAATTCTAGCAGGAAACATAAGAAAGTACTTTTATAATTCTTAAATATAAAGGCTTTAAACTTTTTTGTTTTTTATTTTTTCACTTTGAAATAATTTGAAAATTATTACAAAAAATTTCCATCACTTGTATGGAAGATTGTAAATCGTCACTCAGATTTACAAATATTAATATTTTGCAGAAGCACAGTACAATTATTAAAATGAGGAAACTGACATGGATACAGTATTCATATTTACTCCATGGCCTTTACTCACATTTCTCCAGTTGTCTCATCAATGCCCTTTTTCTGGCTCAGGATCCAACCCGGGATCCTGGATATCGAGGTTAGCTGTCATGTCTCCTTAGTCTCTTTTCATTCGGAATAGTTCCTCAGTCTTTGTCTTTAATGATGTTGACATTTTAAAAGAATAAACTGGCCAATTATTTAGTAAAACATCTTTCAATATGGACTTTTCTAATGTTTCTTCATGATTAAATTCAGATTATGACTCTATGGCAAAAATACCTTAGAAATGATATCATTAGGTACATGATGTCAGTTTCAAAGGCCTTTTAACTATGGCATAAAATCAGAAATCAGAAGAAATTGATTGAGCTGACCAAATAAACATTCATCATTTTATCTTGGCAAAATGCACCATAATAAAAAATAAATGACCCAGGGGAAATGACAGCAGGGGATGCTTGTAGGCATCTGAATTGACTCTCTAAACCCTTACATTTTTTGTAAACTGGAAGTTAGGTCTATAGGCTTGCTAGATTCAGATTAAAAATATTTGGCTAGACTGGATCACAAGTGTAGTTGCACATTTTATAATTGCATCACACCAAGTGATTCATGATATCTCATTATTCCTTATTATTAAAAATATATTTGCCAATTTAATAAGCAATTCCCAGGTATTATCAATTTTTATATTTTTGTCATTGTTTTAATTTGTATTTCTTTGGTTAAATATTTGCCTTTTGAAGATGATGTGAACAGGCAAGAGAGAAATACATAGAAAGTAAAGTGAGAAGTTGGAAAGATTTTCATGGCTGGAGCAGGAAGAAAGCAGAGGACAGATGGGGCCATTGTGATGGCCTTTGCTTTCTTGTTTCAGTCTGTCCTGGTCCCAAGCCCTAATTTATTTGGTCTGTTTGAGACGATGGCAGTCACACTGAAATTCAGATCTTCTTGCCAGTAGCATTTCATTTCCTCAGGTTGCTGCAGTGTGTGCAGTGGTGGAGGAGCTGAGCGCTTGCAGGGAGTCCGCTGTGATATGCTGCCGGAAGCTGTGGGATGGCAGCCTGTGGTCCTGCGGCTCCTGGCTGGTGCTTGCCAATGGATGAACCCTCTCTTTAAGCCCAGAAACACTGGTCCTGCTAGACACTGTAAAAATGAGCATCTCCTTTTTCTTTGATGATTATTACCTAGTATCCTTAAGAGTAAACTCAGCACAGCATCATCCTTTAAAATTTTGATGGTATTTTAATTAATGACATTTATTTTATAGCACATAAGTGTAAAATTTGATTTAATATTTATTTTCAGAGTCATGGTCAACTTATGCTGTCACTTTTTTTCTTCAACCCAGAGAATGTCTTTCTATCCTGCATGAAATTCAGAAGAACAAACTTCAGCAGGAATTCTTCTATGAGTTTGAAGGGGGTGTCAAGCTTGGCAGTGGGGCCTTTAATTTGGTAAGGAAATCACTGTATAGAAACCAGAACTTTTGTAGAAGAACCTAAGGTTTTCTGTGCCTTCTCCACTGCATTTGAACCTCATCCTGAACCTTTCCTTGGGTTGGTTGACAAACAGCTAGAGTGGGATCAGTTTTCTGGCATTGTGACCCAGTGTGTTATAAAGTTCCACACATGCTCAGAGTAGCTTTGGATTGTAAAATGTAAGGGAAGCGTGTGGTACTCTGAATAGACTAGTAAGGTTTTTGGTAACAAGGAACAGTGGAATCCATTTCCATTTCCACAGCAGAAATATTGTTGCAATGACAATGACGGCTCTGGAATTGAAAATGTGTGAGGGACCAGTATAACTTGAGGAATGATTTTTGATGATTCCTGAGGAGATGGAAGTCTGAGTAGTAATCTGTCAAATTCCAATATGTGATTAAGAGATTTTTAAATTTTATTGATGGTTCACTGGAATTAGTGAGAAAATAAAGTGATCAAGAGAAGTATACACATGAGTGAATGTGCCACTATGGCCACTTTGCTTATAGCCTGTGGGGTGATAAATGGGAAAGAGGCTGACTGGTACCCACAGAATGGACCATCTTATCCAATTGGTTGTTAAAATCCTCTTCTGCTAAGGTCATCCTTTGGTGTGTATCCACATGGGACACAAATATCTTTACATTTTCTGCCCATTCAGAAAGATCTGACCACGTACTTCTTCCCCAGACCTCTTTGTCACCAATTTTCCAATCATGATCCTTCTAAGCCCCTGCCCTTCCAACCAAACCATTGTCTACATCCCCTGAATCAGCATATAATTGCACATCTGGCCATTTCTCCTTTCAAGCATAGTGCATAACCAGGTGCACTGCCCAGGGTTCTGCCCACTGGAAGGATATTCCCTCACCACTGTCCTTCAGGAATATCCCAGAGAGAAGTGGTAGTGCTGCAGCTGTCCACTTCTGGGTGGTGTCTACACATCACACAGACTATGACTGATTTTTGCTTCTGGGAAAGGAAACTAAGAAACCTTGCCTGGATGTGGGCTTTGAGGGGTTACCTTCTTGTCACTTCATCACACCACATCAAAGGTCCCAGTATTCTATAGAGAACCCTGGAAAGACCAGGCTTAAAAAAAACTTTTTAAAGGTTCCTTGTCTTAGCTAAATGAAATTAATTCATAAATGATTGTTACAGTATGTGGTAACAGAAATATCTGGTGGTTAAAACTTGTTCCCAATTTCTCATGTTATTGAAGCATTAAAACTGTAAGTTGTTAGTTTAGATTTGTTTGCAGTTAGAAACACTAACACATAAGTACACTGTATATTTTTTTCTTACAGATGCTGTCCCTTTTACCAGCAAGGATTATCAGACTACTAGAATTTATTGGATTTTCTGGGAATAGGGTACAAATTTAATTTTATGTTAATTTTGACAGGGAAGATAAGACAGTATTTATTGAACATGAGGGCAATGCAACATGTCTGCATAACTACCTTGATAATTATTGGCAATTTGTTTGTAGGACAGAAAATAAGCCTTTGATTCTTGATCATGTTTTTCAGGACTTAGACATAGTTTTTCTGATGAAAGTTAAAAATGTTCACCCTTGTTATCCAAATTCTTGGATGAAAAATTATGTGTTGCTAATATTGCTTCTTGCTAGATCTTATTACTCTCACGTGGTTTCCTATGCTTTCTTAATAGTTGACCAAAGATGGGAGGGGTGGGGGAAGAGAGGGTTGAAAAACTACCTGTTGAGTATGATGTTCACTCTTGCGGTGATAGGGACACTAAAAGCCCAGACTTCACCACAGCGTAATATATGAAATCTGTACTTGTAACCCCCCTAATATATAAAAATGTTTAAAAAGTTTCTGAATATGATTTTCCAGTCTTGTTCTCTTTCTAAAAATGCATTTAATTCCCATAGGAGTTGGGCCTCCTGCAGTTACGTGAAGGTGCTTCAGGAAGGAGCATGAGGTCTGCACTGTGCTGCTTAACCATCTTAGCTTTTCATACTTACATCTCCCTAATACTTGGTAAGATCTGGATTAGATTGTTTCATTGAACATTGATTGTCTTGGCCAGACATGGTGTGTTACACCTGTAATCCCAACTACTTGGGAGGCTGAGGTGGGAGGATCAGTTGAACCCAGGAGTTTGAGGCTGCGGTGAGCTATGATCACGTCACTGCACTGGATCCAGCCTGGGCCACAGAGCGAGATCCTGTCTCTAAATTAAAAAAAACAAAACAAGACAAAACATAAAGTTGATTATTTTTAATCTGAGTAAGTAAAAATTTAGAAAGATCAGCAAGAGCTAGTAGTTCATATCTGTTTACTTTTTTTTTTGAATAAAGGTAGAAAATAGTGTCCTTTGTCATAGTGACATTTAGCAGAAGGAGTAGGGTAGTTTCTTTCATTAAATAATTTTCATCTGTTCTCAGCTAAAATTTCTATATTAAGGTGATCTATTTTATCATATATGAGATTTTTTTCTTTGCAGAAAATGAAATTTTGGGCTAAATAAGTTAATATTGCTGTTAAAACCAGAAATTCCAATTAGGAATCTGAGACAGCCACCTGCATTCTTAAGAATTAGTGTGTCCTAGAGCTTTCTTAAACTAAAGTTATAGGTGAGACTGGTCTTTATTTTATTCCCCAGATATAAAAATGATGAAATAATAGTTTTCATCTTTTCCATGAGTAGGTCTTTACTGTATGTTAATGAAATTTGGAGAGCTGGTTATAAATATCCCCATGTCTTATGAAGACTGAGTCTTTTCCTGTTAAATTTCTAGGTACAGGAGAAGTGAATGTTGCGGAAGCAGAGCGTCTCCTGGCACCCTTCCTCCAGCAGTTTCCAAATGTACGCTCAGTATTTCAAAGTGTATGTTTCAACCATAATTAATCAGCCAGTGTTGACTGTTGAACAGTGTGTTTTCTTCCTTGCTCTGCAGGGCTCACTCGTGTTGTTTTATCATGCCCGAATAGAGTTGCTGAAAGGGAATCTTGAAGAGGTAATTTATTAGGTGGGAATTATTTGGGGGAGTTGTCTGTATGGCGACTCCTACATGAGTCGCTGTGACCTACTTATTCAACAAAAGTAAACTTGGCTATATGGACTAGACAAAAATAAAGAAAAAAATATATAAGTAAAAAGCCAAAACTTTTAACTTGTATATACATTCTATTATATAAAATCTATGCAGTGGATTACTGAATATAGTCTACATTTATACATAGAGTACATTAAGCACTTTAGGGTAATATATACCAAATAACAAGCTCAGGGATTTTCAAGAAACTGTGACTGTTACCAATTTCTGCATTACACACTGACTTTGGAATCTAGCCCCTGTGTGACATGCAGGTCTACTACGTGTGGGCTCCGTATCAAAGGACCCCTCAAAAAACGAATTCCCTCAAAAACGAAGCGTCGAGGTCAGAAGTAGAAAAGTAAGGAGCCATTTATGTATATACATTCACAAACCATTTTTTCCACACAAATGGGATCAAAATGTATTTTTCTGTGATTTTTTTTTCACTGTTTACAATATGTCTTGGATCTCTTTCCAGATCAGTATGCCTAAATGTCTCCTATTCTTTTTGATGGCTGGGTTTCATTTCATGGGATGGATATACTATACCTATTAAAGTGGTCCATAGACATTTGGCCACTACAAACTGTTGTGAACATCATTGTATGTATATTTCTGTGCACAGGTACATTTATAGAAGACAGATTATGATTAGTAGAATTCCTGGGCCAAAAGGTGGTTGCATTTTTATAAATCCAGCCAAATTGTCCTCCTCACTTAAGATTGTTCCAGTGTAAACTCCAGTAAACATATAAAAATATTTTTTTCCAATGCTCTTTGCTGGCTCAGGACATTACGTGATGGCTAAAAATGAGAATCTAATTTTTAAGTTTATATTGCCTAGTTTACAAATTTATCCACATGTATATCTGTCATCTATATATTTTTTTCTGATTTGCCTATTTACATCTTTGCCTGTTTCCTGTTGAGTTTTCTTTTTCTTACAGAATTTTATTAAATTGATGAATGATAAAAGAGTTAACCTTTTGCCAGTTACGTAGATAGTGACATCTTCTTCCTGTCTGTTGCCTGTAACTCTGCCTACAGTGTTTTGTCCTATGGAAGTTCTAACTTTATTGTCAGTCTTTTCTTAAATGATTTCTGCATTTGATATCTTCCTTGGAATGGAACCTCCCCACTCCCACATTACAAAGTGTCAAGGCCCTCTCACAAAATTAAAGAAAGAGGCAGAACTTAACTGTATCATTGCCTGTAAGGAAAAGAACATATCATCATATTGAGAGGTTTAATGAGTGATAATTTTGTCCTTTTTGTACTAAGTGTTTTATGTATTTTTCCATTAGGTTATTATCTCCTTGTCTAATATCTGGACGATCAACTTTGTGTACTTGATTTACAGGCACAAGAAGTATTTCAAAAATGCATTTCAGTTCAAGAAGAATGGAAACAGTTTCACCATCTCTGCTACTGGGAGCTAATGTGGATTAATGTTTTCCAACAAAACTGGATGCAGGCATATTACTATTCAGATCTGCTTTGCAAAGAGAGTAAATGGTCCAAGGTAAAGTGCAATACTTTCATTAATGTCATCTGTTTGCTAATACATGGCCAGGATGATTTTCATTTAGGACTGTTTGCTCAGTAGTATGATACCACAGTGTTTTCTCAACTTAGAGATCCACAAAAGGAGGAAATGTGCCTTAAGTACCCACTATTTATAGGTACTGTCCTCAGCATTGCATGCTTTAAAAGCCATCTACTGTTCTTTTCAGGGCCAAATGCGATGGCCCATGCCTGTAATCCCAGCCCTTTGGGAGGCTAAGGCAGGAAGATGGCTTGAGGTCAGGAGTTTGATACTAGCCAGGGCAACATGGTGTGATTTTATCTCTGCAAAAAATAAAAACATTAGCTAGGCATGGTGGTACATGTCTATAGTCCCTTCTACGTGGGAGGCTGAGGCAGGAGGATAGCTTGAGTCCAAGAGTTCGAGGCTACAGTGAGCTATGATCACACCACTGCACTCCAGCCTGGTGACAGAGTGAGACCCTGTCTCAAACAACAACAAAGAGTTATTTTAAACATGAGGTTTTATCTCTGAAAATGAGTTGTACTTATAAAGTTATGAAATCTTAATCATGTTGATAATTTTGTGTAGACTTTCCAGTGCCCTGATGCCCAGGCTTTTCATGATAATGAAAATTAATTCTGATCCACTTATGAGAAGTTGGAGGGCAATGAGATAATTTTTTCTTGTTCATTCTGTCCACTTTCTCACCTATGAATGCTGTAGTTGTATAATAGGAAAATGGTTTAAATTATGGGTAATTGAAAAGAGTTGTTGTCATTTTGAACAGGGAATATAAGATTTCATTTCCTCTGATTTCTTTAATGCCTCTAATTTTATATCTGGAAGACTTGTTGGTCATTCCTGATTTGAAAGGTAGAAATGTCATTTACCTAGGGATGTTCTGTAATAAGCTCCTTCTTTTTCTCAAGGCAACTTATGTGTTCTTGAAAGCAGCAATTTTGAGTATGCTTCCAGAGGAGGATGTAGTAGCAACGAATGAGAATGTGGTAACTTTATTCAGGTATGTGAGACACTATTCCTATAACAAAGGCTCTGAGGGTATAAAGGGGCAAAATCTCATCTCTACTGAAAATACAAAAAATTAGCTGGGCCTGGTGGCATGTGCTTGTAGTCCCAGCTACTTGGGAAGCTTAGGTGGGAGGATTGCTTAAGCCTGGGAGGTGGAGGTTGCAAGTGAGCTGAAATAATGCCATTGCACTGCAGCCTGGGTGACAGACAGAGTGAGACTCTGTCTCCAAAAAAAAACCATGTATATTAACTGTAGCATCAACATCAACATTAGTAAAAGCCATGGCATGATAAATGTCACTTTTTACTGTAAAGTTCATTTCCTTATTTTACGGAAACAACAATTAATGGAAGGGAGTATTAAGATACATTAAAATCTTTTAAATCTCCTTCTCTTTCTTCCACTGCAGATTAAGTTTTCTCCATATCAAAACAGTTTATGTGAAAGATGTGATCATTTTTATTTTCAGGAGAAAGCTTTGAGGTCTTGCTCTGTCATAGCTTCTAGGTTGTTGGGATAATGAGAGTTCTAACAATGAATGGTCTCTTCATAAAGATGCTGTTACCTTTAAACTACAAGGGTTCCTGTCTGAGACATGCTTCTGACCCCTTCCTCTGACCCCCACCTCACATTTCCACTGCCTTTTCCACTGACGGTAATGAACAAAAATGATGAGACACTGTAGTTTAAAATCCATAGCTCCATATTTTGCCCGGAATTAACCTAACATAAGCTTGACTCATATTGGAGGCATATTATTTCATGTTATTTTTTCTTTCAGTGATGTAATTGAGTATTGCCTTGAATTCTTTCTCAGCAACTTGTTTGATGCATCCATAAAATTATGCATAAGAAAGTGCTCCCAGGAACATGTAGTCTCCCCATCCTACTGTCATTTTTACCTGCTTATGAATTTCATAATTGGAATTCTGTAGAATTTTAAAAGGAAGTTTCTAAACATGGTACACATCCTAAGCTGATTATTTCCCAAACAACCTGTGCTTGGGAAACATTTTCTTAAATTATACGTTAATTGTTGGCTGTCTTTTGAGCCATATTATTTTATAGATCTGTGTAATACTTGCAAATAGGAATAGGCCATATACCAGTGTACCCTCTTCTCTCTCCCTGAGTATCCACAACGTAAGTAAATACTTTGGACTCTTTCCTGCTTACTCGTAGAAATCGCCAGTTGTATACCTAGATTTCCTGGACTGTGTTTGATAGATTTAAGACATTAGCTAAGTTGACTGGAAAGAAATATGTGTCAGTCAGTGGTTCTCAATCTTGAGTGTGCCTCAGAATCACCTGGAGGGCTTATCAAAATCTAGATTGCTCGGCCCCGGCCCTGGAGTTGCTGATTCAGTAGGTCTAGAGTAGGGCCTGAAAATTGGCATTTCAAATAGGTTCCCAGGTGATGCTGCTGCTGCTGCTGGTGGTCTGTGAAGTTCACTGTGAAAACCACAGGTACAAATAATGTATGTGTTGCCATGACCTTTCTCTGGGGCTGGGCTGGGGTTCTTCACAGACAGGTGGACAGCTTGAAGCAGAGAATTGCCGGGAAATCTATCCCTACTGAGAAGTTTGCTGTGAGGAAGGCTCGGCGTTACTCCGCCTCCTTACCTGCACCTGTGAAGCTCATCTTACCTGCCCTGGTATCTGCTTTTATTTTCTTTTCATGTACTAGAAATAAATTACCTACTCACAGCAGCAGGGAGCATATCTAAATTTGGTTATGAAGTTTAGCTCATTTAAAAACCATTGTAGGTTTTGTTGTAAGTTGAACATTTCTAAATAAATAATTAATAAATAAAAACTGTAGCTAATGGTTTTTGACTAGTTAGTATGATCCAGGCATTACGATAAAGGCTACTAAAAACGTATCATTTTATTCTTATAACTTTTTGAGTATAGTTAACTCTTAGCCCCATTTTTTAGTGAAGAAATTTAGACAGAAAGAAGTTGATTCCATTGAAGTTGAGTTGAATTCTAATGCAAGCCACATTATGTAATTTTACCTTTTCTAATAGCCACATTAAAAAAGTAAGAGGAAATAGAAATGAATTTCAAGAATATATTTTAACCCAGTATATGCAAAATTTTGTCATTTCAACATGTAATTAATAGAAGCTTATCCATGAGATATATACATTCTTTCATATTGAACCAAGTCTTAGAAATTTAGTGTGTCTTTTACACTTAGAGGACATCTTAGTTTGGTCTAGCTGTATTTCCAGTGCTCAAGAGCCATAACTGGCTGCTGGCTGTTGTATTCTAGCTCCAGCTCACATTCTTAAACTTTATGCCATTTAGGCAAGGCTTCTGTGAAAAACACAATTTCAACTTGAATTTTCTTAATGAAGTGTTCTTCAAAAAATACTGAATATATCAAGTTACTATGACTCTTCTGGTGCTTTAGTTTTTATATAGATAGTCAGCACAGGAAAGCTGTTCAGTGTAACCGATGTCTGCAGTCCTCCACTCTGGGGTTTCCTGAGTTTTTTTTTTTTTTTTAAATTCAGAGTTTATTTCATCATTCCTCTTTGACAGTTATTTAGATTTTTCCAGTTTTTACAATTATACACTGCAATGAATATCCTCTTTTTGTACATGTGCATATAATTCTCTGTGAAAGGTTTTTTAAAAATGGAATTCCTGGTTCAAGGGAATATATACATTTAATATTTTGGTAGATATTGTTAAATTCCCCTCAAAAAAAGCTCTACCAATTTAAATAAGTACTGATAGTATTTTACCATTTTAATTTGCATTTCCTTGTGGATGTGGTGGAGCATCTTTTCATGTGTTTCTTCATTTTTATTTTTTCTTTTGTAAATTGTTGTTCATATTCTTTCCTAATTTTTCATTGGGTTGTTGATTGTTTTCTTAGTGACTTATGGGAGCCTTTTATACATTCTATGAGAAAGAACAATGCAGCCCCTCCCTGACAGGGGTCAGACAGGAGTTAGCCTGCGCCTAGCACCTAGGTCCAGGTGTTTCCTACCTAACACAAACTCAGAGAACTTCAGCATCAGACAGGCCCATTCTGTGACTGTGACGGAGCAAGACAAAAATATGACCACTCTGTAATCGTGTCTGAGCACAAATAAAAACAAGAACACTGTGTAAATCACACAAATAACCAAACATCTCCCTCTCCCAGCTCACATGAGAGCCTTCTGTTGCTTAACCAATTAGAGCCTTAGCTCCATGCCTGATTCATTTTTATTAAGTGATTTGCACTGGGAAGGTTTTTCTGTCTCACAGAACTCTACAGAAAATTTTCTAGACTATCATCTTTCTTTGCCTTAATACTTAGATACCAGTGTATACGTAAGTGTATCCTGCTTTGACTGTTAAGAACCATAGGGAAGGTTAACTCCCTGCACTTCTTTCTCCAGGTCTATGGAAGTAGAATGTACAGGAAATTGGCTTGAAATGTTAGTACTGGGATTTTTTTTTTTTTTTTTGTACCTAGGAATTTTACCAAAAGCCTGTTTTTCATAAAGTCTCAGATATGAGCTTGCCCTCTTCTGATAAAAAGATTTTATCAATAAAAGGAATTTTTAAAAGATCATCATCAATTTAAAAAAGATTCTGTTATTGAATTGAACTCTTGCTCTATTAGCAGCAATAAATTGTTACATGTAAAATTGAAGGTAGAGTGTCATGATCTTAGTTTTCGGTGCCATAAGATAAAGATACCTTTGCTGCCATTCTACTTGAGTGTGTCGTCCTCATTTCCACTACCTCCTGCTAAGAGGCTTTTCAAGCTATATTTTTATCATATCTTAAAATTTATTTCCAAGAAGATACTAATTACCCTGCTTACTTCATACCCTTCAAAATACGAACTGCACTATCAGGAACATTAGAAAAATATTTTCAAGCAAAAGCACATTTGCTTTTGATCCAAAAAAATTCTCATCTGGTAGCCCATTAAATATAATCTGTAATGAGAAATCATTAGTTTACATTTTAGGAGCTGTCATTCAGCCATATGGCTTTTAAATGAATACGTTTTCTGCATATTGGATTACATTACTGGACCGTCACATGTTTCTAATTGTATGAAAGATCCTAAGCCCAGTGAAATATTCCAGTGTTTATATCCAGTGATATTCTTGGAAACATTTTATGTAAACAACTGGCAGACATTTAAAAATATTTTTCTTTACTTAAAAGTAACAACAAAAGTTTACATTAAACAGAATTATTATTCATAGTATCGGTTTAAAATATTTATTTCTGTATCTGTATTCTATTACCTTCCAAAAGAATTAAATGCTTGTAGATATTTAATAAATATTTGTTATATGAATGAGTTTAAATTTTTGGTAAAAATATATATACTGAATTGCTTCACAGTATAAAAGGCAAAAGCAAAGGAAAATGATCTGTAAATATTGTCCTGAGGTTCCTAGAAACCGAAGCAAAACACATGAACATTGTTTGGGGATCATAAAGGACATTGAATAACCTCATATAACTGCAAATGGTTTTCATTTTTCCTCATTAGGAAATGATGTATGTCTGGAATGGTTTTTCAATAGTGAGCAAAAGAAAAGACCTTTCTGAAAATCTGTTAGTAACTGTTGAAAAAGCTGAGGCAGCTTTACAAAGTCAAAGTAAGTATACACAGTAAGCACCGAGGAGCCTTTGTCTCTGCTCCATGACTGCTCTCCTGTCTTTTCCCTGTGCACATCTGCCAACATTAATTTGTGTACATCCCAAGGACAAAGAGCTTGAGCTGCAGGGGTCTGGGTGATTGCAGTCAAATGCAGGGAGGAATGATACACACTGCAACTGCATGAACCTTGGAAACAGCTTACTAAGGGAAAAAGGCCAGGCCAGCCATAAAAGACCACATATTATATGATTCCCTTTACACGATACTCAGAATAGGGAAATCTATAAAGACAGACAGCAGATGAGTGGTTGCCTAGGGATGGAGTATGGAAGTTAGGAGTTATGATAGCTTTCTGGGGAGGGAGGTGATGACAGTGTTCTACAGTTGACTGTGGTGATGGCTGTACAACTCTGTGAATATCCTAAAAACCATTGAATGGTTACTCTCAGTGGGTGAATTGTATGGCATGTGAACTGTATCTTAAAACTATGACAAAAAAGATGAAGAGAGGAAGCCCAGCATTGGAATTTTAGCGCAGCACAAGGAAACGTGCACTTCCCTCTGGGTTGAGTTTGCTGTGACTCTTTCTATGCCTCCTTATTGCTGTCTAACCATTAGTGTGTTTCTGCAGACACAGGGAATAGTTTTCAAGGTGAAATGTTATCACGATTTATTCTACCCATTACATTTGGTTGTGCTAGAGGCCACATTTCAGTTTACCGGAAGCAGCTGATGTGGTAAAAGGAGTATCAGAATCAGGCAGTCTGGGCTTATAGTCCCAGCTCTGCCATCAGACTCTGGGTAACACCTCTGTTTTCTCGTGAAGTGGGAGGAGTGTTGGACCAGATGCTATCCAAAGTTGTTTCCTTGCCCTGACATTTTTTGATTCTGTATTTTTAAGAGGGGTAAACCATGCCATAAGTGATAGCCTTTGTTGTATTTCTTTTCAATGCCAAGTCACTTAGGTATTACCCCAAGAGAAATGGTCTTTTGTAATATTCTAACCACATAAGTAAAATGAAAACTTCTGTGATGCTAAACATGGTAAAGGGCATAGAAATTCAGGAATGGTGGGGAAACATTTTAACAGTTAACTCATTTTTGTTAACTGTAAAAAGATGGGCACTCCAGGAGCCCAGCCTACTGTCTATTTGAGCAAGCTCTTCACCACCCCCAGCCCCCCATTGGTTGGGGGCAAAATTCGAGGGGAAATATATTTTATCAGACTATGCTAGTAAAATGCAGTGGAAATTTGGAAAACCAAGTCACTCTCCTCCACCCATTCCTTTTTCTCTTAATGACATGCTGAGATGATAGGCTTTAGAGATATTTAAGCAGGGCGGGGGATACTGAGACAGACAGACAGACAGACATGCCATACTTACCTACAGTTTTGGCTTTGTGTGTCCTCTCTCTGGGTGAAATAATTAGTTTATTTTCTGAAGATCACCTTTGCCAGATATTTCATGTGAAACTTATGATGACCTCTTCTAGGACTTCTTTTATGCAAGATTATCTCCTGTTCTCCTTCCCACCTTGAACTGTTAGGACGGTTTAGTAATTAAGCTCCTATCCTTCAGAGCAGGGAAGAAAAAGTCCATAATTGGAAAATGGAGAGAAGTTGGAAAATGGAGAGAAGTTGGAAAATGGGGAGAAGTTGTAAACCTGAGGTTACATCATCTTCCACCCCATCCCCCACCCCCATTATTGGAAACTGGATGTGTATTGGCTTCTCCTAGCTTTGCAAGTGTGTCTAAAGTAAAAGATGGTAGAGGATACAACTGATCTACTCTGCAATACTCTGGCCATAGTTATTAAATGCTGGCCATTGATACAAAAGATAGAACTTTGAAGACAGAACAGAATTTGGTGACATCCCTGGAGTCAGCATTTGGTATTAATTCCAATAGTGTTTCATTTGAAATCTAACTAAATTCAACATGTAACCAGAAGTTCCACTTTGACTAATTTGCTTAATGAAATTATATAGCAAACATTATGAGAGTTATGTAAAAGGGAAAGTGATACTGACTTTATGACTTTTTACTTTCTAAATCTATTTTCAGATTTTTCTCTTGGGGCCATTTCAGCTAGCTTCTAAAAATTTCAGCATAGATACTTTTTGTAGTTTGGGCTTCAAACTTCCCTGTTTCTCAGCCTATCCACCATAAAAGTTCAGCGGATCTTTTGTCGTAAAATTGTACTCTAGTAGCTTTATCATGTAATTTTCTTTGAATGTTAAATGGAAACATATTACATGTGTGTTGTGTGTCGAAATGTTCATCTATGAACACTTTCATGAGGTTGAAAATCATGACAAAGCATTTATACTTCAAGGGAAAATAATCATCTGCTAGATAATGGTCTGTAGTCGGAGGAAATAATGATTTTGCCATCTAAGGTTTTTGGAGGAATATAGTATTTTTGAACCCAGTCGCCGTATGCCTAACTCAAGTTCGTCATAGAAGTTACATGCGGCTTTACTAGTATTTTAACTTCCCATGATGTTACGTCTGTTCCTCAACAAAATCATCATTCACAGAGCACCAGAATGTTGTCATAATACAAACTGTCGATACAATGCTACAGGAAACTCAGTAGAATGCACAAAAATGATACTACAAGCTAGCATCCAATATGGACCCTTTGGTTTTGGTTCTAGGTCCTAAAAGATATTACTTCTTGAATGTCTGTTTTAACATCCGTGATTAAAAGCAATGGATAGAATTTTATTTTGGTAGAAAAATGATTCTAAATAAATAATAGAAAAGGTAATGTGTTATTGATACCCGTGGTTTTCTGGGTGAATGACCTATCAGAGCTTGAAAGTTAGAGGTGAATATTCAGTTTTCAGCACCTAAGAAGTAACCCCTTTCTGGTTGGTTAAGTAGCATTGTTAATCTCCATAGTCAAGTGGTTTACCATCTTAACTGCCAGCATGTGTTAATGATGATTTCTGAGGTTTGTGCTGAAAGCAGGAGGATTTCAATAGGAGGGACTCCCAGGGCCTCGTATGTTCCCTTTACTGCCGTCCTCTCTACTGTCACAGCCTGAAATGTGTAAATTGTCGTTCTGTCTTGGAATAACGTTGTACTTGCCTGTAACTTGCAAAAAAATTTCAAAAGTGTAAATGTGGAATGGCTACCTTTGTCAGATAGATGTCACACGTAATATGGTTCCTTCTGTTTAACACACATTTGTCTTGGGCTGTAGAAGGCAGAGAGCATTTTCAAAAGGGAAAAAGTGGTGAAAAAATCCTTGACATTTTCCTCAAGCAGTTAGAAGTTTGTGGAGATTTTAGGTGCCTTTCATGTACTTCAGAACCGTTTTGTTAAATCTTATGGCATAGTTTTCCCCAAAAAGAACACAACCTGGGAGAATTGATAAGTTGTAAACATAATGATCTGGAGAGGGTATTCTACTTCCTGAATTTTTAATGGGGATAAGGCCATCTGCTTCTCCATATGGAAGTGTTATCCTCTCCTGTATTGAAGCCAACACAGAAGCCAAACAACAGGAGGAGGCAGCCTTCTTGTTCCTCATGGCTTTACCTTTTATAGAATTAATAAAGCTCTTTATTTAGAGCTCAGATTTTCGGTTGTTGTATCTAAGGTCACAAAGCTCAGAGCGTGACCACCTGAAGAATATTTTAAAGTGAATAGAGTGAACTCCTTAATAAAATGATGTTCTGATATAGTAAATTCAGCACTGTAGGAATGTATGTGTATATCAGATGGGGTCTTGCTCTTTCACCCAGGCTGCAGTGCAGTGGCGCCATCATAGCTCACTGCAGCCTCCAACTGCTGGGCTCAAATGATCTTCCTGCCTCTATCTCTGAGTAGCTGGGACTACAGGCATGTGCCATCATGCCCAGTAATTAAAAAAATTTTTTTTTGTAGAGACGGGGTCTCATTGTATTGCCCAGGCTGGTCCTGAACTCCTGGGCTCAAGTGAGCTTCCCACCTTGGCCTCCCAAAGCATTGGGATTACAGATGTGAGCCACTGTGCCCAGTTCTTTTCATTTAAAATAATTTCATTGTATTTTATTTAGTGAGGCATAACAAATGCTAAAAAGTTTTCCTTATTTGTAAATGATCCCTCTGAAACTTTGTTCTTTCTCTTAATTAAGATCTTAAGGCCGGGCACGGTGGCTCACGCCTGTAATCCCAGCACTCTGGGAGGCCGAGGTGGGTGGATCATGAGGTCAGGAGATCGAGACCATCCTGGCTAACACGGTGAAACCCCATCTCTACTAAAAATACAAAAAATTAGCCGGGCGTGGTGGTGGGCACCTGTAGTCCCAGCTACTCGGGAGGCTGAGGCAGGAGAATGGCGTGAACCCGGGAGACGGAGCTTGCAGTGAGCCGAGATTGCGCCACTGCACTCCAGCCTGGGTGAGAGAGCGAGAGTCCGTCTCAAAAAAAAAAAAAAAAAAGATCTTAAAAAGTATTTTTCTTTGTGTGTTTTCTTTGTATGTTTTTTGTTTTAAGATTTTAACAGCTTCTCTGTGGATGATGAGTGCTTAGTGAAGTTACTTAAAGGATGTTGCCTCAAGAACTTACAGCGGCCCTTGCAAGCTGAACTATGTTACAATCATGTTGTGGAAAGGTAAGACCAAACAATAAAACCAGCCCAAGTGCAAATTGTGGTTTCTGGGGAATTGCTGTGAGAAAGTGATGCAAAATGCTTTTATCTCTTACTGCTAAACTCTTACTTGGTGTTACCAGAAAGAAAATCCAGTAGTGTGTTGTTGTTGTTCTTCCTCGTGAACAAAATTATGGTCTGGGTGGAACATGACTTTATGTATTTCTACTTGATGTTTAAAGATGACTTACAAAAACTGTATTTATAGCTCAACTAACAGGTGTCTAGCCAAACTCTGGCAGCATCATACTGAATCTCTGCTACTCATTAATTTTTTTGTTTTTTACATATTTCTTTAGTTTTTCTTTTCTTTTCTTTTTTTTTAAGAGATGGGAGACTTTCCTTGTTGTCCAGACTGGAGTGCAAGTAGTACAATCATGGCTCACTGCAGCCTGGAACTCCTGAGCTTAAGAGATACTCCCAGCTTAGCCTCTTGAGTAGCTGGGACTACAAGTGTGCACTACTATGCCTGGCTTCTGATACTAATTTAATTCATACATTTATTTGTCCATTCATTTATTCCATGGATATTTGAGCACCCACTATATGCCAGAGACTGTGCTGGATTCTAAGGATTCAGAGCTGAGTAAACAGACTTGCCATCACCGTGATAATAATTTGGCAGTAAAGAGAGGCATGTGATGAGCACTCTGTCTCTCTTTTGGCAAAGGGCAGTTCTTCTGTATATAATTGAGTTTTGTTCTGGTTTTATTCCCCCTCAGTAGCATTGATGATGATGTCCTGCTCCATTACTAACCATAGAGTTGAATCAGGGTACTGATGCCTGGCCCTTTTCTCTGTATCACAAATGCAGTATTTACAGGGGCCAGATATGTAACCTTACTTAATAAGGCCGGCTGAGTGGTGGCAGGAATAGGATTGGTAGGCTCTATAGGTCAGGGTGTTTTCTCTGAAGAGTGTAGCCACACTCCTCAGCTCTATTTGATTATTGCTTTGCACAGTGTGGGCCCAATAGCAATAATCCCTACCATTTTTCACGAGAAGCCTGGAATCTGGATATTATGTAAAATCACCTGATTTTAAAATATTGGCTCAAATTTTTTGAAAATATTCTGCAAGCCAAAACAATCACAGCTATAGACTGCTGGTGGACATCCTGTGCTCTGTGTCATGTGCCTTTCCATCCGTGGCCACCTGATCCCCTTCTTCCTGACAGTATTGATGGGAATATAGGAGGACTTGTGCCCCTGTAAGAATAAAGAGAAAATATCTACTTCCCAAATGTACTGTCTTTAGTAATATTCTGTAATTAGTAAACATGTTAAAGAAATATCTATTGAATTCTATTTTATTAGTGTTTCTATAAGGATTAAAAGGATGATCAAAAGGATGACCTATTGTGCTGTTTTTTTGTATGTGAATCTCATAGTGAATTGTTTGCTCATGTGCTTTATAATTGTGGATTGTGAACTCACCTTCATTGGAGTTTTTTCTTGAGATTCCCATGAGGCTATACTGAAGAAGAGTTGCTCTACAGTGATTTTGCATTTTATTTCTGTCAGGTACCCTAAAGGTTTTTTCTGCCCAGGGCCTCTTTCATGTTAATTTCATTGCTTACTTCTTGGATCATTTAGACAATGTAAATTTGAATTGCACATTCAATGTGGGCAGGCCTATTGGTTATTGATTTCCTAAGGAATTCTTTTTTCTTCTCATTGAAAGTGCTGGCCAAGGAGACAACTGTCTTTGTCTTCCTCCTTTGCCAGTGAGTGGGTTTGTTCTAACCTGCCTTTGTCTTAAGGAGTAGTCCTGTAAGGATCCCAGCTTTAAATAGAGGTCTCAGTTTCAGCTCCCTGCTTTCTGTGGGCCCAAGGCCTCATCTCCTGCATGGATATTAGGATACAAAGCCCTTGACTCAGTTGGAGGTAGACCACAGGGCTCATTCAGCATCATCCCACATATGTAGAGTCTCACTTTTTCAATTCTAGCTGTTTTTGGCACTTGAGGGTTTTTTCTTATGTTCTGGTGAGCTAAGCTATGCATTTGAAATGGTGTTAGTTGTATTTTTTTTCATTGCTTTTACATGTTTTATAACCAGAGAGTTCTCCTAATAGTGCTGAAAACAGAAGTGTTGACCATTTCTTTATTGGCCTTTTAAAGTATTATAAGACTTTAAAATACAAAGGGAGTTGAACCTTAGTTTAAAAATAATACAACTTTCTTATTTCTAAATGGAGTCATTTTCTGAACACATTTGTGTTCAGAAAGATGATCTTGCCATTTCTAGGGTTAATCTTTAAAGATCCGTATGCGCTGATTTACTTAAGAGACAGCGATCAACCATCAGTGCTGGGTTTACATTAAGGAATAAAAGATTAATATAGGAAAAGAACATTATTTATTGCCATAGTTTAATGAGTTCCATAACTATACAATGGCCGCCTTTCTATGATAATAGACTTAGTGCTGCACATGTTTTCTGAAGAATGGGAATAATATATATTTAGAAAAATGTGTATTTCTTGTTCTGTTAAGATTTACTTGATTTTCCTCTGCTCTTTCAGTGAAAAGCTACTGAAGTATGACCACTACCTAGTGCCGTTCACTCTATTTGAATTGGCATCTTTGTATAAAAGCCAGGGGGAAATTGACAAGGCCATAAAGTTCCTAGAAACTGCAAGGTAAGTGTTGAAGGCAGCTTTTCCTTGATTGTTATGGAGTCAGAAATGTCAGTACTGCTCTAACAACAGCAGTAACATTATATACTTAACAATTAACAATGTCAAATTAGTAATAATGCTACTTTTGCTAACTTCTGGTTGATTTATGCTCATGGCTTTTGCTGTAATTGTGCTGTTTCCAACCCTCTTACTGCCTCACCCTGTGACTGTTTACAGATATGATTATGGGCATCTATTTGAAAGATTTCTAACTTATTTTATTCTATATCAGGGGTTGGCCAGCTTTTTGTGTAAATGGCTAGATAGTAAATATTTTTAGCTTTATAGCATAAAGTCTCCATTGCAACTACTCCATTATATCAAAAGAAGTCATAGAAGGTAATATGTAAACAGATGGGTATGTTTAGATTTGGCCCTTGGGTCCTAGTTTGCCAACCTTCATTGTATTCAGCCATACCTATTATTTCCTTGAAGAGCCATTGATCTTGTGAAGCTTGCAGATCTTACCCAGACTCTGTTTTTTCTGTTTATTGCGGCAGTTTCAAAGTATTTTTATCAATTCTGGTAGACAATAGCTTTTAGACCTGTGGTCATGGATCACTTAGGTAAGGCAAAAACCCTGTGGCCTGTTTGCCTTGAACACTTTCTGCAGTAGAGAAAGAATGCCAGACTAGCTCTAGGTCATAAACAGTGATTTGTCCATTTATTCAAATTCAGCAGTTATTCACTGAGCACCTATTATGTGTCAGACACTACTAGTAAAGGCTTTAGAGAGACAACTATAAACTAAGCAGGCAATACTTCTGCTCTGTTAGCCAGAGGGAGATACTAAATAGACAAGAAAAATATCAGTGGTATATGTTTGCTGAGATTTATAATATGATACATGGTGCCTGGGTGTTACTTCAGGATAGATTGATTCTGAAATATTTCCTTGGGGAAATGATATTGTAGCTGAGATTTGCATAATTAAAGCCAATCTTGAGATCAGTCATCAGAAATCAACCAACTAGGTAGGGAGCATTCCTGACAGAAGTCACAGTTAGTGAACATCTGCATTGAGGAGGTTGAGCCACTGGGTCAATGATGATGCTTTCTGCTGTGCTGGGGAATACTTAGAAGAATGTATTTGGGGAGAGAACGAAACATACTTCTGTTCAGACCATGATTCTTTAAGATGGCTATTAGGTACTCATATTAGGTAGATGGCAAGTTGGCGTTCATACTTAGCATGAAGTTCAGTGATAAGGTCAGGGCTGAATGTAGAGATTGCAGTCAACAGCACAGAGACAGTAATATTTAAAGCAATGGCGTGTGATGAAGTCATTTTGTGAATGTTATATAGCTAGAGAAAGAGGTCTAGCACAATGTCTGGGATATGCCATCTTCTTAGACATTAAATGATAAGATTAAGAAGATTAAGAGAGTTAGGAAGACATCTAGGAAAGCCAACCAAATAGTGTTTCAAAAAGAAGAGCATGGTCAGTTATGAGGGCAGCAACTAAGAGGTCAAACAAGTTAAGACCAGAAAAGTGGCTGCTGAATTTGGCAGCATGAGTATCATTGGTGACCTTGACAAATGAGGTGACAAACAAAATGGAGTCCGCTACTTTAGGCAACTCTTTTAGGATGTTTGCTGTGAATAGAACATCGTAATGGGGCAAAAGCTTTACGGGCATGGTAGAGCCAAGAAGGGCTTCCTTAAAATATTTATATATAGGTGATATGAGAGCAAGTTGCTTTTAAAGTTAATTTGTTGGGAGTATGACCAATATTTCATGTGTTAGATATAGATATCTTCAAATCCAGCTATTGGAAAATTATGGATTATAAATGCTGCTGTTCCAAATATTCATTATTTGAATATACAATGTATAATAAGGCAACTTTATAAGATAAAAATAAAAGACTAGTAACTCACTGCTAAAAAGCAATGAAAAGCCTCCACTAACTCAAGACAATACTGACAATTCAAACATAAAGATACTTCCCAGTAATTCCAAGACTATTATCTGCACTTTCCCTTTATGCATTAGGAGCTTTGCAAAGTTGCCCACATTGGTGGCATTTAGGAAAATACTCAATTCCATCTGTCGGTAAACTCCAGTAACATATTGATTTTAGTTTATGAATAATACATTTTACTAACCCACATCAAGATTACCAGTGAGTAGCCCTTATACCTGTTCAAAATGAAGGGCTATAGAAATAAGTGCCACTGTAAAGAAAGCAGTTATAGCTCACCCATGGGCCAAGGCAGTATGTAAAAGTATTCCATTTTTCTGATTCTTAACAATTCTGGTAAAGGGAGGTCAACATAAATGCTCTTAGGCAGGTTTTAAATAATCTTTGGATTTCTATGGCCCCCTTTAAAGACATTGGCCTAATTCTTATGTAATTATTGGCCAAACCATTGATATTTACATGTGAGAATTGGAATAAGTAATTTTGACGTCATTAAGTAATTCTGCTGCCTTTGTTGCAGTTGTTTCATTTGAGTTTCTTGAGTGATCGATCATGTGATCATGCTAACCATGTTTATATGCACCTACCTTAAAATTTTCCAATTTAAAAAAGGAAGTCTAATTATTTAGGACTAGTTCACAAAATTTGTACAGCCCTTCTCACAACTTCTTGCTATGCTTGTGAATGATTTGGTAATTAAGCAGAACCTTGCTACTCAAAGTATGACCTTTAGATGACCACCAGGAAGCTTCTAGAAATGCAGATTATTGCAGTTCCCCCCAAAACCCCCCAACAGAACCAGAATCTGCATTTTACTAAGATCTACGGTTATGTATATTAGAGTTTGAAAGTAAGTAAGTAGATCAGAGAGAGGAATGGGAGAGTGGTGGTACCTGGTATATAAGGAAATTTTGACTGTACAATTTTATTGTTATTGTCTTCAGGAACAACTACAAAGATTACTCCCTGGAGTCCAGACTACACTTCAGAATTCAGGCAGCTCTTCACCTCTGGAGAAAACCTTCCTCAGATTGATCAGAACTTGAAGGATGGAATTTTTCCTCAATTAGCATCGGCATCTGCTATAGATTCAACCTTATATTAAAGTGGAAAAATGATCTTGTGAATAAGAGACAAAAAAACAGTTTTTTTGGTCAATATTTTCTATCATCTGAGAGATTTACTGTTGGTCTACATAATTTTTTTTCCTATGGAATGGCATTCTATATTATCTAGAAAATTCTTATATTTTGCCTCCCCCAAAAGAATTTCATATTATTTGAATTAGGGGGCGAAGAAGTCTTTTGAAAGACTTGCAGATGCAATAGTCTAATTAGATTATTTATTTTTTTAATGTGAAAATTAATATTGTTTAGCAAATAGCTTACAAGTTGAGCCAATTTTGGATTTGTTGGGTAGTTAAACTTCAGAGATATTTTGTTGCCTGTATTTAAATTTCAGAAGATAAATAAATATCATTGCATTTAAAATAGCTTAACAGTGACCTTCAGAAGACTTCTGAAAAAGACAGTCTGAGAACATGAACACGGATCGATATAATGTACTTCATGGGTTGAAGAGACCTTTCTCTATAAAGGATGATGCAGTATTCAGTTAGTGGTTTTTTACTCTTCATTTGATTAAAGGTGGTGACGTTTTGGAGAGACTGATTTTGAATGTACTTAAGTCTATTATAATAACAAAATTCAAAACCCCTGTGTATCTAAAGGGAAGGAAGTGTCATATTTTAGGAATTTTTCTTAACCTTAGCAATGAGAGCCTAAAATACATACATGGATTATTTTTCTTCTAGGAAGTAAATTTCCTGCTGCTTTAAATGATATGTAAAATATCAATAATTTTTACACTTAAGATGTTGGTAAGACCTAGTTTTCTAATCTCTCTAGCACTGTGATGTCTCCTTGTAGATAATCTGGACCTTGCTTAGTCCTTTAGTTGGGAAACAGAATCAGGGCATAGAGCAGAAGAGAGCTTGACACTCCATATGGTCCTGGTTCTGCTACCCATTAGCGATTAGTGAGGAGACCTTTAGGGAGTCCACTGTGCCCTGTGTGTCACCACATTTTCTTCTGTGAAATCAAGATTAAAGAACAGATGACTTTCAAGGTCTTTTTCAGTTTTATAACTGTGAGTCTATGTATTAGGTATTTATTTTCAACAAATGACTTTAAAATGTCGAATGCAAACCATTCCCACTTGGAGTGTTTTATTTTTCAATCATCATCATTGCCCCCAACTCCCCACATGTATGTGTTGTGGCATCCAGAGTGAGAAAAGACAATTTATGAGTTGATGAATCTGGGCCTTATTTCTATTTCCATTTTGAAGAATAACTTGTCATAGAAGCCTCTGCAGTTTAACAGAAGGAGCCACATATTGGGAGTCACGAGTTCATCTCTGTGGGTTAATAGTTCCATGACACGGAGTACGTAGCTCAGCTTTTCAGGGGTTCAGTTGCCCCACTATGGATAGCGGTGTGGTATTTGGTACTTGTGAGGGCTCAATTAGATAAAACATATGATAGCTTTTTGTAAACTGTAAAAGGCTATACAAAAGTATGAATTATTATAATAATTATGGTTTTTTATGTCTGGATTACAGTATCAACACAAAAGTATTGGCTGATACTGTGGTTTGTGTTGTAAAATGAAAGAAGTGTAGAAATTCAAATACCTTACTGTGTATTCATGTGTTTGATGTTGACAGTAGGCTACCCAGGTTATATGAACCTGCTCCTGCCGTTCCCTGCCACATGGACCTGTATCAAGCAGTGTGTGGCTTGTTTTCTTCAAGGTACTGATTCTTGACCAACACTGAGGATGTATATCCAATGAAAGATAGATATCAATGGCGGTAGATATCAATGTGTTATTAGTAATACAACTTTAGGTACAGACAAAATAGAAAATAAAATTAACTGTCATTATAATTAGTAGTGGAAAATACATTAAAAATTATTTGTGTATAGCTTTGGAAAAAAGTTTTCCAAAAAAAGCTTTTTGGAAAAAAGCTCTTAGAAGAGCTTTGGTAACATTATTTTTGAAAGCGCACACTCACATTGTGACTGTGGGTATACTGAGCATATATTCTTACATTGTTACTGTGAGAAGCTGCAAGTCAGTGCTGCAAGTCAGTAACAAATTCTCTTTTGGGGATAAAATGAAACAGTTTTAAGCTTAGAGTGGCCATTTTTATTTTAACTCTGCATTACTAAACAAATATAAAAGAAATTCATCTCCATTTAAAAATCTTTTTTGTTATTTATATTTTGTTTTATTTTTGTTTCCTATTCTTTATGCAGTTACCTGATACTATGGACAGTATATCCAGTGGATCTTTTAGTACTGTAATATCAAAATGCTACAAATATTTATGTTTCCTGCTATGTTCAAGATATTGTAGTGGCACCAACTTCTTGGGCATCAGCTAATATTGCATTTTGGAGTCATTAGGGTGTTCTGTGAAGAATGAATACTGAAGTGACAGTTTTATCTAGTTTTTTGAGGGGCATTTATGATGGGGTTGGGTTGCCATTGTGTCTGACAGTGCAATTCATGTAGTTCCTGGCATAATTGCCTTTTTTTTTTCCTTAATGGAGAGGCAGGGTTCTGATTGGTGCTGTATAAATTTAAGTAACTTTGTGCTTTGTAGGAATGGTGACAAGGAAGGCATGATTTCCCCCTGACAAGGAATGAAAGGTGAACTGTATCAGCTCTTATCTGGACATATATGTTAATGTTTTCTATGCTCCCTGATACAAGAAGTTTCCAAGTTATATAGGAAAATTAAGTCCATTGATCCTGTCTTTATCCTCAGAGGGCAGAAATGAGACAAGTGGATAAAGGCTGTAGGAAGCTGAATTCCAGATTAATCAGTGCCGAGGAAGATTTTTCATTATCGGAAAACCCAACAGTCTAAAATCAATAACCAGTTCTTCTGCAAAGGGGTGAGTTTAAGCAGGGCTAATGTGACTGTCATTTCTGCCTGTCCTGCAAGCTTAGACTAGTTGAACTTTGAGGTCACTCTATGATTCTTTTATTAGGGCTTCAAATCAGCAGGGAGTGTGTAAAGAAAAAATGCTCCCCCCCTACCATTTCAAATAAAAGTGAATGTTTTCTCTTTCAAAGCTACTATTAGAGGTAGTTGTGATAGACACTAACAATCCCCGGTGTTAATACTTTCCACTCCTTTTATTTTATTTTAATTTAATATTATTTTATTGAGACAGAGTCTCGCTCTGTCACCCAGGCTGGAGTGCAGTGGCGTAATCTCTGCTCACTGCAAGCTCCTCCTCCCAGGTTCACGCCATTCTCCTGCCTCAGCCTCCCGAGTAGCTGGGACTACAGGCGCCCGCCACCACGCCTGGCTAATTTTTTGTATTTTGAGTAGAGACGGGGTTTCACCGTGTTAGCCAGGATGGTCTCGATCTCCTGAACTCGTGATCCACTCCTTTTTAAAGTGAGTCTAGTCTGTTGATCTTCATAAATAGGAGGGTTTTCCTCCAGCTTGGACATTAAAAATAATTTTTAAAAAGATCTTTGTGGCTAACTGGAAAATCTTCTGGAATTATCTAATGCTTCATTCATTTCCCTCCATTTCTGTTTTTTTTTTTTGTATTTATACTCTGCATATTTAGAAATCTTAAATTCAAATACATTTAGTTAAAATGAGTTGACGAAGACTCCAGTGATGTTTTAATACCCTAAGATTTTGTGATTCCTTGGGCCTGGAATGGATCTTAGAAAATTACCTTGCCCTCATGAGCCTGTAAACCGTGTTGTTTCCCCTCAGTCTTGCTCTGTCCAGTACAGTAGCCCCTCGCCACACATGGCTGCGGAGCACCCGGAATGGCTTACAGCACATGTGGGAATGGTGCTGAATGCTGAGGAAGCATTCACTCATACGTGCTGCACTTCTTAAAGGCCTCCCAATAGCCTGCTTTGCGGAGTTCTGGCTTTTACTTGCTGTCTACTATGATCACCTGATTTGTGCTTCACATACATATCTGTGAAGTTTGCTTTTTCTATTTAAAGTGCCCTTAAACTTTCATTTGATCGTGTTTATCTGCAGATGGTCAGTGTCATTGGCATATTTGAACATTATTCTGCCCTCCCTCCGCCAAACTCCTTATGTACTAGATTAAGAAATTTTATTTTTGAGATGATGATTTTAATTTGATTTTACAGACATTCTTTTTTACAAAGTACAGTTGTTAGAGTTATAGAAGAGTGATTCACATCTTTGAGAAGATAGATTTCATGATTAATATATATATTTTTTGAGACAGAGTTTCGCTCTTGTTGCCCAGGCTGGAGTGCAATTGCACGATCTAGGCTCACTGCAACCTCTGCCTCCCAGGTTCAAGCAATTCTCCTGCCTCAGCCTCCCAAGTAGCTGGGATTACAGGCATGTGCCACCATGCCCAGCTAATTTTGTATTTTTAGTAGAGATGGGGTTTCTCCATGTTGGTCAGTCTGGTCTCGAACTCCCAACTTCAGGTGATCTGGCCGCCTTGGCCTCCCAAAGTGCTGGGATTACAGGCGTGAGCCACCATGCCTGGCCCAATATTTTCTAAGATAAAATTATTCTGAGAAATCTAGTGGAATCTTTTCCATTGCTTTGTTATTAATGTTTCAACACTGACTTTCTCAACTAGGCCAGTATTACTATTTAAAGGTTTTTAGAGGCTGGCAATGGTGGCTCACGCCTGTAATCCTAAAACTTTGGGAAGCCAAAGTTGGGGGGCGTCACTTGGGACCAGGGGTTTGAGGCCAGCCTGGGCAATACAGTGAGAACCTGTCTTTACAAAAAAAAAAAAAAAAAAAAAAATGAGCCGTGCATGGTGGAGTGCACTTGTAGTCCTAGCTACTAGGGAGACTTAGGTGGGATAATTGCTTGATCCCAGGAGTTTGAGGCTACAGTGAGCTAAGATCATGCCACTGCACTCCACCCCAGGTGACAGAGTGAGACCCTGTCTCAAAAAAAAAAAAAAAAAAAAAAAAAATATATATATATATATATATATATATATATATATATATATATATATAAAATAAAGGTTTGTGGACACATGTTACCCATTTAGAGAATAATTTATTTTTGAATGTGTATGATACCTAAGTGATATGCATATATATAATTAAGACATTTTAAATCTCTTCAGATATTTCTTCATAAGATACATGTATCTATAGATAGCTATATACAAAACTACTTACAAATAATAAATAGACATTGTTTTATACAGTTCTTTCCAAAGAAATGCAGGATTTCTTATCCTAGTCCTTCCTCCCCGAGTCCAGTTATTTACATATTTTTGTCTTTAAGTGTTAGATTGCTTGTTTCTGCTGCCTATTGTTGGTAGTTTTGTCTTTTACACATTTGCTGTTAGATTTAGTTATTTTGAAATGTTGAACTTGAAATGTAATGAAAAGGACACATCAGAATTTATCATCAGGGAAGATATCTTTTATGTTGAGCAGCTGCTATCTGATCTTGACAGACTGTCCTCTTAGAGGACTGTTGAAGTCCATTCTAGTCATTTTGTAACTTCATAACTGCAGAAAGAAATGATGCAAGGACTGTTTAGTGGACTGAGATGGCTGAGCAGGTTCTTGGCCTGAATTATCCAGAGGAGATAGGTGGATCTAGCTTCAGAGGAAGTCTACACCCCATTCCCTTCTGCTTACAATGTACCCATGATATGTGTTTAGCACAGTAATACTGTAACAGGACATCACATGGAAAAATCAAAGCAGCTGGCTCACTGTATTTAACTGAAAAGAATGCCTACAGATTGGATATTTAATAGGGAAAATTAAGGCACTTTAATAACAAACTTCATTATGTGAAACTTGTTGAATATTAACATACAATATACCTTGTATATTAATGCCATAGTTTTTAGAAACACTAATTTAAACAACAAATTTAAGGGGTGCTGGCATATCCCAGTGACACCTTCAGTTTTATTGCTGCTTAGTATTTTCTAGTAAATTAGTTTTAATTATTGGTAGTCTGTTGGGCACCATTTGGGAAAGAAATAAATTGGTCTCAGTGTAGCAGACTTGTAGCCAAAAACTTTGAATAAAAAATAAGTATAATAAAGAATATTATTTCATTTTTAAAGGAATTGTATTATTTTGAAGTGCTGTGTGGTTGATATGGTTTGGTTGTGTCTCTACCCAAATCTCTTATTGAATTGTAGTTCCCATAATCCCCACATGGGAGGGACCCAGTGGGAGGTGACTGAATCATGGGGGCAGTTTTCCCCATGCTATTCTCATGATAGTGATTGAGTTCTCACGAGATTTGATGGTTTTATAAGGGGCTTTTCCCCCTTTGCTCAGCACTTCTCTTTCCTGCCGCCCTGTGAAGAAGAAGGTGCCTTTCTTTCCCTTTGCCTTCCGCCATTATTCTAAGTTTCCTGAGGCCTTCTCAGCCATGCAGAATTGTGAGTCAATTATACCTCTTTTTTAAATAAATTATCCAGTCTCAGATATTTCTTCATAGCAGTGTGAGAATGGACTAATACAATGGTCTTAATCAATTTGAAGGTATGACACTCTTTGCTTTGGAAATCATGTAGACATTTTAAGTCATTCCTATTTTTAATGTAGACAAACGTCCAGGTAGCAATTTTGGGGATAATAAATGAGTTCACCCTTTTTTTTTCTTTTTTTCCCTGAGACAGAGTTTGCTCTTGTTGCCCAGGCTGGAGTTTAATGGCACGATCTTGGCTTACCACAACCTCTGCCTCCTGGGTTCAAGCAATTCTCCTGCCTCAGGCTCCCAAGTAGCTGGGATTACAGGCATGTGCCATCACACCCGGCTAATTTTTGTATTTTTAGTAGAGACAGGGTATCTCCATGTTGGTCAGGCTGGTCTCGAACTCCTGACCTCAGGTGATCCGCCCACTTCAGCCTCCCAAAGTGCTGGGATTACAGGCGTGAGCCATCATGCCTGGCCGAGTTCAGCTTTTATTCACATTTTTTCCCCAAAGTGATTTATTCTTCAAAGTAGACAGTTATGTTCTATAGAGTGTTTTGTTTTTTCTTTAAGAAAATAATTTACATAAACAGAGATTATGGTAAACATTTTAAATCTTAGGCTGTTGGTTAAATTTAATGGTTTAAGCACTGTTGGGTTCTCTTTAATTAATATTTGCAGAAGGAGAACATATGTGTTTCACTGATATGTATGGTCCAGAAAAATTACTTAATTCTCAAAAATATGTTGCATTCTCATATTGTGTTAGGGAAAATTCCATAAGTAGTCTATTTTTTTTTTTCTTTTGCTGACTGTTAACATCCAAACACCTGAATGAAAACTGACTCATTTCTGTATTGGTGTTTAAAAATATTGATTTGCAGATGTTCACAGAACACTTGCATTTTTTGATTCACATTGCTAAATCAAATGTAAAGGCAAATATGTATATTTAATAAATGAGAAGTATTTTTTTATTACTGAAATTTATTCTCAAAGCAAATGTATTTTGTAGATGTTTCATTTGGGAGATTTTGCTTTGCCTTAAAACATACAAAATAAACCTGTCTTGTGGTCTGCCCACCTCAAAACCTCTGTTAACTTGACATGTAGAAGGAGTTCAGAATTCTTTGATAATGTGTGGTTTTCACTTTTGTTTGGATTAAACAAAAATAAAATTAGAGTCCATAGCACTTTGTAAACTAATGTGAAGTTTCTTGTTGAATCATAAAAGCTACCTGTATGTACTTTATAATTTAATGTTCTGTTAGTAAAAATTGTCAGCATTTTATCTTTTTCTCTTCTCATTACATTTTAGTCTCCAATCTTTCCCACTCTCAGCAGTCACAGTTTTGCAGAGCAAAACATTTTTAGAAACTGAATATGTGTGAGTTCTATATAAAATGAATGTGTTAGTAACATCCATCTGCTGATCAAGGAGGCATTGGATCTGGTACTAGAAGGTGAAATTGATTGTAGCTATCAAAGCATTTTATCAATGTAAGTCAAGAAAAAAGAAGAAAACTGTGAACCTCTGATATTTTTAACATAAAAACTGTTCCCAATGAGTGTTCTCTTGCTGATTTTGTGTTAATGTTATTGTCTATGATTTTTAAGCTAATGCTAATATAAAATCTAAAATTTCAACATGATGACAACAATTCCTGTAGCCTGTTTTTACCATTAGGATGTTTTTGAAAACAGATGTCATCTTAGAAATTATATTTTTAAGTGCAAATAAATCATCCTGACTTGAAAGTCAACACATTTTATTTTTCATTCCGTAGTATCACAGAATATGCTGCATTTAGATACAGGTTTAATTTGCCAGATTTTCTCAAAATTCTGTATTTTTATATTGCTACAACTGGTTTACTTAACATGCAATTGAATTGTTATTTAAATAAATTACATTTGATGGAATTGGAGTCTTATTCTGGTTGGTCTACATGTGGAAGCAGTACACGACATCTGTTTTGCTGGTCTTTAGTTGTCAATGTGATATAAACTTGAATTTTTGTTTCTTGGTAAGACTTTTTTTAAAAATCATAACATACAGTTATGAAGGCCCTTCTCGGTACCAAGTTCTTGCCCAAGTCCTGGGCATGAAGAGATAAATGGGATGGTACAGTTGTCTCAAGGAAGGATTGCCTTTTATATCATCTTTTTGTAATTTATTTAATAGCTCAAAGATTAGCTGCTGACATGTTCAGTTTAAGGAGGAATCTTCAGCATTCAGGGTATAGCACAGTGGAAGAAGTAATAGGCTCTGGGAATCAGGAGATCTATATTTGAGGCTGGCTTTGGCTAGACTGTGGCCTGTGCTCCCCCTCCCTAGCCATTAACTTCTCTGAACTTTGCCTAACACAGCTGTAAAATGGGGACCATTCCACTACTTTATTCACCTCTAAGGAGGATCAGAGAAGGGGGTATGCAAAACCACAAAGGGCTAATCCAAGATTAAATTCTTCCCCTCCTCCCCTATGTGAGATAAGGCAAACAGATGTCCATCACAAACCAGTTGTTTCTGTCAGAGGGTGGGTTTTCATGATGTGATTCAGTAATCGCGGTTCTTTCAGTCTTGTGGCTCTGCTGTCTTCACACATCTGCTAAGGTCACTGTGGTCTTTTGCATCAAGCTATTGAAGGGGACAAAGCATGGAGGGGTGTGTGAGGAAGGTGGTACATATCTGTTTAAGTTCCGTTAGCTAGAACTCAGTCACTGCTTTGCCTCATGACAAAAGAGGCAGAGGAATATAGTCTAGCCATGGGCTCAGGAAAAAGAGGCAATGGGTATGGTGAACAGTTAGCTTGTCTCTGCCACATTCCCACTTGGGCTGGGTCCACTGTGATTCTCCCAATGTGTCCCATGCCTTCCTGCTTGTCTTTCCTTTGTTCTTTGGCATGAGAAGCTTGATAGATTTATGAATGCATCAGTTACAACTCAGTGTAATCAACTTGAGCTTGTTTAAAAACAAAAACTTGAACAGCTATCTAGTAAATGGATAAAGGGTGCCTGTGGAATTCAGGGGCAAGAATGTGGGAGATACTCAGGAAGTATTTAAATTCAGAATAGAAAAGCTTTAGAGACTTGGAGAATATTTCTTCTGTCTCTCCTGTGCTTCCTGAAGAGACTTGATGGGAGGAATATGTCCACAACAGCAAAGGCTTATTTTCCTCTCATGCTCCATCTCTATTTCAGGCCAGGGAGGGATCAGCTCCATATTATCCTCACACAGGGCCCTGGATTGCCAGAGACTCCACTATCTAGAATGAGAAGAGGAAGGAGGCATGGTGTATATAAAATGGTCTTGTTGTAGGACTTTCTCCTTAGTTCTGTTAAAAGCCGGGTTCTTGTTACACTACCTTGAAAGATTAGGCTCACAGACACTTTGAAGGGTGAGAACGGCAGGGTTTATTAGGTGAAAAGGAAAAAAAAAAAAAAAAAAAAAGAGGAAACAGGGATGCTTGGCAAAGCAAGAGTCCTGCTAGCAGGCTTCCCGCCTCACAGATTGAATCCCATGTACCACCTCGGAACAGGAGAGGCCAGGCTCTTCCCCACTGCAAATAGCGTGAACTTCCCGAGGCTCCACCCCAGTGTATGCTCCACCCCATTGTATACTCTTCCCAGTGCCCAGGCTGGTTGGAGGTTCTCCAGTGACCCCTTTTAACTGGCTGTCTTAGTCTTACAGCTTCCACCTGGAAGTGACATATATTTCATGTCCAAAGCAAATGACACAGCTTTACCTAACTTCAACTGAGCAGGAAAGTACAATGCTAATGTGTCTGGAAGAAGCACCAGAAGTAGATGGTGAGTAGCACAAATGACTATCTTTCTGGTTGCCAGATATCTGATTCACTCTTTTTCCTACACACAAAATACGCTCACTTCTCCACCAAGGGATGTAACAACAAAAATCCCTTCTGGGGCCAGGCGAAGTGGCTCATGCCTGTAATCCCAGTGCTTTGGGAGGTTGAGGTGGGCAGATTGCCTGAGGTCAGCAGTTCGAGACCAGCCTGGCCAACAAGGTGAAACCCTGTCTCTACTAAAAATACAAAAATTAGCTGGGCATGGTTTCAGGTGCCCGTAATCCTAGCTACTGGGGAAGCTGAGGCAGGAGAATTGCTTGAACCCAGGAGGTGGAGGTTGCAGTGAGCTGAGATCGTGCCATTGCACTCCAGCCTGGGCAACACAGTGAGACTCCATCTTGGGGAAAAAAAATCCCTTCTGGTTGTAACATCTCTGTGGCATGCCCTCTTGTCTTATTTTGAATCCAAATGTGGCTCCAATTGATCTGGACACCGTGGGCTTAACAGTTATTTGCCCTCAACACACAATGTATGTACTGGTTTCTGTGGTTTGAATGTGCCCAGTAAAACTCATTGAAATTTAATTGCCATAGTGATGGTATTAAGAGGTAGGACTGTGAAGAGGGCCCATCCTCATGAATGGATTAATGTTATCTTGGGAGAGGGTTTGATATTGCAGGAGTGGGTTTTTGTGAAAGCAAGTCTGGCCCTCTCTTGCTCTCTTTCCTTCTTGCTTTCTTGCACTCTCTTGCCCTTTTGCCTTCCACTTTGGGATGACACAGCATGAAGGCTCTTACCAGATGCGAGCCCCTTGACCTTGGACTTCCCAGCCTCCAGGACTAAGGAAGAAATTTGTTTATAAATTACAAGTCTGTGGCATACCATTATAGCAACACAGAATGAACTAAGACACTGATTGAACAGAAGTGGGATAACCACAGTGAACACTCCCATTTAGAAGATGAAAAGTGAAGCATGGGAAACCACAGTGAGCACTGGTCTGTAATGATTCTGAAATCTCATGTTTTGAGCTTCCATATCTTGAGAATAGAGAATGTTCTTTGATTGGGCCTTGAGCCCATTTCCTGGAGTAGTGCTCTTGTTCATTAGTCTCTGTGGCATCTGGGTTCACCTTCTGAGAGATTTTTTTTATTTTCTGTGATTTTTCTTTGCCATATCTGAAGAGACTGTCAAAGAAATTGCCCTCCCCAGGAGCAGAACAACTTTCTCAACCTTTCCTGCCTCACACTGGGGCCAAAGGATCATTTTAAGTTTCAAAAAGTCAGCCTTTTTCAGTGCAGGTGGTTCTTCAGTAGTACAATTTTCTAAAAAATTTATTCTATTTGATACAGCATCATATGCCAAATAACCACACCACAGTGTGTCTAAGACATTACTCATTCCTGTTGCCTTAATTAATGAAACTTAATATTAACTTGAGCCAATACCATCTCTGGACTGATTTCTGTATTAATTAGAATGGGCTAGCATATGCAACAGTAACAAACAGCCCCACATGTCTCAGCGGCTTAAAATAACAGTTTTTTTCTTGCTCACACTACATGTGCATTTTTGGTCAGTAGAGAACCTTGTTCTGCACTGTGGAGGCCATTGGACCCTCACCATCTAGGATTATACTCATTGCCATGGCAAAGAGAAGTTTGGCAAATTGCATACTGGCTTTAAAAAAAAAAGAATGCCTTTATTGAGGTATAATTTAAATACCATTAAATTTACTCCTTTTAAAAACAGGTCTACATTTAGTAAATGTGTACTTTTGTGCAGCCATCACCATAATCCAGTTTTAGAACGCACCTATCACCTCAAAAAGTTCCCTCTTGTCCCTTTGCTGTCAATCCCTAAACTCAACCTCTTAGGCCCAGGAAAACACTGACCTATTTACAGCTGTAATTTTGCCTTTAATACAAAATTTACTTTGTATTAAAATACAAGATAATGAGTGGTATCTCATTGTGGTTTTTGATATGTATTTTTCTTTTTTCTTTCTTTCTTTCTTTTTTTTTTTTTTGAGATGGAGTCTCGCTCTGTCACCCAGGCTGGAGTGCAGTGGTGTGATCTTGGCTCACTGCAACCTCTGCCTCCCGGGTTCAAGTGATTCTCCTGCCTCAGCCTCCCAAGTAGCTGGGATTACAGGCATGCGCCACCATGCCCAGCTAATTTTTGTATTTTTAGTAGAGATAGGGTTTCATCATGTTGGCCAGGCTGGCATCAAACTCCTGACCTCAGGTGATTCACCCATCTTGGCCTCCCAAAGTGCTGGGATTACAGGCATGAGCCATCACGCCAGCCTGATTTGTATTTTTCTAATGACTAATGATATTGAGCATTTTTCACGTACTTTTTGACCATTTATGTATTTGCTTTGGAGAGAAAAAGCTATTCAAAGCTTTCGCCCATTTTAAAATTTGGTTTTCTTACTACATCTTTATCAGATACGTGATTTGCAAATATTTTGTTCTGTGATTTGTCTTTTCATTTTTTTGATAGTGTCCTTTGACATAAAAGTTTTTAATTTTTGTGAGGTCCAATTTATCTGTTTTGTTTTTGTTTTTGTTTTTGTTTTTTTGGTTGCTTGTGATTTTAGTATCATATCTAAAAGTCCATTGCCTAATCCAAGGTCATACAGATTTATACCTATGTTTTCTTCTAAGAGTTGTATAGTTTAACTCTTAAATTTGGATCTTTGATCCAGTTTGAAGTAATTTGAGTATATGATGTGAGGTAGAGGTTCAACTTCATTCTTTTGCATGTGGATATCCTGTTGTCCCATCACCATTTATTGAAAATCACATTGACTTTTAAAGCTTCCATCCAGAATTTTCACATGGATCACTTCCATCCATATTTCATTGGTCTAAGCAAGTCATGTGGCTATGCCCAGATTCAAGGAGACAGGTAGGTACAATTCTACCCATCTATCCATGGTTCTGAGTTCACATATTAGAATTCTGTGACCCTCTTTCTCAGTACAGGTTACAAGTCCTCATAGGGGGAGTTTTTATTGGCCTAGCTTGGGAGAGGTGTGGTGACCCTCCCTTCAAACAATTGTAACTAAGAGAACAGGGTCATTTGGAACAAACATGGCTGCTGGAAGTTCACCCTATGGACTGGTGAGTGGGATAGTTAAGGGTAAGTGGTCATTATAACCCAGGTAAGTTACCCCCAAAATATCATCTATCATTTGGAATCTAACTCTGGTTTAGGTTACTTGAAAAGTGATCCACAACTATATGTTCCCTGATGACACTTTTGTTTGCAAATGTTGATTGAGTTCCTACTATTTCCTGTCAGACGGCTCCAGGCACTTGGAAAATACTGGTGAATAAACAGATTGTGTCCTTCTTGGAGCTTATATTCTAATGGGATGGGTCAGGCATTACACAATAAATGGGATAAGTAAATTATATAATGCAGGGGTTGGCAATTTAAGGCCCTCAGGCAGACTGCCTATTTTATAAGTAGTGTTCTAGAACACAGCCATGCCCATTCATTTGCATATTATCTACAGCTGCTTTCAAAATACACCAGCAGAGTTGGATAGTTGCAACAGATATCTAAGGCAAACAAACTTAAAATATTTACTATCTGACTTGTTAAAAAAACATTCACTGACCCCTAAATAATCTGTAGAAGGTGATAGGTGCATTTGGAAAGAGAAAAGGTATCCAAGTAAGGGGACCTGGGGATGCTGAGGTGGGGAAGGATGTCAGTTGTAGTTTTAAAAAAGATGGTTACAGCTGGCTTCATCAAGAAGGTCAAGTTAGAGCAAAGACTTGACAGAGGGGAGGGAGCTAAATTGATATCTGGGGGAAGAGCATTTCAGGAAGAAAACAAAAGCCCATACAAAGGCTTTAAGAAAGGGTGTGCCAAATGTGTTCTGAGGACATCAAGGAGACCATGTGGCTGGCCTGAGGCACTGAGGGGACAGTAGCAGGAGACGAGTCACATAGGTGGTTAAGTACTGACGAAAGTCAGATTTTACTCTTCTTGCAAGCTAACAAGGTTAGCCTGCACAGTTTTGTGGATTCTGGCAGAAGACATGAGAATCCTGGGTCAGAGAAAAAAATGCTTTATTACTCATGGCACAACAAGCGTCATGAACACTGGCACATTTGTGTCAATTCCCCTTGCCTGCCAAGTCCCACAAGGGTGATGTGGAGGGGCTCAGGTGGCTGCTGCACCCTCAATGGGTTTGTGTCACAGCAGAGGAGCCTCTCAGGGAACCTGAATCTTTTTTTTTTTTTTTTTTTTTGAGATGGGGTTTTGCTCTTTCTCCCAGGCTGGAATGCAGTGGTGCAATCTGGGCTCACTGCAACCTCTGCCTTCCGGTTTTGAGTGATTTGCCTGCCAAGGCCTCCCGAGTAGCCGGGGTTATAGGTGCCTGCCACCACACCTGGCTAATTTTTGTATTTTTAGTAGACACAGGGTTTCACCATGTTGGCCAGGCTGGTCTCGAACTCCTGACCTTGTGATCCGTCCGCCTCGGCTTCCCAAAGTGCTGGGATTACAGGCATGAGCCATCACGCCTGGCCAAACCTGAATCTTTTATAACAGACTGCAAGCAAACTTTCTTGCCCTTTCCTCGGAAGATAGACATTCTCTTTGCCTCACACTGAACAGTAAGCAAACCTGCCTTCTTCTCTGGGGGGAGACACTATATCTTACAAAGCTGCTCATTCCAAACAGTTTTGAAAAGCTAGTCTGGAACAAAGCCAGTCAGTACCTTTTCTTTGAGGTATGCAGAAAAGCAAGAGACCTATAATATTGTCTCTGAATGGCAGGTTTATAAGTAATCTTCAGAATGTAATGGGGCCATTTAAAAAACTTTGACTTTTACCCTGACTGAAATGAGCAACCATTGCAGTTTTCAGCAAAGGAGTGGCATGGGCTAACAAGTTTTGAAAAGACTGGATATTGAGGGTAGAGTGAGGTGGATGAGGTAGAAGCAGGAGACGAGGCCATCACAGTGACCCAGACCATAGTATGATGTCTGGGGTTTGGGCCTGAATGACCAGAAGGGTGGAGTTGCATCAGCTGAGATGGGCAAAGTGGCAGACTGAGCAGGTTTTGGAGGAATGCTCAGAAGGCATTATGGACATAATGAGTTTAAGATCCTTATTAAGGATCTTATAAGACATCTTGATGTTGAGAGGGCAATTAGATAAATGACACTGGAATTTGGAAAAGAGGCTTGGGTTGAGATAAAAAGTTGTGAGTCTTTGGTATGCAGATGGCATTGAAAGCCATGTGACTGAAGACTTATGAGAAAACCTCAGGAAATGCCTCCAATATTTCATCAGTAATTATGATTTTGGGTGAAATACATGTTCTGTTCACCCTCAAAGCTGAATTAAGCCTGCTAAGATTCAGATTGGATAAAATGTAATATAGATGAAAAATACTAAGCACAAACTTAAAAATGAGGTCTTCTGATAAAACAATTAGGGCCTTTGTCTGGCTTTTTGTAGACTTCCATATAGCTAAAAAAGGCAAAGTGTCATTTGAGCTTTAGAGGAAGGGGAGAGGAAGCCAAGCATAAAATCTCAAATTTTAATTAAGAAAATTTGACAATGTTAAACAAGAAGCAGCTGCGAGGGGGGAGATTTGTGTGCATTTTTAGCCCTGCTTTGAAAGCCTCAGATTGATTGTCTTTGGAGCAGAATGGAGCAAATTGTCACAAATCTTGTTTTCTGAGAAACCAGTTATGTCAACATTACAGCATGCCACAGCCAGCATGCCAAAAATAACACGAAAAGGAACGGCTGCAAATCTATTTAGGATTAAGCCAGTAATTATTGCGTTTGTGATCATTTCCAAGAATTGTTCCTACCCAAATATTAAATGGAAAATAAGAGCTCATTCCAGCCCTGAAAGTTTTCCATCTCATTTTTTTCTTCACTCACTAAAGATTTATGTTAATAAACTATTAATAGTTTTAAACAGAGAACTTCTATGTTGAAATTAAAAGCAAAGTCATTTTAATAATATGTTGGAGGCTTTATATTTTTCTTTATTAAAAGAGAAAAACATTTCTCTTTTTTCTTTTTATTTCTGTGTCTGAAGTTACTTATAACAATAAAACTTCTTAAAACCCAGACTGAAGGCATGTGTTCATTTAAAGTCTTGAGACACCACCTATTTCCTGATCTCCTCTACATTATTAAATAAGCAAATCTTAATTCATCCAAAATTCTAGTTGGCAAACTCTGGGTGACCATGGAGATTAGAGTGGTGATAAGGGAACCGGTGTAGTGATGGAGCTAACCTCTCTTTAATTTGGCTATTAAATGGCTTCTCCGAAAAGAGACGGAATCCCTTATTTCAGGAAAATGGATTTAAAAAAAAATGATTACAGCATAATTATTTTAAAAATACGCTTTAATATTTATCTGGCTGCTTCTTCCCCTGTTCCCATATTCCCCCTACAAGTTAGGTATATCAGCAGATCATGTAAATATTTATAGTACTTGTTAATCTATTAGGAAATGTATATTCTGACATTTTAGCGCCATGGGGGATTCTTTTTTTTTCTCTAATTTTTGTCTGAGATTTATGCATAGCTTTTATCCAGTAGGAAGAAGGACACATTCTTCCCCTACCCTTTCTCGCCCAGGTGAGCTTCCTAAGGCCAAATCACGCAAAGTTTGACCACAAAAGGTGACTTACTGACTAGCTGTCAGAAAGATGAATGCTTCCTTTAAAAATAGCAGCATGGTGTTCCTTGTCAACAAAACTGTGGCTCTTAGAAAGGATGCCATAGGCCTTATGGTTAGGACCGTCTGGGTAGGTTCAGTTCATTTGTAGAACAAAGATTTCTGTTGCAATGCTCTTTTAGCCATCCAGCTTCATTCGTTTTAAGGGCTAGACCTTGTTCTTCAGCCATTTGGCAATCTGTGTATGGAGTACTGGATACAGTGTGGTTTAGTGCAGTGGTTCCCAGCTTTTCACATCTTAAATTCTACAAATCTTTTTTCGGGGAATGGGGAGGACGAGGTGGAGAGGCACCTGTTATTGCTGTCTAAGCAGAAAGTGAGATGGCGTGAGGGTGCGGGGAGGGACGGTATTGCAGATTGGAGCACTACCATGTACCTTTAGGATGCCCTCCTCCTCATCTTCCTAGATGAGCTCTGTGTCCCTAGACTTAGTTTACACAAACACACAAAAAATAGTAAGTGTCCATGATTTTGATTATCAAAATAATCCTTGGCTGGATAATCATTCTTGGGCGATATTGTTGGGGCGAATGAGGGGACTGAGGGAGCACAAAATCTCAATAACTGATGCTAAAACCCTGTGTCCCCCATTTGGTCATGGAGCAACAAGTCAATACCAGGTCAACAGAATCTTCTATACTTAAAATCCATTTTCGTGGCTCTTATACAAGCCACTGGGAAGCCCACACATTCAACATTTGTTCCATTTTTCCTTCCAGATTAACTTTATTTTTCCACATCCCCGATAGTGATTTTTCCATTAACATTTGATGCTCAATTTTCATTTTCCCTAACATTGGTCCCTGGAAGTCTTCCAAAATCTTAGGAAGCATAATAGATTTGATTTCATCTTGTTCCTTTCTCACCTGTTTTTTTTTTTTTTTAATAAAGCTGGTTTCTTTCTTTATTTGAGCAATCTTCTGCTCTCCAAAGGAAGACTCTTTAAAGCTTAGTCCAAAGGAAAAGACTCCTATTCCAAGGCCAGCAAATTTCTTCCTCCACGTGGCCTCTAGCAGCCAGCCAGCCACCAACTGGCCTCTTGTTACAGCCTTTTGTTGACTCTCTTATGGATGCTGCTAACAGTCTCTAGCTTTCCAGCCACTTTCAGCTCTTCTGACAGTAGCCCCTTTTTGGGAAGGACCTGGAGATGAGGCTAAGGCTGCGTTGTTCCCTATCTTTGTTGGATGTGTTGCAATAAAACAACACAGGTAATTCACATTTGAGCTGGAGATTAAACTCAGGTTGGGCTTCCAAGCTGTCACCTGGGACAGTCATTGAGGTTGTGCTTCTTTATCCTGGTTTGTGGCTTGGACGTTTGTTTAGCCTTAAAACAGGATTTCAAATGACCAAAGGAGATTCTGTTGGACTTTTCCTTGGCAAACTCAGGAAGGTATGTCGTGCTTTCAGTCTTCACTGGCTGAGAATGATAGATAGAAGGAAAGCTGGGAACCTCCTAGGCCTTTCATCCCATTCTGAAGTCTCTGGGTTCAGACCTCAGTTCGTGTGTAATGTGGACGATTGATGATTGCAATGGATGTCATTTTTGTTGTTATTCCAAGCAAATGTACACTTTTTTCTTCTCTATGGTATATTTTATTTGTTTTGTTATACCAAATTGTTCAAATAATGTTGAGTATCAATGACCGGGCACCTACTGAAATAGGAAGGGTTTTAAATGGTAGGCAATTATACAAAATTAAAAGGATGAAAATGGCAATTAATGGAAGAAACACAGATACCAAAAATGAAATATTAAGAAAAGAGTAGAAAGTCTGCCAATAGGACATTCCATTCTTTAGTTTGGGGAAAGGCCCTCATGCAACATTTTCTGTGCATTTCCAGTGGGCATAGGTGTCTAAGTTCTAAAACTTCTTTTCTAAGTAGGCCTAATTCAGAGAACCCAGCTTATTAGATATAAGTGCAAGAAAACAAGCTTTATAGCCATTTACCTCCACCCTTTGACTGAGTGGGGAAAGGGAAAAAGGAGGGAATTAAGGTCCCGGCACTCATGCTTCAAGGCCAAGAACTGCATTGTGGAGATCTGTCTGGGGAGGGTGGCTGTCACGCTGCAAACCTCAGAGGTGGGCACTGTCAGCCCCATCTGCTCAGGAGGGATAACAATGCTGCTGGTGGGACTTTGGGCAGATCATATAATAGCGTGGACCAGAGTCTGTTGTTTCCAGATGCCCCAGGGGAAGGCCAGAGAAAGGCTCCTTCTGAGTGAGGCTGACTGGGGGTAGTCAGAGCACTTATGTAGAGTGGCTAGGCTTTATTGGAGCAGACCAATACAAAAAAAGTACTAAAAAAACCAGTTTCACTAATAATTAAATGAAATTCCACTCACTGCACTTTAACCAATAAAATATCTTTGTTTTTTTTTTGTATACTAAACCCTACGTAGACTTGAACCAATTCAGAAGACAGTCTGTTGGCCAAAGGGCAAAATCCACAGCACCAGGTAGCATTTGCTTGAAGTTCCAAGGCACCACGAGAGATTGCTTTCCCCCAAGACTACCAAGGCAGTGTATATATGTGTGTGTGTTCTTGTATGCACACACAGCACACAAAGGACAAGTCTCTTTGCCTTGTGCAGAAATATTCTGATTGTTTCAAGATTGAATGAGCTTTCCCGCTTTCCCACTTTCCCACCTTGTCTTCCACCTGTGTGAAGTTCGTCCATGAGAGGGGTCTGCCCCACTGAAAATCTCCCATTTGGTTTTGGAGCTGCAGGAGCAGCAGGCTCAGGCAAGTGCTTCAATCCACTTTGCCAAGCTTTCTGCTGTACTCCAGACAACTTGGCATGCTGCAGCAGGGGCAAAACACTGACGTCCTCTTTTCCTTTTTTTTTTTTGAGATGGAGTCTTGCTCTTGTTGCCCAGGCTGGAGCAACCTCCGCCTCCTGGGTTCAAGTGATTCTCCTGCCTCAACCTCCCGAGTAGCTGGGATTACAGGTGCCCGCCACCATGCCGAGCTAATTTTTGTATCCCTAGTAAAGACGGAGTTTTGCCATGTTGGCCAGGCTGGTCTCGAACTCCTAACTTCATGATCTGCTCACCATGGCCTCCCAAAGTGCTGGGATTACAGGCGTGAGCCACTGTGCCCAACCCTCTTTTCCTTTTTCAAATGTCAATGGAAAGTTGATTGGAAAGGACAATTTGGCTACCTTTTGGTACCCTGCAGGATTACCTTTATATCAATCATTTGCTGATGCAGGGACTTTCAGAAATTTTGTGGTCTCTTGCAAACAGCCTTGGCAAAACATAGACCTTCAGTATGTGTTGAATGAACCCGTGGATTGCTGGTGTCAGAAGTCCTTTCGTGGACTTGCCTCTGCTGGGGACCTCAGGTTGTGTTGCCTTCTGGGAGGGCCACAGAGAATAGACAGAAAAGAAATCTAAAAGATTCTTATGGGTTTAACACAGGACTCGGCCTTAGCATAGAGAGGGGAAGGTTGCAAGTGGAGGCAGTTGCCTCACCAGGACAGTGGCTGGGCAGAATGGTTTCACAGAGCAAGGTGAATAGACGGAGTGGAAGATGATAGAGATTGCTGAGGACACAAACTCATGCTGCATCTCTCATGGCAGAGTGTTGGTGCTGCTATTTGAATATTAGTCAGTGTTCAACAGAAATCACTCTAGGTACTTTAAGAAGAAAAGAATTTAATACAGGAAATTAGGTGCTTACAAAATCATTAGAAGTGTTGGTCAAGTAGGTTCCAGGTGTGGCATCCATGAATGTTCTTGGGCAGGGGTGCCTGAAGTAATCCACCAGGGCAGACGTATTCAGGCAACCTGAACATCTGGCACAATAGCAGGGGTAGAGGGGGAGGCAATTCCTGCCAGGAAGATAGCAGCTTCCGGCTGGGTGACTAAGAGGCCACGGCAATCCCCTTAAGATTTGTGGGTGGTTTGGTGACTCCTGGCACCTTCCTTGGTATTGGAAATGCCCGTCCCACAACACTTTTTCTGGTAGCAGCTTTGAGGGAGAAGGGTGGGCAGGCTGGTGGGAGGAGGGTATTTGCCTGCTACTTTCTCTCCAGAAGTGTTCATGGCTACAGTCATCATGTGGGCTTTTTTGTAGGCATGTGAAGGTAGATGGGGAATTAGGGTTGCCTTTCTCTGGGACCTCCAGTTCCCTTTGGTGGTGCTGGTGAGTTCAGGACCAGCCTCTAGCACAATAAGTGTGTGGCTTGTGGGGTTAGTGATCCTGATGAGCCACTCACAGGTATTTATGGACTGACTTCTTCTAGCTGTCTCAAGTTCCTGTCTGTCTGTTAGGTCTTGGCACTGACCACAGGTCAGGAAGCCACATGGTCACATTGAGAGGGCAACTTCCTAGCTAGACCAGGGGTAGTTGCCCTCATGCAAGTCCATGTCAGTGCCTGCTTTAAAGTCTCCCATGGCTTTCAATTTGCATAAGGCAAAAGTCTAAGCTCATCATGTGGCCTCTATGTCTCTATTTGATCTGGGCCTGCCTAAGTCCAACTTCAACTTCTTCTACTCTTCCTTGATCACTTTGTCCCAGCCACACTCACCTTCTCCCTATTCCTGCCAACTGGGCTCACCTCATAGCCTTTGCACTCATCCTTTGCTGTGCCTGGAGTTGACTTCCCTCAAGTCTTTGCTTGGTTCACTTCTTCTCATCAGTTGAGTCCAGCTGTCACCCCCTCAGAGGCTAGATTATCTAGTTATTCTTTAACAAAAAATGGGTGAGTCCTGTATGAGGAAAGTCACAAAATTTAGTGGGAGGTATAGTAGAAGACTTGAATAAAAGAAGAGAGACCATATCTGTGGATAGAAAGATAAAATATTGCAAATATATCAGTTTTTCCCAAATCAATTTCCCATCTCCAGTCAAAATACCAGTGGTATGACAAATAGATTCTAAAGCTGAGAGGGAAGAATAAGCAGCAATAAGAGAATTTAAGAAAGGAAAGTTAGGGGTGTCTTGCCCTATGAGCGCATAAAACATACATCTACTAAAACTGGAAAGGTCTTGTATTTGCAAAAGAAGTGACAGGACAGCAGAACAGATGGGAAAGCCCTGAAACAAGGAATTTAATGTATGATAAAGAAAGAATCATCAATCACTGGGAAAGGCATTATTAAACAAAAAGTATTGGAGTTTCACTCCTAGGTAGATACCCAAGAGAGTTAAAGATGTACATCCACACAGAAACTTGTACATGAATGTTTAAATGTCCATCAACTGATACATGGATAATAAAATACAGTGTACTAATACATTGGGATATTAGCCAAAAAAAAAGTCAGGAGGTACTGATTCATGCTGCTACATGGATGAATTTTGAAAACATTATGCTAAGTGAAAGAAGCCAGATATGAAAGACCACATAAATGATTCCATTAACAGGAAATTCCCAGAATAGATGGAAGTAGCTTAGTGGTTGCCAGGAGATGAGGGGACAGTGGAATGGGGAGTGACTCCTAATAGGCACAGAGTTTCTTTTGGGGATGATGAAAAGAATTCTGGAATTTGATAGTGGTGATAGTTGCACAACTTTGTGTGAATCTACTACAAATCATTAAATTGTAACACTTCAAAATTTTATGAGCTGGGCACAGTGGTTCAGGCCTGTAATCTCAGCACACTGGGAGGCCAAGGCAGGTGGATCACTTGAGGTCAGGATTTCAAGACCAGCCTGGCCAATATGATGAAACCCTGTCTCTACTAAAAATATAAAAAGTTAGCCAGGCATGGTGGCATGCACCTGCAATCTTAGGTACTTGGGAGGCCGAGACAGGAGACTCGCTTGAACTCTGGAGATGGAGGTTGCAGTGAGCCAAGATCGTGCCACTGCACTCCAGCCTGGGTGACAGAGTGGACTTCATCTCAAAAAAAAAAAAAAAAATTTATGGTAAATTTTACATTGTGCACATTTATAGCTCAATAAAAAAGTATTGGGCTGGGCTCAGTGGCTCACGCCTGTAATCCTAGCACTTTGGGAGGCCAAGGCAGGCAGATCACGAGGTCAGGAGATCAAGTACTGCCTGGCCAACATGGTGAAACCTCGTCTCTACCAAAAATACGAAAATTAGCTGGGTGTCGTGGCATGCACCTGTAATCCCAGCTACTCAGGAGGCTGAGGCAGGAGAACCGCTTAAACCTGGGAGGTGGAGCTTGCAGTGAACCTAGGTGGTGCCACTGTACTCCAGCCTGATGACAGAGTGAGATTAAGTCTCAAAAAAAAAAGTATTGGAAAAATAGATTATGCAGATAATCATATCAAGTTAGAGACATAAATCCTTACATTAAATGTACATGAATATTGAGCTGCTCTGAGGATTGTGAAGTTTCTTTGTTTTCTTTTTCTTTCTTTTTTTTTTTTTTGAGACAAGGTCTCGCTCTTTCGCCCCGGCTGGAGTGCAATGGCAAGATCTCAGCTCACTGCAACCTCTGCCTCCCAGGCCCAAGTGATCCTCTCACCTCAGCCTCTTGAATAGCTGGGACTACAGGTGTACGCCACCATGCCCAGCTAACTTATTTTGTTGTTGTTTTGTTGTTGTTGTTGTTGTAGAGATGGGGTTTCACCATGTTGCTCAGGTTGGTCTCCAACTCCTGGGTCCAAGTGATCCACCCACATCGGCCTCCCATAGTGTTGGGATTATAGGCGTGAGCCACTGCACCTGGCCAGACTGTGAAGTTTCAATGGATAAAAGTAATAGGTAAAACCTCAAAGGAAAATATTAGCAGATTTTACTACAAAAAAAGAAAACTTTTGTATGCTAAAACATCATAAAATTTAAAAGTAATAATCTAGGATGGTATTTTTCATAAATATGGCAAGAATAATGTTAATAGTTTTTCTGTTTCAAAATCTCAGTAGCGTAAGAAAAATTCTAAAACTCTAGCAGGAAAAAATGGACATAGGCAATTCAAGAAAGAAGAAATATGCATCATCACTAACTTTTTTATTTTTATTTTTTTGAGATGGAGTCTCGCTCCTTCACCCTGGCTGGAGTGCAGCATCATGATCTCGGCTCACTGCAACCTCCGCCTCCTGAGTTCAAGTGATTCTCGTGTCTCAGCCTCCTGAGTAGCTAGAATTACAGGCGCCCACCACCAGGCCCAGCTATTTTTGTATTTTTAGTAGAGATGGGGTTTCACCATGTTGGCCAGGCTGGTCTCGAACTCCTGACCTCAAGTGATTTGCCAGCCTTGGACTCCCAAAGTGCTGGGATTGCAGGCATGAGCCACCGCACCCAGCCCATCATCACTAGCATTTGAAAAGTAAAAGACAAAGTTTAAACTATGAGATACTCTTCTGTCAGACTGTCAGTGCTTCTATTTATAGTCAGGCTGACTTTTTTTTACATCCCCAGCATCGGAGGGAAAATATGAGTCAAAATTTACAACAAAGTTGTGAAACAGGAGATATTCCTATGTAGATGTGTGTGGCTATTTATATTTTTTAAAAAATTTCAAGGTGCATGTTTTTGCCTTTTAGATTTAATTATTAAAATTTAGCTTGATAGAAACTGGTTTTATTTTTTATAACTCCAATGTATTCTTAGTTTTTTACAAAATTTAACGTATGTTAACAAGGGTTCATTGTAAATTAATTTCTCCTTATAATACTTACTTTTTTTTCTAATAAAACCGGCAAGAAACACCTATACAAAATGCTAAAACTGGCAATGCTCTTGATATTGTTAGGGTTTCTATTTTTTGTCCTTCCTATTTGTGTTGATAGTAGAATATCAATAACTAGATATATTTTCATCAGAAACAATCAAGAGGCACTCCAACAAAAGTCTCCATTTCCTACCACTTTCAGGGTCTGTAGAGGGTGACGGAGCGGTGTAGGAATTGGTAATGGATGCCATGCTAAGAAAGATGAACCCTTCTGCTGTTCCCCCCACCTCCTTTCTGTTAGACTCACTTTATTCATGCCCATTGCAACCCAGACAAACGCATCTCAGACCCAGGAAAGTATGAAGATAGTTCTCCACTGACTTAAGAGCGACTCTGGAAAATCCAGTTCCCTTCGTTACATGGAGGACGTTAAACTGCATAAATTTTCGGTTATTTGATTTTGACATTGTTTTATTGTGAACGGCCTGGGTGTTTCGTTCTAACAACAACTATTCTCTGCTACAAACTAAAGTCCAGAATCCAGCCTGACCTGCCGAATTCTCAGAAAGGGGTTCCTGGAAGATGCTGGGAACTTGGTGTGTGTGAACAGCAACACTGAGTTTGGGAAAAGCAAGAGGTAGCCTTTTGTCTCCTCCTGTCCGTGCTGTTTAGTTAAAGCTCAATCAGGATAATAAGTCTCTTCTGTCAGAAAACCGCGCTAATGAGTTGCAATTTCTCAACATCTTTGGGCTGCTTCTGAAAACTAATTACTGGGAACTGGAGAGTGTAAGAGGATACGCACCCTGCGGATATGTAGTTAATACACGCTTGTCTCACAGGCGCTGAGGGGACAGGCTACTTCATTCCCCCAAAGAGGATCCGCTGGCTTTTCCCCTCCCCATCTTTCAAGTTTTTCTTTTTGAACAGCTTTGTTAATTGAGGTTAAGTGGTTTGGTTGTCATAGAAACCAGTATTCCTCACAGGCTGATTGTGTCAACGGCATCATTAATCTGTTTTCTCAACTGCCTCTTCCTCATCCATCTAATTGCAGTCCCCCTCCCTGCCTTTTTAATGACATCATTTTGGACACTTTTAGGACATCATACGTGAGATTCAGCACAATTTATTTTCTATTCAAATTCCATATTACTATGTGAGTTGCCGTCTTCCCACTCCAACGGAGTAAGATCTCCAAAGGTGGGAGAGAAAGTCTCAATTGAGTATGCCTCAGGTGCAATTTAGTATTCCAAATAAAGGAGGCTTTTGAGGTCTTGCCTCTCCTTACCTCCTGAGTTTTCTTTTTAGAAAGAAAACAGACTTTACATTACTGCTTTTGATGTTGTTCTGGGAACTGCGATCTTGGAACAGGTAAAGAACCCGCCATGTTGGGCCTGTTGGAAGAAGGAGGAGGAAGCCACCCTCCTACCGAGGTGCCCTTGAACCTGGTGAGAGAAAGTGGAGGTCAGTAAGTTGTCTGTTCCTCTGAGAAAACACTCCTGGTGCAAAATACTGTGTTCTTTGTGTCCTTTTGCTTTGCTGTCCATTTTCACACAAAACTGCCCGACAAGGAAAACATGGCTTGGCAGTGGCAATTTGTCCCCTGTGGTTCTAATTCATGAGAAGATTCTCAAGTGATTTGTTCTGCCTTTGTCAGTGGGCCAGATTTTTCTTGTACACCTCCATCCTTATGCAAGGTTGCTAAATTCTCTGTCCATTATTATGATGGGCATATGAACATCGGAGACATTTTGGCATGGGCCCAGGCTGGGGTGGGGGTGAGGGTGGGGGTGGGGGTAGGGGTGTAGCACCTGAGGCCAGCTCAGCACATGCCCCATCCATTCTGCCTCCTGTCCTGGTGATGGAAGAATTTTGAGAATTTTTTTACTGGCCTTACCACTTTACCTTACTGGCCATACCACCTTTCTCCTGGGAAAGCCAGATCTCATCCCTGTTTTGCTCCTGTTTTTATGAGGTGGCACTAAAAAAGCTTGGAAGTAATGTTTACTTGAATGTAGTCAAATATTATTTATACATAAATTGTGTATTACGAATTTTTCCTTATTTCTTAACAGTTGGCACAGTTATATTCTTTACATTTTGTTTTGTGATATTTACTTGACTAGGTTCATATAGTTTTCACATCTCTATTCCTTGGGTGAGACTCCTTATTTCTTCCTCTGTTACCTGATATTTTCCATCTGTGTATTACAATATGCATATCATTTACTTACAGTTAATTTGAAAGTATGTGTTTTCAAAACATGAGTTAAGTTATTTAAGTTAATCACATTTCTATCCTGTCCAGCAGCGTCCCCAACATGTATTATTTAGTCAAAGTATTTGTTGGAGAAGTAAGTGTTGACTCAGGACTAAAACAATTTTGACTTTTTGCCAAACCAGTTTACAATAGGAAAAAACACCCATTGGTGTTGACTGTCAACAATGGTAATAGAGTTGATTAGATTTAATGTGTTTACTCTTTAAGAAGCATTTCTAATTCAGACCAAAGGAATGAAGCAATGCATAAGGAAACTACACAAAGCAAGTTGATGGCTAAGATTGTGCTTCTGCAATTTTAAGTTAAACAAATTTAGTGACACGAAATTTGATCTGGGGTGTGAAAGAGGGACTAGAATGACTCCCAGTTTTTTGGCACAGGTTCCTGGAAGAAAGTCAGCGATACGGGGATGAGTGGGTTGGCAGGATGAGTGGGGATGATGAGTAAGCCGAGTTGAACACATCAAGTTTGACTCTAAGCTAGCACCTCTGCAGAACTGAATTGGGCACCTGTGCGGTGCTGAAGAGTAAAAGACAAAGGAGTCCACAGGTTATGTTTTTCCCAGGTGGCCAAGCCTTTAATGCATAAATGTGGAAGCAACATGTCTAATATAGTTTCAATCCAGAAGCCCCCTCTGTCAGGGCTGCTGAGCACTGACAAATAGAGAAAACAGGCAATGAGTACTTAGGAATTAGTGCAGTATGAAAAGCAAAATTCAGATTTGTGAAAAAACTTGATATTTTAATTAGGAGTAGTCAAGTCTGTTTTTATGTCTAGGAAATCACTCAGGTGTCCCCTGGGACTTTTTCTTTTTTCAATTAAAGAGCAATTAAGCCCAAGGAAGGGCAGCAACCAAGTTAGCCCCAGGATCAAGCCCCACTGCCTCACCGTCTGCCTCACTCTCTGCCTCCCTCTCCATTGATTTCCCTATCTTTCCTTCATGCTTCGTGGCCTGTCTTTGCACATTTATTCCATTCTTCTCATGACTGGAAGAAGGCAGCTTCGTGTCTTCATAGATTCTTGCTTCTTCAAAACTTCATCTTGTAGAGGGTCCATTTTTGTTACCCCACTACCTCATGGGATACTGCCACCTTCAATTCTCTAGATAAATAACAATATCTTTGATTCTCCCAATTTCAGAATTCTTAAAAGAGAATGTTTATTGTTCATTTCATTTTTAAAATCATGGTGCAGGGGGTACAAGGTGGGGTTGCCTGGCTCATCACCCATTTATCAGGTGTGTGGATGAGGGACACCACAGAGCAGACATGGAAAACCAACTCAAAACCCCACTCAGAGACATGCAAGACCCTTTGCAATCCAAATAATTCAATATTTTTCTAGCTGCTTCTCCTTTAGAAACAAGGATTCATCTCATAATAGTTCTTTCATCATAATTTTTTCTTTTTATCTTTTCTAAAAATAATTACATAAGCTGGGGATGGTGGCTCACACCTATAATCCCAGCACTTTGGGAGGCCAAGGCAGGAGGATCGCTTGAGCCCAGGAGTTTGAGACCAGCCTGGGCAACATAGTGGGACCCTGTCTCTACCAAAAAATACAAAAATTAGCCAGGCGTGGTGGTGCACACCTGTAGTCCCAGTTACTTGGGAGGCTGAGGCAAGAGAATCGCTTGAACACAGAAAGTCGAGGCTGCAGTGAGCCATGATGGCACCACTGCACTCCAGCCTGGGTGACAGAAGTGAGATCCTGTCTCAAAAAAATGTACATATATAAAATTTAAAATATCGAACACTTCACGAATTTGTGTGTCATCCTTGCACATGCTAATCTCTGTAGTTTTCAAAATTTTAGTCTGTGTGCTCCTGAAACAAGCACCATAATTTTTAATATAGTGAGTAACATAAGCGTTCAAGTGGAGATTGTTAAATGATACCATTTCTGAGGTCCTTTTCCAGAACTCATGTAATTCCTTTATTTTTTCACAAATACTGCTTAAAAGCCAGGCTTGCTTTCCTGCCTTAAGGAGGTGCAGTAGAACTTAGAAGCCACCAGATGTCACTATTGCAGATAGCATTCCAAATTCCCCAGCTTGCATCTGATACCATCAGTGCAGTACGAGTTGACAGGCTCCAAGAAGTCATCTAAACTGTCCCTCCTGACAGGAAGCCACAGTGAACAGGTGACTTGGATGGTTTACTTTTAATGAACTGCTGGAAAAGAGAGCAAGGTTTATAAAAACACACATCTCTGTGGGCTACTTGCAAGACAGTCACCAAAACAACCTTGCCTCTAAAGTCTCTAAGTCTCTGAACATCTGTGAATCTGTGATTCTAAGCCAAATAGAGATGGTCTCTGCCCACCACTCAACATTTGTGTGCTTTTGTTTTTGTTAAGATCAAAGAATTTTAGTAGACAGTATATTATGCATTCAAAATAGCAGAAACCCTAATGGTGAGAAACATTAAGAATACATCAGAGTGATGGCAAAGATTTGCTGTGTGCTTGGATAACTTCCCTTGGCTAACGAGGGTAAGAGGCTGAGGACCCAGAAAAAGGCTGCTCTTCAGGTCACCGGTCCACTACTCCTGCAGGAATACTACCTCCTTGATGGTTGGAATTTGACTCCTCTCTGAGGTTTTTGTGTTAAAGTGGAAGGTGGAGTGTTAATTGTGGTTTTGCATCCTTTCTCACCATGTATTTCTTCTTGTGTTGTCTTTTTATTTTTTACTCTGCCTTCGTCTTCTCTTGTATCCCCTGCCTTCTTTCTTCTTTGCCTTAATTATCTTTTCACCTTTACCCGTAGTTCCAAGTAGCTTTGAAGGCATTTCTTAGTTCCATCAGGAGCAATTGGTGATCTAGAAGTTAGGATTCTGGAACCTGGTTTCTTGCCTCTACTCCTAATGTTCTAGACCACAAACAGAAGAAGAGTCTCACCTACTAAAAATTGATGGCAAGGAGGAAAAGCAGAACCAAAAGCAAACCACTGGAGACATGGGTAGGCAGGAGGGTTCAGTAAACGGTTGCTCCTGAAGACATATCATGAAGAAGCAGTTCCATGCAAAAGTGGACTTGAGAAATGCCACAGCCCATATGCTCTTTGAGGGAGGTTTACAAGGTATGAAGTGCAGTCAGGGTTCTAATACGCGTTCCTGTAAAGAAACTGGTTTACCCTTTCTTAGCCCAGTATCCCCTACTCTGATTTGACCACAGATCCACTTTAATGCCGTTGCTGATTATGCACATGACCTAGTGGCCTGCAGAACTGATGCTCTGTGGAATACTTTGGGGGCTGTTGCTGCTCCAGGAGAGGTTTGTAAATACACTCTCACCAAGGAGGCAAACCTCTTCTAGAACAGGCCTAGGCTTTGGTTTTTGTATTCTGAAATGTCATACTTAAAGCAAACAGAATAATACATAGGTGATATAACTTTTTGGGGGTATAATTTACATTACTAAAAATAAATGCTGAATTACTGAAAAAATTGAAAGGCTTTCTTCTCTTTGGAAAATTTCTCACTGCTTGAAATAGTTATAGCTTTAGATTGTTTCATATTTGTGGAGTGCCCATTGTGTGCCCAGTACTCTCCCAAGGATGCAAAGACAAATAAGACATCATTCTTGATGAAAAGGAAATGTAGATGCAAATCCTACGGTCTTATGCTACTTAATTCTTATACTCTGTTACATCCGATATTTAGTAAGTGAGTGTGTTACCTGTGATATGCTTAGCACTGTTTCTAGAATCAGGTACTACCTTAAGTAAGTAATAGCAGGCAGTGTTAGGTACTTAGTTAAATGCTTTGAGTTGAAGAGAGCATCGTAGATAATTTAGACCCTTCAAACTTCTTTGCCATGTCTCCTAAGAAGACTAAAAACAAACCTCAAGTAGATGGTTTTCAATCTTGTGATCAACGTTCACTGTAGAAAGTGCGGCTTTGTACCCCAGAGCTATGGGAAGCACCCCACCACACCCTCCTCTTTCCTAAACTTGGGGAACTCATCTGCTTTTAAGGGGAGATCATTATGATCATCACTGTGATCTTTGGCATCAAGGCCAATTGGTGATTTGGTTTTATTGTTGGAGATGTGGCCAATGGAGTGACTTGAGCAGGTCACAGACTTGCCTTCACTCTCTCATTTGGACCCAGCACCTCTCCAAGGACATCAGTGCAATTTTCTCAGGATTTGCCTGAGTTCAGTATCCAGGTTATGCCATTTCACAAGCATCGTGCCTTTTTACATTCACAGTGGGTATGGGGTTCCCCTTATTTGGACTTATTAATACAAAGGACATTAAAAATAATCCCCTCCCATTGCCTCTGTCTTGGTTGTGCCCTGAAGTCTCAGATGCAGTGGAGTATGGGAGTGAGGGCCCTCAAAATCTCTCTCTAGATACTTACCCTGGACGAAAGGCACTCACCTGGCTCCACTCTCATAATTAACCACAGCATACACCTTGGTAGCTGTGGCTCAGGTTTCCCAGTCTTCTCAGGAGATAGCCCTCCATATTAGTTTTGTTGGGATCCAACAAAGGCAACCATTATTTCCTCATTACTCTCAAGTCTAAAGTCAGAGAAGGCCTACCAATTGCTTGTTTAATTGACTTATCCAGATTGCCCTTTGAGATATTATGAGTAACTCCCTAGAAATGGTCTCTTCTTTGAAAAGAAATTCTGTAGGACATTGGCAACTTCTTTATAGATATGTCTGTGATTCTAAAAGGACATATACTGATGAGATAAAAGCTGATTTTCAATATTTTTTAAAGTTTGTCTCATGGACAAGATAAGCAAATTCTAAATAGACTTTAAGAAAATTCCTTTTTGAAGCTTCTCATTGATTTATGAGCCTTACAAGTATAACCCCTGGAAAATAACATGTAGGATTATGGGATTTCTTTTGTGTATTTGCTATGAGGATGAAATAGAGTTTTGGAATTATTGAGGCCAGACGCAAAGGGAAATTAAATATGCTCTGTGGATGAAAAGAAATGTTTAAAAATTGCCCTACAAGACATAGCAGGTAATAAAGCACCAGGGCCAGATGGATACACAGCTGTATCACACAGAACATTTACTCATAAATTACTTCTAATTTTAGAAGAGGTTTATAAACATGCTTCAGCAACTGAGGAAACTTCTTGTCTCCATTTCACTGGCAAGAAAAAAGAAATGTATAGGCTATAAATTCATTTTATTCTTTAACCAAAAAACTATGACTGTTAGATTTATAAAGCAGTATACTTACCATTATCAAGTGGATTTATTTTATGGAAAATCTCTGAAAAATAATAATTATTACATATTTTACATTATAAATACTAGATCATTGAAAAATAGATATGGATAAGGTCTTCACCTAGTGAATTAAGAGCTGAAAAAAGCACTTATATCAAAGAAATAGTCACAGAAGGTGGCCGGGCACGGTGGCTCATGCCTTGTAATCCTAGTGTAGCAGGACGAGCCGCAGACAAAAACTCCTCAGACACCGAGTTAAAGAAGGAAGTGGTTTAATTCCGCCGGGAGCATCAGGCAAGACTCCTGTCTCAAGAGCCAAGCTCCCCGAGTGAGCAATTCCTGTCTCTTTTAAGGGCTCACAACTCTAAGAGGGTCCGTGTGAGAGGGTCGTGATCGATTGAACAAGGGGTACGTGACAGGGGCTGCATGCACCGGTGGTCAGAGTGAAACAGAACAGGCCGGGAAGTTTCATGATGTCTTTTCTATACAATATCTGGAATCTATAGATAACATAACCGGTTAGGTCAGGGGTCGATCTTTAACTACCAGGCTTAGGTCAGGCAGGCCCAGGCCTGGTTTCGGGTCTGGTTCTTAGGCGCCGGGCTGCCTGCATTTTGTTTTGCTTTTCTTTTCTTTTCTGAGTATAAAACAATATAAAACAATATGAGAGGGTCTGTCTCTCTTCTCTCACCAGCACTTTGGGAGGCTGAGGGGGGCGGATCACCTGAGGTCAGGAGTTCGAGACCAACCTCAACATGGAGAAACCCCATCTCTACTAAAAATACAAAATTAGCCAGGCGTGATGGCACATGCCTGTAGTACCAGCTACTCGGGAGGCTGAGACAGGAGAATCGCTTGAACCTGGAAGGTGGAGGTTGTGGTGAGCCGAGATCACGCCATTGCACTCTAGCCTGGGCAACAAGAGCGAAACTCCGTCTCAAAAAAAAGGAAAAAAAAAAAAAAAAGAAATAGTCACAGAAGGTTTTTGTAGAAATTTCAAAATTAGTCTGAATGCAAGCAGAATATATATGACTTTTTCATTTCTGTGAACATATCCTTGAAATAATCATAGATATATTAAATTATTTGACATCTTACACATATTTCTTCTTTTCTTTCTTTTTTCTCTTAAAATAAGGTCTCGCTCTGTCACCCAGGCTGGAGTGCAGTGGCACTATCATAGATCATTGCTGCCTAAACCACCTTCACAAAAATTGTAATGGTGAGAAAATTATGGCGGTTAAAGGAGATCTGATTTAACCAATTCACATCTTGCCTTTGGCCTTCAAGCTGCCTTTAATTATTCCTGTGTTTTGGCCAGGCTAACTTCGGGAGACATTTAGTTTATAATTTAAATGGTAATAGCCCTTCCGCAAAACTCAACTGCCTTTGTAAAGCTAATGAGAGACCAGCAGGCTAGGAGGATAGAGGAGCCTGAATTCTGCTAAGGGGTAGACATAAACAATTACCAGCTATTATTCTGCAGGTCACAAGATATGCAACTTCCCCAATTACTCCTGCAGATAACATCACTATTGTAGAACCTCAGATTGGCCTTTGGAGATATCTTTTCAGGATTTTTGCATGTCTGAAACTGATGGCTCAACCTGGACTTGCCAGTCTCTCCTGTGGCCCCACCCAGAAGCAACTCAGCATGCAGGGGGACAACTTCCCATACCCCTAGGACTGCACCCCCAAACAATCAACAGCAGATATCTATTGCCTAGCACCCCACCTCTTCCCCCAAACTACCTTTGAAAATGCTGCTAGCCCCCAAATGCTCAGGGAGATTGATTTGAATGACGCCATCTCCCACTCCCAGGTGTGGCTGGCCCTGTATCAGTCAAACTCTTTCTTTACTGCGGTGCCATAGTCTCTGTGAATTGATTTCGTTTGTGCAGTGATCAGGAAGAACCTGATGGGTGTTTATACCATCTTGAATTACCGGGCACAAGCAATCCTCCAGCCTCAGCCTCCTGAGTAGCTTGGACTGCAGGTATATGCCACCATGCCTAGCTAATTTTTAAATTTTTTGTACAGACAGGATCTTGCTGTCTTGCCCAGGCTGGTCTCAAACTCAAGTGATCAGTCCTCTTGCCTCGGCCTCCCAAAGTGCTGGAATGATAGGCATGAACCACTGAGCTCAGATGTATTTCTTTCTTTTTTATAGAGACGGCATCTTGCTATGTCACCCAGGTTGGTTTCAAACTCCTGAGCTCAAGCTCTCCTCCACCTTGGCCTCCCAAAGTGCTGGGATTGTGGGCATGAGCCACCACACCCAGCCCATATTTCTTAAAGTGTGGTTTGAAATTTAAAAAAAAAACAAAAAAAGGAAAAAAAACAGTCTTCATGTTCAATACCAGGTTTAGTAAATTATATGTTCATAATAGATATTATGCAATTATTATAAATAATATAGAATATTTAACAGCAGAAAAATGGCGATGATATTTTAAGTGGTAAAAGTGACTCCAAATCAGACTTTATGGGATGATTCACTTTTTGTAAAGATAGATAAATGTGTGTTTATGTATCTGCAATGCCTATAAGGGGGACTTGTTAGAATCAATTAAACACTGAGACTCAAGACTATCAGAGGATGCATTTGGCCCAGGCTGCCGTGGAAGGTGTCAGACAGGAACCACAGTGCATCTACAGGGCAGCATCAGGCATTCCTTTTCAGTGTGAGTTCTTGTGCCAGTACAGATGTGGTACAAGGAGAGGCAAAACACATTAGGCAGGCACATGGCTTGGAGGCCTCAAACTTCACAGTGGCTAAACACTTTTTTTAACAACTTAATAGTGTAACTGCTCAGTGGGTTCACCTTGCCAGCTGCCTAGACAGGGCCGATTTATCAAGACAGGGGAATTGCAATAGAGAAAGAGTAACTCACACAGAGACGGTGGTGCGGGAGACTGGACTTTTATTATTACTCAAATCAGTCTCCCCAGGCATTTGGGGATCAGAGTTTGTAAGGACAACTTGGTGGTTGGGGGGCAAGCCAGTGAGCCGGGAGTGCTGATTGGTCAGGTCAGAGGTGAAATCATAGGGAGTCGAGCTGTCTTCTTGTGCTGAGTCAGTTCCTGGGTGGGAGGCACAAGATCAGATGAGCCAGTTTATTGGTCCAGGTGGTGTCACCTGATCCTTCAAGTGCTGGGTCTGCAAAACATCTCAAGCACTGCTCTTAGGAGCAGCTTAGGTAGTGTCAGAATCTTGTAGCCTCCAGCTGCATGACTCCTAAACCGAAATTTCTAATCTTGTGGCTAATTTCTTAGTCCTGCGAAGGCGGTCTAGTCCCCAGGCAAGAAGGAGATTTTCCCTGGGAAAAGCCTGTTATCATCTTTGTTTTAAACTATAAACTATAAACAGGTTCCTCTCAAAGTTAATTCAGCCTATGCCCAGGAATGAACAAGGACAGCTTGGTGGTTAGAAGCAAAATGGAGTTGGTTAGTCCAGATGCAATTTACCAACCAAGGGTCATCTTTATCATTAATCAATGCTGCTTAGTATCACAGTTGATGTTCTACTTGTTAAGCAGTGAAGTACTGAGGTACTTTGTAGGCTTTGGTGTCCTGGGGGGCAGGGTTGGGGCTCCAATACTGACAGATCTTGGGGTAGCCATGGCTGCTGTAGCTCTGAGTGCTGGGAGGAGGGTGGTTGCCCAGGGTGCAGGTTACCTGTAAAGTTCTCATCTCAATCTTTACTCTGAAGTTTCCTTTGAGGCAATTTCCAAAGAGTCAAGAGGTGTGCAGTCCGGGCGCGGTGGCTCATGCCTGTAATCCCAGCACTTCGGGAGGCCGAGGCAGGCGAATCACGAGGTCGGGAGTTCAAGACCAGCCTGGCCAACACGGTGAAACCCCGTCTCTACTAAAAATACAAAAATTAGCTGGGCGTGGTGGCGGGCTCCTGTAATCCCAGCTATTCGGGTGGCTGAGGCAGGAGAATGGCTTGAACCCGGGAGGCGGAGGCGGAGGTTGCAGTGAGCCGAGATCCTGCCGCTGCACTGCAGACTCCAGCCTGGGCGACAGTGCGAGACCCTGTCAAAAAAAAAAAAAAAAAAAAAAAAAAGGTGTGCAATCCATGCAGTAATTTCTAACTGAGCTGTTTCCCTATTCCGTTGGTTCTGAATTAAGGGTCGTTTACCGAGGCCTTAATAGAAGTCCTAATTCATCAATCGAAGGCCCTCAGTATCTAATCGCATTTCCCGTAAGTTCCATTGCAGACGATCTTCTACAGCCAGTGACATCTGCTTTCTGGACCCTGTCATTATGGTGGCTTTTCTCTCTGCGGTGTCTGAGCCCCAAATGCTTCCACTTTGTATAAAACCCTCACTCCTTTGCCAAACCCTAAGACTCCTTAAGGCACAGTTAAGTACCTGCTCTACACAAAGCCTTCCAGACTCACCCCTCCCGTACCCGTAGCTGTGCCCTGCCAGGTCGGTTCATACCCCCTTTCTGAATTCTTTGGCGTGGAAACTCCTCGTGCTCCCAGGATTACCAACTGCTTTTTCCTTACTCCCCTAGCATTCTTTCCCCGTGAAGCCAGCTGTAGTACTGCATGTTCTTCAGTAGGTGGCAACCTTCACAAACAGAATTCAGGCGATTTTGTTGCTTAGCTTGTCAACAGGATAGAGCCCCTAACGAGAGGCGCTGATACCCAGAGCAGCTACCGCTGCTGAGCTTATTCACTAATTAGAAACATTTGCTTTCTTGGAGGCACAGAAACGTTCCTACTATTATTCTGTTTTGTGAGGGAAAGCAGTCTGAGCTGTTATTTAAGTGACTCCGTTTCCCAGCCACCTTGTGTGTAGAAGATCAGAAGATATCAAAGCAATGCTCCTCTTTGTATTTTTCCCCTCAAAGAATTGGGAGAAATCAAGATTTAAAAAAAATTTGAGTATGTGGTTTTTTCTTTTTACAAGATGATAATAATGTAAACTTTTTGTATGGAGTTTGTTATTGTTGTTGTTGTTTTGAGACAGGGTCTCACTCTGTTGCCCAGGCTAGAGTGTAGTGGCGTGATCTCAGCTCACTGCAACCTCTGCCTCCCAGGCTCAGCGATCCTCCCACTTCAGCCTCCCGAGTACCGGGGATTACAGGCGTGCACCACCACATTCGGCTAATTTTTGTATTTTTAGTAGAGACGGGGTTTCACTATTTTGCCCAGGCTGGTCTCGAACTCCTGGCCTCAAGTGATCCGCCTACCTTGGTCTCCCAAAGTGCCGGGATTACAGGCTTGAGCCATCATGCCCAGCCTTGTATGGGGTTTTTATCATTAACAATAGTGAGAAGGAGAGAATTTAAAAAACAAAAAAACCCAAAAAACAAAAAACCCAAGGCTAGACTGCTAATTGAAAACAAAGGTATATGAACAATTAGGTATATTATTCAGAATTCTGTCCTTTAAAAAAAATATTTGAGAATTGGCTGTGTTCTGACATGGAGAAGTTGGCACATAACATGGATACATTTGGCATACAGACATTTCTGGAATACATTTTCTGGAGTGATGACACAGGCATTATTGTACTTGAGATTACTCTTTCTCCGAGTTCACATCTTTTTTTTTTTTTAAGTCGGAGTTTCACTCTTGTTGCACAGGATGGAGTGCAATGGCGCGATATTGGCTCACCGCAACCTCTGCCTCCCAGGTTCAAATGATTCTCCTGCCTCAGCCTCCTGAGTAGCTAGGATTACAGGCATCTGCCACCACACCCAGCTAATTTTGTATTTTTAGTAGACATGGGGTTTCTCCATATTGGCCGTGCTGGTCTAGAATTCCCAGCCTCAGGTGATCTGCCCGCCTCGGCCTCCCAAAGTGCTGGGATTACAGGCATGAGCCACTGCGCCCGGTCCCGAGTTCACATCTTAATTATTTGTTGCCACTTCCTAAGGCATCTTGCTTGGAAAATTAGTGCACTCCTTTTCTTGTGTCCTTCCAGAACTTTGGGTCACCAGTGTGCATTTTACTTGTGGGAAATTTTCCTTGGATCATGCAACCCTTAATAAATATTACTTTTCCCTCAAATCATCTTCAAGTGTAATATAAAAAAAAGAGACTGAATTTTAGCAAGCAAATAGAAATATCTACTTCTAAATAGACACTGTGCTCTTCAAAGAAATCTCTGTGGGGTACCAGGCATTTCTTTTAATAATGATTTGGTGACTCAAAACATTTCCAAACTCCTCTTTTGGTCTTATTTCAGTGCTTGTTGCAATGGGACAAGGTCCGTTCTGGGGCCATTCCATGAATCCTCAGTTCTGTGTATGCTTTTGCATTCTCGTGCTCTTCAGGTGGCATTTATCATGTGAGCTTTGTATCATCCCAGGAGTAACAAATGCCTAATATCCTCTTGTTTACCCTCTCTCAGGATGGTTTTCTAGTATTCTCTCATTTGTACCTTCTATATAGAAGAATGTATTCCCTAAAGCGTTGGTATCTTACCTGAAAATGAATAATTCCTGTTGGACTCACCTACCTCCAAGGCCAGACATCTTCAGGATTAGAAACATAGTTTCTAATTTACACAACAAAATAATGTTTTTCATCACTGTAATCTCTCCCTATTCTTAATTTTGCCATCCTTTCAATGGAAATGTCATATTTTATTAGAGTGTTTATTAGAGAGTATTTTGACTCAAATCTCATTTATTGTACAATTTTTAGGTTAATTCTAATTTTTTCACAATATCCCTGGTTCTGAGACTATTATAGTCATTTTGGTCACCCCCAACACCATTTCAGTTAAATTTCATCCATACCTATTGCTTAGGGCAGATCAATTCAGTTAAATGTTCTTTTTGAACACCAGTTTGTAAGGAATGGTATGCCCTCACAGAAATATATCCTTTGCAAGTAGTCACTCATTTATTAATCAATAATTGGTTAATAGGTATATTCATGCATTCATACAACCACTATTAAGTGAGCACATACTCACTGCAATCATTTATTTACTGCACTACTGATAACGGCAGGTAACAAGGCCCATGATGTGATTCAGTCTCAGTGGAGCTTATTGAACAGTAGGTTGCCACTTTAAGGGCATGGAAAGTAAAATGCTGTTCAGGAAGCACATGCTACGTGTCAGCTACTAAGTGAAATATTGATAGTATTCACTTACCCCTCTCGATTTTTCAGGTTGAGTGTAACTCAAGTAATTTCTATTCTCAACAATGTTAAGAATTGCTCCCAGTGCAAAGATGGAGGAGTTGGAATTTGAACCTAGAGCTGCAGTTTACCTGGGCACCCTAACATGGACACAACTGTCTTGGCCTCAAGTTTCATTGCATCCACCAGATTCAGTTCCCATTTATTGAGAATCCTTCTGTGGGTTCTTTAACTTAGACTTTATGATAACAAATGCAGATGCCAAGAATAGTAGTGATAGCCAGTCCTTAATATAGCACTTCTTCTGTACCAGGCATTGTTCTAAGTGTTGTATGTTTATTCACTCATTTAATCTTCACAAAACTCTGTAAAAGAGATATCCTCATTCTCATTTTATAGAGAAGGAAACAGAAGCACAGAAAGGTCAAGTACGTGGCTGGGCTGGATTTGACTCCAGGTTGACTAAGTGCCAGGGTGTGTGGCTTGAACCATAATTCCATGCTCTCACTAAAGAGTTGAACCCACACTCTAAAACCAACTACGTAATAGCCACTTCATTCCACGGTAACTAGCCAGATGCGGTTGAGCAATTTTGTGTGTGTGAAGACATACATGTGCATACCCACGAAGCAGCCCCTCCTGAGGCACAGGCTTCACTAGGTTGCTTTGGTACTACCCATCAATATCTCTTTACAGGCTACTGGCCAGAAATGACTGAAATGGTGTTTCAGGGCCACAGCAACGTTGAAGTTGCCTGGGACTCTTCTTCATGGTGGACAGGCTCTGATTACACCTATTGCAAAATGCTTTTTGTGTAACTGTGAAAGGAGAAGTTTTAGAAACCTCCCAGATTTTAGGTTAAAAAAACAAAAAACCAACTTGGGAACTTCTTAGAAGTCTCCCATTTTATTTAGAAGTACCTCCATCTGTGTTTAATAGTTTACCACCTATTTTCTTCCTAGCTAGGTTTTTCTGGGTATTTGGTGTAAGCTCAGAGACTGGGTTTGCCATTTAATTATTTAGTCCCCACTACCTCTGGGTTACACAAACAACTCTTTGAACGTAATTTGAGTTTTTAAAAAAGTACTTGTGCATTGTTTTGAAACAAAGGGTTTTTATTTGTTTTGGTCAAAGGTTATTTGTGGACTACAGGCGACCCTCAAGCCTGGCGGCCTTATAAACAATGAAAATATGTTTATAAAGATGTTGCTATATATCAATAAACTACACAGCCTTAGCATTAAGAAGTTTCTAACATAGCAAGATCTTTTTAAATTAGAGTAATTTTCAGATATGTTTGAGATTAGATTAGAACAATTTTCAGTTAGATTTTTTTTTTTGAGATGAGATCTCCCTCTGTTGCCCAGGCTGGAGTGCGGTGGCGTGATCATAGCTCACTGCAGCCTTAAACTCCTGGGCTCAGGCGATCCTCCCGCCTCAGCCTGCTGAGTAGCTGGGACTGCAGGTGCATGCCACCGTATCTGGATAATCAAAAACATTTTTTTTTTTTGTAGAGATAATGTCTCACTTTGTTGCACAGGTGGTCTCAAACTCCTGGCTTCAAGTAATCCTCTGACCTCAGCCTCCCAAAGCACTGAGATCACAGGCATGAGCCACCATGCCCAGCTAATAGGTTTCTTTTTATAGTCAGTTTTGGCATTATTATAATTTGTTGTTTCCAGTCTATGTACTACAGTATTCTGTGCCTTTTGCTCAGCTCACACAATGCAATTTACATATCATTGTTCTAGGTAAGTTGAATGTGGATGTTCAATTAAAAAGTGGTGCTACCAGATTTTTAGGGCAGTGAAATTATTCCATATGATGCTCTAATGGTGGATTCATGTTCTTATACATTTGTCCAGACCCATAGAATGTAAACTATGACTTTGGGTGTTCGTGATATGTCAGTGTAGTTTCATTCATGGTAACAAATGGACTGCTGTGATGTAAAATGTCAAAAGTCAGGGAGGCCGTGTGTGTCGGGGCAGGGGGCACATGGGAAATCTCTGTACCTTCTGCTTGATTTTGCTGTAAACCTAAAACTGCTCTAAAAAAATGAAGTCTTAAAAAAGTCATGCAGCAACCATAATAAGAAGGGAGGAAGACAGGAACAGCAAATAGTGAGTGAGAAAAGCCAGAAGACAATGGTGAAATTTCCTCTCGAGAACACACACTGAGTCTGTGTGTGTGCACGTGCATGTGTGTTTTAATGGTTCAAATAATGACTCAGTTAATGTTAGCTTTAGCTTTCTGTCAAAGGACCTCTGTGTCAAACTTGCCCTTGGTTCTGGCCAATGCAGATTTTTTTTTTTTTGAGATGGAGTCTCTGTCACCCACGCTGGAGTGCAGTGGCGTGATCTTGGCTCACTCCAACCTCTGCCTCCCGAGTTCAAGCAAGTCTTCTATCTCAGCCTTCTAAGTAGGTGGGATTATAGGTGCCTGCCACCATTCCCGGCTAATTTTTGTATTTTTAGTAGAGACGGGGTTTCACTATGTTGGCCAGGCTGGTCTCGAACTCCTGGCCTCAAGTGATCTGCCTTCCTCAGCCTCCCAAAGTGCTGGGATTACAGGTGTGAGCCATCATGCCCTGGCCAGTACAGATTTCTAACTGTGACATACCTGAAGGGCTCTTGACTTCAGGTCTTGCTGAGGGGGATATGGATAGTTGCTGAGAATGATTGAACCTAGTGTTTACGAGAACCATAAGCACATTTCTCCATGGTAAAACTTCATGTGCAAAAAACTAAAAACAACAAAGCAACGTATGGCGTTATTAGTTTCCAACAGCCTGTTCACAAGAGGACTAGTGAACTCTCTGAGCCAGGTGTTGCTAGAAAGTGGTCTCTCTTTGACCCCACTGGCTCCTTTCCCCGCGGTCCTCACTCTGTTGGTCCCGCGCAGCGCTAGGTACTGAGGGATGACATTCTCTTGTGCCACAGCCCTTATATTTGTGGAAAATTTTCTTCTTCTATATCTTCTTCTATATACTTGCCTTTATGTAGTCCTTTCATAATTTATGTGTGCTCATGAGTTCTTTCAACATGAAGGCCTATGTCCTTCAGCTTTGAAAATTCTTTTATTTTCTTTAGTAATTTTCTTTCTTCCCTTTTTCTGTTTTCTCCATCTGGAATGCCTGTTAATTGGATCATGGGCCTCGATTGTAATTTTGGATTAGAATTAGAGTCAAGGGCCGGGCGCGGTGGCTCACGCCTGTAATCCCAGCACTTCGGGAGGCCAAGGCAGGCAGATCACGAGGTCAAGAGTTTGAGACCAGCCTGGCCAACATGGTGGAACACCGCCTCTACTCAAAATACAAAAATTAGCCGGGCATGGTGCCGCATGCCTGTAATCCCAGCTACTCAGGAGGCTGAGGCAGGAGAATCGCTTGAACCCAGGAGGTGGAGGTTGCAGTGAGCCAAGATCGCACAACTGCATGCCAGCCTGGGCAACAGAGCATGACTTTGTCTCAAAAAAAAAAAAAAAAAAAGGGAAAGAAAAAGAATTAGCAGTCAATCCTAATTTTTTAGTCTGCTATAGTATTGTCTTTAGCTTTTTCATTCTACTTTTCCCTCCCTTATGTTGCATTTTTAAAAACTTTAGCAAAGATATTAGTTTTAAAGACCTCTTTGTACTAATATTTGATTTTTAATACTACATTACTTCAGTCCTGTTTCATGGATGCAAAAGTAGTTATTAAGGAGAGTTTTATATTGATCTTCTGTTTTCTGCACTCATTTATTTGTTCAGCAAATGACTGTTGAATTCCTACTTTGGCATTATTTTATGCTTAGAGATATGGCAGTGCATAAAACAAAGTCTGTTTCCTTATAGAATGTGTATCTAGAAGTTTTTTGGCCTGAGCCATCTACTGAGAATGAGAATGGTATGGAGATTTGGAGGCAAGAGATTGGAGTTCACTTCAGGACGTGGTATCAGTTTCCTACTGCTCCTGTAGCACATTACCACAAACTTAGCAGCTTAAAACAACACAGCTGGCCAGGCGCGATGGCTCACGCCTGTAATCCCAGCACTTTGGAAGGCCGAGGTGGGCGGATCACGAGGTCAGGAGATCGAGACCATCCTGGCTAACGTGGTGAAACCCTGTCTCTACTAAAAAATACAAAAAATTAGCCGGGTGTGGTGGTGGATGCCTGTAGTCCTAGCTACTCAGGAGGCTGGGCCAGGAGAATGGCGTGAACCCGGGAAGGGGAGCTTGCAGTGAGCCAAGATTGTGCCACTGCACTCCAGCCTGGGTGACAGAGTGAGACTCCGTCTCAAAACAAAACAAACAAACAAACAAGAAAAACACAGCTGTATTCCCTTACAATTCTAGAGGTCAGAAGTCTGAGAACAGTTTTACTGGGCCAAAATCAAGGTGTCAGCAGGGCCACACTGCCTCTAGAGACTCTAAGGAAGAATCTGTTTCCTTGCCTTTTCCATCTTTTGGAACTGCATTCCTTGCATTCATTCTTTAGTTTGTGGCCCTTTCCTCCATCTTCAAAGTCAGCTTTTTATGTTAGAGAACTTTAGTCAGTATGTGATTGCCTTCATCTGCAGTCCTTTCCCTTTTATAAGAACATTTGAGATGATAATTAGGGTCAATTCGGCTAATTCAGGATAATTTTCCCATGTCAAAAACCTTAACTTAATCACATCTGCAAAGTTTCTTTTGCCACAGAAGGTAACATTTACTAGAGCCAGGGATTAAGATCTGGATAGCTGTGCAGGCCATTATTCGGCATACTGTAGATGTTTTGAGTTTGACATACCTCTTAGACATTCAAGTGGAATATCAAGTCGCAGCTGGTATGTGAGTCTAGAGTTCAGGAAGAGGTCTGAGATAAAGATACAACTTTGGGAGCCATGCATTTAGATATAATATTTAAAGCTAGAGGCCGCATGGGATCACCCAGCAAATGAGCGTAGAGAAAGAATAGAGGATTACTAAGCATGGAGAAACTCCAAGCAGAGGTTGGGAAGATGACAAGTAACCAATAAAGCAGACTGACAGGGAACAGGCAGTGAGGTAGGAGGAGAACCAAAAAAGAGTTAGGTGTGTCTCTAAGCATATCATGAAGAAGGAGTGAGAAACTGTATAAAATTGATAATTGGGTTAGGAAATTTGAAGTCATTAATGATTCTAACAATAACAGTTTTGGTGTATCGTGTGGTTATAAGCCTGACTTAGGACCCCTAAGAATAAGAGGAGAAAAAATAGAGTTAGCGGTTGTAGACAAATCTTTCTGAGAGCATACCTGTAACAGGAGCAGAGAAATAGAACAGAAGTTGGAGGAAGAAGTGATACCAAGAGATTTAGAAAATATTAACTACTATATATTGAGGTATAATTTCCATACAATAAAATATACCCATTATAAATTGACAGTTTGATGAGTTTTGGTAAATGTTTACACCAGAGCAACCATCATTACAATCCACCTTTAGAACATTTCCATCACCCCCCAAGTTACTTCATACCCCTTTGCAGTGAATCCCTTCGCCCCCATCCCCAGTGCCAGATAACCACTGATTTTCTTTGTTGTTATGGGTTTGATTTGTCTGTTGTAGAACTTCATATAAATGGAATCATACACTTACAGTCTTTTACGTCTGACTTGTTTGTTCAGCATCTATGTTTTTGAGATTCATCCATGTTATTGTGTCTCTTCTCCTCCTCCTTTCCACCTATTGCCTAGCCACCCCACCTCTTCCCTGCTAACTACCTTTGAAAATGCTTCTAGCCCCCAAATGCTGAAGGAGATTGATTTGAGGAATGACTCCATCTCTCACATGGTATGGCTGGCCCTGTGTCAGCCAAACTCTTTCTTTACTGCAGTGCCATAGTTTCTGTGAATTGATTTGGTTTGTGCAGTGATCAGGAAGAACCTGATGGGTGTTTATACCATCTTGAATTCCTTGTTCTCCTCCTTCTCCTCCTCCTCCTTCTCCTCCTCCTTCTCCTCCTCCGTCTCCTCCTCCGTCTCCTCCTCCTTCTCCTCCTTCTCCTCCTCCTTCTCCTCCTTCTCCTCCTCCTCCTTCTCCTCCTCCTTCTCCTCCTCCTTCTCCTCCTCCTCCTTCTCCTCCTTCTCCTTCCCCCTCCTTCTCCTTCCTTCTTCTTCCTTTCTCCTTTTTTTTTTTCGACAGGGTCTTTGTATTAGTCTGTTTTCACACTGCTATAAATAAGAACTACCTGACACTGGGTAATTTATAAAGAAAAGAGGTTATGGCTGGGCACGATGGCTCACACCTGTAATCCCAGCACTTTGAGGGGCTGAGGCAGGTGGATCACCTGAGATCAGGAGTTCGAGACCAGCCTGGCCAACATGGCAAAATCCTGTGTCTACTAAAAATATAAAAGTTAGCCGGGCGTGGTGGCAGGCGCCTGTAATCCCAGCTACTTGGGAGGCTGAGACAGGAGAATTGCTTGAACCCAGGAGGTGAAGGTTGCAGTGAGCCGAGATCGTGCCACTGCACTCCAGCCTGGGCCACAGAGCAAGACTCCATCTTAAAAAAAAAAAAAGAAAAGAAGAGAGGTTTAATTGCTACATGGCTGGGAAGGCCTCAGGAAACTTACAATCATGGCAGAAGGTGAAGGGGAGGCTGGCACATCGTATGTGATCAGAGCAGGAGGAGGACAGAGAGAGTGAATGGGGAAGTGCCATGCTTTTAAACCATCAGATCTCTTGAGAACTCACTGACTATCACAAGAACAGCAAAGGAGAAATCTGCATCCATGATCCATTCTCCTCCCACCAGGCCCCTCCTCTGACACGTGGGGATTACAATTCAAGAGGAGATATGGGTGGGTACACAGAGCCAAACCATATAAGTCTTGCTCTGTCACTCAGGCTGGAGCACAGTTGTGATCATAGCTCACTGCAGCCTTGAACTCCTGGGCTCAAGTGATCCTGCCACCTCAACCTCATGAGTAGCTGGGACTGCAGACACATGCTACCATGCCTGGCTAATTAAAAAAATTTTGTTTTTGCAGAGATGGGGTCTCACTTTGTTGTCCGACTGGTCTTGAACTCCTGGCCTCGAGCGATCCTCCCACCTCAGCCTCCTGAGCAGCTGGGACCAGAGGCAAGTGTCGTCATGCCTGGCTGATTTTTTTAAAACTTTTTTTTTTAGAGATGGGGTCTTGGTTTTTTGCCTAGCTGGTCTCAAACTCTGGCCTCAAGCAATTCTTTCATCTCAGCCTCCCAAAGCTCTGAGATTACAGGGGTGAGCCACCTCACTCAGCATGTCTATTCTTACTTCTTTTTACTGTTGAGTAGTATTCTATTGTATAGATATATTACCTTGTTTATTCATTACCTATAAATGGACATTTTATACAGAAAAAGTTTAAACATTTTTAACAAAATATATTATTAATATTCTTTATGTGTCAAAGAGCAAAATTTCAACAAATTGAGGTTAAAGATCAAATTGGCTTTTATCAGCAATTTATGAACCGGCAGCATTCAGTCTATAAATAAACAAGAGCTCCTCCATTTGTGGCAAAACAGTTGGTTTTTAAAGGTGGCTTAAGCAGGAACAAGGAAACAGCATAGTCTAAAAAGGAGATCGATTAACACCAGGTTACTTCAAGTTACTTCCCTTCTATGAATTACAGCTGAGGGGGCTTCCTTATCATGCCAGCTCAGGTTCATTGGGCCCCTTTTGATTGATTATGGTAAATCTTCTGTTTTGTTTTTTTTTCAGTTGGGGTCTCACCCTATTGTCCAGGCTGGAGTGCAGTGGTGTGATGATAGTGCACTGCAACCTTCAACTCCTGGGCTCAAGCAATCCTCTGGGCTCGGCCTTCCAAAATGTCAGGTTTAGAGGTGTGAGCCACTGTGCCTGGACAGGCTGTTGTTTTTGAAAACAGGCCTCTTTTAAAGTTTGGCATGATTACGTGGCACCTAGCAGAAGTGATTTCATTGTGGTTTGGTCTGATCTGTTGGGGCCCAGTGCAGGCGCTCATTCCATAACAATAGCCTCCCATAAATTTTATTTAACATCTCTTAATAGTTGGTATTTTTTGTTTTTATAAGAAAAGTCATTGCCTGTTTATGGTTTTAGCTTTTACGTGTTAATTTTGTGCATAGTGTGAGATTAGTTTTTTTCATATACATATCCTGTTGTTCTAGCACTATTTGCTGATAAGATAGTTATTTCCTCAGAGAATTACCTTGTCATGTTTGTTAAAAATCAACTGACTGTATATGTACAGTTCTATTTCCATTTCATTGTTTCATATATCTATCTTTATAGCAACATTACCACAGCTTATCAAAAGTCCTGAAGTCAGGTAGTGTAAGGCTACCAACTTGGTCAGATATTTGGGGATATTTTCTGTCTTCTCATTAAAACAATAATACTTGGCCAGGCGCGGTGACTCATGCCTGTAATCCCAGCACTTTGAGAGGCTGAGGTGGGCAAATCACTTGAGGACAGGAGATCGAGACCATCCTGGCTAACACAGTGAAACCTCGTCTCTACTAAAAATACAAAAAAAAAAAAAAATCAGCTGGGCGTGGTGGCACGCGGCTGTAGTCCTAGCTACTAAGGAGGCTGAGGCAGGAGAATCGCTTGAACCTGGGAGGCAGAGGTTGCAGTGAGTCGAGATCATGCCACTGCCCTCTAGCCTGGGCGACAGAGCGAAACTCTGTCTCAAAACAAACAAACAAACAAACAACCTCAATAATACTTAAAGCATATTGGTAGCTGATAGGAAAGTATGTGGGCTTTGGTTTGTGATTTGACTTTTTCATTAAGAGATCCTCTAATATCAATGTCTTTAGAGTTTCTTCCCCCTCTCATACTGTTCACTTTCTTTCTTTTCTTTTCTTTTTTTTTTGAGACGGAGTCCCACTCTGTAGCCCAGGCTGGAGTGCAGTGGCGCGATCTCGGCTCACTGCAAGCTCTGCCGCCCGGGTTCACGCCATTCTCCTGCCTCAGCCTCCCGAGTAGCTGGGACTACAGGCGCCCGCCACCACGCCCGGCTAATTTTTTTTTTTTTTGTACTTTTAGTAGAGACGGGGTTTCACCATGTTAGCCAGGATGGTCTGGATCTCCTGACCTCGTGGTCCGCCCGCCTCGGCCCCCCAAAGTGCTGGGATTACAGGCATGAGCCAACGCACCCGGCCCATTGTTCACTTTCTTTAGACAAGAATACTTTAACATATTTCCTAGAGAGAATATAGTTTCCAGCTGCAGGGTAAGAAGATGTAGTCCCAACATTTACCATTGAAGGCGTTCTTAATCCCACCCTTTTGAGCTCCATGCTTCAGACCAACTCTGTACTCCTAGTTACTTTTGACTCTCTCTGGCCCATATTTTTCCAGAGACCACATTTCCATTCTCCTAAGCAATGGGGAGAAAGCCAGTAGCCTGGCTGCAAGGAACTGAGGAAAGTAAAAGGGTCCATAGTATTTGATCACTCTCTACTTTGTATACAGATTTTCCTTCCTAGTCTCATCCTGCCTTCTGGTTCCTGGTACTTCCATTCCTGAGCCTTTCCTGGTGCTGCAGGTGCTATGGCCCCATGCATTATTATTTTTCTTTGTGCTCAGATGCTAGACCCCTTTGCTAGAGTTGCTACTACTCCCTTGTCTGTTTTCCATCTTTGAAGATTTGTTGACATCATTCATTGGCAGGTGTCTCCTCTCCTTTTTTTTCTTTGTCCTTGTGGGTATGTGCATTTTAAAGTCCTTTAATTTATTTTAGTGGCCTTTCAAAAGGTGATGGACAATTACACCTCTTCATTTCACTCTGGTATGCCAGATGTACTCTTTTCCACTGCTTTGAACAATAAACATTTCAAAAATGCTATTTCTAAAGAGGTTTGATATCCAAAGTATGCTTTGTAAAATGCCTATCACTGATCACCTGTGTCAAAGAAAATTACAACAAATTTAGTTATAGACCTAATTGGCCTTTGGTTATGATTCATGAATTGGGACAACCTCCATTCTGCAAAACAGAATGAGAGCTCTGACTGGGCAATGGCAGAACAGTGAGTTTTGTAAGGTGAGAACAAGGAAAGAGAACAACATCTAAGAAACTGATTTCTTAACATCAGATTATTTCAGGTTACTTTATTTTGGTAAAGATTAAAGCAGATGGGATTTATTTATTTATTTATTTATTTAATTTTTGAGCCAGAGTCTCCCTCTGTCACCCAGGCTGCAGTGCAGCGGCACAATCTTGGCTCCCTGCAGCCTCTGCCTCCTGGGTTCAAGCAATTCTCCTGTCTCAGCCTCCCGAGTAGCTGGGATTACAGGCGTGCACCAACACGCCTGGCTAATTTTTGTATTTTTAGTAGAGACACAGTTTTGCCATGTTGGCCAGGCTGGCCTCAAACTCCTGACCTCAGGGTGCTCCACCCGCCTCGGCCTCCCAAAGTGCTGGGATTACAGGCGTGAGCCACTGCACCCGGCCTGATGGGACATGTTTATTATGCTGACTCAGGTAGACTGGAATCTCCTGTTTTCAGGAAAAACTGGTCTGTTAAGGGATCTATCTGCTTCCTTAAAGTTTCAATTTGATGATGGGACATTTAGCATGTGTGACTCCATTTTGTTTTGTTTTGCCCTGTTGGGCCTGAAATCCCAGCTACTCAGGCAGCTGAGGCAGGAGAATCGCTTGAACCCAGGAGGTGGAGGGTGCAGTGAGCTGAGATTGCACCACTTCACTCCAGCCTGCCAGCCTGGGCAACAGAGTGAGACTCTGTCTCAAAAAAAAAAAAAAAAAAAAAAGTTTCAGTTTGATGATGGGGCCTTTAGCATGTGTGACCCCATTTTGTTTTGTTTTGTTAGTCCAGGAGCTCAGTTCAAAACAATGACTTCCTATGGTTTTTGTTTAACACCTGCTACCTGATAATGGCTTCCTTTTCTACTTGCTCAGTGCCATAGTTCTGCTCTCTAACCCGTGCATTCTGGGCTGAGTACCTTCAGTCCAGAAAAAATTTTCCTACTTTCATGTAGTCTACATACGCATATTCAAAGCTTTAAACAATGTCTGTAACTTACATCAGCTGGGAGCCTTTGTTCTGATGTCTAGATAAAGTTTAAGATAAAGTGGCTTGAAACCACAGCCTGTAGATGTAAGATGCAGACTTCTTCAATTTCTTCCAAAAACTACACCCACACAAAGCATCTGTAAGCACAGTGAATTTTAGTTTAGGAAACTCAGTTGAGTAGAGTTTAGTTTACTTAAGTAGAGTTTGAATTAGGTTGAGTTGGAGCTGATTCAAGTATGAATTGAGAAGGGTTTTAACTGAGTAGAGAAGAATTTGATTTGAGTAGGGATTGATTTGGGTAGAGAATGAGTTACATAGAAGTTGGCTTGAGTAGAGTTTGAGTTGCGTAGAGGTTGTGTTGAGAAGGTGCTGAGTTATGTAGAGATTGAGTTTTACAAAGACTGAGTACTTCAGAGAAAGTGTTGAGGAGTTTGGTGGGAGATTTGGATGGCACAAGGAACAGAGGTCTCCATTTACATAGAATAAGAAATTAAAAGTCTATATTAAGCTCTCCAAAACCCTTTAAGGCCCTTCCATTTGGGGTCGTCCCATGGCTCTTTCCAGATGGAAAAGGGAGAAAGGGTTTCTTCATAGGGTCTTGTGCTTGTTCTGCTCTCTTTTCCTACTTTTCTTTCCTCTCCTCGACTCATTTAAACAACAAAGAAATTCCTTTCCTTGTCCTCAGAGCAGTTTCAAGTGTTTCTCTGATGGCCAGATGCTCAGTGTCTCAATTTATACTGCAAGTGCTCGTCAAAGCGTTTTTCAGAACCTATTCCATCCCTAGGAGGGCATGGTGCAACTGTTAAAATAATACATTTTTTCCTACCTCATCTTAAATTGGACTAGTGATAAATTACAAAATGTTTATTCTCTGTCTTCTTTCTTTTTGGTATACATTGACTAGAATGCTAGAAGTACATTAGTGGATATTGACATGAAGAACAAAAAGGAAAACTCAGTGTTCACTCATTGGAAAATGCTAAGATATACATATAGGTCAGCCCATATATTAATAGAGTCCTTTATGTTTCCAACAAATGAACTTGTCAAAGTGGCAATGGTAATTTATTTAAAGGGAGCCATGTCAAATCGTCTATGATGAAAAGATGCCACTATACCATAGTGTCATCCAAATCTTTCCATATATATTTGTGAAATTATAAAATCCCATTTGGTAAGCATACAAGTAGCTGAAATGACAGTTCCCACATTAGATCTAAAAGTTCAAGGCAAATTAAGATAGTAGGCACCACATGTTTACCAGGTGCTTAGTACCGTTCTGGGTATAAAAGATGCATGAGTCACAGTCCTTTGCTTCAGGGAAGTTGCAAATCATATTAGTGAAATAAGATATAAGTAGAAACAATTTTTAGATCATATGAGAAAGCATATTTAAGGACTAAGCTGTGGGGTCAAGCTCTGTGTTGTAGGATTTTGGAGAAGAGAAGGATGTGATGGTTTGGTCAGATTAAAAGCTTTTGAGAGGGAACTAGAACTTCAACTGTGCCTGAGCAAGAGAGGTTGGAAACACCAGGTGAGGAGAAGGTTTTGGATAAAGCTGGAGTTGTGGGAATGGGTTGAATGAGAGTGAGGAATAGGAAGGAGGGAGACCTATGGTAGAGAAGTATTTCTTGGGATCAGCTAGGTAAGGTGGGCATAGATTGGATTCCAGGCTGAAGAGACTGGAGTTTTCTTCACAGACAGAGGGACATCTCCCAGATATGACTGTCCACAAAAAACAAAGAAAGATACAATCGTTTAACTATGAAAACATTTTACAGTGTCGCAGAGCTCCTCCTGTGGTTTTATAATAATTATGGTTCTTAGCAGAAAGAGGGAGAACAATTTTTACTTTCTCAATGAGAATGAGGTGAAGAGAACATTTTTTTAAGTACCTCAAATTCATTTGTTTTGCATAATGTGAATTAAAACAAAACTTGCTGTTGGCTCTGTAACATTTTTGCCTGCCTGTGTCTGTTGAATTGCCAGCCTGCCTTGAAATAAAATCCACTTAAAAACTATTTTCTCTTCAAGAGGAGCAGGCTTGTGAAGCTTATTGTGTTCAGCTGGTGAAGTCCCAGAGACGCTGCTAGTGCTGTCAAAGACCACCATCAATGATTCCCTCAGCGTGAGGAGACCTCTTCTGCTGGCTGTTGTAACAGAAGGATTGAACATGTTTCAGACATACCTGCTAAATGAGAGCGCAGACCCTCAGCATACAGGCATGTTTGTGTTTGGCGTCCACCTATCTCTTGCCTTTCTTCTTTCCAGACCCTCTTTCATTCTCCAAAATTCCCAGTTCTCCTTGCCGTAAATCCCTTCCGTGGTCAAATAGAGATATCTCCCTCCTTCCAGCTCCTTTTCTTTATTTCTTTTTCTTTTTCCTTTTTTTTTTTTTTTTGAGACAGAGTCTCACTCTGTCGCCCAGGCTGGAGTGCAGTGGCGCCATCTCAGCTCACTGCAACCCCCACTTTTTGGGTTCAAGGGATTCTCCTGCCTCAGCATTCCAAGTAGCTGGGACTACAGGTGTGCACCACCATACCCAGCTAATTTTTGTATTGTTATTTTTTTTAGTAGAGACAGGTTCGCCATGTTGGCTAGGCTAGTCTCCAACTCCAGTCCTCAAGTGATCCGCCTGCCTCAGCCTCCCAAAGTGCTGGGATTACAGGCATGAGTGACTGCCCCCAGCCCCATCTTCCTTTTCATTTCTTCTCTTTCAGTCTTACCTATTAGGAGTTTTCCTGGGCTGGAAATTGATTGATGCAGATGGTGGGTAAAGTGACCTCTTCCAAACGACAACAGCAGCAACAAAAACAAAACCAAACTACTTCCATTGACTGACTTACCTGAAGGCTAAGGAAGAAGTAAAAATTAGATTCTATCCTTACTGGATACTTTATGGTATTAGAAATTATTAATTACAGTATTTTAGGTATGATAATACTATTGTATGTAGGTTGAAAAAGGTTTAAAGATTTTATATATATGTAAATATATATATCAAATATTTATGGATGAAATGATACAATATCTGGAATTTGCTGGAGGGAAAGGAGGTATGCATTGGCTGTGGGTTCATGAACATTGTAGCTGGGTCTTGAGTGCTTCATATGGGTTGATAGTATTCTTTTCTGTATAGTCAAACATTTCTATAACAATTTTTTTTGAAAATTGAAGTGTACCTATAATCGGGTTGCAGTCTTTTTAGACAGGCTTGGCAGAGTTAGGAGGCTGACGACGGTCAGAGAAACCAGACTGCAGGGAGGAGCCACCTGTTTTGACTACAGAGGCTGTCAGGGATCTTACTTTTGGAGACGCCATCCCATATCATTCCAACAAATGCAAATGCACCCACGTTATGGTGATGAATGTCCTTAAGGAAATAGTATTTGAGTTGATGTAATGTTACATTTGATAATCATTTTAGATAAATATTTATTCATTTCAATTATGTATTTTTTTAAAAAAATTTTGGAATAAATACTTTTTATAGTAGGTCTCACCATTTTCATATGCTGTTGACTGAATAGCTGGAAGGCCACAGGCACTGTGTCTAGAGCAGCTAGTGGATAAAACAACCCTGAGGCAGGACCCTTCGAGAGTTTCCTGTTGGGGAAAGAAGCGGAGTGGGTACCACCCCCATTCAGACTCAGCAGGAGGGCTTGAGGATTCTGGCACTTGCTCCCACTCTAACTCTGCTTTTCTGGATACCCATGGGCACCCAGTGGGGAAGGAGAGAAATGGCTGCTGTGTGTGTTACCTGAAAATCCCATTTCAGCTATCTGATGATTTAGCCTGCTCCCACCCTCAGCTGCAGTCCATTTCCTGAGTTCTGTGGTGGATAGAGCGCGTACCTTTCCTTTCTAATTTCTCATGGGACAGTCCAGCTGTTGACGCACAGCCAGAAAAGAGAGCCTGTGCCTGGGCGACTCCGCAGGGATCTGGGCCTGGGCAGAGCTGCTGCTCCCAATGCTATGGTACAGCTGTAGAGGCAGTGGTGTTATGGGGCAAAGAGTGGGCTCAGAGTTCCCAAGGAAAATGAGGAGTGGTAGGCAGAACTGACTCGTGAGCACCTGAGAAACACTTTCTGGAGAACCTCAGAAGAAACTCAGGGCAATTTTGGAAAGGATTGGGTTCCTGTGTCAGTAATATGAGTAGGTCTGTTGCTCTCACACTGAGATTTAATGTTGGTGAGACCTCATATGTATCTGGAGATTGGTGAGGTTGGGGCATATTCAGGTTTTCTCACTGACCTGTTTTCCTGCCTTCTTTCCTTCTAGCACTCAGCGCTCATTCATTCTTCAAGAATGCTTCAAAGTAGACATTAGATTCATAGATATATAGTTTTTGTGCCTTACTTTTAAGTTCTTCCTGGATCTCTAGGGGGACTGTGTATATAAGACTGTGCATTGGGAGCACTGACAAAGGGGCTCCTAACACTGCCTGGGGAGGGGACCTGGGGCCAAGGAAAGCTTCAGAGAGGAGGTTTGAGTTGAGTCTTAAAGGAAGGATAGAAGTTCAGCAAGTTCATGGGAGGTGCAGCATACCCTGGGTGCGTAGTTTTGTCTTAACAGCAACTGGAGCAATGAGCATTTGTTGAAAGTTTAGCAGGTGCTTGGCATTTTCCTAAACAATTTACAGGCATTCTCAATTTGATCTATCAGAATCCATAGACTAGAAGGTGCTTTGCAAGTAAATGTTGAGTGGAACTAGATTTTGGCATTTGCCCTGATTTTATTTTTTTGACCCTTTGCATGGCTTAACTGAGGCATTACTTTTCTGTCACCTGTCTATACAATGGCATTTTATACCTCTTGGCCCTGACATGCTTACACATCTGTGTTTTATCAATTATCACCTAGCCCACTTTTTTTTTTGGCAATTAACCACACTGTCTGCATACCTCTTAGATAATGGAATTTTTCAAGTACGTGTGTTTTTCCTCCAATAAGACTGTAAGCTCCTTTCTTCTTTTTTTTTCTTTTTTCTTTCTTTTTTAGGATTTCTTACCATTTTGTAAAATTTTATCTGAAAACTATGGAGCAAAAGAGTGTGATTTTCTGAGGCACAGAACAAAAACTTCACGTCTTACGCGGCAGCCATGTGGTATACATCAAGTGCCCAGTTTACAAACTCTAATATAGAATATATTTGAAAAGACTCCCAGCTAATCCACACTGAGAATATCTGTGCACTTTTGGGGGGATTTTGGCTGGGCGTTTCTTTTCCGGAACAGGTGGTGAAGCTAAATTTGTTTGGTGTGCCTGACATACTTGGAGCCTTACATTAAGACTTCAGTGGCTGTAGTAAACGATTCCTCCCTTCTTTGTTTACAGGGAATTGGGACTCTCTCTGGGGTGTCGGATTTCGGTTTCTGCCACTGGGCAGGCTGGAAACCATTTCTGGACTACATTCTTCCACAGTCACAAAAAGCTGGGGCTGTTTTGGCTTGGAATCCTTGTTGCTTGGCTGTGAGATGTGGCCCCTAGCTCTGCATTTGGGTCAGAATGGATTTTAGTAATGTCTTCAGAAATGAAAGAAACAGGCACAGTTTCTTCACAATCCTCCTGTTTGCATTAAAGTGCTTTCTCACAGTGTTTGTGTCACAAGGTGGCAGGGAGGAGGTGGTGAGGGCATCGGCAGGGGTGGGGTGTAGATAGAAAAACGCGTAAAGAGTGCTTACTTGCTGGATTTGAAAATCTTTCAGGTCTAAAACCAGATGATTTAGGTTTTGTTTGTCCATTTCAACTAAATCAAATGAATGTTCCCAGAGCGGCTTTGGGATGGAAACGGAGGCTTTCCTGCTGAGGGGGAAATGCCTGCTTAGGTTCTCGGAGTGGGCTAGCCTGTAGGACCAGACCTGATTCATTCACAGTGTAGATCTCCAAGTGACTGCTCTCCAATTTCAGGCTCTAGGGTGCTACTGGGAGCTGGGCTTTAGAAACGCCTTAGGTGAGTGGGGTGAGAGGTGACCACAACCAAAGAACCTTGGTGCTACCACAGTGGACTTCAACTGGGAAGTGTCCCTGATATGGTGTTATCACCGTGGGTGGTTTACAATTGTTGCTTCCCACAGTAAACCTGAATCCAGCCCTTATCTGCCACTGTCAGAATTGTACTTGGGTAGTTCAGTTTTGCGGCATGCTCCTCCATTCTTCCGAATGTTTATTAGTGTTTTTATTCACAATTGGGACACGTGAACTTTTAGTGTAAGTGGCACAGGCTTGTTTCAGACCTCAAAGAGCTAAAATTATTTTGCATTTAGCACTTTCTCTGGGTGTCAGCTTGACCTCCTTTTGTTATACTTTAACCTTTTGGTTTTTGCAGGCAGTACTGTATAGTCAGTAAGAGACTGGGCTTTGGATTTACACAGATTTGAGTTCAAATAACAGGCTCTGTTATTTATCAGTGTTGCGACCTGGATAATGAATTAGTTACGATGCAGATTCAGCTGTTGTAGCAAAGGCCAAAGTAAAGTGGCTCCAATAGGATAGAGGTTTGTATCACCCTATACACATTAGGGTTTATGTGACAACCTCACAGTATCTAGTTTCTCATTGCTCTTCCACCTTCAACCCACAGCATCTGTTTTGTGGTCCAAAGCAGAGCTCCAGCTCCCATCACCAAATCTGCATCTCAGCCACTGGGAAGGAAAGAAGAGAAGTGGAGAGCATGTCTCTTTATGGGACAAGTCAATGGGTCACTTTCAGTCACAGCCCATTGCCTAAGACTTAACTCTATGGCTGTTATGAACTGAATGTTTGTGTCCACCATCCAAATTTATATGCTGAAGCCTTAACCCCTAAAGTGATGGCATTAGGAGGTGGAACCTTGGGAGGTTCTTAGGTTTACATGAGGTCATTAGAGTGGGGTCCTTATTGATGGGATTAGCTCCTTTCTAGGAAGAAACCAGAGAGTTTGCTGTCTCTCCATCTCTCTCTGCCTTGTGAGAGGACACAGCAAGAAGACTGCCATTTGCAAGCCAGGAAGAGAGCCCTCACCAGGAACCAAACTGGCCAACACGTTGATCTTGGACTTACCAGCTTCCAGAACTGTGAGAGATAAATTTCTGTTGCTTAAGCCACTCAGTCTACGGTATTTTGTTATGGCAGCTCAAGCTGCCATAGTAGACAATGCCATTGTAGACAATGGTCCTACAAAGGCGTTGAGAAATGTTGTCTTTAGTCTGGTGGTTATGTGCCCAGCTAAAACTCAGAGGTTTATTATTAAAATAAGAAGAGGATAATAGATTTTAGGAGACAACTGCCTTCTTGCACAGATGAATTATTTACATCTTCTGTGTCTCATCTCCTCCATCTGGAAAATGAGATAATTCTTGTAAGACTTTTAATATGGTACTTAGGACATAACTATTCAAATAACTATGAGTAAAGTAGTAGGTTTACTTGGATGCTTGTCTTTTGTTAGGGTAGTTTTTATTAAACAATTGTTTTTAGCTAGTATATTTGTTTTATAGCTCTATCCCCAGGAGATGATTGACTGTATCACAAGGGCAAAGTGATCTGCATTTTGCGTCAACCTAGAGTTTTCTCTGCTGGCATGAAGAGCTGGACTTGGAGGGTTTGTGAGGGTATTGGAGACCTTGCACGCTGTGAGTCTTTGCTATTTCCCCCTTCATCTTATCAAGAATTGCCTCATTTGTAGCCTTTATCAGAAATGCCATGATTCGGGACTCGAGTTTCTGGAAATTAGTAGAGGTGTTGATTGCTTGTGAATCTCAGGGTCAGAAAATGGTTGCTAGAGCTTCTAAGAAGGAAAAAGGCAGCTTCTTCAACCTTGTGAAAACTATTGTGGCCTTCAGCAACCTGTGATGAAAACTCACATTTGGAATTTGAAAAAGCTGAAGTCATATTTCTGAGTTGCTCTGATTTCTAGAGAAAATCAGTTGAATCCGAGGACTAAATGTGAAATCTATTCCTCCTTCCTAAGTGTTTTCATCCACTTAAGTTGATTATAATATTGCCGTCTATTTTCATTGTACAAGTTCTACATTTAACAATTAAAGATTTATTCACATTGAACTTCCTTGAGACACAGGTCAGTCTGCAACACTAGTGTAGGTTTACCAACTGTTGCCTGGAGCTGTAGTCTAAGAAAACAAGGGCCCACTGGTGGGACCTTATGGGTTCAAGGCAGCCTCTGTAGACTTGCATGTGTAGGAAAGAAAAGGTGAAAGCCAAGGAAGGTCTCCCCAACCTCTGATAGGTATGGAAGCAGCTGGCCTATAAGGCTGCCACAGGACTAGTGGTCAATTATGATCTTGCTCAAATGAGTTGTTTTCCAAACCATCTATTGTGAAATAATTTGGTTATTCTTGTAACCTGTGAATGGTCCTACAAAGGAGTTGGGAAATGTTGTCTTTAGTCCTTAAAAATTCCTTAAAAATTGAACATTTCTTAAACATTGAAATAGAAAAGGAAACAGTAGATTATTTCACAGGTAGCATAGAGAAGAATAAACTGTTTATTTTAATTATAGATCTCTATAGATGTATGTGTGTGCTGAGTCATGTAAATGTTCTTATTCTGGGTCAGGGCCAAAAATTTGAAAGATCTTGATCTAGTATAAGGTTTGCCAGTGTTGTCACTGCCAAGATGGTTTTCTGTGGTTTGTTTTTATTTTTCCCTGATCTTAACAAAACTATGGTGACTAGAAGATAGGCATCTGTCTATTGAAATCTATATCTCACCCTTTCCCAAGATTGGCTGACATATTCCTAAAGGCTAGATAGCATAATCAATTCCACTCCACAAATAATTGTTGAACATGAACTGTGTACAAGATACTGTTCTAGGTGGTGTGGGAGGTACATAATATCCCTTGCTGCTTTCCAGAGGCTCGTAAACCAGTGATGGTGGCAACAGATAAAGGAATACACAACCAATTCAACCACAAGACTGACCGTAATAGAGATTATATAATAACTAACTTTGACTGAATTATCATAAATTAATATTCAAATTTTAACCAAGAAGTAGACAAAATAACCTTATTGTCAAGATATCAATTATTTTGTGTGAAGTACACTTTTCCATTTTAGGAGTTAAGAAATTTGGTGCTGGCGAAGGTTTGGTAAGATGAGTATTCATGCATTGCTGATAAAAATGTAAGTGGGTATCATCTTATGTCTTTTTGGAAAGCAATTGGTTGGCATTAATTGGCTTAAAATATAGTCTTTGTAATAATTCCACTTCTAGGAATCTATCTTAAAAAAGCAAAGATTTGGAGCAAGATTAATGAGCAAAGATGTTTACTGCAGCTTTATTTTTTAAAGTAAAAAGTTAAAAATCACTAATGATTCCTACAAGAAATCTATATAAGAGGATATTACACATTGCTAAAAATCACATTTTCAAAAACTATGACAGTAGAAAGTGTTTACTTTTAAACAGTAAATCTTAGTAGGGTCAAACATTGAACAGATAGTACGATCATAATTCTGAAAAAAGAAAACCCAACATATTTGTGCATAGGAATAAACTAGAAGGAAACCCATTAATATTATGTGTTTAATCTCTGAGTTGTAGAATTTGGGTGATTTTTGTTATCTTCTTCAGAAGTTTAATGTAGTTTATTAATCTTCTACAATACAAAATTTTCTGTTTTATAAACAGAAATAACAAATACTATTTTATAAAACCTGTACAAATTACATTAATTCCAGCATGCTAAATTGAACACATTATTTTTAGTAGAGCCTTTCAAGGATTATAATTATGTCCTTTTGGATTTACTGGGTAGTCGTAATATTTACCTCTTTCCTTCACTTTGCCAGTGGGAGAGATGTTTGCTATGGCAACAGAAATGACTAGAACAGTCATTTATTTCCTTTTCTAAATTTAATTTTTAGGAAGAATTAGAATGTGAAATGTTTTCCAAGTAGTTGACCCCATCTGCATCTTCATTTACATTTCCTAGAGTCCATTGGACCTAGCCTTGCTAGGCCAGGGCTAACTCCTTCACACTCTGTCGTGGAATAAAAATGAACACTTCGACTAAACTATGGATGTATTTAATTAACTCATCCATATTATCCTTAGTTACTCTCTATGCAGGGCAATTCTGACCCAAGAGAGACTAAATTTCCTTTGAAAGAGTAATTTATTTTTTGGGAAATAACTGTGACTGTTTATTGAGTGCTTTAGTATCATGCCTAAAGTTTAGTGTAATTTCCTTCTATTATCTCATTTAATTCTCACAATAACCCCATTATATGGTTCCTATTATTATCTCTGTTTTGTATACAAAGTACCTCATATATAAAGAGGTTAGGTGACCTGTCCAGTGTCATATCAATCATAAATGCCAGATGTGAGCTGTAAGGCCATGGGAGACATAGACCAAGTTCTTAAACTCTAAGCTACTTAGCATTCCTGTGTGTTCCCTCTTATGCCCACTGAGACCCACTGTGACATTTGAGTACAGGCTAGGTAATCATTTTTAAGAATTCCAGTGTCAGAGGAGACTTTCTATCATGAGACTGTTGCTATAATGACTAAATTATTCTGAATTGATAAGGAATGCCAGATGCCTGCAGGTTCATTCTATTAAAATTTGCTTTGCATATTTCTGCCCTAAACTCAGTGAAACTCATGTTTTAATCTCCTTGCAATTCCAGGGGAAATAAAAAGCAAAATCATTTTATTGCCAGTAAAAATCTTCTAGGTTTAGTCAGAGCAAATTATAATTTCTGGTGCTTCTTGACTCATTAGTTCTTCCAGATGGTGCATGTAAACATGGCAGGAGCTGCAAAGAGTGTGAAGGCCGAAATGTAAATCAAGCAATAAGTATTCATTATAATTTGTGTGACAAATGGAAAGCCTATAAAGCGAAGCAGTGCATTGCTCGATCAATTTCATCCCATTACTCTTGGGATCCCCCAGAGACTATTTTCGGAAACAGACTCCCCAATTTTGTCAAGGTCAATTGTCATTACAGTGTTTAGAGGAGTCCTCAGATGCCTCGCAGATAAGCTTGAGTCATCATAGCTGCATTCTTTCTGCTCTTGATAATCTATGGGTTGTCCTTAGTTCTTCAAGAAGCATGAAGAAACAAGAGGAAAATATGACTTTAAAATGTTGAGGTTATTTGAAAAGGAAGAGAAGGCTTGTTGCAAGTGTTCCCATACCCACTGTATTGGAAGTAATCCTGCCTTGCCCAAATTCCCCCTTCCCCAGGATCCAGGTATACATCCCACTGTCCTGCTGGGAGTATTGATGACTGATGGGTCTCAACTGAGGTCCTGAAGAGATCTTCCTGGCCCAAGGTCACATGCCTTCTGAGCAGCTGCATTTATTGACTGGCTAATGGGTAAGAAAGAAGGACCAGACTCCTGATCCCACTTTCTAGCCCCTCTCCAACTTCAGACAACTATGATTGGCCTTCTCAGCTCCAGAGCTCCTCATAGGGTCAGCTGAGGCCTTTGTTGCAAATGAATTTCAGTTCGACTTTTTGCCCAATTTTTAGTGGTTATATAGCCCCCAATATAAGAAGCAACATGCAGCGGTAGAAAAGGCACCAGATCATGAATCAGAATACCCGGGGTCTAAAGCAAGCTTTGTTACTGTTGAGCAATGAGATCTTGGAGAAAATAATTTGCCTTCTCTGTTCCTTATTTTTCTTATCTTTCAAGTATAAAGCTTAGCCTAGCCTAGCAGTTCTTACCTATGCATCTCTCCCAGTGGATGTCCTTTGACTCCCTGAAATTATATACAATGTCTATGTATTTTTCTGGCAAGGTTAGGGGCATAACTTTCATTAGGTTCTTGAAGGTCTCCACAGAATTTTTTTCTATTGTGGTAAAAAAAATACATAACATATACTTTACCATCTTAACAATTTAAACAATGTTCAGTTCAGTAGTGTTAAATATATTCATATTATTGTGAAACAGATCTCCAGAACTTTTTTATCTTACAAATCTGAACTCTATACCCATTAAATAACTCTTTTTCCTCCTCCTCTTAGCTTCTGTTAACCACCATTCTACTTTCTGCTTCTATAAATTTGACTACTCTAAGTACCTTATGTAAGTAAAATCATATACTATTTGTCTTTTTGTTGTTGGCTTATTTCACTTAGCATAATGTCCACAAGGTTCGTTCATGTTGTAGCATGTGACACCACTTCCCTTTTTTAAGGCTGAATAATATTTCATTGTAGGTATATACTATGTTTTGTTTATTCGTTCATCAGTTGATGGACATTTGGGTTGCTTCCACTTCTTGGCTGTTCTGAATGGTACTGCTGTGGATATGGGCATCAAATATCTCATCGAGACTCTTCCCTTCCCTTTCCTTGTCCCTCCCTCCCTCCTTCCCTCCCTTCCTTCCTTCCTTCCTTCCTTTCTTTTCTTGATATGGGGTCTTGCTCTGTCGCCCAGGCTGGAGTGCGGTGGCATGATTATATCTCACTGCACCCTCAACCTCTCAGGCTCAAGGAGTTTCCTCCAGCCTCAGCCTCCTCAGTAGTTGGGACAGGCATGCACCACTATACCTGGCTAATGTTAAAAATTTTGTAGAGATGAGGTCTCACTATGTTGCCCAGGCTGCCCTTGAGCTCCTGAGCTCAAGTGATCCTCCTGCCTCAGCCTTCCCAAGTGCTAGGATTATAGGTGTGAGCCATTGCACCTGGCTATCCCTACTTTCAATTCTTTTGCATATAAACCCAGAAGTGGGATTCCTGGCTCATATAGCAGTTCTATCTTAACATTTTTTAGGAATCTCCATATGGTTTTGTATAGTGGTTGCATCATTGTACAATTCTATCAGCAATGTGCAAGGGTTCCAATTTCTCCATGTTTTGCTATCTTAGTCTGATTTCTGTTGTTTATAACAGAATACCTAAAACTGCATGGATAAAAGAAATTTCTTTTTCCTTTTTTTTTTTTTCTGGAGGCAGGGTCTTGCTCCATCACCCAGGCTGGAAGGAATTTATTTCTTAGAGTTATGGAGGCTGAGATGTCCAAAGTCAAAAGCCTGCATCTGGTGAGAGCCTTCTTGCTGACGGGGATTCTCTGTAGTCCCAAGATGGCACAGGGCATCACCTGGCAAGGAAGCTGAGTATCCTAGTTCAAGTCTCTCCTCCTCTTCTTATAAAGCCACTAGTCTCATTCCCATGCTAACCCATTAATCCATTAGTCCATTAATCCACTAATGAACGCAGAGCCTTCATGACCCAATAACCTCTTAAAGGCTCCACCTCTCAATACTACCACATTGGGGATTAAATTACAACATGAGTTTTGGAGGACAAATATTCAAACCATAGCACTTGCCAGCGCTTACTATTTTTTTTAATAGTAGTCATTCTGATGGGTGTGAGGTGATCTCCTCATTGAAGTTTTCATTTGCATTTCCCTGATGCTGAGCATCTTTTCACATGTGTGTTGACCATCTGTATGTCATCTTATGACAAATGTCTATTCAAATCCTTTACCCCTACCCACCTTTTCTTTTTCAGGCAGGGTTCCACTCTGTTGCCCAGGCTGGAGTGCAGTGGTGTGATCTCGGCCCACAGCAGCCTCAACCTCCTGTGCTCAAGTGATTCTCCCACTTCAGCCTCCTGAGTAGCTGGGACTATAGGTGTGCACCATCACACCCAGCTAATTTTTATATTTTTTGTAGAGACGGCTTTTTGCCGTGTCACCTGGGCTAGTCTCAGACTCCCGAGCTCAAGCGACCCGCCTGCCTCAGCCTCCCAAGGTGTTGAAATTACAGGCATGAGCCACTGTGCCTGGCCTGTCCATTTTTTAATTGGGTTATTTGTATTTTTGTTGTTGTTGTTGCTGAGTTGTGGGAATTCTTTATATATTCTGGATATTAACCCCTTATTAGATCTATGATTTCCAATGATTTTCTCCCATTCTGTGGGTTACCTTTTCACTCTGTTGATTGTGTCCTTTGATAAACAAAAGTTTTAAACTTTGATATATTCCAATTTGCCTATTTTGCTCTTGCTGGCTGTGCTTTTAGTGTCATATCTAAGAAATTATTGGCAAATCCTAATCATGAAGATTTTTTTTTCTAGGAATTGTATTATTTTTGGTCTTACATTTAGGTCTTCAATCTATTTTGAGTTAAGTTTTGTGTATGGTGTAAGATAAGGGCCCATTTTTATTCTTTTGCATGTGGATGTTCAATTTTCCCAACAACATTTGTTGAGGAGACTGTCCTTCCTCCACTGAGTGGTCTTGGCACCCTTGTTGAAGATTATTTGACTGTATATACGAGCATTTATTTCTGGGCTCTCTATCCTATTCTTTTGGTCTATTGTCTGTCTTTATGCCAGTATCACACTGTTTTGATTACTGTAGCTTTGTAGTATGTTTTGAAATCAAAAGTATGAGTCCTCCAAATATCTCCTCCTTTTTCAAAATTGTGTTGGCTTTTTGGGATCCCCTGAGATTCCATATTGATTTTAAGATGATTTAAGATGAATTTTTTTATTGCTACAAAAAATGCTGTTGTATTTTTTGATAAGAATTGCTTTGAATCTGTAGATTGCTTTTGGGTAGTATGTCCATCTTAACAATATTAAATCTTCCAATCCCCAAACACTGGGAGCCTTTCCATTTATTTGTGTCAACTTTAATTTCATTTAGTAATAGTGATATTTTCTAGTTTTCAATGTATAAGCTTCTCACTTCCTTGGTTAGGTTATTCCCAAGCATTTTATTCTTTTTGATATTATTATAAATGGAATCGTTTTCTTAATTTCCTTTTCAGATTGTCCATTGTTAGTATATAGAAATACAATGGGTTTTTTTGTGTCAATTTTGTATCCTGCAATTTATACTGAATTTATTAATTCTAACAAGGTTTCTTTTGGTGCGAAATCTTTAGAGTTTTTTACATATAAAATCGTGTCATCTGTGAACAGTGATAATTTTAACACCTTTCCAATTTGGATTTCTTGTATTTCTTTATTTATCTATTTTTTTTTTTGAGACAGAGTCTCGCTCTGTCACCCAGCCTGGAGTACTATAGCATGATCTCGGTTCACTGCAACCTCTGCCTCCTGGGTTCAAGCAATTCTCCTGCCTCAGCCTCCTGAGTAGCTGGGATTACAGACATATGCCACCACGCCTGGCTAATTTTTGTATTTTTAGTAGAGACGGGGTTTCACCATGTTGGTCAGGCTGGTCTCCAACTCCTGACCTCGTGATCCGCCTGCCTCGGCCTCCCTAAGTGCTAGGATTACAGGCGTGAGCCACTGCACCCGTCTGTATTTCTTTTTCTTTCCTAATTGTTCTGTTCTTGTTTAATTGTTCTGGCTATGACTTCCAATACTATGTTGAATAGGAGTGGGGAGAGCAGTTATTAAGCCTTTTTCCTTATCTTAGAAGAAGAGCTTTCAGTCTTTCACCATTGAGTGTAATGTTAGCTGTAGGCTTTTCATAAGTGGCTTTTATTATTATTTTATTTTTTTGAGACAGAGTCTTGCTTTGTTGACCAGGCTGGAGTACGGTGGCAGGATCTCAGCTCTCTGCAACCTCTGCCTCCCAGGTTCAAGTGATTCTCCTGCTTCAGCCCCCTGAGTAGCTGGGACTATAGGTGTGCACCACCACGCCTGCTAATTTTGTATTTTTAGTAGAGATGGGTTTCACCATGTTGGCCAGGCTGGTCTCGAACTCCTGACCTCAAGTGATCCACACGCCTCGGCTTCTCAAAGCATTGGGATTAGAGGCATGAGCCACTGTGCCTGGCCTCATAAATGGCTTTTCTTATGTTGAGGTAGTTTCCTTCCTGTCCAGGTTTATTGAATGATTTTTATCATGAAAGGGTGTTGAATCTTGTCAAATGTTTTTTCTCTATCAATTGAGATGATGATGTCATTTTTGTCTTCCATTCTGTTATTGTGGTATATTACATTGATTAAATTTTGTATGCAAAACTCTCCTTGCTTTTCATGAATAAGTCCCACTTGGTCATGGCATATAATCCTTTTAATGTGCTGTTGAACAGTTTGCTAGTATTTTCTTGAGGATTTTTACATCAATATTTATTAGGGATACTGGTTTGTAGTTTTCTTTTCTTGTAATTTCTTTGTCTGGTTTTGGTATCAGAGCCTAATAGAATGAGCTTAGAAGTGTTCCTCTTTAATTTTTTGGAAGAGTTTCAGAATTGATGTGAATTCTCTTGAAATTGACTTGAATTCTTCTTTAAATGTTTGGTAGAGTTCTCCAGTGAAGTCATCTGGTCCTGGGCTTTTCTTTGTGGAGAGATTTTTGATTACTGTTTCAATAATTTACAAGTTTCTGATCTCTTCAGATTTTCTATGTCTTCATGATTCAGTCTAGGTAGGGTGTGTGTTTCTAGGAATTTATCCATTTCTTTTAGGTTATCCAATTTATTGACATACAACTGCTGAATTGTTGTTTTGTTCTTCGTATAGCTTCTATCTCTGTTTGATATTCACATTTTGTTCATATGTTGTTTTTCTGATTTCATTTAGTTGTCTATCTGTTCTCTTTTAGTTTATTGAGTATCTTTATGACAGTTATTTTAAATTGTTTGTCAAATAACTCATACATCTGCATTTCTTTAGGGTTGGTTTATGTAGTTTTAGTTTGCTCCTTTGATTGGGTTATGTTTCCGTGTTTCTTTGTACATCTTGTAAATTTTTTTCTTTTTTGGCTGGGATTTGGGCATTTGAAAAAGCACCCACCTCTAACAGTCTGCATACTGGATTTGTTCAGGTGGAACCCGTCACCAGTCAGTCTACTTATCTGTTCAAGCACCTTTCAAACCTTTTCTGATCTCTTGCTCCCCCTGGCATCTGCCTGTAGAACTGCACATCTAATGTGCTGCTAGACTTTGTTTTCAGCAGCGTCTGATCCTGCCTCTGCTCTAAGTCAAGCAAAACCAGACTCTCAGACAGCCCCCCTACATGCCAGAACTTTGAGTGCAAAGTCTGCTCTTTTGTTTCTGTTCTGAGGAAGGACCCTCAGTTTGAAGATTTCCTCCCAATTTCTCCATACTATACTGTGAATGTGCAGAAGCATGAACTGGTGCACCAACTGCCATAAGGCTTTCTACCCCTTTTCTGGAATCCTTTCTTCATTTTACAATGGCCTGGGTGCTATAGCATCTCACCTGGTCTCTGGAGTTCTCACAGGGGCATTCTGGTCCATATACTGTTGTTAACTTGGTGTCTCTGTAGGGGAAAGAAGGGCCTGTAGCTTCCTAGTCCATCATCTTGCTAACATCACTCTGACACCTATTTCTTCTGCAGACATTTAGGAATCAAAACACTAGGTGATTATCAAGTCATATTGACTACAGCTAAAAAACAGTGCCTCTATGTCTACTACATGAATTAAGATAAAAAATATTGAGCATCAGTGTTTCTCCATGGAATCTATAGTGAAGAGGCTTTGGCTCCTAGAGAGTGGAACCAAGTAGGTAGAAAAGAATTTTCAATCCAGGGAGAATGAGAACAGCTGGAGAAGTAGGCAATTTTTCTAGCAGTTCATAGGGGAAGCTTCTAGAAAAACCTGCAAAGAACTCTGATTCATTTGATATCCAGGAAGTGGGGATTCTGAAGGATCTGCTTCAGTGGATCTGAGAATGTATCAGGCTGCCTATAGCTCTATCCAGGTGATCACAAGATCAAGGTGACATCTGTGCTAAGGGAGATTTGAAGAGCACCTCTTTAGTCAGCAGCTTATTGGAGGAAATGAATGTCTCCTAAAAGGAAATATCTAAGGAGATAGACCGTGTTCTATCAAAAAGCAAAATGTCAAAGGTATCATCAGAATATAGCATAGGTTGGAGAGATTCCCATCTTCGGAAGTATTTAAGCTGAGACAGAGAAATCAATTGACAGAGATGTGGAAGAATTCGTACTCTAGATGGAAGTACACCTATTAAGCTGTCTTAAAATTATCTGGGTCTGAATTTGTATGAACTTGGTGAAGGATTCTGATTCCTGATCATTTTATGTGGAAGCTAAAATCAGTGGAAGGGCTATAACATTTAGAACACCATGCAGTGTTGAAAAAGAGGTAATGAAACACATCAAGAAAAAATACTCAGTTTCCCCAGGTAGAAATATCTATCTGCATGGCACAGCCCTGATGGATTCAGCTAAAACTCGGAGGTTATATTTTTTGGTTTTTGCCTCTGTACTTCTTTTTGTGTATGTGTGTACATAACACATCAATACACTGTGGACAGATTTTCACAGACTATAAAGGCTTTCTGTCCACATGCAGGAAGTGGCTGACAATATCTTACTGAATAACAGAGGATATGTGGGGCTAAATAGATGCAAACAATAACTTCTCTTGTATTTCCCTACACAGATCACATTTAAGACTCTGCAGATCATCAAGCAGCATGATAGAGATGGCTTGGCATACATTAAAGCAAACATTTCCTGCCAATATGTACCACGTTGCAGTGTATCATTAATGCTGTCAGCCTCAGAATAACTTCGCTTATGTAGAATGATGCATAGCTTATTAAACTTGTAGAAAGTTGTTACTTAAAACTGGAGACTTGGTTTTTGGGACTCCATCACTGATGTTATGTCCTTGGTGGATAATCTTAGTTCTCTTGGGGTCTCTTTCAGTCGTTGCATTAGGCTTTGTAATCTATCTATCATATGTAATTGCCTGTATTTCACTGAAATAGACTTCTTTGAATACCTCAAAATTTTAATAGCCTTATTCTCATATCAAGTTGGTCTTTTTATTTTGATAAATATCCAATATTTCTGTTCATTAATTTTCTGCTACTGAATTCATCTATGGACAGGCATGAATGGTCTTTCCCTTCGTATTTTAAAAATGAGATCTGCAAGAATCACTAGAAACACATAATTTGTGCTGAGCTTGGTTGTTTTAATCTGGGGTGTTACTTTATGGTAACTTAAGTTAATAAAACTTTGTTTTAAAAAGTATTAATATCAGATTTCCTCCAAATTATAAAATCATTATTAATATCTTACTGGCAATATATAATGATATCTTGTTGACAGATTTGGAATAGAAAATGACTGGAAATCTAGACTCAAAGATACCAACAAAATATCTATGATAGCAAGCTGTCTTTGGTACTTACCCTGATTTTCAATGTCTACAAAGGCATGCTCTTTTTTTTTTTTTTTTTTTTGAGACGGAGTCTCGCTCTTCACCAGGCTGGAGTGCAGTGGCGCGATCTCGGCTCACTGCAACCTCTGCCTCCTGGGTTCAAGTGATTCTCCTGCCTCAGCCTCCAGAGTAGCTGGGACTACAGGCGCACGCTACCAAGCCCAGCTAATTTTTGTATTTTTAGTAGAAACGGGGTTTCCCCATGTTGGCCAGGATAGTCTAGATCTATTTACCTTGTGATCTGCCCACCTCGGCCTCCCAAAGTACTGGGATTACAGGTGTGAACCACTGCACCCATCTGGCATGCTTTTAATATGCATTGACTCTTCAAATCCTCACAACTTCCTCATGAAATATTATTTCTATTTTACACTGTAAGCATTAAAATAAACATTTGTCAAATGAATGCATACATCTATCATTTTTTGTTGTTGTTGTTTATTCGCTTTTTTGAGACAGAGTCTTGCTCTGTCACCCAGGCTGGAGTGCAGTGGCTCACTGCAACCTTCGCTCACTGCAACCTTCGCCTCCCAGGTTCAAGCGATTCTCGTGCCTCAGCCTGGCAAGTAGCTGGGACTACAGGCACGCACCACCATGCCTGGCTAATTTTTGTATTTTTAGTAGAGACAGGGTTTTTGCCATGTTGGCTAGGATTGTCTCAAACTCCTGACCTCAAGTGATCCATCTGCCTTGGCCTTCCAAAGTGCTGGGATTATAGGTGTGAGCCACTGCACTTAGCCACATCTATCATTTCTTTTTGTAATTATTATGTATCATCTTCCAAACACCATGGTCAGGCAGTTTCTCTCTCTCTTTCTTTCCCTCTTTCTCCACTTCCTCACCACCCCCATTGTTCATGCCTGGGTCAGGCCTGCATTACTTTTCCCCTCCATTACTGCGGTAGCCTCTCAAATGGTATGCCATTCTCTTCCAGTGAACATAGCTTTTCTAAAATAAAATAGTGTTTCTGTATTAGTCAGGCTTTTCTGTTTACAAGTGAGTGAAATCCAGCTCAAACTGTATTAAACAAATCAGGGGATTTATTTGACCCACAACTCTGAGAATTCCAAGAGATAGGTTTGACTTCAGGCCCAGCTTGACACAGAGTTTCAAACATATGCATTGTTGGTTATGGTGGCCACTGGCAGATCAGCACTGAGACCCTACCAGCTGCAAGATCCAGCAAAAAGAGAACCTCTTCCCATGTGATTTTGGCAGAAAGGTCCCATTGAGGATCACTGGTCTATTCCTGAATCATTTGCTAATGCTTAAGCCTTCTCTTTGGCCAGACTGGGTAATACACCCACCCGCTGTAGCTTGGAGAACAGAATCAGCCCCACCGAAACCTCATGAATTGGTTCTGTTATCAGCCGAAGGGGGAAGGGAGCCTTGGCAGGGAAACACAGCAGATGTACATGACATTCCATGTACGAAGTCTTGCAACAGTTCCTAAATGTCTTTGGATAATTGCCAAACTCCTTAGCATGCTATATGTACGTTGCTTACTTATTCAGTTTCATCTTTGCCTCTCTTTTCTTTGTCCGATAATTTATCCTTTAAGGTTCAATTTTAGCAGCCCATCAGTCGTCCTTCCAGCCTGTCAAATGGGAGCAGGGGTTCCTTGTCTGTGATTCGATAGCACCCTGAACCCCTGGTCTCTTAGCCCTGAACATACTTCGTGTGACCAATATTTGTTAACCCTGACTTTCCTAGAGAATTCTCCCCCCGGGAGCTTAAAAATAACTCGTACCCTAGCCTTAGCACACCTCAGATCCATCAGAGTCTGGAGATGAGTGATTTGGTGACTGTCTATTTATCTATTTCATCCTTTCCTAAGTTCCCCAGCTGATTCTGAGGCACAGTTGGGCTTGAAAACCACTGAGTAACATTAAAGTTCTATCCAGCTCTAAAATTCTGACTCAACCCAAGATTTGGTAGGATTATCTCCTCATCATTCCCTCTTCCTCTGTTCCTCTTCCCTCCATTCCCCCTCCCTCCTTCTATTTCTAGCTATTCTATTCTATTTACAGATGTCAAAGCCATAGCTCTATGTAAAAATAAGTGCAAAATATTTTCTCCTCATTTTTATTTTTATTGTCCTTAGGAGCTTTGAAACTGTCTCAGTGGCACTGAGATTATCTCAGTTACTTAAGAATGAGCTACTTTTTCTGTTACTTCCTTGGAAGTTTTCAGCTCAGTCTCTCATTGTATGGGGCTCCCATTCCATAGCTGTGTCTGTGGACCCTTTAAAATAATGTCTCAGCAGCACGGCCAGTCAGGCCTACATTGGAAAGAGTCATTTGAGGCACTTCCTGTCATGCTTCATACGGTTGTGTTGTTGACATTCGGTACATGTGTTTGTCATTGACACACAGGCTCCCATTCCAGCTGGAAAGTCTTTCCTTTCATCTAGAAGCTGTTTTAAAAAAATGTTCCTACTTATCTAAAGCCAGAGAGAGTGGATGGGAGGGATTAGTTTGTTTGCCCACATCTTCAAATGCGCTGTGTTTTGTGGAATGCCAACAGGACTGTTTTAATTTGCTTTCTACAAAGGCAGACTTCTGTTGCTTTTCCTGAGATCCTGATGGAACAGTGTTTGTCATTAATGTCATGAAAGGAGATAGTGCAGCTGTGTTTATGGTGGGAGTTACCTGTAATTTATGTTGTAACTTAAACATTTAGGAAGAGTTGCTCTTTCCTTTTAGTTAGAGACCTGAATTCTCTCTCTTTCTCTCCCTCACTCCCTCCCTCTCTCTCTCTCTCTCCCTCTTTCTTTCTTTTCTTTTCTTTTCTTTCTTCCTTCCTTTCTTTCTTTCTTGCCTGCCTGCCTTCCCTCCCTCCCTCCTTCCTTCCTTCCTTCCTTCCTTTCTTTCTTTTCTTTCTTTCTTTCTTTCTTTCTTTCTTTCTTTCTTTCTTTCTTTCTTTCTTTCTTTTCTTTCTTTCTTTCTTTCTTTCTTTCTTTCTTTCTTTCTTCCTTCCTTCCTTCCTTCCTTCCTTCCTTCCTTCCTTCCTTCCTTTCTTTCTTTCTCTTTCTCTCTTTCTTTCTAAAAGTTCAATTCCTACAAATTTTTTAAGCACCAGGGAGGCAGTTGGAAAGTCAAGACTTGTGTTCTCTGGTACTGAGATGGAATTATTGAAATGACAGCATTTTAGAAATGTAAACATATACTTAACTTCAGTCTAAAACAGCGTAAGCAAATGAGGGAAAAACTAACCAAGCTGGTTATCTAAATGAGGAAAGGACATTTCTTAGAAGATTTGTGAGACCCAATCTTATTGTATCATGTGCCTTCCTTCTCACTACTCAGCTCTCTTACTGTTTTGGTATAGCTCAGGTCATGCTAAATTTTATTATTTTGAAAAATTAACTTCCAAGGACATTGGAGAAAAAGAGTTGGGTTAGTGGCCATTCAGATTTTGGGACTGAAAATAAGGGCTCATGGGTAGTAGTTGAGGACAAACGGAATTTAATGGGACTCCAAGTGTTTGTTTTATGAGCACCAACAAATGGATTTCTTCCTCTCTTCTGGGAACTTGAGAGGGAAAATCTATTTGCCTTTGGTCTGCTAAAGAAAACCAGAGCCCTTTGTTCACATTTATCTTTAGGATCTTTTCTTGAAATGCTAACCTTTCATTGAAAAGTTTACTGGAATCTCCAAAGAAAATTAAAGTATAGCATCATTTAAAATCAATTCAGCAAACATTTTTGAGTACCTACTATACATGGGCATTGTGGAAGGGATATAAAGAAAATAATGAGCGCCACATTTATACAAATACATTTAATAAAATATGATAAGTGCTTCAGTGGGTCAATGGACAGAATATCTACTGATCACAGATATGTATATTTTAAAAATCCTCTATGTCTCTTTATGGCATTTTCTTATTCTATGAATCTTGGGGCCCTTTGACAAAAGTCAAAGAGAGTGATCTAGTCTGACTAATTTTTGTGAGCCTATATTGTCTCATAATGCTGCTGCTATTTTTTCTTTATTTCTTTTTTTTTTTTTTTTTTTTTTTTTTTTTTTTGAGATGGAGTCTTGCTCTGTTGCCTAGGCTGGAGTGCAGTGGCATGGTCTCGGCTCACTGGAACCTCCACTTCCTGGGTTCAAGCGATTCTCATGCCTCAGCCTCCCGAGTAGCTGAGATTATAGGCGCCTGCCACCATGCCTGGCTAATTTTTTGTATTTTTAGTAAAGACGGGATTTCACCACGTTGTCCAGGCTGGTCTCGAAACCCTGACCTCGTAATCTGCCCACCTCGGCCTCCCAAAGTGCTGGGATTACAGGTGTGAACCACTGCACCTGGCCAATGTTATTTTTTCTTACATTTTCCTCAATTCTGAGTAGTAGTCAGTTCTAGAATTTTCCTGGGCATTGATCATCAATTTCACTGGTTTATGCTTTTCAAAATTTCTATCTGGGTCTGGGTGTGGTGGCTCATGGCTGTAGTCCCAGCATACTGGGAGGCCGAGGTGGGCGGATCATTTTAGGTCAGGGATTTGAGACCAGCCTGGCCACCTTTCCGTAGAGATGGTTAAACCCCATCTCTACTGAAAATACAAAAATTAGCTGGGTGTGGTAGTGCCCGCCTGTAATCCCAGCTACTCAGGAGGCTGAGGCAAGAGAATCACTTGAACTCGGGAGGCAGAGGTCGCAGTGAGCCAAGATCGCGCCACTACACTCCAGCCTAGGCGACAGAGTGAGACTCTGTCTCACAAAAAAATAAAAATAAAAATAAAAAAATAAAAAATAAAAAAATTCTATCTGAACATTGTTAGATTATCTGTGTTTCTCTAGCTTTCCTCTACAGACAGGAGATGGAGACTCAACATTCTGTTGTAATTAAGCCATCAGCAATGTGGGGGCTTGTAGTCTTACATTAGCTTGGTCAAAGTCAATGTACCCACTGGGTTTCTAAGCTTGCACAGAGGGCACCTTACCCACAGCCTTCTTGCAAAAAAGTTCCAGAATTGGTGGAGCAGTTCCCCTTGGCCACTTAGAAGGCATGTACTAAAATGTTCTGTGGGCTTAATCTAAATTTGTTCCAAAGTTATTGTAAGAATTATTTACTGATGATAAAGGAATTTTTTTTTCCTTGCCATTTTCCCCGGACTGTAATTCCCTAAAATGTTTTTCTGCTTCCACGGAGAAGCACAGGTTTCTCCAAGTTGGGGGAGTGTGGTGGTGGTGTGTGTGAGTCATATCTAGACTTTAGGAAGGGTTTGGTTTGCCTATATCCCTAATCCATATTAAAGTATAACTGTATTTCACCATTCTTCCCTATGAGGTCGTGGTCCTCCCTGCATCTGTACTGTGGGTATATTTTGCTTTAGAATAATCTTCAGTATTCAGAAGGTGCGGATGTGTGTGAGTGTATTTGGTGAAAAATTTTAGGTAAATCTTTGCTTCTCTTCTGCTTCTCGGGTAGAATCATGTAAACAGAAGCCTATCCAGTCTCTTATGATTAGAAAGTGAGTACATGTAATTATGCTGTTTATATGGAATTTCCCTGAAGGGTTGATCAGTGATCCCAGTGGAGATTCTGGGTATTACTGTTAATACTTTATGTCTCTCTGATGCCTTTAAATGTAATACCTGAAAACCATCAGCTTAGACTGAAGTGAACCACATGTTTAATGGCTCAGTAAAACATCCAAAGCTGGCTGAAAAGTCAGAACAAAGATTATGAGGTATAGTCAGTTTACTGACTGTATGAAATAAGTTGAAATCATAACTAATGATTCAAAAATAAATGGGGAGAGTAGAGCGACATGTTGAAGGTTAACAGATGTGGAATAGCTGCCAAAACAGGAATTTGTGGATCAACCTGTGCAGAACTAATCACTGTAGTGGGAACTTCGCTGGAATGCAGAACTTCCCTCTAATCTGCTGAGGAAGTCAGTCTGGATAGATAGGCGGGGAGGCCCAGTTCCCAGGTAGGAATGGGAAAGAGTGGAGGATTGGCTAGGGGAAGGGGAAGGAGGATTACCTGGAAGGGTTAGAGACCAGGAATTAAATTAAAATACCACAATGCGGTGCTGTGTTAGGAAGTTCTGGGAAGAATTTGGCAATGTATCTTAAAAATGGTAATAGTGATTTTTCTCTCACCCAGTAACTGCATTTCCAAGGAAATTTATTAAGAAAATAACCAGAAGTGTGTATATGGATTTATATACAAAATTTTAATCATATTTTTACTTATATTAGTGAAAAATTAGAAATAACCTGAATATTCAATAGCAGAGGATTAGTAAAATAATGATGTAGCCATTTAATGAAATATTATGCAAGTAATTAAAATCATGACTTTTGAAGAAAAATGACATGTTAATGCACATTGGGTAATGTTTCATAGCTTGCTTTTTAAACATAATGTTTTGTGAATATATTATTTGTTCATCAGTATTCATCTACAAGATTTTATGTGGCCATATAGTATCCCCTTGAAATGATGTGTTACTGTTGGGAATACATAATGGTACTATCATTGTGAAAAACAGTTTGGCAATTTCTTATGCAGTTAAATGTAGACTTATGCAGTTAAATGTAGACTTACCATATGACCCAACAATCCCACTCTTAGATATTTACCAAAAAGAAATGAAAACTTATGTTCACACAAAGAGCTGTATGCAAACTGTAAATGTTTATAGTAACTTTATTTATTTATTTTTCTGAGATAGGCTCTCGCTCAGTTGCCCAGGCTGGAGTGCAGTGGCATGATTATAGCTCACTGCAGCCTTGACTTCCTGGGCTCAGGCAATCCTCCCACCTGAACCCCCAAAGTAGCTGGGACTACAGTTGTGCATCACCAGGCTCAGCTCATTTTTGTATTTTTTGTGGAATCTCGCCATGTTGCCCAGGCTGATCTCAAACTCTTGGGCTCAAGCAATCCACTCATGTTGGCCTCACAAAATTCTGGGATTACAGGCATGAGCCACCATGCTCGACCTGTAGCTTTATTTATACTTGACAAAAATTGGCAAGAACCCAGATGCCCTTCAATTGGTAAATGGATAAACTGTGAAACATCATACAAGGAAATATTACTCAGCAATAAAGAATAAATTATTGTTTCACAAAACAATGTGGATAAACCTTAAGTGCATTTACTAATTGACAGAAGCCAGACCCAAAAGGCTACCATTGTATAATTCCATTCATGTGACATTTTGAAAAAGGCATAATTGGAAGGATAAAAAGTAAAAGTGGTTGCCAAGAGTAGGGAATAGGTGAGGATTGACTAGATGGGGCAGTATGAAGGAAGTTTTAGAGCGATGGAACTTCCCTGTAGCAGAACTGTGATGGTAGATACAGGACTATGCATTTGTCAAAATCCATAGGACTGTGTGTCACAGAAAATGAAGTTTTCTGTAGGTAAAATATTTTTTAAAATCAGTCAGAATATGGGGGAATCCAAATGGAATACAGTAATAAATGAACCTAACTGTATTACAAATAACATTGAAGGCAGCAGTCAAGAAAAGAATGAACTGAAGTTCTTTAATAGTATTCTGGCTAGACACTGTAGGGCTAAAGACAAAAAGAACTGTATATAAATACTATACTCTAATTAGTGAATTTATTTCCTAGAGGGTTATGGATTGGCAATTCTGAGATGACTTTAATGTATACTAAGATTGAACAAATAAACAAATACATAGTAGAAAACAAAAACCAGATTTCTCACTGTCAAAGAAGGACAAAGAAAGAAAAGACAGTTACCTAAAAAGGTAAGAGAAAGGCTAGAAGAAACCATTGATGTAGAATTAGAAATCAGAGGTATCAGTTTAAATCTACACACACACACACACAAACACACACACACACACACACACACGGAAAGGTTAAAAAAATGTGTATAAGAATGGGTTAATATACCCATATATACTTCCAAACTCCGTCTATTGAGAAGGCCTAGAAGTAATGTTTTCTCAAGAACAGTGAGCTCATATAACACCCAGATCTTGGTGTCTAAGTACTATTTTGCTGTGATAGGAATCAGAGCTCTATGGAGAAGTGATTCATTCTAGAGCTGATGTGGAGAAAACACAAGATGAGCCTTGAGCGTCTTATTGTGCCAGAGAGTAAAGAAGAGCTTAAAAAAAAGGTAGAAGGAAAAAGACGGGAGGCTGTCAAAAAGACACAGGAGCCAACTTGAAAGAGCTCCCAATGGCCAAAGTGGGAACAAGTTAAGCAACAAAGCAAATAATCATATTATTGGATTATAACCCATAAAATAGGATAAATATCCATGAGTCCAAACTGATATAAATAAGTAATAGAGTAAATAAAATACAGAAGGGACAGCTATTCTTTACAGAACAATTTCAATTAATAAATGAATCCAGAAGAAATGAGGATCTAGGAAATCAGCAGTGGAATGCAGTGACTGTTCCTTCAAACAAGATCTTTCAAGGGATGCTAAAATTAGTAGGTGAAAGTTTGAGAAGAAAGAGGATATTTGCTTGGTTTTGAAGTATCTCCCATGATGTACTTATTAGATATTATTATTTATTATTTATTAGATATTTTTACTACAAAGGGAAAAATAGTAACTTTGCAGTGGGAAAACCCAACAGATACCACTGTAACCAAATGATCAGAGGTAACATCTCTAGTAATAAAACATATCAACATCATATATTTCCTAATGTGATATTCTGCAAATGGCACATCACTTCTGTGGTATTATTGCCCAAAATGAATAATACCCTCAGTCTAATCATGCCAAGACATCAGATTCAAGAAATCCTCCTGCCTAGCCTCCCAAGTAGCTGGAACTATAGGCATGCACTATCACGCCCAGCTAATTTTTGTATTTTGTAGAGATGGAGTTTCACTATGTTGCCCAAATTAACGACATTCTACAAAATAACTGACCAGCACTTTTCACAAATGTCAAAGTCATTAACAACAAGGAAATAATGAGGAATTGCCACAGATTGGAAGACACCAAGGAGAGAGGACAATCAATGCAGTGTAGGATCCTGGAATGGATTTTAGAACAGAAAAAGGTCATTAGTGGAAAAACTGGTAAAATTTGAGTAAAATTGGTAGTTCAATTTCTAGTGTTGTATTAAAGGTAATTTGTTGGCTTTAATTATATTTTACAAGACGTTGTCATTAGCAGAAGCTGAGTGAAGGGTTGTAGTAGGCATAGTGATCTGATCCTCCCTCCTCCTCCAGAGATGTCCATGTCCTAATCCCTGGCACCTGTGGAATGTTACATTTCATGCCAAAAGGAACACTGCAGATGGAATTAAAGTTCTGGACCTTAAATTGAAAAGAGGTTATCTGGATTATCCAATGTAATGACATGAGCCCTTAAAAGTGGAAGAGGAAGGCAGAAGAGCTGGTCAGAGAGATGTGATGAAAAAAGAGGCAGCAGAGATTCTCAATGTGGGGGTGTCTCAGCCTATGGTTGCTGGCTTTGAAGAGGGAAGGAGGCGTCCATGAGCCAAAGAATGTAGGAGGCCTCTAGGAGCTGGGAACGACCTGTAGCTGACAGCCAGCAAGAAAATGGGGACCTCAGGGCTACAACCACAAGAGACTGAATTCTGCCAACAACTTGAGTGAACAAAGAAATGGATTCTGCTTCTAAGCCTCCAGGAAGAAACACAGCCCTTGACTTTAGCGCAGTGAGATCCATGCTGGACTTCTGACCTACAGTGCTGATAGTTAATAAGTTTGTGGTATTTTAAGACACGAAATTTGTGTTAATTTGTTGCAGCAACAATAGAAAACAAACACAAAGATATATGGGGGTTTTCTGTACCTTTTTTTTTTTTTTTTTTTTGGGAAGAGTCCCATTCTGTCACCCAGGCTGGAGTGCAGTGGTGTGATCTCGGCTCACTGCAACCTCTACCTCCCTGGTTCAAGCAATTCCCCTGCCTCAGCTTCCCGAGTAGCTGAGATTACAGGCATATGCCACCACGCCAGGCTGATTTTTTTGTATTTTTAGTAGAGATGGAGTTTTACCACGTTGGCCAGACGGGTCTCGAACTCCCGACCTCAGGCAATCCGCCTGCCTCGGCCTTCCAAAGTGCTGGGATTATAGGCATGAGCCACCATGCCTGGCTGGTTTTCTGTACTATTAAACAACTGTTCAGTAAGTCTAACATGATTTCAAAATAAAAAGTTAAAAATGACATAATTTATTTAAGTAATCACTGATTGTTGAACATTTTGATTGTTTCTAAATTGTTTTTTGAACAACTTTAATTAATTATTAATTAATTTTGAGACAGAGTTTTTCTCTGTTGCCCATACTGGAGTGCAGTGGACCCATCTCAGCTCTCCATCCCCTACCGTAGGTTCCAGGGATCCTCCTGCCTTAGCCTCACAAGCAGCTGGGACTATAGGCATGTGCTGCCATGTCTAGCTAATTTTTGTATTTTTTATAGAGATGGAGTTTCACCACGTTGCCCAGGCTGGTCTCAAACTCCTGGGCTCAAGTGATCTACCAGCCTTGCCCTCCCAAAGTGCTGGGATTCCAGGCATGAGCCACCATGCCTTGCCTGAGCTACTCTACAGTGAATATGTTTGCCACAAATTTTGCATATCCTTAACTATTTCCTTAAAATTCATTTCTAGAAGTGCAAGTGCAAGTGTTGGGTTAAAGTATGTGCCTATTATCAAACAGTTCTGAAAGTTTCCCTAAACAATAATATTAGCTTTTTCATTCTAAAAGTATTTTTCAGTTTGACAAAAAACAATTGTACTTAATTGTTTTAATTAGAATTTATTCTATTATAGAGAAGAATAGCCATCTTTGTATGTGTATTTGTCATTTGCCCTTGTTTTTGTGTATAAATTACTTGACCATGACTTTTACACATCTCACTTTTGGGCATTGTCTTAGCTTGTTCAGGCTTCTATAACAAAATACCATAAACTGGATGGCTTATAAATAATGGAAATTTATTTCTCACAGTTCTGGAGACTGGGAAGTCCTAGACGAAGATGCCGATGGCTTTTGGTGGCTGGTAAGGGCCTGCTTTATGCCTGATAGGCTGCCATCTTCTTGCCGTGTCCTTCCTTCGTGGAAGGGGCAAGGGAGTACTCTGGAGCCTCTTTTATAAGGGCGCTCATCCATTCATGAGGGCTCCCAACCTCATAACCTAACTCCCAAAGTTCCCACCTACTAATACCATCACATTGGAGATTAGGTTTCAATACATGAATTTTAGGGGGACACAAACATTCAGTTTATAGGGAGGGTTCTCATTTGTCTTAATGATTTGTATCAGGCCTTTAATGTAGTTCCAACTCTTATGGTTATGTTGAGATTTTTTGTCAGCTGGCAACTTTGAAGGTTTTATGTTTAATTTATTAAGAGAGTATAAAAGCTTGGTTTGATTTTTAAAAATAAATAGCCTGTCTCCAGGAATTGGAAGAATGGCAATTTATGAGCAGCAGCATCCAAATAATACATCAGATTGACTTTCCCCATTGGTAATCAAATGTTATCCCTGGGCTTAGCTGACTCTTTCAGATCAGGTGAGTTTCAGGTAAATACGGGTCTCTTGGAGAGTGGTAAGTGTATGAAAATGAGATAAGGAATCCATATTTTACAGGCTCATGTCTCCATCAGCGCAAAATCCAATGCAGGCTCCACTATCTTGCCGAGTCTTCCTTTCTCTCACTGTTGTTTTCTGGGAATTTGAGTAGGTCCTGTCACCTGACTTCCTGCCAGTTTTCCTCCTGCATGGATACCTCTCATGGGGTGAGCTTCTCCTTTTTCCTCCAAACCTTTCCTCTAACAAGTCCCTGCCATTGCTTCTACTCTAACTTATTTTGGTCAGAAAAGTCTCCTCTGCTCTTGACCCACTTATCCACTTGGAGATTTCCTACTCATTCTCAGGACTCAGGACATTAGACTTACCTGTGAGCATGTTGGGCAGTGACTTGGTTGCTGGGGAGCACACAGATCCTTAGATGTGGTACTCGTAAATTTTAGTCCCATATAAACATGTGGCTTCTGGCTTACAGTTTATGCAGCTGATTTTGATACATCTGACATTTCTAACATATTATACTAATAATTAGTTTTTTTCTCTGAGAAGTTGGAGGACACATCTCCTGATGCCATAAGGACTGATACTCCCTTCCCCTTCAGTGCAAAGCCTTCTCCTGCTTCCTGGAGAGCTTTCCAGCCCCTTCTGGGCTTATATAACATAGTGCACATGTCTCTCTTGAAATATTACCTTGTTGTCTTGAAAGCTCTCCCTTTACGTGTCATTTTTGCCTGCTGTACTGCAAACTGTGTCAGAGTTTATTCCATGTCTTATTGATATTTGTGTTTTTTAAGCCACGATGATGCCTGATATACAGTATGTGATTGGTAAAAGTTCAGCACTGTGACTCCTCTCTCTATAGATATTATTTTATTTGTAGCATGCAACAATTAAGTAATGTGAATTTTACTTTATAACCAGGAGTTTTGTTAAACACACAACATATATTTATCATAGAAAAAGTAGGCTAGGCGTGGTGGCTCACACCTGCAATCTCAGCACTTTGTGGGGCTGAGGCAGGTGGATCGCTGAGCCCAGGAGTTGAAGAACAGCCTGGCCAACATGGCAAAATCCTGTTTCTACTAAAAATATAAAAATTAGCCAGGCATGGTGTGGCGCATACCTATAGTCCCAGCTACTCAGGAGGCTGAGGTGGGAGAATCACTTGAGCCCAGGAGGTGGAGGTTGCAGTGAGCTGAGATTGTGCCATTGCACTCCAGCCTAGGTAACAGAGTGAGACCATGTCTCAAAAAAATAAAAAAGAAAAGAAAAAGTAGAACACACTGTTAAGTGAAAAGAAAAAAAGGAAAGTTTTCTGTAATTATATTTCCTAGATATTACCACTGTTACTATTTGGGCATATGGACATGGGTTGCTTAACAATGGGGATACATTCTGAGAAATGTGTCCTGAGGAGACTTAATCATCCCGCAAACATTGTAGAGTGTACTAACACAAACCTAGATGGGATAGCCTACTACACACCTACGTTACATGGCATAGCCTATTGCTCCTAGGCTACAAACATGTACAGCATGTTACTGTACTGAATACTGTAAGCAACTGTAACTCAGTGGTAACTATTTCTGTATCTAAACATATCTAAACAGAAAAAGTACAGTAAAAACACAGCATAAAAGGTAAAAAATGGTACACATATATAAAGCACTTATGAACAGAGCTTGCAGGGTTGGAAGTTTCTCTGGGTGAATCAGCGAGTGAGTGGTGAGTAAATATGAATGTCTAGGACTTTACTGTACACTACTGTAGATGTTGTAAACACTGTACACTAAAGCTATACTAAATTTATATAAAATTTTTCTTTCTTCAGTTGTAAGTTAACCCTAACTTACTATAACTTTTTAACTTTATAAACCTTTTAATTCAAGAAAAATTTGACTCTTAATAACACTTAGCTTAAAACACAGACATCGTACAGCTGTACAAAAATACGTTCTTTCTTTGTATTCCTATTTTATACACATTTTTCTAGGTTTTTTTTTTTAATGTTTAAAACTTTTTTGTTAGAAACGAAGACGCAAACACACACATTAGCCTAGGCCTATACAGGGTCAGGATCATCAATATCACTGTCTTTCATTTCATCTTGTCCCACTGGCCAGTTTTTTTTTTTTGAGACGGAGTCTTGCTCTGTCACCCAGGCTGGAGTGCAGTGGTGCCATCTCGGCTCACTGCAACCTCCGCCTCCCGGGTTCAAGCAATTCTTCTGCCTCAGCCTCCAGAGTAGCTGCAATTACAGGCACGCGCCACCACCCCCGGCTAATTTTTGTATTTTTAGTAGAGATCGGGTTTCACCATGTTGGCCAGAATGGTCTCGAACTCCTGACCTCAGGCAATCCGCCCGCATCAGCCTCCCAAAGTGCTGGGATTATAGGAGTGAGCCACCATGCCCAGCCCCCACTGGACAGTTTTTAGGAGAAGTAACAGGCATAGAGCTGTCATCTATGATAACAATGCCGCCTTCTGGAATATTTCCTGAAGGACCTGCTTTAGTCTGTTTCACAGTTAACTTTTTTTTTTTTAATAAATAGAGTAGACTCTAAGATAAGAATAAAAAGAATAGTACAGTAAATTCATAAACTAGGAACATAGTTTATTATCATCAGTATTATTTACTGTTACATAATTGCACATGCTAGACTTTTATATAACTGGCAGTGCAGTAAGTTTGTTTACACCTGCAAACTCATGAGGAATGTGTTGTGCTATGACATTACTACAGCTATGACATCACTAGGTGCTAGGAATTTTTTAGCTGCATTATATCTTAGAGTCTTACAGGGCCATTGTCATATATGTGGTTCATCATTAATTAAAACATTGTTATGTGGTGCATGACCGTATATTCTTTCAGAATTTGAAGATGATGATGAAAATTTATTGAATCCTTACTTTGTGCCAAGCATTGTGCTAAACACTTTAAATGGATTTTCTCACTTTATCTACATGTCAGCACCATGTTATAAGTCAGCTATTGTTTTCTCCATTTCATAATGGAAGACACTGAGGCTTAGGGAGGTTAGATAACTTGCTTGAGATCACATGACTGGCAATTAGCATAGCCTGGATTTGAACCCACGAAGTCTGAGTCCAGAGCTCCCGAGTCAGAACAGCATGTTGATCAAGTCATCCCTAGAGCCAAACTAACTGGGTTTAAATCCAGTTGCAAGTTGTGTGACTTTAAGCAAAATAATTAATATTGTTTTGCCTTAATTCGCATTCTCTCACATACATTACAACGTATCCTTATTACAATTCGGTACAAGCTCTGTACCAAATTGTAATGAAGTTAAAATGAAATAATCAATGCAAAATACTTAGTACAATTCCTACCTGTAGTGAATCCTCAATAATAGTTAATTCTTATATTACTATTACATTTTAAATAAAAATTATACTCTAACCCTCTTTGTAACCTGTGTTCTTACTGTACTGTGAACATCATTTTTGTTAATAAATATACTTGTAAATTCCTTTTCCTTCTAGTAAGTTTTGAAGTTTTAAATGTTCCTGCATAGTAATACATAACCTTCCAGTTATTGCTCGACATCAAAATATAATGTCTGCACTGATGTAAAAACACGTTGTATCTAAGAACACCCATTTGGTAAAACAAACAAAAACAAAATAAAAATGCTGCAGCAAAAGCAAAGATGCATGGATATGTTTAAAATAATAACTTTAAAAAGTCTCCTTCATGAAAGTGTTTTCAAAGTGTTTTACCATGTGGGTAATTTTTAATAAAAATTGCTCAAATTAACTCCAAGTACAATGACATACATAATGTTTTGATTACACATATGAAATTCATTTAGTCTAAAGAGACTTTGAGTAGAAAAAATGCAACTTTGTGAGGAAAAGAATCCATTACTATAATGATAGAGTAGTTCCGCAAGATTTAATCACATGCACATTTAGAAGAAAGCATTTCATATGCCCTGTAACCGCAACATCTGGTGACTTTCTGATTATTCCAAACAGCTTCACTCTGCTTTCAGAATTCCATTTTGTGTTATACAAATCTGTAAAGTTGTCTGTGGAGACTTAGGGAACTTGGAAAACTTTCAACTTAACTTGAAAAATGTGCTACTATTCCTGATTTCTTGAGCTGGGGTAGAACATAGTGATGAATGGAAAGCCAAGATGAATGAGGCTAGAGGAGTCACTTCACGCATTGTTATGATACAGGAAACACCTCAGAGAATTTCTTTGAGGAGGTGATGAGACTGGCCAACAGAACTTTTAGACTAGAAGGAAGATTCTTTGACTAGCTTGAGGAACAGATGTAGCAAGGGATTGCTCCACAGAGAGAGGAAATCTAGAGTCCAGCCAAGGATAGACTTTTTCCATTGAGAATGCTTCTCACAGTATTATGTTTGTAGATAGATTTTATTTTATTTTTTGGCATTGAACTGAAATGTAAACCATGTAGTCCAATCAATTTTCTCAGAGAATATTAAAGTGACTTCTGACTTAAGGATCAATTTGTTTTCATTTTGATTTCGTTCAGTGTGAAAACGACAGTCCCTGGCTATCTGCAGCGTGGCCTGTGTGGTAACTTTTCCCGATAGCTACTGGTATTACCCCAGTTCATGCCAAGAGTTTGAAAACTTGATAAGAGACATTGAAAACCTGTGAACAATGGTTGAACAGTTAACTAGGCATTGTAAAAGGAAAGAACTGTTAAAGCCAACTAAATATGGCCGGAGAAGGACTCCATACTTCTATATTTGAGTCCTTGTGGACAAACAGTGCCTTAGCTTAATAGGCAGACAAGATTGAAAACCTCACTTAGTAGTATGCAACCATAACAATAGCTGAATGCTGGCCAATCCCAGTGGCCACACCTCCACCACTCATACACTGCTAAGTGTTGAGACTGTGTACAAATAAGGCAAACCCCAGCTGTAACCAATCCCACTGTTCCTGTACCTCACTTCTGATTTTGATTCCTGTACGTCACTTTACTTTTTTGTCTATACATTTATTCTGACCCCAAGGCACCCCTGGAGTCTCTCTGAGTCTGCTGTGATTCTGGAGGCTGCCCAATTCACCAATTGTTTTTTATTTTTTTTGCTCAATTAAACTCCATCAGATTTAACTTGTCTGAAGTTTTCTTGTAACAGAACCCATTGATAGTTTGGCCTAAAGTCCACTTATGACCTAAATGAATAGCAGAGCGTGATGCAAAAATAATCGTATAAAGCTTTCCTCTCCTTCAGCTGTTCCGCTTTTTATCTTTACCTTTCAGTTTCTCTCCTGTCCTTTCCTTCTGATTCTTTCTCGTCTCCCCTTCCCCACCTTTAAATATGTTTCCTTCATATTCTCTTTACTTCCTCCTCGCCGCTACCTACCTTTGCTTTACTTATTATTTTCTCTTTTTTCTCCCCCATCTCCACCTCACCAATTTTTTTTATTGCCCTTGGAGCGGAAATATTATTCTGATAGTAGTTGTGAAATGGAGCTTTGTTGTTTGTAATTTTAAAAATAGTTTGAAGACAGTTTATTTTTCAGAGGAAGAAACTGTGTTTCATTTTTTCTGATCTCAGTTCCATTACCTAATATAAAGCACTTGAATAGAGTCTGACACAGAAAAAGCACCACATTAAATCTTAGCCATGAGAATTCCTTTGATTAAAATTTCCTCTTTGAGTCACTTAACCCTGAAAGAAAAAAGTTTCTTATGTTTCCCTAACCACTAAAGACAGGCAATTACTGTTTCTCTTATAGGCACTTTCTTTTCCTTTTTCTTTTTCTTTTTCTTTTTTTTGAGATGGAGTCTCGCTCTGTTGCTGAGGCTGGAGTGCAGTGGCGTGATCTCAGCTCACTGTAACCTCCGCCTCCTGGGTTCAAGTGATTCTCCTGCCTCAGCCTCCCGAGTAGCTGGGATTACAGGTGTGCACTACCACGCCCAGCTAATTTTTGTGTTTTTTAGGAGAGACAGGGGTTTCTCCATGTTGGCTGGGCTGGTCTCGATCCCCTGACCTCGTGATCTACCCGCCTCAGCCTCCCAAAGTGCTGGGATTACAGGCGTGAGCCATCGCACCTGGCATCTTACAGTCACTTTCTTTCTTTCTTTTTTTTTTTTCTTCAGATGGATTTTTGCTCTTCTTGCCCAGGCCGGAGTGCAGTGGCGTGATCTCGGCTAACTGCAACCTGCACCTTCTGGTTTCAAGCGATTCTCCTGCCTCAGCCTCCTGAGTCGCTGGGATTACAGGCGCCTGCCACCACGACCGACTAATTTTTGTATTTTTAGTAGGGATGGGGTTTCACCAAGTTGGCCAGGCTGGTCTTGAACTGCTGACCTCGTGATCCGACGGCCTCCGCCTCCCAAAGTGCTGGGATTACAGGCATGAGCCACTGCGCCTGGCCCTGTAGTCACTTTGAAGGATGGAGCTTCCACTCCATCCCCTAGCTTTCTGTTTCAGGGGATCATGATCAACTTGTCTGAGCAACTCTTCTTTCCATGTAACTTATGCTCATGTTCTTTTGTTTGAGCCTTAGCAGAGAGAACAAGTGGACAATGATTTCCTTGTAGTAACACTGTAAGTTCTAGAAAATGGTTCTAGAAAATGGCTGTCAGAGGTGTTTTAACCAAAACACCTCAAATAGGTGAGTCCATCTCAAATAGGAGCTGAGTAAAATAAGGCTGAGGCCTACTGGGCTGTATTCCCTGAGGTTAGGCATTCTAAGTCACAGGATGAGATAGGAGGTCAGCACAAGATACAGGTCATAAAAACCTTGCTGATAAAACGGGTTGCAGTAAAGAAGCTGGCTAAAACCCACCAAAACCAAGATGGCGATGAGACTGACCACTGGTTGTCCTCACTGCTGACTCCCATCAGTGCCATGACAGTTTACAAATGCCATGGCGATGTCAGGAAGTTTACTCTGTATGGTCTACAAAGGGAAGGCCTGAATAATCCACCCCGTGTTTAGCATATCATCAGCATATCATCCACCCCTTGTTTAACCATAAAAGTGGGCCTGTGGAGTAACCATTCTTTTATTCCTTTACTTGCTTAATACACTTGCTTTCGCATCATGGATTCACCCCAAATTCTTTCTTGTGTGATATCCAAGAACCCTCTCTTGGGTTCCGGATTGAGACCCCTTTCCAGCAACAAGGCTACCTTCTTTTATAGCGTTATGGTCATAGACAGAGCATGGGCTCTGGAGCCTGACACTGGCGTCTCTGGGCAAGACATTTACACCTATCAGTATCCATTTCCTCATCTATTAGGAAACACTCAGAGGACTGCTGTGATAATTAAATGAAACCAAGCAGACAGAGCTCTTAGCATAATGCCCACACAAGGTAAGATCTGATAAATGGCAGCATAAAGCCATGGTGCCCCCACTATAGGGGATTTTTCTCACGGAAATGCTACTGATTAAATATGAAGGAGAAAGATTTTCCTTCTTACCTCTGTATGGCCCATGAATAATGAGTATGGTTGGGGAACGTCAAAATCAGAGAGATCAAAGAGCATTAGATATTAAGATAGAGAAAGAACAGTGACAGAGAATATATCTCCTCTTTGATAGCTGAGTGACTAAACTTGGGAGCTTCCCAGTATAGAGCTAGGAGAAATAGTGGGCCTATCATTTGCTGAATTAACTCTTTTGTAAACATTTTGCAAGAAGGCCTGACTCTGGGATTGCTCCTGCCCCACCAACCACATATATTGTACAAGTAACTGGTTGGTGGTGAAGCCAAGCAAATGCCATAAACTGTCTCTTGGCAGGCGTAAGGTTACACAAGACAATATCGTGTGTGAGTGTGTGTGTGTGTTTGTCATAAGCTAATGGAATGAAACCCTTCTCTGAACAAAAATTGAAATGCCCCACATCTTTAAAAAGGTCAGTTACATTTTCTTAATAATTTTTTAGGTTAATTTCTCCAAATTAACTTAAAAATGCTGAGGTCAAAAGAGATCCAGTCAGGAAATACTTTTTGCGAAAATTTGTATTATCTACACTCTGAAGATTTCAATAGTTCTTAATCATTTATCAGTGTTCACCACAGTGCTGTGAGCTGGGTTGTCAGCTGTGAGCTGGTTCACCAGCAATTTAATAGTAATATCAGGGTAAAGTAGTCAAGCTTGCAAATGGTTTACTTTCTAACCAAATAGGTGAGGATGTATTCTAAACTTTCTTTATATGGTATCACTTTTACTCGCTGCCATTATGACTTCGTGGGTGACGAAAAGAAAGGTGGCCTTATTGCTGGCAGGTGAGAATTTAACCTGATCCAAGAAGTGAGTATCAGTGGTCATGGTTGTTGGGAACTCTTTCTATAAAGTTAAACCTGGAAGAAAATGGGATGTATTGAGCCAGTGCGATTCTAAGGTAGAGCCAGAATTACCTATTCCCCGAGGCAGAGGGAGATTAGTAAAATAAAAGACTCTTGTGCTTCCAAATCCCCCGTTATTAAAGAACTGCAGTTTTTAAAGCGTACTTTTTAAGACCTTAATTTGACTTGAAACATAGACAAACAAGAAGGTCCTGCATCCTTGCCTTCTCCTTCTGAGAAGTGAATGTCTTCTGCTGGCTTCTTGTTCAATTTAGGAGGAAGGTGGTAGAGGCAGAGAGAGGTGTGCAGGTGTTCGTACCTTCCTCAGCACGCTTTATCAGGCTGTCTGGAGAGGAACGACGCAGGTGACTAGCAGCTATTAAGAATCTCTACTAAGTTAGACACTGCCAGAAGGTTTCAATGCATTAGCTCATTGCATGCCTACCACAATCTGAGGTGGGTATTGATACAGTTTGGCTGTGTCCCCACCCAAATCTCATCTTGAGTTGTAGCTCCCACAATTCCCACGTCATGGGAGGGACCCAGTGGGAGGTAATTGAATCATGGGGGTGAGTCTTTCCTGTGCTGTTCTCATGAGAGTGAATAAGTTTCACGAAATCTGATAGTTTTGTGAGGGGGAGTTTCCCTGCACAGATTGTCTTGTCTGCTGCCATGTAAAACATGCCTTTCGCCTTTTGCCATGATTGTGAGGCCTTCCCAGCAACATGGAACTGTAAGTCCATTAAGCCTCTTTTTCTTTATAAATGACCCAGTCTCAGGTATATCTTTATTAGCAGCATGAAAACAGACTAATACAGGTATCCTCCAGAGAAATTTATTGTTGATAAATAAATGTTGATCAAGCACCTAATATATACTTGGCATTTGTGAGTACAGATATAGTCTATGTCCTTATGGGGCTTACATGCAAGACAGAGCACATTATTTGCTCAAGGTCATAGAATAGGTCTAGGCTTTAAAATCCATTGATTTAAAAATCTGTGTACTTTCTATTATATCCCCGGAAGACACCAACAATAATGGAACTAAGACAGAAGCTGGGTTAAGGGTTGATCGGCAAACTTGAGGCTTACAGGGAGCTCTGAACTTCTCTGCCTTAGTTAAGCAGAAGCTTCCAAATGACCCTCAGGCTGCTTTGTTCATAGATTACTCCTGACCATGAAACTGTGATAAGCTGTAGGGAAACTTGGCTCTGTTTCTGAACTGAATGCTGCAGGTAGCTTCATGGTGATCAACCCAGATGCCTGACCTTGTCCTCATTTTGTTTTTATTGTTTAACTTCCTGTGACGCCGGCCAGAGACCTTGGAAACCACATACTCCTTAGGCCCTTAGGTGGCTCCACAGCCACCCCTCATTGTCACATAGGAGAGAGCACATAGCATAGCTGAGAAAAAAAAAAAGGGCAAATGGTTAACAAAAATGTGTAGTTATTTTGGATCCAAAATTCTGATTCAAGAGAAGAGTGTGTGTGTGTGGTAAGAAGGCCAAATATCTTCTTTTGGGCAAATGGTCAGTTTGCCTTGGCATTCATATATCGTAACACAGCTCAGAGCAATGAGGAATACTTGCAAATCACTTGTGTGACTTGTGGAAACCCTTTGGTATGGTTGAGCAAATGTGCTGTAGTACAATAGGCCACGTGGATCTCTGTTTACATCTTGCTGATTCTTCCCAACAGGTCTGTGGTGTTGGTAGGATAACTGCTTCACTGAGTCTATTTTCTTATGTGAAAAAAATAATAATTCCTACCTTATGGATTGTGAATATTAAGTGATATACCATAGGTGAAATTGCCTTGTACAGTATCTAGTCGTACCTAGTAGGCACTCAGTAAATGTTAATTCTTTTTCTCTTACCAAACACTTGCTTCAATGTTTTCTCAGAAATAACTATGGATACAGTTCCTCAATGAGGGACAGAACTAAGAAAACTGAGCTTTTTCCTGGCTAACAAGGTGAAACCCCGTCTGTACTAAAAATACAAAAAATTAGCCAGTCCTGGTGGCACGTGCCTGTAGTCTCAGCTACTCAGGAGGCTGAGGCAGGAGAATCACTTGAACCCAGGAGGTGGAGGTTGCAGTGAGCAGAGATCACGCCACTACACTCCAGCCTGGGTGACAGGGCAAGGAAAAAAAAAAAAGGAAAACTGAACTTTTGGGGATCTGTACATGGAGTATGGTAAGATGTTTTGAGTGTTGTTGAGACAACAAACAGAGATGAAAGTTAGACACCAAGCGGGAGGAGATGAAAACTGTGGGCAGTGAGGCATAAAGGAAGCCAAGAGAAGCAGGAACAGCCCACTTACCTCCTGGGTGCGCATAGAAGAGATTATGGAGATGATGACATTTATTTCTCAGAATCTGAAATGGTATAAGAATTCCTGAGTGTTGGGGGGTTCTTCTCAGGCCACAGACCTCAAAGGTGTGATGAGCTAGGCTATGGGAAGAATCTGAGACCGCATACTAGAATTTCCTTTTTCCCCACGGTTTCAGGAGGGGAGGAGGGTTAGGCAAGAGAGTAAGATAATGAGAGAAAATAGTGGGAGGGACACTGTCACATAGGTATCTCGCAATCCTACACATCTTGCTGAGTATGCCAAGAATGCAAGGCCAACAATGCTTTGCACCCAGGCCATTTCCCAAGGTTGTGTTTGCAGTGGACAACCTTGAGGGATGAAGTAATATCTTCTTCTGGGACAAAGAGTCACCTTGCTTATTGCTTGTTATGAAATGTTGAGTCCCCCAAGCTCAGTGTTCCTCTCCTATAGAGCAGCCTACTCTGTGTAGGACCTGTGAGAATTGGAGAGCAAGTAGAACTGACACAGACATATTGATGCATGAGCTGCTTGCTGTACCATGAGCAACAAAGTCCTTTGCTTCCAAACTAGAGGTCCTGTGTCTCCTGCCAGCATCCATGAAACAATATTGGGCTACCTTATTAACTTGTAGATAGGTTAAAATCAAATCCCAAACTGAACGGGAAATGAATCGAAAAATTTGCAGAACTGTTTTGAAAAAGCTTGAGTTTTCACCAAAGCATTTTCTTTTTCTCTCTCCTTCATGAAGCTGCTCACTCATCCTAAAAAATCATTAATAATCTCCGAGGTTCTTGGCAATGCTGCAGAATTCTGGGACTCCTTAACTTTGACCTCCATAGTCAATGAACTTCCTGAATTCTTCCTTAGGCATATGAAAGATACCAGAGAACACCGAGGCAGTGCATTTGATACCACAGTGCTGGGGTCTTCAAGAGGTCATCCAGCCATTCTTGTCTTTGGGCTACACTTAACACCTTATTTTCGTCATTCATAAGTGGAATTATCCTGTGTTACTCTTCTTTCTTCTTTTCTTTCCTTCTTTCTTTTTTTGGAGACAGTCTCGTTCTGTCACCCAGGCTGGAGTGCAGTGGTGTAATCTTGGCTTACTGAAACCTCCACCTCCCAGGTTCAAGCAATTCTCATGCCTCAGCACCTGAGTAGCTGGGATTACAGGTGTTCGCCACCACACCTGGCTAATTTTTGTATTTTTAGTAGAGACAAGTTTCATCATTTTGCCCAGGCTGGTCTTGAACTCCTGACCTCAAGTGATCCACCCACCTCAGCCTCCTAAAGTGCTGGGATTACAGGCATGAGTCACCATGCCCGACCCTGGGCTACACTTAAGTCAATCCAGTTTTCAAATATCTCCAAAGAATGAGTTTAGCCACATTCCCTCAGAAGCCCACTGTGGCATTTAACTTTTCCTTTTCAGGACATTTCTGTGCTTTATAATTTAAATAGAATGAAAAGGAGAATGAAATGGTTTATGATTTAAAATGTTTCCTTTTGTGACCCTTGTGGATATTTAAAAAATTGGTCATACCCTGAGAGAAAAACATTATCTTGAAGTTCACTATCATTGTCTTTTCTCAAGGCTAAATGATTTTCTAATTTTCTTTAAAATCTTTCTCCAACCTCATTTTTATAAACTTTCTTGGTTTCCTCAGGGAAAATGGGGGAGAAGCTTTACTCTAAGCTCTCGAAATCTTCTTTCCACCCTGCTAACTCTTTCATACATTTTTTTTTTCTGCCAGAGACTTCTATGAATACCAACTCCTAGGCATTGTATTAAGGGGATTCCCTCAGTTGGGTAGATTGAAAAGATTAAATTCTGAGACCACTTCCAAACATAAGGTTTATGAGTTTGTGTTATTTGAGGATTGTGTATGTCCAGTTTATGGATACCCGTGCAGAGTATCATGAACCTCCTTCCACTCCACTCAAGATGGCTGTAAGTGGCAGGGAGAGCTTGCCGTATATTGTGTAACAGAGCATGTACTTCCAAGACACACTTGTATAAGAGTCACCACCATTGCTGTAAGTTTCCGTTATCGATATGCCTTATCTTGCCTTTCAATTCTTAGCAAACTTATTACTGTAGATAATAATTGTTTTCTTGCAATTAAGAAAAAACAATATTTATTTTAAAGATCAAAAGGGAGTGCATACATATAGCCTCCCATGTACTGACTTTCCACCGTGGTATGAAAGAGAAATACTGAAACAATACTCTTTCTTCTCCTTTCACTTGAATTTTTCAAGCTGTGCAGCAAAAGCAGGTCATGGTTTTCCTTCTTGACTTCCTCAGCTATTCACTTATCAGTTAACATATGTTTGTTTGGGACTAAGCTTGTGTAAGCAACTGAGATATAATTATCTGATTGAGTATAATAACAGCACGTAGCTGTTTGCCATAAATTAAAAAAAATTTTTTCCCTTAATTCCTTAGTGACACTTCTCTGATATAGGATTTCCTGGGTTGGGGGTGGAGTCAATGGGAGTAGGAGAAATTGTGCAAATGTGGCCTTTGCGAAGACCCTAAGAGAAGATCATTAAAACTGCTTAATTTGGTACTGTACAGTAAAGTGTCTTCCTATGAATTTTATTTTTGCTTTTAAAAGCATCTACTTTGGCAGATACTATAATCAACAATTTACGGTGTTGTAGCTGTCATTCCACTGACCTTTAAAACATTATATTCTACCTATGAATCATATTTAGGGAAAATTTAATGGCTTAAATGGAGAGCAGAAAATGTTGTAGAATAACTTTTATTGATATAAAAAGATATTTACAAGTAGTGATTTTCATTTTCTTCCTTTTGCTCATATGTATCTTCTAATTTTCCCATTGTTAATACCTATAAAACTAATTTGGGACCTACTGCTTAAAGTGATGGCTTTTAATTGCCCTGAGGGCCAACAAAACCAAATAGGGCCTACTGTGGTCATGCCATATTAAAAAAAAACTCCATATCATTGAAGTTAATACTGGAATATATTTTTCAAAACCCCACCATTTAGAATATTGAGGAATAATAAATACCTGGTCCTTTTTTTTGTTGTGTAAACATATATGTGCTTTGAAGGCTCATCTTAATGTTTTTATGTGGCCTTTGAAACAGCTTCTAGAACTTCTCTTTTAGGGTCCTGGAGCACTTAAGGGTCAATGGAGCCTGTTTGACTACCACAGTATTAGAAACTTTTAATAGCCTATGATATCCAGTAATCCATGGAAATAAAATATATCTTGGTCCAAGCCTGACTCAGAAAAACTTTCATCAAATTTGAAAGATTTGTATCCCTTTGATTTTATTGATAATTCAATTGAATTTTAAAGACTGCATACTTACAACTATATTACTCAACACCTTCTCTTCAATTTTATTGATGGTAATGTCTATTGAAGGTAATGTTTAGAGCCAAAACAATTTTAAGTTTGCATTTGACATAAACTGAACATCCCTGCTCCTTATCCGCAATATGTCTAGGTTGAATTTGATCTCCCAAACTTGGTCTTTTTCACATTATCTCCTCTTGGTTCAATGTTCCCACTCCCTGAGTTCCCAGCTTGGAATTCTGGTTGTTCTCTGAGGTTTCTCTTTCTTTCTCTCCCCTGCTTCCCCAATTGATTGTTGAAATCTGTCAAGTCTACCTCTTAAATGGCTGTCTCTTTACTGGCTCTCCCCTTATTCCGTGCTCTCCCTTGGTCCAGATTCTCATCATTTCTCACTTTGAGTAGCTCAAGTGCCTTCTACAGGTCCTCCTTGCCTATCAACCTCTAATCTATCTCCCCAGCTAGGCACCCTCTCTTAAACTAAAATGTGATTATGTCACTCTGTTTAACAATCATCTTTAGCAATCATTGTCTTCAGATAGAAAAATCGTTTTTCAATTTAAAAATGTTTAATTGTGCTACAATACACATAACATAAAATTTATCACCTTAACAATTTAAAAATATGTGGTTCGGTAGTGTTAATTACATCCACACTGTTGTGTAACCAATCTCCAGAACTCATTTCATCTTGCAAAACTGAAATTGTATGTCAATTGAACAACAACCTCCCATTCCCCTAACCCTCCAGCCCCTGGCAACCAGCATTCTATTTCTGTCTCTATGAGTTTAACTGCTCTAGGTTAAACTCATATAAGTGGAATCATGTAGTATTTGTCTTTTTGTGACTGGCTTATTTCACTTAGCATAATGTCCTCAAGGCTCATCCATGTTTCAGTATGTGTCAGAATTTCCTTCCTTTTCAAGGCTGAATAATTAAGGAGAGACATCTTTTAGCACATCCACAAGGTCCTGCTTGATCTTATTTCTGCTAATCTCTCCCACCTCAGGTCCTGTTAAACACTCACTGTATCCATTGTTTTAGCTCAGTTGAATTCTTTGCAGTTCTCCAAATAGTCCAACAGTCAGTGCTTCTTTGCCAGTGTTTCCTCTGACCAAGATAGCTCTCTGGCTATTTTTTTCACCTGGCTAACGCTTAGTGTCCTCACTAACAAACGTCCATTTTGTAATCTACCTTTAAAATTTGAAATAGGCGACTCAGATATTTCTGCATCATTTTCCCCCATGAAATATAATCTTTCATTTTCCTTAGTTTTCCATGATACAATTATAATTTAACTGCTTTACTATTCGTGGGCAATTGTGTTATGTCTTGACTTAACTATTATTATTAACACTGTGAGAAGGATGTCCTTCTGCTTCTGACCATGATGGAGTAACTCATACCAGACTTTTCCTCCTATCAGAAACAACTGTAAAACTGGACAAATATATGGGGCATCATCTCTTTGTAAGCTTTGAACAATAGACAGTGCAGGACTGTGATGCTTGGGAGAAGGGAAACACAAGGGTTATGGTATGGTTCAGTTCTGTGTCCCCACCCAAATCTCATGTTGAATTGTAATTCTCAATGTTGGGGGAAGGACCTGGTGGGAGGTAATTGGATCATGTGGGTGGATTTCCCCCTTGCTGTTCTCATGGTAGTGTGTAAGTTCTCACAAGATCTGATGGTTTAAAAGTGCGTGGCACTCCTCTTTGCTCTCTCTCTCTCCTGTTGCCATGTGAAGATGTGCTTGCTTCCCCTTTGCCTTGTCATGATTATAAGTTCCCTGAGGCCTCCCCAGCCATGGCTCCTGTACAGCCTGCAGAACTGTGAGTCAATTAAACTTCTTTTGTTTATAAGCTACTCAGCTCCAGGTAGTTCTTTATAGCAATGTGAGAACGGACTAATACAGGATGGGAACTATGTTTGCCCTCATCTTTCTGCCTGACTCCAGTATAGGCTGAAGGGGTCAAGCACATTATGGTGATTTTTCTGAGCTGAGCAGGCAGAGGTGAGAGTTCAAGACTGCTCAAGTGCCTAGAATTTACGCAGCAGGGTACTAGACTACAGGGAGATTATGGGGTGCCATTTGGGGATTCCTTCACTGGGGAGGGAGCGGGAGAGGGAAAGAGAGAAAAAGACAGAGAGAAGGAAGAGAAGAGAGAAGAGAGGCAGGGAGTGGAGTGGAAAAATATTTGAAGAAACAATGGTTGAAATTTTTCAAAGTTGGTAACAGATGTAATCTTTACATACCTAAGTTCCGCATACTCAAACAAGATGATTACAAAAAACCCCACTAGCTAAGCACATTGCAGTCAATTTGCTGAAAACCAAAGATAAAGAGAAAAATCTTTAAAGCAGGTAAAGAAAAAATACTTTGCATAGAGGGGACCAATGATACAAATTATGGTAATTTCTAAATGGAAGTGATGGAGGGGAGAAGACAATGGAACTGTATTGGTAAAGTGCTAAACAAACAAACAAACAAACCTCCTCAAAATACATATCCACCCAGCATTCTATATTTAGAGAATATACCCTTCAAAAGTGAAAGTGGAATAAAGATACATTAGCATAAATGAAAGTTGAGAGCATTCATCACCAGTAAGCTTTAACTGTGAGAAATCCTTTAGGATTTGGTTGAAGTTACAAAGAAATAATACCAGATGGAAAACCAAATCCATAGAAAAGAATAAAGAGCACTTTGCAATGGTAATTATGTGGATAAATACAAAATACTACAATTTTTTTCTTAATTTCATTAAAAGACAATTGTTTAAAACAAATGGCAAGATGGTAGACTAAACCACAATCATATTGATTAAATATAAATAGACTGAATACTCCACTTGAAAAGCAGTAATTGTCAGATTTTATAAAAAAGCAAGATCTAACTATATGCTCTCTAAAGAGATATATTTTAAGTATAGTGAAACATATATTGCAATTGGAAAAGAGATGGGAAAAGATATACCATACAAATAATAAGGATGAGAAAGCTTGAGTGGCAATATTAATGTCAAAGTAGCCCTAATTATAAGGATTCACCAGAGACAGAGACCATTTGTGATATTTAATAAAAGGGTCAATACATCATAAAGACAAAACAATTATAATGTGTATGCACCTAATAACAGAGATCCAAAATACATGAAGCAAAAATTGACAGAACTAGAGGGAGAAACAAACAAATCTACAATCATCTTAGAGACTTTAACACCCCTTTCTTGGTAGTTGATAGAACAAATAGGCAAAAAGACAAGACTTGGATGATCTAATCATCTGTCAAATTCCTTGATGAAATTGTCACTTAGAACACTCCACCCAACAACTTCAGAACACGTTCTTTGCAAATGCATGCGGGAACATTCCCCACCAGTATGATAAAATGCTTTTATAAACTTCAAAAGATTGAAATGGTAAAGGATATGTTCTCTGACCACAGCAGAATTCAATGAGAAAATGAGAGAGAAGTTCTCTATTACCCTTCTCATAGGAGAATTTTGTGATCAAGTTCTTGTTCTTTAGCAAAAAGGAAATGCCCTGAGCCTTACTAAATGGAGTTGTGAAGTCATTCTATTAATCAGAAGGACTGGTTTAAGACTCACATTGGAATGTATACATCCAAATGAATTCTCTCTCTGTTTCTCTCTCACTCTAGGTCTAGTTAGATAATTAGATAAGACAAATAGTGATACAGATCAACAGCTACTTATATGAACATACATAATGTTAATATATATAATTTAAGCCTTCAGTTTGAAATAATTTTAGATTACAGAAGAGTTGTAAAGACAATACAGAGTTCCTGCATACCCCGTACCCACTTTCGCTTAATTTGAACATTTTACATAACCATGATAAAGTTACTAAACCTAGGAAATTAACTTTGGTGCAATGCTATTAGCTAAGTTACACACTTTATTTGGATATCACCAATCATTCTACAATCAATGCCCTTTTTCTCTTCCAGGAATGAGTCCAGGATACTACACTGCCTTTAGTTATATGTCTTCTTTCTCTCCTGTAATCTATGACAGTTTCATAGTTTTACCTTTTCTTAATGACTTTGACATTTTCGAAGAGTATTAGGTATTTTGCAGAATGTCCCTCAGTTTGGGTTTCTGATGATTTCTCATGATGAGCTTGGAGTTACAGGTTTTGGGGAAAGATACCACTGAGGTGAAGTATTTTTTTTCATCACATTATATCAAAGGCTACCTGACATCAATGCGACTTTTTACTGGTGCTGTTAAATGTGATCATTTGGATAAGGTGGTGTCTTCCAGGTTTCTCCATCGTGTAGTTATTACGTTACCTTTTCTATAGTTTATTCTTGAGGGGCAAGTCACTAAGCGCAGCCCATTCTCAAGGGGAAAAGAATTAAGCTCCATCTCCAAGGGTGGATTATCAAAGAATTTGTGTACTTATTTTAAAAATAATAAATATTTGGGCAAGATACTTTGAGGCTATGTAAATATTCTGTTTCTCTGTAATGTTTTGCCCATAATTTTAGCGTTCATCTGTGAATCTTGCCACGGTTATTACTGTGGTGTCCTAAGGGTTATTTTCTATGACTTTCATTCCTTCTGCATTTATTAAAGAGAATTCTTTTATAGGGAAGAGCTGTCCCTTTTCTTTCATTTATTTATTTATTCTGTCCTTGATTTACATTAGCATGGGCTGATAGATGCTTATTTTATTCTTAGAGTTTCTAGTTGGAACTTCTTACTGATTATGTGGCTTCGAGGGGCATTGGCCCCACGTTGGTGAATGCTGCCATCCTATTTCTCCTTCCCAGATTGCAGATGACTTGTCTGCCCTGTGATCTCAGTTGATGGATGAGATCAAGAAAAGCAGTTACTTTCCGCTTTGTGCAGCTTTTTTCTTGTTGTAAAGGTGTAAGTGATGCTTTTTTTTCAGCTCTCTACATCTCTGGGCTGAAACCAGAAGTCTATTTAATGTATTTTAATGTAATGTGTACTATATTATGACATAACATAATATAATATAATGTAATAAATCAATCGTAAGAAGCTATTTTGGGGATAAGGAGGAGATACACTGATATTAACTAGATATTAGATGATACTAATTTGTTAATTTTGTTAGATGTGGTAGTGGTATTATAATGACCTTTGTTTTTAGGATGGCATGATAAAATATTTAGGGGTGAAATACGATCTTTTTGTCTTACTTTGTTTTGTTATTGCTGGGGTATTTTAATGGGACTGTTTGATCATGGAGTACTAAAGATTGAAATTGAAAGGGAGTTCACCCAGATTGCTGGTATATATGAAAACATTTGGGCCTGATTGACTTCAAGCTTTTGCCTGAATTGAGTCAATATGTAGAGAATTGTGACTGTTCTTCCAATTTTTAGACTGAGTCACTTCCTAGACCCAGAGTCCTTTGAAAAGGAGGCAGGTACACTTGAGAAAGAAAATTTCAAAAACATCACAAATGCATATGGAGACTACTTTGCTTAACCTTCCCAAAGGAACCTGCAGACATTTGCCATGGTCACTACACACAGAACAGGTAAATACCTCAAACTTCTAAGGCTTACTGAGCATTCCGTTTGGAAGAAATATCTAAAGGCATAAAGGAGAAAATAATTTCTCATAATCACACCACTGAGAGCTTTTTCTTTTCTTAATGTTATAATCCTAAGTTCTTCTATTTCCTGTGTTCTCATCATCAGTTTTTTGGTAATGATTTCTTTAAACAGGAAGCAAGGTGAATGAATAGTGAGTGTTCAAATGTCACATTATTTGCTAATTAGTAATTAAACTGTAAAACAGGACAGACTATGTTTTCCCCATGCTATTACAACATTTGGTTGTTAATGATGATAAACTAGAATACCTGGGCTTCAGAAATTTAAGTTCTTTGTGTGAAGCTTGACAGTCTTTGACAGAACTTACTTATGGACTGTCTCAGTGTAAAATATGCAAATAATAAGAAATAAGCCAAAACTTATGTGAGAGTAGGCATGGTTACTGATATTATCAAAACATAAGCTTTCTATTTCTATTATACTTTCATAAATAATCCTTTAAGAATCTTGCTTAGGATCTAAATCAGTCCTACTCTTGGCAACTCAGATAGGTTCTTTATCACTTGATGAGAACTAATCTATTAATATAAGCCATTGTTATTTGAAAGTAACATTGTGTATTTGTAGAAGAGATAAGGCAGTTATTGGGCTTGCTTGACTGTACTGTATTTCCTCAAACATACTGTAGTATCCTAGTGTCTATGCGTAAGATGTTACTTGTTTTCCATAATTTATGACCCATTGTAGCCATGGGTCAACACAAAGGAACTGATGGAGACAGGCAGCTAACAAATCGAAAAAAAAACAGAATCAGCTTCCCTGTGAGGAAGAACAAAACTATAATGATTAAAATTGATCTTCAGGCTGATAGTGAAGAGGCAGATAAAGTATAAAATTGTGAAGCATATCAATAAAGTAAACATGGATCTGTATACTAAATCCCTGAGTGCTATAGCCAGGGATTACCTTTGTTGGGTAAATTGAATTTAATACTACTTTTCAAGGTGAGATGGTAAATAGTGAAGCTTCCTACTTAAGTAAATAATGTCAAATCTAGAAGTATAAGTAGATTCAAAATAGAATCAGTTTGATATACTATTGATAGATTAGAAATTAAGATGACATTTCAGAAATAACCATCTTTAGGGGTAGATTTCCTATATAGAAACAGTCAAGCTCTCTCAAAATGTCTCTTCCTTTTTTATCAGGAAAAAATACTTGGCTTATTTGGACTGTTAGTTTTACACTTTGACTTTCTTCTTAATTTGTTCAAGATGTTTAAGTAGTTTTGGAGGTCAAATTTCTTTCTTGTACCAACCCTTTATAATGGATTTGATCTTTTGGGCCTGAGCCTCCATTTACTCCATGAGGGGCCTTTAAAAATTATTTAAATGTTGTTTCATTCAAAGTGAGCATATATACATATATATATATAGCACTACTAGGTGCTGTGGAGAATTATGATAAAAATAGTAATATTAATAATAACTAATATTTATTAGAATTTCCTGTTAGCTGAATACTGTTCTAAGTGGTTTTTTTGTTTTACTGCACTGCAGCCTGGGTGAAAGAGTAGAGTGATCATAGCAAACTGTAGCCTTGAACTACTGGGCTTAGATCCTCCCGTCTCACTGTCCCAGGTACCTGGGACTGCAGGCATGCAACACCACATCTGGCTAATTTAAAAGACAAACATTTTTATTTAGAGAGAGTCTCACTATGTTGCCCAGGCTGGTCTCCAACTCCCGGGCTCAAGCGGCCCTCCTGCCTCGGCCTCCCGAGTAGCTGAGATTACAGGTGTGAGCTATTGTGCCTGGCTTGTTCTAAGTGCTTTACATGTATGAAATCATTTAAATCCTCATCACAAGTTGATGAAGTAGGCACTGTTATAATCCCCATTTTCCAGTCGACAAGATTGAGAGGAGGAAATGTTAAGGAAAAGTCAGAATTCCATCCAGATACTTGGCTCATACTCTAATCATGAGGCTAAACTGCTTCTCACTACAAGTATCTTCATAATAACTGTGTTTTAAGTCTTGAACTTGCGTTTTAAGTCTGGTAGAGGCATAAGAAGTTTAAAACAAAGAAACAAAATCCTGAGGAAGTTCGTAAACTTCTAGTGAATGAGAGAAATGATAGAAATCTCTTCTTCCCCTAAAGTCCCAAAGTTCTTAGGGGGAGAGGAGATGAGTCTCCTTTTGACAAGTGTTATCAAAGCAGACTGTTTTCACATACACAAGGGAACTCGATAGGGCATTCCTGATGCATATAATAAAATGAGTAAATGCTGTGATGGGAGGAAATGCCTAGTATGTTGTTCTTGGGTTAATTTGATACAACAAAGGCAGTTTTGTTGTGACTCAGTAGAGGGGGTAGAGTAGAAAGGTGGAAGTTAGAAGAGTGCCAGATCCTAGAGGACTAACGATGGGCTTAAACCACACAAAGTGTAGCTTTGCCATTGAAATAAAAGTTTGGGGTCTTATTTTTTCAAGTTTCTCCCGAAATTATTTCTTGACATTCATTAGATCAGCAATGTATCTAAATAAAGTTTTTTTGTTTTCTATTATAATAGATGTTTTTCCTTTTTCTTCCCTCTGAAAAGTATGAGTAGTTAGCATTTTTTGCACATTATTTGAAAATCTAGGTGTTATATGATATTCTTATTGCCAGAGGGACATTCTGTAGGCTCTTTATAAGTGATTTTAGGATTCAGATCCTTATTATACTTTTATTAGCACTAATATTTTATCCAACTAGAAAATTAAACTTCTTCTTAAAAATTAATTCATCTAAGTGTCTGTAAATTAAAGGAACAACTAAAGATTCTTTATGCGGTGTCAAAAACTCCTTGTTTCTACAACAATAGTGTAAAACAAAGCCTATTTTTAAATATATTTTGCCCACAGTATTTGAATTTCAAATCTTCAATAAAATCTGGTTCATATTACTACCTTTAGCTTGATTTTCTAAAAATAACTGATACTTCAGTATGGTTATAATCGTAAGTTCTAACCATCGTAAGAACATAGGAAATAGAAGAACTTACGATTATAATTATAATTTAATTTTATGCCATCTCATGGCTTGTCAGAAATGCTTTGTATCAAGATTTCAAAGTGTGAACAGATTTCCTGCCACATTGATTAAGTTTGTAATTTTGGCTATTTTCCCAGCATCGAGGTCTCTGCCTTGTGTTTATGCAGGAGACTGGTAGCTTAAATTGTACTTTAAGGTTTTGTTTTTTGTTTTTAAATTAACACATGTTTAATTTCTAGTTTCTTTGTAGCCCTTTACAACTTTAATTAGGTAATAAAATGGATTTACTCTGATTTCTCTAATAAAATTTTAAATTTATTAAATATGAAATTTAGCAAATTTAATAAATCTTTTTATTCATGTACTATACAGCTTATCTTATATGCAGAGGTAATAATTGAATGTGGAACTTGTTTCCAATTACATAGATGTCTTAATATCCACTTTATCATCTCTAACGAAGGATGTGTTTTTTTATTTTGAGGTGGCAACAGAACAGAAAAGAAAACAGTGAATTGAGTAATGGGCTTAGCATTGCTGCTGCCTGGTTGTGTAACTTTGGTAAACTTCTTTGGGATTTGGTACTAACTTACAAGTCTTTGCAGTTTAGACAGCTAAATATGACTGAATGGCTGAACAAATTTTAATAGCGTATGCTTCTTTTATACAATTCATTTACCCAGTAGAGGTTTAATTGACCACCTGCTAAATGTGAAGCACTATTCTTGCCATTACCTTTTTAATCTTGGATTTGGAGTCCGCCGACATTCTGGAATTTCTGCTATCAATTTATAACATTTACTTTCCCCTCCATTACCGGGATGGCCACTTCTTATCAGTAAGGTCATGGAGGGAGAAAAAAAAAATTGGGGGCTAGACTTCCTGCTCTTAACATCCAGAAGCAATTAGGTTGTGAGGGAGTATGTAGTATTTTGGATTTCTGCCTTCTTCCTTCCATAATTTTTTTTAAAAAAGGTTCATACGTTTTGTGTGTGTCTTATGTAACAGTAATCTGCGTTATGAACTTAAATGACAAGGATCACTATTTCACATCTTTGGAGATTGACCACAGAGGTAATTAGTAACTCTTATTAAATAACTGTATGCATCATTTTTTATGTAAAACTCTTATTTGGATGCACCCCTTTGAGAAAAGACTTAGGCTCCTTCAAATATCACTGTGATATTTACTAATAAGCTCAGTTTAAGGTGCAGTAACTAAGGTTGTGTGTTTTTTTTTTTATTAAGTTCAGTTCAGCAAATATATGTGAAAAGCTTCTGGGTAAATTTATATTTGTATTTATGGGAAAACAGACAATTTTATTAATGCCTGTATTTTTCTAGTTCAGTGTTTGTCAAACTTCAAGTTTTAACATGTTGATCATGAAACCAATTGAATTGTGACCAGTATTTTAAAAGGAAAGATTAAAAAAACAAAGTAAAATATCAGTATATACCAAATAGTAAATATTGTTTACTAAACTTTGGTTTTATTTAAGTACATATCTATATACTATGTCAGTGAGAAACGTTTTTCAATTTTTTTTTTGAAAAACATTTCAAAAGCTAAAAAGGAAGTTTGAAAACGAGTTTGTATGTACAGCTGGGGTAAAGGTACGCTTCTTGTGGCATAAGTTGCCTGGAACAACTGAGGGTGAGAATGGGGATGCATTCTTATCATAGACTTGTGCCAAAGCATAAGGATGTGAGTGCCGGGAGCAAAGCAGTGCTCACCACTTCTGCAGTTTTCTATTGCAGCATTTTAAGTAATACAGGAACAAGTGGACTGGAACCAAAGGCAAAGAGGGATGGTGATGGTTAAGGGTAGGATTGAATTCATTGTCCACAGGCTAAGTGCATATACATATGTGTTTGGGAGAAGGCATCACGTAATAGTTCTTAACCTACTCTGAGAGAAGGTTGTCCACATTTCTTAAAGTATACATGTAAATCAACAATGAAATTATTTTTTAGGCACTAATGCATAGTGGTGAGAAGTGACTTGAGAATCACAGTGCTAGAGTTTGAATCACTGTTCTACTACTTGCTAGCTGTGTGACCTTGGGCTTGCTTTAACTCTCTGCACTTTGTTTTCCAAATTTAGAAAGCAGAGATAATAATACCTGTCTCATTGTGTTGTTGTGAGGATTATATGAACTAATACATGTAATGTCCTGAGAACAATGTCTGGCACACATTAAGTTACTTAATTAAAATGAGTTGTCCTTACTGTTATTATTAGACATGAGCTAGATAACAGTGGCCTCTGCATGGGAAAGATTATTTTAATTCTGATGTAGTCCAGTTTATCTATTTTTTTCTTTTGTCTCTTGTGCTTTGGTGTCATATCTAAAAAACTAATGCCTAACTCAAGATCATAGAGATTTACTCCTGTACTTTGTAGTTTTAGCTCTTTAGATCTAGGATTCATTTTGAGTTAATTTTCATATATGGTGTGAGGTAGGGGTACAATTTCATTCTTTTGCATGTGGATACCCAGTTGTCCCAGCATCATTTGTTCAGACTATTCTTTCCTCACTAGAAAAATATTTCTTTAAAGAATAATGAATACTTTTTTTTCTTTTTAGCTGCTGTCACTCAATTGGAAAAAGAATGATGAATAATTTTAAATGATTTTCCTACAGGTAAATTTAAGTCTTTTTGTTTAGATTACACATATTAAGAAATAATGGATTTCTATTTCCACAGGTGGGCTTGATCTTTATAAAGTTCTCTGTCTCTGGCAAAATAAAACAAGGCAAAACAGTCTTCTTAGTAGAGTTATTTTTGCAAGAAAGTTACTAGCCAGTTTTAATTCATCAATTGGATACTTTTTCCTGCTTGCTGGAGATATTTCAGTATTGGTGATATCTGAATTATGAAATGTTCATTATGGAAATCTTTGTCATTCACCATGCATTTTAGGAATTTGTTTCTGTGTCCATACCAGGAATAATGAATTAAGTTATCTGTTAAAAATACAGATTTTTGCTCAATATACAGGTGTAGAAGAACTCATTGTCCAAATTTGTAAGACTTTTTTTTTTTTTTTTTTTTTTTTGAGATGGAATCTCGCTCTGTCGCTCAGGCTGGAGTGCAGTGGCACAATCTCGGCTTACTGCAAACTCTGCCTCCCGGGTTCAAGCAATTCTCCTGCCTCAGCCTCCTGAGTAGCTGGGACTACAGGCATGTGCCAATATACCCAGCTAATTTTCGTATTTTTAATAGAGACAAGGTTTCACTATATTGGCCATATTGGCCAGGCTGCTCTTGAAGCCTGGATCTGCCCACTTTGGCCTCCCAAAGTGCTGAGACTACAGGCGTTAGCCACTGTGCCTGGCCAGACATTTTTTTTCTTTCTTTGTAATATTGTTAGTCTTTTGGTTAAGCGGTATTATAACTTAGTCATATGAGTAATGTAATGCAGCTTGCTGAAGTTTGGGGTTTTTTTTTTTTTTTTTTTAATAGAGATGAGGTCTCACTATGTTTACCAGGCTGGCCTTGAACTCCTGGGCTCAAATGACACAACCTTCTGCCACAGCCTCCTGATTGTCTGGGACTACAGGTGTGTACCACCACACCTGGCTTTCCTGATGAAATGTTAAATACCCAAATATTTGAGCAGAAATAATAGCTTGTGTTTATTGTTTTCCTACTATTTGTCAGGCATAGTATTAAATGTTTTACATAATTTGTCTCCAGTCCACATACCATACTCTAGTAGAAGTGGGTAACAAAACCAAGGTACTCAAAGAGGCTAATAAATAACTTGTGCTGGGTCACAGAACTAATGGGAGGCAGGGCTGAAATTTGACTCTTTCTGCCCTCAAAGTGCATTAAAGTCATGAAATTTCTCTGCTAGGCCACCTGGAAGAAAAGTGATCTTTTTTTTTCCGGTCTTTTTTGTTACTGTTTTTCAGCCGGGCGATAGTACAGTTAGGTAGCAGAATGTTAGTCCTGGCATCTGGTAGGCAGCCCTCCAAAAAAGTTTTTGATTTTTTTTTTTTTTTGTCTTAAACTTGGGAGCTACTAACTTTCAAGTCATACTTTCTTAACCAAGAGCTGGGTATTCAGGTAGCAGGAACTATCCTATGTCCTCTTGAAGGTTCAGTTGTTAAAATTAATTGGTTCTGATTATCACTGTGCTCAAGATTTACATTTCCAGTAGCCAGAGTTTGATTGGTCTAACTTGGGTCTGTGCGTTTTCTTTAGCTGGGGAGGGGAACGTACCTTGACTGATACCTTCACCAGGACTGCATGCAGTGAGAGACAGAAGTTTCCTTAAAATAATTGGGTTCTGTTATAGAAAGAAGAGGAAGCAGATACCAAGCTGGCAAAAACAATCAGGTTCCATTACATAAATAATAACCCGAATGTGAGAATAATAAATGGATAATATAATTATTTTAAGTTGGGAAATATAACTGGTTATTAGTATTGAATATCTGGTAGTTGGGTTGGGGAAAAAGTTGAGAATAAAAAAAGGCTTAAAATCATAAAAATTAATTGGAAAAGAGGATGGCTAAGCAGATACCCATGTTAGATAATGTTCATAATGGCAAACCAACCTGAAGATTTGCTTAAATTGTAGTATGTAGCCAGGTGTGGTGGTGCTCACCTGCAGTCCCAACTACTTGGGAGGCTGAGGCAGGATAATTGCTTGAGCCTAGGTTCAGGGCTACAGTCAGCTAGTGAGCTATGATTGCACCACTGCATTCCAGCCTAGGAGGCAGAGCAAGACCCCATCTCTAAAAAAAAATAAAGTAGAATGAATGAATTATAGTATGTTATGACAAATATAGTAATCTGAAGTCACTGAAAATGTTGTGTATGTGCATCTAATAATGTGAAATAATTTTTAGAAAGTATGAATGAAAAAAATCAACATTAAAGTGTGGCTAGTATGATTTTACCTATATCTCACTTATAGAAAACATAAAAGCCTGAAGCCAGTCACCAGTTTAACTGTTCTAACCCTCTTGTTGACTTGATTCCCTTTTCCCCCCTCCCCAGCAATCCTCATGTAGTTAGATAAAATTGGTTCTTCATCTGGCTTATTGCAGAAACTCTAAGCCTGTTTACTTAAAGCTTTTTGAAACCCAGAGACCCATCTTTTGAATTCAGAAGTTTTGGCTATTAAGAATTAGTTTTTTCATATGTTTGTTGGCCACATAAATGTCTCCTTTTGAGAAGTGTCTGTTCGTATCATTTGCCCGCTTTTTGATGGGGTTATTTGTTTTTTTTCTTGTAAATTTGTTTAAGTTCTTTGTAGATTCTGGATATTAGTCCTTTGTCAGATGAGTAGATTGCAAAAAAATTTTCCCATTCTGTAGGTTGCCTGTTCACTCTGATGATAGTTGCTTTTGCTGTGCAGAAGCTCTTTAGTTTAATTAGATCTCATTTGTCAATAAATTACTTTGGGCAGTATGGCCATTTTCATCATATTGATTCTTCCTATCCATGACTATGGAATGTTTTTCCATTTGTTTGTGTCCTCTCTTATTTCCTTGAGCAGTGGTTTGTAGTTCTCCTTGAAGAGGTCCTTCACATCCCTTGTAAGTTGTATTCATCATCACTGATCATTAGAGAAATGTAAATCAAAACCACAATGAGATAATCATCTCATGCCAGTCAGAATGGCAATTATTAAAAAGTCAGGAAACAATAGATGTGAGTGAGGCTGTGGAGAAATGGGAATGCTTTTACACTGTTGGTGGGAGTGTAAATTAGTTCAACCATTGTGGAAGAGAGTGTGGCGGTTCCTCAAGGATCTAGAACTAGAAATGCCATTTGACCCAGCAATCCCATTACTGGGTATATACCCAAAGGATTATGAATCATTCTACTATAAAGACACATGCATACGTATGTTTATTATAGCACAATTTACAGTAGCAAAGACTTTGAACCAACCCAAATGCCCATCAGTGATAGACTGGATAAAGAAAACATGGCACATGTATACCATGGAATACTACACAGCCATAAAAAAGAATGAGATCGGCCGGGTGAGGTGGCTCACGCCTGTAATCCCAGCACTTTGGGAGGCCGAGGTGGGTGGATCACAAGGTCAAGAGATCGAGACCATCCTGGCCACCATGGTGAAACCCTGTCTCTACTAAAATATAAAAAATTAGCCGGGCATGGCAGCACGTGCCTGTAGTCCCAGCTACCTGGGAGGCTGAGGCAGGAGAATTGCTTGAACCCGGGAGGCGGAGGTTGCAGTGAGCCGAGATCGCACCACTGCACTCCAGCCTCGGTGACAGAGTGAGACTTGGTCTCAAAAAAAAAAAGAGAATGAGATCATGTTCTTTGCAGGGACGTGGATGAAGCTGAAAGGAATCACTCTGAGCAAACTAACACAGGAACAGAAAACCAAACACCACACGTTCTCACTTATAAGTGGGAGTTGAACAATGAGAGCCCATGGACACAGGGAGGGGAACATCACACACCGGGGCCTGTCGGGGGGGTGGGTGGGAAGGGGAGGGAGAGCATTAGGACAAATACCTAATGCATTCGGGGCTTAAAACCTAGATGATGGGTTGATGGGTGCAGCAAACCACCATGGCACGTGTATACCTATGTAACGAACCTGCACATTCTGCACATGTATCCCAGAACTTAAAAAAAAAAAAAAAGGATTTGTCTCTTCTATGGGTTTCAGAAGCCTCCATTTGAAACTAGGATGCCATAATATCAAATTGTGTTCTCCATGCTCTGCTGTGTATTTCTTTTCCTATGGCAAGGGATGTCTTTGACTGAATTGGTGCGGGGAAGGTGTTTGGAGGGGACAGGAAAGTAGTGTGGACTAAGGAAACTTGCTTAGTCTTTCCTAGAGGTATTCCACTACAGCTCCACTACTGTCTTCACAGATAAGTGAGAACTGCATATTCTCTGAGAAATGGGAAGTCCAGGGTAAATCCTGTCATTTCATGTTAATAAAATCTAACAGTAAGAAGAGCTTTTACTAAGGAGAGAAAGAAAGTCATAATCAAGGAAGCTGCAGTCTCACTACTATCTTTATTTCATCCTAAAGACCTCCTTTGTCTTGTAGAACTTCCTACAGATATCAGTTTTAGAAAAGCCATATTATCATTTCCTAATTAACTTACATATATATACACATATATATATACATATATATATACATATATACATATATATATACACACATATATATATATATATATATATATATATATATATATTTATTTATTTATTTATTTATTTTTTTAGACAGGGTTTCACTTTGTTGCCCAGGCTGGAGTGCAGTGGGGTGATCTTGGCTCATTGCAGCATCCACCTCCCAGGCTCCAGCCATCCTCCCACCTCAGCCTCCTGAGTAGTTGGGACTACTGGTGTGTGCCACCACACCCACCTAATTTTTGTATTTTTAGGAGAGTTGGGGTTTCACCATGTTAGCCAGGCTCTTCTTGAACTCCTGGCCTCAAGTGATCCGCCTGCCTCAGCCTCCCGAAGTGCTGCGATTACAAGTGTGAACCACTGTGCCTGGCCTTTGAAATATTATTATAGGAAAAAAGAGGAGATGCACTTTATGTAGAGGAGAACCTTAATTTATGCTGGGACAGTACCTAAAAGATAATCCTTTATTCATACGTAAGATGAAATTGAGAGGTAAATTGGATAACTTATACTGTTGCTTTTAAAAAATTTTAACATATATATAATTTTTTTGTATTTGTCTCATTTTAGCCTGTGTAAGTTATATCTTATACAAATCTAGGTTTCAGAGAACTATATGCAAAGAAACAGTGCAATAGGATTATTTTAAAGCCATTGTTATTGTTAGAAAACATAATACCTTCGAAATTACTTCTCATGTAAGTTATGTAGGCATTTCTGTGATCACATTAGAAATACAGTGTCTTCTGTCCAGTTTAGAATAGAAATTTTCCTTTTCTTCCCTTTCTTCATACTACTCAGATTTCTATGTTTGGTAGAACAAATTGTAAGACAAAATATTTGAAATGTCACATACTCAGGTAAATGTTTAAATATTTGAAAATTTTCTGGTTTTCAGAGATTTTGAATTGCTGAATCATTCTGTAAATTAAGATATTAAGAGTAGTTTCCACAGAGTAATTATTTGAAAGCACTGAAAGCAAGGCACATGCTTAATGTAAATATTTATTGCACTATTGTACCTTTTTCTACCTCATAAAAATGAGAACAGCAGTCTGTACTTTTCTACTTCGTCATTTATAAGTCTGTTGGAGAAATGTATATTTTGTTTGCTTATTATCTTCATGCTGCAAGTAGCCTGGAAATTCTTTAAATGGGGCTTGTGATGTATTATGGATACTTCTTAAGGGGTGTAGAAGTTTCACTTTTTATTTTTTGCACAAAGAGTAATAAGATCAGTAGCCCGTGTTTCTTCAGCTCTACCCAGAGAAGGGAAATGTAGGGAGGAAAATGAAGTTTGCAAAATATTTCATAGTAGGCTTTTTCTGAAAGTAACTTCAGACTTACAGAAGTTTAAAAATAGTACAAAGAATCCCATATACACATCACCCCGATTCCTGAAATGTTAATATTTTACCATATTTGTTCATTATGTCTCTATTCTCCAAGTATTATATATGCCATTATATGCATAATATATAATATGTAGCATTTTATATAGATATAGGGCATGTATGACTATATATTTTTTTCTGAGCCATGTGAAGGGTAAAATGCAGACACAATGTGCTTTTACTCCTAAATACTTCAGTGCATATTCCCTCAAGAAAGGACATTTTCTTCTATGCAGCTAATGTACACTTCTACACTTTTCAAAATCAGAACATTTACGTTGATACCATACTATGACATGATCTGCAGACCATTTTCCAATATGCCAGTTGTCCCACTATGTCCTTTAGTACAAAAGAAAGAAGATTTTTTTTCCTGGTCTAGGAGCTAATCCTGGGATACATGTTACATTTAGTTGTCACTTCTTTTTTAATCTAGAACAGTTCCTCAGTCATTCTTTATCTTTCATAGCCTTGACATTTTTGAAGAATACAATCCATTTATATTGCAGAATTTCCCTTCGTTTGGGTGTATCTGGTTTTTCCTTATAAGATTAATTTTATGCATTTTTGGCCAGAATACCACAGAAGTACTGTACATCTTACCAGAAAGCCACAAGAGGCTTTTGAGTCTTCCCTGGAAATGCATTTTCTAAATGATCAGTTTTAATATTATATGGAAAGCAGAGTCAGAGATTCTCACATATGTCAAGATACTATAAATGTTCCTGTTATATTTATTCTCCATTTGCTTTTTCTCAAGAAAATGTGTGACCTTTCAGGTAGCTCTTACAAAGTGGAAGTTACTACATAAAGTTAGGATGGGGTGTGGGTGGGCGGAGAAGAGCTTTATTAAAGCTTTGAGGTTAGGCTTTTGAGTATGTGTTCTATGTAAATGAACATGGGCATCATGATGCAGGGATTGGGCCTTTAAACCCTTGGCCAAGAATGGTATAAATTATTTATTCTTGGAGTACTTCTGCTAACACACAAATCAGTGTACTACTCTCCTTTTAGAAGTTTTACACCTTTTCAAGGCACAGTTTTTATTTTTTTTGAGACACAGTTTTGCTCTGTCGTCCAGGCTGGAGTGCATTGGCACAATCACAGCTCACTTCAGCCTCTACTTCCCAGGCTCCAGCAGTCCTCCTACTTCAGGCTCCTGAGTAGCTGGGATTGCAGGTGTGCGCCACCATGCCCAGCTAGTTTTTGTAGAGACGGGGTTTCGCCATGTTGCCCAGGCTGATCTCTAACTCCTGAGCTCAATCCGTCCTCCTTAGCCTACCAAAGTGCTGGGATTACAGGTGTGAGCCACCATTCCCGGCTTCTAAGGCAGACATTTAAATGTAATAAATAGGGAGATAAGCGAGAACGTGTTGGACCTGGTAGAAGCAAACATTTATTAGTACTCTTACATTGTTAAAATATTAGCCCCTTCTATATTCATGTCTTGTTCTTACTGCCTCTTAGAATTATTGAAAAGAACCCTACTCCATAGTTTATTTGGCTCATATCTCAGCAGTAATAAAATTAGTTAATAGTATTGGCATCGTGGTTCTTTGTGCATTCCTCCCTTATCCTACCCCCCACGTTGATTTCAAATGATCTCTTGCTCTAATCTAAGAATGTTTATAGTGATTATGAAAAGTTCAGACTCTGGCTTTAACATATATAATTGTTTCTTTATCTGTAAACAAAAGAGAATGAGTTCGTTTAAACCAGAAAGACTCCAAGGGTAGTCTGGGAATTTTGCTCCATTCCTTGAAATTCGTATAATAAAAAAAAGTCTCATGTTTTATTTTTAAAATTTTTTTTAAACATTAGTATAGAATGCCACTCCTTATATTCTATATCACATAATTAGTTACATTTTCAATAGTAACCTCTAGGTAATTTTTGGCATTAAGATCTACATTACAACATAATTTGACGGTATAATTTATAATCACTTATGCTAAAATCACCGATTTGAAATTATGTATGAGGCTTTCAAAGTTTATAGTGCTTTGGAAAATATTTAAATGTTTCTTTGCTTATGTATCTTTATTATAAGCTGTAGAATATATCATATAGTTGTCAAGGATGCTGATAGATACTTAATATTTAAAGGTGACTTATCTAAAGTTACTCAGCTGTCCAGGAACTAGAATCTGGGCCTTTTGGTAACAGTTTGTTGCTCTATTTACTTAAATGATGATTGGATTCATTAGAATTTCTCTATTTTCATAGCTGTATTCATGGTCCTGTGAAAATATTGTGTGTGTGCTTATACATATATGTATACCTGTAAGTACAAAGTAGAAAATGAAAGTTCATTTTCTGCATTTGACAATTCTAGTCCCCAGAGATAACCTTTATTAATATATTGTCTCATGTTTGGTCATACTGTTTTCTCTGTATTCGTGAGCACACCTGTGAAGCATAATTTTTTTTCTTTTTTTTTATTATACTTAAGTTCTGGGGTACATGTGCAGAGCATGAAGTTTTGTTACATAGGTATACATGTGCTGTGGTGGTTTGCTGCACCCATCAACCCATCACCTACATTATGTATTTCTCCTAATGCTATCCCTCCCCTAGTCCCCCACTCCGTGACAGGCCCCGGTGTGTGATATTCGCCTCTCTGTGTCCATGTGTTCTCCTTGTTCATCTCCCAGTTATGAATGAGAACATGTGGTGTTAGGTTTTCTGTTCTTGTGATAGTTTACTGAGAATGATGGTTTCCAGCTTCATCCATGTCCCTGCAAAGGACATGAACTCATCCTTTTTTATGGCTGCACAGTATTCCATGGTGTATATGTGCCACATTTTCTTAATCCAGTCTATCATTGATGGGCATTTGGGTTGGTTCCGAGTCTTTACTGTTGTGAATAGTGCTGCAATAAACATACATGTGCATGTGTCTTTATAGTAGAATGATTTATAATCCTTTGAGTCTATACCCAGTAATGGGATTGCTGGGTCAAATGGCATTTCTAGTTCTACATCCTTGAGGAATCGCCACACTGTCTTCCACAATGGTTGAACTAATTTACACTCCCACCAACAGTGTAAAAGCATTCCTATTTCTCCACATCCTCTCCAGCATCTGTTGTTTCCTGACATTTTAATGAATGCCATTCTAACTGGTGTGAGATGGTATCTCATTGTGGTTTTGATTTGCATTTCTCTGATGACCAGTGATGATAAGCATTTTTTCATATGTTTGTTGGTTGCATAAATGTCTTCTTTTTTTTTTTTTTTTTGAGACAGAGTCTTGCTCTGTTGCCCAGGCTGGGGCACAGTGGCGCAATCTCGGTTCACTGCAACCTCTGCCTCCCGGGTTCACACCATTCTCCTTCCTGCCTCAGCCTCCCGAGTAGTTGGGACTACAGGTGCCCGCCACCATGCCCAGCTAATTTTTTGTATTTTTATTTCATTTTATTTTATTTTTTTAAAAAAACTTTATTTTAAAATTTTGGTTACAGTTTCATTCTTAACAAGTCTACTACCGTTTAATTTCTCAGGATTAAAAAAACATTTATTAAGATTCTAAAGAATTAAACAACAAAAGAATGTCAAGAGAAGGGCCCCATTCTTAGGGGTATAACTGCTATTCCAGTTTAATAACTAGCTTCAAAACAAAATGAACTTTTATATTTTCTAAATGAATAATGTACAACCACCATCTTCGTCTGAGCTTGTTATTACTTTCAAACACAAAGCTTCATTTTAAGCTTGGTTAAAAAAAAAAAAAACAAGAATGATGGCCGACCTTAGTATGTAGTGTGTACCTTACAGGAAATTTGTTAATCATAACACAGTAATGCCATTAATAATGAAGTCCTCCATTTAGAATCTGGAACATTCTTCCATCAATGGGGGGAAGGGGGAAATTCAGTCCAATGAGTCTGTCTCAAGATCTTCATCTCTTGTTTGCTCCACTTGTATTCTCTTTTCAGTAACTGGATTAATGCTTTGAGCCCAAAATGAGATATTTTTTATTACTGTAGATTACATCTTGTTTGGTGCTCAGTTTCCACTTGTTTTTCCTGCTTGCGTTTTCGATCTGCTGCTTCTTTCTCATTTTGGCCTTTCAGCATATTCCTTCTGTGAGCAGTCTGAACGTTCCTGTCACCTTTTCTCTTCTTTTCACCTTCTTGATCATCTCCTTCTTCTTCAGAATCGGAGGTTGATGTAACCCCTGTGTTAGCTAAATTTTTCCTTTTGACTCAACTTCTTTCTTCTACTCTATTTTGTCTGGCTCTTTTCTTGGCTTATCTTCTTCCTTCTGGCCCTCTTTGTCCTTCTTAGGCTGCTTTTTAGGTTGTTTTTCCTCTTGCCCCTTTTTCTTACTTTTGTCCTCTTCAGTAATGATGTCACTCTCTGAAGGACAGGGCTGTTTTACCATTTTGGGTCTGCCTCTTGGTTTTGGAATCTTGACTTCCGTAGCTGCAGGTCGTCCTCTTTTAGGACTCACTTTTAGATGAACAGATGCTGTTGCTGTTGTCACTACTCCTGCCTCCTCAGTTTCTACTTGTTTTTCTGCCTTTCTCTTTCTCCCTCTTCTGGCAGCTTTTGGAGTAGTTATGTCAACTGCTTTAGTCACACCCTCATTGCTGGCTTTTTCTTCATGGTCGGTATCTTCCTTTGAAACACTAGTTTCTTTTTCTTCAACTTCAACATTGGATGATGTGTTTGATTGTTTAGTTGCTGCCTGTTGACTTGAAAATTTCACTTTTGGATTGTTATCTGTCCCCATAAACCTTCGTTAAAATCTTTTGTTTGGTTCGCCATACTTTTCCTTATTTTCGGAGTAAGGAAATATAACCTTTGGTCCTAAAAAAGCAGTCTCATGAGTTCCAAAAAAAGAAAATGGGTAGTTTGTTTGTGGGTGGCTTTACAGCTCCATCAAGAACTTCATCTACTCCAGCTGGCCAGTGGGGATAACCTTTCATCTTGGCGAAGATGAGGTCTCCAGGTTTGAAATCGCGAGTCGTGTTTCAGGGGGTGAGACCGGGGGTCCGAAGCCCGGGAGGCAGCGAGGAGATGCGGCGGTGCGGGGATGAGGGCAGGGGAGGTTGCCGGGCGTCCTGACGCTCCAATTTTTTGTATTTTTAGTAGAGACTGGGTTTCACCGTTTTAGCCAGGATGGTCTCGATCTCCTGACCTACTGATCCGCCCACCTTGGCCTCCCAAAGTGCTGGGATTACAGGCGTGAGCCACCACGCCCGGCCATAAATGTCTTCTTATAAGAAGTGTCTGTTCATATCCTTTGCCCACTTTTTGATGGGGTTGTTCATTTTTTTCTTGTAAATTTGTTTAAGTTCTTTGTAGATTTTGGATATTAGACCTTTGTCAGATGGATAGATTGCAAAAATTTTCTCCCATTCTGTAGGTTGCCTATTCACTCTGATGATAGTTTCTTTTGCTGTGCAGAAGCTCTTTAGTTTAATTAGATCCCATTTGTCCATTTTGGCTTTTGTTGCCATTGCTTTTAGTGTTTTAGTCATGAAGTCTTTGCCCATGCCTATGTCCTGAATGGTATTGCCCAGGTTTTCTTCTAGGATTTTCATGATTTTAGGTCTTAAGTTTAAGTCTTTAATACATCTTGAGTTGATTTTTGTATAAGGTGTAAGGAAGGGATCCAGTTTCAGTTTTCTGCATATGGCTAGCCAGTTTTCCCAACACCATCCATTACATAGGGAATCTTTTCCCCATTGCTTGTTTGTGTCAGGTTTGTTAAAGATCAGATGGTTGTAGATGTGTGGTGTTATTTCTGAGGCCCCTGTTCTGTTCCATTGGTCTATATATCTATTTTGGTACCAGTACCATGCTGTTTTGGTTATTGTAGGCTTGTAGTATATATAGTTTGAAGTCAGGTAGCATGATGCCTTCAGCTTTGTTCTTTTTACTTAGGATTGTCTTGGCTATGCGGACTCTGTTTTGGTTTCATATGAACTTTAAAGTAGTTTTTTCCAATTCTGTGAAGAAAGTCATTGGTAGCTTGATGGGGATGGCATTGAATCTATAAATTACTTTAGGCAGTATGGCCGTTTTCATGATATTGATTCTTCCTATCCATGAGCATGGAATATTTTTCCATTTGTTTGTGTCCTCTCTTATTTCCTTGCGCAGTGGTTTGTAGTTCTTGAAGAGGTCCTTCACATCCCTTGTTAGTTGTATTCCTAGGTATTTTATTCTCTTTGAAGCAATTGTGAATGGGAGTTCACTCATGATTTGGCTCCGTATTTGTCTGTTATTGGTGTGTAGGAATGCTTGTCATTTTTGCACATTGATTTTTTATCTTGAGACTTTGCTGAAGTCGCTTATCAGCTTAAGGAGATTTTGGGCTGAGATGATGGGGTTTTCTAAATATACAATCATGTCATCTGCAAACAGACACAGTTTGACTTCCTCTGTCCCTATTTGAAAACCTTTATTTCTTTCTCTTGCCTGATTGCCCTGGCCAGAACTTCCAATACTATGTTGAATAGAAGTGGTGAAAGAAGGCATCCTTGTCTTGTGCCAGCTTTCAGAAGGAATGCTTCCAGTTTTTGCCCATTCAGTATGATATTGGCTGTGGGTTTGTCATAAATAACTCTTATTATTTTGAGATACATTCCATCAATACCTAGTTTATTGAGAGTTTTTAGCATGAAGGGGTGTTGAATTTTGTCGAAGGCCTTTTCTGCATCTATTGAGATAATCATGTGGTTTTTGTCATTGGTTCCGCTTATGTGATGGATTGCATTTATTGATTTGCATATGTTTGAAGTCAGGTAGCATCATCCCAGGGATGAAGCTGGCCTGATAGTGGTGGATAAGCTTTTTGATGTGCTGCTGGATTCAGTTTGCCAGTATTTTATTGAGGATTTTCGCATCGATGTTCATCAGGGATATTGGCCTGAAATTTTTTTTTTTTTTATTGTGTCTCTGCCAGGTTTTGGTTTGGTATCATGCTGGCCTCATAAAATGAGTTAGTGAGGATTCCCTCTTTTTCTATTTTTGGAGTAGTTTCAGAAGGAATGATACCAACTCTTCTTTGTACCTCTGGTAGAATTCAACTGTGAATCTGTCTGGTCCTGGACTTTTTTGGTTGGTAGGCTATTAATTACTGCCTCAATTTCAGAACTTGTTATTCGTCTATTCAGGGATTTGACTTCTTCCTGATTTAGACTTGGGAGGGTGTATGTGTCCAGGAATTTATCCATTTCTTGTAGGTTTTCTAGTTTATTTGCATAGAGGTGTTTATAGTATTCTCTGATGGTAGTTTGTATTTCTGTGGGATCAGTGGTGATAACCCATATATCATTTTTGATTGCATCTATTTGATTCTTCTCTCTTTTCTTATTAGTCTGGCTAGTGGTCTATCTATTTTGTTGATCTTTTCAAAAAACCAGCTCCTGGATTCATTGATTTTTTGAAGGTTTTTTTTTTTGTTTCTATCTCCTTCAGTTCTGCTCTGATCTTAGTTATTTCTTGTCTTCTGCTAGCTTTTGAATTTGTTTGCTCTTGCTTCTCTAGTTTTTTTAATTTTGATGTTAGGGTGTCAATTTTAGATCTTTCCTGCTTTCTGTTGTGGGCATTTAGGGCTATAAATTTCTCTCTACACATTGGTTTAAATGGGTCCCAGAGATTCTAGTACAGTTTGTCTTTGTTCTCATTGGTTTCAAAGGACATCTTTATTTCTACCATCATTTCGTTATTTACCCAGTAGTCATTCAGGAGCAGGTTGTTCGGTTTCCATGTAGTTGTTCAGTTTTGAGTGAGTTTCTTAGTCCTGAGTTCTAATTTGATTGCACTGTGGTCCGAGAGACTGTTTGTTATGATTTCCGTTCTTTTGCATTTGCTGAGGAGTGTTTTACTTCCAATTTTGTGGTCAATTTTAGAATAAGTGAAATGAGGTGCTGAGAAGAATGTATATTCTGTTGATTTGGGTTGGAGAGTTCTATAGATGTCTATTTGGTCCACTTGGTCCAGAGCTGAGTTCAAGTCCTGAATATCCTTGTTAATTTTCTGTCTCATTGATCTGTCTAATAATGACAGTGGTGTGTTAAAGTCTCCCACTGGTATTGTGTGGGAGTCTCTTTGTAGGTCTCTAAGAACCCACTTTATGAATTTGGGTGCTCCTGTATTGGGTGCGTATATATTTAGGATAGTTAGCCCTTCTTGTTGCATTGATCCCTTTACCATTATGTAATGCCCTTCTTTGTCTCTTTTGATCTTTGTTGGTTTAAAGTCTGTTTTAGCAGAGATAAGGATTGCAACTCCTGCTTTTTTTGTGCTTTCCATTTGCTTGGTAAATATTCCTCCATCCCTTTTTTTTGAGCATGTGTGTGTCTTTGCACGTGAGATGGGTCTCCTGAATACAGCACACTGATGGGTCTTGACTCTTTATCCAATTTGCCAGTCTGTGTCTTTTAATTGGGGCATTTAGCCCATTTGCATTTAAGGTTAATATCGTTATGTGTGAATTTAATCCTGTCATTATGATGCTAGCTGGTTGTTTTGCCCATTAGCTGTTGCAGTTTCTTCATAGTGTCGATGGACTTTACAATTTGGTATGTTTTTGCAGTGAACGGTACCAGTTGTTCCTTTCCATGTTTAGTGCTTCCTTCAGGAGCTCTTGTAGGGCAAGCCTGGTGGTGGCGAAGTCTCTCAGCATTTGCTTGTCTGTAAAGGATTTTATTTCTCCTTCACTTACGAAGCTTAGTTTGGCTGGATATGAAATCCTGGATTGAAAGTTTTTTAAGAAGGTTAAATATTGGCCCCCACTCTCTTCTGGATTGTAGGGTTTCCGCTGAGAGATCTGCTGTTAGTCTGATGGGGTTCCCTTTGTGGGTAACCCAACCTTTCTCTCTGGCTGTCCTTAACATTTTTTTCATCATTTCAACCTTGGCGAATCTGATGATTATGTGTCTTGGGGTTGCTCTTCTCAAGGAATATCTTTGTGGTGTTCTCTGTATTTCCTGAATTTGAATGTTGGCCTGTCTTGCTAGGTTGGGAAAGTTCTCCTGGATAATATCCTGGAGAGTGTTTTCCAACTTGGTTCCATTGTCCCCATCACTTTCAGGTACATCAGTCAAGCATAGGTTTGGTCTTTTCACATAGTCCCATATTTCTTGGAAGCTTTGTTCATTCCTTTTTATTCTTTTTTCTCCAATCTTGTCTTCTTGCTTTATTTCATTAAGTTGATCTTCAATCACTGATATCCTTTCTTCCACTTGATCGATTCGGCTATTGACACTTGCTTCATGTTCTTGTGTTGTGTTTTTCAGCTCCATCAGGTCATTTATGTTCTCTACACTGGTTATTCTAGTTAGCAAATTGTCTAACCTTTTTTCAAGGCTGTTAGCTTCCCTGCATTGTGTTAGAACATGAAGCATAATTTTTAAGCCAAAATAAATTTTACACAGTAATTTGCATATTAAAATACTGATCTACACCTGGCCCTTTTTAAAAAACTGCAATATATTGTAGCCAGCTTTTTGTATCACTATATATTGATCAACCTTATTCTTTTTAACTGCTGCATTATATTCAATTGCATAAATGTACATAATTTAGTTCATTACCAATAGATGAGACATTTACATTGGTTTGAATTTTTCAGTATTACAAATAATGTTTCAATAAAATATTTAAGCTTTTCTTCACTTGTGGCATTAATTCCTAGAAGTAGAATCCTGATATTTTGATAGGTATTTCCGAATCACCTCCCAAAATGCTTTTATCTCTACTTCCACTGTCAAGTCTAATAATATTCACTCGGGATTATCATATTTCTTACCAAGCCTGTTTTTACACTCTATCTAAACTGTTTTCTTTTCCTTTCCTTTCCTTCCCCTCCCCTCCCCTCCCCTCCCGTCTCCTCTCCCCTCCCGTCCCGTCTCCTCTCCCCTCCCCTCCCCTCCTGTCTCCTGTCCCCTCCCCTCTCCCCTCACCTCCCCCGCCTCCCCTCTCCTCTCCCCTCCTGTCCTCTCCCCTCCTCTCCCCTCCCCTCTCTTTTCCTTTCCTCAGCATCTTGCTCTGTGGCCTAGGTTGAAATGCAGTAGCACTATCATGGCTCACTGCAACCTCGACTGACCTGGGCTCAAGCAATTCTCCCAACTTAGCACTGAGTAGCTGGGACTACAGGCACGTACCACCATGCCCAACTTTTTTTTTTTGTATTTTTAGTAGAGACGGAGTTTTGCCATGATGCCCAAGCAGGTTTCAAATTCTTGAGCTCAAGCAGTCCACCCATCTCAGCCTTCCAAAATGCTGGGATTACAAGCATGAGCCATTGTGGCTGGCTCAAAATCTCTTTTTCTAACAGTAATATAAATTTTCTTTTACAGACTATACTCACATCATTTGTTTCTTCTTTCAGAAATAGGTATTAAGCATATCTAACATGGCATGTATAGGTATAATTCTCATTGTAAAACCATAGCCTAATTTATTTCAAATTTCAATTTGAAATTCATATTTTTTAAGGAAATTTTCTTAGATTAATCCCACCTAGTTTCAGGTACTACAGTCCCAAGATTTCTTTCTTTTTAACAAATTAAATATAGGTAAGATGACTAAAATGGTAGTCAAAGAATATTGGAACCTGGGAATTTCAATATTTGAACTTTGTTTTGAAATATAATTTGTTACATTATAAAAATATTATATTGCACCTGGAAGTCAGGGACAGTTTTTTTTATTATCTTTGTATCTCCGACACTGTATAGAAAAGTGCTATTTATACAAAAAAAATTCTTAATAAAGTCTTCAGTTGTAAAGTCTGCTGTACAGACTTTAGATCAGGGATTGACAGACTACAAGCCCTGTGCCAAATCCTGTCCTTCACCTGCTCTGTAAATAAAGTTTTATTGGAACACATTCAGACTCATTCATGTACATATTATCTATGATTTCTTTTGTGCTACTATGGCAGAATTGAGTTGTTGCAACCGTGTGGCATCCAAAGCCTAAAATATTTACTCTAGCTCTTTGCCAACCTGTTTTAGATTATAAGCACTTTGGCATTAATATGTTTTTGTTTTCTTTCTATAGCACATAGTAAGATGTTCTGCCCACATTGTGCATAATTTATGGATTTATTCAAGGATTTATGCAAGTCTAGCTGCAAGAAAAAAACCTAGAAGTGAACTTGCTAGATTGAAGAGCTCTGTGTATATTAAATTTTGTTAATTTTTACCTTCCCAAAGGGATTATTCCAGTTCATATTCAAACTACTAATTTTGTGATAGGGCCTCTTTCTTTATAGCTTTGCTAACTTCATGCATTCACACACTTTATCTTTACTAATCTGATAGAGGAAAATGATATTGTTGATTTGATTTGCATTTCTTTTTATGTGTTAGATTGAGCTTATTTTCATATTTAAAAGCCATTTGTACTTCTTTTTCTTGAGCTATCTTTTAATGTCCTTCCTGATACATTTCTCAAGTCTGTGATACTCATATAAGATATATAGTGAACATGAGCCAAGATTTATTTTACTCTAGTGAGGGAACCAGCCTGATGACAAGGCTGATTCAGAGGAGCATGTATGAGACTAAGTGTATATCATCAGTGAAAGAAAGCAAATTCTTACAGGGCAAAAACAAACAAAACCACAACTCTAAGGGTTATTTTTTCTACTGGACAGAATTCATTTGCATTTTAGCAGATAAAAGTTACTATTTTCAATTTATCTTTTACAAATCATTTTCTATACAGAATCTATTTCCTAATCAGTAGTAAATAGTCATTTAAAATTTTCCAGAGCATTAGGTGACTATTATGCAGGCTAATTGTTGATATTTGGGTTTTACTTTAAAGGGACATGTCATAATCTTTTGGCCTTATTTCCAAGTTTTGGATAATTTTTCTTAACATTTTTCTCTAATTGAAATGATTTCAAGTGATGTTATTTCTGTATGACTTAATGAACTTCTCAGGTCACATAGCTCACTATTGTCTCTTCTAAAACATATTCATCTTTCCTTTTTTCCTCTGTAGGAACTCATTATACAATGACAAATGGAGGCAGCATTAACAGTTCTACACATTTACTGGATCTTTTGGATGAACCAATTCCAGGTGTTGGTACATATGATGATTTCCATACTATTGACTGGGTGCAAGAAAAATGTAAAGACAGAGAAAGGCATAGATGGGTAAGTGTTTTTAGTAATTTTAAAAAATATAGTGCATAATTAGATCATTTAATAATGTATTTCTGTCAATGATCTCAGGCTGCCAAAATATGTTTACATTTAATATAAGTAAATGTCTACATTTCATAGGTGGTACATGTTTTTTTCTTTTTCTGTGTTAAATTTTTTTAGTTTACTTATACCCCATATATTTCCAGAAGGGATTTCAGGTAGCTAAAAAACAAGGAAATACAGTAAGAAGACAAAATAAGAAGGAAAGGGAAAGGGAAAAATACAGCACAGGAGTTGGGGGAAAGAACAAGCCCAGTCCAAGATATGGAGGTCAGCATGATTTTTGATTCTGAGCAGCCCAGAAGCTAAGGCAAAAAAAGGAAACTCATTGCATAACTCTTACCTATTGAAAAAGAAGAAATCTACTTATAGTTTTGTGGGGTTTTACTGTTTTCTTTTATCCCCTTTTCCAGTATTCGATTCTGAGATATTTCTCAGCGTGGATCCCAAATAAGGCTTATTGAGTGTTGTAATGATTCACTAAGTGTTTTTTAAAAAAATGCCTTTAACGTAGAAAAATACAATTTCTGGATCCTTTTTGTTTGTGGTTGTGACCTACTGCTAATGTAATCCAAAATCAATCCTCCCTTCCTCCCTCCCTCCCTCTCTTCCTTCCTTCCTTTCTTCCTTCCTTCCTTCCTTCCTTTCTTCCTTCCTTCCTTCCTTCCATCCATCCATCCTTCCTTCCTTCCTTTCGTTCTTTCATTCTTTCTTTCTTGTCTCTTTTGCCCAGGCTGGAGTGCAGTGGCGTGATCTTGGCTGACTGCAACCTCCACCTCCTGGGTTCAAGCAATTCTCCTGCCTCAGCCTCCTGAGTAGCTGGGACTACCGACGTGCATCACCATGCCTGGCTAGTTTTTATACAAAATACATTTTTAAAAAAATAAAAAATGTGTATATTTTTTGAGACCAAGTCTCATTCTGTTGCCCAGGCTGGAGTGCAGTGGTGTAATCTTGGCTCACTGCAACCTCTGCCTCCCAGGTTCAAGCGATTCTTATACTCAGCCTCCCAAGTAGCTGGAATTACAGGTGTGTGCCATCATGCCAAGCTACTTTTAGTATTTTTAGTAGAGATGGGGTTTCACCATGTTGGCCAGCTAGTCTCAAACTCCTGGCCTCCAGTGATTCGCTGACCTCAGCCTCCCAAAGTAGAAAATCTTTTTGAAAAATAAAATTCCAAATCTCAAAAGGCCCTACATAATTTTGGTATTGGAAATTTACTTGTCAATGAAAATGACTATTTACACAAATTAATTATAAGCTTCCATATTAATGTATACGTGTGTGAAACCTGAAATTGAAATTACATTACATTATTTATGAAAGGTAGAGCTTCTGAGATTCATCAGATGATATATACCTTTAGGGCATATGTAAAAATACAGTACATGAAATCAGTGCTTTAATCCAGTGATTCTTAAACTTTTTGGTGTCAGATCCCCTTGAAACTCTTTAAAAATATTGAAGACCTCCAAGGAGCCTTGGTTTACGTGGTTTTTATCAACAGATATTTACCATATTAGACACTAAAACTGAGGACTTTTTTAAAAAAACTAATTCATTTTAAAATAACAGTAACAAAACCCATTACATGTTAACATAACTAACATTTTTACAAAAATATATTTTCAAAAAATATTTAGTGAGAGAATGACATTGCGCTACATTTGCTATAAATCTCATTGTTGTCTGGCTTAATAAAACACTGCTGGATTCTCATATCTGCTTTCGCATTCAATATGCTATATGTTGCTTTTATGGAAGTTTATGAAGAAAAGTCAGCCTTATACACAGATAATATAGTTGGAAAAGCTATGAGTATTTTAATAGTCTTTAAGATTATTGCAAATATTCTTCTTTGATACTACACTAAAGTGACAAGCGTTCATTTCTTAAAGATTAGTTGTAAGGTGTACTTTGAAACTGCACCAATGAACTTTGTCTCCTGTTACATTAACCATTGATTTTGAACCTTGAACTTGGAATATATGATTTCGTAACATTATGCAATGATCATCTGGAAAATATTGATTCACTGATTTATGTGGATCTTTTAAATGTTGACACCTTTATTGTATAATACAATATTTTAAAAATCACATTTGTTAATTTTACCTTTGATCTCTTCAGAAAAGTCTGTAAGTATTGGGAACCTATCATCCTCACGGTGATAGATACAAGTTTCCTAAAATTCTAATTTTTACTGGAGAGCTCAAATTCTATCATTGGAAACAAATACACATTTATTTTACTTAAAAAGGACAGGATTACTTGGTTTCATTATTGAGAAAGTACCTGTCAAATTCCCAAATTTGAAAAACCATAATTTGGTGTCACTCTTTCAAGTAAAAATGGTATTCCATGTAAGTGTCTAGTTTATTTTGCAACTCAAATAAATTATACAAGTGCTTTTATTTAGGACATAACCTCATGCTTCCATATGCAGCAGACGTGTATAGTTTTGCATAGTTACTTATGCATAGTTCTTTTCTCATCACACAAAATATTAAAAATACTCAGTGATTGAGGTGTAGCAATTTTTACTCCTCATCAAAGATGCTCTTATTTGAAACTGGCATTTTATTTATTTATTTAATTTTACTGGAAAGCATGGCAGTCAAGAATGTAATGACTGCCAGTACATTTGAGTGCCACTGCCTGATTTTTACTAAGGAGCCAGCAGTTTTGCCATTGGTTTTGCATTTTCAGTAAAAATGTTAACACAGTGAAAAAGGCACATAATGTCTTGTATTATTTTGTAAACAGTATTATCCAGCAATCCTCTGCCTCGGTCTTCCAAAGTACTAGGATTACAGCAATGAGCCACCATGACCAGCCTGTTTTGGTTTCCTTTGGTCTCAGTTTTCTCTAAAATTTTATGAACATAGTATCATGGATACTCTCCAGGTACCACACTTTAAAATACACTTAAATCCCAGCCTGAATACTGATAATGTCTCTGAATGTATACTTCTAAGTATGATTGTATTTACCTAATGATCATACAAGACACAGGATTTATAGTGTGAAAAGTTTTCAGGGATCCTCCAAGGTGTCCGTGGACTGTACTTTGAAAATCACTATTTTCATCCAAAGTGCCTAGCTCAGACACACTATAAATCCTGTGTCTTGTATGATCATTAGGTAAATACAGTTGGGATTTAAATATATTTTAAAGTACCTGGAGAATATCCATGACACTATATTCATAAAATTTTAGAGAAAACTGAGACCAAAGGAAACCAAAACCGGCTGGTCATAGTGGCTCATGCCTGTAATCCCAGTGCTTTGGAAGGCTGAGGCAGAGGATCGCTGGATCCCAGGAGTTTGAGACCAGCCTGGGCAAATATGGAGACTCTATCTCTACACAAAAAAAACAAAAATTAGCTGGGTATAGTGTCTTGCGCGTGTAGTCCTAGCTACTCGGGAAGCTGAGGCAGGAGGATCCCTTGAGCCTGGGAGTTCGAGGTTACAGTGAGTTATGATTGCATCACTGCCCTCCAACCTGGATGATAGAGCAAGACCCTGTCACCCTTCAAAACAAAAAAACTTTTTTCTCTGAGTCTGTTAATGGTTAGTCTACAGTCTTTGAAAACATTGCAAATAGTATAGCAACATATGAAGTAGCCAACATGTATCCTAGCTAATTTTATTAATCATCTAGACCAATCAAATATTTTTCGATATTTTGATCCATGCTTATATAAACAAAATTTTTTAAAGCCAGGAAATTCCACACATTTATATTCTTACTATTGTTCTTTAAACATTCTTTGTTTTTTTTTTTTTTTGAGCAGAGTCCCGCTCTGTCACCCAGGCTGAAGTGCAGTGGTGTGATGTCAACTCACTGCAACCTCTGCCTTCCAGGCTCAAGCAATTCTCATGCTTCAGCCTCCCAAGTAGCTGGGATTACAGGTATGTGCCACCACACCTGGCTAATTTTTGTAGTTTCAGTAGAGATGCGGTTTCGCCATGTTGGCCAGGCTGGTCTCAAACTCCTGCCTCAAGAGATCTGCCTGTCTCGGCCTTCCAAAGTGCTGGGATTATAGGTGGGAGACACTGTGCCTGGCCTACATTAAATTTTAAAGTCTTTCTATGTCAGTACATATACCCAATGTAATTCTTTTGTTCCGTGAACTTCTGTTATACTTGTATCCTTCCTACCCCAGATTATTTGAAGCAAATTGATATTCTGTAATTTCAAATATTACCATTTCAGTATTTTACAAAATGGTTGCAGTTTAATTGTTGTTCCTTTTTTAATTATTGGCTTGCATATTTCTATAGAGAGTTTACCCCACATCAACCATTTGCATTCCCTGAAGTACAGATGGTACAGGAAAGGCAGAAATCTTGAAATACTAGGTTCCTTAGCATCCTCAAAGTTGACCAATGAGATTTTTTACTTGTTTGGTTGTTGTTTCTGTGTCTTCGTGGACTCATGGATTTAAGTATATTTGTGTTTTAATCATCACAGTTATTATAGTTATTGATGTTCATGTTATTCCATTTTAGATTAGTGGGAGCTTATTTAGTTTGCTATCTGTGTCCTTTGTCATGCCCTTAGATAATCCTAATACTAATCCTAATTCATCGTAGACATTTCCTGCAGCAAACCTGGAATCAGCCGTTTCTCCAAGGAGCTCTGATTCCATTGAAGCAAAATATAATATAGGTACAATCTGGGCACTAGGTGGTACTTGTTACTTCTGGGTTGGCTATTGTTTCTAGCCTCCTAAGTTTATATGACTCTTCTAGTTTAAATTCATAACTATAGGGCTAAACCTCTAGTTCTTAAATCTTCATTTCCTTTAAGTCTTGCCAAAAATCTGAACATCACAAACATAGTCATTTCACTTACCCCACAATACACACATATGACATTGTCAGAATAACAGTACCAACACCATCACCAACAGTATGCCTACTGAAAAATTTTAGGTAATCTGCCTCTAGCCTCCCAGTTAACTGGGACTGCAGGTGCACACCACCATGCCTGGCCATTTTTTTTTTTTTTCTTTTAAAGACACTGGGTCTTGCTATGTTACCCAGGCTGGTCTGAAACTCCTGGCCTCAAACAATCCTCCTGCCTTTGCCTTCCAAAGTGCAGAGATTACAGGTGTGAGCCACTATATCTGGCCTATCCTTTATTTATTCCATCACAGTTTTACATACAAATTACTTTGTTGTAAAGTTCGTTGGGATAGTTTCTTCTGGATCATTATGTTACCAATTAGATGCACCTTTGATTTGTTTAATTTTACTTCAATTTTTAAGGTTTGCTTTTTAGATTTAGTTTTTTTTTTATAAATATATGAAATATTTCCATGATTCCAAAGTTAAATGTACAAAACAGGTATGTTCAAAGAAGTCTAGTTTCTGTCTCTGTCCCATCCAACCTGTTGTCCTCTTCCCCTTAAAGTAACAATTTACATTTCTAACTTTATGGTTTATCTTCTGATTTTTAAAAATATAAGCATATATATATATATATATATATTCCTGTCTTTTAGCATACTTTCAGCCATCTTGCCCTTTTCCTGCATAACACTACATCTATCTCATTCTTTTGTAATTGCTGCAGAATTTTTCATTACATAGATATTCTGCAATTTATTTATATGATGCTATATTGATGAACATTTAAATGATTTCCAGATTTTTTGTTAGGAAAGTGATGACTGAATTCTCTGTACATATATCTTTTTTACTTGGTACGCTATCAAGCAACTACTTAAGTGACCTGACTGTGGTGCTGTGCAAGCAATTATATAAAGAAAACAGCAGTGACTCAGTCTGAAAATGACTTAATATTATCATGTTTTCTTACATATTACATTTATTTTTATTGAGGAAAAGCAACAGGAGTTTAGTGATTATTTTTGAAAGAAATAACCTATTTCTATTTCTAAAGAATGGATAATATCTGTGTTTGGTTGCTTATAGGGTACAAGGAGTAAAATTGCCTCATTCAAATTAGAACTGACTGTGTCATTTTAATGAAGCATTGTGACTTCAAATAGACCTGTTGCTTGAAATAGACTGGGTCATTGAATTCCAGCTGTAGCCCTCCTTCAGAACAGTTGAGTACTGAAGTCCTGGGCTGAGAATATGGCTTTTTAAAGCAACAATCCTAGTAGAACAGAAGAGGTGTGGACTAGTTAGGGATAGGTTTAGAAGTACATTCTTAGTAAGAGAGGTGAGACTTACCTTCATCTGGATCAAATCTATTACTCTCTTGTTAATCTCCTAACTTCCTACACTATATCCAGTAGAGGACACTTTTGCCTCACACAGTAAAAAAAGAGCCTCTGGACTCTACCAATGGGATCAGCGCTCTCCAAACCTGCATGTTAAAAGGCCTATAAGTTTTGAGGGGGTCCCTTTGTCCTCATGATTATTCTGTAACACATTGTATTTATGGGCATAGTATTATTATACACAGATCCTATCTTTTAAAGAACATTATAATCCACTTAACTGCTAGGATCAGAGAATGACAGACAATTCAAACCATATTGTCTTACAGAAGACATATATAAAATATAGTTATGTGTACCAATTGAAGTTCAAATTTGATTTAATTTAAAACAATCTAGGTCAGATTTTATGTAGTTTGTGGACCCTTTGCACTCAAATCTCAAGGTTCTTATTAAAATGCAGATCTTGGCTGGGTGCGGTGGCTCACACCTGTAATCCCGGCACTTTGGGAGGCCGAGACGGGCAGATCACTTGAGTTCAGAAGTTCAAGACCAGCCTGGCCAACGTAGCAAGGCCCTGTCTCAATTATTAAAAGAAAAAAACTTCTTAATAAAAAATAAAATGGAGATGTTGGGTAAAGACTTGTCATCTGGTTTACAGGTAAAATAACTGTCTACAATGTAGTGATTTTGCCTCAAACTTACCTTTTCCATTATTTAGTTCAGAAATTACTGTTCTATATATGGTAAATGAGAAAAATTGCTAGATTCTAGAATTGTGGCCTCTATTCATAGTTTGAAAAATGAAACAAAAATGTTTCTAATTTCAGATCAACAGCAAAAATAAAGAATCAGCATGGGAAATGACAAAAAGTTTGTATGACGCGTGGTCAGGTTACAAATGGCTAGTAGTAACACTAATAGGATTGGCACCAGGTAAAGAAAATTTTTCAAGCAATCCTTTTTTAGTTAACAGAAGTATAAATGGTTCCTCCTTCCTCCCTTCAATTTTTTTCCAGGTACCATTGGATTTTTAAGAGCATGTGTTTCTCTTCTTCAAAAAATCTTTTTTTTTTATTATTATACTTTAAGTTTTAGGGTACATGTGCACAATGTGCAGATTTGTTACATATGTATACATGTGCCATGTTGGTGTGCTGCACCCATTAACTCGTCATTTAGCATTAGGTATATCTCCTAATGCTATCCCTCCCCCCTCCCCCCACCCCACAACAGTCCCGGAGCGTGATGTTCCCCTTCCTGTGTCCATGTGTTCTCATTGTTCAATTCCCACCTATGAGTGAGAACATGCGGTGTTTGCTTTTTGGTCCTTGTGATAGTTTGCTGAGAATGATGATTTCCAGTTTCATCCATGTCCCTACAAAGGACATGAACTCTTCATTTTTTATGGCTGCATAGTATTCCGTGGTGTATATGTGCCACATTTTCTTAATCCAGTCTATCATTGTTGGACATTTGGGTTGGTTCCAAGTCTTTGCTATTGTGAATAGTGCCACAATAAACATATGTGTGCATGTGTCTTTATAGCAGCATGATTTATAATCCTTTGGGTATATACCCAGTAATGGGATGGCTGGGTCCAATGGTATTTCTAGTTCTAGATCCCTGAGGAATCGCCACACTGACTTCCACAATGGTTGAACTAGTTTACAGTCCCACCAACAGTGTAAAAGTGTTCCTATTTCTCCACATCCTCTCCAGCACCTGTTGTTTCCTGACTTTTTAATGATTGCCATTCTAAGTGGTGTGAGATGGTATCTCATTGTGGTTTTGATTTGCATTTCTCTGATGGCCAGCGACGATGAACATTTTTTCATGTGTTTTTTGGCTGTATAAATGTCTTCTTTTGAGAAGTGTCTGTTCATATCCTTTGGCCACTTTTTGATGGGGCTGTTTGTTTTTTTCTTGTAAATTTGTTTGAGTTCATTGTAGATTCTGGATATTAGCCCTTTGTCAGATGAGTAGGTTGCAAAAATTTTCTCCCATTTTGTAGGTTGCCTGTTCACTCAGTTGGTAGTTTCTTTTGCTGTGCAGAAGCTCTTTAGTTTAATTAGATCCCATTTGTCAATTTTGGCTTTTGTTGCCGTTGCTTTTGGTGTTTTAGACATGAAGTCCTTGCCCATGCCTATATCCTGAATGGTATTGCCTAGGTTTTCTTCTAGGGTTTTTATGGTTTTAGGTCTAACTTGTAAGTCTAATCCATCTTGAATTAATTTTTGTATAAGGTGTAAGGAAGGGATCCAGTTTCAGCTTTCTCCATATGGCTAGCCAGTTTTCCCAGCACCATTTATTAAATAGGGAATCCTTTCCCCATTGTTTGTTTTTGTCAGGTTTGTCAAAGATCAGATGGTTGTAGATGTGTGGTGTTATTTCTGAGGCCCCTGTTCTGTTCCATTGGTTTATATATCTATTTTGGTACCAGTACCATGGTGTTTTGGTTACTGTAGCCTTGTAGTATAGTTTGAAGTCAGGTAGCGTGATGCCTCCAGCTTTGTTCTTTTGGCTTAGGATTGACTCGGCGATGCGGGCTCTTTTTCGGTTCCATATGAACTTTAAAGGAGTTTTTTCCAATTCTGTGAAGAAAGTCATTGGTAGCTTGATGGGGATGGTGTTGAATCTGTAAATTACCTTGGGCAGTATGGCCATTTTCACGATATTGATTCTTCCTACCCATGAGCATGGAATGTTCTTCCATTTCTTTGTATCCTCTTTTATTTCCTTGAGCAGTGGTTTGTAGTTCTCCTTGAAGTGGTCCTTCACATCCCTTGTAAGTTGTATTCCTAGGTATTTTATTCTCTTTGAAGCAATTGTGAATGGGACTTCACTCATGATTTGGCTCTCTGTTTGTCTGTTATTTGTATATAAGAATGCTTGTGATTTTTGTACATTGATTTTGTATCCTGAGACTGCTGAAGTTGCTTATCAGCTTAAGGAGATTTTGGGCTGAGACGATGGGGTTTTCTAGATATACAATCATGTCATCTGCAAACAGGGACAATTTGACTTCCTCTTTTCCTAATTGAATACACTTTATTTCCTTCTCCTGCCTCATTGCTCTGGCCAGAACTTCCAACACTATGTTGAATAGGAGTGGTGAGAGAGGGCATCCCTGTCTTGTGCCAGTTTTCAGAGGGAATGCTTCCAGTTTTTGCCCATTCAGTATGATATTGGCTGTGGGTTTGTCATAGATAGTTATTATTTTGAGATATGTCCCATCAATACCTAATTTATTGAGAGTTTTTAGCGTGAAGGTTGTTGAATTTTGTCAAAGGCCTTTTCTGCATCTATTGAGATAATCATGTGGTTTTTGTCTTTGGTTCTGTTTATATGCTGGATTATATTTATTGATTTGCATATGTTGAACCAGCCTTGCATCCCAGGGATGAAGCCCACTTGATCATGGTGGGTAAGCTTTTTGATGTGCTGCTGGATTTGGTTTGCCAGTATTTTATTGAGGATTTTTGCATCAATGTTCATCAAGGATATTGGTCTAAAATTCTCTTTTTTGGTTGTGTCTCTGCCAGGCTTTCCTATCAGGATGATGCTGGCCTCATAAAATGAGTTAGGGAGGATTCCCTCTTTTTCTATTGATTGGAATAGTTTCAGAAGGAATGATACCAGCTCCTCCTTGTACCTCTGGTAGAATTCAGCTGTGAATTCATCTGGTCCTGGACTTTTTTTGGTTGGTAAGATGTTGATTATTGCCACAATTTCAGAGCCTGTTATTGGTCTATTCAGAGATCCCACTTCTTCCTGGTTTAGTCTTGGGAGGGTGTATGTGTCGAGGAATTTATCCATTTCTTCTAGATTTTCTAGTTTATTTGTGTAGAGGTGTTTGTAGTATTCTCTGGTGGTAGTTTGTATTTCTGTGGGATCAGTGATGATATCCCCTTTATCATTTTTTATTGCATCTATTTGATTTTTCTCTCTTTTCTTTTTTATTAGTCTTACTAGCGGTCTATCGATTTTGTTGATCTTTTCAAAAAACCAGCTCCTGGGTTCATTAATTTTTCGAAGGGTTTTTGTGTCTCTATTTCCTTCAGTTCTGCTCTGATTTTAGTTATTTCTTGCCTTTTGCTAGCTTTTGAATGTGTTTGCTCTTGCTTTTCTAGTTCTTTTAATTGTGATGTTAGGGTGTCGATTTTGGATCTTTCCTGCTTTCTCTTGTGGGCATTTAGTGCTATAAATTTCCCTCTACACACTGCTTTGAATGTGTCCCGGAGATTCTGGTATGTTGTGTCTTTGTTCTCGTTGGTTTCAAAGAACATCTTTATTTCTGCCTTCATTTCATTATGTACCCAGTAGTCATTCAGGAGCAGGTTGTTCAGTTTCCATGTAGTTGAGCGGTTTTGAGTGAGTTTCTTAGTCCTGAGCTCTAGTTTGATTGCACTGTGGTCTGAGAGACGGTTTGTTATAATTTCTGTTTTTTTACATTTGCTGAGGAGTGCTTTACTAATAAAATCTTCTTAAATATAAAACTAGGAGGCAGAGGCTTCCAAGTCTAGTCTTGGCTCTGTCACTTTAAGTGTTTATCCAGCTTGGTTGATCTTTCTGGGCTCAGTTTCTATATCTGTAAAATAAGTGATTTGGATCAGGTGACCAATAAAGTATCTTTTGATGTTAACACCATAATAAATAGCCAATATTTATGGGGTGCTTCCTATGTGTTGTGCACTCTTCTAAAAAGTTTACATGTATTTAAACCTCACGGCATCCTATGATACCAGTGCTGTCATTATCGCCATTTTACAGATGAGGGGACTGAAGCTGAAGAAAAGTAACTTAGTCTGACGAAGGTCATACAACTTAGCAAGTGACCAAGCCAGGGTCTGAATTAAAGCCGTCGAGTTCCAGACCCTATCCCCTTCATCACCCGGCTCTACAGCGTGGCCACAAAGTCCCAATGTGTGAGATTTTAAGAAATAGCTGTTGAGGACCTGAAAACAAATATTAAGCCCAGTTGTAATCACTTTCAGCTTCCATGATGGAAGATTGTGTTCAGAAGACCACAAAATTAAATTTTGTGTAGAGAATGTAGGTAAGTACTGATAATCCCAATTGGCATGCATAATAATGTTCTGGCCTCTGCGTATGTAACGCACTGATCTTTTTCTATAAGAAGAAGGACCCAGATTTGACCATAAATTTGTATTTTTTTATATTCTCACAGTAAAATAATCTTGATATATGGTTTTCTGTAATTTAAGAAAAAACCATAAATAGGAATACTATGAATTTCAATAATTATTTCTAATGAACATTAAATTTAAATGAAATTGATACCACTTATAAGTCTGTTAATTATGGATTGAAAATTAGATTTGTGAACCTTCTGTCAAGTAGCTGTCTTTTGAAGATATTTCTATATCTTTTAAATGCTGTTTTTTGGTTCACAATTAATTTGAATGATGTAACTTTTAAAAATTCCAAACAAAAATAGTAATTTTATTGTAAAAAATTACTCCTTACAGTTTTTAAATATAATAAATGTTTATAACTAAAATTTGAAAATCTTAAATTTATATATACTTCTTAAATGACCCTGACCCTTTTTTAGGAGTCTCCTGCTTTCCACTTGCCTTTTAACTGGATTGTTCTCGACTCCCAAAAAGTTGACTTATTTCTTGACCATCTCCAACATATTTTTACAGGGGCCTTGGCCAGATTAATAGGCATTACTGCTGACTGGATGACTGACTTAAAGGAGGGCGTTTGCCTTAGTGCATTGTAGTACAACCACAAAAAGTGCTGTTGGGGATCTAATGAAACAACATTTGAAGAGACGGATAAATGTCTATGGTGGAAAACACGGGCATAATTAATCATAAGTCAAGTAGAGTTAAGTCTTGCTTTGTCTCAAGATGAGTTAATAATTGATACAGCAAAATGTTTCCAATTCAGTTAATTATAAAATTAATCACATATTAGATGATTGCATCCGCATTAAATGGATCCATCCTCAACACATTGCAGCAAGAAAGAATTAAATGCAGTATTGTTTCAAGAAGCTTTTGTATTAGTTAACTACGTAGTCATATAACAAATCCACTGGATTGTCACGCAAATATATTTGAGCTGTAGTAGAAAAGAAGTGATAGTTATTGCAGTAGGATCTGTGTAAAGTTACTAAGAAGTCAAGTTATTAAAACTAATATATTACCAAGATTGGGAGGTTTGAATTATGAAAGTATGATTATCAAATAATTTAGTAAAATCAACCTTCTAAGTAGACATACATTGAAGAAAATCAGAGATATTTATTTGTGGCATTACAGCATTTAAATGATTAGTTTGCTATGATCTACAAAGAATATTCTAGAATTTAGGATGTTATATGTGTATTTTTTACATGATGACATATGGATATATTTTTAAAATTTTATTTTAGCTGAACTTTAGATCTAAAAGGTATGTATTTGCGGTAAGATGAGTAGTATGCTGTTTCTCACCTGGCTTAACTGAATTGAGTTTAATTTCATGATCTTCTGGAAAGTTATAGCAGAATGAAATCTGAGTGCTGATGCAATTTGTTTCCACCACTGTTTCCAAAATGTGGTTTGTAGGCAGAGGTTGAAGTATAGCTGAGATGTCTTTAACAAAACTTTAGGGATTAAAGTTTAGGGATTAAAATGAATGTGAAACTCATTTTGAAAATAAAACAGTGCTAGATATTCTAAACATTTATTAGACATTTATAATAAATTGATACTGTGAATTCGTAATGATGATCACCATCTCCAAAAGTAATAATAACATCAATTTTTCTTATTACAGTAAAATCCATTATGTATAAATTCTAACTACAGCAAAATTTAGAGCTAGGCTATTTACCATTCAATTTATAATATATCAGAAACATCTTATAAAATGATACCATTACTTTTTCTTTTCTTTTTTTTGGTTAGCTATTATTTTCCTCTCAAAACTTTATGGAGATCATTTTTTGCTGCTTTAGTGGCTGCATTTGTTTTGAGGTCCATCAATCCATTTGGTAACAGCCATCTGGTCCTTTTTTATGTGGAGTATGACACACCATCATACATTTTTGAGCTGTTTCCTTTTATTCTCCTAGGGGTATTTGGAGGGCTTTGGGGAGCCTTTTTCATTAGGGTAAGTATTGCCTGGTGTCATCGACACAAGTCCACCAAATTTGGAAAGTATCCCATTCTGGAAATCATTATCGTTGCAGCCATTATGGCTGTGATAGCCTTTCCTAATCCATACACCAGGGTAAACACCAGTGAACTGATCAAAGAGTTTTTTACACACTGTTTTCCCCTGGAATCCTCTTCTCTTTGTGACTACCAAAATGACATGAATGCCAGTAAAATTTTCTATGACATTCCTGATAATCCAGTAGGCATTGGAGTATATTCAGCTCAATGCACTAATGCCTGGCACTCCTATTTAAAATCATAATGACAGTATGCACTTTTGGTATCAAGGTAAGTACTAATGTGAGGTGATATTTGAGCAATGTTGGCATGTTCAAAACATATGTGGAATGAGAGAAGTTGTTTCATAAATGACTGAAAAAAGTACTTATCTTTTGAGTTTAAGTAATGAAAAAGATAATTCCTTAGCATATATTGTTGAGCATGTTATTTGTTGCTATTTAACAAATTACTCCCAAAACTTAGCAGCTTAAGGTAACTACTTATTTTGTTCTTGATATTGGGTCGCCATTTAGGAAGGGCTCAGCTGGCATTTTTTGCTTGCGGTCTTTCATATAGTTGTTATTAGACATGGCAAGGGCTAATCATCTCAAAGCTCCTTTTTAAAATTTCCTTTTTAAAAAAGTGAGTACCTAGCATTTATACGTAGTTTTGTGGTACATGAAGTATTTTGATACAGGCATGCAGTGCTTAATAATCTCAGGGTAAATGGAGTATCTATCACCTCAAGCTTTTATCCTTTGTGTTACAAATTATACTCTTTGTGTGTCCAATTATACTCTTAATTATTTTTAAGTGTACAATCAAATTATTATTGAGTATAGTTCAAAGACTTCTTCATTTATGACTAGCACCCAGGCTGAAAAGATTCAGACACCTGGGCTCCTGGGATCAGTCACGCATACTGTCTCTCTCATGCTCGCTCTCTCGTGCTCTCTCTCTCTCTCTCTCTGTTTCTTTTTTCTCTCTCTCTGTGGTTTTTCTAGGGTGGTGGCCTCAGGGTAGTTGGATTTCTTAAATCATAGCTCAGGGTTCCAAAAGCAAGTGTCCCAAGCGGGCTGTTTTTAATGTAGCCAAAGAAGTCTTGCAGCATGACTTGTTTAATTCTATTCATTGAGGCAGTCACAGAGGCCCACCCTGTTCAGAGGAAGGACATACACTTAGTGGGACAAGTGTCAGAGAATTCGTGATCATATTTTAAAACCACTTTTATTAGTTTCCCATTGCTATTGTAATAAATTACCACAATTTAGTGGCTTAAAAGCCAAACAAATTTATTATCTTACAGTTCTTGAGATCAGAAGTCTGAAATGGATCTCACTGTGCTAAAATTAAGGTGTTCACAGGGCATTCTGGAGGCTGTAGGAGACAGTCTGTTTTTTTGCCTTTTCTGACTTTAGAAGCTGCCAGCATTCCTTGGCTCCTGGCCCTCTATTTGCATCTTCAAAGCCAGCATTGGCTGGTCAAGTCTTTCTCTTGGCTCATTACTCTGACGCAAACTCTGCTAAATCTCCCTTCCACATTTGAAAAACCTTTGGGATTCCTTTAGGCCCACCCAGATATATCAGAAAATAATCTCCTTTTTCAAGGCAGCAACTTTCTTTCTGCAACCTTAATTCCTCCTTGCCATGTAAAGTAATGTAATCACAGGTTCTTGGAACTAAGCTATGGACATCTTTGAGGAGCCATTATTCTGCCTCGTACCAGTATAGGGTGTTAGCTTGAAAGGACACTGCAGACTTAGTAAAATTACTATGTCTATAAATACGTGTCTTTTTCCATCAGAGAATTAAGGTAGCTGGGCCTTACGCCCTAGGACATTGCTTCTTTTGGATTTATAAAATAACAAAATTTGGGCTGAGCACGGTGTCTCACGCCTGTAATCCCAGCACTTTGGGAGGCCGAGGCGGGTGGATCACAAGGTCAGGAGATCAAGACCATCCTGGCTAACACGGTGAAACCCTGTCTCTACTAAAAATACAAAAAAATTAGCTGGGCATGGTGGCGGGCACCTGTAGTCCCAGCTACTCGGGAGGCTGAGGCAGGAGAATGGTGTGAGCCAAGAATTGCAGTGAGCTGAGGTCACGCCACTGTACTCCAGCCTGGGTGACAGAGTGAGACTCCACCTCAAAAAATAAAACTTAATAATAATAAAATAATAGTAATAATAATAGAAAAGCCTGAAAGTTTTACCTTTTTGCTTAGGGGATCAAGTTAAAAGAGCTGTTAAAGCTCTTTTTTTCTACAATAAGTAAGTGTTCTGTAACTCCCAACTTTCTCACAGTCAGTTCAACTACAAGAAGGTGGAGGCAATTGGCAGGCTTTTGTTAAGTCCTACCTTTAACTCAGCTCTGGCTGAAGGATCATCGTACCTGGCAAGAGAGTGTAAAACACACTTTGATTTTTTCTATTGTGTGTCCTTTTAATGATCCTAGTAGACTCAAACATGCCATCGTTTTGTGTTTGGCTCATTTCATGTTCAGAAGAGTTTATAGCTATTACTCTTTCAGTAGTCATTTTTATTTATTTTTTTTTTTTGAGACAGAGTCTCACTTTATTGCCCAGACTGGAAGGCAGTGCGCAATCTCAGCTCACTGCAACCTCCACTTCCCAGGTTCCAGTGATTCTCCTGCCTCAGCCTCCAAAGTAGCTGGGATTACAGGTATGTGCCATCACGACTGGCTAATTTTTGTATTTTTAGTAGAGATGGGTTTTTGCCATGTTGGCCAGGCTTGTCTTGAACTCCTAACCTCAGGTGATCTGCCCACCTTGACCTCCCAAAGTGCTGAGACTACAGGCATGAGCCATGGTGCCCAGCCTGTTTCAGTAGTCTTTAAATGATCTTGTTTATGGTGCTTCTTATCCCTATTATCCTCATTAAATTTAATCATTAAATATTTTTCTCTTTTTAATTGATTCATATAAATAGACTTACCTGAGAGATATAGATTTGGTTCAGACCACCACAATAAAGTGAACATCATAATAAAGCGAGCCCCATGAATGTCTTGGTTTCTTAGTGCATATAAAAGTTCTGTTTACACTATGCTGCAGTCTGTTATGTGTACAACAGCATTATGTCTTTAAAAAAAGTAATACCTTAATTTTTTTTATTATACTTTAAGTTATAGGGTACATGTACACAACGTGCAGGTTTGTCACACATGTATACATGTGGCATGTTGGTGTGCTGCACCCATTAACTCGTCATTTACAGTGGGTATTTCTCCTAATCCTATCCCTCCCCAGCCCCCCACCCCACAACAGGCCCAGGTGTGTGATGTTCCCTTCCCTGTGTCCAGGTGTTCTCATTGTTCAGTTCCCTCCTGTGAGTGAGAACATGCAGTGTTTGGTTTTCTGTCCTTGCCATAGTTTGCTGAGAATGATGGTTTCCAGCTTCATCCATGTCCCTGCAAAGGACATGAACTCATCCTTTTTTATGGCTGCATAGTATTCCATGATGTATATGTGCCACATTTTCTTAATCCAGTCTATCATTGATGGACATTTGGGTTGGTTCCAAGTCTTTCCTATTGTGAATAGTGCCGCAATACATATATATGTGTGCACGTGTCTTTATAGTAGCATGATTTATAATTCTTTGGGTATATACCCAGTAATGGGATTGCTGGGTCAAATGGTATTTCTAGTTCTAGATCCTTGAGGAATTGCCACACTGTCTTCCACAGTGGTTGAACTAACTAACACTCCCACCAACAGTGTAAAAGTGTTCCTATTTCTCCGCATCCTCTCCAGCATCTGTTGTTTCCTGACTTTTTAATGATTGCCATTCTAAGTGGTGTGAGATGGTATCTCATTGTGGTTTTGATTTGCATTTCTCTGATGACCCATAATGATGAGCATTTTTTCATGTGTCTGTTAGCTGCATAAATGTCTTCTTTTGAGAAGTGTCTGTTCATATTCTTTGCCCACTTGTTGACAGGGTTGTTTGATATTTTCTTGAAAATTTGTTTAAGTTCTTTGTAGATTCTGGATATTAGTCCTTTGTCAGGTGGGTAGATTGCAGAAATTTTCTCCCATTCTGTAGGTTGCCTGTTCACTCTGATGGTAGTTTCTTTTGCTGTGCAGAAGCTCTTTAGTTTAATTAGATTCCATTTGTCTATTTTTGCTTTTGTTGCCAATGCTTTTGGTGTTTTAGTCATGAAGTCCTTGCCCATGCCTATGTCCTGAATGGAATTGCCTAGGTTTTCTTCTAGGGTGTTTATGGTTTCAGGTCTAACATTTAAGTCTTGAATCCATCTTGAATTAATTTTTGTATAAGGTGTAAGGAAGGGATCCAGTTTCAGCTTTCTACATATGGCTAGCCAGTTTTCCCAGCACCATTTATTAAATAGGGAATCCTTTTCCCATTGCTTGTTTTTGTCAGGTTTGTCAAAGATCAGATGGTTGTAGCTGTGTGGTGTTATTTCTGAGGCCTCTGTTCTGTTCCATTGGTCTATACATCTGTTTTGGTACCAGTACCATGCTGTTTTGGTTACTGTAGCCTTGTAGTATAGTTTGAAGTCAGGTAGCGTGATGCCTCCAGCTTTGTTCTTTTTGCTTAGGATTGTCTTGGCAATGCTGGCTCTTTTTTGGTTCCATATGAACTTTAAAGTAGTTTTTTCCAATTCTGTGAAGAAAGTCAGTGGTAGCTTGATGGGGATTGCATTGAATCTATAAATTACCTTGGGCAGTATGGCCATTTTCACGTTATTGATTCTTCCTATCCATGAGCATGGAATGTTCTTCCATTTGTTTGTGTCCTCTTTTATTTTGTTGAGCAGAGGTTTGTAGTTCTCTTTGAAGAGGTCCTTCACATCCCTTGTAAGTTGTATTCCTAAGTATTTTATTCTCTTTGAAGCAATTGTGAATGGGAGTTCACTCATGATTTGGCTCTCTGTTTGTCTGTTATTGGTGTATAAGAATGCTTGTGATTTTTGTACATTGATTTTGTATCCTGAGGCTTTGCTGAAGTTGCTTATCAGCTTAAGGAGATTTTGGGCTGAGATGATGGAGTTTTCTCAATGTACAATCATGTCATCTGCAAACAGGGACAATTTGACTTCCTCTTTTCCTAACTGGATATCCTTTATTGCTTTCTCTTGCCTGATTGCCCTGGCCAGAAGTTCCAATACTACGTTGAATAGGATTGGTGAGAGAAGGCATCCCTGTCTTGTGCCAGTTTTCAAAGGGAATGCTTCAAGTTTTTGCCCATTCAGTGTGATATTGGCTGTGGGTTTGTCATAAATAGCTCTTATTATTTTGAGATACATTCCATCAATACGTAGTTTATTGAGAGTTTTTAGCATTAAGGGATGAATTTTGTTGAAGGTGTTTTCTGCATCTATTGAGATAATCATGTGGTTTTTGTCATTGGTTCTGTTTATGTAGTGGCTTGCATTTATTGACTTGTGTAGGTTGAACCAGCCTTGCATCCCGGGGATGAAGCCCACCTGATCATGGTGGATAAGCTTTTTGATGTGCTGCTGGATTCGGTTCACCAGTATTTTATTGAGGATTTTCACATCAATGTTCATCAGGGATATTAGTCTAAAATTCTCTTTTTTTGGTTGTGTCTCTGCCCGGCTTTGGTATCAGGATGATGCTGGCCTCATAAAATGAGTTAGGGAGGATTCCCTCTTTTTCTAATGATTGGAATAGTTTCAGAAGGAATGGTACCAGCTCCTCTTTGTACCTCTCGTAGAATTCTGCTGTGAATCCATCTGGTCCTGGACTTTTTTTTGGTTGGTAGGCTACTAATTTTTGCCTCAATTTCAGAGCCTGTTATTGGTCTATTCAGAGATTCCACTTCTTCCTGGTTTAGTCTTGGGAGGGTGTATGTATCCAGGAATTTATCCATTTCTTCTAGATTTTCTAGTTTATTAGCGTAGAGGTGTTTATAGTATTCTCTGATGGTAGTTTGTATTTCTGTGGGATCGGTGGTGATATCCCCTTTATCATTTTTTTATTGCGTCTATTTGATTCTTCTCTCTTTTCTTCTTTATTCGTCTTGTAGTGGTCTATTGATTTTGTTGATCTTTTCAAAAAACCACCTCCTGGATTCATTGATTTTTTTGAAGGGATTTTTGTGTCTCTATCTCCTTCAGTTCTGCTGTGATCTTAGTTATTTCTTGCCTTCTGCTAGCTTTTGAATTTGTTTGCTCTTGCTTCTCTAGTTAATTTTAACTGTGATGTTATGGTGTCAATTTTAGATCTTTCCTGCTTTCTCTTGTGGCCATTTAGTGCTATAAAATTCCCTCTAAATAGTGCAATAGCTGTGTCCCAGAGATTCTGGTACGTTGTGTCTTTGTTCTCATTGGTTTCAAAGAACATCTTTATTTCTGCTTTCATTTCGTTATGTACCCAGTAGTCATTCAGGAGCAGGTTGTTCAGTTTCCATGTAGTTGTGCGGTTTTGAGTGAGTGTCTTAATCCTGAGTTCTAATTTGATTGCACTGTGGTCTGAGAGACAGTTTGTTGTGATTTCTGTTCTTTTACATTTGCTGAAGAGTGCTTTACTTCCAATTATGTGGTCAATTTTAGAATAAGTGCAATGAGGTGCTGAGAAGAATGTATATTCTATTGATTTGGGGTGGATATTTCTATAGATGTCTGTTAGGTCTGCTTGTTGCAGAGCTGAGTTCAGGTCCTGGATATCCTTGTTAACCTGATGTCTCGTTGATCTGTCTAATATTGACAGTGGAGTGTTAAAGTCTCCCATTATTACTGTGTGGGAGTCTAAGTCTCTTTGTAGGTCTCTAAGGACTTGCTTTATGAATCTGGGTGTTCCTGTGTTGGGTGCATATATATTTAGGATAGTTAGCTCTTCTTGTTGAATTGGTCCCTTTACCATTATGTAATGGCCTTCTTTGTCTCTTTTGATCTTTGTTGGTTTAAAGTCTGTTTGTCAGAGACCAGGATTGCAACCCCTGCTTTTTCTGCTTTCCATTTGCTTGGTAGATCTTCCTCCCTCCTTTTATTTTGAGCCTATGTGCGTCTTTGCACCTGAGATGGTTCTCCTGAATACAGCACACTGATGGGTCTTGACTCTTTATCCAATTTGCCGGTCTGTGTCTTTTAATTGGGGCATTTTGCCCATTTACATTTAAGGTTAATGTAGTTATGTGTGAATTTGATCCTGTCATTATGATGTTAGCTGGTTATTTTGCCCATTAATTGATGCAGTTTCTTCCTAGCATCGATGGTCTTTACAATTTGGCCTGTTTTTGCAGTGGATGGTGCTAGTTGTTGCTTTCCATGTTTATTTCTTCCTTGAGGAGCTCTTGTAAGGAAGGTCTCGTGGTTACAAAATCTCTCAGCATTTGCTTGTCTGTAAAGGATTTTATTTCTCCTTCACTTAGAAGCTTAGTTTGGCTGGATATGAAATTCTGGGTTGAAAATTCTTTTATTTAAGAATGTTGAATATTGGCCCCCACTCTCTTCTGGCTTGTAGGGTTTCTCCTGAGAGATCCGCTGTTAGTCTGATGGGCTTCCCTTTGCAGGTAAGTCGACCTTTCTTTCTGGCTGCCCTTAACATTTTTTCCTTCATTTCAACCTTGGTGAACCTGATAATTATGTGTCTTGGGGTTGCTCTTCTTGAGGAGTATCTTTGTGGTGTTCTCTGTATTTTCTGAATTTGAATGTTGGCCTGTCTTGCTAGGTTGGGGAAGTTCTCCTGGATAATATCCTGAAGAATGTTTTCCAACTTGGTTCCATTCTCCCCATCACTTTCACGTATACCAATCAAACTTAGATTTGGTCTTTTCACATTGTCCCATATTTCTTGGAGTCTTTGTTCATTTATTTTTACTCTTTTTTCTCTGATCTTGTTTTCTCACTTTATTTCATTAATTTGATCTTCAGTCACTGATACCCTTTCTTCCACTTGATCAAATTGGCTATTGAAGCTTGTACATGCATCACAAAGTTCTCATGCCATGGTTTTCAGCTCCATCAGGTCATTTAAAGTCTTCTCTACACTGTTTATTCTAGTTAGCTATTCAATCTTTTTTCAAGGTTTTTAGCTTCCTTGTAATGGGTTCAAACATTGTCCTTTAGCTTGGAGAAGTTTTTTATTACCGACCTTTTGAAGCCTACTTCTGTTAACTCGTCAAAGTCATTCTCCATCCAGCTTTGTTCTGTTGCTAGTGAGGAGCTGTGATCCTTTGGAGGAGAAGAGGTGCTCTGATTTTTAGAATTTTCAGCTTTTCTGCTCTGGCTTCTCCCATCTTTGTGGTTTTATCTACCTTTGGTCTTTGATGTTGGTGACCTACAGATGGGGTTTTGGTGTAGATGACGTTTTTGTTGATGTTGATGCTATTCCTTTCTGTTTGTTAGTTTTCCTTCTAACAGTCAGGTCCCTCAGCTGGAGTTCTATTGGAGTTTGCTGGAATTCCATTCGAGACCCTGTTTGCCGGCTACCATCAGTGGAGGCTGCAGAACAGCAAATATTGCAGAACAGCAAATATTGCTGCCTGATCCTTCCTCTGGAAGCTTCATCCCAGAGGGGCAGCCGCCTATATGAGGTGTCAGTTGGCCCCTACTGGGAGGTGTCTCCCAGTTAGGCTACACAGGGTCGGGGACCCACTTGAGGAGGCAGTCTGTCCATTCTCAGAGTTCCTTTTTTGGGAATAGACTATAAGGGGGCAGGGGTGGAAGCAGGAGACCACCTAGAAGGCTCTTGGAATAATTCAGGTGAGATATGGTGGAGATCTGCACCTGACTGAAACAAGTGGAGGTGGTGAAAGTGGTTGGATTCTAGCCATCCTGAAGGTGGAATAGACAGGACTTGTGAATGGGTTGGATGTGGAGTGTGGTAAGTGAGGAATCAAGGATGTCTGCAAAATTTTTGGCTGATTAATGACAGAACAATGGAATGGACACTGGCTGAGTTGGGAAAGACTTTAAAGTGGGCGAAGGATATGAACAGACACTTCTCAAAAGAAGACATTTATGCAGCCAAAAGACACATGAAAAAATGCTCATCATCACTGGCCATCAGAGAAATGCAAATCAAAACCACAATGAGATACCATCTCACACCACTTAGAATGGCAATCATTAAAAAGTCAGGAAACAACAGGTGCTGGAGAGGATTTGGAGAAATAGAAATACTTTTACACTGTTGGTGGGACTGTAAACTAGTTCAACCATTGTGGAAGTCAGTGTGGCAATTCCTCAGGGATCTAGAACTAGAAATACCATTTGACCCAGCCATCCCATTACTGGGTATATACCCAAAGGATTATAAATCATGCTGCTATAAAGACACATGCACACATATGTTTATTGTGGCACTATTCACAATAGCAAAGACTTGGAACCAACCCAAATGTCCAACAATGATAGACTGGATTGAGAAAATGTGGCACATATACACCATGGAATACTATGCAGCCATAAAAAATGATGAGTTCATGTCCTTTGTAGGGACATGGATGAAGCTGGAAACCATCATTCTCAGCAAACTATTGCAAGGACAAAAAACCAAACACCACATGTTCTCACTTATAGGTGGGAATTGAACAATGACAACACACGGACACAGGAAGGGGAACATCACACACTGGGGCCTGTTGTGGGGTGGGGCAAGGTGGGGGATAGCATTTGGAGATATACCTAATGTTAAATGACGAGTTACTGGGTGCAGCACACCAACATGGCACATGTATACATATGTAACCTGCACATTGTGCACATGTACCCTAAAACTTAAAGTATAATAATAAAAAAAAGAATAGACTTGAGGGTGGGATGTTGTGTGTAGAGGAATTTTGGTTTTAGACATGGTTTTAAATGTCTTTTAGACTTCCAAGTGGGGGTGTCACATAGGCATTAGCATGTATCAGACTCGAATTCAGGAGAAAGGCCCAGCCTGAGAGCTACACAGGGGCAGCATCATCTTGACACAGGAGAGTACCATGGATTGAGTGCAGACAGAGAAGGGTTACAAGGACCGAGCACTGATGTATGCTTATGTTTAGATTTGGGGAGGTGAGGAGCCAGCAAATGAGGGAGCTGCCAGTGAGGTTGGGTTGGGAGTAGTGACATTCAAAGAAGGGTATTCCACTGGTGGATTTATTAAAAAATAATTTGGGTGTGGTGGCTCAGGCCTATAAATCTAGCAGTTCGGGAGGCTAAGTGGGGCAGGATCATTTGAGTCCAGGAGTTAATGACTAGCCTGGGAAACATAGGCCGGGTCTCTACAGAAAATTAAAAAATAAAAATATGAGCTGGGCATGGTAGCAAGTGGCTGTAGTCCTGGCTACTTAGGAGACTGAGACAGGAGGATTGCTTGAGCCTAGGAGTTGGAGGCTGCAGTGAGCTATGATGGCGCTATTGCACTCCAGCCTGGGTGACAGAGCAAGACCCTGTCTCAAAAAAGAAGGGTAGTCCCCTAAACCAAATGAGTAATAGTTTCAAGGAGCAATGATTAACTGTCATGTGTTGCTGATAGGTGAAGTAAATGAGGGCTCAAAATGGACCAATGTGGAGATAATTGATAACTTCCCCCAGAGCACGTTCAGCACGATGGTGGCAAGCCATATCCTGAAAGGAGTGGGTCCGACAGAGATTGGAAGAAGAATTTAAGACAACTATTGCAGTTCTTCCTATGAGGTTTTCAGAAAAGTAATGCATGATAGTTTTAGGAGGCAGGATATTATAGCTTTTTTTTGCTGTTGATCGTTTGTCAAGGAAAATTAATCTGAGATTGATCGGATTTTAAGATGCAGGAAATTACAGCTTTTTTGTTAATGATAGAAATGTTTGAGAGGAAAAATAGAAGAGCGTTCCTTGAGTAGGGAAAGGAGGATGGGGTCTTGGACACACATTCGACCCTCATAGAAAGGAGGAAAGACAGAGTATAATGGGTAGGAAAGGCAGAGAATAAAGGGTAGTTGGTAAGGCAGTGGGATTCTGTTGAAGTTATTTTGGTTGCTTCTATTTTCTCAGTGAAATAAACTGAGGATGGGGGTGGGGGTTGGGGGTTGAGAAATGAGACAGTAGGATCGATGGGCATCCAGCATGGCCAACTTGAGGTTAAAATAAGATGAGCTGCTTTGGTTACATTTTTTCTCCAGCTACCTGATACTGAGCAGACTCAGGTAAGGAATAGGCAGTTTTAAAAATTTGGCTTAAAGTTAACAGATAAATAGAACAAATGGAGAGAAAGGCAGTGGAGTGGAGAATGTAAGGAGGGATTGTAATGATCTGGAATAGAATCTAAAGGCTGGGTAAAGAGGGGATCAGGAATGGAGTGGGTGAAGAATGAAAAAGGTGGTTACATTTGTGAATTGTAGGGGACTGTTGTGTTGAAAACGTGTTGGGGTACTAGTGGGAAAGAGATGGAAGGATGAGTGATGATATTAAGACAGTAGGATGTTTGAAATTGAGATTTGGGAGGTTTTCATTATTGGTACTGAGAAGGTACTAGTTTCTAGTTTGTCAATCAACCCCTAATCTAGATCATTGAAAGAGTAAGTCAAGTAACTGAGAGGCTAGTATTGTAGGGATCACCTACATATATATATATATATATATATATATATATATATTTTTTTTTTTTTTTTTTTTTTTTTTTTTTTTTTTTTGAGACAGAGTCTCACTCCATCACCCAGCCTGAAGTGCAGTGACATGACCTCAACTCACTGCAACCTCCGCCTCCCTGGCTCAAGTAATCCTCCCACCTCAGCATCCTGAGTAGCTGAGACCACAGGTGTGCACCACCATGCCTGGCTAATATTTTGTAGAGACAGAGTTTCACCATGTTACCCAGGCTGGTCTCAAACTCCTGGGCTTAAGCTATCTGCCCACCTTGGCCTCCCAAAGTGCTGGAATTACAGGTATGAGCCACCTTTCCCATCCAGACATTAAAATTTAATTATGATAGGAATACTTTGGACAGAACAACATTAAGCTGGTAAGGTCAGTGTTTGAGGTAATGCAAAGGTCTTAGGACACTGCCGAGTAGTTTACAGCAATCTGTTTTGTAGCTTTCATTTTTCCTTGGGTCTTATTCTACATACATGTTTGAGAGGTTATATGGAAACTCCATTACTGAACTCTGAGAGGTGAGCTTCGCTAAATTTGAACTGGGTAATGCTTTTCTGTTAAATCCTGATTGGATCAAGGTTCTTCATTCATGAAAGAGCCTAGGCACTTAAACTGTGTTCTCAGAGAATGGAGGTATACAGACACCATTTGGAAGCTACTATAGCCATTGAGTGACCAGATCCTAGGTAGGTAATATTTAGTTAACTAGGTTTAAATGGACTATGCCTTTAGTGAAGGAACAAGGTAAGGAAGGCTTGGTATCTTCCTGTAGGGAGCCTGCTCTTTAATAAAAAAAAAGTTCAGTAGTTGGAAGATCAGTACCTCCTGAAACAGATTAATAGCCCTCTGACCCAATTGGTTGGAGTTTGAGACTGGAAATCCACATTTCTTGTTACCGTCTTCAGGAAACTCCATTCACAACTGTATTATCCAAATTATAATCACGATATTCTTAGGGTTTGTGTCCAATTTCTATCTTGGCTCTGATATGCCCAGCTTCCTGAAGATACACATTAATGTTAGGTTTCTGTAAGGAATGGATGAAAAGCCGATTCATATTTTTTGTCCCCTTTCATTTGTTCCTTGATAAGAAATCCTTCTGGAATCCATATTACTGATCATAAGGCATATAAAAAAATCCTACAAACTACACAGTTGAGACTGCTGGATCACCAAGTGGCAAAATTAAAGGAATCTAATATTTCTAGCTAAACAAATCTTTAGTGGGAGATACATGAATTTGGATATTTTTTAAATGTGTTAATATTAGGGGCAGTATTTAGAAATAGTTGACCACCTTAGAAACTAAAGAAATCTGAGGAACAAAGCTTGAACTTCTAAAATTTTATTTAAAATATATGGTCTAAAATTATTTAAGACCAATGTGATTTGGTCACCTTTTCTAATAAAATATGTATGAGCTAATTGTTACTGTAATGTTTTAATATAAAACAAGTTAATAGTTCAGATGGTTCCAGGGCCTGGAGCTACTTACCTAACTAAAATGGCAGTTCCTTAAAACCTGAGACCTCCCCATTAGAGCTGTAAAAGTTCCTGTATAGTTATGAAAGGGAAGCTGAAGATCTTTTCAGTTTCATTTTGGTTATTATACAAAATATGCCTACTTTGAAGAAAGCATCTTACCTGCCTCCAAAGGCAGCATGAGCCATTGGCAGAAAGGGAGCAGACTTCGGTTGTGGCAGAGATTTTTGATCCTAGAAGACTTTTTGTCTGAGAAGTCAAGAATCCTTAACTCCCAGGTATCTTATCAGTTTCCCAGATCATGCCGGTTTGATTCTGTCTGGCACTTAGAAACATGTTGACAGGGTCATTTTATTCAATAAGTACAATTCCAAAGGTTTGTGTTACTGAAGGGGATCTATATCCGTAAAATATATGCCCTTAAGAAGCTTGCAGCCTACTTGGGGAGATGAGGAATGCTACTTATATTTAAAATTCTAAGTGTTGTTTTTTAATTGTCTACCCATACCCTTATATAAAAAAGAGTAAGTACCTCAAATATATTTTAAGGAGACGGCTGACAGTAAGTTGGAGGACTACTGGCTAGTCAAGAAGTTATTTGAGTAAATCAAGCCAATCTTACAAAATGTGGAGGTTTAACTAGATGACTTGGGGGCTTTTCTACCTTTAACTTCTTAGAAAGGGGAAAAAAGTTTATACGCTCCTCAGCCCCATCCATGAAGTTAGCTATTCTGCATTTCATGGTCTGCCCTCTACTTTTTTTTTTTTGAGATGGATTCTTGCTTTTGCTGCCCAGGCTGGAGTGCAATGGCGCAATCTCGGCTCACTGCAACCTCTACCTCCTGGGTTCAGGCGATTCTCCTGCCTCAGCTTCCCAAGTAGCTGGGATTATAGGCATGCGCCACCACGCTTAGCTAATTTTGCATATTTAGTAGAGATGGGGTTTCACGATGTTGGCCAGGCTGGTCACAAACTCCAAACCTCAGGTGATCTGCCCACCTTGGCCTCCCAAAGTGCTGGGATTACAGGCGTGAGCCACTGCGCCTGGCCCTGCCCTCTACTTTTAAGGTGAAGGGCATATCATCAGGTTTAAGGAAAATCTGGATCTAGTAAAACACAGCTATCCACAGATTCATACTAAAAATCCAGTGAAATCATTTGCAATGAAAAACTTTAAAATCTAAATTAATGGCATACTGATTGTTATCTTACACTAATGCTATATACTATGTATCAATATACTAGGCTATATTAGTAAATGACAGAGTCAAGAGAAGATTTAAAATAATATACCTAATGGGATAACTGGACTACTTGCTGGGAGTCACCTGGAGATACTACCCAAAATGCAGTTTGGGTAGGTTGGGGTCAGGCACCCTGGAAGAGTGCTGATATCATTGTCATGAGTTTCCTTCTGTTCCCCCCCTCACCCACCATAAACCCAATCCTTAAAGCTATAGCTATTAACTCAAGACTCAGAAGAAATATTCTTAGTTGCCCATATGATAAATATCGAAACAGGACTCTGTAAGGATGGTCTAGTTAGCCACAGGAATTAGACAGTGGCTTCCTGTGACATATCAGAGGGTGACTTTAGTTGTCTTCCAAAATGTGATTAGGGTTACCATTTAGATGATTTGACTGCCAATTGCTTGCACATTAAAGAAGGAAAACCAGGCAGAAGAACCTTATAAACATTTTTAGTAAATGTTTATTTTTTTGTATTCCTTAAAAACAAAACAAAAATTACAAGTTTAATACTAGTCCTTTGAAATATTATACACCAAACAAACCACCTTACTCATGCAGCAAATTGGTCTATGTTCTCTTTTCTTCTGTTTGCCAGATGATCCTTCATAATTTCTGCAAACAGATTCCTCTTCAACAGATTATATGCAAGAGGTAAAAGCTGGCCAGCAACTTTATGAAAATACTGAAAAATAAAAATATAACATTAAGCAGATAACATAGCAGATATCCTAATAAGTAGCAAAAAATATATAAACAAAGCACTTGTTTAACAAAGGCTACTTCCAAAATCATTTTAGCTATACCCTCAAGTGATTAGGGAACACAATTTAGGGACAGGCACCTGGCATTCAAAGAGGCAATCTTGTTGCTCTAAAAGACTAAAGGCATTCCTTGAAAATAAAGAAAATCAAGTTAAATTTGAGTTTCCTTATTCCCCTAAGTTTAATCAACTTTTTCTCACCCCAAACTATGCCCATAATGCTTTTTATTCTCTCCAGTGTATTCCCAGTCAAAAGTTTTATTTTCCTTCATTGATTAGGTAAGAATAGCTAAGCCGAAAGTGGGTTTTCAGGCCATATTCCCTTTATCCTCAAATTCCTTCTCTCCCCCATCCCCAACAGGTACTGCCTCCCAATCCCTGTTAAGAGTCACTGCCTTAGGTTTATCAAAAGATTTTAGATTACTGCTGTTATCTACATATACCACCTTTTTGTTGATCATAATAAACATTTAGCCCTTAACATGTGGTTAAGTACTGTGCTAAACCTTTTTATAACTCTTACATGTTATTTCATTCTCACAACAATCAAGTTTGCTACTCACTGGTTCACATCTTATGGCTCTACTTATTTATGGCTAGGGCCTCTCTAGCAGGTCAAGCACTACTCGGATTGGTTAATGACTGTCATTGTGGCTGTTAAACATTTTGAATATTTTTACTGATAACTATCTATGAGGTGGGCAAAGAAAAGTAGTATAATATTGTTTATAGCAGGGTTCTCAAAATGTACACCCCTGAGCAGGAGCATCAACTTCACTTGTTGGAAATGCAAATTCTCAGGACCCACCCTGTAACTCAGTCAAACTTGGGGAGGGTGGGGAGAGCGCCAGTGTATGTTTGGACAAGCCCTCCTGATGACTCTGATCATGATAAAGCTGGAGAGCTACTGGTTTAGTCTTGCTCCTCCCAGTGTCGTCTGTAGAGCAGCAGCATTACCGTCACCTGGGAGCATGACAGGTATGCAGTCTCAGATCGCATTCCGGACCTACCGATAGAGTGCACTTTAACAATGTCTGCAGGTGAGTCACATGCATTTTACAGTTTGGGAATTACTGCACTGATTTAGGCACTGACTCTGGAACCAGACTACTTGTGTGAACCTAGGCAAGATGATTTGCCTCTCTGTGACTTGGTTACAGAGTAGGTTAAATGAGAATTAAATGATCTGTGGATGGGTATACACTTGTACAGGTAAAGAAACAGAAACAAAGGTGTTGGAAAGCTTGCCCAATCCTACACACTAGAGAAGATGTGATTTACAACCAGTTTAGCCCCATAAGCATGTCATGCCGGCTACACCTTATAGTCTCTTTGACCTTCAGCCAGCTATGGTTGAGTAAGCACTGGTTTAGCTATTAAGTAAAATTTTCTTATTTAATGAGCAATTAGTTAATGGTAAAACAGCATCTCTTATAAAGGTTAAATAATTTAAAGTATATTTTTCATCTAAGAATTCAAGCACAATAACAAATACCCCCACCACAGTCGAAATGAAATGGAGCCTAAGGTGTATGCACACACCCCCATACTTAGCCCCAAATGTATACACACAGCAAGAAGGCATATCCCTATAATGTGTCTAATACATAAATTCACTTTAATATAAGCCTGAATGCAAATAATCTTGGCTATTCACCTTTGCTAGAATGTAAGATGAATTTCACAGGTTTTTAGGACATCTGCTTTTAAAAAAAATCACTTCAAAAAGTTCATTTTGAAATACAAGCTGAATCCCTATCTTACCTCTGCTGGAATTTGGGGGTATAAATGTGCATGTATTCATGTGTGTATGTGTCAGGGGGAGAGGAGGGAGGTGTGGTGGGGGGTGGCAAGTGGAGGTTTTTTTTTTTTTACTCACATGTGAGCCATAGCAAAAGAGGTCCATTCCCAACTCAAGCCCCATACCATAATCACATTCATCATTAGCAAACTGCACAAAAGTCATCATTTCCTGAATGGGAGCAAAAGCTTTTCGTCTCTCATCATCACTTGCAGCCTCAACTATTGTCTTGCAAATTCTCTTGAGGTCAGCTGAAAGAAATCAATAATATAGAAGATTATCTACACAGTTAGAAAATGAATCAGTCTTCAGAGGTAAAGAAACTACAAAGAGGGTTTTTCCTCCTAAGACTTTTTGTACTAGTACAACTTGTGCCACCTCGGGTAGTAATCTGCAGCACTGTAATTTAGAATGGCAATTTGGTAATTTTTCTACATAGGATTCAAGCTTAAAAATGGCTTAAAGATTTCTTAGCGACTATTTCACAGGATTTAGTCTTTTTTAAAAATTTTTAAATTTTATTTATTTATTTATTTATTTTTTTGAGATGGAGTCTCGCTGTCTCCAGGCTGGAGTGCAGAGGCGCAATCTTGGCTCACTGCAACCTCTGCCTCCCGGGTTCAAGGGATTTTCCTGCTTCAGCCTCCCAAGCAGCTGGGATTACAGGTGCGTACCACCATTTTCAGGGGATTTTTGTATTTTTAGTAGAGACAGGGTTTCACCATGTTGGCCAGGATGGCCTTGATCTCTTGACCTCATGATCCACCCTCCTCGGCCTCCCAAAGTGCTGGGATTACAGGCATGAGCCACCGCGCCCGGCTACAGTCATGATTTTTTTTGAAAGTCTATTCCATGGTGGCAATCATGATTTTACATAAGCTTTAAAGATTCAGCAGACAGGTCCAGGAATTGGCAAACTTGGGCCAAACCTGGCTCACCCCATTTTTAACTACCCTCAAACTAAATATTTTTTCATTTTTAAATGGTTGAAAAATAAAACAAGAATGTGATAGATTATGTAGCCCACAAAGTGTAAAACATTTACTATCTGGCCCTACATAGAAAGTTTGCCAGCCTGGTCCATGCACTATATAGTTGCCTCTGAATCTGAGAGTTCTACATCCTTAGATTAAACCAACTGCAGATTGAAATACTCAGGAAAAAAATTAAAAAATACAGATTTAAAAAAATACAGTATAACAACTATTTACACAGTGTCTATGTTATATTAGGTATTCTAAGTAATCTAGAAATGATTTGAAATATACAGGAGGATGTGCATAAGTTATGCAAATACTACACCAACTTACATAAGGGACTCGAGCATCAGATTCTGGGTATCCTTCAAGGTCCTGATACTAAGAGACAGCTGGGTTAAAAAAAGATCCAAGTAGGCAAAATTTGTTCTTTTTGCCCTGTCCTACCTTATTTGTTAGAAAATTACTGACTTGTGGTGAATTAAAACAGAAAAAGACAACAATGTAAGAGACAAGGAATCACTGCAGAATTAAACCTTTAAAACCTTCACCAAAGTGGGAGAAGAGTAGCCATGGCAAGCATGCGTTTGAGGTAAGAATAGAGAGACAATGTCTAATATTTGCCTGAAGAATATATTTTTAAAAGTTAAATTTCAATTTTGGCTTTTAAGATTTTTTTCATTCTTTCTGGATGTTAATGTGCATCAGATTTCAGGATGCAAATGAGATGGAAGTGTCAACAATGTCTAATTAGACTTCCTTTTGACAAATTACATGTCCTTTTTGACAAACTGTACTTCTTTGAGAATAATAATGAAAAGAATGGATATTATTCAAACAAACCAACAAAACACTTCCAAACAGCTGGCTGCTATACTGGGGGAGAGGAAGACTGGTTAAAACATTAACAATTATACTCAAGAATGATACGTGATTTTAAATTATATGTATGAGGTACAATGTTCTGATGATACTAACAAAAAATATAAGGTATAATAATACCAAGGATGGGCTGTGTGCAGTGGCTTATGCCAGTAATCCTAACATGGGAGGATTTGGGAGGCTGAGGTGGGAGGATCGCTTGAACCCAGGAATTTGAGACCAGCCTGGGCAACGTGGCGAGACCCTGTCTCTAGAAAAAATAGAGAAATTAGCTGGACATGGTGGTGGGCACCTGTGGTCTCAGCTACTTGGGAGGCTGAGTGCTGGAGGTCCAGGCTGCAGTGAGCCGTGATCATGCCTTTGCACTCCAGCCTGGGTGACAGAGTAAGATCCTGTCTCAAAAAAAAAAAAATGATTACCAAGGATGGTATTATAAAAATATACTATATACTAGGGCTTTTAACCCCAGTCTATGAATATCATTTGATTCAATCTTGATGACAGTACAGAATACATGCTGTTACCCGAGTCACAAAATGTGTTTTCTTCCCTTTCCCACTTTTGGTAGATCAGTATCATGTTGAACGAATGGCAAACTTCACCACCTATGTTTCTAACTATCTCTAAACAGTAGTGACGTTTTTTATTGGTTTGAAACCTTTTAAAAATTAAATTGTTTTACATAAGCTTCATGACCTTCCTTTCTTCAGAAAAGTCAGTGCTGATCATTTCAAGGAAACAGATGAGGCTTTCTCCAAAAAGCTCCTTAAGGATGGAAAATAAGTGGTTCCTCCCTGCACCCATGGGTGTAACTGATTGATTGGGACCCTTAGAATCTCTCTCACAGTGCCCCAGGCAGCCACTACAAATCAGGGTGGGTATGGAAGTGAAGACCTATTTGTCTTCTGTTAGCAAATAATTTAAAGTTTATCACTTTCCAGTATCACAGTTTCCATTTTTACACATGCCAAGTCACATGTGGACTAAAAAGAATAAGCAACTTATGTGAATTACTAAGCTAGAAAAACACTGAAGAACAGAGATGAAAATATTCAGCTCACCATCAGTACAAGGAAAAATATGTTCTTCCAGCCATAAAATATTCTATAGAAATTTCAATTAACCGAAGCCCAAACTTAAAGAACGTAAGTGAAGCCTTAAATTAACTATTCAAAAATGAAGCCTTAAATGTTTCTACTCGAGATACTCAATTAATGAGTTAGGAGTTTCACTGCTGAATTCTTACTATATCCCTGCCACTACTATCAACTAGAATACTTAAATTAAGCTACAGTGGTTGTGTCAAGGTAAAAATCAGGCAACTAGGCAGGCAACTCTTCTTACTTCAGATAGTAGTATGCACTCTACAGTCAGAAAACCAAGTATGAAAACCAGTGCCCTCAGCCGGGCATGGTGGCTCACGCCTGTAATCCCAGCACTTTGGGAAGCCAAGATAGGTGGATCACTTGAGGTCAGGAGTTCGAGACCAGTCTGATCAAGATGGTGAAACCCTGTCTCTTCTAAAAATACAAAAATTAGCTGGGCATGGTGTGGGAGGCTGTAATCCCAGCTTCTCAGGAGGCTGAGGCAGGAGAATCACGTGAACCCAGGAGGCGGAGGTTGCAGTGAGCTGAGACCCTGCCATTGCACTCCAGCCTACAAGAGTGAGACTCCATCTCAAAAAAAAAAAGAAAACCAGCCCCTTACTGACTAATGCTGAGCATGCTGGGTCTATTTCCTTTGTGAACATGGGAATAAGACCTACTTTAAAGAGTTGGGTGAGAATTAAATATGTGTACATCACTTGTTATAGTGAATCATGACACTGACATTTAAGAATTGCTCAATAAAAGGTATCTTATTTGCTAAGTTACAGTGTTATTGTAAGAAGCTTCAAAGGGTTAAGAACAAACTTAGTTGTGATTTACTAATCACTGTCACATTAACAAACTGCCAGTCAATTGTACCTCCTGGGAAACGACACTAGTCAAGAACAAGATTAGGTCCTTCATTCTTACATTTTGCTACTGCTTCAAAACTAAATACAGAAGGATCTAATTCCTAGAATATTAGACTTGGACATAAAACCCCAGAAACACAACTACAGTAGGGTAACAGGCTTTACTCCAGGGCACTACAATTTAACATCCATCACCCCAAAAGTTTTAGAGACTGCCCATCTCTACAACAAATGTGCCCAACCTTTCCCAAATGACACAATAATCATGCTTTTTAAAGTTCTCTCTGTGAGCAGAGACATGAAAAGAAGATGACTTAGAGTAGAAGCAGAAGACTGACCAGTAGCTAGAGCCCACACTGGTCCCATCAGAGACTAATTGCCTCTGGCTTCAAAGAGGAGATATAGGACAGATCAGCCTGTCCAAGTGTAATATAATACAGGCTACATTTTTTCCAGTATCCACATGAAAAAAGAAACAGCTGGGGCAGGGAGGAGGAGCTAAAAAAAAAAAAAAACAGGTGAAATTAAGGTATTGTATTTAACCCATATTCCCAAAATAGTATTATGTCAACATATAATCAATACAAGAAACATTTAATCCTGTTTTAATTTACATACTTAAACTAATTAAAATTATACAAAATTACACGCCAGGTACAGTGGCTCACGCCTGTAATCCCAACACTTTGGGAAGCTGAGGTGGGTGGATCACTTGAGCCCAGGAGTTTGAGACCAGCATGGGCAACAGAGTGAGACCTTGTCTCTACATGGAAAACAAAACAAAAAACACCAATTAGCTAGGCATTGTGGTACAGACCTGTAGTCCCACCTACTCAGGAGGCCGAGACGGGATAATTGCGCCACTGCACTCTATCCTGGGTGACAGAGTGAGACCCTGTCTCTCTCATACACACACACACAGAGTACAAAATAAATAAATAATACAAGTTACAAATTCTGTTCCTTAGTTGCAGCAGCCACATGTGAGGTACTCAGTGGCCATCACACTGGACAGCTTAGCCACATTCATCTTCCCTATGGCACTGCTCTAAGTGGCAGGGGTACAGCAAAAACAAGTCCATATGAATAGCTGCCATCTAAGACATCTCTCTCTACTGGCTGGAGACTCTGCACAGTAAAATTTGAGAAGAACTGCATTAGAGAACTGGTTTAAATGCAGGTGTCCAGGTCACAACCCCAGAGACTGGTAACTACCAATGCTAGTTAGTTCTGTTCTGAAAAATAGGTGGCCAAACACGTGTGTTGGGCAGGAATACGTGGTTCCTTGAGAAGTTGCTAAGTTTGATTTCCCTTTAAGTTTTATCCCCCCAGAACAGGATGATCAATAAAGGAATACCAACAGGGCTGTTCACAATAAGGGAATGGAGATGAGGGGAAAAGAGTTGAGAAGCGATTTTAATTCCCGATGTTCAAGATGGCAATAACTAGATTATGTGCAGTGGTCCATTTTGAAAGCGTTTTTATACTTATTTATGAAGTAGTTCAGGATCTTGGGCTTCTGAAGGCTAAATCATTTTACATGCAGATGAAAAAATGTTCACAAAGAACCATAAAAACACTATTTCAAAAATTACTGTTTTGCAAGCTGACTGTAATGTCAAAGGTTTGGAAGTAGTTCCAAAAAAGTAGGCAATAGGTTAAAATTCTTTAAATTCTTAAAAATAACTACCAAATTTTGAGCACTGAGGCAAGCATTTTGCTAAGTATCTTAATACTTGTTTATACCCCAAATTCCCCTATGAAGTGATTATCATTAACTTCATTTTACAGATGAAAAAGACAAGGTTTCGTGGGGTTAAATAATTTGTTCAAGGCCACACAGCTATGAACTCAGTTTTAATTCAGGAATGACTGACCCTAAAACCAAAGCTTACTCTTTATTACCAAGGTCTAGCGACTGTCTCACAAAAGTTATATGGAAATACCTACTTCCCAATATAAGCAAAACTTTCCTACATATGCATTAACATATATGCATGTGTTTACATATGAAATATATTACCATCTGTTTCAGGGAGCTCTCTGTATCCAACAACATTTTTATCTACTGGAGGAACCAGGCCTGTACCGTGAAAGGTCTTTGTCACAACCTATGTTATGTTAAAGAAAAGAATAAAATGTAATCATGGTAAATAGACATTAAAAAAAAAACCCAAATACATAAACCCTCAACATTTCTGCCAAAATGTAACATTCAATGACATTTTATTTCAGTAAATTTGGACTCTAGGGTAAAAATTTAACACTACTTTTTTCTCAAAAACTAGCTAAAAGTCAAACACTTGAAGTAATCACAGAACAGTTAAATAATTGGCTTTTCTTAATTGTGCCAGTCACTTGGAAGTCTGCATCCTGATTTGTTAAGGAAGAACCCAATACATCCTAGAAGGCAAGCCAAAATATCAGTTTCCTCTAAGGTCAAAGTACCTTCTTGGTAGAAAGCACAGAAGAACCTGGGTCTAAAAGAAAGACGGTAAGAAACAGTTTTTGTCAGCAAGAGGATATGGTAGGACAGAACTCCTCTCCTCCATCCTGCCAAATTCAGACCCCCCTATTTTTATCTGGAATATTTAGGCTTGTTGGAAAACTTCCCAAAAGTAGGGCAGTTTCTAGGTTTGTGGTGTCTTTTACGGAGGCAAATCACATAACCAGTGAGCTTTTATCAAGTGTTAGTCTTCAAAGACAAAAACAGGCCCAACTACAACTACCACCATAACCCTTCCAGTTTCCATTCTTCCTTTAATTCATGTTAGTGGCACTATTTTTAGGTCTTTCCTTAACAAAACATCTGTACAAATATTCCACTTCTTTGTGCAATTCAGTGAAAAGTTTCCAAGGCAGAGGAAGCACATAACCCAAAAAGCAAACTCCAATTTTAAAGGCTTCTCACCTAAGTCTCTATATCTTAAAGTCTTTTTCTCTTGAATCTCCCTATTCTCCCAGTCTCTTGCTTCTTTCATCACCCTTTATTAAGCTGCCAGAAAGGGCAGATTATTCAAAGAAAGTTATTACACAACTGCTTACCACTTGGGAAAAAAGGAAGTCATTGTCTTCTATTGTAATCTTTATATCAAGATAATTTGCAGCTGGATTTCAGAATTAAATGTAAAAATAAAACCATAAAACTGCTAGAAGGTAAATTAAAAAATAATTTTGTGATGGAGAAGAAAAAGTTGACTGTATAAAAATAAACTAGTGAAATCAAGAACACAGGACAAACTGATAAAATACATCTGCAAAATATAACAGTAAATAAAAATTAATGTCTTTATAAAGAAGCCTAACAAAGGAAAACACTAACATCCAAGTTAGAACACATGTAAGAACAAGACTAATTCTAACCCTGATAGAAAAATGGGCAGAGTTCAGGCAGTCAAAAAAAAATACCATGGCAACAAAAGTAAAAAATATTTAACATCCTTTATAATTAAAGAAATGCTAATTAAAACAATGCAGAATTTTATACCTACCAGCATGGAAAAAACCAAAAGGACTAAAGAAAACTCCACAAAATTAGAAACAAGCAAAGAAAAACCACACACAGGCGCGCGCGCACACACACACACACACACACACAATACTTTGGACCTGGTAATACTATGTCTAGGAATTTCTTCTAAAAAAAGAACCAGGTAAGTATGCGAATAAAGGTATAAAAGGATATCTATGGCAGGGTTGTCTGTATTTGCGAAAAATCTTAAGCGACCCAAACTTTGAACATAAGCACAGTATTCTGCAGCCACTCAAAATTATGAGGTAGATCTTAAATTGGCAATATGAAATGATAAACATAACATATTCATAAGTGTAAAAGGTGAGACATAAAGCAGTGATAAAGAAAAAGACAGCAGTGCTATAGTTGCCATCTCAGGCTGAACAACATACAGTAGGAACCATGGTAGATGTATGTTCAGATTTTTTACAGATGATTACCTTACTAATTGTCCATAAAGAGGTATCAATTAAGAAGTCATCAGAATCGTAATTTGATTATGAAGAATAAGATTACAAACTTAGGAAAACTGTATAGGAGTGGGTGACATCCTGAAGCATCAGACTACAGGTGGATGGAGTGACACACCATCATTTTATGCATATTTAACCAATGTTCCTTATGAAGAACATTGGTATGGAAAAGGTGAAGTGGCAGAGAGCCAATTAATAAGAAGATGGGGTGGAAAGAATGCTAAATATGGAAAGTATGAAGTTGGGTTTTGCATGTGTCATTTAAGATTTTGGGCAAGACACACAAACCTCTATAACCCTCAATTTACTTATCTATAAAATAGGATGATAATCCCAACTTTGCAGATTTGTTGTAGGGAGTCAAATGATATAAGGACTCTGCATTCCAAAGTATATTAAGTTACTGTCAGTATAAAAACACTGATTTCTAGTGTGCTGTACAGTACTCTATCATACTAGAGAGGATATATTCTTACACGCAAGGACAAAGCCACTAACTCACATATACTAGTGGAACTTATTTCTTCAGTAGAAAAATATGAATTAAATGAAGATCTCACAAAAACAATAGAAGAACAACCTTACAATAACAGAAAAGGGTTTGAAAGTATAATCATCAACGGGGGTGGATTAAAAACATGATTGTCTTGTAAGTTCTTTTTTGTCTTTGTTTTTACCAGCTGTTTCTGTATAAAGAACAAATACTAAAATGAAACTTCATGGGGGAGGGGTCTAGGACAAAAATATCTATGAAATTTAAACCTGAATCATATCTTATTTATGGGGAAGAATTAAGAAAATCTCCTCTGAAATAAATTATAGCTTGTGGTAGAAAAATATGACTGATAAAATAATTTGCTAACAGCTATTATGTATATTGATGCTCAGACTTCAGTCAAAACAAATTAGGAATACATTAACTAGTCTACAAATGCTACCCTTCCTCCTAGTCACAAGGTGGGAGACGCTTCCTATGATAACCAGAAAGGTAAATGGCAGTATAAAATCTTAACTTTTAAAATGCCATGTTGTAATGAGTTTCATTAAAATGTACGTTTTAAGAAACTTTCCAGGCTATAGGACTAAAGAAAGAGTGCCTGGAACTTATCAGAATATCACCTTTGCAGCTGAATCAAGATCAGAGAAGGAACTGAAGTAGGATTTAATGCCTAAGTACACTAAGGTACTTCATTACCAGTGCTAGTTTATTAAGGAATAACAACTTCTCCATTTAGCTTAGAATATTCAGATGAACCAGCAAGGGCAGACAAACAGTGAGAGGCTGGAAGAGACTGGGGAGCCCTCATTCCAGTGACAAGTGTTTTTTTTTCCCCCAGAGGCCATAAGAACAAACTCCTATAGAATTCTCATTTACTCCAAAGCAGAAATCTTCCAGCTTGTCATTAACTTACTCTGAAATCTATAGCAGAAAACCAAAAGAATCCAACACTAAGAAGTATTTGCTCCTTTACAAAATACTCCCCTCACACTGCAGACATTAGGAGAGATGCAAAAGGAAATGATGAGATGAATAAGGAAAAAGGAAGAAGCACTGTTTATATACACGTTTACTGAAGAAAACGTACCTATGTAAATTTCATTATGTACAAAGCAGCTTTCACTTAACTTTATGAAGTGATTAACTGATAAAACAAGATTAAAAGAGTGGCAAATACTGGCATGAGTTATTCAACCACAGCAGTGATATCACCAGTTATACAATTCAACCAGTGTACCAACCCAAAGGAGCCATCAGACCCCCATTTCAGTGCCATCCTCCTAGCACCCCTAAGGGACAGCATCCAGCTCCTAAGATAGGGCTAGAGAAAAGAAGGGCAGGGTAGAGATGGGAAGGAATCAAGAGGGGAAAAAAATCTGCTAAATAGCAAAACAGAGGCCAACAGATTAGAGTCATACTTTCTTATCTCTCTGTTTCATCTTCATGGTTCTCTGTTCCAGTGAGTACCCCAGTTCTCTGGCTGTTTCTGTGAGTTTTTCATCTACGTTTTTGAAGAGATTGGTTTTCTTTTTATCTGTTACTTCTTTAAGTTTTTTCATCAAATATAATCTTAAAAAGAAGTAAAAGTCCTCATTATGTTGCAGGCCACTATACTAAGTACAAAGACGTTTGGAAGTTGAGCCAAGTTAAAAATGTCAAATTTCATGCAAGAATAAGTCCACAGAATACTTACCAACACTTTTCTCAAAATCCCTAATAGTTTTCTTCAAATAAGAGAAAAGCAATATTAATAAAAACTGCCAGTAACAGAGAAAATATTATTCAAATTTATATTAGCACTCTAATGTCTATAATAGAGATATAAGAAATAGTTACAAAGCTGAGATTAGTCAAGTTTTAAGTTGTATTACTTGATACTAAGATATGGCATACTACTTTGGAGAAGTCTGACCTAACAGAAAAAAAGTAGACATCAAAAAAAAACTCCAGCACTTTGGGAGGCTGAGGTGGGCGGATCACTCAAGGTCAGGAGTTTGAGACCAATCTGGGCAACATGGTGAAACGCTGTCTCCACTAAAAATACAAAAATTAGCCAGGTGTGGTGGCATGCACCTGTATTCACAGCTACTCGGGAGGCTGAGGCATGAGAATCACTTGAATCTGGGAGGCGGAGGTTGCAGTGAGCCGAGATTGTGTCACTGCACTCCAGCCTAAGACTCTGTCTCAAAAAAAAAAAAAAAAGCAAAATTCCATCTCAAAAAAAAATTCTTTTTTGCTCTTATTGCCCAGGCTGGAGTGCAATGGCAGGGTCTCAGCTCACTGCAACCTCTGTCTCCCAGGTTCAAGCAATTCTCCTGCCTCAGCCTCCCGAGTAGCTGGAATTACAGGCACCTGCCACCATGCCCAGCTAATTTTTGTATTTTTAGTAGAGATAGGGTTTCACTATGTTGGCCAGGTTGGTCTCGAACTCCTGACCTCAGGTGATCTGCCCACCTTGCCCTCCCAAAGTGCTGGGATTACAGGCATGAGCCACTGCGCCCAGCCTTTTTTTTTTTTTTTTTTCATTTTTAAAGAGAGGACACTGTTACAATAAGGTCAATAGATTTTTTTTTTTAATGTTGAAATTTGTGTTAAGAAAAATTTAGAAAACGTAAAAGGAAAGAAAAGCTACATTATAAGCTTATACAAAAGCATAATCCAAAGTAGTTTTCAAAAGCATGTAAATATACAGCATGTTAATGCCACTTATGGAAATAATTTTATATTTTATCGTAAACAGGTTAAGATTTTTGCCATCAATGTAAAAGGTCAGGAGTAAAGAGTGGGAAGGAGTGCCAGACTCCCAGGAAGAAAGTTGCAGGGAGTAACAACTCCTAGGAAGAAATTCACTTCTATTCACTGCCAGCATCTGAGAGTTTGTAGTATTCCCTACAACACTGTTATCAAAGGGCTTAGAAAATTTATAGTAGATAATAGTCTTAGCTTCATTTTACTTATCAGGAAAACAAAAAAGGCACAGAAGATAATCAACCTACCCAAGTTCAGAGAGCCAGTGGATTAAACCAGTAGAGTTACCAGTACAGCTGGTAGATTAAAGTGCCACCCACTATTCACAATAGCAAAGACTTGGAACCAACCCAAAGGTCCATCAATGACAGACTGGATTAAGAAACTATGACACATATACACCATGGAATACTATGCAGCTGTAAAAAAGGATGAGTTCATGTCCTTTGCAGGGACATGGATGAAGCTGGAAACCATCATTCTGAGCAAACTATCACAAGGACAGAAAACCAAACACTGCATGTTCTCACTCATAGGTGGGAATTGAACAATGAGATCACTTGGACACAGGGCGGAGAACATCACACACCAGGGCTTGTCAGGGGGTGGGGGGTTCGGGGAGGGATAGCATTAGGGGAAATACCTAATGTAAATGATGAGTTGATGGGTGCAGCAAACCATCATGGCACATGTATACCTATGTATCAAACCTGCATGTTGTGCACATGTACCTTAGAACTTAAAGTATAATAAAAAAAAATAAAGTGCCACAGAAACCCAAGCCACCAAAATCTAACTTCTGATTACAGCACACAGTTATACTAAATCTTACTTTCAATTATTACCAGCTGTATGTCTAGAGGATATGTTTATATCAACCATAAAATGCAAATTTGATGTCAGTCCTATATGAATCAATCCTCAACACTCTGGCATGGCATATAGCTATTCAAGTATGCTATGCTGTGTATTTCCACACTTTCACACACGTACTGCTCCCTTACCTAAAACATCCTTCTTTCGTTTCTTTCTAGTAAGTTCTTAGGCATCCATCAAAGCCCACATAAAATATCCTCTTTTACCTCCGCCACTACTGAAGGCACTTGGTAGCTGCCTTCCCATACATATGATATTATTATGAACTATCTCTGTAAGTTTTTGTCTGTGCCTAAACCTACTCTAACACTCTGCTGTGTGATGCTTAAAGATAAGGTGCAATGTGCAACTGAAGCCATAACCATGAACATGAACATTTTGGGCTGTTACTTTAAATCCATTAGAATGCCTTGAATGCAAAAGAATTTGTACCCATGCATGTTATATGGCATCATGCAATGGCCCTTTGGAAACAGTGGTTCACTAAATTATATAGATGTAAATGTTGAAGCTTATATATCAAATTCACTCCATTACATAACATTAGAAAAAAAAGCTATCAAGCTTACAGTGGTATTACAAGTTTCTCAATCTATTTTTTTTGTTCGAAACCTTGAATTTTATCACTGGCAAAAAATAGTTGTTTTCTTTGGTTCATTTGAAAAAATTTCTGCCAGTATCTAGACCCAAATAACCAGACTTTGTCAGTGAGTCAGTCTTTCTAAAAGTGGGAAAAAGTTCATCTCAAAACTCAATCATACAAGTGCTTTTTTTTCCCTTGAGACAAACCACAGTACTTCAGTATGAGAAATGCTTTCTATGTATTTCCTATTTCACCACAGAATGTTAAAGAGATATACTCAATGGTAGACAGCTAACACATGTATACTCCATCACTGACGTGTTTTTCCAGGGACAGGGTCTTGCTATGATGCTTAGGATAAACTTGAACTCCTGGGCTCAAGCAACGCTCCCACCTCAACATCCTGGCTCCATCACAAACATTCTTAAATACTTTTGCATGTACTGCTGTGAATAATGCAATGACTGTTGCTACTCTTGTGGCACTATCTTGATTCCTGCCAAGATGACAACATTATTATCCACCATTACCTTTGTGCCGTTGGTGCAAAAATAATTTATTATCACAAATAGTTTTGACCCTAAAAGTCCCTGACCCAAGGTCAAAACTATTTGCCCTAGTTATTTTAGGAAAAAAAATAAGGCAGAAGGAAAAAAAATCATTCCCAACTTTTTTGTTCAAAGATATTTAAAAATTGAATGCGTTTATTTCCATATGCATTACACAGTATGAAATGGAATCATTCTACACTATTGTTATTTGCCCACTTCATAACAAATTCAACAAATCAATACCAAGGTATTATGGTATATGGATAGTTTATATTTACCTAATCTCCTCTATTGCTGGATATGTTGCCAATTTTTCATTTGATAAACAATCTGTAATAAACACACATATTTCTGTACCTGTCCAAAATCCCTTTGATGAATATCTGGAAGTGGAATTGTTAACTTAAGGGTATAAATGTGTACTTCACATGGTACCTGGCAATATCATCTGTCAAGAAATCTTAGAACACGGTGCTTTAAACATTTTTCAAACTGCTTTCTACAAAGGTTTTACCAATTAACACATCAGTAAGGGTTCTTATATCCTAATCATCGTTGGTTATTACCATTCTTTAACCTTTAAAAATCTTTGCTGGCTTAATTTTCATTTCTTTAGTTACTATTAAATCTTGCAGAGACAATTCTTTCTCTGGGCATAAAAATTTGTTGATCAAAGGTCTGCCTTGAAAGACCTTACTCTGTCTGCCATAAAAATGAATTTTAAAATATATAAAGAAATTAAGTGTTCTGATTAGCTGATTTAAGAAGGTGGCACTCAAAAAACTGAAACCGTTATACTTTAAAACTACTAAAATAGTTATATCTCAAATAATTTTTTTACCCCTGTGTTTGAGACAAATTATTGAAGGTAGTTCCTCAAGTAGTCACTTGCTGATCTTCACCTAAATTATAAATATTATCAATCATGTATTTTTTTTTCTTTTTCATTGTCTGTGTTCTCCAATTAGCTAAAAAAAAAGGATACCAGAGGAGTCTATGGTTATGTTAGATGACCGCTATTATATTACCTTTTTAAAAAAGATTTCTATTAAGACAAACATAGCTAATAATACAAATGAAAAGTTAGGTTTGTTTTTTTAAAAAAGACAGTCTCACTATGTTGTCCAGCCTGAAAAAATTAGGTGTTTTTACGTGCCAAGGTATTGTAGAATTAATATTTATGGAGCATTTACTGTGGGGCAGATACTGTGCACAAAACAAAGCCTCTGCCCTCATGGAACTTAGATGCTAGTGCAAGAGACAGAAAATAAGCAACAGTTTCTAATAAAGATAGCACCAATTTAAATTGAATAATAAATCCAAAGAGTTTAAAAGAACTTACAAATTACAAATACCAAGCAAGGTTTTATAGGAAACTGAGAGGTATTAGAAAAGAAAGAACATTTTTGGACATCTACAATGTAGCTTCCCTGTAGATACACCAGTAGTATGTACGTAGCACAGTCTAGTGGTTGTACTAGGTTGATTTAGTTTGAATTTGCTTTACTGCAAATTTGTATTATCAAATCACAGGGAACAAAAGCCCTTTAAAGAGACAGTACTAAAAACGGTCAAACGAAACATAATCTACTTGTATTTGAAGTGGTAAAGTTTGCTTTCTTCATTACAATGCAAACTACACAGCCGCTGACAAATGAAATCATTTCAAGTCACGTCTGTGGCTGATATAGCATAGACCGGCTCACTCAGCTCTATTCCAACCCCTTACCCATGAAAGTTTGCTGCATTTCCCATACTACTCTTTAGCCCAGGCTCCACATGGGATCTAGCTTCTTCCAAGCAGCTGCAATAGTTTGAAATCTCAGAGGCAGAAGAGATACCGGGTGGAGGCTGTGCTTCCACGATCTCCATCAGTGAGCACTGCTGTAGAGGCATCTGATAGTTCTGCAGCAGCTGTAGCTGAGATCCCAGCACCTGGTTCTTAGCATTACAGGGGCTGAGAGGCAAAGGGTAGGGCATCCATTTACCTGGCACAGGTTATACCAAAGGTAATATGGTCCTAGACCCACCCATTGTGGCAGCAGTTCTTGATTTCCCAGCTTCCTGATGGTGGCAGAGATAAAATCCACTGTGAGCCACACAACTGTCATTCCTGGAAGCTCAGCCTGCCCCCTCAGCCATTCCAAGGATTTTATGAGCATCTCTTTTTACTTTATTAAACCTTTCTGTTTGAACTATACACAAGTAATGAACTCTTAACAAGTGTTTAAAATCAGATGTCTAAAAAAACTTTTGATTTTGCCATGGAACATCTGAGGTCGAGTATTATTAAGAAAAATAGTTATATAAGAGGTGTAGTTTCTAGTGAAGAGTGACAAAATAACAGTATAGATAAGACTACCTGCAAAAGTCATGGAAATTGTCTTTAGAAATCTACAGTTATGGACTTGCCTCAAACCCGCTTTGTTTTGTTTTTTTGGAGATGGAGTCTCACTCTGTCGCTCACGCTGGAGTGCAGTCGCGCAATCTCGGCTCACTGCAACCTCCGCCTCCTGCGTTCAAGCGATTCTCCTGCCTCAGCCTCCTGAGTAACTGGGATTACAGGCGTGTGCCACCAAGCCCCTGGCTAATTTTTTATTTCTAGTAGAGATGGCGTTTCCCCATATTGGCCAGGCTGGTCTCAAACTCCAGATCACAGCAATCCGCCCACCTTGGCCTCCCAAATTGCTGGAATTACAGGTGTGAGCCACTGTGCCCAGCCCCTCAAAGCCCCTTTATAATGGACTAATATAGTATAAACATTGTAAACCTACATAAACGTAAGAGAAATTGAGATAAAATATTCTTACTTGACTGCAGCAAATACATTATCTCCATTTGGAACAATTATACAATTTTTCTTTGCTTCATTTATACCAACATATACAGGAAGTTCATCAGGAGAATCCCTGTTTGAGAAAAAGACATTAAAAATTTAGCTGCCCATAATTTATATTATCAGGCAAGTGGGATTTTAGGTCTACAGACAACAACTTACACCTTTTTTTTCCCCTCTTTTTTAAGGCCTCTTTTATAAGGGAATTTTTTTAAATTGAAACAAATTTATCGTTTTAAGCTCCAAGTTTCTTAGGAACATCTATGATAAATCTTAACTTATATAATGGAACCTAAAACTAAGATTCTTAGGACCTAATTGCTTTTATACTCAAATACAAAAAAAGGAAAAACAAGAAAAAGGATTGTAAAACATTAGAGATGAAAGGATCCTATTCCCGTATATAACCAATCCTTTTATTTTAAAATTGAGGAAACAAATACTGAGAGGTTAAATTACTCAGCCAAGGTCCTAGTAAGTTAGGACCTTGGCTACAGCACAATCAATTCCTAGCCCCATGTGCATTCTACTGTACTACAGTACTTCTTCCTGGGCACGTTCCTTCTATTACCTTACATTTAATCTTCACTTTAAAGGATAGCATCTCTACTGGTACAAGCGGACAAGGTATTTTCCTCCTGGAGTTTCTCTATTTCCTAACCTACTAAGTATCTTGCATGCATTCATTTAATTCTCATAATATTCCTATCAGGTATGTACAATTATTATTCCTATTGTTACAAGACTGAGTCACAGAAAGTCACAGTCACTAATGACACAGGGTCACACAGACAATAAACAGGAGGACAAGTGTGACTCCAGAGATCACTCTTAGCTCCCAGTTGCCACTCTGGCACCTGGAAGCACATAGCTTATTAAGTACAAGTCACAACAGCTGCTCTGAATTAGCTTTATTGGGCCAAAAGAGTTATTCTGAACCCAAAAGGGAAAAAAAATTTTATAAGGAAAGGAAAAACCAGTGAGATTAAACCTAAAGAGTTTACCCATCCTAGGGAAGGTTAAAATGGTAACAGCAAGAACAACAGATGGCTCATATATCCAGGGGAAAATATGCCTTTCACCTTGGGTGAGGCTAGTGAATAACTATTTATCCTCATTCGCAGGACAGCAGCTGTATTTTAGAGGCAAAGAAAAGATCCTTTACCTGAAATACCCCATGTGGCACTGAGTTTATCTCTAATAATAATGGTCTGGAACTCAGGAGGATCATAGTAAAACCTCCAATGAAGGTTAAAATTCGGGACTGTTGATTTTTTCTTCATTTTATGTTTTCCAGCAAGGATATTATAAGGATCAACTAATTGAAGTCCAAGGCTTGCAGAAAGTGGATCTCTAAAGAAAATAAATTTAGACAATACTTTCCGGAGACAGACAGGAAATAATGCTTTTAGTGAGTAAACTATTTCTAAGCAATTGTCTTAAAAACTTTCTAAAGTAAAAGAAAGTCTTGAGTTATGTGTGAAGATGTCAGTTACAAACATTCAATGGAAAAGAAGTCAGAGTAACAGAAAACAGGATTTCCTCTGAAATTTACCACTGTATTAACTTAACATCTCAAACATTCCTGTTGTTTCTTATTTTAGCCAAAGCAAGACTGGTTTGTATTCCTGTAGGCCCATTACCACACTGCAATTAGCCTCAAATACTTGTAGTACACACAGGTTAAGGGAAAGAAAGATAGCAAAAATATGTGGATTAAGAGTACTAAAAAACAAGCCATGCGTGGTGGCACATACCTGTAATCCCAGCACTTTGGGAGGCTGAGGCAGGCTGATCACCTGAGGTCAGGAGTTTGAGACCAGCCTGGCCAACAGGGCAAAACCCCATCTCTACTAAAAATACAAAAATTAGCCAGGTGTGGTGGCTCACGCCTGTAATCCCAGCTACTTGGGAGGCTGAGGTACGAGAATCATTTGAACCCAGGAGGCAGAGGTTGCAGTGAAATGAGATCACGCCATCGCACTCCAGCCTGGGTGACAGGGTGAGACTTTGTCTCCAAAAAAAAAAAAAAAAAAAAGAGTAAAAAACATTTATATCCCCTTTCCTCTACCTCAGCTAATCACACCAGATTCCCCTCACTCTTTGACAATCTATTTGGCCAACCCTAACCCTAGATGATTCCATCTTCCTTCTCTATTCACAGATCACAGTCAGTGTTACTAAACCACAAAGACATGAAGTCTGTGCAATGTACAATGTATAACTTCAAATGGGTCCTTGCTGCTTCCAAGAGGGAGGGGAGCACTCCAGGCAGGACCCAGTTTTATAAGGAGGCAAGGATGAGGAAAGCAAAAAAATTCCTGTAAGAGGTAATAACATGAATAGAAGCATGGAGATAATTGGACAGGAAAAATAGTTCAGCACAACTGGAGCTTAGGAGAGCATACACTAATTTTTTAAAGCAACAAGAAAACTAAAACCATCCATCTCATTAGCCAAAGATAACACAGTTAATACTCTAATATACAGTAACAAATTTCCATACTCTCCACCCCCATGAACAGATACAAATATGTAACAAACTCAGATGGATTGTTTTGTAATCTGCTTTTGTCCTCCATCCTGACGCACTTAAATTTTTTGATTATTTTCCATGCTATTCAATGTTATTTTACATGATTTTTTAATAGGGCATGATACTGCATTATAAAGAGGTAACCATCTATTCTCTTACTGATGGACATTTACTATTTCTTTTTTCTGTTCTAAAAATGTTTCAGTGAACATCTTTGCTAATGTTTGTACAGACATGACTATTTTTAAAGAAACTGCTATACAGTTCTGTTCTGATCTATTGGCAAAATTCAGAATATGCATCAATATACATTTCCATCAGTAGTGTATGACAGTGCTTACTAGTTAAAAATTTTAAACAGTACAAGAGGTATATAGTGCAAAGTAATGATCACAGCCCATTAACAGTTTCTTTCTCCTTTCAGAGACAAAGTAAGCACATAGAAAAGTATACAGGGATATGTGTGTACTCCCCACTCCCCTTTTTTAAAAAAATACCAATGGTAGCATAATCTATACACTTTTCTTTTTCAGTTAACATATTTCAGGCATGATAGTTTATTATTTCCTAAAAATCTGCCTCATTCTTTTAAAACAATTAAGATCTACTGAAGAGATGTGTCATTGGTAGGCATTTAAGCCATTTCCCATTTTTTTTGTTTAAATATCCTCAAACATAATTCTTAGTTTATCTAATCCATAAGACAAGTTCTTTTTTCTTTTTTTTTTTTCTTGACTGGTATTTTTTTTTTTTTTAATTATACTTTAAGTTCTAGGGTACATGTGCACGACGTGCAGGTTCGTTACATATGTATACATGTGCCATGTTGGTGTGCTGCACCCAGTAACTCATCATTTAACATTAGGTATATCTCCAAATGCTATCCCTTCCCCCTCCCCACACCCCACACCAGGCCCCGGTGTGTGATGTTCCCCTTCCTGTGTCAAGACAAGTTCTTGGAAGCAGAACTGTTAAATCATATTCAAACTCCTACAACATATGAAAGTGCTTACCTTCCTTCACATTCCCCCAGAACGTGATGAAATTATTTAACTTTGCCAATAAAATAGGTGACAGTGGCATTACTATAGCATTAATCTATATTTCTTACTATATTTTCTCTTACTAGAAACATCATGGAAAATATTCCTTTTCTATTAACTGTTTATATTCTTGGTTAGTTTTTTTTTTTAAATTATTTTATATATATACATTTTTTTTTGAGACAAGGTCTCACTCTGTTGCCCAGGCTGGAGTGCAGTGGTGTGATCTCGGCTCACTGCAGCCTTCACCTCCCAGGTTCAAGTGATGATTGTGCCTCATCTTCCCGAGTAGCTGGAACTACAGGGATGCACCACCACACCCAGCTAAGTTTTGTATCTTTAGTAGACAGGGTTTCACCGTGTTGCCCAGGCTGGTCTCGAACTCCCAACTTCAAGTGATCTGCCTGCCTTGGCCTCCCAAAGTGTTGGGATTACGGGCGTGGGCCACCATGCCTGGCCAATTATATTTTTAGAGACAGGGTCTTGTTCTGTCACTGAGGCTGGAGTGATGATAGCTCACTGCAACCTCGAACTACTGGGCTCAATGAAGGATCCTCCCATCTCAGTCTCCCAAGTAGCTAGGACTATAGGCACCTGTAGCCATGCCTAGCTTTTTTATTTTATTATTTTTATTTTTTTGTAGAGAAGAGGTCTTGCTATGTTGACCAGGTTGGTCTCAAACTCCTGGTCTCAGGCGATCCTCCTCCCTCAGCTGGGATTACAGAGTGTGAGCCGCCACACACAGCCCATTTCCTATTACATTACTTTTTCCATTTATACAAGAATGATTCTGGAGCAACTCACCAGCTGGTTTTTCAGAATCAAGTTCTTCACAGAACTTCCAGAAGTGATAGAAATCTTCAGGTAAAGAGAGCGTATAATGATTTTCTACTTCTTTTCGAAGGTCACTGGAGACATCAGCTTCACAGAATTTACTTTTCTTCACATCAACTGTTTTTTCACACTGAAAATTGACACACAAAACTTCAGTTCTCCAAATCGTTTTTAGTAATTTCAGTAACTCTCCTTGCATAACAGTATCACTCACTCTTGTTCACCCAACTCTATGAGATAGTATATGTGTTTTCTTTAAAACTCTCTAAATGGTAATTGAGTAAAATCTGGGAATTTGGGCACAGAAAAAAAGAGTAGTTTATATGGTGGTTAAGAGGAATCCATACAGCAAGTCTTTAAATATATTTTTCTAAGATAATGGAAACCACAAAAAACAAAAAGGTAAAAATGAAATAGTAAAGAGCAGGAAGAGAGGAATAAAGAAAGGGCAGGTTTTGCCCTCTTTTGGTTAAAGGTCCACGTGGGTCTTTTAAACAGATTCGTTGATCACATCAGAAACAAATAGAAGTAACTGGATATAAGCAATTCATCAGTTAAAAAGCTGTTTCTTCAGCAACATCCAGAGTGGTGTCTGAGCTATTCACTACAATCATTACCCATCCTTAAAAACAGATACCTCCCTTTTGATTTTCCAAATAAAGAGGGAAGGTTAGTGACAATGTTAAACATCCACAATTCCTAACAAAGTTAGCAGAATAGCACTAAACTCTAGGCCAAAAATCCAATTATTTCAGAAAAGGCCAGGATTAGGTTACAATAATCATCTCTAGCACCACCGCAATATAGGTTCAGTGTGCTAGGTTTTATAATGCCTATTAGGTATTTGATAAATTTCTGTAAAGATAATATGCTTAATTGGAGGTTACATACATTTAGTTTTCTAAGATGCAATCTGTTTTTCTTTCCAGGAACCTAGATTCTTTCTTTTTGTATTAAGTTCTTTCTTTTTTACTCTTCCTACCTAGAGCAGTGGTTCTCAACTGGTGGTGATTTTCGCCCCCAACCCACGACCCCTGCCCGGGGACATCTGGAGACCTAGTTAGTTGTCACGAATTGGAAGAAGGGTGCTAGTGGCATCTAGTGGGGCAGAGGCCAGGGATGCTCAACATCTTACAATGCCCAGGATAAGCATCCTCAACAAAGACTACTGGCCCCAAATGTCAACAGTGCTAAAGTTGAGAAATTCTGAGCTAGACGTTTCTCGTATTTATATTCTTCAATTTTCCCAGTAGGCTGAAGTTTATTAATTTTATGTTAGGTATCATTCAATATCTACAAAACGTATTTATGAATCAGATGACATAAGAATAATCATGATGGCAATGATTTAAAGAGCAAACAAAACAGAACAAATGCCTATTGGTAGAATGGTTATAAGGCTTCCAAACAATAGACTATTACACTTAATATTACAGTTGACCCTTGAGCAACAAGGGTTTGAATTTTGTGGACCCACTTATACATGAATTTTTTTTCCAACCAAATGCAGACTGGAAAATAACAGTATTCTTAGGATGTGAAATCCACTTAGAGAGAGGGCCAACTTTTTGTATACTCGGGTTCCACAGGACCAACTTTGGAACTTGGGTATGCTCGGGTTTTGGGATATGTGAGAGTCCTGGAACCAATCTCCTTCATTTACCAAATGGTTACTGTATGGCTACACAATATGGACCTATCTATATTAAATATTTTTAATGAGGAAAAAAGTTCTTGATTATATGCAGCATGATAGCCTTTTTATGAATTTCAAAAACTAAAAATAAATATTATTTAGGTATACATTCATAGGAGATGAGCCTATTTTTAAAAGGCAAGGGAAAACAAAATTCAGGATAGCTACATTGAACATGAGTGACAGAAAGAAGGCTGAAGGGAGAGGAGAGGGACATGTGTAGATGTAGAACTACTGTTTCAGTTTTAGGGTTGGGCAATGGGTTCACAGGTGTTTGTTATATTACTTAACATAAATAAGCTCAAAAACAATCATGAATTGAACAATGGTAACAGTTTATTGTGCCAAGGATTATAATGCATCTGATTTAAAAAAGAATGACGCTGAACAAAAAGGCTGTTGAAAAATGAATCCAAAAGTGAGTATCAATAGCAAATAGTAATAGTAAAGATAATATAATAGTAAAAACAAGTAGTAAGTCATACTTATTGAGAACTTATCTTGTGCTATTTCACTGTTCTAAGCACCTTCTGTGAATTAACTCATTTAATCCTCAACTATCTCATGCACTAGATACTATTAACCTCATCTTACAGCTGCTGAGGTTAACCTCCCTATGTCCCTAACTAGGAAGTGGAAGAGAAGGGATTTAAACTCAGGTTTAAGTCTGGCTCCACAGCAGATTCTCAACCACTTCCTGTTGCTTCTCCAACTGTAAATATAGAACAGTAGGAACATATGAAGTCCCGAGCTATCCTATCTTCTGTTTTTATAACTGTCTTTGGTCAGACTTTCAAAGACTGGCTCCAACTGAAGATGTTAGAAAAGGCTTAATCTGCCTTGCTGAAAGGCAGTTTTGCTTAATGGTTAGGTTGCCTGGGTTGACTCCTGACCCTACTGATTTCCAGCTGATTTCCAACCTTAGGCAAGTTACTTAACCTCTCTGTGCCTTGTTTTCTCATCTGCAAAAAGGGCATACAGTACCTCTATCATAGGGTTGTTACAAGGAATAAGTTATTATATGTAAAAATACACAGAACAGTCCTAGCACATAATATGCAAATGCCGGCCATTATGGTTATAGCCTCTATAGACTCGCCTTCATTTCTGCTATTGTATTTCTAGTTAAGCACCTCACGCCACCAAAGCAGTTCTTCACTGAACCTTCAAAGAGAATTTTTTCAGCTCTGCCTTAACTCACATACTAGTTCAGCATCTCCATATCCCTAACAACTAGAATTTAGGACAGCTGTCCCCTTCAGAGGCTGCATTTCTCCTTTACCCTGGTATTCCTAGAATGCATGACCCAATATGAAGAATGCCTATACAACTGGCCCTTTACTAGTTAATTAAGCCCTCCAAGAATGTCTCACACCCTATCCGATTTATAACACTGCCAGACTAAGTTTTCTAAAACTTTAGTTATCACAATGGCACTTCCTTCCTGTCTGATTCCCCTTATTGCTACTGTAGTGGTTACAGAACTTCCGAAATCGTAGTAAAATATGAGATAATGCACATACTTTTCCCCCCTCCCCTCTCATAGTGCTTTTATGATCAGGTCCCTCTTACTTTCCCATTTCTCTGGCTCCAGCCAAGCCGAACGCTCCACTATGCCCAAACATCTCCTACACTTTTACGTCTCAGACTCTTCTCTGCCTTCAAAACCCATTTTCAAAGAGTTGTCTTAAAAGTCTTCTTTAACACCCCCTGGGACTTGTTAAATCCTCCTTCAGTGTTTCCATAGCACTTTCTACACACCAGCATTATAATCCCAAACAAAAAAGTCACAGTAGAATGCATATTCGCTTGTGCCCCTCCTCCCCAGGCCGGAGGCTCTACATGGAGAAGGGGCAGGCGGGTTGACCCCAAATCCGCAGGGCCCCGCACAATGTCTGGTATGTAATCGGTTCCCAATCTATCTGGGTGGGCGAATGAATGAAACGTTGGTTGGCTTAATCCGTTTCCCCAGGAAATGCGCCAAGAGGAGCTGGGCAGAAAATGCAGAGGCGCTACTTTCCTGGTCCAATCCCCTACAGAGCGCGAAACAGCGACCTGGGCAGGGTCCCCGCAGCAAACCGCAGACCCCGGACACACAGCAAGCTTAATAGTCACTGCATGAATGAAACGCGCTGCCTCCTGGTACCCTGGCTGTCATCCAAAGCCACCTGCGTAGCCCCCACAGCCTTTCTGGCAGTATCTGCGGCCCCGCCCCCGCGCCGGGCCTGCGCTTCCAGCCACCGCCCACCATTCTGCAGCTGCAGCGCCAGCCGAATTCCCGGATCCGCGGCCGCTTCCGAGAGCAGCCAACTGCTTCCGGGTTCAAAAGCCTCCAATGCGAATCCCAGCGCCGCTCGGGCGCGCCAATTTAGGGAAAAGGCTCCGCCCATGCCCCGCCCCCTGAGACCTGGCGCCGGGCGCTTTGAGGCCCGGCTTACTCCCTTGCTGGGTATGGGGAAGGGGCGTCTTCTGTCCTTGTGGTCCGCTTCTAGGCTTTTTGGAGCATCTTCCAGGGTCACTCCAGAGACCCCCCCAGACTACTGAATCTGAATCCGTTAGGGTGGTCCAACCTTCCTCTTCAGGTGTCTACTAGAGGCAAGGTTGGATGTATGCGGCTGCCCTCAGTACAGCCCCTTCCTTGTTTTTTCTTCATTTGTGTTTACTTAAAACATTAATCCTTTTCTCCCTCTCCTCCATCCCTCTCCCTCCCCTACTATACAGTTATTGACTTACACTAATTCATTCCCGATGATCTCCCAGAAGGAAATAAGTGTCTGTCTGTCTCTGTCTCTGTACCATCGTCTTCTTGGTACAGTTCGGACTATTTTTTCTCTACACCCCAGTTATGCAAAGTGTAGTCCCTGAACCAGCAGCCTCAGCATCCTGAGGGAATTTGTTAAAAACGCGAAATCTCAAGCCCTACCCAGACTTACTGAATCAGTGTCTGCATTGCAACAAGATCCCCTGGTAATTCCTATGCACATCAAAATTTGGAAGGCACAGCTCTCAACTGATGTCCTGGGTCTCCTTCACATCCATCCTGGGAAGGTCTTATTCCTCATTCCTGAGGTGAGTTCCCTATTTCCTGAGTCTGTGTCTTTTTCTTGATTATATAGCCTCATGTTGTGGAACATATCCGCCAATAGTTCCTTGAGGGAGGTTGCTTCCAGGTCTTTTTTCCCACAGAGCGTGCAGGTCTGGAACTGTTTTTATTCTGGCTGAGTTCTAGGTTGAAAATAACTTTCACTCGGAATATTGGAGGGCTTGCTCCACAATATTTTAGCTTCCAAAATTGTTGAGAAACTCTACGTCATTGCATTTCCTTCTCCTTCTCAGGTCACTAAATTTCTTGTTATGTAACCCGCTTTGGTTTCGGTTTTGTTTTGTCTCAAGAAGCTTTAGGATCTTCTCTTTATACCCAGCGTTCTAAGACACAATCGAGTGTCTTTCTTATGGGTCTTTTCTCATTCCTATTGATCAGTTTTTCAATCCTGAAACACATGTTCTTCCGTTATGGGGATTCTCCTGGTATTATTTATTTGATCGTTTCTTTCCGCCCTCTCTTATTTTATCTCTTATTTTTTGAAATTTGTTATTTAGATCGTGGACCTTCTTGGCTGATGTTTTTTCTTACCTGTCTGTCCTATTTTCTATCCCTTCATCTTTTTATTCTACTTTCTCTGTGACTTTTTCAACTTAATTGGACAAATGATTATCAGATTACTTTATTTCTTTTATTATACCTTCATTTCTAAGTGCCCTTTTTATTCTCTGTTCTTTTATAGCATTACATTATTGTTTCATGAATATACCTCCTTTACTCTCTGAAGATGTAAATTATAGGAGTTTTAAAATACTTTCTACATAACTCTGCATTGATTTTGATTCTTTGAGTTTTTTTTGGTTGTTTGTTTGTTTATATTTGGTCCCTGTCGTTTCTGCTAGAGGCGTTCTTCATCTTGTGTAGTGATCCCTGCTGTCAATTTATATGTAAAAGTGATGCTCTAAAAAGGTGCTTTGGGGACATAGGCAAGGCTTGTTCACTGCTGGACAAGGTGTAAGATGGTGGGGCAAGGTGTAAGATGGTGGGGCAAGGTGTAAGATGGTGGGACAAGGTGTAAGATGGTGGGGCAAGGACCAGCTGTTTATTTTCTTCTAGAGAGTAATCTTCTAATTACTTGCTTTGAGAATATATAGCCTTCTTGGAGCCCAATGCGGGAAAGAGTTTGGGAGACTTAGTAATTTCATTATATGCACTGATGCCCTGTGTTAGTTGGGGTTCTCCAGAGAAACAGAGAATGAATAGATATCTATATCTATACCTATATCTCTATCTATCTATTAGCTCATGTGATTATGGGGGTTGAGAAGCCCCACAATCTGCTGTCTGTAAGCTGAAGACCCAGAAAGCCCATGTTGTAGTTTAAAGCCCTGATAACTGGAGATGGTGTAGATTCCAGTCCGAGTTTGGAGTCCTGCAAACCAGGATCACCGAGGGCAGGAAAAGATCAAAAATTCAGTTCAAGAAGTCTAGCAGAGAGAAAGTGAATCCTCCCTTCCTCTACCTTTTTGTTTTATTCAGACCCGAAATGGATGATGCCCACCCACATTGGTGAGGGTAATCTCTTTTACTCAGGGCCCTCACAGACACTCAGAAATATTGTTTAACCAGATATCTGGGCATCCTGTGGTCCAGTCAAGTTGACACATAAAATTAACTCTCCACCGAGCATGGTGACTCATGCCTGTAATCTCGGCACTTTGGGAGGCCAAGGAGGGTGGATCACTTGAGGTCGGGAGTTTGAGACCAGCCTGGCCAACATGGTGAAACCCAGTCTTTACTTAAAACACAAAAATTAGCCAGGCTTGGTAGCACGTGCCTGTAGTCCCAGCTACTCGGGAGGCTAAGGTACAAGAATCACTTGAACCTGGGAGGTGGAGGTTACAGTGAGCTGAGATTGCACCACTGCACTCCAGCCTGGGTGACAGAGTGAGACTCTGTCTAAAAAAAAAAAAAAAAGACCTAATTATCATGCATACCTTCACTTACAGCACTGTTTCATAATAGCATTTTTACCTTCAGCTGTGTCTGGTGTCCCTGAATCCATATCCTGGTTCCATATCTCCCAAAAGAAATAATCTTGCAGGTTTCAGGTTGGGAATGAGGGTTAGAGAAAGTTTCCCTGACTTTGCCAGGGGAGGAAATCTAGGAGTCTTAACTGCTTCTGGGACTTTTAATGGTCTCTTTTCAGCTCATCCCACTGAAGAGCTATGGCACTTCCAATTCCTGAGCCTTTGTGAGGTTCTGCGTGTCAGTAAGCTTGCTTCCGGGCATCACCTCCGAAAACACTTGGGTTTCAGTTTTCTCTGGTAAGTCCGTATGTTCACCAGTACATTAGCTCCCTAAAGCTGCCATACAATTACCACAAACTGGGTGGCTTAAAACTATGGAAATTTATTCCCTTACAGTTATGGAGGCTAGAAATCAGAAATCAGGAGGTTGGTTCCTTCTGGGGTCTCTGAGGGACAATCTGTGCCATGCCTTTGCCTTAGCTTCTGGTGACTGCTGGCAATTCTTGGCATTCCTTGGCTTGCAGATGAATCACTCCACTCTCTGCCTCTGTCATTACGTGTTCTCCCTGTGCATCTGCCTGTGTCTAACTTTCTCTCTTTTTGTAAGGACGGCAGTCATTAGATTAGGGCCCATGCTAATCAAGTATCACTTTTATGGTTTTATTATTTTTTTTATTTTTATTTTTTTGAGACGGAGTCTCGCTCTGTCGCTCAGGCTGGAGTGCAGTGGTGCCATCTCAGCTGACTGCAACCTCTGCCTCCCAGGTTCAAGCAATTCTCCTGCCTCAGCCTCCTGAGTAGCTGGGACTGCAGGCGCACACCACCATGCTCAGCTAATTTTTGTGTTTTTAGTAGAGACAGGGTTTCACCATGTTGGTCAGTCTGGTCTTGAACTCCTGACCTCAAGCGATCCACCCACTTTGGCCTCCCATAGTGCTGGGATTACAGGCGTGAGCCACCACACCCGGCCGTCACTTTATCTTATTTTGATCACATCCGCACAGACCCTATTTCCAAATAAGGTCACAGTCAATGTATCCTTTGGGAGGATGCAACTCAACCCTCGTCAACTGATTTCTAAACTTTTGTGGCATTTTTCTGTTGTCTCTTCTCCTGTTTTCTTTGTTCTTATGAGTATATGGTCCCTCTTTCCCCCTTTTTAACATTCTTTATCTTTGTTTTAGTGAGGCTTCTTAAGGAGTGGAGGAAAGTGGATGTTTTCAAGGTATGTTAACTGGAGTATTTATTATTGCTATTTTTCAGTTGAGTAGCACTAGGTTTGCAGTTGTAACCTGTAAAACTGCATTTATTATACACAATTTCAAGTTCAGAACTAAAACTTTGCTCTGAATAATAATTTTGTAACCATCTTTTGTAGAATGTGAATGAAATTTTTAATTCAAACATTTGACATTTAATGTCTTTTAGCCTGCTCGTATGTTTGCTCCACAGTGATTTTGAAGGAATGGGTAGAGTTGACCAAATTTGGTATACTTCTTCAGGTTATCAGTGTCTGTCATTTTGAAACAAAGTTATTATTAATAAATGTTTTATATCTAGTACTTACTATGCAACAGTACTATTCTTTTTTAATATTTATTTTTAATTTGCAGATAATTGTGTATACTTATAGAATACAATGTGATGTTTTGATATATGTATACACTGTGGAATGATTATATCAAACTAATTTACATATTCATCACATCAAATACCTATTATTTTTTGGAGTGAGAACATTTCAAATCTCTTCTAACAATGTTGAAATATGTAATACATTTTATTAACTATGGACACTATGTGGTGCAATAGATCTGAAAAACTTATTCCTTCTGTCTAACTAAAACTTTGTACCCTTTGATCAATATCTCTGCAGTACCCACTTCCAGCCCCCAGCCTCTGGTAACCACCATCCTACTCTTTACTTCTATAAGTTCAACTTTTTTAGATTCCACATATAAGTGAGATTATGCAGTATTTGTCTCTCTGTGACTGGCTTATTTCACTTAGCATAATATTCTCTAGTTTCATCTACACTGTCAATGATGACAGAATTTCCTTTTTTAAGACGGAATAGTATTCCATTGTATGTGTACCACATTATCCATTCATCTGTTGACGGACACTTAGGTTGGCTATTATGAATAATGCTGCAATGAACATAGATGCCCAGATATCTCTTTAACATGTTGATTGCAATTCCTTTGTATACATACTCAGGAGTGCAATTGCTGGATCATATAGTAGTTCTATTTTTAGTTTTTTGAGGAGCCTCCATACTGTTTTTCATAATGGCTGTGTTAATTTACACTCCCACCAACAGTGTACAAGGGTTCCCTTTTTCTTACATTCTCACCAACCCTTGTTATCTTTGATAATGTCTATTGCTATTGTAACAGGTGTCAGGTACTGTCTCATTGTGGTTTTAATTTGCATTTCTGTGATACCTAAGGATGTTGAGCATTTTTGAATAAACCACAATAGTACTAAGTGCTTTGCTTAAGACTAACTCATTTAAGCATCATAACAGTCCTGTGAGGTAATTTCTATTTCTACTCCATTTTACAGATAACGCAGCTAACATTCAAAGAGGTTAAGTGAATTGTCCAAAGTCACACAGCAAGCACTGGAGGTAAGATTCAAACCTGAATAGTCTATCATTTCAGAGTACTTTCAACACTATGCAATACTATCTCTCTAGCAATCAGCCAGATTGAATAAGATCTGTAGTTCACAGAGCCACTTGCATTTTTAATCCTAGTTTAATTAACTTAGGAAATTTGTATCTAAAGGATGCATCTTTTTTTTTTTTTTTTTCAATAGAGGCAGTGTCTCACCATGTTGCCCAGACTGGCCTCAAACTTCTGGGCTCAAACCATCCTCCCATCTCAGCCTTCCAAATGCTGAGATTACAGGCGTGAGCCACCACGTCCCACCGGGATACATAGGTTTTACGGTATCCTCTGAACCTCCCTTTAATCAAGAGAGTGGACAAAACTGTGGGTCCCTCATTTTCAAAATGGCCAGTAAAAGAGGAAATAAGGATATGCAATGTTTAGTTATTTTCTGCTGCCCTCTTTAAGTTGATTGGGGATCTCTTTGTCACTACTTTGGGAAGATAACTTACCTTCTTATCCACTATGGCTAATTGGAGCTTTTCTCATGTCTTTATGGTTGCTGGGAAATTTTCAAATAAAATTCACTGGGAATGGTTTGAAATTGCAGAATTTTTAGCCTCCCGATGTTTTATTTTCCTCTAGTGAGTTGGACATAAATAATATCCTCTTTTGAGATTTGTATCTTTGAAAGACATTTTTTTTTAAGTTTCTCAGTGAAACAAAGAAAAAATTAGAAGGTGGTTGGGTGCAGTGGTTCACGCCTGTAGTCCCAGCACTTTGGGAGGCCGAGGCAGGTGGATTGCCTGAGCTTAGGAGTTTGAGACCAGCTTGGGCAACATGGCAACACCCTGTCTCTACTAAAAATACAAAAATTATCTGGGCGTGGTAGCACATGCCTGTGGTCCCAGCTACTCAGGAGGCCTAGGTGGGAGGATTGCTTGAGCCCAGGAGGCAAAGGTTGCAGTGAGTCAAAACTGTGCCATTGCACTCCAGCCTGGGTGACAGAGTGAGACCCTGTCTCAAAAGAAAGAAAGAAAAAACTAGAGGGATATCAGTTTTATTAGAAAAAATAAAATAAAATAAAATAATTTTAAAAATTGCCAGTCTCCCTGGAATTAAGCCATAATATGTCCAAAGCTTTGTATCAGGTTGCTGGCTTTGCTTGGGGAGAAAATTATATTTGTTTGTGTTATTTTTCCTTTTTTGTCAAATCTGTGGTGACACAATTGTCATCAATATACTTTTAAATCTATGTCTTCATTGGGGATGATGCTAGTGAGCTTATGTGGAAAAATGATCTGTGTGGAAGCAGAATTGATAGGTGATTGCCAGCACCTTTGATTTTCTCTTAATAATTATAATATGATACTTTAAAATATGTGTTTTTATAGAAATCCATGTCAAACAAGATACATAGAATGTGATTCTGTAGAATATTAATAAATGAGAATTCAGATGTGGGCCACCAGAACTTTAGAGTGACAAGTAAAATAAGTGAAATGTAAGGATGGCATGGTTTGAGGTTCTGTAAATAAAATGCTACAGAAGAAAAGGATCCTAATCACAACACAGGTTTAGAAAACACACAACAATAGTAGCTATGAAATATATATGTTTTAGATCTAAAAGTTACTGGGTTTGCTATGCAGGCAGTAGTCCTTGGTGAAACATGGATTAATAAAAGACAGAAAATGGAAGCAAGAATTCCTATGTATTCTTTAAGAGCGTCTGATTCTAGCATTTATCTAAATTTAAGCTCTGGATCAAAGAGAATGTTTTTCCACTGGGCGCAGTAGCTCATGCCTGTAATTTCAGCATTTTGGGAGGCCAAGGCGAGCAGATCACCTGAGGTCAGGAGTTCAAGACCAGTCTGGCCAACATGGTGAAAACCTGTCTCTAAAAAATACAATACACCAAGCCGGGCATGGTGGCTTACACCTATAATCCCAGTTACTTGGGTGGCTGAGGCAGGAGAATCACTTGAACCTGAGAAGCAGAGGCTGCATTGAGGTTGTGCCACTGCACTCCAGCCTGGGCAACAGAGCAAGACTCTGTCTCAAAAAAAAAAGAATATTTTTAAAAGTTTTTTTTCTTTTCAGTCTTTGTGTACTTTCAAGGCCATAGATGTCATAGCTAGCTTCTTAAGCATTTCTTTCTGCATTTGTTATGAGAGCTGCTGAAAATTAAAGACAAGACAGGATGCCACTTAGGATCCCAGGACTTGGAGTGTAGCCAGACACTCAGCATTAAAGTGTATCAGGGCAGGATAACCACATAGAGTGGCACATGTGTAAGGAATCATAGGCTTAGCCAATTGAATTTCTAAGGTTCTAAATGATGAAAGTCATTCACTCTGGCAGTCAGGAATGAGATGAGTCCCTGTGACTCAGGCTGTTGGCCACCCCGTAGGATAAATCAGCTTTGAGAAGGCCCAGAGCCCCCACAGCATTATAATTCTGATTCCCAAATATGCTATAAAGTAGGACTTCTTTTAGGGGCTATTGATAGTGGGCCACCTAATTAGGGACATATGGGTGATTGTATTACACAGGAAACAGATTTGGGAAGAATAAATTTTTTGTCTAAATTGCTGTACCAAAAGTCAGCAGAAGCTTCAGGCAGAGCTGATCCCCTATCATTGTTACTGATGGGCTGCAAATGAGCTGTAGCATTAATCTTTGACACCACACTCTTGTCCTTACCTTCGACCACTTTGACTCTGGCAAATTATACAGCTAAATGGTGATGAAACTGGTCTGCCCAATTATGCTTAATCCAGATCAGTTACCCTGGGACCATGTAACCTTTAGTTAGCACTAGCTAGATGATCCAAACACGTCTTTGAAAGGCCCCAGAGGTTCCCCAGTCTTCATATTTACAGTGGATGAAAAGTCCAGCTGATTCACCAGTTCATTTCTTTTCCTACCACAATTTCTTAGAATCTGGCTCTGAGCACAAACTGGCACATAATGGGTGCTCAATAAATATTAATTGACTTACCAGCCTCTTTAATGAATAGCAGTCACCATCATTAAATAGTTACTCACCTATCCTTTCATCTTTTCAGTCATTTGTTCATTCAAAACATTTATTAAGCCCCAATTATGTGTCAGAACTATGTTAGGCACTGGAAAGACCAAGATGACACAGTTGCTATGTTCTAGGAGCTTATAGTGTACTGAGGAGTCCTATAAAAGTACAGTCAGTATTTCTGCTAGTCACATAGAAGAGGTGTAAGAATTATGTAAGTCTTTATCACACTCCAGTCTTCCAGACACATTGCTCCAGAGTAGTCTCTTTAAAAGAACTGATCTAATCATTTTACTCTGTGACTATCACAGAATTGATCAGACAAAAATTCTGAACTAGTAGTGTTACTACCAGGAAATAAGAAATGACACAACAAAGGGTGATATGGTAGAGAGCAAGCTCAGTTAATATGAGGAGTTTGCTAGGTGATGTTACAAGGGAATGTCAAAAGCAGCAACTGAGATCAAGATCATGGAGAACAGCCAAGGAAACAAGAGCTGGGAATGTAGGGGGCAGTTACTAGAAGGATCCAACAGGATATTACTATTGAGTAATTGTCTTATACAAGGTCATTCTCCTCACCCTCCAAGTTATGTGTTTAATTTCTGAATATATAGTTATATATTACTTTTAGGGCTGGGTGCAGTGGCTCATTCCTGTAATCCCAGCACTTTGGGAGGCTGAGGTGGGAGGATCACTTAAGCCGAGATCAGCCTGAGCAACATAGCAAGACCCTGTCTCTATAAAAAATAGTAATAATTTTAGAAAATTTGAATAATATCTAAAAATAAAAAGAAAATTAATTATCATATTATGCCACCCAGATGCAACCTCAGACAATATTTGGTATATGCAGTGTTTTTCTACATGTATCATATTATAGTTTGTAAAATGAAATAGTACTACACATAAAATTTTGTAACTGGCCTTAATAAGTAAGCTTTATAACAAATAAACATTGTCAAAATGTTCCATCAATACTTTAATGGCTACATAAATATGCCATTGGACAAATGTTTGATAAAGCAATTAACTATTCCCTTAGTCATAAGTTTTTACTATGTGTCATAATTTTTTATTGCTGTGAATAACTCTATGGTCAACATCTTTGTACATAAAGTTTTAAAAAATATTTTTGAATATTACCTTAGTTCAGATTCTTAGAGGAACTGCTGGCCCCACAGATAGGAATAAACTTAGTGTCATAATCCATATTCCCAAATTGCTTTGTAAACAAGGCAGTTTGAAATTGAAACAAAATAACGTATCACATTGTGACTACAGTTAAGAATACTGTATCACATACTTAAAATTTGCTAGGAGGGCAGATCTAACATGTTCTAACCACATGCACACACAAAGGTACTGTGTGAGATGATGCTACGTTAATTAGCTTGATTATGGTGATTATTTCACAAAAATACATGTATATTAAAACATCAAGTTGTACATCTTAAATGTATACAATTTTTATTGGTCAATTATATCTCAATAAGGCTGGGGGAAAAGGAGAGTAAAATAAAAACGTTTTAAAATAAATAAATAAATAGAAACAAAAAGAGCGTATGTTATTTTCCCATTGGCACGAGTTAAGGGCACTGCTACTTGGAAATAACCTACGCATGGTAGGATAAAAAAATAGAGGCTTCTCTGATTTATCTCCATTCTACTTGTCTTCAGCCCCTTCAGACTTATAACTTAAAGATCAGGTTTTAAAAAATGGATTGGACGAAAGATTGGCAAACCCGGGTTCTAGTCCCATCCTTGCCATTTGTCTGCTCAGAAATCTTGAGAAGTCACTCAATTGTTCTGAAACATAGTTTCTCAAACTGTAAAATAAAGATGTTAGAAAAGAAATTGGAATGAAAATTTTTTTATCAGTTAGAAGCAGTACTTGAGAGTGCTCTTTTCAAAATAGCATTGTCATGAAACACAGTCTTTGCTAATTGTTTTGTTTAGTATTTCTTTTGAGGTTGAACAGTCAGATGGCTGTTATGTGCTCAGCCTTCCTTAGCATGAATTTGTGGTAGGTAGGAAGCGATTGTCTAGCCAGGGACTTTATTTCCCACCCTACCTAGAATCAATGGTAGTCTGCTCCAAGCAGATTTATCAGGAGCTCTTTTTCTGGGAAGGAGGTAAGATTTCAAAATTATTCAGTTCATGCAGTTTTCTACCTGTTACATGAGGGTAAGAGAGAGGGTAGCAGTTACACATAAAGACAGTGTATGGGAAATGTATGAGCAGATCCTTGAACGCTTCTGCTATAGTTTGAATTTGTCTTCCCCAAAACTTATGTTGAAATTTGAACCCCAGTGTGATAGTGTTGGGAGGTGCAGCCTTGGGGTGGTTTGGGTTATGGGGGCAAATCCCTCATGAATGGCTTGGTGCTATTCTTGCAGTAGTGAGTGAGCTCTCACTCTCTAAAGACTGGATCAGTTCTCATGGGAATTTTCCCAACAAAGTGGGTTGTTATAAGTCAAGAGGTAGCCTTTGGGTTTGGCCTCTTCACACATTTTTGCTCTTCCTTTGACCTTCTTCACCATGTTATGATGCAGCACCAGATGCTAGGGCTCTGTGCTTGAACTTCCCAGCCTGCAGAACCATAAACTACATTAATCTCTTTTCTTTATAAATTACCCAGTCTCAGGTATTCTGTTATACAAACACAAACAGACCAAAATAGCTCCTTAACAGACAAGATAGAAGAAATCTGGTTTTTAACAAGGAGAAATCATCAGTTAAATAAGGCAAGTTTAGAACAGTATTTTTTTCTGTTCTTTCTGTTTTTGAGCTGGATAAATGACAGACTCTTCTTATTTTACATTTGGGAAATTAGAGTCATGGAAATAGGTGGTTTTGGTTTTTTTAGGTACATCTATTTTCCCACTGCTGAAATAGCTTCTGAATTTCAGATCTTTTTCTTTAGTAAATTACACCATGAAATTGATGAAAATGGCTTTATCAATAGCTTCAGATGCTGTCTGCAAAATAAAGAGGTAAACTCTGTTCCTTCCATCTTTAGGCATTATTTTCTTTCGGAGGAAATATATGTTTGTCATAGGGCTGCTTATTCCCTGGGCTCTTAGAAGGAAAGCACATTGTCATGGCTACAGCTGCAGTACAGCTGCTTCTTTTTTCTTTTTTCTTTTTTTTAGAGGAGGACAACACATTTAGTTTTATTTCAATCAAACCACACTTTCTTTTCCAACTTCTACAAAGTACATCTACAATATTCTATTACAGATCCACTTTAAAAAGGTTTCCTGTGACATTACAGCAAGTCTCTTTTTTCAAACAGAGGAATAATCCCAAATTCTTCCTCAAATAAAATGAAAAACTCCATTCCAGTAAATGGTAAATACATAAAAGTTACAGTAAGCCAGAGACTTAAAAGGACAGCCAAGAAGTCTTCCAACAGTTTATTAGAAAGAATGTAGACATGAAAAAAAAACCCCACTGTCATGAACATAAATTGAGGTTACACACACATGTATGTTTGTACATATCTAAACGTTATTCTCACAATTCTACAAAGCAGCTAGCTCCATTTTACAGAGGAATATTTTAATAAACATACCCCAGGCCGGGTGCAGTGGCTCATGCCTGTAATCCCAACACTTTGGGAGGCTGAGGCGGGCAGATCACTTGAAGTCAGGAGTTTGAGAGCAGCCTGGCCAACATGGCGAAACCCTGTCTCTACTAAAAATACAAAAATTATCTGGGCGTGGTGGTGTGCACCTATAATTCCAGCTACCTAGGAGGCTGAGGCACAAGAATCACTTGCGCCCAGGAGGCAGAGGTTGCAGTGAGCCGAGATTGTGCCACTGCACTCCAGCCTGGGTGACAGAGTGAGGCCCTGTTTAAAAAACACACACACACATACACACACACACACACAAAGAAAGAAAGAAAACAAAAACATACCCCAAATTGATGTTGGTGTTACACAGATCTCAAAACCCAGTGAAGTTTGATAGCTTTTCATTCCCTAGTACATCACCGATGACTCTGTCATTAGTTTGCAACTGATCTCAAATGCTCCCAGAACTCTCTGGGATACTAGGAGAGAATATCCGGAGATTGTTTTTTTTAGGGAGCTAGTCAAAACCCTGCTCTGAAACAGGGTTGGACAGTTTTGACAATGGCAGATCACAGGTCAAAGCTCTCAACTTCCTATCTCCTGTCAAGATAACCCTGCTGCCATCACTAGATTTGCATTTCCATTACACGGTGACCAAATTTACTCTTAATTTTTTTCTGATAACCAGCACTTGCTGGTGGGTATGTATCCTTGGTACAAGTCACTGTCACCTCTGGTTATAGCAGTGGAGCAAAGTGGTAATGGGAAAATTCCTAGGTTTTTGGCTTGAGCAAAAGGGTGGATAGAGGTAGATGAAAGGTGGGGAACGCGGGGAGAGGAGGAGGGAGCGTTTTAGGCAAAAGACCTAGCATGTCAAGGCCTACATGTGGGAGTATGGCACTTTCAAGGTAATAAGTGAGCTCTGGAGAAATGCCTCACCCTAGGACGTAGTATGCGGGCAACTGAGGAGGTTTAAGAACCAAGTTCAAAAGAGGCCCCCGGAGATTCATCTAGAGAACCAAGCACTATGGGATTCCCACATCTAAGAATGTTGCCTTCATTCATCCATCCATACAGTAAACATTTAGCAGTGTAGGACTAGTATTGTTTGAGGAGGGATGCCCTGGATATGGAGATCTTAACATGTAACTAGATAAAACATTGGCATCCTGGGCTGTGGTGGGAACTACCTCCCGACAGGTAACTCCCTGCTGGAGTCAGCAAACTGTCATTTGTCTGTTTTCTAACACTCGTGTCATATGGAATGACATCTTTTTTTTTTTTTTTTTTTTTTTTGAGACAGAGTCTTGCTCTGTCACCCAGGGTGGAGTGCAGTGATGCGATCTTGGCTCAGTGCAACCTCTGCCTGCCAGGTTTGAGTGATTCTCCTGCCTCAGCCTCCTGAGTAACTGGGACTACAGGCACCCGCCATCACACCGAGCTAATTTTTGTATTTTTTGTAGAGATGGAGTTTCACTATGTTTGCCAGGCTGGTCTCAAACTCCTGACATCAGGTGATCCATCCGCCTTGGCCTCCCAAAGTGCTGGGATTACGGGTGTGAGGGAATCACATTTTATACTCCCTTCAAAATACAAGTGTGTGAAAGAACTGGTGTTTTAATCCAAGAGTGTAAGAATGATTTCAAACAAATGGCACCCTTTACAAATCAACAAGAAACTACATAAATTTAAAAATTTCTTTTTTGGACACTTCCCATTTACTCTCTTTGTTTTCACAAAATGGTTAGCCATGGCCGGGCATGGTGGCTCACATCTGTAATCCCAGCACTTTGGGGGACCGAGGTGGGTGGATCACCTGAGGTCAGGAGTTCAAGACCAGCCTGGCCAACGTAGTGAAACCCCATCTCTACTAAAAATACAACATTAGCTGGGTGTGGTGGTGCGCGCCTGTAATCCCAGCTACTCCGGAGGCTGAGGCAGGAGAATTGCCTAGAACCCGGGAGGCGGAGGTTGCAGTGAGCCGAGATTGCACCACTGTACCCCAGCCTGGGTGACAGAGAGAGACTCTGTCTCAAAAAAAAAGAAAAAAGAAAACGGTTAGCCTCTTGTATGTGTATTTCATTCATGTTTATAAATTTACAACTTGGGCATAATACAAGTATTTGTTTTGTCTTTTCCCCATTTGCTTATATTACAAATGACACAGTCTTCCTCCATTGTCCTTTGTGGGCGTAGTTGGATGTCCCCGCTCTGGTATGAGCAGGCCAGGGTTCAAATGCTGCCTTTGTTGCATACCAACTGCAGCTCTGGCATGTAAGATGGTAAAAAACAAATAAAACCACCACCTGTACAGGACCGTTGTGAGGATTAATGAGATAGTGTCAGTTTAAGTGCTCCCTAACTGGTAGTTGTTGTTTCTGAGTTTATCAGGAAATCCCTTATCACGAACAATTTGTCTCCTTAATCTTTTTTCTTCCTTTCCTGCTTCAATATGTCATATGCCTCTGGCCAACCCATACTCCTGGCGGGCTACACGGTTGGATCTTGGCCCCTTCTCTAAGGCTTTTCTTGCACTTTCCCCCTGCCTATTTATGGGTGTTATAAAAGTTATTGCGGTTTTTGCCATTAAAAAAAAAATTGCACAACCGCAATTACTTTTGTACCAACCTAATATATGCTCCAGGCCGAGCTGAGAGGCGTTGGGGTGCACACAGGGAGAGGAGGACAGGCTGGCCTGAGAGTTAAGGGCGCCGGCCTCGCAGGGTCAACACGGCCAGCGGTCACGCAGGGAGGCGGAGTGGGGGCAGGCGACACAGGGCAGGAAGAGGGGAGGGCAAACCGGGTGCACATGGGGACTGTGGCGACGGCATGGAAGAGACAGCCGGTTAGAGTCTAGGCCCTCTTAGGCGATGAAGGGCAGGTGAAGAAATCCCGTTCTGTCTTCCTGCAGTCCTCCCTTGGGGAGCCCCCATCCTATCCTGCTCTGGACCGGGGCAGCTCCTGGAGGGCCCGCGATCGAGATGAGGCCTCCGAGCCGCCCAGAAGGGACTCCGAAGTGCGCGTAGCGAACCCCGCGGTTCCCACGCACCCCCTAGGGTGGGTGGGCGAGCTGGGCGCCTCCGCGCTGTAGCTGTTGGAAACGCGGTTGGCGGCAGGGCACAGCTTGCGGGGGATCCACGTCCAGGTCCCAGCGGAGGGGCCAAGCCGCGGGTTTCTAAGGGCCTGGCTGCGTTTCTGCGGTCACAATCAGGGGTCTTTGCTTTCACCCATCCCCTCCTGGAGAAATAACACAGCTTCTAATGCCTTGTCTTCAGTTGGGAACCTTTCTTGGGAAAGCTCCGCCTGCCGTTGCCCTTGTACCTACCTTCTCCTCTCTCCCTTTTCCTGAAGTGACTGCCCGTCTCTTGCATCGTGTTGTGAATGCTTTGAGATCTTGGCGCTGCAGCGGCATCGGAGATTGGATCCAGCCCATGGAGTGGTCCCCAGAGTCCATTTGTCTGTCCCCAGGGCAGGGACCTCGGAAGAGCAAGGGGGAGGAGCTGACCTAGCCGGCTGATCTTTGTGGCTTAGACAAAATTTAGAGCTTACTTGTCCTTCCAACCATGCTCTCAGATCAGGTAGACAAGATTAGCCTTACACTTAGGAGCGTTCTGGTGGAAGACTAGTGACTTTTTTTCTTCCTTCCTTCCCTTCCTTCCTTCCTTCCTTCCTTCCTTCCTTCCTTCCTTCCTTCCTTCCTTCCTTCCCTCCCTCCCTCCCTCCCTTTCTTCCTTCCCTTTCTTTCTCTCTCTCTCTCTCTCTTTTTTTTTTTTTTAGACAGGGTCTCACTCTTGCTCAGGCTGGAGTGCAGTGGCATGATCATAACTCACTGCAGCCTTGACCGAGTGGACTCAGGTGATCCTCTCACCTCAGCCTCCCAAGTAGCTGGGACTACAGGCCCACACAACCATGCCTGGCTAATTAATTTTATTTTATTTTTTTGTAGAGGCAGTGTCTCACTATGTTGCCCAGGCTGGTCTTGAACATCTGATATCAAGCTAGCCTCTCTCTTTGGCCTCCCAAGATGCTAGGATTACAGGTGTGAGCCACTGTGCCCAGCCATGACGTTTTTTCTTCTTTTTTAGCCTGAAGCTCTATCCCATGTCAGTAAAACCTGCAGCTAGTCTTTCCTGTCTTGCGGAGCAAATCTGCAGCAGTGCCGTCTTAGCTCTATTGTGAGGATCTGTTATACCAGCACCTGTTAACTTGCTTGGCATTTGGAGAAGCTAGGTAAATGTTGTGTGAATGAGTAAATGAACGAACCCAACCAAGTATGTCCCATGAGCCAAGTACAAGGGGAAGAGTGGACTTTTTTCCTGCTCACACTCTCCTTCATTGTTAGGAAAGGCACATTTTTCTACCCAAGGCGTAAACTCCAAGAGTGGATACAATGGACAGGTCAGTCACCTGTTAAGAGAAATGGAAGTTAAATAATTCATAACATTTTGATTTCAATCTGCTGTCCCACCGTTATCAGGTGTATGGCCATTTAAAGAAAATGAAGCTGGGGCCAGGCACGGTGGCTCATACCTGTGATCCCAGCACTGTGGGAGGTTGAGGCATGCAGATCACGTGAGGTCAGGAGTTCAAGACCAGCCTGGCCAATATGGTGAAACCCTGTCTCTACTAAAAATAAAAAAATTAGCTGGGCCTGGTGGTGCGCGCCTGTGGTCCCACCTACTCAGAGAGGCTGAGGTGGGACAATTGAGGTGGGACAATTGCTTGAACCTGAGGTGGAGATTGCAGTGAGCTGAGACTGCACCACAGCATTCCACCCTGGGCAACACAATGAGACTCCATCCCCACTCGCCCCCCACTCCCAAGAACAAAAGAAAAAAAAAGAAAATGTAGGTGGATTCTTTAATTGGGGGACAAAGGTTTAGATAATCTGCAGGATGGACTTTGAGATGTCTTATGTTTGGGGGATTTTCTTTCAAAAATTTAGTCTCCTAATTATGTGCTCAGGCTAATGTGTTTTTTTTTTTTTTTTTTTTTTGAGACAGAGTCTCGCTCTGTCGCCCAGGCTGGAGTACAGTGGCGCTATGTCGGCTCACTGCAAGCTCTGCCTCCCGGGTTCATGCCATTCTCCTGCCTCAGCCTCCCGAGTGGCTGGGACTACAGGCGCCCGCCACCACGCCCGGCTATTTTTTGTATTTTCAGTAGAGACAGGGTTTCACCGTGTTAGCCAGAATGGTCTTGATCTCCTGACCTCGTGATCCACCCGCCTCGGCCTCCCAAAGTTCTGGGATTACAGGCGTGAGCCACCGTGCCTGGCCTTGCTCAGGCTAATTTTTAACGTGAGTATTTATTGAGTAATTTTTAGGAGATGTTGAGACTAAGTTGAAAGAAAACGTAGCCCCTATGCACCATGAACCTAGAGTTTAGAGTTAAGTTGGAATAGTCAACTACGAAGGCTGCTGGGACAGTAGCAATGTTGAAATTCATAAGAGATCATTGTGAACTGGATGTTGACCCAGGATGCCTTGGAAGGTCATGGGTTAGGCCTTGAAAGAATGTACAAGGAGAAATGAATCAGGTGTTATTTTATTTTTAAAATTGTATTTACTTTTGAGACAGGGTCTCACTCTATTGCCTAGGCTGCAGTACAGTGGCCTGATCACAACACACTGCAGCCTTGATCTCCTGGGCTTAAGTGATCCTCCCGCCTCAGCCTCCTATGTAGTTGGGACTACAGGTACACACTAGTATGACCAGCTAATTTTTAATGTTTTCATATTTAATTAAAAAAAATTTTTTAAAGAGCATTGAAAATGATTTATTTCCAAGAGTCATGATTGTAGACAATGTGTGGTCAGTGAGTGGTTGCAAAGCAAATCATTTTTCTCCATCTGATTTGGAAGGCAGAAACACGGACAGGAAAGTGAGTTATTTGGCTTCCTCATCCCTGCGAGCATGTCAGTGCTTCTGTCTCCTCCTTCTTGGCCAGTGACTTGGTCTCTGGGCAGATTCTGTTCTTAAAAGGGTGCTGGTCAACCAGAGATGGCATATATGCAAAAGTGGCTTTTGAAAAAGCTCAGTGTCAGGCTGGGTGTGGTGGCTCACGCCTGTAATCCCTGCACTTTGGAAGGTCGAGGCAGGTGAATCACTTGAGGTAAGGAGTTCGAGACCAGCCTTCCCAACAAAATGAAACCCCATCTCTACTATAATTCTACAAAATTAGCTGGGGATGGTGGCACGTGCCTGTAATCCCAGCTATTCAGGAGGCTGAGGCAGGAGAATCGCTTGAATGCAGGAGGTAGAGGTTGCAGTGAGCCGAGGTGGAGCCACTGCATTACAGCCTGGGCTGTAATGTAATCCTTAGATATTATGAATAATATCACAGGGTGTAGTACACCCACTGTGATATGAGAAGTAATATCTTTCTTAGATATTATGAATAACATCATAGGGTGTACACACACTGTGACATTAGGAGTAATAGCTCCCTGAGATATTACAAATAATATCATAGGACGTATCCCCACTGTGAAATTAGAAGTAATATCTCCCTTAGATATTATGAATAATATCACAGGGTGTACACCCACTGTGATATTAGGAGTGATATCTCGCTTAAATATCACGTATATTATCACAGGGTGTGTAACTACTGTAATATTAGGAGTAATATCCTCCTTAGATAGTACAAATAATATCAAAGGGTGTACATACAGTGTATAAACTCACTGTGATCCTAGGAGTAATATTTTCCTTAGATAATACAAATGAAATCACAGGGTGGACACCTACTATGATATTAGAAGTAATATCTCCTTTAGCTATTACAAATAACCTACTGTGATATTGGGAGTAATATCTCCCTTAGGTAAGAGAATGTACACCACCATGCGATATTGGTGTACACCCCCATGCAATATTGTTTGTAATATTTAGGGAAGGAGAAGATGATGTTAATCCCCATATCGCAAAAAGTGTACACCCCCCCGAGATATTGTTTGTAATATGCAGGGGAAGAGGATGATGTTACTCCCTGTAAATAACCTGCGATATTGACCGTAATATCAAGGGAGGGAGAGGATGATATGACTCCCGATATCGCAGGGGGTGTTGCAATATTGTCGGTAATAACCAGGAGGGGAGAGGATGATGTTACTCTTTATATCGCAAGGAATATACACACCCCTGCGATATTGTTTGTAATATCCGGGGGATGATGTTACTCCCCATACCGCAGTGGGTGTACACAGCCCTGCGATATGTTTGTAATATCCACAGGGGGAGGAGATGATGTTACTCCCCATATCGCTGGGTGTGTACACTCCTCTGCAATATTGTCGTAATATTCAAGGGGAGAGAAAATGATACTACTCCACATATCGCAGGGGATGTACACACCCCTGCAATATTGTTTGTAATATTCAGAGGGGGAGAGGATGATATTACTCCCCATATCAAAGGGGGTGTACACCCCACTGCGATATTGTTTGTAATATCCAGGGGGGAGATAATATTACTCCTAATATTGTAAACACCCTTTGCGTACATTTTCTGTGATATTGTTCGTGATATCCAGGGTGGCAGAGGATGATATTACTCCCAATATCGCAAGGGGTGTAAACCACCCTGTGATATTGTTAATAATATCCAGGGGTGGAGAGTATGATATTACTCCCAATATCGCAGGGAGTGTTCACCCCTCTTGTGATATCATTTGAAATATCTGGTGGGGGGCGGACAATGATATTACTTCCAATATCGCAGGGGGTGTACACGCCCCTGTGATATTGTTGCTAATATCTGGGGGGGAGAGGATGATATTACTCCCAATATCACAGGGGATGTACACCCTTCTGTGATATTGTTCATAATATCAAGGTGAGTAGAGGATGGTGTTACCTCCAGTATCGCAGGGGATGTACACCCCCTGTGACATTGTTCATAATATCCAAGGGGGTAGAGGATAATATCACTCCCTATATAGCAGGGGGTGTACATTCCCCTGTGATATTATTTTTAATATCCAGGGGGAAGAGGATGATATTACTCCCAATATCGCAGGGGGTGTACACTCCATGTGATATTGTTTGTAATATCCAGAAGGGAAGAGGATATTACTCCTAATATTGCAGAGGGTGTCCATTCTTCTGTGATATTGTTTTTAATATTCAGGGGAGAAGAAGATGATATTCCTCTTTTTTTTTATTATTATACTTTAAGTTCTAGGGTACATGTGCACAACATGCAGGTTTGTTACGTAGGTATACATGTGCTATGTTGGTTTGCTGCACCCATTAACTCGTCATTTACATTAGGTATTTCTCCTAATGCTATCCCTCCCCCATTCCCCCACCCTACGACAGGCCCCAGTGTGTGATGTTCCCTGCCCTGTGTCCAAGTGATCTCATTGTTCAATTCCCACCTATGAGTGAGAACATGTGGTGTTTGGTTTTCGGTCCTTGTAATAGTTTGCTCAGAATGATGGTTTCCAGCTGCATCCATGTCCCTGCAAAGGACATGAACTCATCCTTTTTTATGACTGCATAGTATTCCTTGGTGTATATGTGCCACATTTTCTTAATCCGGTCTATCATTGATGGACATTTGGGTTGGTTCCAAGTCTTTGCTATTGTGAATAGTGCTACAATAAACATACATTTGCATGTGTCTTTATAGCAGCATGATTTATAATCCTTTGGGTATATACCCAGTAATGGGATCGCTGGGTCAAATGGTATTTCTAGTTCTAGATCCTTGAGGAATCACCACACTGTCTTCGACAATGGTTGAACTAGTTTACAGTCCCACCAACAGTGTAAAAGCATTCCTATTTCTCCACATCCTCTCCAGCACCTGTTGTTTCCTCACTTTTTAATGATTGCCTTTCTAACTGGAGTGAGATGGTATCTCATTGTAGTTTTGATGTGCATTTCTCTGATGGCCAGTGATGAGCATTTTTTCATGTGTCTTTTGGCTGCATAAATGTCTTCTTTTGAGAATTGTCTGTCCATATCCTTCGCCCACTTGTTGATGGGGTTGTTTTTTTCTTGGAAATTTGTTTATGTTCTTTGTATATTCTGGATACTAGACCTTTGTCAGATGGGTAGATTGCAAAAATTTTCTCCCATTCTGTAGGTTGCCTCTTCACTCTGATGGTAGTTTCTTTTGCTGTGCAGAAGCTCTTTAGTTTAATGAGATCCCATTTGTCTATTTTGGCTTTTGTTGCCATCGCTTATGGTGTTTTAGACGTGAAGTTCTTGCACATGCCTATGTCCTGAATGGTATTGCCTAGGTTTTCTTCTAGGGTTTTTGTGGTTTTAGGTCTAACATTTAAGTCTTTAATCCGTCTTGAATTAATTTTTGTATAAGGTGTAAGGAAGGGATTCAGTTTCAGCTTTCTACATATGGCTAGCCAGTTTTCCCAGCACCATTTATTAAAGAGGAAATCGTTTCCCCATTTCTTGTTTTAGTCAGGTTTATCAAAGATCAGATGGTTGTAGATGTGTGGTGTTATTTCTGAGTCCTGTGTTCTATTCCATTGGTTTATATATCTGTTTTAGTACCAGTACCATGCGTTTTGGTACCAGTACCATGCTGTTTTGGTTACTGTAGTCTTGTAGTACAGTTTGAAGTCAGGTAGTTTGATGCCTCCATCTTTGTTCTTTTGGCTTAGGATTGTCTTGGCAATGCAGGCTCTTTTTTGGTTCCATATGAACTTTAAAGTAGTTTTTTCCAATTCTGTGAAGAAAGTCAGTGGTAGCTTGATGGGGATGGCATTGAATCTGTAAATTACCTTGGGCAGTGTGGCCATTTTCATGATATTGATTCTTCCTATCCATGAGCATGGAATGTTCTTCCATTTGTTTGTTTCCTCTTTTATTTCATTGAGTAGTGGTTTGTAGTTCTCCTTGAAGAGGTCTTTCACATCCCTTGTAAGTTGGATTCCTAGGTATTTTATTCTCTTAGTAGCAGTTGTGAATGGGAGTTCACTCATGATTTGGCTCTCTGTTTGTCTGTTATTGGTGTATACGAATGCTTTTGATTTTTTGCACATTGATTTTGTATCTTGAAACTTGGCTGAAGTTGCTTATCAGCTTGAGATTTTGGGCCGAGACGATGGGGTTTTCTAAATATACAATCGCGTCATCTGCAAAGAAGGACAATCCAACTTCCTCTTTCCCTAATTTAATACCCTTTATTTCTTTCTCTTGCCTGATTGCCCTGGCCAGAACTTCCAACACTATGTTGAATAGGAGTGGTGAGAGAGGGCATCCCTGTCTTGTGCCAGTTTTCAAAGGGAATGCTTCCAGTTTTTCCCCATTCAGTATGATATTTGCTGTGGGTTTTTCATAAATAGCTCTTATTATTATGAGATACGTTCCATCAATACCTAGTTTATTGAGAGTTTTTAGCATGAAGGGCTGTTGAATTTTGTCAAAGGCCTTTTCTGCATCTATTGAGATAATCATGTGTTTTTTGTCATTGGTTCTGTTTATGTGATGGATCATGTTCATTGATTTGTGTATGTTGAACCAGCCTTGCATCCCAGGGATGAAGCCAACTTGATCGTGGTGGATAAGCTTTTTGATGTGCTGCTGGATTCAGTTTGTCAGTATTTTATTGAGGATTTTCACATCGATGTTCATCAGGGATATTGGCCTAAAATTCTCTTTTTTTGTGGTGTCCTTGTCAGGCTTTGGTATCAGGATGATGCTGGCCTCATAAAAATGAGCTAGGGAGGATTCCCTCTTTTTCTGTTGATTGGAATAGTTTCAGAAGGAATGATACCAGCTCCTGTTTGTACCTCTGGTAGAATTCGGCTGTGAATCTGTCTGGTCCTGGACTTTTTTTGGTTGGTAGGCTATTAATTATTACCTCAATTTCAGAGCCTGTTATTGGTCTATTCAGAGATTCCACTTCTTCCTAGTTTAGTCTTGGGAGGGTGTATGTGTCCAGGAATTTATCCATTTCTTCTAGATTTTCTAGTTCATTTGCATAGAGGTTTTTATAGCATTCTCTGATGGTAGTTTGTATTTCTTTGGGATTGATGGTGATATCCCCTTTATCATTTATTATTGCATCTATTTGATTCTTCTCTCTTCTTTATTAGTCTTCCTAGCAGTCTATCAATTTTGTTGATCTTTTCAAAAAAGATCATTGATATTTTGATTCATTGATATTTTGGATTCATTGATATTTTGAAGGGTTTTTTTGTGTCTCTATCTCATACAGTTCTGCTGTGATCTTAGTTATTTCTTGCCTTCTGCTAGCTTTTGAATTTGTTTGCTGTTGCTTCTCTAGTTCTTTTAATTGTGATGTTAGGGTGTCGATTTTAGATCTTTCCTGCTTTCTCTTGTGGGGATTTAGTGCTATAAATTTCCGTCAACACACTGCTTTAAACGTGTCCCAGAGATTCTGGTACGTTGTGTCTTTGTTCTCATTGGTTTCAAAGAACATCTTTATTTCTGCCTTCATTTCGTTATGTACCCAGTAGTCATTCAGGAGCAGGTTGTTCAGTTTCCATGTAGTTGTGCGATTTTGAGTGAGTTTCTTAATCCTGAGTTCTAATTTGATTGCACTGTGGTCTGAGAGACAATTTGTTGTGATTTCTGTTCTTTTACATTTGCTAAGAAGTTCTTTGCTTCCAAGTGTGTGGTCAATTTTAGAATAAGTGTGATGTGGTGCTGAGAAGAATGTATATTCTGTGGATTTTTGGTGGAGAGTTCTGTAGATGTCTATTAGGTTTGCTTGGCGCAGAGCTGAGTTCAAGTCCTGGATATTCTTGTTCACCTTCTGTCTCAGTGATCTGTCTAATATTGGCAGTGGGGTGTTAAAATCTCCCATTATTATTGTGTGGGAGTCTAAGTCTCTTTGTAGGTCTCTAAGGACTTGCTTTATGAATCTGGGTGCTCCTGTGTTGGGTGCATATATATTTAAGATAGTTAGCTCTTCTTGTTGAATTGATCCCTTTACCATTATGTAATGGCCTTCTTTGTCTCTTTTGATCTTTGTTGGTTTAAAGTCTGTTTTATCAGGGATTAGGATTTCAACTCCTGCTTTTTTTTTTTTTCGCTTTCCGTTTGCTTGGTAGATCTTCCTCCATCCCTTTATTTTGAGCCTATGTGCATCTCTGCACGTGAGATGGGTCTCCTGAATACAGCACACTGATGGGTCTTGACTCCTTATTCAATTTGCCAGTCTGTGTCTTTTAATTGGGGCATTTAGCCCATTTACATTTAAGGTTAATATTGTTATGTGTGAATTTGATCCTGTCATTATGATGTTAGCTGGTTATTTTGCTTGTTGGTTGATGCAGTTTCTTCCTAGCCTCGATGGTCTTTACAATTTGACCTGTTGTTGTAGTGGCTGTTACCTGTTGTTCCTTTCCATGTTTAGTGCTTCCTTCAGGAGCTCTTGTAAGGCAGGCCTGGTGTGACCAAATCTCTCAGCATTTGCTTGTCTGTAAAGTGTTCTATTTCTCCTTCACTTATGAAGCTTAGTTTGGCTGGATATGAAATTCTGGGTTGAAAATTCTTTTCTTTAAGAATGTTGAATATTGGCCCCCACTTCTCTTCTGGCTTGTAGAGTTTCTGCCGAGAGATCTGCTGTTAGTCTTATGGGCTTCCCTTTGTGGGTAACCCGACCTTTCTCTCTGGCTGCCCTTAACATTTTTTCCTTCATTTCAACTTTGGTGAATCTGACAATTTTGTGAATTTTGTGTCTTGTGGTTGCATTTCTTGAGGAGTATCTTTGTGGTGTTCTCTGTATTTCCTGAATTTGAATGTTGGCCTGTCTTGCTAGGTTGGGGAAGTTCTTCTGCATATTATCTTGCAGAGTGTTTTCCAACTTGGTTCCATTCTCCCCGTCACTTTCAGGTACACCAATCAAATGTAGATTTGATCTTTTCATATAGTCCCATATTTCTTGGAGGCTTTGTTCATTTCTTTTTGCTCTTTTTTCCCTAAACTTGTCTTCTCACTTTCTTTCATTAATTTGTTCTTCATTCACTGATACCCTGAGGAGCTCATACTCCAGGCATTTATTTAGTATAGAATTAACAACAGAAGCTTTGAGTAAACACACTTGTGGATAATTAACATGGTTAAGAGAGTAGTTTTACAAATGTTTAAAGCTCAGGTACCAAGGTCTAAAGTAAATACCATCGGGGGCAGTTTCCCTGGTCTACCTCCCCGCCAGAGGGCCATCTGGCTCAAAGGTTAGTTAATGGAGGTAGGGTAAACAGACTTACCTGGGGAAGCCTCTGTTGTCCCTAGTATTTGCCCTATGACCTAATGCTCTAAGGTGAGATCCGGCTGCCTTCAGCCTGTTCAATTAGTACAAGTTAGGTAACCTTTCGACCTTCCAAAAGGTTTGTGACTCTTCCCTGTAACTTTCTCTAATATTTCCCTTTAATATTTCTGCCACCATCCTGAGTGATTCCCAACGGGAGAGGATGATATTACTCCCAGTATTGCAGGGGTGTCCACCTCCCATGTGATATTGTTCCTAATATTCGAGGGGGGAGTGGATAATATTACTCTCAGTATTGCAGGGGGTATACACTTTCCAGCGATATTGTTTGTACTATCCAGAGGAGGGGGAAATGACATTTCTCCCCAAATCACAGAAGGGGTAGACTCCTCTGTGATATTGTTCTTAATATTGAGGAGGAGTGAGGATGTTATTGCTCCCCCTATCGGAGGGGGTGTGCCCTTCTCTATGATATCATAATATCCAGGAAGGGATATGATACCTAGGGGGTTAGAGGATAATATTATTCCCAATATTGCTGCAGGTGTACAACCCCCTGTGATATTGTTCATAACATCCAGGGAGAAAGAGGATAATATTACTCTCCATATTCCAGGGAGTGTACCCCCTCCTGTGATATTGTTTGTAACATCCGGGGGGAAGAGGATGATGATATCACTGCAAATATTGCCGGGGATTTACACCCCCTGTGTTATAGTTTGCAATATCCAGAATGGGAGAGGATGATATTTCTCCCAATATCGCAGGGGATGTACACCCTTCTGTGATATTGTTCATAATATCCAGGGGGAAACAGGATGATATTACTCCAAATATGGCAGAAGGTGTACAGTCCCTTGTGATATTGCTCGCAGTATCTGGGAGGGGGGAGGATGATATCAATCCCAATATCGTAAGCACCCTGTGTGTACACCCCCCTGTGATATTGTTTGTACTATCCGTGGGGTGAGAGGATGATACTACTCGCAATATCTCAGAGGGTGTACATCCTTCTGAGGAGAGGATGATATTACCCCCAATATTTCAGGGGATTTACACCCTTCTGTGATATTGTTCCTAATATACAGGGGCAAAAAGGACGATATTACTCCCAGCATCGCAAGGGTTATACACACTTCCTGTGATATTGTTCCCAATAGGTGGGGGTGGGGACAGGATGATATTACTCCAAATATCGCAGAGGGCGTCCACTACCTCTTGTGATATTGTTTTTAATATCGAGTGGGGGGAGAGAACAATATTACTCCCAATATCGCAGAGGGTGTACACCCCCACTGGAATATTGTTTCTAATATCCAGGGGCTGAGAGGGTGATATTAATTCCAATATCACAGAAAGTGTACACCCCCTTTGTGATATTTTTCCTAATATTAAGAGAGGGAGAGGTTATTACTTTCAATATCACAGGGTATGCACAACCCTGTCTGATATTGTTTGTAATATCCAGGAGAGATAGAGGATGAAGTTACTCTCCATATTAGAGAATGTGTACACCCCCCATGCGATATTGTTTCTAATAACCATGAGGGTGGAGGATGATATTCCTTACAATATTGTATGGGGTGTACACCCTCTCAGTGATATTGTTTCTAATATCCATGGGGGAAGAAGATGATATTACTTTAAATATTGCAGAAGGGGTAAACAACCCTGTGATATTGTACCTAATATTCAGAAAGAGAGAGGATGATATTACTCCCAATATCACAGCGGGTGTACCCCTCTCTGTGATATTGTTCTACATAGCCAGGGTGGAAAAGGATAATATTACTCCCCAAATAGCAGAAGGTGTACACCCCGCCCCCCATGGTTTTGTTCGTACTATCCTGATTGGGAAAGAATGACATTTCTCCCAATATCGCAGAGGGTGTACACCCCCCTGTGATAATATTCCTAATTTCCACGGGCAGAGAGGATGATATTACTTTCAATGTCGCAGGGGGTGTACACCTTTTCTGTGATGTTGTTCCTATTATCCAGGGAGGGAGAGGATGATATTACTACAAATATCGCAGAAGGTGTACACCCCTTTTGTGATATTGTTTCTAATATTCATGGGGGAAAATGATAATATTAATCCAAATATCGCAGGGGCTGTACACCGCCCCTGTGATATTGTTTCTAACATCCAGTAGGGGAGAGGATGCTATTACTCCCCATGTCGCATGGGGTGTACACCCCTGCTGTGGTATCGTTTCTAATATACAGGGGGGGAAAGGAATTTATTATACCCAATATTGCAGCAGGTGTACACCCCCCATGACTTCATTTCTGATATCCAGGAAGGGAGAAGAAGATATTACTACCAATATGGCACAGGGTGTACACCCCACCTGTGATATTGTTCCTAATATCCAGGGGGAGAGAGAATAACATTACTATTAATATTGCAGGGGTTGTACACCCCCTTGTGATATTGTTCCCAGTATTCAAAAGGGAGAGCCTGATATTACCCCGAAAATCGCATGGGGCGTCAACTTCCCCTGTGATATAGTTCGTAATATCCAGAGGGGGAGAGGATGATATTATTCCTAATATCACAGGGGGTTTACATCCTGCCCCCATAATATTGTTTTTAATATCCAGGGAGGGAGAGGATGGCATTACTCCTAATATTGAGGGGATTGTATACCGCTTTTGAGATGTTGTTTCTAATATCCAGAAAGCTAGAGGATGATATTACAAGGGGGTTTATACCCTCCTTGTAATATTGTTCCTAATATTTAGAGAGAGAGATGACAATATTATTCCCAGTATCGCAGGGGTGTACACCCCCCCATGATATTCTTCCTAATATCCAGGTGGGGAGAGGATGATATTACTCTCAATATTGCAGGGTGTACATGCCCCTGTGATATTGTTCTTGAAATCCAGGGGGGAAGAGGATGATATTACACCCAATATCTCAGGGGGTGTACATCCGCTCTATAATATTTTTTCTAATATTCAAAGGGAAGAGGATGAAATGATTCCCAAAATCACAGGCGGTGTACACCCCCTTTGTGCTATTGTTCCTAATATCCAAGGGGTGAGAGGGTGATATTAATTCCAATATTGCAGAAAGTGTACACCGCCCTTGTGATGTTTTCCCTAATACTCAAAGAGGGAGAGGGTGATACTACTTTCAGTATTGCAGGGGCTGTACAACTCCCTGTGATATTGTTTGTAATAGCCAGGAGGGAAGAAAATGAAATTACTCTTAATATTGAAGAAGGTGCACACCCCCCCATGGTATTGTTTCTAATAACCATGAGGTAAGAGGATGATATTCCTTCCAATATCACATGGGTTGTACACCCTCCCAGTGATATTGTTCCAGTATCCAATGGAAGGAGGATGACATTACTCCCAATATCACAGTAAATGTACGTTTCCCCTGTGATATTGTCTCTGATATCCAGGGGGGTACTGTATGATATTACTCCCAATATCGCAGAGGGTGTACACACCCTCTGTGATATTTTTCCTAATAACCAGTAAGGGAGAGGATGTTATTACTCCCAGTATCGCAGGTGTACATCCCCACCGTTGTATTGTTTTTAGTATTCAGGGAGGAAAGAATGATATTACTCCCAATATAGCAGGGGGTGTACACCTCCCCTGTGACATAGTTCCTAAAATTTACAAAAGGAGAGGATATTATTCCCAATATGGCAGGGGTGTATACCCTCCTTGTGATACTGTTCATTATATTTAAAACGGGAGATGACAATATTACTCCCAATATCACAGGGACTGTACAATCCCCTTTGTGATATTGTTCGTAACATCCAGGTGGAGAGGGGATGCTATTAATCCCAATATCGCAAAGGTATACACCCCCTCTGATATTGTTAATATCTGGGCGGGGGGAGAGGATAATATTACTCCCAGCATCGGGAGTATACACCCAGTGATAGTTCTTCTAATATCAAGGTGGGGAGGGGGTGATATTAATACTAATATAGAAAGAGGTGTACACCCCTCTGTGATATTTGTCCTAATATCCAGGGGAGGAGAGGATGATATTACTCCCAATATCGTGGAGGGTGTACGCCTCTTTTGTGATTTGTTTTAATATCTAGGGAAGTGAGAGGATAATATTACTCCCAATATCGCAGGTGCTGTACACCCTCCTCTCATATTGTTCATAATTTCAAAAGGGGGATATGATATTACTCCCAATACTGTAGACACGCTGTGTAAACACCCCCCTTATCGGGGTGGAGAGGGAGGTGATATTACACCCCATATGGTGGGAGGTGGACACCCCCTGTCATATGGCTCATAGTATCCAGAGAGGGAGAGGGTGGTGATATTATGCTCCATATGGCTGAGGGTGGACACACCCCTGTCATATGGCTCGTAATATTCAGGGAGGGAGAGGGGGTGATATTGTGTCCGGAATTGGTTCCTTCCGGTGGGTTCTTGGTCTCGCTGACTTCAAGAATGAAGCCGTGGACCCTCACGGTGAGTGTTACAGTTCTTAAAGATGGTGTGTCTGGAGGTTGTTCCTTCAGATGTTCAGATGTGTCCGGAGTTTCTTCCTTCTGGTGAGTTCATGGTCTTGCTGGCCTCAGGAGTGAAGCCACAGACCTTTGCCGTGATTGTTACAGCTCTTAAAGGTGGTGCATCCTGAGTTGTTCCTTCCTCCCGGTGGATTTGTGGTCTTGCTGGCTCCAGGAGTGAAGCTGCAGACCTTCGCAGTGAGTGTTACAGTTCTTAAAGGTGGTGTGTCCTGAGTTGTTCATTCCTACCGATGGGTCTCTGGTCTCGCTGGCTTCAGGAGTGAAGCTGCAGACCCTCCCCAGTGTGGCCTAGGGAAATGAGAGAACCTTGTATAGAAATCTACTAAGGATAGTTTTGAGGTCAGATTGACCTGAGTTTGAGTATTCTTTCTGTTGCTAACTAGCTGTGTGACCTCCAAAAAGTTACTTAACTTTTCTAAGCCTCTATTTTGTCATCTGTAAAATAGAGATAATTATAGTACCTACTTCACTTGGTTGTGATAAAGATTAAGGAGTTAATTTCCTTGAAATCTAGCATAGTGCTTGGCAAAATGTAAGGCTGTTTTTATGTTAAGTCATTAACTGATTTCGCAGCATAGAAGCTGGCATTTTTGTGATTAAGATATGAAATTCTGAAGCAATACAGCAGAGATTGGTTTAAGGTCATAATGTAGGTGACAAATTCCCTGCCTTCCACCATTTCTGAGTAGTCTTTCTACTGTGAAGGGGTTTTCACTTGTCAGTGTGGAAACACAATGGCCTGGGACCTCAATGGGAAGCCCCTTCAAGCCCTGAGACATGGTATCGTGGGGGAGTAGGAGTTCTGAATCCCATCCATTGTGTTCAGCTGAGCTGCAAACAGGAAATATTGTGGTCAATCTTGTAGAATTAAAACCAGGGATCCTTATTAATATGGATATTCAAGATGTTGAAGTCATAGTCCTGGGGGAGGAACCGGGAACACTCATAATCCCTTTGAAAGCATTTGTTGTGTACAATTTATTTGTGGTTATAGCAGATGGTATCTAGAGGATGCTGAAAATGGGAACCTCTGGATTCACTCCTATTACCTGGTCTCCTAATTTTTGCCACCTGTCCTCTCTTCACTGAGTTCCCTGTGCTAGTCATACCTGCTCCATAATGGTTTAACCAGGTCAGTCTGAGTGACAGCAAAAACCGCAATTGTTGTTTGTGGCACTCTGCCTAACAGTGTACTCATCAGAGAGTTGATTTCTCCCCAGAAACAGAACACAGGACTATTTGGTTCTTCTGGCCTAAGGCTTAAAAAGTTCTGAGCGTGGGGCCCAGGACCTTTGGCTCTGATTTGGATCATCTCCCTTATGGAAATCTTTCTGAAATAGGACTGGTTTTTTGAAGCTCTTTGGACTTCCTGTCCATAGCAATTTTTTTTCTTGTTTATTACTCATTCATTGATAAATAATCAAAACCTACATCCAAAGCACCCTAGAAAAATGAGGCTTTCTAGTCCCTACAATCAAGGAGTGAAAATCGAATTGCAGAGATGAAACAAGCTGATTTGTGTATCTGTGCTGGATATGTGGGGACTAACTCTGTCAGTTAACAAAGTGAAGGATGCATGTCATTCTAAGGTTTCAATGGTCTAGAATCTAAAGATCTTGTGGAGATGTTACCATTAGAGGATCTTGACTGCGAGTTGTCCAGGTTCTTAGTGTTTTGAACAAAGAATTGGACAAAACACCCAGCAAAGCAAAGGAAGAAGGAAGCAATGAAAGAAGAAAGCAGGGACTTACTGAAAATGAAAGTACACTCCACAGTGTGGCAGAAGGCCTGAGCAGTGGCTCAAGGTCCAAGATACAGCATCTTCTCGGCTTCAAACACCCTCTACAGGTTTCCCATTGGCCCCTTGGTGGTCACCTCATGTAGATGAAGTGGTGGCCCGCAGTCAGTCTGATTGGTTGTGCAAAGCAACCAATGAGAGGCTGAATTAAAGTTACAAAGGTCACACTCCTGTGCAAACATCTGATTGGCTGCAAAAAGCAATCAATCACAGGGTAAGGTGAAGTTACAAAGCTGCACTTCTATGCAAACGAAGAGTTGGCCTGCCGTCAGTCTGATTGGTTGTGGACAGCCAATTTCCCATTTGCTGCGGAGCAAAGGTGGGGGTTTGCAAAGGGAGTAGCCTCTTGTCCTTTTATTACTTAGGCATGGAAAGTAAGGGTTTTCCTTTCAATTTGGTTCTAGGAAGTCTGTGTGAAATGGCCTTAGGTTCCCTGCCTCCAGATCCTATTCTCCTGCCTCAGAGAAACCTGATTTGCCATCTTGCTGAGTGAAACTGAGCGATGTAACAATGATGATGATAATGATAACATCTGGGTTCTCTGTTGTTTACCCAGTGCACATCTCAGATGTTCTACGTATAATCTTTAATCTTCACAACAAAAGTATTATTATTATTTCCTTTTCACAGATGAGGAAAACATCTCAGAGAAGTTGAGCAATTTGCCCAAGGCCACACAGCAAAAAGTGGCAAAGCCAGGGTCGGTGATTCATGAAATGTGCTGCTTCCTATTTGTGTTATGTTAGGCATGATTCACACCCTTTGGAGATTCCATTTCGTTTTCTGTAAGATGAAATCAAAAGGTAATTGGTTTGTCATAAGTATTAAAAGAATTAATATATCTGCCCAAGTGCAGTGGCTCACACCTGTAATCTCAGCACTTTGGGAGGCTGAGACAAGAGGACCGCTTGAGCCAAGTTCAGCCTGGGAAACGTGGCAAGACCTTGTCTCTACTGAAAATGAAAAACATTAGCCAGGCGTGGTGGCATGTGCCTGTAGTCTCAGCTACTTGGGTGGCTGAGGCGGGAGGATCACCTGAACCCAAGAGGTTGAGGCTACAGTAAGCTGTGACCATACTACTGCACTCCAGCCAGAGCAACAGAGTGAGACCTTGTCTCAAAATACATACATACATACATACATACATACATACATACATACATACATGTAACAGGGCTTGGAAAACTGTAGAGTACTATCAACAGGTAGCTTAATATTATAAAGAATATTTACAGATAGTTCCTTGAGTTTATTTTGGGCTGTTTCATGGCAAAGAAAACCTGTGTTCTTTATGTTAGAATGTGTTGGTGATGCATTTCTCTGTATCATTAGCAATTTCTGTTATATTTGCCACCAGGAGGGCTGGGCCATTCATCTGAAAAGCATTTACTGAGGTCCTTTACGTATGGAGCAAAATGTCAAGCTGGGTGCTGGCACCTGATGGGGCACATGCAGTCATGACTCCTCTTCCTGAAACTTGTAGCTCCATGGGGGAATTAGCAGTAGATACACGAACATACAAAAAAATACATGATCGCAAATCTTCATGAGTTCTCTGAGGGAAAAACGCCATTATGAGAAAAAACTAGTGGGGGTGGTATAGTTGAAATGGACCAAGAAAGTAATTTTTGGGTAAGTGCTAGATAAACTGAAACTTGAAGGATAAGTAGGAGTAAACTTGGGGTAGTTCAGACAGAAAAACACTCCCAGCATAAGGAAGAGCAAATTGCAAGGGCCAGGGTAAGGAAATAATAATACTTAATCATAGTAATTATAAAAGTTAACATTTAGTGAACTCTTATTATATGCCAGATACTATATTAAGTGCTTTACCATTATTATGTCATTTAATCCTCAAACACTTTCTGGGGTAAATGTTATGCTTTTTTAGAAACAGGGTCTTATTCTGTCACCCAGGCTAGAGTGCTATGGTACAATCATAGCTCACTGCAGCCTCCAAGTCCTGGGCTCAAGTGATCTTTCCATCTCAGCACCCCAAGTAGCCAGGAATACAGGTGCACACCACCATGCCCAGTTAATTTTTAAAATTAAATATTTTGCAGAGATAGGGTCTCACTATGTTGCCCAGGCTGGTCTCAAAACTCTTGGCCTCAAGCAATTATCCCACCTCTGCCTCCCAAAGTGCTGGAATTACAGGTGTGGGCCACTATGCCTGGGCCAAAATACTATTTTTATTCCTATTCTACAAATGAGTAAAGCTGAAGCTGGAGAGATTAAGCAATTTATCTAAGGTCATATAGTGTGTAAGTATTGGAATGGGGGTTCAAATTCATGCAGAATGATCAAAAAACTTTACTTTCTAAACCATAGTCTTAGTTCAGTTAAATAACTCAGTCTGTCAGTTCATCTGTTAGAGTTCAATTGCAGAAATAGAAGCCATTTTAGCTAGTTTCAGGAAGAAGAGATTTATCAGGTACTCAGTGGTTTACTAAGCCATTGCAAGAGCAGGAGGGGAAACCCTAAAGCTGAGAGTGTAGGCAGAGCTTCCAGAAAATCTGCTCTTAGCATTTCCTGGAACCATACTGTTTCTTCTGTGATTGGGAAAGCTGCTAATACTGCAGCAAACCACCAAATCTGGAAGCCAATGACTGCAGATCCACACTGATTCTGGTCAACAAAATGTACACATCATCTTGTCTCTCTCTTTCCCCTACTAAACTCAGGCCCAAAGCTAAGTCTCAGACAGGTGCTTCTAACTGGCAGAATTAAATCACATGCTGGTCTCTAGCTGCAAGGAGGATTGGGGGAAATGTGGTTCTTAGCTTTCCTGCAGTGCACCCCATGAAGCCAGAGTGCAGGGAGCCACAGGGAAGTTAGAGAGGCAGATAGAACCACATCATGAAAGGCTGTAGTGGTAAGGAATTAATATTCCATGTGGAATACAAGGATGAGCAGAGGACTAATGTAGTCAGATGGTTTTTAAAGATAACCTGGCTGATGTGTGGAAATGTATGAGAAGGGACAGGAATGGGTGCAAGGAGACCATTTACAAGATATAAGATGGAAAGAAGTTGACAGATTTTAAAATATGTTTTGGATTTTAAATCAACACGATATGAAGTTGAGTTAGATGTAGGGAGTAGGAAAAGAAGGGCGTCAAGAATGATTCAGACTTCAGGCTTGAGAAACTGGGGAGAGGCCGTAGCATCTGAGGAAAGGCTGGGGAGTGGCTTGGTTGGGTGAACATTGGGGGAAGACTTGGAAAATTAAGAGTTCTGTTATGGACATCTAAAGTTTGAGATATCTCTCAGATATAGTCGTGGAAATGTTAAATGGGCAGTTGTAGATTGTTCTGGAGCCCAGAGGATCAGGACTGGAGATAGAACTTTTGGAGGCATTGGCATATTTATTTAAAATTATGGGATTAGATGGAATTCTCTATGCACAGGGTAGTGTAAGAAAAGGAGTAGGCGTAGGACTGAGTCCTGAGCCACTCCCACAGTTTGGGTGGAAGAGGTGGGGCCAGCAATTGAGAGTGACAAAGAATCTGAGAGATGCGAAGAAAAAAAAAGAAGAGAGTGTGGAAAAGATTATGTGCTTGACCAAACTTTAATCCGGCTCCTGAACCTTTGTTTGAACCCATCTCTGTAATTATAAAGTCCAATTTTAGCAAAACCCCTTCCATGCCAGTTTATTAAGAACCCCTCCACCCTGTCCTCCCTATCTGATCACCTTGATATCTATCTAATCCTCCTATCCTCCACCATCCCCCAAGTGATGTCTGATCACCTTCCTTTGTCTTTAGCAAGATTCCTATTAGTTAGGTATAGCCAGAGTCCCCTTTTCCCCAGTGCTCCCTGTTAGTAATTTTCCATCCAGAGACCCTCACCCTGCTCCTTGGCTGTGAATTCCCAGTTGCCTATATTGTGTTTGGAATTGAGCCCAACTCTACACCGAGATTCCTTTCCCCCTATTGCAATAGTCCTGAATAAAAGCTGTTTTTACTGCTTCAACTACTATCCAGCTCTGGTTTTTCTTTGACAAGTGCAAGGAAGTGAAGAGAGTGTTTCATAAAGAAGAAGGTTGTTTTTTGAGAAAATAATTGTTCATTGGATTTGAGAAAATGGAGGTCTCTGGTGCCTTTTGGTGATTTGCAGAGGACTGAAGAGCGAATCAGAGGAGAGGAAGTGCAGAAAATGTTTGCAGACAACATATTGTGAGAGTACTGTCTGAGAAAGAGAACAGATGATGAGGCTGTGCACTTACAGGACTGTGGGGTCAAATGGGGGGTGGTTTGCATGTGTTTTGAGCTGGGAGATACTGGAGCATATGCAATGCTGATGGGGAGCAGAGAAGATTCTGCTGGATGGGGAACAAGAAACTGAAGGAATGAGCTTTCTGTAGTGAGAGAGGGAATAGGATCTTGGCCCAAAGCATGAAGTGGCCTTTGATTCTCTTAACAGGAAGGAAGTAACAAGAGGTAGCCATGGACACAGATGGGCTGGGAATTTGGTGGCGAAAGGATGCTGGAAGGCTTGGCTTCTCCCACTGAAGCATGAGGCAAGGCTGGGGTATCAGTAAGTTTCAGTAGAGTTTCCTGGTCCATCTGTCTGAAGAGTCAGAGCTTTGGGGCTGGTACAGTCTCAATGGCTGCTTGCAGCTTTCTGGCCAGAATAACACACGGCTCTTTGTTTGATATTTGGGTAACTTATGGATCACTCTGGTGCCTGGCCCTAAAATGATTCTGTTATGATATGAATTATCCTTTCCATGTCTAGAAACCAAAATTACCCAGCAAAACCCCATACTAATGCAATTTAAGTTTCTTTTCACAATCACACACAGTTATCATATATTGTGTCCACCATGACTGCTGCATACTCCCATTTTAATGGGAGAGGTAGAAATATAAACATAAAAATAGAATATGCAAGGTGAGAAAGTGAGAAGTCCCGGGGGATGAGGGAGTCAATGTAAGGTGTCTACAGAACAAGGAGGAAACCTAACCTATTTATTTCCAAGCATATTTTGGCCTCTAGTTTCTAAGTTCTCCCCAGAATCCCCAGCCACATTTGTCATGGTATCTTTCTTATTTCCTGGTGGGGAAACTCCTCCTCTAAGAGTGGTGGAGATACTCACTAATGAGAAATATGAGATATTAGCAGCAGAAGGCAAGCATTAGAAAGAATCTCCTGACAGTGGGTCCTAATAATGACAGACTATATCTCAAAGAGGAGAATAAAAAATCACATCCCCTGAGGCATTTAAGACCAAACATAGCAAATAGCTAGACTATATAGGGTGTGTGCACTTTTCCCTGCCTCCAGACAAGATGTTCAAATGACTGTTTCCAATTGGAAGTTTCCAAGATACTATGATTTAGCTGAAAGGCCTATGTGAGTTGTGATTAGATATGAAATAGGACACATGGTTTGCTTTATAATCCACTGAAGCTCTGATAAAGGCCAAATGTTTTGGAGGCTGTTTTAAGTTCTGGCAAAGGTCATGAGGCTGGAACAGCCAGGCAGCTCAGGCGAACTTTATTAAAATATCAGTTCTTATTTCCCTCTCCGGAGTAGAAGAAAGTGTGGGACAAAGAACTGGAGGAGCTTAGGTAATTATGTTTTGTTTATTTTCTCCATTCTCTTTCTTTGTTTCATTCATCAGTCTTTCTTAGAAACCACTTCCGCTATTATATTAGCAGTTTGCTTGCTAACTTATCAATCGATGTTAGGAAGACCATCTCTTCCTAATGCTATCTCATTCCAGTGAGTTTGACCTTTTTTTCCTCCTTCCTCTTTCCTATAACATTTGGCTTTTTACTTCTCTGCCCCTTTCAGAAGATTTGTCATTGTTTTATATGTGGATTTAAAAAAATTCTTAGTTTTTTGTTTTGTTTTGTTTTTTTAGTGTTTTCTTTCTGTTTCTTTTCTTTTTTTATTTTACTTCAAGTTCTGGGATACATGCGCAGAACATGCAGGTTTGTTACATAGGTATACACATGCCATGGTGGTTTGCTGCACCCATCAACCCATCATCTACATTAGGTATTTTTCCTAATGCTAATCTTCCCCTAGCCCTTCACCCCCTGCAGGCCCTGTTGTGTGATGTTTCCCTCCCTGTGTCCAAGTGTTCTCATTGTTCAATTCCCACCTGAGAGTGAGAACATGCAGTGTTTGGTTTTCTGTCCTTGTGATATTTTGCTGAGAATCATGGTTTCCAGCTTCATCCATGTCCCTGCAAAGGACATGAACTCATCCTTTTTTATGACTGCATAGTATTCCATGATGTATATATGCCACATTTTCTTAATCCAGTCTATCATTGATGGACATTTGGGTTGGTTCCAAGTCTTTGCTATTGTGAGTAGTGCCACAATAAACATGTGTGTGCATGTGTCTTTATAGTAGCATGATTTATAATCCTTTGAGTCTATACCCAGTAATGGGATTGCTGGGTCCAATGGTAATTCTAGTTCTAGATCCTTGAGGAATCGCCACACTGTCTTCCACAATGGTTGAACTAATTTACACTCCCACCAACAGTGTAAAAGCGTTCCTGTTTCTCCACATCCTCTCCAGCACCTGTTGTTTCCTGACTTTTTAATGATTGCCATTCTAACTGGTGTAAGATGGTATCTCATTGTGATTTTGATTTGAATTTCTCTAATGGCCAGTGATGATGAGCTTTTTTTCATGTTTGTCGGCCACATAAATGTCTTCTTTTGAGAAGTGTCTGTTCATATCCTTCTCCCACTTTTTGATGGGGTTGTTTGTTTTTTTTCTTGTAAATTTGTTTAAGTTGCTTGTAGATTCTGAATATTAGCCGTTTGTCAGATGGATAGATTGCAACAATTTTCTCCCATTCTGTAGGTTGCCTGTTCACTCTGATGATAGTTTCTTTTGCTGTGCAGAAGTTCTTTAGTTTAATTGATCCCATTTGTTAATTTTGGCTTTTGTTGCCATTGCTTTTGGTGTTTTAGCCATGAAGTCTTTGCCCATACCTATGTCCTGAATGATACTGCCTAGGTTTTCTTCTAGGATTTTTGTGGTTTTAGGTCTTATGTTTAAGTCTTTTATCCATCTTGAGTTGATTTTTGTATAAGGTGTAAGGAAGGGGTCCAGTTTCAGTTTTCTGCATATGGCTATCCAGTTTTCCCAACACCATTTATTAAATAGGGAATCCTTTCCCCATTGCTTGTTTTTGTCAGGTTTGTCAAAGATCAGATGGTCATAGATGTGTAGCATTGTTTCTGAGGCCTCAGTTCTGTTGCATTGGTCTGTATCTCTGTTTTGGTACCAGTACCATGCTGTTTTGGTTACTGTAGACTTGTAATATAGTTTGAAGTCAGGTAGTGTGATGCTTCCAGCCTTGTTCTTTTTGCTTAGGATTGTCTTGGCTCTCTGGGCTCTTTGTTGGTTCCATATGAAATTTAAAGTGGTTTTTGCTAATTCTGTGAAGAAAGTCAGTGGTAGCTTGATGGGGATAGCATTGTATCTATAAATTACTTTGGGCAGTACGGCCAATTTCATGATATTGATTCTTCCTATCCATGAGCATGGAATGTTTTTCCATTTGTTTGTGTCCTCTCTTACTTCCTTGAGCAGTGGTTTGTAGTTCTCCTTGAAGAGGTCCTTTGCATCCCTTGTAAGTTGGATTCCTAGGTATTTTATTCTCTTAGTAGCAATTGCGAGTGGGAATTCACTCATGATTTGGCTCTCTGTTTGTCTATTATTGGTGTATATGAATGCTTGTGATTTTTGCATATTGATTTTGTATCCTGAGGTTTTGCTGAAGTTGCTTATCAGCTTAAGGAGATTTTGGGCTGAGACGATGGGGTTTTCTAAATATACAATCATGTCATCTGCAAACAGAGACAATTTGACTTCTTCGCTTCTTATTTGAATACCTTTATTTCTTTCTCTTGCCTGATTTCCCTGGCCAGAACTTCCAATACTATGTTGAATAGGAGTGGTGAAAGAGGACACCTTTTTCTTGTGCCCGTTTTCAAAGGGAGTGCTTCCAGCTTTTGCCCATTCAGTCTGATATTGGCTGTGAATTTGTCATAAATAGCCCTTATTATTTGAGATATGTTCCATAAATACCTAATTTATTGAGAGTTTTTAGCAAGAAGGGGTGTTGAATTTTATCCAAGGCCTTTTCTGCATCTATTGAGATAATCATGTGGTTTTTGTCATTGGTTCTCTTTATGTGATGGATTACGTTTATTGATTTGTGTATGTTGAACCAGCCTTGCATCCAGGGATAAAGCTGACTTGATCGTGGTGGATAAGCTTTTTGATGTGCTGCTGGATTCGGTTTGCCAGTATTCTATTGAGGATTTTCACATCGATGTTTGTCAGGGATATTGGCCTGAAATTTTCTTTTTTTGTGTGTGTGTCTCTTTCAGGTTTTGGTATCAGGATGATGCTGGCCTCATAAAATTAGTTAGGGAGGAGTCCCTGTTTTTCTATCGATTGGAATGGTTTCAGAAGGAATGGTATCAGCTCCTCTTTGTACCTCTGGTAGAATTTGGCTGTGAATCGTGAATCCATCTGGTCCTGGACTTTTTATGGTTGGTAGGCTATTAATTACTGCCTCAATTTCAGAACTTGTTACTGGTCTATTCAGGGATTCAACTTCTTCCTGATTTAGTCTTGGGGGGGTGTATGTGTCCAGGAATTTATCCATTTCTCCTAGATTTTCTAGTTTATTTGTATAGGTGTGTTTATAGTATTCTCTGATGGTAGTGTGTTTTTCTGTGCAATCACTGGTGTTATCCCCCTATATCACTTTTTATTGTGTCTATTTGATTCTTCTCTCTTTTCTTCTTTATTAGTCTGGCTAGTGGTCTAATTATTTTGTTATTCTTTTCAAAAAACCAGCTGCCAGATCATTGAATTTTTTTTAAGGATTTTTCATGTCTCTATCTCCTTCTGTTCTGCTCTCATCTTAGTTATTTCTTGTCTTCTGCCAGCTTTTGAATTTGTTTTCTCTTGCTTCTCTAGTTCTTTTAATTGTGATGTTAGGTTGTCAATTTTAGATCTTTTCCACTTTCTCCTGTAGGCATTTAGTGATATAAATTTCCCTCTAAACACTGCTTTAGCTGTGTCCCAGAGATTCTGGTACATTGTGTCTTTGTTCTCATTGGTTTCAAAGCACTTATTTATTTCTGCCTTAATTTCGTTATTTTTCCAGTAGTCATTCAGGACCATGTTGTTCAATTTCCATGTAGTTGTAGAGTTTTGAGTGGGTTTCTTAATACTGAGTTCTAATTTGATTGCACTGCAGTCTGAGAGACTGTTTGTTATGATTTCTGTTCTTCTGCATTTGCTGAGGAGTGTTTTACTTCCAATTTTGTGGTCAATTTTAGAATAAGTGTGATGCAGTGCTGAGAAGAAGTATATTCTGTTGATTTGGAGTGGAGAGTTCTGTAGATGTCTATTAGGTCCGCTTGGTCCAGAGTTGAGTTCAAGTCCTGAATATCCTTGTTAATTTTCTGTCTCGTTGATCTGTGTAATATTGACAGTGGAGTGTTAAAACTCCCACTATTATTGTGTGGGAGTCTAAGTCTCTTTGCAGGTCTCTAAGAACTTGCTTTATGAATCTCGATGCTCCTGTATTGGGTGCATATATATTTAGGATAGTTAGCTCTTCTTGTTGCATTGATCCCTTTACCATTATGTAATGTCTCTTTTGATCGTTGTTGGTTGAAAGTCTGTTTTATCAGAGAATAGGATTGCAACCCCTGTTTCTTTTTTCCTTTCTATTTGCTTGGTAAATATTCCTCTATCCCTTATTTTGAGCCTATGTGTGTCTTTGCATGTGAGAGGGTCTCCTGAATACTGCACACTGATGGGTCTTGACTCTTTATCCAATTTGCCAGTCTGTGTCTTTTAATAGGGGCATTTCACCCATTTACATTTAAGGTTAGTATTGTTATGTGTGAATTTGATCCTGTCATGATTCTAGCTGGTTATTTTGCCCATTATTTGATGCAGTTTCTTCATAGTGTCGATGGTTTACAATTTGGTATGTTTTTGCAGTGGCTGGTACTGGTTGTTCCTTTCAACGTTTAGTGCTTCCTTCAGGAGCTCTTGTAAGGCAGGCCTGGTGGTTACAACGTCCCTCAGCCTTTGCTTGTCTGTAAAGGATTTTATTTCTCCTTTGCTTATGAAGCTTAGTTTGGCTGGCTATGAAATTCTGGGTTGAAAATTCTTTTCTTTAAGAATGTTGAGTATTGGCCCCCACTCTATTCTGGCTTGTAGGGTTTCTGCAGAGAGATCCACTGTTAGTCTGATGGGCTTCCCTTTGTGGGTAACCTGACCTTTCTCTCTGGCTGCCCTTAACATTTTTTCCTTCATTTCAACCTTGGTGAATCTGACAATTGTGTGTCTTGAGGTTGCTCTTCTCGAGGGGTATGTTTGTGGTATTCTTTGTATTTCCTGAATTTGAATGTTGGCCTGTCTTGCTAGGTTGGGGAAGTTCTTTTGGATAATATCCTGAAGAGTCTTTTCCAGTCTCCCCGTCACTTTCAGGTACACCAGTCAAACGTAGGTTTGGTCTTTTCACCAGTCCCATATTTCTTGGAGGTTTTCTTCATTCCTTTTAATTCTTTTTTCTCTATTCTTGTCTTCATGCTTTTTTTCATTAAGTTGATCTTCAATCTCTGATATCCTTTCTTCCGCTTGGTCAATTCAGCAGTTGATACTTGTGTATGCTTCACGAAGTTCTTGTGCTGTGTTTTTTAGCTCCATTGGGTCATTTATGTTCTTCTCTAAACTGGTTATTCTAGTTAGCAATTCTTCTAACCTGTTTTCAAGGTTCTTAGCTTCCTTGCTTTGGGTTAGAACATGCTCCTTTAGCTTGTGGAGTTTGTTGTTACCAACTTTCTGAAGCCTACTTCTGTCAATTTGTCAAACTCATTCTCCATCCAGTTTTGTTCCCTTGCTAGCAAGGAGTTGTGATCCTTTGGAGGAGAAGAGGCCTTCTGGTTTTTGGAATTTTCAGCCTTTTTGTGCTGGTTTTTCCTCATCTTCACGGATTCATCTACCTTTGGTCTTTGATGTTGGTGACCTTTGGATGCAGTTTTGGTGTGGACATCCTTTTTGTTGATGTTGATGCTATTCCCTTCTGTTTGTAGTTTTCCTTCTAACAGTCAGGCCCCTCTGCTGCAGGTCTGCTGGAGTTTGCTGGAGGTCCACTCCAGACCCTGCTTTCCTGGGTATCACCAGCAGAGGCTGCAGAACAGCAAAGATTGCTGTTTCTTCCTCTGGAAGCTTTGTCCCAGAAGGGCACCTGCCAGACGCCAGCCAGAGCTCTCCGGTATGAGGTGTCTGTCAACCCCTGGGAGGTGTATACTGGGAGGTGTCTCCCTGTCAGGAGGCTTGGGGGTCAGGGACCCCCTTGAGGAAGCAGTCTGTCCCTTAGCAGAGTTTGAGCACTGTGCTGGGAGATCCACTGCTCTCTTCAGAGCCAGCAGGCAGAAACGTTTATGTCTGCTGAAGCTGTGCCCACAGCTGCTCCTTCCCCCAAGTGTTCTGTCTCAGGGAGATGGGAGTTTATAAGCCCCTGACTGGGGCTGCTGCGTTGGAGATGCCCTGCACCGAGAGGAGAAATCTAGAGAGGCACTCTGGCTACAGTGGCTTTGCGGAGCTGTGATGGGCACCCCCAAGTTCCAACTTCCTGACGGCTTTGTTTACACTGTGAGGGGAAAACCAGCAACTCAAGCTTCAGTAATGGCGGATGTCCCTCCCCATACCAAGCTCGAGCATCCCAGGTCAACTTCAGACTGCTGTGCTGGCAGCAAGAATTTCCAGCCAGTGGATCTTAGCTTGATGGGCCCCATGGGGGTGGAATCCATTGAGCTAGACTACTTGGCTCCCTGGCTTCAGCCCCCTTTCCAGAGGAGTGAATGGTTCTATCTTGCTGGCATTCCATGCACCACTGGGGTGTGTAAAAAAACTGCAGCTAGCTCAGTGTCTGCCCAAACAGTCGCCCACTTTTGTGCTTGAAACCCAGGGCCCTGGTGGCATAGGCACCCGAGGGAATCTCTTGGTCTGCGGGTTGCAAAGACCATGGGAAAAGGGTAGTATCTGGGCCGGAGTGCAGTGTTGCTCATGGCACAGGGAAGCCAGTCCCTCATGGCTTCCCTTGGCTAGGGGAGGGAGTTCCCTGACCCCTTGCATTTTCCGGGTGAGGCAATGCCCCACGCTGCTTTGGCTTACCTCTGTGGGCTGCACCAACTCTCTAACCAGTCCCAATGAGATGAGCTGGGGACCTCAGTTGGAAATGCAGAAATCACCTGCTTTGTGCACTGATCTCACTGGGAGCTGCAGACCGGAGCTATTCCTATTCAGCCGTGTTGCCAGCCACCCTCTTCCTCTTTCCTAAATTGTTGTGACATCTCTCTGGATTTCCTGTTTTTGGACATCTCTGACATCTCTCTGGATTTCTTACTTTTGCATTTTTCTCTTTTACTATTCACTTTTAGTATGTTTCTTTGAGCTGAAATTCCCAGAAGCTGGAATAGAGGAAGTTGATTACTTTCTTACTTTTTTTTTTAAGGGTACTATTTTGTTCTCCTTTTAAATTGTTTCAATAGGTCTAACTTTTTTTCAAATGCCTTCTTCTAATCCTGAACATTTCTCTGAAGAGTATAGAAGCCCCCTTTGACCATCAACTAAATTTTTCAGTTAACACAAAGAACCAAAGGGCTTTGACTATCAACATGTTATCAGTTTGTGCAGATATTCTCTTCTTTGAACCAAAGAATATTCTGAGATCCCCTGAAGTTAATCAGGATGTTAACTTGTGACAAAGCCATAACCTTTCATTTGCCTCTTTGGCAGGCATGGGGACTACCAGGCCTCTCTGAACTTCAAGTTGGGGGAATCAAATAAAAAGAAGAATGTGTATATTATTAAATATGTAATAACAAGCAGAAAATAATCTCCCAGGATTTGCTTGCTCTGCAGGTCTGAAGTTCTTTGTAGGAGATCAGAGTTGCTTCTTTAGGCCCTGGATCTGGAAGCTAAGGAGAAAACTTAAACTTTCTAGTGAGAAAACTATAGTGGGCTAGGATGAGCCACACCCCTCCTGCCTATCCTCCCCTCTAGAAGAGTTGCAGGGGCAAATAGTTGGAGACAGTGGTTCCTTTCTCTACACCATAGCCATTGATGCTTCCTTCTTTGATGACTCCATTTGGTTGTGGCTCCTTTTTTCCCAGTATCCCCTTTACTTGGCCCTTTAATGGCGATGACCTGGACAACATAGATGTGGAGGGTATGTGGACTCATTTGCCATCTTTGCATTGACTTCAGTGGCTGAGTTGCAAAGAGAGAGGAAAGGTAAGGTGGCAGTAAGAGGTACCTTTTAATTAAGGCTAAGCTAAGTACATCTCCTCAGCCTCTTGGGATGGAAGGAGATTTGAGGGGGCAGGTGGAAACTATTTGTTAAAAGAGTTAGGGTTATTGGGATTTCTCCTTGTGCTTCTGAGCTCAAGGCCTCACAACCTCTAAGGTTTCAGTTCCATTTTGGGAATATGTGAAGTATTCTGGAGGCTGAGTGGGTATCTTTTGGCCCTTTGATGACTGCGTAGCCCCTTGTACTCCACCCCAAAGTTGTGTAATGTTCAAGACAATGAAGGGGCAGAGGAAGGAATGATTGGTCCAGGTCTTGGGGCTTGGTCTTTATTGGATTTTCTAATTGTTTAAATATCTGAATGATCATAAGGGCTGATGTTCGTCTGTGGGTGTATGTATTTATTTATAATGCAGTAGTATAATACATTAAAATAAATAATAATAAAATAAATGGGATAATCTTCACAGGTAAAATGAAGGAATTCAGGATGGTGGCAAGTGTGCCATGTCCCTGTCAACTCCCTTCCCTAACCTGGTCCCTAAACCTAGTCACCTTCTGGGAGCCAAAGCCAGCTCTTGAGAGCTAAAGTCAAACACTTGTTTTGTCTAAGCCTAAGTTATTGAAATTCCCTTAAATTTTTTGCTCCACACACACCAGAGACAGAAGATACCACTCCGTTTAGAAAAAACAAATAGATTTGAAAATAATTATTTCTGGTTACGAGAAATAGAGACCAACCTCTTCAGAAGATGTGATAATGTAAGAACTAATTTTCCCTAATTGCATTTCTTTGAGAGATTTTTCTGGAAGCAGGGAATAATGGAGAATTTTCTGGCTCACCAGAGAAGCACACTCCCCGAGACAGACCCTGGGGCTATGGTGAACGTGGCCTGAGAGACTGGTGTTCCTGGTCTAGGCTGTTGAACCCTGGCTGGGGACATAGGCTCTTTGGTAGCAGGGAAAAGCGTTGCCTCAAAGGTTGTTTTGCGTTTTCTGATTCTGTGAAATGCTTATTCATGCTTAGAGCATTCAGACTCTTAGGTCTTTCTTGAAAGCTGCAGGATGTGGCCCCTAGCCCTTTGCCTCACTCACAGAAGTGGCGAGCCATGTCATCACAAGGATTTGTATATTTGGGCTCTGCTGGGTCCTTGAGTTGCTCCTTGAGTGCACTTTTCTTTCTCGCATTAACTCTCTGCACAAGCCCTAGTGTCTTCCTTAGGTGTTGCCAATGATGAAACCGTCCTTTATGAGTTTCAATAACCCTTTTGCCTGCAGAGGCAACTCTAATATCTAAAAGTGGACATTGTCTAGGTTTGGGCCATGGATCTTCCTGTCCATGTTCCCTTTTCCGTGGATGAAGCCTCTGGAACAAATGCCTCATCCTATTTTTAGAGTTTGTCTTTAAAAAAAATAAGTTTATTTTTAATTTTGTGGGTACATATTAGATATATATATATATATTTATAGGGTATATGAGATATTTTGATACAGGCATACAATCTGTAATAATCACATCAGGATAAATGGGACATCTGTCACCTTTTATAAAAAGCATTTTTTTTTATGTTACAAACAATCTAATTGCACTGTTTTAGTTATTTTAAAATTTATAATTAAATTATTATTGACTATAGTCACCCACTGTGCTATCAAATCCTAATCTTATTCAATCTTGTAAACTATTTTTAATACTCATTAGCATCTCCACTTGCCCCCCAACCCCCACTACCCTTCCTAGACTCTGGTAACCTTCATTCTACTCTTTCTCTCCATGAGCTTAATTATTTTAATTTTTAGCTCCCACAAATAAGTGAGAACATGTAAAGTTTTTCTGGGCCTGGCTTATTTCACTTAACATAATGTCCTCCAGTTCTGTCCATGTTGTTGCAAATGACAAGATCTTATTCTTTTTTATGGTTGAATAGTATTCCGTTGTTTATAAGTCCCACATTTTCTTAATCCAATCATCTGTTGATGGACTCAGGTTGTTTCCAAATCTTGTCTATTGTGTATGGTGCTACAGTAAGCATAGAAGTGCAGGTGCCTCTTGGATATCCTGATTTCTTTTGGGTATATACCTAGCAGTGGGGTTGCTGGATCATATTGTAGCTCTATTTTTAGGTTTTTGAAGAAGCTCCAAACTGTTCTCAATAGTGGTTGTACTAACTTACATTCCCACACATAGTGTATAAGGGTTCCCTTTTCTCTACATTCTCGCCAGCATTTGTTATTGCCTGTCTTTTGGATAAAAGCCATTTTAACTGTGCTGAGATGATATCTCCTTGTGGTTTTGATTTGCATTTCTCTGATGATCAATGATGTTGAGCACCTTTTCATATGCCTGTTTGCTATTTGTATGTCTTCTTTTGAGAAATGTCTATTCAGATCTTTTGCCCATTCAAAAATCAGATTATTAGATTTTTTGCGATAGAGTTGTTTGAGCTCCTTATATATTCTGCTTATTCATTCCTTGTCAGATGGTTAGTTTGCAAATATTTTCTCCCATTCTATGGGTTGTCTCTTCACTTTGTTGATTGTTTCCTTCACTGTGTACTACCTGGTTACCAGTGCTGATCAGGGCTCAAGTGCTCTGGCAGTGGTTTTCCCTTTTGCCCAGGGTGTGTCTAGAAATATTGTCAGGGAGCTAATGCCTGGAATGGGGATGTCACAATTCTTTCCAGTGCCCTATCCAATGTGGCTGAGCTGGTATCCAAGTTGCAAGGCAAAGTTCTCGTTACTCTTCCATCTCCTCTCCTCGAGTGGAAGGAAGGGGTCTCTTTCAGAGCTGTGAGCTGCACTGCCTAAGGTTGGAGGAAGGATGATGCAAGCTCTCCTTTAGCCACCCTGGCTGGCATCTTACTAGGTCATATGACCCCTAAGTCCACTGGCTCTGAGCCCAGCACAACACTGGGACTTGCCTAGACTTACTTTCAAGTTTATATAGGAGCCCGGAGCACTTTACCCCATGGTGGAGAGGCTTGTCATCAGCTGAGTTCTGCCTGGTGTTGGTAGCACTGAGTTCCAAAGCGAAGTCCCATAATCACTGCTTTCTCTTTCCCCCAAGAGCACAGATTCTCAGTGGAGGGTTGGTGTTGGCAGTTCAAGACAGTCTTTCCTACCCTCTTTAGTGCCTCTTTTAGTGATACGAAGATAAAACCAGGTACCTTGATCACTTACCTGATTTTTGGTTCTTATGAAGGTGATTTTTTCTGTAAATAGTTGTTAAATTTGGTGTTCCTGCAAGGAAGATGACCAATGGAGGTTTCTACTTGGACATCTTGCTCTGCCTCCCTAGTTAGTCTTTTATGGAACCTCTGGCAGTCGTTGAACATCTTGTGGCTGGAAGTCTTGGCGCTAATGCCCTATTCTTCTCTTTTGGGTGAGAACTCTCCAAACCTGCATCACCTTTTTGATGTTCCCTGCTAAGGATCACATGCTATTCCAAGTGTTCATCACAACAACCCACTTCATTGTCAAGACAATATTGTAATGATAATGAAAATCAAATGTAGAAAGTCATCCATAATCCCTCAATTATAACAGATTTTGAGTTTTAATGCTCCCATCTAGTCCTTATGTATTTGCATTCCTAATGCTTACATTGCTATAATAATGTATATAGAAACAATGTAGTATTCTGCTTTATTTCAAATACATTGTATCATAAGCCTTTAGTTGTATTGCTTTAAACCTTCATAATCATCACTTAGTGGCTGAATTATATTTCATTTTGGGGGGGGGCATATCATAATTTACTTAATCATTGTCATAAGGTTAGGCATTTGTGCTGTTTTCACTTCTGTTGAGTAATTGATACTTGGATGGGAGCAGTTAATACACACTTAGAAGGAAGTGGCCCTATTTATAGATCATAAGTTTTTCTCAGATAAACCTCAATTCTGTTCTTGGCTCAGACACTAGTTTTGTGGTCTTGGGTAAGCTTCTATGTATTTGTCTATATCTATCTATCTATCTATCTATCTATCTATCTATCTATCTATCTACCTATCTATCTATCTAGCTAGCTAATCTATCATCTTTTGCGACAGAGTCTCACTCTGTCACTTAGGCTGGAGTGTAGTAGTGCGATCATAGCCCACTCCAGCCATGAAATCTTGGGCTCAAGTGATGCTCCCACCTTAGACTCTTGTGTAACTGGGACTACAGACACATATCACCATACCTGACTAATTTTTTCTTATTTTTTGTAGAGATGGGGTTTCACTATGTTGCCCAAGCTGGTCTCAAACTCCTTGGCTCAAATTATCTTCCTGCCTTGGCCTCCCAAAGTGTTGGGATTACAGTAGGCATGAGCCACCTTACCCACTCACTTATTTTTCAATTATAGAACTTGATTGAGGCCTCATTTACGTATAGTAAAATGCACAGATCTTAAATGTATAAGTCAGTAAGTTTTTATGTTCCTATATGCCAATATGACCATCTACATCCCCCTCCCCTAATTTGAGCCATTATTCTGATTTCTAGCACTATGACTTAATTTTGTATTTAAAAAATATATAAATGGAATCACTTAATGTGTACTATTTTGTATCTAACTTCTTTTGTTCAATAAAATTTTTGAATTTTTGAAATTCACCCATGTTGGGCCAAGCATGGTGGCTCATGCCTGTAATCCCAGCAGTTTGGGAGGCTGAGGTGGGTGGATCACCTGAGGCCAGGAGTTTGAGACCAGCCTGGCCAACATGACGAAACCCCGTCTCTACTAAAAATACAAAAATTAGCTGGATGTGGTGCACACCTGTAGTCCCCGCTACCTGGGAGGCTGAGGCAGGAGAATTGCTGGAACCTGGGAAGCGGAAGTTGCAGTGACCCGAGATCGCACCATGGCACTCCGGCCTGAGTGACAGAGCAAGACACCATCTCAAAAAGAAAGAAAATAAAAAAAAAAAGAAACTCACCCATGTTGTTTTATATATAAGTTTAGAAGTTTGTTGTATATGGTTATACCAATTTGTTTATTCTTTCTTCTGCTAATGCACATTTGTTTTGTTTCTATGTCGTGGCTATTACGAATAGAGTTGCTATGACTATTTTGCATAAGTCTTTTTGCAGATATATGCACTCTGATATAGTTTGAATGTTTGTCCTCTCCAAATTGCATGTTGAATGTAATCCCCAATGTTGAAAGTGGGGCCTGGTGGGAGGTGTTTGGGTGATGAGGGCAGGTACCTCACAAATAGCTTGGTGCTGTCCTTGTGATAGTGAGTGAGTTCTTATGAGATTTGATTGTTTAAAAGTATGTGGCACCTCCCTTCGTCTTGTTCCTGCTCTAGCCATGTGAGACGTCTGCTCCCCTTTCACCATCTTCCATGATTGGAAGCTTCCTGAGGCCCTTACCAGAAACAGATGCTGGCACTGTGCTTTGTTTACAGCCTGCAGAACCATGAGCCAAATAAACCTATTTTCTGTATAAATTACCCAGTCTCAGGTTTTTTTTTAATGGCAAACCAAAAATAGCCTAATATACAATTCTCTTGGTTGTATTATCCAGGAGTGAAATTGCTTTATTTTAAAGAAAGTATAGTTGGTGAAGTTGATAAATATGAACCAATGTTATATAATCACAGTACTGAATGGGATTAAAAAAATGCCAATAATTGACTTGGATAAATTTTTTAATCTCTCTAAGCCTTCATTTCATCAACTCTTAAATAAACCGAAACTATCCTGAAGAGTTGCTGTGAAGAATAAAATATGTAAGGAGTATAAAGTACCTACCATAGAATCTGGGGCATAATCAGGTGTTTATTAAATGGGAGCTACGATGATGAGGATGATGATGATAATGATGGGAACAATGGTGACATAATTTCTTTATCTGCACTGATAGGTAGATTTGTTGAGTTAAAATCCAGAGCTGATCTCTTTCTCTTATCCTTGAAAGATACTCTGAAAACATCCATGAAGTCCTGTGCCTCTTGTACATTTGCTAGACCTGCGGTTCTCAACAGGATCTTAGCATCCCACCCCTGAGATTCTGATTTAATTTCTAAGGATGGGGCCCAAACATCTGCTTGCTTTAAATGTTCCTCTGGTGATGTTAATTACGGTCGGGACTGAAATCCACTGCCTAGCAGACGAATGATGTATGCCTCATCTCCCCAGCCTTCACCGTTTTTCAGTTTTCCGAAGTAGCAGATTTGTTGCATAACTTCTTCATTCCTCTCTATGCTGAAAACCTCACTCGAGCCACTCCTGAGACTCCCAGACAGCCTCTGAGATTTATGTCTTACTGGTGAGCTCTCTCCTTTCCCTCCTTCTTATTTCTCTTGAGAATCTCAAGTCATGGATTTTAGAGGGTGTGTCTCTCTTCCCCACTTGCAGCTTGGGTTCAGTATGAAGCATCATTCATCTCAAATGTCACCTTATCAATGTTTTCTACTTACTTCTCCTTTTGTTTTTACTTTTTCATTTAAAATAAACACAAATAGGGTAAACTCCTCTAGCCTTTGGCAGGTGGCAGCCTGCATGCTTGGCTGCTCCCACCTTCCAGGTGCAGATTCTCCTGGCAGACTGTGGAAAGCTGTTGTGACTTAAGGAACAGCTGGGTTTTCTTCTATTTCTTTCATTTAAAAAAATTTACTTCATTTTTCCTCTTAATTATCAAAGTAATATCTGAATACTCTGGCAGGAAATTTTGGGAGTCACATAGAAAAGTGCAAAGAACAACAAAAATTATGTTGTGCAATTTTCTCTTTATATGGTAATATCCAGTTTCAGCTCCAGCAATTCCTACGTGAATGGCCCTGGGTTATTCTTCTTTGAGCCAGTTGCTTCATATGCTCAAGAGGGATGATAGCAAAAACCTAATAGAAAAATTGGCAAATGTTCTTCTATGAGAAAAATATTTTTCTACTAGAGATTTATTATAAAATAAGAGACATGAGGGATAACTCACCAAAAAAGATTGAAATGGCCATTAAACACATACAAAATGTTTAATTTTAATCATATACAAAATGTTTAATGTTATGAGAAAAGTGCAAACTAATGGCAAAAAATTAAAAAGCTTGACAATATACTTTTTCAGGGAGGCAGGAAAAAAACAGGCAAGTCCACATATTGCTAGTGAAAGCACAAAATGGTACATCCGTATGGAGTGGAATGTGGCAATGCCTAATCAGACCACAGTGTGTTTACATTTTGGTACAATAATCCCACTTCAAGGAATTTACTCTGAAGATAGATCTCAACAATATAAAAATATATATGCACAAGGTTATTCAATGTAGTATTATTTATAATTTTAAAGTATTAGAAATGACCTAAATCCCCAAATATAGGACATTTTTATTGAATAAGGTATGGAACATCCACATCATGAAAAACTGCAAAAATATCTCCAGTCTGGGTGCAGTGGCTTATGCCTATAATCCCAGCACTTTGGGAGGTCGAGGCAGGTAGATCACTTGTGCTCAGGAGTTCGAGACCAGCCTCGGCAACATGGCAAGACCGTTTCTCTACAAAAAATTTAAAAATTTACTGGGTATGGTGGCATGCACCTGTAGTCCCAGCTACTCAGGAGGCTGAGGTAGGAGGATTACCTGAGCCCAGGAGGCCAAAGATGGAGTAAAACATGATTAAGCCACTACACTCCAGCCTGGTGACAGAGGGAGATTCTTAAAAAATCTCCATAAACAAAGATGAAATAATTTACTGCGAAAAAAGCAAAAGGCATAGGAGTACATAGAGTATGCTATATGTCCTGTAAGAAACGAAAGTGATAATATACATCTCAGGAAGGATGAATCGGAAACTAACGAGATTGATTACCTGCAGGAGATGGATAGGAACAAGGCAAAAGTGAAGTTTTGACTTTTGGCATCATGCTCATGTTTTTCACTCTGAAAAAAATTAGATCAACAAGGGTGTAGGGGAAAAACCCTAAAATGGAATACAAACAGAAGTAGATCAACCTAACCTTTAAATGAATAACATGACCATACTGAACAGTGAAAAAGAACAAACTCATAGAACTTTGGCTATTGTCCACTAAAAGACAAAGCTGAACTATATATATTAGGTTTGATTTCCACAATGTATGGGTTAGCTATTCTGAAATTACTTTCTGTGTATGGTAGGACTGAGCAAATGAGTAAATATATTGATTATGCTGACAACCAGATTTTCATAGTTTGAGAACAAGGATACCAATAAAAAACAGGAAGGCTGTGAGGAACACTGTAGTGTTTGGTGTTGGATTGTAATTAGAGGTATTAGTATGAATATCTGTATATCTATATACACACATATGTGTATATATGCTTGTCCACTTATAGATGTATATATGCACATTAACACTATTATAGGTGTATACAGATACATCTATATGTATCTATGGACACACACACATTCCCTAACTGCCTGCTAAAAAGACTTAGAAGCAAACAACAATACCAACAATGCACTTTTGCTTACAAATATCATGCCCCATTAAAAATAGATAGTGGTGCTAGAATTCATGACTGATTCCAGGGCCAGGGAAGAGAAAAACCAAGATAAGCCTGGAACATATTCTTGGCTAAAAAGTAAAGATGTACTTAAAAAACAATGGGAGTTTGTATTAGGGATCTTCAGAGAAACAGAACCAATAGGATGAATGGGTCAATAAAAAACAAGAGACGTGTTATGAAAAAATGGCTCATGCAATAATGAAGGTCTTGGCAAGTCTCAAGATCTATGTGGCGAGCTGGAGACCTGGAAGAGCTGATGGTATAGTTTCCATGTGGGCCTGAGGGGCTGAGAACCAAGAGAATCAATGGTGTTGTTTCAGTCCAAAGGCCAGCAGATTCAAGACCTAGGGAGAAACAATATCTCAGTTAGTCTGAAGGCAGGAAAAATCGACCTCCCAGCTCGAAGGCCACCCGGCAGAAAGAATGCTCTCTTTTGTGAAGGAGAGCTAACTTTTTTTGTTCTGTTCAGGCCTTAGCTAATTGAATGAGGCCCACCCACATTAAAAGGGCAATTTGCTTTACTCAGCCTACTAATTTGAATGTTGATCTCATCCAAAAACATCCTCACAGAAACATTCATAATCATGTTTGACCAAATATCTGGGCATCCTGTGGTCCAATTAAGTTGACACATAAAATTAACCATCACAGGACTTATAAAAAAGAAAATAAATAGCAACAATACAGGATTATAACTCACTGAATAAAGTAAGAATTGTGAGTCCATAGTGACAATAAGTAAATAAATAAAAGAAAAAAGAAATCTCTTTCTTACAGGAGAAATTCAGGAATGATGGAGTTAGAAGATCACTAATTTGCAAACACCATAAAAATGAAGACAAACAGAAATTTAGGGGAAATCTACAAAATGCATGGCCCAAGCATTTACAAAAGTTTACTGTCATTAAAAACAAAAGCTGAGGAACTGTATCAGATTGAAAGAGACTAAAGAGATACAACATCTGAATGCAATGAGTGATCCAAGATTAAATCCTGGATCTCAAAAAAATTTGCTATGATGGATGTTATTGAGACAATACAGCATGAAAGTATTGTGTAAGTGTAAAATCTCCTGATATTAATTTTTATACTGTGATTATATAACAAAATGCCCTTTTTCTAAGGAAACATACAGTGAAATATTTAGGGATAAAAGAACAAGATATACACAACTTGCCCAACTTGTTCAGAAAGTGTGTGTGTATCTAGAAAGAGACAGACAGAGACAGAGAAACAAAGAAAGATAAAGCAAATATGGCAAATTGTTAATTGGTAAATCCAAGTGAACAGTGTAGAACAGTTCTTTATAGTATTCTTACAAGTTTTCTATAAGTGAGAAGTTATTTCAAAATAGTTTTTAGAGTTATTTTTAAAAACCGAGTGTTTATTTTACAGTGTTGTTACAAAGACTAAATAAAAGAATCCATAAGAAGGGATTAAAACAGAGCCTGGAATAGAGGAAAAAACTCAGGTTTTTAGCTATTAATAATAATGTGAATATAATATCAACATATTAATATTTGATCAATATGTTAATTTATATACATATATTAATATCAACATATACATCAAAATACTTGATATCAATATTATATTAATATTCAATCAATTTATTTATTATATCAATAATAGCATCAATGCATTCATATTAAATACATATATATGTATAATACATATATAATACATAAATATATATATTTATATATTTTATATATATATATTTTGAGACAGAGTCTCTCTCTGTCATCCTAGCTAGAGTGCAGTGGGGAGATCTCAGCTTGCTGCAACCTCTGCCTCCTGGGTTCAAGAGATTCTCGTGTCTCAGCCTCCTGAGTAGCTGGGATTACAGACATGTGCCACCACACCTGGCTAATTTTTATATTTTTAGTAGTGATGAGGTTTCACCCTGTTGCTCAGGCTGGTCTCGAACTCCTAGCCTCAAATGACCCACCTGCCTCGGCCTCCCAAAGTGCTGGGACTACAGGGATGAGCCACTGCATCCTGCCTGTACTAATATTAATGTAATATCACTATATTACCTATTGAAATAACTAATTTTTTTAATTACATAATATCATATTATGGCTTGCTTTTTTCACTTACATTATACCATAACTGAAATGATTTTTCAGACTCTTGGCCTCAAGCAATCCTCCCACCTCAGCTTCCCAAAATGCAGGGATTATAGGTGTACCTGGCCTAGTAATTTGAATTTTAAAGAGGTGTGGTAGTTTATTTTTTGTATATATCACAATTTAAAAAATTTTCTAATTTTAGGTGTTTGTTGTTTCTAATTCTATTCTTTTAGAAATAAATAATACGTGATGATCAAAGTATTATATATAAAATTACTTATACGTTCATAAAATAACTTAAAAGTTATAAATTTTTTTTCCTTTTCCTAATGATGTAGGACAGTGTCCTTTAAGTGATATTGCTAAGCCAAAGGACCAGACATTTAAAACTCTTTAGTTAGCTGCCAAATGGCTTTCCAGAAAGATTTCCCCTCTTTTCTCTTGCACTAGCAGGATATAAATGTGACTGTCTTGTATTTCTCTCACCAACATTGCATATCATCAGTTATTTTTATCTTCAGAAAGAGCTGATTTCAGGGATTTCTGGATGATAGAATTTTGTTAGTTTTAAAAACTTTCTACTTTGTACTATTCTCTATTAAAAAAAGAAAAAAAGAAGAAGAGCTTAGTCGTGGCCAAAGTAAGAGAACTGAATACAATGCAGATTGCATGCTCTTCATTGTCCACAAAGAAAAGCATGCTGCACCCTGGAAAATTAGAAGCCTCCTTGAGTGACTAGACCTCAGATAGCTTTTCCATGAGGGTCTCATATGCTGGATAGCTGTGGATAGCTGTTTTTTTGGCATTAGATAGACCTGACTTCTATTCTTTGTTCTTTTCATTTACAGCTCCTAAGCCTGTATTCTCTATGGGCAAAATCATAATAAAAGTGCTTTCCTCACAGTATTGTTGAGAGTTTTAAAATTTTAAATGAAGTGAAGCATACAAAGTGGTAGCATACTACATGTCTTATAAATATTAGTTTTTAAAAATTCCTGATGTAATTAACAATATTTTTAAAGCTACAATCCTAACAATAAATGAAACAGTGGGTGTTCTACATGTATACACAGTGTCCCTTAATGTAAGTCAAGAGAAAAGTATTGCCAAAGTGTAACCCACAGAAAGCAAATTCTGTGGGAGGTTAAAAGTTGTCCTAGGATTAGAATCCTTGACTCCAGTGACTGTAGCTTAGTAACGAACTGAACCAAAGGTCTGTTTGCCAGATGACCGCATCATAAATGCTCGATTACATTCGCCCAGGAGACCACCAAAGAGCAGCCCCCTGCTAGTTAGATTCTGAACTAAGATTTTTTTTAGAGAGGAGAACATTTACTTGGTTTGATTCTAAAAGTAACAAAATCAACAGGTTTTTAGCATATAAAATACCATAAAACAGCATTTAGATAACCTATGAATCAGACATGTTTAAAGAGATGTGGCCATTTCAAGATTCTTTAAATCAGTTTTGGCTTGACTGAAAAGATATCTAACATATCCTACTGCCAAGAGACCACTTAACAGAGCAATTGTCTACTTTCAAGTGGCTCTAAAGGAAATAGAGTTCCCCCAGCTCTAGGTTCTTGCTATAAAACCAGATCGTTAGTTGTAAAAGTGCTGCTAAATTTAAGGTTTTTTAAGGTTTAAAACAATGGATGTTGAAAAATTAAGGTTTTTTCCCCCTGTTTATTTCTTCAGGAAACAGTCACCATAAAATGCATTTGCTTGCCTCTTGATAGTAAGCAGATGCTACACTCCCACAAAACAGAGCTCAAGAAACCTTTGCCTAGGGGGCAGAATCTGCCATAAATGTCTCAAGATATTTACTTGGCCAAGATTTATGTTACATTGCAATTAAACATAATCTTAAAAGAAATCATCCATTTAATTAATATTTATGTATACTAGTAAATAATTTGAAAACATATGCTATAAATTTCTAATATGGAGTAGAAAGGCAATGTGCCATTGCATGGATGCATAGACATAGAAATAGAGCTTGGTTTAAAGAAAAAGAAATTCTGAACCCTCTTGGATGTTGCATCTTTTCTAAATTCCCAAGTTAAAAAAAAAAAACAGGAATAAATTCCCAAGTTTCAATTTGTATAATGGGGGCCATTAATTTACATTGATGAACACTTTTTTTTTTTTTAATGTAGAGGTAAACTCAGTGATGCCTGAAAATACTCAGGTGAAGAGCCTTTGTTTGCAGCAGTTTATGAAAATAGATGGGGCATTTTATCAGCTATTCTGGGGAAATTGCCTCCCTAACTCTGCAACTGTCCAGGAATGCTTTATTGTGGCAGTAGTCTGGGAGTGTACAAAAGCACAGCAGGCCACATTTTCAAAGCTTGCTTTCTTTTCGAATTCTCTGATGACCATACGGCCCAACCTGTGACTATGGTAGCTGGCCTTTTTGTAAAGGGAATTTATTATTGTTTTTGCTAAAGCTAAATTGCTGCTGAAATGTGATGACTTGCTTAGGAGAAAATACAACTTAGTGTTGATTTGCCATTCCCGGGTACTCTAAAGGATCTTCATTTAGAATGGAAGGATTTCTCCCCCCTCACTCTCTTGTTTTGGCAAGTGTAGCCTTCCATCCTTCTGTTATAAAAACAGTTCCAACACCAAAAGTTGGCAGATTTGTGATCTTTCATTTCAGTCATGGGGGGATGGTTTAGAATTCTCTAGTCAAATTTAAGGAGGTAGTTTCAAAAGAAAAACTATTTCTTCACTCACCATTCCAGCTCTCAAACCCAGCTCCTTCTCCGTAATTCCACAGTTTTACTACTAATAACAAAATAACTAATACCATATGATTTTTTTCAAATGTAAAAGTTGGAAGTTTGTTTGTGTATGTATGTATGTATGTGTATATTTATTTATTTATTTATTTTGAGACAGAGTCTTGCTCTGTTGTCCAGGCTGGAGTGCAATGGCACGATCTCAGCTCACTGCAACATCCACCTCCCAGATTCAAGAGATTCTCCTGCCTCAGCCTCCCAAAGAGCTGGGATTACAGGCACGCACCACCACACCTGGCTAATTTTTTTTTTTTGTATTTTTAGTAGAGATGGGGTTTCACATGGCGTGTCCACGTTGGTCTAATGGATACTTGAACTCCCAGCCTAAAGTGATCCATCTGCCTCAGCCTCTCAAAATGCTTAGATTACAGGTGTGAGCAACCACACCCAGTCAAAAGTTGGAAGTTTATACTTCATTTGTTTAAGCTTTATTTGGAGCAGTCAAAAAAGCTCCTTCTTAGTAGAAGGCATTGACATATTTTGAAAGTGATTGATTATTCATTAATAAGTATTAAAATGCTTTTATATTTAGAAATTTTTGAAGCCTACCTAACAACCATGCTTAAAGGTACTCCTGGCTCTAAGTATCTGGCTCAGTTACTTCAAATTATTGGTATTCTTGTGAATGTAGCCGTAACAGAGTTTGTCTTTGTGATTTTAATCTCTTTAGCCACTCCCAAATTGAAACTATGATCTTTGTCTCCTTAAAACCAGACCACCTTACTCAGTAAACAATTCATGTTTTGCATTTTATATGACATTTTAGTTGATTCTATAAATTAGAATTTGGCATGCCATTAATCTCAAGCAGAAATGGAAGTGTCAGACATTACTTAATAATGGGTTTAAGAAATAAATCCAATTGTGGAGGAAAATCCATCAAGTTGTGCAGAGCTTTAGAGAGAACAGAAAATTATCGATAAATCATGAGACAACTATTCAACACCTGGTTTTAGGAAAGGATTGCGAAAAGCTTTTTTTTTTTTTTTTTTTGATTTAAAAACTCAGTTGGTTCTCGGCCAGGCATGGTGGCTCACGCCTGTAATCCCAGCACTTTGGGAGGCCAAGGCGGGCGGATCACGAGGTCAGGAAATCGAGACCATCCTGGCTAACACGGTGAAACCCCATCTCTACTAAAAATACAAAAATTAGTCCGGCGTGGTGGTGGGCGCCTATAGTCCCAGCTACTCGGGAAGCTGAGGCAGGAGAGTGGCGTGAACCTGGGAGGCGGAGCTTGCAGTGAGCCAAGATCCTGCCACTGCACTCCAGCCTGGGCAACAGAGCGAGACTCCGTCTCAAAAAAAAAAACAACAAAAAACAAAAAAACAAAAAACAAACTCACTTGGTTCTCTTAAGGTACTTAACTGCTATCAGTCTGCTAAAGACAGTCTCCAGCCTTTTTATGGAATATGTATTAACTCTTAGTTCTTTCTCAGAAGATATATTTGCTTCTAGTTCCCATTAGACTATGCTTACTTTTAGTCAATGTAAAGACAAGATGGATACTTTTCTACCCTTCAAGTATAAAGATGCTTCCAGAAAATTAGCTTCTCTTAAGCTCTTTTCAGGTTTGGTGAGAGTAAGTTTTAGAGAAAAAAAATGATGTTGACTTTTTTTGAAGAAAACAATACCAGGAGGATAACATTGATTAAGAATTATGGAGTTACAAACTACTGAGATTCAAAGTTAACTTGGAGAATATTTACATAAAATTCTTACGTTCTGCTACATGGAAAGAGCACTAGATAGGGCATCACAGATACCTACGTTCCAATCCCAGTCCAGCCTGTTAGCTTTGTGGCCATGGCTCAATTCACTGAGCTCCTCTAGGTCAATTTCCTCACCTGTAAAATCAGGAGACTAACACCTTTTCTTTTTTTTTTTTTTTTTCTTGAGATGAAGTCTCACTCTGTCACCCAGGCTGGAGTGCAGTGGTGCTATCTGGCTCACTGCAGCCTCCGCCTCCAGGGTTCAAGCGATTCTCCTGCCTCAGCCTCCCGAGTAGCTGGACTAACACCTTTTCTGTCTACCTAAGTTCTGAGCATTGAATAAAATCATGAATGTAAATATACAGTCATGAAGCATGAAGCATGACACAATTTGTGGAGACAGAATAAATATCTTCCCAATATTCTTTGACGGAATATATAAGCCCTTCATTGTTTCTTAGTTTCCATAAGCCCTATTTTCTTTGATTCAGTCTTGGCTACTACAATCATGACTAAAGCCAGACTGATTGACGATCTTGTTACATAAGGAGATAGAAACTGCTAATCTAGGAGCTTGTTACATAAGGAGATTGAGACCATTTGCAAGACATTTACTTAGTAGTTCTCAAACTTTTTATTCTCAGGGTTACTTTTCACTCTAAAAAATATTGAAGACCCCAAAGAGCTTTTATATATGTGAGTTATATCTATATATTTACTGTGTTAGAAATTAAAACAGAAATATTTATTTGAAAGAAACAATATCTTTATTACATGTAAACATTATTATTTTCATAAAAATAACTATCTTTGAAAATAAAAAATTGGTGAAAAAGTGGTGTTGTTTTATCTGTTTGCAAGTCTCTTTAGTGTCTGACTTAATGGAAAACAGCTGGATCTTCACATCTGCTCCTGCATTCAATCTCTTGTGATGTCACATGTCATGTAGCCTCTGGAAAATTGCATTCTATACTTATGAGAGAATGTGAGCAAACAAGGAAAAGAATATCTTGGTATTATTATAAAAATAATTTGACCTCATGCATCCCCTGAAATGGTCTCAGAGACCAGTCATCCCTGACTCCTTTGAGGATTGCTGGCTTAGAAGATACTAAAAACATACATTGAGGCTGGGCATGGTGGCTCACACCTGTAATTCCAGCACTTTGGGAGGCTGAGGCAGGCAGATCACTTGATCCCAGAAGTTTGAGACCAGCCTGAGCAACTCGGCAAAACCATGTCTCTACAAAAAATACAAAACTTAGCCAGATGAGGTAATAATGTGCACCCAGTTCCAGCTATTCCAGAGGGTGAGGTGGGAGGATTGCTAGAGCCTGGGAGAGGGAGGCTACAGTGAGCCGAGATTGGGCCATTGTATTCTAGCCTGGCGACAGAGTGAGAATCTGTCTCAAATAAAGAAATAAAATAAAAAATAAAAACACATATTGCATTTTATGTTGTGATGAGGGTACTTCCTTGAAGAATGATACCTGAATCTGATTTAGTAATCATACAGATTTTACTAGGCTGTCATTTAAAAACATGATGAGTTAACAGTAATCTCCTGTGATTTTAACAATTATTCTTTTAAAAATATTTATTTATTTATTTATTTATTGAGACTGAGTTTTGCTCTTTTTGCCCAGGCTGGAGTGCAATGGTGTGATCTCAGCTCACTGCAACCTCTGCCTCTCAGATTCAAGTGATTCTCCTGCCTCAGCCTCCCAAGTTGCTGAGATTACAGGTGCGCGCCACCACACTTGGCTAATTTTTTTATTTTTAGTAGAGACAGGGTTTTGCCATGTTGGCCAAGCTGGCCTTGGACTCCTGACCTCAGGTGATCTACCCACCTTGGCCTCCCAAAGTTCTGGGATTACATGCGTGAGCCGCTGTGCCCAGCCCAACAATTATTCTTATAGCTAAAGATACACATTGTTTGTAGAGAAACCGAGTTTTCTGTTACTTCACTTGAATATAAGGGGATTAAATATCTTTTTGTAGTCGGAAAAGCTTCAGGACTCCTTGTCTGACTTCTACTGTCTAGTTTGCATAACCAGTGACTACTTTACAAACTCATTTCTTCGAACAACTTAAGAGGAGCAGTTCGCTCAGAAGCACATATAAGATGATATTCGTACTGCAAATGAGACTCAGGAAGGTAGGGGTTTTGCCTCAAGTCACAAAACAGCTTAATGGAAGAACTGCAAAAGGAGCCCAAAGTGCTTTGATCACAACTCATTCTTGTCCATTTGGTTGGAAAACTCAACTTTTAGTAAAAATAGGGAAATGCACTCAACCTAAGAGCACATTAGAATGCTTGTTATATGCTCCTGTAGTGACTTTCACTTCCCCTCATGACCCTCATCATGTTCCCATTTCTAGTTAGATGTCCTCCTCTAATTAGATGATAAGCCTCAGGAAGAGAAGCTCACACCTGCCTTGCTCACTGTTGTAGTCCTGTATTTAGTCAGGGCTTTCCAGATAAACAGAATCAATAGGCAATATATACATATATAGAAAAAGATTTATCATGAGGGATCACCTCATGCAGTTATGGAGGCTGAGAAGTCTCATGATCTGCCACTTGTAAGCTGGAGGCCCCCAAAAACCAATGGTGTGGGTCCAGTTCAAACCTGAAGGCCTGAGAACCAGAGGAGCTGATAGTGTAAGTCCCAGTCTGAGTCCAAAGGCCTGAGAACCAGGAGTGCCAGTGTCTGAAGGCCAGAGAAGATAAATGTTCCAGCTCAAGCAGAGAGCAAATTTGCCCATCCTCTGTCTTTTTGTTTTATTGAGGTCTTCAATGGATTGGATAATTCCCGCCTGCATTAGTGAAAGTGATCTTCTTTACTCTTTTTACCAATTCAAATGATAATGTCTTCCAGAAATACCCTCACAAACCTGGAAATAATGTTTTACCAGCTATTTGGGCATTCCTTAGCCCAGTCAAGTTGACACATAAAATTAACAATCACAATTCCTGACACATAGCAGGTGTTAAACCAATATTTATTGGCTTATTGACTCTAATAAATCCACAGATTTAGTCAGGCTAGGGTTGACTGGACTTGGAAGTTAATGCTGTTACTTAAAACTCTGTTTCAAAATGCTGTGGCTAAAACATACAACAGTTTATGATATAGCAATTTCAGACCTGAAAATATACGGAAGAGAAATTAGTACATAGGTCCACCTAAAGAGAAATTAGTACATAGGTCCACCTAAAGAGAAATTAGTACACAGGTCCACCTAAAGATATACACAAGAATGTCCATAGCAACTTTATTCATAATGGCCCCAAACTAGAAACAATCCAAATGTCCACTAACAGAGAATGGATAAATAATTTATTTAATATTCATGCAATAATATGCAGTCATAATGAAGAAACTATTTGTATGTGAAAGACATGGATAAATTTCACAAACAAATGACAATATAAACTATATTATTCCATGTATACAAAGTTCAAGAAAAACAAAACTCATCTACAGAATCAATAGATGACATATAGATATATAGAAAAAGATTTATCATGAGGGTTTGGCCCATGCAATTATGGAAACTGAGGAGTCTCATGATCTGCTCTCTGCAAGCTGGAGGCCCATGAGAACCAGTGGTGTGGGTCCAGTCCAAATCTGAAGTCCTAAGAAACAGAGGAGATGATAGTGTAAGTTCCAGTTTTAGTCCAGAGGCCTGAGAACCAGGAGTGGGGCTGAAATAGTGCTCAACTCCGAGTGCTGGCGGAGAGTATTGACTGGACATGGAAATGAGGAAAACTTTTGGGGTGCAGAAAATGTCCTATATCTTGATCTGGAGGTTGGTTACATGAGTGTAAATGAATGTGTAAATTCATCAAGCTCTACCCTTAATTAATGTGTTTTATGCACTTTATACATATTATACCTCAAAATATGTTTTTTTAAAAACCCCAGAATTGGTATTCTTTCTAGAGGACATTTTGAATCTGCAACGTGGAAAAAATTTTGCTATGCTCAAATTTTCAGAAGTGTCCTATTTTCTACATAAATAATATGATTAACTTCAATAATTAACATTTATCGTTGAAAATATTATTCCATTTAAAATTTATGTCAACTCCTGGAGATGTCTAAAAGAAAAACCCTCATTTTATCCACAAGTAACTGAGGTTCTGAAAGATGAGCCCACTTCTCCAAGGTCACACAACTTGTAAATGCCAAGGCTTCCTTCAATCCCAGAGCCTCAGACTCTATACCACTACTGCTACCCATGATTCCATGCATGACCAAGCTACTCCATTGTTCTTTTACAGATGTATTATATGGAACTGATCTGAATTCAAAATATTAACTTTCTTGCAGGTTCTTCATTTGTGAACAAATGACATTTTATGCTGAAGATAGGCTTGCACCTGAGAGTCAACAACAGGGCCTTGTTAGATCTGGGCTGTGCAATGTTGTTAAGCTGTCCCATGATCCAGCAGATTAGAGCATTAGGGACACCCTGACACACTGAAGACTTGACATCACTTCAGATGAAAATGCTAAGATTGGTAGGTTTCTCCCTACCACAGGGAAATTAGAAATTATGAAATACATTGCAAAGACACAAGCCACGTAACATGGAATGCTGGCTTGGAAAAAAAGGACCTGAGCTTATGTTTAATCCCACCCTTACCTCTGGGAACTGGGGCACATTTCTGGGTTTTGAATTTCTCTTCTGTAAAAAGAAGACCAATGGCCAGTTCAGCCATGGCCAGTTCATCACTAATATCCCTTGAAACTCCGTGAATATATTCTATGAATACAAGCCTTAGAGGCAGCCTCTTGCTGCAAAAATGCAGCTACAAGTCTTTGATTCTTCTGTGGGTGAGATGAACACAGTCATGCCAAAATCATAGTGTTTTATAATAATCAAACAAGTTAATGTTTATGAAATAGCTTTGGAAATTGAAAAAGGCTACGAAATATTGCATTACATATGCAATTTGCGATAATTGGAGTAATTAATACTCATTTGAGATCAGCCATGTTGGAGTAGGTTAGATCACTCACATTCCTCTCTTCATGTACTGATCTAGTAACATTTGATCATCACTTCAGAGGTTACAGATGATGTGCTGCTGTCTATTGGATGATGCAGTTTATGGTTTTAAAATCCTAAGGGCCACCCTAAGAACCCAGGGTTACAATATGCTCAATATTTCTACTGATGATACTGAAAAGTCAATTTCTAGAGGATTCTCTACTTAAGAAGACAAAAATCCTTGACAAATACCTGCTTGGTTCCAAGATATGGTGGCATAAGTTGAGCAAAATAACAGATCAATGGAAAAGCATGGACAAGATAGGTAATAAATTCCTACTCCATTGGCTATAGTACTGAGCATTTACTTTGCTAAAAGGATGCTGGTTCAATGTGTCATGGAAGGAGTGCCCTGCAGAATAAATTTTGGTCTTGAAATTTTGGGAGGCTGAAGTTTCTGAGATCAAGTCAGGCCTTTTTGATCCCTCATAATTAGAGTTGTGACAGATCTAGGTGCCATTTTGTAACATTTAGTGATGACAAAGTATCTAGGGTATATTTTATGTCCAAACAACTTCTGGTGATGTCTAATTAAAGGACCCACTGGATCTAAGTCGAAGAATTCTAAAAAAATTTACGTTCCCATTTCTTGGAAATAGATGATTAAAAAGACCCCCTACCCAGGCCTTAGTTTCTATCCATGATTAGAAACTGTGGTATCAGCACTCTTCCCAGTATTCAGGGGCCCCATCAATAACACATGCCAAAATGCTCTAGAGGGGCCTCAGTAAGGAAAACAGAAGGCGTCAGGAAATTCTCCATCATTTTTCAGTGACAGCATTTGTCAGAGGAGGAAATTAGATTATAGAAAAATGCTGAATTAGATATCTTTATCAGTGACTGTTAAAACCCCAGGGAACAAGATAAAACTACTCTGAAGACAGTGGGGGTTGGTAAGTATGCTGCAAGAAACACAGCTCTGGTACACTGTTGGAGACATAGGGTGAATGTGAGAGTGAGAGCACACTTGTCAGGACTCAGAAGTGCAAACAGCCCTACTGAATTATCAAAGAATGCACAAGGATGGTTGATGGCAACCACACACATCGTTTGCTGTGTGTTATCAGAGGTTGCTGGAGATTGCTGGGGACTTGCTATATCATATCAGAGTCACAGCAATATGCCAAAGACATGGATGCCTTTCTGTTTAGCATTATCTATCCAGTGCAAACCTATTTGCTTATGACGTCCAGTGGCTCTCCAATGCCAACAGGGAAAAGACTAAGCTCTTTGGCAAGATATCAAAGGCTCTCCAAACTCTAGGTCTTGCTTGCCTATCTCACTTCATCTTCCTTTACCCTTGGCCTTCTGCTTTAAGCTTCAGTGACTCCCAGCTTGTGATTTTTCTACTTGTAGCAAACTACTCACATACCCATGCCTGTGGTCTTAGAAAGACTGCTGGTTAAAATGACCCATCTGGTTTTCTGTATCTGCTCCTTCCTATTCCTCCTTGTAGCATCAGCCCTGGCATTTATGTCCTCGGAGAAGCCTTCTCTGAATGTTTCTCTTAGCCCATCCTTGATCCTCCCATGGTATCTTATAATGCGTACTACTGCAGATGCAGGTATTATATGACCTTCCTTACATTGTCCTGTGGTTGAATTTTAGGTAAGTGGTGCAAATGTTAATACACTGGTTACTGCTACTATTGCTACGCGTGATAAACTGTTCTTTGTCTCAAACTCACAAGTTTTGTGTCTTCTGCCAGCATTCAAGTAAATGTGGCAAGCTAATTTGTTAGCTTGCAAGTAGGGTAAAATCCCAGGCTTTTAATAGTTCATTGTATACATTATATTCATTGTTTTACTTCCAGCACCAAAGTAGTGGTTAACATATGCTTAGTGTTTAATAAATGTTAGATGAATGAATGAATTGACTTAATGCTATAGAATAAAAGCAAAGAAAAGCAGCCCAAAGTGATCAGTCCACTTAGACCATGTCTTTTCAATGGCACCTGTGCTTCTGCTTAGCCATCTCCAGTGTGTCTTCAGTGGTTGTCTAGTGTGGCTTCCAGAGTTTATTTCCTAACTACATTTTTACTGATGCCAGCAAAGAGAGCTCAGATACTTCTGTGACATTGTTTAGAGCATGAACCCAAATTGCACCATCATCAATGCCATTTCTTACATGCTTACCAGGGCAAGATGCAGTGAGAAGTGTCATACAATTGAAGTTACATAGTTTATATAATTCCTATGAATTATTGGGCTAAAAAATAGATAACATTAAAAGCATAGTGTACTAAATGGGCTGTGCAAAACACAGAAGTATACAGTGCAGAAATTAAAGAAAGGCTTAACTAAATTTTTGCAGCCTCTTGTGAACAAGGTTTAGTGTATATAATTTGTGTCTGAAGTGCTGGTGTGGCTTTCTGAAATTGTATATTCTTTTTTCACCCCCATTTCATACGGGAAAACTTAGTCATGAAGTTAAAAGGTGAAATAAAATATGTAAGGTCAACTGCTTATAGCTAAAAAATTAGAGAAAGGGTCTGTAGACTCTAGAGAAGCCGCCTTATAGTTGTCTTTTACTTTCTGTTTAGAGCCAAGTCCACTTTATGAACAAAAAGTTTGAGAAGTATTTTTGATATAATTCCAAAGAAGACCTCCAAAAGATTCCTAGACATGGGGAAGTGTCATCTATTTAAAAAAATATTTAATTAGGCCCAGTGCAGTGGCTCACGCCTGTAATCCCAGCACTTTGGGAGGTCCAGGCGGGCAGATCACAAGGTCAGTAGTTGAAGACCAGCCCGGCCAATATGGTGAAACCCCATCTCTACTAAAAAATACAAAAATTAGCTGGGTGTGGCAGCACATACCTGTAGTCCCAGCTACTCAGGAGGCTGAGGCAGGCTGAGGCTTGAACATGGGAGGCGGAGGTTGCAGTGAGCTGAGATCGCGCCACTGTACTCCAGCCTGGGCGACAGAGTGAGACCCCATCTTTGAGATCTAGAAGTAATGAGAGATAATTTGAAACTCTGAACAAAGAAACTTTTAGAAAAAAGCATTTTTTATCATACTCCCACCCCCTACCTCAAACATATTTGGTTGAGTGAGTTGACTGTAAGTTGGGAACCTATCATAACTGTACTTGTAAGTAAAGACATGTTTTTAAAGAAACAAGGATAAAGTTCATTGCATAGCTGGTCATTCTTCAAATAATGCCAGATCCTAAGTGATTTCAGGCTTGTTAAGTATATTCATACTGTTGTGAAATAGATCTCCAGAACTTTTTCATCTTGCAGAAGCTGAAATTCCATACCCATTAAGCAACACCCCTCTCTGCCTCCCACCAGTCCCGGTAACCACCATTCTACTTTCGGTTTCTATAAATTTGACTACTTTAGACACTTCATATAAATGGAATCAAACAGTATTTGTCTTTTTGTGACTGACTTATTTCATTTAGCATAATATCCTCAAGGTTCTCCCACATTGTAGCATATGCAAGACTTCCCTTTCTTCTAAAGGGTGAATAATATTCCATTGCATGAATAAATCACATTTGTTAATCCATTTGTCCATCTGTGGATGTTTACGTTGCTTCCATGTCTTGGCTATTGTGACGAATGTTCTGATGAGCATGGGTGTTAAAATATCACTTCAAGACTGCTTTTAATTCTTTTGGCTATATGCCCAGAAGTGGGATGGCTGGATTATATGATAGTTTTATTTTTAATTTTTTGAAGAATTTCCATACTATTTTCCACAGAAGTATCACCATTTTATAATCCCACTAATAATGCACGATGTTCCAATTTCTTCTTGTGGAATTCTTAAGACTGTCTTTTCTCCTTGAGAAACTCCCTGGGGATTGTGACCAGCGATGTCATTGATTTTCAATCTGACTGAAGAATGTAATTTTCCTTCCAATTGCAAAGTGTGTACTCCCTAAGGAAAGGAGGAGAGAAGGGTCATCTCCATATATGTTAAGTAGAGAAAAATGTCAATAGTTAGATGCTGGGTAAATACTGCAGGAAAAGAAAGGCGTTTCAGTACACAGCATTTATTCAAATCAATGCACCTGACTTGGTGGCTAGATTTAAGTTAAAGTCTTTTCAGTGTGATGGACAAAGCAGATGTGTGAGCATGAATTCAATCATGAAAAGTCTTTATTAAAATACAAAGAGTCAACATATGTCACGTGGGGGAGGCTTATTACTAAGAATGTAAATTCTTAAGACAAAACCTTCCTATAGCCCATGTGATAAATCTCTTTTCTGTTCCTAGTCTTATGAAGGGCATATTACGATGCTTTAGGGCACATTTATTTGTTGGACTTACCACAATTCATAATTAAGTATTTAGTTTTGTGCTTATTTTTTAATATAGGAAATGAATACAGCATAAGGCCAGTGGCATGTTGTTTTTTTTTCTCATTGCATTTTCTTCAGTGATGAAGCTGGTGCCTGAGGCATTGTTGGAGGTTAATAGATACTTATGGAATGAAGGAATGGAGTGTGGTAGAAAGAGTCTTATTTTCTGAGGGAGGAGTTACGAGTTCTGTACTCAGAACCACTACTAAGTAGCTGTGATTTCTAAGGCAAGTGACTTAGTCTCTTGGTCTTGGTTTACCCATCTGTCAAATAAGGATTTCATATTTAAACACTTTTTTCCCCCAGACAGTGTTACTTGGGATCTTGGAGATTCTAGGAGGTGCCCTGAATTGCAGAATGCAAAAATCCAAGAGCCGGGGACACTTGGTCCTCCACCGCTACTTTCCAAACAAAGAGATCTACTTATTTCTGTTTTATGTGTTAGGATACTACCAAAATGTTTATTTACAAAATGATTTCAATGCTTAAAAAATATTCAAAACCCATAATTTAAATTGGAAAATCTCTAAGTCTCCTTTTAGCAGCTAACTGCCTGGGCTTTCCTCATCCCCAGAATCTTCACTTTATCCAGGGTTTTGATAAAGTGTCACCTCCTCAGAGAGACCCTACTTGGCCAACAAATCTCTTGGTATAATTTGTATTTATTACCTGGTATTATTCTCTATTTTGTGTGGCAGGTGTTAGTGTATAAATCTTATCTCCTCAACAGCACTGCAGGTTCTTTGGGAGTGAGGGCCACATAATGTATATCACTTTCTCCACCCTAATCAGTACTTAACATAAGGCCAGAAATGTAATAGATATTAGTATTCAACCTATTCATTCACAAATCTTTAGAGAACTACTCGTAATGGTTATCATACATTAGACACTTGACATTTACAAGTCTCTCAAGATACCATTTAATTTCTTCACCTTTAAAGTGGGGGAAAGAGTACTTTCTTCAAATGTTCGTTTTGAAGATTAATGAAGATCATGCATTAGATGAGAATAGCAAAGCTCTGGTGAGCTGTAGATTCTGGGCTGGGGGTAAGGTTCACTCACTGTCTGAGTGATTAGTGCTATGTCTCTCCCCTACTCAAAACCCTTTAGTAGCTCCCTCTTGCCTCAAAGATTGAATTAGACATATGTTATGGTGCCTGACCAGCTTTCCTATCCCTCTTCCCTGCTACCATTTCTAAAATCTTTTCCCACCCCATGTGATTCTGATGTGTCCACATCCAAAGCCCCCACTCCTTCCCCTGTTGTTCTGTCTTTTTTTTTTTTTTTTTTTTTTTTTTTTTTGCTAAAACTGTTATGAACGATGACTCTCTTCTTTTTGGTTCACAAGTCATAGGTATGCAGGCCTACATTGCTGCTATTCTTCTTTCCCATGAAAAAGCCTGTGTTACACTAGGAGCAAATAAGGTTAATATGCAAAGTAATGTGGAGACAGAGCTTGCTGATAGAGAGAGAAAGAACTGATGCTATTATTTAAGTCCCTAGATCCACTCAAGGTAGTAGGGTTGTTGTCAGGGTTAAATGAGTTAATAATGGGAGTGCTGCAGCCACTGCCGCTGATTCCAGATCTCATTGCCACACGCCCCGACGACTGCCTGATGTGCATTCCTGATTCCTTTTGGTTCCAAGTCCAATGTGGCAACTCTCAAGGATCAGCTGCTTCATAATCTTCTAAAGGAAGAACAGACCGCCCAGAATAAGATTACAGTTGTTGGGGTTGGTGCTGTTGGCATGGCCTGTGCCATCAATATCTTAATGAAGGACTTGGCAGATGAACTTGATCTTGTTGATGTCATCGAAGACAAATTGAAGGGAGAGATGATGGATCTCCAACATGGCAGCCTTTTCCTTAGAACACCAAAGATTGTCTCTGGCAAAGACTATAATGGAACTGCAAACTCCAAACTGGTAATTATCATGGCTGGGACATGTCAGCAAGAGGAAGAAAGCCGTCTCAATTTGGTCCAGCGTAACGTGAACATCTTTAAGTTCATCATTCTTAATGTTGTAAAATACAGCCCGAACTGCAAGTTGCTTATTGTTTCAAATCCAGTGGATATCTTGACCTACGTGGCTTGGAAGATAAGTGGTTTTCCCAAAAACCATGTTATTGGAAGTGGTTGCAATCTGGATTCAGCCCAATTCCGTTACCTGATGGGGGAAAGGCTGGGAGTTCACCCATTAAGCTGTCATGGGTGGGTCCTTGGGGAACATGGAGATTCCAGTGCACCTGTATGGAGTGGAAAGAATGTTGCTGGTGTCTCCCTGAAGACTCCGCACCCAGATTTAGAGACTGATAAACATAAGGAACAGTGGAAAGAGGTTCACAAACTGGTGGTTGAGAGTGCTTATGAGGTGATCAAACTCAAAGGCTACACATCCTGGGCCATTGGACTCTCTGTAGCAGATTTGGCAGAGGTACAGTGAAGAATCTTAGGCAGGTGCACCCAGTTTTCACCATGATTAAGGGTCTCTATGGAATAAAGGATGATGTCGTCCTTAGGGTTCCTTGCATTTTGGGACAGAATGGAATCTCAGACCTTGTGAAAGTGACTCTGACTCCTGAGGAAGAGGCCTGTTTGAAGAAGAGTGCAGATACACTTTGGGGGATCCAAAAAGAGCTGCAATTTTAAAGTCTTCTGATGTCATATCATTTTACTGTCTAGGCTACAACAGGATTCTAGTTGGAGGTTGTACATGCTGTCCTTTTTATCTGATCTGTGATTAAAGCAGTAATATTTTAAGATGGACTGGGAAAAACATCAACTCCTCAAGTTAGAAATAGGAATGATTTGTAAAATCCACAGCTATATCCTGATGCTGGATGGTATTAATCTTGTGTAGTCCTAAACTGGTTAGTGTGAAGTAGTTCTGCCACCTCTGATGCACCACTGCCAATGCTGTACATGCTGCATTTGCCCCTTGAGCCAGGTGGATGTTTACCGTGTGTTATATAACTTCCTGGCTCCTTCACTGAACATGCCTAGTCCAACGTTTTTTCCCAGTCAGTCACATCCTGGGATCCAGTGTGTAAATCCAATATCGTATGTCTTGTGCATAATTGTTCCAAAGGATCTTATTTTGTGAACTATATGTATCAGCAGTGTACATTACCATATAATGTAAAAAGATCTACATGTAAACAATGCAGCTAACTATCCAAGTGTTATACCAACTAAAACCCCCAATAAACCTTGAACAGTGAAAAAATAAATAAATAAATGAGTTAATGCATGTAAATAAAAACGTACATAAGAGTGTATATGTTCAATAATAATTTGCTGTCCTCAATCATATCTCAATGTATAATATTTCTATGTATTCTTATCTTCTCCAACTAGACTGTAAAGTTTTTGAGAGCAGGCACTAGGTCCTACTCAGCACTTGGCCTACACTTAGGTTCAGTAACCCTCGTTGAAGGGATCAGCATATTTCTGTGAGGCACAACCAGTGTGTGGCTTCAGCTTCAGCTTTCCAAACAGTCTGTGATTTTGTTAGTAGAATTGTGAAATTTACTCCTAATGTGTGGAACGCATCTTTGCCTGTGGTTTTATTTTGTTAATTTCATTGTGTTCTAACTTAGGCTAAGTTGCCATGATGTTTTTGTGCGAAAACTGATTTTATTTTTATTTTTCATCATGCAAAATGTCTTTTGAGAAAGCTGGAGTTAGGACATTTTTCTAGAGTCACATTTTAAAAAATTAAGGTCAGTAAGCAAAGACTCCCAACTCCTTGAGTTATGCTTGGAAAAATAAAATTGCTGCTGGTGCTAAGCTTTGAAATTACTAAATCACTCTCAAGTCCCACACAGATTGTTAAAATGGAAAACATCTGAAAATTAAATTCTTTATGTTGCCTTTGGTGCATCTTCCCCTTTTCTGTAAAAGGTGGAGATAAAAAGGATTCCTGAAAAGGATTCCTGATGATTTTTTCATGTTTTTAATGCATGTGCAAAATTCTTATGTCTAGTTAATGCTAGCATTTGAAGCTGTGTCCAAATGCAAGCATTTGCCTGTTTGATTTTCAGTTGTGAAGGCAGAGTGGAATGGAAGCTGTCAGTTTATTCTGATTTCCTGTCTGAATTTAGTGGACAAATGTGGAAATGATAATATAATTAGTAGAATTTTTACCCTGAAGTTTCCATATCTACACACAATAGCCTTGAATATGGAGGATGGGAAATGTTTGCGCAAATAGATTCACTGAAGCACATGATTTGAGTATAAGCCCTTGTAAAGTTAGGGGACCTGAATCCCTCATCCTTTCAGATCCAGCTGGACCATTAGCTCCAGAAATAAAACAAAGTGCTAGGAGAAGGATTCCTTTGTTGTTAATAGCTACATGCTTGCACGATGTGTGCATGTGTGTATTTGGAAGCCTGTCCCTTCAGTGTCTCTCCAGTCAGGAGCATCTTCTTCAAAGCCTTCACGCAGACGATTCCTTTAAAGCCTGCCTCTTGTCTGAAATAAAACAATAGCCTGCTAGCAGCCTGGAAGCCCTTGAGGTAATTGGTGAATTGAAATTGGTATGTATCTTTTTCATCTATCCTTTTATTTTTACCACAGATGTACAAATAAACAATTGTGTTGGTTTTTTGTTTTTAAAAATTACATATTATTCTGTCCATCTTTTTAAAAATAGTTTTATTGAGGTATAATTGATATATAAAAATTGCACACATTTAACAGATACAATTTGATGAGTTTGAACATATGCACATAATAGATAATCAAGGTAATAGATAAATCGACCACCTCCAAAAATTTCCCTGTGCCTCTTTGTTTTTTGCTTTGTTTCATTTTGTTTTGTTGTAAGAATACTTAACATGAGATCTATCTTAACAAATTTCTAAATACAATGTGCCCTTGTTACCTATAGGCACAATGTTGTACAGCAAATCTCTAGAACTTATTAATCTTGCATAACTGAAGCATTGTACCCATTGAACAGCGCCTTGTTTCTCCTGCCTCCAAGTCCCTGGCAGCTACCCTTCTACTCTCAGTTTCTATGAGTTTAACTATTTCATATACCACATATAAGTGGAATCATGCAGTATTTGTCCTTCTATGGCTAGCTTATTTCACTTAGCATAATTTCCTCCAGATTCATCCATCTTGTCTCATATGGCAAGATTTTCTTCTTTTCAAAGGCCGAATAATATCCCATTGTGTATATACACCACATTTTCTTTACCCATTTATCTGTTGATAGACACTTAGGTTGTTTCCGTATGTTGGCTACTCTGAATAGTGCTGCAGTGAACATTGGAGTGCAGATATCTCTTCAAGATCCTGATTTCCATTCTTTTGGATATACATTCAAAAGCGGGATGGCTGAATCACATGATAGTTCTATTTTTCATTTTTAGAGGAACCACCACACTTTTTTTTATAGTGGCTGCATCGTTTTGCCTTCTCAGCAAGAGGGTACAAGGGTTCCAATTTCTCCACATCTTCATCAACATTTATCTTTTGCTTTTATTTTTTATAATTGTGATGGTTAATACTTAGCATCAACTTGATTGGATTGAAGGATGCAAAGTATTGATCCTGAGTGTGTCTGTGAGGGTGTTGCCAAAGGAGATTAACATTTGACTCCGTGGGCTGGGAAAGGCAGACCCATCCTTAATCTGGGTGGGCACTGTCTAATTAGCTGCCAGAATGACCAGAATAAAAGCAGGTAGAAGAATGTGGAGAGATGAGACTGGCTTAGCCTCCCAGCCTGTATCTTTGTCCCATGCTGGATGCTTTCTGCCCTGGTACATCAGACTCCAGGTTCTTCAGCTTTGGAACTCTGACTGGCTTCCTTGTTCCTCAGCTTGCAGAGGACCTATTGTGGGACCTTGTGATCACGTGAGTAATACTCCTTAATAACCCCTCCCCTTTTTATATACATCTATCCTATTAGTTCTGTCCCTCTAGAGAACTCTGACTAATAACGTAATATCCATCTTAATAGTGTGAAATAATATCTCATTGCGGTTTTGATTTGCATTTCCCTGAAGATTAGTTACATCAAGCATTTTTTATATACCTTTTGGCCATTTTTATATCTTAAAGAAATGTCTGTTGAATTTTTTTGCCCATTTAAAAATGTCTATTGAGATTTTGCCCATTTTTTAATTGAGTTGCAGGAGTTCCTTGTATATTTTGGATATTAATCCCTTATCAGAAATATGATTTGCAAATATTTTTCCCTATTCTGTGGGTTACCTTTTAATCTGTTGAGTGTTTTGTTTACTGTGCAGAAGACTTTTAGTCTGATGTAGTTTTACTTGTCTAATTTTGCTTTTGTTACTTCTGGCGTTTTTTTTTTTTTTTTTTTTTTTTTTTTGGAATTTTCCTCCTCAGTGATTCTTGTTCCAATGTTACTTATATTATTTTTGGTATTATATCCAACAGATCATTGTCAAGCCTAATGTCATAAAGCTTTTCCCCTACGTTTTCTTCTACAAGTTTCATAGTTTCATGTGTAACACTTAAGTTTTTAATCTATTTTGAGGTGATTTTTGTATATTGTGTAAGCTAAGGGCCCAATTTCATTCTTCTGCATGTGAATATTCAGTTTTGCCAACACCATCAGTTGAAGAACTGTCTCTTCCCCATTGCGTATTTGTGTAACCCTTGTCAAAGATCAGTTGACTGTACATGCCTGGGTTTATTTCTGGGCTCTTTATTCTGTTCCATTGGTCTCTATCTCTGTTTTTATGTCAGTATCACACTGTTTTGATTAATATAGCTTTGTATTATATTTTGAAATCAGGAGGTGTTGTGTCTCCAGTTTTCTTCTTTTTTTTTTAAGATTGTTTTGGCCATTTCAAATCTTTTGTGGTTTCATATGAATTTGATGATTTTTTTCTGGGTATAAAAGGAATTTACCTAAACACAATAAATGCCATATGAGGGGACTTTTAAAAATTGTGGAAAAATTAAATTAAAAAATAAAAATAAAAAATACATACTTTATTTCTCAATATAAACTCCATGAAGTTCAAGATACTTTTGTAAATGATAATACCAGCTAATTAGTCTGTCCCTAAAGACCTGGAAATACTGGCAGTTTAGCCATATCAATGCAGTCTTTTTAACATTATTAGATGAAGAAAAATGGGTTCTCTTTAAAGACTTTTTAAGGTTAGGGGAAAAAAAGAAGTCAGAAGGAGCCAAATTTGGAGACTGTAAGATGGATGTATAATGATTTCCCATCAAAAGTCTTGCAAAATGGCCATTGTTCAATTAAAGGAATGAGCAGCAGCATTGTCCTGGTGGAGGTGGACTCTGGCAAAGCTTTCCTGCGTGTTTTTCTGCTAAAGCTTTGGCTAACTTTCTTAAAACACTCTCATAGTATGCAAATCTTATCGTTCTTTGGTCCTCCAGAAAGTTAACAAGCAAAATTCCTTGAACATCCGAAACAAGTTTGCTATGATCTTTGCTCTTGACTGGTCTGCTTTTGCTTTGGCTGGACAACTTTCACCTTTTGGTAGTCATTGCTTTGATTGTTCCTTGTCTTCAGGGGCATACTGGTAAAGCAGTGTTTTATCTTCTGTTGTAATTATTTAAAGAAATCCTTCAGGATCTTGATCCTCCTTGTTTAAAATTTCCATTGAAAACTCTGTTCTTGTCTACAGCCGATCACAGCACAATCATTTTGGCACCACTCAAATGGTAAGTTTGCTTGACTTTAATTTTTTGGTCAGAATTGTGTAAGCTGAACCAACTGAGGTGTCTATGGTGTAGACTGTTGTCTGTGCTATTAATCATTGATTCTCTTCAATTAAGGTATGAACTAAATGAATTTTTTTTTCGCATTTTGATGTGGATGGTCTGCCCCTGTGAGCTTCATCTTCAACATTGTCTCATCTCTTCTTAAAATGAGTTATCCATTTGCAAACTGCTGATTTCTGTGGGGGCATTTTCCCCACAAACTTTTCATAAAGCACCAATGATTTCACTATTCTTCCACCGTAAATTTGATCTTTGCTCTTATTTCAATTTTAGCAGAATTCATGTTGCTCTGATAGCAGTTCTTTTCAAACTGGTGTCTTATAGTTGTTAGTGCCTCAAGCTAGACGTTCCGACATGTTATAACAAGTTAGTACAGATTTATTTTGGTGCAAAGAATTTTTGAAATCCATGTAAAGTTTTTTATAAAAACACTTTTTTTAAAAGTCCTCTTTACTTAGTGATAAATGTAATCAAGATGAAAGTCTCATACGCTGTACACTAAAAACTACAAATCATTGATAAAAATATTAAAGAAGGAACAAATAATTGGAAAGACAGCCCATGTACATGGATTGGAAGACTTAATATAGTTAAAATGTCCATACTACCCAAAGTGATCTACAGATTCAGTGTAATCCTTATTAAAGCATGTTCCTGTACTTTTGCAATTTCCTTTTTTCTTTTTTTTTTTTTGAGACAGAGTCTTGCTCTGTCACCCAGGCTGGAGTGCAGTGGTGTGATCTTGGCTCACTGCAACCACCACATCTAGGTTCAAGTGATTCTCCTGCTTCAGCTTCCCAAGTAGCTGGGATTACAGGCACCTACCACCATGCCCAGCTAATTTTTTTGCTATTTTTAGTAGAGATGGGGTTTCACCATGTTAGCCAGTCTGGTTTCAAACTCCTGACCTCAAGTGATCCACCCGCCTGGGCCTCCCAAAGTGCTAGGATTACAGGTGTGAGCCACTGCACCTGGCTGCAATTTGCTTTCTTTACTCAACATCTTTTTGGTTTAGATGATGGTTGTTTCAATATTTTTCAATTACAATGGCAAAGAATGTCAGGTATAAGACTTTTTGTACACATATGAGAATCTAAGTGTAACTCTAGAAGTTAAAATGCCTAATTTAAGGTTTTTGGAATATTTACTTTTACTAGAAATGGTCAGACTACTTTCTAAGTGTTTGTGTCTATTTAAAACTTCCAGTAGCAACTAAGAGTTTTCCCCCCGCTTATCTTTTACCAGATTTAATTTATTTAATTTACCAGATTTAATTTATTGTAAGATTTTAAACGTTTTATTTATCTGAGAGAGTCTCATTTTTAGTCTCCATTTGTACTGGCCTGATTGTTTGTGTAATTGGATGCTTTCATGTATTTATTAGCCATTTGTGTGTCTTCTCCTTTAATAAAAGGAGAATATTAAGATTTTTTTCTTAATGATTTGTATAGGCTTCAGAAGCTTCTTTAAATTTTGAGCATAAAGATTTTGTAATTTATTTTCATTTTCAGTACCTTCTCCCAATTTCTGTTTTTTTTTTTAAAAAAAAACTTTTAAGTTTTTGCTCCATGGGAAATTTTAATTATTATATAAAATATATCAAGTTTTTCTTTTATAGCCTTTACTTATTGTATCACACTTAAGAAATTTTCCCTTGATATTAAGAAGATATTCCTTGATTTTTTTGGTTCCAAAAGTTAAAGGCTTTGTTATCAAATTAAGATACTCAAATCAACTGCAATTTGTTTTGGTGTATAGTATGAGGTAAAGATCTAATGTTTTTTGATATATGATATGAAGTAGAGTTCTGATGCTATGTTTTCCATATGGATAACCTATTGTCCTGTCAACGTATTATTGATTGTCTATTATTTCTTCACTGACTTCTATTCTGACCTTGGTCATACACCAGGTTGCTATATGTGAGTGACCTGCTTCCAAGCTTTTCTAGACTCTTTCTTTGCCTTCTATCACTGTGAAAATTCCACAATTTCTTAATTGTTAAAACTTTATAATATAAAATATCAATATTTAGCAGGGAAATTAATCATTAAATGTATCTTCTTCAATTTGTCTTGGCCATTCCTGGTTTTTATTCTTTTAGATAAATTTTAGTATCAGCTTGTCATTTTATATATATATATATATATATATATATATATATATATACACACACACACATACACACACACACACAAAATATATACAAATATATAAATACATATAATTTATATATTTCATAGTATATATAATATACATATATAACATATATGTACATAATGTGTATATGTGTACACATATTTATATAAAATGCCTTGTTGGCATTCCAATTGACACTGCATTGAAATTTTAATTTTGGGAGAATTGACATTTTTACATTATTAAGTCTTCTCAACCAGTTTGATATTATCTTCCCATTTATCTAGATTTTTTATGCCCTTTATTAATTTTTTATTTTCTTCATGAAATTTTACCCAAATTTAATTAATTTAGATGAATTACCAGGCTCATTAAAGTTTTGCTGCTATTATAAAAGCTGTCTTTTAAAAAGTATTTTCAGTAATTAGTTGTTACTTGTATATATGAACGCCATCTATTTTTGTATGTTGACCTTATGTCCAACAAACTTGCTGAACTCTTTGAATAGTTCAAACAGTAAATTCTTTTGCATATTTGTACAGAGACTCTTATCTTTTGCAAATAATGAAAGGTTTATTTTTCCTTTTAAATTTTTATGCCTCATTTTTTTATCTTGACTTACTGTGTTGGTTAGGATCTCCTATCCAATGTTGAATTGTGGAGATTGGAGTAAGATGTCTTTAATTGGATTTAGGAACTTCCCTTCCAGACCTAGTTGGCTAATAGTTTTCAGTTTTTGGTTTTTTAATGAATGAGTATTAAATTTTACTGAATGTCTTTTTTCTGCACTTATTAAGATAGTCATGCCTTTTTTCCTTCTTTAATATATTAAACTGCTAGATGTTCTGATTTTGAAACATCCTTGCAATCCTGAAAGAAAAATTCATCGCTATTGGTCATGTTGTCTTTTAAAAAGCAGAGCTGAATTTGATTTGTAAATTAGTTATTTAGGATTTTGCATTCATGTTGACAGTCAAATTGGCCGGTAGCGCTCTCATGGCAAGCAGAGCACGCTGCTCTTGTGCCCTGCTCAGGGGTGGTTTTATTTCCTGATAACCCCTAATCACGTTGTCAGCTCCCAAGTCTGAGGTCAGCAAGGCTCTTCCTATAAACCCTCTCATCGGCTGTGTTATTGCTCTTTTCTGGTACACAGAGGTGTTTGTATTGCTTTTCTTTATTTATTTGTTTTCATGTTTATTATTTCAATTGTGGTATGTATAACCTTTCTATTCCTGGACTCATCCTCTTCTCTTGCCATAGTATTGCTTCCCATGGCCATCTAGTGTTAGAGACTCAGTGGAAAACTATCTTTACGTTGCAATAGATAACACTTCTGTCTGCTGCCATCGTCAAAATTTAATAGGCACATTCCTAATTTTTTATATGAATTGTTGGTGAAGGCATTGGCTATGCCTTTCAGAGAATGCTACATTCTACAGCAATTCAACAAAAATCATTCATATTTACAATCCAAAATGATATGCCAATCTCCAACACACATTTGATATTTTTCATTATCACTCCAACTAGGGCTAGAAGTAAAATGATTTCTTTAAAAATGAATTTTGTGCCAGCACTAAGTTCAGCAGCACATGCTTTTAGGGGAAGAATTCTTTGTTGTTTCTTTGACTAGTTCTTTTTAAATTCCCTAGCTTGGCATTTCAATCTGTTCAAACAGTATTTTATTGATTGAAGTTGATAATTGTATTATTTCCAGGCCCTTATTCATTTGTGGCAGATAGAAGGAATGACATTTGTATAAACAGGTACTTCAGATTTCAGGACATTTTGACTGATCTAACTCTTAACTGCCTATTTCAGAATATGTTCAGCACAGTTAGGCCAAGCTTCATGTATATAATTAACTTTGGAAAGATTATATCTCCTGCGGACTTTTTGAAATACTTTACAATCTAAGTTTGTTATTTTTTGCTTAGCATGCTTAAGTTATTTTTCCCATAGAAGTGATATAAAGACATTTATCTCTGTTTCTAGACTAATCTGTAAACCTTATTTAGCTCTTAATCTATCTATAAACTTTATAATCTATCTATAAACTAATCTATAAACCTTATTAGTTTCTAGACTAATCTATAAACCTTATTTAGATGTTAGAATAAGCATGTTGATGCAACCGTTTGTACATAGTATACAATTCCTTTGTCAAATGGAATCCGAGTCTCAACTAACAGCTTCTAAAACCATCTTCATTTCTTTGCAGGTAAGATATTCACAACCTGGGCAATTTTGAAAATCAGTTGGGGAATAAAATTGTCTATTATGCTGTGTTTCTTAACTGTCATTATTAAGGCTTTATTTCTTGCCTTTTCAGGATTAATATATGACTCACACATTGTCACTATATTTATTTAATAATAACTGTGTTTAGTAAATAATATCTGTTCACTTATAAAGAGCTTAGTGATTCTTAACTTTCACCTACTTATTCTCAGAGCAAATAAAATGAATCAAGAAATTCTTGAAGATTTGAAATCTCCGATGACTTTGAGTAAGTGTATATGCACCATTCATTGCTAAAGTAACCACAAAGCATGTTTTTAAAATACATAATTTTTTTCTCCCTTCTTATGCATTCTTTTCTTCTTTACATTTTTCTCTTTTCTTTCTTCCTTCCTCATGTAATTTTCTTCTCCTTTTTCATTTTCCTCTCTCTTTTCCTTATGGCTTCCAAAGAAAGGCATATGGTGTTGTGACCTTGTTACGGGAAACCACATCTAGGTTGAATTGGATTCACAGTGTTCTATATTTTTGGCAAAGGTTTAGGATAGCCAGACATGTCTTAATATAAACAGTTCCCCCAAAGTGAGTTAATACTTCAAATTCTCTCTTTATGGTTAATTTAGAAGGCCAGATGGTAGGCCATTATCTTTTTTTTTCCTGGTGGGAATAAAATACAGGAAAGCATTTTATTAAACAGTTGTTAAGGATTAAGACTTTCACAGACCACTGAATACTGACAAGTTAACTATGTGAATCTCTGTTGAGAGGACAGTTCTTGGCCAGTGATATATCTGCATTATTGGGATCACGCACTATATGCAAATGGATCAGATTAATGGGATTTTTATGGGTTTTCGAAAAGAGCCAGACACACAAAAAGCCTTACAAATGGAAGAACTAAGGTGGTACTTAAAAACAGCACCTTAGGATCTAGTTCCATCCTATCTTTTCCCTTAAATGCCATGACAAAAGTTAAAACGGGCCCTGTCCCTTCTGAATGCTGGGCTTCTCATCTAAATTTAAATAAAAACCTTTGAAGATGGGAATGTGTTGGAAGAAAAGAAGGGCAGAAAAAAAGTGTGTTGGAAGAGTCTGTGTGAGTATGTACATGTGTGGGTGTGGGCATGTGCGGCCTGTGCGTATGTGTGTGCCCCCGTGTGTGTGTGGAGCATGCGTGAGAATGCATGCACATGTGTGGGGTGGGTCACTATGTGTGCATGCATGTGAAGGCATTTGCCTGTGTATGTGTCTGTGTGTGGTGATTGTGTGTCTATCGTGTTTGTATGTGTGCCTGTGTGTGTACCTCTGTGAGTGGGTGTGTCTGTATGTGACTGTGTGCCCATTTGTGAATGTGTGTGTGCCTGTGTCTGAGTGTGTGTGTGCCTGTGTGCTGCAGGCGGGAGAGGCTGCTCTGGCTCGGCGAGTGGCGGAGCAGTTAGTACAAAACTAGTAGTGAGAAAGGAAGCTGGGAAGAGACTGGGAAGAGGCAACCGACCTCATTAACAAAAGCTCAGTTTTGTCCCTGCGGACCCAACCAGCAGAAGGCACGGGGCTAGCGGTGGCTGTCCGCCAGGGAGGTCGGGCTCTGTGTAAACAGTAGAAGGCATCTTTATCATGCCCTTCTCACAGGGAGTCCTGAGGCTTGGCGCTCAGGAAGTTTGCAAAGCTGCAGCAGCTGCCTTGGAGAAGACCAGCAAAGAAAGTGGAGTGTGTATGTGAACTTCAATTCTGTATTTTCTGTGAGGTGGGTTAATGGATTTTTAGTAAAAAGAAATCTCAAACACAGCTGACCTGAAAGACTGGAATTTCAGCTCTCTTCCTTCCCGGGGTTCTTTTTCCTCCCCCTTCCTCTCAAAGCCCTTTAAACCAGATTGCTGTGTCAGTGACTCTTATCCTGCCCGCCAGTTCCAAGGGTTTCTAACTTTTTGTCTTGGAAAGGAAAACCACTACCTGTAAGTATCTGTTTTATGTGTTTCTTTTCATTGTGACTGTGAATGTTCTGTTAGCAGAATGCCCCAGAGATTGTTTGTGTGATATCATTAATGCCAAGTAACAATGCAAAGCATCTGCAAGAGTAGGCTTGCAAAAGTTTAACTCTCCTGTTAACTCAGAAGATGGCAACTTGCAGTGTTAACAAACCAAATGCCAAAACTGAGATTCTTTTTATTACGTGACACAAATTTCTAACTCTTCTCAGTCCATCCGTGCTGGCACTTGCCAATGAAATAACCATTTTTTAACTGTGTAATTGTTTCCTCTGAAATTAGAATGTTTCTTCTCAGCTAAATGAAATGGCAAAGGGAAAAGACACAAAAATGAACAGAACAGATAATATCCTCATGGTACAAACATAGAGAAATTTGGATGAGATAATGTCTGGATACCTTTGCTTAAGTTTAGTTATATTTGGAGACATATTTTCAAAAACATGATTTCTGTTTCATTGTGGGGAAGAGAGATAGTGCTGGGGAGGCAAAGAAATGGCCTTGTTCTGAAGTTTTTGGACTGATTTTTAGGCTCTCTCTGCTCAGTACTGAGATTTGGTCCAGAGACTTTGGTGCTGTTGTAAAGAGTTTCTTTTCATTTTATTTTGAAATCCAGGAAACAATTTTTGGCTTATGGAAATTGTTTATTGTTTTTAAGGTATTTAATTTTAGTTTCTGATTTTTTTTTAAACTATTGCACCCAGTCTTGTTGCTTGGTGTGCATTACAAAGCTTAAAAAGAGCATTTCTGGGAGCCAATTGGTGTTTATAGCCTGGGAATCTTACTGGAGAGATTAACCTCTGTGGTGCTGCTTCACAGAACAGAGCTAGTGATTCGAATGCTCTTCAGGTTTCTGCTCTGGAAAACTGACACCCGCTGTTCCTGACTCTAGGTAAAGCTTGAAGAGCTGTGCCTCAGCCCCCTGCTTACATTTGATAAAGGTGCCTTCAGTGCAGCTCTAGGAAACTTTGCTGTTTCTCTCCATCAGGCATTCTCAAAACTGACTGTGTGTAAGAACCCCCATTTGCTTGGTGAAAGGCAGGTTCTCAGTTCCCAGGCCCAAAGGATTTTAGACCTGGAGTGGTGCCAGGAATCTTCCCAGGTGATTCTGAAGCAGGTGGGTCACACTTGGGTAAACATTGCTCTACATTGTCCTTGACATGAAATTCTTGTCATGTACTTGGTTAATATTAAACCTTATATCTAAATAAGAAACCTGAGTTTGAGCTGTTGTTGAGCATAACTTAATGTGCAACATGGTTTTGCATGCTTGGCTGGCAAACCAGGGCTTTTTAATCAGTTTTCCACCAACCTCATCTTTTTTTTTTCTTGCTTCCCTTTTCATCTCTGCCTTTTCATTCCCACGAGGGAAAAAAGGAGTTGGGCAAAGGGACCTGACTACCATGTTCCCTGCTTTCACATGTTGGGCTATATGGCCTGATCTGCCCCCGCATGGCTAAGCAATGTTTGTTTTGGAAACTTTAAACCCAGGACTGTTCTTAATTCTTTCCCAGCCTCCTGGGGCTGCTGGGCTGTAGGGGTTGGGCGAGGCTGAGTTTGGGTAAACTGAGCTTGATTTCATGGAATGGTTCAGGAGCCTCATTCCTAGAAAATGATTTTTGGATTGGACCATCCCACAGGGATGAGAAGAAACAGAAAATGATTCTTCCATGGTGTTAAAATTCTCATTTCACAATATGTGAAAGTCAGAGCTCAGCTTCCATCCCCATCCTTGCATTTTCTGGCGTTTAATATTTATATTAAAAAGAAAACTGGACATGGCCATCAGAGCCCCTTGCTTTCTTTTCTTTCCTCATTCCAAACATTTAGGTGCACCTGCTACATGCCAGGCTCTGTGATAGTTTTTAAGGATTTCAGAATGCCCACTGGGGATGGCATGCACAGGCAGGGTCCTTGTCCTCATGGTGTTTCAAATCTTAGTTGTTGCTAACCAGCCTTGGAAGAGCCATCTAACCCCTCAAAGCTTCACTTCCTCATCAGTAAAATAAGTTGAATTAAATGAGTTTTGGTATCTTCCTAGCTCTGATATTCTGACATTGATGGATATGACTCAGTCTTCTAAACACAGATATGGGCTATGAGAGCTTTTCAGCATTTACTCTGAGAATAGGCCTAAAGATTTCGCTAATTGCTTTTCTTCAAAAATTTTCAGATGTATTTTTTTCTCTCACAAAGCACCATGACCACAGGAATATTGAGTTAGACAAGTGTAATCTTTTCAGGGCATGTAGCCATTCCTTACAATGGGATCCCGTAACTCCCTGGAAAGGCTGTTTCCCTGCGCCAGGTTACATAGGAGGGCAGCCTCTTATCTTGTCTGAATCTGATGTCGCTACTCCTTTGGAGAGCTGGGTGGTCTGAACAGGGCTTGACAGCTTCCACACATGCACAGCTTGCAACCTGACCCTTTCATTCAAGTGATTCAACAGCTTTTGTGCTACCAGGTGAGAGGCTTAAACAGACATCTTTGAGGGGCCGAGCGAAACAAAAAACAAAGCAAAACCCACTCCCTAATGAAATACTGTCTATACTATATTTTGTCTGTAATGCAGCTTCTCTCACTGCAGTGACTGGGGCACCATTTCAAAGGGCTCTAAAACTTGGCCATCAAGATAAGAAATTATAGGTGTGATTTATGTGCTTTTTGACAACATAGCCTCTAGCTGTCTGAAGATAATATGTTTGAGTGGAAAACTATTGACTGGAGGACAGGGATCTTGCTAAGTTAGAATATTTTTAAACAAATGTTCTTTGCCTCTCATGGGTAAGTTTTTACAGAAGCCAAAAATAGTTTTTGGTTTCTCCCTTAAACCTGCCTATTTATGGAGGTGATGATATTTGGGGAAAATGTGTATTAAAAAATGATGCCCAAAATGCTCTTTTTGTGCATCATCCAAAGGCTGCTAAGATTGCATGTCACTTTTCACTCTCAGGTTTATCCTTGAAACTTTCTTATCTGGCTCCCCAGCAACAAAGGACAGATAAATGCCCAGGGAGCGACTGAGCCTCAAGTCCTTTACTGGGTGTTCTGCTTTCCTGGAACTCTTCCCTGCTTTCTATCAAACATTATCAGCTGCTTAGTACTTACAGATGCTCTGTGCACTCTTCTCTTAAAATATGTGAGCCACAACTTTGCCTCATTAGCCCACACCCACTGCCATGCTACCTTCATTCTAAGGCCTACGTTTCTTGTTAGCATAAAAATGATTTATTTGGTAAATTACAAACTCAAACCACAGTAAAGTTAGGAAGATTGCAGAAAGGATAGATACCGCAGATGAAAATTCACCCAAATATTTAAAATTTGTTAGGCGTTTCCTATCAAATCTCTTTCATAGTACAGATTTTTTCTTTTTTGTTAAAGTGATCCTACACCTTAGAAAGACAACAGAGCAACAACACAACAGCAATACTTTAATTCTGTTTTACATAAATGTCCCTTTTTATTATCACATGGTAGGATGGTTCTATATTACCCAATAAGCATTAGTGATTGTTTTAAAACCAGAAGGCAGTATTGACGCAAGGGCCGGAATGTTAAATCAGAGAGGTGCAGTAGGAAAAAATAATGGCCTTTGAAAAAATTTCACCTGGGTTCTAATCATAGGCTACAATGTTCTTTGGCTCTGTAATGTTGGCCAAGTTACTCAGCCAGTTTCCTCAGGGGTAAAATGAGGTCATTGATACTTACCTCACTAGATGTTCGTTTATGAAGCATGATGTACAAGTGTTTAATAAATATTTCTTCTTTGGGAGACGGCTAATACAAGTATAATGTCTGAAAAGAAAACAAACATGGCAAGCGACTTAATTTATAGATGAAAAGAAAAGAGAAACAGGAAATAAAGTTACATTCCAGATCCCAATGTCTGGGGAGAACAGATCTCAACCCACCACTCCCGTGGCCTTTAACTCTGATCAGCAGCCTGGTTCTCACTTTATTCTTTTTTTTTTTCTTTTTTTAAATTTGAGACAGAGTCTTGCTCTATTGCCCATGCTGCAGTGCAGTGGCGTGATCTTGGCTCACTGCAACCTCTGCCTCCCTGGTTCAAGCCATTCTCCTGCCTCAGCCTCCCGAGTAGCTGGGACTACAGGCGTGCACTGCCATGACCGGCTAATTTTTTTGTATTTTTAGTAGAGACAGGGTTTTGCCATGTTGGCCAGGCTGCTCTTGAACTCCTGACCTCAGGTGATCCGCCAGCCTCGGCCTCCCAAAGTGCTAGGGTTATAGGCGTGAGCCACTGCCCCCGACCCTCACTTGATTCTTATAGACCAAAAGCCTGACACAGATCCGTGAGCTCAAGACTATGAAATTGTTTGGTATTGAGAAATCAAGGGCAATGTGAAAATCATTCTGTCTTCATTTTTTACTGATTCTCCTCATATAGGTGTTTTAGATAAATGCATAAGGAGATGCATCATTTTGTTTTTCTCAAGATTTTGCTCCATTGTAGCAAGGGGCCCCTCAGGGGTAATGTTTATTTGAGAATTTGAAACTCTGGGCTTGCACTGTAGTGAGCCTGCGAACCATCACCAAAGGAAGGACATATTCATTCAAACATGTGGAGGAGTGTGCACTCTCTCTCTCTCTCACCATTTTAAAAAATAGGTCTGGTATTTGCATTTAGTCACTCAACTGATATTTATTGAGCTTCTCTGTGAAAGATTCAATGATCAGCACTAAAAGAACTTGGGTGAACAGAACAGTCATGGTTATTATCTTCAAGGTGTTTATAGACCAGGAGAAACAGCAGACTTTTTTTTTTAATGGCTGCGAATAATGACAAAATGCTTATAGATATGCAACATGTGGCAAAGTGTATTTCAGGATTCCATGTGAGCAGATAAAACTGGTTTGGGAGATTGAGGCCTGAAGGATGAGTAGAATTTAGCCAGGTAAATGAGGTGGTTGATGGCAGTGGGGAAGGGCATTCATGGCAGATGGAACAGAATGGACAAAACCTGCAAAGGCTTGGAAGCTGGGGTTGGCAATATGGTGAGTTTAAGGATGGGAAGAAGTCCAGTTTGACCAGCATGTCAGTGGCAAGGAGGAGAGTCATGCAAGAAGAGGTTGGAGAGGTGTGCAGGGGACAGTCGGACACAGTTAAAAGTGATCCCGGAAAGTACCTAATCCACACTCCCTCTCTGAAACAAACAACCCTGTTCTGTGTCTGTACCTCAGCTCTTGCCATTATTGGACAGCACTGAGGGAAAGTCCTTTCTGAAAGTTGAGACTTTCACACATTCTCCCTGGTTCTGCACCCTGGAACCATCAAGTCACTCCCCTTCAAACATCTGAAGACAGACTATTTTAAAAAATAAAGTGCTGCGAAAGCAGATCTGCTCTTTTCCATACATATGCACTTGTTTTTGGGAAATGTAGAGTTACACAATTTTGCTTATTGGAAGCTAACTTACTGGCTCAGTGCATCATTCCAGGCTCTGATTATCAAAGCTGTGGATCTTGATTGTGTCCTCAGTGATAACAGTTAACCCTCTTGGATTTGTGCTTTCTGTGAATTGGATAAAGCTTGTCTTCTATATCTTTGTTTAAAGATTTAGAAAAATGTTTAACCAGAGAGAACCAAAAACGAGCTATAAGGCACAACTCTAAATATTTCTAATGAGAAAATGATGTCCCTAACCTCTCTTTTTTGTTCCCTTTTAAGGAGGAAACTAGTCACTAGTCTCTATAACCCAGAATCACAGAAATGTCTAAGTGTTTTTTTTTTTTTTTTTTTTTTTGAGACGGAGTCTTGCTCTGTCACCCAGGCTGGAGGCGCGATCTTGGCTCACTGCAAGCTCCGCCTCCCAGGTTCACGCCATTCTCCTGCCTCAGCCTCCCAAGCAGCTGGGACTACAGGCGCCTGCCACCACGCCCAGCTAATTTTTTTGTATTTTTAGTAGAGACGCGGTTTCACTGTGTTAGCCAGGATGGTCTTGATCTCCTGACCTCGTGATCCGCCCGCCTCGGCCTTCCAAAGTGCTGGGATTACAGGCTTGAGCCACCGCACCCGGCCAGAAATGTCTAAGTTTTAATAGAAAGAGCTCAAAGATATCAATGTGTGTTGGTGTTCTTGTTTTTTATGAGACTGCTTAAGGCACAATAATTGCTAATTTCATTTATTTATACAAAAGTTGAACTCATATTACATGCAGCGGACAGTGTTGTCCTTCTGCCTTCAAAACACATAGGCATATACACTACCAGGTAGGATGTGATAACTGCCCTGTGATGGGTTTAAATAAAATATGATTCTCCTGCAATCGGAGGAAGGAAGTCTTTCCAGATGAAATGATGAGGTCTTACGGAATCCTGAATGAGGCATTTCTTGAGGGGTTAATAAATGGGAAGGATCTCAATAAGGATGGAAGCAAAGACATTCCAGGCAATATAAAATAGCCCCTTTTAACATGAATCCATTGTCATTTAATGTACTGTGATATAATGACCCACTCTTTCCCAGCAGTCAAGCCATCAACCATCCATTTCAAATTATAGACACATGCCTTTTGCTTTCCTCATCAGTCATTCTTCATAATTTTCTTTCCTTTTAATATTTTCTTCATCTTAAGAATATCAGGTTCCTGCTGACCACATGTCATGGCTCAGTAACTTTGGTCTCATGAATGACTGTGGCCTCTGCTACCTACTTTCACACATTAGATCTAAATGAGACCACACAGCATTTTATAAAAATGACTTTACTTAAATTTTGAAAAATAGTCTATGTCTCAAGCTCTTAGAAATTTTGGAACAATCAAAAAAAGCTGCTGCTGGAGGTGCTGATTGGTGATTAAAATGTCACTCGAGGGTGATTTATCAGTGAGAGAAGAATAGGAGTTAAATGGCCATTTGATTACATTAAATAGTACCCAAAGAGTTTAACACTGCAATTTATATCCTATTCATAATCCTGTTTACCATGTAATTCTGTTAAGACTTCCTCCTGGTGTCAGTAAGCTGGTCTTCCAAATTCTTAAGACATTACTACAGCAAAAGGAAGTAAAATAAAATATGTAGCCACATAAACCCCCATTTAAAAATCAGTTTGTAATATACTCTGGACTTAGAGTTTGGCAGCAGGATGGGGTGACAAAATTCCTCAGACAGGACTAAAGGACTAGCTTTGCACTTTTACAGAATCTTTCAAAAACCTCAGATGGAACCAATTTTGTCTTTCTCATTTGTCCGTAGAGCCTCTGTGGTGCTGATTTGACTGTTCAAGCTAGGAGGTGGCAGTGCACTGGGTGTACCATTTAGCATTCAAGATACTATGTGGCCTCACCATCACTCATGGATTGTTGCTGAATTGCTTTACTGGAAAATATTGGTCTTCATTTACCCCCAGTAGAGACATTTCCTGATCTGTGGCTTTGTAAGTTGCTTTTGTGCCAGTCCCTTGATAGCGCATGGAAATCACAGGCTATGGGATTCACTGATGGGAAAACTCTGGGGTCCTTGCATATCCCTTCCCCCACTTTAGTTTTTTTCTATGTTAAGAATGGCAAATGATATCAACCATGTGAGATAATGGAGACACGGTCAGAGATCATATAGTGTTTCACAGCAGGCTTGAATATTCACAGCAGTGCTCAGAGGCATCAAGTCTGAATTGTTAGCTCTGTGGCCAGAGAGATCTGGCATTAAGACTTTAAGAGCTAAGACTTGTCCAGGAGTGATGGAAGTTGAAATTCCATATTAATTAACAACAGCCAAGTGTGGTGGCTCATGCCTGTAATCCTAGCACTTCGGGAGGCCAAGGCAGGCAGATAGTTTGAGCCCAGGAGTTTGAGACCAGCCTGAGAAACATAGTGAGATCTGATCTCTTAAAAAAAAAAAAAAACCAGGCATGGCGACAGATGCCTGTAGTCCCAGCTACTCAGGAGACAGGTGGGAGGATCACTTGAGACCCAGTGGTCAAGGCTGCAGTGATCCGTGATCAAGCCACTACATTTCAGCCTGGGCTACAGCGTGAGACCCCATCTCTTAAAAAAAATACATAAAAACTATCTTCACAACCCCATAAAGTCAATATTATGAATCCCCACTGTAAGATGATGAATTCAAGGCTGAGAAATTTTTAACAAATTTAATTATATTGTAGATTGAGCTTCTTTCTGCAGACACTAAAGTGTTCAAAAAGTGAGTCGTTAAAGTGTTTATCTTTAGTTCAGATGATTAAATGAGGTCTTCCTACAATAAGACATGTGAACTAAAGGTGACCTGTGTCATGCATTACTATCATACTGTCCCTTTATATAAAAAATCCATTTTATTTTTTAAAAAGGAGTCACTTCCTTTTTCCCCTCAAAAAATTGATTTTTATTTTTTGTTATTGAGTAGAAAAAGCCAGACTGTTTATCCCATGGAGAAAGCTGGAGGCAGTAATATGGGCTGAAACGAACAAGATTGAGGTCCATGAACATGTCAAAGAATGTTATAAGGAGTATGGGATAAGGGCCATTGTTTCACTGAAAAATTAACAGAAGTAATTGACACATTAGGAACACAGAGGGGAATTACACTTATAGAATGATTTGAGAGACTTTTAATTTACAGATCAGAAGGTTTAAATTTTTCTTCTTTACAGCAGATGATTAAGCAGATAGCCCCAAATCTCCTTCTAATGTGCTCAATAATGATTTTGCATTTTATGGTTTTAGAGAGATCTATTACATACTGCCTAAACCTAAATATCCACTTCTACCTTGTCTTAAAACAAGCATGAAAAACTTTAGCCTTATGAATAATAAAATTTATTGTTATAATATATAGACTTATCTTTGTCTTTAAAGAGTCGCAGCAAGGAACAAAGTTAAAATGCAACAGAAATTAGTGGTAGCACAAAATTTTAGTAGCTAAACTTTATGTTAATTTCTTTCATTTTAGGCTTTGCTTCCTTTCTGACAATTTTGCTAATTTAGCAAAGATTTTTCTCAACATAGGAAAAAACTAAAGTTGGGGAAGGGATGTGCAAGGACCCCAGAGTCCTCCTACCAAAGAATCCCATAGCCTGTGATTTCCATGCACTATAAGGGGACTGGCGCCAAAGCAACTTACAAAGCCACAGATCAGGAAATGTCTCTGTGCCACTGACTTGTGTACTTACATCTCACACATGGGACTGGCTTTCCAGGGATGGCCATCCCAGCTAGGCTGCCAATGAAACGTTTGCTCATGATGCCTCCCTTGGAGCGTCCTGTCTTTCTTTACCTTGTGTCAGACTCTGTCTATCTAGGACCATCCTATCTTCCTCTCCTCTTCCCAGCCCTCCCCCAACCAACCACCACCACACTGGGTCTTGCTTTTGGGCTCTTCCTAGTGCTGTTCTTGGAGGCGGCATCCCCAGCCCTAGTCCTACCGCTGCGTTCCACCCTGACTAAGAGACTTACTGAGTCTGAGGGTTGTTTTAGACATGCCAAAGATCCTAACTTCAGTCTTTGGACACCAAAGCTCCTTTTACCTCTTGTCATACTTAGAGGAGAATAAGATAAAATGCAGTTATTAATGCAGTTAATATTTGCAGCAGTGGTTCTCCATCCTGGTTGCTCATTAGAATCACCTGGAGTACTTTTAAATTCAGATGCCTGGGCCCCACTCAGACAAATTAAATCAGAAACTCTGGGAGTGGTGACTGGGTGATGGTAATATGAAGCTGAAGAGGGGGTCCTCTAGATGAAGGAGGCAACTCATCTTGGTGTGTTTCCCGTTCTCATTAATAGCGCAGACCCAGTAATCCCTCATAAGAATGGTTTGCTTCTTTCTAGGACAGAGGAGTAGGTCTGAAGCCATGAGTGTGAAGTTTATTTGCAGCCAGTGCTTTTTCCCAGGCCATGGGACTCAGCCCCCACATTGCACAACTCCAGGAACACCGTTCACGTTATGGTCTGTATAAACAGCATAAATGGTGCCCTGGAATTTGGTGTGCTGAACTGAGCAAAACCAAGTAAAGGAGTCTCATCACCTTTGGCCAACACAGTAAAGGACAGATAAGTTAGTATGTTTTTCCACAGAAATACCTTCCACCATGATGAGTTTTTGCCGTGCTCAGGGACATCACAGTTTGAACTGTATTTGTCAGCCTATCTGGATATTGCGCCTACAGTAAATACGTTTCTACCTCTAGACAAATTTCTTGCAAACCAATATTTTGAATATAGCCTATTTGTGTCTTGGAGACTCTAAGAAGGTATTTTAGCCAAGACTGCTTGTGTGTTCCATACTGGTTTCACTTTTAAAATGTTTCTCTGACTTACTGGTGTTTGCAGTTCTTATACGATGTAATTTTCTACATTGCTGTATCCTCCTGCACATATTTTTTCAACAAATGAGACATCTAATCAGACATTCAGATACTTTATTTGCAGCCTGTGATGTTTATGGAGATTTTGTTTTTGAACCAGTACTTGAAGCACGTTTAATCCCACTGCCTGAGAACACCCTCCCACCTGCATTCTCCACAGGCCACCCCCAAATTCTGCCAAAGTGAGCAGATCAAGTTTGGCTTTTCTTAATGCCATTAAGCTCAGTGAGCAACACTGCATCAGAGACTCCAGCATGTGCAGCAGAATGGACACTGGCACACTGGCATGGGTGTGCAGCCACATGTGGTGTCTCACTGTGGGGACATGGCCTGTGAGCCACCAGGGTGGCCCTTGAGTAGCTGTGGGTCAGGAGATCCCCAGAAGAGACAGTCCTCAAAAGCCCGGAAGCATGATGAACAAAAACTCTCTGTGATTTGCCTTGTTCCTTTTTGTTACTGATGGCCCTCCACTACTCTAGAGAAAACTCTTTAGCTGTGTGTGGGTGTCACAGGAGAGTCAATTCAGCCTGAACCATGAGGCATGTCAAAAGATGGCTCAACTCACAACTTTTTATAAATTAGTAGACTTTAATTTTTGTGATGTTTTAGGTTTATAGAAAAATTGAGCAGAAAGTTCAGAGTTCCTATATACCTTCTCACTTCCCAACCCCTACTTTCCACTATTATTAATGTTTTGCATTAGTGTCGTGCATTTGTTACAATGGATGAGCAATTATTATTATCTAAAGCATATATTTTACAATAGGGTTCACTCTTTGTGTTGTACATTCTATGTTTTGTTTTTGTTTTGTTTTGAGACAGAGTCTCTGTCGCCCAGGCTGGAATGTAGTGGCGTGATCTTGGCCCACTGCAACCTCCGCCTCTTGGGTTCAAGCGATTCTCCTGCCTCAGCCTCCTGAGTAGTTGGGATTACAGGTGCCTGCCACCATGCCTGGCTGATTTTTGTATTTTTGGTAGTGACGAGGTTTCGCCATGTTGGCCAGGCTGGTCTCGAACTCCTGACCTCAAGTGATCTGCCCACCTCAGCCTCCCAAAATGCTGGAATTGCATGTGTGAGCCACCACACCCGGCTGCATTCTATGGGTTCTGACAAATGTTTAATGACATATATCCACCATCACAGTGGTAGCTTTTAAAATAAATTTTAGAAAAATTTTTCTTCAATAGATCTGGAATAGAAAGGGGCAGGAAGGGAACTAACTTTGGCTGAGCCTTGCTCTATGTGTGTGCTGGCAACTTTGATTTACATTGACAGATAGTATCACATGTAACTAGTGTAACAACCCTGAAAGGTGTCAATTATTGTCTTCATTTTGTAGATGAGGAAACAGAGCCCAAGGAAGAATAGGAACCTTGCTCAAAGAAATTATGGAACCAAGATAGGTGCACAGGTCTGGTAGAGCTGATTAACAGGCTGGCCTCTGATTTTCTATCACTTCCTCTCCAAACCTGCATCAAAGAATTAAACTCTCTCATCCTCCTTTTTTAGCACTACTGAATCATAACATTATTTACAAAGTTATTTGTAAGAAAGAAAAATTATGAAAAATGAAGTGTGTGTAAGTCATAGCTGAAGACCTCAAAATTGTGCTAAGATCCTCAACAGGAAAGAGCATTAAGACTCTTATTAGACTCCTTGGCTAGGCTTGATGGCTCATGCCTATAATCCCAGCACTTTGGGAGGCTAAAGCAGGAGTATCACTTAAGGACAGGAGTTCGAGACCAGCCTGGGCAACATACTGAGACCCTGTTTCTACAAAAAAATTTTTTTAAATTAGTCAGGCATGGTGGCGAGTGCCTGTAGTCCTAGCTACTCAGGAAGCTGAGGTGGGAGGATTGCTTGTGCCCAGGAGTTTGAGGTGGCAGTGAGCCTTGATGAAGGAACTGTACTCCAGCCTGGGCAAAAGAGCAAGACTCCGTCTCTTAAAAAAAAAAAAAAAATTATCATTACAGTTCGATTAAGCCTCTTTGTTGGTTTTAGGTGTTGCGCTTTTTTTTTCTTTACTACATCTCAGTATATGATACTATGCTTTACATTCCCCACTTTGCTTGCATCAGTGGGTAAAGCAACAACCAATTGTCTAACCTTTGACAAATCACTTAGCCTCTTTGGGCCCCCGTTTCCTCATCTTGATCACCCTATGGTAGAGCAAGGAACATGGTTTCAGGCACCTGGGCTCCCCAAGCTGTCTTCTGGGATTGGAATATGAGGTACTTTAGTTAAGAGAATTTGCCTTAGACAAATTATTTATCTATTTCCTTAGCTGTAATATAGGAATAATAATAGACTTGAGTTCATACATTGTAGTGAAGGTTAAATGAGTTACAACAGTGCCAGGTACAAAGTGAGTGCATAATACATGCTTATTATTGTTATTTTACGTAAAATTTGGATAAGCTCCTTCTAATTCTAGAATTGTATGATTTTTCATATACTGTAACTTAGGCTCCAATAACATGGCACTTTTTGTCATTTACCATAAAATTTCTTAGGTCATCGAAAGCAGATCTTTACATCAGACCTCTTTACAAAAATATTCATGGTGGTTGATCTGTTTTCTGCTGCAGACATCTGTGAGTTTGAGTTTTAATCTTGAGCAAGGAATGCAGATGAGATGATCAAGGTTACCTCACAGCTTGAGGAGCAATGCTGAATAGTTTTCTGAATGTCTGAGCAGCCCTTTTCACAATGAAGTGTTTCACCCTGAATAGTGGAAGTTTCTTTAAGTGTATACTGGTGAGTTTGATGAAATCATTAGAGCATTTTGCTCCTATGCTATCACAGCGAATACCATTCTGGTTTTTGTTGTTGTTGTTGTTTTAAGCCAAAGCAAGTTTATTAAGAAAGTAAAGGAATAAAAGAATGGCTGCTCCATAGACAGAGCAGCACTGAGAGCTGCTGGTTGCCCATTTTTATGGTTATTTCTTAGTTATATGCTAAACAAGGGGTGGATTATTCATGCTTCTTTTTTTTTTTTTTTTTTTTTGAGATGGAGTCTCGCTCTGTGGCCCAGGCTGGAGTGCAGTGGTGCGATCTCAGCTAACTGCAACCTCTGTCTCCCCCAGTTTAAGCAATTCTCCTGCCTCAGCCTCCTGAGTAGCTGGGATTACAGGTGCACACCACCACTCCCAGCTAATTTTTGTATTTTTAGTAGAGATGGAGTTTCACCATGGTGGTCAGGCTGGTCTCGAACTCCTGACCTCGTGATCTGCCCACCTCGGCCTCCCAAAGTGTTGGGATTACAGGCATGAGCCACGGGGCCCAGCCCATGCTTCCCCTTTTTAGACCATATAGGGTAACTTCCTGACATTGTGATGGCATTTGTAAACAGTCATGGTGCTGGTGGGAGTGGGAGGGTAGCAGTGAGGACGATCAGAGGTCACTTTTATCCCCATCTTGATTTTGGTGAGTTTTGGCCAGCTTCTTTACTGCAAACTGTTTCATCAGCAAGGTCTTTATGACCTGTATCTTGTGCTGACCTCCTCTCTCATCCTATGAGTAAGAATGCTTAACCATCTAGGAATGCAGCCCAGTAGGTTTCAGATTCATTTTACCCAGCTCCTATTCAAGTTGGAGTTACTCTGGTTCAAATGCCTCTGACATTTCCCCCCTCCCTTTTATAAGAGAATCCTTAATCTTAAGAGTTGTAGAGGGATGAAGATCTGTATTCTGTAACTTCTTCAGGCTGAATAGGGGTGATGATATTCCTGCCTAACTATGAGGATCTCTTGTATTTGGGTAGAGAGGAGCTCAGTCAGAAAGCGTCAGTATGTCAAGGGCCACTCATAACTCTGGAGTTCCAACAAAAGGTGATATCTAGAAGATTAATAAATGTTTAAGAAAACATCTAGTAGGCTTATTCTGCATTTCTACACAAAGAGTACAACAGCAATATATTCCACAACAGTAAGGCAAAATAAGTAAATTATCCCAAGTAAACTAAATTAGAAGATTTTTCATGAGCTGGGCAACTGTTGGAACCAAGCAGATATGGAGTTGTTAGCTGATTCCAATATGTGCCCAGAATTAGAATATTGATCCAGATTTTTACATTACCCATCCTTCTTGTTTCTTCTGAGCAGCAGCCAAAGATCACTGGTTGGTTCACAGGAATAAGCAGTCAGTCTAAATTGCAGAAAAATACTCAAAAAACAACTGATGAGACTAGAATCTAATCAGGTGTACCATAGTTTTTGAAACATAATTTCTCTCTCCAGTTTCCCATTTTCACTAAAGACAAGTCATGGTAAGACCGATTTGCTTTATTATACTTGGCCTGATTATTTGTATGAAGTGCAGCAGGAATAATTATTTTTCACATAGGCTTTTAAAATTGACTTTAATGGAACTCTGTTCCGTAAGGAATCTCAAATAAGACTTTTTTAAAGCTGAGACCGGCCATGGGTTTGTACCCTCAAATACCTGTGAGTTGGGTAAATTCCTCTCCTCCTGAGGTCCCAAGATAACCTGGAGCTCCTGGGCCTGTCAGAAAGTGACATTCTTTGTTTACCACCAGGTCAGGAACCCTGTACAGAAACTGTGTAGACAAGGTATGAGGCCATTTTTCCCAAAGGGCTTTTATTGGCTTTACCAGTCAAGTTTAATTCCTTAAAGGAAAGCGCACCATTCCAGTCAAAGCCTTGGTAAAATAACCAATTTCTCCAACTGTGTCCTGTTACAAAAGAAAACAGATTCTTATTGCACTTATGCAAATAACTATATTGCCATAAGTTAAGAATACTCACAACTAGTTTCCAAATTCTGGCAAAATCAGGTAGAGAGAAACAAACATGCTCCAAATTCTGTTCATAGGAGTATACTTTACTCAATTGTTAAAAGCTGTAAATAGCTTAATAGAAAAGTTTTCTTGGTTCTAAAAAAACAAAACAAAGGATTAGCACCGTTTTAAGCAAAAAGTAAAAAAATCACTTCAGTCTTCTATTAGTTCAGTCCATGCAGTTAACTCCTGTCCTGCTTGATATTTGTGAACATTTCAGCTTTCCATGAGAGTCCTGAAAGTTGCTTTCCTCTATTCTAATGTGACAATTGCCAAAGTTATTAGAAACCTGCATTTAAGAACACCTGTCAAAGTCCTATAGCTGATTATAAGCTACCTTTTGAAGAGGATTAAAACAAGACAACAATTGTCAGTGGATGATAAAATGCCTTAGGGCAGCCACTATTAAAGCCACAATTGGCAAGGAAATTTTGTTTACTTCTGTGGCATACAACAATTTTACATAACAATTATAGCCATTAATAACATATGCTGAGTCATATTAGAATTATAGGAATTTTTCCATTATTTTGGAACACATACCAGTAACATATTTATATAAATACAGCCCTAAGAAAGCCAACATTGTTTTATATTTGACAATGCTTTCTGTATTATTTTTATACCAAATAAGCCAAATGTCACTGTTGTATTAGTGTACTATTAATGTTAAATCCAATTCTTAATAAAACCTTATAGACAATGTATTTAATCTTAATCAGTTTGAACCATAAGGTAAGATTCTCATAAATTTTTATAACCCTTTAAAATATTTGTGAAAGAGAAGATCAGTGCTCTAAGAAAAACCTGTTGTGCTTTTATTTCAATGTTCAATTTATAGAAAAACTGATTAATACCCCTTTAGCTTTAGCCAATATGTTCACACACACAATCTCTTTTACAATTAATTTTTTACAAACCTTCCACAACTTGCTTAAAGCTTTATCCTATCTAACTTAAAACAACCCTTTAACCTTTTAATCTAGGCAAAAAAATCCACATTTCCATGACTTCTTATAGTCTTTTACCAAAAACACATTTTACTTTCTTTACACAGCTTACATGTCAAACTGTTTTTATTTCCCAAAGATTAATTAAGTCACACAAACTAAAAGGCATTACACTTTTTACTTTTCTAGCAAAATATTTCATTTAAGCTCCTATTATTTTTAAGCCAATTAACAAAAGCTCTTTTATATTACACACACAACACATATAACTACACAGAAGACAAAGGACTCATTTCCTGATCCAGGAATTGAACCCTGAACCCAGGCCACCAATGTGAAAAGAGAAAGCAGGGCCACATGGTTACAAGATCAAGCTCCCAAGGACATAACTGACCAGTTTTGCTGGACTGTCTTAGACAGCAGGCTTATGGGGTCCTAGGCCCGCATTCTATCCTGAGGTATCCCTCTTTCTGACAGAAAGATATGGAAAGACAAATTCATAGCACAAAGTACAACAGATTCACTACAGTTTAAGACTAGCCTCACGAATTCTTTTTCCCACTAATCAAAACTTTACAGAGGAGATAAACAGTAATTTTTACCATTCATTCAACCACAGAGAGAGAGAGAGAGAAAGAGAGAAGTCAAAATTCTTACCCTTTTGCTGACATGCCAGGCTTCAGGGTTTCCTTTCTCTGAGTGGCCCTACTGACCCGGCTGGCTGCACCACAGCTCTGGGGGCCAAGCCGCAACACGAAGGAAGGCCAGAGTAAAATACATGTGACAAAACACAGACATTAGCCCCTCTGCTTAGCACCTAGTATCAAACTGACAAGGCTCAAACGTGCCCCCGGCTGGACCCTGCCATTGTTAATCCAACCTCTGACCAGGAATTTCAACTCGTGGTCTCTGGGCAAGATGGTCACCCTGAGTAATAGTAAAGACGGGAAAAGGAAAGGAGAGAGAGAAAAGCATTGCCTGGGGCAGAGTGGGGAAGGTGAAGAGCCCAGGGAGGCCAGAGAAAGACCCACCCATTGCAGCGACACTGAAAAGTTCAGGCGGCAGCTTGTCAGTAGAAGAGGGATCTTTCATGGCAGTTCCATCAGCTCTCAAGTTTCCCCTTTAGGGGGAAACTTGTCCCCATGTCCCATGATCCTGTACATGCCTAATTCTGTCACCCACAGCCATCAGCAAAGAGTGCAAGGCAGATTAACCCAAAGAAATGGTGGTTAACATCCTATAGTGCCAAACCCGTTCTTAGCTGAGAGGGACTTTACTGGGAGGGGCCTCTAACCCCCTAAATCTTAGGAAAGACTCTAACTTTCATAAGTTGGGTCTCAAACCCAAGTTCGGTCAAGCGTCCTTGCCTTTTATTAAGAGGGGCCTTTAACCCACTCTATCTTAGGAGAGACTCTAACTCTCCTTAGTTGGGCTTCTAACCCAATCCCGTCATTTACTCTGGTAAATGCACCCCACCTACCCAAAGTCAGCCAATTTGTGTGTGCAAATGATTTTCCTTTGGGTTGGAAGCCTCTTCAGTATCATCCCTTTGGGGTTTGCAGAATAATGTTACTGGATCCCACCACTTACCCAGAGTTAGCCTTTGGGTCGGGGGGTTTTTTCAGTATTGTCCCTTCTGTAGTGACCATAAAGATGTTACAGGAAAGGGGTCCCAATCCAGACCCCAAGAGAGAGTTCTTAGGTACTCAGAAAGTTCTTAGGTACTCAGAAAGAGGGATACCTTAGGATAGAAAGAATTCAGGGTGAGTCCATAGAGTAAAGTGAAAGCAAGTTAATTAAGAAAGTAAAGGAATAAAAGAATGGCTACTCCATAGACAGAGCAGGCAGCAAATACCATTTTGTATTGTAAAATACCTGATTATAAATCTCCCTCCCACAAGACCTCAATCTCTTAAAGATTAAAGTTACCTCTTATTGAACTTTTTCTTGCACAGTGCCCCTGTACTTTTTCTCACAAAAACTCCTTGCTTCTGACATAACACCTACTTGTTGATTCTTTGACTATGCTACATTCTTTCTCTCCATCTTCAAACATGCCCTTACTTTTCCTATGCACCTTTCTCAATACTAATTTTTCTTTCAAATTTAACTCTTTCCCCTTCTGGGAAGCGTACCCTAGGCCCAGTTTGAGTCAAATGCTGCCTTCCTATTTAGTCCTATACCATAAAATATATCTCACCATTACTGCACTTACCACCCTTGCTGTTTTGTTTTGCTTTTCTGAGGCAGGGTCTTGCTGTGTTGCCCAGACTGGCCTTGAGCTCCCTGGCTCAAGCAATCCTCCTGCCTCAGCCTCCCCAGTTGCTAGGACTACAGACATGTTCCCCTGTGCTTGGCATTACTGCCTGTTTTGAATCATTAGTTTATGTTTGTCTTTCTGAATTACACTGTACACTCTCTAAGGGCAAGAATTTTTTTTTGTCATTTTTGTCTTCACAATCCCAGCACTTAACGTAGCACTTGTCCCTAAGTGAGTACTCAGCAATTGTTTGTACAATGAATGAACAGATGATATGTCATACTCAAAAAGCCAAGATACATTCTGAAAATTGAATTGGTCTCAAAGATGAATTCCTGGACATGATTTAATACGAATTTAAACAGAATCTCACTTTTACACAGTTTGGTGTTGTTCTGTTGTAAATTAAGAAATGAAGAATTCACTCAAGAAGAGGAAAATTAATTTCAGTTGGCGTGACACTGGTGGGGAAGGCCCTAGGTGTGAGTTTTGGTACATGCCCACGGTAGGTCCCTGATGAAGAATGGGGCACACCATGATGAATGTGAGTGTTTTTCACTCTGCTTAAGTTATTCAATTAAAGCAACCTGTTGTGAAAATTGTATGATACAACGCTCTGGCTGAAAGCAACATGATTTTAAGTTATGGCCATTTCCTAACTAATCTTCAGGGAAATGTTTTTGATGGTTTAAGAGGCTTTGATAGTCATTAAAAACAGAACTGTAAGTTGAGGGCACACATTTTTTCCCTCTGCAATCAGTTTTCTCTACCTTTGAAGGTAGTTTTAGTAGAAGGCCTCTGTAGAAACAGGCAGACGTCTGGTTTCCAAGGGATATCCTGGAATTTGAATTTCTGAAGTAGACTTATTAGGTATAGATTTATCGGGCATGGCCAGAAATGTTTTAGATACCCTCTGGCCATTCTATATTTTAGTCATTTTAAGTCTCTTGAATGATTTCTCAAAGAACCCGTTTTGTTTTGTTTTGTTTTAATGAAAAAGAACAAAAAACGTTTTCCATAAGTTTGCAGACTTTGGGCTTAAAAAGGCTCCTTTCTGCAAGACTTCTTAGAATCTTTAATATGCTCATATTATATTGTGAATTTTTAGAAGGTGATTTTAGCGTTCTGTGCTTCAAATGTATTTGGGTATGGTGAACTTTTTTTGTGGCAAGCTTTTAACGTCTCCAAAATATTCATTTTCACAAGCACAGTTTGCAAAACATGGCAGGGTAGAGTTTGAGCTATTGGAAATCTAAGGAAGGAAACCTAATGAATTTGTGTTGTAGGCAAAGGTATGTCTGTCTTTGCAGCCTTGGTCATCATGGGGTTCAGAACATGGTATCCCCAAATAGGGTGCCTTGGCACATTGAATATTTTGAACTGGAGGAATTTGAGAAGTGGCATGTGGTGGAAAGACTCTCTGACCTTCTCCCCTGAACAGCAGGTTACAGTACCCTTGTGTGAGAGAAGTGCCCTCCTGATACCCAGAGGAAAGGAGTATCCTTAGCTCCAAGAATGGAGGGACACAATGGGGAATCTGCACAGGCAGGTCTTGCTCACTTTCCCCCAGTTTACCACCCTCAGCTCACACATCTTTGTCCTAATACATTTTCCCATAACTTTCCACTCTTCATCAAGCTTAGGATAAAAATGCTCACGCTTAATGTTTCTTTCTGTCTTCATTTTTTTAATGAAGGCTCCCACGTCACATGGCACTTATATTCAATAAATTTTATGTTTTCCCTTTGTTAATTTGTCTCTTTTCAGTCTAATTTACAAGGCCCCGGACAACCTAAGAGCATAGAAGGAAAGGAGTTTTCCCTTCCCTCTACTCATGACAGTATAGCCTGAGGGAGGGCTCCCTCTCCAGAGTTCTGAGTCTGGCAGCTTCCTGAAGATCTGGGAAGGAAATGCTGAAAGGAATATTTCTGGAATAAGCATCTGTGATTTAAGGAAGCCACCTGGGATAATGGACATAGCACTAGTCTAGTGTCAGAACTGAGATTCCCATCCAGCCTTGGTTTCCAGGTAGCTGTGTAGTCTTGGTAGGCATTTAACGACCATGGGTCTTCCTCTCTTATGTAAATGAAAGAATTCCTAGAAGAGAACACACAAATGGCTAAGGGACATTAAGATAAAAGGGAAAAAAACTAAACCTTCCACATAAACAAAGGAAGTGCAAATTAAAACAGTGTCAGATACATTTCACTTGGGAGATGAATAAAGATTAAAGGGGCAATGTTGAATGTGAGGAAGGCTGGTGAGGGTGGAAATTGGTACCAGCTTTCCAGAAAGCATGCATATCAAGAGCCTCAGAGTAAGTTCTCACCCTTCAGCTTTACAATTCCACATCTGGAAATCAATCAAAAGACATAAACTAGAGAAACAGACCGATTTATACTTAAGGATTTTTTTATCACAATCTTTGACATAGTAACTACTTCAATGTAGCAGTGAGATGATTATAGCAACTATAGTACACCCATCTAGTGGCTATAATGCACAAATTAAAAGCACAATTGCAAGGAATGTTTAGTAATACAGAAAATGCTTACAATAGAACATTATGTTAATAAAAAGGGATACTACACAACTCTTTGGGGGTATTGAAAAGGATATTTTTTTTCTATATGTTTCTGTGTTTTTGTCCTTTAATTAATGAGCATGCCTTTCTTTCATATTTTAAAAAAAGTTATTTTCAGAAAAAGCAAATACATTGATAAATGAACTGAAGAATATGGCCTCGATGATTTCTAAAGTTTCTCCTAAAATCATACATTGTGTGATGTAGGTTATGGATTAGAAAACATTGTAGAGAAGAGGAAGCAGAATGTTATAGACAGAGTCAACACACATTTTATTGATTTAAATGTGAGTCAACACACATTTAATTGATTTAAAATAGAATTATGAAGTGGCCTATTTGACTTGAGACCTTTAACCTGGGCTTGTAGTGTAAGCAGTTGGAACATGAAGATGCTGGTAGACAGGGTATCTCTCTTAATTATTTGCTCTTAAAGCAGCAGCTACTTCCTTTAGAGAACATTGTTTCTAGTGAAACATTAACTTCTGGAATAGTATCTATTGCTGTCTGGAACCATAAAGGAAGTTGTTAAATTTCCTGCATACTATAGGAATAAAACTTTAGGGCTAGTGAAGTGATTGCAAAGAGTATAAGGTTTTGGTGTGATGTGAAGCAGTGTATATATAACAGTAGTGGTTAAGGGCAAGGGTTTTGGAGTTGGACAAAACCAGGCTCTAATTGCGATGACAAGGTCAAGCTGATGACATTGGGCAAGTTACTTAACCTCTTTATGTCTCATTTTCCAAATCTATAAAATCATTATCTACCTCCTAAAACCATAGTAGGGATTAAACAATATAATATATGTAAAGTATCTTGAAGAAAACCTACTATATAGTAAACACGTATAAATGTTGGTTTTGGCCAGACGTGGTGGCTCACACCTGTAATCCCAGCACTTTGGGAGGCTGAGGAGGGCGGATCACTTGAGGTCAAGAGTTTGACACCAGCTTGGCCAACATGGTGAAACCCTGTCTCTACTAAAAATATGAAAATTAGCTGGGCATGGTGGCGAGCACCTGTAGTCCCAGCTACTATGGAGGCTGAGACAGGAGGATCCCTTAAATCTAGGAGGTGGAGGTTGCAGTGAGCTGAGATTGTGCCACTGCACTCCATTATGTCACTTAAATCACTGTATATTTATGTATGAAATTAAAATAATAATAGAACTAATTAGGTTTGTTGTGAAAAATAAACGAAAAGATGCATAGGAAGAATGTAGCCCAGTGCTTCTGTATAGTAAGTGAAAGCACATTAATAAGCAAAGTAGAAAGGAAGGAATTTGCACATAGGGGAGACTAAAAATTGTTTATTAAAGAAAAAAAAATCTTAGAAGTCACAGGCTCTTTCTCATGATTTTATTATCCCTGTCTGAGAACATTCACTCTGAAAATCTTGTGTTTGGCAAGATCACGAAGACTTTCCATCTTTGTACAGTAATTGAACAATTAAAGCTCGATAAGAGGTTATGGGCTTCTTGAAAGAGAAGAATCTGCTTTACAGTTGTGTCTTCCCAGTGCTGCTTTGTAGTATGGGCCCACCAAAGAAATGGCATGAGATTGTCAGGATACAGGGGAAAGGGCACTTGGCCAGAATGCCCGAGGCTTGTTTCTCCCACAGCTCTGCTCTCCTGCTGGGACCTCAGGCAAGTCACTTCGAATGTTTACTTTTTATTGCCTATATAACCTCAGGGAGTTGTAAGGTCAGTAGGTGCCATGGCTCTGAAGTCTTGATAAAGACTATCTAAGTCTTGATTTCCTCAATTAAAACACAAAGAAGAGAACCACTTTCTCTAAGTTTAGACAGCTGGTTGTTCCCTGAGGACACAGTTCTGATTTCCAGTTCATTGCCCCTTGATGAATCAATTTATGGCACATGTGATTTGGATGCAATTCAGTTGTCCTGTGGATAACTATATTCACCTAAAAGTTTATGCTTAAAACTTTAAATTTGATTTATATTAATAACTTTGGAAATTCATTTGTATGAAAATTTTGATGATTTAAAAAAATACATCATAAAAAGTCAATTGATAGCTTCTTTTTTTTTTTTTTTTTTTTTTTTGAAACAAGGTCTCACTGTCTCACTTCACTTTGTCACTCAGGCTGCAGTGTCACTCTGTGCAACCTCGATCTCCAGGCTCAGGTGATCCTCCCATCTCAGTCTCCCCAGTGGCTGGGACCACAGGCATGTGCCAGCACACCAACCTAATTTAAAATTTTTTTTTGTAGGAGTGGGGTTTCACCATATTGCCCAGGCTGGTCTTGACCTCCTGGGCTCAAGTCATCCACCTTCCTTGGCCTCCCAAAATGTTGGGATTAAAGGAGTGAGCCACCGCCCCTGTACATTCTATTGATAACTTCTAAGTTTAGCTTCTGACTAGCATTTTAAAGATTATAATGTGGAGTAGAAGTCAGAAAATCTTCATTGGCTTTCTTCACCATCTTGTTGAGGATTTCAAAAATCTCTTCCGTTTGGGTGGGTTCATCCTGAAGTGGCTATTTTCAGTTAAAATGCCATTTCTCTGTTAGCGTATTTTATTTCTTTTTCCTTTTTTTTTTTTTTTTTTTTTTTTGAGTCGGAGTCTCACTCTGTCACCAGGCTGGAGTGCAGTGGCACGATCTCGGCTTACTGCAACCTCCGCCTCCAGGGTTCAAGCGATTCTCCTGCCTCAGCCTCCCGAGTAGCTGGGATTTACAGGCGTGTGCCATCATGCCCAATTCATTTTTGTATTTTTAGTAGAGACAGGGTTTCACCATGTTGGCCAGAATGGTCTCAATCTCTTGACCTCGTGATCCGCCCACCTTGGTCTCCCAAAGTGCTGGGATTACAGGCGTGAGCCACCGCACACAGCAGTTTATTTCTTAAATGACTTTAGGGTACTTGTAAGACCTAAAGTTGTGAAAAAGTTGTTCTCATAGAAGTAGAGAGTAGAAGGTGGTTACCAGGGGCTGGGGAGGAGGGAGGACTGGGGAGGTGCTGATCAAAGGATACAAAATTTCAGTTAGTCCAAAGGAAGGAGATGTATTGTACAACATGACTACTATAGTTAACAGCATTGTATTGTATAGTTGAAAATTGCTAAGAGAGTAGATTTTAAATGTTCTCCTCATAAAAAGAAGATATGTAAGGTAATAGATATGTTAGTTATTTGATTTAGCTATTTCACATTGTATATGTATATCAAAACATCATGACACAACAGTGTATGTATATATTGCAAAACAGCTAAATTAAGTCATTAACCTGGTGGCTCACACCTGTAATCCCAGAACTTTGGGAGGCTAAGATGGAAGAATAGCTTGAGACCAGGAGTTCAAGACCAGCCTGGGCAACATTGTGAGACTCCCATCCCTATGAAAATTAAAAAACAATTAGCCAGATGTGGTGGTGCATGCCTGTAGTCCCAGGTACCTGGGAGGCTGGAGCTGAGGCTTGCTTGAGCCCAGGAATTGGAGGCTGCAGTCAGCTATCATCGCACCACTGCATGCTAGCCTGGGCGACAGGGTGAAACCCCTGTCTCTAAAACAAACAAAAATCATGTTGTACATCATAAATATACACAATTTTATTTTTCAATTAAAAATAAGTAAAAACGAACAATAAATAATTGTGTGAGTCAAGGGGTAATAACTGCAAGCCTGGGGAAGACAAAAATGTTCCATTGCTTATGTCATCTTTAGTCAAATGGTGATAACTACCTAGATCACTAATGAGAAGAGTTTTGGGCCACATATGAATTCTGCAAAAAGCAAAGAAAATAAAAAGCAATGATGGGGAGGCCGAGGCGGGTGGATCACGAGCTCAGGAGATCGAGACCATTCTGGCTAACACGGTGAAACCCCATCTCTAGTAAAAATACAAAAAATTAGCCGGGCGCGGTGGCGGGCAGCTGTAGTCCCAGCCACTCGGGGGGCTGAGGCAGGAGAATGGCGTGAACCCGGGAGGCGGAGCTTGCAGTGAGCCGAGATCGCACCACTGCACTCCAGCCTGGGCGACAGAGCGAGACTCCGTCTCAAAAAAAAAAAAAAAAAAAAAAAAAAAGCTATGATGAATTATTGATATCTTGATAACTATGCTGGGCATAGGAGGGGGAAGGCACTTGCCTTGTGTTGGGTAGCTACCATTGCAAAATTCCAGAGAGGAAGAATAGTAAATATTATTTTCATCAAGGCACGTCATTACCATTGACCGTTAAGAATTTCCATTGCATTGAGAGCTGTACAGCTGAGATCCATTTTTTTTCTTGTTGTGCACAGATTATCTCAAATTAGTGACAGGAGTATCATGTTTATATCAACATGAAGAATACATGCTCATATAGTTAAGCTGAATGTGTAATTATGAAATAAATACTAGCTCACATTTCCCCTCCACCAATTATGTTACTAAATTATTTTCTTCTGTTCAAAAAATTTCCCAAAAAGTTTGGTTGAAGAAATCTTTATGAATTTTCATAAGAATTCAAAACAGCGTGTTTTTTCACATTTCAGAAAGAATTTTCACACAGCTTTATTGGCGTTTATTGGCTTATACAGATATACTGTACTTAGAATACATGATTACCATGTAAAGAAAAAAGGCAATGGTGGGAAAATGGTCAGGGAGAGCAGAACTGATTTGCAGTCATGTCAGGAGGATTTCGAAATGTTAAGAAACAGCTGAGCCACACAAGCAAGCCAAGACAGGATTTGTTTCTTGTTTTTTTTCTTTTTTTCTTTTTTCTTTTTTGAGATGGAGTCTCGCTCTGTCGCCCAGGCTGGAGTGCAGTGGCGCGATCTTGGCTCACTGCAACCTCCGCCTCCCAAGTTCAAGAGATTCTCCTGCCTCAGCCTCCCAAGTAGCTGGGAATATGGGCACCCACCACCACGCCCGGCTGATTTTTGTATTTTTAGTAGAGGCAGGGTTTCGCCGTGTTAGTCAGGCTGGGCTCGAACTCCTGACCTCAGGTGATCCGCCTGCCTGGGCCTCCCAAAGCGCCAGGATTTGTTTCAAGGATTTGAATCAAGTCCGAGGTGGCTAAAAGTCAGTTTACAAGCTCCCTTGGGGAATATGGCCAGGTGCCCTTTCTACTTCCACTTCTAGCTGCCCCCAATAATTCTGCCGACCCTGAGGGTGCCCATACTAGCAATCAGAGCAAGCTGTGGACAGATGGATTCTGAGGCTCTGACTTAGCCCTATGCTGGGACTAAGAAAATAAAATTCTCAAGATGTGCTAGGCTTCCCATTAGAGTGTTGTTTTTCATGTAGAAGTTGGCTGTCACTGGACATAGTAATTTTGTGTCAGAGACAAGACAGTTATTACCGTCTCATTTTGAGGTGTTAAAAGACCCATCATCACTGTGAAATCTTGTTTGCTTCAGAATTTTGCTTTGCTTTGCTGTTGTTCTGTTTTTCTTCTGGCCCTTTCTCGGTCTGCTCGTCTGAATTCTTTTCTCTTTCCCCTCCCATGCCACCTTCTTGAAGCCAAAAATAAGAGCAGTATTTTCCATGGAATGTCCACATACTTGGTGTTTCCCAACACCAAGAGAAAAATACAAGAGCAAAATTAGAATGCAAATAAAACCAAACAAAGCATACCCTTTTTGATCTTTATTGCTTCTAATTCTGCAGCCTTCAGTCTAGGCTCAGTTGATTGAAGGATGAGTTTTGTTTGATTTTGAATTTGGAAATTGTTACTCTTGTACTTTTCCCCCCTCCTAACTGTGTTGCTTCAGGTTGTTTTTGAAATATCAAAATTTAGTTTTTTAATATGTATTCTGTTGTAAGACTATGAGAAAGAAAAAATTAGAATGTAAATAAAACAGACTCTATTTGACATTTATTGAACCTAATTTTGCCACCTTGCCACCTTCATCCAGGCCCAATTCCTTCTACTCTGTTTTTCCTGAGAAAGCTTTACTTTCTTGTCTCTTTGATATATTTTGTAATAATAATGTTAACATTTGTATGGGGGTTTGTAATTAAGAAAATATTTCCACATAGATTATTGGTCTGACAGGGGAACTTTGGAGGCAAGATGGGTGATTCCTTTTTTTTTTTTTTTTGAGATGGAGTCTCGCTCTGCTGCCCTGGCTGGAGTGCAGTGGCATGATCTCAGCTCATTGCAACCTCTGCCTCCCAGGTTCAGGCGATTCTCCTGCTTCAGCCTCCCATTTTTGAAAGAGGAAAGTATGTTCATAAAAATCAGGATTAGAATCCATGGCCAGGTGCAGTGGTTCACACCTGTAATCCCAGCACTTTGGGAGCTGAGGCGGGCAGATCACTTGAGGTCAGGAGTTTGAGACCAGCCTGGCCAACATGGTGAAACCCCATCTCTACTAAAAATAATACAAAAATTAGCCAGGCGTAGTGGCGGGCACCTGTAATCCCAGCTGCTAGGGAGGCTGAGGCAGGAGAATTGCTTGAACCCAGGAGGTTGCAGTAAGCCAAGGCTGTGCTACTGCACTGCAGCCTGGGTGACAGAACAAGAATCCATCTCAAAAAAAAAAAAAAGATAAGAAGAAAATTAAAAAAATAATAATCGGGATTAGAATCCAGATATTCAAAATTCAAGTCTATTCTTTCAACAGCATTGTGGTGCAGGGAGCCATAAGAATAGATATCTCCTCTCTTCTCTTGTCTCTTCCTGGCAGATAAACATTAGGATCTTGGACTTTGACCTTATCTCTCAGTTAAGGGTTTACTATGATATAATTAGAGAATGAACTATTGTCCCATATGCTGTTAGGTAGGAAGTTAAATCTTTAGCTGATTAGTGACTAAACAAAATTAATACAAAAACTTGAAGAAGAAGTGATTATTAAAGGTATAGTTAAGTTCAGTCATGAGTCACACACACACACACAAAATAATAACAGTGAGTTAAATAGGAAAGAAGTTTACATTCTCTCCTGTGTAAAATTCTGGATGAATGGACTGGTATGGTGGTTCTGCTTTGCAAATGGCCCAGAGACCCAGGGTCCTTCTAGCTCACAGCTCCACCAACCTATGCCATAGCCTCATTTTTTCATGTGCAAGGCAGCACCTTCCATCTTGGCAACAAGATGGAGGGAAGCATAAAGAAAAAGGGAGAAGAGGCACACCGTAACTACCTCTTAAAGGAGGTTTCTCAGAGACACCATGTGACTGCTCTTCTTCAATTCCATTGGCCAGAATCTGATCACATAGCCGCAGATAGCTACAAGAGAGACTGTGAAATATAGTCTTTGTTCTGGGTGACTATATACCTAGTTAAAATTTTTATTTCTATGGAGGAAGGTGAGGTTGGATGTTGTGGGACAAATAGACATTCCTGTCAGAGATAGATATTGGAAGAGAGTTACTAAGTTATCATAAGTGAAACGAAGGAAACATTTGCTATATTATTTTAACAATCTATCTGAGAGGAGCTTATTTGGCATTCTAAATTGTTTACATGAAATAGAAGATTTTGATCAAGTTGTTCCATTTTGGTCCACATTGCCTTTCTTAAGTCAGTGCTAAACCAAAACATATTTGAATTCATTAAACACAAATTTGTAAAATATGGCAAAGCCTCCAAGATAGCTTTTTTTTTCCTGTTGAGATTGACTTATTCCTATTTATACCCAGATTGGCTGTAAAAGTGTGGGATAGTAACTGAGCTATGATCAATTACAAAAGGTAAGGGGTGTGGCTGGTCTAGAGACAGGCTGACCAGTGATACACAACATGTACAAAGACCAGGAAATTGACTCTGAATCAAAGTCTTCGTTTTATGTGCCTTTGCATAATACAAGATATCCGTGGGGTTTCAAAGGAGATTTGTTTCAGCTGTTGGCTGAGTGGGCGGCAGGAGAAGAGAATTCCAGGACAACATACATATGCCTGCCTCTGCCAAGGACTGTTCTTGCAGAGCCTGAAACACACTGCTGACCAACCATTTGGAGATAACTGTTGGGTGAAATCCCACCGGTGCCTTTGTATTTTGCTGCATTCTTCAGTTTCATTTGGAATTAATAGGTGGATTGCCACACTGAGAAGAAAGATATATCTGCCCTTTGTATACCTTGATGGGCTGGTACCAGGGAACTAATTATATTGGTGACTTTCTTCAATTTATTTTCGGTTAAGCAACATAATTACATGATGACATATTTACCTCTGAGATAGGATTGCTTTGCGCTGGCTGTCAGAAGATGCATCTTTAATGAGTTAGTATGTTTTGTCCATAAAAAATTTGTTCATAAAAATGTTTATTTTCAAGTTATCTACATATATTTAAAAAGCCTTTAAACACAATAAGATTTGTTTCAAAGTTTCTGTTTATGTCAACACACATGCAATTTTACATGAATCTCATATGTAATTTTTGTACTTTTTTTTTTTTTTTTTTTTGAGACAGTCTCACTCTGTTACCCAGGCTGGAGTGCAGTGGCACGATCTCGGCCCACTGCACCCTTTGCCTCCCGGGTTCAAGTGATTCTCCTGCCTCAGTTTCCTGAGTAGCTGGGATTACAGATGCATGCCACCAGGCCCTGCTAACTTTTGTATTTTTAGTAGAGACAGGGTTTTGACATGTTGGCCAGGCTGGTCTCGAACTCCTGACTTCAGGTGATCCACCCGCCTCGGCTTCCCAAAGTGCTGGGATTACAGGCATGAGCCACTGCACCTGACCTGTTGTTGCATTTTTTAATTGCATGCTCTTCTTTTCCTTTTTTTAAAAAAATATTGCTGTTTGAGTCTGCTCAGGCTGCTATAACAGAAATACCGTAGACAGGGTGGCTTAAAGAATAGAACTTTATTCCTCACAGTTCTGAAGGTTGGGAAGTCCAAGATCACCTCTTCCTGGTTTGCAGAGGGAAACCCTCTTGTTGTAAGCCTCACATGGCCGGAGAGAGAGTGCTGTAATCTTTTCATCCTCTTGTAAGAATCCCATCATGAGGACTCTACCCTCATGACCTTATGTAAACCTAACGCCTCCACAAGGCCCTACCTCCTAATCCCATCACATTGGAAATCAGGGCTTCAACATATAAATTTGGTGAGGGGACACAAACATCTAGACATAGCACCCCCCTCATCTTTCTTCAGTCTATCTATACTATATTGCCCCTATCATATTGTACCTACCAACAACCTAATGCTTGTCTGTCCATATTTTTCTCCATGCCCATTTAATTACATGTTAATACAACACATGTCTCCATCTACATGTATGCATATACATAGATGCAGCCTTTAGAGTTGCTTTACCGAATGGAAGCATGCTTTTCTCCATTTTATTTTTTCTGACTCCACAATACCTTGTAGAAATCCCGTCAAATTGAATGATTTATCTCTAATTCAAATTCTAAAAGTTACATTCCATTCCATGGTATAAGTATATCTACGCTATTTAACCATCCCCTTCTTGACATTTACTTTGCTTGCAGTTTCCACTATGGACACTGCTGCAATCAACATTCTTGTTCATGTATTCTTGTAGACGTTGCTTTTATCTCTGTTGGATAGATTCTCAGTGTTGTGTGGCAATAATGAAACAAACAGTGATGGATTTTGATTTTTACCTCACTTCTTCTTTCGGTGTTTGACTGGAGGTGCTGCCTGGGAAAGACTAGTTGGCCAATCATCAGGAAGTCTCATGGTGTGGCATTTTCCAGAGTCAAGAATCTCAACCTCCTCAACCTCAGTGTTATGGGCACAGAAAATGGACTTTTTCCATATATCCCAGGATGATGTGCCTTTTTGTGACAGATTCTCAGTAACGGAATTCACGTGGCATCTTGATCCATGGCTAATGGTGCCCGCTTATGATGCCAGTTCTTTTTTTTTTTTTTTTGAGACGGAATCTTGCTCTTGTCACCCAGGCTGGAGTACAGTGGTGCAATCTTGGCTTACTGCAACCTCCGCCTCCCAGGTTCAAGTCGTTCTCCTGCCTCAGCCTCCTAAGTAGCTCAGATTACAGGCGCCTGCCACGATGCCTGGCTAATTTTCATATTTTTAGTAGAGACAGGGGTTTCACCGTGATGGCCAGGCTGTTCTCGAACTCCTGACCTCAGGTGATCTGCCTGCCTCGGCCTCCCCAAGTACTGGAATTGCAGGTATGAGCCACCGTGCTTGGCCTTTTTGTTTTTGTTTTTTCTTTTTAGATATAATAATATTCCTGGGTTAAACTATAATCAGTATAAGGGAATTTAAGGCATTGTTTTCTCCAATTTATTCACTTAGTTAACAAATATTTATTGATATATCAGGCATTGTTCTAGACACTAGGGTTAAATCCATGAGTAAAAAATATAGAAATTAACATCTTCGTGAGGGACATGGCAGTGACTAATATTAGGTTGGTACAAAAGTAATTGTGGTTTTTTGCCATTGAAAGTAATGGTGAAAACCACAATTACTGTTGCAACAACCTAATATAAAGGATCAAATGCATTATATTAGGTGGTTAGAAAGCACTAAGGTTAAAAACTAAGCAGGAAAGTGGTAAAGAATGCTAGGAGATGAGACTGACATAATTCTAATGGGGTTGTTAGGTGTGACCACACTGCAAGTGTGACATTTGATGGGAACTTGAGAGTAGAGAGGTGGAGGGAGGGATATCTGGGGGAAGAACGTTCAAGTCAGAGACAACAGAAGTGAGAGGCTTTAGTGGGGGAGAGAGGAGGGAGGAATGGATCTTGATTTGTTTGAGGAAAAGCAAAGATATTAGAGTGGCTGGGACAGGGTCAGCAAAGGGAAGACAAACAGGAGATGAGCTGAGAGAGAGAAGAGGGAAACAGATCACATACTGTCTTCTAGATCATCACCAGGGCTTCACCTTTATTCTAAGATGAGACACTACTGGAAGTTTTGAGCAGAGCAGTGACATGGTATAAGTAACATTTAATCAAAATACTGACTGTGATGCCGAGAAATGCCTAGAGGAAAGGCAGGAGTAGAAGTAGGGAGATCAAATAGGATGCTATTGCAATCATCCAGCAGAGACTTGGTGGTGGCTTGGACCGGGGGATCACAATGGAGGTAGTAAGAAGTAGCTGGATTCTGGATATGTTTTGAAGGAAGAGTGTATTAACTTTTTATTTTTGTGTAACAAATCACTATAAACTTTGTGGCTTAAAACAATACAAATTTATCTCACAATTTCCCTTGGTCTGGGGTCAGATTATGGCTTAGCTGGGTTCTCTGCTTTAGGTTGCCACCAGGCTGCAGTCAAGATGTTGACGGCCTTCATTCTTATCCAGGGGCTTGACTTAGGAAGAAGCCACTTCCAAGCTCATTCAGGGTGTTGGCAGGATTCATTTCCTTGTGACAGTAGAATCCATGGAGGCTTGCTTCTTCATGTTCAGCAGGAGAGCCCCTGGTTCCAGTCTGCCGAGAGAGTCTCCTGTATAACAAAATGTAATCATAGGAGTGACACCCATCACCTTTGTTCAATTCTGTTGGTTGGAAGTGTTACAGATTCTGCTGGCACTCAAGGGGAAGGAACTTTTGGATACTAGGAGACTGGAATTATTTGGGGGGTCACCTAAGATCTGTCTACCATAAAGAAACAACAAGATTTTTTGTCTAGATTTAGAATGTGTGATGAAGAAAGGAACAACTGAAAAGTTGGAGTTGCTGTTAATTAAGGTAAGGAAGACTGAGGGAGGGAAGATTGAGAGCTCAATTTTGGCTTCATAAAGTGTGAGATGTCTTTTATACACCACCCAGAGATGATAAGCAGACAGTTGCATGTGCAAATCTAGAGTTAAGCAAGAGGGTCCAGGCTAGAGGTGTAAGTTTGAGGTCCATTAGCACATAGGTGGTATTTAAGGCCAAGGAATGAGATCACTAAGGAATGAGTGTAGATACAAAACAGGTCCTACAACTGGACTCTAGGGTCCCAGCATTAAAGAGTCAGGGAGTCTAGAAAGAACCAGGTAAGGAGACAAAGTGGGATAGAGTGAGATAAGAGGACTGCAGGAGTGTGGAGTCCTTGCAGCCTCCATGTGTTAATTAGTTTAAATCTCAGAAAGCAAAGATTCCCCCTTACCTCCCAGTTTTGGGAGACATCTACCTATCTTCTTGCCTCTCCTCTCCCTGAATGTGCTGTTGCGTTAGATGCCAAATGTGAATGGAAAAAATATTGTATCTTGTCAAAGTTCAACAACCATATTAAAGGGGAGGCAGCCAAGATGGCTGAATAGGAACAGCTCCAGTCTATAGCTCCTAGCGTGAGCGATGCAGAAGACGGGTGATTTCTGTATTTCCATCTGAGGTACCGGGTTCATCTCACTAGGGAGTGCCAGACAGTGGGCGCAGGACAGTGGGTGCAGCGCACTGTGCTTGAGCCGAAGCAGGGTGAGGCATTGCCTCACTTGGGAAGCGCAAGGGATCAGGGAGTTCCCTTTCCTAGTCAAAGAAAGGGGTGACAGACGGCACCTGGAAGATTGGGTCACTCCCACCCTCATACTGTGCTTTTCCGACGGGCTTAAAACATGGCGCACCAGGAGATTATATCCTGCACCTGGCTCAGAGGGTCCTACGCCCACGGAGTCTCACTGATTGCTAGCACAGCAGTCTAAGATCAAACTGCAAGGCGGCAGCGAGGCTGGGGGAGGGGCGCCCGCCATTGCCCAGGCTTGCTTAGGTAAACAAAGCAGCCAGGAAGCTCGAACTGCGTGGAGCCCACCACAGCTCAAGGAGACCTGCCTGCCTCTGTAGGCTCCACCTCTGGGGGCAGGGCACAGAAAAACAAAAAGACAGCAGTAACCTCTGCAGACTTAAATGTCCCTGTCTGACAGCTTTGAAGAGAGCAGTGGTTCTCCCAGCACGCAGCTGGAGATCTGAGAATGGGCAGACTGCCTCCTCAAGTGGGTCCCTGACCCCTGACCCCCGAGCAGCCTAACTGGGAGGCACCCCCCAGTAGGGGCAGACTGACACCTCACACGGCCGGGTACTCCTCTGAGACAAAACTTCCAGAGGAACGATCAGACAGCAGCATTTGCGGTTCACGAAAATCCGCTGTTCTGCAGCCACTGCTGTGGATACCCAGGCAAACAGGGTCTAGAGTGGACCTCTAGCAAACTCCAGCAGACCTGCAGCTGAGGGTCCTGTCTGTTAGAAGGAAAACTAACAAACAGAAAGGACATCCACACCAAAAACCCATCTGTAAATCACCATCATCAAAGACCAAAAGTAGATAAAACCACAAAGATGGGGAAAAAACAGAGCAGAAAAACTGGAAACTCTAAAAAGCAGAGCGCCTCTCCTCCTCCAAAGGAATGCAGTTCCTCACCAGCAACGGAACAAAGCTGGATGGAGAATGACTTTGACGAGTTGAGAGAAGAAGGCTTCAGACGATCAAACTACTTAGAGCTACAGGAGGAAATTCAAACCAAAGGCAAAGAAGTTAAAAACTTTAAAAAAAATTTAGACGAATGTGTAACTAGAATAACCAATACAGAGAAGTGCTTAAAGGCACTGATGGAGCTGAAAGCCAAGGCTCGAGAACTACGTGAAGAATGCAGAAGCCTCAGGAGCCGATGCGATCAACTGGAAGAAAGGGTATCAGTGATGGAGGATGAAATGAATGAAATGAAGTGAGAAGGGAAGTTTAGAGAAAAAAGAATAAAAGGAAATGAACAAAGCCTCCAAGAAATATGGGACTATGTGAAAAGACCAAATCTACGTCTGATTGGTGTACCTGAAAGTGATGAGTGATGGGGAGAATGGAACCAAGTTGGAAAACACTCTGCAAGATATTATCCAGGAAAACTTCCCCAATCTAGCAAGGCAGGCCAACATTCAGATTCAGGAAATAAAGAGAACACCACAAAGATACTCCTCGAGAAGAGCAACTCCAAGACACGTAATTGTCAGATTCACCAAAGTTGACATGAAGGAAAAAATGTTAAGGGCAGCCAGAGAGAAAGGTCGGGTTATCCACAAAGGGAAGCCCATCAGACTAACAGCGGATCTCTCGGCAGAAACTCTACAAGCCAGAAGAGAGTGGGGGCCAATATTCAAGATTCTTAAAGAAAAGAATTTTCAACCCAGAATTTCATATCCAGCCAAACTAAGCATCATAAGTGAAGGAGAAATAAAACACTTTACAGACAAGCAAATGCTGAGAGATTTTGTCACCACCAGGCCTGCCCTAAAAGAGCTCCTGAAGGAAGCACTAAATATGGAAAGGAACAACCGGTACCAGCCACTGCAAAATCATGCCAAATTGTGAAGATCATCAAGACTAGGAAGAAACTGCATCAACTAATGAGCAAAATAACCAGCTAAAATCATAATGACAGGATCAAATTCACATATAACAATATTAAGTTTAAATGTCAATGGACTAAATGCTCCAATTAAAAGACACAGACTGGCAAATTGGATAAAGAGTCAAGAACCATCAGTGTGCTGTATTCAGGAAACCCATCTCATGTGCAGAGACACACATAGGCTCAAAATAAAAGGATGGAGGAAGATCTACCAAGCAAATGGAAAACAAAAAAAGGCAGGGGTTGCAATCCTAGTCTCTGATAAAACAGACTTTAAACCAACAAAGATCAAAAGAGACAAAGAAGGCCATTACATAATGGTAAAGGGATCAATTCAACAAGAAGAGCTAACTATCCTAAATATATATGCACCCAATACAGGAGCACCCAGATTCATAAAGCAAGTCCTGAGTGACCTACAAAGAGACTTAGACTCCCACACAATAATAATGGGAGACTTTAACACCCCACTGTCAACATTAGACAGATCAACGAGACAAAAGTTAACAAGGGTACCCAGGAATTGAACTCACCTCTGCACCAAGCAGACCTAATAGGCATCTGCAGAACCCTCCACCCCAAATCAACAGAATATACATTTTTTTCAGCACCACACCACACCTATTCCAAAATTGACCACATAGTTGGAAGTAAAGCTCTTCTCAGCAAATGTAAAAGAACAGAGATGATAACAAACTGTCCCTCAGACCACAGTGCAATGAAACTAGAACTCAGGATTAAGAAACTCACTCAAAACCACTCAACTACATGGAAACTGAACAACCTGCTCCTGAATGACTACTGGGTACATAACGAAATGAAGGCAGAAATAAAGATGTTCTTTGAAACCAACGAGAACAAAGACAAAACATACCAGAATCTCTGGGACACATTCAAAACAGTGTGTACAGGGAAATTTATAGCACTAAATGCCCACAAGAGAAAGCAGGAAAGATCCAAAATTGACACCCTAACATCACAATTTAAAGAACTAGAAAAGCAAGAGCAAACAAATTCAAAAGCTAGCAGAAGGCAAGAAATAACTAAAATCAGAGCAGAACTGAAGGAAATAGAGACACAAAAAACCCTTCAAAAAATTAATGAATCCAGGATCTGGTTTTTTTGAAAGGATCAACAAAATTGATAGACCCCTAGCAAGACTAATGAAGAAAAGAGAGAAGAATCAAATATATGCAATAAAAAATGATATTGTGGATATCACCACCGATCCCACAGAAATACAAACTACCATCAGAGAATACTGCAAACACCTCTACACAAATAAACTAGAAAATATCGAAGAAATGGATAAATTCCTCGACACATACACCCTCCGAAGACTAAACCAGGAAGAAGTTGAATCTCTGAATAGACCAATAACAGGCTCTGAAATTGTGGCAATAATCAATAGCTTACCAACCAAAAAGAGTCCAGGACCTGATGGATTCACAGCCGAATTCTACCAGAGGTACAAGGAGGAGCTGGTACCATTCCTTCTGAAACTATTCCAATCAATAGAAAAAGAGGGAATCCTCCCTAACTCATTTTATGAGGCCAGCATCATCCTGATACCAAAGCCTGGCAGAGACACAACCAAAAAAGAGAATTTTAGACCAATATCCTTGATGAACATTGATACAAAAATCCTCAATAAGATACTGGCAAACCGAATCCAGCAGCACATCAAAAAGCTTATCCACCATGATCAAGTGGGCTTCATCCCTGGGATGCAAGGCTGGTTCAATATACGCAAATCAATAAATGTAATCCAGCATATAAACAGAACCAAAGACAAAAACCACATGATTATCTCAATAGATGCAGAAAAGGCCTTTGACAAAATTCAACAGCCCTTCATGCTAAAAACTCTCAATAAATTAGGTATTGATGGGACATATCTCAAAATAATAAAAGCTATCTATGACAAACCCACAGCCAATATCATACTGAATGGGCAAAAACTGGAAGCATTCCCTTTGAAAACTGGCACAGGACAGGGATGCCCTCTCTCACCACTCCTATTCAACATAGTGTTGGAAGTTCTGGCCAGGGCAATTAGGCAGGAGAAGGAAATAAAGGGTATTCAATTAGGAAAAGAGGAAGTCAAATTGTCCCTGTTTGCAGATGACATGATTGTATATCTAGAAAACCCCATTGTCTCAGTCCAAAATCTCCTTAAGCTGATAAGCAACTTCAGCAAAGTCTCAGGATACAAAATCAATATACAAAAATCACAAGCATTCTTATACACCAATAAAAGACAAACAGAAAGCCAAGTCATGAGTGAAGTCCCATTCACAGTTGCTTCAAAGAGGATAAAATGCCTAGGCATCCAACTTACAAGGGACCTGAAGGACCTCTTCAAGGAGAACTACAAACCACTGCTCAATGAAATAAAAGAGGATACAAAGAAATGGAAGAACATTCCATGCTCATGGGTAGGAAGAATCAATATCGTGAAAATGGCCATACTGCCCAAGGTAATTTATAGATTCAATGCCATACCCATCAAGCTACCAATGATTTTCTTCACAGAATTGGAAAAAACTACTTTAAAGTTCATATGGAACCAAAAAAGAGCCCGCATTGCCAAGTCAATCCTAAGCCAAAAGAACAAAGCTGGAGACATCACGCTACCTGACTTCAAACTATACAACAAGGCTACAGTAACCAAAACAGCATGGTACTGGTACCAAAACAGAGATATAGATCAATGGAACAGCACAGAGCCCTCAGAAATAATGCCGCATGTCTACAAAGATCTATCTGATCTTTGACAAACCTGACAAAAACAAGCAATGGGGAAAGGATTCCCTATTTAATGAATGGTGCTGAGAAAACTGGCTAGCCATATGTACAAAGCTGAAACTGGATCCCGTCCTTACACCTCATACAAAAATTAATTCAAGATGGATTAAAGACTTAAATGTTAGACCTAAAACCGTAAAAACCGTAAAAACCGTAGAAGAAAACCTAGGTATTACCATTCAGGACATAGGCATGGGCAAGGACTTCATGTCTAAAACACCAAAAGCAATGGAAACAAAAGACAAAATTGACAAATGGGATCTAATTAAACTAAAGAGCTTCTGCACAGCAAAAGAAACTACCATCAGAGTGAACAGGCAACCTATACAATGGGAGAAAATTTTCGCAACCTACTCATTTGACAAAGGCTAATATCCAGAATCTACAATGAACTCAAACAAATTTACAAGAAAAAAACAAACAACCCCATCAAAAAGTGGGCGAAGGATATGAACAGACACTTCTCAAAAGAAGACATTTATGCAGCCAAATAACACATGAAAAAATGCTCACCATCACTGGCCATCGGAGAAATGCAAATCAAAACCACAATGAGATACCATCTCACACCAGTTAGAATGGCAATCACTAAAAAGTCAGGAAACAACAGGTGCTGGAGAGGATGTGGAGAAATAGGAAAACTTTTACACTGTTGGTAGGACTGTAAACTAGTTCAACCATTGTGGAAGTCAGTGTGGTGATTCTTCAGGGATCTAGAACTAGAAATACCATTTGACCCAGCCATCCCATTACTGGGTATATACCCAAAGAACTATAAATCATGCTGCTATAAAGACACATGCACACGTATGTTTATTGCAGCTCCATTCACAATAGCAAAGACTTGGAACCAACCCAAATGTCCAGCCATGATAGACTGGATTAAGAAAATGTGGCACATATACACCATGGAATACTATGCAGCCATAAAAAATGATGAGTTCATGTCCTTTGTAGGGACATGGATGAAATTGGAAATCATCATTCTCAGTAAACTATCGCAGGAACAAAAAACCAAACACCGCATATTCTCACTCATAGGTGGGAATTGAACAATGAGAACACATGGACACAGGAAGGGGAACATCACACTCTGGGGACTGTTGTGGGGTCGGGGGAGGGGGGAGGGATAGCATTAGGAGATATACCTAATGCTAAGTGACGAGTTAATGGGTGCAGCACACCAGCATGGCACATGTCTACATATGTAACTAACCTGCACATTGTGCACATGTACCCTAAAACTTAAAGTATAATAATAATAAAATGAATTAAAATAAAAAAAAGAAACCATATTAAATTGATAGCCTTTCTAAGGGTATTTTTTCTATTGATAAAAGGATACACTGATTATGTAACAGGAATATTACCAAGTGTGTGACATTTACATTTTGCAGAGCATAATAAAAGGCATTTTAAATTTAAGAAAAAAAACAAAGACAACAGCAACAAAAAACAAAACAACCAGATGTGCATTCTTGCCCAAATAAGCCAACCTAAGTCAGCTTGATTGTGGACAATAGAGTCAGTTGGAGTGTGAGAACAGTTTTACTCTGGGACTGATACCATAAAAAACAGGCTGCTCTGTAAAGTGTACACCCCTCAGGTATCAGGTGACACAAGTCAGGCACTGCCTCAAAAGTGAAAGGTTGCAAACAGTGACAAGGGAATGGAAATAGATTAGATGTGGATAATGGAGGCATTTGTTCTTCTACAACCTTCTGACAAACATTCATTTTGGTATCTACTGGTTATGCACAGAAATTTATTGAAATTATTAACATGGAAGGCCTTTCTTTGGGCATAACAAACCACTATTTGTTCACCTAATTATACTGGGAATTTAGGGATATATTTCAGTGCATTTTACTTTAGATAAAATCTTTTCATTTCTTATGGAACACAGAGAAATCATCATGAAATTCTAAGTGGATAAAGTGGAAACAAAGACTCTATTTGTGCAAGTTGAGTACATGGGAATGTAATTAGCATTGTAGATAGTATAAATACGCATGTCCATATGCTGTGTCATTAGCTGTGCGTGCTGAAGCTATGTCACCTCATTCGTAGTCCCTTTCACACATAAACAGAAACTTGAATGTTCACTTAGAAAAAAGCATATTTTCTGTAATTACCACTCAAATGTTTCTTAGGTGTCTTCATTGCCCAGCAAAGTCAGAAGTGTGCCCAGTGTGATAAATCATTAAACTTCTTTCTTATCCAAGTAGCACTGATTTAGAATGAATCATGTTTTCAAACAATGTGTTAATAATCCTATCAGCTCTCTGAAAAAAATTAGATTATAATCCTCATTTAACAAATGAGGAAAGGGAAGCAAAGAGTTTGACAACTGTCTATGAACTCAGTGAACAAAAGCCACACTTGTTGGCAATAAGGCTGGCTGTTTCCTCCTGGACCACACAGTTGACATCCCGGTTGGGATATGTCAAGTCCGGAAGCGGTATGTCAAGTCCGGAAGCAGGAGCTATAAGCAGGGTAATGAAATGGCTGCTTTGCCTTTCAGATGGGTCTAGAGGTCAAGTTAGTTTATTTGTTTTTAATTTAGCTGAACTCATAGGCTGGTTGAAAGATCCCTTTGTTGGTAGCGATCTTTTGAATAGCCACATAAACCTTTTGGTCTCTCTCTCGCTTTACTCCAACCCCTTCTCCCATTTGCAGGATTAGAAAAGCACTTGGGAAGCCCATTAATCTTGCCGGCGTTGTCAGGAGTGATCAGCGAGTTTTATTAAAAGCCCTGGGATTGCCTGAAAGGCCCCCTTGTCTGACTTTGAAATGAAAGGGGCATGTTAAGATCTCGGGGCACATTGTCAGGACCCCTCACCCTGCCCCTTGGACTATGAGCTGACCCTCCAGGAGGAAGCACAGAAGCCCTCCTTTGTTAAAGGGATTTCGCCGGTGGACAGAGAAGAGTTGGGCCCTGTCAGCATGAACTCTCTGAGTTGGGGGGCTGCGAATGCCGTGCTGCTGCTGCTCCTCCTGGCCTGGGCCAGCCCCACCTTCATCAGCATCAACCGCGGGGTGAGGGTGATGAAGGGCCACTCTGCCTTCCTGTCAGGAGATGACCTGAAGTTTGCCATCCCTAAAGAGAAAGATGCCTGCAAAGTGGAAGTTGTGATGAATGAGCCAATAACCCAGAGGGTTGGGAAACTCACTCCACAGGTAGGTCCTATCTGCGATTTTCTGTTCAGTCGTGTGTATGAATGCAAGTGTATGAAAATGTGTGGGGGGACAGAGAACAGATGTAAAATGTCTCCCCTCAAGCCATCAAAGACGAGTATTAGAAGATGTTCACATTTGAAATGGTGGACTTGCAATTAGTAGGCATAGTATTGCGCTGCTTTTCTATGTGAGGTGAAACCTATTTTTAAACATTCTTGGCTGACTTCAGATTACAAGCCTGAAACCAGCAGGATTTAATCCTGATTATAATAACATTTATAGAGGAAATCAGGTTCAAACTAATATGGATGCATGTAATTTTTTTCTTAATAATGCACTGTTTCAGTAAGTCTTTCCAATTTCTCCTCTTTCCTGAAGATAACTCTGGTATATCTCACCAGCTGCTTGACCTTATAGAGTAGCTAATTATACAGGAAAAAGCGCAAAGCATCATGTAAGAGAATTACATTGGAGTTATTCCTGCCCCGAGTTATCACATCCATTGCCAGTCAGAGTGGCTTTGGATAAGAGATCAAGATTTCAAGACATTTTTAGGACATACCTGTGACCTTAGCATAGCAAAGGTAAAACTTGAAGATGTTTCATCTATTAACATCACTTAAACATTTTTTCTGAGTAAGGGAAAAGAAGTAGAAAAGAGATGTGAAGATACTTCACTTTAAATATTCACTGTTCTTTGAAATTATCTGCTTAATTTTTTTCCTTTTAATCAAAATCTTGGAGACCTTTATATTTAAGGGTATTCTATTGTCAATCTTCTTGTAGAGTGAAGAGTTACCTCCTAATTCATTGGGTTTAAAAAGTCTATATTCTCTAACACTGTTTTTGCTTAAAGTAGGAGTTACCACTATACATAATTTTAAAAAATTGCTTCTGATTTTATTACTTGTTCCCACTGTCCTGTAACTTTGCTCCCAGTGCAAACAATCTTGAGAATATTCAACACTAGATGCTGCTGCTGCTTCTGGAAAAATGGACCATTCTCTTTTGCTGAACTATGAACTTTATTTCCTTTTCATTTGGCTAAAGAAAACTAATCCACGAGGTTATTGAAAAGTGGTACTAGGTATTACAGAGAGAGAAAAAAAGACTTAGATGGATACTAGCTCAACTGGTGTCTCTAGACACTCCATTTACCACACTTCAAGTTATAGACCCATTCTGAAACACATCAGAATTCTTTGGAAGAGGGTCTCACTTTGCAGGTATTTCTGATGTGGTAGTAACCAAATGTCTCTGCCTAGTTGCTTGTAAGATTTTATCGTCAGTCAAAGAGCTTTAGATGGGTATCTAAAACATGTTAGAATTCAACAATGGCTCCACATATTAGCCATTGTATTCCCAAGTGTTTGGTAGTTGCAGTGTCTCCTCAGTTACTCCCAATTATACTTGCATTCTGAATGTGTTTTGATTGGCACTTACGAGTCAGGGAAAAAGAAGATACCTGGGATTGCTCATACTAGAACCCCAATGTGCTACATAGGATGAGGAAGCAATACAAATAAGCTCAGGAGTGGGTGATAGAGACCCAACTACAGGGACTGGGGTCGAAAGGAAAATGCAGGCTGGTTGCAGTAGCTTACGCCTGTAATTCCAGTACTTTGGGTGGCTGAGGCGGGTGGATCACTTGAGTCCAGGAGTTAGAGACCAGCCTGGTCAACATGGTGAAACTCCATCTCTACTAAAAATACAAAAATTAGCCAGGCGTAGTGGCACATACCTGTAAGCCTAGCTACTCGGGAGGCTGAGACACAAGAATCGCTTGAACCCGGGAGGCGGAAGTTGCAGTGAGCCAAGATAGTGCCACTACACTCCAGCCTGGGTGATAGTGTGAGACTCTGTCTGAAAAAAAAAAGAAAGGAAAATGCAGCCTGTAGAGTTTTGAGAGAGGGTAAAATAGGACACCTGATCCTAGAGGACTGGGGTGTTTGATAAAGCAGGAACCCAGGGCTGTACTGGCACATATGGGTGTCTTATAAAGACTGGTGATTGATAATATGGTACCTCTTCCAATCAATATATTTTTAAAAATCATTCAACATTTATTTAGAAGTGGGCCTGAGTATATTGTGAAAAAGAGAAGAAGGAAAATTCCCACTGGTAGCTCGCAGGAGCAAGCTGTCTAAGCTGTCTTCCAGTTTGGACCTCAAGCATGCATGCCCAACTGAGCAAAACAAAAGCCCTGCAGATGACCAGATTCTCCTTAGTAGGCAATTTGGAGATAATCTATTGTTACCTAAGCCAGCCTCTGAGAGCTCTCCTCTCCCTACCTCAAATGGCCTATGACTCCTTACCGTATATGGCAGTCTCTCTGAGAGAAATAAAATTGTCCCCATTATATATCTTTAGTGATGTTTTAATGGTCCTGATTGCTTGGCCTGCTCCAAGGCACTGAGGAGCAAAAAGGGATCCAAGTGACTAGAACTAGGTAAAAAACATTTGTTCACAAGAATCAAGGATTGGAATAGGCCTGCAAGTCATCTCCATCTCACACTCTCTGATTTTAAGGTAAAACTCCAGTTACTAGAAAGACAGTATAGAGGAGAAACCACAAATTGCCTTGGTTGCTGAGAAACACCTCTGAATATACTGATTCCCTAGCCTGCTATTGCTCATTAAGAAAAAGTAGAATCAAGTCATGAATACTTAGTGTATGTATTTCCAGAGGCAAATATGACATCTCAAATGGATTTATAGCCTCTAAAGTCGGTATGGGATTTATATCTTCTAATATTTATTCTGTGGTAAAGGAGTTCATTAAAATATGGAGTTTCAGTACTTTTTTTGGCCAAATATTAAAACTGTGTGTGAGAGAAATCTATATCATGGGAGAACTTTGTTTCTCAAACTGCCAGGTGATTGTTCCTATTTGTTATTCTCATAATTTCAACAAAAACAAGATTCCTAAGTCTGTTTTGTTTTGTTGAATTTGTGCTTGGTTTTTAACGCAGGCTGGTTCAGTCCTTCCCTAGGGGTTCGTTCCTTATGGAGTTTTAGAAATTAAGCATAGCTAAGTGCATGTGCACACACACACACACACACACACACACACACACACACAGCCTAAACATTATTCTTTAATAGAGCTTAGTAATAAGCTGAAAGCCAAGCTTATGTGAACCCATTTCTAGCAAGACGACTGTATTAACAACACCCTGCTGTGTAATGAACAGTTTCATGTGACTTGCACAGAAAATGTTTTGTTTAACATCTGTTCAATTAGTGTTTTCATTTCATTACTGAAGTTTGTCTTAGGATCAACAGGTTCATTTTCCTGTTGAATATTTGGAAAGGGATTTCAGTTGATGCACACCAGTGCCTTCTGTTCAGATAACCCTCTTGATATAGTCAATTAGATGAGGTTGATGGCAATATGTTTTCCTCATGTTTTAGGACAAGACTCCCTCACACATGGCACTTCTCACACCTAGCCCAAAGCAAGAAATTTGCTGGGTGGAAAGCACCCCAGGTTAGCACTAAACTTGCTTTTTTGAATAGGAAATATAGCGGTAAGAAAGTATCTCTACTTTGAACCATTTTACTGTCATTAAAGTGAGTAATGAGCTAGGAATGTGTGACAATTTAATTATAAATTGTAATTGAAAAGCAGTTGAAGTGGAAAAAAACAAAGCTAGACAGTAATTAGAAAAGGATTTAGCTCTCCTTTGTTTTAGTTAGTAAATTTATGGACAATTATGGTTGTCGCCTTTTATAAAAGGAAAACATATTATGAAACATAAAACAGATGTTTCTTTTAACAAAGCAGACTGTCTCTTTATTACCATGACTATTTGTCAATGATATGGGGAAGGTCTTTGCTTTATCTCCTTCCTAGTTGTCAATTTAAAAGAGGAATCAATGATATCTGCGGGAAAAGAAAATCGTTTGTATTAGTGGTAAAGTCTTCTCTGAGTGAATTATGTTGTCTGAAAATGTTTGAGGCTGTGAAAAGGTACAGACGAAACACCACGAACACAATGGTGGACATGCGTGCATACCTCAAGGGTATTAGAACTCTACCAGAGTCAGATTGGGCAGAATGAAGGGCATGATATGGGTGGGAGAGATGATTCTTCCTCTAAAAATCAGGTTCCCAAAATATAACAGTTAACAATCTCCTAATAATTCTGAGTGAGTTGAGACAGTTCATTATAATTTTATTTGAATAGAGGAAATTGCTTTTAGATTTCTGTTTTTCTCATCTGCCATTTCTGCTATTGCCTAACTAATGAAAGCAGTTTTTTGCAAGTATGCAAGACACAACTCTGGGTCATGTTAGGCTCTGATTAACCACAGTAGTGTCCATAGTCAGTGGCTTCATCTTTGAATATGAGAATACTATTCGGAAAAAAAAAGAAATGAAAGGAGAACACAGATATACAGAAAGAATACAGTGTGTTTGTGGGTGGGTTAAAGCATGCCTTTTCATGCAGACACACAGAAAGAACTCTCTAACTCAATTGCTGTGAACCCCTGAAAGGGGTAAATAAAATTTCGAAAAATGAAAGTATGTTTTAAATGCACTCTAGGTGGTAAAAAGACACTTATTTAGAGACGTAATCATCCCTTAACTAATTTTCTTGAACTGCTTTGGTTTTCACAACTTAGATATTCTCAAAACAAGAGACAGCTGTATAAGTAGGATGGTGACTGGGTATGGGGGTAGGGTAGAGGTGGTGGTGGTGAAGACACACACACTCACACACATACACACATTACTAACAGAGCATATTTTCTCCAGGCAGTGCTCTCCTGGCAAAATGTTAAATCTTGTACCAATTTTCTCATAGATATTTATCCAATTCTTCATGTGAACTAGGTCTTTGACTGCCATTTCCTTCCCAACGAAGTCAAGTATGTTCACAATGGTTGTCCAATTCTTGATGAAGACACAGTGAAGCTCAGACTTTACAGGTAAGCGGCACGGGAACATCGCTCATTTGCTGCCAAGTAACCATTCTGTGTTCTTATGAGGGCTTTTCTTGTGGATATGTATTGTCATGAGGGGAGTTAATAGATTCCAGACAAGAAAGTAATCAACAGAAACTGGAGGCCTGAGTGGATCAGGCAAGATTTGTAGCCAACTTTCAGTTATTTCCACTTGTGTCATCTTCCCTAGGATTCTTCTGTGGCAAATTTTTAGCCGTATCCTGTTTCCCTCTAGTGTCCTTATATAGGTATCTCTGGTGTTCCAACCCACCACTTATGGTAGAAAATGGAAATTATAAACTACAAATTCTTAATGAAAATCAGGGAGAAAATATATTCCAAAAATGAATGAAATTCTTCTTTTTTGTTACCAGCTGTTTAGTTACAGAAAGTGCAATATCTTCCATTTTTAAACATATTAAATATTTAAAATTCCTTTTTTTTTTTTTTTTTGAGACGGAGTCTTGCTCTGTCACCCAGGCTGGAGTGCAGTGGCGCAATCTCGGCTCACTGCAACCTCTGTCTCCCAGGTTCAAGCTATTCTCCTGCCTCAGCCTCCTGAGTAGCTGGGACTACAGGCGCCCACCACTACGCCCGGCTAATTTGTTGTATTTTTAGTAGAGGTAGGGTTTCACCGTGTTAGCCAGGATGGTCTTGATCTCCTGACCACATGATCTGCCTGTCTCCGCCTCCCAAAGTGCTGGGATTACAGGGATGTGCCACCATGACTGGCCTAAAATTCTTTAAAAATCAACTATGGAGTTAAACATGGAATGACCGTAGGAGACAGCAGTTCTTCTCCTACGCATATATATAAGAAAAATGAAAACTTATGTTTTACATAAGAACTTGCACTTAAAGTTCAATGCAACATTATTCATAACAGCCAAAAAATGGAATAAATCCAACTGATGAATGGATAAACAATATGTGGTATATTCATGGAATGGAATATCATTCAGCCATAAAAAAACAACGAAGCACTGATAAAGGCTACAGCATGAATGAACCTTGAAAACATTATGCCAAGTAAAAGAAGCCAGGCACAAAGTGTCACATATTGTATTGTTCCATTTGTATGAAATGTCTAGAACTGGCAAATTCACAGAGACGGAGAGTAGATTAGTGGTTGCCAGAGGCTGGGGAAGGGAAATATGTCTCTTTTGGGGTTGATGAAAGTCTTCTGGAATTAGGTAGTCATGATGGTTGTACAACCTTGGGACTACACTAAAAAACTCTGAGTTGTATATTTTTAAAAGATGAACTTTGTGGTATATGAATTATATCCCAGTGAAAATTAATTTTAAATTTAAGCTCACGATTATGGTATATCTGACTTCATAAAAGTCACTGAGAACTGATGTATGTGGAGTAGGCCTTTATAGGGTTTTTTATTTGGTTTTTATTGCTTTTAAGAATATTTGGTTAGATATGTTGGTGTGAATTTCCTTTAAGCATTAGACTAATGTAAAAGACTTTTGTACAAGACATTGGAACAGTGAACCATTCTACAAACATTTATGACCACCTATTACAGGCCAGGCTGTACGTTGAGCATAATCAACAAAAGGATGAGAATACACAGATTATTTTAGTGCTTGTAGTCTAAGGCAAAAGATGAGCAGGTAATTATGATGCAGAACAAGCGCCAAAAGAGAGTCACAAAATGCTGTGTTGAGAAAATGAAGCGGCACTCAAGGATTCCTTAGGAAGATATGAAATCAGCATACAGGGCCATTTGATCTTTCTAAGACTTTAGAGTTAAAAAACAAATAACTTCAAAGAACTTGCGCGGAGCGGGTGGGAAGGGTAGTGGGGAGTTGCAGGGAACATGGGGATGGTTAATGAGTACAAACAGTAGTTAGAATGGGTAAGACCTAGTATTTGATAGCACAACAGGGTGACTACCGTCAGTAACAATTCAATGGCACATTTTAAAATAACTATAAGATTATAATTGGATTGTTTGTAACAAAAAGGTTAAGAGGGCCAGGCGCAGTGGCTCATGCCTCTAATCCCAGCACTTTGGGAGGCTAAGGTGGGCAGATCACCTGAGGTCAGGAGTTTGAGACCAGCCTGGTCAACATGGCAAAACCCCATCTCTACTAAAAATACAAAAATTAGCTGGGAGTGGTGGCAGGCACCTGTAGTCCCAGCTATTCGGGAGGCTAAGGCAGGAGAATCTCTTGAACCTGGGAGGCAGAGGTTGCGGTGAGCCGAGATTACAGCACTGCACTCCAGCCTGGGCAACAGAGTGAGACTCTGTCTCAAAAAAAAAAAAAAAAAAAAAGGATAAATGCTTGAGGGAATGCTCAATAAATGGATACCCCATTTATTAAGATGGGATTATTACACATTGCTTGCCTGTATGAAAGTATCTCATGTACCCCATTACATATATATGTGTACATATATGTATATACGTGTATATATGTGTATATATGTATATATATGTGTATATATGTATATATGTGTATATATGTATATATGTGTATATATGTATATATGTATATATGTATATATGTGTATATGTGTATATATGTATATATGTGTGTATATATGTGTATATATGTGTATATATGTATATGTGTGTATATATGTATATATGTGTATATATGTACATACATGTGTATATACGTATATATGTGTATATATGTATATATGTGTATATATGTATATATATGTGTATATATGTTTATATATATGTGTATATATGTATATATGTATATGTGTATATATGTATATATGTATATATGTATATATGTATATATGTGTATATATGTATATATGTGTATATATATGTATATATGTGTATATATGTATATATGTGTATATATGTGTATATGTGTATATGTGTGTATATGTGTATATATGTGTATATGTGTATATGTGTATATATGTATATATGTGTATATATACGTATATATATGTGTATATATACGTATATATGTATATATACGTATATATGTATATATGTGTATATATGTATATATGTGTATATATGTATATATGTATATATGTGTATATATGTGCATATATATGTGCATATATATGTGTATATATGTGTATATATGTGTATATATGTGTGTATATATGTGTGTATATATGTGTATATATGTGTGTATATATGTATATATGTGTATATATGTATACATGTGTATATATGTGTATATATATGTGTGTATATATGTGTATATATGTATATATATGTGTATATATATGTGTATATATATGTGTGTATATATATGTGTATATATATACATACCTACTACGTACCCACAAAATTAAAAGTAAAAATAAATTTAAAAAAGAAAAAAAGCTGATGAATGCTTGCTTCTTCTACTCCTTCCTTGGGTTTCTAGGCTGCTGGGAGGCTGGAAGAGTATACATGAAATGCAGGGTTAGAGGAGCTTCTTCCCCTCTTGGTCTTCAGCACATTTGAAATAAAATATTCAGGGGAGTAGGCAGCAGAAAACAGGGAGCATGTTTGTTCCCCTCTTACTGCTTCTCCTTCTCCAGCCCCTTTGGCAAGCTACCTGAGCCCGTTATGCCTGAGTTTCTTCCTCCATAAAATGGGATTAACAATGTCTGGATATCCTAGGTTTTTATAAGGATTATGTTATATACTATCATAGAGAATTTAGCATAATGCCTGGGCCATAATAAGAGCACATCAATTAGAAGCTGCATTATTGATGCATGCATATCACTCATTAATCTTCTCCCTTCAAAAAAAATGACACCCCTCTATTTTAGACTCTTCAAACAACCTGAGATTAAAGTTGCTAAGTGGATGGAGGGAATGGAAGTGGCAATTGCTGAATATGCTTTTTACATGCCAAGCACTGAGCTGGGCACCCAAACTAGGCTGCAAATGACCACCTATGTAGTGGTATTTCTGAAGGGCAAAAAGGCCTGAATGCTTCAGAAACCACTCACCCCTTCACTCCTGAATTAAAAGTCAATCCAGAAATTATATAGGCTTGAGACTCTTAAATTACACATGTGCTAGAAGTGAGACTCTGAGATCTCAGCAGTCATTAAATATCCACGTGCATGATGAGTTTGAGAGCAGGTGTTGAAAGAAAGATGTTGGGAGGAAGAAGTGGCAGGAAAAGGTGTTGACACCAGGGTAAAGAGATGAAGGGAAAAGAACAGAGAGGCTGGGAGTAGAGCAAGAAATGAAATCCAAACTCAATCTGTGGCACAAATTTGGTGAAGGCCAATCTTTAGTCTTCCAGCTGAGTACATGGGTATCAGAAATACCTGAGCACCAATTAATATTGCTTTTGCCCTGTGTTCTCCACAGATTTACTGAAAGAGATACCTTCATAGAAACTTTTATCCTGTGGGTCTATCTCCTGGAACCAGACTGTAACATCATCCATATGAGTAACAATGTGCTGGAGGTGCCTGAATTCAATGGCTTGTCCCAAGCGATTGATAAAAATCTGCTCAGATTCGATTATGATAGGATGGCTAGCCTGGAATGTACCGTCAGCCTGGACACTGCGAGAACTCGGCTGCCAGCCCATGGCCAGATGGTTCTCGGGGAGCCTCGACCAGAAGAACCTCGTGGAGATCAGCCACACAGTTTTTTCCCAGAGTCCCGTATGATGTCTTTTAATGCCTTTCTGGGTATTACCAAAACTGACAAAAATATCCATGCATGCTCACCTTCCACCATGATGAAGAGTTCTAGTTAACTAGTCATTTTAGCTGGCTGAACAGTGTCAGTTAGTGGTTAAGAGCACAGACTTTACAATCAGAAAGACCTGGTTTTGAGAACTTCATCTGTTCTTTATTTTCTGTGTAATTTTAGTTATTAACCTGTCTAAGCCTCTCTAAAATGAGAAAGGAAAATAGCTGCCCTGTAGGGTTGGGTAAGGATAAGAGTAAATGAGGTTATACATACACACAGTACTTAACACAGTGTCTGGCTCACAGTAGGTACTCATTGTCAGCTGTTATTAGTAATAGCAACAGTAGTAGTTGGTGCATTTATGGAGTATTATTGGATTATGAGCAAATTTGAAGTAAAGCTAGTGGGTAGCAGTGATAGACGAAATTAGGAAGAGTTTATGGGTAACATTCCTTCTGCTATTCACTCAATCAACCTATTTTGGGCACCTCCTGTTCTCTCTAGAAACTATGAGAAGCCAAGAAATATAAGGGATAATCATAGCAATAGTAGTAATACTTTGAATTTTGGACAGAATGACAGTTAACGGCACATTTGTTCTATTTTGTACGTCTGAGAAATGAGACTCCAAAAAAAAAAAAAAAAAGTGGGTGGCTGGGCATGGTGGCTCACACCTATAATCCCAGCACTTTGGGAGGCTGAGGCAGGAAGACTGCTTGAGGCCAGGGTTTCAAGACCAGTCTGGGCAACCTAGCAAGACCTCATCTGTACAATTTTTTTTTAATTTGAAAGTGGCTTATGAGTATTATATACTAAACAAGAGTGGAAATACATTTGGTTAGAGATGTGAAGACTGTTGGAGAGACAATTATGGTTTTCAGTGAGAAAGAGCATGTTGGTTCAGGTGGTCAAAGAATGTTTAAGGGAAGGCTTAGTAAAAAGACCAGGTGGACCTGGAAGGATACGCAGGATTTGAGTGCGTGATAGCCACATGGGGAGGGGATTTCAGTGAGTAGACAGCCTAGTAGAGATTGTATGATAGAGACATGGAAGCTGATTCTGTAAAGGAAAGACTGGAGCTAGACTGTGGAAGGCCTGCAGTGAGTCACTGGTCTATTTGTCAGAGATGTTCAAGCCTCAGACAACATATTTTATTATTTTTTCTCTCAGTTTAACTTTTGGTGGGTGAGGGCACGATGAGACAACTGGTCAACCGTTTTTCAGTAAAGGAAACTACAAGCTTTCAGAATAATGACAACCCACTCAGTGAATGATTGGAAGGTACATGAGTGTTCCTGAGGCAGTGAGAGGGAATAAGTATTCATGGGACGGAGTACTGGTTTCTAAATTTTACAATTGTTATGTTTAAGTGACTCTCTTAATCCAGTGCTGTACATTCTAGAACTGAGAGCAAAACTGAAGTGTCCAGGTGGGAGCTGTACCCCAGGATTAAAGAAAATAGGAAGCCTCAAAGTGAGCTGTGAGGAGTTCCTGCTGATGGGCCTTCGTTATCAGCATCTGGATCCCCCTTCACCCAACATTGATTATATCTCCATCCAACTGGACCTCACAGATACCAGGAGCAAAATTGTGTACAAGGTAGAGTTTGGGGTTATGTGTGGGTGCCCCCAGGATTCACAGTAAGAGAGCCAGTTACACAGGCTTACTCATGCTCGCCCCCATGCCAGGGAGAGTTCCTGTGCTTTTGGGGGTAAAACTGCCAGCGACTCATTGGAACTGCAGGCTTGTTGGTTCTGCTAGTAAGTGCTTAAAACAGTAGGTTTTGTATAAAATTTCCCTTCTCTGGTTCTCTTCTAGGTCCACCATCAGTACAGCAACTTGGGAAGGACTGGGGCTAGTTACGTGCTAACCTTCTTCCTCCTTTACTCCCAATACTCTTCAGCTTGTCATTTGACCTTTTATAACACCTTCTCTTTGATGCTTCCTTTTGTCCTTCTTGAAATCAGGGGGTCCACTCTGCAAGGTCACAGGAAACTAGGGGGAGGGAGGAGAATCTCAGTCCCATGGTTATGTTTGTCACAGATTTGTCACTCTTCCAGGCTTTGGGATGAAGGGCTAGCTCATCAAGGAGACAGGCTCCCAAAGACCTCCTGCGTCTTCCAATCTCTTTTAATTCTCTTGTTTTTCTCCTATTGATCTCTATATATTGAAATAATGACAGAAAGTGGATTCCATTTATTTGAAATATTTAACATGCAGTGCTGCTGATTCATGAACTCTATAATTTGTTTATTGGGGAAACCGGGGAAACTGCACCTGCTGAAACAGCTGAGATTTTTTTTTTTTTTTTTTTTTGAGACGGAGTCTCGCTCTGTCGCCCAGGCTGGAGTGCAGTAGCGCAATAATGTCGGCTCACTGCAAGCTCTGCCTCCCAAGTTCATGCCACTCTCCTGCCTCAGCCTCCCGAGTAGCTGGGACTACAGGCGCCTGCCACCACGCCCGGCCAATTTTTTGTATTTTTAGTAGAGAAGGGGTTTCACCGTGTTAGCCAGGATGGTCTCAATCTCCTGACCTCGTGATCCACCTGCCTCACCCTCCCAAAGTGAAACAGCTGAGATTTTGTGCTGAGGAAAGATGATCCAAGATGATGTTTGGAAATACTTCTATCTTTCACAATCTGGCTTCTCACTGGGATTTCTCCTAAGGGGCCCAGTCAAATATTGAACATTATTACCCCAAGGAATTGATATGACAAGGAATCATAAAGAAATGATAAAACAAAATCATAGAATTAAGATCTGGAAAAAAACTGTGAGGCAGACTAGTCAAATTGATCAGGTAAATCACTTGGGTAGCTTTTCAAGGATAAATTTCTGAGTCCAAATAATAGTTAAGAGCATGGACGCTGGGCCCAGATTGCCTGGGTTCAAACGTCCACTTAACTAACTGTGTGACTTTTGGTCTCATTTTCTTCAACTTAAAGTGGGTTTATAGTACCTATTTCTTAGAGTAACTGAGAGGATTAAATGATAAATACTTATTATGTGCTTGACATAAAACCTGGCACATAGTAGCACTATGCATATTGCTGGTTTTAAAAGTCACCCAGTAAAAAACTCATTAGCCAGGTTTGCAAAACCAGGCTGGGTTTAGCTCAAGCTTCCTATTTTATAGTGGTGGCCCCGAGAAGTGACATACCTTGTTCATACAGACCTAAACACTAGGTCTATAGACAACTAATAGATGTTTTCTGTTTGTTTTAACACAAAACTCCTTTCACTTTTAATGATTTATTATATCCATTGAAAAAAAATTGGAGCCATTTTTCTTTTTGATCAAATTTTCTCATTTTTTTCTTACTATATTGAATACGCCTTTATTTGTTTATATTTTAAAATCTGTTTTATTGGGAGTTTATCCCTTTACCTTCTTGCTTTGTTTATCATTAACCTATTCCATAGCTTATTTGGCATGTCATAAAACAGATTCATTTATGAATATAAAAGTAATAGGCTCACTGCAGAGAATATTAAAAAAAACACAGAAAGCAAGATAAGAAGAAAATAAATATAGCTGTATTTTTACCATTTTTACATACACACACATGTGCATGAGTGCATGCCAGAGTTGGTTTTGTTTTATGGAATCGCATTTATACTATATGTGAAGTTTTGTATCTTGTTCTTTTGTTATTTTTATGGTTGTACAGTCAATTCTCATCAAGTGACCAAATGATCCTTCACTCATAATTTCTTCTAGATTTTTAAAGGTCTTCTTCCTTACATTTGCCTTTTTAATCTACCTCAAATACAATTTTATTATATGATGAAATACAAGGAACAGTTTTTTCCAAATAGCCCAAATTTTCAACACTATTCATTGAACAATTAACTTGTTTCCCATTGATTTTAGATGATCTTCTATTGTATATAAGGATATAACGTATACAATTTCAAGGCTAGCTCTTTTATTTCTTAGATTTACCTACTTATTCTTTGTCAGTCTCATATTATTCTAAACATAATAGGCCTATAATTTTCTTACAGACAGGTTCTTCCTTATCACTTCTCTTCAAAATTTTCATGGCCATTATCACCTAGACTTAGTTCCAAATAAATATAATTAAATCATTTATGTTAGTTTAAAAAAAAGCCCCTAAGGATTTTTATCAGTATCCAATTAGAACTATAAATTATTTGGGGAAAATTAGAATAATGGAACATTTACAATATTAAGTCTTTTCATCCAGAAATGAAGTATCTCACTTTATTGAACAAAGGTTCTTTTATAGGTTTCTGTAAAGTTCGTAGTTTCCTTCATGTAAGGTGAGCATACTTATTAAGTCCAGTCCTAGGCACTTTGTTTTTGTGAACCTATGGTGAATAGAATATTTTTCTCCCATTATATCTTCTCAATGGTTATTGATGATAAACAGAAAAGCTATTTTTGGAATAATTTTCTTTTATCTGGCTTCTTTCCTGAATTCAATTATTTTAAGAAGTTCTCAATTCTTTGGGCTTTTAAAGACCATAATTATATCTTTCACTAGTGATGATAATTTTGTTCTTTCTTTTCCTGTAATTATTCTTCTTATTTTTGCTCTATTCCCCACTGGTTTGAGAAGAACAATATTAAATATAATGTTATTTGTAAGAATCTTTGTCTTATATTTTTTACTTTTATCAACTGCCCACATTGAATTCATCTTTGAAATTATGTGGTCTCTCTGCTTTTTCCATTAATGATCAATTTGTATCACCCTTTTCCTTTTAATCTTTCTATGTAATTTTAAGTGCCTTTCTTGTAAGGTACATATAATTGGACATTTTTGTTGAATTTCAGACTATTTGTCTTGAATAAGGAAATATAAACTTTATATTTGTGGTAGTAATAGATACACTTTTTTCTATCATGTTTTATGCTTTCTTGCTAATTAAAAAAATTTGTCTTGCAAAATAAATGATGTTTTCTTTGCCTTTATCTTATTTGACAATTCCTTATCACAGTTGATGTTTTATTTGGACTTAATTCTAAACTTAAAAATATTCTTAAGCCTATATTTGTAATATGTACGGTGAAAAAATGAAGTGAGCTCTCTTGGCTCCTTCCTATGTATGATGATAACTGATCCAATTGATCCTTTCTCCTGGCAATTGCTTTGTTTATATAATTTGCAATTTCAGTTCTAGCATATGATTGTTATACTTTATTACAAGCAGTAAGCTCTTTCATCATTTGTATCCACTTTATTAACATGTTTAAAATAACGTACTTATTTAGACTTGACTCTAGACTCAATTGGTCTTAGCATTAAGCACCAGTCCTTCTAAATCACAATTTACCCCTCTTGAGTTTTCTAATTATGCATCTTCAAATAATACTTCTTCCCAGTGACACACGAAGATTAGATACTCTAAACCCTGGGACATCTCAGTATCGTTCACCTGCCTTCATCAACCATGCAGTGGGAAGGGAAGGGGTTGATTGTCTTCTCCTCTATTCCTCTCTTGCAATTCTCTTTTCTCTGGGCATTGCTGGTTAGTTTCTTAATTTTCAGACTGGTGGCAGGGGTGGTTTTGGGGAATGGGAGAGAGGGATCTTATTTGATCAGGCATTGATGACATATGATTTCATGCTCTCTGAGCCTGGTAGATGTCTCAAGCTGCATCTTTGTCTTAGGGACAAATTTATGGTTTCTCTGGAGAGTCCCATTCATTGATCTATCACTCATAGCTCTCTTAAGAGGATTATTTCTAACCTGAGTGATCACTTGCAATTTCTCCTGCAGCTCCTAGGATTTGATTCTATCTCCAGCATTTTCCTACTGGATTTTTGTCCTCTCAAGAGTGCACTCTGAAGTTCAGGGTCCAGGAGATCCCAGACCAGCCCTCTGCCCACTAGGCCCTTAACTGGAAACATTTATATGTCCCTTGTTGCCACAAACAAGAACAGACTGATTTTGGCACAGCCATCATTTTTTTTGCTTCCAGCCAGTTAGCTTCCTCAGATATGAGCCCTGCATCAGCTCTCTGTGTGTGTTTCAACTGCAAGAAACACATTTTAAGGGACAGGAGATATGGCATTGCTCTGCTCTTCCTGCTCCGTGCCAATGTTTGGTGTTGAAGGTCAGGAAAGTGACTGAACACAACGCAGCAAAGCACTCCTCTCTCCTAATCAATCTTTTTCTTACCTTTCTCAATCTTTTTATATTCTTATATGGGCAAGAAAGTTCTGGAGTCTGGAATTAGTTCCAGACAACTTGCTTTGTAAATTCTGCATATTTTACTACCTGTCTTACATTCAGTTGCACATCTAATCTCTTTTATTGGAACTTTAGCATTCTGTTATACACAGATTACAACTCCTAGCCCAATGGCAAGTGTTCAGCAGTATGGGACTAATGTGAATTTGGTAACTGAGCCTGGTTCTCTCAGCAATGGGCTAGATCAAATCCTGTGAGAACTAGCATCTACAGCTATGAGGATTCTTTTCTTTTCTTTACAAAGTCTCACTCTCTTGCCCAGGCTGAAGTACTGTGGCATGATCATAGCTCACCATAACTTCAAACTCCTGGGCTCAAGTGATCTTCCTGCTTCAGCCACTCGAGTAATTGGCTATAGGTGTGCACCACCATGCCTGTCTAATTTTATTATTTTTACTTTTTTTGTAGAGATAGGGTCTCGTTCTGTTGCCTAGGCTGGTCTCAAACTCCTGGCATCAAGCAATCCTCCCACCTCGGCCTCCCAGAGTGCTGGGATTGCAGGCGTGAGCTACCACACCTCACCCTGTGAGGATTCTTTCTGCCCATAGCACTTGTTGAGATCTTAGATCTTGTGGCACAATTTCATGGTTTCTTTGGAGGGTCTCTTGCTCATAGTGCTCTCATTTTGGGAGGATGCATGCCTAGCCTCAGTGGCCACTTGCAATCCCCAATGCCCAACCCTTGCTTGAAGATCCAGGGTCTTAACTAGCTAGACAACCAAGCAACTATTCTTCATTTGCATGAGAACCAAATCATAAAGACATATTTCCTTCATCCTTCTCCTGCCCCCTTTAAAACTACATGACAGGAGGTGAGGAAGGCGGCTGGAGGAGGTTGTTGGTGAGTGCCAGATTGCTAAGTGCCTACTTTGGCTATTTCATTTGTCCTCACTTAATTCTTGGTAGTCTAGTATTAATATTTTCATTTACAGCTGGAAAGAAAATGAGACTGAAGAGTTAAGTAACTTGTCTAAAATCACACAAATTAAAAGTGTTGGAGATAGAATGATAAACACAGTTCCTTCTGATGCCAAAGTAGGTGCTCCCTTCTTCACCTGGCTGCATGTAAGAGTCACCAGGGAGCTCGAGAAATACTGGTTTTCTGGTCCCCTTTTTGGAACAATTAAACAAGAACCTCTGGAGACAGATCCTAGGTACCAGCATGTGTTTAAAGCTCCCCAGGTGATTCCAATATGCAGCCAGGCTTCAGGTCACTGCTAGACGCTAGGCTGTGGCTGTATTAAATATTATGCTATTAGCCCTGTATGATATCACCTCATTCATATTATTTCCTCCTTTATATTTTCTCTATCCTTCAAAAGTCAGAGAGTGCGTGGCTGCCTGTCTATATCAGAGCTGGAATTCCGAATCAGATTCCAAAGGCTGCATTCATGGCCGTGTTTATTCTGGAAGTGGATCAGTTCATCCTGACCTCCTTGACTACATCAGTTCTGGACTGTGAAGAAGATGAGACCCCTAAACCCTTGCTGGTGTTCAACATTACTAAAGCCCCGCTCCAGGGCTATGTGACTCACCTGTTGGATCACACCAGACCAATCTCCTCATTCACCTGGAAAGATCTCAGTGACATGCAGATCGCCTATCAGCCACCAAACAGCAGCCATTCTGAGAGGAGACATGATGAGGTAAGAAGGAGAGACAAAGCTTCCAGCCTAGTTAGAAGTCACAGGGTTATTTAAGAACCCCCTACCCTAAACCCTCAGGTTCCTTTGTACATTCATTGCCTCAGAAAAGAATCAATCACTGTAAATCAGGATGCACACTCACTGCCCAGAGGAGCCAGGCAGGTGGGGTCAATGAGCAAACCCCACTGAGGGGCACTGTGGCAAACTGAAGAAAGAGCCATCCCCTCAGGAAGCAGCTGCCACTCAGCTCATGCCCACCACTGCCCTGCAAGGATACAAGTGTGCCCACTGTTGCTGTAGCACTCATGTGCCAAGAGAAATTGGAAAATGATACATTTTTGGTAAAATGCTTAAATTCTTGAATATAGAAAACAATTAAAACTTGTAGTGAAACGTATTGTGCTAGCTACCAAATATTTCTGAGGGCCACATTTGACCCAGGGCTCACCAGTTTGAGAACTGCAGCAGCCTTCGACAGCCTTCCTGAATCACAGAGACCATTGAAGTTAGAGATGACTTTTGTTTACAATTCTTTTATTTTTAACAAAATTTTTTTGGTGTGTTTAAGTTCTGGGGTACATGTGCAGGATGTGCAGGTGTGTTACATAGGTAAACATGTCCATGGTGGTTTGCTGTACCTATCAACCCATCACCCAGGTAGTAAGCCCAGCATGCATTAGCTATTTTTTCTGATGTTCTCTCTCCCTCCACCCCCAACCCCGACAGGCCCCAGTGTGTGTTGTTCACCCAAAATATGGAACACTTTCCGAATTTGTGTGTCATCCTTGTGCAGGGGCTATGCTAATCTTCTCTGTAGCATTCCAATTTTAGTATATGTGCTGCCAAGGTGAGCACACAATTCTTTTATTAATAAATTCTTTTATTCTTTTTTTTTGTGAGAGCTTTTTATGGGAATCCTTAATTTTAATTAATAACACGGACTCAGGATAGGACATTCCGTAGTCTTATTTGATAACTAATTTCACAGTGAAACACAGTCCATCGGGAAGGTCCTACTTCTATCTAATTTCCTTTTGCTGCAGGTTCCACCTCTCTCCTCTGTTTTGTAGTTAGTGGGAGGGGAGGACAGCTGGTTAAAGTCTTCCACATAATAGTGCTTCACATGCTTAAAGAACTACCAGCAACTTGATTCAAACAGGGTGGAAATTGTAAACGAGCAGACTGATAGAGACTTGAGCTCAGGTTTATTAAGGAAAATGATCGTCCCTGGGGTTATCTCTATTGTAATTTCGGCATTTTCAGCATGTAGCCTCAAGGGAAGACAAAGGACTTCAGGCTATAAACGCTATGCTTTGCCTTCTGCTTTTATTTCCCCCTTTTCATCATAGTCTGTGGCCCCCCATGCCTTCCCTGTTAGGAAGTAATTTCTCATTGCACATCCAATCTTAGAGCACTGCTTTTCTGGCCTCTTCCTGTGTGTAGTTTCTGGCATTGTATAATGTACTCTTAAAGCAGAACCTGTGCGAATGTGTGATTTTTTTCGTTAGACAGTAACTCTCAATTTTTTCAGTGGAGATCACACAGTTTTCAGGTTGTGTGGACTGGAAGCCCTGGGCCAGGGCCCAACCGAATGCATTACCCCTCCAAAAAAGACACCTCCTGCCCATGTAGTTTCCTGTTCAGTCTGTTGCTTTGGCAGCCTTGAATCAGTTTCTTTTGTTATTTAGTGTTTGCTGATATAGTGCTGTTTGATTATTTATCTTATCCTCTTCCATGGACCACATGTTCTTCAAAAGTAGGGAGTATGCCTTGCATTTCTGTGTTATACCTCATTCTTCTCTGTCAACATCTGGTGCAATACATACACAGCACATAATAAAGATCAAAACTTATCACGCAGCCCCTACTTACTTATTAGTTATGAATTTCATGAAAGCAAATAAAGTTGAGATATTTAAAAATATGTCTAGTGAAATACATGTCTCTAGATCAGGGTTTCTTGATAGTAGCAGTACGACAATTGCCATTTTGTATCAGATAATTCTTTGTTTGGGAGGTTGTCCTGTGTACGGTAGGATGTTAGTATCCTGGCCTCTACCCACTCGATGACAATAGCATTTTCCCACACACCGACTTCTGAAATTAAAAATGCCTCCAGACATTCCCAAAAGTCCTGTAGTGGGACAACATCACCCCTAGTTGAAAACCACTTCTCTAGATCCTCCACCTTTGAGAAAGATTTAAGTGACTGAATGTGGGAAGGGGTTGGTCTCCTAAGCAAGTGCAGAGACACTTCTCCAGCATATTACCAATTTTAGATTAATAAATTCTTTTATGTAGAAGAAAATTTAAAAATACCGTTAAAGTAAGGAACAAGATCTAGAACCTGAAAAAGTCAAATCAGGATGTCTAAATGAGATGTGGGAACTGCAGAAATGTGAATCCCCGCAGAAAACTGAATCCACTGTGTGTGGGTATAACCCAGAATTAATGCTACTTTACCCTGTAACGCTTCAGTGTGTGGCTCCTTTGCCTCTGTTTGTTTACAGGTAGAATTGGAGGTATACGACTTCTTCTTTGAAAGGAGTGCACCTATGACAGTCCACATCTCCATCAGAACAGCAGATACAAATGCCCCCCGTGTATCCTGGAATACAGGTAAAGCTCAATATAAGGCATAGAGCAACATAGCCCTGAAGGGAATACAAGAAAGTAGATGGGTCAGGAAAGAAAGGTAGTTTTATTCCTATGTCATACATGTGGCAACTGAAACCCAGACAGATTAAGGGCATCACATAGTAGCTTTTGTTGTTGTTTTTTTATTCCTCCTGGCAGCGTGAGAAATTTAAATCCAGGATTTCTGCGTCCTGAGGCCAAGTTCTTTCCTCTGCCGGAGATAAGACAAAGGGACACTTTTCAACTGAATGAAGCAAAAAACTGACTATTTGTGATATTGAGCTGTAGTGGGACTGAAATCTCCAACTCAAATTGTTCCAAGGGATTGGAGAAAGGTTTAGCTTTTATAATCTATAGTCTATTTTTATGTTGGGCTGCATGGAAACTAAAATATGTAAATAAGAGCTTTAACTGCTTTAAAATATGGCTTTCTATGCCTCTCAATTCTGAGTGGACTTATGTGATATATATATGTATATGTTGATCAGATGTAAATGTGGAATGTAAATGGAGATCTTTTCCTTCTCACTGATCCCATCAATACCATTTGAAACATACTTATAAGCAGTGGTGGTAGATAGTATTAAGGAAAAAATATCTGTGTCTGATTTAAATCCTCAGGTGGCAGCTTAAACGAGCTGCCTCGTGTGTGTACACATAGATATGTGTTTGTATGTGTGTGAGTTTCAGCAGAGATAGAGAACATCAGGTGAGCAGCCTTGATTTATAATTCTGGCTATACATCCTACTGTACCTCTGTCAAGGGGGTAATGAGAGAAAAGATGGAATCAGTAACCTAAAGTTTAGGAATAATCACATGTTGCATGGGCTCCTGCCTGAGTGTAGAGATGGAATAGTCTGTACGTGTATGTGTGATCGGTGACACCCAGGTTTGCTCAATGTCATTTTGGCTGCTTTGAACATCAGAATCCCTTTTAAAATAAATGTTTGCTTATTATGAACTTGATCTGTGCCATCGTTGAAATTTGGAGAATGCATCTAAAATTATTATTTCGCCGTGAAGATATAACCAATGTTAATATTTTGCTGTATATATTTCTAGGCTTCTCGATTGTTCCTCTGCTGTGCTCCGTGATGCCTTGTCCTATGCACTCCTGGCTTCCAAACCCTTATTGCCAGTCACAGAGATTCTTCTTATGCACTTCTGTCCATTTCTTCTCCCTCCCACCCTCCCTCCCTCCCTCCCTCCCTCCCTCCCTTCCTTCCTTCCTTCCTTCCTTCCTTCTTTTTCTCTCTCCCTCTCCTTTATATATGTATTAGCCCAATTTCCCTAGAAAACAGACCCCGAGGCAGATCAGATGTACTAACCCTATACTAAAAGCAAGAGTAAGGGGAGAAGCAAATAAAAACGCATGGCTGAGCTGGTGTCACAGCTTTACAATAAGATAAAGCAGATTGCTCTGCAGTGTTGATGTCTCCAGGGAGAAGATGCAACTGCTGTGTCTGGTAAGAGTTGGAAGTGGGGTTGGGAAAAGGTCAACAATCTATTAATGGTCAGTTATTTCCCATCTCCTGTGTTTAATGGGTTAAAGTTTACTTCACTGGCTGTTAACTCCCCACATGCCCAGATTGTGTTATCTGGCCCCTCTTAGCAGCCATTGCACACACTTCCTGGGTCCCCTGGTGCAGGGCCTGATCAGCCACAAGGTTGGTCCTGCCGCCACTAGAGGGCAGTGGAGGTAGCCGGCTGCATCAGAAGATGAGGCAGTGGTGGCAGGAGGGCTTTACAATTTTGGAGACTGGGAACCCTCATGGGGCGGCTGCAGCTAGAGAACAGTCAGTTGGTCGAGGCCGGGATGGCAGGTGAAGCTGGCAGATGTGAGAGAAGCATAAGATAAGTCCAGCAGCACGCTACCTTGCAATTCGACCAGCTTGCTCTGCTCCCTTTCAGGATTATCTGTAATCTGTTGTAATATTGGAGTTAATAGTACTAAAAATAAAAATAGTACTAAAAATAAAAGCTACATTCCAGTTTCTTGAAAAGCTTTTATAGATGCAATATTCAGATGGTTTCATGAGTGGAAATTCACTCATCTTTTCTTAAGCAGGCACGTTGGCATGTCATAGAACTTGCCAATACCCTTTTCTTATCTTTTTTTAAAAAATTTAAGTTCTGGGGTATATGTGCTGAACGTGTAGGTTTGTTACATAGGTATACATGTGCCATGGTGGTTTGCTGCATCTATCAACCTGTCATCTAGGTTTTAAGCCCCTCATGCATTAGATATTTGTCCTAATGCTCTTTCTCCCCTTTCCCCTCTACCCCCGAACAGGCTCTGGTGTGTGATGTTCCCCTCCCTGTGTCCATGTGTTCTCATTGTTCAGCTCCCACTTATGAGTGAGAGCATGTGGTGTTTGGTTTTCTGTTCCTGTGTTAGTTTGCTGAGGATGATGGTTTCCAGTTTCATCCATGTCCCTGCAAAGGGCATGAACTCATTATTTTTTATGGCTGCATAGTATTCCATGGTGTATATGTGCCTCATTTTCTTTATCCAGTCTATGATACCAACACCCTTTTCTCCTTTCTTTCATAGGTCTGAGTCTCCTTGAGGGGCAGTCTCGAGCCATCACTTGGGAACAGTTTCAGGTTGTCGACAATGACGACATTGGTGCTGTCCGGCTAGTCACCGTTGGTGGCCTGCAGCATGGATGGCTGACTTTAAGAGGTGAATGATCCAACTTGGTAACCTAGCAAAGAATCCAAAAGTATTTTCTTCAAAAGTAGATATATTTAACAGATATATGTAGCATCTCTTGGGCCCAATTTCTCAATGAAATTGTCAAATGCAGAAAATCTGGAGATCTTGAAATCATTGACTTTTGTGTTCAAATGCTCAGATCAATGTCTAACCATTTATGAATGGTACCTTGTACGTGGCTCATTGTTTAAACCTCAGTTTTGCTTTCTGGATGCCATGCATGGCTTCTTGTAAGTATACTCCTTAACTAGTTATTTTTTTCCCAGTTGGAGGACAGAATGTTTTTTATTTCTCTGCTTCAAAGAAGTATATTGAAAAATTAGGCCGAGCGCAGTGGCTCACGCCTGTAATCCCAACATTTTGGGAGGCCAAGGTGGGTGGATCACCTGAGGTCAGGAGTTCAAGACCAGCCTGACCAATATGGTAAAACTCCGTCTCTACTGAAAATACAAAAATTAGCCGGGCATGGTGGCGGGCGCCTGTAGTCCCAACTACTTGGGAGGCTGAGACAGGAGAATTGCTTGAACCTGGGCGGCAGAGGTTGCAGTGAGCCAAGATCACGCCACTGCACTCCAGCCTGGGTGACAAAGCAAGATTCCATCTCAAAAAAAAGAAAAAAGAAAAAGAAAAATTAATGCTTAATTAATACTTTAGTAATAATGATGTTATGTTATTAGTAGTAGTTGTCATGGTTTAAAAGAAATAAATTTATAATTCTATGGGATGATAGTTAACAAGGTAATAATCTAATAAAAGTAATATTTACACTTTATGATAAAATAAGTCATTCCTTATAATGAACTCAGAGGATTTAATTCAATTATCTTCTTAGTTTCCCTAACTGTAATGCAGAAAGATAACTCTCACCATCATTTGTGAGCAGGGAATTCTGGAATCAAAAACAAAATAATAAATGTATGATAAATCCTCCTGCTTAATCTCAGGACAGTGGGAGGCCAGTTTAAATCTGGGTATACCAGTCAGGTTGGGTGTTCGCTTGTATGTAAGAGAAATCCAAGTGTAGTGGCTTGAAAATTAGTTATTTTCTTCATGTATTTGAGGCTTGAAGACCCAGAAGGAACAATGAAAGAAGTCATGATCTAAGTTTGCTGTATCTAACAAGTTTTCCTAGGAGCACAATACAACAATTTCCACTTAGATTTCTTTATCAAACTATGTCACATACAACTCCTCAGTGCAAGCAAGTCGGGAAGCCTGAGTATTTTTAAATGACCATATTGCTATGCCAAATACAACTAGGATTCTGGTAGTGAGGAAGAAGCATAAAGTGGATCTTGGTCAAGACAGTGTTAAATCGTTTATTCCTCTAAGGTCTTTAACACAGCCACGTGGTGTGAAGAGAATAATGGGGTGCACCTGCCATTAAGAATTGTAAGTCTCTGGCCGGGCACAGTGGCTCACACCTGTAATCCCAGCACTTTGGGAGGCCGAGACCGGCAGATCACTTGAGGTCAGGAGTTCAAGACCAGCCTGGCCGACATGGTGAAACCCCATCTCTACTAAAAACATAAAAATAGCCCGGCATGGTGGTGCGTGCCTGTAGCCCCAGCTACTCAGGAGGCTGAGGCAAGAGAATCGTTTGAACCCGGGAGGTGGAGGTTGCAGTGAGCTGAGATCACGCCACTGCACTCCAGCCTGGGCGACAGAGGGAGACTCCGTCTAAAGAAAAAAAAAAAAAAAGGAAGAGTTGTAAGTATCTGAAGAAAACAAAGCAATGTTTATTAATACTACAGCAATGAAATGGAGAGTGGGAGACCATAATGCATTGATGGTCTGGGTTCAGAGGAGACACAAAATAGTGTGATCATTTATTAAGCTTTACTTTGTGACAGACACTGTAGAAAGCATTCTGTATACTTTAACTTGTTATCTCATATCAACTTTATGATATTAGATACTATTATTATTCCCATTTTACAAATGGGTAACCTGAGACTTAGAACAACTGATTTATCTAAGGTTGCACACCTAGAAAATGGCAGAACTGGGATTTGAACCCAGACTGTTAGATATTAGAGCTCTAGCTCTTGGTCTTTGAGCCAGTAATTTTCAAATAGGCTTGATAACACTGGTTGTTGCCTCCCTCCCACCCACCCCTGAATTTCTGATTCAGCAGGTCCAGGGTAAGGCTTGAGAATTTGCATTTCTAAAACTTTCCAGATGGTACTGAGGCTGCTGGTTTGAGACCACTCCTCTAAGAACTGCTGCCATGTAAGATGGTAGCAATTAGCTGAAGAATAACCAACATTTATTGTAGGCTTACTGTTGCTTAAGTTCTCTCATTCTTGCTGTGGATTATGAGGTAAGTATTTGTATTAGTAAGGGTTCCCTAGAGAAATGAAACCAACAGAATGTCTATCTATGTATGTATGTATCTATCTGCCTACCTACCTACCTACCTACCTACCTATCTATCTATGAGGTGATTTATTCTGGGAATTGGCTTATGTAATTGCGGAGGCTGAGAGGTTCCTTGTTAGGCTGTTGGAGAACCAGGAAAGCCCAGGAAGTCATGGGTATTAGTCTGAAGGCCCGAGAACCAGGGAAGCTGATGGTGTAACCCAGTCCAAAGCCAAAGGCTTGAGAAGATGGGCAAGGGGAGTGGAGAGGGGTGAGTGGGGTAGGGAAGGTGGAGGGTGGAGGCACAAATGAGGGTGTTAGAGGATGGCTGGTTTATGTTCCAGAGTTCAAAGGCCCAAGAGCCAGGAGCTCCAGTGTCAGAGGGAAGAAGATGGAAGGAAGTCTCAGCTCCAGAAGAGACAGAGCATTCCCCTTTCCTCTTCCTTTTTGTTCTATTCAGTCTATCAATGGATTGGATGATGCCTGCCCACAATGATGAATGTGATCTTTTCTCAGTCTGCTGATTCGAATGCTAATCACTTCAAGAAACACTGCTTCACAGAACCACCCAGCAATAATATTTTACCAGTTGTCTGGGCATTCCTTAGCCCAGTTAAGTTGATGGAAAAAGTTAAAACCATCACAGTAGTATTATCCATGTTTTATAGATGAGTTTCATAAATTAAATACCTTGCTCAAATCTGCACAACTGATAAATGTTGGAGCCAGTATTCAAAACTAGATATGTTCTCCCAGAACCCACTAACAATCTGTAGTTTTTCCAGGTGAGGGAAATACGGGCTGCACACTTTCCTTAGCAGCCTCTACTGTATTGATGCTTTCCCCACAGCTGCTGCTTCTGCACTCCCTTGCTCAATCTGCTCCATCTCTGCTCTCTCCCTCAGGGGGGAAAGGGTTTCTCTTCACCGTGGCTGACCTCCAGGCTGGAGTTGTTCGCTATCATCATGATGACAGCGACTCCACCAAAGACTTCGTGGTCTTCCGGATATTTGATGGCCATCACAGCATCCGTCACAAATTCCCCATCAACGTCTTGCCCAAAGATGATAGTCCCCCGTTCCTCATAACCAATGTTGTGATTGAACTGGAGGAGGGGCAGACCATCCTGATCCAGGGATCCATGCTGCGAGCTTCAGATGTGGACGCCAGTGATGACTACATCTTCTTCAATATCACAAAGCCTCCACAGGCTGGGGAGATCATGAAGAAGCCAGGGCCAGGACTGATAGGTAAGTTCTGGGCAGTTAAGATCATTTGAATGGAATTCACTCTTCCATAGAGAACCTTCTATGCATCCTTCTGGGTTTGCTGAAATTGTGTCCGAGTTTGTCCTAAGGTGAACATCAAGTTTCTGAAGTAAGATAGTATTTTTATTCCCATTTCATAATGAGGAAGCCTGAGATTTAGGAAAGTTAATTTGATCTGTCCAAGGTTGTGCATCTACAGATTTCCAGAGCTGAGCCTCAAAGTAACCATTACACTATGAAAAATTAAGTCAGCCGAGCAAGGTGATAGAACAAATTAGTCTAAAAGGAGATTTTTTGACTATTCTAGATTATTGATAATTTCATGAATAACATTTGTTTACATTTTGTTAGAATCATTTTGTAACTACTTCTTAAAGTAGGTAGATCCGGAGTTTGACAAAATAGGGATCAAGTAAGTAGTTAGTGTTACTTTGTATATTTGAAATAAGAGTAAGTTTCTTGAAAATATTTTTCTAATGCTAATTTTTCCATATATCAAGACAGATATAGTGACTTTAGTTTTCCTGCTTTATTATTTATTATTTTTCTGCTTTATTATTTATCTTTGATGAAAACATTTAATGCAGATTCCTTGGGTACATAGAATGTACTAGACAGATAAGACTTTTGAAGATAAGTCCAATATCATTGTCCCTCGATATTTGATAGGCTTGTACAAAAGTATGTGGTGTTTTATGGACCCAATAGGCTATCCTGTCCATGGCTTCCTTCAGAGGGATTTGTTTAATGGAATCATTTATTATCGTCATTTTGGTGGAGAAATCTTTGAAGATTCTTTTCAATTTGTCCTGTGGGACAGCCATGAACCTCCAAATCTTTCAGTGCCACAGGTAAGAGACTGTTTCTGAACACTTTCCCAAAGTCTTGTGCACAGGTGTCAATTCTAGGAGATGTGGTTAGAAACCACATGAAAATAGGTTTCAAGGTTTAAAATTTGAAAAACAATCGATTAAACAAAATTAAGCAGATTTCTTTGCAATAGGACTACTCAAATGTTTCCTTTTTGAAAGACTTTTATAGATATCTATGTATTCAGTGTTTCAAGGTCATTTAACTATGGGACCCTTTTATGTAGAGCAACTCACAAAATTTGCTTGTCTCCCGACACTCAAGAAAACATTTATTTTATATGTGGTGATTAAATTATAGGCTCTAGAGTTAGGTTGCATGAGTTTCCCTCTTGATCTTGACACTGACTGACTGGTCAACCCATGCTCCAGTTTCCTTGTCTGTAAAACAGATAATAATAGAACCTTCCTTTAGAGTTATTGTGAAGGTGAGATAATGCATATAAAGTACTGAGAACATTTTGGTTCATGGGAAACACTCAATAAATACATTAGCTATTATTTATTGTTGTCTTTAAAGATCTAAGAGTCTCTTCTACCACTAGAGGATATAATTTAAATGTGTAGAATGCAGAAAGAAGTTTAAGCAAACATTGCCATATAGAAATTACAGAAAGTGGAGTCAGGGTAGTGTCTGGACAACTATAATAGAGTAGACTCCTTGAAAGGAGAGGCTGGTTGATAATAGAGATTTTAAAAAAGGACAGCTGAAATTAAGTAATCACCTACTGATATGGTTTGGCTGTGTCCCCACCCAAATCTCATCTTGAATTGTAACTCCCACAATTCCCACGTGTCATGGGAGGAACCTGGTGGGAGGTAATTGAATCATGGGGGTGGGTTTTTCCTGTGCTGTTCTCATGATAGTGAATAAGTCTCACGGGATCTGATGGTTTTAAAAACGGGTGGTCCCCTGTACAAGCTTGCGCGCTCTCTCTCTGCCTGCTGCCATCCATGTAAGACGAGACTTGATCCTTTTTGCCTTCTGCCATGATTGTGAGACCTCCCCAGCCATGTGGAACTGTACATCCATTAAATCTCTTTCTTTTGTAAATTGCCTAGTCTCAGGTATGTCTTTATCAGCAGTGTGAGAACAGGCTAATAAACCTACTATGTACGTACATTTTGCTAGGCATTTTGTACCTATTATCTTGGAAGATAGCCTGTATATGGATCCAAGCAAATTTCCAACCTGTTCTAGAATGACTGCTTAAAGCAAGGGTCCTATTTGTCACATAATGCCTTCCCATAATGTCATAGACACTGACATTAGCTAATGCATAGATGATTGAGCTATTCATCTGTGTGCTAAGAAGAGTATAACAGAAGGAGATGATCAGGAAGAATGATTCCAGAGAGCTCAGAAATGGAAGGCAATAGGTAATCCCTATTAAGAAGGAATAGAGAATGAATGAGAAAACTCAGTTCATCTGCTCTTTGACTAACAGGTCAATTCCTTTTCAAATAACACCTCCCTCTTTTTATCAATGTATTATATGTCATTTCTAGATTAAGTTTTTGCTTGAAACCTTAGTTTATTTGATAGTTCAAAAAGGTAACAGTTAATAGGATTTACTTCTAAGTCTTCTGTGTATCTATCCAATCTGAGTTATGTTTCTGACTAGGATACCGTATCACTTTTAGTGGCCTATGGGCCTTTTTAAAAATGAAAAATTCAGGACTTCTTTTTTCTTCTTTCGTTGTTATATATTTTATAAATCATGCTCTTCATATACACAAGTATAGATGTCAGATTTCTCTGTAATGAAAACTTTAGTGCAGCATAATTATTTCTGAATCTGGGCAAATTGGTCAAACTAAACTCTGTAGATCTAGTTATAAGTTTATTCCCTGTGATGGATAGGTTTCTAAAGATGCTTATCATGTTTTTCTCTGCTTTCATCTTCTTAATTTATGTTAGAAAGAGAAAGAGAAGGGGACAGAGGGAGATCTACAAATTTGCTCTCTTCATTACCATATATCTTTGGCCCCTAAATGTTTATCCAGCTCAGATGTGTGTCCTACCTCTCTATCTGACATCTTTACATGTATGTATCATCAGCGTTTTAAACTTATGACCAAAATACATCTAGCATGTGTCCCTAAAAACTTGCACAAAATAACTAGCTGGAATCTCTGAAGTCATCCCTGACTCCTTTCTCTAATGTCAGCACAACCAATCAGTCAGCAGGTTTACTAAATCTGCTTGACGAGTTTTTCTGATCTATCTCTACCTCCCCACCTCACTGCCATTGCTTCAGCTCCAACCTTCATCTTTTCTGGGCTAGATTATCCTCAACCCCTCCCATGGCCTTTTACAAATAGAGGTGATTAACCAAATCCTTATAGTTGCGATAAATTAAAACTCATTAATATAGTAGCAGTATTCTTAGTGAAATTAATCTAGCATCTGTTTTTCCCATTCTCCCTCTTCTGGTTGGTGGTAACTTTGTCTTAGTCCCTCTCCAGACTATGGACTTGCTGTCAGCTCTAACATCAGCTGTTCCAAGAATCCTCTGACGACCCCATTCCACAAACCCTCAGGCAGGATCAGCTTGTCCTTTTACATGCTCTGGCATCTGTTTACACATATCTTTGTTGTTGAACTTTCTGTAAAGTAAGACCACTATTTCTTTTATTGGATCAGCTCTGATCTCCTTGACAGTAGGGACCCGGAATTATTCATTTCAATGTTTCTAGACCTAGGTATCTGACTCATTGTAGACCCTTACAAACTGCTTATTGATCACCAAATGAATTCTGGTTCTTTCAACATTTACTGAAACTAGGAGGAAATAAGACCCAAACATTTGGTAGGGACTAGGGAGGGAGTGAGATGGGGCGGTAATAAGTGTAAAGCTTTATTCAGAGTTTCTAGAAATAAGTGTGTGCATGCCAATGAAACAAGTATTGTGTGTATGTGTGTGTGTGTGTGTGTGCTGGCAAGCATTTTTATATTTAAAACTCCGATATCAGTGAAACTTCAATATTTGAGGAACTCAAATGATTACCTGGTCTGTTTGATGTTTACATTCTCAATTTGGACAAGTATCTAGTCATGTCCTACAGATAAAAATAGATTTAAAATATTCAACAAAATTCATAACTTTCAGCTGCTCAACTAGAAGTCCAGATAAAATGATTACTTGATGGTAGCTTTCGTGATCAGAATATTCCATGGTTTTGTTTTATTTTGACGTTGTAATGGAAGTACAGATGAGCAATGCCAATTTTGTCTACAACAATGGCATTCAGAATACTCAATTTGAAAATGATGAGAATTCCTTTTGAAATTGACACACACAGCAAAACTAAATTATGATTAAGCTTTTTCTATGACATAAAAAAGGCTAGAACTTCAGCTCAGCCACCTACAAGCTGTGCTCCCTGGGGCAAATCATTTAACCCCTTTGGGGCTCAGGTTTTTTTCTCTGAACATTGGGAATAATAACCATGGCTATTATTAGTGAAGTGCTATCTGGATCACTCAAGATAGCTAGTAGCACAGTGAGTACTCAGTACTTAGTAGGTGCTCAATAAATTAATTCCCTGTCTCTATCCTTTCATGACTGTTGCCAAAGTTTACAGCATGTTTATCCATTATGAAGCATTTCAATAATTAAAAATTAAATCCGGTTATCAAAATAAACACAATGGCAGTCATTTTTCTATTCTCCTGCAGTCTGTGTCATGATTTTTTCCCCCCAATTACAGTGTTTCGCTAATCTACAAAGTTCAGAAATTCTCTGTGGGACTTCCCAGCCATAGTGTGGATCAGTGAGGCTCCACTTAATTGGAAAACTGGATTTAATAAGGAAACAATAGTTATTGTGCCTTCAAAGAGACCATTTTCCATGCTAATTTATTCTCCAATGTGTTCTTTGTGTAAGAAGAATGTACAGCATGCTTTTTTATACCCCTGTAATAATTCTTAGTGGGCACATTTGTGTGTGTGTGTGTGTATGTGTATGTGTGTGTGTGTGTGGTTTTAAGGAGTGGAGAGAGTTTAATATACAAGACGGGGCAAGAAGGAAGGGAGAAGACAGAAGGAAGAGGCTCCCCTGTACAGAGACAGAGGTGGGAATGGGGCTCTAAAGCTGAAAGAGGAGGTCCCCAAGTATGGTGGACACCAGCCAGGTATATATGCAGAGGCTGGAGGAGGTGGTGTCTGATTTGCATAGGGCTCAGGAAATAGGTTTGACCAGGCATGTCATTCATGTAGCCCGCGAAAAAGCTGGTCCTCCCACCCTAGCCTTTTAATATGCAAATGTGGGCACCCTGATTTCTACACATGTGGGGATATGTGGGGGCGGCCATGTTGCCAGGAGCATATGGGCCAAGGGCAAGAAGGCCAAGGGAATCGCCATGTTGGGTGGACCCAGTTTCTAATGGCCGGCATTTGCATATCAAAGGTTGCCCACCTGACTAAGAGCTGGGGCTTTACAAGAAACTTTTCCGGATATGCTTTAAAAGACGAAAACTACCCAAGGACCCCTTTTCCTCTCTATCTGCATAAAATAATTTCTTTTTCTTAATAACTCCTACCACATTCCTCCCTGCGGCAATATCACACTAACTGCAGTTAGGGGGTTTTGGGCGAAGACTCTTTCTGGCTACTTCCTACTTAAAAGGGGCGTTGAATGGGGAACAGCAGTTAGGGCTCCTCCTGGGATTGATTTAAGGGTCCTCGGAAGAATGGCATGTCCACATGCGGTTCAGTTTGCAGCACCATTTGGAGTTTGATTGCTTTTAGGCGAGAAGAAACAATTTGAGTCATAGTACTGAATATACAACGTCCAAATATCAATTCAAGACATATAAGCAAGAGAGGGCTTAATAAAGGGGTTAACCAATTCCAGAAAGAAGACTGGAATTTATTAAAGAGGGATTGTAGCCGCCCAGGGCTGAAGCCGGCATTTTCCCTGAGCCTGTTAATAATTTTGATTTGATTTTTAAGTACCTGTAGATTTTCCTTTCCTTTACTAGGTGTTAATCCAAAAGCAGCATGTTTCATTTAAAAGTGCATCACTAAATCCAATAAAAAATCCTAGCAGACTTAGTGATAGTAAAACTTTTACGCTTTCTTTTTGTCAGTAACTATTATCCCAGTTATAAGGATAATAATTAAGCAAAATACTACAGCAATGAAAACTCTCTGTCCAATATTTTAGTTTGAAGGTGCTACCGTGTATAACCCTATTGCAAATAGTAGAGTGAGGACAGCAATTCCCACAAGTGTGGTGTGGTAGATAATTTCCATCTAAAATTTTACTTGCCAAGATAGAGAACTCCCCTTTGGGGGTCTATGAAGTTCCTTGGTTTTATTTTCCCAAACAAAGAAAGCTCAGAGTTATGGGCACCTTACTCACTTTTCATTACCCGGCAGAAGTTGCAAGATAATTGCCCAGAACTAGCATATTGATTCACATTTTGACGTTACCCGTCCCTTTTTTCTTTTTTCCAAGCTGCAGATCACCAGTTGATTCACAGGAATAAGCAGGGTTCGTCTAAAACGTAGGCAAAAAGCTGAAAAACAAGAGACTAGGATTTAATGACAAATGTATGATAAGTTTTGGAGCAAAATTTTTCTCTTCAGTCTTCACTTTTGGTAAAAAGTAATTATCAGTAAACTTTAGTCTTATAGTTGGCCTGATTATTTGCATAAAGTGCAGCAAGAATGGTTATTTTTACATAGGCCTTTTGGATTGGCTTTGATGAAACGCTGTTTCACAAGGAATTTCAGGTAAGACTTTTAAAGCCGAGCCCAGCCATGGGTTTGTATCCTCTAATACCTGTGAGTTGGGTGATCCTTTCCTCTTGAGGTCCCAAGATAAACTCATAGCTTCCAGACCTATTAGAAAGTGACATTCTTCACTGACCACAGGTTAGGAACTGTATAGACAAGGTGGTAGGCCAGTTCTCCCTAAGGGGCTTTAATTGGCTGTACATGTCGAGCTTGATTCCTTAAAGGGAGACACACCCCTTCAGTCAAAGCCTTGATAAAATAACCAGTTTTCCAACTGTGTCCTGTTGACAAAGAAAAATTGATTCTTATTGCACTGATGCAAACAACTGTATTGCCATAAGAGTACTTACAGATAGTCTCCAAATTCTAGAGGAATCAGGCGGAGAAAAATGAACATGCTCCAAATTTTGTTTACAGGAGTATACCTTACTCAATTATTAAAGGCTGTAAATAGTTTAAAATAAGTTTCCTTGACTCTGAAAAACTAAACAAGGATCAGCAATATTCCAAGCGAAAGTTAAAAAGTTTGCTTTAACTTTGTGAGTGCAGTCCACTTAGTTAAATTTTGTTTTGCTTGATATTTGTGAACATGTCAGTTTTTTAGGAGTCCTGTAGATTCTCCCTCCATTTCAGTGTTACAATCTTCAAAGCTATTACAAACCTGCATTTGAGAACACCTGTTAAAGTCCTTAATATAGCTTGATTATAAACCATCTTTTGAGAAGGAACAAAGCAAGACAACAATTGTCTGTGAATGGCAACATTCCCAGGATAGTTACAGTTAAAAACATGACTGGCAAAGAACTTTATTTATCTTCGTGGTTTACAATAACTTTACCCTTAATTATGATTGATAGCACATACTTAGGCATTAGAATTTTAGAAAACCCATACAATTTTTGAACATATATTAGTGTTCACCAAAATATAACTTAAAAAAGATTGGACATCATTTTGGCAATCTCATGTGACTAAATATGTCAGATAATCCTGTTTACCTCTTTTCTGAATGTTTCAGGGGCCCTCTGAACCATTCAAAAAGCCAGGCATCAGGAAGGATAATTTCCAGATTGCCATAAATTATTTTGCCAAAATGATGACTCAAAAGGCAAAAACATTTTATTAGTCTTTACTATGATATGAAAATTCGGTTTAAAGCTAAATTTTACCCTTGCATTAGTTTATTTGTTCAAGTGAAACCTTATAGATTATTCCATTTTATCTTTATCAATTTGACCATGAGGTGAAATTTTTACAAACCTTTTGTAACCCTTTTACTAAAGGACAGAGTAGTGTCTTAAGACCTTCTTGCTATGCTTTTATTTCAATGCTTAATTTAAGAAAAGACCATATAGATACCATGGGAGAAGAAGGTGTAGTGCTTCTACCATGCACTTCATTTCAAGGCAACCCAAAGCCAATTGGCTTATTTTGTAATCAGCCCATCCCTGATGGGAGTCTCATCCCTCAGTGTGGGGTGGAGATGTTGCCTTATTTTCCAGGTGGCTAAGAGCGTGCTTCTCTGATTTATAACTACTATTAGCCATCTCTTACAGTGTATTTTCTACCTAGTTATTACTCACCAAAGCTCTCTCATAATGCGAAGTAATTTCTGATACTCCCAAAACTCAAAACCATCAGATAACACAATGCAAAACAGAACAGAGCCTTTGATTTTGAGAGGGATAATTTCCTTTTAATTCCTGGGGTTTTATGAGGAAAACAGAGGATCCCCCCCAACTGCCCCACAAAACGGGGTCTGTGGCACCTCCTCTGTTTTTCCCAAGGAGTCCCATGCTACCAGAAGTTATCTTAGAGCCTTTCAGGCATGCATTAAGAGTGGTAAGACAAAAAATGGAGAAAAATAACTCAGTTGACTGAGAAGAAAAGAGCCTTTTTCCAGAAAAACAACATCCAAAAAAAGAAAAACATAAAGGCCTTTTAAATATACCTCTAACTTGAATATCCACTCTTAATTAAGCTGAGCACTCTTTAAGAAAATCCTTTTAAATCCCTTGTTACTTGACTTTAGCTACACCAAGCAGTAAAGATTTTCAGCTTTTGAATGTTACAAAAAAGTAACCTCACAGATGAAATCAATGAGCCTTAATTAGGTTATGACTTAACCATGAGTGTGCAAGGTATTTTCAAAGGAGTGATAGGCAGCTTTTGAAACTACCATTACAAAATTGTGACTGAGACAGTGAAAGAGATCCGACCCAAACAACTCCATTTTATTTTTAGCCCCTAAGCTCTCCTCGACCATCCCTGGGTGTAGGCTGAACCGACTTTGGAAGGAGCCTGGTTTATAGGCTGTAGTCTAAAACAAAGATGATAACAGCCGCTTCCCAAGATATACTTCCCTCTTGCCTGGGGAAGACCAAGAAACTAGCCACAAGATTAGAAACCATGGCCCAGGAGCCATGCAGCTGGAGGCTACAAGATTTTGACCCTCCCTAAACCACTCTTAAGATCAGTGCTTAAGATATTTTATAAACCCTGCCCTTGATGGATCGGCTGGCACCACCCAGAGTGACAAACTGGCTTATTTGATTTTGTGGCCCTTACCCAGGCACTGACTTAGCACAAGAAGACAGCCACCACGGTAAAATGGCAGAGACTAAAACAAAGTATTGCCACATGGTTACCGATTATGTTCCTAAGGACATGAAACAAGTTGGAGGCCCATAGCCAAGTTTGTTACTGACCGTTCTGCTGGGCTGGCTGGAACAGCAGGCCTATGGGGTCCTGGGCCTGCATCCTAACCTAAGATACCTTTTCTTCGGTAGATCCATACAGAAAGACACGCAAAGCATACAAGATTGTTTACAGCTTAAGACCAACCTTACAAATCCTTTTTTTATTAATTATACATTTACTGAGAACATAAGCAGTGATCCTTATTACCCCTTTTTCAGGTTTGCACAGGGAGAGAAGCCAAAAGCCCAACTGGTGAGAAATTTTTACCCTTTTGCCAGCATATCAGGCATCAGGCTTCTGGGTTCCCTCCCCGCTAGCTCAACTCTACATCAAGCATTTTAAGGTTTGGAAAATTAGTTTTTCCCAGGTTGGAAGAACATTATAAAAGAGATAGAAGCCATTTTAAACTGCAAAAGAAGGAAAAGCATTGTAGAAAGGAATTCAATTAGGGTTGTTAAGAGGTATTGCCTCTCTTCCTATTGGGAATTGTGTTTCCCCTGTTTCTTTGCCTTCCCTATTTTTTCTCTTCCCTTTTGGCCTACTATAGGAGACATATTGCTTATCTCCAAAATTCTCTTCTGCGTGCAGAGCTGCCTGTTTTAGCTGCAGTGAGGGTTTGCCAACTCTGTGTACGGTCAAATACCTAAGTTACATTTTGGAAAGCTTCTATATACCTATTAGGGTAGTTAGAAAATCGGCCTAAGTCTGCCTTTACTTGCCTAAGGTCCTGCAATGAGAAGGGAACTTGAAGGGGCCCCAAATAAGGGGGACCCTCAGATGACTTCCCTGAAAGTTACCTTTTTAATTTTGGGAAACTGTTTTCCCTGGGCCTGCCCAATATGGCTGCAAAAGAAAATAAACCACTTTTTCTTCAAAGTTTCAAGGTCGAAGGAGTCCCAGTGCTTCAAAATATGTTCCAGGGGAGTGCATGTTGAAGACAATCTGTTACCCATCTAGAAAGAGAAGTGAGAATAAAAGCGTCGTTTTCGTCTCCTTCCTTTCGGTATGTGATCCAGGATGGAGATGAAAACAGTAGAGGGCGTCCCCCCAGCTATTCTCTGTCCGTCGCTCTTGGATTCCCGGCACCCGCTTAAATGTGCCGCACATGACTTGCAGGCGTGACCCTCCGAGCCATGGCGCCAGAGGAACTGAGTTTTGGGCCTTAGTCACTCTGTCCCCAAGCAATCAGTTCTCTGCCTTTTATTTCCCTTTGACCTCCTAGACTTGCGTGGCCTGTGTGCCTTCCAAAAAATAGATTCCAAGAAAAATCATGTAATTGGGCAAGGCCCCTTTAAGGGAGGGAGCAAGCTAGATTGAACTCTGTATCCTGCTATTATAGCCCAGGCTAAAGCATTTACCCATAGAAAAATGGTTCTGGTTAACTTCCAGAATTAAAATACCCTTCCTAATTAAGTACTGTCTTAATAGGAGACAAAATAGGTGCCTTAAAGGAATGTAGGAACCAAATGGCCATTTTCCTGCCAGTGGGACAATATCGAGATTAAAATTTGGCTGCAGAAGACGTTTTACTCTTAATTGTTAAAAGCAGAAACTTTCCATTCACAGAAGAGGCCTAGAGCCTGATTTCTACCAGGTGGCTTAGAAATACCATGTGCTCGCCAGAGAAGTGGTATCAAGTAACCTCGCTGTAACTTTGTTCCTAGACTGTAAAAATCTTTGCACATTTCATGCAGAGAAAGAGTAAGAGGCTGCGGACAGAAAGGGAAGAAGAGTTTTGCAACAGGATAGTTGAGGTTCTCTGCCAACACCCAGAATGGGCTGTTGGAGGCTGTGTCCGGTCCAGAGGCCTTTGAATCACACCTGGCCAGAAATTCTCAGTTGCCTCAGAACTTTTCCCAGCCTCACGTGATGGCAAGGTCACCAGTGAAAAGAAGCTACTTCAAGCATGACCAACATTCCCAATACCTGTGGGTAATGGGGGGTTCTCCAAGTTCTCCCCAGCAAGCCTTATATCCGTGACTTGAGTACGGTAGCCAACAATAAGCGTATATACTAGGTTGATGGATGCCTGTTGAGTTATTTGATTTATTTTAATATAGAGGCGAAGAGTGCCTCAGAATGACAGAACAGATTTTAAGCTTGCTCCCACAGTCGCCACTCTGATGAAGGAAGGCTGTACCTCAGATTCCTGTACCTCAATGCACCAAAGTGATATGGCTTCGATGAGTGAAGGAACACCAAGGGTCTTGGCCCTCATGCCGGTTTAGATAAAACGACACGGACACACGTGGAGTGGTTTTAAGGAGTGGAGCATTTAATAGGCAAGAAGGAAGGGAGAAGACAGAAGGAAGAAGCTCCCCCATACAGAAACAGAGCGGGGGGAGCTCCAAAGCCGAAAGAGGAGGAGGTCTTCCGGTGGGCACATTTTTTTAACATGCTTTATGATGGCCTAAGTTGATATGTCTTTACATATTTATGCATGTTCAAACAATTATTATTCTGTGGGTGAGAAAAGTCCCATTTTAACAAACTCCATTGAGAAATAAAGTGTTCTCAATGTACTGAAATCTGATTGTAACAAAAGCATTATTAAACACCCAATCCCAGGCAAACAGTAGAAAACTAGTGCTCAAATCAATTGCTGGGCTCTTGCTTGCTGCCTTCCCCCGTGTCCCTCCAGCCTGCTTATGGCTACAGACTTATAAGGAATCAGAATATGAAGTGATAAATCAGTACACAAAATGACAAAACCTGGCCTTGGTCTTCATATTCAGGCTCACAATATAATACTCCACCAGCTGGTATCTGACTTTCTTGTGGGAATGGGTTCTTAATCCTTTCTCTGCCCTGATTCTTTGATTTCTGCTAGCTCTTTCTTTTGCATCTTCCCTTGAAACTATCCAGTGCTATTTCTCACCCCCAGGAACTACTTACACTGTTAGTTTTGCCCACCCACTTTCTTCTCTGACTTGTGGTAAATATGCACCCCCCAGGTACCTGTTCTCTCCTCTGGGCATGTTTCATTTCTCCCTTCCACTTCACCCATGTGCTTTTGTGTCACCTTCTTCCATTCTTTCCTCGTTTTCTGGTCCTCTCTCTGCATCTCTCATCTATCCTTATTTTTATTCTCCCTTTTTCTTCTAATATTACTCTCTCCTGGATTAAGATCTCTTAAGGCTTAAGGTCTATAAAGCTGTCTACCAAGTAGAATAGAGTTGGAAATGTTTTTCAAAAGCAAGTTGAGTGAGTGAAGCTGTCTTAGTCCATTTTGTACTGCTACAACAGAGTACTACAGACTGGGTAATTTATAAACAATAGAAATTTATTTGGCTCATGGTTCTGGAGGCTGGGAAGTCCAAGATCAATGAACTACATCTTGTGAGGGCCTTCTTATGACATCATAATACAGAGGAAAACATCATGTGGATGAGAAGAGAGCAAGAGCTTGAACTTGCAGCCTCAAGCCCTTTTATAATGATCATTAACCCATTCATGAGGGTGGAGCCCTCATGACCTAAACACCATTGGGCCCCTCCTCTAAACACTGTTGCATTGGTGATGAAGTTTCCAACATATGCTTGTTGGAAGACACATTCAGTTCATATCAGAGACTTTATTTGATGACAGTCATGGCAACCAAGATAGAAAAAGTTCATGGAGCAGGCTGTGGAAAAGACCCATGATGCCAGGCAAAGCACCATTTTCAGACAGTAATTAATAGCTTTTCCACAACCAATGATGGATTATTATAAAAGAAATGTTATAATAAAAGCTGTTTGGCAAGTCCTCCTTACCCTCTAGCATGATACCAACCTGTAAGTGTAGTTTTAAGACTTAAAATCTCAAACAGGACATGACTTACTCAGTTTGCAAACATTAATAAAGTGCCTCCTACCTACAAAAAAAATTGTGCTAGATGTTGTGGAGATACAGAGACGAATGTAGTATTTATTGGGCACCTACTATGTGCCAGACATTTTACCTACATAGTAATATTTGATCCTTATAACAGCTCTGTGAGGTTGTATTATGCTTAACTTACTAATAAGAAAATTGACACTAAAAGGTTAAGTAACTTGTTTAAGGTTAAATAGCTGCTAGTAAGTGGTATACTCAGGACTATAACTGTACCGTCAAATTCCATGTGGTTTACACCATATTGTAATGCTGGCCTCATGGAACTTTCAGTCTGGGAGAGAGACTCATTTGTAAACTAACAATACAAAACATTAGAATAAGTATGCTAGTTGAGGGATGTCTAAGTTTGTTTAATCTGCTATAACGGGATAAATGACTAATTTAGAAATAATAGAAATTTATTTCCATAAATAAATTTATACATAAATAAGCCATAACATTCTACCCCGGCACCTCCCCCGCCCCGCCACAATTTATGTTCTTCTCCCATACAAAATATACTAATTCCATCTCAACAGCCCCCAAAGTCTTAACTCATTTCAGCATCAATGCAAAAAAATAAAGTCTAACATCTCATTTAGTACATATTTATGTACTAAATCAGGTATGGGTGAGACTTTAGGTACAGTTCATCCTGAAACAAATTTCCCCTCGAGCTGTGAGCACAATAAAATCAAACAAGTTATATGCTTCTAAAATACAATGGTGGGACAGGTATAGGATAGACATTCCTCTTCCAAGAGGGAGAAATAGGAAAGAAGAAAGGATCCAAAACTCAACAGGGCAAACAATATTAAGTCTTGAGGCTTGTGAATAATCTTCTTTGACTCTGTGTCCTGCCTTCTGGACATGCTGAGGCTAGGATTGGGCCCCCAAGGCCCCAGGCAATTCCACCTTTATGGCTTTTCTGGGTACAGCCCAGGCAACAGCTGTCAGAGGTTGGCGTCAGGTGCCTGAGGCTTTCCTGGATGGCGTTGCACATTGGTGGTCTCTGGGGTGGCCCTGACCCCATGGCTCTGCTGGGCATTGCCCTAGTGGGTACTGTCTGCAGCAGCCCTGCACCTGAGGCAACTCTCTGCCTGAGTCCCGAGGCTTTCTGAGGCATCTCTTGAAATCTAAGTGGAGGCAGCTGTGTTTTCACAGCTCTTGCACTCTGCACACAAGCAGAGTTGGTATTTGTGCCAAGGCCTACTTCTTGTGTTCTCCAGAGTGGTGGCTCAAGTGGTTCCTGGGCCTGCTTGAGCCACAGCTGGGATGGCCAAGGATTGCATCAGAATGCAGGGAGCAGAGACTTGAGGCAGTGCTGGGCAGAGACCCCACAGGTCCCTCCCTTGAAACCATTCTGTCCTCAAGGCCCTGGCATTCTGAACCTGTGATGGGAATGGTGGCCTGATGTCTAAAATACCTTCAGGGTCATTTTTCCATTGTCTTGATAAATAGCAGCTGGTTTCTTTCTATTCATACTAATCTCTCTATCATATAGGCACTTGGTCACACCTTTTGTGGCCTCTCCTAAAGATGCTTTTTTATTCTTTATATGGTCAGGCTGAGAATTTTTCAAATCTTTAAGTTCTGCTTCCCCTTTGACAAAAAATTCTGGCTTTAGTTCATTTCTGTCTTCTAGTATTTTACTATAAGAAGTCAAGAAAAGCCATGCAACGTGCTCAACTGTTTGCTTAGTTATTTCTTCCACCACGCATCCTACCTCATCCCTGCTCAGTTCTGCCTTACATAACGTGTTAGAACACAGGCACCATTTAGCCAAGTTCTTTGCCACTTTATAACAGGAAGATCTTTCTTCCAGTTTCCAATAAGATATTCCTCATTTCCATCTAAGACCTTATCAGAAGGGCCTTTACTGTTTGTATGTCTACCAATGTTCTGATTATGACCACTTAGGTAATCTCTAAGAAGATTGAGGTTCTTCTGTCTAGAGCACACCTCTTCTGAGCCCTCACCAGAATTGCCCTTTATGATCTATTCACAGCAATATAGGCTTTTTCTAGCCTACTTCTCCAAATTCTTCCAGTCTGTACGTACCCATTACCCAGTTCTAAAGCTACTTCCACATTTTCAGGTATTTCAGTACCTAACTCTGTCTTAGTCCATTTGTGCTGCTATGGCAAAATACCTGAGACTGGGTAATGTATAAATAATAGAAATTTATTTCTCACAGTTCTGGCAGCCGGGAAGTCCAAGACCAAGTTGCCAGCATGTTTTGTGTCTGATGAGGGCTGCTCTCTGCTTTCAAGATGGTGCCTCGTTGCTGTATACTCCAGAGGGAACAAATGCTGTGTCCTCACACAGCGAAAGGGATAGAAGATGAATTCATTCCCTCGAGCCCTTTTATAAGGCACAAGTTCATTCATGAGGGTAATTAGACCCTCATGAATTCAACCTCATGGTCCAATCACTACTAATGGCCCTGCCTCTTACTAATCTTGTATTGGAAATTAAGTTTCAACTTAAATTCCAGAGAAAACACAAACATTCAAACCATACCAAGGGGTAAGTAAAATTCAGGAACAATTCCAACTGAAAAATTGGAGAAAGGTCTAAGAAGAGCCGTTAAGGGTGAGAAAGACTCAGGTTGCTGGATAAAACAGGAGGAAAGCATTCTAGAAGTGTGGTCAAGGACCAGTACATGGTCAGTCCATTGTGTATAATTAGAGTGTTGGATTGATGTTAAAAGGTAGTAAAAGATGTTGAAAGGTGGCTGGGTGGTGGCTCATGGCTGTAATCCCAGCACTTTGGGAGGCCAAGGAGGGCGGATCACTTGAAGTCAGGAGTTCGAGACCAGACTGGCCAACATGGTGAAACCCCATCTCTACTAAAAATACAAAAATTAGCTGGGTGTGATGGTGGAAGCCCGTAGCCCCAGCTACTCAGGAGGCTGAGGCAGGAGAATGGTGTGAACCTGGGAGTGGAGCTTGCAGTGAGCTGAGATCGCACCACTGCACTCCAGCCTGTGTGACAGTGTGAGACTCCTCAAAAAAAAAAAAAAAGGTTGAGAAAGAGTGTATATTGAAAGTCTTGGATGCCATGCTAAGGAGTTTGGATATTCTATAAATAATTCCACACTTTCTGAGAAGTTGTTTTAAGATTTTTGAAGGGGTAAATTAACTTATTTCATTTGTACTTTTTTGAAGATAACACGAGGTATGAAAAGTCTAGATTAGCTCTTGGATTTAGGGCTAACAGGCAGCAGTTGCAATAATGTAAGGATGAAATTATGAAAGGTAGGCCAGTAGCAATGGGAATGACACTTGGGCGTGGGATGTGGAGTATGGTCACTGCATAGGAAATTTTATAAGTAGAAAGTCTGGGACTTGGTGATGTGTTATATGTGGGTGGAGAAGGAGGAACCAAAATTCATGTCAAGGTTTCTAAGATTGATGACTGAATATAGGGAAGTATTAAAGAAAGCACAGGTTGTTGGTAGAAGAGAGATGTAAAAATAAAACCAGGAACATATTTTGTGTTTTATGTGCCCATTCTGTAGCACTCATGACTGGATTCACTATAATTGTGGTATATATATATATATATATATATACACACACACACATATATATATATATGTATGTATATATATACTTTTTTTTTTTTTTTTTTGAAATGGAGTCTCATTCTTGTCATCCAGGCTGGAGTGCAATGGCGTGATCTCAGCCCACTGCAACCTCCTCCTCCAGGATTCAAGTGATTCTCCTGCCTCAGCCTGCCGAGTAGCTGGGATTGCAGGCACCCATCACCACACCCAACTAATTTTTGAATTTTTCGTAGAGACGGGGTTTCACTATGTTGGCCAGGCTGTTCTCGAACTCCTGATTTCAGGTGATCTGCCCACCTCGGCCTTCCAAAGTGCTGAGATTACAGGGGTGACCCCCTGCACCTGGCCTGTGATAATAATATTCTTAAAATATAATATTAAATGAGTAGAGGATTTCCATTTTTTGGCTCATATTCTTAATAGCTCCTGAATCATTTGACAGAAGTATATTATAAATGACAGTTTTAGAAATTATCTTAACTGTGACTAGGTGATTGTGGGGCATTTTCTTTGTTGTTTTTTTGGTATTTCAAATTAATGGTACAGACATTTTTATTCCAGGTGGCAACAATCCATATAACTCCAGTGGATGACCAGCTTCCAAAAGAGGCTCCTGGAGTTTCTCGGCATTTGGTTGTCAAGGAAACTGAGGTGGCCTATATAACTAAGAAACAGCTACATTTTATAGATTCAGAATCATATGACAGGGAGCTGGTCTACACAATAACTACTCCTCCATTTTTCTCCTTCAGCCACAGGTATCTGAAAAGTCACCATTTGGGCTACTAGTTCTAGGATTGCAAAGTTGAAAGTGTCAATATAGAGCAATATATATATATATAGTACTGTGGTTTACTTGCTCCATTGGTCAGGCATGAAATTATACTCAATTAAGCGTTTACTTTTTTCTCAAACAACTTCCTATCTCCCTTTGAAAGCTGTATTAGTTGGTAAGTGATCTGCAGCTTGTAGTGTCTTCAGCATTGGTAGGCTTAAAACAGTCTTTAATCCACTTTTTGAAAGACAATGCTTATTTTTCTTTTAGTACAATTTATTGAGGTCTTCCTAACATTAGTTTTGCATATTACTGCCATGAAATCGTTACATTCTATGATCTCAATCTAGAAAAATGGCATGAATATACGTTATGCTAGTATCGTATGCATGAGAGCAAGAAACCATTTTTAACATGAGTGTAACAATTCCCTTACATGATGCCAAGCAAAAGATTCTGTACATACCTTTTGCAGTCATGACAAGGATGATGTTGATGAAACTGGACTTAATGCTAGAATCTCCCAACATAAAGAGAGAATATAAAGATAGAGCACCCAATTTCTTCTCACAATGAAGTCTTTCAGTTTTTGATTGTGGGCTATTCGATTTCATTTTTCTTACCTAAAAATGAGCTGATGTGCTCCTCTGTATTTCTCTTTAGACACTTGGATGCTGGGAAATTATTTATGGTGGACAGCATACCAAAAGTAGTTAAGAATCCTACGGCCCTGGAGCTGAGGTCATTCACTCAGGTATGAGGATATGCTAAAATGCTGACAAACATGATGCAAGTGTGCCCTTAGAAGGTATGGCATGCCTAGTATTGTGCCTGAGAATGTTGGTCTTTGACATCCACAAAGACTTGACATCTTTATACTTGCTACTTGTATGTTTCCATTAAGTGTGTGGCATCTATTTCAAAGTACTTGATCAAGTTGAATATGGTTTCACAATCTTTTCAGTAATTTTACTGAAAACAGACTTTTGTATTGTTTTGCCATCAGCAGGACTCTAGTTTGGGTATCTGGTGTATACGTTTTTATTCCACAAAATTCAGTTTATTCAGTATCTTACTGTATTAGTTTCCAAGGGCTGACAACAATATACCATGAACTGGGTGGTTTAAAATAAACTGCCAGGACATAAAGGACTATGAGCTTTATTTTCTCATAGTCCTGGAGGCTAGAAGTCTTAAATCAAGGTGTTGGCAGGGCCATGCTCCTTCTGAAACCCTGTAGGAGAATTCTTCCTTGCTTCTATTAGTTTGATGCAAAAGTTATTGCAGTTTTTGCCATTGAAGTAAAAATAGAGCTTTTGGTAATCTTCAAAGTGATGATGGTGGCATTTACAGTGTTCAATATCAATTAACATGATGGTTCTCTTGGACCTCTAAAAGCTTTTGATCCTTGCAAGTCAGCACCCACATATCCATCTCAACTTACTTTGCAGCATGCTGTGAACTATATGAAAGTGGCCTACATGCCCCCCATGCAAGACATTGGTCCCCATTGCAGAGATGTCCAGTTCACATTTTCTGTCAGTAACCAACATGGCGGTACTTTGCATGGGATCTGCTTTAACATTACAATCCTCCCAGTGGACAATCAAGTTCCTGAGGTATGTACAATGTTCTATATAGAGGATGAAAAGGAGGAAAAGAAAGGAGAGACTTGAAGACCTACTAGAAATGGTAACTTTCCTTTAGGCTAGTTTTTTAAACTTATAAAAGAAATTTCCATCTATGGTGTAGTAAAAAAAAGAAGAAAAAAGCAGGGAGAAGGGAGTCTTTTACTCCCATGGGACTTTCTATGTAAAAGGTGAGATTTTTCAGCTACTAAATTTAACATTATTTTCAAAGCTTTATCAAATTCTTTTTCACTTCCTCTTCTTTCTGCTGAGTTTCACGTGTTGATCAAGGGAAGGGGATTAAATTATGGGTCTCTTAGCCACTGGAAGGGCTTATTTACCCTCACTGCAGCCCAACTATGCTGCTCTGTAATCTAAAGAAGCTCTTTAATTTTCCAAAATGAATCAAGATGGACCCTTCTGTCATACTTTGCCCCACTGCCCTGTGTTTGTGTAAGCCTGAAAGGACTTGGGTCTTTTCATTAAAACCGAACTACAAAGGCATTGCTACCTTGTGCATTTTTTCTGGGAAGCTGGGATTTGCATTGAGAGTATGTCCCATACCTACCCGGTTCCCCTGCCCACCTTCACAATGCTAGGCTTAATTAGTATGGTCATTATTATTCTTATTATTTCCCTTAAAAGCAGGAAGACAAAATAGCATTACCCATTCATTATCAACCAGAAGGGACCAGAGCCTACACATGCCTCATCCTTAAGGAAAGAGGTCACTTTCCCGGGTGCCTACTTGGACTATAGCCTGCACTGGCGTTCTCTTTCCTGACTCCTCATCATCTCTATACCTGCCCAAGGTTGTGGGGCAGAGGTCTTACCCTGAGGGCCTAAAAGGGCTGCCCAACCTGCAGAAGTTTTGATGGGTGTATTAGTCTGTTCTCACGCTGCTAATAAAGACATACCCGAGACTGGGTAATTTACAAAGGAAAGGGGTTTAATGAATTCACAGTTTCACGTGGCTAGGGAAGCCTCACAACCATGGCAGAAGGGGGATGAGGAGCAAAGTCACGTCTTACATGGTGGCAGGCAAGAGAACTTGTGCAGGGAACTCTCATTTATAAAACCATCAGATCTTGTGAGATGTATTCACTACCATGAGAATACTATGGGGGAAACTGCCCCTATGATTCAGTTATCTCCACCTGGCCCCATCCTTGACACATGGGGATTATTACAATTCAAGGTGAGATTTGGGTAGGGACATGGCCAAACCACGTGAAGAGGTCAAAACAATATATGAAAATAATGAATTGCCAACATTTAAAGATCAGAAGATTTTCCATCAAGGCTGATTCCTAGCTTCCCTTGAAACTCTGGCAGATCTAATAAAATTTAACCCGCACACCCTACAGCAGCCATTGCATAGGGCGTGCTCTCCAGACCATCTAAGCCCCCATCCAACTCACCACACTTATTTCTATCACTGGCCTGACCTCCCACACCTGTGGACTTGCCATCTTTGGTAGAAAACCTGCCAAAGGGCTCACACGGAGGATTTTAAACTAACTCCATTCTTTGACACCTTTCCTATCAGGGACCAGATCATATTCCCGGTGGTGAAATAGTTTAGAATGCTTATGGAGTCAACTTGATTAGATTTTATTCAGACCATTCTTTTCTATGTATGAGATACAGGCCATCAAATAGCCTAGCACTAAAGAAGCCAAAGTTTTCTCTAAAACAATCATGGAGAAATGCTCCTTTATGCAAAGTTATTCAAGCCTCTTGATGGAGAATGATGATCTGAGAAGGAAACTAAAAAGTGTAAAGGAAAAAAGTTAATTTCACTGAATAGTTTTGAGGAGTTGAGGAAAGAATGGCAGGGTAGCTTCTCTTTTTTTTTATTTTTACTTTTTACAGTATATGGGGCAAATGAAATAGTCCCTCAAAAAGCTGAGGATATTAGAAACAAAATTAAATTAGCAGCTTCAGTGAGACCCACCACAGGAGTTGATCCCTTATGTAGAATTCCTGCAGAGAGCTGGCCAAGTGATAACCACGGGAGGATGTTGACACCATGCTAACCTGAGTCCCAGAAACCTGAGCACTGGATCTGGGCAAGAATTAAAAAGCTAATGACTAATGAGTCGGGGGAAATTAGCCTTATGCTTTTATTTTTTTGAAAGTTGCCCTAAAATATATATTTAAAAAATCACCTAATGTAGCAAAGCATATTCCTTGAAACATTGGAAATTGAAGATTCCATATTGGGATACTAATTCAATACAGCTCAGAAAAATGAGGTTGGCAAGCATGGACCTTTGTTCGAAGACAACACTCCTCTCTGAGTAAGAGCTCCCTCTCTTTCTTTCTCCTACAAACAGTGAAAATATAGGTTTAGCAAAGTGAAAGTGAGACACTTGGGAGAGGTCAGGGTGGGGGTAGTTGTAGGGAGAGAAGTCTATGTTTTTGCATTGGTAGTTGATTAAAGAATAGAAGGCAGTGGTCTCAGAATTGTAGGTCTCATAATTTCCATGATGCAAGGGGCTGCCCTTGTGGCACCATGAATGCCCCAGGTGGCTGTGGCCTGGAGTTGGTACCAGCACTGTGCCGTGGTGTCCAGAAGGACACAGCAGGCTCTTGAGCAGAGGCTGCAGCTTCACTTGCTTCCTTCCCTTTCCTCTTCCAATTTGTTGTCATCCTCCTTTACCAGCTCTTTCTTCAGGGAACATCCTCCCTGCTGGGACCAGCAGCTGCTCTGAGAAGAGTAGGTGCTTCCTAGGAGAACTGCTGCATCCTCCCATGGACAGGGCACCTTACTAGACCACCTGGGAGGGGTCCTCAGAGCCCGTGATTTGGTACCCCACTGTATCTGCTTGCTTTCACTTCTGCGTAGCAATACAAGCGTGGGGGTAATGATAGGTTAAACAAAGTTAGCAGGTTTTCCTCCTGCAGGATCTCAGAGCCTTGAATATGCTTATGTCCCTTATAAACCTCCATGGTAAGGATATTTTATGTAACTTTTTTCTAGACTTATTTGGCCATAGAACACTTATTGCTCCCTCCCAATGAGGTGATAAAATATCCCAAGCCATTCAACTTGCTTTTAACTTACAAATGAATTATTAGTCGAGCAGTGAGTTTTTCTATTATAGCAAATTATCTTTGTGGCTTTAATATTTAAGTCTAATGTTTGAATAAATCTATTTCCTCTGGAATCTTCAATTTTGCCACACTACTTCCATTTCTAAAATATTCACTGTGACTGAAGTTCTAAAGCTCCAATCCATTTCCCAAGCCTTTAAGAATTTTTAGGATGAAAAGTAGATGAAACCTTTCCTTCAGGGGAATTTGACATAGATTTTGTGTATTTTTTAGACTAAGCTGTATGTGTATTGAACAGTGATGGGAATGGACCTGAGGATGAAAATTATTATTTCCTCAGTTTAGCAGCACAGATAGTAATGATTGCCAATTCTACTATACAGGCTATGCAATAAATGAAAAGTAGATACTTTCAATCTTAGAGATCTGCCTTGTTTCCTTGTAACACATTAATGCTTAGAATTAGAAATAGTAAAAAAAAATTTTTCAGTCAAAATGTCTAGCTATGAACTTATCCTCTTACCACATTCTTGAAAAATTAGTTTGCATGTGAAGATAATACTGGAAGTTTTACAGTGATGTAATGAGCTCTGTCTTCAGGGGTCATGGAAAAAGGCTTTGAATGTTTCCTTCCTTTCTTCTTTCTAGGCGTTCACCAACCCTCTGAAAGTGACTGAGGGAGGTCAAAGCATCATCAGCACAGAGCACATTCTAATTTCTGATGCAGATACCAAGCTGGACAATATTGACCTCTCCCTGCGGGAATTGCCTCTGCACGGAAGGGTGGAGCTGAATGGATTTCCTCTAAATTCAGGGGGCACATTTTCTTGGGGCGATCTCCATACCTTAAAAGTTAGGTTAGAACATTTCATGGTTTTTTTATTTACATGCTTTAGTTTCTTATCTAGATCAGTTGTGAGGCAGAGTAAGAGAAAGAAGTTTGTCCAATTTCTTAAAGGATACCAACATGCCACTTAACACACTCAACGGGTCAGTTGAAAATTACAAATGATCAATTTTTCCTTTCCCTCCAGACATTTTATTTCCATCTGACTTGCTATACCAGTGGAAATAACTTTATGGATATTTGAACAATAAAAATTTAATTGCCGTGAATATTAAATTGGCAGTAACTGCACATATCACAGGAGGTAATAGTCAAACTAGATAAAGAGAGACTGAAATAATCTGTGAGGCTAATGTACATAATTGAACTTGTGTCCCAGAGAAGCAAATTTCATAACCCAGAAACTCTGGGATAGAACTCTGTTGATCAATGTCCTTAATGTAACCTTATTCCGTTCTACTAGGGCAGGGATCTGCAGGCAAACAAGCAGGGTGAGCTGAGTAGGCAGGGCGTAAACTAATACTTGAGTCTCCAACAGGGATGGCACAATCCCTGGCCTCATGGTCCTAGAGAAACTGCCCTTACCTGAAGGTCTTTCATTTCCTCTACCTAATGCAGTTCTGTAAGAAACTTTCCTACAAAATCTAGTGAAACAACTTCTCTGGAAAACAATACAAGCTATTCAAAAGCAATGGTCGGGTAGACCCACACACTCACTTCTCACCTGTAAATTCAAGCTATAAATGGGAGCATTAGCCCTTTAGATAAAGTATGATAGGAGATATTATACATCAGATGCTTAGCTCTGCACTTGACTAGAAAGTTGACCAGAAACTAAGATTTGTACAGAAGAAGATGAGTTTAATCCTGACAGTTTAGTTCCACCATTGATTTACAGTCCACGATATCTTGATCTTTGCACTCGCACTCCTATCCTTGTTAAAAAAATGTTTTTTGAGATTTCAGCTCTCAGCTGTCTGTTAGATAGAGAGCCCTGTTTAGGTAATTCTTGCTACGGAGTGAATGATGGATAAACAGTACCAATATTTGCTAGAACTATCTGTTCAAGCATACTGTCAGAGGCTTACAATTATGGTTTTTGAAAATTTAATCTGCATAGTAATCAAGTCTGACAAGGTATCCATTCTCATATTTTAATTGAAGAACTAAGCACAAAGAGATTGAGGAATTTGCCCAAGTTCATTCAGCTAGTATATGGAGGGGTCAGATTTTGAAAGAATATCTGTTTGACTCCAGTCATCCTTTGGATGTGTACTCTTAGGGCCATTTGATCCTTTTAGGGATTTTAGCATAGTAAAATAGAATTAGTAAAAAAGAATTATCACTCACCAATATAGTTTTGATGAAAATTGCAGGGAGCATGGCAAAATAAAGCATAGCGGGTAGTGCGTGAGAGGATCATGGAGGGTGGGGAGGATGTGGGACTTCCCCACCATAGGAAGGGAATCCTCAACCTCAGTTCCTACCCTGCCTATGGGTGAAACTAGTCCTCAGTAAAATACCTTTCAGCTCTGACTTTTTCCCCATAGTTAAAGATTATACATGTTCAATATATTATATTATTTTTTAATACAACTTTTATTTTCCATTCCTAGGACTCATTGATATGTTTAAAATTTGGCTCAATTCACTTCAGCAGCTCCTTAGAACTTTCCAAGCATCACTGCAATGGGCTGGAGAGTATGTGGAGGGCCTATAATTAGACAATGCCTTCAAGAAATGTGGCTGAGAATTAGTGGAAGATAGGGCTAAGGCTAGACAAAGGAAAGGTATTTTTTAAGTCTAAGAGATTTAAGAATTTATATAGATTGAGAGGAAGATAGCTAGTCAATGGAAGAGGAGAAATGACAGGAAAGAGGCAATACATAATTCATTGATCAAGGTTTTAGAGAAAAGCTGAATAGATCCAGAGCACAGGCGGAAGGATTAGCCTAGCCTTAGAAGTAGAAAAGGGGAGAAAAAGATCAAATCCACAGTGTCCCACTTTTCCTCATCTACTGCTCAGTCTGAGGGTTCTCCTGGCCCTAGTCAGTGTATTCTGCAAGCGTACAGACCTATACCAAATGGTTCCTGTTGTCACAGTGGCATTTGAAGGGCTGCTTTTTAATTTGAGGACAAATTAGAAATGCATATAACACATTTTTCCAGGGTGGAGCAATTTTACATTCAAGGATGTATGAGTAGTTAAATATGTGACTTCAGGATTATGCTGGGTTTTTGTTGTTGTTGTTGTTGCTATTTATTTATTTAGTGAACACATGGCCAAAGCCTTGGAAGAGCTCATGTATCATGCATCTCAATTTACTCTCACACTGTTCCTAAGAGGTTGGTGACAAATATTATCCCCACAGGTATCAACATGATGGAACTGAAGTTCTTCAGGATGACCTACTCTTGGAGGTCACCGATGGCACAAATTCAGCAGAATTTGTACTACATGTTGAGGTGGGTAGAAAGTTTCTTCCCTGGGTTATTGTCTTAGTCTGTTTTGTGCTGCCATAACACAATACTACAGACTGGGTAATTTATAATGAAAAGAAATTTATTTGGCTCATGACTCTGGAGGCTGGGAAGTCTAAGATTGGGTAGCTGCATCCAGTGAGGGCCTTCTTGCTGCATCACCCTATGATGGAAGGGCAGAAAAAGAGCAAGAGGGAGCCAGACACTGAGCTATGAGCCTTTTATGATCAGCATTAATCCATTCATGAGGGTGGAGCCCTCATGACCTATAAACCTCCCACCTCCCAACACTGTTGCAAGTTTTCAATGCATGCTTTTCTGGGGACACATTAAAATCATAGCAATCATACAGACATAGAGGATCTTGTTGGAAAACTCTCAGGTCCTGACAGAACTTGAAACCTACGGCCTCCAAAGTGAGAGGATACCTGCTTCGATCCTTGTATGTCTCAGGCCTGCCAATAGAAACCAAAGTTGTAATGATGAAGTAGTAGTACTATGCTATTGTCTCTCTCTAATCTATTTAGAGGTAGAATTACTCTGACTTCAAACATAGATATTTAATTTTAAAAGTAATTTATTCTATGTATAAATTATTTCTAATATCTTTGAACTATAAAACTCAGAAATATTTGTTTAGCAGTGGGGCAGGTTAGGCTAGTATCACTGGGGTTTTCCTGTTTACAGATAAAGCCATGTATATGTGTGTGTGGTGCCTCTTTGTGAGTTCCTGTACCATATAGTCCTAGCATGAGGATTTAATCATATTTCCCCCTCTTGACAAATGAAAAATCTGCACATAAAATTCGAGTGCAGAGCGGGCAAGGTGGCTCACACCTGTAATCCCAGCACTTTGGGATGCCAAAGCAGGCTGATCACTTGAGGTCAGGATTTCAAGACCACCCTGTCCAAAATGGCGAAACCCTGTCTCTATTAAAAATACAAAAATTATCTGGGCATAGTGGCTTGCACCTGTAGTCCCAGCTACTTGGGAGGCTGAGGCAGGAGAATCGCTTGAACCTGGGAGACAGAGGTTGCAGTGAGCCGAGATCATGCCACTGCACTCCAGCCTGGGCAACAGAGCGAGACTCTGACTCAAAAAAAACAATTTGAATGCATGCCCAAGGGACTTACAGGAACCCCCTGAATTTCTTTGTTGAGTGGCATGCAAGTCCAAGAGCATAACTCAGAGGATTTGCAGGTATTTATAGTTGGTAACAAAAGAAGGTCTGAAGAAAAATATACCATGTTCCCTGAAGAGCCACTAATTATTTTCATTGTTCTAGATTATTTTTCTTTCTGTTGGAATTTTTCAGATCTTTGTGATATGAACTCATTACTATATTGGTAATAATGTCTTTGTAAGATATTTTAGTAACTAATAAAGGATGTTCACATCTATAATTTTAAGAAGCAGTGAAGGAGTTATCCCCATTTTATAGCTAAGGATATTTAGGTACAAGAAGGTTCAATGACTTGCCCAAAATCATTGACTAGACAGTGTAGTCTTGGGCTGGCATCTCCACTCTTTGTTACCTAGGTCAGTGTTCTTTCCTCCTCACCCTGCCACACTTCTACATCACTAGGTGATTATAATGATCATACTGGCCAGTAGTTCCTGTGCACCTCTCTATGCCAGGAACAAGGCAATCTCTTCCTTTCGTTTTCCCACTTAGTCCTCATAATGGCCTTTGGGATCTGAATAAAGAGCAGTATGTTATTGCAGCTTCAAAAAGGACAGTTTTCTTTGTTGGCAGACTTACAGAGAGACAAAACTTTCTGAGTTACTTTTTTTGTCTGAAAAGCAAATTTGTGGGGAAAAAACCCCAACCCTATCTTCCATCCATGACAATAGGCAGTGCATTTTGGGAAAACAATCTGTTTATTGTTTCTTTTTAAACACAAGAGGATGGTCTTTAAAAGCCAAACAGAGGCACAGCCAATTTTTTGACAAGTGTTTGTGATTTTTTTTTTACCCAGAAGGAATATTCTTAATTCTATTGCCTTTGGACTTTATTATTCATTTGAAAGCTGAGACTCTTTTGTGAACGGCTGCAAGATGGTCATCACTGAATTTGTTGGTGATATTCCTCAGGGTCAAGAACAATACTGGAGAAGGTCTTAAATGAATTCACTCAGGGGACTTGAACAAAGATGGTTTTTTCTTAATAAGCCAATAGAAAAGTAGAGAATATTATAGGCTTTTAAAGTCTTTAAATAACTAGCCTGGAGCTTTTGTTACCCATTCCTCTATCCATTAAATTTCATGTATATTTGTTTTAGAGTTTTAGCCTGTTTAAATAACAAGGTAGTCAGGACACATATACATAGTTGCATTCACTCATTCATTTATTCAGCAAATATTTAATAAGTGCTTTCTTTGCCAAGCCTTAGGCCAGATATTTAGAATATGATGATGAACAAGACAAACAAAGTCACTGTTCTTCTAGAGGTCACAGGCCAGGGATGAAGACAGGCATTAAACAGATTATCACCAAGATAATTAATTGATTAAAATTTAGATGGTTCTATACGTAAATAGGATGCTAAAATAGAGTAAATAATAGAAGCCCCTAAATTAGCTGAATAGTTAAGGAAGGATTTCCTGAGGAATCCCCATGTAACCTGAAGGAGGAGTTAACCAAGCAAAGAGTTGGGGACAGAATTCCCAGGGGGAAGAGACGTGGGCAGTGGGGAGAGAGATGATGCAGAGACCCTGTGATGGTGGGGAATGTGTGTCGGGATAAAACTGGAGTGGAGTGGCAAAGGCACCCCATAGCATGGGATAAGGCCAGAGAAATACTAGCAGAATCAATGGGAAGCCACTGAAGGTCTCCGAAAGGCAGTGACTTAAAGTCCACACGTTAAAAAGATCACTTTGGCTGAGCATTAGGGAAGAAGGTGTAGGGTTGAGAGGATTCACAGGGCAGACGTGGCAGCCTTGCAGCACACACCAAGTTGTGGCTGTGAACTCAGAGGGGGGTTGTCCTCACTCCCTTTTAGAAGATATGCTTTTCCAGATTTCTACACGATCTTTTTAAATTTAGAGTGCCAGCGTGATCCCATGTCGCTTTTCTTTCCTTTTTACTTGGAGTTTTATTTTCGTGAAAGTGAGAGAAAAACATTTTGTCGGGATGAAACCTGGCATTGATTGAATAGTTACGGAGTTTCATATTTAACTCAAACTGTTTGAAATGCAGCTGCTGCTTATTATAAGTCCAGAGAAACTTCCTGGGTGGCAGGAAGTTGAGGGTGGAGGAAAGCTTTGTAATCACCAAGTAATTTGAAACAAAAATAACTTTGATGCAGTAAATGAAAATGCCTTGGACCACAAGGACCAGAATTCTTCTGGAATATGTGTGAGTTTAATGAAAGAGGATAGGGGCTTTGGTGAAGAATGCCTTATATTACATTTGTATTTTTTCTGTCTAGAAACAAATGAGAGTTTTGAGTCCTGAACCATAACCATATTCCCCCATTCCTACCTAAAATGTCTGTCACATGGGGCATTTCTTGCAAGATGGTTTACATGGGAAAAGTTAAAAGACACAGATTACTTGGCCAAATTTCACGGCTGTTGTTTCATGTGTCTGTAAGATGAAAATGCCTGTCATTCTGACTATGAGCAATGGATTACCTGTCAAAGAATTTGTCATTTCTTTCTTTTTCTGAAAACATGCATTTTTTCCATTGCCTAGGTATTCCCTGTCAACGATGAGCCACCAGTCTTAAAGGCTGACCTCATGCCTGTCATGAATTGCTCAGAGGGAGGAGAGGTGGTCATCACCTCTGAATACATTTTTGCTACTGATGTGGACAGCGATAACTTGAAGTTGATGTTTGTGATTGCTCGCGAACCTCAGCATGGGGTGGTGAGGAGAGCTGGAGTCACAGTGGATCAGTTCTCTCAGAGAGATGTTATCTCAGAGGCCGTGACATACAAACACACAGGTAAGCAGCAGCATGGTGACCAGTGAGGGAATGCAAGCAACATGAGAGTCTCCACTCCTCAGTGTGGGCTCCCATAATCAAACAGTCAGAATGGTTACTTCCATTAAAAACAAGAAGCAGCTGCAGCCTGGCCTCCATTTTTCCAGCATGATCACCATATATGGAAGTATTTCTGATTGTGTTATTATAACGAATTTCAAACAGCGGAGAAAGGCAGATATTACTTGCTTTGTTCCTGACGCTACCACACAGACCTTCCATTCACCCTATGATTCTCCTTAGCGTTTTTGGTCAGTTTGATCATCGTAGTTGGTGGGTCTATAAATCATGACAGAAATGCCTGAAGCAAGCTCCTAAGGTAATTACATTATTAATTTGCAAAGCTTACTGATCACCACCTAGCTCCTAAGAAGCAACTGGTCTGCTTTTTGAGTTCCTGAAAAGTAACGATAATGTCTTACCCAGTATATGACTTGCCCACAGCAAATGACAGCGTGAACACAGGTTAGATGTACAGAAAATGTTCATTTATTAGCACTGCAGTTACATTTTTGGCATTGCTTTATGTTGTCACCCAGGTGGCATTTGTTCCACTAAAAAATATTAATTCAACATCTGATATCTGTAACTTATAGCACTAAGCACTGTGGGGTACACAGGAATATGACCTAGACCCTGCTATGAAAGACTTTGAACTTAAATGGGTAGACAAAACCCATTTGCATGCAAAGATGACAGTGTGACTGACACTGACACACTGCACATCATCACATCATCTCACCTTGCACATCTTCTGAGGTCTGGGTTGGGGAAACTTCCTTGGTAACAATGCTGCATATTTCATCTGCTGGCTTTTGCTGTACTGTAGTGCAATTTCCTGTCTACTCATCCATATGCCTCTTTAAACTGCAAGTTCCAATGCAGGAAGTATGATCAAGTATGTAAGGCCAGGTGAGTGGTATAGGAAATAAGAACTTTCAGAATTCAAATCATTTTCTTATTTGAAGAGATTCAAGCAGTGAGGCATGAAATAAATTCAAGGAGGAGGGATGGAGATAGCAAAGGATTAATTCAGAAATGGGAGAAAACATTCTGAAATAATATTTGTCCTATATACTTTGGAAAACAGTGATTTATTGGAACACCAGATGTCTCGGGACATTTTAATCACTTCACCAGACATCTTTTTTCTTTAAATGGTATCTCTCTATCCTCTTATCTGTGTTTAGTCTTAGGAAAGCTTTCCTGGGTGATTACCTTGTCCTGAGGAGCGTAGTTCGTATGTTTGATGTCCCTCAGGAGTTCACCACTAGGTACTCATTTTTGATTTCCCCAGTGGATCTGAAATAGACTGGCAGAAAAGGGATCCAAAGACCAATGATTGTTATTTATTGCTTAATTATTTAACATCTCTGGCAGGCTCATGCAGCACAGGTAAATTAGGGGTGAGAAGAATCTGTCTTCTTTTCCAGTGCCTTGTTCTAAGTGCTAAACAACAGGTATACAAATTTCTAAATCTCCTGTAGTGTAGCAGCCATAGACGGGACTATTAACTAATTTTTTTTAAAATAAAACCCAGTAGGACATTGGGGCAAATTATTTCAAATAGACGGCTTTTGGTTATGTTACTAAGTTAGAAGGAATACTCGATTCAAAGGGTATTTTGGTATTTGAATGTTAACGTTTTCTTGTAATGATTACTCACTTATTCAATTGGTAGTTACCCAGCCCTGGGCTGAGATCAGGATAAAGAATCACAGCATTGTAGGATCTGAGGTTTCAGTGAGTTTTCTGGCCCTTCTCTTGCTTCTACGTGTTGATTTAGAGGCCACCTAAGAATAATTTTATTAGCATTACTTTATTTGCTTTCTATAAGTATAAAAATAATACACACTCATTGCAGAAAACTTGGAAGGAATGGAAAAGTACAATGAAGTTTTTAAAAATCACCTTATTACATATCTAAAAGAGTCACTGTTCACATTTCAGTATTATAGTATTTTATTCTCTTTATTCTGGCCATAATTTTAACATAGTTGCAATTATGTTGTAACATATGCAGCTTTGCAGATTACTTTTATCATTTAGATTATCACCTGAAATGTTTATTAAAATATATATTAAATGTTAGAAAGTTATTATAAAGATGTTTTAGTAATAGAATAACATCTTACTATATGAAAGTCCATTAATAATTTGCTATTCCCCAATTAACATTATCTGGTCCCAGCTACTTGGAGGCTGAGGTAGGAGGATCGCTTGAGCCCAGGAGGTGGAACCTAGAGTAAGCCAAGATCATGCCACTGCACTCCAACCTGGGCAGCAGAGTGAGACCCTGTCTTCCCTCAAATTTTTTTTTAATAACACTATGATTAACATTTTTAAGTACCAATCATGTCCTTAGGCTATATTCCATTTCAAGGTAAAGAATTTCACTACCTATGTTGTAGGCTTTTTAGTGGCTTAATATTTGGCCTGCTTTCCCAGCTATTTCTGTAAATATATCCTATGCTTCCATTATAGAGAAATTGTGGTTACTCAATTTGCAATTTGCCTTCTCTGTTTTTAAAGCTGTCTTCTCTTTCTAGAGTGACTTTTCATTTCTCTCCCCCATTGCCTCTCCCTACAGATCTTCTATCCCATCTGTCCCAATGTTCTACCTTATCTGCTTGGCAAACTCTTACTCATCCTTTAATGCTCAGCACAAAGCCAGCAAAGGCATCTGGAAACTTTGCTGACTTTCCTTGGCACGTATGCCCTGCCCCTACGCCATTGTCAGCTAAAACTCATCTTCTTTCACCCTCAGCACCTTGCACACGATCAGGCCGGAATACATAAAATTGCCATTTAACAGGTAAAAAATGGTTTAATAGTAGCAATTTCATGTGATTCTACATAATACATACATACATACATACATACATACATACATCTGTGCTATTCTAACCACACTGCATTTCCTTCTCTACCATTAGACAGTATCGGTGCCTGACGCATAGTGTGGTCTTTTGACATTTGACATTCTTTTGAAATGTCTTTTGAAAGTTCCAAAATGTGTGCCTTTTTCTCTGCTGGTGTGCTGGAAACACTAATTATCACACAGTAGGTGTTGAATAAATATTTACTGAGTGAATTACTAATGAACACATTTTTAAGCCAGTTTGCATTTTAGATATATGAATAGGTGAGAGGTCTCTTATTTTTGACTCTTTCTCACATTGACGGCTGATTGTTTCTTTCTAATTCTCTCAACTTCAATTCGGTTTTTCCTTTTAAGCCCAGTTTTCTCATCCTTTGAACACTTGGTTGCTCAATAATATAATCTCTAGATTTTCCTTGTCATTTTTAAACGGGAAATAATGGCAACCACAGAGCTCTGCAGATTTGACCAGAGTGTCTGCTGAAAAGGGAGGATGTCCCTGATCTTTTGTACCCTAGGTTCATCAAAACTCCAAGCATTAATTCCTCCCTGTATTAGTCCATTTTGAGGCTGCTGATAAAGACATACCCGAAATTGGGCAATTTACAAAAGAAAGAGGTTTAATGGACTTACAGTTCCATGTGGCTGGGAAGCCTCATGATCATGGCAGAAGGCAAGGAGGAGCAAGTCACCTCTTACATGGATGGCAGCAAGCAAAGAGAGCTTGTGCAGGGAAACTCCCATTTTTAAAACCATTGGATCTCATGAGACTCATTCACTATCATGAGAAAAGCGCAGGAAAGACCTGCCCCCATAAATTCAGTCACCTCCCACTGGGTTCCTCTCACGAAATGTGGGAATTGTGGGAGTTACAATTCAAGATGAGATTTGAGCGGGGGAACAACCAAACCGTATCACTGCCTTCTTGAGATTTTCATGGTGATGCATGAGAATTACCAACAGCACATGTGCAAAACTTTTCTGTGTCCTGGATAGCAAGCACTCTTACTCCACGCTCTTAGTGGGTAACCCAAGAGCAGATTGCCCTGTTGCTGATAAACTGTCTAATCCTGACATTTTGTTCCTTCTTCCTGTCACTGTCTAAACTGGGGACATTTTGAATCCTACAGATGTAAGACCTAAACAGTGAAAAGAAGAAAATGAAAATAAATGCCTCTTCTTTTCCACAGACTGTTGCTATTTTTAAAAACATCCTGGCTAATATATAATAAGAAGAATATTGAAAGAAATGGCAAAAATGTGGCCTACTTTTGTATTTCACCTATTCAACATCCTCGTTTCTCATAACTGCTCTGTGGTTGATGGTTGTTCATTTAAGGTGGTTAATGTAAATGGAAAGACACTTACCAAAGGGAAAAGGTTGCCTTCTCCCTCTCCCTGAGGTTGGTCATAACATGAAATGATTATAAGGGAAGAATGAAACCTTCACTAGTGAAGCTTTGTGCCCTTGCTCATTCATAAACTGTCAGACCCTTGTTGGCCCAGTTTTGTCCCTCCTTATCATGATAGATGGCTAGTAGGGAGTTCACCAGAGGCAACAGATGGGCAAGAATTTTTGCATTATTTTCATGACTATATTTAATTTCATAGTGATAAAATTGGGTTTTACATTTATTTTATCCACATAACTTCTTTTCCTTGCTGTTTCAATGCTTGTAGAAGAGGTGTGAGTAGATTTCATCTTGGTATTCTATATTTTTTAAAAGGCAGGTTTCAGCTATAGTTGTGTCTTCCAGGTGGCGAGATTGGCCTGATGCCTTGTTTTGACACCATTACATTGGTGGTTTCGGATGGAGAGGCTGGCCCTTTTGTGAATGGCTGTTGCTACAATGGACCCAATCCATCTGTTCCACTTCATGCGTCCTTTCCAGTGTATGATCTCAACATCACGGTATACCCAGTAGACAACCAGCCACCTTCCATTGCAATAGGTGACAATGTGTTTTTTTGTTCCAGTACTATTGTCTGACCTAGTGTCATACCTGTGGTTCAGTGAAATAATACATTTCATTTATAGTCTAAAAAGAAAACCACCATATGGAATTGTCCTTCAATAATTACCTCAACACAAATTTTGTGGAAAACCCAAATCTGTTAAGATTATGGGGCAAAAGAATTTACATGTTTAAAAATTTTAATATTTCTGTATGGAGAGAGAATACGTGTGTTGGGGTGTGTGTGTGTGTGTGTGTGTGTCTTTGTGTGTGTGTTGGGACAAGGACAACATTGCAATCCTCAAATATTCTGATTTTATTTCACATGGGAAAATGTAATTTGCTTGCTGAAGAGAGAGTAATTTATTTTATCCATAATAATTTCTATTAGAACAGAGTGAGTATACCGGAGAGACCATTTATATACATTTAACCTTATTTGCTTTTTAGAAAGTCATCTTTTCATAGGCATTATGTATATGTTCTGTCTCTCAGAAAAAAATATAAGCATACGTATGAATGTTATTGTAATTTGCAAACTACCTCCCAAGCAGTGTTCTGGAAAGAAAGCATTATCCCAGCAGAATAATTAAGCATCAAGCCACGAAAAAACTCTTCGTTATGAGCAATTCATAATAGCTCTCAGGCAATTAACGCTCTGACAAACAGAGGTACCAACTGATCTTGAAGAGTACATAAACTACGTTTAGTGGCTTAACATTAAAACAGTTGGGCAATTCTTACTTTCATTTGTCACTTCCATAGAGACACAAGGGAAACCAGAGTTCCTTGAGAATGACTAAAGGGCTGTGCTGGAACAGTTAGTATTTCTGCTGGCTTTCTGTTATCTTCTGACTTGCCTGGACAAGAAAAAAATATAATTCCATAGGTCAAAGTAAATTCACTCATTACCACTCAAGATTTTCACTTTAAAGAGAATGATGCCAAAGAAAATGAACATCTCCCATGGAAATGTTTTTGCACGTGGGAGGCTTCTCTGAACTAGAATTTCAGTCACTGCATTTTGTCCTACCCAGTCTGTTTAGAGGATTTCATGCTAAGTTGTAATTGTGTTTTTATTTGTATGCAGGTCCCGTGTTTGTTGTAGATGAGGGCTGCTCAACAGCCCTTACTGTTAACCATTTGTCCGCCACTGACCCTGACACTGCAGCAGATGACTTGGAATTTGTTTTGGTTTCTCCTCCTCAGTTTGGCTACCTCGAAAATATACTCCCTTCTGTGGGTTTTGAAAAAAGCAATATTGGCATAAGTATAGGTAAGCTGTAGCTTCGTCACCAGCAATGACTCCCTTCCTTATATTTATGGAAGCGATTGGCCAGGTCATGCTTAATAACTTTGTAAGGACTTTCAAAATGTTTAAAGCACCGGGCGTGGTGGCTGATGCCTGTAATCCCAGCACTTTGGGAGGCCGAGATGGGCAGGTCACCTGAGGTCAGGAGTTTGAGTCCAGCCTGACCAATGTGGTGAAACCCCTCTCTACTAAATATAAAAAATTAGCCAGGTGTGGTGGCATATGCCTGTAATCCCAGCTACTTGGGAGGCTGAGGCAGGAGAATTGCTTGAAACCAGGAGGCAGAGGTTGCAGTGAGCTGAGATTGTGCCATTGCACTCCAATCTGGACAGCAGGAGCGGAAACTCCGTCTCAAAAAAAAAAAAAAAAAAGTTTAAAGCACCATATGTATTCAATGAATTATTATTACTATTATAGCTGATGCTTTTGAATCTTACCATTTTTCATTTAAATTTTTATTCTGACTTCCCCCTTGCATGCAAATTTACTTCAAAATAAATGGAATTTTACTTATGGAAAATACAAGAATAAACATTGAAGAAAGAATGGTTTAAAAGGCCCTCATAGCAACACAGGATACCATGAGAGAGTGAATCTAGCGGGAGCTCACAAGGTCTCATTCTCACAACCTTTTAGCATTTTGAATAGATATTGGTGGAAAGGGTGAGGAAATATACTATGGGTGTAACAGAGAGAAAGCCTGAAATGTTGAAGCAGATGACATTAATTTTAAAGCCAAAACGTGTCCCAGATACTTAAATAGGTCTTGTATTTCAGGCAAAAACAGACCAACCAAAACAAAAACAGAAAGCAAAGACAAAGTCTTCCAAAGACATATAAATGATTCTCCAAACCCCTTTTGAAGAATGTCCATTTTAAATATGAAAGAGACTGAATATAAGATTAATTGCATTCAATGTTACTCAGCTTTTCTGGTGACTTAATGCACATCTTTAAGCATTTTCTCTTTGGATTTAAGCCCATGTCAAAATACTAAAACAGCAGGTTAGCTAATTCCACTCAATCCAGCACCTTGCTTGATATGTACCTCTTCAAGTAGGCAGATGATTGATTGACTCTTGTTTTGCGTTTACGTGACGGAGGTGGTCTCTTTTTATACTCAAGTGTGACAGAGACTATTCATGCAAAAGTAGTCATTTAATCAAGGGAAGGTCTCCGACATTTATTCTAAGTATCTGAAGTATTCTTGAAGTCCCTGTGCATACTGGTTAAAAAGTATTACTCTTCGGTTCTCCATGCAAATTTTATTCTTCTGTATGATCTGTGGATATCTGCCTTTATGTTGATGGTTGGCTGTTGTAGCAGCCCTTGATAGCAAGATACTTAGGTCAACTGCTATGATCTCTTATTTGTATTACTGAGAAATTGACTATTATTGGGTTAAGGATTAAGGACCAATAACTTGGAAAAATTTTTTTTTTATTTATCTGTTCCATCTTGGTGTGCTCTAGATTCATTTCAGTGGAAAGACATGAACGCTTTTCACATTAACTATGTGCAGTCCAGGCATCTGAGGATAGAACCAACTGCCGACCAGTTCACGGTGTACGTCACAGATGGGAAGCATCACTCCTTGGAGATACCATTTTCTATTATAATCAACCCCACAAATGATGAAGCTCCTGACTTTGTAGTGCAGAATATTACTGTAAGAAACATATCCAAATGTTCCATTTCTCTTTTATCATTTTGATTTTTATTTTCAATTAGTCCATTTACATTGCTCCAAGTGCATTAACACATTGCATTGGTGAGGAGTGGGGAAGGCTATGTTATGTAATGCAATCATTTGAAAATTATTAATCTTCCTGCCTTTCCTCTTTTGTTGGCACATGGATTTCTCTGGAGAGCCCTTCAGTAATTATGAGAGAGAAAAAAAATCTACAGATGATTCCATCGATACCTACCTCCATTGTCTTGTATCTTGCCTAGGGTCGGGGCTTCTGAAATAATACCACTGGGAAGTTGTCCCTTGCTCTTCTCTGGAAGTAGTCATGGTTTTTTTGTTTTTTGTTTTTTGAGATGGAGTCCCGCTCTGTCGCCCAGGCTGGAGTGCAGTGGCGCGACCTCGGCTCACTGCAAGCTCCGCCCCCCGGGTTCACGCCATTCTCCTGCCTCAGCCTCCCGAGTAGCTGGGACTGCAGGTGCCCGCCACCACGCCCGGCTAATTTTTTGTATTTTCACTAGAGACGGGGTTTCACCGTGTTAGCCAGGATGGTCTTGATCTCCTGACCTCGTGATCCGCCCGCCTCGGCCTTCCAAAGTGCTGGGATTACAGGCATGAGCCACCGCACCCAGCCAAAGTTGTCATGGTTTTACCTGCATTCCCTAGAGAGACTACTGGAGAGTGAAAAATATGAAGTCCTGTGTGTTACGGGCAAGCAGACTTTAAGCTTCGCATAATTTTTTTTTAGATAACCATATTTTGCTTTCTTGTGAGAAAATGCATTTATTTTGTAGATAGCTGGGCTTCCATCAAGTTATGCTGCAAGAAGATTTGAGGTTTTAGTTTAAGTTATTATAATCCATTCCAAACCTGTCTACTAATCAGGTTTGGCATTTTATGTATATTGATCTAAAATTTTTGTTGTCCTAATCTCAATAATCTATTCAATCTGCAAGAAACAACCACACGTTTTAGTCAAGCTCTATGAAGAAGGATATTATAACATATTTTAAGTTGCTTTATTAAAGTTCTTGGAGAAAAAGGCAAGGTCCTATTTAAAATGTTTTCATAAGTATACCATTGTAAGTTGAACTATGATGCCACTTTAATATTTAATAAGTAGGGCTAGATAAAAGAAAATCAGCATCCTTTTAGCACAAGTATCATATATGGCAAGTGTTTTTTTGTTAACACATGTTCAATAAAATGTGGTTGCAGGAGGGTGCCCTTCAAAGTCAGTAAGAGAGGGTGAAATGAAAGGATGCTTTAGGCCAGGCATGGTGGCTCACGCCTGTAATCCCAGCACTTTGGGAGGCTGAAGCAGGAGGATCCTTTGAGCCCAAGAGTTCAAGACCAGCCTGGGCAATGTGGCAAAACCCCATCTCTACAAATAATAAAAATAAATTTTAAAAATTAGCCAGGCTGGTGACACATGCCTATGGTCCTAGCTACTTGGGGGCTGAGGTGGGAGGATTGCTTAAGCCTGGGTGGGTGAGTGTGCAGTGAGCCATGATTGAGCCACTGTACTGTAGCCTGGGCAACAGAGAAGACTATGAGGAAGGAAGGAAGGATGGAAAGAAGGAAGAAAGGAAGGAAGGAGGAGGGTAGGGGAGGGGAGGGGAAAAGAAAAAGAGAGAAAGGGAAAGGAAAAGAAAAAAGGGAGGGAGGGAAAGAAAGAGAGGAAGAGAGGAAGGAAGGAGAGAGAAAGAAAGAGAAAGAAAAGAGAAAGAAGAAAGAGGGAGGGAGGAAGGGAAGGAGGGAAAGAGAGAAAGAAAGATGAAGGAAGGAAGGGGAAAAGGGAGAAAGGGAAAGGAAAAGAGGGAGGGAGGGAGGGAAAGAGAAGAAGAGAGGAAGGAAGGAAAGAGAAAGAAAGAAAAGAAAAAGAAAGAGAAAGAAGAAAAGAAAGAGAAAGAAGAAAGAAAGGGAGGGAGGAAGGGAGGGAGGGAGGGAAAGAGGAAGGAAGGAAGGAAGTTTTCACAAATTCAAACCATACATGTCCTTCAAGGCTTAATTGCCTTCTCAGTCATGAAAACATCCTGATCTCTGCCCTTTTGTGATTCTTGTTTATGAATATCTAGCAGCACTAGACATTTTCTTCCTTGAGTTATAGTTATTGATGGACCTTTGCAGTCTTACCTGACTTGGGTTGTTGAGAATACTATGTAGCATAGTAACATTGCAGATTACCAATATGCATGTGTAGAATTTATATACTCTTATTATTTAGATTTTGCTATATTTCAAAATGGGCAACAGAAATACTTTTTTGTTCTCTCAATCCTCGTGAGAAAAAAAGATTGAATCAGCTAAGTAACATATTGTCAAGTTCTAAATGACTAGATACTACATGAAATGATAAACATTTAATTGTCTTTGTGTTTAAAGGATTATGAAACCTGAAGTGGGTGTGAGAGGGAATGGGAAGAGTAGTTCAGGAAATTTGGAAGTATAAGAATGGGAGGGAGATGAGGGACCCATTATGAAAATATACATAATTATGCATCCAGTAGCATCCTTTGGCATTGTTGTTGATTTCAGTGGAAATACAGAAGTTTTTACTGCGATAACAAAAATAAAAACCACCAAATATGCTTAGTGTATGTAGCAAATATTTGTATCACTTATAAAGCAGATGGAAATGTAAGACTTGTAGAAGCAAGGAGATCCACGAGGATTGGTTTATGAAGGTGAAGGTTCTAGATTCAGTTTTACAACTGAACTTTTCCATGACTTCTTGAAAGCAAACACCGTCTTGGTTGCATTTTTCCCCTGACCTTTGACTTATGAACAATACATATTTTAAAAATTATATGTCCTTTGTCCTTCATGGAAATGAATAAAGTGCTTTGAAATCTTCAGAAAAAAATGTAAGGGAGATTAATAGATCTGTTACTTCCTTTACATTCATATTAAACCAGCAATTTCTTTTTAGGACTCATCCTATATAAATCTCATAGAAAATTTGAAGTAGGATATATTCAAGTGATTTCTTTAAGCAGTTTTCCAAAGAAAGACAAGTTGTCTTTTATGCATTGTTGACTTTTCTCATGTGTTCTTGCTCAGGTGTGTGAGGGTCAGATGAAAGAGCTGGACTCTTCCATCATCAGCGCTGTGGACCTGGACATTCCCCAGGATGCCCTGCTGTTCAGCATCACTCAAAAGCCACGCCATGGCCTCCTCATCGATAGGGGGTTTAGCAAAGACTTCTCTGAGAATAAGCAGCCAGCCAACCCTCACCAGAAACATGCACCTGTTCACAGCTTTTCCATGGAACTCCTCAAGACTGGTATAGCATGTTCCACTTCCATGCATTTGTTATTGTTGATTGAATAATTTAACCCATACTTATATGTGAAATCTAAAAAGGTCAAACTAATATAAGCAGAGAGTAGAATGATGGTTACTAGAGGCTGAGGGTGGGAGGATTGGGGAGATGTTGGTTAAAGGATATGAAATTTCGGTTAGACAGGAGAAGTAAGTTCAAGAGATTTATTGTACAGCATAATTACCATAGTTAACAATATATTGCATACTTGAAAATTCCTAAGACAGTAGATTTTAAGAGTTCTCACCAATCAAAAAAATGAGTATGAGAAGTAATGCATATGTTAATTAGCTTGACTTAACCATTCCACAGCGTGGCCGGGCCTGGTGGCTCACGCCTGTAATCCCAAAACTTTGGGAGACGAAGACAGGTGGATCACTTGAGGTCAGGAATTTGACACCAGCCTGGCCAACATGGTGAAACCCTGTCTCTACTAAAAATACAAAAATTAGCCGAGTGTGATGGTGCACTTCTGTAATCCCAGCTACTCAGGAGGCTGAGGCACGAAATCGCTTGAGCCTGGGAGGCAGAAGTTGCAGTGAGCCGAGATCGTGCCACTGCACTCCAGACTTCCAGCCTGGGCGACAGAGTGAGACTCTGTCAAAAAACAAACAAACAAAAACCAAAATAAACCCATTTCACAATGTATACATGCATCAAAACACCCCATTATATATCATAAATATATACAATGTTTATTTGCCAATTAAAAAATAAAAATTTTAAAATAATTTAACCTAGAAAAGGTAATAATACATCACAGAAATAGGGGATGAAGAAATAGCATTCACCTACTTTATTCATTTGTCTCTCAAGGGCTCTCTCTAGGCTTGGATTAATGTAGGACAGGAAGCCCTAGGTAGAGGTAGTAGGTAATTGAAAAGGCAACAACATGTTTTCTTTCACTTTTAGACTACCATTAAAAATGATATTTGAGTTTTTATTGTATTTTCACTCAAACATTTAATGCTATAGTAAAAAAAATCCTTTTTAAAACTATTGAGATCATGAAACTACAGTTTAAGAGACTGGTCTGCCAAAATTTCCACAGTTGAAACAAATATAGAACCACATATAATAATGCTCATTATTTTCTGAGGGGATAATTTACTCTTTAGAGAAATGGCACATTGCATAGCAGCCTGAATTATTTTTTAATTACTCTTTTAAAAAATTCAATCTTATCCCACTTTTCACATATGAAAATACTTTTAAAAATCTGAGAAAAGTGTGCGGTTCCTGAATTACTGCTTCCTCCCATTCTCCTTCCTTAGGTGTTTTCTTTTCCCAGCCTGTAAGGTCCTTCCCCCTCCTTTGCCAGGCTAGCCAAGGCTGTGCCTTCAGAACGCACCTTTCTGTTAACCTCTGCTTGAGCCCCACCCAAGGTCTCCAAACCACTCCTTCTCTGTGCTTGTTTCATCTTAGCACTTGTTTAACATTTTTCCAACTTCTTTTAGTTATTTGTTTCCCCAACTAGTGTGTAAGCTTTCTGCCCCAAAGGTTTTTTTGTAATTGTTGCAAAAATCATCTCAGGTTTAAATTTAAAAAATGCATTTATAACCAAACACTGCATGTTCTCACTCATAGTTGGGAATTGAACAATGAGAACACATGGACACAGGAAGGGGAACATCACACTCTGGGGACTGTTGTGGGGTGGGGGGAGGGGGGAGGGATAGCATTAGGAGATATATCTAGTGCGAAATGATGAGTTAATGGGTGCAGCACACCAGCATGGCACATGTATACATATGTAACTAACCTGCACATTGTGCACATGTACCCTAAAACTTAAAGTATAATAATAATAAAAAAAAAGAAAAAAATGCATTTATATATTTCTCAGCTTTTATCAATTGCAAAGAAATACATTCTAGGACATAAATGATGATATTACCAAATCAATAAACCACATGCTACAAATAATAGAATACATTGTTTAAAATTTTTTTTTCAAATTTGACCAAGGAAAAAATAATAATAATTCAAATTTTACTCTCAAGAAAGTCAATTTTTTAAAAAATAACATTTGTTGGTTATTATCTAGTTAAATAAGAATTATATGATCATTGTGTACAGTTTGGACACAGTCATTTTGAAGAAAAAATAAAAATTTCCTACATAAAAATTAGTATTTGGGTTGATATTTTGGAGACTTTCTCAGAAATTAGATTTTCACCTCTATTTTATCTGTGGTTCATTTATGGCTACATTTTTTAAAAACTTTAGCATATTCTCATAAACATCCCCCCAAACAAATATACAAAGTTTATAAAACTCTTCCCATATTATGTAATCTGTTTTTCTTCTTACCTTTTTTTTTTTTGGAGACAGGGTCTTGCACTGTCACTTAGGCTGGATTGTGGTTGTGCAATCACAGTTCACTCCAGCCTGGACTTCCAGGGCTCAAGTGATCCTCTGACCTCAGCCTCCCAACTAGCTGGGACCACAGGCACAAGTCATCACACATACCACTGGCTGATGAAAAAAAAGTTTTGTAGAGACAGGGTCTCCCTGTGTTGTCCAGGCTGGTCTCGAACTCCTGGGCTCAAGTGATTTTCCTGCACTCGCCTTCCAAAGTGCTGGTATTACAGGAGTAGGTCACCATAACTGGCCTCTTCTTACTTTTAAAACATGGAGACCGGGTGTGGTGGTTCACACGTGTAATCCCAGCACTTTGGGAGGCCAGGATGGGTGGATCACTTGAGGTCAGGAGTTCGAGACCAGCCTGGCCAACATGGCAAAACCCAGACTCTATTAAAAATACAAAAATTAGCCAGGTGTGGTCACACCTGTCTGTAACCCCAGCTACTTGGGAGGCTGAGGCATGAGAATCGCTTGAACCCAGGAGGTAGATGTTGTAGTGAGCCAATATCATGTCACTGCATTCCAGCCTGGGTGACAGAGTGAGACTCTGTCACAAAAAAAATTGTTATTATTAAAAACGTAACTTTTGATAATTACCTTATAAAATCATCATATAGACTTATTATGCTGTAATTTTTTAAAAGAGATGACTTTGTCACCCAGGCTTGAGTGAAGTGGGATGATCATAGCTCACTGCAGCCTCAAATTCCTGGGATCAAGCATTCCTCCCTGCCTGAGCCTCTTGAGCAGCTATGACTACAGGCGTCACCTGGCTAGTGTTTCAAAAAAAAAATTCTTTTAAAGACAAGGTCTCATTATGTTTTCCGAACTGGCCTCGAACTCCTGGCCTCAAGCGATCCTCCCACTTGAGCCCCGAAAAGTTGTTAGGACTACAGGCGCTCACCACTGTACTGGCTCCTGTGCTGTAATTTTATACAACTATCTTTAAAATACAACTTTAAAATATTTTATACAACTTTAAAATATCCAGATAGTTTTCAGTTTCTTGATATTAAAACTTATATTTCAGTAAACATTTTATATAAATCTGGGTGCACATCTTCTAGCATTTTAGTAGCTTTGAAGTAAGTTTTGAAAATGTGAAATGTTAGGCTTCCAATTTTGTTCTTTTTCTAGGCTGTTTTGGCTGTTCTGAGACTCTTGAATTTCCATTTAAATGTTAGGTAGATTTAAAAAAAACAGTTACATTGTTAATATTTAAGTTTTGACCTATTAAGAATTCATTTTGATGATTGGCTCGAGGTAGGGATATAACTCTATAATTTTCCCCAAATAATTAACTTTCTCAGTTTTATTTAAATACCCTGCACCTTTGTTTATATAGTTTATTTAAAAATATATTCTTTCCTAACTGATTTTAAATAACACCCTTAATCAAATACTAAATTATTTAAATAAAAAGTCTTTAATAGGCTAAGAAGGCACTCTTTTACTTCATAAAACAAGTTTAATTTCACCCTACTGCACTGATAAATGAACTCTTGCTAATACCCCTGCCTTGAAAATTAAGACATTATCTGTGACATATGTCATGATGGTTCAATCATAAGGAAGATTTACTTATTTTTTTTCCTTCTTCCAGGAATGAGGTTGACGTACATGCATGATGACTCAGAGAGCCTTGCTGATGATTTTACAATCCAATTGTCAGATGGGAAACATAAGATACTTAAAACCATTTCAGTAGAGGTCATCCCAGTTAATGATGAAAAACCAATGCTGAGCAAGTAAGCTACCTGAAAAGAGTCCCTTTCAGATTTCTATACAATTCTATGAAATCTACAATACTAGGTACAGGTGTGTGTGTGTCTCCCAAAGAAGCAAGTCTTCGCTAGCTCCTGTCACAGCTTGCCCCTGCCACTCAGGCATGAGGAACCTTTAGTGCAAATGTTAGTTAAGGTAACCTCTCCTTAACAATCAGCCGTTTAATTACTTGATTTTCTTCTAAACATACTAATTAGTTGTAAAGAATAAGAATGACTGAACACACAGTATGGAATGAACAATCTACTAAACATATAAATACATGCACTTACACCAACGTGACTGCACACCTACCAAAGTGCAATTAATATATAGATTCAACTAAAGTCTAATAACATTAACTGCAGACAGTCCTTACAACAGATTTGCTGAAACTTGTAACTAAGCGTGGCGGAGGGAAATAAATCAACCCACTTCTTTCATTATCTTGGTACTTTTTTGTCCACCAGTTCTCTACTGTGTTCCATATGGGTCAACACCCCCTCCCGCCTCACATCGAAATCATCATTTTCTAAAATTCTGAGCGATATTATTCAATTGTAAACTTTCTCAGTATCTCCCTGTATTAGTCTGTTCTCACACTGCTATAAGGACATACCCAAGACTGAGTAACTTATAAAGAAAAGAGGTTTAATTTACTCACAGCTCTGTAGGGATTGGGAGGACTCAGGAAACTTACAATCATGACAGAAGAGGAAGCAAACACATCCTTCTTCACATGGTAGCAGGAGAGAGAAAAACAAGTGCCCAGTAAAGGGGAAAGCCCCTTATAAAACCATCAGATCTTGTGAGAACTGACTCACTATCACGAGAACAGGATGGGGGAAACTGCCCCACGATTCAATTATCTCTACCTGGTCCCTCCCACAACACATGGAGATTATGGGAACTACAATCAAGATGAGATTTGGGTGAGGACACAGCCAAACCATATCACTCTCTCTGTAAGTGCTCAGAGTTTGATCATAGGGTATAGAGTATTCATTAGTTCTATTTCTATAGCCCCAGCCATTTCTTTTACAATTGGCAGCTATACAGAACTGTACACAGTCTACAGAACTGAACAGAGTTTTAGGGGACCAACTCTTCTCTAGAGCTATAAGTAAAAAAGCATCTGGTTCTTGGAACCTCCTTGATGACTTCACCTCTTTTTTCAATAGTGCAACAGTAAGAGACATGTTGTAGATAGTCTGGGTTTTTATCAGGGAGTGAATAACTTACTGAAAGCACCCAAACCCCCCAAATCTCTTCCACTCTGCAGAAAGGAGGGCCTCAAACAAGTCCCTTCCTTATCTGCCCCATATCCTGCTGTTCCCTATGAGCCACTGATAAGGTTCTTAAAAAGCATTATGGGAAATACTGATGATAGATTTTTGGAGGGTTGCATCTCATACATCAGTTTGTCTAAAAGTATTCACCAAAAAATTTCTATTTTCTTATTTCTTAGCTAATATGTTGGATTAGTATAGCCTTTATTTATAAATATGAAAATATGAAGGCTGTCATAGTATTACAGTACCTCCTTTTTGATGATCTCATTTTAAGAGGCAGGGAGGTGAAAGCTGGCAGGGTGAGGGCCCCGGGGCATCCACTGGAGAGGGGTAAAAACTGGCATTTATTAAGTGCTTACTATAGGACAGACAGTATATTAGATTCTTTCACATATATTATTTCATTAAATCCTCACCAAAATTGTGGAAAATGCATATTATTATCCTGACTGAGGAAAACTGAGACCAGAGAGGTAAAAGAGCTTACACTAGGCACCCACTCAACTCCATTTGACTCCAAAGGCCATGCTCTTGTTACTAAACTCACTGGAATAGCTACATCTACAGAATCATCAAACCTCCTTCAACCCTGCTTCAAAAACCCTCCCTTTTCTGTGCTTCCTCTTTCCTTCTCTCCTGTGGATAGGAAGTAATAACACTCTCTTTCTCTTCCATGTGTGTCCTTGGGCATATCACCTCTTTCCTTCTCCCGGAAACTGCTCCATTATTTTTTCCTCCAGTATCTTCAGTCTCTCCCTTTTCATTTCCTCTGTTAACAAGACAAAGGGATATGGATTGTGGTTAAGAGAGCAAATGCTGGAGTCAGATTGACTCAGTTCAGCCACTTACCAACAGTGTGATCTTGAACATGTTGTTTAACTTCTCTCAATCTCTCTGTTAACCTCTCTGTAAATGAGGACAATAGTGGTATCCTCTTAATAGGATTGTTGCAAGGATTAAATAAAATATGTAAACATGCTTGAAAGACTAGCTACTACGTGGTAAGTGCTACTAAGTGTTATTGTTATTATTACAAGCAGATATCCTAATTGTAAAAATACAAAGACAAGCTAGTCCCCCATTCATTTCACTGAGGAACTTTTTGGAAGAGTTCCATTTCTGCCCACTTTCTCCAATCTCCACTTTATTATTTTTTTCTTTCTTTCTTTTCTATTTTTTTTTTTTTTTTTTTGAGAGAAAGTCTCGCTCTGTCACCCAGGCTGGAGTGCAGTGGCACGATGTTGGTTCACTGCAAGCTCTGTCTCCCAGGTTCACACCATTCTCCTGCCTCAGCCTCCCAAGTAGCTGGGACTACAGGCGCCTGCCACCACGCCTGGCTAATTTTTGTATTTTTGGTAGAAATGGGGTTTCACCATGTTGGCCAGTATGGTCTCGATCTCCTGACCTCGTGATCTGCCTGCCTCAGCCTCCAAAAGTGCTGGGATTACAGGCATGAGGCACTGCGCCCGGCCCAATCTCCACTTTATTAAAGATGCTCCCTTAAAAGTTACTCTTGGCTTTCCCGCCAAATCTAATGGCTCTTCTAACCTTCCTGGACTCTTTGAGAGCATGTAACACCATTTCTTTGCTATTCCTTTTAGCTACTGTAGAGGATGCTTTGGGTCCTGCAGATCACAGCCCCTCAGCCCATCTCTGATTCTGGTCCTGATCGTGGTGGAATTTGCCATGTCAGTGTCCCACCTCAGGTGTCCGCAGTGCCTCACTCCACTTTTCTGCCTCAGGGCTTTCATGCAGCCCATGTCCATGCTCAGCAGAGAGCACTCTGGGGACAGCCCTTAACCTCGGGAGCTAGTAGATAAGATAAATGCTCCAGCTTCCTGTCCATTAGGAGCACAGTTTGAATCACATCTATGTGGTTCCTCAAGATACCCAGCAGGATTGAGCCCCAATTCCCCATAGCAGTAAAACACCCTTTGTTGCCTTTTTCTCCTTCCCTTTCTCTCCTACTCCCTCTCTCCTGCCTCCTGGAATCACTTCACAAATAAATTACCTTCCTTGTCCTAGGATCCTTTTAGGATAACCTAGATTATGACACACCTTGTCCTGTCTTGGCTTCCAGACATTGAATTCTGACACTGAATTGCAAACATTTCATTCTGACCAGAAATTTAATTCTGAATTCTTCCTACCAAACTCTTCATCTTCTTAATGACATTGGCTTCCCGTTTTGATTAATCTGTCTGACCACTAATCTCCATAAGCCCTCAACCAACTGATTGCTTAGCTTTCTGGAATAATGGGATTCCCATTCTCTAGTAAAGAGGTGTGCAAATGTCACCACCCACTGCGAGGGAAGATGTCAGCCCTGGGTAGCAAGATACTCACCCTGAGTGAAAGTTGTTGGAACTGAGGTGTTCAGGTTTTGGCATCTCCGCAGAGGAGCATAACACTGTTGATGCCAGTTGCTGGTTCTCAAGTATCCTTCATCTGAATCCCAAGAAATTCAGGCATCCCAATTTTTCTCAGAAACTAAGCTGTAAAGTTGGACAGAGTTAGGCCCCACATGATGACCACAACTGAGAGCTAGAAACCCTGGTGGAAAGAGATCCCTTTCTCACTTTGGCGAGACCAGGGACAATGGCCATATAGGCTGTGAAGGCAGCAGCACCGCACAGTAAAGGAGCTATAGAAACCACAGCAGTGGTGGCTCTGGTAGGATCAGCAGCAGCTCTGCCCCAGCCTACTGTTCAAGAAGACAGGAGCTGACCTGGCATCTGTAACACTGGGAAAAGATGAATCTACAACAAGAACACATACTACCCAGAACATTACTTAGAAGAGGAAGAGTAATTTAGAGAGTCCCAGATTACCTAACTATCACCTAACTCAGAATGGCATATCATCAATGGCACTGGAACATCTGTAGGCCAGTCAATGAATCTCTTTAATTGAGTTTCTGTCTGTAAAATTAGAACACTCATACCTAGCCCTCTTACTTCATGGAGCTGTTGTTGTGAGTGTAAAATGAAATACTGGAAACAAGATCATTTTATAGAATAAATTATAACTTACAAAATTGTAAAGTTTGGTACATGTAATCAATTAGAAGTGCCTAATTACCTCTTCCCACATTCATTAGGGCTGACCCATTGTCTTTTCAGACTTTCACGTGTGAGGGTAGAGAGCCTGTTTCATTCCTCTCACTAGTCATCTTCAGTGCTTTGAATATTGAATGTCATTCCTTAATTGTTGAAGATTGGGAACTGTGATAGTCAATATAAGTGTCCCCTACTAAAGGAATATCTTCTATTTTTATATCAACCCAGACATTTTTCTTTTTACAGGAAGGCTGAAATTGCAATGAATATGGGTGAAACTCGTATTATTTCCAGTGCTATTCTTTCAGCCATAGATGAAGACTCACCCAGGGAGAAGATTTACTATGTATTTGAAAGGCTTCCCCAAAATGGGCAACTTCAGCTTAAGGTTAGTGACTTCTTACTTTTATTTTTCAAAACTAACGTAGCAGGTATAAATCTTCTCAATATACACATTTCTATGATGGGATTTATTCTCTGATAGACATATATTTGCCTAGAAGTAGAAAATTTAATTTTACTAGTTCAGGGTGAATTCATGCTGTTCTAAAGTCTTTGTCAACATGGGGTAAATTCAACAAATATTAAGATTCTTCATTGCTCCCTCTCCCGTAGGATTATCCCTAAATTCTGAGGGAGGGAATTACTGGGGTAAACCAAGCTGTCTGCTTTCTGAGGATAATCCAGGATCTTTTGTGATATCTTCATTTCTACCAGATTTTTGACTTGTGATTCATGTAACTTTCCTCTTTAGCATCCATCATCTCAATTATAAAACTCCTTCAAGTCTACAGTCTTTCTTGTTCTCTCAATCTCTCTCTCTCTCTGTGTGTGTGTGTGTGTGTGTGTGTGTGTGTGCGTGTGTGTGTGGGTGTGTGTATTTCAGCTAAATTCTAGATCATTCTCAGGAAAATGAAAACTTTCATTATTTTTTCATGATAATCAGGTCCAAGGAAACTTGGAGGGCTGCCTCTAGCTCCTCTGGCCCTAATGTCTCTGTTAAAACATTATCTGAATCCCAGCACTTTGGGAGGCCAAGGTGGGCGGATCACAAGGTCAGGAGATCAAGACCATCCTGGCCAACGTGGTGAAACCCCATCTCTACTAAAAATGCAAAAATTAGCCGGGTGTGGCAGCACACACATGTAATCCCAGCTACTCATTACTCTGCAGGCGGAGGCAGGAGAATTACTTGAACCCGGGAGAGGGGGGAGAGGTTGCAGTGAGCTGAGATTGTGCTGCTGCACTCCAGCCTGGGTGACAGAGCAAGACTCCGTCTTAAAAAACAAAACAAAACAAAACAAAACAAACCATTATCTGAGTATTATCACCTCCTGCCTTCTCAATGATTTGCCACAGTGAGCATCTTTCTTTCTTTCCTTCCAATTCTCATCTTTGTCGCTGAGCAGGGGCCATCCTTATGTCTTCTCCAGGGAGACTACTTACTCCACAAACAATATGCCAAATTGTTCTGTATTCTATCTGACATGAACTTAAAAGACGAAAGTTCAGTGTCTTCATCCCACTGCAGTCCCACCTCCCCTTGCAGCACCAGAACCCTTATTGTTTAGGTTCAGATGGGCAAAGTCTTGGACCAAAAAGGCAGTGTGGGAGAAAACTTCACGTGGGAGTCATCCCATCCTGCTAGCATAACAGATTTTAACAACTGCCAAATTTGAATCCCATGAACTGCATGACACCGTAAATTAACATTCCTGGAATTGTATATGTTCTCAAAATTAGATGCTTTAATGGAAAGCAAATAAGCATGGAAACAATAAAGGGAGGATTCTAGGGGTAGGTCACCTGGGTTTTACTGCTAACTCAATAGCTTGCTCTGTGATTTGATAAAATGTCCTTGTTTCACTTTAGGCCTAGAATAGCAAAATTTCAGTCTGATTCAGACTGTGTGCATGATGCCCAAGGATCAGCCCAACGTGAATTATATAGATCAGTCACCTGAGAAGGTCAGTTGAGTAATCAGTCCAAATGTTTATTTCAATGGTAGATTAAGACTAGCAACCACAACCACCAACCATCCCCATTGCAATTATTTGATGGAATGCTTAACTTTCCATCTAGTGGAGGCACAGTCCTAGAAAAGCAGCAAGAATTCATTCTATGTGGAACAGCTTGATTGTCATAGATTGTAGGCACCATAGAGAATCAGAGTGAAGAGCAATCACTGATTTAAATTGAGGTACAGCTGTGTCCTTATTTCATTTCAAAGAGTAATGAAGCAGAAATGCAGTGAGAGCTCACACATTTGGGTGGCTTGGGAACGGAACTGTTTTGGATATGTGAAAATGCAGATGGGTCCAGGTTCCCAGTATGGCTCCACACAGTTCTCTCCCAGCTCCCTAGCAGTTCTCCGAGTCTTTCCAAGACCAAGGACCAGGACTCCAGCCCTCCTGGACTCTCCCAAGAGTTATCGTTTTCTTATTGACTTCTCTTAGTTTTCGCCATCTTGAATCTGACTTTTATTTTCTTTCTATTTCTGGGTCTTCAAATGATTTTATTAAGTCAGTCTTACATTTTGGAGTGCAAGTAAGGAATTACATGGAGACAAGAGAGAGGAAAAGATGTCTTCTTCTGTGCTTACTTCCTTAGACAAGATTAGAAAAGGGAAAATGTGAAATACAATTGCAGGCTTTCCCGTTTAAAACCTGAAAGAGTCTGTTTTAAAAATTATATTGGCAAATAGGTCTTATGGAAACAAACTCTAGCTTAATTATTATGATGTAATTAACTTCCATCCAGTGAGCGTGAGGGCAGAACATAAGTCTACAAACATCAGATGGATAAACATATTAAAGAGAAAGAAACGTTATCAAGTAGAATGACATAAAGGCAAGTGGTAGCACAATGGCAAGAGAGGAGGACAAAGCTCTTTTGCCAGGAACTGGGAGTCTGTGGAATCTGGAAGTCTGTATTCTATCTGACATGAACTTAAAAGATGAAAGGTCAGTGTCTTCATCCCACTGCTGTGCCACCTCCCCTTGCTGTACCAGAGCCCCCATTGTTTAGGTTCAGATGGGCAAAGTCTTGGACCAAAGTATCAAGGGGAATAAAAAGTAAATGATTTACATTTCTGTTTTAGACTCTTAAATGAGACAGTAAAACCACAGGATAATATCATATAATAAATTTTAAGATGACTTTAAAAAATTATGTCTGATGACTTTTTATGAGCCATTCCTAGGGAAAGCTATGTACCTTAAATGAACAATAATAGGATTATTAATAAGATAATAAAGATTTATGATTACATTTTCTAACACTGTCAGTTGTTAGCCACCCCCCTCAGCATAAGAACCTTTTTAAATTCAAAATGCCACAATTTCTGCATCAAGCTCTGTACAAAACATATGCTTAAATAATGTTGGCTTACTTTTAGAAGATTCTGATAAAAACAATATACGATATTTGCAGTTTATATTTTTTGATGACTTAGGATATAAATGTAGGTAGTGATAGTGATCCCCATCATTTTCTTTCTTTAGTAAGGCTGGAAACATACTGGGGAGTAAATGCATCTGTTCTATTTTTGTTCTGTCTACTTCAGACAAGCCCAGTAATGAGCCATGTTGAAAAAAAGTATATTTGACTAGTTGAACATGAAAAGAACTAAAAAATGGAAACTCTGAAAGAAATACATTTAATTTCTAAAGAATCCCTTCCAAGAGCTCGATTACCCACCTCCTCTTATTAATTGGAATATTCAATCAGCTATGGTTGCTTATGAGGAACACCTTGGAAGTAACAATGCTGTTGAATTGTTTGACTTCGTCTGAAACCCTTTGGTTGAAGCCGGTGTTTTTCCAAGGTCTCAAATTATTCTAATATATTTCTTTGAAAAGAAAAAAAAATCAGGTAAAGTGGCAAAAAGTAGTCTGGAATTTCCCTGAAATATTATTTATATTGGAGGTTTTTAGGGGATACAGAAAATGTCCACTAACGTACGTTGGGGGAAAAGAAAAAACCATGAGCAGCTGACTAACTCTGGCTCCTTCCAGATAGGGAGGGACTGGGTTCCTCTCTCCCCTGGCATGAAATGCACTCAGGAGGAAGTGGATCTGAACTTGCTGAGATACACACACACCGGGGCAATGGATTCCCAGAATCAAGATAGCTTCACCTTCTACCTTTGGGATGGCAACAACAGGTCCCCTGCTCTTGACTGTCAAATCACCATCAAGGACATGGAAAAAGGTAAAAGCACGTCTACCAAGGTTTACTGGGATCAACTTTGCTAACTGGTATAAGTATTCCACATTCGTTTCTTTCTCTCTCTTTCCCTCCCTTCTTTCCTTTTTTCCTGCCACTCTTCATCTTTGAAATTCTATCATTTGTGTTTAGATCCTTTGGCTTCTCACCTGCTTTGCCTGGGACCTATGTGGTTCACAGAAGTAGCCAATCCATTCGTTATTTTAAAAAGTTTATTGGAAATTCAGCCTTGCACACAATATGGCTATACAGGCTACTTTAACTGTTAGGATTTTTTTGCTTTAAGTAAAATTTTACCAAGTTGATGTGTAACTCTAGTTTTATCTTCAGGAAGTGATCTATCACTGGAAAATGGAGTTTCAAAGGAAAAGTACTTCTAAAACAATAAAATAATAAATGAAAAATACATTTTAAAATTTAAAAATAATAAAGATAAACTTTGTCATTAGAAAGGCTGGAAGTTGCTGCTTCTTTCACTTTGAAAGTGCTAACATATACTCTTTAGGGACAAGGAAAGACACTATAAGATCAACTTCTTGTGAGTTAATTAAGCAGAGTCAGTTGTATAAGTGGTGAATGGGGGAGAGTTAAATGGAAGATGGAGGAGAGTTTGTTTAAAAAGCTCAGCAAGGAAGAGTAGAAGCTCTTGATACCCAACTGTTACTACCCTGTAATTTTGCTTCAGCTTATGTGAGGATCATATCTCATTCATCTGTATTATCCCAGGATCTAGATATTCCCAGGATGAAGCATAATCTTAGATCCTCAGTACATGCTTGATTGACTGAATGCTTCCCTTTTTTTGCCTTGGCTGCCAGGAAGCTCAGAGGTAAATTGAATGCTTAAGTGCAATAATAAAAAAAAAATCTTGCTTTATGTGTGGCAGAATTATAATTGTCCTAAATTTTTAAAAAATTAATTCAGTTTGATCTTGAGATGTTTACATTGAGCTGTGTAATAATATATTTTATTTGCTTATTTCCTGGTTGTAAATGTGTTCCTTAAAGAAGTCTAATGAGTGATTTCAGATAAGCTAGATGTTACTGTACACATTTATCTCTCCCTGCAAAACAACTATGTTCATCATAAATGTATGTCCAGGCAAATCGTAATACAAGTAATATATTAGGGCAGACAACTAGTGTATTAGAGTAGGCCACCTTCTCATTGGCTCAGCACAACACAACTTTACAGTGACATAGGAGAGCTCTGTTCCACATAGTCATCTAGGGACTCTTTATATCTAGACATTCCCTTATTCTGAAGGCCTTAGAGTCACTCAAGAAGTGAGATATGGAAGAAAATTAGGGGATGTCATGCACTAGGTGTGAAGGTTGTGTACCTCTCTTGTACACATTCCAGTGGCTGAATCACAGCCACATGCCACATTAAGAGAGGCTGGGCAATAGAAACTTTAGCTTTGCACCCAGGAAGAAAGGAAATAAAGTTAGCCAGTGCGTTGCCAGACTCTGCTGCAATTGACATGTGATTATTTTCTAAAAGGATTTTTGAAAACCTATACCGAGTAGACACATTATCCTATTAACATTTTCAGTTCAAATTTTTTCTTCTTTGTTTCTTCTTACAAAGTGGTGTTTTGTCACTGTACAGTTTTTTGTTTTGTTTTGTTTTGTTTTGTTTTACTTAACATGAGTTTTTTCAGGTTGCTGCATAACTTTGTAGCCATAATTGTTTATCTCTAAACAAGACTATACTAAAGAGTTAGATTTAATCACAACCTTAAAGTTGAGCATTTGGTTGTTTCCATTTGGGAGCTATTATAAATAACATTAAGCTTCCCAACTGCTGTGTTGCTGTGTTTTCTGATTTGCACAGTGGCAGAAATGATGTTGAGATCTTTCAGATAAGTTTAGGAGGACATTGTCTATAGTTGACTCTAACCTACACTCTGCCCTTACAGTGCTGAAAACTTGCATCAAGGCAAGAGCTGGTTGCTCTTCCTCCCCTCAGGTCCATTTCCTGCTCCTGGTGAAACCTCTCGTGGGTGCTTTGTGTTTCCCCCACCTAATTCATTCTTCTTACTTCCTTGATGTATTCATCTTGCTTCTGTCTGTAGCATCTGTGGCTAAGGTTTTGATTTAAATTTAGAATGGTCTTTGATTCTACGTAGGACTGAAGTTGCAAAGCATTTTGAGATAAAAGCATAGTATATGAAAAGACCAATTTAGTAATCTGAAATAGCGTTTTCCAATCATGGCACCATTGACATTTTGGGATGGAGGATTCTTTATTGCAGGTGACTCCCTTGTGCATTGTAAAATGTTTAGCAGCATCCCAGGTCTCTGAATCTAGAAGCCAGTAGCAACTCCCAGTTATGACAACCAAAAATGTCTCCAGACATTGCCAAATGTCCCTTGGGGAGCAAAATTGCCTGTCGTTGAGAACCACTGGTTAAAATTGTACCACTTTGATGGTTTATTTGTATTTCTTATTTCTTCATGAGGCTGAATATCTTTAAAAAAATTTTTTTGGCCACTGTGTTTTTAAGTTCAGAAATAGCTTGGCATTTACATCACGTGTTTTTCTTTTTGGATATTCACCCTTTCAGTATTAGTTCACAAGAGCTCCCTAGGTATTAAAGACAGGGAACAAAATAATGCAGTGTTTAAGAGCTTGTGCTCTGGGCTCAGATGGCTTGCGTACGAATTCTCACTCAATGTTTTATTAATTTTGTAACCACAAGCAGGTAAGTTAGCATTTCTATACCTTAGCTTCCTCATTTGTAATTTGGGCATATGATATGACAATACCTCACAAGATTAGTGTGAAGGTGTAAGGGTCTTTAGTTCTGTACCTGACATAGAGTAGAAGCCCTATATTTGAGATATGATCACTTGGTAATGGACGTCAGGTGAACAAAATTCAATTATGGTCCCTAGTTTGTGAAACTGCATCATTGGTCCATGTGTGACCCACTTCTACCTTCCTCAGTCATACATTTAAAAAAAATAGTGGTGAATTATGCATAACACAAAATGTACCATCTTAACCATTTTTAAGTGTACCAGTTCATAGTGTTAAATATATTCATGTTGTTGTCCATCCAATCTCCAGAATTTTTTCATCTCAGAAAACTTAAAGTCTATACCCATTAAATAATGACTCCTCATTTCCCCCTCCCTGGCAACCATTGTCCTGTGTTCTGTCTCTATGAGTTTTGCTACTCTAGGTACTTCATGTAAGTGGATATCTTTTCATGACTGGCTTATTTCACTTAGCATAATGTCCCCAAGGTTCATGCATGTTGTAGCATGTGCCAGGACTCCCTTCCCTTTTAAGGCTGAATGGTATTACAGTGTATGTATATGCCACATTTTGTTTATCCACTCATCTGTTGAGAGGCACTTGAGTTGTTTGCATCTCTTGGCTATTGTGAATAATCCTGATATGAATATGGTTGTATAAATATACATTTAAAAAATATATCATGAACATTTGTGCAACTACCACACAATTGAAGGACTGGAATATTAACAATAGACATCTTCCTACGTTCTCCAGAAAAAAATACCATTCTAAATTTTGTATTTCTTCTTACTTTTATCATTTTCTCAGCTTGCTCATATAACTAATGAATGTTAATAAACTACATCTGTGTTGTTCCATGTAGCTGTAGTTCATTCATTTGACTACTGCATGAAATTCAGTTGTGTGAACAGAACACAGTTTGTGTATACATTCACTTTTTGAAAAGGCATTTGGGTTGCATGTAATGCTTTCAATTACAGACAGTACTGCAATGACCATTTGGGTGCATGTCTCCAAGCGTAGCAGGGCAAGTGTTTCTTTCAAGTACATAGCTGGGGTGGAATTGCTGGGTCAAGGTATACGTGAACATTCGACTCTTTACAAAATAATGCCAAATCTTGTACCAATTTACACTCTTTCCAAAATTGTATGCAAGACTCTCTTGAGCTATGTCTTCAACACTTTGTACAGTCAGGCTTCTACATCCTTGCCAATCAAAAAGTTATGAGATGACAATTTATCATGATATTTGTATTTCCATAATTACTAATGAGCTTGAGCATTTAAAAATATCTTTACTGGCCACGTGAATTTCTTCTTCTGTGAAATATCTGCTCATGCCTTTTGGTTAATTATTTTTATTCATAATAGTTATATAAACCTTTCTATGTCGTATTAATTTTGATTTTTGCACAGTTTTGGCCTTTGTCTTCTGCCTTTGCCTTGGACATAATGTGTTTTTTGATATGATTATTGACCATAACCTCTTATGTCATGTAGGTGATATTGTCATCCTTACAAAACCACTCGTGGTGTCTAAAGGTGATAGAGGTTTCTTAACAACCACCACGCTCCTGGCTGTGGACGGAACAGACAAGCCTGAGGAACTGCTCTATGTCATCACCTCCCCTCCGCGATATGGCCAGATCGAATATGTTCACTATCCTGGAGTTCCCATTACAAACTTCAGCCAAATGGATGTAGTGGGGCAGACAGTTTGCTATGTACACAAGAGCAAGGTGACTGTCTCCAGTGACAGATTCAGGTGAGCCCCATGGAAACTTTTCAAACCCCTTCTTTGGATTAATACTTACAGAAAAGGAGATCTGTTAATGTGCTTCACTATAGTAACCATTTCACAAAATACATGTATCTTATAACATCACGCTGTATACCTTAAATTTATAGAATGAAATTTGTTTTTTAAAAAAAGGAAAGAAAAGGAGAAAAAAATGAGTCATTTTTCAGCTCTGGTGCAGCTGTGTTTTTCTTTTACTGTCTTGTTGTATGTAAGGTGAAGCCACACGATTAAAATGACAGAAGCAAAGCAAGAAATTAGGGCCTGTTATTGAAAAATATACACAGTAAACAGATCTTTATGCAAGTTCTGCTACGAGGAGAAATGTGAAAAGCTGAGGCTCCCAGCTAAAGATAGATCTGGAAAAGTCATTTCCCTCTTTTTGGAGTATGTTTTTCTGTCTGACGAAAAGGGATTTATTAGTAAACATTTGGCATAAACAGAGACTGCCTTTTGACACAATGTGTTCTGGTAACTGTATCATAAATCATGTTGTCATAAAGTAGATCATATTTCCCCATAGAAACAATGTTGTAATTGGGGGCTGCGCACCTGTTCCAGAATTCCGTATCAAATAAATCATTGGAATGAATAACAATCTGGTGAAAAGGCAAAGATACAACATTAATGAAAATCTACATTCATTTAAAATATGGAAATTTGTTTCAAGTCACATAAAGCAAGAGCCAAGTCCAGAAGATCTATAATCTCGCAGCTCTCAAAGCTGGTTGATCCTGAGGTCCTGGAGAGAAACACAGATCCCCAGGCCGGGCATGAGAACTGGGAAATGTTGGACTTTGAACGAACCATTGTATACAATCCAGTTTTGAGTTCTGTCAGTTCAGAAGGAGGCCTGGAGAGCACTGGTTTGTCTATTGTACACCCACACTTTTGGTTCCTGGTGCAATTTTCACCACGTCACAATACAGTCTTCTAAAGAGCACTATAAAATAACATAAATGGAGCATACTCCTATATTATTCAATGGGTTCCCATAAACTATCAAGTATCACTGTCACACCCATGTTCGAATATCACTGTCCTCTATCTTACTTTTACCTATCTAAATTCAATATATCTGCTCTGATAAACACTGGTTAGATGTCAGTAAAGAGGATGCTGCTCACCTTTTTAGCATTAAAATGATTTTTGAAAGCTGATTTGGATAATCCAACAAAACAAAACAAAAAATCCCAGAAAGCTGGAACGAATATCTTATTTTTTTCTCTTGATAAGTGTCCCTTAACAAGCAGGTAATCATTTAATTGATCAATATTTTAACTAGTTCAGTCTTTGAGTGTTGCTAGGCATTCACTAAAATGTGAGATGTGGGGATTCCTTTTCAAGCTGGCTCTTTTGTTTGAGAGATGGAGTAGTGAAGTTAAGATACAGGCTTGGGGGCAAGAACTGCCTGAGTGACTCACAACTCTGTGACAATCATCAGGTTACACAACCTCCTGTGCTCTTGTTTCCTCTTCTTTGAAATGGAATGATGCTCGTAGCACCTGCCTCACAAGGTTGCGGGAGGTTTATATGAGCTTATGCATGTAAAGTATTAGTAGAACAACACCTGGCACATAGGAAGAACTAAGTAAGTGTTAGCTACTACTCTTACTGTCGTTGTTGTTGTCATTATATTCTTTCCTTGACGACCTTCTTCCAATCTTTACAACACCAAGTATGATCTTGAAGGAGGAAAGGAGTTACCAAGAGGAGCAATGATTGTTCTTTTTTTCCTGTTTGCTTATGAAGGCTGGGTGCTTCTTGGCTTAATACATTTGTATCAGATCCAGGGCTTTTAATTTTACATGCATTTCTGGAACTTCTAGCTTCTTTCATTTCCTGCTTCCCTCCGTCAATGCCCACAGGACAGTCTGCTGAAGACATTAGTGACTGTCTTGAAGAAACCAGTGACCTTGCTGGAGAACACAGGACTGAATGCATAAAGATGTTCAGAAATGAAGGTTAGATATTAATCGAATGGTGAGAATAAAGAACAAAACCTCCGTATGAAACGATTGGCAATACTGTAAAAATTTCCTAATTTGCATCCAGAGAAAGTCTTATTAGATGGCATTTTAGAAATCATTTATCCCAGGAATTTCTACATTTCTGGATCCTCAGATAATTGCCAGAGAGAACTACAAAATGCAAATTCTTGGGCCTTACCCCAGAGAGGCAACTTTGGTAAGTCCAGTCTCAGGCCCAGAAATCTGTATTTTTGAAAGATATCTTCAGGTAATTCTGATGCAGTCAGGACTAGCCATCAATAGTCTGGTCTAGTCTGTTGTTCTGAATTGTTCTGAGGAGCCTCAAGAATTTATGGAAGTTGAGGCTGGGGCAGTGGCTCACGCCTGTAATCCCAGCACTTTAGGAGGACGAGGCAGGTGGATCACCTGAGGTCAGGAGTTCGAGACCAGCCTGGCCAACATGGCGAAACCCCGTCTCTACTAAAAATACAAAAAATTAGTTGGGAGTGGTGGCGGGCACCTGTAATCCTAGCTACTTAGGAGGCTGTGGCAAGAGAATTGCTTGAGCCCGGGAGGCAGAAGTTGCAGTGAGCCACGATGGTGCCACTACACTCCAGCCTGGGCAACAAGAGCGAAACTCCATCTCAAAAAAAAGAATTTATAGAAGCCTTTTTAGGGCCTCCCAGAGATTGAGATTCTGGGGCCTTCAGCCCAATGTACTGATGGAACTTAGGTGTGTGTGTTGTGTGTGAGTGTGTGTGGGTGTTGATACTAAAAACAGTACTATAAATACCATAAAACTAAATATAAGAAAACAAATTTTTTATGCTTGCAAGTATTCAGTTTTTAGTAGTTAAAAGGTTTCCTTTTAAATACATTGATTCAAGTTAAAAATTGAATTGATAGAAAACTAGTAAATAATAAGAGTACACATAGTACAGGCATATGGCAAAAATATGGTTTCAATTACTCAAGATTAGGAAACAAGGTTTTAGGGAGAAAATAAACAATAAAGGCTGAAAAGCATTGATTTGGTGCAATCCCTTATTTACACATAGGAAAGCTAGCATTGCCTGAACACCTGCAATGCACCAGAGAATGTCCTGGACTTTTTTTATATGTTATTTTTCTTAAGCCTTATGACACCACCTTGCGAGAGATGCAATAGTGTTCCCATTGTACACATGAGAAAACCAAGGTTCCAAGAGGCAAAGGAAGTCACCTAAACTGACATAACTGAGTATCACTGCTGAATTTGGGGCTCAGAGCTCATTTCCAGTAGAAGGTTCTTTCCATTATACCTCGTTGTACCAAAAATTTGTGGAGAATATGCATTTGTGTGAAGGAACCTCCTCAATGTGTCATTCTGATATTTGGCCAGCAGTTTTACATATTTATAATGGAAGAGCCTAGCGTCTGCCCAAGACCCAAATTTTAATCTTGTCATTTCACTAACCCAATCACGGACTGCTATGTTGTTTGTCAAGTGGCGCTAAACCAAAGCTGAAAGCCTGTTTTAATGAAAGTGTGATCATGGTGCTTTTTAAAAATTAAATATATGCAACCAATCTAATCACCTAAATTTATGTTGCTTGCTGTTAAATTTGGCAAGGAATTTGGCTGGGTAGAAGAGATAAATTCTGTGGCAGAGGATTTTCCCCCTTCCATTTTTAATGTAAGCTATGGCAGCATTAATTAAATGGGGGAGTTTAATAGTCAGATTTTACCTTCTGCAAAAATATTTTGTGAATCATAAATTTCTCCTGCATTGTTTGGTGCTGCTGGCCTGGAAGAAAGATTTGGCAGCATGTTCTAGGACAGATGACACCGAGTGATTAGCAAGCTGACTTCAGCTGCTGGCAGCCGGGTACTAAAAGAACATGCTAATGTCCTCCATTTTGACATGCCGGCTGGACTTTTTTTTTTTTTTTTTCTGAGGAGCTGGCGCTATTTATGATTCCATTTTTATCTCTTAAATGCCATGACAGATGGCAGCTTCTTCAGCCAACTCTATTGCCAGGCAATGCAGAAAGCTTGAAAGCACCGTGGTAATGGTGAAATCAGACCAGGCAGGCACCCCAGTCAAATCTGAGAGTTATTCCCCAAATTTCATGAGAGCGGTGGTCATCTTGGCTGCATCTCTTCTCAGGGGGATGTAACAAGGGAAATTAAACAAAATGGATCCACAGAAGGAGCTGCTACCACCAACTTCTTCACCTCAGAATGGATACCAACATAGCAATGGCTTTATGGTTTTAAACATTGAGAATGTATTTGGAGGATTTAGGGGAGGGGGTATTTGGAAGACCATCTGATTGATCAGCTTTTCCAGACATGAACAGCACTGACCTTTTTTCACGTGTACTGCTAGCTTTATTTTGACTGGGAACTCAACCGTAACCATTCATTCTGTCCCTCTCTCTGATGATGTCTCTCTGCCTGTGAGTAGTTTGCACTGTTACTTGTGAAAGTGGAATGATGTTATTTGATCCAGTCATGTTTAGAAATTGCATCATTTTCACCCCTGGCCTATTAGCTTTAGGTCAGCACTGACAGCTGCCTTGGTGTCCCAGATAGGAGCGCTGGCCTCAGAAAACATATTTCTTACTCTTCTGTGGTCTGTGGCCCGCGTGCCCTCACTCCCATCTGTCTGATGGCAGGCTGCCTGTTTCCAACGTGGGCAGATCACGATCTTCCAGCAGGGAGGGGTTTGAGATGGACAGCCTGGATCATAAGACAACTGCGGTGACCTCACAGAGGCCATGCACGCATCGAGTAGATGTGGCCGTCCTGAGATGAGCTTTGAGGACCCCGTCAGGCATTCTTGCAATTCAGTCTGCAGGGAGGAAAGTCAGAATTAGATATTCAAGATGGCCGCCTCTGATGGAGTCCCTGGCACTCACTCAAGCTTGCATTTGGGTTTGTTGCTCCTGGTCCCATCTCTCCCCTTCTTTCTTCTTCCTTCTCTGCTGATATTTGACATACTTTTAATAGTGCACAATGTCTATAGCTCTACAATTAATGCTAATGCTAAAAATACACGTCCTTTGGCTTATATTTGCGCTAAGGTACCAATGGCTGATTTAACACTCTCCACAGAGCACACTTGATACAGGGATCTGGTAAGGAACAGAGAGCCAGTTTAATGTGAAACAGGGTAGAATGAGAGGTGTGAAACATATTTCTGGAGGGGGAAAATGGGAAAAAGGGAACTTGGAGGCACTGAGGGAGCACCTAGCCTCCTTCCTATTTTATTGTGGGTCAGATGATAGGATCTGGGGGGAATATGAAAAAGTAACAGAAAAACAATAGAATAAAGGCATAACTCTGTTCTCAGGCTCTGCCTGAGAAATAAAGCATAATTTTATACCTAAAAATGTATATCAGTTTACTTTTGAAACTGTGAAGGTGACTAAGTAAAAAGTTTGAAGAACAGACATATTTTTCTAGGTTCCTTTATTTTCTTTTTTAAAATTATTTTTCTTTTTTTAAGATGGGCTTTTGCCATGTTGCCCAGGCTGGTCTCAAACTCCTGAGCTCGAGCGCTCCACCCACCCCAGCCTCCCAGAGTGTCCAAGCTATAGGCGTGAGCTACCGCGCCTGACTTCCTTTCCTTTCCTTCCCTTCCCTTCCCTTCCCTTCCCTTCCCTTCCCTTCCCTTCCCTTCCCTTCCCTTCCCTTCCCTCCCTCCCCTCCCTCCCCTCCCTCCCCTCCCTTCCCTCCCTTTCCTTTCCTCTTTTTTTTTTTTTTTTTTTTTTTGAGACAGGTTCTCTGTCTGTTGCCCAGGCTGGAGTGCGGTGGCACGTTCATGGCTCACTGTAGCCTCAACCTCCCAGGATCAAGTGATCCTTCCACCTCAGCCTCCCTAGTAGCTGGGGCTACAGGCACGCACCACACCCAGCTAAATTTTGTATTTTTTGTAGAGAAAGGGTTTTGCCATGTTACCCAGGCTGATATTGAACTCCTGGACTCAAGCCATCTGCCCGCCTTGGCCAGCCAAGGTACTGGGTTTACAGGTGTGAGCCACTGCACCAGCCTCTTTTATTTTTTTTAATAAATAATTGATTTTTATAAATGCCTCATGATCCAGTAATGAAATTGCCCAATTTGTTAAAAATATACTTATCAAAGGTTTAATTTTATGAAAGGAAAACTGATTGGTTTGTTTTGAGAAAATTATGTGATTTTGCTCAATCTATAATTCTAAAGGTAACTGAATACCTTTATTCAAGGTGTAAAAAATGCTGCTGTGGGGGAAATGTATGAGGTTTCATTCTTTACAAGTCGAGGTGTGTGAAATGTCAAAATTTACTTTATTTGTTGTATTTCACTTAGCAATTTTAACTTTTTGGACATAGATTTCTTTTTCTTTGCATCAAATCAGATATATTTTCCTTGTCAACAGTCTTATTAACTAGATAATTAGAAAACTAAAAAACTTCAGCATAGCCTTCAAAGCAATATCAGTACTCAGCCAAACTCATCTCTTTTTACTTTTTGTCTAACTGCCCTCCCTGAGTCCGTGGTCGCAGGCAGGCTGGTTGACTCGTTGCTTTCACACTATCTAATAGCTTCAGGTTTCTTCATGCTCAAAAGGATCAATGCTCAAACCCTGAAGGACAAGACACATTTCACAAAGAATAAAGGGATTGTTAGTCAAATCTGCCAGATTTGTAAAATAAATATAAATGCCATACCTTCTCTAGTTAAAAAAGAACTTCCAAAGAAAATATACAATTTATATATGTATATAAAATTTATACATAAAAATGTTATGTATAGTTTATACATTCTACGAAAGCATTAGTTTTAGAGGTTTTTGTATCGGTGGAATAGAAGAGTGCATCCTCTACGAATATTTCCAGCAACTATGGTACATGGAGAAAAGCTAACAAGGCACAATTCTGTGATTATTTCTAAGTACATTTCTTTGGTGTACAGTGAATTTGTCAGTCCCATTGGATAGTAACGATTTCCTAACTTTTTGGAGTTTTAATATTGTGCCTTGTTTGCATAATTTCATGATACTCTTAATCTTATTGAAATAAAAATTACATATTGTAATGCTACAAAGATCATTTAAATCAGTGTTATTGTGAAATTGGCTTCAGTAGGTAGAATGTGATTTCATGATCAATAGAATCAAAAGCACATTAAGATATCACAAACCTAAGACTGTAAGAAAGATTTTGCTTGTCTCAAATGTGTATCATTTCAGCTTTCTTTTTATAGTTTTGCAATGGTGCTCAGGCACCACAACTCTTTTGTGGTGGATTGCTAAACCAGAATTTGTTTTAAACTCTGCAAGAGTAGTGGGTGCAGGGATTAAAAGACCTGCATTCTAGTCTCAGCTTCATCTCCTACCTGCCCTTATGATCTCCCACCAACTTTGTGAACCTTTCTTTGAAGCAGGAAAATAATCCTTGTGTAGCATAACTCTCATCTGTCTTATAGGGGGAGAAAGTGCAGAAGCACATGTAAACCATAAGAGATTAGAGCCTCCCGTCATATTTTAGAGTTGGGTGGTACTTAATGATCTTCTGGTCCATCCCCTTCATTTTTCAGAGCCATGGAAATGAGGCCTGGAAGGGGAAGATGATTTAAGTGAGATTACATGTCTGAGAAATGTGATCTGCTATTAAGAAATTTACCATAAAAACGTATGAGTAGAATGAATTAGCTAAATTCAACTCATTTAGCACTTTATTGTATTGGCCTCCCAGTTGTCAGACTTACAACTTTAGTCTATTACACACCAATGAAGAAAAAAACAATTGAAAAATTATAAATAAATAAAGGGGGTATACTCTTCAAATTTGTATGATGAGTCTCATTGGATGTGAAATTTTTATTTGCGTCAAGGAACCACATTAAGCACTGATGAGCCTGAGAAATATGATTGTCAGAATTTCCCTGTTCCATCACATGGGTCTGTCATTAATGTTGTTGGGAAAATATTCTTGGGTGTAGAATGGTCCATTTATGCATTACTCTAGTGACTGGTTTAATGATAGGGATTTTTCTGCAAGATCTGCCCTTGATTTTTCATTTGAGTCACAACACGACAATACCCTTTAGTAAAGGTGTGTATTGTTATCATTTCATTCCAGTAGATGGTGACACAAGAATCCATGCTGAAGGCTGCCTTGCCTCTCTTTACCAGATTCATCATCAGCAATGGACTGCGGACCGAGCACGGGGTGTTTGAGATCACACTGGAGACTGTGGACAGAGCCCTGCCTGTGGTAACCAGGAACAAGGGGTTGAGACTGGCCCAAGGGGCCGTGGGCCTGCTTTCCCCTGACCTCCTTCAGCTGACCGACCCTGATACACCTGCGGAGAACCTCACCTTCCTCTTGGTTCAGCTCCCCCAGCATGGCCAGCTCTACCTGTGGGGGACAGGGCTACTTCAACACAATTTCACCCAGCAGGATGTGGACAGCAAGAATGTGGCCTATCGGCACTCAGGAGGGGACTCCCAGACTGACTGCTTTACTTTCATGGCCACAGATGGGACAAACCAAGGCTTTATTGTGAATGGGAGAGTGTGGGAAGAACCTGTTTTATTCACCATTCAGGCAAGTATGAAAAACACAGTTCATTTGCCAGAGATGTGAAAACAGTGACATCGAGAATTTTTTTTTTTTTTTTTTTTTTTTGAGAGGGAGTCTCTCTCTGTCACCCAGGCTGCAGTGCAGTGGCGTGATCTTGGCTCACTTCAATCTCCACCTCCTGGGCTCAAGCGATTCTCCTGCCTCAGCCTCCTGAGTAGCTGGGCCTATAGTCATGTGCCACCATGCCCAGCTAACTTTTTTGCATTTTTAGTAGAGACACGGTTTCACCATGTCAGTCAGGCTGGTGGCGAACTCCTGACTTCAAATGATCCACCTGCCTCGGCCTCCCAAAGTGCTGGGATTACAGTCGTGAGCTATCACGCCTGGCCAAGAACTATTTTTTAATTTCTTTTCCTCTTTCATTCAAGTACAGATTATGCATCTACAGCAAAACAGCAATATTAATATGAATGAAAGAGATATGGTCCCCTCATAGGTGCTAATGACTGACCGTGAGTGTTGATGGTAGCACAGAAAGGAGCAAAAGCCACACGCTTTGGAGTCAGACAGACCTAGCTTTGAATTTCTGCTTTGCAATGTATTAGCCGTCTGACCTTAAAGAGTTCTTTAACTCTTCTGAATCTACTTTTCCTTCTTTGAAAAACATGCCTACAGCATTGTGGTGAGAATTCAGTAGGATTAGGTATCCAAAGCAGTAGTATATGGCCTGAAACATATTTGATGTTGAAACTTACAAGGCAGCATCTTTACACTATTACACATATAATAATGATGAGGGTAATAATAGCAGCAATTGCAGTTCCTTTAGTGTTAACTGCAAGCTAGACCCACTCCACATAAATCTTATTTGATTCTCATAAAACTCATATGAAGCAAGTTTTGTTATTTACATTTTATAGATGAGGGTACAAGTTCAGGAGTTAAATAATTTGATCAAATACACACAAAGGCCTCAAGTCTTTCTGATCCCAAATTCTGTGTCCTTTCTATGACACTACACTGCCACATTTGTTGACTGTTACAAGGATTCCTGGAGGGCATAATGTGTTTTTCTTTTTTAAGTCAAAACACATCAAGTATATTCTGGCTCTCAAACCCTTGAATCTACTCTCCTTGGAAGTAGTTCACCCTCTTCTACACACTCACACCAAACACAAAATAGATAAAATTTATCTCTCACTTCAGAATACTTTCTGACTAGTAAAATAGTTACATTTTTCCTTGCTCTGAGAGAGAGAGAGAGAGAGAGAGAGAGAGAGAGAGAGAGAGAGAGAGAGAGATTTATTTTAGGAAATTGGCTCATTGGCTCATGCAATTTTAGGGCCTGGCATGTCCGAAATACACAGGGCACGTTGGCAGGCTACAAATTTCAGCAGGAGTTAACGTTGCAATCTTTAGCCCAAAGGCAGTCTGGAGGCAACATTCCTTCCTTTTTGGGGGGCTTCAGTCTTTTCTCTTAAAGCCTACAACTGATTGGTTGAAGCCCACTTGCATTATGGAGGGTGATCTCTTTACTCAAAATGTACTGATGTAAACGTAATCCCATCTAATACACACCCTGCAAAGTTGACACATGAAATGAAGCCTCACAGACTCTTATCTATGAGGGAAGTCTTGAGATCATAGAGTGGATGCTGGATGAGTCCTTGGCAGTCAGGAGGTCCAAAAAATGCAAAGAAATGATAATGCACTGGGAGAAGAAAGAAGATATTGACATCGTGAACACAGTAAGAAGCACTTTGTATTAAAATTATTGTTTTTATTTTTATCATATGTTTTAATTGATCTTAGTCACTTTCCCTTTTCAGTCTGTTAGTGTCTTTTTTTTATTCCTAACTCCCCTAACCTAGGTTGATACCAGTCTCTGTACTGTCCAACCAGGGATACTTTTCTGGGTCTCTTTGGCTGCAAATTCATACGAATTCTAAATTCTGAGTGCAGATGTTAGAGTTCCTTCCTACACTCCATAGCACAGATGGAAAAGAGGATGGAGATTGGGGAAAGTACCAGAACTTGAATCAGGTCTTTCCCAACACCAACACTCATCTTAAAGAGCATGGCTATTGTAAGAGAGTTATCTATTGGAAGTTGTGGAATTTACTGATAGGAAAATGTTGGACATATATTGTAAAGTTTCTTTTTTTTTGTCAAAAGTATAAGGCTTTCCTTGCAAAAAAAAAAAAAAATCATTACGTGTAAAAACCCCACAAGGTAAGCTTCAAAATTCCTCCCATAATTCCCCAGAACCCTCAGTCTCTTTGAGCAGAGAAGTCAAGAGGCTTTAGAAAGTGACTGACCCCACCAGCAGTGTAGGAGAGATGACACTCAGTGTCTTGCCTTCAAGAGCTTTTTCTGCCAAGACAATATGGATGTTGATCACCGTTGAGTGATAAACTGTCCCAAATAAGTCTCCCAACTATGGGTAAACTATTCTTCTGGTGGTACCTGAGTAATTGAGGGCAAAACTGCTGCAACACACAGGTGTATTTGACTGATACCAGCAGGCACAACCTGACATTCATTTGGTAGGAAATCTTTTCTGTCTGACCAAGATTATTGCAACTGATGCAACCTGTACTTCTCCTTTAAAGGGGTCAGGTGAGCGAGAAAAATGTGATGCCATTGCTTTCTGTGCATTTTCTGTAAATACAACACAAGTTATCAGGGGACAGAGCTTTCTTTAAAAAAAAATCTTGCAACCCAATATTTAAAAATGCTTCTGGGATACTAAGCCAGAAGATCTACTTTTGACAAAGCTAGAAGTTGAATAAGATCTAGGATATATTTTAATGTGACCAGAGACATGACGGGACCGTGTTGCTAGAGTTTAGATGTCCTTTTAAAAACACATGATCACGACAGGCATTTATTACTTTTGTAACACTTTCATTTTTAAGGAATTATAACATCCAAAACCAAAATAAAACAACCATCTACATTCAACTATTCATTTAGTATCAACTCTGGGTATTTCTTATATGGCTTAGAAGTACTTTAATTTTCCTCTTCTTCCACTAACCATCTCTCTTACTGGCCACTTGGTTGTGGGAGCTTCTTCCCTCACGGGCCACAATGACAATTTAATACCCAATCTCATTGCTTTGAAAGTTGCCACCCATACTCTTCAGGAGAGGAGAAGAATGACTGTGACTTTTGAAAATGTCAGTTGCTTTTTCAGTTTATAAAATAACTATGTATTGTAAATAATTCATAAACTACAAGAAAAAAAATTCTTGACAACCATACCACTCAAAAACCTATTGTTGGTGGCTTTCTTTTATTTTGTTCAATTAGAAATGGGATGATATTATATATACTATTTTTTATGCATATTGCCTGTTTCCATCTTCATGTGTTATGAACATTTCCTTATGTCATTAACTATTCCTGATAGTTCTTGATAACTAATCATATTCCTGATAACATGATTTTTAAAGGCTGCATGGAACTCAGTCTCAGGTCGAGATGGTTTATAAATCCCCTGGTGGACTTTTCATTCCTTTTGTAAATTGCTATTATAAATAGTATTTTGGTGAATATATATCTAATCATTTTTGCATACATATCTGTTTCTGCAAGATACAGAAAAATTTTCACTGTTTTGCACCCCTACCAGCAAAATATAAAAATATCTGTTTCTTCACATATTTATCATCATGAGTTATAATTATTTCTGTTTTTTTTTAAGAATCTTGCCAATTTGAGAGGAAAAAATGGTTGGTTGTGACAAAATTTCTCATGAAATAAACAGAGGAGGAGTTGTAATCTTTCCCCACCCCAAAAGAAATGAACACATTTGTGCAAATGCTCCCAGATTTTTGCCTATGTCTATACAAACATTATGTATAGATAAATATATATTTTTAACAAAAATAGTATTATAATTATATTCGAATTCTATTCTGCAACTTGCTAGGGTTTTTCAGTTAACACAAAATTGTGGAAATTTTTCATCATCAATTCATTTTCTCCCTTATTCTTTTGAATAGCTACAGAGTAGTTCATTGTATCATAATACACAAAAATATACATGGTCTTATCATTGACAAGAATTCTTTACTTTGCTAGGGCAAACTAAGATTTACAGTAGTATCAGGTTGGTGTAAATGAAATTAAGAACCGAGAGATTAGGAGTGAGGGGAATGAAGATTCTTGTACATGTTTTCTAGTATCAGTGGTGGATCTGTTCTAATCCATCCAAACCTGCTCCATCCATAACCTACAACAGTCATCTTGCAAATGCAAGATGCACTGAGCTCCGTACAGACTGAACGAGGTCCTTTGTTGTGTTTGAACCTACAGTGTAGGTTGTGAAGATGTCATCCACCATCTTCACAAATCTGGTCCACCTGTTCAGCTACCTGGCTCTCATCTTCAATGAAAGAAATATGCAAATGTCTAGAAATAATCACCTTTCACTTTTTCCTTACTGAGGTATCTCTATTTTTATTCAACATTTTTGCCAGTTGAAAAAAGACATGCCAAAAAAATTTCTATATATTTGTAAACCCTCACAATTTTGTGTCTGTAAATCACTAAATACCAGGAAAATAGGAGAAGTTCTTCTGTGGAGTTAACATGAAGTCTGCTCTAGAATTCTTGGGTCAATTTTAGTGTATTCATTTAATAGACATTCCCTGGGCTTCTATTATGGTTCAGGCACTGTGCCAAGTGCAGGGAATCCATGGCGGTGAAAGACCTGACGCCTGCCCTCTCGGAACTTGTATCCTAAGTGGCAGTCAAGCAATAGACAAATTGATAAAGTGGAGTCAAGGTTTACAGTGGAAAATTGGCCTCTGTTCCAAGCACTGTGATATTTGCTGAGGCTGTTGTGAACAGGACTGTCTTTAGCAGGAATCCACTAGTGAGGAGTATAAGGAATCCAAAACGTGGGACAGTGTGTCATTGTTGAACCAATAAAGCCCAACGTTGCATGGGGGTGAGGGGCCTTTGGACAACATTTTATGTCATTGTTGATGATCCAGGTAGACCAATTGGACAAAACAGCTCCTCGTATCACACTCTTGCATTCCCCTTCTCAAGTGGGGCTCCTGAAAAATGGCTGCTACGGGATTTACATCACTTCCCGCGTGTTGAAGGCATCAGACCCTGACACTGAGGACGATCAGATCATCTTTAAAATTCTACAAGGCCCAAAACATGGACATCTGGAGAACACAACAACAGGTACTGGCCTCCTTAATCCTTACAATTGCCATTTTAAAATACCCAGTGGCTGGCAGGGCTAGAGAGTAATTTAATTAAGTGCAGGCCCATTTGGTAAACACTCCCCAGGGCTTACTGATAGATGCAGTTTATAAATCAATATTGCTCCTAAAGAGGGTTTGAAGCTGAGCCTTCCTAAATTTATCCTGACTGGAAGAACCAAATACTGATATACAACTGTTTATTTATATTTTTTTTCTCAACAGCTGATTATAATATATTCAAAGGAACATAATATCAGGACCAAATTTCCTATTTGTGACTAATTTTTTATTCTGTCATGAATTCTAAATGACTCTAAATGATGTCAGATCTTTTTTTAAAAGTTCTTGGTTTTTTTCCTAATGGATTCTCTGGATTGTATATTATTTCTACTTTATGAGCACAATGATCATAATACATCATTAAACAGGATGGCACCAAGTTACAGATTTTTATTACTGTATCTTTCTACTCTCCTTCTCTTTATTTTCATTTTTTTAAGGCAAATATTTCTGAAGCAGTCAACTTAATGCCTAATTTAAGCTCGCTGCATTTGAGTTTTAAGATAGTTACAGTAATGTTAATTTCTTGTTTTAAAATGTACTTTAGCTGTTTTTTAAAGCTGTGTTTAAAATAAAATAGCCATACAATTTTATTAGCTTTTATTTAATGTTTTGTTTGATTACCCATGATATTCATTTATTTCTTTTTTTAGGTGAATTTATCCATGAGAAATTTAGCCAAAAGGACTTAAACAGTAAGACTATTCTTTACATCATAAACCCATCTTTGGAAGTAAATTCAGATACCGTGGAATTTCAAATCATGGACCCCACAGGGAACTCGGCCACTCCTCAAATGTAAATTCTCTTGCTTATTCAGTAGTCCTATATGTTACATCCATAATGTATCTGAATATTAGGAAAGTGAAATGTTCTTTTTAAAACAGAACCCAAGAAGATAAATTAATAGACCATTTCACAAGCTCATGGAATTTATTTTGGAGAATGAATTTTCTTTTTATTACTGCTTGAAAATAGGAAAGCCAGTAGCTTTACAGAGTACAGAAACATTAAAAAGCTAAGTTGACGTTCATATTATGCATGTCAAGGTACACACTTTTATACACAGGGAGGGTTCTGTCTTACCAATTCACTAGCATCCAACACTGAGTTTGCAGGTTCATGTAGCAATTGTGCAGCAAGAGGTCACTCTAGGACCGTGTTAGCAACTATAGCCTTCTAAAATATCTGCAGTCGGGGAAATGAGGTAGTCAAGAAGAGTTAGCCAAACATCTTCTCTTTCTCTTATGAAGAAAATTACAATTACTTGACAGTATGTTTATAAGGTGATAAACTTATCCCATGTAAGACAAATATAATGTAAAGAGGAAACTAGACTTTGGAAGGTATATAAAGGGTATGACCCTCAAAATAGCAAGAGTAACAAATCTTCAAAATTAACGAGATTAACAGACCACAGCAATTTCACTGACTGGGTCCCTACTCTAGACTTTTCTTGAATGTAGACCTTGAATATCTTACCAGCTAACAGATAGTCATAGAAAGGTCGGTCAGAGTCCAGTTATTCTGGTACTGTGCTGTTTTTTGTTTGTTTGTTTGTTCATTTTGTTTGTTTGTTTTTGATACCCTCCCAGAAACCCCAAAGAAAAGTTGTTCACTTATCCTTGTTTTAGTAGTCACCATATCCTAGTCATACTAAGCATCATAAGTGATACAGCTCTGTGCTCTGTTATACTCCTTTTATGATGGAGTATAGATTAAGAAAAGAAAGCTGAGAAACTCCTCTGCAGTCTTCAGAATTCTTGCATTTTCTTTTGGATCCTGAATTGTAGTTCTAAAATCTGACCAGCAGAGGTCACAGTAGTCATTGTCAGAAAAAAGCTAGCCTCCTTTTCTTAGCAAAACACATTCCCAGCGTCCCACTCCGTTGCCTCGATAAAATGCAGAGCCTGGCCCAGATTTATTAACTCCACAGACTTTTATCGAGTGGCTACTATATGCCAGGTGCACAGTACTAGGAGCTGGGGAATAGGTTAGAGCAAAGTAGACCTGGCCCGTGATATTAAAATGTAATCTCGAGATTACAAAATGTAAAACATATGACCTCCACCCATTAAACTGTCTTTGCCTAAGACAAATAATTCCCAGGATCACAATCTTTATGGGAAAATATGTCAAGTACTTGCAATGTCAGACAAATATCTTCCAATTCTCAAGAAAATGTAAAAAAAAAAAAAAAAAACCTGCTCCAAAAATGTTAATACGTGGACTTCACTTTTTTTTTTTAACATTTTAAAAATAATTCAAGTAAGAAAACATAGGAATGTTGATCAGACTTGCTACTGACCTAATGCTCACCTCTTGTCCTCCATGTGTGAGCGCAGTGTAGCTGACAGAGGATTTTCTTCCCCCAGTAATGATGCTAGGCTGATACTGCTTCACCCATAGCCCCTTTCAATCTTTGTCACTATCAAGGACATTGCTTTTGGAAGATGATTTATATTTTTAAATATACTCTCAAATTCATATGAGAATTACAGCAAAATTTGCTTAATTTAATTATAACCTTAAATGAGGCCATTTAAATATCCTCCTGCTTTTGTTGGCTATTAACTTTCATGTGTCTGTGCTGGAGATGTTTCCAGTTCAACTTGACGTAATTTGTTCATTTGTTCATGACTGAACAAAATGCTGTGGCATATGCCTACCAAGGGGTAATATAGAGAGAAGTTTTATTTGGTTCTGACATATATTAGGCTATTTTCTTTATAAGCGATGGGGGGGTAAAATTACTCAGCATTTATCATCATCATTTTTGAACGGTATAGTTGTCCTCAACCCCATTTGTAAGCAGATGTTATTGGAACTAGGTGCACAATTTTCCAGTAAAAAGCAAGGTTATGAATAGTGGTTCATCTTCCCAAGACAGCCAGGCAGAACGTAGTTACAGGTACAATATAAATTACAGCCATTTGCAATATAATTGGTGTTTGCTCTATTTCATTGCTATTCATTTAATCATCAGAACCACCTATGAGTCAGGTACCATCATAATCTGAAATTTACAGATGAGAAAACTGAGGACAGAGCTAGAAAGTGACTTTTCTAAGTGGAAATGCAGCTTTAGAGTGCATGATTTTTCTCAGCACACTGAAGAACTTCTTGCCCATTTTAAGGACTGTGCTAATCTGGCCTGAAGGGAATGGAACACCAGACTTGTCTTCTTCTTTCTCTTCAGACATTGGCCACCCAAGCAAGAAAGAAGGAATACTTACTCATATAGGACCTTAAAGTTCAGTGGGATTTTTTAACATGTACATTATAGATCTCTATATTAGTGTGCACTTCGTATCTAACACACTAGAATTTATACTATAGATAATAAACCACCGAACTTGGAGCTAGAGGACAAGGTTTGAGCTTTGGCTCTGCCCTTCATCTAGTAACTGTTCAAGCCTTAGTTATCTCTTCTGTAAAATGGGAGCGATACTACAATTTGTTTAGAAAAACAAAAGAAATGTGTAACGTATATGAAAGCATCTTGTGTATTTAAACTCCTTAACAAATGCAACTTGTGGTGATTACTGTTGTAGTTAATTCATGTAGGTACAATAATTGACTGAAGAAGTATCCCGGAAACATTTGGTGGATTAGAAAGCCTGCCTCTAATTAGAAATTGATCCTGGGATGAATCACAAAGTGAACAGTCAATATGCATATTAATCAATGAGCTAAACGCTGTGGAACTTTGTGGTGTTCTTTGGCTTAGACAGGATTAATAGATTCATATTCCCCATATTTGAAGGGGTGAAACCTCTGTGATAAAGCTCAAGGGACTGCGGGGTGCCATCTGGAACAGAAATGGACCTGTTTTAGAGCACGGGAAGGACCCATGTTCAGTGGAAAATTCAGAATCTTGACTGTTGGTCAGTTTTGGCTATTGCAGGATTCCTGTGGAGTCCTGAAGGATGAATAGATGCTCCACTCTAAAAAGCATTAGGAAATGCTTGTTTCGTGAGATTCATCAAGTTACTGCCAGCTAGCTAGCTTGCGTGCTTGTTTAACTGCATCACATCCTGGAATCATCGAGATGTGCGTGTGGATTGGGAATCTCTCAGAAATGAAGCCTACGCAGCAAACCTCAACCCAACTGGGCTATAGAATCACCTCTCTCTACCTGCCACCCCACACACAGGCAGAATAGCTCAGGGAACCAATTTTTCATGGAATGCATCTGGGAGTCACTTTATTGTAAATAGAAATTATTTTATAATGCTGATATCCTTGGAAATTTGCGTAAAGATTTAGATTTAGCTAAGTGCCTACATTTCAGGCACTGTGCTAAGTGTTTTCATGAGTTGTCTAATTTTATCTGCAAAACACAATCCTCTGAGGATAAGGAAATAAAGCTCAAGGCTTTTAAGTAATTATCCTGAAGTCACTGGAGAGTGAACCCTGACCTCCAGACCTAAGTGAGTGCGCATCTTATTGCCTCACCCCCTGGCTGCACCCCTTGACAAGCTTGTGCCTGTTTTCTAGTCCAAGTTGAATCTCCAAGATGATCCGCAGAAGCCCCAAACTAAGTTACACAGGACCCACATCATTCATGAAAAGCACTTTTGTGGACCACAGAATGTGGCCAACTTCTGACCAAAGTTGTTTTCCTAATACAGCTTCTACGTGGACCTCTTTCTTGTGCCCACTGGAGAAAAGTGAACTTCAAAAGCAATGTTGAATGCAGAAGTCTTTGATAATTCAGTGACTGTTTCTCCGGTTCTGCACTCTGATTCTTCACCTCCCTCTGGCAACTCACATTCTAACTGTTCTGTTGTCCATTTTTGGCTTTAAAAGAGAAGGGACAGAAGACTAAAAGGAATTTCCATCAGGCAAACGTTGCAATGTTTAGCAGCTTTTATGAAACACCTGATAGGGGAAGGTGTTTGGCTAGCTAATACCTGCACATTACCTGCAAGCCAGGAGTTAAGGTTTTTGTCTTCAGACTAGATCTTAGGAAAGCACAGAGGAAGGGAAGGAAAATAGCATTTATTGGGCACCCACTGTGTACAGGTGCTTTATACATACTAACTAATTTTAATTTTAATCATTTTACATGAGTGTAATTCTCCTCATTTTTAAGATAATGAAAACCGAGGCCCAGAGAGACTGAGTAACTGACCGTAATCACACACTAAATCACATACTAATCAGTGGTTACAAGGTGTGCTTGATTCTAAAGCACTTGTTTTGGGTGCACACTATGCTGCCTCTTGGCTAAACACTGTTTCCCCATTATCAAGAGAAAAAGAGAAAAATGAAAACACAGGTGTTCATAGCATTCGATTACGGAGTTTAATAGCATCATCTATGAATTGAGAAGTCTTAGATTGGATACTTGAAAAAATATTTTTTTAACATTTTCAGGAATTCTTGTCACATGCTACTTGATTATAAATGAAGATATAGTTATAAGGATAGTAATTTAATCACAATTTTAGCTTCTGTAAACCTTTTGCTGAGAAGCTCAAAATACTTAATGAGAATTCATGAAGGTTCACTTAACCCCTTTGAAGTACAGACTTATCATTATTGCATTTTGTAATAATGACATTATTATAGGAAGAAAGGAAACTGAGGCATAGACAGGCTAAATATCTTTTTCACAGACTCTTGTTAACCTGGATTAATGCCCCAATTCCTAAACTGGTGATTTAACTCCAGGTATTTCTTTCAGCTTCTTGTTTCATCATAAATGAATCAAGTAGCTAGAAAATAAAATATCAGAAAGAACATATTTATTACTCCAGGACCGGGTGTCTCAACATTGGCACTATAGGCATTTTGAAACAGACCATTCGGTGTCACAGGGGAGTCTCCTGAGCACTGCAGAACATTCAGCAGCACCCCAGGCCTCTCTCAGCTGAAGGCCAGCACCATCCTCTTCCCAGTTGTGGCAACGAATACCATCTCCAGAAAATGCCAAATGTTAAGAATTACACGCATGCCTTAGAAAATAGCATACATATGTTTTAAGAAATTATGAATTATGTTAGAATGCTCATTTATCAATGCCATCTTTCTCTCTATGCTAATAAAGCCTAACAATAGTCAAAGAATCCAGAATAAGTCAGGGCTAGAGAAAACATGTGAGGATCATCTAGCCTAGCAATTTTTTCCAAGTGTGTGACAGATGATGTTAGTAAGGTTGGGGAGAAAAATATTTTCGATGGTTGTATTAGTCTGCTTTCACACTGCTAATAAAGACATACCTGAGACTGGGTAATTTATAAAGAAAAAGAGGTTTAATGAACTCATAGTTTCAAATAGTTGGGGAGGACTCACAAGCATGGCAGAAGGCAAAAGGCAAGTCTTACATGGTGGCAGGCAAGAGAGAATGAGAGCCAAGTGAAAAGGGAAACCCCTCGTAAAGTCATCAGATCTCGTGAGACTTATTCACTACCACAAGAACAGTATGGTGGAAACCACCCCCATGATTCAGTTATCTCCCACCAGGTCCCTCCCACAACATGTGGGAATTATGGGAGCTGCAATTCAAGATGAGCTACAATTCAACATGTGGGGATACAGCCAAACCATATCAATGGTCAACTTAGCTCAGGAGACAGTGGGATAAACAAGATTCATTCATTCAGTTAACAGATATTTAATGAGCACTCACCATGTTTTAGATGCTCTACAAGACACCTGGGTTATCACAATGAACCAAAGACCTGTGCTTCCTTGGAGCATACATAGGATCTAAATCAATGTGATAGCATGCTTGCTGTACGTGGTACATGCTCTGGAAAAATGAAAAACTTGACCAGGAGCAGGGGGATCAGCAAGTGCTGTGTTTGGGAAAGACATTGTGATTTTAAATTGGGTGTTTAAACAACATTTCCTTTACCTGACTGCTTAGAGCTGGTGAGTGACAGAGGGACCTGAAGCCTCACAAGTTCAAATCCAATTTTATTTCCACTGCTCCATGCCATGTCTTCCACTTACAACAGTGGTTTTCAGGGATCCGAATTTATCTTCACATTGAACCAGCTTTTGCTTTCTTTTTTTTGAGATGGAGTCTTGCTCTGCCGCCCAGGCTGGAGTGCAGTGGCATGATCTCGGCTCACTGCAACCTCTGTCTCCAGGTGAACCAGCTTTTTCTATTGTGATGAACACATTAAAACCGCATATGGAAGAAGTTCTCAAGTGGGGGTGACTTTTCTCCCAAGGAGCATTTGTCAAGGTCCCGAAACAGTTTTGGCTGTCGTGACTGGAGGGAAGTGGTGCTCCTACATCTAATGCGAGGAGGACAGAGGTGCTGCTAAACATCATTCCCACACAGGACAGCCTCCCGCAACAAAGAATTGTCTGGTCCAAAATGGGTGGGAAAGCCTGACTTAGAGGCTTAGGGAGTTTTCCCCTCCTGCTAAATGACTTGAAGCGATTGCCACATGGGTTACACATAAAATGTGTCCATGGCATACAGTTCTGACTGTAAAATGAGCGTCACTCAATGGTGACAGGAAACTGGAAGCACTGTTAAAATGGGAAGATATGAACCAATCCTTATCTACATGACACCTACACATCTAGAACTTTACGAATTTCTCTCATGGGCTCCTGGATCTGGACATTTACATGATGCCAGGCATATAGCTGTGTGGCTTCTTGCAGGCAAAATTCCCAAGTGATTGACTACATCTCTTATTTTTCTTCCAGGTGTTTGTGTACAGTTTAAGCAATCACAGTCTCTGCGTAGAAAGATCTTCTCAAATATACTACTGCAAAAAGCAAAAAAAAAAAAAAAATCACATTCAAAACATATATTGTACATATTCTGTGGGTATGCAGGTCCTTTGCTATTTAGATATTTTTCTCAAAAATATATAGCCTGGCTTAAATTTCACGGCTTTTCAATAGCTCTTTATTATTTGTAGCGAATAATTTTAAGAAAATAAAATAGAGCATTGTGTAATGACCACCTTGACCTATAAACGTTATGCAGCATTCAAATGGTGCATCAGGGAAATGCATGCACATTCCCAAACAGTAAGACCCTTTATACCTTGAAGCTGAACAGCCCTCTGAATGGTTCCCTTCTGAATTTAGATCAGAAATCAAATTGCATTTAGCTTTTCGCCTTGAGGTCACCAGGATCTACAGAATGACATTGATGGATTTTTACTTGTCATGGTTAGCATTAGCAATGGATGAATTCTCAGAAGAATTGGACATTGAAACTCATTTGAACCCTACTGATGGCTGAAATCCATGCAAATGTATTTGTTTCATTCTTTCCCACTGTCCTCCTTTCCTTCCCATTTCATCTTTCTCTCTTTTCCCCTAATCCATCTTGCTGACTTTTTTTTTCTTTCTCATTCAACTGGATCCTTTTGGGATTCTTTGCAACATATTTCTATTGGCATTTATGATATCCTTGTTGTTTGTTATCTTGTAATTCTTTAGGCACACACTAATCCCTCCTATCTGTGGGAGATATGTTCTAAGACCTCCAGCAGATGTCTAAAGTGCAAATAGTATTGAACCCTATGTACACTGTGCTTTTTCCTGTACTGCACATACGTTGCTAGGATAAAGTTTAATGTACAAGCTAGGCACAGTAAGAGATTAATAACTAATAAAATAGAACAACTATCATGGGATGCCAGCATCACTACTCTTGCACTTTGGGGCCATGATTATGTAAAATTAGAGTGACTTGAACACAAGCACTGTGACACTGTGGCTGGCAGTCAATCTGATAACCAAGCCAGCTACAGAGTGACTAATGGGCAGGTAGCATCTACTGTGTGGATGTGCTGGACAAAGGGATGATTCTTGCCCCAAGTGGAACAGCAGGGGATGATGTGAGATTTCATCACACTACTCAGAACAGCATGATGTTTAAAAGTTATGAATTATTTGTTTCTGGGATTTTTCACTTAATATTTTCAGATCACGGTTGACCACAAGTAACTGAAACCTTCAGAAAGCAAATTGTGAAAAAGAGGGATTACCGTAGTCATTTATTTCTGTTTCTTGATCTGTTTCATGCGAGATTTAAATTCAGTTGCATCAGAGACCCATAAAGTTTCCAATTTTTTTAATACAAGGATCCTCTTTTCTTGTTTAAAATTCTATTAATATGAAGTAGCAATAAACTCAAACAATAAATTTTAAATCTGACTGAATAAACAGGTATGTTTATATAGATTCATGAGCCCCTGTAATAATTCCATGCTCTTACCCTACCCTTGCCCCCTAGCCCATGATGCTCAGCTATGAACCTACACTGTTGAGTTTATCTGGCTCGTGAGCTTAATCCATAGAACGTGATTATGACACATGATCAGTGTGGACACAGTGGTTATTTGAAGACAAACTTCCTCCCTAATATGAATGGCCCCAGGAAAGCCTGGAGAGTGTGTGAAATATGTGAACACATGTTCCATATGGTGGCACCCAGAATTTCTAGTTCCACAAAAAAAGAAAGAAATTATAATAAATAAACTTAAAAGTAAAGAGGAAAGAGTCTAAATCTGACTAGAGGTTTGGGAAGTACAAGTAAGGCAACCACTAAGGATTTTGTAAATCTAGAATAAAAGGCAACTGAATAAAAAACAATGGAGGTGCAGTTAACAATCGTAGTGAAGGTTGCTTGTGTCTTTTATCCTGCTCTATAGTAAGGTTACAGATGGCAAAAAAAAGGCAAGACCTCAAAAAGGAAAATGTTTCTGGGTAAAGATAAAACCGTATTGCTCTGCTTGAGCTCACAAAAGAGTCGCAAAGAACTTCAGTTGGGGAGAGAAATGGTAGAGGTTGGATGGAAGATTTGGCATTAGATTTATGCTTGAATTTCATCTCTGCTATTAGCTTTGTCATGACTTTTTGCCTTTAAGTTAGTTACTTAACCTCTCTGAAGCTTGTTTGTCTGTTTGTTTTTGAAAAAAAATGTTCCTCTCTAGATGAAGATTAAAGAAGACAGTTTCCACCAAATGTTGGACTCACTAAATATATTGTGGAAAGAAAGACTATCCTCTATTTCTCAGGTTTATTTAGTTATATAGTTGCATCCAAGCCTCATACCAGTAGAGTCCTTTTTTTATGCACAGAAAGAGAAACAAATAACACTTATGAAACACATGTACATTTTAATTCCCAAGCACATCCTCAAAAATATTTTGTTATTAAACTGAACCCAAGTTCAGAGAATATCTCTGTCTGGAATTGTTCTTGTTGTACCAATTATCCTTATCTAAATGATAAGATAGAAGACTTCCTATCAGTGTCTTTTCCAAAAAGGAATGTCTCCTTGAACTTAACAACTGCTGGTTCCTTTCCCTTCAAAACATTCACGATTGAGTCCCCTTTTAGTTGTAAATATCTGGGAGACATTCAGCAGCCTTTTAACCTTAGATTCTTCATTTGTGAAATGGAATTCTAATCCTTGCTCTGTCTACCTTACAGGGTTGTTGTAAGGATCAAATGAGATAATGTTAGTAGACATTCTTTGTGAACTAAAATGTGTCAAATAAGTCTTAAGGAATTTCCATCACTGGTGTAGGTTGATCAACCACGTTTTTCCACTAGTCCGCTCAGCAGAGAATCCCTATAGGCATATACTATGCATTCTCATGATTTCTCTTTTCCTTTCACACACAGTTTGGAACTGAAGTGGTCTCATATTGAATGGTCACAGACCGAATATGAAGTCTGTGAGAATGTGGGTTTGTTGCCCTTGGAAATTATCAGAAGGGGATATTCCATGGACTCGGCCTTTGTGGGTATAAAGGTAATGACTCTGAAATGTAAATTATCAAGCTAAAACTTATGTTGTTCTTTGGTGTCTTTCATTATATTTTTTTTAGAAAAATTCAGAGTGACCAAGGAAATTTCAAATTGCAGGGAGATCCCACTATTCTGAGGATTCTAAGCACAAAACCTCCTTGGCCCTCCATCCATCATCTAAGTTCATAAACTCTGAGATATGATTTTTTAGTGTACGTGTTGCTGAAGCTAGCACAAGAGATATTATTATTATTATTGTTATTTTGAGACAAAGTCTCGCTCTTGTCGCCCAGGCTGGAGTGCAATGGCACAATCTCGGCTCACAGCAACCTCCACCTCCCAGATTCAAGTGATTCTCCTGCCTCAGGCTCCCGAGTAGCTGGGATTACAGGCACCTGCCACCAGGCCCTGCTAATTTTTGTATTTTTAGTGGAGACGGGGTTTCACCATGTTGGCCAGGCTGGTCTCGAACTCCTCACCTCAGGCAATCCATCCACCTTGGCCTTCGAAAGTGCTGGGATTACAAGCGTGAGCCACCTTGCCTGGCTGAGATATTAATTTTTAAAATCCATTTTTAATTTTGAAAGCTGTTATTTGTTTCTATGAACTCTTTAGACTTTGAGGTTTTATTTCATAGGGAGCTATATTCAACTTTGTGAACTTGGGCTGAACTCTGCTTTAGAAAGAGATGTTGTATGCAAGACATTCTGTGGGGTACCCAGAGCAAATTTCAGTCCCAAGAGGCTTTCTCTTAGTATTCACCTCAGTCACTTCCCATGGGCTCAGTTGATGAGGCAAATAGGCAGCTTAAACCCATCTATCTTAAGAGTTGTCCAAGCCATACAAAATTAGGAGAGCATATACTAATACAGGCACCCTGAAATATGAAGAATTTTCAGTTAACCACTTCTAGATCAGTCAACTTGCTATTTCTTTTCATTGATGTGACCCATGAAGCACAACCTATGGCTTCTAGAATTGAAGAATTTTTTTTAGGAGTCGTTATAACAAGAGCGCTTCAAGAGAATGAGAGCATGAAACACTTGTACACACTAATGATGGAGAATGAGCTGTAAAGACTCCCCCCCACCCCATCCCCCCACCATCTGATGAAAAAGACACTGGTATTAGCTTCTGGGGAAAAGGCCATTTCTATTAAGTCTCAATTTAATAATGAACTCAAATCACTCTCAGAAGCCTGGGAACATAAATTTGACCATATCCAGGCTCAGTATTTATCTTTCCAGTGGACACAGGTCCTTTTTCCTAGATCTGTTGGTTACTTTTTTGTTATTAAGACAGGAGAAAACTTGGCATGCCCTATAGTTTTCCAGAAGATTGCTTATGGAATAAGGAAGAATCTGCCTGGATGGTTTTCTAATAATCCTCCCGTCCTCCATAGAAAGCACCATATGCTCTAGGCTGGAGTTTTGGGCCACGCCACCATTCACCTTGCCAGGTAGAAAGAAGAGGCATGGTGTTACATGGAACCTTATGCTTATTTATGCTGAAAGTGCACAACAAACGTGCCAGCTGAGTGTGCAGGCCTTCATCAAGCACAGTCCCAGAGTCTTTCAGGACAACTCTACCCTGAGCACAACCTGCAGCCTTACACTAGAGCTTGGCTGCTTGACTGGGAGCAGGGAAAGAGGTGGTGCTTTTACCCTGTGTGGATTGCCCTGGTTTGAATTGTGCACCTTCACCTGACTGATTTCTCCAACCACCTTGCCTCAGACCATTCCTTTTCCCACATAGGATTCTGTAAACTCAGTGGTAGTAAATACTAGGTAATTGGACATGCAAGAACCATGCAGGGAAATGCAACTTCCAGCATATGGTGGATACAGGTGTATAATGGGCTGCCTTTTCACAATGAAAGGTGGTTCCAGAGGAGCCTTGGCATTGTAGACAAAGAGCAAATGGAAGCTTAGGAAGGTAATCCCCTTTTCCAGCAAAATGTTTCCACTGCTAACCAATTAATATATGAGGGGGCCTTTGATTTGAAATGGACATATTGTCTGAGGCCATAGAAGTAGGAATTTTTCAGCTTTTCATTATGCACTTCATTCTTTTGTCAGAAGGTACAGAAATATATTATCCCACATTCCTGACCATCTTAAACATCTAAAAAATACACACAAGTAACAGAAATGCTTGCACACGGTTCTCATTTGATGACTTATTTTTCAAATCAGCCAAAGACACTTTTTTTTTGTTTTTTGAGATGGAATCTCACTCTATCACCCGGGCTGGAGTGCAATGGCACCATCTCGGCTCACTGCAACCTCCACCTCCCAAGTTCAAGCTCTTCTCCTGCCTCAGCCTCCCCAGGAGGTGGGATTACAGGCGGCCGCCACCATGCCTGGCCAATTTTTTTGTTTTTGGTAGAGACGGGGTTTCACCATGTTGGCCAGGTTGGTCTTGAACTCCTGACCTCAAGTGATCCACCCACCTCTGCCTCCCAGAGTGCTGGGATTACAGGCGTGAGCCACCGTGCCGGCTCAAGGACACTTCTTAACATGTGTTTGGGCACCCTTTGGGTGGAATTCAAGGCCATGACTTCAGAGCGCTAAAATCGCCTCTTTGGTTTTTAGTCTTGGGGCTGGAGCTGAGAAGCAGGGGTGTATCAATAGTCTCCTTAGACTAGGGCATTTTTGTTGTTGTTGTTTTAAAACACCTACCTGACGGGGTCCTTGAAAGTCCTTGGTTTTGGGTGTGGATCTCCTTTGTCTGGTTGTTCACCAGGTCTTCCGGTTCCACAAAACTCTCCTTTCATGTTTGTGAAGAGTAATGGCTTCATCCAGACAGGAAAATGAACCAGATGTGTTTGAGTTAATCTAGTCTAAAGGCTTTCAGTGCCCTGGAGCTTGCAGGATACCTCCAAGCTAGCTGACAGATCATCACATGGGTTGTCAGGGGTACCTGCTTTTTCTTCTCCTCATCAATTTTCTCCCTCCTTTTCTTTTGAGGGACTATTTTAAAACCAAATTGGGATAGAAGGAAGGTAATAAAATTGTGCTTGCAACAAAGACAAAAATATAGTTTAAAATTCATGTTCCTTTCTTCAATAACTAAATCATTTATAAAGGAAAAACCAAACAAAACAAAAGCTTTCCTTTCCATTGATATTAGCCTAGGAAAAAGTCAACTTTAAGGAAAATGCATGTTGCCTGGATCCCAAATGGCTTATATAATTTTTTTAAAAACCCTACCTAATATTAAAAACAGATTTAAGAGCATGAGTTTAGTCCAGTATGAGGGAGAATAGCTGTTTCTCTATTGTAGAATATTTATTTTTATCTTAAAAAGATTTTTTTTTCCCTCCTAAGGTCAACCAAGTGTCAGCTGCAGTTGGAAAAGATTTCACCGTGATTCCATCTAAACTGATTCAGTTTGACCCAGGTACATTTTGTGTCTGCAGTTTGTTTTATGTGTTTTGTTTTTTGTTTTTTTTTGTAGGCATGTCTGGAGATTGTAGAGAAGATAGAATGTTACACAACTTTAGCCAACTAGAAACTCCTCAGGGAGCCATACCACCTCACTCTAAAAGAGAGGTGTTTGGATTTGAGGTTTTGCCCTTATTTTTTTTTAGTAACAAATGAATTTTGATTTCAAATGAGAAGAAAGATTATAATAAATATGAGATATCAAAGCAAACATCCAAGACAATCCAGAAAAAAATACAGTCACTTAGAAATTATTTGAAGTTCTAACACAAAGCTGTTATAGTTTAATTGCCTCAGATATTTTATGAAAATTTTCAGAATGTTATGTTTATATGGATTCCTAAAGGGCATTTCTAAATGATCCCTCATGGAATAGGTTGATATTAGGAGATTCCAGGGGAAATTATTATTTAGTTAAGTAGCACTTACTTTGTTTTAAATTTGTGGAAAAATTTTGCTAGGTGCAAGTGGAAATAAAAAAGGCTGGTACTTGCTCTCAAGTGTGTTCCATTGTGTGAGAAACACAGACAAGAATTAACACTCACTGATAGTGCACTGGGACCCAAAAGATGAGCTGTTGTTCAGGCTAAGAGAAATCTTGGAAGACTTCCCACGGGAGGCAGTATTTTAGCATTTAGATGAAGAAGAAAACTCCAGGATGAAGGACTAACACAAAAGCACCAACACACCTTTGGGGAGCTGTGCCTAAAGCTGAGGCTGGAGCCCGGCCATCTTTCCCTGGCTTCTGTGGATGGGACAGGTAGCTCTGCCTCACTCACTGCATGCCACTCTCTATTTCCCTGGGGTTTGAGATGGATCTGAATCAAATGTGGGGGCTTGGGAGTGGCAAATACAATGGGCCTGGAGAAGCAGACAGGACTGTGGCTTTGTGCTTTCCTGCCAAGGAGATGTTCTGCATACTGAGAACACTCCTCTAAGTGTGAACTATTGACATCATCTGCCACTAACTCATAAAGAGTTGAGCAAAGGCAAAAGAAAATGGCCTAAGTACCAGCACCACCTCAAAATTGCCTATCTTAATGTCAAACACAGAAAAGAAATGGCTCTCTGCAGTTCACTGCAAGTAGCATGATGCTTGAGGACTGTGTTAGTTTCTTCAGGCTGTCATAACACAGCATCAAACAGTGGGTAGCTTGAAACAGAGACATCGAGTGTCTCAGTTCTGGAGGCTAGAGGCCCAAGATCAAGCTGTCAGCATGAAGGATTACTTCTGAATCGATTCCATGCCTCTCTTCCATGCTTCCGGTGGCTGGGTGGCAAACGTTGGCATTCTTAGTGTCTGCTGCCTCACCTGCATCTCTGCTTTCATCTTCACGTAGCGTTCTCCTTGTGTGCATGTCTGTGTTATAAAGTCCCTGCCCCTTTTTTCTTTTTTGAGATGGAGTCACGCTGCGTCACCCAGGCTGGAGTGCAGTGGTGCAATCTCAGCTCACTGCAACCTCTGCCTCCTGGGTTCAAGCAATTATCCTGCCTTGGCCTCCCAAGTAGCTGGGACTACAGGCGCACACCACCACACCTGGCTAATTTTTTTGTATTTTTAGTAGAGACGGGGTTTCACCTTATTGGCCAGACTGGTCTCAAACTCCTGACTTTGTGATCTGCCTACCTCAGCCTCCCAAAGTGCTGGGATTACAGGCATGAGTCACTGTGCCCAGCCAAGTCCCCCTTTTTATACAATACCAGTCATAATGGATGAGGAGCCCACCTTATTCCAGTATGACCTCACATTAACTAATTACACCTGTAATTACCCTAGTTCCAAATAAGGTCACATTCAGAGGTACTGGGAGTGAGGACGTGAATTTTTTAGAAACGCCATTCAGCCTATAACAGTGAACCTTCACTTCGACATGCAAAAATCTGTATTTTGTTTTTGGCCTCCTTCCTGTGATAGTTAACATTCTAACTCAGATAAGCTGGTTCTTCCAGCTGACCTCCTTTTGTGGGAAGAGATCCTGTTATATATGGGAAAGATTCCTGTTATTTATGTGCTGTTTACTCCCACACTGGTACAGGCTCTTGCGGCCAACCCAACAATCCCTACAATGAAAGGGTGAGATGATGTGCGCCATGTCCCTTCCTACTTCATGTTAAGGCACTTCCAACTTTTCCATTTCTTGAGTCTTTGCCATATGTCATCTTCATAATTTGAGGTCTGTTTGCTACAAGATCAGGAGTAATTTTGGCTGCTAGTAGGTTTCAGGAGCCCATCAGGTGCTCTGTTTGGACTGATAGGAACTAGAACGTGTCACACTACAAGAGACTCTGAAATCTGTCTCTTGGAGATTCCACTGGATAAGATAAATACCCATTTGTCTAGAAGAGCTCACATGCTGTTTTGAGTAGATACTAATGACTTCTGGGGGCTGTAAATAATCTTATGATTTTAGATATTATTTAGACAATTTAAGAAATAATATAAGCATATCTTATAAATTAAGAAAAAAACAATTGGCTGTTCATTGTTTTAGAATTTATTAACCCAGAAGCAGTTTTGCAAACTGAAATCTTGCTTTAGAGAATTTTGAAGTTCTCCATGTCCACAGGTCCAGTAAATATTTACTCCTATCTTGTTAATCCTTGCCTCTTCTGGGTCTGGTGTCCCCATCCCCATATCCACCCCTTTTACCAAGGGAAATCAATTTGTTTCTTTTAAAACGGCAGCTTCCATGATTGGGTGAAGAAACAGAGTGAAAAACCGAAGACAGTGGGATGCCGTAAGGTTTGAGAACTCTTACGTGGGAGCTGGAAGGAAGCTTGCCTTGAAGTTGCAACTATGCTACCAAACCAAAAAAATACCAAACAAACAAAAGCAAACCCTAACTACTTTGCATTCAGCTATTGTGACTAGTCTTGAGTGGATATAAAAATACTCCTAAGAAAATGATTGTTTTCCTTTAAAATATGCATTATTGAAAGGCTTGCAGCATTCTTAATTGATCATCATTCCTTAGAGTCAAAATGTTTTCCAAGGGAACAGATCTCTAATGTGGCATTTACTAAAAAATATTGAGAAAATGTCTTTCAATAGAGAAATCTGCTTTGCAGGAAAACATCCAGGAACTCACCTACTCTGTAAAGTGGAATATGTCTGCATAAAATGACACCTCTGTTTTCTCTTCAGCACCTTTTGTTTTGTGGGAACAGGGAGCCAGTCCAAGCCTTCTGAAAATGCTTGTATATCTCAGGGACTTAGCAAATACTTTGCACCTTGAAAGTGAAAGAGGAAGGGAAAAAATGATAAAGTTTTGACTTCCAATCTCATTAACCTAAAGAGTTAGTCCTCTGTGCACACCTGGAAGGCATAGAAACCAAGTTGGAATGCACACAAACAAATCAGAAGCACTTAAATGAAACTCAAAAGATATTTTCTCCAACCCCTAACCATCTGGTTCTACTCCGTAAGGTCCAACAAAAACCTTAAGTTTTTTGTTTTTTGTTTGTTTGTTTGTTTGTTTGGGGGGTACTATAATTTTAAAAAATTAACCTTAAAATCAGAGAGTCGGTTGGGAGTTGGAAATATTTTCTGTATTGGATTTTATTTACATGATGCTTAACTTTATGGTCTTTGAGGGTCAAAACAGTTCTCCAAGTACTAATAATCATATTATTCATATGCTTTCTTCATTGACCACCTCTTATCTTTTCATGCCAATTGTATTACAGCAGCTGTCTATGTGGTCTTCAAACTTCTAGCCTATCTGTCTATCTGCCTGGATCTCCAGACTTTCTCACATAACACTCTCAGGTTCATTTTGCTAATCCACTTTCAGTGTGTGACTTCTTTGTTCAAGACCCTTCCCTCTTGCCTATGTTGTAAAGTCTGAATCTGGCCAGGTGCCCAGGGCTCTCTGCAGTCTGGCTACAAATAATCTTTGCAGCCTTATGGCCTCCTGTCCACCCATGTAACCTCTCTATTCCAGCCAGCTAATTCACTCACCCTTCCCGAGTCAAGACCTCTGCTTTGCTATCTTCCTGTCTTTACTTATGTTGTTTTCCTGTTTCCTCCCTCCTAATCCTTTCACTTCTAAAGCCCACATTTATATAGGCTCTACAATCTATTCTGTATCTTTTAGTAGGTAAACATACATAGCTTTCAATAATTATTTGACTTTTCTGGTTTTGCTTCTGTCTCCCCCAAAAGATTTTAAGCTCCCTTAGATCAGGGCTTGGCTTATGTTACACCTCTGGTATTCTCCATAGCATCTAATGCAAAGATAAGCATATCATAAGTACAAAATATATATTTTGATGTATTGATTTATCCATCCATGAGATGGGAATTGTATGGTATTATTATACATACTAGATGCTTCAACTTCTGCTTTTGCAAAGACTGTGAACGTAATTGGTTTAAAAACTCAGTACTGGAAGCTTAATAAATTAGCTGTCAGCCTGTTTTTGAATAAAATCTATTTATTCCAAGTACACCTAATTTTTTCCCCTCTAAGTGCAGCCAGCCAAAAGTAGAAGAAGTGGATAGCTTCACCTTTCCATTGACTTCTGTTGAGGATTGAAGAGACTGATTAGATCATGAGATCTATGTGAGGCATACCTTCAAGAAAGAGGCCACCATATAGATGGACAGTTGAGAGGTATAAGTCTGTAGAAGGCAATCTGCAAGATAAAAGAGTCGTTTTTTGGAGATGGGGACAAGGTCTCACTCTGTTGCCCAGGCTGGAGTGCAGTGACACATCCTGGGCTCACTGCAGCCTTGACCTTCTGGGCTCAAGCGATCCTCCCACCTCAGCCTCCTGAGTGGTTGAGATCACAGGCACGTGCCACCACGCCCACCTAATTTTTGTTTTTGTTTTTGTTTTATTGTAGAGATGGGGTTTTGCTCTGTTGGCCAGGTTGGTCTCAAACTCCTGAGCTCAAGTGATCTGCCCGCCTTGGCCTGCCAAAGTGCTGGGATTACAGTTGTTTACCACTGCACCCGGCCAAGAGTTACATTTTTAAGAGAAGACTTTTTAAAAAGTTTAACTGTATCATATAGAGGGGCTTAAAGGAGTAAAAGCACTCAAATAGCCAATGAGCAAATGGCAGAGTAAGCTTTTCCATCTCAGCTAAGAAAAGTTAAATCGATAAGTTTACTGTGTTTATTCCTCTTAAAGTTGAGCCTTCTTTCTCCACTTAAAAGTATTCCCTTTACTTCCTTCCACCACTTGTTCTTCTAAGTAAACTCAGGGGATATCCTATGATCCACATCATAGAAACTGGTCAGGATGAGATCATCTCAGAAGTTTCTTCTTGCAGTCTTAATATTTTGTGTATCTGGGGTTGCTTTGTTTCCAGTCTTGGTGTTGACAGGATGGCTGGGATATGTTTGTAAGGTCAAAACTGTTTTGTATAATATTAAGTTCACAAAGTTACTGTGAACCAAGCTTGATTGTAACTTCATGAATAGAGGCAGCCAGAAAGAGGGAAAAAATTGGCTTTATTTCTAGAACCCCCAGCCCATAAATTCTCTCTAGGAGGATATCAAACTACTGAGTATTATATCATCAGAAAAAGCATTTGTGGGCTAGAAAGATCTCAGGAAGTGGGGAAGCCGATGCAGGCAGCTGTCTTTAGAAATGATTAAGAAATCAATCATTTCAAGGGTTCCATGAATAGCATGAAGTACCATCCAATAATCACTTCTGTCTGCATCAACAGCTTAAGATTTTTTAAACTATTAAGATTTTGAGATTGCAATACTTGTTTACTCTTCAGAAGAGAAGGGACAGGTTGGGAAAATAATTAAGTCTTGGATCTCATCTAATAACCATTTTTTTTTTATCCCTTGCATACTGCAGCTTACTTTTTTGTTACAGTGTTTGCATTTAAACGGAAACATCATCGTCCAGGAACAAATGTGGTCTTTTCATATTATTTGGGAGAACAGCAGGACTTCAGTGAGTTGGTAGCAGTACAATAGCTCACTCGGGCTACTGCAGTCTAGCTGTAGACATGTTAATTAATATATTTCTCTGACACCTAGGTGATTGAAATAGCAATTAAAGAGTAATTAAAATGTTTACTTCTTGTAGGAATGTCAACTAAGATGTGGAATATAGCAATTACCTATGACGGATTAGAGGAAGATGATGAGGTCTTTGAAGTAATTCTGAACTCCCCTGTGAATGCAGTTCTTGGCACAAAGACAAAAGCTGCAGTGAAAATTTTGGACTCAAAAGGAGGTATTCTTTTGATCCTCATCTTGAAATCAGGAGCGGTCCTGGCGCTGTAGCTCTTGCCTTCAACAGCCAACGTGCTTGATAACACCTTCAAATCAAAATGCTTAATTTCTTGTCAAGAAAGCACCCTCAGTCGTGATGTAGGCCCTTTATTCTGGTTTCTGCTTCATGTGGTTTTCCTCCTGCTAAGTACGATCACTTGAGAAAAGCAACAAGTCAGTGCCGTAGTTGTTTTTTTCCTACCCGTTTGTTGTTCTCACCGAGGGGGAAACAGTGTTGGTGAGAATCTGTCGACAATTATTTTCCCCAGAGTCTGTAGAGCTATAATTATCTTTCTCTGTTAAAGAGCACTCTTAATGCCTAAAATCTGAGCCCCCACTGTAGTGTGACCAGGAAAATTCTAAGAGAGGAAGGAATTGGAGAAAAATAGATGTGAAAGATGCAGCTGGCTTGGGAATTTGGGAGCAGCTGGAGAATATTAATGAATGACTTTGGATGGCAGCGCCAAACAGGTCCTGGATTGTCTATGCTAAAGAACAACCTGTGAACTAAATAAAATAAAGACCAGCCAGACTCTTTGGTGCTCTGATTTTTTTCCACCAAATGCCTTTTAGTTACTTGTCTTTTTAGCATTTGACGAGTGTTCGTACCATACTCAATCTTACACTCCCATTTTTATACCTGTCATGCCCTGTGGTCCATATTTTTTTCTTGCCTGGAATCTATTCCCTTCTCTTCTCTTTCCTACTCTATAAAAAAATGGGACCTCCCCTCTTTTCTTTATAATATCCTTGTTTCTGCAACATCTCTCCCCACTACCTTTCCTCACCAAATTTATTTCTTTTCCAGTAGAATTTTCTGGTCACATGAAGTACATAAAATACATGATATACACACCTTATATGTGAAATATAAAATACCCAGACAAGGGTTTTGCCCTCAAATTTTTTATGCCTTCCCAGAAATACTAATTGGTGAGGTTTCCAATAGGAGCCGCTCTATTAAGATTTACTGGGTCTTTGTTCTACAGCAACTAAGAGAAAAGTTTTATAAATACTACTTAATTCTATGACATCTTTAAACAATTCCAGTTTCTACCTCTAGGAAATGATTACTTTAAAGTGCTTGTGGAATAATGCTTGATCAGTGAATAAACTTTTATGTTGGGGAATACTATAATAAGAGAAGTGAGACTTTCCCCCCAGTATATGATATGATAATAAAATCATAACAGTGATTTTCATTTGGGGTTTATGAAATTGATTTCATGACTTTATAATCACTCAATAGATGTGCAGACGAGCACAGCTTTCCTGGATGTAAACTGATGAAGAGTAAAGGAGTTTCTGGCAAATGGCAAAAAGGCAACATCTGGTGGGAAAACCATCCATCTAGGTTTAATGACAAGCTGCTCCAGGAGCTGTGTCAATGTGATACCTTATCTGTTTGTGTAAAATGAACTGACCGCCTGCCATCTTGCATGCCTCCAGGACAATGCCATCCTTCATATTCCTCCAACCAAAGCAAGCACAGCACATGGGAGAAGGGCATTTGGCATCTGCTGCCCCCAGGGTCTTCCTCATCCACCACTTCTGGTTCCTTTCATCTGGAAAGAAGACCTCTTCCATCTTCCATGCAGCTAGCAGTCATCAGGGGAGACACCCTGCGGGGCTTTGATTCTACAGATCTTTCTCAAAGGAAGCTTAGGACCCGTGGGAATGGCAAAACAGTAAGGATGGGGACCTTCTGGGAAATGATGTGCAAAATACATATTAAAAGGATCAGAAGATATTAATAAGTATTCTGAAACACTGAAGAAGCTGTTTTGATTCTCATAGTGAGTGGGGGCCATGGTTCCTTGCACAGTTATGCAGTGCCTTCTGTATACAAAGATCTTGAGGCTGCCTTGCTTCTTTAATTGTACTGAGGTGATAGATATGCTGATTCATCCATATGATTTCTTCTTTGATTCCTTTTGTGACCAAGACAAATAGGGAATGATCCATGACCCTGAAATAGAGTGAGATGAAATGATGCGATTGGGTGTGGAAGCCATGGCTTTGACCTTATTAACACAGCATTCTAACCATTGCATACTCTCATATGTGCACACGCGTGTGTGTGTGTGTTCTTGGACCTGTGTACTATAGATATACCAAAAAATAAAGATGTACTTTTTCCCTGACTGGAACTCTGTATGTGTGAATCCACACAACAATCATAAATTCTGATTAGGCCTAGTGATTTTTGAAATTCCAATGATTTGGGCGTGGGAAATCTTAAGATTACATATGTTTTGTAATTGTTCAGACATTAGCAAGATCTTACTTGGTGGTTTTACCCTATTGCTAGTTATTAGTCAATCCAATTCTGTTCATATTTTGTTCTCTGTCAATTTCAGGTTCGTCCATCCTCTGTTTATAGAAATGGAACAGACATCATCTATAATGTAAGTGTAGTCACAGAATTGCTAAATTTCTTATATTTATGGATGCAAGTATTTAATGAAGCTATTATTTTATATTTTTTATATTTATACATTTCTCTTAAAAAATTGTTTTGAAATTAGAGGCTTGGGTGTTCAGAGAAACAAATCCTCTTATCTTTTTGCTTTGACTGAATTTTTGAATTGCTCATTTTTTTGTTTGCTATCTTGATGTTTGTTTTTTCCTTATTGTTGTTGATTGTTGGTTTCCTCAAGTATCATGGGATAGTTTCCTTGAAACTGGAGGATGACAGTTTCCCAACTCACAAAAGGAAGGCCAAAGTATCCATCATTAGTCAGCCACAAAAGACAATCAAAGTGGCAGAACTGCCTCAAGCAGATAAGGTGGAATCCACAACTGACTCACACTTCCCCAGACAGGTATGAAAATCTTTGTTCCTTCTTACTCACCTTATAACAAGTTGTTTGCTGGGCCAGAAACACACTTAATTCACAAAATAGCCTCCAAGGTTGGGGGGATAGTTTACCCAACACAAATGCTTCCCAACAAATGAAGACCCAAAGGAGGTGAATGTGTGAGCAACTTTCCTTAAGTCAATTCTAAATTGCTAAATTGCCTTTCCTTCCCAAAGGACCAGTTGCCCTCATTTCCAAAGAACTGCACTCTGGAATTAAAGGGACTCTTCCATTTTGAAGAAGGCATCCAGAAGCTGTATCAGTGCAATGGGATCGCCTGGAAAGCCTGGAGTCCCCAAACCAAGGTAGGAGGCAGGCTGAGCAGCCAAGCACCTTTATTCGCAATGTGCTCTATGATAAGCTAATAGAGGGGAACCATCTGGTGCATGACTCAACCCATGCTACATCTTCCTGCCATTGTTAACAACTTGAAGGCCAAGAGGAAAAAATGGCCCAAAGTGGCTTTTTAAAAATCACAAAATATGTTAGTTAAATCAATACCATTTAAGAAGATGTTTACTTATTTTGTTCAGTTATCAGAGTGTCAAAGTTGTAACAATGAAACGTTGCTGACTGTGGTAGTGTTTTCTGTAAGAAGCCATTGTATTTCTCAAGATGGAGAATTGGGATTAGGGCTGACTCCCTTTGTGGTAACCAAACTACTTGACTGAAGTTAGGGAACTCGTAGGACTCCTTATGCTGAACCAACTCCAGATTGTAAAGACCATTATGATATGAACACAGACAACTGTTTTTCAGGATGTGGAAGACAAATCCTGTCCAGCCGGGTGGCACCAGCACTCAGGCTACTGTCACATCTTGATCACAGAGCAGAAAGGCACCTGGAATGCGGCTGCCCAAGCTTGCAGGGAACAGTAAGGCACCCTATTGCACATTTGATTGGTGTTTTCTTTTCTCTATTTCTCTATTTGCTCATGGAAGCGGAGAGCTGCTTCATTCATTCAACAAGTATTGAGTGCCTAATATCTGCCTGGCTTTGTTTTAGGAGCCCTGAGGGAGTTCCCTAGTTCAGAATGGATTTGTGATGGGCCTTGATAATGTATTTGGTTGGTGCAAAAGTACTTGCAGTTTTTGCCATTACTTTTGCACCAACCTAATATTTGACTGAGCTCTTTTCTGTTAAAGCTGCACCATTGCCATGTTTCTTTTTCTTTTATTTTCTTTTCCTATCTCAGTCTTTGTGAGGAAATCAGAAGATTTTCTGAGTCAGCAGCATTGCAGTTTCTTTTTTTATGTGATAAGAATTCCTGCCCATTTAATTGAAAGTATATAGTAATGAAAAGCCTTATAACGTCGGGCCTCTAGCAATGCGATTATACAGCAATGATTATAAAGCTGGGCAAGTAAGACAAAGGCTCACTGGGTAAAAGAACATTCAATAAAGGATAACTTATGGTCAGAGAATGACAACCAATGTATGTAGTCCAGAAGGACTTTAAAAATGCATATGTACCTATCCCTGACCCTCCTTTTTGTTTGCCAATCTGGATATTATCTAAACAACACAATTAGACTAATATGCCCTATGGCTGGAAATTGAGACTAGGGAAGTCTCTGGTTATTATTGATCTGATCTCGTACTTCATAAAATTTAAAAAGTTATACACATCTAAAGACTCCATTAAGAAAATGAAAGAGCAAACCATATTCAGAAAAAGCTGTTCTCAAATCATAAACCTGATAAAGGTCTTAAACCCAGAAAATACAAACAACTTCAACAAATCAATGACAAAATGACGATTCAAACAATAATAAATGATTTGGAGTCTTCGCAAGAGTAGATGTCCAGTTGGTCAATAAATAAATGAAAAGCTGCTCAAAACCGTTAGATATTAGGTAAATGAAAATGAAAACCACAATGAAATACCACTTCACACCTACTAGAATAGTTTGAAGTATAAATATGACAATCCAAATTTGTTTTTAATTTTTAAACTTTTATTTTAAGTTCAGGGGTAAATGTGCAGGCTTGTTACCTGGGTAAATGGTATGTCATGGGGTTTGTTGTAGAGATTATTTCAACATCCAGGTATTAAGCCTATTACTCATTAGTGATTTTTCCTGATCTTCTTCCTCCTCTCACTTTCCAAACTCCAATAGACCCCACTGTGCGTTGTTCCCCTCTATGTGTCCATGTGTTCTCATCATGTAGCTCTCACTTATGAGAACATGCAGCATTTGGTTTTCTGTTCCTGCATTAGTTTGCTACAGATAATGACCCCCAGCTCCCTCCATGTCCCTGCAAAGGACATAATCTTGTTCTTTTTTATGGCTGCATAGTATTCCATGGTGGACAATACCACATGTTGCTAAAGATGCAGAGCAAATAGAATTCTCATGTGTTGTTGGTAGAAGTGTAAAATGGTACAATCACTTTGTAGAACTGTCTTACAGTTTCTTATAAAGTTATATGCATCTACCCTATGACCTAACATATTCTACTCCTAGGTATTTAACTAAAAGAAATAAAAATACATACTAAAAAAGCTTCATAAAAATGTTGTATAATAACTTTATTCATAATAATACTAATTTGGGTCATTTGTTTTTTGTTATTGATGTTTAGAAATACTTGATATTTTCTCCATCAGCAAGAGAATAAATTTTTGATAAATTATTTTATAAGTGATGGAATAAAATACTGAAGCGTCCAACAATGTAGATAAATCAAAAATGGAACATAGAGAGAAAGCAGCCCTACACAAAAGAATACTTATTATATGATTGCATTTATATAAATAAGATAATATAATCTATGTTGTTAGAAATAAAAAATTGTTATCTTTGGTAAGATTGTGGAATGACTAGAAAATAGCACGAGGTAACGTTCTAAAGTAAGAGAAGTGTTCAATGTCTTATTGTAAGTGGTTATTAAATAGATGTATATACAATTGGCAAAATTCATCAAATTGAATATTTAAAAATCTATTCATTTTATTATATGTAAATTATACCCAGATTTTTTTTAAAGCGAATAAAATGTTTTAAAAGTGTGTTCAAAAACTAGTTAAACCACCTTTTTCTCTACTGGTGTATTTCATGTTTTAACTGTGAGTAGAGTCACCAGAGAGGTTAATCAGTGGCTTTCAGGGTTTTTTTGGTTGATAAGTTGGTGGTATCAAATAAGATAAAATATTAAAATTTTTACAAATAATAATTGCTTTAAATACATATATTTCCTTAGTGCTACATGTTAAAGAACAAATAAGACATTCTTCCGTCATTAAGATGGTTAAGCTGTTAAAATGACATCTTAACTAGATGTCATTTAGTTTGTCGTAATGCACTGAAAGCTCCAGTAGAAGTAGTGGTATTGGTCTTTTTTTCTCCTTGAGGAAAGGGCTTTGATGTTGATCAAAAGCTATCTAAACTAGCAAGAAGATGATTGCAGTATGCAACAAAAGGGAGAATACTATGGTGTCTCTGCTTACAAAATTAAGGGAAAGAGTAGTTATACTCCAGCCAAAGTTATCAAGGTTAGGTGATTGCTGGGATTTGTTGATAAAATGTAGATGAACAGAACTTCCCACCTTGAAGTTTAGAAGCTATCTTTTGTTCATCTTCCAATGGTTCTTAAAGGCCAATGCAAGTAACTGGTCTATAATGAAGCTTTCATTGGTTCTTAATGTATGAGAAAAATAAGGACAGTAAGTATTGAGAAATATCTTTCCATTCAGTCATGGATGGTGGTGTCACATTGCCAAGTGTGTTTTTTTAAAGGACTGTTCTTTATTACGAGATTATAATAGTCTAGCTTTTTATTGTCAAAAACTACTTTTTATGAAATAATAGCAACTTATAACATTGTCGATGCCCTCATGTTGACAAACCTACATCAGTCTCCCATCATCTTTTGTTTTCATTTTATTGTTCCATCTATTAATAATTGTGACTAGGTTCTATTGGTGAGTAGCAATGAGTTCTTCACGTATCTATGAATACTGTACCATTCGATCATCACAATAATAAACTTAAGGCCTAAATTAATTTAAAAGCATAGATACTTTCTCATGCACTTAATCTAAGATTTCATCTGCAGCTTGGTTTTAAGCACCTTCACCCATGACCCTTTTATATTAGCCTGACTGTAGTTCTACATGCCTCCTTGTCAATAATGTCTTACTTTTATATTTATAGTATATGAAATTGTTTCACATGCATTAGCTTATTGGATCCTTCCATCACTTCTCTTATCTACAGTTTATGGATTTATTTTAAAAAGAGGTTCAAGGAAGCGAAATCACTTGCTCACAGGTATACAAGGAAGTAAATGAAAGAGATAGAATTTAGTTTTTCATCCTTATACTCTCTAAAACAGGTCCCCTAAGTATAGCAGGTTTCTCATCATAGGTGTACTGACAAGTATGTCTATTTTAACTATGTTTTGAGGTAACCCAAAGTAGATTTTCAAAATTATGTGTTAATAATTGTTTTTCTCTCACTGCAAACACATATAAGATTTTTATTAAATTATGGATCCTAAGTTTCCTCTGGATTTGAATCAAACTAACCTTTCAAGGCGAACCTAAGGTATGATCAAATTCCTAGTTTATAGATACATTCATTTAACAAATATTTCTGAAAGTCCTTTACAGAGGGTCATTCACAACACCCATATTTCCACAAGGACAGCAAATTTTGCTTTATCCTTTGTCCCTAACCAGATTGCTAACTCAACTTAATCTTTATCTCTAGTCTTCTTTCCTCCCCAGTGGTGTTTTATTATTTTTCTAAGTCAAAGGAGCCAGACTCCTAGATTATGCACTTCTTGAATTTACATGTTGTAATCTCATCTGCTCATTTCCTCAGGCAGTCATTGTACATTTGGTAATTATATTATTATAGAGCATTATCTATGAAGCCATTTTGTTTTCCCGCAGGAGTGTCTGGAACCCCTGCTGGCCTATCCTTAGAGTTACCCTGAAGTCTACCTATACTTAATCAAAAATTTTCAGAGAAGTAGATGTTTATTTCTATAGCCAGAAAAATTAAAGCTTCTGTTTCTAATTCTATACTACAAATATTTGTGTATGTGTACCTATTTATAATTTTATATCCATATATACACCTATACAGATAATACCCACCACATTTTATATGTATGTGAGCATAAAATAAAAGGAGTGATATTTTTCTAAAATAATAAACATATGAATACCTAAATGTTTCTTTTGCGAATAACTATGCTCTTAACATTTTACCTGTCTTGAAGCAGAGCTATCTTCCCATCTCACTCTTTTGGAACTTCTTGCTTTCTGGAGAGTCAAAAAGAAAACCGAAATTGTACTTGGGCAGCTAAAATGGATTTTACCAAGTTTGTTTTAAAGATAGCTTCAGGAATCTTCAAGCTAGAGAAGATGTTAAATATCCTTGAATAAAACCCATTATATCCTGATGCTGAAGTTGAGGCTGCAAAGTTAGGGAATTTCAGTAAGCAAATTAGTTCAATAAGAGAATTAGGGAATTCAGTCAGGGAATTAAGGGGTAATCAGGAAGTAGAATCCTAGTCTCTCATGCTCTGTACAAAATGTCATAGTGACTGGGACAGTCCCTCAAGCCCTCCCTCAGCTTATATTTAACCCAAGTTTCATATTGTGTGTTCTAAGCCTACAGCGCTTTAGAGTGAGCGTGTTGGATGTGTTGGGGAGGGGAGGAGAGGAGATGCCTCATCATACCTGCTGTAACTGTCAGACAGGAGCTGAGAGTCAATAATGAGGTCAGAGCCAAGTCACAAAACCCAATCCAGCGGTCTAAGGCCATTCAGTGGAGGGGCAAAGAGCCTTATATATCTAAGAAGGCCTAGAAATCATCATTGCATCAGACAGCAGCAAAATACTGTTATTAGTAGAGGGAAATCCTTTAAAAATAGACAAATTATGTTCACCATATCTAGTCTGGAAAAGCAGAGAAATAGATCTGAATTTTGAAAAGACATAGGCAAAATAAATAAAATTAAATTTAACAGCTATCTGCCCGAATGTGTTGCTAATTTTGTTTCCTACTTTTCTTTTCATATCAATGGATATTAACCAGGCAAAAAGATCATGGTGATTTAATTTTTTTCCTTGTTTGATTTTTTAAGTGTTTAAAATTATTTTTTAAAATTTAATTTTATGTTTAATTGACAAATAATACAAATTACATTGTAGGGTACAATGTAATGTTATGATACATGTATACATGATATATTTGTTTCTTGTTTGAAACTTTCTGTTTTTTTTATTTTTAAAGAAGAAAGAATTACTTAGTGGCTTCTTACTTAAAGCATTTTTAAAGAGGTTTTAATGAGCACTGCTGGGGAATTAGGCACAATCAAATATCGCTTCTAGGAATAACTCAGTTAGCTGCAAAAATAATTTATAAAAAATTCTGTTTTGTGAAAAATATTTTACATATGTTTGTAAAAACAAGCACTTTAATTTCTGTGCATTATATGAAGGTTTGACAGTTGGGGCTATACTCATTTCATTGAGTATAATGAAGTCATAATAATGTGTTTATTTGGCTAAACCCACTAAGCTCCAAATTTAAACCTGAAGTAATTTTATCTAAATAGTTAGTTTGGGTTAACTTACTCATCAAATTAACTTGGTATTTGCCAAATTTATACCAGCTAGAAATACACTTATGAGAAGAATAGTATTTTGTCATTAAATAAGTAATTGTTATAAGTAGGCAGTTGCTGATTTTCCAAAAAGATGTTTGAAACCTACTGTTTATGTTTGAAAACCTATCGATGTTTTTTGCTGTAAAGCCCAGATATTATAATAAACCATCACTTTCTTTGATGTCACCTACCCCCACCCTGCAGATACTTTTTAAATAAAACTGCACTATTAAAATCTTAGAAAGTTTTTTTAAAGACCTACTTTTTTGTGTATTTTAAACTTACTTTTATTTCTGTTATGCATTTCGTATCAGCAGAAATGTTAACTGCTTGTTGCTGATACTCTCATTTTCATTTGCATTTAGATACCTGGGCAACCTTGTAACTGTATTCTCCAGGCAGCACATGCGGTGGCTCTGGGACATTGGTGGGAGAAAGTCCTTTTGGATAGGCAAGTATCTGGGAGGGAGGCTGCACTGAGGAGGGAGGCAAGGACATGAAACAAACAGGCACCACCACCCTGCTACTTCCTTCCATGGGTTAAATGATAGTGGTTTACAATAATAGGCAACCAATAGATCTAGCCATTTATCTTTTAAAACTCATCTTAAACCTTTTTTTTGACACACTACTTTCATTTTTAGACATCTATCCCAAAGAAATAAATAGGAATGTGGTCAGATTGACAGGCAAGAGAATTCAATGCAATAACATTTCTAAAACCAAAAAATTAGAAATTGCTATAACTAAAGAATGGTTAAATAAATTATAGTACAGCCACATGAAGGAATATGTAAGATTTAATGTTTTTGCAAGCCATTAAATAATAAAGACATGAAAAATTGCCTTACGTTTATTAATTCATTTAACAAATATATGTTGGATGCACATTATATTACATATAAAATGTAAAGTGTATTCCATTTATGGCAAGGTGCAAAGTGAAAATGCAGGGTCCACATCCATATAAAGTATGAAATAATTTAGAATAAAAACAATTATATGCATGTGGTGTATGTATAAATATAAATATATATTATATTTGTATATATAAATATATATAATATTTACATATTGGAATATATACATATATTCATATATATATGAATATATATATATGAATTATATATATATATATATATATATATATTCCAAATAATTAGAAATGACTTACCTCCAGTCAAGAATTATAGGTAGGCTGGGTATGGTGGCTCACGCCTGTAATCCTAGGACTTTGAGAGACCAAGGCTGGAGGATTGCTTGAGCCCAGGATTTCGAGATGAGCCTAGGCAACATAGTGAGACCTTGTCTCTGTGAAAAATTTAAAAATTAGCCAGGCATGGTGGCAGCTAACAGTAGTCCCACCTACTTGGGAGGCTGAGGTGGAAGGAGTGCTTGAGGCTAGGAAGTTGAGGCTGCAGTGAGCCGTGATTGTGCCACTGCATTCCAGCCTAGGCAACAGAGCAAGACCCTGTCTCAAATAATAATAATAATAAATATAGGTGATTTTAATTTTATTCCCTCTTTTCTGAAGTCTTAATATTTTCTACAGTTTTAACAATAATAAATCTTTTTTTTTTTTTTTTTTTTGAGACAGAATCTCACTGTGTCACCCAGGCTGGAGTAGAGTGGTGCAATCTTGGCTCACTGCAACTTCCGCCCCCTGGGTTCAAGCAATTCTCCTCCCTCAGCCACCTGAGTAGCTGGGATTACAGGTGCCCACTACCACACCTGGCTAAGTTTTGTATTTTTAGTAGAGACGGGGTTTCACCATGTTGGCCAGGCTGGTCTCGAACTCCTGACCTCAGGTGATCCACCTGCCTCGGTCTCCCAAAATGCTGGAATTGCAGGCATGAGCCACCGCACCCGGCCAAATGACAAATCTTTTAAACCACTTTAAAAACAGAATTTTCAGGGCGCATCAAAGTCAGTATCCCCACTACTTCTCTTTAAAGGCGTTGTATTTGAGGGAACTGTAATAGTTCCCTCTCTTGGCTTTCACTATTTCTGCAGTGCTCAGTGGGTCCCTAAATTCTGAAATGAACTGAGTATTAAGAGACAAGCTGGAGGATAAGTTTTCTCTACATCCATAATGACTCACTGCAAGGCTCTGTCCTCACAATATGCTTAGGCAGAATGTCACTAATCAATAATTCAGGGAGGGCATTCCTAACCAAAAGTATTTCATTTCATTCCACCCAAAAATACAGACTGAAAAACAGTTGGGGAAGGTAAAATGTTATGTATCTAGGACTGTTTTCATGGTCAAATTTGATTTGGGGAATGTCGGATCATGCTATGGCAGGGAGTTCCTTTCTCATTTTATTCTTTTTTATTTCTATTATGAAAGAGAGTGAGTAGGGGAATGCTTAAGAAAATATTACAGAAGCTTTACAACATTAAAGTGTAATTTGCAAAATTTGCCAGTGGAGGTAGAGAGGCAAGTCGAGAAAATCTGCTTTTTATTGGAATTGTAGCAGATTGAAACATCTTAAGCTCCAGACTCAAAATAATACATAGTAAGCTACTTTCAAATATGAAAACCAGGACATTTAAATAATGAGGAAGAAAAATAATATGCAAGAGAATATCTGTTTCCCTGTGATAGGAGTTCTGCATGTAGGATGATATGAATAATAATAATAGCTGCCATTTATTAAACACTTATATATGCCAAGAGCTTTACATGCATTATCTTTTTTAATCCTCAAAACAACCCTAGATGTACTATTTTTATGCCCATTCCTTAGATGAGGAAACTGAAACTCAGAGAGGTTAAGTAACCTGCCCAAAGATGCTCATCTAGCAAGTAAGTGGTAGAGCTAGAATTGGACTGGGATTTGTTTGACCGTTTGTGTCTTAGAGTATTCCAAGTTCCTATCCCTTGTTTTAGAACCTGGGCCCACACTTGCATGTGATAACTGAGCTTAGAGCAACAGCTGGATATGATATCTAAGTATAAACGCAATAAAAGTAATTGGTACATTCTTTTGGTTCACATTAGGTTTGAACGACCAAGTGCATGCTGGCCACTGGGAGTGGATCGGTGGTGAACCTGTTGCCTTCACCAATGGGAGAAGAGGGCCCTCTCAACGCTCCAAGCTTGGAAAGAGCTGTGTTTTGGTTCAAAGACAAGGGAAATGGCAAACAAAAGACTGTAGGAGAGCCAAACCTCATAATTATGTGTGTTCCAGAAAACTCTAAATATAACAGACCCTACAGGGGGCCACCTGGAGTTTGTCACCTATTTATTCACAGGATCTGTGAATATTGCTCCATAGAAAACAAATTGTTATGATTGAGTGGGTATACCTTTGTGATTCTGTCTAGTGAAAATGGGACATTTTTAATAGTGCCAGAAAGATTGATAAATAAATATTTTTTACAAGATAAGATACAATTTTTGTATCTCAATACCTTTTAAAATAAATGCCAGCAGTATTATAAAGTGTAAGGTTTGTTTATTCCAGAAGACCCTCACCCTTACCCCATTCCAAATCTCAGGGAGCACCAGTCTCATAGTCCTTGGATTTTTTTAAAAAAAATTTTTGGTCCCGTTACCTCTAATGAATTTATTCTGAAATATGTATCGTAGGTGCTCCTACCACTTTAGTCTGAGTGAAGCTAACTCTACTAGTTCATTAAACCAAAGTTGAACCGCAAAGTTGTCCCTTTGGAGCCCTTTAAATGTGAAATCTAAGATTAGAGGCTGGGGTTGAAAAAGAGAATTTTCTATGATGAAAAAGAAAGACTTTAGATGAAAGAATCTTGTAGGTGGAGGCTCATCTACAAAGCTGTAGTTCAGGTAAGAATTCGGGGGGCTGGCTGTACTCAGAGTTCTACTCATCACTATTCATGAAACAGATCTCCCTTTCCAATTTGAGTGTTGGCATTGTACCATCCCAAAGCTAATGATTGGGTTTCCCCAGCCTTACAGAGTCATGAGAAATTTCAAGTAACATAATCTGTTCCTCTGTGTTTATTGTACTGACAAGCATTTCTCAGGGACACTTGGGATAAGGAGTATATATGAATGATGGTTGACACATGGAAGAAAAATACTGCTTCCTCAGAAATGTCCTGATGAACTGTGCTGATGAACAGAGAAAAATAATACCGAAAACAGAGCCCCTGAAAGCCTACATTCTCGGAAAGGATTTTGAGGAATTTTGAGCCACCTTAAATCTTTAATATTTGCAGAAATGCCATGTTAACTAGATTCTCTAACGGAAAGGTACCTTATTAATTTATAATCTCAGGTGAGTGGAACATTTTTGTAACAATGAAGTATGTTGCAGCGTTACCAGAACTCCCTTCTGAAATCAAGGTTTAACAGTTATAGGAAATTAGAATGTCTGAAACATTTATTTAAAGTTTTTCTCTTTTCATAATCACTGAGAAATATGGTTGTGCCAAATGTCACTTGCTCTATGAGCACCAATGTAACTTCAGAATCAAATTGGGGTTATCAAGTAGGCTAGAGCTCTGGTGCTGGTTTTATTATAAAAATACCTTGAGTGTTGTAGACACTAAAACTGCTTGAAGAAAGTCAGTTCAGTTTCTGGGATATAAAAACATGGCAAGCTTTTTTTATTTCAGTTCATTTATCAAGGTTGTAATTAATAGAAACATTTAGAAAGAGATATTGGAATATGATCCAGACATTCTGTCTATTACTTAAATCTAAACATAATTATAGTGTCAGAGGGTCCTTACCTGAGATGTCGCAGGTGGGCTCCAGATTGGCATAATGTACAGGTTCTCTGTGAGACACAAGCAGTTTCTGGCATTTAACCAAAAGATGCCACACCTATCCTCTTACCAGCTCCTTTCAAATTCCTTCTGGTCCACAGGCTTCTTGCAGTATGGAAATGTGAGATTTGGGCTAAAGAAAAAATAGTTGTTTACCTAAAGGGTTAAGTCCTAGGAAGGAAGTAGAAGTTTGGGAAATGAGGGATTCAAGGGCCACTCCTTCCACTGGAACTCTAAAACTATATAAACCATCTAAAACTGGAAATCTAGAACTATGTCAACTGTGTAGAACCTTGTCAGCATGGCAGATTTATTATACATTTCTGCAATATAAATGATAAATGATACTGAACTAATTGCAAATGTTAGCATAAAGAGTGTTTTGATTTTTATAACAATTAGAAATGCTACAAGAATATTTAAAAATATTCCTGATCATGAAAGCATTAATCAAATTAGAAAATCCAAGTCATTTTAAGAAGATAAAAATAGAAATTCAGGCAAGTTTGGGTGATGGGCGGTATTCATCACAACCTTCATTTTATTCTTACAATTGAGCTTTGACTCAGGGGGAAAAGAAGTAAATGATTGTCAAGGTTCCCTCTGCCTTGATTGATAGTTTCTGATGGGAGTGGGAAGGAAGGAATTGGAGTAATGGGTAGAATGGGAATGAGAGATTACGGGAGAGAGAGATGAGATGGGTTGAACAGAAGAGGATGGGAACTGATGGTAGCTAGGAAGGAAAGCGTCAAGAAGGACCTGAATGTACCCAGCTTTTCTCCCCAAACTTCAATACCACCTCAGGAAAAGGCCCACTGTGTCCAGGGGCGTCAGTCCAGCTCAATAGTGTCTAGCTTTTCAGAATCTTCTGATTGTTTGGTCTTTAACAAAAACATAGCATCTATTTGCTAACAATAAACTTAAGCAACATATGATAATCATTTCATCTCCTTCCAAGAAGTGGTGAAAATGAACCAGGTGACATTAATTTAACTTCTGTTTTTGTTTATTTTTAATACAACCAAAAAGATATGCACATATTTTAATTTACATTATGGTACTGTATAATTTAAACCATAAACTGGTGCTGATTAATTTCTGCAACAAAGCAGCATATTAAATGTACTACATCTAGTGTTGTAGCAAAATTAATAAACTTGTTTTAAGTTCTGAGACACTTTCCTTTAGCTTTTAACGTTTTATCTTATTCCTGGGGGCACATGGGTTTTGGATTTTAGTGATTCTATTTAGCAAGGGATGGAGGAGAAAAGTCAACATGTTTTTTATCTTTATTGGTCAGACCAGCCTTTCGTTGTATCGCTTCCATGTGTCCATACATCCAACCACCATTCATTTGACAAATATTGAACATGGCATGCCAACCATGCAACTGACATTGTTCCAGATACTGGAGCTATTGTAGGGAATAAGATAAAAACAGAAGTATAAAAGCATAGCATATATATGCAAATTTATAATAGCTTTTTACACCTCAAGCTTTTTATCAGGAAGGAAGTCACAGTGGAAATCAGTGATTACATTATCCCTTTTCCTAATTGAAGGGAAACACACAGATACAAACAGCTCAGGCTGAATTTTGTTATATTTCTTTCTTGATTAAGAAACTGATATTAACTTCCTAACTTTTAATCAGGTCAAAGTGTTATTGATAGCAGCCGTCTCAAATTTTCTGTCTCCAGAATCAAGTTAGGAACTAAAGTTTTTATATCTAGTTAATTGATTTTGTAACAACTACTTTTTCCAAAATGATGAGTACATGTCTCTGTATTTTAGGGATTCCTAGAATAACAGAAATTAAAGAGAGATACCTTTGATATCATCTTATTTAATACTCTTATGTTACAACAGAGAAAGTTACTGTGTGAAGAAATCAGCACTAGAACTGAGGTCTTCCACATTTTAGGCTGAATCTTTTCTAATTATTCCACATATCTATTAGCATTCTGAGCAGATAGTTTTATTATATTCAAGTAAAATATACTCATCTTTGAATGATGAGTATAATAAAATTCACCGTATACTTGAAAACACTATCATAAGCAAAAGGCAGACACAAAGGGTCACATATTTTGTGATTCCATTCATATGAAATGTTCAGAATAGACAAATCTATAAAGACAGAAAATAGATTAGTGATTTCCAGGTCGGGGAAGGAGGATTGGGACTAACTGCCAATAGGTACGGAGTTTCTTTTTGAGATGATGGAAATATTCTGGAGTTATAATAGTTGTAGTGGTAATCGTTGCAGAAACAGTGGATATACTAAAAACCACTGAAGTATACTGTTTTAAATGGTAAATTTTATGTGAAGTGTATCTCAATAAAAATGTGATTAAAATCACCATATAAATTTTATTTTAAAAAGCTATAAATGGGTTGATGTAGCTATATGTTTCTCTTGCTTATCCAAGATACATTACTCCGTCTTTGCCCCATGTCTCACCCGGGCTTTTGTTTATTTGTTTATATAGTTAGTTAAAGGGAACAAAATGCTGATTTGACATATTTTAAATTTATGGTACTGTTTTATTGATCTTCCTCTCCTTTCTCTCTATCAATCACGGGGGGACTATTACTAATGGCAAAGTGTGTCTGGATGTCTGTAGTGTGCAGAACACCGTGATTTTCTCAAAATTAATTTTACAAGCCTTTAGAACAGGATCGTGCAGGAAATGAATATACTATCCTCATAACTTACACATATAACTTCATTTTGAGCAGTTTTTATAGGTCTTATATTCTGTTAGGCAATAAAGTTTAGTTTATCTTAAGACAGAAAGGAACAAAAATCAACCAACACTTCCATTAAAGGCCTCATGGTAACCCCCAACACTTTTTCCAAGCAATGACGTATGAGTTCACCTTTCGCTTCTATCCCCATGTGTATTTTTGCTTTCCAAAAGCAGTCAATCTCAACTTATCCTACAGAAAAAAAAAAAAAAGTTTGAATCCAGCTATATGCTGCCTGCAAGGAACATACTTTAAACATAAATAAACACATTAAAAGTAAAAGAATGGAAAAAGATATACCATACTAAAACTCATCAAAAGAAAGCTGGAATGGATAGATTAATACCAAACACAGCAAATTTTAGAGCAAAGAATATTGCCAAGAATAAAGAAGCTTATTTCATAATGTTAGTGGGTCAATAGGTCAATACATCAAGAGAACATAATAATTCTAAACATTTATGTACTAATAAAGTTTTGTTTGTTTGTGTGTTTGTTTGTTGTTTGTTCTTCTGAGATGGAGTTTTGCTCTTGTTGCCCCAGGCTGGAATGCAGCGGTGTGGTCTTGGCTCACTGCAACCTCTGCCTCCTGGGTTCAAGCAATTATTCTGCCTCAGCCCCCTGAGTAGCTGGGATTACAGGCACCCGCCACCATGCCTGGCTAATTTTTGTATTTTTAGAAGAGACAGGGTTTCACCGTGTTGGCCAGGCTGGTGAACTCCTGACCTCAGGTGATGCGCCTACCTTGGCCTCCCAAGGTGCTGGGATTTCAGGTGTGAGCCACTGCGCCCTGCCTACTAATAACAAAGTTTTAAAATGCACGAAGCAAAATGTGGTAGAACTTCAAAGAAAAATAGATAAATCTATACTTACAGTCAGAAATGTCAATACCTCTTTCTCAATAATTGAGGGAATAAGTAGACAGAAAAATCAGAGTATAGAAGCATGGACACTATTAACAAAGTTAACTTAATTGAAATTTATAGCATATTCTATCCAACAACAGCAGAATGTACATTATTTTCAAGTGCACATGACATATTTACTAGGCAGACCATATTCTGGGACATAAAATAAGTCTCCATAAATTTTAAAGGATTCAAGTCATACAAAATATGTTTTTTGACTACAATGGAATAGTATTGACCACACTTGGAATAGGGTGACAACTTCAAGCAGTGCTTGTTCTCACCAGTAACCAACCCCAGCAGGAAGGAGGAGCTGGGGGTGGGAGAATTAGGGTTTTAAGTTGCCATATCACAAGTGAGAACTTTCCTGTGTGCTAGGACATTTGTGTTCAACATGTGTTTTCAGTTCTCAGAGGAATCCACATGACTAAGGGAGTCCTTTCTAAAACCCCAGGACATCTTGCTTTCAGATGTGATCAATGATACACAAATCTCATTCTAAAGAGAGATAAATTAGGGAATAGTTTTTCACTTGACAGAAAGGATGATCCTATTTGCTTTGTTAATGGATTGGACTTGGGTGATATTTTCTATTGCCCAAAGAGCATAGCTCCTCCATGGAGCCATATTTTCAAAACTTCCTTTTACATTCAGCATTGAAAGAACACATTTGTTGCATATATTGAGGAGGACTGTTTGCAAATCATGCCCCAAATCAACATTTGAAGGTCTAAGTGCTGCTCATCAGAGAGAAAGGTGGTTCAGCGTATGTGGGAGTCAGTAAGGATTCAGGGCAGAAGCTACACAGAATGGCCCAGCAGGGACTGGCTCCCAGTAAATTATTTTCTTGCTTATAGATTTCCTACCCAGTAGAATCACTGAGGTGATTTTAGTGACTAGACACAAATAACAGGCTTCTTAGAGTTTAAGATTTGAACCAAGTTGAACTTTTGCGAATGTGACTAAGGCCTGCCAGCTTGATGGCAAACCTGGGCCCAGCATCAGGTACAACAGAAGGCAAACCCTGACCGGAAAATTGTGCTTTGCTTTTCATTTTATTGTCACAATTTTTCACAGTTTGCCTCATGCCACCTTGTTACTTAATTCCCACACCTCGGAGGAAAAATGTGTAATCTTTTAATATTTATGTTACTTAAGATACTTAAGATTATGTTTCTGCCTAGGTGTTGCCAAGATAGTCAAGCCAACTCTTGTGTATAGAGGGTAGAAAATATAAATCTGTCTAAACTCTTTCATGAAGTGAAGGTCTTAATATTTCCGAAGAGTTGAATTTGGTACTACTCTTGGAGAGCCTTAGAGAAGCGTTGTCAATACAAGGCGTCATTGTTTTAGGTTTCCTATCCATGACTTGCTTTTTTCCCCAACTTTCCTCTCTTTTGGCAACTTCTCCTCACATTCTGTCCTACATTTGGCCCTGAGTCAGTTGAAAGCTTTGCAAGTTGATTTTCCATTCCCATCTGAATTTTAGCTTAGCTGTGGAACTGTTTTCCATGTGTTTTTAATCATTTGTCCATGTGTTATGAGCTTATAGGGACAATATGGTTCCCCCAAGCTGCCTGCATTGTATAAGCAGAAACTGGCAAGGTGGCCAGTGGGGGAACAGTTTTCAGACAGATGCCCCCTACACTCATTTCTGTTGGTGATACACCACCCCCATGCTCCAACTGGAGTAAAACAATTTACAAGCTGCATAAAGTTACCCAACAGACATATAGTCCTCTGGCATGAATTACCTTTTTTAGGAGTGTGATTATCCTTCAGGGGAGACATGCCTGGGAACTGTGGCTGGTGTGACAATGTTCTAAGGCCTGCTCTGAGACTGTGGCCAGGCTGGGAAATGAAGAATGGTTTAGTCCCAGATTCCATGGAAATTTGATTTTAAAATAGAATCTAAACACAGAGAATTAAGTATAAGTTATCCAGGACAAAGCGATACTTCTTAGAAAGTAAAACACAACAAGGGCCTATGTCAGAAGTTTCCTTTCGCATTTTTATTGGACTCAGTATGTCAAAACAAACATCCATTCACCTCCTAAATGTAGACTGAGGGACCAGGAATGGAAAAGAAACAGAAAAATGCATTAAACAAAATCCCTTTTCTCAAAGTTGCTGACAATGTAGTCTCCAGCAAACATAATCCCTGCCCTTGAGGATCCTCTCTTCCTTGTTAGAAAGATATGCATGTACCCAAATTAAGACAAGCCCGAGGAATCACCGAATAGCCGAATCAAGAAGGAACTTGGCTTTTCAGAGTCCCAAATACATCTCAGTGACATGGAGGAGATGTCTCCCTTGTAAATCCAGAAGTGGATGTGAGAAAGTAGAGGTTGGATTGGGAGAAAGCTTGCCAATATTTGACTGGAAAACGCAGAAGACAACACTGAAGTACAGAACCTGAAAACTTCTATGGAATCAAGAAAATTTGAAATGATCAAACATTATATAAAAGCATCCAGTGGAGTGCAAAAGTTTGACCATTCAGGGTAGACTATGGAGTAAAGTGGTTGGAAAGGATGTGATTCCAACAGCAGTGTGGAAAGGAGAAACGAACTGGTGTGGTTTGATGGTCAAATGTAAGGAGACTCACTTATCTGATGGGTTCTATCTTTCTCTGCAGAAAAAGGGGTCATCTATCAAAAACGAGGAAAGAGGCAGAGCAGTCAAAGGTTTTAGGTAATTAGAGAAGATTTTCACTAACCCACATGGAAAATGAAAAGTGAGTTGAATAGAGGAATGAGAAGGATTGGTGAGCAGAGTTGAGGGTTCCGTTGAGACAGAAGGAAATTTGTATAGAATCCATTTTTGCCCATTTTGTCTGTGTCTCTAAAAGCACTCCCTATCCCAGGCGTGGGCCCAGTTAAGATGAACAGCTGGGTGTTTTCAGGGTTGGACTTTTTGTTGTTGTTGTTGTTTTAGAAAGACTCTCGCCCTGTCGCACAGGCTGGAGTGCAGTGGCACAATCTCGGCTCACTGCAGCCTCAGCCTCCTGGGCTCAAGCGATTCTCATGCCTCACCCTCCCAAGTGGCCAGGATTACAGGCGGGCTCCACTGTGCCTGGCTAATTTTTGTATTTTTAGTAGAGACAGGGTTTCACCATGTTGGCCAGGCTGGTCTCGAAGTCCTGAACTCAGGTGATCCGCCTCCCTCGGTCTCCCAAAGTGCTGGGATGACAGGCGTGAGTCACCACGTCCGGGCCCAGTGTTGGACTTTTATTAGATGTGTGTGAGAGAATAAAAAAGGGACTAGGGAAAATATTGCAAAAGTTTGAAGTGATGGACCATGGAATTAAAGTGGGATAGGGAAGAAAATGAAGACAAAGAATTTATATATGTTAATCAATTAATTACATTATTCATTTATTATTACATGAATATTTTAGGGCATTTACTATGTGAAAGGCTGTGCTACAGCCTGAGCTGATGACTAAAAAGACCCCACTTTTATGGACTTTAAAATCTGGGCCGGGCGCGGTGGCTCACGCCTGTGATCCCAGCACTTTGGGAGGCCAAGACGGGTAGATCACAAGGTCAGGAGATCAAGACCATCCTGGCTAACACGGTGCAACCTCGTCTCTACTAAAAATACAAAAAAATTAGCCGGGCGTGGTGGCAGGCGCCTGTAGTCCCAACTACTCGGGAGGCTGAGGCAGGCGAATGGCGTGAATCCTGGAGGCGGAGCTTGCAGTGAGCCGAGATTGCACCGCTGCACTCCAGCCTGGGCAACAGAGCGAGACTCTGTCTCAAAAAAAAAAAAAAAAAAATCTTAAGTGGAGGCAGATGTTAAATGTTCAGTCAAAAATTATTTCATGACAAAGGTGGTAGTACTATGATAGAGATAAAGTACGGGACAGATGCTGTAGGAACTGAAACAACACAATATTGTTATGAGAGAGTGGAATGTGAATTCACAGTTTAGAGGTAGAGCTGTTCTTGATAGTAACAGGGGTCAGAATGTAATCGGGGTAGGGAGGCCAATTGGCATGAGAGCAGTCAGATTTCAGCCAGGGTATCGAATGGGACTTCCATGGGATACTGATGAAATGCTAATGGTCAAACCCAACCACATGGACACTGAAGTCACCCAGGATGATAGTAAGATTCAGGGTGAAAAGAAGGACCGTGGACTAAATGAGGAAGACAGGGCAAGTAATATTGCCTCTACAGACATTCAGGGACATAAAGTTAAGTGCCTGATGCCATAGAGTTTACAAGCTGTAATGCAGTTCGAGGAATCAGATTTAGTTTTTTTGGCCTCAAGTCCAGAGATAGTTCCACTGACATTACTTAGCTCTGAGATCAGCTTTCTACAGAAGGAAAAACAGACAAGGTAAATTTTAAAGATGAGGAAGAAGGAGCAGGACAGAGATGTTGCATCAGTGACTGCATCCTGAACTGGCTCTAAGTATAGGCACAGGCATTGGAGATGGATGGACAGGTAGGAAGGTGGGGCACATGGTGAGGGACAGCTCAGGCTGCCTTGGCCTAATTCTCAGATTTGCAGGAGCCCTCTCTGCAGTCTTGGTAGGGAGATGATTAGACACATGTAGATATTGTCCATGACTTGTGCACAGTAGTAGATACATCTTCAGATGCAAAAAACAAAATACCCAGAATACAGAAAACTATTTCTCAATGGTGTTGGAGGGTGTTTTGAACAGAGGGCAGTGAGATCACCGAAACTACAAACAGAATAATCTAATCTTTAAAAGACAATCTAACCATCAGTGCCTTGAAGTGGAAATGGGGATTTTTTTGTTGGCAGTTACACCATTTGATATTTGTCCTTTTCCACTGGTCACACATTTTGGTATCTTTGGGTGACAGTTTTAAAAGATTGAATAAAGAAACTGATAATAATGGTTCTCTCCATGGCAAGGACAGGCAGCCTGGGGTGGAGTCAGAGGAAGATCAACCTTTCGTTGTGCATTTTTTTGTGTGTTATTTGAATTTTGTTACTATGCGTATTTATTACCTACTCAAAAATAAAAGAAATGTACTGCACCATGTCTACAGTGCTTCCTTGAATTCAACAAATATTTATTATTGAATAAAATTAGCACAAATAAAGCATACAGTTCACTGCATCTTTGGGATTTGGCTCTACTTGAAAGTCCCTGATTAGTACAGGAATGATGCCTGCCTAAATTTTGTTTCTTTCTTTCTTTCTTTTTTTTTTTTTGAGATGAAGTCTCCCTTTGTCGCCCAGGCTAGAGTGCAGTGGCATGATCTTGGCTCACTGCAACCTCCACTTCCCAAGTTCAAGCAATTCTCCTGCCTCAGGCTCCAAAGCAGCTGGGATTACAGGCACCAGCCACCATGCCCAGCTAATTTTTGTATTTTTAGTGGAGACAGGATTTCACCATGTTAGCCAGGCTGGTCTCGAACTCTGGACCTCAGGTGATCTGCCCACCTTCGCCTCCCAAAGTGCTGGGATTACAGGCATGAGCCACCATGCCTGGCCTAAATTTTCCCTGTAAAACTTATTTTGAATATACTAGGCTGTCCCTATAGATTGCAAAATCCACTAGACCTGAAACTGAACAAAGACACTCTCAACACTTATCTCCAGTTCCTAGAACAGAGCTGGCACTCAGGTGTGCGCTGTAAGAATGAAAGAATTAGTCCAGTTAAAGGAGCAGCTTCAGGGAATGGGGCTCTTCCTCACGTGTCTTTTCCATGGAAAGGGGAGGAGGGAGTGTACATTTTGAATAATTAAGTAAATTGTTTATTTAAAAGTTTAAGGGGAAATCATATATCCTAATTTTCCCTTTTCCTTGTTCCTTGGAAAATAAGAAAAAAGGTCCTGTTTTCTTCTGAGTTAAAAAAAAAATAATCTAACCTGCCATGACATGATTGCTATTCTGTATTTTGAAAAGAGAGGTAGTGATGAGGCAGTGGCATGCTCCCCAGTCAGATTTCTCTCCTGAATCCTTCAACCCAAATGTCCTTTTCCAGCTCTCAGTTGTCCTGTTTAACTGTAATGTCCACCCCCCACCTCAACACTGCCTCTCACCTTTTGTTGATTTAAGATAGGTTTTTAGGGAAGAACTTAGTCTCTCTGTTCGCCCTTGGAGAGCACTGGGCTTCTTTTTAACTGTCTTCTGAGAGTCTGTAAGAGGGACAGAAAATGTAGCTGTTGCTGTCCTCTCATAGGCACACTGGGGAGGTCTGAAAAGGAGACAAACCACCTCAACGTGTCTTGAGCGGCTGGGTCTCATGGGCCTCTTTTCTTGTCCATTTTATAAAAGTGTCACCAGCATATGAAAACATTTTTTATTTAAGTATCTTCTCGAGGTCTTTAGAGTTCCTGAAGACATCTTAGTGCCTAAGAAACCCAAGTCAAGTTGAAAACAGTCAGATTCTGCTGAAAGCCTGAACTGTAAATGGAAATGAATGGATTCTGGGATTGGCCCCTCTGGTTCTCATGCATGTCTAGGGTTGGCCCAGGAAGTGGACTTAGGAGGCTTGGGCTCACTCACATGAACTCAGGCTCACCCTTCACTGTGGCATTTGGTACTAAGTGCACTAATAATTGGCGATGCTGTCTCCTCATGAAAGCTTCCTACTGGGTCTGGAGACCTCCTGCAGACCTACTTCCATTTCCATTTGGTTCATCCAAATTGGGAGGTAACTAGATGCCTGTATCAACTGAAGACCAACAGAGGCAGCATATTTTTGCTGAAAGCTACAAAATCTTCACTTATTTTCTTAAGAGATTATAATGTATTACATTATACATATATTACATGTTATACATACATAATTATACACACATAATTATACACACACAGTGTATCAATGGCTTTAGAATTGGTGAATGGACACGATAGTGAAAGGTGATAGTCATTGCCTTTAGCTGAAAAAGGCAGAGGTTGGAGATAGGCTTGTTTCATAGTTCTCATCACAGAAGGCTTGGCTTTGCTAGATTTACTTTTCACGGATAGTATTTACTAATGGGAGTAGGGAGAATATTTCAAGATATTTGCACATTTTCTCAAAAGAAGTGACAGAACAGCAAAAGGATATTCTCTGTGAGTGATTTTTAAATGGCACTTATAAGCCCCAAATTAGGATCAGAGGAAGGGAAGTTTAGGACTAAAGGAAAGTGAAAAATGGATAACTGACATCCCTATAGATGATTTTATACAATAAAGTTAGATGATGCATAAGAAATCCCACTAGACTATCTAACCTACTTGAGGGCAGGGACAAAGTTTTACTCATTTTTCAATTATCTACCAGTATCTAATATGATTCTTAACACACAAAGTGAGTCTTCTACACATTGCAGTTCAACAGGAATTATCTCAACTGTATCTCATGTTCAGTAATTCCAGAGCCAAGCAAACTGAGACCCGAGATAGAATTTCTGAGATTGTCTTTAGTTTTGGGAAATAGTAGATACTCTGATTGATAACAATGGAATTTCAGTTACTGAAAAGTAACAGTTAAAAGGATTCAGGAAAGGTATCACAGCTGGCTTCCACACCATATTATACCAGGAGGCCTAGTGACTAGCTCTGGAAAGCGTATAGCATTGGATGGCTGAGGGGAATTAAGAAATTCAAGTAGCAGTCAATTAAAAAAAAAAAGATGTTGACATAGCATGGTGGCTCACGCCTGTAATCCCAGCACTTTGGGAGGCAGAGGCAAGATGGTGGCTCAAGGCTAAGAGTTTCAGAGCAGCTTGGGCAACAGAGTGAGGCTCTGTTTCAACAACAACACAAAATTTTAAATAGCCAGGTGTGGTAGTGTGCCTGTAGTCCCAGCTACTCAGGAGGCTTGCTTGAGCCTAGGAGTTTGAGGTTACAGAGTGCTATGATTGCACCACTGCACTCCAGACTGGGCAACAGAGCAGAACCCTTTTCCTAAAATAAAAAAAAACAATGGCAAATACACATGCTTATTTATTATATATCAACAGCACCTTTCATTAATACTAGCACACGTTCCATAGATATTTGGTACAAGTACAATATATCTCCACTCATGGCATTCTGGTAAAGTGATGGTCCATGTTAAAAATAGCTCATTATCATGGGTAAAGGGACTTACTTAAGGCTTTATTTCATAGAAATCAGGCATGGCTATCAAGAAGAACAGAAATGCCTGGAAAACAGACTCCAGTGGGTCACTTCTTGGAAAGAAAGTTTAATCAGTATTGACAAAAAAGGGGGAACATGTTCCAGGACTATTTGTGTTATTGAAAGCAAGGAATATAGTGATTGAATTAAAAGGGGAGAAATAAAAGCAGATATTGCATTGCTTCCCAGTGGAAATACTGTTTGAATCATGTGGTAGGCTGATCGGACTCTATTCTGGGGTTTCAGTTTTCTGGACGTGTTTCTTTTTCGTATCCTAGGCTGATTCATGATAGTTTTGAATGATAGTTATTTTTCAATTTTTCCTTTGATCCCCGAAGACTCTTATTTGTGTCAATCTTTATTTAGCCTGGCCATCAATTAGTGTAAAACAAGGGGAGATGATGTGGATTCAATAAGGTAAGAAACTGACTAGCCAGCGTCACACACAAAGTTATCAAACCTGGTTCTTAGAATCCACGTTCTCATGTCTGGCTCTTTGTTCAAAGGGAAAAAAAAATCAATAGGATGGCTGGAGGGAGACATTTCCCTATCCTCATTGAAGACTGATGAGCTGTCAGTCTATTACGTGGTATCCTGTTGAGGAACATGTGAACAATTGGAAGAGTTTATCTGATGACTGACCAGTTGTGAAATTTAGCACCCATTAATTGATTCTTAATGTGAGAGGATTAACTTGGGAATTGTGAGTTTCTACGTGTGGAAAGGAAAACATATTCCCTTTACTCAGTTACTGTGCAAAAATCAATAACCCCAATTTGCATGTAAGTAAGAAACAATATGTCCCTTGCTCAAAAAAATTAACATCCTTCTAGCTCTTCCTTTCTTCTCCTTACAACTTTGATATACTTCTTCGTGTGTGTGTGTGTGTGTGTGTGTGTGTGTGTGTGTGTGTGTGTGTGAATAGCCTTCCTAAAGGCCTGGGCTTTTTCTAAATGTATGCCTTTAATTTTTATCCAAAAACTTCTCTTACAGCAACATGTCTTGTCTATTCTATTCCAGCACAAGGCAGATGCACAGCAAATGTGAGCTGACTCTAGTCCTTCTTCTGAAAACAGCCATGGGAAATTTAGGCAAAGAATGTGTTGTCTTTGCTAATACTGCTCTTTAAGCCCCAGACATAGCTAAACTCTTAGCTAATTACCCCCTGGGTCCCAGGCTTTCACTGGGGCCTTTTAAAATACACAAAACCAAAGTGACGGCAGGAGGCCATTAGCACTACATAATTCAAGCAAACAATAAATGTGTTTATTCTGCCTGGCTACTGACCACCTGCCTTCCCATCCCGCCAGGCAGGTATCTATATATACGATTTCCTTTTTCCCAGTCCTGCAGAGAATGAGCCTCTCCTTTGGGCCTCATCATTTACAAAAGAAGCTTGGGCCCCTGACAGCATGCATCTCCTCTTATTTCAGCTGCTGGTACTCCTGCCTCTAGGAAAGACCACACGGCACCAGGATGGCCGCCAGAATCAGAGTTCTCTTTCCCCCGTACTCCTGCCAAGGAATCAAAGAGAGCTTCCCACAGGCAACCATGAGGAAGCTGAGGAGAAGCCAGATCTGTTTGTCGCAGTGCCACACCTTGTAGCCACCAGCCCTGCAGGGGAAGGCCAGAGGCAGAGAGAGAAGATGCTGTCCAGATTTGGCAGGTTCTGGAAGAAGCCTGAGAGAGAAATGCATCCATCCAGGGACTCAGATAGTGAGCCCTTCCCACCTGGGACCCAGTCCCTCATCCAGCCGATAGATGGAATGAAAATGGAGAAATCTCCTCTTCGGGAAGAAGCCAAGAAATTCTGGCACCACTTCATGTTCAGAAAAACTCCGGCTTCTCAGGGGGTCATCTTGCCCATCAAAAGCCATGAAGTACATTGGGAGACCTGCAGGACAGTGCCCTTCAGCCAGGTATGTGTTCTGGGGGGAGAGCAGGTAAGAGTTTGCAGGTGGTAGTGGACAGCTGGGATGGATGGAGAGTAGGGGAAAAGGCTGTCAGGAGCCTGACTCTAGCTTAACTACAGATTTGGTCCTTGGGCATTCATCATAGGATTTGGCAAAGATTAAGTTTCCTTCTGGCCTTTCCATTTTTTCTTGGCATTGTGGAAATGCTGCAAGAATGATATGATGATACTGTCAATATCAGTAATCATTCATTCACACTGAAGACACAGAGCTCTGTTTTATTTATTTATTTTTGCATTGGAGGTGATCTACTCAGAGATATAAGTCAGACTGTACCCTCAGTTAGGAAACTGAGAATTTAGAGTAATCACCAGAACTCCTCTGTAGCTATCTTTCTGCACTCTATTAATATGTGGATGAGCAGGTCAACTCCATTTGTTGATAAAGTGGGGTGCATTGGACTCCTTCCCAAATACTCTCATATCCATTTACGATGGTCTTAATCCCCATAGTCCATACTTAATTACTTTATAGGTTTATGAGGGACTTCTTTAATAGCTTGCTAAAGCTATCCCACAACCTCAAAGTACGTTGAGGTTCTCAGGCAAAAGTTGTCATATCATTTCTAGTATTATGATAGCAAAAAAGTGATTTTCTTTCACTTATTTTCTCATATGAGCTTTTTAAAAAATCAATCTTGATGTGAGATCATATCTCCTCCCCTTAGAAGTACCTTTCTCCTGATTCATGTTGTGTTGGCTGATTTGTAGTTATTATGATCAATTCCATGCTATTAAGACAAAGGGACATCCTACTGTCTACTTCCTCTGGCAATATCTACATTCCAAATGTTAAATTAAAATTGAGAACTTGCATTAGGTCCTTAAACATGAAGATATTGAACCAAAAACATGCAGGGTAGAGTAAAATTTTATAGTCGAGTAATGCTACCCAATTAAGCAAGCAATAGAATAGGGCAATTGACTGTTCAAGGCAGTTAAGTATTCTGCCTGAAAAGGCAAGGATATGTAGCAATGGCAAGTCAATTATCAAATAATAATGACTACTCTGTTGGCCATGTGCAATTAGAAAATTACCCCTAAGAATCAGGCAATCAAATTTCTTTTGAAATTCTTCTTTTGAATTCTATTGCTAATTAAATTAAAACTAAGATGTTTGACTCTTACATATTTTGAAAGGCATATAAAGCTAGGTGCTTGGAGTTATGAGAGGTAAAGGTGATGTAATATACAATGATTTGCAGGCATATGCATTGTAACTCTGCTTGCATACAACTTCATAGACTTGAATGTACTACAGGTCTTGCAGAATAGGATAGAATTAAACCTAGAATGTTCTGATCTATTCTACGATCAATGTAACAAATATGTATTGGGAGCCTACTATGCACAAAGCCCTGTGAGGAATAAAAAAGTAAGGCACATTACTTATGTAAGATAATTACCATTAGAATTTTTCAATCGCTCACATCCAATTAGACAAAATTGCTTAAGGTTTTGCACGAATAATGTAGAGTAAAATATTTTTTATGTTAACTTAGGGATTCCCTAAAGGCTGTTTAATAATTTACTCAATAAAGAAAATTTAATTGAGGTGGTTCTGTGCCCTTATAGATACCATCACTTGCATATTGCAAATTGTATCCAAAATTGGAAAGCTTTGAAATTTTTAAATTATCCTCAGATTTACAGTCCATAGCTTCTGCATTATGTGTGTTAAAGAAATAATTCAAAATAACGTAATGGAAATGTGTTTGCTTTTTAGACTATAACCCACGAAGGCTGTGAAAAAGTAGTTGTTCAGAACAACCTTTGCTTTGGGAAATGCGGGTCTGTTCATTTTCCTGGAGCCGCGCAGCACTCCCATACCTCCTGCTCTCACTGTTTGCCTGCCAAGTTCACCACGATGCACTTGCCACTGAACTGCACTGAACTTTCCTCCGTGATCAAGGTGGTGATGCTGGTGGAGGAGTGCCAGTGCAAGGTGAAGACGGAGCATGAAGATGGACACATCCTACATGCTGGCTCCCAGGATTCCTTTATCCCAGGAGTTTCAGCTTGAAGAGCTATCCCACTATTACCTTTGAAAAGCAAAACCACAACAGCAAAGATGCTGATTATTCAGTCTGAAAATGTTAAGTGGGTACATAACATTTTCAGGGAAAGGTGACTTGAAACGTAGTTTTAAATTAGAACGATAGAGGAAATGATATTAGTCTAGTTATTGGTACACGTTTGAGACCTTGTCTCAGCTCTGCCACTAACTAGCCGTAGAATGTTAAGTTGTAAAACCTTTCTCCATCTAAAGATTTTCATCTATAAATGACGGACCCGACCTAGATGATTGCTAAAATCCTTTCCACTACTAATATTCCGTGATGCATTTTCTCCAAGTTTGGGTAAAAGCCCTCCATCTAAAGAAGGAAAAGAAATAAGCGAGACCATAAAAATGGGCTTCTTTAATGTGTGTCAAATCACCAGCAAGCAAAGAAGCAAGATAGAGAGGGAGGAAGGAAGGAAGGAAGGAAGGAAAGAAGGAAGGAAGGAAGGAAGGAAGGAAGGAAGGAAGGAAGGAAGGAAGGAAGGAAGGCAGGCAGGCAGGCAGGCAGGCAGGCAGGCAGGCACGCAGGCAGGCAGGGAGGCAGGCTACGTGAAATATTTGTAGGAAAGATTCTCATACTTATAGTTACTTTTGCAACCCAAACAGTGTTTTACTTGACTTCTATCTGATGATTAAGTCTTTCCACAGATGTAAGGAGTAACTTGCTTGGTTGCCTCCTTTTTAACAATACTCCTCATATAAAGTACTTAATGTCAGGTCTCTGACTTTGAAGAAGGAACAGTGATGTTAATTTTAGTAGTTTATATAGGGAAGAGGAACAATCACTGGTAGCCAAACAAGTACCTATATTATGAGGAAGGAAAAATACATGACTACTACCAGGTTTAGAGATCAATCCAGAGATGCTAATGAAAGTAACCCCCAAAAATTCAATCTTCAGGCAAAATTATTTACTCACATGCATTTTGAATTAGGTAGTAAGGTTTCTATGTTTGAATGACTGTTTTTTGCTATTTAATAAAACTTTGTATTATAAATTTTATTCAGCAAGTACCAAAATTACAGGTTCTGAAAATATTCTGGATATTTTAATGCATTAAATTTTAGTATATGAAGCATTCTGAAAAATGTTCTTATATTTTTCCCTTACTTGTTTTGTCTCATAATTTAAAGGTACTATCAGGAGATAACCTAGCTGGAAGCATTTCTGGAATGTCTTCATAGACTTATGACACTGGACCAAGGGTTTCTTCTGATCTGTAAGCAGCCTTCTGTTTAAGTCTCTCAATCACCTCTCTCCTGTCTGTGTTAATTTTTACACATATATGGTACAGAACTGCCTTTTCCCAGCCAGACTGCTTTTTCTATTAAGTTATTCAAATTTTTGTTCCTAAAAATTATTTTAATAATTAGGTTTCTTTTACTTTTAGTGCACACACATACACACATTTCCCAGAATAACTGTTTTTTTTAAATAAATCAATTTATATTTTAATTCTATTCCTCTTTAATCACACCATCTAACATGACATTCCAAAGAAGCAAAGGCATTTATATTTAGTGTATATTTTGTAACACATCAACATGAATGTGAGTTACACAGATGCACACATGGCATTTACATTGGAATATATTATCATACCCTTTGGTGGTCAAAGGCAACCTAGCTGGCCAAGATATGCTCATAAGGATAAAATTGTTAAGCATTAATGATATCTCAGCTGGTCAATATATTTTGGTGCCAAAAGCTATCAAACAGCTGTCATGATTGCAATCGCCTAACCCTGATTATGAAAACCTATCTCTGCCAATTGGACTGTCCTTCTCCTCCTTACATGCTTGTAAATCCGTTTCATCCATCCTTGCAAATAGACTCTCAAGCCCAAACCCCAAACAATGATCTGTTTTATTCAAATTTTGGTCTGCGCTTCCCTTGCATGTAAATTCTAGATGGGATAGTTGATAGTGGTATCAAACCTTACATTTATAGAATAATTGCATGAAATTCAACAAAATTGCTCATATTCAATCATTTTTACTTACAAAAAAGGCAATTTACAAAGGTTGAACATAATATGTAAGACTGTAAGAAACCAAGAGGAAAAACACAAATATTGAACATTTATTAAGTGCCAGATACTGTGCTGTCTTTTACAAGAAGTTAACAATTTAATCCTCACAAAAACTATATAAAGTAGGTTATCACTGTATTTTATGGGTAAGAAAAGCAAGCCTTTAAAAGTTTCAGAATTTGCCTAAGAGCATTTGGAGAATATTTTCTATTTTGGATTAAAATATTTGCTCATTTGTTCTTTGTCAGTTTATATTGAACTCTTCCAGGTCTCTTGCCTATAGGCTTCAAAGCAAATTTCTTTTTACCACTTACCTAGCTCTCCTATCTGAAGGATTTTGATGTTATATCTCAAAAGAGAAATCATCTCTAGGTCAGGTTATCGGCCAAATATTTCCTTGACTCCGTTGGTCCTCATGGCACACCTCTTCATAAATCCTGGTCTCATTTTCCTCTCATATAAAATAAGGCTGGTAATAATTACCTCAAAATTATTGTGATGATCAAGTGTACATAACAACACTTCAGAGAACTTTAGATCCTGTAAAACTACAAGGGATTAATTTATTCTTTTCCGTTCAGACCTTCTATTTTTTAAATTTGTTTTGAGAAATTGAAAACACACGGAAAAGCGCAAATAATAATATAACACTGAAATTCATATAAACGAAATAAATAGTTACTATTTTGTCATCTTTTGCTTCTAGTCTTCTTTTAAATAAGCCATTTCAGATATAAGTAAAGTTCCTTCTGACCACAATACTGAGTCTTATTCCCTAAGCTTTTGCCTACAAAACACCACACCACTAAAAATTCCTGCTTATACTTTCAATTCCCTTCTATATTTTTGCTAATTTATATATACTTCCATAAACAATATGTAGTATTATTTTTTATATGCACTACTTTAGTCAGCATGTATTTATTTGTCCATCAACTATGTACGAGATACAGCTCTAGGTGCCATGAATACAAAAAGGGAACAAGTCAGACAAGATCACTGCTCCTATAGAGCTTACATTCTATTGGGGGAGATATGTAATTTGAAAATCAATCAATTCATCAATCAATCAATTCAAAAAGAAAAATATCAGATGGCTATAAGTGGTATGCAAATAATTAAAATATGCTAGAGATTGATTAGATTAAGTGGTCTCTGAGACGGTGACATTAAAGCTATGTGTTTTGAATTATGTACATGATATTCTCTATTAATTGTTCTATAATGGCATTTTTCACCACACATAATTCTTGTTTGTTTTTACAAAGTTTTGAGAGGTTTTTTTCCCATCTATATTTTATCTCCATTCTAGAAATTAAGTATTCCTTACAGAGAGTAGCTAACCTAGCTTTGATTTTCTCAATCTGCGCAATTTCTTTGACCTGTCAGTTTAATTCCTAAATAAGACTTTTATTTATCCTCTGAATTTTTACAGATAATTTAATTTATTCTATGCAAGACACTGTGCTAAGAACCTTGGGATATTCCAAGATAAATAAGACACATTTCCTGCCACGCTGGAGCTTACAATGTAGTAGCAGAGATAATGTATGCAAATTTTAAGGCAATGATAATAGTACATTTATAAGGACTACTAATTATTGAGTTCTTACTATGTGCTCAGATGCTTTATATTTGTTATCTCCTAGAAGTGGATATTTTCTACTCATTTTTTTTGACAAGGAGAATGAGAGTTGGAGGGGTTCATTCATTCAGTCCACAAATAGTTATGAATGTCTATGATGAGCCTGGTCACTGTGCTGGGGACAAAGAATATGAATAAATGAGTAGAGGATTATCTAAATATAATCCCTGACTTTAAGAATCCTACTGTCCAGGAACAAGTAACTGCATGTTTTTGCTACTTGTTTACTCTTCCATATATTCTAGAATGATGATCTCTCCATCACACCCTACCCCCAGTCTCAAACACCACTATCCCAGTGAAGCCTTCTTTAACCCTCAGACAAGTTTGGGTTCACGTCTAACATGATTTCATGACACTGAAACCTTTGTTTTATAGCACTCATATCAGCTTGTAATTATATCTTTATTCTGGCCATCATTAATTAAATTATAAGGTCCATGAAAACAGGTATCATATTGCAGGAGGTTTCTTTCAGGATTGTAATCAGTGTCTGGAAGGGGCCAGCACACAGTAGGTACTCAATAAATATTTTTTGTCTGTATGAAAGAAACAATATCAATAGGTATCATCTACTGAGGTTATGTCATGTGTCAGGCACTGTGCCAAACACTTTCTATACATCATTTTATTTAATCCTCATGAAACCTTATGAGGAATATTTATAGATAAAGATGCTAAGGCTCATATAAATAAACTTTCCAAAGTATCACTGTTAGGGAATAGGAGAAGCTGAATGACTCCAAAGCCTAAGCTCTTTCTTACTAAGTTATATTGTCTCAAGATAGCAAATATGGAAATATATATATAATATAAATATTTATGTATACATATGTATGCAAATATACGCACATATAAATATAGACACGCATATAGATACATACAAATCAAAGTTAAAGACCTAATACTAATCCATCCCCTCTCTGATTCCCAGAGCCCATTATTCATGCCTGTCTTACGGCACCTATAACAGTGAGGATGTTTCCAACTCCAGTAGCAGGAAATACAGCTCGGAATGTATTAAATTAAGAAGGAATGTACTATGTCTCTAACAAGAAGTCTGGAAGGCAGCCAGTTCCTTAGGTGGTCAAGTCAGCAGCTCTACCATTCCATCAAGGACTCGGGTTCCTTTCATCTTTCTGCTCTCTTACTTTCAGTGTGTCTTCTACAAGCTAAAACTCCTCTCAGTCACAACATGGCTACTGCAGTTCCAGGCATCATGCTTCACTATTCACACACGAATGTCTCTCCCACTTCCATCCCTTTAAAAAAGCTAAATAAAATCAGTTATGTCTAGGATAATTGAGCAGTGGAACAAAATCAAGGAATAAAGAGCAAATGGCTGTTAGGCCACAGCTGTTGCCACTTTTTTATTAATTAATTAAGTATTATTATTATTTTTATTATTATTTGAGATGGAGTCTCACTCCGTCTCCCAGTCTGGAGTGCAGTGGCACAATCTCGGCGCACTGCAACCTCCACCTCCTGGGTTCAAGTGATTCTGCCACCTCAGCCTCCCAAGTAGCTGGGATTACAGGGGTGCGCCACCATGCCTGGTTAATTTTTGTATTTTTAGTAGAGACAGTGTTTCACCATGTTGGCCAGGCTGCTCTCGAACTCCTGACCTCAAGTGATCCGTCCACCTTAGCCTCCCAAAGTGCTGGGATCACAAGCGTGAGGAACTGCACTCGGCCCACTTTTTAATTTATCATTATTTATTTACCTGTCTTATCTTTCCTTCTAGATTATAAACTCCTTAATGGCAAGTCTTTATATAATAACTTCTGTATACCTTAACAAAGTTTACATCTTTGTTACCCTTCTGTTCCTAATATATGCTGTATGTTGTATGCTTTATATTTACATACATACATAAACATATACACATATACATAAAACATGATTTTAATGTTTTATAAAGGGGTAAATGCTCAATACATGTAAGCTAAATGGACGAATTTTGGGAGACACTCTTAGAAGGATGGGTTAGTGTACATAGTGTGGGAAGCTTTGAATAGCAGCCAGCACATTTTAAGAATGTATGGGGAGTTTTTGAGCAAATTAGGAAGGTATGAGGTTTTTTTTTTGTTATTTTTTTGAGACAGAATCTTGCTCTGTTGCCCAGCCTACAGTGCAGTGGCATGATCTCAGCTCACTGCAGCCTCAGCCTCAAGTGATTCTTCTACCTCAAGCCTCCCAAGTAGCTGGGCTTACAGACATGCACCACCACGCCTGGCTAATTTTTGTATTTTTAGCAGAGACCCGGTTTCACCATGTTGGCCAGGCTGGTCTTGAACTCCTGACCTCAGGTAATCCGCCTGCCTCAGCCTCCCAAAGTGCTAGGATTACAGGCATAAGCCACCGCACCCAGCCGGTATGGGTTTATAAAAATAGTTTCAGAGGGGCTCATGAACCCCCCTGGAGTGTACACAGATGTGTGTATGGGCATACTTCAGGGGAGAAGGTCCGAAATTTTGAGGAGCTTCTCAAACAATTTCATGAGCCAAACATTTTACCAGCGGGTATAATAAATGAGAGAAAGCCTTGAGTCCAGTTGAGCCAGAGAGCTGGAAGAAACCTTGGAAATCATGTGCATAAACCTCTTCAATTGGAGCTCAGAAAAGTTGGGTTTCTATTTTGATAACAGAGGATGAATTTTAAATACACGTTAGTGGGTCCTGTTCACCTTGTTGAATCTAATACCCACATGCAGGAGTTTGCAGTGGTGAAATGAGTGAGTAATAGTACCCTGAGCAAAGGAATGGACTTTCCTGTAATACTAGTTTTCCAAAGCGAGGATTCATTTATCCACCCACATTTCCAGGGGAGAGTCAGATTTTCATTTTGTGGGTTTCCTCCCTCTTACACTGTTTTGTTCCTCCTCCTTTCCTCCAAAAGAAATAATCACCAAGGACCCACCTATGGGTGGGGACTTGGTTAATAATGTTTTTCAAGGAAGTATGACAACTTCTTCTTTTCTGCCAACTAAGGGAAACATGCCTCTTTCATGTCCCATATACAAAAAACAAGAATTTCCAATAAGCGTGTTTTATAAGTCACAATGACATTATTAAAAGGAAATCTGCAACCTGCCCAAACCTAAGACAAGAAATAGGTGAAAACTTAAATGGATAGACAGAGCCAACATCCTACTCCAGCTCAGGTAAATCACTGAAGGCATGCCCTCTTCAGGTCTGGGATCCACCAGATTGAATAGCGTCTTTGAACCTTGAAAAATAATGTCCTGTAGCTTTACAGGATTATGAAAACATAGTGTAAACTTATCATTGAAGGGGCTCCAAAATGTGCATATATGAGCAAAAAAAAAGACCCTATACCCCATTCTCCCACTTGTCCTTAAAGGAGATTATAAATCCTTTGATAGCCCTAAGAAAAACTGCAAATCGGGTAGAATTTTCTTTGGCATTCACTTTTCCTGCTTCTGGCCTCTGGTCTCCCCCTTGGGCTCCCTTCTCTTTCTTATCCTCATTTCAGGATATTCAAATTATCTTTAATGCCTCAGGGCTCCTAATTTAAGTCTATTCATCCATCCAGCCCATTGATGTATTAATTCAGTTATCGTTTATTTAGAGTCTATTGTGTCAAGCACTGTGCCTATTGGAGTACTAAGATGGCTGACAGGCTCCTGCCCTAGAGAAGACAGAATTTTCCTGGCTGAGAGTTTGGGTTTCATTCTATAGGCAAGTGCTTTTGAACCTTGGCTGTGTATTAAAACTACCTATGAGCTTTTAAAACACAGAGAGACTGTTCCAATGGGTGAAGATGGCTTTTGGGGATCAGCAGGCCTTAGTCTATATATTTTTAAAGCTTCACAAGTGATTTTGCTGCAAGGTCAGATAATGGTGAGGTAGGGAGCCACTGAAGAATTCTCACCACATGAATTCTGCACTCCTGAGCAGATTTCTTCTAGAAAGAAAATATCGTGCTGTTCTCCTAACCCTTTTTGATCCTCCTGTTGTTTTCCACTGAAACTCTCTTCCAGGCCCTTATAGATTTCAGTTCTACACAATTAAGGAGTGACATTACTCCTATCCATTAACTTAATTGCATTTTTAGCTCAGAGGAAATAAGGGTCTTTACCTATGTTGATTTTTCTCCTTAAAATAAGTTGCTCTTTAAACAATTTTCTAAATTGACATTAAATTATACACATTTACTGTTTATAACATATTGTTTTTTAGTAAATAACATTGTGAAATGACTAAATCTAGCTAATAACCATAACACATTACCCCACATAGTTACCTTTTTTTGTGGTGAGAATACTTTACGCTTTCAGCCATTTTTCAAGAATACAATGTACTGTTACCTGTATCCCCATGTTGTACAATAGATCTCTTGAACTATTCCTCCTAAGGGAAATTTTGTCTTTTGACCATCCCCCAACCTGTTCCCAGCAACCATCCCAGCTCCTGGTAACCACCATTCTACTGCTTCTATAAGATCTTTTCTTGTTTTAGATTCCACAGGAGTGAGATTGTGCGGTACTTGTCTTTTCATGCTTAGTTTATTTCACTCAACAGAGTGTCCTCCAAGTTCATTCATGTTGTTACAAATGACAGGCTTTCCTTCCTTTTTAAAGTTGAATAGTATTCCATTGTGAGTATATACCACATTTTCTTTCTTCATTTATTTATTGATGTACACTTAGCTTAATTCCATATTTTAGTGATTGTAAATAATGTTGCAGTAAACATAGGAACGTAGATATCTCTTTGACATCCTGATTTTATTTTCTTTAGATATATACCCAGTAGCGGGACTGCTAGGTCATATAGTATTTCTGTTTGTAGTTTTTTAGGGAACCTCCACATTGTTTTTCATAATGGCTGTACTAATTTACATCCCCACCAATAAATAACGTGGTAGTTTTTCCACATCCTCACCGATGCTTATCTTTCATCTTTTTGATAATAGCCGTTTTACTAGGTGTGAGGTGACATCTCACTGTGATTTTAATTTGTACTTCCCTGATGATTAGGGATGTTGAGTCTTTTTTTCAAATGTCTGTTGAAGATTTGCATATATCTTGTGGAGAAATGTCTATTCATATCCTTTGCCCATTTTTAAATTGGATTACAGTAGCTTCCCCCTTACCCACAGAGGATGTTTTTCAAGATCCCCAGTGGATTCTTGAATCAGTAGATAGTACAGAACCCTATTTATACTATTTTTAAAATTTTGACAACAGAGATGGCTGCTAAGTGACTAAAGGGCAGGTAGCATATATATAACATGGTTATGTGGGAAAAACAGATGATTCATATGCTGGGCAGATGAAGCCAGACAGTGCAAGATTACATCACACTTCTCAGGATGGCACATGACTTAAAAATTATGAATTGATTATTTCTGAATTTTTCCATTTAATATTTTCAGACTGTGGCTGACCACAGGTAACAAACCACAGAAAGCAAAACCACAGATAAGGGGGGACTACTATATTCATTTTCTTGCTATTAAGTTGTTTGCATTCCTTACATATTTTGAGTATTACCCTTTAACATATATATATTTTGCAAATATTTTCTCCCATTCTGTGGGTTGTCTCTTTACTCAATTGATTGCTCCCTTTCTATGCAGAAGCTTTTGTTTGATATAAACCCATTTGTCTATTTTTGCTTTTGTTGCCTGTGCTTTTGGGGTCATATCCAAAATAAATCACCGCCCAGACCAATATCATGGAGCTTTTCCCCTCTTTTCTTCTAGTAGTTTTATAGTTTCAAGTCTTACATTTAAGTCTTTAATCCATTTTGAGTTGATTTTAGTATGTGATATGAGATAAGGGTCTAATTTCATTTTTCTGCATGTGAATATCCAGTTTTTCTGACACCATTTACCTTTCCCCATTGTGTGTTCTTGGTGCCTTTGTCAAAAATCAGTTGGCTGTTGTTGCATGAATTTATTTCTGGCCTCTCTATTCTGCTTCATTTGTCCATGTGCCTCTTTTTAATGCCAGTGCCATGCTGCTTTGGTTACTATAGCTTTGTAGCTTATTTTGAAGTCAGGTAGTATGAGGCCTACAGCTTTATTCTTTTTGCTCAAGATTGCTTTAGCTATTTGGTGTCTTTTATGGTTCCAGACAAATCTTAGGATTGTTTTTTCTATTTTGTGAAGAATATCATTTGTATTTTGATAGAGGTTGTGTTGAGTCTGTAGATCTCTGGGCAGTATGGACATTTTAACAATATTAGCTTTTCCAGTTCATGAACATGGATTATCTCTCCATTTATTTTTCTTCTTCCAATTATTTCATCAACATTTTACAGTTTTAAATGTAGAAATGTTTCACCTCCTTGGATAAATTTATTCCTAAGTATTTTTTTTTATAGCTTTTTCAGATGGGATTATTTTCTTGATTCCCTTTCCAGATAGTTTGCTGTTAGTGTATAGAAATGACATTGGTTTTTATATGTTGATTTGTATCCTGAGACTTTACTGAATTTGTTCATTAATTCTAATGGTTTTTTTTGATGGAGTCTTTAGGGTTTTTTATATGTAAGATCACATTATCTGCAAACAAGGATAACATAATTTCTTCCTTTCCAATTTGGACCCCTTTCATTTATTTATCTTGCCTAATTGCTCTGGCTAGGACCTTCAGTAATATGTTGAGTAGAAGTGGTGAGAACAGGTATTCTTGTCTTGTTCCTGCTCTCTGGAGAAAAAAGCTTTCAAATTTTCTCCGTTGAGTGTGATGTTAGCTGTGAATTTTTCAGGTATGGCCATTATTTTATTAATGTACTTTCCTTCTATGCCTAACTTTTTGAGAGTTTTTATCCTGAAAAGGTGTTGAATTTTGTTGAATGCTTTTTTGCACCCATTGAAATAATCACATGGATTTATCCTTCATTCTATTAATGTGATGCATCACATTTATTGATTTATGTATGTTGAACCATCCTTATATCTCTGGGATAAATCAGCTTGATCATGGTGAATGATCTTTTTTATTTGCTCTTGAATTAGGTTTGTTAGTATTTTGCTGAGGATTTGTGCATCCATGTCATTAGTGATACTGGCCTGTAGTTTTCTTTTCTTGTTGTGTTCTTATCTGACTTTGGTGTCAAGGTAATGCTGGCCTGAAATGAATTTAAAAGTAGTTGTTCCATTTTGATTTTTCAGAAGAGTTTGAGAAGAGTTTCTATTAGTTCTTTAAACATTTGATAAGATCCAGCAGTGAAACCATCAGATCTTAGGCTTCTTTTTGATGGTACACTTTTAAACAATTTTTATTTTAAGTTCTGGGATACATGGGCAGAGGGTGCAGGTTTGTTACATAGGTAAACATGTGCCATGGTGGTTTGCTGCACCCATCACCTAGGTATCAATCCCCACATGGGATTAGCTATTTATCCTGATGCTCTCTCTCCCCCTGCCCCCTGACAGGTCCCAGTGTGTGTTGTTTCCATCCCTGTGTCCATGTGTTCTCATTGTTCAGCTCCCACTTATGAGTGAGAACATGTGGTGTTTAGTTTTCTCTTCCTGTGTTAGTTTTCTGAGGATGATGGCTTCCAGCTTCATCATGATCTACAAAGGACATGATCTAATTCCTTTTTATGGCTGCATAGTATTCCATGGTGTATATGCACCACATTTTTTTTATCCCATCTATTATTGATGGGCATTCGGGTTGGTTCCATATTTTTGCTATTGTGAATACTGCTGTAATAAACATACATGTGCATGTATCTTTATAATAGAATGATTTATATTCCTTTGGGTATATACTCAGTAATGGGATTGCTGGGTCAAATGGTATTTCTTATTCTAGATCCTTCAGGCAGTAATAAATAGCCTACCAACCAAAAAAAGCCCAGGACCAGACGAATTCACAGCTGAATTCTACCAAAGGTACAAAGAGGAGCTGGTACCATGCTTTCTGAAACTATTCCAAACAATTGAAAAGGAGGGACTTCTCCCTAACTCATTTTATGAGGCTAGCATCATCCTGATACAAAAAACCTGGCAGAGACACAACAAAAAGGGAAAACTTCAGGCCAATATCCCTGATGAGCATCAATGTGAAAATCCTCAGTAAAGTACTGGCAAACCAAATCCAGCAGCACATCGAAAAGCTTATCCACCACAATCAAGTTGGCTTCATCCCTGGGATGCAAGACTGGTTCAACGCACACAAATCAATAAACATAATTCACCACATAAACAGAACTAATGACAAAAACCAGATGGGAGAATTTTTTTTACCAATTCAATCTACTTACTCATTATAGGTCTGTCAAGGTTTTCTATTTCTTTATAATTCAGTCTTCGTGGGTTGTATGTGTCAAGAAATTTATCCATTTTTCCTAGATTATCCAATTTATTGCTATGTAATTGTTCATAATAGTCTCCTATGATTCTTTGTATTTTTGCTGAATCAGTTGTAATATTTTCTTTCTAATTTATGGTTGTATTTGAGTCCTCTTTTCCTTTTCTTATTCTAGCTAAAGGTTTGTTGATTTTTTAAAAATCTTTTCAAAAAGCCAACTCAAAATTGTTGATCTTTTCTATTGGTTTTTAAGTTTTAACTTCATTTGATAATGCTCTGATCTTTGTTACTTTCATTGTCCTACTAACTTTGAGCTTTGTTTTTGTTTTATAAGTTGTAATGTTAGGTTGTGTATTTAAGTTCTTGCTTCTTTTTTTGAAGTAGGTGTTTATTTCTTTAAATTTCCCTGTTAGAACAGTCTTTTGTGGATCCCATAGGTTGGTATGTTGTGTTTCCATTTCCATTTGTCTCAAGAAACTTTGTAAGTTTCTTTTTAACTTTATCATTGGCCCATTAGTTGTTCAGGATTATGTTGTTTAATTTCCATGGATTTGTGAATTTTCTGAAGTTTCCACTGGTATTGATATCTAATTTTATACCATTGTGATCAGAAATGATGGTTGATAGGATCTCAATATTCTTAAATTTGTTAAGACTTGTTTCATGGTCTAACGTAAAATCTATACTGAAGAATGTTCCATGTGCAGTTGAGAAAAATGTGTATTCTGTAGCTGTTGAATGGAATGTTTCATATATGTCTGTTGGGTCCATTTGATCTACAGTGTAGTTGAAGTTCCGTGTTCCCTTATTGATTTTTAGTCTGGATGATCTGTCAATTGCTGAACATGGAGTGTTAAAGTCCACTACTGTTATTGTATTGCAGTATATCTCTCCCTTTAGACCTATAAATATTTGCTTTATGTATTTAGATGCTCTGGTGTTGGGTGGGTATATATTTACAATTGTTATATCTTCTTGCTAAATTGATTCCTTTAATATTATATAATGCCCTTCCTTGTCTCTTTTTATGGTTTTTGACTTAAAGTCTGTTTTGCCTAATATACATATAACTACTCCTGCTCTTTTTCTGTTTCCATTTGCATAGCATGTCTTTTTCCATCCCTTCACTTTCGGTCTATGTGTGCACTTACGGTGAAGTGAGTTTCTTGTAGACGACATATCATTGGGTCTTGTTTTTTTTAAATACCTTCAGTCACTCTATGTCTTTCAATCGGAAAATTTAATCCATATATATTCAATGTAATTATTCATAGGTAAGGACTTACTACTGCTATTGTGTTGTTTTCTAGTTTTTTTTTCCTAGATCTTTTCTTTCTTCCTTCCTCACTTGTGGCTTTGTGGCTCTTTCACTTCCTTTGTAGTGAAGTGATTTTTTCTAGTGGTATGTTTCAATTCCTTGTTTTTTATTTTTTGTACATCTACCGTAGGTTTTTGTTTTGTGATTAACATGAAGCTTACAAAAAAACATTTTCTAGTTATTGTAGGTTATTTTAAGCTGATAAAAACTTAACTTTGATTGCAAAGCAAAACAAATCCTCACACTTTTACTCCACTCCGCCAACATTTTGAATTTTTTATGTCACAATTTACATCTCTTTGTACTGCATGTCTCTTGACAAATTATTGTAGCTCTTATCATTTTTAATAGTTTTGGTTTTTTACCTTCATTCTAAAGATGTAAATGATTTATCCACCACTATTACAGTATTAGAGTAGAGATGGTCCTCAACTTACAATGGTTTAACTAACAATTATTTTACTTTATGATGGTTTTATTGTGATGTAACCTTATCACAAGTTGAGGAGCTTCTTATGACTTATGATGGGGTTATGGGTTCTACAGAATGTGTGTCACTTAGCACCGTTGCAAAGTCAATAAATTGTAAGTCAAACTATGATGAGTCAGGGACTGTCTGCTGTGTTGCCAGCATTAAATGCGCTTTTAACCTGAAATTTTTTTTACTTACAATGGGGATATCGTAACCCTGTCATAAATTCAGAATACAGATGCTCCTGAAATTATGATGTGGTTATGATGTGCCCATTGTTTCAGGAGCATCTGTATTCTGAATTTGACTGTGTACTAACTTTTACCAGTGAGTTTTATGCTTTTAGGTGTTTTTGTGTTATTCATTGTCATTCTTTTATTTAAGCTCGATGAACTTCTTTTAGCATTTCTTGTAAGACAAGTCTGGTGGCAATGAACTCCCTCAGCTTTTGTCTCTCTGGGAAAGTATCTCTCCTTCATTTTTGAAAGACAGCATTGCTGGTACATTATCCTTGATTGGCAGGGTTTTTTTTTTCCCCTTCAGTAATTTGGATATATCACCCTACCCTTTCTTTGCCTGTAAGATTTCTGCTGAGAAGTCTCTGCTAGCTATACTGGAACACCCTTATATGTTATTTGCATCTTTTCTCTTGCTGCTTTCAAGATCATCTCTTTGTTTTGGATTTTGACAGTTTGATTATAATATGTCTTAGGGTATTCTTATTTTGATTGAATCTGATTAGAAACCTTTGACCTTCCTGTACCTGGATATATTTCTCCAGATTTGGGAAGTTTACTTCTATGATTTTTTTAAACAAGCTTTCAGCTCTTTTATCTTACTCTTCTTCTTTGGTTCCTTTGACTAGAACATTTGTTGTTTTGATGTCCCATATATCCCATAAGCTTTTTCCATTCCATTTCATTTTTTTTCTCCTGGAACTGCATAATTTCAAGTACTCTGTCTTAGAGTTCACAGATTCTTTCTTCTGCTTGATTAAGTCTATGACCTATTGCTCTCTACTGAATTTTTCATTTCATTCATTGTATTTTTCACTTCTAGGATTTTGTTTGATTCTTTAAAATTATTTTAGTCTTTGTATTACATTTTTCATTCTGGTCACTTGTTTTCCTCACTTCATTGCATTGATTCTCTGTTTCTTGAAGTTTGCTGAGCTTCCTTAAAATGATTATTTTGAATTATTTGTCCAGCAGTTTATGCATTTCCATTTCTTTAGAGTCAGTCATTGACCCTTTATTTTGTTCATTTGATGATGTCTTGTTTTTCTGATTATTATTATTATTATTTTTTGAGACGGAGTTTTGCTCTTGTCATCCAGGCAGGAGTTCAGTGGCGTGATCTTGGCTCATTGCAACCCCCACCTCCCCAGTTCAAGTGATTCTCCTGCCTCAGCCTCCCAAGTAGCTGTGATTACAGGCGTCAGCCACCACACCCAGCCAATTTTTGTATTTTTAGTGTAGACAGGGTTTTACCATGTTGGCCAGGCTGGTCACGAACTCCTGACCTCAGGTGATCCCCATGCCTTGACCTCCCAAAGTGTTGGGATTACAGGTGTGAGCCACTGCATCCAGCCTTTTCTTGATTATTCTTATTCCTTGTACTCATGTGTTGATGTGTTTGCATTTGAAGAAATATGTGCTTATTACAGTCTTCACAAACTGACTTTTTCTGAGAAAGTTTTGCAGCAGGCACACTGCTACAGTGTACCAGAAGCCCAGGACCGATGCAGCTGGCATAGCACTGGGAAACCCCAGGCTTCTGGCCTGCCGGAAGCCCAAGTCCCACTATGGCTGGTTCAGCTTTGCCTGAAGCCTGGGGCCTGCTGTGGTTGGTGTAGTGCTGAGGCACACCAGACGCCTGAGGACACTGAGGGTTCCCTGCTGCTGAGAGCTGTATGGAGCCCAGAACCACTAAAGTTGGCCTGATGGTGATAAAGACATTGAGTCCACCATGCAAGCCTGAAATCTGGGGTAGTATGGACATGACTGGTGCTGAGACTCATTCTGCAGGGTCTTGTGTAAAAGACTGTGGGGGAGTCTTCCTGGTACTGAATTTTACAATGGTAGGCCCAGTGTTGGGGCCCGGGAGAATGTCCTAAGTTCATTTACCTCTCTTTCCCCTAAGTGGACAGTATCTGTCTCTGTGCTATGCTGCTTGGAGTTGGGAAGGGGTGACACAGGTAATGTAAAACTCTCCTTTCTACCCTCTTCAATGTATCTTTTCTTATTTTTGTGCTACAACCAGGCACTGTGATCTCTCATATGTTTTTCTTAGCCCTTGTGAAGGTATTTTTGCATGTGGGTAGTTGTTCAAATTGATGTCTCTGTTGGGGGACAATCACTGGAGAGTACTACTCTACCATCTTGCTCCATCCTTCTTCTAAGTTGCACTTTTTATCACGTAGTCATTACACTTATTCTTCCATCAGTATTTAGCATTATAATTCAATAATTTTCAACTATTATTGGCCCTAAAACTTACTTCAGGCACTTACTGGCAATGCCTCTTTCTGGGTTCCATACCCAAGGATGCTGATTCAGTGGGTTTGGGGGTATGCTCAGATATCTGAGTTTTTTTCCCTTTTTAGTCATGAAGATTTTAAAACCAAGCTGAAAAAAAGTACCAAAAATACTTCTATACATTCTACCTTAATTCAACAATTTGTTGGCATTTTGTCATATTTGCTTTATATCTCAACTTGTATGAATGAGTGTATATGTGTATTCACTACATATTTCTGTATTGTTTGAACATGTGAAAGTAAATTTCAAATATCAAGACACTTCCACTTTTTTTTTTTTTTGAGACGGAGTCTTGCACTGTCACCTGGGCTAGAGGGCAATGGTGCGATCTTGGCTCACTGCAACCTCCGCCTCCCGGGTTCAAGCGATTCTCCTGCCTCAGCCTCCTGAGTAGCTGGGATTACAGGCACTTGCCACCATGCCCAGCTAATTTTTTGTATTTTTTTTAGTAGAGATGGGGGTTTCACTATGTTGACCAGGCTGTTTTCGAACTCCTGACCTCATGATCCGCCTGCCTCAGCCTCCCAAAGTGCTGGGATTACAGGCATGAGCCACTGCGCCTGGCTGACACTTCCACTTTAATACTCCAGCATGCATCTCCTAAGAATAAGAATATCCTCCTATATAATTAGAATACTATAATCACTCCTAAGATAATTAACAGTATTTCCAAACTATCATCTATATTTTGCATTTTAACAGAAGATTCTAGACCTAGTTGTCTCTCTCTCAAGTACAGTGGGACAAGTTTCAGATATTGTGACAGACCAATGGGGAAGATTTTGGGGGAGCAAGCAGCAGGTCTTATGAGACAACCCAAATAAGCCTCAAGTTAGCTTTGGGTTGACTTCACAAAGTTCATCAGACAAATGTGCTATCTTGCCAGAATGGCCACTGCACTTGACACACAGTCTAAGCTAACGCAGATAGGTCATGTGGCTTCTAGGAGCCACTCCTACACACTGATTTCAACTATAAGACAGGGGAAACACTCTTTCCTTCCCTAGGAAACTTCAAAGAAAATCCTCCTGCTCTCATTTTCATAATAAAAAGTTGACTGGTGAATGTACAAAAAGGCATCCATGTAATTAACTATATACCCTGGTTTAAGTGATAAAGTTTGCTTCAGTGTAAATGATCAGTCAAATTACTCCCCTCTGTGATTAAAGAGTTAAAATTGTGGCCCAGCGTCATGCTCCAGGGCAGCTGTAAGAAATAGAGATCATGGGCGTTGTAGTGTGATAATTCTGCATACTCTCTAATATTGTCTTCATAAAATAGCATCAGCTGCTGCTGCATATGGTATAACTTTAATATGCTCTTTTAATATTTACAGTATGCCTATAAAAGATTTCATGATGACAGTTGGTGGTTCCCGTGGTAATTAATAAATGACAGTACAACTGTGATCAGATGGTTTTAGGAAAGAGTCTCTCAGAATGCTGGCTTTCACAAATCCAGGCCTGGGGATGATTTCTGGGGGCAGGGTTTTCTAAACCTGAGGTTGACCCCATGTCGTTATTTGCCTATGTGGTTTTGTAGAGTTTTATCTCCAGGTTCTTCCCAAACAGCAAAAAGTGGGAAAGAAGACAGAGGAGTTAGTAAGAAGGTTGCCTGCTAGAGCAGATATGAATTTGGAAGTGACTTTTTTGTTTTTGTAATGCAGTTGTAGTGCAACTTACTCCTTGACAAAGAATATGTAGATATGTGTGAGTTTGGTAGGTCTTGCTACCTGAAGCAGCATAGGTAGTTAATAAATCCCACATGTGGTCAGTGTCTTCTAAGTAGTTGGTCAATCTTTTACCATTGATTCCACTGAATTCTTTGATAGTGTTTGCTTGCCTCAGGCCATTCATCACCACACTTTGAGCCCGTATTGCCTATGGGATTTTCTCACGCATCTCTATTTGCTGTTGCATCCATGTGAACCATGTTTTTTATCACCTAAGGCTGAGGCTTCCCACGATGTGTCAAAAGGTGAAATTCCAGGTGGCCTAAATTTTCCCATTTATTAGGTGTAGGTACAATGAACTCAAAGCAGGTATGTTGAATTATTATAGTATATTTGTAAACCAACAAAAGTTAATTCTATAAAGTGTTTTGGAGCCATAAGATATAACAGAAAGTATTTCTTTTGTTACTTTTGGTACCAGGATTTTCCTTGAAGGACTTGGAGATTCATTTCTGTATTCAACATTCTCTTCACCTGAGCAAAGTGAAGAAGTACTGTCTCCTTCTGCCTTTTCATCTCCTTTCCCAGAGCTCAGCACTCTCCTCTTTCCTTTGACTTTCTGAGAGCTCAGCACTTCCCATTCTGTGTCCACATGTAGCTGAGGGTAGCCATTAGATTGAAGCTCTCAGCTTTCCTCTTCACTCTTTCAAAATCTCCCACTTGGGTACTCTCTGGCTCTTCTTTTGCTTCTGACTTTGAAGATTAAGTAGCTATTCTCCTAGCAAAGAGAATCCTCTTATCTGGACTCTTGATTCTACTGGTGCTCTTGCCCCATACTTTAACTCTTAATTCTAACTTGTCTTTCTTCTCTTTTTATGATCTTATCTTAGAGATAACTCATGCTTCCTCATCCTAAAACACAAACAGGAGACAATCCATTAACTCATTTCAAAACCAGCTATGCCTACTGTCTCTATTTCTAAATAATCTCTCTTCTCAGTTTAATTACCTAGTTATTAAAAATCTACTCTTGAGTTTTCCAGGAAAATCCTGCTCACTAAATCTAATGGTCTTTTCTCATGCCTTATGTTCAACCTTTCTTCAGACTTTCAGATCCCTGCCTGTCCTCCACCAATTTCCTCCCCTCCCTGGACTTTTGCAAACCCTTTGGTATCAAAGACCAGATATAGATCCCTCCTCCAAGGGCCTGCCAATCACTCTCATTCTTCCTTTGTACTTTTTAGTTTCATTGTATATTAATTCAACCAAACTACTGGACACCTATAATGGATATAGAGTTGTGGGAAGCAACGGAAAGACAAACACAAATAAGACTGGATATGTTCTTTCCTGGAGCTCACTGTCTTCTGGGGAATATTTATAAGCAAACAGATCATTACAGCATGGTAAGATCTGTGATAGATGAGTCAAGAGAATCCTGTGGAAGCCCAATAGAAGGTGCCTAAGTTAGTCTGGTTGTTCAGCAGTAAGAGACTACCAGAGATCTGAAAGAGGAGTGCAGAGTTAGCAGCTGAGAAGGCAGGGAAAATGATGGGCCAGCAAGCAGTTTAGTGCTACTGTAACATACACTGGAAGGAAAAGCAGAGGAAGGAGTTGAGAGATGGCAGCAGAGATGAGACTGAAGAGGTCAGATTGTTAAGGAACTTTTATGCCACGCTAAGCTTTCATTTTACAATAAAGACATGGGTAGAGTGATGAGAGTGGTTAGGTTTGCTTTTATGAAAGAGTTCATGAGTGATATTGTGCAAAACAGATGGGTTGGGGGCAAGATTAGGGATAGGATGACTACTGCTGTAGTACAGGTGAAAAATAATGACAACCTGAACTCAGTGCTGTAGGAATGCAAAGAAATGAATGGCTTCGAAGGATCTTGTGGAAGTGAAATTGATCGAGTTTGGTGACTGGGTGTGAATGGATTGAGAGGGAGGAGACAGAACTTCTTAGTTTTCAAGCTTAGACAACAGATGTTTCTGAAATTGCAATACTAGGGGGAGAAATAGAGCTGGGGTGGTAATGAAAGATTTGTTTTTGAACACGTTGAGTCTGAAGGTTTGTGGAAACATTCTTCTGGGACCTGCCATAACTGGGATTTTCTCTTTGCTTTGGAATAGGGCTCTTTTGATTTTTAAAATGCCAATGAGGTAAAAATTTGTGGGACAGCAAGAGATAAAAGCCAGTGAAAGGCCTTTGTATACTCTTATTTCTTATCCAAAGCAATGTGCAAATCATATTTAGATGTTACCCACCACTGGCTTCAGCCTTCCACCTGAAGGTAATTGTCATAATAGTTACTGAGTCATTTCTCATGCCAGATTCAGGTTTAAGTGCTTGACATATATTGATTCCTTTGATCTTCATACAATCTAATATGATGACTATTATTATCCATTTTTTACAGATGAGGAAACGAAGGCATCAGTAATTAAGTAACACATACTTAGTAGTGTTAGAATCAGGGAACAAAACCAGGCAATCTCCCTCCACTATATCCTCCTCCATTCTGAGGCGAAGAGTTTCCAATCATTCACAAAGCAGGAATTCACAAACTCTGATTCATGGGGACCAAATATGGGCTGCTGCTCGTTTTTGTAAATAAAATGTTATTGTTGCATGGCCATGTCCATTCATTTACATATTGTCTATGGCGACTTGGCAATCCAATGACAGAACTGAATAATTGCAACAAAGACTAGACCACAAAGCTAAAGCTGTATCTGGCCGGGCATGGTGGCTCATGCCTATAATCCCAGCATGTTGGGAGGCCGAGGCAGGTGGATCACCTGAGGTCAGGAGTTCAAGACCAGCCTGGCCAACATGGTGAAACCCTGTCTCTACAGAAAATACAAAAATTAGCCAGGCATGGTGGTGCACGCCTGCAGTCCCAGCTACTCGGGAAGCTGAGGCAGGAGAATCACTTGAACCTGGTAGATGGAGGTTGCAGTGAGCTGAGATCATGCCACTGCACTCCAGCCTGGGCAACAGAGACTCCATCTCAAAAACAAACAAACAAACAAACAAAACTATATCTGATCCTTTAAAGAATGCATGCAAAGTGCGCTAGACCCCCAATTTGTCATTTCTCCCTTCATGTATGGGAGTGAACAAGGATAGATGTATGACCTTTGTTCTTATAGCCAAATCTCTGCAGAGATGTCCCTGATAACTTCCCAGTCAAGGCAGAAACTTCTGATTTTTTTTTTTTAATCATTTAGTCTTCCTGTGGCAGAAATTGTGGGCCAATGATAAAACCATTTACAACTTCCTTTGCTTTATCTGGGGTACAAAGTGACAACTTTCTCGCTAAGTTATTAATGAAGACATATATATATATATATTTGAGGGGCAAAGAGATTAAAAATAAAAGGGGCACTATCCAAGAGATTAGTAGATATTTTTTATTTTCCTTGCAAACAAACAAGAAGTAGTCTCTTAGAGGAAGGGAGACACAGAACCTTAACCTGATATGTGTGAGAACAGCAGTACTCTCTTATTTTTCATGACTGGTCCTACAGACTTCGCACCCATTTGAGCCATCATAACAAGTGTGTAGTGGGGCTTCTAGAATTTATGGCTCTGGAGCCCAATAGAGTGCAGGGCTGGATATATTGACTTGGAAGTAGTTGAAACATAGGAGATTCTTGAATCATTTCTTTCTCTATCTGATCCTTAAAGGTACTGTGGTTGTTTCTGCCCTTCGCTCTCTTCTCCTACTGCATCCCATTTCTTGGTGACCAAATCCACTCTTACATTCTCAATTGTTCCTGCTGGCAGAGATTCCCTGAAGCCATATTGCAACCTTGAACTTGCTTCCCTAGTTCAGCCATAGACGCCCACTTTATTTATCTATTGCTAGGACATTTGTTTCCTTTTTGCTATTTTCTTTATAATGAACTCTCTCAACAAAAATCTCAATCTCCGTCCTTCATGCAAAGAGGTTGGCACCATCAAAATTGTCCTACTTTTAATATGTTATTTATATTTTGATAGGGAAGGACTTTTTAAATCACTTTTCTATACCCATTTTACTTCCCTATTATCTTGGGACTCTGTTAATTCTATTTACTTAAATTAAGCTGTTGTGAATAGACTCTACTCACAATTTTTTTTTAGAAAGCACCTGTTTCCTCTGCTTTCTACATCAATCCACATTTCTTCAAAAGATGAGGGATGAGGATGACCTAGTCAAAGCCTTGCTTCCTCCCATATTGGAAGAGTCCCTGTGTGAACTTATGAGCCTTATTACTTGTAATGGAAGCTACTTTATTGTGCTATTGACACGGAAAGGGAGACTCTTTCTTGACTTTGAGTCCTGGGGAGTGGAAAACTTTCATCATCAAATGAGTTGTTAAAACCTAGAGGATTACACCTGTAGCCTGACAAACTCATATTTATTGCCTTGCATAGAGAGATGTCACTCCTAGGCAAGAGGGAGGAAGGAGGCATCTTTTGTAAATTGAACTTCCATTGAAGAATTTTGAGGAGCATCTAAGGGAAGCAGGTATCCATTTTGGATTGGTTGTTTTGAGGTGGGATTAGGAAAAGAGAGATTTAGCCAGGATTGGATGCTGTCATGAGGGGATGATGGCTGAGCAATTGGGTATCTCTAGTAATAAATGAAAATAGCCAGCAGTCAGGGGCATCATTGGTGAGAAGTCAGCAATCACCTAAAGAGGGGATCATTATGGCACTTTATAACTGCTGCATGACCTTGGCAGAAAGTGTTTCCTGCTAATTTTGCAGCTGGCTTTATCTGTGTCTGTCCTCCTTGTCTGATTAGTGGCAGGGCTTCTTTTCTCTTTTCAGTCCAAATTGATTCTCACTCTTTTAATCCAAAAGAGATTTTAACTCTTTCAGCATCCTAGACTCAACTCATCAGAACATTCACTAGGATGCGTTTTCCTACTAGCACTTAACCAAGTGTAAGAATCTCAGGTTCATCATGATTTAATTGAATAGAAACTTCTAGAGCCACCATCAAACAATCCAAAGTTGAGGTAAAGCAATGTGGCCTAACAGGTTCCAATGTAGTATACTTAGAACCTTTCCAGATGCCCCACTACTCTGCCTTTTGATAATACCACTGCCCTCACTAATAGTCTTTTCCAGCTTGGAGCAGGTCATCACCTTTTGCCAAAAGCCTAAGGACTCTTCATTGGGAATAGCATTGTTTCTGAGGCTCACCATGCTTGGAATCTGTTCCACATTTCCAGCCCTCTCTCTTTCCATGTATCCTACCTTTGAGCCACACCAGAGGGATTCTTGCACTTTCATTTCTCTATGTTTTTGCTTACACTTTCCTCTGTCCTGAAATTTCTTTCCCTCCTTTCCCCCAATCAAAATCCTATTCTCACTTGCCTGATACAGGAACCATTCTCCAAGAAGCCACCCTTGAACTATCCCATGGAAATTACTAGTTTCTTCATTAGCACTTCCATAAAACTTTCCTTGTAACTCTGTTTAGCACTGCTATTGTTTTTTTCTCCTAAGCACACAGTCGTTTTTGTTTGTTTGTTTTGCAGTTTTCCTTGATATTTGGGGAAAAATGTTTATTTTACCTACTCTCTACATTCTAGGGATATTTCTTAGCCTGAAGTTCCTGGCTTCGCTGTGATCCTTTGGAGGCATAGGAAGGTGGGGCAACTTGTGAAACTTCATATATATAAATTTCATATATATAAATATATATGTTCCTGTATGTGTGTGTGTATATATGTGTGTGTGTGTGTGTGTGTGTGTGTATTTGTGTATATGTGTACTTTGCTGGGGTCCACAACTTTCATCAGATACTCAAAGAGATGTGTAACCCAAAAGAGAAGAGGTTAAGAACAACTTTTAGAATATTAGATTGTTATGGCACAGGCACTCTGCCACTCAAACAGATGGGAGAGACAACTATAGGCAACCAAGAAATCATGAATGTGCATCAAATATGGGTGCTTAAGGCATGGTACCCAGCTGGGCAGGTGGAGAATGCCATCCATCCAAAGCTGCCAAGGGCTATTAGCCAGTACTGATTAAACTCTGGACTGCACTGATTTTTGGAAATTGCACTAAAATCCAGATCCTCCCTAGTCACGGCACAGAAGCACAGGAGTTGGCTGTGTTTACCCTCATAAATGCCCTGAGTGTGCCTTTGTTAGAAGCTTGGTTGGCAGTGGCAGCAATGCTACTTGTCCTTGTCTACTTTTTCTACTTCCAGATAAATATTAGTTTGATTAATAATCACATTTCAGTTTGTCCCAGGCCCCATGAAGTAGATTAGAATTCTGGAGGGAAAAAATATGGTACGATCTATATCGTCTTTCCATAATATACCCAGTAAATAGAAAATCTTTTCAAAAGATTACCTGATGCCACATCTCCCTCACCCCCTTATTGTTACCCAGGTGCCTGAATGTATGGGTTGCAATACAATATAACCAATGATTAGCATGAATGATAGAACCAGATGACTTGACCTTCAGTGTAAGGGATAGGCAGGCCTTTGATTATACTCATGAAATGCCCATGCTAAAAAGGTTCATGTTTTTAAGGATGTTTCTCCTGCCTCTTCTCTCCTATTCCCTTGCTTAAAAATTCTCTGTGGAATTGATTTGGCTGATAAAAGACAGGCTAACTTATTTTAAAAAGGGACTGAAAAATCCATGCACTTCCAATTGTCATGTGCAATCATGGACCTGTCAACTAATTCTTATTTTGGCAGTTTTGAGATCACTTGTCACAAATTATTCCCTCTCACAGGGGTATCTGAAGAGAAAGCAAAATAATATGCAATTCATGTAGCTGGATTCAGGTGGAGGGGATTCTACTTTTAATATGCAATTGGGTAGCTGGATTTGGGTGGGGGGGGGATTTTACATTTAATATGCAATTCTGGTAGCTGGATTCGGGTAGGGAGGAGTCCACATTTAATATGCAATCAGGTAGCTGGATTTGGGTAGAAGGGATTCACATTGAATACGCAATCAGGTAGCTGGATTCCGGTGGGAGGATTCCACATTTCCTCTTCCTTCAAAGTGATTGTTTATATGAAATATCTCCTTCTTTTCAAACAGAGAAAGTTACAAAAATCCTACTACATCAAATGATTTATGAAAAATAAAGGTAATTCTATCAAAAGCAATCGTGACTAGTCTTTCAACCTCGCTATGCATATATCGGGGAGTGTATTTGTTAACCTGAAAGGCAATAAAATCTGCTTATGGGTAAATCAATTCCTACCACTGGGTTCTTTTGGGAATATCTAGTAATCTAGGTCAGTAATTCTAAAACTTGAGTGTGTATTAGGATCACCTAAAAGGCTTGTTACATCACGGATTGCTGGGCTACACCTAAACAGTTTCTACTACAGTAGATCTGGGATGGGGCAAAAGAATATGGATTTCTCACAAGTTGACAGGTGATACCGATGCTGCTGGTCTAGGGATCCCACTTTGATAACCACTGACCAAAGTTTTTAAGGTCACAAGGTGTTTATAATTAGTTCAGAAACCAGGACACAACATGTTTAAAAATCCTTAGCAATACAAGGTAATATGAGGCCCCAAACAGGCAACAATGTGCACTATATAAGGGCAGTGGTGAGAGAACTCTGGTTTGGCAAGATTTCCACTCTCAAATCTGGATAGGGTTAAGATCATCAGAGAGCAGGGCATTCTAGAATGGGGAAATGAACCAAATTAGTTGGAGCTAAGACTGGAGAGGTAGGTAGGGATGTGTCTGTGGAGGGCTTTTAAGCACATCTTATAAGGAATACAGATTTTATACAACAGGTAATATTTCTTCCACCAACACACTGTCTCCTCCTGTGGCACGTGGGCAGAAAGATCTAGCTCCACATTACTGCAAACGGTTTAACCTTCCCCAAATACTGTTCAGCCGGAGTGAGGTGGGAAAGTTAGTAGATCTCTGGTGTTTGGTGAAGATACCAAGTTAGACTGAGAGGTGGATTACTTGCATCGCTGAGTCCAAAAGTTGTCGGCTTTTGCAGGGATGGGAAAGCAGGAAACTTTTGGAGGTCTCCCAAAATATAAGAAAAGATTGTTTGGGTGTGGATTTAGGTTGAGGACAGGAACAGGAAATATCCTGGGATGTCTGAGGCAACCCAATAGAGGGTCTGAAGTGGACGAGACCATGCACTACAGTGCAATGCTTTTCCATCTTTACGGTGCACCCCAGGAGTCACCTGGTGATCTTGCTGAAGTGCATGTACTGATTCAGCAGGCCTGAAATTGTGCATTTCAAAGATTGTGAGTTCCCAGAGGATGCTGATGCTGCAGACCGCGCTTTGAAGCAAGGTACCATGGGACATCCCAGAACACCTGCGGGGAGAGAGGCCTGCTGGCCACATCCCCCGAAGAAAGGATACATGCAATCTTTTAAGCTAAGGCCCCCATCCTGTCTCTCGGGAGAGGTGAGCAGTGAGGATATGGGGACAATGAGAAGGACGGCTCAAGTAGGGCTGGGGAGGGGCAGAGGCGCCCAGGCGCGCCAGGTGCAAGCGCTCTGGAGAGTGCGGTCTGCCTGGGTCCGCGGCTCTGGGGCTGCGGCGCGATTGCAGGAGTTTCGGCCCTCAGCGGCTCCCATCGCGGCTCCCGGGAGCTAAGCGAGACGGCGACGGCGGCAGTCGTCCCTCCCCACGCGGGCGCGCGGGCATGCGGACACCCACTCGGCCGGTCCAGGCCCTCAGGCTCCCGGAAGCGGAAGGGGAGAGCGGCCCGGCCTGGGCGGCGGCGCCGGAGGAGGCGGAGGTGGCGCGGCAGGAGGAGGGGAAAGAGCTGCTGGCGGTCGGGAGAGCGGCGGCAGCGAGAGGCGAGCCAGCGGCGACGGTGAGTGTGCAGGCGCGGGGGCGAAGCGGCCGCCCCCACCCCCATCCCCATCCGCACCCCCACCCCCATCCCCGGCCCCCGCTCCGCTCTGCCGGGCCCGCCCGCCGCTCCTCCGCGCCGGGACGCCCTCACCTGTTCCTGCACGCCCCCTGCACCTGCTCTGTTTGGAACCCGGGGGTTTCTCGGTGCCTCCCCGCCCCAGGCCTGGCCTTTTTCAGAGCGTCTTCTGCTAGAGCTACAGCCCCTTGCTAAGTGCTCCTCCCTCAACTGGGGGTGGGGGGTTCCTGCTCTAGTCGAGACGATGTTGGCTAGTTATTTATTTATTTATTTTAAATCTGTATCCTGAGTTTCTCGCTTGTAAACTACAGTTTCTCTCCCCGCACCCCCGTCTGGAGACCTGCACTGGGATCCCGGGTTTCTCTGTGCTATTCCAGAGCTTTTCATTCATTCCAGACTTCTGGTGTGAAGCTGCAGAGAGGACAAACAGTTTGCTCCTTTATTGACCTTCTCACTCCTCTCCTCTTGATCCAAAGAGGTTTTCGGAAAATGGCTTATGGATGGCAGCAGTTTGCACTTGTTACTGTTCACTGTAACAGGTCGCTGGATTGTAACTGCAGAGTCCATTTAAGTTACGGTCTTTTTCAAGCTATATGTGGGTCACATTTTAAGATCCCTTGAGAGTCAGGGTGGATGTCTGTATCACCAGGGCTGAGAGGACATGACCAATTATTACTTTAAAATATTGCAATATAGCAGTCTCTAAAAGTAGAAGAGAAAAAAAAATCAAGGTCATTGTGGGCGGGTCATAAATTATATTGTAAAGTTACAGTCCAAAGGCGACTAAGGATAATTAAGTGCAATTTAAAAAGATGTGTTAAATAGGTCCTCAGCCTACTATGCTAATATATGCACTTTTAAAAATTCACTGCTTTCCTTGTGGTAAGAATAATATTAATAACAGTCACCATTTGATGACTGCTTAGTATGCGCCATTCCTGGATTAAAAGGCTTTTGGTGTAATATTAAATTCTTCCAACTCTTTAGATTTTACTTATTTTAAAGGTAAAATTCGGAGAGATGCTCTGTTTTTCCTTAGTTTGTGCCATCTCTTAAAAGCAAAAAGATATTTGAAGAATTGAGGTGAGAAATCCACTGGAAAGAAAGAGCCAAATGAGATTTGGTGTCGTGGAAAGAAAAACTAGATTCTAGTCCCATTTCTGTCACTATCCAGCTGTGGGTTTACAGGTAGGGCAATGACCCATGTTATTTTCTCTATACCATCAGAGAGCCAGACTAAATTATTTAAGGCTTATTTTAGCTTTTCCATGCTTACTTGGAAAATGTTTTTAAATAAGACCCTTTAACGTGGTTTGAAGGTACATTAAAAACATATACGAAGTATTAGTAAAATATGAAAATATAAGTTAAAATGTATAATTCCATAATTGTTTTGGTGTAGTACTCTTCCAGAATTCATCATTTTCGATGGAAACAATTCTATTAGATCCTTTGACACTACTGAGATTTCTGTTAACATACTTGAGAAGCTGTAGTTGGAATAAATGAAATAGAGCGTCATTTAAAGAAAATGATGAGGACCGTGTCACTTTTGCCTACGAGGTACTTTGTTTAATAAGAGAAATCTAAGCATTTAAAAATGCAGACATATAATCAGCTTAACAGGAAGTTCTGAGACAAGAATCAATGAATCATAACATGTACTTCTTATTTGCCTACTGCCTCATTTCTTTAATTCGTAATGACCGATTCAGAACCTGTGGAAAAATGCATGAATAAAATAATGGTTTTATAAAATGTGACCCACATATAGCTTGAAAAAGACCGTAACTCAAATGGTCTCTGCAGTTACAATCCAGGGACCTGTTATAGTGAATAGTAACAAGTGCAAACTGCTGCCATCCATAAGCCATTTTCCCGAAAACCTCTTTGGGTTGAGAGGAGAGGAGTGAGAAGGTCAATAAAGGAGCAGTTTATTGTTTGTCCTCCTGCTAGTCTTATTATATAGTGGTTTAGTAAAGAAACTGCTTGAGAAGTTGAGTAATGTCTCAACATGGAGCTGTTTTTCTGGAATTGTAATTGAATGTGACTCAGTGAAAACTTTTTTAGCATAGGAGGTGACACAGTGGCAGTATCAATACTACCAGGCAAAAGAGGGAAGGCAGAGGAAAGGCTGTTTTTATTGCCAAGAGTTTGTTCCCTAAATTCAGTTTTACTTTTATATTAAGGAATGTAACCTTTTATGTTGTTTTAGTAAAACATTAGGGCTCAGATTCAACTTTTCACATGCATTAAATATAATAGGCAATTTAGCATCTAGTAGAATAATCAGTGCTTAAATAACTCTTATTAAAGGTAAAAATACAGGTGAAATTGTAAAACAGTTTTTATTGTTGAAAGTGATTTGTTAAGAATTCTTGATAAGTCAAGTCAGACTAGTTTAAAAAGCACATTTTCATAGACATGTGAATCATCACTGTGCTCATTGATAGGTCCCTGAACAAAAATACCTTAGTATGATGGTACTTTATGTGTTTGTTTTGCTCTTTAGACCTAACCTAGGCAAAATTGTGACATTTTTGAAGTTTGCCTTCTGCCTTTCAAGCTGCTTTTTCCTCTGTGCTATTTCTCTCAGGGTAGATTAACCTTCTTCCCCATTTCAGAGACTCTCTTAACCGATGTGTTGCCCCTTCTACAAAAGGGCAGGTTGGGTAAAATTGATATTTTACCATTCACTGGTGAATTTTATTTTAAATCTAACCTAAAATGCTCAAGTGTGATGTCAACCAAGCTTCTGATTTTAAGCTTTTTATCTGTAATTACAGAATGAAGAACTTTTTCACTTACTGCAGGATTTTCAGCTTCAGCAAGCAGGTGAGGAGAGATTTTTCTTATGGTGTTAGTGTTCTTAAATCATGGCTGCTTTGGTAAAGCCTGGTGTGAAGGAAATCTAATTTAGTCTTCTACCCCCAACCCCCCACCAATCTCTCTTGGTGTGGTGGGTACTAGAAGGTAAGTAGCAGGCTTCCCTTCCTTCTTGGAAGAACATACTTGATTCATACCCAGGAAAAGCCTGGGCCTCTTCATTTCTGGCTTTTACTGTATCTGAAGGTTTTTTCCTTGTGCTGATTTTGGAACAAAAGTTACCTTTTTAAATCCCTGTCCCTATCCTACATTTAATCTTGCCTTTTCAGTCCCTTTTCCCACTCCTATCTCCCTAATGAAAATTCCCACAGAGACCTTTTGTACTGACTGAAACAATATTTGGTGGTCTTTAATTCGTATCACCCCACACCTCCCAAGCTATTTTTACTTTTTGTTAGAAGATTCTAATGAAGTGAGCTTGAGCCAGGGAGAATGGAGACTGAGGCTGCAGTGGGCTGTGATTGCAGCACTCCAGCCTGGACAACATAGTGAGACCCTGTCTCAGACAAACATACCCAAAAAACAGTGGCCCAGTTATCTACTTTCTCTAAAGTTAAAGCAAGTTAATGCAAGCAGGGAAAAATAAAGGTAAATGCCTGTATTAGCAGTACTAATACTACTAGTAGTAATACTACTAGGATAGTGTTAGCAGTATTAATACTGCAGTGTAGTACTACTAATACAGTCATGTACATTTATTTTTCACTCATGAGACTGGTGCACACAAAAACAAATTTATGAGAAGAGCAACAGCTTATGCTCAATTTTGCCCAGAATGTAATTTAAAGACTTAGTCTACAGAGTGGATTCTTGAAACCATTGATAGTGCAAGTATTTTATGCTTTGACACTTTGTCCACCCACGTTTTTACAAAGTCTTCCTGGAAAACTCAGCAATTGATTCAGAATCCCTGCTTGCATTATACATTCTTTATTAGCTTCTGAGATCAAGTACTGATTTTCTTTCACACTTTATTCCTTTGCTCACCAGTCCTGCTTTTACTTGAATGTGATTTAGTTTAGGGGCTTCAGTTCATTCATTCTATTTTAGATCAAATCTCTATTTTCGGTTTTCTTCTTAAAGATCCCCCTAACCAACGTGTAGAAATACAACTTCAGCTAGTATGATACTAGCCGAAGGGCTGTAATATTTGAAGTTTTTTTGACTAGTTCACAGACTTTAAAAAAGTAGATAACGGGGCATTTTTTGTTGTTCTTGTGTTTGTTTTGTTTTTTGTTTGAGACAGGATCTCACTCTGTTGACCAGGCTGGAGTGCAGTGCAGTCACAGCTCACTGCAGCCTTGGTCTCCATCTCCCTGGCTTAAGCGATCCTCCCACTTCAGCCTCCCAATAAGCTGGGACTACAGGCATGTGCCACCACACCCGGCTGGTTTTCTGTTTGTTCGTTTTTTGTTGTTGTTTTTGAGACAGAGTCTCGCTCTGTCACCCAGGCTGGAGTGCAGTGGGGTGATCTCGGCTCACTGCAACCTCCGCCTCCCGGGTTCAAGCAATTCTCCTGTCTCAGCCTCCCGAGTAGCTTGGATTACAGGTGCCCACCATCATGCCTGGCTAATTTTTGTATTTTTAGTAGAGATGGGGTTTCACGACGTTGGCCAGTTTGGTCTTGAACTCCTGACCTCAGGTGATCCACCCGCCTTTGCCTCCCAAAGTGCTGGGATTACAGGCATGAGCCACTGTGCCTGGCCCCCATTTGTTTGTTTTTTAACTAGTGGCTAGGTCTGGCTGTGTTGCCCAGGCTGCTGTGGATCTCCTTAGCTCAAGCAATCCTACCCCTACTCACCTCCCAACATGGTATGATCACAGGCAAGAGCAGGCCCTGGGGTATTGTTAAACTGTTTCATTACTTTTAATGATGGGGACCTAGAAACGTTGTTTCATTCTGGAGTTTGTAAAACTAGAAGTAAAACTTATCTTTCACTTTCCCTTCCTCTGCTCTCTCCTTCGCTCCCCTGTAAAGTTAGCATTTTGGAGGCGCTGCTTTGCCAGTCAATTTCTCATTTAAGCGTGACAGCAACTGTGTAAGTTGACATTTTTATCTCCATTTTACAGATGGTCAAACTGAAGCTTGAAAAGAAACTAAAGCTTGGAAAGTGAATAAGAGACTATGTCATAATTTCTCTTTTAACATCTGTAGAAGATTAATTTTTTAATCTGTTGATAATCAACTGAATATCTATGTGATATTTAAAAAATTGAATTCCTAATTGGCAATGAGAGCTTGATTTTTATGGAGAATTATTTAACTGCCACACTTGACTAATTTTCAGAGTAGAATGATATCAGAAGTCAAAAAGTTTTATAAATACGTTTACAGCTGTAACTCTGCTTTCTAAATTCATTTGGCTGTAATTAATAAGTTTAAAATTTCATATATTCATCTAATAAGCATTTTCTCTTGGCACTGTGGAAAAAAAATTGGTATGTTTGAAAACTTAGCTTGTAAATTGTTAGATTGTATTCTTTCAGGCGTAGCAATATTAAAAATATTTAATGACATTTTATAGTTTTGAAACTTTGAAATTGTTTTGTTGTTCCAATTTTTTGAATGTTTAGGCCCAACGTTACTTTTGTTTTGTTTTGTTTTGAGACAGGGCCTTACTCTGGCACCCAGACTGGAATGCAGTGGCACGATGATTTCTGCTCACTGCGGCTTCTGCCTCCTGGGTTCAAGCTTCAAGCGATTCTCGTGCCTCAGCCTCCCGAGTAGCTGGGATTACAGGCGGGCGCCACTATGCCTGGCTAATTGTTGTATTTTTGGTAGAGACGGGGTTTTAACATGTTGGCCAGGCCAGCCTCAAACTCCTGACCTCAGATGATCTGCCCACCTTGGCCTCCTAAAGTGCTGGGATTACAGGCATGAGCCACCATGCCCGGCCCAGCATTACTTTTATTACCACATAGATGAGATTTCATTTCTCAGAGGTAGTGGTGTTTATCTAGTACTGAAATACGAATCTCATTTCAGAGGCTGTGTCTGCAGTGTAGCTCTGATAACTATAAATGTAAAGTAGGATTTTTCTTGATTTTAAGCCAGCAAGTGACTGGGATTTGACTCATGGGTGATTGGCCTGTGCTATAACCTACTAACGTTACTGACAGAAACTACTATTTTGCTGAAACATTAGGAAGCCACTCTCAAGTCATAGACTTAGTAGCATTATTGTTTTTGGCCATCTTTCAAAAATGTTTGGTTGTACCACATTTAATTCTGTTTGAATTTTTTTCTGAAATAATTCATTTATTTGCCATTGGGGTAGCAGCTCTTTAACATTGTTTTTTTTTTTGTTTTTTTGAGATGAAGTCTCGCCCTGTCGCCCAGGCTGGAGTGCTGTAGTACAGTCTCTGCTCACTGCAACCTCTGCCTCTTGGGTTGAAACGATTCTCGTGCCTTAACCTCCTAAGTAGTTGTGATTACAGGCACACACCACCACGCCCAGCTTATTTTTGTATTTTTAGTGGAGACAGGGTTTTCCCATGTTTGCCAGGCTCGTCTTGAACTCCTGACCTCAAGTGATCCTCCCACCTCGGCCTCCCAAAGTGCTGGGATTACAGGCATGAGCCACTATACCCAGACTTTAACTTTGTAATTCTGTGTTTAGTCTCTAAAAAGCAAAGGTGCAACCAAGGAGCCCACTTTAAATTAGCTTAAAAAGTTAAGAGTAGAAACAAAGTTCATTTGACGATCTAATAACTATGGACCATAGAAAAGTTGACCCTGGGAGGATATACAGGTTCTGTGCCCCCCACAAATGTATAAAGGGAAAAGAAATGTAATAATTTTGATGTATTTTTTACATTCTCAGTATTTAATAGTCTGCTGTTGCTGTGGTAACCAGCACACTTAACACACTTGTAACTTGGCCTTTGTTCCCTGTCTTGGAGAATGGTTCCACCCTTCACCTAGAGCCTAAGTGTGAAACTTGGGAGCCATCCTAGTCTGCCCTTTGCTCCCAATTGATCACTAAGTCCTGTCAGTTTTATTTATTTAAATTCTCCCAGATCTGCCCCTTCTCTTTTTTTTAATTTCTTCTTTCTTTTTTTATTTATTTTCTTTTTTTTAAATTATACTTTAAGTTCTAGGGTACATGTGCACAACATGCAGGTTTGTTACATAGGTGTACATGTGCCATGTTGATTTGCTGCACCCATTAACTCGTCATTTACATTAGGTAGTTCTCATAATGCTATTCCTCCCCCCTCCCCCACCCCACGACAGGCCCCGGTGTGTGATGTTCCCCTTCCTGTGTCCAAATGTTCTCACTGTTCAGTTCCCACCTATGAGTGAGAACATGTGGTGTTTGGTTTTCTGTCCTTGTAATAGTTTGCTGAGAATGATGGTTTCAGGCTTCATCCGTGTCCCTACAAAGGACATGAACTCATCCTTTTTTATGGCTGCATAGTATTCCATGGTGTATAATGTGCCACATTTTCTTAATCCAGTCTATCATTGATGAACATTTGGGTTGGTTCCAAGTCTTTGCTATTGTGAATAGTGCTGCAATACACATACGTGCGCATGTGTCTTTATAGCAGCATGATTTGTAATCCTTTGGGTATATACCCAGTAATGGGATGGCTGGGTCAAATGGTATTTCTAGTTCTAGATCCTTGAGGAATCGCCACACTGTCTTCCACAATGGTTGAACTAGTTTACAGTCCCACCAGCAGTGTAAAAGTGTTCCTGTTTCTTCATATCCTCTCCAGCACCTGTTGTTTCCTGACTTTTTAGTGATCGCCATTCTAACTGGTGTGAGATGGTATGTCATTGTGGTTTTGATTTGCATTTCTCTGATGGCCAGTGATGATGAGCATTTTTTCATGTGTCTTTTGGCTGCATAAATGTCTTCTTTTGAGAAGTGTCTGTTCATATCCTTTGCCCACTTTTTGATGGGGTTGTTTGTTTTTTTCTTGTAAATTTGTTTGAGTTCTTTGTAGATTCTGGATATTAGCCCTTTGTCAGATGAGTAGATTGCAAAAATTTTCTCCCATTCTGTAGGTTGCCTGTTCACTCTGATGGTAGTTTCTTTTGCTGTGCAGAAGCTCTTTAGTTTAATTAGATCCCGTTTGTCAATTTTGGCTTTTGTTGCCATTGCTTTTGGTGTTTTAGACATGAAGTCCTTGCCCATGCCTATGTCCTGAATGGTATTGCCTAGGTTTTCTTCTAGGGTTTTTATGGTTTTAGGTCTAACATGTAAGTCTTTAATCCATCTTGAATTAATTTTTGTATAAGGCTTAAGGAAGGGATCCAGTTTCAGCTTTCTACATATGGCTATCCAGTTTTCCCAACACCATTTATTAAATAGGGAATCCTTTCCCCATTGCTTGTTTTTGTCAGATTTGTCAAAGATCAGGTGGTTGTAGATGTGTGCTATTATTTCTGGGGGCTCTGTTCTGTTCCATTGGTCTGTATCTCTGTTTTGGTACCAGTACCATGGTGTTTTGGTTACTGTAGCCTTGTAGTGTAGTTTGAAGTCAGGTAGCGTGATGCCTCCAGCTTTGTTTTTTTTGCTTAGGATTGACTTGGCAATGCGGGTTCTTTTTTGGTTCCATATGAGCTTTAAAGTAGTTTTTTCCAATTCTGTGAAGAAAGGCATTGGTAGCTTGATGGGGATGGCATTGAATCTGTAAATTACCTTGGGCAGTATGGCCATTTTCATGATATTGATTCTTCCTACCCATGAGCATGGAATGTTCTTCCATTTGTTTGTTTCCTCTTTTATTTCATTGAGCAGTGGTTTGTAGTTCTCCTTGACGAGGTCCTTCACATCCCTTGTAAGTTGGATTCCTAGGTATTTTATTCTCTTTGAGGCAATTGTGAATGGGAGTTCACTCATGATTTGGCTCTCTGTTTGTCTGTTGTTGGTGTATAAGAATGCTTGTGATTTTTGCACATTGATTTTGTATCCTGAGACTTTGCTGAAGTTGCTTATCAGCTTAAGGAGATTTTGGGCTGAGACAATGGGGTTTTCTAAATACACAATCATGTCATCTGCAAACAGGGACAATTTGACTTCCTCTTTTCCTAATTGAATACCCTTTATTTCCTTCTCCTGCCTAATTGCCCTGGCCAGAACTTCCAACACTATGTTGAATAGGAGTGGTGAGAGAGGGCATCCCTGTCTTGTGCCAGTTTTCAAAGGGAATGCTTCCAGTTTTTGCCCATTCAGTATGATATTGGCTGTGGGTTTGTCATAAATAGCTCTGATTATTTTGAGGTACGTCCCTTCAATACCTAATTTATTAAGAGTTTATAGCATGAAGGGCTGTTGAATTTTGTCAAAGGCCTTTTCTGCATCTATTGAGATAACCGTGTGGTTTTTGTCTTTGGTTCTGTTTATATGCTGGATTACGTTTATTGATTTTCGTATGTTGAACCAGCCTTGCATCCTAGCGATGAAGCCCACTTGATCATGGTGGGTAAGCTTTTTGATGTGCTGCTGGATTCGGTTTGCCAGTATTTTACTGAGGATGTTTGCATCGATGTACATCAGGGATATTGGTCTAAAATTCTCTTTTTTTGTTGCGTCTCTGCCAGGCTTTGGTATCAGGATGATGCTGGCCTCATAAAAGGAGTTAAAGAGGATTCCCTCTTTTTCTATTGATTGGAATAGCTTCAGAAGGAATGGTACCAGCTCCTCCTTGTACCTCTGGTAGAATTTGGCTGTGAATGCATCTGGTCCTGGACTTTTTTTTGGTTGGTAAGCTATTAATTATTGCCTCAATTTCAGAGCCTGTTATTGGTCTATTCAGAGATTCCACTTCTTCCTGGTTTAGTCTTGGGAGGGTGTATGTGTCCAGGAATTTATCCATTTCTTCTAGATTTTCTAGTTTATTTGCATAGAGGTGTTTATAGTATTCTCTGATGGTAGTTTGTATTTCTGTGGGATTGGTGGTGATATCCTCTTTATCATTTTTTATTGCGTCTATTTGATTCTTCTCTCTTTTCTTCTTTATTAGTCTTGCTAGCGGTCTATCAATTTTGTTGATCTTTTCAAAAATAAAAAATAAAAAACCAGCTCCTGGATTCATTGATTTTTTTGAAGGGTTTTTTGTCTCTCTATCTCCTTCAGTTCTGCTTTGATCTTAGTTATTTCTTGCCTTCTGGTAGCTTTTGAATGTGTTTGCTCTTGCTTCTCTAGTTCTTTTAATTGTGATGTTAGGGTGTCAATTTTAGATCTTCCCTGCTTTCTCTTGTGGGCATTTAGTGCTATAAATTTCGCTCTACACACTGGTTTGAATGTGTCCCAGAGATTCTGGTATGTTGTGTCTGTTCTCATTGGTTTCAAATAACATCTTTATTTCTGCCTTCATTTCGTTATGTACCTAGTAGTCACTCAGGAGCAGGTTGTTCAGTTTCCATGTAGTTGTTCGGTTTTGAGTGAGTTTCTTAATCCTGAGTTCTAATTTGATTGCACTGTGGTCTGAGAGATAGTTTGTTGTAATTTCTGTTCTTTCACATTTGCTGAGAAGTGCTTTACTTCTAACTATGTGGTCAGTTTTGGAGTAAATGCGATGTGGTGCTGAGAAGGGTGTATATTCTGTTGATTTGAGGTGGAGAGTTCTGTAGATGTCTATTAGGTCCTCTTGGTGCAGAGCTGAGTTTAATTCCTGGATATCCTTGTTAACTTCCTGTCTCGTTGATCTAATGTTGACAGTAGAGTGCTAAAGTCTCCCATTATTATTGTGTGGGAGTCTTAAGTCTCTTTGTAGGTCTCTAAGGACTTGCTTTATGAATCTGGGTGCTCCTGTATTGGGTGCATTTATATTTAGGATAGTTAGCTCTTCTTGTTGAGTTGATCCCTTTACCATTATGTAATGGCCTTCTTTGTCTGTTTTGATGTTTTTGGTTTAAAGTATGTTTCATCAGAGACTAGGATTGCAACCCCTGCCTTTTTTTGTTTTCCATTTGCTTGGTAGATCTTCCTCCATCCCTTTATTTTGAGCCTATGTGTGTCTCTGCACGTGAGATGGGTCTCCTGAATACAGCACACTGATGGGTCTTGACTCTTTATCCAATTTGCCAGTCTGTGTCTTTTAATTGGGGCATTCAGCCCATTTACATTTAAGGTTAATATTGTTATGTGTGAATTTGATCCTGTCATTATGATGTTAGCTGGTTATTTTGCTTGTTAGTTGATGCAGTTTCTTCCTAGCATCTGTGGTCTTTACAGTCTGGCATATTTTTGCAGTGGCTGGTACCGGTTGTTCCTTTCCATGTTTAATGCTTCCTTCAGGAGCTCTTGTAGGGCAGGCCTGGTGGTGACCAAATCTCTCAGCATTTGCTTGTCTGTAAAGGATTTTATTTCTCCTTCACTTATGAAGCTTAGTTTGGCTGGATATGAAATTCTGGGTTGAAAATCCTTTTCTTTAGGAATGTTGAATATTGGCCCCCGTTCTCTTCTGGCTTGTAGAGTTTCTGCCAAGAGATCTGCTGTTAGTCTGATGGGCTTCGATCTGCCCATTTTTAGTATGCCTCCTGTCTTAAGTGTCACTACCCCACCCACTTACACACACACACACACACACACACACACCATTCCCCTTATAAGTTACCATTTTTGGGGTGCTTACTCCATGTGCCCTCATCATTTCTCACGGGGTTAACAGTCAACCTACCTAGTTGCATGTAGTCAATGTCAGTGCTTTATCAGTCCACCAAAATTCAGCCCTCAGATTGTGTCTTTTCCTCCTAAAATGCAAATTTGATCATGGCATTTTACTGCCTAAAATCCCTCAGTGGTTTTCCACTGTGTTCCAGGTGAAATCCAAACTCACTGGCATGGTTTAACAGTGATTTTCAATCTGAGGATCTGCCTGTGGGTCATGAAATTGGTTTAGTAGGCTATGACCAGCATTGTACATTTTTATTAAAGTAAAATAAATAGGTTGCAGTGGTACCCAGCTGTAGTGCCAGTGACTCAGGAGGCTGAGGCAGGAGGATTGCTTGAGCCCAGTGTGCTAGGATCGCACCTGGGAATAGCCACTGCACTCCAGTCTGGGCAACATAGTGAGACCGAGTCTGAAAAAATAAAAAAGAGTAAAATAGAATAGCAATATCATCACGTGTCATATGTAGTAAGGGTAAATATCACTTCCTTAAACTTTTTTAGTTATTCATATATATCTGTGCGTACTAGTAATGTTATAAAATTTATTAGAGTTGGTTGTGGTCAAAAGGATGAACATCTTACCCCATTCTGTATGCAGTGATTCTTGTTATTTCAGTTTACTCAGATTTTCTCTGCCTGCCTTTATGCCTTTGCTTATTCTGTTGTCTTGGTCTGAAGAGTCTGCCTTCTTCATCTAGCTACCTCACAGGGTTTGTTGTCTTCAGGAATCTTTTCCTGATGGCTATTTACCATAAGAAATACATTTTGTAACACAACCTATGAACCAGTATCCTTACCATATGAGATAACAGTTTTGTCCCCTTGCTCTCTGTCTTAACTTGTCTTACTGGTCTTGTCTGTTTGCTAGTCTGCCTCCATTGAAGATAGAGCCTCTCTTTTTCATCTATACCCTGTGTTAAAGCATAGTAGGTATAGTGTATAGTAGTTAAGTGTTGATTGAATTAATAAAATAGTGAATTAGTATATGTTATATACAGTACTTTACAGTATGTTTTTTTAAGCTTGAATTGTAGAAACTGACTTATGTTTGACTCTCTTAATGGCTTCATTACAGGAGGATTAACTTTCTTAAAGCATTTTAAATTAAAACTTCCATTTTAAGCTGTTTATGAACTGTGATTAGATTCTTCTACCAGAATCTATCGTTATTTTGTGATTTGTGGTCAAGGAAGTGTGTGATGAAGTCCAAATACTGGACATATAATGCTTATTTGATTTTATGGGAAGTATAATGCTTATTTGATTTTATGGGAAGTGGGTGGTTTTAAAAGACTCTCAGATATAATTGTAATCAAATGCAAATTCTGAGGGGATGGGTGGGATATGAAAGCACAGAATCAAATGGAGTTGAATTTCTTTTTTGTTATTTCTAAATTTAAGACGTTTGTCATTGGCATTTCCACAGTTAGAATATTTAGTTGCTTATCGTTTTTTTCTTTGTGAGAAATCATTGTTTGTTAAACCATGAATAGGTTCTCATGGAGAACTGTTATTGAAGAGAGATCCATTTGGTGGGATATAATTAAAAAAAATGAATCAAAAGAAAATCTCTAAATGCAGATTCCAGAAAAATTACAGCACATCTCAGTGAATTTGCAAGTGGTAAGTTTGCTTTTGATTTTACATGGTGATATATTTTGGAATTATGGGCCATAGTATCCTTGGAGTCTTATGCTTAGATGCACTTAATTGTCAGTTAGCAAATGTAGTTACTTTATGTTTATTTAAAAGTTTTTATACTAAATTTTAACCAAACCTGTTTTCTTAAATAAGACTTTTTCTATAGAGAAAAATAATCTGTAAATAATATGAGTTTCAGAAACATCTTTCTGAATCGTAAGTCTTATATGGCTTTACAGCGAATCCTTCTGTACTTCATTTTTAAAAATATTAATTTTAAAAGCATTTACTATAAGGATAATATATAGTGACAAAGAGGCCTAAATTAAACAGTTAGTTTGTAAGTTTAGTGTCTCTTAGGTTATCTTTATTTTTAAGTTAATTGAAAAGAATTTAGAAGTACATGGTTGTTGATAAACTTAGAAGAACACATAAATATTTGAAAGCCTTCCTTTTCACTACTCCTTTCTCTTTCAGCCCATTGAGAACAGTTTGGCTGGTCTGTTTTCTTGCAGTCTTTTCTTCCTGCACTTGTGCAGAAATTACTTATGCACATACCTGCATATTTTTTCTAACAAAAATGTTATATAAACTATTCTATAAGTTGCTTCCCGAACACTTAATTTTGAAAAATTTCAAACAGAAGCATTGGAAGAATTTTGTTTAACATCGGAATACCTATGACTTAGATTCTTACCTAACATTTTAACAAATTTCAGCACATACTCATCTGTCTTTCTGTCCACTATGTTATTAATATGGGGGATTCATTTCAAAGTAAATTGCAGATGTCAGTATGCTTCCTCTCTACATAATTCAGTATACATATTGCTAACTAGATCTCTGTATTGGTTTACAGATTCTTAAAGGTAAATTTACGTACCATGACATGCAACAATCTTAAGTGTACATATGCTGAGTTTTGATAAATTCATCTTTGTAACTCAGACTCCATTATCAATAGAAACATGCTTGTTAGCACCACAGAGAGTTCCCTCATGCCTCTTCCTGGTCTGTCTCTATCCCTGTCTCTTTCCAGAAAAACCGGTTACGGTCTGTTCCCTCTCCACTCCTAATGGATTTTGCCTATATCACTTGCTTTATTCACTCAGCAGTATGTTGTGGGTAGTTATATGCAGATCTAAATCTGCCTTCTTTTCTGCCTTAAAAAAAATTGCAATAGCTTGGAAATAGTCTACACTATGGGTGTATTAGAATTTATTTGATCATTCCCTTTTCTCTACATGGACATTTAGATTGTGCCATATTTTTGTGATTACAGAAAGTGCTGTATCCTTGTACATCCTTGTCTGTATATATACAGTCTCAGGAGTACTTTTTAGGTAATACTAAAAATAAAACTGCTGTGTAAAAGAGTTTTACCTTTTGATACATACTGCCAAATTGCCCTCCCAGGATGATTGTATCAGCTTACATGCCCACCAATAATGTATGAGAGTGTCCTTTTTTTTCTGTGCCCTCTTAACATTGGATATCATCTTTCTAAAAGTTTTTCAATACAGTAGATGAAAAATGTACCTTGTTAATTCCTAATCAGTAATGATTAGCCATTGGATTTTTTTCCCTTTGTGAATTGCTTCTTTATATATTTATGTTGTATGCCTCTTGTCGGTCATGTGTTGCAGTATTTTTTCCAGGAATGCTTTGTCTTTTAACTTTGCTTTTCATGTGTTTTGGGCTTCAGATGTGTTAATTTTTATGTGGTCAGACATGGTTGATTGGTCTTCATTGTGAAGGCCTTCCTTATTCCAAGAATATAAAACCACTTGCTATTCTAATAGTTTTCCTTTTAATGAAATTTAGAAGAAAAAGATAAATCATTGTGAACTGAAGTGCCAGGAAAAATTTCAAATGGAGAGTGAGATTCAAATTGGCCTTGAAGTCTGAGTTGAATTTAGATGAGTAAGCAGAATGGTAGGCACATTTCAGACAGGAGGCATGGATGGAATATCGTCGAACAGTGGTAAACAGGACCGCTTAGGCTAAGGTGAAGAATCACGTAAAACTGTAAGCATAGACATACGTGTTCGGATAGATTTCTTGGTAATTATTTTGGCTAATCTTTATGCTTTTCTAAAATCTACATCTTGATGTTATAGTTTTCTGTCATTTTCATGGTGACTTGAATATTCTTCTTGAGGAGAATATATGGTGAAATACAGTTGCCTGAAAAGGCAAAAAATAGTGGTATTCCTTTGGAGTAAGTTGAACATTATAAATATTTACTCAGTCTGGTTTATTAGAGTTAAATTATAATTGTTTTTAAAGTTTGTGCTGTAGTAATTTACATCATTTAGTCACTGTAGTCAACTATAGTTACCAGATAGCAATCTTAAAAAATGTTGAAGTACCAGTATATCCACTAGTTACTTAATCAGAGTTTTGAGTTAAGAGCTCACCATTTAATATACAAATTAGTATGTCAGAATCTCCAGCTAATGAAAGTATTTTATGAATGCTGTCCTTAAGACCGAGTAACAGCATTGTGTTCAGTTTGGTTGTTGCTCAGGATGTGTAATAGTTTCTCTTCAGCCATAAGCCACGCCTGGTAGATATTAATTGAGTGGAGAGATCTTGCACCTCTTCCAGTTATGCATTTGTGGTTTGTCGTCTGATTTGGAGCACTTGGAAGATCACTGTTTTGTGTTCTACGACCCAATTGAGAGGATTATGTGGAGCTAAGTTTTACCAATCAGGTATTAAAAAAAATATATTCAACATCTTATTTGTTTGTTGTTTTATTTTTCTATCCTGTGCTCACTTTTCCTTAGGGATGCTTGCTCTTTTAGAGAGTGTCATCTATGTATGTTTACATCCAGGAAAAATGGACATATTTTAAACTATACTTTTCACTATGTAATTTTTTGTTGCTGTGAGAGATCTCTTCCAGTGATGAAGAAAAATTTGTTCTCTAGTAGAGGAGAATAAAAATAGAGTTCAAAAATTAATATTTGATAATTTTGCCAGTCGTTTTGCTGGCTCATGTACTTTTCTGCTTCTAATGTTAATAAATTTAAGCTACTCTCATATATACTTAGTGAAATTCATGTTCTGTTTTTAGTCCTGAATAGAACTGAAAAATTAAAGAAAGAAAGGTACATAAAATTAATAATATTGAACACGTTGAGAGAGCACTTGTCATTTCTTTTAGCACTTGATAATTGGCAAGACTAAAAAATTAACATTGTCTTGAATGTTTCTCTTTTTAACTGTGTAGATAGCTTACCATTTGTATTTGAGATTCCTTTATTAAAATGATTCTTAGCAAATTAAATAGCATGCTTTATCCTGTCTGACTTTCTTCATTTTAATGATACCAATCTGTCTTTTGATTTTTAAATTAAAAGATAAATAAATGAAACTTTTATTAGTTTAGTGGCCTGGGCACTATTTCTGTTTTAGAATTCATACACAAGTTAGAACATACCGGATTTAAACTATTAAGTGGTATTACATTTGAGTTCTTTTTTTGTTTTGTTTTTTGTTTTTTTTCTGCTGCCCCAATATTTGCAGGAACTAGGGATGAGAAACTGGGGGTATTCCTTTAAAATCAAGTATTCCTTAATCTCTTTTTCTTTGTTTCAGTAGCTTTATAGCTTTGAAGAACATGGGCAAGGCCTCTAAGGGATGGTGCCCTGAGGCTTTTCAATTGATTATGAATTGTTCTTAGAATGAAGTAGACTGGGATATAGGCTGAAAATCTGGGAATCACCCTTGACACTTTCCCCTGTAACCCCTAATATCTAATCAACCAGAAAAACACACTGGTTCGATTCTAGCAGTTGCTCCTTTCTGCAAACCTAATTTTGGCTTTTGCCTTCTCTTAGCCTAATGGACCTCTGTCTTTAATTTTATCATTCACACCAGAGCTTCAGTAATTTATTCACGGTACACATTTCGTCATGTTAATCCCCTGCTTCAATAGCTTTCCATTGCCGAAGAATTCAGTCTTAGCATTCTAACATGGCATCTTTATGTCCTTCATGATATAGGCCCATATTTCTTAGCACTCACTCTCCACAGAAAGCTTTATGATTTGTGATGGCAGGTTGTAATACCTCCCACAATTTCTACTCTTGCTCCTCCTATTCCTTCTGTTTGCAGTATTCTTGTCACTTTTCATTGCTTAGATAACTTTTACTAACCTTCTAAGACTGAATTCAGGTTTCACTTCTTACAGTAAGTCTTACTTGATTCCTCGTTTAACTGGTCCCATCTTCTGTGCCCCTACTAACATTTTGTTTTCAAATCTGGAACTTACCATATTATATTAAATCTTTTTTCTGATTCTTTTTCCCATTAGACTGTTCCTTTAAGCAAAGACCATGTCTTCTTCATCATTGTATCTGCAGTGTCTAGCAAGTGATAGGTGTGTAGTGGAGGCTCAGTGAATATTTGTTGAACTAAGTGAGTTCAACTCATTGTGGTAACATTGAAGTGTTAGTGAAGCTCATGGGTCAGTGCTTCCTAGACACCAGTCAGCTGTTTTCAGACTCTTGCAGAGCATTTTACAACATTTTATTGTTTTTTGAGTTTTATGAAGAATTATGATTCAGTAGATGTAGAATGGGGTCTGGGAATATGTATTTTTAAAAAGCTCCCCAGGTGTTTTTGGTTTTCTTACAGGCTAGAGAACCGTTGTCCTAGTTTATTATTATACCATTGTATTTTACGTAAAAGGTACCCCCTAGACTTTATACAGCAATTTATTATTTCATCCTTGGAAGTTATATCTACCAAAGTATGGATGTATTTTTAGTCACTTTTTTGGTACCATATTTATATAGAAGTATTTTAAGTCCTTAAGTGTCTCATTGAGAGATCTGTTGGCATATTGTTAACACTCAACTAAAAAAAGCCTCATTTAAACAGGAGTCTTCTTCAGTTGATCATAATGAGATTTGTTGGGCTTCATTCTATGAATTTTAGTATTTTTGGCAATTTGTAATTAGTTTTCACTTTTTATTGTCATTTTTCAAAATACTTAAAAAATGTTTTATTGTAGTTTAAAATTAAACTAGAGTGCACAAATCTGAAGTATACAGCTCAGTGAATGTTTACATATGTAGATACACATAAAGTACCACCCAGGTCAAGATATGGAACGTTTCCCAACCCCTCGTTCTCTCATGTTCCTTTTCAGTTAATATACACCCCTGCAACCACAAGGTAACCACTGTTTTGACTTGTGTGACCCATCAGTCTTCTGATTAAAGCTACTAAAAATTTTTGTACATAATCTTTTGGTGGACACGTGTATTCATTTCTTTTGGGTTTACACAGGAAGTTGCTGGGTTAAGGACAAACTTGTGTTTTAAATTCAGTAGATGATTCCAGTTTATACCTGTGATAGCAGTTCATAGTGAAACATTGAAATTATTTGAAGCTTATGATAAAATTTGAATATCCTGAAACTTCTGTTTGTTTTCCCAAGTATTTATTGTAAAAATATATATACAAAGAAATATCAATAAATATATCAACTACAGAAAGAAAATGTCAAATATGCAAAGAAAACTCAATGTCATTTTATAAAAGTTGCCAGAAATACAGGTTTTAGTCAAATTTTTCTATGTAAGTAATTATTTTCTTTGTTCCTTCTCCTTAGGATCATCCTTCCTTGTGGGTTAGCAGGCAGTTATAAGATTGCAAAATGGGTCTCCGGATTCACTTTGTTGTTGACCCACATGGTTGGTGCTGCATGGGTTTGATTGTCTTTGTTTGGTTATACAATATTGTTTTAATTCCCAAAATTGTCCTCTTTCCTCACTATGAAGAAGGACATATTCCAGGCATATTAATAATAAGTAAGTTTCTTGATCTTTATTTTCTTGTATAATTATTTTTCTCATTGTAAACGTTTTTGGGGTGTAGTGCCACTATGATAACTTTCCTTTTAATATATTTAGTATTTTAGCAGTGCTGTCAATATTCAGTTATTTACTAATTTATGAACTTATGGAAATAATGGCCTTTATAGATTTGCAGTTAGATAAAAGTGATATCTCCATTTTTAACTGCAAAGTGCATGAAGACCATTTTGTTAAAAATAGAAAACTGACACAGTAGTGATAACTTGCATGTCTCTCTGTATTTTTATTATTGCTGTTTTGTACCTAATTACAAATGTAGATGTTTTAAGAATAGAGACAGTATACATTACTGAGAAGTGAGAATTTCATAAGAAAAGTATTGATTACGAAGTTGATTATGATAACACTTGGAACTTCTGGATAGTTATTAGTCAATTGGTGATGGCTTGCTTATGATTAAAATAAATTGAAATTATATATTTTACATGTACATGGCATTTACAGTTTTCATGCACATTACCTCATTTTGACCTCACACGAACCATGGGAAATTTTATATATATATGATAAAACTGACCGGTACTATGCAGTCAGTCCTGGATTGAGCACTCAGACTATTCCCTTTACATGTACAGTATGTTTTTTTTTTTTATCGCCCCAACAGAATTTCTCTATTCTTACTAATTTAAAAATGTAGAATTATGGTGGCCAAATCTGTTTTCCCTTACTATTTTTGTTTTCTGGTTATTAATTTTAAAATTAAAAAGTTTCTAAGTCTTAATTATCAAACTAATCATTTTAAGATCCATCAAAAGGGACAGTTGAACATCACTAATTCAGAGTAATATTGAAGATACCCAGTTAGTTAATGAAAAAGTTTAGTTGTAGAATTTAAAATGGTATTTTGATCCTTTCAAATATAGAACATGCAGTAATTAAACGGGAGCCTATTCATTTATGCCATTATTAATAGGAAGTCCCTGTTATTAAGGGATCTGATTTATAAGAACTTTGAGTTACTATCATGTAAAATAATAATTAAAATTAGTAATGATTAAAATTAGGACTATTTAAGATAGTCCTCCTGACAGTGTTATTTGGTGAGTGAAATCAATTATTTATTTTTTAATCTTTTGAAATTTTTTCTCCTGATGGTGTTTGTTAAAATATACATTTTAAACTTTAAATATGATTGTTGATAAAATGTTTTGAAGGGTAAGTGACTAATTTATTTAATTTATTTATTTTAAAGTATTCTATGGCATTTCCATATTCTGTCTGGTTGCCTTAGTGAGGGCCTCCATAACTGATCCAGGAAGACTCCCTGAGAACCCCAAGATCCCACATGGAGGTATGGTACTCTGGATTTATCAGTTTTGCTGATGCCAGAATTACTGTCTTTATTTACATATTTTATTGCCTTTAATATATATTGGTTATAAATGTCATCTAACACCACTTTGATGTCTTTGCTTGTATGTGTCTTTTCCAAACTTCTCTACTTAAAATTGCAACCCTGCTCCCCCTGCACCCCGGCAGTTTCACCACACCCCATCTCTTGGCTTCTGTATCACATATCATATGATCCTCATGGTAATTGTATGAGGTAGGTAGGCTGGGTGGTCAGGAGCATAGATTGTCCTTCCTGGGTTAAACATCTGGTTGTTGGTGTGCGATCCAGCCCAAAGACCCAGAACCTTGTCTCTGTCATCTTATTACCATGGATCTATGTACAGAGATAATTTTAGCTTTTTATTCACCTTTGTTACGAATCTGGGGAAAACTTAAGTCATAATGTACTTTTTGGTGCTGGTTACCTGATTCTTTTGTAAATATGATTTTAATTTAGTAAAAAAAAATACAAAATTTTAACAGTGAAAGATAATATTGAATGCCTAGAGAGTTGAAACTGTAGAATAGTGACATTTATTCAGGAATGTTTAAAGGTTGAGCAGTTTCATATAACTGAATTCTTCAAAAAAGGGATCTTGAAGTCCTAATACTTTGGTGATTTTAACTATTTTTTTATTGAATTACTCTGAAGTATTTTACATGCGTTTCTGCTTTTTTAAAACACAATGACTTCAGTATATATGTGACCCACTAAATATGAGGCAATTTGAATATAAGGAAATGTTCCATTTTCCCATGAGAAGATTCCCAGAATTTGACTTTATAAACTTTTGAGCATATAGATGAAACAGTCAAATGAAATAGTTACATGTTTGTTTATATTACTTGAATTGTTCATGTGTGTATTTGAAATAAAACAAAATGAACACCTTCAGTTAGAAATATTTTTATCACTTTCATATTTTATGAAATTTTATTCAAGTTCTTAACTATGTTTAAAAATGGTTTATTGAGTATAATTTACATGCCATATAATTTACCCAGTTAGAGTGTACAATTCTATGGGTTTTTGTATGCCCACAGTTGTGTAACCATCACTGCAATCAACTTTAGAACATTTTAATCGAGTTTTTCACTTGAATGTTCGACATGTGGTTTTGTCATTACTAGAGCCATGTTTTTTGACATAGCATTACAGTGGAAATTCTTTCAAGTTAAAAAAAATGCGTCCTGTTTTGATGCAGTCTCTCAAAAATTTACCCCAAGCTCTAAGGATTCCTGTATTCAGTAATCAGGGTCATGTATTCACTCATAGTTTTAGTTTGATCCTCCCTCTTACATTGCTTTTTAAAGGTGATCTGTGAGAGACTTACTGACATTTATTTCCTACATTGACAACTGATTCTTGTTAGGGAATCTCTGTTAGGACCCAAACTTTGTATTGATTTAGGTAATTTCAAGTAATGTTTTTCTTCTCAAAGCATTACATAGTGATTTTAAATGTATTAATTGAGTGAGGGTCCCTTAAAATGAGAGTCTTTTAAAAGACTCATGTAGAAGGTGATTCCTTCCTTTCTGAGGGTCAAACAAACCAAGCATTGCATTATATTCATTCAAGCATTCACAGCATTAGTAAATCTCCAGGTTAAACAAAATGATGTATTTACTCACATTAAACAGCCTCAGTCATGGAGTTTGCCTTTTTTTTGGTTTTGTTTTATATTTTGATTTTTCTCTCCCTTAAAAATGTATCTGTTAGCTTTTAATTTTTTAAAGCTATCATAAATTTTCAGTTGAATTCTTTTTCTCATAGTCTTTTTAAAAACATTATTACTTGGCTAGTACAAAAATCACTAGACATCAGAATGTATCAGTCGCCAAGATCCTTTGTGGACATGAGTAAAGGAAGGAAAGGGAAATGACTAAGAAAGGCTTTAGAGATATGTAGGGTGTGTTAAGATGGATGGATTTTTTTTCTTGCTACACAAGGCAAAAGCACCTTCTAGATGATCAATTAAATTGCTGGATTTTTGACAATAGTGATTTCTCCTCTGTTCCCTAAACATATAGATATGTATGTGTTCATATAGATATGTGAAACTGTGAGTTTTTACAGGTATTTCTCATTTTAGATACTTATGTAATATCTTCATGTTATCAAAGGAATGACTCAAGTTCTTTCTTTAAATCAATTTATGGTCCAGACCATAGATTAGCAAATAAATTCTTCTTTACTATAAAGGCCCGTAGTAAATATTTTCAGCTTTATGGGCCATACAGTCTCTATTACAACTCCTCAGCTCTGCCACTGAAACACAAAAGCAGCCATAGACAATATGTAAATGATGGGTACATCAAACTTTGTTTATGGACCCAGAAATTTGAATTTTATGATTTTACATGTCACAAATTGTTATTTTCAATAATTTAAAATTGTAAAAATTATTCTTAGCTCATAGGTCATACAGAAACAGGTGGTAGACTGGATTTGCCTGCAGACTGTAGTTTGTATCTGTGGTCTAGATTACAAAATTGTAGGCTTTCTCTAACTATTGCCAAGTGCTCTCTTCTGAGAATACATTTTAGATATAAAATGAAGAATTTATTCTCTAGGATATTATATGCTGATTTCTCAGAAATTACCAATAATGAATACACCGTGTTTATGTTTTAAGTGGCTGATAAAAACAAATTTTTATATCGCCTTTTAGTGAAAATTGGCTCGTTGTGGAGCGCCTCCTTCCTGTCTATATTCCTTGCAATGTGTGAATTCAAAGTTTTTTTGTTTGTTTGTTTTGTTTTTTTTTGTTTATTTGTTTTTTTATTATACTTTAAGTTTTAGGGTACATGTGCACATTGTGCAGGTTAGTTACATATGTATACATGTGCCATGCTGGTGCACTGCACCCACTAACTCGTCATCTAGCATTAGGTATATCTCCCAATGCTATCCCTCCCCCCTCCCCCCACCCCACCACAGTCCCTAGAGTGTGATATTCCCCTTCCTGTGTCCATGTGATCTCATTGTTCAATTCCCACCTATGAGTGAGAATATGGAGTGTTTGGTTTTTTGTTCTTGCGATAGTTTACTGAGAATGATGATTTCCAATTTCATCCACGTCCCTACAAAGGACATGAACTCATCATTTTTTATGGCTGCATAGTATTCCATGGTGTATATGTGCCACATTTTCTTAATCCAGTCTATCATTGTTGGACATTTGGGTTGGTTCCAAGTCTTTGCTATTGTGAATAATGCTGCAATAAACATACGTGTGCATGTGTCTTTATAGCAGCATGATTTATAGTCATTTTGGGTATATACCCAGTAATGGGATGGCTGGGTCAAATGGTATTTCTAGTTCTAGATCCCTGAGGAATCGCCACACTGACTTCCACAATGGTTGAACTAGTTTACAGTCCCACCAACAGTGTAAAAGTGTTCCTATTTCTCCACATCCTCTCCAGCACCTGTTGTTTCCTGACTTTTTAATGATCGCCATTCTAACTGGTGTGAGATGGTATCTCATAGTGGTTTTGATTTGCATTTCTCTGATGGCCAGTGATGATGAGCATTTTTTCATGTGTCTTTTGGCTGCATAAATGTCTTCTTTTGAGAAGTGTCTGTTCATGTCCTTCGCCCACTTTTTGATGGGGTTGTTTGTTTTTTTCTTGTAAATTTGTTTGAGTTCATTGTAGATTCTGGATATTAGCCCTTTGTCAGATGAGTAGGTTGCGAAAATTGTCTCCCATTTTGTAGGTTGCCTGTTCACTCTGATGGTAGTTTCTTTTGCTGTGCAGAAGCTCTTTAGTTTAATTAGATCCCATTTGTCAATTTTGTCTTTTGTTGCCATTGCTTTTGGTGTTTTGGACATGAAGTCCTTGCCCATGCCTATGTCCTGAATGGTAATGCCTAGGTTTTCTTCTAGGGTTTTTATGGTTTTAGGTCTAACATTTAAATCTTTAATCCATCTTGAATTGATTTTTGTATAAGGTGTAAGGAAGGGATCCAGTTTCAGCTTCCTACATATGGCTAGCCAGTTTTCCCAGCACCATTTATTAAATAGGGAATCCTTTCCCCATTGCTTGTTTTTCTCAGGTTTGTCAAAGATCAGATAGTTGTAGTTATGCGGCATTATTTCTGAGGGCTCTGTTCTGTTCCATTGGTCTATATCTCTGTTTTGGTACCAGTACCATGCTGTTTTGGTTACTGTAGCCTTGTTGTATAGTTTGAAGTCAGGTCGTGTGATTCCTCCAGCTTTGTTCTTTTGGCTTAGGATTGACTTGGCAATGCGGGCTCTTTTTTGGTTCCATATGAACTTTAAAGTAGTTCTTTCCAATTCTGTGAAGAAAGTCATTGGTAGCTTGATGGGGATGGCATTGAATCTGTAAATTACCTTGGGCAGTATGGCCATTTTCACGATATTGATTCTTCCTACCCATGAGCATGGAATGTTCTTCCATTTGTTTGTATCCTCTTTTATTTCCTTGAGCAGTGGTTTGTAGTTCTCCTTGAAGAGGTCCTTCACATCCCTTGTAAGTTGGATTCCTAGGTATTTTATTCTCTTTGAGGCAATTGTGAATGGGAGTTCACTCATGATTTGGCTCTCTGTTTGTCTGTTGTTGATGTATAAGAATGCTTGTGATTTTTGTACATTGATTTTGTATCCTGAGACTTTGCTGAAGTTGCTTATCAGCTTAAGGAGATTTTGGGCTGAGACAGTGGGGTTTTCTAGATAAACAATCATGTCATCTGCAAAGAGGGACAATTTGACTTCCTCTTTTCCTAATTGAATACCCTTTATTTCCTTCTCCTGCCTAATTGCCCTGGCCAGAACTTCCAACACTATGTTGAATAGGAGTGGTGAGAGAGGGCATCCCTGTCTTGTGCCAGTTTTCAAAGGGAATGCTTCCAGTTTTTGCCCATTCAGTATGATATTGGCTGTGGGTTTGTCATAGATAGCTCTTATTATTTTGAAATACGTCCCATCAATACCTAATTTATTGAGAGTTTTTAGCATGAAGGGTTGTTGAATTTTGTCAAAGGCCTTTTCTGCATCTATTGAGATAATCATGTGGTTTTTGTCTTTGGTTCTGTTTATATGCTGGATTACATTTATTGATTTGCATATATTGAACCAGCCTTGCATCCCAGGGATGAAGCCCACTTGATCATGGTGGATAAGCTTTTTGATGTGCTGCTGGATTCGGTTTGCCAGTATTTTATTGAGGATTTTTGCATCAATGTTCATCAAGGATATTGGTCTAAAATTCTCTTTTTTGGTTGTGTCTCTGCCCGGCTTTGGTATCAGAATGATGCTGGCCTCATAAAATGAGTTAGGGAGGATTCCCTCTTTTTCTATTGATTGGAATAGTTTCAGAAGGAAGGGTATCAGTTCCTCCTTGTACCTCTGGTAGAATTTGGCTGTGAATCCATCTGGTCCTGGACTCTTTTTGGTTGGTAAACTATTGATTATTGCCACAATTTCAGCTCCTGTTATTCGTCTATTCAGAGATTCAACTTCTTCCTGGTTTAGTCTTGGGAGAGTGTATGTGTCGAGGAATTTATCCATTTCTTCTAGATTTTCTAGTTTATTTGAGTAGAGGTGTTTGTAGTATTCTCTGATGGTAGTTGGTATTTCTGTGGGATCAGTGGTGATATCCCCTTTATCATTTTTTATTGCATCTATTTGATTCTTCTCTCTTTTTTTCTTTATTAGTCTTGCTAGCGGTCTATCAATTTTGTTGATCCTTTCAAAAAACCAGCTCCTGGATTCATTGATTTTTTGAAGGGTTTTTTGTGTCTCTATTTCCTTCAGTTCTGCTCTGATTTTAGTTATTTCTTGCCTTCTGCTAGCTTTTGAATGTGTTTGCTCTTGCTTTTCTAGTTCTTTTAATTGTGATGTTAGGGTGTCAATTTTGGATCTTTCCTGCTTTCTCTTGTGGGCATTTAGTGCTATAAATTTCCCTCTACACACTGCTTTGAATGCGTCCCAGAGATTCTGGTATGTTGTGTCTTTGTTCTTGTTGGTTTCAAAGAACATCTTTATTTCTGCCTTCATTTCGTTATGTACCCAGTAGTCATTCAGGAGCAGGTTGTTCAGTTTCCATGTAGTTGAGCGGCTTTGAGTGGGATTCTTAATCCTGAGTTCTAGTTTGATTGCACTGTGGTCTGAGAGACAGTTTGTTATAATTTCTGTTCTTTTACATTTGCTGAGGAGAGCTTTACTTCCTACTATGTGGTCAATTTTGGAATAGGTGTGGTGTGGTGCTGAAAAAAATGTATATTCTGTTGATTTGGGGTGGAGAGTTCTGTAGATGTCTATTAGGTCTGCCTGGTGCAGAGCTGAGTTCAATTCCTGGGTATCCTTGTTGACTTTCTGTCTCGTTGATCTGTCTAATGTTGACAGTGGGGTGTTAAAGTCTCCCATTATTAATGTGTGGGAGTCTAAGTCTCTTTGTAGGTCACTCAGGACTTGATTTATGAATCTGGGTGCTCCTGTATTGGGTGCATATATATTTAGGATAGTTAGCTCTTCTTGTTGAATTGATCCCTTTACCATTATGTAATGGCCTTCTTTGTCTCTTTTGATCTTTGTTGGTTTAAAGTCTGTTTTATCAGAGACTAGGATTGCAACCCCTGCCTTTTTTTGTTTTCCATTTGCTTGGTAGATCTTCCTCCATCCTTTTATTTTGAGCCTATGTGTGTCTCTGCACGTGAGATGGGTTTCCTGAATACAGCACAGTGATGGGTCTTGACTCTTTATCCAATTTGCCAGTCTGTGTCTTTTAATTGGAGAATTTAGTCCATTTATATTTAAAGTTAATATTGTTATGTGTGAATTTGATCCTGTCATTATGATGATAGCTGGTGATTTTGCTCGTTAGTTGATGCAGTTTCTTCCTAGTCTCGATGGTCTTTACATTTTGGCATGATTTTGCAGCGGCTGGTACCCGTTGTTCCTTTCCATGTTTAGCGCTTCCTTCAGGAGCTCTTTTAGGGCAGGCCTGGTGGTGACAAAATTGGTCAGCATTTGCTTGTCTGTAAAGGATTTTATTTCTCCTTCACTTATGAAGCTTAGTTTGGCTGGATATGAAATTCTGGGTTGAAAATTCTTTTCTTTAAGAATGTTGAATATTGGCCCCCACTCTCTTCTGGCTTGTAGGGTTTCTGCCGAGAGATCCGCTGTTAGTCTGATGGGCTTCCCTTTGAGGGTAACCCGACCTTTCTCTCTGGCTGCCCTTAACATTTTTTCCTTCATTTCAACTTTGGTGAATCTGACAATTATGTGTCTTGGAGTTTTTCTTCTTGGGGAGTATCTTTGTGGCGTTCTCTGTATTTCCTGAATCTGAACGTTGGCCTGCCTTGCTAGATTGGGGAAGTTCTCCTGGATAATATCCTGCAGAGTGTTTTCCAACTTGGTTCCATTCTCCCCATCACTTTCAGGTACACCAATCAGACGTAGATTTGGTCTTTTCACATAATCCCATATTTCTTGGAGGCTTTGCTCATTTCTTTTTATTCTTTTTTCTCTAAACTTCCCTTCTCGCTTCATTTCATTCATTTCATCTTCCATTGCTGATACCCTTTCTTCCAGTTGATCGCATCGGCTCCTGAGGCTTCTGCATTCTTCACGTAGTTCTCGAGCCTTGGTTTTCAGCTCCATCAGCTCCTTTAAGCATTTCTCTGTATTGGTTATTCTAGTTATACATTCTTCTAAATTTTTTTCAAAGTTTTCAACTTCTTTGCCTTTGGTTTGAATGTCCTTCCGTAGCTCAGAGTAATTTGATCGTCTGAAGCCTTCTTCTCTCAGCTCGTCAAAGTCATTCTCCATCCAGCTTTGTTCTGTTGCTGGTGAGGAACTGCGTTCCTTTGGAGGAGGAGAGACGCTCTGCATTTTAGAGTTTCCAGTTTTTCTGTTCTGTTTTTTCCCCATCTTTGTGATTTTATCTACTTTTGGTCTTTGATGATGGTGATGTACAGATGGGTTTTCGGTGTGGATGTCCTTTCTGTTTGTTAGTTTTCCTTCTAACAGACAGGACCCTCAGCTGCAGGTCTGTTGGAATACCCTGCTGTGTGAGATGTCAGTGTGCCCCTGCTGGGGGGTGCCTCCCAGTTAGGCTGCTTGGGGGTCAGGGACCCACTTGAGGAGGCAGTCTGCCAGTTCTCAGATCTCCAGCTGCGTGCAGGGAGAACCACTGCTCTCTTCAAAGCTATCAGGGACATTTAAGTCTGTGGAGGTTACTGCTGTCTTTTTGTTTGTCTGTGCCCTGCCCCCAGAGGTGGAGCCTACAGAGGCAGGCAGGCCTCCTTGAGCTGTGGTGGGCTCCAGCCAGTTCGAGCTTCCCGGCTGCTTTGTCTACCTAAGCAAGCCTGGGCAATGGCGGGCGCCCCTCCCCCAGCCTGGCTGCCGCCTTGCAGTTTGATCTCAGACTGCTGTGCTAGCAATCAGCGAGACTCCGTGGGCATAGGACCCTCCGAGCCAGGTGTGGGATATAGTCTCGTGGTGCGCCGTTTCTTAAGCCGGTCTGAAAAGCGCAGTATTAGGGTGGGAGTGACCCGATTTTCCAGGTGCGTCCGTCACCCCTTTCTTTGACTCGGAAAGGGAACTCCCTGACCCCTTGCGCTTCCCGAGTGAGGCAATGCCTCGCCCTGCTTCGGCTCGCGCACGGTGCGCGCACCCGCTGGCCTGCGCCCACTGTCTGGCACTCCCTAGTGAGATGAACCCGGTACCTCAGATGGAAATGCAGAAATCACCCGTCTTCTGCGTCGCTCACGCTGGGAGCTGTAGACCGGAGCTGTTCCTATTCGGCCATCTTGGCTCCTCCCCCCGAATTCAAAGTTTTAACACTGGGATGTTTGGGAGCATTGAGCTAAGTAGGGGAGTGGAATATGATATGCTTGTGACATTGTAATATGCTATAGATTAAATGAGTTTTTATTTCACTTAGAGGTAAATAGTACTAGTTTAACTATGTAAATTAAGCTTTAGTACTGTTGCTCTTGCATGATTTATTTTCATTAAAATAACTGTAAGAGATGAAAAAGTATTTTCTTTTAAAATAAGATTTCAAGTATAAGAGATAATTTCTCAACTTTCATATTATTGGAACAATTAATTTGATGTAGGTTTTATTCATACTTTGTTTCTTCAGAGATGTCTGTAGTGGGAGTATTTTCCCAACGCTTTACTATATAAAAGTCCAGCATGTTGATGTTGCTCCTGACCATTCAACTAAAGTAATGGAATTCAAACAGAGAATCTTAAAAAAGAAGAAAAAAAAGAGAAAAAAAAGAAATAAAAATATCAATATTGGTAAAAAAAAAAAAAAATCTGTAATCTGAAAAAAAAAAGAAAATTGAATATTGTCTACTATTATCTTTCACTTTTATTTAGAATCTTTCATTTTTTGATTTTAGACTTTTCATATGTCAGCAAGCATTTAGTGACTACCTAGTATGTGCTAGGGTCCTACTCTTCATGTACTAAAATTCAATCTGAATATAGGAGTTAGGCTAATCTTACTATGTCCATACTTTTAATGAGGTTATGGGATAGTATAAACACAGATGATGAAAATTAAAAGAATTTTGTAAAAGAAAAATTCCATTCCAATATATTTAAAAGATACATTTTTGTATAATAAGGCAATTGTCTTTTCTAGGAAGATGACTCTTCCATAGTTTTCGCGGACCTAATTAGGACAGTTTTTAATGAAAACAAAAGCCTTTTCTCTTATGCAAACTTTGTGTTTTTGGCACAGAGCTTAATCGTGTGCTGTTTCACTCCAGATTAGAGGAAATTGCTAGTTGGTGGTAGTTCAGTGTTTTATGAAGAACTCCTTTATTTTCATTAAAAATAGTAGTTGTCTTATAACATTTTTCACTACTGAAACTATTCTGATACCTCCCAAACCCATATGACATCCTTCTCTAACCTGTCCCATACACACTCTTAAATGAATCTACTGATGTTTTTTAAAATTAAATGATTTAGGGAAAGTGTATGTGGAGGGAAATGCCATCTGTTTTTCGGATGAGTTTATAGGGTTGATTTCAGTTTACTAATCAATTGAAACCAGGGTCAGCATTATTTCTTCTTTAGAGCCTTTAGAAAATGAAATTTCTAGAAATCAATTTGTTTAAATAAAATTGTTTTAGTATAATAATTTGGTTGGGCTCTAGGGTTTTGTCATTGGATTTTACTTATATTCTCACAGTATACCCAGAATCCAAATACATTGTTTTCTGTCTCTTACTTTGACTATAACAATAGTGTCTTATTTTTTTAGTCTTTTAAATTAGAAACACACAAAATAAGACATATGTAGAATAGAACAGCAGCATTTATGGCAAACACATTTATACCAAAGGCTTAGAAGAAAAATCTCTTAGAGTTTTATGTTGAAGGCTTCCTATAAAATCTTCTAAACAACTGTTGGTAAATTTCAGCATTACCCACTTGCCTTCATTAAATGGATTTTAATTTCTTTTCTTTAGAAAGGGAGTTCTGGGAATTATGTAACAAGTGTAATTTGATGAGACCAAAGCGTTCCCATCACTGTAGCCGCTGCGGCCACTGTGTGAGGAGAATGGATCATCACTGTCCATGGTAAGAATAATTCACTTCTAGCAAAGAAAAGAGGGGTGGGTAATAAAATGTAAATCTTACAACTTGGCAGCTTTAAACAACAGTTATGTTAAAGTTATATAGTTTTACAATATCTTAATAAGGATATCTTTATTTAGATTATATGGTTCTGTCAACTCCCAAAGTCATTTTTCCACAGAAATCCTATCTTTTCTAACAGGGAGAGATTTGAGCCAAAAAAGTAAGAATTAACTGCAGCCTGATATACAAAAGGATTAAGGTGGTTGTATTAAATGAGGCAATGTATATAAAACATTTACTACAATATCTGACAAGTAGGATGTACTTAAATGGTAGCTATTTCTAATTGTAATAAACCATATGCATCCGAATGTTTATATCCCCTTTTCATTTGTTTAATTAATAACATTTCAGACACCCTGATAACCTCTTCCTTACCCCTTAAAGCTTTTTAAGCATTATGTATTGGATATAGCTACTACCATTATGTACTTGTTGGAAGTATGTGAGTGATAATTAGCTGATTCTGCAGAACTGCTAACAGTTTTGGTCAATAGGGGGCTCTCTTGTAATATTTAAAGAAAATGTTCAGTTGAGAAATATAATCTTCGAAAACAAATGCTGCGTGAATTCTGTATTGTATCTCATTTTAAAGCTGTCACAAAAATCTGTGAACAAGATATTGTATTTAATTCTGTTTTCTTAGCATTGGCTCTCTGTATAAATATTTAAACTGGTATAGTGTAGAATTTGACAAATGTATCTGTATACATATATGTAGTATTTATGTTTGTATACACATACATGCATATATGCAAATTTACATAATGAGCCTCTTAATTTATAATTGCTTTTATTTAAAATTGATGCAAGTGGAGTTTAGCTTTTTCTAATGTTAGTCTATTTAGAGTTTTCTTTATTTTTGATAACTTATTTTGATAGCACAGTTATTCAGCAAACTTCTGGTGGAAATTTGTTTTTTTGCATAGACTGTTTAAAAAGAAGATAATTTCCTGAAATAGGAAAAAGTAAGAGCATTTTCGATAAAAGCATTTTGTTACTACATAAAAATTTTAAAAATTTCTAAATCTGTCAACAAGATAGAGTAGTGTATGACATATAGTTGATATTCAAAACTGTGCCTTGAATTTAAACGTAAATAATTATTTGGGAATTACTTGGGAATAAAGATTAATTCCCAAGTAATTTTCTTAAGCTCAGTGATCTGTTTGCTCTCACAATAGTAATAGATTTTTAGAAAGCTACGTGAAACATGTATTCAGATAATTGCTGATCATACAGAAAAGCTCAGTTTTTAAGCGCTTCTTATTGTAGAGTTTCTTATTCACTAAAATACAAATGTTCATGATGGAAGTGGATATTGATGCTTTTTTTTTCAAACGAATGCAGTAGTAAGAAAGAACTAGGAAAGACTCACTTATTGGTGACCAAATAAGGTGCTATTTAACCTTAATTCTAACGTTGGGGTGATTTCTCTTTCTGGGCCTCTTGCTTCCATAGTTTTAGTCAACTTTTCAGAAGTTGGTAGCAGTGAGGGGGAAGTACAAAGGATTGGAGGATCAGAAAGGAGAGTAGACAAGGGACCTAAAGAGATTCAGGAATTTTTATCATTGAATTTCCTGATAGAGCACTGCTGAAATGTTCAGAGAGCAGGGGAAATGTACAGTGTAAATTGGAAGCAAGGAAAATTTTTGATGTTTTCAGAAATTGCACTACTTAACTGCCTAAGACATTTTTAGGTTTGGAGGTCAATTCTCACGTTGCCTCAAGGTTTTCTGTATTTGTGGCTCTGATCATTCTTTTTTTTTTTTTTTTTTTTTTGAGATGGAGTCTTACTCTGTTGCCCAGGCTGGAGTGCAGTGGCATGATCTCAACCTCTGCCTCACTGCAACCTCTGCCTCCTGGCCTCAAGTGATTCTCCTGCCTCAGCCTCCCGAGTAGCTGGGATTACAAGTGCATGCCACCATGCTTGGCTAATTTTTGTATTTTTAGCAGAGACGGGTTGTCACCATGTTGGCCAGGCTGGTCTCAAACTCCCAACCTCAGGTGATCTGCTCCCCTCGGCCTCCCAAAGTTCTGGGATTACAGGCTTGAGTCACCGCGCCTGGCCTGATCATTCTTTCTAAGTAGTGCAGATGTTACAAAAAGAACTCATATAGATTGAATACCTTAGTGCTTCTTAAAGCTGTTCTGGTTAAGAAGAATGCTGTGATCATAGACATTGTTTCTCAAACTTCCTGGGGACAGGAAAGATGGAACAATGATAAGTCATCTTTCAATCGGCAGCTGTTGAAGAGCACTTTTGAGTGTATATTAATACATAAGCACACTTCTCTTATAATCCTGCTTGCAAATAACAAAGCACAGTAGATTTTCTTGTTTACAAAACATGCACTCTTAAATCTTAAGAAATGCCTCTCTAAGGTTTTTCAGTTCAGGTCTGTATTTGACTTTAAAAAATGGTTTAATGACAAAGTTAAAAAGAGCGATTTAAGTTAGGACCGAAACCTGTTACATCGTTTCTTTTTCAGTGACAGTATAATACTATTTTGAAATGAAAACATTTGTGCAAAGTCATTTGTAGTCTTGAACTAGGGTTTTTTGCTGGAATTTTAGGATACTTTGACAATTTGGATACAATAAATTTGGAACAATAAAATATTCAGCTTAAATTAGCCTTGAAAATTTTTTATTGTAACATTAATCCTCTTTCCTAGTTAGGGTTCACTGTTGTATTGGTGGAAGTATAGCTGTGTGTATTTATAAATAGTTTTGAATACATTTTTATTTTCAGCAACCAGGGGTAGATTTTTAAAATGAAAAGTGAATGCTTAGCAGTTATGTCAGAGTGGTATGTTTCAGCTGGTTTACTTCAGGGCATTCAGATTGCTTTTCACAGCTAGAATGCCCTAAAGGAAGAGCAAAATACAGGGAAGCAGGGTTCTTGCTCTCTTGGCCCCTATGTCTTCTAACTCTACATCCTCTGGCCAGAGGCTTAGCTCCTTTGTTCCCTGTTTCCATATCAGTGACACAGGAGACTACCGTCTGCTCTTCCTGTCTCGCTGAGTTGTTATGAGTTGAAGGGGGATCACATATGTGGACTTCCTTTGTGAAGTGCTTTACAAATATAAGATGGTATATTTATAGTTTTCTCTGTATAGTTTGTTTTTACCTTCAAGTGGCCATAGCATATCTCCATGAAGTTAAGCATATGTGATATTATTTGTTTTTAATTTAGTCTTATTGATCCTGAGGTGAACTTCTTGAAATTTAAAATATTGTTTCTTTTTCATTTTTTTTCTTTAGGATTAACAATTGTGTTGGTGAAGATAATCATTGGCTCTTTCTGCAGTTGTGTTTCTACACTGAACTTCTTACTTGCTACGCACTGATGTTTTCTTTCTGCCACTATTACTATTTTCTTCCACTAAAAAAGCGTAATTTGGTAAGAAATGTTTATATTGGGAGGCCGAGGCGGGCGGATCACGAGGTCAGGAGATCGAGACCATCCTGGCTAACACGGTGAAACCCCGTCTCTACTAAAAATACAAAAAATTAGCCGGGCGAGGTGGCGGGCGCCTGTAGTCCCAGCTACTCGGGAGGCTGAGGCAGGAGAATGGCGTGAACCCCAGGGGGCGGAGCCTGCAGTGAGCCGAGATTGCGCCACTGCACTCCAACCTGGGCGACAGCGAGACTCCGTCTCAAAAAAAAAAAAAAAAAAAAAAAAAAGAAATGTTTATATCCACTAACATTAGAGCAGTTGTAGCATACAATTATTAACATGTGGTTCCTTTAAGTACAAAAGATTGGAAACAAAACAACAAAAGATTGGAAACAAAACAACAAAAGCAAACTCCCAAATTGGTGAATTTTGAACTATATTGGGATTGAGAAAGTGGGCCCTAGTCTGACATTTCCTTTTAATGAAATTCATTTATGGTTATTTATTAGTGTTGAGCTTAGAAAGCAACACGTTGAATCTTTCAATACGTGTGTCTTGGTTTAAAAATATCTACAATAATGAAAAACAAAGACAAAATGTTCTTGTTTCTTTTCAGGAATAAAAATGCAGAATGTAATTTTTAAAGGTTCTCAAATAGTTACGTTCTTGAGAAAGAGAACTTTTTTTCTCCCTGCCTTTCATCAGTAATGATATCATGAATTTGCAGGATGCTTTAAAAAGTTATCCACTGAGAATATAATGCATGCTAGGACTATAGTTTTAGAAATGTTTCATCTTATTTATAGATAAATTTCTGATATAATTGGCATTAAAGTTAGATCATGTAAAAGAATGTACATATTCCCTGGAGTAATCTGTTTCAAATAATTGAGCCTAATAAGAAAAGCATTAAAATAAAATTCCTCAGTAAGATTAAGGTAATAATTTTTTTAAGCGACAGAGAAGTAGAGTTTAGTGGTGTTAATGAAAAACAAAGACAGGCTAAGAGGTAACGAATGCATTGTAGTATAGTGCAGTATTGGCAAACTATGGGCCTTGGTTTAAATTCAGCCCTCTGCCTGTTTTTGTTAAAAAAAAGTTTTACTGGAAAACAGCTACTTTCTTTTGTTTATATATTGTCTATGGCTGCTTTTGTTTTATAAGAGCAGAACTGAATAGTTGTGGCAGAGACTGTATGGTCTGTAAAGCCTAAAATATTAACTGTCTGGCTCTTTTACAGTAACTTTGCCAGCCTCTGGTAGTGGAAAGATCTTGTCTTTGTAAACAGACATACCTAGGATTAAAGCCTGTTTTTTCTTATTACATGCATAAGTTTTGACACATTGTTTAACCTCTCTGAATGGTAATTTTCTTCCACTGAAAATGTGAATAATAATGAGATTAAATGAAATAATATATGTAAACTTAGCTGGTATATAATAGACATTCAATTTATGTTACATTTGATTTTAGTGAAAACTCTCAGAGGGAGGAAACAATTTTTCTTTGGCCTATTAATTTTCATGAAAATTTTAGAGACCGTTTTACAGTAACCATTTATTACTGGAAGATTGATGACCAACTAAGGAAATTCCAATAATCAAATGAAGTATTAAGACGTTTGAAATTACAAACTAATTTTCTTCTCCAAATGAAAGGTAGAAACTGGAGAGAAATTAATGGCAATTAGACAGTCACCTTTTTTTAAAATGGAGAAATGGATTATGGGTTATATTTGAATATACGACATATATGTGTATATTTACATGCATAATGAATGTTGGAAAAAGATCAGCAGCATAGTAAATGTTTATTAAGAGATTAAAAATATCAGGAAGAAGAAAGTATATAAAAAGTGAGTATAAAAAGTGGGTTTTAAAAAGTCAAACCAGATTTTCCTTAGAGCCATCAATTGTAGATGCAAGCAGGTGATTTTTTTAAATAAAAATCATAATAATATGTTAGTAGCATTTTAGCAAATGAAAATCAAATCATTATGTTGGTTGTTAGAAAGCTACTTTAGGAATGAAGCAGTACATTATAAATAATTCTAGGGATCTGACAGTTACTTGTGTCTAGTAGTGCTGAGCAGAAATCGTTCTCTTAGCCTAAGTCTTATGGTTTCCTTGTTGTATCAAGCGGTGTACTTTTATAATTACCACCATATTAGCAGTAATGAAATGAAAACTCAGATTATGTTATGAAATTTCCAGGACCATTTTGCTTCCTATTGAGGAATCGAGTAATTTTTAGTTTTGTTTATGATATATTATCTCAATGTTTTAGTTTTGTTTATATGTTATCTCAATGAATGAAGTAATTCATACATATTATCAAGTTAGGTATATGGAGAGAAGAGCTTTACCACAGTATTTCCCATTGTAAGAAAAGACAGACAAATTTAAATACATAAAATTGAATGTTTATTAGCACTGTTCTAACCTACTTAAGTTTAATAGAGTAAAGCTAAATTCTAGGACCAGAATTATAACTAAACTTGAAGAAAGTATTTTATAATCTATGTAGCTCTAAATATTCCAATGATCTGAAGCAAATGAATGTTCAGTAGTTAGTCAATATACATTGAAATGAATTCCAGTCATTTCATTGATTTAGAAGTTGAGAGTTTGAAGCTACATTATAGACACATCCAAATTTCGTTATACCTTTTTGGTGGATTGATTCTTGTATCATTATAAAATATGCCTCTTTATTCTTAGTAATGATTCTTGCCTTCAAATTTTTTTTCTGTTATTAGTTTAACTATATCAGTTGTCTTTTAGTTAGTGTTTTCATGGTATATCTTTTTCTGTCTTTAATACTTTCAACCTATCTTGATTACTGTGTCTCATAATGTGCCTTACAGACAGCAGATATTTCATTAAAAAATTATCTTTTAATATGAAACATTTAGTAAATATTTACTTAGTATAACTGGTATTTTGTCATTTTCCTATTTATTATTTGACTTCATCTGTTCTGTGTTCCCATTTTTCTCCTTTTCTTTCCTGTTTTGGAATTTCTAATTTAAAAAAAATTCCAATTTTCTATTTCTAATGGCTTTTTCTTTTACTCTTTTTATAGTTTCCCCAAAAGTGAAAACATTATTCTGATTTTTTTGAAGTATAATATAAGTTAGTACTTTACCATTGTGCACCTAATGAAAGCAGTGGTCTTGGAACACCCTCTGTCATCATCATTTTTCATATTTTGGGGTAGAAGGTAGATGTAGAAAAAAATCACATGATAACAAGACATTATTGTTGTTACATATACATTATGTGTTATATTGTTATACAAGTTATATGTTACCTATAGTCAGTATTTGTTTTGAGTTATCTACATATTGGTGCTTTTTCTAGTACTCTTTATACCTGAGCCTCCTCTAGGCTTATTTTTTCTGCTTTTAGTGCAAGTCTCTTGGAACAAATTCTCTCAGTGTTGGTTCCCTGAAGATGCTTTTATTTCTCCTTCATTTTTGAAGGATTTATTGTTTGGCACAGAATTGTAGATTGGTGGTTACTTTCGTTCAGTTTTTAAAAGATGTTATTCCATTGTCTTATGGTTTCCATCATTTCTGTTGTAAAGTCAGTTGTTGGTCTTACTGTTACTCCAATGAAATATGTTTTTCTTTAGCTGTTTTTATGATTTCTTTTGGTCTTTGTATTTTAGCAATTATTCTGTGATTCTATGATGTGCTTTGGTATTGTTTTCTTTGCACTTTTTTCTGTTGGAGAGTTTATGTAACTTTGAATCTGTGGCCTGATGTCATTCTTAAGTTGTGGAAATTTCTTGGCCTTTGTCACTTCAAATATTACCTCTGCTCAATTTTTTCTCCTGCAGTTCTGGGATTCTACTTACATGTACGTGAAGTCTCATTGTGCTGCATATGTTCTGAATTTATTTCTTAACTTTCCTTTTTTATTCCCCCTCTGTGCTTCATTCTGGATATTTCCTATTAATTTATCCTCTGGTTTACTAATCACCTCTTCTGCCATGTCTAACCTACCCTTAAATCCTTCTAATGAGTTCTTAATTCAGTTATTATATTTTTCACTTTTAGAATTTCCATTTGATACTTTCTTTCATTGATAATTTCTGTGGTGAAATCATCTATTTTGTCATCTATTTTTTTAAACGTGTTAATCACAGTTTTTAATGTCTGTGTTTGATAACTTTAACTTTGAGATCCCCTTGTGGGTCCGTTTCTGTTGACTCTTTTTTTCTTCTCAATTTCCAGATATTTGGCCCTGTCTTCTGACATGTCTAAGTTAGAATACTGAGCATTTTGCATGACAAATTGTAGAAAGTGTGATTGTGTTCTTTCCTCAGATTTGATTTACTCTTTTTTTTTGATAGGATATAAGAGAAGCCTCATTTTTATCCAATCAGGGGTTTGTATAACAAGAATTTCTAATGCTAAATAACAGAACATTGGTCTTAATATAGCAGTTTTTGGAAAGATGCTATTTATTGCATTTATTGGTATTTTGTAAGGAATCTTGATTGCTGGATTTGTCTTTGTGAAAGACTAGTTTCAATTTGCCTTTATTCCAATAGTCTAGTCCTTCGGGGTCTCAGCTGAAAAACTGAGGTGTTTATTGTGGATTGTGCCCTACAGTTACTGTTTTCCTGGCCTTGGAGATTTTGCAGGATGTTCTGAGTCTCCGGTTCTACTTGACTTTTCATTCAGTACTGAATGTGAATTGACAGGTACTTTCAGATAAAAAGCAGTGCAGAATATATGGCTCACCTTAACGCCTGTCTACTTTCTCTGAGATTTTGGCCTCTTAAGTTCTGGGGAGTTTGGCTACTTGCCAGTATCTTTAAACAGCTGTGTATTTATTAATTAATTGGATTTTATCTGGCTTTTAATAGTGTTTTTGGTGTGAGTGTTGGTCTCATACGAACTGTTTCCTCATAGGTGTCAATGGCAATAGCATTTTGTTTAAAAAATTTCTTCCCAGGTGATTTTAATCATTGCTGCCTAATTGCATAACTCCAGGAGGCAACACTCACATCATAGTCTATGTAAACAGTATCCTGTGGAGTTGTGCAGTGCAAAACTTCTGTGGCCATAAGGTCTGAGAAGTGCTGTAGAGTAGGGAATGAGACTCATGGTGGACTTCATAGGTGAGATAGAGATTAACCAAATGGGGAGATGAAGGAGGTCATTGCTGGGCAAAAAAAACAACAAAACCCTTGAGGCTGTAACTGGAATAATTGGTTTTAAGGGCAAATCTTTAGTAAAATTCCAGCAGTATAACAAACTTCTCTAAAGCTAAATAATAAAATAATGTTCTTACTTCAGCAGTTCTTTTGTAAATTACATTTACTGTGTTTTTCATAAAGGTAGAAAAAAATTACCAATAATTTCAGAACCAAAGTCACCATTATTACCATTGACATTTAAAAAAATAATGTTTTATGGTGGAATATTCTTCAAAAAATACTGCCTCATCAGTGTTTTTTGCAAGTCTTTTCCTGTGTTTCTTTCATTTTTCTCTAAAACAAGCAAAAATCTGTATCCAGCTGTTGATTATGTGTATAAAACTATGTGTGAATAAAGACAGTATCAGGAACTTCATCTTATTATCCTTTCTATTATTCAGGATATGGAATAAGATCCCCGAAGGTCCCTAACTATCTTTGGATATTGCATTAATGATTATTATACATATTTTTTGTGGGAGTAATGATGCAGTTAAAGCATGTGGTGGACTTTGACCCTGTGTTCTTCTGTCAGCCAGACTGAAGCAAAAGCTGTAGTCTGCATTTTCTTTCTACCCTTTCACGTAGATAGGTGGCAGCATAGTATCTTTTCTAGCCCATCTTTAAATTCCAAAGCTGAATGGAATTGCCTGGGTCAGAAGAGAAAGTGTTAACTTTCTTGTTTTTCTTTTCTTGTTTTTTAAGGCGAAAGTGTTTATTCATTAAACAACAACAACAAAAAAAATGAGTTGCACTTTGACCATTGATGTAATGGCACTTAACCTGTATTCAGTAGAAAACTGGTACGTTGTATGTTATGCTCATGGTAAAGACAGTTGAGAGAAAGCAGGTTGTTCACAAATTCTGGGAAATGAACAGATTGGGAGCCTGATTTTCTTCCATTTCTCTCTTCTCCTCGCCTTCTGTTTTCAGGAGAGCTCTTTCTGAGCTGGATTATTTTAATTTCTTTGCAAGTGCCCCATTGTTTTTTATAGTAACTTAATGCTTTTTAGATTTCTTCTTAATCTTTACTTTTAAAATATTCTTTTATCACGAACGTTCAAAGATTTATATGTTTTTACCATGTGAAGTTTTGAGGAAATACTTGAATTTATCTTTTGTTGAGGAAGTAAGGACTAAGATGTGCAGGAGATAAGGAATTTATAGTTTATCATGAATCAATGCCCAAATTTAGGATTTATTTTTTAAGCTATAGATATTGATTTATATTCTGAGTCTTATACTAAAAAAAGGCCTGTGAACCTAAAAAGAATTAGTATTTACTATCTTTATCAGAAATAGTAACTTAAAAAATCCCCAAATTCTCAGTGTAAAAAATGCATGTCTAGAAAAATTGCAGAAACTTGAGTAATAGTTTTGTTTTCTAAATAAATGGAGATAAATTAAACATTTTTTGTTAGAATCACTAAATCAATAAAGATTATAAACTTTGAGATGTTTGGAGAAGTTTTTCAGATGTTAGACATTAAATTAGTTTGCATCATTTGCATTTATCATTCCAGTATAATGTTGAATTTTACTTAAAACCCCTCTCGAAAGTAATGTTTGACTTTAAATATTTATTGGCATGAAAATCATTGTCTAGGTTCTAAAACCTGTAGATTGGGTAATGATTTGGCATTTAAGTGAATAAAATAGATGGATTTTGAAGAAAATGAACTTTCATTTTTTACCAAGGTCCATATTTGACTATTTCACATAGTTACTTTAAATGCTTATAAGCAGATGCCTAGTCATTTGGTATATTATGAAACTCTATTTCATTTTATTGGATACTGGTTATTTACCAAAACTAGAAAATTACGGTTTTCAATTAAATATGAAGGAAAGTACCACTGTATTTAAAGAGTATACCTTCTTAAATTTATTGTATGTTTATCCATGAATATTTTATTGGTAACATGTTTTCTTTTTATATTATTCTGGATTTGTGTATTACTTGGATTAGTGGAAAATGTCTACTCCTATGAAATATTTCTGAAGGGATAAATAGTATGGTTGCCATCTTACAGGTAAGGTAACTGAAATTCAGAGAAGTTCAATACCTTGTCCAATCACAAACTTGCCACTTGACAGAGGTGTGATTTGGGCCCATGTCCCTAAGTCATGTGCTTGCTATTACTAAATCCTATTCAAACTCCCATTCAATACTACTTTTTGCATTTTTCCCCCAAGGAATTTTTTAGCAATATTATTGTAGGATTAATAATATTAAATATATTTAAAAATACTAAACATCATAATATCTGCTCTTCAGAGAAAGCTCAGTGAACCTCCTGATTGGTAGATTAATATTTTGCTGTTTTCATTGAGGCAGTCTGTTATATCTTATAAAGGCATCGCAGTGGGTTAAAAATATTTTTTTAAATATGTTCCTGCTGGAAATCAGCTGCAGGCAAAGTTTACTATTTCTCTACATGAGAAAATACAAGGTTTTTAAAAAAATAATTTGTGGCTATTACTGTCAGAGATTATACAGCTAATCTTTGATGGTATACCACTTTAATTCTAAAATTATGTCCTTTAGCTTCTTTTTAGATGAAGTGGATTCTGATAATTTCTAATTGTTGTATACTTATTTTTATGTGAAGGGGAAAAGCATACTAACTGCGTTTAAGGCTATGAGAGCAGTGGGTGACAGAAGGGGAAGAGAGGAGAGAGAATTTCAATAAAGGAAATGCTGCCAAAATTCAGAAGAGGAAAATAAATAATGTTTAGCAGCCTAGCCAACTCTTCTGCTAGGAAGATACATTATTATTATTCCAATTGGCTGATATCTAATAGTGTTGCTAGGGATTTGATGTCAGAACTGTTCCTACAGAATTATTTGCCTAGCCTTTTGGCTAACAAAAAAAAGAAATAGCCAGAAGACTTGGCTGCAGGTAGCTTTGAATATTTGTAAATCTTTTCATAATTTATTTTAATCTTTTTGTGTAATCTGTTTTAAAGTCGCCTGAGTACTTCTGCTATTTAAAAAAATATTGTAGCCTTAATAATAACTTTTATTTTCTTAATATCTAGAAGGTCATTTATTTTGTTCACTGAAGAATGGAAAAAAATTGCTAAAATACACATTTAGCTTTTTAGATTTTTGGAAAGAATAGCCAAGAGTCAAGAATAGCCAAGAGTATTGTGGAATTAAAATTGATATGAGATGAAAATTATTTTTAGTGCTAATATAAAAGTAATTTGGCTTTTTTGTTCCTGTTTCCTGAGATGCTACTAGAGATATTCCTTAGTAACATTTTTTATTTTTTTTGCTTGAAAAGAATAATGTCAGATATAGTTTATATTTCTAAAGAAATAAGAATAATCTATTTATTCTAACAATTGCCAATTCCATTTGTCAGTATATCTCTACGCTTTTAGTGAGAGATGGAACACAGAAACCTTATAATAAATCTTAATCCTGTCCTACAACACCAGGTTGACTGAGTATATGTCCTCATTAAACATGTTTCCATAGTCAGTTATAAATATTAATAGCATTTAACATAGAAAATTTAGCAGTTTTTATTTCTCTGTAAAACTGTTACAGTTACTGTGAATTTAAATGGTTAAAACCTGGCAGCAATTTTATTGTCTTACTCTTCTTTTACTTTTACCAAACACTGTAGCACTGCATTAATTGGTGAATGTAGTAAGGAAGTATGTTATCCTGTTCTCTTATTGGATTGCCCAAACTTTTCTAGAATTTTTACTGCTAAAATATGGTCAGGCAGACAAAATAATTTTTCTGGAATACTTCACCCTCAGCCATGAACCTGACAGTCAGATGCTAGTGAAATACGCTCTGTAAGACAATTGCATACATATGATTACCAAAATTTAGTAGATAATTCTGAACACTCAATGACAGCCATTAGGGAGGTATAAATAATTATTTGTTTCACTTTAGATATTAATTGCCATTAGGATGTAATAAGACTGAGAAAAGTACATTTTACCTGAGCGTTGGGTTGGGAAGTGGAGGGGTTTTATGTAGAATAAGCTTGTAACTTCTTTTCTTATGTTTTAGAATATAATAAACTTTAGCTAAGGGTCATTCCAAAAAGTGCTCATACCCATACAGGTATCATGGGATTTTATTTTAGGATTAAATTAAGATTGCTTATTTTAATGTGAGAGTATTTGCCTTATGAACCTACCCTCAGCATGTGAAGTTGGTTATTTAGTTATTTTGAAAATTCAAATCTGTATGCTTTAGATATCTCAGATGTGATCTAAGCTGTTTCTGTTATTTTTATTTTTTAATTTTATGATTTTTACTGTCTCCAGGTGTTTCTATTCTTTTAACAACAGAGAAAAACAAAATCCTTTACCAGTGGGTACAGTGGTTCTCAGTTGGGAGGAGGTTGACTTTCCCCCACAGAAAACATTTGGTAATGTCTGGAGATGTTTTTGGTTGTCGCAGCTAGGGGAGTGCTACTGGCATCTAGTGGGTGGAGGCCAGGGATTCTGCTAAATGTTCTGCAATGCACAAGAGTGTCCCCTGTAACAAAACATTATCCAGCCGAGTGTCAGTAGTGCTGAGGTTGAGAAACTGTTCAGTAGGAGGAAGATCACAAAGAAAAAAAAAATTTTTACTTTTCAGAGTAGTCTTATAAAAACACAGAAAAGTACGTATAAGCTGTGGTTTATAAATAAAAATTGCTTCAAACTCATTGATAGGAAAATTGTCATTTTATATATAAAATTTTATTTGTAAAACACAGTTTTTTTATTTTAATAAATTGTGAGGAACATTTATTAAGTCATTCAGTACATATTATTGAGTGTCTATTCACTTCCCCTTCGTCTAGGCTCTAAAACAAAGTTCCTGTGTTTAAGGAGCTTACGTTCCAATTAGAGAAGACAGGCAATAAACAAATATATGGTAAACAATATGAGTATTATGACGTATAATAAAGCAGGGTACAGGGGTGGATATAGTCAAGGAAGACCTTTCTCTAGTGACGCTTGAACAGAGACCTGGAACTCAAGCAAGTCACTGTTGTTGACATTCTCAAGGAACAGTAGGGAGACCAGTGTATCTTGAGTGGAGTGAGTTAGGGACAGAGCAATAGGAGATGATGAGTTGAGAGTAGTAAGGGCTGTGATTGGACTGGAGACTTTATTAAGATGGTTAGTGGTTGGGACTTTGTAAGCTGTTGGAGGGTTTTGAGCCATTACACAATCTCATTTACATTTTAGTAAAAAAAACCTGATTGCTATGAAAAATAAAGGACAAGGATAATAGCAAGAAGACCAGCTACTAGGCTGCTAAAATACCGTCCAAATATGAAATGATTATTAGTAGTGGTAGAAGCGTTTACAAGTGGTCTATTATAGTTTGAAGAGCTAACAGAATTTGGTGATAATTTGAATGTGGGCTGTGAGATAGAATGCGAAACGTCAAGGATATTTCCAGGGCTTCACCGCCCAAACAACTGGAAGAATGGAGATACCAGTTACCGAGAGGGGGAGCCTGACGGAAGAATAGTTTCTGGGAAGAAGTTAAAGATTTGGGTTTTACACATGTTTACTCTGCCTGCTTAACTTCCAGGGACAGATGTTAATTAAGCAGCTAGATACAAAAATCTGGATTTCAATGGGGTGGTCTGAGCTAGATAAATAAATTTGGGAGCTTTCAGCATAAAGATGATATTTAAAGACATGGAAACTGACTGGAGATTTCCTAGAAGTAATTCGAAATAGAAAAGAAAAGAGTTCTGAAGACCAAACTAGGCACTCATCAGTTTTTGAAGTTGGAAAGACGAAAGGTAATAAGAAAGGTGACTAAGACTGCAGCCAGTGAAACACGAGTAGAATGGTGGTGAGAGAGGGTCAAGAAACGTGGTGGTAAATTGAAAGAGAAATTATCATGATGGACTGTGGAATATAAACAAGTAGGGAGTTGAATATATTCTGGAAAGCCAATGACATGGTGGTTGGGCCAAGGAATTGGAGCTCCCGTCGGGGTTGAGAATTTGTTAGCATTGATAGTCAACAGGGAGTTAGCTCAAAAGAAAGCATGTGGTATTCATAAGGTGACATACTTGAAATTGTAATTATGTTATGAGTTACAGTTCTTAGAAATGATAAGGTATAGTATATAGTCTTAGAATTTGAATTGAGATTAGGATATAAGTTTATAGGAAGATATGAGCTGAAGGAATTCACAGATCAAGTATTTAATTATTTGTTAGATCATAAATAGCCAAATCTGACTCTTCTTTTCATTTAGCTTGCATTAAGAGGTGGTGCCCCCCACTGCCTAGTTTTGTAACATTTAAAAATTTTTAAATGATACAGTTCTAAAAGATTATGAGATAGGAGTATAGGAATATTATTAATATTTCATGAGAGTGACCCTCTCCTCCTCTGCTGGTTTATGTGTGAGGACATAAGTATGTTTATGTACATGTTGCCTATGTGTTTCTTTTTCTGTGTTTATTGCTGCTATTATACATGTGAAACAGTCCTTGTAGATACTTTTCTCTGTCTCTTCACATGTTGAGGGAAGAGACAGTTCTTTGTCCAATTTTCTTTGTTTTCATTCATTCATTTAATAAATATTTGTTGAGCTGGAGCTGATTCTACATTCCAGGCACTCATGATTGAACAAGACAGGCAAAAGTCCCCATCTTCAAGAAACTTGCATACTGCTAAGAGAGACAAAACAACAAATAAATAGATATATATCAGATGGAGATAAATACTATGAAAAAAATAAAATACAGCAAGGAAATAGGGAATACTGGGATTTTCTGTAATTTGGTCAAGGAAAAGGTCTCTGATAAGGCGATATTTAAGTAGAAACCTGAAGAAAGTGAGGGGAGTATGCTTGTGGTTGTCTGGGGAGTTTTCTGGGAAGAACAAATGCAGCAGTCCTGATTTGAAAGTTCGCTAGCTATGTCTGAGAAATAGCAAGGAGGTCAGTGTAGTTGTAGGTGAGCCAGGAAGAAAGTGGTAGATGAGATCAGAGAGGTGGTCTGACTCTTCCTCTCCTTTTTTCCTGTCTCTCACATCCTTTTCTGTGTCTTATTTGACAAATTTTTGTCTCTGTTTTTTATAGGCCATTTATAACTAACTTTTATGTTTTATATGTATTTTAAGAGTTTGGTTTTCTAAAATTAATAAAAGTATTTTTATATTCTGTATTTCACTGTTACAACTTTTTGTACCTTTTATATTGTAAAATGTGATACACATATGAAGGAGTGCATAAAAATAAAAACAGTTAAGTGAATCATCCTGGTGTTTCTTTTGGGCAACATTTGGAAGATTTATCCTTTTTGTTACTTTAGATACAGTTTATTTTCATTGTTGTGAATCCTCATAATATTTCATTTAATATAAAGCCATTTATTCGTTCTGTTGATGGACATTTACTTTGTTTCTAGTTTTTGGAGGTTATAAATAATGCTATTGTGAGCAGCCTTGTTTATTCCTCCTGCTGTCCATGTGCATGTGTTTCACTTAGATGTATAGCGAGAAGTGCTGGTGTTCGAAGGTTAAGTGGTATGTTCCTTTAGATAGTGTTAAACAGTTTTCCAAAATAGTTGCACCCATTTAAACTCCTACCAGTAGAGTATATGAATTCTGATGGCCTCATATCCTTACTAATACTTAAATCTTCTTAACATTAGCCATTTGGTATGTATGAGCAGTACTTCATTGTGTTTTAATTTACATTTCTCTGATGACTAATGATACTGAACCTCTTTTCATATATTTACTGATTATATGACTGGCCTATTTGGCAAAGTGTGCCTATTTAAGTATTTTTCCCATTTGACTTTTTCTTGGTAATTGTAGGGCGTTTTAGATTAGTCCTTTTTTTGGAATGTGTTGTAAACATCTTCCACTCTTTGGTTTATCTTTTCACTCTCTTAATGGCATTTTTTGGTAAACAGAGGTTTTAAATTTTAATGTACTCCACCTTATCAACCGTTTCATTTTTGAGTAGTGTTTTTTGGGTTCAGTTTATAAAATATTTTTTATCCTTTCTAAAACCAATGTAATTCTCCTTTATTATCATCTAGGTACTATATTTTTCTGTCTTTCCCATTTCTACCTGGAATTGAATTTTGTGATTCTCATGAGATAGAAGTCAGGGTTTCAGTTTTTTCATAGATGAATAGTCAATTGATTTAGCACCATTTATTGAAAAGATAATTCTTTCCCCTCCACTCTGTAGTGCCATCTTTCTCCTAATCATGATTCATATGTGTGTGTGTCTGTTTCTGTTTCTTTTCTAGTCTGTTGATCTATTTGTCTCTCCTTGTGGAGAGACAATACCACACTGTCATTACAACTGTGGTTTTATAAGAAATGTTATCTAGTAGAACAGTAGTTTTTAACCTTTTTTTAAATTCCCATTTTCCTCCTATGGAAATTTTCTCCTCTCACCACCCCTGTGAAGTTAAATACTAAGAAAAAAGATTTTGTCAGATAAGATTGTGTAGAGCCACAAACCATAGTGATAGCTAAGACTTTTTTTCTCCCTCTAAGAACCAGTTTTCTCCCACTTGGGAGCAAAACTTGCCCTGTCGAGAATACATGCAGTAGAACCGACTTTCCTACCTTGCTCTGTTTATATGAGCCTCATGGTATTCTTTGTGTTTGTTTTTTCCTATGAAATAAAGAAACAGCTTAGCAATTTCTACAGACTAAAGCAAAGTAAATATATATATATATGTGTGTGTGTGTGTGTGTATACATATGTATGTGTGTATATATATAAACTCCCACCAGTTGTATATAGTATGTAATGTGGTTATATATAAGCAACCTGATCAAATTGAGTTTATCCTAGGAATGAAAGGTGGTTTTTGCACTAGAAAATAAGTCAGTATATTTTATCACATTAACAGATTAGAAAAAAAATTCAAATAGAGCATCTCAGTGTATGAAGACAAAGATAAAATTCAGGATTCATTCAGGTTACACACTCTTAGTAAACTAGAACTTAGGAGAACTTTCATAATCAGATAAATGGTCTTTCTTCCCGACCCCCTTAAAAAAAAAACACACAAAATCAACCAACTATAGCATGCTAAGATGAAATGTTGACTTCTTCCCTCCAGGTTGGAGACAAGGCATTGATGCCCCCACTATCACCATTATTATTCTTAAATATACTACTAGAAATTCTAGCCAGTGCAGTAAGACAAGAGAAAGAAAGAAAAGGTACAACTGCTGAAGGAAATAAAACTGTCATTACACATAGATGATGTAACTGTATAAATGATTTATCTATAGATTCTTTTGGGTTTTTAAGAAAGTATAAAAAATGTGACTATGAAACAATATTTTTAAAAATCTATTTTTATATGCTCACAAACAAACCTTTAGACAATGAAATTAATAGCAAATGCCATTTATAATAGAATCAAAAAACAGGAAATTGCTGAATTAAATCTGACAAAGTGCAAGTCCTTTAGAAGAAACTTAACGAAAGGTAATGGAGAGAATATATTATACGTGAATGTATGCATGAGTATGTGTTGTAACTTGAAAATGTAACTTTAAAATTTTTATGCAAATACAAATTATCTGGAATAATCAAGACGTTCTTGCAAAAGAGTAAGATGGGATGACATGGCCTACCAGGTATTGAGACTTATTACAAAGCCGTAATAACTAAGACATTTGTCACCGTTGCAGGGATAAACAAACCAAGGGAACAAGAGTAGAGAGCCCATGCATGTATGGATACTTGATCTCAGGTCACTGAAGAAATGACAGCTTTTTAGATAAGTCATTCCGGAACAGTTGAATATTCATATACAAAAAGTAAATTCAGATTCCTATCTTTCACTGTGCACAAAAAAATTAAATAATAATTCTATGTGAATTAGTGACCTAAATGTGAAAGGCAAAACTTAACAAAGCTTTTAAAAGGCTTTACAAGATAATATAGGAGAATGCCATTATTACTTCAGCATCAGGAAAGATTTCTTAAATAGGATATAAAAAGCACTAAAGGAAAAGATTGATACATTGGACTACGTAAAATTAAGACTTTAGTTTATAAAAAGGTGCCATCAAGAGAGTGAATAGGGTAGTTTCAGAGCAGGAGAAGATATTTGCAATATGCAGCTGAAACATAGCAATATCCAAAATGTATGAAGAAGGAGTTAGTAACCTTTACCTTTAGGGTAGGGGTGAGGGAGAGCCAGCAATGGGGAAGGAATACACAGGAGGCTCTACTTGGTTTCAGATGTTCTAATTCTTGAGAGGATACTGTTACTTTTCTTCTTCTTCTTTATATATATATATTTTTTTGAGACAGAGTCTCACTCTGTTGCCCAGGCTGGAGTGCAGTGGCACGATCTCGGCTCACTGCAACCTCCACCTGCCAGGTTCACGTGATCCTCCTGCCTCAGCCCCGCCTAGTAGCTGTGATTATAGGCATGCACCACCGTACCCTGCTATTTTATTTTTATTTTTATTTTTTAGTAGAGACGGGGTTTCGCCTGTTGGCCAGGCTAGTCTCGAACTCCTGACCTCAGGTGATCCACCCACCTTGGCCTCCCAAAGTGCTGGGATTACAGGCGTGAGCCACCGTACCCAGCCCAGTGTTACTTTTCTTTAAACTGAACACATGTGTTTTATGAATTTATCTGTATATGAGCACATTTTTTAACAAAAATGGAAGAAATGTAAACAATAAAGAAATACATTTATTGATTATATTAGTTTGCTAGGCCTGTCTTAAGAAAATACAACAAAGTGGGTGGCTTAAACAACAGAAATTCATTTTCTCACATTCTGTAGGCTACAACTCCAAGATCAGGGTGTCAGCAGGTTAGTTTTCTCCTGATGCCTCTGTCTTTGGCTTGCAGATAACCACCTTCTCTCTGTCCCCACATGGTCTTTCCTCCGGGAACATCCATGGTGTCTCTCAGTGTGTCCAAATTTCCTCTTCTTATAAGGGAACCAGTTGGATTGGATTAGTGCCCACCCTAAGGGCCTCATTTTATTTTAGTCACTGCTTTAAAGGCTTTGTCTCCAACTACAGTCATATTCTAAGGTACAGGGGTTAGGGCTTCAACATAGGAATTTTGGGGGACCTAATTGAGCCCATAACACTGATTATGTAGTAAAGATCTCGGATAGCAAATGGGTTCCTGTGATTTGGATAAAAATTTTTAAGCCAATTTTTGGATTCAAAAAGTGTTAAATCTAAAAAAATCTAAGACAGAAGTAAAGATGTACTCTAGAGAACAGTGTTAAGTGACTCAAAATATGGATTTAGTGCTGATGATGTTAATTATGCATGTGTGAACTTGGAATACAGTTGTTTTTTTGAAAATGTAAAAGTGATAAAAAGCAATTTCTAGATTAAAGTTTTTTTACTACTGTATTTTACATAAATACTTTAAATATAAATGTATAACCAAATGAATAAATGTAATATTATAAGTAGATCTTTTAGTCTCATCTCCATCCTTGACATTTATAAATTGTAGTTGGCCAAAAATTATTTTAAAATCTTTTCACTGGGAGTAGAGTGGATGGATTTTATTTGGTCATAGATGGTAATTTTAGTACAGTAAGCTCTGCTATAATGCAATATGTGCATTCCTAAAAATCACCTCACTGTGTAAAACCGTGCATTAAAACCACAGGGCTTACCACTCCGAAACTTTGTCTGTGACACTTAAAAGGATAGGAATATAATAAAAACAACAGCACTCTTTTATATAAATATTACGTGATTAAGAAATACATAAATACTATGATAAACATGGCACTTTACCTTGAGAAAGACCTGAAGTTTTCTTATGGAAGTGAGCATCAGGAGGGTTGCAGAATGTGAATTATTGTGAAGTGATGGAAGGGAGGGTCTGTGAAATTGGAGGGAAAGTTGTAATACTAGTTGTGGGTGGGTGTGGCTCATAGCATGGAAGAGAAACTGAGGTGGCTGGTAGATGTTTGACGGGTGAGTGTGTTTTGTGTATTCCTACATATTTTGGTTCATCTGGGTACAATTTTTTGTGTTCATCTAGGATTTTTTCACAGATAAAAGTATGCATAAGAATGATTGCCATGGTCAAACTTGTTTAATGTATCAATTATGTTAGAACAAATTTGTGTTTTTAAATAGTGTTAATGCAGAATTTACTTAATTTTTTATGTCATCCACAGGCCCATCATTTTGGTTTTATATGTTTTATAGGGATTCTATATTGGGTTCTTTTTACTGAAGTTTTGAAATGATTGCCTAATATTTACCTGCTACATAACGTTTTAAGTGTCTTGCTGAATTCTAAGTTTTTCCAGGCTAATGAATAAGTAATGTGGATGTGGAATCAGATTTTTGCTTGAGTCTGGTGGTGACTCAATATAATACACACAGAAAAGTATCAGTTCTTCTGTTTCAAGCAAGCATACTATCTCTGGTGGCCTTCCTATTTTTGAAGTTGCTGTTAGGATACTTTAATCCTTAACATGAATCAGTATAAAAGAAAGCATGTGGGTGGTTGTGTTTGGGTGTCCTTTCCATCCACTTGGTGCTTTTATTTTCTGTGGTTGTTTTATTCCACAGCTTAGCAACAGCAGATTTCCAGGAGAAGTCTTAGTTCTTCATCTCTCTCTCCTTCCTCTGGTCTGGTTGGTTGGTAACAGTGAGAGTAAATGAAATGCTTTTTGTTTTTCTGTCTTCCCACCACAGTGTCTTTGGTTTACTTTTAGGACCCTCATTTTCAATCTCTGAGCCAGAAGACCTGCCTTTAAATCACAGCATTTCAATTCCTCCCTCCTATCTAGGCATTCCTTTATGTTTCTACAGTACTCTGCATGCATCCCTGTTATAAAATGTATCACATTGTTTTGGAATTTTCCAAAGTTGAGCTCTCTTTCTAAATAAACTGTACTTCTTGAGGCCATGGACCATATTTTTATCATTTATACATTTCTGTTACGTAACACAATGCTTGGCAATGGTGGTTGGGTGACTGGATGGAAGAATGAATGAAGTAGGCTTGAAGAGAGCTGTACTTATGATCCTATTATATATGATTTCTCTTCATTTTGTCCACGTTAATGATTTCTAGATATCTTGGTCACTTGAACTTTAGTAATATGAATCATGCTGTGTATTCAAACTTTTTAGCAGAGAAATAATAAAATTCCTTTTGTAAACCAAAGATTGTACAACCATCTGTGTTTTGTTTTGTTTTGGGTTTTTCTTTTCTTTCTTTCTTTTTTTTTTTTTTTTTCCCCAAAATAGGTTCAAAAAACAAACAAGGCTAACTTGCACCTAAGATTGAGGAGTTTTGATGCAGTAGAGTAGTAAACTCCTGTATTTTCCAGCTTGCTATTGTAAATTAAAATACCTATTTTTGAAATTTTAAAATATTTATACATTGATTTCAATAGAAGTATAAAAGAGGGAGAGGTAGTTCTTTTAAGATAATAAGGAAGATGTGTTATGGCTCAATTCTTGATTATTATTGCGACTGTAAGCAATGTAAGCAACTCTGAATGGTTTTTAAGACTTTCTTTTTCTTTTTAGGACCTCTTTGTTTTTAGACATGAATTGGCCATAATGAGACTAGCAGCCTTTATGGGCATTACTATGTTAGTTGGAATAACTGGACTCTTTTACACTCAACTAATTGGCATCATCACAGTAAGTATATTTTTAATGTAAAGTAACATTTATGAATATATTACCTAATTATGAATGTAATTCTCAAAAGTTATAGGAAGTTTAGAAATCAAAGGAGAAAATTACCCATGCTTTTTAATACTTTCATGTGCCTATGTAATTTTAAAGTAGTTATAATCAAGTACAAAGTATACACAATTTTGTATCCTGTTTTTAAAAGCTAACAAATACAGTGTTTTTATATGACTATAGACATCACGTTTATAGTTTTTTATTGATACACAGTATCTTACGTATTTATGGGGTACATATGAGTATCTGTTACATGCATATAATATATAATGATCAAATCAGAGTATTTGGGGTCTCCATCACCTTGAGTATTTATCATTTCTATATATTAGGAACATTTCAAGTCCTCTGTGCTAGTTACTTTAAAATATACATTGCTGCTGACTGTAGTCACCCTACTGTGCTACTGAGCATTATAACTTATTTCTTCTGTGTGTTTATAACCATTAACCACACTCTCTTCGTCCCCCGCTCCACCCATGCACCCTTTCCAGCCTCTTGTATCTCTCATTCAATTCTTGACCTCCATGAGATCAGCTTTTTTGGCTCTCCCATATGAGTGAGAAAATATGATATTTGTCTTTCTGTGCCTGGTTTGTTTCATTTAACATAATGACCTCCAGTTCCATCCATGTTGCTGCAAATGACAGAATTTCATTCTTTTTATGGCTCATAGTATTATTCCATTGTGTATATATACCAGATTTTTAAAATTCATTCATCTGTTGATAGACACTTAGGTTGATTTCCTATCCTTGCTCTTGTGAATAGTGCTGTGATAAACGTGCAAGTGCAGGCATCCCTTTGATATACTGATTGTTTTTTTTCCTTTGGATAAATACCCAATAGTGAACTGCTGGATCTTATGGTAGTTCTATTTTTAGTTTTTTAAGAATTCTCAGTATTCTTTTCCTTAGTGATTAGGCTAATTTACATTCCCACCAACAGTGTACAAGAGTTCCCTTTTCTCTGCATGTTTGCCAGCATCTGTTACTTTTTGTCCTTTTAATAAAAGCCGTTCTAAGATGATATGTTATTGTGGTTTTGACTTGCATTTCCCTGTTGATTAATGATGGTACTTTTCATATACCTGTTGGCTATTTGCATATCTTCTTTTGAGATATGCATATTCATGTCCTATGCCCACTTTTTAATGGTACCTTTTTTTTTTAATTGTTGAGTTCCTTGTATATTCTGGGTAGTGTCCCTTGTCAAGCAAAAAGTTCAAGTGTTTTGTCTCATTCTACAGGTTGTCTCTTCAATGTGTTGATTGTTTACTATACAGCTTTTTAATTTAATAGAGTCCCATTTGTCTGTATTTGTTGTCTGCATTTTTTGAGGTCTTAGCCATAAAATTTTCATCTAGACCAAGTCCTGAAATATTTTTCCTAAGTTTTCCTCTGGTAGTTTCACAGTTGTAGGTTTTATGTTTAAGTCTTTAATACATCTTGAGTTGGTTTCTGTATATGGTGAGAAATGGGGTCCAGTTTCCGTCTTCATTCTTATGCATATGGATATCCAATTTTCCCAGCACTTCTCATGTATTCAAAAGACTGTTTTTTTCCCCCAATGTATGTTCTTGATGCCTTTGTCAAAAATCAGTTGGCTGTAAATATATGAATTTATTTCTGGATCCTCTATTCTGTTCCCTTGGTCTGTGTGTCTATGTGTCTGCTTTTATACAGATACTATGCTATTTTGGTTACTGTAGCCTCATAATATACTTTGAAGTCAGGTAATGTGATGCCTCCAGCATTGTCCTTTTTGCTTAGGATTTTTTTGACTATTCGGGCCCTTTTTTGACTTACAAATTTTAGGATTGTTTTCTCTAATTGTATGAAAAATGATGTTGGTATTTTGATGCTGATTATATCAAATCTGTAGATTGCTTTGGGCAGTGTGGTCATTTAACAATAATTCTTCTGATCCATTATCATGGGATAGCTTTCCTTTGTTTGTCTCTTCCTTTAATTTCTTTCATCAGTGCTTTGCAGTTTTCCTTATAGAGATCTTTCACCTCCTTGGTTAAATTTATTCTTAGAGTGTTGTTGTTGGAGCTATTGTAAATGGGATTGTGTTTTTTCTTTCTTTCTCAGTTCATTATTGGTGTATAGAAACGCTACTGATTTACTGATTTTTGTATGCTGATTTTGTATCCTGTGACTTTACCGAATTTAATTATCAGATTGAAGAGTTTTTTGGTAGAGCCTTTAGGTTTTTCTTGATATAAGATACCATCAACACAAAAGGCCATAGATGGTGTTTATTATATTGTAGTATGTTTCTTCTGTGCTTAGTTTGTTGAGAGTTCCAGTTCCTTCCTTTTCAATTTTTTGAAATAATTTGAGGAGAATTGGTGTTAGTTCTACTTATTTTAACACTTGGTAGAATTTGCAGTGAAGTTGTCTGGGTCCTGGACTTTTCTTTGTTGGGAGACTTTTTATTACTACTTTGATATTGTCACTTTTTATTGGTTTGTTCAAGTTTTCTATTTCTACCCAATTCAGTTGTGGTAGGTTTTATGTGTCTGGGAATTTATCATTTACTCTAGGTTTTTTGGTTTGTTGGTATATAGTTGTTCATAATAATCTTTGATAATCTTTGTATTTCAATGGTATCAGCTGTAATGTCTTCTTTTTCATGTCTGATTTTATTTACTTGGGTCCTGTCTCTTCTTGGTTAGTCTTGAAAGTGGTTTATTCACTTGTTTATCTTTTCAAAACACCAACTTTTTGTCTTATTGCTTCTTTGCATATTTTTTTTAGTCTCTTTTGCTTTTACGTCTCATCTGGTCTTCATTATTTCTTTCCTTCTACTAATTTTCGGTTTGGTTCATTCTTGCTTTTCTGGTTCCTTGAGGTGCATCATTAGACTATTTGCTTGAAATCTTTCTACTGTTTTGATATAGGCATTTATTACTGTAAACTTCCCTCCTAGCACTGCTTTTGTTGTAGTCCATAGGTTTTGGTATGTTTCGTTTTCATTTTCATTTGTTTTAAGAAAGTGATTTCCTACCTAGTTTCTTTCTTGGCCCACTGGTTGTTAAGAACCACGTTGCTTAATTTCCATGTATTTGTATAGTTTCCAAAGTTCCTCCTGTTATTGATTTTTAGATTTATTCCACTGTGGTCTCAGAAGATACTTGATACAATTTAGATTTTTTTCATGTTTCTTGAGACTTGTTTTGTGTCCTAACCTATGGTCTATCTTGGAAAATGTTCCATTTGCTGATGAGAACAATGTGTATTCTGTAGCTGTTGGTTGAAATGTTTTGTAAATATCTATTAGGTCCAGTTGGTCTAGAGAGCAGTTTAAATCTGATGTTTCTTTGTTAACTATTTTACTAGATCTGTCTAATGCTGAGAATCCTGTGTCCAAGTCCTCAACTATTACTGTATTAGAGTCTATCTTTCCCTTTAAATCTAATACTTGGTTTATATATCTGGGTACTCTGGTGTTGGGTGCATATATATTTAGAGTTGTTATATCTTCTTACTGAATTGATCTCATATAATGGTCTGCTTTGTAACTTTTTACTATTTTTGACTTAAAGTCTGCATATCTGATATAAGTATAGCTAGCTATTCCAGCTTACTTTTGGTTTCCATTTGCTTGGAATATCTTTTTCTGTCTCTTTACTTTCAGTCTATGTGTCTTTACAGGTGAGATGAATGTTTTGTAGGCAGCATATTGTTGTGTCATGTTTGTTTGTTTATTTAGTCCATTCAGAAAGTCTATATGTTTTAAATGTAGAGTTTAATCCATTTACATTAAAGATTATTATTGATATGTGAGGCTTACTCCTGTCATTTTATTAATTGATTTCTGATTGTTTTATATATGCTTTGTACTTTTCTTTTTCTTTTATTGTTTATCATTGTGGTTTGATGGTTTTGTGTAGTGGTAACATTAGAGTTCTTCCTCTTCCTTATTTGTGTGTTTGCTCTGCCAGTGGGTTTTTAATTAATTTTTTATAAAAAAATTGAGACAGAGTCTTGCTCTATTGCCTAGGCTAGAGTGCAGCATTGCGATCTCGGCTCACTGCAACCTCCACCTCCCAGGTTCAAGCAATTCTTGTGCCTCAACCACCCAAGAGTGGGTTTTATACTTTCATGTGTTTTTATGATGGTAGCTATCATCCTTTCGTTTCCAAGTGTAGGACTCTCTTAAGCATTTCTTGTAGGACCAGTCTAGGGATGATAAAGTCCCAAAGCTTTTGCTTGTTATCACGTGCCTTTTTCCTTTATTTATGAAGGATAATTTTGCTGGAAATAGTGTTTTTGTCTGAAAGTGTTTTTCGTTCCGCACTTTGAATGTGTTATCCCATTTTCTCCTGGCCTATAAAGTTTCTGTGGAGAAATACACTGTTAGTCTGATGCAGATTCCTCATATGGGACTTGATGCTTTCTTTCTTGCTGTTTTTACAATTCTCTGTCTTTGACTTTTGATAGTTTGATTATGATGTGCCAAATCGGAGAAGACCTTTTTGCATTGTATCTGTTTGGGGATCCCTGAGCTTCCTATACTTAGGTGTCTTGATCACTTGCTAGACTTGAGAAGTTTTCAGCTGTTATATCCTTAAGTAGGTTTTCTAGGTTTGTTGTTTTCTCTTTATCTTCTGGGACATTACAAATTAAAGTATTTGGTCACTTCATGGTATTCAATATGTCATGTAGTCTTTGTTCTTTTTTTAAATGCTTTTTTCTTTATTTTTGTCAGACTGGGTTATTTAAAAATACCTGTCTTCAAGTAATGAAATTCTTCCTTCTCCTTGATCTATTCTATTATCGAAACTTTGAAATGTATTTTGTATTTCATTTAATGAATTCTTCAGTTTGTTTGGTTCTTTTTTATTTGTATTTGTTTAGTAAATTCCTCATTCAGATCTGGAATTGTTTTTCTAATTGCTTCATATTTTCTGTATTATCTTTATCTCAATGAGCTTCTTTAATATTATTTTGAATTATTTTTCTGGGATTTCATATATATCTTTTTGATTGTAATATTTTATTGGAGAATTATTGTATTTCTTTGGAGTGCCATATTTCCTGCTTTTTTATGTTTCTTGTGTCCCTATGTTGATATCTATGCGTCTGTTGTAACAGATGTTTTTTCCAATTTTTTGAATTTGCTTTTGTGGGAGAGGACTTTTTCCTGGACATGTATCTTTGTGTTGGCTGGTTGGGGCCCTTTGGTTTTGATTCTGGGAATGTGCAGTATTATAGTTGCTGTAGGATTTGTTTGGCTGTGAATAGCATCAGTGGTATCTGTGATTTCATCAGTGGCTTAGGGTGTGGTTGTTAGTGGATGTTGTGGTGAAATTTTGCTAGGGACCGGGTTGCCAGGTGGGCTTGTCCTTAGTCCTTAGTGGTGGCAGCAGCAAGTGGGCCTGTCCGTGGGCACCAGGGTGGCATTGGCACTGCTGTTAGCAGGTCCACACAGACCAATTCTTGGGCCTCCACGTGGCTTGTTCAGGTGTGGATAGTGGCAGCAATGCGCCAGGCAGGTGGACAGGTTCTCGGGTCCTGGGAAATGGGCATGGCGTGGGTAATGGCAATAGTATTGGCAGAACAAACCTCTGCCTCCCAAGTGGTTTGTGTAGGCGTTGACAATATCAGCAATGGGCTGGGTGGGCCAGCCCTCAGACCTGCAGGTGGCATGTGTGGGTGCCAGCTGTGGTGGTAGTAGCAGGCTGGGTGGCCCTGACCTCTGGCCCCTGAGAGGAGTGTTCAGGTGCCAGCAATGGTGGACTGGGCTGTAGATGGTCCCCAGGCTCCTGGACAGTGTGCTTGGGTACTGGAGTTTGGGTATGGGCAGACCTAGCCTCAGCTACTGGTGTTTGGGGTTGGGGAGACCTAGCCTCAGGTCCCCTGGTGGTACATTCACCCAGTGGCTGTGGTAGGCATTGGTGGGGTGATCTCCAGGCCCAAGGCAAAATGTTTGGGTGGGGATGGCATCCATTGCAGCCCTGCTACTGGGGAGGACGGGGTTGCTTTCAGTGGCTGCAGCTGTATGCAGCGGGCTGGGGATTGCACACTTTGCTTGTACTTCAGCCTGGCAGTGCCAGCCCACAATGGCTGCTGTGGGTGGGGGTTTGACATTGGGGCATGTGAAAATGCACCCTGGATTTGCTGCTGGGATCAGCAGGGTGTTTGCCAGTAGTTTGTGCTTCAGCCTTGGTGGTAGCAGCCAACTGCAGCAGTGGCTGTGGGCAGGGAATATCAGTGGGGCTCCAGAAATGTGGAGATGCAGGGGCTGTTGGGCTCACTGGCAGGATACAGTCTGGTGAGGGCTGGACTCTTAATATGGTGCCTTCCTGGAGCTGCTTAGGGCTCAAAGGCTGTGCGGGACCCAGCATGATCCTCCTCTCTGGAGCGGTACCTTCATGTATTCTCCAGGTAGCTCCCATTAGTCTTGAGACTTGTGAGGGTTTAGGGGCTTTCCTCTAGCTAGGATGCAGGAGTCTGCAGTGGGAATGTTGGGCAGTAGGGGTCACTGACTTACCCTTTTCCTGCACTGGGGAGCCTCTCCATGTCCCCAGCCAATTTTGACTAACCAGGCTGCCTTGCTTTCCTGTCAGTCCTTGCTTTAGGATGGTGTTTCCATTCACTTCTCTGTTGATTTCCAGTGTTCTCTCTTAGATGATATATTTTACGTGTGATTATCTACTCACTATTTTGGTTCTTCTTTGTGAAGGAGGTGAGTACCAGTTGTTTCTAGTCAGCTATCTTGAAGCCCACCTACACGTTTTTGTGTGGACGTACATTTTCATTTCTTTGGGGTATATAGAAGTGGAATTGCTGAGTCTAATGGAAACTACATTTATCTTTTAAAGAACTGCCACTGTTTTTCTAAAGTTGCTGCACCATTTTGCATTCCCACTAGCAGTATTTGAGGGTTCTAATTCCTCTACAGCCTTGGTGACAATTGTTATTACCTGTCTTTTAAAAAACGGTAATACCTCATCATAGTTTTAATTTGCATTTCCCTGGTGATCTAATGAGGTCGAGTATCTTTTCACATGCTTGTTGTCCATTTGTATATCTTTGGAGAAATCCTTTGACCATGTTTTAATTGGGTTGCCATTTTACTGTTGAGTTAGAAAGGTTATGTATTGTAGGTATAAGTCCCTTTTCAGATATATTATTTGCAAATATGTGATTTGCAAATATTCTCACATTCTCTTAGTTATATTTTCACTTTATTAACAGTGTCTTTGAAGCACAAAATTAGTACTTTTTATTGTTTCAATTTATTTTTTTCTTGGGTAGTATATGCTTTTTGTGTCATATCTAAGATACCATTGCCTAATCCAAGGTCAACAAAATTCACTCCTATATTTTCTTCTAAGGGTTTTATTGTTTTAGCTTTTATATTTAGTACTATGATTCATTTTGAGCTAATTTTTGTACATTGTGTGAAGTAGGGGTCCATCTTTATTCTTTTACAGTAGATACCTAGTTGTCCCAGCACCATTTCTTGCAAAGACAATTCTTTCCACCATTGAATAGTCTTGACACCTTTGTTGAAAATTAACTAGATATTTTCTGGACTCTTAACTCTATTTTATTTATCTGTATGTCTATCTTTATGACATAGAGATATCTTTATGCCAGGACCACACTTTCTTAATTACTGTTGCTTGATAGTAGTTTTGATACATTTTTACTGAATATATTCTGATAAACACTTAATTTCTTATCCACAGTATATATGCTATACAGGCATACTTGTTATATTGTGCTTTGTAGATAGTGTGTGTGTGTGTGTGTGTGTGTGTTTGTGTGTGTTTTAACTAGTTGAAGGTTTGTGGCAATGATGCATTGAGTAAGTCTTTCGGTACAATATTCCCAACAGTGTGTGCTTACCTGTTGTTTCTGTGCCACAGTTTGGTAATTCTTGTAATATTTCAAACATGTTCATGATTATTATATCTGTTACTATGATCTATGATTGGTGATCTTTGATGTTACTATTGTAATTATTTTGGGGCACCACAAACTGCGCCCGTATAAATGGCAAACTTAATTGGTAAATGTTGTGTGTGTTCTGACTGCTGCATTCACTGGCCATTCCTCTATCTCTCTTCTTTGGGCCTTGCTATTCCCTAAGATACAATAATGTTGAAATGAGGCCAAATAATAATCCTATGGTGGCCTCTAAGTATTTAAGTGAAAAGAAGAGTTGCATGTCTCTCACTTTAAATCAAAAACTACAAATGATGAAACCTAATGAGAAAGGCATGTTAAAAGCTGAGACAGGCCGAAAACTAGACCTCTTGTGCCAAATTGCCAAGTTATGAATGCAAAGGAAAAGTTTTTGAAGGAAATTTAAAATGCTACTTCACAGAACGTACAAATGATAAGAAAGTGAAGCAGCTTTATTGTTGATATGGAGAAATTTTTGGTGGTCTGGATAGAAGATCACACAAGCCACAACATTCCATTAAACCAAGCCTAATCCAGAGCAAGGCCCCAACTCTTCAATTTTATGAAGGCTGTAAGAGGTGAGGAAGCTGGAGAAGAAAAGTTGGAAGCTAGCATAAGTTTGTTCTTAAGGCTTAAGGAAAGAAGGCATTTCCATAACATAAAAAATGCAAGGTGAAGCAGCAAGTGCTGATGTAGAAGTTGCAACAAATTATCCAAAAGATCTAAGATGATTAATCAAGGTGGCCACACAAAACAACAGATGTTCAGTGTACACAAAACAGCCTTCTATTGGAAGAAGATGCCATGTAGGACTTCTGTGGCTACAGAGGAGAAGTCGATACCTGGCTTCAAAGCTTCAAGGTACAGGACAGACTGACTCTCTTGTTACGGTTAAATGCAGCTGGTGACTGTAAGTTGAAGCCAGTGCTCATTTGCCATTCCAAAAATCCTAGGCTCTTAAGAATTATGCTAAATCTACTCTGCCTTTGCCCTAGAAATGGAAAAACAAAGCCTAAGTGACAGCCACATCTGTTTACAGCATGGCTTGCTGAATATTTTAAGCCCACTATTGAGAACTACTGCTCAGGAAAAAAAGTTCCTTTCGTAATATTACTGCTCATTGACAATGCATCAAGTCACTCAAGAGCTCTGATGAAGATATACAAGGAGGTTAATGTTGTTTTCATGCCTGCTACACCCCTTATGCATGCCATGGATCAAGGAGTAGTAATTTCAACTTTTAAGTCTTACCATTTAAGAAATACATTTCATGGGCTATAGCTGCTGTAGACAGTGATTCCTCTGATGGATCTGGAGAAAGTACATTGAAAACCTTCTGGAAAAGATTTACCATTTTAGATGCCATTAAGAACATTTGCGATTTATGGGAGGGGACCAAAATAACAATATGAACGGGAGTTTGGAAGAAGTTGATTCTAAACTTCATGGTTAACTTTGAAGGGTTCAAGACTTCAGTGGAGGTGGTAACTAAAGATGTGCTAGAAATAACAAGAGAAATAAGAAGTGGAAGATGTGACCGAATTGCTACAATCTCATGATCAGTGTTGAATGAATGGGAATTTGCTTCTTATGGATGAGCCCAAAAAGTGGTGTTTTGAGATGGAGTTTACCCTTAATGAAGATACTGTGGACGTTATTGAAATGACAACAAAGGATTTAGAAGAGTATATGGACTTAGTTGGTAAAGCAGTGGCAGTGTTTGAGAGGATTGACTCCACATTTTTTAACGAAGTCCTACTGTGGGTAAAGTGCTATCAAATTGCATCGCATGCTACAGAGAAATCGTTCATGAAAGGAAGAGTCAACCTATGCAGCAGACTTTATTGGTTTTTTTGCTTGTTTGTTTGTTTTGGGATGGAGTCTCTCTCTGTCGCCAGGCTGGCGTGCAGTGGCGTGATCTCGGCTCACTGCAACCTCTGTCTCTCGGGTTTAAGCGATTCTCCTGCCTCAGCCTCCCAAGTAGCTGGGACTACAGGTGTGCACCAACACGCCAGCTAATTTTTGTATTTTTAGTAGAGATGGGATTTCACCATGTTGGCCAGGATGGTATCGATCGCTTGACCTCAATATCCACCTGCCTCGGCCTTCCAAAATGCTGGGATTACAGGTGTGAGCCACCGGTTTATTGTTTTAATTTTGACAGCCACCCCAGCCTTCAGCAGCCACCACCCTGGCCAATCAGAAGCTGTCAACTTGGAGGTAAGACCCCCTACCAGCAAAAATATTACATCTCCCTGAAGGTTCAAATGATCATTAGCATTTTTTATCAATAAATAATTTTTAATTTAAGGTAGGTATGTACATTGTGTTTTAGACATAATGCTGTTGTACACTTCATAGAGTATAGCATAAACATAACATTTATATGCAGTGAGAAACCGAAAAATTTTTGCTACCGGCTTTATTGCAATACTCGCTTCATTGTTTAGAACCAAACCTGCAATATCTTCGAGGTATTTCTGTAAGTTATTTATGGTTTTTGTGTATCAGGTTTGATTCTGACTCTCTTCCCTTCTATCAACATGTTAATTCTCAAATTGCAAGGGTTTTTTTCTGTAGTATTGAACGTTACATTTTATTAAGGTAGAGAGATTTGGTTATGAGGTGATATTTCTAAAACCGAGTGGAAACCACATTTGTTGAATAATGCTCCCTCCAAAAGTTTCATCTCTTTCTGCATATGTGTAGTAACCTCTCAGAGCACTGTACCAGACACTGCTGGTATCTATAGCAATTACACCTCTGTAAAACAATCAAAAAAGAATTGTTAAGAAAGAGAAAGCAAGAGAGAGGATATATTCTATTTGTTATCCTAACCTTTAGTCACTTTACTTTCTCTTGAATACGAGTACTTTTTAGAATTACAATGAATTTTTAAATCTCTTTAGCTGGGATTTCATAGTGAACCTCAAGCGTTACCCTTTTGGGGTTTAAAAAAGAAATTAAAAAGGGTTTCCAGAATATACTCTTCCTCACATTGATTTAAGATTCTTTGAGGCTTGATTATTTAAAAGTCTAATGCATTCGGTGTTTAATTTTAAATCGAATGAATTAAATTAGCACTTAAATACTATTTAATATTTTAATTAAGTTAAAATATAGATGATGCTTACTTTATAAAATAAGTTTGCTGTTTTGTGATAAAATTAAGATTACAAGAAATTATACATCTGCACATGTTTTTGTCATAATTCGAATCCATGGATCTCTCTTTACAGTGTTAAGTGACGAATTTGTCAGGTTGCATAAGAAAGAAGTGGGAGAAAGAATCACAGTAAATTTAATCCTTCCATTGCAGTCTTACTTTTTCCCTACTCTTGCACCCTAAAGATCCTAGAGGCATTTTGGGAAACTACTGATACGGATATCATTTCATTACGTAAACTATTTTATTGCATAGCTTGAATATAGACCTACTAGACATCAAACAAGCAAAATAAGTGTTGTCTCTTTGGGATTTAGCTTGAGGTTTCAGGGAAGCAGCATATCACTTTTCAGTAATTTTTTACCATTATTCATTTTTACTTGGAATAAATAAATCATTTATCTCATCTTCCTGTTGATAGTGAAAGATAACAGGATAATCATAGCAGTGATAATCTGATGTCATTTTAGACCTAGCAAGAGTAGATTATCTGTGACCCAGATAAAATAATTAGAAATTACTTTAACTTAAAAATAGTGGATTCTAATCTCATTTTCAAGGTTAAAAGATTTCAACACAACCAGATGTTTCTGTTAAATAGACTAATCTGAAGCCCAATTCAAAAGGATTACCTGTGATTATTTTTCGATTTAATTTTAAACAGGATTTAAATATACGTTTTTGTGCGTTTTTACTACAATTTATATTGGAATAAAAATGTTTTCAAATCAGTCTACTTCGAGGCATTTTTTATTAAGGGAAACAGGTTAGTCAAATTATTTTTTAGACTTCAGACTGTTTAGCCTGTTTTTTGGTTTTTTTTTGCTGTTTCTGAATCAAATGGATAGTGATGTTATTTAATGTAATTGATGTTGTCTGAATTATTGAGCAGTAGTTCACACATAGCCAACAATAATGTCCATTCTGATGAGCACCAATACTAATAGTGCTGGGTGATTGTATTTGTCATGTTCTCAGTCACTGGGCTTGGAGAGAGTTAATCAAGAAGTGCTGTAACAGCTGGTACAGCGCATTCTGGTGAGGTTCTGACAGTGAGCTATTGTGTACCATGACACTGCTCTGACAGTTTATCTAATTTTTATATACAAGCATTTTTGTTTTCTGGGCTCTGTGGAGTTTATATAATAGTGTAAGCTTTTGATGATGTCTCTGGAGATTTTCTCAGTTGTGGTGAGGTTGGGGGTAGGGTGAGACAGATGTATTTAGTTGCAATTTTGTAAAAGACTAAATTCTCAAACAAAAAAATAGTGATTTTTGCATTTGGTTTCACAGGTGCTATTGTTGGATTCTATTTGAATTGCTGAAGATAGCTTAAATCAAAGCTTTTCAAATTAAGAAGAAAATGTTTTCCCCCCTAAATACTGGCTCATATTTAACTCAGCAAGTTAATGTTTACTTAAATAAATACAGGAGAAATCATAAATGCAGGGGTGACAGTTTTAACTTGGCTACCTTACTCACTGAAAAGTATCTTGTGTTCCAAGTGTGAAATCAGTTTAAAGGAGACTGTCTAGTAAACAGCATTTTACGAATCAGTCGATTTACTTGCCTTTTAATCTATACACAGAAGTGTAGTCCTCAAATGATTAATTCCTATAGTTAAATTTTGCCTAGTATTCTGCCAAATTATTTTGAATTAATAGCATTCAGTACACTCTTTATAACAATTATGTTTGATGTACTCAGCTCCAGGTCAGCATTGCAGACATGAACATCATTGCTAATTATGCTGACCCCAGCTCACATATACTTCTATAAAGGGAGCTCTGTAAGGCATTTTTGTCTTCCTCTGAATTTTTGCTTGATAAAAATAAAATAAATGTATTTCTAATGTAGTATTCCCAATTGTAATATTATATGAAAGATTTTATAGCTTTTTTAAAACCTAGAAAGTTAATTAAAATTTAAAGTGTCCCTTCTTTTTAAATATGCTTTTAATGTCATATAGTAAAATTGGGTATAATATTTTTTAGAATTTTGTATATGATAAGTTTATAAAAAACTAGGTTCCCCCTTGCCAAGGGCATTTGCTTAAATACCAAGTTATATTTCATATTTACATGAAATACTCTTTTAAAAAAATTATCAAAATTATTTTGATAATTATGGTGTGTGGAATTGGGCTACTCTTTAGCATATGCATGTTCCTATGTAAAAGCATATTTATATTGCATAATTTCTGTTTGCTCAGTGTAATAAACTGCTTGTAAGTATTTTTGATAAAACTAATTAAAAAGAAATCTTTTTCTATAATTTATTTATATGTCCTTAAATCACTACTGATTGCTTGAGTGATTAAATAGATGCTTAAAAAGTGTTCGTAAGGAAACTAAACATTTATGGGTTTTCCTTTTACTAACAATTTTTCCTAGATATTCATTTTATTATTTCATGATCTGAATCCACACAAATATTTAATCTGACATTAAAACATAGGACTGCAGAAAGCAGTAAATCTTATATTTATGGTTTGCTTATGGTATTTTGGCACAATAATTTATGTACATTTTATTGATATATTATTATTCCCTGAATCTCAGCCAAAGGGGCATGTTAAATGCCCATCTTATTTCTACTAATAACCAAAAATCTTATCAAAGTATAATTTTGGTGTTAAAAGTGTAAGAGTAGTTAAATTTGAGTTTTGATTATAAACAGTTTTTCAGCTGTTCCAAATATTCTGATTAGTGCGAGACTTATTTCTACAAAACATTATTGTATATAATCATCCTTGCTGGCTTCCTCTCTATGTTACTATATAATTATTTCCTGTATACTTGACTACTTTTACTAGATTGTAAGTTCCATGATGCTAAGGACTGTGTCATAATAGATACTTGGTAAATTTTTGATAGATGGATAAATGAATGAATGAATCATGGTTTACATATTTAGGACTTGTTTTTTCAACTGGATTATAAGCTCTTAGAGGGCATAGGATTTTATATGTGTAGTCTCTTGTAGTCCCTATTATTTTATTTTTCATTATAAAACCACTTGTTTGTTTGTTTAAACATAATGTTGAAAAGTTACATTTTGAGGTAATTGAGGTATTTCTTTCCAAGCCCTCTCAAAAAGTAGGTAGTAGGCAGTATCACTAAAATCTTAAGACTGCCATTTATTGAGGAGTTATAAGGGGTTTTGACATAATTAACTCATTTAATCCCCACAAAAACCTATGAGGTAAGCGTTATTATTTGGAAATGGAGGTATAGAGTTTTAGCAATTTTCTTTAGATTATACAGTCAGAAAGTGGCATTTAAGATTAAGAGAAGTGTGAGGATTATTTTGGAAAGAGATTTTCAGTGTCTATAAATATAAGATCTGTTGCCTTCTCACTTTTGTTCTATGATTGATTCGATGTTTATGTGAACTTCAGATCCCTGATAAAAGACATAGCTGGTCTTTTGTTGGAAATGGGTGCTTAAAGAACCATTCATTTCAAATGAGGAAAGTAGAAGGAAGACAGAGCTAAGATTAACAGGACATTTCCCTCTTTTGATTGAAAACAAAACTAAAAATAAGGAATCATGCTATTTCTGTTCATGTCCAATTAGTTTAGTGCTGCAAATTTATATTAAGTTGACCATTTTGTACAGTATGTGCTGCTAAGTGCTATGGAAAAATTTAAAGTTAAATGAGCTACTGTTCATATACTAATCAGAGGTGCTAAGAAGTGAAATGAAAGTCTTTCTTAGAATTAATATAAATTAGTAATAGATAAAGCAGGCAAAGTTTTTCTCTAATTGTGAAAAACTTGCCTGAGTAGTGTTTTTAATTTTTAAATTTTTGATTGATATATAATAATTGTACATAGTTATGGGGTACAATGTGATGCTTCAATATTTGTATACATAATGTAATGATCAAATCAGTAATTAACTTATCCATCACCTCAAACGTTTTTCATTTATTTGTGGTGAGAACATCCGAAATCCTCTCTTCAGGCTATTCTGAGATGTACAGTACTTTGTTGACTGTAATCACACTGCTGTGCAATAGAACACCACAATTTATTACTCCTTTCTAATTGTAACTTTGTACCCATCGACCATCCTCTTCCCCATCCTTCACTTCTTTCTACCCTCCCCAGTCTCTGCTAACTACTGTTCTATTCATACTTCTGTGAGATCACCTTTTTTAAGATTCTGCATATGAGTGAGAACAGTCAGTATTTGTCTTTCTTTAACTGGCTTATTTCATTTATGCATGTGATCACAAATGATCGTACTTCATTCTTTTTTTGGCCGATTAGTATTCCATTGTGTATATATACCATATTTACTTTATTCATCTGCTGTTAGACACAGGTTGATTCCATATCTTGGCTATTATGAAGAGTGCTGCAATAAACATGGGACTCTGACATACTGATTTTATTCCTTTGAATATACAGTTGTCCCTCACTCTCCATGGGGGATTGATTTCTGGACCCCACAGGGATATCGGAATCCATTGAGGCTCCTGTTCCTTATGTAAAATGGTGTAGTATTTGAATATAACTTATGGACATCTTCCCTTGTACTATAATTCATCTTCTAGATTATTTATAATACCCGATACAACGTAAATACTATGTAAATAGTTGTTAAACTATATTATTTTAATTCATATTATTATTTATTTTTTTAAATAGTTTTTCTTAAAGTATTTTCGATCCATGGTTGATTGAATCACAGCTACAGAACCCACAAATATGGAGGGCTGACAGTGTACCCAGTGCTGTGATTGCTGGATCATATAGTAGTTTTGTTTTTAACTTTTTGAGGTGCCTCCATACTGTTTTTTATAATGACTGCATGGATTTACACTTTCCCCAACAAGAGTAAAGGTTCTTCCCCAGACTGTGTAAGGGTTCCCTTTTCTCCACATCCTTGCCAACATTTACCTTTTGTATTTTTGATAATACCCTGGGATAATTCTGATTGGGATGACATGATTTCCCATTGTGGTTTTTGATTTACGTTTCTCTGATGGCTAGTGGTGTTGAACATTTCTTCATATACCTGTTGGTCATTTCTATAATCTTTTCTCTGTTTTAGAATCAGATTTTTTTTGTTTTCTCTCTCTTTTTTTTTTTTTTTCTGTTGAGTTGTTTGTGTTCCTTATGTATTCTGGGTATTAACCCCTTGTCAGATGTATAGTTGCAGAGATTTTCTTCCATTCTTTAGGTTGTTTCTTCAATGTATTTTTTTTTTTAAGAGACAGGATTTCATTCTATCACCTAAGCTGGAGTGCAGTGGCATGATCATAACTCACTGCAGCCTTGAACTTCTGGGCTCAAGCAAACCTCCCACCTAAGTCCCCCAAGTAGCGAGGACTACAGGCACATGCCACCATGCCATGCCTGCTAATTTTTTAAAGGTTTTGTTTTGTTTTTGTAGAGACAGGCTCTCACTATATTGGCTGCACTGGTCTTGAACTCCTGGCCTCAAGCAATCCACCTGCCTTGGCCTCCCAAAGTCCTGTAATTACTGGCGTGAGCCACCGCACCCAGCCATTCACTATGTTGTTTCCTTTGCTATGCAGAGCTTTTTTGTTTGATGTAATCTCATTTGTCTGTTTTTTTTTTTGTTGTTGCCTTTTTTTTTTATGTCTTACCTAAAAAATCCTTATCCAGGCAATGTCCTAAAGCATTTCCTCTATGTTTTCTTCCAGTAGTTTCATAGGATCAGGTCTTAACATTGAAGTTTTTGATCCATTTTGAGTAGATTGTGTGTATAGAACAGTGTTTTAAACTCTAGATTAAATCACCATAGAGTCATTAGGTAACTACGTGTAGCAGACTTGGAAGCATCAACAAGACCTATAATAATAAAGAATGCAGGGGATAATTGAGGTTAGATTGAACTGTCTTCAAGGAGTCTAATGAAAAGAATTTTCTTACTTTCCTCAGGTCTGCAGTTTGGCAGGTCTAGAAACTCCATTTTGAAATTGTTTGCAGGGTTAAACAGGTCCAGAGGCAATGGCTCTTACTTCCAGACTCAAAAGAGATAGTCATATAACAGATTGTTTATTCCTTTATGTGCGATTGTCAGGTGTGCCAAAGGACTCTTCAGCACATTCTTTCTCCTGTATGACAACATATGTGGCAAAGTGTTGCTTGGTGAGAATGAACTCAAAACAGGATGAGTTAGTTGGATGGATTGTATCATCAAGCGCTCTATGCCAAGAGGACTGGGTTCTCAGGTCTGTTAACCAGGAAACCTCTGGTGATAAATTCTTGCTCTTTATCCCACCCCCCTGCAACCTCTCATTTTCCTAACATCAAGCCAAGAGATATCTCTTTCTCCTTTTCTCTTAGGAACTTCCCCGCCCCCCCATTCCAGGTATAATTTTACTACTTAGGATACAGTGGTAATAGTCAACATAATTTTTTAGACTAGACCTGAAAAATAATTTCTTATGTAAGATCACCCATCAGAAGATAAAATATTAGATAAAATAGGTAGGGCCTATATTTCTGTATGTCTTGCTGTTTCTAGTTCATTATTTTTAAGAACATCCAGTTTTTAAAATAGTAAATCATCCTCATATATCTCTTGGTCATGTAGACTGAGGAAAGTCTTAGATATTTTGATCATTAGACTGTAATCGAGGTGTAAATATTTATAAATAAAAGTGTTCTGGTAGACGACACATAGTAAAAACTTGTTTGTTATCATTCCTGGACAAGTGAATTTCTCTGGATAGCTGAGTTTTACATATAACTGAGGACTTATATTTTGTATTTAAACTCCTTGAGGATAATAGTTATCTTATTGGTCCTTTCATGATGAGCACTAACTGTGTTGAGTCTTTAGTATTGAATGAAGTTATCTGCACCAAAATATTTTTTAGTGGTTTTTTTTAATTCCAAAAGTATATTTAACTTAATTTGACACTTGAGGATAACTTGTGGTTTTTCATATTCTTCATAGTAGTAACCCCTGTCCTCTTCTAGTTTGCTGTTTCTGTCCTGCTAGTGAATGTGATAACCTAATTTGTATTGCTCTGGGTGTGTTATATGTAAGCACCAGTGCAAAAACTTGATGACATGTTTGGTTGCTAAAATACAAATTGTACTTATAACAGTATTCTGGATAACAGAGTTACAGACAGATGAGCATTTGCCATTTCTAGAGGAAAAAAAATAGCCTATTTGGGCCAGCCTCACAAATCCTACTCATAAAGTAATGGTAAGCATCACATTGTTTGAAAGAATAACCATGCTTATGATGATTTAATAGATAGTATTTTAGTTATTTCCCAAAACAGATTCAAGAAAGGTATCAAAAACACTTGAAAATAAAAGCTTTTTCTGTATGAAATCTAAATCTGAAATCTTTAAAGTTGATTTTTTTAATGCCACAAATAAATCCTTCAGGATTATAAACAAGTTGTAATTTCTCCATAGTAAAAATTGCCCTTAATCTTAGCTGGTGAGAGTAGTCTGACCTTTCATTTGCCTTATATACCATGGAATAGTTTATAGTTTTTAAGTGTTGTCCACATCTGTGATCTTAGGCCATTCATATACCTTTCCTAATAGCTATTCTATTTCAGCTTTCTCGTTGACTTCTATCTCATCTTTTTCTTCGTACTTTTGTGTAAGTTGTTTTAATTGCTTTGGAACAATGTGTTACTATCAAAACTCTAAGAAACCATTAAAATGACTTACTTCCTTTACAGATGTGGAACCTGAAGCCCAAATTTCCTCTAAGACCCTAATCAGTGTTCTCATATGTTTGTAGACTGTGTTTTCATAAAGTAAGACATTTTGAGGAAATTGCAACGGAGCAGAGAAAGGTTAATTATTAATACAATTGTCACTGGATACCATTAATTACACAGCTTGATAGGAAAACTAATGAATATAGAATATGTAGCTAATCTATAACTTTTTAAAAATTCCTGGAAAATGTGTAAATGAAACTATGTTGTTGGTTATTAGTTATCTTAAAAATAGATCCATTTTCTCTGATTTTCTCTTACATAGGCTAACTGTAGTTATGCAACTATTCTTAATGAGAATTTAATATTATGAGCTATTAACATCTCTAAAGAGTTGTTTTTGAGTGAAGGTGCTGTTTATTAGCATCATTGGAAAAGTTTTGCAGCCAAATAAGTTCTTGGGATTTTACCTGTAGCTGCAAGAGTTTGCATGAATAGTACTGCTTAAATAAGTCCACCTATGTATAAACAAAGTGTTAAGGTAAAGTAAGGGATAAAAAGAGGAAAACTTCTCCAGCTTTTGGTGTATTTGAATGAATGTACTCTTTTGCACTGTTTCAAAATATATTTAAAATACAAATAAATATCTAAAAATAAGATTGTGTAATTTGTGTTTTGATTATTTGGCTATTGCTTATAACAATTTGCCAGTCTAATGATAAGTCTTCTGATAACAGAAACCAGCATTTCTGGAAGCAATCTTCTGTTTGTTGAAATTTTTTTTTTTACATATTTGTGTTAGAGCCTTACAGAAAGCATACAATTAGGGAATTGTATTATCAAAAAAGTTATTTTTTCCGCTAAGAAAGAACTCTGGTCAGTTTAGTTTTCAGAATAATAGATGTTGTAATATGGCAAATTCATAGATTGCCTTGTTGAGTTTTGTTGTTGTTTACAGAAACCCAGAACCAGTAGCACCCTGACTCTTAGGCAGTTTTCTGTTCATTAGTTTCTTTCATATGTCATTTTAGTATTTATTTTTTAATGCATATTCACTGACAGTTAAATTGAAAGTAGATTGTAGACTTTCAAAGGAATTGTCAAGAAAGCAAGTGTAATAAAAGGTTATATTTTAATGAAGTGATACTGTCATAATTTTTGTGAGGTTTTAGTATTTGAATAGGTTTTTTTTTGCATAGTATAATGTTGATTTTGTTTTTCCAAGGGGATTCCAGCAATGTATGAAAGATAATTTAAAATTCATAATACTCATATATAAACTGTTTAAATCTATAGAATATTTTTGGAATAAGATTAAAAACATGATAGAGTGGATACAGAATAAAGACTTAATAACTTTCTTACATCTGAATATAATTTTTTATTTTTAATAGGATACAACATCTATTGAAAAGATGTCAAACTGTTGTGAAGATATGTAAGTATAAAACTGAAGTGTATAGTATTATTTAAAATTGGAAAGAACTGGACATACTTGAGAAATATGTGCATATGGTAGATAGATAATATAATGATGGCTTTTTCTTGGTGCATTGTCTGAGGCCTGTGCTAGGCAAGCTACCCCAGTCTTACAGTAGGGGTTTTCCAGCCATGGTAGTTTTCACACTAAAATGCTGATCATTCTTGTGCCTTGTCTAACTAAAGTAAGTTAAATTATTTGTCCTGAAAGTACATCAAAAGAGATTTGCTACTGTGTTGTTGACACACATTCTGTTAATCCTGAGATTTTCCTCTGCTTCAAAAGTTGCGCTCGGTTGATTGACGACACAGATACAATATCTGCTATCCAGAGTTAAAACTCAGCTGCATGCCATAATGAAAGAAAAGCTGTATTTATGATGCTGGGACACAATTCATCAGAGTCCAGTAATGGATCCCCAGCCAATCTGTATTGTTTTAGCTGACTGAAGTGCACCATGGGAGTGCTGTCTTTCACTAATAATGCTGTCTTCTGTAGATCGAGGCCCCGAAAGCCATGGCAGCAGACCTTCTCAGAAGTTTTTGGCACTCGTTGGAAGATCCTGTGGTTCATTCCTTTCAGGCAGAGGCAACCACTGCGAGTTCCCTACCACTTTGCCAATCATGTCTAAACAGATGGATGGTGGGCACAGATGGGTCCTCCATGCTGGCAATGCGTTACAGGTTTTATGATAATAGAACTATGACAGTCTTCAAGTCAATTAAAATCCACCCACCAGTCTTAGGCATCATAATGTGCCCCAGGCTTTATTTTAATAGTGATCTTGATCCTGTTGTGGGACTAATACAAGATCTATATTTAAGTTTTAAAGCATGTTTACTTTCAAATTAGCTTTCCACAGGGATTTCTTGAAATGCTTTTGTTATTAAACTCAAAAGGCAGTGATTAGGATGAAATAATTGTACATAATTTATTTTAGTACTGACAGTGTTACAGATTCTAATTTATGGTAAATTTCAGATGTTTATTTAAAATTTTCACTTTTAAACAGTAACCAAATCTAAATTTAATTATTCAGGTTTTACAAAAGTTGATACACCTTCTTATAGTATAGGTAAATTTTCTTTTTCAAATCCAATTTAAAATAACCTTTCCTTTTAAATGTGCTGCAACGTTTTTAAAAATGCAGCAGCATAGGAGTGAACAACAGCAACACAAAACGGGCATTGGTTTCTTAGGAGTGGCTTGCTTACGTTTTCTTCTTTTTTCTTCACCAAAACCAACATGAAAGTACCACTGAAGTAAAACACCAACTACCTACCTTACTATAAAGGAAATGTTAAAATTTTTTTCACAATAATTTTTTCAATTTTCACTATTACTGTTGTAATTATTGATTGTGATTAAAATATTTGCTCCCAGGAGAACTCCTGACCAGTGGGCATGTATTCCTATTTTATCCTAAGATTTTAATGAGCAAAAAGGGGAGAGAATTTGCAATAACTTCACAATTACCTTTTCTAGTGCAGTTATATTAGAATGCATATGTTTTTAAAATGCTAGTATAACTAGATAGTATATAATGTACAGTATAAAGAGGAATATTGTGCTTTTGAAAAGAGTATACTTTTTACTTTTATTTATGTACTAGTAGATGTAAAATTTCACATTGAAGGTTTATATATATTGGCCAACTCATATAGAAATTTTATTTATAGGAAGCTACTACTAAAAAAAGTCACTAACTTTGTGTACCTATAATCCCTAAATTAAAATTAAATTTTAATTGGCTGGCTGTAATTTGCATTGAGAGACCTTTTACTAGTAGCTAGTGTTAGGAAGTGAACCTAAAATAAGAAAATATAATGATCTGTGTTTATCATTAGCCTTGTACAAATGTAAATTACTAATAGTGATGTTCTTTTGCAAGGCATAGAACATTTGTATGAAAAGACATTTAGTATGCTTTGAAAAAAACTCAGCTTTTAGTTTTTTTCCATTAGAATACTGCAAAACCCATATATCTTTTTAAAAAATTTATGTACTCACAGTCTTTCCCTTGAAGAGAAGATTGAAAAAGTCTACTGTTCATAAACCATGCTAACATTTTCCTTTTAGCTAGTTTTGAAAGTAAGGAACAATACCTGGGAAATAATTAAACAGAAGGTTACCATTGTCAGCCAGTTGGCTATACTGTGGTTAGTTCTTTCAGAAATTGTAAATATCTTGTAGCATATTCTGAAATAATAGAGTAAGTTCTTCTCAGAGATGTTAATATCATGTTTTTCATGTTCTAATTAGAATACTTTATTACTTACAAACTCAGAAATACGAACAGAAATACAGCAGACGAACATATTTATTGGTACTGAAAAGAGACGTAGTAAATTAAATAGAAGAAATATATTTATAAAGCTTAGTGAAACACAAAATTAGAATGTTCATGTCAGGCACAAGGGTTTGGATTTTGTGCAAGCTAATTTGGCCACATTTGGCCTGGTGACAGAACTGTTCATAAGGAAGTAATATATAGATAAGGTAGGTAGATATCAGTTGAATGCCTTATATTGTATACATTCCTTTCAAATAAAGACCTTGAGAAAACAGCAGAGCCAAGTGAAGATCACCTAAAGAACTTTGTGGCTAATTTATACTTCATGTAGTAGCAGTGGGTACTGGGCAGGGTCTCTTTCCCACTCTGATGATTTGTGCTCTTATTTTTCCTAGATTTACCTCATCTAGGGCATATTCTTTTCCCTCTTCCTCTTTACCTTTCCTGGTCCTGATCCCTCTGTACTCAGTTCCCCTAAATTATTGGACTACAAACTAATATACTAGAAAAGCATACACTTATTTTATTTGAATGCAGAAATGCTATCTATCAGTATATATACATAAGAATGTATATTACAGTATATCTATATATACTTAACACTGTAACTTTCAGTATTCCCCAGTTAGCGTACCTAACTCTCCTGTGGGTTTTGTTAATTCTTATTAGACTACTAGAGAAAAACCAACTGGCAGTTTGCTAAGCATATCTACTGGTGTTGTTTCTGCGCCCTCTTTTGGCTAATTGATGTAATTATACTGGCTCTAAAGATTTACTGCCCCATAAGTAAATAGTATAGCCACATTCTGAACATATCAAAAGTACAAACTTAGGAGGAGTGTATGTACAAAAATGTAAAATTTTATGAAAATGAACATGTTTTTATGATGTTATTTCTAGTTCATAAGAATGTGATGACTGCTTTGCTTCATTTATGTACGTTCCCATTATATTCTTGCTGTCAATCAATCACAAATTTATATCAGATTAGGATAAACTAAGCCATTTTATGTATTTTATTTTAAACCTTATTTTGGCAGAGTAATTCCTTAGAATTGGAAAAGCTGTTACTTTGAAATTACCAATTTATTACAAAACATAGAAATGTATTGTAGCTACAAAGACAACCAAGCATTTTCTGTGTTTTAATGAATATCTAAAAAACTACATTTAGTTTATTTTACTCAGTTTTGAAATGATTTTTTTACTGGCTCTATTGCCTTAAAATAACTAAGAGATTAATGATTCTTTGTATAATTTTCCTTTTCTTTGTTCTTTTTTTTACATTTCGCAGAGTTATATCTATAGTTTTAGTAACAATTTCTTATGTATTCTGGATAACTGAAAACAACTAAAGGTGTTGGGCATTAGAAAATAATTGTGAGCAGTAAGATTACTGATGTAATATGTATGTTGGACTGAAGTATTTCTTTATAAACATTCTATTTGATTTTAAGCAAAATGTATGTTAAAGCATGTTTTTACATCAGTAAAGTCATTTGTCGACCTTCTGGAAATGAAAGGTTTTTACCTAGATACTGTAAGTTACACCTCCTTAACAATCATATTTGTCATTGTTGTTTTCTGCAAACAAAAATGTTTATGGGCTTCATGTAGGCTTAAGATTGTAGGCAAAAATGGACTGAGTTCAGGACCCTTCAAGCAGTAGGCATTCAGTTACAGAGCAGTTGGTACTTTGTAACCCAGACTTACAGTTTAAAAATATCAAGTTAGCTGATGTTTCATTATAATAAAAATACTATTTTGCTTAAGAGTTGTATTACAAATATTTGTGCTTAACATTAGAAATAGCTGTTTTAAATTGTAGTTAACATATTAACTTTTTCAGAAAAAAAGCATGGTTTATTTTTAATAATGAAATAGAGAACATAATACGTAATGTTCAGTATAACAGCTGAGTTAAAACATCTGCCAGGATTAACATCAGTGCGTTTTTGCCAATGCATAGAGGCATTTTTCTCTAAGTATGATGGCTAATGATAACTATTCTTTGTTACACATTCAAGTCACTCCCATACAAGTAACTAGTGGGTGATATGTTTCACTCCAAAGGGTGTATTAATTCTGAATGCTAATCATGAAGACTTAAGTTAGGACAACACTTCAAACCAGGAAGTGTGAACTGATTTAGATTATAGCTACACAATTTTCTGTGTGTTAGATCATGGGGTAGTTTGAGTGTTTTCACATGTATTGCTATAAAATCACAATGTACCAAGCTCTGGTTTAATATGCCATTAATACTAATTAATAGAGCTGCTAGTCTCTCTCTGGACTTTTCTCTAGTCTCTGCTTCTCTTGCGCTTCCTGTATCAATAGATTACTTAGCTCAAGTTTACCAAGTTTAATAACCTATAGTTACTTTATTGAATAAGTTTCTGACATGACCTCTAATATACATAGATATATCTAGAATTTATTTGATAAAATTCACACATACAAACATTGAGTAGTTTGCTAATAGATACAAATATTAGATTTTCACACAACTCTACTACTGCTTTAAAAATATAAGTATTGGTAAGTGTAGCAAATAAGCCATGTACATTTAATGTGTTCTACTTGCTAGTATTAACTGTATGATTAATGAATGTGTTATTTAATGCCCAAGTTTGTTAACTTTTATTCTAGAAATCATCCTCTGAATTTATTATAAATCACAGATTTCATTGTGCTCTATATTTAGTCATTCTCAGTTGAATTCTAGAATATTCCACAGTACAGTATAAGAAAGTATTAGAACCAACTTGCTTGAACTATTTTGAACCAGTGTTGTAATTCTATATGTTAATCAGTATTTAGCATTTCTGCTCCTTTTGAGATGATGATGGTTTAACTTCAGGAAAGTGACTTTTCTGACTTCTTTTATTATCATTGTGCAATTTTTAGCAACAAAACTCACTATATCTTTGTCAGTTCTTCAGATGTTACAATACTGCCTGCTAATTTGAAACAGAAATAACAATGGTATTTTAAAAAGTCATTGATATTACTGATACTTTCCATTATCATTATATTTTTTACTATTATTATGTTCTTTTTGCCTTGTCCACCCTAGAGAATAGGTACAAATGAGTAGTGAGTATCCACAAACTTACTAAGATGGAGAGAAGGCTAGATGGTGCATGAATAATCAGCATCTCAGCAACAGAGTTGACTGGAGCCAGTTTCTGACATCAGAGAATCTCTTTGCTGTAATCATTTTAGCCTTATCTCTTATTTATACCATTTTTATGGGAAGAGTTGTTAGTGCATATAAGCATTTAGTTTGAATTATTTAACTTAAAGAATTTATATTGCGGTTTCTCTTCAGTTGGTCAGATGCCTTTTATAAATATTTTAGTTTTAAATATAATTGTGTAGAGTATGATCATGTGAAGTGTTAAAAATAATGTGGAAAACTCAGCTATTTAATGCAGAGGAGAAATGAATAGGTTGACCAAAGTTTGAAAAAACTGGCACCTTTTCTGGAAATCTCTTATTGCAAAGAAAAGATACTGAGTGTATAGAAAATTTTGTCACCAGAGGAAAAATAAACAATATATAAGGGTGGCTTTCACTTTAACATTTGGGATATTTTGGAGTTCTTGATACCTCGAAGGTCTCCATTTCTATTGGTATTTTGAATATCTGTAACATGTAATGTCGTTCTTATAACAGTTCAACACTGATTTTTTTGGTATCGATAGCTTTATATATAAACAAAGATGCGGACAAAATAGCTTAACAGAAGTTGTGGGCTTTTTTGTGGCTTTGCCTGCCTGTTTGACCAAATACAGGGTTTAATTGTTTGCAGGCTGTTAACTAAAGGGAAAGCTTACCTGCGTATTGCAAGCTATATATTCTTGCCAGTATACATTGGATGATATTTTAACCTACTGGTGCCTGAAGTTCGTGTTTTATAACCTCAACAACTATAAAACATCCTGGTGCTATTCACTTTAGCATTGAGTGACATTTTTAATTCCTGTACCAAAGAGTTAATTTTCTTTTTGGTTGACTGAGTTTTCTTCTCACATCGTTGTGTATTTATAAAGTAGAATTTAATGTTACTAAGAACAGTTTGATTAACAGATCTTATTTTTTGCATGCTGCTCTGGCAATTTAATGGATTTTAAATGTTTCTCATTTGGATTTTTTTTTAGGTAGGCATGTATGGATTTTAATTTTGTATTTTAATATAGCTTGGCTACTTTAAAAGGTAGTTTGATAGGCTGAAATTACAAAAGATAATTGAAGCACTTTTCACAAGTTGTTTTATTTCTGCAACAATGAATAAAAAGGTAAGAACTCTAATTTATATAAATGAACTATATAGCTTATTGGGCACTTTAGTGAATACTGAAACAAAATACTAAGATGAAGAGTTAAGGTTCGTTCTCATTACAAATCGAGTTCAGCGTGTGTGTGTGTGTGTGTGTGTGTGTGTGTGTGTGTGTAATCTTTAGTGGCTTTAAAGAATAATATTGCCATTTGTCTACTTTGCAAATAAAGATAACAGAACACCTTTAAAATATATGTATGTGTACATATGTGTGTGTAGATATATAGAGAGAGAGATACGGAGAGACAGACAGACAGAGAGAGAGACAGAGAGAGAGATGCTTTCCCAAGAGGAAATGCATATGTACCTTGATTTAAGCAAAACTGATAACAGAAAATTGAACTTAATGAAAGAAAAAAGTCTGGATATGGTTACTCACTTTACATAGAGTAAGATTTTTAAAACTAATTTTGCTTAGTAGTTAATTTTACAAAAATGAAGAGAAACACCCTTTAAGTGTACTCGTAATTTAAAACACCTTTGAAATGTAATTGTCCAAATGTAATGCTGCTATGTATATTATTTGGGTTCCAGATTTTTCCCTTTAAAATTCTCAAAACACTCAGTGTCCTTACAACTGCAGCTAAAATGGTTAATCATTCTGGCAAGAAGGTGACAGTGTGTATATTGGAAAGGCAGACATTCACATTTGAAAATATTTTGCATTATTGTTAGCTAAAATCAACCTCTCCTTGAATGTAGATACAATATATGGTTTTGCAGTCAATTCTGAATGGAAAAAAAGAATCAAGTCTGAAATTTATGTGAAATGTGGCTTCAGATCATTTGAACGATATGTAGAAATCTAGATGAACATATCATTAGAGGTGAAAGCAAAATTTGAAAGCCTAATGAGATGAAGCAACATTATCTCTCTCTAATCTGCCAACAATATTCCCTAGATTGTGTTGCCACTGTATTGATTCTGAGTAATTTGGCTTGTTTATGCGTGATTTAAATGCATGTGGCTGAATGCAGTAATTTTTCAAGTTATTGAGTAGTAGAGAATTCACCACTATTCACTGTCTCCCAGAGATGAACATATAAAAGAAAAAAAATTCTACTTCATATATGTAAGAATAAAGCAACTAAATGATACAAAAGTAAAAACTTCCACCAGAATCAGAGATATTCCGACAAGTGAATTGTGAGTCTAACACGGGAGGACAAAGCTAGGCTCTTGCAAGGACAGAGCACACGTGGATCATGCTGTATGAGCTCACTTTGTGTCCCTGGAATTAGTGTTTTTTTGTGTGTGATCTAACTGGCAAGTTTAATGAATAGCCAAAATCTATGTTATTCTTGAGGCTCCTAAAATTATGTGTGAACCCCAAGTTCTGTCTAGTATTATATCCCTAAAATGCTTTTAATAGTGGTATGTTACAAGTGGCATAAGAAGATCCTGTTTTTAAATTTGTCAGGCATTTTATTATTCAGTACATAATATGTATAGATCTGAGTGCTGTTTTCCTTGCATTGTCTATTATTTTTACCTTGTCTTTCCCCTAAGAGAATTTGAAGAAAATCTTCACCAATATTTCTAGTGTTGATGGTAATTAGGAAAATAGTAGTTGAGAGATGTAAGAATAGTTTGAGAAGAGTGAGTAAAATGGGTGAAATGACAAGTGGGAACCATGTAGCTGAGATGTATTTGTTTAGATGAAAAGTCTACACTGGTTCTTAATGTGAAAATCAAACCATGTATCTACCTTAAGAACAATGTTGTTGTTTTTAATTTATTGTAGCGATTTAGTTTTTTTCACGTAATATTTCTATTTTCTTTGCAGATTGTTTTTAATTTAAATTGTGGAATTTTTACTTCTCAAAATGTATTAAGTACTGTATTTTTTGAAATCTTATTTTTAAATAAATATTTTTTAAAAACGTAGGACTGTTTTTATCCTCTTACCTTTCTTACTTAGGAAAATTAACCCAAATTCTAGATTTCAGCACTACCAATGTAATAGGTCACTTTTAAAAATTTTATACAATGTGGATAATTATTCATGATTACTAGCCTTAGGATATTGTTCTGCCATAATCACAAAATTCATTAAGTATTCAAAAAGAACTAGGTGTACATACTAGGGCTGAAATTGACAAACGCAGTATTTCTAGTTAGGCATGTTTATCTTAGAGATGACGCAGATGGCTGGATTCAGTCACCCAATTTATTTAACATTTATTGTGGCAGACACTATTTTATAGCAGTATTTTTTCTTGAGGGGAATAATTTACTTACAGTAAAATGCAGAAACTTTAAGTTTACACCTAGGCACTATTTTAGATCTGGCAATATTGAATTAAAGCCTGTGCTCCTATGAAGTTGGCCAAAAAAAATCATCAGCTCTGAAAAGACAAATCAATCAGCAGGTCTTAAAGACAGTGAGTTAGTAGAAACTGCCCTGAGATTGAAAGACAGAGGTTTAACTTTATTTTTTAAATTCTTTTAAAAATTTTATTACCAGAAAAGTAATTTTGAAAAATATTCTAGATTAGTGATAAATTATTTGATAGATTTGCAAATAAAACTATAAATTTTGCTTTATTGGTAAGTCAAAGCAGGTTTGTCCGAAAGTTTGCCTTCTGATAAACTTTTAAGGATTATAAATCTTTAATCTTGTTTATTTTGCAATTTCCTTTGTTTTGATTCTAAGTAGCATTTATAATAATATTTTCTTAGTGATGATAAGTTACAACAGTTCTCAAACTTTTTGGTCTCAGGACTCCTTTACATTTATAAAAATTACTGCAGGCCCCAAAGAATTTTTGCTTATGTAAGTTATGTTTATCAGTATTTATTGTAATAGAAAATAAAACCGATTAGGATCTAGGAGAATTTGAAACAAAATGGGAAAAAATTTAAATAGTTGCTAATTCATTTAAACATAAACTCATTACATGTTAACATAAATAACATTTTTGTTTAGAGACCCATGATTTTATGTTTCTGCAAAGCTCTCATGTCTGCCTTCATAGAAGAAAGTTGGATCTCATACTGCTTCGCATTAGACCAATTGAATTGTTATTTTGTTAGAAGTATCTGGAGAAGTCTGATCTTGTGCAGATAATGTAGTTGGAAAAAGGAGGAGTATTCTGATCTTTTCAGGTAACTGGATATTTTCCTCTGGTACTACACTAAAACTCAAGTGATGGTTTCTTAAAGTTTAGTTAGTTCCAATGTGGAGTCAGAAACAATACCAAGGAACTTTTCGTGTTCTTAAAATCCACTGGTCTCTTTTTCACTTTGGAAAGTTCTTTTAGCCATACAAAATTAAGTTCATTAATATTACCACTGGTCTTGTCAGAAAAGTAAGTATTGCTTTTAGCCATACAAAATAAAATTAAATTCATTAATATTACCACTGATCTTGTCAGAAAAGTAAGTACTGGGAAGCGGTTAAGTTTGTGGTGACAGATTACATTTTTCAGAATTCTAATTTTCATGTGAAAGCTTGAATTTTTTTATTGGCAACCACATACTGTCAGTAGTTGTCCTTGAAGTGACAGGTTACCTTCACTTATTTTTGAGAAAATGCTTGCCAAATACCCAAGTCTGAAAAACTGGTTTGTCAGTCATTCCTTCAAGTATAAAATGGTGTTCCATGAAAGAAAGTGGCTAGTTCAGCTTGCAACTCAAACAGTCACACAAGTGCTTTTCTTTAGTAATAATACAATTAAATTCTGGAATTCACCTGAAGTGCTTTATGTGTACTTCCATTTTGTCAAACAATATTTAAAATGTGCTCAAGAACAAGCTTTAGTAAAATTAATGGTTTTTTGCTGTTTCATCAGTATTAAGTGAAAATGGCTTGTCACCTTTTTTAAGCGATAGTGTGGTTTAATCTAGTTAATTTGGCTTTGTTTGGGGAGGAAACAATTGGGGAAGGTGGAGCAGAGGAACATACATTTGAGACTAGATTCATTGACTCTGATAAGTGAGAAGAAACGTCCACTGCTAAAAATAATTGGAATGTGTATCTGTATATTCCAGCTTTTGAACACTTAAAATATGTATCCTTTACAGATTCACACCTACTTAGCCTTGTTATAAAGAGGCAAAAACTAAAAATACGTGATTGTATTATAAGAGTGCAAAATCATTTGAGAAGTTGCCAGATACTGTAGATGAACAAATGCATACAAATGCTGCTCTAGGCTGACCAATTACCCATATGAGCAGCAATTATATTAGCGTGCAAGAGCAATTGGAAGGAAAATTGGACCCTGTAGACATCCAGCTGAGCAAACAGTACTGAGGAAGGATAGAGGATATGTGTTAGCTTGAAAAAAAAAAATACATCTAAGCTAACTTAAAAAAATATTTGTATCAGTCACAGCACATTCTTTGTATGTCCTCTGGATGACTAGTATTTTCAAATTAGGCCCCTTCTCCAAACAAGAAAGCACCTCTGTTTAAAGATCAAACACAATAAAAATAGCAGTGTGTTTTGCATTTTTTAAGAAAGCCAGACTATTGAGGAAATTAGGAACTTGGAATATACAATTCCAAGCACTCAGATACTACTGTAGACACGTATTTGAGTGTGTCTTTAGTAGTAAGTTTAATTGTAGCATGGTTTGGGTGATATTTATCTTTCTTAGTATTGAAATTTACAACTTTAAAAAATTAGACATGTTCCCTCCTCCCCAAAAGTAGCTACTGGCCATAACTGAATGTTTGAGTACCTAGTACGAGATGGAGATTTTATAGTTCCACATTGAAACTATAGATGCGTAATCCTAGCTGAAGTCAGGACCAACAAGTTAATGAAATTTGTTTTATAACTTGTGTAAGCTTTGTAGCTGTAGAACACATATCCTCATTATGTTAAACAGGTTCATATTTTAATGGTGTCTAGAAGTAACCAGTATGAAGGGTTTTTGGATGGTCTGCACTTGTAACTTGATGTCTGGCTTTTAGCGAGTTTTTCAGTGTTCAAAAGCATTTCAGATATTCTCATCACGGAAAAGTACCCACAATGTGGAAAATACTGATCCAGTCAGTGCACGATACTGTGCTGTGAAGTGCTCTAATTTTTGTCATTGATTTTTCATGTACATTTTTTACGTTTGAAAGTCTCCAATAATTTGGGTAATCGCTGTGGTAGGAACCTTCTAAGAGGGTCTTCAGTGATCCTCACTTTTTGGTATTCAAAGCCCTGTAGAGTCTTCTTTTTCCTCCTCAGAGGTGAACGCTGTTTTAAACATGGTATGTAGCATACTGATAGATGTTTTTATACTTTATGTAAACATGAAAAATTGATCAGTTTTTAAAATTTACATAACCCTTCCACAACAGCCCTGATCTCTTGTCCTTACTTCCCCCCCGCCCCCAGCCCATAGCACTTATCACCGTCTAGAACAAAATGGAAAAAATTGCCGTTACCAAAATCTTCACTCCCACCCTCCTCCCCAAAAGTAGCTACTGGCCATAATTTGGTGTGCATCATTGCACTCCCCTTCCTTCACATTATCATATGTGTTATATATGATATTCCTATCATATAATGATATATGATTATCCCTATTAACATATAATAACTTTTTTTTTGGATACAGGGTCTGCCTCTGTCACCTAGGCTGGAGTGCAGTGGCACAATCTCAGCTCACTGCAGCCTCCACCTCCTGGCTCAAGCCATCCTCCCACACCCAGCTAATTTTTATATTTTTTGTAGAGTCGGGATTTTGCCATGTGGCCCAGGCTGGTCTGCAACTCCTGAGCTCAAGCAGTCTGCCCGCCTTGGCCTCACAAACTGCTTGATGATAGGCATGAGCCACCATGCCCACCCTCTTCTGTACAGTTCATATCAATAAACTATTATTTAACCATTCCTCTGTAGTGGGCATCATGTAGATTTTTTTTTTTTTTTTTTGCTATTAGTAACAGTGCTATGGAGGACAGTCTTGTGCAGAAATATTTGTGCCCATTTGTTAGTATTTCTGTAGGTAAAGTCTAGAAGTGAAATTGACAAGTCAGAGGATGTACTTATTTTTAATTTTGATAGGAAGTACCAAAATGTCTTCCAAAATTCTTTACACACATTCTCACATGAATACTATTAATCTTTAAAATTTGTAGCAAAGTAATAGAGGTGAACGTCTGGTTTTTTTTCTCTTGTGTATTCTTTGTTTATGGTTTTTGACTAGGTTACCTTTGCTTGTCAAATGTTAGTAACTTTTTATTAATATATTTCCTGGGTATTATTTTTTAATCTATTTAATAGGTTTCTAAAATTTAGCCCAGTCACTTGTTTTTCTTTATGGTGATTGTTCCAGTTGCTTTTGCTATATAACAATCCCAAACTTAGTGCCATAAAAAAACCAACCATTTTTTTATGGTCACAGTTTCTGTGGGTCAGGCATTCAGAAAGGGCACAGCAGCTTTTCTGTCTTCCATGGTGTCTGAGGTCTTAGCTGGAGGACCGAAAGATCCTGGAAGATTCTATGGCTGGCAACTGCAATCAACAGAAGCCTCGTTTACTCGCATACCTGATGGTTGATGCTGGCTGTCAGCTGAGAACTCAGCTTGGGTTATCATCCAGAACACCTACATGGACCTCTACATATAACTTTGGGCTTACTTACAGCATGATGGCTGGGTTCTAGAAGACAGTGGCCCAAGACAACCAGAAAGAAACTATGTCACTTTTTGTCACCTAGCTTCAGAAGTCACAAACCTGTAGTCCCAAGCTTATCCAGAGTCAGCGGGAGAGAACATAATTCCATTTCATGGGAAGAGTGTCAGAGTCACACTTCACAGGAAAAGTATATAGGATGGGAGATATTGTTGAGGACATCTTTGGAAATTAAATTTGCCCAATCATCATGTTGTATGGAAGAATTAAACTACCTTGAAATTTAGTACTTTTTATTATGACTTCTGGGTTTTATTACCTTGTTTAGAAAGGTCTTTCCTAAATCAAGATTATGTATTTTCCTTCATTTTTCAAGAAAACTTTGATATTTTTGTTTTTTTAACTATTATGCCCTTGAATCCATTTGAAGTTTATTTTCATAAACCCCAGTGTAGCTTTATTTTTACAAACTTCAATGTTTTGTACATTTTTGGAAACTTGTTTCTGTAATATTGTATAGTGAGAAACTAAATTATTTCAGATGGACAAAATATTAACAACACATAAGATCTGACAGTATAAAACTCCTAAAAGAAAACATAGGGGAAAATCTTCATAACATTGTTGACTTCTTGGAGATAACACCAAAAGCACAAGCAACAAAAGCAAATATAGACAAGTGGGACTGCATCAACTTTAAAAGCTTCTGCATAGCTAAGGAGACTTAATAGAATCAAATGGCAGTCTATCGAATGGGAGAAGGTATTTTCAAACCACATATTTGCTAAGAGGTTAATCAAAATACAAAACGAGCTCCTACAACTTAATAGAAGAAAAAAATCCATATAAAGACTGATTAAATAATGGGCAAAGGACTTTAATAGATATTTCTCCAAAGAAGACACACAAATGACCAACAGGTACGTGAAGGGATGCTCAACATCACTAATAGAGAGATGCAAAATTACAACGAGGTATTATCTCACAACTGTTAGAATGGCCATTTGAAAAAAATAGTGTTGGTGAGGATGTGGGGAAATTGGAACCCTTATGTACTGTTACTAGGGGTGTAAAATGGTGCAGCTGTTTTGAAAAACAGTATGGAAGTTCCTCAGAAGAATTAGAAATGCTATATGATTCAGGATTCCCACTTCTGGATATTAAAAAAAAAAAAAATGAAACCAGGATCTGGAAGAGATATTTGCACTCCCCATTTCATTAATGCAGTATTCATAATAGCCAAGAGATGGAAACAACCTAAATGCCCATTGATGGTTGAATGAATTTAGAAAATTTAGTATATACGTACAATGGAATGTTATTCAGCCATAGAAAAGGAAGGAAATACTGTCAGATGCTGCAGCTTGAACCTTGACAACATTTTGCTAAGTGAAATAAGCCAGCCACAGAAGGACAAATACTGCATGATTTCACCAATATGAAGTATCTAATGTAGTCAAACTTATAGAAACAGTAGAATGGTGGCTGCTGTGGGGAGGGGGAATTGGGGAACTGCTGTTCAAAAGGTATAGAGTTTCTGTCACGCGAGTTTAAAAAGTTCTAGAGCTCTGTTGTATAACATTATGCTTATAGTACTGCACTATACTTAAAATTTAACAGTACCGTACTGTATATTTAAAAATTTACTAAGAGGATTGATCTCATGTGCTTTTTGCCACAATAAAAAGTAATGTGAAGTATGAAAAATAATAACTGGAGAGTTTACTAAATTTGTGTAATTAAAAATACCAAGATTAATTACATGCTAATGTTTTGCTTTTTTCAGTTTTCTCACTTTGTTTTCTAAAAACATGCAATGTTACAGATACATCTAAGTCCTCAACCTGCAGTTTTCCTCCCTAGAGGTAGCCGCCATCCTAAAGTCAGTGTGAATTATTTTCATGAATGTTTTTGTGCTTTTATGATGTATGTAGCATCCATAAATGATACTATTTTCAAATTTTACATTTATGTAAATTTTAATCAGCATCACATTTTTTAAACAAAACATCTTTATTAATGTAGATTTGGGCCATTCATTATAAATCCCACAGAACAATTATTTGAATAAACTGTAGTTTATATATTATTCACTAAGTGGATTATTTCCTTTGTTATTAACTTGTTCAAAGAGAAGTGAAATAGTGGAATGGTAAGGTATGTGCATCTTCAACTGTAAAAGCTTTCCCAAATTGCTCTTTAGTCAAACCAATTTACACTCCAACCAACATATATATTGTTTCATCTTCCCCCACATCCTCACTAACCCTATGTAATGAGTTTTTCCTATTTGTTATTGATACATATTTTTGCTGCTTCCTGCATCATTTGTCAGTCCAATCGATTTGCCAGGAATCTAATGTAATTTTCTGGAAAAAGTCTTTGTAAATATCGAGAGAAAAAGTGAATAAAAACATGACTCTAATAACTCAATAATTCATGAAGGATATATTTTCTTAAGGCAAATCAAGGGATGAGTCAACATCTACGACTATAAATATGAATAAAAAATTATGCTCTTATGAGGTAGCCAGAGATAAACCACATTACTGAATACTTAGAGTTCGACCCCTCTAAAGTTCAGGATCCACTTGATTGTATTTGTTTCTTAATAAAGAGCAGCGATTCCCTTTTTCTAAATATTTCACAGGTAGATAAATTTGTAAAGTCCTTATAAAAATAAGTATTGCCTGTTGAGATCTTATTTTCATATTTTATTTATCTAGCAAATCAAGATTAGCTCAGTAATTTATATATCACATGAGGGTAGATTAACGAGCTTTGGTTGCGTTTATGTAAAAGTGGTTGAATCCAAATCTTTCATGTTACGGTTGTGCTTGTTACTGGGTCTTCATAGAAGTAAAAACCACACTGGGGAAAAATACCACAACAATTTTTTGTTTAGCACATTTTTTCACATCTGATTTGCAGTGTCATTTGTGTCCTTGAAGTATAGCATGCATTTAATTCTTCCAGTGGTTATCTTAAAAATTTCAGGAGGATTTACCTATATATTTCTAATTGTAATATTCATGTAAGAAATGGTACCTCAAATAGGAGGTAACTCCTCCTATTTGACATAAGAATTTATGTTTTTATTTCCTATCATACTTTTAAAAATATAATTTGGAGTTTAATACATTATTTTCTGTCTTCCATTTTTAAAGTTCACTTTATTGAGGGATAGTTTAAACACAACAAAATGTATTCATTTTAAGTACATTTCAGTGAGTTTTTAGAAATATGTATATCCATGTAGCTATCAACATATTCAAAATATGGAATATTCAATCACCCAAAAAGTTTCCTCAGGCCACTTTACTGCTCCCCCTCAACTCCCACCCCTCCAGGAAACGCGGACCTGTTTTCTGTGACTGTAAGTTAGATTTGCCTTTTACAGAATTTCGCATGAATGAAATTCTCCCTTTTTTTTTTTTTTTTTTTTTTTTTTTGAGATGAAGTCTCTCTCTCTGTTTTCCAGGCTGCTGGAATGCAGTGGCATGATCATAACTTCACTGTAACCTCGAACACCTGGGCTCAAGCAGGCCTTCTGCCTCAGCCTCCCGAGTGGCTGGGATTATAAGTGCAATTCACTGTGCCTGGCTTTTGTCCTTTGTTTTTCACTGGCTTTTGCTCAGCATATTTTTGAGATTCATTCATGTTGTGAGTATGTTTCTTTTCGTTTCAGCAATTTAAAAATGTCATCCCATTTTTTCTGACCTATAAATTTTCTACTGACAAATCTGTTTGTCTGATGGGGATTTCCTTATATGTGACTTGATGCTCTTCTCTTGCTGCTTTTAGATTTATTTCCTTTGGCTTTGGCATTTGACAGTTTGACTATATGGTGTGTGCATTGGAAAAGACCTGTTCAGGTTTAATATACTTGGGAATCACTGCACTTTGTCTATCTAGATGCCTGTATCTCTGGCAAGACTTGGGAAGTTTTTAGCTATTATTTCATTAAATAAGTTTTCTGTGCCTTTGGCCATCTCATCTCATGGAACTCCCAAGATGCGAATACTTTGTCACTTTATGAGGTCCCTTGTGTCATTGTAGGCTTTCTTCATTTTTTAAATTTGACTGAATTATTTCAAATGACCTGTCTTCAAGTTGAGAAATTCTTTCTTCTGCTTGATCTAGTCTATTGTTGAAGCTCTCTATTGAATTTTTTTATTTCATTCATTGAATTCTTCAGTTCCGATATTTCTGTTAGGTTCTTTTTATTATTATTATTATACTTTAAGTTCTGGGATGCATGTGTAGAACATGCAGGTTTGTTACATAGATATACACTTGCCATGGTGGTTTGCTGCACCCATCAACCCGTCACCTACATTAGGTATTTCTCCTAATGCTATCCCTCCCCTAGCTCCCCCACCTCCTGACTGGCCCTGGTGTGTGATGTTCCCCTCCGTGTGTCCATATATTTTCATTGTTCAACTCCCACTTATGAGTGAGAACATGTAGTGTTTGGTTTTCTGTTCCTGTGAGCGTTTGCTGAGAATGATGGTTTCCAGCTTCATCCATGTCCCTGCAAAGGACATGAACTCATCCGTTTTAATGGCTGCATAGTATTCCATGATATATATGTGCCACATTTTCTTTATCCAGTCTATCATTGATGCACAACTGGGTTGGTTCATAGTTTTTGCTATTATGAATTGTACTGCAGTAAACATACATGCACATGTGTCTTTATAGTAGAATGATTTATAATCCTTTGGGTATATACCCATTAATGGGATTGCTGGGTTAAATGGTAATTCTGGTTATAGATCCTTGAGGAATTGCCACACTGTCTTGCACAATTGTTGAACTAATTTACACTCCCACCAGCAGTGTAAAAGTGTTCCTGTTTTTCCACATCCTCTCCAGCATCTGTTGTTTCCTGACTTTTTAATGGTTGTCATTCTAACTGGCATGAGATGGTATCTCATTGTTGTTTTGATTTGCATTTCTCTAATGACCAGTGATGATGACCTTTTTTTCATGTGTCTGTTGGCTGCAAAATGTCTTCTTTTGAGAAGTGCCTGTTCATATCCTTTGCACACTTTTTGATGGGGTTGTTTTTTTCTTGTAAGTTGGTTTAAATTCCTTGTACATTGTGGATATTAGCTCTTTGTCAGATGGGTAGATTGCAAAAAATTTCTCCCATTCTGTAGGTTGCCTGTTCACCCTGATGATAGTTTCTTTTGCTGTGCAGAAGTTTTTTAGTTTGATTAGATCCCATTTGTCAATTTTGGCTTTTGTTGCCATTGCTTTTGGTGTTTTAGTCATGAAGTCTTTGTCCATGCCTATGTCCTGAAAGGTATTGCCTCAGTTTTCTTCTAGGGTTTTTATGGTTTTAGGTCTTACAGTAAGTCTTTAATCCATCTTGAGTTAATTTTTTGTATAAGGTGTAAGGAAGGGGTCAGTTTCAGTTTTCTGCATATGGCCATGCAGTTTTCCCAACACCATTTATTAAAAAGGGAATCCTTTCCCCATTGCTTGTTTTTGTCATATTTGTCAAAGAACAGATGGTTGTAGATGTGTGGCGTTGTTTCTGAGGCCTCTGTTCTGTTCCATTGGTCTATATATCTGTTTTCATACCAGTACCATGCTGTTTTGGTTACTGTAGCCTTGTAGTATGGTTTGAAGTCAGGTAGCATAATGCCTCCAGCCTTGTTCTTTTTGCTTCGGATTCTCTTGACTATACCAGCTCTTTTTTTTTGTTCCATGTGAAATTTAAAGTAGTATTTTCTAGTTCTGTGAAGTCAATGGTAACTTGATGGGGATAACCTTGAATCTATGAATTACTTTGGGCAATATGGCCATTTTCACCATATTGATTCTTCCTATCCATCAGCATGGAATGTTTTATCATTTGTTTGTGTCCTCTCTGATTTCCTTGAGCAGTGGTTTATAGTTCTCCTTGAAGAGTTCCTTCACATTCCTTGTAAGTTGTATTCCTAGGTATTTTATTCTCTTTGTAGCAGTTGTGAATGGGAGTTCATGCATGATTTGGTTCTCTGTCTGCTATTGGTGGGTAGGAATACTTGGGACTTTTGCGCATTGATTTTGTATCCTGAGACTTTGCTGAAGTTGCTTATCAGCTTAAGGAGATGTTGGGCTGAGTCAATGGGGTTTTCTAAATATACAGTCATGTCATCTGCAAACAGAGACAATGTGACTTCCTCTCTTCCTATTTGAATACCCTTTATTTCTTTCTCTTGCCTGATTGCCCTGGCTAGAACTTCCAATACTATGTTGAATAGGAGTGGTGAGAAAGGGCATCTTTGTCTTGTGCCAGTTTTCAAAGGGAATGCTTCCAGCTTTTGCCCATTCAGCATGATATTGGCTGTGGTTTTGTCATAAATAGCTCTTACTATTTTGAGATATGTTCCATCAATACCTAGTTTGTTGAGAGTTTTTAGCATGAAGGGGTATTGAAATTTATCTAAGGCCTTTTCTGCATCTATTGAGGTAATCATGTGGTTTCTGTCATTGGTTCTGTTTATATGATGGATTATGTTTATTGATTTGCATATATTGAACCAGCCTTGCATCCCAGGGATGAAGCCCACTTGATTGTGGTGGATAAGCTTTTTGATGTGATGCTGGACGCCCCTCCCCCCACTAAGCTTGAGCATCCCAGGTTGACTTCAGACTGCTGTGCTGGTGGCAAGAATTTCAAGCCAGTGGATCTTAGCTTGCTGGGCTCTGTGGGGGTGTGATTCACTGAGCTATATCACTTGGCACCCTGGCTTCAGCCCCCTTTCCAGGGGAGTGAACAATTCTGTCTTGCTGACATTCCAGGCGCCACTGGGGTATGGGAAAAAAAAAAAACTCCTGCAGCTAGCTCAGTGTCTGCCCAAACAGCCATCCATTTCTGTGCTTGAAACCCAGGGCCCTGGTGATATAGGCACCTGAGGGTATCTCCTGGTCTGCAGGTTGTGAAGACCATGAAAAAAGTGTAATGTCTGGGCTGGATAGCATTGTCCCTCATGGCACAGTCCCTCACAGCTTCCCTTAGCTAAGAGAGGGAGTTCTCCAACCCCTTGTGCTTCCCAAGTGAGGCAATGCCCCACCCTGCTTTGGCTCATCCTCTGTGGGCTGCACCCACTGTCTAACCAGTCCCAATGAGATGAGCCGGGTACCTCAGTTGGAAATGCAGAAATTACCCGCCTTCTGCATTGATCTCACTGGGAGCTGCAGACCAAAGCTGTTCCTATTCGGCCATCTTGCCAGCCCCATAAAGGCACTTCTTACATGGTGGCAGCAAGAGAGAATCAGGTTCTTTTTTTATGTTTATCTCTTCGTTAAATTTCACACTCAGGGATGGGTGAGGTGGCTCACATCTGTAATCCTAGCACTTTGGGAGGCCAAGGCAGGAGGATCGCTTGAGCTCAGGAGTTCGAGACCATCCTGGGTGACATGGTGAAACCCTGTCTCTACAAAAATAACAAAAAAAAATTTAGCTAGGCCTGGGATGTCACATGCTTGTGGTCCCAGCTACTTGGGAGACTGGAGTGGGAGAATCACCTGTGCTGGGAGAGGTTGAGGCTGCAGTGTGAGGCATGATTGTGCCACACTGCACTCCAGCTGGGGTGACAGAGTGAGACCCTGTCTTAAAAATAAATAAATACATTAATTAAATAAATAATAAAAAATATATTTCTCATTCAGATCATGAATTGCTTTTCTATTTTTTGTATTGTGTTCTCTTATATTTCACTGAGCTTTTTAAATATCATTCTGCATTTTTTCCAGGCATTTCATAGATATTTTTTTCTTGTTGGAATCTTTTGATGGAGAATCATTGTGTTCTTTTGGACATGTCACATTTCCTTGCTTTTTCATGTTTCTTGTGTCCTTACATTGATATCTGCACATCTCATGTAATAGTTGCTTTTTCCTTTTTATGGATTGGCTTTCATAGGGAAATACTTTTTCCTATAGATGTATCTATAGTGTTGGTTGGGTAGGGTGATTTGGTTTTGATTCTGAGTGGGCACAGTAGTATAGTCGTCGTATTATTTCTATGGGTGTAATCAGCATCAGTAGTGTCTGTCAGTTCACAGTGGCTTAGGCTATGGTTGTTAGTGAAAGTTGTGGTGAGGCTTTGCTGGAGATGAGGACACCAGGTGAGCTAGTACTCAGTCACCAGTGGTAGAGGCAGTTGGCTAGGTATGTTGGCCCTTGGGTCTTTGGGCAGCATACATGGGCACTGCAGTAGTAGGTCTAGGTGGACTAATCCTTGAGCCTCCAGGCAGCTTGCTCTGGGCTGGTTGTGGAGGCAGTGGGCCAGAGAGGTCGGTGGGCCCTTGGGCCTTTGGTCAGTATGCATGGCTTTGATAATGCCAGTAGTGGTGGTAGGCCAACTCTCAGGCCCCCAAGCAGCATGTGTGGGCACCAGTTGCGGTGGCAGTGAGCTGGGCAGGCAAGTTCTCTGGCCCCTCAGTTGTGTGGAGGGGGAGGGCATGTTGATGGTAGTGGGTAGAGTGGGTTAATTCTCAGGTACCCAGATGATGTGTCTGGGTGTTGGTAGGCTGGGTGGGTCTGTCTTTAGACCCCCAGAAGGTAGGCACAGGTGCTGGTGGTGGTGAGCAGAGCAGGCCTGTTGTCAGGGCTCGTGTTGCTGTGTGTGGCTGCCAGTGGTGGCAGGTAGGGCAGATCAGTTCTCAGGCTCCTGGATGGTGCACTTGGATGGAGGCAGCAGTAGCAGTGGGTGGGACAGACCTTACCTCAGACCCCCGGATGGTATGTGCAGGTACCAGCAGTGAGGGCTGGGGCAGACCTGTCCTCAGGCCTCTGCGTGGCACTGGGGCAAGCTGGTCCCTGGGTCTCCTGAAAGCACATGCAGGTGTGCGGTGACTCTGCTGCTAGGGAAGGGACTGCGTTGTTCTCAGTGGCATTGGCCCAAGGCAGGCCGCTCTCAGATTCTGAGGAGTGTGTGCTTCAGCTCCCTTTGTGCCAGAGCAGCCTCCCTGGTCCACTGCACTGTCCATTCCCTGGGATGTAGGATACTGCTTGGGCTAGAGTGCTGGATACCCAGCCACACTGCTGAGTCCAGCCAGCATTGTTCTGCTGCAGCCCTCTTGGTGGATGTGGTGGAATGGCAGCAGGGCTCCAGGGACGTGGAGATAGAGAGGGTGTTGGGCCCTAGGGAAGAATGTAGTCTGGTGGGAGCTGAGCTCTCAAATGGCACCATGCTATAGTTGCTTGGGTCTCGGGGTGTGTGGGACACATCCAAAACAAACTCCCTCTCTGGAACAATGCTGTTGCATGGACTTCAGGCATTTCCCTATACTAGTCTCAGGGCCTGTGAGGGCTGAGGGGCTCTACCTTGGCTAAGATTGCAGGAGTTCACAATGGAAAAGTGTACTGGGGGATCTCTCACTTACCTTTTCCCGGCACTGGAAAGTTTCTCCTGGCTTTGAGCCTATCCCAACCATGCTGGCTGCTTCACTTCTCTCTCCTTCCATGCCTCAGAAGTTCTCTGACACTGCCCTGCTGAATTCCAATGTTCTCTCTAAGATGCTGTATTCAATGTGTGATCTTCTACTCACTGTTTAGGCCCTTTCTGGAGGAGACAAGTGCCACGTACCTCTAGCCACCAGCCAGTAATTTATTCTATTAGGAATTCTGGGATATTTTGTTCTCTGTTATTTTTTTTTCTTTCAGAATTATTTGCTTTTTCTTAATCAGAGAGTTCCAGTGCAATTTCCAGGAATGAAGCAATAGACAAAGGAAGTCTTCCTATCTGAATCCAGGCATTTGTTAGTCAAGCTCTTGCTAGTTTTCATCTTTTCTCTGCAGGGAGGACCAGGAGATGGTACCAGGTCTCAGTCCCCACTGCTTTTCCTACCGGACCAGTGAATACTCTCACTGCTCTGCTCTTGGAGAGGTGGCCAACAACACACACAAGCAGCATGTAGGTATGTGGAAGGTTTTCTAGGGATGCCACCCATTTCCAGGTAGCCATACCCATCTTACACACACTCCTTCAGGGCACTGAGCCCCACCTCTTCATACCAACAACCTAGCGGCTTGCTTGGGGCGCAGCCTCATGTTGCCACTGAAGAGTGATGCTGTGGCTACCACCACTACTGAAGGATGAGGTGAAAAGACACGGGGGGTCATACTCATTCTGCTGTTCCATTTTGTTGCTGAGCCAAATTCCATTGTATTACCAATCTTCAATTTGTTATCGATTCATTTACTATAAACATTTGGGTTGCTTTCCATTTTGTTCTATAAATGAAACTGCCATGAACATTCACATACAAGTCTTTGTAAAGACATGTTTTCATTTCCCTTGGATAAATGCCTTAGAGTAGAATTACTGGGTTGAATGGTAGGTTTATGTTTGATTTAATAAGAAACTACCAAATTTTTCATGATCATGCCATTTTACACTCCCACCAGCAATGTATGAGTGTTCCAGTTGCTCCGTGTCTTTTCCAGTACTTGGTATTATGGGACTTTTCAAGTTTTAGCCACTCTAGTGTATCTGGTTGTGATTTTAATTTACATTTGCCTGATGGCTAATGATGTTGAACATCTTTTATGTGCATATTGACTGATCTTGTATTTTCTTCTTTTGGAGATGTCTTCTTTTTTTTCCTTCATGGCATTTGCAGCCAATGGAGATGTGCTTTCAAATCTTTTGACCATTTTTAATTGGGTTGTCTTCTTACTGAGTCAAAAGAGTTTGTTATATATTCTGGATACCATTCCTTTGTCAGATGTATTTATATTTTCTTCCTGTTTGTTACTTACATGCCTTAAAATTCACCTGTTATATTGTGCACAATTGAATATTTTGTAGTAAATGTATAGTTGTACAACCTTCACCAAAATTCAGTTTTAGAACATTTCCATCACCTTAGAAAGACCCCTTGGACTCTGGCAACCACTAATATGCTTTTATAGATTTGATTTTTCTAGGCAGTTACTATAAATGGAATCATACATTATGTAGTCTTTTATGTCTGACTCTTTTCACTTAATGTAGTGTTTTTGAGGTTTATCTATGTTGTACCATGTGTCCGTAATCTATGCCTTTTTATTGTTGAACAGAACTCTGTCTTATGAATATGCCACATTTTGCTTATCCATTTGTCAGTTGATGAACATGTGGATTGCTTTCAGTTTTTGGCTATTATGAGTAATACTGCTTTGAATTTACATAAAAATGTGTGGACATATGTTTTATTTATCTGGGGTAGATACCTAAGAGTGGAAATCTGCATTGAATGGTAAATTTATATTTAATTTTTTAATAAACTATTAACTAGTTTTAAAAGTGTATGTCACATTTTACCTGACTACTAGAAATGTATGAGTTTTTCAGTTTTCCACATCTGCACTAATAACTTATCTTTTTTATTATAGCCATCCAAGTTAATATGTAGTGGCATTTCATTGCGGTTTTAATTTGACATTCTCAAATGGCTAGTGATGTTGAACGTATTTTTATGTGTATGTTTATTAACCATTTGGATATCTTCTCTGATAAACTGTCTATTCAAAATTTTTGCCCACTTATTAAATTGTTTACTTATTATTATAAGAATTATGTGTTCTGGATACAAGGACTTTATCAGATATATGATTTGCAAATATTTTCTTTTAGTTTGTGGTTTGTCTTTTCATTTTCTTAATGATATCCTTTGAAGCACAAAATTTTTGATGAATTCCAATTTATCATTTTTAAAAGTGATCATGCTTTTGATATTATCTAAGAGGTCTTTGCTTAACCCAAGGTCATGCAGGTTTTTATCTAGAAGTTTCATAGTTCTAGGTTTTACATTTATATCTACTGTGATCCATTTTGAGTTAATTTTTATGTATACTGTGAAGTGAGGGTCTAAGTTTTCTTTGTTTCGTTACATATAGATAATCCGGTTGTGTCAGTATCATTGGCTGAAAAGACTGTCTTTCCCCATTGAATTGTTTTGGCAAATTTATTGATAATCAATTGATCGTAATGTAATGCTTATTTCTAGCATGTGAATTATGTTCTGTTGTTCTTATCGTTATAACAATACCACTCTGTAGCTTTATATTAAGTTTTGAGTTCAGGTAGTATAAATCATCCAGCTTTGTTCTTTTCTTTCAAAATTATTTTACCTATCTTAGGTCCTTTGTATTTTCATATGAATTTTAGGATTATTTCATCCTCATTGGTGCTGCTCACCATGCCCATTGCACCGTGACCAGGTCATAGTAGGAACTATCTACATCTGAAAAAAGCTTTTCCATGGAACTGGGGTTTTTATTCTCCAGATTTTCAAATATCTTATCTAGCAATTTTTGAAAACTTCCTCTATTTGCTTGAGGGCTATCCATTTCTTAGATGCTGCTCTGTGGGTTCCTCGATTACTGTGCTGAGGTGACCAGGGAAAGTTCAGAAACTAGGCCCTGTTTCCCCAAGCTGTCTCCCAAGCCAGGAACAGGGTACATCCCCTCCTGCTCCCAGTTAGTGGCTCAGGGAGCTCTTCCCACTTAGTGGCTCAGGATCTCTGCAGAGACCAGGTGGTCTAGAAGCACTTGCCCTTCACCCTGGGGCACCGCCATCCACCATTTTCCATCCTGGGTCATCTCTCTTGAATCTGTAGGACAGTGTTGGTTATGAGGACCCAGTGGCAGAGGTTGGGCTGGACCAGCATGTGGCAGAGCTGTAGCTTAACTAGGGACATGTCCAGAAGTGACTGTCATTGAAGATTATAGAAAGGGACAGTCTCAAAACTGATCAGGGCTCCTTTCATGTCTTCCTTGTAGTCAACGCATTTCCTCTTTAATCCTTGAGCAAACATTGTGTCATGTGTCATGATGGTTGCCTGCCCAGCCCAGTCCACTGTCATCGTCCCACTCACCACCACCGAGTAGGGTGTGACATCTGGCCAGCACAGGGTGGAGAAGATCTATTCAGATTTTTTGTATTTCCTGTTAAGCCTGTTTTGGAAATTTATGTATTTTCTAGGAATTCGTCTCTTTTATTCACGTTATCTAATATGTTGACATAAAGTTGTTCATAATAGTCCCTTAAAATCCTTTCAATTTTTGTAGTGTCAGTAGTGATGTCCTCTCTTTCATTCCTAATTTTGGAAACCTATCTTCTTTTTTTGTTTTGTTTAGTTAGTGTACTTAAAGGTTTGTCAATTTTGTTAATCTGTTTAAAATACATACTTTTATCTTGATTTTCTTTATTGTTGTCATTTTCCATTTCCTTTGTTTGTGCTATGATTTCTAATTTCCTCCCTATTTCTTTTTTTCTACTTGCTTTGAGTTTACTTTTTGAGATGGAAGCTTAAGTTATTTGGTTGAAACCTTTATTTTTTCTAATATAGATTTTTAAAGCTATAAATTGCCCTCCCTGTACTACTTTAGCTGTACCACATAAATTTTGATATGCTGTGTTCTTTTTTATTCAATTAAAACTATCTTAATTTCCCATTTGATCTGTTGTTTGATCATGGATTGTTTAGAAGTATGTTGTCTAATTTCCGAATGTGGAGATGTCTCAAATTTGTTTCTGCTGTTGATTTCTAATTTAATTCCTTTGTGGCTGTAAAACACACTTTGTATGAGTTCAGTTATTTTAATTTATTAGGATTTATTTTATGGATTAGCATATGATGTATCTTGAACAATTTTTCATATGTGCTTGAGAAGAACATGTATTCTGATAGTAGTAGGTTACAGTATTCTATAAATGTCAGTTAGGGCAGTTGGTTGATGTGTTTGTTGAAGTCTTTTATATCCTCACTGCTTTTCTGTTTAGATTTTCTGTCAATTATTGAGAATGGGGTATTGAAATCTTTAAATATTGTTGAATTGTTATTTGTTCTTTTAATTCTTTCAGGTTTTGCTTTATGTATTTGAGAGTGCTCTTGTTAGGTATGTATAGATTTATAATTGCTATGTGGTCCTGACTGTATACTGTACTGTTGGGTTTATAACAGAAAATACATGTACAAGTCAATATCACTTAAGAAAATCCTTCATGAAGCAGTAAATATGTATAAATATATATATTTTAAAAGAGAAAGAGGAAGGAAGGAAATGGAATTATATCGAAACAAAGTTTCTGTATTTTACCGAATTAAATAAGTATAAATCCAGAATAGATTGTGATGAGTTACAATGGACATTCTAATTGTTACACTAACTGCTAAGAAAATAAGCCAGTAAAATATGCTTAAAATCAATAGAGGAATTAAAATGTTACACTAAAAATAGATGTTTAATACAAAAGCAGGAAGAAAGGAACAGAGAAAAAAATATATAAGACACAGAAAAACTAATTGTAAAAATGGCATGCAGACATCCAATTGTACCAATAATACTTTGATGTAAATGGAGTAAAAACCTCAATAAAAAGGCAAACATTTTCAGACTGTATAAAAAGCAAGATCCAACTATATGTCTGTAAGATAAAATTTAGATTCAGACATAAATAGGTTGAAAATAAGAAAATTAAAAAACAGATATCATGCAAGCAGTAATCATAAGAGCTAGAATAGCTACCTTGGTATCAGGCAAAATAGATTTTAAGCTAAGAAATATTACTAGATAGAAGAATATTTTATAAGAGATATACTGAAAGGTTATAATTTTATATCAGTAACTTTTACTGTTTCATGAAGTATTTTTGTGAGTGAAATTGGCTTTTTTCTTGTAGTTTTCATGATGGACAATACGATGATTACTAGTAAAGACTGATGTTATGTCTCAATTTGTATGAAGGGATCATGGACCAGTTTTAGAACTGCTGACTTAAGCCATTTACATTTCATATAACTTCATGATAATTGTGTTTAAGTCTGTCATCTTGCTGTTTGATTATTATTCGTCTCATGTCTGCTGCTATCACAAAATACCTGCGACTGGAGAATATATAAAGAACAGAAATGTATTTATAGTTCTGAAGGCTGGAAAGTCTAAGATCAAGGCTCCAGCAGATTCAGTGTTTGATGACCTTCTTGTTGCATTCTCAGTGGCAGAAGGGACAAAAGTGCTAAAAGGGACCAAATTTACTCCCTCAATCCTCTAATAAGGCACTAATCTGTTCATGAGGACAGATCCCTCATGACCTAATAATCTCCTAAAGGTCACGCCTCTTAATACCATTATGTTAGGAATTATATATCAACATGAATTTTGGAAGGGACAGAAACATTCAAATTATAGTGTTCTATCTGTTCTTTGTTCCCTTTTCCTGCCTTTTTTGGAGTAACTCAGTATTTTCCTTTACCCCATTTTATTCCCACTATTGGTTTATGAGGTATACCTCTTTTAATTTTTAATGGTTTCTGTTAGAATTACAATATGCCATATCACAGACTACCCTTAGATATTACTGTGCTACTTCAAGTATAATGTAAAAACACACAACATTTTGCTTCTATTTCCCCCTTTGTTCTATTGCATATTGTTGTATATTTTTCTGATATATGTGTTATAAACTTCCTGATACATTATTATTACTTTTCTTTTGCCAGTCAGTTATCTTTTTAAAAAATTTAAAAGTAGGAAAAATATCTTTCAAATTTCCCCATATGTTTATCATTTCTGGTGCTCTTCGTTCCTTTTGTAGATCCTAGTTTTCATGTAGCATCTTTATCCTTCTGTCTGAGAATTTCCTTTTACATTTCTTGTGATTCAGGCTTGCTGATGATAAATTTGCTCAGCATCTGTTTGTCTGAAAAATTTTTCTTTCACCCTCATTTCTGAAGCATATTTTTGTTGAATATAGAATTTGAGGTTGGTGGAGTTTGTCCCCTCCCCACATTCAGCCCCTTCCATTCTATTATTTTCTGGTATTTATATTTTCTGGTGAGAAGTCTGTGAAATTTTTTTCTTTTATTCAATATGTCATTTTTCTCCATTTTAGAAATAGTCCCATTATCTCTGGTTTTTAGTAGTTTAAGTATGATGTGTCTTGGTGTGGTTTTCATTGTGATTATCTACTTGAGTTTAAATTTGAGTCTATTATTTTCATCAGATTTGGAAAACTTTGGTTGTTATAACTTCAAATATTTTGTCCAATTCCTTACTCCTAAACACAAGTAATATGACTTAGTATTGTCACCTAGCTTACTAAGACTCAGTTCATATTTTCCAAGGCTTTTTTTCTGCCTGTCCTTTTGTTTGAATAGTTTCTATGTTTCATGTTCACTCTCTTTTCCTCTGCAGTGTCTAATCTGCTGCTAACCCTGCTGCTAACCGTGAAATTTTCATTTTAGATATTGTATTTTTCATCTCCAGAAGTCATATTTAGTTTTTCTTTATATCATTCATTTCTCTTTTAATTATATACATGTTTTTCTTTAAATACTTAAACATGGTTATAACAGCTGTGTTTTAAGCTCCTTGTCTGTTAATTCCATCATCTGTCATTTTTGCATCTGTTTTTATTGACTAACTTTCTTCCTCATCATGGTCACATATCCTTGCTTCTTCCCATATTTAGTAAAGTTTAGTTGGATGCTGGATTGTTTTAATTTAGCATTTTGGAGTGACTGCTTTTGCACTTGCCTTTAAAAGTATTGGACTTCGTTTTGATAGTTGAATTACTTGCAAATCAGCTTGATCATTCTGAGACTTGTTTTTAACTTTTGTCGAAAAGGCTATGCTACTTCAAGTATAATAAAACCTAGTTTTAGTTTTATCCTATAACTAAGGCATGTGTTCAATTTGAATGTCTCCAACCCTGTGTGAACTCTGAAAATTGTTCAGCTCCCAATTTCGCAGTAATTTTTTTTTGTTCAGCCTTGCAGTCTCATCCTACTCAAGTGTGGCTCTGTATCCAACAACAGTCTTGGAGATCTCATGAAGATTTCTGAAACTTTTGCTCTGCAGGATACCTTCCTTTGTGGTTATGTGCCCTGAAAACTCCAGCCTCCGTGTCTTCAATTCAGTGAAACTACTACTCTGCTTGGATTCCCCTCTTATACAATGGTCTACCAAGTGACTGCAAACAGAAATCTAAGGGAATTTCAGGAGTCACCTCATTTATTTTCCTTTTTTTCAGGGATTATAGTAGTACTATACCACCTGTCAGCCAATGTGTGAGAATGGTGGTTTCATACATTTTCTCCAATTCTTTCTTGTTACAGGAGCCTCCATTACTTTTCAAACAGTAATGCAGTTGCAGTTGCCTCTCCTTTTCTTCATTATGTGTTTATCTCTGGCAGTTTGAGCCAAGAGAGGGCACGGAGAAGTACAATGACTAGAGAGCACTTCTGTTGAGGCTCATTCATTGACCCCTACCCCAGTGCTTTATGAATGTGTGCTGCAGATGTCATACAGCATCACAGCTTCTTCTCTAATTTATGAGCCATAATTTTTTTTTTTGTATTTTTATTGTATTACCTGCTTGGTTGCAAGAGGATGATGAGGAGGACTACTATAGGATAAATTTGTTTTTATAGAGCAATTTCTCATGGGTCACGAGGGATAGTACTCCATTTTCCTCACTGATATCGGCTTGATCATCTGAGTCAGTGGGCTCATTGTGGAAACATATGGAATCCTTTATGCTTTTTCTCAGGCTGCTTCTGTTACATGAAATAAAGCCAGAGTTGATTGTGAATTGAAGCCTCTGTAGATACTTTTTAAAAGATCTTGTTCCGTCAGCCTTATAACTAATCATCATCATCATTACCACCACCATCATCATCTATACTTTATTGAGGAATCTCAACCCATTGGAGCAAAGATATAAAGCTGTTTTTGTAAATAATTGTGCCCTGTTAACTCCCATTTGTGCTACTGGATGATGGCTCCCTTAATGACATTTTGCTTAGATTCTGTAATGTTTTTCAGTCACTTTTCTTTATCAAAACATTTATTCTGATAGTTAAGCCTTGCTCATGTTTAATTTTAATCTTTTTTTTTTTTTTTTTTTGAGACAGAGTTTCGCTCTTGTCGCCCAGGCTGGAGTGCAGTGGCGCAATCTTGGCTCACTGCAACCTCCGCCTCCCGGGTTCAAGCGATTCTCCTGCCTCACCCTCCCGAGTAGTTGGGATTACAGGCACCTACCACCACGCCCAGCTAATTTTTGTGTTTTTAGTAGAGAAGGGGTTTCACCATGTTGGCCAGGCTGGTCTCGAACTCCTGACCACAGGTGATCCACCCGCCTCGGCCTCCCAAAGTGCTGGGATTACAGGCATGAGCCACTGCGCCCGGCCTAATTTTAATCTTTTGTACAATTCAAAGCCCTGTTTCACTCCTACACCTAAGTCAGACTAGAGTTGAAACTCCAGAGCTGCTTTCTCATGCAGAGATTCAAGTAGGAAAGAGGAAGAGGCCAAAGGACAAGAGCCAGGTTCTTCCCTATTGGCTGTTTCTGCTTCTCTTACCGGCACCAGCTGACTGTTGACATCTTCTGTGTGGTTAGTTTCCTCTTACTGGCTCTTTAATCATCTCTCTGGAGAATGCTGGGAGAGACAAAAGATACTCCCCTCTGCAGATCCCTTGATTTGAGGGATCAGGCTTCCACTTGACCTCTTTCCTCTCCTTTGACTCCAGTGAAAGACAGTCCACCCGGCAACATCTTGTAGCTGGGATGCTTTTGCATGGTAGGTGAGGCTCTTTATTGAGGTATAGGTGAAATGAAAAATGTTCAGCCTCCCCTAGGTGGTATCCACCCAGCTCGTGGAAATTTTATTCTTTCTATGAAAACAGTGGAAATGTAAGCAGCTTCTCAGCCAGCTCTCTCAACTCCACCATCTCTTCCTCACTCATTTCTCCAAGACCAAACAATACAACACATACTCAACAGGCCTGGTGCCTTACCAGCTTTCAGAGGAAAGATGACCATTAATCTCTTGGTTAATGAAAAGTGAGGGTTTGGTGAACCTACAGAACTTAGCTAGAATTTCTTTTAGGGTCTTTCTCCCTTAGCTTTGAGGAGAAGCATCAGGTATCCTCCCCCATGGGAAAAGGGAGGTTATAGACTCTTCTTATGAATATTCACTCACAGGCAACACACCTTTGCCAGTTTTTCCTTAATTTTAATAGGTTGGCTGGTGTTGGAGTTGGGGAAGATGGAAACCGGCACCTTGCCGTAAACCTAGAACATTTTGTGCCATCAGTTTATGCATTTGCTGCAATTCCAGGACAATGGGGAAAATCCTGTTTTATACTAACAACAACAACCATGAAACTATACTACTAGTAGCTGACATTTACTGACTTCTTATTAAATGCCATGCATGGTACTGAGAGCCTTACAGGCATTACCTCCTCAAATCCTCAGGACTATGAAATCATCCCTTATTATCTCTATTTTCCAGGTAAGAAAATTAAGGTCACCGGCTATTCTGTAGTAGAGCCAGAATTCAAACCTGGAGTCTGCCTTTTGAGGTACTAGTGGTGTTTTCCCCCCAGATTATGTATTTTGGGCATTGATACTACTGAGTTTCCATCTTTAGGTGCATCTTCGCTGGTATCAATTGGAGGAACTGGAGAAGATGCACTGGCGCTGTGAGACAGAAGTCATTCTCAGCCAGGAGTGTCATTTTCTCCTTGGAGTCTCTAACTTCAGGATTCTGTGATTTGGCCATAAATAATAAATATGGTTTAGTAGAGGTTAATAAAATGTTTGTTGAATTACTGCCAACTTTATTCTAGGTCCTCGTTTCTTTGGTTGTTCTTTTAGGGACTAACTGCCTCTCTGGGAATTAATTTCCCAATGTGGATTTGAATTAATTCCCCCAGGCCACAGAATTGTAATCTGGAAGAGTTCATTCAGCAAATGGCACCCAGCTTTTCTCACTCTGGTTTGCCAAAGAGACTGTGAGGCTTTGTTTGAACACAGGCAACAGTGCTGGACGGCAGATGTTTACAAATAACATTTGTTTAATTGCTTAGGTACTTTATAATATATTTTTCTCTTAAGCTGTGGAAAACACATCCTTTATCAGCTTTAAATCAGAGTAACTTTGGAGGGCCATTCTGGCTGCCTTTTTTCCTTGTGCATTGGTCCAGACAGATGCAGTGAGGAAAAAGAAGAGAAAGGGGAAGCTGTTGGCAGTTACCCTCAACTTTGCCTCTTTGTAGCAGCAAGCAGCAATATAGAAATGAGTACCCTTTCCAGTTTTGCTCCCCACCCCCTGAGAAAAAGGCACCCAAACCAGCAGAAAAGCACTCAGAGCCATCTAGCTGAAAAGACAGTCAAGGAGGGGGATTGTTTGGTGGCAGCCCTCTGTAGAAGTACACCTTACAGCATCTGTAGTCGGTTTCTGAATTCTGCGAATTTCTCAGGGACCTGGCATGGCCTTTTTGGCTGGTACAAGCACTAGTAGAAGGTTTATGTGGGCATAATAAGAGTGCCCAAGGTGGCCTTTTACTCTGTGCGCTGTGACTTCAGTCCCTTACAAGTGCTGCAGAGCGCGTGACTATTGCACATTGAGAGGATGCGGGCATGTGGTAAGTTGGTCTAGATTTCAGATGCCTTCATGTTTCTAGGGGAAGCCCGCAAGAGGAAATGGGACTCTCAGAACCACCTTCAGAGATATATTGTGGCCACAGACTCTTCTCGCTCTAGCCTCAGCATGCCAAGCTTTAGGGCCATTCTCCTCCACCCTTACATCATTTCCACAGATGCTTCTGAAAGTACCCACAGCCAGGACTCACCAGAATTTGATTCAGTAGGGCTTCATGTCAAATGGGAATTTGCATCCATGTATCAATCCATAACAATTGAGATGTTCAGCTATGGTCAGTGTAACCACTACATTAGTGCTTTCTAAAATATGTCACTAAATATATCCTTTGTATGTAACAGTTACGAGAAGGTTCTCTAGAACTAAGATTCCAAACCTGGCTCTGCCACTTATTAGCTGTGTGACCCTGGACAATACACTTAAACTCTCCGTGCCTTATTTTCATAATCTCTGATATGGGGATGGTAGTATCTACCTCATGGGGCAGTTTGGGGATTAGATGAATTATCACATGTGAAACACTTAGGATGCAGCAATCTCTCAATACATTGTTATGATTTGCCTGTAGAGGAAAGAACATTTGCTTTGAGGTTTGTTTTGCTGGATTCACATAGAAAAACAGAGAAAATTTCCTTGCTCTACATCTGGCCATTACATAGCAAGAGCCTTTGGAGCTACTCTGGAGTGCCAGTATATTGTTTCCTTTTAATTCTTGCTTTGATTTATGTCTCTCCTTCAAAAAACAAGCTTTCTTATACAACCCAGATTTTATAAAACGTTTTTATTTTCAAATCAATACAATTTATTTAAAAATAAAAAATAAATCTTAGGAACTACTTTGGCTTCTCCAGGAGTCAGTCTGATAGTAGACAAGGCACCAATCCTCCTGTGACAAATACACTTATTCTAGGCAAATACTCTTAGTATTTTTTAAGTTTAATTAGCTTCAACAAATATTTGTTAAATACGTACTAGACGTGAGGCACTTTTGGTAAAAGGAGGAAATAAGGGAAATAAATCTAACCTTTATGGAGCAGCTGCTTTATGCCAAATACTATTGTAAGAATTTCATAATCACCCTGTTTAATATCTGCAATGGATGTGGTTAGCTGTAGTTTACAGATAAAAACCCTGAGACTCAAGAGTTTGTTGCTCTGGCATTTATAAAATCCCAGGCTCTCCTCTTTCCACTGTGCCATACCATCTCAGAAGATTCAGAGATAAAGATGGAACAGAGTCTGACCTAATGATGGTGTTTTATATTTACACAGTCTATTGTGGTTTATAGCAGCATGCATGTCTACATTCTGCATTCTGATTTGAATACAGATCCCGTAACTGCTGCCCTATCCTGTATTCCAGCCGACGTTTACAGAGTTGATCATAACCTATGTTTGTAGGGACCTTGATGCTATCGGAGTGCTTTTGTCCTACTTCACATGTTTATCATAATCTTTTGAAGGAATTAATGACAATCCTAGTGATGGCAATATTTAGTAACCATTTACCATGTGCCAGGCACTATGCTAAGAGTTTTCCACATTGTCTCATTTAACCCTTAGCGTAGCTGGTAGATCATTTTCACATCTCCATTTTATAGATAAGGCCACTACAAGCATTATTGCAGTGCAAAAGTTAAAACTCACATCCAAGTCTATCTGCCTCCAGATCCCCAAATCTTAATCACTGTTATACTAAAATATTATATGTATCTAATTAATGAAGAAACCAAGGCTCAAAGGGGTTATGGGCTTGCCCTAAGTATGTCAGTTAGGCTGGGAATCAATCCCCCATCTTCTGATGATACACTTCTGATCAATAAAGCACACAGATGCAATAGTAAAAGGCAGAATAGTCAACAAAATAGGAAAAATGGCAGATGTGTGGTCCAGTGGGGTCAGGAAAGGCTTATGAAGAAAGTGAGCTGGACCTAATAGGATGAATAAGATTTCCAGAAATTGATATAACCAGGAAGGATATTTCAGATGAATGGAAGAGGATTAGCAAAATGAGAAGACATGGATAGTACAGAAACAAAAACATGCTAGTGTTAATTTACCACAATATGAGGTGTACCTAGGGTGTTGGGACATGAGTCTAGAAAGCTATGTGTGCTTCTGTGCAAGTCTGAAGTATTAGCTCCTACATTGTTGGAGAATGGGGAGCCATTGAATGTTTTTGAGCAAGGAATGTGTCATGGTCAAGGCCACACTTTCAACAAAAATCAATTCTAAAAATTGATACATAATCATTGTTCATATTCACAGGGTGCAAGTGATGTTTTAATACATGCATGCAATATTTAATGATTAAATTGGGATAATTAGCATATTCATCACCTCAAACATATATTTTTGTGATGGGAACATTTCAACTCTTCTAGCTATTTTGAAATATACAATAAATTATTATTAACTATAGTCAGCCTACTGTGCTGTCTAACACTAGAACTGAGTTCTTCCATCTAACTGTATGTTTGTATCCTTTAACCTCTCTTCATCCCTTTTTGCTCATTCTTCTCAGCCTCTAGTATCCATCATTCTACTCTCTACCTCCATGAGATCAACTTTTTTAGCTCCCACATATGAGTGAGAACATACAATATTTGTCTTCCTGTGCCTGGCTTATTTTACTTAACGTAATGATCTCCAGACCCATTCATCTTGCTGCAAATGACAGGATTTCATTTTAGTATTCCATTGCGTATGTATACACACCATATTTTCTTTATTCATTCATTTATGGACACTTAGGTTGATTCCATGTAATGGATATTGTGAATAATGCTATAGTAAACATGAAAGTGCAGGTATTTGTTTGATATACTTATTTTCCTTGAAAAAATGCACAGGAGTGGCATTGCTGGATCAGTTTTGTGAGACACCTCTATACTGTTTTCCACAATGGCTGTGCTAATTTACATTCCCACTAACAGTGTATAAGAGTTCCCTTTTCTCCACATCCTCATCAGCCTTCATTAGTTTTTGTCTCTTTGATGGTAGCCATTGTGAGGTGAGATGATGTCTCACTACAGTTTTGATTTTTATTTCCTTAATGATTAGGATGTTGAGCATTTTTTCATATACCTGCTGGCCATTTGTATATTTTCTTTTGAGAAATATTTATTCAAATCCTTTGACATAATCACACTTCTTAATGTGATTATTTGGTTATTTGCTGTTGAGTTGTTTGAGTTCTTTGTATATTCTGTATATTAGTCCCTTGTTGGATGAATGTTTGTAAGTATTTTCTCCCATTCGACAACTTCACTCTTCAATCTGTGATTGTCTCCTTTGCTTTGCAGAAGCTTTTTAGTTTAACATAGTCCCATTTGTATATTTTTGTTTTTGTTCCCTGTGCTTTTAAAGAGTGGCTATAAAATCTTTGCCTAGGCCAGTGTCCTGAAGCATTTCCCAAATGTGTTCTTCTAGTAGTTTTATAGTTTCAGGGCTTACATTTAAGTCTTTAATTCATTTAGTTCAATTTAATGGCTTTTGTATATGGTGAGAGCTGGGGATCTAGTTTTATTCTTCTGCATATAAGTACGCAGTTCCCAGAACCATTTATTGAAGAAGCTGTAATTTCCCCAATGTACATTCATGGTACCTTTGTCAAAAATCCGTTGAGTGTAAATGCCTGGATTTATTTCTGCATTCTCTATTCTCTTTCATTGGCCTGTGTTCATTTTTATACTAATACCATGCTGTTTTGGTTACTATAGCTTTGTAGTATATTTTGAAGTCAGATAGTTGATGCCTGCAGCTTTGTTCTTTTTGCTCAGGATTGCTTTGGCTGTTTGGGGTCTTTGTGGTCCTATGCAAATTTTAGGATTGTTTTTCTATTTCTCTGAAGAATGTCATTGTTATTTTGTTAGGGATTGCATTGAATCTGTACATTGCTTTGGGTAATGCGGTCATTTTAACAATATTAATTCTTCCAATCCATGAGCATGAGATGTCTTTCCATGTTTTTGTCCTCTTCAATTTCTTGTATCAGTGTTTTGTACTTTCCGTTGTAGAAGTTTTTCACCTCCTTGTTTGAATTCATTCCTAGGTATTTTGGGGGTGGGGAGTAACTGTTGTAGATGGGACAGCTTCGTGTCCCATTTTCAGCCAGTTTGTGTTTGGTTTATATAAATGCTACTGATTTTTATGTGTTGATTTTCTATTCTGTAACTTTACTGAATTCATTTATCAGTTCTAAGAGTTTTTTGGTAAAGTCTTTATGTTTTTCTCTATATAAGATCATGTTGTCTGCAAAGAGGGGCAGTTTCCTTCTTTTCCAGTGTGGATGCCTTTTATTTCTTTCTCTTCCCTGATTGCCCTGGCTAGGACTTCCGGTAGTATATTGAATAAGAGTGGGGAGGCTGGGCACTGTGGCTCACGCCTGTAATCCCAGCACTTTGGGAGGCTGAGGCGGGTGGATCATGAGGTCAGGAGTTTGAAACCAGCCTGGCCAACACAGTGAAAACCCCATCTATACTAAAAATACAAAAATTAGTTGGGTGTGGTGACGAGCACCTGTAATCCCAGCTGCTTGGGAGGCTGAGGCAGGAGAATCGCTTGAACCCAGGAGCTGGAGGTTGCAGTGAGCCGAGAACACGCCACAGCACTCCAGCCTGGGCGACAGAGCTAGACTCTGTCTCAAAAAAAAAAAAAAAAAAAAAGTGTTGAAAGTAAACTTACTTGTCTTTTTCCAGTTCTTAGAGGAAAGGCTGTCAGTTTCTGCCCATTCAGTATGATGTTAGCTGTTGGTTTGCCATATATGTCCTTTATTATGTTGAGTTATGTTCCTTCTATGCCTAATTTTTGAAAATTTTTATTATGAGGTGATGTTAAATTTTAGCAAATACTTTTTCTGTATCTATTGATATGATCATGTGGTTTTGGACATTCATTCTGTTGATGTGCTATATCACATTCATTGATTTATGTATGTTGAACCATACTTGTATCTCTGAAATAAATTCCACTTGTTCATGATGTATTATCTTTCTGATGAGTTGTTGGATTTGGCTTGCTTGTATTTTGTTGAGGAGTTTTGCATTTATGTTCACCAGGCACGTTGGCCTGTAGTTTTCTTTTTTTGTTGTGTCTTTCTCTGGTTTTGGTGTCAGGATAATTCTGGCTCCATAGAATGAGTTAGGAAGAATTCTCTTACCTTCACTTTTTGAAATACTTTGAGAAGAATTGGTATTCTTCTTTGCAAGTTTGGTAGAATTCAGCAGCAAAGCCATTCCGTCCTGGGCTTTCTTTGTGGGAAGACTTTTTATTGCGACTCCATCTCATTCTGTATTATTGATCTATTCAGATATTGTGTTTCTTCCTGATTCAATCTTGGTAGGTTGTATGTGCCCAGGAACTTATCCTTTTCCTCTAGGTTTTCCAATTTGTTAGTGTGTATTAATAGTTGCTTATGTTAGTCTCTAATGATCATTTGTATTTCATTGCCTCATTTTTCATATATGATTTCATTTATGATTTATGTTTTCTCTCTTTTCCTGGTCAGTCTAGCTAGTGGTCTTTCAAGTTTGTTCATCTTTTCAAATAGCCAACTTTTTGTTTTGTTAATCCTTTGTATTGTTTTTAAGTCTCCATTTCATTTAGTCCTGCAGTAATCTTTATTATTTCTTTTCTTCTCCTAACTTTGGGTTTGGCTTGTTCTTGCTTTTCTAGTTATTTAAGGTTATTTATTTGAAATTGCTAGGTAGTTTATTTGAAACCTTTCTACTTTTTTGATGTCGGAATTCATTGCTATAAACTTCTCTCTTAGGACTGCTTTTGCTGTATCCTGTAGGTTTTGTTATGTTGTGTTTTCATTTTCATTTGTTTCAGTCTTTTTGATTTCCTCCTTAATTTCTTCCTTGACCCAGTGGTCATTCAGAGCCATGTTGTTTAATCTTCATGTATTTGTACAGTTTCCAAAGTTCCTTTTGTTATTGATTTTTACTTTTGTTTCATCGTAGTGCATGAAAATACTTGGGCCGAGCACAGTGGCTCACGCCTGTAATCCTAGCACTTTGGGAGGCTGAGGTGGGCAGATCACCTGAGGTCAGGAGTTCAAGACCAGCCTGGACAACATGGTGATACCCCATCTCTACTAAAAATACAAAAATTAGCTGGGCATGGTGGTGCATGCCTGTAATCCCTGTTACTCAGGAGACTGAGGCAGGAGAATCACCTGAGCCCGGGAGGCGGAGGTTGCAGTGAGCCAAGATCTCGCCACTGCGCTCAAGCCTGGGCGACAGAGCAAGACTGTCTCAAACAAACAAACAAACAAACAAATAGTTGATATGATTTTGATTTTTAAAAATTTTTTGAGGCTTGTTTTGTGCCCAAGCGTGACCTAGAGAATGTTCCATGTGTTTGTGAGAAGAATGTGTTTCCTGCCACTATTGGATGAAATGTTCTGTAAATATCTGTTAAGTCCATTTGGTCTATAGTGCAGTTTAAATCCAGTGTTTGTTTGTTGATTTTCATCTAGATTATCAGTCCAAGCTGACAGTGAGGTGTTGAATTTCCCAACTATTACTATATTAGCATCTATTGCTCCCTTTAGGTCTAATAATACTTGCTTTGTATATCTGGGTGCTCTGGCTTGTGTACATATATATTTAAAATTGTTGTATTAAATTGATACCATTATCATTATATAATAAACTTCTTTGTCACTTTTTATGGGTTTTGACTTGAAGCCTGTTTTATCTGATGTAAGTATAGCTACTTTTGCTGGCTTGTGGATTCCATTTGCATGAAATATCTTTATCAGTCCTTTCACTCGCAGTCTATATGTATCTTTACAAGTGAAGTGAGTGTTCGTATAGGCAGCATATAGTTGGGATGCCTTCTAAGTAGGGAATTTAATCTGTCGGTATCTCCTAAGTAGGGAATTTAATCTGTTTTCATTCAAGGCTATTATTGGTATGTGAGGACATATTCCTGTCATTTTATTAAATGTTTTCTGGGTGTTTTGTGTATCCTTTGTTCCTTTCTTCTTCTCATGTGTTTATCATTGCAGTTTGGTGGTTTTCTGTAGTGGTAAAGTTTGACTCCCTTCTATTTCTCATTTGTGTGTCTGCCCTACCAGTGAGTTTTATATGTTAATGTGTTTTTGTGATGGTAAAGATCATCTTTCACTTCCAGATATAGGACTCCCTTAAGCATTTCTTGTAGGGTAATTCTAGTCATAATGAATTCCTCAGTTTGCTTGTCTGAGAAACTTTATGGCTGACAGTTTTTTCTTTAAACACTGTGAAAACATCATCCCATTTTCTTCCGGCCTGTAAAGTTTCTGCTGAGAAATCTACTGTTAGTATGATGAGGACTCCCTTATATGTGACTTCATGCTTATCTCTTCCTGTTTTCAGAATCTTCTCTTTGTCTGTTGTCAAACTGTTTTGACAGTTTGACTATAATGTGCTTTGGAGAAGGCCTTTTTGGATTGAACCTATTTAGGGATTCTTTAGCTTTCTGTATCTGAATATCTATCTCTCTCGAAAGATTTGAGAAATTTTTAGCTATTATTTTATTAAATATGTTTTCTGTGCCTTTGGCCACCTCTTCTCCTTCTAGAACTCTCAGAATTCAAATATTTCTTTGCCTTATAGGGTCCCATATGTCAATGTTGGCTTTCCTTGTTTTTTTTTTTTTTTTTTCCTGTCTGACTGTGTTCTTCAAAAGACCTGTCTTCAAGTTCAGACATTCTTTCTTCTGCTTGATCTAGTCTATTGTTGAAGCACTCAATTGTATTTTTTATTTTATTCATTCAGTTGTTCAGTTCCAGGATTTCTGTCTGGTTCATTTCTATGATATCTGCCTCTTTGTGTAATTTCTCATTCAGATCATGAATTGTTTTTCTGATTTTTTGGTATTGTTTACTTGTGTTCTCTTGTATCTCACTAATCTTCCTTAATATCATTATTTTGAGTTCTTTTCTGGGCATTTCACAAATTTCCTTTTCTTTCAGATCTGTTACTGGAGACTTAGTGAGTTCTTTTGGAGGTTTTATGTTTCCTTGCTTTTTACATGTTTTGTGTGTTTGTGTGTGTGTGTTATTACATGAAATCTATGTATCTGGTGTGGCAGTCTTTTGCAGGGAGAGAGTTTTTCATATATATATATATATATATATATATATATATATATATATAAAGTCAACACTATATATATATAGTGTTGGTTTGGTTGGGTGCTTTGGCTTTGACTCTGAGTGGACACAGCAGTCTCTGTATTTCTCTGGCTGTAATCAGCATCAGTGGTCCTATGAGTTCCTCAGTGGTCTAGACTGCAATTATTTATTGATACTATGGTGAGGCTGTGCTAGGGACAAAGGTGCCAGGTGAGCTAATCCTCGGGTACCCTTGTTGGTGATGGTGGGTAGAGTAGGCCTGTCTTCAAGTCCCCAGATTGTATGCATGAGCACCAGTGGTGGCAGGTGGGGTGGATCAATCTCTAGGAGAGTGGATAGTGCACTTGGGTGCTGGTTGTAGTGGGTGGAGTGAGCCCGTTCTCAGGCCCCTGGATAGTGCACATGGGTGCTGGCAGTGGTGGATGGAGCACGTCCATTTCCAGGTCCCCAGACAACACACATATGTGCTGGTGGCAGTGTTGGGAGGGTGTCTTCAGACTCCCCTGATGGTTTGTGCAGGCATCAGCTGTAGTGGGCAGGGAAGATCAATCCCCAGGCCCCTGGACAGTGCACTCAGGCATAGGTGTCAGTGGTAGTGGGCAGGGCAAGCTTGCTTTCTTGACCCAGATGACACACGCAGTCACTGGCAGCGGTGGCCATGGTGGGGCAAGCAGGTCCTCAGCCCCCAAATGTTGCACACAGGTGGGCAGGGCGCAGGTTGATCCCCAGACCCCTGGGTGACATGAATAAACACTGGCAGTAGTGGGCAGCACAGGCCTCTACTCAGGATCTCACAGTGGTGTGTGCCGGTGCAGGTGCAGCAAGTGGAGCAGGTTGACCCCCAAACCCATGAATGATGTGAGCAGGCACTGGCATGAAGCCACAACTTAAGGAAGATTCTTGTGGCAGGCAACACTGAGACTAAGAGGAGCTCATTGTAATGATCCTTGGGATAGAAGGAAAATATAAACCAGTGTGGAAAATGTAGAAGGGGAAAATTCAGATAATACTGCCATATAGAATTAGCAATACCTCACAACTGTCTAGATGTTCAGGGCCAGAAAGAACGAGATACCAAATATCATTTACGTTTGAGCCTAGATCCCTAAAAAAATTGTGTTGTCACAAATGAAAATAGGAAATTTAGGATTATGAGTTAATTTAGGTGAGGAGATAATGATCTCCTTTTGGAATAAGGCACTTTGAGGTGAAGCCACTTATTAAATTTGAAGTACATCATCACGAGTGAAAAACAATGCAACCAAATATACAGTTAAGGGAGGCAGTCAGAGGAAGGTGATAGTAGCTTAGGCTATCAAGGAAGCAGGCATGTAAAGAAAAAAGACAAGGCACAACTTTTGAGCTTTTCTATATTTAGAGTGCAGGCAGATGATAAGGGGCTCTTAAAGGAGGTAAGGAAGTAAAAGGAATGACTAACATTAAGAAATGTGACAGATAGTCAAGGAAGTTGAAATCAGAACAAAACATTTAAGAGCAAGTTTGATTTTGGAGTGATTGTGAGCAGGAAGGGCTTGACATCCGGGAAATCAAGAAAGCAAAGGATTAAGAAGCGAGTGAGCTGGACCAGGCAGAAAGAATGGGCAGTGAACTCTCACAGGAAATCTGTCAGTAAAATTCTCATCAAGAGACAAGATCAATTCAATCCCATTTTGCAGTGTCAAATGGCAAACTGCATGCAAGTCAAAGGGGGTATATGCTGTGTTAATATGCAAATCTGTATTTTCAGAAGATACGGAGAAAATGAAAAGTATTCAAAATCAACATGAGGGAGATTTCTAAGGCAGTTCTTCTAAAGAAGATGAATGAAAAATACAATGTCAGGCCGGGCGTGGTGGCTCACGCCTGTAATTCCAGCACTTTAGGAGGCCGAGGTGGGCGAATCACGAGGTCAGGAGATCGAGACCATCCTGGCTAACACGGTGAAACCCCGTATCTACTAAAAATACAAAAAAATTAGCCAGGCGTGGTAGCGGGTGCCTGTAGTCCCAGCTACTCGGGAGGCTGAGGCAGGAGAATGGTATGAACCCGGGAGGCGGAGCTTACAGTGAGCCGAGATGGCGCCACTGCACTCCAGCCTGGGTGACAGACCGAGTCTTGTCTCCAAAAAAAAAAAAAAAAAAAAAAAAAAAGAAGAAAAAGAAAAATACAATGTCACAATGTCACAGGTGTCACAGGATGGAAATGAATTTTCAACTGAAGAAGAGATCACAGTTTTGGCTTTGATACAACATTTCACTAGTAATTAGAGGAGTGAAAACTATAGCTTCTGAGAGAAAAAAAATTCTAACGTTATTTCCAATTCAGACACCAAGTTTCTGGAAATAGCTAGTAATGCACCTGGCTACACAGGGCCCTTGTAGATAAACAAGACGGCTTCCTCATAGTGACACAGTGTTCAGAGTTCTCTTAGTAAATGCTTCATTTCAAAGCATACATCTCTTCCAACATATTACAATGAAAGGACAACAGTCTTTTGTTTTTCCTTATTATTATTATGACTATTTTTTTGGAAGCTGAGATCTCTGTAACATGTTACAGTGTTGGCCAGATTAAAATGAGTCTTTTCAAAACAGTCAATATCTGAGTATTTGAAGAGGATACACAAACTTTCAGTTCTTCACAGGTGTGATAACTTTATCATGTACCTCTGGATAAAACCAGATTATGCAAAGAACAGACTCTGATTCCAGATCATTCATACTTACCTCTGAGTTCAAAACGTACACATACACATGCACACACACACACACACACACACACACACAGAGAGAGAGAGAGTGAGAGAGAGAGAGAGAGAGAGAGAGAGAGAGAGAGAGAGAGAGAGAGGCTAAAATAGTACAGTTAGAGAACCAATGCTTAGTTTTAACTCTTTTGGAGGTAGCCAAGACCTTCTCTTCCTGGGGAATATGGAAGTCTCATTGTTTTATTATTTTGACATGTGGCTGCCTTTAGATGAGTTTGTCTTTCTTTCTGTACATAGTCAAGAATCAGGAAATGAATAAAATGCTCATTGCTTACTTGCCTGTTCTCTCTACTTCAGTCCCTTACAAATTGAGAGAGCCCTGTTTGCTCTATTCTTGTGTTCTCTTTATTTAGAAAAGTATAGAATGTGAAACAGTTACCTCATTATTTTTAATGTTATTGTGAAAAAATTATAGAAAATCAAAAAAGAAAAAGATTATCTATAACTTCATCCTAAGAGAGACCACAATCTTTATTTTAATGTATTTCCATCCAGTCTTTTTTTGCTATGTGCATTCATTACATAATTGTACTCATAGTCTAATACAACTTTGCATTCTTTTTCATTTCAATTTCTATCTAAAGCATACATTCACTCTCCATGCCTCACCCTAGAGACTGACACAAAGATTTTCTACTTTGTCAAGAAGGCTGACTGGGAGACTGATATTTACCAATTCACTCGAGGGAAACACACTGGTTGGTTGGACTTGAATCCAGCTGTATCCTGGTTACATTTCTTCTAGTCCCTTAAAACAAAGAGGCTGTGTCACCCTTGAAAAGGCCTACTTATCTGTCTTAAACAGTGTGCCAGTTCTTTCATCTTCCAGAAATCTGAGAAGAATTTTTATCATGGTATATAAAGGGTATAAATATAAGTACAATGTAAGATGACAGCCAGGAGCAGTAGCTCATGCCTGTAATTCCAGCACTTTGGGAGACTGAGGCAGGTGGATTACTTGAGTCCAGGAGTTCAAGAGCAGCCTGGGCAACATGACAAAACCCCTTCTCTACAGAAAGTACAAAAATTAGCTGGGTGTGGTGGTGTGCACCTGTAGTCCCAGCTACTCAGGAGGCTGAGGTAGGAAAACTGATTGAGCTAGGAAGGTTGAGGCTGCAGTGAGCCATGATTACGCCTCTGCACTCCAGCCAGGGTGGGAGAGTGAGGCCCTGTGTCTCTAATGCTTGATTACTAGACTTATTATACTATATTCACTAAAAACAGAGTTGGAACTGGGATGACCACTCACTTCAGCAATAGCCCAGAATCATGCCATGGGTTGCATAGTTTGGAATGAGGATGGCAAATAAGATTTGAATTTCTATTTTTCTTCAATTGGCGGTGGTTGTACTGAATAGAAATCTGGGTGTGTTTCATCTCAGTAAGAAAGAGTATCATGATCATTTAGCAATTGATCTCCTATTTCAGACACAAGAAATTTCCAGCACGCATGCCTCAGATTTACGATCCTTTTAGACAAATATTTATTTAAAGCCTACTACATGTCATGTACTTTGTTTACATTACATGATATATTCCTCATAGCAATATGAGGAAACAGATACCATTTTCTCACATGGGCAGTATAGGAGAGCAAAAGTGAGGTGCACACCGAAAATTAGAAATTCAAAAAAGAAAATCAGAAGACAAAGCTGTGAAATCAACATATAAACTTATATTGTCAGAATGGCTCCCAGAATAGTAAAATTGGCCAATAATCATATTTAATGTGTAAGCATATTTTGAAGAAAGATTGTCAACCAGAGGAGGATAAGATTGATAATATATTGAAGCTTAGGAGATAAGAAAATAAGATGTCGCTGAATCAAATGTTGGCTGTACATTCCCAGCAGGGCTGTTCAGCTTCTTATATTCAGCAAACATGGAGTGTCTGCTGTGGGCCATGCATCGTATTGGATGCTGGTCATATGAACGAGGCTGGAGTACTTCCTTCCATTTATTTCCTTCAGTCTTTTCTCCTTCTCTCGGATATGTTTTCTCCTTCAACCTATATGTTCTCATTGTATTTCAAAACTATAGTCATGAATATTCTAGGACTAGGATGCAAAAGGAAGGAGGGGAAGATGTGATCCAGGGGAATTGCTCCATTATTATTATTCTCAGTTCCTGTCTGAGAACACTTCAAAATCTTTTCCTTTCTTTCTTTTTTTTTTTAAATTATACTTTAAGTTCTGGGATACATGTGCAGAATATGCAGGTTTGTTACATAGGTATACACGTGCCATAGTGGTTTGCTGCACCCATCAACCCATCATCTACATTAGGTATTTCTCCTAATGCTATCCCTCCCCTAGCCCCCAACCCCCTGACAGGCCCTGGTGTGTGATGTTCCCCTCCCTGTGACCGTGTGTTCTCATTGTTCAACTCCCACTTATGAGTGAGAACATGCGTTGTTTGGTTTTCTGTTGCTGTGTTAGTTTGCTGAGAATAATGGTTTCCAGCTTCATCCATGTCCCTGCAAAGGACATGAACTCATCCTTTTTTTGGCTGGATAGTATTCCATGATGTATATGTGCCACATTTTCTTTATCCAGTCTATCATTGATGGGCATTTGGGTTGGTTCCAAACTTTTGCTATTGTGAACAGTGCTGCAATACACATACGTGTGCATGTGTCTTTATAGTAGAATGATTTATAATCCTTTAGGTATATATCCAGTAATAGGATTGCTGGGTCAAGTGGTATTTGTAATTCTAGATCCTTGAGGAATCGCCACACTGTCTTCCACAATGGTTGAACTAATTTACACTCCCACCAGCAGTGTAAAAGTGTTCATATTTCTCCACATCCTCTCCAGCATCTGTCGTTTCCCGGCTTTTTAGTGATTGTCATTCTAACTGGCGCAAGATGGTATCTCATTGTGGTTTTGATTTGCATTTCTCTAATGACCAGTGATGATGAGCTTTTTTTCATATGTTTGTGGGCCACATAAAGGTCTTCTTTTGAGAAGTGTCTGTTCATATCTTTCATATACTTTTTGATGGGGTTGTTTGTTTTTCTCTTGTAAATTTGTTTAAGTTCTTGTAGATTCTGGATATTAGCCCTTTGTCAGATGATAGATTGCAAAAAATTTCTCCCGTTCTGTAGGTTGCCTGTTCACTCTGATGGTAGTTTCTTTTGCTGTGCAGAAGCTCTTTAGTTTAAGTAGATCCCTTTTGTCAATCTTGGCTTTTGTTGCCATTCCTTTGGTGTTTTAGTCATGAAGTCTTTGCCCATGCCTATGTCCTGAGTGGTATTGCCTAGGTTTTCTTCTAGGGTTTTTATGGTTTTAGGACTCACGTTTAAGTCTTTAATCCATCTTGAGTTAGTTTTTGTATAAGGTATAAGGAAGGGGTCCAGTGTCAGTCTTCTGCATATGGCTATCCAGTTTCCCCAACACCATTTATTAAATAGGGAATCCTTTCCCTATTACTTGTTTTTGTCAGATTTGTCAAAGATCAGATAGTTGTAGATGTGTGGCATTATTTCTGAGGCCTCTGTTCTGTTACATTTGTCTATATGTCTGTTTTGGTACCAGTACCATGCTGTTTTGGTTACTGTAGCCTTGTAATATGGTTTGAAGTCAGGTAGCATGATGCCCCCGGCTTTGTTCTTTTTGCTTAGGATTGTCTTGGCTATATGGGCTCTTTTTTTTTGTTCCATGTGAAATTTAAAGTAGTTTTTTCTAATTCTGTGAAGAAAGTCAGTGGTAGCTTGATGGGGATAACCTTGAATCTATAAATTACTTTGGGCCGTATGGCCATTTTCACAATACTGATTCTTCTTATGCATGAGCATAAAATGTTTTTCCATTTGTTTGCGTCCTCTCTTATTTCCTTGAGCAGTGGTTTGTAGTTCTCCTTGAAGAGGTCCTTCACATCCCTTGTAAGTTATATTCCTAGGTATTTTATTCTCTTTGTAGCAATCGTGAATGGGAGTTCACTCATGATTTGGCTCTCTGTTTGTCTATTATTGGTGTATAGGAATGCTTGTGATTTTTGCACATTGATTTTGTATCCTGAGACTTTGCTGAAGTTGCTTATCAGCTTAAGGAGATGTTGGGCTGAGTCGATGGGGTTTTCTAAATATACAGTCATGTCATCTGCAAACAGAGACAATGTGACTTCCTCTCTTCCTATTTGAATACTCTTTATTTCTTTCTCTTGCCTGATTGGCCTGGCTAGAACTTCCAATACTATGTTGAATAGGAGTGGTGAGAGAGGGCATCCTTGTCTTGTGCCGGTTTTCAAATGGGATGCTTCCAGCTTTTGCCCAACCCAACTGTCAATATTAGACAGATCAACGAGACAGAAAATTAACAAGGATATTCAGAACTTGAACTCAGCTCTGGACCAAGCGGACCTAATAGGCATCTACAGAACTCTCCACCCCAAATCAACAGAATATACATTCTTCTCAGCACCACATTGCACTTATTCTAAAACTGACCACATGATTGGAAGTAAAACACTCCTCAGCAAATGCAAAAGAATGAAATCATAACAGTTTCTCAGACCACAGTGCAATCAAGTTAGAACTCATGATTAAGAAACTCACTCAAAACCGTAGAACTACGTGGAAGCTGAACAACCTGCTCCCGAATGACTACTGGGTAAATAACGAAATTAAGGCAGAAATAAATAAGTTCTTTGAAACCAATGAGAACAAAGACACAACGTAGCAGAATCTCTGGGACACAGCTAAAGCAGTGTTTAGAGGGCAATTTGCAGCACTAAATGCCCACAGAAAAAAGCAGGAAAGGTCTAAAATCGACACCCTAACATCACAATTAAAAGATCTAGAGAAGCGAGAGCAAACAAATTCAAAAGCTAGCAGAAGACAAGAAATAACTAAGATCAGAGCTGAACTGAAGGAGATGGAGACACAAAAATCCCTTTGAAAAATCAATGAATCCAGGAGGTGGTTTTTTGAAAAGATTAACAAAATTGATAGACCACTAGCAAGACTAATAGAGAAGAAAAGAGAATAATCAAATAGACACAATAAAAAATTATAAAGGGGATATCACCACTGATCCCACAGAAGTACAAACTATCATCAGAGAATACTATAAACAACTCTATGCAAGTAAACTAGAAAATCTAGAAGAAATGGATAAATTCCTGGACACATGCACCCTCCCAAGACTAAACCAGGAAGAAGTCGAATCCCTGAATAGACCAATACCAAGTTCTGAAATTGAGGCAATAATTAATAGCCTACCAACTAAAAAAAGCCTAGGACCAGACAGATTCACAGCCGAATTCTATCAGAGGTACAAGCGGGAGCTGGTACCATTCCTTCTGAAACTATTCCAAACAATAGAGAAAGAGGGGCTCCTCCCTAACTCATTTTATGAGGCCAGCATTATCCTGATACCAAAACCTGGCATGAGACAAAATAGATAAAGAAAATATCAGGCCAGTATCCCTGATGAACATTGATGCGAAAATCCTCAATAAAATACTGACAAACTGAATCCAGCAGCACATCAAAAAGCTTTATCCACCACAATCAAGTGGGCTTCATCCCTGGGACGCAAGGCTGGTTCAACATATGCAAATCAATAAACGTAATCTATCACATAAACAGAACCAATGACAAAAACCACATGATTATCTCAATAGATGTAGAAAAGGCCTTTGATAAAATTCAACATACCTTCGTGCTAAAACCTCTCAATAAACTAGATATTGATGGAACGTATCTCAAAATAATAAGAGCTATTTATGTATGACATACCCACAGCCGATATCAAATTCTTATTCTAACATTTTGGAGTTCGATTCCCAAGCTTGTAAAGCATTTAGGTTTTTATATGTAAATACATATGATGAGTTTGACTCCATTAAATTGAAATTCATGATTAAAAGAGTCACAGGTCAGTCTTGCATTTCAAATTTCTGAACCTAAAATCTGGAAAGGAAATGGGATTTTAAAAAGTTAAATGAACTGAACAATTAGCAGCTTTATAGCATGTATTTTTATGGTTGACCCCAGCATCAGTAATGCACATTATGAAATTTTTTCATCACTTCATTTAAAATAATTTCTAGGCCGGGCACAGTGGCTTACGCCTGTAATCCCAGCACTTTGGGAGGCTAAGGTAGGCGGATCACCTGAAGTCAGGAGTTCAAGACCAGCCTGGCCAACATGGCGAAACCCTGTCTGTACTAAAAATACAAAAATTAGCCAGGCATGGTGGTGGGTGCTTGTAATCCGAGCTACTCAGGAGTCTGAAGCAGGACAATCACTTGAACCAGGAAGGCGGAGGTTGCAGTGAGCTGAGATCGTGCCACTGCACTCCAGCCTGGGCGACAAGAGCAAAACTCGGTCTCAAAATAAAATAAAATAATAATTTCTAACTTGGAGCTTTAGAATTGGCTTAAGTTAAACTGGTTTTTGGATGAACTGGTTTCTCTAGTTTTAGAATGCTGTTTATTTAAATGATAAACTGAATATGATTGGCATTAACTCCACTATAAACAAAGCAAATGATGCTTGTATCTAACTATCCAGAGATCCAAAGCAACAAATGGATGGGCAGAAGGAATCACAAGTGAAAAATCTACAGATTCAATTCTATTTTTAAAATGAAAAATTTCTATATTAAAAACATCAAAGCCTTCCTCCCTCTTTCCGCCCTCCTTCCTTCCCTCTCTCTCTTTCTCATTTTGAATAATGTGCTGGTGTGATTTTTTTTAAAAAACAGGCTTCCATTTACCCTAATTTCTTCACTTATTTCTTTTCAATTTGGATATGCTTCTGTAAGGTGACTTAAACTCTTTTTAGGAACAAGGCTGATTATGAACAGAGAAATTTAAAATAAATAGAATAGAAACACACTAAATAAAGGGAGAAAATTTTGCCTTTTGAATTGGCTGTAATTTTCTTTCCACTCCCCGCTATCCCATCTCACGCATATGTAGGAAATATCTTCTGAATGTCTAGCACCAAATTAAGATTTAGTGCTGACTGCAAAGAGCTTAAAGCCTAGCAAGAAAGACAGACAATTAAACAAAATAAAATACAGATCGAGTGTAGTTAAAGGCTATAGCATGAACGTTTTCTCATCAATGTATTGACTTATGCACGTTTCAATGAGCTAGTCCTATGAGCACAATTACCTGAAAACACATACAGGCGAGCCATGGACTAGCTGGTGAGACAAAGTCTTTAACAAAGAGAGGACATTTAAGTAGATTTTGTTTATTTAAAAACAGTTACTCTAGCAAAAGTAATGCAGTCAACCTCCGTTCTCTCCTCCTTAGAGTCCCACTCTGTAGAGACAATGATTTCCAGCACTTTTAGGTTTTAGTTCTGCTAGCAATATTTTTCTAAATAATATGCCTTTCTTGATTTTTTTCAAAGGTAAATATTGTGTATTGGTTTATCTCTATGGAAAACATGGACTTTACTTTCTTATTACTGGACCTCCACTCCCTACTTCCCATTTCTTTTTTGGGGTGTTTGGTTTTGTTGTTATAGCAGAGGCTGTGCTCCAAGGTCTCATGACCTTGTCAGATTGTTCCTGTATAAAGCTGCCTGAGAGCTCTGTTTGGAAGGGCTAGGCCTGTTGACTGGAGGCTTCACTATAATTTTCACCTGATTCACACTATGGGGGAATCAGGCAGTTATCCTGGCATTTAACTATCCAGCCCAAAAATGTCAATATTTTCAGGTCTTCTCTCTTGAGCTGCTTAATTTTCTTTTCTTCTTTTCTTTTCTTTTTGTTTCTTTTCTTGTCTTGTCTCTTCTTTTCTCTTCTCTTCTCTTTTTCTTTTGTTTTTTTGAAATGGAGTCTCACTCTGTTGCCCAGGCTGGAGTGCAGTGGCGCTATCTCAGCTCACTGCAGCCTCTGCCTCCCGGGTTAAAGTGATTCTCCCATCTCAGCCCCCTAGTAGCTGGGACTACAGGCATGTGCCACCATGCCCAGCTAATTTTTGTATTTTTAGTAGAGATGGGGTTCCACCATGTTGGCCAGGCTGGTTTCGAACTCCTGGCCTCAGGTGATCCACCCGCCTCGGCCTCTCAAAGTGCTGGGATTACAGGCATGAGCATCCGCCCCTGGCAGGGCTGGTTAATTTTCCTAAAGAGGAACCCTGCAGTCTCTTGCTTGGAAGGTATATGTTTAGTTGTCAGCTTTCCCAGAACCAAGCTGGGCATGCAGATGGGAGTTTCACCTTCCGGTGTGTAGACTTCTCCTTTATCCTACTGTTTTCAGAACGGCACCCCTTTCCTGAGCTATGCATGCTCTTTCCAACTGCAGGGTTCCTCAGGGTTAATCTCTCCAGGCTTCTGGGGGAGAAAGATATTCACATGATTGTGTGGGGAGGTTGAGCACATCCAGGGGTGTCAACCGCTTCTTATACATTCAACAAATCCTGTTTTCACACCGCCCACCCCTGCCTTCCTAGGCATCCAGTACTCCTAGTTTCTGAGTCCTCTGGGTTCTGTGATGAGATTCACCTTATTGCTTGGCTTCCCCTCACCTGCAGGTGCTCAGCCTTTTTTGGTCTGCTAAGCTGGATATCATATATCTGCTTTGCACATCCCAAAGTTTTGTTGAAATATTTTATCACCTGTCATCTTTTCTTCTCTTCTCTTTGCCCTTGTGAGTTTATGCGTCTTTATAAAAAATTTTCCCATTATGTCATTTTACTAAGTTTTCATGAGGTGGAAGAAAAGGCATCTTCAATTTGCCTTTTAGAACTTGGAATCATAAGTTACATTTTAAAGGACAATTTAGGGATGAAAAGGCATGGTGGACTGAAAAGGGCATTTTAGTTCAAGGAAATAGCAAGTCCAAAATGTAGATTTCTAAAAGGATCGAGCACCATGTTTAGGAAATAGGGATTGTAGTTTGGCTGGAGCATGGGGTATAATGGCAAGGGGGACTCTAAGGAAAGTAGACAACGCCGTTGCAAAAATAGCTCAAATTATTTCCCTCCCTCCATGCATACTTTGCAGTATTTTCCATCAAAAAGGAAAGTTTACTCCTCAACCCCTGGAATCTGGGCTGGACTTGTGATGGCTTTGGCCAATAGGATGTGGCAGATTGATTACACACAGTTCCAACTAGGCCACAAGGGGCCTTGCATCTTGCACTCGCCATTTTGGAACCTGCCCAGATGCCACCAGAACAAGCTCAGTTAGGTTGCTTTGAGTGAGAGACATATGACCCAGTCATTCCCTATTGCCCCCGGTGAGAGTCAGGCAGACCCAGAAGCCGTCACTTGGCTGACTTGTAGTTGACCACACATATGTGGGAGCCCAGTTGAGACCAGAGAAAACACCCAGCTGAGTTGCTAACCCACATAATTATGAGCTAGATATGTGGTGGTTAAGTGGCTACATTTTGGGGTTGTTATTCAACTGGAGCTAACCAATCTTGTACCCAAATAGAAACTTAAAGAGGCATTGTGGAGCCAAGAAAATAATACTGGTTAAAATGACACGTTCAGATTCTAGTTCTTCCTTTGCTACCAACCAGTTGTGTGTCCTTGGGCAAGTCCCTTAATCTCAGCCTCACCATCTGTAAATTACAGGCACTGGGAGGTGGACCAGATAAGTGGTTTTCAAGCTGCTTTGCATATGTGAACCCTCTAGGAGCTTGTTGAAAATAATCCTTCTGCCCTCAATCCTATAAATATGAAAAATCTATAATTTCCTTTATTTCCCTGGTGATTCTGCTGCAGCCAGGCCAGCAGGCTTACCAGACACCAGTGGTTGACAACCGTGAGATCTTCCAGGTCCCTTCTGGGTTAATAATCCTGTGAGCTTAAGTCCCTTTTCTTGGTTTTGCTGTGGCTTTAGATGTTTTTTCCTGCCTCCACCATGGTGCCAGGGTTTCCTTCCCAAAATGTCCCTCCATGCCTGCCTCCCACCACTGGGGCTGGATCACTTTCCACCTCCCTGCTTTCCCAGCCCACCCCAACCCCACAGGCTCATGCTCAAGCTTTGTTATCAAGCGTGTAACTTAGTGATAGTTCTGCTTTTAACACTGATTTCCACATCCACTTCTTAGCTCTTTTGATTATTAAAGAAAAGGGCATTCTGTCTGGATATTGTCCCTCAATCTTAAAGGGAAACCACTGATTCCGTAGCCTTTTGGATTCCCCAGTAATCAACTGCACATTTCCAGTGTTCTTTGGCAGCCTCGTGTAGGGGTTATACGTTGTTCAATCTGTTGTTTTCTTAGGTTCTCAAAACCAGTTTTTCGAAAAGATCTTAGTCTTCCGCCCTTGACATTGCTCGTTTCCATCTGGAATGCTCTTCCCTTAGGACCAGGTTTCCCCAGCTAGAGTTTCTCCTTGGTAACAGCTTTATCATGAATAACAGTAGTGCCATCTCTCGAATCAGATACAAAGCATTAGTCAAAGCCTTACTGTCTCTTCTCCAGCCGTGTGTGTGTGTGTGTGTGTGTGTGTGATGGGGCAGGGGTTGAGAAAATGGAAGATTTTTCATAAACTGCCTCCATATTGTATACCCCCTCTCCATCCCTTAAACAATTATCTTGGGACATCGGACAAAAGCTGTAAGGCAGATGGCAAAACCTAAGTAGTTCCCAGCCTTAGGACAGTGGGTGGGGTTTGCAAGAGGCAGGCCTCCTGGGAGCTGGAGAGTGCCAGGCTCAGGGAGATGAAAGAGACACCCTTTGTTGTTGCTGGGTGACCTGAAAGTTTGACCTTGTCTGGCACTAAATACACCCGTCTCTTTGGATTCCCCTCTGCACTGGGGGAGTCAGCTCCTCCCAGCTACAGTAATTAGCAAATCTGGACAATTTGCAGATAGGTTTTAAGTCCTATTTAGGATTTGAAAACCAGCAGGGGTCAATAAAGTTAATTTAACTTTTTTATTGTGAAGCTAGGGTGATTTATGAGATAACGCACATTCAGCATAATGTGCTCAGGAGCGTGCAGCCACTTACTGTGAACTCAGCTAGCGTCAATCAAATAAATAACCTGTTAACAATGTCCTTCATTTTCAACATAATCTTATCTCAATAAAAGTAGCCTTTTTCATACTTAAAACAACAACAAACTCCGTCTTCTCATTGTTTGGCCGTGAGTGAAGCTTCCTTCTCTGTCGTTGGATGGAGCCTTGCTGGAGTCTGCAGATGAACCAGCTTGGTGGCCGATAGATGGTTGCCTTTCAAGGGGCCTCACACTCCTCTTGGTATGACCTGCGGATTGTGTCTCCCTCACACTACCATAAGCTCACTAGCAGGAGGTCCCGTGGGGCCCCATGGGACGAGCTCTGCTCTGCACTGGGAGGACTGCATTTTACATAAAGATGGGCACCTGCTGGTGGAGTGACCCAGGACAGTTCTTTTAACCTCCCTGTCTCTCGTGTGTGTTTCTTACTGATACAGAAGGGTGTAGCACCAATGGTCCCAGAGCGGTTTCAGCTCCAGCATTTGTGAAGTGAACACACTTCTAATTTTCCCACCACTTCAGTCCTCCAGCAGCTGGTGAGGCTGTGGACCCTGTGAGATCATCCACAGGGCTCTTGCCTGACTGATAGAGTTGGGGTTGGTTCTCCTGCCCTCTGACCAGTCCTGGGTACCATTGCTCACTTCAGAGGGAAACACGGAGACCTTTTGTTTTTTAATTCATAAGACTCAACACTAAATAACATTAATTTGTTCGTATTCCAAATGCCAGCCTGTGCTTTGGGATATGTTTTCTCATTTTCTCTTTACCTGAATTGGAAATCAGGACAAAGGTTAGCATTTTTGTTAGAAAAGGAAAGTAAGGTGTGGCATCTCTAAGTCACTTGCCCGGAGTCATGTGGCTAGTGTTGGTGACATTGCACTAAAAATGTAGAGCTTTGGATCCCTTATTGGAGCCCTTTTCACCATAATCCATCACTTCAAAAATGAAGCCACTCCTGAGAGGTGACACCCCATTTCTACCTGTGTTTTCAGTCTTTCCCACACAGATATTTCCCAGGACTTGGTGTGCAGTAATTATAAGCTATTGTAACTGCCTGTTCATTTTAAAATTTCTTTCTTTGTGAATTGGGTTTGGAAGAGGTGGAGAACTACAGGCAAATCTCTGCAAAATGAACACAGTCATTCACCCATACAGCCACATCTAGTCTGTGGACAAATGCAGGGGCCACTTGGTGCTGGGCTAGGTGCCGAGAACGCAATGTAAATCAGACCCAGGGTCTCGACAGCCAAGAAGAGAGTAGATGAATCCATAGCATCCCTAAGCTAGAGTAGGAACTAGCCACCTTACAGCAGTAGCTACAGGCTTTGGGGCTGTAAGTGCATTCATTCCTAGGACTTATTTCCTCAATCTTACTCTCTCATTTGTCCAAACACCAGAAAGGAAATTAGTTGAGAATGTTAGAGCTGTTCTGTGTTCTCCAAGGTAGCACAGTTCAAAGGCAATATAATGTGAGCCACATATATAATTTAAAATTTTCTAGCAGTCACATTTGTAAAAAGTAACAAGCAGTGGTAAAATTGTTTATTTTCTTTCGTTTAATATACCCCAAATGTTATGATTTCAACATGTATTCAATGCAAAAATTATTTATAAGGCATTTTAACATTTTGTACTCAGTCTTTGAAATATAGTGTTTTTTAAACTTTCAACACATCTCGATTCAGAGCAGCCACATTTCAAGTCTGCAGTAGCTGCTGCTGGCTGTTGTTGCCATATTGTACAGGGCTCTGCACTGGGGTTGCCTTAGAGAACAGGCAGTGAAGCCATGGGGCCGGTGTTTTAATCACCTGTGCCTCCCCACAGGGCACCGGGCCCACCTGGGCAGGGGCCTCCTGGTGTCCTGCTCTGATTATGCTTTCGGGGAGAGGCTGCATCCTCCCTCCTGTGCATAGCTGATCAGCAGCAGGGAGAACCCTCCCCTCCCCCAGGTCCCAGTTCCGGCAGGCCTCCTTTCCTAGCTGTGAAACATGACCACTGGTCAAGCCAGGATTGCCGGTGCGCCTGGGAGCAAGCCTCCTGTTTGCAGCTCTCATGAATTGCTCTTTCTTTTCCACGGAGCACAAAAACCATTTCCCTGCCTCCCTTTACTCTCATCACAGCATTACAACGACCTGCAGAGGGAAGGTACACAAGGCTCCCTTTGTTTCTCGGCTGGGAGTCATACAATGTACCTGCTTTAGATGAAAGTCTTACCCTGCAAAGCCACATTTTTTGGTCCCTTTTCTTCCTTTCCCATTTTTACAGAGCCAACAATCAAACCTTCACTTTCAACATTTAACCTTATAAAATATGAGCAGGTCTCGACTTTGAAGGTGGATTTGAGAGTTTCCCAGCTTCCTGCCCAGGGTTTGGCTTTCTGAGAGGAAAGCTATGAACTGGGCATTGGTTCTGAAGGCTCCAGAAATCCCTTTACGATGCCCCCTGATAATTTGGTGACCTTATGTTGTCCTCTGTTCTCACTAAAACCATTTCCAGACTTCGGGGGAGATGCCCTTTACAGAAATGGGTTGGGTGAAGCTGCTGTGTAGTTAGGTGGTCCTCACGGAGAACTGGCATAAAGGGATGGGGGTCAATGCCATATCTGAGGACAGTCACTGCCCAGCAGTGGAGCCACCTGTCTCACCTCACCCACCCCACCTCAGAGAGCCCACTCCCAGGAGAATGTGTATAATGTGGACCTTCCTGTCACAGACAACATCGTTCTCTTTATTTGAAAGGTAGAAATCTTGCATTTACAGCGTAGCAGGACAGTTTCAACCTCAATCAAGAGATTTTGTAACATTGTCTTAGGTACACCTTAAAAAACAACACTGAAAAGAAAGCAGTTCCCTGGAGGGTACAGACACACAATGGCTTTTCAGAGGATCCTTAAGTGGTCCCAGGACTTAGGATACTTTTAAGGTATTGGAACCTTTATTTTGGGGAGAGCCTTGGTGCTATTGCACATAGTTTTCTTTTGAGGAAAATAATGTTTATTACTCCTTTCCTTCTCATCCTCACATTTGTTTTGCTCCACGCTCAACCTTCTCTAGGAGTTTGCTGTAGAGCAAGCTTGTCCAACCCGTGGCCTGTGGATCACATGCGGCCCAGGATGGCTTTGAATGCGGCCCAGTACAAATTCATAAGCTTTCTTAACATGTTATGAGGTTTTTTTGTTTCAGCTCATCAGCTGTTGTTAGTGCTAGTGTGTTTATGTGTGGCCCAAGACAATTTTTCTTCTTTCAGTGTAGCCCAGAGAGGCCAAAAGATTGGACACCTGTGTTATAGAGAAACCATGGTTCAAGTTGTGAGTACGTATTGAGCACCCATGATTTACCTCCCACAAGACTAAGTCCTAGAGATGCAGGGAGGCCCAAGTATTGCCCTGCCCTTAAAGCACTCACAGGCAGTTAGAATGGGTGAAATTGTTATTTTTGCTTTTCAATAGTCATTATCTCCTGAATCTCTCAATTAGAGGTTGGTAAACTAGACTGAGGGCCAAGTTTGGCCAGTGGCCTATTTTGTTTTGTTTTGCTTTAAATTGTGTTGAAATGCACATACCATAAATGTATCATTTCAACCATTTTAAAGTGTATAGTTCAATAGTGTTAAGTATATTCACATTGGTGTACAACCAACCTCCAGAACTCTTTTCATCTTGCAAAACTGAAACTCTACACTCATTAAAAAAATAACTCATCTTCTTCCCCACCAGCCCCTGGCAACTGCCGCTCTACTTTCTGTTTCTATGATTTTGACTACTCGAGGTATTCCTATACATTGAATCATGCATCATTTGTCTTTCTGTGGCTGGCTTATTTCACTTAATATAATGTCCTCAAAATTACACCCATGCTGTAGCATGTGCCAGGATTTCCTTTCTTTTTAAGGTGCTACAATGGCAGAGTTCATATGGGCTGCAAAGTCTAAAATTTATGATGTAGTTCTTTACAGAAAAAAAATTGCCAACTTGCTTCAGATAAACAAGAATTGGTTATGTAAATGCCCTTATCTTCTTGTTTAAAATGAATAGACCCTATACATAATAACAGCTTGCACACAATTTTGCAGATGATAACTTTCACACACATTGCTGCACTGTGCCATGGTATGGTATTTAAAGATGAGGAAACTGAGACTTGAATTCCTGTTCCTAGCCAGCTCCCATTCTCATGGCTTAGGGCAGTGGTCTGAAGTGATTTCTACTCTCCTCAGACTCACTTACCTTAAAACCATCCCCTACTTTTCAGAAATGACCTTGCAGAAAATGTAGCATGGGGCTGAATTTCTTCAAGTTTTTTCCTCCACTAAATTTATGTTTGTATTAGTCTGTTCTTACACTGCTATAAGGACATACCTGAGACTGGGTACTTTATAAAGGAAAGAGGTTTAATTGACTCACAGTTCCACAGGGCTGGGGAGGCCTTAGGAAACTTACAATTATGGCAGGAGGGGAAGCAAACATGTCCTTCTTCACATGGTGGCAGCAAGGAGAAGTGCAGAGAGAAGCAAGGAAACAGCACCTTATAAAACCTCATGAGAACTCACTATCATGAGAACAGCATGGAGGTAACTGCCCAGATGATTCAATTACCTCCCACCAGGTCCCTCCCATGACACATGGGGATTATGGGAACTACAGTTCAAGATGAGATTTGGGTGGGGACACAGCCAAACCATATTAAACTGCTTCTGTTCTTGCTTTCTGTCTTAGAGGGACTACCCCCTCCACCTGAGCTTGCAATCCCATCTCATCCCACTTTCCCTGGAAGCTCCATCATCCATCCTCTTTCCTTATATGATCAGCCTTTCCGTTTTCTGAGTCATTTGCCTCTGCTTTCAAACAATGCTACTTCCCTAAATACATCTATAGCTACCTAAACATATAGAGAGACAGATATAAATATCTTCATATAATAGTATATATCCATTGTCTAGCTATTGATTGAGCTATCATCTCTCTCTTTCTCTCTTCTATCTATCTATCTATCTATCTATCTATCTATCTATCTATCTATCTAATCTATCTATCTTCCCAACCTGCCTTTCCTGCAAGTTACCATTTTCTATAAGGCTTTATTTTATTTTATTTATTTTGGTAGCAAGTGACAGAAAAAGCAACCTGAATGAATTTAAGAAGCAAGAGGAATCGGTAGGATGGGTCCCAGGGTGGCTCAGACAGCTGAAGTGAAAGCCAAACAAGCAGCCAGACTTCAGGAAAGACAGCCGAGGCTCAGGCCCCTGAGGGGCTCCAGAGGATGCCCTGTCTTTGTGTTATACATCTCTGCTTTTCTCTGTGTGGCTTCATTCACCCGGACTGTTTCTCCACCAATCTGGAAACATGGTTGTGGGTGTCTCCCAGGGTCATATCTCTTCAGCATTGCCACCAGAGAGGAATGACCAACTTTTATTTCCAATGGAATCATCCTCGGGGATGACTCCAATCAAACTTTCTGGGGCCACACACTACCCTGTGATGGGTACCATGATTGCAACATTTTCAGACCCCTGTGCTAAGAGTGGAGGGTAGAGCAGTTCTTCAAAAGAAGGCAGGCTTGCTGTAGCCAGAAGGAAGGGAGGGGCACTGGACAGCAAAAATAAATGGATTTTCACTACGTGCTTTATTTTCTTTCTTCTCTTTTCCACCAAATGGATTGAAGGCACTGCCATGCTTTGTGTATCTACTTAATCAACTTTTGTTCACTCAACCAATTCAATCAGGCCCACCTTCCATCTCTACAAATACCTTGTTAAGGTCACTGATGTCCTCCTTGTCCATCTTTGACTTCTCTTGAGGGCTTTGGACCCATTCACACCCTCCTTTTTTCATCTGCCGTGGCTTTGGTGACAACACTCTCCTAGTTCTCCTATTTCTCTGCTGACATTTCACTCTTTTTTGACCTTTGTCCTACTGATTATTTCTTTAAAATGTTAATTCTCCAGGCCAAGATTTGCTCTGATTCACCCCATACAATTCACCTGGGCATTGTGATGGCCTCCTGACCCATCACCACATATAACCAGGGACTCCCAGGTTGTTAGGTAACAGCCCTTTCTCCATCCTGCTCTCCTGGTAGGCATTTACTAGCTCTTTCTCTGGATGTCCCTCAGATGCCTGTCATATGTATAGAAACAGACTCACCATTTTTTCCTTCCTGGCCTCGCCTCTAAGAACCTGCTTCTCTTTGTGAAGTTCCATTTTGAGTATTGGCGCCCCCATCCTCCCAGTCTGCTAAGCCAGGAACCTGGCTTCACTTTGCTCTCCTCACTCCTCAAATAGACAAGACAAGCCCACCTCACACGTATCGGTCAGATCTATGTTTTGTTTTGTTTTGTTATCTCAATGCCCATATCCACTGCTTTGGTTCTGCAAGACATTATTGCTTGCCAGAACTATTTGCAAAAGTTTGCACACTCACCTCTCTGTTTTTAAACTTTTCCTAATTCCTGCAGGGTGAACTTATATACCAATTTTTCCAGAGTACAATCTGATCTTGTGACTCCCCTGCTTAAAAATGTGCATCTTTTCCTTGGCCTCTGAAGCCCTACACAATGGGCTCAACCAAAATTTACTGGTTTAATGCCTTGATACTCCCTTCCATGCGGCCCTTGATTCAAACACTTCAAACTGAACACTGTTCTCTTCATGCTTTTTGAAATATTTCATGTTTATTTCTATCAAATTCATACGTGTGCATAGTTTTTATGGTGAAAAAAATTGTACCTTTGAAGGTTTTCTGTGAAAAACAGTAACCTCTGTTTCTGCCCCTTTTAGAAGTAACCATTTTCAACTCTTTTCATTGTTTTTCTTTTCTTTTTTCTTTTTTTTATTTTCTTTTGGTGTTTGCCTTCATATTTCTAAATAACATGCTCAAATGTCCTCTTTTGAGTTCTCAGATTTAGCATTTACACGTATTTTGTCCTCTCCTGCCCATCTGACTCACACACATACATTTTCCCTGCTACATCCTTGCACTATAATTATAGAGTAAGTTTTGATAGAAACATTCAAATTCTGCATTAATATAACTAGGTGAATATTTTTCACAACTGAGCCATGTTATATATCAAGACAACGTTTCCATCCTTGAACAACTTTTTATTTTCCCATGCGTTAATAATTGCCATGATCTTTGAATTGTTTACTTTTCTATATACCAATCAGTGATTCAGTCCTAAGCTGGTTGCCAGAAGTTAAAATATTCTCTCAATATATTCACAGGTCATGTAATCCATCTGTTTTATTTATGTTGTTGGGATTCGTCTCCTGACTCTATCTCCTCATACGATTTTTCAATTTGAGGGGAGTGAAGATGAGGTTAGGAGAATGCACTCAGAAACAAAATACTAAGTACAGCACTCTAGCATTTGGAAGGAAGAGAAAACACTTTTCCTCAGATGTCAACCCCACTTACTTTATTTTAAAAATCATCAAATCCGTTTATTTCCTACGTCAAGGTATTGCATCTCTTCTTGAGCTACATGGCCTGGGGTCTTCCTTCTGACTAGTTCATTTCTACTTACACACAGCTGGAAGGCACTTACAAAAACAGCCCTTCATCTGGGCACAGTGGCTCAAGCCTGTAATCCCAGCACTTTAAGAGGCCAAGGCAGGTGTATTGATTGAGGCCCAGAGTTTGTGACCAGCCTGGGCATCACAGCGAAACCCCATCTTTACTGAAGATACAAAAAAGTAGCTGGGCATGGTGGTGCAGGCCTGTGATCCCAGCTACTTGGGAGGCTGAGGTGGGAGAATCACCCGGGCCCGGGAGGTCGAGGTTGCAGTGAGCTGAGATCGTGCCACTGCACTCCAGCCTGGTCAACTGGAGTGAGACCCTGTCTCAAAATAAATAAATACAAATAAATGAAATAAAATGTAGCCTCTTCTATCAATGTATTGTGGGATGATGACAATGTTGGTGATGATGATAATGACCCTATGGAAGATTATGCACAAACATGTCTAAATTATATCTGTTTTGATCTTGCAAAGGACACAGAGCAGTCACAGAACAGGAGCAAACAGCCTGCTATGTCTACACAACAGCCCTAGAGATTAAACTGTGGGTACTCTCATTTTACAGAGGAGGAAATGCCAGCAGCTTGCACAGGGTCACAGAACTAGTGTTTACGGGACTGAGGAGTTGAGCTCAGGAAGTCTAACTGCAGAGCCCATACCTTCCTCTGTGCTGTACCACTCTTGAATCTTAGAAATGGTATACTGGGTGTGGTACCAATGGACACAGTAACAAAATACTGTTACTATTCTCTCTGGTCTCACTTCTAGACCCAACTGGGCACACCCCATGTCCCAGGATATCACACTCTGTAGTCATTCCCTCACTCTGCCATGTCTTTCTCTGTGCTTTTGCAGATGCTGTTCCACTGCCAGGGACTCCCTCCCCATATCTTCCTGGAAAACACTTGTTCACCCCTTTGGACAATTCAGTTATCACTTCCTGGAGGGACACTTTCCCTGACTTTCCCAGAAGATTTCCTTCTCCATGTTCTGCAGGGACACCACTTATCCTGCTTCCACTATAGCATGAATCAGTGCTCTCTATACAAGTGCCTAGTACACTGCTTGGACCTCTGAAGGTATTTAGTAAAAGTTTACTTAGTAAATAAACAAAGAAATCAATGAATGGGTGAATGAATTTTCTTAAGTAAACTTTCTCCATAGACCAAGAACCTTGTAAATTCTCCAGAACCACTTTCTCCGATTAAGAAATTTTCCCCAAATCTTTCCTCCATGGTTTACCTTCTCCTAAATTCATTTTTTTGTTGTTATTTAAAATATTGCATAGTGGAAAGTGGCTGACTCTGAATTTCTAACTGTTTTTATTATTCCCAACTGAGTGCAAGTATTCCATTCCACTCCTTTGTTATTCTTTTCAACATTCAACATACATATTACTCATAAAAATGTGACTTCCTGCTTTATTTCCAGTGTAACATGAAATCTACCAGAGAAGTTTCCATAAAACCTACCAGAGAAAATGAAACCTAGCAGAGACAGAAGATTTTATCTGTTCTTATGGCTCCCCACTGTCCGCTCGCATCATGTAATTCTGCTTAGCACTTCTGGGCCCATTTCCTTCAAAGCACTTTCCAAGCATGACCTAAGTGATGTATCACAGGCGAGGGGGTAGGACGCCAGGAACTTGAGCTGTAAATGCAGAACTGTTAAACTCAGTTTTGGAGGAAATTAGATTTTAGAGCTGGAAAAGAAATATGGTCCTGATACTAACACCCTGTCTCACTTCAAATGACCAAACCTCCACCTCTCCTCTGACATCTCCTCCATGAAGACAAGGGGGTTATTATGCTCACTGGAAGGGTGACTGAGATGTGGCTTTTCCAAAGGTTATGAAAAGCTATAATCCCCAGTGGGCAGCCACATTAAAGGACAATTATTTTCTTAAAGATTGTCAAAAAAAGAACTGCCATCACTTCATAAACAAAACACAGTATGCTGGAAAAGCCAGTAATCATTCAAGAACACACATCATGTTAAATTGTAATAATTAACACTTGCTATTTGTTAAGTGCCTACTGTGTGCCAGGTGTTGTACATACAATATCGTTAATCCTTTTCACAGCACTCAGAACAAGGTAATGCATCTTCAAAAGTGAAACCTTTTCCCAAGTCCAGTCTCTGTGACCCCTTTTAGCTTCAAACTAGGAGGATTCTCTCACATAAGAAGGACATCTTTTAGAAAATGCCACTGGATGAGGAAAAGGCTGAAGGTTAACTAAGGAATTGTGCTCACTGAGTGAACTTTTTCAGAATTAGTTTTTCAGTCTCATGGAAAGGTCTGGAAGGTTCAATTTAGCACAGGTGTGACCACTGGGGAGTGAGACTAGGGGCTGTGTATCCAGAGAGGGGAAGTTTTCGGTTTTTAGAGTATAGCCTTCTGATTCACTCACAATTATGTTTTATGTAGTGATTTAGTAATTTCAAAGTATTATAATGAAGGTACAAGTATAAAGATCCTTTATGGCAGGGCCCAGTGGCTCACACCTGTAGTCCCAGCACTTTAGAAGGCCAAGGCAGGTGGATGGCTTGAGCTCAGGAGTTCGAGACCAGCCTGGGAAATGTGGTGAAACCCCATCTCTACAAAAAAATGCCAAAACACTAGCCTGGGGCATGTCTGTAGTCTCAGCTACTAGGGAGGCTGAGTGGGGAGAATTGCTTGAGCCCAGGAGGTTGAAGCTGCAGTGAGCTGTGATTGTGCAACTGCACTCCAGCAAGACCCTGTCTCAAACAAACGAACAAAAAAGCCAAAAAAATCCTTGATAATCCAGATCCTATTTCCATTTATTAAATCTCCTTCCTAGTCTGGTGTTCTCTGCAAATTCAAGTAGTCATCCTTAGGTTCTTCCTGCAGGCAGGGATGGGCTCTGTCTCGTTCAACGCTGGATCTGCCACATCTGGCAACTGCCCCGTGCCTAGTGAGTGCTCAGCCATTATTTATTCAATGAGTTCTCTGCAAGAATTCAAAATTTTCAGTTTTTCTTTTAAAGTTGATATAAAAAGTTGAACATTCTAGACATCTTGGGACTGACCTGACATCTTGGTGCATTTGTTTGCAATAGCATGCAAACTGCTCACCAAAATGGCACAGGCCAATGAGAAAAGAAAACTAGGCAACCTAGTATATAGCTGATGTGTTTGTACTAGGCTAAGGCCAAGAAAACAGTGTCAGACTATGGAATGATAACTGCACAGATGTCACCAGGCCCTTCACAGTATAAACACAAGGGGCTCAAAAGCAACTGCCCCATGGAGGTCAGGATGACACGTGTTAAACCAGTGATTTCACGTCAACCAAAGAACATCACCTGTCACATTAATGTTGTTAATTGGACTCTTATAAGATTTTCATTTTATTTTTATATTTTAGATTTGTAATTGTATAAAAGCCATAAGCAGTATTTATAATCTTGTGTGTGCCTATGTTTAAATAATAATATGAGCAAAATACCAAGTCAAACACTGGGGGTCCATCAAGGAATCAATCTGAAGAACTACAATCTCAAATTGTCATTGAAAATACTAAAGCAGACAAAGCCAAGGAAAAGTGCCCTATGGCATGTACCTTGAATTATTCACACACAGTTGTCAACCAGGTAAAAATACATGTAATAGAACTATTACTCAAGCTGTGCATTTTATCCACAGGATATAATCACAGCTTTATATGCTGTTTATCAAAATTAAGGCATACAATGTCTTTGGCCTCCTCCTCCTATCAGTCTAGTACTAGAAGTTGTTCATTTAACAGATGTCTACAGTGAGCCCTGTAGGTACTGGACCCTGTTTTAGGAGCTTGGGATCCCAGCCTTGGGAGCTTTCAGTGTACAATCCTTCCAAAGTTCTCCTCAGACCTCTACCAAGTTGTGGCTGTACCTCTGATACTGTTTACCAGATTGCATACAGTTTTTATTATCATACATCAATTAACATAACCAGACCAGAAATGAGATATATGCAGTTTCTACCTTCCTGGAGACTTGAACTCCACTAAGTTGAGCTTCCACTGTACTTGTGGCCTCAATCCTGAGGCCAGGGACCAGCCAAGCATCCCCACCTCGTGGCTTTTCTCCCTGCTTGGCTTCTTTCTCCACAGGCCAAGGAGACTTGGGTAATTTGGCCTGAATTTACGCATGTAATTCATTTGAGTTCTATATACCTCTTCTGCCCATTCAATAGATCCTCCCTCTGAGTAACACAGACCCCTCAGCATAAGAGATACGATTTATGTAGAGAAGTGAGAATGTGTTTTAATTGACATCAAGTTGAAAGGGTAGGAAATAAAACTGTATAAAATCTGATTACAGTTATGTGTAATATATGCATGCATTCTAAAAAGATTGAGAGGGAAATTGTTATATTACTATATATATTATAAATATGTTAACAGTTCCGTGCTTGTTAGTTTTCCCCATTGAACTTGAACATAGTTAAAATGTAATTAAATAACTGAATTTAGTTGACATGACATGTTTGGGTGAACATAGGATGCCTTCAAGTTTTCACAACTTTTTAAAATATTCACAAGAAGGTGATCAAGATTGGCCTTAAATTTATAACACAATTGCCCACAAAGTTATCTTTTTCCTCTTTTTTCTTTTTTTTTTTTTTTTGTTATGGGGGTATATGCTTTGCCCAGTGTTCTAGAGTGTTAACTGTTTGTATGATTTATCAAAAAAACAAAAAAAGTTGACAATGATTTTGATTTCATATTCTCCACTTCTCTCAATGCCCTTGAAATATAGTTCATTAGGGCTGGGTGGGATTCCGTTTCCTCTTTATAAGTTTGGTCCTGTTTTGGGAAATCAGCATTTCTGTCTTAAAAAGAAAAAGAGGATTAGAGAAGATTATTTCTAATTGACCTTCAGGTCTAAAACAGCACATTCAGGACAACTCTGTATGATACACATATGTGAAAAGGTCTATCAGATGTAAAGGAACTATAAGCAATTGAACTTGGAATGATAAATTCATATAAATTTAACAAGGAGTGGAATAATATAGTGGTGACTTTGTTTTGGTTATAAAATAAAAATTATTTAACTTCTGAAACAATGAGCAGTTGATCATGTTGAAAAATTAAGAAATAGTGAATGTTAACATGAATTGTAGAATGCTTTTTCCCCAATATCTCTGTATTCTATTAAGAGACAATATATTAGCCCATCACAAATGAACAAATATTGTATGATTCTGCTTATGTGCAAGTACCTAGGGTAGTCAGATTCATAGAAACAATGGTGGTTGACAACTGGGGAGAGGGAAGAATGGGGAGTTATTTTTTAATGAGTAGAGTTTTAGTTTAACAAGATGGAAAGAGTGGATGGTGGTGATGGTAGCACAACGATGTGAATGTACTTAATTCCACTGAACTGTACACTAAATAATGGTTAGGATGTTAAATTTTATGTTATGTGTATTTTGCCACAACTTAAAAGAGAGGCAATGTATTATGTATTATACAAATACATAATACATATTATACATACAGGAAAGTCTGTTTTAGTTCCATATATTTATTTAAGTTGGGAGCACCTTTTTTCCCTAAGTATAAAAGTCAGACATAAAATTGGAAATGTAAAGACAAATTACTTCTTTACAGATGACATAATGAGAATTCTGTAAGGTATCTGGTAAGAGAATTGATTTTTAAATGATAGAGCATTCTTGTAAGTACACGTTATTCAGAAAATGTAATGGAATCGTGAATCTTACATATAACTTTTAAAATAAAATACTTAGAAATAAAATTAACAAGAACTTATAAAATTTGAGTGAAGGAAAGCTTAAAACTTTACATAAGACATAAAATAAATTTGAATAATTGGAGAGACATGCGTAGTTCTAAATATGAAAACTCAAAGTGTAAAACTGTTGTCTCAAAATCTATAAATTTAATGTACTCTTTGCAAAAGTAGATAAATTGATTCCAAAGTGTGTATCAAAGATACATATGTGAGAATACCCAAAAAAGTATTTTAAAAAAGAAAGAAGAGTAATTAAAGAGGATTGGTACCTCTAGTATTAAAATGTATTCTCAAAACTAATTTTAAATGGTTGGTACTGTTGCTAGAGTAGACAGACAGATGAATGGAACAAAATACAATTCAAAAATAGAGCCAAATGCATATGTGAATTTGCTATATGATAAAAGTGTATTCCAAATCACTGGAGAATTGATGTAATTTTTTAAAAAATTATATGAGGGCATTGGCTAGCCCTCTGGAAAAAAGAAACTTAAGACTTTGCTCCTCATGCCAAAATAAGTTCCTGAGAGCTCAAGAATGTAAACTTAAAGTAAGTTAGTAAGTAACTAAATAAAAGTACCAAATAAAAATATGAGCGATAATTTTTTATGAGAGTGGAGTGGCAAGGCCTTTAGAATAAAGACTCAAGGGCCAGAAACAATAAAGAAATAGTAAATAAATAGGACTGTATCAAAATGAAACACTTCTGCAGAGAAGTACCATGGATAACATAAACAGAAAATGTTAAAACTAATGTCCTTAAGATATAAGGAGCTATTAAAATTAAGGAAAAAAAACAACAACCCAATAAAAAAAAGAACAAAAAATTTGAATCAGTTTGCCAAGAGAAAGAAAGAAATGTAGCTTATAAGCTTAATAAAAAGATGTTTATTATAATTCAAATGGGAATACAAATTTGAAAAAGTGATTTGCCATTTTCCACATCAGATAAGCTTGGATATGTTGCTTTAGTAAGAGTTTAGGGAAGCATGCACGTTTACCCACTGATTAAAAAAAAAAAAGTGAGAATTGCTACAACTTCTTTGGAAGGCATTTATGCAACAAATATCAATATTTTAAATGAACATACTATTTTTCCAGTAATTATCATACCAGGTATATCTTATCCTAAAGATATACCTTCACTTGACAGCAAAGACATCTATGTAAAGGCCATATAAAGGATGATCATTTCAGCTTTCTTTTAATATCAAAGGACTAGGAATATATATCTATCCATAAAAAAGACATCAGTTAAGTAAATTAGGATACTTCCATGCATTGGAGTATTGTAGTCATGAAAAGAATAAGTTAGATATGATAGTTTTAAGGCCCAATAGACAAAATGACTGAAACAAAATACAGAGAACCCAGAAACAGACCAAATGATATTTGCTCAATTCAAATTCAGTAAAGTAGAATACCACATAGCCATTGAACATAACCACTATTAGTAATGCAAAAAGTAGGAATTAAAATAAGGTTCTATTTTTAGCTGTTAATGAGCAAATATTTAAAGCATGGTAATATCAGTATTAGTCAGGCTACCGATTTGTTCTCATTTTTTTGATTTCTGTATGCGGTTTTCATTCATTCATTCATTGATTCATTTAACCAATATTTATAGTGTAATAAACTATACATTATGCCAGGCACTGAGTTCTTATCACTCAAAGACTAGTTGATGAGAGTATAAATTCCAATTGTGGTAGTAGAAATCCATAGCTTAAAATAGTCACACTTTTTACTGAACAATTTATCTTCCAGAAGTTTATCTCATATGAATAATCAGGTAAGTGTGCACAGTAGTAGTTGAAAGGATATTTAGCATAGCATTTGTGGAAGATTGCCAAATGTCAAAAATTCCTTCATGCTTTTATGTTATATTTCTTGTAATGTGACGTTGCAGATTCTCACCAAGCAATGGAGTCTATTCTTCAGCCTTTGACTCTGGGTTGGACAGATGACTTGGGTTGGGCAAAAAGACATTACTAAGTATATTAGAAGCTAAGGCTTAACAAGCACTTGCACATTGGAGCTTGCTGTCCAAGCCTCTGAGACCACTGGTGAAGAAGTCCAGGCTGGACCACTATGGATGAGAAACCACATGGAGAGAGGACCCCTAGTTGCTTCACAGAATAATGAACTAAAAAAAAAAAAAGAAATGTTGTTCTTGTAAGTCGAGAAATTGTGAGGTTGTTTATTACACGGTGAAAGCTAATTGATAAGGCATTATTTGTAATTTCCAATCAACAATCCACCTATATGTTTACCAGAAAGACATATAGGTTGGTTAAATTCATACAACGGTGATAAAGTTTGGATGTGTGTCCCCTCCAAATCTCATGTTGAAATACATCCGCCAGTGTTGAAGGCGGGCCTAGTGGGAGGTGTTTGGGTTATGGGGACAGATCCCTCGTGAATGACTTGGTGTCCTCCCATGGCAATGAGTGAGTTCTTGCTCCGGTAGTTGATGTGAGAGCTGGTTCTCTAAAGGGGCCTGGCACCTCGTCCTCTTGTCTATATTTCTCCCTCTTTCTGTCTTGCTCCATCTCTCTTTCTTGTTCCCTCTCTCGCTGTGTGACATACCTGCACCCTCTTCACTTTCCACCATGAGTAAAAGCTTCCTGAGGGTTCATCAGAAGCTGAGCGGATGCTGGTGCCATACTTATACAGCCTGCAGAATCATGAGCCAAATAAACCACTTTTCTTTATAAATTACCCAGTCTCAGGTATTCCTTTTAGCAACTCAAAACTGACTCAGAAAATTGGTGCCAAGGAGTGGGGCATTGCTACAAAGATACCTGAAAATGTGGAAACAGCTTTGGAGCTGGGTTACAGGCAGAGGTTGGAAGAGTTTGGAGGGCTCAGGAGACAGGAAGACAAGGGAAAGTTTGGAGCCTCTCAGAGCCTGGTTAAGTGGTTGTGAAGCATTCTAAAATGCTTTTAGAAACATGAATGGTGAAGACCAGGCTACCAAGGTCTCAGATGGAAATGAGGAAGTCATTGGGAACTGAAGCAAAGGTCACCCTTGTTATTCCTTAGCAAAGAACCTGGCGCATTGTGTCCATGCCTGAGGGATTTGTGGAAGGTTGAACTTAGGAGTGATGATTTAGAGTGTCTGTTGGAAGAAATTTCCAAGCAGAAATGCATTCAGGAGGTGGGGTGGCTGCTTCTAACGACTTACATTCAGATTTGGGAGCAAAGGACTTAATGTTGGAACTCATAGTTAAAAGGGAAGCAGAGCGTAAACATTTGGAAACTTCACAACCTGGCCATGTGATAGAGAAAGAATCCAAGCAGGCTGTGGAACAACCGCTTGCTGAAGAGATTAGCATGACTAAGAGGAAGCCAGGTGCTAATAACCAAAACAATGGGGAAAAGGCCATGAAGGCATTTCAGAAGTCTCTGAGGCAGCCCCTCAGTTTGGGGAGCCAGGCCCAGAGTGCTACTACTGCTCTCTGCTGCCTCAGGAGGCTACTGCTGCATCCAGTCTGCTGCATTTCCAGCCTCAGCTCAAAGGGCCCAAGGTACAGCTCAGGCTGCCACTTTGAAGAGCGCAAGCCACTATAAGCCTTGGAGGTTTCTACTTGGTATGCAGAATACAAGACTAAGGGAGACTTGGCAGCTTCCGCCTAGATTTCAGAGGAAGTATCAGAAAGCCTGGATGCCCAGACAGAAGCCTGCGGCAGGGGCAGATCCCCTTCAGAGAACTTCTGTTAGGGCATGAGGGGAAATGTGGGGTTGGAGCCCCCACACAGAATCCCCACTGGGACACTGCCTATTCCCCACACAGAGTCCCCATCAGGACACTGCTGTGCCCTTCAGACCCCAGGATGGTAGAGCCACAAGCAGCGTGCACCCTGAGTCTGGAAAACCGGCAGACACTCAACTTCAACCAATGAAAGCAGCCGTGGGGGCTGTACCCTGCAAAGCCACAGAGGCGGAGCTGCCCAAGGCCTTGGGAGCCCACCCTTTGCCCCAGTGTGGCCTGGATGTGGGACATGGAGTCATGGGAGGTTATTTTGGAGCTTTAAGGTTTAATGTCTGCTCTGCTGGGTTTCAGATGTGTGTAGGGTCTATTGCTCCTTTCTTTTGGCTGATTTCTCCCTTTTGGAAAGGGCATGTTTACCCAATGCCTGTACCACCATTGTATCTTGGAAATAGATTACTTGTTTTTTACTTTACAGGCTCAGTCTCAGATGAGACTTTGGACATGGGACTTTGGACTTTTGAGTTGAGGCTAGAATGAGTTAAGACTGTTGGGAACTACTGGGAAGGGATGATTGTACTTTGCAATATGAGAAGGATATGATATTTTGGGGACCGGGGACATAATGATATAGTTTAGATGTGTGTCTCCTCCAAATTTCGTGTTCAAATGTAATCTCCAGTGTTGGAGATGGGCTTAGAGGGAGGTGTTTAGGTTATGGGGCACATCTCTCATGAACAGCTGAGTGAGTTCTTGCTCTGGTAGTTTACAGGAGAGCTAGTTGTTTAAAGGAGCCTGACACCTCCCTCTCCTCTCTCTCTTACTCACTCCCTAGCCATGTGACATGCCTGCTCCTACTCTGCCTTCCATCATGAATAAAAGCTTCTTGAGGCCTCACCAGAAGCCAAGCAGATGCTGGTGCCATGCTTATACAGCCTGCAGAGCCATGAGCCAAATAAACCTTCTTCTTTATAAATTACGCAGTCTCAGGTATTCCTTTATAGCAATGCACGATGGCCTAATACAAATGAAATATGAGACTGCTGTTAAAAATGATGATGTGGATTCATATTTACTGACATAGAAAACATCTTGATGTGCTAAGTGAAAAAAAGACAATTATGAAACAGTATGTCGAATATGATTTCTTTTTGTTTTTAACTATAAATGTGTCTGCCAGGTTATACTCTAATGTTAAGAGTGGTTATTTTTGATGATTTCTTAAATTTTAAAAATAATTTTTTTGCTTATATCTGTTGTCTTATCTGTCTACTTGGATTAAAAGAAATAATAAGAGTTTGGGTTTTTTTTGAAGAGAAGAAATACTGAATCAAGTCTGATTTCTATAAGTAATATTTTAATTAACTGACAATTTTATTTTAATTGACAACTAATAATTGTACATATTCATGGGGTACATAGTGATGTTTTGATATATGTAATGTATGTATCAGATCAGAGATATTAGCATATCCATCATCTCCAACATTTATCATTTCTTTGGGAACTAGCTTTTTAAAAAGCCATCATCTGTATATACATCCGGCTCCCTAGCACCGTCTTCTTTCCATTTCTCCCCTCACCTCTGCTTTCTGAGACTTCTTTTGCACCCCTGCCCATGGGCTCTGCTTCTGTGTCTCTCTCTTTCCACTGTCCTCTCTGTGGTTGTTGGCCTCCATGAAACATTCATTATTATTTAATTTTTTGCCTCTGTCACAGCCCTTTTCTATCCTACTCGGGTTCCCATGAAGGATCTGTGTTCGTGAATGAGATCTGAGAGCACTTGGCTGCAGACGTACTTTTGTCTTCTCAGGAGGCAAAGTAATGTGAGAAGACCTAGGATGGAAAGAACGTTACAAGTGCCCAGGGATAGTATTGATATGGGTGGCGGGAGGCGGCAAAATTAGTGCATGAGAAAAAATGCCTTCTGGCTCAACGTAAAAACATAATGCAATGATAACACATTGCACTTCCCATTCTCCCCAGTGCCTGCGTAGTGTTTTTATTATGACTTTTATTAAATAGCTCAATATCCTTTCCAGAGTGTATGTAAAATTCTGACTAATCTTGAGATAAACAATCCCTTTTTAGTGATGGAAAAACAGATTACCAAAATGATTAGGTGATATGTCTTTGGACAGAAGAAAACCTGATTTTAAACTCTGTCTCCTGATTATTACTAGTGAGCTAAGTACTTTAAACTTCCACAGTTAGGAATTCTGAAAGGAATGGCGTGGCCATGCCGATGGTCTTTCCACAAGTAAAATGTCATTTTGCTATGGAAAATTTAAAACATCAGTGATGAAAAAGTAACAACAAATAGTCTCAGATTGGGAAAATAACACTAGTGTTTGTCTCTACTTTTCTACCAATCTCCGTGTATCTGTATTTATTCACCTTTCCCTCCGTACATGATGTGGAAACAAATTTTTTAGGTGGGTTTACACAGGTAAAGTTACCACGTTTATGAGGCATTTGAGGCAGCCTGTGAGCCTTTGTATCAGGTTTTCCAAACAGTCAGTCAAAATGCTAAGTGATGCAATGTAATTATGTGGTTTTGTGAGCTTTGGGATAGTTTTTATTTTTTTAATTGGTTCAGCCCCATGTTTTCCCTAATGGTTACAAATGATTAGAGGCTTGGAGCTATGACATCTGCTTAGTGGAAGGTGATCCTGCCCTAGTAGTCATTCACTGTGCCTGGGAGAAAAAAGTAGTGTTTAATATATTATCAGTGTAAATGGTTGCACTGATGCTAAACTGAAGCAACTATTATTAACTGTGGGTGTGTGTTAATCCATAATTACAGTCGAACCTCTTTCTTGGAGTCACCAAAGATTTATCTTGGGTTGTTTAATACCATGCAGTAAGTATGGGAACAAATTCCTCAAAGCTATATATAATCAGACTGAAGCACATTTCTCTTCAATGTGTGTTCTAAAATGTGTACACAACTGTCTATCCTTTATTGGAAATTCATATCTTATTGGCCTATGCCTTTTTCTGGCTGTTTCTCATTGTAACATCACCTTTAAGTCTAAATATATTGAAGGAGCAGATAGATATGACAGCAAGACTAAAATAATGTGGTTTGTGCTAAACACTCTCTTTTTAAATCATGTAGAAATTGTCTCACGGCTCTGGTAAATGCCCCTTTTTCTCTACCCCTCCCTGAAAGAGAAGTTTGGAGGCTGAATTACAAGTATTATGGGACTGGGTGGGTGTCAGTACTGAGATTCAAAAAGAGAACAGTGCACCAGTTTACTAAGTCGAACTAGTGCTTCCAAATAAGATGCTCAGGAACTCATTGTTCCTCAAATCTTTATGACCTATTATGTGCCAAGAATTGTGCTGGGTGCTCTGAATACACATGTCCTAGGCCCTGTTTTTATGAAGATGTGGCTGGAGTCTAGCTGGAGACACAGGTAAGCAAGCATATCTGCATTGCAGTGTGATTCGTGAAGATCACAGAGGAAAGTATGCATTGCAAGTATTGGCCAACTTAGGTGGGTGAAGGCCAAAGGGGTCTTCAGAGAATAAATGGTGATCATAGACACAGAGGCCTCCAATACAGGCGTTGGAGCAGGTCTGGATGCAAATCACACTTCTACAGAACTTATTCCATGAGCCTGGGCAGATTTTCTCATCTACACTCAACTTTGTTTTCCTTATCAGTAGAAAGGTAATAGATAATACTAGTGGGGCAATACATGTGAAAGTTTAGTGCAATCCCTGGCACATAGTGAAATCTTATTAAATGATAGTTATTATTATTATTATTATATTGCTCACCGCCCCCACATTAGAGACGAAACGGATGGAAGCCTATGGGGGAGAAGTCTGTTATCGCAGTGCACGCAGCTGTGTGAGAAGGAGCATGGCTTTCAAACTCTCTGTCCACATTTCTCCAGTTACACAATGACACCTGGGAAGCTGAGCCCTCTGAAAAGCCAGCCTTCTCTGAGCATCTTTTAGACTTTGTCTAGTGTGTGCCACTCTGCAAAACAACAAATGAATGGCCACGTTGCCTTTGTACTTGTGGAAATGACATTTGTCTGGTAGGGCAAGGGGTTACTATTCTTTCTCTGTGAATATGGTCTGAGATGGGCAAAGTGGGGAAAGCAGAGGAGGAGATGGAGGAGAAAGAAGGGTGGGAGGCAGAAGGGCAGCAGGATCAGAGAAAGAGCCCTTTATCTCCAGCCACGGACACTAAAAACCCAGTGTAAAATTGGCCTGCTGTCTCCAAAGCACTTAAAGTAGCATTGAGTCATCTTTCTTTTCCACCATCTCCTTGTGTTGGAATGAGAAGGGGAGAGGAAGTGGGTCCATTCTGAAACACTGACTTTCACCATGAATAGGGCAGGGGTTCTGTTTAGAGGCAGGAGGTCCAGATGGGACTTATGAATGGATTCGGCCTGAAGGGACAGTGATGAGGCAGGAGAGGAGGTTTTGGGGTTTTGTTTTTCAAGTGTTGTTTCATTTGCAGAATTTATGGTAAAGTGCATAAGTCAAAAACAAAATGGCTCTCTGTTGGCCCAGACATCTGTGGAGTTCTTTGATAAGCATCCCTTGTACTTTTCCAAGGCTACAGAGATCCCTAGAAGGCAGCAAGAACAGGGCAGCGGTGGTGGCGTTTGAGGCTGAGTACCTTGGTGATGCAGGGAGATGGGAGTGAAGGAGGACACCTGTGCTTCCTACAGCTTACTGGGACTTTGAAAGCTGAAGCACAGCCTGTCAGAAACCTTGTTCAAATGCCATCCTCCTGGGAAATCCCTTCCATTTGTGCAGCCCTCCACAGCGTCTTCATCCAGACCTCCCGCCAGCACCACACAGCAGGAGCAGGTGCAGGCGAGGACCCTGCAGTGTACAGAGGCTGAATGATAATGTGCTGTTGTCAAAGTTAGTGAATGGCAAAGCCGGGGCTTGAATTTAGGTTCTTTTGATTCTAAGCCCAGTTCTTTTTCCTCAGTGTTCAGGCCTGCTATTGTGTGTAAATGTGAATTAGTTCATGAACAGTTGGTCAAAGAGAAATGATGTTGGTATAAGGAAGACATAGTGTTGGCTCATACATGATTTATCTGAAGGGACCTCAAATAATAACAGTAGAATGAAAATATTCATTGGGAAAAAGAGAAACCCTTAGCTTGGCTGCTGCACGGGCATCAGGAGTCCCTGTCAATTGTATTTTTACAGATTCAAAATAGGAACTGACCTCTGTGCTGGCAGGCCAGGCCTGTGTGGCTTCTGGCTGATGGCGACTTGCATTGCCTCCATGCCCACCTTCATGGGTGGCCCTACTGACTCACAACTTCACTTCTAATTGCATTGCTTTATCTCTTGTCAGCCTTGCTCTAATTTTCAGCATTTCTACCCCGTTATTTCTGTACATTTTTAATATGTGAAGTGAGAGTCTGTGGCCATGTTGGCGGCCTTGCAGGGCAGCAAAGTCTCTCCCCACCTACTGGTGATCATTGCTTTGGTTGGTGCTTCAGTTACAAAATGCAAAGGTTTTTAAAGGTCTGCCCCAAATTTATGTTTCTTATTAGCCCTCTCACTTAATCTCTCATCTTCTGATTAGGTATATGTATTTACTTTTATTAAACACACATAATCACATGGACTCATTACAAGAATGGGTTATATGGGGTGAATTCTACTACTTTCACTTTACAAAAAAAAACAAAAAAAAAAAACAGACTTTAAGAGGTTAAATAATGTTTTCAAGTGGTAGAATTGGAGCTGAACCCAAAGTCTGCCTGACTCCAATCACATTTGTGGTTAGTAGCTACCATATTGGGCAGCACAACTGTAGACTGTCGTGCTCTGCTCTACCATGTCAGTTTCCTGAGCTTCACGGCATTCTGAGCTTGCAATTTGTGGCATTTTAAAATATTGCAGAATGACCTGTCTGTTGGAATGCAGAATTGATGCTTTCAGTCACAGAATGGCTGTTCTATAAGAAACTTCTTGTTTTGCTCACATTTTTGCAAAATTAAGATTTAAAATTTAAAAGAATACCTGAGTTCAGATATAAAAGAATATTTGACTTGCTCCTAGTTTTTCCCCCAAGATCACATGGCATGGTTAGCCTGAAAAACAGAAAATTGGGAGATATTATAATAGCCAACTTCAGATATTGAAAAGACAATTTTGTGAGAAAGGATTCGATTTCTATATAACCAAAGGCGGCCACAAGTAGAGCAATGGATAAAGAATAGTCAGTTTTGTGTGAAAAGAGAGGAGGCTGGCTTGGAAGAGAGTGTGTGCCTATATTAGAACAAAATAAGTAGATGAAATCAGTGATCTGTGGTCAATCTTAAGTAATTACAGAACAAAGAGCAGATTCAATCAACTGTTAATTTTAAAAAAGGAAATTCTAAAAAATAAGATGTAAAATAAATGAAAAATAAAACAGAAAAGCAATAGGGAAAACCAACAAAGTCAAAAGTGGGAGCTTTTAAAAGATTAATAAAATTGACAAAACCTTAGCGAGACTGATCAAGAAAAAAAGAGAAAAAGAATTACCACTTTTAGGAATGAATGAAAGAAGGGTTATCATGACAGAACCCATTGACACTGACACAATAAGAAGATATTATAAACAATTTTATGTCAGTTAATTTGGCAGATAAAATGGATAACTTTTTGGAATACATTTTACCAAAACTGACCTGATAAGAAATAGAATCTGAATAGCCTATAGCTGCTAGAGACTTTGAATTCATAATTTAAAACTTTTCCAGAAAGAAAACTCCAGACTCATATGGCTTCACTGGTAAATTCTATCAAATATTTAAAGAAATAATAATGCTCCCACACAACCTGTGTCAGAAAATAGAGAGGGAGAGAAGACTTCCTAGCTTATTTATTGAGGCCAGCATTACATTGATAGCAAAACCAAACAAGACTATTCCAAGAAAAGAAAATTACAGACAAATACTCAATATGAATATAGACACAAAAATCCTTGACAAATCAAATTGCCGGATATTTAGCAAATCAAATCCAGCAATTTATAGAAAGAATAATAAACGCTCAACCAAGCAGGATTCAAGAATGCAAGAGTCGTTCAACATTGCAAAATTAATTAGTAATCCACAACCTTAAGAGATTAAAAGAGAAGAAGTCTATGATCATCTCAGTAGATGCAGGATAAACATTAGATTTACATTTATGACTTTTTCAAAAAGAAAACTCTAAGCAAAATAAGAATAGACAGAATTTCTTTAATCAAGACCACTATAAAAACCTATAGCTAACATTAACCTTGATGAAATATTGAAGGCTTTCCACCTAAGATTGGAAATGAACAAGAATGTATTTTCTCACCACTGTTATTCAACATTGTAGATGGAGATTGTGGCCATTGAAATAGTGAAAGAAAAAGAAGTAAAAAGCACACAGCTTGGAAAGGAGGAAGTCTAATTCTCTTTCTCCACAGATGACATACTTGTGTACAAAGAAAATCCTAAAAAATCTACATGCCATTCTCCTGCCTCAGCCTCCCGAGTAGCTGGGACTACAGGCGCCTGCCACCATGTCTGGCTAATTTTTTGTATTTTTAGTAGAGATGGGGTTTCACCGTGTTAACCAGGATGGTCTCGATCTCCTGACCTCATGATCCACCCACCTCGGCCTCCCAAAGTGCTGGGATTACAGGCGTGAGCCACCGCGCCCGGCCCAATTTCCCTAACTCTTACAAATCAACTGCCTTCCCAGTTACGCATTTTCATAGCACTTCTTTAAAGCATCCATCATAGGTGTAATTTTGTATATACTCAACGTGAATGTGTGATTAATGTCATTCCTCCCCGTCCCCCGAGCTGTAAGTTCCTCCAGAGCAAGGAGCATGTATATTTTTGCTCACCAGTACCTAGTAAACTATCTGGCACATGGCAGGTAAGCAATAAATATTTGCTGAAAGAATGAAGACTGCCTGATGAATGAAAATTTTTATTGTAATCAGTTCCGCTGCCACTTTGACAAAAGCAGGTGAAACCATAAAACTCTGCTATCCATTCCTCCCTCTCTCCTCTAATTCCAAATCTATGCACACACACCCCACACTGCCTATGGGGGCCTTCTTTTTTTCCTTCTCGTTTTCCTGAGTTCATTGGCACCAGAATTTACTTGTCTTACAACATGTGTGTGTGGCAAAGGCGTTGAGAAGGGGAGTGAAAGAGGTGGGGTTGGGAGGGTGGGGGGGTGGGCATATGGGGAGATTTGCCTCTTAATGGCAGCTTTAAAGAGATAACCCTGCCCTTAAGGAGCCCAGCAGTAAGAGACTTTGTCAGTCATTAAGAAATCTGCAGCGGCCTTTGTTTGTTCATAAGAACTTTCACACTGGAGGGCATTCCAGGCCACCTATCACTGCTTTCCATCAAGGCTTGGGGGTTTCATGTTTATCTGTGTTACTCATGTGTTGAACTTGCACCAGCCTCCCTGAGTGGCTTTAGGAGGCTTATTTGTGAAACCCGCCTATCGCTTGGCAAGATTTGCCTTGTTAGAAAGGGGCAACATGGCAGTATATTATTACTCCGCCTTCACTAGTGCTTTCATTTTTTATCTTATTCTCTGCCTTCTGAAAGCATGAAGGGAGAATACTGCTCAGATCTCATGGACTGGGACTGCTTGTAGCACTAGGCAGTCCTCTAGAGTCTGCCTATCACCGGCTTTAGTGTTCAGATATTCAAACATTGAGATGGAAAAGTGTATTGATTTACTTTTTTTTTTTCAACTTTGTATTTTGAAATCATTTGTAGATTCAAAGGAAGTTGCAAAGAAAAAAAAAAGGTACAGGGAGGTGCCACGCACCTTTCATCTTACTTTTTGTTTTTATTTACAAATGCGATACATGAACATTATGGAATTTCAAAGAGTACAAATGTATACAAAAGCGCATGTTCCTCCTCAGTAATTGAGTCAACATTTTTCTAATATTTTTCCTATGCACAAATGAGTATATGGATATGGTTGTGTTATTTATCAAAAACAGGATCATGCTGTCCAGCAAACTTCTTTTCCTTACCCAGAATCAAAGTAAAAAATATTTCTGTGTCGGTAGCCATAGCTGCCGTATATTCTTGTAAACAGCAACATAATAAGAGAGAAAATGTTTCAAACCCTTATTTTTAGGAAACATGGCATTTTTTTGGAAAGAAAAGTTAGTATAAGAATGAGCACACTGCAATTCCAGACTGACTTCTCAAAAGAAAAAAAAAAAAATACCTTTTCTAAGGGAAGCTCAGACTCTCAGACTCTGTTCGTGGTTTTAATCAAATTATCCTTGTCTGTAAACAAACACCTTCTCCAGGAGAAGCTGGAGGTGGATCTTATCATCACCGGTATGTCTCCCACTTTAATAATCAGTTGTTTCCATTCCCTTAAGTGCTTAATCTTCTTGTTTAGGAAGGTAAAAATTCTGCTACTTGTCTCAAAAATGGCCTTTTATCCAGCATGCTGAATGAGACTCAGGGCCTTCCTCCGGGAGTCCTTAGGGATGATAGAGATCAGTTGCAATGAGATCTCGAGGGAGGCAGTGGGAAGGACTACCGGAACCCACCATGCAGGTGGGTGGGAAGCCAGTCCTCCCTAGTGGGTAAGCACTGTCCGTGGCATGGGATCTGCTCAGTGCTGACTTATTTTTAAAAGAGAGGCCGACTCGCTCCAGGCCTCCTCCAGACAGCATCACCAAGGGCAGAAAGTGAAGGTGGGGCCCTGGGGATTGCTACTGGCTATTTTGATGGGCTCAGGTACTAGAGATGAGGCCCTTGTAGTCTTAATGTTGGATCCATCTCTTCTCTGCAAAATCCAGACCCCTCAGGACACTGGCTGGAGGGAGATTGCAGAGTATGACAACAGTGCTAGAGGCTGAGGAGAAATAGCTGTTAGAATGGCCACAGGTCCCTCCCTGAACCTCAGAAAGAATGGAAAGCTCGACTTCTTCCCTCGGAGGAGAATGAGAGGGATTGAAGATGTCTCTGTCTCATCACCTGGCTTGCTACACGTTCTCTGCTACCCTCATGCTGACCATGGGCCCAGTCGAAGGCTCACCTAAATTCCCCTGACTGACGCTCTGTTTCTGCCAGGTCCAGGGAAATGATTGGATAACATGTCTGACTACTCCAAACAGGCTCTTAATGGGCAATATTCACTTGTTACTGTTAGCTGGAGTTGCCTTCTCCCACACTTTGCATTTTGGCTCCACCAGGACCTCTGAGCCTGAAACCCAGAAGTCATTGCAGACTCCTCTCTCCATCAGCCTGCACACCCAAGGCCCGCTCTTCTGTACTCTAATGACTCTTTATGGCCACCCCTACGGTCTGAGGTCATTCATTCACTCGACAGATGTTCGAGTGTTTGTGCGCCAGCCTCTGGGCGTGAATGATGAGCAAACTCAGCCCTTCTTGTCCCTGCCTTCATGGCGCCTGTGGCTTAGGGAAAGAAAGTCTTCATCTGTTTTTCCTAAGCTTTCGCACCAGACTGCTCTGTTCTCAGCTTTGCTAACTCAGTTCATCCTCCCTGTGGTCTCTAGCGCATTAAAAAGAAAACACCCCCACCCTCAACCCAAGTCTTAATCTCATCTTTCTTCCTGATGGTATGGAGAAAGAAGCAGCACTATATGAAGTGGCAAAGGAGCAAAGGCTTAATTTTAACTCTTCTGCTGATTATCTGTGTGAGTTCTGGTAAATCTCAGTTCTCTCACTTTAAAAATGGAGTTGGAGGAGGTAATACCAGTGCTAAAATTTATACTGATTCTAATCATTAGCTACAGCTAGGAATGGAGCTTTGCGTAATTTTCAAAGTACTTTATGAAGATATGATTGCTATATAAATAGCTATCCATGTTTAATGTATACATCTTGATGAGTTTGGGAGTAAGTATACACCCATGAAACCATCGCCACCATCAAGGCTCCAAACACATTCATGCATGACCTTATTTCATCCTCACGACGACCCTGTGAGGGATACTATTCTCAGCCCCCTTTTATAGGTAAAGAATCTGAAGTTTACAAAGTTTAAGTAACCTGTGCATGCTCCCCCAGCTAGCAAGTGGCAGACCAGAACTCAGGACTAGTTCCCAAACGGGAGCTCGTTTCTCTATGTGCTGTACTATGACCTATTACTATGTTTGTGAGCACAGGGCTCCTAGACTCAGTACAGGATTAGACTGGAATTGACAGAGCTAAAAAGCTAAAAATAAAATAAATCACAAAATAGCTTAATAAAATGATTCCCCAAATCGCCTCTAAACCTGTTGGCTCCATGGGTCAAGATCCCTGAGCACTGATCACTCCTATCCACGGAGCTGGAAGGGAGTTAAGCCAGCCCCAGAGCCTGGGGAGGTGCAGGGGATGGATGAGAAGCCAGCTAGAGCCCTGGGCAGAGGCAAAGAGAGCAGACTGTGAGGACATCTGAATGGCTTCATTTTCACTTCCTCACTCTGCTTTTCCTCTCTATTTTTCTCTCTCGGTCTCTATATCTGTTTTCCTCTCTGATTATATTTATATCTCCCCTTCTCCTCTACGTGGTGAAGTGAGACTTCTTTCCCCCTGTCTGCTTTCTCTCTCATTCTCTCTTAGTTATTAGCAATGCGATTTGGGGCTATTTATGGGCACAGAAGTTAAGAGTCCTGCCCAGAGGTCACACAACTAGTAGGGAACAACGCTGTGATTTGGACCCTGGCTTCTCGGACAGTGCCCGTTGGCCACAGTCCATCTTGCTTGTTGAAGAGGCGGTGACTGTGAATAGTTGAAGGCAGTGAGAGACGCATTGTAGCCTCTCTGCGAAGGTTACTGTCCTCAGGCTCAGCTCTAGGCAGATCACTAGTTTATTTGCCAGTGGTGACGGAAATTAAAGCACTGCCAGGGCATGCCTGAGCAACAGTTGGTGATTGCTTTGGGCTACAGACCTGGCTTTTCCCAAACATTTGTTCTAGCTAGTGAGGTGTGCAAGTTGGAAAAGGCTGTTAGAGGCAGCCATGGCTAAAGGGTAGGAGGGGAGGCTGCAGAAGTGGGGGAAGTGGAACTGTAGGCAGGCGCAGACGCTGTGGAAAAAGGAATTGGAGAGGAAGAGCTGAGATTTGGGGTATTTTAGGGATTTAAGCAAGGCAAGATGTAATCACCCCCCAAAGTGTACATGAAGCCCTCAGTAGTGCTTTTGAAGTTACTTCGTGTTTTTAAACATCCAGTTAGCCTTTAGAACGGTATCAGGTGAGATGAGTTCAGTCAATGAAGCCAGTCACAACTGGCGTCCACCTGAGAGCCCCGTTGGCCTGATCTCCCCAGGTTATGGGCTACACCGGCATGCTTATAAGTTTCACTCTCAGTGAAAGACGCCCCGCAGGCCCCCGACGGAGGAGTGCTCAGCCCCTGGACATGCCTTTTGGGAATGCTAGCCCCAGTTCGGGATTTGTTTCCTGTTTAGCTCTGCCGGTGACCCCCGGTCAGCTGTCCTCTGGCGTTCCCCAGCCTCACAGAAGGGGAAGGGCACAGGTTTGTCATTTCTGTCCCCGTCTCTTTGTTCCTTGCGGATCCCAGTTTTCTCCATAAATGCTGCAGCCTCTCTCTCCTGGCCGCTCCTTCCCCTGCTTCCCTTATCATCTTTCGGCATTTCCTGCTTGTGTAATCAACTCATCAAAAGGAGGGGTCCCCACAGTGACAGTGATAACGAGCCTCCCAGCAGGTCCGCGTGTGTATGGGCTGCACAGAGTGCCTCGATGATGAGAGGATGCCCAGGGGATCTGTAAAGCCTTGGTGGGCGGGCGCTTTCAGGCCAGCACCCCAAAGTTGACCTCTGCTTCCTGAGAGCTCTTGGAAGGCGGTGCTGGAGGGAATGGCAGGTGGGAATCCTCCTTCCACCTAGAGCACCTGAGGGAGCCAGGCTGAGGCAGGCGCTGATTGCAGGGAGAGGAGGAAGTGTGTAGCCACGCTGCCCTCGCCGCCAGGCCAGAGAGCTGCCCCAAAGGCAGCTCTGGAAGTGCCTGGGGAGTTGCTGGCCTTGAGCAGCCCGAGGAGGTCTCTGGCCCCATCTCTTTCCCTGGCTGCTGTCACAGCAACTGGACTTCCTCCTGCCTGTGACGACATTGGGTGAACGTAGTTGTGAGATTGATGAGACACAGACTGTATCTCATTGCCCTTCACAGCCCCAGTGTTTACTGTGATGCTTGGCACATAGTAGGCATTCAGCATCATTGCTGCCATCTGAGAAAATTAAAACAGGAAAATACGATCAACATTAACAGGCTCGCTACCCAATCATTGCTCAGGGGGAAAAAAATACAAATAAGGTGAAGAATGGAGTAGGGAGAGAGAGAAAAAAGGAGGAACCCAGAGCATGGGGTACTTCAAAGGCAGAGACCTGGGTGGGGCATTTCAGTCCCCTCAAACCCCCTCCTGCCTGGGAATTAAAAAAAGAAAAGAAAAAAAAAAAACCGGAGGAGGGAGAAACAGAAGAATCGCCAGCCATGAGGGGATAAGCTGGTCGGTGAAGGGCAGGTTCTTTTGCCGCCAGCCCAGAGTCAGGCTACCTTAAGCGCCTGTCCTGTCTGAGACTGTGGCTGACATGTTTCCCCAGGTGAATATAAAAATACCCAAAGGACAGAGCCCTTCGGCAGCGGTTGCTTTTCTTCTTTGAAGTTCACAGGCTGAAACAAGTTGCCTCTTCTGCCTCACACACAGAGAAAACTCCGGTAATAAAGCAATTTTTTCCCTTCATTTTGACTGAATCAAATAAGAGTTTGTCCTTTTAAATTGTCTGCGGAAAATGTAAATTCTAAGCCTGAAAGTCATTCAGAAAATATTAGCAGGGCATACGGAAGGCAGAATGACTACGTGTCAATGAAAAAAGGTTGCCTGGATTTCGTGGTGTACAATAGGGGCTCCAATAATCAACAGCACCATTTGTAGAGATGTGTTTGCCTTTTTGTATTTTAGCAAAAGAAAAAAGCAGGAATAAATATACTTGTCCTCGTCTGGATTTCTTATTATAGTGGCAGGATTCTTTAAGATTCTCCCTGCAGTATTCAGGTTTTTACTCTTCAGAAGAAAAAAAAAAGGCTGTTCAGAGCAAGTTGTTTTATTAGTAAATGTTAGTTCCTGACTTGTGTGTGTGCTTATTGGAAGGACTAGTTCAAAGTCCAGGAAGAAACAGAAATGATCAGTGCTTAGGGGATAAAGAATTTTTTTCCCGAGAGTATGACAGAATGACTAAGTGAGGGAGCATGTCCAGAGTCAGATAGATTCTGGGCACACCCTACTCCTCCCTCCTCATTTTTGACCAGCTCTTCTCTAGATGAAGGAAATAATGTTTCTAGGCCATCTTCAGAAGGAAGGAAGCACCAGGCCCATTGCCTCCTGGTTGAGAAACTGTTCTCAAGGCTGATTTATCCTTCCAGACTGCAGGACTCTTCTTTAACAGTGATTTCAAAGAGTTAAACTGCTTCCATATGTCCAGCATGAGAATGGAGTTTGTAGCCTTTGGCAACCTCAGCTGAATCCAGCTGCAGCTGCTACCTGTGTGTTCCACTGTGTGTGTGTGCGCGTGTGAGTGTTCTCACACACACCCGCACGCCCGTGTGTGCAGTGACATCTGAACCATGTTCCGACTGTGTCAATGAAACTGTTATGTCTTTGTTGGGGAGATATGAATTCTGAGCAATTACAGCTCCCTCTCTCCTCATTCCCTCCCACCCCCCTCCCCTCCCTTCATCTGCTCAGCAAGGACCATGGACCATGTCAAACAATATACAACAGAGAAGAATGCAAATAAACTTTAGTCTGCATCGCCCAGCAAAGCAGTTAGCCGCCCACTTGCAAGATACTTAACTCTTGTACACATGATACACAAAGAACGCTAGCTACTTTCACCAATCCCTTCAGACCAAAAAAAAAAAAAAAAAAAGGCAAAAGAACTGATCCTTGTCTTTCTATCTGTGAGGTTGCAGTTCCTCCTGCTAATAAAGGAGCTTTCTCCCATGATGCAGTGTGATAAGGATTGGCCTACATGTAGTCCAGCAAGCCACCGCTGATGTTTTCTTGATTAGGTGTCTTATCTTCCATTGAGCTGCATCTGATGAAGGTTGCTGACAGCATAATGGCTGGGAAAACGTCGGACAGCTCCATAAAATGGCAGCTATGTTATGACATGTCAGCCAGGACCTGGTGGATGGTAAGTTTGGCGTAATAACATTTTTTTCACCCACCCCCAAAACTTCCCTCCCTTCTTCCTTTCGAGCTCCTCCTCTATTGTTCCATGCACGTGTTATAAAGTTCGCTGCCTGTGGAAAGTTCAAGCTCAAGTTTTGGGACCCTGGGGTGCCTCTGCACACCAGTGTGCTAGATAGGATTTCCCTGCTATTGTGGCCGGGGGCATAGGCCTTCTTTTTAAAAAGGCAGCATGAGTTTTTGTTCCCTTTTTTTTTTTTTTTAAAGAAAAATGCAAATGGTACAGTCGGTCCCAGGCCGGCTGCTGTGAAATAGATGGAGGTGGGGCAGTCAGTAGGGGATTGGAGCCTTCTTGGCTAATTGTTCTTGCATTGGTCTTAAAACAGAGTAATGTACTTCTTTCTGCAGCTCCTCTGAATAATGATTTAGATAGTGTATTGTATCATGTTGTGTGCGGCTCCCTCATCAGTATGCGACTGTCCCCCACGCTTTGCCTTAATTTGGAATCCACCTCCCTTTCAATGAATACTGTAACTGGAGCAACCACTGATTACTATGCCACTCAGCGTAATTAAATTTAGTTAATGAGGATATGCATATTCAGTTCATTATTTTTCTTTGCTCAGGCAAATGTGTGTGGGTTTGTTGTTGCTGTTTTTCCCCTCTTATATTTGTCCAGCTGCAAATGTGGGGAAGAAGGAAAGGAGCATAGAAATTCAGGGAGGGATATTGGTGAATCCTGTGACTCAACTTTTAACATAATATTGGGAAGAGAGAAGTTGTAACTTTCTGTAATCAGAGTGCTGGGATGAGAGGTAGTAGTTTGGGGAAAGAAAACCTTTCACATCCAAAAAGTGCTACATGATAAATTTCAACATACTGATTTCTGTTGTGTGGACAATGGTCTCTTGTATGCAATAGTCGTGACAAGAATGGGGAACCCTTTCCACAGGCAAGCATTTCATATGACTATTAAATTCGTCATTGGGTTCATTCATCTGAACATTTACTTTCTTTTCTCATTTTCTTTTTCTTCTTTTTTTTTCTTCTTTTTGCCCCTTTCCTTTTCTGTCTTGATTGCTTTTACTCGTTTGCTTCGATAATTATTGTGCTTACTACAAGGGCCGTTTTTCTCACAATTAGTACAGTGGAAGACAATGGGCACTTTATTCTAGGTGGGGAGGGGTATGGCCAGCCCTGGTGGTCAGCTCATCCACTGTGCCCGGACAGAAGGAAGCCTGGTCTGATTAGTCCTGGCTTCTGGCATTGCCAGGCAAGAGGGTTTCTTATGAATGTGTTTGAATTTCCTGAAAGGTGGATGTTATGCTGTTGATCCTAGGCGTCTCGTGAAAGCTCAACGTTCAGGGAAGCTTCCCTGGAAGCTGAGTCCTTCTCTGCACCCTTTCTCGTTAATGTGAGATGTGTAAACCTGCAGGAGAACTTTTCTGCCGCTGCTACTTGTTGCTGTTTTGAGTACTCTCAGAAAGAAAGGCCAGTTCCTCAAGGAGAGACAGAAACCTCTCTCTCTCTCTCTCTCCCTCTCTCTTTCCCCTCACCCCTATTTTATTCCTGATGAAATAGATTTTACAAGTGATATAAACTCTAAAGTGGCAAACTGTTATTTATGGTTGTATCTCTTACTATACTTTAGTACTGTGCGTGTACATGGTGAAATCAACTGGCAGATGCTTGGGGAAAAATGCTGTGAAATGTTTGTGTAAAAGATTTGCTTTCTGTGACAATACCAAGGCTTGGAAGTGATGTTTTAATAGTTACCCTGCCTCTTAACTGTCATTTTACGTTGTTCTAAGAAGTGAGTTTTAAAATCAATATTCTTACTAAATGAAACATTTTCTGTTGGGGAAAAGTAAAAAGGTTTACTCTCTACAATTTTACTGAAAAACTGGGATTAAGATGGGTATAGTAAGCCAATCACTATTAATATTTTGACATTAAATTTCACCATTCTACTTCTGTACAGTCAGATTGCAGCTTCTCAAGAGAAGTAGGCTGTGAATATTATTACTAAAGATTTGCATAAGCTGATTGTTCGTTTTTAGAAATTGTGGTCTTTTATTGCTGAGAAGATGCCGAGTGTGTACAGGGACAAGTTCAGAGGTAAAATATTAGGCTAAAAATTATTGCGTAATTTATTTTGGTATTTAATCTTCATTAGGTTACATGAAGAGTACGTAAGTTTCTTATTGGGACCATTCTGTTTTAATAAACTTTGTTATTTTGGCACCAAAGTGTTTAAGGGATTATTATTTAATGTGTCATTGAAAACTTGGAATGACAGATGCTTTGTGGAAAACCTAATTAATCAAACTAAATGATTGCTTATCTTTAGTAATACATTGGAAGAGAGAGAATTTAGAAGAGAGACAGAATACATGGCGGTTACTTTTACATGGTTCCCCTGTTGTGGATGTAAGGAAGATTTTTTAAATGTGTTTTAAGGTTCTTACAAACTCGTTTATTGTGATTCTTCTCTCACCGTGACACTGATTCTTTTATTTTTATAATAACTCTGGGCTCTTTGTGTAAGAAAGGATATTGTGTCCTTCTTTGGCTTAATCAAATAAAATTTTAGTAACCAGATCCTGAATTCCAAAGCTGCAGTGTTAAAGTACCCAGGCAATTGCTTCCTGACTTATTGTCTGTTTCAGTTAGATTCTCTTATTGTGTGACAATGATCATAAATTCTACTTGACAGGGAAAAAGCCCAAACAAGACGTAGTTGTCCAATTCTACATCTGTTTTCCTTCCTAGACAGGCATGTTTTAGTAAAACAGAGGGAGGAAAAACATTTTATTGAGACAGCTAAAAATAAACAAGTACACGAAGAGTAAACTCCTGTGTGTGTGTTAAATATCATCTACCTACATTCAGTTTTTAAAATGACGCATCCTTATATATTTTACTTCTTTAGATGATTTTGTATGTGACTTCTTTCAAGGAGAAAAATCGCGTAAGCAGTTTAAATTACCGTTGCTTGGCTATATTTAGAGTTCTGTTGATGACCTTTCACATTATTTAAAAATACCACTTGGAATGTATTAAAGACATATCTCCTAAACAGCACTATTTCATTAATGGTTATTGATGATGCTATATGTTTCCTTTTAAAGCACTCATAAATAAAACTACCAAAAACAATTTTTGGACTTTCCATTCTATTTTGTACTTCACATTTAAAGCTCTCTGTGAGACTTAGTAGAACTTCTTTGTCAGCTATTTGGAACTTCAGAGTAGCAGGTATGCACCAGACATTATTTTTTTCTCCAACTTTCATAAATCTAATCATTTGATCCCATCAGAACCAGGCCAGAACATTTGTAAGTTTACTTTAATCATGAAGGGTAATTATTTGAATATTAATCTGTAAAATTAATTTGAAAATTAATTTGCCAGTCTATGCAACTTGAAATTCTCGTAGTCTTGTAAATAGTAACCACAGTGAATGGGCATATAAGCACAAACACTAGGCTAGATCCTCTGTTATCCAAGGTTATTCTTTGTTGAACACCAATCAGTCTGCTCAGTTGTAATGTGCTTTTTATTTGTCTTGAAAGAAAATCATTTTTACTTTTTGAGAAGTTAGTGTGTTAAAACAGTGAACCAAGTACCCTCACATAATCTTATTTTGTTTAAGACAATGTTAATAAAAGTGTTAAATCCATCAATTGTTTGCTAGGCTGTTTTAATAATCAAATTTTGTTCTCAATGTTAATTTTAATTAAACAACTTGGCAATAATATCAGTATATGTAGGCCACATTGAAAAGATTGTTTTCACAGCAAACATTTCTCTGAAGCCTTTGAGAAGTTGAAGTGAAAGATATATAATTGACTATTTTAAACTGAAAATCCTAAAATTAATAGATCCTCTGATAAATGCTGAAACTAGTATATGTTACGGTCTGTATTTCATTTTCTTTTACTAAAAACTAAAGAATTTCTAAAGAGTCTGATAAATATGCTAAATATATATATTAGAAAACTTCTGCCTAACCTAATAACCGCAGCTAGACTCCTATGGTAATCTACCAGCCATGCAAAGATATATCTGAAAATCAAAATTCAATATTTATTTAATTTCAAATTGTATTTAATTTCTAGAAATGTAATTGAATATGGAAATGTAGAAATGTGGTAGAAACTAATAGATACCATACCATACATATAATAACCATAACAACTAGTTGTCTAAAGATATTATGTCTAAATATTGGATCTATTTGTAGAATTTGAAACTATAAAATTTATGTTTCAGTTGACAAATACCTGTAAAGAACATACTATATGCCAGGCTCTTTCTAAGGTGCAGAGGAGACCAATCCTATCGCCCCATTCTGGAATCAAACCCATGTCACAGTGTTATGGAGGGGGGTGATCGACATCATATTAATGAAAGCTTCTGAATAATTTCTGTTTTCTCTAAAATGTTGCTAACTATATAGCTATTATAATACCTTTGCAGATTTATCACTCAGTGTCATGGTAATTAGTACATCTTTTCAGTATCCTTTCTTAGACCCATAGGTGAATGTTAATTTTACTATTACTTCTAAGCTATCTCCTGTACAATTAATGACATAGATAAAGAATAATGGTTTATCGAATACTAGTTTCTGAGTAAAACAACAACAACGATGATGATATCTGAGTAAAAAGAAAATTTTAACATCTGTAAATAATAGTAATTCGTTTTTAATATATCAAATTTTGTCACAGAGAAATTATACTTTTTTCTTTCATGTCTTCCTTACCTATGTTCTTTAGTGTTGCATTTTCATTTGTGGTACCATTTTAGCATATTTAAATACAAGTGAACTATATGAAGATGTGGTAAAATACATTAATCTTCTTCCAAGATACTTTCTTATGTGGGAATGACTTTTATTTCATTTTCCATGATTTATTTTCATGTATGTGCCTGCATAATGTAACATGTAAACTTTGGATAAAGAAAAGTATCCTTAGATCCTATCTTAATAAACAGTGATTAGATGGTTATTAATTTAATCAGAGAGTAAGGAAACACAAGTGCCTGCCTATCCTCTTTTCCAGTTCTTTTTTGGAAGCAAAGGGTCGTGTTCTCAAGGAGAGTTATCTCTTCTATCTATGGGAAAGCTGGTGTTGATTTTCCAGTTTAGAGACTAGTCAACAAAGAGAGATATCTGATGCTCACGACATCATTGAAACTACAGCATATTTCTGTAACATGGCTGAATGATGTCAATCACTATTTTTAGGCATTTTAAAATTCCCCGAGATTGTTATTTTCTATGCTGTGATTTGTAATACATATTGTTCTGAGGGGGTGAGAAAGTCTGCTCAGAAATAGGAAAATTTAGCAGGGCAGGAAAAGAGAATTACATTCCCCTGTTGCGTCTCAATGTGCAAAAAAGTCAGGATATTGATATTCAGTGCAAAAGTTCTTTTCACAAGAAGTTCTGCTAAGGGATATATGTAGCTATGCTACATGTTTTATTAACTTTTAAGAATTCTAAATTTTATTGCATTTTAAATGCTTAGCAAAGAGCCAGGAGAAAAGAAAGTACTCAGGAAATGTTCGTTATGATCATTATTATTATTTCAACTTACACTAAGCATGCTTTATAAATGGAACAGATTTAACATATCATGTAATAAACAGCTTTAATAACAATTTCCATTTCTCAATGTTCTAACATTAATTTTACCCCAGCACCTCCCTAAAAATATGACTTTATTCAGAGAGCTTTTTTTTTCTAACTTCTCACATACTATGTTCATTTTCTGAGGTTAGAACATAATGGATATGTTTATGAGCACAGGGCTGAATCCTGGGAAATGTAGATTTGGTGACCTCTGGCAAATGAATTTGCTCCTCTCACGGCTGGTAGAGGCAGCTGTAAAGTGCAGATAATCATACTCATTACATGTCGCTCCAACCTGTCGTGAGGATGAATGAGATGGAGTCGGCGAGGCACCTGGTGAATGCTTTGTAAATACAAGGTCCACGACACATATCCAAGGGGGCTAATACAAATTGTGGCTATTTATACAGTCTCAGGTCTGAGCACTTAGTAGGTGCCCCAAAATACACACAAATAACACGGTGTGTTATTTGAATGGAACCATAACATTTCCTATGGGGTTTTCATAATCATGTTGAGTTTTTAAAAATTCACATGAACATTTTTGTGGGAACTGCATACATTAAATGAATCATAAAAATTCAGGATTTTCCATTTCAAATTGTAGCAGATTTCTTAAAAACAGAGACTCCTGAAATATTTTCTCATGGTTAGCAAGATCCAATGGCTAATGTTACACATTAGCTTAATTTTCATCATTAAATACCATGATTTTAAGGGTAAAAGAAACCAATGACTACGGAGGGCCTCCTCTTTGCCAGGTGTTTGCCTGGTACTTTGGAAGGCAATTTATATAAATCATCTCCTTCAGTCTTCAGCACAGAGCAATAACATAGACATTACCAGAACCACTTTACAGGGGAGGCCACTCGACTTCAAGGTTAAGCAACTTGCTGAAATGCACTCCACTGATAAGGGGAGAAGAGGAGAGAACACGAAAACCCTCAAAGTTTAAATAAAGTTTCTCTGCTCTTTCCCAAGAACCCAACCATTGACTATTTCACCCATATGATCTGGGTTATAACTAATTATTGGTGACCATGGTAAGGTGTTTGACCATTGCCTGCTTTACATCAGTCTGCCCCTCCAGCGCCATTTCATGCCTCTTTCTGGGGCTCAGCTCTCCCTCTGTGTTAAATGGGCCAGGACACTCGCTCCAGAGCTGTGTCTGAGAACTGTAGAGCTCTGGGATTGGAGGTAGTTGAATTCTTTGGAAATGCGATTCCATTCATCTTTCCTCGAGACAATTAGACTCGCTATAGTCATAAGCCATCTGGGGGAAATTTTTTGGAAAGAAATTGGCAAGCAAAATGTTTCCATTTTCAGGTTTTGATGATATCTGTTTACCTCCTGGAGCTCTTGTGAGGCTCCAATGAGATAATACACAGTCAACGACTTGAAAACTGTAAAATGCAAAACAAATCTAAGGTATACATATTATTATCTGGTGATATTAAACATGGGTGGATGAAGAAAAGCTTTCCAGAATTTTGCCGGTGTTCTGGAGTGTGATATAATGGTAAATTCTCACCAGCCAACAGAGGAAATGCCAGCTGCTAAAACGTTGTATGATGCTATCTGCAAATTCTGCTGCTAAACTCAAAAGTATTAATCCTTCAGATAACAATGCACTGCTAGTTCACCAACATCTCATGTAACAGTAGTGATAATATCTACCACCTCTTTTTGTACATTTAATGAGAAGGCATGAAATTCTTAAAAATTTCACCTGTGCCATTTTGCGGTTCAACTCACATTTTTCATTGATCCAAGTTTGCACCTTAGCTTGTACCACAAAAGACTCTTAATCATTCTTAAATGAAATTATTATTTTAACTCACACTTAGCTTATATTATAATGGGAAAGATTTAGCTGGTCACATGATGAACAGTACATTATGTTGTAAATGGGATTTTTTTTCTGTTATTTTCAAGGTTGTGAGAGAGAATATTACCAGCAACTGTTTGAGAGAAAACACCCTAGCACATTTGATACGTTTCTATGCTATAGGTATGAATGTTTAATATAAATGGGTCTACTGTATTATATGGCACTTATTATGTGTGAATATAAGATTTACCTTCTATTATTTAGTTGCTCAAGTGTGCAACCAAAATTATAAGCCCCAAGAGGATGGGGACCACATCTTATTTACTAGCCCTAAACAGCATTTTGTACCTAAAAGGCCCTTAATGAATAATTGCTAAATTGCATCAAGACTGCTGCTATCCCATTTTACTAATAGAGAGGGGAATCCAATGAGCACTCAAGTTCTGGGTTGATCAATGGTAATGAACTCAAATCTGTGGGCCCAAGTTATGAATTGTTATGCCGTCTTTTTCCAGATAAAACTTAAATGTACTAGAGGCATGTTGGAATTATGATGAAATTAACAGCCAAGTTTTAAAACTGAAGGTAAGAGTAAGAAGAAGGCCCATAGCAAAAGCAATAAGTTTGTATTTCTCTGCAAGCACACAAGCTCAGTCAGTATGAAGTGGTAGGGCAGCAGACGGACCTGTCACCCTTGTCAGCAAACGTCATCTCTAACTGTCGCAATTCTTTTATCGGACTGACTGAGATCGTTCAGGGGTCTAATAAGTTAGAGAGTTTGGAAAAGGTTAATGTATTTGGGGGATAAATGATCAAGGCAAAGTGACTTTGGAATAAATGAGCTTTTTGTATATTTTGTTATTTTTGACGAAATAAGTTTCATTTAAGAGGATTGATTATTTTTCCAGTGTAAGGCTTCAGTCATTTCCCCATAATTCTTACATTTATGGCGATGTCGGGAAGGTCTCTGGCATGGGCTGGCATTTTAACATTCAGTGTTTGGGTGAGAGTTCAGAGGCACACGCAGGAATAACAGAAACCTCAAGTAGAATGGGTAGACTGTGGAGAGGTGTGGGTTTGTGGGAAAGTGAGTAGGAAAGTATCCAATCACTTGTGAAGAAGTACGTGCTTATAAATAATTTTGAGAAAGAGATATTTAAAGTTTAAAAAGCACTCCATTTGGATTCAGCCCTGCTTTGACCACTGTAAGTTGGTGTCTGCATGAAAGCTGAGCCAACACCAAGTGTGCTCAGGTATTATAAACTCTGCAGCCCAATCTCCAGAGCCCGAAAAGTCACCTGCCCTACTCTTATGACCCACTTTTCCTCAGGGCTCTCATGAAGTAAATTTGAGAGAGTACTCTGGAGGCCCCTGAAAAAAATCAGGTCCCTCTCAGCCAGACACTACCCTTCTATACCAGCAGAAACTTTTCTTTCCCTCAACTCTCTCATGCTTATTTTCAGATATTTTAAAGTGAAATGATGGTAGAGACACAAGGGAGAAAAATTTGATTGTGGATTATTATTTTTGCTCCCAAACACTCCAGTCACTGTTAGAACCAGGAGCACCATTCTCCCTTCTAGAGCAGAGCCTCTGGTTTGAAGGAGGAGGGAAAGAGCTGTGTCTACAAGATAAGCAGTCTTCACCTTCAACAGTTCTTACTATTTCAAGGTTCAATGCTGATGCTGACAGCTAATCTGATGAAAATTATGCGGAAGGAAATAAACTTTCATTTCTCCAGTTTGGACTTTGAACAATAAAGGTGGAAGAATATGAGACTCAAAGTAACATCATATATGCTCTAGCATGCACTGCAGGGGATAATAGTTATTGTGATTTTCCAGAATTCCAGGTAGTTTGCTATTATCGATAGTCCTAAATGACCTCACGCAAACTTCGTTCACCTTCTCTAGTATTTCCTCTGGTTTCCTGTTAGGTGGAATCGTGGAATCCTATGTGATACAATAATAACAAAGACTTTAAAAGAGACAACAATGCTTTTTTTTATCCATACATAGAAGAAATAACACTAAATTGTTATTTTATTTTTCCAATAAGATGTTAATTATCGTATGTGAGGCTATTCATTTTATTGGCACCAAAGATGTTTATAAATGGTACCCCACATAATACAAACCACATGTTTACGTAGCATGAATGTTCAATCAATTAGTTTACACACATAAACGCTGGAATATTGATGACACATGTTAGTTTTTAGTGGGAAAAAAGCCAACAGAGCTAATTTGATGCATTGATCCTTGGGACCTTCGCACAGATGTAAACCTTTGACTTCATCGCAAGTGATTTGGCTGACAAACAGTAGCTTGTAATTATTGTTGTGCCATCATAAATTAATTAAAAAATCAATCAATCAGCTTAGACCAGGCAGGCCAGCCATATTTGTCAGTTTGGGCTGTTTCCCTTCACTTTACTTCCCTCACATGTTCTCTTCTTATCAGACACTTTGAAAACATTTGCTTGTGCCAGATTGGCTTTCTCCTAAACTTTCATAGGGAATTCCAAACAATAGCATGGATATGGGGAGATACTGCTGAGGAATTGATGAATATTCTCTAAACTCCTGGCCATAGGACTACCAATGGGTAGAGTGAATAATTATTGAGCATTCAAAGCCTTTTGGCCAAAGCCATCTCCCCACGCAAGGGATAGCACCTCAATCTCTGGGCAAACAGGCATCATTTAGGGACTGAGTGATTGCTAATGTAACAGTTTTCAACATTGTCCCAAAAGGTGCTTCTTTGATTATCTTTCCACCCAAGCCTATATTTTGAAAGATTCCATTAACTGAACAAATTGCATGTATTAAACTGTGAGCTGTTTTTGCATTTTTCAGATATCACCATCCACAAAGAACTCCGATGTACCAGGTTCTCTGCTAGGTACTTTGCATATATTATCTTATTATTAAATAACAATTTGCAACAACCTTGAAAAGTATATGTAATTCCCATTTCACAGCAGAAAAATACTGAGGCCCAGGGAGTTTAAATAGTTTGTCCAAGCTTACTCGGCTGATAATGGGCAGTGCCAGGATTAAAAGTCAGGTTATTGGCACTTCCCATAACACCATGATTAACCAAAGACATCAAAGGACTTCTGAACAGAACATTACAAGCCGTGTTTTCACATGGAGTTGATGTACTTCTAGCCCAAATCAAAGAGATTTGACCTTTTAGTTAGAGGACAGAACCTTATTCTGGATAAACCTACCATTTTCGAATGGTATTTGTGAAATATTAAAAAATAGTTCCTGCATAATTTTATTCAATCTCCTTTCAAGAAATTTGAAAGGGTGGAGAACTTCTGAATCTTTCTTTGTCCTGCTCACTAAAGCCACTCTTCCTGTCAATGCAGAAGCATCATCCACCACTTTGTGAATAGGGTGTCATTGCTGCTTTTGTTCAGCCTCATTTTCTTGTCCTGAATCAATGGGGCAGTAGAAAAACAGCTGAGCATCCAAAGAACCAGATGGATGTCCCTAAACTGGTCTGTAGGCATAAGCGAGCCATTTAACCTCTGAGTCCTGACTACTTTTTTGAACCACTGTAAATGAAGCAAAGGAAAGTCAGTGGTTTCTCACTTTTTGGGCCTTCCATCATTTATACATAGAACTGAAATAATCTATTCATGAAGCAGCCTTACCCTTAGTACCTGAAATGCACATTTACTAGTTTTCTACTTTATTCTATTTCATCTTTTTAAATGAAGGTGCTGTCTCACTAAATTGATATCTTGACCTGCTAATGGGTCATGACACATGGTTTGGAAAATACTGAGTGAATGCAAAAGTTCTCTGTAGAAGCTAAATTTAATATCTGCACAGAAGTGCTTCAGATTCCTGTGTTTAGAGGTCTTTCATTATTTCAGCCCCTCCTTTTAAAGGAATTTCATACTCATTGGAAGAGAGTGACTGTTTTGCAGAATGTGATCTTGGTCTGTGGCACCGCTGCAGAACATTCCACTGAGGTGTTTCTCCTCTGAGCTGCTCTAAGTACAAGTCAGTCAGCCCTTGGAAGAAGGACAGGTTGGGTGCAGAGTAAGTAATGCCTGCCGGGCTGGGTCTGTGTTCATAATGCATGTTGAATTCTTATCTTAGATCATTAGGGAAATAGCACCTATTAAGACAGACCCTTATTTTGTAAATAAGGTCATGGAATGAAATTGGAAAGTTTCAGGGAAAAAATGTGTGTAGTTCATAATTACTATTTAATTGGTCATTGAAAACATGAAGAAATGGCCTTTTGATAAAATTACAATTAGATAGATAGAATGGGTATTTCCTAAAGAGTTATTTTTTTCCCTGAAATTTTTAGTAGAAGGAAATCTTAGGTGCAGTGTAAGATAATATCTATTGTGCCTCACATATCCTCATGTGAATGAAGGAAAGTTAAACATTATAAATAGTTTCTTTAGAATATGGACTTCATATTTTCACCAATCTGAATTTTATCATGTTTATAACGTAGAGAACTAAGGGGAAGCTAAAATTAAAATGGGAGAGAGTATGGGATGTAAAAATACTTTTTGGAGAGTGTTTCAGGTTATGTAGAGAGGAAGAATAGCATTATGGTTAAGGGCCTAGGCATCTAAGGCTAGACTATCTGGGCTCAACTCCCAAATATGCCATTGCCCAGCTAGGTAAACTTGAGCAAATGAGTTAACATTTCTGTGACTCAGTTTCCTCAGCTGTTTTGTGGGGGTAGTAGCAGGATCTGCTTAGTAAGATTGTTGTGAGGATTAGATGAGTTTTATTCATAAACCATTTTGCCAGGCATATATTGGGTCCTCATGCTAATAGTAATTAACTCTAAGTAGGGCATAAGCACAACGCACCGCAGTAAAATGCCTGACAGTATAAAGTATACAAATAAGAAAAGACACAAATAAGGTTACAAAACAAAAACAACCCCTGCCTCCCAACCCCCCGCCAAGAAAACACACAACAGAAACTACTACTAGGAGAAGTGATTCTTAGCAGTTAAGTCAGTGGCTTTAGGCTCAACCAATTTCCACAAAGACTTTGCTTACCTTTCTGAGAAAATGATTTCTTCCAGACTCTGAGCTCCTGTTTAGTGTATTTACTCCTTATGTCATTAATTTCATTTTTCCCCTAAACTCAATGATAAACTTCTGGAAAGCAGAGATCCAATCTTACTTAGCATTATATTTCCTCTCTCAACTTCTCTTCCTGGCACTCAATATCCTTATACAAGCACCGATACCATCAGACTTGTTGAACGAGGTTGAGCTTGCCTTAAGTTCTAGTCTCTTAGCCCATTGTTAGTGCTTGGAGAGCCCAGGACACAGAATTTATAAATAAAGCCAGTCCCGCTTTTCACAGAGGCACCCCACCATCACCACCATACACACAACTTAAAAATGAGCTGTTCATTAGCAATTTTGTGATAAGTGCAATGGGTCCAAAAGGACCCATCAAAGATGATTTCACCCACAGTGTACCAGGCGCAATAATGGCTCCAGGCAACTGGGGCCTGGACTTTCCCCTTCCTCCTTCCAATAGCCCCCTTCTTAGCAGATGAGTGGGAATCCCCCATCTCCCAGTGGCTGAGCATAGACTCCACTGCTCCGATCCAGAGAGGGAAGTTGGGAATTGGAAATATGGCCTGAGGTTCCTGGAGAGTGCAAAGAGGGTGAAGGAGAGATCTCTACTTCTCATGCTCTCTACCCCATTTGTCTTTCATTTTCCCATTGCTGGCAAGGAAAGGAGGGAGTAGTTCTTCAGCTTCCCTTCCTCTACAACTTGGTTTCTCTTCTCTCTTTTTTTTTTCTTGAGTTTCTTTCCGTAGTCTTGAGCCCAGAAACTGCAGGACAAAAGTAGTGGTGTTAGGAGTAGGGATGGAAGGTGGACCTAACAGATAACTTCTTTCTACTCCTCTTTCTCATATCCACTCTGTTTTTTGTTTCCCACTAGGCTATCCACAATCTCACCACTGGATACTAGATTATGATGACAGCTGGGGATCCTGGGCTGTTAGTTCAATAATGGGTGGCATTCATCAGGAAGACTCTTACCAGCAATGGGCCTATAAGTTTGTGAGGAATTGTGACAGAGATGGGTACAGAAGGCAGGAAAAGAAGCTCAGTTCTCAAGGTAACCTTGCTCAGCCAGCTGGAGCAAGTCATGAGTTGCCTGTATCCATAAACACTTAGCCTCTATTGCCTACTTTGCCCCAAAACACAGGGCCATGGCCATAGATTGAGAAGTCGCTAGCCTCTATAGAAAAATATCTTTATGATGACCTTGTTGCGAATGTCTTATCATTTAGGCCATCCATATTTCCAATGGCATATAGACCCAAACGTTTCTTATCAACACTGCATTTGTAACTGCATAAATATATTTATTCCATTCAAAATTTTTTATAGTGTATTTATAACAAATGCTGTATGAACAAGGCAGGCTTAGTGCTCTTCCTTGTGGAGTTTACATCTAGTTAGAAGACAATGCAATAAGTCTTTTGTTGCTGCAGTATTGCCTGACTTGGAGCTACATAACAGAGGCACCTAACTCATCTTGAAGCTGGTGCAGTTTCTTTAGATGCAAATAAGAGAGAGCAGAAGATTAATTCCTGCAGAGGGATGACCATATGCAAAGGTCCAGTGGCAAGAGAGAGCATGACTCTGAACTGGGAAACAGCCCATGGAAAAAGGCATCATGCTGTAAGTGAGGGCACTTAAATTAGGCAGAAAAAAATCCACACCAAGAGCCCTGCTATTTTGCTGACTGATGTAAAGAAAGAAGGTCCAAGAACAGGGCCATGGGCTATTAAATCACCCTATCTACACACACATATACACATACACCACCACGACCACCGCTACCACACACCACACATCCACTGCAGGACAAGGATTTCATTATAGTGAAACTTCACAGACGTAGATCAAGTAACATAGGACAAGGGTCTAAGCTCAGATGGCTGCTGTTTCTGCAAGTTTCTGGTTTATCCAGCCTATTAGACTGTGGCCAGATGTACTGTGTTACCTACATAATCCTTATCAGCAGCATTCCATCTGTGTCATCCAAGTAGCAGGAATAAGCAGGCACCCTTTTGGAAAGTGGCCCAAAGGGTACAGAAAGCAGGTACGCCTTGGAGGCATGTAACCCACATCCCTGCAAGTCAGGAGAGAAGACAAACACATTGAGTTTCTGCCCCAGATACTCACTTGAATTGCTCCTGCATTCCAGAGAGAGGTTGGTGGGGGGAAATTTGGAGGTTAGCTGTGGGCCTTGGAGTGATGATTACTTTGTAATGGAACAAATTAAATTATGTGAAATTTTAGATGCTTTCCTCCTGCCCTAGTGGCTCCCAATCTATTTAGGGGTAGTCAGAAAAAGGGGACCTTCACAACAGCTGCTTAGCTGCTTGAGCTCAGAGAGGAAACCCATAATTTGTCTGTAATCCCTAATGCCAACAGTTGTTCATTAAGAAACAAAACTAATGTAATCTTGATTATTTGCTCAGATTTCTACTCTATCATGTTTTGTGCATCTGGCAGGCTAATGTAATTTTCCTCAGAAACCCAAAGCAATCTGGTGCTCAGACAACACCATGCAGATTTAGGTAAATTCCAGGCTCAGATTAGCATAATACTAACTAATCACGAATATTATTTGCATTCATTAGAGTGTTGGGGAAAAATTGTTTCTAAATGGCAGAAAATTGAAAGAAGGATTAAGGGCAAGAGCTTGAAAATCCTGTTTGGCTTGATACGACTATATTACAGATGATTTTTCTCTTACAAGGCCTAATATTTAATGTGGAAGTATTAATTAGAGTATTGGAAAAAGATTGCATCTAATTGGAAGAAAACTAAGAGAGATTAAGGACCGGGCATATGGACTTGCTTTTGCTTGATTCAAGTGTGGAACAGATAATTTCCCATGCAATGCCAAGGAGCTTAAATGTGTAAAAGATAGGGTGATTAATTTTTCAGAAAGAACCAAGCCTTTTTTTTGAGATAACAGAGAAACACAATTTCGTTCCTTATGGAGTAACAAGTTATCGGTCAGTGCCTTTGTTTTTGTGATCAAGGAAAGAAGGTAACAGAATTAAACTCCTGAATCTGAAATACTCCCAAATAAAGGGGAAATCCCATAAAGCCCACACACTGGGCAAACCTTAAATCACTGGTAATAGATCCCAAATGTTGTACTGATTTAAATAATAATAATAAAAAGATTCAACCCCCACCTCCTGGTGGCTAGCTATTTTCTTTGCAATTTCCAGGGCCAGTCATTTGGCATTTGTGGAATTGGTTACAGGCCGTGTGCTGGGGCCTGCGCCTGACTGTGGTTCGAGGCAATTGTCTGCAAATCCTGTCTCTGGGCAGCTCGGCTGCTGTGGGGCTAAATTCAGCGCTGGCTTCCTGAGGGCTCGGAGCAGGTGCTCGCCAATGGCTTTGGCTTCTCCCTCTGACAGATGAGCAAGCGGAGCCGCTCCCCTGGAGGGAAGCCAGCTGAGCAGCCATTAGCAGTCACAGCCTTTGAATGTCCAGGCTAGTCTAGCTGCTCGCAGAATCCTGACTGTTTGGGATTCAGGCTTTGGCCTTAGCCTGAATGAGGTCGGGCAGCATGGTAGAGGAACTTGTTACTTAAAATGTGTTCTGGGTGGCCAAAGCTTTGGCATCGTCTAGAGGCTTGTGGGAAATGCAGAAACTCAGGCCCCACCCCCAACCCACTGAGTCAGCCTCTGCATTTTCGCATGGCCCCGAGGATATGCATAGGCTCATTCAAGTTTGACAAAAGCTGGGTTCTAGGACATTGGGCCTCAGACGTTCAGAGGCATAATGAATGATCACACCAAGAACTTGTCACAAACTCACATTCCTGGGCCCACGATTCAGTTTCAGGAGGTCTGGGGAAGGTGAGGTGAGGCCCCAGGTGACTCTGATGCAAAGGGTTCCTGGCACCACACTAGAGAAACACCTGGCTAGAGGAACACTCATGGATTGAAATCCACCTTGCCTACCGAGTTAGTGGAAAAGTTGATTAATGGCTCTAAACCCCAATTTCCCCACTTTAACATGGAGCTCCTATTTTACAGGTTTGTTGTGAGAACTCGGAGAGCTCAGGTCTGCAGAAGGTTTTAGCACAGCATCCTGTGCATTTTAGGCCCTGGCTAAGACATTACTTCCCTTTTTCTTCCTTCTCCACTTTGCAACCCACTTCCTCCATCTGATTCCCTGCCCACGGGGTCTTCCCTATGCCCCAATGTCCCTACCTTAGCGATAGCTTCCCAATGCCCCTTATGCTTGTACCTGTCCAGTTCTATCCTTCTGGCTAGGTCTCCAATCTCCAAGTTTTTTCTAACAACCGCCATCCCAGCCCCCAATTCTAGCTGCAGTGCAATAAAGTGTATCTGTCCCAGAGCCTAGCCTTTTAGTCTCAATTCTCTGCTAAACTGGCAGATGACTCAAAGCTAATAGCTAAGATTCTGTGCAATGGTTTAAGTATGCCGTTTCTGTTGGGTACTTTAAGGAGATATAATATCTTAGCCCAGTGGTTCTCAACTATGGCTACATACTAGAGTCATCTGGAGGTCATTTTATAAGATGCCCAAGTCTTTCAAATCCACTGTGATTCTGGTTCATTTGGTTGAGAGAAGACCCACGCATTGGTATATTTTTAAAAATTCCCAGCCAGCTTTTGGGCTGCTCACTGAGCAACCCAAACTGAGAATTCGTGTCCTAAAAAAAGTAATCAAGGAGGCTAATAAAAAGAATATTTTAGCTGAAAAAGACCTTTCAGCACACACCAGATTAGATCAATTCAGCCATCTCTCAAGCAATATGGGTGTTAAATATTGACCCACATCTCCTTCAGTTCTCTAACATACCATTATTTAGGTTTTTCATGATAAATGCTTCCTGGAATTAGCTTTAGAGGTAAGATTCCCTTCTTTGTTAAGTCATTAAAAATACTGTGAGAAAGCAACTTCTTCTTCCAATACCAAATCTATGAATACTAGGAATATCTTTTTAGTACCTAGGTAATTCCATAACATCTTGCTCTTGTTTTCAGTAAACTACTTTTTGGAAAAGAGCCAAGCGGGTGTGCATGCCCAGAAAGGTGGTGGATGCGTGTGTGTGTGTGTGTGTGTATGTATGTATGTATGTGTATGTGTGTGTTCCAAAGATAAAATACGCGTTAGGAAATTTCAGTAGAGTATCACAGTAAAAAAATTGCAGGGTTGGAGAACAGATCAACATATATCAGATCCTTGCATTCCTATAATAGAGCTCTGAAAACAAACAGAAATGTGTAATACAATGTCAAACAATGCTCAATAAATGTAATTTCCTTCCTCATTCATTCATTTACCTCAAAGCTACATTGCCACAAATTTTATTTGCTGAATTCTCTAGCTGCCATGTAATAAAGCTAGCAATTGATAAAAATTATTAAGGCCCTAATAACTGAGGTAAGCGACATTCAGACTAAAATTATAGACTGTTAAGAAAATAAAAAGTAGCATCATAGGCATTGTTCAGTATTTAGTATCTGTCACTCACTATTAAAATTAGTTTGCATATATTACCTCATGTAATCCTCATTAAAACTCTGAAGTGGACATTAATATTTTTCTTATAGGTTAAACAAACTGAGGCACAGAGAGGTGAAGTAACTTGCTTAAGGTCACAAAGAGAGTAAGTGATGGAACTGGATTTGCCAGCATGCTGTAATCAATATCAAAACTTATAGGATCATCAAAACCATAACTAAAGAAAAAAAACTATAGCTTTTCATTTTGTTTCTTTTTTTTTCTTTTTCTTTTTCTTTTCTTTTTCTTTTTTTTTTTTGAGATGGAGTCTCGCTCTGTCACCCAGGCTGGAGTGCAATGGCACAATTTCGGCTCACTGCACCCTCCGGCTCCCGAGTTCAAGCAATTCTCTGGCCTCAGCCTCTTGAGTAGCTAGGATTACAGGCATGCGCTACCACACCCGGCTAATTTTTGTATTTTTAGTAGAGACGAGGTTTCACCATGTTGGTTAGGCTGATCTCAAACTCCTGACCTAGTGATCTGCCCGCCTCAGCCTCCCAAAGTGCTGGGATTACAGGCGTGAGCCACCACACCCGGCCTTCATTTCTGTTTCATTTAAAATGAAAATAAGTGAATTAAACCTTTACACAGGAAGATGGGGAAAACAAATCTAGGAGAGTAAGAACAAGTTTTTCTTTTTTATAAAAAGCAGAAATTAATGAGCTAGAAGAAAAACAATAGAGGTGAAAAATAAAGAGTTGCTCTTTGGAAGAAAAAAGAGAAAACAAACGAATACATAAATATATGCTGAATAAGAGGTATTTTTAATAAAAGAATACTTTCTGCATCTCTGTGTGGGTATATTTAAAAATTTAGATGGAATAAACATTTTGTAAGTAATAGATAAGCTACAAAAACTTGGGTCTAGAAATACAAAACCTAAGCAGTTACATTGTCTTGAAAATTCTTTTAAAAGTTAACAGAATTTTCTCTAATCTTTTTTTTTTTTTTTTCAAAAGCTTTGGAACATTTGATTCTATGGAAAAATTCTTTCGAAGTTTCAAATAATTTCCATGTCTGGAAAGAAAAACTATAGAAAGCTATTCAATTCATTTTGTAAAGGTAGCTTAACTCTGATTCAAAAACGTGACAGAGAAAAGAAAGACGGGAGGTAGGAAAAAAGGAATGGAGGAAGAGAGAAAAGGGAGGTGGAAGGGAAGAAACACAAGAGGGAAGAAAGGAGAAAATTTACTTTATAAATAAGAGTACAAGACGCTAAGTGAAATATTGATAAATTGAACTCAGCACTACATTAAAAGCATGATAATAAATTGGCGGACTTATTACGTTTTTTATTTCTGTATGCATATTGGGTTAATGTTAAGACTTCTATTATTTAATCCATTATATCAATAATTCAAAACAGAAAAAAACCCATATAATCATCTAGTTATATGCCAACAAAGATATGCCTAGAAATACGAAGATACTTTATTACTATGATTATAAATATCTGTCTCAAAGAAACAGGCAAAAATCATTACTTAGTAATGAAAGTCTGCAGAACAGACTTTCACAGAGTGTGTTGTCTGAAAGAGCAGTCCCTTTAAAATCTAAAAATACTCCTCAAAATTACATTTCTGTACTAAATAAATTTGGGCATTTCATACTCTGAACCCCTCTAAAAGTTTCACCAGCTACATGTACCTGGGGTTTGAGAAGTGTTTCCTCAGCTTTGTAGACGTTGGAACCCTTTGCCCAAATCATATCTTGGGACCAGCGCTACTCATGGGACATCTTGGGAAACCCAGAGTTAGAAAATACAACGCGAAGGAATTCCATTCACAATAGTAACATACATATAAAATAATTAGTAATAAACCAGACAAGTAATGTAAATTGTACTGAGAATCTCTTTAAAGGCTTGAGGATAGAGAATCTGTTCTTTATACCTAAATAAAACAGTTTAATTGTGCAAAAATATCGGTTTGCCACAATTAACTTACAAATTAACTATATTGAACCCAAGAGGCCTTGTTTTTTTCTGACTGGATGAAATGATTCTGAACTTTATATGGTAAAAGAAATAAGAAGATCCAAGAAAAAATGGAAACATATTCTGACTTATCAAAACATATTATAAATGTATAAACATTAAGACAGTGTGACTTTGGGGTAAGACATCAATCAGACAGATCAAGTAGTGGAATACAAATTTCAGAATTAGAACCAAAATACCTAGAAGCATTCAGAATACATTTGAAAAGCAGTGTGTCATAGTGGCCAAGACCAGTCATAGTGTGTGGGTTCTGATTTCAACTCCACCTCTTACTGGCTGTGTCATCTCAGGCTAGCCTTTTAGCTTCTCTGAGTTTCAGTTTTCTTGTGTAAAAAAGTAGAAGTAACTGAGTACTTAACTCATACAATTAACATACAGTGATGAAATAATGTTTTCAAAATATACAGAAACTATTATATAATAAGCACTCAATAGTTGCCATTATGATTATGAAAAAATAAATTTGATTACATAAAAATTAAAATTATATAAACATAAATTTGATAGGGAAATGAAAAATTTACATAATAATGAAAAGATTATAAAGATTCTTTTATAAAGTAATCAAGTGTAAAATCCTCAAAAATATGGGAAAAATTTAAAGAAGCAATAAACATACACACAAAAAAATATAAACGAACTATGAATACATAAGAAAATATGTACTGATAACCAATTAGTTACTTTTTTCTTCTATAAAATTGGTAAACATTCATGATTCCTAGTACTGGAAAGATAAAGAAGCATTGCTAGTGGGAATATAAATTGGCAAGTATAACACAAACTCTTTGGAAGGCAAATTGGCAATATTTATCAAAAATCTCCAAAATTGGCAAATCTTTTAGCCTCAACCTCCCAATTTATTGACAAAATCATCCCTAATGTGGGACACAAATTTGGTTACAAGGAACTGAAGCAGCATCATCAAAGAGGAAATATCTGAAATATTAATACTTGAAGGTAGGGGGGATCTTATGATGTACTACCAGTAAGCAAAAAGAAAAGGTTATGATTCTTTTCTTTTCAAAAAGGTATTGCAGTTCAGTCACTAAGAACATAAAAAAACACATAGAAATGAAGGCTGAAAAGGTGTACACCAAACATTTTATAGTGGACATTTCTCAATTATGAGATAAAGATTTCTGGTTTCTTAAAATGTGATTTTGAGGTTGTTGTACTTTTTTGAATTCTCCAATTTCACACAAGAAAGCAATAAAAATATGTTTTTCAACTTACTTTTAAAATAAAAAATACTTTTAAATGAGTAGGAAAACAAAAGAGAGATTAGTTGAAACTACCCTATGAAATGAAATCTATATGCATTTTCCACTGCAGTTATAATATGTTATATGCAAAAATGCTACAGATATTACACATGTGGTTTTGATATTAATATACAATATCTTCCCCAAGATTTTGGTTTAAAACAAAACTTTTGTCATACACACACAAACACATGCTTTAGCCAAGAGTGTCAAAGAAAATTGAGTCTATTCTAGTGTGGGGTGGATTTCTGGTCTCTCATTGGGTACCTTCTTAAGCTTTTCTGTTTCCCCTTATTTTTGTCCCAGCCCATGTTCATCTGCCCTAAGATATTGCTTTTTCTCTATCAGAGTTCTTATTGCTAATTGCAGATAATTTAAAGCATTTAACTTAAATCAATCACATCTCAGATTTAAAATGCGTCTTCAAGGCCGGGCACGGTGGCTCACGCCTGTAATCCCAGTTCTTTGGGAGGCCAAGGCAGGCAGATCACTTGAGGTCAGGAGTTCAAGATCTGCCTGGCCAATATGGTGAAATCCTGTCTCTACTAACAATATAAAAATTATCTGGGCGTAGTGGCATGCTCCTGTATCCCAGCTACTCAGGAGGCTGAGGCAGGAGAATCACTTGAACCTGGGAAGCGAAGGTTGCAGTGAGCCAAGATTGCGCCATTGCACTCCAGCCTGGGCGACAGAGCGAGACTCTGTCTCAAAAACTGAACGAAACTAAAATGTAAAAAATAAAATGAGTCTTCATAAACTCCACTGTAAGAAGCTGCTTTCTCAAAAATGCTCCAAGAACTTACCACACCTGCTAGTTTTTAACCAGGAAGGGCCATTTCACCATGGGCTGGGTCCTTCAGCTCTCTGTCTTCTGACCCTATTCTATCTTTCTCCATTTTGTCCTGGTGCTTCAGGGGTGGGATGGTTGTTTCATCATTCCCTGGCCCTTCTGACAGACAGAATAACTTCCAGATTGGACCCAAGGAAATAAATTGGAGAAAAGGAGAGGGCAAGGAGTACTGTTGATACGTTTGCTCCCTACAAAGTACAGGCTATCTGTGAAACTTGCCAGGTTTGTTGGCTTATGATAGTAGTATGATGTTGATAAAAATATGTGTTAGGAAGTATTTAATACCAGAGAAAAAAAGGAAATGGGAGATCTAAGTTTTTCACCATTGAAGTTTTGATGAAATGGAGCTCAATTTAGCAGTAGCAAGGAATGGTATGGTTTTCACTGACAGAACTTAAGGAACTAATTTTGCCATATTATCTTGGGTGGGGAAAGTGTGTGGAGAAAGATTATCATTCATATTCTGCAGAACATGTGTGTCTGGCCAATGACAAAGATGCCTAAACTTCCAATTAATTAGCACACAACTGACATTCTAAATTATCCAGAAAGTGTCTGATTTATTCCTATAGTAGAAACTAGGATATGAGCTCTACAAGGGTAGGGATTTTGGTCTGTTTTGCTGACTAATGTCACCACCAACATCAGTGTCCAACACAAGTAAGTCCTCAAGAAACGCTTGCTGAATGAAACAACTCATTTTAGGAAAGCAACTCATTTCAAACATTTATTATAAACAGAATGTATTCCATTTCCTGGGGTCAGTACGTCTATGTCTTTACACCTTCATTCTCATTGCTCTAAGTACTGATATACTGAGTATCAACCCAGAGGAAGTAATATATTGTTATATTCAGGATGTCAAACAAATAAGTTTCAATTTGTGAACAAGAGTAGAAGAAGATTCAGTTCTCCATTAATCAAATGTTTTAATTCAGCAGAATGTTAACTAGGACTCCTTTGCTAACAGGGGATCCAAACCAGCTTGAACTAGCACAGGCAAAAGGGGGGCTTTTTGGTTTATGGAGTCCAAGGAAATGTGTAAAACCAACGTGTAGGAGTAAGAGGCATGTAGCCGGACCATCCTGGCACCAGAGGCCAAGCACCACATCCCATTCGGGCTTGCTTCCAAGCTTGAGTGTTTGCTTCATTTCCACTCCCTGGTGATAGACTTTCTCCGTGATATGGGACACAAGACACAGTGGTTCCTGGACTTTATGTCATATAATTCTCGCCCTCTAAGAGAAACCATTGATGTCAGTTCTAGACTGTATTTAAATTGCTGAGAAGGATTCTCATTAGATTGGCTTAACTAACTCCTCACCCCTAGATCAAACAACAACTTCTAGAAGGATGAGGTAGTATGAGACATTGAAATTTCCCAAAAGGGATATATGGACAAGGAGTGGGCGGTTTCCGGCAGAAATGAAAGAGGGGCATCTAGGCAGATCATCTCATCAGTGTCCACTACACTCAACTGCTGCTCCTGCTATGGAAGGTGATCACTGCTTTTCTACATAAACATCACACATACACACATACACAAACACATATACATATTTACACATATATGTATATATAATGTTTATGTAGAAAAGCAGTGATGCTTTTCTGTGATGCTTGTATATTTACACATATAATATGAATATATAATATGAATATTAACATGTATATTTATATATTAATATTATATATGCCTAATTGTTTGGATTCATGTGCTTAATATTCATGTCCCTTCTGTGTGACACAGGTTCAGGACATGAATATATATATATATATGTGTGTGTGTGTGTGTGTGTGTTTGTGTGTGTCTGTGTCTGTGTCTGTGTGTGTTTATGCCTCTTTGGATTCATGTGCTGAACCTGTGTCACATAGAAAGAAAAATTTTGTCACCTGTCTATTTCTGATGCCGGCAGCCTGTGTGATGGAGGCTGACACTCAGCCTCAGGAAAATCATGTCTATTAGAGAGTTTTGATGGTTGCTTTATTTCTGTCTGACCTCCAATCAAAGAGTGAGTTTCAGCATTCCAACCTCTTTCTTCTTCTCACTCTCCTCAAAAAACCTAACACTCTGCCAGTTCCTTGCGCTGCTATTTAGGCATGGAGAAGATTAAGATATATCTGCATTATCTTCCCATTACCAAGAATGGTCTTTTGTTGGAGAATACCAGTTTAAACAGTTTGAGTTGGAAAAATATTCCAAACCAAACCGGTATTTAGTGTTTAACCTAAGGACATCCTTAAAACAATTGCCCACTTTCCATTATTTTTCTCATGTTTACTTGAACAAAGAAAAATGTTACATATATCTAAAGGAATTAGTAATGAAAGCTTAACTTTACAAAATAAACCTACTGAAATGGTTGCTTTAAAAGGTTTCAAAATAATCAACTGTCGTGTTGACTGTGAAGAAACAGATATAATATAGAAAATACATCTTTAAAGCTCCACTTATGCAAAAATAAAAACTTTTATATCACGCTCCCTCAAAGAATGTATGACAGATATTTTAAGATCATGATAGTGGAGTAAAGGATTGAAAGCCAGAATTCAGAACTTTGGATGCTAAAAAGTGACTGATTTTGTTTAACCTTAAAATTATGTGGAATTGTGAAGAAATGTAACAGGACACAGTTGGATTAGTTATGCGGTATTTCCTTATCAATTGTTAGCTACTGTGCATTGCTCTAAAAACTTTTTTAAATGATTTTAATAAGTTTTAAAACATTTAAAAATCTTTAAAAACTGTTTAAAACATTTAAATCTTTATGGTGTCGCCTGTAGATATGCTGTTCTTTGGTAGAAAATACCCACAGTCTGTATTTAAAACACGCCTAACAGTTGATTTGTGTTACTTTTTAAGTCCATCTAATAAGTTATGTGTTTTCTAAAAGAAGAAAGAAAACCTAATAAGCCTGTATGTTTTCTCCTATCAACAGCTCCCATGCCAAAACCTACCTTCCTAGAAAACTGCTCTCCCCTTTCAGCCAAGCACCTCCCCACACTCTCTGCTATTTACAGCAAAATATTCACCTAAAATATTCAACCAAACCTTTAAGGGTGGAGTTTTAGGGGTACAGTAAGGATGGAAAATGAGAAAAAGGAAAGGTGAGGCTATTTAGAATAAACCTAACCTACATACTCACATTTTCAATATGTAGGTACTTCCAGCATCTCTCCATATTTATTTTCCTTCACAGCTCCTCCAAAAATAATCCCTCCTAATTATTTGCTTCATGTTATATTGTCCTTATGAAACCTTTATTTTACCATCTCTGGAATTCTTATCCTGTTCGTTTCTTCTCAAGAAAGAGTTAGGAAACAGGACAGTGAAACCTCGTGCAGTAGCCTATCCTTCTTCTAGAGACAAGGGGTTCCTCTCTAAAAGTTCAAGCTTTGGCAAATCTTTCCGTCCTCCCGAGCACCTAGCATGTTTGGTGCATGGCAGGTGCTCTCATGGGTGGCAGGTCCATGCATTTCAGAGGGTGAATCACTAAAAAACCCTCTGTGGGCAATCTCCCCTCCCCCAAGCAGCATAAACCAAAATTAAGATGCAAGACTTATGTCAATTGTAATAAAACATGGGAAGTTGGGTGTATTCATACTTTGTAGGATGTAAAACTTACACACCAAATTTCAAACATTTTATTAATAAATACCACAAACTTCACAAAATCCAGAAAGTTGTATGATTGTTTTTATTTTGTCTAGCATGTTTCTATAATGACTTTTTCTTTCTATTTGGCTGCATATGTTTTATTACCTCTTTGTATTATAACGATTGTGTAATACCATTTCTGTAGAGATAATAGAAAGATCATTCAGGCTTCTAGTAGAGTGGCTCAAAAAATACATCATTTACTTTGTAGAGGAGTTTCAAGTCACAAATGGTTTTCAGTCATGATATACGTGTAATTTCCTCTGCAGTTTCTTGCTCAGGTATTTCTTGGTGAGAGTCAAGCGCCAAGCCCTTGAAGAATTCCCACCCTTTGATACCCAGGTGGGGGCCCCTGGTAGCTGCTGTAGGTGGTCCAGCTCCATGGCATTCCTGCTGCTCTCTGTTCCCCCTCCCCAATCCCACCCTTCTCCCTACCAAGTCCTACAGAAGGGGTTAGGGGGCTTTGAAGTGGGAGCAGAATTGCAAATTCTACAGATTCTTCTTGGTTGTGGGCATGGGGTGGAGTAAGTGGGGTTTGTGTTGGTATTCTTCCTGTACCACCAGCAGCCCCTAGTCCCCAGTTATCAGGGGGTGACCCCTAGACCAGAGCAGTGATTCATGCACAAGTTCAAGGCTCTGACTGCTGCCTCCTCCTGGCATCCTTGGAAAAGGCTCCAGCAAAGTGAGATGCTGTAGCTCAAGCTTCATTAAATGTCCCCCTAGGGAATCCTCCCTAAGTTATTCTATGAAGCTAGTTATCACCCTAATACTAAAACCAGGGAAGGACATAACAAAAAAAGAAAACTACAGATCAATATCCCTGATGAACATACATGCAAAAATCCTCAACAATATACTAGCTGACCAAATCCAACAGCATGTCAAAAAGATCATATACCTAGAAAACCCTAAAGATTCCACCATGATCAAGTGGGTTTCATACCAAGGATGTAAGGATGGTTTTATATCCACGAGTCAATAAACATGATACACCACATAAAGAGAATTAAACGCAAAAATCACGTGATCACCTCAATAGATGCAGAAAAAGTATTTGAGATAATCCAGCGTCCCTTTATGATTAAAACCCTCGAAAAATCGGCATAGAAGGGACATACCTTAAGGTAATAAAAGTCATCTATGACAAACCCACAGCCAAAATTGTATGGAACGGGGAAAAGTTGAAAGCATTTCCCCTGAGAACTGGAACACAACAAGGATGCCCACTTTCACCACTTCTATTCAACATAGTACTGGAAGTCCTAGCCAAAGCAATCAGACAAAGGAAAGAAACCAACGGCATCCAAATCAGTATAGAGGAAGTCAAACTGTTCCTGTTGGCTGATTATATGATCATATACCTAGAAAACCCTAAAGATTCATCCAAAAAGCTCTTAGAACTGGTAAATGAATTCAGCAAAGCTTCAGGATACAAAATTAATGTACACAAATCAGTAGCTCTGCTATACACCAACAGTGAGCAAGCTAAGAATCAAATCAAGAACTTAACCCCTTTAATAATAGCTGCAAAAAAATAAATAAAATACTTAGGAATACAGCTAACCAAGGAGGTAAAAGACCTCTACAAGGAAAACTACAAAACACTGCTGAAAGAAATCATAGATGACACAAACAAATGGAAACACATCCCATGCTCATGAATGGGTAGAATCAATATTGTGAAAATGACCGTACTGCCAAAAGCAATCTACAAATTCAATGCAATTCCCATCAAAGCACCACCATCATTCTTCACAGAACTAGAAAACACAATTCTAAGATTCATATGGAACCAAAAAAAGAGCCAGCATAGCCAAAGCAAGACTAAGCAAAAGGAACAAGTCTGGAGGTATCACATTACCTGACTTCAAACTATACTATAAGGCCATAGTCACCAAAACATCATGGTACTGGTGTAAAAATAGGCACATAGACCAACGGAACAGAATAGAGGAATCAGAAATAAAGCCAAGTACTTCAAATACTTATAGCCAACTGATCTTTGACAAAGCAAACAAAAACATAAAGTGGGGAAAGGACATCATATTCAACAAATGGTGTTGGGATAATTGGCAAACCACATGTAGAAGAATGAAACTGGACATCTCTCAGCTTATAAAAAAATCAACTCAAGATGGATCAAAGACTTAAATCTAAGACCTGAAACCATAAAAATTCTAGAAGAGAACATCAGAAGAACCCTTGTAGACATTGGCTTAGGCGAAGACTTCATGACCAAGAACCCAAAAGCAAATGCAACAAAAACAAAGATAAATAGATGGGACTTAATTAAACTAAATAGCTTCTTCACAGCGAAAGAAATAGTCAGCAGTTAAGAGACAACCCACAGAAGGGGAGAAAATCTTCACAATCTATACATCCAACAAATAACTAATATCCAGAATCTACAAAGAACCCAAACAAATCAGCAAGTAAAAAAACAGTCCCAACAAAAAGTGGGCTAAATGAATAAACGATCCTCAAAAGAAGATATACAAGTGGCCAAGAAGCATATGGAAAAATGCCCAACATCACTAATTATCAGGGAAATGCAAATCAAAACCATAATGCGATACCATCTTACTCCTGCAAGAATGCCCATAATCAAATGTCACATAGACTTCAGAATGCCCATAATCAAAAAATTTAAAAAAAACAAACAACAGATGTTGGTGGATGTGGTGAAAAGGGAACACTTTTACACTGTTGGTGGGAATGTCAACTAGCACAACCGCTGTGGAAAACAGTGTGGAGATTCCTTAAAGGATTAAAAGTAGATCCACCATTTGATCCGGCAATCCCACTCCTGGTTATCTACCCAGAGGAAAACAAGTCATTACATGAAAAAGATACTTGCACACACATGTTTATAGCAGCACAATTTGCAATTGCAAAAATATGGAACCAGCCCAAATGCCCATCAATCAATGAGCAAATAAAGAAAATGATATATATATATATTATTTTATATATATACACACACACACACATACACACACATACACACATATATATATATATATATACCATAAAATACTACTCAGCCATAAAAAGGAATAAATAATGGCATTTGCAGAAACCTGGATGGAATTGGAGACTCTCATTCTAAGTGAAGTAAATCAGAAATGGAAAACTGAAAACATTGTATGTTTGCACTCATAAGTGGGAGCTAAGCTATGAGGACACAAAGGCATAAGAATGATACAATGGATTTTGGGGAAATGGTGGGAGGGGAGTGAGGGCGAAAATACTACACACTGGGTACAGTGTACACTGCTCAGGTGATGGGTGTACCAAAATCTCAGAAATTACCACTAAAGAACTTATTCATGTAACCAAGCACCACCTGTTTCCCGAAAACCTATTGAAATAGAAACAAATTTACAAATTAATTAAAAAATAAAAATAAATAAAACTTCCCCCTAGGAAACAATAGGGATTCCTTACCAGCAAATCTGCCTGTATTTATGAAGATGTGGAGGACCTGATGGAAAAGGAAAGAGAAGTTAACATTTGTTAATCATCCGCTGTGTAAGAAACGCACAGATGACTTACGTACCCATTTATATAAGTAACTGATTTCTTGACAAGTGGAATCCAGTGATGTTTGAGCAAAAAAGGTTTTGCACCACTTTCTTTCCAATGCACTATTAGATTTCCTGTCCCTGGAGATTATTTGGCCAGATTCTTAATCTTCTCAGGTCACTTTCAGGCATCAGTAGATATTCTTATTTTCAGGACTCTCACCTCAATCCCTTATCTGCAATTCTGAAATCTCCACAGTTCTAGAAGTCTAAACTTTTTGAAGTTTGCTACAAAGACATTAGGTGGAAAAACTATACATAAACATATGTGAGGCTATGTGTAGTGATTTACATACCTTTGCCTTGTGTGGAGAATAATACATTTTGCTGCAGAAATATTAAGGGGTTTGATTACAGAGTGCTGCCCTACACCAGCTGATGACAGGATCTGCATCATACGTCCTTTCTAAAACTCACAATTAAGTGCTGGATTCTGAAGTCTATGTGGCCCCAGGGGTTTTGGGTAAGAGATTAGAGACTAATAGCTAATGTTCTAATATCTAATATCAAAACTTCCATTTCTCATCCAATTCAAATCTTCTCTCCCTGGCCAGCAGAGGTCTGTTCATTTGTTCTGTGGAACAGCAATGTGAAGAGTGCAGGTGACCCTGGGCCCTGCCTGTTCTGTAATAATTCTTCCATCTACTTTTCCCTCTCATTCTCCCATACTCACCCAGGAGCCTCCAACTCCTCCAAGGCAGGGGGAGAGAAGGAAGGAGGAAGGTAAATTCTCTGGTGCTATTGTCATCTGGGCGTAGTGCCCTCCGTGCTCTTTCCCTCTGATGCTCTCATTGCACCCCTGCAGGGGGAAATGGGCTTCGAGGCACAGAAGCATTGGGGCAAATCCTGCCTAGATGGTCCAACATCCCTGTGTAGAATGAGGGGGCCCTGGCCACCTATTATTCTTAGCTTCGGAGTCCCAACAGAAACAAAGAAATATCCTATTGATTACCCTGTGACACATCCATTACGTCATTGTTAATGTTCACAATTAACCTGTGAAATAGGAAGGGCCAATTTTACAGATGAAAAAGCTAAGGTAATACAGCAAAGTGAGGATTAAAATTCATATGAATTCATGCATGTAAGAAGGAAATTACATTTTTTTAAGAAGAAAGAAGATTAAAATACTAAGATTAAGGAAGCAAAGAGCACAAGAAATCTGTATACCAAAGAGGCCAGAAAGGTGCATTTGAAGGACTCTGTGTCTATTTTATGAGCAACCAGAAATAAAACAGCTTCTTTGAAGGGCAGGGAAAATATTTGTCTCTAAATAGTATGATCATAGGAGCGGAAAGAGAGGGCAGATTCTAAAGAACCACATTTAGACAAAAGGAAAACAGGACATGAACAGAAACTACAGGACTGTATCTTCTGGAACTTTCTGTTCCCACTCACCACTCATCAAAATCCAGAAAAATCTGTAAGCTTTAAAAGTCAAAAGTGGGTTTGAGATCCACTGCGATGAGTTAGAAGCCTCCATTGTGCTCAGAGTGGGTCTAAATTTGGAAATAAACTCAATCCCACAGATTCATTATACAATTGGCACGACTAGGAGAGGAACTGAAAACTTTCCTTGTCTGAATTTCTCGCTTCTTTTGAGAAGGAGACTTAACGAGAGAGGCTGACATTTCAGAGACATAGCTTAGCTGAGTTTAGAAACCAGGGAGTGGGCGGTTTTCAGAAGGCACCTGTAAACACCATGTAGATTCGCTGTGGGAAATGCGTGAGAGTCCCAAGATGGCATGAAGAGAAACAAAGACGAATATTCTCCTCCCACTAAGAAGAGAAAAAATGTAGGACTCTAGGGCGGCAAGGAATGTTTCATTCACTCATCCATTCATTCAAGAAATACTTATTGAGTTGGATTTTTTGTTTGTTTGTTTGCTTTTACCGGGACTGGGCACTGGGATTCTAAAGTAAATGAAATATTAAATCAGTCAGTTAATATAATTATAAACTGAGACAAGTACTCTAAAGGACAGTGTGACTCTTTATAAGAGGGTGTAAAAGAGGGAACTGATCCACATGATGGAAACTGAGGTTTCCCTGAGCAACTCTCACTAGAAGTCTCATTACTCTGTGAAGAGTAATAACGTTGGCTAACGTTAGTTGACCCAGCCATCTTCTAATTGTTTTACATATATAATTTTGTACAAGCCCCAAGACAACACTGTGGGGGTAAACGTGTTCTTGCCTCTTTCTGGAATAGTCTTCTTTCCTATTCACCCACTTAACGTCTTAGGGAAAGGCAGTGGTCTGGAATGTAGGCTAAGAAGCCAGGCTTCCTGGGTTTGAATCCTCGCTGCCCTACTGACTTGCTGTGTGACCTCAGGCAAGTTACCTAACCTCTCTGTGCCTGTTTCCTCATCTGTGATAACAGGACCATGACAGTACCTACATATGCTGGAGAAATTTAAAGCAGACCAGTGTGACTGGCAGGAGAGTTGTATGAGATGTGGCTAAAGAGGTAGGCAGGTTGCAGACCCTGAATTTAGCAATAATTGAGTGCCCGCTCTCCGACGGGTACTATACTGGAAGCTTTGTATCTGTTATTTCAGCTGAGTTGCTTCTCATCAAGGAAGCACTCATTAACCAAATTATCGAATGAGTAAAATGCAATTGTGCTCTTTTAAGGGTGATTGAATACACTGCCTTCAGCCTAGGAGTCTTCTTCAGAAAGGAACTGTGCCAACTGTATAGCTCTCTGATTAAGTAGTCTCTTTCCTCAGCCATTTCTAATGGCAGAGTCCCCTGGGTTGGAGCAGAAGAAGTGAATGCAGTTAGTTGGAAGGCATGAGATTTGCACTCAAAAGATTGAGGCTCAGGTCCCACTTCTGCCATGTTTCTGGCTGTGTGAGCTTGGGCCCGTCAATTCCCCTTCACAAGCATTATTTTCCATATCCAAAGAATACAATACTCAGCTGCCTTTTCAAGTTGCTATAGAGATCAGGTGAAATAATGCACATGGAAACCATTTTCACAATCCAGGAGGCAGCACACAATGTTAGGGACCAGTCAGTATTCATTGAGAGTTGACTTCTGCCTGTCCCCTGTTCTGGTCAACCTACTGGGCCCAAGCTAAACACCCCATTCAAGTAAGGAGACCTGTTACCATGTGAGACGCCACCTCACACAGGAAGGGAGGGGGCACAGCTGTCCTGACCACCTTCCCAGCTTCCACTGAAGAAGCTCTTTTTCTCCTTGGGCTGGGTCCTCTCTCCTGCTACCTCCACCATCCCGGTCTTCATTCCCAAGCCTTTCAGCCAGACATCAGAATTTCTCCTTGCACAGGTGCAGTTAAATAAGGCTTTACTCCTAGGAGTATTTGTCATGTAGATGGCTCACTAGAAGAAAAAAATATATATTTGCTGGCATAAATGGTGGTTCTGAAATCTTCAGTATTAATACTCCAGATCTCTGCTTCATTCTCTCTCTCTCACACACACACAAACACACACACCCACACACGCACACACACGTACACACGTGCACACACACACGTGCACATGTGCACGTACACACACACACACATACACACAATTGCCAATGACTTCCATACATAGCCTTCAACTGTAAAGCTCTGAAGGCAGGAACCCCATCTTGATCACTTAATCTCCAGTGCTCAGCACAGAGCCTTACACATAAGGGACTAGTAAATGTGTACTAAGAAAGCAAAGGAAGGAAGGAAGGAAGGAAGGGAGGAAGGGAGGAAGGGAGGAAGGGAGGAAGGGAGGGAGGGAGGGAGGGAGGGAGGGAGGGAGGGCCATGAGTGTTTCCGTTGTGCATGGCTGCAGACAGTTCTTAGACTAGCTACTGTAGCCACTATTTCCCAGTATTTCTCCCCTAACCAGGAAGCTCATCACACTCCCTGTGATTTGGAACTTCCAGACACCCAAATTTCCTCTGAAGTTTATGCCGCGGCTCCTCTGTACACCAATGATCTGCATCCTGAGCTGGTCCAAGCTGTTTCTCCTCATGTGATGTTGTTCTCGAGTGTATCTCAAGGTGGTTTTGTCCTATTTTGTCCATCGTATTCAAAGAAGAGTTATATCCACTTTCCTTTCAGCTGCAGCTAAGTGTTCTGCTAGTCTTTGTTTTCACTGGTTGTCCACGCTACCCAGTAGGACAGTTGGAATCACTCCAGAGCTATTTGTTGGTAAACTTTTCTGATCAGGCTTGTATTGGCTCAGACCAAATGTGAGATTCACACAAACCCTTGTCTGTTTCAGTCATATTACAACTCTTGGAGAATTAAGACATTTGGGAAGAGTTCCATAGCTTCTCCTGACCTTCCAAGGAGGCATGAAGGTAGAAAGAGCACAAACTTTGGAGACAAAATGATCTGGATTTAAGTCCTAGTCCTGCTGCTTTCAGGGCAAGGTCATTTCTTCCTCTGAGCCTTAGTTTTGCTTACTCATAAAATGAACATAATAGATCTCCTTTTTGTCTAGGACTCTTTTAGTTGCAAGTGACATAAACCCAATTCAAATGAGCTTAATACAAAAACAAAGTGGGAAATCCTTGACAGTTTGTCCAGCTTCAGGCAAGTTTAGATCCAGGAGTGCAGACAATCTTTGAAACTTCTGGTACTTCCTCCATCTCTGAACTTGACTTTTCTCTGCATGTTACTTCATCTTGAGGCTTCCCGTTAGCAGTTGGCAGTAGAAATGGCATGACAAGTCCTTTACTCAGCCAATCAAAAGAAAAAGACCCTCACTCTTCCTGCAAGCATTGTTCATAGAGGAAATCTACTCTGTCCAGCCTGGATCAAATACCCACCTCTGTGGCCAGATAGTTGGAACTTGGTTATAGACAGCTCTCCAGGGATAAAGCACGTGTACAGTGATAGTTACCACATGGAAAGCATCCTGGAAGATGAATCAGACTCATTACAGAATTCCCTCAATGGGTCCTTATGAGGCAATTTGTAAAGTGCCTCATTTGCTATAAGATGGCATTTGAAAAGTGTCTTAAACAATGATGAACACATTATGTTTGGCTTTAGTTCTTCTCCTCCCTTTCCCTACTTCCTTCTTAAAATCAGAGAATCTCAACTATAGGACCCAAAATGAACCATAATTAAGCCACTCTCTAGGACATAAGCTCCTAGACACTGGTGAACTGCCATTTAGGCAGAGCCACGAAGACTGCCTTGGACAAAATGATTTGAACATTAAGGCACTCCTGTAATAACTTTTATTTACACATATGAGCCCCCTTGGCACCTGTCCCATGTTCACCTTATATGGTATTACCAAAAAAAATGTAATTGGGTGACATTGATAGAATGTAGTAAGTATAAAATAATCCTGAACAAAGTAACATCTGACAACATTGATGCCTTCTTACAAGATAAAAAAACCTAGATACCTGGAATATAACTTAAGACCCTCAAATTATCTTTCTATAGAAATTGGCATTCTATTCAAGTAGTACAGCTTGGACTCACAGGCAGGTTCTCGTGACTTTGTGAGTACTTTGTAGCTTATGAAAATATTAAGTAGTAGATCTGAATGTGTGAAACATTGTGTGGTTTGTTCCTAAAAGACTACAATGAACTAAGCCTTTCTGATTTGGTGACCATGCCAATTTGTAGAAAAAGAAATACACAGACCCATTATTGGTGTGTCACAAACTAAGCAGGAAGCGTAGACCATTTCATATTCACAGAAAACAAATGAAAATGCAATGGCTAGTATTTTATTTCCCAAGTGTCTGATAAAGTCCATGCCAGTGTTTATTGGCTAAGAGGATACTTCTTGGGGAGAAATCTGGCTCTGAGAGGGGAAGTCCTAAGTGTTTCTGTTTGACATTTTCTTTGCTGGGGAGCAGCAAATGCCATAGGAACTGTGTGGGTACCTCACTTATTAAGGAACAGGGAAATGACTTAGATGGACTACGAAATGCAAGGTGCCAAGGGTTCCCAATGTAATGACAACTAAGATGGAGCAAAGAAAAGAGACAGGAGCTCACAGATGCTGAAGATGAGGCTCTTGTAGGTTCACTTCTGCTGAAGGCAACCAAAGCCACCCAAATTAAATACACGTTGAACATCCTCAATCTGAAAATCTGAAATCCAAAATGCTCCAAAATCTGAAATTTTCAAGCACCAACATGGTGCCACAAGTGGAAAATTCCACACCTGACCTCATGTGACGGGTTGCAGTCCAAATGTAGGTACACAACACAGTTTATTCAGTGTCTCCAAGGGAAAAATAAAATTAACTTCAGGTTATGTAGATAAGGCATATATAAACCGTAAATGAATTTCAAATTTAGATATGGGTTCCATCCCCAAGATGTCTCACTATAGACATGCAAATATTCCAAAATCCAAAGATAAAAATAAAAAATTTGAAGCACTTCTGGTTTTAAACATTTCAGATGAGGGATACTCAACATGTAAGAGTGAAAATAGATTGTATTTATTGAGTGCTTACTACTTGCCACGCCCTGAACTAAGTAAGCACTTTAGACATATAGTCTCATTTATATCTCACAACAGCCCTATGAGGTAGCTTTTATTATTCCCATTTTACAGGTGAAGAGATGAAGACTTAGAAAGTTGAAGTAACTTCTAAGTTACTAAGTAATTGGAAGATGTGGAACAGAAACTTAGATAGTTGATCCTAGAACCTTAGTCACTAAACCATAATTTCTGGATTAGAGCAGAATAGATTTAAGATAGTCTGTGAGAAAATTAAATTTAGGGGAATATAACAATGGTGGAGTTTTCCATTTTTCTTGATTTTTCTTTAAATATAATTCTGGTCTAGAAAGAGGCTTTTCTTGTACACTAAGCTTCTATTGTCTCCCATCTGTGTTTTTAACAAAGATAATTAGGGTCATCTTGGTTCAAGCAGACCTTCTTATTTTTAATTACACTGCACCTGGAAACCTGAAAGAATGTACAGATTCATCTTAGCTTCCAGCTGATGCTTGAAATGATTGGCGTTGCCCTCAAAGGACAAGAGGTCTTTAGTGAAGAATTCAGGAAATCAGGCCTTGGACCAGTCCACATAGTCCAGCAGTTAAAACTGCTCTCTAACTCTGTCTCTCAGACAAAAAAAAAAAAAAAAAAGTTCATTTCTCTTCTCTTCAATCTATTGCTGCTGTGGTGATGGCAAAAGCACGGAGTAGCTCTGCTGTTCCTGAAATCTGAAATCCCCGTAGATATGTTGCAATGTGCGAGATTAGCTTGACTTGTCCTTTACCTCGACCTCAGCCTGCTCTCCTGGACTATCTCACAACCAGGGGTGTGGGAGATCTGCTCTGGGATTTATTTCTGAGAAGCTTCAGATGAGGTCTACGTGTGAGGGTGACCTTCCTTAGACCGCTGATCCTCTTCTCCAGATTTTACTTCAAAGGAAGAGGGATGTAAACAGGAACGCTGTGAATAGAGAAAGGAACAAGTAGCAGATCATTTTGCCTATATCTCCAAAGACATTGAAAGGCACTACATCAATGCCACCAGAAGTTTTTAAACATGTTTTTCCAATTAAAGACTTAAGAACATGTTTGGAATAAGCGGAGTAAATGGCTTGTCAAAAATTTGACAGCCACAGCCAGAATTTGAAAACAGAAAACTAAAGCACAAGAGTATTGCAGTTGTGACGATTTTAAGGAAGATTCTGTGAATTAATGAGTGCAGTGAGTGGGGAAAGGCCCGGAGTGGATGGTGTTTGGGATAGGATGGAGACCTAGGCAATTGAGAGTGGCCAGTCTGAAGGACTTCAGAGGCACAAACATGCAGGAGAAGCAAGGGGAGTGCCTGTTCTGCAATAAGTCTTTATGCCTAGAAGAAAGAGCCCAGGTACATTTGCTGATGTAAAATCACTGGGTAGGAAGGAGTGGGCATGCTGAGCGCCTCTTTCAGAAATGAAAGCGAAGCAGAAGTCTCAATAGCCATAAGAGAAGAAGTAAGAACCATGGAAATACACTCTATGACAAATACTCTGCCAGCTTCGTAGCACTCCATGTTGGTAACATTTCCTGGATCTGCGAAAAAGAAAAGAGGCCTCAGGAAGCCAGTCCAGGCTAAGAAGGACCTCCCAATACAGCAGCATTTAAAAGACCCTTTAATGGATCTACAGTGCTGGTGGAAAATAGAAAGGTCATGTTTACGTCTTTGGCATGTATACAGTACAATAGAGAACCAAAAGGGGAAATTAAGAAGTCTGACAATAAGCCCAGAGAACATTTAAGGAATTCAAAGTTTCATAATAGTAACTTTGAAACTGTTGAATCAAGTATAAGATTGCTGTTTATTATCTGGATACAAACTCCTTACATGAGGGAAGAAATGTTTGTTGTTCTTGTTGTTTTTAGTTTTTGCTGAATTTAAACCATAGGCAAATGGACAAATACCACTTGCCTAATGAGTGGAGGACTGAAAATGTGAATTCCACTCCAACATCCCACCAGGAACTCTTAAAATAAAAGACAAACCAGAAAACCCCCTCGCCTAAGAATATGTCTCATGTATCAGCCAAACTCTGAACCTTTTTGAAGAAGAGATACGTTTCCACAGTTATGCTCAGGGATGGTGCCTTTAATTGATGTGAAACCTGATCTAACTTAAAAGAACTGATCTACTTCAAAGGAAAAGCTAGTCCTCTCTGATTCTGCCACTTCCATTAATGAGAAATAAATAATAATTGTTTTGCCGCAAAAGACCTTCCCCATATTGTGAAACAACCTTTACCTACAAGGAGAAGAACAAGGAGGGAGGAAGGAAAATAGCCTCACATGGAGATTAAAGAAAGTCTTTCATATTTTGTAATTTGTGCCAGACACACTAAAGTACATTCTGGTCCTGGGAAAGGTCCATTTAGCCATGTTTTCCTTCAAGAGTCAATATTCATGCAAGAAACAGTTATGGACACCTACACTGAGTGGGGTAGGAGCACAAGGTATCCGTTCTTAGCATTGAACAGATGAAGCAATTATGACATCCTTGCTCTCAAGATGTTTATTTCATAATCTAATAAAGTCTTGAAATAAATTATTTAAGCATCAAGGTGATGCTATTATGGGAGAATTTAACAGTGGAATACATTCAGGAATTTTCCTCTTTTAAAAGATCTAATGATAGAGTTACAGAGAAAAATGCTTTTTCCTTTCTAACAATCTGTGAAATTACATTTAGCATGCAAAAAAAAAATGCTTCTGCCTCAATTACCAGTGCTTATTCCTGGTAATTCAAAAACTCAGAATTTATAACTGCTAGCCAATCATATCATGTGGTGTGACATTTTACATCAAAATCATGACAATATCTCCTGAACATGGTAGGAAAGTATAAGCTCTAAGAATGGGAGCCAGGCCAAATATGGCCTTAACGAATGTGGGTCCTGGGAGGCCCTCCACCCTGCCTTGTGAACATCTGTGCTGTAATAAAAGAGAGAGAGCACTGCCTTAGAGTGAGAAGAACTGAGTGAGTTCAAACCTGAGCTCTACCCTTGAGCAGCAATAGTAATCACTGCTACCATTTAGAGCACAGCATCACGGGCTAAAGCCTTATTGAAATGTGAACAAAACCCAGTGAGGCTTATTCCTCATTCCTCATCAAACAGTAGGAATATGAAGCTCAGAGAGGTTAGTTTACCCAGCTAAGTATCAGATTCAGGATTTCAACTCAGAACTGACCAGGTTCAAAGCTCTTCCACAGTGGACACACCCCCTCTCACATCATGGCCCTTAGCCTCTTTACCTATAAAAGGGACCTAGCAAGGCCTCCCTGCTATGGTTTGGGTCTGTGTTCTTCACCCAAATCTCATGTTCAGTTGTAATCCCCAATGATGGAGGTGGGGGGCCTGGTGGGAGGTGATTGTATCATGGGGGTGGATCCTTCATGAATGGGTTAACACCATCCCTTTGGTGATATTCTCCTGATAGAGTTCCCGTGAGATCCGGTCATTTAAAAGTATGTGGCACCTTCCCTTCCCCCTCCCTCTTCTTCCTGCTCTGGCCATGTGAAGTGCTGCTTCCCCTTTGCCTTCCACCATGATTGTAAGTTTTCCTGAGGCCTCCCCAGAAGCAGAGCAGATGCCAGCATCATTCGTCCTGTATAACTGCAGAACTGTGAGCCAAGTAAACCTCTTTTCTTTTTATTTATTTCTTTTTATTTTTTAAATATTTATTTATTTATTTATTTATTTATTTTGAGGCAAAGTCTCACTCTGTCACCCAGGCTGGAGTGCAGTGGCGTGATCTCGGCTCACTGCAAGCTCCGCCTCCCCGGTTCATGCCATTCTCCTGCCTCAGCCTCCCGAGTAGCTGGGACTACAGGTGCCCACCACCACGCCCAGCTAATTTTTCATATTTTTAGTAGAGACGGGGTTTCACTGTGTTATCCAGGATGGTCTCGATCTCCTGACCTTGTGATCCACCCGCCTTGGCCTTCCAAAGTGCTGGGATTACAGGCTTGAGCCACCGCGCTCGGCTCTCTTTTCTTTTTAAATTACCCAGTCTCAGGTATTTCTTCATAGCAGCATGAGAATGAACTAATACCCTCCCTCACAGCATTGTCAGGGAAGAATAACTTAAATGTGGTAACAAACTTGAAAAAGATGTATAAACTGTGAGGTGCCAATGCATGAGATTCTGAGACACCATGCAATGAATGAGCAATTCATAGAACATGAATTCAGATTATATTTATCCCTTCATCATCATGATTTTGATATTTTGGGCCTCCTTTATGAAAAAATGGATATAGATTTTGTAGGGCAAATAGAAGCCACATCTCATCGTTATTTTGGATTTTAAGAAAAAATGGAGGGGGGAGGCTTTGAATTTATAATTAAACTTCTGTGTCAAGAAGGTAGAAAAAACTCAATAGATAAGAAGTAATTTCCACAAGGTAAGGAGAAACTTCTAGATCATCTTACTTCAAAATAAAGAAAGCTATGAGTGTCTTGAGAATGCCACAATGCAATTAACAGGCTGTGGATTTTGAGAGGACTCCCACCTATCACTGATGCTGCTTCAGGTCAGGCCCATGACTTTCTCTCAGCCCTATCTTCTACTGTCTGTCTTGCCCACATTCTCTGCCCCAGAATGGTTGTAGTTGTCCTGGTACATGATTTTTTCCCACACTTCCTGACATTTTACATTTTGTTGCCACTTTCTGAAATTTCTTCTTGCCCTTATTCATCCTATTTATCCTCAGTTTATGTGTTCCCTTGTACCTTCACCATCTAGTTCAAATCTGTTTCTTGATTTTTTTTAGATATGTCAAAAGCCTATGTGCACTCTTTCAATAATTGTAGCTAACACAGGGTGCTTACTGTGTGCATATATGGTTCTCAGAGCTTTACATGCACTCAATCATTTAATCTTCACCACAGAGATAAAAACTATAGTTGAGGAAATTGAGATGAAAAGAAATTAAGTAGTTGTCCAAAATTATATCGTTGGTAAGTGGGAAAGCCAGGATTTAAAACCACATGGACTAGCTTCCAAGCCCACATTTGGGCTTCTTTTAATTTCTACATAGTGTTCCATTCAATGAATGTAACACAATTATTTATTCTTTAGTCAATGAACATATGGGATGTTTCCAGTTTTTGCTATTACCACTAGACTTGCTATGAACATTCTTTGCACTGGAGATTTTCTCCAGGGTATAAAACTAGGGTTACAAAATATATATCTAGAGTATTGTGAATGATAATCTCAAATGACTTTCCAAAGTAGTGGTGTACATTCCTACCAGCAGTGTAAAAGAACCTATATTTTTTGCCAGTGCGTGGTAGCGTTGGATAGTAAGATGGTATCGCATTGATATCTCAATGTGCATTTCTTTAAATGCTGATGAAATTGAGATTCCTTCCCTATGTATATTCAACCTTCACATTGTCTCTGCTGTGAAATGCTTGTTCATGTTTTCTACCCATTTTTCTACTGAGCTGTCTTTTTTTATTGAGTTGTGGAACTGTTTATGTAGTCTGAATACTAAGCCTTTGTCAACTGTAAGTGTTACAATGTCTTCCATATTTTGGCATCTTTTCACTTCTTCATAGTATCTTTTGACAATCAGAAGCTGTTTAACATAATCAAATGTATTAATCTTTTCCTTTATGGCTAGTACATTTGAGGTCATATTAAAGAAATGTTTTTCTACTTCGAGATCAGAAAGATATTTTCCCATATTTTCTTCTAGAATTTCTATAGTTTTGCCTTTAACATTTAAGTTCAGAATCTATTTGGATTTGATTTTTTATATGTGTATGTCCAACTAGATAATCAATTATCCCAGAACTAACAAAAGTTCCTCCTTGCTCTATCAATCAAAACACTTTGATTCATATGAAATGCAAATGCTTCACTCATTAGATTGTTAAATTTTGGTAACACATCAAAAGTGGGTAAAATTTGGGGTCAATAGTTATTGTTGGCAGAAGAGTAAATTAGTATAATTTTAGTGGTGAACAATTTGGCAACTTATCAGAATTACAAATGACCCATTTCTACTTCTAGGAATTTAGCCTATAGGTGCAATCTCAAATACGCCCAGAGGCTTATGTACAAAGATGTTCATTTTAGCATTGTTTGAGCATTCACTGAAGCAAAACCACCTAAATTGAAAACCACATGAATATCCATCAATGGGGTAAGATAAACTGTGGTACATATTATGGAGCTGTTTAGAAAGGATAGGACAGTATTATATCCACTAAGATGGAATGTTCTCTAAAATATAAAAATAGAAATATATTTAATACATATGTATAAAATAATATATGTGTATAGATATGAAAAATATATTTTGTAAAATATAAAAGCAAACTACCAAAAATTGGGTGTGGCATACTATTATTTTTATAAAATGTGATTTATTTTTGTAGACTATCTCTGAAAATGTACACAAAAAATTTGAATAGCGATTGTCCCTATGGAGGAGAACCAGGAGGCTAGTAGCCTGGAAGGAGACTTTCTTCCTCTTAATGTCCTTCTTTTGTGTAGCTTCATTTTTTAACACTTGCATGCATTACCTATAGCTTGTTTTCATCTTAGTTAAATGAAAAAAAAATGAGTGAATACAAAGATAGACAATTTGTGGTCTCCACATTCAAGGAGTTTATAGTTTAAAAGGTACAAAGAAAGGCACACAAATAGCCATAAGATAAGATGGTACGTGATAGGGAAAGTTTCCAAGAGAAGAAAAATATCTTCTTGCTGGACTTCTTCATGAACTACATGTCTCTTTTTAGTTTCTGTCCAGTATTATGTTTGGATAAACTTAAATCCACCATCAATCTGTTATATTTCCTCATTATTATTATGAACATTTACATGAAACTACTTTTGCTTATAACCCTTTTCAGTAAATTTGCAAGGATAAAACTATAGATCTTCTACAATTCAGATCTTGAAGAGAAAGAGGCAATTCCTCACTTACCTAGGGTACCAAATGGAGTATTCTTTCCGCTGGAGGAAAGATGAACTTTATGGAACATTTTTGGAATGTCAGACTTTGGCCTAGGGCTTAAATAGTGTTATCTTGTTTATGCCTTACCACAATTTCAAGAGACAGCTGTTATGTCATTTTCAAATGAGGAAACTACTGTATGTTATGCTGATTGCTAGCTGCTAACAAAGCTTCTCAAACTTTCCACTGGAGACAGAGAACAGAGAAAGCATATCCAATCTGAGAGATACAATCAAAAGCAGCCTACCATAAGCTCATTTTTTAAAAGTTTCAGGTTTCATCTTTGACATTCACTCAAATCATGTATTCATCTTTGCTTTAATGTATTCATTGTGTATTCATCTTTGCTTTAATAAAAATAGTAATGTTGTCCCATAGACCAGCAGTTAGAATCATTACTCAAGGAAGGTTGAGGCTGCGTAGCCTATGAGTACGTGGCCCTTGCTTCACACCACACACCACCTAGAGGTACACATTCCCCAGCCAGGGACTGGGGGAACTAGTTATTCTTGCTTCCCAGAGCCCACTGATCAAAGCAGTGCCAGCATAGGGTGGCATGAAAATTATAAGCTAACATTTCTGAACACATTTCTGAATAACCCAGCATACTATTTTACAAAGCAAATTTGTAGTGCCCATCCCAGGCATAACTGAACCAGAATTGGGGATGGATGATGACTGGGAACCTCCATTTTTAACAAACTTTTCAGGTGATTTTTTTTTTTTTTTTGAGACAAGGTCTTGCTCTGTTGTCCAGATTGAAGTGCGGTGGTGTGATCATGGCTCACCGAAGCCTTTACCTCCTGGGCTCAAGTGATCCTCCCACTGCAGCCCCTTGAGTAGTTGGGACTACAGGCTTGGGCCACTATACCTGGCTAATTTTTAATGTTTTGTAAAGATGGAGTCTCATTATGTTGCCCAATTTGGTCTCAAACTCCTGGACTCAAGCAATCCTCCCAAGTGCGGGGATTACAGACACGAGCCAGCCACCGTGCCTGGCCTAGGTGATTCTTTTGTAAGTTAAAATCCAGATACATTTAAGTCTTCCTGAACCTGCTGCTCCTTTCTGAACCTATCTGGAAATCTAAAAGCCCCAAAGGCAGGCCTGTGTCATGTTCTTTAGACTTCCTCTGGCCTCAGAACCAGAGGCTTCTGACCTAACCCATTTCACAGGACCTGAGTCTCCACTAACCCTGCCCTCCTGTGCCTGCCCATGCCCCTGACTGAAATCCTTCGTCGTCTGTCTGGAGCATGTACTGACATAGCTGAGGAGGTTGTCTGTGAATGAAAATTCAAAAGGAAGATATTTTTGTCTGAAGGTTTGCAAGAACTAATGATTAGCTTGGAAAGCCATGGTGCTGGCTGCTGCGTTAGCTGTGGGAGGTATGTGGGGTGTAGAAAGAAGGAAGGAAGAAATCTAGTTTCCTTTTTAATCACATCCCTGATGGATTTGAGCAAGGGACTCAAGTTCTTTGATTTTTCTGTTTTCAGTTGAAATCACCCAGTTATCATCTCTCTTTGAGAATTTGCTTAGGAATTTGGGGGTGGGGTCAGGGAAGACCCTGGGCATCCCACACTATGGCCATTTAAGTCGGCAGGGGCCTAACTGCCTGTGCTCCACAAGCTTGAGTGTGCTACTAGTTTGCTTCCCAAAAGACCTTAAATTCTAATGGACAATTTCGTTCCATGAGATCTGAAAAGTGTTTCTCTCTGCCAGTTACATGCTTTCCCTAAATTAATTGTAAAAGGGTAACCAGGATGCAAACTGATTATTTTGTTTTTTCTGCTCTTTTGCCAATTTTGAGTGAAAGGCAGCAATATAAATGTTACCGTAACCATTTATTTCTTAAATCTATGGCTCTGCATGAAGGGAAGAAAGGCAAAGGTAAGGATGGTTTTCGTGTGCGCTCAAACCTTGTCTGAATCCAGGGCAAATTTTCAATGTAATTACCCAAAATTGGAAGACGTCTTTCAGGCTCATAAAACCAGTTTGTTTTTATCCAGACAAAGCCTTGCTTGGTATCCAGACATGTAAAATGTTGATGGTTAGAGAGTGAAAAAAAGAAAAGAAAAAAGCATTTGGATAACCTGACACAAAAATTAAAATACACCATGTTTTAGTTCATAGGTAAATCAATCCAGATTGGGATATCTGCCTTCATCCCCTATGTAAGTCCATTTCTAAAATTAGTTTTATCATTTTTATAATTTTAAAATAATAGATGTTCAATGTAGAAAACAATAAAATATAGAAAAGGGTAATAAAGTAAGGACAAATTTCCTATTGTCCCACCATCCAGTTATACCCCACCATGCTATATACCCCAGTTAATATTTTGTGGTCTGTCTTATACACACTTAACTCTCTGTGTGTGTATGTGTGTGTGTGTGTGTGTATTTACATGCATACATACTACACACCTGCTATTGTTTTGAACATGGAAGGCATCACCTGGGGAAGGCCTGCTATCCAACCAAATTCCTTCTCATCAGGGCCAGCAAGATAAATGAGAATAGGTGTAACAACAGCTCTTCCCCCTACCAGTCATTAAAACTGATTGCACCAAGTTTGTCAGGTACTTCCGTTTGCATTTTGCTCAGTCCCTAGGCATATTTTCCTCCTTACTTCACCTTTTAGCAGTTTTTAATCCAGATCACCATTCTCCCCTTCTAGAATAGTCTCTTGCCTTGATTTCCTTGACAACGAATCCTCCTGGGCTTTCTCCTGCCTCCTGGCCTTGTCTCCGTTGATGACATGGACTATCTAGTCTCTTCCTCCTAATGTTTCAAAAGATGGCTACTCTTGAGGGTTCTGCCCTAGAATCTTCTGTCTCCTCACTCTCCGGACATTTGGTTTTCATAAGGAGCTATGTCCTCTCTAATCTCCAAGCCTTCTTTCAATATTCTTCTTATTTCTAGGTCACATTCCCCACTCTGTCCCTGTTCACATACACGCTTGACCAAGAGAACTTTTACTTATCTTGAAGATATCAATTTAGACATGACTGCATTTGGAAAGCCTTTATTGACACCCGAGGTCCATGTCAGTGTGTGTTCTGTGTGTGTCCGTAAGACTCTATTGTTTTCCTTCCTCTACTTATAGCACTATTTTATATGTATCTGTTTATTTGTCTATATGTCCCATTTCCATTGTAAGGACAGGGACTGTGTGTGTGTTGTGGGGGGGGTTGTTTTTTGTTTTTTTGTGTTTTGTTTTTGAGACAGAGTCTCACTCTGTCACCCAGGCTGGAGTGCAGTGGCATGATCTCAGCTCACTGCAACCTCTGCTTCCCGGGTTTGAGTGATTCTCCTGCCTCAGCCTCCTGAGTAGCTGGGACTACAGGCGCCCACCACAACACCCGACTAACTTTTGTATTTTTAGTAGAGATGGGGTTTCAGCATGTTAGCCAAGCTGGTCTCGAACTCCTGACCTCAGATGATCGACCTACATTGGCCTCTCAAAGTGCTGGGATTACAGGCTTGAGCCACCGTGCCCAGGCAGGGACTGTGTTGTATTAGTCATCACTACATCCCAGATCCTAGCAGTGTCTGGAATTTAGTAGACTCATAATGTTTATTGAATAAGTAGATGCCAACACAACTACTAATACCATTCTTTGTGGTGTATTGTATAGTTCAATCAGTGAAGACTGATACACCTTCTTATATGAGCTGCATTCCTTCATCTCATGACAAAAATAAACATGATTTTAAAAGTTGAATCTTGCTGGAGGACAAAATCAGGTAAATTGACCTTTATCTGCAATTTGGGGTTTAGATTAAATATAAATGAGGGGCTTTCAACCCAAGAACTACCTATGGAATAAATTTGTAATATCCCTTCCCTAGAGCTCTTTGACTATTGGACAAGATGTCATGAGGTTTCTGTTATGGACTGAATTTTGTCCCCTCCAAATTCATTTGTTGAAGCTCTAATCCCCAGTGTGACTGTATCTGGGGATAGGGTCAAATACCTACTTGGGAGGTAATTAAGGTTAAATAAGATCCTAAGGGCATGACTCTAATCCAAAAGAACTATGGTTTTATAAGAGGAAGGAATCAATCAATCTCTCTCTCTCTCTTTCTCTCTCTCTCTGTCATGTGACAACACAGCAAGAAGGTGGCTGTCTGTGAGTCAGGGAAAGAGCCCTCACCAGAACCTGACCAAGCTGTCACCCTGATTTGGACTGCCAGGCTCTAGAACTTTGAAAAAAATATATTTCTGTTGTTTCAGCCCCCCAGTCTATGGTATTTTGTTATAGCAGCTTGAGCTGTCTAATACAGCCTCCATACAGATACAGGCTCCCCAAGACTTAATCTGTCTCATTAACCATTAATCCTCTAATCTGAATGGAGTCTGGCGTATTGCAGATGGTCAATAATTATCTATTACATTAATGAACTTTCAGGAGTCATTGTTCTGAGGCTGGAGGTGAAACATGATGCAAAGCAAATGGCCATCCAGGATGGTAGTAGCTGTAATTTATAGTTACCTGAATTCACACATACCTATGTTTGTATTGCTATATTTATTTATTTCTCTGATGCATTTATAAATTCTTAATTTTGTTTCTCCTAAAAAATGTTCTGGTTACTTATAAAAACACATATTTTGCAGCAGAGTAATAAAGAAGTAGATGAGAAGATTGGGTATAAGGGCAAGATAAATCCACAAGTGAAGTTAGCATACAAGGATATATGCCATAAGAATCTGTACCATTTGGCTCTCAACCTGCTAGAATCCAAAGCAAAGAGTTAAATCTATTCAGTTATAACATTTGCAGTATCTGTAAGATAAAAGTAAACCAGTTGCCAAGAAGCTAGAAGATGAATGCTGCTACTCAGGGCAGGGATTTTGTCTGTTTAGTTCACTATTCTATGTCTAGTGCCCCAGAACAGTGCTCAGCAAAAACTGAGTAAGTTACATTTTTTAAGTGAATTAATAAATATAGTATTTTCCTAAGTTTAGTCACTGGAGGATCTTCCAAAAGGAGTAACTAGGTAATAAAGTAGGTAACATCCTCAAGACATCCCTGTGATCAACAAACTATTTAATTCCCTAGAGCTGTTTTCTTTTCACACTTCAATATAAACTGTTGGTGTGAAATATAATTCAACAAAATTAAATTTTGTAACATCACTTCCTTAAGTTCATCAGTTGTAGCTTCCTGATGATCTGCCTTGTGCCAAGAATAAAATGTGTTTTCAGGCAAGTGTTCCGTGAAGAAACATTAAAGTTTATTTCTTGTAACATTTGATAAAAAATAGGCAGCAGAGTCTCAAATAATATTCTTCAGCAAAGAATCAAAGTGCACCTGTGCATTATTGTTGAGGAACCATAGCCATGTGCTTTGACAATCAAATGTCTGTAAGGAAAGATAGTGCTACTCTTAGAGATTCTTATTGCTAACACTCACTGGGTAACTTCCATGTGCCGGGTACTGCGCTAAGAATTTCCTTTAATCCCTGGCAGGCAGGTACTCTCGTCAAACTCACATTTACCAAAGCTCAGAGAGGTTAAATAATGAAAATCACAGAACTAGTAGTGTAAGAGGCAAGATTTAACTCAGGATGTCTGACCCCAAAGCCTGACTTCTTGACCAATATTGATGCCTCCGTGAAAATTAGGGAAGCGTCCTGAAATGTGCCAGAGTTAATAAGCTTTGTTTTTGTCCTCCTCACCAAGCATAAACACACATATCCAGTATTCTGTGTATGCAAAGATATGCTTTTCCACAGAATCCCGTTCTGAACTTTAATGTATTCTATATATCCCGGTAGCAATGAAATATGTGATGTGGTAACAATAGAATGTAATCATTTTCACATCTTACCAATTTCCCAAATGTATTTTGCTGTTAAATTTTTAAATAATTTTAGTCACAAACTAAAAGAAATTGAGTCTTTCTTTTAGAAACATAACAATTCTTTCTGTTAGAAACATACAGTTCTGTTTCTTTTCGAACAGCCTAAGCAGGAGGTTATGATTCACTTCATAGCCCACTTCCAGAAGGGCCATTTTCCTGTGTCTTTTCCTTGAGTAAATAATGCACAAGACGATCATTGTCTGGGTGCAGCAACATAATGGGTTTTATTTTTATTCGAATTTTCATTTATTGATTTTGTTTCTCTTCCACATGAATAATGCATCCTTTCAGAAGGCATCCAAATTCACATTATTTGGCACACTCAATAAAAAGTCCTTTATTTTGAGCAGTTACAAATACAAATTATGTAGTCAATGTGTTTTTAAACTGTTTAAATATGTATTTAGATGCTAAACTGAGGCATTATTAGAGAGGTTTGTATAGCAAGTGGCATACAGGTTTAACATTGCCCAAATATCTGCTCATCCTAATAAAATAACATTAAATGAGGCTGTTGTGGTTCATTTGGGAGAAATGGCATATTTAAATATTGATATAAACAGCATCCTTGTAATCATTAGCAGGGGCTGTAACTGTTAAGGTAAACAATGCAGCCCCTTCGGTGCTTTGCACAGATAGACATACTTGAGGAATGCAGTGTATCACTTGTCCCAAGAATTCTTTACTTACGTTCTATGTGATCAAAAGAGAACTTAAATAATGTCTAAACTGTTCACTCCTGATTCATCTTCCTAAGAACATGGTGAGGGGGTGAGGGGTTCTGCAAATGGGGACTGGTGAAGGGAGCTGGCAGTACTCCAGAGAGCGGGATGCATGGCTGAGGAGGAGGGGACATAACACGATATCCCCTCCTGCCCCAGGGCCATTAGAATGGGTTTAGGACAGATGCATGATGATTTTATGGCTAACTATGCCCTTGGTCAGGGCACTGTATCTGGCAGGGATTTGTTTGAGAGGAGAAAAATGGAGGAGCTACTTTTGATATAGACAAAGAAGTTTAACAGAGATGGGATTCGTGAACTAAGAAAACTAATTTGTTAGCTCAGTGACCAAAACCTTGTTTTTGGGAGAAAGAAGTGATCTCCTAGAACATGGCATTTCAGGAAGGTCTGGTGGTGGTCATTTGGGGTGGGGGGGTGGGGCATCGTCTCAGTATTCCAACATTCCAACCCTTAGTTAGAAGATGAGGGTAAGAGTCACTGAAGGTAAATAACTTTCAAGGGCTTCAGAGGTCATTTAGTCCGGCCAATAACTGGGAGAGGACCAAAGGTAAAAATGGTGCCAATGCAGGGAATGGAGTGAGGGGAGAGACTGTGTCAGAACTGGGGAAAGAGAGGAAAGAACCTGCATAGCACCTGGTGTTGGGGACCAAAAAGCATGATTTCTACCTTGGGTGAGTCTCTTTGACAGATCACAAGGCCTTACAGGTCTCAGGTTCCTTCCTGCCCAGTTCTAACATTCTATATGTTAGCAGGTTTAACTTTCCAGGTAGTAATATCCGGAGAGAACTAGTGAATGGAACCAGGAGTGGCCATGGAGATGGGGAAACACTTAGTTTGCAGGTGGTCAGGCAAATTTTGGGACCTTGGGAAATCAGTCGACGGAGGAGAAGTTCTAAAGGGATGAGAGAAATCCAAAGTCAATAGGACTAAAGAGAAAGGCCGAAAGCTTATTTTCTTAATGATCATTTCAATTTTCATCGAGAGAGTGTGAGTCACCCTTGTCTTGTTTTGGGTTCCTCTTGAAGGAGACTCAGAGACAAAGATTTTAATGCAAGAGGTTTTTTTGGGAGATAATCCCAGGAAACAGCAGGAGGGAAATGGGGAAGTGAGACAGGGAAGGGAAGGAGGCCAACAAAGGAAGCCTTATTAAACCAGTTGCTGCTCTAGGCACATGGAGCTCAAGAACTCTGGAGGACAGAGCAAAACACACCTTGAGTTACCCCAACCATGAAGCTGGGATGCTAAGCTACATATATATATATATATATATATATATATATATATACACACACACACACACACACTCAGTTTTTGACTCTTTGTCCATCAAATTAGTTATCCATGAACCCAGCCATTGGATGAGAGCAACTTCTGGGGGAGTTTACAGCCTAGCGCTTCCTACTTGCTTTGCACACTGGTCTGTCATGCTCCCCAGTCTGGCAAAATCCTCAGGCAGTGAGTCATGGGGTTCACAGTAAATGTCCAAGGTGTTATAGGTAAGGCACCAACTGTGTCTGCTACTGTTTTTATTTTTTAGAACTTAATTTTAAAGCCTGGATCTGAAATTTTTCAACTTCTTTTGTTATGAAGTGATTTCCAGCAGGAGTGATGCAAAAGCTGAAAGGCTTCATACTACAGGAAGAGGATATGGTTAAAGGCACCAGGATGTCTACAAAACAGATTTATTTCCATCTCAGCAGGAGGCAGCCATGTTTCTCTAAGTGTTGATTAAACTGTTCCTCCATGGTGGCTCCCTTGTTTGTCTCATTCATGTTGTTCTCATTTACCTCCTTTTGCTTTGGGAATTTGCCAGCGTGGAACTTGTTTCAACGGCTACATTGATTAGGTACAAGCTTATGTTAAGCTGGAAGCCAATAAACGTTTGGCTAGAGAACTTGTGGGGCTCATTAACCCAAGACAAGGTTTTGGGATGAAAATACAAATAGACCCAGGAAGGCTATGATGAGTGTATAAACACTAGACACATAATGGACTGTCCTTCTCAGTCAGGGGCACTTCACTTAACTTTTGAGATTAGCATCAAGGAAATCTCTCAAGTTCTTTCACATAGAGTCTCTTGAGGGGAGTCTGAATATGTGGGTCTGATGTCATTGGCAAATCTTATGCTTGCTTTGAGCTTTTGACTGGGTCAAGAAGCAGCATGGTACAGCTAAAAAGCTCAGGCCTAGGAGTCAAGAAGTGTTAGATTCAAATTCTGGGCAAGGTAATTGCCCTATGACCTGGTCAAGGTACTGAAACTCTCATTTTCCCAAAAAATCTGGGCAATAATTTCTACATCTCAAATTATGGGGAGATGAAATAAAGACCCCATATCTGAAAAATTGAAGAGGGCCTGACTTATAAAATATGCTCCAAGGAAGTTAGTTCCCTCCCTACACCTTTGATTATCTCTGCAATTAAAAAAAACAAAAAACAAAACAAAACAAAAAAAAACCTTTCTGTCTCTTTCCCTTCCTCCCTCCCTCCCTGCCTCCTTCTCCTTCTTCCTTCCTTCCTGTCTTCTTTCTTTTTTTCCAACCAGGGATTTTCAGTATATTCACAAGGTTGTGCAACCCATCACTGCTATCTAATTTCAGATCTCTTTTTCTTTTGATTTGTTGGAAATGGGTTTTGTTGGTTTGTTTGTTTCCCGTAGTGTTTACAAAGAGCTGTAAGAGAACCTTCTTTATTAACAAAGCCTTACATTTGAAACCCAATTTGTGCTACAGACTGCCTTAATATGTGTGAATGCACATGATCTTTACTTGGAAGGTATGCGAAGCCTTTGTAATACCCAATTTACAAATGAAGAAAGTGAGACATGACAGTTGACCTAAGGACAAAACATGAGTGAGGGGCAGTATCTGAGCCAGATCTCAGATCTCCTGTTTCCATTCCCCAAATAGTACTCAGTGGTAACATCTTTACCCTAGAAACTTTGCCAACATGTGCAAGGAACTGTCCTGTGTATGAGGTAGGCTGTAGCTTCTAGCATTAAGCCTCAGGGCTGGGGACATGGACAGATTGTCAGAAGCAATGTGGCCAAAAGCTCCACCATACCCAAGCCTGTAGATTGAAGGATGGCCCTCTGTGAAACCCACAGCTGTTTCTCCGAAGAAGTTTCATTTGGAAGTCTGCTAGTATGGGTTTCAGTACCATGAGGGTGTTTCCCATATAAAGAAGAAGATGATGTCACTGCTACTTGCTGGTATCTACATGCACTCCCAGAGCCCCCTGCAATCCCCCACAAGGGTGCTTTTCTGTGCCTTTCCTCAGTGATTGTCTGTAAGATTAGCTTCCTACTAAAATTCTAACTAGACTTAGATTCTCTTTTATTCACTGGGTGAGGGACCTGGGATCTCTATTTAGTTTTATTTCCAATATTTTTTCCCTGTCATGTAGATTTGCAGTGGGTTTAGGTGGCAGTGTTTACAAATAATTTCTTGGTCTAATCCCAACTATTTAACATCTGCAAGGATGATGTAATATGCCAGCAACTGTTTAAAGTTGTTCTAAAAGGCTTTACAAATATCCTTTGTGAGTGTGCACCCTGGTGATGGGAATGAATACACATGCTATTTTGTGAGCAATTTGAGAGAGTCTATCAAAATTTTAAATATGCTTATGTCTTGACCATAATTCCACTTCTAGGGCTTTTCCTGCAGCAATCACTCATAGCAATGTGAAAATATGCATGTGCAAGGATATTCATTACATCATTATAAGAGTGAAAAATTGTAGAGAAATGCTAAATATATACTGATAGAGGGGATTCCTAAATATAATACACTATGGAGTAATACTCAGCCATTAAAAAGAGTAAGGTTGATTTAAGTTCCCTGAAATGTTATTCATGATATGCTGATGAGAGATTGAAAAAGCAAATTGCGTAATAATATGTATTATATTGTCCCATTTTGTAAAATATAACAATACCCAAGTGATTTCTATATAAATGTAATAAATTTTTCCCATTTTTATACAAGATCTCTTTAGGGTAGACTCTGTTAAATGGTGTTCTACTCAGTACTTTAATATGTTTGGAGATGCAGCTATTGCAGAAGGAAGTAAAGAAGTCTAACCTGTTCTGTATGTTTGAAGGAAGGAGATGACAGCAGAAAAGATAAGGAGAGGAGAGAGAGAGAAGGTGAGGGGCTAGCAGCATCTGAGGCAAAAGCAAGTGTAGCTCTCCCTGAAGCAAGATGGAGGAAAAGACTTAAGAAGTGAAGTCGTTAATGAGTGATTTTAAATAGCTTGCTGTGTGCTTCCTAGTAGGAAGTCTGGCCAATAATCCTCAAATCGTCACTAAAGTCACTAATGCTTTGTGTGAATATGTAGGTGTGTGTGCATGCCTAAATCCAGGAAGGGGCCAAGTTGACCATATAAGTCAACAATGCAGAACAGAGACAGCAGCCAGAGAATAGGGAGCCTTTCTTGGCTTTGGAAGCACATCAAATCTTTGAAAATATGTAGAAATCTTGAGGAGAACCTTAGATTTCCTCAGGGCATAGAATGGGGGGTGGGGTGGTTCAAGCTGTTCATCTAGATCTTATGGGTCTGGAAGACATCAGCCAACATCAGGATTACAAATACAGTAGAAGAACTATTTTTTGCCAAAATGCTTGCAATGTGGCTAGATTAACGAATCTAGATATTCTACCTACAAAAGAACCCAATGATAACAACAAAACAAAACCTTAATCCAATCTATACATCTTCTGAATACGTTCTCCACTTTCCATTATATGGATTATGAAGTAAGAATGGGATGTGTAATGTATTTGTATACTTTCATTTCAGTACTTTAAACTTTATTGCTTTTACAACATAGAAATAACTCTGAACCAGCCCAACTCATGCATTACCAGAACAGCCACCAACCTCACTTCGCAATATACCACCAAATGAATCTCCATGGCAACCAACCAGCACATCCCACCATATGCCACATACCATGAGGAATTACTCCTCAATTATTACTCGGCATGATAGTTTAAATGGATAAGCATTTCAAAAAAATCCTTTTAGGCCAATCTCATTATTTGGATGGTTCTGATATTGAGAAATCTGAATAGGTGACATTTTGTTATTTAGATATACATTCACTTATATATACCCAGAAAAAGATTTGGAATACCTACCGTCACTTCAGAGGGGGACTTTTAATTTTCACTTTATATATACTACTTTATTATTTTCTTTTTTTAATCATAGGCATATGTTATTTTGTAATCAAAGAAAGAAAATGCTGTCCCATACTTGGTAAGCAGTCACTTCTCCTAATGCCACACCTTTATGGAATGCTATCCCCTACACACTGCCTCAGGCAGAATGGAATGTCATATGGGGAACTGGTTGCAGCTAGATGCTATTATTTTAAGAAATTTTAAACATCCTCTGCCTTTTCATTGAACTCAAGATGAGCACTTAACAATTACAAGTATTCCTAGAAGCAAAGAAATCATATATATTCTGGTATTTATTTAAAGTACTAAGAGATTCAAATTCTTTATATAATAAGAAGTAGCTTTAGTCTTTATCAGCTCAAACATTATGAGCTATAATCCATGAAACATGCTATTTTTAACAAATATTTATTCTTCCTATCATTCTGAATGTGAAACATTTTCATTTCTTCTAAGAACATTCCAGGTTTAAGTCTGAGAAATGGTCCTGGTCTTTCAACAATTGAAGAGATTGTGGGCACCTATCTCACCCCAGGGTTTTAGTCTCAGAGATTACCGGGTTTTCTTGCTGTCTTTTGGTTGGTTGTTGGTTTTTTTATTTGAAAGCTTAACTTCTCAATGTTTGTACAGATGACTAAATTCCCTTGTAATGTTAATATTAAGAAAGAAGTCAGGAATTTTGCGTGATGATCTTACAAGGAGAAATAATCCTGAAGCAATAAAAAGCATCTAGAAAGTAGCCAAAGGACTATACAGAATAGTGTATGGGGATTTTATATCCTACCACATACTCTATTAATACAGCTTATTAATGGAAAGCATGAGAGGCTGACAAGTCAATCAAGGCCTGAGCATGAACACTGATCTGGCTCACATCACTGTCCAAGTTTGAGAAGGTGAGTCAAGATGCTTCAGTTGGGCATCATCTGTACTCCCCATTATCTGACAGGCACAAATAAATTAAAAATTGAGCTGTTTTTACATTTTTTTAGATAAACTAAAATTGAGTGTTTTTCCCATTTAATCTTCCCAGGTGAAAAAAAAAAAAAACAAAAAGCTTAGAAAAACTCTAGGAAATCGACCTTATCTTTGTCATTTGCAAATCAATCAGAAAAAAAAATATTTTTCCTTTTGAACTTCTAATATTTGGTTTAGGGAGTAGAGTTAGAATTCTCACAGATAGACTATTGATTTCACTTTTCTGTCTGTTTCAAATTTGCCTCCTATTGACATGTGGCATTGACTTATTGTTCTGACAAGTCCAGGAATGTATTTTCTGAGTTTGGATTTGTTAAGTCCAATTTTTTTATTGTCAAATTTATTTTTTATGGTCCAGGTCCTTTGGAACTCAGGGAGTTAGTGTGAGTAAAGTGGGGGAAGATCTACCAAATTGAATTCCTTTCCCCAGTGGTATTGTAGCTGAAGAAAAGGAGCCCGCTAATTATGTTATTTAGGCATGGAGATGGTAAAGGGGATGGTGAGGTAAAAACCATAAATTTTGTGAGAAATTGTATCATTTTGCCAAAAAAGAATGAGAAGAGGTCTTTGGAAAGCTCAGATGCTCCCTGCTTTGTGTGAATTTGACAGGTGGGTTGGTAGGTCCTGAAACATATACCCTTGGGAAGGGTTGGGGAAGGTCAAGGAGATGGGACATGTCATTGAGTGGGAAAGCAGGAAAAAGTGGGAGCTAATGTGGGTGTGGGGAATACGGGCTGTCAGCAAGACGCTGCAGGGGTCAAGGAGGAGAGCAATGAAGGACAGGAAGCAGTGGGCATTCAAGACTCGCTGGCCTTTTTTCCATTTTCTCATGCTTTCTTTGGCACTTGACTGCTACAGGTTTTTAACTTCCTGAACTGTACCGTCCATCATGGAAGGCTCTCCTCACTTACTAAGGCTAAAAACACAGGCTCCATAGCCTCTTCATTTTATCACACTAATGGTCGAAAGGTTCTTATCCTATTTTGCATTTGTTTCTTGAGGGGAACTTGAGAAGCAAAACTCTGGAGCCATGCTCCCCAGGTGCAAATCTGAGCTCTACCACTCCCTGCTCTGTGACCATGGGCAAGTCACTTAGCACGCTATGCCTCAGATTCATTTTTAAAATTAGGATGGTAATACTAGTATCTTCACAAGATTTTATGAGGATTAAATTAGCTGTTGGGCACTGTTGTGGTTAATTTCAGGTGTCAACTTGGCTAAGCTAAGTGATACCCAGATAGCTGGTAAGGCATTACTTCTGGGCGTGTCTGTGAGAGAGTTTCTGCAAGACATTAGCATTTGATTCAGTTGACTGAGTAAAGAAGATCACCCTCACTGATGTGGGTGGGCAGCACACAATCCATTGAGGGCCCAGATAGAAAGACAGAGTGAAGGGTGAATTCCCTCTCTGCTTAAACTGAGACATCCATCTCCTCCTGCCCTCAGATATCAGTGCTCCTGGTTCTTGAGCCATCAGATTTGAACTGGGACTTACACTGTTAGCCCCTCACCCCAGTTTCTAGCCTTAAGGTCTAATGGAATTTGACTGTCAGTCCTGTCTTTCTTTTGATTTCTCCCTTTTGGAATGGGAATGTCTATCCTATGCCTGTCCCCCACTGTATTTTAAAAGTGCATAACTCGTTTTGTTTAACGGGTTTATAGCTGGAGGGGAATTTGGCCTCAGAATGAATCATATCTTAGGTCCCACCCAGATCAGATTTAGACAATATTTAGATGAGACTTTGGACTTAGATTTTAAGGTTGATGCTTGACTTTAAATGCTATTAGGATGGAACAAATGGGAGGACATAAATTTTGAGAAAACGGGGCGAATGCTATAGATGGAATATTTTTGTTCCTCCAAAATTCGTATGTTAAAACCTAATCCCCAATGTGATAGTGTTTGGAGGTGGAGTCATTGGGGGGTGATTAGGTTTTGAGGATGAAACCGTCATGAATGGAATTCATGCCCTTATAAAAGGGACCCCAGAGAACTTCCTTGACTCTTACACAGCAAGAAGGCAGCCATCCATGAACCAGGAAGAGGACCCTCACCAGACAGTGTATGTGCCAGCACTTTGATCTAGGACTTCCCAGCCTCTAGAACTATGATAAATACATTTCTATTATTTATAAGCCACCCAGTTTATGATATTCTATTAAAGCCACCTGAACAATGTAAGGCAGGAACATGATAAATGCTCAGTAAATGTTAAGGGAAAAAATCCTCCTTGAAAACATAACACATTTATTCAGCATATGTCTGATAAAATCCTTGTAGTATGGAGTTGATATCAGGGTTGTGCAGTTCATCTCCGTCCTCACACCATGTCCAGCGGCTTCCTGAAGACTCTGCACAGTGACTTCTATGTGAACTGAAGCCTGTGCCACAGTCAATACTTAGGAGGTGATGGTGAAAAACGGTCATGGTTCTGAAAATAAGCCATGCATTTGTATGTTGGAAATCTTCCCTTTGCATAACTGGAAAACAAATCTATGAGTTTTTCAGCAAAAGTGGAGACATAAAAAAATCATGCGGGCCTAAATAAATTAAAAATCAATTAAAGGCAAGTGCATTTGTGTGTGTGTAATACTATTGGAGTTCAGGTGTCGCAAATGCCTTGTAGTATACACATGGAACTGTCCTCAAACTGGATTATCAGCACAGAGTGGGATGCAGACTTGGAGAGAGGCAGTATAGCCTGATTGAAATGGGAGCCCGATAAGAGACTAGTCTTGCAGGGCTGTGATGTTGGGAGAGGAAGCTTGAGAAGCAACACAGTGGTGAGTGATGAAATGTCCATTCGTGAGAAACCTGCTCCTTTAGGCCTGTTGAATCTGTGAATAAACAGTACCAACATCTGCAAATAGCACATTTTACAAGCTTGAATTGACTTTTCTACAGAACTGGGAACCTCTTCATGGCTTTCTTCTCTGAAAATAATTCAATAAGAAGATCCAAAAGAATACTTTTTGTTCTAGTCTTGGAATCTTCACCGTGTGTCAAATGACCATTGATTTTCTACCCCAGGTCAAAAATTGTATCCCTTGATAAAAGGTTGTATGTATAACATTTACTATACAATGGGATTATCCCAGGGTCTCCTCCTGAAACATAGCCTGTCCTTCAGTGTTTCTGCAGCTCAATATTGAGGGAGATTCTGCAACACGTCAGACCTCTGAGAGCTAAGAAGTGTCCATTCCTTCACCTCTAGAACTATAAAACCCCCTGTCCTTAGGTAGGGTGTGGGGTTTAAGAAAATTCTACATCATGGGATGCTGAACATCGGATTCCCCTTTTAAAGCCTGGATGTTAAGATGCTTCACTTAATATGGTTTGTGGAAGCTAGAAATGATAACTAAAATAATTCTAGAGCAGTGCTTCTCAAAGTGTCTGTGGTGAAAAACCAGCTTTGGTTTGGTTGTTATTTTCAATCTGTTGCAGACCAATCCTTTTTTTTTTTATTTTTATTTTTTTGAGACGGAGTCTCGCTCTGTCGCCCAGGCTGCAGTGCGTTGGCTCGATCTCGGCTCACTGCAAGCTCCACCTCCTGGGTTCACGCCATTCTCCTGCCTCAGCCTCCCGAGTAGCTGGGACTACAGGCGCCCGCCACGACGCCCGGCTAATTTTTTGTATTTTTAGTAGAGATGGGGTTTCACCGTGTTAGCCAGGATGGTTTCAGTCTCCTAACCTCGTGATCCACCTGCCCTCAGCCTCCCAAAGTGCTGGGATTACAGGCGTGAGACCAATCCTTTTATAAATTGTAATAAAAACGAATTACTAGAAAAATGAAATTTAAAATAAAGCTTTACAGAATACAAGCTACACATTTTATTTTGTTTTACACATTTTAATTACTAGATTCAACAGACATAAAATCACTGTACAATTGCCTTAATGTTCCTAAACTCTTGCTCTTAATTTCTGTTCTTGTTCCAAAGTGGATCTGGAATAAAAATTTTGTAGATGGACACTGGTCTATGGATCACCACTTGGAGTAGCACCAGGCTAGAGGTCGTTGAGAACAATACACTTTCGTCCATAACTTGGACCTAGTCTGGGAGTATTTCAGCACACACAGCAACATGTGCATTGCTAGTGCTCACTTAAATGACCATATCATCAGAAAGATACTGTGTTAAAATTATATTGCAAGGGACACAACATAGACCTCAAAATTTCAGTCAACCTGATGATCTACAGGTAATCCATTGACCAAGACAAATTGTTCTGCGCGATCTCTCATCTTTCCTATTTCTACATGTGTGAAAATGCCTATTACAGGAGTGCCAAGGGCAGTCTAAAGAGCAAGGGAACTCATTGAAGGAAAAATATAACCTGCAGGTCGGAGATGGAGGCAGAGAATGGAGGGGTGCCAAGTAGCTAGAAGCAGTAAGACCTGGACTATATGCCTGCCTAACACAGGTGGATCAATCACTTCAGAGGCCTCTTCAGGGGCAATTATTCCTGTTTGTCCCAACTGGGAAACAGCTCAGACTGGAAATAACTGTGGTTTCTGTAGGGCCACCCTAAGACTGATTGTCGCAAATTAGCTTGGTAAAGTGATGGACTAAACTTCCCGGATGAGTTCCAAGGCCCTGTGACAGGGAAAAACAGAGAATAGATGGTGACTTACGTGGCAAAAAGTGGAACCAGAAAAACCTTAAATTCTACTCCCCACTGGTAAAGGGAACTATGTAGATAAGGTCTGGCTAAGGTATCCACCATCCAAAGATCAATTCTTCCTAAATAGTGGCTATGATTTTAGAAGCTTTGCAGTCTTCTACTAACTTGGTTATTGGGAAACAAATGTAGTCTTTCTTTTCCACGTGTTGCTTACTGCACATTCTTATTCCTATAAAATCAATATTTGGCCCATATGATGGCAACGCTTCTGGGGGGCATTCCACATGTGGTACACATTTGACTCTGCAGCTTATTTATAAATAAGCTCAGGCACAGGACAACAGTGATTAAAGACCAGCCGGTGCCTGACCTCAGGGGGGAGGCAAATCCATTTAGAAGCCATTCACCTTTCATCCAGACTTCATGTCCTACATGCGTAACATCAGTGATGTGAGGAAGGAAGTTGGAGCTTTAGTCATCAATCCTGTTTAAGTGAAAGACTGGATCAGTGATTTTGAGATTGTTGCTTCCTACGATTATAGAAGTTTATATTTCATTTCCACAGTATTTTTTAATAGTAACCTTATGCTAATTCAACATATGCTTACTGTAGAGATAATTGTCTCCAAGAATATCAATACATATGGAATTTTTCAGATCATTAATGCTTTAAACTATGCATCAAGTTCAATTATCTAACCATTTCAGGTCCAAGGTCAGCTTTTAGGCACCCTGCCTCATCATTTCTGTTTCCTTTTTATCTTGGAAGTGGAAAGGAATTTAGAGTTCATCTTCTCCATCCCATTGCCTTGACAGATGAGGAAACTGAGGCCTATGAGGGTGAAATGGGTTACACTGAGGTCTTACAACAAATTGTGATTAGAGTCTGGGTTCCGTTCCCCTGGCTCTTTGTCCAGTCTTCTTTTAGGTGTTTCCTCCTAGTTTCGGCAGAAATCAGAGTTCATGAAAGAAACTCTGAATGTAATTGCTGTGGACATGTGGTCTCGAATTTATACTACAAGATGCTAATCATTGCCTGCCTGCGTGTCTGCTCGTGCCCTCTCTAGAGGAAATCCCCCTATCCCAAGCCCCTGCTGCCTAAGCAGCCAGGTTTTGTACTATGTGACTCCTCTACTCCCACCATTGTTAATTAGTCCAGAGATGACCATCTGGCCCTTATGGAGTTCATCCATAGAAGGGTAAAAGGTAGATAGGACAATTCAAATTCTCTTTTTCAGGGGGGCAAACCAAGGAACAGAAGGAATTTGCTATTTGGAAGTGAGATCATGAAGCTGAAATAGGAGTAAGTTGAAAGCTCACAAATATGGCAAACCAAAACCATATGCAATTTAGAGTTGTATAAGAACAGGAACCAGGAGCAAGCAGGGAAAGCCAGTGAGTAAAGAGAGGAGAAAATGGAGCAGACACACAGAGTTGCACATAGACTCTGCAACATGGCTCTGCTGCAATGACAATAACAGCTGTTTCCAACCTGTGCCAGGCATTGCTCCCAGCTCCTCACCTGCATGAACTCATTTTAGTCCTCATGACAACCCATAGGGTGAATATCAATGTGATCTTTCATTTCAGATAAATAAACTGAGGCACAGAGAGGTTAATTAGCTTGCTGAAGTTCATACAGTTCCCTTCACTGCTTTAGTACCTGCCAGTCTGTTTGCATCCCCGTGTGAATCTCTGCAATAGTTCTTTAAAACACACACACACAATGGAAAATGTAATTATTTAACCACAACACAAATAGAATATTTGGGGAAAATTGGACTTGAAATTTTCAAGCCTTGATTAAAAAGTCACCTAGACACAGTGTAATCATTTATATGATTTGGTTCTAATGTTCTTCCTCAATCCCTTCCTTGGGTTAGTTTGAGTTGGAGACCTCCCCAGGCAGAACCATGATGGACAGCCATTAACAAGTATATAGGAGAGGACTTTATAAGGAATGCAGGCTGGATATTATGTTCTTGTCATTTAATGTCTGAAAGGGGGAATACAAGACAGTGGTAGAAAGAGGGAGGAAAATGGAAACCTAGCTAGTTAAATGCAGGAGAGCCCACATGCCCCACTTCCAACCAATTCGTATCAGGCACCTGCTGAAGGATTTAGGAGCATGCATGCAGAGGGAAGAAGCCAGTAAAATACACAAGATTACGTTATTTCCAAATTTGGAAGGGAGAAGATTTTAGAACCAGAGGATGGGCAAAGGCAAACTCACTGATTTGATACCTAAGTCATACCAGTGAGAATAATACAGTAATCCAGAGATGGGTTCCGAATCCACATTTCCAGGGAAGAGCTCTATACATCAACAAGTGTGTGGGCACTTCTCATCACCAGAGAAGTTTGTGAAACCCACAATGATCATCAGTATCCCATGTCATCTTCACAGTAACTTTTCAAGTTGATAACAGGCTTATATCTTTTTGCCGTATGATAAAACTGAGTCTTACAGGGTTTTGGGGCCCTACTAGGTTCAGTTTGCACAGTTCGGTCCCCCAATCCCAATGTGTTCATACCTGGCTGCTCTGGAAAAGAAGTGGGCATCAAAAAATAGTCTTGATCGAGACAAAGGCAGTTAAAGGAACGTAGACACAGGACCACTGGTGTTCTACCTGAAGTGTGTGGAATCGAAGTGGGCATTGTTGTGCCTGCCTGCCTGTCCCAGACACACTTCTGATACCTGGATATGTCAGTGTGGAGCACACGGTTAGGATTAGAATGAGGGAGGAAAGAGGATATGAGAGTGAGAAGCCACCAGTATTTCTGGAGTTATTTTTATTCCAAATGGTGGTCTTCTGTACCTTTCTACCTGTGAGATCTGGGCAATTTACTTGTGAGAGTCTTAGTTCCCTCACCTATCAGTGAGTGTGATCATTTCTACCTCTTGAAATTGTTTTGGAATTTAACAAAATATGTATGTAGAACACCTAGCATTCAAAATGCCTCACAAGTGACAGATAGCTCCTTCTTCATATACATCCACTGTATCTCCACCAGTTTTCTATCCAGTTCCTGCCAGCATCTTATTCGAGTGGAGAATATCATCTCGTGTTCCAGACTTTTCCTGAGAGAAGCTGAAAGAGGAGCAAATTAGAGCTGCTTTGGGCAGCAATTTTTACACACTCAGAAATAGTGCAACAAAATTAAAGCCTCCAAGCCAAATGGAATACCCACTCTCACCCCTCTACCCAACCTGGGTACCAGCTAACAAAGAATGCATCTCTATTCATTAATAAGTGGGCATTTTTTGTGTTTATGTTACGCTAAATGTTGGAAATGACCCCCTTCCCCTTCACTGCCCTGAATGCCTTAGATCATATCATCTCCTCACCTTATCTTACTGGCAAAGAGGTGTACCTTAATTAGCATTTTACAAGCATTTTGTCTGCATTGGTTACCTTTAAGTTTGATAAGTCCTTGAAAGCTCTATATTCATTCACTCTTCTTAAAGTCTTGCTAAATACTCTCTTATACAACCAGGCTCTGATGACATCATGCTTCGTAGCAAACATACATCCTTGGTGAGTGGCTTTGTCAAATCGGTTGGTTTTCTACATTTGGCACTTTGTGTGTAAGTTGGTTTGTTCCCCTATAGGGATAATTTCTGCACATAAATTCTGGAGAAATAGACTAACGAATATCTAATGCAAAGCTGATTACTCTTCCTTGAGTAAAGTGACATCTCCACAGGATTAAAGTCATATTTGAAAAGAACACACACTTGGAATTGCACAGATCAGGGCTTGATCATTTCCACCATTTAATACCTACATTGTTATTAAATCTCACTCAGCCTCAGTTTTTTCATCTGTAAAATGGGGACAACAGTGTCTTCCATATACATTTACTGTGAGGATCAAATCAAATGTAAGATGTTTGGCCTCCTGCAAGGGCTCCACAGACACAGTTCTTAGTTTTCTTTCCTAATGTATCTCAAGCACCTAAAACAGAGCTTGGCCTATGGTAGGTGTTTGATAAGTATTTATTGAATGAATATCAAATCAATAAATATTTATTAAATGAGTAAATCAATATTGAGTGAATAAATACATATTGAATGAATGCCAATTGACTGAATAAATAAATAATAAATATTGAATGGATAAACAGTTTATAAAACCCTATAGCACCAGGACAAAGGATATCCCTTCACCCCAGTAAGAGCTGTTAATGAGACCAGCAGTCACAGGTGGCTTAGTTGGCAGCCCTAAGCCTATTTTCATCCTCTTCCATCCTCTCCTTGGCTTCTCTAATCACTGTCTCACCCACTCATGCGTCCCCAAATTTTATAGGCTTCTTAATAACTTTGCTGATGTGCCTGGATCTACTTGTGACCTGGCCAGACCCTGTGTGCTGGCTGTGCTGGGAAGAGGAACAGCTCTCAGTGACTCAGGTAAGGTGGAGGTCAAGGATTAAAATGAAGCCAGTTCTCTTTAGCACGGAATAGCCTTTTCTTCACATCAGGACAGCCTGTGGTGCCCTAAACTCATCAAATGATGAACTCTATTTGGATTCTAAATGACAGTTGTCAAGGAAACAGCCACTATTCCCCCACCACCCAACACCTCGAAGGGAAACCTAGAAGTCTCTCTCATTAGAGCGAAGCCTGACTTTTGCTGGTTCTCCTGCCCTCTTGCCCTGGCATGCCGGGATCTCACAGCCCCCTCCCGCACAGCATAGCAGTGAAGCCTCAGCTGTGGTCCTGGAATGGTGAATCTTTGGGACTCTAGATCTTAATTTCCTAACCCCAGCCTTGGCTTGTTTTCAGGCAAATAGAGGTCAGCCTGTCTGGTTTTCTTTCAGTGGGGCTAAAAGCCAGGCCATCCTTTGGGTGTTTTCAAAATCTGGGGCAAATTGCACTGTGTCTCCAGTCTCCTCAGCCCCAGCTCCCCCACCATAAACCATATACTTGTTTCTGGTTAAAATGAATAACAAAGGCAGACATAAAGAAGAATAGAGAGGGAGGAGACACCACAAAGCAGACCCTGGGGGGCAGAGGAGAAAGAAGAGAGGAGAAAGGGCAGAGAAGGCCCCTTGCTGGTAGGACTGTGTTCCACCGCTATGGAGAGCAGGAGGGAAGGCTGACAGACGGGAGCTCCTAGCTTCCGACTGTTTTCAGGCTGGAAGCACCCGCCTCCATTGCTTTTTCCTCTGGCCTCATGATCTCTGAAGCCAACAGAGTGGGAAGTATGAGGGGAGAATGTCAAACGCAGAGCCCAGAGGATGGTGCGATCCAGAGTGCCGTGTTCCTAGACCTTCCATCTGCACACCCCCAGTGCCAGTGCAGAGTGTGCTGTCAGAGCAGCCCAGTCTTTCCATGCCTCATCTTCACTGGAAAATAAGAAAAGACACGTCCGCTGCCTTAGTATTGCCTGCATACTACCACTTGGCAGACCTTCAGGGTTTTATGACAAATAGTAATGAATAATTAACTAATCATTTGAGCTGCTGAAGATAACGGCCTTGCCTCAGCTTGCACCATCCCAGACAGGCCTTGACAGTGTTTCCTTTCTTCATAAAGGCTGGCTGAGATGCGGGCTCTCTCCGAACACCCGTGAGGCCATCAGGGAACTGGATCGTTCCTTCCTGCATTCTGCTTCTCACTAAGCCGCTCACAGGAGAGTGAGACAAATACAGCTGGTGACTCGACTCTCTCTCAGTCCTGCCGTGCTTTTCTATTGGAGACCAAAGTGTTGGGGGCCTACGACCTCCATGAGCTTCATTAGAGCAGTGGCTTGTCCCCTAGGGGACATTTGGCACTGTCTGGACACATTTCGATTGTCACAACTGGGAGAGGGAGTATTGTTGCTACTGGCATTTAGTGGGTAGGGTGCAGGGATGCTGCTTAACATCGTACAGTGCACAGGATGGGCCCCCACACCAAGAATTGTCTCGGCCCCAAATGTCCACCCTGCAGTAGAGTGGCAGAAGGACATGTCTCCCCAACATGTTCCATTGCATCCTGGTGACTGTAGGTAGCCCAGGACCAGAGAACCTTGGGCTCCCTCGAGTGGTGATTCACACTATGACAGCCAAGAAGGGCCCATAGCTGCAGGGGGTAGGGCGTGTGTGTGTGTGTGTGTGTGTGTGTGTGTGTGTGTAACAAGTCATTTCATTCATCACAAAATATGCTTTGGTTGACGGTGACAACAATTTTCATAAATCATTAATGAGCCATTTTCTTCTCTCTATGTTGTTAATATCTATGCAGAGGCCTTTGAATTCAGAGAGCAGATTTCCTTCTGATTAGTCAAACAGAGTGTTTATTTTTTGAAATATGTTCTTCCCATTTAGAGTAGCACTTGAGTGTGAATTTGTGTGATTTCTTTCTGTTTGTTTTCTTCCTAAATGGAAACTCCAAGAGCTTCCATCACGTTTCCCAGTCCTTCTTTTGGAAAGAGAACATTAGAAGGTTCCAGGATGGATGGCTCAGAGATAATGCTTCCATTTACATTTTTGAAGGGATGAGGATAAGGGGGTGGAAGGTAATTTTAAGATTCCAATTCTGATCATATGAACCATAATGAGAGCAAATCTTGCATGGTCCTACAAAGGTCTCTACAGTGAAGCCTTTGCAAAGCACATCTTGTTTATGACAGATTATTTGGTTTCCCAACCAAGCAATATTCTTAATGGGTTATTTAAAATTTAACTGACTGTTCTCATTTATCTTGTAGCCTGTCATCATGGCACTCCCATGTTCATATAATAATAATAATATCTATTGAGTACATTCCACATGACAGGTACTGTGTCACATTCATTAACTCATTCATTCTTCACAATAGTTGTATAGGGAAATACAACTCCATCTTTCACAGGAGGGATTGGAGACAAAAAGATAAATAACTTCACAAGGTCGCTCAGCCAGCAAGTAACAAAGTGGGAAAGGAGTCAAGGTCAGTCAGGTCCCAAAGCATGCTGACCGTCCCACTGAGATCTTTAGGGTTCTGGTCCATCAGAACAGCTCTCCAAGGGGCCCTGGGGGGTCTCGGCCAAGCACCCCACCTCCTCCATCCTGGCATCATTCTTGTGATCCTTTCCTCCTAAGCTCTCACCCCTGAGGCCAATTCCTTGCTACGCTCCATCAGCTGTTCTCCTCCTCAACTTCAGGTCTGTGTGCCTGTTTTCTCATGAGAAACACCCTCCCTTTTTCCTCCAACACTTCAGGTTCTGTTTTTGTTCAAAGCCCACTTCTTACCACCACCATAAAGCCTTCCCTAATGTTTTCCATGTTGAAAATGTGCACCGTCTAGGTTTGGATGAAAGCCTGGCTCCTTCCACACACAGCACTGCCTAAGAGATAATAAAATATATCTATGTCATGCACTGGGTTTACAATTTGAGGTCTCTGTACCTCCTTCATTACCTGCACGATAAGCTGAATCGATGGAATTAAAATACCCAGCTCATTTCAGAGGATTCTTACCATACATAAATGAGATAGTGGAAATGAAAACTTTTCATAAACGTAAGGCATTGTTTGATTATCATCCTGGTCTCTCTATCTTCAATTTTTATTCCTTTCATTTTTCTTTTCTCTGTCTACTACCAGATTTGGTTCAGTCAGAGACACAGCCAGTCACTAGCGGTAGGGCTGGAGAGAAAGTGGTTTTTCTTTTCTTGATTTCAGAATTTCCAACTGTAAAAATGCTACATGTTACAAGCAGCCTCAGACCCCATCGTAGATTGTGTTTTTAGAAAAGCAGGGAGAGGCCAGGCGCCCTGGCTCACGCCTGTAATCCCAGCACTTTGGGAGGCCGAGGCGGTCGGACCACGAGGTCAGGAGATCGAGGCCATCCTGGCTAACACGGTGAAACCCTGTCTCTACTAAAAATACAAAAAATTAGCCGGGCTTGGTGGCGGGCGCCTGTAGTCCCAGCTACTCGGGAGGCTGAGGCAGGAGAATGGCGTGAACCCGGGAGGCGGAGCTTGCGGTGAGCCGAGATTGCGCCACTGCACTCCAGCCTGGGTGACAGAGACTCCGTCTCAAAAAAAAAAAAAAAAAAAAAAAGAAAATCAAATGACTTCAGTCATGTAAATGATCCGAATAGCATCTTACATCCCAGAAAATGCAGATTTTAATAAAATGTGGGGAAAATTCACTTAACGATGCCACTCTGCAAGGAGGGGAGGAATTAGAGATTTCCTTTGCTATTAACAACATCACCATCCTGACATTGATGGGTGACAGAAACGGCTTTTTTTTCCTAGGATATTTGTTAAATATATAAGGGAAAAATCCTGTTAAATGTTCATTGAAATTGTATTGGCTTTAGAAATTAATTTATAAAGAACTGACATCTTTACATATTGAATCTCTCCATCTAATAAAGTATAGCTCTCCATTTATCCAACTCTTCTTTTATATTTTTTAGTAATTATGCCCATAAAGTCTTTTATATTTTCTGACATTTATTGCTGGGTAGCTGCAGCTTTTCTTGCTATTACCATAGGCAGTTTATTTAAATTAAGCTTATTTCAATTAAATAAAATAATAAAATAATTAATTAATAAAACAATCAAAATAATTATTTTATGATTTAATTATTTAATTGAATTTTAATTCTCATGTGTATTTATTAAATGTTATAGTTGTTTATTATTAAATTTTATTAAATTGAACTTATTATGGACAAGCTTCCCTGTGTTTTGTGAAAACTCTACCATTGTTTGAATATTAACATTGTAACATTCGTGAAGCACATATTCAGCACACAGGAACCACTACAATCAGCCTTTGAAACAAATGAATGTGACATTGTCTCTGCCTTTGGGAAGTGTTGCATAACTTTAAAACATGTTAATAACTAACAGCATAATTAATACAGTAAACTGATTGGCTATGGCCTTGTGCTAGAATCCCAGAACTTTCTAATAAATGGGAACACCTATTATATGAGCCTAGAGGCCCCATAGTCCCTGTGGTCAGGAACGCCTCACTTTTAACTATGAAAAATTCCCCCAATTGATAGTCACTTTAACTAAGAACTCTAAAACCCAGAGATAAGAATTCGATAGTCCTGTGTTTCTCTTACTGGTTACTCACACTCTGGAAGACTCCAGTGATGGATTCAAGAATACCATACGGTGGCCGGGCACGGTGGCTCACTCCTGTAATCCCAGCACTTTGGGAGGCCGAGGCGGGCTGATCATGAGGTCAGGAGATCCAGACCATCCTGGCTAACACAGTGAAACCCCGTCTCCACTAAAAATACAAAAAATTAGCCGGGCGTGGTGGCGGGTGCCTGTAGTCCCTGCTGCTGGGGAGGCTGAGGCAGGAGAATGGCGTGAACCCGGGAGGCGGAGCTTGCAGTGAGCCAAGATCGCGCCACTGCACTCCAGCCTGGGCAACAGAGCAAGACTCTGTCTGAAAAAAAAAGAAAAAAGAAAAAAAGAAAAAAAAGAAAAAAGAATACCATACCGTGATTCAGCACAATACACTGGGGTGATCAGCAGAAACCAAAGAATATATTTTATGCATCAGACTGAAACACTGATTGTGTATTAAAATGTTTTGACTAATTTAACTTGCAAATAATTTAAAACACCTATATTAAGATAACTAGGGATACCTTATGAGCTGGAATGCGAAACTTCCATTTCTATTTAAGAAAAGGTGTTAGGACACTCTGCCCAGGAGGTTCCCAATCAGTCTTCTCTGCCTTTGGTGTCTTCAGGGGAAATGCCTTTGATGCCTCAGAAGAAATCATCAATAACATGTGTATACGAGACCCATCTGAATCCAGTTCTCCCCTTGCTTTTGCTATTCCCTGGTTGCTCTTTGGACTCTTCAGGAAGATACCATAATGCCATTAATACATCTTTTTACCTGCTCCAGTGATCCTAGAGCACCCACTTAAGATCTGGTGGAATAAGTGCCCCAGGCAAAGTTTCCACAACTTAGGGTTTACAATTTGAGATCTCTGTGCCTCCTTCATTACCTGGAAAATAAGCTGAATAGATGGAATTAAACTACCCAGCCCACTTCACAGGATTCTTACCATACATAAAAGAGATGATAGAATGGGGTGCCGACGCTGGAATGCAGAGCATGGCATTTGGTTTCCTGTGTGCTATGTTAGTACTATATCCAGAAGGGGTGAGCTGATTGATGAAATGTGGAGGGGAAGCAACACATTTTTGCAAGTAGTTCCACAGTGGAAGAAAGACTTGAGCCAGAAGGACTCCTGCCTGCTGCTGATAGAGGCTGATTTGTAAGATGAGGCTTGGCAGAGAGTATCAATTCTGAGCTGAATTTTACAAAGTCAATTAGTTGGCTATGACACATCTATCACCAAGTCCTGTTTACTTTTCTTTTGGATTATTTCTTCCTATCACCTGTGTTCCTCCATTCCCATTGCCACCTCATAGTTGGATTTCTTCAACGGATTGATTCATTCATGTTCTCATTCAATAAACATTTAATCAACTCTGTGCCGATTGCTCTGCCAAGCTCACAGTTCCCTCAAGACCTCACAATCTACTGAGGGATAAAAAAATGAAGCATCAGTTACCAATTGGTGGTGTACAGACAATTGCAGAGAACAGTGTGGGATGCTATGGGACTGTGGAGAAGATTGAGCTTATCCAGCCTTGGGGGTCAGGGAGACTTGATATCTAATTACTGAGGAACAAGAGGGTGCACGGAGGAAGGGAAAAGAAGTACGATCCTCTAAGCCAAAAGAAAAGCTGCAGATAAACAGAGACGTATAAAGTTCTGGTGTGGAGCTTGGGTCCTAAAGACTATAGAAAATTTGGAATAAATGGAACAAGATAGGGAAAGGAGTAAGAAGTGAAGTTGGAATAACAAGCAGAGACCTGGGCAGTGGAAGGCCTTGTATGTTACACTAAGGAATTTGGATTTCATTATCCTTAGGGCAATGAGGAGCCATGGAAGGATTTAAAGCAGGGGAGAGACACTATCAAATTTGTGTTTTAGAAAGTTCACTCTAATTTCAATGTAGGAAATGGATTATCTGCATACTAATTTATTTAAAATTTCATTATTATAATTACATATAGGTCTATACATAGAATATGATTGATGGTCATTTATTATATTGAGTTCAGGATTTTTGTGTGTGGGTGTTTTTCTTTTTTCAAATCAAGTAAGATCTAACTATCTGCAACAGAAATAGCCCTCTTTTTTTTTTATTATACTTTAAGTTTTAGGGTACATGTGCACAACGTGCAGGTTTGTTACGTGTGTATACATGTGCCATGTTGGTGTGCTGCACCCATTAACTCGTCATTTACATTAGGTATATCTCCTGATGCTACCCCTTCTCCCTCCCCCCACCCCGCAACAGGCCCCGGGTTGTGATGTTCCCCTTCCTGTGTCCAAGTGTTCTCATTGTTCAATTCCCACCTATGAGTGAGAACATGTGGTGTTTGGTTTTTTGTCCTTGCTATAGTTTGCTGAGAATCATGGTTTCCAGCTTCATCCATGTCCCTACAAAGGACATGAACTCATCATTTTTTATGGCTGCATAGTATTCCATGATGTATATGTGCCACATTTTCTTAATCCAGTCTATCGTTGCTGGACATTTGGGTTGGTTCCAAGTTTTTGCTATTGTGAATAGTGCTGCAATAAACATACGTGTGCATGTGTCTTTATAGCAGCATGATTTATACTCCTTTGGGTATATACTCAGTAATGGGATGGCTGGGTCAAATGGTATTTCTAGTTCTAGATCCCTGAGGAATCGCCACACTGACTTCCACAATGGTTGAACTAGTCTACAGTCCCCCCAACAGTGTAAAAGTGTTCCTATTTCTCCACATCCTCTCCAGCACCTGTTGTTTCCTGACTTTTTAATGATCGCCATTCTAACTGGTGTGAGATGGTATCTCATTGCGGTTTTGATTTGCATTTCTCTGATGGCCAGTGATGATGAGCATTTTTTCATGTGTCTTTTGGCTGCATAAATGTCTTCTTTTGAGAAGTGTCCATTCATATCCTTCGCCCGCTTTTTGATGGGGTTGTTTGTTTTTTTCTTGTAAATTTGTTTGAGTTCATTGTAGATTCTGGATATTAGCCCTTTGTCAGATGAGTAGATTGCAAAAATTTTCTCCCATTCTGTAGGTTGCCTTTTCACTCTGATGATAGTTTCTTTTGCTGTGCAGAAGCTCTTTAGTTTAATTAGATCCCGTTTGTCAATTTTGGCTTTTGTTGCCATTGTTTTTGGTGTTTTAGACATGAAGTCCTTACCCATGCCTATGTCCTGAATGGTATTGCCTAGGTTTTCTTCTAGGGTTTTTATGGTTTTAGGTCTAACATGTAAGTCTTTAATCCATCTTGAATTAGTTTTTGTGTAAGGTGTAAGGAAGGGATCCAGTTTCAGCTTTCTACATATGGCTAGCCAGTTTTCCCAGCACCATTTACGAAATAGAGAATCCTTTCCCCATTTCTTGTTTTTGGCAGGTTTGTCAAAGATCAGATAGTTGTAGATATGCAGCATTATTTCTGAGGGCTCTGTTCTGTTCCATTGGTCTATATCTCTGTTTTGGTACCAGTACCATGCTGTTTTGATTACTGTAACCTTGTAGTATAGTTTGAAGTCAGGTAGCGTGATGCCTCCAGCTTTGTTCTTTTGGCTTAGGATTGACTTGGCAATGCGGGCTCTTTTTTGGTTCCATATGAACTTTAAAGTAGTTTTTTCCAATTCTGTGAAGAAAGTCATCGTAGCTCGATGGGGATGGCATTGAATCTATAAATTACCTTGGGCAGTATGGCCATTTTCACGATATTGATTCTTCCTATCCATGAGCATGGAATATTCTTCCATTTGTTTGTATCCTCTTTTATTTCCTTGAGCAGTGGTTTGTAGTTCTCCTTGAAGAGGTCCTTCACATCCCTTGTAAGTTGGATTCCTAGGTATTTTATTCTCTTTGAAGCAATTGTGAATGGGAGTTTACTCATGATTTGGCTCTCTGTTTGTCTGTTATTGGTGTATAAGAATGCTTGTGATTTTTGTACATTGATTTTGTATGCTGAGACTTTGCTGAAGTTGCTTATCAGCTTAAGAAGATTTTGAGCTGAGACGATGGGGTCTTCTAGATATACAATCATGTCATCTGCAAAGAGGGACAATTTGACTTCCTCTTTTCCTAATTGAATGCCTTTTATTTCCTTCTCCTGCATGATTGCCCTGGCCAGAACTTCCAACACTATGTTGAATAGGAGTGGTGAGAGAGGGCATCCCTGTCTTGTGCCAGTTTTCAAAGGGAATGCTTCCAGATATTGCCCATTCAGTATGATATTGGCTGTGGGTTTGTCATAAATAGCTCCTATTATTTTGAGATACATCCCATCAATACCTAATTTATTGAGAGTTTTTAGCATGAAGGGCAGTTGAATTTTGTCAAAGGCCTTTTCTGCATCTATTGAGATAATCATGTGGTTTTTGTCACTGGTTCTGTTTATATGCTGGATTATGTTTATTGATTTGCATATGTTGAACCAGCCTTGCATCCCAGGGATGAAGCCCACTTGATCATGGTGGATAAGTTTTTGATGTGCTGCTGGATTTGGTTTGCCAGTATTTTATTGAGGATTTTTGCATCGATGTTCATCAGGGATATTGGTCTAAAATTCTCTTTTTTTGTTGTGTCTCTGTCAGGCTTTGGTATCAGGATGATGCTGGCCTCATAAAGTGAATTAGGGAGGATTCCCTCTTTTTCTATTGATTGGAATAGTTTCAGAAGGAATGGTACCAGCTCCTCCTTGTACCTCTGGTAGAATTTGGCTGTGAATCCGCCTGGTCCTGGACTTTTTTTGGTTGGTAAGCTATTAATTATTGCCTCAATGCCAGAGCCTGTTATTGGTCTATTCAGAGATTCCACTTCTTCCTGGTTTAGTCTTGGGAGGGTGTATGTGTCCAGCAATTTATCCATTTCTTCTAGATTTTCTAGTTTATTTGCATAGAGGTGTTTATAGTATTCTCTGATGGTAGTTTGTATTTCTGTGGGATCGGTGGTGATAACCCCTTTATCATTTTTTATTGTGTCTATTTGATTCTTCTCTCTTTTCTTCTTTATTAATCTTGCTAGGGGTCTATCAATTTTGTTGATCTTTTCAAAAAAAAAACCAGCTCCTGGATTCATTGATTTTTTGAAGGGTTTTTTGTGTCTCTGTCTCCTTCAGTTCTTCTCTGATCTTAGTTATTTCTTGCCTTCTGCTAGCTTTTGAATGTGTTTGCTCTCGCTTCTCTAGTTCTTTTAATTGTGATGTTAGGGTGTCAATTTTAGATCTTTCCTGCTTTCTCTTATGGGCATTTAGTGAGAAATAGCCCTCTTTCAAAGGGTGTTGACATCAACTCGTTCAAACTAAACTATCATTTTTTTAAATTTAATTTTGTAAATAGGTAATATATTAAAGTGGTTCAAAATTCAAAATGTGCGAAGGCTATGCAGTGAATAGTGTAACTTCCACCCTGTTCCCTGGATATCCAGTTCATCTTCCCACAGCCAATGTTATTAGCTCCTAATATGTTTTTCCATAGAAATGCTGTACTTACGTGTATGTTCATATATTCTCTGTTAGCCTTTTTAAGATCAATGGCAGCATACAGTACACATTGCCCTTGGCCTTTTCTTTCTCACATGACAATTTTATTTGAATGTCTTTTTATGTCAGTATTTAGAATTGTCTCATTCATTGTTATGGTTGTACATTGTTCAATTATGGACCTGTACTATAATTTATTTAGCCATCGTCCAAAACTGGGCATTCGAGTTGTTTTAAGACTTTTGATTTTGCAAACAATTCTGCATTTAATAATGTTGCCATTGCCATTTCACACATGTACAGGTGCATCAATAGGATAAATTTCCCAAAATGGGATGGCTGGGTCAGAGTATGTTCTTCGGTGCTTTTGACGGATATGGGCAAATTGTCCCCTATTGAAAACTTAGCAATTTGTACCCCTACCGGAAGTGCTTCCATTTGCCAACATAATGTGCTATCAAACTCTGGGATCTCTGCAATCTAATAGCTGAAACAATTTTATCTTACTTTAATTTTAATTTGAATTTTCAAATTAAATGAGTGAGGCTGCATGTTATGAGTGAGGCTGAGCATCCTTTCATATGAATAAGAGCCAATTAATACTTTGTCCTTTGAACTATGTGTTGATATTTTATTTTAATTTTCCTAGTGCATTATTGGCTTTTTGTGCATTGATTTGTAGAAGTTCTTTGGATATTAGAGAAATTAATTATATGTCTATATAAGTTGAAAACATTTTTGCAGGTTTGTCCTTTGTCTTTTTACTCTGTTTGTGGTGATTTTTGCCTTCCAGAAAAACTTTATTATTAAGTAGTTGAATTTAACCATCTTTTATGCTATAGGCCTTTGGATTCTGTGTCATAGCTTTAAAAGTCTTTCCCAACATAAGAATGTTTTTAAAAGCCAAGTGATATTCACTTTCATGCCTTAAATGATAAAAAAAAAAAAATGCCAAGTAGTTACTCCAGGTACTTTTGTAACTTCAGTTTTTATTAGGTGAATCATATGAAATCACCAATATTTGATAATTTTTGACCTACAGAAATGGTATTATGATCGAATCTAGTACATTCAATGCTTTGATCCATTTGGAATTTATTCTGCAATATATGAGGTCAGGTCCAACTTGTTTTTGCAGATGCCAATCCAAATGAATTATCCATCTTTTCCCACTGACTATTAATGATACCTCTTGACACTAATTTTCCGAATGAACTTGTATATGTTTTTTATTTTCAAAACTCTCCCATTGATCTGCCTGTCCATTCAAAATGTCATATTAATTATTTAGATTCTATGTTTTAATATCTCATAATTCTTTTTTAGAATGTTCCTCTTTTTAAAAAATTTTTCCAAGTGAATTTAGAATTTTCTAGTCTAGTTCCCTAAAAACGAATGATAATCTTGTTTACACTTTTGTTAAGGTCACTTTGAATGTATAGCTTCCCTGAGAGTTAATTGCCCTTTTTTTGATGGTACATTTTCTGAAGTAGCTTCTTAACTGTTTCTAGCCTCTCAATTCTCTTCTCTAATCCGTTCATTCTGCAGTCTGCCACCTGACTAATCTGCCTAAACATCATCTTCATTAAATCATATCCCTGAGTTTCCCTAATCCACAAGTTTTGTTTTCATCTTTCTCCTTTTAGAAATCTGCCATGTCCTCCTCTCACCCCTCCACTAACTAAAAGCCTTGATAAATCCACTTGTTCATCCAGTTCACATCCTCAAGTGAACTCTCACCTGGCTATTGCGACATACCACTTTTCCCTCCCTTCCATGAACCACTGCTGTACCTCACTAGTTAATAGTAAATAATGCATGACTTTTGTTATATCACACATATTTAACTTGAGTGGCTTAGGTTTCAAAAGCAGATAATTACATGTTTATTACATTAAACCCCAAATTTCTGTGGTTGAAATAATGATACACACTCAGATTTTTACTACTTTGCACCTGCATATGCCTTAAATTCCTGTGTGTCTCCATTACATATCTCTATTAATTCATTCAGTCTGTCACCAAATATGTATTGCAGGCCTACCATGTGCCAGGCATCCTGACAGTCATCAGGTATTTGTATCAGTCAAATTAAGCAGCAGTAACAAATAACCCCCAATCATGGGGGCTTACAACCATAAAAGTTTATTTTTTGCTCATATTACATACCTATTCCCACTCAGCTTTGATTCTGCTCTAAATCTTCATTTCAGAATTCAATTCATTCCAGGTTCGAGAAGCAGCCCTATCTGGGATATGCTGGTGTCTTGACATAGGGGAAAAGCAATGGGGAGACCATATGAAAACCTTTAAAGCTTCTGCTCAGAATGACACATGTCAATTCCACTTATATTTTATTGGTCAAAGCAAGGCATGTGACTAAGCTTTGGGACTGGTACTATAACATTCTGGTAGAGAGGGATTCTGCAGTGAAAGGTACAGAATACTTTTAACAAATAGAACAATTACCACAGCAATAAAGTGATGGAAAAGGCAAATATAGAACTGATGTTACAGAGCTTACAAACTAGCAGAAAATGCAAACATTAGCCAAATAATAACCCAGTTGTGACAAATGCTTCAAAGGACTAAGAGAAAATGGTAAGAAAACATAAAATAGGTAAGGCAACATAGTCTAGGTGGCTTAAAAGACCCTGTTTTCACTACCACTAGGAAATATGTGAGAGTTAACAAAAATTAACTAGGCAAGAGAGAGGGTTACCTCCTGGTCAAATGCTTTGAATAACTTGATGTCATTCAAACATTTTGGATGTATTAATTTGACCAAGATGAGCAGAATTAGCACACTTCTATTTTGCAGATTGTCTGCAGCTAAATAGCAACATAATCTTCTCAGAGGCTCACTGTTCCACAATTCCTTATTAATACATTTTCCTCATTTGACAAGTCAGGTCTAACTTTTCAATTACATTATTGTATTGACAATTGTACTGGTTTTGAGGAGTCCTAAATGACAACTTGTATTTGGACTGGAATGTACTTTCCTACAAATGGCAACATGTGAGTCTTCATATTTACACTACCTATATGTTTGTACAAAATGTGTAATATATATTGTACTTTTTTTTTTGAAACGGAGTCTTGCTCTGTCACCAGGCTGGAGTGCAGTGGCGCGATCTCGGCTCATTGCCTCCCGGGTTCAAGCGATTCTCCTGCCTCAGCCTCCTGAGTAGCTGGGACTACAGGTGCCCACCGTGCCCAGCTAATTTTTGTACTTTTAGTAGAGATGGGGTTTCACCATGTTGGCCAGGGTGGTCTCGATCTCCTGACCCTGTGATCCACCAGCCTCAGACTCCCAAAGTGCTGGGATTACAGGTGTGAGCCACCGTGCCCAGCCTATATTGTATTTTCTTTTTGTTATAAAAATTTACTGCTGTTTGCAAAAGAAGTGGGCAGTAATTATGGAGCAAGGGAATAATGTCACCATTTCAAACGGGAATGTACCCTATCCCTAACATGTAATTTTTAGACCATTTCTACTTTCATAAGACAATATTACTCTCAATGATTTACTAAGAAATAAATGAGTAAACTAATAATGATGCTGTGTTCTTAGTCTTGTTTTCTTAATGGATGCCTCAGAAGAGAGGCTTTGTAATTCTGTCTCCATACCATATGTCTCTGTTGACATTAAAGTGCTTAGTTCCAAATGAGTTGGCTTCATTCAAGCATCTTAATTCAAGAGTAGATGATTAGATCTTAAGCTAAAAACCTATTAGGATGTAAGCACTTGTATTTTTGAAAAGTATTAAGGGAACATCATAGTGTGGTTGCAGATAAATCCTCCCTATCTAGGAGTGGGTTGGCAGAAATCTCATTTGATCTTCAAACATGACAGACTAGCTTCATGTCAAAGTTAAACACAGAATGAGAAACCTGCCAATGTTTGTTATACATTACACACACTGGATCATGTCTGTTTTTATCCTTTGCTGGGAGTCATTTCAGTGATCCTGTCTTTGAGCAGGGATAGTCAGAGAAGACCAAGTGTCCTTTAAATACACAAAAGATACCCTGAACAAGATTCTGAGATCAGGGTGGGAACCCACCTCACTGGGAGTTCTAAAGAGAATGCCACACTGTGGTGGGCTTATGCACCCATGAGGTTTCTTAAGAGGCACCACGTTACAAAGCAATCAAAGTGGAAAAAGACAAATCACATTCCAAATACTTTCAATCCCTTTGAGAAAGCACATACTGATCTAAATAAAACCCAATGCTGTGATTGTTCCTGCTTTTATTTAACCACATGTGTGGTCCAAACTAATAGGATTCTCCCCCTTCTCCTCCCTGCTTCCAGTTAATTTGTTTTAGTCCCTATGTAATCCTGTCATCAGCAGGGCACAGTGATCTTCACATAGGGAATGTGAAAATCATTTGATAACCATCTGCCTAATGTTTTGGCAGATATTTGTTTAGCTTACAGAGCTACTACCAAGTTGGGACTCCTCTTCAGGAGCAGACATGTCTACTAGGGAATAGGGCCAAATATGAAGTCCCAGGGTCGAGATTTTCTCATTATATTCTGACAGATGACCTGTAGATGACTGTACCACTCCTGAAGAAAGAAATACAAGATTGATGTATCATTACCTAACTTCAAAAGCACCTGCTACTTCCTTCCTCCTTTCCTTTCCTTTCCTTTCCTTTCCTTTCCTTTCCTTTCCTTTCCTTTCCTTTCCTTTCCTTTCCTTTCCTTCCCCTCCCTCCCTCCCTTCCTTCCTTCCATCTCCCTCTGTCTTTCCCTACTTCCATCCTTCTTTATCTCCAACCCTCCCTCCTTCCTACTTTCCCTCCTTCTTTTTTCTTTCTTTTATTTTTTAATGTAAAAAATATCATGGATACAATGAAAACAGTAAGGGTGGGTTTTGATTAAAACTGCTTGGGGAATTTTAGTAGCTCATACCTCTAACTGTACCACCCCTCCGTGTGTTACCTCTTGGTTCACATCAATGTTGACAGTTCCTTTATTACTCATTAGAAACACGAATAACCACAAAGGAATAAGAAAGGCTTTATGAGACCAGAAATGCAAATTGCTGCTGGAGAAAAAGTCAGATCTGTATGTCAAAGTAGTTATTGACTTAAACATGAAAACCTGAAAAATGAGAGCAGACATCCCGGATTAACTTGTATTGATAATGCCTCTTAACTGCATCCTCGCCCCAGCCCCAAGGGGCTTTGAGTACCATAAAGATATTATGTGGTCCAGACGTACAAATTAAAACAGGACGACAGGTTCAGAACTTGCAAAAAAAAAAATAAGGTCATGCTTTAAATAAATGGGGCTTCATGAAAATAAACATTTTCATGAAAATTCAAATCAAAACATTAAGAACTGAGACCACAGTGGGAAACTCAAGCTGCCTTTCAACAGAAATATTCCCATTAGGACAAGTTTTCATATTCTATGTTAAATGGGAGACTAAAGCCCTCTTAAGTTACTGAAGTTTAATCATATTATACAAGCAAGCTCTAAAATATTATGATTTGTATGTGGCAACTGGATACTTGTATGCTAGTTCGATATTTGATGATGCTTAGAAACTATTGTCAAACTTATGTTCGGCCTGAAGTGGTATTTGTGGGTTTTGTTTTGTTTTGTTTTTTTAAGTGCTTACCTTTTACAGATACATACTTTAAACATCCTTATATTTTAGAAACACAAACGAAAATGTTTATGAATAATTGGCCAAGAGTTGATCAATAGTTGGTCAATGTTGAAGCTGGGTAGTGAGCACATTAAGGTTCAATATATTATTCTATATTTGTATGTTTAAAATGCTTCACAATAAAATTTCAAAAGAAAGAAATACTGTGAAATATCAGGTATACAAAGATGTAATAAAGAATAAACTGGTGAACACCTACCTATCCACCATGCAGCTGAAGATTTAAAACATATAAATGTTGCTGAAAAATTATAAAGTGACTCTTCTACCTCAATTATCTGGCTACCTTTGTGGTGTCCCACTGGGAGGGTAGGAGCTGATGTCAACTCATTAAAATTGGTAACACCTCAAATGTTTCCTCCAGCTGGCTAGAGCAGACCTGGATTCAGGCTTCACCGAGGTAATGTGGTGCCAGCACCTGGACCAAAATCCCTGCTCTAAATAGTTGTGTGACCCCCTGTAAAGTTCCAGATTTCTGTGAGTCTCGTTTGTGAAAAATATAATTAGTGATACCAACCCTGAAAATGTATTCAAAGCATGACAGACAATGTCTGTAAATCACACGGCTGGCACTGGGTAAAGTGTAGCTATTTTCTTCAATGTTTTAAAATAAGACATTTGGACATTTCCCAACTGAAATATATGAGAATCTCTGAACAAACAGTAAATAGATACTTCATGGCCGGTTGATAAATAAAACAAAGCCCAGTTTTTGCCACTTATAAAAGAAAAGAAAATCACCTTGAAAGTGTTTTAGTAGTTCCCAGGAATCAGGAGGACAAAGTTAGAGTATTTATGAGTTTGTGGTGCGGGGGGAGGGGTGCTGTAACATCTGATTTAAAGGGAGTCTCTCAATGCAGTGTAGAGGGGCACTTAGTTAGAACTGAGCAAGGTTTGTTATAAGTAAAGATCGGAGTACACAGAGTGGGGAGGTTTTCAAAGTACAGAATAAATGATCTTTTGAAATTATCTATTATTCTAAGAAAGGGTGATAAATGAAGACAGGATAATAGACTTGGGGAAAGTTCTTGAAACGAACTATAATATTATCTTCAACTTCAGCTTCTTGGGCAAGAGGTTCATGGAAAAGTAACGTTAGGTCAATGCAGTTTGAAGAGTAAAGTTGTGTTGATGTAAGCAGTAGGTTGAGTGGGTATAGATGTTTTCTTTTCCCAGTTATACAGAGGACTTTAATGAGAATGAAACCATCATTCTTAGCAAAGTATCACAAGGACAGAAAACCAAACACCGCATGTTGTCACTCATCGGTGGGAATTGAACAAAGAGAACACATGGACACAGGGAGCGGAACATCACACACCGGGGCCTGTCGGAGTGTAGGGGGCTGGGGGAGGGATAGCATTAAGAGAAATAACTAATGTAAATGATGAGTTAATGGGTGCAGCAAACCAACATGGCACATGTATACCTAGGTAACAAACCTGCACATTGTGAACATGTACCCTATAACTGAGAGTATAATAATTTTTTTTAAAAAAAATTTTATTTATTTATTTATTTATTTTTAATCAAGATGGAGTCTTGCTCTGCTGCCCAGGCTGGAGTGCAGTGGCGTGATCTCGGCTCACTTGCAACCTCCACCTCCTGGGTTGAAACGATTCTCATGCCTCAGCCTCCGGAGTAGTTGGGACTGCAGGCATGCACCACCATGTCTGGCTAATTTTTTTTTGTATTTTTAGTAGAGACGGGGTTTCACCTTGTTGGCCAGGCTGGTCTCAAACTCCTGACCTCAGGTGATCCACCCGCCTCAGCCTCCCAAATTGCTGGGATTACAGGTGTAAGCCACTGTACCCGGTCGAGAAATATTTTTGTCTGTTTTGACTTTTGTTTTTCAGCCCCAGCATGAACAGGGATTATATGATAAAAAATGATGCATTTCAACAAATTTAACTTCCTTTATGATCACACTTTCAACTCATGCATTCTCTATTGCTTTTTACCATCTCATTTGAATATTTCCGACTGTCTTTAGAATGCTATTATAGCTTTATGCCAGTGATCCTCAACTTTGCCTGCAAATTGAACTCATTTGAGGAGATGTTTAAAGTCCTGAAGCCCAGGTTCCATCTTAGGCCAATTAAATCAGAATATGTGGAGTGGTGCATAGGCATCAGTAGGTTTTAGCTCTCTCAATGATTCCAATGTGCATATAAGTTTGAGAATCACCGCTTGAAGCATAGTTGGGGAAATAAAATGTTGGGGGAATTATGAGACTTTGGTTGGACCCTGACACTAACGACTGACTTCTGAACATTGAAGCAACTTTCTGATGCCATTAAATATTAGTAGAAAATATTAGTAATGATACAGTATTATATACAAATATCCTGCCCTTTAAGGTCTGGGAATTAAATTGCATCAAATTGCATCAAATTTTTCAGGAACTTAAAGTTTCATGGTAACCTTCAATCTTTGATCATCCATCCCAGCAACTTCCTTTTCTTCACTGTCTCATAGTGCTCTTCCTTTATTCTACCCTAGCATTGACTCAAACTGGGAGCAACTCCCTTTCTTTGATTTGTATGCATATCCCTCTATCTCCCAATCCTCACTTATGCAAGATTTACGCAGGTGTAGCAGACATTGCTGGAGGTTGGAAAAATGAATGGGAATATTGCAAAAACATAAAAATCTTAACGTCGAGTATTAGATACCAGCTATCCATGGGATGACAAGTTCTTTACCCACCTTGCTTGCTGTGCTGTTACCACCGTACACAGCTCTGTGCTCCCACTCTATTTCTTATTTGCCCCTCTTTCAAGAGAAAATAAAAGTCCTACCCTTGTCTTATTCAGTACACTCCATTTGTTTCCAGCCTTATTCCCACACTTAGCTTTGGCTTTCCCTTTGCAAATCCAAAGATTCATTAAAATCCTTTGATAGACAATAAAGCATTTCCTCTGAATAGCACCTTCTCCATCCCAACTAGGTTTTTTAAGAAAAAGGAAGCACTGGAGAAATATTACTGCCACTCTCATGGGAATTATGACAATCCCTTTCAACTCTTAGAATATATAAATAGTTAAATCAATTCAGATTTTAAATAAAAATTTTTTTTGGATGCAATCATTTAGTTCCTTATTTCAGCCAATAATTATGCCTACCACTATAGATACCGCAAGATACAAACTTAATGAAGAATGAAAAATCTTCCAGGAAGCATCAGTTTATTGAGGACATTAAGACAGATTCATATGACATAGTTAAGTTATACATAATACAAGTGACTAATTTTGTGTACAATGAGCTCAGTCCCCAAGAATTGATTTTGCTTTAATTGACAGTCACTTTTCTGTGATCCATATTTTCACACTGTATAATGTTTGCAAAGAACGAGACTTTTTCTCAATCCCATCTATGGTTACATATATGGTCAAACCACAAGTTATATACTTTTTTGATTCTCAGTCAAGTTTTCTATAACTTCATTGATAGAAAGCCAGATCAGTATAGGCTAAAGTATCAATAGAGGACTTCCAATTTCAGGGTAGGTACCTTGATCAGCCTTCCTTCTATGCATAATTTAAAAACTTGTCTAAATATGTGAAAAAGCATCATCTTAAATCGATCAATGAACTCTGAAAAAAGAAAAGAACTTTCAGCCTAGGAACTGGGATCATTTGTTGAAACAAATGAACATGAACTCTTGTTTTTATGACTTCTAAGATACAGGGAATGGGACATAAATCCCAGAGCCCACCAAGGTAGGGAGTCCACATGCCTGTATCCCAAAGAATTATACTCTCAGAATAAAAGTGAACTAGAAATAATGCAGCTATTTCTCTTCACTCCCACTCTCAACCAGAAAACTACAAAGAAAATATACTGCTTTTAATGGTGAATGTGGTGAATGCGGAGTTAAGGTGAGAATAGAAAAAGAAATCACTACTGAGAACTTATAGCCACAGTTTGTCTGAGATTTACAGCCTGAATTCACACTCATTTAGTGGTTTTAAAAACCTCAAGCCAAGAATTTAATGGAGAGTGACCCCACACTAATTGTACCACCGGGTGAATGATAGAAATAAATGTAGATCCTCTCTAAAGAACACATCTTCTTTCCAAGCTCTAAAGAACTCCCATGAATACAATTCTGAGAATACGGAGCATACTGCAATAAAACTTTACTAAATGCACAAGGAAATAATGCACCATGAGCAATAGCTAAAAACAAACAGAGCAGACATGGATTCATAAGGACTTCAGGTCGTGGAAGTTTCAGACACAGGCTATTAAAAAATTATGTGTAATATTAAAGAAATAAATTGCAAACTTGAAAATATGAAACAGAAACAATAAACTATAAAACATAACCAAACAGACTTTCAAAGAACTACATTGAACCTATGAAATATAAGATTCTTATGATAAAAATACCTCAAGCATATAAGGAATTTCTGTGTTGGTTTATTCATATGTGATAAAAGCATGTTGGTTCTGCATAAATATAGATGTTCTTATCCATTAGAGATGACTACTAAGGTATTTTCAGGGGAAATGTTATTTCAGATGGAATTATGTGATATCTGAGATTTGTTTGAAAATTTTTCTAAGAAAAAATGTGTTTACCAAGTGTGTAGGTAGAGAAAGATAAAATAAGATTGTTAAAATGATGATTATTAAAGTTGAGTAATGCGCAGAAGTTGTTTTTATTAATACTATTCCCTGTACTCTTGTGATGTCTTTAAAATTACATAATAATACGTTCATTTATTTAAGAGACAGAATATATTTATGTAGCTAGTATGGGCCCGGATATTGTTAGTGTTCACTACATAATTTTTAAGTATGATTTTAAAATGTATGATTATACTGTTTTCAAGTCATATTATTATATATATGACACACATAAATTTTCACTGGCTGCTACAAACCAAAAGTAGATGTTTTACAGGAAAGAAATGAAATGGATGAGTTTGACAGTAGAGTAATGAAAGCTGAAAAGAAAATTTGTGAACTGTAAAAGAGATCTGTAGAAATTATCCAGAAAGAAGCATAAGATAACAAAACAATAGTAAAAATAAACCAAGACACAGACATGTGGGGTGTAATGAGAACACGTAATGTAGGTTGGACTGGAATCCCAGAAGGATAAGACAAGGGGAATTAAGCAGAGACAGTATCTGAAGAGATAATGGCTAAGGATTTTTCAGAACTGATACAATGTTCCAACCCATAGATTCAAACCCAGTTAATCCTAAACAGTATAATTAAAAAGAAATCCATACTTAGACACACTATTGTGAAACTGAAAACATAACATACAAACAAAACCAAAATCAAAATGAGGAAATTACCTTAAAAGGAGCCAGACAGCAAAGGCACGTTCTTCGGGTGAGCATCAGTCTGAAAGCACCTATCTCAGCAATGAAAGCTGGAAGAGAGTGCGATTATATCTCCAACATGCTGAGAGAACCTGGAATTCTATGCCTAGTGGAAATGTACTTCAGAAATGAAGATTAAATCAATATATTTTCATACACACAAAATCTGAGCCAGTGTGTTACCAGAAAACTCTCTAATGGCTATTCTAAAGGATGTTATTTAGGCATCAAGAAAATGTTCCCCAATCAAACATCAAAGATGCAAGAAGAAAAGAAGAGAATGAAAAGTGACAAATATGTAAATGAATAGAAATAAGTATTGGGTATATAAAACAATAAATAGTGTCAGGTTAATCTCATTCGAGAACACAGCATAAATCCTAAACAAAATTTCATAAAACCAAACCAGCAATGCTCCAAAAGAATAGAACATAATGACCAAATTAGACTAATTTCAGAAATGCAAGTTTGGTTTAATATTTGAAAATTAAAACTTGTAAATTTGGAAATTAATGTGCACATTGACAGATTAAAGGAGAAAAGTTGAATGATCATCTAAATAGAAGCCAGAGTATTTGCTAAAATTTAATACTCATTTTATGATCTAAATTCTAAAAAAGATCAAAATTTCTTATGCCAACTGGCAATAGGAGGTAACTTCCTTAACCCAATAAAAGGCATCTATAAAAACTTACAGTAAATATTATAGTTAATGATAGTAATGGTAAGAACACTCTCTTGAAGATCAGGAAAAAGATAAAAATGCCTGCTATCACTCCTTTCCTTCAAACTTGTACTGTAGATTCTAGCCATCACAATAATAAAAAAATAGAAATGATTAAAATTATCACTATTTGCAATGATATGTATGATTATCAAAATAGAAAACCCCCAAAATATACAGGTTAATTATCAGAATTAATAAAAGAGTTTGGCAAGTTTGCCAAACAAAAACCAATACAGAAAAATCAACTACATTCCTATATACCAGCAACAAATAGTTGGGGCCAGAAAGCACCATACGGCACTGAAAATACACATACTACAACTATACACATCAACATGGACGAAGCTCACAAACATATCATGAGTATAGAAAGCGAGCCACAGAAGAACACATACTGTATTGTTCCATTTATATAAAGTTCAAAAGCAAGCACAGTTGAACAATCTATGATTGAGGAATGTATACATAGGTGGTAAGACAAGAAAGAAAAACAGAGGAATGATTATCATGTAAGTGAGGATATTAGTTGCCTCTTGGAGAAGGCAGATAGTGCACAAAAAGGGTCTCTACAGTCCTTGTAATATTCTGTTTTAACTTGGTTAAGCTTATTTTTCTTGTCTAAATTATTAATGATGTACATATGTTTTTATATTCTTCTGACATATTTCACAATTTTTTAAAAGTCAAAGAGTAAACGGGGATAAGGACAAAATTTGGTAAATGTTAAATGGCTGGATAAGGAAGTGTTGGCTATATCACGTAAGACTTGCGTTTTCTTTTCCCCCGATACATTTCTGAGTCTTTCAACATCTAATCATGAAAACAAATCTTTCTCTCTGGCATGAGTATAAGTAACACCTTCAGGGATAATTCACTCTTATTTAGAAGCTCATCCATTCTCAGAGTTTCAACAATTACCATTATGCTTATGACTTTCAAAACTCTATTTTTATTGCTTTCCATCAAGCAGCCCAAGTGTCAATTTTTTCTAGCCATTACCTTCTAGAGAGTGCCATTTGAATGACTTACCGTTACCTAAAACTCTATATCTGGTTTGATGATCTATGTTGAATTTCTGAATACTCTTCTAAAATCTACACTCTCTCCCTAGGTGTGTTCTTTCATTGTCTTGGTTTTAACATCATCTATATATTGCAGCTTCCAAACCTCTTACTCTAACCCTAAGCCTCTCTTGTGAGTTCCTGGTTCATGTACCTAACAGCATATTTGATATCTCAATTTGGATCTTTCATTGGCATCTCAAACTGACACATCAAATATGTACTTTCGCATGATTAGGGCCATGAAAATCATAAATATGCTTAGAAAATGACAAATAATTTTGCTTAGCTGATCTTAGTATGAGGGATTGAACAGAGGTAGAAAATATTACCAGAAAAATAGTTTGGGGACACACACTGAAGAGCCTTTGATGTTTTGTTTAACAGTTTGGACTTTGTGGACAATGGACAGTGACAGAAATTTTTATTTTCTGTTCTTTTTTCATACAGTAAATATTAATTGAGGACCTCCCACATGTTAGGTAGACAGTATGCTCAGCAGTGAGAATATGTCCACATCTGTAAGTCAGTTTCTGTCTTCACGGATATTACAGTCTATTGTGAGATTTAAGCCACTAGATTTATATTTTAGAATGATAACTTTGTACATGTGGAAAATTAAAGGGTGAGACCACAGGCAAAAATAGGAAGGCAAGAATGCCAAATGCCTGGATTAAAATAATTGGGAAGTAAAGATGAAGAGATATCTCCGAGAGTGTTAAGAGGAGGATGTATTGCAATTGGGGCCAGGTTAGAATAAATGGAATGGAGAAGCATGGCTTAGAAAGGGACTGAGGATGGCATCGCAGTTTTCATCTGGCTCATGAAGCTTGAGGAATGGCAGTGCCTTTACCTGAGATAGGTGATGTGGAAGAAGAAGGGCAGGTGGGTGGGAGACACCTGACTTCAGTTTGGACAGTGAACCTGAGATGCCTATGAGACAGTCAGTGAAGAGGCTGGATAGCTAATTAGAAATATGGCATCATGTTTTTTGAGAGAAGCTTCAGATGAAGGCATTGGTTTGGAAGCCCATCTATAGGAAGTAATAGCTGAGGATGGAGGATGGAGGTGGGTAGCATGGAGACTGCCAAGAAGGAGAACGGAGATGATCATTCAGATGACACACAAGAAGAAAAATTTGGCACTGCCCGACTGATCACCCTCAGCACTGCCATAGTTAGCTGTGAACCTTGACCTTCCTTTCCCAAAGCTCTGTGAGTCGGCCTCCCACTGTCCTGCACTCTGGGAAGGACAGAAGCAACACCACATATAGGCAGAAGAGTCATGGCGGGGGGGCGGGTGGGGGGTTGGGTTAGATTTAAAGATCTGTGAAAGATTTGCCTGCCACCACACTTGGGATTGGCCATGTCGCAAGTGTGGCCCTGGGTCAAAGCCTTGTGCATAATAGCCTTCCGCAGACTGCAAACACTATACCTGATAGAAAAACATGTTCTAGTTATACACATTAGTGATACCGTTGTTACTAATAAAAATAGCAGCTCATGGTTTATGGGTTAAGCCGTGTCCCCTCAAAAAGGTATGTTGGACTTGAACCCCCAGATCCTCAGAATGTGACCTTATTCAGAGAGTCTTTACAGAGATAATCAAGTTTTATAGAACTAGTGTCCTATCAAAAGGCAAAGTCTGACACGGAGACAGACACACACACGCAAAGATGAAGACAGAGATTAGAGTGATGCCAAGCCAGGGACCGCCAAAGATTACCAGCAAACCTGCAGCTTGGGGAGAGGCCTGGGACAGATTTTCCCTCCCAGCCCTCAGAAGGAACCAGCCCTGCTAGCTCCTTGTAGCCTCTAGAACTGTGAGGCGATCGGTCTCTGCTGTTGAAGCCACCCAGTGGTAGTGCTTTGTTATGGCGGCCCTAGCGGACTAATACATGGCCGTGTTTTACTGGACATTTTGTCAAATGCATTTTTTGCTCTTGCTCATTTGATCCTCTCAACGACCCCTTGTGGAAGATATTATTAGGTAACCTCTTTTACAAGGTGGGAAACTAAAGCAATCAGAGATGCATGTTCCTGTGTGATAAGACACAGGAGACAGAAATTTTAGTGGGGAGAATATCAGAAAATTTCACACATGGGGCCCAGCACACTAACCAGCATTGTAGGAGAGGGTGGTGATTAGGAGAGGGTGGTGATTAAGCGAGGTGGACCCAGAGTTAGCCTCCTAGGCTCCAGTCCCAGCCCTGGCAGCTCTGCCTGTGTGATCCTGAGCAAGCTCCTTCACCAACTCTGCACCTTGGTATGATGAAGAAAATCATACCGAAGGTTCTCCTGAGGATGAAATGACCTAATTCCTGTGAAGTGTTTAGCACAGTGCCTGCCGTATTACTATGTGCTCAACAAATGGTAGCTATTTTAAAACAATCATTCATGGGAAATTACAAGGGAGCAGAGAAGCCCTTGTAATAAGCCCTTGAGGGTAATACAATCATAGTTGCCTCTCGTAAGTGTACTGTACAAAGGGTCTGTAATAAATGCATTGTATATATTTAATGGTCTCTGGGTGTCTATGGCTAGGGATGGATAGCAACTACTGCTTATTCCATAGGCAGACATGGCCACTTGGTGATTCTCTTCCACGGCCCATTCACTCACCACTGGAGGAGGCCCTCTCCTGAGGTCAAGCCCATCTTGACCCCCCAGGAAGCTGCTTGTCATAGTAATAAGGGTTGAGACTGCCTTGTTAGATGACAGGCAGGAAAAAAAAAAAGAGGAAGAAGAAAAAGAAAGAATTCTGGGCTATATGCAACTGGGAATTAATCAGTTAAAAGGTCAGAACATAAAGTATGGGTTTTGATATAGATGGATCCCACATGCTTTGAACTTTAAAAATCACCGCATAAGGTTTCACTATAAGCACGTTCACCATAAAGGGACTTCACTACACAAATAATGAGAAAAGAAACGAAATCTCCATCCTGAATTTTAAAAATGCAATTAAAATCGGCGCAGACCCACTGAGCCTTGCCAAATCCTGCTTTAAATAACAGTTTGGAGAATCACAAACTTCAATTACTTTTGGCAATGTCTTGGTTTTCCATGAGGCACTACAGGTTATTAAATGTCGTAGCTATTTAGCTTGCTAATGAATAGTTTATCCTACATTCAATTAGGCTGGTTTTCCGTCCGATTTTTTTTTTTGTTTTCTCTCTCCTTTTTTTTTTTTTTTTTTGAACCCACTCAAAGAATTGATGATAATTAAGGGAAAGCTGTCAAGGGTCCAGGTTTTTTTATCCAAGATATCTTTATAGTTCTAGGGCTACCTAGGGTAAAAATCTGGCTTCATCTTATAAACCTAATATCTATCTTCCATATCAGGAATGGCTGTCATAATGATGATAATAGTAAGAAAAATTGCAGTTGTATGTTCTACACAACACCTTTCAAACTGTTCTGCATATTTCACATTTTTCTCTTAATACCTTTGTGTAGTAGAAAAAGAGCAGGTTTATTATTCTTTTTAAAGTCAATGAGGCAAAGGGGGATAAATGAATGTTCCCAGATTATAAACTTCATCATGAACAAAGCAGAATGAAACATGAACACGTAATGTAGTGTTAATTCTCTATTCATTTCATTGCATTATCCAGTTCCCTGGTTTCTCTCTCACTCTCAAGTGACTGAGGCATTGTTATCAGGGGATGCAAATAGTATTTTCATGTATTTTTGAATCACAAGATTATCAAGGTCTGATCAGTTGGACAGCAGTCTCTTTCTGATCAGTGATGTGCTTGTTTATTTCATAGCCCCGCTTTAATCAGGAGAGATTGTGGCTCTAGTGATTTTTGACATTCATTGAGAAGGTTGAAATTGGACATAGACCCTGTGTAATTCAACAAGTATATTTGTGAAATGTACTTCAGAAGAGGCAAAATTAAAATCACCAATAACAAAACACCTAACCATAAAAAAAATAGGCCAATTAAAGAGCCCTTCGATTGGTATCAGCTCCTTCTGCAGCTCTAAAATTAGACCGCACTTCAGGGATTCTGGATCACACCCAGGCCAATTCAATATTTCAATCTAGTCAGCGTGTGCTCTGTCCTAGGTGCTAAGGTGAAGCATGTGGGAGACAAGATGAGGAAGACACAGCTGGCCCCTTGCAGAGCTCTGTGGCGGTAGACTGCCCCAGCCCCACCCCAGCTCACACCAGGTGCCTCATGCATGTGAGGGCTCAGCCATTTTCAGAGCAAGCTCATTGTCACCACTATAAGAACAAATCTAGACAAAAAGTAGGTCCACCTGGTGAGCCAAATGCCTGGATCGTTCTACAGAGGAGGGCTTTGAGGAAGGACTTCCAGCTCCCATGTGGCTCAGCCACCCCCTCTCCTTCCAATTCCCACCCCAAAGTTCTTCTCCTGCCCTGCCTACTTAGCTCCTGACGAAATTGACTGAGATATTGGTTCATATAGGGCAGAAAAGGCAATGTGCCAACCCAAAACTGGGGCAAACGGCTTCCGCCTCGGGGGTGTTTTCAACCCTTACACCGTGTTTTTGCCTCTCTACTTGTTTTCCTCACATGCCCCTATCATGTCCCTATCTCTGGAATTGGAACCACCTGTCCGGACCCTGAGGCACTCTGGCCCATCTGGTGTCCAACTCACCCCTTGGCCCTGACCACTTCTCATAAACAGAGCCCAGTCCCTCAACCTCAGGCCACTTCTGGGGCTCAGCATGTGCCAGCTCTCCTGGCACCCCCTCTTTCTGGCCTGAGGCTCAGGGAAGCTCACTCCCACATCTGGGGTGGCCAAAGTATAGCTAATATTTATTAAGCACTTACTAAGTACCAGACACTCTTCTAAGCACATTGTATGTTTATTCAATCCTCACAATAGCCCTATAACGCAGGTATTATTATTATCCCCTTTTTAGGAAGGAAATTTAAACACAGAAAGATTAAATCATTTGTCCAAGGCTATCAGCCCCAGACCTTCAAGTAGCCTGTGCCTCGTTCTGTCACCCAGGCTGGAGTGCAGTGGTGTGAGCTCTGCTCACTATAGCCTTGACCTCCTGGGCTCAAGGGATCCTCCCACCTCAGCCTCCCAAGTATCTGGGACTACAGGCCTGTGCTACCATGCCTGGCTATCTTTTTATTTTTTGTAGAGAGGGGATTTCACTTTGTTGCCCAAGCTGTTCTCAAACTCCTGGCCTCAAATGATCCTCTTGTCTCGGCCTCCCAAAGTGCTGGGATTTTAGGCACGAGCCACAACGCCGAGCCTGAAACTTCTTAACAAAAAGTAGCTCCACAGGGATTGGTTAGAACCCTGTTGGCCATAAATCCAGAATGCTAACTGGGCTCCTTCCGGCCGACACTTTTCTTTCTTAAAACCTCAGAATCTTAATGTGATGGTAAGAGAAAATGTGGTCATTGGGGGCGTTCCCAGGCTCTCCAGTACTCAGCAATCCCTCTCTCCACCCCATGTCCCTCTTCCTCGGGCGTCCTGTTGCCACCCCTCTTTCTACATGCAGAGCCCTCATTCTCTGCCGCCCCAGGCCTTCAGCTGTTCTCCCGGCTCTTTGTTATTACACATTATCATTAATGGATCAGCCCCCGCTCACGAGGTTTCCAAATAGAGGCCTGGCCCACCAGATCGTAAAGGTTAAGCCCGTGTATTCCAGGGGGCTGTGTCAGATGAGGAATTCTATTAGAAAGCTTTGCATCTGGAGTTTTCTAATGGTGCCTTCAGGCAAAAAAAATTAAAATTAAACCACCAACCAACAACCCCTCTCCACCTCCACCACCCCCTTTCCAGCTTTCCCCACAGCAAGATTTCTGACTTGGTTAAATAGAATTCATTAATAAGCAAGGGGGAAAATCACTCCAGGCAGTTTACTCTCGAAAATGTAAACTGTTAAAACATTTTGTGGTTACAAGAATTCTGAAAATAATGCGTTGTTCTCTGGTGTTTCATGCTCTCTCAGGATCAACGATTTTCTGATACACACAGGAAGCGTTGAGATGGTCACACGTAAGACTATTTAGCACCCAGCGTTTCTTTCTGATGGTGATGTATTTGGAAGCTTGAAATCTGGACCTGCAATTGACTTGGGCTTCCTCTGCTTTCAGCTATCTTATTTTCCCCCTAAAAACATGATTTATTTCCATGAGTGTGTGTAGTATATGAGCAATCCTTGGTACCCTTACAAGCACGAGATTTGTCCAGCCTTTCTCTCCTTCCCTCCCTGCTTCTCAGTCCCCCCTCATCTACCCCCCACCAATCTCTCTCTCTCCATCTCACACACACACACATGCGTGCACACGCACGCACATACGCGCACACACACACACACACACTAGGATGGGGGTGGTGTTCTAGAAAGTACCCAAGAAACAAGAGGCAGGACTCTGGGAGGAGGGAACCGTGGATTCTTCATTGCAGGGGGGTTCCCAACCTGTCTTTGTCTGAAAACTGGGCACTGGGCCAGCCTCAGCCTCACGGATTGCCACTCTTGGCCTCCAGCCCAGTGATGGATCCGACTGTCATTTCCCTACCCCCAGCGAGGCAGGAGGCACACTGAGAAGAGGGACGAGCAGGAGAACACAGAGCTTGGCCTGGGAAAAAAGGTAGGAGTGGCAATGCTGGAGATAGGACTCAGCTGGGGAGGTGGGGGACCCCCTCCGGTCCCGGGCCCTCCTGTCAGCTCCCAGCTCCTCTGTTAGAATCCATTATAAACAACCAGGGAGAGGAACAACTCCATCAGAAGAGCAGCTCCAGGAAGCCTGAGGAGAGGCAGGAAAGCCAGGCTCTCTCACGTGGAACAATGAGCCCCTGGTAAACAGTCATCTTACTTTTAAAACTCTGGAAGGGGAAGTCAACAATCTTTGGGGATGAATTCAATAGTTTAATGTCCCGCACAAGCAGGAACTTCTTGCTTACACCCAACTTAAATCACTCATACAACAGACTGATCCCTATTTAAAATGTGTTGCCATAGGCAGGGAAATAAGGCTGACAACATTTGGAAACCGACAAAGGGACAGCTTCCATGAACTTCAGAAAACACATAAAAGATAACTATAATAGCTATAAGATTCTCCTGCTTTGAATAGGTGTTTTTTCCTGCACACTTTTTACATTTGGATATTGTTGGTAAATGTATTTCCCTATATTAAATGTATGGCATGTCAGAGGCATAAAGAATCTGAAAGCTCATCTAGCCCAATTTACCTTACCTTTCTGATGAGGAAATAGAGACACAGAGAGGTCAAGTGACTAGTCCAAGGTCACACACAGAGAAGGGTTGGAGAAAGAACTGGAATCCAGACAAAGCAGGCCACTTTCTTCTCTGTCTCTTTCTCTCTCCTCCCTCTCTCTCGTAATGCCTTCCTGCCTTTCTCAACTTCAACCTCATTTGAAAACTTTTAAGGAAATTTCCTTCCGGGGTGCCAGCTCATATATTATCTCTATTCATCTGTGTCTCAGTCACTAGACTATAAATTGTGTGAAATCATGATCCATTTCTGTTTTCTTCTCCACTGAATCCTTAAGATTCAGAAAAAATAACTGAACTATAGTAGATCCCAAGTCTTTGTGAGTCATGAATAAATTAGTGGGAGAGTGATAATAATGTCACTATTGATATAGCACAATCAGAGAAAAAGAATAATCAGGTGGTAGGTTGCCAAGAAGTTGCAAATGCCATCAGAAACCATGTTTTGGTCCCATGGGTTTTTCCTTTTGTAGTGAGTCACAGGTATTTGGCGCTGTGGAAGAAATCTGAATGCGTATCCTAAGAAGACAGTGAATGTGCAGGAGAAATTTGGTAACTGTTCAAAAGTCCATCTCACTCTAACAGGCAAGAACCTTTCAGAGTCTATCCACACAATGACTGACATCAAGTAAAGGAGAAGCCCATACAGATGCCAAATGAAAGCCTTACCTGGTGAACACTTCTCTGTGTCAGGGTTTTGCTCCCCAGTCATGTGTGTCTTGAGGCACACAGCCTCACAGAGTTCTCCAAGCTGAGATTCACCACTAGTGGCATGGCTGGAAGTCCTGAGTGATGTTCACCTAAGATTTCCAGCTCTCTGCTTTCCAGGCATATGGCAGGGATGCACTGCCTGGGACTTTTATAACAGGCTGAGGCCATGGAACCAGATCTAGCCAGTGAGTTGTAAGAAGAGATTTTCATTGCTGGTTCAGGAATCTGCAGAGCTCTTTCCATTTGCCAAAGCAATGAGCAGAGTTCATGACAGTGGTTGTTACCTTAACCTGGCTGCCTGAGTGAGGAGACAGAGAGCAGGGCCATGCAATAAATGTGGATCAGCGCAAGGGAAGGAAAGCCTTCCTTATTCCAAGCCACTAAGATTTGCACATTGTCACATAGTATGACCTAAGCCGACAGATCCAATGTGTGAAGTAATTTAAGGAGTTACCTAATGGGTGTGGCATTTAATAGTATTAAAATCTGTGAAGAGAAAGTTATTCCTTTTTCAAATCTTTTGTGGTCATTCGGAAGAGTCCAGAAGAAGCCTGGTTCTGAGGCCGATGAGGTTTTAACAGATCTGCCCACCTTCCTTTTAAACACAGAGCAGAACTTGAGCTCGGAGCTTACAGTGTCTGCTAGGATTTAATTCTATTGGTTTGTTTTCACATTTTGTTTTAGAGTGACCTCTATTTATGGAATGTGTTACTATGTTTTTAAATATATGGAATGTTGTAAACTTTCATTTGAAAATTTTGTATTTAAATTATAGTAATGTAACTAACATTTCCACTGTGCTTACTATGTGACAGACCTATTTTAGGTTGACATGTACTTATCTGTTTAACCCTCATAATAATCCTATGAAGTAGTTGCTATTTTTATCTCCACTTAATAGATGAGAAAACAGAGGCACAGAGGTTAATAAGCAGCCCAAGTTGCCCCAGTTAGTAAGTGATAGAGCCAGAATTCAAATCCAGATAGTCTGGTTCCACAATTTGTATGCTATGAGTTGATCTTTTACAAATATTATTTCTCCTGTGGTTCAGTTGGTACATGGCCACAGCAAAAATTATGAAGGTGGTACATGAATGATTATATTTTAGGAAACAATTATGTCCTCTTTTGTCGAGCAGGAGATTTGGTTTGCCCTCTTGCCACAGGTGAACTTTCACCAGACTCACCCACATGTATTCCTCTTCAGGCCAGAGAATGCCTTGCCTGGTTCCTGCATAGGGCATGCATGGCTCAGGAGCAGGAACTCCAAGCAAGAATCTTCTATGTGGCCATAGACGGAAGATGTATTTGTGAGAGATGGAAGAAAAAGAAAAGGGGCTATAGATGATCAGATGGGAGTGAGTGAGTGAACATTTATGTGAAACTTTTCTCTTCAGAGATATCCTCCTTCTAGAAGCCTTAGAGCTGTGGGCACCCAATCAATACATGCATGAGGTTCTTGCCACCCACATACAGTGCCAGCTAGCTCCAGCTGTTCCCAGGTCCTCTCTGTATAGAGGAATTAAAGGAGGCACCCTGATAACAATCCATTGATTAGGTATTCCTGTGCATTTTGTTTTAAGATTTTCAGCCCTTGGAATATCTTGTGTAGACTACTTACTACTTCAAGTTTTACAGCAAAGAAATCTAAAATCAATTTCCTCTTGAAACTTATCTAGCATAGAACACTCCAGTTTCTTTGTGTGGTGGCTCACTAATGTTATTGGGAAGCTTTTCTTGCTGAGATGATTCTGGCTTTAAGGCCTATAGCTATTCTGGCGGGGAGAAAACTAGCTTCAAGGATCAATGAGTTTGAAAGGGATCCTTTCCTCAGTCAGGATATACTGACTTTGGCTTCCCCTAGTAGGAAAAGCAAGTCTTTTTGAGTCTCTGCAGTCCCCATTTTGTTCTTGCTATATTTTTTATTGTTGTGCTGCCTAAGCAAATGGAAATAAGGCTAGTGGTGAAAAGATGCACAAAAGAGGCTCAGACTCATATGTTATTCAATGCAGCATTATTTGGTGGTGGTTGGGGTGGGAAATCCATATCCATTATTGATTAAACATAGGAAGTGTGAGTCAACAGACTGGTATCTCTTAGTCTTGTTACCTTCATCACCATTTCCTGGACAGCAAACCCAGTGAATCCTCTCCTATCACAACTTTCCCAATCAGCCCAGAAGACAATGCTCATTTTATTTTCAAGGAATTTATTATTGTTCCTCTAAATAATTAGAAATTACGGGAACACAGCTTCTCTTTCCAAATATTAAGAAAATGTACGTATTTAGGCAATAGATGGCAGTGTTTCCACAAATTTTAATATTGCAATAGCTCTTAGAGAAAGCTTAGTGCTCAGCTCTTCAGTAGCTTGCCGTGATCGTATAGTGGTTAGTACTCTGCGTTGTGGCCGCAGCAACCTCGGTTCGAATCCGAGTCACGGCAGGAGGGGAGAAGGTTTTTGGAAGAGAACGAGGCTGATCCCAAGCTGTATTACATCTAAACAACATTTGCAACCAGACATGCAATCATGAAAATCAATAAAACAGAAAGCATTATGAATATTTTCAACTTCAGGGAGATGACATATGCAGAGTGACTTTATTAATGCACTAATCCTGTTGCAAGTGTGTTGTGTGTGGGGTTTTTTATTTGCACTGATGGGTAATATGATAAAACTGGAGTGTAGTGGGCATGTAATTATTATTAATTACAACTACTTAAGTTCTGCTTTGAGCAGACTCGTCAAGTCTGCTTGCTTTTGAGCCTTGCCAGGGCTATACAGTAATAACAACCCTGAATTATTTGGAAAGATGTCAGCAGTAGATGTGGAAATCCTGTTTAACCAGGCATGAATTGTTGTTGGGAGGGTTTTTTCAGGATGACAGAGAGAAAATGAACTGTCCCTTATCAGTAATTGCAGGAAACATTTTGTTTCTATGATATGAACTGGCTGTAATTTAACTTTCCTGCATCATTGGATAATGTAAGAAGCCAGTTGTTGCTCAAAACGAAAATCTCTGAAGTGGGCATTTGGGTCTGATAAAGGGCATATTATAAGTAGACAATGGGGCTCAAACAATAAATAATGTCCATATATGGCAAAAAAATTTTTAATGACATTTTCCAAAAGACTGGGGTTTGTATTGTAAGTGGTTAAATGTCGAATTAATGTGAGAAACACAGCTTTAATGGGCCTTTCTCCAGGACTTAAAAACATGGACAATACAGCCTGAAAATGTCAACTGTAAGTATGTTATAATGAGGTTTTACTGCTCCAAAATTATACCCCACTATGTTTTAAATAAGGGGTCACCAGAAGGTGTTTTTTAATGCCCCTAACCCCTGTCTCACAGACAGCCTAGCAAAAATTCATATTTGTTATTTATGTAATACTAAAAATATTTTCAAATAAAAATATGTGCACAAACTAGAAACAGAATCTATCAAGTTCTTTCAGAGCCAGCAAATTCTTAGAAGTAATATTCTAGAAAAACTGCAATAAATATCTCTTCTCCCTTTCCAAGAAAAGATCAGTCTCTGATTATGGACCCAAAAATATTGGCCTCATAGCATTATGAAGTAAGTAAAATGTGCTTATGTCCTCTTTCAATACCCACTTTCAAGACTATTTTCTACTCTGAGGTCTCCTCTTCCTAAATATGGCAAATTCCCCAGTCCTCACCCCTTGCCCCTTATCCCCCACAAATTGTGCTTTCCCTTCTCCAAAGAGTTTAACCTAGGCTTTGCCTCAAGTCTGCAAGTCCTTCTCAGCTGCCTGGTACTAATACTGTTTCAAGAAGACAGCTGAATTGCAATTGTTCTTACATTAAAACAGAATAAGCCCATCTATGGTTATTTGTATTAAGAGGCTGAAAGTGCAATGAATTTCTCATTTGAAGAAGGAGATTGTGTTGGTCAGAATTCAATGGTCACAAGCTAAAGAAACAACATGTACTGATTTAGAGAGAACCATGTACCCAGGAATGGGTGTAGCAGGGGCTTAAGAAACAATTGGAACTAGGGAATAAAAGATGACCAGAACCAACTATCTCCATCTCACCCCATATTTCTTTCTGAATGTTGCCTTTATTCTCTGAGACTGACTTCTACATGGCAAGAAACATGGCAGCCAGCAGCAACTCCTGCCTTTTATATCTGAAGCATTGTCTCCAGCAGGAGATTACCTTAGTTACTGCTCAAAAAATACTAGGGAAGGATCTTATTGGCTTACCTTTGGTCAGGTGTCCATCACTGGACCAATCAACTGTGTACATGGGGAGAGATATATGTAGCATACAAGAGAGCCTCTCCATTGTCTTGAGGCCAGTCTCACAGTAAGAGCATTGCTAGCCCCAGAGACACCTCAGTTGTCTCCCTCAGAAGCTTTTCCCACTGCATGAGTCAGGCACACCATTTGGTGGCTACTTCCACCAACCCATGAGTTCAGTTGCCAAACTACTAACAAATTTACTGCCTTGTTTAAAAGAAAAGCAGTGGGGGAGGGGAAGTCAGAATATGACAATCAATCTGGACTCAACTTTCTGCATAGGGACACAGGGCAACTGCTTGGACCAGGGGAGCACTTCCTGTTTTCTCTCCTCTGTCTCACCAAGAGAGGCCTTTTTCCCCTGGATGACAGTGCTCCCAACTTAGCTAGGAAAGAGCACAAAACCTTCCTGACTCTACCAAATAAATCAACTTGAATTTGGGCAAGTTATCTAAGCTCTCACAGTAAAAAAAAAAAAAAACAAAACAAAAAATGGTGGAGAGAGGGGAGATGATATTACCTTGATAATTAAAAGAATAATATACAAACAAACAGAAGCCACTTAGAACAGGAGCACATGGTAGAAATGCAACACTGGTGCCTGGCAGGCATGCAACAAATCATATTTCTTCTTACTATTTTAAGGCTGCCTTGTGCACTCACCCACCATCCAGCCTCCATTGATAGACTCTCTAGAGTGAGTTTTCCATTAGCAAAAGGACTCTTTACCATTGACTTCAGAAGTTTTTTTTTAAAAAATGTGATTAAGTAGACTACAATCCAGGGGTAGAAGAAGAGTCAGGATCTACTGAGTGGCCAGATCCATGTCCAAGTTTGCAGTCCTGGTTCACTCTTCATGAGGTTATTGTGACTGAGTGTCATAATAACCAATGGTTGTTTTCATCAACAAAGAGTTTGCTGACATTGGGTTTCCTTCTTGCTGTTGTTAAAATGTGTTTTTACTCTAAAACCAACACAACATTGAGTTAGTTTTCAGAAATGTTAAAGCCCAAGTTATGAGAGAAAATTCTAATTTTGAATTACATTGAGAAATTATCTGCTTTTAAATTTTGTAGAATCATTTGAGAAATATCTCAAAGGCCCCATTATTTCCATGCCCATATTGTCTATATTTTATACCAAACGTAATACCTGTTCATGAAACATCAGGGAGACTATGATATAATCTTACAAAAACTGTCTCTCCAAAATGTCAATTATAAAGCATTTCAGGGCCGGACGTGGTGGCTCACACCTGTAATTCCAGCACTTTGGGAGGCCGAGGTGGCTGGATCACTTGAGGTCATGAGTTCAAGACCAGCCTGGCCAAAATGACAAAACCCCCTCTCTACGAAAAATAAAAAAATTAGCCAGGCAAGATGGTGAGTGCCTGTCATCCCAGCTACTTGGGAGGCGGAGGCATGAGACTCACTTGAACCTGGGAGGCAGAGGTTGCAGTAAGCTGAGATCGTGCCACTGCACTCCAGCCTGGGTGACAGGATGAGGCTGTGTCTCAAATAAATAAATAAATAAATAAATAGCATTTCAGGGAAAAGGCAAGCCATTCTCAAACTAGATTCCTTGACAAGTCTTTAATGAGGAAACATTAGAAAAAGGACAGAATCCTGATTTTGATCACATGGCTTTGACAACTGTAGTTTTCACCAGTTGCATTGTCATTCCCTGGATCCGTTTATTCAAATTATAACATCATTTGCTCATTGAAAAGTCAGGAAAGCTTTTTTTTTTTCTTTTCTTCCTCAGAGTCAACTACCATGGCAAGAAGAAGTCTTAATTCGCTGTATAATCTGTTATTTTCTGTCCCTCGTGTTGGTGTAGCAGCAGTCAGTGATCTACTAGAGTTTGTTCAAGCAAAAAAAATTTTACCCATGTAACTGTAATTGAGTACCTGAATTAAAAATTCAGAACTACATATGCTTGCTTTATTACCATAAGCTTATGGCTTTACCTAAATGCCTCTTTCTTGCTTGCTCCCTCCAGTATAGTGGGTCAGAGTTATCTTCTTAATCTCCACCATTAACCTATTGAATTGGAAAGGGTTTATATTACAATATTTTCTATGCCTACATTTTAGTGAGCTTTCATAAATAAAGGAAATTAACATTTATTTTCTGATTAAGTCATAAATTGAATTCAAAGTAAATTAGTCATACAATGAATACTCTCTTATTTAAAAACCAACATCTATTCCCAAATTATGAAGAATAAGTGGTTTTTTTCCAATAAAAATATGCCAATGCATAGAAAATAATTTATTACATCAGAATCTGAATGGATGGAATTCACTTTCAGGGAGTACTGCTGGCCAGAGAGGTTGTTGCTGCAGGCCCCATGGTAGCAGTGGTGGGGAGGCGGCGCTCCTAAGGTGCAGGACACTGGAGCAGCAGTGGACCCAGAGTGTCAGCTGGTGGTGGCTTTGCGAAAAGAAAGTGCTTACCCACCAACAGCTGCTGCAATTTCATCCACAGGATCCGAGAATTGAGGGATGATGAAGGGACTATTTCTTCCCTCTGTAGCTCAGCCATAGGAAGCATGAGACATTGACAATTCTGCCGGTGCTCCTAACTGTTATGTTATCACTTAACTAGTAACATCACCCTTAAAAGCTGAAGATCTGTGGCAAGGCCTGGAAATGTGGGCCTTGCAGGGAGGAAAATTCTGACAAAAGCTAAATCTGAGACAAAGCTTTTCTAAAGAGACCTGGATTCAGATCCTGCCTTTGCCACTCTTGACTCCTTGACTTTGGACTTGACCTCTTTGTACTTTGGTTTCTTAGCAAACCGGAGAGATTATGTGAATTAGGTAAGGGGATGTATATCTGGTGTGAATCCTGATGACCAGTACTCCCCTTCCCTTCCTTTCCTTTCCAGAGCCATAATCTTTGTTCTATGTTCTTTGTACGGACTTCCCAGCATACCAAAGTCAACCAAAAATAAACATGCCTTGGGTTGTGCCACTCTGATTGGCAGCAGCTGTAAGACGTGCATGTCTTCACCTAAGCTCTGTCATTTGATTGCAGGTCATGCGGCCCCTAGAATGGTGAACTTGTGTGTTCCAGTCCCTCTGATAATAAGCAAAGAGCCAGGCAGGGAGGTCCCGGTCAAGACGCGCCGGGATAAGCGAAATTGCCACTAGATGGCGCTGCTTTTTGTCGTTCATCAAAGACCAGGGGCTTTTTCTTTCTTTCTGTTTTTTTCTTCCAAGGATTCCTGGCCCAGGGTGTCAGCATCCAGTATCCTAATCTTACCAGACGTCTCTGTTTTCTGAAGGGAGGTCCTATTTTCAGTGTATTATCAAGATCAGAGGACCAGACTCCACCTGCAATCTGGGGGAATTACCTCAACAGTGTTGTCTTTATCCAGAGGTGATTTTAAAAGAATATACTGTATTTGAATGTCAACGTTCAAAGGCTTTGAGGCAGAAAATTCCATTTCAAAAGAAAGTGTGATTAATGAAGCCACATAAATCCTGTAGAGGCTGGAGCAATTTCAGAAATCACACCATGCAAATCAAAGAAGCAGGTTTTTCTACATCCTCTCTCACTTTCTCTTGTTCTTATTTCTGCACCATCTCAACCTTTCCTTCCCTCTTTCTCTTTTGCAGTTTCTTGAATGCACGTCCCCCCAATCTCCAAAACATAAGGGAACTTGATCAGAAATCCTAGATACAGCTAGCTTCAGGCTCCGACCTGAGCCATTTCTCCTCATTCTTCCCCCAGGAGATTCAAAGAGAGTTGAGGCTGTAGCATTCAACTCACACACCTCACTACTTGCTTATAAAATGGATTCAAATTCTGGAACTCCACTTGGTCCAGTCTTAACAAGATGTTTTCCTTAAAGAAAAAGCTAGGCCAGGCACGGTGGCTCATACCTGTAATCCCAGCACTTTGGGAGGCTGAAGTGGGAGGATTACTTGAGCCCAGGAATTTGAGGCCAACTTGGGCAACATGGTGAAACCCCATCTCTACAAAAAATATAAAAATTAGCGAGGTACGGTGGCATATGCCTGTAGTCCCAGCTACTCAGGAAGCTGAGGTGGGAGGATCACCTGAGCCTGGGGAGGTCGAGGCTGCAGTGAGCCGTGATCACACCGCTGTATTCTGGCCTGAGTGACAGAGTGAGATCCTGCCAAAAAAAAAAAAAAAAAAAAAAAAAAACAACTGAATTAAAGAATAATGTAGATCTGTACCTTTTCTAGAAGAAGTGGCAGGGGAATTTTAGAGACTGCCCCACAAAGAAAGTTACCCAAAAATCCCCTTTAGGCATTTCTTTGTCTATTTCAAATTTCCTGCTTATACCAGCTGCTAAGTGTGCCACCGACTCTCCTCTGGGTTCTCCAACCAGTCACTCTTCTATTAGCCTTCTCCACTCCTGCATCCTGTTCACATTCCCCGTCCCATCCATAAACATAAGCTCTCTATTCCTTGTGCTAGGAGTCCCCTCAGCACCCTGGAGAGGGTGATTGCCTTGGCCCAGTCTATGTGGGCTTCCAAGCTGAGCTCCTTATCCAGAGTAACAATGTATCAAGTTGTGTAGTGTAGCATAGTGGAGTGTAGTCCAGTGATTGAGCACATGAACTCTGGTGACTGATTCCTGTGTTTAAATTTAAGCTCCACCAATTACCTGCTTGATGACTTTAGGAAAGTTACTTGGCCCCTCTGTACCTCAGTTTATCCTCATGTAAAATGTAGATAATAATAGTATCTGCCTAAAGGGTTGTCACGTGGACTGAATAAGCTAATATAGGCAAAGCACTTAGAAGAGTATCTGGTCCAGAGAAAGCACAATACAAATATTCACTATGAGTATTATTATTATTACTATTATTACCATTATTGTATGCCACACATAAAGATGAGTAAAGAGAGTATAAGAATGAACAATGTATTATCTTTGCCTCCATAGAGCTGTCAGGCTAATGGAAGAAACTGTTAAGTCAATCGGCACTTGCAATCCATCATGATAAGATTATGAAAAAGAAAGCTACAAGTATGATAAGAGTACACATATGCATTTAACCCTTAGTTGGGAATCTAGAGAAGACTTCTTTTTGGCACTGAGACCTGAAAGGGGCCATGGAGTAGTCCCTTTCCAGAGACAGCTACCAAAACACACATCTTTTCTGGCTTTTGTGGGAAGGACACAAGCAGAAAAGAGGGAATCTTCTTCATATTTCTGCTGGATCTCAGTATGGCTCCAGTGCAGTGAGGTCTGAAGGGAACTCAGCACCATTTTACAACTTGAGAGCTTTGCATCTTCAGGAGCTGTCAGAGGTTCCCCAGGCAGGGAAGTAGGACTGTTCCTGAGCGATGTGATATGGGAGGGGCCCATATCAAAGCAGTCAGAGAAGGAGGATACAAATGGATTTATTTCTGAATGTCCTCCTGGGTGCTCCTGGAAATATTCTGGCATGTTCAGCTAGAGGAATGGTTGGAGGAAGGGCAGAAGTTTGGTAGGCTTGATGAGCTGGTTGGGACAGAAAAATATAAAGACTTACAAACATTGGGAAAGTAAGTTTTTCCTTTTTTCTGCTTTTAAAGATTCATAAGATATACAGTTTGATCAGTTAGCAAACATATATTACATGTCCGCATTGTATGAAGCACCATAAAACATGAAGATACAACAATGAAAGCGAAGGTTCTCAATGAGCTTGCAGTCTATAGGAGAAAATAGACATGCAAATCAGTTCACTTATAATCCAACAAAATGTGTCATCATAAAAGTATGAGAAAAGCCTCATGGGATCACAGAGGAGAGTATAAAAACTACAAAGCCATGCCACCTGCATCTGGCCTGTAGAGCTCACAGTGGTGGAAGGGCACAGAGTGCAGGATAAAGACAGGGAAAATCATGGAGTGATTAGTAAGATTATCATGCTATGAACAGAGCGCTCTGATTTTTTTTCTTTAAGCCAAGAATTGCCATAGAAATTTAAGAATCTTCTTGAGTGACAGTTTAGGAGGATTTGGGAAAACTCAATGGCAGGACCACTCTTCCATTCTGCCAGCTACCTCCATCTCCAACGCATTTCCAAAAAAGGCAGAGTAAAAAGAAAGTAATTGAATAGAGATGGAAGAGGTAAGGAAAAGAAGAAAGGACATAGACCTATGAAGAAAGGTAGCTGTCATCAAACTCTCCAAGGAAGACTCGTTTTTCTTCCTTTAGTCAAAAGGAATCCATAGGTGAGGTTCCCCCTAGAGCATCTACTGAGGTGCAGAGCCTAAGTGTATTTCATTCATTCATTCAACTATCATTTATTGAATGCATATTATATTAAGGTGCTACTCTATGTGTTGGGAGAAAGATGAATGAAACTAGGTCTCTGTAGTGAAGTAGCCCATGGTCCAATCAATCAATAATCACAGTACCACACTTCTGGGTTTGCTGTGGCAATCCTGCAGTTTGAGGGAAAACAAATACCTCGAGATTAAGTGGTCCCATCTAAGCTTCAGTGGATAGCAAAAAAAAAAAAAAAAAAAAAAAATTATGTAGCAATGCTGAAATTTCAATCACACTAAAATTCATACATGCAGAGAAAATATAGTTTCTTATATATGTTTCCTTATATATGTCTCAATCATCTGTGCCCCTTTTCCCCAGATCTCTACAACAGGGCATCAAGTGCACAGCTGGGCAAGCAGCAGGGCTCACATGATCTTGTAGAGGATGGAGTGAGTGGTCAGAGACCACACAGTGCCCCTGTTTTGCCCTCGATTCCTGCTGGTACAAATACTAAAGGCAGGGCTGGCAGACCTTGTGTACCAGCTTCTCTCATCTTGATCAGGGTCTAGTGGCCCTTTGTGGCTGAGTCAGCCTCTTCATCCTGGTTCTGTGTGACACTAAGAATCACTGTAGAGCAGTACCACTAGACCTATCTGGCCTCAAGCAAGGCTCGCTGACAATTTATCTGCCCTTGACTGCTGTGGAATGTGTGGGTGTCAGCCACGCCATAGAGAAGCCTAGAGCTGAGCAGTAAAATGAAATTCCAAACACTTATTTTGGCTGTCCATGCCAGCGGCTAAACCCAAGGCCTTCTGTAGGAATTGGGCACTTGAGTACTTCCATATTTACTCACTACTCCTTCCTTGTCTCTAGAGCAAAGGCCCAGGGGGGGAGATTGGAACAGAGCTGATCAATTCACTTTCCACCCTTTCTTGCCACGATTATCCTCCTAATGTTGCCAGCACTAGAAGAAATGGGCTTTCCTTCCCACTTCCTCTTCTTGCCTAGATGTCCCTCATGTAAAATTCTGTCCACTCCACCAGACTTATCCCCAGATATGTCAAACTGGAGCTAAAGAAAGTTTTAAAAATCCTTTCCCTCTCCATAGAGCCTGTTTCGCCTGCCTGTTGTCTCACTCAAAATGTCAAGAACCCGCCCTCGGAGCTCTGCCTCTGAGTCAATAAGACCCATGGCTCCAGCCTCTGAGAGCAGGCAGTGAACAATAACTGGGGAAGAAAATTAAACTCTTGTCCTTAATGTCTGCAAAGAGGCTGTCACTTTTGAGATAATAAAATTGTATTTCTTTGTCTTCTAATTGGGTAGTCCGAGGAATGTCGTTCTGCAGGTCGCCCCGCGTAAACTGGGGCAAATGTTTCAAGCTCGAATAAGTTTAGGGAATGCTGAGGTAAACAAAGGTAAACAGGTTTATTTAATGTGAAATTGTCAGAGTCTTTAATATGCTAATGTGTTCTGTGAATTCCAATATGCTATTTCCAAAACTTATTTGACCCTCGAACACTTTTTTCACATCTCCTAGAAACAGTGTTCTGCAGAATACAGCAATGGAAAAGGCTGAAAATCCTTTGTCCCCAGAATCATCCATCACTACATTTCTTCTTCTGTAAGGGAGAAAAGATGAGTGGCTGAGGCACAAGTGTTTCAATATCTGATTCATTTCCCATCTAGGCCCCTTCTTTACTCCCTTGGGTCTGTGCTTAGTTTTTAACTTAAACTATCATGGCATCGGTGTTATGAGCATAGAGTACGTGGGGGTTAGACAGTTGGAGAGACTGGAACTTAAAAGAGCTTCTCTCAATGTAAACAAGCAAGCATACCCAGCCCCCACCCCTTGCCAAAAAAGCGAGAGATAAAAGGACCAAATTCCCGAGCTTCTCTGGGAATTCTCTGGTGGAGATGCATGCCGACCCGGGTTGCCCTTGTGAAGGATGGGAAATGGATGATGGGTCATGGTTAAGGAATGCAAAATAAAGATCTCATGACTTTCAATATAAAAATACATATGGTGTAAGATTACTGCACAGTTCCCCACAATCAGAAAGAATGCAAATATTCCCTGCATGGCAGGAACAAGGAAAGCAGAATCTGAGTAGACAGAAAATTGGGATCAACAGGAAAGTTCTGGCCAAACTACTTTGCAGAGAATATAATGATCTTCAAATAGGTTCCCTAAAAGGGGCATTACCTAAGGAAAAATAATCAAAACTCAAGGGACATAGATGAGTTTTTAGGGAGGACAATGATGGATGAGAGGAAATGGCAGGAGAAAACTATAGATGGCCAGGATAATGGGCCCAGTGACCCTTTTACCTCTTCGAACTTTTCTTCTGTCCTGTGTAAATAGAGAAGAGGCTCGATGTCACGCTAAGTAAAAAAGAGGAAAAAATTGATATTTCATGTGCAGCCACATGTGGGCTGAAAGTATAACTCATAAAGAAAAAAATCAGTCCCCTTGTCCACATCTCTGTGTAAGAGGGCTTGATTTACATGTATAGCTTTAGCACGAGAAAACATCTGAGCACACAGGAAAACAGCAAGGAGTTCTGGGGTCCCAGAAGAATCAGATATTACTGGTCACTCCGTGCTCCCATGGATAGGAGCAATAAACCATCCTTAAGAATGAAGTAGATGAGTACGTTTTGCCCCGATCTGATTACTACTCTCAGACTTTTCCTCAAAATAAAACATGATGTATGTATTATTTTCTAAGTCAATCAAAAGTAACTAATGGTAGCACTCTGAATTAAATTGTTAAATATTGCTACTGGCATGTGGGCATACTTTTTTTTACAAAAGGGTCTAATAGAGATAGAAATGATCATTTGAACTGTTATGAATCCATATAGCTCTTAAAAAATGAAATAAAATAAAAGCTGCCCATATCAAGGCTGTTGTTATTGAAAATCCAGAACTGTAGAAACATTTCATCTTCCTCTAGATGGAGGCTGGGGGCCTCCATGTGCATCTTTGTTTTACATGCCCAGCATCCTCCTGACCCTTCCCTTCTTGCTACTTTCAACTTCTCCCACAACACAGGGCTATCTATGGCTGGCAGGGCTGGGAACACAGCACTCTGCACCTTCCTCAGTCGCAGAAGTGGTCACTGGATTCTGGTTGGGTGGATTTTGTACCATATTCTTCTAGCCAAAGAGATTAGTCCAAGATGTGGACCCATGACCTATGCTGAGCCAATCTGAATCCTTCCTTGGAGTGTCTTGAGTGGAAAGTGAAAGGATATTGTCTCAAGACTGGCCTTTTCAAGGTTGGGTTTTATAAGTGTGTTGGCCTTTAAGCCTTATTGCCTTCTTAAAGTAATTTAAGCTAGATGCTTATCACGTGCAATTGAAAGAGTTCCAGCTAATACGGGGGCTTTGGCAGAATGAGAAAGGAGCCTTACTTTCTTTTCCTGACTCCATAAGAATACTTAGAGCAGGCAGAGAAGCACCAGGCCAGAAACATTATGGTGAGCAAACATGGACTCCAGGGACATTCAGGCCTTTTGGAAGAACAAGCATTCATGGACTGCTAATAATTAATGAATTTCAACTGATCAGTGTTCTACAAGTAAAAGTGGCCAATAACCAGAGGCCTAACATCTGGGGAAAAGGCAGGAAAGTTTCCATAAGGATCTGACAGTCTGAGACCTGAAGATGGGGAGTTGTTATTCTCATCTTCCTGGGTCGGAGTCTCCTTTGTCATGTTAACCCTACATAGCATGGTGGCTGCTTCCACTTTAAAATGTCTTTTTCTCACTAACTGAGCTAACACTAGCCTGTTTATATGATTATATTAGTGGGAATATAATTACTTTTTCTGTACTCTTCATACTTCCTGTGGCCTCATCAAAATACATAAGAGAAACTTTTGGTCTGAGTAAAATGAAGTGCTAGGTAGAAAAGTGAAAAAAATAGCCCTCAAGGAAAAAAAAAGTAGCAATTCTAATTCTGCTCTCATGAATTATCTTTGGAGTCCTGAATATCTATTAAAATTTCTGACATACCTGTAGATTTCTGCTCAATCATAAATCATGAAAATATAGAAGAATTGGGTATGCTTTGGTACAAAGAATATGCACTTTCATTGAAAATGAACTCTATAAAGGTGTATCAAAATGAATCTTTGCTGTTATGCAAATTAGCACTGGGCCAATTCTAGTGTGGCATCCTTTGCTTTGTCGAAATGTATCCAACTGTGATGGATCCTCTGTCCATTGGTTTGTAGCAAGTAATTTACATTTGTCAACTTTCATTTGTATGTAGATAAGATAACTGACATTGAAAACCCATCTTCTTATCTTTCTCAATGGAAGAGTTAATCTGATTTACCATTTTCATGATGTATACTCTGCATTCCTCTTCAGTATCTTCAAATTCCAGGTAGTTTTTGACTGATTTGTTGTGTTCCTGCTTTTACATCTTATCTTATGAAAGAACATATACACTCTGTTAAATTAGATCTTAGGGCTTTTAGCCCTCCTCAGACTTTCTCTACCATGCCCCAAAGTATCTCATCCAATAATTAACATTTATAATTATTTAACAAATCTGTATTGAGCCAGACATTGTTCTAGATCTGAGAATTTATAAAATAGATGTTCATTTCAATTAATATGATTGTTATTTATCTCATTTAATATTTCATAAGAATTGGCATCTAGAAAGAAATGAAGGAAGAAAAACAGGAAGGAAGAAAGAAAAGAAGGGGCTTGTCTCTTTATGAATGCTACAGTTTTGCACATGGTATACATGCCTTATTTTTTTTTTTTTTGCCAAAGATCCAGAGCTCTTAAATTATGTGATATTATTTTGTAACAAAATAGTTGAAGGCAGGATGTGAAAAAGAAACCAATGCAATTTACTTATAATTAACTAAGACTAAGTTTAAAAACGAAAAAAAAAATGGCTTACTCTCAGTGGTGCTACTGTTGAACTGTCATCTAAAAGCTTATATAATTAGTGGAAGCATGTTAATTGAATTATGGCAATTAAGTCAGCCTTGAGACAAGAGGTTCCCTCCTGATTGACGAGATAGTAGTAATTCTGCAACCCATTTCCCCTGGTAGGAAGTTTCGGGACTGTGTCTCATCCTGCCCCTTAGTATTTTAGCTATGATGAAGTGGCCAAATCTTGATTTCTCTGGTGTTAATTATCCACTTTGCGGGTTTTCTGGGCCCTTGGATTCTTCTCTTCCTTTCTACAGGGTTACCAGGTTGACAGCATCAGTGGTAGGCTAGAGCCATGAAGAGGTCATGCAATTTACATCTGTTGTTTTTGCTACCAAATATCTTCATCAGTAAAAGATAAGGAGTGGGAGGAATGAAAATATTTGGGGGGTTGGTGTGGAGAAAATGATTATCTTTCCAGCCTTTCTTTGATAGCATCTTTTTTTTTTTTTTTTTTTTTTTTTGAGACGGAGTCTCGCTCTGTTGCCCAGGCTGGAGTACAGTGGTGTGATCTTAGTTCACCGGAACCTCCACCTCCCGGGTTCAAGTGATCCTCCCCTCTCAGCCTCCCAAGAAGCTGGGATTGCAAGCGCACACCACCAAGCCCACTAATTTTTGTATTTTTAGTAGAGATGAGGTTTCGCCATATTGGCCAGGCTGGTCTCAAACTCCTGACCTCAAGTGATCTGCCCTTCTCGGCCTCCCAAAGTGCTGGGATTGCAGGCGTGTGCCAGCACGCCCGGCTCTTTAATAACGTCATTGTTGATTGAAGTGTTGAGAAAAGACTGAAGCCAGAGTTCACATGAGTTTGGGGACAGTTTGGGGACTATACTTGTTCATCTTAACCCTTTTTATAGAGCCTGCAGAGTGAGCTAGCAGCATGTATATCAGGTCCTGTCCCCAACCTGATATTAATAAATGAAGTAGCCTTGGGAAATTTCCTTCCTCTCTCCAGGACTAATTTACTCTACAAAACAAGAATGTTGTAGTTCCTTTAAACTACAAAATTCTATACTTTTTGGTCTATTCACAAGCTCAGGTTCATGTTTTCTAGGGTTTTGAATATGGATTGTTCGCCTCATATGTCCTGGGGTGACAAAGCTGCGTGGGCAGTGTGTATGCCAGCCAGACATACCGATGGGAAGTGGAGCAGATGCCACTGAGGACTGTCAAAGGGTCGGTGTTGTGGATACCTCCAGAAAAAGAAAGCAAAAGAAAAGCCAACAGGGAGGAAGGGGTGGGAGGACCATACTGAAATGTCTGAAGACAGCGGTCCTGGGGAAGTTCTGTGAGCTGGGCCAGCTACGTAACATGCAAGGCTACGTAACGTAACAGGGCTCGTTGCAAAATTAAAACACGGGGTCTCTTGTTCAAAAATCAAAAATTTCAAAATGGCTACAGCAGAGCATTCAACTAGACGCAGGACGCTTCTAAGTGCCAGGTCACATGCCGGTGAAGTGGGCCCTGTCTGTGGGCATGGTTGGTAGGGATTAATCCTGTTTCCAGGGGTTGGAATCACAGCAACCTCCCCTCCCTGGTCCCCTGAATCTGCAAGGCTCACTTCAAGTCTGCTTTTCATTCAGTGCTATGCTTCTTTCTTTCTTGCTTTTTTTTTTTTTTTTAACAGTGCTGCTAGCTGTATAAATATTTTACAGTTCCCCTATGAAAAGTTTCCAAGGGGCCCATGTTGAGGGAAAAAAATCTTTGAAAGGATTTTTTCCATAGCAATTAAAACCTTTCAAAGCACCGAGAGCTCCCCAGTCCCACTTTAGTGCAACAAACCTCTATTTTTTTGCCCAGTTTGGATGGCTCTGGGTCTGAAAGTAAGCCAGCCTCTTTGTTTGGTGACTTTGCAGGTTGCCGATAGACATTTGGAATTTAAATTCATTAGATACATGGCAGAGCCGTGGATGGAACTGGGATGGATTTAGAAATGCTGTGATCAGAAACTCTAACCCCTATTTCCTGTATCTCATTTACTGGGGTAAAATGACTATAAATCAACCTAAAGCTCATTTTAGCTCCCCAGATGAAGTCAAATGTACACTCTGACTTATGCATATACCATTTTTAGTTAACGCACCAATAAAAATAATTGTGCAAGCCTAAATTTGGAAGTGTTCCCAGCGTTTATGACAAAACTTAATAAAGCCAGGCACATTGAATGTAATATGGGAATTTTATTGAAATGAAATTAGTCCATCATGTAAGCTGCACGTTTTCCTCAGATTTCTTGGACTTCATATGAGAGCTCTCCTGGGGACCCTAATAGGGTCTTGCAAAAATTCAAGTCCAGTATGTAGAGACACAGGGCTCACACGCAGACTCTGCAGCTGGTAGGATGGTGCACTGAGTTTCCATGCAGCAAACCACACACACTTCTCCAAGCATACCCCTACTCTTTTCACCCTGGTTCTAAGCAGCAGATATATTGTTGTGGTTTTACTCAACACACGAGACTCCTGGAGAGATGGGGGTGGGGGTTCATTTGTAATTCTAGTAACAGTGGTATGTGCCAGAAACCTATTATGTAACTTCCCTGGGGAAACAGCATGGTGGGAGCCATTGTGGATGTTCATATAGTTTGGTTGCTGAGCTGTATTTAGGCATGAAAGCCAGGGGGCTGTGAGATGCTTTTTTCGCTGCTCAAAGGAGGAAGCAGTATTTATTTCTTTGAAATGTGGGGTTGAGGGTGGGGGTGCAGGGACGAGAAGATGTGAATAAAGAAATTGAAGTTCTGATATAGATTATATTACATTTACAGTGGTCCTCAGACTTTAATGAGTACATTAACACTTCCTGGGGTGCTTGTTTAAAAAAACTGTTCCTGGCTGGGCGCGGTGGCTCACCGCGCTGTAATCCCAACACTTTGGGAGGCCGAGGTGGGTGGATCACCTGAGGTCAGGAGTTCAAGACCAGCCTGACCAACATGGTGAAACCCCATCTCTACTAAAAGTACGAGAAATTAGCTGGGCGTGGGGGGCACCTGTAATCCCAGCTACCCGGGAGGCTGAGGCAGGAGAATCACTTGAACTCGGGAGGCAGAGGTTGCAGTGAGCCGAGATCGCACCATTGCATTCCAGCCTGGGCAACAAGAGTGAAACTCCGTCTCAAAAAAAAAAAAAAAAAAAAAAACTGTTCCTAGGCCCTAACTCAAGAGATTTTAATTTATGACACCTAGAACTATACCTAACAACTTGTATTTTAAATAATACCCCAGATGATTTTGACAGAGGTAGTCTAAGGATCTCAGTTTAAAATACTTCTATCTGGTTAGTCATCAACAACAGCAAAGAAACTTCAATATCTTTAATAAATATTTGTTTTTGAGGTGTTACCATGTGCTGAGCATAGGGGAAGGTCTTCCAGCCCAACTACTTCACTGCATTTGGACCATCATCTTGGTAGGTGTCCAGTTTATTTTTTAAAATCTCAGGAGACTGATACAGTCACGATGAATACGTTCTGAGAAATGCATCATTAGGCAATTTCATTATCGTGTGAACTTCATACAGTGTGCTTACACAAACCCAGATGGTGTAGCCTGCTATACACCTAGGCTCTGTGGTATAGCCTGTTGCTCCTAGGCAGCAAACCTGTACAACATGTTACCATACTGAATACTGTAAGCAATTATAACACAATGGTAAGTATTTGTGTACCTAAACATATCTAGACACAGAAAAGGTACAGTAAAAAATACAGTATAAAAGATTTAAGGCCGGGTGTGGTGGCTCACACCTGTAATCCCAGCACTTTGGGAGGCTGAGGCAGGCAGATCACGAGGTCAGGAGTTCAAGACCAGCCTAGCAACATGGTGAAACCCTGTCTCTACTAAAGATACAAAAAATTAGCCGGGTGTGGTGACACACACATGTAATCCCAGCTACTTGGGAGGCTGAGGCAGGAGAATCGCTTGAACCCGAGAGGCGGAGGTTGCAGTGAGCTGAGATCATGCCATTGCACTCCAGCCTGGGCAACAGGGCAAGACTCCTTCTCAAAAAAAAAAAAAAAAAAGTAAAAATAGTATACCTATACAGGGCTCTTCTCATGAATGGAGCTTGCAGGACTGGAAGCTGCCCTAGGTGAGTCAGTGAGTGAGGGGTGAGTGAATGTGAAGGCCTAGGACTTTACTGTACACTACTGTAGGCTTTATAAAGACTGTGCACTTGGGCCACACTACATTTATATTAAAATTTTTTCTTTCTTCAATAATAAATTAGTCTTAGCTTACTTGTAACATTTTTACCCTGTAAACTTAATTTTTTTAACTTGTTAACCGTTTAGTAATAATGCAGCTTAAAACACACATTGTACAGCTGTAAAAAATTTTTTCTTTATATTATTATTCTGTAAGCATTCTTGTATTTTAATTTTTTCTTTTATTTGTAATTTTTTTTTTTGTTAAAAACTAGGACACAAACACACACATTAGCCTGGGCCTACACAGGGTCAGGGTCATCACTATTACTATCTTTCACCTCCGCCTCTTGTCTCACTGGAAGGTCTTCAGGGGCAGTAACACATGCGGAGCTGTCACCTCCTATGTTAACAATGCCTTCTTCTGGAATACCTCCTGAAGGACCTGCCTTAGGCTTTTACAGTTAACTTTTTAAAAATAAGTAGAAGGAGGTATACTCTAAAATAACAATAAAAAGTAGAGTAAATACTAAGTGATAGGACTTTTTCAGCTCTGTTATAATCTATGGGACCATTATGGTATATGTGGTTTGACATTGACCTAAAAGTGGTTATGTGGTGCATGACTGTACTTCATAGCTTTGTTTTATAGCTTGTTTCAGTGCTTACTCACCATTGCTGTTTAGACTTTTTTTCTTAGGTTTATACAAATTTCTTCTTGCTGAAATTCAAGCCCATTTCTCCCTGGTTCTTCTTTAGAAGGAATAGAGACTAGTCGGATGGTGTCTTAATAATAATCCTGTATGTATTTAAAGGAGACTAGAGTTATCTCCCCTATTAACCCACAGACAGACAGATTTGCTCATGGCTCAGTGGCCAATTTCCATCTGTAAGGCTTCAAACCATTAGGTCCAAAGATGGCTGAATTAGGCCTGTACCATACGGGGGTGTCTCCTTTGATTACCTTCCCCAAAGCCATCTTGGTGGGACTTGAGGGATTTAAGGAGCTATTGTTGGACACCGACATCACCATTTCCACAGTCCATATGGAGAGAGTGATTATCTTTTTTACTTTCTCTTAAATGCAGTTCTTTCTACTTCCCTTCATCTTCCCTAAGCTTCATGTCTCTAATTAACAGATTATGAAACTTCTAGACCTCTTGGGCTAGAACAGAAAATGAATTGGAAAATTCAAAGGGAAATTGGACAATGCCTTTTCCTCTTGGTGACAGCATTAGACAGCCTCTGAGGTGGCCTCCTGCTATTCACACTTTGTGCAGTCACCGGCCTTTGAGTGTGGGCAGGACCTGTGACTTGTTTCTAGTTGATAGAATATTGTAAAGGTGATGGGATGTCATTCATGTGATTATGTTACATTGTAACATAGTATATGGTATAAGTCATGTGTTGTGGGTTATGCCTCGTATACAAGACTTTGTCTTGCTAGTGAAATTGCCCCAGAGACTCTCCTTGCTGGCTTGATGAAGTAAGTGGTCATGATGAGAAAGTCCATGTGGCAAGCAACCATGGTGGCCTCTGGGAGCTGAGGGCAGTCTCTAATCAATAGCCAGCAAGAAAGTGGGGCCTTCAGTTCAGCTGCAAGGAAGTAAATTCTATTAAGAACCTGAGTGAGCTTGGAAGCAGGTTCTTCCCCAATCAGGCCTGCCTGTGAGAATGCAGCCTGGCTGACAACCTGCTTGCAGTCTTATGGGATCCTGAGCTAAAGACCCAGCTGAAGTGTGTTCTGACTCCTGCCCCACAGAAACTGTGAGATAATAAATACTTGGTGATGTTTTAAGCTGTTAAATGTGTGGTGGTTTATTAGTCAGCAAGAGGAAACTAATAGAATGGCCATTTGATTTGGCTTATCTGACAGTGTGTGGGGAAGTCTACAAGGATTTTTTGAGAGAAGGCCTCCAAAGAAACATTTAGCCTAAGTGTCAGGCTCAATAAAATACCTCATATTTATATACTTGTAAATATTTTGGACCATGCTTAAGATATTCTATAACATTTAAATAAAAGCTATTTTCCCTTTAAAATGAATAATAAATGTAACAACAAAATTGTCATTTACTGAGCACATTCTGTATGCTTTGGAGTGCTTTGTAGATACTAATTCATTTAATCCTCTTAACTGGCATGTAGGTAGGCACTATTATGAACTCCGTTTTACAGACAAGGAAGCTGAAACACCAAGAAATGAGGCCATCTACTTACGGTCACTAAACAAATTTGCCAAAAAAAAAAAAAAAAAATACAAAACGTGAGAAAGGCTTTTGGCCTTTTGGTATCCAGTTATGTCCAATTACGTTTTCTTTTTTTTTTTTTTTTTTTTGAGACAGTCTCACTCTGTCCGCAGGCTGGAGTGCAGTGGTGCAATCTTGGCTCACTGCAACCTCTGCCTCTCGGGTTCAAGCAATTCTCCTGCCTCAGCCTCCCGAGTAGCTAGGACTACAGGCACATGCCACCACGCCCAGCTAATTTTTGTATTTTTAGTAGAGATGAGGTTTCACCATATTGGCCATGGGGTCTCAATCTCTTGACCTTGTAATCTGCCCACCTTGGCCTCCCAAAGTGCTAGGATTACAGACGTGAGCCACCACACCCGGCCCATATCTTCATTTTTAGAATTATGTCTAGAGATTATGAAAACGGGACATGGCATGTGCCTCACTAGACTTCCGAGAGGACCTATATAAATTAATCAGCTATTTTCACTAATAATTACAATAAGTGCTGAGTAGACATAAGTGAATGCTTCGGTAAATCTATAAAGCTGGAAATTGAGACGTTCAAACCCTTGAACCAAGTAGGATTTCCACAGGAACACTCATTTTGGACAAGTTATTTGCATGTTGTTTCTATTTGTCTCTATTTTAGTGGCTTTTTTCACTATATTTTTCATTTTGTTAATATTATTTTGAAAATGTAGAAACAAAAGACTGAGCCTGACATGGTCAATGGATGGACCATTTTGTGGCTGTCTTAGGTCATGCTGTTTTTATGCATCCTGGAATGATATTAAATTACCTTTGGAAAAATAGCTGTACCATGTCCCAAGCTGGTGGGAAGCCTATGATTTACTTTTTTTCTACAGGCCTTAAATGTAATCAAGCATTCCCAAATTCTATTTGCAGCTTTTTTATTTCCTTTGGCCTTAAGAACCCCATTCAGATTCTGCCAACATGTTTTTAGTGAATGCTAGGAGGTAATTACTAGTGTCTTCACTTTACAGATAAAAAACCCTGAGACTCAGAAAAGCAAAACTCTCTGTGGTTAAACAATTAGAAATAACCAATAAGGGATCTGAAATCAAGCTATCCTGTTTCACACTCAAGGCCCTATTGACTATATAACAAACTGAGTGCTATGTATTCCCTCTAAAAAGATTCTTAATGACAAATGATCATGAGCTAGACCATGCATGCTTCCCCCCACTCCTCATTGTGGAGTGTGCAGAAAAAGTAAGTAGAAGTTATTTAAATATGCCTGATACTGTTCCCCAAAATGGTGCATTTTTTAAGCTCACTGGGAAGGCTCCAGCTGCCCCAAGTGTGTCCTCCATTGCCATCCATGCCACTGGAGACTTATTCCTTTGGATCTGGAGGCTTTGTGCTCCTCATAAGTTTCATTACAAATCCAACAGATGGAGAGAGCACAGAGCATGATGGGAAGGCAGTTCAGAGCTACCCAGGGGTTCTTTGAAAGCCTCCCGCATATATTCTTCCAGTTAGAGATGGCAGTGCCAGTTAAAGAGGTGTGATTTGAGGGAAGGAGGAGGGGTGGTTTGTACTGTGGCTCTTCTGGAGTGGGCAGGGCTGAGCCCTGAAGTGGAGGCGCCCTTCCTAGTGTATTTGTAACCAGACACCACCCCACTTAGAGAAGTAACTGAACTTTTAGCCTCCTCTGAACAAACATTTTTTAAAGCTCCTAAATAAAATGTAAAAGCTCCATACCCCACCCCTACTTTTGCTTTGTCCCTGGGTCTAGTTTAATTACGTATCCCATGCCCTGAGCGCTCCCCTCTGGGGAGTGCCTTCACAGTCTGCATCTCTTGGGTCTGGGGCATTGAAGAAATCCTTCCTTCTCCCTGAGAGTTGATCTGGAGTAACCCACCACAGCTGAGCCCTGCTCATGCCCCACATTCCAGATCACATCTTCTGGAAGCCCTACAACCGATGAGAAGAAAGCAGGACTTGACTCATGGGGAATTTGCGAGGGTTGTAGGGAGGCCAGTCGCAGCAGCAGGAGAAGAATGAACCTTCATTTTGAATCTCTCACACTCAGAGAGAATAACCCAATTTGAACACTGTCAACTTGTTCCTTAGCTGGTAGGTCTTCTGGTGCTATCTGAAACCATCGCATTTTGCTTTACTCATTTGTTCAATAACATTCCTTACTGTGTGTCAAGCACTACTCTAGGTATTAGGGATACAACAGTCAACTTGGTCCCTTTTCTGAAAGCGTAAATTGTTCAATGGGAGAGTCAGACACATGGATGAGTGATTGCCATTCAGAACAATACATTATGTGGGAACACATAGGACAATCTAAGACCATATGTAAGTACTTTATTGCTGCATAACAAATTACCCCCAAACTTGGTAGCTTAAAACAATACATATCTCTTGTCTCATACAGATTCTAAAGGTCAAGAGTCAGGGAGTAGCTTAGCTGGGTGGTTCTGGCTGAAAGTCAATCATGATATTGCTGTCAAGGTGTCAGCCAGGGCTGCAGTCATCTGAAGGCTTGGCTGGGGCTGAAGGATCTGCTTCCAAAAAAGCTCACTCACGTGGCTGTTGGCCTCTGTTCTTTACCACATAGGCCTCTCTTTGGGCTGCTCACAACACGCCCTGCCCTAGCCTCCCCATCGGAACAAGCAACCTTAGAGAGAGGGAGCAGACAGAAACCACAGTGTTTTTTATACCTAGTCTCAGAAGTGACTTCCCATCAATTCTGCTGTATTCTATTGGTAACAGACCAGCCTTAATACAGTGTAGGAGGGAATTACACAGGGCATAAATACCAGGATGGGGGTTTATTGGGGACTGTCATGGAGACGGTCATCCTCATCCAGTCTAGGTGCATGAGAGAAGGACCCCAACAGAAACGAAGGCCACAGGAGGAAAAGAGTTCAAGCCCTGGTATTGTTCCGTGGCTCATGAAGATTTGCAGTAGCTCTCAATCCACTAACAAGGGGTGGTTTCTCTCCTGACACGATCTCTTTCCTTCTTTGGATGCTTAGGATGGCCAGGTGCCCTTATATTGGGCTCATCCAGTCTCAGGACCTATCATTTTCTAAGCCAGGAGGAAAGTGGGATGAGAATATACTAAATTCCTTGGCCACTCTGAGCCACACCCCCCTGCATGAGGAGCTTTATCTGAACTCGACTAAGACCTCTGTAATAGATCAATCGACAAATTGTATGGGTCATAAATGTACCGGATTTGTATCATTATTACTGGTGCAATGTAGAGACAAATTCAACGTCAGTAAAAGTACCAGATGACCAACCAAAATTGCTAATATCCAGTAATGTGTGTCCACTGAAACTTCTTTTTGTCTTTGTGGGAAAAGAAGTGACTTTGTGGGAAGTCTGAAGGTTGGGGATTCTTAGAAGATTTCTAAATGAAATAACATCTTAATATTTTTGCTCATTTTTACAACTATGTCAAAATGGAAACACATTTACAAGAATTTGACTTTTTACTTACCACTAATTGAGATTTTTTTAAAGCATCAATTGTGGGGTTTGGTAAAAATTGACATATTTCTTCCAAGGGAAAATATACTGACCTTTGCAAGGTGTCAAAGGTAACAGAACTCTGACAATAGACTAATCTCAGAGACTGATTATCTTTAACATTTATATTCCCTGTATCAATAGAAATGAGAAGGAAATGAATGAGTCTGAATTTTAAATTCATCATTTTCTGTGTGCATTTGTGGTCTGGGTCTTTGGTCACTGAGCCAAGCACTGTAGACCCCAGAGCACAGGAGAGACCTCATGTTTAGGAAAGTGGGAGTTGTTTCGTGTCAAAACTAGTGGCAAAAGGAGTATGATGCTCCCAGGAGAGCAGGAAAGCATCTATCAGAAGACTCAAGTGTACTTTCTCTCTGCTCATAACCTTCAACCTCTTTGTTTTCTCTGAATCACTCTCAACTTTCTTCCACCACAATCTAAGGCAAGGCTGATTTTAAAGTACTTTTTCATTTCCCTTTTATTTTTAGGAGGTTACCAGAGGCAAAGGTAATCATGCTCTGATGAACTGTAACTCTTCCCAAATCTCCTAACCTCTTCTACCTTATGCATAGTAGTTTACTCTGCCCTTTGCATTAATATTAGGCCCTTTCCAATAAATGATTCAAAATGTAAGACAATTGATACACGGTATAACAGAGCCCAACAGTAGGACTCAGACAACTGAAATATTGGCTACAGTGGGGCAAAATATGAAAATATGGAGCTATGAAGTAAAATGCAAAGATTGCAAACATATAACAATATCCAGAATCTGCTTGGTCATTTGGAAAATGATTTTTTTTGGAAAAGTTTTTTTTTTTTTTGGAAAATAGTAGGTATCAAGAAAGAAACTCAGAGAAGGGTAGGATTGTCTCATGTCACTTACTGTATTTTGATGCATGGCTGAATTTTAAATGTTAAAATGACTTAACACGGTTACAGACTTTAGAAACCTGCCCCTCACCCCCTATATCCCTAGAGCACATAAAAGACATTCCTGTTAAAGATACAAGTGTATATGAAAAGGCTAGTAGTACTAAAGTTTGGGTGATAAACTTATCTGTGTTTCCAAATCATAATATTGAACATTCATTCTTTTGCTTTAGCAACAGGTTTTAACATCAATTTTTCATATCCTAAATCCCTAATTAGTTCTTTTCTTAACCATCTGTTCTTTTAATTGTTTATAATACCTTCTCTTATCAGACTGAAGATATTAATTATACTTCAAGTCCAATTCTATTTTAACTGGTTTCTTGAGATATAAGTTCTTTTCTTTGTGTGATTGCTGTTTGTCTTCCTCCTTCCCAACTATGTTGTTGGAGTAGAGGAAGAAGCTACTTAACTTTTCTTTCTACTTTTTCAGCAAAAGTGGGGAAAGGTGAGCTGTGTCATAGACAGTATTCTAGTGGCTGGCCTTCGGAGTGTTGCCGCTCCCCTTTCCTCATGGGGCACTGCCCTGTCTTCTCTAACCCTAGAAGTACTCCCTTCAAAGAAAGAGCCGTCTGTTGCTGCTGCCTGGGCCAGGGGTGAAGGATGGCATGGGCAGGCATTAGCATTCCTGGATATCCTACTGTAGAACTGCAATCCAGCCGTGTGGCTGGTTGTTTGTGAACCCTCCCCTGCTCCTAACACCCTTCATCTCTAGACAGGGAGCACCAGCTCTGTGCTGAGGCTGGCTTGCACCTGCTCATAAGAACAGATAGTTCAATTTTCAGGAAATTTGCCAGCCAGTTGTTAAACAGCCATTATTAAAAATTAAATTATATAAGCTTATAATTAAATAAATTATATGAAAAGCAAGCTAATAAATACTCAAAACTCATCACTTCCTAGTTATTTGGCTATATGTTATTATTATTCATGTTCTCGAGGTTATTTATCCATGATGGAAATGTTTACAGCATGCATGTCAACAAACACTAAAAATCTGGGCTTCTTCCCCACCACAGAACCAGTTTTTAAACATGTACCAGTATATCACTAGGCATACACTTCTGTAACTTCTCAATTTCTTGGCAGTACTTAAACCAGACTGGCTGGGTTTAAACCCAGATTTTGCCATTTACTGGCTATGTAACTTGGGCACATCATTTAACTTCTCTGTGCCTCAGTTTTATCACCTGCAAAATAGGGATAATATAGCAACTATTTCACAGGGTTGCTATGAGGATTAAAAAAATGATATTTATGAAGCACTTTTAAAAAATGCCTGAAACCTAATAAGTACTGTGTATTTGCTAAATAAAATAAAATAAAAATTATTCTAAGAACCACTTTTCCCCTCTGATTCTATTGTAATTTTTTCTTATCTCTCAAAATCTTTTCTACTCTTTTTCCACACTAATAAAACATCCAACTTTCGTTGTACCCATGACCATTCAAAATAAAGATAAGATTTCTCAGCCTCCCATGAATAAATTGGGATCAAGTGATATAAACAGATGCATCATGTAATCACATCCAGAAATTAATCTTCAAGTGACAGTTGGCAAATTCCCTTTGTCCCCTTTTTTTCTGTATTCCCGCCTCCATTGTGGTCTCTGAAACTTGGGTGTGATGGCTAGAATTCTACTCACCATATGGTACCATGGGGAAGAAAGTCATACCCTAGGGATAATGGAAATCTGAACATACAAATATGAAAAGAACTACTCATAGTTGATGACAATAAAGATGTAAAAAGTGGCTGAAATAGGTTCATGGTTTAGAATGAAAATAAAGATATACAGATTCAGGTATATCTGTATAAATAAAAAGAGGCTTGAGAGCTAAACTTAGACTCTTAATGATCTTCCAGTTCCAGATCCATGAGGCCCAGCTCCCGTGGCTCATGTTATTGGATTTCTGGAAGATTCCATGTCCCTTATTGCCATGTGCATCTTTATAATATACTTTCACTACTGGAGCTAACATAATTGGCAATTTCTTGAAACTAGGCCTGAAACTAACTAAACCTTTTCATTTAGAATACAAATGTGAAGGTATAATTCTACTTATTTACAGGTATATTTTGTGCATTAAAATTTTTTTGTTGGGCTGGCACAGTGGCTCATGCCTGTAACCCCCGGGCTTTGAGAGGCAAGGATGGGAGGATTACTTGAGGCCAAGAGTTCAAGACCTACCGAGGCAACACAGTGAGAACCCTGTCTCTGCAAAAATTTTTAAAATTAGATGAGCACGGTGGTACACACTTGTAGTCCCAGCTACTCAGGAGGCTGAGGTGGGACAATTGCTTGAGCCCAGGAGTTTAAGTTACAGTGAGCTATGATTGTACCACCACACTCCAGCCTGGGCAACAAAGCAAGATCCTGTCTCTAAAAATAAAAATAAAAAGTAAATTTTTTTTGGTGCAGACAAACTTACACCACAGGCCTTCTCCTTTGGAAATGTTTATTCCACACTATCTGAATTTTTATATATTATCTTTAATTCATGTTTTCCTTGGGGAAAATTGCATAGATGAAGTTTGTTTATCCTCTAACTCCTTTGTTGCTCATTCTCATCTGAGTTAAGCTCCGTTTTGAACAGAGGCGTGCACCTGATGGACCCTCCTCAGACCTATGCCCAGTTCGGTAACACCACAGACTTTCTCTCCTTGTCTCATCACAATTTACCAATAAGATAAGATTTTCCTTAAGACAATGCTAAATAACTGGCCAGTTAATCAAAAACAGTCTGATTTGCATTGAGACAATATTTGATTCTATTATGGACTTTATTATTGACTCATATGAAAGTATTAAACTGGCTCTTCCAGTTAAAGCAAAGGAAAGTTTAATATTTGCAGAATATTTAGTTAGATGTTTGGCATTATCCTAAGGGCATTATTTAACCTAACTTTTACAATGACTGTGTCGAGGAAGGTTTTTTAGTTGCGAGCAAGAAAAACCAATTCTGGGTAACAAATAGAAAATAAATAAATTGAAAGGATATTCATTTGGGAGCTCACAGGGTTGCCAAGAGGGCCACAGAATGAGGCTTGGAAAATGGGCAGAAATAAAGATAAGGCAGCCCTACTATTAATTTTAATACTGATGCAATCTCTGCATTAACAGATAAACCATGATATCTCAATGGCTTAAAACAATATGTATTTCTCACTCACAGTTCAATTGGTGTTTGAGGGAAAGAAGGTGAGGCTTTGCTCTACGTAATCGCTAAAGAGGTCAAACTGACAAGACCACAAATGTTTTCAACATTGGACTTCCAGGATCACCTTGACCTGAATATTCTGTCACCAGATGAGGGGAAAAGAGCAAGTGGAGACACAGTCCATGTGCACCTTTTTTATAGGTCAAGACTGGAAGCAGCCTCCGTCACTTCTGTCTACATTTCATTGGGCAGAAATTAGTCACGTGACCACACCTAGCTATGAGAGAGGAAATACCACCTAGTAAGAAAGAGGAACAGCTAGCTTGTCTCTGCCCCAGCCTATCCTTCTGGTTGCCAAAGATCTGTGTCATGTTTCCTTCTACACACAGCACAATCACACACTCCCCAAGAAAGAGAACTCAAAGCACTGTCTACTCACTGAGTTAGGCTCTATGTCCAGATTCTCTAGGGATGCCATCTTCCCCATCAGGTCCAGATTCATGGCTCACCATGGCCCAGCTATCTGTAAGTAGAAGGACAATTACCTACTGCCTCCTCCCCAACACATCCCTTCTAGAGTGGTGGGACAAGAACAAAATAATTGCAGTAAACATACCCTTGTGAAAAAGAGAAGACTCATAGCAGTCACTGGTGAAGGTGTCATATTTTACTGGGGGAAAGACGTTATGAAAACCCTGCTCTGGGAGTGAGGAAAGTTTCTGGAATAGGTCCTAGATCTGCTTTCTCAGAGAAACTCCCTTGTCCATTGGTCTTCATAGCTCCTGGATCCACTATGTAAAAGTTTCTTCTTTGTCCTTTTCCTCCTTGGCCACTTGTAATATGAGTGAAGGAAAATACACCCTCCTAGGAGGCTGTATAACTTTGGTGGCCCAAAGCCTATTTTAATAATCAAAGGTATGCTTTAGTCTAACTTTATGGTTTCTTTGGCAGTACAATTCCCTCAAAAACCTAGTAGATTTCTAATATATTTACTTCCAATCAACTTCATGTGCTAGAAAGCATATCCAAGGTTCTTCCCTAGTCATAGTTCTTAGGCCTGATTTATATTCTTGCTTTCTAAGTCTTCATGTTTCATTCTCTGTCTACTGTATTGAACCCATCGGGGCTAAATAGGAAGACTTCACCCTTGATTTGTTCTTAGCTGCAAGGCTGAGTCTTATTCATTCTGATTTCCTACTGTTTTTTTGGAAGCAGTCAATTTTTCCAACTTTTCAACACCTCTAGTTTCTGACATTCCATTTCATTTTTGCTTGAAAACAAGCCAATCCTTGCCTGAGTTCATCCATTTTTTTTGGAAATTGCTACTAACGTTCTGTTTTCCAACCCTTTTCCCTAGAGCTAAAGAATCAGCATGCACTTGGCCTGTCTTTTGAGTTATAGCAAGAGGCAGTTTTATCAAAGGTTTTGCCACCGCATAACATAGATCTTCATCTTTCCAGCCTCCAAAGTCAGTTTCCCTGCCATTCACATCCTCGTTGCTTAGCTGATGCCAGACATTTTAGGTTTTTGTTATGGCAACATTCCACACTCTGGAATGAATGTGCACATTAGTTATGGAAATTCTAGCTGTTATTTGGATTTCCTGAAATCTCAATGACATAATACAATAGAAGTTTTTTTCTCATCCACTAAAATCTAATTGGTGAGGAGGCTCTGCTCCCTATAACCATTCAGGGACTCAGGCTGATGAAGGCTGTGCCATATTTAAATGTGACTTCAAGGTTAGACTGGGCATCACCAGCCAGCTGATAGTTGAAGGAAGAGAGATTATGGAGAATCCAGTGGGAGGACTTTATGGATCAGACCTGAAGTGATATCTATTTCTATCAACCACAAACTATTAGCCAGAACTCTGGTAATAGGTCAAACCTAACTCAAAAGGGAGACTGAAAAATACAGTACAGTTGTATGCCCAGCAGGAAAGGAAAATAGGTAAAAAACTACACGGAGTCTCTTCCGTAAACTGGAACCTCAGCCAAAATCATGCCAAACAACAGATGAGTGAGGACAACACCCCTTTTGCTGCTGGAGGCTGGACACGGAAGCTTGCACCACCAATGCCTCCAGCATCCAAACAAGATACTGTCATTATGTTGCTGCCCCTTAGAAGACAATCTTGCTGCTACTGTCACACCATCCACGCTAGAATAGGTTCTCCATGGTCCTAGTCTCTTTAACTCACTAGCTCCCAAGTCAAAGCCCAAAGCAGATTTGTAGAGTTTAGGTCATAGGCCTACTCCCTTATTTGCACTAAAGCCTGGGAAAACAAGTCTGCATTTTTAGCTTCTACAGGGAGCTGTAGACTCTGCCCTCAATCGTAACTCATAAGGTGAGAGAGTCTCCAAATAAACATGGGGAATCAAACTAAATCAAAGGAAACAATTTCATGATGGAAATTTCAGCAACAATGGCAAGCTGGTAGGAAAGAGTATTTTGAACAAGTAGGAGGTGGCCGACTTTATTCTGTATATGTATATGCATGTGGTCTTGATTCCTATCCATCAAGATTTCTGAAGGTTTGCTTTCATCTAGAGCTGTCTTGCTCACCACAGCATCCCACTGCCAAGAATAGTGCCTGATACTTGGTAGTCACTCAATAAATGTTTACCAAATCAAAGAATCCTCGGGGTGGTAGATATGCTCACCTATGCTTCTGTTCCTTCTTGCATTTTTGATAGCTGGTAGGGGTTGTTTAAACCTAAATACAGGAATAAGAGTAAAAGAGCTTCAATATTAGATAGATGGACCACACCACAGGAGTGTCTCCTGCCTAGTTTCTGACTATAGAAGTATTCTTTTAATTATATAATACAGTCCATGAAAATCAGAGATAGGAGGAAAGACCAGTACACATTGCCAAAAATTATTTTTCAGGTTTTCTCCATTTTATCTTTCAGAAGGATATACTGAAATTTAAGTCTGAAAGTTAATTTTTTTTATCCAAAGAGATTCATGTTCTTGGTCCATATATTTGGAATGATCTCTTTGAGGTGCTTCTTTTTCCTTAGTAGGCTAGTGGCCTTGAGTATGTCTTATAAGAATTTGTGTTTGTTTCCTTTTCTTATAGAATTCCTTCCTGGGAATGTGAATTATGGCATCTCTTTGACAGAGAAAGATTTGCTTTTCCAAAGATTTTAAGTGGCACTGATATTACATGACAATATTTTAAAAGACAACCGACTAATACAGGGTAAAGATGTTTAATCCTTTCCTCTCTAACAAGAAAATCTCCTTTCATCCTGTATTATTTTCATAAGAAAAACTATGGCATGCATTACCATGTCTCAGTTTATTTGCCCTGATTTAGATGAGGTTAAAAAGTTATATGTTCAATGAGCTCTTTAGGAAAAAAGAGAAATGGGAAAGAAGAGGGGAGAGGAGGGGAGGGGAGGGGAGGAGAGGGAGAATCTGGCTTTCTTTTCCAGTATAACTTAGATTTAGAATTAAGAGTCTGAAAATTACAAAATATGGATGTTGGGCACCACAAAAAAGGGAAATTTCTGGGAAAGGGGTATTCTGTCTCTTCTATTACACCCTAAAACAGGGATCCGGGAGCATGGCCACCTGGCACAGATGCCCTGCCTTGCCTGCTGAGGCTGCCTGCAAAAACCTATCGTCTCTTAAAGAGACAAGGCTGTATTCTGAACATGGCTCATCTTGGCCTGAGGAATCAGACCCCTTTTACATCGTTTCATAGCCGTAGATGCTCAGATTTTAAGAGTGCAGAGCCAGGTGCCTGTATAAACTATGTGTTTGAAAAGGGGCTGGGATAAAGGTGCAAGAACAGGACAAAAGAAATGTTCTGCTCAAACAATGCATAAGTGGAGAGTCTGTACATGTCGGCCAAAATGATTGTAAATAGGACTGAGACTATTAGCCTGGATGCTCCAGTCCAGATTCAGTATTTCAAATACCTCCTGGTACTGTATTTGCAAATCATATTTGAGTAAGCACTGGAGCTTTTTTCCTTTTTAGAAATCGACTACTTTTTGTTGCAGGATAAGATGAAAGACAAGCTAATTGCTTTAAAAAATTATTAAAAAGTATTATTTTTTAAATTTCTGAGCACGTTGGAGTTAATAGTTTTGGCATCTAGTGTTTCATTTCAAGGCTAATATACCATGCCATCTGCCACGTGACAGTGTCTTTATTAGGTTACCATGGTATATAAAAAGCAAAATGCTTTGCAAAGTTTTTGAGCAGGATGATTTTTATTTCCCCCTTCAAATTTTTTCAAATGTAAATGAACATGTTTTCAATAAAACTGTTGAAATGAGTTATAAATATTGAGATGGTAGTACCCAATAATTTAAGGCTGATGTTTTCTTTTACAATCTTAATTTTTTTAAATCTGAGAATAATCCTAAGGCTTAGAGAATCTTACAAATATATATAAACTATTAATCCCATTACAACATTAATGACTACAAAAAATACTCAGAATTATTTCCTCATAATTAAAAAAAGGACCTTTACTTCAACTGTATTTAAGCAAACTGAAACTGTTCATTTTTCTTTTGTTTAAGCTGGAAGCAAAGTACAGAGTCTCAAAGAAGGTGAAAAGAGAAAATGGGATTTGCAGAGTTTTTGACATAAGCTAATAATTTTCTCCTTAAAGCTAATGATTTATATGCACTAGTTTGCCTCTGCCTCCCAAAATGTAGTTTGAGGTGGCAATGTAATTCAGCTTTGCTGGATCAATTTCATCCAGCTTCATCTAAGCCGGATGATTTTTGCAAGTGTTTTTAAAGATAATGTGTGATCAGTATGTCTCTTTCATGCTCTGGCAGTCAAAGTTTCAGGCTTTCTCCCCCTTCTGTCTCTGGGGAAAATTTTCCAGGCTTCAATTTTTCCATATGCCTTGTAAAAAGAATTTTTTTAAATAAGTTGTTTGTGTCCAGGGGTACATGCACACGTACACTAAGAGGCATACATATGTATTTAACTGAAAGAGACAGCAGTCATATATACTTGTGACAGTACTTTGACATTCATATAAGCAAAAGGTGTAGGGAAAAGATTTCTGGCCCACCAGTCTCACTTTTATTATTGAAATGAAGCACATTAGGGATTGTTCTGGAAAAGAATTTCTGTATAACTCATGACCTAAGCTTACTATTACAAAGCCTAGGATGTGCCTCCCATAAGAGATAAGATTAAAATGACATGGAGATGGGCACTGGTGGGAGGCCCAAAAAGTACTCAGCATCACTGCTTATTTCCAATTAAAACTAGTGTTTCTAATTAAACACTAGACCACTAGGCTCTGTTTAGATCCACGGTACAGAAATTGCATTCCTAAAAGCAACATAAGGGAATATAGAATACTTAACTTTCAAAGTAAGTCAATAAATACTTGTTGAGTAACTATTTATAGGATAGGAACTGTACTAGGTGCCAAGAAGATGACTTGAGTAAGATAGACGCTGCCCTAGGTTTCTTGTAGCTTCCAGGCCGATGGTGAACTGGTATTTCCCAATGATGGATAGTACTGTGCTTAGAAAACTAAGACCCCAGAGATTGGAAGCAAGGCCTCACGAGGACAAAATTTCACAAACCCAGTGTCTGTGCCACAAGATTGATTTCAGTTAGAAAATAGAGCAGGTAGAAGAGAGATTGACAAAAGTTGAACAGATTCAGGACATTGACTCAGTGAATGTCAAGAGGCTGATTGATCCCTAGTGTGGTACTGCTGAAAGCTATTGAGGTTGTCAATGGGTAGACACACAATGAGCCTTTTCAAGTAGTTTATTCTCCAATGAGCCTTTTGATAAAGACTTGGAATTGTCTGTCATATCTATTGAGCATCTACTTAACCACTACTTCTTGGAACTTGTGTCATCCTAAGTAGAAATCCACCTACATAATATTCTGTCCCTTCTTGGGATGATTAGAAAAACATTCCTGGTTATGAGGGTGAAATATCAAAGAGGGTGAAAAACTGAGGCTACTCTGGCCCGAGGAGTGGTCGCTGATTGGCTACTTCGGAAGTGGCTCACCAGAAAGGCCTTTGCCAAGCCATTGCCTCCTCCCTACGCCAGTGATGCAATATCACCCCACCAGAATGTTTTGTTCTCCAAGACCCTTGTTTCAATGGGTACATCCCATTAGCAAGGCCAGCAGATGTCAGTCCTGATCCACTTTTTCTCAATAATGAACGAGGAGGAAGAGCCTATCGCTTTCCCAATCACTGCCTTCCATTTGCTGGCTTTTCTTCTTCCTGAGATGGAGGCCTCCTGCTTGGTTTGCTTTGTTAATATTTGCATTATTCAATAGTTATTATGTGATAAGCATGTTGTTTGCTTTCGATTTTGGTTGGTTTATTTTCTTGTGCTTTTATTCTTAGCTGGTGGCTTAACTTGAGTTACAGCTGTGACCTGTATATTACTCAGCATGGATAGAATGTATGTTTTTACAGCTTCTTACCTGATGCCTCAACAATCCAAAGTTGGGTCAAAAAAACAAAACAAAACAAAATTTAACGGGAAAAACATGTAGCTTTTATTCTGCAAAGTCATCTCCTTGGTGTCAGCCTTGGATATATCCCTTTTAGAATGAAGAGGCTTAGGCTTGCAAGTACTTCAGCAAACATCGTTTCTGAATGCACATATTTTTAGCTTTCTGATTAAGAAGTAGTAGGATCCCTGTGCATTTACTGAGTGGGAATCTTATCCTTGAGTTAAGACATTTTATGTTTAAAGATTAAGTAATTTATCATAAGTGCATATGGAACGATTTTAAGTAAACAGAACATAAAGCTACTGTTGAGAATGCATTCTGCTGCTTGCAATACACTATTCATTATGAAGACATGCTTTAAAATTGCTATTGAAGTTTTAAAGTCCAGGACTTACTAGTGAAGAAAAATGTGTGTTTTTGCCTTTGATCTAGTATTGTTTGTTACAGCTGATTAGCTGTTACGTACTCCAAGGTAAAATTGTCATGTAAGATGATTTCAACATGTTATAAAAGAATCTGAACATTGAGAGATGGCCAGGGACAAGAGTGCATTTGGGCAATACTCTGTGGCTTAAGTTAAATGTCACATACTTATTTTACCAAGTTGCTTAACTCAAACCACAAGAACTTTCTTGATTTATTAAGAATAGCAATACAACCTAGAAGATATATGCAACTTTTAAACAACTCTCACTGAATATTGCAGTATTTTATTTCTTTCAAAGTAAAGACTATAATAACCAGATGCCTAATGCTGACTTTTTTATTTTTCACTTGAACATGACTTCTGGCTTTCAAGAATTTTAAAATCAAATCTAAGTAAACTTAACTCTTCTGGGGGCAGGGAGACAAAATCAATCATTATTTATAATTCTTTGCAACGTTAAAAATTAAAAACCAAAGGGTAGGTATTTGTAATTTTTTATTTCAAGCTGTTATTTTGATTACTTGCAAATTTTTTGCCTATTTTTAACTAAAAGAGAGACTCACTAATAAAAATACATTTATACCAAAAAAAGTATTCATATAAAACATCTTTTCATACTTTATTTAGAATTCCTGTGTTAATGTCAGCTGCAAAATTAAGAACAAAGCAAAGATAATTTCAGAAGACTTGTCTTGGCCTATAACATCGTGTCCTATTATTCCATCCAACTATCTAGACCAGTGCTTTCAATGGAAATATATAATGTGAGCCTTAAACAAGAGTCACACTTGTAATTTTAAATTTTCTGGTTGCCACATTTCTAAAAGTGAAAAGGTAAAATTAATTCCAACAACATATATTCAAAATATTATTTTAACATGTGATCAATATAAAAAATTGTACATTATATATTTTGTGTTCTTTTTTATGTGTTCTACGTTTTTGAAATTCCCATATAGTTTGCATTTATAGCACATCTCAATTCATGCAAGCCACATTTCAAGTACTCAGTAGTCATCTGTAGCTAGGGGCTACTATATTGGGCAGTACAGGTCTAGATGATCAAATGCCTACACTGAATGACTTCATAGAATATCACTGTTGAGCTGACACCGATCTAAAAGATTCACATGTCGGAGCAAGACTGTTAGTGGAGTAAACTCCTCGAGTGTACAGGACCCCTTTGTTCTTGTTCTATTTTGTTTTTAACAGCTTGCTCTGCTCCATAAAGATCCATCAGTCACCCTCAAACTCTTCGGACCTTCTGCCTGTTCATTCCTATGAAGCTGCGTTTGCTAAGGTACTCGGTGACCTGGAGCAAACATTCTAAAACAGCGCAAATGGCAGAAGCAGAGCCTACAGGCTTCTTGTCGGGAATCCGTTCGGAGTATGGAAAGAATCCCAGTGTCTGTGGACTTCTGGGTTGTCTGCTGTGCAGTTCTGAAATGTAACCCTGGGATTCCTAAAAGAATGTCAACTCTGTGCTTTGGATTTTCTGTGAGTCTAAATTTCACAAATTTAACCAGTTTTTCTTTCAAATAGGTCCCAACTTCTTAGACAATGTGTCTCAGTGTGGGGTTCAGAAAATATGGCTGCTCTAGAGAAGGTCCTTCCTGTTGCAGGGCTGGTTTTCCAATGTAGAGCGACTACTGAGGTGAACTTTCAGAGCTGGCATAAGGATTATTTGGAAATGGTAACAGAAATAATACAGAAGCTGGGGGATAAATTGTAGATGTTTCGGGGAAAAGAAACAGCATAGGTATTATGAAGTTAATCCCCTTCCCATAGGCCCTAAATTTCTGCAAGGTTAGTTGAGAGAGAAATTAAACTGAAAACTGAGAAATAATCCACGAAATGAAGATAAGTATCTTTCTTTGTTTTTTTATACCTCTACTATTTTACCCCACTCTAAGCCCTTAAAAAAAATCAATAAGCAGCCTTTGGTCTTGACATTTCCAGTAATATAACTCAATAGTATGGGAAATATTCATATATGTGAGCACATTACATGGAGCCTGGAGCATAGTGGGCACTAAATGAATGGAGGCCATTACTACAAATGTTATATTGCTGAGGAAACCACCCAGGCGACATGAGAAAACCAGAATGACAGTATGGTGCCATCTCCTCCGTATGTGTCACTTTTCTGTTTTATCTTGGTTCTCTGAAAAGCAGCACGTACCCATTATATCTTCTCTGTACCCTTCTGAATGGAATATTATTTCTTCCTTATTAACATACCTTAATTAATAATGGTGTCTTTGTATAGCTACTATGTCAGAACACCTCAGTGGGGTAAAGGTTAGGCATGATATTGCTGGCTGTCTTTTTATTTCTCTTATTAAGTTGAAAGAGAATATGGTTACAAAGTAATAAGCATGACTTCATATGGTCTTGAATAGGAATGTGATGGTTTTCTTAAAATGACCCTGGGTCCTTAGTTTTGGGCCAGATAAAGACTTGTGAATAATTTCTGAATCTTTTTGGGGGGGATAAAGGGATACTTTTATTCTTTACCCATTTTACAGTTTATAAAGAGAAGTGCCATATTAAATAGTCAGAAACAAGGATTGTTTTCTCCAAAATTAGCACTTAGTTATTATATTTGCTACCTAAAGTTCCATTGTCATCACTGAACTGTTAACTGCATAAAGCTGTTCAAGAAGAATTTGTCCAATGGCACAAATACACAGTTATCTTTGCATATTTACCTGAAACACAGTTGTTTGCTTGTTTTTCTCAGAGACTGCATTAGAAATAACCATATGTAACACTGCAGAAACAACCTATAGTTGAACATGACAACAGCAATTTTGTTAAGGTTCAGTTTTGCTTTTTCTCATTTGTTCCATATTTCCACTATTGCCCATCTAATATCAGTGGGCTTTTTACTTAAAGAAGAAGAGTGAGAAAGAAAGAGAGAGAGAGAATTGGACATAAATCATTTATTATAAAGAAATCAATTTCAACTCCTCTTCCCAGAACTGAAAGGAAGAGCTTCGTTAGGATCTCTTATCCTACTTAGTTTTTAGAATCCAAATTATATTTACTTCCTATAAAGTCATGACATGCAGGCTATAACAATGGTCCTCCCAAATCCATCTGCATCCCCACATTCTTGGGGCACCTCTCTTCTTTTTCAATTCCATTAATGGCTCAAAGACCACAGGCACCTTAGATTCAGCTACAGAGAATGATACTGGGTCACAGGCTCCTGTGACAATGACATTTTCTTTAGGAGTTCAGCAAAACTGCCTCACTGTTAACTTTTAATGAACATCTTTTCTTCCTTTGAAAAGTTTCAGTGAAATGAAACAAATGAGCAATTTCTCCTTTCGTCTCCACTTTTTGAGGGATAATATATAGTATCCTGGGTGCTGAAGTCTCCTGTGACATGCTGAATTTGGGGTGTGCCAATTTTTCCCACAGTTACACACAAATGTAATATAAGGGTTTTGGGTTTGTTTTTTTTTCCCCAAAGCCCAGGTCCTAAGATATCTTATAGCCTATAATACACCAAAAAGTAAAGAGGCTCCCCACCTGAATTTGGGCCCCACTGTTCATTTCAGAGGACGGCTGACTCAATGGAGAGCTCCCATGGGAGGCGTGCCAACAGTTCCTGGGACAATGAGTGGCACAGAGGCGCCACAGTCGTTATTTTGGAGCATTATTCTTTCTTGGTTTCCACAATAGCTGGGATCTCATAATTTAACATTAAGCCTCTTTTCAACTATATGGAAGTGTAATAAGGTGATTTAGCCAATGTGCCTGTTCGTTGTCCCAAAGATTCTGTGATCTATTATGCTGTGATGTGTAAAAAGAAAAAAAAAGGGAGAAAAATGGTGAAAAAAACATAAACCAACTAATTATCAAATACATTAAAAGCTGCTTTGCGAGAGCTATTATTTATTGGCATTTTTAATAAATCAATATAGATATAGGAATCGGCTGCAAAAGCCTCTGGGTTCATTCACATAATGAAAGCCCAATTAATATCCGCAAGCACAGTGCACTGCCGGCAACAGGGAGCTACAAGGACAATCACTGGCTTCCGCAGCCAACACTGACAGCTGCAGTGCCCTGATAGAAAACAGCTTCAAAGGCCCGATCCCCACCCCCACCCACACCCCAGCCTCAACTGAACACTCCCTTCATATCTCACCCGCACTGAGGCAAGGCCTGCAGGAACAGATGGGACACCAGAAGCAACCCATGGCTATCTGTGATGTCACCAAATGAGGCATTCTGGGATGCTGTTTGGGTGGCAAAAAAAAAAAAAAAAAAAAAAAAAAAAGTCAAAAGAATATGGGAGGGGGATGAGGAGGGATGAGGAAGAATTTTTTACGAGGTAAAATTAGCGTGGCAAGGCAACCACTGGGTTGGAGAATGAATGAACTGTAGGGTGGTGGAAGAGGTCATGCTGCATACAGATCGGGGCCGGCTTACATTTCAGTTTTATTTTAGTGTGGATTAAGGGAGCTTTATATTTGTGGGGCTCACGAGAAAAACATGTGGCTTCATGTCCTGTAGGCCTGTTTGCTTTGAATTCATCCAGGCCACAAAGCCCCTGCCAGCTCTCAGAGCTGGTATTGGGACACTACTGCCCTTCTCCCCAACCCCCAATCACTACTATTTTTTTCAAACAGGATCCAAACTTTCTTCCTTAAGATGTTGCATCTCTTGATTTTTTTTTTTTAGGTTTTTTTTTTTTTTGGCTGTCCCGAAATATTAATGAATATCTGACTAGACTAAAAACCTGAGTTCTAAAAATCACAGCATCCAAAACTGCTGTTTGGACCTCCTGTTCTGAGCAGCGATGGGGTAGCTAGCACACATATGGAGGCTTAAAGTCAATCTGCCAGGTGCTCTGTCACAGCATACACTGACATCTTGGCACCCAGGGTTCTGAGGAAGCCACCAGACACCAGTCTAGTAAAAGCAGAAATGTAGACCTTGACTAAATAGATAAAGAGAAAAAACTGGTCCTACCAAAAATTTCCAATTCTTGCGGAGATTGAGTGGACCAGAGGAGGTTATAAGGGAAAAATATTTTCCTTTGCCTTGTAATCAATATAATAATAATAATTGCAATTCATTAACTAATTAATTATATTCTTACAGCCCTTTAGAGTTTACACACATCTCCCGTGTCAGGAACTTTTAAACAAGGACTGCAATGATACTATTGTACAGAGAAGGCAGCTGAGACTTAGGGCAGTTCAGTAACTTGTTTATGATCACAGTTAGGAAATGTCAGAGGTGAGGCTTCATTCCCAGTCTTCCAAGTCCTCTACAAGACATGGAAGCCATTTGAAGGAATCCATGAAACAACCCATGATTGGTGACATGATTTGGTTGTGTCCCCACCCAAATCTCACCTTGAACTGTAATAATCCCCACTTGTTAAGGGCAGGGCCAGGTGGAGATAATTGAATCATGGGGGCATTTTCCCCATACTGTTCTTATGGTAGTGAATATGTCTCCCAAGGTCTGATGGTTTTATAAATGGGAGTTCCCTTGCACAAGCTCTTTTGCCTGCCACCATGTAAGACATGCCTTTGCTTCTCTTTTGCCTTCCACCATTATTATGAGGCATCCCCAGCCATGTGGAACTGTGAGTCCATTAAACCTCTTTCCTTTATAAATTACCCAGTTTCAGGTATGTCTTTATTAGCAGTGTGAGAACAGACTAATATAATTGGGATTTGTTTGTTTGTTTGTTTTGGCTCAAGAATCATTACTCTATGAGCATATATGTCCAACTAGAGTGTCTGTCCTATGTTATCCTTATAATAGCACTTGTTATGTTGAATTTGTACTTATTTATTTATTTGGCTGTTTTTCCCCCACTAGATTGGGACCTCTTTGAGGGATAGGCCTTTCTTATTCACCCCTGCATCTGCAGTGTTTTGCATAACACCTGGCATGTGGTAGGCATCTGTAAATGACTATTGAAGTAGGATGGATAAGTTAATACATAAACAGATGGATGAGTGGGTGGATGGACAGATAACAAAAGTCTTATTTTACCTATTTGTCTGATTTAGCATTCCCTCTCATGACCTTGAAGGAATGGAACATGTTGGGATAACCATTTCTGTATTTGTTAATTTACCAAAAATACTGTAACTGGCCTTAATAAGAAAAAGAAAAGATGACTGACTCCGATAAACAAACCAGAAGAATTATAATTATACAAAAACAAACCAATAGGAAAATAAGGCAGTCACTAGTGGCATTTATTTTTATTTTTGTTTTATTATCAGTTCTTGGAAATGGTCTCTGCAGACAACTCAGTAAAGCCTATTCGGGAGTGCTCTGCTAAGTGAGATAAATCCTCCTGGTAGGCAAGCTCATTTGAGTGCTTGAGTTAGTTTTTTGGATGACATTCAAATTAGCATCACTTCAATAAATGTTTACTGGGAGTCCTAGATGTGCTGGACTCAGAGCTAAATGTGGAAAAGGTTACCAGGTACAGCAGAGTTGGCTTTAGCCCAGAGGGAGTTAACAAACTAGGAGAGATTACACAGAATGCCTGCAGAAACCTTCAGTATAGGACTGTGCTTCCAGTACTCAAAGCACTCAGAAGAGGGTAACACGACTTCCAATCTGAGTTGGGGGCAGGGTCAAAGAGGCTTAATGAATGAAGTAGAAGGAATGCAAGTTTAAGTAGGAACCAGACATGGAGATATTGTGGTGAGCAGACACCAGATGGTGAAATGTATTTTTTTAGGCCATAGCCAATGTTGCAGTGTGACAAAGATGTTCCAGTGCACTGGGAGGATGTGCAGCACATTTCTGATCATATGACTACAAATTAAATTTGTTGGCTAAGGAGACACGATTGGAAGAAAGTTATTAGAAGGAACATTACCGAGCTCTACACAGAAAGGTGAGAGAGTTTAATAATCCAGAGGCATAATACAATTCATTCCTTGGAGTTTTATCTTAAATACAGAATAATGCTGGAAAAATGATGGTAATGAAAATAGACTTGCCCAGCAAAGATAACAATGATAAGATTCGCAAGACCGTTGATTTGTAAAAACATGAATAAACACTTAAGGTGGTGGAAGTTATCGGATCTTTCTTCAAGTAATATGAGTATTCTGCTTTTGAGATGGATTGCTAAGCAGCTCATGGATTAACCCTGCTTAATAATGCTAACCAATAATAGTTGCCAGGTATTAGCATGTACTATGTGCCAAACGCTGTGCTAAACGCTTTAAGTTTGGTGTTATGAGAATAACCACCCTATGAGGTAACCATTTTTCTTAATAATCTCTTTTTCTTTTTTTTTTTGAGACAAGGTCTTGCTCTGCCACCTTGTTATCATGCAGTGGCACAATCACAGCTCAATGCAGCCTCTGCCCCCTGGGTTCAATAGATCTCAGCGTCCTGAGTAGCTGGGACTACAGGTGTGCACCACCACACCTGAATAATTTTTGTACTTTTTGTAGAGATAGGGTTTCACCATGTTGCCCAGGTCGGTCTCAAACTCCTGGGCTCAAGCAATCCATCAGCCTTGGCCTCCCAAAGTGCTGGGATTATAGGCCTGAGCCACTGTGCCCAGTCTATAATCTTTTTATGTTAGAATAGTTTTAGACTTATACAAAAGTTGTAAAGATAATATAAAGGTTTTCTGTATACCCTCCACTCTGTTGTCCTGATTATTAACATCTTACTTTAGTATGGTACATTTTGTCACAATTCAGAAACCAATGTTGATAGACAATGATCACCTGAAGTCCATCTATATTCAAATTTCTTCATTTTTTTACCTAATACCCTTTTTCTACCCCAGGGTCACATCCAGGATGCCACGTTATATTTAGTCATTATGTCTTCTTTGGCTCCTCTTGGCTGTGGCAGTTTCTCAGACTTTCCTTGTTTTTGATAACCTTGTAAGTTTTGAGGCATATTGGTCAGGTATTGTATAGAATGTTTCTTAATTTAATTTCTCTCATGATTATACCGGGTGATGGGTTTTTGGGAGGAAGTCTGTTACCAGCAGAGAATCCACCTGGGTCTTCAGCAAACTTGATTCTTGTTTCCTTGGAGGAAAGAATTCAGCTGACGGCCAGAAGTAGGTATAAGGCAGAGGGAGGGACTGAGGCCAGTCTTAGAGCAGAAGTGAGTAAACGTTTATTCAAAAGTTTTAGAGCAGGAGTGAAAGGAAGCAAAGTACTCTTGGAAGAGGGCCAAGTAGGCAACTTGAGAGTTCTCAGTGTCCTGTTCAGCCCTGGACTTGGGGTTTTATACATTGGCATGGTTCCAGGGTCTGTGTTTTTTTTCTCCCCTGATTCTTCCCTTGGGGTGGGCTATGCACATGCACAGTGGCCTGTCAGCACTTTGGAGGGGCCACATGCACAGTGTGTTTACTGAAGTTGTACGTGTGCTCACTCGAGGCATTTTTCCCTTACCAGTCCATGGTTCCTGGAGAAAAGTCATATTTCATTTAAATCCTCTTAGTGCACATGCTTGAGCCTGCTCACCCAACTTCTGAGATCTTATCAGGAAGCTGCTGATTACCAGCTTCAGGTGTTTCCTTCCTATCTATTGGGAGACTGCCTTTCCCTGGTACCAGCTCTGACCAACTATTAATTTAGAGAGACAGTTTAAGAACCACCTGATCATCACCTAATGGTCACCTGACATTCCTGGAAGCGGGCGGGGGGTGGGGGGGGGGCATCTCCTGCACTGGTCTTGTCTGCCTAACTACCTACCCTAACAAGACCACAGAGATAAAGTGTCCATCACATCATATAAAGGATTCCTGCTACCATCATGATTTATCACTGATAATATTGAGTTTGAACCAATGACAAGGTAGTATTTGTCAGGTTTCTCCGCTAAAAAGTTACTCTCCTGCTGTCTTCTCTCTATACTTTACTCTTTAAAAGAAAATGTCTAAGCACAGCCCATGCTTAAGGGGTAGGGAGTTATATTCCACCTTTTTGAGGGGAAAGTATCTGTACAAATTGATATTCTTCTGTATGTGAAATGTGTCTATTCCACCCCCCATTTCTTTATATATGCAATCATTTTGTTATATCAGTATGAACTCAAGAAATTTTGTGCTTCACTTTTGGTTATAATCCAAAGTCTTAGTCTGTTTAGGCTACTGTAATAGAATACCATAGACTAGGTGGCTTAAAAACAACAGAAATCTATTTCTTAGAGTTCTGGAGGCCAGGAAGCCCCAGATCAATGTGCCAGCAGATTTGATGTGTGGTGGGGGCCCACTTCTTGGTTCATAGATGGCCATCTTCTCACTGTGTTCTCACATAGAAGAAGAACCGAGGGAGCTCTCTGGATCTTTTTTAAAAAGGCACTGATCCCATTCATGAGGGCTCCACTTTCATAACCTAATAACCTTCCAAAAGCTTCACCTCCAAATAACATCACACAGGGAATTAGGTTTCAACATATGAATTTTGGGAGGACACAAAAATTCAGTCTATTGCATTTAGTACCAAATTTTTAAAAATCAAATTATGACAACTTTGTCTGTTGAGAGCTCTTTTAGTTTACTCTTACACTTGAGTTTACTCTTTTAGTTTACCCTCATATTCCTTTGACATATCAATTTTTTTTAGTCCTTCCTTACTTTCTGGCATTGCAAGATGCTTCAGGCTTCTCTTGTACATTCCTTTCCCCCAAAATTAGCCATTTAGATCTGGGCATCAGGTATGGAAGTATTTTTATTTTCTCCATTTTATATATAAGGAAACTGAAGCTTAGAATGGTAAAGTAATCTGCCCAAGGTCATGCCTTAGAAAACTGTAGGATCCACATAAAACTCAGATCTGTCTGTTGTTATAACTGTGGCATGATTGCTTGCCTTTTTTTCCTTTGGGGGCATCAGTCTGCTTTCCAATGAACTTTAAGTGGTGCTGGAAGTTTTCCTGGTCTGTTGACATATATTGTATTTCAGCATTCCTTTTCTTACTGTCCCTGAGATCAGATTTTGGTAGGGTTTAAGACAATGGCACTTTAGTTAGTAGTTCTAATCTAAAATAAGTATCTTCAGAGGTAGTGCTAAGGTCTGAAAGCGATTTTTCCGTGTTTTGAGAAATCTAATGGAAATCATATGTTTATCCATGACACAACTGCCCAGACTAAGGAGAATGTCACATTTCTTTGATTCTATATCAACTCAATGTGTCTGGCTACATCAGTTATTTCAAACCATTAGAAGCTCTGATTGGTTGATGATGATGTCATAGAAATTTCTGAAGTTGGGAAGGATAATAAAGAGTCTTTGGGGGTGGAAATGCTGGGAAAGGCCACACTGATTACTGTTCTGCTTGTGATCCAACTCTAATTGAGGAGGACCCATTATGAGAGTTGTCTGTGTGTATGGCAGGGAAAGAGTAACTTTTTTGGATATAAAGTAGACATCTATATATTTGGTTTATGTTTTACCAATTTGCTGTAATGTTTTAATGTTCAAAATTCTGGTCCAAGTTACTTTAATTTCTGCTTCGTTTTAGATGCCTGCTTAAAATATTTAAAGTGTACACATTGGAATGATTTTTTTGTATTCTATTTTCTGAAGGAAAAATCTATATCTTAGTATAGATAAGCATATGGATCTATTTAATATGTTCAAAAGCAATGCATATGAATGACTCAGAGCTTAAATTTGTGGTGCTTGGATGAATTGCTTGTTGGGATGGACTCAGAAAGGTGGGAGGAGAAAGGGGGAGGGATGAACAACAACTTAAATGGGAGAGGAGAAACATGTGATTCTAGAAAACAAAAGAATCATGAGCACCAGGAAAAGATAAGTGGTTGTGACAGAAGGAAAGTTCTCAGTGAATATTAACAGGGCCTAACTTCATGTTACACACAATTGTGTTCACATGAAGCCATATGAGGAAACTGCAATTAAAATGTTTAGAAACAGAAAATGTTGTTTGAAAGAAACCTTTGCGATCATCTAATATTGCAGTTCTTGATCCAAAGCTACACACTATGATCACTGGAGAAGCTTTTAAACAATGCAATGTCCAGGCCCCAACCCTTAAGTTTCTGATTTAATTGGTCTCTGATACAGCCCCAGCATGAAAAATTTTAAAAACTTCCTTGTAATTCTAATATACATCCAGGCTTGAAACCATTGATCTAGTTATTCCTGTTTTTTAATTACAAGACATGTCATATACACAAATAGTGAAAATGTATTTTAAAACTATGTATTTACTACCTAGATTGAACACATAAACTTATTGCCACATTTGTTTTATTTTTATTTTTTAAGAAATACAATGTCACAGATATCCTTAGACTTCCTCATCCACTATCAAATCCCACTGCCTCTCCTCCGTTTCCAGAGGCAATTGCTATCTAGAAGTTGGTCATATCCTCCCCATTCATAATTTTTATATGTTTACTATGTAGGTATATAGACTTTTGATGGTTTTAAGGTTTTGTACACTGAGTATCATAGCACATGTATTCTTTTGCATTTTTCCCTCCTTCCCTTCCCTCTCTCCCTCCCTTCCCTCCTTACTTTCTCTCTCTCTCTCTTTCTCTCTCTCTCTCTCTTTTTCTTTCTCTCTTTTTTCTCCCTCTCTCTTTCTCTCTCCTTCCTTCCTTCCTTCCTTCCTTCCTTCCTTCCTTCCTTCCTTCCTTCCTTCCTTCCTTCTTTCTTTCTCTTTTTGAAAAGGTCTCATTCTGTGGCGTCATCACAGCTGACTGCAGCCTCAACCTCCCAGGCTCAATTAATCCTCCCACCCCAGCCTCCTCCATGTAGCTGGGACTACAGGTGCATACCACCACACCTGGCTGCATTTTTCTTTTCTTACTGAACATTATGCTTTTGCAACTCATCCTTGTAATTCAAGCTATTAATATTAACTGTAGTATCCTATAATACTTTTATGCATTCCCTTACTGATGGGCATCTAAGTTGTTTTTCTCATTTTGTTTTGCTTGGCTTTTGGTATGATAAAAATACTGTGGTACACATTTTTGTACATCTTCTTGAGCACACAGAAATAAGCTTCTCTAGGGCAGAGCTTATATACAATTCTGTATAGCAGTGCCTCACAGTTGGGTAGAAGAAGTGGGACCTGAGGTGACCACAGCCCCCTAAATGGGCACCTCCTGCTATGAGCAGCCTCCTCGGCTTACCCCACTGTGCTCTATGAGTATTATCTTTCTCTATGTGTGTCATAATGGGGAAATTGGAAAATACTGCCCCAAGAAATAACCTAGAAGTGGCCATCCTGTGTCGTAGAGTAAGCACACTTAATTAACTCTGTAAGTATTGCTAAAATATTCTAAGAATTATTGTACCAATCCCCATGCCTACCTTGTCAGACTGGAAAATTTTTTGCTGGTCTGATAGATGTGAAATGATATCTTGTCTTAATTTGCATTTTCCTAATAAGTTAGAAAGTCTTTTCATATGTTTACTGGCATATGTTTATAGCTTATGAATCCTCAATTTCTATCCTTTGCTCATTTTTCCATTGAGTTGTTTGTTTCTTCTTCTCACTGATTTTTAATGACTGTATGTATTCTGGATGCTAATATTGTGTAGGTTATATGCATTGCAAATATTTTACTCCAATACCTGGCTTACATTTAACTTTATTTTAGAATCACTTTTCTCAAAAGCTTTTAATTTTTAGTTATGTTTCAAGTGGAGAAATGTGAGGCTCATGGTTGCATAGTAATAATATTTTAGTACCAAATGATGTCACCGTGCTTGCTACTCTAAAGCAGTACAGCAAGATTGAAAAGAACACTCGTCTGAACCCAAGATTTCACAGGTCTTCTATATCTGCTTCTAATAGTTACTGGCAAAAGCCAGTATAAAAAATAATTTGTTGATGTTGGTTACTTAATTACCTGATTAAACTGACACACAGTGATGAACAGTTAGTCACCTAACCCCAAGTCATACACCTTTTTAGTGCCAAAGCTGTCAGAATCTCACACCATTTCCCAAAGTTTGCTGTGTGGAACCCTAGTCCTTGAAAAGCATTCTGTGGTCAGTTTCATTTTACATTTTTTCTCCTCTTAAAATTTCAGAGTTTACAGTGTGATATTAAAAGTTCTGTTAAGTCTTGCAATTAAAAATGCAACCGACTTTCCTTTAATGAGCATTTTCTAAACATATTTGTCTGTGGAACCCTCCTTTGCTATGGAGCACCTAATAACACACCAAGGAGCTGATATTCTATGGAATGGACTTTGAGAATTTCTACATTTAAAAATATTCCCCTCCAGTCTCCAAGGCTGTCTTCCCCTGGGCTGGTACTTTGTCTATACAATCTAATAAATATATAAAAATAGAAGCACTAACATTCATCATACTGAACTTTAAACACTGGCATATAGTAAAGAGATTCCACTGGCTTAAAGCAGAAATAATAACACTGATTGATTTTGTCCCCTAAGAGGCTCTCATGAGTTCCTCTGTGAGAATGCATGATAAAAATATTTCTCCCCCCTTTATGAGCATCTCTTAAATAATGTGGGAATTATTGTGGTGCTTGGTATTATGATCAATTCTTGGGTCCTGTAGCGTAAGATAGTGCTCTTCAGAAGGGTGTGTCACTCACCTGAGGACCTGGAGTCCTAAGGCAGGAGACAGGACCTTCGAAGTTGGACTTTTGCTAGGGGCAGAGTTTCTTGATGGACTCTGTTCTTTTGGGTTCAGAATTTAAGAAACTAACTCATCCAAGCATATGCTCCTAAGTTGTGGGTACTAAGATATTTGGGAACTTAGGCTTTCAAGCTCTGGAGAGCAAGGTATCCTTATGAGTCAGGAGTAGGAGGGAGATGTTTGCTACATATATTATGCTACATTTAAATTTTGGACAAGTGTATGTAATATATACTCAAAAACCTAATGAAATTATTAATGAATGACTAGATTTCATCTAATGATTCAGCACATTTATCAAAATTCCACCGTGTCACCGAGTGTGGTGGCTCATGTCTGTAATTCCAGCACTTTGGGAGGCCAAGGTGGGTAGATCACCTGAGGTCAGGAGTTTGAGACCAGCCTGGAAAACATGGCGAAACCCTGTCTCTACTGAACATACAAAAATTAGCTGGGTGCCGTGGAACATGCCTGTAATCCTAACTACTCAAAAGGCTGAGACAGGAGAATCACTTGAACCCGGGAAATGGAGGTTTCAGTGAGCTGAGATTGCACCACTGCACTCCAGCCTGGGAAACAGAGAAACACTCTGTTTCAAAAAAAAAAAAAAAAGATTCCACTGTGTCTCTGATCCCATATTAGAAATGATGACAACCATAAAAGTAGAAAATACCTGTGAAGAAGTGATTTATAAAAGATTACAAATATATAAATTGTGCTCATGCTCAGAAAAATGGCAAGAAGGCTGTATACCTAAATGTTAACTGTGGTGGTCTCTGAGTTGCTAGGAATATTGGTGGGTTTTTTTCCTTCCTTCTAAGTAAGAATTGTCTGTGTTATTCATATTAACATATGCGACATTTCAAATGCTTTTTAAAAGTTAATTTTATGTTTAGATGTATAAGAAAAATATTTGTATGTAGGTATGCCAGGTGCAGAGATAATTTTACAAATAATATGTGTTTTGCAAAGGCCTCCCAACCCCCTCTGTATGATGGCTGTATCATCTATAATAACTGGCCACAAATTTTCACTTTAATAGTTAGAAGAAGGCAGTTTGAAAGTTAGTGATATCCACAAGGTTTGTAAATAGATGGACTGTGGGGCTTGGGTCCCAAGTTTGCCAGTTACTATGCGGCCTGATCTTGGTTAAGTTCCTTAGCCTCTCTGAACTTTAGTTTCCTCATCGGCTGAGTGGGTGAAATAATGACACAAACCCCCACAGGAGTTTTGTGAGGATGAGATAAGAATCCATCAAAGCCCTGAGCCCAGTGGCTAGCACATAGTGAGCCCTGAGGATTGTTAGCTCTTGCTAGGAGTTTGAGTCCAAGAACTTTAGCTAAGTTGGAGCGAATGCCTCATATTTGATACAGACAAATCAGCAAGCCTATGTACTTACAGAGGCTACTTACCTGAAAATCAAGATGTGAACTGGCTTTGGAGAGTGAAGTACTGTAAAATACTCAAGAGAAGGGTTAACATTTTTTTTTCTACAGTAAGATTTAGGAAAAAGAGAAGGTGAAAATCAATCAAACAATCTTGGATGCAAGGTGTAGTGTGACCTGTGGGAAGGAGATAAATGCAAGGACTGTAAAGCTACTGATCAGACAAAACGAAAAGGGTATGAAAGAGAGGGTTTGATACCAGGCCATGAATAGAATTTCAGGAAAATGAATGATGGTATGGGATTACCATGTTATAAATCAATGAGGTGACTGAGATCATATCATCAACCAGAAGAACAAAATTCAAATAGATATTAATGACACCTGACCTTGGATATTAACCTTCAACGTAGTCATTTGTAATGTAAAATCCCTGGTTGGACAATCTACTCTATTACCATATGGTTCTTTTTTTGAGAGGAGGAAGTAGCAAGGATCAGGTTTGGAAAGGAGAAAAATAAAAGCAATTTAAAACAGGACATTTGGGCTTTGAAGGCAAAGGGGTTTGGAAAGGTTCGAAAGTGCTGAGGCTGAGCTATCAAGTATCATGGTGGTGTCAGGTTTGTTTTCTGGGAAATATTTGAACTAATTTTATCGCAGCATTTCTCTCAGGCTGTTTACTACCTGAATATTTGTCAAGGCCTCTAGAGGAGAGAGCCAAATATGTACATCTGAAATTCTTTCTATTTGGAGCACAACTTGGGTGGGGAAGGCTCTCTTGTAACAGGGGTGGGGAGCTGACAGTAGATGTTGCTGCGAGAAAGATGAGATTTCGGGAGCTGTCATCAGGATTGCGACTTCTGGTTGCAGTCGATATTTTTCCAAATGCCAACCACACAAGGATTTAAAAGAAGGTGCAAAGAAGCATGTGGCGTGCTCCTCATGAAGCAAGAGCGGGCTAAGTGGCTCGCTTAAGCATCACGCCCCCCAGCCAATCACGAGCCTGGGCACCCCGGCCTTTTCTCTGCAAGGCCTTGGCCACATGCCCTCCTATACAATTGTGAGGAGATTGGATGAAACACGATGGTATTTAAAGCGCTCTTCCATGGCGCTCTTGCAGTTGTAAGATTTCCCAAGAGGCAGTTGCCAAGATTATGTTCTTTCCCACTGACTTTTAATTTGTAAATTGTAATGGGCTCCCCTTTAGATATGGCGATATAGTTTGCATTCCACAAGGTGGCCAGAGAAGAGATGATCCCATGTAAATCTTCAGAGTACGCTCTCTGCCATGATGAAAGGTGCAGGAAAACACAAAGTGATCAAATTCTCTTATGGTCGGGCATGATGCTTGCAGAAACTCTGGTCTTAAAAGAGATCTGTTATCAACTATGTTCTTAACAGAACTTGAAAAAGAATCACATAATTTTGCTTAAAAGTAAACCACCCTTATAAAGGAAGAGGAAACAAATCAACCACTGGACCATGTTTCTCTTTATATTTTTACCCACACTCATCATGCAAACCATGCTGGCAGGTTTCCCAGATTCTTAGCACCGCCTTGACACTCTTTTCTCTCCTCCTGGTGTAACAGCCCTATTTGAATTATTAATTCTAGAATACCTCCTTCCTTTCAACCCAGGAGGCAAACAGATCCACCCTTTCTGGGCACCAAAAATATAATCAATAGTGTACTAGGATATACCTGTATTTCAGTATCTGGGCCCTCAAACAAGGAGTTTAATTTGAGAGTTACTCAATAACTGTCCTATGAATAAAGCTGTAAACAGACTAACTAAGCAGTTAAACTTCACATATTAGATAATTTGCAGCTATTTCTCATTGAATTTGCTACCGAGCTTTCTTTATTAAACTGTAGGTAAGAGTTTCAAAGACAGAGTGAACCTATTACCTTTCATTTTCAATTTTTTGTCATATTCCTTTGGCCTAATAATCCTTCTCTTAAGAGTTCCACACTGGTTTTATTGAGGCCAAGGATAAGCTGATATTAGTTAGCTACTTCTCTCCAAATTGTGCTGTATTCTGTTGGGAGGCTTCCAGATACCCAGCCTGAGAAACTCAATATTCAAGACATCTAGTATCACCAGGATGGTTTTTTCTGCAAAAGCTTCTACCATCCCTTGCTTTATTTGCTTGCTTTTTCTTCCTGGACTTTCATTCTCTATGTGTTGCATTTTTCTAGTAGTGCAGCTACAGTTCATTTATTCCAATCATCTTTCTTGATGTGTAATAGTCCCTTGGGTGAATATATGACTTTTTTTGGTTATCCTATTGATAGACACATGTTGGTTGCATTTGGGGGCTGTTACAAACAGTGCTGCTAGGAGCTTCCTTGCACACGTAACCTGCTACCCTCGTGCAAGAGCTTATTGAGGATTTTTACTGAGGGTGTGCCTGTCTTACTAGATAATGCCAAACTATTTTCCAAAATGGTAGTTCCAAACAATTCCCTATTGAGCCAGGCTGCATGTCAGGCTCTGAGCTGGCCCTGTGGCCAGCAAAATATAGTCACCTCTCTCCCCTGACACTGCAACAGTACTTACTTATATTCTACTGGGAAGAGTGGATCGGTCATCTTCCAAATAAATAAGAACCACAAATGGACAGACTCCTATCTCCCTCTCTCTCCCTCTCTCTCTCTCTCTCTCATCACTTTCTGCCTCCCTGGTGCCGTCAACAATTGTACAGAAGCTGCACATTCCTTGCTGTGTTCTCAAACATGAGCTAGTTATTCATCCACTCGTCAAGAAGCCTCTTCTTTGCTTCGAAAAGAATTGCCTTCCAGAGGGTATCTCCAAGACTTTATAACTTTTTTAGGAAGCTAACTCAACAATTCAGCTAGTAGTGACTGGGTACCTACTAGAGGCCAGTTGCCTTTTTGTCTGCCCTCAGGGACCTTAGATTTTAATGGGAGAGACAAGCTAGTCGAAAGCAAACTACAAGGGCCTATTTTAACTTCCCTCTTAAAAAACAAACCAACAAACAAATTCTCAGGTTTTTAGCATTTTTTCCAGCTAAGCCAGACCTGAAAGGCTGGTGCTTTATGCAAACATCTTGGTACCACTCTCTTAGTTGCCCTCTGTAAGGGACTTGAATTAGGAGCACTCAAAACGTTTCACCCTTATTCATTCATTCAACCGATATTTTTGTGAGTGGCTGCTATGTGCAAGGCACGGTTCTGGTACCCTGCCCTTTCAGAGCTTACATTCTAGTAAACGTGAATTTCCACTGGGTTCTTTCATTGCTTCTCCAGATACTGTTCTTGCCTGATGTTGCCTTAATTGCCCCAAATCCCAATTATATTATTGGCCTGTCCTAGGCCGTAGGTAAAAAAATTTCTTCTTCCACACAGTGCACACTTGCTCTTAGTCACAAAATGACACCAGCTGCCTGGATGTATTTGCATCATGTATGTCTATGACTTCCTTAGAATTCCCAGACATTGGTCCAAAGTAATGATAATTACTATTTAAAAAATCGTTACAGTTTAGAAAATGCTTTTCAGGCAAGTGTGGTGGCTCACACCTGTAATCCTAGCACTTTGGGAGGCTGAGACAACCAGATCACTTGAGCCCAGGAGTTCAAGACCAACCTAGGCAACATGGTAAAACCCCGTCTCTACAAAAATTAAAAAATTAGCTGGGCATGGTGGCATATGCCTATGGTCTCAGCTCTTCAGGAGGCTGAGGTGGGAGGATTGCTTGAGCCCAGGAGGTGGAGGTTGCAATAAGCCAAGACTGCACCACTGCACTCCAGCCTGGGCGACAGAGGGAGACTCTGTCTCAAAAAGAAAAAAGAAAAAGAAAGAAACACAAGAAAATGCTTTTTGCATCCATGATGGTGTACAGATTCACACCAAATACAGAAGGTATACAAATAGGCATTATTATAATTATCTTTTTTTTTTTTTTTTTTTTTTTGAGACGGAGTCTCGCTCTGTTGCCCAGGCTGGAGTGCAGTGGCGCGATCTCGGCTCACTGCAACATTTGCCTCCCGGAACAGGAAATCAGATGAACAATGAAGGAGGAAAATTTAAGGTTAGGGAACAGGGGCCTCCACTCAGTATGGAGGAGATCTGAGTGCTGGAAGAACAGATGAGGTGAATTAGTGACAGCACCTAGCTTCTACCACCTTTAGTTCGAATCCCTGCTTGGCCCCTTCCTGGTTGTGTGGCTTTGTGCAGTCACTGAGACTCTTTTTAGAAGAAACAGGGATGGCAATAGCTCCTCTGCAGAGTGATTGTGTGGATGAGAGATCATGTATAAAAAGCACCATGCTCCTGGTCATTGCTACTCTCCAAAATAGTTTAATGTGCTGGCATAAGGATAGAGGCGGGGGGTGTCCAGGCAAGATAAGAACAACATTTTTTTTGGATTTATTAGACAGCTGCTTCCTGTAATTTGTTATCATAAATGAAGAGCTTGCTCTAATCATTTCCCATGTATACTCAGTGTTCTTGACTCTAGGAGGATTATGTGACTTCCTTGTTTTCTATATGGATAAATTCGGAATTGATGCAAAGTGAATGAAGACATTTCCCTTTAGTTTTAACCTGTGCCGATACATTTTTCTATTTACATCACCATTTTATTGGGCCAAATTCTGGTGAAAGTATTAGGCAAGCATCAGTCCTAGTTTGTTTTTACATTTTGCCTTTAGCCCTCAGCTCTGAATTCCCCTTTTGTAAACCCCTTCATCACCTCAGTGATTGTGGTTGAACTGGCTTTCCCTTGCTTCCATGGAGCTTCTCATGGTGGAAGACCCAGAAGCATTGCAGACCTTGGTAAAAGGGAGTTTTTGTGGTGCTGCCTGTCATTCAGAATTTTCCACTAACTTGTAGTAGCAGCAGAGGTGAGTCTATTTATTGGATTGAGTCCATTATTTTAAATGTGTTTAGAAAATTGTATATTATTTGAATAAGAAGTAATGGCAGAAGCCAGAAATATTCCTATATCCTGTTCCCAAAGGGTCAAATGAGACTTTGTTTTCTTCAATTAAAAAAAAAAAATCTGACTGGGTGCGGTGGCTCACACCTGTAATCCCAGTACTTTGGGAGGCTGAAGTGGGCGGATCACCTGAGGTCAGGAGTTCGAGACCAGCCTGGCCAACATGGTGAAACCCCGTCTCTACTAAAAATACAAAAACTAGCTGGGTGTGGTGGCAGGCACCTGTAATTCCAGCTACTCGGGAGGCTGAGGTAGGAGAATTGCTTGAACCCGGGAGGCGGAGGTTGCAGTGAGCCAAGATTATGCCATTGCACTCCAGCCTGGGCGACAAGAGCAAAACTCCATCTCCAAAAATAAATAAATAAATAAATAAAATCTGATAACCTAAGAAGAAAAAGAAGGAAATTCTGCAGTGTGATTGTAAATTAAGCTCTCTTGTAACCCTCTCATGCAGAGCCAAAGTGACGATATAATACCACAGTGACATAAGGACTTTGAGATCCTTATGAGTCAGGTTATTTACAAAACATTATTCTTATTTTCGTTAAAATAGCGAGTAAGTGGGGGAATTTTCACCTGCATTCGGATCTTACAGCACACCACAAATAGTCTTTTATGTCTCAGCTGGTGAAACCATAAAGAGGTTGTTATTTTACACAGCAGCTTTTCACAGAAACATAATTCAATTTTAAGAAAATGAATATGAAGTAAAATACCTGTTCCTGCTCTTTCAATAGCTCTGTCTTTCCACTCCCACTCCTGCTCAGTCAAGCTTCCTTTATCCTTCCCTAAAAGGCCTCAGGAGTTTCAGGTTGTCTCAGCAAACAATTGTCATTCATTGTTTGGTATTAGAAACAGAGTCATGAAGGGACGATATGGGGTGAAGTAATAAATGTAGAAAGAGAGATACACCAGATGGTAAGATATGCTGAGAGGTGATTGGTTATAAGTTCTGAGCCCTCTCTTTGAGGTAATTCCATCATCAACAGGTTGTGAATACCTGTGAACTCTGCTTGTGTAATACAGATAGCAACAATGCGTGCCTCTCTATCATCTCAAATGCCTTTCTTCTTTGTTAATTGTGGGAGGCTTCCATCCTTCTCAATGTTACTGAACTTTAAAAATTTTTCACATCAAAACCAAGGTCAAATCAAATCAGAAGTACAAGGTGCTGCTGTGTTTTCAAACTACACCCTGATTTATCTCTTCTGTAGGGCCGGAGGGTGGGCAGGGATGGGATAGGTCCCTCCAGGTAACAATCACGGTCCTATGCTTACCTCATTTTTTTCTTCTTAAGTGGCTGTACCATGACCCATTTTTGCAGATGATGCCTGTTCACCTAAACAAACCCTAATCAATAACATTTTGTGCTGTGTAAGAATAAAGTAATTGGGGCTGGGTGTGGTGGCTCACGCCTGTAATCCCAACACTTTGGGAGGCCCATGCGGGTGGATTGCAAGGTCAGGAGATTGAGTCCATCCTGGCCGATATGGTGAAACCCCGTCTCTACTAAAAATACAAAAACTAGCTGGGCGTGGTGGCGCGTGCCTATAGTCCCAGCTACTCAGGAGGCTGAGGCAGGAGAATCGCTTGAACCCGGGAGGCGGAGGTTGCAGTGAGCCAAAATTGCGCCACTGCACTCCAGCCTGGTGACAGAGCGAGACTCCATCTCAAAACAAAAAAAGAACGAAAGAAAGAAAAGAATAAAGTAGTTGGAAGGAGGGATGTGAAAATAATAAGTAATATAAATAGCTGCATTTATTGAGCCCTACATATGAACCAGATATTGAGCCTAAATATGAACCAGATAAATCTCTCACGTGCATTCCTTTATGAAATGTTTATAATACCATTCTGAAGCAATTATTATTCCCTTTGGAAAGCAGAGGAAACTGAGGAAAACAGTAGTTAATTAACTTAATCAGATCATGCCACTCATAAAAATGTGAGCCAATGTCTCATCCAGACAAGCCCCCACCCTCAGCTGGTGTGGAGCACCTTTGTAATCCTTTCAGCTGATCCTAGCTAGTTAATCTGTCCATTAGTTACTACTAGAGTGATCACTACTAGAGTGATCACAGATTTGTCATCCAAACTGGGACCACTTTGAGGATGAAAGTGGGGACTATTAAAAACTATCATAGGAAAATAGGCGTAAGTGGGGATTGTCTTAGGGAAATTCAGAAGTTCTTTTTAAATTATTTTCTTTTATTCAGGCTTTCACCTCCGCTTCTTCCCAAAGAAAAGAAGAGAGAAGTTTCAAAGGATATCTATAACCCAGTCTACATTTGGGGCCTGGGCACAGCTAGCTATTAGGTCAATAGAGTTCCAGGTCAATCCACCCTTTTCCTTCCTCTTAAAATTTTCCTTTATAAGCCCTAGGCTGCTATAACCTTCACAATAAAATATTGAAACAAAATGCTCCGTCTTTCAAAAATACAGTATTCTCTTCCCCTACCAAAAGCTTCTACTTTAACAGAGTCTTTTCTTTTAATGTACTGGGTATAGGTGCTGATGAAAAGCATTCTCCAGGCCAGGCACGGTGGCTCTTGCCTGTAATCCTAGCACTTTGGGAGACTGAGGCAGGAGATGACTTGAGGTCAGGAATAGAGACAAGCATAGACAATAGAGCAAGACCCCATTTCTAGGAAAAATAAAAGAAAAAATAGCCAGGTGTGGTGGTGTGCACTTGTAGTCCTGGCTACTCAGAAGGCTGAGGCGTAAGGATTAATCCAGGAGTTTGAGGCTGGAGTGAGCTTTGATCATCCCATTGCACCCCAGTCTTGGGAACAGAGTGAGACTCTGTCTTTAAATGGCACATAATAATACACACACTACATGCTCATTTGGGTGAAACAAAAGAATTTTTATATATTTGCATTGTGGGTATGTGTATGTGTGTTAACACTTGTGTATACTTAAGCATGCAGAGTATATCTCTTCAATAATACCCACAAACCGTTTACTTATTATTGCTTCATGGAGGGAAAGAATCTCAGAATTTGGGGTGAAAGGTGATTTATTTTATACAGTATATCTTTTTGGTCAGATTGAAATTTTGGCCTTGAGTATATTTTATTTCTCAAATGAGAAGAAAAACTAGACAGATAAACACCTTCCATGCAGTGAAGTTGTATCATTGTAGGAAGGCAATCTGATTAAAGTAAGTGACACAGATTTTTGAATGAGTAATAACTTTCTCTCTTTTTTTAAAAAAAATGGCACTTTTAAGCCAGGCGCAGTGGCTCATGCCTGTAATCCCAGCACCTTGGGAGGCTGAGGTGAGCGGATCACCTGAGGTCAGGAATTTGAGATCAGCCTGGCCAACATGGTGAAACCCTGTCTCTACCCAAAAATATAAAAATCAGCTGGGCGTGGTAGCTTCCATCTGTAATCCCAGCTACTGGGGAGGTTGACGGAGGAGAATCACTTGAACCTGGGAGGCGGAGGTTGCAATGAGCAGAGATCATGCCACTGCACTCCACCCTGAACGACAGAGTGAAACCCTGTATCAAAAAAAAAAAAAAAATGACACTTTTAGAAGTGCTCTTTAACCAGTGGAATGTTAAGCAGTATGAAAGAGAGAAGTGAAGATATTCAAGCAGTGAAGATATTTGAGGGTACAGTGGTCATCCCTGCAGGAAATAGTGTCTTCTAAGTTGAAGCTACTCTTTACTATTTCTTCCTTTTTTCATTTATAAGCCCACAAATATTCCAAAATGTTAACTTTTTTAAAAATTATGTTTAAAACATGATTGTAAGCTCCAACAGTAATGTGGAATTTTCTGCTCTTTAGTTATGCACACAAAAAGTTCCATAGCTTAAACTGAACATGGTGGCATCCCTGTAGTCCCAGCCATTTGGGAGGCTGAAGTGGGAGGATCACTTGAGCCCAGGAGTTTAAGACTGTAGTGTGCTATGGTCATGCCTGTGCATAGCCACTGCCCTCCAGCCTGGACAACTTAGCAAGACCCATCTCTTTTTTTAAAAAGTTCCATAGCTTAAACTACTCAAATGAAGAAACAATCAGTGATGTGTGAAAGTATTTATTTTGGCCATGTACTCTGAGATAATGCACAGCAGACTGGGTTCTCAAGCTAGTGCCTTAAACACCACATAATTCAAACGGAAGCAGTGAATAAGCCTTGGATGATGTATCAGCTCTAAGGATGTTATATGTGAGTATGACAAGGACTTTTAATTTCCCATCCCATACTTGCTCTTCTGTTATTACTAGTAACAGAACTCTGACTTCATTTGGGACAGTAATTTTTCCTCTTAAAAGATTCCCTTACCAGGTTCCCTTGCAGCTAAGTGTGGCCGTGTGTCAAAGGTCTGACCAATGAGCTGTAAGTGAAAATGTTCCCAGGTTTTTCTTTTTTTTTTTTGAGATGGAGTTTTTGCTCTTTTTGCCCAGGCTAGAGTGCAGTGGTGCAATCTCAGCTCACTGCAACCTCCACCTTCCGGTTTCAAGCGATTCTTCTGCCTCGGCCTCCCAAGTCGCTGGGATTGCAGGTGCCCACCTCCACGCCCAGATAATTTGTTTGTATTTTTAGTAGAGACGGGGTTTCACCATGTTGGTCAGGCTGGTCTCGAACTGCTGACCTTGTGATCCACCCACCTTGGCCTCCCAAAGTGCTGGGATTACAGGCATGAGCCACTGCACCTGGCCCTGTCCCCAGGTACTTCTGGAGAAGCTCCTTAAAAGGAACTAACTAAGCTAGGAGGGGTTCTCATTTTGCCTTCCTCTTTTCCTTTTTCATGATTGGAGAGAATAAATGATAACTAGAGGGATATCATGGCCTAAGACTGGAAGAGCAGAGAGATAGAAAGAGCCTAGGGCTCTGATGACTCTGAGGAACCACTATATGAGCCCTGTGCATCCAGAGGTAGAGTTTCTCTTATGTTGGGAATAAGTCTTGGATGTTTAAGACATTGAAGTCTGGTCTCTGTTACTGCCAGTTAAATACAAATCCTTACTGAACAAACTACTTCTCTCCTTTGGGAGGAAGCATAGCATGTAATAAAATAAACGTGACATTCATTCATCATCATTCCTAAACTATGCCTTTTGCTATGCCTGCTTTTTGTTTTGTTTTTAATTAATTCCTTTATTTATTTATTTATTTATTTATTTTGAGACAGAGTCTAGCTCTGTTGCCCAGGCTGGAGTGCAGTGGCGCAATCTTGTCTCACTGCAACCTCTGCCTCCCTGATTCAAGTGATTTTCCTGCCTCAGCTTCCTGAGTAACTGGATCTACAAGCACATGCCACCATTGCTGTGTAATTTTTGTATTTTTAGTAGAGACAGGGTTTCACCATGTTGGCCAGGCTGGTCTCGAACTCCCGACCGCAAGTGATCCACCCGCTTCAGCCTCACAAAGTGCTGGGACTACAGGCGTGAGCCTCTGTGCCTGGCTTTGTTTTTAATTAATTCAATTTTTAAAAGACATTTCTTCTTTTAGAGCAACTCCTGAGCTGAGACTTCAGCTGCTTGTACTCTAAAAAAGTTTCTCTCCTTTGTAAACAACCCATTTCTCAACTCACAGAAACCTCAATTAATAATCATTTTTCTCACAAGATGACTCTAGGGGACATTTACTGAGATACTATGACTGTCACCATTGCTGCTGGTACTGAAGTAACAGACACAGATGAACTTTTCTCACTTATTTTCCATGTGGGGTGTCCCATTTAAAATAACTCCATTATGTGTCCCCAGGCCCTAAATGTAGACTGGGTTATAGATATCCTTTGAAACTTCTCTCTTCTTTTCTTTGGGAAGGAGGGGAGGCAAAAGCCTGAATAAAAGAAAATAATTTAAAAAGAAAGAAAGGAAAGAAGAAACAAAATAAGAACCGTATTTTTAACAAAAGGATTTTTGAAAGCCTTGGAAAATGTTATATTCACTCATATAAGGCCCCACTGTTTTAAAACATATTTTACTATAATTTTGCCTTCAAAACCCTGACATTCGAAGTTGAACAGGGCTCTTTCAGTGTACAACCCCAGGACATGGAGAAATAAAAAGAACAGTATTCCAACTAACGCATACTCAGTGGGAATCATCACATCGCATAATTGCTTGAAATCCACAAGCTGATCCGATGTCATCTTCAGAAATATGCAAGTTTCCCTTTGTTTTCTGACTTAGAGATATTTCCTTGCTTTAGGGCTTAACCCTTCAGTTGCTGCCCCTGGTGATTGAAACATAATTAAAATGAATGTGGATCTGCCCTTCCTAAACTCTCCCCAAATGTTAGATAAGATTCCCCCAAACCTGCCAAATCTTATTCCAACAAAAACACAAAATATGAACTTCAGGTGTTCCTTTTCACTCATTTTCTTTATCTACCTGTTTCTAAACACCACACACACACACACACACACACACACACACACACACTCATGTGGACACACACAGCCCTTTAAATGTCTTTCTACAAGAAACTGTAAAAGAACAAAGAGTTGCCATTTTGGAGCATGTAATGACATATTTAAAAGTTCATCAACTTCCCCCTTTAAAAAAAAACCTGGCAATGAGTCTAAAACAATAATTCAAAAAGATTTAGAGAAAAGAATCCTTAAGACTTATTCCTCTGTAACATGATGTAAATCATAAATATACCACTGGTCTGGAAGTGATTACAACAGGCTATAAGACAAAAGATATTCCTAAGCAGACACTGCTGGCAATGGGCTCTATACTCCCATCTGCATATAAGAGGATTTGGGAAGGTAAGTTCTCATAAATGCTAATAAGAGATTCACACCACTGTAAAAAGAATTCCCAGGTGTACATGTTCCAACAATAAATTGTTAGGTCCTGGGCCACAGCTGATTGCATAACCCTTTACAGAAATCTGTCCTCTTATTCAAGGTGAATGAATCTTTTGGTGTTCCAAGCATTCCCACCACCCTTCTCCAGTGTTCCCTTTGCTTCTTGATTGTCATTGTCCCTGACCTTCCTAACAGGATCCCTGGAATGAAGAGGAGGAAACGCTATATAAACAGCTCATTCTAGAAGTGTGAGTCATTCTGGAATCAGTCCCCACCCCCCACCACCGTTCCCTGTATAAGGGATGCTTGCTCATATCTAAGCTTCTCAGTTGCTGTTAGAAAGCATTTCTTTGTTTTGTCTTTCCCTATACCTTTTTCCTGAGGGCAAAGGTTTAACTTTTTTTATTCTTCTCTGAGTGATTCAACACTTGAGTTAGAGGTTCAGTTCACAGGACATCAAGAATTACATTTTGCTTGATAGCATAGCATTAGAAGCTACAGCCAGCCAACTCAAAGGGACACTGCAATGCCATTTTATAATTAAGCAGGGCACCCGCTGGACCACATGTTATAACAGATGTTTCCTGGCCCCAGGTACTAAGCCAGCACACAGTAAAACCGCCCAGAGCCTCTCCCTGAGCCAAGATGGGTCAGTGTCTGGAACAACTCCTGTCTAGTGTCTCTTACTGTAATTAGAGAATAAGGCTAGCTTTTGGTCATTAATTCCATTTGAAAAATAGCCACAGCTAAATGAAAAATGAAAAAAAGAAAAAGAACATCAAAGTGCTTTTAAAATTGAAAAGCTTGATAAGAAAACAGAGATAATTTATTGGTGATTTATTATTTCGATCAGTGGTTTAGATCTTATATAAATTCTGTATAATGCCCTCTCTTCAACATGTTTTGCAAAATTTTCACTCCATTTATAAAATGGATAAAATTAGAGGCTCCTTATGCTTAAGCTGGAAGAGAGTTTTAGGTTGGTTAGTACCAGGAAATCAAACTCAGATGTTTATAGAGGCCAGTTCATAAATGAACAAAGCAAGCCAGAGCACGAAAAATCGTTCTGCTTTTTTTTTCTATTTTTATTTCATTTTCTTGTTTTCAATAAGAGCCATGGGTATGGAAATATCTATCTCCACTTTGAAAAAAAAAACAGTTTTGGCAGGGCTGACATTCAGATGGTGCGCACCTGAGATTGGGATGGTCCTTACCAACTCATGTAGAGATGGTGCTCTAAGCTCACCGAGTGAGGCTCATCCTCAGCTTCTCTTCCAAGAGTTCTTGGACCTCCCCATGACCAATTGGAGCAGAGTGGGGAGCATCCAGGAGCTGCTCTAGCACAAAAGTCAGTGTCCATTCCAATCAGTCAGTTCCCATTCCTTCGTAGTTAAATATTTTTAATATTGCTGAGAACAAGTACATTGACAAATAGCAGTTGGTATTTTGTCTCTGTTTAGGGCAAACCAAAAGGGCAATAGGAATTGATGGAGTCACTGGAGCCCTGGAGAGCCCCTTCCCTGTTAAAGGGGGTAGCTACTACCAAATGAATAGGAATGGCCACTCCTGTGGCCAGATCTTCTGATTTCTCAAGGGAAAGTAAAAACCTATGTTCTTATGTAAAGTTTCCCAACTAAATTATCAACTCATTTAAATACTGTTACAGGCAAACTAAGTGTTTCTGTGGGCCAAATGTAGCCTAGGTGTTCCCAATTTGCAACCTTTTTTATTTCTGAGACATAGGAGAGGACTAAAGTCTAAGTGACTTGCCCAGAGATCACCCAAGTAACTAGTGGCAGAACCAGAATGAGATCCTATAGCCCCTGACTCCCCAGCCAGTGAGATCTGACCTTCTTCAAAACAAATCCTATAATACCACTGAAAACGCTTCAACAAGGATTTCTAGACTGCCTACCCTAAGAAGAAGGAACTTAGATTATTTTTAGTATTACAGTTCTTTATACTAGTGTTTTCTCCTACAACATAAAAGTAAAACCTCATGTCCAAAGCTAACATATAATGATGGAAAAGATATGAAAAGTTCCAGAGATGACTGAGGCCTTGCATAGCTATAAGAAAAGGTTGGTCCTCTGGCAGGTTGGACATATAGTTGGTGTGTGTGTGTTTTTGTTTGTTTGTTTGTTTGTTTGTTTTGTTTTGGTTTGGTTTTTTTGAGACAGGGTCTCGCTCTATCACCCAGGCTGGAGTGCAGTGGCACAATCTCAGCTCACTGCAACCTCTGCTTCCTGGGTTCAAGTGATTCTCCTGCCTCAGCCTCCTGAATAGCTGGGATTACAGGTGCCCACCATCATGCCCGGCTAATTTTTGTATTTTTTGTAGAGATGGGGTTTCGCCACGTTGGCCAGGCTGGTCTTGAACTCCCGACCTCAAGTGATCCACCCGCCTCGGCCTCCCAAACTGCTGGAATTACAGGCATGAGCCACTGTGCCCAGCCTGGACATTAGCATTTAAACAAAGAAATTGATAGCATTTCCAGAAGAGCAGGGGTCAAAAAAGCCCTATGGCAAAGGTGACCCATAACAGGGTAAGAAAGTCTCCAAGTCTGAAGGAACCTCACTATTAGGAGGGATCTGATTTTTATGGAGTTCCAGTGTCGTGTGATCCTGAGATGAATCTGTTCTTTACATGGTTATTTCTTACCTTTGTTATGGAACCAGGTTGTGCCTACAGTGAAGTCAAGTGTTTATAAAGTAGATATGTTCACAAATTTAACACATATTTACACTGTGGGCTAGACCAGCATTCTCAAACATCTGTTATTATCCCACCTTCTACGTGATTTGGCTTCCTCTTATCATTTACACTCTTATTCCTTTAATTTTTAAAAAGCCAATGTACAATTTTTTCTTGACTAAAAAAAACAGTTAACTACCCTTGTGTTGGGGTTGGGGTTACATCAATGAATTAAGTAGTCCTTGACCTTATGGCTCCATAGACCATTAATATACAAATAACTAACTTTGATAAAAATATTGGAAGTGCTATGATAAATGCGAAGAGGGAGCCATTAATTGTCCTTGAGTCCGATGGGGGTAAGAGTGGAAAAGCTTCACCCAGGATGTGATATTGAGCTAGGCTTTCAGGAATGAGCCAGTAAGGAGGTGAAGGTTATTCTAGGCAGAGAAAGCTGCTTGAAGGGAGGCACAAAGTCGTAAAATGTACTGGGTGTTTGGAGATGGCGAATGGTTCAAAATAGCTAAAGCCAAGAACATACAAGGTGAGTGACAGGAAAAGCTGCCTGGGATTGGTTTTAAGTATAGTCATACACAGTAGGACATAACCTTGTCTTACCCTGGGGGTAAAGAGATAGCCCCCAAAGTTTTCAGAGATGGAGAATGTCTGATCTGCTCTAGGTTATGAGAGTCTAATTTTACCTACAGTGGGCTGGTGATGGAAGGGACTGAAAGTAAGAAGGTCAATTAGGAAGCTGTCCAAATATATCAGGCCAAAGATGGTGAAGTACTGAATTAAGGAGTAGAAGCTGTGATGAAAAGGAAAAGCTAGATTTGAAAACCTTTTTTGAGGTAGAAACAATAAAACGTGGTGACTAATTAGGAGAAAAGAAGGAGTAGAAGTTGGGTCCAAAATCTCTAACTTGAGTGCCAGATATATGGAAATGCCATCTATCAAGACATGAGGGAAAGCAGAGCTTTGGGAGGGTGTGTGTGGGGAAGGGAGAGGTGGGGCTGATTGAGGAGTTCTGGCTTGGAGATGTTAAAGCTGAAGCACCTTCTGAAGACTCTGGTAGGTAGATCTACCCAGAAGGCATCAACAACATGGAACCATGGCTCCAGAAGGAAGAACTGTTGGCTATGAGATGGACCCCTGTGGAAATACTCTGCAAATGACTTTTAATGATACAGATGGAAACTAATTATCCTGAGAAGCCTAACCCGATGATAATTAGATAATTTGAAAACTGGTAGTAAAAGAAGGCACAGAACAGCCCTTCGACCAGCTTCCACATCATCTTCTTTAATACAATAAGATTGGGAAATCACTGTGCTTGAAATGATGCAGACACAAGTCTGAACGCTGATCGTCATACTACTAGCTAGCTGTTTGACCTTGGACGAGTTACTGTTTAACCTCGCTTAGCTGCTTTGAGGCAGACATTATTCTGGGGTCTGGGAATATAATGATAAATAAACCCTACCCTCAAAGAGCTTAAATTTCCTTTTCTGTAAAACTACTAGATTGCAATGAGATATTATGTATCAGGCACAGTGCATGATACACAGTACCAAAAACCTGTCACTTACTATATGTGCCAATCACTTTCTATTCTTGGTTCATTTAATTTTTACACCAAACCTGTGAGGTAGGCATTGATATTGTCCCTATATAGTTGGGAAAACTGAGCTCAGGTACCTTGCACAAGTTCACGGGAACAATAAGGGTCATCTGACTCCCAAAATGCTATACTACATCTCCTTTCCTTTGTCAAACTAAATGAGCTATGCAGACATAAGCACCTTCTCTCTCTGAAAGCACCAAAATATGAGGGAATGGAGTAGAAGACATCATCCAAAGAAGATGCCAGTTAAATTGAGATAATATGGCATATTAACATGAAGATAATCAAAACTGAAGTTAGTCAAGATAGCACTGGTATAAATCTCTTTAAATGTTATTCAGATGACTGAACCAAAGATAATGGTCGAGAAATGCTTATCAGTTCAAGATGGCCAAGGCTGCCACTCTGTACCACTCCAAGGAGTTGTGTGTGCAGTTGCACCGTAACCAGTCTGCCTGGTGAAACACGGTGGCCCTGTCCGTAGCTACAGAGTTCTTTTCCTACCTCACATCATTTTTGGAAGTAAGTGCAGAAAAATATTTATTAGTAAGTAAACAACTTTTAAAAGCATTTCAGGAGTAATTTTTACTCATAAATAATGAAATACAAACTACTTAAAGTCATTCTGGGGTGGAAATCTTTACCATATTACTACCTCTTTATGTCTGCTTCTTGGCTGTCATCTTAAATCTTCCTCTTCATTCCCTCAACATTGGCCTAGTTCAAGCTCTCTTCATTTCTCTCAGGACAGCATCCAGCCACTTGTTTCCCTCTGTCTCTCTTTTTTTTTTTTTTAATCTTACTTTACTTACTTTACACGTAAGATACATGTGCAGAACGTGCAGGTTTTGTACATAGGTATACATGTCCCAAGTTTGGTACATGTGCCATGGTGTACATAGGTGTACATAAGTGTACATGTGCCATGTTTGGTACCTGGGATACATGTGCAGAACGTGCAGGTTTGTTACATAGGTATACACGTGCCATGGAGGTTTGCTGCACCCATCAACCTGTCATCTACATTAGGTATTTCTCCTAATGCTATCCCTCCCTTAGCCCCTCACCCCCTGACAGGCCCCGGTGTGTGATGTTCCCCTCCGTGTGTCCATGTGTTCCCATTGTTCAACTCCCTCTTATGAGTGAGAACGTGCGGTGTTTGGTTTTCTGTTCCTGTGTTAGTCTGCTGAGAATGATGGTTTCCAGCTTCATCCATGTCCCTGCAAAGGACATGAACTCATTCTTTTTTATGGCTGCATAGTATTCCATGGTGTATATGTGCCACATTTTCTTTATCCAGTCTATCATTGATGGGCATTTGGGTTGCTTCCAAGTCTTTGCCCTCTCATGTATCAATTGCTCTAAGGCTTAAACCCCCTCAGCATTTCCCTATCAACGAAAATACACACCCATATTCATGGAGGAACACAGGTTGCTTACAACCTTTTGACCCTCATTCCCAATTCACAACTTCTTAGATCTCAGATGTGCCCTTCTGTTTCACACCTCTGATCCCTCTGCACTTACTAGTCCCTCTGCTTGGCATGTCTTCCCCAGGATCACCTGATGAACCCCTACTCATCTTGAAACACACAGCTCAAGAGACATCTCATCTGAAAAGCCTTTCCTAGCCTTTCCATATTTAGTCTTTGTACCCACACAAGACTCTGAGTTCACTATGGAAACTGTCACAATTAATAATGTTTCCTTGTTAACATGTTTGTCTCCCCTAGTAGACCTGACACTCCTTGAAAGAATGCACATTATCTTCTATAGTTTTGCATTCCCATACCCAAGTAGAGCACCTGCATAGGGTAGGGGCCCAGTAAATACTGTTGCACTGAGTAGAATTGAATCCAATGTCATTATCATGGTCATCAACTCAGGGTTAGTGGACTCTTACAGGAGTATAATTTGTTGATAAGTGTTACATTTAGCGTTTAGAGTGGTGGAAGGAGAGACAGCCAAAACTCTTGTTGATTCTGATGCAAAGAAAACAGGGCCCTCTGAAGTAGGAGGTAAAGAAGAAAAGCTGGAGGTGCCTGAAATGTGTTCATTTCATCACTCTTCAGTGCAAGAGATTGGAATTTCAGTGCAGGCCAAGCCACTTGTCCTAGAGGGTTCTGACAGATTTTTTGGGAAAAAAATTTAAAAAGAATAAAATTCATCCAGGCACGGTGGCTCATGCCTGTAATCCCAACACTTTGGGAGGCCGAGGCAGGCACATCAAGAGGTCAGGAGTTCGAGACCAGCCTGGCCAACATGGTGAAACCCATCTCTACTAAAAATACAAAAAACTAGCCAGGTATGGTGGCACGTGCCTGTTATCCCAACTACTCGGGAGGCTGCAGCAGGAGAATCATTTGAACCTGGAAGGCGGAGGTTGCAGTGAGCTGAGATCATGTCACTGCACTCCAGCCTGGTTGACAGAGCAAGACTCTGTCTCAAGAAGAAAAAAAAAAAGAATAAAATTAAAATCTGTGGTCAGAAGGTTACAGAAAGGAAAGACACACATATCCGCTAGGGAATAGGAAGTGGTCTTGTCTTCAGCAGCAGGACTGTCTAATAAATCTGGAGAGTTTTATTGACTTCATAGGCGCAAAAATAACCACCCGGAGAAGACATCGGGTTTCACTTATTTTTTGGAAAGTAATTTTTCACAGACGCGAGGTTAAAAGAAAGTGGTTGCACGGGCCTCGGCTGTGGTGGTGTGTCTTCTGGTATGCGTAATGCAACTGGATCTCAATTCTGGGACGATGCCCAGATTCAGGGGCCTAAAGCCTCTGTTGAAAGCAATGAGGACAGAGTGTTGCCAAAATTTTATATAATGCAACTGTAGATCAATTGTCTTAGTGCAAGGGTAGACTTTGATCAGGAGCGTCTGGAGGGAGGGGTTTCATTAAATGCTGTTTTCAGCCTTTAATTCTAGGTTTTACATCTACTTGTTCCTAAGTCAGCTACAGACTCTGAATGGCCCTGACATAGAGAAACTGATCCCTAAGCCCACATCTGGCTCTCAGGCATCAGCAGTGACTGGCATGGAAGGAGTTCCTGGGTAGAAAAGATGTACAGTTTGGGAGGTTTTGCTCTTACTCCATAGTTTTTGGTCTCACGTTAGATCAGTCAGAAAGGAACACGCTTGATACTCTCTCCCTCCTGCCTCATGTCTGTGATTCATTAGAAAAACTTAAAAACTTCCCCTATACTAGGACAAGCTTTCCTAAGAAAATAATTGATAAGAGCATATGTTTGTTGGATGAATTCTTCCTAGAACAAACGTCTGGCCAAGAATAGAAAATCCAGCCAGTCTTAGAAGGTATAAGAATCTATTTCTGAACTCCTTCAGATGAACTCATCATTATGGAAAAGATGGAAGCTAAGTAATATTTCTAAGATTTTACAACTGTCATGCTTATTCCTCCTGGTCTACCTGCAGGGATCTTATCCCACAGGGCAGGGAAAACTTTTGTACTACCATCTTTCTTCTACAAATCAACAGGAACACAGACAGAATAGCCATGGTCTGGCCACACTTGGTGGTGAGTGGAGTCTCCTGGGGTGTGGGAAGACACATTATCCTCAGAGCCTTTAGCATTCTCAGCAAAATTGGACTGGGGTCCAAGAATGAGAGGGTCTGAAAACGACCATTGGACTGGGAAGCAGGAAACAAATAAAATGTGAAACCATTACATCTGAAATAATCATCTTATTTTAGAGATGACAAACATAAACGGTGGTCTCGAAATTTATTTTTTAGCAGCAGAATTCTGTTTCAGAGCAAAATCTTAGATAAAATAGCCAACATTTACTAAGTCCTTGGCATGTGCAGGACACTGGGCTAAGCACTTTACATGGGTAGTGTTATTTAATTTAATCTTCACTACTCTGAAATTGGAACTATTGTTAGGCCTATTTTACAGACAATGAAAATGAGAAATTAACGTGCCTCAGAAAACATAATACACAGCCCACTATATGGCACAGATCAAAATGGGGTTGATGTGGTGGAATTGCTGTTAGATTACCAAGAACTCTTAAATCACCCTGCTGTCTTGTTCCTCCATTACCCTCTCATCTCTCTGAAGCAACCCTGAGGCTTTATGTGGAGCAGAGTTTGATAATGTTTTTACTAGAAAACTCCTAAAATTTCTTTTTATTCTAATGCCCAATTATCCTAATTCTGGAGAGGTAAACCATAGTAACTGTCAAAACGTGCTCTTTAAGACTGGATATTGGCAAACCTTGCTCTTCCTTAAAGGGCTGGCTCAGGGTCACTTTTCACACACCTTTGAAGACTAGATTTTTAAAACTATTTTGATCCAATAAATGTAGGAATGAAATCAAAGAATTGTGCAGATATAAACATTCTGATGCTGTAAGATGAAATGTGTTGTTATATTAAAAAGTAAGGACCCATTTCTATTTCTTTAATAATTATTAGGTATTTTCTCACTAACACATTTTCTTATACATTCAGAGACAAATTGTTTCTAATAAATCCAGCCAGACGCTAGTATTAAGCATTAGAATTTTCACCTCTCGCATTAACTAGATGTCTGTCTGGGCAGTTGGCTCACCCAGAGCAGGGAGTTCATCAAGGAAAGGGAGAGACTTTTGATCTCTTCGTTGGCTTTTCACAAAGCCAACAAACTTCACAAAGCCAAAAAAACTCCACAGGCTGAACCTGTTAACTCCTAACTCACTTCAGACATTCCCAAATTGCACGATTTTAGGGTTGCTAAGAGGGTGGGGAAACAGACAATTTCTTACACTGTGGCTGTGAGTGTAAATGGGTATAAAATTATTGGAGGGCAATTTGGCAATAGCTATTAAAAATGAAATACTCATACCCTTTGACCCAATAATAATTCATCTCCTGGGAATTCACTGTAGAGAAAGACTCTACAACTGCTCAAAGATGTTTAAGAGTAAAATGATGTTTGCAAGAATATTTGTTACAGGAAAAACTGGAAAGAACTCAAAGGTGAATTAATAGGCAATTGGTTAAGGAGAGTATGGTTCAGCCATACAATACAATTTCATGGAGCTATTTAATAGAAGATTAAAAAGATGATAAGTTTTTACCAACTGACATGGAAAGATGTCTAAGACATATTGCTAGATAGAAAACGGCATGCTTTTGAGTTGAGAGTATAATCCCATTTTTTTGTAAAATAAGTGAAAAGTTAATATATGCCTTGAAAAAATTTTAACTGCTTTTCTCAGCTGTGTGGGATTACGGGGGATTTCCACTTTCTATGCTACATATTATAAAGTTTAAAGATGTTTATGTGTGTACATATACATATATATGTATATGTACACACATATACATGCACATATATATGTATATGTACACACATATACATGCCATTGCTTTCGTAATCAGAAAAAAATAAATGTTTCTATGGCTGGGTCTTCAGAAACACCTCTTAGGAAAGTATGGAAGCCTAGTCCAAATCCATCAACTTTACTGTAAAACAAAAACTTGGTTGACATCGGAACAATGATACCGCTTAACCAAAAGGAGGAGCACACTTGGAAACTTGTCTGGTCTCTAGATTCTATAAGCCATTGTAATAATTAGCCCACAGTAGAGTGTTCTTCCAAGGAGGGGCAAAGCTGAAAACTGTAGCCAGTTTTTGAACCACTGCCACAGTTAAGAAAGGACAACTGACAACCAGGGCCTCAAACGGAGTAGTCTCAGTCCCAGTGGTGACTTGCCAGGAGTGGGGGTGAGGGAGTGTCCGTAAAAGACAAAGAGTTTGTGTTTAATTTTAATTTTTACAATTTTATTGAGCTAAAATTTGGTGCAACTTCTCTAGCTCAGTTTGATGCAATTTCTCTAGCAGATCCCCATTTTGTAGAGTGTATACTTATATTAAAGGGACTCAATAAAATGAATGTAAAATTACAAATATAAAATTAGGCACAAGAGTTTGGAAGAGGCCCCTAAAAAGGAGAAGCCCTTAAGCTAAGCTTCATTAGCTTCTTCTCAGTGAATTCTTGCTACTCTGACCCAAAGTCCTTTTTTTTGTTTGTTTTTGTGTTTTGGAAACAGAGCCTCACTCTGTCAAGCAGACTGGAGTGCAGTGACAGGATCCCAGCTCACTGCAGCCTCAACGACCTGGGCCCAAGCAATCCTCCCACCTCAGCCTTCCCAAGTAGCGGGGACTGCAGGTGCACAGAACCATGCCTGGCTAATTTTCAGATTTGTCATAGAGATGTGTCTTTCTATGTTGCCCAGGCTGGGCTCGAATTCCTGGCCTTACGAGATCCTCCCTGCCTCGGCCTCCTGAAGTGTGGGATTATAGATATGAGCCACGGGACCTGGCCTCACCAAAAGTTCTTAAACCAAGAAAACACAGGGCAGTAACAGGTATTCTTCCTTTTCTTGAAGAATTATCCTGCCAAAACAGTTTCCCCACAGTTTGTGGTGAAAGCTAGAGGCATCCTGAGGCATCCCAAGGCAGCCTTGGAAGACTGCGATCTATGTTCCTTTGGGGATACTTGAGTTTCTGTGGATGGAAATGCTCTGGAGAAGCTCTATTTGTTGACAGTGGCAGACACCCAGTTCTTGATGTTCATAAAACTATGGCAGGCAGAGTTGGGAAAGATATATTAGGTCATAAATCTAGATTTGGGTCCAAGGCAGAATGGTTCACCATTGTAGTCATTCCAAGTCATTGTCCAGGCAGCTTTGAAATATCTTGAGGGCCTAACTCTTAGAAGGCTATTTTTCTCCTCTGGTTCCTGGGCAAATGTTGGGGTATTTGATTTTTTCTTTTTTAAAAAGACATGTTAGAATTGGAGCCACAGAACTACTTAATTATCTCCATTCACCTAAATTTCTATAGTGGTTTCCTTATGAAGAAAACAATTAATGTAGAGAGGCCCTAGTACCTCTGGCATAAAGTTGTCATCAAAGAACAAATCAATGATTTTCTTTGGTTCCTTGTATTTCACCTTTTGTGTTGAGTTTTGTTTCAGCTTTAAGGAAAAAGCAAACTTGCTGGGCTTCTCATTAGCCAGCATTATCAAGAATGAGTAAGATTTAAAAGCTCCTTTTTGTTAATGGAAAGGAATTAGCTTCCTTGCCTTTCCTATAAACATTTACATTGAGTCTGTTTACTCCTGTCATTGGTAAACCTCATTTGTTCCCAAGTTTTATTTTAGGCTATTACAGGGCTAAGAAAAAAATGGGAAATCCTAAAACTAAGCTTTCATTTTTTCATGTTTTCTTTTAACTTCATATTGAATGATCCTAATCTTCCAAAAGATTTTAGTGGCTACTGTTGTGTAGCAAAGAGGGAGACTGTTCTAGACTACAAAGAGAGTAGACTTGAATTAATACAATTGCTTGACTAATGTATGCTATATGTCATTAGTGAAATCATTTATGTGCCTTGCATGCATGCATGTGTGTGCATGTATGTGATGTGATGTGGTTTGCTTGCTTGTTCATGAAAATATTCAGAACAATTCTCTTTTTGATCAGTAATGCTACTAGCAAATACAGAAGTGCTGAAGAATAATATGATATTTGAATATTTGCATTTGAAAGCCTATTATCATTTTAAACCAAGACAAGTGGGTGTTAGTTTACTGATGCCAGTGACATCAGCATTAGTAATGGGCTCTTTTAGCAAAAAGCAATCCTCAAAAGTCTTTTTTTTTTTTTTTTTAAGAATTCTGAAAGATGAGCTCCCAGTTAATCAACTCTCAAGGAGCTGACTGTAAATGTTATCTGAGTTAAACTTATCTGAATTTAATTAGATTAAAAAGTTGACTGGGAATTCATCCAAAATGTGCTCATCAAAAAACAAAGGTATTTGAAAGTGGAGGAAAACAAACAGGATTATGGGTGACAAAATTAATTTGAAATCTCTTAAACCTGGAAAAATCATTAAAGATAGAAATGCTGAATGTAAATCATTTTATTTTTATTTTAAAAATAATTAATGAAATATGTCTATCCCTGGGGTTTTCTGTGACATGTTCCTTTCAGAAAAGTGCTCTTCCACACTAACAAATAAAAATTATCAAAAGGTACAAAATTAACCAAAGGTACAACATCACTGAAAATCACCATAAGGCCAGGCGCGGTGGCTCAAGCCTGTAATCCCAGGCTTGAGGCCCAGGCTTTGGGAGGCCCAGGCGGGCGGATGACGAGGTCAGGAGATCGAGACCATTCTGGCTAACAAGGTGAAACCCCGTCTCTACTAAAAATACAAAAAATTAGCCGGGCGTATTGGCGGGCGCCTGTAGTCCCAGCTGCTCAGAAGGCTGAGGCAGGAGAATGGTGTGAGCCCGGGAGGCGGAGCTTGCAGTGAGCCGAGATCGCGCCACTGCACTCCAGCCTGGGCGACAGAGTGAGACTCCATCTCAAAAAAAAAAAAAAGAAAAAAACAGAAAATCACCATAATAATATTTTTCCACCCAAATCATTCAATTTGCCAAAATACTTTTTGTTATAATTTGTGGATGTAGTTAAATGTAATCTCATAAAGAATTAAAAGTATTTTAATTGTGCATTAACCAAATTCTGTTTAGGAAAAATAATAAAATTACTTGAATTTAGAACTGTTCGGAAAATTATAAACTATATAATGAAAAGTTCATACTGCTAGTGACCTCAATATGGGGGCTATACCAAATTTCTTACTGGCAAATAAATTGTAAGCTCTTAAATAGATGGATATCTGTCCTGAATCGAATGCTTTAGATAAGGGTTGGGCTTAATATAAGTGTTTGTAGCACAAATGAACATGATTGAATTCAGGTAGGTCTTAAGTTGTTCACTGTTTGCTATATATTTTCCTGATTGTCTTTTTTAGTTATGCCTCATTTAAATAGTAACTGACCAAGTGATAACAACTATATGTATTTAAAATGCTCTCTGTGCAGATGAGCACTTTCAAAAGTTCTCCAAAAATTAGCATGTCTACATTGGTTAGGAATTTGGCTTAAAAAGAAAAAAAATAATTTTCTCATATAATATGTAATATTTAAAAATCTAGTGGTAGAATAGATCCAGTTTCTTAAACAATGCCTTTCTTTAAATCTAACTTTACTACTTTCTGTGCTGCTTTAAATGTCTTTCTTTAAATCTAACTTTACTACTTTCTGCGCTGCTTTCATTCATAGGTATATCTAGTAGCAAAGATGGAACCACCCAGCAACCCCAGGGAGAAGGAGAGTGTTTGTTTTACCATAGAAGCTGAGTTCCCATTGCCCTAGCTTGTATCACATGCCCATCCCTCAACCATACACTAGTGCTGCAGTGGTGAGCTGGTGTATTATTAATAGTTTCTTATGGCTCCCATAACAAATTTCCAAAAACTGGTGGCTTAAAACAAAAGAAATTGATTATCTCACATTTATGGAGGCCACTAGTCCAAAGTCAAGGTGTCAGCAGGGTCATGCTACCTCTGGAAGCTCTGGGGGAGATTTTGTTTCTTTCTCATCCAGCTTCTGGTGCCTCCAGGTATTCCTTGGTTTCCGGCCACATCACTGCAATCTCGGCCTGTGTGGCCATTGCTTCCTCATCTTATCTTTATGTCTCTTTGGTGTGTCTGTGTCAAATTGCTTCTGCCTTTATCCCATAAGGGTACACATGATTGTATATAGAGCCCACATGGATAATCCAGGAGGATTTCATCTCAAGATCCTTAACCTAGTCACACGTGCAAAGGCCTTTTTTCAAATAAGGTCACATTCACAAGTTCCACAGGCTAGGATTTGGACATATCTTTTTAGGGGCCACCATTCAACCCACTACAGCTGCCAGTTTAACAATCTCCTTGGCAAGAAAGGGTATACCCTGATCTTGTAGCATTTGCCCAGTTCTGTAGTGTAAACGCTGCTACCATGGCCAACTTCAAGCTATCAAAGGGAAGTCAATGAACATGGAATTGGGAAGAGATGTATAGCAGCACGCCATTATCCGGTGTTTCTACTACCAGATCCAACAGATGTAAGTAAACTCAAGAGCATAAATAATAGTAAAATGCAGTCAAATGATTAGGAAGTGATGATAAGGTTGATGTATCATTACCTTCATTTTTAACATAATTTAATTATAAGGTTGTGAACTTTAAATTTTAATGGTGAGTGTTTAACAACTGGCACATGAAATTTCTGAACATTTACCAGTTGATTTGGATGAGTTGATATGAGTTGGCTGCAACAGACCACTGGATAAAATACGCTGACTGATGGGGCCTGAGTCATAGAGCCTAGGGTGTAAGGTCAGCAATAGCCAAACCACATGAACTGGAAATAGGGTGTGTGGTTTCTTTTAGAGAAAACTGGGGTGCTACTACCTAAAGAAGGAGAAAGTAACATTGGGAAGACAAAAACAACGAATCCACCTCAGTCCTCAGTGTCATTGTTTCAACATATTTTAATGATTTCAGGCTAGGAAAAAACTTTCAGCAAAGTTTCCAAGAATTACAAGTATGACTGCTGTGGGTATGCACGTACCTGCAAATCAGACTCTCTCCTCCTATGGAAAAAAACACAGTTTTTCACATTTCCATTTTAGTTAGCCCATAAAATCTGGCTTTTTAAGCCTGGACACATTTATCCCAAAGTGATTGTGCTCAGAAAATGTGAAAGAAACGAACAGCCTTTTTTTAAAGTATATATTTTTTAGTTTTTAGCAGTTTTATTTATGTATTTATATATAATTCACATTTTATATAAATATAAAATTATTTTATATAGTATATATTTATTGATATATGAGTTATATATCAATAAATAGATATTAATTATGTAAATAAACTTATGTCTAATTCACACATTGTGCAATTCATCCATTTAAAGGGCAAAATGCAATGGTTTTTAACAAAATCACAAAGTTGCACAACCATCACTACAATTAATTTTACAACATTTAATCAACCTAAAAAGAAACTCTGCACCACTTTGCTGTCATCCTCCAGGCTCCCCAAACTCTCCCCAAGCTCTAGCCAATCACTAGTCTAGTTTCTGTCCCTATAGAATTGCCTATTCTAGGAATTTCATATAAGTAGAATGGTACAATACATATTCTTTTGTGACAGGCTTCTCTTACTTAGCATGATATTTTAAGGTCCATCCTTGTTAACGCATGTATTAATATTTCATTTCTTTCTTCACCAAATAGCATTCCATTACACGTATATCCCACGTTAAGTTTATCCATTCATTGGTTGATGGACGTGTGGATTGCTTTCCCTTTTTGGCTATTATGAAAAGGCTGCTGTGAACATTCATTTACAGGTTTTTACGTGGACATAAGTTTCCATTTCTCTTAAACCAATGGTCTCTTTAGTAAGTGTTCTTATTTTCCACATGATTAAGGAAACTGCTATTTAGGAGTTAACTCAGAAATATCTCATGTAGAATTTCAAACCTCTTGAATATTGGGTCACTACCTCCAACCCTGCTATTTCTTGGTAGGGAGGAGGAGGGTGCTGTCTATCAGGAAAAAGTTGGATCTGACTTGGGGCTCACAGATCACTGCACAGGGGTGACTGAATTCCCTTTGCAGCACCTGAGGCCAGGTCTGGCCCACAACTGGCTCACAGTAATCAGCCCATCACAGTGTTCCTTCAGGGACTCTCCACATATAAAGTATACAGAGTAAGAAAAATAAAACCTTAGTCTCTGACCTGGAAATCAGAGTCATGGGGTTTGGGAAACTTGCAGGAAAGAAGAGGAAAAAAAAAATAGCTTTCCTGATAGAAGCCAATGAAGTTAATTTTCTCCCTTGTGTGACTTGGAGGAGTTCTTTGGTGTGTCCTGCAGACCTGCAATGAAAAAGAAGGCCCTATATTAATTTATACAGCAACTCTTTTCCAAGAAATTCAGAGCATTTCAAACAGTCTTTCACTCATTCCCCTGAGGGATTTTGCACAGTGTGCATAAGAAATTACTTCTTTTAAAATTTACACTCTTCAGTTAGCCAGTACTGAGCAGAAATAGAACTAGAAAAGCAGACCTCCTGACCAAACATTCCGCTATAATATTTTCAGTGAGCTTCTATAAATCAGTGTATATCCTTAAAAACAGGATCTCCCCATAACAGCCCCATGACCACTCACCGGTGACTGACATTCCTTTCAGCAAGAGCAAAAGTTTCCCTTCCAAATTAGAATCCACTGGTATGGCATGCACTATAAAACTGAAGTGTATCATTATTCATAATTAAGTGCTCAGGATCACCCAGACCCTCAGACCATCCAGTTTTACTCTCCAGCTCAGCCCTCCTAACTCACCCCAGCTGAGGACCCCTTAATAATCCTGAAACTGGTGGAGTGCAAGAGAGGAGTCCTGCTCGTAAACCCCAGGCAAAAAACAGGAGACGAAATCAGTCCTGCTCTCACTGTTGTTTCTTGCTCTGTCTCGGTGCTGTTTTTACACGGGGCTGCACTGCCCCTCAGGGCCTTGCTGACCATTCTGGGTAGCATATTCAGCTCCAGCTTCCCAAAGCCCACCAGCATCAGCCACATGCAGGGCTAAACTTAGCCCTCAACCCCAAACACTAGTTCCTCGTGTGGGGCCTTTTCTCAAGATATTCTTATTGTGAAATCCTCAGTATCCATCCCTGGGAAAAGAAAATCTTGGTCCGAGCCACACTAGCTCATGTGGAATCTTGGGAAATAACATCCTGGGGAGTATCTGTGCCTTTCTTTTTCCCACTTCAAGAAAACCTCTGGGATCCATAAGTTCCCTCCTAGTGACTACCAGAGAATGGGAAGTTTTAATCCAGTTAGTGACAAAAAGTGCGTACTAGTGTCTCACGCTGCCCCAGCCTCAGGCATATTTTGTTTGGGACCCCATAATCTTAATATGCACATTATTTAAAACGTGTACTAGTTGTCAGCTAGCACTGGCCACACAGTTTGTGAGGGACCAGTGCAATGCAAAAATGCAAGCCCGTTGTTGAAAGTTTAAGAATTGCAAATTGGCCTTTTTTTTTTTTTTTTATTTGTTTGTTTGTTTGAGGCGGAGTCTCGCTCTGTCACCCAGGCTGCAGTGCAGTGGCGTGATCTCAGCTCACTGCAAGCTCCGCCTCCCGGGTTCATGCCATTCTCCTGCCTCAGCCTCCGGAGTAGCTGGGACTACAGGCACCCGCCACCACGACTGGCTAATTTCTTTGTATTTTTAGTAGAGACAGGGTTTCACCGTGTTAGGCAGGATGGTCTCGAACTCCTGACCTTGTGATCCACCTGCCTCGGCCTCCCAGAGTGTTGGGATTACAGGCGTGAGCCACTGCAGCCGGCCAGGCAAGCAGGGTATTTAAGCCAACGTGGGGCACTTCTAAGTATGGGATCCCGTGTGACTGCAAAGGACACACACCCAGGAAGCCAGCCCTGCTGCCAATATTTAAAAAGCAAAAGATTCTTCAAATAGAGAATCTGGTAACCCTGGGTCTGCATCTCCAAATGGCTGTACATAATGGGCTGGTGCAGAGTATCATCTTGTTGTATTGGTTTGCTGCGCTTGCCATTACAAAATACTGCAGATTGGGTGGCTTAAACAGCAGAAATTTATTTTCTCACAATTCTAGGGGCTCAAGTCTGAGATCAAGTTGTCAGCAGGGTTGGTTTCTTCCGAGGCCTCTTTCTTTGTAGATGGCTACCTACTCCGTCTTCATATGGTCTTCCCTCTATACATGTCTGTGTCCTAATCACTTCTTACAGGGACTCCACCAGTCATACTGGATTAGGGCCCACTTCATAATAACTTAAGTACCCCCTTAAAGGCCCTATCTCCAAATACAGTCACATTCTGAGGTATCAAGGGTGATTTTGGAGTGGCACAGTTCAGCCTGTAACACAGCTTTTCCCTTTGGGGAGGGGTGCAGTGTTCCAAGTCACTGTGCTTACTCCAACCCAAACATGCTCACACACACACAGCATCTCCCCATCCCTGAAGCAGGGGTCGGTTGCTATAGGTCATCTCATTTGTGCTGCTGTTCTTCCTCTGGTTCGCTTCTCTCATTTAGAGAGACCTGCTCCTCCCCTGCCGCACAAGGAATAGTGACAGTGTTCACAACAGGACAAGGGCTACACACTCCCTTCACATCTGTAAAGCTAAGGTTGCTGTTCAAGTGATCCTTCACGGGACAATCCATTTCTACACACACACACACACACACACACACACACACACACAGAGTACCCATTACATAGAGATAACCATTTAAATGCAATGCTGAAGGAAAAAATTGCCATGAGGTATAACTGACTGCTCACCTCAGAAACTAGATTTGGAGATTTTAGGAGAGAAAAACCCTCAGCGACTACATAATTATTCCCCAGGGCTGATCCCACTTAAAAATTCACCTGACTGTACAAGGGATGGCCCTAAATTTCAATGGAAACCCAACCATGTAGCCCCTTAGAGAGACCGTACTCTCAAATTGGTCTTTGTACCTATTTGTAGAAAAATGTTAGCCAGATTATAGCTGAAAACTCTGCTAATTCTGGGGAAGATTTTGGTCTTGTGCCTGGAACTATTGAAGCATATATTCACACCTACCACATGTAACACTTAGTAGCAGAATTTCCAGCACAATACTTTAGTACTTTATTTTTAAAAGAAACAGAGCAGAGACTGAAGCCCTGTTCACTCTGCAGCTTTCTTGCAGGAGGCTCCACAAAAGGTGGTGGTGAGGGAGGTTCTGTGCTCAAAAGAGCTATTTTTTTATTTTTAAAAGGAAAGGAGACACTAAAATCTTTGCTCACAATTAGGGAACTCATGATGCTGAAACATAACATTTGCACCTGCCTGTAGATTGAAAAAATAATGTCAAATTTGCAAGGCTCTGAGAAAATAGGGTGCGGTGTATTAGTGATTTAATCAATCCCAATCAACATTAGAGTTCAGACAACACCTTACAGACATCTTACTGTAACCCCTTTGGTTTTTAGAGAAGGAAGGGGAGGTTGGAACATTTTAAGTGATTTGCCCCAGATCAGCTCTCCACCTAAAATGCAGGTCTTTTCTTTCAGATGAGCGTACTTTCCACTGCACCAGGCTACTTCTAAACAGGCATTGTCCTGTCAGCCTCAATTGCATGCAAAAAAAAAAAAAAAAAAAGACAAAACCCCTCTCGCTCTCCACTAGAGTCTCTATTTGGACTCTAGAACGGACAAAGCAACGGCTATTTCAACTTCAACTCCCTTAGCAAATGGAAGAAAAGGCATCTGACCCGTGGACTCCTCCAGCTGGTCCCCGGGTCTCACCGCCTGCGGGTCTCCACGTCAGCTCGCAGGCATCGGCGGCCAGTCGGACACCAGGGGGCGCAGCAGCCTTTGTCCTGACAGGTATTGAAGAATGAAGCCAGACTGGGCCGTCAAGAAAAATCTGACTTCCCTCCTTTCAGTTTCTCTCATTGGAACCAGCCCACTCCCCAGCCCCCTTCATTCGCCTTAAAGCCATTTTCTGCTTCCTCCTCATGCTCAGATTCTCAGGGTGCAGGGATGCAGCAGTTCAGAGACCCCTCTCCAGGAGCTCCCCCGCTCTGCCAAGGACACCCTAGCAGTGGTCCACCATTTGTTCTCACTTGCAGGCCTCTGAACTCAGGATGTTTTTGGCTATTCTTCCTGAATGAAGAACCCTATAGAACAGGACCAGCTTCCCAGAAGAACTGTCACATCTATCCTCTAATATCCCTCCCCTTTCCACGCACAAAAACAATCACAAATTAAATAACATGTCTGGGAAGCTCACGCGGCCTGGACCTATCCCTCACCACCCTCTGTCTGCCCCTACAGTCTAAGGACAGCCTTTGGTAGTAGCTACCTACCCAAAGGGACAGGCTGCAGCACCTTCACCATACCTCTGCCATTCTCACCAACCCATGGTGCACCCCAAGCAGGATAACTGCCTCCTTGTAACCCCACCAGCTTGCCTCTGTGTGCCCTCCAGCAGAAAGAAATCCACTTGACCCTTGCCAAAGTCTCCTGATTCCAAAGATTCAGTAATAAATGAGCATCCTCTTCTACTTTAAGACATACTCCTAACCCTGCCCCTATAGACACAAACGGACACAATGCAAACCCTCAGATGTCAAAAACGTACTCTTTCACAAAGACTCCTGAAACTCCTCTGTTCCAGAGGGAAAGGCTACAGGGTCCTTCCTATGCAGGCCTTTGAAAAGCAGCTGTATGTTTACATAGAGAGATTCCAAGTTTACACAGTCCTTTCCCTGTCTGTTATTGGAGCCTCTCAACAACGCTGAGAGATAAGCAGTGAAATCTAAAGCTTAGAGGCTTGCCTCAGGACCAGACCTAGTACAGCGTAGAAACAGCACTGAGGGCCCGGGTGACAGAGCATGGAAACACTTGCTTGTCCAATTGCACCAAGGCCTGGAAGAAATGCAGCCACCATAGAAGATCATCAGATTACATACACTGAGGGAGCCTGTGGTCTCAGGAGCCAGGCAGGGGCAGGAGGAACAGTGCAAAAGAAGCGGTGATGTCAATTCTGACCCGACTCTTCTTTTTACCTGTGGCCTCGCTCACTTCTTTATTTCCACGTTCATCTTAGCTAATGTAGAGTACCGGGAAGTGCTGAGCCCGGAGACAGGTAGCCATGGTTTGTTATCTTGGTGGTGAGCCTCCCAACTCCACACTCATAAAATAATGATAACATCTATTATATATACAAATACATCACCAAAAAAAAATGAAAAAATCAGTGTAATTCCAGGAGACGGAGCAGGGTAGGAGACTTTTACTTTCATTTTATGCTGTTTTCTATTATTTGAAGTATCTGGATTTACGCATGTGTTCCTTTTATGATTTTATTTTTAAAATTTTATTGGGGTTAATGATGCTCTTTAGCGTTGCTGCAAAGATGACTTATGTAACATATCTGGCATGGTACGTGGTCTGGTGCACAGTTGATGCTCACTCAACAGTAGTTTATTGTTAGCTATATACTTCCGTCAGAACTGTGGGCAAATGGGACCTCAAATCAAGAGACCCGGGGTCTGTGGCACACTCTGCTCTCAGATCCATGTATGCCTTTTAGTAAGTCAAGTCCCTTGGAATCTATGTAAACATAGTAGCTGCTTTTCAAAGGCCTGCATAGGAAGGAATCTGTGCCTCAGTTTCTTTATCTGTAAAGCAATGAGACACAAGCCACTTGATTTGAAAAATGGTGAGAAGGACAGGACAACATGCTCACCACCCAAAATGCCTGAGATACCTTCTAAAATTCAGTCACAGTCTTTGCAAGGGAGGCTTCTTAAGTTTGAGTTCATCAGACAGAAACTCTTTCTAGGAGAAGTTGTCATCTAGGATAGACAGAAAGGGCTGGAGATAGCTGAATAAGTTCTAAAGCAAGTACAGAAATTAAATCAGGAAACAATGTGTGAACAGTATAGGGCCATCAGCGTAGGATGGGAGGTGAGAAAAGAAGGTTTGAGGTGTTCCTTGAGTGCAGTTGGCACCACGATCATTTCCTGACAGGGGAGATGCCCTTGGTAGGCAGAAGGGGTGTGATTCAAGGTCCAGGCATCCCTGGCCCGGACACAGCCAGCCCTAGCCCAGCTCCCTAGGATGAGAGTTCTGTATGGGGCACAGGGCTGGCGCTGTTGAGACCAGGCCTCCCTAGGCAGATCCAGGAGCAGAGCTGCCCTTTGGACAAATTACTTTCGGCAAAGTCAGAAGGAACCCACTGCCCAAGAGAATTGGGCTAAAGCACCTCTGAAGTTTCTTCCAGCATAAACTTTATCTTAACAACAACCAAAAAAAGTGGGGAGACTGGACCATAGGAGGTGCAGATGCCCAAACATGATCCTCTCCCTGCTTAGCAGCTAGTCTGGGGATACCTATTTTTTATGCACTCCAACTCCTGAAAACCAACTAAAGATTTGTTCCTGGAACACACAGCTGATTCATTTCCTACGCCACTCAGAACGGGAGATTTCCCTCCGAGTCTCCTTTGCCAAAGCTTGGCCTTTGGGGGATAGGAGGCAGGTAGTCTAGTGGGTAGAAAGGTCGCGACTTTCTTTTGCCCCGCGGTCTCCTTCCTATTTAAAGCAGCACCGCCTGTCGAAACAGCTTTGTGCCAATATTTGCAGGCAGGAAGATTTTCTGACATTGTAAGGGGGTTGTTGGAAGCAGATGGGAGGCCCTTTCCCAAGGCCATCGGCAGACCAGAAATTGGTTACACCCGCACCCAGGGAGGAATCCCTAGCCCCCACTCTCACGATCAGCGCCCATAAGGTATCTGCATTTACATTTTAAAAAGAAAGAGGAATTTTTTTTGTATCTCTGAATCATCTGGCAGCGCCTGATATTATACATCTCCCCCTAAAGCCCCTGTTGTCCCTCCCTAAAGAGGAGGTCGTGTTTTCAATTCTTGAGAGATCTGGAATAACGGTATCAGAGCATGCCAACAGCTAGAAGACCCCCAACTTCCCCCCCCACCCCACCCAGGTCTTTCGCCCTATAGGAATTGGGGGCAGCGGGGGTGGCGATTTGCAGCGAGGCAAGGGCAGGTAGCAACAACTCCGACTGATCTCCAGAGGCAAAACCAAACTAAACGTAGTTCCAACCATCATGTTTTAACAAAATCTGCATTCTGTGAAAGTCTGTTTTTTTCTTAGAGAAACGCCCTTCGTTTTTAATTTTGCGTCACTTTCGCAGGCTGCCCTGAATGCCTAACCACTTGTTAAAATGCCTCTGTGCTTTGCTTTTCCGTGTGGTTCTTTTCTGTGCCCGTTTGTATCTCTAATAAGCGGCATTGTTTATTATCCTTGGGTCGGGGCCCCTGGGACTGAACCGAAATAATACAGAGGCACCGAGGCTGAGCGCTGGAAAATACTCCGGGTTTCCCAGGCCCAGGAGGGTCCCCGGGGCCGCCAAACGACCCTCCTGGGGAAAGCCCACCCGTGCGTGCGTGCCTGGTGAAGGGCAAGTTTGCACGAGTTTTTCCAGGCAGGGAGAGATCATGGGCAATCCAAAGCCCAGATGAGTGGGTATAGAAAGGGGCACACGGGGAAGGGAAATGCCACTGTGGACCGGTAATGGGGGTGTGACTTAAGAGCCAATATTGACAGGATGACTTTTTTTAAGGGAGGCGGGGGACTGCCGCGCGGGAAGCGTTCTGAGCCGTCTTTTAGCTCGAAGTCTCAACTCTCATCCCTATGCAAGAAATTGTCACTAATAAATTCTTTTTTCCGCATAGCCCATCAGTCCTCGCTGTTAAAGCGAGTATCCTAAACAAGATGAGGCTAACTTCCCTCCTTCTCCGTAGTTACCTAATATTTGCCCACATTTCGTTTTCAGCTGGGTGCTTTGTGGCCGTAGGGAATGTAAGTGCATGCCCCAGGAAATAAAGTGCCGCTGTTCCCCAGCCACAGATCAAGTCTTTTCTTCCCTTTGGACCCCAAACGAGCCCTGCTTTGGGGCTCTCCAAAATTTCGCTGCTCCCAAAACGGAGTGGGGTTCGCTATCAAAAAGCAGAAACCCGCATGGGAAACATAACGCGGAATGCCTTTGGCGTCTCGGGGAAAATTTCCCGGTTGAACCCAGTCTACGCTTCCACACCCCCTAAATTTAATGTCGGGCGGGCTCCGTTGCAGAGTTTGCCCTAAAGAAGGTTGTTAAATACGTGCCATTCTCGGGACCGTGTGCTCCTCAAATGAGACTTCCAGCCCCAGGGCCCAGCCTGAACTGTCCTTCCCACAGGTTCGCATGCGAGACCAAACCCCCACCCCGCTAGCTTCCAAAAATTCTCCCAACAGGCTACAAAGACTGCTCAAATTGTCCTCGCTAGCTTCGCTCCCCCATTCAGTTAGATTGTTTAAAAATACAGAGATCTGTTTGCTCGCAAGAGCAGAGAGTGATTTCCCTCAAGCAACTCGTGCGAGAGCTTTAGGCAGCCCCTGGGTTGCAGCGAGTCCAAGCGTCGGTGGAGTTTTCCGAATTTCAAGAAGTAGTAAAGTGAATTTCGGTACAGGGAAAAGTGCCGGGTGTTGGAGCGCAAGGTGGGGGCGGGAGCCCAGGAAGCCGCCAGGAGGTTTTTTTGTTTTTAATGTTAGACACGCATGAAGGCGCAAGCTTCGTGGTTTCCGAACTTAGAGAATCGTGCCGAGTTTGGGCCCATCTCCGCAGCCAGGGGCCCAGCACAGAGCACAGGGGGCTGTTTCCAGTTTTCAAAGAGCGAGCAGAGGCGCGGGAGCAGCTCGCTAGGCACTGCCACATGCAGCTGACTGTCCGCTGCTCCCGGCTCTTCCGCCCTCTCTCTTCGCGTGGCACCCCCAGAGCCATCCCACTGCTGCCAGTATTGCGCAGAAGAAGAAGGGTTCCAGGCGGCAGAATCCCCCAACAGGTAGTTTCACCCGGGCGCTGGCCTGGCTTAAATATCAAAGGCTGGGCCGCCTGTGCCGTGCTAAACTGGAGCCGAAGCACTGACACCTAAAGAGTCTAGGAACGAAAGCTGCGTTCTGGGAGTCACTTTAAATAACCTTGTTTTCTCTCCACCCTCCAACTTCTCCCGAAATAGCGTGAGCCCTGCCGTTTGGAACGGCGCTCAGCGAGCCTAAATAAGCTGCTTCAGGCTGTAAACTCACAGCCAATTTGGGGTCTTTTTTTTTTTTCACCCCCGGTAGTTACTACAGAACCCAACTCGGCTTTAGAGCCATAGGTATTTATTTGGGAATTGGAAAATTCCCCTCAAAGCAAAAAAGGAAAAGGGTGCGCTGCAGTTGTATGATATAATTGAATTATGCCTTCCCCTGGCGCACAGTAAGGAAAAGCGGAATGCCAGTAGGTGTGTAGAATGGGCCGCGGCGGCCTCACGCCCCAGAGGGCGCACCACATTTCCTTCCCAGGGTGCAGGGAGAACTTGGGTTGGGCGACTTCGTTCCGCCCCCAGCATAAATGCCCAGGTTAGGGCATCACAAAAACCTAGTCCTGGGTGCTCTGTCGGATCGCTAGCACCAACGTCCCCGCCAAGGACCGCGAGCGCACGTGGTGCGCGGAGACCAGACACCGCGTGCGACGCGAAACTACGCGCGTCGCTCCAAAGCTCCCTGGCGCGCGCGCGCGCTCGGCCCTTGCTGGGCGGCGGGATACTGGGACCCTCGGCGAGAGAATCTAATCCCGCCTTGGCAGATAAGACTTGCCCTCTACCGCCCTGAGCCGTCGCCGGGTAGTGATTTCTGCACGGAAAAAAAACCGCGGAACTCCTGGCCCTGCCTTGTCTGTTTCCTAAGGAAATGTCTTTTACACTCCGCACAGTCACCCGACCCCCCAGTGCCTCTGGGACCTTGGGCGGACCTGACCGAAGAGACTTGGATCTTCAACCGCCTAGGGAGCTGGCCACTCCTTCCCTTCTCCCTTCTCCCCTCTCCCAATCGCACCCAGCTCACTCCCTCCACACCCGCCCCAGCACTGTTAGCTTGCCCTGAGCCTCCGCCACTAACTGCGCTACCTAAACTTTCCAAAGAAAAGTTTTCTCGCGCTTTGCCAGCTCAAGTTTGCCCCAGCTGGCGCTGGCAGGAGGAGAAAAGGAGTCCCTCTTCCCCCTCCACCTATCCTCCTCTCCCTCCCGTCCTCTCCCTCCCCTAGGAGTCCAAACCTTGAGGGTGGGAGCGCGCGGTGGTGGAGCCCCCGAAGGCACTGACTGTGCAGGGGACGGAGTTCGTTTCTCATCCCCCACTCTCAGTGCCTCGACCGTTCCCGCCCCCTCCTCCCCCACCTCGCTTTCGGCGGGGAACTGCGGGCTTGTAGTTTAGTTTTGTTCAAATTTATTTCTCTTTTTTAAGATTTTTTTTTTTTTTTTAAGATCCCACCCTTCCCAAGCCTCGCGCGTCTGCCTGCCTTCCAGCTCCCGGCGTGGAGCTCAGGAGACGCACCCTTCGCGCCGGGCGGGTTGTCTCCCGAGTGGGGGCCAGGGGCTCCCTGGCCGCGATTTCGCTGGCCTAGTTTCGTCTCCCTAGGAGACCTAGGTCCTGTTGTGAGGCTAATTCGTGCGGGAGCTCGGCCTCACAGTAAGTGCCTCTTACCCCACCCTCACCCGAAGCTGTCGATGCAGCGGGTTTAGGGGGATGTTTGCGAGACAGCAATAGGTAGCAGTTGATAGGAGACCCTGTTCTGACGTCTTCTTGAGTTCTTTACACATACAGGTAATTAGAGATAGAAAAGATCCCCCCCTCAAGGTTCTATAACTCCTTGCGCACCGCCAGGTGACCATCACAGAAACCGCCCCAAGCTAGTTAATTTGTGGCCTATTATGTTTTTATTTTGTCTAGGATTAACGAGATTTGAGATTTTGTAGCCAAATTTACTACCCCGGGGCTTCAACTTTCAAACCAGCAAGCCAACGGGAACGTTGTGGCGAAACTGGATCTCCTTCTGCGTTGCTGGGGCGCGTGCGGGGAATAGAAACGAAATCCGTCGCCGACGGTGTGGCGTGGACTGCTGGGCCTGGGGACGCTGGGCGGGCTTTTCTGAATCCCATCGGGTTGGGCTTGAAATCGGACTTGACCCTGCCAGGGTTGTGCTCTGCGCTTAGCCTAGATTTTTCCACTTGGCCAGACGGCTCCTATCACACGTGGCAGATGACGCCCGTCCGGAGCGACGTTCCCAGGGGCAAGCGGTTTCAGGATCACCTTTACCTTTAGCTCAGGTTACGGGGGGGGGGTGTCGGTTACCTCGTGTGACTGCGGATATGAAATCTCCACCCAGAGCAAAGATGGCTACAAATCCTCTCCCCTCCGCATGAACATCAGGAGACTTGACTCCGGCGCCCACCGCAAGTCTCTTTCCAGTGCTGGGGTGAACACGTGCCCCACGCGCCCCCCGCGCCCGCGGCGCGCCCCCCTTCCCGTGGCTTAGCACAGGTCCCGCTTCTACTGTGCGCGCCGGGGATCAGGGTCGTGCCTCCTCAGCCCACAGGCGAGGCCTCCCACCCGCTAGGCTGGTCCCTGTACCACTTGGCCCATGTTGCCACCATGGCGGTGTCAGAGAAAGCCCTGCGGAGGGTCAACCAGAAAGGCAGGAAGTTTCTAGGCTCCTCGAAATGGCACCCGAGGAGAAGCAAAACCGTGCAGCGACATTCGTGGAACCCCTAAGTCATCTTTGAAAGGCCGTTTGAAGAGGGAGGGGTGTGAGGGGAGAAAAATACAGGTGAGGGGGAGGATAAAGTTATGGGTGTAAGCCGCCTCGCTTCTTAACTCTTTACCTAACCACCTTCAAGTCTGAGCGGTTGACACACTGGGCTTTTAAGTACCAAACTCCACGGAGATGGGGCAGAGGAGAAGCACCCCCAAACCCGCAGAGCTAGCCGCTGCCCGCTCTCTCCAAATGTGGCAGCCGCACTTCGGAGCGCAGAAGCACGGCTCTGATTTGCGTTTGCTTCGAAGATAAAGGATCCCGTTCACAAAGGAACCCCTGCTTCCCTTTCCCTACTCCACTCCTCTGCACCTTTCGCATAGCCTCAGACCCTTTGATTGCATTTATTTATTTTTAAGCTCCGGTACCCTAGATTTCACTGGGAGATTTTAAGGCAAGAATGGAGAAAGATGGGATTAAGAAAAAGAGCTGGCTGTGTTCTAGGGCAAGGTTAGAGAGGAATTGAAAATCGAGGGTAGATGAATTTGGGGATGTTTTAAAATTTCATTTCCCACAGAAGCTACCTCCTTTGCACTAGAACCTATTTAAATTATTGGGACAGGAGGAAGCTAGGAGTCTCCGTGGGAACAAAAAGTTAAAGGCTTTGGAGATGCCCCTTTCTCTTACCTCTACTCAAATGAATAAAAAGCAGCTCTCCTTTCAATTTAGTGACTGTACCCTTCAACACGCTCACTTCCGCCGCGAAAGTGTGTTAATGGCCAGTTCCCCCAGGGAGGCCGAGCTCAGGAGAGTGGCCCAAGACGGACTCCCAGAACCCCTGGAGCTGGGCTTTTTATTCTCTAGGATGGATGCTGGGAAGGGCCGAAGGTGGAAGCTGCAGTGCCTAGGCTGTAGGGGTGTGGGAAGAATGCCCCAACCACCCCTCTTCCTTCAAAGCCCCTCTTCTGCTGGTTATTTAAACCCTCAAGATTGTATTTCTAATCTTGATGGCTATGTTGTTCTTTTTTGAAAGTAGCAATGTATGTTGGTAGTTCTTTTAGTATGTATGCCCTTCATTTGCTTTTGTTTGTAGTTACGGATTTTTTTTCTCCTTTTTGTCTTTCCTTTCTTTACCCTGCAGTCTTGGCAACCCTGTAGGAGGAGGTTCAGTGGGGAGGATGAAATCGACCCGTTTATTCTTGTTAATCACACACAAAACAGTATAAACACTGACTCTCAATTATTAATAGGATCCTTCTATTAAAAAAACCCAGTCATTTAGGTAGAACTGGTTAGGACTGAGAAATCGATAATACTGGTGAACTAGCTTATTCTGTCCCTTTAAGAAAAAATCCATAAAGCTCTTCCATCAGCCCAGTGTCTGGGAAAGAAGCAAACTAACTGCTTGGAACAAAAGAGACAAAGAGGCCAAACAACAAAACAAACAAACAACTCCCTCTACCCCCCCCTTCTGAGACAACAATAGACTAGACACAGCAAGTGCAGTTACTGCCTGGCCCGGCTGCTCCTGTCGACCTGCCAAGTCTCCCGCATTTGGCTGGAGACTTTCTCTCTCACCCCACTCTCGCACCCCCATCACCCCCCTCTCTCGGCCCTTTCTGTCTTTCTCTCTGTGTGACTCTCTCTGTGTGTGCCTCTCTTGGGGTCTGGCTATGTATGTGTGTGTCTGTCTCTGTTGTTTTTGCTTTCACTTGATGTCGCTCTGTCTCAGGCACCTTAGTGTTTCTCTCTCTCTCTCTCTCTCTCTCTCTTTCTCTCTCTCTCTCCCTCTCTTTAAAGGTCCTCAGCATATTAGCATACTCTGGCATTTATTTACTTATTTGCTAGGCCATTTCTGTAGCATCTCCTAACTGCCTCCTCAAAACTTCTGTTTCTTCCAGTTGTCACGGTGGCCTATTTTGTATTTTGTTTGCAGCACTCTCTGCCAGGAAGATGCTGAAGTCCATTTGCACTTCAGTTTTTAACCATTCTTCATGTTCAGTTCTTTGCTCTCTTTCTATAAGGTTTCTGGCACACTTCCCCCCCCGACCCCCCCTTGTCCCCAAGCAGCCCTTTCTCTGCTTCTTGGCACTGCTTGGGACTCTCATGCATGCCTGCCCTCTTTCTCTCACTCCCTCTCTCTTGTGGCCAGCCCCCTCCTCCCTGTCTCCCAATCCAGCCTTTTTCTTCCTTTTCCCTTCTCCACCAAACTTTAATAAAATACTGTACACACTTTTGCCTGGGGATTGCTTTTCTTTATAAAGTGAACCTAAACCTTTGTAAAGTGGGAAGGGAGGAAAGGCAAGAATCCAGACTGCAGCCAGCAGAGGCTGTAGCATGGAACCAGCATCCCTGCCAACAGCCACATCCCTTTCACACTTTTTTTTAATAAACCCTTTGTAATAGCAACTCCTTCTGAAGCATCTGTGTCTGCTACAGGGAAAACCTGGCCACGTCTCTCTACTGGGCTGCAAGGGTGAGGCTGAGTATCCAATAGGGAGGGCAGCTGCAGCCTCAGTCATAAGCACTCTCCCCCGCCCCAGCCCATTTCCACCTCCTCTTAGAGAAAAATGAGAAAGTAGGGGGTTCTCTGGCACCGGGGTAGAGGTCTTCAATTCCCCTTCAAGAGAAGTATAGCATGGTTACTTGAAACGAAACTTCTCCAAGGATGGTTGACTTACAGTAACAGGGGAAATTTCAACTGTCAGAAGATTGTGGGAAAAACAGGACTAAACTGTTTATCTAAAGCAGATCTGAGAATTCCCACAGTCAGGTGGTACAGGGTTGGCAAAATGGTGGCATCCCCTCGCCACCCACTCCCCTACCCCCCCGGCCATGCTCACTAGGCAACAGAAACAGGACAAATTATTTCCGTTGGCCTCACCCCCTTTTCTTTCCCTCCTTTCTTTAATAATATACAGACAAAAACATATGAAAACAACATAAGGGGCAACTCTGAAGGGAGAAAACTCATTTAGTCTGAGAAGAGTATGAAAAACAGAAATAGGAAATGTACCCTCATTGTTTGGTTGCTTGGTGATAAGGGCAGTATGAAGAAGCATCGATGTTATAAAACACACATATGCACATGCATATACACATGTGTATATGGATGCATATTTAGTTGGTAGTGACAACTTGTCAAGAGAGGAAGGGAGGAGTTTTAAAATCAGACACACATGGTTTGAATATAATTGGCCACTTATTAGCTAGGTGACTATGTGTAGCCCGCTACACCTTCCTCACAGTTGGGGTTCTCTTTAGAACTAAGTGGCATTGCATATATGAAAAAGCCAAAAGTAATGTCTGGCATGCAGCCTGGGTTCAATAAACGAGCCTTCCTTCCCTCTTTTTCTTTCTTCCTCCCTATTTCTTTTTTCTCTTCTTTCCTTTCTTCCTTCTTTCCTTCCCTTCCCTCCTCCCTGCCTCCCGTCTTCCTTCCTTCCTTCCTTCCTTCTCATTTCACTGGCTTTTCCCCTGATCTTTCCAAAGGTGTAAGCAAAGGGAATTCATGCCACTTGCCCCAGTTTTCAGTTCCTAAGGGAAACTTTGTTGCTCCTTGAGTCCCAGTAATGAAACACTGCAGACCCTATAGTAGTCTACTCTTTCTAAGCCAAATGCTGCCTGAAATAATTTGTTCTTGGGTGGGATTATTTGGCTCCATTATTCTACCCCCTTATCTAGGTTCTTTATTTTCAAATGGTTAATGAGAGAGACCCTTACCCATAATCCAGCCATGTATACGTTTTCACAGGCCCAGAGAGCTTTTGCTCTCGGGGACATATTAAAAATTGCCCCATGGCCAAAAAGCTTAAGAAGGGAGAAACAGAAAAGAGTATGTTCCAATGAACTATTGTCCTGACCCACAACTTCCCAATTGGGAATGCTGTTTTCTTGGTATTTTGACCTTGTCAAAATGACTGATTTTTTTTTTTTTTTTTCCTCCCGAGGAGTCACTCTCTAGCTAAGCAATGTTTCTTGAGTGGGATTTTGGGCTGAGACATCAGTGCATCTGGAAGCACTCACTGATGGAGATGCCTGTCCTAGCCCGACTGTTGCTGAGATTCCCTCTCTTTCTTTGTCTTCCCCAGAAGCAGAACCAGGTTGTAACAGCAACTGGCAAGCCCGTGAGCCATGGATGAGCCCCCAGCTTCAATTGGTGGGAGAGTGAACACATAAAAAATGTTCCCACCTCAGACTTCCTTTTTCCATGGGTCTTATTGTCTATTCTACAGATACCCCATTTCCACATTTCACTGGCTTCCTGTCCTATTTTCCTGTTTTATCGGAGCCTTGGCAACCAGTGAGCGGCACTGACACTGGAGTCTGTGCTGGGGAGGTGGCCAGTCCCTCACAGTCCCTTCCCAGCACTTCTGATCCTTCTCTTTGCTTGTCTTACTACCTACCTGTTTTCATTGAGGGCCTCTGCTACTTATGACATAGATGTGGAAACCTGTTTCATCTTTCTCCCTCCTTGGGCATTCCAGTTTCCATGTGGCTCCTTTCTGTAAACTACAAAGAGAGCTGTCCATCCTTCCTGGAAGCACCCCTTCTCATTGCAGATTTCAACTCCCACGCACCAGGTACCCATGGGCAGTCCACAACCTGCACAACCAAGCACGGGTACTCTAAATTCCCCAGTTCTGACAGCTGTGAGTGCTGGTGAGCACTTAGTCATTTAGGGATGTTTCCCTCAAATGGAAAAGACCACAACGTGTGATGCCAGAAGACTAGCAGATTCTGAAGCCTTCCAAAGCCCTGTCTTGCATTCTTCTTGGGCTCTTGTCCAGGAAGAAGCTGGAGACTGTGTTTCTTTATCTTGTCTTTGACCTACATTCCTCATCTACTAAGGCTTCATTGGCATACCAATGGCAGACAGGTATTTGTTACTGCAATGGGTACAACGAGTATTAACGTATAAATAAGAACCACTACCGCCACCGCCCACCCGCTCCCACCCAACCCCGACACTGGTCAGTCCTCTGTTCTTTCCATGACTTTACTTCTAGTAGGCCAGTTTTTATACTAAGTCAGTAACTCATTTCCGGACCACCTGAGAGGTAGCCCTACTCTTAAGTTGGCACAACTGCCTACAGAGCAAAAGTTAAGTTTGGAAAAAATGCCAGGCATAAATACCACCACCAGATTAATAGATTCCAAACCACATCATTCTGAGCTGGCAATGTAATTCACATTCTGCACAACGAAAAGGTTTGAAGAGCAGCCAGTTTCCTGTTCGAGAGAAAAGTTTGCTTCTACTTGCTAAGTTACAGCCATTCTGTATGAACCCCTTCTATAGAACAAGAAACTTCTCAGTTTAGGAGTCTTTGGAAAAACATTTTATCCTCTGAGTTGGCTCCCAACCCCACTGCACATTAGAATCATCTGGGGAGCTTTAAAAAGTTACCAGTGCCTGGGCTTCTCCTCAATCCAATTAAATTAGAATTGCTACGAGTGTGGTGTGGGCATCGGTATTCTTTTTTACAAGTTCCCCTGGGCGATTCTAATGTTTAGCTAGGGTTGAGAACTCTAATTTATAGTTTAAGAGAATAGTGCCTCTTGGTGAAGAACGCCCATTCTTTTACTAAGTATGCAATGAACTCCTATTATTGGAGACAGTTTGCTGAAGACACAAAGATGAAGTCGGTAGGCACTGGGCTCCTTAAGTTAAAATGTGGTAGGAAAATGCTAATGCGCAGATCAGAACCTCTAGAAGCAAGATTGAGTGCTTCTAAGTTCTTACAAACAGCACAGGACTGAAAGTTAGAGCCCCACTTTACAATTCAGGTTCTGTCACTAACTAGAAAGGTGAACTTTGGACAACTCACTTGACCTCTTTGGGCCTCAGTCTGGTCATCTGTAAGAAGAAGTGGCTGGACTGAAAACTCTATATACTCCAGCCTTACGGTGCATTCCTAAATTCTTAGAAACCCATAAGCTTAGCCAGGCAATTACCAAATACTTTGGGAGGCTGGCTCACTTACTCCTGCATGCCACTGACGACTGTCTTTCTGATGTTTTACCAAATCCCTTTCCAAAACCCCAAGTATCAGGGTGTTAATTTTTAAATAATCCTGGGCTCCCTTAATTCTCTCCCCTAGTCTCTTACAAATTAGCAGATGAAGAGAATGGAGTAGTGGTAATGTCTATGAGCAGTGGGTAATGACTAACAGAAGTTTATCCAGTTGGATAAATGTCTAGTGGATTGCTGCTGGGGTCAGTGTTAGTTCTGGTCTTAATTAACATCTTCATTAATAGTGTGGGAGAGGGAATAAACAATAGCTAATGATATTTGCAGATGGTAGTAAATTTAGAGGTGTTGCTACTACCAGTGAGAGCAGCAAGAGCCATGGGGATATCAGAGATGTGAACAAGAAGTGATTATAATGATGTTTGTTCTGGAAAAGGCAGAATGAAATGTTTAAGGGGGAAACAACGGGGGAAATTGGGAAATGATCAAAGAATCAGCCATTCTTTTATCAAAGAATCGCCATTCTTTGTAACCTGGGTGTGCGTTTAGCAAACGAGGCAGCTAATAGTCTTACAACTTCCGTTGCACATACTGGGATGTTGTCCTGAACAACAATAATAATCACAGCAACAACAATAATAGTAATAATAGCCAACATTTTTGAGTGCTTACAATAGGTCAGACAGGGTTCCAAGTGATTTACGTGAAAGCAATTTTTGTCCCTAAAATCATGATTCAGTTCTTCTAGGCTTTTTACATTTTCTGACAGGATACTTGCTACAGATCTGCAATTTCTAGATTTGAACAAACCTGTGAGTTTCAGGGGAAACAAGAAGTTTAAAATGGGATGGCCAAGTAAAGTGGAGAATATGGTGTGTCCTCTTTTCCCAGGCTCATGAGCAGAATGTTTCCATCTTTGATTTTTCCTGTCCCCAACCTGCCTACCATCTTTTCTCTATTTAGGCAATTGCTGGGTTAACGTGATTGGTGACAGTAGACGGAAAACTATCGCAAAGGTTCAGAAAGAAAGGAAAGAAGGGAGGGGGATCCAAGGGGGGAAGGAGGGGCAGGAGAAAGGAGGAGAGGGAGATGGATAGATAGATGGATGGATGAAGGAAAAAAGTAATAACATAAAGGAAAGAGAAAGAAACAAGAATGAGGGAAGGAGGGAAGAAAGGAAGGAAGAAAAGAAGAAAAGAAGAGAAAACCCTAATGTATTACTGTGTGTCTACCACAAGTCACACGGTAGCTGAGGTGATGAGCTAGGTATATTTCACATGTTTTCTGGTTTAATCTTTGCTGATCTACTTCCCACAATGACTCTCTCCAGTATTCATTATTAGCCTTCACTTCTGTAGATAAAATAAAGGGAAGCTCAGATGTTAGGTCACTAGCTATGAACACACAGCTGATAGATTGCAAAGAGGTTCAAACTCCAGTTGTTCTACTCCTAAGCTCATTTCCTTTCCAACCGCAAATACATATTTTCTTTTCTTTTCTTTTCTTTTTTTTTTTTGAGACAGAGTCTCGCTCTGTCACCCAGGCTGGAGTGCAGTGGCGCGATCTCTGCTCACTGCAACCTCCGCCTCCCGGGTTCACGCCATTCTCCTGCCTCAGCCTCCCGAGTAGTTGAGACTACAAGCGCCCGCCACCATGCCCGGCTAATTTTTTGTATTTTTAGTAGAGATGGGGTTTCACCGTGTTAGACAGGATGGTCTCGATCTTCTGACCTTGTGATCCGCCTGCCTCGGCCTCCCAAAGTGCTGGGATTACAGGCGTGAGCCACTGCGCCCGGCTACGTATTTTCTTTTCTTTCAATTTAGCCCTGCCTGAGTTAATGGCAACATACAGCTACACATAGAGAGCCAGAAGGTAAAAATATTAAGAAAAGAATCAACACCGAGGAACAGAGGGACAAAGGGAAAGTGGCCAGTACATGCATTTACTGCCCAGTCTAATGTAATTGAATTATTTACAATTACATCTTGAAATTACAAAACATAGAATTCATAAGCAGAAAGGTTTCAAGACAATGGAACCCATAATAATATGGATTTGACCTTGAGGGAATTTGGCAGACAGCATCAGTGTCTGAAACAAAAGTAAACTGAAAAGAAAAACAGCTGAATGTATAAAAGCCAAGACTCTTCTTGGGAAGTGTGGAGCCCGAGGCCAGATGGATGCCAAAGGTCTTCAAAATGACATCAAAGGAGCTTTAGGAAGTTGGAAACGTGTGGCCTGGGCATGTGTCCCCCGCCACCCCAGTGGGGCTCCAAATGCCAACTCAGGGTTAGAAAATGAGAACTGAAATTTTAAAGTGAGGAGATGTGCACTTCCGAGTATACACATAAAATGTCTAATTCAAAGAATATAGAGTAAACACCAATGCAATAATGACCCCAAGTCAAGAAATATAACATTGCCAGGTCCGCACCCCATCACCTCCCTCTCCTGAGAGGTAACCATTATTATGATTTTTCTCACCATCATTTCCTTGCTTTTACTTTTTTATTTTGATTTCAGCACTTTTGTATGCCTGTTTTTGAACTTTACATAAATAAAATCATACTGCATGTATCCTTTTATGACTTGCTTCTTTCTTTCAACCGTGTGTTGTATATAAATAATACAATGCATTTATCCATTCTGTGGTTGAGGGAACTTTTGCTTGTTTCTCCTCTGGAGCATTTATGGACTATTCTACTGAGAACTTCTTGTATATGTTACCTTCTGCACATGTGCAGGAGTCTCCCTAGGGTAGCAGCCAGAAAACTATCACCCACAAGCCAAATAGAACCTGTTAACTGCTCTTATATGGGTTGAGAGCTACGAATGGTTTTTACATTCTGAAATGGTTGGAAGAACAAAAACAAAGAAGAATAATATCCCATGACATGGAAAAGTTTTATGAAATTCAAATTTCAGTATCCATATATAAAGTTTTATGGAAACACAGCCAGGCTCATTGTTTATATATTGTCCGTGGCCCCTTTGTGTATAACATTGGCAGAGTTGAGTAGTTGTGACGGAGAGTGTATGACCTGCAAAACCTAAAATCTGGGCATTATGGCTACAAAATGCCCAGTTTCAACTGAAAAATTCAGCAGCGCTTCTTACTTAGATAAAAAGGGAAAAAAGCACAAAATAAATAAATAAATAAATAAATAAAGTGTTTCGATGTGGTGACTGCAGAGCATTAAACCAAGCACAGGAGCTTTCTAAGCACAGGCTCTGGGCCACTGCGCAGGTCCATGCCCATGAAGCTGGTCCTGCTTAAAATATCTAGTCCTTTACAGAAAAGGCTTATGGACCGCAGCTTCAGAGCATATCTCTAGAAGTGAGATTATAAGCATCTTAGAAAAAGTGAGTTGCTATATACAAAACACCCAGCAATGCCTGGTTACTTGTAAGCATTACCATAAATAGGTGGCTCTCCTCCTTCCCACCTTCCACCTGGGTTTCCCCAGGCCCATGAGGTCAGTCTGTAGAGTCATTTTCCAAAAATGTCAGGTGCTCAGCTGGTGGTCAGTTACCATAATAGCTGATGATAATTTGGTTAAATACCACCACAATCCCACTCCCTTCAGGGCTCATACATTTATAAAAACATATCTTTGAATAAAAATGACTTTTAGGCCCAAGGGAATAAAGGAATTAAAATCCACAGGTGCTAATTGCAGCTTCATGTTGTAACATGGTCTGAGCAGATTCAAGGTTTCTTGGAGAAAACTTGTTAAAAACAAGACAAAATACCAGAAGAGTTCATCCAAAGATAATATTGAAGGCACAAATCTGGAGAACTAACACTACCTGATTTCAAGACTTCTTATAACGACACAATGGTAACTAAGACAGTGTGGAATTGACATGGATAAAGACAAATAAATCAATGAAACAGAATAGAAAAACAGAAATAGACCCACATGTATGTGGAAAACTGACTTTGGACAAAGGTTTGAACTCGATTCAGTGGGGGAAAAAAGTCTTTTCAATAGATGGTGTTGGAACAATTAAATATCCATATAAAAGTAATGAATTTTGACTCATACCTTGCACTAAATACAAAGTTTAACTGAAAATGGATTATAGATCTCAATATAAAACATAAAACTATAAAATTTCTGAAAGAAAACAGAGGGAAAAAATCTTTCATGATGTTGGATTAAGCAAAATGTCTTAGATATGAAGCCAAAAGCTCAATCCACAATTTTGACTTCATCGAACTTTAAAAATTCTGCTCTTCTAAAGAACCTGTTAGAAGACTGAAAAGCAAAACCACAGTGTGGCAGAAAATATTGCAAATCAAACATCTAATAAAGGCTTTGTATTCACAGTATACAAAAAACTTAAAAATTCAGTAAGAAAACAAACAACCCAATTTTTTAAATGGGCAAAAAGTTTTGAATACATATTTTACCAGAGAAGATATAGAAATGGCAAGTAAGCACATAAAGAGATGTTCAACGCTATTATTTATTAAGGAGACAAATACTACGGTGATAATGGGATACACTACATACTTACTAGAATGGCTAAAAATAAAAGGGCTTGATCATACTAAGTGCTGGTGAGGATGTGGAGGAATGGGAGCTCTCATACATTGCTGGTGGAATTGTGAAGTGATACAGCCACTTTTGGAAAACGGTGTTGACATTTTCTTAAAAAGTTAAACAGACACCTGCCATATCTGCCATATGCCCAGACATTCCATTGCTAGATATCTACCCAACAGAATTGAAAGTACATGTCCATACAAAGACTTGTACATGAATGTTCATAGCAGCTTTATTTGTAATAGCCAAAAATTGGAAAAAACCTAATTGTCCATCAACAGGTGACAGATAAATTATGTTATACAATACAATGGAGTACTAATGAGTAATAAAAAGAAATGAACTATTGTTACAACAACATGGATGAATATCAAAATAATTATGCTGAAAGAAAGAAGCCAGATGAAAAAGAGTACATACTGTTTGATTCCATTTACATAAAATGTTATAAAATGCAAATTAAGCTATAATGATAGAAAGTAGATCAGTGGTTGTAAGGGAGGTAGAAAAGGACAGAGGGATCACCAAGAGGCATATAAACATTTTTAGAGGTAATAGAAATGTTGCCTATCTTGATGGTGGTAATGGTTTCATGGGTGTATATGGATGTCAAAACTTATCAATTAGTACGCTTTAAACATGTGCAGTTTATTGTATGGCAGTTACACCTGAATAAACATGTTTTTTTAAAAAAAATATTGCAACATTAAAAGAGTGGAATTGTAAGCCTCAAAGTAGGAAGAGAAATCTGCAACAGATATAAACTGGCAAAGGACTCACGTGTAGAGTATACAAAGAACTCCTACAAATCAACAAGAAAAAGGTAGAAGAGTGCAAATAAAAACGGGAAAAATATTTGAACAGACATTTCAAAGAGGATATCCAAAAGGTTAATAAGCAGATGAAAAGGTGCTCAGCCTCATCAGTCATTTGAAAAATGCAAATTAAAACCACATGGAAATATTGCTATACGTTGGAATATAGTCTTGATGAAGATGTGAAGCAATTAAAACTGATATACTGCTGGTGGGAGTATAAATTACTACATCCACTTTGGAAATCCATTTGGCATTGTCTACGAAAATTTACCACAGGCATACTTTATAACTGAGAAATTCTACTCATAGGCTTATACCCCAAAAGAATGCATACATATGTGTAATAGAAAACATGTAGACAATGTTCATATCTCCATTATTTATATTGGCCTCAAACTGGAAACAACCCAAGGTTTGTTGGGTACAGAATAGATAAACTGTGCTGTATGCATACAATAGAATTCCATACTGCAATGTGGAAACAACAAAACAAAACACGGTTACCTGCAATCGCAGAGAGGAATGTCACATGAAAGGCTGAACGAAATAATTCAGACATAACAGTAAATATTGTATGCTTTTTCTTATGTAAAGTTCAAAACCAGGCAGTACAAGTTTGTATTGTTAGAAATCAGTACAGCGGTTGTCTTTGGGAAGAATATTAGGGCTAGTAATTTGCTGAGATTGGGAGACGGTTTCTGCATTGCCAATAATTTTTCATCTCTTAAGATGTATGGTGGTGACATGGAAAATACATTTAGCTATACACTCGTGATGTATACTTTCCTAGATACACATTATATAGAAGGTTGTTCTTCTCGGTGTTATATAATATTCAATGGTATGACCACACGACAATTTCTTTTTCGAAAGCACAGGAAGAGAGACAAGGCAGTCACTTAGGTCTTACTTTTTAGGGATCCAAAGACTTAGGCCAAGGCTGCTGAAGTGACTCTTTTCAGTGACTAAGTTTTGACCAGGCTATAGTGTGGAGTAGTTGAACTATAAAGGTGCCCATGATATGTCTCCCCATTAGGGAGTTGTGGGGCCTAGAATGAGCCCTAAGGGAAGGAGAAGAGATTTTAAGGGTGGGTACAAGCCACTCTGTTGAGTGGGAGGATGAGGAAAGAGGGGTGAAGAAAAAGTCTGCTTATAATTCATGGCTAAGAGCTAAGGCTCTAGAACCACATTTCCTAGGTTCAAATCCTGCCTCTGATACCTGCAAGCTATTGACCTTGGGTGATTTATTTATTCTCTATGCACACAAATCTTCTCATCTGTAAAACAAGAGACAAGATTACACCTGTAATATAGGATTATTAGGAGGATCAAATGAGATAATGTATTTCATAAGTGTTGTGAAAGTGAGCATAAGCCAGAGTGAAAGGGCATACATCTCTCAAAGCATTCAGGCTTGCAGGGTGCTGCCAAGGAGAGACCAAGGTGGTTCCAGATCAGCTGCCAAAGCTCTACAATAGCGTTCCTTGGAGGCTGCTCTATCCTGTCTCCTCTCTAGATACCCCTGAATACCCCTGATTGACTGTAGGCTGTAGAAAGGCTTTGCACACTTCTCATTTCCTTCTTTTGATAAAAGCCTTCCTGCAAGACTTCTAGAATTATCAGACCACCCTTCCGACCTCATTGAACAGACTGGCAAGCTCATGGCCTCAGAACAACAGCACACAAGCTCTATGTTTCTGTTAGCTATAGCCTCATTTTCCCCTCCCACTCCCCATCCGTCTCTCTCCTCCACACTAGAATATCACTGGTTTTGTTCGTACTGTATTTCCTGGGCACAGCAGGCATTCACTTGTTGCCTGATAAGTGACGACGTCTTCTTCAATAGATGACTAACACTCTTTGTGTTGGTAGGTTCTGATATGTTCTCAATTCTTAGCATTTGGGCAGCATCATTCAATGCCTGTCACCAAAGCACCTTTTGGACACTGCTCCGGTCCTCACTGCTCCCGTCTCAACTTGAGCACAGGGCGTGGCACAGGGGAGGTGCTCCATAAATATTTATGAACATGCAGTTGCTCAAGATGCTGTTAAATTTCTTACCTTTCTAGGAAAAACCTAAAAGCAACCTTGAGATAAAACTGCCCCCCAGAAACTTCAAACTACAACACAGTCTACTTTATATCCATCTCTCTTGGCATCAGGGAGCTAGGGAGATTCTTCTTGTGTGTTTTTTTTTTTTTTTTTTTTGACGGAGTCTCGCTCTGTTGCCCAGGCTGGAGTGCAGTGGCACGATCTCTGCTGACTGCAACCTCTGCCTCCCAGGTTCAAGCGATTCTCCTGCCTCAGCCTCCCGAATAGCTGGGATTACAGGCGCCCACCACGACGCCCAGTTAGTTTTTGTATTTTTAGTAGAGACGGGGTTTCACCATGTTGGCCAGGCTGGTCTCTAACTCCTGACTTCAAGTGATCCACCAGCTTCGGCTTCCTAAAGTGCTGGCATTACAGGTGTGAGCCACCCCACCTGGCTTCCTCTTGGTTTTTAAACTATAATTGCAAATAAATGCTATCACAGGCCTAGGGGCACTCAGAGAGGCTTGGAGTCTGGTCATTGTCGCAGACCATATCTATTCTTGTTTATCATCTCTCACCCTATTTGAAGAACGAGGACAAAGAAAAGTAATAATCGATATATAGATTCAGAAAATATTTATTGAGAAAGGACTATGTTTCAGAAACAGTCCTACATATTTTGACAAATGAAAAATTTTGATCCCCAAACAACCACACTGAAGCAGGCATGATTTTCGAAGGTAAGGGAATCGTGGTTAAGAATCATTACCTGCCTTGTCCAGAGTCACATAGCCTTTGCGTGGCTAAGTCAGGATTTGAACCCAAAAAGTCAATGCCTCCAGGTCCAAGTTGAAAGCCTATATTCCATTACTTTCAGAACATACTGGAGAATGAATATAACCTTCTTACATTGACATGCCTCGTTTTCAACCCAAACTGGTTTACCCAGCTTGATAAGTTCTTTAATCCCCACAGGGTATTGAATGAATCCTGGCTATATCCAAAACTTAAATCCACACTCAAAGGAGGAAGATCTACCCTATTGATAATATTTAGAAGAATGTGCCTGGGGTTTAAAAGGCAATTTCAAAAGAAGAGTGATAAAAATGCTTTGAGGCATAGTGGAAAGCCTCCAAGGCAAGTCCTGTGACTGGGCCCCATTCATCTAGTAGTTTCATGTCCTTGCTGCATAAACTATTAAGCTATGGCAACGGGCTTGGGAATTAGAATGACCTGGATCATGAATGCTCTGACCTTCAATTGGTTACTCAGTCTTTCCAAACCTCCAGTGCCTCGTCTTTAAAAGAGCTTAGATGAAATACAGTACTGAGCACAGGGCGGAAGCATAGTGAGACCTCAGTAAATAGTAATTATTATCACTTGTCTTGATGGTACTTTTAATCTAAAGTTGGGAGAAACCATTGCCCCAGGGAGGCCTTGCTTAATTAAAGTGCTGCCATTGGCCTAAATTGGTCACAGAAGAGAAGATCCGGCTGGTAGGTAGTCACTTAAAATGCCCCCGAAAAAGCTTGCATATCTAGACCTCGGGGAAACTCAGTACAGAGGGGCTGGACTCCTATATATGAAGTAGAGAGCCCAAGCTGCCCAATTAACAGGGTGCTTTCATTAGAATATGGGCCATTAAGATCACATCTATGAATGAGCCTGGAGCCTGATTGAATATGGACCTCTTCTTCACCCACCAAGAGAGTAACTGTAGACTCAACATGTACATAATGTACGAGCTTCTCAATTATTCACCGTGTTGACTCTGTGGCACTCTATGTGTGTCCTCAGGTCTACCTCCATTTGGGAGCAAAACCTAGAGAGTGGTGTTCTGTCTAAAAAAACAAAGCACTGCAAGTACAAACTACACAGGATGCTTATGATGATGAAATGGCAGTGATTGTCATCAAATCCCATTTTCTAGGCAAATTTCTAAGAATTTTACAACAGACATGGATCATCATTCTTAGATGGTATACATTTGTTATTTTCATAGAATGGATTTATTAAAACACGGTTAAAAACTATTTAAAAAACGTTTTTCAAAACTTTTCAAAATCTTAAAATCATTTAAAAAAAAATGCTTGGTTGCACCATGTGTTCTGATTTAGTGATCGGAAAATATGGTCTCTGTACAGAGGGAATCTTTATATTTTTTAGGATGATGATTCTCTACTAGGGTCTTAGCACATGATCACATTTCTGTGAGGTATGTCAGATAAGAATATTATAAAGTATTTAACTTTTTAGTTAGGTACTTCCTTTATCAATTAGAGCATATTTGATGTTATCCCCATAAAGTGATCATCCTCCCTCACTTGCATTCTGTTACTGGTTTTCGTTTGTTTGTTTCTTTGTTTTCTGTTTTGTTTTTTGAGACGGAGTCTCTCTCTGTGGCCCAGGCTGGAGTGCAGTGGCGCGATCTTGGCTCACTTCAACCTCTGCCTCCAGGGTTCAAGTGATTCTCCTGCCTCAGCTTCCCGAGTAGCTGAGACTACAGGCCTGTGCCACCACCCACGCCCAGCTAATTTTTTGTATTTTTAGTAGAGACGGGGTTTCACCGTATTAGCCAGGATGGTCTTGATCTCCTGACCTCGTGATCCGCCTGCCTCAGCCTCCCAAAGTGCTGGGATTACAGGCGTGAGCCACTGTGCCCGGCCTGTTACTGGGTTTTTAATAAGAGAAAGATGGCTGGGCGTGGTGGCTCACGCCTATAATCCCAGCACTTTGGGAGGCTGAGGCGGGTGGATCATGAGGTCAGGAGTTGGAGACCAGCCTGGGCAATATGGTGAAACTCCATCTCTACTAAAAATACAAAAATTGGCCAGGCATGGTGGTACGCACCTGTAGTCTCAGCTGCTCGGGAGGCTGAGGCAGAAGAATTGCTTGAACCTGGGAGGTGGAGGTTGCAGTGAGCCGAGGTTGCGCCACTGCACTCCAGCCTGGGTGACAGAGTGAGACTCCGTCTTAAAAAAGAAAAAAAGAAAAAGAGAAAGACAAGGAGTCACTCACTGTGAGTGGGCCCAGGATTTGCAGGGGGGTCAGGTGTTTGGCATGTGGACATCAAATGTTAATTATGACCTGGAGCATAAAAGGTGATGAGTGGCTATCCTGGGACATTTCAGTCTATAAAGGAGCTTGTGGTCACAGTAGTTATGGTGAGGCTGCTCATACTGGCACACAGAAGCCCCTTCCCCACATGCTCTGAAAAAAACATTAATACAAAGAGTGCTTGTTTAGAGTCAGGAGGTGTCCTTTAGGATGCTGGCACTGCAACTAACTAGCTTAGCAGCCATAAGTAAGTCACTTTACCTCTCTGAACTTTGTTTTTCATCTATAAGAAGAGCATTTGATCTAGATCAAGAACTGTACACTTAGGGGTATAGAAAGCAAGTCAGAAATCTAAGTGAGGAAAGCAGGCCAATATGATACAAGAAGGGGCAAAGGGGACTGTGGAGACCAAGCCCCATCTAAAGGGGGCAGTTGCTACTCCACTCCAAACTCTTCGTGTTATGTGCAACACTTGCCCAAAAAGTCTCACCTTCCACTTTTTCAAAAAAAGCAAAATATCTAGATTTTTCAACAAAATATATCAAGTTTTAAATGTTAACAGTAAATATCAACATTACAAATTTAGGAGGGAAAAAACAAAAGTTGGTTCCAGTTTTGTTTCTTAATCTCTTATCTACAGGTCTCAAAAGTCTCTTTTAATTTTAACAACTTTACAATTCTGTGACCATTTGTCACTAATTTCACAATTTTGTGACCATTCACTAATATCAACAATACAAATAGAAAATTAAGTGGAAAAATTATGAAATGAAATTATATTCATTTTAAGATTATAACTATGCAATCATATATATATATATTACATATAAGCAGATACCAGATATATGCACATGAAACAAATTTTTTAGGTGATGGGACTGTGGGTGGATATCTTTTTTATCTTGTTAATTGTTCATTTAAAGTATCTCTACTATTGTTCATATAACCAAAAAAAATTAAAGATAATGGTTAAAATATATATATATATTAAGGGCAGCTCAGGGCCCCATGCCATGGCTCACGCCTATAATAATCCTAGCACTTTGGGAGGCTGAGGCAGGAAGACCACTTGAGCCCAGGAGTTTGAGACCAGACTAGGCAACATGGTTACATCCCATCTCTACAAAAAAATGTAAAAAATTAGCCAGGCATGGTGGTGCACACCTGTGGTGGCAGCTACTCAGGAGGCTGAGGTGGGAGGATCCCTTGGGTCTGGAGGTCAAGGATGTAGTGAGCCCTGATAGCACCACTGCACTCCAGGTTTGGTGACAGAGTAAGACCTTATCACAAAAGAAAAAAAGGCGGGGAGCAATTCAGAAGGTGCCAGATATGAAGAGAAAAAAGCAGAGGCAGTGACTTTAGGTATGTTCCTAAAACTTGTATTTCTATTCTGACCTCCATATTTGCTTGTCAATCATCCTCGAACAAAAAGTTGGTAAAAGAAAGCAGTACTGGTTGGGTGCTAGGTAAATTCTATGTGCCTGAATTTTTCCATCTACCACTGCTCCCTTCTCTCTTCTTCTGTTTACAAAAATATTTCTCACATCATGAACCATAGTGGTATCAAAATTTTCCCAACTTTGTTTGTTTGACTTTTGAATATATTATAGGAGGGTTTTGTTTTGGTTTGTTTTGTTTTAGTGGATGAAGTGGGATGAGAAGGGCAGCTGACTTATCATCCCTAATTACATTTTTCTTTGGTTTCTATATGAACACTATTTTCATTCTACAAGCCCACATCAGCTGCTTGCAAAGTGAGCAGAAAACCACAGGTTGTTATTTAGAGTTTATTTGAAGGTTTTCAAAACACCCCATGGGAAGGCTACTCTTTTCTAAACAAATTTGGAGGAAAATATTAGCACAACAGAATAGAAGGCCTTCATATCACGAATGCAGAGATCCTCAAAAACCTATCTATACTTGTATGGCAGCACCCAGCCCAAGGTCCAGACCCATGCTAAGCATGCAATGTGTGTTTGTAGTAGGAATGAATTCCTCCTCTACTCCCTGGGCTGCACCTACGATTTCTTACTTACGGAATATAGACACAAAATATAGTTATTGATCTTCTTTAAGTAAAAGGCAACTTGAAATGATATCAACATGTTCTAGATATGCCAACAGGAATCTGTGACACTGGGGACATTTGGCCACAGGATTTGAATATAGGGGAATTAACATTGACTTTCTTTTGAATGTGGCCTCACTGAGCAAAAGGCAGGATGGTCTTTTGCCAGGACTATACTGAAGGATCAGTAGACTGTCTAGCGCTTTCGTGCATCCTGTTGCCTCACTAATTTCTGGATTGCCAGATGCCTCTGTTTTTTGAAAATGGTTAAAAAAAAAATACCTTAGTAATTCTGTTGTTTCAGAAACCTTAATATGGCATAAAATATCCTGAAATTTTTTGCAGAAAACACTTGCTTTTTTATGCTCAATTTAATCATTATAGCTGAAATTGATTCCAATTTATTGTTTTCTTTTTAAGGGCATTTTGATGGTTGAAATTCTAAAGTTGCACAAAAGTGTGAGTAAGCAAGATAGGAAGATTAATTGCTCATAGTATTTTTATAAGTCTTAAAAACATAAATAGGCTAAGAAATCGTTGATACTTCAAACTGAGAATTCATAACAATTGCAATAAACATTATTTTTTAAAGCTAGAAGGCATCCTGGATTTACCACTGTTGAATCAGAGAGCAGATTTTTCACACATTGAGTCATAACTGCAGGCTTTTTTTTTTTTTTTTTTCTGTAAACCACTTTAACCTGCTCTTGAAAACCTCTGGTTGGTGCATGGAATAAGTCTGAGTCTGTCTCTATTTAGCTTGTGAAATTTAACAAGGCCATAGCCGGGGGTTGGTAAGGCTATGAGCCATACCACCATCTCAGGTTTTTGATGACACCACAAACCACTTGAGATTTATTATGTTAGAAGATGTCATCAGATCTATGTGTGCACAGGTGCAGCATGTAGTTAGTGAAAGAAGGAACACTGCATGTGTATATTTATTTTTGTACCCATACTCTCAATGGTTAGAAAATGACCCAGTGTGCCTGTCCTGGGCAGTGTGGTGTTTCAACTCCACTGCAGATGCCTATCTTGTAATTTCTTGAAGTCTTTTCCACAAATATAATTCTTTATGATGGGCGACTATGTCTTGTAGGAATGGTATCGCATTTGTTTTTACCATCAATATCTAAAGAAGAGGCATAATGAATTACAGCTGAAGAGTGCTATAACCAATGAATAATACAAATTATTACCATGACTTGTTATTTATGCCTGGGTTTTCCTCTTACAGGACAATACACTAGACATGCACTCTCCTCTCCTGAATAAAAGTAGTGCAGGGACAGCTCTCATCTAATGAAATCTGACAAAATGCCAACATTTGGCACTTTATAAATGTCCTAATTTAAGCCTCCCTATTTTTATATAATTAGGAAATATTTAAAACTATTGCCTGAGGCAATAAAAAATATGAATCTTTCCAAATTTATATTAAAAATACAATATGCATTTTAAATTCTAAAAATAGTTATCCAATTGTTTTAAAAGAATGTGTTTATATGTTCATATTCAAAAATACATTATGTATTTTTTAAATTCTAAAAATATTATTTTTCAATATCCAATTGTTTTAAAAGATGGTATATGTTTTATTTAGTATTGCATCCTAAATATGCCACTATCTTTATTACATACTTTAAATTTGCACAAATTCTGGTATAATAATGGACTAAATATAAAAATCTAATAAACCAGTGTGTACCCTTTAATAATATAAAAATCATAGAAATTAAAACACACTTTCTCTATTTTTGAGAAATAGAAAAGTAAGACAAAATAAACACCTTTGGGGTAATGACTCAAAATTACTGGTTTAGATGGGGTAGAGGAATTACTTCAATTATGATATAAAGCATTGTAATAATGCAAGCCTTTTAGAAATAATTATATAGTGATTATTCTCAAAGATAAATATACACAGATGTTGCTAGTACATTTTTAAAATTCTTAATTTGAAGACAACATACAGAAACTGCATTACCAGTTAATTGGCTTTAGGAAGAAGCAGAAAAATCTTAACTGCAAGTGTATTTGTGAAGCTTCTGGTAAGTTCTATGGAATGAATTGTGCCTGCAACTTAAGGCAGAAAAAAATGTCATTTAAAAACACTGGAATCACTCAGTTAGATGTGCCAGAGGCCCAAAATGCTTAACTAGTGTTGGACAGTGCTATTTTTAAAAAATGAATAATTATTTATAATTTATAACAAAAGATTAATATAAAAAGATACTGGACCTTAATTATATTCTTAGAAAGGCTTTCAACCAAGATAATTTTCATTTAAAAAGGAGCATCTATTTCAAAACACTTCTCAGTTTTTTGCATATTTATTTACATTGCAAAATATAAAAACCAGAAAAGCAGGCGACGTTGTAGATTAAAAGACCATAACTATTTACCAATTAAAAAATTTAGAAGCAACAACACGTTGAGGTAACTAAAAATTAGCAAGACCAATTTCTCTAAGACATGCTTGAAAATCAGTCTCCCTATTTTATAAACCTTAGGTATCATCTAATGATAATATGTGTACATATTTGACCAACAGAAGAATGCTGGATATAGGAATAAGTATCATTATAAGCTTCACATGTCAAAAGAAACAGACATCCAAATAAAAAAAGATAATATATGAAAGCCTGAACATGACACACAATGGTACATTTTATGACTAAATAAAATGCTTAGATAGAAATTCTTTGACAGGTGATACAAACTCTGGATTCCTCCAAGTCATCATGAGAATGGAGGAAATACTTTTCTCTTTCTTTCCCTATTCCTTTTCCTATTTTGTGTCTCAAAATATTTCCTAAACAAATCTAGATTCTCTCTATAATGTCCTTTCTCCTTTGCATGTAATGACATTGGGAGGGATTGGTAATTCTGCTGCGGACTTCAAATAATAACAGAGAAGACTTTCTGTTGCACACTTACATAAAAGTTTTAGTATTTGATAACACTGCCCATGCAAGTGTTACTTACATGTTACTTATTTCTATATCCATCATTCTTCTGTTGGTCAAGTGTTATCCTCTCACTCTAAATAAATTTTTTATTTAGCTGCATAGAATCTTTATATTTTATATTTGTTTCCTTAGTACTAAATGTGATTTACTTGACCATGAAACTACTATTTGGAAATCCTAGAATGAAAACAGATCTGTTTGTTACCCACTTGAACTGAGTGGGGAGACTGAGTTATAGCTATACTCGCTAAGTGGTTACAATAACTTGGAGCAAGATAAACATTAAAAATTAATTTTCCTTGGGAAGTTATAGCTGAGTGTGGAGATAGCTACATGTGTGTATCCCCTCCCTCCCAGTCATTCATTCCCCTTCTCCAAGCTGTATATGCTAATTTTTTTGGAGGAGAAATTGGGAACTGTTAAACTTGCAGTTAGACAAATTATTTTAAAGTTGGGCATTTTCTAAAGTCTAATTGGGCCAATCCCACTTTTAGTTTTGCACTTATTATCACTGAAAATAGCTATGTATATTATTCACACACAGCCAAACGTATGTATGATGTGTATACAAGGGGAAAAAACTTTTTTTTGGTAATAAGGCCATGCCTTTTTTTAAAAAAAAATACTGCGTGTTGTAGGAGGTATGAACCCGAACAATGTCGTTTAAGTTCTCTAGGACTTTGAGGGTAAACATAATTGAGATTAAAATACTGACGTGCTCACATTTAGTAGAGAGATAAGAATAATTCATCGGGAGCTATTCTAGTCTCACTGGTAATCACATAATTCAACAGGGTTTTTAGAGAATACCTGAAGCTATCGTCGTCTGTTGTGCAATTACATAATTAGTCAGGATCTCTGTAATAAAATCTTTTCTAAATGTATGTGGGTTACTACTAAGTAAATGTTAGGGCTAGTGTTATATTTTTACTTTTAATACTTGTATAACAATTTAAACTGTTAAACATTATTTCCCGACATAACTACAGATACTTAACATGAAAAGAATTGCATTACTCAAAAACTAAGAAAAAAAAAATCCCCCTACATATATTTGTTTCCAAAATGCTGATCAAAACTGCTTGCTTTATGAACATTAACTCACTATCCAATCTCCTCTAGAGTGTTTACTTCTGGGAACTCCGGGGTTGTATTATCTCTTTGGTGTTGGTTGTTTCACCCACTTCTAAATTACTGATCTATTTTTTTGATATTCGCGTGACTACCTATCAATATAAGTCAAAGTGCGCTCTTTCTGGTCCTTTTGCTTTAATGATAACGCTGCGCAGCCAGGAACATTTCGGGAGTCCTCCTACACGGAAACAAACGTGGCCTGGCGAAGTTGAAGCCAGCAACGTGGCGGGAAGTGAGGAAGTAACAGCAATTCCTTATTCTTTATCATTATTGTTGTTTTAGAGTCTTTCCGCGGCGTTTTCGGCCGGGTTCCTGCTCCAGAAGGCCGGCGAGGGGCCCCTTGCCCGCGGCGCGCCGCAGACACACGGTCGGGAAGCACAAAGGCGCGCGGAGCCTGGGCAGCAGCCCCCGAGACGGTCACGCCCTCGCCGCTCTCCGGCCCCATGCGGCCGCACAAAGACCAGAGCCCCACCGCTACCCACGCACCCACCCACGCTCGAGAGGGGCGCCGCGCGGCGCAGGCCGCCACACCCACTCGGGCCCGCTCCCGCCTCCCGGGTCCCGGGCGCCCTGATGAATATGCATCGCGGCGCGCCCGCCCCCGGCTCCTCCTTTCGGTTTCCTTCCCGCCGCCAGGCGGAAGCGAAGAGCCGCGCTTCCCGCGCGCCCAGGCCGGCCGTGGTAGGGTGGGGCGGGGCGGGCCGCGAGCCGGAGAAAGAGAAAGCCAGGGAGGCGACTGCAGGAGGAGCGCGGGCCGGGCGCGGAAGGGTGCGCTGCTGGGTGGCGGTTCCGGGGCAGCCCCGCCGCGGGCCAGGCCAATCCGAGGGCGGGGAAGGGGCGATCGCGCGACCCCGGGGCCGTGCCGGCTGCATCTGACCGGCGCAGCCCCACTCCTGGAGCAGCCCCGCTAAAACAACAATAAAACCCACCACACACACACATACATGCACACACGCACACGCGGGCGCACACACACACACCATCCTGGACGGCGTTCAAGTCAAGCACGAGAAACAGCCTTCTGCAAGGGAGAGGAAAGAAAGCTGGAAATCCAGACAGACTGAAGGGCTGCCTGCTTTTAGACTTGACTTTGACCGCCTTTTCTTCTCGGGCCAAGAACTGTGGCAGTGCAGAAATTACAATTAAAAAATACATAAGACTACTCCCGGATTGCTTTTTTTTTTTTTTTTTTTTTTTTTTAACTAAACACAAAAAGCGACACCAAAACAACCCCTGAGAAAATCCACAAATCTGTACCTGAGACACGTCAAGTCAGCGGCCCAGGGTTCTGTTACAGACTCAAGATCTCTTTTATTTAATGCAATACAGTGCGATGGTATGTGGCTTTGAACTGATGGGTTTTGTTTGCTTCTTTTATTCGTTCTTTGCACCCCCTCCTATCCCTGGCACAGTTTTTCTTTTCCTGTTTGTGGATTGCAAAGTGGCTGTTTTACCCCTTTCCTAAATGTCATTTTTGTTTTACAGGTTGTGGGCTATAGTGCTGCATTTGCAGAACTAATTTGCAAATATGCATTATTATTTAGCGTTGGCAACTTTAGTACATGTGACACACTCTTATGACGGGAATCAGTGAGTAACATTGTGGTCCAAACGGTGCAGAATCTAGCATTTTGTTCTGCTTTAACTCTCTGCTTTATGCCCCTCTCCCCTCAGTGGTGGAAAAAAATTACTGTTCAAATGATACTTTAGTTCTACCTTGTAGGCCATTCTCTCCTCTTGAAGCATTCTTTTCTCCATTTTAATTCACAGATATTCTCATTTAAAAATACATTTTTAAGTGAAAGAAGTACTATTTAACTCTGATTGGTGTGTTGGAATGTTTAAAGTCAGTATTCATTCTAAAGTTTAGTCCTAACCCCCATCCCCTCATCCCTGAATTTGTGGCATCCTATTGTTAGCCTTTCTTCCGCACCCCCCACCAACTTTTTAAAACCGATTTTGATGGATTTCTTTCCACTCCTGTTAATAGTTTCCCCCCAACCCCGCTATTTTTGCTGCCGATTTTTTTCCTCTTCCTATGTGTGTCTCTATCTCTCGTTCTCCTTGTCTTCTTTTCCCCAATACGTCTGAGACACATTTTAATGCACAATATCCCATCCATTAAGTTGTGGTTGAATGTGAAGTGTGTGAGGACTTGGCAGCTTTCAGATTGAAGGGGGCGGGGAAGCCAGTTTCGACTTTGACACAAGATGCTGAAGTGGCGTGATCAGAATTATTATTAGGGCTGTGAACATGGCCATCTTCTGCTCGGGTTGGAAGAACTGCCACTGAACTTGAGACAGGACAGACAAGATCTCTAAGTATTTTTCCCCCACCCCCCAAGTACAGTAGCTGGCAGGGAAAAGGCGCCAAAATACACAAGATTAACTCTGACTTTCTTTGAACGGATCTTATAGCACCATCCTTGTAACTTTAACTTCCAATAGGCGGGAAAAAGTTAACTTTTGATCCCACACTTGAACAGACATTTAAATCAGCCCTAAAATGGAATAAGTCCAGAAAGTAACACACGCATGCTTATGTGGTTAGAAAAGAATGCACGTGTAAATAAGCAGGGTGTATGTGTGTATATGACTGAGGAGTTCAAGATTTAATCAAAATCAGAATTAGTGTGACTTTCCAGTGTATTTACAATATGAAGAAAAGCATTGTGAGGCAAAGAAACTGACCTTTAAGCATCCTAAGTAAAAACTGCAAAGAGTTTGTGAAACACAAAACGTTGTGGTTTCCAGTTTTACATTTGAGGTTTGATGTTTTCATTTAATGGTATGAGAGATGGAGAAAGCTCTAGCGCTGAAAAGTCCCTATTAAATCATATGTGGGCAAAGGTCAAGCACTCCAACTCACTGACGCAATATACTACAGATTCCTGCCTAAGTGATGAGGAACACAGGAAAAAGTACTTTGGCAATAAAATTATTAGAACAGTAATTATCATCGGTGGTTGGGACTGCATTCTTGTGCACTGGGAAAACGTTTTTACTGGCCCTGATGAATTTTAAAGCCAAGTATTGTTGAAAGCTATTTTAATAGGAAATTGATTAGCTGAGTGTTCCATACAAGAAATGGTGACGGTTTCATTGTTTGAGGTCCAAAATAAATTTTTATTCTTTAGCAGACATAGGCATCCCTTTAATTTTAATATGGTCAGACTGAACAGCAGCATAATTTTGAGTGAATGTGATGTCATGAACATCTGTAACTTTGTTTTTGGAGTTTTTGACATTACACAATTTGATAATATTACTGCTTTGAAATTTATTGGCTTGTGTAGTTAAAATTTCAGATACACTCAGAGATAAAGTTTACTGAACATATATTTTGTTTAGGCCCAATTGTTTGTGTTTTTTCTTTGTAATTACAAAATTGTTTCTTAAATTTTAATTTGAAAATTAAAATGCACAATTCTGTTGTTATGCATTGCTTTGACTTTGAAATTTTGTTGTTATGCATTGTTATGCAGTTTTCAAAGAAGAAATGAGAGAAAGGGGTGCAGAAAGTTTGAGTTGCTCTGCCATGCACTTTTTATACTTAATACAGAATGTAAAGACTACTTAGCCATTTTGGACAGAGCTTTCTATACCTGTCTTAAAAACCCATCTGTTTTCCTATGTTACAAGGCATGTGTATATGGGTAATAGAAGCCAGTTTACCTGTAGAAATAAAATGGTCATATAGTTTTACTTTATAGGTCAGCTATTTTGAAAAAGAGCAATAACTGCAACTCTCTCAATATCAGCAGACAAGAGACACTGTGTGAGAGAGTATATGGAACCTTTGTAACATTGTGGATAAGTGAGGCAACTATTACCTCTATTTTCAAAGTTTAAAATACATCATGCAAAAGTTACAGGGCAACTGCTGACTTTGTAATCTGTGAAGCAAGTGTCTTACAGTGTTGGGAATCTCTGTTGATGCACTGGCCTCATCTCTGTTGAGAAGTGAAAACCGGATAACCTTAGTGGAGGAATCTGGCTCAGTTGGTGTTGAGATCAGAACTGTATTATAACTTGTAAATATGCTAGAAATGTAGACACACTTAGTGGGATGCTTTTTTTTTTTTTTTAAACAGTGGAGTAGAGGCATTTCGGCAGTGACATTATTAACAGCGTCATTTTTCTCATTTACTTTTGTCCTCAGGGGACACCAAATAGCTCCCAGAGGAGGAGAAAAAGGTCCAAGGTTATTTATTCATTTCAGTGCAAAGGGCTAGCAATGGGGGTGGGGAAACTAACCAGTTGTGAATTCTCTGGTGGGGAAAAAATTACTACCCTAATTTGACAGTAGTACGTTAAGGGCTGGGTATGATTTTGTTTTTTGTTTAAGAGTAGTAGACAGTAGTAGTAGTACTCAGTAGTAGTTTAAGAGCTGGGTAATTTGATTACCTGAGCTGGTAAAATTGATTTTGCAATTCTCATCAAGTACAGGCACTTTCAATACTTCTTGATTGTTTATATATGCATTTATGAGTGGATTTTTGGTGTTCCTCCTTGTGGATATAAATTTGTGTTTTCCAGACTACACATGTATGATTTTTGTGGTTCATTTGGAAAAAGGAAAGATCCCAGGGCATGGTGCAGTAGATACTTGCAGTTTTGCAGGCCTGCTTTCTGGGGTCAGGAGGTCATCTGTCTCTTTTGCATTTAGTTTTTAAATATTGATATTGGTGATGCAGCCAGGGTGTGTAGAATAGTTGAACCTTCTTGCAAACCACATGCAAGAGCCAAAAAAAAAAAAAAAAAAAAAAAAAGGCATCGAGTGTATTGGAAATGACAGCTTTGTTAAGTTCCAAGAAATCTTTCATGAAACTGCCCAGGATTTGCAACCTGTCGCTGCAATTTCTTTAGGAAGGAAAAGGTTAAAAGAAAAACAATATTAGATACTTGAGATGTCAAGCTCCTCTCTGGAGATCCGTAGTGAAAGGCTCAAATGTGGTAGCGTTGCTTATTTCAAATATACAACTGGGTTTTGAAAAATCCAGTGAGCTGAAGCACTGGCATTCTATTTAGAAATCAATAAACTTTCTGTTAGTTAGAAAGGAAACTTTTTTTTTTCCCTTATAAGGCAGCAAGGAGATCTAGGGAGGAGATCTTTAAGAATACTGAAATAACAGAGTTTCCTGTTGCTGAGAGAATCATTCACTTCTTTCTGCCTCCTCAGCCAGGTTTTGGGGTGAATGAAAGTGGCCTGTCACACCAGTGCTTTTAACCCTCTCAGTGTGGGAGGGAGAGATGAAGAGTTTAGGATTGGTAAGTACCAAAGTTTAAGAAGTGTTTGGCCCATTTTGATACTATCAGAAGCTTTTCAGAGATATTTCCACTCTTAATACCACGACACAGACGTGCTAGAAAAAATGGAAAGTGAATACAATGCAGGCACTTTCTCAGTTCCTCCTTCTACCTGGGATTTAAAAGATTGAGATTTTCAAACCAAAGGTGGTGGACAAGTGTTGTGTTAAGAGAAGCCAGGCATCCCATGCACCGAAATCCACCAGTCCCTCTTTCCAAACAACTCCCTAGAGTTCTTCCAGGGAAGGCCTGCAATGACCTTGGCATTGGCTGGACAAGAAGAAGTGTTTTGGGGGGTGTCAGCCATTCTCCACATGGCTGCAAGGCCTGAGAAGACAGTCAAAGCCATAGAAACTGAGCACCCCCATAAACCTTCTTTTTCAGGAAGTCTCTGTTGCTCACTCTTCATTCCTTTTTGGTTTTCCTCGCCTCACCATACTCCTATCTCATTTTCCTTTTTCTGGGAAACAAATCAAAACCAAAAACTATCAAGCATCCTCTATGGTCATCAAAGTGCAACCAGCCATAAGCACCCTCAAACGTGGGGCAATTGAAAGAGATTTGAACCCCTAAGTGATGGGCCTGGGAGGCCCCAGACGTCTTCACTTCTCTGGGGTCTTACCTGGATCTGACGCTGCTTCTTCGCCCTTGGTGTTGCTGAAGCTTTTGTGGGCTCTTCTGTGTAATACTTGTCAATTTTTCGTTTTTCTTTTTTAAGCTTGTGAAAAACTTTTGGATGCAACCTAGTTTTGGTGGCAGAAGGAAATGGTTTCTGTTGGGAAAGGGAAACTAATAAAGGGAGGAGGGGTAGCGATGTCGGGAGACACTTGCCCAGGGCTCAGCCCTGGGCCTCTTTTTGCCAGGGGACAACGGCTGGTTCTGGGCTCTCAGGCTGAAAGGAGTGCTCTCTGGGTGCCAGGATTTCACTGGGGGTGGTGTGGTGAGGAGGGAGGGAAGAAGGGAGGGAGGGAGAGAAGGAGAGATGGGCGCTCGATTTTTAAAGAGACCCCGAAATAATGGCTTCTATGAGAGTCCAGGCATTCAAAGAGGTGTGTTCAAGGATATTAGTGCATTCCTGCCAAGGGGAATGTCTTTTATGGTAAATTAACTCCAGTTAAATTGAATATTTGTTCAAAGGGAAACTGCAGTAGTTAAAGCTGGTATTATCAGTAGAGCTTCCCCACCCCCTCCCCTCAGAATCTGGTGAGGGTGAGAAAGGGGATGCAGTGTAATGTGCAATACAAAGTGATGCTTTCGTGCTGGTGGTTTCTCTGTGTGTGTGTGTCTGTGTGTGTTTAATCTAAGATGAGGTTGCCTAAAATTTCTGAGAGAAATGAGTATTTACTTGGATTAACCCTGTCACCTCATTTCTTTCATCCATAAAGACTGCCAACTTTATCCCAGCTTTTCAAAAAGAAGAAATGACCCGCACAAAGGAAATTAACGTTGTCAGAACGCTGACTCCAGGATTTGCCGGGGCAGGGGCGGGGACCGCAGGGAGGCCGCTCCCAGGGCGTGTGGCCGAAAGGGTTAACTCGCAGGGGTCCGCGCGATCTCCCCGACTTTACCTGTCTTCCTAGTCCCAGCAGCCCCCGTCCCCGGCCTCCCGAACTCCCCACCCCCCAGCGCCTTTCTTCTTTGGGCTCTGGGTTTACGGGGGCTGCAGCTGGTAAACTTGGCAAGCTCGCCTCATTAAGAGCGCTCTTTGAAAACGGACTGTGTTTGAGCATTTCCCTAATGAGGACAGGACGGGGTTAAAAAGTGACCATTTCATGGTTGACTTGAACCTGCCTACTTTTCTTGATGTGTCGTTGTGAAATGCTTGATGTGGATAACTCCCACTTGGTGAAGGAAAAAGTCACTGGTTCCTCCAGGTCCGCTGGGGGAGGGAAGAGGGGACGGTGGACAGAAACCAGAGGGAGTGAGAGGGGCTAAAGTTGAGGGGACAGATCACGAGCTGGGAAGCGGTGGAAAGAGGACCGGGGAATCGGGGGCGAGCCTCGAAACGCCCCAGCAGTACCCGTGGAAGCGGGGCGGCCCCGCCCTGGGGATGGGCCCGCGAGGACCCGGTAGCCCCAGCGCCCCCCGGATCCCCCAGCTAGGTAGACTCGGAGCCCCAGGCGCTCACTTTTCCTCCCTCCATTGTCTGGGAGGCCTTTGCTTCCCCCTCGTCCCCATCCACCCCAAGCAGAAAACTGGATTTGGGGGGCGGTGTGTGTATGTGGGCGGGGGGTGCAGAAAGGGTGCAAGGCGAACCGCCTTCTTCAAAATCCCTGGAATCAAGTTCATTCACTCGGAGCCTGCACGGGCGACGGGGTGGGGGCGGGGCAGCGCCGCGGTGGGGAGCCGGCGCGGGCGCCGAGCGGCTCAGGGCCCGCAGCCTCTGGAGGGCTGCAGCGGCGCGCGCGCGCCCGCCGGCCCGCCCCGCAGCCCCGGGCGCGCCGCGGCCCCGCCCCGCCTGCACCCGGGCGGGTAGGGAGACGCTTTCCGCCGGCGCCCCGGGCCCCGGGGGGTGGGGATTGGGAGCCAGCCAGCGGGGCTGCAGGAGGAGGAGGAGGAGAGCGAAGCCGGGCGCGGGGAGGAGGTGGAGGGAGCAAGAGGCGGCGGCGGCGGCTCGGCCCGGTCCTCCCGCTCAGAGCGAGGCCACGTGCACGGGGCACCCCCGGGGAGGGCGGCAAACCGCGGCGAAGCGCCGCGCGCCGCGACTGCCTCGGGTGCGGGCCCCTGGTGGGCAGACCCGGGACGAACCCGCACCCCCTCCCTATCCGCGAACCCGGGCTCCGGGCGGGGCCGTCGGGGGCTGGGCGCCGCACCCCCCTGGTCCACGCCGGCGCGCCCCAACTACTTGAGCCCAAGTTCGCTCAGGTCCCCGCCTGCTCGGCCTCCCCCTTTTCCCGGCAGCCGCAGGCTCCGCGGACTGAGCCCGCCCCGGGTGCGAGTGTCCGCGCCCCAGCCCCGGCCTGGGGGCGGCCTGGGTGTGAGGGAATTTTCCACTCGTTCCTTTCTCGGGCTCAGACGGTTTCGGTGCTTCTCCCACTCGGATGTTCCCGCGGCTTAAAAGAGTCCGCAGCGAGCACCGAAATACCTCTTCCAGGGCGGGTTTTCGGGGGTGTGTATGTGTGTGCTGGTGTGGGGAGGGCAGCGGAAAGAAGAGCTATTTTGGAAAAAAAAAAAAAGTCATGGTTCTGTAGCACCGGTAGGATACCTTTAACAAATGAGGGAGAGGTGGGGGGAGAGAAGGAGAAGGAGGAGGAGGAGGAAGGTGGGGGGGCGGGGGGTGTGGAGAGGCTGGTGCAAAAGGAATGCGCGTTTGCAGGAGGAGGAGTAAAGCGATGATTGTGTAATTAAATAATAAAACAATCCTTAAGTCTGATTTGGAGAGAGCTCGAGCGGGGTCCAGAGGGTGGAACCGGTGAATTTTTCAACTTCCAAGTTTTGCAACGAAAGAAAGCAAGAGAGGGAGGGAAAAAAAAGAGCCTAGAGCAGAAAAGAGAGGAGTTTGGAGCCGAGCGGGAGAGCGGGATTTATCGTTTGGAATTTTTCAGGAGATCGTTTTGATACCCCTGGGCTCTGGGCAGCGGCGGCAACAGCAGCCTCCACGCTCGGCCGGGTCAGACGCGGGGCGAGGCGGGCGGGCGGGCGGCCGGGCGCCGAAGACCCGGCGCGGGCGGCGGCGGCTGCTGCTGCCGGGGACCACGCGCCGCGAGCCTCTTCCGCCCCAGAGATCAGCGCTCGCGCCCCCTCCCTCACCCCGGCCTCTCCCTTCTCCCCCATCCCACCCCGCCCCCACCCCGGCCCTCTCCCGCGCGCGCCCCGCCACCCGCGCGCACTCGCTCACGCTGCCCCTCGCGCACACACATGGTCGGCTCGCGGCAAAGTTTCGCCTGCGATCACCACTCCGGGATCCTGCCGCAGTGCTTGGGGCTGTAACCTTGAACTTTCCCAGCGCGGTGACACATTCTCCCCGCTCTCCCTCCCGCCCGCCCGCTCGCCCTCCTGCGCCCTCCCGCGCCCCCCTCCCCGCCTTTTTTGAAAAAGCATTTTACCACCAACCACCACCCCAATCCAACCCACACCGAACCTTCGCGCACCCCCTACACCCCAACAACAACAACAACTGCAAAATAGAAAACAAATCCCCAAACCCAGGCGAAAAGCAGCCAACACCGGCGGCGGCGGCGGCCTCGGCAAGCACGGCCAGCGCGCTCGGACTGCAAGAGGGTTAAAAGTGTAGATTGGATTTCACCCCTGGAAATCTAGCACGCCGAGTGAACTTGAATCTTTGGCTATTTAAGGAGGACTGGGTTTGTTGTGAAGTTGCGGTGATCCAGCGCAGAGCCCCGTCCTGATTGATCGCATCGCGGGGCTCAGATGACTGTAAAATGAATAGATGAAATTCTTGCTTCTCGAAGATTTTCTTGGGCATCTCCCGGAAAGTGCGTTTTAAGGCGAAGTCATGATGTATTCTCCCATCTGTCTCACTCAGGTACATGTCTCGGTCGCTTTCTCGAGCTTTCTCTCTGGCCCGAAATGCCTTTGTTTTGTTTTGTTGCGGACAATTAGCGGCTTGAGTTAACCTCCGCACATCCCCGTCCCTTGGAGAAGTGGCCCGGAGTTGCAGCGGGCGTCGCGGGGCGGCGTGGGAGCCGGGAGCGGCCCCTCGCCACGGCCACTGCGAGCGCCCAGCCCCGCGCCCTGGGCACGGAGCGCGGGCGCTGGGCCGGGCAAGGCCGCCGGGGGGTGGGCAGGGCCGGGACCTGTAAGTGCGAGGCCCCGTGCGGCCCCTCAAGTGCCCGTTGTGGTGCGGCATCCCCGCCCGGGGTGCCCGTAGCCCCTCTCAGCAGCTCGCGCGTTGAGGTGGACTCGGGCTTTGGAGGACTTTACGGGGGACTAAGCTTTTAAAAACAGCCAGTGAACTTGGGCGAGGGGACTGTAGCACGAGTCTGTGTGGGCGCCGCTGGACTGCGCTGCAGGCGGTGGGCGGGCGACGAATCGAGTCGGAGGTTGTGGTCCGGGGACCCATTCCTTTGCTTTATTTGGGGATCTGAAACCCTGGTCCATAGTGACCTGCTGCACTTTGGGGTTTCTAGTGACCGCACCACAAAGGCAGTATTTACGTTGACACGAGTTAGTTGGTCTTGGTGATTGTTAAGGAGTTTTTAGAACGTGTTCCTTTTGTGGAAACCTGTTCATTTGACGATATTTGGGCGTAGCTCGTAAGGCATTTTAAGTAATGCTGGTAGAAGTAAGGTCATTTTTTTCGACTTTGAGAATTGTCCTAAGACCTTAGGAATAATGTTATGAAATAAAACACTGGTTTTATACTTTTTAGAAACACGATTTGTATCACTTTAAGCCAGACGGTCAAATAGAAAAGCGGCGAGACCCAACAGACTTACCTGGGGGCAGTTTTCATCGCTGCCCAGGGAACTAACAACTGACAAAGTAACTAAAATATCTTAGCCCAGAACTGTTATTTGAGGCAGTATTTTAAACCTCTAAAGGTATGGGGCAGCTTATTTCAGCTTTTCGGAAGATGTGTCACCATTGGTAATTGATAACTATTTTCTTTGACATTGCCATGAAAACTAGTCATATAAAGAAGTGTCAGCCAGTCTTGGGCGTGTTAAAATTTTAAAAACATCTAATATCACGATGATGCATTTTTATAATGGACAAATAATTAAGATTTCAATTGTATGACAATTAGAAGCCATTGTGATTCAAAAGGACTGAGGCATTCATAAATTGTGAATGAAGATGAAAACAATGATAAGGCTTATTCAGTGATTGGATACAGTCCTGTAGCTTTTTGGCTGACACATTTTTTATTGTTTATATTTTGTTTGGCATCTGAGTATGATTAACTTAGATATGGCTATTTTCAGCAAGTAAACACGCACTTTAATTTAACAAAACTGGAAAAATGAGTTGCTGAGCTATTTGTATTTTAAAAGCCATGAATGATAATAGCCAATAAATATGATGAAACTGTTTCAGGTATAACGAATTGCCTTTACTTGTAAAAGTTACCATTAATATTACCCATCGGCTGGATATATTTTTCTCTTTCTGATAAGCTGTGTTAACTTGATATTATTTTTACACCGTGATCAAATAAAACAAATCAAAGCAAGATTTTCACTTACAGAGTATAGCATCACTTATTCTCACCTGTAAAAGATTGAATAATTGTGCATTTCTCTATATTTCTAACATCAGCTTTTCAGAAACATTGCTAGCAATTACATTGCATTTTTAGTATCCTCCAAATATGTATTGAAAAGTCACTAGTTTTATCTTAATTTGTGTAAGTTAAAGATAATATTGCAGCATTGAGACAGGGAATGTTGGGATCATATACAGCATAATCATTCAGCTATCACATTAGTATTCAGAGATACACACTTAACAACAATAACTTGTGATGACTAATATTCTCTACTATTTTAATAATATAAATCTAGGCTTATGTATTAAAACAAGGCCTACACCAGGGAAGGAATTTCAGCTTAAGAATTTTCACTTCACTAAGCTCCATGTGACTTTGCAGGTAATATAGGTGTTATAAAAGTGAGGCCACATTAATAGTGTCACTTTTGTATCAGATCAGTAGTTTTGTATCACAAGAGCCTAGTAGCTGTAGAAAAACATGTCTCAGGACATGTAAATTGCAAAATAGAGTATCATTCTTAATTGGTTATAAACTTTTAAAAGTATCTCAATTGTTGCAATAAGGTATCTAGGTTTTAGAAAAAAAATCTTAATTTAAAAGGACCTACCATTAAATGTTATGTTTAGCAAAATAGTATGCTACAAAATCAGCATATCAATAACCAATATTTATACACCAGTATAAATCAGATATAAAGGAAAAATTAAGAACTATCATATGATTTAATATATGTTTAAAAATAATGTAAACCATTAATAATATAACTTTCAATTGGCATGATGGCATTAAATATATTTTTCTTTCGTTGCTTTTAAGTTCTTTAGGTACATTTTTTGCATGATTTGTTGTTATATAGCAATGCGCCAAGAGCACCTAGTATTTACTCTTCTACCTCTATGTTGGTCTAAATTATCCATCCCTTTCATGGAAACGGAAGAAAAATAAATATGCCTAGTGGAATTAAGACTCTTTATTTTTATATCTGAAATTGGTAACTTTGTTATTTACTTTGTCAATTTAGTTCAACTAAAGGAAGTTTTAAAAGAGAATTACTGAACATCAATGCATTTTACTAAAAATTCTGAAAGAGCAAAGTTGCCTATTACCTTTGTATACAGTTGTTTGGTTTTAAATCACTTATATGTTTTGCTTTTTTTAAAGAATTTATGATTGCTTAATGCTATTGTAATAATCCACTACTAGTTAGGATATTTGAAAACCTTAATCACCTTTTAAAAAAATATTTTTGTATCAGGACAGTTATTATGTTCCATATTCATGTCACTCATAATCTTTAAGACTCTAGTGTTACTCAGCATTAGGAAACAGTCACACTTGGGAGATGACATTTAGGCATGTTAATACAGAAATATATGCGACTTACAGCAAACCTCAATTTACAGTCATTTTTGGAGGATATGTCCCCTTGTCAAATAAGTGCTTCACTTGAATTCACATAATAGTGAAACCCTGAACGATATCAATAAGGCAAACTGGCAGCCTGAGAAAGTTTGCTACTTTTATTTCTCAAAAAAAAGAGCATGTTTTAAAACAATATTGGCAGCATTGACAGCAAAGTCAAAGGAACGTTTAAAAACTGTGTGCATTTGCTAAGAATTTTCAAATTCAACCTTCAAATTTGAATTTTGGTTGTTTAAAATAACTCATTAAAATTTTGAGCTTTCTTGTGTGATAGATTATATTTATAATCAAATATTGAAACTCAAATTTAATCAAAACTGTGTTTGATGTCTTTATAAGAAAATGAAATGTCACTGAACATAGTACTTAAGGTGTAAGTACTTACGTGTTACCACATGGCTTAATATTTATAAAATAATATTGCATTTTAAAAAGCATGGCAAGGGTAAAATGAGTGAGACAGAGCCCACCCACTCCACCTCATGTGCTCTTTACATTCTCAAGGTTTTAGTTTTGTGAGTGCATATATGTGTGTTTTTTAGTCATATCAATAAATCGTAGTAAAAGATTATAGGAAGTGAGTTTCCAAAGCACATTTAAGTCCACATTTCCTTGAGCAGGCTTTCCTTTTGCATATATTCCTAAAGGGGATAAACAAAGTTTTTGTAGTTACAGTGAAAGCTAAAAGCATGGCATCAGAAAGTGTATGGAGATAGGGAGGTCTTATCATGGGATGTGGTTGCTGTGAGCAGGGCTGCCTTCCCACACAAAGAACAGATTGTGGTTTAACTCTTTCCATGGCCTAGTTTAATGTGCTCGCATAGTAACTGAATTGTTCAAATCTCTGCTGGAAACTACTGATCGGTTTAATGATTTCCTCTATGGCATTTGGGTATGCCTCATGCTGTGATGTAATCATCAGCATTCTGTATTGTTATAAAATTTTGATTCATACTTATTCTGGTGAAGGAACACTTACAGCAATGTTAGAACACTTGATAACTACATTATTGATTGGATGGGACATGTACTCCTTCCATATCTGAAGTGCAAACAGCTAACATGTTGCAGTCTGTAGCATTAAAACTTCGAATTTCTTCTTCAAAATGTATTCATATCTATATTGGATTTTTGACACCTTCTTTGTTAAAGAGTCATTAGTTGTACTTTCATCATATTTACCTAATGGAATTAATTAGTCAGTCTGCTGTTAAATAGAATTTATTCCACGTAGTTCAGGGTGATTAACATGAGTATGTAAATTCTAACTTGGGATACAATCAGAGAGTTATTTTGTCGTTGGGCTGACAGTATAGTCAATATGATCAGAAAAGTGGTGGTGGTGGAAGTTCTCATTTGCTTCAAATCTTGGCTTATTGCGTACATGCGGTGTGCATGTACAGGACGTTAAGCTCTTTCTCTTTGAACAGTAATAGGCCTAAGCTTATAAGACAGGTTTTACCTAAATCAGGAAGTAACGAAACTGACTGCACTGGGAAGTAACTTGAAATATCTGTAGGTAAAGATTATCCACCATTCCTCACTGATCCCCTCCCTTAAAAAAAGGGCTTGGATGAAACAGGCAGGAAAAATGCAGGAGCCTAAAGGTAAACTACTTAATTCAAAAGATTGGTACTCTATAATCTATGTATCTGCAAATTCACATGCACATGCATATATGCACCCACAGTTCTAACTGATAATTCATCTACATGGCAAATGAATTGTATAGATTCCACAAAAGCAGTAACTGACCAGCAGTGTCACCCCACCACAGCATGCAGAGACACAAAGAATGTAAAGTTGGTGCCAAGTTGCCATTTTTCATTGTTCACCTCAGATTGATTTTTAAGAGGTTTAGAATAATTGCTATACTCATGTGATCGGTGAACAAATTAACGGACTCTGTGGGGCTGCATATTCTATAGGGAAGCTGATGGAAGAACATTCATGTAATTTTTGTTTTCCAGTTTGAAAACTTCTATTTAAAAATGCAAGAGTGTGTGTGAGAAAGCAGGAGAGTGCAAGTGTGTGTGTGTGTGTGTTGGGAGCTGGCGTTGGTAGTGTGGGGAGAGAATGCACTGCTCAAAGTATGGAAACCTTCTGTTCAGGACACTGATACGACGAGCTGTGTCCTTTGCCCACTTTCCCTCACTGTATACCGGTTTCTCTAGTTACCACTTTTGGAATGGTGCTGTTTCAGTGTTGGAATGTTGGACGTTTGATAAGAAAATGGATCAAGTTTAATGGCGCATGCTCTTTGTGCCACCAGCAGCCTCTTGCTGAGAGCATGCTCCAAAAGCGGGAACTGTGTGGCATTACACTGAGCATCTATATGCTTTGTGTTTCTGTGCCACAGAGAAGAGAAATGAACTGTGGCATCGCTCCTGCCTTCTGAACAGCTCTACTCCGATTAAAAAAAAAAAATCTCACTGTGTTCTTTGTAAAATGGTACTGCATAGTGTTAGTTGGTCAATCAAATATTGAAATACTATATTAGGTGCCAAGCACCTTAGTTAGTTGCCTATATTTTAAAGAATGTAGAATGCATGGCATTGGGGTGGAAACAAGGGGGATGGGGCCAGAGTGTAATACAAAATATAAACCTTATTTCCTTTATAGGAGGGAGAATTGACCTGTGAATTTTGGTGGAAAGGGGACAGCTGGGCATACTTTACTTTCTTCTTGTCCTGTTATTTTGATAATTTTAAATAAGAAAGGAATGTTATTTTCATGTATAACTTTTTGTACTGAATTGGAAACGGGTTGTGGTCTTCTTTTCTTATTTTTTGAGCTTTTAAAATTAAACTGACTATGCACATCTTTTCCTCACCCCTCTGTCTTCCACAGGATGAATTTCACCCATTCATCGAGGCACTTCTTCCACATGTCCGTGCAATTGCCTATACTTGGTTCAACCTGCAGGCTCGAAAACGCAAGTACTTTAAAAAGCATGAGAAGCGAATGTCAAAGGATGAAGAAAGAGCAGTCAAAGATGAGCTTCTCAGTGAAAAGCCTGAAATCAAACAGAAGTGGGCATCCAGGCTCCTTGCCAAACTGCGCAAAGATATTCGCCAGGAGTATCGAGAGGACTTTGTGCTCACCGTGACTGGCAAGAAGCACCCGTGCTGTGTCTTATCCAATCCCGACCAGAAGGGTAAGATTAGGAGAATCGACTGCCTGCGACAGGCAGACAAAGTCTGGCGTCTGGATCTAGTCATGGTGATCCTGTTCAAAGGCATCCCCTTGGAAAGTACCGATGGAGAGCGGCTCATGAAATCCCCACATTGCACAAACCCAGCACTTTGTGTCCAGCCACATCATATCACAGTATCAGTTAAGGAGCTTGATTTGTTTTTGGCATACTACGTGCAGGAGCAAGGTAGGAGCAGATTGTTCTTTTTTCTAGCACGGCAAACACCGCCTACAAATCTCCGTAGACAGAGTATCTGGCTTGAGTTAGATGGTCCTCAAGGCCCCTAGATATCCTCCACCCTCTCTGGGTATAGTAGGGTGTCCGCTTTCACTCACATGTCCGCTGCCATGTGCGAGCCATGTAAATAGACACAGAGCTTTCGTACCTGGATAGGCTTGGATATTTAAGAAAGACCACAAAGAGGTGCGTTTTCAAGTATCTTTAAAATAATACTGTTTTTCAAAGACATAGGGTAGTCTAACAAATATAGTTCATTACACTATACTTTCTGTCGTAGGCTACATTTTTGCATCTAATCTAGTAATCTTTTCCTGATTTGAAAATATAACTTTATTTATGAATAGCCAAACCATCCTAGATAATTTTTGTATTAACCTTATTAATTAATGAGGTAGAGGGACTTTGTTTATGAACTTAGTGGTATCGCACTGAAAATAGAACTAATGTTTACTATTACAAAATGCTTAAGATAGATAATATCAAAAGTATATCTTACGTAGACCTAGATTTACTTAATTTTAATATTTCTATCATCACTTTTGATTGTGCAATATTCACTGTCGATTAAATGGAATTGAGTTATTATTTAAATTATTTATAGTATGTTCCCAGAGTTACTTGGGAACACTTAATAATGTTAGTTTACTTGTATGTAAATTCATAAAACTTACCGAGGAGGAAAGTCGCAGCGCTGCTTACAGAACAAAAAACAGAAAGTGGACTGGTTACACTGGTTTAAGATAAATCTTAAAAAGAATACAGAAACTGCATACCATACCTATTATTTAAAATACCTGAGAAGGAGAATGGTATACATTTTACCTAAATAATTAAAAAAGATGATGTTATTACTGAATATTTGAGTTAATGAAATGTTTATTATTTTTATTTTTCTTAATATATTTTCCTTAAGTAGGTAAGAATTTCTTTTCTTCAAATAAATGCATCAAGATATAGATGTCCTTGCATTACCAACAATCCATAGTAAAACAATCATTTTACAAAGCCGCATACCAAAAGTAGACTGAAGTTTGAGCTGTCACAGATGGTAGGTCATTTCCAAACTTGGCCTGGTGGGAGGAAAAATGGCCTGCAGATAGCCAGGTGACAGACTGTTACCTGAGGTTTGTTATATAAATGTGGGACTTAATAAACTGCTATGAGCTTTATTATTCAAAAAAATCAAAATTACTTTTTTGACTCTGAATTCTAGGCCCTCACTATGTGCTTTTTGTCTTGATTTTCTTGTAGCTTTGGAGATAGGCTTAAGTGTCATTTTAGAATTTTTAGTCTGATTTTAAATAATGGTGTTGGACATTGCACTTTTAGAAATATTACCTTTTCCTGAAAAAATGAAACATTGCATTTAATATTTCCATGCATTTAAGAATTACAGTCCAAATAATGATGGTTTGGGGAAAATAATATTTTTGTCCCATGTGTCCTAAAATAAAACTCAGTAACACATGACACTTATTTGATTGACAGATGTCTAGGAGGTGACACTTTAAGGTGGGCTGTATATATGTGTTGGATTGACTATAAATGTGTTGTAACTGTGTTGTGAAAGTCAAGGATGGAAGTAAAGTTTCAAAAAGTGGGTCATGTAACTTTTTAGTGCAGGGAGGGAAGATTTGCAACCACTTCACTACTGCTCACATTTTAAGTTGCTTGAAGGCTAGGTTTTGAGGTGTGCCTGCCTGCATGCACATTTACTCCTGGGGAAGGCAGCCAGCTCTCTTAGTTTTGATGAACTGACAATAAAGATTTGTAGAGATAGATTGAAAAAAGAAAAAAAACGCATAAATGCCTTCCATGTTGCACCACTGGTCATGATAACTATAAAGTTTTAAGCAACTCTTAAGAGACCATGGTTTTAGATAAAACATTGATTTTGTTGTTGGTTCAACAATCTCTATTGTAAGAACTTTTCATTATTTTATCTTGTGTATATAACTTGTATCCTCTGCTACCTGCCAGTGCATCATCTTCTCTTAACATCTGTTGGTTCTTCCTTTGAAAAACTCACGTCAGGATGCTTTTGTGTTTTCCCCTTTTCAAAATTTATATATTCTTCTTTGTCAAGTGTAGGTTAATTATGTCATTTTATAGTGCAATTGATTAAAGAAGGCAGATTTTAAAAGATAATTCTCCGGTCAGTTAGAGGGCTGCATATCGCGAGTGATGACTTTTTATTTGTCTTCTAAGTACATGATAACTCACCTAAGTCTGTTTTATAAATCAGGAAAAGAAGTATAAAGGAAAACACGAAAGAAAAATCAGAAAAGAGAAATGTAATGTTTGCAGCAGAAAGAGCAACAAAATTACGTTTCCCCCTTTTTCTCTCTCCCCACTTCTAAATGACTGGGAGAAAAACATGAGAAAGAACAGAGAGAATGCCAAAGATGGTTGCCACTGGCACCAGGATTGGCATCAGACCCTCTTTGTTTAGCTCAGGATGCCTGTGATTTGTTAGTTGGCATCCGCATTGCAGTGTGGAGTGATGTTACAATATATTGACAATTTCCAGATCTAGAAATGTCAATAGTCCTCTTGGTTATTTATACAAGATCACACACTGCATCTCTTCTGGAAGACGAAATAAAGACCAACATGTACTAAAGTTTCATTGTTGACCAACTTCCTATGCTTTTCTTTTTTCCCTCTTTCTCTTTTGGTTCAACCCACACTTTTTTTCCTTCTTCATGCCCAGCAGCCTCATCTTTCTGAAATGTGGGAAGAGTTACCAGAGCTTTGACACAAGCTATAGTGCTACATCTGCATCTGATATGGTTTGGGAAAAAATTTATGCTTTTTGAAATCATTTTTGATATATAGTTCATTAGACTTTTGCATCACGTGGCCATGAGGCAGTATTTTATTTAAAGCTAAATCTCTTTGTTATTCGGCTACTATGCATGTAGTCTGGTTGACCGCAATTCAGTCCATTTTGCTATTTCCTTATATTAGCAAAGGCTGATGTTCAATATAGTTGTTTATAAAATTAAATGTCTCCCTGCACTTCACCTAAAATGTACACATCATTTGGGAGTAACTGCGTTTAAATCCATAAAGTCATTTGATGTTATTGATTCAGAGGGCTGCGCTTCGGCTGTTTCGTTGCTACAAGAACCGCCATTTTGTTTGTGAAGTGCCAGGCGAGGGGGAAAAAAAAGGCAGACACTGTGTTTGATGCCAATAATGGTTGCCAGTGGCACCGAGGTTGGCATCAGACCCTCTTTGTCTAGTTGCTGAATGCCTTTGATTCGTTGGTTGGCATCCGCATTGCAGTGGGCACACTGGAAAGTTTTTGACAATCCCTGAATGAAAGCTGCTTGCTTGTTTGCTGCAGCAAATCTTAGCTAATATAAAACTCTTCCTTTTTTTAGGTTTTGTCTAAAAAAACTGGGACAGATTAAAGAAAAAATAGCTCTAAATGGTATCTATTTTCCCAAAGATATTAAAGACGTCCAATGATTCTTGGGCAGGTGTTACCTATTCCCCATATTGCCTTTGTTACTGCATTCATGAAAGCAAAGCAAAAACAAAACCAAACAAAAACCAGGCAAGCCTTGCACAGCACAGCTTCCTGGGATGTAAGTGTCCTATAGGATGCAGGGTGTGCTATGACAAGTGTGTGGAGGACAAACCTAACGTAATGATATGTGATGCATTCATTATGACTGACTGTTGCTCTCAGTCACATCACTGCTTATTTGCTATGCAATTTCTAGTTCCCTCACTTGCCACTCTTGCAAATTTTATAGTAACATTTTGAGAGGACTTCAGTTTTCCTCTCTAGTTAGAAATGTGTAACAGAATACATGTTTAAAAAGAGAGAGAGAAAACTTTAAAGAGGAGACCTATGCGTTAAGGTCTGAGGTAAAATCAGTCATTCTGGAATTTCTCGATTCTGCACCACACTGTTACGAAATTCTCAGTGCACAATTTTGTACACTGGGAAAATCAACCAAAAGCCTAAAATAATTTTGGTTAAAGTTTCCTAGATAGTTAGCGTTAATATTGCTTTTCAGTTAACCACCGTTATCTCGTTAATTAATAAGAAGGATTAGCAGTTCTACCCAAAGGGCTGCACAGAAGGAAGTCTGGCCTATGGGAGGCCTTGAGTTGCCAGACTGTGTCCTGTCTGAAGGGGAAAAAAGGAAGGGGGTGGTGGTGGTGGTGGGAGTCGGGGGGCGGGAGTGGGATTGGCCTTTCTCTGAGGCAGGAAAGCGTTTTGAAGAGAGAGGTCACAACACACCAAGACATTTAAAGATCTCAAGAGATAGCAACTGTTGTCGTGTATGTAACAGATTAGAGTTTAAAATGAGTCACCCTAACTGATTTTTGGACTGTACTTTGCACTCTTATTAAACATGTTTTGGAGTGTTAAAGAGAGCCCAGAAACCTCATTGCTATCCTGAAAAAGTAGTTTCCTTTAGCCTTGTTGAACCCTTAAAATTATGATCTCTTGTTGGGTGGCCACTTTTGTTGCTTTATTGTTAAATGTTATAATAATTGAAGTACATTTTGAAGTTGTGAAAAATGTGACTTATTTACAGGGGAAGTCATAATCATTATTACTGTTTTTGAAATAGAAGCCTTCCTGGTTGTCACATATCATTAGTGAGGAAGCAAATGCTAAGAATTATTTTCTTCCTACAGTTACTGAATTTCAGAATCCTTTTGGGTAACAATTATTTCTTTATGAAAAGCTTAAGTAGATAATTGTTTGCAAGTTGGCAGTGTATTTTAACATTTTAATAGATTTCACTTCATCTGCAGGTATTTCCCATTATGGGAAAAAATAAGCTTTCATAATTGATTAAAATGAGGCTGCTCTCTAGGATGATTTGGTGTGTCTGCACTGTGAAATGCTCTGGGAACATAAGAGTTTGTGTGTAGGAGAAATACTTGGTATGCATGTTTGATTTAGGGGAGCACTGTTAAGTTTTCCCATCTAGCAACTTGTCCTTGACTGAACTTGTGAACTCTAGTGCACATTTGTTTGCATTCTGGCTCATACACAATTCACAAGATAAAGAAGGGCTCTTATTGGCATGTCTTGCTCCTAGGCTTAATGAGACCTTTGTGGGAACATATATTGTGAGATAAGATACTTAGCAATTTTCTCACTGATAAGAAAACACAGTCTCCCACCAGAAGTTCACCCTCTATGCCATGAGGTCTCTGCCACAAGATAGCTTTAACAGACAATTTAAGAGTTAAACTCTGAGGCCCCAGTTGCCAGCTGGGGAAGCTTGGCATCTGTGTTCCGATATGGCAAACTAAGCTCTTGCATTGCAGTTAATATGATCTCATTTTTCAAAGGGAAGGGTGGGGGGAGAGAAGGAGAGAGGGAGGGAGGGATGGGACGCTTATTTGTTACATCAATTATGATTTTCAAATATTTAAAAATATATAGTGCCCCACTTTCTGGAGGCAGCAAAGGTTGGTAAAATATTCTACTGACAGCATTAGGCATCCTTCCCCCCACCCTGTATATACAGCACTACAAATTTTGTAATGAAAAATAGTTAGATTATGTATTTGGATTTACAGATTTAGTGCACAATGTCTCTTGTGTGGTAAAATAATTCCAAATATCTCCATATTTGTAAGAACCAAAATAATATGCATTGTTCGAGAATCGTGGTAATTGGAGAGGACTGTGCATTGCAGTGACAGGAGTGACGGTCAGGTCTCCTGAAGAATGCCTTCCTGATAGGCACAGTTATAGTGCCTGTGCCTGGAGACTTAAAGCTGGGTAGGAGCCATTGAGAGAGGCCATCTATTGCTACAGCTTTAGTTCTTTAAAGTTACTGTTTTCTAAGGTGGTACCTAAGAAGCACTTCCAAACATGAAGATTCGTAATAGATTTGGTAGGATTTTTCATTTACTTACTTGTTTTTCCCTAAATTTGGAATTTAGGAAGAAGCTGTCATAAGGAAGTTAAAGTTGTAATCCTCCATTAACTTTTTGCTTTTGAATTTGGCACTTAAAATTTGAAACAGCAATCCAAGATACCCAATATAGCAAGGTCTTTCTCCTCATAAGCTCTCACTCAGCCAGATTAAACTGAAAAACTAGACTGGTAGGCTATATAAAACCGTTTGCTTTCTGACACTAGCGCTCTTGCCATCACTGCTGGCCAGTTAGAATTTCAGCACCTGAAGAGAGAGGGACCCAACGGAAGGTTATGTCAGAATTCACAGGATTTCTTAAAAATTGAGATAAGTTAGTTTTCATTTCTGTTATCATGGTGGCTTACATGATAATGGACTTATAATCAAAGAAGTAGTTATTGCTTTGTTTGAAGCTCCAAGTTTGCAAAGAGTGCAAAGAGCACATGAAACACTCATTAAAATGGTCAATTATTAAATACCTGAAAATTATGGGCAAAGGCGATCCCTGGCTCTGAAACTAGCTTCTGGGTAAATGTTTCTCTTTGGTTTATGAAAGAATAGCATTTTCCAGTTTGAAGTTGATGAAAGTAGAACTTGCGGCACTTAAGGGGTTTTCCTATGTATGTGCTATGGCGGAGCAAATGATTAGCCAACATAATGTTCAAAGCAAATTTTCCAGCCTTTTTCCCTCCATCCTTGTGAAGGAGGAATAATTTTAGAAATCTCAAGGACTAGTGGTTATGCGATCGGAAACTTGAGTTATTACGGCTGCATGCCCCAGTGCCAAGCATAGCAAGAAGAGACGCTTCCTTCTGATCATGCTCACTTTTCTGTGGCAACGTGGTATGTTGTCTCATTTTAAAGTAAATTCTTGGGACCTTGAACTCCAGTTTTGTGATGCGGTTAATTTAACTGAATTTAGTTGTTAGAATTTGGCATAGAGAATAAATCATCAAACTGCAGAGAACTTGTGAAAACTAAGTGCGTTGTAGTAAGGAGTGAGTCTGTGGGATTAGCTTGTATTAGATTGAACGTTAGAGTGAGACTAATAGGACTTGAATGGTTGGGCTTTTTGGTTGTTATATTATTCAGAAAATTGGAAGAAATGGCTAACAAGTGAGGTGGAAAGTCCTTGAGGCTGAATTGAAAGCCACACATTTTTAAAAAACCTTCAAAATTTAATTGTTCTAAAATGGGAAAGCAGATGATTACATGCATAACTATATTGTTTATAGTAAAACACTTAGATACACATATTCTGTTTATGATGATAGCTTAAACAGGACAGCACTGATGAATCACTGACAAATTAAAGATCTCTGAACAAGGACTATATAATTAAAAATATGGGGTGATGGATGAAGTAATTTTACTATCAAAAGTTGCCTGGAGGTTGTGTATTTTCAGAATCCTATTTTAAGGCAGTTCAGAACATGTAGTAAGTTATTGATGAAGCATAAACCAGTTGAAAATGGAATTTGTTTAAACAAGTGCGAAATAAAATAAGAATTACCTTTAAGAAAAGAATTATTTCATGTTAAATACATGCAGTTTTAAAATTTTAGTTAGCTTCAACTCCATTCAAAATAGTCTATTTCTCAAAATAGTCAACTTAATAGTATTCATTGAATTTTGAAGTACACATCTCTCATAAAACTACATAAAAGCATTTAACAAGCATCCATTAATATTAAGCGACACATATATAGTCTCATGCTGAATGAAGATGAACTGTTTTTTTAAAAACCTGATTTTTCATACTCATTTTGAAAAAAATACATGGATAAATGTATTGGTGCTAACGGAATGGTAGAGCTTGGGACAAAAAATCTAATCATGAGCACAGATATTAGGAAAAAGTTATTTGAAGTAGGGTATATTCTGTAATTCATGTGAGTGGTGGATTACATTTATGCCTATGCTAATGACACGTCAATATGAAGTCTATACCCCTCTATTAGTGAATTCTGAAGTGTAAAAAATGTTCCTTCGTAGGACAACTTGTATTTTATTATTCTGACATCTGCAGTTTCTGGTTGGATTACCTTAAATTTGCTATGCTATGTTAAAAGCCTTGTTTTATGAGGTCGGTCTCAGCTTCTGGCCTTGGTGTCAGGAACCCTGCTACCTGATGCAACTTGCCTTGTTAGGTTTAATTGACCAAAGCTGATGTGTTAAAACAATTCATTTGCGCTGTAACTTACGCCCTGGCTAAGTTGCTACCTGAATCCCTTGACCTTGACTTGTTTGGGTCATGGAATGGCTGCAAGCTGTTTGACCTTTCTATTGTGTAATAATGTCACTGTTTCCTCTTATTCTTTAATGGTAATAGCTGACAAAAAGGCCCAAGCCCGCCCTTTACACACCAGTGGATTCAAGGCGTCCGTCTGCAGTAGCTACGTCTTCTGTTTGACATGGTCTGGCTGTAGAAGTGACTTTCTTTTGTTTGCTGACAGTGATGGGGACAAATTTGCAGCCCTCCTTGCTACAAGAGGTGGGGCATAGTATTCTGGCATTTGGAGGGATTTAGATCTTTTCTGCTTAGATTTTCAGTTTCTCTGTTTTATGATGGTACATATCACAATTTCCTTTTCCACACTCGTCTGAGGTTGACTTTTCAGCTTTTTATATTTATGGTTTCTTTAATAATTACTTTTCAGCATTTTCAGCTGCTACGATAAAAATATTTTATTGTCATAATATGAGGTAAAAGTGGGAAATTTAGTTATGCTGTTGGTTACCGATGTGAAAACAACTGACTTTTGAACTTAACACTATAAATCTTTGACTAGTACTGAAAAAATCTGTATACTAAACATGTAGGGTAAAACCAACATTTTTTTCTTTACAAATGAGTTAATGTTGTAACTTTATATATACCATCTTATGTTATAGTTTTAAGGGAATCCTATCTTTTGTGACTTAAATAGCTAAATTTCATGACATAGTAGAGAACCATTAGTAAATATGAAGATTTTATTTCTGTGGGGACTTTTGCCAGCATGTAAAAATAACTATTTATTTTAATGAATATAAAAATTGTTTTTTTTCTACTCTTCATGAAAACCTCATGTGCAAAAATAGCGAATTTTACCTCCGTTCTTCTCTTCTGAAGCAGTGAAATAATTTTATTTTTAAAATACTGGAAAAGCCTTCTAAAATGTTAAAACACAGATATTTTTATCCTACCAAACTCTTCTTTGCCAAATATGACATTATAGTTCATGATTTTCCTATATTTGCCAGATTAAATATTTAAAATCCAAGCTGTTACATTTTATTTTTAAATTATTAGAGGAAAAAAGGAAGTTTAAGTTAAAATGTACATTTCCTTACTTGCGTGTTGCGTACTGTTTATACATGTGTGTAGATACACTGACAGATGAGAGACAATGTGCTACAGGCGCTAGAACCTGGGAAAAAAGCAGTAGATTTCTGCATTCCCATCTAGAAAATATCTGAAAATAGCAGGTGAGAGGCTTTCTTTTCTTTCTGGTTTGTTTGTTTGTTTGTTACTGTTGTGTTTTAAACTGTTTTTCCCCCAGGAATGTTCACAAGATCAAGGAATTTAAATGCTTTTCAGAATGAATCATGTTGATAATCCAGAATCATAGGGGTCAAAGGAGGAAGGTTGAATGAAGTGCTCTGAATCTCATTTTAGTCCATGGCCTCAGTTTTTCTCTCTTCTCCTGTAAAAACTAGTCTAGAATAGAAAATATCTCTTTTGCCTTTCTGCCGGTTCATTAGCATCCTCAGGGGCAGCGCCAATGTGGAGTTGGCTTTAGATGTGGTTGGTGGGCTAAGGGGTCAGATGACAGTGAGACTGTGATATGAGAACAGCAGCCAGCCCAGAGGATTTAAAAATCTCTTTAGTTTTCTCCAGACGTCTACCTCAGTTCCTACATCGAAAGAATTTTAAGGTGATCTCACCTGTTGAGTTAAAGTTTCTAGTCCAACTTGTGTGTTATCCAACTTGGGTGTGTGTGTGGGCAGGGAGCAGGGGGTGTGCGCATGCACACACGTGTTGTAGGGAGTTGAAGAAGTGAAGTTAGAAGAAAAAGAGAAAGGCGGGGCTTAGATCTTGCAGGAATTACTTAAGAAAGATGGCTTATTCTTAGACTGAAGAGTAAATAATGTGCAAATTAAAGTATTCTGTCATCCTTTGAATTTTGAATTGCTTAAGACGTTCAGCATATCCCCCTTCTGCCTTTTCCATTTTTGTAGAGCACAGAAAATGTCTTAGTTCAGGCTACTATAACAAAATAACATAAACTGTGTGACTTACAGACACTAAAGCTTATTTCTCCCAGTTCTGGAGGCTGGAAGCCCAGGAGCAGAGTGCCAGCATAGTCAAGTTCCAGCGAGGGCTCTCTTCCGGGTGGCAGAGTGCCAACTTCTCCTTGTTTCCGTACATGCAGCAAAAGAGTGAGAGCTCTCTGGGATCTCTTTTATAAGGGCACTAATCCTGTTTATGAAAGCTCCAATCTCATGACCTAATTATCTCCCAAAGGCCCCACCTCCTAATACCATCAGATTGGGGGTTAGGATTTCAACGTAGGAATTTGGGGAAGACCCAAACATTCATTTTGTAACAAAAATCATGTGCATAGAATTTGACATTTGGGGTTCTAGTCTTGGCTCTGCCATTTATCTGCTTTGTGACCTTGGTCAAGTCACTTCAGCTCCATGTGCTTTGCTTTTCTGTTCTGTAAATCGAGGATTAAAATGCCTACTTCACTGTGTTGCTTTAGGATTAAATGAAATAATTCATGTAAGTAAAAGCAATAATGTTAATAATAGCAATTACTACTATATATGAAGGAAAATAGCATAATGTAGACTGCCAGGGAGACTATCCAGTAGTGAAAAAAAGGAATGACTGGATATGAAGCAGAGGGTCATCATTTAGTTCATATTTATCTCAGGTAACAAGACATACCAAAGAGGAAATCGAAGTCCTGCTCACTGTAGTGCGCGTGAATATTTGTTAGTGAAAACTCTTTGTGTAGGCACATGAAGTTAGCTAGTTGTGTGTAGTTTTAAAACCCATTTAAATTAGAATGATTGTATGGTTTTAGAAGCCTTTTTGTCTCAGATTTACCAGAGACTAAATTTATTGATCAATCTAGGTATATTTGAAGGGAAGGAATCAAATAATTTTATTAGTGGCTCTCTGAATAAATAACTCAATTTTGGTGTGGGTAAAGGGTGTCCTATCAAGTACTCGTAATTCACTGCACTCCAATAAAAGTGTAAAACTGTCATGTACAAAAAAATTAAATTGCCACCATTTGGGAGAACTACACTTACGTTTTAGATTTGTTTCGGCAGAAGTGATGATGATGTGGCTAGATGGGATAGTGCTTTGTTTGTTTGTTTGTTTGTTTGTTTGTTTTTTGAGAAGGAGTCTGGCTGGGTAGCCCAGGCTGGAGTGCAGTGGCGCAATCTCGGCTCACTGTAAGCTCCGCCTCCCGGGTTCACGCCATTCTCCTGCCTCAGCTTGCCGAGTAGCTGGGACTACAGGCGCCCTTCCCCACGCCCGGCTGAGTTTTTTTTTTGTATGTTTAGTAGAGACGGGGTTTCACAGTGTTAGCCAGGATGATCTCCATCTCCTGACCTCGTGATCTGCCCGCCTTGGGCCTCCCAAAGTGCTGGGATTACAGGCATGAGCCACCGCGCCCGGCCAACTGGATTGTCCTTAAAAAAGCATGCTGCTGGTTTTCAGACTCTTTTTAAAGTCCGAAAGTATCATATTTAAAAATGACCCTTAGTTGAGTCAAAACCTCAAACCGTTTAATCAGTTGCATGAATTGTTTTGATTTTATTGCCATTTAATTTTTCTCCTTTAAGTCACTCTTTCCCATTCCTCCTTTTCTATCGTGTTAAGAAAATTAAATAATTAAATGAGCTCCGTAGGAAATAAGTTAACATTTATTACTGAAATTGACTTCACTTTTGCTAAGAACAACTGGAAGCCAAGTGGAGAATGGTTACAACATTTACTTCTTACGAAACTGTGATTTGGGATCACCGTGTTTGACTTCAGTAGCTCTGGTTGGTTGTGTCCATGGAGGTCCTTGGAGGAACTAGTTTCGGTGCTTGTTTCCCTACGGCCACTGAACTGCACCCCTCACTTTGCACAGGAGGTTTGGAAAGTGGAGAGATTAGCTCATATCCACAATCCCTACTAGGAAAATTTAAATCACGTGTCACATTGACGTAGGGTAAAAAGGCATCATATTCTTATATGGAGCACTTTATAATAAGTGTATCACGTACCTAGGGGTTCTAGCCAGGAGTTAATAGGAAAAGTTATTTCACTGTTTGTCCATTAGTTAAAGGGTAACTAGGGTGTACGGAAAGCAGGATCAGTACATTGATTAGCTTGTTTGGATTCTGGCACATAATTTTTAATAATCTGTGGCATTCCTTTTCTTTTTGATAACACACTGGTGTTTAGTAGCAGTTCTGTTCATGGGATACACAAAACTCGAAAATCATATACATGAAACAAAGTGCAGCCACAGTTTTTAAACATATGTAAACTGGGATTGCTGTTGATGGCAGAAAGATTTGATATGATGTCTTTCTAATGTATTTGAAAAGCTTTGCTTACACTTATGATTTAAAGTTGATGTTCACTTAAAGTGGGAGCGTATACATGGTTGTTAAATTCTAGTTGCCTTTCATAGCCTCTCAGAGATGCTTGCATATTTCTTTATTCCTGATGGTAAAGCATCAACATTTTAGGATATGACTTATAGTTATCATGTAACAATTTCTGTTCTATTTACAGTCTCCAAATAAGGGAAAAGCTGCTTATAGTAATATGAGGATCACTGGTCTTACAGTAATTAAATAGACTTGTTATACTACATTAATCCCTTTTGGAACATTTGGAATGACTTCTTAGTACTAACAAACACAGCATTAGGGCCTACAATTAATCTGCTTTTCGTGTCCAACATTCGTATAATATAAAACATGTGCATGGAGAAACATATTTTGGGTTTAAGATGAGTTCATGGGAGGACAAGATGAAATTATTTTGGACTGTTGAGCAATATGAATATAATGCCAAGTACTGATAAAATACGGAATTCATTTAGAATCAACATAGGTAGACAGACTGTTTTTAGTAAGGTTTTGTTTTTTGGTGAATACCATGTTTGGGCTGTCAGACTTACTTTTCCCCTGAGATCCATATTTTGTACATGACATACCAGATATATGCAATATGAAACGGAAACAGTTTTTCAATCTAATATCCAGGAGTTTGTGTTAATATCTTGTGAACTTGTGGCTCTTGGTATCTGGCATTGATAAGGCTGTCTACTAATCCTAGAGAAAGGGAAGTAGACTCCGTTTTAAAGTCTAGTCCAGTCTTATTCTTTAGTTCATAGAAATGGTCTAAGTTAATGATAGACTCCGCACTTATGTTCAGAAAGCATCATCATTACAGCTTTGTTGAAGGGACTTCTGAGTAAGGATTATGTTTGCGTCTCCTGTTGTGGAAGGCCCATGAGGCGTAATTTCCTCCTCACCATGGGCTTCTTTATTATTGTTGAGTTTTTCATACTCAGGGATGTGAATTCAACCTTGGGTGTTCCAGTTACAGAGAAAATATTTCATGAAGGATGAAGTGTTGGTTCAATTCTAGGACAGATTGCGTGCATATATACAGAGTACTATGGAAATGCTGGGATTATTGAGTGGTTTGCAGCCATTTTCGACCATGTGCCTGGGACTAGCTAACACATTGTCAGGGAAAAACATGATGTAGCAACAATATTAGATCATGCAAATGAGACTACTGAATAGTAATAGTTATGGGCAATATTTTGGAAAACACTGATTAGTGACAGTTTTATTACAGCAAATGTATGTATCAAGTCCCCAGATTTCATTGTAACGCACTGAAAACAGATGTCAAAGTGTCCCAAACAGAATTTCATGGTTAATCTACATATTGCATGGAAAGTACAAACAAACCATTTAGAATTCTGTTATTTAATCCTTTTAGAAGGAATGAAAATATACAATTTAGATTTACTCTATTCTTTCTTTTAATTTCAGTTTTTGTTTTGTAGGGGATGACGATAATTTTTTTTGTTTATTAAGATGCATATAGGAGAAGACATATCTGCGTATGGACATAATTTTACTTAATGTACTTTGAAATGTAAGTTTCTGAACATAAGGTCTTTACATTAAAAAAAGAAAAATTAGACTCTAAATTATTTAGTGACCTGATAATGGAATTACCTTCTTCCATTCCTTTGTTTACTGATGTAGAGATTCACTCTACGCCATATAGTGATTGAAGCAGCTTGCTGAAGTGGAAGAGAAAAACATTGCTGGTCCTACTGTTTGCAGGTGCTTGGGAAACTTTGTCCCTCTCAGTAACTCAGTTTCTGTATCTGTCAGGGAAGAGAATTGGCCTAGAGGACATCCACTATCCCTGTTAGCTCTAGCATCCTAGGAATTTGGTTTCTGGTTATCTTGGCAGAGAGCAGTCCTCTTCATAGTAAGCAATACTTAATAAAGTTTAGCACATGCTTGTTAAATTTAGGGTTTTAATACATTTTATTTATTAAAGAGAAATAGAAAATGTGTAACCTGACTCTTGAGTAACACTTTCATGTTGCTCATTTCAAAGTCCAATAGTTAACTCATTTGGTTCAATGTAGATAAAAGCTTACTTTTTAAGAAAGAGGTCTTTAACTTGTAGAATTTTAGAGCCGGGAAAATCCCTACAGATCTTCTCACTTTACAGTTTGGGATACTGAGTCTAAGAGAGGCCCAGTGCTTCTTTGGATGCGTTACTTTTACTGCTGTAGGAGGAAAAATAAACGTAAATTATCAAAAAATAATGAAAGGTTATTATTTCGTGAAAACATGGCAGCAATTTTTAAAGGAAAATAGAAGAAAAATAATGATTAAACATCTTGTATTATCATTTGTAATTAAGATAAATTAATTCAAGAGACTAGGTTTTTTCTTTTATACATTTTCATAGGAAGTATTCTAACGAAATCAATCTGCAGCCATGGTCTTTCTCTTTTTTTGTGTGTGGATGGAAGATACACTAAATTGCACTCAACTAATACCAAAATTTGATGCTGGTTGAAAAACAGAAAGGACCCATTAAAAATATATGGCCAATTTTCCAATAACATAAGAAAAGATGATTGAGATTTGTTATAAGAAAACTTTTTTTTTTTTTAACTGAAAGTCAGATTTTTAAAGAAAAGGTCAGAGCTAGTTATGAGGAGCTGTTAGAAGTTCTGCTTTTGGGTGTTTGTAATTTTCCGATTAGCTTGATAATTACTACATCTCCCTTTTCCTTTGTGTGGCATGTATCATCTCAGTTAAAGAATTTTTTTTTAAGTTTAAAACAAACATCCATATCTCTTTTATTTAAGAGATGTTTCTGAGAATTTTTTTATTAGTTTAATATTTAGTAAATAAAACATATGAAATTTACAAGGGGAATTTAATTTCAAAAAGCAACTTTCAATGAATCTTTTTGTTAAGGTAGAAATTCTTTTACAGAGTCTCTGTCGCCCAGACTGGAGTGCAGTGGCGTGATCTTGGCTCACTGCAACCTCCACCTCCCAGGTTCAAACAATTCTCCTGAATCAGCCTCCCAAGTAGCTGGGATTACAGGTGCATACCACCACACCTGGCTAATTTTTGTATTTTTAGTAGAGACTGGATTTCATCGTGTTGGCCAGGCTGGTTGTGAACACCTGACCTCGAGTGATCCACCCACCTCAGCCTCCCAAAAGTGCTGGGATTACAGGCGTGAGCCACCTTGCCTGGCCAAGAATTCTTTTATAAAATGAAAGAGTTGTCTATAATTTATGTTTTAGAAATGCCCTGTGTGTGCTTATGTATATCAAGAGACTCTGGAATAAGGCAAAGATTAACACATTGAAACAGAGATATTAGAGTATTAGAAAAAGTTTAATATCAGCTACTTCTAGTAGCTAATTTCTAGTTTGACAGTATATGGTGAAAGTTTGAAAGCATGTTTTTCAGGCACAATTGTTGATGGAAAAATAGGTGAACAAAAGATGGGTACAATGCAAGTACAGGAAACCACAATCAATAGAAATGTTATGAGAGCATACTATAAAATAGATAATATGTATTTGTTGAATGAATGGATGAATGCATGCAAGTTATTTATACTGAATATAGAACATTAGGGGCAAATCAGATTACTGTTACTGAGGTAACACAAGAAAGTTCCTCAAACTAGGAAAATCTCCTTTTTACTGAGGCTTGTTTTCTTTCTTTTGTATATGCACTAGTGATTGGTCACTGTTTTAGAAATACATTTCCACTTTATGTGTATATTTTTAATGTTAAGAATGAGTAAAATAAAACCATGTGAATTACAGGGTCTGTATTAGCAATAGCACGTATTCTGGAATCTTGCTGTGAGTTTTAATGTTTGTTTTATACTATTCACTATGTAGTTGGGTAAATTAGTTTTATTTTCTAAGATTCAGTTTCCTGAGCTCTGGAGTAGGCATGCACTTTATTTGGCAATTGTGAGGGTAAACTGAGAAAATACTTGTGAAGTGCTTACCGCCGCACCTGCCGTATTGTAGACGTGCAATACTTTCTCTGAGCTTTCCAGAAGACTTGGTCTCCCTTTTGTGGGCAGAGCTTTAAGTTAAGGGCAATGCTATGCCTAAAGTGCGGAGAAAAATATTAAATTTGGCAAATTTTCCAGTTTCCTAGGTATATGGCAAAAATTTAAATACTGTAATTGCTATGTAATGTCTCAAAATCCACTCCTAATGTGAATGGTATAGAGCCACAGCTAATCACAATGCCTGTTTCAATATTTGTGAGTTACTTAAGGAAATAACCTTCCCTAGAGTACAAAGACATGATAGATTCTTGTATAAATTTCCTGGTACAATCCAGTATACTTTACTACTATCCATTTTTCATGAGGTCTTTCATTTGGGTATAAGACAATCCCAGGCACAAACATAATGGGAGATAAAAGTGAACATACTCGTAACTGTTGCCTAGCGGGGAGTGTTCAAGGTGATGGTATTTATTTATGCAAGGAACTAAGACTTTAAAATCCCAAACATTTTCATGGTCTGGAATGGTGATGTGTTTATTTTTTTCCTTTATGTTTCCAATAGCACTGACTTTTAGTCCCACAAATAAGGTTGGAAGAAATATCTCAATATTATGAGTAAGATTATTCTCTGAAGAATAATTTTGACTGTTTTCTCTTATTCATTAAAAATGACACATCATTTAAAAAATCATTTCACTGGTAATATAATTAAGTCCCTGGATAATAATCCTTATCTTGTCATTTTTTATTAGTCTTTAGATTTTTTCAAAGTGTGCATATGTATTTATATGTGTGTGTATGTATGTATGTATATGTATGTGCATATATATGTGTATTTATATGTGTGTGTGTGTATATCTATCTATCTATATCTATATGGTATACCAAATATATAGGAAAATATAACCTTCTCACCAACTACCAAATATTGGTATACCAAATATATATTGAACCTAGTTTGTGAAATTCTTAGTTCGTCTATACTGCCCCATCCCCTCAGCCAAATAAAAAGTGAACATAAGTTCTTAGATGACAGTGATCAGGTGTTATTTTCATACTTCTTTTCCCCTTGTTCTCTATAAGGCAATATACAGTGGGCTTGTTGATTCTTTAGTTCAGTGTTGATTATATATATTAATGTATGTACATGTATATGTGTGTGTGTGTATGTGTATGCATATATATATGTGTATTTGGTATACCAAATTATATATTTGGTATATATTATATATTTTGGTAAATATTATATATTTGGCATACCAAATATATATATATGTATATATATATATATATACATATACACACACACATACACACACACACACACACACACACGCTTTGGAAAATCTAATGACTAATAAAAAAGGACAAGATATAATATATATGTGGTATATTAAATCCTTTTATTTTGGTATGTGTTTAATATGATTCCGTATGTATCATCATATAGTCAAAGAAGTAGGCATTTGTGGATTTATGAAAATATATCCTTCAAGGAAAATATAGAACATTTGAACTAAAGGTGAAAAAATGAGAAATGCATTTATGGAGTGGAAGCACTGTACTGAGCACTGTTTTCAATATTTTAAGGAGCTAGGAAAAAACGGTGAAATACTGATGGCCTTGTCCGAGTAATTTACAAGTAGAAATGAGAGGGTCATGGTCACTTGCAGTGTTTATGAAAAACAAAAATACCAAAGATAGTGGGACAAGTATACAACTAACTAACCCTCTCACCAACTACTATATATAGTTAGATTTGCGGAGCTTTCTGGGAGGGAACCCTGTGTGACTGCAATGGAAAGGTCACGGAGAGGAGGTGAGTGTTAAGCAGAGTTTTCTCAGGGGTTATGTAACAAAACCAAAACAAAATGAAACAGATAACCAAGAGTCTACTTTTCACATAAATTAACTGCATTTGGCATTGATATATACTGTTTTGGGAATGTTTGTTTTGGTGACAAATTTGGTGTTCTGTTAAAAAAAAGTTAATAAAAGAATCTAATAGGAATTTTAACACAGATGCCAAAATATTTAATACTAAATGGCTTTGATTGATTAATCTCTTTTTTATTATTGAATCGTAACATTGAACTCTGATATCTAAATTATTCTTAAATATAGTTTAGCTCTTAGATTTCAGTGTATGTCCTATACACATTGTCTTAAAATGTTTCGTAAAGTATCTTTTAAAACTAATTCTGGTATTTCAATTGTTTATGTTATATAATCTTGAATCAAAATTGTCAATATATATTTGTCATGTGTCAATAATTTGTTTTAAGATATTTTGGAATTGAGAAGATAATTCTATAGGCAATTAAAAAATCTAGAAAGCAAAATATTCTGCAAATATACTGTATTTAAAAATATTCTTAAGTTAGCTGAGTTGAGTTTTGCATCCAGTTTACATGACTATCATTATTATTTTAAAAATCAAGCGTGGCTGTTGAACTCAGCAGAAGAAAAAATGGTTTTTGTTTGATGAGGTATGTTTTATTGTCAGACTAAAATATCTGACCTGATGCAAATTTATACTTTTTTGCTGCTAAAAGCAATGGGCTGATCTAGTGACACACCCAACAATAAAATAACACCCAGCTTTAAATATTTTGTTCTCTGTAAATGATGCCTCTTCCAGAATATAGGTGTTTCCTCATAGGTAATTGCAGAAAAAAGTGTAAAATGAAAACTGTGGGCCGGGCGCAGTGGCTCATGCCTGTAATCCCAGCACTGTGGGAGGCTGAGGCAGGCGGATCACGAGGTCAGTAGTTCAAGACCAGCCTGGCCATGGTGAAACCCCGTCTCTACTAAAAAATACAAAAAATTAGCCGGGCCTGGTGGTGCGCACCTGTAATCCCAGCTACTCGGGAAGCTGAGGCAGAAGATCGTTTGAACCCGGGAGGCAGAGGTTGCAGTGAGCCGAGATCGCGCCATTGCGCTGCGGCCTGAGCAACGAGAGCAGAACTCCGTCTCAATTTTTTTTTTTTGACGGAGTCTCGGTCTGTCACCCAGGCTGGAGTGCAGTGGCGTGATCTCAGCTCACTGCAAGCCGCCTCCCGGGTTCACACCATTCTCCTGCCTCAGCCTCCCTAGTAGCTGGGACTACAGGTGCCCGCCACCACGCCCAGCTAATTTTTTGTATTTTTAGTAGAGACGGGGTTTCACCGTGTTAGCCAGGATGGTCTCGATCTCCTGACCTCGTGATCCGCCCGCCTCGGCCTCCCAGAGTGCTGGGATTACAGGTGTGAGCCACCGCGCCCGGCCTATAATAGCTCTTTTAAAGTAGCTTTCAATCTTTTAAGGTTACAAATCATATACCCAAAGATAGATTTGAACCTAGTTTGTGAAATTCTCAGTTCCTCTGTACTTCCCCATCTCCTCAGGCAAATAAAAAGTGAATGAAAGTTCTTAGATGACAGTGATCAGGTTTTCTTATTTTCATACTTCTCTTCCCCTTGTTCTCTTATAAGGTGATATACAGTGGGTTTTGTTGATTCTTTAGTTCAGTGTTGATTATGTTGTGCACATGTAGGGAGATTATGAACACTGACATTTAAAAAGAAATCTTTCTCAGTTTGCCCCTTTATGATGGCATTTAAAAGCCATTCTGTCTGCAGTGAAGCGGCTTATTCATTCAACAACTATTCACTGAGCACCTACTATGTATCAGGCACTCTGCCAGGTCCTAAAATTGCAATATAGAGAAGACAGACATTTTACAGATTTTATAGTAGTGAGAGACAGTTTAAGAAGAATTACCCAATTTTTGTTGTTCTTTTTTCTTAAGTGTTCCCATTAAGTGCTTAATAAGTTATAAAAAGAGTAATGGTAGTGATTATACAAACATCATCTGAAAGAAATGACATGAAAACTTGTGACAACTTCTGAGAAAATAGTGAGATCATGAGAATGGATTATTGTGATGAACAAGTATAATTTTCTCTGTATGACAAAAAATATTTTTGTAGTGTGTACATGGTAGTTATACATAACAAGCATACAAGCATGCTTGTTATGACATCTTGTAGCATGTAGCTTTTTTTGCAGGAGGTTGGAAATGTGTCAGGATGTATTTCTGGACTCTGCGCTGCTCCTAACTGGAGCAATTGCATTGGGTTCTGAGTGGCCCTAGCACCCTCCCATTCAAAAGTGAGTAAGCAAGAACTGTAATGAAACTTGGAGGAATAGTGAGTATGTGTTAGGCTTCCTGAAGATGATTGCACTTAATGGAACAAATTAAAGAATAATAGAATGTGGCATTGGGGTACACCCAATAATTTCTCCAATTCCTCAGATGTCAGCAGACTTGTTGCAGGTTTTGCAGTGAACATGTCAGTCTGGTGGTGTCCCATCATCAAGGGGCGGTGACTAGGTGTGCATGGCGTTGGAACTTGCTAGAAGGAGCCCTGGAAATAGTCAAAAAGTTGGAAATCAGGAGTACTATCTAAAATCTTGTTTTTGCCATTTTTTAACTGTATAACTTTCAGCAAGTGTTTTGAAGTCCCAGAGGCTCCATTTCTTCTTGTGTAAAATGGAGATAATACCAATCTTACAAGTTAAGGCTTTACATAGTGACCTGATGCTTAAGTGATACCCACTTAAGGTGGGTAGGATTTTCTAGCTGTGGTGCTTTTCCACATGTGACCATTGCCATTTAGCTAACATTTAGTGAGCATTTACTATGCGCCAGGTATTGTTTGCAAAGTCACCTGTTTGACTCCTTTATTCCCTGGTAACCATATGAGGTAGATACTTTACTGCCCTTTCACAAATGAGAACTCTGAGGGCAAGCTAGTTAAGTGACAGAGTCAGAATTTTGATCCATGCAGTTATCGCTGGACTTCTTTCTTAACTGTAATTCTAGATAATGAACTTCCTCTGGCCCCAGTAGGGTAAAAGAGACAAAAGAAAATATTATATAGTCTGAAATAACCTCTACATATTAAAAAAAACTCATTTCACTTATTGACACACTAAAAAGAATTGAAATAGGACTGGGCGCGATGGCTCACGCCTGTAATCCCAGCACTTTGGGAGGCCGAGGTGGGGGATTACCTGAGGTCAGGAGTTCGGGACCAGCCTGGCCGACATGGTGAAACCCTGTCTCTACTAAAAATACAAAAATTAGCCAGGTGTGGTGGTGTGCACCTATAATCCCAGCTACTCAGGAGGCTGAGGCAGGAGAATCGCTTGAACCTGGGAGGTGGAGGTTGCAGTGAGCTGAGATTGCACCCTTGTGCTCCAGCCTGGGTGTCAGTGCAAGACTCTGTCTCAAGAAAAGAAAATTGGAAAGAATCATTTGTTTTATCTTTAATTTATGAGTTACTGCTTTCAGTTTTATTAATTTTGATATACAAAATCTTAGTGATTTCCAAGCAAATCTTTTAAACTAAGCAGTCTTTCTCATTTTTTGTTTTCTCTTGCTCTATGCTGCTTATGTAGGAGACCTTGAAATTGGATGTGTTTATTGTGCAGTCCACAAAGGCTACATAGGGCAAATAAAATGTCCTTAAAGAGAGGATTAAGCAAGTCAAGAGCCATACTTAGGAATCCAACTGTTCAAGAATAGGTATCATGGTCTTCATTGTTGACTTATGATAAAGATCTTCCCTATCCCACTCACCCTATGCTAGATTAATGGTTTTCCTTAGAAGTCTTAGAATAAATTTTTCTTCTGTTTTTCTTATTGATTTGAAAAGTTGGGATATTTTTCAAATAAAATATCTATGTACACTTGAGTAAATGGACTCTGGGCTCTTTCTGTTATGAAAGTTTTCTGAAGGAAATAGATGAACAAAGAACGTATATTTTAGTTTCCATAAGTTTTTTGGTTGCATCTTTCTAAACAGAGTCCATTTTTAATTCAAAAACTTTTGAATTTTGAGTGCTCACTTTGTGGATTATTTAGATAAGAGTTTATGAGGTTTGTAAATCATCATAAGTTTGCAGGACAAAAATTCCGCCACCCCTTATTCCTATACATTACATTCATTTTTTTGGTTTCAAAGATTGATTTTCTTCTTAGATAAGGCTATGAATCTTAGTGAGAAAGAAGATGTATGGAAAGATCCAGAAATGACTTCCCTTTCTCTTCTGAAAGACAGCAATCCTCCTTATTATTACTGTTTTATAATTATGTTAGTATTAATTGGTAGCAATATTAGTAATAGTAAAAACAACAAAATGTCCCATTCCCCCCATTAATTATTTATTATAATGATTACAGTTACCCAGGGAACTAGGTATTCTCATCAAATAATAGATAAAGAAATTGAGGTTAAATATCTTGAATAACTCTCCAATCCGAAAGCTAGTAAGAGGCAGAGTCAGAATTCAACCCATGACTGCCCCTTCCCAGCTCATATTCCCAGCTTCACTCCCACTACTTCTCCAGTAAAACTATTTTTTAAAAAAGGGTCTTCTCTGCATCTCCAAGGGTTATAAGCTACATTTTATAATAATGTGTGTATGAAGCAGAGTTAGAGAACTCTCATGAGATCTCAGTGTAGTCCTACCTACCTACCTAGACAAAGAAATAATTGTATGGTTTGTCTTTTCCTGTCTACTGTAAATGTTTCTTCTTTCTACTTGCTTAGATGTGCATCTGTTTGTCCTACAGACACTGTTCCTCTGTCCCTCAGTGAGCTACAAGCAACAGAGCTTTCTTGAGTGTTCCTGGATGCCAACGCACAACATTTAAACATACTGACTTTATATATTTGCTCCCTAACGTGAATATGGATATTTTTCTCTTCTGATTTCATTTCCTTTAAAAAGAGCAGTGATGGCTCAGGCCAAATCAACTTGAGTTCATGCAGCCCTGAGCATGATCAGGACTGCTCTTGCCCTGAAAGAGGAGTCCATTGTCCTCAAGGACATTATGTCAGAGCCCTTAACTGTGAACTTTCAGTCAAGATGCTAGACTTGCCAGTTAGTTACACAGAAACTATTAGGTCCAGGATGGAATGTGGCAGTTAAAACAGAGGAACTTTGATCCCCAAGATAAAGTGGATACAGACACTAGTATGCTTGCATTTTACCACAGTTTTGATTTGCATAGTTTTTCTCAATCTAAATTCCTTCAACCTGTGTCCAGTGAGTGGTGCAATGATACAAATACACAAGCGTTTTGCTAGAAAACCTTTAAGAATGGCTGATGCGAGTCATTCCCCAAGAGCCCCTAGTCCGGAGTCACAGTGATACCCAGTTATGTCAGTTCGTTTTCTTTTAAAATGTGTGCTAAATGTTAATCTCTTTAAAAATGTGCACTAAAATGTTTGCTAAATGTTAATCTCTGGATTTGATATTTATGTGGTTATTTATTTAATCCTTTAACCTTGCCAAACTTAGCCAGAGTAGTTCTAAGATGATAGTAACAGTAACAACAGCCGCAACATCTAATATTTATTAAGCACTTACTATGTGCCTGGGACTGTGTTAAGGGCATCACATAGCATGTTTTATTTAATTCTCACAACTAACTTATGTGGAAGCTATTATAATCATGGAAAGTAAAGTTCTCAGACAAAGAGAGAGCCAGTCATGACCGAAGTTCATACAACAGTGGTTAAAAGGAGGAACAAGTATTTGAACCCAGGTGTTCAGGTCTGAAGCCCTGCATGAGGAGCTCACCTGGCTGTGCGGCCTAATTCAGAAACTCATTAGTCTGGTAGCTTTGGGAAAGTCGCCCTCCTTCAGGAACCTGTTTCCTGATCTGTAAAAAGGACAACTACTCTTGCCTTCCTGATCAGATTGTTAAGAAGACCAAATAAGAAAGGCACATTAAAAAAGTACACTTTGAAGAAATACGCAAATAGATGAGACTGTTTTAATGACCTTAGCACACTCTAAAGACTATGTTTATCAACTGCCATTTCTGTGAGTAATCACATTAGAAAGTCACATCACTTGTAATTTGGACTTTTGCAAAGTGGTCCACCATGTGTAATATAACATTATTTTAATTTTCACATCTCTACTGTTACTGATTGTACAAATAATTTTGTATATTAGAAGAAAAGTCATTAAACACAATACGATTTTTTATCTGAGAACATCATGCTTTAATAATATTTATGGGATATTTATTGCCCTCTTGATATTGCTTGTTACCACTTTAGTAGGGGAGGAGAAGACTGACTTTTACAAAAAGAAATGAATGCAGCATTTCTGTCTGTAGCAAATAAAATGAGGTAAATAGTTGAATGGTTACTGAAAAAATGTTATCAGTGTAAGGGAATGGTTTAAATATTTAAAAATTGCCCTCCAAATAATGTAACTTAAATCCAATTTATATAGTAGCAGAAGTTTTTGTACTGAATCAAATTTCTGCAATTCTTCTTGCCCCCTGAGTAGACAGAGCTGTGGAATAGAATATTTTTAGAATGAACACTTACCACAAAGTTTTTCCTTTAAAGTTTACATTGGTTTTTTGAAATATAATAAGATTTTTTAAAGTACAGATATTTGACCTATGCAGCATCCATTTTTTGTTCCTCTGGGCATTTATAAATATGGGATTTAGTCATTCTTATGTTCACTGAATTAATTTCCCTAAAAAAAACACGTGTGGGGTGTGCACGTGTGTGTGTGTGCATGTGAACGTGTGAGAACACAACCTAAGGATTATAATCATTTAGTCAAGGTCATAAGTGACCTGACATGCCCTGGAGCATGCTGTTTATAATTGCTGTGGTTAGTTTTCCTTCTCATTGTTTTTACCTATAATGTCAAAACACAACTATATGGAGTTGGTATGTTCACTAATAGCAGTTTATCTCTGCATGGTTTATAGACAGAGTCAAAAGCCAACAACTGTAATTACATCCATGTTTCTAACTTAGCAGCAAGCTAGAAAAGTGTGGTTGAAGTATGCTGTGGATATAGTGCAGCCAGTAGGAATTATAGGGTAAAGTCATTTCTCTACATTCTTTTGGTTTTACAATAATTGTTACTTAAATTTTGTTTTCTGGATTTTACCACTGTCTGTTGTGTTTATATGACCACATAAAGAGTGCTTGAGTTACGTGTCTCTCCACTCTATTTTTCTACTCCTTGCCTTCCTTTATAAATGTACTAGTTCTCCTTTCACTTTCTTCAGACTCAGCAGACAGTACATTACAGTTAATAGTTTTCTGAAGCAGCCTGATATTCATGCTCTATGGAACCCATAAGACTTCTATTATTTGCATTATATGTTTAATTGGATAATTATGGGAACCATGTTGAACTGTTAACAACTGTCAAGCCTTTGATTAATCTTTTGAATGTTCATTGGCATGGTTCAAGTTAGCAACCACAATACAGATTTTAGGTTTTTATTTTTGCTGCTCTCACAACCATTTGAGAGGGTAAAAATGATTTTTCTAGAAAAATATAATATCCCATTTTGGCTCACCGTACATATTGTGGCACAAAGAGCTATGTAACTTATGTATTGCCATAATTGCCTTTGCATATGAAGTATTGTAGTTTAATGAATCTCCAGAAAATTATAAGAAAGTCTTATTTTTTAAATGATCACAACTATATAACATATAAAAGAATCCTAGTCTTCCTCCAAGGAAACCAGTTATCAGTTCGGTCTGTAGTCTCCCTGGCCACCTTCTATACCTGAGGATTCTTTTCCCTATTTTACTACTCGTAAAATAGTAAATTTCATTATTTACAAAATAGGTGCATCCTCCAAGGAACCACAGACACCTCCTATGCACCCACACTGAGCTGTCATCCTGAGTCCCCCCTTGCCTAACGTTGTCTCCTGTGGAAGTGGAATTCCCTGGGAGCTACTTGTTACAGGAGAAGACTAGTCAATGAATTGCCTTATTCTTTTAAGGTGTGTTATAAATTGAATACTGACCACAGGAGCACTAATCTGATAGAAAATACTGCCTCTAATCTAGTTTTAAAATAAGTAAAGTGTGAGTGTAGGGTTAGAGAAGATTGAGGTATTTAAAAAATGATTAGGATAGGTCCTCCTTGGTAAGGCAACATTTAAGTAAAGGCTTGAAGGGGGTGGTGAATGTAGATACTCTTTTAAACACTTGAATGTGTGTGTGTGTGCGTATTTTCATCTATTCCTTACATCAGCCCCATGAGGCAAGATCTATTAGTATCTCCTTTGTACATGTGAGGGAACGAAAGAACAGAAAAATTATGCCCAGGGTCACACAACTAGCAAGTGGTGGAATCAGCCTTTGGACACAGGCATTTTGTTAAACTATTATTTTAGATCAGCCCCTAAGCTGGCTTAGTGAGGCTGATCCAGGATAGGACTAACCTCCTTAGCAGACTTTGTACTAAACTAGATATACAGGACTCAGATTAATTCCTCTTCCTGGGAAATAAAATCCTGGATTCTACCTGTCATTTCCAAAGTGTGTCATTTTGAAGTACCATCTTGGATCAAGTTAATACGATTGGAATGGGCACTTCAGCTGCTATCAGAGCAATCCCGCTGGTTGTGTTGTCATTGTGTTTTGGTGCTTTAATCAAAGCACGAAAGATGTGAGGGAAGGAAAATTGTTTTAGATGAGAAATATGCAAAAGGAATCTAAACATCATTCTTACCTTCTGAGTTCACATCATTATTACAGGACCATTGTTTACATTTGGGAGCTTTATGGTAAGTGTACCTTCTATTGAGGTCTGAGATGGCCTCTTCAACCAGTTCATAATAAGATAAGGAACCAGAGATGAAGAGTGTGAAAGGAGTGTGCAGAAGGAGCAAATACAGACTAGCAGCAGTACATGTTGTGGCCCATAAATATCCATCCTGGAAAATATCTTAGGTGCTTTGAGTTGTAGATGAGCAACATCCTTCAAATTAGATTTATGTTTTATTGTCTGAAGTAAATTATATCGATCTCTGTTGCCTTGAGGGTCTTTCTTTGAAGTCGTACCTTTTGACCTGCCTTCTCTATGGAGCAGTCTGATCACTGTTAGCCTTAATTTCCCTTTTTGATGAGGATTTAATAAGGTCTCAATCTCAGGTGGTCAAGTCTTAGGTAAAATGTTTGTGTGAAAGTAGTGGGAAGGGGATACAACTTGGAGAATCTAGTTATCAGTGTTGAAAACAGGATTCAGTTTCCAGGCATGATGTACTTTTTTCATCATAGTGATTAGTAGATGTAATATCCTCTTATTATCGTAGAAAAGGTAGGGGATATGATGGGAAGACGGGGCTTCCATTTTTGGTTCCATTACCAGTGACTGGGACTTGTGCTTCGGTTTTGCCGTCTGTATAATGATGGCATTGTTAACAATCACTCCTGAGGATAAATTTTGATAACGTGTGTGAAAGGGCTTTGTGAATTGTAGGCACACTCTCTCTGTGTCCGTCTCTCTCTCTGTGTGTGTATGCATATATTTTTCTCCCTACCTCACTAAAATGAAAAATTCCTGAGGATAAGAAACACCTTATTTTTAACACCTGTTTTATAGATAGTACTGATAATGTTTTTGTATTGAACCTATTGTGGACTTTCAGCTTAGGTGTTTGAGTGAAAGTTTCCTAAAGTTAGTTAACACATTTTTTTCCCCTCAGTATGCCTGTAGTTTATAAGTAGCGTGAAGTTCTACTGCTGGAAAATACAGTGGACAAGTGACATGGTTAGCTTTGTGCTCTGACTGGAATTATTTTCCCCCAGTTCGTTTTTCAGTTTGTCCCAAGAAAGTCACTGCTTCTGAATCATGGTGGGGTTAAAAGTCTAAATTCCCCACAAAACAGTCAATAACATTATACCTTAGTAATGACCCTAACAGGGTTCTGTCCCAGCTTCCCGCCCACATTCATTGTTCATGTTTTACTCACTAACCTCCAAACCCAAACATTCTAGGCTCCGCTCACTCAGGGGCTCGCCTCTTTTCTTTCCTCAGCCATTGAGGCAGCCTGAGGGGATACATGGTCTTCCTTCTGTACACTGTTGCTTTTGATTTCCACATGTTTCAGACCATTGGATGGCCCAGTTTTGGAGGTGCAAAATAAGACTGATTGAACATGTGTATCTTGTTAGGAATGTTATGACAAATAACAGCAGCTGTATAAACTAATCTTTCTGTAGCTTCGCACGACTCAATTAACAATGGACCACTGTCAACATTTGGTCCTTTTTACCTCATGGTTCCTGTGAACTTTTCTGTTGGACATCAGATTACTTTTACCTACCAACAGAAGAAAATATCAAATACTGCAAGTCAACTGCACTTCCCATGGTGTTCTCCACGTGATCTGGGGAGGGACTGCCAATTATAATGATTACTGCATTGATTCTAATTAGAAAGACATACTGGTCATCAGGATGGTTGTGACAGTTTAGGATTAATTTTTCTGAACTTAGCACCAAAACTCATGGTCGTAAGATGCTGGTCTCTGAAGTTTAGAGTGACTACAGCATGAGGCAGGGTGGCAGGGACATAGCTTCCCCCAGAGATCATCACAGGAGACAGAAACATCTTTGTGAGCGCTTTGCCATGTAGAAGTCTACTGTTGTGCATGGTAATTTCAAGTCACGAGAAACAGAAATCTCAAGTGACCTTTTATCTCTTTAGGTAATTTCTATCTGTACTTTTTGTGAGAAAAAAGGAGGGTACACTGGATGTTCAAGTACAATGGGGAACTCAGAAAAGCAGAGTTATAGCCTTAGAGTAAGGATGAGTAAAAGTTCAAGTTCCAGCTTAAATGTACTTGACATTTGAACCCCCTGTTTGAAGCCCTTACTTTAGGTCTATCTGCAGAGGACATCTGAAATTCCTTTGGCTTCTAATCTATGGCAAGTGAACAGGAATGGATGACAAAGGGATATAAAGATAGAGCTCAAACAAGTTGTTGTTAATTCTTTCTTTCACCTACGAGGACTAATGAAAAGCTTAAATTACTAAATTCAGACTAGACCATTGTCGCTACTTGCCAAACAGTACATGCTTGTGCGTCTGTCTAATCCATATTTGAAAGCCACAAACAGAAGCACATAATTTGGCAAAACACCAAAAACATGCCTCGGCACACTTCTGGAGATTCTTCCAAATGACTTAATGATTCAAAAATGTGTGTGTGTGTGTGTGTGTGTGTCTGTGTGTGCGTGCACGTGTGTGCGCGGGTGCACATGCATATTGCCTGGAGATGCTTGGAATAAATTCTGCCAGCAAACCATGTGTATTACACTTGTTTGGAGGATTTGAGGATTTCTTTCAAAATTCTGAATTGTAGAAAGCAAAAGATAAGGCTGTTTCTTGGGCAGTTACTTTCTCTTTTATTTTAAAGATGAGTAAGTAAAAACTTGTTATTTAAAAAAAATCTCCTCAAAATACAACATGTAAAACATTCTGTCTTTTAAGAAAGTTTAAGCATTCTATTTGTTTTTGAAATGTGTTTTGAGCTTTTTTTAACAGGTGGATCACAAATAGCAGTTCAGTACAAGAAAAGTTCTTCGTAGCACCATGAAGAAATTTCCTGAATTGAAAAATTATTCTTTCCTAAGCTTTTTACAGAAGTATTTTTTTGTGGCCTGATTTCTGCTTGATATAGAAAAGATGTACTTTTTAAAAAAGCACATAATCTGAATTCAGTTTACAATACTTGAAGATATTTAGGTGACTGCATGAAGCTATATTAATAAGACAGATATGGAAGGCAAACAGTCCCTAAGAAACCTTTCGTGTGATCAGCTTTCCCTCGCATGAATATTATTTTTAAAGTCAGATACTTCTATGTGTAGTATTTTATTTAAATATTGCAGGAACCTTCACAAGATAGATATTATTATTACTCATCTAAAGATGAGAAAATTAGAGCTCACAGAATTTTACAATAAGTTACCCAGTATTTCACATGTAGGAAGTGGCAAAGGTAATCTGAAGCCTGAGTCCGCAGATAATGCCTTTGGCGTTGTACCTTTCAGCCTTCTCTGAGAAAGGTACATTTGTATTACAATTTATCTTCCTTTCATTCCTTAAATTGCAAACCATATTGCTCTGAAGGTCATTCTATGTAGATTATGTTAATGTCTTCCAGTTAGCTGTTTAAGTTATACCTCATACTTGTAAATTGTAAAGCACCTTTATCTTTTGTTTAAAGTATCTTATTTAATATTTATTTCAATTGGATAAGATATTGTTTCCATTTTACAATTGAGAAAATAGGATTGGGAAGCAACTACCCCAACAGATAGTCTAGATCTGGGGATTAAGAACAGTATCTTTTCCCCAACTGTTTTTCCACTGCATTTTAAATGTTTTAAGTCCAAAGAAAATTTGTGCTTGATTCACCACCTCATACCAAAAAATGGAGTATGGCAAACCTAGACCTTTTTTGCTTGACAAGACAAAACAAAAAACCCCTGCAGTATCTAGTCATGTAATTCTTAGTGAACATCTTCTCATATTTCAGTATAAATTGGTAATTTGTCAAGCTATCCATATATGCTTGAGAGACTCTTCATTTTTGGTTAAGGGTAAGAAAGTTTTTTTTTTTTCCTTCCTAGTTTCAGAGTTTTTGGTATACTGGTAGAGTTTTGAACATCAACAACTTTTAGTCTTTTGGCATAATAGGATTAGATAGATTATGGTTACTGAATTCACACAAATGTAAAAGAAAAATAGAGATAGGGAAGTGAGGGAGGAGGGACTTAGTTCTTACTGCCGTATTTATCTATTTTTAGTGCCATTTGAAAATTGCCACAGGAATGTAGCATCTCTTTTCTCCTGCAGACTTAGTTTTACATCAGTTTCTTAGTATGCCATATAGGATAGCATTATACTCATGTCCTTTTAGATAAGTACTCACAACTAGGAAATTAAGATGCCAAGGATATAAGCCCCTGGGTGTGATAGGGTTTTCACTTATATACACAGATATCATTCTTCAAGGATACTGCTTGTGAATGGGATGACTCAGGAGATGTTAATGAGAGTCTTCCTAGCCTGGCATGATATCCTAACCATGGCGCCGTGCACTTTTTCTTCCCTGTTTGCCTCAACTGCACTGATATCGCTTTATTCTTCTTCTTACTATGACTTTATGATTGATGGTTACGAAAATCCCAGAACTGATATGAATTCAAGTGTGTTCAACGATTAGAGTAAGAGAATGTTGGCTGATAAAGAAGAAGTTGACTTTAGTTGAACACAAAGATATTGAACTCTAAGTTACTCATTTAAATATGTGACACAGAAGTAGAATTCACAGAGGTTAACCCCTTGGAGCACTCAGAGACCATGATCCTGGCCTTGTCCACGTAAAACAACTCCCTTCAGAAGTAACAAGAGCAAGGTCCAGCCATTGCCAACTGAAGCCCGTTGAATACACTGGGACGTGGGCAAATTAAGAACTTACTGATAGTTCGCCCACTGGATTTTATCATAGATCTTATCAGCTTCATGGTCTATGACTGTTGATTTGACTTTCTCATGAAGTAAATTAACTTCAAAACAAAACCTCACTATCTCTTATCTGTTGCCTAAACAATGTTTCCAAAAATTGACCACCTTACTATACAGTTCACTTGGATTTCTTAAGAAATCAGTTAATTTAGCTAACTGGCAAACAGAACTCCACCACCTCTTCTCTGGTTCTGAAACAATGTTTCCAAACGATGGTTGTCCTTTAGCATGCTGTCAGAGCACAGTAGGCCCCAATTTTTAAAAGAGATAATTCTTTTGTCTTTAATTTTGTCAATTTTAGCCCAGTTCGACTTAGTTCTTGTGCCTCATGTTGGATAGTTGCTCTAGAGAAATGTGATCCCAGGAATGCTGGTGATTTGCTGTTTTAAAATGGTGCTGTGCTTTAGGTTTCTGTTCAAATCTAAGATTTCAGAAGAGTCAGTAACTGCAAATAATCTAAAAGGGGAAGAGTGAAGAATGCTTCTAACTTCCCTTTGAAATGAATAGCTCTGCCAGAGCAGCAGCTATTAGAAAAACAAAAACGACAAAGAAAAGCTGCTCAGCCCAGCACACAGAGGTAAATTTACTTACATCAGACTGAAAAATGAGGGCTGGGCTTTGAAAAGACATCCCTTCTGACTAGAGGAAAGCTTGTAATTTTGGCACGGCTGCCGCCCTCCTAAGCCCCTGAGAAATTCTGAAAAACATTACGGAAGACTGTTCTTAATATTAATGGATGTCTTCGTGTGTGTGTGTGTGTGTGTGTGTGTGTGTGTGTGTGTGTAGGGAGGAAGAATGCTAGAGAGAGAAAGGGGGTAGAGCATGAGAGAGAAGAAAAGATCACTTAGGAGGAAGAACTACCAGTGGAAATGTCTACTTTCTGAAAAATAATTTGCATCTGTCATTTTTCACTCTTCAGTAAAGTAGTGGTCAAGATGAGATATAGAGAAGCATTCACCATTTACACTTCAAGTTAGGCTTGCAGTATCGTGGCTCTTTTAACAAGACTTCCAAAAATACTTGTAGATAACATTGCTCACTGATGTGATCTCAAATCTATTATATGACATCAGAGGTGAAAAAAAGACTGTTTCCCTGTGGCTAATTGTGGTGAGTGTCACATTATGTTGTACTGTAGTGAACAATTTCGGGGGCACCAAAAGCCTACAGCTCTGCCTCTTGGGAGGAGACTTTTCCTTTGCAGCTCAGCTTCAGGAAACGTGAACATTTGTGTTTTCAAGACCACATACCATTGGGAAGGAAGTAGGGGTGGAGATGCGTGCTGAGATTAAGTGGGTATGAGAATCTCTGTACTGTGTATGATCTGGAAACTGCTGAATTTTATGTAGCCCTCTTTCTGGCATGCCTTTAGAATTTTAAAGTCACACTGACAATAATACTGATCCTTGCTAAGGATATTTTTCACAAAATAATTTATTTACTTTTTAGGCGAGGACAGACGGACCTCTGTGTAGCGTGCCTGACCAGCTTGTCTCTGAGCTGTGTGTCAATGTGTCTGGGGAAACAGAGACAGAAATCTGCCGGCAGGTACTCCACAGTCAGATTTATTTGGGATGTATAACTGTAACCTATCATGGTAAAGAAATTTAATATGTAATTATGGGAACTAGTTGTTAATAGACAACTTGAAAGTTATTTTGAGAAGGGAGGCATTAACTCCCCACAGCCCCGAGTCTTCCACTCCACCTCAGACACTGGCCCATGTTACCTTAAAGGATACAAGGCCTATTGTAGTTTGACATGTAGAGTTACACAGATAATACACAGAGAAGCTGAGTTTCTTTTTGGGATTGATGAGGGGGAAAGAGACGGAAAATGTACTTATTAAAAAGAGTGCCTTGATTTGCTGTGGAGTTTAAAACTGGGAACATGTTTTCCCAGACGAGCAAAAGCTTTGTAGCATTGCTGGCTCGTTAATGAGTGATCTTCTTTCTCCCTGGCGTGCCCTGGCTGGGCATGTTTTCTTGACTTAGGACTGACACTCTCAATATAATCTTAATTCATTTTTAGTCTAGGCTGACTAAATCTTCTGATTTGGCAAAGCAGACTGTCGGGATTGCCATTGTTATGTTTACTCTGGATTTATATCTTAAGTTGAGGCTAAGTAACACATTTACATAAATCAACTCAGCATTAGACTCTAACACAAAATTGTTTACCGAGAGAAAAGACTAATTGTATTGCTTCCTGAGATTTGCTTTCATAATATATTAAACCTCAAAGGATTTAAAAATGTAGCATGTTCTGTTTTAAAATTAACTCTTCTGGGGGTTTTGCTTTTATAAAAAGATAGAATTTTTTTTTTTTTTTTTTTTTTTTTTTGCGAGAATTGATTATAGCTGTTGCTACTGTGGATGACTTTCCTGGAGGTAGAAGATAAAGTGGAGCAGGCCGATGTTATTTAGCAAGAGTCATATGCTTTCATAGAAGGATTTATGTTTTATGAAACTGGCAGCACAAATGCTAGAAAAGAATTTAAAAAGTTCTTTTAATACTAAAGATATTGCAGGAAGATGAAGAGGCTTTAAATTTATAGCTGCAAACATTTTCAGTAGGAGTGTTTTTAAATGATAGCATTTTATGATTCATGCAAATATCATGTTATAATTTATTTCCTTTAAAATAATGGCAAGGAAAAATGTCATGGCTCTATTGCATGGGTCATCATCCTATTAAGTCATGTTCTATTTAAAATAATTTTACCTTTATTAAAATTTACTTGCATTTTAAAATTACGACAAAAAGCCAGATTGAAAAATTGGGAGTAAGATATTTTAACATGTATGCTATAGTTGCAAGTTCCAGAAATATGTGGGGGAAAAAAGAGGTTAGTAGCTATTTTAAGTTTGTTCAAAACGTATAATGGAAACTTGCGCCTTTTAATAGTATGAAATATTAGCAAAATGTTACTGATCACGAGATATACTGTTACATGTCTGACTATTAAATGTAATTTTTTAATGGCCACTGGATGGAATTTGCCTTTTAAAAATACTAGTCTTATGCACTCATGGTTAGGAAATGCAATAACTTCATGACAAGTTTTTATTTTTACTTCTAAGGTATTTCTTTGCTAAAGTTATTAGCACCCTTAAAATATTCTTTTGTACCTAGGGACAAAAATTCTCTACCCAGAGTTCTTATGAGTGTTTTTAAGATGGACCAGATGACACAGGGTCACGTTCATTGTGGGCAGTATGTTTTGTTTTGCTCTGTGAAATGGCTTTGTATAGAGTTTTAGTTTTTCTAAATAAATTATTATTCAACCTTACAGTGTTTTCCATGAGGTTCCCTAATCCCTGACTTTATCTCATTTTGCTCCATGTAACAGCAGTGTGGTTATCTGGCCAACCACCTCATCCCTCTTCGTCAGTTTCACTTGGAAAGATAGGATCCATATTTCCAGTCTCTGAAAGGTGGAAGCATGTGTTTCGTCCAGCTGAGTCTCTTGGTCTGATTTTTTTCCCGGTCCTAATACATGTTTATTCCTACATGTGACAAATCTGCAGTCGTGTTTTCTTTCTGAGTTATAATGACTCAGATGTCATAATTAATTTGATGAGCAGGTGGGGGTTATTAGCCTTGTGCTTCACTTGCTAATAGCTGCACAGTTTTTCTAAAGTACTCTTTCAACTAAGGAGGCATTTCTTCACATAGAATAAACAGTACAGCACAAAAGCCTCAGTTAGATAACTATCCGTGGGCTTGAAAAGCTGCCAAGCAGATGTTGTTATTGGAGCTGGCCCAGGCGAGATTGGGCCAGGCAGATGCTCATGGGGAGGGGTGTGGGGAGGGAGGAGGAGAAGGGGGAGGAGAAGTAAGAGAGTAGAGGTTAGGGGGAGAGGGGGAGGTTCTATGGGACGCTGGTGCTTTCTTTGCAGGGGGTTGGGCCAGATTTTGTTGGGGTGGGAGGTCTCTTCTAATGAGCCACCTCCATGGTTATGGCCTCTGGTTGGTCTCTTAAAACATGCATACGTGAGAATGGGGATGGGGGTGGAGGAGACCCTCTCTAAATATCCACATGGGAGCGAATCTGAGTGTTCATCCAGCAGCCTGAGACTTCTGGTTTGCATTAGGGCGGCTGTGTGCAATTTTTGAAGGGCCTACGGAGACTCAGCTTCATACCTATCCACATATGTAATGGACATGACTGCCCTGACATTTACCAGAACTCATAGGTTCTGCTTTATTGCTATAAATTAGGTTGTGCAAATTTAAGACAAAATGCTGTTTTGTTTCCTGTCACCTCAATATGTAATTTTTCACTGAGCATTCCCTACTTATTAAAATGTTGCAAAGAGACACCTTACTTTTTAAAATTAAAATCAGTCTTGGAACATGTCAGATTTGTAGGAGGTAAATGTGTGGAAGGTTTAATCTAAGCTGATGTTGTTTCTGTCCTCTGCCTTTTTTTTTTTTTTTTTTTTTTTTTTTTGTGATCTAAGGCTTTTTAGAACTCATCTCTCACTCCCCTTCACTAGATTAAATTCTGTAATCTCATTTTTCTTTGAGCTGATCTCAAGCCAATGGTCTGGGGATTTTATAGCCAAGGGATAATTTTTGATAATGGGCTATTAAAACACTTGCAGCTCCTACCCTGTCTTTCAAATTAGCATGTGCACAGATTGCCTTTCTGGGGAAAAAGTCTTTCCCTTGGCAATAAGCAACTGACTATGTGCCACAAGCAGTATAAAAGCTTCCAGGAATGTTTATACTAAAAACACAGGTAAATAAGAAATGATAAATAATAATAGTAACTGTACAGTGTGAACAGGAACTCTGCCTAGGATTATTATTATTATTTTTTACCCTTTGGAGACAAAGTTTTGTTTTCCCTTATTCAGACAGATTTAGTGTGTTCTGACAACAGGGTCATCTAACAGTTTCCTTAATGATGGAAGTACAGTGGCTTGAGACAGCTGTGTAAGGTCATGTAACTTTCATTGTTGTTTATAGTGTGCTTGTTAATAGGTTAAAATGAATAACTTGCTGGATGGAGGTCAGGTAGCACCTGTATAAATAATGAATTTGCCCTTCCAAAATATATAATGTAAAATTAATCAATATATATAGCTTGCCATTTTGTTTTTATTCAGTTCAACTTCCTTGCCGCTCTGTAGTTTTCAGAGGAGTAAAGTAAAAATTATGAGTTCTGAGAAAGCAAATTTGCTTGCCATAACTCCATTTGAGGGTGACTGCGATTTTGTTAGCATAAGATTGAAGCTAATCTCCTAAAGAGTATATCTGATTCTGTGTCTTAATCATTTTTCACAAGAAAAAAAAATCGGGACATATAGGTATATGTAGAGTAACATAAAGCCACCAATTGTAGAACTGATGTGATGTGAATTGTACTGAGGGTTGGCATGAATGCTTTTCTTTTTCACGTGTAACATTAGGTTCAGACATATATGTGTGCAGTGCATTGCTGTAATGTGTGCAGATGGTAAGAACACATATGTCTCAATACCATGCTTTATCGCTCAATAGCCTGACAGATGTATATGGGTGAATTCATTCATTGCCCTCTCTGTTGATTAGTAGCACTTTGAAAATGATGTCGTAATTTGGCAAACTAAATCCTGGTCGGGGAGCAGTACTGAAAGTATTGAAGAAATGACACGATTATAGTTTGATCCTTGTACTTAGAACCTTCATCAAATATAAGGTTTTAGGTCTTCTGTAATGTTAAAAAAAGGAAAGGAAAAAGAGCTAGTTTTACATATGATGCAGAATTTGAAAAATTTGTCTTTTTATTGGCAAATGCTGATTTAAAAGTCCCTGAATCATTTCAGAATCTGTAGAGAATGAGATGTGGTATTATATGTGATATCACATTAAAAAGTAAAAGTTCAGTCTGTGGACAAAGTCTATTAAAATGTTTTTAATATAGTAGAGGACCTCGTAACATGAGCCACTGTTAGTAAAAAAAAAAAGTTTAAAATGTATATTTACTCATATGTACTAGAACATAAATAAGTTTCCTGAAACAAGGACTACATGAAACAATTGCTAATAAGGCACAGTTAGTGGTAAGTGGAGATTGATACTATCTGTAATTTAATAAATGGTTGTACTGTACCTAGGTCTTCAACTGTTTACAATTGAAACCCAAAGCCGTCACCATCAATATCTCTTTAGTACTTCTAATTTTGGGTATGTCTAATTCAGTGAACATTTGTTTTGTGCTTACTACATGTCTAGGAGCATGCTAAAGGTTAGAGAAATATGAAGACCAATGAAGTAATCCCTGTTCTCAAGGAGTTTCTAATCTAATCTAGCAGTGGAAACAGAAACATAAAACTAAGCACCTAATTCATATGAAACAGATAGTAGACAATGCCACACAGATACATAAAAAGAGCTATTGGAGTACAGAGGAGGCAATTCAGAATTCACAAGAATCCAAAGAAGGTTCTCATGACTCAAGAAATGAGCTTGAAAGATGAGCACCGTTTTGTTAGACGAGGATGTGAGGCATGGGGGTCCTGGAGGCAGGAAACAGCACAAGAAAAGGTAAGTCATTGGGGATGGGGAAAGCATGTTGGTAGTTGGGGGTCATGAACCATCAGGGGAGGGTGACTAGACTTTAGCCTGTGTAGGCGAAGTGGAGGAGAGTTGTAAGAGACTAGGCTGAAAGAGTAGGGTTGCTGAGGGCTTCAAATGCCACATTAGAGAGTTTCCAGAGGGTAGATCATCAAGCTTTCAAGCTGTTATATTTAGGTGGTCCTTTAGAAGACAATTCTGACAGCAAAGTGGAGGATGGAATGAAGGAAGAAAATGGAGTGAAGGGAGGAGGTCGTTTTAAGCCAGGCTTTTAAATTTTCATGTAAAATATTATCTTTGTCTTCTCCATATTTTTTGGGTACAGTATATAATTTTTTTTTTTTTTTTGAGATGGAATCTTGCTATGTCGGCCAGGCGTGATCTTGGCTCACTGCAACCTCCACCTCCCAGGTTCAAGTGAGTCTCATGTCTCAGCCTCCTGAGTATCAGCTGGGATTACAGGCACCCGCCATCATGCCGGGCACATTTTTGTATTTTTGTAGAGATGGGGTTTCACCATGTTGGCCAGGCTGGTCTTGAACTCCTGACCTCAGGTGATCTTCCCACCTTGGCCTCCCAAAGTGCTGGGATTACAGGCGTGAGCCACTGCGCCCAGCCCTGAATATTTAGAACCTAAAACAGGCTACGTATTTATTCATTTGAAAGGTTGTAAAGTTTTAAATGAGCACCTGTCATACCACCGATGTTCCTAATGGCTTTGGATACAGTAGCGTACAAGACAGACATGGTCTCTGCCCTCAGGGGGCTCACTGTCTATTCACAGGGAACAACAAATCAATTCAACAAATTTATAAGCAAGTCATTTCCGATTGTGTTAAATGCTATGAGAAAACTAATAGGGTCATAGATAATACATAGATTAAAGTGAAAATGGGGTATGGGGGTCTTTGTTGGCTAAGGTCTTTTGGGAAAGTCTTTCTGAGGAAATGAAATAGGAAAAGATGAGAATTAACCCAGTTTCCTAGTACTTTCAGTACTCATTTGTGACGTCAGTTATGAATATAGCTTTGGTTAAAAGGCCCTTTGAGCCATTTGCATTTATTGAGATAACCTCAGGGACAGGTTAACCTTTCATAATTATCAGAAAGCTATCTATAAGAAGCATTTTGCTGTATTCCTCTATAGACTACTTTTGTGGAATCATGATTTAACCTTAGGTTGGCTTCACCGTGAATTAAATATTTAAAAATATTTTATATGTAAAAGATCCATATGCAGATCTTTGCTTTTGTATAAAACTACCTTTTTCCTATTATGTGTTCAGTGTCCCTTATTCAACTCCCCTGCAATATATTTCTCTGAAAAATCCCTTCCAGGAAACAAATTTTCTTTTTCTGATAAGTTGGCATGCCTCTTTTCATCTTATGATGAGAACTGTGTATGCAATCTAGTTTTCTTCTTTTCCCTGTATGCTAGAAAGCTCACAGCCCAAAATTTGTTTTCATTTGTCTGTTTTCCCCAGTTCTGATTCTGTGAATTTTCTACTGCCTGTCTGCTTTCATCTCTTGGATTTTGCATTTTGTTTTATATTAGTGGATTATTGAAACTTTTGATTAATTAAAGTATTAAGTCATTATTTGTAATAATAAATCAATAAAAATCATTCTTCAGATTTGGTGCTTAGGATCTGACCGAGAACAGAAACAACAGGAATGGATAGATTCTGGAGATATTGAGGAAAAAGAACTTGGTGATGATAGATGTAGAGGGTAAGGGAGAGGGAGGAGGGGAAGATGACTGCATCACTGAATCAATGCTGAGATGGGCCACAAAAATGGGGCATATAAGAGGAAGAGGAGATCCGAGGGAAGCATGAAGACTTGGGTTTTACTTTATTTTATTGTTTTTTTTTTGAGACAAGGTCTTGCTCTATTGTCTAGGCTGGAGTACAGAGACAAGACCGTGGCTCCTTGCAGCCTCCACCTCCCTGGCTCGTGAAATCCTCCTGCCTCAGCCTCCTGAGTAGCTGGAATCACAGGCATGGGACACAATACCCTGCTATTTAAAAATTTTTTTTTTCTAGAAATGGGGGTCTCACTATGTTGCACAGGCTGGTCTTGAGCTCCTGGACTCAAGCGACCCTCTTGCCTTAGCCTCTGAAAGTGCTGGGATTACAGGTGCGAGTCACCACAATTGGCTAAGACTTGGATTTTAAATAAGCCATAGATCACATGCCCTGCTGCAATAGCTAGTAGTCAATTAAAAAGAGTGTTTGAGCATAAGGGAATGGTTATAATTAGGAATGCAGATTTGGGTGTTATTGAAGACTTAGAAGCCAGTGGAGCTGTCAAGGAAGGGATTGCTTCTTGAGGGAATCTGAGGGCTACAGATGGACCCTTGAGAGAGGTCTACAGTGAGTGAGTACGGGAGAGGAACCCACATCTTTCAGCCCTCAGGACCTTTTTACTGTCATCACACCAAACATCCTCTCCCTTTGCCTGACCATCCCATCCTTCAGCTAATTAGTTCTGATTCATTCTTCAGGGCCCATCTGAGACATTTGGTATTGCAGTAAGTTGATCTCCCCTTGTTGAAGCTGGCTGTTCCCCCTATGGACTCTTGTAGTACTTTCTACTTCCCTAACATAAGACTGATTACAGAATGCTAGAATTGCTTATTGCTAAATGAACTCTTTCTCTCCACTACACTGCAAACTCATTGAAAAATGTGTCTCTAGCATGTAGCTCAATGCTTGATGCATAGGTGATGCTCAATACATGTTTGTTAAGTGAATAACTGAATTCATCCTAGAAGGGAGAGGAATGCTGTCTCAGAGAGAGGGATATGGTGGTCAACATATTGGTGTTCATGGTAGTCAACTTGGGCTGCCATAACAAAATACTATAGACTGTGTTGCTTAAACAACAGAAATTTATTTCCTCACTGGAGGCTGGGAAGGCCAAGATCAAGGCACTGGCAAGGTAGATTTTATTCTGAAGCTTCTTCTCTTGGCTTATAGATGGCAGCCTTCTCATTGTGTTCTCACATGGCAGAGACGGAGCAAGCAAGCTCTCCGGTGTCTCTTCTGATAAGGACACTAGTTCTGTCATATTAGGGCCCCACCCTTATGATGTCACGTAATCTTAATTACCTCCGTAAAGGCTTTATCTCCAAATATGAAGGCCCTGTTCTGCCTACATTGGGGTTGGGCTTCAACATGTGAATTTTGGGGGGACATAAACATTCAGTCTGTAACACCTCCGTTGTAGCTGAATACTGTTCATCATTTATAGAGAGATAGATAGTCCTAGTTGCAAATAGGATATAATATCCAATCTATAGTGGTAGATACAACCTTTTCTCCAAATCCTGATCCAAAGAACATTGCTGAGACCTAGATATACCTTTCCCAGATCAATAAATTCGGGTCCAGTAGGTCTTTGGGTTTGTTCTCATGACTGATCTTGCAGAGCGTCTCATGTTGTCCCCTGAATCTCTTTCTACTCACTTAACACTGTTGATAATAACTGAATGTGCTTAGGCTGCAGCTTGAAAAGAAATTTCATGAGTAGACGGGTGTCAGGCACAGGAACATGTTAAGAGGGAAGTCACGGAACCTAACTTATCCTAAAGTTAGATTAGATTATTATCTGCTTGGGTTGCTATCAGTGTGGCTTTGCCTTAGGTTGGGGGATAGCCCAGATTTCCTTTCAAGTTCCTTATTGGCTTTAACGTTCTCTGATTGGAACTTAAAAATGATATTTTCCAGACTGTTTGAAATCCTTTTCTCCTCTACATTCTAGAAATAGAGTCTGTTGAAAATAAGAACAGATCCAGGAAAGAAGTATGTACTTAATATTGTAGGGGACATATAGCAGATCGGACCCTTTGAATGGTTAATGCAAAGTTTTGTCTTACTGTAATCTGGGTAATCCTCAGATAGATAAAAATTCATCATTGAGTGTTTTTACTTTCCTAAAGAAACCACAGTAATATGTCTTTTTCTCACCTAAATGCTCTTAAATGCACAGAGAGTAGGGGTTCCTTTGGTTTCTATTTTTATAATAGTATCTTCCTTTAGTCAGTTTCTTTATTCCTAGAACATTATTTATTGGGCACGTACTTTTGAATTAAAAAACAAATGACCTAAATATAGAAATAACCTTCCATGGGGAAAAGAATGGTTGTTGACTGGGCAGGTGAAGTAAGGCCAGGAGTGGATATTGAACCACCTCTCTTAGTAACAGAGAGGAAGGAAAAATAAAATTGGACTTTTGAAATACGTATCTAGTCTTAGTAGGGATATCTATTTGCTTTTTTTTTTTGGTCAATTTTAAATAGTCGTTTCTATATTTCTGTAATATTCACTAGGAAATTTGTTTCCCTGAGGCCAGAAGTCTGGGCTAGAGGCAAAACCTTTGAAGTTTGTCTCCTTTCTTCCTTTGTACATTAAAATAAATCAAAACAAAACTCTAATCCTTTTATTATATTTGACAACCATGGGCAATTGTTCTGCCCTGTCAGTGAAATCACTCTTTCTCACTTAAACTGGGAACTTTTTCAGGGTTGCTTTTTTGCCTCCAGCAAGTTTTAGGAGAGACATGGACATAACACAGGAGCAGTAATAGTTTGTACGAGGAGGATAAGTAACTGCCAGATGCAGAGGACAAACCCTGATATTTGGGTTTCACGGATTACGCCATATACTTTCACTTTTATTGAATGGGCCACTTTATTTGTCTGCAGCTCAGTTTTCGTTTTGCTATCCCTAAACTCCAATTCTGAATTTGATAATGTAGGCTCATAACTGTTCTTCGTCACAGATGCACACACAAATTATTTGGGTGATTTTGAGTAGTAAAGGTGAAGAATCTAGATGGCAAACCTGTGTATAGCCACTCAGATCCTTCTGAGGTCGCAGTGCAGAATTCCATATGTATACAGGGTTTGAGCCAGGCTTTTGGGAAAGCTGCACTTGAACTCTCTCCACTTCGCATCTTTTTAAAATAAGTTTATGTTTTAATATTTTGAACACAGTCTTTTTCCACAGGTAAATACGGGTATGGAAACAGACTTTTAAAAACAAGAGTACGTACTTGGTTTTGTTAATGAAGGGGAATGTTGAAAGTGGAACTTCTGGAAGAGTTTTTCTTCATAGGGAAGAACTGAAGGAAACTATTTCTTCATGAACATCCTTGAGTTCGTAGCTTTTATGAAAAAAAAAAAATCCCCTCATGCTATTCAAATGCCATTGAAACATCCACCTTTAAATAATGCAGTAAGGGAAAAAAAAAACCTTGTTTAACAGTAGTTTGTTTTAGAGACTGTACAAATAACAAAATCATGTTATAGGTTAAGACAAAAAGCCATAACAACCCACCCTATCAGCCCTTTTCTTTTAGGGGGAAGTGAGCCAGATGTTTAAACAATATGGCAGGATATGTGCATGCCGCAGTACTTGGAGACCTTGGGAAAGAAATCATGTCTGCACCCCTAGTGTTTCACAGTTTTAGACTCCTGACCTAGAAACAGTTTAAACAGATGTTTAGTTCAAGGGATTTATGTCGACATTGAATTTTTTTTTCCTTTGGAAATGGCTGCCTCTAAAATGGGAGCCTTTTACTAGAAAAAGGACCAGAGAAACAGCTACATCTCAAAACTTGCCAGTTTCATGTTGAAACTGGTCTGGTGCAGCAGGAACAACAACAAAAAACAAACAAACAAATAAACAAAAAACAAACAGCTGCCTTACCAGTGACTCTTGACGCGTATGAACATCTTTTCTTTCTCCGCTGTCGGTTCTGTCTCTAGTAAGTTAGGATTGTCAACAGTAACAGAATTTACGAAAGGAGAAGGCATCTCAGAAAACCCTAGCCGTTATAAGCCAGCATAAATTGTGGCTCCTTTTCCTTGTCTCAATTCTAACCCTTTTTTCTAGCCTTCAGCCCACCACAATCCCATTGCGCTCCTTCTTCCAGAAATGATTCTTCTCACTTTAATCCTGGTGTGGGGAGTTCATTCCATAATTTGGATCAGTCAAAAATGATACATTACATCATAGCTGCCTTTATGAACATGTTTATTTCATATCTGAAATGTTTTCGTGTGTATTCGCTGTGCTTTGACTTGCAGAAGGAGAAAGAAAGTAGTTTTACTGGAGGCAAAACAGCCACCTGTGAAAACTAATTGCGTAGGTAGAGGTTTGATGGTATCTCTGGGAGGGATCCAGCAGGAAGAAAGTAAATGTTCTTAATCTACAAGGAAATCACCTGTATGCCAAACTGACCCTCACAATCAAAGCCAGGTTTGAAATATCCCATCAAATAGGTGGCCTGTGTTTAGGAGCCTGGAGTGAGAAGGGCAGCAAGAGGGAGGAGTCATGGTGAGGGCCGGTGCAGTGCATCTTAGTGCCCTGTGTAGATAAGTGAAAAGTGACATGATAGTGTCAGGGCTCAGAAACCGATACACCAAAATGTGGCACTTTGACATGCTGAGCTGAAGAAGCAGCCTTAGGTCTCTCTGACACTGTACCCCCTCCACCTCCTGCCTTGCAATCCTCTGTCTCTCCCAAAGCAAAGGAGGAAATTGTTCCCTGAAGTTCCCTTATCTGCCTCAAGTTCGGATGCACCAAAGAATAAAACAATTATCTCTGGTTCCTTCCCCGAATTTCCATTAACTGAGCTCATAGCATGTAAAGAAACACTGAAGCCTGTCAACACATCTGGACAGACATTTGTCACAAACCATTGTCTGCTGTGTGGGCCCAACAGACTTTGTCCCAGGCCACTTTAAGTTCATTAAGTTCCCCTAAAAATCATTTACTGTCCCCTTAAAACCATCCAGACTTCCCCATCTCCCATTCCTCTAAGAAGGAGTGTATATAAGCATCTGTACCCCATTGGGATATGGGGCAGTCATCCCTGCATTCTCCCCCTTGCACACTAATAAATTTATATGCCATTTCTCCTCTTAATCTGCCTTTTGTGAGTTAATTTTCAACAAACTTTTAGAGAGCAAAGGGGATGTTTTCCCTTGGCCCCTACAATGGACTCAACTACACTGCCTTATTACGGGCTGAAATGTGATATGAATGGTATATATTATCTTCAAACAAAAGGTTTGAGATGTGACTGCTTTTGAGTTTCTTCTTTCTTCCTTTTCATCAAGTTTGCCTTTTCAGTCTTTTTTTTTGAGACGGAGTCCTGCTCTATTGCCCAGGCTGGAGTGCAATGGTATGATCTCGGCTCACTGCACCCTCCCTCTCCCAGATTCAAGTGATTCTCCTGCCTCAGCCACCTGAGTAGCTGGGATTACAGGTGCCTGCCACCACACCCAGCTAATTTTTGGATTTTTAGTAGAGACGGGGTTTCACTGTGGTGGCCAGGCTGGTCTCAAATTCCTGACATCAGGTGATCTGCCTGCCTCGGCCTCCCAAAGAGCTGGGATTATAGGCGTGAGCCACTGTGCCCGGCCCCTTTTCAGTCTTAAATGCTGTTGTCTTGACTTTTTTCCCTCCTCCTTTCCTGGATTCCACCAATTTAGTATACCTACAGGTTTCTTGCTATTAAAAAGCTAAGACATATTGTGATGGAGAGGCAAGAACCAATGATGTGGCTACCTTTTGCCACCATCTGTGTAGCTCCCTGAACTGAGTGCCTTCAAATTCAGAAAAAGCAGGTCCTTTGGGCCAATCCATGCCCCATATAGGCCAATAAGCATGCTGCCTTGCCTGAACCCAGTATAGAAGACAGATCTGTGATTGGTTGTCAAGATGGTAGGATCTGAGCTATCCTGCAAGATTCTACATTTTGTTTGTCACTCTAGGTAGACAGTGGCCAGTTCAGATATGCTCGACTGGCACACCTCCATGTTACCTTAGCTGTGCATATATCTGCATGCAGGTAACTTTCCTAAATGGCTGTCTTCCATGGGAAATCAAAACCGTAGAGGAGGGAAAAGTTCCTATTATTTGAAGCACCATGAGATTTAGGGAAAAGTTAGACAATCCTTCCTGGAGTCCGACAAAAGTAAATCTTTAGAAAGTGACAAACGAGTTTCACATAAGCTACATAAACTAAGTAAGAACATGAATTAAAAGGATATTTACATGACTGAAAAGCAATTTTGTCTGGAAGACTTTGGTCACATTTCATAGTGTCCTTGGTGAGTCATAGTGAGTGCTTGGATTGGGCCTCTGCATTTATACATATTCAGCCTCTGCATTACAGATATTGAGCCATCCTGGGGTGGACCAGGAGACCAGAGGCTGTCTCAGAACTCCAGTGAGCTTCAGTTTTCACTGACAGGAAAGAAACTAGATCCATTCTCTGAAGTCAGTGCGCCTCACTTTTCTCAGTGCACTTGGACTCTTCTCTACGTGTTCTCACCCCAGTGTCTTGTAGGTTCTTTCAGGACCCAGCAGTTCTACTTGGCACCTGTTAATAAAAGTGCTTCCTCCAGACCCTCACAGAAGGCAAACTTGTACCACCACGAATCCATCTTCAGGTTGTATTGGAGGCCTACTTCTCAGCATTAAGCCCCAGTCAACTAAAATATCTGTTTTTCACCAATAGTTTTGTTTTGTTTCGTTTCGTTTTGTTTTTGAAATGGAGTCTCACTCTGTTGCCCAGGCTGGAGTGCAGTGGTGCTATCTCAGCTGACTGCAACCTCTGCCTCCCAGGTTCAAGCGATTCTCGTGCCTCAGCCTCCTGAGTGGCTGGGATTACAAGTGCCCGCCACCACGCCCGGCTAATTTTTTTTTGTATTTTTAGTAGAGACAGGATTTCACCATGTTTCCCACGCTGGTCTTAAACTCCTGACCTCAAGTGATCCGCCTGCCTTTGCCTCCCAAAGTACTGGGATTACAGGCGTGAGCCACTGCGCCCGGCCACCAATACCTTTTAAACAGAAGATCCTGCCAACATCAATGTATGGCAGTACCCCTGGAGCTGTCTTTCCAGAGTCTAAGCCCCATGGGCCCATGCTTATGTGAGAAACTTCTCCCTCTTCATACCCAAGACTCAGCCATAGGATCTTTTGCTCAAGTAGAATCCACAGTCAAGTCCAGTTTATTTCTATGATGCTTAGGAACTTAGACCATTTTGATATGTAGCAGGTCTTTGACATTTATGAAAGATTTGTCCAGAGATAATGATGAGTTTCTAAATTTACAGGTAGCTCTTTGGAGTATAATTTCTTTCCTAGACATCTGTATTCTTCCAAGAACCATCACTTCCTTAGGCCTTTTCACTTTCTCTTCACTTTCATCACCACCACAAGCAATTGACTTCTTTTTTCAGTGCTCTTTTATTTTTAAAACAAAGAAATGTTATCACTTCATGAGCTTTGTATGTAACAATGAATGAGATGTGAATGTTGAATAGTTGGCAGGGTTCACTCAATACCAAAGAGATTCTCACGAGCCTTATGTGCTTATGATTCAGATTTGTCCTAAGGCAAAACCACAAATTTGATTATACCACTCCCCCACTCCCCATAGAACTATTATTAATATTTCATGGACCTTAGAACGTGGTTTGAGGAGCACTGGTATGGGATATGAGCCTCCAAATGAAGCCAGATCCTAGAAAGAAGGCATAGTAACCAGAGCCCTGGACTGTGTGTTTGTTAGTCCTGGGGCTCAGTTTCAAGTTGAGCAAGTGTGTTGTGTGCACGTATACATGTGTGTTTATGTATTTTGTTTTTATAATGTTTCTATGCAACATGCTTTAAAAAGGAATGACATCCTTACTAACTTGATTTATGAAGAGAGGATGTAAAACTTTTAAAAGCACGTATTTTGGAAATGGGGTATAATGGAAAAGTAAACAGTTGAAATAATGGGATTATTTCTCAGAGTAGTTGCATAGTTCATGCTGAACCTTCAGCAAAATCTTATTTGGAATGGCTTCTACTGTAAAACACCTAGGAGCAAACTTAAAAATACTATAAGTTGGCAGCAGCAGAAAGAATTCACAGGGAATGTAGTAGTGCAACATCATCTGTCTTTGTTCAAAAAAGTTTATAAGATAGTTCTATTCCACTGTCTTGCCCCATGGCAGAAGAAGTTCTGGCTGGGAGAGCAGGCCTGGAAAGGCAGCACAGGGCCACATACTCCAGATGTGTAGAAATGTTCTCAGATACTTAGACAACATGCTGTTCTCACCCACCAGCAAAAGTTCTTTGACTGGAAGGGCTGAATTATTCAGCATAATCCTGAAAGCATTGTTCCCTTACTAATAAGTATCCAAGGTTAAACAGCCTATTGGTTAAATTGCATGTTGGAATAAATTGCTCTGTTAGATCAGAGCAGTTATAAAACTGTGGTAGATCTGAATGAATGTTCTCAGTGATGATAAGCAGTACCTTTGCTTCTATTAAATTCATGTTCTAATACGAGTCATCAAAAGGTTCTTTTATGCTAACTATGTTCATAAAAGAACACTCAATGTTTGACCACCACAACAGCTACAGCCACTAAAAACATAAATATGGGGGAAGTCCACACTGCTCAGACAGTTTAGTAAATTGTATTATTTAAACAAAATCTATTTATAGGAGATACTGAGATACTGATATGATGCTTTAAGAAAACCTTGTCCGTTAAAAAAAAATCTCATTTTTTCTTTAGCATGATAACAAATAATTCTGCCTACTTATATTAATAAATTCAATGACAAGGAAACCATAGCTGGCACATTATTGGTCTTAGTCTTAGAATTATGTTTCTTTCTTTCGTTTTTTTTCTTTTTTGAGATGGAGTCTCGCTCTGTCGCTCAGGCTAAAGTGCTGTGAAGCGATCTTGGCACACCACAACCTCTGTCCCCCGGGTTCAAGCGATTCTCCTGCCTCAGCCTCCCAAGTAGCTGGGATTACAGGTGCCCGCAACCATGCCCGGCTAATTTTTTGTATTTTTAGAAGAGACAGGGTTTCGCCACGTTGGCCAGGCTGGTCTCAAACTCCCGACTCAGGTGATCCACCCACCTTGGCCTCCCAAAGTGCTGGCATTACAGGTGTGAGCCACTGCACCTGTCCAGAATTATCTTTCTATTACTGAAAGATTTTTGAGGTTTTCTCTCTTGTTCATTCAGCACTGAGCTAGGCATTGGGAATGCTGGGTTTTGCTGGTCCTGGGGAATTCACAGTCTAATATCCAGCTTGTAGAAGAGTGACTTTCAGTGTTTCACAGTTTTTTTCAGCTGTGCAGTAGCTGTAATAAGGCACAGCTGTCACCTTGTGTGCACCATGTTCTAGGACTATACTCAGTTTTATATATGTGTATCTCATTTAATATTCAGAGTAACCTCGTACTTCCCCTCATTTTATAGGTGAGGAACCTGAGCCTCTGTGTTAACCAACTTAACCAAGGTTAAACAGTTAGTAGGTGTCAAAGTCAGATTTAGAACCAGGACAGTCTGGCTTTAAAGCCTTGGGTGCTAAACCTTTAGGCAATACTGCCTAATCCATAAAAGTGACAGTGTTTTTGTTACTATGTGGGCCCTTCTTGTGCTCTAGGCCATAGAAAGGCATCTTGGCTCTCACCTCTGCTTAGTTCTAGGGTAGCAGATCATAATCTCATCAGAACTGGGGTAGTGACAAAGCCAGGTCAAACTAGGCCATGGAAGCTCAGTTCCTGGTTCTATTTCAAAGGCAGGAGTCAGGAAGTTAACGGCCTCAGGATGCTGTGCTGTCTCTTCAAGTTCTGCAGAGGACCTCTGGAACTGGTGCATTGTTGGAGCAGATCACCCTGCTCAGCTCCCTCTCACCCTTCTCACCCAATGGTCTTGTCACTTTGGGTCCAGTTTTATGAGCTCACAGTGATTAAGTAACTGTGATTCTCATGGTTCTGAGACTCTGACTGCCAAACAAGCTAGTGTTGCTGAAATATTTTAATGGTCTGGCATATTCACTTTCCTTTTTGGAAGTTAGTGGATTGGCAGCTAGAATATGAATATTATATTTCACTCCTCTTCCTTTTTTTCTCTATCTTCTAATTAGTCTTTCTCTGCTTTCTGATTTTTCTTCTATCTCATCCTACTTATATGTTTTCTTCTTTATGGTTAGCAGTGAAATTGGTCTAAAGAGAAAACTTCTGTTTGTAAGGAGGGGTTCTTGTCTAGGTAAAAGTTTTTGGAAAATTATTTATTTCTAAATGTGCAGAATGGGTATATAATTAATAATTTTTTTTCTTAGAACATAGTTTCCCTGTAACCATGTTTTGGTATGGAATGAAAGATGAAACTGAGATTATTAAGGCAAAAATGCAGTAAGACCTCCCTCACCCTGAAATTCAATCTCTCTGGAATTTGATTAGTGTTTTTGTTGGTTTTACATATGAATATTGTTAGAGGGAGAGGCTTCTAGAAAAAGTGGGTCAAAATGAATATTTTTGGTAAAACAGAAGCTGCATAAAATGTCTCATTTTTATACTCATAATAGCCCTGTGGGGCAGGCACCATTGGTAGCTTCCCTTTGCACATGAGGGAGAATTAAGGGACTTCTCAAGATCACACAGCTAATAGGTGGTGGATTTAAACTAGGTGCCTTGAGTACAGTGTTTTGTATTTCACTAATACTATGCTAGCATGGTGTTTTGCGCTTCAGTAATACTATGCTAGCATAGTGTGTGGATTCTGGAGCAGGACAGAGTTGAATTCAATGTTTTCCAAAGGCATTCAGGCTATTTGATCATTTCTCTTATATGTGATTCTCACAGTCAGTTGAGTGCTTCACAAAACACACCAAGACTCATCAGTGAGCTGGATTGTTAAAAGGTTATTTATAGTGACCTTGTGAGAGTCTAAACACTCCAAGTATTTCATCAATAAAAGTGAATAATAACTTTTATTATCTTTTTTTAAGGATGTTAGGAGGGTTAATCTGTCACTACCTATAGAGCAATTTATATAAACTGAAGCATGTCCATGTCCATGTTATATTAGAACTAATTCTTACCAGCCCATATCTGGTCATCAGTATGCCCTGGATTTTTATATCATGTTTGGTTAATATAAAGTTTATCATCCCCTCAGTCATTGACCATACATCCATTTCATGAGAATTGTAAAACAAGGTAAAGTCAGATGCTCACAGTCATTGATATGTGCTACAGTTGAGATTTAATCCCCAGGTGATCTTACATTAAGGAAATGTCAGTAATCTGTTAGAGACACAAGTTCAACAAATTCAGCAAGATTCTTTTACAGTTGCAGAATCAAAAAATGTCCAAGTGTTAACTCCTCATGGTTCAGCCAAGTTTCTTTTTTCTTTCTTTCTTTCTTTTTTTGAGTCAGGGTTTCACTTTGTCATCCTTGTTGGAGTTCAGTGGTGTGATCATAGCTCACTGCAGCCTCGAACTCCTGGGCTCAAGTGATTCTCCAACTTTAGCCTCCCAAGAAACTGGGACTACAGGTATGCGCCACCACACCTGGCTATTTTTATTTTTATTTTGAAGAGATGGGGTCTTGCTATGTTGCCCAGGCTGGTGGTGAATTCCCATCCTCAAGTGATCTTCCTGACTTAGCGAAGGTTATTTTGTTTTGAAATTTGGAAGCATGGTTGGCGCTTTCATAAGCTAATACTTTAAAGCTTGTAGCTTTAAGGTACTTGTCTGAAGTTCACTGAAGAGGAGCAAAAGATCATTATTATTATTTAGGCCTCTAGACCTTGCTTGTAAATGCACATATATGCACATGCATAGATTCACACACACACAGAATCCCAACTACAAAGCATTTTTCAGAAGTCTTATTCAAATAAAGAGGTAAATGGCTCTGCTCTTGGTGAGACCCTAATAAGCATGTGATAATTAAATTATTTATCTCAGGAACCTATGTATCATTATTAACACTAATATTATAGCAGATGGGCTTTTGGATCAGTGGAGGGCCTTTGAGCAGCTATTAGAGAACCAGTGCACGGGAGTACTGTAAAATAAATTAGCCTCATCATTTCACTTCAAATCAGCAAACGATTATTGAGTGCACATCCCTGAAGATGCGTGTCTCCATGCTTATGTGCTTATGTCTGGTGGAGGGATAAGATCAGTAAGTAACGCAAGCCCATATCAAGTCAGTGTTTAAGAGAAGTACTGTATAAATGTGAAGCTACTGAGATGCAGTGGAGGAGCTCATATCTGGTTCTAGGGGTGGAGGGAGCATCTTATGGAGAAATGCTGTTTTGTTTTGTTTTGTTTTGTTTTGTTTTTTTTGAGACAGTGTCACTCTGTTGCCCAGGCTGGAGTGCAGTGGTGTGATCATGGCTCGCTGCAACCTCTACCTCCCAGGTTCAAGCGATTCTTATGCCTCAGCCACTTGAGTAGCTGGGACTACAGGTGTGTGCCATCATGCCTGGCTAATTTTTGTACTTTTACTAGAATGGGGTTTTGCTATGTTGGCCAGGCTAGTCTCAAACTACTGGCCTCAAGTTATCTGCTTGCCTCAGCCTCCCAAAGTGCTGGGATTACGGGCATGAGCTACCATGACTGGCCTGAGAAATTATGTTTTTAACTGACTTTAAAAGACGGGTTTTGTCAAGTGCTGGGGAGGCATTTAGACCAGGGGAACAGCATGAGCAAAAGTCAAAGGGCAGGAAAATGTACAAGAAGTTATCCAGTGTAGCTGGAATACAAGACCCATGATGTGCTGGAGGCCACGTGAAAAAAATAAATAGAGATTACTTCATGGAGAGCCATGAATGTTGGCTTGAGAGAGTTTTACTTACTGTAACAATTCCGCAAAGATACCTAGAGGCAGCACCCAGGTTATTACGTAGTCTCAAAAGAGTATTTCTGACAACTTCATTTTAAACATTTTTTTCTTTTTTTTATTAAAAAATTATTTTTGGAAATGGGGTCTCACTGTATTGCCCAGAGTGGTCCCTAACTCCTGAGCTTAAGCAATCCTCCCGCCTCAGCCACCCAAGTAGTTGGGACTAACAGGTGTGAGCCCCTGTGCTAGGCTAAAACATTTTATTTGTGCATTATTTCTTCATTGCCAAAGGATCGAAATCTCACTTGCTTTTTTCCTTCTGGGAGTTTTGTGGGCTGTTTTGGTCTGCTTAGAGAAAACCACACACTTCCAGGCTATTCTGCCTCTGTACATTTCCAGCCTTCCTTGAAACAATCATCTCGAGAACTGTGAAATTATCCCGCTATAATCTAATTGGTGGTGACCACTCAGTCCCTTTGCACCAGAGAACTTGTATCTAGCAAGTCTCTTTCTTTCAAACATTTGTTAGTTCGTTAAAGATGTTATGTTAGCAGTAGGATATGATGCATCTGAGAAGGAAATAAAAGACCAGGACAAAAGACATGTTGAATAGTCAAAGATGAGCTGTAACCATCAGGGAACACTAACTGTAGCACCTGATTTTGATTGAAAAACATGATAACATTGGCTTTGAAGTTGTTGCAGATCTGCTTAAACTTTCTTCATGGATGGAATGAATGAAAATTATGAAGCATTGATGTAAAAATAATTGTTTTTGGTCTTTTTTTTCTTTGTAGAAACCAACCTGCCTTCCCTCCCTCCCTCCCTCCCTTCCTTCCTTCCTCCCTCCTTTCCTTCCTTCCATGCATCCATCACCAGTCTTTTCTTACTGTACAATTTCCTTGACAGATGGACTTCTTGTAGAAGTTTACCTGAGTTTAATACGGGTGACCGTCATGGGTGCAATATTTTGCTGCAGGAGATGGAAAGACATTATTTTTTTTTCCTCCACAAAGTTGTATGGCAGGAACATGTAAAGCTGCATCAGTAGATCTTAAGACGCCTGTTCTCGTGATCTTGTTCTCACTTTGCTTAGAGGTTTCCCCAAGGTAATATTAATAAGGATGTATCCAGTAGTAACAGATAGTTCATTGACTCTATTATTTCTGAAACATGTATTGTCTTTTACGTAATAGTAGTTACTGCAGTCATTACAGTTCTTTTTCTTTTACATATTATAACTGAAGCAGTTTCTGTTTTTTTTAACAAATACAAATGTTTAAAAATCATGACACTTCTTTACCTTGCTGCCCATTATTTCTCAGCAGTTAAAACTTTATTACTTTACTGACAGAAAAAAGAAAGGATGAAAAACTATAAATATAATGATATAGAAAATCTACAGTATTTTTAAATGTCATATTTTAAAGATTTAGTCTCTTTAAAGTGAGTTTTTAAAATGAATTCATATAAATAAATGCAAAGTGCCATAGAAGTAATGAGGAATATTAAAAATATTTCAAGGTTTTTAAGGCATTGGGAAATATGTTCAAGACTTTGAAAACAGAGTCCACCAGCCATATCAGCCCGTTTGCTATTCCTGATGTTTGTATTTTCTTCTGGAGGAAGAAAGATTAAAAAGTGGATCTTGTTTTTTAATTCTCTGCATTAGGGAGTGAAATACTTTCTCTCACCGAAAGATAAGGGTAATCACAGTTTTAAAAACTGGCTACTCCTTACATGCATGTACCCTTGCAAATCCTGTAGCAACTGAAAAATCTCCTGATAGATGTAAAAATTAATTAATGTCTTACTACCATGCAAAGAATGTGGGCATAGGTGGATAACGGTGACTAAATCCCACAGAATTTGTGTGGCTTGCCTACTAAACCTCGAGTAATATAATATAAGTGAAAGCCAAAACCAGTTTTCTGTTGTTTTCCTCTCCAGCTTGTTCTTTATAAAAGTTGGACCTGTTTGTTTTGTTCTCTAAGTGTGCCATGTGCAGCACGCCTGTGTAATTCCTGGTCCTTGGAGCAGACTGCGGTGTGCAGGATGCCCGTGCAGGATTTGGGTGGCTGGAACTGACAAACTGGGATTAGCTGACCTCCTGCAGGAGGCTCCAGTGGCCCCTCGGCCGTGGTGAGAAGGAGCAGAGCCTTGGTGTGTATGTGACCTCTAACAGTGAAGTGATGCCTAGTTCACCGATACCACTTGCAGTAACCTGAATGACTGGTTATTCTGGTCAGGAGAAAATAGCACTGACATCATGTGATTCTGGCAAAGTAAACCACATTGGAACTTGGCCTTTGAATACCCAAGGGGCTGGCAGCAATCTCAGGGGTTGGCTGGGAGCCCCATTGAGTTCACTAGTAATCAGTTGACTGCTGAGCTGGACAAGCTGCCCTAGTTTTTCTGACAAGCTCTGTCTAAAAGAATGATGGGCAGTCTGCCATTAGGATTTTTAAGCAGAGTTGCTAAAGATTAACTCTTTAGCTACTGTAAATATATCATGTCCTTCGTTATGTGTTGGTATGCAATCAGATGAAAGCTTGGAGGGAGGTTCTAATTCCTCATTCAGTGATTGCACCTGGAGTTCCTCTCTTGTAAAACAAACACCCAAAGGCAAGGAAAAACACCGTAAAGTTCTTTGTATGTATGTTTCAAAGGAATGCCAGTGGATAGGTTTTTCTTGAGGTTTCTAGTTTGCTTTTTAAAACAAAATACTATAATCTTTAATTATGTAAAATGTTAGATGTTGCATTCTGATCATACTTCAGGAATAGACATCACCTAAGAAAAGTCTCTGAAAAACTACAAGCATTTAGTATTTACTTATTATGACACATACCCATGGATTTCATTTTCAAAAAAACTTTTATTAACTCAGAGTATTCTAGAAGAAAGGAGGTACTATACTCAAATGTCATAAGTCCAGAGAAACCAATTCTTTTGAATAAACGTGACTTCTCAATGGATTTATTTGGTTATCTTTTACTAGAAAAGGTGATACCTTAGTAACTTTTATTCCTTCTCTCACATAGTTAAAATAAAATATAATTGACAGAGATATACAGGTTGACTTAAAATATTCTATATACTGTAATCCCGGTGATGAATTTGGTATGTTTAATGTTGCTTTAAACTGGAATATTTCCTAAGGCATACTCTCTTTTCTCTAGGTAACTATGACATAAGCAAGGGAACACCAAAGTTCTTTGATAGTGCTTCAGCACTCCTTCACAAAATCAAATTGAGGTAGTAGTGAGGCCACTGTGGGGATGTAGTAGCCAATGATGTATCATTTATCTTGGGACACACCTGAAAGTTTTAATGGCAAAAGCTGAAGTTTTGGAAATCTGTCTTCCTTTTGAGCTAAGGCTTTAATTCTGCCTCCTCTTTGATCTTCCCTTCCAAAAAGCTGCCTTTGAGAAATGGTACAATTTCTCTCTCATGTTTAAGAGGTTTGTGACATTAGCTACCTGGGGACATTATTGTCCATCAGAGAACTTACATAAAGAAAACAAAAAAAGATATTATATGCACAGACACTGTCTAATGGATTCTTCCTGTTTCCCACTCCTCTTATCTTCCTTGACTCAGCACAAAAGTGCTCAACAGGCCATAAACTCAAAAGACCCTCCTCCCTGTTAGAGCTAAAAATCCTGCGTGATAACCTTTCAGATGCTCAGTTAAGGGCAAATTTGTAACTGAGTTTTAAAACTTGGTGTGTTACCCTAAGACTTATCAAGAAAAGAAGAAAGAGACTCGAGGGGTTTTGAACAAGGAGTTAGGAATAGGTGAAACTTTTTATCATGTTTGTTCCTACTGTGTGGGGTTTTGGGGGAGTCAGAAATGGTATCCACAAGACTTTGGCATTTATGATGATATTCCTGCCTTGTTCCGGAATTCCTCTATTTATCCCTTTGCATGAGGACAGTGTCACCACTGTCTATTGCTAGGCCCTAAATTATCTCAAGAAAGGGCTTAAGGGTGGTGAAGGGGTTGTGGAATTACCTTCCCCTCTCACTTTTCCATTCTCTCTTCTGCCCTCTCCCTCCTTCCTCATTTCTTTTCCCTTTACTCTCCTTCCTTCCTCTCTTCTTCTCCCCTCCCTCCCTCTCTCTCTTCCTTCCTTTCTATTTTTTTACAGTACTTGCTAAGTATCTACTATTGTCAGTGAATGCACAATGATATGCAATAATCATGATAGACGTAAACTGAGGAAGTTTATAAGATAATGGGAGAAAACAATTTCCCAAATCAAAGGATCACAAAAATGCACTTTAGCCTAGGCAACAGTGAGACGCAATCTTAAAAAAAAGTAGAATGAACAATTGTGGTGAATCATTTGGTGAAAAGGCACATGATGCTATAAGAGCATAAAACAAAGGGATCTTATAAATATGTGAGATTTCCGAGTAATACTATTTCTTGGTAATACTTAAGAAAAGAAAAAAGCTAAATCTTAGGTAGTATCTCATCTCCACCACTTACTATTTAAACTTGGGCAATTTGTTTAAGCTCTTTGACTCATAATTTGCTTATCAGTAAAGCAGAGATAATAATATCTACCCCCATCCTCAGTTTATGTAATTGGAAATACTAAATTTGAAATATTTAGTTGACGTACAGTGAGAATTTAATGAAAGGTATTTCTTATCACTAAGTTCTTATTTCAGTGGTCCTTTTGGTCACTGAAAGGTGTCAAATTCTTGCTGCTATTTGGTTTGTATATTAATTGCAAGTGTAAGAAACTGAAGTTATACAGACTGAAGTGAGAAAGGGAGATTATTCTCTGATGTAATTTAAAAGTCCAGTTTATCTGCAGGTACAGTTTGATTCAGGTGTTCAAATGATGTAACTGGGAATGTTTCTCTGATTCTCTTCCTATGCCATTCTCTTTGTTCCCTTACTTCTCGGGCAAAGAGGGTCTCTTTCCACAGTGAAGGCTTATATTCTATTAGCCAAGCAAACCCAGTGGGGAGGAAAATGTTCCCTTCCTCACTAGTCCCTGCAGACGTTCCTGGGCTGGATCTCCTTGGACTACCCCTGAACCTGTTGCTGAACTGGTGCTTTCTTCTCTTTGGCTATGCTTAAGTCTCCTGCCTGTTCTTGGAGAGGAGCTAGAGGAGGATCACGAGACACCCAAACTACATGATCTCAGAAAGTGGGGAAGAGTGGCTTCCCAGAGGAAAATTATTGTTATTACTAACAAAAAGTAATAGAGGCCGGGCGTGGTGGCTCATGCCTGTAATCCCAGGATTTGGGGAGGCTAAGGCAGGAGGACTGCTTGAGTTCAAGAGTTTGAGACCAGCCTGGACAACATAGTGAGATCCCATCCCCACAAAAAAATAAAAGATTAGTCCGACATGGTGGTGTATGCCTGTAATCCCAGCTACTCTGGAGGCTGAGGTGGGAGGATCACTTGAGCCTGGGAGACCAAGGCTACAGGAAGGAAGGAAGGAAGAAAGGAAGGAAGGGAGGGGAGGGGAGTGGAGGAGAGGGGAGGGCAGGGCAGTTTAGGTGGGAAGGAAGGAAGGGCAGTTTAGGTGGGAGGATTGCTAGGATGGAAGGAAGGGAGGAAAGAAGGAAAGAAAGAAAGAAGTAGAGCTGAGGTGGGAGGATTGCTGAGGCCAGGAGTTCAAGACCAGCCTGGGCAACATAGGGAGACCCCATCTCTACAAAAAAATTCAAAAGTTAGCTGGGCATGGTGGTGCATGCCTTTAGTCCCAGCTACTCAGGAGACTGAGGCAGGAGGATTGCTTGAGTCCAGGAGTTCAGAGTTACAGTGAGCTTTGATTATGCCGTTGTACTCCAGCCTGGGTGACAGGGAGAGACCCTGTCTCAAAAAAAAAAAAAAAGAAAAAAAGAAAAAATTAGTAGATACTGTGTAGACAACACCTAAACAAACAGGGCAGATATCTACTGTAGATTTTAAAAAATAATAAGAACACCCTGTTCCTGCTTTTAGTTTAGGTAGAAGTGAAACTGTTAATGAGGTGACATCAAAGCATGCAGAGTACCCACTAATTACTGAGTCTTGACTGTATGCCAAGCAGTGGGCCATGTACTTCTGTATTTTATTTCTGATCTTCACAGTGACCCTACAAGGTAAGTATTAAAATCTTGCTTTAATTTTATATCCAGTGAAATTATATAACTTTTTCATGGTTTTTCAGCTAGTCAGTGGTGGCGGTGGCCTTTGGATGCTTGATCATCCTTTTGCCCTGCAGTGGTGCCTGTGCAGTGTCAGATGGCCCTCCTGACCTGGAGCAGTGCAGAGACGTGCCATGTAGGCCTCCATGACTGGCACATTTTCCTGTGAGAAATGGAGTAGTCCTTTTTTCTAGGTCAGGGATTTGAAAGGCAGGACTTTAGAATCCTGTTCTGGGCATGGTCACTGCCTCTCCCTGCATTATTGGATGGCGCATGGAAGGCCTCCAACCATTAGCTGGATCTGTCTGTAAAATGGTGACAGTGTTAAGCTTTTGAGAGATTAATGAGTCTGTTTGTAAAGTTAAATACATTGTGCATCATACCAGAGACAGTCTCACCACTTAATTGTGGACTGTTCAAGTTCTCTTGACTATGGTATAAGTCCTAGTCAGCTTGGGTTGTCATAACAAAATACCATAGACTGGGTGGCTTAAATGGTAGAAATTTCTTTTCTCACAGTCCTGGAGGCTGGGAGTCTGAGATCAGGGAATTAGCATCATTGGATTCTGGTGAGGGCTCTCTTCGTGGTTTGCAGACAGCCACCTGCTTATTGTGTCTCAGAAAGCAGAGAGAGAGAGAGATATAGTGAAAGAAAGCAAGAGAGAGAGAGAGAGATCAGGCACATTGGCATCTCTTCTTTGTAGGGATACTAAACCCGTTTTAACAGGCCTTCAACTTTATGACCTCATTTAACCTTAATTACTTCCATAAAGACCCTGTCTCCAAATGCAGTTACACTGGGGATTGGGTCTTCAGCATATGCATTTTCAGGGACACAGTTCAGTCAATAGCAGGGTGATATTAGTGGTTTTCTGTGAACCACACATATACCTTGATATTTCACTCTAGCCTGTTAGCACTGTCAGTGGCACCAAATAAGAGGGTTTGGCATAGGATGTTTCCTAATATTTGCCTGTTAATTTGGGGGAAAGTAATTGGAAATTACTCACTGAAGTTCTCATTTACAGCAAAAGCTCTTCAAAAATGATATGGCAAACATATGGGCATTCACTCTACAAATCCATGTATGAGATGTGTGGAAATAGAGCTATCAACAAAGGGACTGAAGGCTCAGAGGAGGACACAATGCAGGGTTGATTAGGAAGGACTTCAGCAGAGTGAAATTAAACTTGATATCCCAGGGTAAATGGGATTTTGCAGGGTGAAGGGCAGAGAGGCATTTTGGTGGCTGGCTGGAGCACAGTCCTGTATGAAGGTGTAGTGACTTCCTGTACCTAAGACAAAGGGATGTGGAGAGCAGTGGGAGCTTCCTCCCATCTAATGGGTCGGAGTTTAGAATACCAGTGCCTTGCCAATGCAAGGTATTGGATTTTATCCTAGAGGCAGTGGAAAGCCCTTGAAGGTCTTATGGAAAAGGGAAAGTGTTAAAATTAGGTCTGGGTTTTAGACTGGCGAGTTTTAAGTGTAAACATGTTGATTAGAGAGCTTAGAGTCTAACCCACGCTGTCCCTGATATCTAGAATGCCTTTTCCTCTCTAATTCTCAGGAATTAGAGAGGAAAACCACACATTCCTGTTCATTGCACACATTTGTGCAACCACACATTCCTGTTCATTCTTCAAAACACTCCTCTAGAGTGATGGATATTTACAGTAAACTCATTTCTGACCTGTCTAGATGGAATAATCACTCCCTCCTCTGTCCCACTTTTATAATTTATGTGTACTTATTATTATTATCATTTTTCGAGACAGAGTCTCGCTCTGTCACCCAGGCTGGGGTGCAGTGGTGCGATCTCGGCTCACTGCAATGTCTGCCTCCCGGGTTCAAGCGATTCTCGTGCCTCAGCCTCCCAAGTAGCTGGGATTACAGATGTGCATTACAACGCCCTGCTGATTTTTCTATTTTTGGTAGAAATGGGGTTTTGCCATGTTGGCCAGGTTGGTCTTGAACTCCTGATCTCAAGTAATCCACCTGCCTTTGCCTCCCAAAGTGCTGGGATTACAGTCGTGAGCCACTGAGCCCGGCCATGTGTACTTATTATTGCTTGTATGACATTATAGTATAATCATGTGTTTACGTATCTCTCCCACTACTTGAAGAACCTTGAGAGCAAAAGGGTTGCATTTTTTTTGTTGCCGTTGGTTTTTTTTTTCTGTTTTGTTTTGTTCTGTCCTGGTTTGCATTCAGAGTATATGGTGCTTGGCATATCTTAGGTGTTCTTGTTTGTTGAACATAACCAAGCTAAGACTTCTGTGAAAGTCAGGAGAGCAGCAAGAAGGACATAGGAAAGCTTGTACTGGTAGGAATAGAAAGAAGGAGGCATATTATTATGGATGTAGGGAGAAGGAGTTGGGTGTGACTGTGATGTTTCTAATTTCGTCACCTGGGTAAATGTTAGTTTCCTTAACAGAGGCAGTGGAAGAACCACTGAGTTTGGAGGTGAGTTGTTCAGTTTTTTTCTTCTAGGTTGGGTAGGCATGACCCAAGTGTTGATGTCTGACAGGCAAATGAAAATACAGGTCTGAATTTAGCTGTTGTTATCCCAAACCTTTGAAGCCAAAGTTTGATTGAGGTTGCAGAGGGTGATAAAGAGAACCAGGGGAATGCTGACTTTTAGAAGAATTGGAGTTAATACAGGAGAATGATAGTGAGAAGTCAGATAAGTAGGAGGAGAATCCGGACACCCCAATGTCATGGAATCAGAGATGAGAAATTAGGCACATGCTGCACTAATCTAGGCTGATGTATGGCCAGAGACTTTTATCATGAAAGTACTGTGTAATAATAATAACAGTAGCAAGAACAACAATAATAGTATTTACTATTTTTTTAGTACTTATTGTGTTCCAGGCATTTTGCTCAATGTTTTTTCTACATATCCCATTTGTTTCAAACTTTGAGCCTATTATCTTTGTTTAAATAGATATACAAATTCAAATTCAGAGAGGTCAGTAATTTGTCTAAGGCCAACGGCTAATAAGTATTGGAACTGGGCATGGTTTGTGAACTTTGATATGCTGCAAAGTTACTAAGCAGTTATTTTATTTTTTGGTGGGGATCTGTCTATGGAGATTGTGGAGATTAAAGTTATCGGTAAAGCTTACTATACTCATTCCCATTAGCTCAGAAGAAATGTAATTCTTTCCTGCTTACATGGATGAGAAAGTATGTGGGTAAGTTTCATTCATTTTGAATGTCTCTCATTTAATCAGCAGATTCAGAATGTATTAGTGACTCCAATATATCTGACTGCACTGGTATATGGTATATATTTTAACTTTGTTTTCTACTATAAGGTCATTTAAAAACCATTCTGACCTATCATTTCCTCTACAAATTTCTTATGCTTATGTTGTACAAACTGAATTTTTATATAATAGAGAGGATTATTTAAATAGGAAAGAGAATCCTGAATATCTTTAAGCACTTACTTTGTTTAGTGCTTCTATGTGGAGTTGCATGCTTAAAAGAGACATACACAATAGCCATTCTTGAAAATATTTGCTCATAATTGCTACACCCTTATGGATGTGTTTTCATATATAATTCAGGAAAGAAAAATTATTGCGTATGATAGATTAGTATTACCACATAATAGTACTGATTTGTGTGTCCTATTTTAGTGCATTGCTAATTCTCACGTGATAACTACAGTATACGGTAATTTCCATGAAACCAGACAGTTTAATTCTGCTACCAATGTCATTTTAATGCAGTTGCAGCCATATCTGTGGCTTCAGCTAGCCCTTGTGCAGGAAACCCTCCAGCAGCAAGGATCCTGGCTTGAGCTCACTCAGTCATTTTACTCCCACATGATGTCATGCAGCTTAGGGTTTCCTGGTCTTTGAGTGGATGAACATTTCTGCCTTTTAGGCTATCTGAGACGAGGTTGGGATTTCTTAGGACGAACTTTTACGAAGAAAAATGCTGAGAAAAAAATGAAATACAATAAGATACCATAAAAAAATGGATGAGCACAGGTTTTTGTTTTTGTACTTTTTTTTTAAAAAATACCCAATTAGGTAAATCTAACCATAGGTTGACTTTCTGGCTGGACTTGAAAACTCATTTATTTCCAGTTTGTCTTCCCTCATGAAACACAATAAAACAAAACAATTCCACCCCCAAACCTGCTCCTCTTCTAGATTCTCAAGGGACTTAGGAATCGGGGTAGAAGAAAATGGTCAAGACAGCCCACCTGATTTATTTCTCTTACTTATCCAGATTTGTTTTGGAATCACATGCCAGCTTCTCCACCTTCAAATGCCTTATGATGCAGAATATTATATATTTTTTGAGAAGGTAATATAAGTTGCTTTTTCTTCTCTTTCAAATAATTAGTTATCTTTTTTCCACTTCATATGCTAGAAGTAAAACAATAAAGAAACCTCTGGGAATTTTCATTAAGTGATTGGTTTTCATATATTCTGTCTTTCTAAGGAGGGAGGGAAGGAATGTCATTTAAATTTTTAAACTCTAGTCTTGATGACTAAAATGTTCTCAAACTTGGTTAAATCAGCTATCTCTTTACATAACTATTGGATTTCTTTCAGGGGGCTGTTTCCTTACCGACATACTGTACAAATAAATGCAGTTTAATATAGATATATCTTGATGTGTTTAGATTTGGTAAACCCTCTTATCTTTCAAACATGCATCATTTATTTAAAATGCATAGGCATATGTTCAGAACAAAGTTATTTTCAGTACATATATATTCATTAGCCTGTGTGTGAAAGTACATTTCAAATCACAACCATTTCAATATTTGTTTTTCTTTCCAAACTTTCTTTTCTCTCCATCTTGGTTTAATTGAACCCTAGACCTGAACTCTTTAAAGCATTCCTATGGAGCCAGGGTACATTTGAATGTCTTTGACTGATATAAAATAATTGCTTTGTTGATCATATACCCATGCATGATAAGATATGCATAAGAAGAAATCTGGTACAGAAGTATAAATAATACTTATCTTTAAGCCAGCATCTGTCATCTGCTTCAGCAGACAGTGCTTGCTTTCTTCCTAGCACAAAAAGGCCTGAAAGATTTATGGAGCAGCTTTGTTTGTGCTCTGTGATGCTTAATCAATTTTTATTAAATTCTAAAGTAAAACTTGGCTTTCACTTCAGTGACATCTCTGATGTATAGAACAAGGGGAGAGATCATGATGCCCTGAAAAAGTTAGGCATGGGTGATCTAAATCCCCAATCTGTTTCTTCCTGCAGGACTTCTTGCAATAACTTTTGTAAGTCTGAAGGAATCCTTGTAGGTTTGCAATGGAAAAAGCAAATACAGCCCAAACTTTAGACTTTTCAAACTTCTAGAGAGTGGATATTTGTAATTTGTTTTTTAATACTCATGCATATTTCCATATGTGGGAAAAAACACATAAATTCTTTCAATGTGCAGATAATGTGCTCATTTTGCATTCAGAATCATCTGAAAAATAAAGACTCACTAGTTATGTTTACAGAGAATCTTAAAACTTTTGGTAATTGAGGTTTAACATATTAAATATCTGATAGACATGTGGACTCTGTCGCCTTTTGCTGGCTGGTTTGCCTTATAGGCTTAACTTCTGGAATTTTTTTTGCCTTTTCAAACAAATTCTTCTGGTTGAATATCAGCATATGGTAGGAGGCTCACTCTGAGACAGGATAATTTATAAATGACCATTTCTTGTCTTGTGATCTTATGTATATAAAGAATCTAGAGTCATGAGTCAAATTGGGATTTTTGTTCAGGAAAAAGGTTAAAAAATTAGACATACAATTGGCTTTCTTTGATTCTGTGTCTATAAGGAGAGGAAGAATGGGATTTAATTTAAAATATATTTCTGCATTGAATACTGATATTTCTGTTTTTGAATTTGCTTTTTTTTAACATCTGGTACACACCAGACTAACCTGTACATATTATTCCTTTGGAAGCATATGGTTGTGGGCCCTGATCCAAAAGTAGCTTATGTATCTACATTTCAGAGTGTAAAGTTTCTTGAAGAAAGGTGGGGAGGGAACAACTATGAGATATGTTGTTAATTATTGTTTATTTTCTAGGAAATATGGCAAGCTGTAAACTTAAGATGACAATATCTGTTTTTTTTTGAATTATGTAATATGCTACTTTGGAGAAAGTCGATTAAAGAAAAATTTGGAAGCCAATTCTTACGTGCCCTAGGAAAATTAATAATTCATGCAGCTACTTCTGTCCTATCAGTCATCTTTTCACTGCCACATTTATACTTATGTATTATGAACTGCTGTTTTTTTAGTTATAAATGCCACAGGTAGATATGGATGTTGATACTGATATAGTCTATTTATCTACTTATTACCTAAACCTTGATGCATATTCTTGTATTTACTTAGCCTTGGTAATGGCCTGGTCCGTTATGCATACATAACTATTGAGGCAGTTTTTGAGGTTCTGGAATTATTCAAAAGACCTGGCCAGAAATGGTTAAATGGCAGGTAATTGCCGAATACATTTGCCCCTCATTTGCCTAAAAGGTATTCGGTGCCTGAGTGTATTCTTGCCATGTGCTTTCTTTCTCAGCTGCGGCTGATTCAGAAAGACCCATTGGAATTACTGTGAGAGTAGAGAAGAAACCCTGAATTACCAAAATGAAGACAGCCCTGCTCAACTTGATATGCAAATAAGCTTTGAGGATACAGTTTAGTTGGTCCTGGCTTTCTAACCTCAGAGCTCCATCTTACGCTGTCACTTGCCAATGCTACTTCATTGTGATACTTGCAGCCTACAAAGCTAGAGAGTTTGTCTGCTTTCTGTGGAGTAATTTTGAGTAGATGAACTGAGGCTTGGGAGAGTTTGCCAAATGAGGTGGTGATGATGGCTAAAGAGACTTGGACTTAGGGAGTGCTTTCTGGCAGAAGTACAACGCAGACGGTATCATGTTTTTGACCATGGTACTTTAGACATGCTGCCAAGTGTTTGTAACGAGATAGGGCTGTTACTATACTTTGCTTTTAACTTTACTTTTGCATACAGTACATCGTTCTTGTTTTATAAACTGTGTCGCATACTTTTTGTACCTCTATAAACAAGTGAAGCTGTTGAGTTTTTGGATAAAGTTTGAAGCAGTCTTGTGTTGCTTCTTCTTTGCTTTATGCTCCAAGTTGAGAGCTGAATAGTAAGATCTTTTTTCACACCATTTATAATGCGATGCACATTTTGAAGGCAATTTAAATTCTTTTGGCTCCCCAGCCATATGCTTCAAAATGGAAGCATTATGCATGTCTGAATAGGGGACTAGGTAGGAAATTGGAGTATAAAGATATATGGCAGGATATATAGTAGGGTAATATTATCTATTGAGAGAGAGGGAGAGAAAGAGAGAGGGAGAGAGGGAGAGATGGGGACAGAGAGATTAATTTCACTCTCTAGGAATTTTTCCAAACTTTAGGCCCAATTTTGCTGAAGAAAATTTAAAATGTTTCCATAGGCTACACAGGAACTTTTATGTATGCAATTTATATATTTAATGAAATTTTGGAACTTGACCAGTGTATTATTTGAGAAATTGGCAATATAGTCAAGAGTAATGGACTTTAAGGTATAATTTTTAATGGAAGGACAAAACTAATATAAGTGGAAACCATATTCCTCTTCTTTTATTACATTTTTTACTCATTCCTTTTTATGATTTTATTTCTCTTCATCCTCACCATCCCCTCTAAATTTTCTTCAGTTTGTTTCTACATTGGAAAAGTGAAATGTAATGTTCTCTTTAACATATAAACTCTTGCACTCTCTCCCTCTGGAGGGTATCTTTCACTGTTTTCATAATTTATTCTGCTGGGTAGAAAACCCCAGATTCCTCCAATATTCTGAAAATAATTTGTACTTTTTGTAGATAGAAATTTCCTGTTTCGAAGCTTCTCTCATTATAATCGTGTAAGGTTCTTGTGGTTATGCCTCATTGATCACATGGATATCATTATAAAATAATTTGGCTCATATTTGGATTTATATGTTTATGTATCTTTAAGTTAGAACAGAGATTCCTTTCTCATTCTTATTTAAATGTTGTTTTCTTATCTTTTCTCTTTCTGTTTTCCTTCATAGATAATAAGTGACTTGTAGTATTAGATCATACACAACTGGTAGTTTCTTCTGTAACTTTCATCAGAAATGAGTATTGTGTCTATCCAGGAGTTCCTGCACTTTTTCCTGAAGGAAACAGTTTGTATGTTAAGTATACCTCTAAACCTTATTCATTTGAAGTAATAGTCTTAGAACATATACACATGCCATTTTCCTCTTTTCCTCTCTACACCGTGGATTTGGAAATTATGGAAGCTTTTTACAAAAAGACCTAATGGGATTTATGTGTTATTTTCTTTGTGACCATTGTGTGAAAACAGTTTTCAAAGTTAAGTTACTGTTCTCCTGTGTAACATTGTGAATACAAAATACTACAAACCTTTTTGGTTAAATGATGGAGGAGAATCAATTTGTTCTTTAGGACAAATTTCTTAATTTTAGTTTCTTAGAATCCCTATGTAATGGGCATATTACCGACTGCTCTTGCAGAATCAAATGTAACTCCTTTTCCTATTATAAACTATATTGTATAACATAACAGCTTTTGAATAATTATCATGTGATGTACTTTCACCATCAGTTGACCTTATGCTGTTTAGGAGACACCAGGGAGTCCTGGGAATTAGGAAACAAAACAGAGAAGGGAAGAAAAAAAAGCAGGAACTGAATTTCCTTCATTCATTCATTTATTTTTGAGAAGGGTGGAGAAGCCCACAGATTTATATCTCGGTTGGGTGAAATTGTGTTACTGTTTATCTGTACCTTTTTCCCCCTGTGGCAAGAGACGTGGAGAATAGACACTCACTCCCAAAGATACCAAGTTCCAAAGCACTGAGTCATGAGTCCACAATGAAATACTAGGATGCAGCCATTTCCTACCTTTGTTTGGAAATGAACTGATTGGACCAGGCGGATGTAAGCCCTCAGCTGCAGGGCTTTACAGAAGGAAATGCTTTTGGTCTCTCTTAGGTACTCGATGCTGTTCTGTAACTTCTTTGTATTTGACTGAAACAACCAATGTGAAAATGTTTCCTAGACTATATAAAATTCAGCGCATGCACCCTTCTGTCTGTTTGTGCACATATACTTTTTATGTGATGGTAGGGAAAGCATCAACTGCTTTTAATGCAGTGAATTTTTAATGTAACCTTACGTATTAAACTCTTCACAAGACTGTCTCTCTTGAGTAGTCTCATTTATATTTGTAGCCCCTACTTTTAGTGGTGACTTCCAGGTGCTGTGTGATCTGACCCTTGCCTCCCTCTCCCCAGTGAGTCACTCTGCCTGCCCTTTCAGTAGCAGCAATACTACCATCCCTCCAGTACAGCTGAGCCTCAGGCACTTTGCTCTGTCTGTCCTTTCTGCTGGGAACCGTTTTTTTCTCAGATGATCGTAGGTAGGGCTTGCTCCCTTACCTCATTCAGAGGAAGACTTAAATTACATGTGCCCCCAAAATCTCCTACCACTCCAGCTACCACTCTCTTCTTCCCAGGTCTTTTTCTCCTTACCCTGCTGTACTCTTTGCCCCATAGCTACCTCACATATTTCATATTCATTTGTTTCTTGGTTTACTGTTTCTTACCCCTCCTAGACCGTAAGCCTCATGTGGGTTAGGACTTTGATAATCTGCTGTTTTGCCCAGAACCCAGAATATGGTAGAATACACACACACACACACACACACACACACACACACACACACACACACACTGTTATACCTAGCAGGGTGAGGAGCTTACACACACACACACACACACACACACACACACACACACACACACACACACACTGTTATACCTAGCAGGGTGAGGAGCTTGGTAGATCAATAATAAATGTTTATTGAATAAGAAACAATGTAGATCGGCAAGAGATGTTGCTGACCTCTTATATTGGGCTATTTGGGAGTTATTTAACTTTTGGATGCCTCAGCTTTCCCATCTGGTATGTGGGGACGAGATTTTGCATACCTTGGAAGCATGTTGGGAAGTCTGATTAATAATGAGTAGTAATCATGAGCAGTGAAAAGATCAGACACCAGCTCTGTTTAATGAGAAGGTACATAGACATAATGAAGAGCTTTTGTGCTCAGTGGGCAATGGTATATCTTAGGTGGCCAAGCTTTTCCCTGTGTGTGCTGGCCTTCGGCACTTTTTGGGTGTTAGGGATTTTGATGATCTTCTGAAGATGGATGAGAAGAGGGCTAAGAATGGCTAAAGCTTGGAGAATAATTTGGGGAGTCACAGTAAATCAATAGGATGAGATAGATGAAAGAAATTGGCTCTAAAGAGAGCATTGGAAGTTTTAGATTGTCATATTTACCACCTTCAGTTCTCAGACCTGATAGTTTTCAGTGACGTAGCCTTTTAGGAATTTCAGAAGTGTGATTTTACCTTGAATTTATTAGGGCTAAATTCAATTGTTTATGTTTATGCAGTTCATAATTTTGCAGTTTAGTTTGTGTGGGTTAGTGGCCCTACTGTTCAACTGGATGGCAAATCTGTGCTAGGAGGATACCATATGCACAAGTATTTTCTTAAATAATGTTGGCGTTTGCCACTGGTGTTAGGGGAAGAAGAAAAAAAAATGAGAGCAATTCTGGAAGCCCTCCAGTAAGGGGTTAGGAAAGAACTTAGGGACAAATGCTCCTACTTGGAACACAACACCAAATAGTGGCTTTTTTGTGTTTTTATTTTTTTTTTTTTAAAGAGAAGCCAAAATTAAACACAGTAGAGTTTACTGTTTGCTAATCAGCATGTGTTTACTTTCTCTTCCAAAACTGAAGTTGCCAACCAATACATTTCCTACCCAGTGCTATGAATCTGTCCAAATAAACATGGGAAGTAGTGAAACAATGACACCACATGAAAAATATATCCTTATTCATTAAATAGAATCCAAAAAATTCTCTGGAATTTAATTGTAGCAATGACGTGAGGACTGTCTGGTCTATTAAGAGAGGATAGTGACTTCCCTCTTCAGTTAGTCCAGCACGGATGAGTGTGATCTTAAGTGGCTCTACAATTCCACATGCATCGTCCTAAATCTAGATACATGAAAATGGATCATTTCCTATCAACCCCTCACTCACACCCGTGGACTCTAGGGCATTTGTGGTAGAGTTTTATGGTAATTACAAACATAAGCAGCTTGTCAGAATTCAAATAATCAATTTTAATTTCTGTCTCAATCACTAAAGATTACTGACCACTATGATGAAATTAAGGAGTGCTTTCTCTGGAGATTGCAAACACAAGGGCAGAGAGAAGTTAGAAGCTTCTATTTTGTGGTCAGTTTTGAAAAATACAGTCAAAAGCAGTAGCCATAATCAACATTATAGAGAACCTTAAATTCATAAAGATGCCAATTTAGCTATTAGTGGGCAGTTCCATATAAAACTGGTAGCTATAATGCGTACACATGTCTTTGTTAAGGGGCTTTGTTGTAGGAATGGAAGATGAGGGTATAGTGATTATTGTGTTATGATCAATGCTATTATTTAAATATGTCTTTAAAAAATATCCTGTACACTCTTGATACTGGAGCCCAGCCTCTTGTCTTCCATCAAAATCTGCTTTTAGGAAATAATGCAATATCAGGCATTGATTCTTTATTGTGAGTTTAAATACATAATGGTGAGCTTGCAGTAGTAATTGTGTTAAAAACCCAGTGGGTAAAGTTTCATAGTTAAAGTTCAAGCCTTGGGGATAAGTGGTGTTTCTGATAAGGACAAGCATTCCTTCTGACAAAACTCTTACTGCCCAGGTTACTATTTTTTTCTTTCTTGTACATATCAGGTCCTAGTGATGCTTCTGGACGAGCCTCAAAACAAAAGGTTGTTCATTCTTTGAAGGTGATTTAGCACCTAATTGTAATTCAGCAGTACGTGAAGATTAGAGTTGTTCTATCTACAGCAGTACAACAGTGCTTTTTTTAAAAATAAGAAATAAATTAACTGAACAACTGTGCTTCGTAATTCTTGGACTTAGGTAAGTGACATATAACCAAATAAGAGTTGTGTATAAAACCAAGATGATAGCCCATGAAAACCCAAAGGGATCTTTTAGGGTGAGATAGTATATGTCAAAGTTGTCAGGCAAACTGTATAAACTTGGTTGTTGCCTTTATTATCTATTCTAATCATTTACAGATAAGGAAGCTGAGGCCTTCAGCACTAAGGTCTCACACAGGCTTTTACAGCTGGTGAGGAACAAGGTCGGGGCTGGCAATACTGGGAGTTCCTAAACACAAAAGGCATTCTCCTCTATCAGTTTGCCTCCCAAGTTTTAAATGATGTCCTTTGAACATCAGATCGCCTTTATCAAAAAATTTTTAAGCCTGAATTTTAAAGGAATGAGATGGAGTGAATTAGTGTGAAGTCTTTTTTTCTGAGCTTGGTGTTTATTCTTTATTTTGTTTTCAATCGTATAACATTTTCTGTAATGTCCCATTTGAGTAAAGTTATCATTATCCTCTATAGGCATATACTTATTAAGTACCTACCAGTTGTGAAACCCTAAATAGTTAAGATTGCCACATTTGAACTGCAAGAATAATGAATGATTTAAAAGTCTAAAAGATTTGGTTATTCAACATTTGTTCAAAAAGACCAAATGAGCATATGTGAAGCTATTTTTTTTTGTCCCCTGGTTGATCCAGTGATTTCACCTCACTATTGTTATTCTGATCCTCTTGGATCTGGTTTTTAAAAACGTATGTTGAAATAGTTAAAACATACCCAAAAAAAAAACCAAAAAAAAAATTTCAACGAACAAATGCCAGCACCACCAAGTTTAAGAATGTTTAATAAAATTTTAGTTAAATTGATGTAAATTAAATTAAAAATATGCTAGTTTTACAAAGCATAACTAACAAAATGTTAAAAAAAAGAGTAGACCAAGTGCAGTGGCTCACACCTGTAATCACAGCACTTTGGGAGGCCGAGGTGGGCAGAGGTCAAGAGTTTGAGACCAGCCTGGTCAATATGGTGAAACCCTGTCTCTACTAAAAATACAAAAATTAGCTGGGCGTGGTGGTGCGTGCCTGTAATCCCAGCTACTCAGGAGGCTAAGGAAGGAGAGTTGCTTGAACGCGGAAGGTGGAGGTTGCAGTGAGCCGAGATCCCGCCACTGCACTCAAGCCTGGGCAACAGAGCAAGACTCCATTAAGAAAAAAAAAAAAAGAGTAATGATAATATACCTACATGCCTCCTCTTATCAATCTCATTCCTTCTTATCCTACTACACCATGAGGTAGCTTCTCTCTTAAATGTGGTGATTTTTGTTCTAGTACTTTTATTGCATGTACTTCTGTTGCAGATGGGTTTGTGATCTGGTTTTTGATGCTGAGAATGCTAATCTCTCTCTGCCATCCAATCTAGAGAGTAATCCTCTGACATTTTACCTTAGGATAATTTCTCCTAGGTTTGACTGTTCAATAAGTCACAGGACTGCAGGCTTCAATCCTGGATTTTCCAAGAGTCACAGAAGTTAGCTCTAAGTCTCCTTTCCTTGACATGTAACACAATAAAACAATGCCCTTGACTCCTGTTTTGCTAATTATAATTGATAGGTGCTTTCTATAAGTAAAGCATCTATAAGTAAGATGTTATATAAATTAAACAAAAATTTTCCTTTTGAATATTGGAATGAGTGCTGATGGTGACAAAACTGCCCTCAGAGTTATTATTTCAGATCAAAATTGATAGACTAGAATTAAGCTACAATATTTCAGCTCAGACTACTAGTTAATTTTGTCTTTGTACATATGCTCACCTTTCAATATTTGTAGTTTGCAAACAGTTATTAAAGAATAATAGCAAAACAAGTCTGGGCCCAGTGGTTCACGCCTGTAATCCCAGCACTTTGGGAGGCTGAGGCGAGTGGATCACCTGAGGTCAGGAGTTTGAGACCAGCCTGGCCAACATGGCAAAACCCGGTCTCTACTACAAAATACAAAAATTAGCTGGGCGTGGTGGCCTGGGCCTGTAATCCCAGCTACTTGAGAGGCTGAGGCAAGAGAATTTGCTTGAACCTGGGAGGTGGAGGTTGCAGTGAGCCGAGATCGCACCACTATACTCCAGCCTGGGCGACAGAGTGAGACTCCATCTTAAAAAAAAAAAAAAAAAAAAAAAAGAATAATAGCAAAAGAGCTAAATACTGGGTGTCAGACTTCACCAAAGCTCTTTATGGTTAAATTGTTAGATGTTTTTCCTGAAAATTTTTAGGATCACTTTCTGAGAAATTCCTTCACATCTGAAAATTTCAGCTTCCAGTTTCTCATGAAGGGATATAAATAGTTTAACTATTACTTACATTTGGAAATAAAATATTTAAGGCAATATTTGTGTGATTTTGCATTTTCAACACAACGTACTATCTTTATGGCTAAACTACATGTCTGTAAGAGATCTTTTGAAGAGCAGTAATGACATCAATTGTTTAGGAGGTACCACGAGTTAAACTTTCTGTTCTTTGCCTTGGTTTTCTTAAAAAGTGGTGACTTTTTGCTCTATCCTATCAAGAGCAAGTGCAGCATGTGTTAGAAGAAGGAGGAAGCCAGAGGCAGACCCGCCCTCTTGACCTGTCCCACTGAGCATGCCAGTTTGCTAGATGGGCCCTGGCCACTGTGGACTCTGCTTTAGAGACCTCTGCAAATAGGTGGTGGGCACTCCTGATTTCTTTGATTATAGACTAGGATAGTTACAGACTATAGTACATAGGCAAAACAATTGAAATAAACATTTAAATAAAATAAGTTAAATAGTTCAACTCATTATAAGAACTTGCTACACTTTAGGATTCTGTAAATCACTTAAGAGTCATAGAAAAATATAAGGATTCTGCTCCTTAAATTTCTCATTTGAAAGTTTCCAAGGTGAAAAGAATTCTTAGAAAAGAATTTAACACTGACGCTGATCCTTAGCCCTCTAATACTTTAAAATGGACTTCCAGACTTCGTTTCTCACACCTGGCAACCTTTAGTCTTCCTGTCTCCCTTGTCTTAACAAGTTCCATGATGTGAAGTAAATCTGATGGCTTTTGTTTATTTAATTTTTGCTTTCCTTGAGCAGGTAGGTGGTGTGTCAGTAGCTGAGTATCTTCTTTCCTGGTGGCAAATGATTTAGAAGAATCCAGGACCACTGTGCATTTGGTGCGTTTTGCAGCAGGAAGACAGGCACACACGGAGTTAAGCCCATGGCTGCTCTGTGTTAACTGAACATTCCCAGTGTGACGGGGTCGTAATCCCTAAGCAGATGCTTTACGGGGTCTCATTATTGTCCAGAAGTGGCTCTTGTATGAGAAAAAGCAGCCATGCAGAAAAGGCACAAACACTATTGACTTGCCCACCATGGCATACGTTTTTTTCTTCCTAACATCCATGAACCCATTTCATTCTTACCTAGCCATGGTGTCGCTCCTTCCCTCGCTACACCTTTAACTCATTAAAAATCAAAAACAGAACAACAACAAAAAACTAGAGTAAAATCATACTGTTCCATACTGATAAGAGACTGCGATTTACCTTAGGATCTTTTGAGTGTGGTGTTGTTGGCGAAGACCTTGTTTCTTTCCCAAGTCTTTCAGCCACACTGTGGCCTTTCAAAACCTTTAAGTCCTGTAATAGTATATTTTGTGAAGAAGGGGAAAAATGAGATTTTTTTCCTCCTTGCTTTTGTTAACCCATTCTTGTTTTAGACTCCAACAAAAAGGGTTTTTGTTAACTGGAGCTTAAAATCGGCCAGCTTGCAAAGTATTCTCTCTTTTTATGCAAGGAGGATTAGCTTGACATGTTATGCAGTTCTCTTGTAGGAGCCATTCACGTGTCCTGTCATAAGGTGTATAATTACTGCACTTCACCATCAGCAATCATTCTTAAGTTAAAACCTGTTTTAAACCTCTCATTAATATAAATCATACCAGCAAGGTAGAAAATATACCTTCAAAAAGAACGAACTGTTAGGGAGTTAATCTGTTCTTTTCATAATAGACCTGGAGTAAATAATTTTTACTTAGCACTTTTCTTTCTATGCAATCAAAATAGTTTGTGATAAAAGATCTGGTACCCGGGATTGCATAAATGTGCAGTGTTTTATTCAGGCAGGATTGGGCTTCCTGCTTGGTGCCAGCCTCGTTTTCCCTCTGTCACCCTTGAACAGTGAAGTGTGTAATCCTCCATTCTTTTACAGTCAGCCCTCTGACAGGACTGCCTCTCTCTCCCTCTCTCTGCCTTTCCTTGTCTCTCTCCCTCTCTCTGTCTCTCTCACACATACTTGCTCATACAGATAAATTCAGGAGCAAATAGTTTTTCTTTTCAGGGCTTTCTCCCAGTGAATTCTCCCAGCATGCTTAGATAGCAATCTGAACTTACAAACAAATGTCTCAACGAATATATATATATATATATATATATATATATATTTTTTTTTTTTTTTTCCCCATGGAAAAACTGTAGGCCAAGGACTCAGATATCCCTGTTGTATTTATTTCTTAGTGGTTTGTTCTAGTGACAGAGTGGCAGCTCTGCCACTACAGCTTGGGATCCTCAGTTACTCATCTTGCGAACTCCATTTCTCCGCTCCCCCTTTGCCTTTCGCCACCAGAATCCACATGCCACTGCCTCAGAACTGTTCTGAGGGATGATTGTGGAAAGTTCAATCCAAGCTGGGCTTTCCAGGGCAGTAGGCTAGTCAGTCTCAGGAAAAATGTCTCCAATTCTTTGCACATTGTGAAAGGCCCAGTTTGATCTGGATTTTACCCACCTTTCCAAACTTGTTTCTCACTTTTCTCTCTGGAACTTCTGCCTCATCGTCTGTACAACCTGCTTCCTCTTTAAATTTGTCAAAAAGTGCTACTTTTTTCTACCTAAATGCCTTCACTTCTATTAATCCCATTTCCTCCAGCTAATTTTTATTCACCCTTTAAGTCTAAGCTTAAGCTAATCTTCCTTTTCTCTTTCATGTATTTTTAGTTAAGTGCGTACTATGTGCCTGAAATTATTCTGGGTTCTTGAAATTCAGGGTTCATTTGGATATAGACTATATCTCTGCTCTCATGGGACTTACATTCTAGGAGAAGCCTTCAACAAAGAAGTCTTCCTTGACATTCCATTCTGTTAGCGCCCTTTATTTTGCATTTCTGTTGCTCTCTAAGTTTCTTCATAGCATTTTATTCACTCTGTTAAACAAATATTTGTTAATACCCATTGGAAATAGTCATATAGCTTGGACAAGTTCTGCCTTCCCTGATGAACTCAAAGCTCTATGAGGACATGATCTCTGACATATGTCTATCCAGGAAGATAGAAGGCAATTCATAGAACCTGAATGAATTAATAAATGAATGGCTTTCTCCCTGTCCCCAAATATTATAATTGTACTCTGCCTGAATTATTTTATACCATTCTTTTATACTGTCTTAAAAATACCACTAATTAGAAATTCATCAGGTCAGGCCAGGCACAGTGGCTCACGCCTGTAATCTCAGCACATTGGGAGGCTAAGGCGGGCTGATCACCTGAGGTCGGGAGTTCAAAACCAGCCATGAACGACATTGGAGAAACCCTGTCTCTACTAAAAATACAAAATAATTAGCCGGACATGGTGGCATATGCCTGTAATTCCACTACTCGGGAGGCTGAGGCAGGAGAAGCGCTTGAACCCGGGAGGCGGAGGTTGTGGTGAGCCGAGATCGCGCCATTGCATCTGCTTTTCTTTATCACCTAGCAGATGTTAGTGGCTGCAGGATGGGAATAAAAGTCAGGTTGGGAGGGGATATTTTTAGAGCCTGGAACAGAGAGAGGTCTAAGATGGTTGGCTCAGTGAGGGTCTTGCACTGGGCCCTGAAGCCCGGAAGGGAAGGTGGAGAGGAGTGCAAATGATGAGGAAATTAAGCCTGGCTTCCTTCAAGAATTTATGTAAAGCTGAGAACTCTGTTTCTTTCTTCTTCTTCCTCAGCAGAAAGGAAGAGAGTTAAAATTAGTAAAGATTTTTTTATGTGCCACAAACTTTACATACATTATTTTATTTAAGGCATTATTTTATCTCCAGTTTATATTTAGGAGCCAGGCCTTTTTAATTCCAGAATTAGTACATGTAAAGCTGACACTCTGCAGCCTTTTGGTGCTCAATTAATGTCTACTGAATGAATGAATTTATTGTAGAAGTACTTGATCTCCCATTTGGCATAATTCTTCATAAGGCCATCGTCTTTAGACTCAGAATTCCTGTTGGTACTATTGGTATGATGGTTGAGTTGCATTCAGGATTGAATTGGGCTTTGCGTGCTGGTGTAACAACCTGATCACCTAATATGTTATTGGTTCAATAGAATTCATTGAGTTCCGACCATTAACTTACCGATGAGCTTTTAGAGCACGAATCAATAGTAAGTTGGAGATTACCTGTACGTGAATGTAGAAATATTATAAAATGAAATCGTATGTAGTTGATTTTCCTGTGATATTTAGGGCACTTCTTTTCTCATACTTAGTTTAAGTGAATTTCTCTACTACTGTTTTTTTTTTTTTCCCTGTAAACCTGCCCAAAGCGTTTTTACAAGTAGGTGGTACATATAATAATGATTATAATAAAAACAACTACCTGAAAATTTAAAAAGAAGTAAAAGAGATAAAGGAATTTCTAAGATTCCAAAAAGATAAGATCTTTTTATGTGTCCCCATTTCATATTGAGTCACCTGGAACATGGCATTAAATTAGTTTTGGTTTGGGTTCATGTGAAAGAGAAACCACATGAGTAACACACTCTAATAAAATTAAAATACAGTTACAAAGAGACATCTCAGATGGACTGAAAAAGCCAAACAGTCAGATCCTTTCTTACGTAGTGGTAAAGCCTGGCTAGAAAGGAAGCTTTTTCATTAGAATATTTTCAAAATCAAGCATACCTCAATTTGCAAGCAATTTGAATTTATGTGGAATTAATATAGCCCAAATAAATTAAATGAACAATTAAATGTTTACTGTTTTGACCACTAAAATGGAGTGTGGCTTTTGTAAATGGGTTCGAGTGGAACATTGTATAGTTTAGATGTGGGAATTACTATTAAGAATCGTGGCCGGATGCGGTTCTGGGAGGCTTTGGGAGGCTGAGGCGGGTAGATGACCTGAGGTCAGGAGTTCGAGACCAGCCTGGCCAACGTGGTGAAACCTTATCTCTACTAAACATGCAAAAAATTAGCCAGGCGTGGTGGTGTGCTCCTGTAATCCCAGCTACTCGAGAGGCTGAGGTGGGAAAATTGCTTAAACCTGGGAGGCGGAGGCTGCAGTGAGCCGAGATTGCGCCACTGCACTCCTGCCTGGATGACAGTGAGACCCTGTCTCAAAAAAAAAAAAAAAAAGAATCATAAAGTTTATTATTTCAATAATCTAATATCTTTGATGCATATGATTCTGTTCCTATATAATTATTTTTAAAGTCAGTAGTTTAACACAATAGCTTTAGATTCCTTCTACTGGTTACTATATGTCTTCAAAAGATAGAAAATGCAAAGTTGTATGAGTCATCTGATTAAAGGAAGAGTAAATGAATTATTAATGAGTTAAAAATAAAAACTTGGATACTTGAAAATGATGTTGAAGTATATAAAAATAAATTATGTAAAATTGATTTAAATTAACACCATAATAAGACATGAATTACTTCAAAATACTGAGAGGTTGAGTGGCTGGAGCTTAGACTCCAGAGGTTCAGAAGGTTCCTCTCTGCAGCTAAACAGCAATATTAACTTGGGCACGTTATTAAACCCATTGAGGCCTCCCTTTCTTCATTTGTAAGATGGAGTTGATGATAGTATCCACCTTGATGATTTGTATTGAGAATTAGAGTGAAACATTGTGAATCTTGTTACAAAAAGCTTGCTTACAATTGACATATGTAAGGGGTGGTTATTATCATCAACAACATTGGAGAAAATAAATTTTTTTTAAAAAAACCATGATTACAGTACCGTTGTAAATTTTCATGCCAGTATTCATATTACTTAGGTTCAGGGAAAATAACTAATTCATGAAAATCCAAAGTAGGTGTGCCTTTCTCCATAGTATGATATATTTCAAGTCTATGGAGAGATATTCAAGAACAATGTTTTCCAATTCATTGGTTTTTAAAAAATTCATCCATGCTTTGTTTATTCAACAGATAGTTTTGAGTACTTCCTAATATTTCATGCCCTATACTGACCTAGAAATGAAAAGCACAGGCTCTATCCTCAAGGATATCACAGTCTAAAAATAAGATCTCACCAGCAAACTGGGAATCCATTTAGACAATGATAGGTGGCAGAAATCTTTCAACTGATAAATTAGCTTTTAAAATTGGTAGTAGTTTTCTGCACATGTTTAGAATATATTTCTTTTCTTTTACTTTACTTTTCTTTCTTTTTTTTTTTTTTTTTGACACGGAGTTTTGCTCTCGTTGCCCAGGCTGGAGTGCAATGGCGTGATCTCGGCTCACTGCAAACTTTGCCTCCTGGGTACAAGCAATTCTCCTGTTTCAGCCTACCAAGTAGCTCGGATTACAGACATGCACCACCACGGCCGGCTAATTTTTTTTGTATTTATTAGAGACGGAGTTTCACCATCTTAGTCAGGCTGGTCACGAACTCCTGACCTCAGGTGATCCACCCACCTTGGTGTCCCAAAGTGCCGGGATTACAGGTGTGCACCACCGTGCCTGGCCAAGATTTCTTACTCTCTTCCACAACTTCCCCACCCATGTGAGTTTATGATAAATTGGGAAACCATTTGGAATCCAAACAAAAAAGGTGATTTTAATTATTAGTCCATCGAAAAGACAGAATTACCAGAATAACTACAGTTCTTTATTTCTAAGGTTTCTTTGGCTGTATTAGTCTAATATTTATTTTTAAAATGTGATTAGCAATTATCTGGACTAATTTTTAAATATATGCTTATATTAATAAAGCTCATAAGAAGTATTTTTTAAGACTAATATGCTTATATATTCATTGCTTTTTTTTTTTTTTTCTGAGATAGGGTCTTGCTCTGTTGCCCAGGTTGGAGTACAGTGGCATGATCATGGCACACTGCAGGCACCACCGCATGCGTTCAAGAGATCCTGTCATCTGAGCCTCCTGAGTAACTGGGACTACAGGTGCATGCCACCCTGCCCGGCCAATTTTTTAGTTTTTGTAGAGATGGGGATCTCACTATGTTTTCCAGGCTGGTCTCAAAGTCCTGGACTCAAGTGATACTCCTGCTTCAGCCTCCCAAAGTGCTGAGATTATAGGGGTCAGCCACTGTGCCTAGCCTCATTGTTTTTGTTGATGGTCGTTTTACCTAATAGACTTTAGCCAAAAAAAAGTTATCCAAATATTGTTTATTAGCTTGTTAAAAGGGAGATGATCCGTATCTCAATGAATAAATATTTTCAGCCTGTGTTACAAAGCCAAATTGTCATCATTTAGATTTTAGAAAAAAAAAAATGCTCTTTAAAATGTATAGTACATACCTTCCCAATTAATTATTCTGTTAGTGCTGTATTTAACAATGACAGGGAATTAAAGACTATAATAATTAAATCTGAATTAGTGTTAAAAATTTTACCTGATCACTGTTCTAAATCATATTTCAATGAATTTTTCTGAAATGTGATTCATTCAGATTTCAAAAGGAAATAACATGTATTTCATCAGAATGACAAAATGTTATATATACAGTCAGCATAAAAGAAAAAAATCATTAAAAAACATTTGGCTTGGATCTTTAAATATTTTGTTCTGTATTTCTGGATTTTTTTTCTTTTGGCTCTTCTGGAGAATTACAGTAAAGTTGAGAGTGAATCCTGATACTCTGATAGAGTCAAATCTCCCTTTAAGCCCCATGCCTATGCTGGAAAACTTACTATTACTTTCTATATCAGACTTTAATATTATAAGCAATGATGATTTTTTCATGTTGTTTCTATAAAATGAAATTTTATCCTAAATCTAAAGTCATTAAACCAAAAAATTCCAGGCACAATCCATCACTTCATTTCAGCACAAGCTCAATCATTGCTTTCAAATCTATCATATTACCTATTTTCTTCTTCTTCTTTTTTTTTTTTTTTTTTTTTTTTGAGACGGAGTCTCGCTCTGTCGCCCAGGCTGGAGTGCAGTGGCGGGATCTCGGCTCACTGCAAGCTCCGCCTCCCGGGTTCACGCCATTCTCCTGCCTCAGCCTCCCAAGTAGCACCTATTTTCTTCTTGAGGAGGAATGTAGTGTAAGGATGAACCTAGTACCAAACAATAACTGGCTTCTTAAGAATGGGATTTATATATTTTTTTATAGCATTCTTGAGATAAGAAGATTCTTGGATATCCAAAGCAAATGTATTTAAAAAACGAGGTTACAGTTTTTGTTCTAAATAATACCTTCTGTTCTCACTTATATCTGGAATTTTAAAATGTTGGATACTTAGAAGCAGAGTAGAATGGTGCTGAGGTGGGGAGGTGGGGAAATGCAGAGATCTTGGTCAGAGGGTACAGAGTTGCAGTTTTGTAGGATGAATAAGCCTTGAGATTTAATGCAAAAGTTGAGGACTATAGTTAACAATATTGTAATGTATACTGGAAATTCGCTAAGAAAGTAAATGTCATGTGCTCTCCTATAAGAAAAGGTAAAAAAGCCAACAGGTTCTTTCAAAGAAAAATTTATAAAATTGAGAAACCACTTATCCTCTCAGGGAAGATACTGTATTCCTATTTTAAAGGTAAAGAAAATACGACAATGGAAAATACAGTCGTTCCATGGTATTTTGGGGGAATTGGTTCTAGGACCGCCCCAACCCCAGGCCCCACTGGGGATACCAAACACCATAATGCTCAAGTTCCTTGTATAAAATGGCATAGTATTTGTATGTAACCTGTGCACATCCTCCCATATACTTTAATTCATCTCTACTTACAATACCTAATACAGTGCCTACATATCACTTCATTTGAGTGGATTCAGCATAGTACTCAGTGTGCAGCAAATTGGAGTTTTACTTTTTGTAAGTTTGTGGAATTTTTGTTTTCTGAATATTTTTGTTCCATGGTTGGTTGAATTCATGTATGCGGAGCCCATGTGTATGTACATCATTCTGGAAGAGACTAAGATAGGGCAGAACATCCAACTGTGATCCTCTACACCTTGATTTTTCTCAGGACACTTTCAATCTAAATATTCTCTTTAGTTCTTAGCTGTTATGTTTTAGTGATAAGATCATCATGGTCTTCCAATATTAGGGATATATGGTTTCTACACAGAACATCATGTGGAAACTGAAAAATAGCTGTGATCTTAGTGAACAGAAGCCTCAGCAAATGATGGCACAATTTTCTGTGTAGCCTATCACTTGTTTTCCACCTTTTTGTGTATTGAATATGGCCTTCTGGGTCAGCCAGAAATATCTTAAAAGCTGTTAATTGTTCAGGCAAACATAATAAGTGTGGGGACTGGAAGGCGTAATTGGACGAGGGACATTTTACTGTTTGTTTTATTTTGATGTGACCTTATTTCTTTTAATATTGTTTTAGATTATTTTGGAAGGCAGGGGGAATCCTGTTTGCTCAAGGGACAAAATTTGAGAAGATACACAGGACAGCCCTCAGTGACTTCTTGGCCAACTAGAGTGTAGTGGGCGGTTAGGGTGGCTGATAGGATATAGTGTGGCTGAGAAGGAAACAAACCGTTGCCCTTGAGGAGACCAGGTGGATTCCTAGTATTGTACTTCTCTATCAATCACAGGTATTTCCATTTCCTTCTTAGATTTTGATTTAGTATATTTAGAGGAATTGAGCTAGAGCTGATAAGATTTTTCTGCGTTTGCATTTCCTTGAAATTAGATTGGCCTCTAACCAGTCATGTAACACATCTTCCCCTCTTCTTCTTCCTCTTTTACACATTGAGGGAAAACATGATTTCTCAAAAAATTTAACTTTTGATTGATCTCCTATTGAATTGCACAAGAGGAGAACTTGAGGTATAAAAAGAGTCAGTGTAATTATTAAATAATTAGTGGTTTCTACATTTTTATAGACAAATGCCCTAAAAAAAATTGGAATGCTAATTTTTAAGCTTTGTTCTATTTAAATTTGTTTCTAATGGGTGAGAATTGGACTTGCTAAAATTATTACAAATAGATTGCAATTCAGAAAAGCAATGCAGTGGAGAAGTTATTAGTATCATGAGTCTGAACTGGAGTATTACGTAGTAGTCACTTATCAGTAAGGCGAGGACAAGGTCAGAGTAGATCAGCTCAGTGACCTGCGGGAATCATAAGTGTGCCCCTGCTATAGATTTCTGTCAGGAAGTCCCTGCTCTATCATCTAAGCATAGCAACTACCCTCCCTGAGCTTTTATTTAGCTCAAGCTTGTTCAACCCATGGCCTGCAGGCTGCATGTGACCCAGGATCGCTTTGAATGCAGCTCAACAGAAATTCATAAACTCTCTTAAAACGTTATGAGATTTTTCTTTCTGCTTTTCTTTAAGTTCATCAGCTATTGTTAGTGTTAGTGTATGTGTGGCTCAAGACAATTCTTCTTCTAGTGTGGCCCAGGGAAGCCAAAAGATTGGACACCCCTGATTTAGCTGCATAAGCCACTAGATAGAATTCCAGGTAATGTCTTGAGGGAGCAGTGGAAAGAAGAAATGGATTAATGTTGAGTCCAAAGAGTAGGAAAGAAGGGGTGTTTGAGCTGGTCTGCAAGGAATACGGATTTCTTTTTCTTTTCTTTCTTTCTTTTTTTTTTTTTTGAGACAGGATCTTACTCTGTTGCCCAGGCTGGAGTGCAGTGGTGTGATCATGGCTCACTGTAGCCTTGAGTTCCCAGGGCTTAAGCCATCCTCCCAGCTCAGCCTCCCAAGTGGCTGGGACCATAGGTGTGTGCCACCATGCCTGGCTAATTTTTTGTAGCAATGGGGTCTCACTTTGTTGCCCAGGCTGGTCTCGAACTCCTAGGCTCAACTGAGCCTCCCATTTTGGCCTCCCAAAGTGCTGGGATTATAGGTGTGAACCACTGTGCCTGGTCCTGGAATGCAGATTTCTAAACTTAATGAATAAAGGGACAGATTTACCTGGAAATTAGCTTGGGCAAAGGCTCAGATTACCAGTTTACCTGGAGCTTGAGGTGCATGAATTAGTGTCAGGTAACCTGAGCCTGGAATCCAGGAAATGACCCTTAAGGACCCTGAATGCCATCTGATGCAATGGATTTCCTCAGTAGGTGCAGGGCTTGTAGATGAGGGTGCAGGAAGTCTTAGGGGCCATCTTAGAATTCTGCCTTCCATGGTAGATAATGGGGAGTTTCTGCCAGTGTTTGAAAAAGGAAGTTACATGTTCCAAGCTGTGTTCTTGAAAGTTAGTATTAGTGGGATGTAGAAAGTGTTTTGGAAAGATGAACTGGAAACAGTTGACAAGGGAGGAAGTCTTTGCAATATCAAAAGATCTGAGAGCACCAGTGCATTGGAAATGGGGATCCAAGGATCAAAAAGAGGACAACTTGCTACCTTCTAATTTAAGCCAAGATTTGCTTCCTTTGTGCTTTGCGGAGGGAAAGGTAATGAAGGGTAGTGCTAAGCAGACAGGCTCTTCATGCTTTCTCTTAAACAGGGCAGCCTTTTTCTAACACCCTCATTTAATAATTGAGATATGGTGGTTCAGAAAGGGAAAATGACATAGTTACCAGAGTTTCTAAGCTTTGCCAACTATGCAGTTTAGTTTGAGAAGAGATGACTCACTGGTAAAGAATGATTAGCTGGCATACAGGGCATAAGAAGGGCAGCTTGCTCAATTATACTATGGATTCCAAGGGAGGCTGGGGCCAGCTTGGCTTGGAATTTGTCAGGACAGCTTCATGGGAGAATGTGGGTCTTACCCTGGCTGTTAAAATAAGTTATGGAGAGGACATGAGCATTACTTAAGTAAAGGTCAGAAGACAGGACCAGCTCTGTGCAAAATTGGGGAGTCAGATAAGCTTGAGGGGCAGTGTGGTATGTGGCTGTGAGCCTTGGGGTCTTATATACTTGAGCTGTGTGACTTCGGGAAACATACTTTGTCTCATGAGCCTCAGTTTTTCTAACTGTAAAATGGAGCTAATAATAATGCACATATAAATACAAAATAATTATTTCATGGCTTAAATCTAGCTGCGTATTACAAATATTGTGTGATTCAACCAAATCTATTTATACCTTATAGAGTTCTTATGATTTCTGTGTCAGATAATGCATGTCTAGCATAGTTCCTGCCACTTAATCAGTATGGCATCTTAGTAACTATTTGCAATATTATTCAAGGAATAGGAAACTTTGGAATCTGGAATTTAGGTAGAGCGGTTAACTTTTAAAGCTGGAGAAGGCTTTTACTTTGCGATATGGGGAAGTAGCCAGGTTGTAAGGGAGAGGATGTTGAATTTCAAGTGAAATGTGGGAATATCAACTAGAAGCTGGGGTCGGAGGGGCAGAGACTCCTGGTATGTCAACATTTGGCTTGGCTTGACCTCAGGATGCAGAGTTTAGTATCTTGCTGCTGATGGAGGCCTTAGAGGAGTTCAGACTTTTCGGGTGAGGGAGTAGATGGGCTAGTAGGTAGGATATAACGTAGTTCAGAGCAGAAAACTCTCCTTGGGAGGGGGTGAGAGGAATAGGAAGAAGATGGGATGTGGTGTGTGTGTGTGTGTGTGTGTGTGTGTGTGTGTGTGTGTGTGTAGGGAGATTGATTTCACTGGATATAGAGCAGAAACTTCGGGTGGTGGAACCTCATCTGCACTGGGCTGATTCTTTGCAGTTCTTCCTGAGGAAGTTACACCTTGATGAAGGGGGTTTTCTGAATGGGAAATAAGGGAGAGGGCAGGAGGAAGAGGAGAAAGTGAAGGGGAGGTGAAGTTTACGAGGTTGAGAGTGTGGGATTGGTGGGTATAAAAAGATGTGAGAGCTATGGGCTGTGATCCACTGTTGAGGAGACTGCAAGTCCAGCATCCAGAGAGATAGCAGAGAAGAAACTGGGGCTCCCAGGCGGGGCTCCTGGTTTCTTGGTGCTCTAGGTATGGTCGAAAGGGAGCCCCATGCCCAGAACTATCCTGCCTTGTGGTAAAGATGCCTCTCAATAATATTTGGAGAATGCCATGTCTTTCCCCTAGTACAATACATGGAAGCAGAATTCAAAGCATCTCTCTCTAAGCCTATGAACCACAACAAGGGCTTTAAAATAGCTTCAGATAGGCACCTTTGCCTTGTTTATGAAGCGTGTACTAATTAGAGTTGTGTTTTCTTTGTGGTATAAGCCTTTGCAATGGATCTACATTGTCCTTGTTATCAATAATAACTAATGAGATTAAAATTTAAAACAGGTGTCTGATAATCCTTGATGAAGAGAATTCAGGGGATATTGTTCCTGATTTTGCTTTCTCTCCACTTGGAAAGGAGGTGGACGAGCCCATCAGACCACAGCCTGTTGCTAGGAGGAAATTCCTTGGCTCAACATGCAGAAAGTGTAGTACGCCTAGATTACAGTTTACCAGGGACGAGGGCCTGTTGCTTTGATGCGCTCCCAAGACTGGAGTTGGAAAAGTTTTTTTGGTGTAGTTCCATCCTCTCATAGTGAAGTTCTTCATTTTCCCAGGGATGGAAGCTTTGTTATAAGAGTCCCAGTGTAGATTCTGATGTAATGATTCAAGATATTGGCTTTCCAGAGGATTCTTAATATATTGCTTTATTCACCATAGCTTTAATTCCATTGTGTTAAAAAGAATATGCCACTTTCTTGTCATCTGAAGAACTCTTAATTTCTTATATCCCATCAAATGTAGTATTATTTGCTCAAGCTTTCTTTCCAAATTTTGCTCTGGAGTGTTTGTAGACAGTTACATTTATCTCTAACATTGCTCACCATTTAGTAAAAGAAACAAAACAAAACAAAATGCCAGCAAAAGTAACTCCTCCATAAAATACGTGTAAAGCAGGAATAACATGTGAATGAACAAAATCCTGGCTTGAATCTGTTCTTTTGCAACAAATGTAATGCGGTTGTAATTTTGAGAAAAGAAGCCTGCAAACAAAAATAGTTAGTAGTTTAATTTTAGGTTTACAGTTTTGACATTGTAACCCTAAATTACATCGTATTTGGAAAAATCTCTTCAACTTAGACTTTTTTTTTTTTTTTTTTTTTTTACCCTAGTGCTACAAGATGACTCTATATTAAAGTTTCTCTGGAGATAAAATAGCAATATTTGTCAATCTATATAATAGTTAATATTCAAAGTAACGTAATTTATCTGCATCTTAGATTTGCTCTTCTTGTTGAAAATACTGGTAGTTTTAAATACGTAGAATCAAAAACAAACAAATGCAAAACTCCTTTAAACATGGCAGATAGGGAGTTGTGAGAGGCTGTGCCAAACTTCATAAGGTGCAGCATTTAGGAGAGATGAAGGGCTAAAGCCATCAGAGTTTCTACCAAATTGGGTGATCTACATGAGCTTCATTAGCCACCCCTTAATGAAGAGCCAGCACTGAAGAAATGTTTTTGCAGCAGGAGAATGAGGCAACTATTTAATGGTATCTAGTTAAAGCCAGAAGGAGACCATGAGAGGAATGATTTTAAGTTCCCTAGAGGGCAAGAAGTGTTTCTCCATGTGGTACTTCGAAGAGTAAGGTAAACAAATAGGTACTTAATAAATGTCTTTTGATGATGGAGAAGTTAAAAGGAGGGTACATCAATAACTGAAATTACCTGGACTTAACAAGGCTAAAAGTTAATAGAAATCTAGGCATCCACTGTGATCAAGGCCAATGCATTTAAATAAGTCCACTTCCAATTTCAGCTCCTGGGGAAAAGAGTACATTTCAGATGCCAAACCCCCAACCAAATCTGGTTGGTAGCAATAGGCTCTTTTGGCCCTTGGTAAAATTCCCAGTAATCCAGATACCAAAATACACTATTAAATACTGAAGAAAATTCATTTGTTCATTGATTGGGTGACATCTATAGTCATCAGTCTCTCAGGAGGTTAGAAGCCCAACTTGGAGTTCTACAGCAGTGCATTGCTGTTTGCCATGCACCTTCAGCGTCTCACATTACTGTATGCAAAGTCTTTTTCAAGCACCTGATAAAAGCTGTGTTGGCTTAGACAGAATGCCAGTGGGTGGAATCTGGGTTTTATTGGTGCTACTTGAGGGAAAACACTTAGTTCAGGAAGGCACTGAAAACAGAAACAAGGTTTTGAGGTTGTTATTTGGAGTCAGACTCTTGAGTATATCATGGAAACAAAAGAATTTTAAACTTAAAAAAAATCATTTTATTTTCTATTTGGCTTCAATATGGTGATAATGTCTGTCCCTATTTCCTGTACAACTGGCCTTTTTCTTCAGTATTTTTCCTCTGGGAAAAAGTATGCCTTCCAAATACCACCTTGGAGCTCTCAGCTCATTATTCTTATTCCCTTGCTAGGCAAAGCAACCACTGCCTTCTTAAAAGTTCGATGAAATCTACAGAGTAATACAGGAACTCCCAGCAAACACGGAAGAAACTGAGCCTGGGATGGAAAGTACAGCTTTACTGGCAAAGGATCAGGGACCTAAAAGCTTACATTTTTGTGCTCTACCACTGCCCATATATATTTACTTTCTTACCTTCATTCTGACTTAACCCAGATTTACTTACCTATCTATTTTATCTCAGTGGCAGGAGTATTTTTTGTAAGTGTTCTCATGTCTTTTGGGGGAAAGAAACAAAGTATAAAATAATAAATCAATATTGACATGGTGAAGTAATATCTTGAATGAGATAATTAGCAATATGAGTGTTTGGAGCAGGATTTTTGATGAGTCTTCCAAAATAATATAAATTTAGAGTTTGCTTAGTTTGTGTCTTTTTTTTTTTTTTTTTTTTTGAGATGGAGTTTCACTCTTGTTGCCCAGGCTGGCATGCAATGTTGCAATCTCGGCTCACCGCAACCTCCACTTCCTGGGTTCAAGTGATTCTCCTGCCTCAGCCTCCCAAGTAGCTGGGATTACAGGCATGCGCCACCACGCCCAGCCAATTTTGTATTTTTAGTAGACACAAGGTTTCTCCATGTTGGTCAGGCTGGTCTTGAACTCTTGACCTCAGGTGATCCACCCACCTTGGCCTCCCAAAATGCTGGGATTACAGACGTGAGCCACCGCGCCCAGCCTAGTTTGTATATTTTAAAAGAATTTCCTAGCATTATTGAATAATTAGATAATGTATATCTTATCTTTTGGTTGCTCTTGCCCATTCTGGAAATAATTTATAAGAAGATCTAATTTAGATTCTATCTGCTGTTAAGTGTGAATTAGTGTGAGTTGCATATAACATATATAAAAGCTGTAACCTGGGAAAAAGTTATTATCTGGAAGCTTTAGAAATTAATGTTATTCTTTCTTAAGTATCATCAGGAAATTAATCAAAATGGCCACCTTGATACCAAAAATAAGGTTTTGGGGCATAACATCCTTATGAATTCAAATGTTAGTCATTTCACATATCTTCCACTTTATTTCATTAAGTCCTTCCTAGTAGACACTGTTCAAACATTATTCACCATTTACTAATGCTGTTACAACATTATTTTAGAAGATGGATATGGATAGCTGTTCTAGCTTTTAAAGTTTTCAGTGTAAAGCACCATGTGCTAAACATTGGCCAGGATATTCTGTATGAAATGGCTTTAGTTACAGGCCTGTCTGACAACAGTTTTCATCAGAAAAGTATGCTTATTTTCCTTTCTTTTAGAAAATTTGGCTGAAAGCAATTTTGGCAAAGTCAGCATAGCCTTAAGTGTCACATGAGAAAGATGGAATTGAAGTGGCTGTTAGGTAGACCTGACCTGGGTATGGTGACTGTGGTGACATGAGTCCTTTGGAGGACACAGCGTCTCTCCAGCATCTCTCTTCTGAGGTTCACTCTCTTTTGTAGGGGCTTACCCCCTTGTCAATGCTACACACACACACACACACACACACACACACACACACACACACACAGAGGGAGAGAGAGAGAGAGAGAGAGAGAGAGAGAGAGAGAGAGAGAGAGAGAGAAAGAATGGAGAACCTTCCTTCTTACCTGTGGATACAGATGCACCTTGGCAGAGCCCACTTGCCTCCTGCTTCCGGCCTTTCTCAAACCAGACCTTTTTTAGTTTCTACTTCATCCACACAGAGACTTAATAGTGGCCAGTAAAGTGACTTGAAAAACGAATACATGCCACCATGTTAATGCACACCTTTCCAGTGGGATAAGCTCAGCCTGAGTGCCAAATTGTATTTCTTTGCACATGATTATCAGTTAAAATTATTTATATAGTTTGTTATTCATTAAATTTATTTTAGGAAAGTACACAAAGAAAAAATTGTGACCAGGCAATTAGGTAGCTTCTAAGGTAGCCATTGCCAACCTATCTTTTGTTATGAAGATGAAGTCTGTTATTTCTTAATATTGAACATTATTTTTGACTAAATTTAAATTCTACTGTATGCAATAGAATTGAAAATATACCAGCTTTATCGTCATTACCAAGAGTGATGATGATGATACCTCCTATTTATTGCCCACCCCCCATGAACAAGGTATCGTGCTGAGAATTTACATAAAGCAATTCAGTTAATTCTCAGTACAGTGCTGCTTGGGAGAGATTGCTATTTGCCTTTTACAAGATGATGAAAGAAGCTTGGAGATGTTGAGTCATTTATCTGAATTACAAAGCAAGTGAGTGGGCAAGATAGTTGAAAATTCTTTATTAAATTTGCTTTGATAACAAAAGTAATGTTTGCTTTTGGTAATACAATTGGAGTATTACAGAGGAAGTTATGCATACCATAGGAAGCTAGACTGGTTTTCAGTACATTATCCAGAAGAACAAAAAGTACTGTTAACAAATGGGGCATCTTTATCTTTATCTGACTTCTTGAGAATAATCTTTGTAAATTATCTGATCACTTTTTAAGTAGTAGTTTTTTTAAATGACTTTTTGATGACATACTTTCAACTTTCTTTGCAATAGAATCAAGGTGCATTTTAAATTTAGAATAAGCGAGGATTTTCAGGACCATATATCTTTTTACACATTTGCTTTCTGACAATTTTTCACCCCCAAATACTCAAACTTTTACTTATTTATTAGTTAACTTTTAATAATCGTTTCTTCTTAACATAGTCTTAGTATATGCAGATGTTTAAGGTTTTCATTTTCACTGCTTTTCATTTAATACCATTAAATGTATACCAGAGGTTACATTTTTCAAGTTTATTGTTCTGAGTATTTATGCCTGCTCTTTTTCTTCGGTTCCAATATGCTGGACAGTCTATGAGAAACTGATGTGAAAGTTGATGTCTTTGGAGATTACGTAAAAGCTGCTTTAGCCATTATTTTTCCATTTCTTGCTCTGCTAAGCACCCAATTGTTGAGCTTGACAGAAGATCATTTTACTGAGCTATTTACTTTGAAAAATTATAAGTAATATACTTACAGAAAATAATTAAATACTATATACAGGTAAAAGTGAAAAGTAAATCTCTTCCTTCTCCTTGTTTCTCCTTTGGCCGTTGCTCCCAAGCCTAAATTTCTTGTTTCCACATTTTCTTAATGGGCATGGAAGCATAGGTATGCATGTGTATACACGTACTTTATGAAGTCAGATCTCTTTAAATTCCAATTGTATAGGATGGCTCTCTGCACTGTGTGTGCCTCCTTCCTGTGTGTACTGGACTGTGGGATAAACAGCTCTCAGCAGGATATTCATATTCAGTAAAATAAATGATGAATTTCCAATGGAAAAGAGAGTCAGGACCAAGAAAATAGAAACAGAGACTGAAAATATGGGAAACAGTACAAATTTATAGACCATGAAGTTCAAAAATGTTGGCTGCTAAATTAGCATCATGTGTTTAAAAAGTTTCCTGGTAGTTATGTAAAAAGCATGATACAATCCATAATATGATTTTGTTTTACTCTGAAGGAAGGAAGTATGGCAGTTTCTTAGAGGAAAGCGTGACTTTTCTGTTAGGCTGCTGGGAGCTGTGCTGCTGAGATAGTGTGGGTGAAAATGGGATGTGGTAATGTGTGCTTGCTGAGGAGCTGAGATGTATCCAGTTCCATAATTTGCCTTCAGGACCAGCTCCCTAATGTGTGGGCCTCTTGTTCAAAAATTAAGAGTTTCAAGATGGTGACAGAAGAGCATGAAGCCAAGCATGGGGACCACGTAAGTGGGGCTCTATGTGACTGCATGGGTCCATGCTCCTGACACTGGCCCTGTGTGCTTTGAGATCCTTGAGCATGCTCAGGACCTGTGAGGAGAAGAGCAGGCTGGTGGGGAAGGGGAAGTTGGTGCCTCATTCAGGGATGTGCTCAGAGAAGTGCAGGTTCTCTCTTTGGGCTTTCCTTATCTCTGTCGCTTCTTCAGGAAGGGGAATTAATGGGGGGCTAGGATGTGGCCTATTTGGGGAGCAGAGTGGGGAGTAATAAAGAAGGGTTGAGGAGGGCTCTGCTAGAAATATTGGAAACGAGACCTGATGCATAGCCCGAAGGTGGCATCGATTCTTAAGTAAAATGATGTGAGGTGAAATGAGGGGACTCTTCCCCCCTTAAATTTGGAGCAGTGGGAGTTGGGGGTATGTTTACAAACCACTTCTGGAATGTTGAGAACAGAGGCAAGGAAGCATGTGATAACAGTTCCTTACAGTTTTAGGACACAGGGAACACATTTTCCTAAGAGCACAGATGAGGGACATAAAACTCAGCCCAGCAGCTTGGGGTATCAGGAAAGGCCCAGAAAGAGATCCTGAGCAATGCATCTGGGTGGAGACCTGGGTGTCCACATACTGTTATTCATTTAGCACTTTGGACTTTATGCTAAGGGCTATGGGGAAACCACTGAAGGCTTCTGGAGAGAAGCTACATCAGACTTTCATTTTCTGAAGTATTTCGGTTTCCCATGTTACTGTGTAGCAGTGGTTCCCAAAGTTTGGTCCCACGACCAGCAGCACTGGTCTGACCTGTGAGCTTCTGGGAAATGCAGATTCATGGGCCCTATCTGGACCTATTAAATCAGATCTCTGAGGATGGGCCAGAAACTCTGTTAGGACAAGCTCTCTGGGTGATTCTTGTGCATGTTAAAGCTTAAGAACCACTGCTGTGGAGAATGGATGGTGGACCTGACTTAGGAAGTGTTTATTACAGATCCCTTATGTGACTAACAAGGAACCTGGGGGCCCGCGTTAACTTTCCAAAGATCAACCTGCTGGTGGATAGGTAACTTTCCAAAGATAAGTAACTTTCCAAAGATCAACCTACTGGTGGATGGTAATCAAGAAATACCAGTTACCTGACTGTGCCCAGTCTTTCTGCCATGGAAACTTCCCAGGCAGTGAGAAGATTATCATAGCATTTTAAAAAGAAAGGTGTAATTATATGCTATATTACCTTTCAGAAACAGCGCTTACAAAAATACGAATGGAAATAGGCAAATAATGTAGTGCATAAACATGATTGATGTATAATTTTTGATTTTATCACATTTTATATGTGATGCATATTGTGTTTGTGTGTCTCTGAGACTGGAATGGGGAAGCAGGAAGTAGCTGTTATCTTAACTTAAGCTAATTATTCTCTAAGCAGTGAATTTACTAGGGCTATGACCTTGGGTAAAACATTTAATCTCTGTGAGCCTCAATTTCCTTATCTATGAAATGGGGATAGTAATATCTACCTAACACAGTTGTTAGCGTAAGGTGGCTTATGTGAAAGTGTTTTGTAAGTTGTAAAGCATTTAAAGCATTATAAGTGTGAGCAGTATTTTTTTATCATATAACTTAAATCCAATCATCTAGCAAACATTTATTAATTATATTATGTGAAATATTGTAAGTGTAGAGTTTTAAACATGTTTTTTTTTTTTCCCAGAGGAATTATAACCTTTTGAGATGATTACCTAAATTATTCACACTATTACTCAGTGGTGAACCCATTCAAACAATATGGACAATTTTATTAGAAATTCCCAAATCTATATTTTGGATTGAATTTAACCTAGTTGTTAGTTGTTTTCTAACCTTGTTTTAATTTTTATTTTTAGTAGGGATACTTAAGCACATTGTGACATGGTGTACTGTACTTTAGTATGTTTAATGTTGCCCTTAAGGAGATCATTCAGTTTAATAATTAAATGAGTATATAATCATTTGTATAACCTTCCAGGAAAGCAACAAAAGTGCATGAGCAATTTCTAAGTAAAATTAAGTCAGTGAGTGGTTTATGTGACTCATCAACCTTAATGTGAATTGGAGTAGTTTTGCTTTCATCAATTGGAAATAAGTATTCTAATTATTTGTATGAGTCTTTTGGTTGCCCAGTTAAGCAGTTAGATGTTCCTTACAGCCGTAGGCTAGGCTTTCTCAGGGATTTATTAATTTATGCCTCTTTCATGTTAGAATGGTTCATTTTTAAGGAAAGTCCAGTTACCTTTAGAGATGACACTTATTTTATGATAAATGGCAACGTATTTGCATTAACACTAAGGCCATATTCCATTTCATATGGGCTAAATTGCAGCTACCAATAAAACCCAGTGGTACATTATTTTGATGTGGGTATTCTGGTCAGTGGAGAGATCATTCTTTAAACGCTTTAATCTTTTAAATGTCTATTCTTTCTAGAGGCTGAAGAGCTTTCTAAAGTGTATACCTCCTTTATTGAAAGTACAATATTCATGTCACAACTCAAATCACTTTTAATAACAATATGCTATACTGTTCAACTCTGATTTCCTTTTGGAGTCTACGAGAGGGCTGACGTGGAGGGGCCCACCAGCTGGGGAAGCACAGCTCAGACGGCCCCGCAGGGTGGATGGCACAGAATCTGATATAAACGGGTAAACTTCTGGCCATTGCCCTGGTCACCAACTCCTTTGACTTGTTTTGTCCCTGGCTCTGGATTCTGTCTTCTGGATTCAAATTGCAGTTTGTCCAGTTCCGTGCCTTGAGTAACTATACTAGTATTTTTTTAAGGTAGACAATGGGAGTGGTCAAAGCTTTTATCTATTCTCATTATTTTTCAGCACAGTGTCATTTTAAAGTGAGTAGAATTATTTTTTTAACTTTGTTTCTTAACCAGTGTAGACCCAATTTATGTATTCCCTATATCCTGTTTCTGTGCATTTCCTTGCTGTTTCTTACTATCGATCTAGGATAAAATGTATTTCTTTTAAGAAACTTCCCAGGTCCATTCATATCTGAATCCAGGATGTTTTTTGAGTGCAGTTTTTAAAATTGAATTCTAATTCCAGATTTTAAAAATAGCCCAGGTAATATTACTGTTAATCACACAGAAAAACTATTTTTGAATACAATATTGTAGAGGATTAAGCTAAGAGCACTGTTGTTTTGAAATGAAAAATTTTAATTTTACCGCAAGTTTTTCCAGGTTGCAGTGATACTTAACATTGTACAAATACATGTATGTAATTAATACTTTAAATTTTTAGGGAATGATTGTTGAGTATCTGGCTTTCAGTCCAAACAGAGACAAAAATGATCATGTATACAGAGAAGCAGAAATTCAGTACGGTTTCAACCTATTAATTAGACTTTCCTTTACTTTCCTATAATCAAAGGTGAGTAACTTCCCAGAAAATCCACAGTGTACAAGAGATGCGGCTATTTTGATACATATTAGCACTGACACAAATGAAATTTGAAATGGGAAGTTTTTTTAGGACTCAGTGATGAATGTTTACATTTGAAAGTTAAAAATTTTCTTTCTGTTTTTTTCCAGTAAAAATTCAAAACAAATTAAAACAGTGAATGATGTTTTCTATTGTACTTATAGTAATCATCTCTTCTGCTTGAAGTTTTATTATTTGGCCATATAAAGTGACAGATCATTGTAACCAATTTGTGGTTTTAACCATCAGAAGTAATTGACTAACGATGCTATTTATATTTGGTTAGGGATTAATGGAGGGGTGTGGGTGTGTGTTTGTGTGAGTGTGCACATGTGTGTATGTATACTTACATTTTAGCGTATTTTCTTCGTAAGTGAAGTGCCAAAAACAATTTGTAAAGCAATTCTGTTTTTTTTGGTGTTCTCAAACTCAAGGGTTTTAATCACTTTTTAAGTTCATTTTTCGTTATTTTTAAAGTTTTGAATTATTTTTTGCAAAAATCTTAAAGTAAAAAAGAACTTTTATCTCTAGAGTGGAACAGATGAAAAGGGTAGAGATCTTAACCACAAAAAATGTTTTAAATACCCTCTACATTTACTACTTTACACGTACAACTTGGATGCCTCTCTATATATTTAGTTTCATTCAAGTTTTCCAGTTTTCATTCTAAAAAGGAAGCAAAATACAGAATCCTTTTTCCAAAGGAAAATGTTTGTAGTGTCATGAAAAATGAGAACAGATGGCATTGTAAAGCTTTGGGGAGATGTGTAGCGCTTCAATTCAAATTGTTAGGCAAAGTCGGAGACAAATACATAGCTACCAATTGTTGTAGTTATTTATATGACTTAATTCAAGTATGTAAAACAAAAACGTAGAAAGGATAGAATTTTGCTTCTTGTATTAAATAAAAAGCATTTTTGTAATTTATGATCCAGCCCTCACCAAGTGAATGCCTAAGCAACCAGGTTTTTTTTAGGAAAAAAAAAAATAATCAGGAAAAGCAGTTCTAGTCATTTAAAATGTATCCTGTACTTTTGGGTTTCACAGTGGGCAAGTTTACCCAGAGGCAGTGTGACAGCCTATTAGCAAAATAAATAGATCTTCCAAACTTGTAGTCCTCTGCTCTTTTCCCTCCACTTTTAAGTAAATTAGCTTTTCAGTGCGTCTGGGCTTGGGTTGTGGTAGGATGCATTAACTTCTCCCCACACTGTTCTGATTGCGCAGCAAAGCGTCCATTACCAATACCATATCCAAAGTGACGTTTCCATACAGGCTGCCTGCTGTTTCATTCATAACCACAAAACAAACTGAAATGACTTTACTTCTTTTTACAACTTGCAAAGAGTTAATGGACTGTGCTGGCCCCCTGCCAAAACCTTTAAGAAACTTTATTAATGTGTTATGAGGCTGGGACACCATAGTGTGGGATTTTATTGGTTATTCATCTTAATGAATAAAAATATGTATGCACAATTAAAGCCACATTCTCTAGCAATTGCCTTCTAATAAATGTTGAGTCTTTGTCAGTGCCCGTCATTGCATTTGCTTATCGATTGTGATCCTTTTCCTTCCAAATCCTAAAGTTACCAGTAGTGCAATTACGTGAACTTTAAAGAAATACCAGCTTAGTATTGGAAACGAGCAATTATTCAGTGATGAAAAGAACATAAGCATGTCATAAAAATGAATTAAAAATATCTCCATGTCAGAAACAGTAGTTATAATCTGCAGCATTTTTCCCACTATATATGAAAAAGGCTGGGCTGTGATGTATTGATGATTCATAAGACAGAGGCAACATAATTTTGCTGTAGATCATGTAAGAAAGTGATAGTGGAAAAAAATAACTTGTTTACTCTGACATGCTACTTATCAGAAAACATTTCATTTTTGTGTACATTTTTGTTGTTCTTTCATCTCTGACTGTTTCTTCTTTTCCCTTATGGGTGGGGTGTTGCAAGGAAGAGATGAGGGCAGAAATAATATCATATTGGAAACTAAACTTAAAAAAAAGACTGAGTGAATCAGTGGGTCTAGATGAATTTAATACTGGAGTTGTTTGAGAAAAGATGAATATTTTTGCATTTTTTTGAATATATGCTTTGTCCTCTGAATAGAATACTGTATATCTTCAAAACATTGTTGAATGGTCCTCAGTTTATGAGAATAATCCCAAGTACCTAAAATGAGGGAAACTTCCAGGATGTTTTTTGGCAAAATGATTTTCATATTATGGTCATTGGAATAGGATAATTTTATACCACTCTATCAAAAGTACTTGTGAAGAGTCCTTAAGGAAAAAAAAAAAAAAGCTCTTTTAAGTAAAAATACCAGGAAAATGAACACATTACAACTTCAAAGTAGTAAAATAAAAACTTAAGTCACGTCTGTTTTTATGAATTTAGTCGTAATTCATACTCACATTTGAGACATAAAGTAATTTCTTGTTTTGCCACAAGTAGACGTGAGAATAATTCAGTTCTTCTTGAATTAGCAAATTTGGAATGAGGTGTAATTTTTTTCTTTTTTAGTACAATTTAACCTTGATGTCGGAAGGATTGCCAATTGAAAGAAAAAAAATCTAAACTGCCACTACACTGAACACGTATCGATTTACTCTCTTAGTCTTTTTTTTAACACCACGTATTGCTTTGTTGTATAGATGAATTAGAACCTGTCTGGAGTTTAAAAAAATGGCCTACCCTGAGGTCATTAAAATCAGATTACAAATATGGAATAAAAGTGGAAAGATGATTCTAAAATGACTTTTGGGGTATAAAACTATTTAGGGAGTGGGAAGTGACCTTTGAATTTAGATTTTGAACATTGTGTGCAGCTTGTCATCTTTTCAAGTCATCATGCTGAGGCATTTGGCCTTGTGAATCTGATGGTGCTGTGCTCTGTATGGGAACCCACCACCTAAATTCAACCAAGGAAATGTTTGACCTTGGGCTCTTTCCTTGAGTCTCATTTAGCCCTGTGTGAGAAAGTGGTGAACATTGTGTTGGTGGATCTGTCTTTCAGGTGGCAATGGAAACGGGCTCTTCTCTGTGGTCATGTTGTCTCTGTAGATAAACCATCAGACCTTGAACTCTGGTTAAGTACAGCCAAGACCGTAGTAACATTCATGTGAAAAATGACACGTGGGAGAAATTAGACTCTCATTTACGAGATGTGGCTTAGAGGGGGATTACTTGATCCTGTGGTGAAGCTTCAGGACTTTGGTGGGAGATGAAGAGGTTTGTGGGGAAGGAGGAAGGTAGTGGCTTTGAAAATGGTGTCTGGTGTCACATGCAGTCCCTGCACGGAGCTGCTCATGCCGAGCTGGCCCTTTGCCTGTCAGCAGCATGCACTGACTTAGTCCTCAATTTGTGGCATGCTATGGGCAAAAGGGGTTTTCTGGTCTCATCCTCCTCCCAGTTTGTACACATTACCAAACCACAACATAAACTCCCCACAGTCAGTGGCCTCCACTCAAGGGAGGCTTTTGCCAGGAAAATTGGGAAGGTATGTGTCAAAAATTAGAAAAAATTGACTAAGGAGCCCTGTAATTGCAGAGGTGCAACCTCTACCTGGACTGTATCTCTTTTTCTGTCCAGTGGTGACACCTCTAATTTGGGAAGACAGTAATTTAGTTTGGATTCTGGGGTCAGTTTGGCTTGGGTTTAATTCCTGGCTTTTTCAGTTATTAGTTGGATAGCCTTAGGCAAGTTTTCTCATCTGAAAATGGGAATAATAATAGCATCCCTTAGTGTTATCGCAAGGACGAAATCTATGGATACCGTAATATTGAGAACAGTATTGGACATGTAAACAAATACTCAATGACTGTTAGCCTTACTATTATTTTATTACTGTTCACCTAGAAGATATTTGCTGCTAAGAGGAGGATAAGCTAACATTGTAAGCACATACAATGTATGGAATAGTGGGGTTTTACACAGCTAATCACCATTTAGCCTCACTGGAATCCTTTCATTTGTAGGTGACAATTTTATATGCGTTGCACTGTCTTGTGCAGTCAGTAAGACATAGAGCATGATCTCCAAAAACTTGTATTCTAGTTGGGGATATAAAATATAGCTACTTGGCAATATATACCAAACATGACTGAAACTAAGACACAGGCAAAATCTGAAACCATCCCTTAGGTTTTTTTTTTTTTTTTTTTTTTTTTTGTAAAGCATGTTGTCTGAATCTCATAACTCTGTATATGATAGCATAGGGTCTCTTTGCAGGTACTAGATGGTCAATCAACATTTATCGAATTCTTCTGTTTGTTGAGCAGATTGTTGTTTTAGTATTTGGAAACTCTCAAGGAAGAAAAGGTAATAAGTCAGCAGTGTCAGACCATAAAATCTCATGAAAGGAAAGAAATTAGCTCAAGTTTTAAGAGTGTTAGTAAGGGCCAGGTGCTTGGCTCACACCTGTAATCCCAGCAGTTTGCGAGGCCGAGGCAGGAAGATTGCTTGAGCTCAGGAGTTTGAGACCAGCCTGGGCAGCATGGTGAAACCCTGTCTCTACCAAAAATACAAAAAAATTAGCCAGGTGCATCTGTGGTCCTAGATACTCAAGAGGCCGAGGTGGGAGGATTGTTTGAACCTTGGGAGGCGGAGGTTGCGAGTGAGCCGAGATCATACCACTGCACCTGAGTGGCAGAGTGAGATTCCATCTCAAAGAAGAAAAAAAAAAAAAAGAGAGAGAGAGTTAGTAAGTTACTAGTGAACTAGAAATATTTTTTGAACACAACCACTCTGTTTCACCTGTCTGTTAAGAGTGGCCCATTATTAAATAGCTGTGTGACTGATTATTTTGATAACTAATTAAACAAAGGATAAAAGTCCCTAAATGTCTTTTACGCAGAAACATAATTAATAATGCTGAGAAATTATTCTGCTGTAAAAAGGTCCAGGAAAAGTGTGTGTGTGTGTGTGTGTGTGTGTTTTTCAGGTGACTACTGGAGAATAGACATTATTCAAAATATACGATTAAAGAGACATTAGATTTTCTTCTCCTAAAATGGAGACTTAAAAAAATTAAGTAAACAATATTGGTGTGGCTCTGCTGAGTGTGTGGACATATAATTCAAGCTAGAATGGGCATTCAGTGAATAAGCACTATGATGAATACCACCAGTTTGTGTCAGCATTATGGAATTCATCTTTCACCTCTGAATTATCTTTCAGCAGAGGCAAGAATGTTGGATTCAGTTGAAGCTTAGATTACCAAACAGTAATCACTGCCAATGATGATTACAGGAGTACACCAGGCCTAATGTGTCTCTCAACCTGAGCTTAAACTTGCGGAACAGTCTCAAAGAAAAATCCACTGACCTCATTATGCAGTATTTGGCTGCTGTGAACATAGCCTGTTAGCTGGGATTTAAGTTTAACAGAGAAAAAAAGGACAGAGACAATATATACCTTGTGTATATATCGTACTTATGAAGGTGTACTTATGAAGTATTTTTAATTCTTCAAGTGTTTTTTATATTCCTACTATGAACAAATCAGTATGTATTTTTAGTTCCATGCAGTGTCTCCATCATTTCCTCCCTCCCACGTTTTCATTCCCCTTCCTTTCTTCTTTCCCTCCCTCCCACCCTGCTTTCCCTCCCCCTTCCTTCCTCCCTTCTTTTTTCCCCCTCCCCTCCCCTCCCTTCCTTCCAATTTTTGTTCCTTTGGTCAGCCCTTGGAACTCACTCACAGAGACTATGTATCTGATCTCGGTTTTTTTCAGTTTTATGCCACAGACATAGTTAATTCCTCAGATGTTTTTTGAAGGGAAATTTGTATTATTTTTATGTACAGAAAACTCAACAGTGTACATTTAACCCAGTTTGGTGGCAAGTTCTTTAGCTTTTGCCTTTTGAGCTTGGCAATGTAAGCCACAGGCTTGGGACCCAGGACATTGCCTCCCCAGTGATGACGGATCTCATTGGCTCTGTCGTTGTAATTGGTTCTGATAGCTACCACCAGCTTAACCAAAGCCCCTTTGTCTTCTGAGTTAACCTGTATGAAGGCAGCAGTGGTGCAGGTCTTCCTGTGGATTAGATGTCCCAGTCTTGTCTTCCCCTTGATATTGCAGTAAGGGACCCCCATTTTACGACACAGGGCAGGCAGGAACACAACCAGCTCGATGGGATCCATGTTGTATGCAATCACCACCAACTGAGCTTTCTTATTCTACACCAAGGTGGTGATGGTGTTAACTCCTGCTTGAAGGACAGGTGTTCTTAGTGGGGAGGTCCCCTTTGCCGGCGCTTTCTTCTCCGCCCGGGCCAACAGCCTCTGCTTCTTCTCTTGCTTTGTCTCTGGTCTGTACTTGTGGGGCAGCTTAAGCAGCTGAGTAGCTGTTTGGTGGTCCAGGTCCTGGGTGAACTGGTTAATCGCAGGAGGCATTTTCAGTCGCTTATAGAGGATGACTCTCTGCCGCTGCAACCTGCTATAGCGGGGCCATTTCACAAAGCGGGCGAGGTCTCTTTTGGGCTGGATGTCCTGTCTAATGCCAAAATTCTTAGGCCTTTTCTCAAACAGGGGGTTGACCACTTTCTTGGCCTCCTGCTTCTTCAAGACAGCAGGGGCCGGAGCCACCTTCTTCCCCTTGGCCTTCTTTCCTTTCCACATCTTGGGCAGTGGACGGCGGGAAAAGAGAGATCATTCCTCAAATTTTGAGGCCTGTGCCATAGAAAGGTATGAAAAGGTTTTCTTTTGTTAATGTTATTTTAATGTTGTAAGACAAACATAGCCTGTTAAAGGATGAGAAGAAAACAAATTAATTTTTTGGTTTTCATTTTTCATACACGTATGCTTTGATAGAGATTATAAGTTTATGTCAAAATCATGCCATTGCAAATGGGAAAGTGTTGGCTTTGCTTATGCTTCTCTGTAGTATGTTTTAATATGGTCAGAATTTGTTGAGGTTTTTTTTAACATTTTTTTTTCCCCACAAATTAAATGAGTTTCTTTAATCAGCAGAAAATATTGCGGGCATTATGTGTGATTGAAATGTTGAGGTCAGCAGAATTTCGTAAAAGACCCCTTGTCACCATTTTCTATCTGGTAGTATTCCAATATTCCTTTGTAGTTAGTTTTTCAAGCAGCTTTAACTACTGCAACACAAAAGTTGTGGTACCAAGTCTTATTTATGAGGGAAATACACATTTTGACTTCCTGTGAGACAGACTTTAGACCCTGCCTTGGTAGCAGGGTTGGCCTTTGCCCTTGGTGAGGCGGGCCCAGGCCGGCGACATTTCAGGAGGCCGCTTGGCAGCCATTTTAGATCCTGCCCGCGCGGAGAGCTCCTGGCTGCCAAAAACTGCAGTCGCTCCGTGCCAAGACACTCTTGGCAGTGGAGATAAACTTTGTAGAGATACACAGTCCAGAAATATCTTATAATTACAAAGCACAGGGGGCAGAATGTTTTTACAATACAGCTGTGCTAATGTAAACATTTAATTTGGCAGCCTTCTCCACCCACTTTTCAATTAACCGGGTTTATGCAGATACTTTAGGTCTGTAATAAACTTTATTGCTAAGAGTACAGTTTATGAAACACAGATTTGAGGGGCTTTTTTGAGGGGTTTTCCATCCATTTAGGAAAGCACATTGTGAATGTTATGTTGCCGTGAATGGAAAGGGTAGCTTTCTGTCTCAAAAGATGCCATGGGCCTGGCTTAACTGAAACAATTGCTTTAGGAAAAAAAAAATGTGGGGGCTGTCTCCTTTGGCTTCTAAAGCATGCAAGAGGATATTAATAGAAGGAGGTAAAAATCACTTATATAGCTACAAAAAGACACTCGTGTTGATGATCATTCAAAAAGATAAATGTCCCCTGCAAGGCATGAGACTGTTTCAGAGATAAATTCCCAGTAACAGTTCTTACAGATGTAATTGTAATAATTGTGTGATCGCCATGATAATTATTCTTATGGAGTGAAAGAAATAATTTTCTATGTAAGTAGCATTCAACTGTTCAGCTCACAAAGCTAGTCAATAGATCGTTTTCAGCTAACCTAAAAAATGGTAGAGTTCATGGAGTTGTAAAGCTAAATTTGGTATTAATTGACATTGTGAAGGTGATTTTTTTCATAAGAAATATGACATCACAATCCATGATATCTCTTTGCATAGATTTGCTTACCCATTTCTCAGATACGTTAGAGAAAACCATATAAAATACTACACATATGGGTCGTTTTTCTAAAAGACAAGAAACGTAGAACCGATATTTTTATGTCATTCCATTTAGAAACTTTGCTTTGGTGATGATTTTTTTAAATTAGCTTTTGTTTTTTCTTGAGGATGGGTTTGAGTAGCAGAAAACCAATTCTTAACGATGTTTTCTCTCAGTACTCCTTTTGAGACTTTCATGTAGTGTGGCTCCATCAATATTCTATAATGGGATGTGACCACAAAGTAATTTTCATCCTAAAATAGTATTTGACTCTTCAGCTCCCGAACTAGTCAGTAGACCCCTTTCATCTATTCTGAAAGATAATGGAAGTCGGAGAATTTTAAAACTGTGGTCTCATTATTTTATAGTCTCATTATTTCATGCTGCAATAGCTGTTGTGCCATCATACCACCTTTACACATTCTGCTTATCACAGCTAAACAATGCTTTTGCAGTCTGTGGCTTTTAGTCTCTCATGTTTTAGTTGCTATAAACAAAAATTAAATGAAAAAGTTTGTCCCACTGCTAAATCTTTGTGTGTGTGTGTGTGTGTGTGTGTGTGTGTGTGTGAAAAGTATCAATTTTATCTTCAAAATATAATGATTACAGATTCTGCTTATTTGTAAATTGTATAGAGAGCACATTTTACCTGCTAGCAAGTGAATGAAAGTCAACATTGTGCAAATGAAACCATAAGCTCCATGAAGACAAGAACAAATCATCTTTTATTGACTGTTGTAGACTGAGTTCCAAGGATGATACATGGACCACTGTAGGTGTTCAGTCCTTTTCAAAAAAATAAACGAATGGATAAATATCATCTGTATATGTCACAATCAGAATATTGAATGTTAATTACCTGTATAAATTGATAGCTCATTATGACTTTTTTTTTTTAAGGTTACTTTGTCTTTCTTTTGGGAATTAATGCTCTTTGTCTCAGTTTCTTCATGGATAGTACATCCAAGATAAATTTGTATGCCATTTAAATAGATTCCCAAAATTATTCAGGGTAAGTTGGGATACAGGAGGTCACAATCTTGGAGAGAAGTAATGTATAAACAACCAACTATAATGCACTGGTCGGGCCCTGCACTAAAGTGTGAGCAAGACCATGTGGGCCCCAGAGGGTGGTCTCATTAGATGGGGCAATAAGGTTCAGGAAGGTTGTAACAGACGAAATTCAAGAGCTTTTAAAGATGAATTAGGCGTTTGTCTTGCATCAAATAAGGGATATTCCAGGCATAGAAACCTTATGAGCAAGGGCACAGACCTGCAGTTGCACGGCATATTCTAGGACTGTTAAGAAGAATATTAGGAAGTTGGGTGTGGGTGTGAGGGGGAGGGTAAAGGGTGATGGTTTCTGTGAGAGTGAGGCTAGGCTGGGGCCAGGTTATGGAGCACCTTGAATGCTGTACTAAGGAGGTTGTAGATTATCCTAGCTAGCAATTGGAAGCCACCAAGGTGTTTTAAGGAGTGAAGTGTTGTGATTCCTGGTGGCTATGCAGAGGATGGAGTCTGGTTATAGTGTGAAGAGTGAATCATAATGGCCTGAGGAGGCTGAGGCTATTGTGAGGTAAAAATGTGAAGCTCAATAAGGGACTTAGCACCAGTTGGGATGGAGATGGGGAAATAGGCTTGAAAGGAAGATAGAGTCTGGGCTGACAACTGAATGTGAAGCTTTGGGGAGTTGGGGTTTCTGGAATGAGCATTTTCAGCTTGGGAAACTGAATGGCTGTGAATGCCATTAATTGAGATATGGATTGGTTGCGGGGAGGCAAGAGTGTACAAAGGTTGTGCACTAGCAACATCAGGAGGAGTTTTGCAGTTAAAGAAGAGGTTAGGGCTAGATATGGAGATACAGAGTTCTCAAAAAACGGGTAGTATTTGTAAACATGGACCTAGCTGAGTTTGCTGAGGGGGAATGTACAAAGACAAGAAGATGGCCAAGTTGGATGGATCGTCTTTGGGATCACCAACATATAAGGGACCAACAGAAGAGAAGGAGATAGCCATCAAGACAGGAAAGCAGCCCTCAGAAATAGAGGATTGGACCTAAGAAAGGAGTGGTGCCCTAAAGGAAAAGGGAAGGAGAATTTCCAAAAGCTAGGGATACTTAGTGTGAAAAGTCAACTAAGTAGAGTCTGGGAAAGTCAAGTCGTGTTTTAAAAAAAATAGTAATTTTGGAGCTGAAACACATACTTAGACTTACCGATCCTGAGAGCTAGTGTTGGGCATGAGGATTATTATTTTCTTATCTCACATCGTGATCAGAGAGTATGTGAGTTTTGGTATTGTGTTTTATTCCTTGGTCTAACTTCACTGAAACAGATTCTGGGGTCCTGGGTTGCTTAAAGGATGAATATTCTGTAGACTTTAAGAAACTTCTGATGAAAACAGTGGATTATGTTTATTGTAATCTTTCTCTTCTACCAGTTCTGAGAGGAAATTTGCATTTTCTTCATCAAATTTCACCATTGACTACTATATTTTAAGGAGGAGAAGCTAATTTGAAATTTTGCTTTGAGTTTTGAAGAAGGCATGAACAGTTTCACAGAAAATAGAAGGAAATATGCCCAACTACTGAGCACACCCCTTTAAATTGCTCTTACCAGGCCTTCAGACCTAGGGGCAAAATTATGCTCCAGGCTCCAGGTCCCTGGATTCACTCTGTTAGCAGCAGCAGTAAGGAACAGTTTATTTGGACAATCCCTTCTGCTCCTGTTCTCCCTGCGTGATTCCCTATTTTAGCTGTAAAAGACTCAGAAAGTGGTGATTTTATGCTAGTACATACAGAAATACCTTAGCAAATATGATTGAGCCAACTAATGTGTAAGTAAAAACAATAGCTGAGTGGAAACTGGGTGCAACTCTGCAGTCTCCTTGGATATCTTCAGGAGTTTTGTGAAATTAAAAAAAAAATGGATCCTGGATCCTCCAATGAACTGAAGTCATAATCAGTCTGCAATGTTGACTTGAGAATTTCTTTTAAATAAAAATAAATGACCAAGTGGAAGTCTTATTAGCTAAAACCAAAAGCACAAACATACATGGCCCTTTCACAAAGTAAAACGGCTATAAGCATAATGAGACTCCAACACATCTTTACTTTTTTTGCTGTTTTGTTTTTAATTTTTCCAGCTCTTAACATTCTAAGATGCTGCCTTACCACTTCCTTAAGGAAACACAAATGGGTGAGTTAAGTTTTTGAAAGTAAAGGAGGATCCTGTTTAAGTAGATTAGGGTCTGGCAGGCCATTTAACTTTATCAGGCATCTAAAGCCGAGGATGTACACTGTAGCCGGCTGTGAGTTGCCAATTAGCTGGGCTTTCCCCACTGTTTCTGGTTTGGCAGGGATGAGGTGGTTCACCCTGCCGCACTACTGCCTGCCAAGGACACATGGCCAGCTCCCGGCTTCCTGTCTTCCTCTTTGTGTCCTGGCCTTGCCTTCCAGGGAGCTGCCAGAACACAATTGCCAAAAAATCTTCCTTCAGAAAGGTCAAGTAACCTCAAGTCACCTATGCCAATATTTGTGTTTTCTTTTTAATCCTTCTGTGTTCGACTTGGAAAAAGCTGTAGAAGCGAACTTGCAGAATGGAACCTGGGTCACTTTGGATCACTTGGATAAAGCAACAGAACCCAAAGAATCCCTTGGCCAGTCAGGGTGTGATGTTTTGAGTAGAATTCTATTTAAAGCTCTGTGAAGTGTGATAGAGTTCAGAATGGTTCAGTGTGGATTTGGATTTAGTTGCTTTTTAGGATTCACTGTACACATGTGATTTTTGGCCAAAGCTGGTGCATCACATGGCAGGGAGAGGGAGAAAAGTGGAGATTGGTTTTGGCTTAAGGACTGCATTTTTGTTTGTTTGTGTTTTCAGGACTCTATAGTCACATACTGCCTTTTGCTTTCCAGTTTGGTGTCTGTGAGCAAGCATCAGCAGCCAAGTCCCTTGTACACTGGCTGAGAACAATGTGCGGGAGTTACCTGGGGTGCTTGTTGAGAGCGCTTTCTTGGCCCCAGCATTGCTGTACGAGTCCCAGTCATTGCGGGTGAGGTCGAGGAATCTGAATTTCTAACAAGCATCTCAGGTGAATCTGATGCTCACTAGAATTTGTGGACTGAATGTCACTGATTGTGAAATGACAATAAGGCAAGTAGCATTTATTGTCATGATACGGCAAGCTGTTCTACTTCTCCTTTAATTGGTCTTTTTGGAGCTCTGTGTTTAATTGGAATCTAGATTATATGCAGATCTCCACTGACAACAAACACTTTTCTGAAAATTGAACTTTTAAAAACCTGTTAACATAAGAAACTTTATCCAAGTAATTGTTCCAGGTTTAAACTCTAAATTTTAGGATGATTTATAAGGCTTTTTTAATGACACGTAGAATGCCATAGTGAACATCCGAAACGACTTTAGAAGGCTCCCTCCCCGTAGCCCACACTGTGAATCATGCTCCTTGGAGACGTGCAGTGTGATGGGCCTAGTGATTTCTGTTATGGAAGGGAAACCCCATTTCTCTAATACTTCATAAAGCAAAGCTTTTATTATTTACTTTGAAAAAATTCCATTTGAGGAATATGGAATTCTTAAAGTGCCTAAACCTGAGCCACCTACTAATTCTTATGGCTGTTGGTAATGAATATAGGGGGCAACGTGTATTCTGTCTGTAGACTCCAGGAAAGTTCAACGTAGCCCCAACATTCCCTTTTGGCTTTTCATGTAAAATTGTCCATAGCACTTTCTTCCTAAGCTCAGTTTAATTTTCTTTTGTGCCTTTTGTACCTCGAGATATGCTGTCTTTCTTGGTGAGAATGGTCTAGCCGTGAACCTTTTCGTCATTGTTTTGTAGCATTCGTAGAGTGAGGACCAGATTAACTGTGTAATTTACCTTTTTTTTCCCCAAGTTATTTCCAAAATTTGCTAAAGCGCTGCAGCCTCAGGGACACCTCTGACTTTCTGACACAGCTAAGAAACACCACACTAATTTGGAACACATGTTCTGTCAAAGTTTACCTATAGCCTTGAGTTCCAAATTTGCAACTTCAGCATCTTCTGTTGAAAATAAACAGCATATTTTTTCTTAAGCTCCCTTTTTGCCTCCCCTTGAACTCCACAGTCTTTTATAAATAGTAATAAGGAAATGTGGTTATGGGTATAATTGCCACAAGGCAATTGTACCCTAGAGGACTGATAGAATTTTCTTTTCTATATCGGAGGGCTGGGCTCCATCAAGAAGATCCATTTGCAAATAACTCAATTGGAAGAATAACAACAGTGTCTTTATTTTTATAGCAACTTTCCCTATAGAGATCACAGTACAGTGTGTTAGGGACATCCTATCAGATTCATTGTTCTAATACCCCAGTGGACTGGAATAAAGTTTTATTATAGCTTGTTTGAGACAGGAGAGTGAGACTGAGAAAGGTTAAGGGTCGTCCCTCAGATCCTAAGAAAGTCAGAAGGGGAAATGCAATGAAAAATCAAGGTTTTTCTATTACTCTGCAAGTTGTCAAGCTCTGCATTCCTTTCTGGTAATTGTAAAGGGTCAGAATAAAGCACAACCTATTTCGGGATTGCAAAGTAATGTAGATGAAAATGCCTCGAAAATAGCTAAGGTATTCTTGCTATCTTTATCATATTTAGTACAAATGGAAGGTAAGAAAGAGCCTTATTGTCAGTATCTAATTGTACCAATGTATATGAAATGGATTTTGCACATTCTTGATTGATTGGATTCAAACTGCCAAGTTGTCTTAATCATTAATAAAAGACAAATGGAAAATAACATTTATAATTCTGGATTTAAAGGAATTCCATACGATTTGACAACAAATTTTGAACAGATTAAGAAGCCAAAGATCAAAGTTACTCTGATTACATAAACGGCCTAAGAAAACACTTAATTAAGTAGTCTGATTTTTCTTTTTAAGGTTTTACTTGTAGACTCCATAGTTCTGAGGGTAGGAGTGATGAACTTAGGCTCTGTTTTTTTTTTTTTTTTTAAGTTAGAATAAGAGAATTGGGAGTAAAATTACTACTAATCTTTCAACCTGATTTCAAGGAGCCTTGGAGGACACATTCTGTGGGGAGTAGACACAATTAACTTGATGCTCCTAATTACTGTTGTTTGATTTGTGATTAAAGGTGGTATATTTTGGTGTAGCGCTTTTGGCTTCTCAGGTGTCCAGTGTGCTGCTGCTGGGGAGAGTAGGGGGTGGCAGCATTCCCTCCCTTAAACAGGAACCCCCTTCCGCAAACTAGAAGCTGAGATATCAGAAATAACCCACATTTAGTCAGACCTTGCCTTCTAATGAGAAAAAGTGAAAAATTAGGCAAAACATAAACACACGGCTTTTTAAAGCTCTCTTTGATTTTCAAAGTTCTAGAGTGGGTTCATATTTTTTCACTTTAACCCAAGCGAGTGAAGCTATCTTTCACTTATAGATCCTCCCTGAGTGCCTCATGGGAGGAGTAATGGCCTTGAGACTTTTATCTCATCATCACTGCACCTCTTGTTATGTCTTGATGCTTAATGAATGTTAAGCTGAAAACTAATCCAGGTAAACAGGTGAACGGAAAATTAAGTTCAACCAGCGTGAACATAGAAAAAAAAAATCCTTCATTTAGGAGCACCATTAGCACTGCCAATGGACTAAGGAGACACATGCTGTTCCCTACCAGGTGATTGGATCATATCAGCTAATTTATTCTATTTTTAATAATTGCTGGATGATATTAATAGGGAACTTTCAGTTATTATTTTATTATTATGCATTTTCTTTTGCAAAAAAAAAAGTTTAAAAAACATTTTCTTAAATACCCCACCCCCTTTTTCCTCCCAATGCCCTTACTAGATTCCTTTGTCTATGTTTGCAATGTCATTGTGTTTTTCATGGTGTGACATACATACCCTTAATGCCATAAAAGATTCCTGCTCTGTGAAAAGAAAGTTGAACAGTGTTGTCACTTTGAAAACACAGTGATAGCTTTGAATGGGAGTCTAATGTGAGGAGGAAGCTTTGGCTTTGGGATCCAGATTGCTGTAGCCAAACTTCCAAATTCAGATTTGGTCTGCAATCCTGGCTTCACTGCAGTCATTTATATCGACAGTGAATAAAGAAACCTAAATAAACAAGAATGAAGTGGCAACACAATAAAAGTCGTCTCATATGTGCTTTATACTTTCAAATAAAAATTAGAATTTATCATTTTCTTTGAGATTATTTCTCTGTTTCGTGTGCTCACAAAATTAGCTTGATGTTTTAACCCATCTTTATTTCATTAAAGTATTCCTTAGATATGGAGTTTTCTAAAAAATACAATATTTTGTCAATAAGATGGAAAATGACAAGCATTATTTCCTAAAAGCACCACAGGAGAGAGAAGCATTGTGCATTTATTAGGTAGTGACAGAGCTTTGCAGATGGATGAAGGAAGCTGTAACATCAAACCTTGCCATCTCTGGCGGTTTAAATTCTCTGTAGGTCAGTTCTACCAAAAGTTTTTTGTTTTTTGTTTTTTTTTAACTTCTTTTGCCAGTTGATTGGTCCTATGAAGTAAATTAATGGTTTCAGTTCAATTCTTGGGCACATAACCACCCCAGTTAGCATTCTCTGGGGACCTTATTGGCTTAAGCAAGCCTAGAAGAATAGGATTTCCTTCCAGGGTCAGGTATAGAACATTGTGGAGAAGCTTACGGGATCTCTTTCTCTTTTGTGAAAGAGAGAGAGAGAGAGAATGTGTGCTGGATTGAGGTGGTAGAGTGCACCTCCAATATTAAAAAATAATTTCCTAATACGTTATCTCAGTGTTATTTTGTTCTATCTTCTGTGAAATTGGTAAGTGGATATTTTGTGTAAATTGGCTCCAAACAGACCTTCAAATACATTGAAGGTGGAGCTTAGTTCTTTGCTGTCATCCCATTTCTAAGATAGTGCCTGTTTCAACCTATTTCTCAGCCAAATTATATCATAATTTGCTATCTGCTTAGTATAATGTATCTCATTTGTTTTATCTTGGCTTTAATTGAATTATCTATTCCTATGGCATAATTCTTAAATCATAGCATATACATATACAGTACATTGGAAGAACTGGGATAATTTTTATTTCTTCTTATTGTCTTTTTTCTTTTTTGACTGTAACTTAGAATGAAAGTTTAAGTTTCAAATAGTATGTGTGTAATAAAAAATTTGGTTAAAAGTTGGATTCGTTTTCCTATCTGGCTTTAGGCTCCCTGTCCCACCCATTCTACCTGCCATTACGAGAAAAAGTCAAGGGCTATTTCTGTCTTGTGGTCTCAGCATTATTCCTATGGTTTTTAGTGTCTGTGCAATATGTCTGCTGTCATATTTATGGAGATTGTCTCTTAGCTTACCTGTCACACTATAAGTTTCTCATTGGGGAAAGTAAAGGGTGGTGGGAAAACATAAAAAGTGAAAGTTATTGCTAGACTTACTTCATGGCCACTTTATGTCTATTTAGACTCCAACCCATTTTCTTTTTTCAGTAAATATTTATTGAATTAAATTCATAAATGTGCATTAGAAGTTTGCCTTATGTGGCATAGATTGACTAAAATACATTTCAGGCACAGGCTTAAAAAATAATAAACATGTATTTTCAGTTGAAATGATCTCTGTATGATGTTTGGTGGTGACTGTCACCAACTAGGAAAATAATGTTTTAAAAAGAGACATAAAATAAATCTTGGGGGTGGGGGTTCAAAATGATTGAGAGAGAGGATGTAGAGGGACATTGCATAGGGTGCAATGCTGGCAGCTAAGTGTGCACATCCATCACCAGTGTCATCCTGTTAGTTCTATCCAAAAAAAGTTGGCAACATGTGAATTGATGCTGTATGTTTTTCCGTTATGTCACTTGCCTCTAGCCGGGCTGTTATCTAGCACAGTTTAAAACATTAAGTATATTGGTACTGTTTGCATATGTGATTCTAAAGTTTTGGTACTGTGAGTTCATATATATCCCTGTGCGTATGAACATAAATATTTTTGTTTTCTCCTGTTCGTAGAGTGTTTTAGCAAAACACTATAGAGTGTTACTATTCTGATGGGAAAAATACTTTTGTCTTATTTTGTAATTTTTCTTATGTAAAATGCCTCATGTCCAGTGGGGACTTATGAACCATTTCCTAAAGGAAACAGAGTAATGTTGAAGTCATTTCTCTTTCCTGTTAGGGATTATTCTTACGTTGATGTATAGTGGTGCATATTTAAGAAAACCTTTTGATTATCCCCATGAGACTGTTAGTTATTCCGACAATTGATAAGCATTTCGAAGTTGTTTGTGGCATGAAATATAAGTAAATGTATCATATTTTACAAAAATAATCAAACTTATAATTGTTCCAGTCAAGGAGCATACAGTCATGTGTGAAGGAAAAACACATGCACAAGAAAAAACTTGTTAAAAATTGGTTAGAGAGACTAGGAGATGATAAAAAGAAGAAGTAAACTTGGATGGATGGGTAGGATTATCAGAAGACCTCCTGGAAGAGATATATTTAGAACATGGCATTGAGCATCTAGTTGCCTTTTTTAAAAACTTGATTATTTTTATGTATCAGTATGCATTACAAAAAACTTTGGGATACAGAATTTTGTACTTAGTACTGAATGGTGGCAGTGCTTTCTCATCTTTTTTTTAAAAGATGAGAATCATAACAAACACGTGAAATCTATTGGTTTTTAAAAAAGTTATTATATTTGTCTAATACTGCTTAATTCTATTACCTGACACGTATTTTAGAGTGACAGATATGCCAAATTCAAAAAAACAAATGTATCTGTCAGATTTGAGTAAAATAAACTACCAGATAGTCCAATAGGAGGAATTTCATGGGCAAGGCCAGTTACAGTAATGTTAGAATAGATGAAAAGCTGAATGGGCAGTGAGGTCACCCAGTCATTAGCATCAGTAGGAATCTACTACACAAATTGAGCTGGAGCTGCCTGAAGGGAGGGCATCACAGAGGGAGGAACTTGTTCAGTGGAAGCAAGAATCACAAGAGGAAAACTCACCACTGTTTGGAGACAAATGTCAAAGCAGAGGAGGGAAGGAATACCTCTCCTTCTCCTTTCTTCCCACCCTCCAAATTCCCAAACTCCTACCATTGCCTCCTGTTGGTTGGACCTAGCCTGAAGTCAATAGTTAATGGAGCTGGGAAAGGTGGTTTGCAGAAACAGAGTTCAGGATGGATCTGAGGACAAGTTACCGTTACAGGGCAATTCTAATTTTGGGGGTGGGTGGAGGGATGAGATTTAGGTAAGATTCAAAGCAATTGTTTGGGGCAGGGGAATTAAGTTTGCATAATATCATCCAAAGCTTTATCACACCAGTTTTTCTTACTGGTGTTGAGTTACTAATTTTTTAAATCCTATCTGAAAATTTAGTTTATACATTTCTGTCATGGCCTTGCTGTTAGATGGTTTTGCAAAATATCCATGAACAATCTTGTTAGTTAATTTTAGAATTTTAACATGCTTTAAATGTCAAGAAGAATTTGATCTTGTCTGATTAGAAGCAATCTTTAAGACCAAAAACAACAGGTGACAGGCTCAAATTATTCCTATGGCAATTAACTCTGACAAAGAATTGGATGATCCCTCCTTCCCCTTTTCCATCTTTTGGAGGTACCAAGAGTGGACAAGGAAAAGTTCAACTGGTCTTGTAACCAAGCACTATCTAGAACTTGGAAATAATGATGTGATTTCTTGTTTTTGTGTATGTGTTTGTTGGAGGTTGAGTATGCAGCATAGTTTGTTTTTTGATTGGATTGGAAGGCAATGTCAGTTTTGAAATGGCAGCATAATAATCAATTTGGAAAATTAAACATTAGCCATATGTAATGGTACGTGCAATGAAAATAATCTTTATGAGCATGGGAGATGAGTCTGCAGTAAAAAGCTTGAAGTTGGTCTGTGTTAAAATTTTGTCACATCTGGAAGGCATTGATGTCTAAGATTACATAGGTTTGATATCATTCAGGGTTAAGGCATATGGATGGGACATTATGCAGAACCTTGATTTTTTCATACTCTTTGGATTTGGCTTAGGCATTTTTGAATCATAAGGAATTGATTTGAATCTCTATTAAAGATAAAATGAGTAACAAGACAAAATGGGAGGAATTTTGAGCACCTGGTACATAGCTCTGCACCAGTATACTCTCAGTTCCCTTTTTTAAAATGGATATAGCAAGTGAACATGCCCGTCATCATTTATTTTCCCATTTCCCAAATAACCATAGTGATGAGTAGTAGATTTCATGGTGGGCTTCTGTTATTCTTTATTATTCTTGGTTAGAATTATCTGTATTTTTTTTATTTTTGTTTATTTTTTTCAAGATAGGGGCTCACTCTGTCACCGAGGCTGGAGTGCAGTGATGTAATCTCAGCTCACTGCAGCCTCAACCTCCAGGGCTCAGATGATCCTCCCACCTTAGCCTCTCGAGTAGTTGGGACTATAGGCACCCACCGCTATGCCCAGCTAATTATTGTATTTTTAGTAGAGGTGGAGTTTCACCATGTTGGCCAGGCTGGTCTCGAACTCCTGACCTCAGGTGATCCTCCCACTTCAGCCTCCCAAGTAGCTGGGACTACAGGCACCCACCACTACGCCCAGCTAATTATTGTATTTTTAGTAGAGATGGAATTTCATTATGTTGGCCAGGCTGGTCTTGAACTCCTGACCTCAGGTTATCCACCCACCTCAGCCTCCCATAGTGTTGGGATTAAAGGCATATGCCACCGTGCCTGGCCAGGATTATCTGTATTTTAAACTGTTCTCTTTAAGTGACTGTTTGAAAGAATATTGCCCCATAAAATGCCCCATCTTCATGTCTCTGTGAGCTTGTAAACTTTTCAAAGTTCTTTCAAACCCATTATTTCACTTATTAGAATATTCTTGACCTTCTCTTTTTACAAAAAGGAAAATCATGTCAGCTATTTTTTTGTTTTTATTTTATCAGTATAATTGAGTTCCTTTCTTTGCCTGCACAGTTTTAATTTGCAAGAGGAAATTACTGTCTCCTCATTTGTTTCCTCATTTTATCCCTTTTCAAAAATGTTGGTTCAATGATGCATTATTCAAGTAGTTTTATTCCTGGTATATTAACTTTTGCCTTGAAAACATGGGGACAGAAGTTCTTTGAACCACTTATCAAGGAACTGTTAGGACATTTAATACTATTATCTGCCACATCAGCAAGCTTCCTGTTCATCAGATGACTTATCTGATTTTTTTCCTCTAATATTTTGATAAAGTTATTTTATGAACAGAAGCAGTAATGAATACCCCACGTACAAATCTACTTTACCTTTGTAGAAAGTAGGCTATGCATCATCTTACTCTGTTATCCAGTTAATTGCTATGCATCTTGAGTTTAAATGTATACATTTATTTTTATATGAATATAGTATCACAGACTTAAGAGCCATAATTTAATAATAAAACAAGGACTGGTTATTAATCACATGTAAGTAACATAAGATATAAAAAACCCATCCAGTTTCTTCTCTCTAAGCTCACATAAGGATATAAACATAAACATTTTAATGATTTGGCAAAGTATCTTTTTAGCTAACATGATAGAGAAATCTGTATCCAATTTAAAAAATTTTTTAGGAACATATGCCTATGAAAAAATGAGCAATGAAAAAATAAGAATATGACTTTTTGGTCATTGAGTCAATCACTACATTTGTATTTGTAGAGAGGTTGTAGAAACTTAAAAATTAGAATATGTGTAGATAATAATCAAAAACTGAAAGTTATGATTGGTATTACTGGCAGTTTGTTTGTAATTTAAGGAAGATGAACTGTTTTAACTGCTACCAGTCATCATCTTGTTCTCTGTAAAACAGTGGTTAGTCATTCAACACATACTGATTGAGCATCTAGTATGTGCCAGGAATATGCTAGGGCAGTGAATAAGACTAACATGTTTCTTGACCCCATGGGTTTTAAAATGTAGCAGAAGAGTTGCACTCTAACCCAGCCCTTCAATTACCTGTGTTGTCAGCGTTTGCAAGGGGCAGTGCAACCAAGTAGGTGGGGATTTTTTTTTTTTTAGGAGGGGGAGGAGGAGTACTAATTAAACCTTAAAGAACATTAAATATATATATCTCATAGCCTTTTTCCACAAAAATACTTGTGCATATTTCACTGTTGTGTGAAATTATTTTTTTCCTAGTATTTCTAATTCCTTTGAAAACAACTAAGACTAAACTCTTACCTTTCATTAACTAGTTGCCACTGGGCAAGATGAAAACTGATTCGTGCGTGAAATGGTTTGCTTAGAGTCAGCGTGCTAGTGCTTGGCAGTTGCCGGATAGAGCCCAGAGTCCTGACTCTCCAGGCAGTTTGGAGAGAACATGTCCTGCTCCCTGAGAAGAAAGATTGCCAATGAAATATTAGAAAGTCTTATGTCTGATTTTAACCTAGATATATTAAGTGTTGGGAAAATACATGAAGTGACATAGCACAGAGGGGCCATGTGTACACAGGAGTGTTGTATGTGTGGGATTTAGAATAATGCGTGAAGACTCCAGGATAAACCAGATATGTAAGTCATGGTGCTAGGTAGTAACATAAATGCTGTTCAGGACTTTGGAGGTAAAACAGCACTTATTTTTCTATGCTTTCCTTTTAAGAGAAAAATTTAAGACTAATAGGATCATAAACATTGCATTTGTTTTATGTTGAAATTCTGCATTGATTTTTCGATTTGCCTTCATGATTATGTTCTTGAGTCTGATGACATTCTGGTTTTCATTTTCAGATTCTTATTTCACCAGCATTTTCTTTGCACTACATACCTTGTTGTAAAATGCAGGTTTCTTGGTTTCCAAGGGGAAAAAATGTATATTACATAGTATAGCTGAAATCCAAAATGTCTCCCAGATGGAAAAGAAAGAACATTCATCTCATCTTTTCCTACTGGATCTGGCTGGGTTTTGGAAAGGACTTTATTATTTTCATGTGGCAAACTGCGTTGGCAAATTGTTCCTCAAAGTACGCAGTGGCGTGTTCATCTAATATTATAAGATATGGGCAGCATTTATGAAAGATTATAAATCTTACAACCCTCTTCAGAAACTTAAAATACAGCTGGAAATGTTTTGCTTCCAACAAATATGCAATCTTCATAAAATTCGAAAAGAAATGTTTTGAATAAATAATGTTTTAGTTTATTTCTCTCTAGTGCGAGAGCTATTTCTTTTAGTCAAAATCGTGCCATAAAACTCTTCCCTCCTCTACATTAGCACCCTTGCCTCTGTATTTATATTATGCTGGTGCATTTAATGTATATTTTTAAGTATGCCAGATTGCTTTGCCTTGTTTTTAAAGATAGAAAACTGGATTTGCTCCCAGGGACTCTTTCCCTAACTCGACCAGTTTAAAAACTAAGCAAGGATTGAGTCAGTTAATTAATTTAAATAAGATTACAAATCAAAAACATATTATGCAATCTTGATTTAATTACCACATTTTATTTACTTAATTGAAAACACACTGTAGAAAGTCAGCAATCTTGACAATGACCAGTACGGTGTTTTTGCATTCTGTAGGTTAAAGCCTTCAAAAGCAAGAACTGTAGGTGATCCTGATTATGACCTTTGGTTCACTCAATCCCTAGATCAGTAGGAAGTCATTGAACTTAATCTTAGGTTAGGGCAGAAAGGTCAGATATGATTATCCTAGCTTCCCATTGTTGTGGGGGGTGGGTTGGTACTACTTAATGAAGTACCACAGCCCTCTGGTCAGAGATGTTGGCAGGTTTAACACTTTTTGTGCAGGGTTTCATATTTGCAGGGGATTCATTAGTAGTCCCCTGTGGTAGAATGATTTGCTTTGATTTTTTTTGATATATGATTTTTGATAATATGATTTTTTTTCCACCTTAAATTTCAGTGGCCTATTTTTTCAGTTAATTCCCTGTGGACAAATTTCAGTCTTGAGCGCTAACAAATCCTTATTTTAATCCTTGGGATATGACTCTTTGTACCTAATCTCCTTGTTAAGCAAAAAAGTGGCTCTTTAAAAGAAAGCTTAATGATAAAACAACTGGGATGTTCAGGAATGAAACAGGATATATCGTATATCTACTCTCTTGTTCTGTAGTTTTCTTTGGTTAATGAAATTACTTTATCATGAAGATCTTAAGTGTAGCAACATCTTTTTAAACTATGCGTTTTGCTAAATCAAACGTATATTTTAAAATCAATGTTAAACAACAGAAAGAGGGATCTGAAGATATAGGTCTTCATACTTGAAATAGTAAATAGTTTAAAATATGCAGGAAACTGCATCTCCCAAATATTATATTGGTTCTGCCAAAATATTCAGAGAGGTCTAATTTCTCTTATTGCTCAGAACTGGGTTTAGGAGGAGTACGGATTCACTAAAAAAACAAACAAACAAACAACAAACAAGATCAGGGATTCCATTAACAAAGTGATAAAGTTAAAACTTTTCATGAACAGCTTGTTAAGTTAAGTTTTGCAGTGAAGTGGACTCCAAATAATTTAATGCCCTATTGAAAAGAGACAGAGAGACAGAAGCAGAGAGAGACAGGAGATAAAGGGAGACACAGGCACACACACACACACACACACACACACACACACACACACACACACATACACACACACACACACACACAGGAGCGAAGAATGAAGGAGGGAGAGAGAGAGAGAAACCATTTCCCAAACATTTACATGCTTATGAGAGGCAAGGAAAACACTCAGTTTTCCCATGTTCTTTCGTTGTCTTATTTTAATACACATCTAATAGAGAGAAAATAAAATAATGTAGAACTATAATTTTGTGTCACCCAAAGCAATGAAGCAACCTTCCATTAAAACTGAAGCTGCCTGGTGTTTTAACTGTGCTGGAAAAAAAAAAGCCAAATTATGTAATAGGAAACTTGATTATGGAAAGCTAGTGTTCTGTAAATCCCAAGGAATCAGTCATGGGAGACAGTAAACTGCAAAGAGTGAGGTAGAAAACTTTGGGCAGAGAGAGGGGAAGAGAGAAGAAGGTTTGGCCCAAGGAGAATAGTTTGCTCTCCATTACCCTTAATAATATAGATGTTTTTGTTTTACCTTTTTATTTCCCTACTATAAAATACATGCATTTGTATTCCTTCCGTCAAGCTTTTGTTTCTTACCTGTTACGTCTTGTTTCTGGCATGCTATATATTTAATTGTAAAAATATACTGTTTTATTATATTATCAATTAATAATGTTTTAGAGAGAAAGAAAGAGACTGTTCTGAGCCTTAAAAAAAATCTCATGGTATTCTTTCATTGACAATGGGCTATTTCTTCACCTGCTTAAGGCAAAGAACTATGACAAAAGGGCCCTTTATCACAGGATGACTAAGTTTAGTTCTAGCAAGAGGCTATCTGTAGGTTAACAGGTTACATTGTGGGTTTCATTTACTCCTCTGATATCCCTTGATATAAAAGCTATATTGTTATGGAATCATAGAATTTTAGAGCCACAGGGGACCTGAAAACTCACCTTGTACAGCTCCTTCTTTGCACCAAACTCATTATAAATTAAAATTATGCTTTTCCAGTTGTCTTTTTCTGTTGATCCTCAAGCCATGGTGTCAGAGAATAAAAAGAGTTCCTAAAAGAAGTTTCATCTAGGAGTAGAAAGTTTATCTATAAAGGTCATTAAAACTTTCTTGCCTCAGTGCTTGCAAAGTAGGGACATGGACCTTCAACAAACATTTCTTCTCTTTATAGGAGATGGACAAAAAATAATTTCTAACTCAAAATAGTATGTCTTATCCACCCTATCTTGTTTCCAAATATTTCTTCAGGAAGTTGGGAAGTAGGATTGAGCCTTACATTAGACTGAGAGACTTAGCCCTGGGAATTGTGTGTCTGTTTCCCTGGCTTGCCACAAGAAATTTATCTGTTTGACTTCTACTGTATGATTTTACACAGAGCGGTATGCTTTGTCTTTCTTTCTTGTGCACTTTTATAGTTTATAGACTGATGGTTTTCTGTTCATTTGACTTAACCAAATGTGCCAGGCCCTATCCCAAAGATTAGGGCTATAAGGCTAAATAGGGCAATAATAGACTTCGTGTCATATTGTTGAGGATGTAAAGGGGATGACCTCACCCTGGGGGACTTCAGGGAGAAAAAAGGGGGAACATTATGCACAGACTTGGAGACATCAAATGCAGGAGACACACAAGGAGTCCAAAGGCTAAAGTATGACCCAGGTGCTGATGGGGACCAGATCAAGGTGCCATGAATGGCATACTATTTTCAGAATATATGTAAAGGTTTTAGCAGATGTTTAGCTTAATCAGTTTTGGGTCTTATAAAGATCTTCTTGGTAAAAGAGTGAAATATGTCTTAGAAAGGTGGGAAATCAGGTCGTTTTTTCACGGCATTGTTCCTAAGGTCACCTTCTTTTGATATCTTTTATGATATGCCCTTGCCCACCTTTCCTAGGAAGAATCATCTGTCCCCTCTTGATTTATGTATTTTTTTATTTGTATATTTCTGTCTCTTCAGGCAGCCTCTGAGCTTCTACATGGCATAGAGTATACTTTTTTTAAAACAATATTTAAAGGTCATTATTGTAAATTAAATATAAATTTAATAAGCATTACAGAGCACCTACTGTGTTCCAAACATTACCAGGTGTTTGGAATACATGAGCCGATCTTGGCTCACTGCAACCTCCACCTCCCAGGTCCAAGTGATTCTCATGTCTCAGCCTCTCAAGTAGCTGGGATTACAGGTGTGTGCCACCGCACCTGGCTACTTTTTTGTATTTTTTGGTAGAGACGGGGTTTCACCACGTTGGCCAGGCTGGTCTCAAACTCCTGGCCTCAAGTAATCTGCCTGCCTCAGCCTCCAAAAGTGCTGGGATTTACAGGCGTGAGCATAAATCTTAATTGATTTACATTTAAATGATGTTTACATTAATGACCTACAAAAAAAATTTGACAGTTTTGATGATTTATCTACCTCAGATAGTTGCAGTGTATCTACTCCAGAAAGTTAGTGCTCAGTAAGAAATACTTTACAGGCTATTACTTATTTATTGTCATATATATTTAACACACATCTTACAGAGCTTCCACCAGATTGTCCATAAAACATTAGAATTTCCTTTGCTTAATGGAGACAAATTTGATTTATAGAATTGGCCTCTCTTTAAAACGTCAATTAGTATATAGAGTTCAGTGATACTAATAATTGCTTCCAACTTAGATATAGAAAATAGCTAAAGGTTTAAAAAAAGATTCTGAAAAAGATTTTGAATGTATTGGTGAATGGTGGGAAGGGTGAGGGAGGTTAGGGGAAGGTAAGTTTCCCAGAAACATTTAAACTACTGAAAAATCATTTAGCTTCGCATTATTTTAGGATTGCATCATAACGATTCAAGAAGTATTGTGTCTGAATAGGCTGTCCATATAGAGAACATAAGTTTTAATAGTTGCTATGCAACTTTGGACAAGCCGTTTGATCACTTATGTGTCCTAGGATCTTCCATAAAATTGGGTCATAGGAAAAACTGCTCACTCCTTAGGTAAGCTTAGATATTAGAAGAGCCACGAGAGATTGACCGCTTTTAAAAAAGGAGTGGACGAAAGGATTGAAAAGTTGGTAAGGGTCGTGCATGAATGTGAACCTTTTCTTGTTCCTGGAGAATCTTTAACCTGGAGAAGAAGGAACTGATTGAGTTTAAAATATAGTAATTTAGAAATAACTTCATTACTTTTTTTTTAGAAGAATAAACATATGTTTAACCCACACTTAAAGAATGGGGAACATGAAACCCACACTTAAAGAATGGGGAAAATAGAGATTGAGATCGAGGAAGATAAAATGAGAGGTGGAAGAGAATGAGGGAGGACTGGTTTTGGTTGGCTGCCTCCAAAAACTCCTCTCTTTTTCTCTACTGCATCAAAATCTTTCCAGACACTAAACTGGGTGTGGTGGCTCACACCTGTAATCCCAGCACTTTGGGAGGCCGAGGTAGGCGGATCGCTTCAGGCCAGGAGTTCAAGACCAGCCTGACCAACATGGTGAAACCCCGTCTCTACCAAAAAATACAAAAACTAGCTGGGTGTGGTGGTGTGCGCCTGTAGTCCTAGCTACTCGGGAGGCTGAAGCACAAGAATGGCTTGAACCCAGGAGGTGGAGGCTTCAGTGAGCTGTGATAGTGCTACTGCACTCTAGCCTGGGTGACAGAGCAAGACTCTGTCTCAAAAAAAAAAAAAAAATTTTTTTTCCCAGACACCAGACCCAGTATGCTGGGCAGCTCACAACTCTTAGCAGCCTTGTTCCTCAAAGACTTCAGCCTTCTGGAAGGTAATTTTCATCAACTGGCTGGTATCTACTGCCTTTTGAGCATGACAGCTGCTAAGAGCCTTGAAGAGCAGTGGACTCCTCCCTTTTGGGGAATGAGGGGTGAAAGCATTTACACAGGATTTCTCAGGTAGGCACACACTTCTCCATGCTTAGTCATCCCACCAGTCATTTTCAGATGCGTGTGTTGGGATGGACAGAACTTAGTTATGTCCCTTTTCTCCCTTTCTTCCTAAAAGTTAGTTGTTATTAAGCATAGAGCCACATTAAAAATGATTAATTTTTTCATTTTAATATGTTTAAACCATTAAATATATTAATCATTTTAAATGTGGCTCTATGCTTAATATTAATATCTTTTATTTACTGATAATGTAGACTGTGTCTGACCCAATGCTTTTGGTGCTTAATGTGATAGAATCTTGCAATGATTTTACAAGGTAGATAATATTATTGCAGTTTTCAAGATCCAGACACCAAGACTCTTAAGAGTAAGTAATTTTGTACAAGATCATGTCACTAGTGAGGGACAGAGCCAGGCTTCACTGTAACATATTAAATACACACACACACACACACACACACACACACACACACACACACACACACACAGAGAGAGAGAGAGAGAGAGAGAGAGGTGGGGGGTGTTGAGCAAAGTGATGGAAGTGGTTAAATAAAACCTTTGGGTATAGAGTAATTTGACCTAGGTGGTGAATTGGAAGGGGTTTAGATGTGGTCTGAATAATTCCTTCTCTGAAGTCAACCACAATAACAGTTCATTTTTGGTTTCTCTGCCAACCACGACTCCCTGGTTACTTCCTTTTCCAGCAGTTGGAATTAAGTGACCGATATAAGGTGACATAAGAGTTAAGAGTAGATTATAGTGTTAGAATTTACAGTCTGAAAAGTAAATGCTCTATCATTTGCTCACTGAGAGGGCCCTCTCCTATGTTTCTGAGACACAGTATACACTGCTTTATTTCATGAGAAGGTATGGGCTTTGGCATATGAAGGAGTCTGTCATTGTGTGCCAGTAAACACCAGATCATTTTAGAAAGTGGAATTGTTACAAAAAGCCAATGTGTGCCTCAAATTTAGGGTCTACTTCAGCTTTCCCTCAAATGCTTGTGGTTTTTTTAGTAAGTATATTTTTTCAATCGAAGAAGTTGGTCTGCAGTTGTTGGAAATGAGAAGAAAAAGTAATTTATAGCAGAAAAGAATAGAGTTTCCCAAGTGGGATGTTGTGGTAACAGGGGATGCCATTGTTCTAGCTGGATAGTTTCTTACGAATGGAAGAGACTTTTCATTCTTTTCTCTGCTGGACCCAAATTTTAGCAACAGATGATGGAAAAGAGTTTTGCGGCACCATTTTGAAGTTGCTGTAACTAAACATGCTAAGGCTCATGCAGAGTCTACAACTCCTGAAATAAGGCGACTGCTGCAACAATTGACAACTTTAACTATCTCAGGTGTCATCACAAGCTTGGCATTAGCCACCTTGAGGGGTGCATGTCTAGACCTTCATAAGAGTGAGATAGCTTTGGAGGGAAAGTAAAACATAGGGAGGCTCTGGTCAGTGGGTGTATTATACATAAGTAGGAATTCCTAAAAAATGTTAGAATCGCTTGAGAAATTAAACTGGAATGTAATATCAATGCTGAGAGACATTTGTCAGAGGAACTCAAGGTAAAAATAGCTGATGCTATAGCAAAAAGTTATGATTTATCATTTTTATGTAGCTATCATACTCCAGGCCTGGAAAGTGGCCCATATTGTACCAGTTTTTTAAAGGAATGTAGAACGAAGAAGATTGATCTCCTAATTTATAAGTCACTGAATCTTGCCTTGATTTCAGAAAAAGTAATAAGAGGACTTCATGGGAGATGAGAGAGATTTTCAGAGAGTTCTCAGCTCTCTGACTGTCTTCAGGAGACTCGAGCCAGATGAAGAATGGTCATTTCTAGTTTCTTTACTTTCATTTTGAAAAATCAGGAAACAATTGGAGGAAAATGTGGGAATCACTAAATATGCCTGCCAAGATCTCATGAAATCTGTTCTAGAATAAAACCAAAAAGACAATTAAGGAAATGGGATGAAGGGGTAAAATTCTGATTTCAGCATTAAATCTAAGCTAACAGGCATGAGGCAAAGGGCAGAAATAAATAACCAGGTTTTATATGAGAAGAAACTAACAGGATGTTCTTGCATTTAATAGTAGAAGCAGCAATTTCAGTATGTTAATCACTTACCTGGAAGGACAGAATAACCCCGATGAAAAAAACCAGCATATGATTTTCCTGCTTAACCAAATCACTTTCTTGGCTCAAGTATAATGGCAAGGTTTGGGGGAAGAGACTTGTCAGTATATGGCAGTACATGACAGAGCCGTCATTTGTGCCCCACCTATCAAATTTTGTTGAAATTCATTATCAAGTTCAAAATTGCCTTTTCTAGGCAAGCAAAGAGGCTGCTGGAGCTGAGCCATCCATTCCTCCGGCGTTTACTGCAAGCCTAGTGCATTCACAGCCATGAACAGCACACTGAGGAGGACACAAAAGAAGTAGACAGAATCTCTGCCTCTGCTTAGGAGTATGCAATTTAGTTGGGGCGACAAAACTTAAATGCTAGAACCAATAAAAGAAGATTACAAAGCAACTCGCAAGTAAGTGTATAATAATATGGGGCAAATGACACAGATAAATGGAGAGGGTACAAGGAGGGAAGAGGAGTGAGCAAAACACAACAGTGTCAGATCAGTCCGAAAGGGCATGTTGCCTAACAGTTGTATGTCTTCCACGTTTCTTTCTGTAGCATCAATGAGGAATAGTATGGGGTAGGAAATTCAGATATACGACATTGATCTCTTCCTCCTTACCTGCAAAGTCTGTCCATCTGTCATGGATGGAAATTAAATTGATTCAACCATTTGCTCTCCACAAAGCCATGTTGGTTTCTACCTAGTAATTTATGCTTTCCTTGCTGTTTGCAAATCGATTGCTATTATGGGATGTAGATAAATCTGGGCCTGGATCCAGTAGGTTGGGAGATTATTGGAGTGGGTATGTGTACTTGTGTGTGAAATCATGGAAAAGCGGACTCTCATTTCTGTGTATTTTACTCATTGAATAAAAACATACTTTCAGGCTTTTAAATGCACGTTTAATTACACTTAGATTGCATTTTTAAGAGAATATATCTGCTTTATTTCATATTGCTACTGACAGGCCTCAATATTTGCCTAACCTTCAAACCATCTTCAATGGCTTTGTAGCCAGATCTTTTGTTTCAAAAAAACCTTGCTCTAGCCCAAGAAAATTATAGATCAATACTTGTGTTTTTCTTTTGACATAGAAATATGTATATGCATTCATGTAGTTTGATGAGTAAAATGTTTCTATCAAAAGTCTTGGGAAAGTGTATTTTATTTAAGCACTCAACTTCATTTTTATACCTTCAAATTTTTTTTTCGAGTCCTTTGAGGATTGTGAAATTCTTTCAAAACAAATTAAAAAGAAAACATTTTCTGTGATTTCTTTACAGATTCTGGACAATCAGGAAGTCCAAGCCACAATGATCCTGCCAAGAATCCTCCAGGTAAATATGTGTTCCAGGACATTTGCAATCTGACATTGTTGGAGAACAAAGGTACCACTGTATAGATAAACACCCCATAATTGGTCAGCTGCCTATTTTGTTCTGGCAGGCAGGTATGATCGGGACAAGATGTGATTGTGCTTAGGCCCTTTGCAGTGGCAAATACTTTTATATTGGCGTCATCAGTATTTACCTAATCACCAATGTTTTAATTTTTGTTGGTGTTTCTTTGAAAATAAATACGCATATATTTTAGTTGTGTATCTTTTAGGTGCTAAAATAATTGCTGTTTGAAAAGCCAATGAACCTTTTAATCTTTCTTTTAAAACTCATAAGAAAATGTAAAAATTTCCATACTGCAATTATAGTTTATCAACTCTCATTACTTTAGAAGGGGGTTGGGGGTGGGAGTGGTTGGTTGTGTTTTCACTGAAGGATTTTTGCAAGACTTTTTATTCCATAAAGTTTTTATTGGATCTCCAGAATCAGGAAATAATGAAAGCAGGATTTTTTTTTTCTTTAGCATAAGGTATCCCAAATACCCTCTTTGTTTTCAGAAGTTGTTCCAGATCTGAAAATGGGCTTTTATAACTTGGCTGTCTTCATATAGCTCTGAACATACAACATTTTGCTTTTGATTTAGGAACAGTGTTTTTTCTCATGAGATAAAACTAGCACAAGCAGTTTTTCATTATTAAAAGAATGTGAATTATATTGGTGACTTTAGTAAAAGAGTGCTCTAAGAATAAACTAACAAAAACAAAACCAAACACAAAAACCCCGAACCAGCTACACATGCCCCCCACCTCCCCAAACAATCTCATCTGTCCTTTCGTTGAAAATAAACCAGAAAGTTTATATGAAGTAATAGGAAAAGTTTCCTCAGGTAGACTTAGTTTTTAGGTCCTCCATCGTTTGATCTTCCTTGAAGTCGTGCTTAGCTAATATGAGGCTGAAATACCAGAAGAACACCAAAATTGCAAGAAAGTTTATCAGACCAATTTTGTCTTAAAATGATTTTAGAAAGATACAGCAAGTAGATATACAAGTAAAAATGCAAAATCAAAACAGACTATATTTTTCTGAGTCCTATGTTTTTTTATTTCAGAAAAATTATCTTTTTCCAAATATTTATTAATTCTGTATTGTACAAAATCATATTGTTGACAAAAGTAGTATACACTTCAAAGATAAAAAGTTCTAATTAAACACAGGTTTAAAAATGTATGCTAAGTTGATTTTTCATTTTCTTCATAAATCATTTAAATATTACTGTACATTGAGAGCAAAACATTAAAAACAGAATAATTTAAAATGTAATTCCCAGTTAAATTTATTTTATTTTGTTGTGTGTGAATGGAGGATTGATATTATTTTAGTTATCTTTCCAAAAAGGCTACTTAGAATATAATAAATTTTGTCAAAAATTTTCAGAAGTTCAGAATATTTCATTAACTTATAGGGTCTTTTAACTTTACAAAGATTTTTTTCTTTTTAATTAACTGATATTTTCCCTGTGTTGCATGATAGACAAAATGAATTTTATCCAAACATTTTTTAAAAGTCTCCTTACTCATCTTACAAAGAATGAGGTGGGAGAAGAGGGGAACCTTTGGTAGAAAAAGAGTTGATAGCTATTATAAGTCGGACTAAACAACGGATATGTTTTCTGCATTTGAATGAAAGCTTGATTTGAAACTAATAAAGCAGTTATTGTTTGAAGTTCATTTCTGAACATGTACAGAAGGAATTATACTCACCTAAAACTGTTCTCTACTTGAGCTGAATAAATAATCCTTGAATAGTTATGTAACATCATTCAATTTTTCAATATTTGTCAAGAAGCTTGGTTAAAATTTCATTTTTGCTGCATTCGATGTAGCATCTCTTTATTTCTCTGTTTGCATATAACATGGCAAACAAAAACAACCAAGGTAGAACACCTCTAATTTTTTTCCCTTTTAAATTTTCCTTGGAACTCAAACCTTTTTGAGACTGTGTCCTGAAACTGGGATGCTACAGATAAATACATTTTATGATTAGTTGAAAATTGTATATATGTAAATCGTACGTTGATTCTATTTTTTTAGAGCCAGAATGTAATATAAAATACACATTATACCCAACTTAAATGGAATATAATTAGAATTTTATTTAATTATCCAGAATGTAAAATATTGACTTTAATATGCCTTGTGTATTATAATACTATGAACTCAACCATAAGGCTTATTAAGGAATTCTATTTTGGACTTAATGATAGAGATTATTAAAGAATTTTTTATGAGCTTAAGAGTTTGTTTTGTAATACTTCGAAATAAATTAAACCTAGAATATAAAATGTTTTCTAATTTTAAATGTGAACAACTAGAACTTATTAAGGTTTTTGTTTTGTAGTCAACTGGAGTAAATTATACTTTCTATTAAAAGCTTCTTTTTTAAGTATAAGCATATTTGGTATTTTAGGACATAATTTATCTTTAGGAAGCTCTTTTTATCTCTGTATTCTTGCCTTGGCCAAAATATGAAATCTCCAAAATTGAGATTTTGTGTCTTGAGAAGGCACGATCCATGTATGAGAAAATTCAGTCTACCACCACAAGCAATGAAACAATCAAATCACTTTGCTGCTTGAATTGTTATACCAAATACAAGCTAAGCTTTTGAAAAAGATCACCTTGAATACCAACACTTTCTTATCACTGGTAGTTTTCCACTGGGAGATGTGCAACCCATGGAAATTGCTACCGTCTATTCCTGTGTTTATTCCCCAACAGCTTGGGAAGAGATGGCAAAAATTCAAGCCCTTTTGGAGATATAGGCTCTTTGAAATCTGTTCCCCACTGTTGACTTGAAGGTGGAATCCCATCCGATCATCCTATAAGTGCAGATGCATATGCCTACCCACAAACTTAACACCTCCTCTGGCTTGGCTTTTCTCCAGCATCAGGCTTGAATGTCTGACTTTGAGACTACTTTCTTACTGACTTAGAACTTCTGAAGGGTGACCCTAAAGCTCTTCAAACTATAGTATGGACATCTACAGATAGGCCTTTAGTTCTTACTTTGAGTTTCTGTGTTGGAATTAGTATTTAAGCACAAGCAGCAAAGGCAACGCATTTTTGGAAAGGAATATTTGATATTATTTTATAAAATATTTAAGTAATTTTTTGTCATTTGTTATTTTATAGAGCTTTTAAGTAGCCTTTATGGTATTTCTTTAAACGATTTGTGACTTAAATGTTTTGTTTGCATTCTTTGTTACGTGGCAGGGGTGGGCACCGTAATCTTTTTGGAGTGAAGGTGCTCTACAACTCAGATAGCACCCAAGGACATGGCATTGCAATTTTGGCTGAGAAGCGCTAAGCACTTCATTTTTCTAGGGATACACATTTGCCTTGTTTATGATAGAGTCAGAAGTTATATATTTATATTCACTTCTTCTTCTTTGTTTTTTTTTTTTTTTTTTTAACAAGTTAATCCCTCCTAAGCAATAGAACTAAAAATGTCCTCTCTTGGTTATAGCAAACAACTCTTGTGGACCAAATGAGGGTAAACCATTAATTTTGGGACTTAGACATGAATCTCTTTTTACCTTTAATAATTAAAAACTCCACTGCTACTTTTAGGAAATGTGTGATTGATTGGATGGTAATCTTTGGAAATTAGCTTTGACTTGCTTTATTATTTTGTGTGTCTACATTCTTTGGACTATGATCTTTAAGATTTCCCAATCTCAATCCCTTGACTAATCCTAGAATGGGTAAAATCCAAGGAAAACATAGCAATCTAGAATTCAGATTTTTGCTTCTAAGTCAGTTCCAAACTAATGTCTTATTTTGGAGTTCAGGAAGGCTGGTAGTTTTGTGGGGAATTCTCTGCTGGTAATATGACGAAGACATGTTAAATGCTAGGGCAGTTTTTGCAAATTTTATGATATAAACTTTTGGGGCCTTTCTAGTATCATTAAGCAGAACTTTCTTACCGGGAATAACATGGACTTAACATGCTACTTTCCTTTTTGTAGGTTTTATAGGTGCTTGTGCTATTTTGTGTGTTGACTTATGCATGTAGTGTGGCAACACCTCTGGGAACCAGTAGGATTATATATTGGGTGTACCTCAAGTAAGCCACCTTATATCCTCTCTGGAGCAAGGATGACACTAAATAAATAACTGAGTAAATCAAAGAAGGATTATCTATTAATGATAGCTATGTGCTTATCTTGCACTTAAGAAATTCTTTAAGTCGCTGGCTGGGCGTGGTGTCTTACGCCTGTAATCCTAGCACTTTGGGAGGCCGAGGCGAGTGGATCACGAGGTCAGGAGATCGAGACCATTCTGGCTAACATGGTGAAACCCCGTCTCTACTAAAAATACAAAAAAATTAGCCGGGCATGGTGGCGGGCGCCTGTAGTCTCAGCTGCTGGGGAGGCTGAGGCAGGAGAGTGGCGTGAACCTGGGAGGCGGAGCTTGCAGTTAGCCGAGATCGCACCACTGCACTCCAGCCATCCTGGACAACAGAGCGAGACTCCATCTCAAAAAAAAAAAAAAAAAAAAGAAATTCTTTAAGTCATAAAAATTTTGAGATAGCTCTCTCTCCAATGTTATTTTATAGATACTGAAATCAAAGCCAACAGAAGGTTGTCATAAAACTAATAGAAACAAACCAAATAATTATTAGGAAAACTAGTTCAAAATCTTCAGTATTCATTGTCATTTGTTCATCTGTTGAGATCACTAGAGCCGATATTTGCTTGATTTTTCAGATCTTAGAATTTAGGACAAACTTAGTACTTTTTAATCTGTACATAAAGGCAGATAAATTCGCATAGGTCCTTGAGGACCTCATACCACGTTTTATCTTGGAATATGGTGTTCAAAGTCAAAGTCAAAGAAAAGAGAAATTTACTCTGGCTTTTTCAAATCATATTTCATTCACTTTTTTTTTTTTTTTTTTTGAGATGGAGTCTCACTCTGTCGCCCAGGATGGAGTGCAGTGGCGTGATCTCGGCTCACTGCAACCTCTGCCTCCCGGGTTCAAGCAATTCTCCTGCCTCAGCCTCCTGAGTAGCTGGGATTACAGGCGCCTGCTACCGTGCCTGGCTAATTTTTTCTATTTTTAGTAGAGATGGGGTTTCACCATGTTGGCCAGGCTGGTCTTGAACTCCTAACCTCGTGATCCACCCGCCTCAGCCTCCCAAAGTGCTGGGATTACAGGCATGAGCCACCGCACCCGGCCTCATTCACTTCTTAATAAATTCATGTCTATTCCTTCTCATGTCCTCATTTATTGTGTCCATTAGGATCAAGATGTTTTTAATGAGGAAAAATGCACTATTTCATGATACTTAAAAGGTGATTTTAAACTTTGGCACTAGACAATGTGCATTCGACTATAAATAGGCTCTCTATTCATAAAAATATTTGGAGAAAGATGCTGAAAGGACTGGTTAATGGCAGGTAAGACCTGACATCGTAGGTAAAACCTTTAAGTAATTTGAGAATGAGGTCTGTATGGGTCAGTGCTAAAATCAAAGGACTTTTTTTTTAATGTATTTTGTTTTAAAACATTTTTCTTCTTTATCCTCTAACTTGTTTGGAGACGTCACATTCAATAAAGTTCTTAAATGTTCAAATTTAGAATAGGATTCAGAGTAAAGGAAGAGAGGATGAGGGAAGTGTTTCTTTCACAAATTACTCTTAAAAAGCCAGAAGAACGCATAGCCCTCAGCTACATAATTTTACAGGGTACATTATGGGAACTTGTATACAGCCCACTCATGAAAGGTTGATCTACATAGCAGTTGGCACCATGCCCAGCCTCCACAGTGCTTCTAGCCTGATTATTTGTAATACTTAATGTGAAAGAGTCAAAAAAAGGGGACAATTTAGGAATGTCTTGTAAGGTCCTGAGAGAAGGAGATTTTTCCATGTCTCCCCAGTCACCTACTCTATCAGATAACAAATTATATTAATTGCCTAACGATTGCTGAGTTAACAATTAAATACTACATTTGAGTCAGCTCAACATTAGAAGCAGAGACAGCCATTTGCCCTTGTGTAAAATACACACCATTTTATACCAAGAACCATAAACAATTCAGAAAGAGCTGTCTATAGGTAGATTTTTCAGCCAGCAGATATTTATTGAGCATCTATTGTATGCATCACACTCGGCTAGATACTGGAGAAGATAAAAATGTGAGTTACACATGAACCTTGCTTTTCCCAAATGTTTTTGTTCATAAAATCTACAAAATAATATATACATAATTATAATATATGAAATGTATATTACATATGTATTTATATTTAAGATAAAGACTAAATATTAGTGTTACGATGCAGGTCTTGTAGGAGTTCAAAGTTGTGAAATACTGTTTCCCACCATTGTAGGTGGCATGGTGGAGTGAAAAGAGCATGAACTTTGGAATTAAAATTTTCCCTTGAATGATTATAAGGGTCATCAGGAGAATGAGCAAGTCAGCCAACCGCTTTGTGCAGTCAATTATGTTCATGCCAGTTGTGAGGATCACATAGGGGAGCACACCTGACAGATAGCAGGTGCTTGATAAAAGTGAGGGGTTTTTTCATTCTACTTTCTCTTCAGCTAGTTTGATCAAGAAGGCTTCCTGCAGAAAGTATCATTTGATGTGGAATCAAATAGAAATGTGTTGAATTGTAATCCCAGCACTTTGATAGGCTGAGGCGGGCAGATCACAAGGTCAGGAGTTTGAGACCAGCCTGGCCAACATAGTGAAACCCCGTCTCTACTAAAAATACAAAAATTAGCCGGGTGTGGTGGCACTTGCCTGTAGTCCCAGCTACTTGGGAGGCTGAGGCAGGAGAATCGCTTGAACCTGGGAGGCAGAGGTTGCAGTGGGCCGAGACCATGTCATTGCACAGCAGCCTGGGTGGCAGAGTGAGACTCCGTCTCAAAAAAAAAAAAAGTGTTGAATTTTTATACTGCTCTTCTCTAAAGGCTTAAGATGACATACCGAAGTTACAGAAGATGCATAAGAATAGAATGTTAGAGATTTTATAAAGGAGGCAAAAGAAACAGATGCTTTCAAGTCTCATGATGAAATAGAATTGTAATTTTTAGAAAGCAAATGTTGTTATAAGCCTATTGGCATAAAAGGAAAGGTGGAGTGACTTTTGTTACATAAATCTCAGTATTGACATGAGAAAAGGTACAAATGTATCTTTAGAGATTACTTTTTTCCTACCAAGAATTTATCTTGTAGAAGCTTGTATTAACATTGTATAATTTTTTTCCCCTCCTTTCCTTTCCATGGTGTTTCTACTTTATGAAGCCATCAACTTTCTGTGTCTATTGAAACTTCTGTCTGTCCTTTACTTTTCCTAGCCCTCTTACTCTGCCTCTTATTTCACTGATTCCTACCTACCAACTTATTTCTTATTTTAAAACATACATCTTTTGTTCCTCATTTGGACAAACCCCTTTAACCAAGTGTCTCATCTCTCTCTCTTCTTCTTCGTAACATGGCATGAAGGATGTCAAAGTCTCATCTTGATTTCCCCTGAAATTCCATCTTGATTTCTTCTCAGCTTCTGTCCCCACTGAAATGATTCTCATTAAATCCATGACCAGTGGTTTCTTTCTGTCCTGTTCTTGCTTCCATATTCCTGAATATTTATTTGATTTAGTTGGCCATGCTCTGTTTAAAACTTTGCCCGTGCCTCTGAAAACAGGACCTCTCCTGGTAATCCAGGAACCTTCCTATGTTTAAAAATTGCATATGGTGATTTCTTCTGTCTTCTTAATCAGATTTTTGTCTTTAATTCTCTGTGTTTTCAGTACCTTGCGATTTTTAAAGTATATTAACCTTTTCTCCTAGATGTTTACCTTTGAAATACCTCTCTCTCCTAATGATTTAGACCTATGTGTCCAACTACTTTTCGGACATGTTTCCCTAGATGTCTCATGGTTAACTCCAATTTAACATTTCCAAAGTTAAATTTATTTTATTTTACCAGACTTGGGTTTTTTGTTTTCTTTGTTTTTGCTTTTTCCCTTTTTAAGATATCCTGGAGTCACCAGAATCCTATCTAGATACCCTTGGTTAGAGTTGCTCATGATTTCTTTCCCAGGAACCCTTTTTCTTCCTTATCCTCCACATATTCATTCATATTCTACTTTGAAAGGTCTCTTGAATTTACTTTTACCTCTCAGTTACCATTACCCTTATTTGACCTCTGAACACTGTTTCTTGCCTGAAATTGAGGAAAAACCTTTAAAAAATGTGACTGCCTACTGGGCAAGAGATGTGTGCACACAAGTTTATATTTAAAGGAGCAGTCATAGTGGAGTCAGAGATGTCTACCCCTTCCCAGGGAATATAAGATGCATGGAACAGTTTGGATAAAAGGATGAACAAGAGGTTGTAGGGTGGATATAGTCCTAGCCGAGGAAAGAGCATTTCACATGGAAGAAGGGGAAAGGAAGGGAACTTGGTGTCTGAGCAAGGCTTGAGCAGCATTTAAAGCCGTGACATAGAATATAGGTTCATAAGTAGTGAGTCATCAGGGGTTTTTCAGCAAGTCAGATTTGTGTTTCATGACTTGTGTTAATATACAGGTCAGAGAAAGAAAGAATGGGGAGAAGAGTTAATTTCAACACAGTACTCTCCTTTCACAATGCTGTCAGAGAAAGGACTCGTTCATGGGCTACAGTTAGTTCAAACTTTCCTTAACTTTACAACGGTATTTTAAGGTCTCGTGTTATCTGAAATGGTGTCATAAGGTAACATAGAATCCAAGTAAAATTTTAATATATTGATGTAGGCACTTAATTAATACTGTACCTAGTTCCAGAAAACTTCCAAGAGGGCTTGCACAGAAATAGCTTGTAATTTGCTAAATTTTAAAGGCTATTGCTATAACCTATATTTTTCTTAGTTGAATGTCTAGGTTCCCCTTAAGGGAGGGTCAGAATCCTCATGTGAAAAGACGTCTGAGTCATAAATTCCTCTAGGTGAGGTTGTGATGGTACCTGCTGTTCTGGGCAGTGTTGTAGTGATGGCTTTTACCCAAGTATCTCATGTAACTCCCCCTCTCCCCGAGATGGGGTCTTGCCTTGTTGCCCAGGCTGGAGTGCAGTGGCATAGTCATGGCTCACTGCAGCCTGCCTCCTGGGTTCAAACAATCTTCCCACCTCAAGCCTCTCAAGTAGCTGGGACAACAGGCATGTGCCACCATGCCCAGCTAATTTTTAATTTTTTTGTAGAGACAGAGCCTTGCTATGTTGCCTAGGCTGGTCCCCAGCTCCTGGGCTGAAGTGATCCTCCCACCTCAGCCTCCCAAAGTGTTGGGATTATAAGCATGAGCCACCATGCCTGGCCTCAGGTTCCTTCTACGGTGGCCTCCTGCATCCAAAGTTTCCTCTCAGTTTAAATTCTTTCCCTCTCCATATTTACAAGATCTGCTTTTGCCACATACAGCTACAATTTAATAATGCAAAGCATTTTCTGCCTCACAGACGGAAAGCTGGGATTGTTTTGTATCACAAATATAGTGGACTTGCTCTAGGCTTGTTAAAATCACTGAACTTTGCAGAAGTTAAGCTCGCTGGACTAAACTGTCCAGGCACTAAGGCAACTCTCACTTGTATATTTAAGCATAATGTTTAAAAAGAGAGTACAATTCTATAGTAATATATTGCAAACAGAATAAAATATTAAGTAGATATGTGTCTAATTACCCGAGGAGTTTTAATCTTTTTCTACCTTATAGGATTAAAGGATGTGATTTAAAGATCTTGGACAAATCTCCTACTAAAGTCTCAGTTTTTCTTTCCTTCTCCGTGACTATGAAAGCGTATCTAGGTAATGAATAATTTAAGCAAGGACTTTTGTGTGTTAATTTGACTGTTGTTTGTTTGTTTGAGAAGGAGTCTTGCTCTGTTGCCCAGGCTGGAGTGCAGTGACATGATCTCAGCTCACTGCAACTTTTGCCTCCCAGGTTCAAGCAATTCTCCTGCCTCAGCCTCCTGAGTAGCTGGGACTACAGGCATGGGCCGTGTCCGGCTAATTTTTGTATTTTTAGGAGAAGTGGGGTTTCGCCATGTTGGCCAGGCTGGTCTTGAACTCCTGACCTCATGTGATCCGCCCACCCTGGCCTCCTCAAGTGCTGGGATTACAGGCGTGAACCACCACACCCAGCTGACTCTTATTAGCTTTTGCTTGATAATGTCATTGATCATAGAAGAATTTAAGAAACAATGGTCAGGTTTTGGTTTTCAAAGTTGTTACAAATCTTTTTGGGGTCTTTTGACTTACATTCTGCTCTTTAGGGACCTTGGCATCTTTCATACCAAACTCCTGTTTTTGCTGAGATATTTTAATTCCTGATTCCACTAGACATATCTTCCCCTTGCGCAGTGCTCTATACCTTGCATGTATGTGTGTTCCTGCAGTATTCAGCAGGAAGAAGACAGGAAAACCACTTGACTTTCAGATTTGATCTTATTAAAATCATCACTTCCACTTGTTAATGTCATGAAACAAACAGTGACATGATGAATGGTAAGATGCTGGCTCCATTGTGTATTTTGCAGTAATGTTTTCAATGCAATGGATTTTTCATTTTAAAATTTGGTATTTTGGACTGCTGTCATTTTCTGAATTGAAGTACTTTCTAAGCAGAGCAGTATTTTCTAAATAAGTAAGATAGAACTAGAAGATGATCATGTCTGTTGGGACATGATAAAGTATTCTGCTATTTTATGCTTACCATGTCCAAATTGATATCCAAAAATAGCCCACATGAATAATGTTACCTTATATAATGTTGATGGGTGAAGAAGGGAGTACTTGTGAGCTTTTGGGAGAAAGAATGTAGAAAGAACAGAGGAATGAATACAAAGGCTCAGGCTGCTGATGAGAGGGGCAAAATGTTTTAAAAAGAAGGTAATTGATGCTGAATCTTAATAACTCTTTAAAAACCTTTACACTTTGCCTCTTTAACTAGCTCACCTAGATCATTTTAATCATTTCCTAATCTCTGTAGCGATATTTTGCCTCATGTCTTAATCCCTCTGATATATCCATTACAGGTCTGTGGTGATGTGCAAATCTGATTATTTCATTCACCTCCTTGTATGGTTCCAAGGTCTCCACTCTAGCCTAAGCCTAGCTCGTTAGCATGACATACAATATGACCCTTCATGATTTGTCCGTTGCACACATGGACTATGCCTTTAGCGTTAGCCGTGTGCTGCTTCTTTGTATCTTTGCTCATGTTGTTTCTCTGCCTAGAATGCTTGTACTCCCTTGTCACCTCCTCAGTGAGACTTCTTCAGAGCCTCTCTGCAGTGCTGTTTTACAGTACTAGCATTTAGTGCACTATTTTATCTCTATTTTCGCATCTACTCCCCTTAATGAATTCTGAGCCCCTTTGGGTGAGTATTGCATTCTTCTTTTTTGTATACCTATCATCCAAGGCAATGCCTACCTACAGACAATGTCCAAGATTTATGAAGCAGAGGCTTAGACCAATAATAGACTAAATAAATAACCTGTTCTTGCAGTGTGTGGGATCATTCCCTTACTCAGAACCTGACCTAGGCCTAGAAAAAGCGGGTACTTCTGCGGAGATACTTACAGTGATCCTCTTATGCCCTGTAGGTATACCACATCCTAGACATGATTATTTGGAATATTTTTCTGAACTCCTCATCTTATGTAGCATACTGATGATGAATTTTGTAGAGAGGTATCTGACTGAGAATTGTAGCACTCCAATATAATTGCTGATTCAGAATACTAATCTCAGGTGGATAGAGTTTCTCTTCTCCCAGTTTGACAAATTATAGAGAAGTCCTGTTTGCTGCTTTTGTGCTTTTGTTTACTAGGGAGTATACTACAGTGTTCTTAGAGTTCACTTGACCATGAATGAGGAACCTGGTAAGATAACATTCTAGAAGCTGCAAAAAAATACCTGACTGTTGTAATTCATACCTTCAAAAATATTCCTGATTACACTGAATGTTTCTGATTCACTTGTGATTCTTTTTGTGCTGTGGAAATAGCACTTTTTGAAAATTTGGAAACCACTCTTTATAGGTCACTTGCTAACTTTATTGAGGTATAATAGCATACAATAAGTTGCATATATATAGTGTACAGTTAGATGAGTTTTGACATATGTGTTTGTTTGTTTTGTTTTGTTGAGACAGCATCTCACTCTGTTGCCCGGTCTGGAGTGCAGTGGTGTGATCTTGGCTCATTGCAACCCCTGCCTCCCAGGTTCAAGCAATTCTCATGCCTCAGCCTCCTGAGCAGCTGGCACTAGAGGCGCGTACCACCATGCTATGTATTTTTAGTAGATGTAGGGTTTCGCTATGTTGTCCAGGCTGGTCTTAAGCTCCTGGACTCAAGTGATCCACCTGCCTCGGCCTCCTAGAGTGCTGGGATTACAGGCATGAGCCACCACACCCAGCCAGTTCTGACGTATGCATATACTCATGAAATCAGTACCACACTCAAGGATGATGACGTTTCCTCTAATCCCAAAGGTTTCGTCTACCCTCATCTTCAGATGACTTATTGATCTGTTTTCTGTCTCTTCCAATTAGTTTACATTACTGAATATGTTAAAAAGGGGAACCCCCCCCCCCCGACACACACACACAACAATATGCCCTTGGTGAGAAAATATGGAGGAACAAGGGAAATGGGATATGATCAAGAACCACGAGGACATATCTTTGAAAATAAAGAACTAGAAAAAAATTCCAGAGAAAATGTTTACCCAGAAGACTTATACGAAAAGTGAACCTACAAAAGAATAGCTTCAATAAATGCGGTATTCTGTGAGATGAGGAAGAATATCAAGAAAAACTAAATTGCTTTCATAGCGTTAAAATTGCATCGGAGGAGTAAGAAACAGCACTGATACTGTGGAAAAAAGCATTGATATAGAGGACAACCCCAAGATACTTATTCCAGAAGCAGAGGAAACACAGAGGTTAAGATGATGAGAAAAGGGTTGATGATGAGAGAATAGAAAATTCAAGGTTTATTTAGGTGTTCATTGTGGAGAAATTGGAGGATGTAGGATCAAAGACAAATGGAGAAAAATTTGATGAGCTAAAAATTATCTATGTGGATTAAAAGGACTAATGCTATTCCAGCCACATAATGAGAGGCTTGTATCTAAATATATCCTGTTGAAATTTTTACATTTCGTGGATGAAGAAAATTTTGAAATGTCCTGGATGAAAAACAAGTTACTTCTAGATTTCCTTTTATCGACATTAAATAACAGGAGACAGTGGGAGAATACTTGAAATTGTGATGGAAAAAACATTGTTTTTCACTCAAGGAGTTTCACCTACAGTCAAAGGCAATGGAAATATATTCTTTATTACTCATGGTATCAAAAAATAGAGTTCCTCATTTTATTTGCAAAAATGTTACTTGAATACCTATTCTGACTGGCAATGTGATGACTCAATAAAAAAATTAAGAACAGGAAAGTATAACCATAAATATATGAATAAAAATATAGATAGAGACTAATCATGAGAATAGTAACAATTAAGGTGAGAATTATGACCAAGTAATTGTTATAAATAAGATGACAGACATAAATGTCAATGTAAAAGATTGTTCTTGAATATATGTAAACAAGAATGTGGTTAACAATCTGGGTCCAAAATTTTAGACTGCATTTTTAAATTTTAGTGAAATACGCGTAACATTAAATTTGTCATCTTAACCATTTTTAAGTGTACAATACAGTAGTGTGAAATGTATTCACGTCATTGTGCAACCAACCTCCAGAAACTTTTCATCTTGCAAAACTGAAACTCAATACCTGTTAAATAACAGCTCTCCATTCCCTACTCTCCCCAGCCCCTGGCAACCACCATGTGACTTTGTTTCTATGAGTTTGACTACCCTAGATAGTTCATGTAAGTGGAATTATACAGTATTTGTCTTTTTGTGACTGGCTTTTTTCCAGATTACATTTTTAAGGGCTGCAAAGAGGAGGAGGCTGGGGAGGTTGGGAAAATAGGAATGACAGACTAGTGTTCCCCTTTTAGAATAATTTATTGTTGAATTTTGCTGAAGAGTCTGTATTATTTGCTTTGTCTCTATTTGTGCTTAGATTTATTATTAGGTAAGCCTGCCTCTTGGTGTCAAGTACATTTTCAGCATCTTGATATGGTCATATGACTTTTTCCTCTATCGTAATGATAGCTTTTCTCATAGTGAGCTGCACTCATTCATGGAATAAACCCTGATTATAATAGTGTATTGTTCTTTTGATAATATTGCTGTATTCAATTTCATATTTTATTTAGGCATCTTGAAGTCACATTTACTTGTGTGCTTGATCTTTCATTGGTTGGTTCATTGTTTTGTTTCGATGAGAGAGGCTACAAATTTAGGTATTCAAGTTTTGCTGGCCTCATAGAGGCTTATAAGAAAGTGTTCTTCATGAGGAAGCTTGTCTTATTTCCTAAGGCCTGGGAGAGTGTAAATAACATTGGAACCTAAAGACTAGATAAAGGATACATAAAATCCAGCTGTGCACTCGCCTGGACCTGGTGCTGTTTTCAAAGGTGGTTCTTACTCACATTTCTAGTATGTTCTAGGATTGTCAAATTTTTAAGTACACTTATGAATCACCTGCAGATCTCATTAAGCTGTGGATTCTGATTCTGAGGGTCTGGGGTAGAGCCTATTCTTCTTCACTTCTAATAAGCTCCCCAGTTATGCCAGTGCTAGTGGCTCTGGAACCACATTCTGAATGTGGTGTCATAGTGATTCCCAAACTTTGCTGTACATTTGAATCACTTGGGGGAACTTTTAAAAGAGTTCTCATGTCCAGGTCTCACCCCATATCAATTAAATCAGAATAGCTGGGGTTGGAAGCCAAACATAAACTGCTTTCAAGAATCCCAGATGGTTCCAGTGTTCAGCAAATTTGGCAACCACTACACTAGGATAATCGGTCCACTCAGGTTTTACACTTCTCTGCTCAATTTTGGTTACTTTTAGTTTACTAATACTTGCCCATTTAAGTTTTCAAAGTTGTAGTCAATAAGTTGTATGTATTATTCTCTCATAATTGTTTTAATGTATTTGATTTCTATGGTTATGTCTTCTTTTTATATTTGTATGTCATGTACCACATCATGATAGGTCAGTCGAAGACAGATTACATATGGCAGTGGTCCCATAAGATTATAATATTTTTATGGTACCTTTGCTATGTTCAGATATGTTTAGATACACACATACCATTGTCTTAAAATCCCCTACGGTATCAGTACAGTAGTATGCTATACAGGTTTGTAGCCTAGGAGCTATATGCAATTTCATGCATATAGCCTAGGTGTGTAGTAGGTTATACCATCTAGGTTTGTGTAAGTACACTCTGTGATGTTCATACAACCATGAAATTGCCTATTAACACATTTCTCAGAATGTGTCCCTGCCATTAAGCCATTCATGACTATACTTGTATATTTTTACTTTCTCTTTTTCCCTTAATCAGGCATGGAAGTGGTTTTTCTGTCTTGTTGGTCTTTTTAGAGAGTCATTTGTTTTATTTATTTTTTTAAATATTTCTTTTTTTCTATTCTGTTAATTTCAGCTTTTATGTTTAATTTCATCTTTTTAATTTTTGGGGTGGTTGTGATGCTGTTCTTTCTTTTATGGTAAGTAATGGGTTTCTTTCTTTCTTCTTTTTCTTTTCATTGCTTTTTAGATAGTTTATAATTTCCCTTTTGATTTTTCTCTTTGGTTCATGGTTTATTTTCTTAATTTCTAGGTAGTTGAGATAATTCAGTCATTTTTTTATTATTTACTTTTATTTGCCAAAGATGAGACAGTATGGCCTTAAAAGTCTGTACTTTTAGGGATTTGTTAAAGTTGCCTCTTTGGTCAAAAACATGATCGATGTTTTTAGAAGTTCCATGAACATATCAGTAAAATATAATTTGTATTTGAATGATATGAAGTTAGTCTTTGTCTAACAGTCATGTTCAATTCTTAAAAAGATACATTAATAGTAAAAATTCTCACTGTGACTTTATTTTTTATAAAGTTTCTTGTATTTTAATAGATTGTATTCATAATATTTTTTGGTGCATGTGGGGTTTATGATTTATCTTCTTTATTAATTGTGCCTTTTATCCATTTATAATTATCTTTGTTGTAATTCAGCTTAAGTTTTCTCTTAACCGTTGCTGATACTGCTTCCTTTTTGTTTGAATTTGCCTGATTTCTCTTTGCCTACCCATTTATTTACAACTTTTTGTTCTCTTTATTATCATTTTGTGTTAGGTGTGTTTCTTGAAAACAGTTGGATTTTGTATTTTTCAGTTGACCTAAACTCCCTTTATGGGAAAATTCAGTCCATATACATTTATTGTAGTGATTTATGTATTTTATTTTATCCCTTATATTTTACTTCATATTATTATATATTTTTACATCCTATTTTCTTATTTTTGCTGCCTTGATTGCATTCTTATTTATTGTGTTTTCTTTTCTCTTTGCTAATTTGGAAATTCTACTTTTTCTTTTCCTGCTCTTGAGATGTCTGCTTTACTATTACTTGAAAAGATTATGCAATTTTTGCATCTACTCATAGGTAGTATGATTATTACCTATATTTTAGGGAAGAGAAATGTGAGGTGTAGAAGAGTTAGACAGCTTGCCTTAGGTTTACATAGTAAATGGTGATAGTCTTGCCCCAGGGCTGCCTTTTTAGCTAGTATGCTTTAACACCGTTGGAGAGAGGCATACCTTCCACATCCATTAAAAAGATAAGAGGGCATACATTTAATTTTATTATGCCATAAAAATAAACATAGCCCACTTAGTAAACTGTAAAATAACGGTGCTAATAAATTTATAAATCTGAAAAATTGAATTTTTTTGGAAAATATATAATAAAATTTATCTCAACATTAGAAAGCAAAAGTAGAATAGTATTCACGATTCAGAGTTATCTAAGAGTCTTCTCTGCAACAGATTCAAGGAAGATGATATTACTAGTAAAGTTTTCCAAACATTCAATAACTTTTTATGAAATAATATTTTGTTTTGTTCCAGAGCATAAAACATATTGGGACAATGATCAAAACCATTTTATGAAGCATGTGTATACTCCTGGTATAAAAACTTGACAAATAAAATACAAAAATTTCCATAAAAGCTTTCCAGCTACCTGTAGAAATATTAGAAGAAACTGAGCCAACCAGTTCAACAGTAAATTTAAGAACTGTCTTCCATGGATGAGCAAAGATAATTAAATCTACGAATTCAGTAATATATAACACCAATAAATGCTGTTAGAAAAAAACCGGAGAATCTCTACTAATGCCAAAAAAGAATTTGATAATATTCAATAGCCATTCTCGTCAGAAAACTTTTTAAAAATCTGAGAAAACTAGGAATAAGTGAGTACTTTTTCAGATAATGAGAAAAAAAAATCAGTGATAAATTCATAGCCAACATTTTCATTGTGAAACTGTAGATGCAATCTCATTGATATTAGGAAAAAAATTTCCTGCTAGCACAATTTCTATTTTATATATTTTTAATGTTTGTGTATTTATGAATGTTCTGATTTTTAAAATGTTTTGTTTCTTAATGTTCTGGTGAAAGAAATATGCTCATATATCTGAAATGAGTCCATTTTATTAAAATGAAATAAATGAAAGTTGTAACATTAATGTAATGACCTTTTTTCTCTATCAACTTGCCACAATTAAAAACAAATCCCTACTAATATGTAAGTCTGGCAGCAGGATTGTGAGATGGACATGCTCACAGCTTGCCCTAAGGAGTGTAAGTTGGCAAAACAACTTTGTGGAAAGCTGCTTGACAGTTTTTACCAAGAGTTTTAAAAGAGTTTATGTCCTTTGACCCTGTAATTCTAATTCTGGGAACTCCAGCCTAAGGAAATCATGAGAATGGCTGACAAAGATTTGTGTATGAGGATGTTAATTACAGTGCTATTTGTTTATTATATTTTAAAAATTGGGAAATAACCTAAAATGCCAAACAATGGAATGGTTAATATAAAGTATGATACAGCCATGCAATATATAGTCATAAAGATCATGCTTTTGAAAAACTTTATCTAAAAGGACAGATACAATGTTAATAGGAAAAAAGCTGGATACAACTATATTTAAATTTGATATTGATTTTATAAATAAATATATATATATATGCGGAAAAAGTTTAAAGGACTGGAAGGAAATATTGAAAAAAATATAATGCTATCAGGGCGTGTTAAAGTTGGGAAATTTCTGACTCCCTCCAAGATCACCTAAATCATCCTCGTGGGTTTACGTTTCATATTGAGAGATACACTTAATTCTAAATTAATATTTGAATGTTAACCTGGGCTATAGGCTGAGATTTAATCTCTGTGAAGAAAATCACCGTCTTTGCAATGATTAATATTTCTATTTTATAATCACAGTTTCAGCTTTAACTTCAACACAAGTTTAGCTTTAACCATGGATAGTTCAAGTCAGTTGAGAAACTGAAGATAGAACTATGTCCTGTAACATCACTACCAGAAAATTACCAATGGGTTAGTTGTGGTATCTGAAGTTATATGAAGATTGGCAAAGAGCTAGTATAAAGTAATCTCTTCTTGTCCCTTTACAAAAAGAATTAAGCCTTCTTTTAAACTCTGTTGAAGAAAGTGAACAATTGCAATCATAGGGCTGGAAAATGCCTATAGATGTCTTATGTCCACCTGTTTGTTCTCCAAATGAACAATGCCAGAAAACTAACATAGGAAAACATCTGTGTAAGAAGGGAGAATCTGTGGGTTGCAGTGGCTTTTGAGATGCTTTCTTCTTTTTTTCTGTTTTTTTTTTTTTTTTTTTTGAGATTTCCTTCACAAAGCAAGAATTTTTATATCCAGTGGGAGTCTTTATAGCCACTGAGAAACTATCTCTGTAAGATGAAAGTTTCCTCATCTGTAAAATGGCAACACCAATAATATGACATATTTTATAAGATAATGGTGAACGTGAAGTTAATGCCTGCTTGTGAAGGTCATCACAGTTGTTGGGAATATATTGGTTATGCTACCTTTGCAAAATTTCACATGCCTTTTTAGGCCTGTTCCCATTGGATGACAAATCTGTTTATTGAGCCAAAAAACAGCTCCTGGAACTATGCAGAATAAGTCAAATCCACCATCTACATTAATAGTCCTTCGAATACTTGAAGACGGCTTTCATGAATTTAATAACTGCTTTCTGTGGCTTCTTTTTTTTTAATTTCAAGAATAGAACACAGTAGACTGTAAAAATGAGCATTATCAGTCTTCCTTTGGATTTTCTATGTAAATGTTGTTTAACATTCAAATGGTACTGATTATAATTTGAGATATTAACAGTTAGATATGCCATTGTGTCCCTCTGTTATTGTTTGTAAAGGAGGTTAAACAGTATATTAACTTCTGAGTAGTGATTTACTGTTGCTTTTGTCAGAGAAAAATAAAAAAGAAGTAAAATAATATAATTTGATATTGCCTTTGAGACTTTTCAGTTTGTAGAAGTCTTTATTTCCTACTCAATTTTATTTTTTTTAAAAAGCACACATGTAGTGTAAATACAGCATCACACAAATGCAGAGTTGTTCTTTTCTTCCTGGATTAAGCTGTTGTGTAATATTGCTCTGTAACCATTAAGCAGCTGCTCTGCCTCAGAGATGCTCATATTTCCTTTGGTAGACGAAGGGAATTTACTATATGAATGTCTCCAAATTGCTTTAAGATCTTTAGCTGTTGTATTAGCTATTTAGATTTACAGTGGTCTATGAAATGTGAAAAACATGTTCCTGAAAGGCCCAAGGACCTTGGAGGTTACAGATGGGGTTATGTTAGCAGCAGATAACCTGACATTTTGCTGAGTTTCACCCCCTATCCTACTGCAGGACCCCTGCCCATTTCAAAATCCTCTCAGTTATTTTGCTACAGCCCTCAAGTATTGTCTTCTGTATGCTAATGAGTAAGCACTAGTAGGTATCCAAGTACTATTTTAAGTATCTGAGTACTATTTCATCCATGATTTCTTTTTCACTCTGCCACGTCTTGGTTAATGCCTGTCCGTTACAAAGGCTATGCTGCCTGCAGAGATGCATGAAGGTGGCAGCCATCTGCTTCCGGTGCTTCTCCCAGGCTACCCCACTTGGCTGATTCTCACCTGTCCCTGTTCCCATAGGTACATGGTTAATAGGCATCATCACTCATCCTCAGGAAACCTTCCTCCACTAAAGTCTCACTGGGCTCCATGCAGGAGTAGAGCCCAGTGGGACCTCTGTGGTTTTTTGCATTTTATCCAGTAGGTTCCAAAGAAGTTCTGATATATTTCCAATGCTTTTCATGGTTTCGGTAAACTACCTCTTTCCATTGTTTCCGTAGATTCCAATTTCTTAGAACCTGGGAAGTTGGGGGTGGGGAGTGGAGAAACACCCTGCTACATTCTGAATTGTCTTCTTTTTTTCTGTGAATAGCTGCAATAGTCATTGTATTGTCTGTGTTTGACTGCCTGACTGTCTTCCCACTGGTAGAATTGGCCTTGAGCTGACTCATCCCTTCTTCATGATTTGGCTTCCAACAGGCTCACACCCCACTCCATCTTAATGGTCATGACTTAGGAGCAGATGGATCTCTGACTTCTCATTGGAGTAATAAGGAAATGAACTTCAGATTACACATAGATATTGTAATGTTATTTTGTATTACCTCTGATATAGTTTATGTAAATACATTGAAATGTTCATCACTTATTCATCGATGTGTTTCACAAATATTTTTGGGCTCTTACTATTTAAACACTTCCAGTTCTTTGGTTGTTACTTTGTATTAAATGCTTGACATTACACATTAGTACACAACAAAGTAAGAGATACAATCCGACCCTAATCATTACTCTTTCTCATGTGACCCAAAAGCCTAAATACACTCTTCAGCAAACAAGTTCTAGGGAATAACAGAGGTTAGTATAATTATCCATAAATCTTAAACCATCTGTATCTACATTGTAATAAAATGACTAAGATGTTAATGTGTGACCCTGTTTGTAAAGTTGAATTTTAAAATTTTGTTCTGTGTTTATTTAGTACTTACTCTATATATAGGCAACGAGTTAGTCATTAAGGAAGATATAGAGATGAACAAAACCCAGTCACTTCTGTAAATAAAGGATCTGATAATCCAGCAATGACTGCAAGACTTGAAAACAGATCTCTCAGAAAATCTGAAAGTACAAAGTATAAAATTAGTACAAACTAGGTGCTATACAAGTACAGAGGAAGGAGATTTCTGGCTGGGCCAGTGGGTGGTAGAAGGAGTTGGAGGAGCAGTTTACAGAGTGGGTGGTGGTTGGGCTGGATTTTGAAGGATGAGACTAGAGTGTGTAGAAAGAGGGCCATCTCATCTCAGGGAGCTGCAGGAGGAAGATATGAAGGGTAGGCATTTACAAAGTACAATTGGGTGATGAAAAATAATCTTGTGTGACTGGTTAAGTATATGAGCTGTAGTCATGATAAAGGAGGTTGTTTTGTTTTTTTGTTTTGTTTTGTTTTTTTTTTTTTTTTGAGATGGAGTCTTGTTCTGTCGCCCAGACTGGAATGCAATGGCTCCATCTCGGCTCACTACAACCTCTGCCTTCCGGGTTCAAGTGATTCTCCTGCCTCGGCCTCCCGAGTAGCTGAGACTACAGGTGCCCGCCACCATGCCCGGCTAATTTTTGTATTTTTAGTGGAGATGGGGTTTCACCATATTGGCCAGGCTGGTCTCAAACTCCTGATCTTGTGATCCACCCACCTCGGCCTCCCAAGATAAAGAAGGTTTTGTACTTAATATATTTACTTTATTAAGTTTACCCTATATAAAATAAAGTATAATGAACTATAAACAATAACAAAAGCAACAAAAATCTTTCTATATGATAGTAAGTTACAGTGGTCCAGAAGAGTCAAAACATCTCTTTCCCCGACCAGGCAAGACAGTCAGTGTCCTTTTTTGTATTCATGACTTTTAGCACCTTGTACAGTGATTGTTACTTAGAAGTTTCTCAATAATTACTGAAATGAATTTAACCTGGTAAAAATTAATTGCTCAAGAAATAAGAGTTTCTTAAAATAGAAGTGCATTAAATTGGGACATTTTGTTATAATACTCTTAAAAATGTATATATATTTTTCAGAATAATGACTTAATGTGGCACCTGTTTTATTCCCTACTGAGATCTTACAACTTCCTCTCACTCCTTCTTTCATTCTGTTTCTAAAGAAGGTGGGTGGGTGGATGTCAAACATCAGTGGCTCCTCAGTTCACAGCAGTGAAACACATATGCTAATTGAATGATTTTCTGTCTTTTCATGCTATGTATGGTTGAAAAGCAGTGTGGTGCCTTTTGTTCTGGTAAATTTTCTGAATAAAGATTTGCGGATCATTTTGGACTGTCTGGAGGCCAGTGTGCGTAATTCGGTATATAGCTGATCGCAGGTTCCACTGGCCCTAAGATCTTAATTTGTTGGTAACATGCTTATCATGGGGTTTATATTTTTATCTCCAGTAGTAACAACTCTATAAGATAGGTGATTTTTATTGTCTCCAATTTGTTAAGTGAGGAATCTGAGGCAAAAAGAGGACTAATAACCTAGCCAAGATTTCATAACTGGTCATCTGTGGCTAGGATTCAAATCCCAGCTCTTTGATTTCAGTGCTCCATGTTGCTGCACTACCCATGCTTCACATCTCTGAACTGCATCTAATTCCTTGGTCAGCCCTGAAGCTTTATGTAAAATCCAGTCAAATTGCCAGTTCTTAGAATCTAGTTTTGTTTGTTTGTTTCTCAGATGTATTTCAATTCTGAGGATTTTCAAACTTATTCTCACCCTAGGACAGAAGCAAGTAGGCCATAACCTCCCCTGCTAAGGTATTCCTCACACTCATTACACCCCCTTAACATAGATGAGAATGGGGTGGGCTGGGTGCAGGGTTACTGTTGTTTGTGGGAGTTCTCATCTCTAGTTTTGGACATAGACCAGCTAGCAAGCAGGCTCCATGGCCACTGTGGACCCTGCCCCGGTGTGACTTAAGGGTCATGTGGCATTCCCAGAGGCCTGGATTCACCACCATTTGCCAGAAAAGTTGTCTAATTCTTGAAATAAAAGGAGTCCAGTGGAATAGTAGCAAGGGTGAGGAAAGCAGTGAAATCGTGCAACGTATATTAAAGATGCCCAGAAATAGGTCAACGCAAAGTTCTGTATTTGCTGTATATACAAGTTCTGCTTTTTATGTTATTAGTGACCCTGGAACAAGGGTCGGGGTGCTGGTAACAGCAGTTCACTTTTCTTTCATCAGAGAAGGGTTTACAAAAGAACGGTGGCTTTAAGAGATCTTTGACATTATTCCAGCAAGGTGCTAATTGTGGTTGTGGTTTCCTTTTTCTTTCTTTCATTTTTCGCTTTAGTCTACCAGGTGCTACCGAGTCAAAAGCATTCACTGAGAGCCCACAGACCATTCTGTATGCATGGGCCATGGCAAATCAAACCGCATCAATAAACCTGTACTTTTAGAAAGGGAAGAAAAAATTTTCCTAAGAGATTATTTGGTATCTAAACTTTTTATTTTTGTTTAAACAAACCTAATTTGCATTCCTAAGAGTCATTTTTTAAAGTCCTTATTGTAAGCATATTTGGTTTTTGTTCAAACCATTGGCTTTAAAACACTTAAATTCTAGTGTATAATCATTTATTTTACTTTCTGCTTATATTGATCATTTTTCCTTTAATATTTATTTTCAGGTTACCTTGAGGATAGTTTTGTAAAATCTGGAGTCTTCAATGTATCAGAACTTGTAAGAGTATCCAGAAGTAAGTAAATTGTTTTGTTACTACTTAAGCATGCAGTATGATTTAAAATACTTTATATTTTGAACCTTAAATGTAGTATAAAGAGTGACCACATATTAGGAAAATTTGAATTAAAATCTTAAAACCTTTGATGAAATAACAATATATTTTGCTTGATTTTCTAAAATGTTTGCATTCAAATCATCAAAACTTTTTGTTGTACAAAAATAATTTTGGGGTTTTTCTGATTGCCATGTTATTGGTATTCATTTAATTCACTGTTCTCTGCATGACCATAGATGGCCATTTATATCAAAGGAAGTGTGATTAATTAAATGTACTCTATGTTGTTATGATAACCCACATAAGTTTCCTGTAGATAAGTGCTTTTTCATTTTACTAACATTTTGGTGGGGGTTGGAGATGCACAGGATATACACACTAACGTGCAGAGTGTAGAGGGATGCAGAAATTAACTTTGCAGATTGTAGTTGGATATAGATAGAAAGCATTGTTATCCAAAACAATGTCCAATTGTTTTAACTGGCCACTTCACCTGAGACACCATTCTTAGCAGGCTGGATCAGATTTTTCTAGGCTAAGCTCACCTGGCAGGCTACCTAAGCAAAGGGGACGTTACCTTGATTAACTCTTTTACTTATTACTAGCATGTACAAACATATCCAAGATGCAGATCTATATGTACTAATTATGTTAAAGAAGGTGACTCCTTTCTTCATACTCCCTTCACTGATTTAGCTTATTTATGTAACTTTGAAGGGTATATTTTCACCTGACATTTTGATAGAATGCATCACACTTCGGAGTGATGTTATTCAGATGATGTAGTCACACTCTGATACCTGCCTAAGTTGTGTTTCTCATTTGGGTCATATTTAGAGGTCATGAATAAGAATTATGATGATCCAGAAAGAACAAAGAGTAATCGAGTTACTGAGGATAAGAATAAGCAGTGTTTTAGAGTCTTGTTGTTCAGTAAAGGAATCTTCACGCTATCACTGACTGTCTTTTGAACCGTAGTTCCTCAAATAGCTCACATTTCTAAAGTGAACAGTGCAAATAGCATGTATAGCAGGGAGTGATACATATGAACGTTTAAGATCTTAAGTAGTTTATCCTTTCTGGTATAATTCTAGAGTGGATAAATGTATGCCCAAAAGACTTCTCTCATGGGTCTTTTTACATGGTGGCAGTGTAGGAGAAGAAACACAAATATCCTGTATTCTGGTAGCCCCAGGGTGTGTATTCGATGGGCAAGGAGATTGTCCAAGGCAGTGTACCTTAATGTGTTTTTCCAGATCAATATGTGATATCCAAAGGTATCCAACATTTGAAAGTTTTCACTTTTAATTTGGGAAGAAATATGCCTGACTTACCAGTAGCACTTTGTAGCATCAGGTAAGACAGGGGTTATCTGAAGGGGTGTGTGTGTCTTCCCCATACTCTTCTTTAGCGGAAAGGCTTATGGTGCTCCAGTTAGGAGGCTTATTAAATTATTTGCTTAAATTTGTACTTCTCTGAGTTCAAGTTCAATGGTATATTTTCATCCTTCTTAGGAGTAGGGCAGTAGAGTCAGCTGTCAGAAAATATTTATTTAGTACCTCATGATAGGTAATATTATGCTAAGGGCTGTCAAAGGAGAACCACATTAGAACCTTCAAAAGCCCAGATAGATATTTTGAAAAATCTGAATTTCAAACATTAAAACAAAGATGAAAATTATCTTTCTAGAACAGTTCAAAACCAAGGTAAATTTAATATACTTCATTCATTCATTCTTAACTTATAATGTCATATCCTAGAAACTTTTAGGTTATTTGTTATAACAAACATTACTGATTTGTAATTAGCACATTAATTATCTATATTCATTACGTAATTTATTCAGCAAACATTTATTTTCTCCTCCATATGTAAATAGGTGTCTCTGAAAGGCCTGATAAGTTCTCCTCCTAAGTGTTTTAATATATCCGCATCATAATCTTTGTTTACACAATTAAACTTCATTATTTATGAAATAGGGGTTTGCTAAGTAAACATAAACTTCAGCACAACACTATGTGTGTATCACAAATTCTGACTTCTTGAGGGTTTACAGTATGCTAGTGCTTTCAGTCCTCTAGGGTTTTACAATCATAAGACCCACTGATGTGTATGTTGACTTTAGCTAATGAAGCCATTCAGCATTAGGATAGTGATCTCTCTTTTGAATGATATTATCTCCATCTTAAAAGTTGATTTAGGATCAGCTTTTGGAGTGAGGAGAACAATAAGGGAGATTAAAGGTTGGCCTCTAACCCTTAGAATCTGAGGTTCTTTGGTGCTTCATTTCTAAGAGGATATCGGCATCCTCTTAAACATGATTTGCAGCTTTCAGCCTTCTTGTAGCTCCCTGGGAGAGGCGCTAACACTGATCTTTGCGTCTGATGTAAGTTCTTCCAGAGGCTCTTAAGCAGGAATATCTGACTGAGACTTGCTGTTCCCACACACTCTGTCATTAAATAATTTCCATGTGTGTTGTTTTAGTACTTTGGCCGTGTTTGTTAATCTACTTTCCTTTCTGTATCTCCCATTTAGTGTCAGAATGCATACTAAATTTTTACAGTGCTCATGCATAAATCCGTAGACAAATTATTTTATTGCTATCTTTACAAAATTAAAACATAATATGTGTACATATTTATGGAATCCATGTGATCTCTGGATCCATGCATACAGTGTATAATGATTAAATCAGGCTATTTAGGATATCTGTCATCTCAAACATTTATCATTTCTTCATGTTGGGAATGTTTCAAATCTTCTTTTTTTGCTATTTTAAAATATGTAATATATTGTTGTTAACTGTAGCCACCCTGCTGTGCTATCAAATACTGGAAATTATTCTTTCTGTCTATTATAACTGTATGTTTTTACCCATTAACCAATCTCTCTTCATCTCCTCACCTCCCCACCCTCCCCCACCTCTGACAACCCCTTCGATGAGATCAACTTTTTAAGCTCCCATGTATGAGTGAGAACATGCTATATTTGTCGTTTTTATTGCTGTCTTGACACTGCGGAATAATCTTTCTGGAACAAAATTTAGAAAAAAACAATTTCTGAAGATTTTAAAATTATCATTTACTACAAATTACATCTAGTTTATTTATGGGTAAGCAAATTATGTTAACTATGGAGCCATATGTATTCAATAGAAACTATAAATCTTTGCCTAAATATTGCATGAGCTTAATAAATTGAAAATAGTTTATGTAAGGTGGAACCTCTAAGTTTCCTGTTAATAACTCAGGTCTATGAATTGTATCCATTACTGTGATAGGAAGCCAGACAGATTGTTTACTTCACTTGAGCCCCTGAAATACTCCTTCTAGCATGTACCCCACTTCCAGTGTCATATAGAACATGGTTCTAATAATAAATTATAAAACATGCGGTTACTGTGGGATTTCTTACCTCACATTTTTTTAACCTTTGGTGTGCCTCAAGCCACAACAGACATAGCTACATTTTAGCTGTCCAAATAATTCAAGCCATCAGGCACTTAGTTACTCATTGGATACAAGTATTTTCTGTGTAAAGGATGTTACAGTGTATTATATAACATGAACAATCTATCAGAAGGCTGATAGATAATCCAGAAGTTTGGAGCTGTTACTAGTCATGTATATACTGATGTATTTAATTTTTAGTCCAGAAAGGGAGATGTTCATTGTGTATTCCGTGGTTACTTCTCTGTGATAAAGCTTGTACCTCCTAATCATACTTTCTTAAAAATATTTTAAGTTAATCTTAGCCTGCCTAATATTAAAATACAATTCAAAGGGTAGTGAACACATTTAGAATATTCATTAAAAATGAGGGGTAAGAAAACTTCCATAAAAATCTGCAATCCCTTTGGAATTTTATACTCAACTTGAGGCAGATGGGAGAGAGGAGGAGTTTAAGTAGACCACGTATGCTTAGAGTGCATCTCAGGGGCTCTAGAATTTTGTTGCAAAGCCCCAGAGTACAATTTCGTGTGAGCTTTTGAAGGGCTGATTAAGACAGGTAAAGAAATGGAAACTATTCTTAAGGAGTTCTTTGACACCAACCTGCCTGGTCTCCACTTTGCACATTATCTCTACCTATGATTTTGCTTCTGCAGCAGTCCCTGTTTAGAATGACCTCCCTCTAATCTCTTACTCATTCTCCAGAGTCCAGTGCCAGCTATGGCTTTTCGCAGACTTCTTGGACAATTCAAGCTGGTATTGGATTCTTTTTCCCTTGAAATTCTACAGCAGTTTTGGATCATGTCATTAATTTGGACAGTTTCATTTTCATCTATTTTGGTATTTATGTGTTTCGCATGAATGTTTTACTTACCCAGCTTGTTGCCCAATATTTTTATTAAGGGCAATATATGAGACTATTTTGTACACATTGCAGCCAACACCTGCCAGCAGTGGACACAGTCAGTAATTTGTTGAATGAACAAATTTTCAGCGAACAGGTTCATTTATACCTCTTCCTCTGCTTTTAACACGTTTTTGAACTGTTCATCTTTGCTAACCATTCCAGTCTACCAGGGAAGAAGTTTGGAGGAGAAAGCAAAGAAGGAAGGGAACTCACAATGGTTGAGCACGTGTTATACACTAGGCATGATTCTAGGCTCTTATCACTACCTATTTCATTTCATCCTCAAAATAATCCTATGTGTCCGGTTATTATTACTCCCATTTTACAGTTAGGAAACTAGGGCACATAACTTATAATACAGAGGGAGTTTAAACTAAAAGGCTATTTATCTCTCAAGACTCTGCTGATTCTAACACAATATGCTGCCTCACAGCTTTGTTCATGATATCTAAAATTAAATTTAAAAAATGTGAACAGATGTAATTATACAAAATATCATGAGATATTTTGATAAAGACATACAATGCATAATAATCACATCAGGGTAAATGGGGTATCCATCACCTGAAGCATTTATCCTTTGTGTTACAAACCAAAAATTATTATTCTATATTATCAACATTAATATCAACATTAATATTTGAGTGGATTAGAAGTCATGATATTAATAATTATTATCATATCCTAACTGGGAGGCTGTGAATAATGATTTTTGCTTTTTTTTGTGAAACGGTTCTCTGTTTATTTATTTAACAATGATTTGGTTTTCGAGAGCCTAGGTAGTGCAAAGCAGCTTGTTTGGTGTTGCTGAGTGATAGGACTCGTATATTCTGTTTCCTCCAAGGCATTTTTAACTAGCAGAGTGACAGATGTAATGTCAACTAATATAAAGGAGTGAGTAAAGAAGGTTGAGGAATAGGATTCGGGAAATTGGTAACCAGTGATTATAATCTGATTGCCTCAAATTTCCAAGCTTGAACGTTGCTAAGGTGAGCAAGTTTTCAGGTCCTACCCAGGTTGTATGGTGGGTATTAGAGGCTTAAGGTGAAGAAAGTTCTCTCTATCTTTGACCAGAGGCATGAAAGATTCTCGATTATTACATTTGAATAGAGGTCAGAAATACGAATGTCATTCCCAGTGCTTCTTTGTCTTATTCCTCAGCGCCCATAACCCAGGGAACTGGAGTCAACTTCCCAATTGGAGAAATCCCAAGCCAACCATACTATCATGACATGAACTCGGGGGTCAATCTTCAGAGGTCTCTGTCTTCTCCACCAAGCAGGTACTGAAAGAAGGGCTGCTCATATTCTCAAGTGATACACACATAGGTTCGTAGGTGGATGATAGGCAGATAGATAGGTAGGTAGGTAAAGAGAGATGGGAAATAATTTTTGCTGGTAGTACACAGATTTTTAATCTTTCCTGGTTAAATTTATTTGGCTGTTACAAATTAAATGTAATTGTTGTACACAGCAGTTTTAAAAATCTTTTTCAGGGGGACAGGTAACTAGGAAAATATATTAATATGACTTTTGTCCTGTTGTAGGAAATATTAAAATGCTACAAGTTAACAAAATCTTTTGATGGCTTTAAAAATGATGTTGCTGTGGCAATGATCTCTGGTTTATAACTGATTCCTGGTAACTTTTACCCAAATATTACATCTAAGCTTAGGATAATGAAACATAAAAAATAAAATGTGTCATTTACCTAGCCTTAAAATTAAAGACCACAGTTTGCCAAGTTCTTCAATTAGTTGATGTTTTTTGACTAATTTAATTAACGCTCTGTTACCAATGAAAATACTACCTTCCCTGAGATTTGGTTTAACCATTCTATGTTGGGGGTCAGCTAGAGAGAGTTCTCTTTGCTTTTTACTTCTCTGTTAACATTCTCATTTTTTTTTTCCTGATCTTCTCATTGTAATTGCCAGTCAGGGTGAATAAAGATTACAGATGTGTTAATTTTTTTTTATTTGAGCTAGATCTTCAAGACCCATCTCATTCCTAGAGCATTAAATATATGTGTAATCAAATATAAGAGCATACATGAATTCTAGAGCAAAACACTCATTTTACAATGTCAACTTTTTAAAAATAAAAGGATACCTGTATATTTATTTTTCTAAAGTATTCTCAGTAGTGAAAGTTCGTTGAATTTGAATTAATTATGGACTGGGCATGTGTATGTTTATAAACTAAGATCAATTTTATATCAGTTCCGGTTAAACCATTTTCATATAGTTAAATTGTGTAGCAAGATAATTTGGTTTATTATTAAAATAGTCTCTGACATATCAAAGTCTTAGAAATGCTTTGATTTTTCTAAATTTAAAATGTGAGCAGTAATTTTTAAATTCTGTCTGCTAAATCACTGTTGTCAACACAGATCTTTCTTCCTGACTACTTTATATAAGATACTGTCTTTCAGAGTAAGCAAGGTTTAAAAAACATTTCTCTAGTACTTCCTTATGCATGTAATTTGTCCCCAATTTTAAGTTTTTCAGGCAGATTTTCTGCTGACTCATAGATGAGAGAATATGTTTAAAAGAGAGTTAAAATGTAAGGTCTAACTTTGGATTCTTTGGGAAGAAACTAAGCTTAGCATGGATAGAAATTGCCATCTTCTACATCGTTAATACTCTGAGAATTGTGAGTCAAATATTAATCATGAGTATCTACAAATGTACTCAGGCATATACATGATTCAAGGGCTTGGAAACACAGTGCAGTGGAAAGAGCACACTTGCGGAAGTCAGACGTCCTTACCTTATGTCTGACTGCTTCCATTAACTTGCCCTGGACAGTCCACTGAATCTCTCCAAATGTGTCTCCCCATTTGTAAAAACAAGGGGATTGGTTTATGTATATGATTTTTGAGGTCAATTTCAATGCTGAAATCCTATAACATTATGGTTATTATTGCTGCGAAAAGTGAATTTTGAAGATTTTTAAAAAGGTTTTACCAGCATAGGTGTGAATAAGATTTTTTTTTTAATTAAAGAAAAAATATTCACTGGGCACAGTGACTCACAGCTGGATTCCCAGTACTTTGGGAGGCCCAGGCAGGAGGATCACTTGAACCTAGGAGTTCAAGACCAGCCTGGACAACTCCCTCTCTACAAAAAATTTTTTTAATTAGCAAGGCTTGGTGGCATGTGTGTGTGATCCTAACTATTTGGGCGGCTGTGGTAGGAGGATCACTTGAGCCCAGGAGCTTGAGGCTGCAGTGAGCTGTGGTCATGCAACTGCACTCCAGCCTGGACAACAGAGTGAGACCCTGTCTCAAAAACAAACAAACAAAAAAAGAAAAGAATTCACTTTTATAGTCATAATTTCATAATTGTCTGCTTTATTGGTGGGGGCATATGAAAGAAGTATATCAACCACTATGGGTATAAAATAGCTTCTTAATCTTTGTTCTGGATAGTCACCTTTCTTATTCATTGAGATGAGTCATATTTCCATATTAAAATGTATCATTTTGGCTGAGCACAGTGGCTCCTGCCTGTAATCCCAGCACTTTGGGAGGCTGAAGTGGGAGGATCGCTTGAGTCCAGGAATTCAACACCAGCCAGGGCAAAATAGCAAAACCCCATCTCTACAAAAAATACTAAAATCAGCTGGGTGTGGTGACAGGCACCTATAGTTCAAGCTACTTGGGAGGCTGAGGTGGGAGGATTGTTTGAGCCTGGGAGGTGGAGTTTGCTGTGAGCCAAGATTGAGCCACAGTGTACTACATCGTAGGTGAAAGAGTGAGACCCAGTCTCAAAAAAAAAAAAAAAAAAAAAGTATCATTTTAAAAGTTTGAATTTGGCAGTGGCCTTCTTTTTTTCACAGTCGATTTTAAGAATAAAGAATCAATAATCTAAGTTTTAAGAAAAAGTAAAGAATAATATATGAAATAGTTTATAATCAGTAAAATACTATAATTTTTTATTATTAATGATAGGGTTATTACTAAGAATTACTATTTGATAAGTATCTTCTAAATGCCAGCCACTTAACTAAAAGCTTTACATTTAACAACTCATTTTACTCTTCCAACCGTCTGCCTTTGAACTAGGTTTTATTGTTTCCAATTTACAGATGATTAAACTGAGTTTAGATAAGTTAAGGAGCTTACTATTAGCAATTCATAAGTGGCCTACTCAAGATTTTATACTAGGACTGTCTTGACCCCAAAGCTCTTGTTTTACTTTATTACCTTATCTTTGGATTGCATTGTCAATGACAAGTGCTATTAAAAGGAACATTGTTAGTATTGATAATAATAATGAGTCAGGTACACAATAACACAATTTTAATGTTAGAAGGCAAACAACATTAAGAGTTCACTTTTTATTAGTGGAATTTTTTTTGGAAATACATTTGAAAGATAAATATAATGAACACCATATTTGTTAGACAGGTTAGGTATAAGATGGTCTAATAAATGGTATATGCAACTAGAAATATTTGCTATTACTATTGATATCTTCAATACTCACCATTATACTCACCATTATTACTTGTGCTTATGAAAATTTTCACAGTAAGGATCTTCTCAGATCATTTACTTTAAAATGTACACATCTTCCCAGAAATCCCATTAATATAACTATTGCCATATTTTAACAGCAAAAGACCCAAAACTATATCCATAGATGAAAATATGGAACCAAGTCCTACAGGAGACTTTTACCCCTCTCCAAGTTCACCAGCTGCTGGAAGTCGAACATGGCACGAAAGAGATCAAGGTGAGTAATAAGGAGATGCCTCTAGAGACCATGAGTAAAATGTTGGCTCGTTTCTTAAGTTTCGTTGAGTCAAAATTTCATAATTAAACCAATATGGATTGTATATTTTTTTCATAAAATGATTCCTGTAGAATTATTTTTGAGATAATGTTAGTCAAATGTCGTCAAAGTTAATTTATCCAAAATCTTATTTTTACATGTTTCGTTGGAGTTTTTTTTAGACAAAATGATATTTTAGAACCCACAATTATGTATGTGACTGATTATGGTCTGTCTACATTTGTTGGTTGGAGTACAGCAGAACCACAAACTGTGATTCAATTAGATCCGCCTGCTCCTCTCTATGGAGCGTTGCAGGGAGCCAAACTTTAAGCAGTTTGCAAGTGCCAGGAACTGAAAGTTGTCATTTAAAGGAACCTGCAATTCCTTTTGGAAGTAGGTAGACCATATACAATAAAGAAAAGTGTAATGTAAGATACTTTGTGTTGGAGTCAATCTAGCTATGCTTTCTAGATAAAACTGTGACCCAGTTCTAGGGCAGCTTTGAGGAGAAATATAACTTTAAGAAATGGGTATTGAGACCCGGAAGGATTGAGACTTAGCTCTTCTTAAAGTCTGTTGGATTTACTATATTTCATTAGATATATCCATGCTTTCCCCCACAATCAGAGGGAGATTATTAAGCATGGAAATAGAAAAATTAGCTAACTGAAGTTTTTGTTGGTATGTAAGCATGTCTGCAAATAAGATCTTAATGTCAGCAGCATAAACATGTATTTTTAAATTGTCTTTTAAATAGAATTCTGCATTAAAAAAAATCTAGCCTGGGCAATGTGGCAAGACCCCATCTCTACAAAAAAAAAATAAAACGTAAGCCAAGCATAGTGGTGTGCGCCTGTAGTCTCAGCTACTCAGGAGGCTGAGGTGGGAGGATCAGTTGAGCCTGGGAAGCAGAGGATGGAGTAAGCTGTGATCACACCACTGTACTCTAGCCTGGGTAACAGAGTGAGACCCTGTCTCAAAAAAAAAAAAAAAAAAGTCTAAAAGAAAGGAATAATGGTTTTCAGCCCAGGACTTGGGTGTGTATTGGTGAGGGTTGGGGTACTCTATGTTGAGTACTCTTAGGAGACACATAACTCTGGGCCTTAACAGTTAAGGCCAAAGTCAGTTCTTTATTCAGTGCTCCTTCTTTGCTGCTCAAATTTTTTATACCGAGTGCCATGGAGTTTAAAGAATAGTGAAAAATCTTCATGGAGACATTGGCCTTTGAGTCAAGTGTACCTCCTTTAGCACAACTGACTCAAAGCTCGATTCCTAAATCTCATCTAAATCTCCTTGAGATTTTAACTAGTAAAGAAGTGAGGGGCTGAAGAGGGTGGTGGTGGGAACTGAGACAAAAGCATAACCCTGTGTTAGGTGGGGAGGCAAATTTGAGAATGGCTGTGTGTGCCATGTGGCTGGACACAGTGCACATGGAGGGAAATAATAGAGATGGCAAGGGTCATTTTATGCAAGGATATGAAACTCAACTGGAGAGTTTTGACTGTGAGACCCCCCCCTCAGACGGAATTTTGTCTCTGAGACTCCCCTCATGAGAGACCCCACCAAATCTATTTTTCAGGCAGTAGGTAAAAATCATCTTTATAAAATGTAAATAACAGCATTTTATTCCCCTACTTCAGATCCTTTAGTCAATTCCCACTGCTCTCAGGAAAAAATGGGAATCTTTTCATATCACCAACAGGCCATAGCCTTGGCAGGTGACATTCTGCTTCCTCTTGCTTGCACTTGAGCCCACTGCTTTACTTGAAGTTGCGAATTCAACAACCGGGACCTTCCTATAAGTTATGACCTCTGGAATGCTCTGCTAACTCTTCATCTGGCAAACTCTTTGCCATCCTTCAGAGCCCAGCTTAAACTGAGAAATTTCAGTCTAAATTCTGTCTTCCTAGTTTTCTCTGTCAACACCCAGTACTGTTCTTTCATTGTACTCATAATATGTAATCATATAGCTATTTATGGGATTAGTTGTCTAAATCTGTCTACACTGTGAGAGAAGGGACCTTGTCTATTTTGACTATTACTGTAACCAGCACTTAACACACACTTGGTGCGTAGTAGGAGTACAATAAGTAGTTGTATAAATGAACCATTGATAGGCAGAACACCAGTCTCATTAGTGAAGGCAAGATATAATAGAGACTTTTACCAGAGTTGCAGAAGTGAAACGAAAAACAAAACCCTCAACCCTTTATATTTTATTGCTTGTTTTACTGACATTGTCAGCTTATTCTAAACAAAGCCATACTTTCCTTGTCAGAAAATTCTTCTGGAGAAGATTTTAATGGTAATAACCTTGTGAATGTGTGGGAATGGATGCGTTATTCAGAAGTGTAGGTGTTCTTTATTATAGAGAGTGTCACTTTGTAAGAATTGATTCCTCTTTAAGCCTACTGAATAAAGCCAATCTCAAATCATATTATGAAACATTTTTGAAAAGTAGAAGGGAAACTGTCATTCTTTTTCTTTGTGAAAACATTGTATTGTCTTGGTGATTTTCTTTTGTCAAGATGACTAGACTTATTGGAGGAGTCTGTAAAGGCATATTATGTTTAGAGGAAGGAAGAATATTCCATTCTCAAATGTGCATTTTAAACACACACACACACACACACACACACACACACACACACACACTCTGTCACTTTAATTCTGAAGACCCTGAAGACTTCGTAATGTGCACAATAAGCCATTGTGGGAAGAAGACTCAACTACAATGAAGAAATGCGGGCAGTACAGTACTATCTTTATAAATTTGCTAAGCCCAATGCAGTCCTTTTGTTCTTAGAAAATTGCTTTTTAAAAATTTGCAAAATAAAATGCCCAATGGTTGTTCTTGTCCATCTTCTAATGTTCTTTAGACACACTTCCCTGTGATGGAGGGAGTTGTCTAAAGCACATATTGAGTGCCACTCCAGTCATTGAAATAGCTTTGACATGTCTTGTATTTATAATATTTTCTCCTACAAAGCCCTGCACTAATTGATACTCAATAACTATTTATTGGTTAATTAAAATATGCTTGTGTTTAAAATGGGCAGAAATCCTTAAAATTTACTATTAATTATTTCCTGGGTATGCCTTATTCTGTTAGTGTTAAATTTGCATTAAAATCTGTTCTTGACATAGCCCTTAGCAAAATTGATTTATTAAATATGAGAATCAAAGATAACAAAATTATGGACAATATGTGGCATTCTGCTTTCCCTTTCAATCTGAAATACCAACCTAAACCATTGAGATTTATTCTGAGTAGGCAAAAATAAAGGATATAATATGACCAAATTATTATATGTATTCTGTTCTTAAAATAAATCAGGCAAAATATTAACACAAAATCTAGGTTTATGTAATAATATGTTCATGCAATTTTAGTAACTTAATGAAAAAGTATTTTTAGCATATTACAATAATAAATTAATTATGTCCTTATGTAATTTCTTTTCAAAACAAAAAGTTACAACTTCCTGATTATAAGAGAATTGTAATTTATACTTCTGCAAATATAGACATGAATATTTTAAAACTAACCATAATTTAATAGTGTTAAGCATTTGGTAGGGGGCTATATAATTTGCTTCTTCTGATGAATAGTGATGAAAATTAAATTTGTCAGCATCTATATTATGTAGTATTTATATTTTTACTTTGTATTATTTTATATATACAGAACAAAATGAAAAGGAAAATAATACTGAGTCACTAGCAAAGGGGTATCCAACAACTGTTATATTTCTTTCCTATGTTTCAGAATATTTCTCCTTGCTTAGTCTCTTCTGTAAATCCTGGTCTTAAACTCCTGACTGCTTCTCTCTCTATTAAAAACTTTCTTTTTTGGATATTGCTTTTCTTCATTTAAGATTTTAATGATTAATGAATAGAACCAGATTAGACTGTCAACAGGCAAGTTGAACATTTCTTTTATTCCAATACTTCCTCCATAAAAAATTCCATTAAGATCTTGTCTTTCTTATTTTTTTTTCCATCTGAGTCAATTCAGAGACTCAATTTCTAGTTGATGTACTTTTTTTGAAATTTTTCTTTAGAGCAATCTTTTGTAACTTTTGATATAAGAGGAAAAATAAGAGGTCATAGTTTTTCGTCTAATTCAAGTTACTCTCATGAGACTAAATCCAGTTGTATTCCGTTGCTCAGTGTGTTAGTCCATTTTCATGCTGCTGATAAAGACCTACTTGAGACTGGGCAATTTACAAAAGGAAGAGGTTTATTGGCTGGGTAGGCTTCACAGTCATGGTGGAAGGAGGAGCAAGTCACGTCTTATATGGATGGTGGCAGGCAAAGAGAGAGCTTGTGCAGGGAACTCCTGTTTTTAAAACCCTCAGATCTTGTGAGACTCATTCACTATCACGAGAACAACACAGGAAAGATCTGCCCCCATAACTCAGTCTCCTCCCACCAGGTTCCTCCCATGTCACGTGGGAATTGTGGGAGTTACAATTCAAGATGAGATTTGGGTGGGGACACAGCTAAACCATATCACTCAGTAATTTAACAGACAAATAAATAGTATGCTTGAACATTGAAAACAATTCTTTATAAGGTCACTTTGCCACTGCCATTCTAATAGTCACTAATTTATCTAAGTCTGAATGTAAAATTTCTAAAACATTTAATAGACATTTAATGAGAAAAAATATGATATGTTAAATATATTTGCAGTATGCAGCTGGGGATTTCGTTGTTTTTTTTTTTTTTTTTTTTTTTTGTGAGCAGCAGCAAGATTTATTGCAAAGAGTGAAAGAACAAAGCTTCCACAGTGTGGAAGGGGGACCCCAGCGGGTTGCCCTCAGCTGGGGATTTCTAAATGGAAATTTGAACAGCTTTTCAGCCAGATGAGTATTTAAACAACCTGTAATCTTAGATAAAATATAAATTCAAAAAGACTTTATGCAGTAAAATGTTATTAATTTCTACATGTATGGGATTTGAGATAATTTGGTTCAATGAACAATTTGTCAAATGTCTATATTATATTGGAGGAATTTTTATAGGCATTGGGTACACAAATATGAATAAATTAAGTTTCCAGCCCTTGACCTCCTGAATGGAAAAGTAACTTTTACTATTTAGAAAAATCGGGGACTAAAATAAATAAGATTATGAGAGAACCGACTCCATGCTTTAGAGCTAGCTTAGTTTTAAGGACGATGAGCCGTAAATCTTTACATAAAATCAATAAATTGGCATGTTAGCAAAAACTAGCACTACTTGGTATATTGGCATGTTATTACAATTTGGAGAGTAGTTTGAAAAATTAAACTGGACTCTCAAGCTATATTTAGGCATTGTGTTCTGGTGTCTTAGGTACTAAAAAATAAAACTACTAATTTTTATACAAGTCTCCAGTTCTGTTATATAAATGTCTTCTCAGTTAAGTCTTTCTGAAATTTTAATTTGTTTCCAAGTCCTAGAGATTTATTTTTGATAATTTTGAAAATATTCTCATTAGTAAGGTAGTCTTAACTGTTGTGCTAAATTTCAGTTTGCACTTTCTAGAGTTCTATAAGGATATAGTATTAAATGTCAAACGCATTAAGCCAGAGGGCCCAAGGGAACACTGGGGGCTAGAGAGTAAAAATGCCAGTTTAGTATTATGTGCTCAATCAGGAAATAAGTAACAGTAAATAAGAGTGTGATAGCATGCTGACAGAACCAGAATCAGAGGCCAGCATTTCTGTTTTTTCTCTGTCTGTTGCCCAGGATGGAGTGCAGCGGCACGATCATGGCTCACTGTAGCCCTGACCCCCCCAGGTTCAAGTGATCCTCCCACCTCAGCTTCACAGGTAGCTGGGACTACAGGCACTTGCCACCATGCCCAGCTAATTTTTAAATTTTGTGTAGAGCTGGGGTCTCACTATGTTACCCATGCTGTTCTGGAACTCCTGGGCTCAACTGATCCTCCTACCTGGGCCTCCCAAAGTGATGGGATTGCAGGTGTGAGGCACCACACCAGGCTCCCCAGCATTTCCTAATGTGAGTTTAGGAATGTGAAAAGATATGCTACATACAAAAGAGTGGTCAGCTAAATTTGCAAAGTTTTTTTGTAACAAAAATTTCAACTATTTTCATTCATAAATGAATATGCAGAATATTTAATATGCTACTGTGTGCTGTGAATATCCAGGAGTGGCTCTTGACTGAACATGTTTATTAAGTTTGTGACTTCAGAACCTTTTATTTCTATCAAAGAATCCATAGGGAGCATTAATCCTAGGCCCAAACTTTGGAACACAGTGCTCTAGTCCAAACCACAGTCTGACAAATGATATAATCTCAAGATTTCTCTAGAGCTGTGGGAGCTGAGTGAATAAGCAGCTGTCATAGATGGTTGAATAACTGCTATCTGGGAGTCATTAACATTAAATGAAGTCCTAGAAAATGGCAGTGCAGACAGCTTAGTAACCATACTGGAAGAAGTTTTAAAGTTCTCTTTGGGGACCAAATAGAACACCAACAATTCCTTATATTCCTGCAGTTAGTATCACAGGGATGAAATGGCAAATATTCAAATACCAAAGTTTTGAACCAGAAAAAAAGAGAGCTACAAATGCTTTTGGTGGATGAATGTGAAGAAGAGATGGTTTGAATTTGATGTTCAAGCCCAATTTTTAAGTTTCTTTGTTTAGCTTCTTATTATGGAAAATATCAAAAGTAAAGAACTCTAAGTGAATTTCTAGGTACTACCCTGGCATTGGAAAGCAAACTTCAAGGATGCTTCCACCCTGAAGAGGAATGCCTCTTCAACTACACTGCTACACTGCTGTAATTGAAAAATCACAACACGATCTTCTTCAAAATGGAAAGGAAAACAATAAATTGTTGGTGAAGGCTTTCATCAGAATTCCCCACATTGCCTCCTAATTAGTGAATGTTTGTTCCCCCTTCATGTGTTCTAATCAAGAATAGCATTTTGGATGGGGTAAACTTGTATACATGTTAGAAGGGCTGGTACTGATTAATATGGAAAAGTCGTGCTCATATTTCTGTGCTCTGGAGGCTTAAAGATTTGAAAATACAGCATTTTGCAGAAAAACCACAATAGATAATTAGTTTGAAAAAATAACAACTTTCTATTTAATACTGGGTTTCTAGCTTGATGGAACACAGCTTAAAATAGGGAAGTGGGAAACCCATGGGAGATAATGTCATAGTGTGCCATACAAAGTTTCTCTGCATAAGAAAAGGTTTTATTTCAAATCTTTTTACATATTGAGTTCATGTTTAAGCTTATTGTGAAGTAGTTTGGAAAGCCAGTGTCATTTGAGTTATTAGACTCCCAATATCATATACAATAAGAAATTGATTTTTCAGGTACAGATCACAAATTATTAGAACCCTTAGTAAGACATAATTCAAGCTCCTGTTTCACAGCTAAGTAGTCCAAGGATCAGAGAGGCTGTCCTGTCCCAACTAATGAATGGCAGAGCCTAGATCTTTGTTCAAGGGATTTTTTTCATTTTCTGTTATCCTGCAGCCTGCCTAGGGAATCAGTATGTAAACTTACAAATGGCCTAGGAGATTTAAACACTGCTTCGCAAGTCTTCCCAGAGGGACACTTTTCTTGGAAAGCTTAAGGAAGACTCTGTTAGACCTAACAGAACTAGAATGAGAAAATAGAGGTGTATTTGTGAGTTTTCAGGGTTCTGAAAGAATTCTCAAAACAAAATTTTGAGATGGTAAAATTTTACATATACATACACACACACACACACACATAAATCAACTATTATTATTAGTGCCAGGATTAAAATTTTTTCAACTAAAATAAACTGAAGATATGAATGCTTTTGAAGAATAAATGTGGGGAAGAGTTTGTTTGAAATGAATGTTTAAGCACAATTTTAAGAAGTCTTTTGGCCTGGAGAATATTGAAAGTAGAATTGTAAAGTGAACCTCACTGTACTGTCACACAGCTTCAACTGTTATTAACACTTTGCCAGTCTTATTGCATTTACTATCTCCCAGTTTTTAAAAGTATTTTAAAGCAAATCCCAGATATCTGTCATTTTGCATGTAAATAGATCTGAATATTTCGAACAATGAACTTTTTTTTTTTACATAATCACAGTACTATTATCAATTTAACAAATATAACATTAATTTCTTAATATAATCTAACATATAATCCATGTTCAAATTCCCTAGAATATCTCAAAGGTTGTCTTGTTTGAATCAGGACTCAAATTTAGTCCATAGATTATATTTGTATTTTCACCTTCTTTTTAGCCTACACTGATTATTCGCCTCCTTTTTCTGTGTTATTTATTTATTGAAGAAAGCATGTAAATTTAAAAATTGTCTTCAACAAGCACATGTAAATGAAACATGGAAAACAAGATTCTATTGCCATTTGTGGTTGTCATTTATTTATTGAGCCCTTCCTTTCTGTCAGGTGCTTGGCTAAGTTTATATCTATTTTTCTTTTAAACCTGACAGAAACCCCATTTTACAGCTTACTAAACTGATCATGCTTAAGAAACTCATCATAGATCATGCAGATCATAAGTAGCAGAGGTAGAATGGGAACCCCTGGCTCTCTTGCTGAAGAAACCCATGCTCGTTATTGCTATATAATACTGTATCCCAAATAAGTCATTGAGATATTATGTTTATGATTTTGCAAACTAATTATAAAACCTCTGTTACAATTTTTTTTAATGCATGAAACTTCAATACAGATGAATGCACATAACTTCACAGGGGTTCGTAGACTCCTTAGAGATTCATGCATGTAGTCCTTGCTCTGAAATCAGGTTAAAATCACTTTTCCATTTAATAAGATAGTAATAAATAATCCTAAGTTCTAGAATGTCTTTAGTAGAAGTGTGTGATATATGGCCAGTTTAAAATGAGCTATATTTGTCAAAATATAAAAATAAAGTATATATTTATTATCATACATATGTTTTCTTTTAGTTCTGTTCTAGTCTTTTTGCCTTAAGCCTAGTGCACTGTAATTGTGATTAGGAAACTCTAAATACTGGTGTGGTCTTAGACAAATCACTTAACTTCAGTAACTCTTGAGTTTTCCCATCTGTAAAATAACAAAGTTGTATACTAAGATTTGTGTTCTAATATTTTAGATTTTGAATCTATTGGAGTCCAAGAATTTGAAGATCTTCAGTACTTGAGTCTTTCCAAAGCCGTCATTAACATGGATCTTTTGGAAAATTCAGAAAGTTTTCTGTTTCTTAAATTATTTTTTGAATGTTCATTTTAAACACTCTCATTGAATAACAATAATTGGGCTGCTTATGTGCTTGGAGGCCCCGTATATTTTGCTTTATACCTGAGGAATGCGCAGTTCTCACAAATGCATGTCCTGTCCTGCACCATTCTGGTGCAACAAATGATTGATAGAGATTGAGTTATTATAACAGAACCTTGTTATGGAATCAGTGTCTCCTACTTTGAAAACAAATGACTCAGCCAGACAGCAACATTTATTTTCTCTAAATGACTAGGGATGTAGCAATGGGAGACCATTATCCTGTGACAATATTCGGTTTCATTGACATTATCTCACAAATGTAATTGGTCCATTACTAAATAGAGGTTTTGTTACTGATGAATTTCACATGATTTCTAAAACCATTAGGATAATAAATATGCCATCATAGTAATTTCATTGACAGAATGTTCTTTTTTTCTTCATTTACATTTGTTGGAGAAAAAAAATATAGATTTAGGTTGAACTTAAACACTACAATTTATACCAATTTTGACTACTTTTCCATTAAGAGCAACAGAATATTGTGCAGAGTAATCATATTTGCATTGAGCTGCTGAACTGATGACCTTAAAATTTTTGTAATTCTTTTTCTACCACACTAAATCACATCAAATCATAATTGTTCTCAAGCAATTAGTTTACTACCTCAGTGTAATGATTTTATTTGAAGTAAGTTCCAGATCATTTATAGGACTTTCCTGTAAATCCACTAAAGTAACACATCAGTTAAATCAACTCTAACCATTACCAGCGTGGATAATAACAGCATTAGTAACAACAAAAACCTTGAGATGTCTTGTAGCATAAATGTTTTTAAATGTATGGCTTTTCCCCAAATGTTCTCCTCTGAAAACTCATCTGTAATCTTGTTAAATTAGAGCCCTTCCAGTATCTTTCTGACTTTTACAGTTAAGGTTATGGTATTGATTTTATTTTATAGCCCATGGCTCTCAGATGCTTAACATTAATAAGACTCCATAGCCAAGAGGTTTTCCCGAGAGGCATGGTGAATAGCAGCTATTTACCTATGCCAGTGTTTAATAAGTGACGAAAATATGCTCCAAGTCCTGCATAATTGTTTGATGTTTTTTCTCTCTTTCAAATTAGGTTTACACACATTACTCAAGACCCTTTATCATTGTCTGTCTGTTAAAATGAAATTGCTTAGTGGACAAAAGCATTTTGAAGTGTTTTTAAAAAGTAGTTTTCATTTATTCCATATTCACTGTTTTAGCACTGTTCTTCATTATTCAAAGGATTTTTTTAAGTGTCTCTGGAAGACATTTGTGAGCTTCAAAGAGGTTTGCTTTAACTTGGTATTGGGTGTAGGTGTAGCCTCGAGACCTTTTTTATAGCGAAGTGATAAAATTGAGACTTGTAGGAACATGCTACTTAACCGTGCTTGGGCTAAAATATATGGCAAGAGAGACTTAAACTATTAGAAAAGATTTTACTTTACTGAGGAATACAATAATATGCTCAAGTGTAATTAAGATTAAATAACTCAGTAATTAAAGTAAGAATTTCATTTATTTAACACAAAGACCACCATACTTTCTCATTTGAAAAGGAACTGATTTCATAAATTTAAAAAAAATGGTTGAGAAATCTAATTGAAGATGACATCTTATCTCCTCTTAACGTAGCTTGCCATTTTTTCCAGTGTTATTTTAGAGTGTGATAAATGTAAATATATATATATAAGGAGATACTTTCTTAACATGGCAGCTAATTATTTTTTGAATCATCTGGCATCATCATCAAACTACTGTAGTGGGATTACATCCATATGTCTTGTCATAACATTCAGAGCTTTTTGTTAACTTGGAGTGTGTGGGAAGGACTTGTTCACATTTGCCACACAATCATAAAATTTTACATCTAGAGGAGTCCTTAGACACAGATATTTAGATATTCTTTTTTCTTCACTGTATTTTCAAAAGACATTGTTTTGCCTGTAGCCAACTAAATTGCAAATGTTACATTGAAGCATTTCATTTTACAGTTTTGCAATATCCAGTACCTAAACTAATATGAAGCTTTCCTTCTTGCAGTGTAATGTGGGACACCTAACAGGATTCAATATTGTCAGCCCAGCTTTGGGAATTATTTATAGTATTCTGTGGAGCTACAGGCAACAATTTTCCCAAAAATATCTATTTTACAGTTTTTACAGTAAAAGTAATAGTTATTTGTGGGGAATTTGAAAAAACAAACTTTCAAATATGAAGAAGAAAATAAAAATCACCTGTAATCTCATCACATAAAGATAACTTCTGTTAGTATTTCATTGTATATATGCTAGCCTGTTTTTCTATGTATTTTTCTGCATTTCGGTGCGTTCTATTTCTATGAATGTATTTTTGCAGTAAATTGAGCTTATATGATATATGCTATTTTGTAAGTTTTTTTGTCTTTATAATCTAATGGCATTTTACCATATCCTTCAATTTCCTTTTTTTTTTTTTTTTTTTTTTTGAGACAGAGTCTCGCCCTGTCACCCAGGCTGGAGAGCAGTGGCGTGATCTTGGCTCACTGCCACCTCCACCTCCCTGGTTCAAGCAACTCTTCCTGCCCTAACCTCCCCAGTAGCTGGTATTACAGATGCACGCCACCATGGCCAGCTAATTTTTGTAGTTTTAGTAGAGATGGGGATTCGCCATGTTGGCCAGGCTGGTCTCGAACTCCTGACCTCAGGTGACTTGATCCACCCGCCTCGGCCTCCCAAAGTGCTGGGATTACAGGCATGAGCCACCCCATCCAGCCTTCCACTTTGTAATGAGTACATAATATGCCACACTTTGGCTACACCATAGAATTTTAAATATCTACTTTGCTGATGAATATTTAGATAGTTTTGGAGTTTTTGTATTATAAAGAGAGATACAGTGAACATCACTGCATGTAACTCTGTGCCTAATCTGATTGGGTGATTCTTGTCTAGTTCTTTTCACTGTCCCAAGTCCCTAGCATACTGCCTGGCATGAAGTCACCAAGTAGAAGTTCAGTGAAATTTTGCTACGGGAATAAATACATTCCTACTGTAGAATTACTAAGTTAAATCTTATGTCCATTTCTAAGGCTTTTGGTAAATATTGGCATAGATCTTATCAATTTACATTCCCTAGAGCAGTGCCTGAGTGGCTTAACTCCATTGTTATAAGCCGTAATAATTTCAATGTAGCACATGGCTCTATAAGCAATTTCAAAGCATGTCCTCTGACAGAAATTTATAGAACATTCTTTATGGCCCTGTGACTTTACCCATGCACCTCTTTTTTATCATTTGAATTTTATTTAAACCATCAAGGAACACACCATGTGTCTTCTCCCCATGAGCCAGGATAGCTCCATTTGTGAAGAAAATGGAGAAATTGAGAGGGTATTGTACAAAGGATTGTACAAAGCTTTCAAGTAAAGGCAGAGCCTGCTTGGTCTCTCTCTCCTTTCTTCCTCCTTCAGGACACACACCCTCACCCATCATCAGTCCTTTATTTATTAGGTAAAACCTGTTAAAGTAAGGATTGCTGTCATTCTCTACATGGAGATCCTTAGAAATAAATACCTCAAAGCTTTGGACTGGGATCTTAAGTATCTGGCAGGCTAGATGCTGCCCCAATCTGGCCTTAATAGTTGTCTTATTCTACATAACACTCATACACTTATAAATAACCTGGACACTTTCCTCTCTTCAACACTGTTTATCCCAGGGCAAAAACAGAGGCAGAGAAATTGTGGTCTTTTTAGCTTTCAGTTGGCAGTCATCTTCTCTGCCTTCTCCTTGTCCTCTGGGAACAGAGCCCAAACTGTTTCCTTGTCTCAGGACTGACTCTGGATTTGTGGCCTGAAGTAAAAATGTCAGATTTCAGCTACAAAACTCATCCCACACACTTGATTTGGTAGCCTGTCATTTACTACCTTATTTATTTTAAATAACATTATTATCTTATACAGATGGTTCTTTTCTTTTTCCTGTTGTCTTCCAGCTTCCACCCAACATTTTAATGGAAAGCAGAAATATCCCAGTTAAGCTAAAGCTCATTTTTCTCTTTCAGTGCTGTGTTGCTTGACAGAGTTTCAATGGAGTGATGGATGTGTTGACCACCTTTGCCTTCACCCAGCAATGAATTTGGTCTCTGAAGAGGTTTTCAATATTCAGAGTTTTTGTTTATCTAGAAAACTCTTTTAAAAAAAATCTATGAAAGTCTAATACTTTCAAAAGTCCAAAAAATGAAGAACTTTGAAAATTATGAGGGTGTATCAACTTGATAAAACTTGTCAATATAATATAATCTTGTCAAATCCCAGCCATTGGACTGTCTCTAAGCTAAGTGTGCTTATGTATGTTCTTTCCTTCTCTGGTCTGTATCAAACTCCTCTGGTCAGTATCATACCAGAGGGTCAAAGTTAACAGAAGTTTTGCAACTGTTTTCATTACACTTTGAGTTTTCTTCTGCCAAAAAATAACAAAAAAAGAAGATGAAGAAAAAAAGGAAGAAAGGAAAAAAGAAGACCGTATGCAATGAATCAAGCCTATAATCTCAACACTTTCAAAGGCCAAGGCAGGAGATCTCGTGAGACTAGGAGTTCCAGACCAGCCTGGGCAATATAGCCAGACTTTGTCCCTACTAAAAATTTACAAATTAGCTGGGTGTGATCGTGTGCCCATAGTCCTAGCTACTTGGGAGGCTGAGATGGGAGGATCGCTTGAACCCAGGAGTTTGAGGCTGCAGTGAGCCATGATTGTGCCACTGCAGCCTGGGCAACAGAGTGAGACCTTGTCTCTAAAATAATTAAATAAATTTAAATAAATAAATGAAATTTACACAATAATAAAAGATAGAAAGGAAAAAGAGGAATCCTGTAAATTGTTTAGCAGCTTGATAATGTGAAAAATAAAGAAAATATGTAGATATTTTAACAATGATTATAGCTTTATAAGCACTTAGCAATAAAACAAACCTTAACGTTAAATACTGGAGAATAAAAGTAGCCAGCAAATGGTGACTTGTCTCTATAGGGTTCATTTAGACTTGTTTACAAGTTACAAGTATGGCATGTAAATAAGGAAGACAATTTAGGAATATGTAAAATAATTACACTTTTAAAACATTTTGAAGGAATTTACTTCTTTGTTAACCAGATAGAAATAGGACTATTCTATCCTAGAAAAAGGACTAAATCATAGGACTGGCATGGTTAATACATTTTAATTTAGTGATATGGTTTGCTGAAAATAATAGCTTCCAGAAATTCAAGAATTCTTGCGTGTTCTTACATAATTAATTTGAAATTGTTAAAAATTGTGTTACTATAGGGAAGAAAAGGAATTTTTCAAAAAAGAAAATTGTATGTTTTCTATGTAGGCTTTAGTAGTCTGATTTGTAACCTTAATCTACTCGAGCATATTGGAAAAGCTAACATATTGCTCTACTATATGTGAAAAAGGAGCAGGTGTCCCAGACAGGCAGGTGTTAAGGTGCTGTTTGAGCTTGCCCTAGATCACTAGTTGACTTCAATGAAGTTCTACTAACAGGTGGCTAACTGATTGGAGTGCCATGTGACATTTATCCCGGGAGCGACTTGGATGACAGGCTGCTACAGACTGAGGAAGGGGTCTTTGCTTTGATGAAGAAATTGCCAAAACTCATGTCTCATTAGTGTTTCCTAAGGTTCTTTGGAAGTGAACAACAGTTTAATTAAGGGCTGACGTAAACACGTTTCTGCACACTTTCCCTGCAGCATTTTATCACATTAGAATTGATCAAAATTGTTGCCTTGGGCTGACTTGAACAGATATACATCTGGAGCGCAATTTGTGCAAGCTGCCGATGAGTCGAGTACATACGCTGTGTTTCACAGCGACTCTCTTCCTTTGTAGATGAAATTACCTTGTTGGGAGATGAGTTGATCTAACTCTTTATTTGCTTAAGTCCTTATCTCTTTGAAGTGATGACGTGAAATAAATAACACATCAAGGCCTAGGATGTATATATGTTACAGTGCCAAAAATATATATAGTATGGTCAGGAAAAATCGTGTGATAATTTGATTTTGCAAAATACTTATTTAAAGGGATGCTTAAGAATAAATGAACCAACTTTATCAGTAGCCTACTTGAACTTTTTTCTTACATGGTGATCTTTTATTCCATATTCAACTACACGATGAGTTTCTAAAGTCATAGCTAATTTTCCAGTTATAAATGTAAACATGGGTGTACACATTGAAGAATAACACCATCAATGTGAATCTTTTTAAAAAAATTATTCTCTCTAATCTGTCATTAAGAAGAATTCTTTCTGCAATCCAGTATTATTATGATTGCAACTATTTAATGCATTTCTGTCTTTAATTTCTGCCCTCTCTACTAAACCATGAGCATCACCAAGACAGGGACCACGTGGTTTTGTTTGGCATCTTGATGCATAGCCATAGTTCCTCACACTTACTAGAATCTCAGTGATTGATTTTCTTTTCTCTTTGCTTTACAGTCAGCTACTTCTCATCTGGTGATATTTATTCATGGAACATGAATTTTAAGATATACTGGCTATGGTTATTTTTCTCATCCTGCACTACTAGTCATCACTTCATAATACAGTTTCTTTCACATGCCAGAGATTCTAAAATAAGCTGCCTAGACACGGTGCCTGCTTTACCTCTTCTTTCTTTCATTTCTACTTTTTTTTTTCATTCTCTTCCCAAGTAGCATATTCTTCCAGCCTCTACATCTTTTTGTGTTTTTGGTAAAAGCATGTTCCTTAGGAGGTAAGCCATTAGTCACCTTTTTAAAAAAAGCATACGCAGTGGATACAAGTAAATAACAATGAAAAATTCATCAAGCAATATAAGATACAAACAAAAGATCATTAATGAAATCTAGATCTCAGGGATTTCCAAGAGAGATTACTTAAGGAGAAAACAAGTTTGTTCAGTGGATAAAACATTGTTCTATGCGTGGAATAAGGAGAGTGGAAATGCCTCATTTTCTAGTTCAAGGGAATGTCATAGATCAGGGATGGCACAGAGTTAAAAACATATTTCTCCTGCTCCTAATGGAAGCCATAAGAAAATTAGCTTCACTGAAGTTTAAACAAAATGGAATAACAAAGAAAAAGAGCTATTTAAAAATGTGATACTGTGGTAGATCTTGCAATGAGAAAGATACTGTTTGAAGGATACGATGCCAGCTGCTGGTTTTTATAAAGTGCCATGGAGAGGAAGGCCTGGAGGAGACTAGGAAGAAAATTTTTGGTTCAGCCAGGTACAAGTGAAAAGGGCGGTGAGAACAGAAAAAAAAAGTCAAATTTTTGGAAAGTTTTTTCTTCTAAAATCAATTCATTTATAAATTATTACTTTCTAAATCAAATTTAAATTGTTCTGTCTGATTTTAAGCCATCACTGGCCTCTACTTGTTTCTCTTCAACTACCAGCAACTCCTGCCTCCCTCCCACCAGTAGAAACATCAGCTAATCCTTTGCCTATCATTTTGCATCTCTTTTCAGCTGCTTTATTTTATGTATTATTCAACTTATGCATTATTATGTATGCATTATTCAAGTTATTATATATTTATGCATTATTCAACTTTATTATTATTCAACTTATTTTCAACTTAATCTTTTTATGTAGTATTCTTCCTGCTTGAGGGACAGTAGATTGTGTAAAGCGTGGTATTTGTTTTTCTTCACAGAAAGGTCACTTTAAAGTATCTTTTCTATATATTCATTCTTCAAACTTTTTTTTGTAGCATATGAGCACATTACACATAGAAACAATATCATTTTTCACCTTGGCATGAAGCCTTTTAGACTGTAGACATTCAAAATAAATTAAAATTAAAATAACACTAGTTTGGTTCATGATTAAAATGTAATAGCTAGAAACTCTATCTTTACTTTTTCCCCAGATAATTGATCTTTTATTTCCCCTTCTAGTCTAGAGAGGGTGTTTTTTTTTTGTTTTTTTGTCTTTTTTTTTTTTTTGAGCGGGGATTCACTTTTGTATCTTCCTAAGTTCTTAGCATAGTGCCTTCTGCATGCTGTGTAGCAGTGTATTTTTATTAATGGGCCAAGAATTAATTTCATTTAATGAGAAAACAAAGGCAATTAAACCTATATTCTGATACTACCGTTCTTCACCTGTCTCTAAAGCAAATCCTTTCAGTTTGGTCAGTGAACCTTCCCATTCTTATGTTTACTATTATAAGTTACTTTTGTTGTTTAAGGAAAGAGTTTGTGGTTCCTTTTGCAACTTGAACAGCAAATTGTATTCTGTTTCTTCTGTGTTGGTCTGTATAATCCTCTATGAACGTACCGTTATTATTAGGTGCATGCCCAAAAAAGAATTGAAAAAATAAATGGACCCATAATAATTACTCAGTAAAAGCAAGTGTGTCATTTTGGCTAAGAAAATACAAATGCTTTGCTTCTTAAAATTTATATAATTTACATTAAAAATTACATAATCATCTTCAACTTCTATATAAACACCCTTGATTTATGTGCCCTTTACAAAAGGAGACCCATGAATTTGCCTGAGTTTAATGAAAAGTCTGATATAGTTACAGTAGTTGCAGTTGCCTTAATTGATCCTCTTCTCCAGAAATGACATACCCAGAACGACACTGTTCTGTTTCTCAAGCTGTGGTCACATTAATTTTTTTTTTTTTTTTTTTGAGACAGAGTTTTGTTCTTGTCGCGGCTGGAGTGCAATGACACTATCTTGGCTCACTACAACCCCTGCCTCCAAGGTTCAAGCGATTCTCCTGCCTCAGCCTCCCAAGTAGCTAGGATTATAGGTGCCCACCACCACGCCCAGCTAATTTTTGTATTTTTAGTACAGACGGGGTTTCACCATGTTGGCCAGGCTGGTCTCGAACTCCTCACCTCAGGCGATCCACCCGCCTTAGCCTCCCAAAGTGTTGGGATTACAGGCGTGAGCCACTGCACCCGGCCTAAATTATTTTAAAATGAGGTATAATTATGCTTTATTATTTATTCTATGGAATTTTTAGAAACTGATTTACCCAGTTACATTTTACTTGAAATTTATATTTAAACATAGGTAAAGCAGAAGAGTATCAATAAAAAGTTCCCAGTTTCTTTTTCAAACAGTTAATTTTAAATTAAAAATTTGGAATGGCAAGTGATTGCATCATCTATAACAAGAAAGACAGAATAGAGGTTCTTTCCACCTCTTAATAATCTGTATGTCTATGATTTTACATCCATTAGTTAGAGGCCTATATTTGTAGTATTACCTTTTGAAATCACATAGCTCTTATGCGACATTAAGTATTATTTTTGGCATCTTGAAGATAGCAAAATGAGCTTTGTCTATTTTTTAAACCATGGTTTAAATTTTTTTTCTTTTTTTATAGTGGCATTAATTGCTGTGGTTTTATGAACAATTTATTTCTGGTTTTTTTTTTTTTTTTTGAAAAAGATATACAGAAATGGTTCTCTGACTCATCAAAGTTCTGATAGATTCACAACAGCCAGTTAGTCACAAATTGTAGCTTACAGCTACAAATCCGCCTGGCATTTTTTGTAGACTGTGATGTCTACTGCCTTTACAGTAGCATATTCATCCTTTAAATGCCACCATGCTGAAAATGCATATTTAATTTTATGAATGCCTTTACCAGAGCTTAGGTAATTTTTCAAATGGTAAAATGTAATGATAATTAGTTTCTCATATTAATAGCACCATAAGGTCTTTTTCTAATTTCAAGAAAACTCAAAAATGCAAATTGTGTACATTTTGTATGTGTGATAAAGTTTTGGTGTTTTTTTCTTTTAATAAAGATTTATTTTCTTTTAGAGATACATGCTGAACTACTTAGAAGCAAAGTTATATGATATCTGGGATTTGCTTCAAAGTACCACAGGGAGAGAAAGTGTAGATGGGGATAAAGATGAAATAAGATTTGTTATGAGTTGATCATTGCCGAAGTTGGGTTATCGGTACGTGAGGATTCATTACAATTCTGTCTACTTGTGAATACAGTTAACATTTTTCATAATAAAATACAAATTTTATAGCTCATCATTTTTATAACATTTTACTATGAGTTGATAAACTTCCATTAAAGTCAACAGCACTCAAGATGTTAAAACCAAGGCATATCTCTCAACTCCCTGCTTATTCCAACAAACTGCATGGTATAGTCTCTTAGTCAACTAAGATGATGACAGTCTACATTGCTTAATAATTTAATTGGGTGAACCCTGTTAAAATATTTATTGCATTAGTTCTATCATGATTCTTATTTCAAGCTCTCATGATCTATCTTTTGGCAGTATTAAATATTTATGAAATGAATGAGTGAATGAAGCCCGAAATCTCTGAATTCTTTTCCTATCACAGCACCTTTGCAATTCCTTCTTACTTGTCCACATCGCCTCACTAGATTTTAAGCTTTAAAGGAGCCGAAAGTGAGTCCAGTTCACCAGTGTGTCCCAGGCTAGTGCAGCATGTGGCATACATTCGGTCTTGAACAAGTATTTATGGAATGAATGTATTGATGAATCTGTCTTCTGAAGTGGTCTTCATGATTTCTGTCTCTGTTTTGGCCAGTCCGCCCTCCATTTAGTTTCTGGGGGAATTGTTTTAAACTGTCATTGTGATCATGTTTTGCCCATCTATGGCGTTTCTCCTATGAGGGTAAGCATTCAGACGTTTGTACAGGAAGCTGGAGACCCGTCATCCTGTGGGACCTGCAAGAGGCTTGCTCCTCTTCTTCATCTTTCACCACTCCACACACTGTTTACTTGTGTATTCTGTGCCATCTTTTTTTCTGAGTATTTCCTCTCTGAGAATGTCATCCTCATTCACATTTTGAAAATGGCACCAATGAGAAATGCCTTCCTCATCCTGGGGAGACTGAGACGATATCTGTCCTGTACATCGCAGCTGGCGATGTAGCAGCAAATGCCAAAACTTCCCTGCTCTCAACACACATTGTACCTCTCAACCATTCACAACCATTTTCTTCTAATCATTTTCCTCCTCACCAACAGTGAGCATCCCTAGAGCAGGAATTACTTTTAATTTCTTTGACATCTTCATTTTACCTGGCCAGTACAGAAACCCAGTAAACGTTTGCAGAAGGAGTAAATTAAGGAATGTACTTTTTGCTAATCAAGTGAATGAGTTTTCCATAAAAGCTGTGAAATCAGTGATATCGTGACCAACATACCTGAAGGTTGTTTTTCCCATTTGCAGCAGTTATCCTCTGTCGAAAGACAATCTTCTGAATCATATAAATCTCAGAATGAAATACTGAGGTAAAGAAGGCCTTTGTGTGAACCAAGGGGCTAAAGGAAACAAGACTTTGGGTTTTTAGAAGTTTAAGATTTATTTAGTAATGGGAATAATTCTGATGATAATTTTAATGAAGGCTTCTGCTAGCTTCCATGGAGATTGAACAAATATTTCAGAGCTCCAAGACAGCTGGATCGTTGACACTCAGAATATATTTTGTAAAAGAGCCAAAGTATAAGAATACTAAAATGTTGCAAGATGAGATCTGTCATTTGTTGACATGAACCTTAGAGCTTAAGAAAGTCATGGAGCTTTGGGTTTTTCTCTGTTTCTCGCAGATATGTCTTCTCCGACTACTATGAAGAAGCCTGAAAAGCCATTGTTCAGCTCTGCATCTCCACAGGATTCTTCCCCAAGACTGAGCACTTTCCCCCAGCACCACCATCCCGGAATACCTGGAGTTGCACACAGTGGTGAGGAGTTTCAAGCATAGAGGAGAAGCCTCCTTCTTGTCTGTAGGGCCTAACCCCCTTAGGGACGGAGCAAAAGTTTATAAATAGAGCTATGGCAACCATATTTTCTCAACCCATATGGTGAGGGGCACAATCCGATCAAGTATTTTTTCTTCTCAATTTATGAGAAAAGATTTCTCTGGGTGCAGGGGCTCACGCCTGTAATCCCAGCACTTTGGGAGGCTGAGGCGGGTGGATCACGAGGTCAGGTGTTCAAGACTAGCCTGACCAACATGGTGGAACCCCGTCTCTACTAAAAATACAAAAATTAGCCTGGCATGGTGGCATGAGCCTGTAATCCCAGCTACTCAGGAGGCTGAGGCAGGAGAATCGCTTGAGCCTGGGAGGCAAAGGTTGCAGTAAGCCGAGATCGTGCCACTGCACTCCAGCCTAGGCGACAGAGTGAGACTCCATCTCAAAAAGAAAAAAGAAAGATTTTCAAAGTCATACAAGTAAATAATATTTATAATATGTGTTTTAAAATTACCTTAATCAAAAAGATTGTTATCAGAAGAATGTGGAAAATATGGGTACATAGCTATCTTCATTATAGCTTCAGGATTAGTCCTGATATTTTACTAAGGGAAAGATGGAATTTCAGTTATGTTGCTGAGTTTAGAGTGTTTCTAAAGGCATTAAGACGTAAGGCACTATTTCTGTAGATGTTATTTTCTACATATAAATCAATATTTATCTATATGAGAGTAATCAGAGAATAAAAGGTACTTTTTTTGACACTTGTTTTATATGCCCAAATCCTTTGGGCTAGTACACTTGATATTGTGTCTGATGTCTTAATTTAAGTAGGAAAATGAATCCAATATTTGACATTTGTACTTTAACCAACAGCTAATACCAAATCTTTCAAAAATTAAAAATGAGATACAGCTAATAATTAACACTGTGTACTTTTTACCTAGAGAGGAGTAGACTGCATTTTAGGTGGAAAAAGTTTTATATATAAATATGTTAATAGTGAAACTGTTATTGGTTTAAATTTATAGTTAGGCACTTCCTCATCCTTCTGACTAATCGAATCTGGTTTTTAAATCTTTATGCAAACAATGTAACATCTTTTAAAATAAAGTCCTTATTAGCTTTGGTTTGTAAGTATATGTTGATATTTGTTGGTGCTATACTTAAAAAAATGCATGGCCTTTATTGCTATCATTAAAAAATTACGAAATTGAGAGAGGACTATACAACTTAAATGTGGTATAAGAACTTTTGCATTTATTACCTATACCATTGAGATAGGTGAAAAAATCAGTAACTGTTTCATAGGTTTGTAATGTTGAATATTTGGACAGAATTAACTGAGAAGTCAAATCACCCATTTGTTACGACACCTGATGAAAATATTCTTATTTCTAACGTGAAAAAAAGTAGACAGTATATTTTTATATAACGAAACAGGAGAGACCTAGATGAGCCCTCCACCTTGGTCCTTCACCCGATATTTGTTCTGTATCTGTATATTAGGGTCTGTGTTAGGCATCTTGTTCAGAAAGATCGTTTCTGTCCTTAAAGAGTTCAGGATATAGTGGGGAGAGAGTGGGGCCACGTCATTGGCTGGGCATCTAATCTGAACATGACTAGATAACCTGAAGAAGGTTTAGATACCTGGAAGATATGTGTTCTGAGCTAAAGTGTGATGGCAAAGTTCACCACAAGAAGGAACAACAAACTAGGAAGAAGAGGGGCAACCTGGGAGGCAGAGGGACATACTAGGAGGAAGAGGGGCAATGTGGGAGGCAGAGGGGCAAACTAGGAGGAAGAGGGGCAACATGGAAGGCAGAGGGGCAAACTGGGAGGCAGAGGGGCAAACTAAGAGGAAGAGGGGCAAACTGGGAGGCAGAGAGGCAAACTAGGAAGAAAAGGGGCAAACTGGCAGGCAAAGGAGGCAGAGGCAACAGCATGTATCAGTGCATTAGAGGCCATTGCAGCAGGCAACTGCCATATAGCCAAGGATCCACAAATATCTTCGTCTGGCCAGAGATGAAGCCAAAGAAGTGATCCAGGACTCGGTCTCAGAGTACCTGAGGTTGTGTGTACTGAAAAACCTGTTGGGATTTTATTCTGGAAGCAGTAGGAAGCCACTGAAATAATTTTAGCGGAGAAGTTACATGATTATAATGGTGTTTTTAAAAAGTAATTCACATAGCACTATAAAGGATGTTTTGGAAGGAGCAAGACTGAAGGAAAGAAGACAATAAGGCTTTGCAATAATGTATGCAAGAAATACACATACATGTGTATGTATTCTTTCATAATAAAGGAAAACTTTTTGTCTTGTATTTTACTTTTCTTATTTTTTTTTCTTTTTCTTTTCTTTTTTTTTTTGAGACAGGGTCTTACTCCAGGCTGGAGTGTAGTGGCGTGATCTTGGCTCGCTGCAACCTCTGCCTCCCAGGTTCAAGCAATTCTCCTGCCTCAGCCTCCCGAGTAACTGGGATTACAGGCACTCACCACCCCGCTCAGCTAATTTTTGTATTTTTTTTAGTAGAGATGGGGTTTCACCATGTTGGCCAGGCTGATCTCGAACATCTGACCTCAAGTGATCCACTCCACCCACCCTGACCTCCCACAGTGCTGGGATTACAGCCGTGAGCCACCATGCCTGGCCTGCTTTTCTTATTTTTAAAGGACTAGAATGGCTTTTATGGAAAAGGTAGTCATTTTTACTCTCAGTTTGAAATACGACATTTTACCCAGTGGTATCAGGCCACCTACAGCTCATGCAAGCACAGTGCCAGGTTGCCCATAGATGTGAGTTCGGGTTTGATTTCTGCAATTTCACTTGAAAATAGATCTCCTCCAGAACTATTAAGGCCAAATTAATCTCAAAAGCTAAAGGACCCAAGATGGAACTATGTATATATCTTTCCAGGGTTTGTGTACAGATGTGAGCAAAAATCATGGTTAAAATGAGCTGAGATTAAGAGCATTTAGACACTAAGTAAAAGATGCCCAGTTTTTCTTAGATGTTTGTATTTCCTTAAATGATACTTTCAAATGGGTATACTTCTTAAATAAAGTAATACTTCAGTAAAGAGTTTTGTTTTAAGAAATACGCATTTGTTCTCTGAAATGCATACATTTGATGGAGGATGCTCAAACTTCAGTATGTAGGAAGATTACATGGACACTTATTTAAAATATACATTTTGGTGCCTTACCCCTAGAGGTCCTGATCCCCTAGGTCTGTGTGTAGACCAAGGGATCTGCATTGTAAGAACAATACAGAGAATTTCAGAAACAGTGCTCTGGACGTTCAGAGAACAAAGTCGTGACTATAAAATTGAATTTATGTTTTTTCTATTCTATACATTCTTAATTTCTTATATCTTCTGAAAAAGTTTTTTTTGGGAGAGGTAAGCAATACATCCCATAAATAGGTCCCACCCCCCCACCCACATAGTTTCAAAGTTGGAAATAAATCATTCTAGGTGATTTCCCTTTGTAGGTTATGGCTAAAATTTATTTTTTTTCATATTCTTTAAGTTGTCTCATAAAACATTAGACATTTATCGTTTATAATTTCCTATTATTTGAATTGGGAAATATTAAAATAGAAAGACATTTACTTTTCACTTCTACATATATTTGTTGGTAGTTTTAATTTGTATTTCTATGATTATTTCTCTCAACATTTTAGAGATAATGATCATACGATTACACTCTTTCTCCATCTTTCAAACTTAAGATTTATATTTCAAAAACTGAACAATAAATTATAAGAATACTAATGTTGAGAAGTTATAGTAAAATTGAACATTGTCCACATTGCATGTGTTTTATATAGTATTTCCCTTTATAAAATTATTATAAAATATGTGATATATGGGTAAAGTAATATACTTACCTATATGAAAGCTTAAATTTTCATTGCTGTGTGTTTTATTCTTGGTTTTATATTAACAATATCTTTTAAACTACATATAGTAAAAGTTAAAGTAGAAAGAAAAATAGTTGCAGAATAGAGCTCTTTTGGTTTTGAAAGAAACATTTTCATTAGGAGAGTTTCTAGCTCTATGTTCCAATGTTCATAAGCATTTATACCATGACCAGACAATTATAAATGACATGAGATGATGTTGTATTAGTTATTGTCTTTCCTTCTAAACAATTGCCAGGTAGGATGTACAGGGAAACGTTTTATTTGAAATTGAATTTCACTTTTGTTTTTAATTTTGGTAGAAAATTTTTGGCTCTTTTGCCCTCTACTTAATGCTGTGACTTGCTCTGGACTTATGAGACAAAGTGTTTTTTGTTTGTTTGTTTGTTTGAGATGGGGCTTATGAGACAAAATGTTTTTTGTTTGTTTGTTTGTTTGAGATGGGGTTCTGTCACCAGGTTGGAGCGCAATGGCGCCATCTCGGCTCACTGCAACCTCCGTCTACTGGATTCAAGTGATTCTCCTGCCTTAAGCTCCCAAGTAGCTGGGATTACAGGTGCCCATCACCATGCTCAGCTAATTTTTTGTATTTTCAGTAGCGATGGGGTTTCACCATGTTAGCCAGGCTGGTCTCGAACTCCTGACCTCAGGTGATCCACCTGCCCCAGCCGCCCAAAGTGCTGGGATTACAGGTGTGAGCTACTGCACCCGGCCTAAAGATTTTATAATCAAAGAATATGTTTTCAACGGGATATATCTTTGCTCAAAGAAGTGTTTTATCAAGTATTGACATAACCTATAAAAGAGAAACTGATTTTGTAACCACTCACAGAGCCAGGAAGCAAGATTGTTAATTTTCTAGAGTGATGTTTTATCTCTGTGTAGTTAGCCGTACTGGTGTTGAGAATAAAAATGAAAAAGTAACTGTTGATTTAGGAGAGCTTGGTTAAATCATGGGGACAAAAATGAATGGTTACCAGTTTTGTAGTTTCACAGCATTCTTCAGGATCAGAATGGAGCAATAAGGTAACCAGCTGATGAGTCAATCTTTCCTTTTCTGTCTTCTGCAGTCATCTCAACTCGAACTCCACCTCCACCTTCACCGTTGCCATTTCCAACACAAGCTATCCTTCCTCCAGCCCCATCGAGCTACTTTTCTCATCCAACAATCAGATATCCTCCCCACCTGAATCCTCAGGATACTCTGAAGAACTATGTACCTTCTTATGACCCATCCAGTCCACAAACCAGCCAGGTAAAAATAAGAGAGAAAATAAGATTAGCACCTAAGGGAGATGGGACAGATCTAATTCTGAGACACAAAGGTTAGTCAGACAGTGTGTCTGGCAGAACGTCAAGCCTTGAAATCCATCTTCAGGAAGTTGCTTGGTGACTCAATAAGTTTTTATTTAAAGGTGGCTGAATGACAGGTAGGAAGTGTGTTGCCCCAAAGGGTACATTTGTGAAGATGGTTTAATGTTTTTGGATTTTCACTGACTGAAGGGAAAGTTTATGCAGAAAGTACATTGACAGGAAAGCTCTGGGCTGGAGTTCACACCTCTTAAATACCTGGTTTGACACAGAGACAATGTGCTTATTTCAGGCAGGAGTAAGGTATGTGCTAAAATAAACACACACAAAAGAACTTACAGTTGTATTTATAGACCAACTATTAGGTATTAAAATAAGCTTTGGTAATGTAAACATTCTCAGTGTTTGATGACTACTTGAATATTCTTTGCAGAGACATGACTTACATTTAATAATGAGTGACATTACTAGAAGCGTCTTTCTTTTTTTTGGAAACATTGTGCAGTGGTTTTGGGGATTCATTTTGTAAGTGTAGTGACTCATGAGCATTTCTCACTCCCCTAGACATATGGTTTCTTCTACCAAGAGGTTACTTCATAGGAATTTGGTATATGAGCATTTTCCACAATCAAGTAGACAGTCTTTGTGCCAGACCTGGGGCTATCAATAATTGTAATATCTAAAACATGTAATGTAATTTTGATATTAGGATCTGATATTTAGCTTTGCTGCTTTACCTCTAAGACTCCTGTCCACTTATTATACCTTTTAATATTTTGGAGAATTTTCACAAACATTCCGTCATTACTACGGTGGAACATTCCTGAAATGCTAGTAAATAGTGTGTGTCTATCAATTTAAATTAGCAAAGAAAGGTGAGAAAAAAATCCCTTTGGTCTTAATTTGTTAAAATGAAACAAAATGGTCCTTTCTGAACTTTTAATTTAGAATAACAACGCATCCAGGACCCTTTGGGTTACTTAAAAAGTTATCATTACTTTTAGTTTGACTGACTGAGATATTAAACTCAATATTGAATTTTGAATTTGAAGTTAAAATTATTATTTGTATTTTAGAAGAAAATGTTAAAATGTTGTAGCACTTTTCATGACTGAAGTACTAAAGACAGCTAAGTGAGAGTGGGATCTTAGTATATCGTTTAGAAATAAAATTTGTTGTCAGCTCATGGATTCAGAAGTCTCAGTTCCATAGAGCATTTTGCTAGACTCAGCTGGGAACAGTGCACACAAGGTCTGATTTTAATTTGTGTAGAATTTCCATGAATAACAAAGTCTAATTAAGACATCCATTAAAAGTCCTTAACGTTAATTCAGTGTGGAAAATCTTAGAGTTCCATTGGATTTTTTTTTTAACTGATGTCTTAATTAGGCACTGTTAGGGGAAAAATTATGCAAATTAAAATCAGGCCCTTAGTGTTACACATTTCTTTAATTATTCAGTGCTTGTTTTACGTATATTTCAATTTCTTTATAAGTTAAGAGGGCATATTAGGTGATAATCTGCCTATATTGTTCTCAGTTTTTCTTCACTTTTTCAAGATACATATCACCTTCTAAGGAAGCATATTACTCTCATCTCAAAAAAAAAAAAAAAAGAAAAAGAAAAACTAGCAACAAAAAAACTCTCAGGATTTTGTATAATAGGAACCGTGTATAAAGTAGAATAATCCTTTCCTAATGCTGTTAGCTTCACCTTCAGACAAGACATCTCTCTTTTCTATCTACAGTATGAAAGTTCATCTATTAACAGCCTTAAAAGATAGAAATTTTTAGTGTAGCTTCATCTGTTTGAACCAGTAGAAAACTGAGGAGAAAATAGCCCTCAATTCTTCTCACCCTGAGTTTTAGGAAAGTTGTCTGCATTGACTTGGGAATTCTTTCTTTGTCACCTTTATTCTTTTCAAATGAGAGAAGTGTCTACTAGTTCATGTTGTTCAATTCCAGTAGGTGAAGTTTGTAGAATGGTCAGGGTAGGATAATATATTTGGTGGCAGCATTTCCTTGAAATTATTGTCATTCTGCTCCAGACATTTTGTTCCAGGTAGGTACTTTCAGACTGTTTTGGTGAACACTGTATGTAGAAACATTTTTACCATTGAATGTACCACCAATGATAAAATGAGACCTGTCTTCTTTCTTAAGATATTTAAAGCACTTATTTCCAGTGTTCAGATAACCAGAAATGGATGGCCTGCTGTAGAAACAAACTACTTTTTCCCTTTGAAAGGAAAAATGGGTCTTTATAGTTAACTGCAGATTTTTTTTTTAAGGAACAGTGTATCTGCTTTGATTTTTAACTCCAACTCAAAACCAATTAATTTGCATTTCAAATTAGAATTCTTGGTATTTACCATTTTAGCTTTAGAAATGGAAAAACATCAGTATTCCTTCACCATTCACTTCTAGTCAGCTGTTGCTTCCCAATATTCTCCAGCACTGCACTGATTTTGATTTTTAAGATAAGCAACTGAGATGCCTTTTCCTCCCCACAGCAATTTTGAGATTAATTGCATTACTGCTGCACCAATTATAGTGAGACAGTCATGCTATTCAATGGAATATTTTGAATAAAATTAGTTTAAAGATGTAACTCTCCCATAGGTTTCCATATTGGAAAACTCTGGTCAATTTTCCTGACATCAAGTTAAATACTTAAAATTACCCATGATGAATAATCAGGATATTCAGGAAGTCCATTTTCTTTATAGAATAAATAATGTGGCCTCTGAGGAGCCTAACCGAAGACTTAGTTCATGTCTCTAAGTCACAATATTTAAGTGTTATTAGCTGTTCATCTTTTTCTCTAAATAAATGTCTACTTGTAATTTATGTGCAGATATTTAGAAAAATATTCTGCTTCATTTTTTTTTTGCCTTTAACAGTTCAGATTATAAAGACTATATACTTGCCGAGAATAGCCTCCCAGCAAATTGCGATGAACACCGTGCAGTGGAGAATTCCAACATGGGTATAATCAAAAATAACATTCTCAGTCTAGAAAAATATATTCCACTATTTCTTCAAAGAGTGTATCCTTAGGATTTTGTTTCCTACCACGGAAACTATTTTTGTACCCAGGAGCTAAAACTCAGATAGTAACATCTTTTCTATCATTGCCCAGGGGATTTTCTCAGTTAATTCTCACAAATGTCAACAAGAAATGTTTTGTGTAACTCTCCATGCACCACCATGGATGTAAGAGTAACTCAAATAACAATGCTCATTTGCTTGTCCTCTGCTTCCCCTCAGTACAGTTTAATTTACTTTGGAAATCTTTTATTTGTAGGTGTAAGGACAAACGTAGCTCAGCATTTTATATCATTGTATGACCTCTGAAATTTTAGATGCTTTACATCTTATTCTATCTTCTTGTATTAGTAAATCATCAAAAGTTGACCATAGATCTCGGAATCTAAATTGCCTAATGTGTGCATCTCAGCACACCTGTGTGTAAGAGAGCTAGAGTTTTGTATGCAGGAGAATGGTTCTTGACTGTAAATGATGAAAATTCCAGAATTCGTTGTATTTGATCTCCTAGATATTTTTGTGTCCTTTGTTTCAGTGATATCATCATGTAGGTGAAAATTGTGTTCTAAAAGCCAAAACTGACTCATTATAGAAAATGAAGAGCAGAGAATAAGGAAGCATTGGGTTCCAACTGTAGCTAGTTCAGTAAGGAATTCCATTTTAGCCTTTGGGCTAAGCATTTAAGTCTGCACTTGAGTTTCTTGGCCTACTACATGAAAGGATCAAGTCTACCTGGCTCTCAGGGGTGCTGTAAAGAGGAATTCACCTATACCATGACGTGCTTTGAAGATGAAAACCTTCTTTGAAATGCTGCTGCTCCTTATTACTACCAACCATTGACTGGCCTCTCCGACTCCGACTCGAGAGGGCCTGTGTGGCGCCTATGCGCAGTGTGCTGGATCCACACAGTCGTGTGTGCTGAGTGGACTTGTTGAACAAGATGACTGCCTTTTGGATTGCTTCACCCGGCATTCTGTTTTTGTTTTGTAGCCTAACGGCAGTGGTCAAGTAGTAGGGAAAGTGCCTGGCCATTTCACTCCTGTCTTGGCACCCTCTCCCCATCCCAGTGCAGTGCGACCTGTGACCCTGAGCATGACAGATACTAAACCCATCACTACATCCACTGAAGGTGAGGCAGCTTCACCTACAGCAACCAGTAAGTATTTCCATAGGAAATGAGAAATGTCCATCAGAGGCACCATTGGATATCTGATCCAAGGTGGAAAACACGGCAATTTTTCCAGCTACCTGACCAGATGGAGATTTCTCATTTAAGTGGAGCTAGCAGGCATGGATGTGGCCCTGCTATCACAGGCTCTCTCTTCTCAAATTCCAGTCAGTGAATCATATTTGAAAAGGGAGAAGCTCACTTGTTTAAGTTAACAGCTATAACAAAAATAATAAGTCATGCCTGCTTGTTCAAGGTATACATTGAAATTGCACTGAGTAACATAACGCAGAATACAAAGTTTTCGTATCACCCAAAGAGAGATTAGGTAATTGGTACTTATTGGAGCATTCCTATAGAAATCAAGCCCCTTCACAAAGCAGATGGAATCAGTGCCTCTGTAAGGTAATTGCATGTTTACATCATTGTAGGTTATGTCATTGTTAAAAACAGTCGCATAAGGTTGGGAACAGATGAGGACATTTCAAAACTTAGTATTAGGCACATGTAAGCTACCTGTACTTTCACTATCTGCAAGCTTTTTTTTTAAAACCTTTTGATTATTTTGCTTATCATTGGTACATCAAATACTGTGCTTTTTAGTGTGGCCATAACATTTAAATGTCAGAGATTTAGCCAGTGAACCTTCCTAACACGTACCAATAAGCCGCATCATTCCTTTGTTTTTTCATGTAAAATACTTAGAAGTATAGAAGAAATTAATTTTGAGGTGGTTTCACCCAACTGTCAGCTTCTTAGTACTGGAGCTGGAATGTACAAATTGGTGAAGTAGAATGGATAAAGCTATCGAATTGGTGGAATTAGCATGCACCTCACCAATTATACAGATATCTTCAATTCAAACCTTTTTTTTTTCTTTCTTAGAGCAAGAAAATCCCCATGATCTTGAAATTTCCATGTGAATCAGAGACAATCAGAGGCATGCACCACTCATTCTTTCTCAGCCATTGGAAAGATGCTCTTTTTTTTTTATGGTTTCTGAAAGACTAGGAAGGAACCCTATAAGAAAAATGGACAATACTTTGTACAGTGAATTCAGCATTTCTTTCTCAAAATTCATGAGCCCCGTCAATTAATAAGTTCCTATAGGCTTGTAATACCCATCAGTAATTCTTAATGCTTAGAATACTTCCCTGAATGCACAGATGGATGCGACCTACTCAGGAAAAACTAAAAATTATTTTGTTCTAGAGGTTTGCTATGTGCATTACAGTCACCAAAACACTAAGTACTCATTTTAAAAGTGGATGTCTTCACATCTTTGAGCAAACAATGTCAGCAATTTAAATAAAAGCACACAGAAAACAAAGATTTTTTTTTAAGTAGTTGAAAGATTATCACAGGATAAATGGTCAAAACCAAGTTCTAGAAACTCTGATGCCTACTCTTGTGGTGTTATTAATAGAAGAGATTCAGGAGAGGATCAGACCCAAATGATCACAGTTCACTTATAGGAGTACCCTCAGCCTGTTTGTTAATGAATTGTTTTTATACTTACATACAGGTTGTTCAAAAAGGGATCTGATTTGACTAGTAAAATTACAAAATATTCAAAAGGAGTATCTTGGTTGTATAAAGATGGCTGCATCAGTCCATTTTCCACTCCTACATAAAAGAAACATAGTGAGTAGTTTTTCTTTCCTATAAACAAGCTTGTAGCTCCAGCTTCTTAGGCACCACCAGTAATAAAAAACTGGTCATTGAATTGATATAGTACTATGGTCAAAGAAAACACAGAAGCCAAGGAAGGCTCTTTCTCATAGTTGAAAAGAAAAAGCAGCATAGATTTGGTGCTCTTCTGTAAGGGTGAGGCTCATCTCCGGCTGTCTGTGAGGTGTGGTGAATTCCAGAGGCTTGGAGATTGAGTAGGGGTCACTGGTTGCTGATGGCTGCCTTGCATGTCCCCTTATTCAGGAGCAATTAAAATATGAATTGTGAGCATCTTCACTGTTTTTAAAAAGTTGACCTAAAAAAGCTTCCATGGATCAAATTCTGCAGTCCTTTAAGTGAACAAGGCAGAATTAATATATTGGTTTTAGAAAGCCAGTTCATTTAAAATGAAGCCTGGATTCCTCATTAATCTGGTGGTTTTAAACCAAACAGTGTAGCTTTCTTCAGAACAATAAAGGTAATATATGGTAATATGGAGCAGTGGGATTGCCTAGTTCTGGGAAGATACCTCAGTCCTTTCCTTGTGAAAAGTAACAAAAGTCTTTAGGAGTAGCTCCCTATTCATTTTTTTTTTGTGTGTGTGAAAAATTTACTCTATACCAAAAAGCAAAAAGCAGTTGTACAAAAAGTACTTGCAAATGAGACTATAACAATGTAAGGAATAGTCACCATATATACTTACTACCTAGTGGCCAACTATTTAAAGGTGCATCAGCTTTCTTCCTGGATCAGTTACAAGTAATTGATTTTTGTATGTGTGCTTATGGGAAGTACTTTTTTTCAAAAACATTCCTATCAGACTTGAGGCCATTTTCACAGGTAAAATACCGAGCTGATTCATTCTACATGATACAGGCTTCTCCTTCATGATAGTAAGATTTGATTTCCTTTTTAGCAAAACTTTTAAGAAAGACATTTTCCATCCCATATCATTAAGAACATCTGCTTAAATTCCATCATTAAAAGCTGTCACTTTTTCCTGGCGGACTTTCAGTCTGCTTTACATTTAGAATCATATACCATCATTGATTATTTTATATTAGACAACTACTATCTGGTGAAAAAGTACGTCTAGGAACAGGGCCCTTCTATTTATCCAATCCTTAGTACCTCCACAGGACAGTTACTAGAGCATGTAAGTGTGAGACACCCACACTGAAGTATGAGATCTGCTTTACTGGATAGATTTTTTAGGGGGAATAAACTAGTTGATTTGAAGTCAATTATTATTTCTTTTCTATCACTTGGTGTTCACTCAGACAAAAGAGAAGAGAAATGAAGACACTTTTTTTTTTTGGTTGCAAATCCCACTTCTCTGGGTTTCTTATACATGGACAGGGTGTTCGTTCTGATAGTTCACAATTTTTATCTTTGTTTTTGTTCTTCCTTAATCAGCCTACACAGCCTCAGGCACATCTCAAGCCAATCGATATGTGGGACTAAGCCCAAGAGACCCATCCTTCCTACATCAGCAACAGGTGGGCAAGTTTCACCCAGGTGTGACGGTGTAGCCACGCTTTCGCTTCCGTGCTTCTCCATGTTGCCTCTCAGATCCGGACTCAGAAGGGGGCTCCCGGGGCTTCTGAGACCAAAACTGATCATTTCATTTCCCAGAATTTTTTCTCATTGATCCTTTGTTTCTCACCTCTTTGAGTAGAGTTTCTCAAATTGGCTCATGACCTTTTCCATCTCTGTAGCATATATTGATAACATCCATGAGTAATAGTGTTTCAGCCAAAGTGTATTTTTCTCAGTCTCATTGGCTATTGAGAACTTACAGACTATAGCTTTCAAAGACAAAAACTGCAAACTGTTTTAAAGCCAACTAGAATAGAAGCAGTATATAATTCGAGTTTTTGAGTGATTTCTTATTTTCCAGATGTTTTGCTCCTCACATTTGTATTTTAGTCCAAGACGATGAGTTACGAAGTTAAAATCTCAGGCGACACTTCATTCCTATTATTTTAATAGCTTTAAATTGGTTTACTGATTTCAGATGTGATAAAACACTTTTTTTTGGTTCTGCTTTCTTACATCATTTATGTTTCTAGTAGCATTTTAAATTTCACATCTCATTAATGCTGTAAATTTAATGCAAATGAAGTGTTTACCCAAACTGTGAAAACATACAGCCAGGATTAATGGTGGCTTATAAACAGATCAGCCACAGTCAAAAGCATGGACCATACCAATGTAGAAATCCCACGATTCTAGTTACAGGATAAGAGACGTAATTCTAAACAGTTCCGAATTTAAATATATTTTATGATGCATATGTTTGCTGCTCTCAAGTTTTGATAGCAGAGCAGTTTGAAATTAACAGTATGCAAAATATTACATAGGGGAAAATTAGGCTATAATAAATAATAAAGAGCTGGTGTTAACTAACTCGCTCTTTATTTATAAGTTGCCTGTGCATATATATGACTTTTTGTGTAGGTAGTAAGATACTTTTGCCCACTTACTTCATTCTTGATCTGTTCACCTCACATACCCTTGTTGTGACCTACCTCAACTGTGCTTGGTGTGGAGTTCTCAAGTCCTTTCCAGTTGCAGCCCAAGGGGGCAGACTGCATATTAGAGGTCACCACATGCAGAGCTCAGAGAAAATCATAAAGATGATAGCTTATTCAGAATACTTGATGTTTTGCCAGGTTTAAAAAAAGCAAAACAAAACAAACCAAAAGAGTGAGAACTAACTGAAAACATCTGTACACAGTTATGAAAATACCAAATAATAATAATTAGTGGTTTTGCCAGCCATTGGCTTCTCAACATAATTCTCTGGAATGTTGCTTTTTTTTCACCTCTAAAATTGTTATAACACGAAATGAGTTATAATTACTAGAATATGGTTCTATTTGACAGATGTATGTGTCCATTGTGTTTTTTAAAAAACATATGCAGGATGTATAAGTTTAGAAACTTGTTCTTTTAAAAATCATTACACATATTCTCAGGAATATTTTTCTCATGGGATTTGCATTATTCTTTATGACACATCTCTAATTTCCAGTTAATTTTTAATGCATAAAACATGCCTCCATTATTTAAACCTTTAGCCCCAAATGCTAGTTAGAATACTCTGACCAATTCCATGTATTTGGAGGCAGCCTTCCTCCTCCACTACCCTAACCTATGGCAGCTTTAATTTTCTTATCCCTTATGATAAATGTCGAAGCCTCATGTAATTATGATTACTAAAGTCCATTAACATAAGAATTACTTCTTTCACATATCTAAAAATATATCAAGAAAACTTAGCAAGCATCATGAAAATATGAATTTTAATGTAGATAGCATTCTGGCACATGATATATTTTAAAAACTATGAGTTCTAGAACTATAAACTATTTTAAAATCAAAGAAGACAGCCACTTATTTAAGTGGACAACATTGAATCGAGACCACTTACAATGTGAATACGTTTTGTTCAGTCAACTATAGTTAATACTTATGGGATACATGATATATATTAATCTTTGGAAGCAAAAAAAAGTTCTTTATAGCTGAAAATGTTAAATACCATGCAGACAGATAATTTGTCCTCTATGTAATGAAAGAGTTAGTGCTGCTTTTTAATTTGAAGAAGCCCATATATGCTTTATTTTATAATGAACTCCAGTTTTGAGGCATGCAGAAAATACCTGTAAATAAATGCATATCATGCTATAGATGTATATTAGTAAACTAAGGCTAGAGTCAAAAGCCTATTCATTTTAGCCTTTCAAATTTTAAAAGAATTATAGAAATGAAGTTTTATGTTTACTATCCAGGAATAAAGAAACAGAAATAGTTTAAATGACTTCAGTAAAGATTATTCTTTCCTTCAGTAGAAATGAGATTGATTTACTGTGTCCTTTCATTACTTTACAAAGATTTAAAAGAGACCATTCTTCTAGAGGCAGTTTCTAAATGCATTTGGTTTAAAGCACTCAATGATGAATGAAAAGGAAAATCAAGGGGTACATGAAATAAAGGTAATCAATCATGTTATATTAGCTAGGAGAAATTCAAAATTAGAAAGGCAGTGCTTTAGTCTGAGAGGGTTCTTTTAAACATTCCCTATAGCCTTTAATATACATGATCCTTTAAGAATAAATATCGTCACCAGGTACATTCTTCAGTTCATGGTGGCTGCTTTATAAAGATTTATCCTTTTAGGTTATGAAAAGTACTGATGTGTAGTTTTGAGTGTTGTTTTTCTTAGAAAAGAACTTTAATAGAGCCTACATAAATTAGAGTTAATGATAAATTTAAAGTGGTCATGTAATTTTGACTATTTTATAAATAATCTTTCCACAAGATGATACTACAGTGGAGTTTCCAATCTGGTCATTTTCTAATACATAAGCTTACTAGCATTATCAAATTAAGATGAAAAGCTTTCTAATGTTAAAATGAACCCTGTACTTCACCTGTAAGAGTAATACATTCATAGTGTCAAATCTGAATACTAAAAGTATACACTTTCATATCATTTACTTGGTACACAGACAATTGTTATTAGTAATTATACATCTTTGTGTTCCTTTTTATAATAATTATTGCTGATGGCATTGGTTGCTAACTGCTTGGGAATACTAGTTTATTCTGACTGGAAGAAAGTTCACCTATCACTGAAAATATATCTCATTTGAATCTAAAAAATAAATTCACATAGTCCTGGAGACTATTTCAAAAAGGTTCATGTAAACCAGTTGATAATCTGCCATTAAAAATAATCCTCTCTAATCAGTCACAATAGTCAGCACATACCAGCTGATCAGTATTTGACTTTAGACTTTTTCTTTATCTCTTAACACAATCTTGAATACTTTTCAAGTCTAGAACTAGTCTGTCTTTGGGATTATTGGTTTAGTTATTGCATTCGCTATTGGCATGGGGGAAATCTTAAAATCAGAACTTCAGTTGGAGCTTCATTCTTCTTTAACTTTTCTATTGGAAGATGGTTTTGGTGGCTTGAAGAACTCATGGGTCCTGCTTTGGCAAACTGAACTGATTAGTCTCTGCTGAGAAATGTCTTTTTATGGTTTGGAACATTTTCAGAAATGTGGAACACCCCCCCGCCCCGACTTAACTTCATAGAAGTTCAGTAAAATGCAGTATATCCTTTTCTCTCTCATACTTTATAATTCACGAACACATTGTGCAAATTCGTTATGATAGGCAATGAAGGAACCACGTTTCCCAAATTTTATCTCCCTGAGAAAATGGGAACTATCAATCAGAGTGTTGGATGTTGCTTAGGAAATATAGAAATTATTTTATAATTCAGTCTAACAATTTTAGCATGGATGAATAATAAGAGACAACTTACTTGAATTAGCACCAGTTTCTTATCTGGTCTACCTCATAGTGAGTTGCTAATTTCAGGCCTCTTTCCTTTGCTATCATAGAAAGTTTGGTAGTATTAATACAAGAGAATCTGGCTAATTTGATTATCACCATTACATTTGAGTCTAAGGTCATAATAAGAGCCTAAATTCTTACTATTGTACATCAACATATATTTAAAAATCTCATTGTAAGTTGGAAATAAAAAGTTTGCAGCTAAGAAGCTTCTTGTTTAGAAATAAAAGTTCACCATTCAAACAAGCCATTGAAGTACATATTAACCTTTGATGTATATTTGAGATTTCAACTGAATAAATTAGGAGCTCACTTTTGCCTTCCCTAAGTGAGACAATAAAGTCAAGTAAAGTCTAGTTTATAAGAAATCGGTCTTATTTTCATAATCTCAAAATTATAATCTCCTGACTATATATATATTACCTATAATAAGAGCTAATGAATCAGTGGCCTGATCAATTCAGGTCTTTGCATTACTTCTCACAGTTGCATGGATTTTATTGGTGCTTGGGCTTCAGCATGTTACATCTCTTGCATGACTATATAATGCTATTATTTGAATTTCAATTACTGGTCTAGTGTATATTTAAATTGTTTCAACACTTTTCTTATAACACTTTTGTTTTTAAAACTAGAATTTGAAAGTACTTCTCATTACACTGAAAATTTCTGTTACACAAAATGGCCTTTTTAAGAAATTACTTCTGTAGGATTTTTTTAAACTAAGATATTAGTTTAAATCTTCTTATAATATTTGTCCTGGCAAATGGCAAAGCCAAAGCTTGGTACTACCATTGGAAAGGTAGTCATTTATTAGAGGCAAGCAATTAAAAGGACACAAGTGGACTATGAACAAACTTTTCAATACAGTCAGGAAGCAGGCTATCAACACTTGGGCTGTTCTTATTGTGTCTGTTATCATAATTGACAGCTTGACGTAAAACGCTATCACATGACTTCTGGGTAGGTATGTAAGTGGATAAGAGGTCACTTTTCATGTATGCTGGCTTGAAAGGAAACACATTTAAAGGAAGTTTCAGTCGAAATAATGGCTATGCAAATGTTTAGCTCTTTGGCTAGTTCTTAAATTCAAAAAATCCTTCCATTGTCTGTCTTTTGTCATTCCCTGGTTTGTTCACTTACCTTTACTGGGAATCAAAGACTAATATCCAGATAAGCTGTTCTAATTAATGTAAAAGTAAAATTACATTTTATGTAACGTTAACTTTAATCAACAGAAACACAAGGAAAAAATTATCTTCTTTTCTGAAAATATTAACTTAGATCTCAGTTGAATCAGGGAGGTAGAGGGAATTCTGAAGGTTTTATTTACAGATATTTTAGCATTAAATATTCTTGAACTGCACATAAGGGACAGGGTAGGAAAGGAACAATGACAGGCAACTGGTGTAGTGGGTGAGAACCAGGGATTAGGAGTCAGAAGGTTTGGGTTTTAGTGTTGATGTGACAGGGCATTTCTAACCTTGGACAAGTCCTTAAACCTTGGAAAGGAAAATGAAGAGGTTGAACTACATAAGCTCCAAAGTCCCTTGAAACCTTAAAATTTACAAGTTGTAGTAGCCTCTAATTTAAAAACAAAATCTTTCATTTTCTAATACTTATCTTATGATTTATGGTTAATAATGTTTATTCTGCTCATGGACTATGCATACTCATTTAAGTTAATTCTACTTCTGCTAATTAAATTAAATATCAAGAAACATGGGTTTCAGAAATTGGCACTAGAAGTGACTTTTAAGATATGAGGATGATCTTGAGTATCTTTTTTTTTTGTTTGTTTGTTTTTTTTTGCATGTGTTGTATGTGAAACATACAACACAATTTTATTCTGACCATTTTTCTTGTTCATACCATTCCTTCAGAGGTTACATGCTATTCATCCAGAGACCATTTAATTTGCTCCATGTAGGTAATTAATATTAGCAATAAAATAAAATTCTCCTAATCCAAAGTATGAATATTGGAGTGTTAATCCTTTTAAGCATCTGTTTTCCACCGCAAAAAGAGCCTTCACCCCTTAAAAATCTGTTTCATTGAGGGTCTGGAGAAATGAAGAAACACAAGAAAACATAAAACATACCTTTCAAGATGTTCTCCTGAGGGCCATTGTAAACGTAAAAAGAAAAAAAAGTGAGAAGGTAAATTTGCCTGTGTTGATTGTTCTGTTCACAGTTTAATGGTTTATTGGTTCAGTTGAGATTTGTTGTCATCGTAGGAACTGTTAGTACCTCAGCCTGTTTGCTGAGTCTAGCAAAATAGAACATTTTGCTTACCTTCTTTCTTTTGTTCCCAAAGCTAATTGCTGTGTATTTAACAAAAGACCCTGTTAATAACAAAGGAGGACCCCCATTTGAATAAACAAACTATTAGTCTGAAGTCACAAGCAATATTAATTCTTTATGGCTATCTGCTACTTACATGATTATTTGAGTGTAGTTTAGGAAAGGATAATGATCCAAATCTTAGGTGTTTCCCCTTTATGTAGCCATTTGAGAGGAACCAGATGGCCCCTATCCTTTTTCTTTTTTTCTTTGAAGCAATCTGATTTGAACTGGGCCAGGAACAAGGTTCTCTTTCCAGAGACCACAGAACTCCACCCTAAGAACATATGCAGTGAAAACTTCACCTTCACATCTTTCTTATTTGTTTAAACTGTTCCAACCTTCCCCCTTTACTGATAGCTTTTTTGGAAGATAATCTTACTTTCTTAGTTCACCTTTTATTTGGTTTTGAAATTCTGGGCATTTTCTAGACAATAGAATTTCATATTGGTATGTGCATATAAATTAAAGGATTAAAATGATTTATATGAGTGTGCATTTTTGTAAGGATATGCATATGATCAGTTCTTTTTGAGAGTCTATATTGTTACAAAAATAAGAATTGTTCCCCACCTCCACATGAAAACAGACAATTCTAACAGACTGAATTTCTAAACTGAGTGGCACTTGGTATTTTAAATTTGATTACTATTGGGAGAAAAAAGCAATTTCCTATTTCTTAATAAAAAATACTTGGAAAAATTCTTACAGCATTCTTAAAGCTTTGAACTTAGAAAAATTCTATATAAATGAAAGGCATGTATTTATGTGCCACTTAAAATTAAAGTTTTAAAATAAAAAAAGAGAATTTACAGCTGAATTACCTAACACTGATTCTGTCACAGGACAGAAACTAAGGAATCACCACCCCAAACTCAAAAAAGATTATCACCTATTATGTTAAACTTATTTAAAGCCTAATGTAAAATTATTTTTTATTAGGAAAACTGAATTATGCTAAAGGCAAGAATATGTAACATGACCCCAAAAGAAGCTTAAATACATGTAGTATTAACCTTTTAATATATAGAGTCTGTTCACAATTTGCTTGGTCAGGAATATCTTGGTCAAATAAGATTAGAAATTGATTTTCTTAGGAATTACTATCATGGAAATCTTTGGTGAATAAGTGATTTCTATTTTAATGATTTAATTGCATCCCCCACCCATACCATCACTTTAAAATTTCACTTTATCAGGGAGTTTTGTTAGTTCCAAGATGCTTTATGACCAAGAAGGTTTATTAATTGAAAAAAACCAACATGAAGAGAGAGGCTCTTGCTCAAGTAACCTGGCTTAAGTTATAGCGTGTCTCCTCAGAAAGTTCAAGAAATGTTGTAATGGTAGTGCACAATCTAAACAGATAAATTAGTTTCTTATATTTTACATTTTTAGTAACTAAAAGGAAATTCAATGCTAATTAATATATTGCCAATTTATTTGGCATTAAATTATTGCTAAATATATTTGTTGTTTATTTTGAATGTACTTAAGCATATTTTTCTGTTTGGGAGAAAATATTTCTATTGCATATATCTTAAATAGATGATAATGAATAGCTGTAGTCAGGTTTATCCACTTTGGGACTACTTTTAGAAAAGAAAAGTCCAAAAATACGTTCATTTTTATGTGTGCAGCATATGGTCAAAGATAGCCCATTTGACATTTTTGGGGGTCGTAAAACAAACAAACAGACAAAATATTAGCAACATTAACAACAAAAAAACTAACTCATTTACAACACATCCTTCTGAGGAGATGTGGTCCTACAGTTGTCTGTGGGACAATAAGCAATCAGTGAGTGGTATTTAGATTCCCCTGGCTTTGTGAAAGCATATTATTTTTCTGAAAACTTCTCCAACCTAAGCTGAGAGCCCCATAGATACTAATCTGAAGTTAATAATTAACATAATTAATATGTACTATGCCTAAATATACATCTCCCCTCTTCCAAATGTTTGATTCAAAACTAGCATTTTCACCAGCCTGGGCAACATAGCAAGATCTTATCGCTACAATTTTTTTTTTTTTTTAATTAGCCAGGCATGGTGGCACGAACCTGTAATTCCAGCTACTCAGGAGAGTGAGGTGGGAGGATCACTTGATTTCTGGAGGTTGAGGCTGCAGTGAACCATGATCGTACCAGTGAACTCCAGCATGGGCCACAGAGGGAAAGCCTGTCTCAAAAAACAAACAAATAAAAATTAAACAAAACCCTTCCATTTTCATTGACTAGAGTAGAATCAGTAAGTGATAAATCATTAACATTCTTGTTATACAAAGCCAAGTTTCTTGAACTGTTTTTTGATTGTTTTCATTGTACTTTTAAAACTTTTACAGTAAAAAAAACTGTAAAAAAAAAACAGAAGACAATTTGCCCCATCACACTAAATTTGATTAGACGACCCATTTTGAGAACTTTTAAGAAATCTTGCCATATTGCTTCCCGCTAGACTGAACACATTTACTTCTTTGAAATATTGAAAGTATGTCATCTGATTTAAAACAAAGCAAAGTGTACTTTTTTTTCCTTCATGTGAGTATTTTGGTCCATTTTAAGAGTATTTATGACCAGGCACCCGTGGCTCACACCTGTAATCCCAGCACTTTAGGAGGCTGAGGTGGGCGGATCACTCAAGGTCAGGAGTTCGAGACCAGCCTGGCCAACATGGCAAAACCCCATCTCTACTAACAAAAATTAACTAGGCATGGTGGCACACTCCTGTAATCCCAGCTACTTGGGAAGCTGAGGCAGGAGAATTGCTTGAACTTGGGAGGTGAAGGTTGCAGTGAACTGAGATGGTGCCACTACATTCCAGCCTGGGTGATGAAGTGAGACTGTCTCAAAAAAAAAAAAAGAATATTTATTTTTCTTTCTAATTTATTTACTGATTTATGACTTCTTTATGACATATATCCTGAGCAGAATCTACATGTCTATCAATCTGTTGATCTATCTATGTATATGCAGGGAATTTTTTTCAGTTCTTTAAATCATAAAATCACTTTTACTTGAAATCCTGAAATATGCAAATAACTAAAACACGTGGTTTGGAAATTTTAGCTAGTATTTTTAGAGCCTCATAGATCGATAGAAAAATGAGCAAAAACTATCTTTCTAAAACTCCTGAATCACTATTACTTAGTGTGTGCAGAAGCTCGATAGTCTAAAAGGGAAAGTAAAGATTCTTAATAGCCTATTTCTTTGGCCACAACATTATCAGAAATGTTTAAAATAGTTTATCATAAATTTTAAGTTTATGATAATTTATGGTACTTTGGTTCCAGTCATCATCTGGAAATTCTCACTGAAAAGCAGCAAACAAGGTTTAGTGGATTACTGTGAAGAAGTCATCTTTTCAATGTAAGATGCTGTTAATTTACAGTGTGGCCATCTGAAGGTTAAAAACGATGATTTTCTACTGTGTTTCCCCCCCCCCAACCCAGATAAGTTTACTTTCTTAAGAATAAAAATAAGCAATATATCTTTTCAATAAATCTGCTAGCACTGTAGGGCAGCTGTTAACCAAGCAGAGCTGGATAGGGTTACTCGAACAATCTCTGAAGGGCAGAGCTGATGATTCGGAGATCTGGGAAGAATTTGTTTCAGCTTGTATTCAGTGCATTCCTCACTTTCTTCAGATGTAGTAAAGTATTTTAAATGCCATTACTCTGAGTTTAAAATAAAACTAGAAATGCTTATCAACTCTTTCTAAACAATGCCAGTTTAAGCAAAACAAAATTAGTAAAAGGTTAAAACTGAAGACCTTGATGCTTCTAAACACAAGTTAGGGCGAATGTTTGTAAGGTGGGCCTTTTCTCCTCTAAACTGCATGTCTTCTGTGTTTTGCAAACTGCATGCTTAAAGTTATTGATTATTTTATTCAGTGCAGATTATTTGGTGTGATGCATAGAAAAAAAGCATTTTTATTTTCTTTCTAAAATATATCTCTCTATTGAACATTAACGTTTGCTTTCATTCCAGCTCAATTTGTGCTCTAATAATGGCTAATTGTTATGTTCTAAGCACTTGTTTCTCTTGTATGCTTTAATTAATAGAGAAGCATATTGCAATAGCTTTTTCTAAAAAAGAGTCTAGGAATTTTGCTTTTCAAGAATAAGATTTTTTTTTGCTTTTTTTTTTTCTTTAAGTTGCCTCTTGGGAAAGTAAGGTTAATGCCATGTACAGTACTAGTTTGCATGTGTTCATTTAAATACTAAAAACTGTAGTACTGCTCGATCCATATCTGACTGCTAGGTTTCAATTGACAGCTGAGGATTTGTGACTGGACCATGAATCAAAACGGCAGGCATTTATACCCCAGTACCAGTGAGGATACATTGGGAATTACTTGGCAAAGGTAACATTTTAATTATTTCCAACCCTACACTTACACCTAAAAATTACATGAGCTATAGTGTTTGTTTTTAACTAGCTTTACAGAAAATATATGTTAAAAATTTAGTTGTTTTGGCTATGCCATTCTTCTTTCCCTGTCCTCCTCCTTTATTTCTTATGTAAATGGAACGTCAAATTAAGTTGGGACTATAGTATATGCTTACTGATCATTGGAATTTTTAAATGCTATAAAATGTTTTCTACAATTTATACTGTTTTTGGTGGGGGAGGGGGTGGAATGTGACATTTAGATTTTAGGACCTGAAAAGTGAAATCACAGCTTTAGTGAAGATTTTTCAGCTACCTGAGGATAAAGCATTGGTTTTCACATTGTAGGTTTTTCTTATTTTAACTCTTTCCTCTACTGCTAATTCTAAGCCATTTCACTGTTCATTTTTTTCCCCTGTTGTAGGGAAAAAAAATAGCAAAAAATTTTGGTTAGTCAATTTAACTGTTATTGACAGCACCCATAAATTTTGGAGTAGGAAGATTGTTGGAATCAGTAACTAAAGAAGGAATTTGTTAAAGTTTTAATTTCTGTTTGTATACTGATGTGATTCATGGAAGATTGACCTTATTTGGTTGGCTGAGAAAACTATTCTAAAACTTCATTTTCAAAACCAGTTCTGATACTGTTTCATGCATTGCCTTTAGAAAGTAAGTATTTCAAAGTCAGCTGCGCTTATGTATTATTTATTTTATTTAAGAACAAATTGTGTCAAATTGACAAATTAAATAATTAGATTCATGGTATAATCATAAGTAATAAGAAATAAAAATTGGCAGAAGAGAGTGAGGTAATCCCAGAAGGAGTTCACCAGATAGAGTTGACATAATTTTCCAACCCTGCTCTGATGTTAATCCTCCGTTTACGGAAAGTGTCTATAGAAAGGTACATACTCAGATAGAGTTGTAGATCGTCTGCCTATCTCCATATTGGTTCACAGAAACTGCTGAAGAGTAGATTTTAAAGAATCAAAATAATTAAATGTCCACTTTAATTCAGATAAAAATTAAGGAAATAATTCAGATTATGTTTTTAAAAACAATGACTTTTTATTAATTCACTACCATGTGACTTTTCTTCTTGAAGATTGATATAACCTCCACTTTTAAAAGGTATACATTTTTACATATTGTGATTTTTTTAACAAGATTGTATTCATCCTCCCTTTTGAAAATAATACAATATATGCTTATAAAAAGAAGATAAACTCAACGTAACCATCTTATCCAAATAGCCTTAATGATTAATAGTCTTAATTAAGTGAAAGTATCTCATTAAAATATTCTGAATTAATATACATTTTAAAGTTTATTTAATTGAATTTAATGACCTAATATTTCCATATGTTATTTAATAAAAGGTAATTGAATTTAATAACCTAATATTTCCATATTTTATTGAATAACTCTCTTATATTTCATGCTCTATCAGTTAACAAAATGACTCATGTCTGCGTACAAGCTTACCATATTTATAACAATTGCAAACCAGATGACGTGTACTCATGTTTGTAAATGCACCTATAGCTATGCGAACTTCCAATTCTGTGGAATATTGATTGGCTTACTAAATCTAAAAATAGGATAGACCTCTAAAGCATATTTGTAAGTTGTTAGAGATTTAAAATGTAACTTTACCTAGTTATTAGTAATGTTTTTGTTTTGAGACGGAGTCTCGCTCTGTCAACCAGGCTGGAGTGCAGTGGCGCAATCTCGGCTCACTGCAAGCTCCGCCTCCCGGGTTCACGCCATTCTCCTGCCTGCCTCAGCCCCCTCCGTAGCTGGGACTACAGGCGCCCGCCACCACGCCCGGCTAATTTTTTTGTATTTTTTAGTAGAGACGGGGCTTCACTGTGTTAGCCAGGATGGTCTCGATCTCCTAACCTCGTGATCTGCCCGCCTCGGCCTCCCAAAGTGCTGGGATTACAGGCGTGAGCCACCGCGCCCGGCCACAGTAATTTTTTAAATAAAAACTTGATAGCCCATGGAAAGAGAAGATGAGTGGGCAATAAATCTCAGAACACATGTATTGGAGGAAATGAATCTGATGATTAAACTCAGTTCTTAGGGCAGTATTGTTGCTGTCACAAATCCCCTTCCTGGTGAAAAATTGATGTGGTAATCAGTTTCAGGTCATAGTAAGTCAGAAAAAAATACAGAATTTATTTAGGTAAAATGTTTCTTCCCTCTCAAAAATTGTAACTTTTCTTTTGATTAGTAGGTAATGGCATGTAGAATGGTCTTAATGATCCTAAAAGCTCTTTAAAAGGTATCTTGGTTTTTTTTGTTTTTTTGTTTTTTATTTTTTAGATAGTCTCACTTCCTCACCCAGGCTGGAGTGCAGTGGCACGATCTTGTCTCACTGCAACCTCCGCTTCCCAGGTTCAAGTGATTCTTAACGCCTCAGCTACCAGAGTAGCTGGGATTACAGGCGTGCACTGCCACGCCCGGCTAACTTTTGTATTTTTAGCACACACTGGATTTCACCATGTTGGCCAGGCTGGTCTGGAACTCCTGACTTAAGTGATCTGCTCGCCTTGGCCTCCCAAAGTACTGAGATTACAGGCATGAGCCACCATGCCCAGCCAGTATCTTGGTTTGTTTCTTCTCTTTCTATCCTGATTCAGAAAGCACATAATTGATAATGGCAGCCATCACATTTCTACATTGAACAGATATTATTGAATCTTTATGGTGAGCTGTGCTAAATGCTGTGGTGAATCCAATGCTGACAGTTCTTAAAATCTAGGTGTGATGCAGTTCAGAATAAATAAATTCAAATGACATAGGTTGCTTTGCTTTGTTGTAGTTTTCAAAAATGGACACAACAGAGTTCATATTTGATAATACAAATAGCCCTTGTCGGTGGCATGATAGCTTTATCCATCTTTTTTAGTTTATGACTTGTGGTTATTTTTAAAACATTGAAAGAATTTTGAAAAAAGTCATAAATGTCTGTAACACTAGCACTTTTAAGGCAGATAATAGACATCTAAAATCTTCAGGGCATGGCTATGGCTTTAGAATCATCTGAATAAGTTGAAAATATTTAAGAAATATAGGTCTGTTCATCCAAAGAATTAAATAATTTGCCTTTGTCACGATGGAATAAATAAAATATCACAGGTTATTTTTGTTGTGGTAGATGCCTTTTAACAAAAGGCAATCCCTGGAGACTGTTGTAGAAAAGGACAAAGCAAAACGGGTGTTTTGGTTTTGCTTTATTTTGATTGATTGTTGTTTGTTGTCATTACTTTCTTTGTACAATCACTTTTCCATGGTCACCCTCTTTTCTGCTTTATACTAATTGCCCTGTTGAGGTGTTTCCATGTCAAATGCAGCTCTTGTCGGAACTGAAAATGGCAGTGCCAAGGGAGCTGTGCAAGTATAATCAAAGCTGGAAGATTTCCTCCATCCACCCGCAACCCCAAGGCTTAAGCATTCCCTTAGGAACCAAAGCTGACTCTTTGGGAAAGTTTTCACAGCCTTATTAGGTTACAACCCTGAAGATGTTTTGTTGTTTTGACCTTAAAATTTTGTGAACTGTTTTGTGAACTGTGTGTGTGTGCACACACATGTGCAAAGGAGTTGCTTGCACCTTGAGAGAGTCAATTTTTCTGCCTAAGTGAAAGGTCAGGAACTGCAGTTAACCCAGAGTAAAATATTGGTTGGGTGAAGGGCTCACTTCTAGTATAGTCAGAATGGGCTCAAGATCTTAGGAGGATGATAGGTGATGAACTGCTTAAGGTAGGTACTGTTGTGTTTGTGCTTTGTCTCATGTGGACAAATTACCTTGTTGCATATGTGAGTTATGTGGACATAAACATATACAGCAGTTACTCCCTGACTGGCTGGCTTTCTTAAAGTGATAGTCAGAATATAGCCTGTACTGTCAGATATGAAAGATCAATATAATTGAATGAAAAAGAAAGCTGAAGGACAATCCAAGAATAATACAAACATAAGCTATTTTAAAACATTAGAGGGAGTGCTTTATGCAAAAGAGAAACTGAATTTATTGTTTCATTCTCTCTTCTCTCCCTTCACCCCTTTCAAGAAAACGCAAAGCCACAAGTGAGTGGTTGTATGTGTCTGATGGCTTATGTAAACATAGAAGAAGTCTTCAGATGGCTAAAATAAACATGCGCGTGTTACCAAAGGATATGTTTACACAAACCATTTGCTCAGCCTCTGAAATAATGAATAAATGAAGATTTTACTAAAATAATTGGGAGGATTTTTGTGTTTCTGCGGATGCCATAATTGAATGGCACCAAAGAGACTTTTATCAGCTATTTTCCGTGTTACATGTGTTAGCAGTTCCTTTCTGTGGGTTGAATACTTCATTCTGTAGTTACTTTACACATGTTTTTCTAAGAAATTGTCGTTTATTACTGCAATTCTAGAGAGTTGCTTGATTTCTCAAGAGAAATTTAGCAGCCAGTAAAGGTTATTTGGATCTGGTTGGTCAGGAGAGGGAGGGCAAAAAAAAAAAAAAAAAAGAAAAAAGAAAGAAAGAAAAAAAAAGTGTGGGGGGGTAATAGCTCTCATTTTATCCATGTAACTTAATTTGCATAACACTCACCTCAGCCATTTTCCTTGCTTTGTTCATAACATTTTCTTTGTAAAATGTATGCTCTCAAAAGAATGAATATTTAAACAAAAAATAACTTTCAATAATGGGTTGCAAACCATATGTTTGTATTACATATATGTGTTTGTGTGTGTATGCATCTATATGTGTGTGTGTATGTAGTGTGTGTGTATATCTCCACATATATGTGGCATACGTATGATAAGGGCAGTATGTCCTTAGGTAATATAAAGAGTTAACTTTTATTTCAACATTACACTTAGAACATCCCCGCGAATTCACTAGGTTAGCATTTCCTGCTCTCAGTTTGTTATCTTGACACATAACTACAGTACAACAGCTGGGTTGTTCCTGGAGTTCCTGGGGGGAGCTTTATTCTCCGAGTGCTGAATTTCCTTTTCAGCTGTCAGCTCTAAAGTGTGTTCAAATCCTCAACTTTTTATACACCATTCTGGGCCCCTAGCACCACTCTGGGACTATGATAGAAATGCTGATATGGTAGATGAATGGAAGAATCTTTGGTTCAAGGTGGAGAATTGCAAAAACCAAAATTTCACATGATCATTGTTTGGTAAAGGGGCTGCTAACTACTTTTGTCTTTGTATATGAATATTCTTTTTAAAGGAATTACTCTATTCTCATCAAAATTATTTGCACCTGTTATGAAATCAAAAATAAAAACATTACCATTCTTAAAAATGATCTTGATATGGTTTTCACGGACGCACAACATCTGTGGTCTGGCTTTTGAATAATATGTTGGGATTTGTCGTAGTTTTGCCTAACTTTCTCCATTTATAAAGAAAGATTTGTACAACACGACATTTCCTTTTTATCTAGGCAAACTCTTCAGAACACTTCCTAAGAAATTAATTGTATTCCAGCCAGACTTGCATGCTGCCATCCCACAGGAAATGGGTCAGCAATCCATTAAGATGCCATTAGATAATCTAATTTGGAACTTAATCTCTAAATTAACCATGCTCCATACTTGAAGCGTACTTGAGAGAAAGAAAAAAAGTTTACGTTTGAATCGATAGGGGAGCCGAAGCGTGAAGAAGGCTGTTTGTTTTTTCTGTAGCTGTGGTCACGTCTCAAGCCGTCTGGTAACCAGGAGAAACCAGACATGATGTAATTCCAGATTGAACTTGAACTTCAGGGACTTAGGTTGGGGGAACAATGGACCATAGGAATCAATAATGTCCATTTTCCACATGATTATGTTTGGAGCTTTAAGTTAACCTTTATGGGAGAAGCAGCAGGATCTGCAGTGTGACCAAAATGAGATGATCCTGAGACAAGATGTTAGAGGAAAGAAAACAACTTTTTTCCGTGATATTTTCTGAGCAGGACTGCAGATTCCAGCAGGATTAGAAAAGTTCCCGCTCTGCAGTAAACCGGTGGCCTGTTCAGAGCACTCTTTGTTCGCTTAGGTAGGACAAACTTAATCTTACGTTTCCTGTCGATGATTTTTGGCAGCGCTACTGGAGAGGGAGGAGCGTGATTCTGAAAATTCCCAAATGTAAACCTTGCTGATTAACCCTTTGTAGTGAAAGGAAGTATATTAAACCCCTACTTTATTTGAATATGTTTTATGTAAAGTGCCATATTTACAGATGTAGTTCGTCCGTAAGAAATCAGTTCCCTCGACAGCCAGTGCACCATTTATTAGCTTACCTTTTTGGTTCTCATTTTTGCTAGTGCTGTTAGTAGGGATATGATGATTTTTTTAGTCATATTTACTTAAATAACAAAGACTATGAATGAATAAATATCATAATAAACATAATAAATGATAAAAGAAATGGCAAAATCTTAAGGTCAAGTAATTGAAGAACACGAATTTTGAATATTCTGAAATTGCAGAAAGTTACAATTATTCTCTCTTGCTCACTTTGTTTCACACACAGGAAGATCTTTTGCCCATGTAAGATCTTTTGCCCTTGTGAACAGAGTAGCAAGCATGATATTAAAATGTGTTCAGTTCTTTAATCATTTGTAATTTTATGCTTCAGCATTCTGATACAAGTAAGTTTCACCTTTAAGAGGTAAAATTGTGCAAATAATGCTGATTTTTGCTTTTAACTGAAAATCATTTATAAAAGAATCTCTTTTTGCTTTGTATAAAACTTATATTTCTATTTGATTTAGTATGCCTTGGGTGATTTTCTCTAGTGAAAGGCACTATTTTGAAGCACCATTTTTGTAGAGAATTTTATCTGCTGTTAAAGCATCACATATGCAAATAAGAGGAGCAGTACCACTTTTAACAATAGCATTGAAAAGAAGCCCAGGGTAGAGAGGAATACAGACAGAAAGAGGCTGGAAATCAACATGTGGGCTTCTCCACTGTGCTGTGGTCTGTGGGAGGAGATAAAATAATTGCTCTGAGCCTGATAATTGTATAATTTTTAATTGGCTAAAACCTCCCACAGCTACCTGAGTTCTTATATATGTATGCATGTGTGTACTGTAATTTATTTATAATTAGTCATCTTCATAATAATTTTTCATCTTTCATTTTCAGTTCTAAAATTTGAAAAAGATCAAACAATTTTTTTATAAGTCCTTAATTTGGCCAATTGAGGAAGAGCTTTTTTCTTATTTATGTTTAAACCGAACATTTTAAGGAAGTTTTTATTTAAGTGTAGGTTGCTATATCGAAGGCTTCAAGTATTATGTAAGAGTTTTTTACTAAACGAGTGCAGTAATTATAAGGAACACATTTAATATTTAGTGGCAGTGCTCCCATATGGAGTGGCTTTTTCTTGCCCTGTGCTCTTTATTAGATAAAATATTTCAATGGTAGATGCTATTATTTTACTTAGAAAGTGCTAGCACTCACGCATGGTAAAGTTAACATTCAATCCACTGTGCCCTAAGAACAAAAAACTTCTGAATCAATTGAATATAAATTAATGAGGTTTGATGGGCTACCATTTTGATATGCTATTTTCAAAACCGTTGGTCCCCAAGGAGTAGCAATAAAGAAGGCTATTTACCTACTTAGTTAAGAAACAAATATGTTTCTCTTTCATTACTGTGAAGTCCTATTGCTTGCAGTTAGAATAATTCCATGAGCCACCTGCAGTTTATGATATTTGGTGTTTCCCAGAGAGCCCACAAGAGTACTTTGCAGTTCAGGTAAGAGCTAGCCAGGGAGCTTTCTGATACAGATTATTACAAATAGTAATAATCATTAGGAATCATCTTGCATGCAAAGAGGATCATTCCGACGGCAATAATGATCCCTAAAAACGGTGAAAATAAATCGAAGAAACCCAAGACCTGTATAAAACACTTTGTGTATTTCACTTCCAGGCTAGCCTCATCTGAAGTGGAACTCAACAAACAAATTATTGACATACAGCCACATCTGCACATATGTAAGACAAAAGCAAATACTGCATTCAGCTGAAAAGCAACTGGAATTGGAGGAATAAAGCACAGTTATTTGTGCTGAATTTTGGGCTCAAGAATTATACTTCCACAGGAATTTCATTGTGATATGAACCTCAATTCACAAAGTCTCTTGCATAATTCAGTGATAATATAACTTCTAGTCCAGTGAGAAAAGTAAACTATGCTTCACAGGAAGGGGAGATGAGAAAAGTTTAGTGGGTAGAAATACAGATCCTAGAATGACATTGCTCGAATTCAAATCCTGCCTTCTACAATTTAATAGCAATACGAGTTGGGCAAGACACTTAACTTCCTCGCTTCAGTTTCCTCATCTGTAAAATCAGGATAATAATGGTCTTTCTCATAGATTTGTTATGAGGATTAAAAGTTTTAAGGTAGGTCAAGCATGTAGAACAGTACCTGGCAAATAATACACATTATATAAGTGCTAGCAACTGGTATATTTATCAAGTACTATTTTCTTTGTTCTAATACATAAATAGATTCAACTTAAGTGTTTGTTCCTTCTACTGGTCTGAGCGAGCATTTTTTTCACAAGACGTAATCTGCAGCCTTTGTGTTATATTGAAGTAAGCAACCAGTCCGAATGCACCCATGTACAACCCAGGGCAGCACAGTTTTCCCAACAGGTTTTCAGCAATTAATAAGGAGAACTGTTTATTGTGCATTTTACAAGAAATGCTAATACTTGTGTGTTAATATTTTGCCAATAAAATTAGAGTGTTTAGCCAAGGAAGTAAAAACCTTTCCATCTTGGGGAGATCAGGAAATGTTGCAAAGGAACTAAAGGCAAATGCTTCTTTTAAATTAAAATACTTATTTTATTTATTCCCCATGCTTTCTGGGCCATTGCTCATTTTTATTGCCATCTGTAAATAATGTGGCTACTGTTACAGTTGAGGTATGTATTAATATGTACAACTCTTTGTGCTTTTTTCCTGTAATATTTTTTAAGCTTCTTGAAAGAGTATTTACTATCTTTTAAGTAAATATGGTATTTTCTCATGATTAAACCAGTATATAAATTCTAAATGGACAATACTATTGTTCCCCTGAAAAATATTCGTATACTGGATACTTAGACATTTCATAAACTGTTTAACTAGTGTGTTATCTCATCCATTATCAAATACACACAGGCTAGTAATAAATGATTTTTGCCATTCTTAAAATAGCTCTTATTGTTTCATCACCTCCAAATAAATAATAGGTGATGTAAAGTCTTTGACTTTGTTTGGTTTCTGGCTCAATGTAATGGCTTCATACATGTTTAATGTGGCACCCTGTGGTTCCTAGGTGTTAGTGAGCTAAAAGGTAAGGGCCCAATTCTTTTTGGCCTAGAAGACACACTCCCATAATGCATAATTTTAAAAAAACATAACCAGAAAATGTTGGTATGGCTGCCGAGAGCAATTTCTGCCTTTCTTTCACTGAAAGGTATAGCTCTTTACTCTTTGTAGGTAGATGCGAAGATGAACTATTTTGCCCAGTTTATCCAGGATAAGACATATAGAAATAGTGCATCTTTTTAAAAGGAAGAAGTGGGTATCTTCTTCCGCCTTAATCCTCACGCTGTAGAACTCACCCTAGTAGAACTTCAACTAGATTTGTTTCAGAGGAGATGAATACATAGAATTTCAGATCATTTGACCACTTAGACCAGCTACATATTCTGTGCACTAGTCTCTTTCGCAACATTAGCTAGGTTATAATCCAGCTTGTATGGTGCATGAAAAGTTCACTGTCTCCTGAAGCCAATTAATTTTGCCTTCAGACCACTCTGTTCAAAAGTTCTTTCTTATGTTAAGTCATCTGACTTCCTGTGTAGGCAATATAATATAGTGAAATGGCCAGGGAAATCAGACAGATCTGAGTCATAACTGAGGGCTAAGTGGGAGACTTTGGGCAAGGAACTTAACTTGCCTCAGTTTCCTCATATGTGAAACAGAGATACTGATGGCCATCTCATGAGCTCACTGAGAAAATTAAGTGGTGTAGCATATGTAAAACACCAAAGATGGTACCATGCTTATAGTTAAGTCCTCAGCATGGCTATCGTCTGGAAGTTTTGCCTTTGTGCTGTTGCTACAACCTGAAGCATGCTTAAGCGGTCTACATTCCTTTCCACATCAACTGCTATATCTTCCCTGTCTACCCTTAGCTGTTCTGCAATGACATAATTTGGTGAGTTTTTCAATAAGTAAATGCCATAAAGTTAGGTTTTCTTCCACAGTGCTACCTAGAAGAAATACAGTACTTCAGAGGTAGTCTTACCAATAACAAAATGAAGCAGGACCATCACCAGTAATGCATCTTAAGCTCTAAATAATTCATTTGCTTCTTCCCTTTTGGGGGGAGCCATGTCATACATTTGGTCAAAATAGCAAGAAAATAGTATCCATGATATCAAACATTTTATTTTTGGAATTTTGATTTAGCTCTTATGTATTCATTTTATAATGAACTATCTCATTATATGCATAGTAATAGTCATTAGGATGAGCTGTACTTTGTGTTAAGGTACTATCAAATTCTTTTGTGTTTTTTTCTGCTTGATTTTTTTGCAAAGTAATTATATCTTTTCTTTTTTAAATGGTTATATCTACTTTATATTTTCTAAAGATGTGCTTTCAACTTTCAGCTATGCTCATCTTCTCTTTGCCTAAACAAATGTGATTTGGTAATGAAAAATTTGATTAAAACAAAGGAAATGCACACTTATAAAGATATATTGCTGAAGTAGCTGAATTTGAGCTTGAATATTTTGAAATCCTTTCAGTTATATTCTCATTTCTTTTATTGGAATGCAGATAGTTGGAATGAACATAAGATTATCCATATAGTAATTCTCACTATGAATTAAAACTATTAAGCATTTTACATGTAACTAATTTGTTTTTGTGTGTTTATTTTATCCATACATGTGATTATTGATTTTTATATAGAGTTAGATGTATAAAAAGCACTATTACATTTTTACCTGAGTAAGTATGCAATTTTAGACATTGCATTTTTGAAATTAAATAATCTGTATTACTTTAATTAAATATATTTATTTACATTGTTATCTCAGTCATTGAATTAGTTTTATCAAGTTTTTTTTTTTAACAGGACTACCAAAAATAGCTCTAAAAAATGTCTGTGCCTTATAGTTCTGAACTTAAATTGGCAATAAGAGACTTGTAAAACTCATATATGGGGTCTGCATAGTGTTAATGTTTGAGATTTATTTTCCCCCAAAGGTTCATAAACAGTATTGACAAATATATTGCACTCTGCAATTTTGATATGGTCATAATGTAGGATGGGCGGTTTGAAAGATTTAAATAAACATTTAAATTAAATTTGGTAGGCATTCTGCAGCAAGAGTCCTGTTAGTTACTAGCATCAATTTATTTTTATTGAACATTTTCCAAAGAATAATGACATATGTCTCTTCTAAAGAACTGAGTAAGAGAGCTATTGCAAAATAAACCCTGAGTTTTCTGCCATTAGTTGGTAGACTTGTCCATGTAAGGAGCCACATCTATTTTCAATCATTAAAATATACTTTATATCCCTAAAGCATGCAATCTCCAAATGACTTTCTTGAGCTCACTTAATTTGGCACTCTTGTTAATTTTGCAAAGCAATTTGCTGCTTGTTGACATTGTATTTTACTGTCAAGGATTATCTGCTTTACCTAGTCCTTTTGCTTTTGGTACATGCTTCTTACTTCAAGTTAAAAATAATGTATAACCATTTTTGTAATTTATTTTATTTGTTAAGAAATAGCACCAGCTATGCTCAGACTCTATAAAGATAGATGTGACTAGGTCGTTTTCTCTGTGAAGTTCACCTTTCAGTTAGTAAGATAATCCCAGATAGAGATATTTATGAAGTAATAAATGCTGTAACAGGACCATGTACAAAGTGCAGTGGAAACACAGTTGAGGGTAAAATAAGTTTCATGATTCATTATGTAACATTGTTCCCAATCAATGGTGCAAAGCACAAAAATAATTGTTGAAGATGTGTGTGGGAAGATAAATATGTGAAAACAGTTAAGCTGCTTAGTAAAAGTTTCAATAACAAGTATTCTTAAGAGTTACGATTTTTCATCAGATTTTGAGGACGTGTCTTTTTAGTTTGAATGTGATTATTCCTGCTTAATCAATTTTTGTTAATGCTAAGTAGATCTAATTTTAAATTCAGAGATACCTATTTTCTTTTTATAGGGGATCAAATCACAACATATTCATGAGTATATGTAATCTTGGGTGACAGCTTTTGAAAATATATAGCTGGGTGTGATTTGAAACAATTAATTGATTTGTTTGTCTAAAAAGGTATTGAGCATCTTCCATGTGCTAGGTACTTTACTAGAGACGGACTTTGCTGTCATTGAGTTTGTAGTCTAATTATAAAATCCCTTGAGCACAAATGGTCGTTGTGATATTGTTTTGAAATGTTAACTCAGAAATATGTATGTGTAGCAACAAGCAACATTTTGTATCGAGGTATCACCAGAGTAAAAACAGTATGTATCAAGTTTTAAAAAAAATTCAGAATTGTTCCTTTAGGTTGATATTCTGTAAAGGTTTTTGTACTTTTGGAATTCAAATATGAACAAATGAGCATATCTAGATTGATAGCTACAACAATAGTGCTATCTCACTTCATGGTTTCAAAAGTAAAGCAAAGGATGTTCAGTGAAATTTAAAACCTCGAAAGTATGTTTCCATGCTAGGCCATGACTAATATGAGTACTGAATTGTCAGTTTGATGTTTTCTTGGTTCATGATTATTTATGCAGCTGTTACTTAACTGACATTCATTCGGATTTGAGTGTTGGAACAGGCAATACATTAGATTAAGTGTACCCAAAATGTGTGCTGTAGAGTTGTTTCATGATATGTAGATCTGATTTTTTTTATCCTCCATATGATACTTTTTAAAGGGAGATTATGCTAGTAGCAATTAGAGAATTGTTTTCCAGTCTTTTTTTTTTTTTTTTAACAGCCTGTAATTCAGCATAGGCGAAAGTTGAACTGATGAGAGTAAGGCTGGAATCTTATCATTTACTGCCTCCAACACCCCCAACCCCCAACCCGCCATCTATCACTCCAAACTCCTCAAGTGCAGAGCAGCTCAAATGTGGTATCATTACTGATGGGGAGGAGCAGGAAATGCTCAGGCTTCTGTTGCAAGCCAATGTAGGGAACCATGAATTGGAAGGAAAAGCTGTGGCTCTCTCTAAAAGTAAGTTAAAGAGGGTTAGAATAAGAAAACTGCTGGAGAGCTATAGAACTAATCAGTGCAAGCAGAGACCTTTGTGGCCTCCTGTAAATGTTTTTCCTCACGATGGGTATTCTGTAGAGAACAAAAAAAGCTGTGTTCCATTTTGGTTCTATGATTCTTATTTGTTCGGTCTTTACTAAAAAACTCTGATTAAGGTATGTTTGATAATTGGGCATTTCAAATTGTATGTTATGCATGGGCCTACCTTAAACATGTAGTTTTTTTTCCTGTTGTAAGGAGAAAAGAAATATCTTTCACCGTACTTTTCAATTGTATTCAACCCAATAGGCAGGTAAGAAATTGAAACCCATCTGACCACTGAATTGCTTGTGAATTAAAGGTAAAATAAGATTAGAATGTAACTGGCAAAGTATATTGGTACCAACAGATTGCTGCTTTTCTTTTTCTTTTTTTTCCTGTACAAAAAAGAATGATATTGCATTTATATTGATTAATGTAAAATATTTTAGAATATCCTCAATCGGTTAGAATTCAATAATTGTTTATATATCTTACTCTGGATTTTTCTGCCTCACTTTAGTCTTAATTTTCATTTAAAAAATAGACTATAGAGTTTAGATAGGTGTAACATGTATAATTTGGCACATTTATCTCATATTAGACTGTAATTTTGAAAATAGGGATAGCAATAATTTGATGCATCTGGAATTTATATTTCTCATATTGTTGTAGATTTTAACATTGTATTTTTTTCTTTTTTCTTCCCTCCCTGCTGCCTCTCTCCTCTCAACAGTCCTGGTACCTGGGCTAGCTTGGTTCCTTTCCAAGTGTCAAATAGGACACCCATCTTACCGGCCAATGTCCAAAATTACGGTTTGAACATAATTGGAGAACCTTTCCTTCAAGCAGAAACAAGCAACTGAGGGAAAAAGAAACACAACAATAGTTTAAGAAATTTTTTTTTTAAATAAAAAAAAAGGAAAAGAGGAAGACTGGACAAAACAACACAAAGGCAGAAAGGAAAGAAACTGAAGAAAGAAGATAATAGACCAGCAATTGCAGCACTTACAATCACTAATTCCCTTAAGGTTGAAACTGTAATGACATAAAAAGGGTCGATGATATTTCACTGATGGTAGATCGCAGCCCCTGCAACGTAGCCTTTGTTACATGAAGTCCGCTGGGAAATAGATGTTCTGTCTCTATGACAATATATTTTAACTGACTTTCTAGATGCCTTAATATTTGCATGATAAGCTAGTTTTATTGGTTTAGTATTCTTGTTGTTTACGCATGGAATCACTATTCCTGGTTATCTCACCAACGAAGGCTAGGAGGCGGCGTCAGAGGTGCTGGGTGACAGAGCCATGAGCCAGCCATTTTATAAGCACTCTGATTTCTAAAAGTTAAAAAAAATATATGAAATCTCTGTAGCCTTTAGTTATCAGTACAGATTTATTAAATTTCGGCCCTTAACCCAGCCTTTTCCAGTGTGTAACCCAGTTTGAAATCTTAAAAAAAGAAAAAATGAAAAAAAAAGGAAAAAAAGAAAAAAGGAAAAAAACAGTTTGAACACAAAGGCTCTATGGAAGAAATGCCTCTATGTAGGTGAAGTGTTCTCTCTGCATGCAACAGTAAAAATTAATATAATATTTTCCCCACAAAAGAAACACTTAACAGAGGCAAGTGCAATTTATAAATTTATATCTAAAGGGGAATCATGATTATAAGTCCTTCAGCCCTTGGACTCTAAATTGAGGGGATTAAAAAGAATTTAAAATAATTTTGAACGAATTTATTTTCCCCTCAGTTTTTGAGGGCATTAAAAAGGCATTAAATCAAGACAAATCATGTGCTTGAGAAAAATAAAATTAATGAAAACACAGCACTTATGTTGGTTTAGCTGCAGCCTCCTTGGAGGTAGAATTTATTTATTTAAAATTACTGGTTGCATCAAGAACCCATAGGGTGTACAAAAGGTTCTATAAAATCTGCATTATAGAGACAAAGAGGCAGGCAAATCCATGTCACAAGGGTAAAGCTTACAGTTTACAAACTGGGAACGCCAGGGTGTAGGATATAAAAACGCACTCTTGAGAAAACAAATGTAATCAGGGTGCTGAAAACTTGCATGGTGCTTTCAGACATTAGCCTTGTTCAACAAATTTCTTGTATTGACAGATCCATAGTGTGCATGGGCAGACACATTTTGCCTCTATGTCTCTTAAAATTTTAATTAAAAATACTCTTTCCAGTAATCCTAATTTGCACGAAGATATAATGTCCACATTACGTGCCTTGCCTTGAAATCTAAAAAACAAAAAACAAAAAAAAAAAAACAAAAAAATACAACAAAGTGACATCACTACACTTGTTTTGCTGCATTTATTATCATTTTAAATCTTTACCATTTTTATGACAAAATATTTTGTACTCCAGACGAAGAAAAATGTGTGACATCATGGATTTTTTAGACAGTTATACCTTTATCTCACATTTATAAAGCATATCATGGCTGTGTATAGTTGCCGCTTAAAAATTGTAATCGACCAGCAATATTTTCAGTATTTTGGTGTTTTTTTCTATTAACCTTTCATGTTTTTCATCTTCCAATTAATATTTGGGGGGGAGGGGTTTCAAATTTATACGAATTATGCAATACCAAGTTTTGCCTATGTAGGTAGTGCTTTTAGCTGTATTGGTTATTATAGGTAAGTACACAGATTTAAAAAAAAAATAATGTATGCTTTTTTGTTTGTTTGTTTGTTTTAATTGACCAAAGTGGGTACTGCTATTTTTGCAGTGTGATGAGGTCCTTTTGTGTACTGAGAGATGGACAGGGGATTTTTTTTAATATACATATATATATATTCTGGGGTGGGTGGGAGGATTTTTAACACTTTGCAGTGTAGCTGTGAAGCAGTGCACCCTGAGATGGGCCTGGGCTGCAAAGCGACTGTTCTGCCTACTGTGACAAACTTCAACTTACACAGGTTCCCCTCTCTAACTTCCCACCTGGGTTGCAAGCTGAACTCATTACTGGTTTTCATAACAACACAATAGTAAGAACAAGCAAACACAACAAATTCTCCTGGAGGCAGACTTGGCTTAAAAAGGCAGACTTGGCTTGGTGATAGTTTTTCTTGAAAGTTCCAGATCCACAGTGGAGAGTGAGCCTGTCTCATATTTGGCAAAAATATTTGTTGAAATGTCCACATAGGGGATGTTGGATGTTTAACACTTTTGAGAGTTTAACACATGAATATTCTTTCTCCTAGAAAACACATTAGACCTGTTGGAGGGAGTCTCCCGTATTCCTTTTCTGCCACTTTTCGTCCCCATTTCATTTCATTAATGATAGGATATGATTTACCTGTGACTTACTACTTCAAATGGATGGCAGTGCACTTGGATTTTTTTTTAATATCCAGAAGATTGAACAGAGGGTTGCTATTGTTGAATGTATTTGGACTGATAGATTAAAATCAAAGTTCAATTTTTAAGGAACAAAAAAGTAAATCCTGTTTTCATTTTATCTCCCCTTTTAAAACTGAGAACCAGAGCAGAAGGGAAATATAGAATTTTAAGCAATTAATCTTCCTGTGGATGAATTAAACCCATTAGATGCTGATGGGATTTTTTTAAGGAATGGTACCTTAACTATATATTTGATTTCGTTTCCCCTGAGGGCTAGAGGCTGAATGGAGGCTGGTTTTATTTTGCCTTTCCCTCACCGCCCAGTCCCATTGAGTGTATTCATTACTAGAAGGAAAATCTTTCAGAATTGGTGACACATGGTAGGCTGTCTTAAGGAGTCCCCTGGCCCCCTTCCCCTAGGCCATGGCCTAATAAAATAAACTGTCAATTGTTCTCACAGCATATCATTTAATAATGAATACTTTAGAACAATGCTTATGGGCTGGAGAATTGTATTTGATTAGCCCATTCAGTTTGATAGCCCAAATGCTGAACAGCACAGCGGGATCCTAGCAGTGCAAGTTCAAAAGTAAGTCCAATCATTTCTGTGATACTCGCCCTGGTAGCAAACAGATCATCTCAGCCAAGCTCTTCATGTATCTTTGACCTATTAGGTGAACAAATGAACCTCACAGGACACACAGTATTTTTTAAAGGCAGACTCGCTCTCTTTTTTGCCAGTGAGCAGTTCTAGCTAACCAAGTTACACACTGTGGGTATTCCTGCCTGCCTCTTGAATACAAAGGCCTAGTTCAAGTGTTGCTTTTTTTATTTCAAATCAATTTTTTCTTCTTTCCTTTTTGAGATAAAACTATTAAAAGTACTACTATATATATAAAATCTCAAATCAACTTTTCGGCCTCCTCCTCGTGTACCAGGAAGTATATTCTGACGAAGGGCCCCACTTTTGCAGGTCTTGCACGCCCCTCCCTTACCCAGAACTGCAGAGCTTCAGGATGGCGAAGGTCACCCAAGGGCATGAGTAGGGAGTGGTGTCTCCAACCATCAGTTCCGTGGCACTGTTCAGCCTTTGTGTGCTGCCCTGCCACCCACCACTCACAGTGCCTCTGAAGCGTGTTACCCCTGGAGTGACGTGAGCATTTGAGGCTTGTCTAAGGAAAAAAATAAAAGGCAGTGAAGGAGACTGTACATAAAGACATGGCAAAAATCTTAATTATAGCAATATAGTTATCGGGTAATGTTCGGGTGGGCAGCTCCATTAAAAAATATGTGAATGAATCTGTGAAGCTGCAAGTAGCGAGAAGAGCGAAAGGTCTTCTTAATGAACCGCCTACCTTGTAGACAGTAATTTGTACACTGTATAGTTTTGTTAAGAATTTTTTTTAAATTAAAATTCCCATGTTTGTAAAGCTAACTTTTTAACAATTATAATGGAACTATATGTTGTTTCCATTTTTAAAGTAAACAAGAATATTCCTTGTTTAGAGACTGGACTTGAGTTAAAACTCTCCAGTCTCTTAAGTTATGTATTAAAAAGAAAATCTGTCCATGTTAGGAGTTATTTCACAGATTCCTGTGCTTGAAAAGCATAGGATACTAATCCTTTAAAAAAGTGTAAATGGAGAAAAGTTATATTTTATGAAGGTTATTTTGTTGTATTTAGTATTGGAAAAGTTGGTTTCCAGAGCATTTCAGAATGTCGAAGCACCACTGTCTTTTTATTAGTATATACGGCCTTTAGCAAAAGTTTTTGTGATTGTTACGTGATGGTATTTAAGGTTAAGTTTCACAGAGCATTCAGGATAGGCAGAAAACTAAAACAGTGCTATGTCTCACATAACGTGTCCTCAGGGAGCAGAATCTTGGATTTGTGACTTGTAGCTTCATAAGGACTCAACGAAAGAGATTGCACAGGGACATCTTCAGCGGTGTGACAGCAGGACATGTTCTTTACCTAGATTCAAATTCTATGTACTGTGTGAAATGATGAAGGCTGCAGAAAGTTATCCCATATTCAGTGTACAGTATTCATTTTTAATGAAACAACTCTACAATATTGCTGGCAGATAGGCCCCAAGCATGACATTCAATATAGTTTACATGTTCCTGTCAAGGTCTTTTGTTAACATTAACCAGCTGCATGCTTTCTGGACTTTAAGAAATTGGGTTTCTATAGAAAACTTTTTTTTTTTTTTTTTTTTTAATGTGCAGGCTATTCAAGTTCAATAGTAAAAGCTCAAAAATGAATGTTCTACTCCATGCTGAAGGAGCTGAAAGCTGCCTTCTTCATATTTTGCACTTTCTGGTAGTTCCCCTGTTTTTTCTAATTCCCTAAAATTGTGTGGGTGGAGTGGAGCCCTGCAGTTGGGGGGTAACATGGACCACTGATTTTGCCCTTTGACCCTGCACAATGACCTTTGCATCAGCCAAACTCATTGCCATGACAACTCTTTGTACTGTGTCCGTGCCACAGATCTGTTGGTCACATTGTTAATAGTAAAGGGGACAAGTTGGAGACGGTCAATTTTTACATTTTTTGTTGCAATTTTTTCTTCAATGGTTGTAAGTAGTTTTTTTTTTTTTTTAATAATAAAAGGGTTCACTAGTTAATACTCTAGAAATATCTGTGTGTTGCAATTCAAATGTATGTTGAGATTGTGAAAAGCGCTTCAGTGCCACTAGCTTACCGGTACACTAGACTAAGCCCTTGATGACTTATTGCATGATACAGTACCAGGAACAACAGGTGGCCTAAATACATGAAAAGCAGTGTAAGCTAGTGACACTAAAGCCAGTCTTGTATTACTGTATTTTTGACAGAATGGTTTTGAAAACTGTGCTACAGGGACTGATGTGGCAAATATATCTCTTTATGCAGAAGGAAGTCTTTTTTTTTCTTTTTTTTTTTTTTAAGAAGTATGGCTTTTTATGCATCCTTCATCGAGGGCATTGAAGTTGCATGGACTGATAAAAGTTGATGCAAAACAAGAAAGAAACAAACAAAAAAAAAAAACCAGCAAAATGTTTACCAAAAAACTCAAACAAATGAGCAGTGCCTGTTCAATTTCACAGTCTCTGTTGAGTTCAGTTGTAAATATGTTTCAAATGACATTTTCTTGGGAAAAAAAATCTCTACAACATTGTAGAATGTGAGGGGTAACTACATCCCAGGCATAGGTTTCTCAAAGCTGCAGTAGATTATGTCTTCATCAAGCTGTTAATTTGTGCTTATATCATATAGAACTTTTAGCATCCTGGGAAGAGCTGCCCCCACCTCAATGATATTTCTCTGAGAACAACTTTTGTAGGACTGTGTGTTTCTTTAGATACATTTAGTACAACTGTAGGTGACGAGTAGTCAGTTATTGCTTGCTAGCTACACACCAGGGTTGATCCATTTTAAAACTTTTGGCATTTTGTCCTCATGGGCCATAAATACAGAACCTTGTATTTTAATTAAATTTTTTTACAAAAGGAGGCACATGCACAATCTCCATGTAACAAACCTTTAGCAGTAGGATGTATTATACGACAGTTACTTAATTTCTAGAGTTCAGGCCTCTGGGATCAACCCCAGACTGGGCCAGAATGTTAGTGAAGGTTTTATTGTGCCCGGTTGGAGGATAACGTTCTTTGGGTACTTTTTGTGGGTTGCAAATGAACTCAATTGCCACAAGTTTTAAACTGGTGTAAATCAAGCTTGACTTAATGTGATTGTTACTGTTATATCCAGCCTATACTGCTAGCAGCTGCTCATACTGCAGTCAATTACTGGAAGCGGATATATTTCCTATGCAAAAACTGTTTAAACAATAAAATGAGCTATGCTACAGACTCTGGCCTCATGTTTTATTTTTCTCCTCATCGTCTCCTTGCTGTTCTGCCTACATTAATGTTGGGTCAGTAGTGTCCCAGAAATTGATCTTGGCCCTTAACTTTGGGGGTTTTGTAGCACTGATTTAATTATTAGCATCTGGGATAGTTAATATTTCAGTTCAATATTTAACCGTATATCTGTGTATATCTATATAATCCTTCCTTGCAGTTCCTAATAAATACAGTCATCCCAAGCTTTCTAAACAATGACAGTAAAAAAAAAAAAAAAGAAAGTGCAGTTATAGAATCGCAGACCTCACTCTCTGAGAAAGGCCTTTGAGCAATACGTTGAAGACGATGTGTGCCATGATGACTGGACTGTGGTCTCTGTGAGAGAAAAACCACAGGGCATCAAACACTGAACAGAAAAGGTAAGCCCCGGGGACACCCTGTGGCTGTGGGTTTAGTGGTTACATGAATACTGCAGGAGAGCAATTTCTTCCTGCAAATGCCTGAAAAGGAGCAGCATCTTGTGTTTCCAAGAAGCAGTGCTACTTTTCAACACAAGCAGGGGTGATGTTCCCTTTTCACAGGGAGACATACACAAGGGCTAAAACCGAGGACCGGGTCCCAAATCCAGCCTCACTGAAAGCAGCATTTCTGAATGGAGTCAGCTGGAGTTCAATAATAGCTAATTGAAAAGGAATGAGCTTAAATGGTTTTGTGATCCATCTGAGTGATGTGCATAAATGAAGCAAAAATAATGCAAGCTTCATTGAAAATAGAGATAAAAATGCCTGGAATTTGACTATCCCAACCAAAGACTTGCTGAGACAGATCTGACTGCCTGATCCGACCAACTCTGATTTGTGGCTGAGGTTTCTTTCATGTCCCCAAACCACCCTGGTTTCCACCACTGTGTGTGGAGTCGTATGGAAATTGATGGACTATAATATCCTGGAAAAAAAAAATTGGAGAATCCTGGAAGTATGAGACAGTAATTGGATTTCTTAGAAAATGAAGACATTTCTTAAGAAATGTTTGAGAATATTATCATTGAAATAAAACTTTTACCTATAGAGAGATTTTTGCCTTTTTAAAAACGTTTGGCTCTATTGGCAGAGATCAAGATTTAGGCTGAGGCGGATGGATTGCTTGAGCCCAGGAGTTCAAGACCAGCCTGGGCAACATGGTGACACTCCCATCTCTACAAAACATACAAAAATTAGCCAGGCATGGTGGTACATGTCTGTTTTTCCAGCTACTCAGGAGGCTGAGGTGAAAGGATCACCTGAGCCTGGGAGGTTGAGGCTGCAGTGAGCCATGATCTTGCCGCTGCACTCCAGCGCCTGGGTGACAGAGCAAGACCTTGTCTCAAAAAAAAAAAAAAAAAAAAAAAAAAAAAAAAAAAAAAAAAAGATATTTAGGGATCAAAGAAAGATGGCAGTTACAAAGGAAGAATACACAGGAACAATTGAAGGCCCATGCCTTAAGTTAAACTGCCTGATTTCAAATTCTGAAAATACCCTGACTAGCTGTGTAGCAAATAAATAAACTTTACCTCAGTTCTCTCATCTGTAAAATTAGATATTAATGACAGTACCTGTCTCATTAGACTATTAAGAGGATAAATAAGATTGCACATGTAAAGCCTTTATCACAGTGTCTGGTACATGTTATTAGGCAATGTGATACATATATGAGTCAGGAATGAATGGATTCATTCGTTTTTTTTGGGGGTAAGAACATAAAGGCATGAATTATTTTTATTGGCCATTTTTGTTTTGTTTTGTTTTACTGTGATTAAAAAATAATTGAATGGCTACTGTTCAGAGATCATGACTTCCTTTCCCTTTTAGCTTTAACTCTGTGTCAGCCAGCAGAATTTTCCTGACAGGTATTCCAGCAGACTTCTTCCAAGACACCGTTTCTGAAACTGCATGCCCATACGTGGTCTTACTTTCCCTTCTTTCCCTTCAGATGTTGTCAGTATTTTTCTTTGTGAAGAGAGAAAAGCATTGATTTCTCAAGTGTATTAATTCTCCAAGTAGTTTTATTTTATAGGAGACACTTAGGATTTGCAAGGAATAGACGTGTATTCAAATGGAGAAAGTCATGGGTATTAAACCGAAGCAGCTGGGGAAGAGGAATTGCAAGGCAAGAGGGCAGTGGCTCACCTCCCTTCCCTTCCCTGACACTCCATTCTCCCCTCCAAGGTGAGGACTGGATAAGGATGTGGAATCTACAATGGACTGGGAGAGACTGGATAAGCTGAGATATGAACTTTCCAAACTTCACACCAAGGAGCCCCACCGAGTCTTTACAGGACACACCAGCTGTTCCCACCGAGAAAGGAAACAAAACTTTTTTTGTTTGTTTGTTTCTTTCAGGATACCTCCCTCTGTGGAATCCCCTCTTCTGCATTGTCTTTCACTCCTCTTTCATCAGGTCACAAATGCCACTATTCCATCCTTAGTCCTTTGTCCAAAATTGCCATTTTCACTCTGAGTTGGCATCTACGATGATGCTCACACTATCTCTTGTTCCGAAGTGGTCCTTTCCTCCACATCAACAAAATGTCCACTCTGGGGTACCTGTACTGGTGGATTTTGATTGGATTGAAATCACTCACACTAGGGTCTGAATAATAGACTTAAGGGCATAGTGGTGGTGGGGAACCTTGCATGAAGTTATTGCCACTATCATTTTTTTAAGACAGATGATTCCTCTGTGTACGTATGAAGAAGACTTCTTGGTGCTTGCTTGTTTTTTTGTTGTTGTTTTTGTTTGCTGTAGGAGTTAGAAACACAATTGGATACAGACGAGGTGGGGCACGCCACATAACTGGGTTAAACAGGCAGCGTTAACAATGGGAGGGTAGAGGCTGTGATGACCTGGAAAGGGACATTTATGTTAAACAAGAACAGCTGGAGCTGTAGGCAGCTCATGAGCTGCCTTTACATACGAGGCTTGTTATTTTACAGAACGCCCTCACTGCCGCTCGTACATGTGACTGTTGAGGAAAATGCATGGGATCTGCATTGTTTTATGGCCCATGGCTCTATTGGATCCATCCCCACCACCTCTACCAGTGTCCTGTACCTGCACCCCACAAGGTACAGAGGGAAAAGAGATTCTTTCCAGAAAGAGACAGAATTTTAAGGGAATCCACCATGTACTTATCACACATGTTTCTCCCAATTACTCTTTCTCAGATTTTTATCCAATATTGCAGAATCAAAATTTTCTATGTTAGTGCAAAACTTATAAGCCTTTACACCTATTCAGAGAAATAACAGAAATGACAGGCCTGGAGCAGTGGCTCATGCCTGCAGTCCCAGCACTTTGGGAGGCCAAGGCAGGTGGATCACTTCAGCCCAGGATTTCAAGACCAGCCTGGGCAATATGGGGAAACCCCATCTCTACAAAAAATGCAAAACTTAGCTGGTTGTGGTGACATGTGCCTGTAGTCCCAGCTACTCAGGAGGCTGTGGTGGGAGATGAGCTTTGGGAAGTTGAGACTGCAGTGAGCCAAGATTTCACTACCACTGCACTCCAGCCTGGGTGACAGAGTAAGACCCTGTCTCAAAAAAAAAAAAAAAAAAAAAAAAAAGAATGACGATGTTGGAACTTTGGCATAATAAATTCAAATTAAAACATTTGAAAATAAAATTTCAGCACAATATCCATTTCTACCTCACTTCTTTGTCTTATTTGTAAAAATCACATAAACAACCTGGTGTTTCCAGTACCTTACCAAATTATCCAGTAGATTTAAATATCCCCATTTCTTAACTGCCTTGTAATTATTGCTTGATTTATTAAACAGAAGACTGACTGAATCGAGAATCGTTGATTTTTCTATGCCAAAAAATGTTGACTTCTATTAAAGCATATTCTAGGCAAGACAATGTAAACTGGATTTCAAGAAAGTGCAGAAGTGGGAGTATATGGGTTTATTGTGGACTTTTATTTGTGAAACTGCTGAGATTGTTTCATAACCCAGCAAAGTAATCAGTTCCAAATTAGTGTTCAGATTAGATAATGATAACTTAAACATATCTCGCCCTATTTGTAAACATAAGCACTCTTTTCCATTCCAGAGTTTTCAGAAAAACGCACATATTAAGAAGTGTAGGGTTAAACCTAATTTTAATTGTACTTTCTATCCTATTGACATCATAGGCAGGGTAAATGAAGGGAAAGGAAGTAATAGTCGCCTTTGCTTTCTTCTTTTGGAAGAAACATATACAAACTAGAAGGTAATCAACCCCCTTTAATGAACCCAAATATTAATATTCTAATGTGTGCAACAAAACCTGGAAAAAGCAAGAATCATATTAAAATTAGGGGGGAAAACCCAAAAGATAAAAAAAGATGTAAATAACATTCTTGGGTAGTAGGAAATAATTAAGACCACAAATTTTTTTATAAACCTATCAATTTTACATTTTAGTTGTAGCTCCACAATCATCACAGAATTATAGCTAGCTCTTAACTAATTGAATAACTGATTAGACAGAATACAGTAGAGATGAAACAATTCTTAAATGTTCTTGACTTTTTTTCTGATACATTTGTGTCCTTCCCAAATACAACATATACGTATATCTTCAGTTTTCCTGAGAAGTTCCAATTATATCTACTCTTATCTGTAAAATTAACTTAATTAAACTTGTAAGCACATTTAATTTTATGTCCTTATAAAAATTTAGCATAGAAGATTATTATTTAAGCAGAAAAATACCCAAATATGTTTTGAGGTTTGGAATAAAAGGTATACCACCAAATCCAGAAAGTTCTGGAATCTCACCTGTGAAGACACAAACCCATTGGTCTGGTAGAGATCACATTAATATTCACATTGATCTCTTGCCTGGGTAGCCTGAAATCAAACTAGGTTCTAGCTTATGTCCTTTCTGGGAATACTGATCAAATCGTGAGCGTGTTACCTGAGCCAGTGCCATCCATGTGGGCCGCCCTGGCTTTGGTGCGTCTCCCCTTCTTGCTCTCTGTTGATGCAGTGCCATTCCCACAGGCTGCCCCTCTGGTGAGAAGCCTCAGTGCACATTTTCTGTTGAGTTTAAAGGAAGGTTGTGAGGAGAAATAAGTCAAATTAATAGCACATGTTAGAAATCACCAAGCCGCCAATGTCAAGATTTTCCTATTAACAGTAACGAAGGTCCATCACAGAGGATGCTAGAGGGCAGGAAACAGTTCAAATAAGAGGGAAACAGTTTTGTTGGCAGCAATGTAAGAGTAAATGGAGTTGCCATTTGTTGAATTATTACTGAGTCATGCCCTGGGCTAAGTCTTTCACTTGTATTATCTTATTTAATCCTCATAAGACTGATAAAAGAGAAGTATACTGATAATACTCTTATTTTACAGATGAGAAAACTGAGGCACAGAGAGACGAAGTGATTTGTCCCAACAAATAGCAGGAAATAATAGGTTTAAATAGCATCTGACTAGCAGACCTAAACTGCTTAACGTTTGTCTTAAAATTTGGTCCAATGAAGTACGTGCTTTTTTTTTTTTTAATATTATAGAACTTGAAGATTTCGGAATACTCTTAATCCCACATTTTGATTACAAACCAAAGCAACCATTGATCTCTGTTTTCTGGGATTTGCGTGATGTGTAATAGTTTGGTCACCAATTTCAATTTCAAAATTATACACCTTCCGTACATTTTGGTGAAGGCTGGACATTCAAAACTTAATATATTGTCAGTTATTCTACCACCATATTTTTAAACTTAATTCATCATTGGGCTTTTAGTGAAACAGCAGAGTAATAGCTATAATTTATTAAGGACTCATTACTGTGGGTTAGGACCTGTGCTTAATATTTTACAGCCAGTATTTTAAATTAAATTCTCAAAAATAAGCATAATCATTTCCATTTTACAGATGAAAAAAGAGAGATTCAGAGATGAAGCAATTTACTCCAAATTCATGCATTATGAATATGGTGGCCCCAAGATTCAAACCCAGGTGTACCTGAATATGAAAGCCATGAACTGCAGTGTGGGATGCTATCTTGTGGCTCTGGTTAAGACCTGGTTCAGGTAGGTGACCAGGTCTCTTACTCATGGTGTTCTCACAGATCTGAGGATTGTGAGAATGCCTAAGATTGCTCTGTGCCCTTGTGAAAACTAAAGCATCCAGAAGTCACAGGACAGAATTATAGCATGTGCAGTGCTCTGCATTCTTCAAGCCTAACATTCTTCAGAGGCAAGAGGAGCACAGAGCCAACACTAACTCTGCCTTGCCCCATGGCTTTGCAGGTACCCAAGATTTGGAAGTAGCTTCATGTGTTCACCAAGAGACGTTGGTGGTTAACTGTTGGCCCAGAAGCCTAATTATGATGAAAGTGGGCTTCCAGGCCTCAACAAGTTTTCTTTCACAGTAGGTGCCCTGAGGAGAAAGGAGGGGTTTGGGGTATGGACTTATTGTTTGAGCCTGCCGTGCAGGTGCAGGTGCCTGCTGCAAAACAATGAACTCCATTGATGGCAATGCCTGGCCCTGCACATGCCAAAGCCAACGCATATTGCTCTAGGCAGGTATGGAAGTCAACAGTGAGGCGTACCCAGGTGGGGGTTCAGGATCTCAAATGGCCTCCTCCTCAGAGCTGACAGAATTAATCATGGCCACGCTGGAGAGCAGACTACCTACAATATATTGAAAAACTGATCTGTGAGTTCGGACAGATACACCAGCGTCAAAGCTCTGGCATTGGGGCAGATGCATCTATTTTCAGAAGTCTCTCCACAAATGGAGAACTGTTTGTCTTAAAGGTGGAAAATTACATGTATTTTACTATTTTAAAGAGGGTATATCTGAATTGCCTTTCCTGCAAAAGAGGAAAAGGAATCCCATGAACATCTTTGGATTTCTTCCTTTCTTTCTTTCTTTTTTGAGATGGAGTCTCACTCTGTTGCCCAGGCTGGACGGCAGTGGTGCCATCTTGGCTCACTTCAACCTCCGCCTTGCAGTTCAAGTGATTGTCCTGCCTCAGCTTTCTGAGTAGCTGGGACTACAGGCACACACCACCACGCCCAGGTAATTTTTGTATTTGTAGTAGAGGCGGGGTTTCACCATGTTGGCCAGGATGTTCTCCATCTCTTGACCTCATGATCTGCCCGCTTCAACCTCCCAAAGTGCTGGGATTACAGGCGTGAGCCACCACACTCAGCCTATTTCTTTCTTTTTTGTTTTCTGAGGAAATAAATATAGATAAGAGGGTAAAATGTATCTTTGAAAAAAACATTTCTGTGATTTTTCAATGAGGAATTGTTAAGTGCCTTATTTCACATGGCTAAGCTTCATCTTCAGACTTGACACTTTTGCAAATCAAAAGCTTATAAGCAGAGGCCACAGACATGGAAATACATCCAGCCAACTAGAAAGGGGCAGGGTATAGGAGTGTAGTCCAGTCTTGCTTTGAAACACTCTTGAGAGAAAGATCGTTTATGAAACACTTACGAATCTCATATAATCTGGCACTACACAGTGTCTTGGACATCAGTTTTTCAGGCTTCTTGAATTCCAACTTAGGGAAGATAGTTCACTTTTAAGCAGGAGCCAAGATGGACCATTTTCATTTTCTGATAAAATCTTATTAACAACAACTATGCCAGCACCAGGATTTGCACTGGGGACACAAGAGTAAGCAAAATCGGCCCAAGCTTTCTTTTTCCTTGGCTCAGGGCAGGGCTTCTAATGAGTGTTTCCTGGTTAAGTAGAATCTGAGAGCAATACGAGTTCAATAGAAATAAATGAGGCAAGTGATGACAAATGCCCCAAGGAGTGCCAACATTTGTGGGTGAATTACTAAGACTCTCGAGACCTCAGTATCTTCATCTATGAAAAGGAAACAATAAGACCCACCTTAAAGTTTGTTGTGGGGAATTAAATGAGATCATATATTATGCCTGGTACAGTCGGACATGGTGGCTCACGCTTGTAATCCCAGCACTTTGGGAGGCCAAGGTGGGCGGATCACCTGAGGTCGGGAGTTTGAGACCAGCCTGACCAACATGGAGAAACCCCATCTCTACTAAAAATAAAAAATTAGCTGGGCATGGTGGCGCATGCCTGTAATCCCAGCTACTCGAGAGGCTGAGGCAGGAGAATCACTTGAACCTGGGAGGCGGAGGTTGTGGTGAGCCAAGATCAGGCCATTGCACTCCAGCCTGGGCAATTAGAGCAAAACTTGGTCTCAAAAAAAAATAAATAAATAAATAAAAGAAAGAAAAAAATTATGCCTGGTACGTAGTAGACCAGAAAGGATGCTAGACATTGTCGTGATCAGTTTTGGATCTCTCTCCTCTTGACCTTTTTATAGATGAATTTATGGGCAGCCCTATAGATTGAGGCCACACTTAGTGCCCCTAAGGTTCTAACTTCCAAGGGGATAAAAACAGACATCAGCTTCTTAAAATTCTCACACTCCTCTCTGATTAGCACCATATTCCAGCCTTCCTTCCTCCAGTGCACCTTCATCAGGCATCACCTCCACATCACACTGCATTAGTTTTCTCTTTCTTTGCGCAACAGGGATAGAGGGATAGAGGACAGGGAGGGTTTCCCCTTTTCTGATTCCCAAGATCACCGTCATTCTCAGTCCCTGCTGAGGGAGGAGGCTTGTCATTTGGGGAGATTTGAAAATCAACCCTAGGGCTTGGCTTGCCAGCCTGGATGTGTGGGCAGCGGCCAATCTGAGAAACAATCTGGATATCACATTGCCCGAGAAAAGGGGATGTCCCTCTGGGAAATAAGCCTGGCTCTGTTTGTATTGGCTTTCAGAGAACTCTTCTGACCTGACATGGTGCTAACTTGGTATTGTGGGAAAGTCCGTCTGACCACTGGCTTCCTGCAGTTGCCTTTTGATTATGCCAAAGGAGGGACCTAAGAAGCAGTGTGCAGATATGGTCTCCAGGGAGAGATGAAATCCCAACTTCTGTCAGCACGAGCACCCACCTCCCCTTGTTTGCATGAGAGAAGAGGAGACCAGGGAAGAATTTAACCCAATCTTGGGAATGTTGCACGCTCGAACTAAAAGTTAGGTTTTTCACTTCTTGGCTTAACCTAAAATGTAGGCGCTGGCCCTCCAGTTGGCTGCCATGGGACAAAGGTTGTTTTTCTGGCTAGGGCCAAAAAGAGTGGAATCTCAGCACAGAGTAAAATTTAACTTTGGATTTTTTGTTTGTTTGTTTGTTTTTCCTCTTATTACACCTTTGACCCCAAACCACACTCCTCCTTCCCTCTCTGCCTCTTTTTCTCACCAACTTCCTGATCAGTCTTCTCAAGTTGCAGCCATGAAACTAGAAATCTATTCCCTGCCTTTGACTTATTGGCATTCCCATGATTATTGGTTAATCTTACAAGAATTAAATGAGTTTTCCTTGGCAGGAACAGAGAGGAGGAGCAGGTTTTAGGAGGGAAAAAGCAAAGTTTATAGTGTTAAATTACCTTGGCCTTATCTGATCGCTTTGAACACTCACTCCCCTCTTCACTCTCCTCTCCCCTTCCCTCCCTAGTGCTTGATAGGATGCAAATTCTGGTTCTCCAGAGTATCCCAGCTGATCTCTCCCTCTGCCTGGTTCCTCACTCACTGGTTAACACATTGAAGTATGAATGACACTAGTCACTAATCTCTTGGCCCCATCCTTTCCACTGTCCCCGAGGTGTTTTCTTGGGCTGACTTCATTTAATTTCAGGATCAGATAATGACACTCTGTAGAAGGTAAGAGTTAAGGACTGGCAATATGGCATAGAAAGACATGAGTTACAGAGCCAGATAGATTTGGGCTCGTTCTAGCCTTTTGGGCAAGTTAACCACTCTGAGCGCTGATATCCCCATTAATAGAGATAATATACCTTTGCAAAAATATATATAAAGCATCTAGCTTGGTGCCACATAGCGGATACTTAGATACTTAATTATCAATGTGATCATTATTACTGGGCTGCTCTGTCTCCTCCTGAGTGCAGTTTTGGGTGGGAGATGATTGTTAAGGAAGGCTACAATATTGGGAGGTATTATTACCACAGCTGCCTTGACCTCCCCATTCGTTTTGTGTCCTGAGGCTCCCTCTGAGGAAATCCGGCAGCCCAAGAAGTTGATGAGGGAGAAGCCAGCAGAGGGAATGTGCTGCTTGGCTTGGAGCCACCACCAGGTGGTGACTGGCTTGGTCACCCAGGGACATATGGGTTTTATTCACCCGAGGAGGCCAGAGGCACAGTGGTCCGAGGCTCTTGGATAATGAGCAAAATTAGCTACTCTCTGCTGATGTTGGGGACTCTCTTTCTGAGGGGTTCCCAGCTTCTCTGGTGACCCCCACTTCCACAGGCCGCCATTTTCTTTCTATGCCAGTGATTCTCAATACTGGCTTCGCATTAGAATCTCATAAAGGAGTGGGCCTGGCTAATGGTAACAGCTCCCCAGGTGAATCAAATGTGCAGAGTTGAGAATCACTGTTTGAGACCCAGCCTGAGCTTTTTGGAGCTTCTCCTGCAGAGGCAAACTTAGGTTTTTGGTTGTGCTGTTCTCCCCCGGATGGATCCCAAATGATTACTGAAGCTTAATGTAAGTATTTATGTTGCTTAACTTGTGGCATCCTTTAAAACCACGTATTGATTTACTTTTAAAGGTAGACACTCCTTATTCCAACAAGCACAGCCTAATATGGTATGGTCATATTGCTCAGGTAGTATATTTCTTGCTTCCAATTTAAGAAAAAGGAAGAAGAAAGTCATTAAGTTCTTTTCTGGAAAAACAGCAGAGAATAATCTAGAGTATTAAATATATCTTGATGAGGGGAAGTTGAGGAAACCTTCCTAGATGACTCTTCTATTTCTCTGAACTGGTCAGTTAGCCCCGACACAAAGCCTTACACATGATTGTCTCCCGTGAGGCCTCCATTGTCTAAGCTGCTCTTTGTGAAAAAGCAGATGCTCTCCAATCCACACACCTGTGACCAGAAGCCTGAACACTAATGGTTGACCAAGTTCCTACTCTCGTTGCAAAGATGAAGCTGTGACATCCCCCAATTTTTGGGAAGCTCTATTTTACTCTGAAGAACTAATGTGAAAGTTACTGTAGGCACAATAAGTATAAAGAAAAACTGAACTCGATAACACTGTTGATAGCTTGATAACACTGTTGAAGCTTACCTGGAAGGATTGGGTCATCCATTAGTGTAAAATACTGAATTTCTATCACATGGAAGACTGATGTAACTTAGGCTCAAGGAAACACAAGTTGGACTAAGGGTTAGAAGTTACAGTAAGACACATTTCCACCGAGTATTCAGGAGACCCTTTTGCTGGCTGAAGTTGGAATGAATGAGATCACACCATAGCATCTGTTCAGCAATCAGTGCTCGAAGGTCAGAATGGTGAGTGCCAAAAGGGGAGCACCTGGATTACTGGTTATACCCGAGACATTCACCTGGCCAATCAAAAGTTAGTTTGATTGAGTGTTCTACGTGTATGCTTATTTCCAAACATCATCACATTGGGCGTGCATGGTGGCTTACACCTGTAACCTCAGCACTTTGGGAGGCTAAGGAGGGCAGATCACTTGATCCCAGGGGTTCGAGACCAGCCTGGCCAACATAGCAAAACTCTCTCTCTACTAAAAATACAAAAATTAGTCGGGCATGGTGGCACATGCCTGTAATCCCAGCTACTTGGGAGGCTGAGGCATGAGAATCGATTGAACCCAGGAGGCAGAGGTTGCAGTGAGCTGAGATCACGCCATTGCACTCCATCCTGGGCAACAGAGCAAGACTCTGTTTAAAAAAAAATCATATTGTACTCAATAAATATATATAATTTTTATATATTACAAAAATTTATTCAAGCATTCTATCTTCATGGTTCAATATATATCAGAAACTTGCAAAGTTTTAGAGATTCATATATGAATAAATTATGGTACTTAGCTCACAGACACACTTAAGCGAAAGAAGTAGCAATACAGTATCAAATAGAGACCTAAAAAAAGTGAAAAGGGGAAAGGGCAATACATTCTCTTGGGGCAATTCAGTTTGGGCAATGCGGAGGTAAAGTAGGGCATCAGGCCTGAAGGAAGCTTCTAGAAGGAGTTGGCATTTGAGCTAGGCCTTTAAGAACAGATAATATTTTGCCATGTGGGGACAAGGAAGGGCATTTTAGTTGGTGGTAAAAAGTGATGCACAGCATTGGAGTGTGGAAGCGTCCTTATGTTCAGAGAAGAATGTGTTGTGTGTTGACTTCTCTAGTAAACACAAGAGGTACATGAAGGCAGTCGGGGGAGGGGGAAGATATCTAGCAAGCTTTAAACTCCAACCAAGGTATATAAATGCATCTTATTGGATTTTTTCTACATAAGTATTTTTATTTTTAATGTCCAGAATGTGTAATATAAGGGCCAGAACTTCCTCCTGGACTCAACTTTATAAATTCTCGATTGGTTGGTGAGGCCAATAGGGATACTTTCTCTTGTCTCATTTGGTTTCTGGGAAAGCTTCATTCAGGTCCTCAGTGGTCGTCTGATCAAATGGAATTAAGTTCCTCATCTTCTCCAGCTGTTTCTCATATTGTCCAATCCTGGCCTTTGAGAGAGACATCCACTCAGCACAAGTTTTCACATCTTCTTTTTCTTCAGCATCCACTTGGGCAGTGTATTTATCCTCTGGTACAGGAAACTTCAGGGCATTAAACTTCTTCTCAAAGTCATCCACCAAGCCTGCCTTGGCCACACTGGCCTTGTAGTAAGTCCAGTCAATAGATGGTTTATTCTCAGGTAAAATAGCCAGTCTGGAGGTAAGAATCTCATTCCAGGATGTCAGGGAATTAGCAATGGCCTTTTGGTTTCGGGATATGCTCTCCCAAGAAGTTACCCAGTCAATGATTTTTAGAGCAAGTTTTTGCCCAGCCATCTTGGGATCCTTCACCGACCCCAGCGGCCCATAGTCCACAGCAGCACCTAGCGGCTCTTACTGGATTTTTTAGGGCAGCTGTGGCTATGTATTAAAATTTGGACTTTATGCTTCAGGAATGGGGAACAATCACAGGTTTTGGAGAGTAGAGGAAGCCATAATCTAGAAAAATAATGGAATTGCTTGGTATAGGGCACCACCAAAGCTTAACTGTCTCTGTGATAGTGATTTCTCCCTCTGCACTTTTCCCCATAGTGAATTTCCCCAGGCCCATTGTTTTCCAACTTAGAGTCTTTAGATTCCTTGCAGATTCATGAAGATGGAAATAAGGGATTCATGAAGTATTTTCAACATTGCAATAAGCTGAAATAAATTATGCACTTGACTATCACTATCACAGAGATAGTTAAGCTTTGGTGGTGCCCTCTATGAAGCAATTCCATTATTTTTCTAGATTATGGCTTCCTCTACTTTCCCTGTGCTTATTCCCCATTCCTGAAGCACAAAGTTCAAATTTTAATATATGGCCACAACTGCCCTAAAAAACCCCAATAAGATGCATGTATTTACTTTGGTTGGAGTTTAAAGCTTTGCAGGCTGTCTTCCAACCCACTGTTCGCATATACCTCATGCATCCACTGGAGAAGTCAACACACAACACATGTTCTTCTCAGAACACAAGGACGTTTCCACACTCCAATGCTGTGCATCACTTTTTACCACCACTTAAAAGGTTAGCACCAACCTTTTCATCGAAGCAAAAGGACCCTTTCTTTAGTTACAACTCTTCAGTAAGGGCCCCTAGCCACTAACTTTGGGAAGGTCTTCCTCTTAGAGAGCTTACATGGTATAGGATTTATTGGTATGGGCTTTAGAGGCAGACAGGCTTGAGTTTGAATATTGGCTGCCACTTATGAGCTATATGATGTTGGACAACTTATTTAATCTCTGTAAGCCTCACTTTCTGTGGTTAACTCACAGGATATATTGTATATCTGTTGTGTCTGTCAGTATAGTCTTAACTCATAGAATATATTGTATATCTGTCAATTACACACTTTATAATCTGTCTTATTATGTAAGTATAGAGTGTTGCCTGCCTATAGAAATTAAAAATGCCGCTAGGTAAATCACAATCTTTTATGTGTCCATCAGCATCATTGGCCACTATTGGTCCTTCCTATTTGGGGTCTCCACTGAAGGTCTTTGAGGCAGGCTGCTTCTGGCATTTAGATGACCACACTCTTGGCTCTCCAGTTTGCTGCTGTGTCTGCTGATAACTGTATCTGAGTGCCTCTGAGCTCCCCAGTGATCTTCCCAGTGCCTTGCTGAGCAGATATCCTGAGGGTGGCTGCTTGCCTCCGTCTTGCAGAGGCCAGAGGGAAACATTCGCAATGCCATTTTCTACCCAGCTCATTAGTCAACTTCAGGACTTCAAAAGGCATGCTCTGTTTGACTCTGCTGTTCTCTATACCTGACACGTATACAAATGTGTTCAATGCACACTTCCTATGCTTCGTCATGGCTTTGGAAGCCCTACTTGAGACTCAGTGGTTTTATGCTTTTTAGTCTACATTGCCTAAGAGAACTGATACAGAGGCTAAGCAAAGGGGTGGTAAATATGGATGTCATTTAATACTACAGTCATATGGCAAGTCTGAAAATGGTCTTGTCAAAGTTAGTGGTGTGGCCTAAATGGCCACATAAGTCTGTCTTGAAAACGATTTGAATTTTCTCTTTCTTTTATTCAGTTGAGTCCTAGGAATATAGACACATGGACAACACGTATCCAGCACTGTTCATTGTATGGTGCTGGGTAAACATACAATGATTCTCTTTGGATAGCTGCCCATGTACTTTACTGTTCATGTGCACTTTCCAACATTTCAGTGCTGGAAAAACATAAAAAAGTCAGGAAGTCTCACCTGAACAAGCTTTCTTGGGCAGATTTTTGGCAGGTAATGCTTCCTGTTACATAGGAAATGCTTTTAAGCTTAGCTTCATTTATAGTACTTCGGTTTGCCTACGAAGCTATGAATTCTGTTTGGTTGCTAGTAACAAATCTTAGAAAGCAAAACAAACAACAGCCACAATGACAAAATGGTGGCTTGAAGACATTAGGGGTTTATTTTTGTCTCATGTAAAACACATTTGGAGATGGGCACTCAGGCTGAGGCCGTGAAAGACTTAAGGCCTTTCTAGCTTTGTGCTCCTCCATTTGTACAACTTTTTTTTTTTTTTCGTGACAGGGTCTTGCGCTGTTGTTCAAGCTGGAGTGCAGTGGCACAATCAGATCTCCCTGGCTCAAGTTCAAGTGACCCTCCCACCTCAGCCTCCCAAGTAGCTGGGACTACAGGCTTGTGCCACCATACCCCACTAATTTTTGCCTTTCTTTTAGAGACAGGGTTTCATCATGTTGCCTAGGCTGGTCTTGAACTCCTGGGTTCAAGTGATCCACCTGCCTTGTCCTCCCAAAGTGCTGGGATTACAGGTGTGAGCCACCACGCCCAGCCCTAGGGCATAACTCCTATCCTCCTGCTCTCAAGGTGACTGCTGGTATGCCAGCAATCATGTCCATGTTCACACAGGAAAAACTGGGTGAGTAAAAGGCAAAAATAAATGTGCCAATTTTTGTTTTAAGAGATATTTCGGGAGTCCTTCTCTCATTTATACTCCTATCACATTACTCATAATACGGTCACGTGACATCCCCCAACTGCAAGGGAGGTTGGATACATATTTGGATAAGCCCATTTCCTCCTTTAGTAAAACTGATGTTTGTTCACAAGGAGAGAATGGCCATTGGGTAAGCAAGTAGCAGCCCCTGGCACATCTACCTTTAATCCTAGCTAGACATTTTACTTATCTTGGTTAAAAAGTCTTAAGGGGAACCTTAAGACTTAACCTTCTAACCATAAGCAGATTTGAAATACTTTTCTAATAATGAAGAGCTAATTAATTATTTCCAAATCTACAACACTATATTTGAGAAGACTTCCCTTATTTGGTTTTCACTATCTCCTAAGCACTTGGAATCTTAAACCTATGGGGTCTCTTGTATTAATTTGTTCTCTTGTACATGTTCAGTGAAAGCTTCGTGATGTTTTGATCTTATTTTAGGCAAGAAGGACATTTGGATGGAAGATAACATGGAAACTCTAGGCTCCAAGCACCATGCGTACAATTGTTTTATTGCTTTCTTATAATGGTTGCAATGAGTTAGGTAGTAGGAAGGAAACAAATAATACAACCTGTGACAAAAACTCCAGGGTGGTATAGTGCAGGGTTTTTCAATTCTCTTTAGTGGTAAAATTGTGTCTTCAAATGAAATTATACTGAGGACATTTAACTATACAAAAGAGATAAAAAGCTGACTTTCTCTAGTTGAAGTAAGACTGGAGGGACCCCGCCACTCTTTTCACCCACTCCCTATCTCCTTCATGATCCTTGGGGTGCAAGACCACAGAGAGAAAATCTGAAAATCATCATTTCATTAGGTATTTGTCTTAGCTCTGCCATTAGCTGGCTTTGTGACCGTGGACAAATTACTTGCCTTCTCTGGCCCCCAGGTTTGTGATGTAAAATACAGAAGGGTTGAGTCAGTTGATCCTGAAAAGTCCATCTAGCCCATGTTTCTAGGATTTTCCTGGCTACCAGTGTGTATATAGTCAGCTTCTAGTGATGAGTGTTATCTGTGCTTTTCTCATCAAATTGGCTGGAGGCAAAAGAAAAAAAATCCATCCATTAGTATTGACTAGCAAGAAAAATGGGAAATAAGGATGCTTTTCTCTTAAATATTTTCCTGCTCATAGGAAAAAAAAAAAAAAACTGAAGGAAAGTTGGAGTGAAATTCAAATCCCACTGCAGCATTTATCACAATGATCTAGATCTATAGAAAGAAGCCAAGGCTAGTGAAAACCGTCGATTTCAGAACATCTATTATGTGCAAAATACAATAATAGTTCTTTCATATTTTATTTTATTTCATTTAAATTACACAAGACTAATCAGAGGTGATACTATTTCTTTTATTATACAGGAACCTGGACCAGATTTATTCTGGATTAGAACTTATATCTTCTTTCATTAATGTTTCCATTGAATGAGTTGCACCTGGGCCTAGCTACTATTCTAAGCTCAGAATCCCAAACCTAATAAGGCTGCGGGTCTGTCCTAAGGAGCTTTAGTAACTTCTGCCCTTTAAGTCCAGTGTGTTTTCCTTGATACTGTAGATCTCAATCTTTGTCTCAACTTTTGTTATACGTTGAAATTAATGGGGGGGTTGATTAAAATTCCAGTGTTTCTGTCCCCCTCCCACTCTACACTACTTCATTTCGGCAGGATCTGGAGTGGATTCCAGGCATCTGCAGTTTAAACTCACCGCTCATAGCTCTGTCACCTGGCAAAGTTAGGAAACTACAGCTTTATCCTGATCAGGGTTATTGATGTGAACTTCTGCCTTCATAGCCAGATGGTGGGCCCTCATTGGTTGAGCACTGGGCCTCTTTTATTTTTTGTATACTTGGCGTATTGTAGGCACTTTCAAAAATTTTGCAGACTAGAAGAAAAAGAAGAGGAGGAGGAGGAGAGAAGAAAACTTGTATAGCACTGAATTCACCCACACCACTGAAAAATAGACTCTGTAACAGGACACACAAAAAGAGAGGGGTTATGGGCATTTCAGGGTTTTGATGAGATGGCCAAGACGCAGCTCCTGTCTCCTCCCACCCCCATTCATTCTTCTTATGCTGATTTATTTTGTCTAAGAATTTAACACCTGCTTGTTCTGTCCTGCTCACCAAATCCACTACTACTAGTATAAGCTGCTCTAGAGCCAGAATCTGGTCTACTGTTGACTTTTGTACTCCCAGTACATACAACAGTCTGGCACATAATGAAGGGAACGAAAAAAGAATTATGTGATGGCCTGAACCACAGCAGGAAGGAGTGAGATTGGAAGGGATACAGGCTAGTCTTGAGTATTGCAGGACTCATGAGGCAAAATGCTAAGTTACTCCAACACTTAATTAGCTATTTTTATTAAGTGTCCAAGCCTCCTTCATTTAATGGGTGTTTTACTGCTTTTATCTCAAGAAAGATGGCAGAAGTTTGTGTCTTTTGGCTTTGATCACATTATTTCTGGGTTTTGTTACTTAATAAGGCAGAAGTTTAAATTAACATCATTCTCCATTGCCTGTTTTTGGGTTAGCTGTACAGTATAGAGTGCTGGCAATTTTTCAATGGAGGAAAGAAAAGGAAACCTCTGTTTGGGAGCTTTAGGGGGAAAGGAGGGAAAGCCATTTACCTGAGCCCCTGGGGCTACATCTGCTTCTCAGAAAAGATCTGCCATCAAATCAAGCCACCGGACCCCTGTAGGGGCTACAGCTCAGGGACAGGTTGAAGGAGGACTGGGCCAGCTATAGCCTTCAATTGTCAAGGCGGCAAAGAAGGTTGGAAGGTGAATTCACAGTCATTTCTGTGTTCAGGGGTACACTTTAATAGCTGAGGTAAAAAAGTGTTGTCAGAATGAACAAAAGCCACCTCTGCAAGTCCCCTCTTAAAACGTGAAATTGCCTGGGCTATGATCTGAGGTTTATGCCAACTGAATGTGCATTTATTTCTTTTTTCCCTCTTCAATCACTCACTGCAGGGTTAGCTTGATGGTTTACAGAACATGGTAACACTTGCTGCACTTTGGATCACTTCAGCCAAAGGTTTGTTGCTGTATTAATTGGCTTCAGAGAAAACATTGCCTTCACTTAAACGGTTTGAATACCTCTTGTTGAATCATAGGCCTGAGTCAAGTGTTATTAATTCAAGAATCTTTTGTCCATATCAGATAAACGTTGCCATAGCAAATGTAGCGTAAACAGATCTGTTCAAGTCACAACAACCTATAGAAGCCCACAGACAAAGCAGGACCAGTTTTGTCTTCACAGAAGGCCTAGTGCTGCATTAAATGCTATCCAGTTGGCCTGGTGTATAGCCACATGAATCACGCGCTGATGAATGGAACCTGGGATCCACAGATCCCAGGCAGAAGCCTTTGTCATCGGGTTTTATCAAATGTGAACAGTCAGTGGAACATCTGGCTTTAATACTGATAGAAACTGTAGGATTTTGGCTGTTCTCTGGCCTTGCATATTTTCCATCTTCTCTATCAGCACTTGTCAGTGATTTGATGAAGTTAAATCGACTGCATCTGATTCTTCGAGCCCACGAAAAATTGCAGAATGCTTGCTCCTATCTCTCACTCTTACTCACTCAGAGTAAGTTTGCAGTGAGTTGGTTTGGGTCATGAGCCTGAGAATTTAAGGAGGAAAGGGGTGAACAGAGAACCTTCCAAAGCCTCGTCTCAGACGAACACTCCTTTTGCTCAACAATCAAAGACAGCATACTTAAACTGCAAGGGTGATTCCACTGAACCAGTACCAGCCTTTGCTGGTTTGATTGCAGCCAAGGAGAAAAATATGGCAAGAGAGAGGCCCATGACTGAAATGAGTTTGCAGGGCCTTTTGCTCTCAGCTTTCCCCGGAGGACCTCGTCAATCTCACCAACCCTCTGCCGGTCCAGTTGATGTTGTCTGGCACAACTGGCAATCACAGCGCAGAAAATGATAGGACCCAAGTGAGGATGGAGATTGAATTCACACCTCATCACATCCCATAAAGGGCAATTTTTCAAGGTCAGTGTTTAGGTGAATTAAAGGAACAGGGTTTGGCAGAGGGCCCTCTGCTCAGCCCTCCGCAGACCATCCATCCAGCTGCTGCTTTTTTGTGTGCCTGAACTCGTGAGAGCACTCAGACGCATGCGCAGACCCCATCGGTTCTAGTGAGTGCATCTGAACACGTCCAAGCAGGCTGGCGGGTTTGGGTGCAACTTGTTTTTGTTAAAAGATGCCCCCATGATGTCTCAAAATGGAAAATTGAAACAGTGACTACAAATACGTCACCGACAGGAAAATAGGCTTGAGAAGGACCAAATTATTTTCATCTGGGAGCGGGAGATTTTTTTCCTCTGTAAGGTACACAGATTTCTGTAATTTACCTAAATGCTAATGGGGGACCTGTGCACCAAGTATTCTCCCCTGGGCTGCTGGCTGTTTCCTGGGGAGCAGCAGCCTCTGATGCGCAGGACTGACTGCCCAACTGCCTCTGGGAAGAAAATGTTCAGGTGTTTTAATTATCTGAGAGTCCTGTAGTGTCAGAGCCCAAGATCACCTAGCCCTACCCCTTCATCTTGAGGATAAACCAGAGAGGTCCAGAGAGGTGGAGTGAGTTTCCCAGTGCCAAGCAGCTAGTGAGAAGCCGAGGCAGGGCTGAAACCTCACTTTGCTAATTCTCAGTCCTGTGCTCCTTAGTCCTCACACTGCCTCCAAGATAAGGATAAGCAGCATCCCTTGCCATTTCCATTAGGGTGGGTGGGGGAGATCTGCCTGGCCATTTGAAATTCCCTGGTTATATTCTATTAAAGTCAGCGAAACCATCATTTGTTAAATATCTAAATGTTCCTGGTACTATTCCATGTCTTGAGGAACGGGGAAGTACAGTCCAGCATGGGAGACTGTAAGGTACACAGATTTCTCATTATGCCATGGTACTATTGTTCTTCTCATGTTATGGAAAATGAAACCGACGCACAGAGAGGTAGCTAAAAATGTTATGTGAGCCCTAAAGGGGAGAGGGCTAGGAAAGGCTTTTGGGAGAGATGTTTAAGTTGTTTCTTAAGGGATGTGGGAGAGGATTTTGGTGGAAAGAGGTGGAAGAAGACAGCATGGCATGTCAAGAAACAGCATGAGAAATAGCATGGATTCTAGGACCTCTTGTTAATATTGTCTTTTTAAGTGAGAAGTCAAAATCCATTCTCTCTCCCAGTATTTCTGCAAGATCTAACCTAAAAAAGTTGAAATTTGTAATCCTGGAAGTTTCTTCTTGTTCTAGTTCTCTGCTTTGGAGGAGAAACAAAGAAAAAAATATTAGTTAAAAAAGGGCTTTGTGAGTGTATTTATGAATAAATGATGCAGTAAGAAAGAGTGGAACAATGGGTTTTAGGCAGTTTAATTTTGAAGTGTTTATAACTTTTGTTGAGGTGAAGCCTTAGAAGAGCAACAGAGAAGAGAGTCTTGGAGACTCCTATCCCACGTAACCCCCACCCCAACACACAGCACACATGTACACAAATGCATGCATGCACATTGTCACCTGAAGATGAGGCATGCAACACTCTTAGCTCCCAGATTAGAGTGTGCAGATAAGCGGTGTGTGTTGAGGATTGATTTTCCAGTGTTACAGCCATAAGTATGTTTATTGCCGTCCTCCAAACTACATTGAACACACTAACCACCACCACCCATCACATACACACACACATCTGTCCTCTATAATTTTTGAACCATGATTAGTACTGCTTCCATGATTCATTTTCTATATATTTTGGCAAAAAATCGATAGTGTAAAAAGAGTGAACAAATTTATTTAAAAAAAATTTGAGTGCCCTGTTCCATGATACAATTTAGGATATTCCTAGATTGTAATATAGGAATATCCTAAATTTAGGATATTGTATCGAAGTTCAAAAATGAAACATAGTCTAATGTTTCTTGAACCTCAATTCTGCAGTTGGAAAGTTTAAACACCTTGTTATGAACTGAATGTGTCCTCCCAAACTTCATATTTTAAAGCCCTAACCCCCAGTGTGATGGTATTGGGAGGTAAGGCCCTCAGGAGGTGATTGGGTTCATATGAGATCGTGAGGGTTGGGCCCATAATGGGACTGGTGTCCTTATAAGAAGAGGAAGAGAGACCAGAACTTCCTCTCTCTGCCATGTGAGAACACAGCCAGAAGGTGGGCATCTGCAATCCAAGGCCCTCACCAGAGCCCTCAATCCAGGGCCCTCACCAGAATCCAGGGCCCTCACCAGAATCCAGCCATGCTGACAACCCTGATCTTGGGCTTCCAGACTCCAGAACTGTGAGAAATAAATGTTTGTTGTTTAGCCACCAGATTTATGGTATTTTGTTATGGCAGGCCAAGCTAAGACATACCCCAAAGTGTTTTACTCCCTTTGAGCTTATAATTTACATTAAAGAAAAAAGACTCGTAGCTTTAATGAGGCCTGCTTAAGCTTCCTTATTCCACCCCTTAAAACTCATTTTAAGCTGTGTGGGCATGATGGCTCAAATCTGTAATCCCAGCACTTTGAGAGGTTGACATGGGAGGATCACTTGAGGCCAGGAGTTAGAGACCAGTCTGGGCAACATAGCAAGACCGTATCTCTACAAAAAATTAAAACAAAAAAATTAGCTGGGTGCAGTGACACACAGCTGTTGTCTCAGCTACTCAGGAGGCTTAGGAAGGAGGGGCATTTCTTAAAGCCCTTCAGATCCTTCAGTTCCACCCTTTAAAAACTCATTTTAAGCTGTGTGGGCATGATGGCTCACACCTGTAATCCCAGCACTTTGAGAGGTTGATGTGGGAGGATCAATTGAGGCAGGAAGCACTTGCCTCTGCCTCAGTGTTTTCATCTGAAAGTTGTGAATTTGCTCTTAGTACTTTGTAAAGAAATTCAGGAAATAGCATGTCTTTTATCCATTGGTGGAAGAGAAGCTCTATTATACCCAGAGGCATCTAATTTTCTTAAATTTGGTGTGGAGAGGTAGATATTTATATGTAACCATTGAAATGATCATTTGATACTCTTCGGGAAAAAGAAACTAGTTGACTGTTGCTTGGTGTCTTTATGAAAATGAAATACCTGGGTTATAACTTTGTCTATTTATTTTTTAATCAGTAAGCCAGAGGAAAGGGAGATGGAACTTTAATTGCTGAAATTCCCAATTAAATTCTTAATGGCACAAACATCTCAGAATGTTTCAAAGTTTCATTTGGCACAAAGACAAGTCACTCAGACACTTTTTCAAACATTGGGTCAAGATGTTGGTCTGGACACCTCAGAGAATAAACTTATGAAGACTCAAACATGGAGAAAAGGTGTTCCCTGTAGAATTCTGATACAGGCATTTCCTATGGGAACTGAGATTTGTGAAAAAAGATAATTTAGCAAGTTTGGGTGATTTTGTCACCAAAATGAGTAGACTAAAATGAAGCTACTTTTTTTTTTTTAAAGAGAAGTTTTATGTGTGGGTATAGTTCCTAGGTCGGTCCATGTTTTAACAAATGCTGGAAGGAAGAGAAATCTTTCTGATTTCTGTGCCTCCGTAGGGTACCATAATTTAATGTAGTTGGTGGCACCAGACGCTGGTAACCGCAGCCAGCCATTATGGGCAGGGGTTTCAAACATATGGCCTGTGCATTACACCCCCATCCCCTTCCCTCCATCAATTATTTTTATATTGGATGCCAACTTAGGAAATGCCTGGCTCTTGATGCACACTGCCAGCCTGTTACCAGCCAGCCCCCCTCCTTCTCCTCCTCTGCCATATCCTGGAACTCTTCACCCTCCTAGGCCAGAATCGCATGCTGAGCCCTTGTGGTGAACCAAGCGAGGTGACACATGAGAAGATGTGGGTTTGGTGGCACCAAGGGCCTGCCCTTTCTGTCTCCAACTCAACCCCTGCTCAGCGTGCATGCCCTGGACCTGGCCAGCCATTGTGCTCGGTTTCTCCAGCACAGCTCTCTGCTGGGCTGCTGTTAGAGTCGCACAGTGACCTGCAGATCTAAGGGAAAAAACAGATGTCCCAATAAATTTTTGTCAAAACGTAATTACCTCGGGATTAGAAAACCACATGGGGGTGGGGAGGGAAAGGAACAGATGTATTTCCTTCAAATATGCAATCATTATTCTGCAGAAGTTTAAATAATCAAGAGGTTTAAATGATGGCAGTTGAGTGTCTTCTCTCCTCCCCCTGCCTCCACCCCCGTTCTGGTTCCTCCTTTACCTTCAGCTCTGGGCAGTTTGGGAAGCCCCTCCTATTCGCTTTGCATGGATGGAGCTCTGAGCAGGAGGGGGACATCTTGCACAACAGTATCATCCTGAATGCTTTTTCATACATAAATCTCAGCAAATATGACAGGCTATCTTTCCCGCAGGAACCTGGCCAAGTCTTTTCTTCCTCTCCAGCCGACAGAATATGATAAACTATGATAAATTTTCCCAGTAACCATAAAAGATTCTTATTTTCATGATTTGAACTGTTAGGTACAGGTCAAGGCAGTATATCAAACAGGAATTCTTGAGGGGAAAACCTTTTTTCTGTTTTGCGCTTTCACATTTTGTCAAGTGGGAGGGGTTGGTGGGTGCTGATTGAAGAGTCATTCGGTTATTTGTTCACTGGTTGTCATAGGCCTCTTAAGGTGAGATACTGATCTCTTTTAAGTATTCGCCCATAGGCCTAAGTGAGGAAGTTGATTGAGTGGGAAACGTGTGAAGCCCCACGAGGTCCAAGGTTTGAGGAATTTCTGTTGCTGTAGCTCATTGGATGGTGTCTTTATTGGGCAGAGGTTGGGTGAGGTATCTGTTTTCAAGCCTGTCTTCAAAACAACTGTAGCTGGAGCCTGGGCTGAGAGACCCATTGCACTCTTGGATTATAAAATTCTAGTTACAATTTTAAGGCTTTTACTGTTATAAAAAATTGTTTTTGCCTTGGAACATATAAGTTGATATTAAGAATAGTTGCCAATTGTTAAGGGCATGCTTATTGCCAAGGTCTGTGCTAAGTGCATTATGTATAAACTTTCTGATCCTCCTAGAGGCTTCAGAAGGAAGACATTGTTACCCCAATTTAGAGATGTGGTAACCGAGGCTCAAAAATATTAAATAATTGCCATATTCACAAACCTAGTAAGTGAGAGAACTCAAATTTGAATCCACATATAAATGTCTATAAAGACTTCTTCTATCCATTGGTTTGTTATGACCTGGGAAACTTTTATCTTGCATGTAACATAACTGAATAAGCTTTGAAAATGGAAATTATAAACCAACAAGAATAACTCATGCCATGCTGTTCTGGTCATGATATATACATCTTCTGTATGAAGCAAGAGCAATGGAGCCTCCCTTGGCTGACAGTAGACTTACTGTAGGCTAGGTTCTTGCTAGCTCACAATTTGGCCCATTATATTTGGTGCAGAGCTAACATCCTTGGACAGGAAAGAGTTAAAAAGGAAATGTTCAGCAAGGCAGTGAGTAGAGAAGGGTTAGTTCCAGCTGCTTCTGGAGATATCTGATAGAGGGAGTCAGTCAGGAAAAGTCTCTGGGGAAAGGAATTCAGAGTAATGGGGGTGTCTTCCTGTAAGCCGTCAGCCTGAAAGTAGTCTTTTCCCACCTAAGTCCTGAGAGATTTACAAAACTCCTTACTTCACAGCAGCATGGGAAGGGTCATTTTGCAGAGAGAACTAACAAAACACTTTTAGCCTGGAAGAAGTGACAACTTTGGAGCATCCTGCATAATGTGGCTTTATAAACTAGCAAATAGAGTGTTGAGGAAGCTGTAGTGGCTGCAGTGGGATGACTGAGAACTCTGCAGTTAGTTGATAGCTCCGATTTCAAGAAAGGATGAGTCCAATATGAGATGCTGATGCGGACAAGGTCATTCACAGGGCAATCCTGCCTCTCAAGATGACAAAAGGAGATAGCCTAGGACAGAACCAGAGCAGAGACTTTCTACTACTCTAGACTCAGCAGATCTAGTGAGGTGGTTTGTCCTTTTTAAATTTTTAAATGAAAAAAACTAACACTACAGTGACAGTGTGCATATATTTATACAGAAAATCCTCATCACATAAGAATTTATTAATTAGCTTCCTGAAATTAGAAGTTGTATAGGGAAATGGAAAGGGAAAGCAACAAACAGACAACAAGGACAAAATAAACAGTTGCAATCCTCAACACATGTAAAATCTGCCTCTATCTGAACATCATTTGACACAAGCGTATTTCACATTGATCTCTTGATTGGTCAGTCTCTTACAGCATCCAGCAATAAAATGCAAAATATAATAACAATTTCTGGCAAAGTTAAAAACCTTGCAAATGGTATGAAATTTCATAAAAGTGGTGTTGGAGAACTACTCTAATCACAACACTTGAGCATCAAGCAGTCCTAGAGCCTTAGATCTCTTCTGTTTATCACAGAGAAATATATTAACAATGAATATCTCTTGTTATTGACTGAATATTTGTGTCTCCTGCAAATTCATATGTTGAAACCCCAGCCCCCAATGTGATGGTCCTTGGAAGTGCCGCCTTTGGGAGGTGATTAGGTTTAGATGAAGTAATGGGGGTGGGGCCCCCATAATGGGATTAATGCCCTTAAAAGAAGAAGAACAAACTGGAGCTCACTCTTTCTGTGCCATATGAGGGTACAACAAGAAGGTGGCCATCTGTAGTTCAAAGAGAGAGCCCTCACCATCCACCCACCCTGCCAGCACTTTGACCTTGGACTTCAGGTCTCCAGAAGTATGAGAAATAAATTCCTGTTGTCTAAGTCACCAAACCTATAGCAATTTGTGATGGCAGCGCAAACTAACACACTTGTGGAGAACAAGAATTTAATGAGATGGTCTGTAGTTCCTTTGGTTTTTATATTTCACTAAATATGTTTGGAATAATGTTAACAGATAATCCAATTCCTCTTTTACTGAAAACCACTATCAAGAGTCTGAAGACATTAAAAAATACTCTAGGTCTCTGTCTGTTGAGAGGAATATTACAGGTCACTGTTTAACACTAGTTTCTTTAACTACCCCAAACAAATGTCCAGTTATGGAAGAGTCAGTGAAAACTAGAATGTTGCTTGCCTGCTGTTTTTCTCTACATTTCATTAACAGACATCAAATGAAGTCAAGAGTTTAGGCATTGGATCCAAAGAAGGGGAAATTTGATCTATAAATTATGCTGCTGTTTCTTTTACTTATAAGTCATTGAGTAAAACCCATCAGCTATCTGTGAGACTCTCTAAAAACACTGTTAATGCCTTTTCCAAAAATAACATTAATGTTAATTTTTTCTTAGAGGTAACAAAGTTGACCGTAAAAGGATACATGTTTGAATAAATACTTTAGTCTAGATTGCCAGAGAAGTTTTAAAATTTGGGCAGTAAAGGCAATTCTCTTTTTTTTTTTAAAAAAAAAATGTCCAGTTTTCCCTTCCAAAACCTTTTTTATAAAGCACACTTTAATTTCTTACCCCTCCCAAAACATATACTCTCCTTTGATTTAATTTGCCAGAATCTGATTTTCAGTGTTCTTGTAAATTTGTACTATGAAAGCAAGCCAAAAAACAAACAACACATACATACATACATACACGCACAGCCACACACAAACCCCCCAAAACCTTCTATGCTTCCCTAGCTATGTCTCTCTTGGGAGGACCCTTCATTCAAAGGAGCTTTGACAACCCTTTTAACTAGATTAAAGATTCTAACAATCCTGTCTTACAAAACTACACTTTCAAGCTCCTGATTAAGTTAACTTGGGTAAAAGTTTCTTTGATTAGCAGGAAAAGTAGCAACAGTAAATAGCTGTAGTCTTGCTAGTTCCTAAAATGGCAACAGATGAATACGCCTAGGTGGATGCTGACTGTTGAGCACTTTCTATCACCATTTCTTCCTAAGAAACAAGAGTTCATTGGTTTCTTTGTTCACTCACAAGAGCACAGAAAGATCAAAGCCTCAACCTGCCTTAAGCTCTTGGAGTGTTGCCTCAGGAGGGAACAAGAAGAAAAAGTTTCCAGAGTGTTCAGAATGCAAATAACATTGACACCTATTTCAGAGTAAGCCCTGGAGGAGAGAAAACTTATCAGACAAAGCTTTTCTTGCCTAATGCTTAAAGGTGCTGGCATATTTCCCGCTAAAGTTTAATTCATTTTGAAATTTCAAGGACTAAGTTCGATGGTGTGAAATGGGCATCGTTCTATAAGGGCTTCTATGCGCTTTGTTTTGCTGTTTCTGGATACCAACATCTTGGTTATAATGCCAGTCCAGGGATCTGGCAATATAGGTGTTATCTAAATATCAAGATATTTAGATCAACATCTAGATAGTTTTTTTATTTGGACTTTATGAAACCAACAAAAAGGATATTTAGAGAATGACAGAAACAATATTCTGCAGTGTTCCTTCAGTAGAATTTATTGAAGATGTACAAGTATCACAAAATAAGAATTACAGAAGAACTCTTACTCTTTTTTCTTACTCTTTTTTCTTTTTCTTTTTCTCCTCTTTTTTCTTACTCTTGTAGGAATAAATGATTGCCAGTGTCTTCTGTAATTTAGATAACCATCTTTAACATCTGTGTGTCCCTTGATGTTCTCTCTCCATGTTTTGTGTTGGAATGTGTGCTCACGTTGTGGCCCTTTTTAAATAAGTGGCCCTTTTAAAATAGGATGTTGTAGTTTTATTTCTGTAGCTGCTCAAAGTTTACACTTCCCACCCCGCCCCGAGACAGAGTTTTGCTCTGTTGCCCAGGCTGGAGTACAGCGACGTGATCTTGGCTCACTGCAGCCTCCGCCTCCCAGGTTCAAACAATTCTCCTGTCTCAGCCTCCCAAGTAGCTGGGATTACCGGCGTGAGCCACCATGCTCAGCGTTTTGTTTGTTTGTTTGTTTTTGTATTTTTAGAAGAGATGGGGTTTCATCATGTTGGCCAGGCCGGTCTCAAACTCCTGACCTTGTGATTCGCCCACCTCAGCTTTCCAAAGTGCTGGGATTACAGGCAAAGTTTGCAGTTTATGTATAGAGTGTTTCAATTATTTTCTACAGAAGGTGAGCTTCTCTGGCAAAGGCTTAAGGAGACTCACCAGTATGTGGTGGGATTATACTTCGCTGCCTACTCCCTCACAGTCACGTGGGGCAATGTGACTAATTCTAGCCAGTGAGGCATGAGTAGAAAAATCATGTGTCACTTAAATGCCAGAGCATAGCATTGCATTGCCATTGTTGAACCCTTCTACTTGCTCTTCTTTTGCTACAATGACCATGGGAGCATGTGTTGATGTGGAGGGACTGAAGGATTGAAGCTGAATGGTAGGCTGAAACAACACAGAGGACACCTGACTTGGAGAGGTTCCCTGATCGGCGGCAAACTTTGCCTAAACAAGAAATAAATATATGTTTTAAGACACTGAGATTTTTGTGGGCTGTTTGTTATCACAGAATAACCTTTCCTGTTCTGACCTGACTGATACAGCTTTTCTCAATTGTGTTCTGCAAATATTTGACTGTTTCGTCTGTTAGCTAAAATTCTCTAACTTGAGAGCCACTGCTTTCTTTCAGTTGTATTTGCTTTCACTTTAGGTACCTGGGTATGGGGCAGATGAAGACCTTTGGTGAAAAGGAGGTAATTGCTCTTCAGAGATTCTGCTTTAAACACAGATTTTCCCTTAATCACCATGGCACTGCTTGTGTAACACTGTTTGGCATTCCGTAGATGTGTATTGACTTGAGTATTATTTTTAAACCCTCTTGTGCTTGATGTCATGTGAGCTCCAAAGGTTGATTTCTTTTGAGTGTAACAGGATCATTCTAGATGAATACTAATTTATGAACTCTCAGCCCCCTTCCACATCTTTTTAAAACCTAATTCCAGATATTCAATTTCTCCTTGGGCATTCTGAATGCTTAAATGATTGTATATGCTTGACGTGTATTCTATGGCATGGATGTGGCCATTGCCTTATGCTGTTCTCTTTCTCTGCCCTGCTGTGTTCAGAAATGAAGATTTTATTAACAATAATGAGAGAATGTTAATAAGTACTATGGCGTTAAAGCAGCTACTTTGTAGTTACAAGATGAGAAGCTGCTGTTAACAACAACAGCAGCAATACAACAAACCCACAACAGTCTACTTATTGTTCAATAGCTCGTTTATATGCATTACCTTGTTTGACCTAAAGAAAGAGCTAGACTTTTACTATCACCATTAAAAACTGGGAGTTAGAAGTAGTTTGCTTTTTAGCAAAGTAGAACTGCAAAATATGCCTTTAGATTGAGTTTTTCCTATATTTGCTTTTCATATTAATACTTAACAATTTACTTCTTTAGATGTAACAATGAAATAGTAGAATTTTTCAGATGTAATCTATATTTCACAGCCTGAGTGAGGATCAGTTGGCAATTTATATCTGAATCGAAATGAATTATAATCCTGTATATTGAGGTTTTGTCTTCTTTTCCTTCTTCCCCACAACCCCCAGCTCACATCCTTGTCTATCCCACCATAATGTAGACTCCAGCATGGTTTTTCATAAAATGTGAAACATGCCTTCTAAGCTGTATGAGGAAATTCTGACTAGACTCTAGTACTTCTGGGAGGGAAGAAAAAGAAATGGCTGTTTGTAAAGTTGTCATTCTAGATGAGTCAGACTGAAGAAACATCCCCAATGTTCCAAAATAAACAAAAGTTGAACTGATATATCTTATTAACATTTTAAAAAGATAAGACAAATTAATCTAATTTGAAATATGAATGATACACTGGTTCAAGTGGTATTTTAGTTTTTGTAAGAAAACTGTATGACTTGTGCAGGCAATCTGTCTTTCTAGGTCTCAGTTTCTTCCTCTGTAAAAGGAGAAAATTCAACTAGATTACCAGTATGGGTTCTCTAGCACTGATATTTTGTTCCTTCAGCATTCAAAGAATCTAATGGCACATCTGGAATTGATTCACAAAAGAAAGTGTAATCATACCATTTGCCCCCATCCCTATAGCCTCAAACTACTATACCTTTTCATAGTCACAGAATATCCCTTCTCAGATGATAGCATAAATTCAGAAGATTACACTGGGCTTCTCTGTAACTTTGCTCTAATAGGCTAAAGGAAATTACTCCAGTTGAATTTGCATGCTTGCAAACAACGAATCTGTGAAATCAGTGAACTTCACCCAATATCTTTGTCTTTAAAAAATGTTTCTTGAAGGGCCCATAGTCTACTTACGGCCCTGGCATAATTTCATTAATTTATATGGCAAAGGAAAATTGTTTCTTCCTTTTGTCTATGCAGAGAATACTCTAAATTTAAAGCAAATGTAATCTAGATGCATTGTTCAAAATGTTATCCTATTATGTTTCGAAGGGTACATTTTGACTAAAACTGTGACAGTTCTGAAAGATGCTGTTTCTTTTGATAATTTTTGGAAGATGTATTTTTTTCAATGTTGAAATAACTATATATTCACTGGAAGTTGCCAAGGAATGCACAGAGAGACACAAACTTTCCCATGTGTTTTCCATAGGCTATTTGTTGGCCACAATATAAGAGCAGACATGAATACATACAAGAACTAGGAACATTAAAAACATAACATGATATACATTTAATTGTGCTAACTGAAAAACAAGTGACAGCATTAAACCTCTGAACATAGTAGATGAAAACCATCTTAAGAATAAATTATTGTGACTGGGTGCTGTGGCTTACACCTGTAATTCCAGCAGTTGGGGAGGCCGAGGCAGGTGGATCACTTGATGTCAGGAGTTTGAGACCAGCCATGATGAAACCCCATCTCTACTAAAAATAAAAGCATTAGCCAGACATGGTGGCACACATCTGTAATCCTACCTACTCAGGAGGCTGGCTGAGGCACGAGAATTGCATGAAACCGGGACGCGGAGTTTGCAATGAGCTGAGATCGCGCCACTGTACTCCAGCCTGGGCAACAAGTGAGACTCTGTCTCAAAAATAATAACAACAACAATAATAATAATAGATTGTTAAAAGATAACTAACAAATATGGAAGAATCTGAGTACATGGGGATTTAAAAATGTTAGAATGAAAATGAGTAAAACAGAGTCATGTGCTCTGGGAATTCAAAACTTAAAATACATCCTGAGGCTATTGTAAAGAAACTTAAAAAAACCCCACATTATTAAAAAGACACAAAAAAAGAATCAGGAAATGTTACTTTTAAAATTATTCCATAAACCACAACTATCCTCAAAAAGTCGGATAAAGCTGCGTCATATTGTTAACAGCAATTTCCTCTGGATTATGGTACTTGAGTAAGTCTAATTTCCTATGTTTCAATTTCTGTAATACTCCAATTTTATTAAAAAAGCAAACATTTTCTATTGTTATCAAGCAAAAAAGAATCTAGCAAAGAATTATATAAATTATCTACTTCATTGGCTTTGTAACTTGGATAAAGGACAATTCACTCTGCCTTCTCCAGTGTTGACACCTTGCATAACTATAGTACAATGCCAAAACCAGTCGATTCCATTGGTACAATCCACAGAGCTTTTTCAGATTTCACTCCTTATACATAGACTCACTTGTGTCTGTGTTCAATGTAATCATACCATAAGTAGCTTCATGAAAATGTGTTTTAAAAATAAAGCTATAAAGAAATTTGTATTGGGGGCATGTACAAAACATCAATAGTGTTTTTCTCTAACATTAGCTTCTTCAACAGAAGTTCTGCTTCTGATAATGATTGAACATCTCAGTTGATCAGACTTGGAAAGTAGATCAACTTTGCAGTGATAATAACTAAAGAAGATATTTGTAATTGGGAATAAAAAACTGTTTTAAACCACAAAGTTCTACCAAGACAGCCAGTATTTGTGGGTTTAAGATACTGTTAAAAAAAAAAAAAAAGGAAAAATTGAGATAAACCTGGTATTCTAGGCAACTTTTTCTCCTTGATATATGCACTTATATATAAGGGGGATGGGGAGAAATGCTGAGACGCCAAGCATAAAGCATCTGTTTAGGCCGGGCGTGGTGGCTCATGCCTATAATCCCAGCACTTTGGGGGCCAGGGTAGGCAGATCTCTTCAGCTCAAGAGTTCAAGACCTGTCTGGGCAACATGGCAAAATCCCATTTCTACAAAACGTACAAAAATCATCCAGGCATGATGGTGCACACCTGTGGTCCTGTGTACTTGGGAGGCTGAGGCGGGAGTATTGTTTGATCCCAGGAGGTTGAGGCTATAGTGAGCCCTGATCATGCCACTGCACTGATACAGTGAGACCCTGTTTTTTCCTAAAAAAAAAAAAAAAATGTTGAAAGACCCATTGTTTGGAATGGGAGAAAATACTAATTTATACTAGATTCCTAATTTATACTAGATTACACATAGTGTGATCTTTTTTTTTTTGTTAAAAATGCTCATTGTTGCAATCAGAGGTTTCTCTTTTTTTTAAATTTATTTTTATATATTTTTTATTTTTTATTATACTTTAAGTTTCAGGGTACATATGCACAATGTGCAGGTTTGTTACATATGTATACATGTGCCATGTTGGTGTGCTGCACCCATTAACTCATCATTTAACATTAGGTATATCTCCTAATGCTATCCCTCCCCACTCCCCCCAACCCACAACAGTCCCCGGTGTGTGATGTTCCCCTTCCTGTGTCCATGTGTTCTCATTGTTCAATTCCCACCTATGAGTGAGAACATGCGGTGTTTGATTTTTTGTCCTTGCGATAGTTTGCTGAGAATGATGGTTTCCAGCTTCATCCATGTCCCTACAAAGGACATGAACTCATCATTTTTTTATGACTGCATAGTATTCCATGGTGTATATGTGCCACATTTTCTTTTTTTTTTTTTGTATTTTCTTTTTTTTTAAATTATTACTGTACTTTAAGTTTTAGGGTACATGTGCACAATGTGCAGGGTAGTTAGATATGTACACATGTGCCATGCTGCTGTGCTGCACCCATTAACTCGTCATTTAGCATTAGGTATATCTCCTAATGCTATCCCTCCCCGCTCCCCCCACCCGACAACAGTCCCCAGAGTGTGATGTTCCCCTTCCTGTGTCCATGTGTTCTCATTGTTCAATTCCCATCCATGAGTGAGAACATGGGTTGTTTGGTTTTTTGTCCTTGTGATAGTTTACTGAGAATGATGATTTCCAATTTCATCCATGTCCCTACAAAGGACATGAACTCATCATTTTTTATGGCTGCATAGTATTCCATGGTGTATATGTGCCACATTTTCTTAATCCAGTCTATCATTGTTGGACACATAGTGTAATCTTTTAACCACTTTAAAAAGGGTAAACTAACAAAGCTTATTAATAAGGGGGAAAATAAAATAATAAAATGTTAATTAATTAAAAAGAAAGCCAGAAAGTAATGAAAAATAAACATAAAATAGGTAGAAAAAAGAAAAGTATTAGATGACAGATTCAAACTCAAATAAATGAACTAATCTCCAATTATAAAATAGAGATTGTGACCAATTTCATCTCAATAGTTCTGCTTTTTTATCCTTCTTTTGTAGTTTTTCAAATTTGGATTTTTCCCTTCTTCCAGATTTTTAAGAGAGTATCCTCTCCTCTCTTAGCTTGTCCCGGAATTCCTTTGCTTGGTGAAATCTAATCTATGAGACAGAACAGGAAAATGGGAGGAGAACAGCATTTTGCATCTATCTACGACACTTTGGCAGTGAACGTGGAAAAAACATCTCTTTACCTCCTTAGGCTTCTATTCCTTCATGTAAAAGATAAATCCACCGGAATGAATTTTCTCCAAGCCTTTTTCAGGCCTAGGATCCCTTTAAGCCTGGGCTCTGTACCTATGCCATGGGGCTAAAGTTTATCATAATCTCTTATATTTTGAATGCTTTTAAGAGGAAGTGCCAAGAAACTTAAACTTCAAATTTCATCCATCTCTGGTCACATATTCTGTACGCACAATACCTCAAATACAAAAAATAAAGATGAACTGTGTGGCAGGATTGTGGTAAGAAGGTAAGACATACTGTGGTGGAGGGATTACTGGCCCTGGGTTCAGGAGAACTAGGTTCTAAGCTCGATTCTGCTCTTAATTAGCCATGTGATATTGGGCAAGTCATGTGAGTTCTTAGCTTTGCCAGAGAATAAGAAAAGTATATTGGAAAACATTTTATATGTTATATAAAAAAAGAACAAGAACAATAAAAATTAAACGTTTTATTACAAATGAGTTCAAATTAAAATACATGTAACAGATTAGAAAACGATTTGCAACATATCTAAAGGACGAAGGATAAAGTTCTAAAAAATATACAGAGATATTACAAATCAATAAAAAACAGGCAAATAAACCAATAGAATATCAATAGAGGATGTGAACAGGCATTTTGTTGCTAATTTCAGACTTTGGGACAATGTTACGTGTAGAAATGTCCAATAGGAATGTTGTTGTTCATCAATAACCATATTCCTGCTGTCAGATATAAGTTCAACTCATAGAATATATAAGTCTATTAACTACAGTATTTTGATTCAAGGAACTTCACTCTGGTGTTGTATGAAAGCAATGGAAGTAGGAACAAGAGGCAAGGATGAAGACTATACTTGCTCTGCAATTTTAGACATTCCACTGAGTCTTATCTCCTTCCCTAGAAAACTGTGTGTATAATAATATTTGCTCAATTTTCCTGATCAAAGACAAAAATAAATAAGAAATTGCTTTGTATTTTACAGATACAAAGCGTTATTATTATTGAAATATTTTATAAAGTAAACTCTAAAGAAGTCTACAAATGTGATTGGTGCCAGTTACAAGGAACCAGAGGCGAGAATGGGATGATTGTTTTCTGTTCACCAGTTACTGTGTTCCAATATCCTAACTCTGCCAATGAGATATGTGACATGTCAAAAAGTGGCTGTGGCTGGGCGTGGTGGCTCACGCCTGTAATCCCAGCACTTTGGGAGGCTGAGGAGGGTGGATCACAAGGTCAAGAGATCAAGGCCAACATGGTGAAACCCCGTCTCTACTAAAAACACAAAAATTAACTGGGTGTGGTGGCGCGACCTGTAGTCCCAGCTACTCGGGAGGCTGAGGCAGGAGAATCGCTTGAACTCGGGAGGCAGAGGTTGCAGTGACCCGAGATCACGCCACTGCACTCCAGCCTGATGACAGAGCAAGACTCCGTCTAAAAAAAGGAAAAAAAAGGTGGCTGTGATGCATTTTTTCTTTTAATGTTCGTATATACTTGTTCTGCTTTATATTCCCCTGCATGTTCAAGAACTTAAAAGTTATACCAGTAATCCAAATATATATTCTTCAAATAAACAAACTAAACTAGGCAGAATAAAAAGCAAATGTTTCCTTCATCCTTTCTCATCCAGCTTCCCCCTCCTTGGAGAAACATTTGGAATGCATCTTTCTACATCTTTTTTCATGTGTTTATATAAGTATTTAGGTGTTTTTTTCCCACAAAAGTAATCATACTGTACTTGTGTTCTGCAACTTGCCTTATTTTGCTGGTTAACTTAAGAACATGCTTTACAGATCATTTAAGAGTAGTAAATACAACATATTTGATTATTCTTAATTGTTGCATATTATTCCATAAAATAGATATACTATTAAGGTTATTAAAGATGTTTCAACTAATAGATGCACAGTTAGGTTGTTTAAGGTTTGTGTAATTATGTGAGAGTATTTTTGAAGGAGAGATTTCTAAGAATGTAATTGATCAAGCAAATATTTATTACATGTAATTAGATAAATATTGCCAAATTATCTCCCAAAGGCAGAGTTTAGGTTTTCCAAATTGCACTCCCATCAACGAAACATGAAATGCCTTTTCTCCCACACCATCACAACAATGCACATTCTCAAAATTTAATTTTGGCTCATTTGATGAGAGAAAATAACTCACTGGTTAATAGTGAAGTGAAACAAAATTTTACACATACTTTCTATATATCCTTGCGTTTCTTCTTCTGTGAATTGCCTGTTCATATCCTTCACCTGTTTTCTGTTGGATGATTTGTCTGCTTCTTACTGATTTGTTAAAATCTCTTTACAGTTTTTGAGTCTTTATTTTTTGTCCCTTATATATGTTGCAAATATTTTTTCAACTTATTACATGTGTTTTAATTTATTAATGATACCACTTGTCATAAAAGTTTAAATTTTCATTTTTTGTTCTTTTTTTGTGACTTCTATGTTTTCCAGTGTGCTTTTCTAATATTTTTATTGTTTTGTTTTGTATATTAAGGAATTTTTTTAGTAATCTGGAGTTTATTTGGGGATATGATAGGAATTATAAGTTTAACTTTTTTTCCCAAATTGATAGCAAATTATTTCAACATGGTTATAAAAATTAATTTAGTCCTTTCTATGGTTGTTGAGTATAGCATTTTGTATATTAAATTTCAATGACACATGATTCTATCTCTGAAGCTCTCTATTCTATTTAATTAATCTAATTGTGTAAGCTTGCATTATAATAGTTTTAATTATGTGTCTTTTCTTCTTGAAACTTTGAAAATTTATCTTTTTCTTAAATAATTTTGCCATCTTTTAGATCACCGAACAATTTTTCTCCTTTAATCTATTAATTTTGTAGAATTATAGTAATGGAGTCCCTGATGTTGAACTATCCTTACACCTCTATGAAAAGCCTGTTTGGTTGTTGTTTTCATGCAATGCTGGATTAGATTTTCTTACACCAAAGATTTTTTTATTCATGTACCAAATGAGATTGGCCTCAGAGAAAGATTCCTCCAAATCTTTCTCTACACGTTTGCATAAATGGCTTTATATTTTAAAATAAAGATTATTATACTAGATTTTTGGATTGAGCTGGGAAGTTTTCCATCTTTTTCTATGCTTTGGAAACAATTATACAATATAGCAATGATCTGTCCTTTGAAAGTTAGATATATATACCCATGATGTTGCCTGGGCTAACTCTAGTTTTAGAGATAGATTTTAATTTTGATAGTAATTATTACATTTTAGGTGGCTATATTTAAATATAATTGCTTGGTTTTGAATGTTTTTATGTTTTGTATATAAATGCTGCTTAAGGTTTGCTGGTTTCATTGCTTTACTAGCCAGTACATCTCCTGTAAATACTGTACTGTGATCTTACCACTTCTCCATCAATTGTGTCACACAAAGTAACTCAATATAGGACTCATACTCTGGAGTAAAACAAGCCTTAAACCTTTTAGTCTTCATTTTCTCAGTATCAGCTTTATTATCATTATTTAGTTTACTACTACTGTTTTCAGAAAAAAATGGATCTTTTCTTGACTCTCCTTCCCCCAAAATGTCACTGAAGATCACCTTAACTTTAGTATATTAAGGATAAAAATATAAATATTACTTCCCCAATTTAGCTAATAATGATGAACCATAAACTTAAAAATAAGCTTGATTAAAAATGAAAGTGGTTACAAAAGAACAAATTATAAAAGTAAATACATGCTTTGTTCCACAAATTTTTATATGCTTTTGGCATTCAGTTAATGAACTAACAAAATGCCAAGTGTTGTCACATGTCATACCACATGTGATTCATCATGCAATTTCAACAACCCAGCTAGTTTGTACACTGTTCAAGGAGATTTATTGCCTGATCATGGTCTTGGATGTTGCAGCAAAGTCAAATTGTTTCTAAATACTTACTTTTACTTTCTGTATTTGTTGTGGTCCAGTAGTAATGCATTTGTAGACTGGCACCAGAATGGGGGCCAATGTTGTGCAGTACTGTTGTAGGTCGCCCCTTTAAGTGGTAGAATCAAGATTCCAACCAAGGAGTGTGCACTGTTCTCTTGCTTTCTCAGTGGGGTGCTTTTGGACTCCTTGGAATCCTACTCTGCCATGATTAGCTATTTTGTTTCCAGCTCCTTCCATGTACACAGGCTTGGAACCAACCAGACCCTCTGTAAAAAGTTCAGCCCTGTTATGTCCTTTTCCCTGGAGGTCATCAGATCCCCTTAGGTGAACATCTGGGGACTTAACTTGTTTCCTAGACCATTATTAGCTGGTGGCAAATACTCATTTCCCTTTCTCTGAATTTAAAGCCAAAGACAATCTCCATCTACTACTTGCTCAAACGGGGTTCTAGTCCTTCAACTCACCATGGAGGAGATATCAGGGATTCCAACAGAGAGAGAAAGCATTACTAGTGATGCTTAACTGTGCCTCTTGTTATCAATTTTCTTTTCGAGATAGAGTCTTGCTCTGCTGCTCAGGCTGGAGTGCAGTGGCGCAATCATAGCTCATTGCAGCCTCGACCTCCTGGGCTCAAGTGATCCTCCTACCTCAGCCTCTTGAGTAGCTAGGACTACAGGCATGCACCGCTGTGCTTGGGTAATTTTAAACATATTTTGGAGAGACAGGATCTTAGTATGTTGCCCAGACTGGTCTTGGACTCCTGGTCTCAAGTGATCCTCCTGCCTCAGTCTCCCAAAGTGCTGGGAATACAGACATGAGCCACCGTGCCTGACCTGTTATCAATTTCTTAGTAATAGAACTATGAAAATGATTAGATGTTCGTCTCTTTATTCAGCACCCATTTATAGCTGCTTAGTCCCACCCTCCCGTGATTCTTCCCTTAGAAACTATGACCTTTTTGCAATCTTTTCTTTAGAAGCAGATTCACTGCAAATAATTAAAAACTCAAAATTTTGATTAGACTTCATGTTTGGTAGGAACTGTTTATTTATTTTTCCTCTCACAATATCTAATAAATATTTATTTTTATCTAATAAAACTCCAAAGATATATTTAGGATAGAGAATGAAATGCTGCTGACCAAATTAGAGTCCTTCAGATTATTTAATTCAGGCTAGCTTATTTCAAAGCAGTGGCCATCAGGAGGAAGAGGCTGTAGATAAATACTGAATTTCTTAAAAAGTAATTGTGTGCCTCATCCTTCCCTTTTTAAATCACAGAAGTAATGAATATTCTTGAGAAAGTACAATATATTTTACTAAGAAGTAAAAGGGAAGTAAGTTTAATCATCCTAAAGCTACCACCCAGAGGAGATAATTTACTATATAACCTGCCAGAAAGTTTGTGCAAGTTTACCTATAAATATACTGAAAAGTGTCCATTTCCTCTGTGTGTGTATTTGTATCCTGAATTTTTCACTCACGTATCAGTAAATACAAGTCTGCTTCATAATGGTGACGTGCCATTCCATTGTGTGAGCGATTACAATTTATATAGCCATACTCCTGTTATTGGATGTTACATTGTTTCTAATTTTTCACTACTTTAAACGCACTGTAACAGAAACAATTGAAGCATTTTGTTTTAAATATTTGGTGCTAATTATATAATGCATCTCTGGGAAAGGAGGATCCACTCAAGCTATTAAGAACTCCTGCTCTATTGGCGGGATTCGATGACAACATGTCTCACAGGAAGTTCTCTGCTCCCAGACAGGGGTCCCTGAGCTTCCTGCCTGGGAGGCATGGCAGCAGGCATCATGGGAAGGTGAAGAGCTTCTCCAAGCTTGACCCTTCCCAGTCAGTCCACTTCATGGTATTTCTGGTTTACAAGGCTGGCATGACCTACATTGTGTGGGAAGTCTGTAGGCCAGGATCCAAGGTGAACAAGAGGGAAGTAGAAGCTGGGCCATTGTGAAAATGCCACCCATGGTGGTTGTAGGAATTGTGGGCTATGTGGAAACTCCTTGAGGCTTCCAGACCTTCAAGACCACCTTTGCTGAGCACATCCAGGATTAGTACAAGAGGTGCTTCTATAAGAACTGGCATAAATCTGAGAAGAAGGCCTTTACCGAGTACTGCAAGAAATGGCAGGATGAGGATGGTGAAAAGCAGCTGGAGAAGAACTTCAACAGCATGAAAAAGTACTGCCAAGTCATCTGCATCATTGCTCACACCCAGATGTGCCTGCTTCCTCTATGCCGGAAGGCACCTGATGGAGATGCAGATGAATGGAAGCACTGTGACCGAGAAATGAGAGTAGTCCCAGAAGAGTCTAGAGCAGCAAGTACCTGTGAACCAAGTGTTTGGGCAGTATGCAATGATCAATGTCACTGGGGTGACCAAGGGCAAAGGCTACAAAGTGGTCACCAGTCATTGGCACACCAACAAACTGTCCTGGAAGACCCACTAAGGGCTGCACAAGGTTGCCTGTGCTGGGGCATGACATCCTGTCCATGTCGTTTTCTCTGTGATATGCACCGGGCAGAAAGGCTGCTACCACTGCACTGAGATCAGCAAGAATATGGCAAACTGATTAAGAACAATGCATCCACTGATTATGATCTGTCTGACAAGAGCATCAATCCTCTGGATGGCTTTGTCTATGGTGAAGTGACCAATGAGTTTGTCATGCCGAAAGGCTGTGTGGTGGGAACCAAGAAGTGAGTGCTCAGCCTCTGCAAGTCTTTGCTGGTACAGAGCAGTGTCCTCTGGAGAACACTAACACCACCTCCAAGTTGGCCATGGCGGCTTCCAGACCCTGGAGGAGAGGAAAGCATTCATGGGACCACTCATGAAAGATGGAACAGCAGAGGAAGAAGGAGCTTAATGTCAGGAGCAGATGGCGCAGCCAGTGGGGTATCAATAGAAATTATTTTTTTCTACTGAAAAACAGAACAAAAACTCTGAATCATAAGGTTGGTTGATGTCATTCATTTTACTTTGTGCTTTATAACTTCCATTTATAAAACAAAACAAAAAACAAATAAAAATACTCCAAAATTATAACAAACCACTCCCTATATCTAGAACTGCAATATGAGTTTGAAGGTGGGCAAACCTGTTCCCCAGCTACTCCCACCCATAATTCTCCACCCCACATTCTCTTACGCTATCTAGAATCATGTGGCCTTAATTTTTAATCATTTTTTTCTCCTTAAAAACGAAGAGATAAGAAAATTCAAAGCAGAGATTTGATATACAGGTACCTTGTTTTATTGCACTTCACTTTATTATATTTTACAGATATTGCATTTTTTACAAATTGAAGTTTGTGGCAACCCCGTGTCAAGAAAGTCTACTGTGTACCATTTTGCCAACAGCTTGAGCTCACTTCATGTCTCTGTGTCATATTTGGATAAACCTTGCAGTATTTCAAATTTATTATTATTATATCTGTTATGGTGATCTCTGATGTTACTATTGTAATTCTTTTGGGGTACCACAAATCACACCTATATAAGATGGTGAGTTTAATTGATAAATATGTCTGTCCTGACTGCTCCACTGACTGGCAGCTCTCCATCTTTCTCCCTCTCCCTGGATTTTCATATTCCCTACAACATAAAATATTGAAATTAGGCCAATTAATAACACAACAATGGCCTCTAAGTGTTCAAGTGAAAGGAAGACTCACATCTCTCTCACTTTAAACCAAAGCTAAAAATGTTTAAGCTTAGTGAGGACAGCATGTTGAAAGCTGAGACAGGCAGAAAGCTAGGGTTTTTGTGTCAAAAAGTTAGCCAAACGGTGAATGCCAAGGAAAAATTCTTGAAGGAAATTAAAAATGCTACTCTAGTGAACACATGGATGATAAGAAAGCAAAACAGCCTTATTGCTGTTATGGGGAGAGTTGTAGTGGCCTGGATAGAAGATCAAACCAGCCACAGCACTCCCTTAAACCAAAGCCTAATCCGGAGTAAGGCCCTAACTCTCCTCAATTCTATGAAGGCCAAGAGAGGTAAGGAAGCTGCAGAAGAAAAGTTTGAAGCTAACAGAAATTGGTGCAGGAGGTTTAAGGAAAGATACCATCCCCATAATATGAAAGTACAAAGTGAAACAGCAAGTGTTGATGTAGAAACTGCAGCAAGTTATCTAGAAGATCCAGCTGAGATCACCAATAAAGGTGTCTACACTAAACAACAGATTTTCAATGTAGATGAAGCAGCCTTCTCTTGCAGGATGATGCCATCTAAGACTTTCATAACTAGAGAGGAGAAGTCAATGCTTACCTTCAAGGGACAGGCTAACTTTCTTTTTAGGGGCTCAGTGCAACTGGTGACATTAAATTGAAGCCAATGCTCATTTACTATTCTAAAAATCATAAGGCCCTTAATTATTATGCTAAATCTACTCTGCCTGTGCTCTATAAGTGGAACAACAAAGCTTAGATGACAGCGTATGTTTACAGTGTGGTTTACTGCATAGTTTAAGCCCACTGTTGAGATCTACTGCCTAAAGAAAATATTCCTTTTAAAATATTACTGCTTATTTGACAATGCACCGGGTTCAGCCAAGAACTCTGATGGAGATGTACAAAGAGATGAATGGTTTCACGCCTGCTAACACAACATTCGTTCTGCAGCCCATGAATCAAGGAATAATTTCAACTTTCAAGCCTTATAATTTAAGAAATATGATTTTTAAGGCTACAGCTGCCCTGGATAGTTGTTCTGTGATGGATCTGGGCAAACTAAATGGATAACCTTCTGGAGAGACTTCACCATTCTGGATACTATTAAGAACAATGGTGATTCATGGGAAGAGGCCAAATATCAACACTAACAGGAGTTTGGAAGAAGTTTATGTCAGTCTTCATGGATGACTTTGAGGGGCTCACAAATTTAGTAGAGGAAGTAACTGCAGATGTGGTGGAAAGAGCAAGATAACTAGAATTATAAGTGAAGCCTGAAGATGTTACTAAATTTCTATAATCTCATGATAAAATCTGAACAGATGAGGGGTTGCTTATGGATAAGCAAAAAAGTGGTTTCTTGACATGAAATCTCCTTGTGAAGGTGCTGTGAACGTTATTGAAATGATAGCAAAGAATTTAGGATAGAAATAAACTTCGTTGATAAAGTAGTGGCAGGGTTTGAGAAGATTGACTCCACTTTTGAAAGAAGTTCTATTGTGGGTAAAATACTCTTAAACACAGCAGCTACAGAGAATCTTTCACGAAAAGAAGAGTCAATTGATGTAGCAAACTTCAGTGATGTCTTAGTTTAAGAAATTGACGCAGCCATCCCAACCTTCAGCAACCACCACACTGATCAGTCAGCAGCCATCAACATAGAGGTAAGACCCTCCACCGTCAGCAAGATTATAACTTGCTGAAGGCTCATATGATCATTAGCATTATTTATCAATGAAGTATTTTTAAGTTAAGCTATGTGCATTACTTTTTTGGGCTTAATGTCATTGCATACTTAATATATAGTACAGTGTAAACATAACTTTTCTATGCAGTGGGAAACCGAAACGTTTGTGTGACTTGCTGTATTGTGATATTTGCTTCGTCACAGTGGTCTGAAACCAAACCTGAAAAATCTCCAACGTATGCCTGTACTCAGAGCAATTTAACAAATAAATAATTGGGTGCTCATCTTGTGAGGATGCTAAGATGAATAATGGGACAAGAAGCTAATATTTATTGTTTCCTCTGTGTCAGCTTTTAAATATTCATATTTTACTCAGTCTTCACAATACCTCTTCAAAGCTGGTGTCCCAGATGAGGAAACTGAGTTCTGGGGAAATCATGTGATTTAACCAAGATCAAATCTAGTAAGTGACAGAGAGAAATTGGAACCCAGGGCTTCGTGGCTTCACTATTACCTCTTTCCTATGGATAAGCACAGCACTTAACCTCAAGAGTTCACTAAATGGTGGCATAATGAAGAAGTTATGGCTGACTATAATTCATTTGCCTACATGCTTGTAACTTGTCTGTTTACTTTTCTCTAATGTGAGGGGAAACCCAGGTAGTTCCTTACTATGAGGAAATGCTATTCTCAAGCAGGATTGAAACGGAAATGATTATAATGAAAATATGTTTGTGGAGACAATACTGGCATGGCGTAGCAAATGATGTATCCATGGGAGACAGGGACTTTCAAGAATTATAAAAGCAATCTTAAAAATTAGTCAAATATATGTGGTCACCACTTATTCAATGATGAGAATAATAATAATAATAATAATTTTTAAATCCGCCACTACCACCAGTAAGAATAATTTGCTCACCATCTTCTAAAGTTGGAAAGGAGTAGGGATCAGATGAAGTTTGGAAGTAATCAGCAAGCCTCGGATGGTTTAAAAGGGTCAGTTCACTTTAATAAGTTGGGAAACACCTTTAGTACATGATGGTATTTTTTTTTCTTTTCTTTTCTCTGTTTTTTTTTTTTTTTTTTTTTTGAGATGGAGTCTCACTCTGTTGCCCAGGCTGGAGTGCAGTGGCGTGATATGGGCTCACTGCATCCTCCACCTCCTGGGTTCAAGTGATTCTCGTGCCTTAGCCTCCTGAGTAGCTGGGGTTACAGGCACCATGCCACCATGCCTACCATGTCTGCCACCATGCCTGCCCCCATGCCCAGCTATTTTTTGTATTTTTAGTAGAGACGGGGTTTCACCATGTTGGTCAGGCTGGTCTCGAACTCTTCACCTCAAGTGATCTGCCCACCTTGGCCTCTCAAAGTGCTGGGATTACAGGTGTGAGCCACTGTGCATGGCCCATGATGGTATTTTCATTTCAGCAACCATACATGAGCAAATGTACTTAAATATATATATATATATGTGTGTATATATACATATATATACACACACACACATATCTTTCTTTTTTAAAATTTAAATCTATATACACTTAAAGCAAGACTCTTAATTAAGATCCTCCTGGTTGGATTTGCTGCCCAGGAAGCCAGAGAGTGTTCCTGCTGAGTCCTCCTGGAAGGAAAGTGTATTAGGAATCTTTCCTCCACATCTCTGTTTTTTCACTTCTTTGGACCTTCCTGCTTGAAAGAAATGACTATGCTTAGCTTGAAGAAGAGATGCCATTACATAAGGTATTAGCCAGTTCAAGTTCTGTTTGAAATGCAACACACAAACAAACCAATAGGAACTTTTTTTTTCTGTTTAAATCTAGAGATCAGAAATAATACCACCAAGTGAGAGTTGCAGATAGGCAAATTTTATTTCAAGAGAGAGCTGAATATACTAAAAGCTATGATATGGTGAAAAGAGGACCAAGGTCAGGACTAGAAGTTTCAATTCTATGTCCTCCCCTCACTAGTCATTTCTTAATCTGCCTGGACCTCAGGTTGTTTATCCAGGCAACAGTGAAAAATACTTGCCTCATCTACTTGTCAGGACTACTAATGATGATGAAATGAAACAATATATGTGAAAGTCACCTGTGAACAAGGAATGGTATATACTATTTGTTATCATAGTTATAGTCAATATTATTATTAGCTTCCACAATGCTTGATATAACTTGGTACTTGGTTACAACTTGTTTCTGTTGTTTTAATAACATTCCCATAGCCAAGAGCTGGAGTTTTGGAGCTCTGTGTGTTAGAGCTGGGAGGTTATGTGAACCTATTGAAAAATGATGGCTGATAACCAAAAAGAAGAATATGAGAAATTTGTGGGCTGTTCACCCCTAGTCTGGATTTATCACTCTTAGCTAGCTGGCCAGATTTTCTCTATAGCCCTGACCCCTATGTGTCAACAGGAGTTTCTGTGCTCAGAAAAGAGGAAAAGGTAGGAGGTTTCTTAAACTCACATTAACATTAAAGATAGACAGACACACACCAAAAAACCCAAAGCAAGGATGCTGACAAAACACATTACAGTTGGTCTGTAATTTCCAGAGAACCAGGTTGCAGTGCTCACCCAGTGGTATGTTTTTTGTTTGGGTGGGGGTGAGGCGGTTAGAAAGACCTTTTGTCACAGTTGGATGAACGGGGAGACATCGGCCTGACCACCTGAGTCTAGGTTGAGATCTGGGACGGAAGAAGAAGTACAGGTTCTTTGGCCTTGTGTATGTCCTGGCATTTTATACCTCCACAGTATTCTACCTAAGGATTGGTCAGGACTTGAAGGAAAATTCTTTCTCTGAAGCAGTTCCTGAAATTCCACAGAGTAAGAATACAACCTGTTCACACAGTGGATGACCTTCTGGGCTTGTGTTTAAGAAAGATCCCTATACTCAGAGAAGGGCCAGCCCGGTATGGTCCCAGGGCAACAGGGCCTTCATAGCTGAATGACTGGGAAATGTCAGTGTTGCAATCTTTCCTTTTGAATTACAGTATTGGATTATTTTGCTTGCCTTTCTTCCTCTTTCCTCTCTTTATACATTCATTTTCCCCTCATCCTCATACATTTTCACTCTTCAGAATCCCACTCCTCTTTCTTTCTTTCCTCTTTCCATCCGTTACTTAATGGATACACACCTTCTGCAAGTGGTGTGTTTGTTCTTGTTGTTGTTCGTTTTGTTGTTTGTTTGTTTGTTTTGAGACAGTATCTCTCTCTGTTGCCCAGGCTGAAGTACGATGGCAGGATCATAGTTCACGACAACATCAAACTCCCAGGCTCAAGTAATCTTCCCTCCCTCAGCCTTCCAAGTAGCTGGGACTATATGTTTGCACCAGTGTGCCTGGCTAACTTTTTAAATTTTTCGTAGACACATGGTCTCACTATGTTGCTCAGGCTGGTCTTGAACTCTTGGGCTCAAGTCATCTTCCTGCCTCAGCCTTCCAAAGTGCTGGGATTACAGGAATGAGCTAACGCACCTGCCCCTGCAAGTATGTTAACTGCTTTGTGTCCCATTTTCCTTATGTGTAAAGTAATAATAAGGATCCTCACTTACTAGAGGTTGAGGGCAGTTTATACCTGTTGATTCCCTTTCCTTTCTTTTCTTATATTTTCCTTATCAGTTTTCTTTAAAGGTTTTTTTTCCATTTTTCTTTCATTTTTTTTCTTTCTTTCTTTTTCTTTTGAGACAGGGTCTTGCTTTGTCACCTAGGCTGGAGTGCAGTGGCGTATTCACAGCTCACTGTAGCCTCTATTTCCTGGGCTCAAGTGATCCTCCCACCTCCACCTCCCCAGTAGCTAGGACTGCAGGTGCCCACCACCATATCTGGCTAATTTCCAAAAAAAAAAAAAAAAAAAAGAAAAGAAATTTTAGATATGGGGGTCTCACTATGTTGCCCAGGCTGGCCTCAAACTCTTTGGCTCAAACAGTCTTCCTGTTTTGATTTCTCAAAGTGTTGGGATTACAGGTATGAGCCACTGTGCTTGACCCCCCTTTTGCTTTTTTTTTTTTTTCTCCTCGGCCTCTCCTCTCTTCCTTATGTGCAAAACTGTCTCTCATCAACTTAGCTTTATGCTTTCAGTAAGCCACTTTGGAACATTCTTTTCTATGGTCTAGCCACCTCTCCTTGGCTGCTATGGCAGGTGGAGTGGCTGCCCTGAGTAAGCCTTTCAGAATTGAAGGTAGAGGCTGGGCACAGTGGCTCACACCTGCAATCCTAGCACTTTGAGAGGCTGAGGTGGGTAGATTGCCTGAGCTCAGAAGTTCGAGACCAGCCTGGGCAACATGGTGAGACACCATCTCCACTAAAAATACAAAAGATTAGCCAGGCATGGTAGTGTGTACCTGTAATCCCAGCTACTTGGGAGGCTGAGGCAGGAGAATAACTTGAACCTGAAAGGCGGAGGTTTCAGTGAGCCAGGATTGTGCCACTGTATTCCAGCCTGGTTGACAGAGACTCTGCCTCAAAACAAAACAAAACAGAATTGAAGGCAGACCTGCATTTATCTGCGATCTTCTTCCACAGATAAATGCAGTGTTGCTGAACCCAAGGATATCATAAATGCAGAGTGTGATTTGATGGTTTACATGTCTTCCCATGCTCAATTGCAACTGGTGGCATTTTCGTTTTTTAGTGAGAACCAAATAGGAAGTAGTTTGTGGAAGTCTTGTCAACAACTAGAATTATTTGATTCTTGATATATTCAGCAAAAATCTTTCACTTTTGAGGATGTAGCTTGCAAGACCCTTTGATTCCTAACAACAAATCTAACTCCACCTTCTCCCAGCTACTTCTCAGTGTCCAGTTCATTGGAGCTACAGAACGTTGACACTTCTATGTACCTTAGAAAAAATAGGTTAATGTTGACTCAAACATTCAGGGAAGTGTTCTCTGCCAGGGATATGATATGGTTTGGCTGTGCCCCCACCCAAATCTCATCTTGAATTGTAACTCCCATAAATCCCACGTGTTGTGGGAGGGAGCCTGTGGGAGGTAATTGAATCATGGGGACAGGTCTTTCTCATGCTATTCTCATGATAGTGAATATGTCTCATGAGATCTGATGGTTTTATAAAAAGGAGTTTCCCCGCACAACCTCTCTTGTCTTCTCTGTCACCATGTGAGATGTGCCTTTCACCTTCCATCATGATTGTAAGGCCTCCCCAGCCATGTGGAACTGTAAGTCTAATAAATCTCTTTCTTTTGTAAATTGCCCAGTCTCGGGTATGTCTTTATCAGCAGCATGAAAACAGACTAATACAAACAGTATACCTGATTGAATTGGAAAGTGAAGCTCCATGCTTACAGCTGGCTGGGACCACTCAGCTTTTGCTCAATCTGTGTTCCCACCACATGCTGGGTGCTGAACCAGGCACCAAAGTTACAATGGTGGGCAAGGAATCTTCTGTGTCCTAAGTGGTCACCAACTAGTGGGAGTGAAAGCAGGTAAATGGACAGTTTCTCTACCTGTACTATAGGTAAACTCAAAATTGGGAAGAGTACCAGTGGTCATGGGCAACTTCTCTACCTGTACTCCAGGTAAGTCTAGGATATTGGGGACATACTAGCGTTGGTGACAGCTGGACATCTTGGGTGTGTTGGTGAGCAGGATTTCCCAAGAAGAAACACCTGACTTGGGTCCAAAAATAGATGAGGAGAATTTAGATTTGAAATGTACTAGGCAGGGAGAAAGAGAATTTTCTAGCTGGAAGGAGCAGCCCGTTCTGAGGCCTGGATATGTGAGTGAGAGAATGGTGCATGTGGGGGTTCAGGTGGCTCCATGAGACAGGATTGGGGAGTGTGGAGGCAGGGATTGGCAGGAAGATAGAGAGGGACATGGAGGCCAGGAAGCTTTGACTGTTATGGGAAGGTATATGGACATTTTTTTCTGTAGGCAGGAAGGAACCCTTGCGGTCTGTTAAACAGGGAGAAAACATGACCATATATACTACTTGAGTAACCTCACTCTTAGTTTTAGTAGAATCATCCACTGACAGGAGAGCAAGACTGGATGCAGGAATCCCAGCCAGGAGGGTGGCTACCAACATGGCTACACCTGGAATTGCTGGGGAGCTGCACAAAGTACGGATGCCTCTGTTTTACCCACAGAGACTCTGATGTAATTGGTCTGGGATGTAGCCTGGGCTTTGGAATTTTTAAAAGCTTCCCAGGGGATTCTCATATACAGCCAAGCCTGAGAACCACTGATGTAAGAGAGGCAGAAATGAAGATACTGAAGGACTGTTAGGCTGGCTGGGCTTGGGCAGGACCGTACTCCAGTGCTTCCTTTAGAAAGAAATTTCTCTTCTTTTAGAAGCAGTTGGCAGGTCCAGTCTGGAACTTGATGATCAACTGCAAGTGGGGTCACAAGTGACTGTGAGGTGACCTGTGAGCCTATGAGTTTCATCAGTACAAAGCGCGAGACTTTCATTGATGGGAATTAACAGAATCTCAAGAATGAATTGGTCAGTGACAACTGGGGTTGGTGGAGTGGGGAAGGAAACACATAATATACTTAGAATATATGTTATTTCTGAATTAGCATATGTACATATAACCACTTATACATTTTGTCTAAATTTGGCTTTAATTTTCTTCTTCAAATTGATTGAGATTGGACAGAAACACTTTAAATAAACGACATTGCAAATTTTATATTTAGCCTGCCCAAACTATGGGTAATTTGTGAACAACCAAAACAACAACAACCAAAAAGCAGCGTTTATTTTAAACTTCAAAAAGGATTTATTCAGTTTCTTTCTTTTGTTTTTCCATGCATTGTTTCTCACAGAAAGCACAATACCACACCGCACACTCCACATTTCCCCCGTTTCTATTTAGCCCTTCTAAGAATTGCTCAGCCCGAGAACACTGAGAACATTTGGGCACGTCCAAATACCATGGACTTAACCCCTCCGTGCACAGAAAGGCTCACTGGCTTCTTAGCAGTAGCTTTGCTGGGAGCTGCGGTATTCCAACAGCCCCTAGTGTCGGCTGGGATGATGTGACTTGGGGGTTAAATGCAGTTTGCAGTTTCAAAAAAGAAAAGCATGATTTGTTGAAAGAGGCTCCTGAAGAAGAACATGTGAGTAAGAGTTTGCAACATCTGAGAAGGTGGGAGTGCATGCTCAGGGACTCTCAAACACTCGGATTTGGGCCTGAAATCAGGAGGAAGACTCTACTGGGGTTTCTATGACTCTTGTCAACGTATAAGCCTTCCTGTTGAAATCCCTGACAGTACTTTTGACAGCATGTTATTATCTTACAATAAAATCTGTCCCCAACCCCCTAGTCCTGCTGCCTCCTCTAGTTTCTAAGAAGGTGTGGAACAGTTAACTGTAGGGGGATGGATAGTTAAAAAGCAGATTCTAGAAGTTCCTGGTGACTTGACTCTTTCATGGGCTAGGTTGAGATAAAACTCTCTAATTTTGTTTTCATTTTCACTGGAGTTGAAGTAACAACAGCAAGAGAACGCCTCCAGGTTTACAGTTGTATGGCTTATTGTGTATATATCCTATAAAACCGAAAACCATATGGAGAATTCTGCTTTCTTGGCTTTTTGTGTGTGTGTACCAGGAAGTAGTAAAATGTTTTGAGATGCTGTTAAGTCCTTAAGTTACAAAATCAAGATTCCACCTTAAAAATTTTCCATACTATAGTTTGTTGCATAGCCTGGGGTGCTGACTGCTTGCCAAATATCTATCAGAGAGTGATTTATGATATATGATACGGTCCCCAGCCCAAGTGGAGACTGCGTAGTTGAAACATGAGAAAGGGGAGGCCTTGCTCTCTGGAAACCATGATGACTGGTTTCTGTTTGGCTTTTCCGAGAGAACATACAGTACAAAACGTGCCACATTTTACAGCAGTAAAACTTCTGTAAGAAACAAAACACGGTTCAGCTAGAAAGACTTAATTTCTCTTTGCCATTTGTTAACTGATGATTGTTTTCACTCCGAGTGGCTGTTGTTCTTTTTCCTCCATTTCCCCTCCCTGGCCCCGCCGCCGCCACCCCCCCCCCCCCGCTGCTGCTCATCTACCGAGCTCTGAAATAGAATCAAACAGCTCTGTTCTGGTAATTAAAATATTTAAAAATGAAATCTCCACTCCATGTTTTCAATATTTCGCGTGCGTTCCATTTTACTATGACTAAGAATGTATTGTGATTTCTGGTGTTTTCTGTTCTGCAAATGTTTCCTTTGCAGCTGCGAAGAAGTCTATCTCCCATATGGCTTTTAGGACACTTTGCAGTATGCTCAGATCAAGCAATATGGACCTGAAAAGGAAAAGAAAAAAAAAAGAAAGCAACCAGTCTCCTTCATATGAAAATCTCTGTGGCATTCTGGGTAACTGCAATACAAAGAATAGTGTGATGGTTTGGCTTTCAAAGATACTGTTAGTGGCATTTCTACAGGTTGTTTTGATTGTCTGTGAATGCTGAGAGGTTTTTTTTGGTGTAAATGTTTATTGCTTTTTTCTAAATATAAAATAAGTCTATGTTCACTGAAGAAAATTTGGTAAGTGCAGGAGAGTACATGGAAGACAATGTACAATAACCCCGTTTGGTTTTCCAAATTGTTTTATATCCTTATTTTGTTCAGTGTCACCACATTTTTTTTTTTTTTAATGAGATAGAGTCTTGCTCTGTCGCCCAGGCTGGAGTACAGTTGTGCAATCTGGGATCACTGCAGCCTCCACCTCCCGGGTTCAAGCAATTCTTCTGCCTCAGCCTCCCGTGTAGCTGGGATTACAGGCACCTGCCACCGCGCCCAGCTAATTTTTGTACTTTTAGTAGAGATGGGATTTCACTATGTTGGCCAGGCTGGTCTTGAACTCCTGACCTCGTGATCCACCCTCCTCGGCCTCCCAAAGTGTTGGGATTACAGGCGTGAGCCACCACGCCCGGCTGAAAACATGGTTTGTAATGGCTCCATAATTTATAATAATAGTACCATGTGCCTGTTTTCTTATAAGATATTTAGGGTATTTCTATTTTTAATGGAAATATTGTTATAAATAATGTGATAACTGTGAATATGTATATTTGACTATATTCCTTATTACTTCATTTGGATAGATATTCCAAAACTGGCATTACTAGGTCAGAAATTATGAATCTGTTTTAATAACCTTGCTACATACTTTTGTATTGGTTTATAAAGTCTCTGCTATATGTTACTACCACCACTATATGTGGAGTGTATGTGAATTTCATCCTCAAATTCTTCAATATTCTAGTAGTTGGTAGTTTTTTTTACATCTTTGCCATTTCAACACATATAAAATAATAAAATTAATATCAATATGTTCCTAATTATTAAAACAATGTATTTTTCCCCTTGTATGTAGTCCATTAATGCTGAAGTTTAGTGGCTTGGTTTAATAACCTTTCCCCAAACCCATATTCTGTATAACAGAAATTTCTTTGGAAAAATTTCAGAATATACATCTCTTTGTAGTAACCTGGGAAATAATTTTTCTCTTAGGACATTTGCATACTGCATGGAAATCTGGCCAGAACTTGAACAGATGGTTCCAAAACTTGGGGTACCTTAAACTTAAACATCAGTGTAACTTGGGGTCCTCTGCAAGGTCATCCGCAAGGACTGTGAAAGTCCTGCTTCTTGGTATCATTTCCTGACAGGTGTGTGTTAATGTTTCAGGAATATACTGGAGTGTACTGCTTTTTTATTCCTGATTCTGCTCACAAACTTGTCATTTATTTGACCACTGACTGTTGAGATTAGGATGCTCTCAATAAGGCATATTTGGATCATGTTTATCTCAAAACTGCTTCTACTAGAGGCTTTTGTGGCTTGCTTTCACATATCAGGGTTACTGCTAATGTGTCCCTAATACTTTGTTGAGAAGGTGAAAGTGGTAGTTGAAGTCACTTTAAAGTCAGTCCTAGGAATGCCTCTCAAATTCTCCCTGGTTTTCTATTTTCTAAGTTACCATTTATTGAGCACCTCTTGCATGCCATGCACATTTCACACTTGATCTCGCTTAAGCATTATTACAATCCAATAGAGTTTGGATAACGATGCATTTTCACAGACAAAAGTAACCTCAGAGAGATTAAGTCATTTGCCTGGAGACATAGAGATTATAAATAATGGTTGATAAATACACAGAGGCTCAAGATTCCTGTTTGGTAATTACAGAGGCTGTAGAAATAGACATGTCAAGGGCTCTCAACTACTGAGTCTCCAAAAGTCAACTGGGAATCTTTTAATTATTTACATCCAGGAAAAATCTTTTACCTATTCCCTGAATAAAATATAACATGTTTTAAGGTCATTTTCCAAACTTTCTTGCTTTAGGTTAATCATTAGTGAGAGACCCCAACATTTCTCAGATTGTGTGCAAACCCTGAAATGATAGCAGAAATTTACACAGTGACCCCAGACAGTTAGATTTATCCTGTAGCTTGGGTTGAGCACCTTAAATTTATATCCATATATGTCTTGCAAATTCTTTTGCTTTGTGGCTTAGTAGCAAGGCATTTACCCTCTGGACAGTGCAGTCAGGTGTGCCCATAAAAACAGGAGTTGATCATTTATGAAAGCTGACTGTGGAATAAGCTAAAGGTGCTTTGAGGACATGCTTTTAGTGTCCACTCTTAGAAACCTGTATTTCAACTTCCCTGGAGCTCAGGATTTTAAAGATCAAGCTTCCTAGCCTCTTCAGCCTCTGCAAGTTCAGATAACCTGTTGCTATTTTTGAATATAAATAGGCCTTATTAGGGATTAAAAGAACTGCCCAGAGGTTTTTCCCCTTTTCTCATTTTGGTGTTTGGATTGTCAGCGGAAGTCTTGAGCTTTGAGACTTGGCAAGGCAGCGCCTTCAAACAAACATCCTGTGGACAAAATTGTCTGGCCCAGCACTCGGTGTTCCAGGATGATTGACAGGAAGCAGCATGTGCTGGGAGGAGGGAGGATGGACACTCTGAGCACGGTGGCTTCCAGTTCCCTCAAACAATAGCCAAGCTCCCAGGGAGCCTCACACCTTCTTTTTCCCATCTACTGGGGTGGTGGGGGTTAGGGAGGATGTGGGCTGGGCAGGAGGTGAGAGGAACCTTGGAATTCCACCCAGCAATTACAAATAACCAACCAAAACCTTTCGATAATGCTTCAACTTGAGGGATAGGAAGATACAGCTATGCAGAGATCTGGGATGATGCTTGAATCAAGCAGTGAGCCAAAAGGAGCCATCCAAAGCTAAAGCCAACACTGGTCACCTTGTGGAATGGGGCTTGATGAAGTGAGCAGAAGTGAGGAGAGATCTGGAAGGGTGAAAAGAAGTGAAATGAAACTCACACGTAAAAGAAAATGAACATTTAAAAGAAATCCAGCTATATGCCAGGATTTTGCATATGTGTTTGCTTTTGGTCCTGTTGCAGGTATTTGAGGCAGGTATTATATGAATTCTTTCAGATGAAACTGAGGCTCAGAGAAGCTAAATAAAATTATCCAATGTGACAAACTTAGACCATGGCACAACTAGTATTTGAGTTCCAGTCCTTTGGACCCTCAAAACCCATGCATTTTCCTCTATTACATTTCCTCTCTAAACTTGTCTAAATCCTACCCTCTTCTTTCTCTGCTTCAGTCCTGGTGGGGAATATATAGAAGAGAACTTATCACCCTAGCTCAGTCTCCTACAACTTCCAATTTATATCTTCCATTCCTGTCTTCCCAAACCTTTCACCATTGTCTGAATCATCAGGTATTTCCATATCTCTGGGTCTTTATCATGTTGTCTTCTCTGCTACAATGACTTTCTCTTCATTCACCCTAATACAATCTACCATGCACCCTTCAAAGTACAGTTCAAATGCCAACTTCTTCAAACAGCTCGTGTATCTTACTGTCTCTCACTCTCCCAAGGAGGATCAGTACCTTCCTGACACAGTAGTCTTACAGTAATTTGTGTCTATCTCTGTTATAATTATCACATGTTACTTGGAATCTGAATATCCCTAGTTATTACTAAATCATGAACAACAATAACTGAAATCACCATAAAATCTAGACCTATCTTTTGGTGACTTGATTGTGGCCCATTTGGGCAAGTGTTAGGCTTCAATCCTAACATTGATAGAAGGAGATCTATCCCTCTATCTCTGAGAGTCCCCAATTGATTCCTTACGATACTTTATGAATTAATATAAGAAGAAAGGGTGGGCAGAGACATTGGAGGAACAGTGGAAAAGTGAATCTCTGTCTAATTCCTTCCTTCCTTCCTTCCTTCCTTCCTTCCTTCCTTCCTTCCTTCCTTCCTTCCTCCCTTCCTTCCTTCTTTCCTTCCTTCCTTCTATAGTTACTAAGTATCACCTAAGAGTTTTGTGCTAGGGTAGATGCTGAGGACACAATGGTGAGCAGAACCCACACTTCTTCTGCTGCTGTGGAGTTAGGGTCCATTGAGGAAGACAAACATTACAAATACAACTCACAAAATATACAATCGTGAATTGTACTAGATGCTATTTAAAAAAATGACAAAGGGGCTACATGAACCTAATTCTGATGGACTTGACCTAGTCTCAGGAACAGGTAGGTGGTGGTTGACAGTTTAAAGTGAACTTTCAGGAAAAGGAGTTAAATCGATCTGAAAAGTGATCAGGTTGCCACTAAATCTTTAAAGGCAAGAGGTGTTGCTCTTGTTCATAGAAGACAAGGTACAGAGGGAGTGCCTCTTCCATCAGGAGGAGGAGAGATAACAGTCTCATAAGAGAATGCTCTGTTTTTGGCACTGCCAAGATTCGGCTCCTATGATGAAATCTCAGAATAGAAAAATTAGAAAAGGGCACACCTCCTATTCTCAGAATGGAAAGAATAGCAAGGTGCCCACTTCATATTCTTTCATGCTCAGTCAGAAAAACAGTAGAACATTGAAAGTTGATGATGAAATTCATGAATTTTTTTTTCAAGTTGCATTCCCCCTAAAACCTCCTACGGCTATATAAGGTCAGCTTTTGTGATAGATATATATGTATGTACACACACATATACGTTATATATCATTGTCTGTTTATTAAACCTCTTCCCTTCAATTTGCAGCAAGACTAATTGTTTTTTGTTTTATATATTCTTAGGATTGTTGATAATGGAGGGAAAATGAGGGATGGGAATGGAGGTGGTGGAGGTGATCAAATGGCCCACTCAGAATTATCCTATGCATCAAAATACTTAGGGATAATTCACGGACTGTAGCCTTTCACATGAACATCCCATATGGGGCCTTCTCTGGCTGTGTGAGCCTTGCAGAGAACTTATGATTTGGAGAGGCCCAGTGGCTAGCATGCCAGAGGCAGACGCTGGAGCAGAGATGACACTCCCAAGACACTACACGCCAACCTGCTGTTTATCCACATTCTCTGGGAAGTCATGGAGATATGATTCAACCATATGTTCATACACAACGTGAAACCTTCATGAGACATAGGCTGCTTGCCAGGTGCCTATCTCCCTTCCTTCTTCTTTTCTATTCTTCCTCTGAAGTACTGATTTTGGCGAATCATAGAGACCAAATTGGGGAAGTTATATTGTATTTTCTTTAGTATTTGAAATGGTTGTGATACATCTAGATTTGTAAAAGTTTACATTCTCAATACTTCTGTTTAGAGAACAAAATCAAATTTCCATAATTTGGCATTAAAAACTTCATACACCTCCCAGCATTATCTACTCTGACTCCTTGTCTGAGGCAATCTAGTCTCCTTGATCTTGGAACACTCCTACTCTCTTTGTTCCTGCTGTTACGTCGACCAGCGCTGACCAACACCCACATATACCGCATTCTCTACCTACCTCCGGTCTATCCTCTTAAAAGGCCCTACCTGGTTCCCAGTGCCTCCCCCTTAGCACTTCCAGCTTACCTGGCAACTTGTCCTGTGCAGGTTTCTGAAAAAGCTTGCTTTGCTGTTATTGTATTGTTGTGGAACTCAGGTTATTATTTTATTTTTCCACTTCAGATTCTCCACTGTCTCCTGGTCTCCGTAAGAGCTGGGACCTTTTCTTTTATATTTTTATCTCCTTGGCTGCTTGAAACACTGTGTAATCTGAGCAAATCATATGTCTTTAATAAATCACTTGTTTATTTATTGAAGAGATCATTTTCTTCACTTAAACTACCAGAAGAGGGGTCAAGGAGGAGAGAACTGATATCTATTGACAAGATATCATAATAAGGCACAGGGATAAGATTTTTTAGATATAATCTTATTTAATGTATTCCCAGACATGGTAAATTAATTATTTTTATATCCATTTTACAGATACAGACATTTCACTCAGAAGTTTTGTGCTATTTGCCTGGGAGCATACAGAATATGTGTCAAAGCTTGGTTATCTTTTTTCCCCACAAAAATGTATTCATTGAAATAGCCATGAAATAAATGTTCACTGGAGTGCATGTGTCAGGTAGTAGAGAAACAATGATGAGCCAAAATCTACCCAGGGCTTGCTTTCATGGTAGTCAGGTGAGTGGGAAAATATCTGCAAACCAAACAACCACCTAAATAAATGTGAAGCTGCAAATGTGAAAAGTGCTAGGACACAGAGATCCATCTATTAAGAGAGTATATAATAATAGGGTATTTGACCTGTTCAGGGAAGGAAGGAAACATTTCCTTATTGAAGTCATACTTGAGCTGGATATGTAGGCTGAGTAAGAGTTTATTAAGTGAAAGGCAAAAGGTCATATTCGGAGAGAGGCCCACAAGTGCAAAGGCCCTGTGGTAGGAAAAAGCATGGCAACTAAGGAAGACTGAAAGATTCCAGGGTGGCTGGAGTGTGTGTGCCTGGGTGTGATTGTGTGTGTGTGTGAGAGAGAGAGATAAGGTGTGAGGCTAGAAATATAAGGCTTTCTGGTTGTTTCTCCATTTATCTTAAAAACAGGCATGATGGCTCACAACTGTAATCTTAGCACTTTGGGAGGCCAAGGCAGGCAGATAACTTGACTTCAGGAGTTTGAGACCAGGCTGGGCAATATGGCAAAACCCTATCTCCACAAAAAATTTTTAAAAAATTAGCCAGGTGTGGTGGTGCACACGTGTAGTCCCAGCTACTTTGGAGGCTGAGGTGGGAGGATTGCATGAGCCTGGGAGGTTGAGGCTGGAGTGGGCCGTGATTGCACCACTGCACTCCAGCCTAGGCAACAAAGTAAGACTCTGTTTCTAAATAAATAAATAAATAATACAGTGAATCCATTCAAGAGATTGCAGTCTATGAATGACATGATGATTTTAATGCAGACAGCAGATGGAAGTGAGGCAAGAGTGGAAGAGGGTAAGCCAAGCAGGAGGCTATCGTAGCAGTCATGGTGATCAACAAAAATAGCTGGACTAGTAAATAAAGGAAGAGTGGTGGGAGTGTAATGAAGAAAAAGGGATGGATTGGAAAGTAGTTTAGGTTGTCCAATTGAAAGGAGTTTTTCATAGATTGGATATACAGATGAGGAAGAAAAGGTGACAGAGATGACACTAGAATTTTTGCCTGCAAAGCTTGCTGAAGTGTAGGACTATTCTTTATATAGGAAACTGTGAAAGGCAATCAGATTTGAGGTGGAAGTTTATAACAGATTTAGATGCATTGCAAGGTATATTTTAGACCTTGAAATGGGATGCTAATTTGGATATGCATGTCTGAAGTTTAAATGAGAGGTCTGTCCTGAAGATAGGAATTTATGACTCTATGTAGAGGTAGTTTTGAAAGTCATGAACATGCATGAGGTGGCTGGAGGAGAACTGATCCATGGGGGAGTGATGCTGAATCAGGAACTCCTGGAGGCATCGAGGACACAATGTTAATGATACTCAGTCCCTGGATTGAAAGTACTTGCCACTTAGTGGGCTGAACTTTGATTTATCAGATTCCAAAGCCCACAGTGTTTTAGTGACATCATCCTTTGAGAAAGCAAAGGCTAAACTGAGTAGGAGTCAATGCTGTAGTTCTTGACCTTTAATTTTTTTTTTTTTTCATTTTTAGCTTTGTGGTTTCCTGCCACTGTTTTGGCATGCTTGTTGTTGAGATTGAGAAATAGTAGTGTATATTATATTTGGCAATTATGCTTATAATCTGAAAGTGTTTGTGTAAGCTTAGGAGGTGTAAACTTTTTACTTCGCAAACAGGGAAACAGAGATCCAGGCAGGGCCAGGGGTGTTTTGGGTGAGATCACCAAAGGCCCAGAAATAAAGAGTAGAATCCATGACATCTCAACTCCAGAAGTACTTTCCGTGCCTCTGAAACATGATGCTTCACTTACTTAGGTTTTGATTTTTTTTTTTTTTCACAAGACTAGTTAGAAAAAGAAGTTGGTATTGCTGTCCCAGATGGACTCCTGATCTGTCCAGGTGCTCTAGATCCTGACCATCCTACTAATCATTAGTACCAGAAACATCAGGATCAATCATCACATTTGCAAACTAAAAACAGTGAAGGTGGAAATTGCAAATCACTTCCAATCCAATAGCATGCCGTCCATGGTAATAGAAATGAACCACGACAGGACTGGTTTACAGTAGTTGAGAAGACAAATTTTCAGAAGCAAATATTGGCCTAAAGAAACTTCCAGGAATTAGGGGTTCTCCAAAATAATTTGTATTCAAGGGTGATATGATTTTTAAAAGTTATTTGTTTGAACAAGGAGCATTTCCATTTGGAAAAAATATTCAAACAACACAGGAAGTACCCAGTGAAAAGAAGCCTCCATTACAGCACTGCTCCCCAGAGCCGGGTCTCCTTCCTCTGAGGCAACAACTGTTACTAGTATTTTTGCTTATTTATCTAGAGATACTCTATGTATATCTCCCTTTTATAAACAAATGGCAGCTTGTGATGCATGGTGCTTTTTGCCTTGTTTTTTCTGTAGGACATAATTCCATACCTGTATATACAGATCTGCCTTGCTCTCTTTGGTGGCTTCAGAATACTTCATTGCAAGTGTCCCCTAACTTTTTGAACCAGTCTTCTACCAATGGATATTTAGGTTGTTTCTAATCTTCAGCAATTAAAACAGTGATGAAAGGAATATCCTTTTATCATCTTTACATATGTAAGTATATCTATAGGAGAAATTTCTAGATGTGTGATTGATGGGTGAAAGGGCATATATGTATTCACAACTTTGATAGAGATTAGAAATATTCCTTTAAAGATGTTGAATTAATTTTTACTCCCATAAAACATATATGAGAGTGCTTGTTTCTCCCAACCACTTGTCAAATTATCATTTGGTCCTTTCCCTAAAATGGGAAATGCCTTTAATGATTTTTAAGCTATCTGTTTTGCCCCAACTTCTTGCTTGCTCAGGAATCAGAAGGTTTCTAGATTCTGCTCTTATGGCTACTCAGAGAGATTTAAGAATATCTTAGTTCTCTCTTTGGCAACTGACCTAACTTTTATGCAACAAAGAAGGGAGAAGAGAGTTAACATTCATTGGATGGTCTCAAATGTTTGGTATTCATTTAGCTAATACTTGTTGAACACCTACTCTGTGGGCTCTGTTTTAGGTTCTAGGCATTTATCAGAGAACAATGCGGACATAGACTCCTGACCTCTAGGACCTTACATTCTAGCAGGGGAATGAGACATTAAAAAATATGATAAACACTCAAATTAGAAGGTGGTAAATGTGGAAATACAAAAAAAGTAGAATAATATAATGGAGATTAGAAGAACAAGAGGCAAATAAATTTAGGGGATTAGGTAGGATGGCCAGGGTGATCCTCATTGAGAAGGTAATACTTGATTAAGGACTTGATGGTGTTGGGAAGTCAGCCAAGAGATAGCTGAGAGAAGAGCCTTCCATGCAGAGATTATAGGCAGAATGAAAGCTCGAAGGTGAGTGTGTGCTTGAGGCTTCCAGTGTGACTGGTGTGAGTGGGAGTGAGGGAGGGAGAGAGAGAAAGGGAGAAAAGGAGATAGAGATTTGATAAAGCCTTACAGGGCATTCATTCAGTGAGGCTGAAATGCAGCAGTACTGCAAGGTTTTGAGCACAATAAAGACAATGATCTGATACATGTTTCAAAAAGTAAAGACTTTTCTTTTTTGAGACAGAGTCTCACTCTGTTGTCTAGGCTGGAGTATAGTGGCATGATCTCAGCTCACTGCATCCTCTGCCTCTCGGGTTCAAGGAATTCTCCTGCCTCATCCTCCACGTAGCTGGGATTACAGGTGTGTGCAACCACGTCTGGCTACTTTTTGTATTTTTAGTAGAGATGGGGTTTTGGCATGTTGGCCAAGCTGGTCTCGAACTTCTGACCTTAGGTGATCCACCTGCCTCCGCCTCCCAAAGTGCTGGGGTTACAGGCGTGAGCCACCACTCCTGGCCTCACAAAGTATGACTTTGAATGCTGTGTTGAATAATAAATATGACAAGATTCCCTGAGGGGTTGCGCATAAGATGTCAGAGGAAAAGAGAAGTTAAGAACAACTCCAAATTTCTCAAAGAACTTAAAACAGAATTCCCATTTGACCCAGCAATCCCATTGCTGGGTATATATCCAAAGGAAAATAAATCATTCTGCCAAAAAGATGCATGTACACTTATATTCACTGAAGCACTGTTCACAATAGTAAAGACATAAAATCAACTTTGGTGTCCATTAACAGTGGATTGGATAAAGAAAATGTGGTATGTATACAGTGTGGGATACTATGCAACAATAAAAAAGAATGAGATCATGTCCCTTGCAGCAATATGGATGCAGCTGGAGGCCATTATCCTAAGTGAATTAACACAGGAACAGAAAACCAAATACTTCATCTTGTCACTTATAGGTGGGAGCTACACGTTGGCACACATGGAAACAAAGAGGGGAACAATAGATATTGGGGCCGACTTGAGGGTGGAGGGAGGGAGGAGGACAAAGGCTGAAAAACTACCTATTGGGTACTATGCTTACTATGTAGGTGAAAGAGTATTTATATCCCAAACCTCAGTGTCATGCAATCTACTCATGTAACAAACCTGCATATGCACCCTCTGAATCCAAAATAAAAGTTGAAATTATTTTTACATAAGAATGACTCCAAGATTTTTGTCATGAGTTACCATCAACTGATATGGTAAAGCTCACAGATATAGCACAATTTTGGGAGGAGGCTAGAAGTTCACTTTTAATCATATTGTATTGGAAACATCTATTAGATATCCAAGTGGAATGTCAAATAGGAAGATAGATAAATGAGCCTGGAGAGAGGGAGGGAGAGAGAGATCTGAAGAAGGAAGAAAAGCAAGAGAGTTACATATTATATCTCATTTAATTCTCATGGTAACAGGTGATGCTATCTTCAGTTTACAAATAGAGAAGCAAGCTCAGAGTGGCTTGCTCTGACTTATCTGCATTCAAAGCCCATCATCAGCCTCCAGAAGTTCATGGCATCAATTTTTCTGCCATACAGGTTCTATGTTCCAGGATTTGTTCAAGGTTCCTTGTCATAAAGAACTTGGGAGAATCCCTTGAACCCAGGAGGCAGAGGTTGCAGTTAGCCAAGACTGCACCATTGCACTCCAACCTGAGTGACAGAGTGAGACTCTGTCTCAAAAAAATAAAAAATAAAAAAAAAAATAACTTGAGACCTGCTGGTTACACGTGGGGATGCAATAGATGTAGGTGAGAACATGGACAGAGTGCGTGCTATGGATACAAAACCCCAAGGTCTGTGGACCACCCTGAGATGACAGTCCCTTGTGCAGAAGGCACTTTGTGCAGAAGGAGTAATCTGGGGTACCACAGTTTACCCTAGTGCAAGCCTATTTCATAGTACCTAGTTTTTTCTTCCAGCTGTGTTCTGTTGGCCTCACTAATGTCATAATAAAAGAAGCTCTCTGTTTATTTCTGATATCTCAAGATGCTTTATCAACAATGTGGTTACGTTGTTGGTCATCCCATAGATAAACTCAGATCCCTCTACTTTCCAAGTGTGAGAAGATTTTGTTCTACAGTCGCTTCTGTGAGATCACCACAGCCCTGGCAAACCAAGAGGGAGGAACCTTGTGCCTTTGAAGTGTGATTCACAGTGCTTGATAAAGTGCCAGTATTCTCTAAAGTAAGTCAATATCACATGCCTTGTATTCTTAATTTGGTGTTTGGGCTTCTTGTTTTGAATTTTTCACTTATTTCTCATAAATAAGGTTTTGAGAGTCTATTGAAAAAATTATGCAGTGGGTAAGGATTCAGGTTTTGAAGCCAAGTAGCTCCATCAGTTCTTACCTGTCTGACTTGGGGCAAGTTATTTAAATCTCAGTTTTCTTAAATGTTATTGTGTAGACAACAGTATGGTTTGTTTAACAGAGTCAAGAGGATTACTAAAAGAGATAATCAATGTAAATTCTTAGTACTACTCCTTGGACAGAGCAGTGATAAAAATAGTTATTGTAAGTAGCCTCAAGCTAGAATATATTAATAATAAGATATATAAACAGTTTATATAACAAAAGAGTTCTCAAAATATTGTATTTAAAATGAAAACCCTTATATTGTCTAGAACAGTAGCTTGTAAGTATTTTCAGCAACAGCCCTTTATTCAAATGAAATTTCAAACAATTTCAACTTATAAAATACATAAATAATATTAAAATGATTTAAAATATATTTTTAAAAAAACTAAATGTATACAAACTGTTTAAAAAGCCAGTTGATGAGAACCATGGACCTGTTTGGATGAACATGAATACGTCAAATGGGAGTTAGGTGACAGTGCTGGTCTCATACCCACGCCAGCATCCAGCTCATATCTACATTTTATTTTGGGTGCAACATATCAAGAAAATCCTGGTGCACACAGATAAGCAGTTGCTGATTGTGACTTAAAAAAAAAAAAACTTACCTTGCAATTCTTAAGATACACTTCAAATAAACTGACCTAGTAGCCTGAAGATGGGTAGTAGGAAAATTTTATTTTGAAATTGAATCACAAATAATTTGAGAGCAGATGAATTGCTCATATTCATTGTTGATAAAAAAGACCCAGACTTTCAATAGACACTAAAACATTTATGCATAGCCCATATGAGACTTTCCATATGATTAGGGTCTATAAAAAATCTTTGTTATTCTCTAACTAGACTTATTTTTATTTCAAGCCCCTTGTTAACCCAGGAGGCTTGAAATAAGTTTCAGGCAATTCAGGGTCTTCTCTCCTCTCCATGGGGTTGTGTCTATTTCTCCTGGGTGCTATGTTGTGTCCAGGCGAGGTGGGGCATCTGGTCCCCCATTATCAACCATTCATGCTGGTTCCCCTGAGATATGATGTCCTTATCTGGACAGTGGTTTCTTGTTCACCCACATCACTTCCTTCTAGTGGTGCCTGTACAACCTCTCTAGACTCAACTTCTTTCTATTTTCTCCCTCCCTTCTCTTCATGTCATCATGCCCTCTGTGGCACACGGGAAACAATCTGTTGAATTGACCACTTCAGCATCATGATAAATGTTTCCAAGACCACTCTGCTAGATTGCTTGTAGCTTACCTTCCAGCTCCTGCCCTTTCTGGTTGCTAGAGACAGGTGGGTCCTTCAACTCTCTGAGCCCAATTAGGAAATGAACAGCAAGTACCCTCTGCTTTTGAGGACACTAAACCCATCCTCTAGCTACATAACCAGGGTTTGGTACAGGGATTCTAGCCACCCAATCCGGTATGACAGTATGAAACTCACAACCTTACATCTGACATTCTTTTTTTTTTTTCTTTGTCTGTGGTTCCTTCCTTCTTTTTTTTTTTTTTTTTTTTTTTTTTTGAGACAGGGTCTCACTCTTGTCACCGAGGCTGAAGTGCAGTTGTATAATCACAGCTGGTTGCAGCCTCGACCTCCTGGGCCCCAGCAGTTCTCCCGCCTCAGCCTCGCAGGTAGCTGGGACCACAGGTGTAGGTACCATGCTTGCTTGCTTTTCTTTCTTTTCTTTCTTTCTTTCTTTCTTTCTTTCTTTCTTTCTTTCTTTCTTTCTTTCTTTCTTTCTTTCTTTCTTTCTTTCTTTCCTTCTCTCTCTCTCTCTCTCTCTCTCTCTCTCTCTCTCTCTTTCTTTCTTTCTTTTTTAGAAATGGGGTCTAACCGTATTTCTCAGGCCGATCTTGAAGTCCTGAGCTTAAGTTGTCTTCCCACCTTAGCTTCTCAAAGTGCAGGGATTACAGGTGTGATCCACCATGCCCGGCCTCATCTACAAATATTTACTCAATGCTCACATCTTGTGCTGGCAAGTACGATAGTAGAATTAGAGAAATCTACACCCCTATCTCATGGAGCTTAAATTCTAGTTGAGAAGACGGACAATGAACAAATGCATACTAAATATATAGTCCGTTAGTTAGTGGTATTGCGGAGAAAAAATAGTGCAGGGAATAGATTTAGAATCTCTTACCTCCTGAGTGTGAGGTGGGAGATTGCAATTTTAAATAGTGTGTTTTGGGTAGGCCTCACTGAGCAAAGACCCAAAACAGGTGACAGAAACCTCCTCTCTGGGGAAGAGCAGGCAGAAAATATCCCCAGTGCAAAATCCCCAAGGCAGCAGCATGCCTTGGGTGTCTGAGCAACAGCCGGGAGATCTGTGTGGCTGGGGTGGAGCTGGCTAAATGGACTAGCCCTGGAAGATGAATTCAGCAAGGCAAATGGGATAGGGGTGGGCCAGCTCTTGTAGGTCACAGAAGGGGCTTTAGCCTTCTCAGAAGACGACCCACTATTGGAAGATTTTGAGAGATACGATCTGAGAAGCAAGATCTGACTTAGGTTTAAAAGAATCATTTTGACTGCTGAGTTGAGAATGGACTATCATGGAAAAAGGTCAGATGAAGGAAGATTAATTAAGAAGCTATTGCAGCACTCCGAATGACAGATGATGGTGACCCGCATAGGGTGAAGGCAGTAGAGGTCATCAGAAGTGGTCATTTGATGCTAGATTTGGATCTGAGATGTGCGGGAAGAGATCAGTCAAGAAAGACTCTAAGACACTGGCAACATGATGTTTCCCTTAAGGAGTTGTAGAAGATTGCAGAAAAGACAAGTTCAGGAGGCAGGGGTGAGGAAGATCAAGACTTTGATTTTGGACATATTGTGGTTAAGATGGATTTGAAGTAGGCAGCTGGATACATAAGCCTGGAGTTTAGGATGGGTGTGTGTATGTGGTGGGGGGTGTATAAATTTGAATATGCTTTTAATTTTGAATTAATTTAATTTAAATTTAGATTTAATGAATGTCATTTAAATTTTGAGTTGATTTAGTTTTGAATGTTTTAGAATTGTCTTAAAAATAAGTCATAATTAAATACATTAATAATTATTAATTTATTTATAATTAAATATATAAATTAGATAAAATTAATTAGAATAAGCCTTAAAATACCTTAAGAAATCTATTTAAAAATGAATTTAAATCATATCTGTGAAATTCCTGAAGTATAGTTGTAGAACTTGCATGGGGCTCAGTTTTAAATGTTGGTGTGCTCTTGATGTAAAAAGTACTGTTTGGTAATACAATCATCACAATCAATTTTCTTTGGTATGTGATATGGCAAGAAGAAATGATAGGATTTACCAATCTATGCCCCAAAGGGACTTATCTAAGTAATATTTCTGTTCTCCACTGTTTGATCCATTTCTCAGAAAAGTAGCTAAATTTTTCTTACATTGTTGAATATGCAGATGTGAACCACCAATTGCTGAGGGGCACTCTTGAGGGAACATGTACAGTGGGACAGATCACTCACTCCCTTTCAGGGTCATATTGGTTCAGCCCAATGAAGAGATTTTGTGTTATGTGCAAGTTGTCATGATGTACTTTTTAAAAATAGTGTCACTGACACATATCCACTAAAATAAATTAACTTGTCTATCTTGACTGACTCACATTCTAGAAACAGCAACTTCACATGCCAGTGATGATATGAGCCATGGGGATGGGTAGGAGTGGGAACACACCAGCAAGAAGATGGCAGTGCCAGAGGCCTTTTAATAGTTTTTAGCAGAGCAGTGCAGAGGTTATGAGAATAAACCTGGACTTTTACAAGCCTGGGTTATAATTCAAGCTCTGTTGCTTTCTGGATGGGCAGACTTAATTTCTTCAAACTCAAGTATTCAGACAAAAAATACAATGGGGAAGAATTATAACTTTCTGTTGTAAAGAACTAATGAGTGAATGCTTGCAAAATACTTAGAGCAGCATGTTGCACATAGCCAGCTCTCAATAAATGATGGCTATTATTATTGGTAACTCTTTTAAAACTAAATGTTTGGTCTCTTGAAATATCTTAAGCAGGATGGTTTCAGATTGTCACCTGCTCTTAATTGGTGAGCAGGGCTGCCACCCCAGGCTCAGATTTAAGCTGGTACAGACAGCCCTAGTGAAAATGAGCCTCCACATCATTAAATCTATAGTTGAAACACTTCTACTGCACACTTGAACACTTGAACACACACATTTCATCTTTCTTGGCTATTTGGACTTATTAAGCATTTCTGTAATACTTGTTTTCTAAGTTGGCTGCTTCTCATTAGCGTTTCCTCACATCACCCCATGTGAAAGATGAATACAACAGTCCATATTTTACAGACTAGAAAATTGAGGTACAAGTCAGCCTAGTGTGGTTTGGCCAAAGGCACCAGAAAAATAAGCCCTGGAGCTCCAGAATGTCTCACTATTGAGTTATGGTTGACTTGATGAAGGAGAATGTTCTCCATAGAGATTCAGAGCATTCAAATAAAACACAAAAGTGATGTCCTCTTCTTTGCCTAAGAGCAAACATACTACCTATAGTCATAAGATGGCAGCCAGAGATACCACTGTAAGATCAAATCTGATCAAGTCGCTTTTCTATGTAAAACCTTGTTCTGGCTCTCTATGACCCCAGGATAAAGTCTATCTTCTTAATGTGGCATATATGGCCTTCCCTGTGCTCCTCTGCCTCCTGCTGCCAGCCTCATCCCTCACTACTTCTGTCCTCACTCCAGCCATGCTGAAGACTTTCAGGTCTCTTAATGTGCCTTTGCACATAAAATGTAGAAAAGAACCTGGCTCTATCTTATTTCCTCTCCTTTAGTTGTATGTCCCCGTTTTCCAAGAAGTCTCCCTAGATTTCTCAAGGCTGGATGAGTTGGCCCTTCTGTATACTCCTACAGTACATGAGATTTATACCACTGATCTCACTAAAACTGTATTTTAAATCAGACTATCCCATGAGCCTGTTATCTCCTTCAGGACAGTAATTATACCTGCTTCATTGTAGATCCCCAGCTCCTAGCGCAATGCCTGCAAACAGTAGAGATACAATAAATACTCTTTTGATTGTATGAATGAGCAATATGCCTTGTGATTTGACATTTTCCATTTCACAAAATGGATAAATACTTCGTGTCAGACACTTTGATAAGTACTAAAGTACAATACGCTATGGCTTGAAGATTTAACAGTGGAATTTCTGGCAACTGCCAGGAGGGAGGTGAGGTGAGCTATGAAGCCTATTAGTGTGGGTGTTTGCATTAAGATATATCTCAACCTGGTCTCTTGGTCTTTAATAGGTATTGTCCAAGTGACCATATATTATAGTTATCCAAACTGGTACAACTTTGACAGTGGAAGTGGGCAGTATTGATAATTGTATTTTGACAATACGCATAGACCAGGGCTATCCCAGCAAAGTGAGTGTGCGGTCACTCTAGGTATATGGATTGGCCTAATGTGCTGTTAGTCCTGAGCTAAATCCCTGGTTTAACTGATCTATCTAATGGACTCAAAGCTGCTGCTGGGTGAGAAATCTCACAGTTGTACTGACTGAAACAGCTAAGAGACATGTAGCAGTGACTTTGCAACATATGGCTTGACAATCCTCTTCCTGAGGTAGCTCTAAACATAGTGGTAGTTATATCTCAGTGACAGTAGCAGGTGAGAGTGGCCGTTAAGCAGTAGTTCTGTCACTCAGTAAAAGTTTTGACACCTGGATTTGAACATGAAGGATTCTAACTGGGGAGCTGAAAGATTTCCAGATCAGCCGAATTGCTCAAAGCTGCCAAGTTGGCCTGAGAACCTTCTTTTGTGAGTGAGATATGAATGATAGTTGAAACTGCTTCTTAGCTGGAAAATGCAATTTAAGCATATGTTTAAAAAAGCAATAATTAAAATATTACTATTTCAGAGCTCTTCGGTGCTCCTGAATCCATGGCTTTGCCAAATGCTTAGCTGTGCAGAGGGTGATTATCTTTCAAGGCCAGGATAGTAGCTCCCCAATCACTGCAGTGTAGCTCTCAGCCTTGGCATGAGCTTAGGAGGTGAAAGAGGAGGACTTACATATTAGCAATAAAGGTGAACATTTCTAACACCTAGAAAGTGTTGAAATTCTGGTTAGCATGCTTATCTTGTTTTGGCAAATGTCCTATATTAAATGGAAGGTGGCATATTCCCTTTATTAAATTTCTGTTTTCTTTTCTGATAGGATTTCTCCAAATTTATGTCCATTATTTATGCCTAGAAAAAATTAATAATTTGTAGCTAACACATTCATTGACATAATACAATCTTAGTTACTGTTGTAATGGTTTTGGATAGGAGTTAGAAATTCCTTTGTATTAACAAAAGTTTAGGAAATGTATTACTGTTTAAATATTCCACACAAATGAACATAGATGGAGATAGCAAAATAAAAAACAAAACAAAACAAGACTCTGTGAAGCTGGTTGAAAGCGTTCACACCCTGAGATGTCAGCTTGCCATCCCATCTTACCCTTTATTTAGTCTTAATGTTAGTGTCTATTTTTTTTAAGACTGAATTGACCCTAGGTGCGTTTATAAAATGACATTTTAAATTCCCTAATTCAAACTTCTAAGTCAGAGCTATAATGTTGCTTTAGGGGTGAGTTCCTCCAGGAGGAAAACAGCAACAAAACAAAATATTTAAAAAGGTCATGAGTCAATTGTGCCAGTTACGTGCCATGTCCCTTTTGGGAAAGAACAGTGCACTGTGTGCAGAAAAGAAAGTGACCCATTGCTTGGTATAAAGAACTGTAATTGATGGGATATCTATGAGTATAAAGTATTTGGAAAGCAAATTGTTGTTTATACTCTTTATGACTTTCCCTGGCCAAACAACAGTAGGTATTTCATGCCAAGAAGGACTGAGGGGTTTAGAACAGGAATTAGGAAGGAAAAGTCACCCTTCCAATGAAGGAAAAAAATGGCACTGGGTGGGATGTGGTGGCTCACACCTGTAACTCTTAACACTTTGAGAGGCCGAGATGGGTGGATCACTTGAGCCCAGGGATTCAGGAGCAGCCTGGGAAACATGGTGAAATCCTGTCTCTACAAAAAATACAAAAATCAGCCAGTCCTGGGGGCATGTACCTGTAGTCCCAGCTACTGGTTGGGTTGTGGGGGTGGTGTGTGTTGAGGCGGGAAAATGATTGCTTGAGCCTGGAAGGTTGAAGCTGCAGTGAGCCTTGATGGCACCAGTGCACTCCAGACTGGATGACAGAGGAAGGCCCTGAAGAAAGAAAGAACGAAAGAAAGAAAGAAAGAAAGAAAGAAAGAAAGAAAGAAAAGAAAGAAGGAAGGAAGGAAGGAAAGAGGGAAAGAAGGAAAGAAAGAAGGAAGGGAGGAAGGAAGGAAGGGAAGGAGGAAGGAAGGAAGGAAGGAAGGAAGGAAGGAAGAAAGAAAGAAAATGGTACTGGTTATGAATGTGTCCCTACTATTAAACTGCCTGGGCTCATATCACAGTTCCTCTTTCCACTAGTTGTGTGACTTTGGGAAAGGCACTTAACCTCTTAACTTCAATTTCCCATCTTTAAAATGGGAATAGTAAAAATAACTACCCCATATGGTTTTGGTGAGGACCGAATGAGATTATACACGAAAACATTCAGCAAAATATTTGGCAAATAGTAAAGTCAATAAATAACAATTATAATTGTGGAAAATCCCAGTCATTTGATGACATCACGACTACAATTTTTATTTCAGTCTGTGCTTGAGTATATGGTTAACACCCAGAATATTTGTACTTCAGTTTTATGGGTTCACTAAGAGCACTCAGGCCTTCAACACTGCATTATTCCTAGATCAAGGAGCTCCTGAAACAAGGTACATCCAGAGACCCCCACTTTCCCAATGTACCTCAGTGGGTCCTAGTCCTCTTTCCTAGCTTGGGCCCACCACAGCTTGCTCAGGAGAGCTGATGGGATTGCAGCACCAGACCGAAACAGGAGGCCATGAATGATTTTAGTTCTCAGGAATGCCTTTTAAATTGTGTATGTTCTCTGTTGCTATGTTGTTTTTTTAAAAGTAATTTTTTAATTTTCTGTATTTTTATTCTAAGGCAAAAATCAATAATGAGGCTAGGTCCAGTGTCACAAGATGTGGGTATTAAGTTTCCCTGAGAAACCATATATTTGGATGGTGAATTGGCACCAAGACCTCTCACCAGACTTTAAGAACATCTCGTTCTCTCTTTCAGTCTCATTCTTCTTTTCTCCTTCCAATAATTTTAACCACAAGAATACGCATCGTTTTCTACTTGTGTGTCTTCTCCTATTTTTCCTCTCCAGCCCTTCCAGTATCTTTGTAGCCAATTCCTTACATTATATTCCTTCTGTGTGAAATGCACTGTGATTTGCTGGGGGAAGAAGTAAGGAGATGTGAATGGCGATTTTGACTACTGTGACAACTTGCTGTTATCTTGGTCCTATTATTAATCTTTCCAAGTCCCATTTGTAAAAAGATGGGGAATAATAAACTCACCATAGCTGTTTCACAGGATTGTAATGAGGACAAAATAAAATATTAACTATGCAAGTACTTTTCAAATGTTATTATTTTCAAAGGTATCTATTTATTGTTAAATGGATTTCAATACACTTTCATCTGATACAAAAATTTAAAAATAAGATACATTAAAGTTCTATTTTTGTTTTGAAAATATGCCTGAACTGATCCAGTTCTCTTCTGTTAATAAAAATAGACTTTATTTTTTTTACAACAGTTTTAGGTTCACAGCAAATTGGATGGAAGTTACAGAAATTCTTCTATTTTTAATTTTAAACTAACATACGACAAAAGGATTTCCTGATTTATCCACCATTTCAAAAAAAGGTAATATTTTTCCTTTGCTGGTCTAAACGTTTATGGATTGTTCTTGATGCTGTTTGTTTTTAGTAAATGGAAAAGCAAATAGCTGGTCTAGAGGCTTCTTGCTCTCCCCTCTCAGCATTCTAGAATCCAGATCCGCTCTGTAAAATGTGCAAAATGTTGCTTGCATAGCCGTTGCTCTGGCCTATGCCTAAGCTCTACAAATTTTTTGATGACCATGAAAAAGTTTTACTTCACACATGTTGATGTTGATGAGGAGCTGGAATAGATATTGTTTAATAATTATGAATCTGTTTACTAGAAAATAAAAGTCAGATTGAAGGCTATTTGTCATTGGAACAAATCATTAGTAAGCGACTGGAGGTTTTTTTGAGCCAGGGACTGTACTATTTGCTTAAATTTGCTAACTCATTTAAATGTCATAGACACCCTGCGAAGTAGGTCATAAGAGCCCCATTTTATCGAGAAGGAAATCAAGGCTCAAAGAGATTAAGTAATTTCTGAACGCAGTGATACATCCTGGTTGAACAACTAGGATTTCTTCTCATTTTTTCTCTTAACAGGTCCGAAGAAAATGAAGGAGCCTCTTCCTGTACTCATGGTACATAAGGTATGTCAGTATTGTACACATAAATAGCATACATCTTCTGCCACGAGCCGAGAATTCCTTGGCAAATCCTCCTCATTGATAATAATTTTGATTATGTCCTTAGGTCTTGTGCTAAATATTTTTCACATCTTATCACATTTCAGCCTTGCAGTAATCCTAAAGGTAGGATCATAAGCCCCATTTTACAGGTGAGAAATGAGACAGTTTCTGCTTGCCCAAATTTATACACACATGTATCTCTTTGACTCCCTAGCCTGCGTCCTTCTCTATATATCATATAGGCGTCAACAATAGATGTTTTCCTCAAGGGAGTAGTCTCCTCAGAAATTGAAATCATTGGTGCCATAAGCAATACCGAAACGGGAAAGGTTCCCTTGTCCCGCTTGCAGGACGTGTGATGGGGTAGTGGTTGGCTTCTTCAGTGCCCTGCTGGTGAAACCTCTAGGGGAGCATACAGATGGGCAGGCTGTGGGGCTCCGATCCCAGGGCAGTGTCTAGGGATGAATGTTCACAGCTCCTCAAGCCCCAGTGGGCATGTGCTACCATGTGCTCTTTTAGTTTAGCTGTCTATAGGCGACTTGTGTTAACCAGCTCAATTAGACCCTCTACCTTGTCGCAAGGACAGAGGGCTCTCTTTATCCCAGAGTTCTTGCCTCGGTGTACTGGAAGAATTGGATCACACCTGGGTTTGGAGAATGAGTGCAAGGTTTTATTGAGTGGAGGTAGCTCTCAGCAGATGGGGGAAGGTGGAAGGGGATGGAGTGGGAAGGTTTTCCCCTGGAATCGGGCTGCTCAGTGGCCCGAGCTCTCTTCTGACTGCCCCGCCCAACTCTGCTTCATTCCCCGGGTGGATGGCTTGCCCGCGTGCCGGTGTCTGTCTGGGCGTTCCTCTTGACATTCAGCCACCCACGTGTTCCTCCACTGATGTGCTCCTCTATACGTCCAGCCACCTGTGTGTCTGCCGGCTAGGGTCTCCGAGCTTTCATAGGCCCAGGATGGGGGCGTGGCAGGCCAGGGTAGCCTTGGGAAATGCAAATAAAAATGCCTGTCTTCACCTAGGTCCGTGGGCACAGGGCCCAGGGCTCCCCCCCCCCCCCCCCCCCCCGTTGGAGCCCTAGCCAGGGACCACGCCCTCCTCTACCCGGGACTTCCCTGGCTTATCATTTAAAGGGACCACACCCTGCCCTTCCCAGCACTTCCCTTCCATATCCATACCTACCCACTGCAGCATCCTTTTATCTCTAACTTCACTGTGAGGTGGCTACTGTGGGACGTTGAAAACTTTTGGCTGGAGTGGCCATTTTGTCTTTTGGCCATGCTTGGGATCTTTTTCAAAGACTCAGAAAAGTATCCGTTCCTTCTAAAACATTGTCGTCTATTCCTGATTCATGCCAGAGAAACAGAATTTCCAAACAGACAAGTAAAAAAGTACATTGGAATGACTTCATGCCTGGGTTCCTGATTGTTCTCGCAGATGACATCCTACGACTGTCTCACCACACATTATTTTTTGACTCATTTTCTCTAACCTAAGTATCTCCGGCAACCAAATTTTAGTAACTTCCCCAAGGCAACCTGAGGTTTGGAAACCAAGGGGGCCGTTCCAAGTCTTTTGTGGACTGAGGCATGCAACCACAGAGCTAAGGTCAGACCCCATTAAGATGAGGGGAGGGGTCGAGAGAGAGGAGGAGTGGAGAGAGCTTCGTGCCTTTCCATTGTACTGGAATTTAACTGGAATGACTGAAGGCAATTTCTTTTTAAAATCCTTCCCCCCTGTCACCTCATTAACACCTCCAATGAAAGGCAGCTGTGAGACTGTTAACTCTTTGCTTGCACATTCTTGAAAGTGCTATTGGCTGGGATCTCTGGTCCTTGTGAGAAGATACCCTGCTGTCACCAATCTGGGCATCTGTAGCTTGAAATCAGGGTTTTTCCAAGATTCATATTTATACCCCAATAGTGTGCCATTCTATAGAGTGAGACGTGCATTTCTGCCAGGTTTCGCATATTTTGAGCTACTACTCCATAAGCTGCAGTATGTTGGGTTTTTTGGAACTTGGCTGCCTCAAATTCTTTTTGGAAATAAAATGAGAGCGTATGTGAACATTCATTAATGTATTCAGTCATTCATTTACCCACTCACACATTTAATAAATCACATTGGATGTGTGCCTGCTATATGCCAGGCAACATGTCAACCTGAGGGGTGTAAAGGAGGGCAAGAAGTTGTCCCTTCCCTCAAGGAGTTTACTATTTAAAGTGGGTTTCAATAATTATTCCAATATAATGTGATAAAATGATGATAAAAGTTACTGTGGGAGCAAAACAGGAGAGACAGTAAAGCAGAGTAGGCTAAGAGGGGTCAGGGAAGACAGAAAAGCAATATTTGAGCTGTTTTGAAGAGTAAGTAGGAGTTAGCTATATGGAGAAGAGCTGAGATGGGAAAGCTGCAGGTGCCAAGATAGGAGGGGATGATTTTGGCAATTGCTGTTGAGGATCATCTTTGTGTGAAGTGTAGTGAATACTGCTGAGATGGGTGCTCTAGTGTATGACCCACTCTGCCACTTGGAGATTGTAACACGCAACCTTCCAGCTGCTGGGAGTGATGATGGCTGTGAAATCTCCGCTTACCTTCTTTTGGAAATTGCCCTCAACCAAAGGGAGCTGCCTTGTCTAAGTTTACACACCTTCCCCTGGGACAGTATACATCCAAAATATAAAGGTACAAAGACCTCTTCCCCTTAATTTAAGGCAGAAAATTCTGAATATTCATCCCATTTCAAGAGATGTCAGTAAGGTCTTCTGAAGCCTCTGACACAACTGGACCATAGCTCAACTTCTCCTTCTGAGATTCTTGGTTACACCTTTGACTGTTGTTGTGCCCTGGCAGATGGTGCAAGAAGGGAACATAAGGCTCAGAGAGGCAGTCATGCTCAAATGGAAATACTCTGTAAGGCTGGGAAACCTGCTGGCTAATATCTTCATCAGGATGACCTGGTGGATACTCATTTTACTTAAGTGATCAGGAACACGTTGGTGAGACAGGTTCCAGCATGGCAGAGAAACTCAGCAGTGACTGATGGTAGGGGATGCTGTTAGAAAACTGAGTAGACTGATAACAATGAGAGTAATAGAATTCCAAGAAATAGAGGTCAGGTGGTGACCCTTGACTATCAGAGGCAAGGATATTTTTTATAATGAGGGGCAAGGTTGAAGTGTTAGCTTGGTTGGGAGCCAAGTTAATAGAATGGGAGTAACATTTCACAAGAAGAGTAAATATCTTTATTTCACATGTAAAAGCCTCCATAAAGCATCCATCAAGGAAGAAGCAAGAAATAACTAAATAGGCAGAAGGACTTTAGTGGTTGACATGATAAATCTTTTGTTTGAGTGCTCGTTTTCCCTGCGACTCCGAGCTCTTTTTTCCAAAACAGTGCTGGCATAATGGAGACAAAAACGGAATTGAGAGATGGTTAATAGACTACAGCGGCCCTGGGGGCAAAATAAATGGGGTGAGGGCCAACAAGAGCTTACTCAGTTTACACAATCAAAAGAAATCAAAGATGGATGATCAAAAGGCTGAACACAGCAGCCAAGCCCCTTGCCCAGTCTCTAGACCTCAGATGGTTTCTGAACCTGAAATCCTGAAAGAGATGCCAGATCTCCAACAGAAGCTGAAAGCAGAGGAAAAGATCAATTTTGGTTAATGTGTGAATCAGCTCAACATGTGGGTGCAAGTCAAAAATGGATCATAGCTGCATTACAGTCCCATTCAGGGATAACCTTTATGGAGATAGTAGTAAGAGGGGACTCTGTCAATGAGTGGAGATTCTAACAGCACACCTAGACAAGCACTTTGTATGAAAATAAAAGTGGTCCAATATAAAAATAGAGAAAAACTCATGGATAGTGGTGAATAGCTTCATCGGTTGATCAGGGGCCAAGAAGAAGAAATATTAGAAGATGTGGAACAAAATGATCTGGAGAAGAGGCATATGTAAAAACTTACAGGAGTGAGTAAAAAGAGTAAATGTCCTTATTTCACATGTGAAAGCCTCCATAAAGCATCCATCAAGGAAGAAGCAATAAATAACTAAATAGACAGAAGGATTTCAGCAGTTGACATTAGCTAGCTCTCTCTTCAGCCACTCAGTGCTGGCATAATGGAGTAGTTATGATGGCAAGGAAGAGGCTTTTCATGGATCCAATATCATGGACTCTTACTCACCAAGGCTGACCTAGCTACTTTTGTTGGCTAATCTCTAATGTGTCAGCAACCCCAATCAATGCTCAGCTGCTGACATAGTTCCTTCCCTTATGTAGATCAGTTACTGAGTGGTGGCAAGTTGATTACATTAGAACTCTTCCACCCCGGGAGAAGCAACTATTCATGTTGATTGGAATCATCACTTATTTTTGTATATTTGTGTATGAATTTGACTTATGCAAGGTCTTTGTCATCATTAGGGTATATGGTACACCAACAAAGAATCCTATATAATACCAAGGGCTTTTTTTTGGCAAAGGAAGTGTTGTAGTGGGCATATGGCCATGGAATCCATTGATCCTGCCACCAACCCCAGAAGTTGCCAACCTAATCAACTTATTGATTGGCTTAGTCGAAGTGGGCACCAATTTGGAGATGATACCTCATGAGAATGTGGCCCCATCCTATACGATGTGGTATCTACTCTACATCAATGATGATTTAATGTTTTGTTCACAATAGAAAGAATACATTGGTCCAGGAACAGAAGAGTAGAAGCGGAAGGGAATTCTCTTACTGTCACTCTTAGTGACCCACTTGGGAAATTTGCATTTTCTCCCTGCACAACTCTGTGATCAGTGTGTTTACAATTTCTGGTTTTCGAGAACCAGCACTTTCGCTGGAGGATATAACAAAAGTTCCATTATTAGGCAAGAATTGCCATCTGGTCACTTAGGCTTGATTATGCCAACAAACCAGTAGGCAAAAAAGGAGTCACCATTCTGCCGTGGATACTTGACCCTGATCATCAGGTGGAGGTAGGGCTGCTGTTACTTTAGGGGTGAAGAAAACTGTATGTTTTGCACCCACGTAATCCATGGAGCATTTCTTGGTACTCCCCTGCCAAGGGACAAGTACTACAGCAAAAGCCTATTTCTTGGTACTCCCCTGCCAAGGGACAAGTACTACAGCAAAAGCCTATTTCTTGGTACTCCCCTGCCAAGGGACAAGTACTACAGCAAAAGCCTAACGACAGCCTGGAGACCAGGGCTTGGATCTTTTAGGATTGAAGTTCTGAGTCATCCCACTATGGAAGCGATGGAGATCGACAGAGGTGTTTGCAGAGAGTGAGAGGAATTTGGAAAAGGTGATAGAGGAGGAAATGATGTGAACCAGTTTCAACCACTGACACCAGCAGCAGTGTGGGGGCTGAAGTTTGTGTTTCCTTGAGGAAAGAGGCCAACCAGAATCCACAATTTGCTGTTTCAAGAATGTATTATTATATGAATCAAGTGGATCTGAGGAGTTCAAGATGTAAACTGAAGTGGCTGTGGTGCTGTGGTGTGTCACCAAGATCCCCTTTTGGGCTGAGGAACTCATCCCTAACTACTGGATATATTGATGGCTCTAGGCTCTCAACTGAGCCCCTAGTTAGGTATTTCTCTTAGCCAAAGACAGCGTCCTCACTCATATTTCCTCTCCTCGCCAAGGCCATCTGTATATAATGACTGGTCACTACGGAGGTATGACTATCTGGCCTTCTTGCCTCAACAAATCTGAAGGGCCATTTCAAATCTAAAACTTCCTCTAGGGTCATCTGTGGCCTCTGTTACCACTTCAAGTGGTTTACATTCTCCCTCTGCCAAATCCTACTGTCCTTATCCATGATACTAAGGAGGGCACTCGCTACTAAACCACCTGCATGCATATGTATCAAAGTCTCAGAGACTGATTGCTAGGGAACCCCACCTATGACAAAAGGGTATGTGTGAGTTGGGGCAAAGCCTAAGCTAGTGTATCAAAGAGACCTAAGCATTAAACAGCTTTCATAAGAGAGAATGCCATTTCTCTCCGATGCAACAGTCCAGATGGTTTAGGCTCACAAGCAACTCTGCTCCATGAGGTCATTCAAGAACCCAGGCTCCTTTTTCCTCATTGATCCGCTTCTTCCTTGAGTGTTACCTCATTTGATTGATTGAAGTTTTCCCATTATGTTCCCACCTATGGGAAAAGGAAAAGATCATAGGAGGAGAAAATGTCCATTGCTCTAAAGCTCACCCTTTTGGCTCACATTGGGACAACTTAGTCCTAGATATAGAGGATATTAGAAAATACAGTCTCTAACTTATGCCCCTAGCCTCAACTCTGTTATTATAGAAGAAGGAGAACAGATTTTGATGGGCAACACTTCCAGCCAAGCAGAGGAGGCTAAGGTAGAAAGCAGGACTCACTTCATGTATAAACAATGCTAAGCTAGGATGTTGAAATATTCTTTTGAAAATTGTGGGGAGCCATTGAGTAGGGCAGGAATTAAATAGTGAATCATTTATACGACAGAATATTATTGTGAGGCCAGCCAAGCAACAATATGACTTTTTGTGTGGAAATGCTGTTTTGTCACAGTATCTTCCATAACAGATGTGATCTCTAGTTTGAAAATGGGCAATGTTTCTGATCCCTGTTTTCTCCTCACAAAGGGAAAAGATCTCAGGGAAAAAATGAATGCTGTTCCTTCCAAAAAAACTATGGGTGAGTTGTTCTCAACCTTTCCTTGAAAGAAGAATTATCAGAGTAGTCTCTGCCTTCCCACTCCCAAAAATGCAGGGACAGGGCCTCAGGATGAGACTTTGTGTGTTACAAAAAGTAGAACACCATCTGGTAATATTGACTGCAATAGTAATTGTGTTTTTTGCATTGTTGGAAGTTTCCATTTGACATTGGAATACATTCTTAAATAAATGTGGTTATGTTATACATCATTTTAATGGGCATTTTTTGTTATATTTTTCTTGCTAATTATTACTTGCTGTTTATTTTATGTTTATTTTAGACTATGGCAATGATATTAGACAGAAAGCAAATTTGAGAAATTTTCTTATTTGAGTTCAAAATGGGTAGTAAATCAGTGAAGACAACTGACAACATCAACAATGCATTTAGCCCAGGAGCTGCTAACGAATGTACAATGCAGTGGTGGTTCAAGAAGTTTTGTAAAGGAGGTTGGGCATGGTGTCTCACACCTGTAATCCCAGCATTTTGGGAGGCTGAGGTGGGTGGATCACTTGGGGCCAGGAGTTCAAGACCAGCCTGGCCAACATGGCAAAAACCCATCTTTAATAAAAATGCAAAAATTAGCTGGGCATGATTGTGTGCACCTGCAATCCCAGCTTCTTGGGAGTCTGAGGCAAGAGAATCATTTGAACCCAGGAGGCGGAGGTTGCAGTGAGCCAAGATCAGGCCACTGCAATCAGGCCTGGGTGACAGAGCAAGACTCTGTCTCAAAAACAAACAAACAAACAAAAGTTTTGCAAAGGAGACAAGAGCCTTGAAGATGAGTAGCATGGTGGCTGGCCATCCGAAGTTGACAACGACCATTTGAGAGCAATCATCGAAGCTGATCTTCTTTTTATTTTTTTTATTATTATTACACTTTAAGTTTTAGGGTACATGTGTACAACGTGCAGGTTTGTTACATATGTATACATGTGCCATGTTGGTGTGCTGCACCCATTAACTCGTCATTTAGCATTAGGCATATCACCTAATGCTATCCCTCCCCCCTCCACCCACCCCACAACAGTCCCCGGTGTGTGATGTTCCCTTTCCTGTGTCCATGTGTTCTCATTGTTTAATTCCCACCTATGAGTGAGAACAGGCGGTGTTTGGTTTTTTTGTCCTTGCAATAGTTTGCTGAGAATGATGCTTTCCAGCTTCATCCATGTCCCTACAAAGGACATGAACTCATCATTTTTTATGGCTGCATAGTATTCCATGGTGTATATGTGCCACATTTTCTTAATCCAGTCTATAATTGTTGGACATTTCGGTTGGTTCCAAGTCTTTGCTATTGTGAATAGTGCCGCAATAAGCATATGTGTGCATGTGTCTTTATGGCAGCATGATTTATAATCCTTTGGGTATATACCCAGTAATGGGATGGCTGGGTCAAATGGTATTTCTAGTTCTAGATCCCTGAGGAATCGCCACACCGACTTCCACAATGGTTGAACTAGTTTACAGTCCCACCAACAGTGTAAAAGTGTTCCTATTTCTCCACATCCTCTCCAGCACCTGTTGTTTCCTGACTTTTTAATGATTGCCATTCTAACTGGTGTGAGATGGTATCTCACTGTGGTTTTGATTTGCATTTCTCTGATGGCCAGTGATGATGAGCATTTTTTCATGTGTTTCTTGGCTGCATAAATGTCTTCTTTTGAGAAGTGTCTGTTCATATCCTTCGCCCACTTTTTGATAGGGTTGTTTGTTTTTTTCTTGTAAATTTGTTTGAGTTCATTGTAGATTCTGGATATTAGCCCTTTGTCAGACGAGTAGGTTGCGAAAATTTTCTCTCATTCTGTAGGTTGCCTGTTCACTCTGATGCTGGTTTCTTTTGCTGTGCAGAAGCTCTTTAGTTTAATTAGATCTCATTTGTCAATTTTGGCTTTTGTTGCCATTGCTTTTGGTGTTTTAGACATGAAGTCCTTGCCCATGCCTATGTCCTGAATGGTATTGCCTAGGTTTTCTTCTAGGGTTTTTATGGTTTTAGGTCTAACATTTAAGTCTTTAATCCATCTTGAATTAATTTTTGTATAAGGTGTAAGGAAGTGATCCAGTTTCAGCTTTCTACATATGGCTAGCCAGTTTTCCCAGCACCATTTGTTAAATAGGGAATCCTTTCCTCATTGCTTGTTTTTGTCAGGTTTGTCAAAGATCAGATAGTTGTAGATATGTGGCATTATTTCTGAGGGCTCTGGTCTGTTCCATTGGTCTGTATCTCTGTTTTGGTACCAGTACCATGCTGTTTTGTTTACTGTAGCCTTGTAGTATAGTTTGAAGTCAGGTAGCGTGATGCCTCCAGCTTTGTTCTTTTTGCTTAGGATCGACTTGGCAATGTGGGCTCTTTTTTGGTTCCATATGAACTTTAAAGTAGTTTTTTTTTCCAGTTCTGTGAAGAAAGTCATTGGGTCATTGGTAGCTTGATGGGGATGGCATTGAATCTGTAAATTACCTTGGGCAGTATGGCCATTTTCACGATATTGATTCTTCCTATCCATGAGCATGGAATATTCTTCCATTTGTTTGTATCCTCTTTTATTTCATATTTCATTGAGCAGTCATTTGTAGTTCTCCTTGAAGAGGTCCTTCACATCCCTTGTAAGTTGGATTCCTAGGTATTCTCTTTGAAGCAGTTGTGAATGGGAGTTCACTCATGATTTGGCTGTTTGTCTGTTATTGGTATATAAGAATGCTTGTGATTTTTGCACATTGATTTTGTATCCTGAGACTTTGCTGAAGTTGCTTATCAGCTTAAGGAGATTTTGGGCTGAGACAATGGGGTTTTCTAAATATACAATCATGTCATCTGCAAACAGGGACAATTTGACTTCCTCTTTTCCTAATTGAATACCTTTTATTTCTTTATCCTGCCTGATTGCCCTGGCCAGAACTTCCAACACTATGTTGAATAGGAGTGGTGAGAGAGGGCATCCCTGTCTTGTGCCAGTTTTCAAAGGGAATGCTTCCAGTTTTTGTTCATTCAGCATGATATTGGCTGTGGGTTTGTCATAGATAGCTCTTATTATTTTGATATATGTCCCATCAATAGCTAATTTATTGAGAGTTTTTAGCATGAAGGGTTGTTGAATTTTGTCAAAGGCCTTTTCTGCATCTATTGAGATAATCATGTGGTTTTTGTCTTTGGTTCTGTTTATATGCTGGATTACGTTTATTGATTTGCGTATGTTGAACCAGCCTTGCATCCCAGGGATGAAGCCCACTTGATCATGGTGGATAAGCTTTTTGATGTGTTGCTGGATTCGGTTTGCCAGTATTTTATTGAGGATTTTTACATCAATGTTCATCAAGGATATTGGTCTAAAATTCTCTTTTTTTGTTGTGTGTCTGCCAGGCTTTGGTATTAGGATGATGCTGGCCTCACAAAATGAGTTAAGGAGGATTCCCTCTTTTTCTATTGATTGGAATAGTTTCAGAAGGAATGGTACCAGCTCCTCCTTGTACCTCTGGTAGAATTCGGCTGTGAATCCATCTGGTCCTGGACTCTTTTTGGTTGGTAAGCTATTAATTATTGCCTCAATTTCAGAGCCTGTTATTGGTCTGTTCAGAGATTCAACTTCTTCCTGGTTTAGTCTTGGGAGAGTGTATGTGTTGAGGAATTTATCCATTTCTTCTGGATTTTCTATTTTATTTGCGTAGAGGTGTTTATAGTATTCTCTGATGGTAGTTTGTGTTTCTGTGGGATCGGTGGTGATATCCCCTTTGTCATTTTTTATTGTGTCTATTTGATTCTTCTCTCTTTTCTTCTTATTAGTCTTGCTAGAAGTCTATCAATTTTGTTGATCTTTTCAAAAAACCAGCTCCTGGATTCATTGATTTTTTGAAGGGTTTTTTGTGTCTCTATTTCCTTCAGTTCTGCTCTGATCTTAGTTATTTCTTGCCTTCTGCTAGCTTTTGAATTTGTTTGCTCTTGCTTCTCTAGTTCTTTTAATTGTGATGTTAGGGTGTGAATTTTAGATCTTTCCTGCTTTCTCTTGTGGGCATTTAGTGCTATAAATTTCCCTCTACACACTGCTTTGAATATGTCCCGGAGATTCTGGTATGTTGTGTCTTTGTTCTTGTTGGTTTCAAAGAACATCTTTATTTCTGCCTTCATTTCGTTATGTACCCAGTAGTCATTCAGGAGCAGGTTGTTCGTCTTCCATGTAGTTGAGCGGTTTTGAGTGAGTTTCTTAATCCTGACTTCTAGTTTGATTGCACTGTGGTCTGAGAGACAGTTTGTTATAATTTCTTTTCTTTTACATTTGCTGAGGAGTGCTTTACTTCCAAGTATGTGGTCAATTTTGGAATAGGTGTGGTTTGGTGCTGAAAAGAATGTATATTCTGTTGACTTGGGGTGGGGAGTTCTGTAGATGTCTATTAGGTCTGCTTGGTGCAGAGCTGAGTTCAATTCCTGGATATCCTTGTTAACTTTCTGTCTCGTTGATCTGTTTAATGTTGACAGTGGGGTGTTAAATCTCCCATTCTTATTGTGTGGGAGTCTAAGTCTCTTTGTAGGTCACTAAGGACTTGCTTTATGAATCTGGCTGCTCCTGTATTTGGTGCATATATATTTAGGACAGTTAGTTCTTCTTGTTGAATTGATCCCTTTACCATTATGTAATGGCCTTCTTTGTCTCTTTTGATCTTTGTTGGTTTAAAGTCTGTTTTATCAGAGACTAGGATTGCAACCTCTGCCTTTTTTTGTTTTCCATTTGCTTGGTAGATCTTCCTCCATCCCTTTATTTTGAGCCTATGTGTGTCTCTGCATGTGAGATGGGTTTCCTGAATACAGCACACTGATGGGTCTTGACTCTTTATCCAATTTGCCGGTCTGTGCCTTTTAATTGGAGCATTTAGCCCATTTACATTTAAGGTTAGTGTTGTTATGTGTGAATTTGATCCTGTCATTATGATGTTAGCTGGTTATTTTGCTCGTTAGTTGATGCAGTTTCTTCCTAGCCTTGATGGTCTTTACAATTTGGCATGTTTTTGCAGTTGCTGGTAGCGGTTGTTCCTTTCCATGTTTAGTGCTTCCTTCAGGAGCTCTTTTAGGGCAGGCCTGGTGGTGACAAAATCTCTCAGCATTTGCTTGTCTGTAAAGGATTTTATTTCTCCTTCACTTATGAAGCTTAGTTTGGCTGGATATGAAATTCTGGGTTGAAAATTCTTTTAAGAATGTTGAATATTGGCCCCCACTCTCTTCTGGCTTGCAGAGTTTCTGCGGAGAGATCAGCTGTTAGTCTAATGGGCTTCCCTTTGTGGGTAACCTGACCTTTTTCTCTGGCTGCTCTTAACATTTTTTCCTTCGTTTCAACTTTGGTGAATCTGACAATTATGTGTCTTGGAGTTGCTCTTCTCGAGGAGTATCTTTGTGGCGTTCTCTGTATTTCCTGAATTTGAATGTTGGCCTGCCTTGCTAGATTGGGGAAGTTCTCCTGGATAATATCCTGCAGAGTGTTTTCCAACTCGGTTCCATTCTCCCTGTCACTTTCAGGTACACCAATCAGATGTAGATTTGGTCTTTTCACATAGTCCCATATTTCTTGGAGGCTTTGTTCATTTCTTTTTATTCTTTTTTCTCTAAACTTCTCTTCACGCTTCATTTCATTCATTTCGTCTTCCATCGCTGATACCCTTTCTTCCAGTTGATCGCATCGGCTACTGAGGCTTGTGCATTCATCACATAGTTCTTGTGCCGTGGTTTTCAGCTCCATCAGGTTGTTTAAGGGCTTCTCTGCATTGGTTATTCTAGTTAGCCATTCATCTAATTTTTTTTTCCAAGTTTTTAACTTCTTTGCCATTGGTTCAAACTTCCTCCTTTAGCTTGGAGTAGTTTGATCTTCTGAGGCCTTCCTCTCTCAACTTGTCAAAGTCATTCTCCATCCAGCTTTGTTCCGTTGCTGGTGAGGAGCTGCTTTCCTTTGGAGGAGGAGAGGCACTGTGATTTTTAGATTTTCCAGTTTTTCTACTCTGTGTTTTCCCCATCTTTGTGATTTAATCTACGTTTGGTCTTTGATGATGGTGACGTACAGATGGGTTTTTGGTGTGGATGTCCTTTCTGTTTGTTAGTTTTCCTTCTAACAGTCAGGACCCTGAGCTGCAGGTCTGTTGGAGTTTACTGGAGGTCCACTCCAGACCCTGTTTGCCTGGGTATCAGCAAGAGTGGCTGCAGAACAGCGAATATTGGTGAACCGCAAATGCTGCTGCCTGATCGTTCCTCTGGAAGTTTTGTCTCAGAGGAGTACCCGGCCGTGTGAGGTGTCAGTCTGCCCATAGTGGGGGTTGCCTCCCAGTTAGGCTACTCGGGGGTCAGGAACCCACTTGAGGAGGCAGTCTGCCCATTCTCAGATCTCAAGCTGTGTGCTGGGAGAACCACTACTCTCTTCAAAGCTGTCGAAGCTGATCTTCTTGCAACTACATGAGAAGTTGCTGAAGAACTCAACGTCAGCCATTCTACAGTCATGCAGCACTTGAAGCAAATTGGGAAGGTGAAAAAACTTGATAAATGGGTGCCTTGTGAGCTGAATGAAGATTAAAAAAAATTCATCATTTTGAACTGTCATCTTCTCCTATTCTATGGAAAAACAATGAACCATTTCTCGATTGGATTGTGACATGCGACAAAAAGTGGATTTTATACAACAACCGGTGATGAGCAGCTCAGCAGTTGGACTGAGAAGAAGCTCCAAAGCACTTGTCACAGCCAAACTTGCACCAAAAAAAAAAAGGTCATGGTCACTGTTTGGTGGTCTGCTGTTGGTCTCATCCACTACAGCTTTCTGAATCTTGACAAAACCATTACATCTGAGACGTATGCTCAGCAAATTGATGAGATGCACCAAAAACTGCAGTGCCTGCACCTGGCATTGGTCAACAGAAAAGGCCCAATTCTTCTCCACAACAATGCCTGACCACACGTCGTACAACCAAGGCTTCAAAAGTGTAATGAATTGGGCTATGAAGTTTTGCTTCAACCAAATTGAAGGGACCAAATTCACCCGACCTCTCCCCAACCATCTACCACTTCTTCAAGCATCTCGACAACTTTTTGCAGAGAAAACACTTTTGCAACCAGCAGGATGCAAAAAATGCTTTCTAAGAGTTCATCCAATCCCAAAGCATGGATTTTTATGCTGCAGAAATAAACCTATTTCTTGTTGGCAAAAATGTGTTGACTGTAATTGTTCCTATTTCAATTCAAAGTTGTATTTGAGCCTAGTTATAATGATTTAAAATTCAAGGCCTGAAACCGCAATTATTTTTGCATCAACCTAACATATGCGGGTGTGTAGAAGAAAGAGTGTTGGAGTCATTTGGGTCCAGTCAACAGACTGTGCTCGGCTCAGCCTTGGCTCTGCCTCTAGATTTATGACTTTTCTCAAATTGCTTGGCTTCTCTGGAATTTACTTCTAAATTAGGACATTTGACAAAATAATCTAGAAGTTTCCCTTCAGCTTAAAAGCTTAACTTACTCTGAATAGGTCTTGAAACTGAAGTTTGGAACCAGCTAGAGTTAGAGCCCAAGAAATGTTTGTTGAATTTAATTAAATTTCTGATTTTTATTTTAGCAAAGTAAATCATTGCTTGACCCTCAGCCCACATGGGAAAACCACCCCTAACATTACAACAGCAGTAACAACAACAAACATCTACGTGAGCTTTCTACAGCCTCTGATGACTTATGTAAGTGAGTAGATGAGCTTGCTTTTTATCTGCCTGTTCCAGATGCAGATTTCACTGAACGATGATTGAAGGGGAAATTCCAAGAGAAGGCCCCTGCACAGCCCATGGCCTCCTGGAGTCTATCTCATATATCACAAAGGTGGAGAGTTAAAGAGGACACAATGGAACATCTAATGTGCTCTTTTCCTCGTGGTATTTTGATGTCTATGGGAAAAGAATTATGAGGGATTGCCCATTTAAACTAGCGCACGCCAGGTCTCTCGGGGTTGGCATTCAGTTTGGGCAGTGAAGCACATTCTCAGTTTCATGCAGCTGGCTTGGGAGTGGCAGACACATTTCCACTATTCTGGGCCTGGTTCAGAGAGGAAGATCACTGGTTACTGTCTGTGGCTGCAGTAGCTTAGGGAGCCAATGAAGACGGGGTGAGGGGCTGAGGCAGAATGCAATTCAGTGAGCTGAAAATTCACCAGAACACTAAGGCTCATATTCGAAAAAAAAGAACCATGTACAACCACTTCTGACTCCTGCAACCACTTCTGACCCTGACCTTTCATTTTCTAGATCTTAAAAAAATAAAGTAGCACCTGCGGGATGCTCAGTCTTGAGTGACTTCAATAAACCCAAGCTGTCGGCTGAAGGGCAAGAATCATATATTTGTGATTAGAATCAATGAGCAGCAAGGCTTGTACACAAACTGGCAATACTTTGATGGCAAATCCTTCCTTTTCAGATATTTTTGAAAGGCTAATTTACTTATAAATTTTAATTTCCCCCAGATTAGTGGTCATGTCAGCACTTAAAATGCTGGCAGGGGGATAAATCAGTATCATGTTTGTCTTTAAAATGGGAGACATAGGACACCTGGCCTCTGTTAATACAGGGACACTGTACAAGAGTAAACTACGGCACAATACAGTTCTTATTCTGAATTGGAATCCATCTGTACTCTACAGTGGGAAGACAAAAGGGGATTGTTAGCACTTAAGGCACCTTGACACAGTTGGACCGTTTGACTCTTTTATTAATTGCCCCATCTGCTAAGTGAGAGCTCTCTGACACAGGTTGGCGCAGAACTCTTAAAGCCCTTAGTCTGCTTCCTATTGGTTCCACATGTGTTTGTATTTGTTCTCAGTAGGCAGAGATTCCAGAGAGAAAATGAACCGCTGCAGATCGATTGCAGTATCAGTCATGCAGAAGACATGGTGAAGTGTGCCATTTGATTTTGATCTAGTTTTAACCCTTGGGAGATGGTTGCCCTGGTTCCCTTGGCTTTTGTTTGCCTGCGTTTTTGTTTGAAGGCTCAGATGCTAATAGTGGGACAGAAAAGGCAGTACAATGCCCTCATTTTAGGAAATGCAGCATTTCTCCTTTAAGTCATCCAGTCCTCAAAAATCTTTTGTCTCCATCTCGGACAGAGCAATAGAAAAACCAGAAAGCATTAATGTGGGGGAGGTGTATGTGTGTATGTGTGTGTGTGTGTGTGTGTGTGTGTTATTGCTGCTGTGAAAAGATATGCTCTGTTTATGTAGCTATTGATAATTCCCAACAAAAGTACATTGACAGTGCAGGCAGTCTGGGCCTAAAATGACAAAAGACAGACCAACCAAACTCAAGAGTTTACTTAGGCAATCATTCCCCCAGGTATGATTTGTCTTTGTCTTTTCCTTTTTATTTTGTTTTAAAGAGATTCAGTGAGATTGAGCTAAGGATGTGGTGTCTATTTAAGCCTCAGTTTTGCAATTTCCGCATTTAGCCCGGATTATGTTACAGCCAACTCATGCTGGGATATTTTTCTATGTACAATTGGGAGATAAAAGAGAGAAACAGGAAAGGTGTGGCGTCTCCTCACAAAGTTCCTTTATCATGGACTCTGGGGCTAGGGGTTTCATGGTTTTGTGTGTGTGTGTGTGTGTGTGTGTGTGTGTGAGAGAGAGAGAGAGACAGAGAGACAGAGTGACAGAGAGATAGAGTGAAAGAGATAGTGAGAGAAGTAGGAAAAGATTAAAAGTCTTGGGCCACGAAACAAAGCTCTTGCCTCTTGATGATGTTCTTTATCTTCTCACTAAGGATATCTGAGTTCTCTGTTCTGTTTTCTGAAACTCCAGGAACCTAAAACTGGAGATGATGGGGACAGGGCTGAGGCCTGGTCTCACCATACAGTGAAGAGCCTAAGGTTCAGGAATTACTTAGTACAGTGTTTTTGTCAGCTCCTGAAATCACATTTTCTGCCACATGTCCGTCTTTAAGGCTCCACACCGTGCTCTGCTGATACAAGCAAGCCTGTCTCTCTCTTGCCTGTAAAGGAACACTGATTCCCTTGGGAGTCTTGGTATTGGGGGCAATAGAAAACATAGTCCAATTGGCTTCCATAAAATGTGTTTTATGAGTTCACATAAATGTGTGGGGTAGGGGTGGAGCTGACTTTGGACATGGCTGAATTCAGTGACTCCAAATTTTCTCTGCTCTTCTAAGTCTGGCTTCATTCTCAGGCTCCATATGGTGGCATGATGGGCGAATTAATCCCCTCCAATTTCATGTCCTGGTGGAAAGAGAACATGTCTTTCTCCTAGTAGCTCAAGAAAATGTCTTAGTGGGTCTGGCTTAGATTGATTTACATGCACAACAATGAGTCAATCCCTGTGGCCAGGGGAATGAAATACTCTGTCCAGGACTAAAAGCATCCTATTCCTAAACCTGGGGTAGAAGTCAGTCTGAAGTTCATGGGTTAACGTTTGGGAGAAGGTTGTTTCTAAGAGAAAAGTCTGGGTGCTGTTATTAAAAGGAAGAGGGAGCAGAGGCTGGCCATCCAAAGAACAGTCCAAAAATTATCCACTGCAAGAGTCTTATAAGCTCAAAAGTAACAAAGTAACCTGGTCCGTTCCATAAAGTCTCTCTCTCTCTCTCTCTCTTTCTGTGTGTGTGTGTGTGTGTGTGTGTGTGTATGTGCGTGTGTGTGTGTGTATTGGCAAGGACACTGATTAAACACACTGCCTTCAGGGTCAGATATCCTGGGATCATATCCTAATTCTCGAAGTTACTAACTTTTTGAATTTTTTGTAAGTTCCTTAAAATTTTGGATTGATTTATATTTATGCTATAACAATTTAAGGTAGGGTTAACTCAGCATAATATCTAAAGAAACAAGCAATTTATTAAAAATCTCATTTGTTCTTTCTTGCCTACTCCTGCCATACATAAAAATAACATTTCATGATAATTAAACACTTGCTTATAAACAATTGATGTTTTAAACATTAACTCTTATACAACTCTCAAGATACTAGCTGTCAGCATCAGGTAGTATCTTGAGAGTTGTACAAAATTTTACTTTCCTAAGTTACCCTCTGTGTTTCAGAAGGATGAACTGCTTTTTCTTACTGATATATATTCTCTACTGTCACAGACTCTTCCTGGGAGAATAAGTTTTGCTTAAGTGTACCCAGAATGACTGTGTCTCTATGAAGGATGAGATGACTTGTCTTTTCAGTGAAAACATCTTTTGCTGCATTAAGCTTGTGCCCCACTGCAGGAATCTATTAGTCCACAAAACTTTCACCTTCCCACAAATGTTTCAACAGCTGGGATGCAAAGTCTCACTCAGAGACAAATGTGCACACCACATTTACAGTCTGAAATTCAATCTTCTAGCATCACTTGATTAGAATGAACATTAAGTGCATTGTAATTCTTTTCATTTAAATAGCAGCCAGTAAATTTATACCATAACCCATCCCCTATCCCAATAGCATGTTCAAAAAGGTTTTAGTTAATGTCATTTTAACCAGTTGACGTCTAAATATTTACTAAATTTTTCAGGTGCTCAGGGCATGTAGAGTACCCCAGTATTTACAAGGCTGTGCAAGTATACACACACACACACACACACATACACACACACACACACACAGCAAGTCATACTTTCTTTGTGGTAATTAGGAATATGTTTCTGATTATTTTCTTTAAAAAGTATTTCAAGGCCGGGCGCAGTGGCTCACGTCTGCAATCCCAGCACTTTGGGAGGCCGAGGTGGGCAGATCACAAGGTCAGGAGATTGAGATCATCCTCGCTAACATGGTGAAACCCTGTCTCCACTAAAAATACAAAAAAATTAGCCGGGCGCGGTGGCGGGCACCTGTAGTCCCAGCTGCTCAGGAGGTTGAGGCAGGAGAATGGTGTGAACCCAGGAGGCAGAGGTTGCAGTGAGCCGAGATTGTGCCACTGCACTCCAGCCTGGGCGACGGAGTGAGACTCCGTCTAATAAAAAAAAAAAAAAGTATTTCAATAGGATTCCCTCTACCTCAAGTACCATCTCCTCTGAGAGCTCATCTCTCTTAATCAATTTGCACAGTGCTTAGCATGTAGTTAAAGCTCAATAAATGTGAGCTATGTTCAACTGATTATAGTTATTATGTGACTTTAATTATTAAGCAGTACTGTTGATAATGTTAATTCTACTGGGCTCCTTAGTTTTCTAAACTGGGAACCATTATATGTGGATCTCACCCATATTTGATTTAACCACTCAGGCTATCTCACCGACCTAAAGGGATTGAACACATTATCTGCAGTAAGTTCATCTCTTTTGTGGATGTTTACAAACCTCTTTTCCTGAAAGTTCTATATACTCCAGCTAGCCTACCTTCTAATGAAATATGTATCCTTAGAAATGAACATTGCTCCCTCCAAACTCCTGCTGAGGACACTTCTGCTTTGCCCAAGTTGCTCTTTTCCTCTTTTTACAGTGAATGTATCATTGTCTAACATACCATATCATTTACTTTACTGATTATATTTATTCTTCTATTATTGGCCTCTCCCTGGCAGAATCTAAGTTCCATGAAGGCAGAAGTTTTGTGTCTTTTGTTTGTTGACTGATGTATACCAGGCATCTTGAGCACCATTTCTTTCTATCCCAAATGACACTTTTTCATTGTACAGGTTTCAGTTGTACAGGTTTATAGTGTTTCCGGGATAAGAGCAACTTTACTCCAAGTAAGAGAAGGATTGGAGTGTTGATCTTGGCCAACCTTTTTTTTATGGCCATTCTACTCATACTATGAATTTCTTCCTACTTGGCTGCATTTTGGAATGGGCAACTAGTGTGACTTGGTACTCATGGGGTTCAAACTACAGAATGAGAAGACTGCATAAATTCCCATGATTCAAGACTCCCTGATGTGTTGGTTGGCTAAGGGGAGGAGTGGGAACTGAATACATAAAAGGGAAAATACTATAGTGTTTTGAATTATCCAGGCTAAAAAGTTCTCTCATTTTTGGACATCATCTTTGTCTCCTGTACCTGGGGAGAACCAAATCCTCTGATGCTTCCTTCCCAGAATTTTCCTGCACCAATTACCAATTTATCTGCTGAGTTGAATGTGACAAAAACTCCAAAATTATGGTAGTTTCATCAAGATAATATTATAGTTCACTTTTTCACAAAAATAATGCAAAGGTAGAAGGATCGGCATGGTGGCACCGTGGGGTCATCAGGGATGCAGGCATTTTTCAACACTACTGTATCTAATGTGTGGTTCTTATCTTCCTGATCCAGGATGGTGGCAGAGGATGTGCCTTTATATCTATATTTCAGGCTGGAAGTGCTATTAAAGTACAAGGAAATGAGGCAAAAATGCTCCTGTCTAACACTGTTGCTGTGATTTAATTGCCAGAACTTAGTCTGATGGCTATTGCTATCTACAAGGGAGGTCTGGAAATGTAGCTTTTATTCCTGATGGCCCATGTCATCAGAAAATGTTGAGGTTTTTTTTTCTTTTTCTTTTTTGGCACAAAATCCAGTCATCTAATAACAAATGCTCCCCCCACCCTCACCCCATCACAGCACCGTGAGAATCATGGGTCCAACTGTGTGGCAGGGGGCTGTGGAAAGCCAGGGTGAATGGGGGCAGCAGGTAAGGGGTTGGGTGGGCCCCTGCACCTCCTGTCACTGGCTCCTGGGAGCACAGAATCAGGCTGGGCACAGAGGCCTCTTCTTTGCCTAGGCACCGGCAGGGCAGCTCCATCCAAGAGAGGCCAGGGCTGCCCTCAGAGAGCATGAGGGGTCAGGGCTGGCTGGAGAAAGGAGGAGGAGAGAAGCGACTATGTCCATCACACTTAGGTCCTCTGGCCTGCTTCTGCCACGTCCAGCTGCCAGGAGCTGGCCTCAGCCCTGTGAGGGGCCACTGGCACTCACTCCAGCCTTGCCTTCTTGGCCTTCTTCTCAGATGTCACCGCCTCATCGTGGGCTTTCCGCTTCTCTGCCAGCTTGTTGGCCTCTCGGATTTTTCGCCTCTTGCCAAACATGATCTTCTGGTACAGGTACTTCTCCCACTTCTTCATCATCATAATGGCCAGGTGCTTGGCCTCGCTCTCCTCCTCTTGGGCTAGTCACTGCTCATCCTCCACCTTCAAGGTGCCTGTCTTCCCCTTCATTCTCTGCTCCTCCAGGGCTGCCAGCTGGGCCTCTTCCTCCTTTTTTGAACCAGCCTCTGCATCTTTCTCCTCCTCCTCCTCTTCATTTTCTCCCCCTTCATCACCATCATTTTCATTGTTGTCGTCCTCTTTCTCCTCTTCTTCGGGTGCATTCAGGATTCCTGGGTCCTCTCCCTGCTGCAGAGCCAGCAGCCTCAGTTTTTCAGGTGGGATGTAATCTCCTTCCTTCTTGGTCACAAAAGGTGAAAGGTGTGGGGGCAGCTGCACCCCAGGGAAGTACTCTGCCATGAGGAGGAGAAGCCTAGCGTTCACCGAGTCAATCACCCACTGGGGCTGCATGTAGCACCTGCCAATGATGGAGGTCTGCTGCCCAGGCCAGTTGACAATCTTGTGGGTGATGCGGGAGTCCGTGATGTCATAGGTGGCCCCGATGCACAAAGACTTGTCCCAGGACACTTCCCCCCAAAAACTGATGACGAAGGCCAGGGCTTCACGGGGCACCCCTTGGTTCAGGAAGAACTTTAGGCCCTCAGAAAACTTCTTGTGCTTCTCCTGCCCCTCCAGCTCCTTCCTGCGTTCTTCCTCCTGTGCTGACATCTCCCCATTGGCAGGAAACTCATCCACCTCGGGCTCCTCCTCTGTGGCAGGCACCACCACGCGGGCCAGGCTGGCAGTGAGGGCAGCCATTTTCTCCATGGAGCTCTCAGAGTCCAATGCATGGGTGCCCTCACTGGCCTTTGCCTCTTCTTGGGCCTGACCCTCGAGCTTCAGTGGGTAGTGGAGGTTGAGCCACTGGTAGAGGTGGAAGTTGATGAAGCCCAGCAGGGTGCTGTAGAACTCGGTGAAGGTGGCCATGACCCTGTAGTCCATGTCTGTTGGGTGGTCATGGGAGAAGGCATAAGTGGTGATTCACGTGATGGGCTGTCCCAGGACCTTGACCTGGTAGTAAATGCCTTTGATGGACAGGAAGACCTTGTGGCAGGGCACTAGCAGCGATGATGTAGTGCATGAACTCCATGGTGAATGGTCTGCACATGGCCCTTGCCAGTCCGTGGGAAGGTGGAAAAGAGGAAGCACATGGAGAGGGCGTTGTCCAGGTCTCGCAGGGCATCAGTGAACGTAGGGTACCATTCCTTGATGATGCGGTCAAGTTTGTAGTTGGGCTTATTGTCCTTTAGATACTCTACAGTGTTTCCACTTGCTCTTCCTATAGGCCTTCAGGAGCTTCCGGATTAACACCTTGTATTCCCAGAACTTGTTGACAATGGGTTCATGGAGGAGAAACCTGATGTCTTCGATAAGGTAAAAAGTTTGGGCTGCTGTAGAACGTTTGTTAACCTTCTTCTTGTGTTTGGGTTCATGGGGATAAATGCGCTTCAGAATGCACAACTGCCTAAAGTCAGCCAGGCTCAGCTGGAGCTTCTTCTGGGCTTTATTCTGGGTGATGTAGTTGGTGGCTGAGCCTCGTTCATAATTCTTCTTCCCAAGGCCTCCCATGGCTCCACGTTGAGGAGCCGACTAGAGCTGCACGGACAGACAGTGCCACTTCTTCCTGACGAGGTTTTTATTACTAACAAAGAGAGAGAGAAATTAGTAGGCGGGAAGGTTGCCTTCTCAATTCAAACCACCTTTATGATACTCAGTAACTAAAACCCAAGTTGTTATAATTACTAAGTACCTCAACTTTCTTCTCTGCAAGTTTAGGATGCCAACTTCATTGTTCAGAATAGTATTCTCTTCATTTCTTTCTGTAGCTCAAATACTTTAAATAGCTCCCAATTAATAACTGGAAATTTTTCAATTTCACTAGTGGTGTCATATGATAGAAAGAATCAAGCTTAGAAAGAAACTACCATCAGAGTGAACAGGCAACCTACAGAATGTGAGAAAATTTTTGCAACCTACTCATCTGACAAAGGGCTAATATCCAGAATCCAATGAACTCAAACAAATTTACAAGAAAAAAACAACCCCATCAAAAAGTGGGCAAAGGATATGAACAGGCACTTCTCAAAAGAAGACATTTATGCAGCTAAAAAACACATGAAAAAATGCTCATCATCACTGGCCACCAGAGAAATGCAAATCAAAACCACAGTGAGATACCATCTCACACCAGTTAGAATGGTGATCATTAAAAAGTCAGGAAACAACAGGTGCTGGAGAGGATGTGGAGAAATAGGAACACTTTTACACTGTTGGTGGGACTGTAAACTAGTTCAACCATTGTGGAAGTCGGTGTGGAGATTCCTCAGGGATCTAGAACTAGAAATACCATTTGACCCAGCCATCCCATTACTAGGTGTATACCCAAAGGATTATAAATCATGCTGCTATAAAGACACATGCACACGTATGTTTATTGCAGCACTATTCACAATAGCAAAGACTTGGAACCAACCCAAATATCCAACAACGATAGACTGGATTAAGAAAATGTGGCACATATGCACCATGGAATACTATGCAGCCATAAAAAATGAAGAGTTCATGTCCTTTGTAGGGACATGGATGAAGCTGGAAACCATCATTCTCAGCAAACTATCTCAAGGACAAAAACCAAACACCGCATGTTCTCACTCATAGGTGGGAATTGAACAATGAAAACACATGGACACAGGAAGGGGAACATCACACACCGGGGAATGTTATGGGGTGGGTGGAGGGGGGAGGGATAGCATTAGGAGATATACCTAATGCTAAATGACAAGTTAATGGGTGCAGCACACCAACATGGCACATGTATACATATGTAACAAACCTGCACATTGTGCACATGTACCCTAAACTTTAAAGTATAATAATAAAAAAAAAGTCAGGAAACAACAGGTGCTGGAGAGGATGTGGAGAAATAGGAACACTTTTACACTGTTGGTGGGACTGTAAACTAGTTCAACCATTGTGGAAGACAGTGTGGTGATTCCTCAGGTATCTAGAACTAGAAATACCATTTGACCCAGCCATCCCATTACTGGGGATATACCCAAAGGATTATAAATCATGCTGCTATAAAAAAAAAAAAGAAATACCTGAAAATAAGAATGATGACTTCTCATGATCCTGGGTGTTGGCTGGGTGTTTCCTCTGCCAGTCTCACTCAGTCTGACTGATGCAGCTGCAGTTAGCTGGAGGGATGGTCAACTGGAAAATCCCAGATGGATGTAAGTGCCACTCATCTCTGGCAGTATCTGCTGGCTCTTGGCTGTAGCACTGAGGTTCTCCTTCATGTGGCCTCTCATCCTCCAGGAGTCTAGGCCAGCTGCTTTGTGCTCACAGGGCTGCTGCATTCCCAGTTGACAAAAACCTATGTTGCAAGGTGTCTTAGGTCCTAGCCTTGGCAACCATGCTACTCCTGACACATTTCTATCATAAGTCCAGTCCTGAGTCAAGGGTGGGAGACATAGTCTACATTTCTGTTTGGGATAAGAGGCAAAGCATATTGAAAAGGGGAATGCTTTCTAGGACAGGAAATTGTGACCATTTTTTGGTAATTCACACTGGTAGCTACAGGATTTTGGACAAACCACTTAACATGGCTGAAATATCAATTTCCTCATCTGGAAAATAGGGATGGTAATTACCCTGAGAGTATTTCAGAAATAGATGATGTCAGGCTTATAAAGTGCCTAGAGTAAAATGATATTTAGTCAATATTAATTCTACCCTATTCAAGGTTCTCCCAGATCCTGCCATACATCGTCCTGACTCTGTGTGGACCCTGCACTCCAGCTAATCTCTTCATAGTCCTCTGAAGCTACCACTGAGGTTCCCACTTAGTGCTTCTGCCATTCTCTTTAACTGAAATGTTTTTCCTTCCCTTCTTAGTCTAAAAAACTTTATCCATACTTTAGCATATGACGTCATTTCCTTAATCAATCTTTGCCTCCTCTGGTCACCATGATTTCTTTGTTGTCTAGATTCTAGCAGCCCTTGTAACTTATGCCACAATCTCGCTCTTTGATTATATGGGTTCCTGTGACTTTTGCATGGCCTCACGGGGTTATTTACATATTGATACTCTTTACCATTTTGACTGTGTGTCACCAACTATACTGTGAACTTCTAAAGAATGGAGAATGTAAAGAAGAATGGTGAAACAGAAAGAGACTTGAAGGATTAGTCATATGACCCCAGTTTAATCTTTAGTGCTTACTAGCTGAATAAACGTGAGCCAATCACTTAACTTTTCTGAACTTTAGTTCCAGAATCATTAAAATGATAAAATATGGAGCCTGCTTAATGTTGTTGCAAGGATCAGGTAAGGGCACAGATAGAAAAGTTTGAGTGCTGTAAAGTATCACATATATATATTTGGCCTGTTGTGGTATGTTTAATGAAAAATCATTGCATAAATATTAAATATAATAAATATAAAACACAGGAAACTAGATTTATTGAGTTCATTGGTACAGGAACATAGATCTTCTTTTAATTTACACCCCCTTCCCTCCCCAAGGAACCAGAATACCACAGTTTTGGCATCATCAATTTAATGGGTTCAGGTTGAATGACTCCATCATGTCCAATTATAATTCCAGTTCTCATTATAGTCTAGCAAGAGAGAAAACCTAAGTGGAGGTCAAATATTATTCTAAAATCTGTCTGCTGCAAAGTTTCTTTTAGAGAAAATATTCTGGAGAAGCCTAAATTTTGGTCAACTGTTTCATAAGTTGGGTGTTGTGTGGTTATGGTTGAGTTAACTTAAATACAATAGGAGAAACTTTGTTTTATATACAGCACTACATGAAGGCCTCTCATCATGGTTCAAATAGTTTAAATCCATTGGATTAGAGTGATGTTAGACTTGCAAGAATGTAACTTGTCTAGCTTCTGTGCAAAACTGTATATGCAGACCCTCAAGAGTTGCCCATATATATTAGTTTGAAGTATTTCCAGGGATAAAGAGCTATGAATTTCAGTATCTATCACATTTATGTTCGAGAAGGTTGTTTTACTGTTGAACAACAAACTCATGGCAATTTGATATATGTTTGTCTTGTTTTGTCCTAAATGGAGGTGGTGAACAGCTGGTCAATATCATTTTTATGACAATTTGAATTTGTTGATAAATTGTCCCTCAATTCTTCTTTCATCCCAGCTTTCTTAACCTTTCAAGAGAGGTCCTGTTTTACTTTCTCAAAATCATTTTTATTATTATTTTCAGGGCTCAGAGCATTCAGGCCTCAAACTAGACAGAAATCTCAAGTGACACTCAGTGTTCATAATGACATTGCTTCTTGTTTTTCTTTTGTAATACTGATTGTAATGTGTCTTAGCATTAACTATTTTATTGTTGATTGAAATTCATTTCATGGACTGTAGCATATCATTCTCTTTAAAAAAATGGCTCCATAATGTCTTTCTTTACTTATTTTAGAAGTAATACACGTTCCTTGTTTCATATAGGCATATATAAGTAAGTACACAAGAGAGAAGTAAAATTGCACACAATCCCTCTATTCATGGATAGCCCCCATTGAAGTTTTGGCTTCACAGTCTTCAGGGCTGAACAGACTAGCTTTTTCTTCTCCTCTGGCAGGGATATCCTCTTTGAGCCATGGTCTTCTGTCTCGTAAGACTTTCTGTAATCTGAGTTAGACAGCCATGGCTCTTTGAAGGGTGGAGTGACAAGGAATCATGAATTATTAAGAACAAAAAGAGGCTGGCCGTGGTGGCTCACACCTGTAATCCCAGCACTTTGCAACACTTTGGGAGGCTGAGCGGGGCAGATTGCTGGAACCCAGGAGTTCCAGACCAGCCTGGGCAACATGGCGAAACCCTGTCTCTACTGGAAATAGAAACATTAGCAGGTCATGGTGGTGCGCTGTAGCTCCAGCTGCTCAGGAGGCTGAGATGGGATGATCACTTGAGCCCGGGAGGTGGAGATTGCAGTGAGCCAAGATCATACCACTGCACTTTAGCCTGGGCCACAGAGCGAGACCCTGTCTCAAACGAAACAAACCAAAAAGTAATAAATTAGCCAGGCATGGTGGTGCATGCCTGTAGTCTCAGCTACTTAGGAGGCTGAAGTGGGAGGATCTCTTGGTCCAGGAGTTCCAGGCTGCAGTGAGCTGTGATTGCACCACTGCACTTCAGCGTGGGGGACAGAGAAAGACTCTGTCTCTAAAAAAAAAAAAGAAGATATTCTGCAAATGTGTTGGAAAACTAATATTGTCTCTACTGAGGATCACCTAAGTATTTAATTAGGATGTATGTATATACATATGTATATACATCATATACAATTCGTAGAAATGTGTCTGGGGCCACAGTAGGAGCTGAATACATGTTAACTGTTATTATTCCAGTTGCATTAGCTATTCTTTTTTTTTTTTTATTGCTTTCATTGTTGTCTTTGTCATCATCATCACTAAATGCATCCTGTAGGCTGGGCCTAGTTGAAGACCCTGGTTCATTATAGTGTCTCATTTCTCCCCAGGACCTCATGGTTTGGTAGGAGTGACAGACACATAATTTTATAAATTGCAGTCTTCAGCATATCTAAAACAAAACAAAATGAAAAACCCAAATAAATAACCCTATAAGCTCCTTAGCTTCCCTTAAATGCCAACTTCCAGGCTCAGCTAATTAGAATATATTGTTTTTTTCTCTACAATGCTTTAGCCATTTTTTACCTTCCTATAATTTATCCATTTCACATCTCATTATCTCACTCGTTATCTCATCACTCTTGAACTCTTTCATAAAAGAGAAGGTAAAGAAGTTCTTCAGGTCCTTATGTTTTAAATGTTATCTGTCATTAGCTTTTCTACTCAGTCATTTAGAAAGAAGGTGCTTGCCTTGTTTACCTACTTTTGATGGTTATAATTAAGAAATGGTCCCATAACTCTTATGGAATTTTTATTGTAGAATTTTTTTAATATGACATCAAAGCCAATAGTCAATCTTGTCAAAGCAGTAAAAAAAAAAATCAAGCTTATTTTCAACTTTAAATCACAATGTTCATTGTCATTTTTGATATGGTAGCCCCCAGATTTCCTTCTTGTGACTTGTTAGATCCCTTTTGAGAATTTTCTTCAATTTAAACCATTTCAATTCTTATAGACCTTTAAATGTTTCTACAGATTGATGGAAATGTGGCATGGTCTACTCTCTATCCTTCCTTCAATTCAATTGTGTCAGCTATTACATTGTGCAAATTAGAAAATTTCATTAATTGAGGAAAGGTCTTTATCCTAAGGGAAGCTGCTGAAGAAGCGAAATGAAATCCACATCTCTTTTCCTCTCCCTTACTCTCTCTTTCCTTTGGTGTTTGTGTGTATTTGTATGTGAATAAATAAAAGGTGGCTGATTCAAGGAATTGAGATAGGAAATTGTAGGCTGGGTGAGCAGACAGTAGATGACACTTAAATGTATTTAATTCACTTTATATTATTAATTATGTGTATGCACATACATTTAACGTCCTTTTTGGTGTCCCCCAATCTATAGCAGCTAATATCTAGACCTCATTTTGGAAATGAGAAAATGTGGCTGGAAGAAAATGATTAACTTGCCCGGGTCACACAGCTACCAAGTGGAAGACTCAAAGTCAAAACAACATTTGTCATACTCTAAAGCATGTGCTCTCTTTACTACAGAAGGGACTTTCTCCAGGAAGCAAAGCCCAGATCTTACAGAGGGTCCCATAGCTTGCATTTCCTAGTGTGGGGGCTTATGCATAGAAGGTGTTAAGAAAATGTGTATGGAATTGCTTTGAAGAAAGAATAGGGGGAAAATGTTTTAAAAGATATTCCTTGATGAAGAGTCCTGGGACTTGAGAAATCCAATACCAGGGGTGGGAAAGTCCAAGGCAATTACTTCTGCAAGTGTTGAAAACCTGTTGTGTGTTTTCTTTCTCTGCTGAAGGAGAAGGTTGTTTACATTATGGGAGATTGTTCCGGTCTGTACCAAAGAGCTTGTTAAGGGTGACAGACAGGTTTGTTGCACAAATGTGCACTCCAAATTAGATGAATGGTGAAATTATGAAGCAATCAAATGGCAAAGCTTTTAGCAGACTACAGTACATTGCCCTTTTTTGCTACCCCTAGGCCTGTTAGCATAAAAGAGGCCATAAAGATAAAGTGCACAATATTATTCAAGTCTCAGAGTTCAACAAACATGGACAGCTGGCATTTTATGGCAAGTGTAGTCAGGATTGCTTAAAACCGCTTGTCTCCCCAACACACTGAGTTAGCCCCGCTTCCTTTTCTCTTTGCCAGGACAATATTAGACAGACTAGGGCAAGTCAAAAAGAGCGAGAAATGCTGGGCGTGGTGACTCATGCCTGTAATCCCAGCACTTTGGGAGGCCTAGGCGGCCGTATCACCTGAGGTCAGGAGTTCGAGACCAGCCTGGCCAACATGGTGAAACCCTGTCTCTACTAAAACTACAAAAATCAGCCAGGTGTGGTGGTGGGCGCCTATAATCCCAGCTACTCAGAAGGCTGAGGCAGGAGAATCACTTGAACCCAGGAGGCGGAGGTTGCAGTGAACTGAGATCACGCCACTGCACTCCAGCTTGGGTGACAGTGAGACTGTCACAAACAAACAAACAAACAAACAAACAGAAAACGAAAACAAACAAAAAACCAAAACAAAAAGAGCGAGCGAGAAACAAGAACTCCTCTCCTCCCTTTCTTCACAACCCTTGAGGGGAGGGAGAAAGGTGCGCAGAAAAAACTTCACCCTAGCATGAAGAAGTGAGTGACAGAAAAGGTTTTTTAAGTCAGTCAGATTGGAGAGGCTTGTTATCCTGGGAGAAGTTGGAACTTCAAATGAAGAAAAAGAAGAAGGGGAGTGGCTCGTGCCCAAGTCTAATGTGTTCGCTGGGAAGGAGAATGGCTTCTCTGCACCAGGAAAGGGAAAGGAAAATGCCTCCTCTCACTATGCTGGTGGCTGCACATTACGGGGAGGACAGGTGGAGGGGAGGCTGTTAGCACCAGAAGGAGACCTGAGGAGTCGTTGATCCAAACCTCCCATTTTAGGGATAAGATGTACAAGGTCCAGAGATGGCAAGTGACTTGCCTGAGACTGCCCAGCTATTTTATATTCAGTTCTGTGCTGTTCTCACCACGAGCATTTTGAGTGAAGGTGGGAGGATAATTGATATGTACATAAACGTACATATTTCTTAATGGGGTACAGCTGAGGAGCCCAATATGTGAAAGAGAAAGACACAAAGCTGCTCTAGTTGAAGGTGGGAGTAGAGGTGGGTAGGAGTGTCCTGGAATCCCACCCCCTCAGTCTCTCTTTGCCCCAGTGGGTCCTAGAAGGTAGGCTCTAGAAGCCCCAGGGATCTAGGGAAAACTTAAGCACCAGAATATTTGATGGATTTTTTTTTTTCTTTTTCTGCCAATCCACTAAAAGTTATTTTTTTTTTCTTGGAATCTTCTCATCTTACCTAATGCAAACACTCTTCTTGTTATGAATGCTGCCTGAGCAGGGGCTAGTGCCACATTTAGAGAGAGGCAGCCATTGCTGACCTCGATCTGATCTTATTCTGACCTAGGAGGCATAGACACAGAGACTCTAAGAGGGGAAGTAGCGTCTAGAATGTGGCAGAGATGGGACACCATGCCGAATCTGTCTGATCCAGAGCCCATGCTTGTCTCTTCACATTTATGCTCTATCTCCAGAACACAGGATTGGTCCACAGTATTAAAAGTTGACTGTGCTGTGTCTTTGGACATTTTTCCCCTTAGGGGAAAACGATGACATTAATTAAGATGGGGTCTAATACCCTTTTCACTTTAATGTTCTGCAAGTTGATATAGTTCATGGTACAAGCTAACAATTCACTTAAAAACAAGAGAGATAGTTTTCCCCAAAATATGCATGTATGGTTTAGATGTTGACATTCTGGAGGCCATGGTCCACAGATAGTATTCTGTGCATGATTGTTCTTTTTACAGATCACTTATAATCCAAACCCATGTGGAAGATCTTTTGTTCTTTCACGATCTCTTCAAATCCTACTATCTCCCCGTCCCCAACCACCTTATAAATCTGGTCTGTGGCTGTTTGGGGTCTGTTTTATAGGGCTTATTAGGAATAACAGTTGAACGTTTCTGTGTGGAGCCAAGTCTTGGTCACGTAGGCAGTCTGCCAATTGGTAGTAGCATGGTGCATGGTTAACAGTCTAAGCCATCCCAACTGCCCCATCTGGCCAGGAGAGATGGGTGGTTCCTGATATTCCAGGACAAAGTGAATAATTCAGTCCATCATACAGATGTTTGGACCACAGAATAGCCAACTGCAGGGTAGTTAGTAATATCTGTTATTTCGTAAAGTCTCCTCCCCAACTCTATTGTCTCTGTTTCACAAATCCACATGTAGAATACGCTTTGGAATTTGATAGGCCCCATGGAAGTGTGGGAGGCCATCTCTGAATGCTGGAGTTTCAGGCCCAGTAACCTTCCCCACCCCACATAGAAGGAGAATAGAAACACCGATTACTGTGCAGCTTAGCTGTTAGATGTTTGCTTCTATGAAACAGTGATTTGTTTATAAAATGGTGTGATTTCTCCTGGAGAAAAAAAACAAAACCAAACCCAACTGCTATTTTTAGAGACATTTTTAAAATGAAAGGGCTATGATAGTAAACCCACCCAGCCAGGAAGACTATACGTGAGCTTTCCAAATCTGTCCACTAAAGTAGGAATTTGAAAGCGCCACCACAAATTGCTTTTCACTTCAACCAGGATGCTGATTATGATCCCCTGGCTCCACTCTGCTCTCCTATTACTTGCACATGAATTTAGTTACCCTGTATTTTAATTACATGTGTAGAGCAAGTTTTATGTTCTCTTCTCTGACTACTCATAAACTTCACAGAGATCACCCCAAACCATATTGTTCTTAAAATAGCCTGTGCCTCCTATCGTTGTAGCAATACCAAATGACACTTTCTTGACCCAGCCCTGTTGTATTAAGTACATTAGGCTCCTGGCAGGCATGTTCTTCCAAACCTCAGTGTAGTTTGAGTTAAGCCTGTCCCTAGTCATAGAGCTCTATGTCTAAAACATACCATTAGAGAAACATGATCGGCAACAGACATAAGTGGGATTTCGGTAGCATCCTCTGAACCCACACATTACATGTTTGAGTCAAAACCATGGGTGCCGGGGTGGTGTTTCTTTTGCTTGTTAGCTATGATAAAAAAAAAAAAAAAAAAAAGCAAGGATTTCACACGTTCCCATCCCCCAGGTATATTTTCCCTTCTGTTCTAGGCCATCATTTTGTGGCTTGAGAACCACAGGATGTACCTTTTGTAATTACGTGAGAATTTTGATTTCAGCTGACATGAAAGTCCAGCCACAATATTAAATGTCACACAAAACTTCACATTGAGAAACTCCGTATAAAGAGAACACTCTATGTTTTACAGCGAGGTTGTACTGTTACAATTACCCTTTCCCCCCTTTTTGCTCAAGATTATTTGACTGCAATGGGAAGCAATATAAATCAGTTGCTGGCCACATAATAACTACTCAAGTCTTCCTTTTGCACTCTTAAAAATACAGAAGAAGACTATCATCCCTCTAGCAGATTGTTGATAAATCAGACTCTAGCCATAATATTTCAAGTGACACAGTCATAAAATATGAGTCCTGAGTGGTTTCCTTCCTGAAATTTCACTAATTGTAACATAATTCACCAACACACTGTTTTTTTTAAAAAAAATCACATAAACAGGCCAGCTCAAAAAGTTGTTTTAATAAAGGAGTAATATCACATCCCTGTATTTTTTTAGAAAGCAAGTATTATTGACCCAGCTGAGTGTCATTTGTGGGTAAAGGGCTAAGAGTTCTTGACTCCAGGGATCTGTTGTATTTTTCTAATTCCTTGTGGCTCTCTGGGGGATGAACATAATGGTTTATACCTCAGACAACCTGGGAATCATCATGAAAGAATTCTAAACTGAAGTGAATCTTGGAATTTATCTCTATGTTATTATATAATTGGATAGGAAGAGAAGAATCCAGTGGGTACTTTTCTCTTTTGGTGTTCCTAAGGTTAGGTCATCAGTATGACTAGTTTGCAACCTCCTCCCTTTCACCCCCAAATCCATGACTTTGACAACTTGTTTAATTTTTATGTATAAGTTTGTGAAGTTTTTAGAATTCTTGGGTCTTCTATGGTAATTCTTACTTCTTTGAGAAAAAAAGGAAACTTCTTTGGGAAAAAGGGTTTCAGAATGAAAACAGATGTTATAAAATTCATGTGCTTGACAGTAATTTCTCTTTAAAATAACAATAAAATCCATAGCTCAATGTCAGAGAAGCTCATATCAGTGGTTCTGATGAAAAACGAGTATTTCTCTGATGTTGGATCATGGCAGCAGAACTGTTGATGATACTCTGCTATGAGTTGAGTTATAGTCCGTAGTTAAGTAACTGGTTATCTAGTTTTCTTTTTCTCTAAGATTTGTTGAAAAGTCTCAGTTAAGTGAGCATGAAGGTTTCTAGGTATGCATTTGAGGTATGTGGAGATTGCCCACTGTTCATAGAGTTGCAGACTAGAGACCATATGTGCAGCAAAGCGTGGACGCCTGCAGTGTCTTTGGTTGGAAATGCTGGGTCAGGGCCTAGAATTGTTCCAGAGCCTTTCCTCTTGTGGTTGCTTGGTTTCTAATTTTGGTTTCTAACTGTAGCAGCCATATTACCACAAGACCACAGCTGTAAGGTGGCATTGGGAAGAAAGGAAATAAGCCTGTCAGATCCCTCCACTTCCTGGTAGATAGATTAAATGACTCCATTATACCTTAATCGTAGGTTTTATAACTTGGAAAAGGATTCATAGGCCATGTATCTAATTTCCCCAGACTCCTCTTCATGTTGCCCATCAACCCAAACACCCACATTTCGTAGATGAGAAAATAATTCGAAGAATCAAAATTACTTGCCCAAGTTAAAACAACTAATTTTTTCTTTCTTCTTTCTTCTATTTTGACAGGAAGAAGGGGGGTCAAGAGGGGTTCATACTGAAAAGGATTGGGAGCTAGAAGATAGTTCATGTAATTTCTCAGGGCCTTGCTTTCTTTATCTGTAGCAGGAAGACTAGATAATATGTGAGATCTCTTCTAGCTCTAAGGTTCTGTGTTCTTTGTTTGGGGCCTGAGAAAATAAAACTGAATTTGGGAAGAGGAGCCAAAAAAAAAAAACAAAACAAAAAAACAAAAAAACAGCAAGAGGGACAACTGTTTTTGAAGGAAGAAATCAAGAAATCTTAATGCATGGGAATGAAGAGAAACTCAGAAATAGTACCTGAATTGAGCTTTTTATAAAGACCTGAAACTTAGGAAAAGTGAGCTTGGTTCTTTTCCTCAGAAAATTGTTAAAGTTAAAAAAAATATTAGGAAAGAACCATAGGCATAGAATAAAAACAAAATTGAATTATAAACTGACCAGTGGATAACAAGAAAGAACATTTTATAGATGCTAAGTTGAAGTACAGATAGAACTCCAGTACAGCATAATTTCCTTCTGTTCAGTATTTTCTCAAGATTTCTACTTAAAAATACTGAAAGTATAAAAAGATGTATGGCTTAATTCAGATATAATAGGTATAAACAGGTGATGGACATATCTTGGAGTTGTCATTTGAATGATGAAGAAATGTTTGATTGCTAAAGTTGTTTATAAAATTTATAAAAAGACACTGGGTACGGTGGCTCACACCTGTAATCCCAGCACTTTGGGAGCCTGAGGTGGGGTGGATTACTTGAGGTCAGGAGATTGAGACCAGCCTGGCCAACACGGTGAAACCCCATCTCTACTAAAAATACAAAAATTACCCGGGCGTGGTGGCACACACCTATAATCCCAGCAACTCGTGAGGCTGAGGCAGGAGAATCGCTTGAACTTGGGAGGTGGATGTTGCAGTGAGCCGAGATTGTGCCCCTGTACTCCAGCCTGGGTGACACAGCGAGACTCTGTCTCAAATAAAATAAAATAAAAAGAGTTGCATATGCAGTATTTTTTCATGCTGGCCAGCCTAATAGAAGTCTCCTATCCTCACTTTTGGATCTGTGTAGCCCATTGAAACAATAAAGTCAAAGAATGAAGCAGAACGTAGGAGAAGATTACTAACTCAGTGATCACCAGGAAGCTTACAACACTCCAGCTGAATTTTGACAAAATTCAAATAATCATTTTCTTTACTTATGAGATAGATTTGCCTAAACCAATTTATACCTGTTTTTCATGCTTTTTAAATGTCTGACCTAATCTTTTGATGTAAGTTCGGTACTGACATACATAACGCAAACCTCATCCCAACAGTTTTGTGGGAATGAAGATGTTGGTCATCTGTCATGGATAATGTATACTCAGATTACTTTTTAGTTACCATCACAACGATTCATTAGATAGGTACCTTTCCATTTTTGTTGATGAAGAAACCGAGGCTCAGAGAATTTACATAACTTGCTCAAGGTTACTCGGTGACTAGGGTTTTAATCAAAATGTACACGACTTCAAAATCTTTAGGATTTCCAAGTTACTCATTGGAGCTGAGAAAATCCAGAAAAGACTGTGAATCTGAGATTAACATTTTTAAGGTGCTGAAGGCATTTCCAAGCGAAACATTAACTTGTCCTTAAAGACATTTTTTAGGAAGCTATTTATAGTTGGGCACCTGAGAAACACTTTTCTCTTACTGAAATCATTTCTTCAATGGCCTCATACCAACAAAACCATGTGAAGGAATATGACCCCGTTTTCCTAGCTGGTGCTCCAGAATGTTTGAATCCATTGAATGTTACATATGTGACTATAAAAATGTTAAGAACGATGAGTAATTAAAAGCTAGAGCAGTTACTTAACCTGTGGTTAAAATCCACAACATCATCATCCTAGCAAAAACCCTTAAAAGCATAAGATAATATAAGTAGAGGAATATTTTGCAACCTGTGTGTATACTTTTTTGTTTTAAGTAAGGAAAAGGGTATTAAAAAGTACACTGCATACAAATTGCACCTTATGGCTGAGGTCTGTACTTCAATGCTCTCAAGGAGGGAACCGAGGAAATAATGCATCGGGAGGTGCTGAAATGTGACTGATCTTCAAAGGCATTTTGCTGTATGTTAGGAGGCCAAGCTCGCACTGAGATAGCTCCTCCAGTTGTTGATAAACTCAGAAAAGAGGAAGAAACAAACATATTCTCTATCTGCCTTCACAGCATGACTTAGAATCACACGTAGTTATAGCTAGAAGATCTTTTCCCTGCCAACTCCCTTGTTTTACAGATAAGGCCTGGAGAGGTAAAGCAACTTTTCCAAAGCAATACAGTTAGCTAATGGAAGAGCTGGGAGTAGAAGCCAGAACTAATGAAGCCTAAATTCAGTGTTCATTTGGATTGACGTAGCGCAAAGAAACCTTACAGGAGGAAGCTTGGGGAAGGAGTGAGAGCAGCCTGCAATTTGAAGGCCGACCTAAAACAGACGCAACTGAGCTAACAAATTTATAACAAGTTTCAGTGCAGCTAAATTAGAAGGGGCTAAGTCATTAACCTTGCAAAGAGAAATTTATAAGCATTGACTAAACTTGACCTTAAGCCAATCACGTGTTTCCACTTCCCAGTGTCCCAAGAACACATTCACAGATGAATGCACACAGGCACCGCAGCACCACTTCAGACTTCTCTCTGCAGAAATATGAGTTAGAGACACACTGCAGGAAGTATTGATGATAACATTTCCTAATAGGCCCTGTGTTTTCTTTAATAAAAAATAATTTTGGTGTAATCACTCATTGCAGAAAAAAATAATCTTAAATGATTCATAAATTAGAAGCCCTGCCCACAGATTAGAACTCTGTTACGGGTTAATTGTCTCCTGTGGCTTGAAAACACAAACCTTCTATTTTCTCAGAAGGCACTGTGGAAGACATTATTGCTGTCTCCTGATGCTCACAGAGCCCCTCTCTTCATGGGTACGTGGGAAGATTGTACTTCTTTCTCTCTCTGAAATTAGTCTTGGCTGTATGACTTGCTTCGGACAATGAAGTGAAAGAGGGAATGGGTTATGCGGCTTCTGGGCTGCCTAAGAGCCAGTGTGTATGTTTCTATTTTCACCTCTCCAGGCTGGCTGGGCCAATGGCTGCTTCACTAGTTCAGGACCCACCATCAAATTATGATGTCACAGAGCAGAGCTTCAGTCAATGTGGGATGGACATATAGTACGAGAAAGAAATAATGTTTTGTCATTTTAAGTGGCTCCAATTTTGGGATTGTTTTGATAGCATAATTTAGTTAATCCTCATGAGTAAAGCATCCTTGATAGGCTCATGATTTTTAGCAATAACATGGTTTCTGTAAATGTCTAAGCATTTGCACATATTTGTTGTAAAATATAGAGAGGTCAAGAGTTAGTTCTCTCACTGTGCCTGAGAAAAATTGCATAATCATAGTATCTTCTTCCCTTGGATGGTGCTATTGTTTGTAAAGAACTTTCTCAGAAATAAGTATTCATTTCCATCATACATCTGTGAGATAGATAGTTTGAGTGACACAGTTCTTTTTTTTTCAGGTGGGGAAACTAAGATTTAGAGAGTTTAAATGACACATCTACAATTGCAAGGTGACAAGGGGCCCATGCTCCATTCACTATGATATCCTGCCTCTGGTCTTCAAATAGGTTGAGACAATTTTTTCAGTTAATTCTCCTTGTAGGGTGATGGAAGTTTGCAGGAACTAGCCAACAACAAATATATTGTATCTCAGGGAATACTAAATTTTATCTGACCCTGTTATGAAACAGGTTCACCATGTACGGGTTACTCTAGCACGTACATGAGTCTGGTGAGACAGAACTCTCATACAAGCTAAGCAAAGCAACTTTATTACTCACGGATTAAACAGCAAGGAACAACAGAAGCCTCAGATTCACCACACGCTCATTTCCCAAGGCTGAGAAAAGCTGCCCAGGGCAGATGGGGTCTCATCTGTATGTGATCCACATCATGCTGCAGCTGAGGTATCTCCAAAGCATTCTGTGTTGGGTTTTTATACTCTGGGGGGACACTAGGATCACTGGGCCAAAGTGTTGTAGGACATCATGTTCTAGGAGGGGTGGGAACAAAGCTGTTCCAGGCAGTTTCTCCTTAGCTCAGCATGTTGCACTCTTAGCACGTTCTACAGTGATTCTCAAGGTTATATGTGAGACATGGGGAGAGCTGGGTCAGCCAAAGCCATCAGGGTGCCCATCACCATGATTAACATGTGATGGGACTCAATATATATGGCCACAGTTTCCCTTCTAATGTGAGCCATATCCTTTCTCTTCCCATTCCACCTTTGTTTCTACCTTACTAGCTAACTTCTGCCTTTCATCAAATAGGCTTGAATTTTCTCATTGAGTGGACAGAGACTGATATGTCCCAATTAAAACAAATACTTCCCGACTAACCACATATCTGGAGTTCGTACGAGTGTGTAAGTGATAGCTGTGGCAGGCAATCTCTAAGATGACTCAGCAGTCCTTGCCTCCTGGTGTTGCCTTGTTTAATGTCTTGTTTAATTGGGAGACTAATATCTCCCAATTAAAATGAATACCTCCTGATGAACCACATGTCTAGGGTTCATAGTAGTGTGTAAGTGAGAGCTATGGGAGGCAGTCTCTAAGATGGCCCACCGGTCCTTGCCTGCTGGTATTGCCTTGTTTAATGCCCTTACCCTGAGTGTATGCTGGGCTTGTTGACCCAATTCTGACAAATAGGATAGGGCAGAAGTGATGGAGTGTCTTTTCCAAGATTATTTCTGTAACAACTGTGGCTTTCATCTTGGGCATGTTCAAACTCTCCTCGCTCAGAACACCGACTCTCATGTCATGAGGACATTCAGGCAGTCTATGGAGAGGTCCACATAGCCAGAAGCTGAGCCCTGGCAATGGGCACATGAGTGATCTTCGAATCAGATTTTTCAGCTGCAGTTAAACCTTGACATGACTGCAGCCCTGGCTGACAGCTTGATTGACAACCTCATGAGAGACCCTGAGCCACAGACACCCAGTTAAGATGTGCCAAATTCTTGGCCCACAGAAACAGTGAGAGTATAAGGGCTTGTTGTTTAAAGCTGCTAAGTTTTAGGGTAATTTGTTATGCAGCAATTGATAGCTAACGTGAAACCAAACCCCTTATGAGTGCAGGTTTTGATGGGCAAGGACCTCAGGTAGGAAGGGCAACTCCATAAGGGAAGGAGCCCTTAAAAGGATGGAGGTGCACATGGGACATCATTTGCCTATTGCTCACTTTCATCAAATACTTTTCATCCCGATTTTTCAGGTTATACACATATAAAAGTTATGGTATTTTGAAATGCACAGGCAAGGATTGCTGAAGTAACCTACTGCAGCTCTTCGCACTTTACAAAACTGAAAACCAAGACCCTGAGAGGATAACTTAACGTGCTCCATGTCACAAAATAACCCAGTTTTAGGGCTTGAAGACTAGGTTTTCCAACACCTATTCCAGTGTTCTCTCAGTTGTACCATGCTTCTTCTCTGTTCGCAGTTACAAAAAGAAAAGAAAGTTTAAAATTAACCATTGCAATTCCACGAAGATTCTTAAAAGTTCACCATGTCTCTCATTTTAATAAATGTCAAAAACTGACTTTCAAAGCCTTTTTAAATAGTTTGTATAGAACACCGTCATTCATTCATTAATTCAGCAACTATGTATTGAACATTTCCTATGCTCCAGGCACTGTGCTAGATGCAAGAGTTACTAGGGTGGTAAAAACATTTGTTGGAGACACCAAAAGAAGCAGCCCATGGATCTTGTCTGTTTTATCAGTGGTGTTTTCTTTTGTCATCATAGATACATGTATGTGTTCCCATAGAGAGAAATCATGTAAAGGCTCAATTATTCAATATTAATATTGATCTGAAACTTTTAAAGCTCCCTTAGAAAGCTGATTGCAGTTTCACACTGAGAGTGGGCAAGGAGGGCTTTTTCTAGTGGCTCCAGAAAGAGCAATGTTCATGTTTCCAGGTACTCCTTCCTGAAGTGGGAGAATGCCCTGGCCTACTTAGACCCTCTTAATTGGAGACAGAGATACTATCTGCATAAGTCCTATGGCTTTACTTGAATTATTAGGAGCTAAGTAAATTCTTAAAAAAAAATGTGAGATACTCTCTGATACATCTTGTGAGCCTTGATGTTCTAGAAGTTAAATAGCATGGGTCTCTGGAGTAAAATATCCTGGAAACAGTGTTGGCGTGATGCATTTTTGCTAAGTGCCACAGGTCAGGGCACCTAATTTGCTCCTTGCAAAAAATGAGGATAGTAATTATACCACATGACTGTGAGAAGTGCTTTGTAAGCTAATAAATAGCCTTCAACTTCAATAAGTTCTCTTATTTCCCAGTTATAAGATCTCTGAAAGCTAAGAAGAGGAGGTGATCCATTTTTAATCTTTTATAGTCTCTAGGACTATGCCTAAGACTTAGTGGGTACTCACTAATTGTTTGTTGAAAAGCTACTGATTAATAATAGTGATAATTTTGGAGCACTGCCACGTGTCAGGTGATGTCTTAAACATTTCACTTGTATTAGCTTTTGATTCCTTATAGTGACTCCATAAGTCAAATACTATTATTATCACTATAATATGGACAGGAAAACTGAGGCAGAGAGAAATTGAGTAATTCCCATAGTAACATAGGTGGAGCTGGAATTGAAACTCATATAGTCTGGCTAACTGCCAAGATTTACTTCCCCTCCATAAGAACTGTGTATACATTTACTTCTTCTTATTAGAAGAAATATAGGCAGAAAGAAGAGTTAGTTCCCTTCGGTTGAATTAATAGATATTTCTTTTAAATGAGGTTTTATCCAATATCCAAAAGAAAGCAAAACCAAACAAAAACCAAACCAAACAAAAACAATCCCAACAAGTCAATCCAGACAAAATCATATTGAGACAACGTCAGCTGAGGCTTGTGGTTGAATGGACCGTTGACAACAATCATTTAGTATGTTGAGATGAAGCTGAGGACCTTTCATGTGGGAAAATATCTGAGAGGCGAGAGGAAGCAGACTGTGAGTTGTTAGCTGTGCTTGAAAATCATACAGATGGAGGGTCTTGGGTGAGTCTTTGGATTGTAGCCTGCTTGTCTTCAGTCACAGTGAGTATAAAATGACAGAAGAATCAATTGAAAGACTGGGAAAGACCTGTCACACAGGCAAATGACAGAACGATTGTGAACAATGTAGAAGACAGGGAAAAGGGAGGTGAAGAAGCAGCTAACATTTATTGAATGCAAGTTATGCTGAATATCTATAGTCTTATTTAGTATTCATTGCAATGGATGAGGTAATGCTAAACACATCTTGCAGATAAGAAAGCTCAGGATCAAAGAGGTTAAGTAATGCTACCATGAAGCATTCTCAGCTGGGAGGAAAAACCAGCCTCCTCCACTTACTCCCAAGCCTGTGAACTTTCCATTCTGTGGCTAGTAACCTCTGTTCTACCTCTCACTAAACTGCAGACTTGTAAGAAGCTACTGCTGAGCCAGAAGATTACCACAAAATGGCCAAGAAAACATTGCCATTATGTTGGGGAAAGAGGGAGGAACAAAAGGGCTAATAGAAAAGGAAGAAAAAAACCAACCAATGGAAATCACGAAAGACTGTGAGAGGAAGGACTTTAGGCTTCTGACAAAGTGTAGAAAAAAGAAAATGGTACTCCTGAGGCATGGATTTTCCAAAAGAAGGGTTTCTGATTCTACTAATCCTATTAAAAAGCAGAGGAAAGCTCTAGGAAACCTCAGATACCCTTTTCTCAAAGATGGCTACTTTCTTTTTGCCTTTTGTCATTCCTTCTCAACTCCCTTTCTTTTGCTCTGGGTCACTGGTTTTGGATCTTCCTGTTTTGCCTGAGCCATAGCTCAGTCTTTGACTTTTTGGCCCCACTCTTTAAAAAGTGGTTTTGCCAAGAGCAAATTGCCCAAGACGTTTAGGTCAGTGGTCACCAAAGCTGATCCACAGGTTGGATGCAGCCCATGGTGAGGTTGTTGGTGCCCTGTGGTAGAATGAGAAGAACTGGAACAACTGAGTGAGCTTTTCATAACACTAAATGCATTCCATACTGACTGTCTTTTTTCCTGAGATTATGTTCTTCTTGCTTGTTTGATGTTTCAGCATTTGTTGTTTTATGAAATGATGGTGAAAGTAGACGATTCCCCTTAAATACTTTTTAAAAAATTAAAATGTCCTGTGAAATCAATTTGAGAGACAGACATGCCTAGTCCATTGGAAAGAGTCTGATCATGGACGCTGATTAAAACTCAGAAAAATATTTCAGCAGGGAGCTCTTGACATTTTTAATGAAAGAGTTCACATGTTGTTTTAAATATTAAGTTAATTATATATGATGCCCCTATTGCTTCATCTGGTATATTGTTGGCATTTGAGCAACACATACACTTCTTCTCCCTTGAATCTCTCTTCTTTGATATGTGGGCATGTTTGTGCATAACGTGAGTTTTGACCTTCTTGGCCCTGGCTCACTAAATGCCAATAGTAATCCCCAGCTTCAGTTTTGATGACCATAATGTCCCCACACTTTTACCAACCTTCCCAGTGGAGTAGGTTTTGGGAATTAATAGAAGAGGCTGGTTTTGTATCTCATCTCAGAGTGCTTTGTGCTAGCATTACTTAACCTCTTTGGGTCTCAATTTTCTTATCTGAATGGGCATTACTCAAGGCCCAAGTGGGGTTCTGCAGAGCATCGCATAATCACCTATTATTATGCCCCATTTCTGCTATAGAGAAACAAGCACATGCAGAAGCAGATAATATTGTCCCATTTTGGTCATCAAATATTTGCTACAGTAATATACCTTAACCTGCTAATACCCGTGACACCCTTAAAATAAGAAGGAGCATGAATTGGGCAGTGTCATTTTTCTCATAAAATTTAGAGACATTAATCCAAGTTTTCTCACCTTTTAATACTATAATGGTCTTTCTTTTAGGATTTGCTTCTGCTTCAAATCCTACCTTGATGCAGTCAACCATTTTCTCTCTTGTGCCCTACAATGCCATATATGTACTGTAATGTGCCAAAATATGTAAAACACCTGGTATAGTGTCTGGCACATGGAGGTTGCTCAACACGTGTTATTGGGTGAGAAGGTGAATGGCCACTGCACAATATCAAATATATTCTACTGGGAAATGTCTAAAGAAATCACATGGATGCAAGAGAGGAGTTTAGACTCATTCATTACTATGTGGTCATAAATACCCACTCCTATCTCCCACACGAGGAAGGTGGATTTACTTCTTCCCTACATAGTTCTCTGATTGAACGTTGTGCCTTGTTTGTTTGCTTACCTTTTTTTTTCTTTATATACTCAACCTGATTTTATTTTAAATCCATTTTGCCTGTGCCTGAGATTTTGTTGGAGAAAGAAAGCATATATGAATTTCCTTTTGCTTGAACCCCACAAGAACTAATTCTTACCATTCCTGAGATTAAATCATTTTCACCTGTTTTCTTTTCTGAGTTGGGCGGGGGTGTGAGCATTGGGGGGGGGGGTATAATTTTTGGGGTCCTAGAACTTTCTCCTTCCTCTGCCCCTAATGTGTGTGTGTGTGCACGTGTGCACACACACACAAACACATTCACAATGAGTTTGGTTCAAAGGTCTTAGACCATGTAGGAAAGCAAAAAATGGACATGAAATGGCACAGAGTTTGGGCACTGTCAAGAGTCCAGCTGCACAGCAGCTCAGCATCTGGGTCAGTAGGAAAGAAATTAATGTTCATTGTGCTATGTCTTGTCTGTTAAGCACATCTCATTCTTTCTCCAGAGAACTCTGGAGTGTTATGATGGCAGAGTAGAGGAGAGGGAAACTGAAGACTAGCCTTTGTTGACCACAACACAATTAGCCCTTGTTGTCAAGCATCTCTCTAGATGCTTTTATATCACTTCACAACTCTCTAAGGCAATTATATGATTCTTGTTTTACAGACATGGAAACTGATGCTCAGAGAGGTTAAGTCGCTCACTCCAGATCCCCCATTGAGAAGCAGAGAAGGATGGATTTTGAACTTCATTTACTGTTTGTGTGTTTTTACTGTGTATTTTGTGTATTTCTTTCTTTCTTTCTTTCTTTTTCTTGAGACAGAGTTCTGCTCTTGTCACCTGGGCTGGAGTGCAGTGGCACGATCTCGGCCCACTGCAACCTCCGCCTCCCTGGTTCAAGGGATTCTCCTGCCTCAGCCTCCCGAGTAGCTGGGATTACAGGTGCCCGCCACCATGCCCAGCTAACTTTTGTATTTTTAGTAGAGATGGGTTTTCACCATGTCGGCCAGGCTGGTCTCTATCTCCTGACCTCAGGTGATCCACCCACCTCGGCCTCCCCAAGTGCTAGGATTACAGGCATGAGCCACTGCGCCCAGCCACTTTTCCAGGGATAGTTCCAGTTTATGCCTGTTGTCCTGGTGTAGTTATTAATAGCAACTCTCACCATTTGTCTTGGTATGCACAACAAATTATAAGATCATCTTACCTCTTTCTCTTCTGTGTTCTTCCCCTCTTGTCCAAGTGGGAGGTGGGAAGGCGCTGGGTGATTATGGTATCCATTAATGGCCTCTCTGTGTTGCAGGTATCTTTTTTTTTTTTTTTTTTTTCTGAGACGGAGTCTCGCTCTGTCGCCCAGGCTGCAGTGTAATGGCGCGATATCGGCTCACCGCAACCTCAGCCTCCTGGGTTCAAGCAATTCTCCTGCCTCAGCCTCCCGAGTAGCATGCGCCACCACGCCTGGCTAATTTTGTATTTTTAGTAGAGATAGGGTTTCCCCATGTTGGTCAGGATGGTCTTGAATTCCCGACCTCAGGTGGTCCGCCCGCCTCGGCCTCCCAAAGTGTTAGGATTACAGGCGTGAGCCACTGCACCCGGCTGCGTTGCAGATATCTTAAGTGTTCCTTCTGTTGTGGGTTGCCTATGTGGTTCTTCAAGAGTCTCTGTAGAAGCTTCTCACTCCACAGTTTCCTGACTGGGGAACTCTGATTCCAGCTTATTTTCCTATATACCATAATAGCTCTTGCCCTTCAGCCATTCACTGTCTTACAGCTTCCTGCAAGGGGTTTCTTTCGCACTAAAATGTAGCACTGCACAACCCTTTTGCAATGAAGAAGGGAGGAACTAACTGCATAGAGTAATGCTGCACTCCCACTTCTGAGTGGGAAGTCCCACACTTCTCACTTCTCAGTCGTCTTTTCATAGGAACCAGAGTGGGAGGAGAGAGAGGTGGCTGTTGGCAGGGCTGGCTCTGCTCTGGTGCCTCTCAATAACTCTTAGGGAATTTCCTTGAAATTAGAATGTGATAAATTTACTGTCAGGTGCTCAGATTGGGTCTTAGGTAAATGTCAGTGCAACAAGAAAAGTCCTACTTGACATTGCATTACATATCTATAACAAACACCAACTTGCAATATGAGGCAGCACCATCCTTACTGACAGCATCAGCTGTATTGTTGCAGTGAAGTTCAGTAGGAACCAGCACTCTATCAGTGTTCAGTTTTGGTTTTGACTCATCTTTATAAATTTGTTTTCCTCCACTGAAAATTTTAGTTACAGCTTGGAAGTGGAGTGGACTCCTTCCTTCCTAATTACCTTATCAACTAAAAGACGACTTTCTTTTCTTGACAAACCACCTCAACCAATCAACATTATTTCTCAAGAAAATGGAAAAAGTATAGTAGATCTAAGAACTTCTCCTTATTCCTAAATACCAGCAGTCAGCATGACCAGTTTTCTTTTTCCCATTGTTGCTTTAAAACTGATTAAAAATTGCAGAATGGGCTAGAGCCATGCGTTACCTGTGTTTTCATTTCCGATAGCTAATACAATGTCTGACACCTTGTAGGTATTTGAAAATAATTTGTTCAATGGTTACATTTCTCTTTGTACCATTCACAGTGCCTAGCATGATGCTGTGTGCATATTAAGTGCTTAAACATTTTTATTATTGATGAAATAATGTATAGTCCCTTTGCTTCATTTTTCAGGTTGCTTTAAGAAAGAAAAGGTTCATTTAGAGAATGTGTCATTTAGTTTGAGCCACATTTCCTGAAACTTTGCTTTCTTTGCAATCACACCAGAACAAGTTATCATGGGAAGAACCTGAATAGGGCTCAGAAAATGATCTTCACACCTCAGTCCCTTTTAGAGACCCCTTGGATGCCAATGTTTTTGTCTAGGCAGCCATTGGAACATTTATTTTTATTAACTTCTCTGTGCATGTTCAGTGCCATTTTCCTTCCCCCCTCAGCTTTGCAGCATTCCCAGGTGGGGGACAGCCTGGTCAGGAGTCAGGTTCAGGGCTTCAGCTTGACTCATAAATGTGGAAATAACAAAATGTGTTCCCTGAAGCTTTGCAGCATTGTCAGGAAATGGGCTGCTTGCATGCTGTACTTCCACAGATCTGGAAACTCTGCTGAGTTTGGGTTGACTCCAGAAAAAAGTTTAAAAGTGTTCAGGGAAGAGAGGAATGAAAGCGGGCCATTAGTTGGAGACACCAGCGCTCCGGTGGAGTCTGTGTCTTGGCTGGCCTGTTGGCAATGGGCGACTCTGGAGTGTGTGCTGTGTACTGTGGCGGCGAAGTTTGCTTTTCTAAGGATTGGGGCTTTGCAGGAACTTTCCTTCCCACATTTTTCATATCTCAGAAATCTGAGTGGCACCTCTGGGGAGAAGTGGGGTATAGAGTTATTGTTTCCGGCTGGAAGAAACCAAGGCATAGAGCAGTCTAAACTCAGAACTCAAGCATGAGTATTGGATCTTAACCATCTTAGTACCCAGCCTACCCTAGACTGTCAATAAATATGTGGAGAATCAGTGAATGTGTAAAATTGACTTCTATTTGTGTGTCATCAAAGGCAGGAACTGAGCTCAACATCAGGTCTTTTTGTATGCTGTGAGCTACACAGATGATCTCAGGGGGCATAAATGATGGGATTCAGGGCAACTTTTCCTTGTTTGTGTTGTTGACACAACACCTTTCTCATTATTCTCAACTCAGGGAAGAATTTCATCTTTGTGATTTTTCTCTCTTTGCTCCTGGACCACCAGAGCTGTGAGATCCAGAGGACAGGGAGTATGAGAGCAGCAGCTGGGAGGCCAGGAGGCCTCTAATCCTTGCCCTTATTTGGGCCTTAAGAAGACAATATAAAGAAGCTGACTGGTCACCAAAGGAAACACAGATTGTGGGTAGCTGGTGGTGTTTGTGTCATAGCTTCTTAGTAACCTCCCCAGAAGGCTAGAAGGGAATTTGATCACCAATCAAGTAAACGAAGAAGTAATTAGAGCTTTAGGGTTACTTTAAATGTATCGGATTATTTTTTCCATGATGCAATTTCGGGAGGAGTTTTTGTGATTCTTCTCCCCACTCCCCAAGAGGCTTCCATGGCAAGAGTCTCTTGACCTATAATGCTCGTGTTCATATCCTGGCTCTGCCACACACATGCTTTGTGACCTTGGGCAAGTTACTTAACTTCTCTGAGCCTCAGCTTCCTCAACTGGAAAATGGGGATACACTTAAATTACAGGTGTATCATGAAGCCTCAATGAATTAAATACATGTAAAAGTGTTAAAATGGTGTCTATGTGCTAACTATGATTATTGTCATTTTGCTTACACACCATCCATCAGACAATTTGATACAGAGGCCAAAAAATATATTTTTTAAAATTGGCAGTTTTTTAATAGAGTACTGTTTGAAGGCTAGAAAATGAACTACTTGAACTCTCAAGGTTTTCTTACAAATCACAGGCTCCCGTGACAATTCTGATTCTTATGTTTTTTACTTTCACAACTGGTTATTGAAGGATTCTCAGCTCTAATTCCACAAGGTTTTTTTTTTTTTTTTTTTTTTTTTTTAAAGAACATAGTGTATTAGTTCTCCATATGAATTTTAAGGGCATTTGAGTATGTTGGTTAATGTTTTTGAAATCTCCAAATGAAAGGCTTTAAATGTCTTTTCAAGTGTACACCTCAGTGCGCCTCTTCTGTTTTGAGCACCAGTTATGAAATTGAAGCTGGGATTAAACTGTAAAATGTCAGTGAATGGTTTGGAGTCTTCTGGAGTAAATTTTTGCACTGTAAGCACTTTGTTACTTGTCTCTAAATTATTTTAAAAAGTGTATATGGGAGATACTGGTGCAGCTCACCTACGAAAAGCAATTTTCCAGGAACACTGCTATCCCAATGCACAACAGGAAATTTATTGAAAACCTAGCAGGTTGGAGAAAAACAGTAGCTGGCTCAACGACGAGTGTCAAGAGAAGATAGGGAAAAAATGAAGTGGGGACAAAGTTACCCAAAGAGTATTAAACTTAGCTCTATGTAAGGACAACTTTCTGTAAAGTCATTCCTGTGAGTGTCTATAACCCTCTAGTGGGAAGTTCACGTACACGTGCTCAAGCACGCACATGCGTGCACACACACACACGCACATCTGGCACTTGAATTGCAGATAACCTAACCCGACACTAACCTTGGCTTGGCTACAGAAGTAATATTTTTACCAGGATGAACTGTGTTGAACAATTTCTTCAACGCATTAGTCATGCTTTAACTTTAGACATGCAAGTTTTTCCTTTTAACCCATTTTAATGCACATGGCTTTCTAATTTGATCAAAGATAGGAGAATATTGTCATTTCTGAATGCCAGAGTTACTTATTCTCTCATATAATATAAAAATCAATCAAGGATCATCTATATCAAAGAACTATATTTAGTAAATAGGTGAACCTATTTTTATGGGTTTCATTGAATCACTAGAATTGGGAACTCACAGAATTATCTATAGATAAAAAGAAAACAGCGGTGAAATCAATATATTGCTGTGAAAAGTTAATAACTTATTACTCCACCAAATGTATGCTTTACTGAATAAAGCGGAGATTAAAGTACATTTTTATATTGCTATTTTAGCCTTACTTTTATTAGGATTCCTTTGGAAGGCCCGTAAGTCATTTTGTATTTGCGCATAGGATGGCCAATAAATAATGAAATGATGATGAGTTTTGTGAGGGTCTACACTGCCAGGCTATACTTAGCGATTTACTGACAATGTTAGTTAGGGCAGAATTCTCAAAGTGTGTGCTTAGGATGTATCAGTGTCACCTGGGAAATTGTTAGAAACCAAAATTCTCAGGTCTCATTCCAGAGCTACTGAGTTAGAAATTCTGGAGATGGAACGTAATAATCTGCATTTTCATGAGCCCTCCAGGTGACTCTGACACATGCTCAAGCTTGAGAACGAGTGAGTTAGTAGTAGGTAATAACTACTCTAACTGTTGTCTTAGGGCAAGGTTAGGCTACTATAACAAAGAGACTTAACAAGTATATTGTCTTAAATTTAAGTCTTGCCACAGTAAGGAAGAATCATCACACCCATTTTACAGCTGAGAGTACTGAAGCTTAAAGAGATGACATTAACACAGTCCATTTTTTCTGCATTAGTCTATGGGACCAACAGTTGTAACCCTTCGGAGCAGACAAGTTTACTTAAGACTGGTTTATGAAGAGTTTTAGATCAGGAGGTAACGAAGATCCAGATCTAGACACACACTGAGCCTTAAAGCCAGAGAACCAGTCTCCTCCGTTAATTTGCCATATGACCTCAGCAAATTACTCAGAATCTTAGTCTTATTTGAAAAAGGAGGGTAATAGTGTATTTCACCATTTTTCTGGTGACAAAAAAGTAAGGAGATGGTTTCTAGGGAATTTGGAGTTCCTCACATACTGCTATGTCATTCACTTGTACTTTACTAAGTACATAACAACCTGAAGAGTTATGCAAAGAGAAAATTTTCTCAATGAGGCATACTTTGAATATACCAGGGCAATCTTGACATAAAATACTACAACCCTTAATTGGAGTAAAAATAACATTTTTGTGATACAAACTATGTCCTCTGATACAGTTTGTTTTGCCAAGAAACAATAAGAGAACTCTCTGGAAAGCATATATCATAGGACAATTCTTTCAATGGGAAAAGAAAGAAATGGAGATTATGTATTTCAGATGCACCACGACAAGGTTATTATTATTTTTGTCAGAGAATGTCAATAGGAGAGGTGTTTCATAGCTATAATTGTATAGCTTCAAAACCCTAACATCACTGACTATATCCAACATTTGAATACACTGAGTTTTTTCTAAAAATAACAACCATCAGTTTCCAAACATAGCACTATTATTAATACAGACCTCTCTTATATATATATGAGTCATATATGTTTCTCTATATATTCCTTATATTCCTGTATATATATACATATATTTCTTTTATTCATATACATTCCTGTCTCACTCACTATATATAATATATATACGTATATATTATATATACTTATATATATATAAGTATATATAAGTATATATATATATAAAAGTAAGGTTTAGGGTTAGGGTTAGGGTTATATATATATATAATTATATATACTTATATAATACTTATGTACTACTATATAATACTTATATAATACTTATATATACTTATATAAATATACTTATATAAATATATAAATAAGTATATATAATATATACTTATATATTATATATACGTGTATATATATATAATATATATATAATATATAAGTATATATTATATATACGTGTATATATAATATATAAGTATATATTATATATAAGTATATATTATATATATGTGTGTATATATTATATATATTAAAAATATATATATTTTTGAGATGGAGTCTTGCCCAAGCTGGAGTATAGTGGTACAATCATGGCTCACTGCAGCCTTGAACTGCTGGGATTAAATGATCCTTCCACCCCAGCCTCCCAAGTAGCTGGGACTACAGGCACGTGCCAGCATGCTCAGATAATTTTAAAAAATTCTTTGTAGAAACGAAGTCTCATTATGTTGGCCCAGGCTGGGCATAACTCCTGAGCTTAAGTGATCCTTTCACCTCGGCCTCCCAAAGATCTAGGATTATAAGCATCAGCCACGGCTCCTGGCCTCTTACATATTTTTAATAAACATGTTTACTTTTTGTTACACACAGAAACAACACTCTTCAAATGAGATGTTCAGCTATATGTGAAGTGATTTTTTTTCTACCTCAATGTTAGTTCCCCAAGCAGACCAATTTTAAACAATTATGCTACTTTTAAAATTCATTCGATTAACATAAATTAGATGAAAACTTGTGTTGCAGGGAGAAAAATGCCTAAATATGTTTATTATTAGAGTCTGTGTGTTAAAGTCCCACACACCTAAATTTTAAGGCTAAGTTATATATAGGGATACCTATTTAAATATGTAAAAGCACTGAAAGTGAAAATGGAGGCTCAGATTTCCTGAGGTGGGGGAAGCAGTTTAGCATTTAGTGCATCTAAAGAGAAGGTGCTTTCCAAAAACACAGAGAAGGAGAACAATGTAGCACAGGAATTACAAACTCAAACATCTGCTAGGAGGGTAAATGTGTGCTGTGGACTGGGTGAAAGAAAGGTAATGGAGTATGGGGGGACTGCGGCAAAGCTGAGAGAGCCTAAAGTCCCAACCGAGGGAATTTATGTCTCAGCTCCAGCTGATAATTGCCCTGTGGAATTCCAATCCAGTCTTGCCAGATTTTCTTTTTTTTTTTTTCAAGAGAAGTTAGAAATGTGAATTTCTATGTGAAATCTCCTAATTTTCAAATGTTAATGCATAGGCTTTTATAACAATGTGATTTCTAACATGCAAACCAAATAAAGCTCATCTGTGGGCTAGGTTTGGCTCATGTGCTGCCAATCAGCACCCTCTGAGAAATGGAGGGGTGTGTGTGTGTGTGTGTAGGCAAGATAGGGCAGTAATAGTTATGGGGTTAGATTTTCTGGTCAATTAAATATATTTGTACCTAGCTTTGTGTAGCTGGTAGTAAGTTTCGAAGCCCACTTTAATTTTAGGAAGGGTGGGCATATCTAAGTTTTAACTCAATAGTCTCATGACGGTATATGCTCAGGGAGTCATGAAAAAAGATGAATTAGGCCATTATTCATTATTTTGTCTGATTAATTAGAGCCATATCAGTTGCCAGCAGATAATCACAAATGAACACCCAAAAGCTGAATGGAAGTTTAATACATTTAAATTAGTTTCAAGTTGTGTTGGTAACTTAAGCAAGTGAATGAAGATGCAACCACAGCTGCATACTTACAATTGAATTGCTTGGTAGACATCTGTAGGGCATGATTTCACCATAACAAGTGAAAGTAGGGACAAAATGCCCTTTTAATTTTCCCTCTGCTGGGGAGACCTTCATAATTCAGTCGTGGCAGTGTTCTGCTACTTGTGGTTGATGTGGTTCCTTTCGCTCATAAAAATAAAAACCATCTCACATCATCTGTCTCCAGTTGTCTCGTAAATGTAAATCAAAGAGGGGAAAAAGCTATAAAACAAATACAAACACCCACTAGATAGGCTAAGAAATAATGGACTGGGATTATTCCTTAAGGTACTTAAGTACAGTGCTTTTCATAACAGACATACCTCTCTTTAGTAAATAGATGGATGCCTGAAAAGTTACTTGTAAATTCGTTTTGCAAAACTAAATCATATTTTAAATGCATTAGATGAGTTTGCTATTTAAAGGAATGCTAGTCTGAATCTTTTTGAAAAGCAAAAGTAAAACTTTTTTTAAGAAATGAAATCACAAATCTAACATATCTTTGCTCCAAGTTCATGGAACCATTGAGTAAATGTATTTTAACTGTGGTACTCATCTTGTTTATCTCTCTAGCGGATTACACCCTATACACCTGAAGACCTCAAAAGCCGTTGCAAGTAATGTGTTTGGATTGTTGCTTTTAGATTTAACTCAGATTTACATATCCAAAATGAACTTATGAGCAGAGGAGGGGCTACATTTGAATCAAGATTCTTGGGGTTGCACATGTAATGCAGGGTTACGAGGGACTTACAGTCCTCTAAGAGACAAGTATCTTTTCTTCCCATGTTAAGTTCATGGTCAAGCCCTCTATAACAAAAAACAGATTCACAAAAGAAAAATATACAAATTTATTTAATATAAATTTTATGTGATGTGGGAGCCATAAGAAAATGAGACCCCACAGAAATGGGAAAGCCAGTATGTTTTTATGCTAAGTTTGATGAAGTGGAGAGCTGTGGAAAAGTATGCTTGGATAAAAGGGGTATGATCTAACGATAATAAACTGGGGTTTCACCGGGGACTTAGCAAGGCCTGTTTGTTCAGATTCTACTCTGTGTTCCCATGTCTTCAGAGATAAGGACATTCCTCTTTTCTGGGTGGGCAGCTCTTACATGAGGGTCTTACGACCTACTTCTGGTGAAGGTCAGAGAATTCTTTCTAAGTTTTATGGTGAGAGGGCAGGAGAAGGTCAGAGAGACCTTCCTGCTTCTGTGGTTTTCTCCAATGCCAAGGTGCCATACTTTGGGGTGGCATGCCCCGAACCCCATCAGTCCCTTGCATTCTAATAAAATGGTCTTTAATCTTTATTTCACACTATGTAGAAAATAGAAGATCAGAACAAGAGATCATGCTTACCTATACATCTGGGCCCCTGCTCTCCCATTTGCTATACACATTCTGTACCAAAATAAACATTTATGAAACAGCTCATTGCTCAATTTCTACAAAAATTCATATGCAAACAAAGCAGACATCGGCGCAGAGGATAGGCGGGTGGGATGTAGACAAATTGAATGTTTTCATGGCAGCAACAAAGAATTTCAAACTGAACATTACATGTCACCATCCTTAAAATGGTCTAACAACTCCACCACCAGGGAATTTTCATTGTCCGTACTCTGAAAAGTCATTCAGCCTCAAACCATTTATTAGTTATTTTTGTTATTTCCTCTGCTTGCTTCTTCTCTTTATTCCCTCTCTTTCAGAAGGAAAAAAAAATCCTGTTTATGCAGACGAGTTAAGTGTTCTCCTTTGTTGCTTTAACACCTGCTGTGTCCTCAGATCTAACCTTCTAGTCCAAGCAGTTCATCAAGATATTTTTCAAAACAAAGAAAATTTCCTCTCTGGAAATTTTCAAATAATAAAACTTTCACCTCCCTGTCACAAGAAGCAACGGCATCCTACTCCAATTAACTGAAGTAGAATTAATAAAACCTTAGATATTGTTACTAGATCAGAGAGGAATCTCTCAGAATTCATGAATAGGAAGAGTGGTTGGCCCTGAAGGACTGGAACAAGCAACTGGAATGCAGTCCAGAGCCTAGTCAGCGTCCTCTTGGTCTTTTCTTGCGTTTCTGTGGCCGCATGTCTCTTGTATTGCCTCCTGTATTTGCACTTCATCATTTCTCTCAGTACACCGGCTATTCCGGCATCTTTACATGCACGGCTGCCTTACAGCTCCCAAATTTATATAAGCCAGTTCCAGTCTCATTTCAGATGCTCAAGCATCCTCAGTTCCCTTCCAGAGAACCTGATTCATACCCTTGGATTTGATGCCCATCAGGCATGAGAGTCAGAGTTCACATAGTAAAAACAGAGGCTGTTGTGAGCCTACCATTGAAGGTGGAGAAGGACAGTTTTAAGAGATGAGGCTGAGCTGGGTTCCTTCTCAAAATAGGAGTCAATCGCAGATTAAAATCCAAAACAATTGCACTGTGATCCACAGATCCTCAGGCACAGTCTGGCATTACTACAAGGAGTCTAGTAAAGTTCAGTGGATGACTGCATGATGTACAGTTAAACTGAGAGTAAAAGAAGGCAAGATGGAGGAAAGGTAATCTTGGTTACCAGTAGACAATAAAAAGGATGAGCATCATTAAAAAAACAAATTGAAAATAAGTCCAAGAGATAACATGGTTTAGGGTAAAAACGACCTGTGTTGCAGACATGGTTATTTGAATTTTAACTGTGAGAAACCGAGGTCTTCTTCTGTGTACACAGGGTGCTAGGAGATCACGATTCATGGGAGAATTGTACAGTTTAACGAAACAGTCAGAGTTATGACATTTAAGCTTTTTAAAAATGGGAGAGATTCCTCTTTTTCTGGATAAATAGAAGACCAAAGAAGCGCAGGCTGCTTCAATAACTCTTATGCAGATTCCATCCCTCCAGTCCACTTTCTATTCATTGGCATTCAATCCCTCTTTTCACAAAGGGAGTCACAAATCACAAATCTCAAATTTTGGGGAAAAAATTGGGAACAAATGTTTACAAATCTTTCCTACAGCCCTCCTTTGGTTGAACGTGTTTTTAGTAATGTTTAAAAGTTCCTACCAAAGTGCATTTACTTTTTATGACAAATAGACTGGTGAACACTAAGAAAGTAAAGCAGTGCTCATTTTATTCTGCTGGGGTTCCTGCTTCGCCTATGTGAGCTTGAATGTCCTTTGGGCTCAAGTCACATAAAGACATTATCATCACCTCATTCTTCGAAGCACCTGGCTATGGAACCTGGAGTGTGAACAATTGCTGAATGACAAATGCTGTAAGCACTGGCCTGCCTTGCCTAATTATACAGCTGTCACGGCGCACTGGGCAATTTTTCTTTCCGAAGTCTCCTCCCCTCTGCCCAGTTTCAAACCGCATAGTAAAGAGAAGAATCCACAGACCTCTGTATTAGGGCTTTTAGAGCAACCACAATGCAATCAAAGTATCAGGCTGCAGGAGAGGCAGAAACCATTTCTAGAGTGTGGTTGACCCATATGCTGTACTTGGGTTGCTGTGTGGGTCAGATGAGGGTGCCACTTATCAGGGCCACAGGTGAAAATGCTGATGACTCGGGCTCCATTTCTAGTTTGTTCAGAAGTCTCAATTCCTAGAAGTCTCTATTCCTAGTTTTGTCACCTAGCTCCTATAAGTTGGCAGAAAGGAGATTTGTGAGTTCATAAGGTGCATCACAGAGTTAGGGTGATGGTTTTCACCTATGAAGCTTGAGCCCTGAGTCTGCTAAGATGTTGTTGGGGCCAGTGAAGAGCTAGGTCATTTAATGAGAGTACAAGGAAAGATAAATCAAAGGAAGGATAATAATTTTTAAGGATAAAATTAACCTATGCTGTGAAACTTTATCTTTGAGAACTATTGTAAACATCTTAGGATCTAAGTGCGTACTCAAAGGTCACAGCAATCGCCCCACAACTGGGTGCAGCATAAGAAAGTCATTACAGATGTCTCATGCTATGAGGTTGAAGTTTATCAGAATCTATCAGTCTTGTAAAAAATAACCAGAGGTTAGTAAACAGACTTTACATTTTCTGGCACCTTCTCTATTTCCATTGAATTCTATAATGTATTCATTGTAACCTATATGTAATATGGATTCATGGCTGGCTGTTGGCTCATGTCAGACATTTGGTGGTAGAAAGTTAGACTGGTGATTATACTTGCTTCCTGATGTTGGTTTAAAAGTACTCCACAGATTCTACTTTAAGATCCAGGATAGCATAATCCATGGATTCTATTTTCTTTGTCATAATCATTACTATAATATGCATACAATAGAAGCTTTGTTAATACTTGATAACTAGTGCATGGCAATGTGTTTTGCTAAACTCATGCTGTCGACAGTCATATATCCCCTTATCCAACCGTCCATTTAATATAAACTTACTAGGTTTCTCCCTTGTGCTAGGATTTTTGCTCAAGCCTGGGAGACACTAAGTTGTAAAAAATTATTCTAATATTGAGAATTGGGTTTAACAGAAATTATGTAATATGTATGTAAATAGATAGAATGAAGAGACACTAAGAATAGAAGATTAGATTTCTTGTGAAAGCAATACTTTTTCCATCCCTTTTCTTTCTGCTTTTCTTTATATTGTCTGATTTTATTCTGTAGTTTAATCTCGTGATAGAGAGATCGAAGCCTGTAAATCCCAGAAGTCGCATACTTTTTATAATTTCTATTTTTTCTTTTATTTTGTCCTTAAAAAAACTTTTTATCAAATACATTTAGCTTCCTTAGAATCACTGTTTTTCATTTCATATCCAAGGATTTTTAATGACTCCAATATTGGTTTTCAACTTCTTCTGAAGCTCAATGAAGCCACATTACGAAGCTCTGACCAATGAGAAATAAGTAGAATTGGATGTGGCCCTAGAAGGTGTCCTCTAAAGGAAATGTGAGCACAGTTTCTTGCTCCTTCCTCCATTCTTCTGCCCGGAAAACAGATTTGTTGGATGGAGTCCTGGCAGCCATTTTGGATCATGAGTACAAGCACCATTTCGTAGGGATGGCAGAGCAATGATATAAAAGGTGTCACTACATCGACTCTGGTTCTCTGGTTGCTGAACTCCTTACTTCTTTATGTGAGGGGGGAGTAAACCTTAATCTCATTTAAGTACCCTTGTTTTGAGTTTCTGTAACATGCAACTGCTTAGCCTAATTTTTTTTTTTTTTTTTTTGAGACGGAGTCTTGCTTTGTTGCCCAGGCTGGAGCGCAAAGGCGCGACCTTGGCGAGTGAACCTAATTTTAACTGATACTTGCTGTATGCTGATTTAGGCTGACAATATTTAGCTATTCCTCCGTGGAAAAGATCTAGAAAATTTAAAAATTCATGAAAAAACCTGTTCACTAGCACTGACAGCTGGGAAATAGAGCTATTCAAATGTCAGAAAACCTGAGGAATTCCTACTGGATTCAATGGTGGTCAAAAGCAAGGACCCCCCGGTGGCATGCTATAAGGACGTTTTGTGATTTTGTGACAAGCAAGTGGAAGAAATCTTGGGGCTTATGGACAACTTTAGGACTCAGAGAGACCCATACTGTAGACAAGAGTTTAGGATGACAGAGAAAGCAGAATTTGGATCCTCTTTCCCACTGACTGTGAGCAGAATTGAGGTCAGAGTTCTGGGTGGTTGGAGGAACTGAGCTGAAGCCTCCAGAGGCGCTGTGGCAGTGGCTCTGGACAAGTCATTTCCTGAGGCTGAGATGTCTTAATTGATGCAGCAGGGAGCTGCCTAGAGAAATCTGACCCACAAATCCATGAATGTGGGCAGTAATACCAAAAAGCCAGCTTTTGCAGTGGCAGTAGTTACAGAGAGGCAGCTTCCTAAGAGGGCTCATTTATTGATGAGGCGTGGAGTTGCTCTTGAGGAATGGGCCTAGAGGCTTCAGGGCATTGGAAGCACAGGGCCAACAAAGACAGTAAAGAAACCTTTTCTCGAACAATCACGGAGATCATTTCCACTCCTGGAAGGAAGCTGCCCCACAATTGGTTTAACCCTGAAATAGGAGCTTTCCTAGAAATGAAGAAGAAATCCTTGATGTTAAAACCTCCTACTCCCCACCTTCCAGGATTTCCAGACCCCCATCTCTGTTCCTATGTCCTTCAAGCTACTGGGTCATTGATATTGCCCAAAGCCCATCACTTGAAATCTGGAAGATATCCTCTAACTGCAAGCCGAGAAGACTCTCCCACCCTGTTTCTGAGGGAAATACCAGCCCTGAATAAACTTTTTACTATTTCAGTATGAGAAACTAGGGGGAAAAAAGATCTTGTGAATAATTCTGAATCATAAAGAAATGAGCATATAGTTTGAATAATCTGAAGGAAAATATATTTTGATTGTGTTCCTTTATTATAAATTTAAATTTAAAGTTTTATTTTAATCAAAGTAATATATTTAGTTCTAGTTTTAAAAAGCAACTGAACAACTTATAATGCTTGTCTACTTTTCCTTATCCCCATCCTCATCCTTCTAAGGCAATCACATAACTCTTATTGCTGTCTCCATATTTAACTAACACATTCTACTGCTAATTTTTTAGTTTAGATATTATTTCCTATTATAGGAATTAGGTTCCTTCCCTTGTGTTATGGACTGAATGTTTGCATCCTCCTAAAATTTGTATGTTGCAACCTTAACTCCCAATGTGATGAAGTTAGAAGGTGAAGGCTTTGGGAGATAATTAGGTCGTGAGGGTGGTGCCCTCACGAATGGGAGCAGTGGCCTTATAAGGAGAGACATGAGAGCTCTCTCTGCTCTTTCCCATGTGAGGATGCAAGAACCTGGCTGCCTACAAACCAGGAAGAGGGCCCTCACCAGACACCAAATCTGCTGGCACCTTGATCTTGGACTTCCCAGCCTTCAGAACTATGATAAATAAATGTGTGTTGTTTAAGCCAACCAGTCTATGGTAATTTGTTAAAGTGGCCTGAACTAATTAATACACCCCACCTCCCTCAGTATAATCATATCAATACTTAATCTTATCAGTCGTCAGTATTTATATAATTACGATCATATAAAGAATGCTCACAGTTGAGCTACATTGTATCATAACCTTTCTTGTACAACTTTTTGTTTTGGCTAGAGCTAAGACTTGCCTCCTTTCTGTGGGTTTGCTTAGTTTCTGTGTACTATTGCTAAACTCTCCAAATGAAATGCAAATCTCCTCATTACAACCAAGCGGTGCTGGCGTGTAGCTCCTGGAGCCCTCCATGCCCCACATCTGGACTGAGTTTCCTCTGGGCTTTCTGCACAGTTGTCATCCTGGGGTCTTCTTTTACCACTTTTTTTTTTCTTTCTAGAATTCCCTTAGTCTTTAACTGTGTGGAACCTCCAGTTTCCTGATTTCCACATCTTTCTCATTTGTGATTTACTCCTTTGTTGTAATGGAGTATGTTTCTATGTGGCTTTCTTCAAAAAGGAACATGACAGAACAATTTTTTGATACTTGGACTGCTTGAAACTATCCTTATTCTACTTTGACATTTGGTTTAAAATTTGGCTGGAGTCAGGGTTCTGGCTTGAAAATCATTGCTGACAGAGTGTAGGCCTTGCTCCTTTATCATTTAGCTTCCAATGTTGCTATGTCAAATGCTCTTCTCATTCTTCATCCTTCTTTGGGGATCTGCTATTTCTCCTTGGAGGCATTTGGGCTCTTCTCTTTACCCATAGTATTGTGAAATTTCACAAAGATATTCTTTGTTGTGGGTCTATTCATCACGATGTGCACTTGGGTCTTCATAATCCAGAAAGCCATTTATTTTAGATGTGGCAAATTTTATGTATTATTACTTTGATAATTTCTTAGTTTTCAACTTTTAGATTTTCTTCCTTCTAAAATTCTTATTTAGATGTTAGGTCTCCCGGACGCTTCCTCAGATTTTATTAACTTTTTCCCTCCTCTCCTATTTTTTATCCTTTCTTGTGGGTTTGCTTTACTTTCTGAAGATTTCCTCAGTTATCATCCCTTCTTTATAGCATTTTTATTTAATTGTTCTGTGAAAAGTCTTTTAAAAAATAGCAATGTGTTATTATCTCATGACGCAAAAAATCTTTTCTGGTTACTATGAGACTATTAATACTATATTAAAAAAATTTTTAAACCTTTCTTTGCTCACTGTATTGTCTTTATTTCCTGCAAGCGTGTCTTATTTGTTTATTTTGGCCAGTCTTTCCTGTTAGAGACTTCTCTCAAATGTGTGGTGAGCCTTGGCTGTATGTTCATATTTATAATGAAGATCAGAATTTCTGTGTGCAGGGGCAGGGCCTGTCAGCTGGTGGCCTCTGAGTGTCATGATCTGAGTCTTTGTAAGGAGCCATTTTTCAGAGAGGAAACTTCCAGTCTCTTGCATGGGTAACGTGAGTCTCATAGCTCAATATGCATTCCTAGCCTAGATCCTCAGCCCCATTTTCAGAACGATACCTCAGCTTCACCCTCAACTATGCCCAAGGACCCTGACTCTGGAATTGCACTAGTTTTGTCTCTCCAGGGAGTAAATCTACCTGAGGAGAGTCCTCTAGGGTAAGGTGGGTTTTGGCTGGATATATGAGGTGAACATCCTTGAAAAGATTTTCAACCATTTCTTTTGTTTTTAGTCTTCCCTTGGGACTCTCTCTCTTTCTCCTTTTTTTTTTTTTTTTAAGAAGTACATGTGTTAATGAACTTATGAGTTTCTAGACTTGTGTGACACAAATGATCTTGCTGGCTGACTTTGTCCTCTTCCTCTAGTCTTAGGGTTCAGATTTTTGGATACACATATAGGCACACACAGGCACATACACAACCAGGATCATACTATTCACAGACAGAAGCATATTTTAAAAAATTATAGAAAGAAACAGAAATACAGTTTATACACCATTTTGTGGTCTTATGAATATTAGAAAAACATGGGTTCCATAAAATAAAACCTGTAAGATGAGATGATAATACAATAAACAGATTTGAAATTGGAACTGGTTGCAGAGAGGCAGAAATTTAAAATGAGTTCCAAGGGAAAAAATGTTTTTAAAGTAAACATTTAAGAACAGAGTTTAAAAATGTAATAGGAGTAGAAATAACATCATAGTAAGTCAAATGAAGGGTATTGAATATATGCTTGGTAAAAAATATTTCAGAATGCAGAGGTAAATGACAAAAAAATAAAGACAATCAAAGCTGAGGTAAGTCATTTGGAGGATATATTACTGACATCATGAGAGTGACTGTTACTGAAGGGGATATCAGCATAAACAGAAAGAAAGCAATAGTCAGAAAAATTAAATGACATTTGGCTGGGCTAATGAATAAGGTCTGGTTTTGTAAACTGAATGAGCTCAAAAAATCCCAAAAAATATTAATGAAATTAACAACAAATAGATATATGCTGATGAAAGTCTTAAAGTTCAAGGGGAAAAACCCATCTGACATGCGTCTAAGCAGACAAGACTGGTCATCTGTGAATGAATAAAAAACATCCAGTTTCAGATTTCGATTTTCCCTTTGTAATGAGAAGCTAGAAGACGATGAAGTGATTTCCTCAGAGTTTTAAATGGGAAAAAAAAGACTATCACCAAAGATTTCTATAATATATATAGGTTTTGTTGACATACAAAGGTACCAGAAACACTTTATTGGATATACAATGACTGCCAATACATGAATTACACATATGTTTCTTTTAGAAATATATGCAAAACTTTTCTGACTAAGAAATGAGTATACCCACACACACACACTCAAGAACAGGGAAGTAATGAAATATAGAAAGATGAGGGCTATCACTGTAAAACATAAATCTTAATAATTATAAATTAAGGAAACAATAAAATGTTAGTACTTGAAAATATGCATATTTTAAAGTGACAGTGATTATTTGAAGGCAAGAAACTAGACCTCAAGTTCTGGACTATATCACAAAAACTAGTAGGAAGAAGTAAAAGTTGTAATCTAAAGTTAATAATTAGAGGAAAATAAATTAGAATGCACAGTCGAACAGTTCAACCATAGTGAGAGGTTAATTTCCTATAAATAACTAGATGGAAGAGAGGGAGAAACATAACTTGAATAAAATAGAAAACAAATAAAATAGGAAAGAATTGAAAAAACAGAAAGCATTCAGAATGACCGAAAAACAACTTCAGGGAAATATGAGCTTTAATGAAAAACTATGCTTGGCTCCATACAGGACACCCTTGTAAGTTATCTAGTTCTAGCCGCTAGTTGTCTTTGAGTTAGTTCACAACTGTAAGTTGTTGGTAACTGATAGCAATGCTAAATATTTCTTGTCTATAAACACAAATTCTGCCCTGACCTGGTCAATTGACCTACCTCCAGCTTCCCCTCAAGAAACCAGTTTGCTCCCATTTGTACATTAATGTCTATTCCTGATCAAATGTATCTGTTCTTCAGATTCTCTTTTGAACTGATTAGGACATCTGTCTGGTTTGCTTGGGTGTTAAATAAAATCTTAATATGTGTTCATTTCTAAGAGAGTCACGACTAAACTTTTAGCAAAACTGATCAGTTCTGATTAGTTATAAATGAATTAAATTCTGAGCAGAACAAAAAAGATATCAGACAGAATTAAAACAGCATATATATATATATTTGCCATATTAAAGGAACTCAAAAGGTACAAAAATAAAAGTTTAGGCAAAAATATCTTGGTCACGTTCAGACATAAAAGCAAGGATTAGCAATATTAGTATATGACTGAATAGAATTTACATCAAGTAATAATATATTGGACAAATAAAGGCAGTGTAAGTATTTAAAGTTTCAATCTATAATTAATTTATACTGTAATAGAATCTGAATATATCAGTGAAAGAAATTATGTGGAAAATGTCAGAGAAACAAGGAGAAATGGTCAGGTTCAATAGTAGTAAGACTGTTTATTAAGATTCTCCTCTTATTTGACCCACAGAGCAGGCTAAATAAATAAATGTAAGACAAATGAGTATCCAAGTAATATAATTTACAATATTGATTTGTTAGTCATAGATTGAATTTTACACCCTATAAGCAGGTAGATGACATAGCTGTGGAGATTTTCCTCTTGCAAAGTAGGCTTGCAGTCTCAGAAAGTTTGAACTAAACAAAACAGATCATTAAGTTCATTTTTAAAAAGAGTTATATATTCCATAGATATCCTCATCATGTCCTGAATCTTATTGTGTCTTTGACTTTTATTTTTAACTTAATTAGCAGCTCACCATTGAAGCCAGCCCAAATGATTGATAGACTGATAATAAATCCAAAAAGTGGCTCTTTGATAAAAACAAATAAAAATAGACAAACTCCTAGATAATGCAATAGAAGTAAAAATGGAAAATAAAGTGCCATACATGAGTTTATTTCTTGTTTAATTAAAAGTGAAGAAAAAACCATATGAATAACAATTTATGCAAAAGATGCTATGTGAGGGCACCAGTTATAAGTTATATAATTGAAAATAATCTAAATGTTCAAAGATGGGCTATTATAATATATTCTATTTTATATGTATTTAAACAAATGCCATCCTGTCATTAAGAAACATATTGTAGAATAATACTAAATAGTTAATGGAAAATTTCAGTTTGTTAGTGAGAAAAAAACTGCAAACAAAATACAGAGTATCATTTTACATTTATAAAATAGGTAAAAATATGTATAAAATGCATGATAAATATGTACTAAAATATTAAAAATAAAATTTTCCCTAAGTAGAGAGATCATAGATTATTTCCTTTACGCTCAGCTATGTGTTCTAACTTTAATGCCATATAATGCAAGTTTAAAATGTTGCTATCTGCATAAGAATGCCTTCTGTTTCGTCCCTGACCCACTCTTCTTTCCCTAAGAGTTTGCCCACCAGGTCATGAAGGGGTGAGTGAGCTCTGTGGCATCTCTGGGCAGGGCAGCAGCTGATGGGGCCAGAGGTACACACCTGCCCAAAGTTGGGCTCATTAGATCCTCTCTCGAGAATTTCAAATTGGGATTCAGAATCAGCAGTTAGTTAACTATGAGAATGAGAATCATACAAACAAACCTGGGGAACAGGGGCTGTCATTTGAGTGTGGCTATTCAAAAGCCATATGTACTGCTGAGCAGGCAGGAGAGTTTGGTCTGCAAAGAGAATAATCAATAGTAACAATAACAATGGATGCCATTCATTGTGTGCTCATTATGTGACAGGCAGTCTTCTAAGCACGCTGTATGGACTAACTCATTGATAGGCACATCTAACTTTTAAGGTAGATACTATCATTATCCTCATTGTACATGTGAGGAACCAAGACAGAGAGATTAGATGAATTACAGAATAGTGCAGAGGGCCGAGAGATGAGGGACCATGTGGTCTCAGAGAGGCAGAGACCAGAAGAGTGGCTCCCCTGTGCCTCTGGGCATCGCAGGTCCTAGTTCTAGTCCCTTGTGAGGCCTGTTTGTATGTCCTGCCATCTGTTTCCAAGAGATTACTCTGACTCCTTAAGCTAAACTCCTTGTTCTTCACAAGCTTGAGTGGCTAACAGTTTCTTGCAATTGAACAATCCTTGGCTAAGAGGGAGTATATGCTGGGGGTGACTACACATAAAGTGTCTTTGATATCTTTAAATGCTTTTCATGTTATCTTTGAAACCAGCCCAACGAAGGAAACAAAATGTTGCTAGAACTCATCACAAACAACCACATACAATAAGAGGCATCGATTCTCCCAACTCACAAATAATTTTAGAAAGTATTAAAAATATGCCTACTAAGGAGAAGGTACTCATTGAAAAACAGCCCTTGAGAGACTAGAGAAATCTCTAGGTACTCTCCCTCCTCTGCACAAAATGCCTATTTGTATAAATCTTTATATACTATTTCAGGAAGAGTTCACATGTTGTAGTGTGGCTACCAGCTTCTGGATGAGAGGCTATTGCTTACAAAAATTGCAATTTTTTTAGGTTATGTATCTGTACAGTTTTGAGTTAGTATCATCTAACCAGAGTTTTGAATGTTTTAATAGCTTCTAGTCTAACTTTGTCAATCTCTAGTTGGAGGACAATTCAAGGGAGCCCAAAGAACATGGCTGGGGAAGGAACACAGAGACTGGAGCTTCAGAAGTTACTATTAGTGCCAACAAAAATAGTTACTGCAAGGTGTTAACACTGGATAAGTAATTTCCTTTTCTGAGACTTGACACTTGAACTCTTTTCTTCCTAGCTTTTAGGATATACAGTGGTTCCCCCTTATCCATAGGGGATACATTCTAAGGCTCCAAGTGGATACCTGAAACCATGGATAATACTGAACCCTATGCATACTATGTTTTTTCCTATACATACATACCTATGATAAAGTTTAATGTATAAATTAGGCACAGAAAGAGATCAACAACAATAAATAATAGCAAAATAGAACAATTATAACAATATGCCAGCATCACTACTCTTGCACTTTGGAGCCACTATGAAGTAAAACAAGGGTAACCTGAGCACTAGTGCTGTGATAACTCAACCGTGGATCTGATAACTGAGACTGCTACTGAGTGACTCACAAGTGGGTAGTGTAGACAGCACAGATACACTGAACCAAGGATGATTCACATCCTAGGCGGGATGGAGTGGGATGGTGTGAGATTTCATCACACTACTCAGAATGGTGAGCAATGTAAAACTTATGAGTTCTTTATTTCTGGAATTTTCCATTTGATATTTTTGGACCATGGTTGACCGCAGGTAACAGAAACCACAGAAATCAAAACCGTGGATAAGAGGAGACTACAGAAAGATTTCTCCTTCTGGAGGTAATTTATGCTTCAGTGTGGTGTTTGTCACAATTACTGAAAACTAGATAGACTTGCCTTGGAGCAATAGGATGTGTTTTTTCCCTGTGTTTCTTGTTTTGGTGTAGCAATGGCTATGTAAAACAGCTGGATAGATATTCTTATATAGAGAACCCAAAGAAAATTCAGTGGCCAAATATCCAGATGAAAAGAGAAGCATTCAGTTAATCATCTGGATGTTTTGTCTACACAAGGAGAAATCTGTGGATGTTTCCAAATATTTGAGAAAATATTTGGGAACATCCAGATGTTTGGCCCTATGCAGCTCAAACATTCAGATGTTTGACTAAATTTCGCCTTCCAACCGGATGCTTCGGCATCAGATAGACCCAGCCTTGGTTATCGTAATTACGCATTGTTAACTGGTGTCACAGAAAATTGTTTGGGGGAAAAACACGACACACCAAAATGTGGAGGTTATAAATAATCACAAACATTACTAGTGAGGAAAGAAGGAGGGAATAACACCTCTGACCAATCAGGATGCATCATCACTAATATAAATTGTCAGCAGTAGTGTTCTCTTTGCAGAAGGTCTAATAATTAAAAATAATAAACATAAGCTGGTGGCTCCTACTAATGAAAACGAAGCCAGTAGCACTTGCAGTGTTTACAAAACATGAAGGATGTGAAAAGGAACATCCTCTGCTTTGAAATGAGTTGAAAATTCTAAACTTCATGGAAACGGGTTGAATGAGAGTTCAGTTTCCTCCTCTTATTTTAATGTGGCCTTGCAGTGTCTCCGATTACAGTGTTCTTAAACTTGTGGGAATCAGCCTAATAAAAATACTTAAAGAAATACAGCTCATCCCTCAGCTGTGGGCCGGCTGTGTAGATTACCATGGTGCAGGAGTCAGGATCTGCCTCCAGAAAGCAGACTCCGTTTTCTACACAGCAGTAACATGAACTTGAACGGAGGCGTTAAATGAGAAGATCATGTTTTGATTCTAATTAAGATTTTAAAACCTGATTTTTAGCCAACTTGTTGTTGGTGAAAAACAGCAATGCCATAAATAAAATAGCCACAGATGGACCCGGATATTTGTTTGAACAACCATAAAAATTCTTTCATTTTAATTGATTGATACTGGACAAAAGTAGTATTCAGCCAAAACCTTACCGCTAGTCTTATAATTATTTTTTTAACCAGTTCACCACTACATTCCAGGGGAACTTCAAGACATCCTACTGAGGTGTCTGGTACAACGTCTGCACCTGATTACATGTTTGACTTTGCATACCAAGCCTGAAATTGTTCAAGAAAATTAATCTCTTATATACTTGCAAAATCCTATCTGGAAAGTAACCTAGATGTGGTCTGGGGTTCATTTTCAAAGTGAACAATCTTCAGAGAACCTGGGACTGGATCGTACTTAGGAATAATATGGTCTGTCATTCTTTGTAGGATGGGAATGACTGTTGTAAAGCCGATGCTAATTTTTCAAGGAACTTCTCTAGAAGATGCAGAAAGAAGCAACAGACCTTAAAATCTAAAAGCATTTAATATTTTTAATTGCTTTCTGAAGAATTAAACTCTGGTTTAATTTGAGAAAGCATCTCAAACATTTTTCGTATCAGAGCAAAAGTTACCTAAGTATGATCCAGTTAGAAGACATGCATATTTTAAAATACCTATGATACACTCAGCTTGTTTTTGTTTTTAAAGAAACAGAAAATATGACTTTGGTTCTAAAAATGCCTTCATTGGAGTAGAGGAGGAAATATAATTGCTACACAAATTGTATGGATTCAACGGAGGAGTCAGCTATGATTTCTTTCTCTGATGACAATGAAACTTTTCACCTTTATATGCCAACTAACTGGAAAAATTTTCCTACAATGTTGTGCTCAGAAGTGTGATAGGAGAATTGAAAGTAATCAGTGTCAATTAGAAAGACCTTGGACATCATTGGGAATGCCTATTAGAAGGGATAAGAGCATGCTAGAAACAGATGGCTTGAGCAAGATTGTTGGCTCTGTCTCTTCTAGCTTCCTGACCTCATGTAAGATATATAACATCTCTATGCCTTGGTTTCCTTATCTGCAAAAAGGGGATAATAATAGTAGTACATAGTGGATAGGACTGCAGCCAGGATTAGATAACAGAGTATATGTAAATCTCGTAGATCAATGCCTGCTACATGAGTAACTTTTTAATCCACAGTACATGAATCAAATTGCATTGAATCAAAAGTTTTGTGAAGATTTGAGATGAGAATGAGAGCCAAATAAGCCATATCATAAGAAGCTGTGATCAGAAATAAAATGAGGTATGTTTTGACACTTAATGACATTCTAAAAGATTGGGCGGCAGCAAGATGTACACACGTCTCTGCAGAAAATGTGGTGAGGAGGTAGGGGGTTGGGCAAGGGAGATCAATCTCACAGCTTTCAAGTAGGATTCTGTGGGTGGGGAAGAAAACTAGAATTCACAGAGAAGGAACTGGCTGATATTATTATTATTTTTTTTGATGCAGCATTTCAGAAAACATAATCAATGGCATGCGTCCAGTTCCCATTTAGTAACCAAAGAACTAGCTGCAGCTGTTTTTTATGCCTGGTGGTGCCAGTTTGATAGTGTATAATCATATTTGCATAAAGATAAAAAGGAAGGTGTTATAGAACACAGTTAAGCCTATGGTTTCACCATGAATTAAAGGTAATTTCAGACTAATTAGGTATAATTTGTTAAGGAATTCTTCCCAGCAATGATGACTCTGATTTTGTAATTACAGGACAATGCTTACTGTGGCTTTCAAGGCAGGAGAAAGCACACCCGAGGGGGTCGTGTCCCACACTAGGCAGATCTAATGGTGCCACAAAAGACAGGTGTTTTGTCAGATTTCAGCCACACACTTTCACACCTGCAACGCATTAACTACCGCAGCAATGTTAATGAAGACCAGGTGCCTGTTCTCCAGCATAAATGAGGAACTGGCAGGAGATTTGCTGTTTGCTACCTGACGTCTACCCCTGAGTCTCTGAACCCCGTCCTTCTGGTTGAAGGGGAAGGTGAGTGGGGTAACAGGGTTTTGGGTACTTTTGCCTTGGTCCTTTTGAGTTGTGGGATGGAGATACTGAAACATTGGTCTTCGCATTATGGTAGTGACCTTTTTACCCACCCATTGAATTTCCCATCAGTTTCCACCCTAAAGTAGTGGAAAACATTCTTACAGCACTAAGTATCTCCAGGCTTTCTGTGCTGCTACCCCTTTTGTGCAGAGTTCAGCCTCTGAGAGTCCTGAAAATAGCTGATCTGCAGAATCTACAAAATGGATTTCTGGAAAGTGCTGTGTTATCAGCTGCTACCAGGGAAAGTTTGATTGTAGCTACTTGAGTCTTTTCAAACTTGAAGTTTTGCCATTCCATCCGGAAATGAGTAATGGAGGCCTTGAGCAAGGCTTTTCACTTTAATAAAACACAAGGTTTTCATTGTGTGGGGCTACATCATTTTAATGCTCTGTGTTATGAAATACAAAATCTTTTTCTTCCTCCCTTAAGAAAAAAACTCTGCAGCAAAGCTTTTCCCTCCTCTTTTTTTCCTTCTTTTCTTTGTTTCACCTCTTTCAGCTGCAGTTGTCTGCTCCCTGCAATTTCCAGCAGTTAAGTGAAGTTAATATTGTCACACACACACACACACACACACACACACACACACACACACACACAATTGAAAGTGAGGAAAAGAATGAGCAGGTCTAGGTTCTCAACAATAGAATATAATTATCTAACTCATTACCAGTGACTTCTGGCCATGAAAAAAAAAGCCTCTTCACCCTGGGAGAGGGAAGGATGGACAAATATCAAAATGCTTGACACTGCACTTAAATTCCAGGTCCTAATTAAGTTAGAAAAGAATGGACTCATAGACTTTTAGAGTAGCAGATCTGAGTGTGAAAAGGATGGTTCAAATCCAGATTTCTTTAACTCTTCAATCCCTGAAGTGAATATATTGGGCAAACCTTCAGAAATGGATACTCACACTCTTGAGGTGACCTGTTAGTAACATAGATCCAAACCATTCATTTCAGGTCATTCTGCAGTGTTTTTCAAGACATGTTTCCAATGAGCTTACTTAAGATTTTCAAGAGGCACCCTCAAGGTACAAATATAGCTGGGGAGTTTCCAGAAATCTCTGGCTTTCCCTTTCCACGTCCCACCACCTACAACTAAAGCAATTTTAGTTTTCAATTTACTTTATTGATTTGGTGTCTATCAATGATTTAATATATTAATTTTTTTGGATTAATACCAAAACCTTTGGTTACAGCTGCCAAAGAATACCCTATCTTATGGCAGAAAACACTCGTGCCTTTACCAAGTACTCAAGTATTTGAGCAAATCCAAATTCTTCATGTAGACAATGTTAGCCTTGTATGCAGATTCTCCTGAAGGCCACTTCTGTGCACAAGTGCTGAGGCATTTGGACAGAGTGAGAAATCATGTCATGTTTTCAGTGTTTCTAGCAACCTTAATGTCTACAGCAAATGAATTACTTCTTAACGAATGCTTCTAAAAATTTGGATTATAGGTACTGACCAGGAAACTCAATTTCAAATCCTTGACTCCCCAGTCTTATCAAAAGCCGAACTGAGATCACTGACATTTGAGAGATTATCTCAGGCCTTGCTACTCAATATATGATCTATGGACTGGCAGCAGTGACATAATCTGAGAGCTTCTCAGAAATGCCAAATCGCAGGCCCCAACTCAGACTTACTAAATCAGAATCTACATTTAAAAAACTCCACTGTTTTTGAGTCAACTTAATGACTCATTTGCCTATTAAACTTTAACGTTGTAAACGTGTATTCTTCTAGATCAGAAATTCTTAATTTGGGGTCCTTTGAGTCCATAAATTGGCCTCAGGTTTATCAACTCACTGCAATTAAATGCAAAATTGAATCTGGAGGTGTGGCTATGTATGTTTGTGTTTTAACCCGTAGATCCTTGTTTTTGGTAAAGAGGATTCATAATTTTTCAGCTTTTCAAAAATGTTGCAAACTATACTAATAAAGGTCTTCTTATTTATAGTGGCCATGCACTTCTCTGGGTAGTGCTCTGGGACAGAACTCCGGACATAAAAATGCTATCATAAAATTATAATGGAATTTAATTTTCTGAGCTTCTGCTGAGTGTAAACTAAATTGTTCTTGCATCTTCTGCAAACAGGTGTACAAGTTCGTCCACAGTGTTGTTCAATATCACTTATCAATTTTAGGGCACTAAAAAAAGAAGTGTCCGATGGACTATTATGCTTCTTTTTGTCAATGAGCACTCTATAATTTCCTGTCTCCTCCCCACCCTTCTTTTTTTTTAATGTGCAAGGCTCAAAAAAGCTCAGAACTATTACGAATATGGCATTCAATTACAAAACTCTCCAAAGACAAAATTTCTGGGACAGATCTGTGAAACAGTTAATACTGCACAGCATTAACAATTGAACTGTGCTGGAAAAATAAGAATCGACAACGATGAAAAAATAAAAGGGCATTTAACACAACTAAGAATTAAAGTACACACCTCATGAGGGTTGGACTCTCTATTTCCTTGCTGCTTGCTCTCCCATATCATGTATAGTGTCTGACCATAGCTACTTGGAAAATATCTTTTGTCAAACAAACACATTGATTTAACAAATACTTACTAAATGCCAACTATGTGGTAATGTGGAATTGTAATTAAGAGATAAAATGAGTCTGTCTGGATTTGAGTTCCAGCTCCACTGTGCAAAGCTACAAGATCTTTGGCAAATTTCTTCTCCTCCCTGTGTCTAAAATGAAGATAAGAGTAGCACCTAACCTATAGGCCTGTGATGAGGGTTATATTAATTAATGCACGTAAGTTCTTAAAACAGTGCCTGGCATGTAGTAAGCACTCAATAAGTAGTGACTATTACTAGGTACCTGGCACTTCTCTAGGTTTTGTGGAAATGGGAATACAAAAAAATACCATCTTGGCTCTCATAGGTCTTTTATCAGGGAATAATAGATATTCAATAATTAATTTTATAATTACTCTAAATTGTAATATGTGCTATGGATGGAGAAGTATAAGCTACTTTTAGGAAGACCTGACCAGGGATGGGATGTCAAGAAGGTTTCCCTGAGGAGGTGAGTTTTAGGTGAAGGGGAATAGGGAATGGGAGATAGAGCAAGCCAGGTCCAGGGGGCTGGAGCTCAGCAAGTGGTCAGCAAAGGGTGTATGGGAAGCTGATGAGGTAGACAGGGCCTGGGTCATGCTGTGCTTTCTGGAGAGTCTTGGCCTTTAAGAAATTTGAGGTGTACAGAAAAGGTTTTAATCAAGGGAATGACATGAGCGGGTTTGAATTTTTAATGTATCTCTCCAACAGGCATGTGGAAAATTGATTATAAGTAAAATCAGAGTAACTGTGGAGACATGAGTTAGGAAGCATTTAGAATATAATATGAAAGAATCAATTGTACCATTTTGTAGGATGTTGACAGTGAAAGATAAAGAGAGCTGGATGAATTGGAGAAACATTTAGTAGGTAAAGTAAGGAGGACTTGGGGTTGATAGAGTCCTGATTGAATTGTATTGTGCTTTTCCTTTTTATTTCTTCAAGACAACAAGACACATTCAAAAGTGACTTTATTTCTCTATTTTTCCTTCAATTTGTAAACACAGACCCACTTATTCTCACAGGCTTCCCTTAGCTTCATATATGTATATATTCATATACATCCTCCCATAGATCCATATATAATTGATATTGAAAATAGCCTTCTCATGTAAGACTGTTCCTGTTCGTTTCAGAAGGAAATTCATTTATGCTTATAAGACATAAACTCTGTTCTCTGTTGACACTTCTTGAAAGCTTTTGAAGTTCTTTGAGGTGCCTGGGGTAGGTAGGACTAGATAAAATCTTATTTTTGCCTTTCTTAGAAGGAATACAACAAACAATATATTCTCATGGTTGTGATATACAAACAGGATGTTAGTTATTATCCATCTCCAAGTGCTTAATGTTGAAAGGGTGGGGGAAAAACTCACCTCTTCCCCCCACCCTTTCAACATTAAGCAGGTGGAGATGGGTAATAACTAACATCCTGTGTGTAAAAGCTTTGCTTTTGTTTTCCTGGGGGGATACAGGCAGTGAAGAGCCCGGTTACTCAGAATTCCTAGTGTTTTTGCTTTCTGCATACATTTGAGCACATTTAATCTTAATCCAGGACTTATGCTTCCTTACTTCATTGTGGAGGGGATGACATGATAACAATTGTTATTTCTGCCCAAAGAAAAAGAAGACAGTTATAAGAGGAATTAAGAACATATCAAGTAGGTTATAATATTAAGAGTAATAAAATGGTAATTATAGATGACTATTAGAGAGGCTAGCACTTAACCAGGTGCCTGTAACCACCTTCTGAGTATTATTATTCCCAGTTGCCTAGGAAACCAAGGCACTCCATTAGGCTTATGTTGGCCCTGATCCTAAAGCGGCACCCACCCGTTGGTTTTGCGGGATTCTTCTGACTCTGTCCTATCCTATACCCCAGAATCCCACCTCTTGCGTTTCTACACAGAACTCTCTCTGTCCTCAAATATTGTGTTTCCCACTTTCTTCTCCAGACCACTTTCCTCTGTCCTCTCATTCCCTGAGGCTCTTCTCTTTAAGGTGATGGCCAAGAAATTAGAGAAAAGAATGCATTGAGATGTGAATGACTCTTTTCTTTTGCATTGGCATTGTATGAGGACATAGTGAAGGAACCCCAGGGTGTACCTCTGATAGGCAGACAGTGCAGCTCCTTGGGATGCACGGGGGCGCAAAAATATTTTTCAGACCCTATTAAATGTTGTCCTATTGATGGCACTCATGGCTTCATAATCTGTTGGTTTTTTTCCTTAAGTAAATAAGGTGAGGGTTTTGGGCTTCTGGCCTTCACCCAGACTGGGTTTGCACAGCCGTGAAGTCTGAGCTGAATTCTGCCATCTCTCCAGCAGCACTTAATTGCTTTTAATTATCCCTCCTCTGGAGCCTAACCATACTTCACCCAGGTCACACTACAGAGCATGGCTCATAAGTTTTACAAGCCACCTTGTGTATCCCATCCATGTGTGCAGCCACCTTTTCCGACCGTAAACCATCCATCAGCCAGCTATCCCAGTCCCTGAAAGGTCTGGATGCTGAGAGTAAGATCAGGCTGTTCTTGGTGTCACTATGTTGACTACCATTGTAGCAGGAAGCCTTGAGATGAACTTGAGATTTGAATTTTAAATCTGAAGATTGCACATGAATTGAACTTTGAAATGATCTTCCTTTTATTCACCTGTGAATGTAACCAAATTTGAGAAAACTAAAGGGGTTTGGATTTCCTAAGCCCAATTCTCTTGTTAAGCTGTGAATTCTCACTCTGAATCTCTAATGAGATCTTAGGTACCAGGTCTAAGTCCTCATTTGAATTCAGTAAATACTTGCAAATTAAATGAAAAGCCCAATATTTATGGGTAGCTTGCATAGCTATAAGATCCAAAATGTACTTTCCACTGGCTCTGGTCAGTATTGCAACATAGATGTCTTCATTCATTCATTCCTCAGTCTTTCTGAGAGAAGCTTAGAGAAGGGAGGTGGAGAGTTTTCAGTCAAAGGAGCTAAATTCTGAGAATTTTGACTTTTTTCCTTTCTGGATTGACCATGAAGGCATCCAGGCATATGTGTCTGTTTATCTGTGAAGGATACTAGGTAAAAATACAACTGATGGATACACCTCTCCTCAAATAAATTGATTAGACTAGCTAGTTGTCTCAAGTAGGCCTTGGTAAGAGCAGTGCTTCTCAAAGAGGGGTATGGGTACCATAGATACAGGCGAGATGGCTTTTAGAGGTCCCTGAATGAATGCCTTTTTATTATTCTAATCTAGCATTTAATATTCTGTTCTATTGCTTGCAAGTGATATCGGTTTCCATTTAGCAGTGATGAAAACTTTCCATTAAAAATGTGTGTATTAAGGAAAGTGAGTCATTAAAATAAAAATATTGATAACAATACCAGTCAGTGATAACTGAAAATGTCAAGTCATGAAAGATGCTACACAAGTGATTGGACTTTGGGAATCTTTGGGATAGAAGATGCAGTGATTTGAATAAAGGCTACGGGGAGCTATAGAAGGCAGGGCACTCATTGGAGGGTGTGGAGTGGGAATGAAAAGAAGCAGAGGGATATGTACACCTGCCAGCATAAGAGCAGGCAAGGGAGTTGACAGGAGGCTGATGTCTGCAAGCAGTCCCTGTCTTGTGGAGGAGCAGTGGTTTCAGAGTAAAGCATGGTGAGGGAACCTGGTGTGGTGAGAGAGATCTCCAGTCTCCTAAATACCCAGCTCCCTGGGGAATGTCTGCACCAGCTCTGGCAGCATATAGCTTCAGGATTTTTCCAGCTAGCTACTTCCCTACCCTCTCCTACATTCCAATATCATTTCCCCATTTTCAGTTCCACCAGAGATAGATTCCTCAAGCCCTTGAGTATTTCAGATGAAACGATTTTGATACCAAAATTGCTTTATGCTCACCAGAGAATGTACTATCCACTTGGAAATAAGGCCTATTTGAATTTGCCCCCTTTGTCCTTCCAAATGTCACTGGATGAGGGAGAGGACTTGGCAGAAGAATGCAGTCGGTTTTGGCAGAAGCATCCAAAAGCCTCGGATCCCCTGATGTACAATAAAAGCCGTGGAAGTGTCCAGTCTTTGAATCCGTGTGCCTCTGTGGGAACGTGGGTGAGGGTGGAGGTATGGGTGTGGATGCATGTTTGTGTAAAGGGTGAAAAAAGAATCTTTGTTGGAATAAAGAAAGGCATGCAACAGGGATCAGCTAGACAGCCAACCCTGAGGGAGTGAGGGAAAGAGAAGACTGTAGCAGACTCCAAATCAGTAAATGCAAATTGCAGCAGAAGGTTGACCTTTTACTGTAACCGAAGTCAGCTGCAGGTTGTAACCTCATGCCATTAATTATAACCCAGCATAGCTCTGGTGGGCTCTCCCGTTGGCCTTGATCTCCCTCATCCTCCCTCTCCACCACTTCCCTCCTTAGTCCCCACCCCACCGAAAGGCTCATGTTGCAGGCTGCACTCTGAGATAAAATGCTTTTGAAAGTAATGGGTCTTATAGGACTGGAGTCAATTCTATACATTTCACTTTTTTGCAAAAGGAATTGTCCTGTGTTGAAGACTGAGATGGTCGGAGAAGGCCCATTTAAAAAAAAATAGCTAAAACTTAGATGAACAGAGTCCTTAACCAAAAAAGTAAAATATTCATCAGCAAAAGCAAAATATTCTGGGCCAATATTGTTTCTGGAATGTAATAACGCACCCCCACTCTCCTTTTGGAAAAGGTTTGCAAGCATTTTGTTGCATGACTGGGAACCTACAAAAATATAATTTAAAAGTAGATATATAAAGGAAATATAACCCAGAGAATTCTGTGCACAGGTCAAGAAAGAAACTTGCATAATAGGTCTAGGAATATTTTGAAAATTCTGGGCCCTTCTTTCTGTTCCATTTCTTGTTGGATTGTTTTAGGAAGTCTGTATTCACTTTGTGTGAGAATCTTTGGTTTTTACCTCAATTGAAAGAATGGAAAACTGCAGACAGACATTTTATACAGACAGCACTGGCTTCACATGACATGTGTGGTTGTGCAGACTCCTGTGCTTAGAAGGGCCCTGTACTTGGTTTAATGCTCTGCTGTGAACATCCTGAAGCCCTGAATAACCTTAAACAAATGGCCCCACATTTTCATTTTGTACATTATGTAGTCCTTCTGGTATAGGGGCACTGGAAAGTGAAACATATTAATGGTTGGTGAAGCCAATACCAAACTCGGAAAAAGTTGATGTCTTCTGGGCCAATATTGTTTCTGGAAGTAGTTAAAATTTAGAATAAAACAAATATATGCTGAGGCCAGTCTTCCCCTTAAAACACAAAGTTGTACAATTATCTCAGCCATGTTTTGGTTCTTTGAATAATTAACTGACCCACAATATAGCAGATTTTCCGTAGTTTACTTTGTTTAGCTTGTCCAAAGCCTCTTGATATTCTCCTGTTTTAGTTCTTCAGTTCATATATTAGATAAACTTCTAATATGATCATGATACTATTTTAAAATTGCATGAAATAGGAAAGACTAAAGCACAGCCGTGCCCTCAGGAAAGTTTCTCTATGGGGAATGATACAATTAAAAATTGCAAAAACAAAATCTGACTCAAGCTTGAAAGAAAAAAATGCATTGAGATACAACAAATGTTTGAGAACAGAGGAAGGAAATATAGTTCACATTGGGAGGATGACGAAAGGTAATGAAGATCACGATACACATAAGTGCGTGTGTGTGTATATATGTGTATGTGTGTGTGTAATTTCAATATACAGAGAAGTGATCAAAGGATATTTTTGGAGCAAGGAATGATATATAGGGAAGGGAGAACAAATGGCATGTTCAGGCAGCAGTGGCTAGAACAGAGTGACTGGTGTATGAGATGCAGACGGGAGGGAGGTGTTATTGGAAAGGAGCTAAGACCAGATTGTGGTATGGGCAGTTTATTTAGTAGCAACTGCTAATGGAAATAGGACTAATGGAATAGGAGAAATGGTCATATAGGTCTATGGGTTTTTTACACTGAAAAAAATAATTAGAAACTGTCATTCTAGTCTCACCAGGTAATTGAGATTAGGGCCAAGACAGACCACACAAAGAATGTGAATGTCCCAGTACAAACAGAGTTACGGTGCATTCCCTAACAGTAAGGATCAGTACACCATGCGGTCTTACTGGGAGAAGGAGAAGGAAGAAGAACCTTCTCATTCCTGTGCAGTCTTAACACTGAGGTTCAACTTTGGACTTTCCCACAGGTGAACAAACCTTGGGAACTGTCCTTAAACACCTCCACCATTGGTTGGCTGCTTTTCTGTGTCTTGAAGATATTGGTCCACTTTCCATAGCATCTTCATTTGAATTGTTATGAAAGAAATACGTAAAAACATATGAAAATGTTTGGAGTTGGAAAACCAACAACGTACAGACTGTGTATACAAAGCACTTATTTTGTATATAAAAACAAATGGATGGATGGAGTCATGTATGGGTTTATGCTGGTATGAAACATACCAAAGTTTTAACAGTGATGGTGTTATCTTTACATGCCGAGATTATGGGTGACTTTTATTTTAAACAATTTTCATTTTTGGCTTGATTTTGTTTAGTTTTTGAAGATTTTAGAGAAAAATGCATTATTACTAGGATTAGATTAAAATTCCATTTTGGGGGCTCGGATGGATTTAGCATTAAATCCATCCACAAAATGAATGATCATTTTAGAAAATATTTAATGATGTTGCAGTGTGTCCACCCTGAATCTTAAGTGCCATGTGGTGCAGTGTGTCAGGGTCTGGCTTATTAAGAAGATCAATAGGTACAGTGCTGAATAATCTGATGTTGCTTGGCTAGCGTACGAATGCATCCGGATTTTTTTTCTTTACATTATTTGTTCTACCTTTAGTTTTATAAAAATATTTTCCAGGCTACACTTTGACGGTGGGATTTCAAGTTGTAAAAAATTCCTTTCAAATTTTGGATGCAGAATTTACTATTGCCCCAGGGTTTCTTGGAAGAGAATTAGAAGAGTTCTGTTTTTCTTATGAAACATATTCAAAGAGATGAATTACTTTTCCATGCAACAAACTCAAGTAAAAAGTGAGATGCAATATCAGTGATGATGTGATTGGTCCTTTGGAGATGTCCCACTCAAGCATTCAAATAATTTCCTGTGTTATGTCTTGGGCCAAAAAGCTATTGAAAGAATATAATTTCAAAAATGCAATGTTTGCTGTGAGAATGTCAACTATGACAATTGTATTCAGCATACTTATATACTGATTTGTATTTCATTCAGGTTCACATACTTGTTCTTAGGTATTTTTAATTGCGATCATATTAGTAAGTGTTTCTAGTCCCTAAGTGGTTTTTAGTTGATTATATATGTCAATAAACATGTGGATGTTAGATTGAGCCATATGATATTAAAGATAAGCTTCTTTGTACTTATTTTGATAAATCATAAAATGTTTACATTTTGCCCCATGTACTTTATCATTTCTTTATGTATTTACATGTATTTGTACATTTTATGAACTATTTGATATAATTTGGGGACATTGTGCCCTCTTACCTCTAAATGCTATAATTTGTATTTCGTAAGACAATAAGAAGAAATTAGAAAAGATTTCCTAAGAAGAGATATTCTCTTTTCTACCCACAGAACCATTACAAAATAAGAAAATCTGACATTAATACAATGCTCTTATTTAATTCATAGTCCAAACTCATATGTTCTCAATTGTCTCAACAACATCCTTTAGAAAAATTTTTTCCTGGCCCAGCATCCAACCTGGGGTCATGCTCTATATTTGTGTCTCTGTAGTCTCTGTTGATTTAGAACGGTTTCTTGGCCTATCTTTGTCTCTCTTGACCTTGTTATTCAAGAGTTCAGGCCAGTTGTTTTGCAGAATGACTCTCAGTTTGGGTTTGCCTGATGTTTCCTTATGATTAGAGTCAGGCTATGCTTTTTATAAAAAATATCACAGAAGTGATGGGTGCTGTTTTGCCCTTCGCAGATAATCCTAACAGGAGGTAAAATATATTAGTTTGTCCCAGTGTTGGTGGTAACTTGCATCACTGATTCAGGTGGTATCTGCCAAGTTTCTCCACTCTAAAATTCTATTGTAAAGTTATCCTTTATAAGTAATAAGGAATTTGTGGAGAGTTACTTTGAAACCATGTAAATATCCTAATCCTCCTCAAACGTTCACGCATTCATTGGGGATTTTCTAACTCCATCATTCTGTTTACTTTTGTTGATTGGCATTGTACTGTAAGGAAGAGGTTTTTCCTTCTCCACTCTGTGTTTATTTGTTCATTAATTTATTTTTATAAATATAGTATTTAATATGTTTCAGTCTTCACTTGATCTTAGCCAAAAGGCGGAGAAGTGATCGTTTTGATCTTTAACATGGCAGTTTTAAGTGGTTCAGCCAAAGACGTCATGCTATGCATTTAGACTGGAAATATATCAAGCATGTATCTTCGTAGCCCATTGTATTTTCAATAATTAAAAAAATTATTCATTGACTAATTTTAAATTATGGCATGTTCTTTACTTGGTGACTATGTCAGTCTCAATTTTGATTGTCAGTATTAAAACCTCTACCCATCCCCTTTACTCACAATAACACATTTCACTAGGCCTGTGTTGAAACAGCTGTAAGGTGAGCCCTTAGTATAATCTAATCTATATTTAAGGCAATGTGAGTTGTGGATGTATAAATATGAACAATGTTTTTAATGCTCATTCAAATATTTTGTTTTCATAAAGTCCGTGTTCTGTTTTTAAAACTTAAGGTTGATAACCATGATTTTAGGGAGGACAGAAATTGAACTCATCTGGTAATAAATGCAGAATACAAACTTCTCCTTCAGCCAGTTTACCTGCACATTTATGGTAGATAGTTGACATTTTTTATGACAGTGAAAAAATCAAAGTATTATATATAATTGTTCAAAAGAATTGTCCCCAAATTGAATATGTTTTAAATTCCACTTACCTTTTGTTTTATGTCTATTAGGCATTTAAAATATTAGAAGATTTTTGAAACTTCAACACTTTTTGAATATTCTACATGTGGCCTTTTGAGATTCTGCATGTTGCCTTCAAAGAGATCTTGTCAGAGTTACACTTCTTTAATAGTGAAGTTTATATACTTAAGAAAATAAAGGCAAAAAAATAGTCATTCATAATATAAAAATAATACAGTCATACATCAATTAATGGCATTCTGGTCAATGACAGTTCAAATATATGACAGTGGTTTCTTAAGATTATAATATGGCATTTTTTTCTGTACTTTTTCTATGTTTGGATATACGCATACTTACTTATGGTTACAATTGCCTATAGTACTCAGTACAGTAACAGGCTGTATAGGTTTGTAGCCTAGGACCAATAGGCTATACCATATAGTCTAGGTGTGTAGGAGGGTATACCATCTAGTTTGTGAAGATACACTCTATGACGTTCACACAATGAAACACCTAAGGACACATTTTTCGGAACATATCCCATCGTTAAGTGACATATAACAGAAGTACCTACATAATAATTTTTATGAGGATTAAATGAGATATTTGTAAGACACATAGCTCATGCTTGATACTTACTACATAAAATGATAGCTATTTATTATTACTCTAATTCTTAACATAGTAATTGCTATGGCTCTTAATTTCTTTAAAGAAAACCTCAAAAGGAAATTTCTGTGTGATATAAAAAGGAACTGATGCGAATAACTGTCCCATGGAGTAGTTGAAAGAATACGAAGTTTCAGTGTTAGCTTGTGTGTTCCATTCATCTCAATGGGTTTTAATTCCAGTTTCAACACTGATTAGTTGAAAGCAAGGCCAGTTTCATGATTTCTCAGCTAATCTATCTTTAAAAGGTGGGGCATGAATAATGGTATCACTTTCCTATGAAAGAATGTCTCAAGTGGTCTAGTGAGAAAAGGTTAATATACAAGAGAGCCCTTGGTGAATATGTGGAGTGGAGGTCGGAGAATCAGAGAGGAGACAGGAGGAGGAGGGGCAGAGTGTCCTTGTGGATGGCAGGAGGCGGTCCTGACTAACATGGCTTGTGGAGACATTAAAGTGAAATGCTATACAACTCTTTCATAATTTTCAGTGGTGGGCTAACTCCATTTAAAGAGACTGGCCAGGACAGGTGTGGTGGCTCACACCTATAATCCCAGCACTTTGGGAGGCTGAGGTGGGTGGATCAGTTGAGTTCAGGAGTTTGAGAGCAGCCTGGGCAACATGGGAAAACCCCATCTCTATTAAAAATACAAAAATTAGCTGGGCATGGTGGCAGGTGCCTGTAATCCCAGCTACTTGGGAGGCTGAGGCAGGAGAATCGCTTGAACCCAGGAGACACAGGTTGTAGTGAGCTGAGATCATGCCACTGCACTCCAGCATGGGTGACAGAGCAAGACTCCATCTCAAAAAATAAATAAATAAATAAATAAATAAATAAATAAATAAAAATAATACAGAGACTGGCCAAAATTACACTCCAAGGACCTCTGGGCCTCAGTTTCCTCAACTGTGACATGGAGAAAATTTCTATTTACAGAGTTGTTGTCAGGACTGTGTGCTTGATACCTTTTGGGTACTCAGAAACAGTCCTGTCAAGCACCTACTGTAAGTCAATAACCGAGATTGTTTTCTGACTCTCCATTTCCTGACATGGCTGATGTCGTAGCTCTATAAACAGACACAGGTTTGGGTTGGTTTGTTGGTTCAGTTGTTGCTTGTCCAGGCTGGAGGCAGTTTGCATGGGAAGTAGTAGCTTCTGTTCAGGGAAGAAATTGTGAAGGGATCACAGGTGGCACTAGGCAGGAACTTGGATGAGCAACACGTTAAGATTTGATAGTGGTTTGGCAGCATTCCCACAAAAGAGGAAGATTTGATTGTTGGAAGGGTCCTTGGAAGATGAAAATGTTCTTCGTAAGGTTGTTTACAACAATAAAATGGGAAGACAAGGAGGTAGAAAGATATGGAGTTGGATGATAGAGAAAAAAATCTTATAACTGAGCGAGGGAGTTATTGAAGGGAATAAACTAAGGAACAGAACCAAAGGAGAGGAACAGAGATGGAAACCTCGGTAAGAAAAAAGCTTCGATTATGGAAATAAAGTACAGTATATTCCATTAACTGCTCCAGTGAGTCCTTGGTTGAATTCTAGTTAAAATAAGATATTTTAAAGAGTGAAGAGACATTTCCTTTAAATATCCACATTTACAACTTTTCTATGTAAAGTCCAAGGCTTTAGCCTCAGTATGACAAATGTAGCGAGGTATCATTAATCAGATTAGATTTTTATGTTAAACTTATGACATGAAAGTATATTTTACAAAAACATTTTGTGTTTGATTTTCTCAGATTTTCTATGAAATAAAAAAATTTAAAAATTTGACTTTATTGGAAAAGTACTGCCCAACTTATAAGACTTTATATTTTTAAAATATGAGAATGAGATATATTGAGAAAAGGTTGAATGTGTCCTGGGAGGTGGAAGGCTTCGATCTTAGCCACTGAGCTATTTGTCATTAGATACGAAATTGTGAATGTTCTCTTCCTTGTAAAATAGGCGTGATGACTATAATGTTGAAGAGCTTTCCAGATTTGGTAGTGGAAGATCCCATGTCCCCTCCTTTCCTCGTTGAAGATCCATAGACAAGTGTGATAAGAACACCTACACTGGGGTGAGCCGGGTGGAGGGCTCGACTCTCCTTGGTATCTTCCTGGGCAACATCAACTTTAAAATTTTTAACAGTATTTGGGCATAACAATTATTCTTCAGACAGTCTTATTTTTCCTTTTTAAGTGCATTTAGCATTTAGGACCATAATAGGCATTATCAAACATCTGAGGATGCATTATTCAAAGTTTAGAGGTCACATATACAATCACACTCATTTGCTCACTTTCTCTATACTCTCTTTAAATGCATTAGGGAGTTTGGGACATTTAATTAGGGTGAGTTAAAAATAGGTGCCTTGGGCTGGATGCTGTGGCTCACGCCTGTAATCCCAGCACTTTGGGAGGCCGAGGCAGGCAGATCATGAGGTCAGGAGATCGAGACCATTCTGGGTAATACAGTGAAACCCCGTCTCTACTAAAAATACAAAAAAAAAAAAAAAAAAAATTAGCCGGGCATGGTGGCGGGCGCCTGTAGTCCCAGCTACTCGGGAGGCTGAGGTAGGAGAATGGCGTGAGCCTGGGGAGCTTGCAGTGAGCCGAGACTGTGCCCACTACACTCCAGCCTGGGCAACAGAGCGAGACTCCGTCTCAAAAAAAAAAAGAAAAAAAGGTGTCGTGGTTTGTCTACTTATTTACAGCTGTTCTAAAGATATAGTTTTAAATAAAGACAATTATTTTAATTGAATATTTATAATAAATGTTACTAAAATATAAAAATCAGAATTCCAGACATTAAAGATTTTGTGTTTCTTGCCAGTTGGTTTTTAAAGAATGGATATAAAATATCAATCAACACAGAAAAACAAATCCTCAAGAAGTCTGTATTTAGAGATTAGCATTTTTAGAACATATTCAGCATACGGCATTTCTTCTTTGTGGCATTATAAAACTTTCTAAAACTTTGTATTAAGTGTATTTAACATAATGGTTTCAAAGTGATAACAAACTATATAAATGAAACAACCATATTTTCCTTCTTTTGTTTTTCAACGTAACTTTTCTTCCCTTAATGTTAATCTTTCTTCCTTATGAGCTATTAGTTAACTCATGTTGTGTAAATTGGAATGAACTAGCTAGAAGGTTCTAAGACTTAGGTTCTAGTTGGGTTCTGTTCTACATCTTAAAATCCTTTAAACACTACTCTCAGGTTTCTTATCTACAGAATGGTGTGATGGAATAAGTTGATCTATATAGTTCCTTCTCTTCTGACATCCTGTGATTTTATTAGTCTTTGGCTGTGGACAAAGCAGAGTTTCATATTCATGAAGGCAATTTAATCAATATGAAAGGCAATCTGGACCATTTACCTCAACATTGCCTTTATTTTTAATTGTATGGTAGAAATTCTTTTTCTTTTTGGTTTAGCTGGATAATTGCTTGAATGCTTTCCAGGACCATTTTGCAGCAGAATTTCAAATTTCAACTTCCATACTATCTCATTGCCATTATACTCCATTGACTGCTAATCCTGGTCTGAGGGCCTCTTTCTTTTTGAATTTAACAAGTATTCTGAATACACAAACAACTCATATGGAATTAACAATAACTGTGAAAAATAAATGCACCCATTCCAGTGTGAGGATTTGCTTGGTTCTGGTGCCTGTTTTTATTGCATTTTTTAATGTGTGTGCTTATCTGTGTTAGTTCATGGAATTGCATGTGGAGGAGTCTATGACTGCTTTTGAACCATGTCTTCCCTGCTATATAAACCCCTAGTTTTAGTCAGTCAGGGAGATGGATTTGAGACCAAACTCCCATCTCCTTGGCTGCAGCACCCGATTAAAGTCTTCTTCCTTGGCAATACTTGTCATCTTAGTGATTGGTTTTCTGTGCGGTGAGCAGCAGGACCTAGACCGAAACCCTGGTTTTTCAGTAACATGCCCCGGCACTTTGCTAGATCTCAGATTGTCATCAATTGTGCAGTCCAAGGGAGAGGAAGAACAGTTTATAAGAGCTCTATAAAGACTATAATATACTTTGTTTTACAACCTGGATCTTTACAGGAGAGTTATGTCTCCAATTGCCTTTCAAAATCAGAATAAAAAGTTTTGGAATATCAATTGTTCTATGTACACTGTATCTCTTTGTTCCCTTAATGATTGATAGGAGTTACCTATATAAAGAAAGTTCTCTGAAAAGTGGGGCTCAAGGGAGGAGTTTATGATCATCTACCTTTAAAAAAATAAATCATTACATCACATCAAAAGTCTTAAATGAGCTTAGGATGTTGGAGGGAATTTCAGAGACATCTGGTTCAAACTACTCAAAAAGTGTAGAAATTGAAGCCCAGCATGGGTCTGTTAGTGAAAAGAGCTCAACCTTAAGGCTTTAGACACTAAGTCCAGATCCTTTCTGCCAAAATATGTAAGTTTAATTCTTAAGAATTCTTATATCAGTTATTCTTCCCTTAATAGTATCTAATACAAGACACCTAAAATGTACAGTTCAAGGGAAACTCCAGGGTCTTTCCTTTTTTAAGGTATAAATGGAGAAGTCAAACTGGAAAAAATGTAGTTTTACTAACACGTGTAAAGATATTTAATTTCCTTGCCAATTATATCAGTACTAAACTACGTCAGGTATATTTTGCTGGTGAAGTTGTATTGAGGGGAAACTTTTCTCTTGGAACCACCTAAGTATAAATGTAGTGAAATGACCCCATGGTGTTTTCTTTGCATAGAAATAGCCGTGGATGCCAGCCAACAGACAGAACTTGGGTCATCAGTTCAGATTTGTAGCAGTTTTGGGGAAAGTAGCTATGGTATGAAGAGAATAGAATGATTGAGACAATTAGGTTGAAGGTTATCAGGTTAAATGGCTGCCTTAAATGTGATTAATTCCAACAAGCCAGTAATAATGAGTCTTTGCCTAAGGATTGTGACTTTAATTCTTGCCTGTTTGGGAGGAACCATGATACCCTATTCAATGATTATATTGAATTAGGAGTAGCTGGAGCAAGAGGAGAAAGGAGGTGGTTATCTAACCAAACATTTAAAACAAGTGAAATGTATTATTGAAAATATTGACAGCATAATTTAAAAGTCTGTAAGTGATTATAATAAAGCTAGTAATTTTCTATTCAAATTCAGCTTCCTCAAGACATAGACATTACTAATGTTTATTCAGCAATACTAAAAAGAATCACAGAAACCAAGGAAGAATGCCTTGTATCTGTAATAATACTAGTTTCAATACTATTTAAATTTGTTCTTAGATCAAAGAGTATTTTGAAGAAAAAGATGTACAGGGAATTTGCTTGATGCTACCAACAAAAAACGTAAGTCAGATGTGTTTATATGGTCACTTAATAAAAAATAACTGTCTCAAGACTGAGATTTTTTTATTTTGGTTTTTTGTTTTGTTCTCCTTTATTTAGACTCAGGTCTAGGGTAGATGCTCACAGAAATCTCCACATGTAAGTTTTTTTCTATTATGAAAGAGAGATGACAGTATTCAATATTTTTTATGAGATAACATATTAGTGAATAAATTTATTTTAAAAATTTTGATGTTCTAATAAAAGATGCTAAAAAATACAACAGAAAATTTGTCAAGATTATAATCTGTTTTGCTGTTGAGAAAATATTAGCCTTCTAAATCACACTCTCTGCAGGACTTTTCTTGATTTGTTCCCATTTTTATTCTTCTACTTTTCTATGCCTGTTTTCTGTTACTGCTTTTACCAGCTCTTACTACCACTTAACCTAAGAGATCTAACCTAGGTTAATTTTTGCTAATAAAGAGAATTACACATATACTGGGTCTGGTCTCATTTGCCCATATGTTGTTGACATTTATTTTATGATAGCCATGTGGAAACTTCTCTTGCTTCTCCCAAGATTAAAACTACATGAAACATTTATGATTATTTTCAGGTTTACTCTGTTGATACTATTGGTTATAGACAGAGAGTGAACTTTAGTTATTTAATATAAAAGCATGTTTCAGTTTTATATTTTGCATAATTCATGTAGTCAGGCTTGATTAGTGTGGCTGTGTTGAAATTTGTGTTTAGTTTAGGGCCAGCATTTCAAACATGTTTGGTTAACATTGTTGATGTGAACAATAAAACAATCAGTCTATACTAATTCGTGTCCACATAGAAATAGACAATTACATGCATGGGAAGACAGGACCATGAACTATTTGGTTGATGATATTAAATATTAGTGGGAGAATTAGAGCAATCAAGAATTATCCTTACAATATTTTTTACAAAATTCTTGAAAGGTCAATGAGCACAGAAATGTGAACATGTCATTTAACTTGTTTGGTTCATATTATCTTTTATATACACAGTTGATAACATGATAGGTTGAAAAATAATTTAGCATTGGAGCTAAAATGATCTTTTCTTTCTGTATCCACAGCTAAACTCTCCAGACATTTTAAAACTTTCTTTCAAAATTTCTAGTATGGACTTTTCTAATGCAATACTTCCAGATATTGCTGACAGTGACTGTGTCTTTCCAGAATTATATAATTAAGGAAAGAAAAGTAAATTTCTTCCAACATGCTTTTTAAAGTTCTATAAAAATTTCAATATGGGAAGGAAAAGTAAAATACTGTTTTTTTTCCCTCTGTACTTTTACTGGATATTACTTTTCCTTGGCAGTCTCTTATCTTTACTTGGCTAATATTCTTGGTCTTTCTTAACTGTAAAATCTGAATCTCCAAAGTGCTTATTCATTTTACTGAATTCTTTGATTTAATGTTGGTTTTCTTGTTTTACCCTGAACTTATTTTACCTGCTCTGAACTGAAAGAAATATAATCTTCCTATTGTATAATTTTCTTTGGGTTCATAACCTTAGTGTCCCTTATGCCTTATTCCATAATGTTCTTGTCACATTTTTTGTTTCCTTTGGTATCAGTGTTCACTGTATTCAGAAAGCACTGACTTTGTAAAATTGAGTTGTTTGGAAAGTTGTTTGGAGAGAATCTACTGTTTCTCTCTTATAAAGCTCCTCAAGACCTTATTGAGGCTTGTATTGCTAAGAGCTAGTTTAGATTCTTTAGGGACCTTGCCTAACTTCATATCATTTATTTTGTTCTTCCGCGAGTAGAAAGCCATCTAGGAGCACAGATAGGAGAGGCTGAACTGTTTACTGTGGTGAGATGGGATGATATTCTTTATCCATAGATGGTATATCTTGACAGGTAGTGATTCTTTTTCTTTTTGTTTTTTTCCTAGCTCTCAATATACTTGGTACCATATAGTAGATCTTAGGCTAAAATGTAATAAGTACAAATCATGTCTCCTACTTTGGAGTCAGAGCTCTCTGTATCTTTGAAGGAAAAATAAAGTAATGTGTATTCAATGTCAACATAAAACATCTTATTAGCACTACTATAAAGCTTATTCTTCATCCATTCGGTCAGTAAATATATATTGGGTTTCTACTATGTGTCAGGCTCTATGCAGGTGTGGTGATATAAAGATACACAAGACATTGTTATTGTTCTTAAGAACCTCTTTGACAAATGGGAAAGTTAAGCATGTATAAATACAGTGCAATACAATGCACCAAAAATAGGGTACACGACTTTTCTTGGTATCACATATTACAGTTTACATATTTTGGTGAAAGGTTTCAGATTGTTCTCAACTAATAGGTTCATCTAGGAATTTCCCTGTGCAACCTCCAGTCTAAGAAAGATGATTTATGATCTTTTAAATCCATTATTTCAGGGCTTAGTGAAAGCCAGGCAGATGTGGGGGTTTGGGTATTAGGTCTGTGGTATTGGGTGCATGTTACACAGTGGATGTTCTTATTCCTGCTCATGCCTGTGGTGATCACAGTTACCAGCCTTATGTTGACACTGGCTGGAGTTCTGTGTCTGTGGCCCTTAGGCAACCCTGACTTGGTTAGCCTTATTTTCAGGGTTTCAGACGATCACAAACATAATTATTTGCCATTGCAGAGGCTGTTACGGTATCTAGAAATGCCTGCATTCCTCCACCATGAAGTCCGTAGCTCTCATGTTCTTGCCACCATGTACTTAGGGTGATCATTTCCCCCTGCACCTGCCATCCTTGTTCTGCCTACAGCTGGTTTTCACTCTGAGCAAGAACTTGTCATTGAGAGACCTCTAGAAGTGGCTGAGACTTTAGGGATGTGCCAACCTATGGGTGGGGTTAACCTTTTGTGTTTCAGAGAAAAGCAGCATCAACCAAAATGGGGAGTCCTCTGAGCCATTATGGTGGGGCTTTTCCAAATTGAGCCACCTAATTGCATGGAGGCAGAAACCAGGTTTGCTGGCTCCTTCATCTAAGAGGTTGAATTTTGACAAAATGTTTTCACTTTACTTTGCTGAGTGATAAGAATGATCAGATTGGATCTGATTTTTAAATTGTGTGAAGAAGACTCCTTAAGAAAACTCTGACCATACCTCAAGCCTAGTAGGTCATCTGTTCTCCCTTTTTAATAAAATCCAGTGCCAAATAAAGGTGAATGAGGGATGGCATCTTCAGTAAATAGTCTGATCCTGTGAAAACACTGAAGTTCCAGAGAAAAGTAAATAAAATGTTTGACCATCTATTTTGTTCAGTAGAGATATGCTTTAACTCATCTGACTTTATTTCTTCTTACCATTAGAAATTATAACCCTGGAATGTTTGGGAGAATCAGGGATCGTGTATTGAAATTGAACTGCTTCTATTCACGTCCTTCAACACTGACTAAAAAAATATACACTTTAAGGTATATGAAGGCTGATGATTGTTCTGGGGAAAAAAAAATTCTACATATCAGAAGACATTAAAAATTTTACTGAGCATGAGTTTTTCTGTGGTCTAAGAGAGCTTCTGGTTATGAAACTCTTTCATGGAAGGTCTTTCATAAGGATACCCAGTTGCTAATCTAGATCTTATATGCACAGGTATATGTTTCTCTACAATATAACTTTTTTTTTTTCTAATTACTAACATCTATCATTTGAGAAACCCTCCCTTCTATTCGGGATTGATCTACCCCAGGACTTCTCTCCATTACCCTAGCAATGTTATGCAACAAAACCCTATAAATGGCTGGTCTTCAACATGTTTTGACCTATGAAGATGGAAATTTTATGTGTTTATAGTTAAAAACTTCCTGAACTCTGATCTAGTTTGTCCAGAGTAGTGCTCCAGATTTTACATAGAACAGAGATGAAAATTTTTTTTTTTTTTTTTTTTACAGTTTTTACAAAGGATTGGCACTCCAAGTCTTCCCAATGGGTTGAGGCGATGTGGTCTCCCCAAGCATGCATCTTTTCAAGGTATTTCTACCAGCATGAGTGGAAATGGCTTGCAGACATGCTTGCTTGTTTGTTTATTCATGTCCAGCCAACAGCTGTAGGCTCACACACAAATACAAACATGCACACATGTACATTTTGAGGGCAAATGTTAATTCAGTTGGCAATAGGGAGAAAGAAACATTTTTTAACTGTCTATAATTTGATTGGCAGATTCTTTCACAAATAAGCTAGTAACTAACTTTTTATGGAGAGCTGGGCTAGTTCCATTTATTCATCTCCCTGCTTTCAATAACCATTCCCTTTACTAAACAATGACCCATTCAAAGATTTGAAATTGATTATTTAATAATAATTATGATTATTATTAATAATAATTAAATGATAATAATGATTATTATTAATTATAATAATAATTAAATGATTATTTAATAATGAAGGGTCCTTCATTATTTTAGGCAGGGCTCATCTACCACTTCAGTATTTTTTTTTAGTGGGGAGGATGACAAAAGAGTATAGTGATGGCTTCTTTAATTCAGTATGAGTAACTGCTGTTAGCAGTTGCTGCTCAACAAGTAATTTGTCCAGGGTATCTTAGGGAGAAAATGCACATGCTCTGTATTTGCCCACCCCACTTATTTTAATTGTTCTTTTCTGTACTATGAGCAAGTAGGTTGATGTATTGACCTTTTGTCACTAACGACATTTGGCCACATGAAGATACTCATTCAGCTATTCAGTCAAGACAAATCTCCAAGTCCCAGTCATGACTGTAAAGCAATAAAGGAAATTTCAGATTATTTGGAAAGCACTGTCTGATAGGTTATTGAGCTTTTTCTTACACATCACAGAATATACATCACAGAAGTAGCATGGCAAGGAGGAGGAAGATGATGCTTGGAGACATAAATCCTGCCTTTGGGATCTGATCTTTCTGATTGCTATCTGGGGAAGATTCACGCAAGCCACTGAGCAACTTCAGTCTCAGTTTCTTGACTGATTGTGAGGATTAGATGAGAGAATAACAACAGTTAATATCTGTTGAGCAGGCCAGGTGTGGTGGCTCATGCCTATAATCCCAGCACTTTGGGAGGCCGAGGTGGGTGGATCACCTGAGGTCAGGAGGTCGAGACAAGCCTGGGCAACATGGTGAAACCCTGTCTCTACTAAAAGTACAAAAATTAGCTGGGAATGGTGGCACATGCCTGTAATCCCAGCTACTTGAGAGGCTGAGGCAGGAGAATCCCTTGAACCCGGGAGGTGGAGGTTACAGTGAGCCAAGATTTTGCCACGGTGCTCCAGCCTGGGCAACAGGAGTGAAACTCCATCTCAAAAACAAACAAAAAAAAATCTGTTGAGCACCTTCTGCTATATGTTTTAACTCACTGACTCCCTACTCAACCCTATGAGGTAGGTACTCTTATTATCCTCATTGTAAGGATGAGGAAACTGAGGCACAGAGAATGAGGCAACTTGCCACCAAGTGAAGGAACCGTGATTGGGATTCTGCATGTCCCGCTTTAGAGACAAGAACTTTGTCACCAAATTTTGAGTGACTGTACAATGTATACTCCAAGGCATAAATGAAATAGCAAATCTAGCATATGACAGGCTCTAGCTTGACTGCTGAAACTATGAAAATGAACAAAGCAGGCTTACCTTCAGGCTTCCTTTTGTCTTCTTTTTCTTTGACTATATAACTGGCTATCTTTGATATATTTCTTTTGTACCAATTTATAAAATTGAGATTTTTTTTTCCAAAGCAAGTGCAGATCAGAGTGTGAACTCTGTTAACTTTTAATTTCCTGTTCGAGCTCTTGCATCTTAGGTGAAGCGGGCTCTCAACACTACCCCACCCTACTTTTGGTGCACAATTCTCAAATGTTCCCAGTGTCCATAACCAGTGGCCATGAACAGTAAAGCTCCCTTGAGGCCTTTTTGCTCCCTCCTTCAAATTGAGCCACATTTTCTTGGAAACTTGTCTTCTGACTCATTCTTTCCAACTCTAAATACTTACCTACTTACTTACATATCAGGGCTACATACTTCGTTCCTAAGTTGGATACTCTAAAATTATGGTGGTGGAACTTTTGTGCTGCTTCTCCTGGGCCATTCATATGAATTCATGAGAAGTCTTTTGGAAATGGTAGTGGAACAAACAAGCTTTGGAGGGAGAGTTGGGTTCAGATGTTTCTGCTACTTCTTAGCTCTGTGCTCTGAGGCAAATCACTTCTCTGACTCAACTTGATTATCTGTAAAATGGGGATAATAATACTGGCTTACACATACTGAGTATTTGTCCGGAGGCAGGCAGTGGAACAGGCACATAGATTATCTTGCTTGTTCATGACATCATCCTACGCTGTAGGTTGAATAAACTGTCTAGGTCAGGAACTTGAAGCTTTGAGAGGGTAAACAAATTAGCTAAGGTCTCACAGCCAGTAAATGTTGGAGCTGGAATTCAAACTTAGGTCTGCCTGATTGTGGAGCTTATGTTCTTATCTCTTACTAATTGCTTTCTTTATGATATATGCACTAGTAACTTCTTAAGATATTTGTAGAGTTTAAGTGAAGTAATGTATATAATGTATCTAGCATACAGACAAGCACATTTTTAAAAGAAATATAGTTGCCTTTCTTCTGCCCCTTTTCCCAAAGGCCCTCCAATGATGGGAAAATTGTCCTTGGCAAGCAAGATAGGGGGACTATTTTTGTCTGGGTGATTGGGGCTGGAGAAGAAGAGAACCAGGAGCTTTTCTGCATCTCAAATCAAACCAGGCTGGCAGCTTTCAACTCTGTCTATACATAGGCCTGGCTGGCCTTGTTGGTTATGTCTTTATTTAGAATCTCATGTCCCTTTCTGAACTTTGTAACCTGAGAAAGAGTGAACAAGTGAAGGAAGAATGAGAAAGATTAATGGATTAAAATACATTTGCAAAAAAAAAAATCCCGTAGGAATTGGGGATAGTTAGCCTGGTAAAGAGGAGACTGAGGGATATAATTCTCAATATAATTTGAGGATTATATTATTGATATTGACAACATGTTTTTCTCTAAAGGAGAGAGGTTAGACGTGTTGCCATTCAAGTCCTTTCAAAATCTAAAATTTCATGTCTCTGAAAATGAAGAATGGAAGAGTTAGGATTAGAGTAGAAATTTCAGACCCATTAAGGGCTTAAAAACAGTAAAAACCTGATATTAAGTTCTGTGGATATGTTAGGCAAATAGGTCTTTCCTTCTTCCTGTGATTGCTCCTATTCTATTTAGGTGGGAGGCAGTAATTTATTTTGTGTGTCCCAAAACATAGCTCTTTGAACACAATTGATGTGAAAAGTTCTGTTTTTTTCTTCATATTAAGTCATAACTTTTTAAAACTATGAATATGTATTTTTTATTCTATAAGTAATGGTCACACAATCAACATTTCTTAGTAATTTATACCTTAGCATAAATAAGGTTAACTCCCGGTCAGTGAGCAGCTCTTCTATATGTGGTTCTTGAGGGACCAAGGCTCCCTCATTTGTGTGACTCCACCATCTAATGGAACTCCATCTTCCATAACATTCAGTTGGTAGAAGGTGGAAAGAGAAGCTGGAGGAGGCCTCCCCTCTTCTTAAAAGTGATTGATCTCACTTGGGCTCCCATTTCATTGTGACAGCTAGTTACATGACCACAGCTAACTGCAAGGTAGGTTGGGAAAAGTAGCCTACTTGCCTGACCAGGAGAAAAAGAAACAGAGTTTTGGTAAACAGGTAGCATTTTCTTCTACACACATTTACAACTGGCTTTACGAAAACGATTACCAGTGTTCACAGAACATTTGCCTGTTCACAGAACAGGCATAGTAGTTATGCCTGTATGAAAATTTCACAAACCCTGGGCCAGAGCACTTGTTATAAGATTTAACTTCCTAGCAGATTTAAGTATTATACCTTCCTATCCATTGCTTTTCCTTTCTCTCTTCCTCTCCTCATCTTGCCTGTATCCTTATGGCTTGGGGCCACTCTATACATACATACTCTTTACATACATTCTAGGCTAGGAGCCAGCAATCTGTGGGCCTTTTTGCATGACCCAGGAGCTAAGAATGGTTCCTACATTATTTTATACACTGTTGATAAGGGAATGTAAATTAGTACAATCTCTATGGAAAACAGTATGGCGATTTCTCGAAGAACAAAAAATAGAACTACCATGCAAGCCAGCAATGCCACTACTGGGTATCTACCCAAAGGAAATCACTATATCAAAAAGATACCTGCACTTGTATGTTTGACAGCATCATTCGCAATAGTAATGTCATGGAATCAACCTAAGTGTCCATCAGCGAATGACTGGATAAGGAAAATGTGTCTAATACACACACACACACACACACACACACACACACACACACACACACACACACATCATACACCCACAATGGAATACTGTTCAGCCATAAAAAAGAATGAAATCATGTCTTTTGCAGCAACATGCATGAAGCTGGAAGCCATTATCTTTTAAGTGAAACAACTCAGACACAGAGTCAAATACCACGTTCTCATCTATAAATGGGAGCTAAATAACATGTACACACAGAGAATGTTGAATAATAGACATTGGAGACTTGGAAGAGTGGAAGGGGGGTGAGGGATGAGAAATTACTTAGTGGGTACAATGGATGCTATTCAAGTGATAGTTAAACTAAAAGCCTAGACTTTACCTGTATGTAATATATCTATGTAACAAAACTGCCCTTGTACTCTTTATTTTTTAAACAGAATGGTTTCTACATTTTAAAATGTTTGGAAAAAATTAAAAAAGAATTTTTGATGACATGTTAAAAATTATATGAAATACAAATTTTTGCTTGCTTCTGCCGATATCTAAAAAGGTAAGCAGTTGCAACAGAGACTGTGTGGCCCACAAAGCCCCAGATATTTATCATCTGGCGCTTTGCAGAAAAAGTTGCAGATCACTGGTCTAGGTCACAGGACAGTGGAGAGCCTATACTGTGGGATAAAGGTATGATAAACAAGCTGTAATTGTGCTGGTCAGGGACAAGAAAAGGCAAGTGGAGACCATGTTCCTAATCCCTGATAAGATTTATGAGAAAGAGAAGAGGGGATGGTGATCAAAGTTAGGAGAAGTGATTTGTATTATGTTCAATCCAGGAAAGGAAACAAGATCAAGACAGGATGAGAATAAAGGGGCCTACCACGAAGAATTGAGAGATGAGACCCACAATCTGAAGCCCATTCCTAGTATTTCATTTTTGCTTCTTTTACCCCTTTAAACTTTATATTCATGTGCATGCTGAATCTCCCTAGGCTGCATTGTTTTGTTTTTTTAGTCTCCTACAATAGCTAGAACAATGTTTTTTACCCAATGGGTACCGAGACAATATTAATTGATTGAGTGAATGAACGAATGAATGGAAACTGGGCTGCAGGTCATTTGTGACATCTCTGTGAAAATTTGGAGAAATTGACTTATTTGAGATTATGCAGCCTCTCAGACACATGTCTTAGCAAGAAGAAGGTGCTATAGATTTCACTGTCCTCTTCCCATCTAGTCTGGCACCGTTGTACAGGGAAGAACCTGCACTGAGGATGCAGTATCCCTGGATGGAGTAATAAGAGCATTTTTGTTGGGAAGGACCTTGAGCACACATACAGCTAAGCAAGTATCATGATTAGCTTTGTGTGTCAACTTGAACGGGCTAAGGGATGCTCAGATAGCTAGTAAAACATTATTTCTGGATATGTCTGAGAGGGTGTTTCCAGAAGAGACTAACATTTGAATCTGTAGACTGAATAAAGTTCACCCTCACCAATGCGAGTGGGCAACATTCAATCTGTTGAGAGCCTGAATAGAACAAAAAGGCAGAGGAAGGGAAAATTAGTTTTCTCTTCCTGAGCTGGAATATCCATCTTCTTCTACCCTTGGACATCAGCATATCTTATTCTCAGATCTTCAGGTTTGGACTAGAACTACACCACCAGCTTTCCTGGGCCTCCAGCCTGCTGACGGCAGGTCATGAGACTTCTCAGCCTCCATAATTGTGAGCTAATGCTTTACAATAAATACCTCCCTATATAGCTTTACATGTCCTATTTACATAGAGTTCTGGAGAACTCTAATACAGCCAGATTCTTGTTTTACACCCACCTATATACAGGTCAGCTCTCCAGTCTCCTAAATTTGCTCAAAGTAGTACAATGCAAAGGAATTTTCAGGCTGTTTGTCTCCAGCATGTAAGTTGCTTAGTGGTAGTATGCCTACCCAAATACTCAGACACTGATCAATTTTCAGCTTAAAGGACGAGCAAAAGCTAGTTCAGGGGAAAAGGTTATATAACATAAAAACACTTCATGCCAGATATTGGAGAAGTGCAGAAATTGGAGCCTATATAAATACCTTGGTGCTGTTCCATTTGGATATATGCCACAAAAAGTAACCTAGAGTAGTTCCGAAAAAGTGTCAATAAATCATCTATTTAGCTTGACACTGCAATGTACCAGTTTATTTCTTTTATAAGCTTAAGTGCTCTTCAAAGCCAGACAACATTTAAAGCTCTAATTTGAAACTTACCCCCACATAGGACTAAAGGATGACCAAAACTATTTTAGGAGGAATATTAGGGAAAGGGGCTCAAATTCTGCTTGACTACAGTAACTGACATTTCAGTGGTTCTAACATGGTATCCCTAACCCTAAAAGGATTTTGAATTAAGAGACTCATGCAATTGCTTCCAATATACTTATGCCATATATGTCCTTGCTGTTTGATTCATTCCACTGTCTTTTATTTTCTCTCATAATTCTTTCTCTCTTCCTTTATAAACTTGATTTTGCCTTTGTTTTCACCCCTGTTATTCTAACTAGCTACTTAGTAATATCTGGATGCACTACTAAGCCATGTGAAGGTGACCTCAGAATGAAGAAGGTGGTGATTAGTTTATTATAGCATTATGGAGGGGTGGGCATTCTGTGATGCGGAAGAAATTTGAAATATATTGGCTTAAACAAAAGGTTTTTCACCAAATGCCTTCAGTATACTCATGATTGCTATAATTCCTTAAGATATGGATACATATTAGTGTACAGTGCCAAACAAACTGGATACTTCTTTTGACTTCAGAACCTCTTTTGGTAGAAAGATAATACCCTGGACTGCTCATGCCATGATACTGTGCTCAGTGTGATAGGTCCATTTTCAGACCCTGGTCAGTGGGTCTGCCATACAATGTGTCAAAGATAAAACAAAGTCCAATGCAAAATTAATGAAAGCTATTTACTTATAACCGTGCATCCAGAACTCATGTGTGGTCATTTTCCTTTCAGCAGGTATACAAAGGTCTTAGAAAGGAGGGTACATTTTATAGACTAAAAAGAGGAAATACTGAGACAGCCTCTGGTTGGCAAGCATTCAAGTAGGGTGGGATTTGGGAAGTGGAGGAGATGTTCTAATTTGTCTACAGGTGTATTTGGCCCTCCTTAGCTGGCTACAAGGGGGCAAGGGAGCAGTGTGGGGACATTTCAAAAGAGGAAGAAAAAGCAGATTGATGGGATGCTTTGTGATCAGACCGTCATAATATTCCTTACAGAAGGCAGCTGCACAGCGGGCAGCTTCTCAAATGTAACAATGGATCAGAATGTTTGACACTGGGTCAAAGCGAAAGGATACAGTTCAAGATGCTAGGCACTGTACTAAGTCGTATAGGTTAACTTTCCATATGCTATTTTTCTTTATTTAAGTGTACCAACTGTGAGAGAGGCATTATCATTTCCATTTTACACATGAAGAGCTATTAAATAACTGTTCAGGTTTATGGCAGGGAAGTCATGGAATTCAGTCTCTAGTCTGTCTGGCTCAAAACTTCTTCCAGATACACCAACCTTTTTCTCCCGCTGAAGCCTGGTAAATTCAGAACCTACGAGGAGTTGACATTATTAGACCTTTCACTAGTCACAAAAACAGTAAACGCCTCCTGGCTAACACGGTGAAACCCCCGTCTCTACCAAAAATACAAAAAATTAGCTGGGCGTGGTGGCGGGCGCCTGTAGTCCCAGCTACTGGGGAGGCTGAGGCAGGAGAATGGCGTGAACCCGGGAGGTGGAGCTTGCAGTGAGCTGAGATCGCGCCACTGCACTCCAGCCTGGGCGACAGAGTGAGACTCCATCTCAAAAACACAAACACAAAAACAAAAACAAAACAACAACAAAAAAACCCAGTAAACTCCAAGAGAAGGTCAACAGTAAACTCCAAGGGAAGGCCAATTTATGATGAAATATTGTTGAATTAAGAATGACTTGTAACAAATGGGGTGTTAATCTGGTTTTGCCACACTGAAGTCCCTTTTTGAAAAGATATGTGTGGGTTTTTTTTTTGTTCTAATGATATTTGCTAGTATAGTATTTGATCTAAAATTTTTTTAGGCCTTTGAATATTCTCAATATATACTTCAGTGATGGATTAAGATGGAGCTTAGAATAAAGATTTTTTTTAAAGTTCTATTGTTCTTTGCTTGGCTTTCAAGGTTCTTAATAATTGAATTTAAGCCAACATTCCCAAACTTACTTTACATCTTCTCCTCTCTTCCACAGCTCATATCTTCTTCTTTAAAAAGTCATCTCCCTTTACTTCATAGAAAATCTGTTCTCGTTTTTATTCTGTTCCTAGGCCTTTCTGTCTTCCCTTTCTTTCTGTCTAATCAAACCTTCCACATTATTCAAAACTCAGCTCAAGGCTTTATGAAGGCTATGCAGAGTAGTGGGCAGAACAGAGAAAACTCGTCTTCTTTAAAAAAAAAAAAAAAGTAGATTTTTCCCATTTTTTCCAATTATGAATAATCTCATTTGTAGATAAAAGTAGAGTGAATAACAATGAGTGGTCTCGACAATGGTCACCCAGCTTTAGCATTTATAAATATTTTTCAGACTTTGATTCATCTATTTGTCTTTACTACCACTCTTCCCCTTGCTCTTCCACTGAAGCATTTACAAGAAAACTGAGACATCATGTTATTTCACCTCTATATTCTTAAAAAAGAATTTTGCATCGAAATTCTGACTTTGTCATTTATTATAATAGCTGTGTGACTGTGCGGAAGTTTTCAGAAATCTTTCTGAATCTTTATTTCCTCTTCTGTAAAATGGTAATGATGATGATGATAATGTTAATAATACAAACAGACATACAGTCATTCCTCGTACTGTTGCTATGAGGCATAAATGAGATTATATATATATATATATAAAGATTTCCAGCACATAGTAAGAGCTCAAACAAGTTTTAGTTTTCTTACCCACTCATGGTATTTGCTCAAGACATATTAGTTAGTTCCTCTAAAAATCAGTTACTCCAGCTCTCATTGTCCTGCTCATTTAAATTCTAACAATTAGAAAATATATTCTGTATCATTCTAAATGTTTATAAAGCATAAGGGAAGAGAGGAAAATAACCTAGTATGAGCCAAGACAAAAATATGAATTAAAAAAAGTGGTTAGATTAATGCAAAGAAATGTGCAATATGCTATTGACCCAATATAATTGTTAGAGGCAGATGGAAACGTGGATATTTAAATGCACAAATATATAGTTATGTATACTTGTAAACTGGTTGTTAGTTTTGCATCAATACTTAGACTATAAGTTCAAGCAGGAGAGTCCTTCATTTTCTTCTTTATCCTGTTTAATGCTTAGAACAGAAATAAGTAGTAGGTTTTCAATGAAGACAATTTTCCAGAGAGATTGTTGAAAAATGATTTTTAATTTTAATTTTTTAATTACACTTTAAGTTCTAGGGTACATGTGCACAACCTGTAGGTTTGTTACATATGTATACATGTGCCATGTTGGTGTGCTGCACCCATTAACTCGTCATTTACATTAGGTATATCTCCTAATGCTATCCCTCCCCTAGCCCCCAGCCCACAACAGGCCCCGGTGTGTGATGTTCGCCTTCCTGTGTCCAAGTGTTGTCATTGTTCAATTCCCACCTATGACTGAGAACATGTGGTGTTGGGTTTTCTGTCCTTGCGATAGTTTGCTGAGAATGATGGTTTCCAGCTTCATCCATGTCCCTACAAAGGACATGAATTCATCCTTTTTTATGGCTGCATAGTATTCCATGGTGTATATGTGCCATATTTTCTTAATCCAGTCTATCATTGATGAACATTTGGGTTGGTTCCAAGTCTTTGCTATTGTGAATAGTGCTGCAGTGAACATATGTGTGCATTTGTCTTTACAGCAGCATGATTTATAATCCTTTGGGTATATACCCAGTAATGGGATGGCTGGGTCAAATGGTATTTCTAGTTCTAGATCCTTGAGGAATCGCCACACTCTCTTCCACAACGGTTGAACTACTTTACAGTCCAACCAACAGTGTAAAAGTGTTCCTATTTCTCCACATCCTCTCCAGCACCTGTTGTTTTGTGACTTTTTAATGATCTCCATTCTAACTGGTGTGAGATAGTATCTCATTGTGGTTTTGATTTGCATTTCTCTGACGGCCAGTGATGATGAGCATTTTTTCATGTATCTGTTGGCTGCATAAATGTCTTCTTTTGAGAAGTGTCTGTTTATATCCTTTGCCTGCTTTTTGATGGGTTGTTTTTTTCTTGTAAATGTGTTTGAGTTCTTTGTAGATTCTGGATATTAGCCCTTTGTCAGATGAGTAGATTGCCAAAATTTTCTCCCATTCTGTAGGTTGCCTTTTTACTCTGATGGTAGTTTCTTTTGCTGTGCAGAAGCTCTTTAGTTTAATTAGATCCCACTTGTCAATTTTGGCTTTTGTTGCCATTGCTTTTGGTGTTTTAGACATGAAGTCCTTGCCCATGCCTATGTCCTGAATGGTATTACCTAGGTTTTCTTCTAGGGTTTTTATGGTTTTAGGTCTAATATTTAAGTCTTTAATCCAGCTTGAATTAATTTTTGTATAAGGTATAAGGAAAGGATCCAGTTTCAGCTTTCTACATATGGTTAGCAGGTTTTCCTAGCACCATTTATTAAATAGGGAATCCTTTCCCCATTTCTTGTTTTTGTCAGGTTTGTCAAAGATCAGATGGTTGTAGAGGTGTGCTATTATTTCTGAGGGCTCTGTTCTGTTCCATTGGTCTATATCTCTGTTTTGGTACCAGTACCATGCTCTTTTAGTTACTGTAGCTTTGTAGTATAGTTTGAAGTCAGGTAGCATGATGCCTCCAGCTTTGTTCTTTTGGCTTAGGATTGTCTTGGCAATGTGGGCTCTTTTTTGGTTCCATATGAGCTTTAAAGTAGTTTTTTCCAATTCTGTGAAGAAAGTCATTGGTAGCTTGATGGGGATGGCATTGAATCTATAAATTACCTGAAAAATGATTGTTTTAAGATGTCATGTTTGATTTCTCCCTGATTTCAGTGACTGAACTGATTATAATTTTACTGAAGTATAACATAGATTGGAACGTAAACTATTTAAGACCCCAACTTCTTAATTTACAATTGTAGAAACTAAGGCTCACACTGGAGTAGAAAGTTTTACTTCTTTCCAAGCTTTGTCTTTTAATTCTTTTCCTTGCCTCATTAGACTTGCCAGCACACCAAGTACAGAGTTGAATGGAAGCAGTTAGAGGAGACTTTTTTGCCTTTTTCTCAATCTTAGAAAAACATTTTTAAATATTGTATCATTAGTTATACTAGCTGTAGATTTTTCTAAATGATCTGCTCAGATTGAGAAAGCTGTTTTCTATTTCTAGTTTTCCGAGAGTTCTTAAAAAAAATCTCAAATGGCTGTTGAATTCTGTTGAATGCTTTTTGTATATCTATTGAGTGCTCATATACTTTTGCCCCTTTGGTTTATTAATATCATGCATCATATCAGTTGATTTTTTTAGTGTTAAACTAACCTTGCATTCCCGGGACAAACTCCACTTGGGAATAATGTGTTATCCTTTTTATATATTGTTGTGTTTGGTGTCCTAATACTTTGTTAAAGAATTTTGTGTATATCCCCTTGGTCTTTAGTATTTTCTTCTTATAATGTATTAGTTAGGTTTTAGTATCAGGGTAATATTATGGGCAATAAAATGAGTTAGGAAGTGTTCTAAACAACTTTATTATCTGAAAAAGTTTGTGTAAGATTGGTATTTTTTCCTCAAATGTTTGATACAATTCACTGGCAAAACATTGAAATTTCCTTCGTGGGATTAAAAAATTTACTCATTCAATTTTCTTACTAGAGATGTCTTTTCATATATATGAATATATAAATATGTAATTTCCCCCTATTTCTTCTTCCATCAGTTCTGGAGTATTGTAATTCTTATAAAAAAATTTAAATTTTATCTAAGTTGTCAAATTTATTGGCATAAAGTTGTTTTCTTGTGTTCATAAAACTTATAAGTGGCAAAGAGTAAAGTAACCCAAGTCTTCTGATCTCATGTCCAGTGCTTTATGTACTATGCTACCACATGATACAAATCATGACTTTCCTAATTTGGCAAATATTTGTTTTCCGGCTATGTACCAAAATTTTTGCTATGCTATGGAAATACAGATTATTAAAATGATATCTTTGGATTCAAAAATCCCATAGTCTAGAAAAGGAGATTAACTTATAGATAGATTCTGTGTTTTTTGCAAAGTGATAAGGGCTACCATAAATTAATATTACAGATGAAGTGATTAATTACCTCTGGAAGTAGAGAAATCAGAGAAGGGTTTGTAGAGAGGATGATATTTACACTTAGCCGTTTTTGTAGGAATATTCTAGGCAGACAAATAATTCAAGGTATTGAAGAATAAATGTATAAAGGAGCCAAGATGTGAAAAAGCAGGTTGTGCTCAAGGAAGAATGACAAATTTGTGTCAGTGGAGGTGAGTTCGGTAGAGTTTCACATGTGGATGGGGTCAGATTTTGAAAGATCTGGCCTTTCAGAGGGAGTCTAGGATTATTCCCACTAGCACTAATGGTTTAGGTCTCTAGAATCTATATTTGTGTGTCTTTTCCACTTTATAACTCCTGTCAACACAATAATGACAGAAGAAATCACTAAATATAAATGTTAAGATTCTCATCTATTTCTAGGCTGGCAGTTGACTCACCATAAGCCACTTGCTTAGAGGGTTAATCCTTAAGCTGATTATTTATCATGGAGCATTACCACCTCTCATTAAAAGGAACCTAGATTTGCTTTACAAACAAATGTCACTCTAATCTAGAGAATGGGTAGGCATGAGCTGGAAAAATTGTGTTGTTATAATGATTCACTGCCAGAAATTCTCCCCTTTTCTGGGACAGTGAGCCAAATTTACTACTCTGTTCTTGAGCAGAAAGAATTTATAGTCAAAATAAAATAACAACAAAAACCCTTTAGGGTTCAAAATAAATAATCTTAAAAGTTTGGAAAGGATACTCTTCATGATCTTATTTTTTTTTTTGGTTTGTTTTGTTTGCTTTTTATTTTTAAAACAAGTTTGATAGTTGGCTTAAGTTTGGCCTGCTGACCAAAATAATGCAAGTTAAACCCTTATTACTTTGGTTTACTTGTTGCTGAGAGGTTCTCTAAAAGCACCGATTGGTTAAAAAGAGAATCACAATGACCTGTGGTGCTGGATTGCAAAAAAAATACGCAACCTTCTCAGAAAACTGACAAGCCACATATTTGTTAACCTGTTTGAACTGGTGAAGAAACACTGACACACTGTTTTCCTAATGCTAAATTAAATCGATGGGCTTATATCATGAACTATAGTGAAATCAGCTTTTATGGCCAGTAGCAAAAACATAACATACTGTTAAGTCTTTGAGGCAGTTGAGAAGCGATAGAAATGTGTTATTATATGGTTCTGTAAAGTACCCCAAACAGCACCATTGATTAAATTTGTTATCAAAATGTGACCTAGTTCAGGTACCTAAAAGGGTAGTTATGAGATCTCCTTCACTTTATTCTTTCAGATTAATCAAAATGTGCCAGTAATTTAGGTCTCTAAATACAGGAAAAATCAGGAAATTAAACGTTAGCACATTATAGAAACGTGGTTTGGACAAACGAGCTCACTTCAGATATTTATTTAGCAGAGGATCAAGGTACAACTCTACTTCTTTTAGAGATGTAATCTTGGAAAAGTCTCTTCACTACTCATCACTCACTTCTAATCTGTTCTTTCACACTCTTAAGAATAAAGATATTGTAAATTGTTTATTGATAAACAATAAAATAGTAAATTGGTAGCCTGTACAACATTCAACACAATTTTTTATACATTTATTAATGTTTGTTAATCTCTGAATGGCCAGATTGGTGACCTAGAAGTTGAACATAAAGGTTTTTTTTCTTGTCCAGTCTGAAGACAAATTCAGCTCTTTCTTACAAAGTCTTACTTCCTCAGATGTGCAGCTTTTGTAGTTTCCTGGTCCTTTCTTCCGCATAATTTATTGAAAACTGAATTAGAATAATAAAGATTGCCAACAGTTGTGAGAGCTTTACAGTCTATAAAGCACTTTCATAGACCTTGTCTTTTTGGATCCTCATTCAACCCTTTAAGGGATGATTATATTTCCCAGTTTATAATGTGGACACTGAGGCTAAAAGTGGTAATAACTTGTGTAAGATCATTTAACTAATACCATAGTCCAAGGCACTCATATTTTCTACTACAGTATGTTTGCTGTATGCATATATTCCAATATAAAATTTAGGTAACCATGAAATTCATCATCCAAGTTGGGACATTTTAGGGAGCGAAAGGAGGTGACATAAATAATTATGCCAGGACCATAGACATAAACTGTGACTGTCTTGGGAAAATATGAACATATTGGTAAAATCCCTCTTGATAAAATCCAAGTTTTATGCTACTGGATGATCTATATGAAGTCTCTCAGTCTCATTTTTTAGACCTCCTTTGACAGATAAAAGTATTATTTAAAAACTGAACTTTAAAATTTTCCAGAAAGGGAATATAAATTTAAAAATACTTTTTGACACAAGGCCAAAGAACACAAGATAATTTTTGATTTTCTAATTGCATTCTTTCTCCTTGTATAGGAGATAACTTGTCCTTTACTCCTCAGATGAATTCCCTGAGATACAATTTGGGTCAATTCTGAAAATGCCCACCAAAGGCAAGAGCCATTGTATGTTAACAAGATGACTAAGAAACATATTGAAAGACTTTATAAAAGTTTACTAAACAGGATTTTCAAGGCAGCCTGGGATTATTTAACAAATGCACAAGGTTCTGGAGAACATAAAGTGATTTTTAAAGATTAAATGCTGACTGCATCTGTTGTCTTCTGTTTTCTATCTATATTCATTGATAACAGGCCAAACAAATATGCAAAATGTATCCAATCACAAGGGAATTTATAGGCCTAATGAAGGATTTCTTTGGAATTACTTTCAATGAGGGGGGAGCAGTAATGAGCTGAAAAGGTATTTCAGATTCTTGTGGATGTTTCTAAAGAGTTTTTCTTTTCTCTGCTCCCTTCTCTCCACTCTGCCCTTTTCCTTTTCCATTTCCCTTTTTCCTTTTTCTTTTTCCTTTCCTTTCCTTCTTTTCTTTCTCTCTCTCTTTGTCTATTTTTCTTTTTCTCTCTTTCTCTCTCTCTCTCTTTCTCTCCTTCTCTTTTTTTCTCTCTCTCTCTCCCTCTTTCTCTCTTTCTCTATGTCTTTCTCTCTCTTACTCTTTCTTTCTCTTTTTCTCTCTTCTCTCTTTTTCTCTCTCCCTCTCTTTCTCTCTCTCCCTCTTTCTCTCTTTCTCTATGTCTTTCTCTCTCTCTTACTCTTTCTTTCTCTCTTTCTCTTTCTCTCCTCCTCTCCTCTCCTTCTCTCCCCCTGCCCTCCTTTCTTCCTTTCTGTCTTTTTCGATTTTTTTCCTCTTTCCCTCCTAAAGCCTAGCACTGGACTTTGGACTTACAAGGATTCCAAGTATACAGTAGTACCCCCTTATCAGCAGGGGATGTGTTCCAAGACCCCCAGTAGACGTCTGAAATTGTACATAATACCTGACTATATACTATGTGTTTTTCCTATATACATACCTATGATGAAGTTTAATTTACACATTAGGCACAGTAAGAGATTCACAACAATAATAATAAATATAACAATATACTTTAATAAAGGTTATATGAATATGGTCTCTCTGAAAATATTGCGCTGTACTCACCTATTTTTGGACTGCAGTTGAACACAGGTAGTTGAAATCGTGGATAAGGGGGACTACTGTGCTTGCTAATGGATTATTTGTTTTTGAAAAAAGTGAGCAAGTAGTTGGCCAATCTTCCAAAAAGTACCCTTCTAGATCTCAACTTTTCATCATCCTCCACAGCAAAAGGAATGGAACAACATTGTGCAGCACTTCCTAAACTGATATCAAAGAGCCAGTTAGTGCTATCTGACAATTACCTTTGCACCTCATCAAGGAAGATTCTAGGCAAATACAACCTCTCATTATGTCTTGGCAGTGGACAATTTCTGGTCTTCCTAAAAACAAAATGTAAATCACCTCAATAAAACTTACCCAAGACATTCTAGACTTAAGTGGGGCTTGGTGAGGGAGCAGGCAAGAGAGTCTATTTTTACATTTTAAAGAGAAGACAAAATGGTGGATAAGTAACTGAGAAAGCTTCATGTTACACTTCATGTATTTCCTTCCTCCTTCCGTGAGTCAATTTAACAGTGAATGAAAGGGATCAAACAGATAATACTTCTAACATGGCATCTCCTCTACTTTTGTTTTGTAATCCTCGCTCCAGCAGTTGCTACTTGTGTAACCTTGGGTGATTACTTAAATCATCTGTAAAATGAGAGTAAGAAGAGTCCTCCTCTCAGAGCGTTATTACTGGGATTGAACATGGTAACACAACTAAGGCCCTGGAACAGTGACTGACACATAGTAAATATTCAAAATTATCTTATTATTCAATTTATTATGCAAAAAGAATTTTTTTTGATGATGTCTGTGCTGTTCCTGTTCTTGTCTCATGCCCAGGGTGACTGTGTTGCTTCCTGGGTAATGTTCTTTTGGAGATTCTACCAAGGAATCCCAAACCCCAAAGTCTTACTCCACGTGCTCAGCAGTGCTCAAAAGGCCTTTAACAGGGAACAAAACCTCTCACCCCTCAAATGCTTAAAAGGCAACTCTGGCTTGAGTCCAAAAAAGATTTTTTAAGAAAGTAATTTTTGACACTGATAAGGCCAGAGAGTCTCAGGTATTCCCTGGAAGAGAGAGCAAAGGCAAAAAGAAAAAAAAAAAAGCCACATCCCACTGTACCAAAACAAATCTGAACCTCCTCAAAATTTCACCAACATTTCATTCATTCGAAGCTTTGAATAAAAAGCAAGAAAGTAACACAGCCCACAGGGCATTTTTTGGGACAAAGAAGATTCATTCCCAGGGCTGCAGATTTCCTGACACCTGGGGATATGTTAGTGCACATGAATAAATATTCCATTGTTTTGAGGATCTCTTTGTAAGTATCTTGCTTCAAGAATGACGGGTGACGTCAATCAGGAAAAAATCCCCAGTGAATCCTAGGACTTATTGCTCCAATTAAGCAAGAAGACACGTTAGAGCCTGAAAGATTGGGTAATAATTCATACCTGTTGTGTTTCGATGTTAACTGTGAGCCTAAATGTAGACTCTAACCTCTCTTAAGCATAATTTTTTTCTACACAATAGCTCAAGGCCTTGAATATTTAAGAAAATTACATATAAGGAAATGTTAAAAAAAAATCTCTCTGAAAAAAAGTACATGGCTCATGAAAAATAAATCTGGGTAAATTAAGTTATGAAAGATGTATTTCAGTTAGAGCAGGAGCTTTGAAGTGCATTTCCTGTGCAAAAACAAAAACTCGGCTTCCTAGATGATAAATTGCCAACACAATAGCCTTTCGGGTATCACAGGAGCTTGCAGTTTATCTGGGCTTCCAGGTCACCCTGGGTTTAAGCCTGACTTACTGTCACCCTCCCTTCAAGGGTACTGGGACTTCTGGTGCGAGGCAGCATTTAAAGCCCTGGAAGAATGTGTTTCTTTTTGTGAGGAAGTATCTTGCTTTTTCTGACAGCTGCATCTGGCTGCCTGTTGAGCCTAGTTTTCTTCTAAGAAATGATTTTTGGAATAAGGACCGGAAGGCCTTACTCAGCTGACGAGGAAGTAGGATTATACAATAGCCGTGAATGTGGAATTTGGAAACAAACGTCCTGGGTTCAATCCCAGTTTTGCCAATTCCCTAGTAGGGTGAGCTTGGGCAAGTTAATTCATTCTTTAAACTTCAGCTGCCTCAATTGTAAAGGGGATAAGACTACCTAAGAGAGTTCCAGTGAGGGTTAACATGGAAAAATGGAAATAAAGAAGCACTTAGTGTATCACTGGGCATAAAATGAGCCCTCGAGGAGAGTTAACTATTATGGTTAACTCAAAACATGTTAGGATATAAGATATTGGTAGGGGTTCTTTTGATCAATGGTTTAACTGAACTACAATCAGAATAGATTTACTTATATATAAATAAACAAAAATTATGAGGGCCTTCTATAGACAAGAATAAAGCACTCTCAAGCTTTTGCAGGGGCTATTGCCCTCAAGTAGCATGACTCTAGTTGAGTTGATTAGACATGCATCCGCATAACAACACCAAGTAGAAAGTGGCAAGCTATAAGAGAATGTAGTTAAAGTGCTACTGGACTTAAGAAGAAGGAAGGATTATAATCTAGTTGAGGGAAGTCAGAGAAGACTTTGCAGATGAAGGTCCCGTGGTGAACATCTCTTTATTTTTCATATATTGACAACAGGGTTCATATGATTATATTGACTTAAAAATTTCAGACTGGAAAGATCTACCTTCTATAGTGTAAAGATTTGGACATGTCTGAGAGAGTTCAAGCTCAATGTATATTCTCTGATTACAGTAATCTCGGGCCATAAAAGTCAGTATCGCTTTAAAATGAGAATCAGGTTTGGCTTTTCCCCAGAGGACAGTTGGCCATTTGCCCAGTGGTCTGTGCAGTAACATACTTATACAAACTTTCCTAGTTTGAAAAGAAAGGGAGGGAAGCAGGGGAAGAAAACAGAGGGAAGCAGTGCTGATCTTTTGTCTGTAAAAACACTGTATGATGGCCAGGTGTGAAGAAAACTTGCTCAGGCTCTCAGGCAAAGTTGTGTTGCTCTTGGTGGAAACAACGGAAACTTTTGTCGTCGTCTTGTCCTCTCCTGTTCTAACTCTCCTGCTATCTTCTTTCATGTTATTTGCCATTCTATTCACTCCTTTGTTCATTCATTCATCAAATATTAAGTTTCTAGTCTTGGAACTTAAATGCTGCTGTAGAGGTAAGAAGATGAATACAGCTAGGTTCCTTGTTCCAATCACCCTTATAAGAAAGGCCAGCAATACTCAGGAAGAGTTATAACCCAGGATACAGGGAGTGGGGTCTTGCTGAAATGCTGGAGCGGCTGGCTTTGCTATATTTCTTCTATTTTGGTGTGTGTTTCCCAGTTGACCACCTCTTTGATTTTGTATGCTGCTACTTCATGCTTCCTACTCTTTTTTGTAAGTAAGCAGCTAAGCCTATATCTAAAAGCATTTTTAAATTTGAGTATATATATATATATAAAGATTCCTCTCTTATTATAATAAGTTGAGTTGAGTTATAGGCATGAAAGGGGAATTATGACAGAGTTGGGAAAAACTGATTGGGAGCATATTATGAAATAATAACACAGAGGTAAGTTTTGGTTGTGTTGTAGAAGAGGAGAACAAATTCGTTTTTCTCTTCTCTTCTCTACTCCTAGAAGCATCTAATCATGACCAATTTTATGGAGGGGCCGCTATTTGAGAGGATTTTAAGAGTAAGAGAAAGGCCCTAGTCCAAAAATATTTCCCTCTTTGATTCCAGAAATCTTCAGATAAGTGATTTAATTCTTTGTCTCAATTACTGCCCTCTTTGGTCCTATTATTTTTTTCGAATGCAGGATTATATGGGAAATCATCAACTCTTGAGAAAACTGTCTCTTAAAATCACTTTCCTGTAGAATTGAGAAAGATGGGCAAATCAGAGTTTTGTTTTTTTATAAATATCATCTAACTCCATTCATTAGACTCTGTATAACTATGAAAGTACAGACTGTTGCATTCATTTTACTTCTTTCTGTGGAACTCTGGACCATATCTGTGATGAAAAGTAAATAGAAAAAATTTAACTAATGAATACAAAGCCTAAACATGTTCACCGAAAATATCTACACAATTGAGATACAGTTTATTTTCTGGCCCCTGATCATCAGGATAACTGCCTTATTTGTTCCTTTCACTGTACATGTGAGAAGATGGCATTGAATTATAACAAAGATTGTTATGGTCTTCAAACCACTAATAGAGAGCTTATCCAGTTTTGCAAGTTGGATCAGTTGACACGAGTCAGAAAGCTAGAATACATTTGCATTCATTGGTTCAGTGGAGTTTCTCGCTGAAGTATGTTGTGCCACATTATCTCGTCACTGCTTTATAACTGACATATGCCCAGTTGCCTTATATACTTTAGAAGCAACTGTCATTTTATCTTGAAGAACAATTAAGTCTTCTGAAGGCTAAATGTTTCCAAGGAAGAAAAAAAAAGCCAGACTACAGTTTAATTTATTGAAAGTTATTTATAATTTAGTACTTACTGTCCTGAAAATGCCTGTCCCCTTGGAAATATGATTCAGATGCCCTGAACTGAAGAAACATTTTCCTTTTTCCTGTGTAAAATGTGAAACAAAAGACAACTGAAAAACACTTCATTAAAACAGTTCCTTTGTCCTTTTGACAATGAAAATTGAAAAGAGACATGCCGGTTTGGCTATGTGGGTGGTCCTTTTTCTATGCTAACCTTAACATGACCTCACAGAAATCACTAGAAGTTATTTGATGGTTCTAGAGATTTTAAAAATATGTGTTGAAAGGCAATGGTTCCATGAACTCAGGGATTTCAGAAATGTCATGTTTTAAGAATGAGATTCCAAAGGCTGAAAGATCTGCCCAAGGACTTCTGCTCTGCCCAGACCTTAGTGTACTTAGGACATAGCCCGTTTTCACACTTGGACACGCTTTTCTCTAGTCATGTCAAGCTCCTCGGTTATTTACATCCACTTTTTCAAGGTCTTCTATAGGCTAATTTTGTCATCAACTGCATGTAATTTGTCTAGGTCAATGTACGTATGATATGATTAAATGAACTTAAAAGTATGTTCCCCATGGGAATATCGCTGACATTTATTTTTTGGTTCAGTAATTCTAGAACATTTCTAGTCTTATAATGTCCTCAGCTTCTTTAGAGTGAAGCAAAAAAGATTTGATTATCTGATGAAAAAAATGAAGACTAGATACGTATTTTTGGTTCCTTTTAAGTTTCTTAGTCTTTTAGAGTTAGTTTTCAATATCTAAGGATGGTCTGAGAAAAGTCAGTCCAGTTACTAAAAAAACTGTTTTCTGATTAATCTATTTTGCTAGTCAGACAATTCAGTCTAATAGTTTTGAGAAATGAAAAATGAACCATGTACTTTTGCCATTGGTTAATATTTCTCTGTTAAATGAAATTTGATATTTTACCTCTAACTATATTACAGTGCTGCTGTCCAAAACTATCATATGGTAAAAGCCGTCTTCTTTTTGTGCTATTGTAAAGTATCTTTGTCTAGTTTGGTTGTAGAAAAACCAAAAATAATAAAAAAAAGGGCTCTTGTTTTAGTGATACAGCCCTGGTAAGTAGCATATAGGAAACCTTCAGGGATGTTGTCATAAAGTCTTAGGAAATGTACCTTTCTTCTCTAAAATATCACAAGATTAGAAAAAAAATAGCTTCTACACAGCCTTCCTGTAAAATGGAGTCACTGAAATATGTATTTTTTAGCACATTGTATAACTTTTATTATTCATCTTGATATGAATCATGCTTTTAGAATGTTTGGCAGGTCTTTGAATTTAAGTTCCCAAATGAGTATTCAACATAGATTAATTAAGACTGTTATTTCATGGAGTATAAACACAATCGCTTATTAAAACATATTTATTGAAGATAAACAATTAGGTAATAGAAACCAGCTCCAGAATATAATATGACTAATGAAAAAGGCAATTGATTACAAATGACATAATTACTGAAGGTTAAGAGCTATGCAATTGATATTGCTTGTTATTTCTTATGTAGACTTTAATAAGCATTTTGATCATTATTTAATGTGCAATTTATTACATCCAAACAAAGAGTTACTTTCCAACTTGGTACACGTTGCCTTAACAGTGCTTAGGGGAGTTGAGAAGCTTATAGCTTTACCCTTAGGATTGAGGAAAGACATTGACAAAGAATGTTAATTAAGGGTTACCGATTGTATTTTATTTTAGAAAATGGAAAGAAAAAACCAAGGTCTTTGATTGGCACCTTCTGCCAACTTTGTGACAAATGAGGATCCTTACATACTGAACAGTGGCCACTCAGTTTCCACAGAGAGAACTGAAGACTACCATTTGAATTTTTGTGACTTGCTCTTTCCTAAGGAATTCTCTAAGAAATAATTTCATTACCATTGTCACCCCAAGGGGGTTTAACGGGAATTAGTAGCTTTGTTTTGATTCTGGCATTAAAATGGATATTTTCCCCCAACTTCTCTGTGGTTCCTTAGTTTCCATAGTAATGTGATATGCTCCGTGGTACTGAGAAGAGGGTGAGACTTAAAGAGGCACAATCAGTAATTTATGACCTCAGTTTTAGACTATGGAAATAAGGATTATGTTATGAAGTTAGAATAGTGTGGATAGAATTAAGCCCTTTCCCAGGGGCTTAGGGGATCTGAGAGATGGGAATTGGAGCAAGGAAGGATAGAATATGCTGAAGACAGGTTTTTTTAAATGCTATTATAACTTTAATTTTCAGTTCAGGGGTAAATGTGCAGGTTTGCTATATAGGTAAACTGTGTCATGGGGGTTTGGTGTGCAGATTATTTCATCATCCAGGTAATAAGCATAGTCCCCAATAGGTATTTTTTTCTGATTCCCTCTTCCTCCCACCCTCCACCCTCAGGTAGCCCCCGGGTTCTGTTGTTCCCCTCTTCGTGTCCATGTATTCTCGTTACTTAGCTCCTACTTATAAGTGAGAACATGCAGTATTTGGTTTTCTGTTCCTGTGTTACCTGGCTTAGGATAATGACCTCCAGCTCCAACCATATTGCTATAAAGGACATGATCTCATTCTTTTTTATAGCTGCATAGTATTACATGGTGTATATGCACCATGTTTTCTTTATTCAGTCTACCATTGATGGGCATTTATGTTTATACTATTGTGAATAGTGCTGCCGTAAACATATGCATGCATGTGTCTTTATGGTAGAATGATTTACGTTGTTTTGGGTATATACGCAATAATGGGATTGCCGAGTCAAATGGTAATTTCATTTTAATTTCTTTTAGGAATCACTACACCACTTTCCGCAATGGGTGATCTAATTTACAGTCCCACTGGCAGTGTATAAGTGTTCCCTTTTCTCCACAACCTCACCAGCATCTGTTATTTTTACTTTTTAATAATAGCTATTCTGACTGGTGTGAGATGGTATCTCATTGTGGTTTTGATTTGCATTTCTCTAGTGATCAGTGATGTTGAGCATTTTTTCATATGCTTGTTGGCTGCATGTATGTCTTCTTTTGAAAAGTGTCTGTTCATGCTCCTTGTCTACTTTTTAATGGTATCGTTTATTTTTGCTCCAGGAGAGTCTCAAAATGATGTTTCGCCTGGATGTCAGTCTGGCTACAGCTTTTACTCTCCTGAAGGGGTAGCATTCAGCACAATTGTGAAAATGATGAAGTGGGTGTTTGTGTACGTAGTATTCCTGTGCTCTTTGTTCTCACTTCTTTCTGGCTCTACTCACTTCAGATGTTACTAGATGTTGGTAGTACTTGTCTTCAGATCACTATAAGCTTCCCCTCCTTCCTGCTTACACACATGCCAGTGTGTACACACACAGACAAATGTATATATGCATACACTGTATAGGTAACTCTTATATGTCTAGACTTTCTTCCTCCATGCTTAATTCCTAATTTAAAAATTTATATGTTTGATGTATTCTCTCTGGGCTCTGCTAAGGGTAGGAAACTATTGGAGTGGTGAAGTTATAAGCATTCACTTTGGGTTAGAATGCTTTGGATTTCCCTACTTTGACCCCTATTCTAATATCTATATCTCTACTACTTTGACAAAACCAGTTTAAATTCTCTAAGCCTCAGTTTGTTTTCTGGAATTTCAGAAAAAAATTTAAAAAAGTCATGTCTAATCCTTAGCATTATAAACAATAAATTAGATAATTCATATAAAGCATTTACTTAGCACAGTGTCATCCACATAGTGTCCCATAAACATAGAACAGTTGGTTTCCGCTATTATTGACGAAGAATAAGCTACCCTCATATAATCAGATCTTCATGTAGGTGTGACAAGTCAGATTATTTGCCTCTTGCACATTGAGACATCAAGGCTTATAGGAGCTATTATCCTTCCTGAGTTCCTTATACACTTCTCACTCCACAAGTCCAGCTCAATCAAATTTTTCAGCTCTCTTCATAGTACTTTGCTAAATGCAAGGGGGCTATATGAAAATGAATAAGAACTTTGCCTTGCCTTTATGCACACCTGAGATTTTTTTTTAACCTTCAAGATTTTCCTTATTTCATCTGACATAAATTTGACAAATTTCTTGTTTTGAAATTGGTAGGAGAGGGCAATAAGACTGGGCAAAAATGTGGAGGAGAGGAAGGGCCGACAACAGAGTTTATTCAGGGGTTGTCTTATTCATTTTTGAATCCTCAATATATTGTTAAAGACATGGTGCTTAAGGTGCTCAGTAAGTATCAGTTGATCTGTGAAATGAATGAGTGAATGAATATTCCACCAAATGTGCTAGGTAACTTCTTGCTGGGTGGAGACCATTGTCCTCTGAATTGGTCTGTAAGGCTTCCAATGTAGAAGAGTACATACCCAGGTCCTCAACGCAGTTGTTGTGACAGCTAATAGCAGAGTCATTCTCATATAATTCTCATTTTATATGTCACTAAAAATTGGAATCTCCTGACTCCATGTCATCATAAGAAAAAGAATGCGAACAAATTATTTTGTCTGAGTTTCTCTTTTAAAGCAAGGGATCTTAACCTGGAATTAGAAACTTCAGTGGCTCTATGAGTTCCATGAAATTATTGCCAAAACTTTGGGTGCATATGCAAATTTTCTGGGGAAATAAATCATAGTTTTTATCGTATTCCTTTTTTTCTTTTCTTTTTCTTTTTTTTTTTGGATGGAGTCTTGCTGTGTCTCCCAGGCTGGAGTGCAGTGGCACGATCTTGTCTTGTTGCAACCTGTCTCTCTTGGTTTCAAGCGATTCTCCTACCTCAGCCTCCTGAGTAGCTGGGATTACAGGCGTGTGCCACCACACTGGGCTAATTTTTGTATTTTTAGTAGAGATGGGGTTTCGCCATGTTGGCCAGGCTTGTCTCAAACTCCTGACCTCAGGTGATCTGCCCACCTTGGCCTCACAAAGTGCTAGGATTACAGGCATGAGCCACTGTGCCCAGCCAGTTTTTATCATATTCTTAAGGGACCCAACAACCTTTAAAATGTCACCTTTGAATTTATAAATCTCCAGATTCATAAAGCAAGTTCTTAGAGACCTTCAAAGAGATGTAAACTCACACAATAATAGTGGGAGGCTTCAAAACTCAACTGACAGTATTGGACAGATCAGAGAGGCAGAAAATTAACAAAGATATTCAGGACCTGAAATCAACACTGTACCAAATGAACCTAATAAATATCTACATAACTCTCCACCTGAAAACAAAAGAGTGTGCATTCTTTTCATCTGTACATGTCACATACACTAAGATCAACCACACAATCAGATATTAAGAAATCCTCAGAAAATGGAAAATAACTGAAATCATACCAACCACTCTCTTGGACCACAGCACAATAAAAATAGAACTCAAGACTAAGAAAATCACTCAAAACCATACAATTAAATAGAAATTAGAGAGCCTGCTCCTGAATGACTTTTAGGTAAATAATGAAATTAAGGCAGAAATCAAGAAATTCTTTGAAACTAATGAGAACAAAGATACAACATAACAAAATCTCTACACAGCTAAGGTAGTGTTAAGAGGAAAATTTATAGCAGTAAATACCCATATTAAAAAGTTAGAAAGATCTCAAATTAACAACCTAACATCATAAATAAAGAACTAGAGAACCAAGAGCAAACCAACCCCAAACCATTCATTTGAGGGCATGTACAAATAGAGGCCCCTAATTCCATTGGCATTCAAAAGAACCCAGTCAATGATAGTCTAGTTCAACTGCTCAGATTTAAATTTCAAGTCTGGGAGACTACTGAATTATTCCATCAACTTACATATTTTTGAAATATGGATCTTAGCTAATTGTTAAATCCCAGATTGCACTGAGAGGGTTTGTTATGAATTAGATATAATATGGGGTAGAGTTTCAACTAAAGTCTCTAGGGAAAGGAATCTAAATTTTGGTGAGAAGGAAATGTTGGAACTAGAACAAACCAAACGTGTCTTATGGATTGATGAGACAAACAATCAGTATTAATTTAAGAAGGACATTTGTGGGTCAGTGACTCTGTGCAGTCTCTTCTGGAGACACAGCCAAGAACTCTTCCTTTAAAAATGTAATACACTAGTAAGAAACTTTAGGGTATTAAAAGCTGTTAGGATGGGGTGGGGGAGACTTAGGGCAATAGCACATCAGCAAATGACAATGGAAATAATCTTTATATTTTTCAGCTTTCATATTTGGGCCTGTGGTCATCACTCTGACATTGACAAATGACAGAATTTGTACTTCATTCGGACAATTTTCACAGATATAGCACAGGTCTATGTCAGGCTTGTCTTACAGAAAATACTACTATGTGTTTTGAAAATGAGCTTTGTGAGCACCTACAAAATATATTTCTCCCTGAGTGGAAAGAAAGATGGCAACTCTGGTTCAATAGAAGGTGGATAACCTTTGAAATGAGAAAGCTTGGTTTGAATATCAACTTTATTGCTTAGAAGCAAGCTGGGTGAGGCTGGTAAAGAGGAATTCTGACTGAGCCTCAGTTGCTCCACCTGTAAATTAGGGATATTAATGTTTAATTCTGGGGTTGCTGAAAGGCTTAGAGGTTAATGCCTGACTTCATGAATAGCTCCACCTGTAAATTAGGGATATTAATGTTTAATTCTGGGGTTGCTGAAAGGCTTAGAGGTTAATGCCTGACTTCATGAATAGTAGGCAACTAATAAATGGTAACCGTTATTAATAATATAAAATTGATATAATTCATTTATATGATGTTAGGTAATAAAGTGATTCATATAGGTGAATTTTGAGGAATAGAAGCTTTCCTCTTGAAATGCTAAATTTTTAATTTTTAGCTGCCTAATAGAGGTGAGGTAGGATCTCATTGTCGTTTTTTAAAAATTTAATTATTTATTATTTATTTTTTTGTAGAAACAGGTCTTGCCATGTTGCCCAGGCTGGTCTCAAACTCCTGGGCTTAAGCAATTCTCCTGCCTCAGCCTCCCAGAGTGCTGGAATTATAGGCATGAACCACTGCACCCAGCCTTCAGTATAGTTTTGTTTTTTCATTGCCCTAATGATTAGTGATGTTAAGCATCATTTTATGTGCTATTTCCATTTGTATTTATTCTTTAGAGAAATATCTATTTAGATCCTTTGTCTATTTTGAATCAAGTTGTTTCTATGTTGTTTTAGGAGTTCTATATATATTCTGAATATTAATTCCTTTTATGAGATATATCATTTCCAAATATTTTATCTGATTCTGCAGGTTGTCTTTTTACTCTTGATTATTGCTTTTTGATGTACAAATTTTAAAAATTTTTATAAAATTCAAGTTGTCTATTTTTTTCTTTGGTTTCCTGTGCTGTTGGTGTCATATCCAATAAATTATTGCCAAATCTAATGTTATGAAGCTTTGACTCTATATTTCCTTCTAAAAGTTTTATAGTTTTATATCTTATATTTAGGTTTTTAATCTTTTTTGAGTTAATTTTTTTTATAGTGTTAGGTAAGGGTCCAACTTCATTCTTTTGCATGTGGATATCCAGTTTTCCCAGTACTGTTTGTTGAAAAGACTGTCCTTTCTCCATTTAATGGTCTTAACACTCTTGTCAAAATCATTTGACCATATATTCTAGTTCAATGGTTTATATGTCTGTCTTTATGCCAATGCCACGTTGTTTTGATTACTGTAGTTTTGTAATAAGTTTTGAAATCAGGAAGTGCGTGTCTTCTAGCTTTGTTCTGTTTTTTCAAGATTATTATGACTATTTGGGGTTTTTTGAGATTCCATATGAATTTTAGGATGGGTTTTTCTGTTTCTGCAAAATACATCATTGGGATTTTTTTTTTTATACTATAAGTTCTAGGGTACATGGGCACAATGTGCAAGTTTGTTACATATGTATACATGTGCCATGTTGGTGTGCTGCACCCATTAACTCGTCATTTACATTAGGTATATCTCCTAATGCTATCCCTCCCCTAGCCCCCCACCCCACAACAGTCCCCGATGTGTGATGTTCCCCACCCTGTGTCCAAGTGTTCTCATTGTTCACTTCCCATCTGTGAGTGAGAATATGCGGTGTTTGGTTTTCTGTCCTTGTGATAGTTTGCTTAGAATGTTGGTTTCCAGCTTCATCCATGTCCCTACAAAGGACATGAACTCATCCTTTTTTATGGCTGCATAGTATTCCATGCTGTATATGTGCCACATTTTCTTAATCCAGTCTATCGTTGATGGACATTTGGGTTGGTTCCAAGTCTTTGATATTGTGAATAGTGCCACAATGAGCATATGTGTGCATGTGTCTTTATAGCAGCATGATTTATAATCCTTTGGGTATATACCCAGTAATGGGATGGCTGGGTCAAATGGTATTTCTAGTTCTAGATCCTTGAGGAATCGCTACACTGTCTTCCACAATAGTTGAACTAGTTTACAGTCCCACCAACAGTGTAAAAGTGTTCCTATTTCTCCACATCCTCTCCAGCATCTGTTGTTTCCTGACTTTTTAATGATCGCCATTCTAACTGGTGTGAGATGGTATCTCATCATGGTTTTGATTTGCATTTCTTTGGTGGCCAGTGATGATGGGCATTTTTTCATGTATCTGTTGGCTGCATAAATGTCTTCTTTTGAGAAGTGTCTGTTCATATCCTTTGCCCACTTTTTGATGGGGTTGTTTGATTTTTTTCTTGTAAATTTGTTTAAGTTCTTTATAGATTCTGGATATTAGCCCTTTGTCAGATGGGTAGATTGCAAAAATTTCATCACTGGGATTTTAATGGGGATTGCATTGAATCTGTACATTGCTTTGTGTATTATGGACATCTTAACCTATTGTGTCTTCTAATTCATGGACATAGGCTATATTTCCATTTATTTATATCTTTTTAAATTTCTTTCAACAGTATCTTGTAGTTTTCATTGTAGAAGTCTCTCATTTTCTTAGCTAAGTAATTTCCTGAGTATTTTTTGATGCTATTGTAAATGGAATTTAAAAAAAAAATTTCCTTTTCAAATTGTTCATTGTTGATGTATAGAAAAGCAACTAATTTGTGAGTATTGACTTTGTATCCTGCTACTTTGCTGAATTCATTTAATAGTTCTGACAGTTCTTTTGTGTGTGAAATGTTGAGGGTTTCTATATAAGATCATATCGTCTGCAAATAGAGGTAGTTTTACTCGTTTCTTTCCAATTTGAATATCTTTTATTTCTTTTGCTTTTTATTTCTTATCTAATTGTTGTGGCTAAAATTTCCAGTACTATGTTGAATAGAAAAGGCAAATGTGAGTATCTTTGTCTTGTTCCTGATCTTAGAGAAAAAGTGCTTAGTCTTTTACCATTGAGTAAGATGTTCCCTGTGAATTCTCCATATATGGCTTTTATTATGTTGAAATAGTTCTTTCTATTTCTAGCTTGAGTGGTTTTTTTTTTTTTAATCATGAAATGGGGTTGAACTTTGTCAAATACTTTTTCTGCATCTATTCAGATGATCATATGTTTTTTCTCTCTAATTCTGTTAATGTAGTAGGTTACATTTATTTTCATATATGGAACCATTTTTATTTCAGGCATAAATCCCACTTGGACATGGTGTATAATCTTTTAATATGCTGCTGAATTTGGTTTACCAGTCTTTCGGTAAAGATTTTTTCATCAATATTCATAAAGGATATTCATCAGTAGTTTTCTTTTTTGTAGTGTTTTTTGCTTTGGTATCAGGGTAGAATGAGTCAAGAAGTGTTCCATTCTCTTCATTTTTTTGGGAACATTTTGAGAATAATTTGTGTTTGTTCTTCTTTAAATATTTGGTACAATTCATCAGTAAAGCCATTAGATCCAGGGCTTTACTTATTGGAGATTATTGGTTACTAATTCTATCTCCTTCCTAGTTATAGTTATAAGACTATTCAGATTTTTTATTTTTTGTGATTTAGTCTTGGTAGGTTTTGTGTTTCTAGGAAATTGTCCATTTTGTCTGGGTCATCCAATTTATAGGCACACAGTTGTTCATAATACTGTCTTAATGGTCCTTTTTATTGCTATAGAATCACTAGTAATGTCTTCACTTTGCCTCTGATCTTAGTAGTTACAGCCTTTTCTCTTTTTTTCTTAGTCTATCTAGCTAAAGGTTTATCAATTTTGTTGATCTTTTCAAAGAACCAAAGTTTGATTTTATTGATTCTTTTATACCTTATTTTTCTATTATCTATTTCACTGATCTCTGCTGTGATCCTTACTATCTCCTTCTTCTGCTAGCTTTAGGTTTAGTGTTTTCTTTTTCTACTTCCATAAGTTATAAAGTTATGCTATTGATTTGAAATCTTGGTTTTTTAATGTAAGCATTTGTAGCTACACATTTCCTCCTTAGTGTAAACTTCATTGCATCTCATGAGTTTTGGTATGTGTGCTTTCAGTTTCATTTGTCTCTAAGTATTTTGTAACTTTCCTTATGATTTCTTATTTGATTCATTGGTTCTTTAAGACTGTGTCATTTAATTTCCACAAGTTTTTGAAATTTCCAATTTTCTTTCTATTATCGATTTCCAACTTTATACTGTTGGGGTCAGAGAAGATATTTTGTATATTTATCTTTTTAAATTTATTGAGACAAGTTCTGGCCTAAGATGTGATTTATACAGGAAAACATACTATGTGCACTTGAGAAGAATGTTGTTGAGTAGAGTGTTCCTGCACATAATTTTAGATCTAGCTGATTTATTGTGTTCTTTAAATCCTCTATTCCTTATCTTCTGATTGTTTATCCCTTATTGAGAGAAAGGTATTGAAATTTTCAAGTATTATAGTAGAAGCATCTATTTTTCCCTGTAGTTCTGTCAGGTTTTGCTTCATATATTTTGATGGTCTGCTGCTAGAAGTGTAAATGTTGATGGTATCTTTGTGCTGTATTGAAACTTTTGTTAATATATAATATCTTTTTTGTCTCTTATAAACTTTTTTGATTTAGAGTCTATTTTGTCTGATATGAGAGCATAGCCACTACTGCTATCTCTTGGTTACTTTCTCCATTCAATATATTTTTCCACCCTTTCACTTTTAATCTATGTATGCCTTTGGATCCTAAGTGATTTTCCTGTAGGTAGCGTATAGTTGGATAATATGTTTTTATTTATTCTTCCAATCTGTCTTTTGATTGGATAGTTTAATCCATTTACACTTCAGTTAATATCTGGTATAAACGGACCTCTGCCATTTTGTTGTTTGCTTTCTAGATGGCTTATAGCCTTTTTGTCCATCACTTCCCACATTAATGTCTTCTTTTATGTTTAGTTATTTTTTATAGTGAAATGTTTAAATTCCTTTTTTATTCCTTTTGTATGTATTTTATTGGTATTGTCTTTGTGGTTACCATGGAGATTACATTTAACATCCTAAAGTTACAGCACTCTAATTTGATTCTATACCAGCTTAACCTCAATAACATATGATGATCCTTTAATAGCTCCATTTATCCATTTCAGTTGTGTGCACAAAATTATATGTGCACACATGTATGTACAAAATTATATGTGCATACATTGTGTGCCCTAAAATATAAGCTAATAATGCTTTTAAATGTACTATTCTCTTCAGCCATGTGTAAAACAAAATTTGCAGTTAGAATCCAAGGTTATAATAATACTAGCTCATGAGCCTCTTAAATCATATAAAAAAGTGAAATTATAAGTCATTAAGATAATAATAGCTTTTATAATTGTCCATGTATTTCCCTTTACTGATACCTTATTTCTTCATATGGCTTTGAATCACTGTCTTGATCCTTTTCATTTTACCCTACAGAACTCCCTTGAGTATTTCTTGCAGTGCAGGTTTAATGGTAATGGACTCTCTTAGCTTTGCTTGTCTAAGAATGTCTTAATTTTCCCCTCACTTTTAATAAGAGTTTTGCTGGTATAGAATTTTTTGTTGATTTTTGTTGTTTATTTTGTTTTGTTTTGCTTTTAGGACTTTAAATATATTGGCTCACTGCCTTCTGGTCTCCAAAATTTCAGATGAGAAATTTGATGATAATCTTACTGAGTATCCCTTGTACGTGGAGAGTTGTTTCTTTCTTGTCACTTTCAAGATGCTCCCTTTGCCTTTGGATTTTGAAAGTTTAATTATATTGTGTCTCATTGTGAGTATCTTTGAGTTCATCTTACTTGGAGATTGTTGAGCTTCTTGGATGTTTATATTGATGTCTTTTATCAAATTTGAGACATTTTCAGTCATCATTTCTACAAATATTCTCTCTTCTCCTTTCTCTCTCTCATTTTCTTGTGGGACTCCCACAATGCATATGTTAGTCTACTTCATTGTGTCCCACAGGCTCTTAAGGCTCTGGTCACTTCAATCTTTTTCTTTCTGTTCCTCACACCTGATAATTTCAATTGTCTTGTCTTGTTGATTTGTTTATTCTTTCTTCTGCTTACTCTAATCTGCCCTTGAATTCATCTAATAAGTTTTTCATTTCAGTTATGGTGCTTTTCAGCTCCAGAACTTCTTTTTGGTTTCTTTTTAGGTTTTATCTTTATTGCTATTTCCATTTTGTTGACACATCATTTTCTTAACATCCTCCATGTTTTCCTATAGTTCTTTGAGCATCTTTAATCTAGCAGAATTTCTGCAGGTCTTTCTTATGGACACTTTCTGTTTATTTAGTTTTTGTCCCTTTGAATGGGTTATACTTGTCTATTTGTGTGCTTCTAATTGTTTTTGTTGAAAACTGGATATTTGAATCTAATAATGAAGTAATTCTGCAAATCAGATTCTCCTTACCCAGAGTATGATTTTTTTTTTTTTTTGGTTTTATTTTTATTGTTGTAGTCTGCCTCTGTGCCAAAGATTAGTCTAAGGTATAAACCTAAGGTTTCCTCAGCTCTTTTCTGACCCTGTGCGTTTCCCTAGTCATGCATGATCACTTCTTAATTTTCCCCGTATATGCAGTTGCTTTTGAATGTCCTAGGATTCAGTGTCTGGCTTTCAAATGAGAAAAAGAAAAATGAAGCAGGGAAACAAAAGAGGGGCACTTTCCCTTTAAATTATTTGGAGTCACTTCACCCAAAAAGAGTGGGGCTTGCAATAAGGGATTGTGGGGAGGTGAAACAACAATGACCTCCCTCCCCTTTATCTACACTTCTGTGATCGAAAGCAGTAGCAGCAATGACAGCACAAATCCTTACTAGTTGGAAGATAGAGTTTTTTGCCCACCCTGGATTCCTTAAGGTGTATACAAGTTGCTCTAGGATCACATGCACAGTTGCCTGTTACAGGGCTGGTGGTGAGAGTGGGGAGCTGCTGTGCTAAAAGCTGAATTGATCTGTCACTAAGCAACTTATTATCAAAGCCTTCCTGTAAAAGCTGCAAGACTCCAGAGTTCCAAAATAATTACATTAGACAGATTCTGCCAGTGTAATTGTTGTCTATGTGGGGAGACAGATTCCTGGCGTTTCCTGCTCCTTCTTCCCAGAATCCTCTCCAGACTGGCTACTTTTGAGAGGATGTTAGCTTCAGTTTTAAATTATCATTCTCATAGGAAAGAATCATGCGGAACTTTAGTTTTAAAAAGTGAATGTATGTAGTAGAGAAACAGACAGATTGGGTATGTTACTTCTGTTGATGAGGCTGTTTAAGGGTGGTCTCTCCTGGGTAATTAGACTGGCTTTCTGCTCAACTCCACAGTTTGCTGATGCATCCTCTGTAATCCATTGCACACTGCGGTTCCCCCATGAAGAGCTAGAGCAAACCTATTATATTACATCTGAGTGTATTCTGATACACTGATGCTCAAATTCTGTTTCAACATTTTGGGGTTCCATGGGAGTGATCTAGGGGCATGTAATTAGTAAGAAAGTGGCCAAGAAGTCAGAACTAGCCCTGTTTTTATTTCAGTAAGAGTATCTAAAGTAGTATCTGTTTAAATATCAGGATTTTATATGAGATTCCATTTGAAAAGAAGGGGTTCTTGGCTTAATAACATCTGAGAAGTTAAATGGAAAATGCTTTATTGAGTAAATGTTTGGTCTGGAGAAGATGGGAAAATGACCACAGTAAAATCTGAAACTACTAACGACATTCACCATCTGTCCTCCTCCATCATTTCTACTAACTAAATGAGCTCAAATACTAACCCCTGAAGAAACCACCTCCAATCATTCCCACACACAAGAATTTTCTTTGCTTCTTTTTCTGATCACTTATCTCCATCATTACATCAGACGGGCTAGGCTGATGGCTATGTCAAACAACCCCAAGTCTCAGTGGCTTATCGCATTATAAAGATGACTTCTTTTTTAGGCAAGCTTCAGAACCAATATTCTTGGGCAGGTGGCTCTGTTGGCTGCCCTCCTCAATGAGGAGCTTGGATCCTTCCACCATGGTATCCCATAGGCCCACTCAGAGGCCTCTGATGGAGATTCTGCAGTCAATAGAACAAGGAGTGACAATATGAGGATTTCACTGGGCATTTGAAGAGCCAGGCTTAGAACTGACATATACGACTTTCTTCCACATCCTGTTGGCCATCATTAGACATACTGTCCCATGCAGATACAAAGAGAAATAGGAAGTGTAGAATTATTTGGTGACCAACAGGAAAATGAAATTATTTGTTCAACACATATAATGATCTTTTCCAATGCCATTAGCTCACCCTTGTCCACATACTGTCTTGGGGTACAATTTCCTGTGTGTTCACCTTAAATCTTCAACTAGATTGCACGCTCCTAAAGGTAGAAGTTATGCTTTATATGGTACTACTTGCAATGCTTAAATTGCCCAGGTATATTAGTTAAGGTAGTTTAAACTACTGTAAAAACAAACTCAATGGTAATTTAATACCTTAAAGAACATAGGCTTTTTTGGCCTCAAAATAGCCTTGGGAAGATGTTACAGTTCAGCAGCAGCTCTCATCACTATGCCATTTTCCTGGGGCATATGCTAATGCAGTTTTATTATCCTCGGCGTTGCTTTTGGGATGGCCATTCCAGCCAGCAGAAAGAATGAAATGATATAGAGAATGTGTGTGCAAGATTCAATAGATCAAGCTGGGAAGAAGCACATACCATTTTCATTCACATTCCACTGTCAAGAACTCAATGACATGGCCACACTACACTATAAGAGGTAGGAGGATTGAACATGTAGTTTTTAGCTGGATAGCTACACTCCAATTACAACTCAGTTGCTATGGAAGAAAAGGATAATGAATGTTGGTGAAAAATTTCAACTTTCCCCACAGAGGATAAGGGAAATTTTGTTCAATTCTAACAATCCTTCAAATTAGGTATTGTCATTTCCTATTTTTGAGGTTAGAAGTGATATTGAGAAGTGAACTAATATGTTCAATGAGACACAACTAATAGGTATTAACGGGGGGATTTGCACCTAGTTCTTACTCCAAAATTCACTTATTGTCTTCTATACTACCCTGTGTCTTGCCTATCGGAGTGATGCCTTATCATTGTTTCATCTCATTTTCTGTCTTAATTCTTCTTAACCCTTTTCTTTCTGCTTCCCTTGTCATTTTCAGGTGTAGTGATGTACAAAAAATGATTCCTGTTGGACATTCAACACGATACTCCAATGTACTTTGAACACGTCATGTTCTGTGAAGGTAAAAATGTAAGTCACACCAGACTCTTTCTTCAATTTTGACACATTCTATTTTTATTTTGTCATAGTCAACTGGCTATGACATATTTCTCATTATGGTTGGCAAGAATGGTGAATATGTATCTACTAAATACTGATTTCTCTGGAATAAGTGGTAGAAGGACAGAATACTCAGTTCTTGCCCACACTGAGAAATGTGAAATTCACAGAGGACAGTGGGTACTTAGGGAATGCTAAGGAGGGAATGTCAAGGAAGCATATTCTTGATTATGCTGTTTGCCCGTGATGGTGTTTGTTGTTGTTTGTTTGTTTGCTTTAAATTCTCTTAGAGGTTTTTCTTCCTCTGGGTTTCATTCTGCCATGAAGCTGCTATGGACAGTGCTATCATAAGTCATAACACAATACCCCATGGGGAATAGGGATTAATTAAGCAATGTTGCGCATAGTTTATAAGCCCAGGGTTCCAGTTCGCCAAAGACTTGGTATTTTATTTTATTTTATTTATTTATTTTTATTATACTTTAAGTTCTGGGTTACATGTGTAGAACGTGCAGTTTTGTTACATAGGTAAACACATGCCATGGTGGTTTGCTGCACCCATCAACCCATCACCTACATTAGGTATTTCTGTTAATGTTATACTTCTCCTAGCCCCCTACACCCGAACAGGCCCCGGTGTATGATGTTCCCCTTCCTGTGTCCAAGTGTTCTCATTGTTCAATTCCCACCTATGAGTGAGAACATGTGGTGTTTGGTTTTCTGTCCTTGTGATAGTTTGCTCAGAACGATGGTTTCCAGCTTCATCCATGTCCCTACAAAGGACATGAACGCATCCTTTTTTATGGCTGCATAGTATTCCATGCTGTATATGTGCCACATTTTCTTAACCCAGTCTATCATTGATGGACATTTGGGTTGGTTCCAAGTCTTTGCTATTGTGAGTAGTGCTGCAGTAAACATATGTGTGCACGTGACTTTATGGTAGAATGATTTATAATCCTTTGGGTAGATGTCCAGTAATGGGATTGCTGGGTCGAAAGACTTGGTATTTTATAGATGGTACTAATAAGAAAGCAAAGAGGGGCAAGGGTGAGTCTCTCAATCTCTCCCTCTCTCTTTAACGAGCACGTGCACATACACACATTCATTTGTACAAACACACTTTCCAAGTCACTGTTTTCAGGAGTCTAAACACATATAAAAATAACCTTGATTCAGAGACAGTTCTGTCATTTACTAGCTGTAAGTGATTGGTTCACTCAACTTTTCAAAGCCTCAGTGTTCTCATTCATAAAGGGGGATACCATTTGCACTTACTTCATAGAGTAGTTTTGATAATGTTTTGGTAATTTATGTAAATTGCTTAATACATTTTAACTGCATTGTTTTTGTCTATTAAGTCCAAAATGTCTAAAATCTTCTCCAACCTATACCATTTCAGACTAGTGAAAAGCTGCATAGGCTTTTTTTTTTAATGTCCACAGATATGAGAGGAAAGAACAAGATATAAAACTACTAGTTTTGCATATTTGTTTTTAACATTATAATTTTAGGGTCACCATATTCCTTGATTCAAGCCACATTTAGCCTGAATTCATCAGAATATAACTGTAACAGTTGTCCATCTTTTGTTCCTGGAGTTAGCCAATTAGACAATATTGCATGCATAATTGTCTGGTAATGCAGTGGTTTTGTGAAATTCCACAATCTTGAAATAATATTGCGAATGTTTTGATTCTGAGTGGAATAAGAAGAGGGGCCCATAGGCTTCCCATGGAGGAGGGCTTTGTTGGAACCCAGATACCACCATTAATTAGGCAGAATGTAGGAGAAAGGTGCCAAAACCCCCACATAATCTTAGAAATTTACCATATGTAAATTCTTATGTCTGTTGGAAATAATAGAGATTTATTCTGTTGAGATCAAATTTCCTCTAATGCAATGTTGTACACTGTTGGAGAAGATTGGTAGGCTTTACAATTCATAGCAGTGTTCTTCTTTCTAGAAGGCTGAAGGGTGTTGACAATAGAAAGGTTTTTATGGTGGTTAATGTTCTTCATGAAAAAATTGGATCCTTAAGCCTTCCTCTAAAGGCTGGAAATCTTTACCAAAACCTCTCTTAGGAAAGCTGATAGAAGTTTTTCTTAAGGTCCACACAGAAACCTAGATTTTAAAGTCAGATCTAAGATCCAGTTTCAACTAAAATATATTGGGACCCTTCTATCTGCTGAGTCTTTTCTTAGGAGCTAGTAGATCCTTCATGTTATTGCCTTCACTAATTATGTCTTCTAATCAGATGGCTCTACTGATGTATCATTTACTTTGCAAATTGAATCATACCACCCTTTTCCTTTGATTACCTATTATAAACCATCCTTTATGTACCTATCTGAAAAATCACAAGTTATTTTGTTGATCCAGACCTCATAAAGGAAAAATCAACTCATCAGTGTTTGAAGACCATTTCAGGCAGCACAGTTCACTGGTTTCCTGTGAACTTCAGGCCACTTCAGGGCTTGTGTGCTGAGGTTCTTAGATCTGACTTTCAGGGGAGCTGATACCCCAAGACTAGAAGCATTTGTGAAATAGAAGGAATGAACAATAAAGGAGAATATAAACTTGGCTTATTTTGTCTTTCTACATCATTTGAAATATCTTTTTAGCTACGTAAAAGGGAAAAAATTAAAGACAGCCAAGGATCCAACCTCTGATGTTATTTCATTAGAGAGGAAAGCATGGAGACTTCACCGCTCTACCAGTTTAGCAGAAATACTGGAAGTCTGTCGATCAACTGGAGGATTCTTTCTTGTCTTGGCTTGTTTTGGAGCTGGTACAAAAATTGATAGTCTTAGCCCTGTTTAATTTATGTAGCTTCAGAAAGAAAGGTTGTCAGGGCCCACACGATGAAGAAAGAGGAAGAAAAGCAAATGAGACTGGGGACAGGTCTAAACCTCCTCCAGCAGCACTGTCATCCTGCTTATCAGGTAAGAAGAAAAACAGATTAAAGCAAGTTCTTTGTTTCCAAATTCCAGGCTTGCAAAGGATGTATTATGATATTCATTTCAAAATATGGTTACATCTTGAAAGCATTTTTGTTAGAAAGGCATATTATCTTTAACAATGAAGCAAGGAAAAAAGCTTGGTGCATTACTGTAGACTCTTAAAATACCTTAGCAGATCTTACTTTATATATATCTTTTTACATTAGCATTCAAAAATCCTTGGCAGGAACAATAGGAATGGTTCAAAGTTCAATTCATAATCATAAACAGACTTTTCCTCCATTCCCCCCCCATCACGGTTTTAGTTTTTATGAGTGTATTTGGAAGGGGTGGAGAGAAGAGAAAGGGGTCACATTTAAACATTCCCCCCTACCTCTCTTCCTCAGGATGAGCTCTAATTTTATAATAGGATAGTTTTATTCAGAGTTAACTACTTTGGTTTTGGTTCTGAATGATAATCATAGAAAATATAAAGTAACATTTTAAAAGCTCAGACTGTGAAAGAAAGGAATAGTACAGCTTAGTAAAAGCATATGTTGCTAGTGGGACCTCACAACCACATTCAAATTACGTTCTTGCCAAATCACGTTATGTTTCTAAAGCTCCTTATTTAAATTTCCCAAGTGAGGTTCATATGGCATGTTCTGTGTTTTTGCTATACAGTATTGAAGGGAGGTCCTTAGAAATCTTTCCCCTTAAGAACCAACTTTTTCTTTTCTAACTAAAAGTCCAAATTAAACCTAGTTTACATTTATGGGATATAGGACTCCATGCCACCGACAACAACAGAAAAAAAAAAAACAAACAAAAAAACACATCTGCTCTTGGCACTGTTGGGGTTGTAATAATGGCCTATGGAGCAATGGAACAGCAGTGCCTACCATCAGAGTGCCTGCCAACATTTGCTGTGGCTATATGTAGAGGAGTTAGGTTCCATCATGATCAGCATTTGCAGGACCTTGAATTGCCATCTAATCAAGTCCCAGTCTCAGAGAAAGAATGCATTAAAATCACTCCAGGGCTATGTATTTTTTTCTTTAAAAAATTAAAAATACGAAGTCACTGCATTTCTGTGCTTTACAAAATCTGGAGTAAGGAATTCATCCTGAAGTTGAATGTCACCAGTTTATGTATATGTTTGCTCTCACATTTAAAGACAGTTTCTGTGTAGCCTTCTGTTCTGTTCAGAAAGCCTGATTCTTTTTGGTCTCTTTTAGGCTTGGTTTAATCATTATTTAGGATTGCAGCAGTTCTCCCTTGGTACTTCTGAGTTATTTACAACTTAATTATATCTATCACGACAATGAATAAAATAATTTCCCTCCTCTCCTCCCCATCATCTTAATACAGTTTGCCCATCTGAACTTAAAAGCAAACCATACTGGATGGTTGGCTTGAATTAAGCTTGGAATCATTATGACTTAGAGGTCTTTCTGAATCACTTTCTGAAATACAGAACACAGCCAGAGAGAAGGGTCCATATCATGGATCACACAAAATATTGTGTACGTAAAAGTAACCCTACAGAATGCATTACAGATATGGTTCTCTAAGGTCCTGATATTTATTTCTAATCTCCCCCTCCATCTTCTTTATGCCTCATCCCATGAATTTGGATTAAATAGAAAATAACCTTATATAAGGTAAAATAATAGCTTTGTTCTTTCCTAGAGAAATCTCTGTTCTTTGTTTAGCATAATGCTGTGGTTATGAGCACAGACTATCTAGACCAAATCCTGGCTCTCTGATTTTAGGCAATTTACTTAACTTTCCCATATCTCAGTTTTTTAATCTATAAAATGGGGACAGAAAGGATCGTTAACACCTAGGGTTGTTAAAAGGATTTAATGGATTATTATATTTCAAGCACTTAGTACTGTTCATGGCCATAGAAGGCTCTCTATTTTAATATCACTGTTGTTATTCAGCTGTGTTACTCTACAGAATGTCTGGCTTCTTTTACTATCTGCACAGCCTGACATTATCTCTCTGCCTCTAATGCAAGTCCTCTGTGTTCTGCCTTTTTGTTCTGGCCAAAAGAGAGTCCTGTCCCATGTTACAGCAATGAAAAGGGATGTATACTTCTGTATTTGGTTCTTTTTCTTGGGAAGAGTGATGTCCTGATTTGGGGTGGACAGGTTTGAAGATGAACTCTTTCTTCCTAATGTTGAGAGACACGAAGGCTGTTTTTCTTCCTGTAAATTACTAATAAGCACTTTTTCCAGTAATTCTAGACATACCACCTTCCACTGAGGTGGGCTATACTTAACCAATTTGTATATGGACAAATATATTTTCTTTCAACTATGCAATTTCTTGAGGCCTTGCCTTATAATTTCTCACTCTTCTATCTCTGTTATTTTAAGACTCAAATATACATACATTTTTGAAATGGAGTCTCTCTGTGTGTTGTCCTGGCTAGAGTGCAGTGGCACAATCTCAGCTCACTACAACCTCTGCCTCCCAGTTCAAGGGATTCCCCTGCCTCAGCCTCCCAAGTAGCTGGGATTACAGGCATGCACCTTCACGCCCAGTTAATTTTTGTATTTTTAGTAGAGGCGGGGTTTCACCTTGTTGGCCAGCCTGGTCTCAAACTCCTGACCTCAGATGATCTGCCCACCTGAGCCTCCCAAAGTGCTGGGATTAAAGGCATGAGCCACTGCACCCGGCCTCAAATATAACTTTTGTATCACTTTCAGTGTCCTAGACAATATGAGGAGAATATCCTATCAGTTAAGTTGCTGTTAAAAAAAATTGGAGATCAAGAGGCTGACTACAGGTGCCCAGTGCTTACCTCCTTCACAGAGAAGGAGCAAAACATAAATAACCACATGTCTAGAGCATCTAAGAGAGAATACTAGAATACAGGAAAGAAATGACAAAGACCCTTTGAGGCACAGAAACTTGAGAGCAGCATATAAAGGGAAGTGAAGCAGCTGGCCAGGATTGGTTCCAAGTCAAGGGGGGGACTCCCTACTATGGGGGAAAGGTAAGCAGGAGATCCACAGAAGTCTGTATTTCTACCAGACATGTGCAGTGGGATAGGAAGGTGCCTTGAGTCTACACAATTGCATTATTCCAGAGAGGAAATTTGTCGTGGGGCCCCTCTAACCTGCCCAGGTCAGAGGCTGTTGTAGCATAGCGCTATTTTGAGATCAGGGGAACAACCAGACTACACCATGCCCTGGGTCCCATAGCCACTGCATTTCCACATACCCAAGGTTCTGCTAGCATCCTCTCACATCTACCCAGAAGGCTGCAGTGTCATGAGACCAGCTGGACCCAGTGGTGCTGCTACATCCCTGGCACTTGAACCCATGGAGTGCCCTACACCCTGGATAACAGGCAGTCAAGCACATCAGGAAAGCTGTCCCCAGTTACAAGGAGCTGAAGTGTACATTTCCCAGTCTGGCTGCTTGGGGCCATTGTCACCCACAGTGACTCTGCCCCCCCTAACACACCGATGGCCCACTGGTGGCCTCCACAAACAACCATAGCCTAGGTCACTGAGAAACTTGCAGATATTACTAACACGGATTATAGCCAAAAAAATCACCCAGCGGCCCAAGGATTGGCTCACTGCTACAACTTCCCCCACTTGATGCCATGCATGCTGCCTAGGTCCCTGAAAACCTGCCTGCCTACCTTGCTCACTGCTACCTGTGCCAACATCTAAACAAGCTGCTTGGAGGCCCAAAGACTGATCTCCCCAGATGTGCCATCACTGGTGACCATGTGTACCTGGGATCCTGAATACCATTAAGTGAACAAATACTTGTATTTCAGGAGTTTCAGAAGCAAAGGTCAAAGAAGACATAGCAAACCTATTTAGTGAAATAACTAAAAATTTCCCAAGTTTGGGAAGAGACACAGATATCCAGATACCGAAAGCTCAAGTATCCCCAAATAAATTTAACCCAAATCTTCTCTGGGGCACATTATAGTCAACCTGTTAAAAGTCAAAGATGGAGCGATTTCTAAAAACAGCATCTCATATGAGGGAACTCACATCAAACTAACAGAAGATTTCTCAGTGGAAACCTTATAGGATAGGACAGATTGGAATAATATATTCACAGTTCTGAAAGAAAGAAAGAAAAACACTGGGCATGGTGGCTCATGCCTGTAATCCCAGTACTTTGGGAGGCTGAGGCGGGCAGATTGTTTGAGCTCAGGAGTTGAGACCAGTCTGGGCAACATGGCAAAACCCCGTCTCTACAAAAAACACAAAAATTAGTTGGGCATGGTGGTGTGTGCTTTAGTTCTAGCTACTCAGGGGGCTGAGCTGGGAGGATCACTTGAGCCCAGGAGGTGGAGGTTGAAGTGAGCTGAGATTGTGCCACTGCATTATAGCCTGGGTGACAGAGTCAGACCAGACCATGTCTCAAAAACAAACCACAAACAAACAAAAAGCCTGTCAGCCAAGAATATTATACCGAGGAAAACTATCATTTAGAAATTAAGGAGAGCTAAAGTCTTTTCCAGACTGGCAAAAACAGAGAAAATTCATCACCATTAGACTGGCCCTACAAGGAATGCTTAAGGGAGTTCTACATCTGGAAGTGAAAGGATGATAGTTACCATCGTGAAATCACACAAAAGTATAAGCATACTTCATTTTATTGTACTTCACAGATAATGCACTTTTTACAAATTGAAAGTTTATGGCAACTCTGCATTGAACAAGTCTATTGATAACATTTTTCCAATAGCATGTGCTCACTTTGTGTCTCTTGTCCATATTTTGGTAATTCTCACAATATTTCAAACTTCTATTATTTTATCTGTTATGGTAGTATGTGATTAGTGATCTTTGATGTAACTTTGATGTTAAAGATGTTATAGGAATAGCAAGAGAAGTAGAAGTAGAGCATGAGGATGTGACTGAATTGTTGCAATATGATACGACTTGAATGGATGAGAAGTTACTTCTTGTGGATGAGCAAAAAGATGGTTTATTGAGATGGAATCTACTATGGGTGAAGATGCTGTAAACACTGTTGAAATGACAACAGCAAATTTAGAATAGTACATAAACGTAGCTGATAGATCAGAGGCAGGATTTGAGAGGATCAACCTTAATTTTAAAGGCAGTTCTATGGGTAAAATGTTATCAAACAGCATCACATGCTAAAGAGAAATCTTTTGTGAAAAGAAGACTGAATTGATGCAGCATACTTAATTTGTATCTTATTTTCATAAATTGCCACAACAACCCCAATCTTTAGCAATCACCACCCTGATCAGTCAATAGCTGTCAACAATGAGGCAAGATACCTTGACCAGCAAATTGATTATGACTTACTGATGGGTCGGGTGATTGTTGGCATTTTTTAATTAAAAAAATGCTATCGCACACTTAATAGACTACAAGATAGGATCAACATAACTTTTATATGTACTGAGAAACTAAACATCTAATGTGACTCATTTTATTGTGACATTTCCTTTATTGCAGTGGGCCAGAACCAAACCTGTATTATCTTCAAGGTATGCCTGTAAAAAGCTCAGAGCAGATATGCAAATAAGAAAGGGAAAGGAATCAAATGTTGTTACTACAGAAAATTACCCAACCGCAAAGATTAACAGTAAGATAGGAAGAAAGGAACAAAGAAAGGAAGAAAGGAACAAAGAAACAAACATACACAAAATAATAGAAGAAATTAACAGAATGACAAGATTAAGTCCTTACCTGTCAATAACAACCTTGAATGTAAACAGTTTAAATTGCCAATTAAAAGGTATAGACTGGCTGAGTAGATTTCAAAACAAAACAAAACTAAAAACTAACTGCTGCCTACAAGAAACACACTTCACCACCTGGGCGCGGTGGCTCACGCCTGTAATCCCAGCACTTTGGGAGGCCGAGGCGGGCGGATCACGAGGTCAGGAGATTGAGACCACAGTGAAACCCCGTCTCTACTAAAAATACAAAAAAAAATTAGCCAGGAGCAGTGGCAGGCGCCTGTAGTCCCAGCTACTCGGGAGGCTGAGGCAGGAGAACGGCGTGAACCCGGGAGGCGAAGCTTGCAGTGAGCCGAGATCGCGCCACTGCACTTCAGCCTGGGCGACAGAGTGACTCCATCTCAAAAAAAAAAAAAAAAAACAAAAAAACGCACTTCACCTATAAAGATACATATGGAATGAATGTGAAGGGATGGTAAAAGACATTCCATGCTAATGGAAACCAAAAGTGTACAGGAGTAGCTATATTTACATCAGACACAACAGACTGTAAGTAAAGAAAAATAAAAAGGTCATTATACAATGACAAAGAAATCAATTCATCAAGAGGATATAATAATTGTAAATATATTTGCACCTAACACAAGAGCACCCAGATACATAACACAAATATTATAAGGGCTAAAGAGATAGACCCCAATGCAATAATAATTGAGAACTTATCCCATTTTCAGCATTGGACAGATAATCTATACAAAAAAGTCTACAGAGAAACATCAGACTTAAACTGCGTGGTAGAGGTAATAGACATTTACAGAACATTCCATCCAACAACTGCAGAAAACACATTCTTCTCATCAGCACAAGGAACATTGTCCAGTATAAACCATATGGTAGGCCACAAAACAACCCTTACCAAATTCAAAAAAGTTGAAATTGTATCAAGTTTTTTCTCAGACCACAATTTAATAAAACGAGAAATCAATAACCAGAGAAACTTTGGGAAACTGTAAAAATACATGTAAATTAAATAACATGCTTCTCAATAACCAATGGGTCAATGAAACAATTGAAAATCAAAAATTTCTTGAAACAATTTAAAATAGAGACACAACATACCAAAACCTATGTGATACAGCAAAAGCAGTGCCAAGAGGGAAGTTTATAGTGGTAAACACCTACATCAAAAAAGCAGAAAGATTTCAAATAACCTAACAATGCACCTCAAGAAACTAGAAAAGCAAGAAGGAGCCAAACCCAGAATTATTAGATGGAAAGAAATAATAAAGGTCAGAGCAGAATTAAAACTGAAATATAGGCATACCTCAAAGATATTGCAGTTTAGTTCCAGACCACTCAATATGGTGAATATCACAATAAAGGGAGTCACCAGTTTTTTGGCTTCCAAGTGCATATAAAAGTTATGTTTACATTATAGTAGTCTATTAAATGTGCAATAGCAGTATGTCTAAAAGTGTATGTATTTTAATTAAAAAGTTCATAGCTAAAAAATGCTGACATGGAAACATGCAGTGAGCACATGCTATTGGAAGTATGGTGCCAATAGACTTGCTTTATGCAGGGTTGTCACAGACATTCAATTTGCAAAAAACAATATCTGTGAGGTGCAATAAACCAAAATACAATAAAGTGAGGTATGCATGTAGGGAAAGAGAAAATAATAGATCAGAAAAATGAAAACTTGTTTTTTTTTTTGAAATGGTGACCAAAATTGGCAAACTATTCATTAGATTAAGAAACAGAATACACAAATAAAATCATGAACAAAAAAGGAGACACAACATCCGATATCACGGAAATACAAAGACTCATTAGAGACTATTATGTACACAAGTATACACCAACAACTTGAAAAATCCAGAAGAAATGGATAAATTCCTAGACACATATAATCTACCAAGACTAAACCAGAAAGTAATAGAAGACCTGAACAGGCCAATAATGAGTAACAAAATTGAATCGTTAATAAAAAGTCTCCCAACGAGGAAAAGGCCAGGATGAGATGACTTTCTTGGTGAAGTATACCAAACTTTTAAAGAAGAACTAACACCAATTCTTCTCAAACTATTTCAAAAAACTGAAGAGGTGGGAATTCTTTCTAACTCATTCTACAGGGCTAGAATTATCCTGATAACAAAACCAGACAAGGACACAACAAAAAAAGAAAAGGGCAGGCCCATATTTCAGATGAATGTATACAACGGTTTACATCATTGTCTCCTCCAAAACTCAGGTTAAAACTTATTTATTTATTTATTTGAGACAGGGTCTCACTCTGTAGCCAGGCAAGAGTGCAGTGGCATGATTGACTCACTGAAGCCTCAACTTACAGGGCTCAAGCAATCCTCCCACCTCAGCCTCCCAGTTAGCTGGGACTTCAGGTGCATGACACCATACCTGGCTAAATTTTTTGTAGAGACAGAGTTTTGCCATGTTGCCCATGCTGGCTTCGAACTCCTGGACTCAAGTGATCCACCTGCTTCAGCCTCCCAAAAGGCTCGGATTACAGGTGTGAGCCACCGCACCCCGCCTGATGTTAAAACTTAATCTCCAATGTGGCAGTATTGATAGATGGCGTCTTTAAGAGGTGATTGGGTCATGAGGATTCTGCACTCATGAATAAATTAATTCATGGATCTATTGGTTAATAGATGAATGGGTTATCATAGGAGTGGAAATAGTGACTTTATAAGAAGAGGAAGAAAGACCTGAGCTAGTACATACAGCATCCTTGGCCATTTAACGTCCTGTGCCACCTTGGAACTCTGAAGAGAACTCCCATCAGCAAGAAGCCTCTCAACAGATGCAGCCCCTTGACCTTGGACTTCTCAACTGCCATAAGTGTAAGACATAAATATTTTATTTGTAAATTACCCAGTTTCAGAGTATTCTGTTAAAAGCAACAGAAAACAAACTAAAAGGACATAAACTAAAAAATCCTCATCAAAATACCAGCAAATCTAATCCAACAGCACATCAAAAGCTAATACACCATGGGATTTATTCTATGGATGCAAGAAGTTTCCACATATGTGAACCAATAAATATGACACATCACATCAACAGAATAGAATAGAGAAAAACCATATGATCATCTTAATAGATTCAGAAAAAGTATTTGATAAAATTCAACATCCATTTATGATAAACACTCTCAACAAATTAGGTATAGAAGAGACATAACATAATAAAGGCCATATATGACAAACCCAGAGCTAACTTCATATTGAATAGGAAGAAGCTGAAAGTTTTTCCTCTAAGGACTGGAATAAGACAAAGATGTTCACTTTCATGACTCTTAGTCAGTGTAGTATTGAACTTCTTAGCCAAAGCAATTAGGCAGGAGAAAGAAATAAAGGGTATCCAAATTGGAAAAGAGAAAGTCAAGTTGTCCCACTTTATAGATGACATTATCTTACGTATAGACAATCCTAAAAACTCCATCAAAAACTCAGTACTAGTAAACATATTCATGAAAATTGTGAGATAGAAAATCAATATACACAAATCAGTAGTGTTTTTATAAACCAATAGCAAACCAACTGAAAAAAAATCCACAATAGCTACAAAAAAATCTAGAAATAAATCTAACCAAGGGGTGAAAGATATCTACGATGAAAGTATTAGAACATTGATGAAAAAATTGAAGAGAACACAAAAAGAATTAGTATTATTAAAATATACTACCCAAAGAAATATACAGATTCAATGTAATCTTTATCAAAATACCTACAACATTTCTTAGAGAAGTAGAAAAATCCTAAAATTTATATGGAACCAAAAGAGACACTGAGCAAAAGAACAAAGCTGGAGGCATCACATTATCTGACTTCAAAATATACCACAAAGCCATAGTAACCAAAATAGCCTGGTATTGGTATAAAAACAGACACATAAACCAAAGGATCAGAATACAGAACCCAGAGATAAATTTGCGTATTTACAGCTAACTTGATTTTTGACAAAGATGCTAAGAACATCCATTGGGAAAGGGATACCTTCTTCAATAAATGGTGCTAGGAAAACTGGATATCCACATAGAGAAGAATGAAACTAGACCCCTGTCTTTCACCATATGCGAAAATCAACTCAAAATAAAGACTCAAATATAAGACCCAAAACTATAAAACTGCTAGAAAAAAATAGGGAGAACACATCAGGGCATTGTTCTGGGCAAAGATTTCATGGGCAAGGCTTCAGAAGAACAGGCAACAAAACCAAAAATAGACAAATGTGACTATATGAAACTAAAAAGTTTCTGCATGGCAAAGGAAACAATCAACAGAGTAAAGAGACAACCTGTAGAATGGGAGGAAATATTTCTAACTTATTTGTCCAATTAGGCACTAATATTCATAATATACAAGAAACTCAACAGCAGAAAAAAACCAAATCTGATTTAAAAATGGGCAAAGGATTTGAAAGGAGATTTCTCAAAAGAAGACAGGAAAACCACCAAGAAGTATAGAAGACATGCCCAACGTCACTAATCATCAGGAAAATTCAAATTAAAACCACAATAATCTACCATCTTACCCCAGTTAGTATGGCTACTATTTAAAAAAATAACAAATGCCGAAAAGGACGCAGAGAAAAGGGAATTTTCATATGTCGTTGGTGTGAATGTAAATTAGTACAGCTATTATGGAAAACAGTTTGGAAGTTTCTCAAAAAACTAAAAATAACACTACCATATGATCTAGCTATCTCACTACTGGGTATTTATCCAAAGGAAAGGAAATCAGTATATTGAAGAGATATCTGCACCTCCATGTTTATTGCAGCACTGTTCATAATAGCCAAGACATAGAATCAACTTAAGTGAGTAAAGACAATGTGCCATATACATACATACATTACATACACACACACACACACACACACACACACACACACACGCACACAAATACACAATAGAATACTACTTAGCCATAAGAATGAAATCCTGTCATTTGGAACAACATAGATGAGTCAGGAGGACATCCTGTTAGGTGAAATAAGTCAGGTCCAAAAACATAAATACTGCATGCTCTCACTCAGGTGGGAGCTAAAATAATGTTGAGCTCAGAAGTAGAGAGTAAAATTGTGATTATTAGAGTCTGGAAAGGGTAAAATGGAGAGAAGAAGATAAGGAGGAGTTGGTTAACAGATACAAAATTATACCTAGATGAAAGGAATAAGTTCTAGTGTTCTGTAGCAATATAAGCTGAATATAGTTACTAATAATCTATTGTATATTTTCAAACAGCTAGAAGAAAAGATTTTGAAGTTCCCAACACAAAGACATGATAAATGTTTGAAGTGATAGATATGCTAATTACCCTCATTAGATCATAATACATTTTATACATGTATTGCAACTTTACTCTGTATTCCATAAAAATGTATACTTATTACATGTCAGCTAAAAGGAAAAGGAAAAAAAAATTGACAAATATCAAGCCAAGGACCAGCCCTTGTAGAACTAATCACTCTTCAACAATGGCTTGTTATAAATAATATACATCCTAAGCAGCATAATATGTAGGTATAATTAGTATATAATCTAAGTGAAATATTGCTAAATACTGGTAGGTTTAGCATCTTAAAATTGTTATTTACCACAGACAATGTACCCAGTAATATTTGATTTTGCTTTCCTGTAAGACTGATCAGATTGTAATAGAAGAGAAATAGATTCACCAGAAGGAAATAATGAGAAAATACAGAATCATTTTCTTCACAAAATTATATCATATCTAGCATTTTATGATACTTACAAATTGATTTGATGCAGACAAATTAATTTCTCTATGTTATATTTGAATAGAGAGACGGTAAGTGCTAAAGACTAAGAGAACAGGATCTGGAATCAGACTGCCTGGGTATAAATCCTGCCTCTTGTATTTATCAGCATTGATTGTGCAGACTACTTAACTCTGCAAGCTTCCATTTCCTCATCTGTAAAATGGGGTTGATAGTAGTACCTATCTCACAGGTTTGCCATGAAAATTAAATAACACATGTAATTGTGCTTGCTATATAGATGCAATGAAGAAGGAACAGCTTTTAGTAAACGTGAACAACATTTTCCTTCTTTGTCTTTGAACACGTAGTTTGCCTGATAGTCTTGAAAATAGTGTCTATTGCTTTGGGTTCTTTCAATAATGTGTGGCAATGAAAATTGAAACATGGCAACAAAATTTTGTTTTCTCTCCTTTACACCTGTTTCTTCTGTTACTAGGTACCACAATGTAAATAACATTTTGGTATGTGGTCTTTTCAGTGTCACCGGTTGAGAAATCTTTTTATAAATATATATTTTAAGCATCTATTTTCTTTCAGGCAAACTTAAAGAATTCTGAATTTTTCTTGAGAGCAATATGTATGCTCAGTCACAACTGGTGGTCCAAATTCAGAAGCAAGCAACATTCGGCTCTCTGTTATGCAAACTTTAAGATACTAGAAGACTAGACATTTGGCAAGACCATAATTTGAGTACAGAACATGGCATATTAGAAGAGTGAACATATAACTGTCATCCAAACTGGGATGCCTTAAAGGGTGAATGAAACCAGCACTAATCATAATTATGTTGGGACGACAGGTGTATACTGGGACTGTTCTGGGAAAACATGGGTAAATAGTCACCCTATGAATTTTTGGTTTTGGTATCTAATTTTGTATAATAAATCATCCCCAAATCCAGTGCCAAGAAGCAATAACCATTTTACTATACTTACAAGTTTGTGGGTCGATAATTAAGGAATGGTGAAATTGGTCACTCGCCTCTGCTCCGTAATTACTGGATCTTGGCTGGGGTGGTGGGAATGGCTGGAAATGCTGGGACAACTCAACTGGGGCCCTATGTCTGGGGCCTCAGTTCTGTTTGTTGGCTGGGTTCCTTAATTATTCCCCACGTGCCATTTGCTATGGCTAGAATGGTGTAACTGTAGAGATCCAAACATGAAAAGGGCTAAGGAAAATGAGGAAAGCATAGGGATCCTGGAAAAAGGAGGGCCATCTCTAAACACAGCAGGAAATACCCAACACAATGTTTTCCTCAAGTGTACAACACATGTCTTTGGTGATTTTTAAGTGGACTTGACATTGAGTAATTCAATTATGAAATCACGTTTGAAAAACATTTTTTCACCTTTAATCTTTTTGATGATTCATAAGAATGGAGAAAATCTCACTTGCTCAATATCAATGTAGCCCTCAATGACATCTCTCCTTAGCAATAAGAATATATCTCAAGCCCAAAGACTTCAATGGGCAGCACTATTTAGTAACAAAGAATGAATAACACAGTTTTGTTTTCATTGTAATTTTCTTCTATTACCTTCTAATTAGGGCAAATGATGCGTTTTAAAAAAATGTTTGTAGTTGTGATATAAAACTTTCTTTTAAAACATATAGTGGTGATGACTATACAATAGAGTGAATATACTAAAAACCACTGAAGTGTTAAAATAAAGGATGTCATATGTTTTTTTTGTTTTTGTTTTTGTTTTTGTTTCTGTTTTTTGAGATGGAGTCTCGCTCTGTTGCCTAGGCTGGAGTGCAGTGGCGCGATCTCGGCTCACTGCAACCTCCGCCTGCCAGGTTCACGCCATTCTCCCCCTCAGCCTCCTGAGTAACTGGGACTACAGGCACCCGCCACCACGCCTGGCTAATTTTTTGTATTTTTTAGTAGAGACGGGGTTTCACTGTGTTAGCCAGGATGGTCTTGATCTCCTGACCTCGTGATCCGCCTGCCTCGGCCTCCCAAAGTGCTGGGATTACAGGCGTCATATGGTGTTTTGATGGGGAACAGAACTGGAGATATTTGGAAGAGATTGAGCCTAGAGTTGCTTGGTGCCCGCACAAAAAGACTCACAGCTACCAGAGAACAGAGACTGTTAACTCCAAGAGGATGTCTACAGAATGGGGCCTTAAAAATGTAGAGAGGAGGATGGAACAGATAAGATAGCCTGCATTCCAAGGTCAAGGATTAGGGAAAAGAGTAAGAGTCAATTTTGCCCTCTCCTTCTTCAAGTCTGATGCCAGTAACCTGGGCTGCAGTGGTTGAATATATATGTTTCAATGGAGTAGAGAAAGAAATTTTATACTGGCTCATAACTAAAAACTGAAAATGGACAATTGCAACTTTAATAACCAAAAGCCCCTGAGAGATTTTTGAAATCTGCCCAAGACGGGATTCAATACTTTTTTCAGGGGTTAGAGAGATTTGACATAGTACCAGGGGCAATGATTCGAGAAAAATAAAACAATAACATGTTTTTACTCCTCCAAGCTGAGACAATTCAATAAACCACTCAGCTATCATCTAAAAAACAAATAGAACCAAAACTATATCAGTAAAAGTAGGGGTCAATATAAAAAATAGTATATCATACTAAACCTGTAATATAAGATGGTGAAATCATACTAGTGGTTCAATCACGGATAATTAAAATTCGGGAAATACTCAAAATGCAAATGATGGCAAAATTTCCTCCACGATTCCTCAAGGGGTGCCAGTTGAATTATTTTTCCTGACAAAAGCATTCAAGGTTCTATTGAAAGCTAAGGAAATCATCTGGAAGTGAGGAAAATAAGGAGTTAAGCTCTTTAGTCCTTGCTGGTTATTATTACTAACAGAGTAAATTATCAGATTATTGGAGAATTAGTTGCTGTAGCGCTATATTGTGAACTTAGGGAATCGCTGATCTTAATGTGTGCCTAGAAAGGCACCAAATATTGAAGGGTGGGATAGATTCCTGAGAAAAATTGCCCTTAGCAAAAAAAGAAACAAACCACCAAACACCAACCCTGCCTCCTATCCCCCAAATATAACTTTGGTCTCTGATTCTTCTTTTTCAAACTGTTTTGTTTCTCCCACACAATCCCCTTCTTTATTGCCTGTCACGCCCCATAATTCCTTCTTTAATTTTAAAACCCCTGACTTACAGCTGGCTGCTCTTAAGAAATGACCTTTCCCATTTGACAGGTGTAAAAATGTCTTATGACAATGATACATTTGTACACACTCAGAGAGTGGTCTTAGGAGTTAAAAGTAAATGTTCATAATAAGGAATTAAAAGGAGAACTTTCCTTTTAAGAACAAACTGCAGGCATACACGTGTTGTGCAAGTCTTTTTCCAAGAAACATGTTTTAGGAGAAAGAGCCTCAGTGTTCTTCTAGACAAATCTGTATTCAAGTCTTATCTCTACCACATACTAGGACCTTAGTCACATATGTAACCTCTCTAGTCTTCATTATTCTCATCTGTTACCTAGGGATAATCACTCTTTCTTCTTTGGTTGTTATAAAGTTAGAATGAGATGGAACACATAGCCCATGAGGCATGGTTTATGCTCAGAGTATTAGTAGCTGCTCTGTTCCCTCTTACCCTTATAAAAACCATCATAATCAGATAGAAAATCCATGAGAGATTATATCTATTTGTATCTATTTATATGTGTGTATATTCATATCTGTATATCTGTATGCCCAAATGTAAGCAATCAGACAGGCAATGTAAATTGTAAATATGGGAAATAATGAGAAAACAATCTGCCTAAATTCCTGTCAAATTGGAAATAAAAATATAGTCAGCTCCAGGAATTCAGAAATAAAATCAAAGAATCAAGAGCCTAAGAACACAAGAATATATACACAGAATTATTTTCCAGATGAGTCTAACTCATTATCTCCTTGTTGTATATGTTTTTAATACTATGTTCCCTTTAAGAGTGTTGAAGTGTATTAGCAACTTTAGAGAATTGCACCTCACTGAAATTTTGTCAAAAGATCTTAGTCTTTTCCTTTTTAAGTCTGTCCTACAAATCTCCTCTCTTTCTTCCTCTTACTTCCTCCCAAATCCACAGTGACTCCAACAGCTGCAATCCCTCCCTCCCACTCCACCACTCAGTGTGGAACTGTGTTGCCATTGGAGACATCCCCTGCTCCCAGAAGCTAGCTCTGTCCAAGAACTTAGGTGGCGGACTTAAAGTAGCAGAAAGTAGTCAATAATTAGAAAAACAGATTTCAGCCAAACTGAGTAGCTAGAGCTTGGAATCTCATAGCTGAGATATTGGTTTTGCTAATTAATTAGCATAAAAATAATGGTCTATGGGGGAACATAGCTTTCTAAACTTTTGGCTGGGACTATTATAAATGAACAATGTGCACAGGAAAATGTTAATAGTTGCAGAGAAAGGCATTTTAACAGAGTTTTACAGTATGTGGCTTGGGGTCCTCAGGGCAAACATATGCATTACACATCTAACCCCACACTGAGAAAATAATCCCTAATGTTGGTTCCTCTGCTAGTCCTATTAAAAATTCTCCAAAATGTAAAGCCTGCCAATTTCAGGCTAAGAATAAATGGCTCATGGTTCCTTTTGAAACAACATCCAAGATTCATGCACTCAGTGCTGCACACAAAATCACTGTGGGAGGAATATCTCTGGTTTCTGGGGTGCCAGAAAAGACCAATGTGCCTGTCCAGCCCCATTTATTTCAGGCAGGCACCCAAAGGCCACTTTCTGTTAGAGATGGCTAGAGTGGGGATTTAATATTAAAGGATATCAGACCCTATGTTTGCATTAATGCAGAGACTTGGAATCCATAATGGGGAAATGCTGAAAATGCTGTGCATTCTGTAAGATGCCGCTTCTCACGGAATTTAACACTTGACATTCAGTAAAAGATGAAGACTCAGTTCATAACATTGGCCATTTTTTTGCAGATGGCTCTAACACAGTGTTAGTAGTGTGATATTTGGGAATGTGGATGGTCTCCCTTAGCCCTAAATACTTAAATTATTTAAATAGTTAAATTATTTTCATGTGAAAAGATGTGAGGTGAAGGTATAAGTAATAAAAAGCATGGAAAAACTTAGAATTGGTTCAAATAGAATTTTTCTTCCTTGATTAAAAAAACCACTTTGATTTTGAGATTAAAAACTTATTTGGAATCTCAGGTCTCAGCTACGGGATCTCAGATCATTCCTTTTAACCTTTCCTGGGCCTCAACTTTCCCATCTGTAAAATGGAACTACATGGAAGTGAGGATTAAATGGGACAGTGTTACAAATGTTATAAACACTAATTTTTATATACATTTTATAGCTTCTTATGTTATACAATTTGCAAATATAGGCAAATTAATTATTAATATGAAAATTTAGATACGCATATATATATTATTGATTTGATTCCATAAGGATTTATTTAGGTCCTCAATAGCCAGGTCTCACTCAAATTCCCATGTGATTTCTAGTTCCTGCTTGGTAAGAATTCTGCAAATTGTCAGAAACTCACACTTGCCTGGTGCTGGATTACCTGTTAGTAATCACATTAGGGAAGGGGCCACATCTGCACCAGAGATGGTGAACCCAAGTGGACAAACAATCTGGAGCTCACTTCCTAATAATTGTTTACCCCTTTATTCAAGTTATGGCTCAAAGGTTGACTCATCTCTTTGCACTTCATTGTCTTCCAAATTCATTAATCCCCCATTTATGGGAAACTTCATCTTCAAGGCTCTCTTAGGTGGTCTTTTTAACTCCTACAGGGTCCTGGGGTATTTCTGTAAATGACCCCTAGGTTATATGACCATGTCCTCCTAAGGCCTCTATTCTCAAGGGGGGGAACATTTAGACATATTCCCAAAGTTCTTAGCTTTGGAATTTGACCTACAAAGAGAACTGCATGTTTTGTTTTTGACTGCCCCCAGGCCTATATGTTACTGTGTGCTGTGATTTGAGTATGTGCTCAGAGAGAACTGGCCCATAGTTCTGAGAATAAACAATTATGCACATATAGACACTTTAAGCAATTTCCTTAGAATGCTTTTCAAGAGGCCGTGGCTTTGCAAACACTATCTGGTATTTTCATTGACTCTGAATTGGTCGTTGAAAGTGTCATTTCATTTTGACCCTATTTTAACTCAAATTCCCTACAAAATGACAGTGTCCTTTTTTATTTCTAAGCCCAGCCTATTTTCCACCTTTGCCCCCTTTTATGTGTGGCAAAGGAAAGTGTAATTCAGTTGTGTATCATAGGATGACAACTTTGACTTCATGTCCCTGGAATTTTGCCTGGTGAGTGGGTGAGGGGCTGACAATAGGTTACATGCATACTCGACTCTGTTTGCAATGAGAAGGAGGCAGGACAGATCTATTTGCCATAAAAGCACTTAGTTTTTCCAGCAAATTTCCTGGTAGAGTATTGTTCTAAGGAACTAAGGATCTGATTCTCAACAATTAAATCTGCTGTCACATTTTATTTATAACGGAGTTTCGAGATCAGACTAATAACTATAATGTCTTAATTTCCCCAGCAGTTGCAAGGCTGGGGAGAGAATAAAATTGGTTGTTGTACAGTTTTATTAGCGTTAGTCTCTCATAAGAAACATTGATTTCAAGCATGTTTTTCTTAACGGCTGTAACTCCAGGTGACTGTGATAAAGAGGCGGACATTTTTGGGGAGTGTCATATTAGAACCGAATGAACAAAGCTGGAGATCTGTGTGTGTGGGTTGAGGGGATATAACAAACAGAAAACGGGGTCCATGTACATTGAAGCTCCTTCACCTAATCTATCCCACATATTATTCTGGACTTTTTAGAAAGATGCAGCACAAGGAATAGTAATCTATTTATTGTTGCAGTATGTGGAAAGACAAGGAGACATGATACCATGCGTTATGGTAGAATGAAGGCAGGGCGATCGCTGTGGTTGGAATACAGAATATATATTCATTCGTGTGCAAAGGAACGTTATGGATAAAAGGGAAAAGAGTGGCACTGGATGACGCTGGACAAAGAAAAATAAAATGTAGTCATACTAGATGAAGACCTTTACTTCTGGCCTATGGCAAATAGAATGTAAGGCAAAGGAGACGTGCAGTTTCATGGGTACATTCAATAACAAAGTGATGCAATAGACCTTTGACATCCCTGCAATCCTTCCCTTCTGTTCCAAATTGCGAACAAGCTAGTCTGGAGGGAATATTGCTGTGAGAAACAGATAAAAAGGTTTAGTCACTATCACATGAGAAGGGTTAAGAACACAACAAAATATCCATGTAGCAATTTGCCAACTTGGCCTTGTAGTCATCTGGGACACAAACAAAACAAAACGGATTTCGGGATCTTCCCCTATGAGATTTCTGATTTGATACATCTGAGATAAGGCCCAATGATGTCCTTGAGCTTTTTAGGTGACTATATTAGTGAACAATGATTGGGAACCATTTGTAATTAAGGTAAAATTTCTTAAAATCAGATTCAAGACATCTGGTTTCAAAATTTCGAAATAAGGAACTTTCTAACTCCATCTCTTAAAAATCTCCAAACATAAGAAAAAATTTTAAAAAGAAATACATAGTTTATCTTTGAGAAAACTAGGAGATATCTGAACTCTGGAACACGGTATTTTTAAAAAGGATAATCTGAGAATGAGTTGGAACTTTTAGGAATTAAAAATATAATAGCTTAAAATTTTAAAAATCACTAAACTTTGGATAATAATGTTATTCAGAAATAAAACAAATAGACGGACAAAAAGAGACTGAGAATAAGGAAATTAGAGGATAGATCTAGTAGAAATTATGAAAAAATAAGCAGAGAAGTAAGAGAAAAATGAGCAAAGAAACAAAACAAGAGAACCAAAGGACAAATATCTTCAAATGAATGGGGCCCACTGAGTACTGACACCAAGACATTCACAATAAAAACAAGCTTAAAAAATCTTCCAAGAATAGAAAATCGAAAAAAAGGATTCAAACATAAAATGGATCAGGTTTTCAGGATACTGTGAGAATGGCAGTTGGCTTCCCAACAACTTTGTTGAAAAGTAGATAACAATGGTGCCTTTGAAATTTTGAAGGAAGTGATCTTCAATCCATAATCTTCTACTCATAACAATTACAAGTCTAATGTAATGACAAAAGGCATTCTCAGATATGTGAGGTCTCAAAAATTTTCATTCCAATGCACTTTTTTTCAGCAAGTTGCTGGAAGATGTTTTCTAGTAAGATAAGAGTAAATCGAGAAAGACAAATATACCAGAACCAGGATCTAATACAGATGTGAAGGAAAGAAAATTTGCAAAGAGAAATTCCCAGGTAACAAAAGTGAAACTCAAAAGAGCAATGTATTAAATATAGACTGGAGCAGTCGAGTGGAAAATTCAAATAGGATTATATCCATTAAAAGAGAAATGATAAATTATCTAATGAGCTTAATCGTGTTCAAAAGCGATTAAGGGGCATATTTCAAAAAGTTTGGTAGATGAAAAGAGGTTTAATTAGAGATGTGAATAAACAAATAGAATTTAAAAAAAATGATGGAACTCTTAACACCAGGAAAAAAAGGTGTGTGATAAAGGGTGTGTAACCATAGTATGTATCACTTGACTGAGCAATGAATAATATTTGCCTTATCTAATAATTAAGATACTGTGTTATAGCCATATGGTAGAGAAGAGTGAGTGTAAGAGAGCTAAAATTCTCATTTATCAAAATACATAAAAATTTATCAACACAGATAAAAAGAAAATCTAAATGTGATGAATTATGATATGGGAGTAAATACATGTAGTTTTAGATAAATAAGGGTAAATTCTTAAGCAAATATTTAAAAAAGTTAAAAGTGGTTACCTTCAGGGAGGAGGATATGTAAGAAAGGAAGCAGAGGGGACTGTTTTTATTGCTAAGCCTATTAGCACAATTTGATATTTTAAATTATATTTATTCCTTTAATAAAATTACAATTAATTTAAAAGTCAAATAAATGTTAATTAGGGTTGAAAAAGAATTAAGAATAAATCAAGGCAATTCACTAATTTCCAAATTGTTGACCAGCTTGGGCACAGGTTAGATGTTGATGTAGTTCAATTTCCAGCTCACCTTTACCCTTTTAAAATATTCTTCCAAAAGCTTGAGGCCCTAGCCTTACCCCAGGCCTGTATTTCCCAAAGAAAATTTGTTTACTAAGTTGATTTGCTCCACAGTCCAGGTCACAAATTTTATATGCTTTGGAAATTTTATATGCTTCTAGCATATAAATTTAAACAATTTATATGCTACGCCTTATTAAAAGGTAGGCCTTTGAGATTCAATTCAGAGACTGATTCAAGAGGTCTGGGAGGTGCTGATGAATTGATTTTAACAAGTGTGTGAGATGAATTTGATACAGGCAATCAAGGGACCCATTTAACAAAAACTTGCACAAAGGTGTTGGGATTGAACATGTTAATACTTACCAGAAATACATATTCACTCATTTATTTATCTAATATTTATTTGAGCTCATTTTAGTTTTAGACAATATACTAGTTGTTGAGATGAGGCATATTCTAAAAACATTCATAATTTAGTCATTCATTACAGAAATAACAAGGGGAAGCCTGCCTCATGTGACTGAATCTTAGCACAGAATCCCAGAGGTCAATGTGGAAGAAATACAGGAGCAGAGAAAGCCTTCTACCCAATAAACTTTCTAATCCTAACATCAGCTTTGAAATTAGTCACAGCATTCTTCATCATGAGTATGAACTCCAAACATCCTCTTATTAATATATTACAAATGTTATGAGCATTGGGCACATGAATACTCTTAATACCTGATCCTGCAGGCTTAAATTGTTTGAAGCATATACAATGTTAAATACAGTATCAGAGGCATAGTAGGTCCTCAATAAAGGTTGATTCCCTTGTGCTTTTACACTATACTTTCCATTTGCAAGTAATTCTGCTCGTAGCTTGACTGGCAGTGCACTGTGGTAGTCAAAAGCACAGGTTTATATTGAAATGCCCATTCCCAGCTCTTTTTTTGGTACATGTCTTTGTTACACTGGCAGGTTATTTGACCTTGTTAAGGAACGAATTCTTCCTTTTTTTAAGGGGATACTTATGTCACTTTGAGGGTTTGTTGAGATGATACAGGTAAAGTTCCTTACAAACTCACATGCACTTAAGAAATGTTGTGGCTACTTATTACTGGTATTCTTTTACTCAATATACAGGTATTGTAGAGAAGGTAGGGGTGTGTGTGTGTGCTTGCATGTGTAGCAAAGCACAGACTCACAAAAAGAAACAGTGTGTCAGTACATGTCTGAAAGCCTGAGTCCTGCAAAATGAGACTCAGGTCATGGTGAAAAGCAGAATTCAGTGTTAATTCAGATTCAAGATAAGGTATAACAGGGTCGTTCTCTACTCTTTGTGCAATGAGTGGTCTCCTTTCTCTTGAATGGAAGCAGTCTTCCATTTTGGATGTCCAGGGCTAGACGCCAATGCTTTCAGCTGTATTAGTAGGCTACGTACTGTTAAGAACATGTCTGAAAGACTGAATTCAACAGCCCAATCATTTCATATTGAAGTACGAAATTTGAATAAGGATGACATGTGCTGACTGCATTCCAGGCTTAGATAAAAGAGGTCGAAATAGGAAATGACAGGAAAATTTGTAGTAAGAAACCAATAAAAAGGAAAGCCAGTCCACTTTACTATACCTGATAGGGGAAGCAGGTGTGGTGGGTTGGCCTCACACGATCTTCCTGGTCCCAGCCTCTCAAGGAGAGAGTGACAGTGATGGGTATGTTCTGTGAAGAGGTAGGAAAGATGGGGGAGCAAGCCAGGGCTACTGCTCAAGAGCTGAGAGGATGTAGAGCATACCCCATCCCGGGGGCAAAAGAATTTTCGTATAGCCAATCTCCCTTCTTGTACACATAGAAACTACTATGGTTTGAAAATTTGTATATTAAAATCCTAACCCTGAAGGTGATGGTATTAGAAGATGGGGGTTTTGGGAAGTGATTAGGTCATGAGATAGGAGCCCTCATAATGATATTAGTGCCCACATAAGTAAGACCCAAAGGCATTCATTTGTCCCTTGTGCCATGTGAGGACAATGCCAGAAGGCATCATCTATGAATGAGAAGGCAGGCCCTCACCTGACACCAAATCTGTTGGTGCCTTAATCTTGAACTTCCCAGCCTCCAGAACTGTGAGAAATAAATTTCTGTTGTTTATAAGCCCTCCAGTTTATAGTCCTTTATTATAGCAGCCTGAAAAAAGGAAGATACAGACACATGCTCCTTACATAGACACAGGTTTTGGCTGAGGCTGCTTGATGCTTGGGAAGTGGGTTTGGCTCTGGACATCTCCAAGGAGGTCAGGGTGGGGTCAGATGAGAGAAGAAGGGCTCTGGCTGCTTCAGGCTCCCTCCACCCTTAACAGGAAAGCAGGCGAAGAAAACCTTCCAGTTGCCTCTGTGGTCGGTTGAGTCCAGTGTTATGTATGTGGTATCATAGAACTTTGCTCAAACCACTTACCAAGGAATGAAGGGAAGCAGACATTCAGAGCCCAACCACACCCAGGAAAAAAAGACCAGATACGTAAAGGATATATGAAGAAGAGGCACCACAGTCTGGTGGAAAGAGTTTGGATTTTACAGTCAGATAACTTCTGGCGCTGCTGCTTGTGACCTGGGAAAGCCACCTAACTTACCTGAGCTTCCCCAAGATTCCTGCTTTGAAAAGTAGTGGATAATGATGCCTCCCTTGCAAGTTATTGTGAATAGAATACTCAATGCAAATCAAGCTGCAATGAACATGGCATGTAAATAAATAAGTGTAAATTAGATGAGAATTTGCCTTGAAATTGATAGTATGGTAGTAATTGTGTTCTTCTTATGTAAAGTTTGGTTTTTCAGCATGGCTAACAATGTGAAATGACCAAGTTGCCTAGAGTGATGTTAAAGTCAGAAGGGCCAGAGAAGGTGGAAGGCAGGAAAATGTTGCCGAGAGCAAGAAGCATAAAGCAATGGGTTAGCGACCTCAGACTTCTTAGCGTTCTACTACTTAACTGAATTCCTTGAAACCAGGACTCTGTTTTACTCATTTTTGTCTCTTGTATACCTGGCACAGACTGGCCACTCTATAGTAGACAGTGGATAGATGTTAACTGATGTGAGAATGAATGAATAAGCAAACTTTATTTAAACTGTGCTTATTGTTACTAATACTTCTTTGGGCATCATTGGATTTTATGGCATGCTAGCAGAAGCAAAATAAATTATAATTTAGTGTTGGAGAATTTGAAAATTGAAGACATACGTCACGTAGTGTTGAGAATAAGAACTCTGAGGTCGGACTGTGCATGTCCTTGGGAAATGCATTTGACCTCTCTGTGCCGAGCTATCACGTGGGGATAATTTAGTACCAATCTTAGGCAATAAGTGAATTAATGAATAGGAATAAATTAATCAATAGGATTAATTAATGAATCTGTATAAAGTGTATAAAACAGTACATGGCGTAATAGTGAATGCTAAATAAATGTTAACTGCTATTACTTTAAACTTTTAAGTATGGCATTTAGTGTAGCACTCACCCATGATATCACAATTATACGTTTTTCCTAGATATTAATTCTAAAAATATTAAGGTTATGAAGCAATAACAGGTCAAAATAATAAATTTTCTGGTAAAAATCTTACATATAGATTCATGAGCAAAATTGTACATAAATTAGGAAGCAGACCTAAAGCTGTCACATTTCTAGGTTTGATAGAAATGAAAGAAGTCACTCAAAAAGGATCCCTAGTTCTGGTTATCAGAGAAAATCCAATTTAAAAATGTAATCATTTTATTTATCCCCACCACAGACTATAATAACAGACTTCCAGTTTCTGCATTTTTTATTTTATTTGATTGCAGTTTTCTGGAGCAGTATCTAACTATCCCCTTGGGTGGATAGCAAGGTCTAGGCTTGGTCACAGGTCCAAGCCAAGTTCTCTAATCCAGCGTTTGTCATAGTAAGACTGATGGTTTGATGCTGAAAAGGAAAATGTATTTGCATTTTATTCAATGGAGACAGAGAATTTGGTCACTCAGCGGAAAGAAATGGTGCGCACAAAGGCCGAGGAATTGAAAACTGTGAGGTACGTTTGGGAATCAAAGTCCAGTGTGATTAGAGCAAATGCAAGATAAGGCAAGTTCATCTCTGAAAGGACTTCTGACTCCTTCGGTTACATCAGGACCACAAATGAGAAGAGGACAAGTGCTCCTCAAGATACTTATTCTGGGATGTGCTTGGAACACCGTCATCCAGGATAGGAATATGAGGTGGCTGGGCCATCTGAGTCCATAACCCTGAACATATAACCATGAACTCTATTGATTCATGAGAGCAAACAGGTGGAGTGGGAGGACTACTCAGTCAGGGAAGCCCCAAGCATCTGGGTGGAAAGGGCTCAAAGTGTCCTGGAGTGAGCTCGTTACCTTCCCTAGGAAATTAGCTGGTGTCAACTTCCTGATCAGTGTTGGGACAGAGGCATTGGAGAGAAAAGATATATTTTGCTCTGTGTACAAATACTTGGCTCTTTGCCTTCTGGGTGCAGCTGAAATGCTTTAAGAGATTCAGCCCCCACACCTGGCTGGCCTCATGTCCAGGGCCATCAGGATAATTCTTTGCTGTTCCTAAAGAATTCTTTTGGTCTGACCACTGCTGCTTGAAAATGCACAACTATAGATGCCTTTATTAATATCTTAGGCTTAAAGGTTTGTTTTAATGCAAAACTTAAAGATAATTCCTGCTGTTTCATACCCTCCCCTGCCCATGCCACACACGTACTCAAGAAGTTGTTGATTTAATGGAACTTGTGCTGGCTTTGGATTAAAACTAACCTGGGATTGAAACTTATTTGCACCACTGATTGGTTCTTTGCTCTGTTCTTAAGCTTTCTGAGACTCAGTTTGCTGATCTATAAAATGAGAATCGTTAATACCCACTTGAGGTTTTCTGGTGAAGATGATATATTTTTATGTAGCACACAAAGCATCTAGCAGAATGCCTGGCACATAGTAACCACTCAACAAATATCATAACTAACTGGAGCCTTGAGGTCAGGTGAAGCATTTTATGGCATGTGTATTTCATAATACCTTCATGGATTTTTTCAAGAACATTAAACTCTAGGGATCTATAATTTTTCTCTTGGAACCATTGGGGACAACAACCTCCTGAACTACTTTCCAGACTGGTGTGGAGGCTTGATCTGTAAACATCACTTTTCCTTAATAACCTCCTGATCTCAGGCCTCAGCCTGTGGAAAGTTAGACTGTGAGTAGAGCAGAGATTCTGGGGATAATGGGCAGTTTTTTTGTTGACGTCTTAAGTTGTACACTGGGAAATAGAGAAAATGCCTCTGTGCCTCCTTGGCTTCTCCTGTGACTGCTGGCCGCCCATCCCACTCCCACCTCCGCATCCCCCACACCTTTATTTAGAAACCCTGTTCATTGTCTTCTTGTTTCCCTTCATTTCTGGTTTTCACCATTTGCTGTTGACAAGAAAATGTGAACAATTATTTGTATGTTAATGATCCCCAGAACCCTGGTAGATAGTAGTTAAATATTGTTAACTGCAGAGTTGTGTGACACTCTCAGTGCCTAGGGAAAAGATCTGGTAACAATACTGCCCTAGACATTCTCATACCTGCCTCTGGCCCTAGATTTTGCTGACTTTTTCTGTCCTGGGTTAGAAATTTTAGGTCACCTGATAAGCCCCTGGAGTTCTTTTAGTGAGGATTGGTTTGCTTGAGGGAAAACTGGTCATGATCTGGAACTTGCTATGGAGGTCAAGCACTTCCTTAATCTGTAGGGAGGCTGGGGTTGTTGTATGTCTGTCAGAAATCATTTAATCCCTTAGGCTAGCTCCAAATCTCTCTTCTCAGTTTCCTGAAAAACTCTCCAAAGATATGTTCAGCAGAGCCCACCTTCATGGAATATTTTATATCTATGGTTTACAAAACACATTCATGCAGTTTTGGAAAATAGCAAAGGGTGCGGACTCAGAACTCAGTTTAAATCGTGCATTTGCCTTGAGTAGTCATATGAATTTTGGCACATTATCTAATATGTCTGAGCCTTTTTCGTTTTGTCTTTCAAATGGGCATACTAGTGATTGTTTGAGATGACCATTAAATCAGCTAATATAAATAAGGCACCTAAAAAGATAGTAAATGTTAGCTTTTTGTTGTCTTCTTTTTCTTAATCATTTCCTTCATTAATCTATGCTTTCTCTGTAAAACACACATGTGCACACACATACACACAGATTTACATGAGGCAATTAAATGAACTATCTCAGAGAACCGATAAGAAGTATTCCAGAAAGTCATTTTCTTCCTGGCAAAGGGCAAATGGTTCCTTAAAGTATCTCCTATTGGAAAATGGGGCATTTGCTGCCCATCATTTCTGGTTTTCACCACTTTGCACACCCAGTGTTGGCACAAATGAATGTAATGGCAAACAGGGGCAGAAAGGATTACAACAATAATAAGCACACTGTGCACTTTATTTTATTTATTTTTTTTTTTTTTAATTTTTTTTTTTTTATTTTTTGAGACGGAGTCTTGCTCTGTCGCCCAGGCTGGAGTGCAGTGGCGCAGTCTCGGCTCACTGCAAGCTCCGCCTCCCGGGTTCACGCCATTCTCCTGCCTCAGCCCCCTCCCCCGAGTAGCTGGGACTACAGGCGCCCGCCACCGCGCCCGGCTAATTTTTTGTATTTTTAGTAGAGACGGGGTTTCACCGTGTTAGCCAGGATGGTCTCGATCTCCTGACCTCGTGATCCGCCCGCCTCGGCCTCCCAAAGTGCTGGGATTACAGGCCTGAGCCACCGCGCCCGGCCCGCACACTGTGCACTTTAAAAGCTGGATTTTGATCTTTGGGGATGTAGCCTGGAGGTCAGTGAGGCCCTGTTGCAAAAGCTGCCTCCAGCAGGCTTGGGACCATTCATAGGTTGTTGCCCGCAGAATAGGATTGCAGGATCCAGAATCATTACTAACTGATGTCTGTGATTCAGAGCCACCTGAGGGGCACAATTCCCTTCTACGTTCAAGTCTGGGAGGAAATGGGGTGAGCCTTGTTATTTCAGTATCCAAAAGTCTTACCCATCACATTTCATAGACACGTGCAAAGTTCTTTACTGAAGGGTTAGGACAATTTAGAGAGATATTATAATATAGAAAAAAACAAAGACTACAAGTCTAGCTAACTCAATTTTCTCTTCCATCTCAAAGGAAAGACTCCCTAAGCCTTAGCTCTTCACAAGTAGATGACCCTCTACGGGGATCTCTCACATTCCAGGCTTTCCTGCTTTAATGTTTATACTCATGCTCCATATGCTTACTTTTAAAGTCTCTCACTGTGATATTCCTAAAGACTTCCTAGAGACATTGCCACTTCTTTCATAGCACAAAGTCTTGCCCTTTTGTGAATCTGGAAATACTGAATAGCACCCTGTACTTTGGCCAAAAGGGTAATACTTCTTGCTGTTCCCCAAAGTGGGGGCAGGCAGAGAAGAAGGATGGATTTCAGTCTCGTGAGCAATGGTAAGCATGGATACAAAGGCAAGTTTCTTTGCAAACTTTCCAATGCTAGTTCCTTTACTAGTTGAGCTATTAAATAAACATTTTCTCAAGGGTAAACATTATTTTTTTTCTTGAAGGCAAGACTATTTAACCATGATGATGAAAGAATATTTTTCTCTTACTAAGGCATGGCTCTTGTTCTTGGAAGTGATAGTTTTCATTTTTTGCCTGTAGGGATGTTTGCTTTGTTTCTGTTGACCTGTAGTGGTCTGGCATTACAACAAAGAATTTAAGAGCTACCCTCCATGTTAATCAAGGTTTAGGGTCAGCTTCTATTAAATTGTTTTTATGAAGAAATATCCTGTGACGTTGGTTCCCACCTCACCCTGTTTCCAATACAATGTTAACTTTTGCGTTTGATGTACCACCTCTTAGACAAACATGAGATCATTTGCAAGGGGCCAGTGTAGATCAGAAAGGGATGGGAATTTATTGGTCAAAGATGATCAAAACATGATCCGGAACACAGGCTATCTAAATCTATTACTGGATAGCTAGTTAAATTTGTACTAGTTAAGAAAAATCGGTAAGTTGATTTTGGCCAATGAGCTACAGGAAACTTATTCTCTAGATTGTAAGATCTGGTAGCATTTTTTTTAACTTTTACTTTAGGCTCAGGGGTACATGTGCAGGTTTGTTATATAGGTAAACTGCATGTTGTGGGGGTTTGGTGTACAGATTATTTTGTCACTCAGGTCATCCGCATAGTACCCAATAGGTAGTTTTCTGATCCTCACCCTCCTCCCATCCTCCACCCTCAAGTAGGCCCCAGTAACTATTGCTCCCTTCTTTGTGTCCGTATGTATTCAAAGCTTAGATCCCACTTATAAGTGAGAACATGCAGTATTTGGTTTTTTGTTCCCGAGTTAGTTCACTTAGGATAATGGCCTCCAGCTCCATCCATGTTCCTGCAAAGAACATGATCTCATTCTTTTTTATGTCTGCATAGTACTTCATTGTGTATATCTACATTTTAAAAATCCAGTATATATGGTAGCATTTTTATTGGGCATATCTGCATGGAATATCTTTGTCTCATTGCAGCCCTAAGCATATAGGAATGAGATTAAAGTGAAGATCTTCAGTTCCAGCTCAGTTCTGAGTAGCAGAACTAAGATATGACACTGCCTGATCCTGATTAAGGGTTTTACCAATACCTTAGAGAGACAGAATTGATAGTTTACAACAGACCCCCATATTGTATTGTGTTTTTCTGTGTGTCCATATACATTTAAGCACTAGGTAATTATTTGAAGACACAATGTAGTACAGCAGATAAGCACCTGAATTTGGGGTTGGCCAGACCACTGTTCAAATCCTGATCCTGCCATTTATAGATGTACTGAGCAGTTTATTCTGTGAGTCTTGTTTTTTTTCATGTCAACAATAAAGATAATAACACCCAGTAATTTTAGAAGGATTTAATAAAATAATGTATAGAAAGTACTCAGCACAGTGATTGCTGTGCTATGCCCATAATAAGTGGAAAATATATCTATGTTTTCAGTAAGTCATTTATAGTTCATTTTATAAGGTAGTTAAGTCATTCACAAAGAATATATTTAATATCTTGAATTTTTTTTTTTTAAAAAAAGCTCTGCAGTTGTCCTTAAATAGAGATTCCTGATTCTAGTGACAATTACATTTTAGATGATGTTGCCCTGGGTGGGAAGGCTAAGTAATAGATTTCTTATTGAGAACTAAGCCTAAATAGCTATTGTCTACTTTTGGTTACTATTTATCTAAAAGCAATCTCTAATTTTTTTTTTAGAAAATTGGGCATAGGTCACTTAGGGCATCTTTCCCTACAGTACAGTATACTGCCCATTATAAAAGATATGGTTTCCCTAAGCATGAGCTTCTACTTCTACAACAAAACCCACTAGAACCATTTGTGTTGCTCCCGTGATACTGGGGGACAAGGGAAATTTACAAATATATTGTTCTTGCTGCTTTCTGTGCTGTGAATAATAAACGTCTTTGTCTCTGACTCAAAAGTCTTGTGTCTTCTGCCAGCATCCATGAAACTGTACCAGGCTAATTTGTAAGCTTGCAAGTTGAGTAAAATCTCAGGCCCTTCACATTTTTTGACAAATAATAATGAAACAACTGCATCTTTTTTGTAGGTGAATACTTAATTATTTTATTGTTTATACAAAGTGCTTTAGATAAACTATTCCATAATGTGTTTTTCCAATATCAGAATGTCATTTTACCTTAGTCCCTAAGAATGACACTAATGCATAAGATACATAAGAGTAATGGGAAACATTATGGACAGCATTCTTTCATTGCCTAAGTCAGGCCTGTGTAGCTGTTACTCTCCGGGGAAAACTATGCAAGGCTGAACTCACCTTTATAGGTCACTGGGCTTCAGCTCTGCACATTACTTCATTAGGATTTCAAATGTGACCTGAGTGCCCTGAAAGAATTTATTGAACCTCCAAATGTATATTTCTTGTTAAAAAAGGCATAAACAATATACTGGGAGAATGTGGCAAGAGATGGGTTATCCCAAGGCCAAGCAAGTCTTTTGCTAATGAGGAAGGGGAAAAACCTGTGGCTTGATCTCAAGATCAACACAGAGAACTGATATATGGGAGCTGGTAATAATGTTTTGGAGGAAAATCATTCCTGAGGAAATATGAATGGTGGCAGAGGACAGCAATAGAATTATGAGATTTAATTTAAAAATGATCCCTGGTAATGTAGACTGCCAAAAAATTGGCTTATACCCTGTACTATGTATAACTTTTGGAAGTAGTTTTGTAACATGCTTGCAGAACAATTGGCCTGTATTTCTCTGAGCACACAAATATTTTTCCATCATTAACAGTCACACTGTATTCTATACATAGAAGCCATTGACTGTCAACAATATTTACATTTCATTGTGCACATTTTTTGTTTCAGATAGTATAGGCAGCTTGACTGTTTTTATCAAGTTGAATGGCCTTTTATATTTCTTTTTCAGCAATTATTTTAGGAAGTCATAGAACTGCCAAAGAAGAAATATAAAAGCCCACACAACTTGATAAAGAAAAATAAAAATTAGCAAGGAGGTGAAACATCAGTAAGGAATTTAATATTGAGGATAATTTGCCCTAAAAATGGAAAAACTATTTGCCTGGGGTCTAGCTCAGTAATACTTGATTTTGCAATATGGCTGTATTTTACAATCTTATCAGTTAGAATCACGCCAAAGGGTTTTTCTCAGGTCAAAATAATCTGAAGACTTTCTTCATGTCCTTCAAAAATCCCCACCTCCACAGTGAAGGTTGCCTCAGTTGGAGACAAATAAAGGATTCTAATTAGGGCCCTTGGGAGTCTGCAAAGCAATTGTCTGAAACTGTTACTCAACTTCATGAGCTCATTAACAGGCATCTCTCTGTCTGAATAATCGGAGAAAGAGCAGCAAGTTCATTTTGGCCAAGCAGCCATGGGCCTGAGAGAATTCATGTTTGATAATAGAACATTACCTATTATTTCAGATAGGAATGTTTGGGTTCAAGCAACAAACAGACTCTAGGTAATGTCAGGAATGGAAAAACAGGGAATTTATTGAAGGCTATGGAACTATGGGATTGAATAAAAAGCTCGAAATGAAGTAAGACCAGTCCTTGGAAAGAAGAAGCAAGGAAGCTTTTGAAATCTAGAGACAGAACTTATAGACTCTTTAAGGCTAGGATGTCAAGATGTCAGAAAGAAAAAGTTCTAGCCATTATGAATCCTTGTGACACTTTGTTCAAGATTCAAATTTCAAGAAGAGAGAAATTGATTGGCTTGGTTTTGGCCAAACACATACTTGTTGACAGAGAGGAAAGGACAATTTAATTGAGAATCCCAGCAGTCTATGTCCAATAAAAGGTTACTTACCCTGAAGGAACAGGGCAATGTTATCAATGGTATGGGGAAGGGATACTGGGTAGGCAGCAAGAGCAGATATTCATTACACCTAAGAAGTTATTAACCACTGTGCCGTGGATTTTGGATCATCTGACAGACCTAACACTGCCTTTTGTGGAGATCTGGGGAAAGTATCTGGGTCCTCACAACTCAGTGCACATTCTTGGTGCAAGAACCATGGACTGTGATTACACATCTAGTCCAAACATTTGAATCTTCCATTAATTTTTTTCTCAGATTTCTACATCCTTAAGGAATTAAAAAAAAAAAAAGCAGAGTGGGGTTTAGTTCTTTTACTGGCCTGCCTTCTTGAAAGCAGGTCAGATATTCATGGCTCAGAAAGCTTTGGACTAACAGCTGTGGCATTCAAAAAGCTCTTTGTACAATTCCAGGGAGGAGATGTTTTATAAAGGTGAATTATGGATTTCTTAAATTGGCACATGGCTATATATTTTTTATTTATGGAGTACAATGTGATGTTTTGATAATTGTGAAATGATTGTGTGTCAAGCTAATTAATATATCATCTCCTCAGATATTTTTAGTGAACACTTGTAAAATCTATTATTGTAGCAGTTTAAAAATATATAATACATTGTTATTTACAATGGTCATCATGCTGTTTGTATTCCTTCTGTCTAACTGAAATTTTGTACCCTTTGGTCAATGTCTTCCCCATTCCCTCACTCCCAACCTTTGGTAACCCTCATTATATAAATTTGACTTAAATACTTCTGTAAATTTGACTTTTTTAGCTTCCCCATGTAAGTGAGATCATATAGTGTTTGTCTGTCTTTTTCAGCCTTATTTTACTTATCATAGTGTCTTCCAGGTTCATCCATATTGTCACAAATGATAGGACTTTTTTTTTTTAAGGCTGAATAGCATTACATTGTGTATGTATACAGAATTTTCTTTATCCACTCATCCGTTGATGGACACTTAGGTTGATTCCGCATCTTAGCGTTTATGAATAATGCTGCAATGAACATGGGAATGCAGATGTCTCTTCAACATACTGATTTCAGTTCCTTTGGATATATACCCAGTAGTGAGATTGCTGGATCTAATGATGATTCTATTTTTAGTTTACTGAGGAACTGCGATAGCATTTTACACAATGGCTGTACTAATTTACATTTTTGTCAACAACGTTCCAAGGTTCCTTTTTCTCCACATCCTTGCCAGCACTTGCCATATTTCACCTTTGAGAATAGCCATTCCAACAGTTATGACATAATATCTCATTGTGGTTTTAATTTGCATATCCCTGATGATTCATGATGTTGAGCATTTCTCCTATGTCTGTTGGCCATTTGTATGTCTTTTGAGAAATGTCTATTCTGGTCTTTTGCCTATTTTTAAAATAGAGTTATTTGATTTCTTGCTATTAAGTTGTTTTAGTTCCTTATATATTTTTAATATTATCCCTGTATTTGATATTTGGTTTGGAAATATTTTCTCCCAATCTGTGGGTTGTCTTTTTGCTCTGGTAATTGTTTACTTTGTTGTGCATAGGCTTTTTAATTTGATATAATCCCATTTGTCTATTTTTGCTTTTGTTACCTGTGCTTTTGGGGTCATATTGACAAAATTATTGCCCAGACCAATGTTGTAGAGCTTTTGCCTTGTATTTTCTTGTAATAGTGTGGCAGTTTCAGGTCTTGTGCTCAAGTGTTTAATCCCTGCATTAGGTATGAGATAGGAGTCCAGTTTCATTCTTCTGCATGTGGATATCTAGCTTTCCTAAAACTACTGCCCTTTTTTCCATTGTGTGCTCTTGGCACTTTTGTATCTGTTTTTATGCCAGTATGATGCTGTTTTGATTATTATAGTTTTGCAATATATTCTAAAGTTAGGTGGTATGAGGCCTCTGGCTTTATTCTTTTTGCTTAAGACTGCTTTGGATATTCAAAGTTTTTGGTGGTTACATACAATTTTAGGATTTTTTTTTCTATTTCTGTGAAACTATTATGAGTATTTGGATAGACATTACATTGAACCTGTACATTGCTTTGGGTAGTATGGATATTTTAACAATATTAATTCTTCCAACCCATGAACATGGGATATTTTTTCATTAATTTGTGTCTTCTTTGATTTCTTTCATCAACGTTTTACTGTTTTCAGCATACAAATCTTTCACCTCCTTGGTTAAATTTACTTCTAGATGTTTTATTTTTATTTTACTTGACGCCATTCTGAATGGGATTGTTTTCTTAATTTCTTTTTCAGGTAGCTCATTGTTAGTATATAGAAATGCTACTGATTTTCGTATATTGGTTTTGTATCCTGCAGTTTTCCTGAATCTACTTACCAATTCTAACAGTTTTTTTTTTGTTTTCTGGTGGAATCTTTAGAGTTTTCCATGTATAATATCATGACATCAGCAAACAGTGACAATTTCCCTTCTCCCTTTCCTACTTGGATGCTGTTTATCTGTCTATTTATCTGGCCTAATTGTTCTGGCTATGGGCACATAGATATTTTGATTAGCCCCAAAATTCACAGATTTCCAAAGGAGTAGAGTTTGAGTGGTGAAGCTGATTCTTTCACTGGTATTTTCATATTTTGCATGCGATGGAGACTTTCATATTATTATTTGTCATCTGAGATATGACAAACCATGAGGGTGTGGTATGAACAATATGGAGTACTGAAATGCATTAAAAAACTAGAGCGGATTGATGGTTGCAGTTCCACAAGATCATTTTGGGTGATTTGTGGAATGGCAAATGGAAATTATGCCACCTCAGTGCTTGGTTCCCAGGCTAGGGAAAGCCTGTCATAGTTGGTATTCACATTACTTTCAAAGTTGAAACTTCAGTGCTAAGCAAATTTTGGATTAAAATAAGATATTAGTGGGCAGAAGAAAATATGTCATTCACTGGGCACTTACTAAGTGCCAGACATTGCTCTAGGGCTTCAAGGTCCAATGCAGTAGCCACTAGATACATGTGGATATTAGGCACTTAAAAGGGGGCTAGTGTGGCTGAGGAACTGACTTTTAAATTTTGTTTAATCTTGATTATTTTAAATTTAAAACACTGATACTTGGTTCAGTTTTTGGAAAACTTTAAGTACTTTTGGAACAACCTGGGTATGTGAATCTGTTTTTTCAACTGAAAATCTTAAGAAATCTAAATATAGATCAAGCATTTCCTATGAAAATTTAGTGTCCAAATTAAGGTGTATTGTAAGTGTGAAATACACACTGGCTTTTGAAGACTTCATAGAAAAAAAATGAATGTAAAATATTTCATTAACATAAGCTTTTCTACTGATTGGGTTTTGATATGATAATATTTTGAATATATTGGATTAAAGAAAATATGTTGTTATAATTAATTTTCCCAGTTTCTTTTTGCCTTTTTAAAATGTGGCTACTAGAAAATGACATATGTGGCTTGCGTGATATTTCTATTGGACAGTTTCTTTCTAGGGGCTTTGACATATGCCATTTTACCAAATCATTAAAATAACCCAGTATGGTAGGCACTACTGTTCCCATTACTATAGGAAAGGCAATTGAGTGAGGCTCAGAAAAGTTATTTAAGTCTCTCAGGTGTTACATTTCTTATAGAGCAAAGCCAGGATTCAAAGCCAGGTTTGGATAGCCCCACTTCTTCTTTGTTTCTACTCTGTTGTGTTGTTCCTGGTTGCTTTCTTTTAGGAAAGCCATGAAGAGCTTGCAGTTCTGTCTTGATTCTTCGTAATAAATAAGACCTGATGAACCTATTTATGAACAGGAGGCAGTTTGAAACAAAAATTACCTTCTCTTCAAATGGTAACTGGAAGAATATTTGAATTCTTGCAAAACGAATGAACAAAACCCATTTACATGAACAGAGTTTTACAAATTAACACAAAAACATATTTGAAACATTAGAGAGCAATTTGCCTAGCCAATGGGCACTGATTATTTAGTTTAATATCTTGGGTTGGGTTTCTTTGTTTTGGTTTTTTTTTTTAGAGAATTTGAAATTGTGGGACCATTCCGAGATCTAACATCTCTGATGATGATGATGATGATGATTCTTCTTCTTCCTTTTTAAAAATAATACAAGTAAGGTTTCCTTTACAAAGATGGTGTTGATTCCACATTAGAAATTCTCAGTATTGCATTTGTTATATTAATAGCTTTCAATATATAATCATTACAAAGAATGCAGAGACATGCCCATTTTTTTGATGTGATTAATTAAAAAATAAGCTTCCTCTCCTTTCTACTTTGTCACTTTTTCCATGTAGCAGGAGTTAAGGAAGGACAAAGCTTTCCTCTATCACTTGCACAATTGGTGATGTTAAAATGGCATAGACTTGATTTGAGAGGGACTATACCCTAAATTGAAGGAAGGAAGCTAACTGTTCTCTGAAGATTCCCAAGCTCACTGACCCAGTGAGGGAAAAATGTGTTCACAGAGAGTGAGACAACTATGCAGCAAATCATCTCTTCCAGGGTGTTGGGAGCCAGCTACAAAACTTGAAAACAGACTCATCTGTTCTGCACCTGCCTGAGTACTGGCGTTTCCTGGACTAGTTAACTTGCCTTGATCATGGCAGGATTAGGCAGGCTCAGAACTTCAGTGACACTTCCCTTTGAGGAAATGTCATACGACCTATGACAAAAACCAAAAACAGGTGACTCTAGGGCAACAGGTCCTCCTCTGCCTGGAAGGTTTGCTTGTCAGCCTCCTGATGTCACCTCTCTTGGCTATATTCTCCATACCATCACCCAGGGTATAGGAGAGAAGGTGTTCTTGCCAAGACCACATGATTGGCATTCTCTGCCTTGGCCCTTTTATCTTTCCCCAGTGCTGGCCCTCCCTCACCCTGCCCTTGCACTCAGCAGAGCAGAAGTCTGCTTGAGAGCCTTGCTATTTTTACTTCTCTGTGAGGGGATCTCAGGTTACAAATTATATACCGATGAGGTAAGTTACAGGTATGTAGACTCCTGTTTCTAATTTAGCTTGGCACTGGTTTTGAACGTTAAACAGTCTCTCAGTCCAGCTCTCCCTGCTTCCACTCTCCTCCCATCTTTGGCATCACGTTCCATCCTGATTCTGAGGGTTGCTTTCCTTTCCTGCTGGATCTCCCAACGTTCGGGCTGCTTGCAGAGAGGAATCAGGGGAGTTTAGTTTTGCACAGGGTAAAGTTCTATGCTTATTCCCCAAAAACTTGGCAGTGGCAATGCTATTTAAACACACAGGCCCCCAATAGATGAATATTTGTAAGATATTTTAGAGGCTTTCAATCGCTTTCACACATATTGTCACAGTTAAGTCTTGCCTGAAAAGACTGGAATCACTGCAATTACCTGTAATTTGCAGATGAGAAAATTAGGGCTCAAAGAGGTTAATGATTTGACTAAGAGTCCATGGCCAAGATGAAGTTCAGAAGCGATGGATACATAAGGAACAAACTTCTGGTGGAAGGTCCTTTCCTCCAACCTCAGGAGTCTGGAAAAGTGGAATCCTTCCCTCCTTCTTCCTTTTCTTTCTTCCTTTTTTTCTTCTTCCCTCCCTCCTCCTTTCTCTCCCTCCTTCCTGCTCTCCCTCCTTCCCTGTCTTTCTCCCTCTTTCCTTGTTTCTGTCTTTTCCTTCTGTCTTTTTTCTTTATCTGGGTCTAGACTAATCTCTCAGGTTTTAGGTTAAAATGGCTCTTCCTGAAGCCACCCGTGTGACAAGCACACCCTGTGCTTTCTGCATTGTCTTATGAATTTGAAATTTAATATGAATTTAGTTGGAATAGACATGTTAGAGAAAAGGTGACATCAACATTAGATTAAAACACTAAACAGGGTTTTTTTTTTTTTTTGAGACGGAGTCTCGCTCTGTCGCCCAGGCTGGAGTGCAGTGGCGCGATCTCGGCTCACTGCAAGCTCCGCCTCCCGGGTTCACGCCATTCTCCTGCCTCAGCCTCCCAAGTAGCTGGGACTACAGGCGCCCGCTACCACGCCCGGCTAATTTTTTGTATTTTTAGTAGAGACGGGGTTTCACCGTGTTAGCCAGGATGGTGTCGATCTCCTGACCTCGTGATCCGCCCGCCTCGGCCTCCCAAAGTGTGGGATTACAGGCGTGAGCCACCGCGCCCGGCCTAAACAGGGGTTTTTAAGCATCAGAATGCAAATGCCTGCTTATTTCTGTTTCTTAAAAACTTAACATGTCCACAAACACAATTAGCATTTAAGCAATATTTTCATGTTAGCTTCAATAACACATTGTGGGACTTCAAAGTGCTTAAATGGCATTCTACCTATCATTAAGGTGTTTACAATAAATAGAAGAAATATTACAGATAATTTTGAAAATAAAGCAAAACTATTCCCAATCCGATTTTTGCTATTTTCTCAGCAACTCAGAAAAATTCCTAGGTAGGGAGAAATGGCTTTAATTTGCATATCTAATTTCAAATTGTGGCCATTGTATTTTCATTATCTATCTCTTTTGACATGTCTGTCAGTAACCTACTTGTTACGCATACAGACACGTACTCGTACACATGCACGCAGTGTGGCATCTCATTATTCTCGAAGCTCTCAAGGGCCTGTTTTATATTGTTAGACTGTAAGATTGTGAGCTGCTGAAAGGCAGGAACAATGCCTCTTCTTTCATTTCACTTACTCATTTCCTTATTTCTGCTAGGGTTGTGTTGTCTATGCTGCACAGCCGAAAGAGCAGGGGGTTTGGTTTATGCATGGGTCAGACAAGTTTCTTACTTTTTTTGTGTCTCCATTTCCTCATCTGTAAAATGGGGATAAAAGCATAAACCTAGGTGATAGGGTTGTTGGGAACACTAAATGAGAGAATTGTGGCATATAGTCACTGTTCAACAAAGACAGACATATACGTTTAATATTTTATATAAGCATACTTTTATATCCCCCCACATTAATTTACACTTGGTACTTACATAGGTAACTCCTGAACAGCCTCATTCCTCCTCATGCTGCCCCTAACACTCAAGCACTGACTAAATTTTTTTTCACATGAATGAAGCAATGACTTAATAACGGTGAAAGTGTTATACTGAAGCTTTCAATTGATGGCTTTCCCTTACACCACAGGTCTAGATAGTACTTGGGGGAAGGGAGTGTGTACTGTTTTTGAGAGAGGCTGAGGATTTGACAAAGGACCTCAGAGAGCACCAAAATAAAGATAACCCAAATGGAGAAACCAGGACTAAAAAGCTATTGAATTTCACATGATTATGTCAATGTTCTCTTTTCCTCTGAATCATTTGAAGCTTTGGAAGGAAATTTTAGACATAAATAACTTTAATTTGTACTCTTCTTATGCTCAATTATAGCATGGCATCATTTTTGATGAATACTTCATCCAGACTGATTCATTTATTTCTAGTAGAAAGAAGGAATGGGTGCGACTCTTGCTCATTCATTATTTTTTCCCTTATGAGGAAAACAAAATAGTCTCATAATTAGGGGATTTTATTGTTGATATTATGATTTATTACATTTCTCATATGTATGTTCTTAACTTTTTTGAGGTATAATTTAGGTACAATACATTGTCCCAGTTTGTGCATTTTGATGAAGTTGGCAGTTGTGTACAGTTGTGTAACCAATATCACAATCAGGTAATTTCCATTACTTCAAAAGGTTTTTTCTTGTCCACTTGCAGTTGATTACCTCCACAGATGATTACTATGCACAGGCAGCTACTGATCTGCCCTCTTATCACCTTTATGCTTGACTTATTTCACTTAGTATGATGCTATTACAATTCACGCATGTTGGTGCATGTACCTGCAGTTTGTTCCTTTTCATTGCTGAATATAGTCCTTAATATGGATATGTCACAATTTCTTTTTTGTACTAGTTGAATGATATTTGTGTTTCCAGTTTTGGCTTCTTAATAATGCTGCTACTATCATTCATATATACATAAGTTATTTTGACTCAAGTGACACAAAATATTTATCTTGGATAAATGTCTAAGATAAGTAAACATTTAACTTTTTATAAGATACTGCCAAAATGTTTTTACCAAAGTGATTGTATCACTGTGCAAATGAAACCAGCAAGTTATGAGATACTAGTTGTTCTACATCCTCACCAACACTTTGTATTGTCTGCCTTTTTAATATTTGTTTCCAGTGAGTGTGTAGTGATATCTCATTGCAATTTGAATTTATGTTTCTCTAATGCCTGGTGGTATCTTTTCACACATGTATTGGATGTTGATCCTCTTTCATGAAATGTCTGTTTAAATCTTTTGCCCATTAAAAAAATTCAGGACGGTCTTATTATTGAGTTCTAAGCATTCTCTATATGTTCTAGATATAAACTTTTTACCTGATGTGTGTTTTGAAAATATTTTCTCCCAGTCTGTGTCTGGCCTTTTTGCTCTCTTAACCATGTTTAAGAGCTCATGTTTTTAAATTTAGATAGAATGCATCTAGTTTATTTTTTTCTTTTATGTTTGTATTCTTTGTGGCCTGTTTAAGAAATATTTATCTTACCCAATATCACAAAGGTTTTCTCCTTTTTTTCTTTTAGACATTTTATGATTTGGGCTTTTACTGTTAGGTCTATGATGTATTTCATAATACTTGTTTTTTTTTATATGTTGCCACAGGCGGGGGAAAAAAAACGGCTTGGATTTTGTTTTTTTTTCCTTGTGGGACAAGTAGTTGTTTCAGCACCATCTTTTGGAAAAAACTTCCCTTCCCCATATAATTACTTAGGGGTAATTCAATTTTATTTATTAACAAAGATACTTTGATACTCCTTCTGAGTTCTGTCTCATTGATCTGTAGGTCTTAGGTCAATATCGTACTGCTTTTATAAGTGTAGCTTTAAAGTAAGTCCTAAAATCAGACAAGGTAAGTATTCCAACTTAAAAAAAATTTTTGCCTATTCTAGGTCTTTTACCTTTCTATATGCAGTTTAGAACCAGCTTATTGATTTCTTCTGAGAAACTTACTAGGATAATCATGAATTGTTGAGTCTATTAAAATGAAAAGACATTCGATCTAGTTAGGTCTATATTTTATGATTCATTTTTATTAATCTCCTTAATATTGTGTTCCTCTTCCTTCTTTCTAGCTTTTTGGAGATTATTTGAATATTTTAAGATATATTATTTATTTTTTTCATTGGGTTTTGACTATATGGTTGTCAGTAGTTGTGATACTGTAGCATAGATATTCAAGATGTTATCCATTGGAGAAACAGTGATTGCAAAATAAAAAGTTTAACCTCTAAAAGACAATTTAAAACTTGAATAGGTAGATTATAGACTGAAAGAAAACATTTCAAAATATGTACTGGCAAATGATTTGTTTTCAAGATTTATAAAAAAAGTCCTATAGTTCTATGATAATATGCCAAAATGATCTGATAAAAAGTTGGCAAATGATTATCAGATACTTCATAAAAGAAGATCCATGAATAACCAACAAACATAAGGAAAGCTTTCCACATCATCAGGGAAGTGGGAAAGGCAAATTAAAACCATGATGAAATACCACTACATACCCACCAGAAAGGCCGAAGTAAAGAAGATTGACATCAAATATTAGCAAGGATGTGGAGTAACCAGAACTCTTAGACACTGTGAGTAGGAATGTAAAATGGTACGATCATTTTGGAAACAGGAACCATCATTTTCTATAAAACAAAAGATACACCTAACCTTTGATTCAAAAATTTCCCAACCAGGTAATTTCCCAGGAGAAATGAAAATATATATCTATAAAAAGACTTATAAAAATGTGCACCATAGCTTAGCCAACAATGGATTCAACTCATGTGTCTGTTAATAGGAAAATGGCTAAACAAACCACTGCATATCTATACATTAGAATATTGCTCATCAATAAAAGGGAACAAACTATTGATACACGCAACATGGATGAACCTCAAAAACATACTGAGTTGAAGAAACCTCACACAAAAATACAGGCTGTAGGATTCCATTTATACAAAGTACTCAAGCAGGCAAAACTAATCTCTAGTGGTATAGAAAACAAAAACAGTGTTTGCCTGAGGGGGTGAGTGGTGGGTGAGAATAGATTTGGATGGGACCTGAGGGAACTTTCTCTAGAGATGTAATGTTCTGTATCTTGACAGGGTTTGGGGTTACATAGTTGTATATCATTTGTCAAAGCTCAATAAATGATATACTTAGAATTTATGCATTTCATCATATGCAAATTTTACCTCTAAACCTATAAATAACTGTACATAAAAAATCATTTAGTTAACATTCTGTGTATTTGATATTAAGGAATTATTGTTAATTTTTATTGTCTGTTTTTTCAGCATAATAACAAACAACCATAACATATCAGTGGCATCAGCAATAGGCATTTATTTCTTGCTCATGTGTTTTTGAGTGGCTTGGAGTGCCCCTTCTTCAGGCTTTTTTTTGTTGGGGTGGCTCCAAACTTCAGATAGAAACCAGGTTTTCTCCATGTATTTCCTATCTTTCTTGGACCAGTGGTTATATTGGAGGCATGTGCCTCTCATGTAAAAGCAGGAACATGTACAGGTAAGCCCAGTCATATAAGCACTTTTCAAGTTTTGCTCGGATGATGTCCACTAACAACCCTGTGATGAAAGCAATTCACATATATTAGTCCATTTTCATACTGCTATGAAGAAATAATCAAGACTGGGTAATTTATTTTAAAAAAGAGGTTTAATGGGCTTACAGTTCATGGCAGAAGGTGAAGAAGGAGCAAAGGCATATCTTACATGGTGGCATACAAGAGCGTATATTTTGCAGGGGAACTGCCCTTTATAAACCCATCAAATCTTGGGAGATGCATTCACTATCATGAGAACAGCATAGGAACCCCCCCCCACCCCATGATTCAATTACCTCCCACTGGGTCCCTCCCATGACATGTGGGGATTATGGGAGCTACAATCCAAAATGAGATTTGGGTGGGGACACAGCCAAACCATATCACTCCACCCCAGCCCCTCCCAAATCTCATATCCTCACATTTCAAAACCAATCATGCTTTCCCAGCAGTCCCCCAAAGTCTTCATTCATTTCAGCATTAACTCAAAAGTCCACCATCCAAAGTCTCATCTGAGACAAGGCAAATCCTTTCTGCCTATGAGACAGTAAAATCAAAAGCAAATTAGTTACTTCTTAGACACAATGGGGGTACAGCACTGGGTAAATACACCCATTCCAAATGGGACAAATTGGCCAAAATTCAGGGGCTACAGGCCCCATGCAAGTCCAAAATTCAGCAGGGCAGTCAAATCTTAAAACCCCAAAATGATCTCCTTGGACTCTGTCTCACATCCAGGTTACACTGATGCAAGAGGTGGGTTACCATGGTCTTGGGCAGCTCCGACCCTGTGGCTTTGCAGAATACAGCCCTGCTTCTGGCAGCTTTTATGAGCTGCCATTGAGTGTCTGTGGCTTTTCCAGGCACACAGTACAAGCTGTTGGTGGATCTACTATTCTGGTGTCTGGAGGACAGTGGCCTTCTCTTCAGAGCTCTACTAGGCAGTGCTCCAGTTGGGACTCTAGGGGGATTCCAACCCCACATTTCCCTTCTGCACTGCCCTAGCAGAGTTTCTTCATGAGGGCTCCATCCCTGCAGCACACCTCTGTCTGGACATCCAGGTGTTCCCATACATCCTCTGAAATCTAGGCAGAGATTCCTAAACTTCAGTTCTTGACTTCTGTGCACCCACAGGCCCAACACCACATGTATGCTGCCAAGGCTTGGGGCTTGCACCCTCTGAAGCAACAGCCTGAGCTGTATGTTGGCCCCTTTTAGCCATGGCTAAGACACGGGTTACTAGGTCCTGAGACTTCACAAACCAGCAAGGCCCTGGGCCTAGCCCAAGAAATCATTATTTCCTCCTAGGCCTCCCAGGCTGTGATGGGAGGGCCTGCCGTGAAGACCTTTGACATGCTTTGGAGACATTTTCCCTATTGTCTTGGCAATTAACCTTTGGCTCCTTTTTACTTCTGCAAATTTCTAGAGCTGGCTTGAATTTCTCCTCAGAAATTGGGTTTTTCTTTTCTATTGCGTTGTTAGGCTGCAAATTTTCTGAACTTTTATGCTCTGCTTCCCTTTTAAACATAAGTTTCAATTCCAAACCGTATCTTTGTGAATAAATAAAACTGAATGCTTTTAAGAACACCCAAATCACCTCTTGAACACTTTGCTGCTTAGAAATTTCTTCCTCCAGATACCCTAAATCATCTCTCTCTAGTTCAAAGTTCCACAGATCTCTAGGGCAGGAGCAAAATGCTGCCAGTCTCTTTGCTGAAGTATAACATGAATCACCTTTGCTCCAGTTCCCAATAAGTTCATCATCTCCATCTGAGACTACCTCAGCCTGGGTTTTTTGGTCAAAACCATTCGACAAGTCTCTAGGAAGCTCCAAACATTTCCACATCTTCCTGTCTTCTTCTGAGCCCTCCAAACTGTTCCAACCTCCGCCTGTTACCCAGATGCAAGTTGCTTCCACATTTTGGGGTATCTTAGTAGCAGCACCCCACTCCTAGTACCAATTTACTGTATTAATCCATTTTCATACTGCTATGAAGAAATACCCGAGACAGGAAAATTTATTAATACAAAAACACAGGTTTAATCAACTCACAGTTCCACATGGCTGATAAGGCCTCACAATCTTGATGGAAGGTGAAGGAAGAGCAAAGGCACATCTTTCATGGCAGCAGGCAAGAGAGCATGTGCAGGGGAACTGCCATTTATAAAGCCATTAGATCTTATGAGACTTATTCGTTATCATGAGAACAGCATGGGAAAAACCCACTCCTTGATTCAGTTACCTCCCGCTAGCTCCTTCCCGTGACGTGCAGATTATGGGAGCAACAATTCAAGATGAGATTTGGGTGGGGACACAGCATAAACACATCATATGGCCAAACTCAGATTCAAGAAGTAGGGAAATATTTGATGCCAAATCAAGGTATGGATGAATAATACTAATAAGAGGGGGTGTGTTAAGAATTAGGACCTTTGATATTCAATCTACCGAGGTGTTATTATAGTATTATGTTAAAGATTTTAAAGTAGTCTTTATTTTTGGAAATACATGCCAAAATATTTAGGGGTTAAATGATAGATAGGTGGAATTTGCATTAAAATAATCTGAAGAAGGAGAAGTGGGTGGAGGTATAGAGGAAAATATTGGCTAGGAGTCTATAATGATTAAAGGTAGATGTGTGCCCTAGAGGGTTCAGTATACCATTCTTTGTACTTTTGTATATGTTTGAATTTTTCATAATAAAATATTAAATAATAAACCAAAAGAAATCATGTGTGAAATCTGTCACTTTTATATGTGAGGAAACAGGTTATGAGAGGGTGTGCTACTTGTTCTTTGATGAGACACCTAGTTCTTGCCAGAATGAAGCTAGGATCCAAGCCAATACTTTTCATTAATGCGGTTTTTGGTCATTTATTTGCTAATTTCTCTAATGTTTAATACTAGCATCTGTGCAAAATGTTATGGATAAGAAGATAAAGCTTTCTATTCCTGAAAATCCCCTAGTCTAATGGTTCAATGTAGATCTAAATAATTATAATAGAAGGATAGGAGTAGAGTAAAGTGCTGTAATGAGGGTATACACAAAATTCATGGGTACACAGGAGAAGGCATCTCTAAATTTTATTGAGAAAATCCAAGAAGGCTTCATACATGAGGTAATATTTTGACCAAAAATCGCAGGACCAATGAATAAGCCAGAGACTGCATTGTAGGCAGCAGAAGCAGCCCACACAAAGGTGATGAGGTGTAAGACAGCATGGCATTTTGGCACTTTAGGGGAATTATATATGACTCAGTGTAGTTAAATGTTAACTTCAGTGTATGTATCGAGGGGTTCTGGGGAAAACAGGCAGGAATGATGAGGCTGGACTTACATGCTATGCAAAAAGTTGAGACTTAATTATTTAGATCAAGGTTGCCTTGCCTAATTATAAGAATCGCCTGGGGCTCTCATTAAAATATAGGACCTTAAAGTCCTAGCTCTGATCTAATGAATCAGAACCTCTAGGGGAAAGAAAAGTTTGGGAAACATGACTTGGGAACTACTGAAGAATTTTAAGCAGAGGAGTGATGTGTTCAGATTTGCATGTTAGAAGGACCACCCTGACAGCAGTAGAGAGGTTAGACTGGTGAAAGGTAGGTGTACAAAGCTAGAGGTATGAAGATGAATCAGATGGGTGCTGCAAGAGTCAATAGGAGATATAATGAGTTCCTAAGTCATGACAGCAGAAATAATGGTTGAGAGGAAATGATGTTACAGAGCTAGGATTGGTAGGCTCCAATGAGTAATTGCCTCTAGAGAGTAAAACAGGTGGATTCTCCTTTAAATGTCTCACTTGATGGGTGGTAGGATAATGTTCCTGTTGACTTTCAGACACAGAGTTCAAGGATTCAGGATGAGGTGGTATAGCAGACTAGATAATGAACTCATTTTGGGTCTTGTACAGCCTGAAGTACTTATCAGACATATAAAGAAAAGTATCCAGAGGGCAGGTCTTGATTTCAAGAAAAAAATGTTAGCTACAGGTAGAAATTTAGTGAGCATCAATATGAAAGTCTTAGTTAAAACGCTAGGTTTGCATTAGATTTCTCAGCTAGATGATGTAGTTTGAGAATGAAAGAAGTCAGTACCCAGGAAAGCAGCAGCATTTAAGGGAGAGACAGAAAGGAGATTTGTTTAGAAAGAGAAGGAGAGGGAAGTATTATGAAAATCAGGTGGGCAAATAATCACAAATGAGTATGGAAATATGTTCACTGGATTTGGCAAAAACAAAGGTTGGTGTTGGCCTTACCCAGGGCAGTGTCAGTGAAATATTGAAGGCAGAAACTATAGTTTTGGGTGGAGAACTGAGTAGGAGTTGAAGAAGAAGAGAACAAATGTAGTTAACTCTTTCTAGAAGCTTCTCTGGGAATAAAGTACTGTTCTACCCTTATTTGAGTAGGAAACATTTTTGGAGAGGGGTGTGCTTAATTAAATATGTTGCTCCTTTTCCCTGGCAAGACCTATGATTCTTGACAGGTGTTAAGGTTTACTGGTTTGCATGTTTGAAAGAACTGATAGGAATTCCTTTTAGTCCTTGTGTTGAAAATTCATTAGCTAGTCATTCATTGTTAATTTATGGCATGGATTTAAGAGTTTGGAGTAAATTTGTATGAAAGAATCCAGGTGTGACTACAGTCTGTACGAAAGAACACATATATATTGTGTTACATACTTGGGGTGACCATTCTTATGTTGCTAACATTCATATATGTTTGTACACCTCAGGAAGGATATTTCCTATATATTTGTGTAAATTTCAAAACTAATGCTGTACTGGAGATTCATCAGGTCTTTCCCAAATTTTTAAAACCAAAATTTTGAGAGGATAGATTAGATAGCTAGCTAGATAGATATAGATACATATTTCTTAGAGACAAGGTCTCATTCTGTCATTCAGGCTGGAGTACAATGGCACATCATAGCTCACTGTAACTATGAACTTCTGAGATCAAGCAATTCTCTTCCTTCAGCCTCCCAAGTAGCTAGGACTACAGATATGCTCCACTGTGCCTGGCTAACTTAATTTTTTTTTTTTTTAAGAGATGGAGTCTCACTATGCTGCCCAGGCTGGTCTTGAGCTTCTAGCCTCAAGGGATCCTCCCAATTTAGTCTCCCATAGTGCTAGGATTACAGGCATGAGCCACCACACCTGGCCTTTGAGAGAATACTGACAGTGAATTTGGAGACAAGCTGTCAGGAAAAACACATGTTTTATCTTATTTTATTTTTAGATTCAGGGCATACATGTGCAGGTTTGTTACGTGGATATATTGTTGATGCCGAGGTTTGGGCTTCAATTGAACCTATGCCCAAATAGTGAACATAGTATCCAATAGGTATTTTTTCAACCCTTGTCCCCTTCCCTGCCTCTCTGCTTTTGGAGTCCCCAGTGTCTATTCTTTCCATCTTCATGTCCATGTAAGGAAAATTATGTATGTTAATGTTAATTTTCTTTCCTCCGTGATTAGATTTTTAAAAGAGCTCTTGAGGGTCTATGATAAGGTTTTAGAATGTATGTTTATTTTAAAGTTCCATTTTATATGTTATCTGTTTAAATCATAACTCAAGCACTTCTTTTTGAAGTGCACTCGTGTGCCACATAATGCTGTTTCGGTCAATGGCAGACTGCATATATAACAGTGATCCCATAAGATTATAATGGAGTTGAAAGTGTCCTGTTGTCTAGTGATGTCATAACATCATAGCACAATGCATTACTCATGTATTTGTGGTGATACTGGTGTAAACAGATCTACTCTGCTGCCAGTAGTATACAAGTCTGGCAATACCATTAAGCACAGTACATAATACTTGAGAATGATGATGAACGTCTGTGTTACTGGTTTAGTATTTACTTACTATACTTTTTACCATTATTTTAGAGTGTCCCCCATCTACTTATTTTTAAGAAATTTACTGTAAAACAGCCATAGGTTGGTCTTTCAGAAGACATTTCAGAATACGTTGTTGTTATAGGAGATGACAGCTCTGTGCATGTTCTTGCCCCTGAAGACATTTCAGTGGGACAAGATATGGGGGTGGAAGACAGTAATATTGATGATCATGACCCTGTGTAGGCCTAGGCTAATGTGTGTGTTTCTGTCTTAGTTTTTAACAAGAAGGTTTAAAAAGTAAAAAAATAAAAATTTAAAAATAGTAAAAAGCCTATAGAATAAGAATACAAAGAAAAGACATTTTCTGTACACGGAACAATGTGTTTGTGTTTTAAAACTAAGTTATTACAAAACAGTCAAAAAGTTAAAAAGGCTTATAAGGTAAAAAAAATTATAGTAAGCTAAGTTTAATTTTTTATTAAAGAAAGAACATTTTTAGTGTAAATTTCATGTAGCCTAAGTGTAATGTTTATAAAGTCTACAGTAGTGTAGTAGATATTCACGTTCACTTACCACTCACTCACTGACTCACCCAGAGCAGCTTTCAGTCCTGCAAGCTCCATTCATGGTAAGGGTGCCCTATACAAGTGTGCCATTTTATATTTTTATACCATATTTTTACTCTACCTTTTCTGTGTTTAGATATACAAATACCATTTTATTACAATTGCCTACAGTATTCAGCACAGTTACATGCTGTATAGGTTTATCGCATAGGAGCAATGGGGTATGCCATAGAGCCTAGGTGTGTAGTAATCTATACCATCTACGTTTGCGTAAATACACTCTATGATGTCACACAGCAACTAAATCACCTAATGATGCATTTCTCAGAATGTATCCCCGTCGTCAAGTGACCCATGACTGTACTTGTTTGGTTACAATTGAGAGAATTTATTACTTTTCTTCATCCCCATATATCTTAGCAGACATGAAGCAGGATTGAAAAAAAAGAATTCTCATTAAAGTCTATTCTGAAGGTCGTCAACACTGCTGCCCTCCTCCCCCTTTTCCCCACATTCGTCTGTGAATTTGAGAACATCCGCAGGCTGACAAGAATCTTGGGAAATAAATGAAATGCAGATGAGTTGGAGCTGTACTATCATCAAGACTTGTTGTCTCAGTAAAGAAATGTTTTAGGTCAGAGTGTAGAGAAGTGGACCCTAAGAGGAATGTGATGATCCTTTATGGGAAGATGATTGTTCCTGCTGTGGTGGCTACTGCTGTACCTGGGATGGGTTAGTGGGGCATGAAAAAGAATAAGACTACCACAGAATGGGGTTTGGAACGGAGAGTTAAGAAAATGATTAAAAGTTTATATTTGCTACAATATGACTATTAAGATGATCTGAAAATGCCTAGAAATAAATAATAAAGTATAAGAAATATTTTCTCAAGTGCACAGCTAAGCCTATAGAAAGTAAAACAAGATTTTTGAGGGTCAAAGTCACAAAAAATATGAAACTAGACTAGTAACTAGGCCATAAATCTGCAGGTACTCAAAGGGAATTAGCCAATCTTGGTAACCAAGAATCTATCTTTAAAGAGTCTTTTGGGGATAGAAAGTAAACCTTAGGCTGAGCAATGAAGAGTCAAGACCCTCCTGTATAATGCCAGAATCTCACTCAGTGTAAGGGTAGGCTTTGAAAATTCTTTCTGGCAAAGGGAGATTAAAAAATTGATCTGTCCTGGTCAGAGATCTGGATAGCTGAAAAAAGCTCACCACACCACTTGTAAGGTTTCTGCAAAGTCAAGCCCAAGGCATTAACATAAAGAGGTCCTCAGTTGCAGTGCCCCTCAGACATTTGGGGAAACCAAACAAAAAGCCTTTCTTGGAAGTAAGAGCCCTTAACTTAGTATGGTAAAGATTACTACAGATAAGGCCCCATGAATAAAAACTCACTAACAGAAATTATAAAACACAAATGGGTACAAGCCATCATGAACAAGAGTCAGCAGAATCTGTAAATTTCAATAATCGACACCCAAGATTTCAGATACTAGAATTATTAATTTCAAAATGTTACATATATATGGACAAAATGTTGATGGAAATAGAAACTAGAGCTAATGACATGAAAAAGAAACAAGGTACTATCAAAAATGACAGGCAAACATAATGGGCATATTTGGATAAAAAATACAAAAGTAAAGGAAAATATCACAAAAATGAAAAGTCTGATGGAGAGTTTAAGCAGTAAATTGGTCATAGCTAAAGAGAGAATTTGTGAACTGCAAATTAGATCTGAATAAATCACCGATAATGATACACAGACAGAGGCAGAATGATGGAAAAATGACAGAAAGAATAAGAGATGGAGAAAAGAATGAGAAAGTCTAATATATATTCAGTGAGAATTTAGAACAAAAGAGTACAGAGTCCAGGAGTGGTAATATTCAAAGGGATAATGGTTGAAGGTTTTTAGAATTAATGAAAGATTTAAATCGTTAAATTTAGAAGGTGGAAGAACTCCAAGCAGGATAAATACAACTGCAGAATACGAGAGATAAAGAAATGTTTGAGACAACTTAGGAAGAAAAGACGAATTACCTACAAAGGAATAACTGACTGAAAACAGACTTTTGAGTAGCAACAATAGAAACCAGAAAACAGTATAATAGTATTTTCAAAGATCCATCAAGGAAAATTTAATTCCAGCATAACTATTACTGACAAACAAGTTGAAACACAGCATTTCTGGACAAAGAAAAATTGAGCATTTAATACCAACAGACATGTACTAAAGGAACAAAAGGAACATTGTAGGATATACAGCAAACTTCGGGATGAAGAGAACTGAATCCACAAGGAAGGACAGAGATGCAAAATGGAGTAATGAACAAATAGATTGGGAAATCATATAAGTAAATGTGATCAAACATTGGCTGGATAAAACAACTAAGACCATCACAGTGACCAATTGTGAAAAAAACATTATAATGAAAAATCTGGATTAGAATGCAAAAGGGAGTAATTAAGTGTTCTGAGAGCTTTTGATCATTTGGGAAGAGACAGTGAGCTTAACTTTAGTTTGTGTTATGTGAGAATGCATGTTGAAATTTTAAGGTAACTCCTAAAATAATAGAAGTATTTGATAATACTTTTAATGTGCTAGAGGGAAATATGTAATAAACATGCCAGTGAATTCAAAATGAGGCACAAGATGAAGAAAAAAAAAGCATGTACAAAGAGGCTAGGTAGAAACTGCAAAATAAGATGAAAAAATTAAATCCAAATGTCCTAATCACAATAAATATAACAACACACAGATTTTCACGTTGTATTTTAAAAATTAATGAATAACGTAGGCTCAAAATATCTAAAACAAAAATTGGAGAATTACAAAGAGATTGTCAAGTTCACAATTAAATTGAGAGAATTTGAGGCCTGTATCCTACTAATTGGTAGGTAAAACTAAAAAGTAAAAAAAAATAAAAACAAAAATATGGAAAAATACAACTAAGAAGCTTGATCTGATAGTCATATACTGCTGGCCCTTGAACAACACAGGTGTGAACTGTGTGCATTTACTTACATGTGGATTTTTTTCAGCTAAAGGTGGATTAAAAATGCAGTGTCCACAGGATGTGAAACTTGAGTAAACCAATGGCTGACTTTTTGTATATGTGGGCTCTGTAGGGCTGAATTCTGGACTGGAGTAGGCATGGATTCTGGTATACGTGGGGGTGTCCTGGAACTAATTTCCCATGTATATTGAGGAGCAACTGCATAACAATTGAAGAATAAATGTTTTTTCTCAATCACATAGGAGATAGTTGTGAAAATTGATTACACACCGGGCCACAAAGCAAGTATCAACAAATTTCAGAAAACTGGTATCATACTAACTGTGCTCTTTGATAATATTAATTAAAAATCAACATTCAATTCTTTCAAAATCTGCTAGAATAGATAAATTGGAGAAGATTGAATGAAAAGAGAGATTAACAAATGGTAGGGACAAAACAGCTAAATTACTAAAAGAAGGTTTTTCAAACAAATGGTAGTATGCTTAAAATTTTATGTTAATATTCTAAAAATTTGGACAAAATGGATACCCTCATATAAAACAGAATAATGAATAAATATACAAACATTAAAGTAATTGAACCAGTAGTTGAAAATCTACAAATTCCAACTATATACACACACACCGACACACACACAAACAAGTACAAAAAGGGTGTCCAGTTTTAGGAGTGAGTTCTACAGGACTTTCATGGCAGAGATAATTACATTCTTTCACAAATACCTACTTTCAAAAATAAAAAATGGGAACCTCCCCACTTAATAGTTTAGTATAAATTCAAAAAGCTAGAAACTGACTCTGGAACCAATACTAAAAGTAAAACAACTCAGAAAATATGTATAGCAAGGCCAAGAGATTCATTATGCTTTGAATGCAACTTTGAGAGAAATAGAGCATAAAATTCAGGAAAAGCTATTATGACGAAAAAGAACCAGAATTTTACCTCCGTATACAAAGATTTTATTTCCTAAACAACTTAGAGAGTGAAAAAAGTCATTGTCATGGGAAATAAAGAACAACTAATAATAAAATTTAGCTAAAAATAAAACCTTATAACCACATGTTAAACTTGTTTGCTGATGCATCGAGACAGAATGGCAAAGTAGGGAGAGGAAAAGTATGTTTTTAAAATAACATAGTATGAATGAGGTATCTTAACGCTATATGCAATTATCTCTTCTAATCTTTACTAAAGCTTTGAAGTAATTAATGTCATAATTTTTCAGATTAGCAAAAGGAGGCTCACAGTTCCAAGCTAGCCAGTAGTAGAACCGAGGTTAACTCAGTCCTACGCTGTTTCAGAAACACCATATTTCATTCTTGACACCAAGATGACGCTTAAGAACATATCAAATTTTTAACTTGGATCAAGCTGAGTAATATGAGCCCATTTAACTAAAAGTAACACTATTTTGTGCCTAAAGCAGACCCTTAAATTATACCTCTTAAAAAGAAAACAAAATATAAAATGTACTATTTATTAAAAAGTATAAAAATGAATATGTATTAGTTGAAGAATAATGATAAAATGAACGCTTGTGAAACTATCACCCAAGAAATAAATTGTTCTTGGTACCTTTGAAGATGCCTGCACATCCCTCCTTCCCAGCACCTTCAACACCTCCTGGAAGTAACCAGTATACAGACTTTTGTGCTAGCCTCTATAATTTCTTTATAGCTTAACCATATGTAAAGATATCCTAACAAGATACTATTTATTCTTAGGATGATATGCAATGCTTCATTCTGTATTGGATCTCAATCCAGAAAAAAAAGAAGCTTATAAAGAAAATTTTTTTGTCACAACAAGCAAAATTTAAATCTGGAATATGTATTAGATAATAGTATTGCATCAGCAATGTTCAGTTTTCTCATTTTGTTAAATGCACTGTGATTAAGTCATAGAAAGTCCTTGTTTTAGAAAGCACTCTTGAGTATTTATAGAAAACAAAATTAAAATAAACACATGGAGTACAAAGCACAAACCTAATTCCCTCCATAAGATGAAGGCTCCCAAGAAAAGATGAACTGAACAGAGTTGTTCCCTGGCAACCCCTTTCTGAGAGTTTACAAGACTCTATTCTGGCAAAGTTGATGCAATTATGAATGTGTCCCTGCCAGGGTGAAGGAGGGACAGTTTCATAGTCAGATAGATTGGGAGGGGATACAGGGACTCAAGGTTCTTGCACATGGCTATAAAGCTGTACAGTTTTTGTACTGCACAAACCTGGTAGAATGGCAACAAGATGGGGGTTGGAGGGTGTGCCGAAGTTCAGCCTAGAAATTTTCCCCAAGAAGTAGGCAATAGAAGGGGTTTATTTTGCAGTGTATTTATTTTGTAATGTATTTATTTTGCAATGTATCTGTTTGAGGAGGTATTTTTTAAAGAATTTTCATGAATGCTAACTTCTTGCTGAGCTAGTTCTACTAACCTCTTATTAGCTCTCAAACAGCTTTCAGAAAGTTGTTATTTTAGCCCTTTCTGACTGTTCACTTCTAGATTCAGAGATCCCTTCTGCTTCTATATCCTGTACCTTTTGAAGATTGTTGGGCGGCAGGAATGACACTGGTCCTCTGCTTTCTCCACTGTCAGCTCAGGGTTTGGCACTCTTGTGTTGGCTAAGTCAGGGGCCACTGGACCGCCTGATTCCAGTTATAAAATTTGGTTGCTGTGTGTGCTCTCTTGTTCTCCCCGTCCTTGAGATGTGTCTTTAAACAAATCCTTCAGTGAAGTTTTAGATGAAGCAATAGGAGAGGCACATTTCAGCCTTCCATCTTAACATAGAAACCTCTCAGATATCTAGTACAGAAACATAATCACTGGTTTTTACTCTTCCTTTAAAATCTGTGTGTCCTGCAGGAAATAAGGTGCAAGAAGGTGAAGAATGGATTAGTAAAGCCCCAGTGATGAAGTCTTTAGTTGGAAAAAAAATTCTCGATGTCTGTCTCTGCCTTTCCGGGTAATAAATGCTTAGTTGTATGTTCGACAGCCCCGTGGCTCTCTAGTGCAGAGCTGATTAGGACTGGAAGTAGCCCAGGTGCTCCACTCTCATCAGGAATTAGAGTCTAGAATGATCCGGGTTATTCTAAACCTGTTATATTGGGCAGTGTAACCTTAGTGCTATGGTTTGAATGTTTTCATCTCCCCCAAATTCTTATTGAAATCTTAACTCCCAAGGTGATTATATTAGGAAATAGGGTCTTTGGGTAGGTGATTTCCTAGTCAGAGCCCTGTTATTGCCAATTTGAAATCATATGCATTTGATGCACTAAAATGTGAAATCCAAAAAGACCCCTAAAATTTGTTAAAGTGAACCTTATCCCAAGAACCTATAAAATAAAAACTTTGTATTAATTTCTTTAACAAATACCTTATTAATATTTTATAAACTTTATAGGGCCAGTCCACAGTCATGAAATTCAGTGTTAGTCTAAAAGCAATTGAGTTCAGTGTCAGAGGTGAATGATCTCAGTTTACCACTGAGAATTATTTATACTTTAATAAAAAGTTTCTCAGTCTAGATTAACCTAGTTGATTAGAAAATTATGTTAATGAAGGAAAAATTAGAGTTTAAAAAGTGTGTAAGTTAATTTTTCTTGCATTCACAATCTTAGCTGTAACTTCTGGAACTGGCCAACTGGCTGGATTCTTTTACAGTTACTAAACTGTACCAGCTGTGGTGAGGCAAAAGTGTGAGCCAGTGCAAGAAGTTCATGCCTTGCTGATGTAAATCAAAGGTTTTATTCATTCCTTTCTTTATTCACTCATTGCTTTATTCAGTAAACATTCTGAACAACTTTTCTGTGTTGAGTAGAGTTTTATACCATGATGTTATATAATTCTCACAAGAATTTCATTATCTCCTTCCTCAGGGTCTGAATGATTGAGAAAACCCCAAATCTGTGCTGTATGGCAAAAAGTAAAATAAGAATTCAAAGCCAGGTCTTCTGACTCTAACTTCAGGATTCTTTTCCCTATATAATGGTAATCAGCTAGGAGATCACCACTGAAATAGCTGGATTATTTTATAAAATACTGTAATTCAGAAAACGTAAACAAAATTTGTTTTATACTGATATATATTTTTATTAGATTTACTGAAATAAAGATGTTTAGAAATGTTTTGTTAATACACAAAGGAAATTGAAATTCTAAATAATTGCCAACAGAATAGTATTTTACTTTAGTCTCTGCATTCGTTCATTCTGTGTTTCTATAAAACAATACCTGAGATTGGGTAATTCATAAAGAAAGGAGGTTTATTTGGCTCACAGTTCTGCAAGCTGTAAAGGGAACATAGTGCCAGCATCTGCTTGTGGTAAGGCATCAAGAAGCTAACAATCATGGCAGAAAGTAAAGGGGGAGCCGGTGTATCACATGGTAAACAAGGGAGCAAGAGAGGAAGGGGGAGGGTCCAAGACTTCCTTTAACAACCAAATCTTGCATGAACTCATCACTATGGGGAAGGCATCAAGCCATTTATGAGGGGATCTATCCCCATGATCCAAACACCTCCCACTAGGCCCCACCTCCAGCACTGGGGATCACATTTCAACATGAGGTTTGTAGGGGAAAATGTTCAAACTATATCATTTCACCCCTGGCTCCCTAAATCTCATGCCTCCTCACATTGCAAATTATAATCATCCTTTCCCAGTGGTCCCAAAGGTCTTAACTCATTTTTAGCATCAACGCAATCAAAAGTCCAAAGTCCAAAATCTCATTTGAGACTCAAGGCAAGTTTCTTCCATCTATGAGCCTGTAAGATTAAAAACAAGTTATTTAATTCCAAGACACAATGGTGGTACAGGCATTAGGTAAACATTCCCATTCCAAAAGGAAGAAATCAGCCCAAAAAAGGAGGCAATCGATTCTACAAAAGTTCAAAATGGCAGATCAGACAATAAATCTCCAAAATAATCTTTGACTTCATGTCCCACATCCAGGGCACATTGGTGCAAGGGTCGAGCTCCCAAGACCTTGAGCAACTCCACCCTTGTGGCTTTGCAGAGTACAGCCCCCATGACTGCTCTCACAGGTTGGGGATGAGTGTCACCTGCAGCTTTTCCAGGCTCAGAGGGCAAGCTGCCAGTGGCTCTACCATTCTTTGGTCTGGAGGGCAGTGGCCCCCTTCCCACAAATCCACTAGGCAACTGCCCAATGGGAACTCTGTGTGGGGGCTCAAATCCCACATTTCCCCTCAGTACTGCCCTACATGAGTCTCTCTGCTGGTGCTGTGTCCCCAAAGAAGGCTTCTTCCTGGAAATCCTGGCTTTCCCACACACCCTCTGAAATCTAGGTAGAAGCTGCCAAGCCTCCTTCAGTCTTGCATTCTGTGTGCTCGCAGGCTTAACACCACATGGAAACCACTAGAGCTTATGGTGGCTTGAGTTCTCCAAAACAGCAGTCTGAGCCATAGCTGGGGCCCTTTGCACCATGGCTGGACCTGGAGTGGCAGAAGGGTAGTGGGAGCAGCCTCCCAGGTGGCAGGGGGAAATGGTGCCAAGGCTTGGTCCCTGAAACTATTCCTTCCTGCCTCTAGGCCTATGATGGGAGACTCAGCCTTGAAGGCTTCTGAAATGCCTTTGAGCCCTTTTTCCCATTGCCTTGGCTATTAGCACTTGGCTCTCTTTTAGTTGTGCTCATCTCTCTAGCAAGTGGTTGCTCTGCAGTCTGTTTGGAATCTTCCCCTGAAAATGCACTTTCCTTTTCTACCACATGGCCAGCCTACAAATTTTCCACAGTTTAATCCTCTGCTTTCCTTTTAAATATAAGTTCTAACTTTAAGTCATTTATTTGCTCCTGTAGCTGATAATAGGTTGTTGGAAACAGCCTCAACGCCTCTTGAATGTTTTACTGCTTAGAAATTTCTCCTACCAGATACCCTAGATCATCATTCTTAAGTTCAGCCTTCCACAAAGTTGTAGGGTGTGGACAAAATGTAGCCAAGTTCTTTGCTAGGGCATAACACGGGTGACCTTTGCTCCAGCTCCCAATAACTTCCTCAATTCCATCCGAGATCTCATTGGCCTGGACTTCACTGTCCGCATTTCTATCAGTGTTTTGGTCACAACACTTAACAATTTTCTAAGAAGGTCTAAGCTCTCCCTTGTCTTCCTGTCTTCTTTTGAGACCTCCAGCTCTTCCAATGTCTGCTCATTACCCAGTTACAAAGCTGCTTCCACATTTTAGGCATCTTTATAGCAACTCTCCACTCCTGGTATCAATTTTCTGTGTTGGTCCATTTTGCATTGCTTTAAAGGAATGCCTGAGATTGGGTAATTTATAAATAAAAGAGGTTTATTAGGCTCCCAGTTCTGCAGGCTGTTCAAGAAGCATAGTACCACCATCTGCATCCGGTGAGGCCTCAGGAAGCTTACAATCGTGCTGAAGGGTGAAGGGGGAACTGGCACACACATGACAAGAAAAGGAGCAAGAGAGTGAGAGGAGAGGTGCCAGATTCTTTTTAACAACCAGAACTCATGTGAATTCATTACTACAGGGAGGCTACCTGGTCATTCATGAGGGACTTAACCCCAGGACTGAAAATTCTCTAACTAGGCCCCACCTCCAACAATGAAATCACATTTCAACATGAGATTTGGAGGGGACAGACATCTATACTATATCAGTCTCTAAACTTCCACCAAAATATATTCTTCAACTTAGTGGGAGAGATTGTAACTGTATCATTTTTACATGTTGGAACATTATTTTCCTCATTTTTTCCCCCAAAATAGTTTCATTGTCTATTTTATTAAGAATTATACTAATGATAATCAGTTTTTGTTATTAAAATGATTTTTAGAAGAACCTATATTTAGCTAACCAAATATCTTATCAATTTCCCTTCATGTGACATTAAGCTACTTTCAAAATTTATTAAAATCTATTTTAATGAAATGTATTAAGATAATGTCATAGGAAATTTTACAAGAATGAGGCACGTATCAACTTTTACCAGGCACGGTAAGCAAAATTATGAATTTTGTCTTTATTTCAGTTGTCATCTTTATCTAATTTAACAATGCAGGTCTAAATTTCCTCAAGATTTTTTTCCTCATAGAAATACTAAAAAGATAGATGATCAATAGATGGGTTATGTTTTAACTAGACAACTTGATTCTAAAGTCCCTGAATATTATTTTTCCTGAAATAATGCTGAAAATGAAAATGAGAGGGTTCTACACCTATCAGATATTAAAACTTATATATCTATAATAATTAAAACAGCATAGTCCTGGAATACAACTATAAATCAATTAGGGAACACAAAATCTATAAACCCAAAATACATAAAATAATTTAGTATGTATTCAACGTGGCATTTAAAATTCTAGAGTAACTGATAAATGGTCCTGAGACAACTAGGTAGCCAGTTCACATAAAAGGAAATTTATATGGTTTGTAAACATATGAAAAGCTGATCAACGTCATTTACAGTAAGAGAATTTCACCTATAAACTTCATGAAGATGAAAACATTGACAAGAGTGTTGGGAATCAACACACTCATTCACTGCTCGTGGGAATGTAAACTAGTTCAATTTCTATAGGCAATTAATCCAAATTGATTAAAATTTAGGATGAACACTCCCTTTGACACAACAATTATACTTCTGGGATTCTATTAAAATTTATCTTTGGAAGGTACACAGGAACCTGCTAATAGTGTAGTTGCTGTTTCCTGTGAGGAAAAATGGGTGTCTGGGGGCAAGATAGTGAGTGTGTTAGTCTGTTTTCATGCTTCTGATAAACACATACCTGAGACTGGGTAATTTATACAGGAAAAGGCATTTAAAGGACTTATAGTTCCGTGTGGCTGGGGAGGCCTCACGATCATGGCAGAAGGCAAGGAGGAGCAAGTTACATCTTACATGGATGGCAGCAGGCAAAAATAAAGAGAGCTTGTGTAGGGAAACTCCTGTTTTTAAAACCATTAGATCTTGGCATGGTGGCTCACACCTATAATCCCAGCACTTTCGGAGGCCAAGGTGGGCAGATCACCTGAGGTTGGGAGTTCGAGACCAGTCTGACTAACATGGAGAAACCCCATCTCTATTAAAAATACAAAAATTAGCTGGGTGTGGTGGTGGGCACCTGTAATCCCAGCTACTTGGAAGGCTGAAGCAGGAGAATTGCTTGAACCGAGGAGGCAGAGGTTGTGGTGAGCCCAGGTCACGCCATTGCACTCCAGCCTGGGTGACAAAAGCAAAATTCTGTCTCAAAAACAAAAAACAAACCACCATTAGATCTCCTGGGAATTATTCACTATCATGAGAACAGCACAGGAAAGACCCACCCCCATGATTCAGTTATCTTCCACTTCGTCCCTCCACAACACATGGGAATTATGGGAGCTACAAGATGAGATTTGGGTGGGGACACAGAGCCAAACTATACGAGTGAGTGAGTTTGATTAATTTTTTTATTCTTTGTACTTTCATGTCTTCTTAATTTTATCCATATACACATGCATGCAATCCAATTTAAAAATAAAAATATGGAAAGCAAAACATTTGTTTTTTCTATTTAAGTTTTAGTGAAACACAAATTTACCATGCACAGTTTCAGTTTTACACTTTATTCATTGTTTTCCTATAAAGTCTTATTTTTTTCAGATTAAGTTTTTAAATTTCTAACTAATTTTACTAAGTACTATTTTTGTTATTTTTATTTTGTGTTGGTTGTTATTATTAGTTAAGCTAAAAGACTGATACTTTTGTTTATTTCTTGGCTAACCTCTGAGAAAATTGTGAGGAATTCCCCTCTGGTATGTCCTGTCATCATCACTGGCAAAATGGACAAAACCCAAAGAATTCTGTTAGCTTCAAAATAGTGAGGTCAAAATTGGAATGGCAATCTCCCTCTTTAAGATAACCTTGAATGTTACTGTGAAAGTCATCTAAATAATGTTTTATTTCTTTCTAAGGGCTCTTGCGTAACTCCTTTCTTTCATGTTTTGTGTGTAAGTGGAGGGTTTGGTGATGAAGACAGATCAGGGAGTAAGATATTGGATATACTTCTGCTTCCCTGATTAAGGTATATCAGTGCTTAACATTCTCAGGTATCTGGCAGCATCCAGTATCTCTCAGCAAACCAGATTCTAAATGGTGGTCCAATTAGAAGACTAAAATTAGGCCACCAATTCCAACCTCCATTATGAGAGAGGTTCTTGTTTCTAATATTTGAAGAAGATGTCAATAATTAGAAAGGTTGATATAAACACTCCTGTAGACATTTGCAAAGTTTAATTATACTGGGCATTTCTACTAGCTTTTCTAGATCTAGTAACCCAGAGTAGGGCTAGATAATTCATTATGTTCCTAAAAATTTAGGGGAAATGAACCTGTTTTTTATAGTAATGCCTACTTTACACCAGGCTTTGGGCTGCACAGGCATTGAATTTAAAGATAAGAAAGACATGTCTCTGCATACCAAGGGACCTTGGCATTCATTTAATCCCTGCCTTTTCCTATTGCATTGCCAGGTAGGTGGATGAAAATCATTGTGGTTACTTGTTAGATTTTTCACATAGATCCCTGAGACAAACACTTCAACTTTAGAGAGCAGCTTAAGAAAACTTTTTTTAAACCAGCTAATGGTGAATTTCAGTCTTACAGTTCCCTCTGTATCCTGTGCCATCACATTGCCAATTTGATTGCTAATTACTCTGCATTATCCATAAGCCAGCTACAAACATTTTTAATGGGATGTTCTTTGTTGTAATTTAGGGGCAGTGACTGCTGTCTCTGTGTACTTCGGAACATTTCTTTCTGAGCCTATAAAGTGTTTGGCTGGCATGCAGGGGCCTGAGGAAGCTTAAGGAGAAACCTCGTCCCATGACACATAATCCTACCACACCCTGAAATGGATAGATGGTTGGGTCATGCCAGTGTGCACACACAGACTGGTAAGTGGAAGATTAGCCAGAATTGTGAAAGATGCTACCATACAGCCACCCAGTTCTGCCAAAGGAGAAGGTCACTTGCCAACGGCAAATGTAAATGGCCATGAATATCCTGTTCTCTTTCTGTCAAAGTTGGTTCTGAGCACTGAGGGGAGAGACAGAATTAAAAGTAGACACAGCAGCGAGTAAAGCTATCTCTGTCTAATGGAGTGTCTGTATTTTTGGGTACATGATTTTTCTATACCTGAGATGAATAATTCATTCTCAAGGAACCCCAAAGCAAAAGTTTAAAGATGATTAAAAAATAACTTTGGCTTCTGATCTTCTGATAACTGGGAACTCTGTGATAGAGACATAGAAAACTATTAGGAATTAAAACCAAAACAAGACCGGGCTTTAGGGATTCCCCTCACACTATTATACTGTCATGGAAGGCTCAGGATAACCAGGCTAGCCGTACATAAAGTAATTAATAAAGTAGGTCAATTACAAAGCTAGAAGAGTTTTATTTAGCGTGATATTGATCACATCTTGAATCATCTCCCTGAATCTCCGTATTTTTCTTTTTTATTAAAAACAGAATAGCGTTCTTGAAGAATTGTTTTATCTACACTTCTGTAATTGTTCTCTAAACAGAGAATTGTTTAGAAGGACCAGTTCCCTAGCAATATATGACCTTTCTAACTATACTTCATGTCATCTCATGCAGGCCCTATCTTCTGTAAAATTAGGCCTCCATTGTGTTTCTCACTCAAGATTCTTCTTTATTATTTCCCAGATTCTCTGGATGGAGCATTTTCTTTATAAACAACATATTTGTGCTCATCTGTTGTGGATGCTCTTGGTGCCCCATCCAGACCTCCTTTACCAGGCTGATGCACGAACACTCTAGCTTCTAAGAATGTTCACTGTTAGCTTATAGATTCTCCTTTTCTACAGAGTCACCCTTGGCTAAGTAGGAGCCACTATATCCTTTAGTATACATTACCAGCTTATAGCCATTGATTAAGGGAAGACAAAAGTCAGCCCTTGTCTCAAGGTAGGGCCAATTCTGAAGTGAAATTCATGCTCCAGAGCTCCCTGTGGGGCCAGGCTACAGTTAGTTTCTAGCTGGGCCACATGCATGCTTAGCTTGTTTTGCCTTATCCTGCTGCCCTCACTTCTCTTCCCCTGAGAACACTAACACAAGAGTCCCTGTCCAGGCCCTGCTTCAAGGGAACCTGCCAATCATCATGACTGTGAACATTTAGGGCAGGTGGGTAGGAGTCTGAGAGTGGTAATGGGATTGGAGGGGGTTTAGCACATAATTTACCCTAATAAGTGTTTGCTAAATGAGTGGATTTTCCAGGCTTGATGCTTGGATTAAAAGTAGCACAGCTGTCTTCAAAAGATCTATTTCTCAAGCAGGGCTGGGCTCCCTGATTCACTCCTGGATTGGAAACAAAATAAGTGGGAAAATTTCATAAGGCTTATTGTCGAATAGAAAGACATTGATGATTGTTAATGATGTTAATTAATCAACAGGGATTATTAAGTGCCAGCTTTTCCCAGCATGTGACTAAACACCCAGGTCTGTGGTAACTGTGATGAAGAAAATAACCTCTTTTATCTTATAAAAAAAAAATCTTATCTTCATGTGGAGATAAAACTTACTCAAATGAAACAATGAAAATATAAGACTGTGTTCACATGACAAAATGTACTTCATAGGTAATAAGTTCCAAAGGAAATTCAGAGAAGTAAGAAATCAATGTGGGCGTTTGTGAGTTAGGCAAGTCTTGGAGGAATAGGTGTGTGTGGGAGGGACAGGAGAGAAGACATTCCAAGTGGGAGAAGAGGTAAGAAGAAAGGTGTGGAGACAGTAATGAGGATACTACTATTTGCCAGGAGATATAACATGAGAAAATAAGTTCCCCCTGAGTTCACTTCCTTTTTATATTTCCATCCCATTATCCTATTTCCATTTATTCTTCATTCATTTATTAATTCAGTAATCAAATATTCTTTGAGACCTACACTGTTCCAAGAACTGCATTATGTCTTAGGGATATGGGAATGAAAAGAATACCCATCATTGTTCTCAAGGAACTGACAGTCTCCAGAGAGATAAAATTAGCAAACAGACAATTACAATACAGGGTTGTCATGGTACTTTAAGAGTAAGCATAGGGTGCTAGGAGAGAACAAAGGAGAGGCATGGAAGCCAGACTTGGGGGAAGGTCCAAAAAGGCTTCCTGAAGAAGTGACATCTTATTGGAGACATAAAGAGTGGGTAGAATTTAGCCAGGTGAAGGAGAGTGCAAGAAAATAATTGTGGGGATGCATGGTGCTTTGAGGAAAGTGAGGGGTGCAGTATCACTGATGTGTGTGGAGGACAGAAAGACCAAGGGTGGACAATAAACGGGCCAGATCAGGGACCACCCTGTAATTAAAGGAGTATGGACTGCATCTTTAGGGCCATGATAACCATTAGTTGACTAAAGTATTAAAATTACTTGATCGGATTATTTCTGAAACATTACTTTAGTTGGAGTAGTTTGAATAGGTTGGTCTCGACCAAACTGGATGCTGATAGACATGCTAAGAAGCTTTGTTATGCACATGGCAAATGATGGTGGGAATGGAGAGAAGTGAAGGTAAAGTGACATAAATTGGAGTTTCATTGGTTTTGGGAGAAGAGAATAAAAAAGTCGAGAATAATACTGAAGAATTTACATTAAGCAACTAGGGTGGGGAGTAATGGTATCTTCATCAAGTTAGGGAGCATGAGAGGAAGAGTGAGATTGGGGAACAGATGATTACTCAGTTTTTGACGTGATAGTTTTGAGAATCCTGGGGATAATCAAGCAGAGATGTTGAATAGGTGGGTCTGGAAGTTAGAAGACACTTTTGGGGTGGCAATATAGATTTGGGGTTTCTACTAATAAACCACTCACTTTACTTCCATCCTATTTTGTTTAGTGGTACCAACACCCTCTTATTTGCTCAGGTTAGAAACTCATATTTCCCTAAGGGGTCCATGGATGGGCTTCATAGGATTCTTGAACCTCCTTGAAATTGCATGCACAATTTTGGGTATAAGTGAATAAGTGCCTTTTTCTAGTACCATGAGATGTAGAATTTTATGGAATTTGCAAAAGGTTACTTGACTTCCCTCTTGTCCCCCCAAAACAAAGAGAATCCAAAGTGACTTGGGGTCTTTGTCTCTTTTCCTCTCTTCTTTATATTTACTCATGCGTCGTGTTCTTCAGTCTTATCTTTGAAGTCATATTTATATCCCTTATCTTTCCTCATTGCTAGCCTCCTAGTTCAGATCCTTACTGCTTGTAACTTTAAGAACTTACATTGGAATCCCTCAACTTTCTAATACATGTAACTGCATATTTTTTTTCTCCAAACTGCTACCAACTATATTAGTTGAGTTCCCACCTTTATGGGCAGCAAGAAAATTTAACTTTGTCAGCCCCTCCTGGTAATCATCAGCTTAGTTTACTGATTTTTTGCAATCCAGTTATTAAAATCTCAGACTCTATTCAAAACATCTTATCTTTAATTAAATTAGATATGACTAGGCTGCTAGAAGCTGATTGAGGAGGAGTAGAGTGTAATTGGTTCTTTACCTCTTTTCTTCTGATCTCAGGCAACTGTTCTGCTGATGGGGGTATCAGAGAGGTCAGGGTGACTGAAAAGAATTCACTCATGTGATTGCCAGCATGTTGAAGATGGCAAGCTGGCAATCTTTTCTTTAAAGTCAGCCAATACCTGGTCTAATTTCTGGGTGGTGGTAACCAGCCTCCAGTTACACAGCATTACATCTTAGGTGGTCTTTGATGCCCAGCCAGCAGTCTTATGGAGGTAGAACAGCTTCCTTCTCTCCCTCCTGGTGGGTGGCTCTCAGTATCCTCCTCACATCAACCCATCATTCATCAATATGGCCCACCCATAGTGGTGCCCACCCCTTATTTGGTGACCTGGGCTAGGTCCACAGAAAACTTGGGATCATTGGTACACCTGCCTCAATTTGTATGAGACTGTGAGGGGGTAGCAACCTTAATGTACTAGGACTTACTCATTTACTCTCTCTTAGGATTCAACACCCAAAATATTCTATGCATTTTCTTGGGACTGTTAACTTTCAGGTGCAGCAAAGGTTCATAACAATCTTCACTTCCTAATGATGCTTTCAGATTTCATGAGTGATTCTCCAGGGAACATCTGGCTTGGTTGGGCACAGATAAATAGCCAAACTGCTTCCCTCTCAGCCCCGTTCCACATGGAGAGAAGTAAATACTGATTCACAAACTCACCTCTTCCCAAAAGATGACTCCTCTTCCCCTCTCTGTTTCCTTCAGGGGGGCTGCTCTACTGATTCTTCTGAAAGGTCACCTTGTTAGCAGGTCCCCAGTCAGGGATGTATGGCCTTGTTGTTTTTCAGCTTTGAGGTGCCTCTACTTGGTAACTCCCTAGGAAGGAGTCTCAGTATGTATCACAACTTCATGTTACCATCTTTTAACTGGTAACCATGATACAATTTCTTGTCTCTCTCACATATTTTTCCTAAATGTTTTAACTTCGATGACTCCCCAAGGTTGAGACAAATACCTTCAGACTGGCCTCCACAGTCCTTTAAAATTGTGGCCTCCAAGTACCTTTGCAATCTCAATTCTTACCATAAGCTCTTTGAATAATATGGGCAATAATCAAACAGATCCTGCCCTATCAATGTTCCATGATGTTGGTCATGCCTTTCCCTTTGCCTGCAACATCCCTTCTTTAATTTTTATTGAAAATTCTTCTATTCATTGTTTAGGTCAACCTCCCATGTCATCTCCATAATGTCTTACCATTCTTTCAACAGGAATCAATCCTGTCTATGCCATTTGCAGCATGCTTTTACTTGTCTGATTCTTTGACATCATAAGAAACAGTGAAGTGGCCTAGCCAGGTGCCTTAAACATAGCAAATGTTCAACAGTTCAGTCAGACTGAAATGACAGGGGAAGTGCAGTCAGATCATGTGAGGAGTCTTAAATGACTAAATGACCTTGGATACTATTTCAGTTGATTTCTATTAAAGACTTGGGAAAGCCAACTTTCACTGATTTTTGCAATTTATAGAAATGCTCCCATTGCAATAGCTTGTGAGCATATTGCCAAAAAACTATAACAAAAAATTCAACTCACGAATTGTGCCTGTCTTCCTGATAGGGTGCTCTATGCTTGTTAGTATCTAGAGGACAAATGAAAACCATGTGCTCTGGATCTAAAACACAATCAACAAGTGGGGACATGGAATCTAAAAGAAGATCAAGTGTGGGTGTCCCCCAGAATTAACACCATGCTTGATACCAGGACTCAAATTGGGCAGGAGTCAGGGTCAGGGTGGGAGGGTAAAGTGGGTGTTGTCGCTAGTTTCAGCTGTGGAGTGGTGAGGAAGCAGAAAATAAGGTAACCAGGACCAAATTCTGGTAGGGGGCAATTAAGTTCAGATGGATGTCTATTGGTGGCTTGAGCATCCAACATTATACAGCCATGTGGCTGGTGTCATCAGGCATCTGAGCAACTGTGCTCTAACAAGTGGTGTTTCTGGATAAACTTAATCTTCAATGGTGAGTTTAGGCAGAGGGCTTCAAAGAGGGCTCAGGAACCTCTGAGCAACACCCGAAGTCTTTGGCTACACTAAAAAGCCCTGATTTATATAAATAAAGGCTTAGATGTTCTTTAAACAGCTCACTTGACATGCCTGAACCTTATAAACAATGAGACTAACGTAAATGTATGGTGCTCTAGAAATATTTGGAAGATCATCTTGACATACCTAAATTCAACTTGGCTTGCTAATTTTTAAGAGCCAGATCTAATACCGTACGTACATTACCCATTCCACAAATAATCAACCACATATACCTTTGGCCATCCCCACACCCATTGGATACGCACACAGCTGTCCTCACATGATCTTACACCCCTCCAACTCATCTATACCTACAAACAGAAGCACGTGCCTATCAAATGCACACATCTTCACCAAACCTTGGGTTCCCACAAACTTTTCTTCTCCTCCAGCCTATCCTGAGTTATGCAGCTGTTTTAGGCCATTCTCTGACCGACCAGCTATGCTCTAGGTGGAACAGCTGTGGTTAGAAACTTGGCCAGGACTTGCTGCCAAGAGCCAGTTAGAGGTGGTTGAGTGAGCACTATTGAGAGTAGCTGTGGAATGTGGGTGAAGCCAGAGGAGAGTGGGCACAGCTGATGTCCCTTCTTTAAGAAGACGCTCCCCTCCCTCCCCAGTGGGATGATGGAGGGCAGCTGTGTGCTGATGATGCAAAGAAAATGAGACGGTAGCGCTTAGCTTCAGAGGCAGCAGCTGCTGTGGTCTGGAGGGCACCACCAGGTCATCCCCAGAGGGTAAGCACTGCTCCAATGCCCTTGTGTAATGGTAGGAAGCGGCTGGCTCGCCCATCTCTGGTTAGATGGCATTAGCAAAGTTTGTTGAGTTTCTTTGAGGGCCAGTGTGTGATCATACATGTGTAAGGACACACTTCCTCATACACATTTATTTGTACACATAGACAACTGGCCTTGGGGATAATTTTTTTTTTAAGATTTCTGACTCGCAGGAAAAGCTGGGAGTTAGCAGGGATTGGCTAAATGTGTCTGATTCCCTTGCACACAGCTTCTCCTTGCCTGTGAAGCTAATGCTTTCACTCTCATTGAGAAGCAAGATCTCTCAGTTGGAGAGCCTTGTTTAGGTCATCTCACACCACACTCAATTTTGTCCTCTTGCTCCAGCTTACTTATTCCAGGCCAAAGGAGACCAGGGAAGTCAGGGACCTTTATTATTGCTGGGACCCATTTGATATTTGGAGCCGATAAATGAGATGTAGCCAATAAACGAGTCAGCAAAACCCAGCTTTGGTAATTAAATACCAATTGCAGTCCCAAGCTCCAAGGTCACTTACCTTTAATGTAAGAGTTCCTGTTTAGTGAGATTATTTTTTAAAAGACTCAATTAGCTGTAGGTTACTAACACTTTGAAGACCCCATCCTAGGTTTTTTGATGTCTTATTCTTCCCTACATGACCAGTGTCCTTCAATAGTTTCTCTGTTAGGCAGACCTCCACCAAGTGGCTCTATCCAGAACAATCTCCCACTTGCAATGTCCCAGAGGGCTAATTATCACCAATAGTACTGTTGTGACTATAGAAAGACCTGTGGCTGCAGAAAGACCCAGGCTTAGTAATTAAAAACCATCTGTTCGGCATCCATTTGTTTGGCACTCATCTCCCAAATTTAGAGCCCTTAGCACCCTTTCCTTCATTCTATCTTGCACCCCAGTTGACATGCTCCCTCTCTGATCCAGCAATGGGATTGGACACATCTTTGATTTCACTCCTACTTGGCCATCTCCTCAGCAACAGCTGCCTTCTCAGCTTGACTTCAATCTCCATATTTGCTATGGATAAATCCATAAACTGAATGCATCTGTCTCTAGCAGCTGGAAATTATGATCTCCCACTATGTGATTCCCTTCTTGCATGGGAGTTTGCATGAGAAACAGCTTAAAAATTATTTGTATTGCAGAATTAACCCTTTTTTTCAATACCTCCCATCAAAATTCTTCTCTCACTGTGGTATTTGGAGGGTACCAGTTGAATGCACTTGAATGTAAGAATTCATACTAAAGTATAAATGACTACTAGGTGGTTAATCAGATTTATGGCTCCCTGAAAGAATTATTTCAGAGGAAAGCAGCTTCATTCTGAACTGAGACATGAGAAGACACTTTGCCAAATTCTCAGTCTCTACAGGATCTGCCCCAACACATACCTGGTCTCCTGATATTATTTTTATTTGCTTTCTTCTTCCACATAATGCCTGCTTTTCCAAGGACTGAGATCATAACCCTCAGTATAACCACACTCTTTCACTGCCTTCAGGGTGAAGCCTACATTTTTACTTGGGGCCCAAACATAGAAATTCAGTCTCCCTAGTTGCCACCCCTCTGATATTCCTAACTTATCAATGCATTAGATCTTTGGGAAGTGTGATGAGGTGGACTCTCTTCCTCTCCAACAAGCAAACACTGCCCGATTCACATTGTCAGTGTTTGTTCATAGAACCATGCCATTTGCTCATAAATATCAAACTTCATGGGAAATGTTTTTCATGGGCCATTTTCCCTTTCTGCATAAACTCATTATTAAAGAATATAAAGAATAGTTGTTTATGCTCTTTTATTGGTGATCAAGGTAATTATGATAATTACAATATTTTGAACATATCTCATTTAATTATCATCTTAAACCCTCAAGATAGTAATTATTTGCCCTATATCATGGTTAAAGAAATTGAGGTTTGGACATATTAAATAATTTGCCTAAAGTCATGTAGTCAGCCTGTGGTTGTTCTAGGGTTCAGATGAAAGTCTGTTCCAAATTCTAATTTCAAATTCTGTGTTCCTTCCACTGAATCTATATGGCTAAGGATGATCTCTTGTAGTGAAATTTTTCTCCCCTCAAAGTTGAAGGCCATTTTAGTGACTAATGGGAACTTTTCTCTTCATTCCTAGTACTCCTCAAGTTTATAAAGTAAGGACCTTCGGGACTGGCACGACCTCATTATGGCTAACCAGCTAGCTCCCCTCAGCACTGTTTTTTCCTGCTGGTCACCAGTAAGTGAGACAAACCTGTCTTATCAACCACAATTGTTATTGCACCTACATTGAAATATTATATATGCGTGTTTGTGTAGTTTTTATATTACGATGTTTCGACATCTTAAAAATACTTTCTTGCTCAGAATAGCCTGCCCTGTGGTGGAGGTAGGGGGCTAGCCAATTTTTAAAGACTGCTAGGACTCTGCTGAGCATGACTTCAATATGCAAACTAATATAGAGCCATCCCTCTTCTGTCCAGTTTGTACACTCCAGGAGGCAATATTTTTCTGCCTTAATCATCCCAGGGCCAGGTACCAGACAACTAAGACCACCATTATAGCTTAGAGCCCACCAAAACTATTCAAACTAGCCAATGTGAAACTCTTTATGCTGCATTGCCTTGTCTTTCCCTTGAAAATCTCAGTTAAAGGCTCTTGTCTAAACTTTCCCCTCACTCCTGTCTTCTGCCTCCTGCTCACCCTGGTGTCTTTCCCACATAGCACTACACGGTGTGCTGTGCCTCCTCTCTCTAGGATCTGTGAATATAATAAAGTTTCTTCTTTCCTGAGCCTCTCCTGTCTCCTCTTGTGGCCACTCTTGACTGACCATCACATAAAAGAACACAAAGCAATTTCCTACAGAATTGAGGATGTAACTTGTACTTCTCTTTGGCACAGGGGAGCAAACAGTTTATTTGATAGGCGGAGAGTGAATTGAGTCTGAGAAGTTAAAAGTAAATGTACAGTTTTCTCCTGATCTGTGGACAGAACATAAGCTTGGAACATGCAGCTGGGAAAAATCCTAAAGTATGGATTCCCGATTTGTGAGTTTGTGAGGCTATAGAATAAATACTGTGACGGTTGTTACTTAGTGGCAGCTGATATCATCTGCCAGTTTTGCATATATTTCTCTTCATTTTCTAAGGCAAACCACAGATGTTTTATCCCTTGCAATTGCACCTGCAGACCTAAAACCAGTTAAAAAAAAAACATACACACACACACACAACAGGATAGCAGATGTTTCGAAATTGGAACAGTTATGTTATTGGACATGGAAAAAAACCCCACCAAAACTATTCTACTTTTTGTCAGTACAAATCCTAGGAAGTAACTCCTCTTCTCAATATGGTACAAAGACTAACAGTCCTGACTTTTCATTTCCCCTAATCCAGAGGGCAGTTTTGACATTTTATTTACGTAAAAGGTGATAGGTTTTATTCTAGCCCTGAGATTCAACTCACCTCTAATAAATTGTCCCACAGTATTCCTGACCCACTAGCATAAAATAAAGGAATGCTTTTAAGTCATATGAGGGCACCACATTTGCTGATGCAAAAATGTGTTACTCTGATAGGAAAGTTAATTAAGCAATAAGACATGACATGACGTGAATTATTGTGTAATAACTCATGCCTTTGGTGTAGCTAGGCACAAACCTGAAGGCCAAGTACCCCTACAGCATCTGGGCATGAATTATGCTACAATAATTCAAGCCCTGAAGCATTCCAATGAAGCAGGGGTTGGGAGCTGGGGAAGAAAACGAAGGACAAAAATTGATCTCTAATAAGTAAGAGGATGAAAAGGAGTTGTGTTGAGAACTGCATATGCTCCCCCTAAAGCAGTGCATTTATGACAAGCATTTGAGGATGAAGGACACTGGGATTCTTTTTATCACTTCTCATAGCTTTAAGAAAACACTACAAGCTTCCAACTCAGGGCCTGGTACCATATGCTGAGGAAAATGCTTTGCTGGAAGTATGGGCACTTGGGGTTCAGCAACTGCAGTGGATTCTTTTTGACACAAAGTGGGAAATAACTCATCTCTCAATAACTCTGGACATTTCTCGTTCTGCCCTCTGATTCTGGGGAAATAGATATCTTAAGAATCAGAATTCACGGCTCATGGGAGGTGGGGGTCCAGCTACACAAGTCTTCTGATCCATGAAATGAATACCATTTCCCTTGCTTCCCTGTATCCCACATTAAATTGGGGTCAGGTTTTGGCATCAGAAATAAGGAAATGAAGAAGTCCTGGTTCCCCAGGCTTTCATTTGACGTGAAGAACTAAAGACAAACCATATAGAAGCCATAGCACAAAGACTGAAATACAATGAACCTATTAGGTATCACGTCCAAAAAGTGGGAGCAAAATTAGGTCCACAGAAAGATCTTTCTGCTTATTTTCTTCCCTTTCATGGGCATACTGATTTGATGAATGATGATGTACCTAACAAGTCCCAGTTAGTGGCTATGGTCCTGTTAATCTCACAGCTAGATGATAGCTTGACAGCCAATCAGATCACTCTTTGTTAAAATCCAATTTAATTAAACAAAAAAATCTACAAAGGAAGCAGCATTTTCCTCCATTTAAATGTTGACACGTAAAACTGTTGAGATTGACAAGAACGTGTCCTGTCCAGCCTCACTCAACTCAAGCTGCACGCAGAACAGCTTTACTCCTTCCCTCTTGTTCTCCTTCTTTAACCTTCAGCCACAGACTGCACGGAGATGAGCAGTTCAGCAAATCTGCGACTTCAGATCTTACAAGTTTGCTGGTAAAATTCCAAAATTCATAGTCAGACCATGCCTCCCTCCATAAGACTAACATATGGTATTAACAAATTTTATCAACACTGTATAAAGGGAACGGCTCCAGAATGTGTTTCTGTTATTCTTACAGTTACTCTGTTGCCTTTCAGCATGGCACTGATACTGCCTCTCTTTGGTCCTGTTTGAAATGCTTATTTTAACATTTATTTCTTCTCTTAAATGGCTTCATCCTGGAATTCCTTCTTTATTTGGTAAGTTGCAATTCAGCCTCTTTGTTGAGCAAGTGGAGATCTCATAATTTCCTATTTATGTTATAAAAGTTTACAGCGTATTTAACAAATACTCCCTGAGGGAAAAAGCGCATTTTGATGAACAAAAAGTAGTCTACAGCAGGGGTCATCAAACTTTGTGTAAAGGGCCAAGCAATAAATGCTTTCAGCTTTGCAGTCCTGTTGAAACTACTTCACACTGCCATCTTGGCATAAAAGGTGCCATAGACGATATGTAAAAGAATGTGCTAGCCTGTGGTCCAATAAAACTTTATTTACAAATATAAGCAGCAGGCTGAATTGGCCTGATAGCTGTAGCTTACCAACCCACACTGTAGAGAGTTCAAGGGAAGGGGGCCAATTCTGTTCCCGCACTTTAGATTATGAATTCTTAAGAGCTGAGAGGAGGGTATGGAGGCAGGGAGGTTAGAGAGGTGGGAAATTCAGCTGTATAGTAAAAGATAAAAAATCTGGAATCAGATAGGTGAGTGATTGAATTTTGATCCAGCCACTTTCTCCTGTGTGACTTTGGGAAAGTTATTTAACTTCTCTGATCTTCACTCTCCTCATGCTTTTATAGGCAATCCTTAACTAGGGCAGAGGCTGTTAACTATTCATAAACCTCTGTATCTCCTTCCTGGGCTCAAAGCTAGACTATATTTCCCAGCTTCCTTTGCAGCGATGAGCTTCTGTGTGGTTAGAATCTCATCAGTAGAATATGCAGAGAGGGTGTGTACCAGTTCTGGTCTAGTGCATTTAAAACAGTGGGACTCCTATGTCCACACTCTCCATCTTGGTGGCTGGAATCCAAACTTGGTGGTGTAGCCTTCAGCACATGTACAAGATAATGCAATTTGGGATGTGGAGAGACAAGAAGGAAGGGGTCTTATCTCTGAATGGCTGCATGGCACAGCACTGCCTCATGAGCGGAAACACTCGTTGGGCTGTTTTGTGAGAGGAAAATAAACGCTGTTCTTGAAACTCCTCATTTTAGTGTTTTCTTGCTGCAGCAGTTTAGCCTGAAGGAAACAATGCAGTATCTAACATATGACTATTACAAATCTATAAAATAATTCATGTAAACTGCTTGGCATTTAATGGGCATTCTATAAAGGAGAGAGAGCTTTTATCTGTTTCCTTATTCAGGAGGGCTATGGTAAATTGGCCTTCTCATATCCATTTTTCTTCATTGTGGTAAGAATAATCTTTGCAAAATACAAAAGTGATTATATCATCATCCAGCCTAAAATTCTTAACAGGCCACTTCTTGCTGTTAAGATAAAAATTAGAATTCTTACCATAAATTTCAACCTTCCTGATCTGGCCCTTGCTGACATTTGCAGGCACATCTCTTGCCACTGTTGCCCTAGCTCTTCCACCTGGTCTCTCTGTTCTCCTTGCAGTTATCTGGACATGCTATACTCTTCCCACACAGTTTCATTCAGGCTATGTCTGGAAGGCTCCCTTCCCCATGCAACCAAATCTCTTAACTAGAGCACATTCTTTCTGATTTCTGCTCAAATGCTTTGGGGAGGCTTCCTTGATGCCAATTGTATGTTTTTATTTACTAAAGGTATTATATACCCTTCGCTTCTAGGATGGATCTCAATTCTGATGGGAATGTGTAGTTATTGGAAGTCTCCCCCACTAGACTGTAAGCCCCTTGACACAGGAATCTGCATATATTTTTGATCATGATTAAATCTCTTTTAACAACTCGCAAGAATTTGAACAAATGTTGTGCCAGAGAAGTTGAATCTATAAGTAACATTTTATATAACATAAATTAACAATAAATTAGAGTTATTTACAAGAATGAAACTATAAAAATAACAGGAGAAATTACAGATAATTTGCAAAACATAATCTTTGAATGCGGAAGCCTGCTTGAGCAATTATATTTTATTATCTGAAACTAAAATTTCTAATGCAAGAATACTCACCATAGTAAAGGCACAAAAGCATATTTACAAAACACATTAGCATGAAAGGATAATTTCCTTGATATAGGAAGAAAATTATAAATAAAACAATTCCAGAGAGAATTAGAAACATGAATAAGTAACACACAGAAAAAAGTAGTTTATAAATATATGATAAGACATTCAACCTAACTTTAAAGCAATGGAAATTAAAATTACAGGCGTATTTTCACCAACCATATCAGCAATGACAAAATGACTGATGATTTCTTAGGGTAAAAATGAATCATTATATACTGATGGTAAAAATAAAAATTGTTGTAAAACCTCTTTGATTCTATTTGGCAATATCTGTGAAAATTTTAAATGCACACATCATTTGACCCAGTAATGTCACATCGAAGAATTTGCTCTGAACTGGGCTGTATGATTGTTCTTCAAAATATATATGTATATGTGTATATGTATAAGCGTATTGGTTACAGCATAGATAGCAGTAGCAGCACTCTGGAAACTGCCTAAATACTCATTAAAGTAGCACAAAATAAATGAGTTGTGGTATGAACATACAGCTGAAAACTATAATAACATTAGAAAAGATGACATAAATGTATCAGTATAAAAAATGTCAACTACCAGTAATTAAAAAGAGCAAGTGACAGAATAATGTATATGCTATGATGCCATTTATATGAAGAACATACGTAGAGATATATAAGTATAATGCATGCGCACATGTGTGGAATGGGTGGAAAACACGTGATTTTGAGCTTTCGCAAGTGACTACCTTGGGGAATGGGTGTGTTAATGGCAGGTAGGTGGGGTGGGGAGATGAGGGGTATGGTGGAAAACTCCCTTTTGCTTTCTAGAATTCTGTATACTTTACTTTTCCTTCAAATATATTTTTTCACTATAAAAATTTGGAACTTTGCTAATTAAGCAAAGAGTGGTAGCTTTCAGTTATTATTTGTATTTGATTTCACATTCAGCCATTCTTTGACAATTTTTGTGCTATTTAAATTATAAGTTTTCAGTGCATTTAAAATCTATTAAAGTCTTACACCCTTCCCCTTTATTCCCGTTAATTACTCTCTTAAATTTTTGCTCTTCTATTCTTTTAGGAAATATTAAAATCATACTGTCAAGTTTCCCAAAAATTCTGTTGATATACTGATTGAAAAAACAATAAACTTTGGATTTTTTTCAGAAATATTGATTTTTTCTCCATTTACATAAATCTTTTTCATGAGTGTTGGTAAACTTTTAAATGTAAATATTACACACTTCTTGAAGCTTACTTGTATTATAAAATATAGATTTATTGTGAGTTTTGTAATTATTAATTATTTTTCCCATTTGCATTTTCTAACTGGTTTTTCATGATTGACAGGGAACCTACTGCCTTTTTCATTCTTTGTTTTGAATCTGACCATCTTGGTAAAATTTCTTATTAGTTCTTATAGTTTTCAGTTGACTCTTGGATTTTCTATGCAGGAAATACAGGCATCCACAAATAATGATTTTTTTGATTCTTCCAACCAATAGCAATATCTCATTTCCTTTTGTTTTCTTATTGTCTACAATAGTGATTCTCAAAATTCGTCTTTGCAAATTCCACAGAGCCAATTGACTCATACAGAAAGCTTTTGTTAATTTTGGCAAAAATTGTGTACCTTTAGTCAACCTATGGTTGCAACTGATAAACGAACATTCTAATGTGACTGTTACTTGACATTTTTCTTTACATACATTACAGTGAAAGACTAACATGAAAAAATGAAGAAGTATGTTGAAACTTCACTTAATTGGCAATAATTGCAGGATCAAATGCATTTTCTAATTCTGGAAAAATATTCCTCATTTTTTTTCTGCTTTTCTCAATGTAATGAGTATTTTCACATCATACTTTTAAATTTAATTTGCATTATTAACATTATCTTCATCATTTCTAAAAGTCTAGGTCAAAAGTCAACAAACTATGGCCAACGGGAAAAATTTGATTAAATGTTTGTTCTGTAAATAAAGTTTTACTGGGGCATAGTCACACTCATTTGTTTATAGATTGTCTGTAGTGGCTTTCACACTACCGTGGCAGCTCTGGCTGAGAGATTGTATGTCCCGCAAAATCCAAGATATTAATATTATTTGGCCCTTTACAGAAACATTTTGCCAGCCCCAATCTAGACAATTTACAAAACAAAACCTCAAACCCTGATTTTTACTGTTTGCCAATTTCAGTGCTGTAAGTATTCACATCATGAGCAATTTCAAGCCACCGATGTGAAGTCACTGAAGGCAGAATTGGGAAGATAGTGCAGAGCACGTAACTGTGTAGTATTCCTACCATACTGATACAATAGTGCTAAATAGTTCCACAAGCTTAGATAATAGTAACATATAGAAAAAATAATTAGGTAGCAATACATTTTAAGTATTTATTATTTTTTGTTTTAATATACTTTGTAAGTTTATGTATTTAATTTTTAAATAATGTCTGTATTTAATAACTGGCTTACAAAATCCCTAAATTTTTCACAACTTGCTTCTTTCAGAAGCCAGTATGTGCCAGCTCTAGCACCTCACTGTCTGAAAGGCTTTTAAAAATAGATCGAACCACCCCCACTCCGCCCTCACCCCCAGAGTTTCTGATTTAGTAGGACTGGAGTGGGGTCACAGAATTTGCATTTCTAACAGTTTCCGGGGTGATGCTGATGCTGCTGGTCCAGGGAATCAAACTTTGAGACCCACAATAACATTATATTAAGCAATAGTGGGATCTGCCTTTGTTTGATGGGTAGTCTAACTCATGTTAAAGAAGTACAGACAGATTTTTTAATTGGCTGGAAATTTTGTATTGTTGTCACTACTATTAATCCAAAATTGATATTGCATTTTATCAGTTGCCTACTGCTTATCTTTTGAGATGATTGGTTGTTTTTCCTTTTTTGATCTATTTATACAATGTTTCTACTAATATATTTCACATTAAGGAACTATCTTTTCATTCCTGGCATTGTCTATAATCATAATGGATTATTTTATTACTGCAACTTGCTTATTTAGGATTTTTGTTTTTTATTGCTAATCAACAATAACATTCATAATGTTCTTGCTACTTCTATGTTCTTATAAGGTTTTATTTTCAAGATTACACTGGCCTTTCAAAATTAATTTTAAAACTTCCCATCTGTTTCTATGAGCAGAAGTAGATTTTATACAGTATGGAAATTACATTTCTGGAAAATGTGAAAGTCTCATTGGAAGGCACATCTGGTTTAGAAACATTTTAGAAGACATTCTTTGTAATATTTCAAGTTTCTTCTAGGTAGTATTTCAGTTCACACTGTATCCATTTGGATTTAGTTTGAATAAATATTACTTTTCCATAAATGATCATTTCATCATGATTTTCAATATTTTAAAACACCTGTGAATCTGCTCTTATTTACTCTGCCTTCTCCCTAATTTTATAAATGTATTTTTTCTTCTTTTTTTCTCCACTAGATTTGCTATTTTTGTGGTAATGTATTATGTTACTTTAAAAAATCTGATCTTAGATTTACTTATCTATTGTTCTATTTTCTAATTTGCTTCTACTTTTCTTATCGTTTCTTTTTATTTTCTTAGGGATTTTTGGGGTATTTCTTAATCTCTTGAACTGAGAGTTTAATTTTAACTTTTGCCATTTAAAAACTTAATGTATAAACTTACAGCTTAAAAAATTATACTGAAAACAAGGTAATAAACACCCCAAAGTTATCATTTCCTGATTATTTTACTATATTTTATTACCTATCCTCTTAATAGATTTACATATATTGTATCTATGAGATGAAATATTATGCTGTACATACATAATCACTATTACATGGCAAATAACACAGAAAAATTGAGGAGTTTTTTCCCATGTTCAAAATCTATTATTGTTCAGTTCAGCAAAAGAATTTGTAATTGATAATCATGGAAAGTTTTTATATGTGTCTTCTTTCACTTTTGTCTTTACTCATTAACATAAATATAAATAAAATATTAACAAACATTCATGTTTGTCCTACACTCCTTTGTCAATTACAACCACAGATTGGCTACAGATACAAGAGTTAGGCAAATTCCAATTACTGCATTATTTGAGAATCAATTAGCCCTGTGAAAGTTACAGTAAAAGAGTATTGTATATTTTCTTATTATATGTAAATTGTGTGCAATTCAGTCTTTATAGCAGTAACAGTAATTAATAAACTTATGTATGCATGTATTTTTTTTTCTGGAGAACCAGTTATTAAACATTTGCCGGTACACTACTGATACCTAGGTAGAGTGAAAGGAATGAAGAGGTAGGTAGCATCTTCTAAGGCTCTGTTATGTGTGTGTGCTATTTTCACATGCTTTGAAGCACTTTCATATTTACACTGTATTTTGCTGTAAAGGTGAATTGTGCTATAACATTTATTTTTAAGTAATTTAAGTTAAGCATAATTATAATTATGAACTCAAAGTTTAAAAAATTGAAGAAAATGGTAGAACAATATATTGGGCAAAACAAACTTTATTATGTCTTATATACAAACTAATTCTAAATTTTTACTGTATAAACTTGTTTTCATTCTTTAAGAATATATTCTATCTGTGAAATTGTTTGTATGATTTGGGTTGGGATGAAATGTATCATATCTGTATTAGTCCATTTTCACACTGCAGATAAAGACATACCAGAGACTGAGAAGAAAGAGAGGTTCAATGGACTTACATTTCCACATGGCTGGGGAGGCCTCACAATCGCGGCAGAAGGCATAGTGGAGCAAGTCACAGTTTTTTAAATTTTACATTAAAAAGATTTTTATTAGTAAGTGTCAGGAGTAGACTAGGAACTGAATTTTACAGAATTTTTTTTCTTTGCAAAGGATAATTTTATTTATTTTTATTTATTTTTAATTATACTTTAAGTTCTGGGGTACATGTGCACAACGTGCAGGTTTGTTGCATAGGTATACACGTAGCATGTTGGTTTGCTACAACCATCAACCCGTCATTTACATTAGGTATTTCTCCTAATGCTATACCTCCCTCAGTCCCCCACCCCTCAACAGGCCCTGGTGTGTGATGTTACCCTCCCTGTGTCCATGTGTTCTCATTGTTCAGCTCCCACTTATAAGTGAGAACATGTGGTGTTTAGTTTTCTTGTTGTTACTTTGCTGAGAATGATGGTTTCTAGCTTCATCCATGTCCCTGCAAAGGACATTAACTCATCCTTTTTATGGCTGTATAGTACTCCGTGGTATGTATGTGCCACATTTCTTTATGCAGTCTATCACTGATGGGCATTTGGGTTGGTTCCAAGACTTTGCTATTGTGAACAGTGCTGCAATAAACACACTTGTACATGTGTTTTTATGGTAAAATGATTTATAGTCCTTTGGGTATATACCCAGTAATGGGAATGCTGGGTCAAATGGTATTTCTAGTTCTACATCCTTGAGGAATCGCCACACTGTCTTCCAAAATGGTTGAACTAATTCACACTCCCACCAACAGTGTAAAAGCATTCCTATTTCTCCACATCCTCTCCAGCATCTGTTATTTCCTGACTTTTTAATGATCACCATTCTAACTGGCGTGAGATAGTATCTCATTGTGGTTTGGATTTGCATTTCTCTAATGACAAGTGATGATAAGCATGTTTTCTTAAGTTTGTTGGCTGCATAAATGTCTTTTGAGAAATGTCTGTTCATATACTTTGCTCATTTTCTGACGGGATTGTTTTTCTTTTTTCTGGTAAATTTGTTTAAGTTCTTTGTAGATTCTGGATATTAGCCCTTTGTCAGATGGATAGATTGTGAAAATTTTCTGCCATTTTGTAGGTTGCCTGTTCCCTCTGATGGTAGTTCCTTTTGCTGTGCAGAAGCTCTTTAGTTTAATTAGATCCCATTTGTCAATTTTCGCTCTTGTTGCCATTGCTTTTGGTGTTTTAGTCATGAAGTCCTTGCCCATGCCTATGTCCTGAATGGTATTGCCTAGGTTTTCCTCTAGGGTTTTTATGGTTTTAGGTCTAACATTTAAGTCTTTAATCCACCTTGAGTTGATTTTTGTATAAGGTATAAGGAAGGGATCCAGTTTTAGCTTTCTACATATGGCTAGCCAGTTTTCCCAGCACCATTTATTAAGTAGGGAATCCTTTTCCCATTGCTTGTTTTTGTCAGGTTTGTCCAAGATCAGATGGTTGTAGATGTGTGGGGTTATTTCTGAGGGCTCTGTTCTGTTCCATTGGTCTGTATCTCTGTTTTGGTACCAGTACCATGCCGTTTTGGTTACTGTAGCCTTGTAGTATGGTTTGAAGTCAGGTAGCATGATGCCTCCAGCTTTGTTCTTTTTGCTTAGGATCAACTTGGCAATGTGGCCTCTTTTTTGGTTCCATATGAACTTTAAAGTAGTTTTTTCCAATTCTGTGAAGAAAGTCATTGGTAGCTTGATGGGGATGGCATTGAATCTATAAATTACCTTGGGCACTATGGCCATTTTCACGATATTGATTCTTCCTATCCGTGAGCATGGAATGTTCTTCCATTTGTTTGTATACGCTTTTATTTCATTGAGCGGTGGTTTGTAGTTCTCCTTGAAGAGGTCCTTCACATTCTTTGTAAGTTGGCTTCTTAGGTATTTTCTTCTCTTTGTAGCAGTTGTGAATGGGAGTTCACTCATGATTTGGCTGTTTGTCTGTTATTGGTGTATAGGAATGCTTGTGGTTTTTGCACATTGATTTTGTATCCTGAGACTTTGCTGAAGTTGCTTATCAGCTTAAGGAGATTTTGGGCTGAGACGACGGGGTTTTCTAAATATACAATCATGTCATCTGCAAACAGAGACAATTTGACTTCCTCTTTTCCTAACTGAATACCCTTTATTTCCCTCTCCTGCCTGATTGCCCTGGTCAAAACTTCCAATACTATGTTGAATAGGAGTGGTGAGAGAGGGCATCCCTGTCTTGTGCCAGTTTTCAAAGGGAATGCTTCCAGCTTTTGCCCATTCAGTATGATATTGGCTGTGGGTTTGTCATAAATAGCTCTTATTATTTTGAGATACGTTCCATCAATACCCAGTTTATTGAGACTTTTTAGCATGAAGGAGAGTTGAATTTTATCAAAGGCGTTTTCTGCATCTATTGAGATAATCATGTGGTTTTTGTCATTGGTTCTGTTTATGTGATGGATTATGTTTATTGATTTGCGTATGTTGAACCAGCCTTGCATCCCAGGGATGAAACCGAGTTGATCATGGTGGATAAGCTTTTTGATGTGCTGCTGGATTTGGTATGCCAATATTTTATTGAGGATTTTCACATTGATTTTCATCAGGGGTATTGGCCTAACAATTTGTTGTTTTGTCTCTGCCAGGTTTTTGTATCAGGATGATGCTGACCTCATGAATGAGTTAGGGAGGATTCCCTCTTTTTCTATTGATTGGAATAGTTTCAGAAGGAATGGTACCAGCTCCTTTTTGTACCTCTGGTAGAATTCAGCTGTGAATCGGTCTGGTCCTTTTTTTGGCTGGTAGGATATTAATTACTGCCACAACTTCAGAACTTGTTATTGTTCTATTCAGAGATTCGACTTCTTCTTAGTTTAGTCTTGGGAGGGTGTATGTGTCCAGGAATTTATCGATTTCTTCTAGATTTTCTAGTTTATTTGCATAGAGGTATTTATAGTATTCCCTGATGGTAGTTTGTATTTTTCTGTGGGATCAGTGGTGATATCCCCTTTATCATTTTTTATTGCATCTACTTCATTCTTCTCTCTTTTCTTCTTTGTTAGTCTGGCTAGCAGTGTAGCAGTGTATCTATTTTCTCGATCTTTTCAAAAAACCAGCTCCTGGATTCATTGATTTTTTGAAGGGCTTTTTGTGTCTCTATCTCCTTCAGTTCTGCTCTGATCTTAGTTATTTCTTGTCTTCTGCTAGCTTTTGAATTTGTTTACTTTTGCTTCTCTAGATCTTTTAATTGTGATGTTAGGGTGTCGATTTTAGATCTTTCCTGCTTTTTCTTGTGGGCATTTAGTGCTATAAATTTCCCTCTGCACACTGCTTTAAATGTGTCCCAGAGATTCTGGTACATTTTGTCTTTGTGTTCATTGATTTCAAAGAACTTCTTTTTTTTTTTTAATTATACTTTAAGTTTTAGGCTACATGTGCACAATGTGCAGGTTAGTTACATATGTATACGTGTGCCATGTTGGTGTGCTGCACCCATCAACTCGTCATTTAACATTAGGTATATCTCCTAATGCTATCCCTCCCCACTCCCCCCACCCCACAACAGTCCCCAGTGTGTGATGTTCTTCTTCCTGTGTCCATGTGTTCTCTTTGTTCAATTCCTACCTATGAGTGAGAACATGCGGTGTTTGGTTTTTTGTCCTTGCAATAGTTTGCTGAGAATGATGGTTTCTAGCCTCATCCATGTCCCTACAAAGGACATGAACTCATCATTTTTTATGGCTGCATAGTATTCCATGATGTATATGTGCCACATTTTCTTAATCCAGTCTATCACTGTTGGACATTTGGATTGGTTCCAAGTCTTTGCTATTGTGAATAGTGCCAAAATAGACATACGTGTGCATGTGTCTTTATAGCAGCATGATTTGTAATCCTTTGGGTATATACCCAGTAATGGGATGGCTGGGTCAAATGGTAGTTCTAGATCCCTGAGGAATCGCCACACTGACTTCCACAATGGTTGAACTACTTTACAGTCCCACCAACAGTATAAAAGTGTTCCTATTTCTCCACATCCTCTCTAGCACCTGTTGTTTCCTGACATTCTAATGATCACCATTCTAACTGGTGTGAGGTGGTATCTCATTGTGGTTTTGATTTGCATTTCTCTGATGGCCAGTGATGATAAGCATTTTTTTCATGTGTCTGTTGGCTGATAAATGTCTTCTTTTGAGAAGTGTCTGTTCATATCCTTCGCCCACTTTTTGATGGGGCTGTTTATTTTTTTCTTGTAGATTTGAGTTCAAAGAACATCTTTATTCCTGTCTTCATTTTGTTATTTACCCCAGTAGTCATTCAGGAGCAGGTTGTTCAGTTTCCATGTAGTTGTGCGGTTTTGAGTGAGTTTCTTAATCCTGAGTTCTAATTTGATTGTACTGTGGTCTGAGAGACAGTTTGTTGTGATTTCTGTTCTTTTACATTTGCTGAGAAGTGTTTTACTTCCAATTATGTGGTTGATTTTAGAATAAGTGTGATGTGGTGCTGAGAAGAATGTATATTCTGTTGATTTGGGGTGGAGAGTTCTGTAGATGTCTATTTTTTCTGCTTGGTCCAGAGCTGAGTTCAAATCCTGGATATCCTTGTTAATTTTCTGTCTTGTTGATCTAATATATTGAGTGGGGTGTTAAAGTCTCCCACTATTATTGTATGGGAGTCTAAGTCTCTTTGTAGGTCTCTAAGAACTTGCTTTATGAATCTGGGTGCTCCTATATTCATGCATATATATTTAGGATAGTTAGCTCTTCTTGTTGTATTGATCCATTTACCATTATGTAATGCCCTTCTTTTCTCTTTCGACCTTTGTTGGTTTAAAGTCTGTTTTATCAGAGACTAGGATTGCAACCCCTGCTTTTTTTTTTTTTTTTTTGCTTTCCATTTGCTTGGTAAATCTTCCTCCATCCCTTTATTTTGAGCCTATGTGTGTCTTTGCACATGAGATGGGTCTCCTGAATACAGCACACTAATGGGTCTTGAGTTGATAAAGATCCAGTTTGCCAGTCTAAGTCTTTTAATTGGGGCATTTAGCCCGTTTACATTTAAGGTTAATATTGTTATGTGTGAATTTGATTCTGTCATTATGATGCTAGGTGGTTATTTTGGCCATTAGTTGATGCAGTTTCTTCATAGTGTCAATGGTCTTTACAATTTGGCATGTTTTTGCAGTGACTGGTACCAGTTGTTCCTTTCCATGTTTAGTGCTTCCTTCAGGAACTCTTCTAAGGCAAGCCTAGTGGTGATAAAAATCTCTCAGCATTTGCTTGTCTGTAAAGGATTTTATTTCTCCTTCACTTATGAAAGTTAGTTGGGCTGGATATGAAATTCTGGGTTGAAAATTCTTTTCTTTTAGAATGTTGAATATTGGCCCCCATTCTCTTCTTGCTTGTCGGGTTTCTGTTGAGAGATCCGCTGTTAGCCTGATGGGCTTCTCTTGGTGGGTAACCTGAACTTTCTCTCTGGCTGCCCTCGACATTTTTTCCTTCAATTCATCCTTGGTGAATCTGACGATTATGTGTCTTGGGGTGGCTCTTTTTGAGGAATATCTTTGTGGTGTTCTCTGTATTTCCTGAATTTGAATGTTGGTCTACCTTGCTAGGTTGTGGAAGTTCTCCCGGATAAAATCCTGAAGAGTGTTTTCCTACTTGGTTCCATTCTCCCTGTCACTTTCAGGTATACCAATCAAATGTAGATTTGGTCTTTTCACATAGTCCCATATTTCTTGGAGGCTTTGTTCATTTCTTTTCACTCTTTTTTCTCTAATCTTGTCTTCTCGCTTTATTTCATTAAGTTGATCTTCAATCACTGATGTCCTTTCTTTCGCTTGATCAATCGACTATTGAAACTTGAGTATGCTTCATGAAGTTCTCATGCTGCATGTTTCAGCTCCATCAGGTCATTTATGTTCTTCTCTACACTGGATATTCTAGTTAGCAATTCATCTAACCCTTTTTCAAGGTTCTTAGCTTCCTTGCACTGAGTTAGAACATTCTCCTTTAGCTCAGAGGAGTTTGTTATTACCCACCTTCTGAAGCCTACTTCAGTCAATTCACCAAACTCATTCTCTGTCCAGTTTTGTTCCCTTGCTGGCGAGGGGTTGTGATCCTTTGGAGGAGAACAGGCATTCTGGTTTTGGGAATTTTCAGCTGGTTTTTCCCCATCTTTGTGGTTTTGTATACCTTCGTTCTTTGATGTTGGTGACCTATGGATGGGGTTTTGGTGTCTATGTCCTTTTTGTTGATGTTGATGCTATTCCTTTCTGTTTGTTAGTTTTCCTTCTAACAGGCCCCTCAGCTGCAGGTCTGTTGGAGTTTGCTGGAGGTACACTCCAGACACTGTTTGCCTGGGTATTACCAGCAGAAGCTGCAGAACAGCAACTATTGCTGCCCGATCCTTTCTCTGGAAGCTTGGTCCCAGAGGGGCACATGCCAGATGCCAGCTAGAGCTCTCCTGTATGAGGTGCCTGTCGGTCCCTACTGGGAGGTGTCCCCCAGTTAGGCTACACGGGGGTCAGGGACCCACTTGAGGAGGCAGTCTGTCCTTTATCAGTGCTTGAATGCCATGATGGGAGAACCACTGCTCTCTTCAAAGCTGTCAGGCAGGGATGTTTAAGTCTGCTGAAGCTGTGCCCACAGCTGCCCCTTCCCCCAGGTGCTCTGTCCCAGGGAGATGAGGGTTTTATATATAAGTCCCTGACTGGGGCTGCCTTTTGTTCAGAGATGCCCTGCCCACAGAGGTGAAATCTAGAGTGGCAGTCAGCCTTGCTGAGCTGTGGTGGGCTCCTCCCAGTTTGAACTTTGCAGTTGCTTTGTTTACACTGTGAGCATAAAACCGCCTACTCAAGCCTCAGTAATGGCCGACACCCCTCCCCCTACCAAGCTCAAGCATCCCAGGTTGATCTCAGACTGCTGCGCTGGCAGCAAGGATTTCAAGCCAATGGATGTGGGACCCACTGAGCCAGGCACCCGAGGGAATCTCCTTGTCTGCTGGTTGTGAAGACTATGGGAAAAGTGCAGTATCTGGGCAGGAGTGTATCATTTCTCTTGGTACAGACTGTCAAGGCTTCCCTTGGCTAGGAAAGGGAAATCCCCCGACCCCTTGCACTTCCTGGGTGAGGCAACGCCCCACCCTGCTTCAGCTCACCCTCCATGGTCTCTGCCCACTGTCCAACCAGTCCCAGTGAGATGAACCACGTACCTCAGTTGGAAGTGCAGAAATCACCTGCCTTCTAGGTGGATCTCGCTGGGAGCTGCAGACTGGAGCTGTTCCTATTCAGCCATCTTGCTGGACCCTACGAGTCATGGTCTTACATGGATGGCAGGAGGCAGAGAGCTTCTGTAGGGAAACTCCCATTTTTAAAACCATCAGATCACGTGAGACTTATTCACTCTCCTGAGAACACCATGGGAAAGACCCATCCTCATGATTCAGTTACCTCCCACTGGATTCCTCCCATGACATGTGGGAAATGTGGGAGTTACAATTCAAAATGAGATTTGGGTGGGGACACAAATCAAACCATAACAATGTCTTTTTTTTTTTAATTGTGGTATTAACAATAGACAAGAAGTGGAAACAACTTAAATGTCCACTGTTAGATAAATGGATAAGGAAAATATGTGAGGTATGTGTGTGTGTGTGTATAATATTATACAACCTTTTTTTTTCTTTTTGAGACAGGGTCTTACTCTGTTGCCTAGCCTGGAGTGTACAGTGGCACAGTGGTGCAATCTTGGCTCACTGCAACCTCTGCCTCTGGGTTCAAGCAATCCTTCTGTCTCAGCCTCTCAAGTACCTGTGACTATAGGCATGTGGCAACAAGCCTGGCTAATTTTTGTATTTTTAGTAGAGACAGGGTTTCACCATGTTGCCCAGGCTGGTCTCAAACTTCTGGCCTCAAGCGATCCACGTGTCTTGGCCTCTGTAAGTTCTGGGATTACAGGAGTGAGCCACTGTGCTCTGCCTCATTCAGCCTTTGAAAAGAAGAAAGTTCTGCGATATTTGACAACATCATGAATCTTGAGGGTATTATGCTGAGAGAAATAAGCCCTCACAGAAGGACACATACTGTATTATTCCATTTATATCTTTTTCCATTGCAATTAGTACTTTTTTTCTTTTGAATTAATAGCTTTCCATTTGGAGACAGTTTTCATGAGAAGATTAACATTGATAGTGAGGAACAGATATATATTGAAACAACAAATGCATGTCTTTCTCCACTGTCTGAGATGGTATTAATATATAGGACTGAGCTTTGGCAACCTTATTTCTCTGGTAAGTGTTAGTGGTTATGGGACTGGTATAGTGCCTGTGGGCTACCTCATGAGCAGGGGTCTAAATGACCTAACAGGGATAGGACCTTCAAACCTGATGTTTTCATGGACCTAAACTGGGTTGTACTCTTGTGAAAAAATATCCCTTTCTAGCTCCTGGTGATCCCAGGGGATTCATCCCTCACCCCTAAGACAAATATTTAATAAGAATCTACTTCATGCAGGCCACTATCCTTGGCACTGCTGGTCCTATCAACGAACCATATGTTCTTTTATTTACGCTCTTGGAGGTGAGCTAACTCCAGTCAGGTCTCAGATAATCTTATCTGACTCAACAGTGGAGTAAGGCAAACTGGACAAAAAATTATGGCAATGTCATAAACTCAGCAATAAAAAGGGTTTTGCTATGTGTGAGGATACTTATTATTGTGGCTGGTTGGATTTTGGGGGAAGAGGTCCAGCAGACTTTCTCAAACATGGTGCCAGGTGTTAGAGGGCCAAAGTGACATAAGGCACAGTTCTTGAACTCAGAGAACTTGACAGGAAGTAGAGGAGACAGAAAGATGAACGGTGAACAGCAATACGTTATTCTTGATTTTGTTTTTTAATTAAGGTAAAATTCACATAAAATCACCATTTTAACCATTTGAAGTGAACAGTTGAGCAGCATTTAGTACATTCCAAATGTTAGGCAACTACCACCAGTATCTAGTTCTGGAACAGTTTTCTCACCTCTGCACACTGCTAATATGTTTTCTATCTCTATGGATTTAAGGTTGGCTGGACTTTCATTCCATACAAAGAATTGTATTAGCAGCAAAAGAGAAGAGGTCAAATTCCCTAAACTAACTGGGTGAGATTGAGCAAGACGCTATGCCTTTTTGAAGTTCAGGTGCTTTATCTACCAAACATAAATAATACCTGATTTCTCTGAAGCTATGAGACAAGACCAGGTGATCCTTAAAGGTTGCTTTGGGCTCTAAGCTTTCTGATTATGTAATTTCATGGTATTTGTGAAAACCATGAATCGATGCTTTACAATACACTAAAGCTTTATTTGTTTGTAACCTTAGTAATTAAACTCTAGCAGGCCATCACAAGCCTCTCTTTAAACAAATATCTTATAGTACTTGCAGGCACTGCAAAGTATAATGAAAAAAGTAAAGCTCCAAAGTCATCAGAAATCTTTCTGGAAGGACTCTTTCTTTGTGTTGTTAAGATTTGCATCATTCATACCATCATATGAAGAGAGAAGGAGCCTTGTCATTTTTTCCCTCTATTTTTCACTCTATTTTAGTAATAACCTGTAGACATTCTAAACTGCCAACCTCTGCTTTGATCTATTTTTAAGATACTAAAGGACAATTGAGGTTAATAAAGTGGTCCCTCAGTATACATGGGGGATTCCTTCCAGGACTGCCCTTGTATATCGAAATCTGTGCATGCTCAAGTCCCACAGTCAGCCCTGTGGAACTTGCATCTACATAGGCAGGTTTCATGAATACTGTATCTTTTCCATCTAGCATTTGGTTGAAAAATAACAAACAAACAATATAAGTGGACTGGCATGGTTCAAACCTGTGTTGTTTAAGGGGCAATTGTATAACCAAAGAGAAATATCTGTAAACACAAACAGTCCATGATGTGCTAAAGTAGCAGTCACAGAATTTCAAATACATATGGGGACACTGAAGTAATGAAGGGAAAGTTAACACAAAAGGAAAGATCCAGTTGTCTAATTCCTATCATTTTGGTTTGAGGTCAGATGCTGACTTCCTAGCCAGTATGAGTACAGTTGTAGCACATGGCTGTACCAGCCATTTCTCCATAAGTGCTTGATTCTTCATTTATTGCTACTTTTCTTACTTTGATAGTAGTATGGCTCCAAAAAACATGGCACAAGGGATCGTTCATTGATTGACAATCTCTCACAAACATGCATTTAGCAACAAGAGCCCTTTAGATTTGTGTGTGTGTGTGTGTGTGTGTGTGTGTGTGTGTGTGTGTGCTGGAAAATGACCTACAACTGACCCTCTCAAATTATAAAAGTTTTAAAGATTTCTTAAATGTTCTAAACATTAGCCACATGGGAGGGACTGATCTTGAAGGCCTTCTGGTGACTATTTTAAAGGAAAATAGTTGTCCTTAAATAGAAGAGAAAATGTCTGAGTCCCATGAACCTCATCTCTCTTCTAGTGCCTCATTTTCTCTTTCCTCTTCTTTTTCTCACTCCCTGCCTCCTTTCTTCTTCAATTTTTCCTCCCCTCTTCTCCTATTTGAAAATTGTCAGAGAGTGACAGACCACATAGGACAGTCTACCTGGTCCTGAAAGTGAAGCTTCCCACCATCTCTCAGCCTTCTTCATGACGAAGTCATATAGGGCCCTGGACTTTTGGCCTCTGTCTTCTGAGATTCTTGGAACCCTATGTGATTTCAAATTAAGGGGAGCTTTTTATGAAAATAAACTAGCATGAAGCCCTTGGGTCATTAGTTCTGCCTGGATTGAATATTGCAAAGAGCATAACTCTCCTTCTTTGAAAGGAAAATTCATGAAAAGAAAGTTTTGTAAAGTCTGGGTATTCATTAAAAGACATGTAAAAAGTCAAATAGACCCTCAATTTAAAATAAGCTGTGTAATTTAAGAAAATGTGCCCATAGCATACAGCTCCATGTATGGCTTGTCCTTACTCACTAACAGCTGTATAGGATTTGCCGTTTCTTCCATGTTTCATGTGATGATAGTGGATGCCGGCTCTTAGCTTCCAACACTGATTGCTATTCAGGGACTGGGATTCTGGATCTGCTCCAATCATGTGGAATCTATTTTGGACACATCATGTCACACTTGAACTCTAAAATATGCCTATCGGTGAAAGGTTCTGTTTATCTTTCTCTTTACTCAGACTCACACAGAAAATGGAGTTCAGTCCTCACACCAGCGGACTTTGTTTTATTCTAAAACCCTCTTTGAATCCTCAGCAGCAGTAGCAGAAACAATTTCTGAACTTCTTGATATGGTGGCTGCTTTTCCCTCAGCACTCCGGTCTCAGCCTTCTGCTTACGACTTGCCCTGCTCTTTCATTGTACTCACTTCCTTCTTTGCAAATCTCCCATATGGGCAATTAGGACTGCGATTTACACTGGTTTTCTTCTACTTTGCACGCAGCAAGCAGCTCAGTCCTTTCGTAGGACACACAGCTGTGACTGCCTCTCCAGGGGAGGGAATTTACCACTAAGCATGGCAGCCTGCAAGAGATGCCAGAGAGAACATCAGGGGCGACACTTCATAGTCAGAGAAGCGTGCATGGAGTATTGAGAAAGGAGAAAAAGCCAAGGAGAGGTCAGGCTTTGATTCACTGAGAGTAAGGAAAGAACCAAATGGAACAGGAGCAAACACAGGGTCAAGACAGACCTGTAAGGCCAAAGCCTTTTGGGCAGAGGGCAAAATTCTGCATCTCATCTAGAAAGATGGAAAAACAGGGGATTCTCTTTGTACCTTTGTCAAGTTCCAGACAACAGTGTGGTTTTCTTTCTAACTCTTTATTGCAATCAAAGTGAGCATTGGATCCTGGAATTACAGTTTCTGGTAAATTTATTTTACATTCAGAAGACTATTCAATAAAGCTTTTTGATATTGTCTTTCTTTTTCTTCTGAGTTCATTTTGTTTTTTTCTTTCCCTGATGAGTGAGCCAAGAATGTAGTTCAGACTTTCTGGCTGCTCCAATTTTGATATTTGAGTCTGATAAAGTTGTCTAGTGTAGACAGGATAGATTTTTTTTTTTCTTTTTAGGGAAGGAAGGGAGGAAAAGGAGAGAAGAGGATTTTCTCAAAGCTCTTGAAAAATGAGTAATTTTAGGAGGAAGGCATTGCTTAGCCGTGGAAAGCCTCTGAGTCCTCAAACTTGGATGTCTTTGAAAGAAGACCCCCATATGCAATGTGGCATGATTGACAAGAAATTTGTTTGAAATGACTGAGAGGCCCTCATTAGGCTGGGACTCCTCACCATCTGGGTTTGAGTTTTGATAATGGGGTCAGGCTCTCTTTTGGTCTGTGCGTTGAATAGCTGAGTGTAATTTGTTAGTGATTGTGGCTAAAACACAAACATTTTTTAGTCACATTCATAGGAATTTGAAACTAACCGCAGTCTTGGGGCACAACAGTGAGAAAACACTTTCCAGCTGCACTACTGTGCTTGGCGACCCAGTTGAGAAGCTCTCACAAAGCAGCCAGTCTCACTTCGGGCTGGACGGGCGCCATTGGAAACAGAAGTGCAACTTTATCACTTGACTTCAAGAAGAGGTTTCCCAGCAACAATATGGAGACAAGATACAAGACAGATCCCATGGAGGAAGCTGCCCTTTCCCAGTGGGGAGCTTGCATGTAGGATAGGTAAGGAAGGGCGCTAAGAGGCAAAACAGGGGCCAGCCCAATATCTTCTTATAGACAAATTTCAGTTGATTTCTGCCTGAATAACAAATGTGAACTGGAGAGGCTTCACATTTACCCATGAGAAAGAGATTAAGCCCAAGTAATCACCCCACAAACCAGCACCTACAAAAACCATTGCTTACCACGACAGTAATCACTCTCAGAACATTCCCCTAAAGGCTTACTGTAGCATGTGCAGAGAAGAGCACCAAACTACTTTTTGTTGTTATTTAAGAATCCCAACAGCCTCTTCAAAATCAGAGGTGTATTTTGAACTTCTGGCTTCGATTTTCATCCTTTAGTTGAGGAAGGGGTGGAGGCTTCAGGTAGGCAATTTGAAGGCATAGCATTCAGATCAGCTCACTAGAGAATCTGGGTGCTCCAAGCCCCAGGTGGTCTCAATGGAAGCAAAGCTCCAGGAATAAGTCAATGAAAAATGTTTTATTAATCATACATTTTTTAAAAGGTTATAAGGGCTAGTAGACTATGTGTGAGGACTAAATCATAGTCCTGGATAGGACTCATACCTTTTTAAACCTCATCAAACTCAGCAGATCTTTTATTTATTTTGAAAAATGTGACTACATGGATACCACCTTTCAGAGACCACAACTGCAACTCACCAATATCTGTAGCATATGGATTCATTCCTGCTTTTATATTTGTAAATATATAAGAAGCTGTGTGATTCAAAAAGTGACTTAGAAGGATTGAAGTCATAAATTTTTTTTCTTCAAGTAAAAGGACGTTTGAGAAATACTGGTCAAGAGTAAAATCAAAGAGATGGATGTAGAGACATTGGCTGGGTGTGGTGGCTCACACCTGTAATTCCAGCACTTTGGGCGGATCACATGAGGCTGGGAGTTCCAGACCAGCCTGGCCAACATGGCAAAACCCTGTCTCTCCTAAAAAAAAAAAAATTAGGGGGGCATGTTGACAGGCATCTGTAGTACCAGCTACTCGGGAGGCTGAGGCATGAGAATCGCTGGAAGCCGGGAGGCAGAGGTTTCAGTGAGCTGAGATTGTGCCATTGCACTCCAACCTGGATAATAGAGTGAGAATCTATCTCAAAAAAAAAAAAAAAAAAAAAAAAAAAGCAGGGGCGGGAGAGAGAGAGACTGACTTGATTGAGTTGATCTTCATTGGTATCAGATCTATAATTATTTTAATACTTTTAAAATTAATCTAGCTTATTAAAATGAAACTATTGAGAATATTTTTAAAGATTTAGCTTCGAAGATGTTCATTGTAATACTGTATATAACAGTGAACATTATGAAACATTTTGAAAGCCCCAAATTAATAGACAATTAATTATACTTAGGTATATACATGCAATAGAATACAATATACTACTCAAAAATTAATCAACAGATATACTATGTACACATCAAAAGAACATGGAAAATGCATTTTCTCTATTGATGTGTTGAAAAAACAAGCTACCAAATAGTAAATACCTGGGTTTGGAATTATATGTATTTTCTACTTTCTTCTTTTTGATGATCTTTGATCATCTATTTTCTCTTTTGATGCTCTTTAGATAATCAGTGTTATCTAATATCTCTATAATAATTATGTGTTGCTTCTGTAATATAAAAAAATACATACTGCTTTAAGTTAAAAATTAATGAACACCTTACTTTTATGCATTATTTTATTTTTAACTTATTCCAAAAGAATATGAGAAGGCTAAATAATTTTTTAACTTTTTTAAAAGATGAAAATGAGTTTATCGAGATAAAGGAATAATTAAAGGGAATAATAATATAACAAATGTATGCCATGTAATTTTGTAATTATTGAAAGTCTATATAGAACTTTCTCTGAATTTCCAAAAAAAAAAACTATACAAAAATGTCAAACAGATGTTACATTGTGCCCTGGAGGTATAACAACTAATCTGGAAAAGCACATTGCTCCAGGCATTGAAGCCTGAGGGAGTTCTCTTTTGTGAATCCTTATACAGAATGAAGGAATAAGAGACAGGCTCATAACCTTTCTAGTAAATTCTAGGCTGATGTTCATGGAACCATCCTATAGACAGGACTACCTGTTGAACAGCTCCAAAGGACACTATTCACATCTTTGTCCGTGTGAAGGGGCACAGTGGAATTGTACCCTGTTGCCATACTTGGTGGCCATAAAATAAAATTTTAGGCCATAAAATTAAATTTAGGAAACATAGTAATTCTAGAGGGGCCCAACTATTCAAACTCCACTGTGCTGGGTTAGAGCAGGGCTAAAATGATGAATCCTGTGTCTTTCAGGAAATGCTTCCTGAATATTATTTCTCATGACTTAACTTTGGGTACATGTTGAGGAGTTGGAGGGCTAGAAAGAACTGTTTATACTTCACCAGTCAACCCAACAGGAGCTGGGCCTAAAGAGCGATTCCTAGGCTCAGTATGCCCTGCTGAATGTTGAAGAGTAAAAGACTCAATACAGGCACACCTCAAAGATATTGTAGGTTTGGTTCCAGATCACCACAATAAAGCCAATATTGCAATAACATGAGTCACACAATTTTTTTGTTTTCCGCAGGCACATAAAAGTTATGCTTACACTATACTATAGTCAATTAAATGTGCAATAGTGTTATACCCAAAAACAAAGTGCATGCCTTATTTTTTTTTTTAATTTTTTTGAGACCATATCAGCTCATTGCAACCTCCACCTCCCAGGTTCAAGTAATTCTTGTGCCTCAGCCTCCCAAGTAGCTGGGATTCCAGGCATGCACCACCATGCTCAGCTAATTTTCGTGTTTTTAGTAGAGACGAGGTTTTACCATGTTGGCCAGGCTGGCCTAGAACTCCTAATCTCAAGTGATCCACCTGCCTTAGCCTCCCAAAGTGCTGGGACTACACATGCCTTATTTTTAAAATATTTTATCAGTAAAAATGTGAACGATCATCTGAGCCTTCAGTGAGTGACAATCTTTGCTGGTGGAGGGTCTTGCCTTGATGTTGATGGCTGCTGACTGATCAGGGTGGTGGTTATTTAAAGTTGGGGTGGCTGTGGCAATTTTGAAAATAAGACAACAATGAAGTTTGCCTCATTGAGTGACTCTTCTTTTCACAAAAGATTTCTCTGTAGCGTGTGATGCTGTTTAATAGTGTTTTACTTATGGTAGAATTTCTTCCAAAACTGAAATTAATCCTCTCAAACCCTGCCCCTGCTCTATCAACTAAGTTTATATGATATTCTAAATCCTGTGTTTCATTTCAACAATGTTCACAGTATCTTCACCAGAAGCAGTTTCCATTTTAATAAACCACTTTCTTTGCTCATCTGTAAGAAGCAACTCCTTATTTGTTCAAGTTTGATCATGAGTTGTAGTCATTCAGTCACATCTTTAGACTCGACTTCTATTCTAGTTCTCCTGCTATTTCCACCACATCTGCAGTGATTTCCTCAATTGAAGCCTTGAACCCCTCAAAGTCATCCATGAGGGTTGGAACCAACTTCTTCCAAATTCCCATTAATGTTAGTATTTTGACCTCCTCCCATGAATCATGGGTGTTCTTAATGGCATCTGGAACGGTACAGTCTTTACAGAAGGTATCCCATTTACTTTGCCCAGATCCATCAGTGGAATCACAATCTATGGCAACTATAGCCTTACAAAATGTATTTCATAAATAGTAAGATTTAAAAGTTGAAATTACTCCTTGATCCATGGGCTAAAGAATGGATATTGTGTTAGTAGGCAAGAAAATTACATTAATCTCCTTGTACATCTCTGTACATCAGAGTTCTTGGTTGAGAAGGTACATTGTCAATGAGTCAATTAGTGGTAATATTTTAACATAATTTTTTTTTTCCTCTGAGCAGCATTTCTCAATAGTAGGCTTTGCCATCTAGGTTCCATTATTTTATTGATAGAGCACAGGCAAAGCAGTCGTAGCATAATTCTTAAGAGTCCCAGGATTTTCAGAGTGGTAAATGAGCATAGGCTTCAACTTAACGTTGCCAGCTGCATTCATTCTTAACAAGAGAATCAGCCTGTCCATCGAGACTTTGAAGCCAGGGATTGACTTCTCTGTAATTATGAAAGTCTTTCCAATAGAATGCTGTTTTGTCCATATTGAAAATCTGTTGTTTAGTGTAGCCATCTTCATCAGTGAGCTTAGCGAGATTTTCTGGATAATTTTCTGCAGCTTCTCCATCAGCACTTAATGCTTCATCTTGAGCTTTTATGCTATGGAGACAGCTTCTTTCCTTAAACCTCCTGAACCAATCTCTGCTAACATCCAGTTTTTCTTCTGCAGCTTTCTCACCTCTCTCAGGCTTTATGGAATTAAACAGAGTTAGGGCCTTGTTCTGGATTAGGCTTTGGCTTAAGGAAATGTTATGTTGGTTTGATCTTCTATACAGACCACTCTAACTTTATCTCAGCAATAAGGCTGTTTGGTTTTTTTTTTTTTTTTTTTTTTTTTTTTAACCATTTGTGTGTTCACTGAAGTAGCACTTTTAATTTCTTTGAATCATTTTTCCTTTGAGAACCCTCGTACACTGTTGGTGAGTGTATAAATTAGCAACCACTATGGAGAACAGTTTGGAGGTTTTTCAAAAAACTAAAAATAGAGTTATATGATCCAGTAATCCCACTGGTAAGTATATACCCCAAATAAAGGAAATTACCATATCAAAGAGATATCTACACTCTCATGTTTGTTGCATCTCTTTTCACAATAGATAGCCAAGATTTGGGAGCAAACTCAGTGCCTATCAACAGATGAACGACTAGAGAAAATGTGGTACTAATATACAATGGAATACTATTCAGTGATAAAAAAAGAATGAGATTCAGTCATTTGCAACAACATGGATGGAACTAGAGGTCATTGTGTTAAGTGAAATAAGCCAGGCCCAGAAAGACAAATATGGCATGTTCTCACTTATCTGTGAGATATAAATCTCAAAAGCAATTAAACCTGTGGAGATAGAGAGTAGCACAGGGGTGTCCAATCTTCTGGTTTCCCTGGGCCACACTGGAAGATGAATTGTCTTGAGCCACACATATAATACACTAACACTAACAATAGCTAATGAGCTAAAGAAAATGCAAAAATAACTCAATCTTTTAAGAAAATTTACAAAATTTGTGTGGGACCACATTCAAAGCAGTCCTGGGCCTCATGTGGCCTGCAGGCCATGGGTAGGACAAGCCTGGAGTAGAAGGATTGTTACCAGAGGCTGGAAAGGGTAGTGGAGGGCATAGGGGGAAGTGGGGTGGTTAATGGGTACAAAATATAGTTGGAATAAATGAATAAGGCCTAGTATTTGATAGCACAGCAGGGTGACTATAGTTGATAATAATTTAACAGTTCATTTAAAAATAAAAGAGTATAATTGGATTGTTTGTATCACAAAGTATAAATGCTTGAGGGAATAGACACCCCATCTTCCATGATGATTATTACACATTGCATGACTGTATCAAAACATCTCATGTAGCCCTTAAATATGTACACTTACTACATACTCACAAAAATTAAACATTAAAAAAAATTTTCCATTGAATTCTCACCTTGTCTATTTGGTGCAAGAGGCTTATTTTAGCTTTTGTCATACCTTCCTCACTAAGCCTAATCATTCCTAGCTTTTGATCTGAAGTGAAAGATGTGCCATTCTTCCTTTCACTTGAACACTTTGAGGACATTGTAGGGTTATTATTTGCCCTAATTTCAATGTCATTATGTCTCAGGGAATAGGAAGGCCTGAGGAGAGGGAGAGACATGGGAGAATGGTCAGTTGGCGGAGCAGTCAGAACACACAGACACACAAAAATTATGTCTTATATGGGCAACGTTCATGGTGCCCCAAACAATTACAATAGTTACAACAAAGAACAGTGATCACAGATTACCCTAACAGAACAATAATTTTAAAATTTTAAATATTGCAAGAATTACCCAAGTGTAATATAGAGACACAAAGTGAGCACACGCTGTTGGAAAAATGGCGCCAAAAGGACTTACTTGACCCAGGATTGCCCCAAACCTTCAATTTGTAAAAAATGCCACGTGGGCAAAGCAAACAAAAAGGTGTGCTTGTATTCTGTCAGTTTTTGATTCAGTTCCTTTAAATATGATTCATTTTATAGAAAATGAGAGGATGATGACATATTGCTTCTTCTATCAATCTCACTTAAAAAATTTATTGAGAAAATTAATGTAGCTAGTCATAGTCTCTGAGATGAGCAAGGAATGCCATTTTTAGCTTCTGAAAGTTCAGAGACAAAGATCAGCAGTGGGGAGTTACAGAGGGTACCACTTAAGGATGCAGGTATTGGCATCAGACAGATCTGCAACGCGTGAAATCTTTCTATTACGAACTCACTGTGTAACTGGACAAATCACCTACCTCTCTAAGATTCAGTTACTACACCTGTAAAACGGGGATAATAATGCCTAGTTCAGAGAGGTGATGCATATACTTTATCCTTATGCAAAGTGCCTGCCAGATTATGAATATTTAATCAATGGTGATTTTTTCATTGGTAAAGAAATTTAGGTGGTATATGGGGAAACAAACCAGAAGAAAAAGACATGAGGTATAAAAATAATGACGGAGAGAGAGCAACCAGTGTGGCCTTCAGTGACCCTGTGAAAAACTGCCTAGCAAAATGGGCCACTCTGCACCCCGTGTCACTTGCCTTCCCTGGCTATGCTTCCTTACCGGTTTATTATTTTGATAGCCGTTGATATGTGTGTGTTGAGAAGTGTCATGATGTTTAGAAGGGTCTTAAGAGGTCATGAACAAGTGTGTTGAACAGATGATTGTCACAGCCTGAGCTCAGAGAAATGACAGCTTCGCACATTGTCAATGCTTTGTTTTCTCTGTTGCTTTGGGCCTTTTCCTGTTCTGGACTCCCCTGGGTTACACAGTAAATTAAATCTACTGTTAAAAATAAAGACCATTTTATAGTAAGCTAATTTGCGTATATGTGGCCATCCCACTGTAAAATACATCTTTAGAGACAAAAGTATCAAGAGCTTTAAAATTATTTTTAAAACTAGAAGCTCTTAGGCCCATTTGGGTTTCGGATGGGACTGAACTTTCCCAGCCTCTGAGGATGGCATGATTTCCCGTGTTTCCTTGGGAGTCTCATCTGAAATAGAATTGGAGGGAAAGGCAAAATGATTGACAAGGGCAGGTGATGTGAGCTCAGGCATCCTGCTGAGGGGGCTCACTTAGGATTCCAAATCAAAGTCAGCCACAGCCCCATGCTGGTTTGTGCTGCCCTGATGTAGACACTGAGTCAATTCCGTGCTAAGTACTTACGATGTACAGATTAGCAAATACAAAGGTTGAGGGTCTCAGTGCATCCTCTGTCTTTCAGAAACAAGCAGGCGGAGTTTCATTAGTGAGGAAATTAACTGGGGCTGACATGAAGCTCTAAAAAGCATTTTCTAAGCTTTGTGTGTTTTTCCATGTGGTTGTTACCGGGGTTTCTTGAATTGTATTGTATGATTTCATTCAGAAAACATTTATTATCTCTTTACTCTCCTTCAAAGCCTTGCTTAAAGTGCTACAGACCCAGAAAAGAAACTGATACTCACTAGGTACTGATTTTGTTTTTCCACATAGATTATAATAAATTCAATCCTCACTCTAATTTTTTACATTAAATATCACTATATTAATTTCACATAACTGAGGTCTGTTATATGTGAATGCACCGCAGCTAACACAGCAAATGATAGACCCATAATTTGAATTAAAGTTTCATATACAGATGAATAAGACACAACCCCTGCCTAGGAAAGCCCCAAGTTACTAGGGGAGTAACGTATTAATAGAAGATCTCAATCCAAGATAGATAGACCAAGATTAATGTTGTAATGAGTGTGTAGCTTGGAGCTTTGCACATAGTAAGCATTCTATAGATGTTTATGATGTTAATGAATAAAGAATATGCATGAACAATGTGGATGATAAATATAAAAACACCCTTAAGTATGAACTCTGAAATAGTGTTTGTATGACAATAAGTTTATATTCAACCTAGGAATAAAACAGTCTATGAAAGGAATCACATGGGGCTTGGATAAATCATTCTACTATTTTCAGAATAATTTTTCAGCAACGATTTAGAGAGACTGGCTCCCAGTGTTTTTGCTTGCCACACAGACCTCCAAAAAATGAGGTCATCATAGGTTACATTTCTGTAATTCATTTCTTTGGTTACCTAGCCCAGACACAAAAAACCTCTCACCTCAAATACCTGTCTTGATGTATTTGGGGTCCTAGCTGAGCCAAAGCTAAGTTTAATTTTTTCTGGTGAGTGGAATTGAGTGGCACTTTCCCCCTTTCTCTGTCTTACTTGCCCAAGCATCTACTTGCATTATATTAGAAGTCAAACATGGGAGTAAAAAGAAAATAAAATATATGAACCCCACCTCTTCATCAAGGATGAGCCTGGAAAGATGCAAACCATTTATTTCAGGAAGAAATCAGCTGGTCTTTGAGAGAATAAAGGCTCACTCAGAAGCCCAGCCAGAGGGCTGGAGGAGAATGAGGAGACATCTTTACAGTTGGAGCTTGGGCCTGGAACCCAGTCTGATTCAGTCAGGAGGTGATGTGCCTGCTGATGTAGAGCTGTCAACGTTCCCTTTCTCTGTGTGTGACCTAAGAGAGCTCACTCAAATTGTGAAACACCTAACAGAAGCACCCAGGTACAGGCCCCTGAACAGTTACACCAAAGTATGGGAGCTCTTTCTCATTTTCTGGCCAACTACTGTTTGTTGGGGGCCCACAAGTATGAGGGACATTGATGCCTGGAGACGTTGGTGAATATCTGTCTGTTGGAGTGAGGGTAAGGGCAGCATGGAGGCTTGGCTGGCCCCAAGAGTGGCAGCAGTGAGGACATCTGGATCCACAGGTCCTGGCTCTAGCAGTCTAGAAGACAGCAGAATCTTGAGTCAGCAGCTGAGGAAAGGGTGGCTGAGGAACCTGACACTCAGGCAGCCCCACACAGCATGGGGACTCCTGAGCATGTGCAAGACACTCCTGGGGACATCCACAAAATGCCATGTGGACTTTTCAAGACTTCCTCTGTGAGCTGGGATGTTTTCACTGTTTGAAATAATGTTTAACTTCCTCTCTGCATCAACATGAATAATTCTCAAAAACAAAATGTTGAGTGAAAAAAGCAGATTGCAAAAGGATAAGTACAATATGCCGCCACTTATATATATGTTTTAAAATACATGAAACATTGGAATATATTTTTTGGATGCATATACATATCTATGGTGGCATTTTTTAAAAACAGGGATGGGGAAGAACACAAGTTGCCTTGGGATGGTAGTTACCCCCAAGAAGATCTCCTCTGAGAAAGGGGAAACTGTGAAGGCACACGCTGTGATTCGACTCCATGCATTTCATTTTCCCCCCAAAACATTTCTGAAGCAAATATGGCACAATTTGAATGCTTGTTCTCTCTAGGCAATGAGTTCTTTATTCTTGTTTTTTTAAAATGTTTGTTGCAGTTTTAAATGTTTTGTAAATATTTTTTAAATAGAAAAAATCAGGTTTACATTTTAATGTTAAAACATTTGTATACACAGGTTGATGAGGCCTGAGGCTTTTGGGCTACATTCATAACTTTATTATCTTTAAGAAAAAGGATTGAAATTATCCAAGAGATCTACTTTCCTTGAGAATTAGACACACGGAAAGTTTCAGCTTTATACTTTGTATGGCTTGGAGTTATCCATACACAAAATGTTCTCTTTAATTGTTATAAAGGTAGAAATGTGATTTTTAAAATTATCCTTGCTTAGCTCAAAAGCACCTGAAGACATTATGTTCAACTTATGAAAACTTTATTTTTGGGATAAGACCAAGATAAAAGTGCTCAGAGTCCAAAAATGTTAATACATAGAAAAGTTTTTGAATGAAAAAGTAGCTTATGCAGAAACTCTGCATATAATTTTAAGTCTAGTCTGCTCAACAATGAATGCTATTATTTATTACTCCATTTTAGACTAAGCTATTTGTCTCTACACATGCATGCCATCCCTTTGACACACGTTTTTGGTTTGGATTACTTTTGCTTGAAATCAATAGAAGAGAAAATGGAATCCTGAATACATGATTCCCCAACTTTCAAAAAAATTCAACAGTTTTACATTTTCTATTTTTAGTATTCTCCTTCCCTTCCTTTCCAGCAAACATCTTTGAGTACGGAAAACAAGTAGACTAGCTGTATTTTATTAACAGGGCACAAAATTGTGAGATGGGAAAGAGAATGTGCCTTTCTAAAATTCCAACAAATAGCACTAGAAGTCAAATGGAAAGTGACTGCAATTTTTTGGGGAAAGTTATAGTTTATCTTTGTGTGTGTGTGTGTGTGTGTGCGCGCGCGCGCGTAAGCACCTGTGTGTATTTGGTAGGAGGGGGGACGGTAGAGAGGGGAGTTCTTAGACCAAACATTTGGTCTATACTAACAGGACTATGGAAGCCATTCCAATGGTCTTGAAGAAAGACAACAGTTGTCTTAGATCCTGCCTGTTTTTTCCCTTATTCATTCTTTCCCCACATCCCTCATTCTACACGGAATCAGATTCCTGCTTTCCTTTTCACCTTCTAAAATGATGACACCTCTGGTATCTTCTGTCGTATCTGTATTGCACGCACATATACATAATGCACACCAAGAGGAGCTGCGTTCTATCTGGTGTTGCTAATAATTTCATGAGTATTCTTCTTTTCTCTAACAGGATTGTAACTTCCTTGTGGATATGGGACTTATAAGGTTTTTATTTTGTTTGTTTAGTTCACACAGCAGTACAGTAAATGAGACAGAAAGACAAATCCTAGGCACACTCTGAAACTAATTGTACCTCAATTATATAGACAAAATAGAAGCACAGAGGGTGGAATGTTTTGTCCAGTGATATGCAATGAGGGGGCTGGAGTGAGTTCAGCCCCTAAACCCTGTTGGGAATGGACTCCTACCCTGGTCTCCAGCCTGTCAGATTAGAAATATGAAATTCTGCCCCTCCCCGCCCCAGTATTTGTCTCTCTATAAGTTTGATTGATATGGCAAGAAATCATAAAATTTAGAGTCAAGCGAATGTTATTGCCTTTAATTGGGGGAGTGGCATAACCTTACTGAGTCTCCATTTGCTCATCTGTAAAACAGAAATGATAAAACCTCTATATAAAGTGTTGGTGAGGATAGACTTAATTTGAGTAATTGTATGTTCGTTGCCTACCACACACCAGATGTTCAATAAACTGTAGTTCCGTTCTCCTCTCTACCAGGCCCTTCTATTTGATGGCTGGCATCAGCTTCATATACTATAAGCTTCAGGGCTTAAATCTTTTTCCCAAACCAAAGGAAGTGACAAAACATGTCAACTACAGAATTGTCCTCCCTCATCTTGCACTTCAAATATGTGGTTCTTCATCCACTCTCTCATTTAGATATCACTGCAACTCAATTTGAGCCCCAGATTTTTATGCCATTTGAAACTTATGAGCTGCTGGTGGTCTTCTTTGAGCATCAGCCAGATTAGTACATGTTCTCAAAATTCCTTCCCTTTCCCATTGGTCCAATGCTGAGATATGCGGTGGCTAAGCTAGGCTTCCCTTCCGTGAAGCTGGAGCTTAGATAAGATTTGAATCCAGCTGCCATAACTCTTAGTCAATGACTCCTCCTATGCTGCTTGTCCACACTAGACACCCAGTAAATAGTTGCTGATTGATCTGCTGAGATACAGAAAGATGGACCAGACCAAAGCAAATGACTTTGTAACTGATGAGGAGTGGGCAGAGATGTACCAGAAAGGTGGATGAGGCTGTTGGTGCATGTGGCCAGAAATGAAATAAAGGGCTGAGCTGGGAGATAATGAATAGACTCCGTTCTACTGAAAGTCCAGAAGTGGTAAGTCATATTGCATGTTTAAAATGGTAAGATTCAAGAGTGGTTTCTTTCCAGACAAGAAATGTTCAAACCATTCAGGTTTTAAGTGGATCCATTTACTAAGTTGGCCTGCTTCTAGCATTATATTTATCCATTCTGCTATTATTCATTTGACAAACACTGACTGAGCACCAAATCAGATGGAAGAACCTTCTCCCATTTCCTTGGCCTTATTTCTGTCCTAGGCCCTCGGCCACTTGGTTATGGAGAGTTCTGGCTCTTACTAGTACTGCCACGGCAGCAGCTGCCATGACTATCTCTGGGGAACACCCACTTTCTCAGTCTTCCCTGGCGAGTGCTCAGCTCCGACACTATGTCCATCATACCCTTTGCGGTAGAAGCCACACAAACCTGGAACTCAGGCTCAACTTAACAAAATTCATAAGCCTCCTCTTCCTCTTACCACTTTGCAACTTAAATAAAGCATTCTAGGCTGGGCACGGTGGCTCACACCTATAATCCCAGGACTTGGGGAGGCCACGGTGGGGGGATCATTTGAGGTCAGGAGTTCGAGACCAGCCTGGCCAATGTGGTGAAACCCCATCTCTACTAAAAATACCAAAATTAGCTGGGTGTGGTGGCACATGCCTATAATCCCAGCTACTTGGGAGGCTGGGACAGGAGAATCCCTTGAACCTGGGAGATGGAGGTTGCGGTGACCCAAGATTGTGCCACTGCACTCTAGCCTGGGCAACAGAGGGAGAGACTGCCTTCAAAAATAGTAACAATAATAAAGCATTCTAACACAGGGTCTGCCATCTGGCTTCCCTAGTGGCTTCCCTGAAGTACGGGGATTGAGAGTACCAGGGGCTGGGTAGGTACCTTCCTACTGGAGAACTTTGATCAATGAGAGAAAAGAGGATATAAACTCCTTTCTTTTGTTTTCTCCAATCCACCATTCTAAGGTGCAGGGACTCTGTTTAGCTCATCTGAACATATCCTTTATAGCTGAGCAACAGACTGTGTCTCTTGGGAAGCTACAGCCAGCTTGGTAATTGACAGCCCTGACTATGACCTTATATTTGTGTCTCCTTTTTCCTTATTTCACTTTTTTTCCCCTCTCAGCCTTGTTGCCCAGAGATTGTACCTCCCAACAAATAATTAATTATCACTAAGGTTTGCCTTGGCACATCCCTTTGGCGGCTTTGCCAGCAGACGCAAGCAGGTAATGTGAACCAGACACCGTGCTAGGTGTGGGACATCAAATGGTGAACAAGACAGATTTTTGCCCGACCCTTATGCAGTTTTCGACCTAGTGAGAGAGACAGGCCATATGCTATTAAACAACAATAAACAGAAAAAAAAGCACAATTTGTGATGAGTTCCATAATGAAATAAAATTTACTTCTGGGAGGACATAGTGGTGGAGGGGTTGGAGAAAATCAGTTTAAATATGGAGAATTGAAGAGGTCTCTGTGAGGAGTTTATACTTAAGTTGAGGCATGAGCCAGCCATGATAACAGCAGAGGGAAGAGAACTCTCAGCTGCTAGAGTATACAGCACATAGCAAAGCCCCAAAGCAAGAATGGGGTTTGAGTGTTTGGGGCACTTGTGGAAGATAAGGATGATTGCAGTGTCGTGATCAAAGCAAAGAGTGGCTGACTTGAGGTTGGGGAAGATGCAAGAGTCAGATCCTGCAGACTTTGTAGGCTATTGAATCAGGCTGAATTTTATTTTAAGTGCCACTGGAAGCCACCAAAATACTTTAAGCAGAGATATTACAATAGAATCCGGTGGAATGAGTCTCCTTAATTTATTAGCATAATGCCTTTTACTTATAACCTTAATAATAAAAGAACACAAGGATTATGGCTGTAAATACATGGAAGTAAAGTTTATAACATATTTTATGTGTTAACACAAGCACAAATATATATATGTACATGTACCGTTAGGTACATATACTCTGTATACGTAAGCATGTATATACTACATATATACATGAATTATATGTGCTTATGTATATATAGTATATGTACATATATAGTGTATATATACATGCTTATATATACATATATGTGTATATATACATGCTTGTAACCACCACTCTCTCCTAAGGAATCATAATTTATTATACTACTAATTTTATTTTTTTGTCCAGTTAGTCCAGCAGTGTTTGCTTCTTTGGCCGCTTTGCTCATGTCCATTCATGTTGGTTTATTTCCGTGTATTAATTTCAGAAAGTTTACAGTATTTGTGGCCGCAATTTCTTGAAGTACAGAGCTTCTTCTTTCTCAATTAGAGTTTCTTCATTAACTGTAGTTCTGTTGCTATGGCTGTCATTAGTGTAATCTGCTAATTCAGAAATTCACGGAAGTACGGAAATACATTTTGCTAATGTGCATTGCAAAAGGCCCTCTAAAAAAATGCCTCCTATATAATGTGATTTTCAAAATGCCAGCTGCAGCTGCCAGGGAAGAGCTTTTATAGACCAACCTGGATTTGGGTGAGAGCAATATGTCTTCTAGGCAGAGAAAGCTCTCCTCTACCACTCTATAAAGGCTTTTCTCGATGGTTGCTACCTGTCTTTGACCCTCAGATGTTTCCAAATTGCCTCTCTGGAGGCAGCTTTTTAGCCAGCTCACTTCTATTTAAGCGTGTTGTGTTAAAGAGCTGGCAAGATTTTTTAGAAGAGTTTCACCAAACACCAATTCCTGTGAAAATTTAAACTATATATTGATATCACCCTTGCGCAGATCACACCGTTGCAGGCTTGGCAGTAAACCCACATGCTATGTTTTGGGGAGTAACGGAATTGTTAAATTACCAAATGTATTATTTTCTGGCCAGAAATTGCACCATGGAGATTCATCCCTTTTCTTTGGTTGGAAAGCTTTGTCAATTCAGGGGATCAGTTAGTAATCATTTAGCATGGAATAGTTCACAAAGTTGATTTTCAGAAGACAATTGCCTGAGATGAAATGGGATATGGAATAGATTCTGACAGAAGAGGATAGACACTGTCAGGAAACACAGCGCTACCAGGGAGGTCTATAAACAGAGAACCCCAGGGAATGCTGGGTGCCCAGGAGAGATGGCTGCATCGGTGCTGAAAGCAAAGATGGTTGTGCGCCAAATTTTAACTTCAGACTTTTGCCTCAGGCAGCACTGTTAGCACTTCAAGTCCCATTAAGGACCCTCTCTTTAGAGCAGATGGTGGCTTCAGTGATAACAAAGAAAACAACAGTGGTAGGAGAAAAGATGGCCAGACTGAGCTTCAAAGAAGCAAAACACCAAGGGAAAAGTTATTCATGTTTCTTGTGGGGAATGAATCACTGAAAAAAAGTCTTTAAATGGAGATGATAGAATGGAAATAATTTATTTACGAGAGTCAGTATTATCATGTTCATGATAACCTTGGCTCTTTTCAGACTTTCTGCCTCCGTGTAGATTGGTGAAGAAACAGAGATGTATCTGATTTGAAACAAAATATAAGTGTTCCAGATTAGAACATATTTTTATATTGAGTATATTCTGTGCCCAACTGGGATAATTTACGTGGAGGTTTGAGAAGGTCTTTGTGAGGAGAGGATATTTAAGTTCAGCAATAAAACTAAGTAATCAAAATAATATTTTGCCTTCCAGTAAGAAACTTTCATTCCATCAGAAACCACGATGTCTTTGGTTTAGCTAATTTTCAGAATTAAGCTAATTTTGATATTGCATATTTAAGAAAACCTAAATTTATAGAAATTAAGTCAACAGATAAAATGAAAATTACTTGTTGCTTATATATACCATGTGACTTTATGCATGCAGGGAAGTGTATGTCTATACATATGCTCACATCCATATGTATGGACCTGATTAAAGTATGACCTTGTTGTATATGTGTGTATGTGTGTCTCTGTATATACACACACACACATATGATCATTTGGTGCCAACAAGGTCTACTTATTTCAGGTGATCTCTTATCACTGGCTCTGTACTCCAAATTTCACCTGTGAATGTGGACAAGTTTAAATTAGTCAAATTTCCAAGATTTCTTGTCATTCGTGCCACATGTTGGCTGTTTTGACTCCTTCTGATTTTTGACCCTCTTTATTGTCTTAACCTTGCTTTCATACAAGGAACTCCTCAACTCTTATTTCATATGCATCTGGCTTCCATTTCATTTGTGGTTTCTGGGCACTACCTAGCCCTTTATGTTGTTTGTCAAACATGTCTACACCTTCCTGATCCTGGCTGCTCACACTGTCTCCAAGAATTATCCTGAGGTGAGCACATGGAACTTTCTACCTTCAGGCTGGTTTAATAGGAATCTAAAGTTAGGAAAATGTTTGGCCTTTTATCCCTTTATTTGTGGCATCTAATAGCATTCTATTACCTACCATATACTGATGACCTAATCAGATTTGCTGTGCTGATTTTCATGTATGCAAAGATTAATAAACCATAGTGTCTAATCCCCAAGGGCTTAGCTGCAAATGTAGTAGGTGAGAGAGACACATAAATAAGTAATTTCAACATAATACAATAAGTATTGGGATAGATGTTGACACGAAGAGAGGAAGCATAAAGAAAAGGGAATAATGAACTTGACTTATAAGTAAGGGATAATACATATCAGTTTGCCCAGAAAAGTCCTAGGTTATGACCTTGCCTCAGAATCTATTAGAGTAAGCATTAGTCTCACACTTTTCACTTTCCAAGGTGTCCCAGTTGAGACCAAAAAAAAAAAAAAAAAAAAAAAAAAAAAAAAAACATGGTGACCCTGCTTGTATTAGTCAGTGTTCTCCAGAGAGACACAACCAATAGGGTAGATACAGATAGAGATATATGTTATAAATATATAGATATTTAGATATATAGATATAACATATATAACCATGCTACCAGCTTCAGGGAAGCTGGTAGCACGGTTCCGATCTGAAGGTCTAAGAACCAAGAGGGGGCACTGGTGCAAGCACCCAAATCTGAGGGCCGTGGGTGTCCCAGCTCCAGAAGAGAAAAAGTAAATTCAGCTTTCCTCTGCCTTTTTGTTCTGTCAAGGCCCTCAGCCAAGCAGATGGTGTCCACCCACACTGGGTGAGGGTGGATATTGCTTACCCTGATTCAGATACCAGTCTCTTCTGGAAACACTTTCACAGACATACCCAAAAGTAATTCTTTACCAGCTATCTGGGTATCCCTTACTAAGTCAGTCAAGTTGACACCTAAATAAACCATCATACTATTTATAGTGAAAAGGTCAACGTTTGTAAGAGAATGCAAGAAATATGATAAAAAGTATCAGAAGAACTTTGCCAATCTAGTGAGACAGAAGTGGAAATTACTGGTGGAAGAAATAGGCCCAGTGACCTGAGCAATGCGTTGATCTGGAGAACGACCTATCGTTCACGTGACTACGTGACTGTGCCTCGTAGGAGAGGGATGAGATGCTGTGGGCTGAAGAAGAAACCAGGAGCCAACAATGGTGAGCTGTCTCTCTCTGTAATGTCAAGAACCTTAACTTTTTCTTGTAGACAATGGAATCACATTAAAGGTTTTTTTTGTTTTTTGTTTTTTTTGGTTTTTTTGAGATGGAGTTTCACTCTTTTTGCCCAGGCTGGAGTGCTGCAGCCTCAGCCTCCCAAGTAGCTGGGATTATAGGTGCCTGCAACCACACCTGGCTAATTTTTTGTATTTTTAGTAGAGATGGGGTTTCACCATGTTGGCCAGGATGGTCTCGATCTCTTGAACTCGTGATCGGTCTGCCTTGGCCTCCCAAAGTGCTGGGATTACAGGCATAAGCCACCGTGCCCGGCCCACATTAAAGTTTTTAACTGAAAATATGACCTAATTAGATTTGTACTTTAGTATTTCTATGTGGTATACATAGAAATAATGTACAGAATAGATGAGTAGGGAATAAAATATTAGGCAGACAGAACAACTGGATCATAATAATCCAAACAAGAGATGATGGGGGCCTAAGCTAAGGCAGAAGCAGTGAGGACACAGAATAAGGGATGGAGCTTTAAAATAGCCATTAAGAAATTGATAAAAGAATGAGAGTCAAGATCATACTCAGTTAGGTTCATACAAGTCAGGAGCTCAGAAAAGAAGTGTGGGCCGCAAGTATAGATATGAGAATGTGAGTGAGTGAAAAAGAAAGGTCTGAAATTCAAAGACAAAAAGATCAAAGCCAGAGCCTGCCCTTCTAATTTAATCAGAACAATGTAAGAATATAGGATAACAAATGGCAAAGTTTTAGGAAAAAATTGTGTAAAAGATTCATAGGACCAATTCATTTTGGTTAAATAATTATGACGAATGTTGGCGCTAGAGCTTTGTCTGCATAATTTTTGTTATTTATTGTATATCTTATTCTTTTTGAATGTGGTATCTCTGAACTCCTATTATGTAATGAGGATTTTTTAAATAGACAAAACAGAAAATCTTCCCCCACCCATGAAGGGTCCATTTTTGAATGATCACTATGTATAATTTAAGCTATTGGTTAAGGTCCAAGTCATATTATATGAATCAGTAGTAAGATATATTTATGACAGTGTATAATTCTAATACTGCTTGTATTTGGGCAAAAGTAAAATGCCCTGCTTGAAAAGAATCCTGCAGTTGCTACAATCATGTAAAAAAAAATAGTTGAAGTATTTTTCTCAGTTGATGAGTGTAGATCTCTAGACATGAAATGGTATTAAACCTTCTGGGAACTTTAGATGAAGCTTTCAGAGTGACATTTCTAAATTTGACCAATTTTTAAGTAAAGGTAAAAATGTCCAACAAAAGAGAAATTATTGATATTATATTCATTTTCTATATTATAATTTCTGTTTTTTTCTACTGATCTATAAGTTAATTCTGAAGATAGTTTTATGTAATAAAATTTGCTCAAATTATGATACATAAACTTCCATCTAAGTATAAAGTCGTACATAAAGCTCAGATTTTTCTAAACATGTGTTGTAATATGTTCAAGTAGCTAGACCCAATACAGATAAATTGTTTATTGTCTCTGAGAATACTTTCTAAAGTACTACTTGAAGACTCAAATGTTTTTTAATGTTCTCAAGGCAGTATTTTCTTTCATATCAATAATTTACACCATAGTAAGGTTTTTTCTTTCAGACTATGCAAATGAGGAATATGAACTAATTCAGACAATATTTACACAAAATAAATGAGTTTAAAACATTTGATTTACTTTTTAATTTTCAAGGTGGTATTCACCAAGAAGATGGAATTGGGTTAAGAGCAATAAAATTGATAGTTTCCTTTTTTTGAAATCAAAGAATTAGGTAATAACAAAATGTTTCAAATGCTTTCAGCTTCTGTTCTTAACAGTTAATTTTAAGAACATGTCTATTTATCATGTTACATAAAGTTAATGTTTTATAATATCTTGTGTTTTAAATTTATTTATTGATATCCATTTATATATCTTAGTATAATATAAACACACTGAGCAAAGATATTTTCAAAAAGCAGTCTGAAATTCAGTAATTTAATTAAGATTAGCTCCCTCCTTCCTACTGTATTTTTTATAATTAAGTAAGTCTTTCCATGTCATGTAATCTTTGAGCAATGGCTTTTGTTTGTTATGGGTGGATGCTATAGCGTGCCACCCAGATCCCCCACTCTACCCTAGAATTGACTTTTACCCCAGTCTCTGGGAGGGATGGGTGCTGAGACTGACAACTCAATCTCTCTCTGGGAATTGCCTTTTGCTGAAAAAAGCTGCCTCATCCAAGCTTGTCCCCTTCTTCTCAGGATGCAGCCTCCATCTAAAGCCTGGTCATGGAGTGGTACAAAAGTTCTGTCCCCTTGCCTCAGTGTGAGACATCTCTGTATGGCCATCCTAGCTTCAAAGCTTTCTCTGGAATCAACTGATGACTTGATTGAGGCTGCATCACAGTTCCAGTCTTGCTTCCTTTACCTTCCTACAGGTGTTGCTCCTAAAAGTATTTCCCAATAAGTCATCTAGATGAAAACTGCAGCATCTCAGAGTCTGTTTCCCTGGGAAACTGACATATGGTGCCAGCAATAGTTGAAGGAACCAGGTTATAACAGAGTTTTTGAACAGGTTCCCATCATTGATGGTAGATGGGTGCAATGGAATAAACCGTGTTCCCCCAAATTCATGTACGGAAGCTATAACGTCAATGTGATTGTTTTTGGAGATAGGATTTTTAGGAGGTAATTAAGGTTAAATGAGGTCCTAGGAGGAAGATTCATATTCTCTCTCTTTCTCTCTGCTTTGTGAGGGCACAGTGAGAAGGCGACCATCTGAAAGTCAGAATTAGAGCCTTCACCAGAACCCAACCATGCTGGCACCACAATTTCAGACTTCTAGTCTCCAAAATTGTGGGAAAATAAATTTTTCTTCTTGAAGCCACCCAGTCTACGGTAGTTTGTTGTGGCAGCCCCAGCAGAGTAAGGCGGGGGTTATTGAAAACCCTACCATGCAGTAGAGGTGCAATTGTTATAACTTTTACAGGTGGTGAATTCAGATGGGATTCTGGTGAAAGAGAATACACTTGTCAGTGAAATATCTCAAGTGTTTGAATAGTTCTGGGGAAATGGTAACTATAAAGAAAGATTACAGAATCAGCGTTTTCTAAGGACTATTGATGCATTGACAAAAACAATAACATTTAAGGGTAATTAACAACCAATTCAAGGTAAAGTATGAAAGCCAGAGGGCCTCCTTGACAGCATATGACAAGACACTCACACAGCTAGAAGCAGACAATGCAGAGGGTTAGGTATGAAATTGTATTGAAAGAATAGCAGAGGTACAAAAAAGACTGACTTCTCAATCCCAGCAAGTCTGCTACTCTGAGGTCAGAACCCTGCTTAGCAAAGAGTAGGATCTTGAGATTTGAGAGGGGAATCTGGATCAGTGAATTTGAAAACCTTGAATTTCTAGATTATCCTCTACCCTCTGCGAAGTGGCCCGTTCTTCCCTGTAATAGCTATCTTTTTCCCCTTGTTTGAAGATGAAGAAGAAGTCTCAGTCTTGTAGGACAATACACACTTGTCTCAGGATCTAGCTCCACTTTTCCATTGGCACCAAAACAGTAATTACTTTTATACCACAACATAATGCAACCATGAAAGTGCTAAGCCTGATGAAGAAAATAGACCATACCACAAAATAACTGCAGGTCCAAGTCAAAATGTAGCTGAGATAGTAACTAGAATTCTTAGCATTCTGATATCAAGGGTAATGGACATGAAGTTGGACAATGAAGAGTTTATTTCTGTGATACAGTTTTTAACACCCTGGCAATGATCCTGATATAAACTTAGAGAAAGCAAAGGTTCACACTGAATGAAGTAGAGCCACCAGAACTGCCATGAGACAGCAGAGGAAAGAGTTAAGAGGCTGATGGTAGTAGACTTGGTGAGAGAATACACTGAATAAGGCCACCAAACACTCCATGTGATTCTGTTCCATGGGACGGCCCAGGGTAAAAAAAAAATGACCCTCTCCAAAACATAAGGACTGCTCACATCATCTGAAGCCCTGAAGGCCAGGCCAGAGCTGAACATAAGAGATGCTGCTACAACCAAGCACCCTGAGAGCAATGCAGATGATAGAATCCCAGAATGATAGAGGCCAAGTGGCTGTTCAAAACAGGCACAGTAGTAATGACAGCATGGCCAGCGTGGGTAGTGTATGTTGCCTGAGCTACATAAAAACATGGAGATACTTGATAGAACCCAGGAGGAGGATAGGTGGGCAACTATCAAAGATACTGCTCAATCTATTTGATGAAAATATCAGGAGACTATTGGAAACCAGCCAGTAGAAAGTCATGATCCCTTTTCCAGTTTCCTGAATTACATTAGTATTTCAGCTTCAGAACTCACATACTGAAGGAGATGCCAAGTCCCTGGGAAGGCCCTACAACTCCACTAGTATATAAAGATGCTCCAGTTTCCCACCTAAAATAGTTTCAGCCATATTCTTAGTAACCATATACTAGAAAAAAGGGTATACCCAGACATTTCAAGTAGTACGGACACAGAATCTAAGTTGATATTAGTACCTGGGGACAGTAGTTGTCATCACGGCCCTGCATAAGCATGGGAATTGGAAAGCCAAGTAATAAATGAAGTCCTGACCCACATCTGGCTCGCAGAGGTCACTAGATTCAGAGATCCAGCCCCTGATCATTTTCCTGGACCCTAATATATAATTGGAATGCATATACTCAGTAGTTAGTTAGAAGAATCTTCACAATGATTTCTTGACCTGAGGTGCAATAACCATCATAGTGGGAAAGACTATGAGAAAGCTTCTTAAGGTGCCCTTCCATTCCAGCCAACAGAAGGAAATAAAAAAATAATATTGCATCCTTGGTGGAGTGGCAGAGATTAGTGCTATTCTTAAAGATACGCAGTATACAAAAACAGTAGTAATACAAAAACATTTAATTCATCAGCCTCACTGCTGCAAAATTCAAAAGTGACAATGGAGCATTTAACACTCAACCAAGTGGTAGCTCCAAATGTAGCTGCTTTGTCAGATGTTATGTCTTCATAAGCACATAACCACACAGCCCTGGGAACATGATATGCAGCCACTGGGCTGGTTTGTGTGTTCATTTTCAACTCTATTAGGAAGGAGGATTAGAAGCAATTTGTCTTTACATGAAATAGACAAATGTGTGCATATATAGTCTCTCCCCAGAGCTGTGTTAACTCTCCCACCCTCCATAATTATATAGTTAAAGGGACGAGTACTAACTGGACATTCTGTAGAATATCACTTTCACCCACTATCTCAAAGCCATAATATTAATAAAACCAGACTAGCAGGAAGCAGCAAGAATTTTAGGTGTTTTGTTAAGCCACATACACATACACTCCAGGTGAAAGACAAACTTTATAAAGATTCCAGGACCAACCGTATCAGTAAAGTTTTAGGCATCAGTGGGGTATGTAGGAGCATGCCCTTGAAGTACAGGACTGTCCTTGTACTTCTCACCCCTAAGGAGGAAACACAGTGCCTGGTAGGTCTCTTTGCATTTAGGAAGCAGTGTATTCCTGTACCCACATTGGAGTCAACTCATTCTGAGTAGGAGTATGATTTGTTAAATGAACAATTTGTTTTTTTAGTTTTAAGGGCATTTAATCAGAAGTTAGGGTTTGGGAAACTAACTCAGGTGTATTAATTGTTTAAGTAGAAATACAGTTTAATTTTTGCTTTGAAGTTGGTTCTTCTTAATTTTTTTAACCTAATTACTAATCCTCACAAAGATCTTTCCAACAACAAGTTCAGTAGGTTTGGGTAACAGTAAGTTGCTACTGGCTTCTGACTCACTGAATGATGGTGGGATTGCAGTTTCATCTTCTTTATAAACTCGCTCTTCACTGGCAAGTTTAAATGACTTGGAAGGCTGTCAGCTTTGAGTAGGACCTAGCAGGAAATCTCTGTAGCCGTTCTAGGCCGCAATGCAAGTGGCCCTGCTGCTTGGGTCTTAAGGCCTGGCAGACCCTATGTTATTATACAGAGTATATGGTATGGTAACAGAGATAACTGTGGTGGAAAAGATCCTGTATGAAGTATATGGCAAACCACAGTAAAAGCACCACAGTGTAGGTACATATGTTTCTGGAACAAAGATAATGCCATCTGCACCAGAAAATTATGCCAAAGACCATGGTGTGCTACTACCCTGGTAGCATGATGGTAGGACATGAAATGATTTTGTGACCAGAACTTCCCACCATGGTTTTGGTCCTGTCAGATGCATCAAGTCATATGATGAGACAAGCCTAACAGCAATCTCTTGAAGTGGTGCATCTGAAATAGAGTCTAGGTCATCAGATACTCTGGTGCTTGCACAACTGACTCATGAACAAAGTAGTTACGGTGGCAGGGAAGGAGTCTTTAACACTACAGACTCTCACTGATCAAAGCTGATTTAACTACTGCTGCTGTTGAATAGCCAACCTGCCAGCGATAGAAACCCACACTGAGCCTCTAATGTGGCAACATTTCAGGAAGGACCGACCAGCCTCTCCATGGCAAGTTGATTATATTGGACTCTTTCCACTTTAGAAGAAACAGCAATTTATCTTGACTGAAATCAATACATTCTGAATATGGGTATGATTTTCTTTCTCCCAGGGCCTCCATCAGCCCCATTATCTGGGGCACATTTGATCCACAAACACAGGATCATATATCACATCAGACCAAGCAGCCCACTTTATAGCACAGAAGGGACTACTATGAACATATGACCATGGATCCACTAATCATAACAGTTACAGCACTGCCCAGTAGCTGCTGGTCTGCTGGACCACAGGGATAGCATTTTCAAACAGCAGCTGATGTGCCAGCTTGGAGAGGGTGCTGTAAGGAGAGGGGCTCCATCCTATAGTATACAATGTACACTCACATATAATGACCGTTACATGGTATTATGTCCCCAGTAGGGAGAATACCAAGACTTGGGAAGAAAAGTGATATTGGGATTGCCCCTGATTATCTCCACAGACCCATTTGGATAATTTATGCTTTCTGTCTCTGAAACTGTGTGTGTCAAAGACCCATAAGTTCTGAACCTCAGAGAGGGAATGCTTCCACCGGAGGACACAGCAAGAGTATCACTAACTGAATTCTGACTGCTACCTGGTTACTTTGAGCTCTTGAATGTGGGATGTCCCTTAGATGGGGTGTGTCCTAAGATGAGGTAGCTTTCTTTGACTGAGGTCAATGCCGAGGGAGGAACCTCGGCTATGAGCCTTCAGCAGCCATGACTCCTGGCATCTGAGGAAATGAGTGTCTTCATCTTGAAGAGGGGATTGGCCAACAACCACAGCATCCACTACAGTCCATTCCTTGCACTGCTGGGCAGCGTACGGCTTTTATGGACATTTCACCCCATCTGAGAACAGCTTTCTCAGGATTCTGGTAAGTTTCTCTTCCTCGCAAAATTATAGGAAATCAGTGACACAATTTATAATTCCCAACACTGGAGCTGGTCTTAGGGACACAATGGATGGTCATCATTTTATCCATCTGTTGTAGCCACACTACCACTCAACTTCTCCTCTGCCTCATCTCCTTACAGCTATCGTTGCTGTGAGCAAGCCCTAGTGGGCATGCAACTCTCCACCACGGAGCCTTATTTCCAAGGACTCTGCCCTTCATATCTCAATTTCCCCTTTCCTCAGAGGGACATTAAATATTTTGCAATAAATACAGTGCTTACAAACAGCCTTACAGAGAGTATATTGACCTGCAAACATAATATCATCTGCTCACCTATGACAATTTTCAGCTTGTAAGGCAGGTATCTTTCTCTAAAACTTACCTGGAAAACTGGTAGAGAATCCCCCCTAAGAGTTTTAATTTTGAGGGGACACAAGTGCAAAAAAGCAGTTACACTTGCTATATTAATTAGTTTGCAAGGGCTGCTATAACCAGCACCACAAGCTGAATGGCTTAAACAAAAGAAATGTACCTCTCATGGATCTAGAGGCTGGAAGTTCAAGATTAAGGCATTGGCAGGTAAGTTCCTTCTGAGGGCCGAGAGGGAGAATCTGTTCTAGGCTGTTCCTCTCACCTAACTTCTAGTGATTTGCTGGCAATTTTTGGTGTTCCCTGGCTTATGGGGCATTACCCCAATCTCTTCCTTTGTCTTCACATAGCATTCTCCCTGTGTGAGTGTCTCTGGTCCAAATTTCCCTTTTTATAAGGACACCAATCATGCCGGATTAGGAGCCTACCCTATTCTACCATGACCTCATCTTAATTTAACGAATTATATATGTTATGACCCTATTTCCAAAATAAGATTACATTTTGAGATACTGGGGATTAGGACCTCAGCATAGCATAGGAATTCTTGTGAGACACAATTCAACCCATGGAACTGAACTTTGGGGAAAAGATTGCATTTCTTTGGGAAATTAAGTGGGAGAAAATACAAACTGTAGAAGTAATAGGCCTGGGACTCTTTTCACGTGGAAAATTTAGATCATGATTCCCCAAGAAAAATGACTTGCTGTCCACTTGCTGTTTGGGGCATCTCCTGCATGGCTGACTTTCAGATGAGGCAGCAGAAAGCACTAGACTCCATTTGTATCCTGACTTGTACCTGTCTCTTTGCTCCATCTGAAAACTTTATGGTAGAAAAAGAATCAAGTGTCTTCTCTGCATGAGTCCCTAGTAACTGGTTACAGCTAATCTTCTGGAGAAGGAGAATTCAATCTAGCCATTAGAATTATGGGCACAACTTCTGGAAGATGAAAACCCTCATCATCCTGTTTGGTTCACTGAACCTGAAAGGCCCACATGCCATCTCTCATGGCCAAATCGAACATCTGCATTTCGGTTGGTACATGCCTTTGGAGTTGGCACTGGCCCTGTGACCACAGTGCATTCTATTGCAGCTGTTCTAGTGGCTTGGCTCTTTTTTTATCCCCTTAGGTCTTCTGGTGGAGCAAGAGGACACCCATGGTGGAAGCCAAGAGAGTCATCTTAATGAATGGCATATTACAGCCCTTGTGAATGGGACTTGCATTGTTCCATAGCATAGCTGGCCAAATTCCTGTGATTGACGGGTCAAGTTAAATCAGGCATAAAAGTGATGTGGAGTCTTTTCTTTCAGGAAACCTGTCACAAAAGCACTCTTGTCCCAACCAAGGCTCCTTTTTGTATGCACTCTTAGAGAAAAGTTAAATTTTATATATGAATGTGGAGCATGTCCTGTGTAGGAGGACTCTGGAACTAAAGTTAGTCAGACTTACAAAGTAAAAAGCTGTCCCATGCCCTTACGTGTACCATTCATGCGGTGGATCTGGGTGCACAGACCCCTGACTATAAAACCTGGGTCAACGCCTCCAGCTGTGGCCTCTCCTCTGACAACCAACTCATTAAACGCAGGATTCAGGAACCTGGTAGAACTTGGCCACAACTGCAAAAAACATATTTCAGTCCCGAAGTGTCAGAGTCGGGGGCAGAGGAGGGAGGATGAACCAAACGCTAAAGCAAATAAAAACATCTTTTAAAATGTTGTCTGCTTGCTGCCAAATGGGAGCTCAGAGGGAGTGCCACCAGGAGCAGTTCCACATGGCGAGGCCTTCCGTGGAGAAGCCTGGCTGGCAGGCTGGGAGGATTCAGTAATTAACACTGTCAAAGCCTCATGAGGCCCCATTTCAGCAGCTCGATTTGGAACCGGCTGCCCGAGTACAGTCACCCTTCAGCGGCACAGCTGGGGTGTGGAGTCCATCAGCAGCTGGTGCATGTGTGGCTTAAACTTTGCTGTGAGGTAGAAGGAAATCCGTGGGGATTCTTTTGGGTGCTTTAACCCTGTGGGGATGGGGGCTCACAGTATCTGATTTTTGAATAGTCAATTAAATGAGGGGCTTTAAGAAGCTGGAGCAGCCCACTCCTGGAAATAATAGCACTGAGATGGCTCCATAACAAGATCAGAGCCAGAGAGCCACACAAGGATACTTCAGGCTATAGCCCCGTACTTATGGAACAGGCTGTTGTGGGCTGGAAGGAGGGCTGAGGAAACATTGGGAAGGATAGATAAAGTTACAACCTATGAAATAGACTCTGAAACAGGGTATGGTAAGGTAGAGTGATGGCCATCTCTTAAAAAAATTAGTGAATAGGAGCTGTGCTGTAATGGAAGAAATGTAAACTGGGTTTATGGTTTCAATTCCCAAGACCAATACTCTTAGCACTGTGAAGTTAGACAAGTTGCTCAACCTTTTTTAACTCATTTCTTTATATACATAAAATCAGGATTATGATAGCTCATATGGAATGTTTATCATGAATATATATGTAGACCGATACTATCTAGTAAAGAAGCTATAAATATATGAATATATACACGTATGTATAGTTTTGTGTATATCTGTCATTTATTGATCAACTACTATGCACTCAACAAACATTTACTGAGTACCTCCTATGAGCAGGCAAGTCTTGATCTATAACAAGTGAGATTCCTCTTCTCTTGGGGCATACATTCTAGTAAATGAAGAAAAGAAAACAGACAACTGAACATGTAAATAAATAATATATTTTCAGATTGTGGGGAGACCTATCCTCAGCATTTAAAAGGATGGTATGATGAAGAACTGATAAGACTGCTTTAGGTAGAACAGTCCCAGGATATTTAAATAATTTTCCTCATGCAATTTTGCTGATATCCCTGTTGTGGTAGGCACTACTGTTACCATTCGCCAACAGAGAAACTGAAGTTCTATAGGTTAGCTCTAACAGAGCAGGTTTAAAAATGTGGATATTCAATCAGAATTGAGTGAGCTACACTGAATACAACCTCTTTAGTACATGGACATCTAAAATCAATGGATGTTTCCAGCCCACATTCGCTTTTCTTTTGTAGGTAAAATATTGTTTGCTAGAACCTATATGTATTATATATTTTGAATGAACGACATCCACTGAGAATTTTGGAATATAGGTTACCTATCATTAAGCATTGGAAAAGACATGAAAGGACCTAAGACCATTACACTGCTAGGTTACAGACCAGGTTCCCGTCACAGGCATTTCAAGCAATCTTAGGAGACTGTTTCACAATAAACCAAGACTCCTCTCAAGAGATTAAGACAGTTGAGTGGAACGGCTTCGAACAAATATCTTTGAATTGGGAAAGATCGCATCTTCGGTTTTATTCTTTTCATGTTTCTTACTAAAGCCTTTATTACTTGTCACGTTGTAAATGGTTTAAGTAAAGGGCAGATACCTAAACTTGCATCGTGGGGAAAATATTGCAACGGGGAGGAGGAAATTAAATCATATACATCTTTGTCAAAACATGTTTTTAGCTAGATTTGAAGCATCAGTATCTTTTTTTTATTATGCCAAGTTTTAAAATTATGTGAAACGTATGTCTCCCTTGGACCCACAGGAAGGACCCAGCTAATGAAGGGTAAAATGGTGCTAATGAGAAGCTAAAACCATAGAGGTGAGAGCCAGGATTCAAGCTCACATCTCCACAATCATTGTTCTTTCCAGATTACTATATTGCTTTCTGCATAAAGAATCATGTAAATTTGCCAAACATCGCATCAGGCACAGGGTAGACAACAATAAATGCTGACGTCTGTATATGGCTGAGGAAATGAACGAACAAATGGATGATGGCACAGATCCCCTCCACCACTGCTTCTCTCTCTTATGTTTCACGCTCTCTTCTTACTACTTCCCAGTGAAGCCCCTAGGTTCCAGGCACCCTAATTCTTTGGTTGCCCCTGCCTAACTTTTGCTAACCTTAAATGTCTTGCCTTGTCTCGTGTTATTTTCTCACTCCTTTCTCATCAGCCCTCTTTCTCACCCCCTGAGTGTGCAAACGCCTTCCCAGCTTCACCTCTCAAAAGGCTCCCAGACTTAGTAAATACTATCAGTCTTGTCTAAGATTTGGCCCAGATTTCTCTGACACCACTGAGTCCCAAGCACTTAATTTCCACCCTTTGTTGTCTCACTCAACCTTTAAAACAACCCATATGTGGTACGGTTCTCATTGTACACTGAAGAAAACTGAAGCCCAGAGCATTTACCAGCTTCTCCAAAGTTGCCCTGCTGGTAAGTAGTGGAGTGATAAATAAACCTATGTCCTCTGTCCTGATTTGCTGGCCAAAAGCATGACAATGGATCAACATTGGTTCTATTTACCCTTCCTTCCTTAGTGGTGAGTAGTCAATAGGGTGACAGTATGTAGGGAAGGAAAATAACTGTGAAAGATCCTTCCGAATCACCCCGTGCAGAACCAAGTAGTTGAGTACTGGGGAGTGGTAACTAACATGTTGGGAAGTAGCATTTTGGAAAAACTTTAATGGTGAGCTTTGTCACACACTACATTTCCTAGATCTGCTCTGTTAAGCAGCTAATTAATTCTCTTGGGGCAATTACCCACCTACCAGAAATGGTCTGCTGCAGGCCCATGCCCCTAGGCACAGTCTGTGTTAAATAAACAGCAGAAGAACCCTGAAGTGGCAGGGTTGTAGCCACTCCTTCCTCAGGTCAGCACTTGGAACACTTGCTTGCTCTGGGCCGGGCTGCACAGCATCATGCACAGGTGGGTGTTCTGTAAGTGCTTTTTAATGATGGTGGTAGTGGTGATGCATGAAGGTCTGTTTATACTTGCAGAGAGGGTCGTGTATTTTAACAAGGAGGACTTTTGATTGGCATTTCAAAGAGGCCAGTGTTGTTGGAAAATGTCAGCACCCTGCGTAGGAGGGCACTTCATAAGTGTTGAGGGATTGGGCCTGCTAGGGGATTAGGATAATTGTTTTGGAGTGAATGGGCAGGCTCAGTAAAGGTGACCTGAAGTCATTTTAATGGGCATCATGGAACTCATGGTGACAACTCAGACTAGTGGATTAAGATACTCTGATGGAAATTCCCAATCACTGCTTAGCACTGGTTCCGCTGGGATACTGGATGCCTATTGTATTGCTGTGCCTGGTAGGGTGACTCAGTTGCTGGGCTCTAGTAAAGAAATGCTGATCAAAGGAACTGCCACCCCACCATGTGGCACAGGGCTCCTTTGCCTCCAAAGATGAAAGGTGCCTATTTCCATGGCACTTATTATTCAGGGAGAGTCTTTTAATGCATGCCAGTTAAAGATCAATCAGGGATGAAGTCAAACAGTCTCAGAATAGAAAGTCCTATGGATGAAAGCAAAGAAGGGAAACTTTCTCCTGAGTAAGCACCAGGCCTGCTTGCTGAAAGTTAGTATTACATCTAGTTTGCAGGCTTTAGGAATAAAAGATAAGCGTCAGAATGAATGCACAGGTAGATTCTGAGTTTAAAAAAATAGTGGTTTATATTATGTACTAGTAGTCCACGTCTACCTGCAATCCTTTATATATGATAGAAATGTTGGGTAAAAAACTTAAATTTCAAGTACTGGTTGACCCAGCCCAAAATTATTGAATCGGGTCCTTTTTTTGGCCAAAGGCTGGGATGCTATCATTGCCCTTCATGTTTGGATACTTTTGCTTTATGCAACTTGAATTTCTTTGTGCATGAGACTATCCAATGGCCGTGAGTATCACAACCACCCTAAAAGAACTAAAAGAAGGTATTCTCGAAACAAAAACTGGCTTTCTCTGCAACTTTATTTCATCATGAATATATGAAGATAATTACTGATTGGTGATTTCAAAGTTTATAGTGCTGTCAGCTGGCATGGGGGCTTTAAACAATAATGCTCTGAACAGTTATAGTTTATCTAAATCAGATGCTCATTAAGGAATTGGCTAGAGTGGACAAGGAGGGAAGCATAGGGCAGGCAGGGCAACACATCAGCTTAGGAGCTATGGAATGTCCAGCTTTGCTGCATTGCGAGATTTGCTCCCGCAGCAAACAAACAAACTTTGGGTTCCTATAGAATACAAATTGAGGAACTGTATACACAAGTAGCACTCAGTCTGGAAATTCCATGCCTTCCCACATTGGTTTTTGTAAACAGAGTCTTAACACCCACATTACATACCTGGCCTGGGCTGCCTATAATCATTCCAGTTCTTTTGGTGAGTAGACAATAACTGTTTCAGATACTAGACTCTTTTAAGTTTAATGCTTATATGCTGTATTTATGGAGCATAACTGGTCCAAGATAGCTCTTCTTTAAATTAAAAAATGCATAATATGTAATAAAATTTACTGTTTCTCTATGCAACATGCTCTTTCTCTACACACATTCATCTTTGAAATTCCTCACTCAGGATTCTCAAAGGGCCAAGGAGAGTAATGAAGATCTTGATGAAATAGCCCAAAACTTTGAAATATTCTTTCTCTAGAACAGTATCAGAACCACTGTGGGTGGTTGTTAAAAATTGAAATTCCTGGAATTCAACCCAGGTCTACTAAATCAAAATCTTGTGCTGCTTCAGGAATCTTCCATTCATATAAGTCTCACAAGCACTTTTGTGAACCTCTGCCAGATGCCACCAACTTGTTTTCAGGGACGACGCTACACCTATTCTAGTGTTTTGGGTGAGTAATTCTCATGCTTATAGAGAAATTCATCTAAGTTTGCTTACCTACATTTTTATCTGATTCTAGGGAGATGGATTAGTGTCCAAATAATTTATCTAAAACAGAAACAAGGATTTAAACAAAAATCTTCTTCCTGGTCCTTTCTGCTCCTCCCTCTCCTCCTTTTCACTCTTCTTCTTTTCTCTTCTTTTAAAACTTTCCTGGCCTCAGTTACAAACATATGTGTCATACTGAGGAAGATAGAGGGTAAAATGCCAGATAACAATAAAATGTCAAGGTGAGCCAACCTCGTTTTTGGGATTCATGTAGAAAGTCTGAGGGGGGAAAATTTATTTACAGGTGGGTTCTCCAGAGGAAGAATGGCACACTGCAAGGCTCTTAGGGAGAGCATAGGAGAGCTGGAAAGGTGAATGCTGAAGAATAAAATAAAGACATAATTTATGAAAGAGGACAAACGGTAGTAAACTGAAGATACCGAGGGATGTAAATTTTACACAGAATACAACCCAGCGTCACTATGCTGGTGAATGTTGTGTGAGGAAGAAAAGAGTTTAAAGAAATTTATTTGACGTCTAGCTGAGCCAGAGAAGCGACTACTCACCTACTTATTACCAAAAATATGGAATTACAAAGTTTTAGCCAATATACCTCCATTGCGACTATCTTCAAGTCCTAAAAGTCACAGGAAACACACCCGGATAACTGTCTCACTCTCATAAAAATCCACATTGGCTGGGCATGGTGGCTCACGCCTGTAATCCCAACACTTTGGGAGGCCGAGGTGGGCAGATTGCTTGAGTTCAGAAGCTGGAGACCAGCCTGGACAACACAGTGAAACCTCATCTCTACTAAAAATACAAAAAACTATCGAGGCATGGTGACGGGCACCTGGCAAAGCATGGTATGATTTGGCGATCCATAGGCCTCTTCTGGTCTTATATGATTCCCTAATCCAGCTACAGAGCTTTTATTCATTTTTAGCAAGAAAACCATTCCCCTGGCTTAAGACCGAATGCTTTAAAAAGTCCAAAATCACAAGGCACAAAAACCCACTTTACAACCAGGTGCTCGGTGAAAGTAGCTAGAAAATCACGGCCCAGGGAGGTTGGGCTGGAGAGACACGGATGGACAGATGTGGTTGTGAACTGTCTGAGGCTGGAAGCCCTGGCATCGTGTCCCAGAGTTGGAGAGGGGCTGCAATCAGGAAGAGCATTACCAGACAGTAAAGGAAACTAAAGGGCAGCATCGAGTGAGGAAACTTCAAAGACAACATTTTCTTGCTTCATAATAATTCTCAAGGCTGGGTCTGATGATGACATTAGTGGAATGAGTAAAATAGGTGGAAAACCTGAGGCAGGGAGAAGTTGGATACTTCTTTAATATGATGCATGGACATAGCCAATATTAAGAGACAGACTGTGTGTCAGGCAGTCATTTAACCTTCAGGCAGCTATTATTTTCTCTAAATTAAACCAACACTGAGGGATTATTTAGGGGAAAGGATAGACTGATTTTCCAATTTGTCAAAGGCTAAAGAAAAATATAATCAACTTCATTCTCCTGTCAATGAGAGAACAATATTCATGTACTCTTTTTCTTTGGCAGGATTAGTTCTAATCATTCATGTCTGTGAGAACTGAATTTCCTGGAGAAAGCCATTGGGAAGGTTGAACTTAGAGTTACATGTTTTCAAACTGATCATAAAATCTTTTTCTAAGTGGAAAATAGGTTAAATAATGTGGTCTTATCTTCTTACCTATCCTGTCCCTCCAGTTTCTGGCTTCTGGTTGTGTAGCAAGGACTTTAGGGTTGGGGGAGCAAAATAGTTATAAAATGTTGAGCCCTACAAATGGTAGATTTGGCTTCTGTGATCCTGCTAATTGGGTAGGTTCCTGCCTTCTCCCTCACCCATACATCCCCACGGGCTTCACTGCGTGCATGGAGACAAGCTGAGGGATTGATTGTAAAGTAATGGGATCAATGCTCACAAACTTGTGTGAATATCAGCCTTATTTAGTTCTGGGATTCAGTTTTGTCAGTGTGCTTTGGTGTGAGATTGGGAAGTAAACAAGGCCTTTGGTGAAAAGGAAAGAGTGTATTATATCCACATGGATTCAAATTTGTATTAAAAAACACAAACCCTGGGTAGTCCAGCAAACAAAAATAATAAAAGCCCAAATACAAAACTGCAGGTCAGAGCCTTTGGGATGCCAGTTTATGTCTTCTGTTTTAAAGTCATATTTCATATTTATAAATGCTGTTCCAAACTCAAACTGTAAAGCAGGTTTGGATTTGGGGATATTTTGGGTCATCTACCTTTCTTGCAGTACTCTATCATTAAACTAGTAATTGAAAGGCAAGTAAACAGGAGCCATGCATTTCTTTGACTTTTAAAATGGAGTATACATGAACATCAAATATTGAAATTTATCTAAGTATATATACTATTTTACTGATTTGATTATGTATAGCTGAAATGTTTCTTAACATATTATTCTAAGATGGTACTAGCAAAAGGAAATGATTTTCAAAAATGTTCTGAGGAGCACAAGAATGAAAACAAAATGATACCACACTATTGGGAAGCAGAGTCTGTGTAATATTATTGTTGTTACTGTTAATAATAATATTTCCTAATCTGTAGCAACATTAACTAGTATATAGTAAGAGCTTAACTCATGTTGAATTAAAAAATCAAAGTTCTATAATACTCCATCTTCTACAGCGTCTTATATTTTGAAGTCCTGGGTAGAAATGTCAGCATAATCAATAACTAACCTGCCAGCATAGCAGTGTAACAGAAATCTGTATCTTAAGACATAAAGAAAAATACCTCTACTCCCCAGGTCTCATAGATAGAAAATGAGCCGGTGATTTTGTAATCTGCTCATGTCTCATTGAAGTAATGCATTGTAGAACTGAAGCATCTACTAAGAGGACGAATGTGCAGTGAATTCAAACCAGTTAAACCTTAATAGTGTAAATGAAACCTTTAAATTGTGTGAACCACTAGCAGCCTTGCAACTCTTTACATGTGCAAAAAATTGAATGAACACATATGGTCACCATCAACTTGGTTATTTAATTCTGAGATGACACACGTATTGATCTAACTGAAAAGGGGAAGCTACTATATAGCTGGTTGTAATTAGCCCACCACAAATTTCTATAACTACTTCAGTCTAAACCAAAAGCCAAAATGGCATTTCATGATTACACCGTCCCACCCAGATTTGCATTTCTTGATGAATTCCCAAGGTTAGGATATGAGCCATACTGTAAAACCAACCCTCAATTACACCTTTTTAGAGGGGAAGATTAGTGGCAGGTGGTGCCTGCTATAAAAGCCTCATTAAAACACCTTCTGGTGGAGTTTCACAAAAGGAAGCCACCAGATGGAGACCCATCTCCACATGGCAGTCTTACCTCAAATGAGAGTTTCACCTGACACTTTGGGGACAGACAATTTTTTCTCACCTAACAAGCCACTGAGGTTCAAAAGACGATCTATTAGGATTAATCGTACTTGATCACTAATCCATTGTAATGCCATATGCTGAAAGCCTTGTTCACTGTTAAGCCTGGAGCCAGGTAGAGCCCCTCTGGTAATGTAAACCCTCCCGTTTTCCTGCAGCTAATCTAATTTCACCTCCTCCCAGACCTCGCATGCCAGGAATGATGCTTAACTCTTCCTCCACTGCCTCTGATGCGTTTTTGAATGGTAGCAAATCTGATCTCAAAGGTAATGACGCTGAAACCTGCTGACTAATTGGAAAATGATTTTCCTGGTGGTGGTGTTTAGTGGGGCGAATGGATAAAAGGTATTCATTCTATTGTGCACAAATTCAAAGACTTAGCCCTGGCCTTCTTATCTGCACAGCTTGATATTACTCATCTCCTCCTCTTCCCTCCTTCTCTAAATATGTGTTCGTTGAATCTGAATTTGAACAATCAGCCAGCTGGGCAGCAAGAGTGAAATTTATGCCTCATAGAGGAAATTCCATCACCTTATGCAGTCCTTGAAATGGCAAGTATTTTCTCCAGTGGTTTGCCTTTGGTATAGGTCCAAACCATTAAGTGCCAAACAGCTTAACTCACCACATACACGCGTGCACATACACATATATAGTTTTCTTATGTGTTTTGTGTTATGCTACTTACAAAGCACCACCCACAATGCACTTTCTTGCTCAAGGCCCCATATTTCTGAGTTGCGCACATAATCATACATACAGGTGATATGAGCCCCACACATTTTGCTCTATCCGTGATCTCCAATATGAGGAGTTAAATGGAATAACTTTCAAATTCCATGCAATATTTTATGATCACTTGGTTCCAGCCCTAAACAGACTGCTGGAGGGAATAGAGAAAATATTCCATCTGCAATGTACACTAAACAATGTCATCAAGATGACAAGAGTCGTCCTAAAGTCATACCATGCATTAAGCAAATGAGGCCAGGCCCCCAGTGCATACCAAATGCTGTGCTTCACACCTTCCTAAAAAGTGCTCCCCCAAATGCCATGCTATTTAAAGCATTACTGTAATTGAAAGATCTAATCAATGTTTCAAACATGTGATCCTAATATTGCATAACGACTAGATTGAGGGAAGGTGCTTATTAAAATGCAGATTCTAAGAGAATAAAATACCTAGGAATCCAACTTACAAGGTATGTGAAGGGACCTCTTCAAGCAGAGCTACAAACCACTGCTCAAGGAAATAAAAGAGGACACAAACAAATGGAAGAACATTCCATGATCATGGATAGAAGAATCAACATCGTGAAAATGGCCATACTGCTCAATGTAATTTATAGATTCAATGCCATCCCCATCAAGCTACCAATGACTTTCTTCACAGAATTGGAAAAAACTACTTTAAAGTTTATATGGAACCAAAAAAGAGCCCTCATAGCCAAGACAATCCTAAGCCAAAAGAACAAAGCTGGAGGCATCATGCTACCTGACTTCAAACTATACTACAAGGCTACAGTAACCAAAATAGTATGTTACTGCTACCAAAACAGAGATATAGACCAATGGAACAGATCAGAGGCCTCAGAAATAACCCCACACATCTACAACCATTTGATTTTTGACAAACCTGACAAAAACAAGCAATGGGAAAAGGATTCCCTATTTAAGAAATGGTGCTGGGAAAACTGGCTAGCCATAGGTAGAAAGCTGAAACTGGATCCCTTCCTTACACCTTATACAAAAATTAATTCAAGATGGAGTAAAGACTTAAATGTAAGACCTAAAACCACAAAAGCCCTAGAATAAAACCTAGGCAATACCATTCAGGACATAGGCATGGGCAAAGACTTAATAACTAAAACACCAAAAGCAATGGCAACAAAAGCCAAAATTGACAAATGGCATCTAATTAAACTAAAGAGCTTCTGCACGGGAAAAGAAACTATCATCAGAGTGAACAGGCAACCTACAGAACGGGAGAAAATTTTTGCAATCTATCCATCTGACAAAGGGCTAATAGCCAGAATCTTCAAAAAACTTAAACAAATTTACAAGAAAAAAAAAACATCAAAAAGTGGGCAAAGGATAGGAACAGACACTTCTCAAAAGAGGACATTTATGCAGCCAACAAACTTATGAAAAATGCTTATCATCACTGGTCATCAAAGAAATGCAAATCAAAACCACAGTGAGATACCATCTCATAGCAGTTAGAATGGTGATCATTAAAAAGTCAGGAAACAATAGATACTGGAGAAATAGGAATGCTTTTACACTGTTGGTGGGAGAGTAAATTAGTTCAACCATTGTGGAAGACAGCGTGGTGATTCCTCAAGGATCTAGAATTAGAAATACCATTTGACCCAGCAATCCCATTACTGGGTATATACCCAAAGGTCTCTAAATCATGTAACTATAAAGACACATGCACACATACGTTTATTGCGGCACTATTCATAATAGCAAAGACATGGAACCAACCCAGATGTCCATCAATAATAGACTGGATAAAGAAAATGTGGCACATATACAGCATGGAATACTATGCAGCCATAAAAAAGGACGAGTTCATGTCCTTTGCAGGGCCATGGATGAAGTTGGAAACCATCATTCTCAGCAAAATATCACAAGGACAGAAAACCAAACACTGCATATTCTCACTCATAAGTGGGAGTTGAACAATGAAAACACATGGGCACAGGGAGGGGAACATCATACACTGGGGCCTGTTGGGGTTTGGGGAGGGATAGGGTTAGGAGAAATACCTAATGTAAATGACGAGTTGAAGGGTGCAGCAAACCAACATGGCACATGTATACCTATGTAACAAACCTGCACATTGTGCACATGTACCCTAGAACTTAAAGTATAATTTAAAAAAATAAAAAATATATTTAAAAAATGCAGATTCTTAGACCTCAACACATACTACTGAATCAGAGTATCCAGAGGTGGAATCTGTGCAATTATATTTTTGTTAACAAATTTTCCAGATGCTTCTGGTGCACATTAGGTTTTCAAGTTGGCCAGTACAGTGGCTCACATCTGTAATCCCAGCATTTTGAGAGGCCAAGATCAGCAGATGGCTTGAGCTCAAGAGTTCAAGATTAGCCTAGGCAACATGGTGAAACCCTGTCTCTACAAAACATACAAAAATTAGCTGGGCATGGTGGTGTGTGCCTGCAGTCCCAACTCTCCGGGGGGCTAAGGCGGGAGGTAGAGGCTGCTGTGAGTCGTGATTGTGCCACTGCACTCAAGCCTGGGCAAAAGAGTGAGACCCTGTCTGTCTTAAAAAAAGAAAAAAAATTTTAAAGTCCAAGGAAAAGAACACAGGATCCCATTGCCCTTGATTCCTTCAGCCAGCAAAGCCAGGGCCCTCAGACCACTATGCTCCTCTTTCCTCATCCAGAAGGCCCTGTGACACTGAGGTCAGGCAAGACAGTGACACTGGTTGGACAAGAAAGGGGACGAAAAATACCCCCACTGGCTTTCTGGATCAAATTTGTAATGTGCAAGGTTGCTGTGAGTGTTTTGTGTTAGCCAAACAGTATATATAATATGTCCCATACTGTACATGTTTACAAACCCTTAAAAAATCTTAAGTTTCTAACGACACCTAGTAAATAAATCACTCTAGCTTTGTTCTTATAGTTTATGTAGTCACCAGACCCCAGAGATAAAAATATAGCCCCAGCTTTCTGCAGCTGGAAGAGTTTATTTTGTCATACAAGAAAACTGCTAGATTTGGCTAAGCAAGAGGGAATCTCTTAGGATTTTTATTTTTACCAAAACAAAAAACAAAAAACACCTCAGTAGTCAATAGTAGTCTATCAGTTAAAATGAAGCAGGGAGTCCACACTTTTCTTATAATTACACACAGAGTATATTCCTTGTCTATCTGATACAATTGTCCTTCTGAAAAAGCTTGGATAATACCTAGTTTCATTAGTCTCCCCTTTTGTTCATAAGGACAACTTTTACTTTAACATATTAAGTCATGTAAGATGTAAACATTTTCTTATAAGTTTTGGTAATCATACTTCTGAGAGGTAGATCCTAGTTCATCCTCAGACAGCGGAAACTGACCTTGTCTTCCTCTACCCCACCTGTAACCCACCTCCACTCTGAGCATCCATGGCATGAGTGCTTTGATAAAGGAGAAAGGAACCCAGGAGTGAGGAGTATCCTGCACTGAAGACTGGACTCAGAAGAGACAAGTCAAAGAGAGATCAGCCAGGATAGGCCTCCCCTAGGCTGGCCCTGGGGCCTAAATCTAACCATCAAGAACCATATGATCCTCTCTCTGTATGCAGGAGAGAATTGACTCTGGCCTGGTGAAGAACATGGGGGATCAGGAAAGATCAGGAAGCAGCTGATTGGGCAAGGTAGCAATCTTTCTGCGGTGAAGTCCCCATTTTCCTTGGGACTTGGTGGGACCTGCAGTGCGGTAGCGAATTATTCCCAGGTGCGTGGGTCTCTAAAGAAGCCAGAGGCATCAGGGGGGCCTCCTACTCCTTGAGTATTTGTGAACTAGGACCTAGGAAAAGGGTCTGAAGGTTTGTGTCAACAGCTGACCAGTGAGGACAATCTGATCCCTAGTATCAAGCTCTCAGATCCTGTTTCTACCTAGAGGCTGGTTAGGCCTAAAAATTTAGGTTCATCTCTAAAAGCTGAAACTATTTAAATTTGCCCGTTGTTGTGGTTTTGTTCTGCTTTGGTTTTTTTATGGTGTGCTCCTCCTCTCCTTATCTCCTTTTCTCCCTTGCTGGCCTGCTACTATTGGAAGAGAAAATTAACTCTGCCATGGTGCTTTTCAAGAAATATGACTTCCAGTGACTCTCAGAAAGCCATAAGGGTGAGGAGGGGGAGCTCAGAATTGAGTTTGTGACACAACAAACCCAAATGATTCTGAATTTTCTTTTTCTTTTTCATTTGCATTGTTTCTTTGATAGTAACATCTATTGCTATAAAATACTAAACAGCCCATAAACATCAGGGCACAGTTCAAAGCTTTTAGTATAAAATAGAGTGTTCTGCTTTGATAAGAAAAGACGGCAAATTCTTACAAGGCAGCGTTTATTTTTGTCTTCATCTACTATTTGTAGAACGTTGCGTTAACTCTAAATTTTCCTTGCCACATTTCCCTCAAACATGCTTTTTTCTTTTCCTTAGTTACTATTTCTTAATTTTATCAAAATGGCTTCCCGGACTCTCCCTGGTTCTCTCTGAAGGATTCTGGGTATTCTTCCTTTTAAAAGTTCCTGTTGTGGCTACAGGTTGGTCATCGCCATCTTCAGGAAGTATTTGTTCTTCCTCTTGACATTCTTATGTTTTTATTTCCCATTCCCTAAATAGTTTCCACTCTAAAGTCAGAATTTCTGTGTTTTCTAAGAATATAAAATATTTAAGTTTTATTCACTTGTGGCTGTTTGCTGTTCACATTTTTGTGGATTAGGGAAAAGTGAACACACGCATGGCTCAGTCTTCAGCTTTGCGTGTGCTAATATGTGGAAAAAGCTCTTGGTTCAAGAGTGAAGAGAGATGGTCATGATATCCAAACAGCAAACCCCCATTTTTTTCCACACTCCTTAGTCAATTTAGTTATCAAAATAAAATATATATTTTTTCTTCTGCAAAGCATTTAGAGCTTTTATCTTCTCCGGTTACCTCAGATTTTTCCCAAAGAAGAAATCTAAGCCCAATTAGGGTGAGTGAGGGGAGGGAGGGGCAGAATTAGGTACCAGAATCCCCAGCGACTGCTTTCACTGGAACGGACCACAAGATTCTCTCAACCAACCCATTTTTTTCCCCATTTAACTAATAGAAGGCTGGGGAGTGACCTTTGCAGGCCAGTGGGCAGGAGCTGAGAAATACTCCCCCAAATGAGCCAGGATGTATATCTGTTTACTACACAGCATGCTGGGCTGGAGCTAATGACATTAATCCCCCTACTGCTTTTCATTAGGTGACAGACAGGGAGCCACACTTCGGAGGGCATCTACTGCTTCTCCCCATCAGCCAGCTGCGAAGAGGAGTCGCTCTGGGAACAGCGCCGCCCTCCCCTCGTTTGCTTTTCTTCCTCTATTATTCCTGACATGTTCACTGAACTACAGACTGCATATGTTTAAAAATAATTAAACGCGCTCCAAACAAATAGGCAATGTTTCCACGATCCCTGCAATGAACGTTCTGCGTGTTTTGACAGATTTTTCTGTTCGTTGGATTCATCAAGCAGCCTGGCTCTTTGCTGTCATTCCCGACAACCTTACAGATAACCCCCCAGGGCAAACTCTTTGGCCTGAGCTCCTTTCTGGGCTCTGATCTTGGGCACAGAGAACTTCCAGCCTGAGAGTCTCCAGACCTTGGGGAGAATCCGTGTCTGGGCTCCCATGGCAGAGTGGTTCACAAATGGAGCCATTAGACAAAAGGCAGAAGCGCTAAATAAATGTGGGGCTCTGTTTTGAATGGCGCTGCTGTATTGCACTGAGAAAAGAGACTAGAAGGAAATCCTATGAGAACGCTGAAACACTACTGTGGGGCATCAGGACCATCCTCACCCCACCCCCTGGCCCCCCTGGCAAATCCTGATCTTCCACATCCCTGCATGTCACCCCCTCATTCTTATTTTTTAAAAACTAAAATTCCTCTATTAAATGATGAAGATAAAGGAGAAGATACAGCTTATAAAACTACATAAAACACAGCATAACCAAAGAGATGAAAACATGTATAAAGAAAGCTAATTAAAGAGAAAATAGAGTAAACAGGTAAGAAAGAGACTTGGTGAATTTAGGGCATAACAAAGATGCTAAAATTAAGAGAAGCCTAACTAACTGTTTTCCCAACAGAGACAAAGGTCTTCCTCATACAAAGAATACACTGGGATATCATCAACAATGTCCTCATCAGTATTCATTCAGGAAACAATTGATAAGTAAGAGTGTCTTTCTCCCTCAATATAGGCTTACTACATCTTGCATATCTATAACCACTCTGGAGGAATTTGGAGGAGTAAGGAGTGTGTGGATGTATATGTCTGAGTTGTCACAAAGGAGGAGGGTTGAGGGAGGAAGGGGAGGAGTAATCAATACAGTTTGATTCTGAACATGGCTGTAATGGTCTGTCTTAATCCAAGGACAGCTTTAAGAGAAACCGTAGGAATGGATATTCTTTAAATCCTTAGGAAATATGCTCAACGGTGATTTGAATCAATATTGACAGCAATTAATGTGCAGGGACATTAATTTACCCACTGACTGCTCTAACAGTTGGTGGTGTCCAAGGAAGTCTTAATATCATGTGAATATTAAAGAGTCAAGAAGAACCTGCAGGAAAGTTCAAGTTTCTCCACAAGAAGGGATTTTTTTTAGTATGCTGCAAAATTGTTCATCAAAGTACTAAATTCTACACCAAGAATTGGCAAACCACAGCCTGTGGGTCAAATGTAGCCTGCACCTGTTTTTGTGTGGCCTCTGAACCATAATCTGGGCCTTTTTTTTTTTTTAATGGCTGAAAAAAAATCAAAAGAAGAATAATATTTTATAACATGTGACAATTACTTGAAATTCAATTTCAGGATCCATAAATAAGGTTTTATTGGAACCCAGCAGGCTGTCCATGGCTGTTCTTGTACTACAATGGCAGAGAGGCAGCAGAGACGGTACCGCCTACGAAGCTGAACATATTTACAATGTGGCCCTTTGCTGAAAGAGTTTGCTGACCCTTGTTCTATACCATAAGCAATAGGTCATGACTACAATATTGTTAATACTTTTTCTGATTTCTAAACTAAAAACAAGTTCCCAATTGTTTAGGTTTTCTAGATGGCTATTTGATAATATGTACCAGATAATATAAAGCATGTTTGCCTTTTGAGTAATAAAGTCCACTTCTAAGGAATTTATCCAATACTGGAAAGTGGGAAACAGCATAGATACCCAACAATACAGCAAATGATTAAATAAATTATGATACAGCTATACAGTGAAATGCTCTACCCATTAAAAGAATGATTAGCTATGTGTTATCAGGACAAAAAAAAATTAGTTGGAAGTATTCTGGTTAGTCACGGTGGCTCATGCCTGTAATCCCAGCACATTGGGAAGCCGAGGTGGGTGGATCACTTGAGGTCAGGAGTTCGAGACCAGCCTGGCCAATGTGGAAAAACCCGTCTCTTCTAAAAATACAAAAATTAGCCAGATGTGGTGGTGGGTGCCTGTAGTTCTAGCTACTTGGGAGGCTGAGGCATGAGAATCACTTGAACCTGGGAGGCAGAGGTTGCAGTGAGCTGAGATAACACCATTGCACTCCAGCCTAGGCGATAGAGCCAGATCTTGTCTAAACAAAAGAAAACAAAACCAAACCAGATTGGGCTTTCATTGTGCTAATTGAGAAAAACTATGGAATTACCTGAAGCCTTGAAAGGTTAGATTTACATTTCATGGGCATGGAGCTACTTTTATTTTTTATTTTTTAATTTTTATTTATTTAATTTTTTTTAGAAGGAAATGAATCTGGGAAAGAAATGGATCTGGATTACCCTAGACCATTAGAGCCATGTTTGGGGCCTAAATGTATTGATTACTTGTCCCCTTCCTCCTTTGTGACAACTCAGATGTATTATATCCACATACTACTTACTCCTCTGAATTCCTCCAGGGTAGTTATGCTTTTGCAAGATGTGGTAAGTCTATATTGACAAAGAAACTCCCAGTTATCTATCAATTTGTTCCTGAATGAATACTGATGAGGACATTGTTGATGATATCCTAACGTATCTTTTGTATGGGGAAGACCTTTGTCTCAGTTGGGAAAGCAATGAGGCTTCTCCTAATTTGGCAAGCCTTTTTATGCCCTAAACTCACCAAGTCTTCCCAATCTTTCCTCTTTCTAGCTTATCCTATTTCTCTTTAACTTTCTTTATACGTATTTTTATTTGTTTTTAGTATGTTGTGTTTTATGTAGCTTTATGAACTGTACTTTTTCTTCTCCTCCTCTTTTTTTCTTCATCTTTTAATAGAGGAATGTCAATTAAAAAAAATCTTTTTCAGGGGAAGATAGAAAGAGTAGGATATATTAGTGTGTTTGTTTCCTAGAGCTGCTATAACGAAGTACTACAAACCGAATGGCTTAGAACAACAGAACTTGATTGTATTCCAGTTCTAAAGGCTGGAAGTCCAAAATCAAGGTGTTGGTAAAACCATGCTCCCTAAATATATTGGGGAGGATCTGTTCCAGGTCTCTCACTTTCTGTCTTCTTCTTCTCTTTGCCTCTCATAGCTTCAGGTGTTCCTTGACTTGTAGATGTCTGTCTTCTTCCTTCCTTTGTGTCTCTTCACATCATCTTTCCTCTCCATCTCCCTGTTCAGATTTTCCTTGTATAAAGACCTCAGTCATGTTGAATTAGAGCCCACCCTAATGACATAATTCTATGATTACCTCTGTTAAAACCCTATTTGCAAATAACGTCATATTCTGAGACACTGAGGGTTTAGGAATTCAAAATATATTTTTTGAGGGGCAGACATTTCAACCCACAACAAGCAGACACAATGAAAAAATTAAAGCAAACTGGATTTTAAAAGATAGAGATGAGATCTTCTAGGCCCTTCAAAGAGAACTTCAGTGAGACAACTAGTTGAAGACAGTGTTTAGGCTGTTTTTCTATCATGCAAAGAATTCCTTCTTTGTATTTATATTTTGCTGCTCCATTTCTCTTTGACTTTTCCTTTCCTTTCTTTTTCTTCTCTCTTCTATTTTTTAAGAGGGAATATACCCTCTTGGTAAAAAATTCAAAAGGTCTACAAATTTAAATTTACATATTTTACAAAGTAATGCAATATTTATTCATTTTATAAATATAAAAAAATTAATATGTAATCATTTTAGAAAAGTTTTAAAAAGCACCGTTAAAAAAGCACAACAAAAACAATAAACTTATGCAAAATTTCAAACCTAACAGATCATCTCTGACAATTTTAGGATTTATATTTTTGTTTTATATATACAATATAGTTGGATATTTTATACAATTGATATTATTTCATATACCCATTTTCTAGTCCTTTTAGCACTAACAAGCATACTATGAATATTTTCTCCTGTCACTAAATATCCTTCACAGCATGAGTTTTTGCAGTGTTCTATGAAATAAAATACCATAAAATTTTCAAAGTCTTTTGTGGTATATTTAGATTGCCTTCAATTTTACAGTACCATACAAATAATTCTGTGATGAACATATTTGTAAGTAAATCTTTATTTAACTCCTTGACTACTTTTTAATTTTCTTCTAGAAATGAAACTGCTATATTAAAGTGTAAATACATTAAAATACTCTGGATAAATGTCAAATAAATTATAGCCAAACATCCATCATGGCCACTAAAAAAGTCTCAATAAACTATTTATTAAATGTCTAGTTTTATCACATGTGACTTTCCTAGTTTGCCATCTGAGACAACCTAATTAAAAATTACTCCCTTACGTATTATAGCTACATAAGATAATTAGCTACAAAATACCTATGTCTACAAAAATGCTTGTTTTACTTCAGAAAAGTTTAGACAATATTTTTTTCCCACATAGTAATCTAGTGCATGAAAATAAAATGTCCAAAAAATTTATATCAGAGTTTAAATGAGTATGGTGGTTTCTAAAACAGATGCAAATCCTTTTAACTTTCCTCCCATTGAAAAGTGCAGTCTATCTTTCCTTTCCTTCTCCCTGGTAGACTTGTGACCAATTCCACCAATAAAGGATGGTGGAACTGACACTGCAACTTCTAAGGTGACACTATGCAAAGGCCACTTGGTTTGCAGCTTCCACCTTGCTTTAGTGGAATACTTGGTTGTCATGGGGGAAGTGTTCCTTGAGCCACCATGTTGGAGAGGGGACCTATAGACACTTGGACCTATAGTCCCAGCTGAGCTCAGCCTTGCAGCCACATCCACTGAGGTGTCAAATATTAGGTTGGTGAAAACATAATTGTGGTTTTTGCATTTTTGAAATTTGCCATTTGATATTGGAATACATTCTTAAACAAAAGTGGTTATGTTATACATCATGTTAATGTACATTTATGTTTTTTGACACTGAATTATTACTGTTAATTTTGTATTTATTTTAGACTATAGAAATAGTGTGAGACGAAAAGCAAATTTGAGCGATTTTCTTATTCGAATTCAAAATGGGTCATAAAGTGGCAGAGACAACTCGTAACATCAACAATGCATTTGGCCCAGGAACTGCTAACGAACGTACAGTACAGTGGCGGTTCAAGAAGTTTCACAAAGGAGATGAGAGCCTTGAAGATAAGGAGCACGGCAGCCGGCCATTGGAAGTTGATAATAATCAGTTGAGACCACTCATCGAAGCTAATCTACTTACAACTACTCGAGAAGTTGCCAAAGATCTCAGTGTCGACCACTCTATGGTCATTAGGCATTTGAAGCAAATTGGAAAGATGAAAAACTTTGGATAAGTGGATGCCTCGTGAGCTGAGCAAAAATTTAAAAAAAAATAGTCATTTTGAAGTGTCATCTTCTCTTATTCTACACAACAACGATGAACCATTTCTCCATTGGATTGTGATGTGCAATGAAAAGTGGATTTTATATGACAACCGGTGATGACCAGGTCAGTGGTTGAACTGAGAGGAAGCTCCAAAGCACTTCCGAAAATCAAACTTGCACCAAAAAAGGTTATGGTCACTGCTGGGTGGTCTGCTGCTGGTCTGATCCACTACAGCTTTCTGAATCCCGGTGAAAACATTACATCTGAGAAGTATGATCAGCAAATCGATGAGATGCACCAAAAATTGCAATGCCTGGAGCTGGCATTGGTCAATAGAAAGGGCCCAATTCTTCTCGACAAGCCTGACCACACATTGCACAACCAAAGCTTCAAAAGTTGAACAAATTGGGCTACGAAGTTTTGCCTCATCCGCCATATTCACGTGACCTCTTACCAACTGACTACCACTTCTTCCAGTATCTCAACAACTTTGTCCAGGGAAAATGCTTCCACCACCAGCAGGATGCAGAAAATGCTTTCCAATAGTTTGTCAAATCCTGAAGCACAGATTTTTATACTACAGGAATAAACAAACTTATGTCAAATCCTGAAGCACAGATTTTTATGTTACAGGAATAAACAAACTTATTTCTCATTGACAAAAATGTGTTAATTGTAATGGTTCCTATTTTGACCAATAAAGATGTGTTTGAGCCTAGTTACGATTTAAAATTCATGGTCCAAAACCACAATTACTTTTGCACCAACCTAATAAGAGCCTGAAGAAGTCATCTTGAAGCCAATCCTCCAGCCCCAGCTGTGGCAGTCCCCAAGGCATTTAAATCACCCCCAGTTGAGTCCCCAGATATTATGAAGTAGAGGCAAGCGATCCCCGCAGTGCCCTGAATTCCTGACATGCACAATTTCTTACTAAAATGGTTATTTTTTAATGTCACTAATATTTGGAGTGATTTGTTATGCAGTCTTAACACCAACAATGATTTTTTTTTGGCATTCTTTACACTGAGAGATTACATATTCAACTCACTCAAAACAGCTTCAAATAATTTAGGTACAATGTTGAAAGATATAAAGGCAGAAAATGCCTGTGTTTTATCCCAGTGGAATTTATATGATCCAACAACAGACTATCACCATGAAATCATACTTTGATGCTAGGGTTCTAGTACAGAAGCTATGCAGAAGAATAAATAGCCCAGAGTTGAATCCAAATCTCTGCAATCTAGTTCAAATTGATTCCCATATGTGAAATCAAAGGGCAGAAAAAAGTCAATAAAACCTGCAAAGAATCTTACTATTTCTAAACTTTTCTCCAGAAGAAAGCAAAAAGCACAACTGTCATCAACAGTAAAAAGTGTTCCTGAAGTCACTTGGTTCTTATGCAGACTGTTACCTAGAAAAGCCCAGACTAGGTTGGGCACAGTGGCTCACACCTATAATCCCAGCACTTTGGGAGGCCGAGGTGGGTGGATCACTTGAGGTCAGGAGTTTGAGACCAGCCTGGCCATTATGGCAAAACCCTGTCTCTACTAAAAATACAAAAATTAGCTGGGCATGGTGGTGGGTGCCTGTAGTTCCAGCTACTTGGGAGGCATGAGAATCACGAATCTGGGAGGTGGAGGTTGCAGTGAGCCGAGATCACACCACTGCACTCCAACCTGGGTGACACAGCGAGACTCTGTCTCACAAAAGCGAAGGAAGGGAGGAAGGGGCAGGGAGGAGAAAGAATAAAAGAAAGGCCCAGACTTGAAACTTAAACTTATAATTCAAGAAAAGGACACAGGTTTTAGATTTAATGCATCTATAATTTGAGCAAACAAAAGGTTGCTCTGAATTAGCTAAAGCCAGGAAAGATTATTAAATGATCAATTTTTTCCCGGTCCAAAGTATCCATTCCAAAGACAGTATAAGGAAGGGGAGTTGGCAGGGGAGTACCATGATAGGTTTTCTATTTCATGCCCTGGGGATCAATTTTCCTCTAGACCTACACATGATCTTCTGTGCCATCAGATTCTGTTTTTATATAACATTGTTGAAAAGTTTTTGTTTTGCTTACTCTAGCAGTTGCAAATAATGGCCTACAGGGAAATACTGTTCCATCAGATCGGACATCAGTCCTCTTATTGAGATTCCTGTAGATAGAGTAAAAGGAAGCCCTATTAACCATCCCCTTTCAAAGATGACTGACTCTCATGAGGGCCATTTAAATAAATAAAAATTAAGTTCATAAGGCAAAACCATATACACCAGCATGCAAGGCATGCCATGACTTAAAGGCTTTAAATGTTAAGACATAATTGTGTTCTGCTTGCCAGGGAGCCAGATCAGGACTAGAAGAAGAAAAAAAAGCCTGTTCATTAATCCAGAAGTTCAACAGCAGCTATTCCACTTGGGAATGTCGCTGTGACCACTGACAACTTCATGACTGCAGGGAGGGTCCACAGGGAGAGAAAAACTATCCATGACCTTCCTTTGCCTTCAGTGCTCTAGAAGGACACGCTCTGTGTGTCTGCCCTTTCTTATGAGATGCAGACCTCAAGAATAGGCATGGGTGGTGGGAGAAAGCAAAGACTTTGGAGTCAAGAGGACATAACTGTAAAATGGTTAAACAATGGTACCAACCTCAGAGAAGAATTATAAAAGTAAATGAGGTTATGTACAGAAAGTGGCCAAGCATGCTGACTCATGCCTGTAATCCCAGTACTTTAGGAGGCTGAGGTAGAAGGATCACTTGAGGCCAGGAGTTCGAGACCAGCCTGGACAAGATAGGGAGACTTTGTCTCTACAAAAATTTTTAAAAATTAGCAAGACATGGCCAGGCATGGTGGCTCACTCCTTTAATCCTAGCACTTTGGGAGGCTGAGGCAGGTGGATCACTTGAGGTCAGGAGTTCGAGAGCAGCCTGGCCAACATGGTGAAACCCTGTCTCTACTAAACATACAAAAAATTAGCTGTGCGTGGTGATGCATGCCTATAGTTCTAGCTACTTGGGAGGCTGAGCACAAGAGTTGCTTGAATTCGAGGGGCAGAACCGAGGTTGTGCCACTGCACTCCAGCCTGGGCAACAGAGTGAGACTCAGTCTCAAAAAAAAAAAAAATTAGACAGATACGGTGGGAACACAGCTGTAGTTAGAGCTACTCAGGAGGCTGAGGCGGGAGAATGGCTTGAGCCCAGGAGTTTGAAGTTACAATGAGCTATGATGGCACCATTGCACTATAGCCTGGGTGACAGGATGAGAAACTGTCTCTTAAAAAAAAAATCAGCCAGATATGGTGGCAACACACCTGTAGTTCCAGCTACTCAGGAGGCTGAGATGGGAGAATGGTTTGAGCCCAGGAGTTTGAAGTTACAGTGAGCTATGATGGCACCATTGCACTCTAGCCTGGGTGACAGAATGAGAAGCTGTCTCTCTTAAAAAAAAAAAAAAAAAGGAAAGTGACTATCACATTGACTGGCATGTAGTGTGATGTTACTTCCTACCAAGTGCTTGATATTCCAGTGCATCCTTGACATATTCATATGTTGATTCAGTAAATATTTATTGAATTTCTCTAATGTGGCAGATCTTGTTCCAAGGATTATATAAATTAATAAACAAAACAGCCTTGCCCTCAGGAACCTTATCACCTAGACTTTGATAAAAGTCTGAAATTTGAAAATACTTTGGGTTGAAATTACATATGAATCCTGGGAGAAAAAGAGGGTTTATCATATTTCCCCTGAATTGTTCAGATCAGCTTCTTCTGGCCGTATGGAGGTTAAACACGCCCATAGCATTTATTACGGAAACTTTTTTCCATCCTAATAAAACTGCTTGAGTAGAAAATTCCTTCTACATAAGCTCATTTCATATATTTTTAACAGACAGCTTGGAAAAGTGCAAGTGTGTATGCATCTATTCTAGGCGATTGAGTTAATAAAACATCATCATCAGTAGTAGTAATCGTCTTAAGATCTTGAGTCAAAGAGTAAGAAAAAATAAGGGCATTTATCCACTTCTTAATAGGTCACTATTATCTAAACACATATAAAACAGGCACTGTATCATATTCTAGGAACACAAAGAATGCTTCCTGTTGTGGAGGGAAAGATATACATACAAGTTTACATATAATAGAACATGCTGCTACAGAGATGTTAAGTATAGAAATCAGAAGCACAGGCATTAATTTTTCTCTGGAGCAGGGTGCTAGAGGATATGGCATGGGCAGCAAGGGCTGGAAGAGTGGAGAATAAATGGCATTTGTGTCTTGGTCTTGATCCATAAGAGAAGTTTGTCAGCCTGACAAAGGGTGGACTGCTCAGAAATTTTCAAGCTGAAGCTACAACATGAGCAAAGCACAAAAGTATTGCTTTAAACCTTGCAATGTCCCTGTGAGGCCGATTTAATTATCCTCATTGTAGAAAAGAGAAAACAGAAACTTTGAGAGAGTCTTCAGAGAGAGTTAGTTATACTGCTCAAAGAGGCAGCGCCAGCATCCACTTTGCCTCCACTTTGGCTGACCCCAAAGCATTTTCTTTCTCTTCTCTATTGAGCTGTGTCTTTTTTTCATAGAATAAGGACAAAGGTACGTGCATATATATTATGGTTTCATAAAACTGCTATTGTACTGTTAAAGATCTGAACCTTTCTTATCAGGTACTGATTCGTCATTTAACCCAACAAAATAGTAAACCTTTTTTTTTAAGACCTCAGACATAAATTGAACAATCACTGAGTATGTAGTATTTAATAAAGGGTTTTGCATGAAATCCAAGAGGATGCAACCTCAAATACCTACAGAACAGAAGATGGGTTAGGGGACCCAGAGTGGACTTGAACACCCCTGCCCTAGGTAAAGGTACAGCTGCTACCCAGCAGATGCCAATTGTTGCCATGAAGAATTGTAGCCCAAGGTGGTCAGACCTGATTTTTTCAGAAAGCCAAAAAATATAGATTTTATTTGACATCTCCCTATTTTTAAATTTTGGAAACTTTTTTTTTAGAGAAACACCCTAGAGGCCAAACAAAATGTTACTAGGAATATGACTATGAGGTGCCTATTGAAAATGTCTAGCTATTTAAATTGCATTGGCAGGTAGTGGAGTTTAGTATAAGGGGAGCTGGGTTTGAAGTAAACTTGGGGTTCCATGTAAGTGTTCAATAAACATCTGTCATCTAGTATTTTATGGACCTTCTGAGATCTCTGGCAACTTTCTGTCCTTGTTTCTTGCATTAAATCATTTATCTTGGCACTTAAAAGAGAGTACCATGCTTCCTGACTGGTCTCTTGGGGCCCCTTTAGTCTCCCAGTCTTTGCCATGGAAGCATGGTGCTGCACATTTGGCATGAGCTCAGGTGACACATTAAGATTTTGCTTATTGGCCAGGCGCAGTGGCTCAAGCCTGTAATCCCAGTACTTTGGGAAGCTGAGGCGGGAGGATCACGAGGTCAAGAGACTGAGACCATCCTGACCAACATGGTAAAACCTCGTCTCTACTAAAAATATAAAAAAAGAAAAATACCTGGGCATGGTGGCACATGCCTGTAGTCCCAACTCAGGAGGCTGAGGCAGGAGTATTGCTTGAACCTAGGATGCAGAGGTTGCAGTGAGCTGAGATCATGCCTCTGCACTCCAGCCTGGTGCTAGAGCAAGACTCTGTCTCAAACAAAACAAAACAACACAAAACAAAAAAACAAAAAAGAAAACAGAAGTTTGCTGATCAAGTTCTGCATAATCCTAACCTGGTCTGTCTCCTGGAGAGAATGTGGTTGCAGCTGCCTTTGTGGTAGGGTCTGTCTCCTGCTAGCTCCAATGCTGACTTCAAAAGAAACACAAATTATAGCAATTGTATAAACATACCATACATCTTAAGTTTGTGACCAAATGACACCTACAAAGATGACTCCCAGGAGATAGACCAGGAAGTTACATTATTTGTGCTGTGAACTTTCAGTTAAATGAAAGAAAATGGTCAAGAGTCATCAGAGATTATGCAATACATATGATATATAATTCATACAAATTGTATTACCTAAAGAACCCATAAGGGTAAAGGTTATAAGACATCTTTTGAATGATTTGGATGATTTATGGCTGAAACCAGTTAAAGTTAGATTTGGTTATATAAAAAATACACACACAGCTCTTACATAGCTCTTTCTACATGCTAAGTGCTGTTCTGCTTTATTTATTTACTCTATAACAATAAAATAGAAACTATTGATATCCCTACTTGAAGGAGAGGCACTGAGTCAAAGAGATGTTAAATAATTTGCTCAAGGTTACACAGTTATTAAGAGAGCTTGGATTTGAACTTAAGCAGTCTGGTTTCCAGAGCTATTTTGTGCTTACGTGTATACTTTAGTTTGATGTTTATGGCATTCTTTAGTGAAACCAATCTCTCATACAGACATGACAGTGGGTAAAAGAGTTCAATATTTTAAGTTCGAAATAGAAGAAATATTTAGGAATGGATTAAAATATCCCTTAATATCAGATATCCTGAATTTTGGTGGTCCTTAACGTATGGGAGGCCACAAAATGTAGTGGTTGCTGGATCTGGGCTACTCTGACTTGAAACCAACTATGTAGCAAACAAGTTACTGACTGTTGCACAAAATGGGAAATAAAAACTATCTATTTAAACCTGTTAGAAGTGTTGACTTAGAGTGTAAAACTCTTAAAGCTGGGTCAACACATAGTAAATGCTCAATAAATATTAACTATTAGTCATCCACTTATTTACTCATAAAATAGAGGATGCAAATATGAGGAGAGCAGACCTTCTTCCCTGACAGGGTGTATAGTCTAACAGAAGAGACAGGTGCATAAAGGAACACTATTTCACTCTGTGATCAACTGCATGGTAGAGGTGTGTCCAGAGAAATACAGAACAGTGTGGAAAAGTGGTCTGTTCTATCTGGCAAGTTGGGAGGATTTCACAATGGAGTGATGCATGACGGCTGTATAGTTCCTCCCCAGAAATAACAGTCTGAGCTACATCATGGAACCTGGAAGTGCTGTGTGTCTCAGAGGGAGTGGTGAGTGATCAGTATGAACCAGGCAATAGTCTTACCTGTGGAGCAGACTCACCAACCAGTGCCAGCCCACTTCAAACATTCATGGTGGCACCTGGCTACATTTAGTACATTTTTTTAGAATAGTTTTAGGTTTACAGAAAAAAAAAAAGAGCAGATAGCACAAAGAGTTCCTATATACTCCCTCTCCCTTGAACATTATATATATTTAAAACACTCCACAGGCAATTCAGATGCACAGCCTGGGTTCAATATTCTTCGCTAAAATCTAGAATGTGAGAGCAACGGGTTTTTGAAGTGGAGGGTTCTGAGAATGGAAAGAGGGAAATGAGTCAGATAAGTGAAAAGACTGGCAAGGTCAAGGTCAGATAGCAACATATCTCATTAAGCCCTGCCAAGGGAACTTAATCCTGAGGACAGTAGACAGTCACTGAAAGGTTTTAGGTAGAAAAGTGAGATTGTCTGATTCATGTTTCAGATAAATAGGGCAGTGAAATTGTGGAGAATGGATATAATTATATGGAGAGCCTATGGCATAGTGGTTAAGCTACTGTGTGGTGAAATTGCCTAGGTTTATTCCAGATGTTATAACAATGTTAAAAGAGTTTTTTAAAGGCAATAGCCGCTGAGTTGTGGCTTCATCTTTGAAGGTAATTATCTGATCACACACGCAATCATTGCATATTCCTAGGGAGTGTCCTTAGATTTGGGTGCAAGCTTCCAGCGTTGGGACCTAAGACAGACTATCAAAATTTGGAAAGAGACCTCAAGCCAAAAACCTGCATTGAAATGGATATTAGACTAAGAGAGGTCAGAGTGGTGGCCTAGAAGCTGGGTGGGGAGCCAAGTGGCTGTTGGACAACAAAAGAAGGCAAGAAAGAGCAAGAAACATGAGTGGAGATGCTTTGGAGAATCCTGGAGATAGGGTGTCAATGCTTGTAGCAGCTCTGAAACATGTCCCCAGTGCATGTCTTCCTGGGGCTTAAACAGGGCCAGGATGGGACCATGATATAAATCGGTGAGCAAGATGCAGAGATTTTTTCAGTTAATGCCCAGACTGAGTAACAGTGCTAACTTTCCAAATGATATAAAGGCACTAAAATTCCATTGCTTTGATTCTTTCAGATAAAGCAGTAGCCATCTATCTTTAAAGAGTTCATGTCCTTCCTCCCTTGCGATGGGGTCAGAAAACTCTTTTCACGAACATCTGATATTTGTAGGAAGGAGTGTAATCATTTAGTTTCTTTCTCCCCGGAGGGTGCTGTCACATTTTTCTGCGGAGAAGCTGCCACACAGCTGAGGTTCAGGGTCTTGCCCAGGGTCACACTGTGCGACAAGGTTAGAATAGGGTTATCATTTACTGTGTGTGCCCACTCTCGGTTTGGTTCACTGGTTCACTCTGCTTGTAATCACGGCAGCCCATGGAAACAAAATCGAGAAAATGTGATGCCAGACAGTAGCCAGAGATTTCAGAAGTGGATAATCATCTGTTCTCACTGTGTCTCTTAGAAGCAGCATCATGTAACAGAGACAGTTGGGCCTCACTATCTCCTGGACCAAGACTGTAACTAATAAACCACTTCAGGCACACAATCTGCCCAGCTTCCATTTCGTTATTTTAAAATGTGTGAGATGTATGTGCAACGGGTTCCCCTTTGTAGTCTATCTTGTAGGGAAATGGACACTCTCTCACCCCACTGGTGAGTAAGAAAACTGTTACAACTTTTCTTGAGGGCAATTTGGCAATATTGTTCAAAAGCCCTTAAAATGGGAACTGTCCCAGAAGTTGCACGTTAGGAACAGACAATAAATAAGATGGGCATCAAGTTTTATGCACAAAGATGTGCATCCAAGCATCACCTTTTGTAGCAGACTTTAGAAACAACTTAAATGTCCAACAGCAGTGTAATGATTAAATAGGATCTGGTTAAAATTGCAGAATGGAACTCTATGCAGTCATTAAAAATGATGATGCAGAACAGGAGTTGGCAAGCTATAGCTCATGGGCCACGGTAGCCTGCAAATTTTATGGGAGAACAGCCACACCCATCATTTACATACTGTCATGGCTGTTTTTTGAGCTACTACAGCAGCTGTGCAGCTGTGACAGAGTCTATATGACTCTCTTTTACATCTCTTACTATCCTTTTAATATTTATTCGATTTTTTCCTTACCCCTGGAATATTATGACAACTTTGATTATTAGACCAAAATCTTACAGTGATGTTGGTTGCAATACACAGTGTTTCTTCAAAAACAGCCCATCTAATATGTTAGCCAACACTTCAGTCTTAAACATAAGGATTCGCCATTCCTCATTCAGCTGGCCTGCTAGGAGCAACTATAATCAAACTGCCTGCAACCAACATTGGGAGTGGTGGCACGTAGCCTTTCTTTCCTCTTTCCCCACTGTTGACGTCCACCCTTTCTTCTCTATTTGGCTAACCCTGAGGAGAATAGAAAAAATTGCATAGAGGACAGGAAAGATGGCAAAGAAGGACAGAAACATTCTTACGCAAACTGGTGCTTTCAAAAGATGGCTTCACAACTTCTGGCCTTGGCAGATTGACTCATTGTTGGGTACATGTGTGTTTTGTTTCTTTACAAAGCCAAAATGTGATGGAACATCCCATGATGCAGACAATTCATTTTACTCCAGCTGTACTCCACTTTCTTTTCCTGTGGTCTTCCACGTGGAGTGTCTCTATCTGAGTCCCCTGTCCAGCCCTTTTTAAGGGTATCCTGTTGAGCAGGATTTGAAATGTTTCACATTTGGCTTAATCCTCCACCTCCACCCTGATGTCCTGCAGTAAATATTCACGCACATTTCAGCTTGACACACTCTAGGCAAGCAGCTCACCCCAGTGTGGCAACAGTTCTTTTTTTGCTTCACTAGCTAACCAGCTGGATGACTCATCTCTGCCTTTAGATTTTCCAGGTGGATGTTGGACATTGGCACATTCTGCTCACCAAACTCCTGCGTAAGCATAGCAAGACCCAGAGTTTCCTTGACACCCTCTCTCACATGCACAAGGGGAGAGGCAGCTCCTCTCTGCCTCCCTTTCTGAGAGGCAGTGAATCGGTGAAAACAACAGCATAGCCCACTCCCAGCAAGTGCTCCTCACAAAATTCCAACTGCCCATTCTTTACTGGTGAGTTTTCTAAACAGGTTTCCTCCATGACAATTTTCTCTACTTGCTGTCTTAATAGGAGATTTTTGTTTCCCCCCACCTGTATTTTTAATGGACACATATACCTTTCTGATAAAAATATGTAAAATATTCTGTTCGTTTTTAAAATGTCATATTCAAGTCTGTGGCCATCTTTTGTTCTTAATATTCACGTCTATAAAATGGGCTAGAAAACAGCATCATTGCTCAAGGTGTAAAGCTATTGGTTTATCTAGCTGAAAAGGTGTGCAAGGACTATTGAAAAAAGAAATGTTCATTCAGAAACATGGGCTCTTTTATTTTGTACATATCTTACAGCATAGGATTTTTTCCCCTGGTGTATATGCAAAGATCAGCCTCAGCTGAAAAAAAAAAACACATATGCCCCTAACTTACTGCTTGCTTCCAACTCGAGCTAATTACTTGAACAGCACCTTTCACGGGAAAAAAAGCTGACACAAGAAACTGGACAAGGTCTGTGTCTCAAGTGCTCTGAGGAGAGAGCAGTAAGTAAGGTGTTCTGCACAGCTCAATAATTTGCACCACAGGAAAGCCATCCTTCCAAGGGCAGGCAATATGTCTGCAGTATCCTCCTGGAGGAAGGAGGGCCAGGAGCTCATCTTTATGGCTTGAGGCTTGAAAGCTGCTTAACTGGGCGGAACGCCACCTCCTTGCCATCAAAGCTGTCCACCTGGCAGTGAATCTCAATGAGACAGCTGACTGGCTCAGCAGACAAGTTGCCTTGCCAAGGGGATGAGAACTTAACCAGAAGGTCTTTCAGGAAATGTGTTTAGGATGTGGGGGATGAAGAGGAAGAGAAGGAGCAATTCATCCCCTGAATGAGGCAAATGAGAAGGAGTAGCTGTTCTTTGGTTACACAAGCCACTTTGAGCTTTTCTGTGCCCTTAGCTCATTTAGCCCTAAATTTTGTAAGACTCTGATTTTAGATTCTGATATTAGCATCGAACATTGAGAATCCTTTGTGACTATAGTAGGAAAGTGGGTTCAATTCAAAAACTTAAGCTAAGAAAAGACCTCAAAAACATTTCCATTTGAAAATAACCGATATGAACAAGAATATTATAGGGAAGGCATGAAGCTATTCATTTTTAAAATTGGCTGTTGAAAAATGCCTTGGATTGTTACTTTTCACCAAAGGTTTAGAATTGTAAACCTAATAATTATGATAACTCCTATTTGCCCAGTCCTTGCTAAGTGCCAGCTACCATATTCAGCACTTTATACAAATGCTTTCATCTAATGTCCTTGAGAACCTTATGGGTAAGTCTTCTTAGCTTCACTCTACCGGCAGAAAAACAAAATTCAGAGAGGTTTCATAAATTTTCCACAGACATACAGTGAGTAAGTAATAGAAGAACAAAGATTCAATCCCCAGTTTATCCCAATTCAAAGCCTAGATGCTTATCCACCAGGCTGCATATACCAAATTTGCTGGAAAACATAGCACCTTATCACATAATGAATGATCAGGGCTACAAAGAGAAGATTGTGTAGACACATGTGTGGGGTATAAGAATATTCCATCAAACTACTCCCAATTTATCCTACATTTGTCCCATGGACCTGAGTGTCTGCTCCCATCTCTGGATCTCTGGTGGACATCATATTCAGAAAAACCTGCATGTCCCCTGAAATAGACTCTTGCAGGTGAGTTAAGACAACAGCACACCATTCTGTGCCTTTTTCCTAGCTTCTGGTGGTGGGAGGAGGGGAGAAAGACAAAATGAATGACAGCTGAGCATAGTCTTCACAAAACCTGGTTTTCTACCTCTGGCTCTGGGTTATGACAAGACAGTTTCTCCACTGTCCTTGACAATAATGAAAAATTATTCATTTTTGGTCAAATTTTATATATATAGCTATTATAAAGTACTATATAACTTGTCTTTTTTAGTGACACCTCTGTTTTATTTCGAATTGAATAAGATAAAATTCAACAAAAGTAATAAGATAGCATGGTATGAAAGAGCTTCAGATGGCCTCTCCAAAAAACAAGCCTACTCAGACTAAATGGATATTTGGAAGCAGTATTTGGAAACAGCTAAATAGGTCAAGGCACAGGCCAAGTTTGATTCCCAAACTCACTGTTTCAGGCTGTGTAATGCTGGAGGAGCAAGTTAGGAAATTTAAATCGTGTCTTCCTCATATGTAAATAGGGACAATAGGAATTACCTAATAGGTTTGCTGTGAAAAGATACATGATATGATTCATATACAGTGCTTAATATAATAGTTAGCCCATGGCAAATACTCAAAGCTCATCCACTATTAACTGGTCTTATTAGTCTTGAGGACTACTCTAGTTTTAAGAACTGAAAAAAATGTACCGTTGGCCTAGGAAGCTGCTTCTCACTCATTCTACAAGCTTAAAAGTTAACTTCAATAAAGAACTGACTTCTTCTTTTCATCACTGAAGAATGAATAGGAAAGAATTAACCTCCTTCTCTTCCAAGGCTGGGTTAAGTATTCTGGGTGTTCCCATAGCACCTTTCTCTGACTGCTATCGAAATATTTGCCACATTGTGCTAAAATGGACTATTTAATCATCTGCCGTTACCTTGAGGGCAGAGCCTGTATTTTATGTTTTATCTCCAGCATCTATAGCAGTGTTTGAAATGGTTTACAAAACAAATATTTTCAGAAAGAATGAATTAGAATTGACAAAGCGATACATGTGACAATGTTATTAGGAATGTTGTTATACTCCTTGGGTATTTTTGTAACTTGCAATAATGGCTGTGACATACAACTATTTCCACTACCTCTTTCTAATAATACTAACAAAATCATTTAATCATTTGCTATTTAAATAAAAGGATGACGGATATCTTCCCATACCAGAGCTTCACTAAACGAGCAGTTTTATCTAATTTTTTTCTATATCAAACAATATGGTAGCTGGTTTTAAAAGAGAAGAGTAGGTGTATAATCACAATTAAGAGCTCATACAAAAGCCACTTCTGGTAGTGTCTATGAGGCTTTCCACAATTTCTATGCTGATCTCATGTAGGGAGAGCTCCAATAACTGAAGTCATGAATACTTTTTACTGATGATGACATTCAAACACTATTTTATCATTGTGATGCTGAAAGATGGAGGATTTTTTGTGAATTCTTTATTGTGGACTCTTTCTCAGTTTGCAGCATAGATCTCTGGGCTTTGGAAGGGTCTTACTTAGTCTTCTTGGGCTGCAGATGGGAGCAAGAAAAAATGGCCACTGCTCTGGAGTGAAGGGCAGCGAAATGAGCCAAGGCTTTGTATCTGCTCATTACAGGCGCAACAGTTATGCAAACTAAGAACCTAACATTTTACTAAAGTGATGCCAAAAATCCTGTCCCACACTACAACAAATGTTTGAATCTGCAGAGAGCCTATGTAGAATAAAATCAATATGCTATTGTTGGAATACATGTCTTTTGATGAAATTGGTGCTTAAAAATGACTTGGACAGTTATTTTGAATGATCCTTATCTAATAGCAAATTGGATATGCATTTTCTTTCTATTAGAGATAGAATTCTTGAAAACGTTCTTTTTTTTCTCCTCAAAAATTCTGTTGGGAAGAGATGTGAGGACAGCAGGAGTGAACAATATTGTCCGAGGCAGTTTCCTCACATGTAAGATAGTTATTTAGTATCTCTCTTTTAGAGATGAGGAAACTGAGATTCTGAGAGGTTAAAAAAAAATTTTTTCAAATAAATATTTGAAGCAAATAGTTGAACTCAAGATTGTATGGCATCCAAGTTTATGCTCCTTTTACCAAACTAAGTTACCTCTTGGGAAAGGTGGATGTAGCTTGTGGTTTGGTTAAGTGACTCTGATTTTTAATTTCTCATTCTGTTGACAGAAAGCTAATCACACCCTCAATAACAAACCATTAAAGTGTAATTTGCTTCATTGTAGGGGGATGAAAACTGGTCAAGTACGTGCTGGGTCTTATGGTTAAAATATTTCTCATAGATTTGGGAGTCCCTTTGTTGAAGGAAGGAATAAATGAACAAAAATATATGAACAAAAAAGTAGTCTTCTAGACTCTAGGTTTTCTTCACATTTCCTAGTCCTAGAAGTTGTATCTAAATTCACCAGAAAGTTCCTGCAAGACCACAGGGACTAATGATATTGATCTTTCCATTTTTGTTTGTAGAATTGGGTGACAGTTCCATTTATCCCTATTTTCTCTTCCTTCTTTATAATTAATCAACTAACTCCCTATATTCTTTTAAGATTACTGCATTATTTTCAAAATCTTACAAATGAAAAATGTATTTTTTGCTTCCTTTAATAATCATTTGCCCAGGACAGATGATTTCAGAACACAATTATACAATAGATGGTTAGTATTAAAATCCCACTAATTTGGTCACATTTATTATTCTGTGAAATTCTATTTGCCGAATTAGGACACAAATAATACAGCCATGAAGACATATCTGGAAAGCAAATTTCTTATAAGAACATTTCATCCGATTGGAGTGGGGATCTGGAGAATAGTCACACACACACCAGAAAGAAAGAGCAGGTGTTAGGTGATGAAGAGAGGGTAAGAGAGAGTCAAGTTTAATTTGAACGAGGAAGTCCCACCAGGCCTGTGACAGCTGGGGACTGGGAAGTCCAGGCAGTTGTGAGTCAGGGATGTCTAATATAAGTGAAGTTGTAGGTAATGCATGCTTAATACGTTTATATTTACATTTTAAACTACTAGCTTATTGGGCATTTTATTTTTGTTTGGGGTGAGGTAGGGATCCAACTTTATTTTCTTCCAGAAGGAGAGTCAATATTCTACTTTTTTTTTTTTTTGAGATGGAGTTGCGCTCTGTCACCCAGGCTGGAGTGCAGTGACACAATCTTGGCTCACTGCAAGCTCCGCCTCCCGGGTTCACGCCATTCTCCTGCCTCAGCCTCCCAAGTAGCTGGGACTACAGGCACCCACTACCACACCTGGCTAATTTTTTTGTATTTTTAATAGAGACGGGGTTTCACCGTGTTAGTTAGCCAGGATGGTCTCGATTTCCTGACCTCATGATCCACCTGCCTTGGCCTCCCAAAGTGCTGGGATTACAGGCATGAGCCACCTCGCCCAGCTGAGAGTCAATATTCTTAAAGCCACTGATTAAGTACTAAGTCTCTTCCACCAAATTGGAATGCTACTTTTATAATGTAATAAAATATACACTTTAATCAGCTTCTTGACTCTCTCTTCCCTCTCATTGTTCTACCTGCTTATTCATGGACCAAAATTGTGCTCTTTTGATCACGTTTGCTTAATTCATTTGTATACTGAAATAACAATTATTGAGTGCATGCTATTCTTCTGGCATTGTGTAGGTTCTGGGAAACATCATAGACAAAACCCTTCCCTCTGGAATCTTACATTGTCAAGTCTTAGTGTCTGGTATGGAAAGGATCCCTCTTCCATTATTCTCATACGTTATAGATTTCTTGGCAATCACCATACACTTATTTTCTAAATGAATCTTTAAATCACTTTGTCTAATTCTAATAAAAATAACCTTATTGGACTCATTCAATTTCTTTATTAATATGAAAAGAAATAATTTTATTTTAAAGTATATCTTTGGATCCCAGGACACAGGATGTCCTTTGATGTATTCATTTGGTATCCAATCATATTATCAAATCTCTTATTAATGCTGTTAGCCTTTTTCAGTCTTTTGAGTTACCAGATACGCAATTATATCATATGCATATAACACTGTTGACTTTCTTTCCACTGTTAATGCCATTTATTTAATTTTACTAATTTATTACCTCAGACTTTCCCCAAACAATGTCGTTTAAATTAATGCTGTTTTCTTGGCTTCTACTTTCTAATGCTCATGGTTTTAGTGTTTATTTTTTAATTGATACATCGTGATTATACATATTTATGGGGTACAATTTGATGTTTTGACACACATATATGTTGTATAATTATCTAATTAGGGTGGTTAGTGTATCCATCACCTCACGTATTTAACATAGTGCTGCAATAAGTGTAGAAGTGCAGATATCTCTTCAACAAAAATGATTTCATTTTTGGATATATACCCAGTAGGAGGACTGCCGGATCATATTGTAGTTTTAGTTTGAATTTTTTAGGGAACCTCCATACTATTTCCATAATGGCTGTGTTAGTTTACAGTCCCACCAACAGTAAGTGTTCCCTTTTCTTCACATCCTTACCAACACTTGTTTTCTTTTGTCCTTTTGATAATAGCTCTTCTAACTGGAGTGGGGTGGTATCTCATTGTGGTTTTGATGTGCATTTCCCTGGTGGTTAAGGATGTTGATCATTTTTTCATATACCTCTTCACCATTTGTATGTCTTCTTTAGGGAAATGTCTCAAAAAAGATATTTGTCCATTTTTGAACTGGGTTATTAGTTTATTTGCCGTTAAGTTCCTTATATATTCTAGATATGGATCTCTAGTCAGATGCATAGTTTGTGTAGTATTTTTTAATATGATATTTGCTACTGGTATTCATTTAAAAGTCTTTGAACTTCTATCACATTCTCTTCCCTTTTTAAAAAAACCTGGAATTTTGTTTCTAAATTACACATGGCAGCTATTTTTTAGGAGATAAATAATGTATTTATGTTTTTTTCATTTAACTTATCAATTTGATAGGTTATGTTCTGATATTTTCTAATGTTGAACTATCCCTGCATTCCTGCAATATACTCTGCTTGGTCATGGTATGCAACAGTTTTAATAGACACCTGGATTTAACTTGCTGATTTTTACATACAATTTATGTACTGTATTGCATCCATATTCATCAGTGAAATTCTTTAGAGTGTTCTTTTTATTCTGTCTTTGTCAGGTCTGGGAAGTAAGGTTATGCTAGCTTTGTAAATTGAATTGGGAAGCTTTCCATCTTTTGCTATGGTCAGAAATGTTTTGAATAACATAAGGATTATCTGTTCACTGAAAGTTAGATAGATTTCAGCTGTAAAACCATCTGGGCCTGACACATATTTTAGTAACTAGATAATTTTTGAAGAGGGTTTGTGGTATAGTGGGAAGAAAACTATCTTTGTAGTCAGAGCCTTATATTTGATTTCCTGTCCAAAGCATTGTTGACTGTGTGACTTGGATAAGGGACTTCTTTTTTTTTTTTCCTGTGAAGTAGTGATCTACCTGTTACCTACCTACCTATTTTGGAGGGAAGACTACTTCCTTGGAAACTTTATTAATGAGAAACATTAAGTAAGGAGCTGAGTAGTATCTGACACGAAGTAGGTGTCCAATAAATAGCTATTTCCCTTTCCTTTTAGTCATTTTCATTGCATTCATTCCTGTGTGCATTCTTATAATCCACCTCAGCAATAAATAGATTAATCTGCAAAACAGCTGAGTTAAATTTCCTAATCTCTCTGCAATGCAATGTCCCTGTGCACTGAGCTGTGACAGTTGGGTTTGCTGGAGGAACCACTCCCTAGGTGCTCTTCTCACTGTGTTACTCTTTCTAATTTTGACTAAACTTCAGAAAAAAATCTGATGAAGAGGTAACTTCTGGTTTCCATGATTTCCATTCAATTTACTTTTTTTCCTCGGGTATCCAAGGAAGCTTTGAATGACATAAACACAGTCTGGGGAGTTTTGCTCTGTAAGAGAAGGTTATCTGACAGCCCTTTGGGCCAGACACAAAGCCAAGTTTATTGTTTAAAAGTATTTGTTTAGTGCTTTAGTTATTTATTTGAGGAGAAGATGATAACCCCATTCATTCATAGCTAATATTTAATCCTGAAATATTTCAATGCAACAGATTTTTTTTTCCAGTGCAAGGTACTATACAAGATGCATGAGTTGCTACATGAGCAGTTTCTCAATGAAATTAAAGGGAAAGCAAACTATTATTTTAAAAATTACAACAGAGAAGAAAAATCTACCCAGGCTGCATTTGTATGATGCTAAGATGACTCCTGAACAATTAAAATACAAAAGACTATATAGTATATAGTAGATCCCAGCTGGGTAGGTGAAAAAATGTGTATAAATATACACATTAGGATAAGTACCACCATTTTTCTAAAGGATACATTAGAAACCATTAACTTTACATTTAGAAGAAGAATGTGGGATTCCTGGGGATAAGTAAGGAAGGAGAGAGATATACATTTTATTTTAAATCATTCAGACAGTATTTTATCATAAATTTTTTTAAGTTAATTTATCTTATTTCATATGTGTTATATTATATGGTGATACTGACCTTCCCCTCTTCCCCACTAAATTGATTATTTACTTGAATTACAGAATCAAAGGCTTGAACCTAGTTGCACATTTGTTTGAACTCTCTTATTCCCTCACTTGGGTACCAAGTCTATCTTAGTTCCATTTGTCCTTCATCTTGCATTAGGCCCTCCAAGGAAAATTTACTACAAGTCTGGCACAGAAAACATTTCTGGAACTTAAGCTTTGTTTGGGGGTGTTTTTGAAAAGAAAATTTGCCATCATCAAGTACAGTATCTTGAGCCCACACAGAGTGTGTGGCATCGGTCCAATCGCTCTTTTCTGGTTCCTTTGAGATTTGTTTATTACTTTGAAAATCAGAATTTCCATAAAACAGCGTAAGACTTCCCTGCCTCACAGCTCAATAGAATAGCTGAGCAAAGAGATTTAACTTAATTTTGAGGGTTGGTTTTGCCACATGTATTAACAACGATAAAAGCAACAACACAGAGCAAAAGAACCATGACCGCATGAGCATACAGCATAGGAAACTATGCTTTAAAAAAATTTCTTATGCAACCTTTAGGGTCAACAATAATGTTGCTGGGTTTTGCTGGGCTGACTCAGACCTGTTCAGATGCTTGGGTGCAGAGAGTTAACACTGAAATAATCATCCTTGAGGGGGTGGATTAGGAGCGGGTTATAAAGCATGATGTTGTTGGCAGCTAAAGAAAATTGTCTTTCAGTTTGAGTGCAAGAGACTTTGCTACTGGGGCAGGCTTTGCATTTCAGTGCCCTTCCTGCTGCTCTTGCTCTCAGCATCTGAGTTCTCAGGGTTGTTTACCTTTGATCATACGGGTCAGACCCCCTAGCAATCTCCTTATTATTGGTCATCTAGTGATAATTTGCACATGCTTCCAAGAAAGTTCTCAATTTCCAGAGAGAATTATATTTGGCCTGCAAATATTCTTCCTTCTAACATGGGTTGTTCTCAAATTTAGACTTAAATCTGTAAAAGGATGTGACCACATTTTCATTAGTCCATACTGAAATAAGAAAATAAGAACAGTATCATCTACAGCTGTGGCACTCATCAGTGTTGCCTGTCAAATGTATGCTGCTTGTCAGATATTCCTGGCTCACCTGGCACATGGTAAGTTTGCACTTTCTGGCCTTCTTGTAATTGGATTGGACCATGTGACTAGTTCCAGCCGATGAATCATGCAAGAAGTCATGTATATTGCTTCTGCACTGGAGCATTAACTGCTGATTCAGGAGTATCCAGAGCTCTCTTTCCCCCTGGCACAGTGGTCAGCCACATTGGAGATGGCTGCTTTGACAGTCACAATCTCCAAGGGGTGACCACTCCTGTCTACCCATGAAAAACATGTAGCATACTGTTTTAAGCTAAAGAGACTGGGGCAAGAGTGGTGGCAATTTTTACAACAGCATAATTCAGCCTATTCCTATACACAGCTAGTGTGTGTTGGTTATAAATGCCAACTCTTCCTAGAAGCAATTATAATTTATTCTGGTGTTTTTTTCTACTTTTAAAAATACTTAAATTTCTTTTAATGTCCTTCTTTGAAATTAAAAGTTGGCACTCCTGGGGCAGTCTTTTTTAGTTGTTTTGTTGTTGTGTTTTAATTGTATCCATCTATGAAATATTTAACTCTAGGAATTACTGCTTTGGGTCATCTTCTTTGACCCATCAAAATAGTGCAAAGATAGAGTTTTCTAAGGTATACTGACCTTGGCTTGTAAGATTCAAATTCTTCTGTAATAACAGATATAATTTGTAGGTATCTGTGGCATCTAACCTTACCCCACTGTCTATAGTTCTACAAAGGCTCAACTTTTGGACACCCTATTCCTTTGAGGCTTTCCATGCCTCACTTCGCGCCAGCTGCAAGAGTTCATTCAATTGTACTGAACCGGTTGGCAGTTAAAGGTAAAGTTTTTGGATTTTCAAATCAAGGGAGTCATATTGCAGATCCAAAAACTTTCTTCAGGAATGCAAGATCTAGTGGGGCAACTGCCTGTGTTACTCACAGGGACTTCGGTAAAACAAGAAGTGAGAAGTTTTTGTCTTCGTTTACTGGTAACTTCAGAGCTTAGAGGAGTATATGACACATCATGAGAACTCAAGAAGTATTTGCTAAATAAACTAATGGAATGCATATATGTATTCATGGGTTAATGTTAGGATACTTAATTTAAAATGTGCAAATTCCTCTGATTGTTTTCCATTTTTAGATAATGGCAAGTTTAGACTTTAAAGGCCTTCTATTCTTCAACAACCAAATGTGCAATTATTACAGCCCTGCTTGAATAGGTTAATTTCCCACTGAAAGGACAGTCTTTCTTTTATTTCATTCACCCAGTCAGACAGGATCATCCCCTTTGGTGTCTTAAGGATATTTCAAAACCGCAGGTATGTGTGTGGTTTTTAAAGCCTGAAAGCACAAAGCCACATATACTTTTTAAAAAGTATTACTATTTTCCTTTCTATTGTTAAAAGTTGAAACTATTCACATATTTACCCTAGGGACAGTCATGCATGGCGGAGGTATATGCGTGGAAAATTCTTTCCTTGTCTCTTCTGCTGTCACCCATCTGTTTGGGCTCAAAGACAGTTCTTTGTTCACACGGTGAGGAAGGTCTCACACTGACTGAAGACACAAAGCATTCAAATTTGCCAGGGCTTATAGTGTATGTGCACACACACACCTTAGCCTGATTAAGCTGCAACTCTTAAATCTTGAATAGTCTGTGTATCTACAACTTCCATGTAGCTGATACTTGGTTTGAAGTATTTGGAAATTGTATCTCCATCAGCATAAAGTTTATGCCCTAGACTTGAACACCAATGATTGTATTTGGGTAGCTAAAGTTTGAGTGATTCTTAACCTCCTCTTATTTTTAATTTGCTGCATTTTTCTCTTGGCAGCCTGTCAACAAATGTGAACTGCATGTCCTGTCTTCTCAGCTCCATGGTGAGAGCTGGAAATACAGAATAAAAAACAGAGGATTCCTGCTCTTGTGGTTCTGATAGCCCTTCTCAAATTGCCAATAAGAATGCACATCATTTTATAAAGGGGGCATGTAATTAACACATGTTTAAAGGAATTAAATATACTTATCAGTCTCTTATATAGAATTCAGCTGAGTTCTAAACTGAAAACCATGTCTCTAGCACTCACTTGCCAGGTCTCCCCTGTGCCATTAAATAACTAACTTTAGCAATGCAAATTTTTTTTCAAGACGAATTATGTTCCCATGTGTAAAGCATAAAGACTGTGTCTGCCTCGTGGAACATGCATATTCACAGCTGTAGGCTCACATCCTTGCAGAAAGCATCACCAATGAGGATTTCCCATTTTCTTGTTTTTAGGTGACTCCAAGAAACCTGAGGGTATTTAGACTGATGAATGATGTGCTTGACTCCAGTCTTGTGCCTGCCCGGCTCCAGAGTTTATCTGCTTTCTGTTTGTTTTCTGTGCTCCTATTAGGTTGTTGTTCGTTACATTCTGATGTTTGTAGTTTGGGGAAATCTGTATCTTTGTTATTTATGTTATCAATAATGTGACCTGGGCCTTCCTCAGCAATGTTCCAACTGTTCCCAGGTCCTGAATCACTAATTATGCAGATGAACAGATTGTGGAAACTCTTTCCTTATGGCTGCATTCTGGAGGAGTTGTTTTTATTAAATTGCCAGTGTCTCGAATTATAATTAGGTACTGGCCCATATTTATAGCATTTCTCTTCTCTCTGTCTCTCTCTCCTCCCGCCCCCCACCCTGTCCTCTCTTCACTTTTCTCGCTCCCTTCATCATATCCTCTCCTTTTCCACTATGGGCTGGAAACTTAATCAAAAGAGAAAGAGTAAGAAAGAGAAACCTCAAGTCATTAGCTTCAGAAGCAAGCTTGCCTAACAGCAGATGACAGGGCAGAGTGTTAGATATTAGGAGGTTCTGTTTCTTGCAAAAAGTCATTAAGATGTGGAGCAGCCTGCCAGACAAAGTGGGAGAAGCCGGGAGAGCTTAACAAGTTCAAGGGGAAGGAAGGGATTCATTTACAACCTTGCAATTCAGCCTGGCCAGTCCACTCAAGGAAATTTAACAGTGGTCAGAGAAAACAGAGAGAGAAATTTGGGGACCTTGGGGACCTCCAGTTTACTGCAGTTAGCCAAATCCTTCCGTGGTTCATCTACTTGCTCCTTATACAAATTATACTGATCTTACTGTCTGAAGTTTATTAAGCGTTCAAGGCGTGTTCAACACTCTAATGAAGGTATGAAGCATGACTTTTCCCCAGGAGCAGCTTGCCTTAAAGGAACTTTACGGGCTTTTGCTTGAACAAGGCACAGAAGATGAAAGCTAACTATGATTTAAAAAAAAAAATATATATATATATATATATACACACATACATACTTGCTGAGGGAGGGAAGAATGTGGGACAGAATAAGTATAGAGGTTGTGATGGAGGAGAAAATGGATTAAGTCCCAGATACAAACAAAACAAAGCAAAACAAAACAAAGCAAAACAAAACAAAATAAAAAAATTGCCTTGGTATTTTTTATGGCTTAGTTCCAGTGTTTCATTTATGGCTACAAAAGAGATATGTGATTTCCTTTCCACTTTTCTAATCTTGTTTAGAGACTTAAACAAAAGAATGTTACTCTAGAGACAAGTGTATATAAGCACTGGACCTCCTATAATTATGGGGAAAAAGATTTATATAAGAGTAAATGTGCAGATTCTTCCATCATGTCTGTACATTCCCTCTTACCTGCACGTTTTTGGTGGGGGGGGGTGGGGAGCGGGGAGAGGAGGGAATCAGGAGAACTTAGTGTAAACATTAATATTAATTTGCTAGCACATGGAAGATAACTAAGTGCTAAGGAACAGTCATTATAAAATTATCTGGAAAGCAACACATGCTAAACAAGCCTGACTCCTTCGTACAGTTGGAGACAGTAAAACATTTAGAATAGCTTGATGAGAATAAAGCTTTTTATACTATTATCACATGAATGCATGATTCAACACAGGTCTGAAAGAAATTAGGCCTCTGTGAGAATGTTAATATGAATGGAAATTATGTTTACCCATAGGTAATTGATATCCAATATCATTAACTAAATTACAGACTCATAAAACAGTGGAGCCAGAGGGCATCAGAGCTTTTGGATTCCAACCTATCCATCTTAAGACAGCAGTACACTAAGGAATTCCTAGAGAGAAATAGCTTATTTCTTTAAAGACTTCCAAAAGGGAAAGCCTACACCAGTCTGTATTGAGGTGTTCCAGTGATTTATATCTCCAAGGTTGTCATTCCCAAGCACGGCTGTGAGGTTTACATTGCCAACAAAAGGGCTTCTTGTTTATTTCTTTCTTTTTTAGGAAAATTTTATTTTAAAATAGTTCTAGATTTATGTAAAAATTGTAAAGACAGTAAAGAAAATTTGTATGTTACTTTCTCACAGTCGAGCAGTATTGATACATTTATTTTTCATTAAAAACTATACTTTATTTAGATTTCCCTAGTTTTTACCTAATGACCTTTTTATGACCCAGGATCCTAACCATTGCATTTAGTTGTTCTGTTTCCTTGTACCAGTTTCATGTCTTCTGGAAACAGTTTCTCATACTTTCCATGTTCTGGATGACCTTGAGTTGAGTATTAAGGAGTATCAGTAAGGTTTTTTGTAGGATGTCCCTCAATATTAATGTGTTTGATGTGTTTCTCATGACTAGAATTTGGTTATGAGTATTGGGAGGAAGACCACAGAGGTCAAGTGCCAATCTTATCACTTCCTATCAAGGGTTCACACTGTCAATATGGCTTACCACTGTTGATGTTGACCTTGATCACCTGCCTGAAGTAGCATGTGTGTGTCAGCTTTCCCTCCTGCAAAGTTATCCCTCCTCCTCTTCTTATACTGTACACTTTAGAAAGAAGTAACAAAGCACAGCCTACTCTAAAGGAGAGGGAAGCTATGCTCCACTTCCTTGAGAGTGAATTATATACATAAATTATTTGGAACACTGTTGTTTTAAGACATTTCTCTAGAAAATTTGTTATTTCCCCAATGCTCTGTTTTGTCATCTGAATTAATTGAACTGATTTACATATCTTGTTTTTTGAAAATATTATGTTTAACTTAAAAATTATACTTTTTTTTACTTAAAATTCTGAAATAAGAAAGTCTTTACATTCAATCAGCTAAATAAATTTCACTTTTTTTGTTTTTCTAAATACTAGCTTACTTTTCTCTCAACTATGATTGTTGTACATTATTTCCAAGATATCTGATCTAATTTAGCTGCTGTTTAGAATGCAGTTGTAACAACCTCTAATAGGGTCTCAGGCGTTTCCAGTTTGTCCCTTCCTATACCTCCCTATCACTGCTTTTTATTGTCTTCTATTCTTAAGTAGCTCTAAAAACATCAATTAAGGAGAATGTACATGTTAACATATCTACACTGAGTCATTTAAGATGCCAGGGTTATTGTATTACCTGGTTTTAGGGTTTCTAGATTAAGAATGGCAAAGCATTTTTATTTCATATACCTACTTCAGATAGTTATTAGGAGCCACCCATAGAGCTGTATGAAGAATTCTAAGGAACTGTCAGCCTCGTAGAAAAAAGAATTATATGGCAGATAAGCCATGGGCATGAGAGAGAGAAAATGTGGAAAGCCACCTCTGGATGACACTTGTACCATCAAATACTATGATCTTATCAAGTAAATCACAAGCTAAATCAATTTTTTAAAGACTTTTTAATCCTACTTGATCCTTTACACTATCAGTTTATCTTCTTATCTTGTGGAAAATAAAATCTAATAGTCATTTTCCATTTTCTGTTGTATAACTTAGCAACATATTTGTCTATGGGGAAAACTTGAACCAATTATGGTTACAATAGGAAGACAGTAGTTGAAGAAGACAGGAAGACTTCTCTTGCAGGCATAAAGTCTGTTTTGTGTTAGATCTTTTTGTTTTGTGTAGATTTTCCCACTCAAATGAAGGTGCAGAATGGGAATATGATAGAGAGGGCCCGTGTTCTGAGAAAGGAGTAATTTCAGATTTTAAGAATGACACAAGTTCATTTCTGAAGTCTGTTTTGGTCCATTGTTCCTTTAGTCCTTGATCCCATCCAGCCCTGGCTAAAAATACTAATGGAAACTCTTCAAATATTAAAATCATTTATCATAAAGATGAAATTATTCTCAAGCATAGAGTTGTGTTAAAACCAGTACTCAATGGACCAGTTCCAATTCAATTATAAATGCAACATATATGCTGACAACATGGATTTGAGGTGTCCAGAAATTTTCCCCTGCACCTGAGCATCTACGTATCTTAGATTATGATGCCTGTATTAGTCCATTCTCACATTGCTATAAGGAAACACCCGAGGCTGGGTAATTTAAAGTGGCTTATTGACTCACAGTTCAGTATGGCTGGGAAGGCCTCAGGAAATGTACAATCATTGTGAAAGGTGAAGGGGAAGCAAGGCACCTTCTTCACAAGGTGGCAGGAAGGAGAAGTGCCGAGCGAAGCAGGAAGGGCCCCTTATAAAACCACCAGATCTTGTGAGAACTCACTATCATGAGAACAGCATGGGGGAAACCACCCGCATTATTCAGTTACCTCCGCCTGGTTTCTCCCTTGACATGTGAGGATTATAAGTATTACAATTCAAGATGAGATTTGGGTGGGGGCACAGAGCCTAACCATATCAATATCTGAAATTCCGCCCAATGGTGAATTGCTGCTTTGGAGAGTCCTTTGCACACCAGGTTCATTTTTTTTTTTTTTAATTTTTCATTTTATTTACCCAGGAGGAGGTAATACATAAAATAAATTCATTGTAATACATCATAACTACTTTTGTTCTAAAAGAAAGAATCTGAGCTAGCTTGAGAATAATGTGGATATGAGGTAGAAATGGCAAGCGTAAAGCAGAGAACTAAATGTTGGGCAAAGGCTGTTTAAAAAAAAAAAAAACACCAAAACAAAAAACAACTCTGGACTGTTGGCAACAATAATAAATTTTAGTTCTTCCTACATTCTTCCTGGAGCAAGAGGTTAACAATTTTTTTTTTTTTTTTTTAATAGACAAGAGTCTTGCTGTGTCACCCAGGCTGGAGTGCAACGGTGTGATCTTGGCTCACTGCAACCTCCACCGTCCAGGTTCAGGTGATTCCCCTGCCTCAGCCTCCTGAGTAGCTGGGATTATAGGCACCCGCCACCAACCCAGGCTAATTTTTGTATTTTTAGTAGAGACGGGGTTTCACCATGTTGGCCTCACAAAGTGCTGGGATTACAGGCATGAGCCACTGCGCCTGGCCAAGTTAATATAATGTTTTGTACTAGACTTTAAAATATCAAATTTTCTAAAATGATTTGACAGAAGAGTGAAGAAATGTACTTAAAAATTTGCAGATAATGGGTTGCCAGTGCTACAGAGTTTAGAATTAACACACAAAACAAAATCATCACATTAGATGCATAATCCAAACCAAATGAGAAGATCTGATAAACACTAATGTGAGTGTATTTTACAGAGGAAAATTGCAATGCAATGCATATGCTCAGCATATATTAATTGGGCATTGAGTACATTTCTAGTAATGAAAAATCTAATCAAATATCCTTCTACAATAGAATGCTGAGTTTAAAAAAACAACGCACAAAATATAGTCATGTGTCACTCAACAATAGGGATATGTTCTGAGAAATATGCCATTAGGGGATTTTGTCATTCTTCTAATGATATAGAGTATCCTTTGCAGTTATGTGTGTATATGTATCAATATATAGATATATAGATCTCATATCAAACCTAGATGGCATAACCTACTACACACCTAGCCTAGATAGTGTAGCTTATTGCTCCTAGGCTACAAACCTGTACAGCATGTTCCTGTACTGAATATTATAGGCAATTATAGCACACTGGTATTTGTGTATTTCAATATAGAAAAAGTGCAGTAAAAATACAGTATTATAATCTTATGATATACATATGGTCTATTGTTGACCAAAATGTTGTTACGTGGCACGTAACTGTAGTACATACTGCATGATTCCATGTATGTAAAGTTCTAGGACAGGCTAAACAAACCTACTGTGTAAGATGTCATGAGTGGTTACATTTGGGCAGAGTGTGACCTGGAAAGTGACTGGAAATGTGCACAAGGAAATTTCCGTGGGGATGGAGTGATCTGTTTCTTGATCTAGATGCTAGTTATCCAGGAGTGTTCACATTGTAAAAATTCGTTGAGTGGTGAATTTATGACTTGTTTTCTGTTTGTTATTTTTAAATAAAGCTTTTTAAAAAATCTATATATCTTTATCTATACATACATAGATGTATCTAAAAATATATATTTAGATATATATCAGATGTATGTATATCTAAATATATACATTTTAGATATATAAATATATAAATGTCTAAAAACATATATTTTAGATATACATTGACTGTATATATATCTACATACATTTTAGATAAATATATAAATGTCTAAATATGTATTTTAGATATATAAATATATAAATGTTTAAAATAGATTTTAAGATAAATATAGCTAAATACATAAATATCTAAGTGTCTAAAAATATACATTTAGATATTTAGATATATCTATATGTATTTATATATTTTGTTCAAAAACTTTAAAAATAACAGGTATTATATATTTAGATATATCAAATATATATCTATATATCTATGAGCTATAGATATCTGAAATATCTATATATCTGTATGTAACTACATATATATATTCCTGAGATATCTATATCTCATATCTATATCTAGATCTCACATCTAGATATAGATATATAGATATGAGATATAGATATCTTAGAAAGGCTAATGTGACTCATGTGGTTACAATCAAAGAGTTAGACTTTGAATAGTACTTATCATTTAGCACTCTTAGGACCTTTTTGGCTATTCTGCTAGCCAGTATCCCTTAATGTTAGCTGAATTTTCTGTTTTTGGCTTTAGGTTTTTTGAAGTAATGGTTGATCTGTTTCTGTATCTGCATTGCTATCTTTTAAAGTATCTTGCCTTTTTTGCTTCTAATGGTTTGTCTCTGAAACCTAAACACTTCATAGGGAGAGGGAATTGAAGGCCTGAAGGCCTTGATCTAGAAAGAAACAAGACTGAGTGTTTTCTTAAGCTTATGTTGGTGTGTCATGTCATGAATATGAGGAACAAAATAAGAACCTTGCTATTTTAGCTGTCATATGAACAGTGATTTTATGCATGTCACAAACTTCATTGCCAGCCTGAGACCTGCATGGCCATACATTGTTCATTGGGGAATGGAGGATTAATTACCAAAAATGATAGGACTTACAGGAGTGAGAAGAAAAACTCCAGTAAGATTTGGCTTTGGTGCAAGGTGGAAAACATCGAAATTACAGAGCCAAGGGCAGACAGAGCATTCTGGGATTATCCTGTTGTCTCCTGCATCTAAGGGAACCAATCTTGAGGCTGAAACAGGATATGTACGTTCAGGTAGATGATGGGATCATAGTTTTGGCTGATGTTCTTGACTGTCTTCACACACGGAAGATATAATGACCATTGTATAGAACTTGTTGGGAGGAGATCCAGGTTAGTGTTGAGTTTCAAATCCCTTAGGGGAATAGGCAGAGTTTATAACTAGAAAAATTTGAGTGTGTGTTGGGTGGAGGCTGCATGTGGGACTGTATGGCAGTCCTAATGGTGATTAGTGTGAACTTTTGTTCCCCAGCTCTGCTGCTTACTAGTTGAGATTAAGAGTTGTCTAAAACACCAAAAGCAATGGCAACAAAAACCAAAATTGACAAATGGGATCTAATTAAACTAAAGAGCTTCTGAACAGCAAAAGAAACTACCATCAGAGTAAACAGGCAACCAACAAAATGGGAGAACATTTTTGCAACCTACTCATCTGACAAAGGGCTAACATCCAGAATCTACAATGAACTCAAACAAATTTAGAAGAAAAAAACAAACAACCCCATCAAAAAGTGGGAGAAGGACATGAACAGACACTTCTCAAAAGAAGACATTTATGCAGCCAAAAAACACATGAAAAAATGCTCACCATCACTGGCCATCAGAGAAATGCAAATCAAAACCACAATGAGATATCATCTCACACCAGTTAGAATGGCGATCATTAAAAAGTCAGGAAACAACAGGTGCTGGAGAGGATGTGGAGAAATAGGAACACTTTTACACTGTTGGTGGGACTGTAAACTAGTTCAACCATTGTGCAAATCAGTGTGGCGATTCCTCAGGGATCTACAACTAGAAATTCCATTTGACCCAGCCATCCCATTACTGGGTATATACCCAAAGGACTATAAATCATGCTGCTATAAAGACACATGCACACGTATGTTTATTGAGGCACTATTCACAATAGCAAAGACTTGGAACCAACCCAAATGTCCAACAATGATAGACTGGATTAAGAAAATGCGGCACATATACACAATGGAATACTATGCAGCCATAAAAAATGATGAGCTCATGTCCTTTGTAGGGACATGGATGAAATTGGAAGTCATCATTCTCAGTAAACTCTCACAAGAACAAAAAACCAAACACTGCATATTCTCACTCATAGGTGGGAATTGAACAATGAGAACACATGGACACAGGAAGGGGAACAGAAGGGGAACATCACACTCTGGGGACTGTTGTGGGGTGGGGGGAGGGGGGAGGGATAGCATTGGGAGATATACCTAATGCTAGATGACGAGTTAGTGGGTGCAGCACACCAGCATGGCACATGTATACATATGTAACTAACCTGCACATTGTGCACACGTACCCTAAAACTTAAAGTATAATAATAAAAAAAAAGAGTTACTTGGAGCTTTCCCTTATTTGTAATAGAACTAGCAATGCTTATCTTAGAGGGCTGCTGTGACATTTAAGTAATATAACGTATGTAAAGTACTTAGCAGAATACCTAGCACAAACACAGTGCTTAATACATTGCAGTCATTTTTCTTACTATCTTAGGACAACCCCAGGCAGGCATATCAGATACCAATATTAGAATGTGAAAAAAAATTCAAGACTCCACCTACTAGAGAGAATGGGACTTCTAAAAGAATGCTCAGATTTGGTTTGAAATGGTTCAGGGAAGAACTGAGCTTAAACATTGAAGGTTTTCAGCATATGCCTCCGGGTAGGTCTAGATCAGAAAATGTCTAACTATATAGACACAAAATTTCCTCCATAGTCTTTCCTTGTCCCCTAAATATTTGCAGATATGTGTGTATTAAGTTTTCCAAAGAGATTATTCCTTTTTGAATGTTGGCTGCTTTGATCATTTTCCCCTAACATTTAAATAATGCAGTGACACAAAATTTCTTTCCAGAATCATATTGATGTTCAATTTTCTTCTACTTCAACCCATAAAAAGCATTCCAAATTCTTTTATGATTTATTTCCTTTTTTGAAAAGCTTCAACAGCATTTGCTATTTCCAAAGAATGCATTATCTCCAACCCGTTCCTTCATATTCTGGAACTAACATTTATACACTCATCTGCCCTCCTTCGACCCCATTTCCTTACTCTGTAAATTCTCATCCTTATATTTACTTAAAAAGTGAATGTTCTTCCCAGTGCTCTAACTTGCAGGTCAGCAACTGGGGTAAGTAAACTTAGGACCAGACCTCCCATCACAATCATATTCAAGACCCATGATCATCTTCAGGATCATCTTTTGTCTTACTGCATCCCATTCTGCTTAATTTTTTTAATGTAAGACATACCTGCATTGTTACAAAACAGTGGGGAAGCCAGGTAAAGTAACCTCATAAGAGTTATTCTCTTCTCCTGTGCTTGCTGTCTGGGTAAGAGCAGGGCATTTTTGCCCTGGATGTGAGTCAGCAGTATTACCATATAAGCAGAGTCGTGCAAAGGGTGCTTTCAGTTCCCTTTCCATGTGGGCTCAGGAACTTATGTTTCTTGGCATATAATGGAGGAATAGTCTGATTCATTATTTCCCCAAAGATAAAGCCATTGTTGAGAACCTTGGGATGGGCCAACTTGCCTTCTGCTGTATACAGGGAAGTTTACCCCCCAGGTTATTTACAATGAGTTATAAAATCAAATATTCAGAATCTTCTTCCTAGTAAATCATCACACATATATTTGCACGCTATTCTACATACACTTGTATAATAAACTAGGTAGTTTTACAAAATCATCCAAGATTCCTAACTTAAGGGAGGTAAAACAATTAATGAGACAATTGTGTTCAATTTTACTACGTGGTTGGAGCCAAAGAAATACATGGCACAACCAAGAGACCTGTCCAACAGTGGGCCAGTTCTTCTAGGCTGGTTTTGCTTACTCCTTCTATGGGCATTTGTTATAGACTTGGAGTAAAAAGTTCTTAAGATGAATAACAGTAGCAGTAGTTACGTCTGTTTCAATATCTACATGTATGTGTTATTTACGCAGGCACTCTTTCTCAGCTCTAATTTCATTACCTGTAACTTAATTGCATTTATTTCTAATATTTTTTTCTATAATACAGAATTCAAATCCTAGCTTTACTACTTCTTAGATATGTGACATTGGCAAATAATTTAGATTTCCAAGCCTCAGTTTCCTTATCTATAAGTTGGAGATAATGCCTCATGGAGTTCTTATGAGGATTAAAATACGAAAGAAAGTGTCTGACAGGGAGTAGGTGCTCAAAAATTGCTGATTTTCTTCTTTTTCTACCTCTTACTGCACCCCATTCTGCTTAATTTTTTTTTATGTAAGACATACCTCCGTGGTTTCAAAACATCTGGCTGAAGGGTGAAAATGAACACAATCACCCAGGTGTTTGGCCTGCATGATGACAGATATCAAACACTTAGAACCATCTGGGTGATTGGCATATTTTCTTTTTCACTTTTATCCAGATGTATGTGGATATAGCCTTGGCCAAAAGGAAAAAAATCACCAGAGTTTTTCTTAAATCCTAAATTAATACTTTTTCTAAAAAATACTATTATTTGAATATCATTCATTTATTTCTTTTGAAAGTTTTCTTGTTCAAGATGCTTTTGAAATAAGATTGTTGCTTAATTTCATTTCCTGTAACCTAGGAATTTTTAAAAAAGAAGGAAATGACTCCATAGATTTCAAACCCCTGTGTTTCTATTCAAGATAATTAAGGACAAGAAACACTAAGTGGTGATTTCAAGACACAGAGTTAGATAGAAGCAGAGCTGGGACAAAAATTGTTGCTTGACATTAAGCTGAAGACACCTGTTCACTACTGCCTATCTTTTTTGCATCTATGTCACATGCATTTTTACAAATATGCACAAAGAACCACATACAACTAACTTTTATACACATAGGACACAAAGATAATTCTAATTTTCTTCCTGACAGTCATATTACTGTAACACAACTTTTTTTCCAAATATTTTTTGAAACTTGCTAGTAAGCCCAAGAGAATAAACCAGGCTTCACTGTACTCAGTCACACGTGCATCCAGTAACTGCACTCTGACATCTGCCATGCAGGGCATTGCTTAAATAGATGTCGTACTGAGATCTGGTATCCCGTGAGCAGCTGATGCAATTCTCCTCAGTCACAGGGATGAAGCTTGGATAACATTGCTGGCTCTGAGAAATCCCCAAGTCACAAAGAAATGATTCCATTGACCTAGCGGCTTTGCACTCCCAATACAACATGTTCTTCAGCAGCTTCCCAAGGGAGAAAATAACGTGAGAGTTTTTAAGAGTGCTGAAAGCTTCCCCTCTAATCAGCCTGTGTGGATTCTGCTAGCATTCCAAGGCGTCTCAGACAATCCCTGGAAAACTTTGGGGACTCAGTGAGGTTTTCTAAACATTTTTTCTGCCTGAAGATACTAAAGATAAGCAGCTTCACATAATTACATTGTTATTTCAACACGAACACAACTTATCGACTGCCATTTCAGTCTCAAAACAACTGTACATCTCAAAGAAGCCCTCCCTTATAAATTCTCAACCCAACAGGGTATTGCTTTTGTCCAATTATTTTTTAGGGTTGGGGGAAATCAGAAGACTAGCATATCTTAAAGCATTTACTTTAAAAACCTCTGTTCTGCTTAATTCATGTCTAAAAGCTGAAGTGGATGGCTGGCCTCGGGTGAAGGAAGAACATTCCTGATGAATGGACTTGTCAGTCATGTGACCAGCTGCAAAACAGTCTGGAATACAGAGATTATCAGCAGTCAAAGGTTATAGTGGATGACTGTGCTGCAGCAATTGCTAGGATCCTAAGTCACTAAGACAGGAACCTGACTACCAGCGTTGGCTAAGCTGGAAATAGCCCACATTTGCAGTCTAACCAGTGGTATTATGAAGTCAGTTTGTAGCCAAATGTTAAATTTCAGGAATGTTGCAAACCCACCGATGTTACCTTGGTAGCTTAAAATTTACACCATAGTTATTGGCACATGCTACAAAGAAGGGCTTTTGATTCCTGGAAAGCTGGTTGTTAAACCTTTATTAGCACATCACTGAGCCAAACAAACCTGACTTAAAATCCCATCTTTGCCACCTGTGACAGATCAACTTGCAAAGGCAGCAGTCCTCTGAGACTTAGTGCTGTGGTCTCTAAATTAGGAAGGATAATAATACCTATTTCAAAATATTATTGTGTGATTAAATCAAGCATTGTGCTTAACCAAGTTTAGTGCTCATCAGATGTATTATTCATTTAATAAATATTAATAGAATACATATTTTATGCTGGAAACTGTGATTGGTGCTAGAGACACAAGGGTGAATAGACTGGCAAAGACCTCAAAGTAGACAGGTAGCACAGATAGATCAAATACTAATTACAATGTAGTATGAAAGTGCTGCAGTATGAGGTGGAAATGGTCACAATTGGAAGAGAGAGGGAGGAGCCATCATTGTTAATATTCCTTTTAAAGAGTTACAGTAGTCTGTGATGAGTGAGGAATATTTGACCAGCCATTTCTAGACATGATGAATCATGGATCTTTTTAGATTCAGAAATGTAGAGATCAGGGCTTCTGGAAATATGTGGAAAGTAAGGCAACATTTTAGCATTAGAGAAATATCTACTTGTAGATTGTGATTATAGGAGCATAGCTCTCTATCCCAAAATTTAGTCTTCATTGCCTGCTATTCAACCATTACAGTAAATTCCTTGGGTCTAAAAGTTGTTGTCCATTGAAATTGCCCTCTAAAAGGCAATATAGTTTCCGAAAGGCATACGCCCTACTGCATTATTTTGGAAAAACCTGTAATTAACAGGGATGGGCAAAGAAGTTAACATTCCTTCAGAGTTAGCTATGATCAAGGCATTTTACACTGCTATCTTATGTCATCAAAACAACATTACTAAAAAATAGATACTGTTATCTCCATTCTGCTGAAGATAAACTGATACTCAGACAGTCTAAGTTATGAGCCCAAGGTGGAGCTGTGATCCAAACTTAAGTTGGCTAAATTATGAGCATTAAATTGATGTTAATATTTAATTATAATACACTTACAAGGTCCTATCATGAACTTTATTTTATAAATGAGAAATTTAGGGAACAGAGCTTAGTAAGTTTCCAATAAGAGGCAAAGTTGGGTTCAAATCTACAACTTTTCTCATCAATACCATACTGCATGTTTCAGTTACCACTTTAGCAAGGGACAGTTAACAATCTAATGAGTATAAGAATCCTTTCTATAGGATGAACTCCTCAAAAGAGACATTGATAGCTAGGGGTTAGAATGAGAGACTAGAAGAGAGGAAAGGGGTCTGGGGGATAAGAAGGCTTCAAAGACAACTTAGTCCTGTCCCAGTATTGGCTGAAGGATAGTGATCATAGAGAGGTAATTTTTATTCTCTATGAAAATCCATGGAGACATGTGAGGCCCAAAGAGAGATGAAAGTATCTGGGTGAGGACTGTTCATTGCAGGACCTTCAATGTGGAAGACTCGCCTACAATAATAGAGAAGAGTTCAGGTAGGCTTTGCATGAGCTGTGGTAGGATCCACACATTTTATGTGGCATTTTAAAAGCATCATCTTTTTACAGTTTCTATATCTTATAGCATTATCTAAAAACTTACATGAATTATCTAAAAACTTAAATCATTTGAAAAATAAGATGTCCAATAAAAACACAAAGGAGAAGAGATAGAGATTCATGGTAAAATATGGTAAAAATTCAATAATTGTACTCTCTATGAAGTAGTATAGAGCTATTTGAAAGTGGACTTGGATTAGCTATAAATATATATTGTAAATTCTAGGGCAACCACTAAAAAAATTTAAAACGAAGCATAATTGGTATGTTAAAAAAGGAAAAAAACTTGAATCATACAAAACGCTCAGTGAAAGCCATAAAAGGGAAAAAATTGTGGAAGACAAAAACAGTAATAAAGAATAATGGCAACCATTAGAACACAGTAACAGATAATATAGATATTAATTCAAATATATTGATAATCACTTTAAATGTCAGCAGCCTAAATACAACAAACAGAAGACAGAGATTGTCAGAGTGGATCAAAAACATGACCCAACTATATGTTGTCTAATTAGAAACCTACTTTAAGTATGAAGACATACAAATTAAAATAAATGGATAGGGAAAGATATACTGTATTAACACTAATGAAAAGAAAGTAGGAGTGGCTATATTAATTTCACATAGGGCAAACTTAAGAGCAAGGAAAGTCATCACAAATAAAGAGGAGCATTACACACTGACAAAGGGATCAACATTCCAGAAGACATAACAATGCTTAAAGTGTATGTGCCCAATAAGAAAGAGTCAACCTATATGAGGCAAAACCTGACAGAATTGCAAAGAGAAATAGATGAGTCTACTATTACAGTTGAAGATTTTAGCAGCCCTCTATCAGAAATGAGCAGATCCAGCAGGCATAAAATTAGTAATGACCTAGATGAATTAAATGGCACTATCAATCAACTGGATATAGTTGACATCTACAGACTTGTTTATCCAAAAACACCAGATTACACATTCTTCTCAAACTCACATGGAGCATTCACCAAGACAGACCACATTCTGGGCCATAAAACCATCTTAACAAATTTTAAAAAATAAAAATTGTACATTGTCTGCTGTCAGATCACAATACAATAGAGCTAGACATTATAACAAAAGAGAAAATCCGCAAATGCTTGGAGATTGAATAACATACTTCTAAATAACACATGATCTAAAGAAGAAAGCTCAAGAGAAATTAAAAACTATTTTGAACTAAATGAAAATACAACTTACCAAAATTTGTGGGATACGCAAAAAGCAGTGCTTAGAGGGAAATTTATAGGATTGAATGCCTATATTAGAAGAGAAAAAATCTAAAATAAATCATCTAAGCAGGAAACTAGAAAAAGAAGTTCAAATCAAATCAAAAGTAAGCAGAAGTAAAAAAATAATTAAAATTAGAGCAAAAATTAAGGAACTTGACAACAGGATATCAGTAGAGAAAATCAACAAAATTAAAAGCTGATTATTTGAAAAGATCAATAAAAGTTATAAGCCTCTAGCCAGGCTAACTAAGAAAACAAGAAAGAAGATACAAATTACTAATATCAGAAATGAAAGAGAAGACATCACTACAGATCTCATGGACATTAAAAGGATAATTTAAAAATACTCTAAATAACTCTATGCTCACACATTTGATAATCTAGATAAAATAAACCAATTCCTTGAAACTCACAATCTGCCACAATTCAAAGAAGAAGAAATAATGCCAATAGGCCCAATGAAGAAATACACTCAATAACTAATAACCTCTCCAAAGAGAAAGCATCAGGCCCAGATGGGTTCACTAGTGAATTATACCAGCGTTTAAGAGAGAAATTTTATTAGTTCTTCACAATTTTTTCCAGATGATAGAACCAGAGGAAATACTTCTTAGCTCATTTTATGAGGCCAGGCTTAACCTAATACTAAAACCAAAGACATTTCAAGAAAAAAAAAGAAACTATCTTTAGACCAATATTCCTTATGAATGTAGCTGCAAAATTCTCCGACAAAATATTAACAAATTGAATTCAACAATATAAAAAAAGAATTACACATCATAATCCATTGCAATTTATTCCAGGTATGCAAGGCTGGTTCAATGTTCAAAAATCAAATAATGTAATTCATCACATCAACAAGTATAAGAAAACAAATTACCTAATCATATCAATAGATGCAGATAAAGCATTTGATAAATTCCAATGTCCTTTCATGATTAAAAAAAAAAAAACCTCTCAGCAAACTAAGAATAGAGGGAAACTGTCTCAGCTTGATAAAGAGCATGTACAAAAATCCTACATTATACTTAATGGTGAGAAACTTGAAGCTAAGATGAGAAACAAGGCAGGGATGTCCCTTTCACCACTGCTTTTCAACCTCATATTGGAAATCTTAGCTAATGCAATAAGACAAAGAAAGAAAATAAAAAAGTATACAGATTGGGAAAGTAGAAATAAAATTGTGCTTGCAGATTACATGATTGTCTATTTAGAAAATCTGAAGAAATAGTTCTAGATCCCTGAGGAATCGCCACACTGACTTCCACAATGGTTGAACTAGTTTACAGTCCCACCAACAGTGTAAAAGTGTTCCTATTTCTCCACATCCTCTCTAGCACCTGTTGTTTCCTGACTTTTTAATGATCGCCATTCTAACTGGTGTGAGATGGTATCTCATTGTGGTTTTGATTTGCATTTCTCTGATGGCCAGTGATGATGAGCATTTTTTCATGTGTCTTTTGGCTGCATAAATGTCTTCTTTTGAGAAGTGTCTGTTCATATCCTTCGCCCACTTTTTGATGGGGTTGTTTTTTCTTATAGATTTGTTGGAGTTCATTGTAGATTCTGGATATTAGCCCTTTGCCAGATGAGTAGATTGCAAAAATTTTCTCCCATTCTGTAGGTTGCCTGTTCACTCTGATGGTAGTTTCTTTTGCTGTGCAGAAGCTCTTTAGTTTAATTAGATCTCATTTGTCAATTTTGGCTTTTGTTGCCATTGCTTTTGGTGTTTTAGACATGAAGTCCTTGCCTATGCCTATGTCCTGAATGGTATTGCCTAGGGTTTCTTCTAGGGTTTTTATGGTTTTAGGTGTAACATTTAAGTCTTTAATCCATCTTGAATTAATTTTTGTATAAGGTGTAAGGAAGGGATCCAGTTTCAGCTTTCTACATATGGCTAGCCAGTTTTCCCAGCACCATTTATTAAGTAGAGAATCCTTTCCCCATTGCTTGTTTTTGTCAGGTTTGTCAAAGATCAGATGGTTGTAGATATGTGGCATTATTTCTGAGGACTCTGTTCTGTTCCATTGGTCTATATCTCTGCTTTGGTACCAGTACCATGCTGTTTTTGTTACTGTTGCCTTGTAGTATAGTTTGAAGTCAGGTAGCATGATGCCTCCAGCTTTGTTCTTTTGGCTTAGGATTGACTTGGCAATGAAGGCTCTTTTTTGGTTCCATATGAACTTTAAAGTAGTTTTTTCCAATTCTGTGAAGAAAGTCATTGGTAGCTTGATGGGGATGGCAATAAATCTATAAATTACCTTGGGCAGTATGGCCATTTTCACGATATTGATTCTTCCTACCCATGAGCATGGAATGTTCTTCCATTTGTTTGTATCCTCTTTTATTTCCTTGAGCAGTGGTTTGTAGTTCTCCTTGAAGAGCTCCTTCACATCCCTTGTAGGTTGGATTCCTAGGTATTTTATTCTCTTTGAAGCAATTGTGAATGGGAGTTTACTCATGATTTGGCTCTCTGTTTGTCTGTTACTGGTGTATAAGAATGCTTGTGATTTTTGCACATTGATTTTGTATCCCCGTTACTGGGTATATACCCAAAGGACTATAAATCATGCTGCTATAAAGACACATGCACACGTATGTTTATTGCGGCACTATTCACAATAGCAAAGACTTGGAATCAACCCAAATGTCCAACAATGATAGACTGGATTAAGAAAATGTGGCACATATACACCATGGAATACTATGCAGCCATAAAAAATGATGAGTTCATGTCCTTTGTAGGGACATGGAGGAAGCTGGAAACCATCATTCTCAGCAAACTATCGCAAGGACATAAAACCAAACACTGCATGTTCTCACTCATAGGTGGGAACTGAACAATGAGAACACATGGATGCAGGAAGGTGAACATCACACACCGTGGCCTGTTGCGGGGTAGGGGGAGCAGGTGGATAGCATTTGGAGATATACCTAATGTTAAATGACAAGTTAATGGGTGCAGCACACCAACATGGCACATGTATACATATGTAACTAACCTGCATGTTGTGCACATGTACCCTAAAACTTAAAGTATAATAAAAAAAAAAAAGAAAATCAGAAAAAATAAAAAACTTTCTGGAACTAATAAGCAATTATGGAAAGGTCACAGAATATAAGATTAATACACAAAATTTCATTGCTTTCCTATACACCAGATATAAACAAGTGGAATTTGAATAAAAGACAAAAAGCTATTTATATTAACACTAAACAAATGAAATATGCAGGTATAAATTTAACAAAATATGTATAATATCTATATGAGAAAAAGTGTAAAACTCTAATGCAAGGTATCAAGGAAGAATTAAATGAATGGAAATGTACTCTATGTTCATAGATAGGAAGGGTCAATATTGTCAAGAATTCTTCCCCACTTGATCTATAGATTCAGTGCAATCTCAGTAAAAATGAGCAAGTTATTCTGTGAGTTTTGACATACCGATTCTAAAGTTTATATGGATAGGCAAAAGACTCAGAGTAGCCAACTTAGTATTGAAGAAGAACAAAGTAAGAGGACTGACACTATCTGACCTCAAGACTTACTACAAAGCTGCAGGAATTGAGACAGTATGGTATTGGCAACAGAAGACAAACAGATTAATGGAATAGAATAGAGAGCCCAGAAATAGACCTGCATAAATATAATCAATGATCCTTGTCAAAGAAACAAAAGCAATATACTGGAGCAAAGATAATTTTTTCAACAAATGCTGCTGGAACAATTGGACATCCTCATGCAAAAAATAATAATCTAGAAATAGGCCTCACATCCTGCACAAAAATTAACTAAAAATAGATCACAGATCTAATAATGCAAAACTATAGGACTCCTAAAAGATATATGGAAGAAAATCTTGATGACTTCATTATGGCAATGGCTTTTTAGATACAACACTCAATGAGCAATACATGGAAGAAATAATTGAGGGGGTGGAAGGAAAGATGATGGACTAGATGCAGTGAGGTGGAATAGCTCCCACAGAGACCAAGATGACTGCCATGCTCCTAACAGATCTTCAGAGGGAAAGCAACAAGAGTGGATAGAGGGAAGATATGGAAGCTGAGCTGAAGGGGGAAGAAGGTGGGAACCATACACAGGGCTACAGGTTACTGTGCAACCAAATTTTTTCCTGATTCCCAACCACTCCAGGGGAATGACTGAGTTGACCAGGCAAGGAGCAACCCACTAGTGCCACGGGCCTCTAGATCCCCAGCAGGAAGAGACCCCTCAACCACCATGGACACTTGAGTTGGCAGGGAAAGCAGATTAGACATGTGGTAGGAGCAGTAAACCAGCTGATGTGTAGCCCAGAGGGTTTGGTGTGGGACCATCTGTAGTGGAGCACAGCCAGGGAAGGCTGTCCCCTTAGGCTTGACTTGCTCCCATAAGTGACTTTAGCCCTAGGTGAACTGTTGGACCCTCTGCAGGGCAGTCTTGTCCATCAGATGGGGTTGGTCTGACCTGAGCACTACTTGGTCTGGTGGCCTCTCCTGGGGTTCCAGCCAGGCCACATGTGTTTGCAGGACAACCCCGGGTGCCACATCATAGCAACTGAATTGGTTGACTATGCCTGACCAGCACAGAGCTCCAGCAAGGTGGCCCCTGTGGCTACACACCAGCCTGCGTAATTCTTCCCTGCACTGCAGCTTCCCCCAGGCCCATGGCATCTCCCCACATCATTTTGCTAGCACATGGTCACATGGACAGGTTTTGCTTTCCTTGCCCTTCCAGCGTGCAGGAGTGCAGTTCATCTGTTCCCCTCCCCTGCACACCACCATTGCAGACGGAGCCTTGGCTGGGATACAGCCAGGCAGCCCCATCCCCACCAGCATCCTGCCCTTGTGCTCACACTGCCATGGGAGTGAATCTAGGCACAGAGAGTAGCAGATCCTCCCCAAACCTGAGCAACCACTCCTGCTTGCACAGCACAGAGAAGGCAACCAAATCTCTGCCCACCAGTGCTCCACCCCTTGGCAAACACTACCACCAGCACCACTGCACACACAGTTGCCAGCAAGTCTCCCTGCCCTCCCCCGAGCTGTGTTGCCTCCACCACTGTGGTGAATGCCCATAGGAAGGAAGGCAGCCTGGCACCCACTAGCACCTTGCTGCAACTGCCGCAGGCACATGCCAACAAAGATGGATCCTATAGTCATCGCACTACAAAATGCTTTGGCTGACATCAACCATCAGAGTGTAGTGACCAGCAGTCTGGAAACACCTCGGCCTCTATCAGCACAGTAAATTCCTAACCTAGAGGAGCCAGGAAATAATGTCAGGACCCAGTATAAGTCCTCTGCAGTTAGAGCACACAGTTCAGGAATTGGGAGCTGGGCATTGCCCCCCGCCTTAAAATCCTTCAGAAATGAAGCCAGTCAGCTGAATCCACCTTATTCCACAATCAAACCCTAAAGATCTTCAAATAGGAAAAAAGAAAAAAATATTCATCCAAAGGTCAGCAACCTCAAAGATTGAAGGTAGATAAGCCCACAAAGGTGGGAAAGAACCAGCACATGAACCCTGACAACTCAAAAATCCAGAATGCCTTATTTCCTCCAAACGACCACATCATTTCTTTAGCAAGGGTTCTGAACCAGGTTGAGATGGCTGAAATGACAGAAATAGAATTCAGAATATAGATAAAAATGAAGATCATTAAGCTACAGGAGTACATTGAAACCCAATCCAAGGTAGCTAAAAATGATGATAAAACAATGCAGTACCTGACAGAAAAATTTAGCAAGTATAGAAAAGAGCATAACTGGCCTGATAGAGCTGAAAAACACACTAATAGAATTTCATAATGCAATTAAAATTATTAATAGCAGAATAGACCAAGCAGAGAAAAGGATTTTGAGCTGGAAAACCAACTTTCTGAAATAAGTTAGGCAAGAATAGAAAAAAATGAATGAAAAGGAATGAACAAAACCTCTGAGAAATATGGGATTATATAAAGAGACCAATCTACAACTCACTGGTGTCCCTAAAAGAGACGAGGAAAATGGACTCAACTTGAGGGTATCATCCATGAGAAGTTCTCCAACCTAGCTAGAGAGGCCAACATTCAGAAAGTGCAGAGACCCCCCAGTAAGAAACTTCACAAGAAGATCATCGCCAAGACACATAATCATCAGATTCTCCAAGATCGAAATGAAAGAAAAAATGTTAAATGTAGCTAGAAAGAAAGGTCAGGTCACCTAAAAAGGGAAGCCTATCAGACTTAACAGTGGACCTCTCAGCAGAAATCCTACAAGCCAGAAAAGACTGGGGGCCAATATTCAACATTCTTAAAGAAAAGAAATTAGAATTCAGAATTTCATATCTGGAAAAACTAAACTTCATAAATGAAGAGGAAATAAGATCCTTTTTAGACAAGCAAATGCTGAGAGAATTTGTTACCACCAGACCTGCCTTATAAGGGCTCCAGAAGGAAGCACTAAACATGGAAAGGAAAGATCGTTACCAGTCACTACAAAAACACACTGAAGTACACAGAACAATGACACTTTACAACCACATAAACAAGTCTGCGAAATAATCATCTAACATCAAGATGATTGATAGGATCAAATCCACACATATCAATACTAACCTTGAATGTAAATGGGCTAACTGCCCCAATTAAAAGGCACAGATTGGCAAGCTGGATAAAGAACCAAGGCCCATTGGAATGCTGTCTCCAAGAGACCCATCTTATGTACAATGACACACCTAGGCTCAGAATCAAGAGGTGGAGAAAAATATAACAAGCAAATGGAAAACAGTAAAAAGCAGAGGTTGTAATCCTAGGTTCAATCAAAACAGATTTTTAAACCAACAAAGATTAAAAAAAAAGAGGGGCATTACATAATGGTAAAGGGTTCATTTCAACAAGATTTAACTACTCTAAATATATGTGCATACAACACAGGAGCACCCAGATTCATAAAGCAAGTTCTTGGAGACTTTCAAAGAATCTTAACTCCCACACAAAAATAGTGGGAAGACTTTAACACCCCATTGACGACTTCAGACAGATCATTGAGACAGAAAATTAAGATATTCAGGACCTGAACTCAACACTAGATCAAGTAGACCTGACAGACATCTACAGAACTACTGACCCAAGAATAGCAGAATGTACGTTCTTGTCATCACCTTATGGCACATATTCTAAAATTAATCACATAATCTGAAGTAAAACACTTCTCAGCAAATACAAAAGATCTGAAATCATAACAAAAAAATCTTTCAGACCACAGCGCAATTAAATTAGAAACTGAGACTAAGAAATTCACTCAAACCAATACAATTACATGGAAATGGAATAATCTGCTCCTCATTGACTTTTAGGGAAATAATGAAATTATAGCTGAAATCAAGAAGTTAGTTGAAACTAATGAGAACAAAGACAAAACATACCAGAATTTCTGGGACACAGCTAAGGCAGTGTTAAGAGGAAAATTTCTAGCACTAAATGCCCACATCAAAAAGTTAGAAAGATATCAAATTAATAACCTAACATCTCAATTAAAAGAACTACAGAACCAAGAGCAAACCAATCTCAAAACTACCAGAAGACAAGAAATAACCAAAATGAGAGCTGAACTGAAGGAAATTGAGACACAAAAATACCGCTCAAAAGATCAATGAATCCAGGAGCTTTTTTTTTTGGAAAAAAAATAAAATAAAATACATAGATTGCTAGCTGTTGTTTGGGAATAGATAGATAGATAGATAGATAGATAGATAGATAGATAGATAGATAGATTGCTAGCTAATAAAGAAGGAAAGAGAAGATCCAAATAAACACAATCAGAAATGACAAGGGGGATATTACCACTGACCCCACAGAAATACAAATAACCTAAGAGAATATTATGAATACCTCTACACACATGAACTAGAAAATCTAGAAGAAATGGGTAAGTTCCTGGGCACATACACCTGCCCAAGACTGAACCAGGAAGAAATTTAATCCCTGATCAGACCAATAACAAACTCTGAAATTGATTCAGTAATAAATAGCCTACCAACCAAAAAGTCCAGTACCAGCACCAGATGCATTTACAGCTGAACTCTACCAGATGTACAAAGGAGAGCCGGGACAATTTCTACTGAAACTATTCCAAAACATTAATGAGGAAGGACTCCTCCCTAACCCATTTTATGAGGCCAGCATCATCTTAATGCCAAAACCTAGCAGAGATATAACAACAACAACAAATCCCAATATCATTCATGAACATCAGTGAAAAAATCCTCCACAAAATGCTAGCAAACTGAATCCAGCAACACACCAAAAAGCTTATCCACTAAATCAGGTAAACTTTATCCCTGGGATTCAAGGTTGGTTCAACAAACATAAATCAATAAACATGATTCTTCACATAACCAGAACTGAAGACAAAAACCATATGATTATCTCAATATATGCAGAAAAAGCTTTCAATAAAATTCAACACCCCTTCATGTTAAAAACTCTCCATAAACTAGATATCGAGGAAACACACCTCAAAATAATAAGAGCCATCTAAGGGAAACCCACAGCCAACATCGTAATGAATGGGCAAAAGCTGGAGGCATTCCCCTTGAAAACCGGCACAAGGCAAGGATGCTTTCTCTCACCACTCCTATTCAACACAGTATTGGAAGTCCTGGCCAGGGCAATCAGGCAAGAGAAAGAAATAAAGGGCATCCAATTAAGAAGAGGGGAAGTCAAATTATCCCTGTTTCCAGAGGACATGATTCTATATCTAGAAAACCCCATAGTCTCAGTCCAAAAGCCCCTTAAGCTGATAAACAACTTCAGCAAAGTCTTAGGATACAAAATCAACGTATCACTGGCATTCCTATACACCAACAATAGTCAAGATGAGAGCCATATTAGGAATGCAATCCCATCCACAATTGCCCCCCACCCCCCTAAAAATAAAACACCTAGGAATACAGCTAACCAGGGAGGTGAAAGATTGCTACAATGAGAACTACAAAACATTGCTCAAAGAAATCAGCAATGACATAAACAAATGGAAAAACCTTCCATGATCATGGATAGGAAGAAACAATATTATTGGAATGATGATACTGCCCAAAGCAATTTATAGATTCAATGCTGTTCCTATCAAACTACCAATGACATTCTTTACAGAACTAAAAAAAAACTACTTTAAAATTCATAGGGATCCAAAAAAGAGCCTAAATAGCCAAGGCACTGCTAAGCAAAAAACAAAGCTGGAGGTATCATGTTACCTAACTTCAAACTATAATACAGAGCTACAGCAACCAAAACAGCATTGTACTGGTACAAAAACGGCACATAAATCAACGGCAATAGTCAGAATAGAGAGCCCAGAATTAAGGCCACATACCTACAACCACCTGGTCTTGAACAATGCTGAGAAAAACAAGCAATGGGGAAAAGACTCCCTATTCAATAAATGGCACCTGGATAACTAGCTAGCCATATGTGGAAGTTTGAAGCTGGACCCCTTCCTTATACCATATACAAAAATCAACTCAAAATGGATTAAAGGCTTAAATGTAAAACCCAAAACTATAAAAACCCTGGAAGACAACCTGGACAATACCATTCTAGACATAGTAATGGGCAAACGCTTCATGACAAAGATACCAAAAGCAATTGCAACAAAAGAAAAAAATGACAAATGGGATCTAATTTAATGAAAGAGCTTCTGCACAGCAAATAAAACTATCAACAGAGTGAATAGACAACCTACAGAATAGGAGAAAACTTTTGCAAACTATGCATCTGACAAGGTCTCATATCCAGTAATATATAAGGAACTTAAATAAATTTACAAGAAAAAAACAACTTTATTAAAAAGCAGGCAAAGGACATAGACACTTTTCAAAAGAATATATACATGTGACCAGTGATCATATGGAACATAGCTCAACATCACTGATCATTAGAGAAATGCAAATTGAAACCACAATGAGATAACCATCTCACACCAGTCAAAATGACTATTATTAAAAAGTAAAAAATAACAGATGCTGGTGAAGTTGTAGAGAAAAAGGAACACTTATACACTGTTGGTGAAAGTGTAAATTACTGCAACTATTGTGGAAAGCACTGTGGCAATTCCTCAGAAATACCATTTGACTTGGTAATCCTATTACTGGTCACATACCCACCCCAAAACAAATTATTATATTATAAAGACCCATGAATGTGTATGTTCATTGCAGCACTATTCACAATACCAAAGACATGGAATCAACCTAAATGCCTATCAATGGCAGACTGGATAAAGAACATATGGTACATATACACCATGGAATACTATGCAGCCATAAAAAGAACATTATGTTTTTTACAGAAACACTGATGAAGTTGGAGGCTATTATCCTTATGAAACTGATGCAGCAACAGAAAACCAAATACCATGGTGTTCTTACATATAAGTGGGGGCTAAATGATGAGAACACGTGGACACTTAGAGGGGAACAACACATACTGGGGCCTATTGGAGGGAGGAGGACGGGAGAAGGGAAAAGTTCAGGAAAAATAACTAATGGGTACTAGGCTTAATACCTCCATGACAAAATAATCTGTACAAAAAAAAAACCCATGACACAAGTCAAACAAACTTGCACATGTACCTGCACAAACTTATACATGTACCCCTGAACTTAAAAATTAAATTAAAAAAAGAAAGAATTGATAATATGGACTTCATTAAAATGGAAATTTCTGATCTGTGAAACTCAATGTCAGGAGCATGAGAAGACAAGCCACAGACTGGAAGGAAATATTTGCAAAAGACATTTCTGATAAAGGACTATTATCCAAAATACACAAAGAACTCTTAAAACTCAACAATAAGAAAGTAAGCAACCCAAATAAAAATGGGCAAAAGACCTGAAAAGCCACCTCACGGAAGAAGATATACAGATGGTAAGTAAGCATGTGAAAAGATGCTTAATATCATTTATTATTAGAGAATTGCAGATTAAAACATCAATGAGATACACACCCAATAGAATGGCCAAAATTCAAAACACTGACAACATCAAATGCTGGTGAAGATGTGGAGCAACAGGAATGTGCATTCATTGATGGTGGGAATGCAAAATGGTACAGCTACCTAGAAAGAGAGTTTGGCAGTATTTTACAGAACTAAACATGCTTTTACCACATGATGCAGCAATTTTGCTCCTTGATATTTATCCAAATCAATTAAAGATTTGTCCATACAAAAACCTGCACAAGATGATTATAACAGATTTATTCATAATTGTCAAAAGCTGGAAGCAACCAAGATGTCCTTTAGTATGTGAGTAGATCAATAAATGATGGTACATCTAGACAATGACATATTATGCACCAAAAAGATTGAGTTTTCAAGCCTTGAAAAGACATGGAGAAAACTTAAATGATTATTACTAAGTGAAAGAAACTAATCTGGAAAGACCATATACTGTATGATTCCAACTATATGAAATTTTGGAAAGAGCAAAACTTTGGAAACAGTAACAAGATCAGCAGTTGTCACAGGTTAGGAGGAAGGAAGAGATAAATAGGCAGAGCACAGCAGATTTTTAGGACAATGAAACTATCCGATATGCTACTAAAATGGTAGATACATGTCATTCTACAGTTGTCAAAAACCCACAGAATGAGCAATACCAACAGTGAATTCTAATATAAACCATGGACTTTGGGTGATGATGAGTCAATGTAGGCTCATCAATCATAACAAATGTATTATGATGGTGCTATGAGGAGAGTAACAGTAGGGGAAGTTGTGTGAGTGTGGAGACAGGGTAAATGCAAACCCTGTACTTTGTGCTCAATTTTGCTGTGAACCTAAAACTGCTCTACAAAATGAAATTTATTAATTAAAATGTTTAAATAATTTAGATGCTTCCTATTTCAAATTTTTAGCAGAATATTCATAATAGTAATCATATCTTCAGTGTCTATAAAATTTTATAATACACGTGCATACAATTATATGCATTATATATTATATAACATATATTTATAATATGATATATATGGGTTATATATTATGTTATCTATATCATATGTTCTATAATATATGGTATTTATAATATATATGAATATATTTTTTACATAATGCATATAAATAAGCTAATTGCATTTATGTAAAACTATCCTAAAACTTAGGCTTTAATACAGACTTCTAAATTCTAATTAAATGATAATAATTAAACGCATTTATAAAGAGTCATAACTTGGCAAGGTACTTTTTGTGCCCACACTACCCTAGGGCCCTTTGAGGTAGGATCATTTTCCATATCTATTTTTAAATGAGTAAACAAAGTCATAGGAAGGTGAGTAACGATCTCAGAGCTACTCAGAGTCTCATAAGTTCTGCTAAGTTTAGACCTAGACATCTGTGAGCTTGAAAACTGTGTAAGCCCAGTTGGCTAGCTGGCTAACTTTGCATGAGTCCCTTAGGCTCAGACCATGCCCTTCATGTGTGAGAATTGCTTTATGTTATCTCTAGGTGCCCTTCCAGTCCACTTATTTATGTGGCTAGTAGGATGGAAAAGGGCCAATTACAAAAGTAAGCGAAAGGGCTTTTTTTCATCATTTACCTTACGTGAGATGTGAAGTTTAGAGGGAGAACTGCCCTCTGGGTTGATTTATTACCAAAGTTCCTGGCTTCTTCATCCCCACCAACTCCCACACTGGGAGAGGTAGAGGAACATCACAATCTAAGGATGAATTGAGAGCAAATCACATTAAGGATGCAACTTGAAGAATTTCCTTCTGTCAGCAAAGATCCAAGACCTTGTAGAAATTACCCTAACATGAAAAGTTTCTTTCAAGAAGAGATTTCCTAAAGTTCTTCACAGCAAAGCTCCACTAGGCTAAAAGCCATGGCTCTTGTTTGTTCCTACAGGGTGTTTCAGTTACAAAGTTGTTCATGTCCTTAATGTTCTCAATTTGATTCTCAACACCAACCTGTAAGATGGAGAGGAAAAGGCTTGTAATTCCCGTTGTACAGTTGAAAAAAACCTGAAAAATTAGAGAAAAGCATTTTCCCAATGTCATTGTCATAGTAAGTGGTGGAGTTGTAGAGTTTTTGACTCTTAGTCTAATGCTCTTTTCATGGCACCAGAAGTATTTGGCTTACAGACTGTTTGAATAGCTGGAGAACTGCATAAACCAAGTGATGTCCATGGACACTATGACATGGCACTATATTTCAAAACTACCAATGGGAAGAGTAGGAATGGATGTTATTTCCAATCTGAGATAATAGGTCTGAAACTTCTGGAAGCCCCTAGGCCAGCAGGTGGAGCCTCTTGTCATGCTTTTTTCCAAAGGCAGGGAGAGATTTTTTTTTTCTTGTTTTTTCAAAAACAGAAAACAATATATACATTATTAGTCAACTAGATCAGGACAGAAGAAAGGTTTTTATGCCTTTACATTTGTTTAAACTTTCCTCAGGTGCTGAGAAGGAGGAAGCTCATGTTCATTGGCCTGGAGATTCAAGTACACACAGAGACACAGAGGCATTCCAAAAAGGAACGTGAGGGTTTTGTGCAAGGCATAGGACAGTGAATATGCTCGGTGAGGCATGCAAACACAGCAAAGGAATGAAGGAGCTGCACATGGAGTGGTATGCACTTCTAAACAGCTTTCAGCAGGCCTTGGATCCACAAACAGCAGGAGACAGCCTTTCTCTATAAGAAAGGACAGTTGGAGCCCGAATGTTACTCTGGTAAACAACAGCCTGAGCCATGTGAGGAAGTGATTCCCCTTTCATACAGGTTTGCATAACATCTTTCCTTTCCCCTGGAGACGCCAGAGAAGCAGCCCTGCTCTTTGGTTCTAGACATACACATTCCTTTGCCCTGTATGCCTTTAGTGCCATGAGTAGGTCATCTTTTCCACTCCCTTCCAAAATATTTTGTTTTCCATCTCTCCCTTCTTTTCCATGTTGCTTTGAGAAAGATCCAAAACTTCCTCCTTGGTTTCTTTAGCTGTTTTTTGTTGTTGTTTCAAACCACAGCCTAAATTTAAACCATGGCTCAGGAGAGGCAACTAACTGGTGGTTATGGGTGTGGCTTCATTGTGGCCTTAGAAACAATTACCTTCAGCCAGTCTTAACCTGTGTGCAGGTAAATATAGGATACCTCTAAGTTCTATCACAGAGGCATTGTCTAGAGAATTTAGGGAAGAGCTTTCTAACTTGGGTCCTTCTTGCTTTTCTAATTTTTCTTTTTTGTTTTGCACCCCACCCCCCCCAAAACTTGCTTTTCTAATTTATTTGGCCAAAGACAGTCAGAGGAATCTTCCTAAATATTAATAGCTTTTATCATAATACTATTCTGTCCAGAAGCCTGAAATACTTCAGCTCCCCTCTACCGTTTATCTCTAAGATGATGAATTAACTGCTTAGCCTGACCTATGGTACCTCCAATGTCTGGTCTCAACTTACCTTCTCAGTCTTCTTGCCCATTTTTTCATTATAAACCAGCCTGGATGACTTATTTTCTTTCATATTCTTTCTTCCACCTCTTGGTTGCACCTGTCCCTCTTTGAGTGACCTCTTCATTCCTGTTAGTTTATCTGATATCTTCCGATGTTTGTTCAAGGTCCAGCTGAATATCTCCTTTTCAATGAAGGCTTTCTCAATTTCTCTACATTGCATCTCTACTCCCCTGCTTTGAAACTAAGAGAATATCTATTTTACTCAAATAACACTTCATATTCTGGCCTGTGTCCTTTTAGTCCCTGTATAATTGCTTTTGTTGAACTGTGGTCTGCTATTATACCACTATCCCACATTAAAAAAAAAAAAAAAAACTTTATGAGAAACAACCCAGCAAAAAGCACTGTGAAATATATTGTATGGATGTTATTGGGGACATGATTTGATATATTTTACAGTGTCTTTTTCATGCAGGCCCGTGGGGAAAAATGTCTCTCAGTCCTCAAAACCAAGAATAGGTGGCCTTCTCCTGAGCTGCTATTTTGTTTTTATCTTGTGATCATCATGAGTCATGTCTCCCTCTTTTTTTTTTCTGAGACAGAGTCTCGCTCTGTAGCCCAGGCTGGAGGGCAGTGGCACGATCTCGGCTCACTGCAAGCTCCACCTCCCAGGTTCACGCCATTCTCCTGCCTCAGCCTCCCGAGTAGCTGGGACTACAGGCATCCACCACCATGCCCGGCTAATTTTTTGTATTTTTTTTAGTAGAGACGGGGTTTCACTGTGTTAGCCAGGATGGTCTCGATCTCCTGACCTTGTGATCCACCCACCTCGGCCTCCCAAAGTGCTGGGATTACAGGTGTGAGCCACCGCGCCCGGCATCTCCCTCTTTTCATAGACTCAGAGCCAGAATTGTAGCCCACCACAAGTAACAAGTGACACTTAATGTCATGTATTTGGCGGGGGTTGGGGGGGCGGTGCTTGGGTGCAGTAATAGCATTAACTTTGGCTTATTTTTATTTCCTGTCTTTATTTTTCTTTCCTCCAGTTTTCTCCCTTATTTATTTTACAATCTGGTAATTGTGCATATCTTTGTAAAAAGGTTCAAATCATTTTTGGAATTGTATGAGGATATATATACATGTAAAACAAATAATTCCTTGCCTTACTTTTTAATCTTAAAATGTACAGAAATCTTAAATATGTAGATTGAATTTTTACATATGTAGATACCTGTGTAAGCACCACCTAGATCAAGACATAGAACATTCCAGAGTGCCAGAAAGTACCAGTTCCTTTCATTATTAACTTATCTTTTCATGTGACTCTGTGTATCTTGGCTCCACAGCTATTCTGAATATTGTTTGAGGATAAGACTGTAGCTATTTGTACCCTGCAGAGAGCCTAATAGGGTTTCTGGAGCATAGTAGGTAATCAGGATGTAGTTATTGACTGAAGGAAAGGACTTGTTCCAAAAAAAGGAGATATGGTTTGGCTGTATTCCCACTCAAATCTCATCTTGAATTCACACGTATTGTGGGAGGGACCTGATGGGAGGTAATTGAATCATGGGAGCAGTTCTTTTTCATGCTGTTCTCATGACAGTAAGTATCACAAGATCTGATGGTTATTATAAGGGGGCGTTTTCCTGCACAAGCTCTTTTTGGTTGCTGCCATCCATGTAAGATGTGACTTGCTCCTCCTTGCCTTCTGCCATGATTGTGAGGCTTCCCCAGCCACATGGAACTGTAACTCCAATTAAACCTTTTTCTTTTGTAAATTGCCCAGTCTTGGGTATGTCTTTATCATCAGTGTGAAAATGGACTAATACAGAAGGAGATGGCTAAGTCCCAGTGCTGACCCAGAGCACTTTGTGCAGCCCTCAGGTAGAGATCAAAAGCTGTCTGTCCTGTTTGTCCCTGGTGCTCTAGTCTCTGGTACAGGGCCTGGCACTTTGTATATATGTTCTTTATGGACTTAAATATATATCTGCTTAACTGAAGAAGCCTTTTCATATCTACTACTGTCTCAGTTGGATGGTGTGTGAGTAGTTTTTCTAATTCTGGAAACTGGGCTGGAAAAACTTGCCATGCTATCACTGAGCATATTTCCTTGAAGGATATGTCTCTGCTGCTCCCTATTCTGCCTTCTAAATAAATGGAAAGAACAGGGGACCCCAATGAGTACCTGCCAACTGGGGTTAGTAATCTCTGCCACAGTGGCATGCCCTCCCCCGACCCAAGGATGGTTTAACCTTCTGTTGAAGAATAAATATGGGAAAAGCATGTGTACCAGGAAATGGGCGCTCAGTAGGCAGCCCAAGGCACCACCAGCTCATTATTTACTAACTTTAATGCCTTGGCAAAAAGAAATCTGTAGACAGAGATGAGAAGACTCTTTGTCTCTTTGTGCCTAAAGACTGCTTACTCCTGGACACTGAGAGAATAGTCTTGATTGAGAATTTATTTTGGGGTGAATGTTTCCACATCAAGTGAGTGAGAAAAACAAAAACAAAAACAAAAGAAGCACATATTATTAGCAATAATGGAAATAAACAAAGCAAATTTTACAAGAATGATTTTAATTTATTTTAGTTTTCACTCTCTGGGCCATCTGGGAAAACTCTCGTCCCAGAGAAAAACTGAGTGACAAGAAGGGTGGGGAAAGTCATTGGAATGGAAAACTAGGCCAAGGGGAAGAAAAGAAATCATGGAAGTAGAAGACTAGTGGATGTGGCAACTTCAATGACAAGTGTTGGACTCAAGTCTATTGCTCACTTCTGCCTGGGAATTCATCAAATTTCTTGAGGCCTCAGTCTCCTTACTTGTAGATTAAAGGATTGTACAATAATCTGTTTGGTCTATTTTCACTTTGAAACAGAAAAATCTCTGATTCTATGTTGTTTACAGTAGTGCCCCCCCATACCCACAGGGGATTAATTCCAAGACCCCCAGCAGATGCCTGAAACCATGGATAGTATTGAACTATGTTTTTTCCTATACAGTCACACTGTATAGGGTGGGAAGCACACAGAGTGTGGATATACTGGACAAAAGGATGATGCACATCCCTGATGGGACAGAGCAGAACAGCATGAGACTTCATCATGCCACTCAGAGCAGCATACAATTTAAAACTTATCAATTGTTTATTTCTGGGATTTTCCATTTAACATTTTTGGACTGCAGTTGACTGTGGGTAACTGACACCACTGAAAGTGAAACCAGAGATAAGGGGGACTACTGTGCTTTTTTCCCCGAGGATTCAAGACCACGTGATTAACAAATATTGTGGTTTATTTTCACCAATTTCTTTTTCCCTAAGATAAAATGACTCTCCTTTATCTGTGGAAAGTGACAAAGGAAGGAAGTACTGTTTAATAGGTAATCCTGCAATTCCTATAGCTGATAGAATAACAATAGGTTTGTCCCTAATTTGATGAGTTTAGGGTTGCTTTTTTCTAAAGGCAGAAATTTTGTTGATGGGGACTTAAAGCAGAGGAGACCCTTTTATAGCAAGCTTCTTGAAAGGAGGCAAAGAAGATAGAATTTATATGTTTTAGCCTTGATGAAATATAACTCAATCTTTGCAAAACGAATTGTATATATTCATTGGAAAAAACAATAATTAGCTCAGGCTGGAGGTCAAGAAGTCTAGCTCCAATTCATAGCTCGTCAAATAGCATGGTTAACTTTTTTTTAGCTCAATATATCCTGGATTACTAGCTTTCTGTTACTAATCTGCCATTAAAAAATAAGAATGTAAACAGGGAAAGGTAATTGTACCAACTTTGGATATTGGAGTATTTTGAAGTTTTTTTTTAAATATGTATTTACAAATAATATTCTCCTTCTTTCAGGAAGCTTCTAAACATCAAGTTAATCTTTTTACTACTCCATTCAAATTTTATTCCTAGGAATTCAGTGTCTTGTAAGTTTTAATTCTGTGAGTGCTGCACTTGGGGAAGACAGAATGAAGAAAGGCCTCTATACCTACTGATGCCTGATATGGGCCAGGAATTGAGTTAGACCTTTCATATACATTTCATTCATTTTACTCCCAAAACATGTCTGGGAGATACATATTATTCTCATGTATTCAACAAATACATATTGAACATCCATGTGTGTCAAGAACGATGCAAGGTGCTGTGGACTGAATGTATGTCCCCACCCCCAAATTCATATGTTGAAACCTGATTCCTAATGTGATGGTGTTTGGAGGTGGGACCTTTGGGAAGTGATTAAGTCATGAGGGTGGAGCACTCGTGAATGGGATTAGTGTCCTTATAAAAGAGGCCCCAAAAACTGCCCCATCCCTTCTGCCATGTGACGACACAGAAAACAGAAAGCCATCTATCAACCAGGAAGTGGGCCCTCACCAGACACTGAACCTGCGATGTCTTGATCTTGGATTTCCCCAGCCTCTAGAGCTGTAAGCAATAATTTTCTGTTGTTTATAAGCCAGCCAGTTGTGGAAATGACTAGTGTGATATTTTGTTATAGCAGCCTGAACAAGCTAAAACAAAGACAACAGGTACATAGCAGTGAACAATAAAGTCCCTGCCTTCACGGATGCTAAAAGCATAGTAGGGAAGATAATCTATAAGCAAGTAAATCAACAAAATAAATACACTGCTATAAATTGTTATACCTCCTGCAAAGAAAATATGAAAGAGTACCGTGACAGAGGGCAATAGTGGGAGATGATCTAGGATCAGTGATCAGAGGCCTCTTGAAAAGGTAAGAGCTGAAAGATGAGAAGTGGCCAGCCATGTGACCAGCTACAAACATGTGTTCCTGTAGAAAAAAAACATGCAAAGGCCACAGGGTGGGAAAGAGCACACTTTAAGTCACTCAAAGAATACCTGTGTAGTAAGAACACACTAAGTGAGAAGGAGTAGGGTGGTGCTAGACAGGGAACACAGGCTCAGAAAAGGCAAATATTCCATATTCACCCAGCTAGGAAACAGGCCAGCCAAGAATGGAAGGCAGCCTGCCTGGTTCCACCACTCCATCTCTCCTGCCATCCTGCCACGGTAGATAGACACTCATATATAGAAACTAGTTTAAACGATTTGTTTTTTCCTGCTTTTTCACAATTTTAAACTTTAAAAGGCTAATCCAGGTTTTTGCAAATTGCTCTAGCTTTTTGAAGGTATAGCCATGGGTTGGACACAGTCAACTAACAAGTTACTTCTAGAAGTCTTAAGTCTTGTTTGCCCGCTTCCTAGATGACTTGGTTTTTGATGCCTCAGTGTGTGCCACTATTGTAAGAATGAATCTAGAAGGAGTCTGCTTTTGTAGCCAGTAAGGTGAGGGGGTGTCTCAGAAAAGCCTAGGGAGCACTTGTGATGTGTAGAGAGAAGGAAACCTTGTTCAGGCTTCTGTATATAAGAAAAATGGCTAGTGTGGCTTCTCTGTTCTGGTCACTAGATTCCCAATGGCAGTGGAAGGTGGATAATTTTTACTTGACTTCACCAGGCATGGTAATGTTTTTGGATCTTATAAAATGGTAGAGTTACTTAAAAATGACTGGTCTCACTCTCTAGAACAATCTCTATACTCTTTATTAAGTAATTAAACATAAACTCATATGACTAGAGAATGATTCTGTTATTAACCCCAGGCCCTCATTACTTGAGAACTAGTATAAGGTTTCACCACAAATGACAAAGGGACATGCTCCTTTCTGGGTCCTGCTTCCCTTGTGTTGTAATCTGTGGTCCTACGCAACCAGGAGCAGGGGGTTTGTATTCCCCGACTGCAGTGCTTGCAGTTCGTATTTTAAAGTACAATTTCTGTGTTTATGTAACTTTGGCTATATCTGTTCCTATTCCTATTGCTTGAGCTCAGATCCATGCGCTCTAGAACTTAATGAAGTGTGTTTTATTGCCAATGTAGACTGCAGGTGCCTGCTAATGCCATAGAGTGGCTTGTGGAAGGCTGTGGTGGGTGAGATCTTATTTACCACCCTGGATTTCAGTGTGTAGAAAACAACTACTGGTGTCAGTAGAGCAAAGCTTCTGGTCTGATAGAACATCAAGAAATACTTTCATAATCTTTTTCTTTTAATTCAGGCCAAACCATTCATGTACCAAGTGGCTGTGACATAATATAAAGAGCTTTTTACTTCTTTCCTTGCCTATGGTTGAAGCCTATGACCTATTCAATTAATTTCCACTTACTTCTCATTCTGCTCCTATTTTCACTAACTCTTTGTCCTTCAGTTTCATGTCCCTCGCCCTGGGACACAAAACATAATTGGGCTTCTCTGGCTTTCAGCTTTGGCCCTCTTTCTTGGACAAGATTCACCTCCTGTCTATGTTTCAGCTACTTCAGATAACCAGCCCATGTTATCCTGATCCCAGGAATTCTCAAAAATGGGACAGTTTGACCAGCACTATAACCTATTTCTCCACCAGAAAAAATAAAACAAAACCTTTTCCTATATTGCTTTCTGGCATTTCCCAAAGTATATTATTTTGACTACTAGTACTGCATCATAATATAATCCATAGACATGTGTCACACCTGTGTTTATAGTCATGCCTTGTTTTGAGATAAACTTTATTGTGCTTTGCAGATACCGTGTTTTTTTACAAAATGAAGATTTGTGACAATATTGTGTCCATAGGCACCATTTTTCCAACAGCACATGTTCACTTCCTATCTCTGTGTAACATTTTGGTAATTCTCACAATATTTCAAACTTGTTATTATTATATCTGTTATGGTGATCTGTGATCATTGATCTTTGATGTTACTCTAGTAATTGTTTTGGGGCTCCATGAACACCCGTAATTAAGATGATTAACTTAATAAATGCTGTGTGTGGTTTGAGTGCTCCACTAACCAGCCATTCTCTCATCTCTCTCCCTTTCCTTGGGTCTTCTTATTCCCCAGGACACAAAAATACTGATATTAAACGAATTAGTAACTTTACAATGCCCTGTTAAGCGTTCAAATGAAAGGAAGACTGGCATTTCTGTCACTTTTAATTAAAACCTAGAAATGATTACTCTTATTGAGGAAAGCGTGTCAAAAGCCAAGATAGGATGAAAGTTAGGTCTCTTGTACCCAACAGTAACATAACTTTTGAATGCAAAGAAAAAGTTCTTGGAGGAAATTAGAAGTGCTACTCCAGTGAATACATGGATGATAAGAAAGCAAAGCAGCCTCATTGCTGACATGGAGAAAGTTGCAGTAATCTGGGTAGAAGATCAAATCAGCCGTAACATTCTCTTAAGACAAACCAATCGAGAGCAAGACCCTAACTTTCTTCAATTCTATGAAGGCTAAGAGAGGTAAGGAAGCTGCAGAAGAAAAGTTGGAAGCTAGCAGATTGGTTCATGAGGTTTAACGAAAGAAGCTGGTTTAAGGAAAGAAGCTATTTTCATAACATAAAAGTACAAGGTGAAGCAGCAAGTGCTGGTGTAGAAGCTACAGCAAGTTATCCAGAAGATCTTGCTAACATTATTGATGAAGGAGGTTACACTAAGCAGGTTTTTAATGTAGATGAAACAGCCTTCTATTGGAAGAAAATGCCATCTAGGACTTCCATAGCTAGAGAGGAGAAGTCAATGCCTGACTTCAAAGCTTCAAAGGACGGGCTGACTCTCTTATTAGGAGCTAATGTAGCTGGTGACTTTAAGTTGAAGCCAGTACTTATTTACCATTCTGAAAATTCTAGAGTCCTTAAGAAGTATGCTAAATCTACTTTGCCTGTGCTCTATAAATGGAACAACAAAGCCTGGATGACAGCATATATGTTTATAATATGATTTGCTACATATTTTTAGCCCACTACTAAGGCCTACTGTTAGGAGAAAAAGATTCCTTCAAAACATTACTCCTTGTCGACAGTGTACCTCATCAACCAAGAGCTCTGATGGAGATGCACAAGGAAATTAATGTTTTTTTCATGTCCAGTAATACAGCATTTATTCTGTAGCCCAGGGATCAAGGAATTACTTAAACTTTCAAGTCTTAGAATTTAAGAAATACGTTTTATAAGTCTATAGCTGCCATGAATAGTAACTCCTGTAATGGACCTGGGCAAAGAAAATGGAAAACCTTCTGGAAAGTGTTCACCATTCTATATGCCACTGAGAAAATTCATGATTCATAAGAAGACGCTAAAATATTATTAACAGGAATTTGGAAGAAGTTAATTCCAAACCTCCTGGATAACTTTGAGGGGGTTCAATACTTCAGTGGTGGAATTAACTGCTGATGTGGTGGAAACAGCATGAGAACTACAATTAGAAGTGGAGCCCAAAGATGTGACTGAGTTGCTGCTCTCTAATGATAAAGCTTGAACAGGTGAGGAGGTGCTTCTTACAAATGAGCAAAGAAAGTGGTTTCTTGAGATAGAATCTACCCCTGGTGAAGATGCTATAAACATTGTTGAAATGACAATATATTACATAAACTTAGTTGATAATGCAGTGGCAGCATTTGAGAGGACTGACTCCAATTTTGAAAGAAGTTTCGTTGGGAGGCCAAGGCGGGTGGATCACCTGAGGTCAAGAGTTCGAGACCAGCCTGGCCATCATGGCAAAACCCCGTCTCTACAAAAAAATAAAAAGAAATTAGCTGGACATGGTGATGGGTGCCTGTGATATCAGCTACTTGGGAGGCTGAGGCAGGAGAATCGCTTGAACCCAGGGGGCGGAGGTTAGAGTGAGCCGAGATTGTGCCACTTCACTCCAGCCTGGGACACAGAGTGAGACTCTGTCTCAAAAAAAAAAAAAAAAAGAAAAGAAAAGAAAGAAAGAAGTTAGTTCTGTAGGTAAAATGCTATCAGTGAGCATCACATGCTACAGTAAAATCGTTTTTAAAAGAAAAGTCAATGGGTACAGCAAACTTCACTGTTGTCATTACATGCACTGGGAAGTCAAAAAATTCATGTGACTTTCATTATTGCAATACATTATTGTGGTGGTCTGGAAATGAACCTGAAATATCTTTGAAGTATGCCTGTAATCAGTTTTAAAATATGGTGCAGAGACCTGAATTTTATTTCCTGTTGGCAATACGCAATGTACATTATCAAAATTAAAACCCTAAGAATTATTGGAGAAAATTTTGAAATATTTAGTGTATTTTACCACAAATTTTCCAAACTTATCTATGAATGTTATTTTCAAATACTCATAATAATGCTGCCACATAATTATAGTATCCCAAGAATCATACTTTAGAAAATGTTACTGCGTGGTAACTTCCTTTGTGATACTATTAAATTATTACTGCCCCTTATAGGTACAAAAGCCTGGTGATTTGTATTTAAAGTATTCCATCCTCATTTACCTGCGAGAAAATCTCTAGCTTCTCTGGCAATCTAAATATTAAGCAAAAAATATTTAGATAGAGGGAAAATCTATGGGTAAATTAAAAATTTTAAGTGCTTATAAAATTATAAACCGGTGTGTGCAATCTCAAGACCTCACTGCTGGGCTCTTGAAGGGTACAGGAAGCCTTCTCTACAACCCATTATTTTCAAACCAACTCCAAACTCACCTTCAAAATTAACGTTCATACCTAGCATAGGAGACAGAGTGATCTTCATTCCCAATTCCCTCCCTGGTAATAAAATAAATATTCCAGAGCTAAGATTATACAACAATATTGTTAAGAAGAAGAGTATAAGTTTTGGAACTCAATTGAATTTAAGCCTTTTTGTGTCTCCTATGACTATGGAAATAAGACTATTGTGTAAGAAAGGAGTGAAGCTGTACTTGAGAAGAAGTATCTCATTTTTTCTAATTAAAGCAATTTTATGATAAGTAAATCAATTTGGAAACAATTTTGGATAGAAATATATGAACAAATGAATGAGCCAATAAATACATGTGTTGATGTTGTTGGGATTCAGCCTTGCCACTGAGAAGAGAAATAAAAATGTGGAGGAGCAAAGGCAATGAAGTACTCTGTGGTGGTGAATTGGAATTGGACATGCTGATGTGAACTCATAATTTCTAAAGTGTGGATATAAATGTATAATATATAGCATGAATGTATGCATATGTCTGTGCATGTGTGGGTGCATATATGTATGCATATTTGTACGTTTCTGAATGAATTTGTATATATACATGTGCATATTTCCTAGCTCTGTCTTCTGAAAGCATCAAGAAGCAAAGACATTCCAGTTGGGCATGCCTAGTCCCAAACTTTGGTCTCTAATACTATTCACCACTAAAAGGACTCCAACTCCTTGGCTAATTCCAGGGCTCAGGCAGGGTAGGTATGGATGATCCTAGAACATTTTGTTCTTTTAAAAGTTAGACTAGGGCTCAAAAACTAAGAGATGGATACCAAAAGGACAGAGCCATATGAATAGGCTCCTTCTTGCCAAATCTGGAGCAATTTGATCATCAACTATTTAGTACTTGAATGAATTATAAACTATTAAAAATAGAAATTCCTTAGTCCATACCAATAATAAATAGATAAATAACTAAATAAGTGGGAAAGAAAGCAGAGTCCTTGCTTATGGTATGTTGCTGAGAGTCAACCGGCAAATGTGTAGGATGAGCTAGTCTTGAAAGATTAGCATTTTGCAAACATTGATGACTGCCAAATTATGATGAAGAGCCAGATACTTGAATCATCTTGAAGGATTTCCCCTACAAACTGCTGATGAGTTTCAAGAGAAAAAAAATTATACAGTGGAGAAATCAGGTAACACTTTGGGTGATCAAAATTAATATCAATGAAAGGCAGAAGGCCATTGTGTATATCCAGATTGATCACCTGTGCTGTCATCTTGCTGAAAATAGAATGTAATCATAAGAAAACATCAAACCCCAAATAAGAAACAATCCCTATTTTTTAAAAAAAGGAACATGATTGTATTCTTCAAAAATGAAAGGGTCATGAAAGACAAAGAATCTTGGGATATTTCAGATTAAGGGAGATGCAAAAGACATGACAACTAAATGTGATATGTAAATCTAGACCAGATCCAGTATTGGAGAGGGGGGAAATTACTGTGAAGGTTATTATTAGGTCAACTGAAAAACTGAAATACAGATGACAGATTATATCTAAAGTAAATATATCTTAGATTTATTAGAGATATCAATACTACTTTAACTGAGCTTGATAACTATTATGATTATTCTTAATGAAATTCCTACTAAGGTACTTAGAAGTAAAGGGCAGTGGTGTATGTAACTTATCTACCAGTGATTCAGGAAAAATATTATACATCTATCTATCTATCCATCTATCCCTCATTATCTACCTATCTATCTCTCGAGCAATCAATAAGGTAATGGAGTAAGATATTAATCATGGGTGAATATAGGTTAAAGAGTATACGGGTGTTCTTTGCATTATTCTTATTCTTGCAAGTATTCTTATGATAGGTAAATCAATTCTGAAACAATTTTGGATATAAAAAAATGAACAAATGTAACTTCGAAAACATTTCCATATTTTTTAAAGTTAAAAAAAGTTATCACCAGTTGCTTTATCATATTTGTTAGTATTTATGCTACATATAAAGATATTATAAACACTTAGGATTTCAGAAGGGAGGGTAACACTAGCATAAATGGGACTTTATAAACCTTGCAGGAGATACTATAGAGAAAATTGTCAAAATGATATTCTCCAGACTCAATATTTTAAAAAGAGAGACTCATTTCTCACAAAGTATCACAACTAGGTAGGGAGCTTCCTGAGAAACAAAAGAAAAAGATGTCTAGTCTCAACTCTTGGACACAATTTGACTGCGGACTGGGAGGGGTGTTTCTACATATGACATTTTGTAGTACCATTAAACTGTTCTCTAGTGTACCCATTGGGAAATTTGTCTCAGATTCCTAGGCAAAAGGACTCCATAAAATGGGATAATGACAATCAAGGCTACTCTTTCTCAAGTCCAAGTAGAATTAAAATTTATAACTTCTGTGGGGACCACGGCTTTCCGCATTTCACTCAAAGCATGACTGGCAGCTCAATTAGAGCAACAAGATCAGTGTGGGCAGCCCTGTGTCTTGCCAGGTCAGTGCTGGCGGCCGTGAGAGAGGCGATGACCCATGCAGATGCTGCAGCAGCAATACAGAGGCTATGCAGGAAATGGGGAGTGGGAGAATTGCTGCAGCAGCAGAACTGCCACCCACTGGGAGATATCAACTACCCAGGGCTCGACCTGGCAAAGGGAACATTCCTGTGATTCTGCGGGGTAAAATTCAGAGCCAATGACTTGTCAGTACCATGGCTGTTTGTTCTCACATCCTTTAAAGGCTATCATGACCTTCCCCTAACCCTGAACCCAAGTAACAGTTGCCTTGGTAGGGAAGGTTCCAGCTGTGTTGAACAAGTAACCAGAAGACCAACTTCTTGCACAACCTCATTCCAAGTTAAGTAGGGGCTTGAGTAGGACAGTTTTGGATTTGGAATCCCTTGTTCTCAGTATACCCCACCTAGAAGCATTACTGAGCTGTGTTCAGAAAAATGCCAAGAAAAGCCTTTTCCAACGGCAGCCTTACTGGAGTTGGGAGAAAAGTCTGTTCTTTTTCTTTCAACACCCTCCCGTACTCTACAGATGCTGACACAAATAGAATGCACCTGTGCTCATGAAACGTGTCCTGACACTTGTCCCCAAAATATTCACAGAATGTAGCACAGCAATGGTACACCTTGCTGGGTGCTGTCTCAGAAAAGAACAAAGCTTCAAGGCCTTCCACTTTTGCCTATGGAGCTGCTTCCCCCTCCAAGCACATAACCTGTGCATATGCTGCGCTGAAAAGAAATATTCTCTAACAAACTTCATAAGCATTAATAGATCTCTGAGCCTTTAAGTTTGACTGACTCTAATTATACATTCCTCATGTCATGCTTGTCCTGAACTACATAGAAAGATGTTGAGATGTGCAATGGATAGATGACTCATTTTAAATATTGGAGATAGAATCAGGAACCATAATTCTGGAACATAACAATGCCCTTTTGTTCTGAATTTTACCCCGCAGAATCACAGGAATGTTCCCTTTGCCAGGTCGAGCCCTGGGTAGTTGATATCTTCCCAGTGGGTGGCAGTTCTGCTGCTGCAGCAATTCTCCCACTCCCCATTTCCTGCATAGCCTCTGTATTGCTGCTGCAGCGCCTGCATGGGTCATCGCCTCTCTCACAGCCGCCAGCACTGACCTGGCAAGACACAGGGCTGCCCACACTCATCTTGTTGCTCTACTTGAGCTGCCAGTCATGCTTTGAGTGAAATGCCCTTCCACGTGGAAGGGCACCTGGAGACTATTGTGGCAGTTCATGGAGATGCACTTAGACATCTTAGGGCGAGTCTTAGAGGTACTATTGTGTAGAGCACCATAATCCAGAAGCAGAGAGAGGTTATGATTTCCTTGTAGGATATTGTACTTGGGTTCACATTGAGTGTGAAGTGGTGGGAATAAGGTGTTATGACTGACAATTCAAATACAGTTGTGGCTTCCAGCAGGGTGTATGAGTATGGTGAGGCTTCTGAGGCCCAGAAACTGGCATAAAGGGAATTTTTGAACAAGGAGGGAAGGAATAAATTAGAAGAAAGTGGTTGTTGGATTCTCTAAAACATCCAAGGTAGCTTCAAACTTACGAAGTTTTTTTCTCAACTATGTCTTGGAAATTGTCATTCATCCACATACTCAGCAGAAAACTGTTGAATATCCACTATGTTCCAGGCACTGTACTGGGTATGTACAAAGATGAAAGCACAGTGTCTGCCTGAAATTGTTCTCAATGAAAAAACCCATCAACAGACCATTGAAGAGCAATGTGCTGAGGGCAATGATAGGGATGTGCACATGGAAGCACCAAGGAAGGCCATGTAGCTTAGTCAAAAGTTCTGGGAACGCATCTTAGAGGAGGAAGGCCATCAGCTAGATGTTAAAGTATTTAATAGACTTCACCAAAACTTACCTATAGCAAGGCACAGCATCAGCACAGGCTAGGGGTGCAAAACAGCATAATAAAGAGGAGGACTGCAAAAACAGTCCATGGTGCTCGGGGCTGACAGCAGGATGGCAGACAGTTGGCCTGAATTAGGAACAGAGGCCACAGCATGGCAGTCCTCAGAGATCACAGTGAGCCTCCTAGGGGCATGCTGTAGAGGGTGTGGGTTCAGCAGTGGGTGTTAAGCCAAACAGAAACTCAGCTATCTGTCCTCTCTGGCTGGAGTGTGAAGAATGAATTTTAAGAGGACAGGTCTGCTGTCATTAGGGAAGGCTGATATAGGAATCTCATAGAAGGTGGCAAGTGTCCACTCCTATATAAGTAGGAGTAAGGATAGAGAGGAAGGCAGATACAACCAGCAGGACTCAGTAATTAATCTGTTTAGGGGAAGAATACGCATTGGTGAGGACAAAGTAAAGTAGATCCAATCCCAATTCTGCCTTTATTATATACGTTAGGAAATATTACTCTATTGCTCTATAAAATGGGTAATAGCAAAGTCTAGATATCTTATCTGCCTTTCAGATCTTAAAATAGGCTCACCTCTTTCCTGCCTCAGGGCCTTTGCACATGCTATTTTTTCTGCCTGGAATAAGAAATTATCTGTTTTTCATCTTCTGCTGATCTTTTCTCATCCTTCCGGCCTAGGTCAAAAGGTCACCTACTCAGAGTAGCTTTCTGTGACTAACCTAGGTAGGTGGGTACCCTCCCCTTATTATTATTCTTTTTCCCTCCACCCTACTCATATACTCCAAAACATAGAACATCATTTCTAATTATACTGTTATTTATTTATTTGTAGACAACAACCATTTCTAATGTATCCCCAAGGCTAGCAAGCAGTAGTCATTCAACTAACAATTGTTTGACTAGAGCTGCAGCCTAAGCAGTATGTTGAACCCTATGGCCCGGAATATGTGGGGAGTAGCATCTGGGTGGTGACCCAAGGCAGCCCATGCCAGATATGAGCCGGGGACCTTCACTGGTCTAAGGTAAGGAGGCACATGTCACGGGCTGAATTGTGTACCCCCTCCCAAAAGATAAGTTAAAATCATAACCCCCAGTACCTCAGAATGTGACCTTATGTGGAAATAGGGTTTTTACAAAGGTAACTAAATTAAATGAGGTGATGAAGATGGGATTTAATCCAATACGACTGTATCCTTAAGAGAAGTGGAAAGCTGGACACAGAGGCGTACATGGAGAGAAGAGGATGTGAAGAGACATGGGGAGAAGAGAGCTATGCACAAGCCACAGCATGCCCGAGGCTACCATAAAGTAGGAGAGAGCCCTGGAGCAGATCCTGCCTTCAGAAGGAACATGGCCCTGCCCGCCGTGATTTTGAACTTCCAGCCTCCAAATCTGTGAGACAATAACTGTCACTTGTTCTAAACCACCCATTTTTGTGGCACTTTGTTACAGCAACTCTAGGAAACTAACACAGAGTACTTCAGACAGTAGTCAATGTCCTGGGATTATAAAGGTAAATCTAAATAAGCCTGTGAGATTTAGGCCTAGAGGTTAATTTTACTCCAAGTTTTACCCACAAGCCGGCGTGGCTTAAGATCTAAACTGTGCTCGTACCTCAATCCTGTGAGAGTCTATATTCTGAACAATGGGTGCTGTTAACGTAGGTTGTAGGAAAATATCATCAACTGCGTCAATAATCCTTGAAAATCTGGACAGAAATAATGAGTGTGTCATTGTTCTGACCAAGAGCAATGAAACTATATGAAGAAAAATGGAATAATTATGCTAAGAATAGTGACTGCCTTTATACTAAATATAGGTAAAAGAATATCTACTGAGAACTATTTATGTGTGTTCTCTGCAAATGACTTCACAATTTAAACACCTAAGTCACATTTTCTGCTGTAAAAATAGAGAACTAATCAATGATTCTCCTCATTCTGTTTTTAAACTTAGCTCCATTTCTTTTCTCATGTTAACAATTAGTCTTTTAACTGGTACACTCACGACATGTTAAAATATACTCAGAGTCCAATCATGCACTAAAAGACATTAGCTAACCACCTCCACTCTCTACTGTTCTTTCACACTTTCTTCCTAGTGGCTACATAGCTAGTTCTAAATATACTTTAGACATTTCGTAAAATGCAGAAAATTACTTGTAAAATTTAAATTAGTGTCAGTGCAGTTTCAAATCTGCTAATAAAAATTTTTAAAACACAGTATCAGGAAACCCAATTTATAATACTTCCTGTCAGCATCGAAATTCTAGATTCTAGATATTAGCATTAAAAAAACACAAAAGAAATAGAATAAATCCAATAAATAAAATTGAATTATTTTGACCCACATTTATGGTTATATTTTAATATCGATATAACTTAGCATATAAGTTATATTTTGGGGTGAAAAAATTTTAAATATCCTTGTAAGATATACACTGCAGTTCCTGAAGTCAATGAAAGCTCACATACCTGATAATTGACCCTTCTCAGAATTTAACCTGAAGTGAATCTTTCGGACACAGATTGCTTTAGTGTATGCTGTGTACATTTCGGGAAATTGAGTTTAGTCAACATGGTTGGCAGACTACCCAACATTCACCTCCACTTCCTGTTTCTAACTCTCACAGTTTTGTTCAGATATTCATTCCTTTTTCAGTTTCAGAAGAAATTCTGATTGGAGCAATTTAATTGAGATATATTTTCCTGTTATCCAGGAGTGGATTCATTTAAAATGGCCCAATCAGACTGAAGAGAAAGGCATACTTACACAAGTTTCTGGGACACAAGTTTCTCTTTCTCTTCTCTCTCTAGCTTTAGCTTGCGATTCTGCAGATCACAAATTATCATGTATTTATTTCTCCATCTGCTTCTTGCAGATGTCTTACGATCGTTAAGAGAACCAACATGAAGACACAGATAAAAGGGTGATGGCAGGCTGGGTGTCATGGCTCACACCTGTAATCCCAGCACTTTGGGAAACTGAGGTGGGCAGAACACTTGAGGTCAGGAGTTCAAGAACAGCCTGGCCAACATGGTGAAACCCCATCTCTACTACAAATATAAAAATTAGCCAGGCGCTATGGGGCTCACCTGTAATCCCAGCAATTTGAGAGGCTGAGGCATGAGAATCACTTGAACCTGGGAGGTGAAGGTTCCAGTGAGCCAAGATCATGCCACTGCACTCCAGCCTGGGCAACAGAGCGAGACTCTATCTCAAAAAACAAAAAAATGATGATGGACAAAACATAGTTGAACACAAAGATAGAAAGACACATGTCCTTGCTGACTTCATTGAATTGCTAAATAAACCTGAAAAATTACTCTACTTCTTATTTCTTTTTATGTGACATAATAAATTGCTTGATTTCTTTAAAAAGATAGTTTTGCCAAGGAAATCCTCCTAAGTGATATTGCCAACTTTGCTACTGAGTCACAACAGATCAGGCCATGTATTGATCAGAGCATGAGCCAAAGTCAAGTTATCTATGGACAGAGTATAAAAGACAACTCAGGCTTCCACACTGGCTTAGTATGTAGTGTTCCCTATCGGGTCAAAGAAACCTGATTTAATCACACTGTAGCTTTTGGGAAGTATAAATATAGCTATCATTTATTGAGTGATACGTTTCTGTAATGCATTTATATGAATTAATCCCATTAAATTTGCCTAAAAACTTCCATAAAATATGTAAAACTCTATTTTACATATGAGGAAACTGAGGCATAAAGAAACTAAAAAGCTTAAACTGGGCGATACTATTTCAAGGTAATAAAACACAAGGCTCTAAATTCCAAAAACATTTGTGCCTAGGGTCACTAAGAAAAAAATCTTTGCTACTGGATTATATCATGCTTTTCTCAATATGGTTCTTTTCCAGATAGCATGGGCACTATCATATGATAGACATGAACTTTCTTACATGTTCTTTTTTTTATTGTGGTAAAAGACACAAACATGAAATTTAACCTCTTAACAACATTTTAAATGTACAATACAGTATTGTTAGCTATAGGCACCATGTTGTACAGTAGGTCTCCAGAACTTTTTCATCTTGCATAACAGAAATTTAATACCTATTGAACAGCAACTTTCTATTTCTTCCTCTGCCTCTGCCCCTTCGTGCTTCGATAAGCTGGACTACTTTAGATATCTCATATAAGCGGAATCATGTAGCATGTGTCCTTCAGAGATGGGCTTATTTCACTCAGCATAATGTCCTCCAGGTTCATTCCTGTTACTTCATATGCTGGGTTCCCTTCTTAAGACCAAATAATGTTCCTTTGTATGTACATACCACATTTTCTTTATCCATTTATCCTTTGATGGACATTTAGGTCCATACATATTTTCTCTCATTTTTTCACTCTGTTGATTGTGTTCTTTGTTGTGCAGAAGTGCACAGTGTTAGTTTTATGTTTTCTCACTTGTCTGTTTTTACTTTTGCTGCCTGTGCATTTGGGTTCATATCCAAGAAATAATTGCCAAGACCAATATCATGAAGCTTTTCCCCCCATATGTTGTCTTCTAGGAGTTTTATATTTCCAGACCTCAGGCTTAAATCTTGAATCCATTTTGAATTGATTTTTGTAGATGGTGAAAGACTAGGTTCCAATTTTATTCATTTGCATGTGGATATACAGTTTCCCCAAGACCACTGGTTGAAGAGACTATTCTTTACCCATTGTGTGTTCTTGATCCCCTTTCAAATATTAGTTGACCATATATGCACAGATTTATGGGCCCTCTATTCTTTTCTGTTGGTTTATATGTCTGACTTTATGTTAGTACCATACTGGTTTGATTACTGTAGCTTTGTAATATGTTTTGAAATGAAGACGTATGAGACTCCCAGCTTTCATCTTTTTCTTGAAGATCATTTTGGCTGTTCAGGTCCTTTGTGCTTCCATTTGAATTTTAGATTTTTTTATTTCTTTAAAAAATGTCATTGGAATTTTGATAAAGATTGTATGGAATCTGTACATTACATGGAGTAATAGGATCATTTTAATAATATTAAATCTTCCTATTCATCAACACAGAATTTATTTTCATTTATTGGTGTATTATTTTATTTCTTTCAGCCATGTTTTATGGTTTTCAGTGTACAAGTTTATGCCTCTTTGGTTAAGTTTATTCCTAAGTATTTTATTCTCTTTAGAATATTATAAATGAAATTTTTTTCTCAATTTCTTTTTTGTATTGTTTATTGTTAATGTATAGAAATGTAACTGATTTTCATACATTAATTTTGTATCCTGAAAGTTTACTGAATTTGTTTATTAGTTCAAACAGATTTATGAAATTCTTAAGGTTTTCTCCATGTAGGATAATGTATTCTAAAAACATAATTTTACTTATTCCATTCCAATTTGGATGCCTTCTGTTTATTTTTTCTTGCCTAATTGTTCTGGCCAGGAATTTCAATAATATGTTGAATAGAAGTGGTGTGGGTGGGTTTTTTGACTTGGTCCTGATCTTAAATGAAAAAATTTCATTTTTTCACCACTGAGTATGACGTTAGCTGTGGGCTTTTCATATTTGGCCTTTATTATGTTAAGGTATTTTATTCTATTCCTAGTTTGTTGAGTGTTCATGTGATTTTCATTATTCATTCTGTTCTATTGATATGATGTATCACGTTGATTGATTTTTGTATGTTGAACTATCCTTGCATCCCAGGGGTAAAACCCAGTTGGACGAAGTGTATGATCCTTTCAATGTGGCATTGAATTTGATTTGCTGCTTGAAAATTTTTACATTTGCATTCATCAGGAATATTGATCTGTAATATTCTATTACTGTAATGTCCTTATAATACTGGTCTCACAAAATGAATTGTTTGTCGCTTTTAAGATTTTCAGTTAGAAACTCTAAGGAGGCTGGGGCATTTCAGCACAGTGTCCCCATTTTCTCCCTGAAGGTTTGGGGAGCGTGGGGGACTTGAGCATCCCTCTGAGGGAGGTAATGGCAACAATGATGACAACCATACTATGAGCTCACATTTATTTACGGAGCTCTTATTGTGTTCCCGGCACTGTGCAAAGCTCTTAACACATATTGTCTCATCAAATCCTCACAGCAGCCCTGTGGGAAAATGCCATTATCCCCATTTTACAGAAGGAGAAACTGTGTCACAGGTAGAGGCAGCAGCTTTCCTAAAGTGGCAAAGCTGGTGAGGGGGCAGCCCAGTTTTGAACTAAGCCACCATATTCCAGAGCAGCTTCCTTTAACTACTAGAGAGAGAGAGAGTTATTTCCAAGGGAGGGATTCCACATCCAGCCATCAGTTTGTAGAAGTATTAATCTCCTCTTTCTCTCTCTCTCTGTGTGTGTGCTTTCAGAATATATAGCCGTGTTTTTTAATGTAGTCAGCCACTCTGTCTTATTTCAAATTAATATTATTTTTAGAAATAGGATAGAAGGCCCAGAAATAAACCCAAGTATTTACAGTCAATCAATTATCAAGAAAGATCTCAAAAACATGCAATAGAAAGAGAACCAACTCTTCAATAAATGGTGTTGCAAAAATTGGATATCCACAGGGAGGAGAATAAAATTGAACCCTTATCTCACACCATATAAAAAATCAAATCAATCTGGATGAAACACTTAAATGTAAGGCCTAAAATGGCAAAGCTACTAAAAGAAAATGGGGAAAGCTCCATGATACTGGTCTGGGCAGCAATTTTTTGATTAGGACTCTAAAAGCACAGGCAACAACAACAAAACCCAGACAAATGGTACTGCGTCAAACTAAAAAGCTTTGCACAGCCAAGGAAGCAATTAACATTGAAGAGAAAGTCCATGGATTGAGAGAAATTATTTGCGAAATACATCTAATAAGGGTTTAATGTCTAAAATCTATAGGGAACTCAAACAGCTGAATAGCAAGAAAACAAATAACTTAATTAAAAATTAGGTAAAGGACATGAATAGACATTTTTCAAAAGAATGCATATGATGTTGAACATGTACATGAAAAAATGCTTAACATATTTAAACATCAGAGAAATGTAAATTATAACCATAATGGCATATCAGTTTACAACTATTAGAATGGTTATTAAAAAAAAACTAATGTTAACATGTATTGACAAAGATGTGGAGAAATTGGCAAAGATGTGGAGCATAGCCATTATGAAAAATAGTGTAAAGGTTTCTCAAAAACTAAACATAGAATTACCATATGATCCAACAATCCCACTTCTGGGTATATATCTAAAGGAACTGAAATCAGTATGTAGAAGAGATAGCTGCACTCCCATGTTCATTTCAGCATTATTCACAATTGCCAAGAAAACGGACCTATGTGTCCACTAACAAATGAATGGATAAAGAAAATGTGGTATAGACACAAAACCTAATACTAGTCAGCCATAAAAAAGAAGAAAATCTTGTAATTCAAGACAACATGGATGGAACTAGAGGTCATCACACTCAGTGAAATAAGCCAGGCACAAAAAGACAAATACCACATGTTCTCACTAATATGTGGAATCGAAAAAAGTAAGTCTCATAGCAACAGAGAGTAGAAAAGCAGTCACCAGAGGTTAGGGGAGATAGAAGGGGATGGAATAAGGGAAGGTACTGTTTTTTTGAGACAGGGTCTTGCTCTGTTGCCCAGGCTGGAGTGCAGTGGCACGATCTTGACTCACTGCAACCTCTACCTCCCAGGTTCAAGCGATTCCCCTGCCTCAGCCTCCTGAGTAGCTGGGATTACAGGCACGCACCACCACGCCCAGATAATTTTTGTATTTTTAGTAGAGAGAGGGTTTCACCATGTTGTTCAGGCTGGTCTCGGCCTCCTAACCTCGTGATCCTCCTGCCTCAGTCTCCCATGAGATTTAAACTTGATAATAGAGTCCTATCAATGACTAATACGGTGTTTTTTCTCATAGTAGGTGCTCGGTAAATATTTTAAATTTACTGTCATTTTCTGAATATAAAGTTAACGGAAGTCAACTGCAGCAGGCAGATTGAGTGTAACGATTGCCCCAGTTAGTCCTCTCCCTGTACCTACGTCACTTATAACATGACTTTGCTAGCTGGGCATGGTGGCATGCGCTTGTATTCCCAGCTACTCAGGAGGCTGAGGCAGAAGAATTGCTTGAACTCAGGAGGCGGAGGTTACAGTGAGCTGAGATTGCACCACTCCACTGCAGCCTGGATGACAGAGTGAGACTCTGTCTCAAAACCGAAACCAAAACCAAAACATGACTTTGCACCCCTCCTTTAAGAACTGGAGTTTCTTTCTCTATCCATGGCAACTGAGCTGGCCTTATGATTTGCTTTGACCAATAGAATGTGGCTGAAGTAATGATGTGTCAGCTCTGAGTCTAAATTTCAAGAAGCATATTCTGCTTCCATACTCTGCTGGAATTCTGTCACCACCATTTTGCTAAGTTAGGACTAGCCTGCTGGAAGATTAAGAGACCATGTAAGGAAATTCAGTAGTTCCAGAAACTGTTTTTGACCAGCTGATAGCCAGCTGACTTACAGCTGCCTACACCAATCTACGACTGACCACAGAGATGTGGGTAAGCTCAACAAGAACAGAATAACTCCTCAGTTGACACTTAGTCTCATGAACAGTAATAAAGGCTTGTTTTTTTTTAAGCCACTGATTTTGGGGTTGGCTTGTAGTACAACAATAAGGAATTGGTATATCAACTAGATTAGGAGTTTGTTCAGGAAGTAATGAGGTATGTTTTAAATGATGATCACAAAAGGATTAAGTTCAACATTTCAGAGAGAAAGTAAAGCAAAATAAAATTGCTAGATTACTCAATTTTAGAAAAAAAGGAACCAAAAAAGCATTTGGGAAAAAATTAAAAGAGTGTATGTGTGTCTGTGTCTGCAGTATACCTACAGAAAGCCTAGAGACCTCTACCAATACCTATCAGAAGTTAGAAGGCCAAGAAAGGTGTACACCATACAGCTAAAAGTTAGACATTCAAACAAAATTCTGCCTGCATTACTAGCAAAATCCAAAAAGTTATTCTAGAGAAAAGCATCATTTAAAAAAGCAAAATGTTTCAGTTTTCTGCATATGGCTAGCCAGTTTTCATTAAATAGGGAATCCTTTCCCCATTGCTTGTTTTTGTCTGGTTTGTCAAAGATCAGGTGGCTGAAGATGTGTGGTGTTATTTCTGAGGCCTGTGTTCTGTTCCATTGGTCTATATCTCTGTTTTGATACCAGTACCATGCTGCTTTGGTTACTGTAGCCTTGTAGTATAGTTTGAAGTCAGGTAGCATGATGCCTCCCACCTCCTGCTTTGTTCTTTTTGCTTAGGATTGTCTTGGCTATATGGGCTCTTTTTTGGTTCCATATGAACTTTAAAGTAGTTTTTTCTAATTCTGTGAAGAAAGTCAATGGTAGCTTGATGGGAATAGCATTGAATCTATAAATCACTTTGGTCAGTATGGCCACTTTCACGATATTGATTCTTCCTATCCATGAGCATAAAATGTTTTTCCATTTGTTTGTGTCCTCTCTTATTGCCTTGAGCAGTGGTTTGTAGTTCTCCTTGAAGAGGTCCTTCACATCCCTTTCTAACTTGTATTCCTAGGTATTTTATTCTCTTTGTAGCAACTGTGAATGGGAGCTCACTCACGATTTGGCTCTCTGTTTGTCTGTTATTGGTGTAGAGGAATGCTTGTGATTTTTACACACTGATTTTATATTCTGAGATTTGACTGACGTTGCTTATCAGCTTAAGGAGATTTTGGGCTGAGACGATGGGGTTTTCTAAATATACAATCATGTCATCTGCAAACAGAGACAATTTGACTTCCTCTCTTTCTATGTGAATACGATTTCTTTCTCTTGCCTGACTGCTCTGACCAGAACTTCCAATACTGTGTTGAATAGGAGTGGTGAGAGAGGGTATTCTTGTCTTGTGCCAGTTTTCAAAGGGAATGCTTCCAGCTTTTGCCCATTCAGTATGATAATGGCTGTGGGTTTGTCATAAATAGCTCTTATTATTTTGATATACTTTCCATCAATACCTAGTTTATCAAGGGTTTTTAGCATGAAGGGGTGTTGAATTTTATCGATGGCCTTTTCTGCATCTATTGAGATAATCATGAGGTTTTTGTCATTGGTTGTGTTTATGTGATGGATTACATTTATTGATCAGTGTATGTTGAACCAGCCTTGCATCTCAGGGATGCAGCTGACTTGATCGTGGTGGATAAGCTTTTTGATGTGCTGCTGGATTCAGTTTGCCAGTATTTTATAGAGGATTTTTGCATCAATGTTCATCAGCGATATTGGCCTGAAATTTTCTTTCTTTTTTTTTTTTTTTTCGTCTCTGCTGGGTTTTGGTATCTGGATGATGCTGGCCTCATAAAATGAGTTAAAGAGGAGTCCCTCTTTTTCTATTGATTGAAATAGTTTCAGAAGGAATGGTACCAGCTCCTCTTTGTACCTCTGGTAGAATTTGGCTGTGAATCGGTCTGGTCCTGGACTTTCTTTTGGTTGGTAGGCTATTAATTACTGCCTCAATTTCAGAACTTGTTATTGGTCTATTCAGGGATTCAACTTCTTCCTGGTTTAGTCTTGGGAGGGTGTATGTGTCCAGAAATTTATCCATTTCTTCTAGATTTTCTAGTTTATTTGCATAGAGGTGTTTATAGTATACTCTGATGGTAGTTTGTATTTCTGTGGGATCAGTGGTGAACTCCCCTTTATCATTTTTTATTGTGTCTATTTGATTCTTCTCTCTTTTATTCGTTAGTCCAGCTAGTGGTCTATCTATTTTGTTAATCTTTTCAAAAAACCAACTCCTGGATTCATTGATCTTTTAAAGGGTTTTTCATGTCTCTATCTCCTTAGTTCTGCTCTGATCTTAGTTATATCTTGTCTTCCACTAGCTTTTGAATTTGTTTGCTCTCACCTCTCTAGTTCTTTTAATTGTGATATTAGGGTGTTGACTGAACCCCTTCCTTACACCTTATACAAAAATTAATTCAAGATGTATTAAAGACTTAAACATAAGACTGAAAACCATAAGAACCCTAGAAGAAAACCTAGGCAATACCATTCAGGACATAGGCATAGGCATAGACTTCATGACTAAAACACCACAAGCAATGGCAACAAAAGCCAAAATTGACAAATGGGATCTAATTAAACTAAAGAGCTTCTGCAGAGCAAAAGAAACTATCATCTGTGTGAACAGGCAACCTAGAAAATGAGGGAAAATTTTTGCAATCTATTCATCTGACAAAGGGCTAATATCCAGAGTCTACAAGGAACTTAAACACATTTACAAGAAAAAAACACAACCCCATCAAAAAGTGGGTGAAGGATAGACACTTCTCAAAAGAAGACACTTATGTGGCCAATAAACATATGAAAAAAAGCTCATCATCACTGGTCATTAGAGAAATGTAAATCAAAACCACAATGAGATTCCATCTCACGCCAGTTAGAATGGCGATCATTAAAAAGTCAGGAAACAACGGATGCTGGAGAGAATGTGGAGAAGTAGGAACACTTTTACACTGTTGGTGGGAGTGTAGATTGGTTCAACCATTGTGGAAGACAGTGTGGTGATTCCTCAAGGATCTAGAATTAGAATTACCATTTGACCCAGCAATCCCATTACTGGGTATATAGCCAAAGGATTATAAATCACTCTACTATTAAGACACATGCACATGTATGTTTATTGTAGCACTATTCACAATATCAAAGACTTGGAAGCAACCCAAATGCCCATCAGTGACAGACTGGATAAAGAAAATGTGGCACAAATACACCATGGAATACTATGCAGCCATAAAAATAGATGAGTTCATGTCCTTTGCAGGGACATGGATGATGCTGGAAACCATCATTCTCAGCAAGCTAACACAGCAACAGAAAATCAAACACCATATGTTCTCACTCATAAGTGGGAGTTGAACAATGAGAACACATGGACACAGGGAGTAGAACATCACACACTGGGGCCTGTAGGGGTTTGGGGGGCTAGGGCAGGGATAGCATTAGGAGAAATACCTAGTGTAGATCATGGGTTGATGGGTGCAGCAAACCACCATGGCACGTGTATACCTATGTAACAAATCTGCACATTCTGCATATGTATCCCAGAATTTAAAGTGTAATAATAATAATAATAATAATAATAATAAAAGCAAAATGTTTATCCAAGTGAAGCAATAGGGAAACCCAGGCAACATGGATGGTCAGATGTAAACTCAAAGGTAAACAGATCCAAAAGCATTTTAAGAGCCATTGCAAACAACAGCACAACCCATAATACACAGTTCTTTAAATAAATTAGAGGAAGGGACCCAGCCAAAGAAAAACAATGAGATGGATACAGGACAAAAGGGCTATCAAAAAAATGAGAAAGGAGATAGCAGAGAGATTCAATTAATTCTTTGCTTCACTCATTCCATAGGAAGACCTTCGGGAGTTTCTCACTCTAAAATTGTCTTTTAACAGAGACAAGTCAGAGGTGAGAGAGCAAATAATGCTAAAAGCATAAGGTGTGCTATGATGAACTGGCAAACAGAAGGTAGAATGTTTGTATATTGCTGCCTGGCAGCAATCAGGTATTGTGAAGAAATTGAAGGGTAAGGAGAGCTCTTCCCAACCAAATGTGCAACTGTATTAGAGGACTCTCTCCTGGAAGAGCATTTGATTTTATATCTGGAGAGTTGACAGAAACTTTATGAAAGTGTGGAATCATGCAGTATTTGTGCAAATATGGTAGAATTATCAATTGAGAATTCTGTTCAAGCTACTATAGAGGGCTAGTATAAGCAATGCTGTTTCTTTCTCCTAGGTATAACAAGAAGGGAGTCAAGTTTTGGTCTTTTCAGTTCTCAGCATTTTGCCCCAGAGAGTTATTAACAGCTTTTGCAAGTCAGAAGTAAAAATGAAAGTGGAACTCAAACCATGCTCTGACCCAAACTTATGTTTGAGGACGACGTAGGCTCATTGGGTGTAGGTTGAACTGAGTGGTCCCTAAGTGAAAGGAGATGAAAATTGAAGGAAGAAGAGGGGCAAAAATCCCCAACACTAAGAGTAGGAAGATGAGCTGGATGGTTTCTACAAATGGCAGACAGGACTCCCGAATGGGAAGAGAAGAGGGAAACTGGCTGCAGGATACAGAAGTAGGTTAACTGTTGAACCACGAGGTGTTGGCAACAGTAGTGAACATTTCATTTATTAGGCCTGGGGTTGGAGAACAGGAGTCAGAAAACTCCAATTCCACACATGGCACCATGCCTAAAAGATGGTGGGGGGCAGAATTGGTGGAAACATCAGCTGATCAGAGGAGACACAGCCCCAGTGGTAACTGCTATGAATTAAGAGTTTGGCTCATGACTTTAGTTTTGGTTGTCTTACTGTGATCGCAATGGGATGCCTCAACTATCTTGGGTGGGAATCAGAATTTAGATATATGATGTTTATTGTACATGAGTGTTCCCAGAAAATGCTTAGGCTACTCCTACAACAAAGTAAAATCAGAGGAAATATACTTTTAAAAATAGAAATTATCAATGATTAATCCATTTGAATTATTTGACTAGGAAAATAAGCGTGGGAAAAAAGTCAGTAAATTTAATTTATTTAGCTATTTAAAAGAACTTTGCCAAAATTCTATGACAAGAATTATTTTACTTTTCTTTTCCTCTATTTTGAATTATGAAACATTTCACATGTTTCTGAAAAGGTCAGACCAGGAGATAACAGACACCCAAATATTGACCACCCAGATTTAACAGCTGTTAACATTTATTAAATTTGCTTCGGAGCCTATTTTTAAAAATAAAAATAAAATATTTCACATGGAATGAAAGCCCCAACTTCATCTTTCCCCTCTCTTGTTCCCTAGAAATAACCCTAGAAATGACTATTCTGAAGATGTGGGTAACATCGCTTTATATTTGACTACCTATACGTGCATCCATAAAAATGTATATTACTGTGTGTTATAAAATTTTTATCTAATTGTTACAGATTTTTATATAACATTCACTTACAAATTTTAATTTCTTCTGTATCTGTGACTCTTCACTTTTCTTTTGTTGTTAATGTTGTTTGTGTTTTTTTTCTTTCTGATTTTCTACTTTAATCTAAAAACTATTATGAGCCTGCTGGTATTTCGTATATTTTACAAGTATTTTTAAATCTAGCTTCTCGTTATTTAATACATTTACCTGTTTCATAATGATCTTTTGTTCTTAACTAATATGTTTATTCTTACCTTTGCCTTTACTTTCATGCTTTTCACATTTACACTTCTGCTGTTTACTTTTACTCTCTGATCCTAGTTCTCTGGTATAGATAGATAGATATGTTCGATTATAAAACATACTTATTTGAAGCTATACAAATAATTGATAACATCTATTTTTATCAGAATTATCTTTTAACTGTGTTCTATTTCAAATGAAATACCTAGCACAGAGTTTCTCAACAGTAACAATATTGACATGAGGCTGTATAATTCTTTGCTGTGAGGAGAGAGTCTTTTGTGTTATATTTTGCAGCATCCCGGGTTGTGACCTCTGGATAGTAATAATATCCCTGTCCCTCAATTGTGATAGCCAAAAATGTCTCTAGATATTGCCAAATGTCCCTTGGGGGACAAAATCACCCCACTTAAAAATCACTGATCTAGCAACTTGCAATCCCTCCACCATTCTGCCATTTCCATTGTACGATTTCTAAAATCTTGTAGGTGGCTGTCGTCTCTAGGTCAGACTAAAGTTTAATTCTTTTCATTTAAAAGTGAGATTAATTTTGAAATACTCCAAGAGAACCATAGACTACTTAAAAGTGGTTTTCCTATTACCCTCTTATCCTCTGCTCAAAACAACCTTATATAACATTACAACATCCAGATTTCATTACATAGGTTTTAACTCACAGCTTAAGGGATAAATTATTTTCCATCTGGACATGCTCCATATTTGAGAGGTAGTAACACAAGTTTCCCAAAAACAATGTTTCTACTATACATGGAGGAGGTGATCTGGACCTGTATATAGTATCTTCTATCATAAAGTAATTTGACGTGATGCTTTCATTTCACACCTCTATTACTTCATTTGAAGTGGTTTTAATATATAGATATCATGGCTTTTTACAGCATAATTAGTAGGCTGGCAAATTTTTGGAAAAATATTTTCTTTAAAATCCTGATATATTTTTCCACTCAGGAGATTGTTTTCTTTTAATATTAAAATATATTTCTAGATTCGTGCTAGTTTTGTTTTTCCAGAAATACTTATTTTTAAGTTGAAACTTAGCTCTCAGTCATTCACATGCTACATTATCTGTCATTATTTCTGCTAATTTTCCTTTTTCTCAGCATTCTTTGAAAATTAGAAAATGGTTTTCTCTTTATCGTTTAATTTTCTATGTTTATTCTATTCTTTAGTCTTATGTTTGAGCAGTATTAAATAATGCTTTGATAGTTGTATTTCTTTTTATTATTTCACATAATCTTAATATTTTGTTTTCATGTATTTGGGGGTTTTCCAGATACCTTTCTGTTTTGATTTCTAACTTAATTCCATTGTGCTTAATGAACTATTTGGTGTGACTTGAATCGTTTTAAATTTATTGACCCTTGTTTTATGTCACAAAATATGGTTTACATTGGTAAGTAGTTTTATGTGCACTTTAAAATAATGCATGTTCTGCTATTGTTGGGTGGAGTGTTCTCTGATTGTCAATGGTCAAGTTGGTTAAGAGTATTGTCCAGAACTTCAGTATCCTTACTGAATTCTGTGTACTTCTTCTCTCAGTTATTGTGAGAGGAATATTGAAATCTTTGACTATAATTGTGGATTTACCTATTTTTCTAAGCAATCTTATCACTCTTTGTTTCATGCATTTTGAAGCTATATTATGAAGTGAATAAAATTTTAGGATTACTATGCCTTCTTGATGAATTGTGCCTTTTGTTATTGTGAATTGCCTTCTTTACCCCTGAAAATAGTTTTTGTTCTGAAATCTGCTTTGTGTGATATTAATATAGCTACTCTGACTTTGTTTTAATTAGTGTTAGCATAGTAGTACTTTTAATTAGCATAACATATCTTTCTCCATTCTTTTACTTTTAACCTGTTTTGTCTCTTTTATTTTATCTTGAGACAGGCTTGCTCTGTTGCCTAGGCTGGAGTGCAGCGGCACAGTCTCGGCTCACTGCAAGCTTGGCTTCCCGGGCTCAAGTGATCTTCCCACCTCAGCTTCCCAAGTAGCTGGGACCATGGGCTGTGCCACAATGCCCAGCTAATTTTTTTGTATTTTTTTTGTAGAGACAGGTTTTCACAGTGTTGCCCAGGCTGGTCTCAAACTCCTGGACTCAAGCTATCTGCCAGCCTTGGCCTCCCAAAGTACTGGGATAACAGGCGTGAGCCCCGCATCTGGCCTTTATCTCTATTTTAAAGTGCATTTATTGTACTCAGGTATAATGGGGTCTTTTGTGTCCAACCAATTTCTATCTTTTAATGAGGATATTTAGACCATTTATATTTAATGTGGCTATTGATATGTTTAGAGTTAGTTACATCATCTTGTTACATCTTTCCTATTTGCCCCATCTTTTCTCTGTTTCATTTTTCCTGTCTGCTCTTTAAACAAAATTTACATTCATTAACCCACCCCCCTTCAGGGATACCACTTTCACATATAATAGAACACATCTTAGCTTTCCTATAGCTCGTTGATGTTTCATTAATTTTATTTTTTTCTCTATGATCCTTTTTGGTAATTCATATTTTATGTCTCCAAGTTCATTGATTCCTCCAACTGTATTTTTTTTTTTCTGAGACAGAGTCTTGCTCTGTTGCCCAGGCTAGAGTGCAGTGGCTCAATCTCACACACTACAACCTCTGCCTCTGGGTTCAAGCGATTCTCCTGCCTCAGCCTCCTGAGTAGCCGGGACTACAGGTGTGAGCCACCACGCCTGGTTAATTTTTGTATTTTTAGTAGACCCAGGGTTTCACCATGTTGGCCAGGCTGGTCTTGAAGTCCTGACCTCAAGGGATCCACCTGCCTCGGCCTCCCAAACTGCTGAGATTACAGGCATGAGCTACTGGGCCCAGCCTCAGTGTATTTTTAAAATCACAAATTATTGGCTCTTTTGTTATATTTCCACGTTTCTGCTCAAGGTTTTGAACATATGGAATAGTTTTAATTACTGTTTTAATGTCTTTGTTAGTTTTAACATCTGTCAGTTCTGTGTTGAATTTGACTGACAGATATTTCTCCTCACTGTGGGTTGTATTTTCTTGCTTCTTTGCATGTCTGATAATGTTTGATTTTGATTAAATGTCAGATTTAGTGAATTTTACCTTTTGGGATATGGGATATGTTTGTATTCTTATATTCTTGAGTTTTGTTCTCAGGACGAGGTTAAGTTACTTAAAAACAGTTTTATCCTTTTGGAGCTTGCTTTTCAGATATGTTGGGAGGAGCTAGAGTAGTGCTCAGTGTAGGGGTAATGATTCCCACCACCGAGGCAAGATTCTTATGTGCACTCTACCTAGTTCCCCATGAGTCTTGAGCTTTTCCACTCTGTTTGGTGAGAACATGCACTATTTCAGTCCTGTGTGAGCACTGGGTACTATTACTGCTCGTCTTTCAGGTGGTTCTTTCCCTAACCTATTGTAATTTTCTCAATGCTTGCCCTTACTAGTGCTCAGCTGAATACTTAAAGAGGCCCCCAATTCAATGTCAGGAGTTCTGTCTCTGTGTAGCTCTCTGTTCTCCAGTACTCTATCCTGCAAACTCAAGCCACGTGATCTGTCTAGTCTCTCACCTCTGTCTCCTCAACTCAGGGATTCTCCTGGGCTCCACCTGCCTCCCTTCGACATGGACTGGAAAACCTGCCAAGGCAGTGATCTGGGATAGTTGTAGTGCTTCCCTCACTTGGGCCATCTCCCAAGCATCACTATCATTCATTGTCTCAAGTCCAGCATATTGAAACCATTGTTTCAGATATTTTTTCCATTTTTGTTTGTTTTAGGCTGGAATGTAACTCCATTTGCTGAAATTCCGTCTTGGATAGAAGTCCAAGTCTCATCAATTCATTTTTAATTTTATGATAAAACATCCAAACATAGTCAACGAGGTAAAATTAGAAAAATCTCCTTAATCATTCTCCCACTTTTAATTCCAACTGCCCTTCCTATAGTATCTTCTGTCAGGAATTCAGAATGTGTACTACTATTTCCCTTACTATATATTGGTATACATGAACAGATATTTTTGTATTAAAATTTCAATTTGTAAATAAATAATTACACCTTTTTATTTTCGCTGAACAATATGTCTTGGGAATCTTGCTATGGCATACTTAGTTAAAAAAATTGTCCCCCCCAGAATTACCAAGTGTTTTTTTTTTTTTTTTTTTTTTTTTTTTTTTTTTTTTTTTTTTTTGAGACGGAGTTTCGCTCTGTCGCCCAGGCTGGAGTGCAGTGGCGCGATCTCGACTCACTGCAAGCTCCGCCTCCCGGGTTCACGCCATTCTCCTGCCTCAGCCTCCTGTGTAGCTGGGACTACAGGCACGCGCCACCATGCCCGGCTAATTTTTGTATTTTTAGTAGAGACGGGGTTTCACCGTGTTAGCCAGGATGGTCTCGATCTCCTGACCTCGTGATCCGCCCGTCTCGGCCTCCCAAAGTGCTGGGATTACAGGCGTGAGCCACCGCGCCCGGCCCCAAGTGTTTTATATTATGGGTATACCTTAATTTCTTCTATAACTTCACTTATTGAGGTAATTAACTACATTGTTTTACTATCACAAAACTGTAGTGCATATAGAGAGGGAAAAAGATATAGAGATACCAATATAATGATACAGATATAAAATATTCATGAATAGTTATTTCTCTGGTTTGCTACCAAAGGATGCTTTCATGTTAATTTTGTATTAATATTGCCAAATTGCTTTTGAAAAAATTTTAAACATTTCCACTCAAATCAACAGTGCAAAGTATTCACTTCCTTGTGTTTTGTAACCTTTGCTATTCTTGCCAATATAAAAGACAAAAGTGATATTAATAGTGGCTTTTCTTTTTTTTTCTGGTTACCAGCAAAGTTGAGATATTTACTTACTGTTTATATTCCTTTATTCTCAACTGTCTGTTTTTATCATTTGCCTGCCTTACATTGTTGTTTTTTCTTTTTACTGATTTGTGAGAAATATTATATGGCCTTGATATTTCTTCATTTTCCATTAAATGTTCCAGTATGTTTTTCTGGTTGTTACTTTATTCGAATCAGTGAATGTAGTCTTTTCTTTCATAAAGAAGATCACAATTTTATTGATGATCTATATAAATAGGTCTAGATTTAGATAGATTATAGTTCCTGCACATTTCTTGTTCAGTCACTTCTAATTTTTTATTATTTGTGGCTATAGTAAGTAAGATCCTTTAGGCCCCCACAATTCCACATCCATGAAGCAGTGTGAGGAAGCTGGCAAGACTTGAAGAAGGAGCTTCCAAAACCTCTCCAGATGTGGCCGAGGATAAGATAAAATGAATGGGCTGGGTGCAGTGGCTTACACCTGTAATCCCAGCACTTTGAGAGGCCAAGGCAGACCGATCACAAGGTCAGGAGATCAAGACCTTCTGGCCAACATGGTGAAACCCTGTCTCTACTAAAATACAAAAAATTAGGTGGGTATGGTGGTGGGCGCCTGTAGTCCCAGGTACTCGGGAGGCTGAGGGAGGGGAATTGCTTGAACCCGGGAGGTGAAGGCTGCAGTGAGCCAAGATTGCACCATTGCACTCCAGCCTGGTAACAGAGAGAGACTCCATTGCAAAAAAAAAAAAAAAAAGATAAAATGAATGACATCAGTGAAGGTAGGACAAAAGAGACAATTCCATCAGGTAAATCAAGTACTCATGATAGAACATTTCCCACCTCCAGGGTAGAGTACCCTTGCAATAACTATCTAATGGGATTTCAGAATTGCTTTAAACAAGTGAATGTAGAACTCTTTCTTTCCTTTTTGAATTTCTTTCCTTTTCTGAAGTTGCATATCAGCAGTATGGGAGACAGATAACTTTTCATTTTGCTTCACAGGTTTGTAGACCACAAGGAACCACATATAGAAGTTCAGCTCAGTGTTGTGATTGGATAGAACTTAGGAAGGGAGTAAGTATAATTTGCTGGCAGAAGAAAAAGTCAATGATATATTTGTGACCAGAAGAGTTGATTGTGATAGCTGTTAGAAAATAGAGTTTCACAGCAGTTTGTTCTCTCAGTTTGAGCACAAAGTAAGACTGTTCTCCATCTCGATATCAGGCCTGGCTCTGTGATGCTTAAGCAAATGCAATGTGCATATAAGTGATGCAAGTTATTTCTGAGTGGAAACTCTAAGAGTCAATGCTTAGTTTTCCATGCTCTCTTCCTCTGATTTGACAGTCACAGAAGGAAAAGACAAAGCTCCATCAGCCTGAGTCCTTCGGAGACAAAGATAAGTAGAGCCGTAAAGCTTACTTATGACAGACATAGAATTTAAGCAAGAACTACACTTATTTGTTGTAAGCCACTAATATTTAAGAATTGTTTGTTGCCTCATATAATACAGCTTATTATATCTTTATTCTTGTACTTAACAATGTTCAGAAATATTCTCATCGTCTGTGTCTTCAGAGGTCTCTTTTCCACGTCTGGTTCAAATTTTTCATGCCCTATATATTGTTTTTCCTTAGTCTTTAACTGAAAATAAAAAGTCTATATAAATCTGTTTTTTGCCCATAGATATTGTGTATTGATTACCCCCAGTGCCCTCCACGTAACACATCTACATAAATAGGATCACGTTCTCATCCTGAGATCAGGAAATGTGTTCACTGTCTGTATTGAGATGGCATGTATTCGATGAGTATGTCTTTCAGTACTGAAGTGGAAATTTAATGCCACTGCCCAATTCTCTCACTGTAACAGCAAAATAACTATGCTTTTTAAAAATCTCAACTCCCTCTGTAGTTCTTCTACTGACCAAAACACACACAAAAAAACCCCAAAACACTAAAGTACTGCTTCTACAAATTTTGCTGCTTTAGGGCCCACTTACAAAATTTATAGCTAAGTGTCATCATGTATAAAATAAAGTAACATTGACCTTGCAGGTGGGAAGATAATGTGCGTGACATGATGCCAATGTCACTGGTTCAGTTCATTATTATTATTTGTTCAAGGTGTGTTATATTCACAATTTCTATAATCCTGTTTATTTTTCTTGTTTACTGAGGCAAAGTTGTTTTACTACACTTTCTTGGAGTTTTTCCTCTTTGTTGCAAGGGTATCACGATGATTCTGGTAGTAAAATTATTAAAGCGTAAAATTCTATAGTTCAGTCGTCTTCAATCAATCTTCTTGTTGCCTTAATAACTATCTGAATAAAATAGCTCTCGAGATACTATTTTAGAAAAATGTCTTCACTATCTGGACTCACTAAACTTTTACATCGAGATTCTGGGATCTAGAATGAATATAGCAGGTAGCTGCCTCCATTGAGAATTGAGCCTTAACACGGTTTATTTCTGTCTGGGTTCATTACATACTACACAAGGACATCCAAGGAAATGTCAAATGAGATCTTTTAGTTTTCATTGGGATAAAATTAGACTGGGTATCATGAGCCAGAAGAGTGCGATTGAGGGCCTTGGGCACAGGCTTCATAATGTGGCTATGCCCACAGACTTATCCACAGAGCGTTTACTCCTGGGATTCTCAAACCTGCTGCCAAGTTTACCACTCAATTCCTGTCTCTCTATGTGACTTTCTGCTTATCCTGGCTTTACTTCTAGTTGCTTTTTTTTTTTTTTTTTTTTTTTTTTTTTTTACACTCAGCTGGTTATCATGGTGCTCCTGCACTCCAACTTCCCCAATAATCTGATTCCCTGGCTTCTACTCATAGCTCCTCTATGAGAATACAGCCTTAATTTGACACTAATCATGAACTCATTCACTGGTTTCCTCCCTGAAAGAAAGGCCCTTTTCCCAGGCAGCCATAACCAGAGTCTTAACCGAGCTAACTTTTCTCTGTTGGATATTAACTGCTAGAGCCTCTCTTTTTACTGTCTCTCTGCTTCAACCGTAATTATGCTCACTTCCATTCCTATTCAAATTAACTCTTTGGATCCTGTTAACTCCTTAAGAGATTGTTTACCATTTGACCTTTTATTATTTCTTTTAAAATTCAGTCTGAGTTAGGATAACATTGATTTTTTTTCTCAAGACTTTAGCAAGAAAAATCTTACCAGTTAGTTCTTCTTGGATCGTTTGTTCCTCGTAGAGACTCTTCCCCACATCACACACTTAACCAGGGGAGCCCTGACACTGTCATCGTGAAGTGTGACCCCTGATAGCTCAGCTCGGGGTTTCTCAACCTTACCGCTATTGTCAGCACTTGGGGCTGCATAATTCTTTGCTGTGGGAGGCTGTCTCATACACGGCAAAATATTTAACAGCGTCCCTGGCTGGACTGACCAACTGGATATCAGTGGCGACTCCTGTCCTCAAGTCTTGACAATTAAAACAAAAAGATTCCCAGGAAAGATGGCTAAATGGGAACAGCTCCAGTCTGCAGCTCCCAGTGAGATCAACGCAGAAGGCAGGTGATGTCTGCATTTCCAACTGAGGTAGCCAGTTCATCTCACTGGGACTAGTTAGACAGTGGGTGCAGCCCACGGAGGGGGAGCTGAAGCAGGGTGGGGTGTCGCCTCACCAGGGAAGCAGAAGGGGTCGGGAAACTCCCTCCCCTAGCCAAGGGAAGCCGTGAGGGACCGTGCCATGAGGTATGGAGCTATCCGGGCCAGATACTATGCTTTTCCAATGGCCTTCATTAAAAAGTTAGGAAACGATAGATGCCGGAGAGGATGTGCAGAAATAGGAACACTTTTACACTGTTGGTGGGCGTGTAAATTAGTTCAACCACTGTAGAAGACAGTGGGGGTTCCTCAAGGATCTAGAACTAGAAATACCATTTGACCCAACAATCCCATTACTCGGTATATACCCAAAGGATTATAAATCATTCTACTATAAAGACACATGCACACCTATGTTTACTGCAGCACTATTCACAATAGCAAGACTTGGAACCAACCCAAATGCCCATTAATGTTAGACTGAATAAAGAAAAATGTGGCACATATACACCATGGAATACTATGTAGCCATAAAAAAGGATGAGTTCATGTCCTTTGCAGGGACATGGATGAAGCTGAAAACCATCATTCTCAGCAAACTAACACAGGAACAGAAAACCAAACACCACATGTTCTCACTCATAAGTGGCAGTTGAACATTGAGAACATATGGACACACGGAGAGGAACATCACATGCTGGAGCCTGTCAAGGGGGTGGGAGGCAAGGGGAGGGATAGCATTAGGAGAAATACCTAATGTGGATGACAGGTTGAAGGGTACAGCAAACCACCATGGCACATGTATACCTATGTAACAAACCTGCACATTCTGTACATGTGTCCCAGAACTTAAAGTATAGACATAAAAAAAAAACCCCAACTCTCCAGACGTTGCCAAATGATGTCCCCAAGTGGCAAAATTACTTCCAGTTGAAAACCATTGTAGCTGATGAACTCCATTCCATACACCTAGAGAATATGTTTTAGGTGAAACTTTTAAAATCCTGAAAGATTTTAGGAAATCCTTTATCAGCTCTCCTCATTCTCTGAGGACCATAAGAAGCTTCCAGTCACCAAATTGGATACAGGATTTCTCTGCATGTGCTTAGAAATGGACAGGCTGAGATTTAAATGCTATTACATGTATCTGCAAGGAGCAACTTTCCCTAATCTTCAGCAGTTGTAGGTTTCACCATGTATTCCCTCCTACTTCACCAATTCTGCTACATTTTCTAATTCGAGAGTTGTATTTGACTGTTGGAAAATGGTTGTAATCATGAAATAAACTCTACCATATGTTTTCTTTATTATGAAATATAGATCCTTGTCTGTTTTTAAAGCATCTTCTCAGATGAATTGATTGCAAACACATGTCAAATTTTGATTTCAAACTAACCTGCCTTCAATAGAGATGGGTTAGACTTCTCTTTGGGTGGATATTATAGAAAACTGCAGGTGAACAGACAATATTATTAGCTAAAGGTAAGAAGGAAATGTCTAGTTAAAAATCATTTGGCTCATTAAATATGGATAATTAGCAGGATAGGTAAAATCTAGCTTCCTAACAACCCCCACCCTTTTGGAAAAAAAAAAAAAAAAACTCAAACTCATCAAAATCTATCAGAAATGCTAGATACTTTTCAGAAGAGTCTGGTAATAACATCATAAACCAAAAATATGCTTTTGATATCATTTTCTAAGGTTTGAAAAATATTTTTTTTCACACTGAACATGAACAACTTTTAAGACATGAGCGAATACAGGAGATAAGAGAGAAATAGGAGTGGAATATTCATAAGCAGGGCTCTGTCCCTTTTACCAAAAGCATACTTCTATAACATAATAGTTCCTAAACTTCCTTACTTAACCTGAGATCTACCTCTTCCCCTTCTTGCGCACCTTCTTTAGACATACATAATGGGATTTTCTATTCACCTTTTTGGGAATCTCCACCTAAAGAATTTTTCAGGATTTCTCCATCTCCCTACATCAATACATTCCTCTAAGTCTGACATGTTGATAATAAGCAGCAGAGTCTATCTGGGGCTTTGGTATACACAGTGCAGTTTCCTTCTCTTGGGGCCTTCTCAATGGTTGGAGACAGATCAAAGTCTACTGAGTGTGGATCATTGTTCTCAGATGCACACAGGCACACACACATACACTTCTTGAACAATCCTTAACAACTATACCATATTTTTCTAATGGTCTTCAACAATATAACTACCATTATGCATTACAATGTTTTTTCTTTTCCACCTTCTTTTATTAAAATTGTACTCTCTAAGACTACTAGAAATAAGAATTAGGCACACTACTGAGTAATATACTCCTTCATAACTCCCCCATATGGTGCAAAAGCTTGGACATCAACACTTCCAGGGTTTAATTCAGTTCTTGGGCAAGGTAATAATTACAGTGTAAGGCCTGCGATTAAGGCCCAATATTATGTGCTGCCTCAACATCTGGGAGGAAGGAGGAGGAATTCAAATGGCCTAACTGCAAGTTCTGCTCTCCACTCTGTTCTCGTTGCTAACCTCCCCTAGCCAAACAGCCCTCTTTATCAGAAGGACTAGATGCAGTTCCTGATTAGCCCTGAGTAGTGAGTTTTGGTTCCCTGCCAATCCACAGAATGATTCAGTCAATCACAGCCTCCCGTGGCCCAGGGAGTACCTCAAACTCTTGATACTACAACACCTGCCTTTCACAGCCCCTACTTGTTCACTCCATTCCAGAGTGTGCCCCTGTGCCTCCCTACATTGGGGAGGTATATGCTCCTCCCCCAGGCTGTGAGTATATGTGACCAATAAACTCCTATTGATTTTATCTGTCCAGTGTCATGTATAGTTTCAGCCACCTCCACAACCCTAGGGCAGGAAACCCTCCATCACCAATGGAGTGAATAGGAGGCAATTAAAATGATGATGGTACTTATCTTTGTGTTAACAATAATGGAATAGGATGGTTGTTATTCTAGTAACATTTCAAAAAGCGAATGTAGTCTATGTGCAGTAAAATGTACAAATATTAAGTATATAGCACAATGAATTTTTGTTTGGTATTTCAATTCTACCTTGTTTTTCAAACACTCCTAAATTAATAATTTGTATTAGAGCTAACTTTTTCTTTACAGTAAATGCTTATTTATATCTATCTATCTCCTTGTTCTATATCACATTTTTCACTCCATTTCTTCCTTTTAGATTCCATTGTCTTCTTCCTGAAGCACATTCTTTAGTAGTTTTCTCATTGAGGGTCTATATGTGAAAAACTTTCTTAATCTGTTTCCTACAAATTATTTTACTTTACTTTTACTTTTGAATGACAGGGTAGCCAGTTAGAGAATTTTAGGCTGATATTTATTTTCTCCCAGCATTTTAAAGATTGTATTCCATTGTATTTTGGCCTCCATTGTTGTTGATAAATCTGTTTTTTGTCTAAATGATGTTACTTTGTAGATAATATGATTTTTTTTTCTTTTTCTGGATGCTGTTAAATTTTTTTTCTTTACGTTATACTACAAAATGTGCAGATACATAGATAGTATAAACATATCTATGCTTTTCTCGATTGATTTACATTTTTATTATAACTTATTGACAGTAAATTGCATATTTCAACTGAACAATTCAATGAAATCTTATATCTGTATATACCATTTTGTAACCACTACCCTAGTAAAGATATAGGACATTTTCATCACTCTGAGACGTTCACTCATGCAGCTTCCTTGTCAGTCATCTCCAGAGGTCACCAGTGATCTGATTTCTATCATGATAGTTTAGTTTTGCTTGTTTTTGAACTTCACATAGATGGAATCCTACAGTATTTATACTAATGAGTAGCATATTACTGTTAACTTTTGAAAAATTATTCTTAGTTTTTCTTGATTTCCAGTTTTGTCATTCCTATTTGCAATAACAAAGTATAGGTAAGAAATAACAAAAATGTACAGCAGGATGTCCTTAGTTTTAGAACAGGAGTTGACAAATTTTTTCTATAAAGGAATAGATAGCAAATATTTTAGGGTTTATGGGCCACATAGTCTCTGTTGCATTCTCTCTGCTCACGGGCTGAATGCAATAGACTATGCCTGTAGTTTGCCAGTCTCTAGTTTGGAGTGCTGCTTATTTACCTATTTTCCCATAGAATGATTATCATCTGCTTTTTTTTTTTTTTGTAATTCAGTTAAAACTTGCTTTATTCTCTTCCCAAATACAAGTTTATAAAGAGCAAATAAAATTTATATTCCTACTTCACAAAGTTAATTCCTAGGAAATTGTATAAGCTAAGCCAGCATGAAAAAGTTCTCTAAAGTATGAATAATTATACTACTTTCTAATAGAATTTGGGAAACAGGATGTAGTCAGAAGGCACACAAGAATAGACTCAAATTCTCATAAACACTGAAATGGATTTAAAAGAAATTTGGGTGATTAATATATTTATTCTCATAATTAGTTTCTGCCTTTCTTAGTTTATTTTATCAATTAGTCTTTCTGAAAGATCCTCCACATTGCGTTGGCCTTTGATTTGAAGAAATCTTTGCAATTTCTTCCAGTAGTTATACTGGCAAGAAGGTTTTTCCAAAACTTGAGCAGGAAGCCTATTAAAACTGTGGTTTATGTCTGCCAAAAAAATTGGTCAGCACAGGTAGCAAGGCAGTGCATTCCCACCCTAGCTATAAATTCACTGAAGGATAATTTGTTCTATCAGTACATACCATCTATCTTGCTCTATGGGGTGTTTGATCTTATCTCTCTGAGATTAGGGCCAGCAAATGTGCTAATTGTGCCCTTATGTAACATCTTTAATAACTCAGGAAAAAATAAAGTGTCCTAATAAAAGATGATTCAGTCTTCCTCAGCCAGGCCATAGAGTTTTATTATTTTGGAATAATCTCTATATTTTGTAAACTCTAAATCACATTTAAGAGACACATTTATGTTTAGGGTAAGCATTGCTGGAACCCTTTGCAATAAACTGAAAGAATTAGAGTCCAGTAACGATCCAGTTTTCCAGAGTATTTTAAATTTTTTTCTTTCCTTTTCTTTTTATTTTTTAACATATCTGTTGCATAATTAAAAGATTCTTGGGTTTGATTGCGATTGGGAGGCTATGCCAGCCATTCTTTTGGCGAGCCCTGGTTTTCCAGAAAGGCACATGTCTTGTTTTGCATGTGCTGGTTCAGGGTTCAAAAAATCTTGTGTTAAAGGATGATGTCTGTCAATAAAACTGCAAGTGCAAGACGCAGGCTGCCAAAAGGCCATTAAAATGAATATGTAAGAGAGAGATAATTTGGAAATTCAGTTGAGGGTCCTGATCAACAACGAAATTTTAATGAACTGAACTCAAGTTATAGTTTGATAGTATAACATCTGGAAATCTACTTATAAACTTTAAGATCTACAAAACAGGCAGAAAGCCCTGATCTTTAACTGAGTTCTCCCCTCACACAAAAATTCTCTCCAGGCTGGAGCTCATATTTTAGATATGACTATGTTTTATAACATAAAGACATTTCCATATTTTAGTGTATCATTTGACAATAAGTATATTTTCATCTCTGTTATTTACAGGGAGCGGGGGGATGTTAGAGATGAGACCAGGATAACACATCTTTGAGCTTTTCTTTGAATACCATCTTGCAACATGGCTGATTACATAAATTTGAAACAAATACTATCCTGGAGCATTTTGTAGAGCAGATCCTGTTTGTACATTTAGAAACAAATATGTAAAAATATGTGCCTATGCAAGCTAGATGGTTTCTTTTCACACTGTGCAGTTTTTGTCATTTTCACAATGTGTATATTTTGTTTTACAAATAAAACATATGAGGAGGCTATTCAACAATTGAAGCAGAAAAGCATAATTTTTCCTTTTTGAAATAGGTAGGTCTCTGGGTGGGAAAATAGCGAAATGTTAGCTGTGGCTTTCCAAGGATCTACTGCAGGCTCTAAAGGCCTCAAGTTTGATAATCCATATTGAAAAATCACAAAATCATAATTTAATTACCCTTAAGACATATAGCTTCTCAGCTTTAGAAAAATTAAACATCTTTCTATCGGCTTCCTTTCATGTGCCGATGCACATGTGATAAAATAAAAGAGAAAAAAAAAACAACCTAACTAAAAAATTAAATCCTTAAGGCCAAGAAATGGGGTAGGAGTTAAAATTACTTCTTCCACTGAATAGTGTGCAAAGGTGCTGTTTACATTTAACTTAAACACAAGAACTTCCTTATTTTTAGTATATCCCCTGAAGAGGATTGTTCTCATGCTAGCATGTTCTCTCTCAATATGCAACAGGAGAAGCAGAAAGGCTGTCTGCAAATGCGCTAGTGAATCACTTAATTAAATCCTGTTTGTAACAAATTCTCTGATTCTGTGCTAAACCCAGAACTTGTGCTAAAAAGAAAGTACAATAACAGAGATGCCATAATCACTTAGTATTAATGTTTTCTATTTCTACATTTAAATCACTCTTAACCACTTTAATTTGAGAAAGAAAAGTCTGATATGGTAAAGAGTTAAATTAGGCAGACACATACTGAAGTGACATTTTACTGTAAATGTTTCTGTGACCTGCAAATACTTTACTGCAAATCTGAAATGGCTATAAACACATGGATTTCATTAAAATAAAACTCATATTGCATTGTGTATTCTGAGGATTAATAATGTTCATAATGGTAGCTACTCTGTTTCATATTCTTCTGAGAGGTTCTTTATGTATATTTGCTGATTTAATCCTCACACAACTCTCTGAGGTGGGTATCGTGGTTTTCATTTTATAACTGTGAGTAGACGGTCACTTGACTTGTTGGAAGCCCCACAACTGGTCTTGCAGAGCTGTTACAACTGTTAGAGTTTTACAGGCAAGAAATTAAATCGTGTGGGGTTACCAGGGTGGTTTCTGCTCATATGATTAGTTAGCAGAACAACTGAGAATGGCACCCATGCCCTTTGAATTTTTGCCCAGTATTCCTTCTATTTCACACTTTGTATATCCACGTTTCTACTGCAGCATAAAAAGTAAATGGTCCCAAAAGCTGATATGGAGGCAAAAGATGAAATCTCAGGAGCCCAAAGTCTCAACTTGTAAATGTTTTAGTAAACTAGAAACTAATATTAGTTATAAACTATAATGTAGACCCTTCTTAAATTCAATCAGAAGTATGCTTCACATTAATAATGTTTAATCCAGTGGTTAACGCATAGGAGTCTGTACATTTTTCCAATTTAATGAATAACATTGGTTTTTAAATGAAAAAAATATATTTTTTCTTCTACTTGGATGACAATTTCTTGTGTTAAAAGTAAGGAATAAACATATTTGTACTGCTGCAACCTCGATGCAATGTGTAGCTTAATTAAATCCACACTATCAAAAGGCTCAAAGCTGGGTTCCTTCCATCCTGCTCTTACCCCTAGAACACAGAACACTTACTGTATCTGGAGTACATCAGTGAGGAAAAAAGCAGACATGCTCCCATCATCTAAGTAGGAAGACTAAAAACCTCTGTCCCTATGGGTACCCTAACCAGTCAAAACTTTCTGATAAAATCAACTGAAAGTCTTCATTTAAATGTACAGGCTTTCTATTCCAAACTCACACTCTGAATTGCTTTGAATTTCAGTTTTAGTCATATTCAGTTTTTTTTTTTTTTGCTAAGTATTAATGTCATTAAATATCATCATTTTTATACATACCCATTGCTGGTGAAATTGTGTTAGATATGGTTGTGCATTTTAACATCTGTTCATCTGACACAGATTCAAGGGGACCAACATGCCTGTGAGAACATCTTGATTTAGAAAAATATAAGGTAGCAAAATACAGATAACTTACCTAGGAGTTAAGGTGTTGAAATTTAGCTTTTGTTAAAGGTTCCACCTAAAATAATTTATTCCAAAATTAGCAAAGCTAAGCACTGCCATGCAGCAGACCCCAAACTAAGAACAGATCCAGTCTTGGTCAAACAGTGGAGAAATAACAGGACTAATAATTAGGGCCTATGGGAAAGCAATATTTTGTAAGAACAGCTAGGTCAACAATTACTTCTATCACTAGCAGCACCCGTCGTGTACCCATTGTTCTGAGGCACTGGCTTCTTTCAAGCACTAATTAGAAGAGAGGTTTACTGAGCTCTCTCCCTCTGGCTTCTTGACTGACCTGGAATTTTTTCTTGCACTGGAACTTGTTTATTAAGGTTTTAGGGGTTTTCATAAAAACTCGTGAAAGATTCTGAAAATGGTGAATAATTTGGGGACTATAGAGCAAATGAAAACTAAACACCGTAACTCCAAAGAACAGCACCATGAACTGTACTTTTCTCATATAATTTGATCACTTGAGTTGTTGCACTTTAGTTTTTTTTCTTGGTTTGCTCTAAAATGAAGAAACAAAACTGGTAGGTTAATTAGCCCATTTGTACCACATTTGTAGCATCCCTGGAAGGAATTAACATCTTCCTTAAGGAATTGGTACCTTGGTAGAGATTGCCATGCAACTATAATGACACTGAATTAAGTTATAGTTTTATGTTAGTTCTACTCATTTTTATGTCCTTGTAGAAAACTTTCATAAACAGCGTATCTTAATATCTTTCACTTCATTATCTACATTTTCTAAATGAATAAACTAAGGGTCAGAGAAACAGGGATTTGCCAAAAGTCATACAACTACAGAATAGTAAAACTTTCAGCAGGTTTTTCAGATTTTAAGTACATTCCATGTCCATGACTTTTGGATACAGCGTGAAAATTGATTATATTAATTCCATCATGCTTGTAGAAATTCAAACTTGCTTTTATTTACTCAGTGTATGGTTAGGACTCAGCTTCATACATAAAGAAGCAATTAGTTTTGAGAATAAATTTCTAAACAAAAACATAATCAACTCCTTGCTTATTATTCCTTATTTTTGCCCGACTTCCTGACTTTATTTTTTTCCTACAGCTTTATTAAGGCATAATGGACATATCAAAATTGTATATATTTATAGCATATGACATGATGTTTTGAATCACATATACATTGTGAGATGGTTAAATGAAGTTAATTAACATGTGTATCGACTCACGTACATTTTTTGGTGGGAGGATTTAAGATCTACTCTCTTAGCAATTTTCAGGTATACAATACATATTAACTACAGTCACCACGCTGTATAATAGATCTCCAGAATTTACTCATTCTATTTAATGGAAAGTTTGTGCCCTCTGACAAACGAATCCCCACCCTGTACCCCCAACTCCTGGCAACCACCATTCTACTCTCTACTTCTCAGAGTTTACCTTTTTTAGATTATATGTGTGTGTGTTTTATATATATATGTATTTTATGTATAATGTAATATATACATGTAATATGTATGTAATATATATAATGTTATATATATGTAATATATAGAAAATTTTTCTTTCTGTTCCTGGCTTATTTCTCTCAACATAACATCCTCCGTGTTCATCCATGTTGTTACAAATGTCAGGATTTCCTTCTTTCATAAGGCTGAATAGTATTCCATTATATATGTGTGTATATATGTGCAATGGAATATACATATACATATATGTGTGTGTGTATATATATATGCATGCCACATTTTCTTTATCCATTCATTCATCCATGGGTGCTTATGTTGACTCCATATCTTGGCTGTTATAAACAAAGCTGTGATGAACATGAGACTGCATGTATCTCTTCAACATACTTGTCTCATTTCTTTGGAAATGTACCCAGCAGTGAGATTGCTGGATCATATGGTAATTCTAAATATTTTAAAGGAATTTCCATCATGTTTTTCATAATAGCTGTACTAATTTACATTCCAACCAACAGTGTTCAAGGGCTCCCTTTTTTCCATATCTTCACCAACACTTGTTATCTTTTCTTTTTTTGTAATAGTCATTCTAACAGGTAAGAGGTAACATTGTTGTTTTAATTTGCATTTTTCTGATTTTTTTTTTTTTTTTGCCTAATTTCTCTGACTATGCCCTTCTAGTACAATATGGTATGGAAGTGGTGAGGAGTAGGTATCCTTATCTTGTTCCTGACCTCAGAGAAAAAGTTTTCAGCTTTGTGACATCGAGTTGAAGTTAGCCCTGGGTTTATTACATATGGCTTTTATTAGGTTAAGGTACATTCCTTCTATACCTAATTTGTTGAATGTTTTTATTATGAAAGGGTGTTGAATTCTGTCAAATTTTTTTTGCATTTATTGAGACGGTCATGATTTTTATCCTTCATTTTGTTGATGTGGTATATCACATTGATACATTCATGACTTTTTAAAAAAATTTTTTTGAGACAGAGTCTTACTCTGTCATCCAGGCTGGAGTGCAGTGGTGCAATTACAGCTCACTGCAGTCCCCCGACTTAGCTGGGACCACAGGCACATGCCACCATGCCTAATGTTTAAATTTTGTGTATAGATGGAGTCTCACCATGTTCCCCAACCTGCTCTTGAACTCCTGGGCTCAAGCAATCCTCATGCCTTGGCTTCCCAAAGTGCTGCAATTACAGGCATGAGCCAATTTACCCAGCCACATCAATGACTTTAATATGTTAAAACTTCCTTGCATTTCAGGAATAAATACCACTTGATGATCATGTGTCATACTTTTAATGTATTGTTGGATTTTGATTGCTAGTAGTTTCTTGAGGATTTTTGCATTTATGTTCATCAGAGATGTTAGCCTAAATATTTTTTCTCTTATAGTATCCTTTTCTGGCTTTGATATCATGGTAATGTTGGCCTCATAAAATGAGTCTGAAAGTGTTCCCACCTTTTAAGTTTTTTGGAAGAGTTTGAGAAAGAGTGGCATTAATTCTTCTTTAAATGTTTGGTAGAATGTTGGAAAGTTTTTGATTATTGATTAATTCTCCTTATTCATTATTGGTTTGTTCTTATTTTCTATTTCTTTGTGATTCAGTCTTAGATTGTATGTTTATAGAAAATTATCCATTTCTTCTAGGTTATTGAAATTTTTGGTATGTAATTTTCATAGTACCCTCTTACGAGCTTGTAATCACTCACTAACAGAATATACTGAAGTTACCCTAACAAGAGGTAAAAAGATGACATATTATAGAGGAGAGCTAAATGTTAACTGTGTCAAAGTCTACTTCCTAAAGTGAGGTGAAATAGTTCAATTCCATCAAGGTATGTCACAGCCAACTATGTTATCTGAGTTCTTTTTTAAAAAATTCAGAACCAAAAATCAAAAAACAGTAGAATATTTGCATATTTAGTAAAAAGAAATATATGTTACCTATTATATTGGTAGTTTTCTATTAAGTACTATAGTAACAAAATCAATTATAAAACATCACCTGGAAATCAAAAAAGTTAATGAACAAGTTGAAGAAACTGTGTGTGTGTGTGTGTGTGTGTGTGCATATAAAATGTAAGGAACACCCAGCACTTTGGGAGGCTAAGACGGGTGGATCATGAGATCAGGAGATCGAGACCATCCTGGCTAACACGGTGAAACCCCGTCTCTACTAAAAATACAAAAATTAGCTGGGCATGGTGACGGGTGCCTGTAGTCCCAGCTACTAGGGAGGCTGAGGCAGGAGAATGGCGTGAACCCGGAAGGTGGAGCTTGCAGTGAGCCAAGATCGTGCCACTGCACTCCAGCCTGGGCAAGAGCAAGACTCCGCCTCAAAAAAAAAAAAAAAAAAAAGTAAGGAACAAATGAATTATCAGCTCACATAAAATTATAAGCAATAAAAATAAAACAGGCATTAACAAGGACAATCATTGACACATTATCAGTTTACTGACAAAATTTAAATAATCTACACAATCTATTTGGCTTACCTCAATTTAGTTTTCTTATTTAAATTACAATCTATAAGTTCTCAATATCTTGTTTATTCTTCTTACTTTCCAACCTATATGGCCTGCTGCCTAGTGGAGAGATTTATTTTGCTGCTGCACAGGAAGTGCAAACTCAATGTATTCAAAATTAGATTGACAGTCTTACTCTCCAACATACCCGCTTTCTATCCTGTATCTATTCCCTATGTCAATGAATGACATCATAGCCTATTTAATTGCTCAACATATTGTTCTGATTATTCAGCCCCATGAATGAAGATTTTTAATACTTGGGTAATACTTTTATTCTCCATACAAGCTCCTAATATTATAAGAATGAACTAAATGCCCATGCTGATGAGCTAGTCAATACCACGTCCTTACATGATTCTTTGCATTTTCATCTTCCATGAGCTTTTCCCTCAATTCAGAAAACATATCTCCTTCCATGGTCATATTCTAGACATTGTCATCATTTGAAATTGGTCCATCTTTGAAAGTCAGAAGCCCAACATTCCACTGTCCTATTCTTTTGTCTTATTTACTAAACAGTTTTACCTCATGGTGGCCTCCAATATATCAGTTCAACCAATTCTATCTGCCTACTGCTCTCGTCACTTCTCACATTATTGGGTTCAATTACCATTAAAAATCACTCACACATATATTCTCTACTCTCTTGTCCCTTGCTTTTGTTGCATTCCTTGGTGACAGCTCAGCCTTGGATGAACCAAGCAATTACTCTCTATTTCTTTACCTTAATACTGAATGTTGTTAGAAAAACAAATCATACAACATGGCTAATTGATATGACTCACAAATACATAGCCACCAACCTGAATTGTGTGCTCAACATTACTAATGTTGCAATGTTTTTTTGGTGTGATATTTCCCATTCTCATACCTTTTTCACCCTCCTCAAACTTCCCTACACTCTTAATTGATCCAAATGTTAGCTCCCCTAAAACAGACCATCAGTCCTTCCATTTCGTTTTCTGAAATTGCTCTGTTTTCCGTTCTCTTCAAAATCTTACTTTTTATTTTTTCCTTCAAGTTTATAAGCTACATTTGGGGAAAAAAAGTCATCAGTTTTTATTTAATGATTGAACTCCAATATGGAGAGTTATAGCTGCAAATAGGTAAGTTGTTAAGTGACAGGTGTAGAATTGACTGATTGGGTAGAATTAGAAAATGAAGAGGGATTCCATTATAGGCTGGGGAGTTGGTGGTTCTTGCTATACAGTACTGAATGAAGCACCTCCTGCAATGCATTAAATTATCTAAATTATATGACACTGTGGTAAACCAAATAATGGCCCACAAAAACATCCATATTCTAATCCCTAAAATTTGCAAATGTTACCTTACATAGCAAAAGGGACATTGCAGACGTGAATGTTATGGGTCTTCAGATGAGAAGATTTTCCTGGGTTATCCAGGTGGACCCTAAATGTAATCACAAATGTCCTTGTCAGAGGAAAGCAATGGGAGATTTGACTACAGAGAAAGACAGTGTGACAATGGAAACAAGACAGATAAACGGTCTATGGTACAAGGTATAAGTCATGAGCCAAGGAAAGAAGGTGGCTTCCAGAAACTAGAAAAGGCTAGGAAACAAAGTCTCGCCTAGAGATCCCAGAAAAAAAAAAAAAACAGCCCTGCAACACCTTGATTTTAGTTCTGACCTCCAGAACTGTAAGAGAATAAATGAGTGGTTTTTCAAGCCAGTAAATGTATACATTTACATTACTATAGTAATTCGTTACGGCGGCCATAGGAAATGAATATGAATACTGCTTTTGTTTTCTGCACTTGCTTTTCACTCAATAATACACTTTTAGGCTGGGCACGGTGGTCCATGCCTGTAATCCCAGCACTTTGGGAAGCCAGGGAGGGTAGATGACTTGAGATCAGGAGTTCGAGACCAGCCTGGCCAACATGGTGAAACTCCGTCTCTATTAAAAATACAAAAATTAGCCAGACTTGGTGGTGGGCACCTGTAATCCTAGCTACTCAGGAGGCTGAGGCAGGAGAATCGCTTGAACTCGGGAGGTGGAGGTGGAGGTTGCAGTAAGCTGAGATCATGCCATTGCACTCCAGCCTGGGCAACAAGAGCAAAACTCCATCTCAAAAAAAAAAAAAAAAAAAAGAATATACTTTTGAGGTCTTTTAATGATAAAAATGTACACCTAGTTCATTCTTTTAACTGTCAATAGTCCAAAATATAAACTGCAATTGTTTTGTTTTCCTATTGAAAGACAGTTTGTTTCCAAGTTTTTACTATTATCATACTTGCAAGAACATTCTTGTATATGCCTTCAGCTACTTTAAGGTAGCCGTCTAGAAACTGAAATTCTAAGTCATAGCAGTTTTCTCTTCCTGTGTAACAAAGCACCACAAACTTAGTGGTTTAATGCAGCACATTACGTTTATTTTGTAAATAGAATTTTTCATTTTATTTAAAATGGGTCTCATGGGAATAAAATTAAGATATTGGCAAGGCTGATTCCTTCCAGAAGCTCCAAGGATAAATCTATTTTCTTGTCTTTTCCAGTTTACAGGCAGCCCACATTCCTTGGCTTGCAGCCCCATTCCATCTGTAAAGCCAGAGATTGAATCCCTCTGAAGTCTGCTTCTGATGTTGCATCTTCTGACTGTCCTGCCTCCCTCTTCCACTTACAAGGATCCTCATGATTACCTTGGGTCCACCTAGATAATTCATGATAATCTCCTCAAGTCTGTTTCTCACTGACATATAGAAGTCATATATTCTGGAGTCAACTCCTTTGTCAGTTGCATCTGTTGCTAATATCTTCTTGCAGTCTGTTGGCTGCCTTTTCATTTTCTCATTGAAGTCTTTCAATGACAGTTTTTAATATTTATAAAATCGAATTCATTATTTGTTATTTTTCTAATTAGTGCTTTTATGTATGCCATTTAAGTAATTTTTGGCTACCCAAGCTTATGAAAATATTTTCCTATGTTTTTCTTCTAGAACCTTACAGTTTTTGCTTTTACATTTCTGTCTATGATCCATCTTGAATTGATTTTTTGTGACTATATGAGGAGTCAAGGTTTATTTTTTCCATACAGGTTCCCATACTTCATTTATTGAAAAGACTAACATTTCCTCAATAAATTCCACTAGTGCCTTCCTCATAAATCAAGTTACCATTTAACTGTGGGCCTCTTTCTGGACTCTATTCTATTCCACCGAAATATTTGCCCTTGTGCCACTACCATATTGTCTTACTACTATAGTAAATCTTTGTAGTAAATCCTATAATGGTGTAGCAGAAGGTCTAAAACTTTCCTTTTCTATGCCAAGATTGTCTTGGCTATTACTCTAGGTTTTCTGCATCTCCATATAAATTTTAGGATCAATTCATCAATTTACATACACACTCAAACCCGCTGGCATTCTGGCTTGATTGTATTGATGCTGTAGTTTAATTTGGAAGAATTAACATTTTAATAATATAGAATCTGCCTATCCATTAATATGGTATCTTATTCTATTTATTTAGGTCTTTTATAATTTTTTCCTACTATGTTTTATTTTTATTGTAGAAGCTTTTAAATCTAAAAGTAGATTTAAACAGGTTGTTAAACTCATTCCTAAGTATTCAAAAGTGTGTTCAATGCTCTTATAAAAGGTCTTATTTACAATTTTATGTTCTGCTTTATGTTCCTATTATACAGAAATATAATTTAGTTTTTATTATAACCTTGTATCTAACAATATTGCTAAGTTTTTTATCCTAATGGTTTATAGATTGTTTTGTACTTTGTTAAAAGTACAAAAGTTTTATGTCTTTCTTTTCAATCTTTATTTAATTTTTTCATGCCATATTGTACTGACTACTGACTAGGACCTAGAGCAATATTCGAATAAAAGCAGTAAAAGTGGAGATCCTTGCCTTGTTCCCAAAGGGGAGAGAACATTTAATATCTTACATTATGATGTTATCTATAAATTTTTAATAGAAATCCTTCACAGATTGAAAAAAGTCTCTTCTATTTTTAATTTGCTAACATATTTATTATGAACAGGTAATAAATATATTATGAACAGGTACTATATTTTGCCAAAATTTTTTCATCTCTAGAAATGGTAATTCCAACATATAAAGTTTTTTCTCTTATATTAATGTGGCAAATTACACGATTGGTTTCAAATGCTAAATCAACCATTTATATCTGGGATAAATCCCATTGAGCATGATGTATTATGCTTCTTATACATCACTGGGCTCAATTTTCCAATCTTTTGTATCTGTCTTCATGGGGAATATTGATTTATAATTTTCATTTTAATTAGTGTTCACATAAGGCATCAGTATTAAGGCATCATAAAATGAGTTGGGACATGTTCCCTCTTTTCTCTTTTCTAAAGGAGTTTTGGTAACATTGGTATTATTTCTTCCTTAAATGTTTGGAAGAGTTTGTTAATAAACGAAGCTTGGCCTGGAATTTTCCTTGTGGGACGATTTCTCATGACACATTTCATTTCTTTAACAGGTATAGCACTATTTTAATTTTTATTTTCAATTGTGCTGGTTTAGAAGTTGTGCTTTTCAAAAAATTAATGTCATTTTAAGTTGTTAAATGTATTGGCATCAAGTTATTTATAGTAGCACATTTTCATCCCTTTTAGTATCTGCAGAATCTATGGTGATGTTCCCTCTTTCATTTTTCGTATTGGTTAGTTTGTATTTTCTCTATTCCTTGTAGTAATATATGTCTTCCTGAGGGCTTATTAATACAGATTAATTTATATCACTCTTTTCATCAAATGAACTTTTGGCTTTGTTGAGATCCTTTATTTTATACCTGTTCACATTTATTTCTGTTCTTTTATTATTTACTTCCTTCTAGCTTCTTTTGAGTTTAATCTGCTCTTATTTCTTCAGATTAACATAATTGAGTTGATTCTATTCTAATATCTAAATTTAAGTTTATAAATTTTCCCATAAGCACTATTTGCTTGCAATCTCCACATTTTGGTGTCTTTTATTTTTATTGTTGTTCATATTGAAATATTTTATACTAGAATTACATAGAAATGTGTCGCAACTTTCTTTTGACCTTGTATATAATCTTTCTTGGTAAACGGTGCATGACTATTTTCAATAGTCAATGAAAAAGAACATACATTCTGCAGTTGTTTGGTGTAACAGTCATAATGCTGCCTGGATCATCCATATCCTTATTGATTTTTGTACCCCTCCATTTTTATCATTTACTGAAAGAAGTTGGAATATTCTATTATTATTTTATCTTTGCCTATACATCTTCTTAGTTCTGTAAGCATTTGCTTTGTTATGGCAATCATTTTGTTTGTTTTTATTTATGAATACATAATAGTGGTACATATTTATGGGATGCATGTGATATTTTGACATAAGCAAAGAATATATAATGATAAAATTAGGGTAATCGGATATCCATTACCTCAAGCATTTATTATTTCTTTGTGTTAGGAACATTCCAATTTCACTCTTCGAGTTATTTTGAAATGTATATTATTGTTAACTACGGTCACCCTATTGTGCTACCGAACACTAGATTTGTCTAATGATTAACCAACCTCTCTTTTCCCTCCCCTTCGCACGACCTTTCCCAGCCTCTGGTAACTATCATTTTACTCTCTACCTCCATGAGATCAGTTTTTTTTTTTTTTCTTTAGCTCCCACATATGCATGAGAACATGCAATATTTATCTTTCTGTGCTTGGCTTATTTCACTTAACATAATGTCCTCCAGTTCTATCCATGCTGTTGCAAATGACGGGACTTCATCCTTTTATTATAGCTCAATAATAATCCATTGTGTATACACACTGTATTTTTTTACTCTATTCAGCCATTGATAGACACTTAGGTTGGTTCCGTATCTTGGTTATTATGAAGAGTGCTGTGATAACATGAGAGTGCAGATATCTCTCTGATATGCTGATGGATTTATTTCAGATATAACCAGCAGTGAAATTGCTAGATAATAGGGTAGCTCTATTTTTAGTTTTTTGAGGAAACTGCATACTGTTTTCCACAGTGGCTTTACTAATTTACATGCCCACCAGTAGTATAAAGGTGTTCCTCTTTCTTCACATCCTTGCAGCATCCATTACTGCCTATGTTTTTTCTTTTAAACTTTTAGGTTCAGGGGGACATGTACAGTTTTGTTATATATATAAACTCTTGTCACAAAGGTTTGACGTACAGATTATTTCATCGCCCAAGTCTTAAGCCTAGTACCCGTTAGTTGTTTTTCTTTTCTGCTCCTCTCCCTCCTCCCTCCTCCACCCTCTTTTAGGCGCCAGTGTGTGTTGCTCCCCTCTCTGTGTCCATGTGTTCGCATCACTTAGCTCCCATTTATAAGTGAGAACATGCAGTATTTGTTTTTTTGTTCCTGCAATAGTTTGCTAAGGATAATGACCTCCATTCTCATCCATGTTCCTGCAAAGGACATGATCCCATTCTTTTTTATGGCTGCAAAATATTTCATGGGGTATATGTACCACATTTGCTTTATCCAGTCTATCATTGATAGGCCTTCAGATTGATTCCATGTCTTTGCCATTGTGAATGGTGCTGCAATGAACATACACATGCGTCTGTCTTTATGGTAGAATGATTCATATTTATTTGGTATATACTCAGTAATCCAATGGTAGTTCTGTTTTTAGCTCTTTGAGAAATTGCTACACTGCTTTCCACAGTGGTTGAAATAATTTACATTCCCACAAACAGTGTATTAGCATTCTCTTTTCTTTGCAACCACGCCAGCATCTGTTACTTTTTGACTTTTTAATAAGAGCCAATCTGACTGGCATGAGATAGTATCTCATTGTGGTTTGGATTTGCATCTATCTAATGATCAGTGATAGTGAGTTTTTTTTAAAATATGCTTGTTGGCTGTATGCATGTCTTCTTTTGAAACGTGTCTCTTCATGTCCTTTGCCCACCCTTTTTTTTTTTTCTTTTGAGACCGAGTCTCGCTCTGCCACCAGGCTGGAGTGCAGTGGCGCGATCTTGACTCACTGCAATCTCTGCTCCTTGGGTTCAAGCTATTCTCCTGCCTCAGCCTCTTGAGTAGCTGGGACTACAGGTGAGTGCCACCACGCCCAGCTAATTTTTGATTTTTAGTAGAGACAGGGTTTCACCATGTTGGCCAGGATGGCCTCGATCTCTTGACTTTGTGATCTGTCTGCCTCGGCCTCCCGAAGTGCTGGGATTATAGGTGTGAGCCACAGTGCCTGGCCCCTTTGCCCACTTTTTAATTGGATTGTTTTTTTCTTGTAAATTTGTTTAAGTTTCTTATAGATGCTGGATATTAGACCTTTGTCAGATGGATGGTTTGCAAAAATTGTCTCCCATCCCGTAGGTTGTCTGTTCCCTCTATTGATAGTTTTCTTTTGTTGTGCAGCTCTTAAGTTTAATTAGATCCCACTTGTCAATTTTTGCTTTTGTTGTGATTGTTTTTGGTGCCTTTGTCATGAAACCATTGCCTGTTCCTACAACCAGGATGGTACTCCTAGGTTGCCTTCCAGAGATTTTATAGTTTGGGGTTTTACATTTGTCTTTAATCCATCTTCAGTTGATTTTTGTATATGGTATAAGGAAGGGGTCCAGCTTCAATCTTTGGCATATAGCTAACCAGTTATCCTAGCACCATTTTTTCTAGGCTTTCTATTCTGTTCCATTGGGTATATGCCTGTTTTTGTACCACTACCATGCTGTTTTGGTTACTCTAGCCCTGTAGTATAATTTGAAGTCGGGTACTGTGATGCTTCCGGCTTTGTTCTTTTTGCTTAGGATTGCCTTCGCTGTTTGGGCTCTTTTCTGGTTCCATATGAATTTTAAAATACTTTTTTCTAGTTCCGTGAAGAATGTCATTGGTGGTTTGATAGGAATACCATTGAATCTGTACGTTGCTTTGGGCAGTATGGCCATTTTAACAAAATTGATTTTTCCTATTTATTCCATTTGTGTCTTCTTTGATTTCTTTGAGCAGTGTTTTATAGTTCTTGTTGTAGAGATTTTTCACCTCCCTTATTAGCTGTATTCCTGTGTATTTTATTTTTTTGTGGCAAATGTGCACGGGATTGCATTCCCAATTTGGATTTTGGCTTGACTGTTGTTGGTGTATAGGAATGCTAGTGATTTTTCTACATTGATTTTGTATCCTGAGACTTTGCTGAAGTGACTTATCAGCTTATGGAGCTTTGGGGCCAAGACTATGGGATTTTCTAGATATAGAATCATTTCATCTGCAAACAGGGATAGTGCAACTTCCTCTATTTCCATTTGGATGTCCTTTATTTCCTTCTCTTGCTCTGGCCAGGACTTGCAATACTATTTTGAATAAGAGTGATGAAAGAGGACATCTTTGTCTTGTGCCAGTTTTCAAGGGCGATGCTTTGAGCTTTTTCCCGTTCAGTATAATGTTGTCTGTGGGTTTGTCATATATGGCTCTCATTATTTTGAGGTATGTTCATCCAATACTTAGTTTGTTGAGAGTTTTAACATGAAGGGATGTTGAATTCTATCAAAAGCCTTTTCTGCATCTATTGAGATGATCACGTGGTTTTTGTCTTTACTTCTGTTTATGTGATAAATGACATTTATTAATTTGTGTATGTTGAACCAACCTTGCATCCCAGGCATAAAGCCTACTTGATCATGGTGGGTTAGCATTTTGATTTACTGCTGGATTTGGTTTGCTAGTAATTTGTTGAGGATTTTTGCATTAGTGTTCATCAAGGATATTGGCATGAAGTTTTCTTGTATGTTGTATCTCTACCAGATTTAGGTATCAGGATGATGCTGGCCCTCATAGAATGAGTTAGGGAGGAGTCCTTCCTCCTCAATGTTTTGGGATAGTTTCAGTAGAAATGGTACCAACTCTCCTTTGTACATCTGGTAGAGTTCAGCTGTGAATCCATCTGGTCCTGAGTTTTTGGTTTTTTGGGGTTTTTTTTTTTTTTTTTTGGTTGGTAGGCCATTTATTACTCATTCAATTTTGGAGCTTATTATTGATCTGTTTAGGGATTCAATTTCTTCCTGGTTCAGTCTTGGGAGGGTGTATGTGCCCAGAATTTATCCATTTCTTCTAGATTTTCCAGTTTGTGTGCATGGTGGTGTTCTAATAGTCTCTAGCGTTAGTTGTATTTCTGTGGGGTCAGTGGTAATACCCCTTTTGTCATTTCTGATTGAGTTTATTTGGATCTTCTCTCTCTTCTTTATTAGTCTAGCTAGCAGTGTATTTATCTCATTTTTTTTTTTTTTTCAAAAAAACTGCTCCTGTGTTTGTTGATCTTTTGAATGGTTTTTCATGTCTCACTTTCTTTCAGTTCAGCTCTGATTTTGGTTATTTTTTGTCTTCCACTAGCTTTGGGGTTGGTTTGCTCTTGGTTCTCTAGTTCTTTACTTGTGACGTTAGGTTGTTAATTTGAGATCTTTCTAACTTTTTAATATGGACATTTACTGCTATAAATTTTCCTCCTAACACTACCTTAGCTGTGTAGAGATCCTGGTATGTTTTATCTTTGTTTTCATTAGTTTCAAAGAATTTCTTGACTTCTGCCTTAATTTCATTATTTACCCAAAAGTCATTCAGGAGCAGGCTCTCTAATTTCTATTTAATTGTATGGTTTTGAGTGATTTTCTTAGTCTTGAGTTCTATTTTTATTGTGCTGTGGTCCAAGAGAGCGGTTGGTATGATTTCAGTTATTTTCCATTTTCTGAGGATTTCTTAATCTCTGATTGTGTGGTTGATTTTAGTGTATGTGCCATGTACAGATGAGAAGAATGTACACTCTGTTGTTTTCAGGTGGAGAGTTACGTAGATATCTATTACATTCATTTGGCACAGTGTTGACTTCAGGTCCTGAATATCTTTGTTAATTAATTTTCTGCCTCTCTGATCTGTCTAATACTGTCAGTTGGGTGTTGAAGTCTCCCACTATTATTCTGTGTGAGTTTACATCTCTCTGAAGGTCTCTAAGAAGTTACTTTATGAATCTGGGTGCTCCTGTGTTGGGTGCATATATATATTTGAAGTAGTTAGGTCTTCTTGCTTGAATCCTTTATGTAATGCTCTTCTTTATCTTTTTTATCTCTGTTGTTTTAAAGTCTGTTTTGCCTGAAACTAGGATTGCAACCCTTACTTTTTTTCTGTTTTCCATTTGCTTGGTAGATTTTTCTCCATCCCTTTATTTTGAACCTATGGGTGTCACTGCATGTGAGACGGGTCTCTTAAAGACAGCGTACCATTGGTTCTTCATCCAACTTGCCACTCTGTGCCTTTTAATTGGGCATTTAGCCAATTTACATTCCAGATTAGTATTGATATTTGTGGATTTGATCCTGTCATCATGTTGTTAACTGTTTATTATGCTGACTTGTTTGTGTGGCTATTTTATAGCGTCATTGGTCTCTGTACTTACATCTCTTTTGGAGTGAATGATAACGGTCTTTTCTTTCCATATTTAGTCCTTCTTTCAGGAGCTCTTGTAAGGCAGGTATACTGGTAATGAATTCCCTCAGCATTTGCTTGTCTGAAAAGAATCTTATTTCTTCTTTGATTATGAAGCTTAGTTTGGCTGGATATGAAACTCTTAGTGAGAATTTCTTTTTTTAAGAATGTTGAATACAGGCCCCCAATCTCTTCTGGCTTGGAGGATTTCTGCTTAGAGGTCCACTGTTAGTCTGATAGGCTTCCTTTTGTAAGTGTCCTGTCCTATAACAATTTTTCTTTCATTTTGACCTTGAAGAATCTGATGATTATGTGTCTAGGTGATGATCTTCTTGTGAAATATATTGTGGGGGTTCTCTGCATTTCCTGAATTTGAACGTTGGCCTCTCTAGCTAGGTTGGGGAAGTTCTCATGAATAATATTCTGAAATATGTTTTCCAAGTTGCTTTCATTTTTCCCATCTCTTTCATGATGGCTGTGAGTCATAGATTCATTCTCTATACATAATTCCATATTTCTTGGTGGTTTGGATTGTTCCTTCATTATTCATTATTCTTTTTTATTTTTGTCTGTCTTATTTCAGAAAGCTAGTCTCCACACTCTGAGATTCTCTCCTTAGCTTAGTCTATTCTGCTGTTAATATTTGTTATTGCATTATGAAATTCTTGTAGAGTGTTTTTCAGCTCTGTCAGGTTGTCACGTCCTTTCCTATGCCAGCTATTTTGTCTGTCTGCTCCTGTATCATTTTATTGTGATTCTTAGCTTCCTTAAATTGGGTTTCAATGACCTCCTGAAAATCGGTGATCTTCCTTCCTATCCATATTCTGAATTCCATTTCTGTCGTTTCAGCCACCTCCATCTGGCTAAGAACCCTTGTTGAAGAACTAGTGCCATTATTTGGAGGAAAGAAGACACTTTGACTTTTTGAGTTGTCAGAGCTTTTGTGCTGGTGCTTTCTTGCCTTTGTGGGTTTATGTTCCTTCAGTCTTTGAAGTTGCTATCCTCTAGATGTGTTTTTTTCTTTGATCCTATTTGATGACCTTGGGGGTTTGATTGTGGTATAAGATGGGTTCAGTTGACTAGCTTCATTACTGGAAGATTTTAGGAGGCCAGGCCAAAGCTTAGCTCAGGACTCCTGCACTGTGTGTTCTAACTCTGTTTGACTGGATTGGGCCTGGCTTTGATTTTGGCTCCTCAAGGTTAGGACCCTGCTGCACTGGAAGGGCCAAGGTGCTCCTAGACTGCTAGTCACGACACTCCAATGGGTGGTGCCAGCCAAAATACTTTGTAGGGTGGTGGCAGCAGGATCGGCTTTTGTTCACTTATGCCAGCAGCAGTGGCAGTGGCAGTGCAATGGGGTACATGCTTGTTGGTTACAACAGGGAGCTAGCAGGTGCTGCAATGCCAGCCTCTGTGTAGTATCAGTAGGGCTGGGGGTGCAGGGCCCTTGTTCACACCAGTGGTGGTGTTAGCACAGGAGCAGGGCACTGGTGGGTACAGGACGGTATGTGCCCTCTGTGCATGTTTGTGCTGGCAGCAGTGGCCACTCTGTGCTTGAGGCAAGGGGTCTGCTGTTCTCTGTGCCTAGTTTTCCAACAGCAGCCCCAGTGCAGAAATGGGACACTGGCAGGGGCAGGGCTGGTGGGCTCTGTGCCCGCCAACACTCTGACAACAAAGGCAGTATGGCACGGCAGGGGGCAGGGTGCATTCATGCTGGTAGCAGTGACATGGCATGGCACACCCACACATGCACACTAACAGGGAAGAGAAGGCTAGGTCCGCTTGTGCACACACATGCCAGCAAAGTGATATGGGGGTGGCCATGGGTGATTGCCTGTAGGCAAATTGGTATGGGGAAGGCTGCACTGGGGGACAGTATGGGCGGGCTGCTGCAGGCAGCTCTGCTGAAGCACTCTGTTGGTCAGGTGTGGTCCACTAGTGCAGGAGCTATGATTTTGGTCCCCAGCCGGTACCTAGGGGCTGCACTGCAAGCAGTCACAGCCAGGCTGGGGCCCCAGGAGAGGCTGTCAGAGCAAAGGGTGGGTTGAACTAGTCCTATCTCATGGGCAAGACTGCCCTGCAGAGTTCAGGTTCAACAGTTACACTAGGGTTGAAGTCTTGAAGTCTCCTGTGGGAGCAAATTGATACTAAGGGGATGGGTATTCCTGGCTGTGCTCCCCTACAGATGCTCCTGCACCAAACTGTCCTGGGCTCCCTACCAGATGAATTCTGTCTCTACTACCTCTCTAAGCAGCTCTCTCTCTCAACTCAAGTGTCCGTGATGTTCAAGAAGTCTCCTCCTACTGGGATTTCAGAGGCCCATGGTGAGAGCAGGTTGTCCTTGCCAGTTAAACTCACCCCCTCCACATTGCCTGGCTTTTTGACAAAAGCTTTTTAAATTGGGGTGACATGATATCTCATTATAGCTTTTATTTGCATTTCTCTGATGATTAGTGATGCTGAGCATTTTTTCATGTATCTTTTGGCCATTTGCATGCCTTTTTAAAAATGCTTACTCACATCTAAAAAATCAGTAGTGTTTTGATATGCCAACAGTGAACAATCTGAAAAATAAGTATAGAAAATAATCTCACTTACAATAGCTACATATAAAATTAAATACCTAGGAATAAATTTAACCAAAGAAGTGAAAGATCTCTACATTGAAAATCATAAAGCATTGATGAAGGAATTGGAAGAGAACAGAAAATAATGGAAAGATATTTCATGTTCATGGATTGGAAGAATCAATATTGTTAAAATATCCATACTACCCAAAGCAATCTACAGATTCAGTACAATCCCTATCAAAATACCAATAATATTCTCCATAAAAATAGAAAAAATAATCCTAAAATTTATATGGAACAACAAAAGACCTGGAATAGCCAAGATAATTCTGAACAAAAAGAACAAAGCTGGAGGCATCACACTATCAGACTTCAAATTATATTATAAGCTATAGTAACAAAAACAGCATGGTACTCACATAAAAAACAGACACATAAACCAATTGGAATAGAATAGAGAACCTTGAAATAAATCCACACATTTACAGTCAACTCATTTTTGACAAAGGCACCAAGAACATACACTTGGGAAATGACAGTCTCTTCAGTAAGTGGTGCTGGGAAAACTGGATATCCCTATCCAGAAGAATGAACCTAGACCCTTATCTCTCACCATAGGCAAAAATCAAATAAAAAATGTATTAAACATTTAAATCTAAGACTTGCAACTATAAAACTACTAAAATAAGACACTGGGGAAATTCTCTAGAACATTACTCTGGGTAAAGATTTCTTGAGACCTCAAAAGCACAGGCAACCAAAGCAAAAATGGACAAATGGGACAATATCAACTAAGAAACACAGCAAAGGAAACAATCAGCAAATTGGAGAGACAAACCACAGAATGTAAGAACATATTTGCAAACTACGCATCTAACAAGGGATGAAACCAGAATATTCAAAGAGCTCAAACAACTCAATAGCAAAAAATCAAATAATCCAAAATAAAATGGGCAATAGAAAGGTTATAATTCCCTGAACTGAAATAATTTTTTATTTTTTATTCATTTATTTGTTTATTTTGAGATGGAGTCTTGCTCTGTCGCCCAGGCTGGAGCGCAGTGGCTTGATCTCAGCTCACTGCAAGCTCCGCCTCCCGGGTTCATGCCATTCTCCTGCCTCAGCCTCCCGAGTAGCTGGGACTACAGGCGCCCGCCACCACGCCCAGTTAATTTTTTGTAGAACTGAAATAATTTTGAAAGTACTTTGAAAAATGGAATATGTGGTAGATATTTGGACATTTTAGAACTGTGGAGAAGACTGACCTTTCCTTTCATCACTCTAACAGGAAGATTTGTCCTACCTCCTCATTTATTCTATCCACAGTAGCTTCTGGAGATCCTCTTATCAAAAATGGCTACTGTTGGCCAGGCGCAGTGACTCACTCCTGTAATCCCAGCACCTTGGGAGGCCGAGGCAGGCAGATTGCTTGAGCCCAGGAATTTGAGACCAGCCTGGCTAATATGGCAAAACCCTAAATCTACAAAAAATACAAAAATTAGCCAGGCATGGTGGCACATGCCTGTAGTCCCAGCTATTCATGAGGCTGAGGTGTGAGTATTGCTTGAGTCCTGGAGGCAGAGGTTACAGTGAGACAAGATTGCTCCACTGTACTCCAGCCTGGACGTACTATGCTACTGTCTCTACTTCCTGCCCTCCTCTTTCTTCATCACTTTTGTTTCTCTCCGGAAAAGTTTAGAGGACCCACTTTTTTTTCCTCAGGGGGGAAACACTGAGAGATGAATAGTGTAAGGCATGTGGAAAGGGTGAGAAGCTTCCATGACCTCTCCAGGTGCCTCAGCACCTCCCCAACCGGTATCCTTTTGGGCTTTTATAAAGGAGGCTTCATTACATAAGCATGGTTGATCATATCATTAGCGATTGGTGATCACATCATTAGCCACTGGTGATCAACTCAACCTTCAGCCTCTCTCCCCTCCCTGGAGATTGGGGGTGGGACTGACAGTTCCAACCCTCTAATTACATGGTTGGCTCTTCTGGCAACCAGCCTGGCTCCATCCTGAGGTTATCTTGGAGCCTTCAGCCAGGAGTCACCTCATTAGCATCCAAAAAGACATTTGTCACTTGAAATTCCAAGGGTTTTTGGAGTTGTCTGCCAGGAACCAAGGGCAGAGATCAAATATGTATTTCTTATTATATCACAATATCAGAGGTATACAACATATTGTTTTGATAAACATATATATTGTGAAGTGATTACTGCAATCAAGCTAATTAATCTATCCAACCCCTCATACTCTGTGTGTGTGTGTGTGTGTGTGTGTGTGTGTGTATGTGCGTGCACGTGCTCATGCTAGGGACAGTTAAGGTAATGTCTTATCAAATTTCAAGTATGCAATATGGTATTATTAACCATAGTTACTCTGTTGTGCATGGGATCTCCAGATCTTATTTGTCTTATAAGTGAAAATAAATGTATCCTTTGAACAAAATTTCCCCATTTCCTCATCCCCCCATCCCCAGGCAGCTACCTTGCTACTCTCTGTTTCTATCAGTCTGATGCTTTCAGATTCCACATAAAAGAGAGACGCAGTATTTGTCTCTCTGTGTCTGGCTTATTTCACTTAACATAGTGTCCTCTAGGTTCATCCGTGTTGTTGCAAATGAGAGGATTTCCTTCTTTCTAAGACTGAATAAAGTTTGTTATACATAGTAAATATTAAATACAAATACATAATGGAATAATATTCATCCTTATATAATAGTACATATACACACCACATTTTTCATCTATATTCATCTATGAACATTTCAGTTGTTTCCATATCTTGGTTATTTTGATGTCAACCTGACATAATCAAAAGAATCAAGATCCAGTTTAAAGAGTTTATCAAGTGAAAAGCTAGGAATAGCCTTCCAAGATATACAGACTCAAGAGAAATGAGGTCAGTGTGTTGAAGTTAAAAGTTAAAGTTTGCTTATATAGGAAAAAACAAAAAACAAAAAAAAAAAACAATGAAACTTAACAAGGTTACAAGATTTTCCTTTTTTTTTTTTTTTTTTTTTTTTTTTTTTTGAGACAGAGTTTCACTCTTGTCACCCAGGCTGGAGTACAATGGTACGATCTCAGCTCACTGCGACCTCTGCCTCCTGGGTTCAAGTAATTCTCCTGCCTCAGTCTCCCGAGTAGCTAAAATTGCAGGCACCTGTCACCAGGCCCAGCTAATTTATTTGTATTTTTAGTAGAGACAGAGTTTCACCATGTTGGGCAGGCTTGTCACAAACTCCCGACCTCAGGTGATCTGCCCGCCTCAGCCTCCCAAAGTGCTGGGATTACAGGTGTGAGCCACCACGCCCTGCCAGTTACAACATTTTCTATACAAGGCTGACCTGAATGGATTGTATCATCAGGAACCTGAGCCCTGTGGCTTCTGGGTGAGTTTAGCCAATCAGGAGCCCTGGCAGATCAGAGAGAGGGAGCTAAGAAAGATCATCTGTACTTTTTCCCCTTGCTGTCTTTCTAAGACTCACCTGGGATTAACTGTATTCTTCAATATATGGTCACTGCTAGGCTCAAACAAGGGGAGAAAGAAATATACAATTCCTTTAATTTCCTATAACTTTTCCCTTTTTTCTTTGCTTTGATTTGGGGTTAGAAATGGTGACATTCCCACTGCAGCTGGACCCAGGTTCCTGTACTCTTACATGCAATTCCCCTAATCCTCTCTCATCTTTATAAATCACCTCTGGATGAATAAACTCTTTGCATTATCTTGAGACTGCTGTTCCTTCCATCTTGACACTTAACTGATACAGAAGGTAAATGTATTGATTATGCTTACATTCTTTAAAGTTCAAAATAAAAATTTAAATACTGTTAAAGAAACAGGGGGTAGTAATTGAGAGACGATTGTGTTTTACATACCAGGTGATGTACTGTAAGACATGTTATTTAGAAGTATTAATATTTTGCTGCCATTGCTAAATGAACTCAATTCAATCAATGAGATAGAATAATTCAGCCAGTTTTAATGAAGAGAAAACATCTGTATTGGTGTCATTCTTGATTTCCCAGCATATAGTATGCAAACTGCAACGTATTCTCCATCACCACGTCTAGTCCTCACAAGACACTGCAAAGAAGGTGTTTTTAAAATGAGAAAACTGTAACTGAGAGAAAGTAACTTGCCTAAGTTTATGGAGCTATTAAGCATATGAGCTAGGATGTGAATCCGGGTCTATGAGCCTCAAAGTCATGTTCTTTCCACTACATCATGCTGCCTCCCAAGTAGACGAGTGCCTTCTCCATGGAAATGTGGGATCCTGAACTGCCCAGATATTTTGATATTGTGAATTAAAAGCCAACTTGATGTAGGTATTGGGAAGTATTTAATTCATTATAATCCTGTCTTTTTTCTTCAAATAATTTCCTTTTTTTAAATTATTTGCCTTGATCCAATGTGAGGGAACATTTGGAAGTGTCATACTGGAGTGTCAACATCATAGCTAAATGTTAGGCTCTAAATTTTATGATGTAAATATTTACAAAGTATGTGCCAGATCACCAGAGTAACCATCCAGTTCATGTCCTGGTTTTGGAATCGTACACTGCACTAACGACAGAGGAAGAAAGTTGAACAAAATTTCAATGTCTGATGGCAGCACAACATGGCCCAGCAGTTTTTGCCCCCTTTTCACTTTCCATGCACTTACCTTCTTGACCAGAATATAATTGGTAATAACACTGTGATGTCCAAGGCCAGTGCCTCAGAATTTGCATCTGTAATGTATAAGTCTCTTCTTGTAATCTACGAGGGCTGGCTTTAATCTTGTCATGTTTTAATTCCATACTGACCACCTTTGGAGACTAAGAAATAGCCCACCATTTTTTCCCAGCAGAAAATAAGAAAAATAGTCACATAATTGATTGAAAAATTAAAACCGCTAACAGTTTAGATCTTTCTCCAAGTAAGAGGAGATTGCTGGCAAAGAACTAACCCACAAGGTATTTTTTCCAGAAACTCTCACTTCATTATCCCTGTTAAAGAGTTTAAATTGCTGAATTACTCCTTTTGTGGCATGTCATTTTAATTCTGTCAGTAGTGTTATATAGAAAAGCTCAGTGTCCAAACCTTGGAATTTATCAAAAAGTAGTTGAAAACAATGCAAACTCTAGCCACTTACTAAAATTAGAGATTATTTTTAATTCCTTTTATGACATATCTCAACCCTATAATCTAAAGCATTTCTGAACATCTCAAAGAGACATAATTTCAATAAAAGCATATTCTGGGGCAGTTTCTCTCAATTTTTCTTATCTGACACATAAAATTTTGCAGAGTAATATATTTTCTTAGACTGTCAAACACATAAAGAGAGCATTGCTCCTCTTGTAGAATTTTTAGTTTTTTCTAGTTTTGATGGATATTATTATTTCTATTTGTTATACCTCCTTTCTAAATTAGTCTTGGTTTTTCTTTTTGAGAGTGGCCATAAGCTCTAGCCCCCGCCCTGACTAGAAATTCAAGGGATTTGGTTGCAAATGTTTATGGTGTGTCTTAAATGGGATACTTCTTTATCCTGGCAGAAGGCCTAATACCCAAGTGACCTGAGGCCAGGTATCCCTTTCACAGGAATCTTACTTACACTGGCAGATGCCCTTGTGAGTCTCGTCTGACCTGTGTCTAGTTTGTTCCTACCAAGATAGCCACTGTCTAAAAAAGAACCCGGACCGGAAAGAATGTTAGGTTCAGGAATATATGTTTCAAGTGAGACCCAATGAGGAAATGAAACTAAAATGTATGTAACAGAAGACTGTTATCACTTACGGGTCCTGGAATGCTTAGGGGAACTGATGGGGAAATCCTGACGCAGCAGGGAGTTAAGCCAGAGGGTGATGGCAGGTAGAAGGAAAAAGAAGAAATGAGGGAGGGAAGGAAAAAGCAGAGGGAGAGAAGGAAAAAGGAGAGGGAGATAGCAGAGGGAGAAGGACAGAGGGACAGAGAGAATTTGTGGGACTAAGTGTTTATTAAGGTTGATGGGCATGATCCCACAGGCTTTCTCTTAGAAGTTGTGGATTGGCTAGTTTAAAGAAAGAAAACACATACAAAGGGAGGACCTTATTTACGTGACCCTGGTGTTGACCATTAAGGTTTTATTGTGGTCGGCATCTATGATGTGTTTGGGGTTTGGGGTAACTGATATGAGGAACGAGGAGGCTACATCATAAGCAACCACACAGGAAGAAAAAGATTTAACTAGGTCAAGGGTGACAGGGCACAACAGGGTTTGAACAACTTATAGCAGACTAAAAATGGGTGAAAAGGCAGCAAGTATATTAGACAAATTTATGACACACACACATATTAGTATGTAAACCCTCTGTTAGGGCTGCCTTAAGGTCATCACCTTTCATATACACTTATATGCATATATTTCATATTTTAGATAATGATTTTAAGGCAGCCACAACAGAGATAATGTACTGTTTGTATGCATTTCCAGAAAATTTTTATATAAACTTCCAAGATGATATAGGCTGTATCTGAACAGCTCTTGAAAAAAAACTGCAGGAAAATTATTATAAATTTGCAAACATGCACATTTCATGATTTTGTTCTTCTTTGTTTCAAAGGAAATTCTCCCTTGGTTTTGGTACTTTATTGACATGATTTTTAAAATATTTTATAAAACTGATTAAGATAATTCACTGCTGCAGGTGTTACCCTTATACAGTGAGCTGTTAATAACATCATTCACACTTGCAAAATGATTCAGCATCTGGTTCAAAGCTCCCTCTTCCAGAGGGCCTAATAGCTGCTAGAGAAGTATTCATGGGAAAAACAAGCAATATCACTGGTGGTATAGATGTCATGGAATGTTGATTCTTTCCTTCTCAACTTCCCCTTGCTTAACAAGGCAGAAGCCTTGTTAAAGTGTCAGTGGTGGAGATAATAAGACATTGCACTTCCATAGCCCCTTTCAGATCACATAGTGTTATTCTGAGCATTAATTAGCAAAGTCACAAGAATAGTCAGGAAGAAGGGGAAGGGGCATGGATATGAAACCTACCCCAGAGCAAGACTCAAAGCAGCAGTTTACAACAGGAGGCAAAGAAGATTGTGTCTAATTAGAACTTCAGGGATAATTTCAAAAGGCCTGGTGTAATTACCTGAGTGGGAAGTGAGCCAGGTGGAGGGTAACACCTCTACTCAGGAGAAAAAGTTCTATTTATATTCCTGGGCTCCTTCAACTATAATTCTAAGTGCCCATGAAGGAAAATAAGATTTCTACCTTTCAAAATGTTGTATTAAGTATATTTTAAGGTTTCATGAGCCATTATTTTTACTGGAACTTTTACATCGTTAAACAACAAATGACCTGTTAATCCAATATTAAATTTAGTCCCATTTTGAGTTAAAGGTACACAGTCTGAAATCTCCATTCCAGGGTTCTTGCCGTAAAGTTTAATGAAAACTATCTGACTAAGAAGTGATCACATTAATCATGTTTTAACCAGCACATATATTCAAAATGGCTTTCAAATACAATTTTTAAACAAACTTTTAAGAACTCAGATTGTAGAAAACTATAGTATAAAATAATGGCAAATGTAATTTAAAACATAGAAATATCCCAATTTCCATTGGTTTATGACAAAAAATATTCTTTGAAGAGAATGAAAAAAAAATGAATGTGGGATAAGTGAGTAGTTTCAACTTTGAGTAACAATGCAGTCGAAGTAACATGGATACACTTAACATTTTACCTAGTAGACACACATGTAGTATCTCACATACATTTGTTTAAAAAAGAGAAAGCTTGCTTTGAAATGTAATGAAACCATGTTGAGAAGCAATAAAATGTTAGGTTTCTTTATATTCAGCACATAAGCTGTTTTTAAATTCTTCTAGGCAATTTTTTTCATATGGTAGGACTGACAACAAACAATTAGGCCATTACTGTGCTTTTCAATGTAGCTGCTTATTGCTTTTATATTAAAGGTGAAAATTATAGAGCTCTCTACTTTTATTTTTGAGATCCCTAATAGGATGTGGCCAGCCGTGATGTGAGTTTTACTATATTGCCTTGCCAATGATTTTAACTTGATACTAGATCAAGGCCATGGGGGCATACCATTCTCTTGGGAGTAGAGAGACATACTATATCTACTAGGTTGTGCTTATCATGTGAGGCAGCTTTACACATGAACTACTGTCTACTAGTCAAAACTGCAGATTAGTCCTACAGAATGAACGAGAACGAGGAGATCTGTCGCCAAATGTGCATCCCACTAACTAGCAGCAGGTATTTAGGCCCTGCAATAAGGACCGGTATCATGGCTGTGAACGTAATGAAGAATTTGAAGGGAATCTGGGTTATGATAACACAATGTCATGACACAATAACAAGGTAAGAAATCAGAAAGTCAGACGTATGTTTTATAGTTATTGTGCTTTCTCTTAGCATGTCTTTGATTTCAAAATTCATAGACGTGACATTTCTAGGATTGACCTCTTTTCAGGACTCTCTCAGCTGCAGACTCTTCCTGTGCCTTGGATAAACGTCACTGCATGCAGAGAGATAGGCAGGGGCAAAATTTGCAGGGTTCACTTCCAAGCACCACCCAACTTCCTAAGTCTAAGTCATTTGAGTCTGCAAAAGAAGTAGATCTGATTCAGTGAGTTTCTGTGTGATGCCCAGTTCCTTGTGCTGCTGCTCATGTGCAGGCTTGACTGTAAATTGCCTCCCAGAAAAGTCCCACCCTTGCCTTGGCTTCTTAGCTGTCACAGAACAGAACATATGGGAGGCAGGGATAGGAAGAAGCTCAAGAGGAGGTCAAAACATTGGGTCAATGGTCATCTCAGGTTTTCATGAGACCAACCCTTGCATCCTTAGGCAAAATGTAAACAGCTATTACTCTGGCCAGGGCTTAGGGTGCATGAGAATATAGAAAGTGGACACTATTTTCCTGCATGCTGAGTCTTTTCCTTAAACCGAGACCTTTGGCTTACAATTTCAGACTGTAATTACCCTATCTCTTAACTATTATTAAAGCTTCTATTGATCGGCCATTGAGTATGTAATAGCATTTCACTAAAATCGGAGTATCTGGGAATGATTAGAAGTATTTACTGGAAATCTGATTTGGCTAAAAGCAAAGCATCTGGCCAGTTTCTGACTTCCTTCACTTAAGATTTCTAGTCCCCAAAGGTAGAGAAAGTACAATGATCTTAAGTTAATGTTTAGATTCTCTTTTTGGTAGATTGGGATAATATGACCATGTAATCTTTAGTAACTTGATAATGAGGAGACAGAAAAGCTAAGCATAATTAAATGGAGTACCCTAGATATCAGGAGAGTAAGAGAAGATCAAAACAAATACACAAGTAAACACGCAAAAGGGATAATTCTAGATCAGGTGCAGTGGCTCACGCCTGTAATCCCAATGCTTTGAGAGGCCAAGGCAGGAGGATTTCTGGAGGCCAGGAGATTGAGACCAACCTGAGCAACATAGTGAGACCCCATCTCTACAAAAAAGGCAGGGGGTAGGGCTAATTCTATGGCCTAAAAAACATCTCAAAAAGAAAACCGGCAGACAATAGTGGAAAGATATCAAAAATCAAATATTTTTTCATAGCTGTTCTCAACGAAAAAAATAGAGGTATATAAAGCAGAAGAATTTCTCTGGTAAGTTCAGGCTAGAAGAAGAGTATGTACAAAAAGTGACCAGGAAGGCCTCCAACCAGGAAGACTTTAGAAACGGCATAAACTTTTAAGAGAGTGTCAGGCTAAATTCAGGAATGTGCTGAAGCATTGGAAAGTTAAAGAAACATACCATAGGAGAATTCTTTTAAACCAATACATTATTTTCAGAGCTGGAACAAGCTCTATAAGACAAAGCTGTTTTATTTTGGGTCACAGTAGTATAATGCCATCAATTTTGCTACAGATGTGAAAATTATGACCCAGAGTACAAAGATATAACCAACAGCACACAGCTAATAAAGGCAAAAGCCTAGACCATATCCCAGTTCTTCTGAATGCATATCCTGTGCTCTCCTAACCACTGAAGCACATCTTACCAGGTGACTTAAGATATGTTTAAGGTGCTCTCCTTTGGGATGAAAAACCACTAAATAAGGGCTGGATAGGGGAGCCCTGGCTTAATAGTAGCATGCTTAAAAATAGCTTAGCTTTTTCGGCAGACTTACTACTCTCTCGTTTCATCATCTGCTTAATATCATGTAAATAATCTTCGGCTATATTTGTATATTAGTCACTATGGGGTCCCATAATAAAATACCATAGCCCTGCGTGGTTTTTAAACGATGGAAATTTGGTTTCTCACAGTTCTGAAGCTCAAGGTGCAAGCCACTTCTGCTCCTGGTGAAGGCCTCTTCCTTACCTCCTCCTTGCTGTCTCCTCATATGGTGGACATAGAGGGAAGCAAACTCTCTGGTGTCTCTTCTTAAAAGGGAATTGATGCCAACATGGGGTCCTCACCCTCATTACTTCATCTAAACCTAATTACCTCCCAAAGGCCCATCTCTAAAAACAGTCACATTTGGGGTTAGGGTTTCAACATATGAATCTGGACACAACCCAGTCCATAACAACATGTTGTAATATATTTTGGCTGGACAACCTCAGGAAAACTGTGTTCATTTATGGGTACATTTAAGGCAAACAAAGGCTACAATCCTCACTCAGAAGAGAGAAATCAGAATGGAAAAAAATTTGACACCAAGTCATTTGTGCAAGATTTAAAGCAGGAGTTGTCCACTCAAGTATTTACAGTACCCAGATCACTCATATAAATACCTGAAATAGAATAGAAGCAGAAAAATATTTCTCTACTATTAGGGAGAAAATCAGTGTAAGCTTGAGGATAAAGAAAAACTGATAGTCTCTCTCAGGAGATGCAGCACAATGGGAGCGATGGGGACTATGGCACACCGGAAAACCTATGCTATTTTAAAGGGGGCAGCACCACCCTCCGCTAGCCAATTACCATCTGTAGAAATGTTTACCCAGTGTCACTACTACTCCTTATTTTTTCAAGTGAAAATTGAAATTTGGGTATTTATATAAAACTTCCGAATTTTTATGTCTTGGCTCAATTAATAAAACAAACAACAACAGCAAAATCCCTGTGTGAAATAAACAAACCGTCTCCGAACTTGAGCAGGAGGTTCATAGGCCAATACTTTGCTACCTCTGAGGTAAAGGACCTAGGGATGTTTATTCTGAACAAGGAAAAATCTAAGTGGTAACTTCCATTTCTTAAAAAGGATATTAGGTGGGAGAAGAAATGAGTTATCCTTTCCGGTCCTGGCTGCAGAGTGAAAACATTTTATGGGGGTAGATTCTAAGGAAGAAGTTTTAAGAGAGATGTCTGAAGATGTTCCCCAAAGGGATTGCTTCAGTCAACTGCTGCTACTGCAAGAGATAATAAAATTTTGGCTCTAATCAGGAAGGATACATAAAACCAACAGAATATTGCCTTATATGTATCCAAGCCATATCTTCTACCCAAATAAGTATATAGTTTCAACCATTAAATTTTAAGAAATTTGTAATTTATCTGAACATGCTAAGGAGAAGAAACATAAAATATCAAAGAAATTGTGCTACTCCTTATAGGAACAAATATAAAAGATTGAAAATCTTTAGTCTATAAATAAGATGGAATGGGGATCTATAATTATTATAGATTAATACTTAATATGCTAATGCATGATCTGCATTTCTTAAGGGGCTATGACATGCTGACTCTCTCTGACTTATTTGTCCTTATCCAATGGAATCTGTCGACCCTTCTGCTCTGTAGGGACATCTTGTGCAATTCATAATTCCATAGAAAACACTTGGGAAGCTCTGCCATAGATCATAATCTTAGAATATTTGAATTACAGTTACTCAGAGGTCAATATAATTTTTCATTTTTCTGATGAAGTAACTAAGACTGAAGAATTAAGTCATTTTTACTAGTTTCCTGGGTAGAGACAATGAAACTAATAAAACTCATAACTTCAACCCAAAACCATATTTCATGTCATATTTTCTCAGCCTTTAATCATAAATGATGGGGTCAATTGAATGTCAACTTCAAATCTACATAGAAGTAGGAGGCTGTTCCTTGAGATTGAGAGAAAGAGAGAGAGAGAGAGAGAGAGAGAGAAATAGAAGATATTCGAAGCACCACAAACACAGAGAACATTACTCATACTGACCAGATTCCCATGTCTCCCACCCCGCATCCCTGTCACCACAGATCTATTCTAGATCTGGCTTTTTGTCCAGCCTCATGATATCAGATATAACATAAGTAAATAATAGGACCCCTGAGTCCAGGCAGATGTAAAAAATGTTGAACATAAAGCATTGCGGTATCCATACTTCTGTTCAGTTGGAGATCAATTTACAGATTAGACGTTAAGCAGGAAATGGCTCTTCTCATTAAATGGTGTTTAAGTGTTCTTCCTTTCAGCATTGCCTGTGACTAAAACCTCTGGTCTTATAGGAAAAAAGACACAGTCCAGGAACAAGGCAAATATAGACTGCTGTACTTACAAAAAGTTACAGCTACACAAATGTTTTCCTTAGCAAATTCAACAGGTAAACAGCTTTGGTCAAAGGTAGGGAAAGTTATTTTATTCTTTCATTCATCAAATATTTTTGAGCCACTACCAAGTGCCAGACACTATGGATATGTTAGGGATACAGTAGCAGATAATGCACTCCTAGTTTCTGCCTTCATGGAGTTTTAATTCTTGTGAGGAGAGGGAGAATAACACACAAATAGAAAATAAATGTATAACACCAATTCAAATCATATTTACCAGGAAAAAATAAAGCAGTGTAAAGAGTGAGGCAGGAAGTATGCTCTTTTAGACGTGATATTTGAACAGAGATCTAAATGAAATGAGAGAGTCAATGAGAAAATATATGGAGAAATAATTTCTGGAGGAGAAAGTAAGTGTTTTCTGGAGGAGGAAACAAGTGTAAAGGTGTGGTCTAAGAACAGAGAAGTAAGCAAATGAGAGGGTATTAAGTATCCAAAATTGATAGATAATAACAAAAACTTCATTTTAAGCAAATCTATGACTAAAACCCCAAAATTCTCAAAGCGGAAACCCCAGTTTAGAGCAGATCATGGGGTAATGAGTTTCACAGAGCAAAGATAAAAAAATGTTAGAACTAAATATAGCAATTCATCATTATTACTTAGACTCTCAACTGTTTCGCTGACAAAACTGTAAATTGATATATACATATTTCTATGATAAAATGTACAGAATTTTTAATAAAGAGTGAGTATAATAATTTCCTGACAAATTCTTTATCTTCTCACAATTTGGGGTGAAGAATTCCTTTGGATGCTTTTATTTAGAGATACCTAAACTACTATCGTCATTATTTCTTTGTCCATTTTCATATGCCATATGAGTGTAGATTGATATGAATATTCTGGCAAGCTATTAGGTTTTAGTGTATAAAGAGCTTTGAAAAAATCCAAGCCATTAGATACAGTAATTCCACTTCTAGGAATCCATCCTAAGGAAATAAACAAATGCAGACAAAGATTTATGTGCAGGGATATTCACAATAGCTCTATTTATAATAGTGAAAAATTAGAAAACAACTTAAAAGTTCAAAAACAGAAATTACCATAAATCCATATGATGAAATATTTTGTAACCACTGTAAAGTGTGATTTCAAAGATTTTTAATGAGGAGGCATTCTAATGAGCTAAGATAAAATGGGAAAGTCATTAAAATTTATATATATATAATATACAAAAGATATATATGTTTATACATATAGAGAAAAGACTGAAAGGATATACAGCAAATAGCTGAATAGTAGAGGGACAAATAATTTCTATTTTCTTTAATCTACTCTCCTTCCCCAAATCTTCTCCAGTGACAACACATTATTTCTACATAAAAAAAATTTATTTTAAAGCCTCAACATTTGGCTGTCCTTGGGCAGTTTCCCTTTGATGGTGGGAAATTGGCTATTTCTTTTAAGTCTTCAAGTCCTCTCCAAAAGATATTATCCTGTGTACATTTGTGTAGCTGATGTCTGGGACCAGGGATTGTGCTTGACTTTATCTATCAGATATGATTGCAGTTTCCCATGTGTGTCTCTGGCTCGGGCTTCCAAAATATCTATGACTTCCTGCACAAAGACCTAACTTCCCCATCTTGGTCATCTAAAAACGTTTCCTTTGCTCAGCCCCTTTCTTAGCTCTGCCTTTCTATAGCTGCCACTATTTGTGTCCAAGCGTTACAGGGATTAACAAAAGGATCAATGACTATACGCTGTGGAAGTACAAGCCATCCAGGCTAAGAATTTAGATTTTAAAACTCTTATGTCCAAACCAGAGTTCCCCACAGTGTGTTCCACCATTTATAGGAGACGCTCTTTGAAACAAATATTTCTTTGGTAAAATACATTTTAGTAATGCTTCCATAGTATATCCTCTTCTTAAAGATCCATAATGAATATTAAAATGTTAAAGTTTCTAAGACGTACTGTACTATAGAAAAGTGACTTTGTTTACCCAATATGCTATGGTCTGAATGCGCCCCCTCCCCCACAAACTCATGTTTAAACCCTTATAAAAGACACTTGAGAGAACCTTTTTGTCCTTCCACCATGTGAGGACACAAAGAAAACATGATCTGTGAGGAACAGGTCCTCACCGGACACTAAATCTGTTGGCACATCTTGGACTTCCCAGCCTCCAGAACCATAAGCAAGAAATATCTATTGTTTATAAATCACCTGGTATAAGGTACTTTGGTATAGCAGTCCAGATAGACTAAGACACCCAATATATACCAAGCTTGATGAAAGAAAGCTTTTTTCTTTTTCTTTATGTATTTTCTTTTAACATTCTTCAGAACTGGAGTTCCATGGAACTCTCATTATGAAGCGCAGGATTAGGTGAACTTGAGAATGACAAATGCATAAAGGACTGTTTTGGAAAACAGAACCCTTAGGGAAATACTTTCAAAATTATTAAGACTAAAACCTTTCATGTCAATAGTGAAAAGTGCAACCATTATCTCAATCAATGTTTCCCTCGCAATTCTTTTAGAAATTTAATTCTCAGCAGGATCGAATCATATCTGTTTATGTACTCATAGGCCCAACATGTAGACTGAGAATGATTCTGTTCATTTCAGTGAGTTTGATTGCACTGTGTCTTGGAGGAAGGAAACTCTGTGTTAAACTATAGCCTCATTTTCTCTATGTGCCTAAATTACTAATAGAATAACACTGTAATTTAACATTTGTTAATAGGATAAGTGAACTGAAAAAAACATATTTTTATCCATCATCTTGACTATAGCAAGAAAGATACAGACCTCATTTCATTTTTGTTATAGTTTTCACCAAAAAAGACGTTAAAGTGGTTTTCATTTTAACACCTGTGTCTTCAGAAAGCTGACCATTGTTAACCTCATTTTCTAAGAAAAAGCAAAGAGGTTACGTGATGTGCCTAGGGTCACACAGCTATGCTTAATCTTTATCCAAGCTATCTTGGCTCTTTGATTTTGGAAAGGAAGAAATGGAGGTGGTTATCTGGGGTGACAGCACTTGGAGAATGGCCAGCCACCAGCCTCTGGAAAATATCTTATTTCCAGTTACCCTGACTGCATCCAGTCATCGGAGCCCAAAGTCATTTAGTCAGTCATGGAAGATACAGAGTCCAAACCCAGTTTCCCAAGACCTCCTTTGTTCTGCTGTCCTTGGAACCAGTATTTGAACAACATTCAGTTTTTTAAAAAAATCAAAGTTTATTATTCGGTCATAAATGGAACAAAAAAAGGCCCAATGTAAGTGTGAAGCTAGCCATGGCCAGGATCTCCCCTCTCCATGTGGCACCCACAACCATCCCTTCTTTACGGTCAGAGATGACTTCTCAGACTCAAGACTTCTCAGACTCCTTTGGAAATTTGCAGCTTCCAAACAGGACGCTTTCACCTTCCTCATCAGGATGCCTGAAGGATCTCTTGAATGGGTTGAGACTTCACCAAAAAAAAAACAGGAATAACCAGTTTCTTCAGGCCACTTCTGCCTTTAAACCTTCCAAAATTTCTTAGGGAATTTAAAACCTTAAAATTAGGGTGACAAAAAATATGGGAGAATACGCCAGACCAAATGGTAATAACAATAATCATAGCTACCATTATTGAGTACTTTTCTCAGTCACCCTAATAAATAAGTTTTTATTATTTTATGTAACCCTACTTTATAAGGTTGACCTTATTTTTGTTTTATACGTGACAAAAATGAAGCTGAAAAGAAAGGAGTAATAAATATCCAGCCCTACCTAGGTCACACAGCTAGTGAAGTGGTAGTGCCAGATGTTGAAGCCCACCCCGCCCTCCCCCTAAACCACACACTTAATACCCCCCTTACGAACTTCCAGCACTTCAGGATGGGACCGTTTCCTCAAAAGGTAAGATAGCAGTATGTTTCTTATCAATAAAGCTGCTTAGTTCTTAAAGTAATGGCACCCATGAAGTCAGGTGTTAGAGGTCTAGTTCTTGTGTGGGCCTGTTGATTTCTCTCCTCTGGCCACATAACGGGCCTTTAATCCCAGCCACCTGGCCACCATTTAAAATGCGCTGTGAAGAGACTAGATATCAAAATGCTATAGATGACTTTGTAAAATCCATTCTAATAACACACCAAAAAACTGCCTAAAGTGAAAATACTGCTATCCTTGATTAGTGCCATCATCTTCACATGAGAAAAACAAGGTTATACAAAATTTCTAAGTCAAATCGCTACTGGAGCCCAGAGAGCACAGCACAATACTTTGTTTATGACAGGACCACAGTGGAGCAGCTTGCTACTTGTGGATATACATCCAGCTTTGGAGAACTCTGGTTATCATATTTTACCAAACATGGTTGTTGCAAAAACCATGATGTCCCCTCACCCACTGATAGAAATAGATTTTTTTTTTAATTTTCTCTAACTAATATGTAGGAAATGGGCTTTTTTCCTTTAGCTCCATGGATATATCAGTGTTGGGAGTAATGGAAATATTCATTTCAGCATAAAATTAGAGTTTAAAAGGTCAGTTTGAGATGTTTACAACAAACAAGTTAGAAAGAGGCAAACAAGAAACAGAAATTTTCTTTTTTAATAGGGAGAAAAAAATTACACTGATAATTGCCTAAAAATTATATTCATTTTCCAAGTGAATAAATGAGGCTTATTTGATATCACACGAGTACATAGTATTTCTTCTCAAAAACGCTTAAATTTTATATTTTAAAAATATGCACAAATATAATGGAATCAAAGTAGTTTAAGACTGTAAACATTTTAACCTGAAAATACTTCAGTTTAAAATCCTAATTTGAGAAGTCCTTTCTCCACATGGTTGTATACCTTGAAGGAAACTGTGAACACAGGTCGCAAACCAGTCTCTGTCCTGGAAATGAGTGAGTGATATTGATCTATACCCAGTCACTGATTATGCGAAGTCTCTAATGACACCTTCACAGCTTTTATAATCCAGTGGTCCAACAAAGCATGAATTTCAAATACTTTACAAAATCTTCCCTCCTGAGCATCTCTTTTTTTAATTAAAGAATAAAAGGAGTGATTGTTCAACATGATTTCAATGAAAATGAAGACTTGAATTTGTGGGTGTGTGCAATGTTGAAAATCAAAAGGAAAAAGATGCAGCACAAAAAAATCCTTCGCACAACTAATCAGATGACAAAGGTTTTGATCAGCGCGCAAGAACCAAGTGCTTTTCTTTGCTAAACGTAAAACAACGTTTGTCCAAGACTACGATTTCATACAATGTGCTTCTCATCCCACCTTAAGTTGTTTCTCTTTTAAACACTAATTTTTGCTATCTACTGCTTCAACATTCAGAAGAGCCTGCCTCAGGAGGCACAAAAGCTCTGTAATGCTGGGTTAAAGCTGGCACTTTATCCTTAACTCACCTCATTAAGTCTGGATTTTATTCGTCCTCAAAGACGTGGCTTGGAGATAGAATTCTAACCCCCTTAAATTAGAATTTTCTGGCTTTTGTCACTTTAAACCAGATCCTTAATGTTATTAAAAGGTGGGCATGTTGTTGTTTTTCCCCTTTTGGGGGAAGGGGTAGGGAGAAGAATTTAATGTTATTTTTAACGGAACTATCTTGTTAACCTTGGGGGACATCCCCGGAGCTGAAACCCATTGGAGTAATAATAGCTCAGCGACTCACTCCCTGCAGACAGCTCTGCCGAGTCAGTCTGGAAAAGCTCTTTAAAAGCACAGTCTCTGCTGGCCCTTTTCTTTTGGTTTCTGTGGAATTTTTCTTGGTAACAATTTTTAGCTGAGGGGGTTATGGACAATTGTAAACTGGAAGCATTGAAAGGAGGAGGTGGGGAGGGAGGCTGCTTGCTGCACTAATTAAAACAAAGCCTGCTTGTATAAACTGCATCCCCCCTGGTGCAAAGGGGCAAACAGCACAAGGGCCTCTCAGAGCACACAGCTCTGGATACTGCAGGGACTTATATTTTTAAATACAATTAAAAGTAATGCCCCTTTGTTGATTATACTCTCCTTGCCAAACTTGAGGACGGCTGAAGCTGCCAAACATTTACTTTTAAATTTAGTGTGCCCAGCAGCCTTCCAAATGCTGTCAGTTTCACAGAAGGCAGGGCAGTCTGTGATTAACAGCTTCCCAAGATACCAGTAAGTTGCTTGGACAATATTTCAAATGGATGCTGGTTCTGACACTGAGGAGATCAAGCCGGAATTTGGTGTCACTTTGGGGTTTAGAAGGAGGTGGGATTGTTCTTACCTCTTGATAGTACACAAGTTTGAAAGTGGAAAACATTACCAAAGCAAACTCCTCAATTACACATGTGCAAGCAGCAGAGAGTATCTGGTCCAGACCTAACTAAAAAAAACTTGTCAAATGAAAGAGAAATGCACAAACATGCCTGTACTTTGTCCTCTGAATTTTAAAAGCATCTAATGTTACATAGCTCATGTGAACTTTAAAGCACGGCCATCCATGAAGGATTCCCTTTATGGTTTTAGTGGTTGTCCTCTTTCCTTGCTGTTCACAACTATGATTATTTTATAAACCCTTTTGTAGCTGGGTTTATTTGATTTAACCTTTTAAATGTAGCTTCGTTTCTGACAATACAGGAAATATAACGCCAAAAGAAACTCTGTAGAGAAGATGGATGAGAGAATCAGACACACAATTTGAAATGAGATGTCCTGGGAAGACAACAAACTTATTTGGGACTTTCTTGATTTTTCCAGTGTGACTGTCTATAAAGCTGAATGCCAAGTTTTGATTCCTAGGTTTTATGTGGTTGCATAGGTAACAAACTAATACTTGGCGAGGTGTTCTTTTTTTTTTCTTTCTGATGAAAAATGCAGGCTTGAAAAACAAGGTGCAGCATCCGTTTTCAATTAAAAAAAATAAAAATTTAAAACCTCTCCCTCTGGGCCTGGTACTGAGCCAGGTAAGAAAATGAGATGGGTGTGGTCACTAAGAAAGCAATAAGATGAAAATACTCTTCTGCTTGAAGTAGCTTTATATTTTAGTGGGTTTTCCCTCATTCCAATAAAGAAAGTTACACTATGCTATCACTTTATTTTTAAATATTTTCTTTTAAAATCCATTTCCTTTGAATTTTTGCCAATTCTCAAGGACGCCGCATTTGACTTCTATTTTCTCTGTGCATCTCTGATTTCTGTTCGATCCCACAGGAGTAAATATTTGACATCCAGCCATTCCCAGGGGTGGCAGAGCAATGTACTAAACACAGAGACGTTTCACTTCACCAAGAAATGAAGTCAGGCTCCAGGGGATAAACAGCCATCCATAAATAACCTCTCAGAAGTAGCCTAAGGAACGTGTCCTGCAAAGAAATCCTGGCTCAGTACATTCTATTTTGTTTATTTTGCATAAAAGTTTTCTTTGTCTAGATTTGCACCAGCATGAAAACACTTCCAGCAAAATACAGTTAATACAACACAAAACCAAGTAGAAAAAAAGAAAAAAGTCCCACCTGAAAGAAAATTGACTGTTGCCCTTTGAAATGCCAAGAGAAAACAGACTTACCTGACATTCTAATGACTTTAAAAAGTGGTGAGAAGAGGAAAAGAACATGAAGGGAATTTCATGCCAGGTACGAATATTCATATCCTCTCACTGAAATCTAGGCCATGAATAGTACAGTTCAAAGCATTTTCTGTATCTGACTTCTAGAGGCAAATCCAACTGTAGTCAATAATGAGACATGCCACAAGACAACATTTGGTTGAAATATAACTGACCCACCAGTACTTGTGAGACAGCTTGAGTTTCTGCGTTTTTGATAATCTACAGGAAATTTACAATTTAAATATTTTTTTTGGAACTTCAATTACTTCACTTTAGAGGGATGAATTCAAGCAAGAAGGGTGTTGGGGAAGGGTGTGATGCACCTATGGACTATTGTATTCACTTTGAGCATAGTCATTTCACTATCACTTGGGGCATCTAAAAATGTGATACAGTTTATATTTGGATGACATGTATACATGCACTTAGCCAAATTCATATAATTTATAAAAATATTATGAACTACAAAGACCCCCACTGGAGATCAGTTACTAAGTTAATTTCTATATTAATAATTACCTAACTTTTAAAAATCAAATAAAGTCCAAAAAATATGAGTCAGATTTTCTTCTAATTCCTTTGATTTCATTTTTGTTTTTGTTTTTTTAATTTTTATCATCAGCACCCTAGGTCAAATTTTTATCATTTCAGAACTGTCTGTTCACGACAACAGACAGCCTTGTAACTGGTTTCACTGCTTCAACCTGTCTTTGTCAGTACACCCCAACATCCACCTCTAGGTTAATTATTTTAAAATCATGCTTTACACATTAATTCACTTGGACCAAAATTTGTGTTTGGACCCCACTTCCTTAAAAAGGAAGTTAAGGAAATTCAAATTCAGTTATATCACTTTCTTCTGCTATTGCAATTTTATAACTACTTGCTTCTCTAACCAAACTCTCTATGAACTATCCTTTAAATCTTTCATGTTACACTGTCTTTTCTTTTATGTACATTATGCCCCTGCTTGGAATGACTTTTCTTCACTTTCATGTCCTTAGGTATAATTTAAGCCCAAACTTCTTCCACAATAATCTCTACTTTTTCTGAAGACTCATGAAATAATATACTACTTACTTTGAATAATTGGTTTATTTGGCTTATGCACCTCTTAAATCTAACTAAATTATAAAGTTTGAGTCTCACAAATCTTTTTATTTCCCAAGCAGTGTTTGTTCACAATTAGTGGAAAGAGACAATTCCTGCTTTAGGAATGTTTGAGCTACTTTATTAAGATATGGTTATCTTAAAGAACGTTGCTTTGATAAGATAATTTCAGTTTTCTAAAGAGTGAGATCATTTTCAGTCTCAATAGTGAAAGGAGGGGTTGGGCTCTCTAACAGAACTAGACATAAGGGGTAAACCTATGGAAATGGAAGAAAAAGCTTAGCCACCTTCCTTTGCTTTTTAAAGAGTCTGTGAAAGTCTGGCTGGGCATGGTGACTCATGCATGTAATCCCAGCACTTTGGGAGGCTGAGGTGGGTGGATCACTTGAGGCAGGAGTTCAAGACCAGCCTGGTCAACATGGCGAAACCCCATCTCTACTAAAAATACAAAAATTAGCTGGGTGTGGTGGCAGGCAGCTGTAGTAGCAGCTACTTAGGAGGCTGAGGCAGGAGAACTCTGGAAGTGGAGGTTGCAGTGAGCCAAGATTATGCAACTGAACTCCAGACTGAGCTGAGATTGCGCCTTTGCACTCCATCATGGGGGACAGATCGAGACTCCATCTCAAAAGAAAAAAAAAAATCTAAAAGAATTCTTACTTAGGGGCTTCTGAAAGGATGTCTGTCACATGAAGAATGCTAACAACCAAGAAAACAGCCTGTATAGTGGACAGTTTGCTCCAACAAATAAGCTCTATTCTGTACCCCAAATTGCCTAGAGTCGGCTGTTAACTTCCTTTTCCTATCTTCAAGATTTAATAAAATTACATTGACTTTTACAGGCTTGTGCTAAGTAAGCAATGGAAAATCAGAAACATGGTCATTTGTCCAGTTTTAAAGGGAGAATTCTTCCTGTGTGGCCAATATGATGGTTGCAGCAGTGTATAGAGAGACAGATCAATACTTAGAATATTTTGTCCACCTCTTTTTTCACAAGAGTCAAAATCAGGAGTTTTGGTCTTATATTATTTTTAATTAATAGGGAAAGGGCTTCAAAATGGCTTACTAGAGGCATTTTGCACTAGCCTTCTTCACTAAGAACCAAAATAGTGAGTAGATAATCACACTTCGAATAGATCATCCAAGAAAGAATACTGGAATTCAACAGAAAAGTAACAGGAAATACCTAAAGCAAGGAAGAAGAGGGAAGTGAGACAGCCTGCTCAGCTGTGATTGGCTTGGAGCCAGGAAAGACTCCTTAATGTGAGGAAAGGGTGAGTGAGAGACCAGTAGCCGTCCACATTCCCACCATGGACTCCCACAATCCTAGCCACGGGAAAGCCCCCCAACCCTCACTGGCCCTGAAACTAACATAGGGAGCCACTGGGGGATTGTGTGACACCATTGTTCCAGAGAGAGAGTTCATGCTGGGTCCCACACACACCCTGACACCTAAGCAGCTACAGCAAAGTGCCATTTTAGAGCTCCACCTCCAACAGATTGCATGCTGTCTTAGGCCCCGCAGCACCAAGGCAGAGGAGCAAGAGAAGTGTGGGCTGTTGCCCATGGAGCTGAAATGTAAGCAAGAAACAGGCGATCACCACCAGGACTGAGGTGCAAACACCACCAAAGCAGAGGCTGAAGGGGTGCACACATTCCCTACCCACTGGCCTAAGCTGCCGCCACTGAAAGTGGCTCCACCCTCTGCTGCAGAGCAGCAGCTAGACACTACCAACCCCACCCAAGCATTCTGCTGGTGGTCTGGATATTGCCTCACCCCTACCTACCATGGCTGAGGCCTATACACATCATTGGGGGTGCCGAGGATAAACCTACCTAGCCCAGCTTCACCTCTCTACACACCCCATGCCAGACACAGTCTGGGGACCGGAGGATTTCCTAGCCTAGTCCACCACTATTGACACCTGAACACTCCTAGGAAGGGCCTGAGGCTGGGTTTCCCGACCCTTCTACTCTGCCCCCAGCTGTTACCACCTACCTGCACACACCACCTATGTGCCTGGAGACTGTCCTATGCAGCCCATTGCAGCCACTGTCAATACCAGCACACACCGCTCAGTACCCAAAGGGTTGTACTACCACTGCCATCGTTCATACCATACTGCTGCCAGGGGCCTGGGAACTCACCCACCCAGCCCACTGTTGCCACTACTGGCATCTAAATAATCCACCTGGAAACCCAACGATTGTCCTGCCTGGGCCCACTAATACCAGTGCCAGCACACATTACTCTAGAGCTCAAGGATAGGCATGCTCAGCTCACCATTGCCACCACTAAAGCCTAAAGACTGGCCTACTGGTGTCATAGTCCTCAGCAAAACTTCACCACACCCTCCATTAATAACTGCACCCTAAGCCACTGAGGACTCATAGACACCACTGATGCTGTTTACAAGCAAATAAATCATGTAGCGACTATACTGCTGTATGTACCCAGAATCAAAGCTGAAGTGCTCTACCGAACCAATACCATAGATACATCTTCAGAAAAAAGTTCTCCCCTATGAAAGCAAATTTTTAAAAATTAGAAGAAGTAACTATTACACAAGACGCACAGATATCAACATAAGGAACACAACAGTTCTCCAGAAACAGATCCCAAAAAAAAAAAATTTATGAAATTCCAGAAAAAGAATTCAAAGTATCGATACTAAAGAAGCTCAGTGAGATAAAGAAAATTCTGAAAAACAATACAAAAAAAATAAGAAAAACAATTAAGTATATGAATGGGAGATTTTCCAAGGAAGTAGATATCATAAAGAAGAACCAACCAGAAACTCTGGACTTACAGACTTCATTGAATGAAAAGAAAATATATTTGAAAGCTTCAACATAGGCTAGATCAAGAAGAAGAATGAATCTCAAAACTTGAAGACAGTTCTTTTGCAACAACCCGATAAGAAAAAAATAAAGATAAAAGGATAAAAAAGAATAAGCAAAGCCTTCATGGCACATGGGACACCATAAAGCAACCAAATGTTTGAATTGTCAGGGTCCTGGAAGGCAAAGAGAGAATGAAAAGGTTAGAAAACCTATTTAATGAAATAATTTAGCAAGATATTTAGACATCCAGATATAGGAGGCTCTGAGATCACCAAACAGATACAATGCAAAGGTTTTCTCCAAGCACATTACAGACAAACTGTCTAAAGCAAAGACAAAGAGAAAATTATAAAAACAGCAAGAGAAAAGTTTCTAGTCACCTGTAAAGAAACCCTCATCAGATTAACAACAGATTTCTCAGCAGAAAGCTTATAGGCCAGGAGAGAAATACATACTGCCTGCCACAGATAGTATATCTAGCAAAATTATCCTTTATTTAAAAATGGAGAAATAAAGTATTTCCCAGAGAAGCAATAACTGAGGGAATTCTCAACAATAGATCGATCCTACAAGAAATGCTCAAAGGAGTCCTAAACCTGAAAGTGAAAGGATGACATGTACTATCATGGAAGTACAGAAAAGGATAACACTCATTGATAAAGCACACAGATGAGGAAGAGAAAGGACTCAAACTGTACCACTTCAGAAAACCACCAAAGCATAATGACAAATAATAAGAAAAAGAAAGGAACAAAGAATATATAAAATAACCAGAAAACAATTAACAATATGACAGGAACAAAATCTCACAAATCAGTAATAACCTTGAATGTAAATGAATTATATTCAGCTTTACTTTCACACCTCTTCTCTTTCTTTCCTTTCCAGGTGACATCAAGGCAGAGAAGACATCTTGCTTAACATTTTGGATTCAAGGGAATGAGGTACACTACTAGTCTGTGATCCCATACCTCACATAAAATAAAAATTTAACTCAGAATAAAACATAGACCTAAATGTAAGAGCTAAAACTATGAAACATCTCTAAAAACTAGAAGAAAATCTTCATTGTTTTGAGTTAGGCAAAGATTTCTTAGGTCACAGAAGGCACAAACCATTAAAGAAAATATTGGTATATTTATTTAACTTCATGAAAATGTAAAAACTTCTCAAAGACATCGTTAACAGAAATAAACGGACAAGTCACAGACTGGGAGATAATATTTGCAAAGCACCTAACTTCTGAAGACTTGTATCCAGAATACATAAAGAACTATTGTGACTAAAGGATACAAAAAAAAAAAAATTAAAGAGGAGCAAAGATTTGAACAGACACCGTACCAAAGAAGTGATACAGCTGGCAAATAAGGACATGAAAAGATACTAAATATCATTAGTCATTTGGTAAATCAAAACCAAAACCACAGTGAGATACCACTACATTTCAACTTGAATGGCTAAAATCAAAGACAGGCAATACCAAGTTCTGGGAGAATGTGCAAGTGCAAAATGGTATAGACACTTGGGAAAACAGTTGGGTAATTTCTTGAAACTTTACACATACTCCTACTATATAATTCAGTCATTCTGCTCCTAGATATTTACATATATGACTACACAAAATTCTGTAAGTAAATGCTTACAGCAGCTTTATTCATAATAACCAACAAGCGAATACAACACAAATATCCATTAACTGATGAAGAATAAAGAAATTGTGATATATCCATACAATGGAATAATATTCTGCAATAAAAAAATAAACTACTGATACAAGCAACAACATGAATGAATGTCAAAAGCATTATGCCAGTGAAAGAAGACAGACACAAAAGGCTATATATTGTATGATCCCTTTTATGATATCCTGGAAAAGGCAAAACTGTGAGGCACAAAGCAGATAAGGAGATGCCACGGGATGGTAGAGATGAAGATATTGACTTCCAAGGTGCCATATAAGGGAATTTGGAGGGATGGTAGAAATCTGTATCTTGATAATGAGGCTGGTTACATGACTATAAACGTTGAAAACTCAATGTTCATGCTAAAAAGAAAATTAGTCGAGAGTAAAAGAGAATTGGGCAGCTTAAAAGAGAATTTGTAAAGTAGAAGATTGTTCTGAACCAAGAATAACAATGCAGCATATGGAGTTTCACAGATAGAAAATTTCAAAAAGCAGTTAACAGATAATTAGGGTAACAGATAATAGTCTAACATATAGTCAATAGGGATTCCGAAAGGAAAGACTTAGAGAATGTTGAAAGAAAATTACTATCAAATAGCTAAATTATCATTCAAATGCACTAGAAAAATACATTTTCAATGAAATAAAAAATTAAGTAATTTATCCCTAATAGATCACCCTAAGAATACTAAAGGAAGAAAACTGAACCAGAAGAAAGGAGTGAAATGCAAAATAATAATAATAATATCAGGCATAGAAGTTGGTAAGCATGTGAGTAAGTCTAAATAATAATCTACTATATAAAATAATTACTATTTTGGCAGTGTAAAGCATGATAGAAACAAAATACTAGACTATAGTCACATGTAAAATGGAAGTAAAGTAAATAATCCAAGTGAAAGCATTTAAATATTCTTTCATTTTTGGGAAGAGGCTAGAGACATTTTCGATTTTATTCATTCAGATACGCTTCTTCAGCTTTCACTGACAGTACAGAAAAAGAGTATATACATATCAAATAAGTAGAAGAACAAAAGCAAATTAAAGCCTAATCAATCCACTGGTTGTTACAGGGGTTGAGGGAAAGGAGGCTCTCCCCAAGTCTCCATTCTCCAGTGCTCCCTTAAGAACAGTTACGAGTAACCATAGGCTTAGAGGGCCACATTCTGTAGTCGCCATTATTAGTTAGCCAGGGGCTAAATTCTTGCTGGTAAAAAGTAAGCAGTAGTTGTCGGATGGGAATTCCAAGGAAGCTCTTTAAATCACTGTCCAACAGAAATATAAAGTGAGCCACACATGAAAACTTGATATGTAATTTAATTTTTTCTAGTAGCTGCCTTAAAAAAGTAGGAAGAGACAGGTTAATTTTTTTAATTTAATTTTAGAGATAGGGTCTTGTTCTGTCACCTAGGCTCAAGTGCAGTGGCGCTATCATAGCTCACTGCAGCCTTGAAATCCTAGCCTCAAGCAATCCTCCTGCCTCAATCTTCCAAAGTGCTGGGATTACAGGCTTGAGTCACCATGCCTGGGCTATTAATTTGAATAATGTACTTTATATAAACCAATATATCCAAAATATTATTTCAACATGAAATCAATATAATAAATGGTTAACTTCCATATTTTTTGTATGAAATCTTGAAATTCTGGTGTGCATTTTACACTTTCAGCACATTTCAGTTCAGGCTATGCCCATTTCAAATGCTCAATAGCCACATACAGCTGGTGGCTATCATATTAGGGAGCAGAGTTTTAAATGGACAAGTATTTTGTGTTCTCCTGCCTGTCTTCTTTTTCTGAAATGCAATACATTTGTGTTGGCTGGAACTTCAGCAACTCTCCTAGACTCTGAGTTTCCTTGAGGTCAGAAGCTATGGAAGCTGAATTCTGGATGCCTTTGTAATCCACTTAGCAGCCACAGGCTGCCAAAGTCTGGATTTCTTTTACATGGCTATAATAATATCAGACAATACAAACTATGCCAAAAGTCATTCATAGTGATGAAAAGGGCCAATAGATAATAACAGGAAGATAGGGAGACAGTACAGTATATTGGTAAAGGGCATGTTTTTAGGAACCATAATATCTAGGTACAAATCCTGATGTCTCCAGGTACTGAGAACTTGAATAAGTTATTTAAGCTCTCCAAACTTTTCCTCAACCATAAAATTGGGATAGTAACACCTCTCTCAGAGTTATTGTAATGACTAAGTTAATGTATGTAACATATTTAGATTATGTGAGTTGCACAGTAATTACTTTGTAAGAGTCAGCTCTTGTTAAATCTTTAGGAAAATATAATAATTCTAAACTTGTAAACACTTAACAATGTAAACTTCAAATATATAAAGCAAAATTGGCAAGATCATGCAGAGTGGTTGATAAATCCACACTCCTAGTTCAAGAGTTTGATACTTCTCCCAGTGACTGACAAATAGAGCAGACAAAGAACAAAAAAAAGTGAATAAATAAATGTGATTAGTGTGCCTTTGACAAGCTTTAAATTTGGTGGCCTTCAAATTTTAAACTGGGCTGCTTGACAGCTATCACAAATATGAAAACATATCAGTTAGGATAATTTTTATTACTGGGAAAAAAGAACACTATTTTCTTAGGTTTACTATGCTACTTATATTTGAGGAATTATGAAACATCTATGTGCTCAATTTTTTAGTTTCCTCCCATTCTATTCACACACTAAATAGATTTTTTAAATCTATATTTTTATTTAAATATTTTAATTTAACATAAATGATTAGTTGTGTGATGTATACATCATATAAAGTTTCTGGTAGCAAATTCTTTTTTTTTTTTTTTTTTTTTTTTTGAGACAGACTGTTGCTCTATGGCCCCCCAGGCTGGAATGCAGTGGTGCCATCTTGGCTCACTGCAACCTCTGCCTCCCAGGTTCAAGCGATTCTCCTCCCTCAGCCTCCCAACTAGCTGGTTACAGGCGCCAGCCACCACACCCAGCTAATTTTTTGTATTTTTAGTAGAGACGGGGGTTTCAAGTTGGCCAGGCTGGTCTCAAACTCCTGACCTCTAGTGATCTGCCCACCTAGGCCTCCCAAAATGCTGGGATTACAGGCGTGAGCCACCGCACCCGGCCTGCAAAATCTTAATTTACTTTGTGTATCTTTTAGCAAAACAGCATAAGCAAATAAGTGAGTGATGCTTCCTTTGGAGGCCGAAGAATGTCCTCTCCAGTGGGAGATTTCCAGCATAGTCCTTTCTCTCCTTTCTCACCCTCCAAGGCAGCTATTTCCTTGGAAGTTAATCTCCCACTGAGACAACAGCAGGTGGAATTAAACTCGAACTTCTTAAGTCTTAAAACTGTTGCAAAGATTCCTATTTATACCTGCTTTAGTTTAGGTGTTTTTTTTTTTTTTCCTCCCTTAACTCTTGACTATCTTTTAAAACTGTACCTTTTTTTAGCTTCAGTAAGATAATTTGCAACATTTATGAAGAATCAAATCGAACTGGATTTGTTGTTTTAAAAAAGCACTGGATAAGTATTATTTAGACTACAGCCTGAGAGATGGAAAAAGAAACAAAATTCAACTCAAACTTACTAAACAATCTCAATCTTACAGAAACTCCAGGCTACTAAAATACCCTCTAGAGAGCAACATTTCATGCTTAGGAAGAAGTTATTTACTTCATGCAGGAAAGTACTTTGCTGCAACAGGGGGCCCTGGCTCACCATAATATTGGGTTTGGCCTATCATGGGACTACAGTTAAAATATTTTATGCTCTCAATTTATTTTCTCTCACATCTGGATTAGGAATAATTTTTCTAGACCTGAATTACGGAAAATTTCTCTTGTCAAATCCACATGCCATATACTTGACGGTAAACATTTTAGCCTAATTGCAAAATTCACCACTGGGAAGGCTAATTATTTAAGGTGTGGGTCCCAAGTAGAATTTCTCCACCTTTAGGTAAACCACAAACACATATCTCTGAGAACTTGAAGTGTTGGACTCTACTGCAAAGCAAAGAGGCATTTCCTGCTGGGCCCTCCCCTGGGGAGCCTCATGCCTTTGGCTTGGGGTTGTTTCCACAGGCTGGGATCTTTTTTCCTGGATGTAGGGGTCCTCTTAAACACAGGGGAATTGTGGCGACCCTTTGAGGTTGCACAAGGAATTATTTGAGTGCCTTCTTTCAGTTTCACTCATATCCCCTTAAAATTGCCATAACAAGCAATCCATTCTCTTGCTAAGGGCTTCTTTGGCAATGCCTTAGGGTGAGCTATTGCTGAACTGCCGCCTGTCTGTAACCCCAAGTTTGCTAGAGCCAAGAGAACAGAGGAGAGACTGCGTTTTAGCTTTGTGCCATGCGCTTTTACAGTTCTGCCTTGTTTTTGTTTATCTACTGGGCAGAAATTAAGAGTTTTGATTGTCTCTAAACACTCTTACTCAAGCTCAAACTTTAATGGCAAAAACCAAACCAAAAATCACACATATACCAAGATAGAAATATTTTTGCTTTTATTTAGGTAGGGGAATTGCTTGAACCGGGGAGGCAGAGGTTGCGATGAACCAAGGTCACACCATTGCACTCCAGCCTGGGCAACCAGAGTAACACTCCATCTCAAAAAAAAAAAAAAAAGACAGTGCCAAACGGCCATGTGCAGTGGCTCACACCTGTAATCCCAGCACTTTGGGAGGCTGAGGCAGGTGGAATCACGTGAGGTCAGGAGTTCCAGATGATGCTGGCCAACATGGAGAAACCCTGCCTCTACTAAAAATACAAAAATTAGCGGGGTGTGGTGGCGTGTGCCTGTAATCCCAAATATGTGGGAGGCTGAGGCAGGAGAATCCTCTGAATCCAGGAGGCAGAGGTTGCAGTAAGCCGAGATCACGCCACTGCACTCCAGCCTGGGCGACAGAGAGAGACTCCATCTGTAAATAAATAAATAAAGACAGCACCGGTGCAGACAGCAAGTATGAATGTTTATCAAAAATAGATTTCAATTGTACTATATGTGGAATGAAATTTTACATATTATTCAGTATATATCCATTAGGCAAATACTATGTACTAGATTCTGTGTTAGGCACAAAGACTGTAAAAATAAATAACAAGTGGTCCTATTCTGAAAATATTTACACTGTGTCCTGGGAAATGGGTAAGGATAAGACAGACATGCAGTAACTTAATTATAATGCAATATATACACACTATTAAAACTCAGAGAAACAATACATTCTGACTACAAAACCTTACAACATTTTCATAGGGAAGACAATATTTGATGTGGGTCTGGAAGGGTGAACTTAATTATAAGAAAGAGAAAAGCACTGTTTCTATGAAGTGAAAAAAAGGCACCCAAAATATCCAAAATAGCATGGAATCTATTCATGTTTGTGGAATAAGTATTCTCCAAAAAACAATAGAGATGGACAAAGATTTGAACAGATATTTCACCATAGAGAGGATGATTACAAAGGAGAACCAGCAAATTTGGGGGATAAAGGATATATTCGTTATGTTGATTATGGTGCAAGTTTCACAAACGTATACATCTGTTAAAGCATGTCAAACTGTACACTTTAAACGTGTGGTTTATTTCCCATCAACTACACCTCACCAAATCTATTAAAAATAAAAATGCAGTGAGAAAATGACTGAGTCTACTTCATGATTTCACATTTAGCCTGGGAGAAAATCTATATAATGAAAAACCGTCATTAAAATGAAAATAGATATTTGGTCAATAATTGATATGGTTTTTTAAAATGTTCATTTAACACATATGTATTAAGTGCCTATAGATGGCAACAGTGCCAGGTGTGCCTAGACCTAGACATGCAGTGGAGGACAAGATAGGGTCCCCCAGCCTTTATATAATTTATTTAGTCAGGATAGCAATATAATAGAGAAGCTTAAGGTATAAGCTTTAGAGTTTAAAAATCTAAGAATTCCTCAAAAGTCTTCAACTTCTCTTCGGTCAGGATTGGGTCACAAGTTAATTTACAGGCGGCATAGTCAGAATTCAAACCCCACCCCCTCTCTATTGCCACTCAGTATTATGAAATTCAATCATAACTAGACAGACTGAAACAGAACTGAAATGTACTAAGTATCTTACTATGGATTTAATGTTATTTTTAAGAGCTTTATTGAGGAATATGTGACAAAAAATTGCATAAATTTAAGGTGTACCATTGTGGTGTTTTAAAATACATATACATAGTGAAATGATTACCACAATTGAGCTAATTAACATATTCATCAACTCATAGGATTTCATGTTGTTTAAAGCCCTATTCATGTGGCACCTAAAATCTTTTTAACATGTACCACCTTGGGACAACTGAGCCAAATGTTTTTTTATTTTGTTTTGATACAGGGTCTGGCTCTGTTGCCCAGGCTGGAGTGCAGTGGTGTGATCTTGGCTCACTGCAACCTCTGCCTCCCAGACTCAAGCAATCCTCCCACCTCAGCCTCCCAAGTAGCTGGGACTAAAGGCATGAGGACCCTGCCTGGCTATTTTTTATATTTTTTGTAGATATGGGGTTTCACTATGTTGCCCAGGCTGGTCTCGAACTCCTGAACTCAAGCAATCTGCCCACCTCATTCTCCCAAAGTGCTAGGATTATAGACGTGAACTACTGTGCCCAGCCAAGCCGAATGGTCTTTAGGGCTCCCTCTGGCTCCAATATCTTAAAATAATGTTCTAGTGTTTTTGTCCATGCAAAGGCAGAGGGTGTCATGGCCCACTGCAATTGTCCTGGTCTTTGGTCTTCTTTTATACTGCTGGGAAAAAAACTATCATGTCCCTGTCAGGTTCTAGGATATGTTTGAGTCCTCATAGGCACACAAGCGGTAGTCCTCATCTCTTCCCTGGTATACATTCATGGAGGTTGGTGGTGGGTGTGTGGGTATGGGGAGTAGCGTGAGAGGCAGCAAGAGATTCCAGGCTGATTTAGTTCTCTCTTGGTGAGCAAAATGCAATAGAGAAGAACTGGTTGCTAAACAGAAGTAGCCTGGTGAGCAGTACATGAAGCAAAGTGGCTCCTTTTAAGTTCTTGGGCAAGGTGTTGACACCCATTGTTTGATGCTGCGTGAGTGTATTAGTCTGTTTTCACACTGCTATAAAGAATACCATCTGAAAATTGGATTTAGTGTATACTGCTTTGGTGATAGGTGCACCAAAATCTTACAAATCACCACTAAAGAACTTACTCATGAAACCAAATACTACCTGTTCCCCAGAAACCTATGGAAATAAAAAATTAATAAAACAAAATAATTTTAAATGCAAAAAAGAAAAATACCATCTGAGACAGTGTAATTTATAAAAGAAAGAGGTTTAATTGACTCACAGTTCTGCCTGGCTAGGGAGGCCTCAGGAAACTTACAATCATGACAGAAAGGGAAGTGGGAACCTTCCTTGCAAGGTAGCGTAAGAGAGAAGAGCAGAGGAAACCGCCACTTATAAAACCATCAGATCTTGTGAGAACTCACTCAATACCATGAGACCAGCATGGAGAAAACCATCCCCATGAGCCAATCACCTCCCACTAGGTCCCTCCCCCGACACATGGGGATTACAATTTGATTACAAGTCGAGATGAGATTTGGGTGGGGACATAGCCAAACCATGTCAGTGGACCCTACTTTCTAGCAATACTTTCAGAGATGGAGAGTCTCCAGAAAATGGGCCAAACCCAAAATTGCTCCTTCTGTCACCCAGCAACTGTTACAGGGCATGAGGTAATTCCACAGTAAAAGGTTTGAGTCTCATGGTAAAGATTCAAAGTTATCTTCAAAGTTTGTATGCAGAGCACACAGGAAGTATGATCCCTTCAGGTTGTAATTAAGTTAGCTACACACATACATGCAACGGTGACAGCCTTAATTACCATTTGTTTTTATTCCCAAGAGTGCTGCTTCTTGGAACACTGGTCAGACAAAAAGAAATGGAACAAAACTGGCTTCAGAGAATGCCATTCATGTACCAAAACCGTTATTCTCCTTTCTTTCTCTTGACAGTTTCGGAATCAGTCCATAGGTTCTATGTCTTTCTACCTTTAAGGCAGAGTTTCCAATCTTAACACTATTGACAATTAGGCAGTTTCTTTCTTTGTTTGGGGACTGTCCTATGCATTATAGAATGTTTAGCAGTATCCCTGGCCTCTGCCAAGTAGATCCCAGTAGCACCACCTCCCTAGTTATGACGACCAAAAATGTCTCCAGACACTGCCAAATGTCTCCGAGGGGACAAAACAGCATACTTGAAAACTACTACCTTAAGGTAACTTCATTTTAGGATCCTGAGTAAGGGCAACTCTAGTCTGATTCATAGATCTTCACCATTTCAAGTTCAGGAAGATGGGATTGGGGGATTATTGGGCCTTCCTCCTTAATTGAATTTGCCTGTTTCCTTCCCAGTAGTCTGTACACCAGCAGAAAAAAAGTGCTTATTTATTAAGTCAGACAAAGTCACATGCATGTTTTTCCCCAGGGCCAACACCTGCTTTCCTTATATCTACAGAATTAAGAAGGGTCACTCAATATCTGCTCCAAAGGGATGACTTTAACACAGAACGAATGGTTGCTTCTACTAAGGATAAGAGAAAAACGAAAATAAACTCTGGTAGGGCACCTCATTTCATACGAATTTTGGGAGTATTACATTCCAGTTAGTATTTTTTTTTATTTGGCCCATTATAAATGAAACACATAAAGGGTGCATTTTTATTCTTGTTGTTGTTTTAATACTGTATTTTGGGAGGTTGAATATACTTTTCAAGATATACACTGGTGAGGGGAGTTTACTGCATCCTGCAGTAATTGTACTAATAAGCTGCCTAAATATTCTCCTATAACAATTGAATAAGGAGAGGTAAGTAAACAGCATTTCTTAAAAAGTATTTCTTAAAACCAACTCTAGGATAACAAAGGTAGTAATTAGGATTCGTTTTCTCTCCTCATCAAGACTGTGCTCAGCCCCTCTGCTGAGCCAGCCTTTGCAAGAGATGGCATTTTTTAATCAGTGATTGATAGCACCTAAGCTTTCAGGCAGGAGAATGTTCTCAGTGACCTCTACGAAGTTGAGGTACTGAGTTATGTTTCAAAAGCTTGACAGTGCCAAGATGCCTTTGAGCTCATGAAGTCTCAAGACCAACATTATCAGAGAATTGGTTGATGGTTTCAAAATGTAGATTAGCTCTGATGATGGATTGGAAGCTGCAGGAAGGAATTACAGAGCAACAGTACTTTTGACTTGAGAAGAGTCTTTTAGTTCTTCTTTTTTTTTTTTTTAATTGACCAGGCTTCTTTTATTGTCTGTAATCTTCTTTAAAGTGGCCCCAGGGGGTTTTCCCTGAGTTCCCAAGTTCTGTCCTTGGCTCCCATATCTCTTCTCTCCATCTCTATTTTCTCTTGGTGTCCCCATATACTCCCATCTCTTAAAATAACCCCCCTTGTATGCATGACTCCAAAATCTATCTCTTCCTGGGATACAGACTGTGTCTTTAACTGCCTATCTCATTCTCTCTCAGACGTTTGGTACTATAAACTCAACATGCCTAAAACTAGCTCAACACCCTGCCTCCCAAATATCTTTCTCTCAGTGAATGTCATTATATACTAGTCATCTATGCCCCAAACCAAGGTCTCATCTTCTTGTCATCACACTGTCAGGGGCCCTGATTCATCATCCAATCAAGGACAATGTTCTCTGGATTCTATTTCCTAAATGTCTTTCCAAGTTTTCCCACCTCCAATCTCATTGCCACTTCAGCAGCAGCAGCATCTCTCATCTGGATTTTGCAATGGTATTTAAATTAGAGCTTCTGCTACAGCTGTCTAATCTCCTTTTCATCCTTTGCATTGCTACAGAAATTACCTTACTCAATGAAACACAGATATGATTGTGTCACCTCCTTGCTTTACTATTTAACGTTTGCTGTGACCACCAGTCTAGCCTTTGTCACTCACATATGGTTGATGCAGCTCTTACTGACTTGAGGAAGGACTCTCTTGTCACCGATATTACATCCTCCATTTCCTGACTCTCACAAGGCTTTTTGTCTCTCAGTGTTTTACAGTGCAGCTAGACTTACATCTCTGCCTTTACATTTTTTTCACTTATATAACCCCCAACTAAGTTTATTAGTTTTATTTAAAAACCTGTACCATATACCACTGTCCTCTTCTAAGAGCACTTCTCCAAGCACATTAGAAATATTAACTCATTTACATTTAAAACAACCTAAAACCAATTTTTCAGCAACTAAGTTGAATGATGTATGAGCAGCACCACACAGAGACACCCTCCCAAGCATTTTTACTGCAAGCTATTATCCATCACCTCAGTGAGAGTTCTTTGCAATCCTGAGAGGTTGAGATGATGTCAGGGCTTAATCTTGGGGCTCTAAGTTCCCTCTTCCTTCCCTTTCTTATCTGGAAGGCTTCTGCTTATTGACTATGTATTGAGGATACTGGACTCGGTGAGTTACAAACATGAGGCAGTCACATATTTTCCAAACACTACTTTAAAAATAATGTAGCATGTGATTTGGGGAGAGTAATTTAACCTCTCTGTACCTTGGTTTTGCTTCTGGAATACAGGATAATTGTTACCTACCTCATGGAGTTGTTTTGAGGCTTGAATAAATGAATACATATACAATGCTAAAACAGTACCTGCCACATAGTAAGCATTCAATAAAAGTTAGCTATTACTATCCTCCTGCATCCCCATTTAGATCACAAGTTCTTTGAATTCTGAGAGCACAGGATAGTGTCTGGCACATACTAGGTGCCCCCAACATATTGGCATAATCACAGATAAAGAGGAAGCGAAATAAGGATTCTAGGAATTAAACAGAATTTGAAGATGATGTGAATGCATAATGCTTTTTTCCTAAGGATTTCAAAATAGCATTCAAACAATACTTGATTTGCCTTGGAGAAAATGACTATAGACAATATCTCTATGGTAGGGGGAATAATATAGCTAGATTCACCCACAGAGCAATTGTGTTACTTTCCTGGGAACTAATGAAAGAATTTGAAGCAGCTACATCTTTGGGTAGACAGTGAGAACTCTAAACACCTTAAGGTGTCAGAATTAGCCTTTATATATTTCATTTTTCTGGTTTTATCCCAGCCATTTTTTTTAAGTGGCAATGGAAGAACCTTCAAAGATAATTACACAGAGCTCTGCAGAATTTTATAAGATGCCTTTTAATCAGGTGCTTTGGAAAGCAACTTGATCAAATGACCTACTTCCCATAGGCATTTTCCAGGTACTCAGATGCCATCAGAGCCTCATTGTATGACAATGGCAAAGCCAAACCAAACCAAAACAAAAAGTAATGTTTCTTTCTGCATTATAACAGATAGACAGAACTACTGGGTGAGTGTGATTTCATTTGTCTTCAGGTAAGTGTCCTCCATCACTGTCTCTCTGAGAGTCATGAAACCAAAACCAAAATTTAAAAAGAAGAGTAAAATCAATCAATCATATTTCCAAATAGTGTAATATTTAGCAACACATAAACTAAACACCGGGGTTATGTTAAAATTGTCCCCATTTGTTATCCATATTTCTACCCAGGGATTGAACTCTGTATGGAAAAGCTCAACCATTACAAAAGCTGAATCAATAGTTAGTCATTACAGAAAGTATAGTTACTTATTGAACTAGAGGAAGTCATAGAGGGAGTAAGCGAGAAAACATTAGCTAGAGTCAATGGATTTGTGGTTGGATTTTTCTGAATTTATACTAATGAAAAAAAAATGTGCTTCTGTCCAAAAGATCAATTCCAAGACAAATAAAAATATTATCATACTAGCCTGAAAGAGATGCCCTCACTTTCAGTAAGGGCCTGGGAGGAGGAAGGTCCTTGGAGAATTATCTAGGAGTAGATGACATTCAATTTTGTTTGCTAAACATTCTTGACCTCATGTCCTCTATAAAAATAGTTCCTTTCAGTGCAGCTGAGAAAGCTGTGATTTTGCTGTCCAGTCCATCTAGACTGGCCTCCTTCATCATGCTGAAGATGTGTGTGGTTTAATTTCCAAGAATAAAAGAAAAAGGTGGCAAGCATAGCTGCCTCCCATTCCAATGACTCAAATACAGTGTACCCTGCTCCCCATTTTTAAAGTCCCCAACCAAGAAAGCACATGATATCATTCAAAGTTTCTGAGTGTGCCTTCGACCCAGAGTATAAAAAATTTCTCTGTTCCTTGTCTTGTTTTACCCCCTTTTCCTACCCCTGACTTATTAGGTTCCACACTGCCTGGGAGCCCCGTGGTATCAGGCTGAACATTTTGATGTAATCCCACCACTGTTGCTGTAGCTATCTAAGCTCAAGGATTTATTAGTTGTGAACGTTCATTTTTGTTTTTACTGGTCCGCTGCCAGTAAATAAGTCACCCAAACCATGGCTGAGTGTCATTTGATAGGAAAAGGCTGGGATCACAAGGAAGCCTTCTGTCTTTCAACCAAAAAAAAAAAAATGCTGAGGTAAGCAGTGTCAAACCCAGCTGCATCAACATGATGGTGGGGAGACAAATGAGAGCTTTCACTGCTGGATATGGGCACTAGAGAGCAAAGGGCTCTGAAAAACCTCCTCCAGCCCAGAAACAGTTGAAGTCGTGGAACCTGCAAAGGACTGTTTTTTCAAACTACTAGCTTCGATAAGGAAAAATTCTCTGTCCAACTCGTCCTCTCCAGCTCATAAACACAGCTCATCTGAAAGGTAACTAGGATGAAAATCTCCTAAAATAAACACACATATACATGCATGCACACATATATGAATATATGTGCACACGCGTACATGCACATACACACAAGAGTACTGTTTCAGCACCATTAGAAGAAAAATATGACATATACTCCCCCCACACTCTGCCTTGTCTGTGATTTAATGACCCACTGGCTGGAGGGTGTGGGGCAAGGAGACCAGAAGTGGGATGGAGGTTTGTAGGGGCCTATAGGGGACCCAGGGTGGGAGGAGCGGAGGAGGAGGAGGAGGAGACAGAGGAGGAGGAGGTCTGATCTTGAGACAGGGACTGCTTTCTCACCGCAGGCCGTGCCAGTTCCCTGTGACTGTTGCCTGGGCGATGGCTGGGGGACTATCAGGAATGCTTGGAGACGGTATCCCTCTTTTGGACTCATGGATGGAGCAGAAGGGGGTGGATGGCTTTTCTCTTTCTGTTTCTTCTATTCATATTCAGCAGATTAGAGCCCCGGGTTGCTGTGGCGACGACACGGAGGAGGGCTCTGCACACCTGCACCACAAACGGGAGCCCGCCAACGTGGACTTAGGCAGTCCTGGAGGCAGTGTTTTGGTGTGGGAAACACAACAACAACAACAAAAGAGTAAGGGAGAGAAAAAGACGAAGATGGAGGAGAGGGAAAAAAAAAAAAAGGAGAGAGAGAAGGAAGCAAATGCTTTACCAGTTCAAGCAATGGTGGTGTTGCTCTTGAAATGAAACAGGAAAACGGTATCCCCAGCACCCTTGAGGAAGTAGCCTTGTGATGCTGTTTAGGAATGACAGGAAGTAGGAAGATGGATACCACATCCTTTAGAACAACCAATTACACACACCATGGAGGAACAAAATCATAAAAACAGGAAGAGCTTCAAAGCTTCAACTCTCATTAACAAACACTGTAGATGACTAAATGGAAAGTTACTCTCTGATTATCCAGAACTAAAAGATATTTGCCAGTTTTACATACTGATTTTCCAATGGAAAGCAGTACATTATAATGTGGGGGGGAAGTAACATTATGCTCTTTTAAAGCTCACCGAAAGAAAGAGAGAAGGAGAATGGGGAGGGGGAATTGATGGGCTCCTAAAGTCGAGTGTAGTCCTTTGGAATGCTCTGGCATGGCTCCAGCCTCTACTAATGAAGAAGTCAGCTCCACGCAGTGTCCTGGCCTCACCTCTCCCAGACAACCTGGGCTCTGCTTTCAGTCTGCTCTTTCCTTCATCTGCCTCCTCCTCTTCCCGTCTTGTGATTGCTTTCTGCATTATTGTCTCTGTTTCCATTAGCAAAACATCCCAGTGCATTAGCCTGTCCAAAGCACTTTACAATGACAATATTTACAGAAGGTTAAATAAAATATGTATAGAGAGATTAATAGTGACTATGCAATAGACCTTTTGAACTTTAAGCACGCTGGGTTTATGTGTTTTTTAAGTTGGATTCTCCAGGCTGCTTCGGTTATTTTAATATCTCTCAAACAATCCACTTAAAGAGGAAGATGATCAGAGGAAAACGGTCTCTTGTTTTAAAGGTTTTTTTCTCTCTCTCTCTTTTTTTTTTATGCAACGTGATTAGCAGGCAGTGGGCCTTATGTTTTCACTTTTAGTATGACTGAAACTAAGAGCATTTCCTTGGGGCAACTGTGTCCCAACAGACTGAGATGAGAAAAATCAACTATCCCATCAGCACATACACAGGCAACACTTGAAGTCTTTACAGATCCTCATTTTGACTTTAGTAGAATGAATTTAGTAAGATAATCTAATCTCTAAGTGTTAGCTTCTTCTCATAGAAGTATATATTTATCTCCAACTTTACTAGAGAGTTTATAAAATATTTTCACAAGAAAGATAGCTCTAAACTAGATCAGTGGTCAGCAAACTTTCTCTATAAAGGGCTGAATATTTTAAGGTTTGTGGCCCATACCGTCTCTGTAGCAACAACTTACCTCTGCTATTTTAGTGTGGAAGCAGCCATAGACAGCATGGAAATGAATGGGCAGGGTATGTTCCAATAAAACTTTACTTACAGAAACAGCAAAGTCCATTTGATCTGTGGGCCATGAGTTTGCCAGCCCCTACATTAGATCTGTCTTCCTGTAGGGATAACAACTGAATAGGTTAGGGCCCTCTCTAACTCTCCCAGAAATGTTCACAATTCTAATGCTACTCTTTTCCATTCCTAGCCTTCTAAATAGAAATAAGTAACAAACTAGTTCAACTGCAGAAAGTATCCAACCTATTCATGTGACCTGAATTTCTTAATTGTTTTTTTAAAAATGTCAAATAACAACAGTGTATACAAAAAGACAATACACATTTGAGCTGTTGCAGTATATGTTTGTCATTTGTCTAGTCTTGAAATGCCCAATCCATTGGCAAATAAATAGCGAGGAGCTAATGTTTTGAAAGAGCAGAATTTGCCCTTCTTGATGGTCATGAATTTCCAAGGCCTAATTGGTACCCAATTTTCTATAAAGTCTTGTGCCAAAATGTCTTTTATCACATAGAGGCAAGCAGTGCATTTAAACATATTTTGTCGACTGGGCACCATATGCAGAAGTGACAGCCAGAACTCTTTGCCAGATCTTTTTTGAGGGTGGATGGGTCTCCAAAGGGTCAAGTGTCTCGCAGTGTGACTTATGCCGAAGTCAGCAGGTAAGGGGTTGATGGTAGAAGTCTAAGTTTTATTCTGAAAATGGTCTCTTTCCTAAATATGGATTTAGAGTCAATTGCTCTGAAATTTATTCTTTATTATTAGAAATTGTATCTGTTATCCTTGCTATAGCATTGTACACGAGACAGCATAAGGATGTAGGGATATATGTTGACCTCATTCTAGTGTGTGAATTCCAAGGTAGATTACAATGTTGAAGTGATATATGTGGGTTTATTGAAGACTAAAGAGCTCATTCTTTGGGAATTACACTGATATCTAATTATGGAGTTCTGACAATTTGCCCTAGTAGAAATCCTGAGGAGGATTATCTTTGTGGGTAAGAGGATAAGAGATAGAGATGGCCATGAAAGAAAAAGACAGTTCCATTGTCTGTTATTGGGTACTAAATGAGGATTGGGAAGGCTGAATCCCAAATACAGTAGTCATGCTCCAACACATTCATATAAGACTAAGAGGCAAGAAGCAATAAGAATGGACAGGAAAAATGGACATGAATTTTCTTGGGGAGAATCTTAGAAATATCTGTGGTAAAAAAACCATGAGGAAAACCTAGGCTTATTTTGGTCCAGTTGGTTAGGATTCAGATTACTGTGATTCTTCCCAAATTGGAAAAGCCAGGGATATAGCTATATTACTTATCACGGTCCTTCATTAAGATGAACCAACCTTCGAGACCATCCTGGCTAACATGGGGAAATCCCGTCTCTACTAAAAAAAATACAAAGAAATTAGCCGGGCGTGGTGGCGGGCACCTGTAGTCCCAGCTACTCGGGAGGCTGAAGCAGGAGAATGGCGTGAACCTGGGAGGCAGAGCTTGCAGTGAGCCGAGATCGTGCCACTGCACTCCAGCCTGGGCAACAGAGCCTCTGTCTCAAAAAAAAAAAAAAAAAGGTGAACCAACTTACACCTCACACCTGTTAGAATGGCTATCATCAAAAAGACGGAAGATAAATAAGAGAAACCTTGTATAATATGGCTGGGAATGTAAATTAATGCAGCCATCATGGAAAACAGTATGGAGGTTTCTCAAAAAACTAAAAATAAGACTATCATAATATCCAGCAATCCCACTAGTGGGTATATAACCAAAGGAGACGAAATAAGTCTGTCGAAGAGATATATGCACTCCCATGTTCATTGCAACATTATTCACAATAGCCAAGATATGGAAACAATCTAATGTCCAGCCACAGATGAATGGATAATGAAAATGTGATATATATCTAGATATACCATGGAATACCATTAGACCTAAAAAAAGAAGAAAATCTTGCCATTTGTGACAACATGGATGAAACTTGAGAATGTTATGCTAAGTGAAATAAGCCAGTCATAGACAAATACTACATTATTTCACTTATAGGTGGAATCTAAAATAGCCAAACTCATAGAAAGAGAGCAGAAGAGTGGTTGCCAGGAGAGGTTGATCAAAGGGTGCAAAGTGTCAGTTATGCAAGATGAATACTTTCTCTTGATCTAATGTGCAGTGTGGTGAGTATGGTTAACAAAACCATATAGTATATTGGAAATGTCTTAAGGGGGTATATCTTAATCGTTCTCACCACACAAAAAAAGAAAAAATAATGGAAAATATATACACATACATTCAAACATCATTGTACACCTTAAATATATACAATTTTTTTTTCAATTATACCTAAATAAAGCTGTGGAAAAAAAAAAGATGGAAAAACTCAAATGTATTCCCTTGTTGTGGCAAAAAGACCTAGGAAGATTTGAGAAATCAATTTAGACAAATTAGCCATTTAATTAGTAAGATATGTGAAGATGATGATTACATAGGAAAAAGATGAAACCCCATTTTTTAAAAAAAATAACTGTACAATAACGCATAGAATAGAAGCTTCCTCCCTGTCTACTGACAGCATGTATAGAAGTGGAGAGATAGAAAAGAACTGTCTTATTCTTCTATTCAATCAATATTAAGTATATGGTTAAACGAAAGTTACCAAAATATTATGTATAAAACCAGAAAAAACATTACACTCTTTTTTGTTTGTAATCAATACAAAATAAAATAATTTGGAATTAACATTAGCAGACGCTCAAACCAGACCTAGATAATGCCTATAACATCATCTTACTATAATGAGGAATTTTCACAAACAAAAGAGGATACATTCTGATATGTTATTTCCAGATAAACTGATAATCAGAAAGTCTTTTGGCAGAAAATGTTGGTGTTATTGGTAAAGTCAGATATCAGGAAAATTTTAAGTAGTAATAAGGGGGATGGATAGTATCTACACATTATAATTTATTGAAATGGATAGAACAAAGAGAAGACATCGTATTACAATATTTCTTTCTCTGTGTTCTGCCAGGTCAACTTTGGGGGCAGGCACCTGGTGAATTTGTGTTTGATAGGTGGGATTGCTTTGGGCAAGTGCACGCCGACTGCAACATCCAGATCATTTTCCATCCAGTTCCGCTACACAGTGGGACTTGACGGCTATTGAGGGTCGGGATTATAACTGCGTCTAATTGCTATTACCATCTGCTGTAGAGAAGAAAGAAATGTCTTTCTTCTTTTTGACAAAAGCAGGAAATAAAATGATAAATATATACCAAAAGAAAAACCACTTATCTATCAGACCTCGTAACTGAAGAATCCAACCAGCTGCAAGAGAGTCAATTCAGAAATAAAATTCAAAAAAAGTTGAAGCTTGCTTCTTCAACTTTAGTGCCTAATTCAAGTCAGAGTAATGTCTATCGTGGGGCAGAGCATATGGCTAGGGAGAAGTGAAGGTAGTTGGTGAAGGGGACCACACTGCGTGCCAGCACAGGAAATGACATCTCTAATGCCCATCTTATATTTTGGGACAACTTCATTTAAAATATGGAAACTGAAGCTCAGAGAGCTTACATAGTTTCCCCACACCTATATAGCTGGCAAACAGATTCAAGGAAAATTTGTGAACTGGATGTCTTTTGGGTGGCTGGTCAAGAAGAGTAATTATTTCTTAGCTCAAGCAAATCTTGTAAGAATGTAACTATATATAAAGGGATTTTTAAAACATCCTCTCTGACAGCCAACTATTATAGAATTACCGTAAGAAACAAAAAAAGTATCAGCTTCCTAAACACAGGATTATAATTAACAACAAAAAAGTAAATATGTTCCTAGTTCATTAAATTGCTAATAATTATTACTACATTAATGAGCCCAACCCAAGTTCACCCTTTGCTGAGATGTGGTAACATACACAAATAGTAAGAGAGAAAGAAAAATATATCATTGTTTCCTAGGGTAAATTCAAGATGAAGAAGCAAAATTTTTTTCTGAATTGTGTAATGTATTCACATTAATCTGATGTGCATATTGTGAGTGCCTTACAGAGTGATGAAACTAAGCGTGGCTCTATTAAAAAGAACAGCAACTGAATTTAAATGACTGAATTTCTGTGAAGAAAGAAAAAGAAAGAAATGACTCAAAGGTTCATACAGGAGCCATGGAAAAAAGTCCATTTTCCTTGGTAAGGTGTAAAAACTGTGCATTGAAAGGATATTATCAACGGTCCTGTAAAATGTAATAAAAGGAGCCGTAAATTTTTCCTGAAATATGCAACGTTAAAAAATATGAAGTTAAAAGTTCTGGCAGCTCTGTTGATTTCCTTGAGGGGGAAAAAACAGCTAGGGGGACCTCAAACTGCCTTTTCCTTGAGATTCTGACCACGTGCAAAGTGAAGTTTCACAGGGACCTGGGCAGTGTAGAAAACAGGCTGCAAGGTTGTAAAACACCAGGTACAGCCATGGTGACCTGTTGTTCATCAGGGGCTGAGTTCTGAGTCTGGAATAACGTTCCTGAATATCTCTCCTGTGGTAGGAAAGTCAAGGAAATGTGGCAGATTGATAATAATTCTAACTGCTGGAAATATTTGCTTCACCTTCTACCTATGTTCATCTCATCTGTCCCTGCATTTTCCTATTTCATTTCTTTTTGATTTCCCAAACACGCATGGAGTATCTTGTCAGATATGGTAAAAGACACTGGAAAAATACAAGATAGTCTCTGCTTTCTGGAACCTCACATAGCCTGAGAGGGGCCAAGACACAGGCCTGCCTCTAAAACTTTGCAGGCCCAGGGTAAGACCACATACTATATGTCCAAATATTTCAAATATGTTAACCAAGTTAACAATGTTTAAATTATGTTCTATCTTCCAGCCTTAAACAAACGAACTATGTAATAATCTGGATTACCAGGTTCACATTTCAAAGTACTGGATTCATTAGAGTTCTGCAGAGGAACATGGTGGCATAAGAGAGTGGACCTGAACCCCCATTCTATTCAGGGCTCCATCCTGCAACATGAGGGGCCTCATGCACCAGCAGACGCTCTACTCAGTACTTCCAAGCTCTGTTTACTACCTTCCTTCACACACACTGTAACCCCTGCTCCTCGGCCTCCTCCGGTGGCAGGTCTTGGTGGCATATTCCAGGTGAGAACAGCCCTTGACTCTCAGATGCCCTGCGTTGGGAGAGGGGCATGGCTGGAGAAAGGGCAGTGTTGGGCCCTCTAAGCATTATCAAGCAGTATTGACAAGCTTGGTGTTGAAATTAGAGTAATATGATATAGTTCCTCATAAATATTTTCCGAAGACTCTAGATCAGATTCATTTTCATTAGATTAGTATCTCTTCAACTATCACAAAAAAAGAGAAAAAAAAGAAAAAGAATATATTAGGCATTTCCTATTGCTTGTGTTCTTTGACCGAACAAAAACTATAAAAAATGTTCAGTTTAAGTGGACAAACACTTACACCTGAATTTAAAGAGATACGTGTGCATTGATTGGTTCAACTCATTTTTTGATAAACACATATAATAATCACAATTATCATTTTATGTTTTCTTTAAACTCAAAATTTCAGGATTCCAATTCATAGTTGGAAGCATATCTATGACTCTGAGCCATTTCACCATTTTGTTTTCATATAGTAATCATCACAGACGTTTCTTTAACTTTCTTCAGTTTGTCTTTTCAGATTTATTTCATTTTAACTTTCCCTTTCTGTTTATCATGGCTGTTAATAATTTGTTACTTCAATCATTGTTTAACCAAACCTTTGATCATAGTGTTCATGCTGTCTTCCAGGTACATTAGTCTCCAAATGATACAATCACTCTATTGCTCTTGTTTTGAATTAGCTCTTCTTTCTTTACATTTTTCGGAAAATCTAGACTCAGTTCCCAGCACTGAATTTTCTTGTCTCAGTTCCAAATTGAATAGTATACCGTTTTCTGCAACATTACATTATAAATCAACCAAAGACTAGCTTGACTTTATTCCTTTTTTTATCCTGATATAATTGTTGTTGTTGTTGTTTTGTGTTTTGTTTGAGACAGGGTCTCACTCTGTCACCCAGGCTGGAGTGCAGTGGCACAATCTCGGCTCACTGCAACCTCTACCTCCGGTGTTCAAGCGACTCTTGTGCCTAAGGCTCCCAAGTGGCTGAGATTACAGGTATGCCATCACACCTGGCTATTTTTTTTTTTTTTTTTAAGTATGAACGGGTTTCACCATGTTGACCAGGCTGGTCTCGAACTCCTGGCCTTAAGTGATCTGCCTGCCTCAGCCTCCCAAACTGCTGAGGTTACACGCTGAGCTACCTTGCCAGGTCTCTGACATAATTTTTTGTATTAATCATACATAAGGTCTTCCACCTATAGAAATTCATCTGTGTTTCAGATGTGTTCAAAATTCTAAATAATTTCTTCCAAGTCATTTATTATTTTTGAATCCTGACTTTTTAGCCAGGCTTTCTAAAAAATAGATCTGCAAATTTTTTTAATTCTTTGTTTGGCTTATTCATGCTCCTTACTAAGTGCATTATAATGGGAAGGAATAATTCTTCAATTTCTTCAACAATTTTCTTTTTTTCTTTTTCTTTTTTTTTTTTATTTTTTTTTTTTTTTGAGACAAGCTCTGTCTCTGTCGCCCAGGCTGGAGTGCAGCGGCGTGATCTCGGCTCACTATAACTTCCACCTCCTAGGTTCAAGCAAGTCTCCTGCCTCAGCCTCCCAAGTAGCTGGGATTACAGGTGCCCTCCCACCATGCCTGGCTAATTTTTGTATCTGTAGTAGAGACAGGGGTTTCACTATGTTGGCCAGGCTGGTCTCAAACTCCTGACCTCAGGCAATCTGCCCAACTCGGTCTTCCAAAGTCCTGGGATTACAGGTGTGAGCCACTGCACCCGGCCTCTTCAGCAATTTTCAATACAACTTGAGTAATTATAATCAAGTCTCATTAAATTTGAGTCTACCCAATTCTGAAATCACTCCCTGGTATGGTATATTGTGAACTCTAAGAAAAGAAATTATTGCTGTCCAAGTTTGCACACAGTTAACGTATAGGATTTTAATCTTTGCTTCATTTGGAAAAGTAAATTAGTAAGAAAAAGCACCAAGTTCACATGAGAGTTGGCCCTAAAGTGAAGTAGGTAGGAGAAGTAGCACCCTGCAAAGTCAGTCCTGAGTGTTGCTGCTGAACACTCCACTCCCTTCCTTCGCAGGTATTGGAGTACAAATACTGCACCTAGATTTAGGTCCAAGTTTCACTTCTGAACCTTAGAAGCTTCCAGATATGAACAAATTATCTAACCTCTTTGAACCTCAAAATCAATAGTTTATAAAAACAGAGGAGTAGATTGTCTCTAAGGTACATTTTAGCTTTTATAATCTATTCCTCAGTTGTTCTACGTGACCTGAAACTTTCCCCACTAGCTACTGATGAGTTGCGGATAGAGTTGGCTACAAAGATTGGAGCACTCGCTCTATACTTCCATAGTTCAGATGCATGGAGCATTTCAACAGAGGACTGTATTTTCAGGCTAGTGACTTGAGTCACTGGAAGCACGTAACAGGTTTGACAATCCAGCAGCCTGCAAGTGTCAGATCAGGGTTGGTGGGCAAGGGAAGAGGAGATTGAGAATGAGAAGCCACCAAAAGCACCTTGGCTAGGGACCTCCTGGTGAGTGAAAGTGATCTGCTAGTCTTCAACAAATTATGAATTAGCTAAAATAATTATGAATGCGATCAATAATAATCATAGTAATTTCATTATGTATTTCTTATATCTTTCAAAGTGGTAGAGAATTGAACTAAAAAGTTCTAGCAATACAACAATTTTTTCTTCTTGAACCTGCTTTGTTCAGCTTAATAAAAACTGCCTACATCTAATATGATACTGCCTAAATAAGGTGTGTCCAGAATGCTTTTTCCCGCATTCTCTATCTATGGGAAATCACATGCACTGACTGCCAACTCCAGTGCTAACTTCCTCGGAGATTCTTTAAGGTGTCACCAGGCAGAGTTAATCTCCTTTGCCTCCATATTTTGACAGCATGTTACTGTCATTTTTCTCAACGTGTTTCATTCTGTGCCATATTAGCAGGAGCTAGTTGGATGTCTGTCTTATTCCCCACTTCCTCACCCATTGCCTGTGTCCTACATGAACACCCTAGGAAGGGTAGCAATCCCTCCTCCTTTTTCCCATTCTCTTCCAGTCAACGCTGTTGCTCTCCAGGCCTTTGTGATTCTCTAGAGCCTAATTGAAACACTAAAAATAAACATAAATTGTGTCTTTTTCCCTGCTATTACAATCCAAGTTTTCCTTCGGGCAATGTAGAGTTCTGATTAATTAAAAGACCGTTGGGAAGTGAGGCAGAGGAAGAAAGGTACAAAGATTAATATTTCTCCATCTTGTCTTGCTAAACTTCAGTGACAAACTTGGGCCCCTATTCCTTTATTGATTGATGTATTCATTCATTCATGCATTCATTTGTTTTGTAGTTTTGGTAGGCAGCATCTTAAATAGGGATATGCATCAATATCTTAAAAGAGTACTTTTTAAAAATAATCTGCACATCTGGGCCCCATTCTGGCGATTCTGATTCAATGGATCTGGGGCTAGTTCTGGCATTTGCATGCAAAAGGCTCCCCTGGGGTTCTGGCACACAACTTTAGATTTTTACTTTTATAAGAGATTTTCACTCTTATAACTTAAAGCACAGGGTGCTGTAGCCATAAAGAGTTGTTTTGACGTGTGATCTTGTGCAACTTAACTTCTCTGAAGATCGTGTGTGTGTGTGTGTGTGTGTGTGTGTGTGTGTGTATCATTTAACATTTTAAAAACTATGGTAGAATTTTCTGTTTGAGACCAAAATAGAAGATATGCCAGTTTGTTTCAGAGAATATATTCCAGCATATATTTAAAGCAAACATGTGAAAACAAACGCTAGGTTTTATTTGTAACAAAAATTTTGATTTAGTCTGATATTTAGTACTACTAATCGGGTTTGAATTTAACAAAGAATGTGGTTTATTCAGGTTCAACTCCCTGATAATTACTGTTTTACACCATATCTATCTAGAATTAACCTACCAGCATTGACGTATTTGGCATTAAGCTATTTTTTTCCTGGAGGATTGTTTGTATGAGTTTTCATTTGGTAATGTTTATGCCTTTGAAGGAATGTATATTGACAGATGTTTGTTAATAAGGATGGATATTTCATTATGAATCTACATCTATTTACTTTCTCAAAGGTTTCAAACTTCCCAAGAATGCGTGCATGCGTGCGTGCGGGCGTGTGTGTGTGTGTGTGTGTGTGTGTGTGTGTGTGTGTCAGGGAAGGAGGTGGTGGGGAGAGAAAGAGAGAGAGACAGACAGACAGAGACAGATCTCTTTTGGCAATTGTGTTAATAGTTCATCTTCTGCTTCCCAGATTTGCATATGCTATTTTTTAAAGTTATTTTTCTACACCTTTATAAGCTTTTCTCTTCTGATCTGAAATGCTTCTGCCTGATGTCCTTCCCATCTAAATTCTTCCCACTCTTCAGGTCCCAATTTTTATAAAATCTTTCTTGATTCTTCTTGCTCCAGTGATTTCTTCCTCTCATTTTGTCAATAAGCTATTTTCTATACTGTGCATATAACACTTATCATATAACTGTAACTTATTATAATATGTTGTTTTATTGTTTTATGAGTGCACCTTGTCTCCCTTTTTTGAGCATCAGACTAATGGAATCTCTACTGAATATTTCTGTGCTGCCTCTTAGTGCCAAGTACTTCCTTGCAAATAGCATATGCTGTTATCCTCCAAGGCATGCTGACTAATTGAGGAGTATTGCTTTTATATACAGCAAAAAAAATCACACATGGAAATATTAAATGAAATATATTAGAGCATTATTTATACAGGCAATAACAAAGAGTTATTTGTACTAATATTGACTTTTTTTTGGTCTAACAGTTCACTACCAGTGGGAAGTATCTCAGAAGCTTGGTCACTGGAAAAATCAAGATACCCACCCTGACAGTAGGATTAACTTGGCTCATCTCAATTATTCAGAAATAAGGGAAAGGAGTTGCATATTCTTTTTTCTTTGCTGTAAAAAGATGACTTTCATGTCTATTTCCCAGCATGTTATTTCAATTGGAGGTCAGTAATATCTGCTGGCCTTCCTAGATGCCAAACATTCAGGTCTTTGTTTTGTCCTGGTTCAGTCACTCCTCCCTATGTCCAAAGTAGAGGCATCCCATGCATTCCTAGAAGCCTATTTCTTATCTACTTCCTTTCCCAAGGCCTCTGGCAGCTTTGCACAGTGGCTAGAGCATCTCATGCAGTTCCTGATATTGTTCCATGTTCCTTTTCAGAAGGCAGTGGCAAGCAAGAGATCTGTTGTTATTAAAGGTTCACAGTTGGGGGGCGGGGAATGACTCACAAACAAGGGAGAGTCTTTCTTACTGAAATGCTCTTAAAGGCCTTGTCTACTTATAAATACAAAGACATTGTTCTCTTCATCATCATAGTTTTAGCACCTAACATCTTGCCTACCACATAGTTGACAATTGATAAAAATTGTCGAAGAAATGCAGGAGATCTGGTGCTCTGTCTTCCAAGAAGGCATCCTTGGCCCACTCAGTGGGAATGATCACTTTCTCCTCTGTGCCCCACTGCACTATGCAACCTCCTTCTCTTGTTCAACTTATCTTAGTGAATGGCACTGATTTTTCTAATGTAGATTTCTCTTTCTTTGTGATTCCTTGATAGCAAGGTCTATCTTACATGTTTTAATACCTCTAATACCAAGTACAAAAAACATTTAATGAAACAGCTCTGTGAAACTGTTACACATACCTTCTACAATTATATCATTAGGAATATTATTTATTACATTTCATTGAGTCCTTTTTAGGAGATTTGTCCAGAAATTTCTCGCTTGTAATTATATTCAGAATACATGTGTTTGTCTTAGACAATGTTTTTTGCTTCCATCTCATGACCACTAAATTTTGAGTCTACTGAAATGTCTAGTTACAATCGGACCCATTCATAGTAAGGATTCAATGTCAAAGGACATAACTTAAGGTAATAAAAGCCGTTTATGACAAACCCACAGCCAACATTATATTGAATGGGGAAAAGTTGAAAGCATTCCCCCTGAGAACTGGAACAAGACAAGGATGCCCACTTTCACCACTTCTATTCAACATATTACTGGAAATCCTAGCCAGAGCAATCAGATAAGAGAAAGAAATCAAGGGCATCCAAGTCAGAAAAGAGGAAGTCAGACTGTCACTGTTGGCTGTTGATATGATCATATACCTAGAGAACCCTAAAAACTCATCCAAAAAGCTCCTAGAACTAGTAAATGAGTTCAGCAAAGTTTCAGGACACAAAATTAATGGACACAAATCAGTATCTCTGCTATACACCAACAGCAACCAAGCTGAAAATCAAACCAAGAACCCAGTCCCTTTTACAATAGCTGCAAAAACAGAAACAAAAACTTAGGAATATACCTAACCAAGGAGGTGAAAGACCTCTACAAGGAAAACTACAAAACACTGCTGAAAGAAATCATAGATGACACAAACAAATGGAAACACATCCCATGCTCATGGATGGGTAGAATCAATATTTTGAAAATGACCGTACTGCCAAAAGCAATCTACAATTTCAATGCAATTCCTATCAAAATACCACCATCATTCTTCAAAGAACTAGAAAAACAATGCTAAAATTTATATGGAACCAAAAAAGAGCCTGCATAGCCAAAGTAAGACTAAGCAAAAAGAACAAATCTGGGGCATCACATTACCTGACTTTAAACTATACTATAAGATCAACAAAACAGCATGGTACTAGTATAAAAATATGCACATAGACCAATGGAACAGAATTGAGTACCCAGAAATAAAGCCAAATACTTACAGCCAACTGGTCTTTGACAAAACAAACAAAAACATAAAGTGGGGAAAAGACAACCTATTCAACAAATGGTGCTGGGATCATTGGCAAGCCACATGTAGGAGCATGAAACTGGATCCTCATATCTCACCTTATACAGAGATCAATTCAAGATGGATCAAAGACTTAAATCTAAGACCTGAAACGATAAAAATTCTAGAAGATAACAATGGAAAAACTCTTCTAGGCACTGGCTTGGGCAAAGACTTCATGACCAAGAACCCAAAAGCAAATGTAACAAAAACAAAGATAAATAGATGAGACTTAATTAAACTTAAAGGCTTCTGCCTAGCAAAAGAAATAATCAGCAGAGTTAACAGACAACCCACAGAGTGGGAGAAAATCTTCACAATCTATACATTTGACAAAGGACTAATATCCAGAATCTATAAATAACTCAAACAAATCGGCAAGAAGAAAACACACAATCCCATGAAGAAGTGGGCTAAGGACATGAATAGACAATTCTCAAAAGCAGATATACAAATAGCCATAAGCATATGGAAAAATGTTCAACATCATTAATTATCAGGGAAATGCAAATCAAAACCAAAATGAGATACCACCTTACTCCTGCAAGAATAGCCATAATCAAAAAATAAATAAATAAATAAAAATACAGATGTTCCCATGGATGTGGTGAAAAGGGAACACTTTTACACTGTTGGTGGGAATGTAAACTAGTACAACCACTGTAGAAGACAATGTGAATATTCTTTAAAGAACTAAAAGTAGATGTGAATATTCCTTAAAAAACTAAAAATAGATCTACCATTTGATCCAGCAATCCCACTACTAGGTATCTACCCAGAGGAAAAAAGAAGTCATTTTACAAAAAAAATACTTGCACCCATGTTTATAACAGTACAATTTGCAATTGCAAAAATATGGAACCAGCCCAAATGCCCATCACTCAACGAATGAAGAAAATTATATATATACACACACACACATACACACACACACAATGGAATACTACTCAGACATAAAAAGGAACTAAATAATGGCATTTATAGCGACCTGGGTTGAATTGGAGACTATTATTCTAAATGAAGTAACACGAATGGAAAACCAAACATTGTATGTTCTCACTCATAAGTGGGAGCTAAGCTATGAGGACACAAAGGCATAAGAATGATATAATGGACTTTGGGGACTCGGTGGAAAGCATGGGGGGGTGGTGAGGGATAAAAGATTACACATTGGGTATAGTGTACACTGCATGGGTGATGGGTGCATCAAAATCTCAGAAATCACCACTAAAGAAATTAGTCAAACACCACCTGTTACCCCAAAACCTATTGAAATAAAAAATAAATTTTAAAAAAAGGACTCAATGTTAGGACTTTGTATTAATCTTATTCCTGATTCTGTTTCAGGTACCTACCATTAGTTTATCTTTGTATTTCCCAGCTACCTCTTTCATATGCTAATTTGTTGTATTTATGTGTCATATAACCTTCCTTAAATCCTTCTTTTGAATTAAAGTGGGATACGAATACCTATAAAATATTTATAAATGTATTCAATTATTCAATGTTGAGCTAGGAACCACTACACATCAGATCTGAATACAATGTGTTGCCCTAAATTCCTTCAGCTTGAAGAAGTTCAAAATCAATAGAAGTTAAGATAGATAAAATATGAGAAATGAGGGAGAGGGTGGTGTCAAAGCTCATTCAACTGTTTGGATGGAGCCACTCTGAATTAGGGAAAAGAGGAAGAAGGCCAGATTTGGTAAGGCATTGCCAACACAATTCTAATGTAAATAATAATTATTATAACTGGCAATCATATAGCCTTGTGTGGTTTACAAAGCAGTAACACAAATAATAGTTATAATAATGAACATTTGTATAGTGATCTAAAGTTAATAAAGATTAATTTGTTCCTTACAACAAGCCTGTGAATTGGCAAGAGTCAATATAATTTCATTCCCATTTTGCAGATGAGAAACCCAAGTTTCAGAGAGGCTAAAGGACTTTGAAAAATCATTTGAAGGACATTTTAGGTGTGGAAGTTCTGATATGCTATGCTATGGCCCATCGCCTATTATACTCCTTCTTCTAGTATTGGAAACACATCAGAGCTACAGTGAGGAATACAGGGTAATATAGCTCTTTGGCTTTGTGAAATAAGCAAACAACTGTGAAAGTCAGCAGTATTACCAAAAGTCTTCCACATTACTTGGAAGACTTCGCATTACTTGTGAAATGCTTGTAACAGTTACCCCCAGCTCTAGCTCCAGCTCTAGCTTCCTGGGTTTCTTCAATGTAACATGGCTCCATCCAGCAGAAGGGGGAAACCCCTGAATGTTTAGCTGGATCCTTAATTTCAAAAGCATCTTAGACATTAAGTTGTTTTTGTTTTGTTTTGTTTTTTTCTTGAGACAGGGTCTCTCTGTCACCCAGGCTGGAGTGCAGTGGCACGATCTTGGCTCACTACAGCCTTGACCTCCCAGGCTCAAGTCATTCTCCTGCCTCAGCCCCCCAAGTAGCTGGGACTACAGGTGCATGCCACCATAACTAGCTAAGTTTTTTGCATTTTTGGTAGAGACAAGGTCTTGCCATGCTGCCCAGTCTGGTCTCAAACTCCTGAGCTCTAGCAATCCACCCGCCTTGGCCTCCCAAAGTACTGGGATTACAGACGTGACCCACCGCGCCCAGCCAGATGAAGTATTAAAATGACATTTCTGACACAATTTACCTATGTTTGAAAAACATATAAGCAGCATGTGATAGCTATTAATTAAATATTGATTTATTAACACACAGGTCTCATAGAGAATAGCAATTCATGGATGAACAAGCCTTGGAAATAGTGTCAGACTTCTAGTTAGGTACCATGAGCAACTTATAACTTGCATCATGCTTGTGTTCAAATAGAAAGGAGTAACTTTCAGTTCAGTCTTGTGTACCTTACAGTGGATAACTAGAAAAGAGGAGAATGAACTCAGAGAAAAGACAGGGTTGGGTTGGGCACAGTGGCTCACGACCTAGCACTTTGGGAGGTCGAGGCTGAGATCAGGAGTTCAAGACCAGCCTGGCCAACATGGTGAAACCCTGTCTCTAGTAAAAACAAACAAACACACAAAAAGACAAAATCAAAATTAGCCAGGTGTGGTGGCTCGTGCCTGTAATCCCAGCTACTTGGGAGGCTGAGGCAAGAAAACCACTTGAACTCAGAGGTGGAGGTTGCAGTGAGCTGAGATCTTGCCACTGCACTCCAGCCTGCGTGACAGAGTAAGACTGTGTCTCAAAAAAATAAAAATAAAAGACAGGGTTGAGTCTAAAAACATGACATAATAACACTGGCAGTGTACAGTCTGTTTCTGGGAATGAATTTCCTGATTTTTCTATCTCATTCACATGGCTGGCCCAAATGCTGACTGTGAACCCTGAGAAGCCTAACTGGACATTTGTCATAAACTCCAAGTACACAGACATTCTTGTATAAGATCATGGTTATTGCAAGACGACTGGTACAATTAAAGCACTTCTGTAATTCTACGTGGGAACCTGCTGTGTCTAGTATTATAAGACAGGTTTTGGACTCCAGATTTGAGAAGTAGATGACTAAGAAATACTGGCAAGTGCTAATTCCTGTCCCTGGATAAAAAAAGACCATAAAGGCCCCAGATAAAATATGATGCTGGCTTATTTTTCAGACACATTTTCTGGAAATTTGTGATCTCCACCAATCTTAAAAAAAAAAAGAAGAAGAAAAAGTAATGTCCATTTCTGGATCCTTGGGCCAGGCTCCCTTAGTCAGTTCTCTATTTTTCTTACCACCCAGATACTAAAACATTTGGCATACGTGGGATCATAGTGTTTCAGAGCTGGAAGGGAAGCTCTCCCACCCTGGTTTTATCTGTAGGCTGGATAAAGGTTTGGGATTTAGCAATAGGCTTTGCTAACTCAGCTTGTAAAAATCACATCCTTTATCAACTCCCCAGATGGTTTAGATCATTAAAAACACAACAAAACAAAACAAAAGCCCTTCAGAGTGTACACTGTGAAGATATTCTCTAATTTCCAAGAAAAATAAATATATGTCGAATTTCTCACAGATTTCTCACACTCTCTCAGTATACAGCCAGAATTGTTGTGGTGAATGGAGAACTTAAAAGCATCGTTTTTGAAACTGCAAAGCCTTGTGCTGAATACTTAACTTCCAACAGCCCCTTTGCCTTTCCAGCTTGTCCATCAGTCCCCAATTCCAAGTCAGTATTTATCTATTGGAGCTTAGCTTAAACTGAAAAGTGGATGTCTTTATTCAATAAATTTGGGGCAACTGGCTCTCAATAAGCAACAAAAACAAAAAGGCTATTTCAAGTCAAAGAGACCTCAAGAAACTATCCCACCATCTGCTGGGGAGAGAGAAATGAGCCTGTGGGCCAATAGCTCTTTATTGAACAGAAGAAATAGTATTGTCATCTAAATTTTCTGCAACACTCTTTGGATCAAAATATTATAATCACAGCAAATAGATGCAGCAAATAGATGTGGCCACACTTAATGGATACTCAAAGGGCCAAACCACTGCTCACTTTGGATCATTTACTGTCATTTGGAAGTAAAACTGGGGGGCCGAGGGGGCTGGGGCTGGAGGGAGAAAGGGAGACCTTACGTTAAGCTGGCATGCACCAGTGGATAAATGGCTGGCATTTGCAGAGCTGCATTGCAGGGGAGCTTTTAGCGGTTTGCCACTGCCAGCTGATGTCTCTGTGAACATCAGTGCCAAGAAGCCAAAAATGAAAGCAGGTGCAGGGGCAGAGGAACTGAATGTTGAGGGCGAAGGGGAGGGGGATTCAGCAACAGAACTTCTGTTGTTAAAAATTGGTTGCCTTCATTAAAACCTAAACAATGCCTCACTTTAAACTCTGCATAACATTTTTAGCCCTGCTAGAGTCCTGCACACACACTTAAGACAAGCCTCTTACATTTATGCACTAGACTAAGAGACTCTTTTTTGTTTGTCTCTCTCCAAAGCTGTGGATTGTCTGCTAGACGGCTGAACTCCGATTAGAGCAGCTTTCCTTCCGAAGCCAGGAGCATCTGCTTCTGAAAGTGCCCCTTTGCTCCCGTCTCTCCCAGAGTGCCCCCTCTTCAGAAAGTCCCACTTCGACACAACCAGGGCCTGGGAACAGGGAATATTCCTGAACTCGGCGTGTCTTCGCCAAGCAGTGTCGCCAGTTCAGCTCTCTGAAATGCTGCTTTCCGATGAGAAAACAGACGGGACTCAGTGTCGCCGGCGATTTACATTTCCCTCAAAAGCTCTATGTTCCTGCAACATTGTTCCCCGAGCCCACCGTAAGTGACAGCAGGAAAAAAAAACAATGGGAGTAAGCGAAGAATAAAGGTAAAGGTTCAAGACCAACAGAGAGAAGGAACTAAGGCTTGCCACGGGGCACATTAAAAATGAAGAATAAAACAGAAAGACATCTGCCCCCTCTGCTGCCCAGCACGGCTGAGCCATTTCCAGCAGTGACTTCATCAGTGACCAGCCCAAACTGGAGAATGTGAAAGTCATCTTTCATAGAGATAGGACAAAAATACTGATCACACACAGCCTTCTCACAACTGTGATGGAGGAAGAACAAACCCCAATGAGAGGAAACTGCAGGCAATCCATGTGCTTGGTTGAAAATACAGTTTGCTTTGTGTTTTCTAATGGACATTACTGCAATGAGGGAAATAGCATGTTTGTTTTTACAGGCTTTTAGAAAATACAGAAATGACAAAGTTCATCTACAAGCCAGATGCTCGGCACAAACCAGAAAGAGCTCAATCTACTAAAACTAGGATGCCACAACTTTGGGGTCAAAAATTGTAATTATAATTTAGCATGGATATGTATGGTGACTGTTGGGAATGGTAGTGAGAATTAGGTTTTTTTTTTCCTATGGCCTTACACTTGGGAATAGTTTATAGTGAATCTTCATATCTTCTACCACAAAGTATTACTGTTTTGTCCGTAGTAAGTTTGGTTATAATGAACTTTTAAAACCCAGAAGAAAGTTTAAAAACTCAAACCAGAAACACAAACAGGATCAGATGCCAAAAGCGTGAGTGGACAGAAATGAACTTAGTTCATAAAGCAAGTAAAGTCTAACTTTTAGTCTGAATGAAATATTGAGTTTGGACAACGGGATACTGCAAAACTGAGAAATCTGAGAGAAGTGGAATGCTCTAATAGGAAAAAACAAAAAACTGGCCAAGACTAGGAGAAGGCATTCCAAAAAAAGAAGCAGAGATGGCTAATAATATAAAACAACGCTCAATCTCAGGATTAAAAAAACAAAAATGTAGAAGTGAAAGAATGCTCACCTACAAAATGCATATCTGAAAAACATTCTCAATATTGTTAAGGATTTGAGGGAAATGAACTCAAATCTTAAAAGGAAATTGAAAAAACGTGCACAAAAATCCTTAAACATTATGACTGATAGAAAGTTATCTTGGCCAAATACTAAAACAAGTAATATATTTACATACAAAAGAGTTCACTGTGTGGTTTTAAATATCACACAGTGATATTTAAATATTAAAAATAGAAATATAATTATTAAAATATAAGAAAATGGCTAAGAAAATTATGGTATATACATAAATCATGTTTTAGAAAAATATTCACTGACATGGGAAAGGGCTTGTAACATGCTTGCTTAATGAAAAAAATAGGTTGTAAAACAGTATAGTTAATACAGGGTGATCTTAATTATGTGTGAAGCATCTACGTGAAAATGTTAACAGCAGTTGTTATAAGCCCTAGGATTACAGGTGATTTTTTCTTAATTTTCCCCCTTTATTCCTTCTTTATTTTTTCAAAATTTTCAAAATGAAAATTTATGTATTTTGAAATTTTATTGTAGAGTATTATATTAAAAAGTACACACATGGGGCAGGGCGCGGTGGCTCACGCCTGTAATCCCAGCACTTTGGGAGGCCGAGGAGGGCGGATCACGAGATCAGAAGATTGAGACCACCCTGGCTAACACAGTGAAACCCTGTCTCTACTAAAAATACAAAAAATTAGCCGGGCATGGTGACGGGCGCCTGTATTCCCAGCTACTCGGGAGTCTGAGGCAGGAGAATGGTGTGAACCCGGGAGGCGAAGGTTGCAGTGAGCTGAGATCTCACCACCGCACTCCAGCCTGGTGACAGAGCGAGACTCTGTCTCAGAAAAAAGAGGATAGAGAGAGAGAGCCTTCTCCCTCTATCACAGTTGTGAGAAGGCTGTGTATGATCGGTATTTTTGTCCTATCTCTATGAACATATGAAAATATATCTCCACAAACTTAAGAAACGTCCCTGTAACCAGCATCCACATCGAGAAACAGAACACCACTAGTTCCCGGAACATCAATCCTGCCCCTTCCAGTTCTCTTATCTCTCCTACAAGATAAACTCTCTCCTGACTTGTAACACCACAGATGAGATTTGCCTTTTGTGTATTTTAAATGAAGGAATCATACAGCATATAATCTTTTGTGCTTGACTTTTTAGATTCAATATTGAAAATATATTAGTTAAGCTAGGGACTGGAATGTAGTTAAGACATTCACACAAGGCAGTTTGTTGTCTGGGGGCTTCTCCTAGTGACTCCAGGCCCCATTCCTGTCCACCTGCCAGCTGTGTACTCTGAATCCAGTATTCGGATGTTCCAAATGTTCCCTGAACTCTAATATCATGTGTATTATCCATTAGGAAATTAATCCTCACCTGCTAACCTATTATTTGCTGTTGCATCAAACTTTTAGTTATCTCCTCCATGTTTAATTTGCCATGTCTTGTTTGTATCTAAGAGTCACTAGATGCCTATCATGTGCCAGGTATACTATCTCTATGTGGTAATAATATTATCCCCACTTTGTAGGTCAGAGAAAGTAAACTTGGAGAAGGTCAGCGATTTCCCCTAGGTTATAAAGTTAGAATTTGATAGAACCCCAACCTGCACCCAGGTCCTTGGACAAGGCATCAAATGGTCCTCCATGGTGCCCAATTTCCTCATTGTCCATAGTTGATCCTCACTAGATTAGAAGGTTCTAGAGAATAAAAAGCATGAGTTTACCTTTCTTTGGATTTCCTCTCTAGCCCAGGGTTTAGAACTTAATAAATATAGTAAGTAGGGTGATTGTTTAGTTAATTGCTCTAGTACCACAGCACTCTTAATCTTTTTCTTGGAGGAAACAGTATTACACTGCTCTATATTGTTGGCCACCATCAAGGCCTGTGATTCTGATTCTAATCACCTCTAAAGAAAATGGGTTTAATAACTAGCCATGGCCAGGAAATGTAAGTAGAAAAACGGATAAGGTGAACCAAACGCAGCGGTATAGCTAGTGCATTTGATATGGAGAGTGGATTATGTTTTAAACATTGTCTTTGTTTTTACAGCAAAATTGTATGATGTAATAATTCTAAAATAAATGAAGATAGTGGTCAGAACATACTAGTCAGAAGAAAAATTAAATTAAAAATAAGATAAATATAATAGTATAATGTTTGAAAACTAATAACTTGATCCTCTTTTTAGAACATGAACTTGAGGGGGAAAATGATAAAAATTTGGCCAGGTGCAGTGGCTCACGTCTGTAATCCCAGCACTTTGGGAGGCCAAGGCGGGCGGATCACCTGAGGTCGGGAGTTCGAGACCAGCCTGACCACCATGGAGAAACTCCATCTCTACTAAAAATACAAAATTAGCCGGGCATGGTGGCACATGCCTGTAATCCCAGCTACTGGGGAGGCTGAGGCAGGAGAATCACTTGAATCTGGGAGGCGGAGGTTGCAGTGAGCAGAGATCGTGCCATTGCACTCCAGCCTGGGCAACAAGAGCAAAACTCTGTCTCAAAAAAAAAAAAAAGAAAAAAGAAAAGAAAAAGAAAAAAAAAGATAAAAATTTATACCTATGTACCCTAAAACTTAAATTATAATAATAATAATAATAATAATAATAATAATAATAATAAATCACCCAAACTACAATGGAAAATAAAGAAAAATTCTGGAGAAAAAAATTAAAATTAAAATTAAAAAAAAAATTTATACCTATGTATTATTCTGCTGTAGTCATGGATAATAATCATGGTTTTTGTTCTAAAACTTTAAATTGTGCAAATATATTGATGACTTTGTCAAAATTGATCATCACATGTTCATGATCAATAGATAGAATCAGTGAATTTGTCAATCTATTTTGGCGCATAATTGATCAAACAATGTATTTTATTTAATTTTAATATCAAAGTCTGTGGCAAGGAAGTTAAAAGAACTCCACTGCAAGGCCAAAAAACACTGATGACCATGAATGTAATTATATTATGATTTTAGCAACATTTACAATAATGTGCTGTTTCAAATAATCAGTTTCTTGGACTATAATATTCTTTAGGAGAAAAACAGGCCAAAAGTTCTGTCTTATGCACTCTCCATAATTCAAATTAGGGCACTGTTGGATTCTCAGTATTTGGACACTAAAGTTAACACAGCTCTCTCAGACCCCAGCTGAAGAATCCATTACTCAAAAGCTTCCCTGAATCCCTACTAGGTAAATCTTACTATTAAATGCTTTTATAGTACCATATGACTCTACCTAAGAGGAATGGACATAGACGTAATGTTACGCCTATGTGTATAGTTTAATTAATAAGGGTCTCTCCTCCATTCTCTAAGCTCTAAAAAGTCAGTCATGTAATTTTGTGCTCAATATTGTATACTCCAGTGCCCAAGGTAATGCCAGGTGCATAGGGGCTTAATAAATATTCAGTGAATGAAAAAGAGTATCCATTTAGCTTAATTTGTATTAGTGAGAATGTAGAGATAACCTAAAAGCCCAACCTCAAGCAAAGGGTTCAATAAATTGTAGCAAGCAAATACCATGAAATACTCTATAGTTTTGGAAAAAAGAATGTAGTAGCTTGGTAGGTCGTGATATAGAAAGATGTAATGGTATGGTGTGTAAAAATTATTAAGTTGTATAACATTATAGATTGAGTATCTCTTATCTGAAATGCAGGCATGTTTTAGAATTTGGATTGTTTCACATTTGGGTATATTATCACCTCAGCATCCCTAATCCAAACATCCAAAATTTAAAATGCTTCAATGAGCATTTCCTGTGACCACCATGTTGGCACTCAAACAGTTTCAGATTTTGGACTTTCAGATTAGGGATATTCAACCTGTACATACAGAAAACCTTATTTTCAAAAATGTGTGTATATGTGTCTCTTTGCACATCAGTGGACTTGTGTGCACTTATTCGGCTGCTCTTAGTATTTTCTTATTCTCATTCTGGTTGTGTGATAATGTGCCTTGCTATATGATCTGGAATTTTCTTCCCTTGGGAATGGTAATTGGTGTATAACTCAAAAAAGTGCTAATCCTTCCCTAAAAGATATTGGGAATGTGAAGTTTAATTACCATGTTGCTTAATCTAAAGGATCTTAATCTGGGGATGATAATGAACAAATTTGCTCCTGCAAATAACAATCTATATTCAATGGAAGAAAATTAGGCTACCCTAAATAAAAGACACAGAAAAGTCAGGAGACTGAGGAAGAGGAAAACTATGTAATAATTCTAAAATGACTTAAAACAGCGGTCAGAGCATACCTGCAGAAAGAAAAATAAAATTAAAAATAAAACAAATATTATAGTACAAAATTTAAAAAGCAAAATCTTGATTCTCTTTTTGAATCAACACTTTTGGTTCAAGTGTGCTTGAACTTCATTAGATTTCCCACCTACGTGAGCCAATAAATTGTACAAGCTAGTTTGAAATTAGTTTCTGTACATAGCAAACAAGTGATTCTAAACCAAAGGAACTGATATAATTTGGATATTTGCCCCCTCCAAATCTCATGTTGAAATCTGATCCTCCATGTTGAACGTGGGGTCTAGTGGGAGGTGGTTGGATCATGGGAGTTGATCCCTCATGAATAGCTTGGTCCGGTCCCCACTGCAATGAATGAATTCTTGCTCTGTTCACATGACAGCTGGTTGTTTAAAAGAGACTGGCATTTCCTTTCTCTCTTTTTCCTCCTCTTTCACCCTGTGACATTCCAGCTCCCTTTCCCCTTCTGGCAAGATTGGAAGCTTCCTGAGTACTCACCAGAAGCATACCTGGTGAGGTGGTACCATGCTTCTTGTAAAGCCTGCAGAACCCTGAGCTGAATAAACCTCTTGTCTTTACAAATTACCCAGTCTCAGGTATTCCTTTATAGCAATGCAAACAGACTGAGATAGTAACACGTACATGTTTGAAGGTATGGATATGAGCATAGGAAAAGACTGGAAACATGCTTGCCAAACTCTAACAGGCAGTAATCACTAGCAAGCGGCAGATAGTTACTACCGCTTACATTTATGCCCTTGTAGATTGTTGTGATGATTTTTATGACACACATGCACTAGTTGCACAATTTCAAAAGGTATTAAATAAAACTGGGATCGGTGAGAGTTTTTTATATAAAATAAGCTCATTTTAAAATCACAGTTGCAAGACCTAAATATACAAGAAATATGAGAACTCAGTATATATTCACAGGGAAGAGTTAGAAACAATGCATGGAGATTGCATGGAGGCAAATTTCAAATCAACTTGAGAGATCGGTTGTTCGCCATCCCATGTTTAAATACCCTTGCGGCATTGTTTATATTGGCAAAAACGTTGATGTCAACTCAATGACTTATAAGAGAAAACTGCATAAAGTGTGATATATCTATACAATGTAATAAAGTACAGCTGTGAAAATGAGTGAGCTAGAACTAGCTTTTATCCACATTGATAAATCTCACAAATGTATTGCTGAATAGTAAGAGCAAGTGGCAAAGGAAAACACAACGTGTTATACCATTCATATGAAGTTAGGAAGCATGTAACGCAGTACTATGCATTGCTTATAGATATTTATTGATTTAACAAACTTAGTAATAGATCCATAGGAAGGGTGAATACCAAATTTAAGTAGAGGTTAACCTTTAGGAAAAAAAAAAAAAGTAGGGCCAGAGAGAGATAGACAGGGACTTGAATTATATTAGTTAATACTTTATTTCTTACTATGAGTGGTAGGGACATGGGTACTAATTACATACTGTAGTCCCCCCTTTCACTTTCTGTGGTCTCAGTTACTTGTGGTCAACCATGGTCCAATAATATTAAATGGAAAATTACAGAAATAAACAATTTATAAGATTTACATTGTGTGCTGTTCTGAGTAGCATGATGAAATACGGCACAGACCTGCCTGCGATGTGAATCATCTCTTTGTCCCTGTGCACCCTATATGCTACCTGCCCATTAGTTACTTAGTAGCCATCTAGGTTATCAGCTCAAAAAAACATAGTATTGTATATATAGAGCTCAGTACTATCAATGATTTCAAGTATTCACAGGCAGTCTTGGAACTTATCCCCTACAGACAAGAAAAACTACTGTAATGCTTTTACCTTTCTGTATGTATAAAATATGTCATAATAATATCAATGATAATAAGTTACTTAGCACTTACTATGGGCCAGACACCATGCTAAGGATTTTCTATGTATTATTTCCTCCTCACAAAAGCCCCGCCACAGTGTTGTTAATCTAATTTTACAAATAAGCAAATCAAAGCATAAAGAAGTTAGGTAACAGGACAAAGATTGTATCTAGTACGTAAGGAGCAGAGCTGGGATTTAAGACTAATAGTTTATCTGACATGTAGTAGACAACAATCTGTGTACTATTCTCTTAATCACTTATAGACATACATACATATATATAGATAAATATACGTGTGTATGAAAAGGGTTGTCTTGCAAGATAATATCTTCCTTTTTCATGTAATAGATTATCTGGTCAAGTAATGAGCTCCTCAGCTTTGAAAATGTAGTTAGATGACCAACTCACAGATTACTATGGGTGGCATTACATGGTGGTTTCTGGGAGGTCAGGATACATAAACTGAAATTTCCTTCCAGCTCCAAATCTCTGAATTTTTAATGTCAGGACTAGTTTGTTTGGTGGGCAGGGAAGATGTGGGACAAAGCCTTCTACTTTAGGCATATTGAGTTTGAGGTAAAAGTATGTCTAGCAAACAGAGATGATGAGATTTACTTTGCATTACAGTATGAATCTATTAGCAAAATAGTTCACATATAAGAATAGATGAGGTTATCCAAGACATATGCAGAAAAGAGACCCACGTCTGCTGCGAAGAGGAGGAGAAGACTATTTTTGTCTGTCTTTCTTGCTCTTCACACACGTGCATGTGTGCATACACATTCACATACCCAGATGCATTTTGTTCAAATTAATATCAACAGTTCTCTTTCTCCTTTTCATATATCCGAAAGCAATGCTCACATATGTGTCAATGGATGAAGAAATTACCCCTTTGACATAGGTGTCAACTACTTTGTTTATCCCAGCGTGCCTATCTACCCCTCCAATCTATTTGCATTAAAATCTGAAGAATTAAAACACACACACATACACACACCTTTTCCACTTTTTCTAATTTCACCTGCACTCTAAAAAAATAACTATTTCACAATAGCAAACACCCCACATTTCAGCCTCTATACTTGTCAATTGAGTCAGCATACTGAATGCCAAAATAATAATTTTTAGAGTTAAAAGGTCCTTTGAATGATTTATAAAACTTTTCTCACTATTTGTACTAAGCTTTAAAACCATTTCATTTTTCACAGTGAAACTAATTTTAAGGAAATAGAGAAAAATACCTTTCTAAAATTCTCATTTATTTTTGTATATTCACAGATTAACATGCTAAATAGAAGGAGGAATTTGTCTTTTCCCTGAGCTCGGGCAAGTCTGATCAGCCCATGAGCAAATGAGTATTTCTCAACAAATGGACTGTAATGATTATCTTAAGGTATTAATATCATCATACACAAGTGGAAGTGTTATTTTCAACAGATTCTGTTAGGATTTTACTGTAGTTTTTATTTAGTTAGAAATCAGCTGTTCCATCTTGTCTGGGGTATTGTAAAAGTGGGGTGACTGAAAAAGAGAGCAAATAAAGACTGAGAGAAGGAAAGCTAATATTTATTGAACCTACCAGGTGCTTTACATTATGGCAGGCTGTACACATTTAATCCTCTTGACAATTGTCTTCTTAGTTTTTATTATCCCATTTTTTAGATTGTAACTGAGTTTCAGAGACATTCAGTAAATTATCCCAAAGTCATATAGGATAAAACTTAGGTATGTCTTGGCTCCAAAGTTCACAATTTTTCATTTATACCAGTATGTACAAATACAACATATTAGAGTGTTTATTCAGCAGAGATTAATCAGTCCTTCCACCTGTTACTTAATATCTTCAACTGTGTCTTCAAACGAGTTAAAACTACTATCTAGTTGTTAGTAGAGTTTTAGTATTTGGTTCATACCTAACAGGAAAAAAAGAAATTTGCGGTCACAGCTTTACTAATATTCTTTGCATAAGCTTCCTTGTTAAAATGCTTAATATAATACCTGGAATTGCTGTACTATTCATTTTTCAAAATGCAGATTTACTTTATTATTTAGTAAATATGATTCTAATTTGGTTTTACATAAGTCATTTTCTATTTGTGCCAAATATAATTCCATTTACACCTTTTGCTGATTAATGGTTTGTAAGAATCATACGGAAATCATATTCTTAGTGGTGACCTTATTTAAATGGAAATACAAAAGCCTGTTAGGGACTAAGTCTTATTTCCCGCAATGAGGGGACAGTCCTCATGACCTACTTCCCAAAAGCCCCATCACCTAATACCATCACCTTGGAGGTTCGGATTTCAACATGAATTTGTAAGGAACATAAACTTTCAGATTATAAATACTGTGTGCCAATTTGGACTTGAAAAGACTGACCACTCCTCCTTTTATCCAGGAGCAAGGGAAGCTATTTCCCCAGCTTGCAGAAGTTATGTCTCCTCCCCATGCATTATCTCTCAGAGATATTTCTCTTCTAGATCTCGGTTTCTCCTAGAAAGATCCTATTCATTCAGGACACTTGTCATTTTTCGTGGAAAAACTGACTTTCCCTGTTAGCTGGAAATATTAGTTAAGTCAAATGCAGTGGTAGACAGAGAAGGGAAGAAGCTCTTCCTATCTCTCTTGTTCTTTGTTCACTGTCCAGCTCACCCCTGAAGAATTAGGTCTGGACAAGACATGAACTGGCACCAGAATAAGGGACAGGACAGTCAATGGGCACAACATCAGGCAGCCACAGGGTCTGTAGAAATGAGCACAAAGAATCTCAAATAATCATACAAGAGATATAAAACAGAGAGGAAGGACCATCCACTTATTATTTGGCTCTGTCTCTTTGTCTATAGTATTTATTTGTATTTAAGACCAGAATCAAATCACTAATTCCCCATCAGACTTTTGTTTGTAGCAGTTCTATGACTCTTCCAACTTCATAGTACCTGATGTAGATCACCAGCCACCCTAAATAGATCAATGACTATTTTCTAGCACAGTCTATCTGGTGTCCCTAAAGGCAAATCAGATGTGAAGGGTCTTGAATCTAATGCTAAAGAAATTTATCTTGGCCAGGCACAGTGGCTCACACCTGTAATCCCAGCACTTTCAGAGGCTGAGGCGGGTGGATCACTTGAGGTCAGGAATTTGAGACCAGCCTGGCCAACATGGCAAAACCTTGTCTCTACTAAAAATACAAAAATTAATCAAGCGTGGTGGCAGGCACCTGTAATCCCAGCTACTAAGGAGGCTGAGGGAGGAGAATCGCTTGAACCTGGGAAGCAGAGGTTGCAGTGAGCCAAGATAGTGCCATTTCACTCCAGCCTGGGTGACAGAGTGAGACTCTGTCTTAAAAAAAACTTTTCTAAAGAAATTGGTCTTATTCATTGAGGGTATAAATATTTATAAATCAGAATTGCTATTATTACTTTTTAATATTACTAAAGAAAAATATAATTTAGAGCAAGATTGGAAGAAATTTAAATACCTGGATATACAATACATTCACTCAGGATAAATAACGTCTTAAAATTCATTCTTACTTAATCTGTTAAGCAAGGTAGTTTTACTTCCCAAACCTAAATAGAACCCAATGTGACCACTTTCCTAGCATCAAAAATTGTCCAAACTGTTCACTTTGGCAGTACTTCAAGCTTGAGGACAGCAGAGCCACTTCAGCCTGTTTCTATACTTAAGTGCCAAGAAACCTTTAATTAGCTACTTATTCTAATTACTCTAAATAGAAACTTATCTGTTCGTGTGTCCTCCTCAACCAAAGGACTCAAAGTCCTTGTACCACACCCTTTGAGAGACCTTCTCTTTAAGCTTATGTATTACTTCTGTGGCTAAAACAGAAAAATAAGGAAAACTACAAGAAGCCACAAGTCTGGCTCATGCAGAACCCCATCATCAGGGCCCCATTTATACTGAAATGATTGTTCAAAAATCTAAACCAGACTCTCCTTTTTACAATTTGAACTCGGTCAACGTTAAAAAAAAAAAAAAAAAAAAAGTCAAAAGCGCTTCTAAAAGCCAATCTGAACAGGACAGAGTAAGTTTTAAAAACAATTGCACAGTGACTTCCTCAGACTGGCATATGCTATTTAATATGTAAGAAAATTATAAAAAGTTCTAAGGGGCCTTGAAGGAAGTTGGAGGAATAGGGTGAAAAACAAACCAATAAACAAGAGAGCACAACCTTCAGCTGCCTAGGGCTAAGCTATGTTCTCTTCCTGCTGGCTGTGGATCAATACACTAAGTAAAGCAGAAGAATGCCATGCCTTTGGAGACAAGCTGGTAGGAAAGAATATGTCCCTTTATTCACAACATGAAATAGATCTGAAATTATGTGTATTTCATGGGATTTGGAGTATGATTTAAAACCCATAAGCATAAACCCTTAAGAAGTCTAAAACATGAATAAGATTAACTCCTGAAAGAAACGTCAAATTTACTATTAATAATAAAAGTACGTTATTCATACATTTGCTGTAAATTGAATGGATGAGGAAAAACAGTAATAGGTCAGCAAAAGTACATTTCAAAATCACTGATTTAGGAAAGGCTTATTAAATAAAACTGTGGATGATAGGACTTGTAGCATCAGTCTTTTAATTTTGTACATTTTGAACATTATCCAAAAATACTAATCCACTGTTGAAATTCTATGAACGGGAGAGAAAAGAGAAATATTCTACCCACTGTAATCTTCCAACCCATAGCATTCACATCCTGCTGTAAATGTATCAGTACTAAATCACATTCCTTTTTTGGTTTTGCTTTAAAATCCTTTTGCAGAAGTTTATTCTTTGGCAAGATCATGTTTCTAACAGTTCTTTTCCACTTTACCGCCTGACTTTACATGAACAATACCAAAAATGAACATAGAAATGGAAAAATTCAAGCATATATTCAATTTGAAACAATAAAATTTGGATTTTAAAAAATGCTGTTTTATGTGTTTGATGTTATGTTGGTAAGTTACAAGAATTGTTGCCTATTGAGGAGAGGCAGGAAAATAGATTAAAATTAATTATTTATGCATTCATTTTCATCCTATACCCTCTGCAGACTTTTATCAAAACTGAAAAATAATGGCACCATAGCATTCTATATATGGAGCTGTGCCTATGTTTTCAAGTTCTTGTATTTTTAATGTCATATCATCATCAGCTAATTATTACAATTTTGATGGCAGATATTATTAAATCATCTTTTCAATGTACTGAGGATTCTTTCTTAAAAGCTAATAAAAATCTCCAATCTTTCACATTCTTCTATAAAGCAGTAAGAAGTGGAAGCATGAGTCCTCCCACAGAAGGAAATGATTGAGCACTTCTGCAATGACAATCTGCCCTTGACTTCCACCGAAGTGGCAAGTGTTCCTGTCTCCTGTTTGTCGGGGGAGAAGATGAGTTCGCATTGTATCATTCAATAGTTCTCCTAATTGCAACTACTACTCACATCACATCAATGCACTTATGTCAATCAAGTATGATAGCACTCAGCATTGTCTTTTTGCTCTATAAACTCCTGTGATTGTACAGTTCGATTATTTGTACCTTAATTTCCAATAGCAAGTCCTTTTAGTTGTATTGAGGTTGTTTTTGTGAAAACTTCTTAACTTTCTCTTTTCGTTGAAATTGATTTCTCATGTATGAAAATAGTTTTGGGGGGATTCAAATTAATACTTGATTATTTATGTTACTGTAAAAAGGATTCCTCCAAAGCACATCGCCAAAAAACTAAACGCATTGGCTGCATTGTGGCGTTAATTAAAAATTTTCAATAGGTAAGCTCTAATGACATAAGAAATTACACAAGAAAAACAAGGGGGAGTGTAGATGTGGAGAGAGCTATTGTATAAGCAAATAGGAAGACTGCTCACAATGTGAGAGAACACAAACAGGATGTATAAACTGCAAAACCAATGCCAAAGTTTTCTGGTAGCCAACATACATAGAATTAGAATGATCGTTTCACCTGGTGAGATTCCAAAAGGAAATAAATAATGGTATTCAGAATTGTTTCTTTAATGAAAGAGGTAACTGAAATCAAAAGGTTACATAACTCTTTGCTGAACATAAACAACTGCCTGAGGGTAGCTTGTACAAATATAGAATACTTTTATCTAGGCTTTGAGAGTATAAGCTGAAATTCTCTTGAATAGTCCCTTAAGTATGATTCTCCATTTCCCAATAACTTTTAATGAGTTAAGCTTAATTGTGAGGCAGGATGAAGAGAATATTATAGGTAAAAATAACATGCTATGCATATTTAAACATCACGTATTGTACTTTATTATCCCTTTAGCTTCTACATATTTTCCTATATTGTCAGTTTCCGGGCTCTTTTCATTGTCAGATTTATAAATGATCAATTTGAGATTTCAATTTAATTTCAAGTCAGGAAGTAGAAATAGTATGCAACAGATAAAACATAACTGAAGTTATTTTTAAATGAAATTATCTGAGCAGCCTGAGTCCCTGTTTGTAATCTGAAAGGAGGGGTGAAATGGATATAATCTAAGCTTTTTTCAGATAAGAAACTCCATAATGCATTCTTACTCACGACTCTATTCAACATTAGAGAAAACATGGATAGTAACAAAGAGCTACTTGCAGACATCACTTTAAAATTGAGCCCCAGGTAGTTAAGTATGAAAAATGACCAAACTTTAATGTCCTTTGCCAAAGCCTAGGTGAGGAACTTAATGGAAACAATAAGCTCATCTTACCAAGAAATACTAATGGTAAAGCCAGAGAGCAAGCAGCTGACATTTATTAACTTTATTGTGAGCTACATCCCATGTGGCACTCTGGGTATACAAAGATGAACTGCACAATCACTTAATAGCTCAGTCAGGAGATAAAGGAGTAAATACAAATCTCAGCACAGTTATGATAAACACTATGATAAATACTATGAAAGAGATAAGCAGAGAATGCAATGAAATTACATGGGAGGGGAATTGTCATAGGCTGAGAAGGCTTCATAGAATAGAAGACATTGATTAAATCTTAAAGTAGGTGCCACCAGATAGAAAACAATTTATACCAAGTCTCTTGGAGAAATTTTTCTCTTTTTTATTTTCTTTGACCCTGTCTTGAGTTCTTTAGCCTTTGTCTTTCAAATGAATTTTAACATCACCTTGTCAAGCTCCATAAAAACATACTCAGAATTGGGACTGTGAATTTATCTTTAACATGCATGTCTTTCCATTCATAAAACAGTGTATCCATTTATATTAGCCTTCCTTAGGTCCTTACACATAATTTAAACTTTTCCATGCAGAAAGACTTGTATGTGTTTTATTATATTCATTGCTCTTTTGAATGGAATATTTTAACTACATTTAAAATGATTTGTTAAAATGAGTCATAGCGTATTACACATTATTTATCTTTTATGTTAATCTTATTTCCAGAAACTATGTGAAATTTTTAAAACTAATTCTAATAGCTTGTTAGTAGATTGTCTCAGATATTATATAGAAATAATCTTTATAATCATTTTGAATATTTATTTGTTCTGATTTTTATTTTATTTCAGAGGCCAGGCCCTCTGAAACAATGCTGAATAGAAGTGGTTATGGTGAGCAAACTTGTCTAGTGTACTTCAAAGAGAATGCTGCAAATCTTTCTCCATTAAGTATGATATTTACAGCTTATTTTTCCCACGACATGAATGGATGTCAAATTTTTGTCATACTCTTCTTCTAATTTTTTATTGTAAACATACCCAGGGATGTACAGATATATAGCATTTTAAAAAAAAATAAAGCAAGCACCCATGTAAATACCACACAGGTTAAAAAACATAGAACCGTGATAGTATTTTCAAAGCCCCTGAATTTTCTCCTCCAATCATATCTTCACTAATCAAAAACCATAAAGCATCTAGCAAAAATTGGGAAAATAATCTTTGCTTATTGGGGGCTCGCAACAATCTCTTAGACGTGACAACCAAGCACAGTTATAAAAGAAAAAGTAAATAAATTTAATTAAGAATTTCTGCTGTTTGAAAAATACTTGTAAGAGAATAGAATAGAGAAGCCACAAAGTGGGCGAAAACATTTGCAGATCATATATCTAATAAAAGACTTGTATGTAGAATATATAAGGAACTCTCAAAACTCACTAACAAGAAAAGAAATTGGCAGGCAAAACATATGAACAGACATTTAACCAAAAAAGATACGTATGGCAAATAAGTACATGAAAAGATTAGGAAAGTTAGCCATTAGGAAAATGCAAATTAAAGCCACAATGAGCTACCACTAACCATCTATTTGAATAGATAACATTTTGAAAATACTTACCATACTAACTGCTGGCAAGGACGTAGAGCAACTGGATCGTTCACACATTGCTGTGGGAATGCAAAATAATATAGACACTTTGAGAAACAATTTGACAGTTTCTTATCAAGCTAAAAATATAGTTATCATACAAACCAGAAATCCCTCTCCCAGGTATTTATTCAAGTGAAATGAGAACTTGTGTTCACACAAAAACTGTACGTGAAAGCTTAAGTGGCTTTATTTGTTATCATTCAAAACTGGAAACAATACAAATGTTTGAACTAGGTACTGGTTAAACAAATTCTGGTATATCTATGCAACAGAATACTGCCAAGAAAGAAAGAAATGAAGAACGAATACACAAAACGGCATAGGTGAATCTCAAGTGCTTTATGCAAGTGAAAGAAGTCAGACTCAAAGACTCCATCCTGTATGATTCCATTTGTATGACATTGTGAAAAAGCCAAAATTATATGGACATAAAACAGATCAGTGATTGCCATGGCTAGTGAAAACAAGCTGAATAAATAGAGACTGCACCATGACACATTTGGCAGAGGGGAAGAGTGATGGACTTGTTCTGTATCTCGATTGTGACGGTGGTTAGAGGTCTGTAGCTATTTGTCAAAACTCACAGAACATAGGACAGTTTTGTAAAAGGATAAATTTTACTGTATCTATTTTACATGACAATAAAGTAAAAAGAACCAACTTTATCTAATTTTAATATAAAAGATTATATAGAGTAAACTTCACTGTAAATGTTTATATGATGTATCATTTTCCTTATATTTATAGAGCACTTCTTTGAAGCAGGACTTGTTTTTTCTTCTTTACTACATTCTTACAATCTTTATCTTTTAAGGGGTGTGTTTAGCTACTTTAACTTAATGTACTTACTGATCTAGTTTAGCTTAAATCTACCTTTTATTTATTTTTCATTTGGTCTATGTCTCTATCTTTTATTCCTTCTTACATTGATTTGGATTAATCAAATATTTTTAACTTAATTCTCCTCCTGTATTTGTACATATATCTTATATATTTTCAGTTGTTATCCTACAATTTATGGTACATATCTCTGACATGCTATACTCTATCTTAAATATTCTTCTCAAATAATCCAAGGAATTTACAACTAACATTTCCATTTCCCCTCTCCCATCCTTTGTGGTATTGGCGACATACATTTTGCTCCTATATATGTGATAATCCTTATAGAATATTTTGGTTGTTGTTTTAAGTAGCCAAAATTCATTTATATTTACCCACATGTTTTTCTGCCTATTGTTTTTCTTTCCTCCCTGAAGTTCTATGTTATTTGGGATTATTTTTCTTCACCCTTAAGAATATACTTTAGTATTTTGGGGGATACAGGTCTGCTGGCAACCAAATCTCTCAATTTTTGTCTCAAGGCATCTTTATTTTAATCTTTTATTTTTGAAAGATATTTTGCTGCATATAGAATTCCAGGTAAGAAGATTTCTCATTGATACTAGCACATTAATTTTTATTAAATTTCTGCTTTTCCTATTTTCTATTGAAAGTCAACTCAGTCTTACTGTTGTTCCTTTGAGGATAAAATATCCTTTTTCTCTGGCTGCCTTTAAGATATTTCTCTTTGACCGAGTTGAGCAACTTGACTATGATGTGCCCAAGTGTGGTATTCTCTGTCTGGGGTTCCCAAAGATTTTTGAATCTTGGCTGATGCCTTTTATCTGTATGGAAAACTTTTAGTCATTACTTCTTGATACATTGTTTTTGCTCCACTGTCTCTTTCTCATTGTTTAATATTTCTTTTTCAAATGTCTTTTACTGCTCACCATGTTTCTTATTCCCTGTTCTTTTTCATTCACGTGTGTGTTCTTTAGCTTGACTGTTTTTTAACTGAACTACCTTCCTGTTTTAATCTTATTTTCTGCTGTGCCCAATAAACTGTCAAAGCCATCTAATTGACACAGACGGGAAGTGCTGGAAAGGGAAGGGTGTGGTCCCTTTGAATAGGGAAGAAGGGAAGTGCCGGGTAGAGAAGGGCATGGTCCCTGGCTAGGGCTCCACCCCTGGGCCTGTGCTCATGGACCTAGGTGAGGACAGGTATTTTTGTTTTCTTTCCCAAATGTTGCATTTCCCAAAACCACCATGGCCTGCCACACCCCCATCCTGTGCCTATTAACACAAGACCCTAGCAGGCAGACACACAAGCTGCTGGACGTCGAGAGGAGGTCGAGGGGAGCACACCAGCAGAAGAGCACAGGACAGACACCACCATGCTAGCAGGCCACTGATAGAGGAATGAGGCGCAGTTTAGCCGGAGCAGTCAGAGGAGAGCCCAGGCTGCCAAGTAGCCCGACTCCAGGGGAAAACCATCTCCCTTCTGGCTGCCCCATCTGCTAAAATCTACTTCCGCTCAATAAAACCTTGCACTCATTCTAAGAGCCCACCTGTGATCTGATTCTTCCAGTAGACCAAGGCAAGAACCCTGGGATACAGAAAGCCCTCTGTCCTTGCAATAAGGCAGGAGTCTAAATGATTTAGTTAACACAAGCTGCCTACAGATGGCAAACCTAAAGGAGCACACACCCACTGGGGCTTCAGGAACTGTAAACATTCACCTCTAGATGCTGCCGTGGGGTCAGAATCCCATCACCTGCCCATCTGTATGACCCCTAGAGGTTTGAGTAGCAGGGCACTGAAGAAGCGAGCCACTCCCCCTGTCACACCCTGCAAGGGGGATAAGGGAGCTTTCCCATTTCACAATGAGTTCTAAATGTAGGAGACTGTATTTTTCAATTCTAGACTGTCCTTTTACATTCCTAAATATTCCAAATAACAATTTGAGCAAAACAGACAAAAATATCGAGAATTTTCTGTGTCGTATTTTTCAGCTTTGCTATTTTCTAAAAAATACTAATTGCAATTATTTTAAAATCTGGTGATATGTCAATAATATATCACCTCTGGCTCTGCCTTTAAATCTATTTTTTTCTCTTCATCTTCATTCACTTAATCCTGTTCTTAGCATATGTTTACATTTTTGTTTAGTTGCTGAATATTGTGAATGAAGAATTGTAGAGGATTTTTCTGAGGACATCTTCCACCAAAAAGAACTTTTTTTATGACAGGAAAATAGGGTACTTATTGAATATATTAATTTTATCAAGAATTTGTTTGAATTGGCCTCTTTTCATTTTTATCTTATTCTTAGGATATAACTCTTAATCCTAAAGTACGGCCTTACTTTTAAGGCTGTTGCACTTGCATTGGGTCTCATCGAAGAAGAGCCAAGGCTATTTCCCAAAACCCCACCGTCATGGCAGGATTTGAGTTTTAATCCCTGTCTTGTTAACACACATAGATGCTGAAATCTTTGTTCAACTTTGCAACTTCCCATGTTTTCCTTGGATTTTTAACATGTACATGTTCAGCTAAAAAGTTGACCAATTCCTTGAAGGGAATTTGAATGTCAATGTTTAAACTTTGTTTCTGTGGTTCCCTACTCTCTAGAATTTTGCCTGCCTCAGATTCTGACCTCTGTCTTTTCAGTCCAGGAATACAGCCAATTTTGATTCAAACTCTCTTTCCCTGTGCCTTTGTTTGATAAATGCCCTTCAAAGATTGTGAGGGGAATTGGAGATATGTGTCCATTCTCTTAAGGATCGTAGACTCTTATGTCACGCCTCTGTTTGTTGCTCACCAATACCTTCAGACCTTTGTTTTATATATTTTTGGTAGAAAAGTTAGGGTAGTACTTCTTCATGGCTGGAACTGAAAATATGTGGGAATTTTGTCCTCCTTGAACCTAAGGATTCATGTCTTTCATCTGTTGCATAAAGCTTCATGTTTAGCAGCTTGAATGTTATTCTTTCCATTCTTTCTATTCCCTCTTTAAATCATTTTAAATATATTAAAGCTAATCATTCTATTGCTGTCTTTTAACCATTTAACATTTCTTTCATAATTTTAAATCCTTCTACCTTCAAGTTAATCTGGGTGACTCCTCAGCTCTTCCAGGAGTCAATTTCTCTCTTTGGATGGGTCTAAACTGATGTGTCACTCCTTCCTTTGAGTGTGGGTTTTTGTTTATTGGTCTTTTTTTCCAATTTCAATTACTATATATTTTATTTCTACAAAAGTTTTTGGGTTTTTTCCTGGGAAAAAAATGTTTTTTTGTTTTTTGTTTTTTTTAGACAATTTATGTTCTTCCTTCCTGATGGTTTCTAATTCTTCTTGTTTACTTTTATAGCATCTTTTAGTTTGTTTAATCTCAGGTTCTTGGAATTTAAATTATCTTGTGTTTTGGTGTGCTAACTCCTCCTATAGTGAATCATTATCTTAGACGGTTTGGAATCTTCGTCAGTGCCTCTTCATTAAGAATTTCTTGTTATTATTTTTGTTTTATTTTACTGTAATTTCATTCCTCTAGAGTTATAGGAGTGTCCTTAATGAGTGGTTAATTTCTCCAGTCAGGAACAAATTTAAGTCTTGGAGTTTCCCCCACAATAAGGATAATGCAAATTCAGAATCAATACCCACCCATGCCTGAGGCCTGGGATTTCAGTTTTCTATGGAAACCCTTTTTTCTCAAACCATAGAAAATTTCTTGTGGCCTGTTTTGGTTGCTGGGTGGATTCTTTTGAATTCTTTTACTGAAAGGATAGTCCCTTCAGTGCCCTTGTTTTATGAAAAGGGGGATCAAATTCCAGCTCCTGGACTTAACTAGCAGTCAACACCACACCTCCTGCTCTTTTTTGAATAATTACTCTTCATAATTTTTAGGACGTATATCTATGTCCACTATCCTCTTAAGCCACCAAGTCTTTAGGAAGTTTGCAATTCTGACTTCAAATTCTTCTTAAGTTCTGGTACCAGGTATTTTTTTTTTTAAGCTCAGCATTTATTAAAATTGTTTTTAGCTGTATTTTATCTAGCATTTCTATGTGTTTATAGTAAGAGGGGCTCTTGTTAGCTTAGTTCTCCACTGTGTAAAATTCAAAAGTGAAAAACGCTTTAAAGGTAAGAAGGGAACACTTGGAGAATTTAAAGTAGTTCTCTGTGGCCAGAACATAGAATTAATGGTAGAGGGAGAATGGTGGAAAGTGACAAGTTGGGCAAGAATCAGATCACAAAAGGGCTTCATATGCTGTGCTCAAGACTAAGACTGTCCTGGTGGGGGAAAAAGAAACAAACTTTTTTTAAACATGAGAATGACATGACCAGAGTTGTAGCTAAGATTCTATTGGCTGCTATAGGGATCAAAGTTAATTATCATTGATTTCTGCATGAAGTTAGGGCCTCTCCTACTTCTCTTTTAGAAATTCTGATTTGTAGGGAAAATTTCCAATATCTTTACCTTCTCCTTCAATTTTCCCTATTGATTAATAATCATGAGCATGTGTCACATATCATCAGAAGAAAATATAAAGCTATTTCCAATTTGAAAAAAGAAGAAATCCAAGATAAAACCACCACCACCAAAAACAAACCAAATGTGAACTATATAATTGAAGCAGATGAATGCTGAGGAAATAAAATAATGCCTTTGCAGGAGTAGTGTTCACAAAAACAAAGTAATCTTTTATGCTTCACTGCCCTTCACCAGGGAATGCAAAGGCCATTGGTGGAACTCACATGAGCCCTTTCCCATGAACGTGTAACTCCTTGGGATTTTGCGAGAAACTATTTCTTGGCACCTTGGTTTCCATTTGCTACAAGGCATCTGGTAACAATGGGTTATGAGGGTAGGTAAAGTGGCCCCTGCAGAGTTGTATAACTGTAATTCAGAGTTGCACCTCCTAGAGGAAGCCTTCCTTTTTGACTCCCACCCACAATGGTCTGCCCTTTCTCTGAACTCATATTGTACCATGAACCTTGGCATTTGTTTTCTAAATATTAAAAAATAATATTGCCAAAGAGTACAGTTTATTAGGTTTTTACTAGATTCCAGAGGTACATTTTGCCCTATGTACATATATGAAATACGTACATGGTTTCATTTATTTTTAACAACTCTGAGATTGAGCAATATTTTTTCCCATTTTACAGATGAAGCAACAGAAGTTCATGAATAACTTGCCCAAGATTACCCAGTTTATTCATTCAGCAGCAAATATTTATGTAGCATCTATGTTTCGGTCTCTAAATTTAAGTGCTTGGCATTCATATTTTATTTATTTCTTATAACATTTCTGGAAGTCGGTATTTTGATTCCCATTTTATAGATGAGGACTCTGAGTAACAGAGATATTAAACAAATTCCTTAAGATCACATATTTAGTAAGCATGGATTTGTGACCCTTATCTGACATCCTCCAAAGCCCATGCTCTTAAACCAGTCCTTCTAAATCTGACTTGTCTATTCCTAAATTAACAACGGTCTAGACCTATGCTTTACATTGTAGGTTCCCACACTGCCCAACACACACTGGATATAAAGAGAAAATATACGGATACAAGAGAAGTGCCAAAAAATATCTTGATTAATAATGACCAAAGAACTTCAAGGAGACACAATGTAGTGATGTCTCATTATCCAACATTTTGTAATAAAAATTGAATATGTATGTATCTTTCCAGACACCTCAAACAAAAGTGCTTACTCTTTAAGCTGTTTTTGTGTTTATGTGTTTGTTGTTGTTTTTAATAAAAACCCTTCTAGCAAGCACTATGTGTGTTCTGGCTTTTTTTTATATCCTGTCTTATGCACAGTGATCAATGTAATTTAATCCAATCTTGAGAAGTCAGGATCATTGTCAGAAAATGAGTTTTAAATTTACTAAAATATAGCAATGCTAGTAAAATGTGTTTACAACAGCTTATCCGCAAATGAAAAGTTTGATCAAATATCATTTGATATTTAAAAGCTCAAAGAAGTGAATAGAAAATATTTTGTAACATATGAAATATTCATGTTTTCTTTTTTATTATTTTGTTTGTCTTTGAGATGGAATTTCACTTGTTTCCCAGGCTGGAGTACAGTGACATGATCTCTGCTCACTGCAACCTCTGCCTCCCAGGTTCAAGCAATTCTCCTGCCTCAGCCTCCCAAGTAGCTGGAATTACAGATGCCCGCCACCACGCCTGGCTAATTTTTGTACTTTTAGTAGAGACGGTGTTTTACCATGTTAGCCAGGCTAGTCTTGAACTCCTGATCTCAGGTGATCCACCTGCCTTAGCCCCCCAAAGTGCTGGGATTACAGGTGTGAGCCACCACCCGGCCTATATTCATGTTTTCTATGCTCTATAAGACATATAATTTTGTCTTAGTTTCTTTTGACACCTAAAAATTAGACTATGGGTGTGACCTAAAGATGTAAAGTAATAAGAATAAACTACAAGTTCTTATTGCACTGCCATTCCAAAAAAAAGTAACCTGCAATGATGCCATTATACAAATAGTACTAACATTAAAGGAATGTGGAAGGAATTTCTAGAGACCTATTTCTAAGTCTTACTTTTAATTAGCCCTCTAAAGTAATAGTACCTCTTAGCCTCAGAGTTCCAACACCTTCAATTAAAACATGGAATTATATCTAAATATTTTACTTTGACATCTAGCTTTTTTTGGTATCAACTCCATTTTGCCTATCCTCATCCTAGTACCTCCCCACTCTATTAGTAATTCAGGTTAATGAATTTTAGAAGACAGAAAAGAAAAAAAGAAGGAGAACAAAGCCCAATAGAAAACAGTTACTATTATTATCATCATCAGGATGACAGGTAAAGAAATACCCCACTTATCAAAAATCAGATTTCTAGCAATTCCAACAGGCTCCACCCTCCCCCTGCAACAACAACAAACAAAACAACCTTGAAAGTACATTTAAAGACCCTTGAAGAGCAAAAATGGTGTTATTACATTTATCCTCGTGACCTATTAGGAATCTTTGTACACTTACTCAGAGTCTATTTACTCATACTTTACATATAATTCTTATGTGCTTGAGTCTGTTTTACCCAAACCAAAGAAATTGGAAGCATCAAATTTTAAGATGTCACCACTAGGGCATATGTATACATGTATTATCAGAATAAAAAATTGAAGCTGTCAGTTCAGAGTCAAAGAGGTCAGCTGTAAAAAGGAGCACATGTTCTCCTCCATTGTGGGACTGTCAGGCTTGGGAGAAGACTGTTAATTTACATGGTTAAGTAGAGGCAGGACTCAAAACTAGGTCTCTAGAAATTCATTCCCAAGTTCCTTCAATGTTACTACTATTTGCATAATGGAGCTATTGCAGATTACATTTCCTTTGAGATTCAGCCAAACCCGAGAGCTTTGTTGGAAATGCAGAATCTCAGGTCCCACCTCAGACCTCCTGAGCCAGAATCTGCATTTTAACATGATCCTCACATGATCCATACTCATGGTAAAGTTTAAGAAGCACTGTCTAATAAACATCCCAGATATGCTTGAATACTTCCAAGATAGGAAACTCACTAATTCACAGTCATCCTATTCCTTTGTTTGATAACTTTTTTCTTTTTTTCTGTTGTTGTTGTTTATTCTTTTACTCTTTTCTTATTTTTTGTTTGTGGGGTAAATTTTATTGATTTAAGAAAGTTTCTTCATATTAAATTTCCCCATTACTTCCACCTTTTCATCTTCATGTTTTATTCTCAAACCACACATAGTTAACCACTCTTCTTGTGATAACCTTGTGATAAGCTAAAGATTAATAGTTATCGAACATTTCAATGCAGAAGTATTTGCCAAAGGAGTTGTTAAAATTAAGGTTCCCAGGCTCATAGTTATAAATCACAGAGTCTTAGGTATAGGCTAGGAATTTTAATTTTTAATGGACACCCCAAATGACAAGTCATTCACAGACTACAGTTTGCAAGATCTAGCTCTTTCAGACATATTTAGTTTCTTCATCAAATTTATCAGTGTCTACATTGTGCACAATATTTAATTTTATTCAGCAGGTAGTGATCATTATTAACCAATATTCACTAAGCACCTCTGTGCATAAGTCCCCACAACAGATACCTAACCAAAATCAGGTGTTAAAACTTTCAAAAATGAGAAACTTCAGTTGATTGTCATTGCCAATCAGCTTTACTAAGAAAAATGTCATGAACAGTAAAGTGAGGCCACAGGGTTCTTAGGTTCCAAGAAGTGCTAGCAATACATGTCTCTTGGATCACTTTATGCACATGTGCAATGTTATTGTCAGTAGCTATATCTTTTAGCACAAAGAGATATAAATGTAAAATGCAAGACTGGAAATCTTATGTACTAACTCTATGGCCATAATTTTCCATTTCCTTTCTAAGACATTTCCCCTGATAAGAAGCTTTATGAAAGAGCTTTACTGTATATATGAATAGCCTAAGTGTATAAACTAGACTCACATTACATATCTTTCCAGATTTAAATGGGTTGAGAAATGGGTCAGTCATAAATACTAGTATGTATTTTACTATTACCTGTTTTTAGAGGTTATGCTTAAGGAACTACTGCTTTACTTCAACTCAGTAAAACTCTTGACTGAACTAACATGAAAAACCTCTCACTGGTAAGTTAGTTTCCAGAATAAGTGAACTCTGGGACACTAAATTTATTCAGGTGTTATCCATTTATTTAATGTTGGTAAGCACAACAAAATGCACATGTGAAAGTTATGGTTTAATTGAAAAGCATATAGCATAACTTAACTAGACCCTCCTGCATCATGCTAAAAGTAGCAGCATGTGGGGCTAGGTTTAAAAAAATCTAATTATAAAAAGAACTATGGTAAAGTTTAGCCAATGCCTCCAAGCCAATATTTAGTCTTTTCAATAGGTAATGACTATATATTTGATAATGTATAAAACCTGGCACTGCACAGCATTGATACAGACAAAATAAACAAAAATACATACACATGTGTATACACACACACACACACACACACACACACCTCAAGAGAACCTCCTTACAAATCAGCAGTCACTTGATTTACAAATTCTTCTCAGTATATATAATTCAGTTCATGTATCTTTTGGCTCTCATTCAGGATTTTTTTTTTTTTTACCAGCAGTCTAGGATAGACAAATAAGATTTTCACCTGGTAGAAATCACCCTCCATTCATCATTGGAAGTCTATTTGAACAGTAGGTCAAAATGTACATGCTCTGAAATTGAGAGATGACCTTGCTGTTACCAAGTTGGTAGACATCATGAGTAACTAACACTCATCCTAGTAAGCTACAATGGTGGATTTTCATGATTGAATGGATGTTCTGTCCTGCTGGTTTCCTGTAGATTTGCAAGTTGTGAGAGTTTGGCTAAATATGGGAGCTTAAATTAGGAGCAACTTTCATCAGGTTGCCAAGCTGGCAACTTCTCTTTTCTCAAGCTACAAAGACAGTTGACTGAACTAGATTGCAAGAACTCACAACTGGGAAGTTTTATTTTGAACCTGCTTGCTTGTTTCCTGGCAGGTTTACTGATCTTCATTTTTGTCCAGATGTGAGTTTCAAGGTGTTTAAGGAAAATCAACCCTTTTACAAGTTAAGTGCTCCTCAAACCAGAGTAGGGCCTTCATGGCCCTAGGGCCTGAGAGGACACTGTACTCTGTTTAACTTTGGTAGTGCTGGGACATTTCCTTTATTATCATTACTATGCCTTTCTTTCCATAATAAACTTCCTCATTGATCAAATATTCTGAAGATTGTGCCAGTAGGAACATTTGTAAATTTTAACTGTGGAAAACCAGTCTTGCAATTGGTAATTCCAGCCGTGGATTTTCACAAGAATTCGCTAATCTTTTTCTTCTTGCATAAAGAATCCCTAAACTTAGCAACTGTGAGCTTGATTGACATTCATTTTATTTAGTTATCAAATATTTTTTGTTTCATTTTAGAACCAAACTCAGCCCCAAATTGGCTAAATATAGATACAAATACAGATATCATCACACAATATACCAGGCAATCTTGCTGCCATTGATGAAGTCATTCTTAAACTCAACGTGGATATGTTCAACTATAATAACTGAATTTGAAAATTGTGAAAGGTGGAAGATGGGGATTTTGCAAAAACCACATTCAGTAAATGTAGTCTGTGGAAAAGAGGAATTAACTGGTTAATTGCTAAAATCTCTAGTTTGTCTGTGTATCTTCCTTTAAATTACTTCAGTTGAATCATGGCCATTTGTAACCTGGCCTCCAAGGAAAGCTCCAGTTTGATATACCAAAGATGATTCCAAAACCTGGTGAAATACATTTTCATTTCTTAGAAACACTGCCTCAGAAAAATCTCTGACTAGCAGGTCATGCTGATAGAGCCAAAAGAGTTATTTAAAATGGTGCACATATAAATGGGTTATTTTATCTAGACCCTGTTGCTGTAACCTTCATTCCATTGGCTAGTCTTTGCAGAATCTTCTAAAGGAGCTTATTAAACTAACCATTGCAATTAGATAAGAAAAAGAAACTAGAGACCTGAAAAGTGAAAAGGCGGGAATGGATTACCACAATTTTCAGGTAATATGATAACATACCTGAAAATCCAAGAGACCCAATGAGAAAACTATTACAAACAATAAGAAAATCTAGAAAGGTAGGGAAGTACGAAATAAACAATCAAAAAATGATTGCTTTCATATACATAAACAACAACCAGTTTGCATGTATAACTGATAAGTCAATTTTTTAAAGCTGCAAGTGGTTTAAGACACCTAGAAATGCCCACGGCAATATCATAATGAATGGGCAAAAACTGGAAGCATTCCCTTTGAAAACCAGCTCAAGACAAGGATGCCTTCTCTCACCACTCCTATTCAACATAGTGTTGAAAGTTCCAGCCACAGCAATCAGGCAAGAGAAAGAAATAAAGGGTATCCAATTAGGAAAAGAGGAAGTCAAATTGTCTCTGTTTGCAGATGACATGATTGTATATCTAGAAAACCCCATTGTCTCAGCTCAAAATCTCTTTAAGCTGATAAGCAACTTCAGCAAAGTCTCAGGATACAAAATCAATGTGCAGAAATCACAAGAATTCCTATACACCAACAACAAACAGAAAGCCAAATCATGAGTGAACTCCTATTCACAATTGCTACAAAGAGAGTAAAATACCTAGGAATCCAACTTACAAGGGATGGGAAGGACCTCTTTAAGGAGAACTACAAACCACTGCTCAAGGAAATAACCGAGGACACAAACACATGGAAAAATATTCCATGCTCACGGATAGGAAAAATCAATATCATGAAAATGGGCATATTGCCCAAAGTAATCTATAGATTCAATGCTATCTCCATCAAACTACTATTGACTTTTTTCACAGAATTGGAAAAAACTACTTTAAAGTTCATATGGAACCAAAAAAGAGCCCGCATAGCCAAGACAATCCTAAGCAAAAAGAACAAAGCTAGAGGCATCATGCTACCTGACTTCAACTATACCACAAGGCTACAGTAACCAAAATAGCATGTTACTGGTACCAAAACAGATATATAGAGCAATGGAACAGAACAGAGACCTCAGAAATAAATTCACACTTCTACAACCATCTGATCTTTGACAAATCTGACAAAAAAAAAAAAAGCAATGGGGAAAGGATTTCCTATTTAATAAATGGTGTTGGGAAAACTGGATAGCCATAAGCAGAAAGCTAAAACTGGACCACTTCCTTACACCTTATACAAAAATTAATTCAAGATGGATTAAAGACTTAAACGTAACACTTAAAACCATAAAAACCCCAGAAGAAAACCTAGGCAATACCATTCAGGACATAGGCATAGGCAAATACTTCATGACTAAAACACCAAAAGCAATAGCAACAAAAGCCAAAATTGACAAATGGCATCTAATTAAAGAGCTTCTGTACAGCAAAAGAGTGAACAGGCAACCTACAGAATGGGGAAAAATTTTGCAATCTATCCATCTGACAAAGGGTTAATATCCAGAATCTACAAAGAACTTAAGCAAATTTACAAGAAAAAAAACAAACAACCCCATCAAAAAGTGGGCAAAGGATATGAACAGACACTTCCCAAAAGAAGACATTTATGCAGCCAACAAACATACGAAAAAAAGCTCATAATCGCTGGTTATTTGAGAAATGCAAATCAAAACCACAATGAGATATCATCTCACACCAGTTAGAATAGTGATCATTAAAAAGTTAGGAAATAACAGATTCTGGAGAGGATGTGGAGAAATAGGAACACTTTTACACTGTTGCTGGGAGTGTAAATTAATTCAACCATTGTGGAAGACAGAGTGGTGATTCCTCAAGGATCTAGAACTAGAAATACCATTTGACCTAGCAATCCCATTACTAGATATATACCCAAAGGATTATAAATTATTCTACTATAAAGACACATGCACATGTATGTTTATTGTGGCTCTATTCACAATAGCAAAGACTTGGAACCAATCCAGATGCCCATCAATGATAGACTGAATAAAGAAAATGTGGCACAAATACACCATGGAATACTATGCAGCCATAAAAAAAGGATGAGTTCATGTCCTTTGCAGGAACATGGATGAAGTGGAAACCATCTTTCTCAGCAAACTAACACATGAACAGAAAACAAAATACTGCATGTTCTTGGTCAAAAGTCGAAGTTGAATAATGAGAACACATGGACATGGGGAGGAGCATCACACATCAGGGACTGTCAGCGGGTTGAGGGCTGGCAGAGGGATAGCATTCGGAGAAATACCTAATGTAGATGACAGGTTGATGGGTGCAGCAAACCACCATGGCATGCATATACCTATGTAACAAACCTGCACATTCTGCACATGTACCCCAGAACATAAAGTATAATAAAAGAATAAATAACATACCTAGAAATGAATAAGAAATGTTCTAGTCCCGTATAAGGAAAACTGTACTACATGACTGAAATGCCAAAGAAAGACTTGAATAAGTAGAAAGACATTTCAGGTTTGGGGACAGGAATACTCAACATCATAAGGGTAAATTTATAAATTTAGGACAGCCTCAATTAAAAGACCAACATGTTTAAACTAGATGATTATAAAAATACATTTTAAAAGCCAGGAAACCTCTGAAAGAGAAGAACAATGAGGGCAGATTAGACCTATAGACATATCAACTTTAAAGCATAAAGTCTTAGTAATTAAAACATGAGGCCAGGTGCGGTGGCTCACAGTTATAACCTCAGCATTTTGTGAGGCTGTAGGAGGATCGCTTGAGCTCAGGAGTTTGAGGCTGCAGTGAGCTGTGCCCTGTGCCACTGCACTGTAGCATGGGCAAGAGAGTGAGACCCCATCTCAAAAACAAACACACACAGAAATAACAAAAAAAGAAAAAGAAAGAAAAAAATAGGGGCTCATTCACAGACATATCAATGTAATGGAATAGTTCAAATACATATAATTTAATATATGACCAACATAGTGTCTCCAATCAATAGGTAAGTGGTAATCTATTAAATAACTGGTGTTGGGACAACTGGATAATCACAATTTCTCATAATATGCACCACAATAAACTAAAAAATACAATAATTATAAAAATTATACAAGTGATAAAATGACAAAAGGTAAAGACTTTTGTATGTATGACTCGAAATCCAAAAGGAATAAAAGAAAGATTGATGCAGTGATTATGACTATCAAAAACTTCTCATGGCACCAGGAGCCATCAACAATGACTAAGGAGAAGAGTACAGTGAAAGATTCTCTTCAACTCCATCTTCCATTCATTCAGTTACCACGTATACCCTTCTCCTTACTCTCAGGAAACCATTCTTACTACTTGCTTATTTATCCTACCAGAGTTATTTTTTATGAAAAAGAAAGAAAATATAGAGGTCAATTTTTATGTATCCCCTGTTTTGTATCAAAATATATTTTATGTACACTGTTTTGCACTTTGTTCTTTTGATCCCGTAATATACCATGGAAATCTAACTCAGTATATAGACTTTCCTCATTCTTTTTGTAAATATGTAGTATTCTATTATCATATGGATAGGCCATTATTAATTTAATAAGTATCTCCTTGATGAAATTTTATGTTGTTTTTAGTAATTGTTCTCATATAAATATTAGAAATGCAACTAGCAATTCATTTAAAATAATATCTTGATACAGCTCTTAGAAATATAACATTCTAATTCAGGAAACAGGCTTTATAACAGGTGTTATAAAAATCCTGAAGGCATATCATAATTAAGCTACTAAAGGCATTGTTGATAAGATATAATAGTGTCTCCCCCCAAAAAAATCTTGCAAGCACATTTACTATGATGTGACAGGCAGTGTTAAAAGAGTATCTCATATAAAGTGAATATGAAATTATAATGATTATAATGATCAAATTACAGTAATTAGTACATAGAGCAGAGAATTTATCTGTGCCAATTCCACATGCTAAAATAGTTTAGGCAATAGTTATCTTATCAGTCACAAGCCTTCCCAAAGAAGAAATAATGACAATCTTTAACATTCTATTTTCAACTTCATGGCACAGAACTTGTTAAATGTTATTTTTATTTTAAAGTGATGGTAGCAAAGATAGGATTGTGACATAATGTATTATAATGGATTCATTTACTCATTTTGGCACATCCACCTATTAATTATCTCAACCCTATTCTACGAATAGGGTTAACCTGATTACTCACCAGGGATTAGAATCAATATTTCATGTGTATATTTCCCAATTTTTTGTCCAAAGTTTCTCTAAGATGTAGAAGAATTACACGTGTGTTTAAAAAGTATGTAACTTCGATCATCCTTGGCTCAGAAACAAGAAATTTTATCTTTTTAAATGGATACTTGACAGAATTTTATGATGGTAATAATTGTAGTGTTTCTTCTGTTTCTCTCTTTTGATTTTGAGACTGCAATAAGAAATACCTTTCCTGAAGAGCACCCAAGGAATTGGAGATCTACTGATTGGTGCCTTGCCTTAACGTTTTCACACCTACCAGGAAAGCCATTGCTCCACATTTTCATATAGCATCTCACATAGATGTACACTGTTTTCGACAGTGATTGAAACCATCTTTCTGAAGTTTATTTCTCTCTATCTTTGTGAGTTTGCTGTAACCACTTACCCTCTCCCAAAGCAGGAGACAGTATTGCCTATTTTATATTTTCAATTGATTCAGCATTAATAACGCTTGCAGAATTTCCCAACTCCTCAGATGTTAATAAGTTAGTAAAGATTCTATCATACTTAGGGAATGCTCCCAAAGACATATTTGGCAATAATCAAACTTGAACAGTAGCTAACAATACACTGTGGATTCAGAACAGAATGGCCCATTGGCCCTCCAGAGAAAGCATTTCAGTATTTGGTGAATTGTATTGTATTCAGTTTGGTGAGTTGTTCAATACTAAAATGATTTTAGAATGGTAATTAACATACTGTATGGAATTGCACAGGTATTGGTGATCAAATCCTGCATAATTTCTCCAAAACAAGAAGAAAGTGAATGATTAAATACAAAAATCATGACAGGCTATCAGGTAGATAGAAGACAGTTCTGAAGTCAGGCTGATCTCAGTTAAAATTTTGGCTGTGCCATTTTCTAGCTATGTGATTTTGGACCAGTTACTTTATGGCTCCCAGCTGGTATCCTCATGTGTAAAATGAGGATAATGGTAACTCCCCTAGGGAGCTTTGTATAAGGATAAATGAGGGAATTGAAAACAAAAGACTGGCACATAGTAGGTAATTAAAATTTTTGTTTCCTATGTTCCTCTCTCTTTACTAATTTTCCATAAAAACAGAAAACCATGAGCAGCATCCACTTGCTTCTGGACAATATTGCTTCTATTTATATACAATAGAAAGTCAACTTGATTAAATTTCTCCCTCTAGGCTTACCCAGATCTAAATCCTTATTAAATCATTCCGAACAGTTTTATATGTATCTCTTATTACCATTATATAGAAGATGTATGTGAAACCAAATTCAGCAACACTTTTCAGCCAGACACAGTACTTCACTATCTCCTATTTTCAATATCATAAGAAAAAAGTTATTTTGCCTTCATTTAATCACATTTTTTCTCTGTCATCAGTATAGATACTGGTCAATCGATCTTCAAACCACATAATCCTTCTCCATTTTCTCTGTAACAACTTTCAAATAAGAATGATAGTGCTCACCTCATTCCCAACAGAAAACATGAGAGTATTTGCACAATATTTGAGGTAGGTAGTTTACAGGCAACTGAAAAACATCTGATTTAAGGAGGATATAGAGAGGGGAGAGCCGAGGTGGCCAACCAGAAGTAGCCAGGAGAAACTGCTCCCACTGAGCGAGACAAGGCCACCAAGTAGACTGGCATACTCTGAAAGATCTTTGGAACGAAGGGACTGAGAGTGGACAAAGAGAAGATGCAGACCCCAGGCTAAAAGATGAGGAGGCTGGAAACCCTGCATAGGGTTGCTGAGCACCAGGACTCCTTCCTGGCCCTGAGGAGCTCCCAGGGAAGGGGCGAGTGAAATAGGCATGGAGTGGCTCACTCTTGCCACAGACCTCTGGGATGTTAGCTGCAGAAGACCCATGACTCCCACTGGCATCTGAGATGGCAGGGAGAACTGCCCATAAAGTTGGCAGAGACAGAACTCCAGTCTGCATGGAACTTAGAGGGTTTGGTCTGAGAATGACTGCAGTGAAGCATAGCCATGGGAGCCCATACACTAAGGCGTGCCATATCCCTCTAAGTGGCCTGGCCTTTGTTGGCTGTCAGACATGGACAAAGTAGGGCCATCTTACCACGGGACAGGGCATGTCTGATCTGAGCACCCACCTGTCTGCTACCTTCTCCCAGGATTCCTGTCTGTTTGCATCCCCTTACAGTGCAGCCTCAGCTTGACAGCAGCCACCACCACTGCTCTTTTACCAGCAGAGCCCGTCTAACCATTGGAGTGCTTTTGCAGCTGGACCCCCACCAACAATGCACCTACTCGAACCTCACTCTGCCACCTTGCCAGTAAGCACATGCAGGAGGACCCACCACTGCCCCACCAGTGTCCATGTGCATGAGGACCTCTGCCTTCCCTGGGGATCTCATGTGCTGGTGTACATGTACGTGGGGTCCCACCACTGCCCCACTGGAACACTTTTGCTGACAGCCTTTGTTGGGGATGTTGCTGCCAGTGAACTGGGAACACCTCGGCCCCTCCAGCACAGCAGGTGCTTAACCTTGAGGAGCCAGAGAGCAAAGCCGCAGGTCCCAGCCCCTGAGGATTAGATCACATAGCCCAGGAATGCTGAGCTGAGCCTTGGACCCCTGAAAGTATCCAGAAACGAAGCCAATCGATTAAACCTAATTTATGCCACATCCAAAACCTCAAGGGCATCAAAGAATATAAAAGCAAAAAGACCCATCCAAAAGACAGCAATTTCAAAAGATTAAAGGAACATGAGCCCACACAGATGAGAAAGAACGAGTGCAAAAACTCTGGAAACTCTAAAAGCCAGAGTGTCTTCTTACCTCCAACAACTGCCTGAGCTCCCAAGCAATGATTCTTAACCAGACTGAAGTGGCTAAAATGACAGACACAGAATGCAGAATACGGAAGGTAAGGAAGCTCCTTGACAGCATGGTACTTGCACAAAAACAGACACATAAACCAGTGAAACAGGTTAAAGAACCCAGAAATAAAGCTGCACATATACAACCCTCTGATCTTCAACAAAGTAGACAATAACAAGCAATAGGAAAAGGACTCCCTATTCAATCAATGGTACTGAGACAACTGGCTAGCCATACGCAGAAGATTTAAACTGGACCCCTAATTTTGCCATATACAAAGACTAATTCAAGATGCATTAAAGACATAAATATAGGACCTAATACTATAAAAACGGTAGAAGAAAACCTAGGACATACCATTCTGGACATAGGCTTTGGGAAAGATTCCATGATGAAGTCTCCAAAAGCGATTGCAACAAAAACAAAAATGGACAAGTGGGACCTAATTATATTAAAGAGATTCTGTACAGTAAAAGAAACTATCAACCGAGTAGAAAGACAACCTAGGGATGGGAGAAAACATTTGCAAACTATGCACCTGACAGGGGTCTCATATTCAGAATCTATGTGGAACTTAAATGAATCAACAAGCAAAAAACAACCTCATTTTAAAAAATGGGCAAAGGACATGAACAGACACTTCTCAACATGTCTATGGCCAACAAGCATATGAAAAAATGCTCAACATCACAATCATTAGAGAAATGTAAATCAAAACCACAATGAAATACCATCTCACACCAGTCAGAATGGCTACTATTAAAAAATCAGAAAATAACATGCTGATGAGGTTGCAGAGAAAAGGGAATGCTTATATACCGCTGGTGGGAATGTAAATTACTTTGGCCACTGTGGAAAGCAGTTTGGAGATTTCTTAAAGAACTTGAAACAGAACTACCATTTGACTCGGTAATCTCATTACTGGGTATCTACCCAAAGGAAAATAAGTCATTCTACCATAAAGACACATGTACATGTATGTTCATGGCAGCAGTATTCACAATAGCAAAGACATAGAATCAACCTAGGTGTCCAACAGTGGACTGAATAAAGAAAATGTGGTACATATACACCATGTACTACTATGCAGCCATAAAGGAGAACAAAATCATGTCCATTGCAGCAACACAGATGCAGCTGGAGGCCAATATCCTAAGCAAATCAATATAGGAACAGAAAACCAAATACTGCATGTTCTCACTTATAAGTGAGAGCTAAAGGGGAACCATAGACAGTGGGGCCTACTTGAGGATGGAGGGTAGGAAGAGGGTGAGAGTCAAAAAATTACCTACTGGGTGCTATGTTCACTACCTGGGTGATGAAATCATTTGTATACCAAAACCCAGTGACACACAGGGTTACCCATGTAACCAACCTGCACATGTACCTCCTGAGCCGAAAACAAAAGTTGAAAAAGAAATAAAAGAGAAAAAATATGTGTATGGTCTCAGCATTTAACCTCTTTTCCATAAGGAATAGGTACAATTCTAGCTATAGGAATAGTAGTGTTTTTTAAATAGTGATGCCACTGTATGAAAGGGCTACTTCTGTGGAAAAGCATTGAAAACAGACCCAAAAAATCAGCTTGACTTGAAACTACAAAGGTATATGGAGGTCAAGGTGTCAATGAAGATTCTGAAAGGAGATAAGTTTCTGGAATGTTGCTTCCAAAAGATGATCCTGAAAAAGAACCTAAATGTTCTTAGGTCAGGGAGAACTGATGTTTTGTGAACTACAGCCAAAACATCAGATACCAGAATCAACCTAAAATTAATTTTTTAAATGTTGAAAATGCAATTTGGTCAAAAACTAGAATAGCAATATCCTATAAAGGCAAAATTCTAGTAATTTTTCTGGAAAGAAATATGGGAAGGTGTCAGTTTTTCTCTGGGTTTCTTCTCTTACAGTTTAGCTCCCCTCATTCCTCCAGCTCCTCTCCATTCCCCTCCTTTCTTCTGCTCTCATCTTCCCTCCCCTGTCTTGTCCTCTCCTCTAAGATTGTTTATTGAAAATGTCACTTGAATGGCTGTTGCGGAGAATTTGAAAACTCTTGAAGAAACCAAATGTCACTGGCTGCTGTTTAATAAATGCCTCTGGTTGGTCTGACTCCAAGTCCACCAACCTTAGCAACAATCAGAGACACTGTAGCCTTAATTGGGGAGATATTACTTTTGTGTGGGCGCTGGAATGCAGACAATACCTGATGTCTGGAAAGGGAAAATAAACAGAGGTAAATGACCAAGCTTATTTTGGCAGGATGTGCAAAAACACAAACTACATGCCTGGCCAATCTGATAGGGTTAGGAGAAGTCCTACAAGTTTATACAGTGACCAAAAGGGAAATAGGAACTGACACGTAGGAAACTAGAGAGGAAAGAAAGAAGGGGTGGGAAAGGTGGCAAAACATACACACTCAGCAGTGCAGAAACAAGGCTTCAATGTGTACTTATAGAACCTTGACTTGAACTACCCACGGGTCAAAAAGCTCCAGTCAGAAAGCAAACTCTTTGCTGGGGATATACTGTAATTTGGTTGAAGTCCTGTCCTATTAGAATAAGCCACAAACCATTCACAAGATTTGTAGGCAAACTCTCTTTTTTAAACTATGACTGTATTAAAAGACAAAGAAGTGAACATCGGACTCAGGGAGGAAATCTAAAAGTTCATCAGTTCAATCCATTCATTTAACAAATGAGAAAACCAAAGCTTAGAGAAGGTCATTGATTTTCCCACACCCATTTTACTAGCTGGAGCAGAACTACGCAGAGAACCTGGGAATCTTGGTTTTCAATTTAGAGTACATTCCCCTTCACATACCTTCCACTCACAATAGACCAACCGGTCTCCTTACTTCCCCTCTCCACCCCTCCTTTCTCTTCTCTTCTCCCTGTCATTTATTAAAATAGAGATTTAAGAGCATTGTCCAGGAAGCCCCACTTATTAATTCTGTGAAGTTGCTTACCATCTCATACACTCTGTCATCTCCAACAAGTGAAACTGGACCCAAATGGAATATATGCAGATAACTTGCATTTTGTGATCCTCTACCATCTTTAATCTCACACCTTATGGTAAGGAAAAGTTATCCTACAGTGGTATGACATTTTCCGTACGTGTATGTGCTATTCCGGTTTCCCTGTTTACCTCTGCATTGATATAAAAATAATGCCACAATACAGCAACAAATAATATTCACAGGACTCTTAAGTCCCAGTTTCAGGAACTTTAGTGCTTAAGCCTGCTCCTCTGCCAGGTATTTCCGGAATTCTTCAAACAACACATAGATGATGATTTAGGGAGCTGACACTTTCCACTCTCCCTCACTGATCAGTGCTGGAAAAGTTATCACTCAGCCACTCTGAAGCCATCTCAAAGCCTCCATCTTCTGTTGCTGATCTGTACAGAGACTTCTTGGGCCACTGGATTGAACCTGCAGAGGCCGCCCCACTGCTAAAGCCAACACACTCTCCCCACCTTCACCTATCTCTGCCCTGTGTTCTAATATGGAAGATCCCAAGAAGTGCTCCCTTGTTCCCTCCATGTTATTCCACAGAACATGTTTTGCTGAAACAGCTCTCTCAGTTTTTTACTCACAGAGTGACAAAAGGTATAGAGACACCATGCTGCCATTGGAATCTCCCAGTCTATTTCACTGCGATGGGTTGGGGTTGGATTAAAGTTCTCTGCTTCTAATTTTTCTTTCCTTAGGATGATTTATTTGCTAGGAGGTCTTTTTGTTCTCTCACACAACTAAGGTTCCTGGCAGACATAGCCCACAGTTCCTCAAGATATGATGGAATTCAAAGCACACAAAGATGCACCAGGGTAAGGGATAAAGGAACCATTGAAGGCTGAAATGTGGCCCCCACTCCATTCACCAAACTGTGCAGCCATGGCTGTGTCCGCCTAAGAAAGCATCTCTTTTCTAATTTACAAATGAGCACTGGCCCTATCTGAATTCTTAGATGTATGCTGCAAATGGGAACTCCTGCTATATGGAGAGCAGGGACCATAGCTTGTATTTATTTTGTATAAACCTCACCATATGGCCCAGTAGTTGGCATCAAAGCCACACTACAAGTGTTTGCTAGATGAAATCCATGAGGGGGCCAATTATTCAGACCTGTGTAAAATTCCTGCCCTTGGTAGCCTTAAAAGGCAATATAAAGGCCGGGAAAATAAAAGATTTTCTAAAGTGCAAAAATGCTGGCTTTCTCTCAAACTCTAGAATCAAACTCAATTAAACCTCATGAATTTCTTCTCTGTTTATATACTGAATGCTTGATACAGCACGGAGCTCAGAACCACATCTTGGTATCATTTATCAGACTACCTTACTACTCTAGTCATTCAGCGTTCCTGGGCCAGCACTGTATAATGTCATCTTCTGCCTTTCTCAAAATATAATAATTTCACAAGATATGGTATATTTTAGAGAATTCGATGCATCATTTTAGTGTCATTACCATTGTTACCATGAAGACACTGAGCTATGAAGAGGTCTAATGTTCAATGACTTCCCTTAGAGGAAGGCAGAATTTCAGAATACCAAGTGACCCAGCCTCAGTTTCCATTATTCCCCTAGGTCTGTGGAGCTAGATTGGCTAACTGGTGAGGAGTGTCAGAATGTTATCTTCAGCTGTTTGGTTCTAAACAGTATTTTACTCTGTGTAGTCAGCAAACCTTCAACTTTTGTCATCTTGCTTTTTACAAGTCCATACTTCACTTCCAAAAAAGCATTTCAGTTGATCATTAAAGTACATCAGTTCAGCACTTGCCCTTACTTTTCACAAAAGTCTTGGAACCCACATGCAAAGATTAAACTCTACCTCACAAAAAGTCAGACAATCCAGAGAAGAAGCTGAAGTGGTTCCCACCCTTCACACTTGCCACACCCCATCAGCCAACAATAAATCCCCTCCTGACATGAAAGTCCCTCTCCCCACTCACCCCAGAATAAATCCCCAGCTGGCAGGACGCCAGGCTGAGCAGATGTGTCTGCCACCACTTCCTGGGGTGGGGTCAGGCTGCACCAGCTTTGATCAACCAAAAGAAGGAATTTCCAGTGTCAAGAGCCCTCCACAGAGAATGCCCCAGGGTCTACTCTAAGAGGTAAAGGAACCAGTTATTAAAAAAGCAACTAGGAGCATCCCAAACAGGCGGAGCAGCAGACGACCTGTGTACCCAGAGAGGTGATGTCTCAGTCATTCTCCTTATTTCATGGACAGAAGTGAAAACGCAAATGAGCTCACCTTTCATGGCCAGAAACTCTTTCCAAGGAAAGGAAATACCATAGTGATATTGAGTTTAGTTCTCCCTATTACTTAGTCATTCTTGCAGTAAACTAGGTCATGCTGGAAAGAATATTAACCCTTACACATCTCAAAGAGATGTTATAGTAACATTCATTAGTATTTACACTTGACCAGACATGAAATAGCTCCATGAATCAGTATGCTGGCTCACAGAAGGGACCGTCACTGTTTTTCCCTGGAGTCATTTATCTCCAGACAAGCCATCGAAGTTGGGCATATCTGAGCACCTTCCTTGGAACTCTGGTTGCAAAGCTTCAGAACCTTAAAAAGTATCACTACATTACTCACTGAAGCTGAAGGAAACTTCATAGTGAAGTAAAATAAAAACATTTTGCCGGCCAGGCACGGTGGCTCACACCTGTAATCCCAGAAGTTTGGGAGGCCGAGGCAGGCAGATCATGAGGTCAGGAGATTGAGACCATCCCGGCTAACATGGTGAAACCCCATCTCTACTAAAAATACAAAAAATTAGCCGGGCGTGGTGGCGGGTGCCTGTAGTCCCAGCTACTCAGCCACTGAGCTCCAGCCTGGGTGACAGGGCGAGACTCCATCTCAAAAAAAAAAAAAAAAAAAAAAAACCCACAACCATTTTTCCCAGACAGACAAGTTTTGCTATAGCCTGCCACTGGAAATCTATCCATCAGTGAACATTGTGAATTATTCCTAGTAGAAACCCACATGGCATCTTGTTTTGGAAATGTTGTTAATCATAGTAAGTTAAGTATTGTAACAAACAGTATCAAACAAAACTCAATTATCCATGTCTATTACTTGCACACCTCACAGTCCTGTCCAGGTTAGTAGGAACGGAGTGGAGGGAATGAGGGCACTCTACCCCAAGCAGGAACCAGGTTCTTTCCCCATAGTGGCTCCACCATTAGGTTTTGGAGTTCTCTACTGAGTGCTCCTCGTCTGGCCACCATATGAGCAAAGACAGGGAACAGAGAGCATTGCTCAGAGGTAGTTGCTGTACATCACTTTCAGCCATATTCCTTTGGCCTTGTGTAATGGCAAGGGAGGCTAGAAAATGCAGTCAAGTTTTGTGTCCAGAAAACAAAGAAAATGTGTTGTTAGCAATTTCTACAGATTTAAAGTGTCTTATGGGTCAAAACTTTGGATAAGAATTTGCCCAATAAAAGAGAGGCCTTTTTCATTCTCAAGGAAGAGGTCAGCATATTCTAGTTTCAAAAAAGCAATTTACAGCTTTTTCTTGACAGCTTAGTTTTTCAGCACTGATGTTTTCAAAACACGTAGAGGGTGGAAAATCCACAAAGAAGAAAAACAGCAATCACACACACACACACACACACACACACACACACACACACACACACACACACACACAAAGACTTTACCAGAAATGTGAACTTGAGAAAAGCCCACAGTTACCTCATACATTTAACTTTTGCTGGCAGTTGAAGATCTCTGCATGTGAGGTCAAGTTTTTCTAGCACCATATTTTGTATATTTTAATGTCAAATGAGGTCTTGTTCTGTTGTTAAAGCTATTATGTTTGATTTAAAAGGCAAGAAGTTAAGGATATTACAGGGGATGGAGTGGGTATATATAGGCATTAAGATTTTTTTTAAAAAAAAAACTATCTGAAGTGATCATAATTTTACAAAGTATTAAAAAAAATTCACATTTATGAATGCTAGTGTGCTTTGGATTGGGATGTCAAACCTTCGGGGCAGGGGCAGAGTGTGAGAAATACTGTGAGCAAAAGGAATAAGGAAAAAAGTTGTTAAAAAGTTGCTGTACCTTCTGTTTCTATTTTCCCTTCTCTTTCCTTCCTTTCTCTGAGGTACAGGTCAGCAAGCCAGTCCTGGATACAGACTGCAGCAGGGAGAGGCAGAGAATGCAGCTTGATGGCAGCTCTTCAACGGCAAATTGATGAAGTAAATAATTAAATACGTTGAGGATAATGGGAGCTAAATTTTATACTGCTAGAGAAGATTTTACAAACAGGAAGAGCAGAAAGAAAAGAAAGAAGCCTGAGGTGTTGGCTTGGAAACACCTGAGGAAGAGGACAAAGAAAAGAAAGAAGCCCGAGGAATTGGATTGGCAACACCTGAGGCAGAGGAGAAAGAAAAGAAAGAAGCCTGAGGAATTGGATTGGCAACACCTGAGGAAAAGGAGAAAGAAAAGAAAGAAGCCTCAGAAATTGGACTGGCAACACCTGAGGAAAAGGAGAAAGAAAAGAAAGAAGCCTGAGGTGTTGGATTGGAGAAACGAACACATATATATATATATAAATGAATACATCTATACATATATTGTTTTGTGACAAATATACACACAGAAAGATACAGAGATCACTGAAGAGGTATGTGTGTGGGAGATATATATATATGTAAATATTTATATGTGCATATATACACATATATTTCTTAGCTCTGTCCAATGAGAACACCTAGAAGCAATGGCATCCCAGTAACAATGAGCACACTAAACACTAGATCTTAGCTTCTAAGTGCCATACTCCACTTAAAAAAAGAAAAAAAAAGGCAGGGCTCCTTTAAGAAATAGTGATTTCCTAGAGAGGAAAAATTAACTGGTAGGACTGCACCTGAATACTCATGAAAACTTCTCAGTAATAATTGGTCAGAAGACACCACAATAGTGAGCAGAGTTGGGGTCATGTGGTGGTTACTGTGGCCTCTGTCATTCCCATGTATCCTTGGGAGTGTTCTGTGATACATGAAGAGCTATGGATGTAGTTGTAACCTTCAGAATATCTTCCCAGAGACCGGAGGCTGAAAGGAATTAGAATAGAAAGGTGGATAAAAATGATTTGGACTCATTCTTTCTTCTTACACCATTCCCTGCACACATATAAAAACTCTTTCCATAGTGACAATATTCTCACTTTCCATAGACTAAGTAGCAAACATATGAGCAGACTCCTGGTATTCTCTGCAAAGTGGAGTAAACTCAACTCCAAGTTCCTTTAGAGGCAGTTAGAGGTGTTTCTATGGAAGGCTGCCAGATGCCGGCTACCTAAAACTAGACACCAACCCTCATCCTTTCCAATTATCTGAAGAACCCTGAAGACTGTATCTGAAGCTCTGCCCGCATGCCAATATGCCTCCAAGAAAACAGGAGAGAACTAAGAAGTTCTCTTAGTTGCAATGGCAATGGCAAAAGATCATTTTTACCACTCAAGCTCCAGGGGGGAATAAAAGTTTTGACATATTCGTGTCTTATTCACTGTCTGTATAATTTCACTTTCATAATGAAATCTTTTTAAGCCGGAGGAGGGAAAAATAAAGTCTCCCCAAATAGTCTGAAGCAGAATAGCTCTTGGCTATTTCCAAATCTAAAAGAATCAGCCAAAACAATTTCAATCAAATCTTTTTTAAAAGCAACAACAACAACAAGTTTCCCCTGAGTGTGAGGTTGGGAAGGTCAAGGTCTAGCCTGATGTAAACAAAAATGTCTCAGTAGAACAGAGTTAGAGGTTAAATAAATGTTTCTAACAACAGGGATTTAAAACAGAACCATTAAAAATATATTTTACTGCCTGTGTAAAAAGGAAAGGTAACAACAGCCTTTCATCTCTTCTCTGAGTTCTGAGTGAGAAATACAGTTTCATGAACACATCCTGGAAACAAAAGAATAGATTAATGGCTAGGAGTGTGAATGAAAATATCTGGACAACAAGTAAAGAAAATATTCCATCTAAACTGCATTATATCTTAGTCGTTTTGGTAGGATATATGGTCTTTAAAGTTTTTATTTTTAAAGTGTATCTTTTCCCAAGTGATACATGGCCACTGATGAAGAAAAACAGTATAAACAAAAATGGAAATCATTCCTAATCCCAATGTCCACTAAAGGTTAGTTGATATTAATATTTTGGAGTATTTCTTATCTTTCTTTTCTGTGAATATTTATAATTTCTTCCAGTCAGCATCACATTACGTATACAACTCCGTAACATCTTTTTCACTTAGCAAGTCAAAATAAACATTAATCTATATTATTAAGTATTGTTTAAAGCATGGTTTTTTAATTGCTGCAGATTGTCTTCTTAGGTAGGTACCTTTGTAACTTCTTTCACAACTCTTTTCTATTCATCTGAACACATACTATTTTCAAACTTTTGCTCTTATAATCAAGTCTTCAATTTACAATTTCTTGATGCATCTTTGCATGGATCCCAGTTTAAATTATTATACTGTGTAAATTAGTTTCTTAATTTTTAATTTTAAAATTAATTTTTAAAAGTCAAATTACTGAACCAGGTAGTAAAAACATACTTAGGGATTTAGAAACCTATTTCCAAAATGGTACAACTTCCAACCAGGTCATACCAGTGTCATTCCCACCATCAGGGCAAGTGCCCATATGTCTCTCCGTCCTCACAGACATATATATATGACTATATAAATTTCTGCATACCTCTATTTTGATAAGTGAAATATGTTTATTTCTCTAATTTCTAGTAGAGTTAAACATTTTTCATATACCTAGTATCTATAAAAGTTTCTTTTCTGGTTCATTCCCTCTTCACGCTTTTTACTTTCTCACAGCACATTTGTATTTTTCTCATTTAATTTGTTAGAACTCATCTATTCAAAGTGGCCAGTTTTTCATTTGCCTAATTATTTTATGATTATTTTGTTGTTACTGCTCTTATACAGGAAAGTTAAGTTTTTATGTATTCAAATCTGTTATGTTTTTATGAATTTGCCTGCATGCTTATAAAAGCCTGTTCTATTCCCAATTGGATCTATGTTCAGTTTTGTTCAGTTGGATCTTTTTTTTTTTTTTTTTTTGAGATGGCGTCTCACTCTGTCACCCAGGCTGGAGTGCAGTGGCGTGATCTCAGCTCACGGCAACCTCCGCCTCCCGGGTTCAAGCAATTCTCCTGCCTCAGCCTCCTGAGTACTGGGTCTACAGGTGCCTGCCACCACGCCCGGCTAATTTTTGTATTTTTTAGTACAGACGGGGTTATAGCACATTGACCAGGCTGGTCTCGAACTCCTGACTTTGTGATCTGCCCGCCTCAGCCTCCCACAGTGCTGAGATTACAGGCATGAGCCACCTCGCCCAGCCCAGTTGGATCTTTTGAATTTAAATTACATTATAGCCTAAGGAATTACAATACAGACTGGTTTAGGTATTTCTATGTGATAATACAGCACATTCCATGGAGACGAGGTCAGGAGAAATAACCAACATATCCCAGGCTTCTGTAAACAGAGGGGATTTCTGATACTGTAGAGATGATTTTCCACTACATTCGGCTTGTGATTTTTCCAACTCCTAGTGGGTTGTAGCTGTGCTGCCATTTTAGTGTGGTTCGTTAAAATTTTGCTTAAGCTGAAACGTTATACCATCACGTGGATCCACCCATCCTCAATATTTTTTCTGTTGTTTTACAGTACTTTTAATTCAAAGAATTTACTCAAAGATTATTGATGGCAATATTTCATCCCACATGGTCTTGTGTGACAAATGTCATCTAAATTTAGTTTCCAAGAGTGGAAGCATTAGGAGATTCCCCTTCAGAACAGTACAGAGGCAAAGCTGATTACCACCTGAGAATGCCATGATGGCATCAGGGAGTCAACTGCGGGATAGGTAGTTATAAGAAAGAATTATTTGTGATATAAAGAAAATATTATTAGAAGAAAGTATAAGGTTGCATAAAATATGTAGTTATTGAATGGTCAGGCATTGGTATCAGATCCGGCTTCAAATAGAGCCCTCCTACTTTCTAACTGGAAGACTTTGTGGAAGGTATTTAATTTGTCTGACCGTCAGATTCTTAATCTGTAAAATCATGTTAATGTTCTAAACATTTTGGAGTTGATGTGGGGATTAAATGAAATAATGTGTATTAGGCACTTAACAATCTTTCAGGCATATAGCCACAGTTATTCATGCAATAAATGGGGACAATTCCTGCTATTACAAGTAGCAAATGAAAATAAGTGTTTCTGGAATGGTCCCTACATAAAAATTCAAATGAAATGATCACAGCCTAATATCTGCCTATGAATTATAATTGACAAGCAACTTATCAATTAGTATTGTTAGTGAATTTTTTAAGAAAAATGCATGTAAAACTAAAAGCTCTCATGTAACATGACTTTGCCAAATTAGGAAGAAAATGAAAATACAGTCAATATTGCAAGTCATTAGTAATTTCATTCGAAGTTTGGCTGTTTGTGAGGCTGGTAATAACCTTCTATTATTATACAGCAAAACTAGACCTGGATTCACTACATTACATTATCAAGCCCCTGTCGGGTCTTTGGAGTTAGACTAAATATTCTCACTTAAATTCTCATTTAACCATAATATAACCATGGGGCGAACACTATTATCGGCCACAATTTATACCAAAGGAAACCAAATCGCCAGATTTAAGAAAACTGTATGAAGTCAAATAGCAAGTAAATAGTTGAGCTGGAATCTTCATCCAGGTCTCGTCATTTCAAGCTTTGACACTCTGTCCATATACTATGAGGCAAAGAGGAATTAATCTGGTGTCAACTGTCCAAACTCACAGGCAACCCTTCTTTTAAATGTAACTGTAAATATATATATATATATATATATATATATATATATATATATATATATATATAACCCCACCCACCCAATCAGAAACACTAGGGAAATAAATTCAAAGCTTCAGCTGTGTTTTTGTATAGCCAAAATATGAACCATTAAGAAGTGTTTGGAATCTTTAGTTTGTTTTATGTTTGGTGTTCACAGAAGATTTGAGGAATTGGAGGGATCAATGAAAAGAAAGAAATTAATGTTATAATATTACAGTAACTTCCAGATTATAGGGTAACATATATACATATATACTCTTTAATAAATTAGATTGAAAAATTCAAATATTAATGTTAGTCTTCAGAAGAAATGTGAGTTTGATCCAAAAGTGACTACCTAAAAATTTTCACTGATAGATACTCAAGGGGCCTGGTCTTCAGCTGGGGTGCAATAGCCACTTTGGCCTGTTCTATAGGACATCAGTGAAGCAAAGCCCACTGGGTGCTCATCCAGATTTGGAGAAATGTGGTATGGGAGGACCAAGACAGAATGAAGGCTAGACCAAGACTATGTGTTGGGGTGGAGGCTTCCTTAGGAAGGGAAGGAAGTCGGAGACCTGAGGAAGCACAGCAAGATTTAGGTGCACCCAGGAGAGGATGCCAACAGATTGCAAAGGCTTTAACTGTGTGGCTTCTGGTTCTGGAACTATATGAGAATAAGCCCATGTTGCATAGTTTTAAATATCATCATTTATGTTGTAACTGCAAACATAGTTTTATGCTCAGATGACATAAGGCAGGGGTGAAGCCGTAAGAGTGAAGAGAGCCACCCCATGTTCACACAGTTTTTAAGGTCTCCCCGTAGCTTGCAGCAGTTCTTCATGAACTGAGTCCAGAGCCACAGGGATAAAGGCTAACAGCCTAGCAGGAATAAGGCAAACTCTCCCTTTTCCTCAAATATTTTAGAACAGGTGACCATGTATAAAGAAGGGAAAAGTGAAAATTGATTTGTACTTAGTAGAAAACTGACTAGTACTGACCACAAATAATTCTGCCTCCTCTAGATTTGACAGATGCTATCCACCAGTAAGAGCTCATGCTGTAAGCAGCCATGAGTTCTTACAGCAATTACTGTTAATGGAAAATAAAGTTCATTTTCAAAACTGCAAGCTAAAAGGAGCACGTTAAAATTGGCTTATAGTTTTCTTGAACCGAACATTGTTTTTCTCCATCACAAGAGACAACAAAGTTGACCCTCTGTTCACTCCCACTGAACCTAAAGGGCCATCTAAAGGAAAACAGGATGTGGCTGAGAACAATGACACCTCTGCTAATCACATACAGAGCCAACAGATGAATAAAGCCCTGGTGTTTTTCAGAAAGTCATAAGAAAGCATGGATTCAAAAAGAGAACAATGATTGTGGAAATACTATTGTTAATTTTGCCTACAACCCAAACAGTGCTACCTTCCTACTCTTGCTAGTCCATTTTCACCTGAGGATAATGCCTGGAAATGCATCAGATGCCCTCTTTCCTGTACTCTGAAGATCACTGTGTGTGTGTGTGTGTGTGTGTGTGTGTGTGTGTGTGTAATGCCCATCATTATTATTGCGATCTTTTAAAGGACATATTTGTTAAATTATTCTTAACAGGGAATCCCTTGTCACATAAGCCAAAGATTATGTATATATAGCCACAGAAAATATACATATATATATTTAACCATAGCATATAAATTCAGTAAACTAAGAGGAATGCAGTTGAGCCAAAGGGATTATTAACCAGCTCTCTAAAATAATTCATACTTGCGCTAAAACATTTTGTAGCGAGATTTGAGGTTTCTGTTAAAATTTATGGTAAATGAATACAGAAAGCTGTAAGTAGGAGAAATTTTGCAGTTTTCACAATTGCTGTCATGATGGGAGCACCTACGAAAATGAACAAGGGAAAGAATCGATTCCGATCAATAAAGCAATAACAATGCATTAAGATATTACTCTCTCTAACACTCAGCTCTTTCCTGCTGCTACATTTCCTTTAAATGTCCTTAATCTAGGTACAAGGAGTTATGGAATTTGAGGCAGTTGTAAAAGAAGACATAATCATTGAAACCTAACTAATTTAGAAGAACATTGGCTCAAGAGCAAAATATTAAGCACAATCTATTAAATTTACTATTTCTGCTATTCATCAATTTAACCGATCGTTACAAATAAGTACAATATAAAGGCGATAGCCAAGGCACTTAAACTAAATGAATGAGAAAAGTGAAACTATGTGATTTTTAAGAGTCAATTTGTGAAGTTTTTTTTCTTTCTCACTCCCTCACCCCTTCGGTATCACTTGTGAAAAATAATTGGAAATGGTAAAAGTCAATATAGGGGTCCAGGTCCTGGCATATGAATAGGCTATTCATGAAAATGTTGGCTTGCTCCTTTTAAGGGTCACAAAGGACTTAACTGATACTCCTCTTAAATTTGTGAGGAAAATGGGGGCAAGAATATTTCTTCTCAAATGCTGGAAATGGTTAGGTTGGTGGTCCTATCGCATAATCAATTGTATATCATCTATATGGTTGTTTCCTATTCCCTCATCCACATCTTCAATTGAATCTGGCAGTTTGTAAAAGTTGTGTTAAGGCTACCAGTCACAAAAACCACTACCAAGTTATAAGTTCCTTGAGGAGGTCAACTAAGTCATATTCATCTTGTTTTTATCTCTAATGATTCATAGTGTTTGGCTTACATTATTGTAACTGCTCAATAGTTGAATGATGAAAGACATAGCATTTGCTCGAAATAGTGCTTTTCTGGTCCGATCCTCAGTTTTGGACTTGGCACATATTTCTTCACTTTCCAACTTGTCTTCCCTTAGGTAACTAACAAGCAGCTTAGTAAGTCACAATGGCATCTCTCAATAATTAGTTTGGTTATCCAAGCATGCCCCCTATTTTGAACTCTGTTTTCCTATTTATTTTATTTCCCATCTTGGCACTTGAATGTCCTCTCCGTATTTTGCTAAAATGATGTTGCTGATGTAGGTAGAAAACACTTAAAATTTATGTGTTCTGAAATTTCTTACATTTTGTTGCTGGAACACTCTGAAATTCTCTGATTTTGTACAGCAACTGTCAACATAAGGGACAAACTGATGATTTATAGATAGAAACGTGAGTCTAAATTTCTATATTGCCAAGCTGCTCATTTTAAAAGCACAGTGAATTAGACAAGAAGTAAATCCGCAGAACTGGAAAGCTTCCCCGCATTTCTCAAAGTATGAGTGATAAGCAATGTTCCTCTGCAATGAATGACTTTTGTTTCTCTCGTTGATCACTTGCACCGAAAAAAAATGTCTCGACCATGTTCCTAGTCATCTCTTTTTTAAAAAATAAATAATTACAGTAATCTTTTGGGGATATTAAATATTAAATATCTAAATCCTTTCTTTTGCGTGTTATGTCAGCCTTTAAAATTATATGCCAATTGGTACTGTAGTCATGCTTTGGAAACTAACAGCTAAAAGAAAATATGTACTTCATCCCAGTTGAAATTATTTCAAAAGCTACATTATATAATAATGCTAGTGAGATATGTGCCAACTAAAGAAAGGGGACTCACACCTGCCTTCTTTGTAAAATATTTAAAAATTTAACTTGGAATCGTGAATAAAAGATCTGTAGTTGAAGCAGTATAACAGTACAATAACATCCCATCCACCAAGCAATAGACTAACACCAGTTTTCTAATCAGAAGGTAATAACACAGACCTCCAGAAAAGAAATGAAATTTGACATTCTTGCTCAATATATCTTCTTCCTATACTGCCGTAATCTCTGACTATCCTTGTCCTCATTCCAAAAACAACAAAATAAAAGCAGAAGTAACACAAATTCCCTATTATCTAAGGCTCAGATTCGTTCTTTCTTTTTGTAATATTACTCCTCACTTCTGTGACCCGTACTCTTATTTTTTTCAACTCTTATTTCACATTTTAGCAGTAACATGCAGCTTAGCACTAACTTAAATTATTCCTGTAATCCCAGCACTTTGGGAGGCCAAGGTGGGCAGATTTCTTGAGGCCAGGAGTTCGAGACCAGCCTGGCCAACATGCTGAAAACCCATTTCTACCAAAAATACAAAAATTAGCCAGGCCTGGTGTCTCATGCCTGTAATCCCAGTTTCTGGGAAGGCTGAGGCAGGAGAATCGTTTGAACCTGGGAGGTGGAGGTTGCAGTGAGCTGAGATCATGCCATTGCACTCCAACCTGGGCAACAGAGTGAGACTCTATCTCAAAAAAAAAAAAATGACTTTTTTCTTTCAACCAAATTGTGAATTTTTTACTATTACCAGGTAACACCAAGTGCCTGTAATGGACTGGCCTCTCATTAGAGTATTTTACAAGTGTCATATCCTTTCATCCTGACACAACTCTATTAGTTCCTCCATTTTAGGGATGAAAAATAGACTGAGAGAGAACAATGTATTTACTGAGTACAAAATCACAGCTAGCAAATAGTAGAGCTAGGATTTGGGTACAGAGTCTATATCCTTAGTCAAATTGCCATACTCCTTCAGAAACATCTATACCCAGAAACAACTTACTCCTTCCCTGATACCAAATATAATGCTCCTTGTTAGCAAGGAACCATCATATTTGAGTTCCAGCTATGTAGAGCCCGGTAAAGAGGAGGTACTTAGTTGGATTTAATCACAGACACTTAATACATTTTTTTCCTCTGACTGTGGAAGGCAGAGTAGTCTCTTGAAAAATATACTGTCATTTTCTGGGTAACTACAGTTGATCCAAAAAGAGATCTTGAGAGGGCCAACCAGTGTATTAGTCTTTTTCTCACACTGCTATAAAGAACTGCCCAAGACTGGGTAATTTATAAAGAAAAGAGGTTTAAGTGACCTACAGTTCTGCATGGCTAGGGAGGCCTCAGGAAACTTACAATCATGGTGGAAGGGGAAGCAAACATGACCTTCTTCAGATGGCAGCAGGAGAGAAGTGTCGAGTGAAGGAGGGGGAAAGCCCCTTATAAAACCACCAGATCTTATGAGAACGAACTCACTATGATGAGAATAGCATAGAGGAAACCGCCCTCATGATTCAATTGCCTCCCACTAGGTCTCTCCCAGGAGTTGTGGGGATTATGGGATACAATTCAAGATGAGATTTGGGTGGGGACACAAAGCCAAACCATATCAACCTGGATGAGAGAACACTGAGTAAGAAGAGAGAAGAGCCGTAGAAGGCAGAGATACTGACCAATCATGGTGTACAGCCACCTGCCACCTCTTTGGGACCAGACTTAATTTTATTGTATTAACCCCTATTAACATCCTCTGGAATTAATGCTTTGTGGAACAGACTTTGAAAAATGCTGTTAAATTTGTAAATGAGTGAGATGTTTTCAGCATACAATGAAATAGCACATAAAGAGAAAAGCTTAGATGCACTGAGTGTCTGTTATACAGAGAGTCCTCTGTTAGGTGATTTGCATGTGTTGTTCTGATGTAATACTCAAAAAAACCCTATAAAATAGATATTATTATCCCCATTTTATAAATAAGGAAACTGAGGAGGATGTTTTACTTGCAAAGGTTACAATGTGCTCAGTACTGTCTATCCTTCAATTTCTATTTTTCAATTACTGTGCAAGTTTGGTGTTATTTTCACCATTTTAAAATTCTTTTTAATGTTTTTTATTTAAGCTGATGAAATTTAAGCTTAGAAAGGATACCTATCTTATTCAATGTGACAGATGAACCAAGGAACCAGGATTCAAACCTAGATCTGTCTCATTCCAACATCTGTGTTCTTAACTCAATGACTTAAATTCCTGCAAATAATTTAACTTCAAGAGCATAAATCTTTCAATAAATTTTTCTAGTGTAGCAAAAGTTGTGATCATGGCCCAGGGCCATGTAGAAAAGAATGAGAATTAGTTCTTTGATTATATCCAACTGCCTATATGACATCTCTGTTAATGTCTAAATAATGAGTCTAAAACTGAATTTTTCATTCTTTGCCCCTAATCTACTCTACCTATAGCTTTCCCCATCTTGGTTGATGGCAAATCTAGTCTTCTACTTGCCCAGGCTAAAAAGTCCTAGGAATCATCCCTGACCCTCTCTTTCTCACCACTCAAATCCAAACTTTCAGGAATTCAATCTACTTTTTTCTTCATAAGCTATCCAGAATTTACTCATTTTCCATCTCCTCTATTGCTGCCTCCCTGTTCTGAGCATTTCTTGCTTGGCCTAAACATTAGGCTTCTAACATCTCTCCCTAATTCTACTCTTGCTTCACATTAGTCTATTCTCAACACAGCAGTCACCGTGATTCATTACATCAGTCAGGGCCCACTTACGAGACAGGAATCACACTAGTTATATTAATAGAGAGAGTAATATAAATAATTGCTACCTGGAATAAAGTTATTAACTGAGTAAGCAAACAGACAAAAAGGGGTATAACAGAGGTAAAAAGAGCAGAAAGCATCTTCTATAGCTGGGGACTAGAGAAAAGAGATTGGAAATATTAAAACTTAACTAGCTTAGTCCTCTAATGAGAGGCACTGAGGTTTCTGAGAGAGTGTGATGAGGTTAGCTCTGGACTGTTAGAAACACTGAAAACTGCTGCTAAGAGAAGGGACTCCTACTACTAGGTTGAAAGAAGCATTGCTAGAAACATGACACACATACGAAGCCCACAAGAAGCAAACAGGAAGGAACAAGTCCCTTCTCTCGCCTTCATTCTTGCTGTCCCCCTCTACTGTCTCCTGTGGACAGAGCCTAACAGGAGGAACCTGTAAAAAAGAAGTGTGGTCTGAAGAGTCCCATCCTCAGCATCACAAAGTCAAGTATCAGAAGGATGAGTTTGGAGTTAAGAGATGAGAACACCGTCTACAATTATTAAAAGAGTAGAAAAAAGGATACAATAAAAAAAAAAGAGACAATAGTTTAATAACTGGCACATCTGTTTGAAAAGTTAATCAGATAATGCATCCGTTTGCTTAAAACCCTGCAAGACCTCACCATTTTACTATAGTAAAGGTCAAAGTCCTTACAGTGACCTACGGGGCTTTATATGATCTGGTCGCAGATCTCTGACCTTGTGTAAAACTCCTCTATTCCTTATTCTCTCTGCTCCAGCTACTCTTCTCGGGCCTTCTTGTTCTCTCTTAAATACCTTTGGCACTATTCTGTCTTCGAGCCTTTGCTCAAACTGTTCCTTCTTCCACTTCTGGAATGTTCTTTCCCTAGTATGGCTAATTCTTCCACTTTCTTCAATCTTTTGATAACATCTCATTTTTTCAAGAAGGCTTATCCTGACAACCCTATTTAATACAGTAAGCTGCCCATCACCTCCACACTGCACTCTCAATTCTGTGACTTGGCTATGTGTTTTCTTTTTTTCAACAGCACTCATCAACTTGTGTCACACTGTATAATTTATTTATGCATTATGCTTATTATTGTGGCCCTTTTCTTTGCTCCCATAACGTAAGCTCCTTAAGAACAAGAATTTTTTTTATTTCTCATATGGCTCAAGGATAAAGAACAATGCCCAACACAGGGTAGGCATATATTAAACATTTATTGAGGTGAAAAGATTTCACTTAGTCATCCCTGTAGAGTTATTCATGGGAATGGGGAGAGTGATCTTAAAATTAGAATGCTCCAAAAGTAATTAATGCATGATATCTAGATTGACTTGGTCATTTTGCAGTAGTCTTAATTTATCAGTACAGAGAATTCTGTTTTGTGTACCTTAATATACAGATTAATTTAGTTTTTTATGGGTTAAGCCTTGAAGAAGTAGGAGATAGCCCTAAATATAGCAGTTTCATGAGGGAAGGTAACCTGGAGTAAAAATTTCACCTCAACCATGAAATGATTGATGTACAGGCAAATAAGAGTCAATTGCTCAGCAAGTATATGAACACAAAACAACAATTGTACCCTTAAGATATTAAAATCCAAATCAAAGCCAAGTGTGGTGGCTCACGTGTGTAATCCCAGCACTTTGGGAGGCCAAGGCTGGTGGGTCATTGAGGTTAGGAGTTTGAGACCAGCCTGTCTAACATGGTGAAACCCCATCTCTACTAAAAATATAAAAGTTAGCTGGGCGTGGTAGCAGGTGCCTGTAATCCCAGCTACTCGGGAGGCTGAGGCAGGAGAATCATTTGAACCTGGGAGGCGGAAGCTTCAGTGAGCCAAGATCGTGCCACTGCACTCCAGCATGGGTGACGGAGAAATTCCATCTCAGAAAATATTAAAATAAAATCCAAATTAATATTCTCACTTATAAATTCCTACTTATTTTCCATAAGTCAAAAGAGACCATGTTTTAAAGGACCTTTTCCCCTGCATTAAAAAAGTAGCATTTTAAATAATAAAGTGGTAGTTACATAGCTGTTTGCTTCATAATATTTTCTTAACATGAACCAATATGTTTTGTGTATTTTTTCTAAATGCATGTTGCATTTCACAATAGAAAAATGAAAAATGTTCTAAAAACCACATACAGCAAGACTTTCATGAATATAGAGAGGTATAAAACAAATTGAGGTAAACCCTTAACATTGTGTTTTCAGACAACCTGATAAATTTACTTCAAAATTGCACATCCTCTGCCGCTCCCACCTCTGTGAGCTCCTGGTGTGAATGGTTTGCTCTGCCTCAGACAGGGTGACTGAGGAATGCCAGGTGCGCCGCTGCATTCGGAGGCAGGCAGGCAGCAAGGAGACAAAGGCCTCGCAGTGCTCTCACTCAGACAGCGCAGGATCAGACTCCCTCTGAGTGATTAGCCTCTGGGGTACCCAACAATAACAGACTCACGCAGGTTTTCAAAACAGAGAAACAGCTTTCACGAAGCTAATAACTTCAGGCCTGTGTGAGTCCTGGGAATAGGCTCTCCTCCCTCCGAGAGGCCTCTGAAAGCCTGGTTCCCCACAACCTAAAGCAAAGTTAAAGCCCTCTTCCTCAAGGTCACCAAATAAAAACCAGATGAGTCCAGAGGGCAGATGGGACGCTCCTGGACACCTCTGGATGTGTTCTTGAAAGAGAGGTGGGAAGAGGAGAAACCGTGCAGAGAGGGGAGAGTTGGTAACACGCTGACTGAGCAGTGACAAAGCACTAACAGGAAGGGAGAGGCCCTGTTCCGCCTGAAGGCAAAATAAACTGACAACAGCCGGGAAGATGGGACAGAGAGAGAAGTCAAAAGAGGCATACCAGGAGCTGTCTCGGCAGGCCTAGGCTGAGAAAAGCCCAGCCTCCTCGCAAATCCATGTGGGATAAAGACTGTACAGTTTAACAGGAGAAATGAATAAGAGCCATAAAAATGCTGCGCATAATCCTATCTGGGTCACTTATTATAGTATATCATGTAAATATCATATGAGGATGCCGACCTTCAAAAAAAGAAAATTCCACAGAACATTTTCTTCTTCGGCAATAGGGAGGGTTTTCTGAAGCATACAGCTTTACTGAATTAATAACTTCCTCTCTGTCTCTGTCGACTCTGGGGGCCCCTGATCTCATCTTTCCTCTCTCTGCGTCCAAAATAAGTTAGAAAGAGGTCACGTGGAATGGCCCTGAGAAGTAAACTTATAAAGAAAAGCTAGTTTTTACTGCCCTCCATAGCCTCCTTGCTTCCTCCATACCCTGTTCTTCCCCGATCCAAACACAAGAACACTCTCCTCTTTTTGGCTCCATTACTTGACTCCAAGGAAAAGTTACTCCCTTGGAAGAAAGAAAAGAAGGAAAGGCCAATCCAAGCACATTTTTTGAAACATTAAAACCTGAATTCCCAGTCTTTTAGTGATAGGTGCAAATCTGCTCTCCATTCAAAGCTGGAAAGCCATGTGTGGAAGGAAACCTGCTGAGAGCATCAGTATCTTCTTCTTCTTCTTTTCTTTTCCTTTTTTTTTTTTTTTTTTTTTTTTGAGAGGGAGTCTCACTCTGTCACCCAGGCTGGAGAGCGGGCAGCGGTGCGATCTCAGCTCACTGCAACCTCCGCCTCCCGGGTTTAAGCGATTCTCGTGCCTCAGCCTCCCTAGTAGCTGAGTTTACAGGCACACACCACCATGCCTGACTAATTTTTGTATTTTTAATAGAGATGGTGTTTTGCCATATTGGCCAGGCTGGTCCCGAATTCCTGACCTCAGGTGATCCACCCACCTCGGCCTCCCAAAATGCTGGAATTACAGGCGTGAGCCACTTTGTCTGGCCTGCATCTTCGCTTCTAGTGAGCTCTGCCTGATCCTTCCTAATGCTAAGTATGTTAGGCAAACTTGGCAGCTTTCAGCCAAGAATTCTTTCCCACCAGAAATGTTCACCAGAAGCAGGGCATCTGAGTGCAACTGCATCTATGATTTCAGTGGCAAAACTGCTTTGGACCCTATCTCAACAGATGGTCTTTATCTATCCTCCTCAAACCATAGTGCATGAACTTCATTTTAAATACACTTTTACTTTTGAAATATCTCATATCCCGCATGCTCTTTTCTCAATTCTTGACATTTAAATTATATCCCTTTTTTAAAATATGAGCCCAAGATGTAATAGAATTGATCACTTCTGCTACCTAGTTAACATGTTTGGGTGGGGAGGGGAACTTAACCACCCACAGTGCTCTCTCTGGGAACGACATCACCACCCTCCCTGCTGAAGAGATAGGGCAAGTTCCTTCCACATGATCCTTCTCTCCAGTACAATGGACTAGACTAGAGGTGAAAAAACTGCCCCAAGGCCAGTCAATTCAGCAGCTGGCTAGAATCCCTCAGGCCAACTCTCACTGTGTCTTCAATTTAAACTAAACGACACAGACAGAGAGAATCAGTCAAACATGTCACTATGTTTTAATATTTTCCCTCATTCCCCAAGAAGATTGTGTGGAGCTTTCATTTTCAGAATTTGCATAATGAAATAATGGCTATATTTTAACTTTTCCAAATATAAAGTTATATTAAAATATGAAAGATGGATGTTCATACTGCTCATCCCCCTCCTCTCCATAATTAAAGATTGAGATATGCACACTCCATCTGGAGTAGACACGCTAGCTCAGTTGAGAATCAGGGCTGCAGTTGGCAAATGAGAGTATTGGGCCTGTAAGATGAAACACACTGCGGGTCACCATGTGGGACCATGTGTAGGCAATAGAAGCCAGTCTGGTGAAAGAGTGGGCAGACAGTCACAGATAACTAGAGCTGAAATAAAGCATGCAAACCCTGAGACATATTGTGAAGATATTTTGTGACCCCTGGGAGACCCAGAACTGATTCCATTTCTAACATCTATCTAGTTGTAGTTAACAGAACTAACTCTACTTTAATTCATGTGTTTGGAAGCTTGCTATACCATAAGTTACCCTTTTCCCTTGGTGAAAAGGCTTTCTCTTTTAACAGAGCTAAATGTTTCTATTCCTTGAAGAAATGTTTTGAAGCCAATTAGGCTAAATTTAAAGTACCAATAATAGGTGATTGGCCCTCAAATTATTACAGCCACAGAACTAAAATCCACTGTCGTTTCAGCAGAGCAATTTTTTACTTTTGTTGTTAAATATATACATCTTGTCTAAACATACTATAGACTTAATGTATTAGATTTAAAGCAATATGAAATGTTTAATGAACTATAGCTTTGTTGTACTGTGTTTATTTTTTCTTCTTTTTGACATCCTCCAAACATGTCAGTAAGGCAGATAATGTAGTAATAGATGTTTATAAACTCAAATTGTGCAGTCATTATATGTATGATTATAGTATTCCTGAGCAGAGGAAAAAAAAGATGATGCATGTTTTTAACAAAAGATAAGTAGAGGCAAATGATGACTTGACCAATTTGCCATGCTCACACTAAAACTGTGCAGCAATAATGAAAACTATGCATTACAATTGTGAAACATACTCCAGAAAGAAAGCTAGAGAAATGTTTAGAGATCTTTTAGAAAATCAAATACATGTTCAGTGAAAAGGCCAACATTTAAACCCAGCAATCCTTATGATAAATCTAATTATGTCTCCAACAGTCAACAAAACAATCTTTATTTTGGACCAGGGCAAACTTGGTCCAAAGATGTCGTCTTATCTACTTTGTAATGTGGTTATCTGTAATAGCTGCTCGCAAACTATGCTAACAGACAGGTATCCAATATCAAATGCCAGGAGGCTAAAGCAATGTCATTGCAGATATTTCACTGGGCTTCTAACCTGGAGAGAAAGGGCATCCTGCCAGTGGTCAAGACTTAGACCAAACAGGCCATAATTCACCCTGCCCCTTAACTTGTGACATTTTCTCTTTTCTCAGGGCTATTTTCTAAAGATGATATGCTTTGTAATAATCCTGACTAGAAAAAGGGAGCATTTTTTTTTTTTTTGGCTTCGGGAGGGGCGGTATATCTGTCTTACCTTCATTCGAACAGTTTCCCTCACCCCTACCATACACACACACTGGTTTTTGATTTCACATTCTCTTCTAAATGTTTCAACATCCATAACATGTTGTAACCATTTTACTTTATGATCTATTCGTATCAAAATGAATCAGCATTTTCTGAATAAATATCTATTTTTGGTAAAGGATAGATTTTGGATATTGGACTATCTGAGGGCTACTTCCTCAGAGAACTTGGGCTCAACCAAGATGCAGTCTAGTGTCCCCACATTCAAATCTTGGCTCTCTCATTTATTTGATACATGACCTTGGACAAGTTATAAACCATCACTGCCTCAGTTTCCATTATCTATAAAATGGGTATCATAATGATACCTGCCTCACGGGATTATTATGAAGATTAAATAATACTGTAGATAATGTAGAACAATGTTTGGCAAATAGTAGTAATTCATGAAATGTTCAGCTATTATTGTGCTACTAGAACTTAGTTGAAAGTCCTCTACAAATTGAAACAAGGAAAAAGATACAAATGTAACACTTTTAATTTGGTTTCCCTTCTCTTAACTCTCATTCTAATAATATTTGACTGTCGGATGAGCTAAGCAAATAGCTCCTGACTATTGAGAAGCAAAATGATTAAGTTTCCTCCTTATGTCAATGACATGTTTCTGTTGCTATGCGGTAGAAGTAACCTTACTAGACACAACTAGGTCTGCTATCTACTCATCAGTAGAAAAAATAGCGTAAGATCAACTATACTAAAACCAAAATGATCAGCTTTAATGATATTCTTTGACATGTAACTGGCTTTTATTCAAAACATTTTATATGGAGTCAAATCATTCAATTACCCAAAAGCATGGTTTTTAATCAGCTAAGCATAGAGGCCTCACATATACTTACACTGATTAAAATTTGACATGGGCATATGTATCATTAATTTATTTTTCTTTGGAAGTAGCTGGTAATAATGCTTATTTTGAGTTTTTAATATCTAAAATGTATTATAATAACTTGGTATGGCACATCACTATCCTTTCAGTTTCTACCCCTTCATGAAAACGTTGGGTCTTCCTGTAAATCTTCCTTTGAAGTGGAGCGACCATCCATTGTGGTTGTTTTCAGATTAGGCTCATTAGTTTACCTCCTCTGCGCCCCTCCCCAGCTATCTGTAAAATCATAAGCATCTCCTCCCAATTGTCACCATAGAATATTCTTGTCAGAGATCACAACCTTGCATTTTGTGCAAGTACACTTGAAAGAAATAATATTCATCTAAAAGTTCTAAATATTATTCTTAGGTCTAGCCAGATTATCAGAATTATGTTCCAGAATTGCTTTTTCACTCTAATGCCAGCAGACTACACTAAGAAAGGGAGGTTTTTAATTATGGTCTTTGGAAGCAGTAACACTATTTTTGTATTGGTGAGAATCCTGTCTATTATATCCACTATATCCATGAAAAGGCCACAAAAAGACAAACAAATACACTTCTAGTTGTGGTGTAATTATGTCCTCTGTATCTCCTATGAGGTCACCAACTCATTGTGGCCAAGTTAATCATTTAAGGTCAGTCAAAACTGAGGATTTTTGGCTCCAAGTAAGGGTTCTAAATAAAAATCCTTCCTTGTTAATGCCACTTTTTCTGTCAATCCCAATCTAATTTATCTAAAACATTTCATAAAACCCAACTGCCTTACAAGTACCATCTAATGGGTTTCACTGTTTGGTTTCTTTGACTTATCACAAGTGCTGATAGCTTCTTGTGTACATTAACTAATAGGCCTCTTTCAAAGTATACTGACATTCAGCTTAGTGTTAAATGGTTTTTAATGAACTCTATACCATCCCCCTCTATCCTGAGCTTCTGCAAATGAAGCCCATTTTTAAAAAAATAATCTGGAGAACTAATGGTACTTTGCATTCCAATGAATGTGAACCAAGTCTGGACCCTAACTGGATAACTTCAAACCAAATTACTATCATGAAGACAAAACAAAACATTCTCATGGTTTTTGTTTTTTTTTTTAACTTCTTAGCCAGATATTTGGCAACTCACAGATATAGAGAGGCTTCATGTCAAAGTATTTATTCCAAATGATGTGAAAAGTTTAAGAGATATTGGAGAAATTAGAAATCTTATTTACTTGGAGTGCTGTGTAAATTTTACTAAGGATTTAGGGAATCACAATTGCATGTTACCAGCTCAAAGTTTCTCAATGAATGCTTCAGTTCTCCCTTTCACATTTTCTGCTGCACCTCAGAGAAAATGTCTCTGAAGCTAAACCAAGTGAAGTAAGAGGATAGCAACTATTTGGTCAAGATGGTGAGTATGAAGTTTATACTGTACTGTAGGCAATCGTGACAGATGAGTGATTCATGTTTTGTTATGTCTTAGACGTTGTGCATATGCAGGTTTTTCTTCCTTTTTTCCTTGAAAATTTGGATGGGTGAATATTGAGTTTCTTTTCTAGCTCTTCATAGTCAACCCAAAGCACCTGATACCTGGTAGTCTTCTGCTCCTCTTGGTCACTTGCTTTCTCAGGCAGCACTGAGCTGCAGCACCCAGGCAGGTGGGATCAAGACCATCAAGAACAAAGATTTTTATCTCCTCTCTCAGTTAAGTAGTAACGCCTTCCTTTTTGCTGCTTTTCCTTGATCTCAAAAACATTTTCCAGTTCATGGCATGCCTGCCTCTAGGAGGGGGAGAAAGTGGATAAAAATAATGCACTACATACAGTATCTTTAGAGAAAATCACATAAATATTTTATACACTGTACAGTAAATAATGTATATGTTTAGAAAGGCAATGTCAATATTTTATAGACTGCAGAGTAACTGTTCAGGTTGAAATGAAATCACTGTGTCTGGAGAAATGTAGTATGCCCTAAATTGTACCAAACAATTTTACCGTAGCTTAGTACAGTACAGTTCATAAATCACTGCATTCTCTGCATTGACTGGGAGTTCAAGAATCCCAGCTCCAAGTGGGCTCCTCCCTTCATTCCCTACTGCTTTCAAAGACCCCCACTCCCACCTCCCTACTCAAGGCCCTCCTTTGAACTATGGCAGTGATCAATACATGTTCTTGAGAAATTGAACCAGGGCATGTGAATGAACTCACCCAGATCACCTACTTTTCATGGGGTGGGTGGTAAGAAAACTGGTCAGGAATGGACAAAGAAAACGCCTAATGAATTCCATATGTAACTGAGTTTCTGCATATTTTTTCAGGTGCTAAGGACATATCATTTTGGTTTCCTGAAATCCACTCCTTGTGAGTCTTTTTTTTTTTTTTTTTTTGGGACAGAGTCTCACTCTGTCACCTAGGCTGGAGTGCAGTGGCGCGATCTTGGCTCACTGCAACCTCCGCCTCCCCAGTTCAAGCAATTCTCCTGCCTCAGCCTCCCGAGTAGCTGGGACTATAGGTGCATGCCAACACACCAGGCTAATTTTTTGTATTTCAGTACAGACGGGGTTTCACCGTGTTGCCCAGGCTGGTCTTGAACTCCTGAGCTCAGGCAATCCATCCACCTCTTGGCCTCCCAAAGTGCTAGGATCACAGGCATGAGCCAGTACTCCCAGCCTCCTTGTGAGTCTTGATTGGCTAGTTCAGGGTTCAAATATGCATTGGTGCCACTGAAATGCTTAAATATTGTAATATTCACCTGATTATGTGAAAAACACATGGGTGTGTTATGAAAAGCAGACAATACAAATATCAAAATATTCAGAGGAAGGTCAAAACTGTGTCAAGCAGCTCTTTTTCCAGCTAATTGAAACGATTAAAATCAGAAAAAAAATGTGATAATCTAAGTATAATGAAAATGTTTCTGCCATTATAATGTCTTTGAGAGAAAAAAACTCTAAACCTCTAACAGAAACAAAAACAAATAGATCAGCAAAAAAGAGACCAATAGATTTAAATATTATATTTAGAGCCCTTGGATTATTAGTCAGTTTAGTAATTAAGAAACAAAGGAGACCTAAAATGACAGAACATAGAAATAACCCGGGAGATGAAGGGAAAGCAGATAACTTAGAAGCCATAGCAGATTAAAGCTGTTACATGGTATTAAAAGACTCACACTGAAATGCCATAATGGGGAGGGGCTAAAAGCAAGGAGAGTTAAATGTCCCTAAAGACAGTAATTTGAGCATAAGATCACCTGGGAGCTTGTTTAAAATGTAAATTCTGCCGGGCGGGTGGCTCATGCCTGTAATCCCAGCACTTTGGGAGGCCAAGGCAGGCCTGACCTGAGGTTGGGAGTTCAAGACCAGCCTGACCAACAAGGAGAAACCCCATCTCTACTAAAAATACAAAAATTAGCCGGGCGTGGTGGCATATGCCTGTAATCCCAGCTACTCGGGAGGCAGAGACAGGAGAATCGCTTGAACCTGGGAGGCGGAGGTTACAGTGAGCCAAGATTGCACCGTTGCACTCCAGCCTGGGCAACAAGAGCGAAACTCCATCTCAAAAAAAAAAAAAAAAAAAAAAAAAAAAAGTAAATTCCTGTGCTGCACTCCTGGGATTCTAATTCATGAAATGTTTGATTTTTATGCAAATAGAATGTGAGCCAGACTTTGAGAAGCTTTTGATTATCCTAGCAAAATGTGAGGGCAAAGAAGAATAGATGGAGAGGGAGGAAGTTCTGTGAGCATAGAAAGGGGCCGGCTAAGCATTACACCCCATGCCAAATGTGAACTATTGCAAATATATGGCACTGAAAACTACCAACACTGTATACAATGAATATTATGCTTCTTTTTAAAAAGGTTACATTGAATTCAGTATTAGCAAGCAAAAAACGGCAAGGTGGGAGGAGTTACATTCAAAATAGATACTCCTCTGAGACAGGGTACAGGGTACAATAAAGCTCATCTTTCTTCCCTCTTTTTTTTTGTAGAGACAGGATTTTGCCATGTTGCCCAGGCTAGTCTCGAACTCCTGGGCGCAAGCAATCAGCTCACCTTGACCTCCCAAAGTGAGCCACCATGCCTGGCTCATCTTTCTTTAGAAACAAGTTGTTTGGATTTTTCTCCTTTTTTTTATTTTTGTATTTTTTTATTTTTAGAGACAGTCTCGCTTTATTGCCCAGGCTGGAGTACTGTGGCACAATCATAGCTCACTGCAGCCTTGAACTCCTGAGCTTAAGTGATCCTCCTGCCTCAGCCTCCCAAGTAGCAGGACTACATGGACCACTACACCCAGCTAATTATTTTTTTTAGTTTTGTAGAGATGGGATCTTGCTACATTGCCCAGTTTGGTCTCAAACTCCTGGCCTCAAGCAGTCCTCCTTCCTCCTTGGCTTTGTTTTTTTAAATAGTTTATGCTTTACCAACTGATATGGTTTGGTTGTGTCCTCACCCAAATCTCATCTTGAATTGCAGCTCCCATAATTCCCATGTGTCATGGGAGGGACTCGCTGGGAGATAATTGAATCATGGGGGCACTTTCCTCCATACTATTCTTGTGGTAGTGAATAAGTCTCACAAGACCTAATGGTTTGATAAGGGGTTTCCCCTTTCACTTGATTCTCACTCTCTCTCTTTGCCTGCCACCACGTAAGACATGCCTTTTACCTTCCGCCATGATCATGAGACCTCCCCAGCCACAAGAAAATGTGAGTCCATTAAACCTCTTTTTCTTTATAAATTACACAGTCTCAGGTATGTTTTTATAAGCAGCATGAAAACAGACTCATTCGCCAACAAATAATGGATGGCTCCATTGTTCATTAAACTTCTCTTTCGACTCTGAATACAAAAGGACTTTGGAAACAAAGAAAAGACAATTTGTTTTCTTTAGTGGTGTAGACACACTGCAGCTAGATATATTGACTATGTAAGTAATGAAAAACAAAACCACAGAAGAAAAAGTATGTCAATTAGGGTGCTCTGGTTATCAATTACTGTGTAACAAACTACCCCCAAGTTAGTGACTTAAAAGCACAATCATCTGATTGCATCTCACATTTGTGTGTGTCAAAAATGTGGCTTGGGCTCAGCTAGATGATTCTTTTGCTCCACATGGTATAAATGTAGGTTACCTGGAGGTATCAGCTGGTGGGTGGGCTGGTCTAGTGAGTCCAAAATGGCTTCATTCTCATATCTGGCTTCTTGGAAGAAGGGGCTAGGAGCCTGAATTTAGCTAGTTCTGTCATCTGGAGCATCTAAACATAGCCTTGGGGCTCCCAGAAACAGAAAATCAAAGCTGCTTGTTTCTTAAGGTCTGAGACTAGAACCTGGTACAATGTCATTTCTTATTCTATTTGTAAAAGCAGTCATAATGCCTGCCCAGAATCAAGTGGAGACATAGACCCCACTTCTTCAGGAGAAGACTGTCAATGAATTTGCACCCTGAGATCTTAAGTCTATCACACAGTGTTGCAGAAAGGCATATAAATATTTCTTTCCTTGCCGACACATCAAAGGTGGTTGAACGTGTAATCATTACTTCCCCATCCTTATTGCCCATGCCACAAAGAGGAAAAAACCTTCAAAGAAAAGTTAAATTTACAAAATCAGGATGCATTTGTTTACTTTCTTTCCTTACTTATATTGTATAAAATAAAGCAAAGATTCCAAATTTTGTTTGGTATAGTGACCAACCAGTGCTGTGTAACAAATTACCGATAATTTGTTTTGAAATGTATTACCAGTAATGTGTTGCTATTAGTAACTAAAAAAGATTTTTTAAACAATTCGCTTATTTTTTATATTGGAGTTGGGTTCACCATCACTGTTACTCACATGTTGAGTTACATGTAGTTTCCTAGAAATCTCCCCACAGCATGGAGTAAGCCTATGGGAATGTTCCAAGCAGGTTGTAATCACCAGGCAAGAATGATAGTCAAGAAAAAAATTCCTTGAAGGTGTAACTTTTCAGCTGAGAGCTAAAAGATGAGTAGGAGTTAACTGTGCTAAGAGTTATGAATGTTTCAGGCAGTGGAAACATGTGTAAAGAGTGAAACAAGTTTGCCTTAATCAAATGGCATGAGAGACGATCAAGACCCAGGAGAGCTATATCAAGTCAGGCAGTGACTTGGAGCCACTTAGAATCATTAGGGCGGAGACTAAATATGCAAAAAAGAAAACAAACAAACAAACAAAAAAACAAGAAATCAAGCTTAGAGTTCTTCACAACAATCTTCTCCAACTCAGTCTTAGTTTTGCAAATAATTTACAGGAGTGGTAGGCTTAGTCTAATCTTTCATGTCTCCTATGTACCTTTTAGAGATACACATGACAATTGAAAAACAGCAAATAAGCAGGGAATGAATCAAGAAAAGACAAGATCAAGAGTCCCTTCAACAAAATAATAAGCTGGTTTTTAGATACTTTTAATATTTCTAATGAATTTCATCACAAAATTTGAAAAAAATCTGGAATATCCCGTTTGATTAAATTGTTCCTTACTTTACAGAAGATGAAACTGAGGAGCAAAGAAGTTAAATGGCTGCCAGTGCCCCATGGCCAGTTAGGAGCAGAGGGTGGGAGAGGCTCATCATTGAGTAATACATCTAGATAATCACAACCCATCATACATGACTAGATGAGGGGATGAGGTTCCTATCTTTCATTTATAGACCAATAAGAAATGGAATCTCCTTCTATTAGAAATCATCACAGATTGGGTTCCCCAGGAATCAGCTTCTGAGACAGAGGTGAGCATTTATCAGAGAGTGTTTGTAGAATTGACACCTGCATGGGGAAAGGGAGAGAAGCAGGATGGCAGAGAGGAGTGGGCTGAGCTGCAGTCACAAGGCCTCAACCAACCCTGCAGGGAACTTGAAGGCTGGGATGGCCCTTCAGGAGTGGCCACAGAGCAGGCCTTTATAGCCCTGCATCAACCTATCATTGTGTTTGGGCTGCTCCAGGAAACCAGCAAGTGGCTGTCTTCAGAAGAGACAGTTCGGAGCGCTGGCAACGAAACCTTCCCAGCAGCTGGGGCTTAAATTTTTCACACATGTCTAGGCGGATCTGGACAGCACAGCACAGCACAGCACAAAGTCCACAGCAGAAGTACCACCACTTCTCACCACCTCCACCACAATCACCTCTGCCTGGCCAACATCCGGTCTTTCCTGGACGATTGCAATAGCAGCCCCCTGGACAGTCTCCTTCCTTCAGGCTTTGCCATGGACAGAGTTTGCCTCAAAACACAAATGAGACCGTATCACTCCTTCACTGAAAAACCTCCAGTGAATTTGCATCTCACACACAGCAAAACCCAAATCTTTTACCACAGTCTATAAAACCCTATTTGACTTGGCCTCCTCATTCTTATTTTATTCTCATTTAAAAATACAAGGTACATATTTTAAGTGTACAGTTTGATGGGTTTTGACAAATGCGCATACCCATGTAACCACCCCAATTAAGATATCAAAAAATTCCCTTCACTACAAAAAGCGCTCTTGTATATTTTTGCAGTTGCCTGTCCTTCCATCCACCCTCAATTTTACAGAGGTAACCACTGCATTCTTATTTTAAAGTTCTTGCCTCGGCTTAAAACAACAATAAATAGAGTTGGATAAGGATGTCTCATTTTTCTAGGAACAAAATAAACGATTTACCTCTCTCATTGAATCAGCTAGAATAAAGCAGAGAGGACAAGGCACTAATATTCAGAACCACTTCCTTCCAAAAAGAATGCATGGTAAACTTCTATCACCCCTAAAGCCAGTATTTTACCTAAGGTGGTGTTACAGTCATACTTAGCATTTTGCAGTGGTTACCAAAATCTCCGCTCTCTTTTCCTGTGGTGAGCATATATGCTTACACTTGTGCACGATAAGCAGCTCCTGCTTTGAGTTTGCTTTGCTCTTAGGAATGAAAATGTAAAACAATCAAATGTATTCTTTTAATGGCAATCACACTGCTACAAGTAAACAAAATGGATGCCACCGCCCTTAATTTAAACAATAAGAATCACTTTAGAATGCATGACATTCATGCCAGCGCAAAAACTTGTGGCTTTAAGTAGGTGCAGATGTTTAATGGGGTTTGCTGTCGTTCTTACTGGTAATCTCTCAGCATGTACCAAAATACATTATTTCATAAGATTGATTTTGGCAAAGAAATTTCTCTTTAGCTTTTGGTGTTTCCGTGAGGTGAGTTACAACTTAAAACTAAGTGAGAAATTTTAAATACTTCAACCTTATTCCTCTGGACGTTTCTCCACTATAGCCAATTGTGTTAAAATAGCTTTGATTGCAACAAACAGTATGCATTTGTCAACCTTGATGGCATTCACCAAAGATCTCCAAAGTAGCTGGGATAATCTGGGGAGTAGAACAACAAAGCGGAGGATGATAGAACTGTTGGTGGTGGTTCTGGGTGCTGGAGCACCATGTTAGATGAGTCACTGAGGTTGGACTGAGATAGAATAGGGGAGAGGTTTGAGTCCTGGACTGTTTATGAATTGGAAAGCAGTAGTTGATTATTCCTGGCAGGCAGCATCTGAAGTCACTCCTTTCAGATCTGCTGAGATGACTGTTCCATTTTGATGGCCCCTTTCATGGAGAATTCTGGAAAGTTAAGTAACATCCTATTATTTATAGGCAAAGTTGTACCAATTCCTCAGAGTAAATAAACCATGTATAACCATGTAAAGGCAAAGTTACATAAACGATGAAACTCATTATGTTTGAATATTCAAACAGTTCCCCACCAATACACAGTTCAAACTAGCCCCTGGTAAAAACACGATTGGGAAGGGTGGCATGTTTGCAACACTCAAGCTTACTAATGCCCTCCTTAAACCATCACACGGGAAAGAAGTATATACTCAATTTCTTCCTAGGAACGTACTAAGACTCAGAGTATTTCTCAGTATTGTCCAAGGGCATGGTCCTGAGAACAACGCCCTAAACTAATCAAGATGCTTATATTTAAATATAGTTATTATGCAAGTTGACTCCACAACCATTACTGTAGTTCCTTAGAAGTGAGACTGTCAAATTTATATTTAACTATAGAATGTTCACTTAGAGTTTGGGTATGAGTGTCAGGAGAGCAAACTAAAAAACAAACCCTACAGATTTAAAATGGTTGTGTTAAATTTTGTCTAGTTTTATTTCGTAAAGATCAGATCATAAAATAGTACTTACATTTTTAGCATTAGGAAGTTTCACAATTTCCACATTATAAAGTACAGAAGGAAAATATAGGATATTATGTAGCTATATAGTTCCTGCAATATAGAGAATCATTTAGCTTTTGCTGCAGAGCCAGCCCAAAACTTAGCCACTTAGCCACTTTGTTAGTTGACAATACTGCTGGGTGGGTCTTTCTCTGGTTCAGGCCAGGCTTCTGATCTCATCTGGGTTCACTCACATGTCTGCAGTCATTTGGCGGGTCATCTGGTGCTGGCTGGTGTCAGATGACCTCATTCACAGGTCTGGAGGCTGTGTGCAATATTCAGCTGGGGCAATGGGAGTATCTTGGCTATCTGATTCTGATCTTCCAATAATTAGCCCAGGCCTATTCATATGGTGGCACTGGCAAATGTTCCAAGACCCAGTATGCAAACAGACTTTAAGTCTCATTTTCAAGTTCCACTGGCCAAAAAAATTATGGTGAAGCCCAGAGTGAGTGTTAAGTGGGGACCCCAAAAGGTCATGGATACAGAAAGAAGTAAAAAATTGACAACTATTATTTTACTAATCTATCACATATAAAAAAGGTGAATTCAATTTTAATAAAATATGGAGACACATGGAATTGAAAGATTGAACCATTAGTTCGAAGATACTAATGATAGACTTGTCTCCTAAGAGTGCGGCTTCTTTGAACAATGCCATGGTTTTTTCTCGTATAGTCCTGCTTTGTTAGGGGTTCCGTCCTTCCCTATTCTAAGCTGTTTCTTTCCATGTGGGAAGACCTTGACTAGGATGATCCAGTGAGCAGTCCCTTACTCACTGCTCCTCAGGAGAAAAGGAATGAAAAGTTCAAGAAAGAATATATTGGGTAGTACTTCTCTTACTCATGGAGGTGAATCTGACTGAAGACAACACATGTTCTTGGTCATAAATAAAAGTGGAGACCAGCCTGCATGACTGAGTAGGTAAGTTTGTTTAATTATGCAATTTAATATTATGAAGATCTGTCCATAGACAGAAGCATCCTCCAATATCAGCTTTATAGATAATGAAGATGACATTTTTATCTTCCATCTGCCTTAATCTTTTGTCTTGTTTCTCATTTGGGTCACAGCTTGGGCCCTTTCAAATTTTAAGACTGGTTGTGGGACATATAAAATTAATCCTGCCTGGCTCAGTAAAGTCAGTAATATATGGAACGCAACTTAAAAACATACTTGCTACCTTCCAGATTCTTGAATGCAGTGTCTCATATGTCCACTGCCTTAGAATCATCCAAAGCATTTGTTAACAATTCAGATTTCTGGGCCCCACCAATGACCTACTGAATTTCTAATTTCTAGAAAACTGAACATCTTTAACAAGTCCCAAGGAGGTTATTTATTTTAACTTGCTTCTTAATTATATAACAAATAAAAATACATTATTTTCAAAGTATCACTGCCCTCTTCTTCAGATACCCATATATTGCATTTTCTACCTAGTCTGCTATCCAAGGTAAACACTATTTTTACTTCAACATGGATCCTTGCAGATCTTTTTCTTAGATTTGCATACAGTGTGTGTACTTCAGAGATTATTATTTTACATGTGTTTCTATGTGTTACCTCAATGAGAATGTGGCTTTCTGTAAATGAATTATTATCAATCAACAACATATTTCATGGATCTTTCCATTACACAGCACATTATATCTATCATTATATATTATACATTACATAAACATTATACGTATATATACATTATACAACATACATACTATACATTATGCATAAGTCGAGCTTCTTAATGAAACATAGTATTCCAGATTATGAATGAACATTTTTAATAATCCCCTACTGATTGACACATTATTTTCAATTGTTTGCTATTTTAAACAATGTTGCAATGAATACTTACACGTAGGACTCATTATGCGCATATGTATTACCCTGTTCTCAAGCTGCTATGAAGCAATCCCTGAGACTAGGTAATTTATAAAAGAAAGAGGTTTAATTGGCTCACAATTCTGCATTGCTGTGGGGGGCCTCAGGAAACTTACAATCATGGCGGAAGGCAAAGGAGAAGCAGGTACCTTCTTCACCAGGCAGCAGGATGAAGTGAGTACAAGCAGGGGAAATGCCAGATGCTTATAAAACCATCAGATGTCATGAGAACTCACTCACTATCACAAGAACAACATGGGGGAAACCACCCCCATGATCCAATTACCTCCACCTGGTCCCACCCCTGACACATGGGGAAATGAGGATTTCAATTCAAGGTGAGATTTCGGTGGGGCCACAGAGCCAAACCATATTACCATATAAAGCATTTCTCTAGGTAGTTAATAAGCAGTGGAATTGCTGGGCTGCTGGGCTGTTGCATGTTTTAAATCTTTGCTGTTGATTGTTGTGGTGGTGGGTTTTTTTGGTTTTGTTTTGTTTTTGTTTGATTTGGTTTGTTTTTTTGAGATAGGGTCTCACTCTGTCACCCAGGCTTGAGTGCAGTGGCACCATCTTGGCTCACTGCAGCCTCCACCTCCCAGGCTTAAGGGATCCTCCCACTTCAGCCTCCCAAGTAGCTGGGACTACAGGCACTTGCTACCACACCTGGCTAATTTTTGTATTTTCTGTAGAGATGGGGTTTCACTATGTTGCCCAGGCTGGTCTAGAACTCCTGGGCTCAAGTGATCCATCCACCTTGGCCTCCCAAAGTACTGAGACTATAGGTGTGAGCCATTGCCTTAAATATTAATGCATACTGCCAAACTGCTTTGTGAAGTAAGCGTACTAATTTATACTTCCCAGTAATTTACTGAAATACTCACTTTCAGGACCGGGCACAGTGGATCATGCCTGTAATCCCAGCACTTTAGGAGGCCGAGGCAGGCAGATCATGAGGTCAGGAGACCGAGACCATCCTGGCTAACAGGGTTAAACCCTGTCTCAACTAAAAATACAAAAAAAAAAAAAAAATACTCACTTTCCCCAGTTTACATTATCAAACTTGAAAAATGTTTCATTTTCATTTTAGTTTGCATTTCCCTTATTTATTATAAAGTTGAGTATCTTTTTATAAATTCATTGCAATTTATGTTTCCTCCTTTGTGAATTTTCCATTTATTATCTTTACCCATTTTTATTTTGGGCTATTTGTCTTCTGTTTCTACCTCTTTCCACCTTTTAAATACACATTTTTTTATGGAATAATTTTACATTTACAAAAAAGTTGCAGTGTTAGTGCAGACAATTTCTGTGTCCCCCTTAGTCAGTTTCCCCCACTGTTAACATCTTACATCACCATGGTACATGTGTCAAAACTAAGGAATCAACACTGGCACATTACTTTAAGCTCCAGGTGTTAGGCGGAATTCACCAGTTTTTCACTAGCATAGTTTATTTATTCCAGGACCCCATCAGAATGCCACATTGGATTTGGTCACCATGTCTCCTTAGTCTTCTCTGGTCCATGACAGTTTCTCAGTCTTTTCCCACTTTTTATGCCCTTGGCAGTTTGAGAAGTATTGGTTAGGAATTTTGTGAATGTCCCTATTTTTTCTCATGATTGGATTGGTGTTATGTGTTTCACAGAGGTAACATGCCCCCCTTTTCACATCATATCGGAGGGGTCATGATATCAACACGACTTCTGACTTTTCATGTTAAACTTGGTCACCTACCAAGGTAGTATTTGCCAGGTTTTTCCACCGTAAAGTTACTTTCTCCTTTTTCCATATTATTTTCTTTTGAAGCAAGTCACTCAAGGTGAGGGGAGGAAGGTGGGAGTGGGACTGGCAGTGGCCAAGCTCCACTTTCTAGGTGGATACTGTCTACTAAAGTATTTGAAATTCTTCTGCAAAAAGACTTGTTTCTTCTCTCCTATTTATTTGTCAAATCATTTCTCTATATCAGTATGGGCTTGTGTATATTTATTTTATACTTTAAGCTATAATCCTGTACTATGTTATTTATTTGATTGCTCAAATTATTCTAGCTTTGGCTATTGTAAGTTCTTTCGGGTGGGTTTCTCTGTCCCTTAGACATGCCATCATTGTTTTTGTTTGTTTGTTTGTTTGTTTTTTGAGCATTTCCTTACTTTGAGATACTACCAGATGCCCTGGGCTCAATTTGTATTTTCCTTTTTTTCTTTTATGTTTGATGAAATTTTATATATTTTAGCTAATTTTTGAGTATTGTATAGATATTTGCAAGTGTTCTCTCAGTTTCTTGGCTTGTCATGTAGTTTTGATATTATCAAAATTATGCATATTTTTCTTAAATTTTTTTTTCTTTTTTTACTTTTGATCATAGAAACATGTTTATGTTTTCTCCTAATAAACATAATCTTGCTTTTACTTTTACATTTTCTAATCTATCTAGAATTTATTTTTGCAAACGCCATGATGTAAAGGTACAGCTTTATCTTTTTCCCACATGGATAGACAATTACCCTTACATCATTCCCCGTTGTTTGAAAACGTCAGTGGTAAGACTTTCTTTTCTGCTCCATTAATCTATTTGTCTTGTCTATTCCCTTACCAATACCACACAGTTTCAGTTACTAGAGCTTTAAAAGATGTCTTTGTTTCTGTGTGAGCATGCGTTTTCTTATTTACACTAGCTTCTAAGAAACCCAGTAGTCTAATTATTGTTGACATTTTGAACCAGATAATTTATAGTGGGGGCTGTCCTGTGCATTCTAGGATGTTTAGCGGCACCCCTGTCCCCTAATCACTAGAGGCCAGGATCTCCCCGCCTCCTGACCACCAAAAATATCTCCGGTCATTGCCAAATGTTTTCTAGGGGGCAAAGTTGCTGCTGGTTGAGAACCACTGGCTCAATATAATGAACAAATTACAGTGTAAGTGGAATGATAGACTCCTACAAATCCTACTGTGTTTGATTTTCTGTTCCAGCATTAATTTGCTTAGGATAATGGCCTCCAGCTGCATCTATATTGTGCTGAAGGACATGATTTTGTTCTTTTTTATGACTGCATAGTATTCCACAGTGTGTATGTACAACATTTTCTTTATCCAATCCACCATTGTTGGGCATCTGGGTTGATTTCATGTCTCTGCTCTTCTGAATAGTGCTGCAATGAATATACGAATGCATGTGTCCTTTTGGCAGAATGATTTATCTTCTTTTGGATATATACCCATTAACTGAATTGCTAGGTAAAATGGTAGTCACTCATAAGTGTGAGCTAGATATTGGATACTCATGGACATAAAGATGGCAACAATAGATACTGGACACTCCTAAAGGGGGGTAGGGAGAGAGAGGAGCAAGGGTTGAAAAACTAACTGTTGGGTACTATGCTCACTACCTGGGTGACAGGAGCAATCATACCCTGAACCTCAGCATCAAGCAATATACCCATGTAACAAACCTGCATGTATAACCCCTAAATCTAAAATAAAAGTTGAAATTACTTAAAAAAAATCTAGGTGAAGGAAGGGAGAATTTAATTTGTATTTTAGTTTGAACCTGACTTTTGTGCTTTCATAGCTTTTCTATATTCGCCTGGGCTATCACGCCATACACAAAAAGATAAAATTACCAAAAAAATCCTACTGTAGCTTATGATGGGTGTAGACATTCTGGTACCTGAAAGAATTGACCTCTCTGCCCCTCTGACTTAGGCTTAGATATATGTCCTATTTGGCCAAAGAAATGGGAACAAACATGATATGTGTTTGCATTTAGCATTAAAAGCCAGTTTTCACATATCCTTGTTCTTCTTCCTCCCCTGCTGTGGAAACGTTGGAAGCATGTGTGAAAATGCCCAAGTATCCTCCAGTGATCTAGTTGAGCAGAGCCCCTACCAAGCCAAGTTGACAGTGTAGTAGAAACTACAAAATAAACTTAATATTTTAAGCCAATGGAATTTTTGAATTTTTGTTATCATGCATCTTTTGGTCTATCTTGACTCATATATTTAAGTTTACACAATCAGAGAAATATAGTGCTGCCTCTGCACACTAGCTTAATTAGAAAATTATTTATTTCCTCTGTGTCTTCTGTTCCCTGATGCCTTGGTGCTAGGAGAAAATGTGAGCACAAAAGCTATCTAAGCAAATGAGGTTGGCAGAAACTTTTGTTTTTTTGTTAGTGCTTCCAGGTGCCAATTAAGGAATTGGGAACCAGAAGCTCTGGTGATGTTGAGACAAGGTTCCATTTGGATCTCCATTAGAGGCAAAAAACACACAGTTGCTGGTTTCACTTCTGTAAAGATGCTCTCTATAACAGAATATCCTTATAGAGGTACTTTATACCCACAAAATTCCTGAAAATAACAAAGCAGTGGAAAAGGAAAACAGACTAAGGCCTTCACAATTTTAAAGGAAAAAAACCCCAGAGAGCTGCATTTCAACAAAATTCAGTGTAAATTGGGCTTGCTTTTACCAGTATTTGTTTTAATTAGTACTTCTAAAATCATTCTGTGTTTTAGTCATAAGATTGATCAAATCTGAGGTCTTGCTTAATTGCCATTATTCTCAAAGTCTAGGAAATAAATAATTTTCAACAAAACTGTCCAATGACCTTTTCGGGACATTTTTCGGTAGAGGTGTACAGTATTTCACCATGTTCTTGGCACAGCCCTTCCTCCTCTAGTCATCAAAGGCATGTGTAATGTTCTGTACTTTCTGCAAATTGTTCCCAATGCCAGTGAGACAAATTCTAAGGAACACTCTGTGGAGAGTTTGGATTATTCAAAGAGTCTCCAGCTCTCCACACACCCTTTGGAGCCAATTCCCTGGAACGGAAACTATCTCCCTAATTTTCTAAATTGGTAGGTGTGCACCATTACTCACCAAGGAAATTTATTGCCTAAGAAAGAGAGAACAAATGGAATTGGCCCATGCCAGGTGTAACTCCAGCAGGTGTACAGCTTTCCTGCCTGGCTACATCAACCTATTTCCCTTTAGTTCTTTGCCACCCATTTCCCAGAGATTCCTTATTTATGCCACAACCATTAGCAACACAGCTCCAGGGAGCCCTACTAGGCAATGTCATTCTTACTTTAAGTGCTTTCAGTAAATAGGTGAACTCAGTTCTCCAGCAGGAGGGTTAATGGGTCAAAGAAAAGTCCAGCTGCTTGAGTGTCAGCATTGGCACTTCTTATCACCGATGTCGAATAGGTCCTTCATGTATCAAAACATTGACAGTGTTTATACCCAGGAGCAAGACAATGTCTTCGAATTTGTTCCATGAACATGGGCAGCAAAAATGATTTTAATAATTGGAAAAAGTCTCTCCAGACTCACCCCACATAAGAGTGTCTGGCACATTAGTTGGTTCTCAATAAGCTTGAAGTGAAAATGCTCAGAGCACACCAGTGCACCATCATCTTTAGTTGCCAAAACAGAGACCTAATGGTTTTACAAAAGTATCTGCACTGAGTACATGACCAGTCAAAGTTCTACTAACATATGCTTTTCTGGAGGGTGTCAATACCATTGTTTAAAATAACCCTTCTGTTGCTCTTCCAGATAACAGCAAGGAAGTGTAGAAATGTGACTCTGCATACTTTTATTACGGTAATTATGATAATAGCAAATTTACGGTGTGTTTAGTATGTGCCAAACACTGTATCCTAAATGCTTTCCTGGATTAACAACTGTAGGCTTCATGAAAGCACAACATAACGTAGTATCCCCAATGCTGGAGGCACATACAGTGCTTCATATTTGGAAGTGTTTTCTAAGTACTTGTTGAATGAACAAATGAATGAATGATTACAGCATTTCATTTAATTCTCATAGTGTCACTGATGGGCTGATGAGGAAACTAAGTTCAAAAGTCACACATTTCTAGTAGATGGTGAAGTAGGATTTGAACTCAGATTGTCCATTCATAAAGCCTGTGCCCTTGACCCCTATGGTGTTCATTTACTCTTTCATTTTTAACCTGTGGAATAACAGGAAAATTCAGAGATGGCAAGTTTCACAAAGACTCACTGTATCCTAGCTCCCCACAACACTGCCCCTCATTCCACTAATTACAGAGGGGCCAGTACAAGTCTAGTTCTCCTGCCTATTCAGGAAAGAAACGTAAGTGCAGGGTAAATAAAGAGTGTCATGTCTGGGGAACTAGGATGTGGGAGATTAGAAAATTATAGACACCTTATGCAACGTCGATGAGATTTTCTTGCTGTATCACACCAATTATACAGGTCCTTCAGTTCACATAAAGAGCTCATGTAATCACTGACACGTACAAGTGACCTCTTCTTGGAAGATGACAAAGATTTCATTTTACAGGGTTTTTTAGATAATTATCACAGGTGAAAACTTCTGCATTCCTTTTTCATTATGTCTTTGGCACTTCTGGGAATAGGAAAGGCACTGAGTTGCTTACATACCTGACCAGTGTCATGCAATTCTGAGCCAGCCAGCGTAGCTACTCTTGGGTTAAGCAGTGAAAAAGAATGCCTTCATTGTCAAGCGAGAAGGAAAGCCTACAGCTGCCCTGCTGAAAGGTAAATAGGAAGGGAGATTCTCTTCACATAAAAACCAATTCTAATGCACCCTACATTCCTTGGACCGTCACATCAAACCACACGTGGCATGAAAAAGTGCAGATTTCAATTTAGGTAATGTACACGCCGTTGAAGGTTAGCAGAGGACCATGACCAGGCCAATCCATCTTCAGTAGATTAATGTCTGGGTTAGGCAGGTATGTCATAAAACATGGCCAATGCAGGGAGATGCTCAGGGATGGCCTCGTTCTTCCCTAATGCATTGTGATGCTTGCCTGTAAGAGAGCTTTGGTACTTGTAGGGCTATTGCTTTTAAATGTTCCTTCTGACCCAGATAATGTCAAAATGTCTGAATGCACGTGATCCTCTTTTTCCAAAAGAGCATCTCTAATGTAATGCAAATGCACATTGTAGGGGAAATTCCAGCTGAGAAAATGAGGCCTTATATTTCTAAAACCATATACATGTCAATAGCCCATTATTCTCCTGTTTTAAATGTAATTGCAGCCCAGCTTTGAAGGAATTCCTGAAATAATAAAATACATTGAGTAGCAGCATTGGCTCTTGAAGTTATTTTATGCCTGCTCTTCCTCCCTTCTGTCCCTCCTTAGCCCCAAAAAGCAAGTAGCGGTTGTAGAGAAGGGAGAGGAAGAGAGATAAAAGTGAAAATCAGATCCCTTGTCTTGAATGTATTATCAGAACACTATGTGCAAAGAAAACATGCAGCATTACAACATCAGTACCTCTAAACCATTTTTATAAATGTATCATGCATGGTCCAATTTTGCATGACAAATTATTTCCAGGCAATTAAGAATACTTACAATTGTTTTCTTTAGTAAGAACTTTCTTCTATTCCCAATTTTGTTTAAAGCTAATGTTTCCTGTAAAGCAATCATTTTGAAAGAACTCTTCAAAATCACTTTCTCTCATAGTTGTGTGGGCTGTCTTGCCTCCTCTTGATACATTTAACATGTGTATAGTACAACCTTTATTGCCAGACTAGTGAATTTAAAGGGCTCATTATTTCATTCAATTCCACTTCTGACACTCCACTTCTCTGCCCTTTATTTCTACCTCTTATCCTCTCTTTTTCTCAGGAATTGTCTAAAAAATACTTCTTATGGTTAAAGGTAATGATAATATATTTTATAGCTGGGAGTTGCATAGTGATCTTCTTAAGATTTTTCTCCCTTTGGAAGGTAATTGAGACCACGCCTCTTTTAATAAGCAAAATTAAGATGTCCCAACTTCCTGGAACACAGGCATGAAACTTTCCAAAGAGGTTTTAAACATAGCAAACGAAAACATTTTAGATAACTAAATCAAATGTTATTCAGCACATCCTACACTTTTGCCGGAATTTTGATCCTCAAAATATCAGACTGACATGAAGTTCTTCAACTCACTTGTTCCTTTATTTCTGAGTTGGGTTAATTTTTACAAGAGGAAGAGTGCTCTGTTTAAAATTCTTCCTACAATTTCCTGCAAGAAAACAAAACAAAACAAAACAAAACAAAACAAAACAAAAACCTTTGGGTAATCATTGTGGTTCTTTGGTCCAAAGGACCTCAAATCTTCCTAATAATATTCTTTAAGTCTCTGAGTTCCATGATAAAGCACTATGTCATTCCCTGGAAGGATGCATTTATTCAGCTTATCTTTAGGATTGCTTTTTGCTACGTGCATCAAAATATTCAACCAAGTTGCGTAAAATCTAAAACATTTATTATTTTCAGAACAAGAAGGCCAGAGGAGGTGATTGCTGGGTTGCTCTTGGGACTCGATATCAATAAGGGCCCATCTCTTCCCAAGCTTCTCCTCTGCATGTCTCCAGTGGGGTGTTGAGGTCTCCCCTGATGGTCTCAAAATCACTGCCAAAGTACTAATCATCAAAGCTTCCTGAAACCACGTTCCCAATTGGAGTGGGGGTGGGAAGTAATGGCAGAAAAAAAGGCTTTCTTCCTACTTCTGCTCATACCCCACTGACCAGAACTGGCTCTTCTATCCACGCCCATACCAATAACTAGTGGAGGAAAAAGGTGACCTGTGATTTACTTATGACAATCAGGAATCACCTCCTGGGACTGAGGAAGTTACCACGTAACGAAACTGGAGTTTCCTCAAATAAAGAAGAAAGGTGTAATAATGACAAACAGACACACACTAGTGTTTTTCCTACTAAGGTAAAAAAGAAATAAAGTGCTTCCTTATTAGTCCTTTTGTCTCCTTCCAGTTAGCCATTTTGATTCTTACCAGGAAGCTTATTGCCCTTCCAGGTAAATATGTAGAATTTTAATCAGATTGAAAACACCACAGAAAGTAGTCTAGCTATCAGGTATATCAATCCGCAGTGAGAATCAACTTTGTGCTCCACTGGAAAAAGTATATATATATATATATAATTTTTGCAATGAGGAAGGCACTAGTTTGTTTTCTCTGGACAAGCCTGGCATTATAAAATACAAATTGCTTTGGAAAGCGAGTTTTTATGTTGGTTGTACAGAACTTTATAGGTTTCAATAGAAATTATCAAAAATTATAGTTGGTTTTCTAGCCAGCCCCCCAAAGTCTGTAACTCCCAGGAGGACCCTGGAGTGTACTGCTGACTGCACCTCTGTACTTACTTCTTAATTGCTTCCTGAACAATAGTCACAAGTTAAGCAGCTGTAAGTCTTGGGTCACCTGTATAAGTACTTGGAATTTACCCCCAATCTCTGGTGTTATGCCAAACAATTTGTGTCCTAAAGCAATCAAATCAATCCTCTGCTATAATAGAAACTTGTTTCTTTGATGTCTCAATGAGCTCATCCTTAAATATTTGAAAGCGAGGCAGTGCCCTTCCTCAATTGTCACTTGGCACAGAGCCATGTGGATTTGCTGTTTCTGATCGTGTAATCCACATAATCAAAAGTTTTTCCACCTCGAGAGGCAGCCCATTCCATTTTAATATTCCATGTTGATTGCATCAGTTGAGGAACAATCGATGCCATGTGGCATCCCTTGCTTCCATAGCAGCCATTAGGTGATCAAAAATATGAATTGTATTTAATTCTTTTGGGTCTGTCTTATTTAAATTGTTTCAAAAATAACAACTGGAAGGTTGAAGGATATTTACAAGTTTCTTTTTTTTAAAAAAGGGGATCATTTTAAAATCTTGATTGTTTAATGTGATGATATGAGAATCATTTGGAAGCATTTGGTTACCAGTAATACGCACCTGAAAACCAGTGGTCCCGACATATTAGGGGGTTATTTTTCTCTATCATAAAACAGGCCTGAAGATAGCCCAGGATTAGTATCACAGGCATTCAATGCATGTAATAGTTTTCTTTTCCCTGCTTCTGCTTCAATAACACCAATTCTGAACCCTGACACATGGTTAGAGGTGGGATGTGACAAGAGTGGAGGCTGAGGATGTGCTAACAAAAAGGAAAGGAGTCAAAGACGAGGGAAATCTGTATGAGGACAGCAGGAAGAAACAGGCATTCCGTGGTAGTTGGAGTATGTAAAAATACATTGTTAACAAGTGTGGTAAAGTTTCCTTATAATGGAATTCTTAAGCATTATTTACTAAGGTGTCACCAATCTCCAAAAACCTTGGAGCTTTCATCTTTCTTTAATTTATATTACAGATTGTATTCATATAAATTCTACCTCTTATCTGTTTGTCATCAAGCTGAATTTATATCAATGTTTGTAACCCTGAGGATAGACAAAACTAAAATTAGCTCCACATCAGTCTGAAGGGGGAAATTTTTTGTAGATAAAAACAGTCTCTTTAAGTCTATGGTAGTTGATTAGTCCCTGCAGTAGAGAAAATTAAATTTTGTGGTTGAGACCCAGCGTGCTTGGATGGTTTAATAATACTGTGGCCATGGTCCAATGGCTAACAACCAAGAACTTAGGTACGCTCTGTACTTTAGTCCCTCGTGCAACACCTGAAATTCCTGGGGCGAATCAAACAGCAAATTAAAGCTCAGACAACCTTCACCTGCAAACCATGCACAGTATAAGGAACTCATTTTAATGTTTTCTGGCTGAAGTCATAGGGGATAAGAAAACAAAAGAATGGCCACGAAGGAATCCTGGTAAGTTCTTAAAGCATCTTAGTTTGCGATACATTTTCCCCCTTTCCAGGTTCTTGTAACTTTAACTGCGCTTAGAAGTTAGTGAGTTTCTCTTCCTCTAAATTCCAGGCTGTACAAGGGCCAAATTGAACGTGGAATAGGAAAAAAAAAAAAAAAATCTTACGAATGGGCATACATCTTGAAGGGTACTGCTGTTTGGAGAAGCAGCATCAGGAATTTAACTTTGTTTCTGTGGAGCCCTTCCAGTCCTATGCTGAGACTACATTGCAATGGGCAATTCAGTGACTCCCTGGCTCCAAATAGTGTCTAGTTGATGAGACAAAACCAAGTAGGCAAAAGCACCACTTACACACAGATCTTGGATTTTTTTAAAGATTAAATCTGACCTTTTTTATGGGTTCTAAAATATTTAGTTCAATGATATGAATTTGTATTCCCAAAAAAATTCTAGAAGAAAAGTTTTGGTATTTTAATTTATTTATGATGCATGTGGTTTGTGGGTTGGAGACAGAGATTGAAAATGATAAGCTAAAAAAAACAGAGATTGAGTATTTGACTATGTACTAGTTTTCAATTGTTGATACATATTTCACAAACTGGGTGGCTTACAACACAAATGTATCATTTTCTCATTCTGAAGGTCAGACGTCCTCAAATCAAGGTGTTGGCGGGGTTGCGTTTCTTCTAGAGACTCGAGTGAATCCACATCCTTGCCTTTCCCAGCTTCTACAGGCTGTCTGCATTCCTTGATTTATGGTCCCTTCCTCCATCTTCAAAGCACATTACTCCAGCTTCTGGTGCACATCTCTCTTCTCTCTGATTTTCACATTCCTGCCTGCCTGTTATCTGTACGCTTGTGATTACCTGGATAATCCAAAAATAATATTTCCATCAGAAGATCCTTAATCACACCAGCAAAATCTCCCCTTCCTCCTTTTACTTATTTTTTTCTTGTGAGATAACATATTGACATGTTCTGGGCCTCAGAATATAAACATCTTTGGAGACCATAATTCAGGCCACAGGATGTTTAAAACTAACCTCTTTAATTGAATTGCTGACTCCTTGATGTGTAATATACATGGTTTTTCAACAAAGGATGGGGATTGTGCCGTCTCTTTACCACTGTGAGAATTATTTTCTAAAATTTGAGACGAGAGTGGCTTTACTTCTCGTTTAAAAAATGTCAAGAGCTTCCCCTGATGTCAAATAACACACAAATGCATGCTCAGGTAACTATCCATACGAAGTATATCCCATATGGATTCAAGTAACTTTACAGTATTTTTCCATTTAAATCATTCACTCATCCGATGGTACATTTTCTTACCCAAGATCTTTTACTTAAACTGCTCCTTCAGCTGATTCTTCTAATATGTGGTCAACACCCAACCCATTTTATAAAATTTATTTATTTCATATTCCACCACCTTCTTAAAGCATTCCCAGATACTTTTTTTTTTTTTTTTTTTTTTTTTTGAGACAGATTCTCACTCTGTTGCCCAGGCACGATCTCAGCTCACTGAAACCTCTGCCTCCCGGGTTCAAGAGATTCTCGTGCCTCAGCCTCCTGAGTAGCTGGGATTACAGGCATGGGCCACTACCAAGCTAATTTTTGTATTTTTAATAGAGTTTGGGTTTCACTATGTTGGCCAGGCTGGTTTTGAACTCCTAACCTCAGATGATCCGCCCACCTTGGCTTCCCAAAGTGCTGGGATTACAGGTGTGAGCCACCGCACCTAGCCATCCAGATACTTAAATTTGGAGTTCTCATTATTAAAATAACTAACAAAATACAAATAATGTTATAGTTACAAAAGAGAATTATGCTTTTCAATCTCTGTAAAGTGGGAATCTAAGTTCTTTCATTTCCAGATGAAGAAACTTAGTCTCAAAGAAGTTAGGTTACTCGGTGAAACCCATGACCGCTGAGTCCAGATCCATGCTTATTTTCAGTTTGCTATCTAAAACATATCTAGTACTGACTCTAGACCACTCTGTAGACATCTCTCTCTCCCCTTGTTCTTTCTCTCCAAACTTTGTTTTTGTTTTATGATACTTGTCACAGGCTGTTTGGTATCATAGCTATGTTTGTGCTCATCTGCTATTCTGTAGGCTTTGAGAACAGAAACTGTGTCTTTCATTTCAGTATTCCATTTAGGACCCAGGAAAAAGAATTCACATGTATTGACTGCTTATTGTATACTGAGCACTTTTCTCATTTATATTATTTGTAACTCACAATTACTTCGTGAAGGTGGCATTGTTCATTTCATTTAATAGATGAGGCCATTGGAATTTAGGAAAATTTCATAAATGTCTTTGGATACACAGCAAGTATGTACGATAGTCAAGCCCATATTCTTCCTATATGCCTTGCTGCATACACACTCAATAAATTTTTGTTGATGTGAAACAAATATTACCTTAGTGTAACTATTGTGAAATATGTTTCCCTTGGGAGATGGTAAGACAACTGTGGAATTTGCCTTTAGGTAGAGCTCCAGGAATACATTCTGAATGCCAAAAACCATGGGAAGAGGAAGAAGGAAGAGTTTTGTGAGTTCACCTTACATTCTGAGGCCATAAAAATACCCTCCCCTGTCAGAAAACTGATACTTAAAGCCAAAGTTTGCTTAAAAGGCATGATTTTAGCCTTTGGTAAATAGAAAGTACCTTACACTCAGCCAGCCAGGAGAGATGATTTAAGTTTTATTTCTGGACAATACTTGAGTAACACTTTGGAATGTGATTCCCCGCCAAGTGGACGCTGTTGGTTTCACACAGCTGTAGTTAGAGATGGCAAGCGCTATTTACTGGGAAAATGATAATGCAATTGGATGTTGTACTGAACCCAAGGGTGAGATAATTTCTGTTGTGCTGTATCACAGGCCTGCAGTTAAGTCTGTTTGGTCAGCGTGTTGGTAGAGCCTATGTGGTTGATGCTATTTCACAGGACTTAGTTATAGAAGAGGAAGGTTTACCTTCATTTTAAATTAATGCAAATGGTGCAGATTCAGCCCCAGTCAACTGGTATTTTCCAGATTCATAGTTTACTTTTCAAGTGTATAGAATGTGTTCTTCCCCTTGGATTTCTTTAACTGAAATGTTTACACTTGACTCAGTAATCCCACTCTTGGGAATGCACACTAGGGAAATGATTTAAAATAAGAAAAGAAGCGATGGGCATATCTTTGCAACATTATTTATAATCATGAAACATTGGAAAAAACCAAAATATCCAGCAATCAATGAATGCCTAACAAATTATTGCACACCCTCTTAAGGGAATCATTATGCTGCAATCAAATTATAATTATAAAGATCATTCAATAAACAAATACAGAAAACCAAGTAGCAATATGGGAAATGTCCATAATGCATGAGGAAGTGAAGAAGTAGAAGGCAAGCCTAGCTAAGGTTCGCCATTTTATGGTTTAGGATGCAACTTACGTACCCTTGTCAGGTCCCTGTAGCCAGGTATGTCATAAAGTTTAGGCTAATCCACCAAGTCCTCAACTGCCTCCCAAATATTGCCAGAGATTTGGCAATATGCTCTCTGGGGGCTAAGAGATGGGAGGAATCTAGTCTACTTGAGTCATTTCTCCATGTGCTGCCTGTTGCTGGAAGTTGCTAGCTGCAGAATATAATATGGTCTTTTCCGGCTATGCCCAAAGAAAAGTGGCTGAGGGAAAGTCAGCTCCAGTAACTTGTAAAGGGACCAAAGTGATGTTTGCTCACCAGTGACACCTGGCAATGGGAACTGTCTAGCAAAACAGAGAGAGCCCTTGGTTTCCAAATTCTTTTCATTACCTTACCAGCTATCCCACAGCATATGAAGATGCTCCAGAGTAGTGGAACAGTGAACATTTCCAGTTTTGGTTGCTTTATGAGTCAACATTGGTGGAGAAAGGGGCCAAAGTGGAATTGTGGCTCTCTTGGGGGAAAGCTCATTGGAAATCATGTAGCCAAATTTTCTCCAGGAGAAAAAGGAGGCTGTGGGAACTAGTGCTGCTTCTGGAGCAGAGCTGATTGGAAATTGCCAAACACCGAAGGGACTCTGATGGGATATCTTGGTGGCAGGAAGGTAAATATTGTTCTCAGAATATAGCTATACTCCCCCTGTTCTGGTCTTTACCATGAAGGCCAGATTGGAGCCCTTTTTGTAGTAGCAAGTTCTTCACTCGAAGACTATTCCCTGATGTCATGCTCACTTCAGAGAACCCATTCATTAGTAGCCTGAGACCCCAAATATACTAGTTCCTTGTACATCTAACTCTTTGTTTAACCATATTCACAATCCCATTGTAGGCCACAAGACAAGATCAGGACTAGTTCTTTCCTGATATATAACCACCGTTCCCCCTTTTCTCCTCACCTTTACTCAGGCCAGGCATAGTCATTTGGTTTCTACTCTGTTATACTTCTTTCTGTCCTTACCCATGTAGAAATAAGATTGTAGGCATTTACACTCATTAGGCCTTGGTTGTAGCTAACCTAACCCACAACCTCCATTCAAATCTCAGAAAAAAGGAGTTAGTTTATCTGTTTCTCCTGTCTCCTCAAATCTCTGAATATCACATGCAGGTTTGTCCAACCATTCCCCAGAATCGTCATCCAAGAGAAAGGGCTTGTTTTGATTAAACAAAAAGATCCTCTTACTCCTTTTGTTCAATGAAAAGAGGAACCTGGAAGGTTTGCTACAAGATATCCCTGAGGAGGAGGAGGAAAAGTACATGGAAAAGAGGAGGAGGAAGGAAAGGGAAAAGATGGCAAAGGGAGTAGGGGGAGTAAAAGGAGAAAAGGGAGAAAGAAAAGGAGGATAAAGAGAAAAAGAAGAAGATGGAAGAATGAGGAGGAGAAAAAGGACCTGGATGCAAAAATTACGATAATAACTGTGAAACTACTATGGGTATGAAAGAGAATATAGAAAAAGGAAGATGGTAGATGTGTTAGAACTTTGGGATAGATCTTGTTTTTCTTAATTTCTTTTTTAAAATTTTTTAAAATTTGTGTAATGCCGTTGAGAAGCAATGCTTGGTGAAATAGATTTGAATTCATCTGTTGGTGTGCTCAAAATGGTACATAGGAAACTTTTGACTGACAGAATAAAAATCTATATTCCAGCCCAGCTCTGTTGTTTAATTATGTGACAGACAAGTCATTTAACCTCTCTGTGCCCAAACTCGTCATTTATAAAAAATGAAATGATCTCTAACAGAAATTGGTGTCACATTTTCGCCAGTGGCTGCTCTAGATGTGGATGATATCAGTTTATGCTTCAGAGTAAACAGAGGAACAGTTTGCAAATTTGGTTAGTAGACCATTCGATTAGTTGTAATGGAGATGTAATCAAAAACAAAAATTTAGTTATTCCAAGATGCTGAAAAAGAAAGTGATTTCCAAAGAGATGCTAAATAAGGATTTGGTATATAGAGAATAAAAGACCAAGAAGATATAATGAATATTACAGAATTAAAGGCTAGAGAAACTAAGAAATCAACTTCCACACCCCACTCAGTGTCTAAGTCACCACTGTAGCATCCTTATCATGCAGTTATTTCGAGCAGTGATTTGCAAACATTGTTCTGAGGAGACGTAGGGGCTCCTCCAACATGCTCCAGAAGTCCATTAAAGGAAGCAAAAGAGGAGGAAAAGGAGAAGAAGAAAAAGGAAGAAAAGGAGAAGGAGGGCTCCTGCTACACAAATTATGAACTACTACAAAGAAGGAAAAAGGGAAGTTCTTCAACTAGAGCAACTCCATTCTCAGACTTGTTATATGTGGGTAATCTGAAATAATTTTTTTTTAATCTGGACAAAAAAGAGTTCCATTACTTTAAAATAGTTTTAAGAAAACCTGTGGTCTGGATTATGTGTGTTTATTTATTAGGCATTATTTGTTTATGCCTTTATTAAGTTTTGGCATCTGAAACAGAACAGAATTGTATGATGTAACCCATTAAAAGAATAGTGGCCCTTACAGTTAATACCCTTCAATACTGAACCCATAGGTGAGTTTTTTGTTTTGTTTTAATTTTCTTGTTTGTTGGCTTGTATGGCAGCCACATAACTTGTCTTTCTACACCTGCGTGGATTGGTTATTGAATTAAACTGCCTCCTGGGAGGAGGTAAATTTGCATGAAGCAGTTCCTGTTAATTTAGGGCAATGCTTGAGAAAGGCCTCAGTTGTGAACCATCAGCAGAAACACTCCCAGTTGCTTGAGAATGAAGGTCTTAATCCCTAAAGAGGCCATGTAGCAGCACAGCTTTCACTGCACCCCTTGCATCACTTCAGTCATTCATTTCATGTAATAAATTTGTTCCATTTGGGATTAGCTCTTCTATGGTTGTGGTTGGTCTCTTTTCCTGGGGAACCATATAAGAAAAAGAACAGTGAAGTAACTGAGCCTGATCTTCAGCTTTTCTGTCCTCCAGCTGCAGAAGATGAGTCTCTTTACATGCTGCCAAAGAAGAACTCTGGTTTTTGTATTTAGCATTAAATTGGTGATTACTCACCCACAGGCATTTACCATATATTTTTCCAATGCACTGATTGCCAGAGCAACAGCTATCCAATGCTTAGCTCTTAAAACAACTACTTCTCCTTGTCCCTACACACACCTAATTTGTCAAATACCAGTGATGTTGCAGCAGCTAGTGTATTTTCTTTCATAGTATCTCTTCCCAGTTCACCACTGGTGAAAGTATTAAAAGTTCTATTGCTACCATATTCCAGGGGCTATCAATATTGTGCCTATCACCAGTAATGGGAGCCTCACTGCCAACCAGACAGACACAGATCCGGCTCCAAAATTTCATTTTCATCCACTTCTAAGGATCACTCCTGGCACCAACTGTTGGCCATTGAGAGTCCTGGGAAACAGACTCTAAGACAGACATTTGCATGCAAGATGTTTACTAAGGATTGCTCTTGGTAACAACACATGTAAGGAAGTAAGGAAAGCAGGACTGGGCATAGGGACAAGTTGAATCATGATGCAGGTCCAACAGAGACTGGAGTTGATCCCACAGGAATGCCAAAGTGGTGATGGTCTTTCAGAGATGTCGCAAAATGAGGCAATTATAGCCCCGCACAACAAGTCACTGGATGTGTGCTACACTGAGACAGGGAGCGTAACTTTTAAATGCCCCTTTCAGTACACAGCCATGCTTAGGGGATTGCTCAGCTGGGAGCCATTAGCAGTCATCACTCCCAGCAGCTGAGGGAATGAGTGGCTCCAGGCACATTGGGGAAATCTGGGTACTACACAACAACATCTACTATAGCATGCATCTCTTACTTGCATTTTTCTACAAAAATGTCATGAGCGACCTAAATCACTGGTGTTCTCTTCCAGTCAGGAGACAGAGAGATGACAGTATAGTGAGGAACATTGAAAAAAATTCTCCTACTACACTGAGTAACAGGTAAATCTTCCTGGACGTAACTGTGACATTTCAGTCTAAGAGGTATATAAAGTGAGAGACATGTGTGAAAACAAGATTCAAAAATATGCATAAAGAATGTTTATTCCCAAACACTTAAAAGATGATCAGTTAAGGTCAACATAGGTATGAAGTTTCCACCATTAAAATTCATAACCAGTTGTTCATATTACCCTAAGGAAACAATAGAAACTAAAGAATTAGGAATTTCAACCAGTGGAAAAGTTACTAATAGTGAAAATTGAACAACCTAGTAGTTTATTACTTAGTAAATTATGGGATATTCCTTTTTGGAGCTATTTAAAAACTAAGGTATATTCTTATTTTAATGTTTTTAATATGACAATTATAGTAGCTGCCATCTATTGAGTACCTTCTCAATAAACTGAGTAATGTATTACCCTAGGCATTTAAATATATCACTTTATACACCCTTCTGCATTTAGTACATGTAAATCAATTTAATTCCCACACATTCTAGGATATGTGTTATAATACTTCCTCCAGGGGATATAAAGGCACGTAACACAATTAATTAAAAATGAAAAGTTTTGAATGCACAACAAATTAATAACCATTCTCAGCTAATTGTGTGATCACTTGGTTATATCCTGCAGTATTTGAGAGTTACACACTTGTGTGTACATGGCTTGAGGAATGGCATGAAGGACTCAAGTCCCAAGATCTCTGCCTGAAATATTCTCACATTCTGCTAGACCTTTTGGAAAACAAGGGATAATAATATGATTATGACAGGATCTCAAAATTAGTATTGCAGATGATTACTTATCACTAATTAACCTGTAATTTTAAAAAATATATCTTCATGAAAAATGTTATCACATGAAATCTTATTTTCACCTTCGATAACTCTTTGGTTAATGCCTATTGGTGTTATGTAAAATACTTAATAATCTTAAATTTTTCTTTTTCTTTCTTTAGTAAATGCTTCAAACTTTTTTTTTTCTGTTTCCATTTTGCTGCTAGAAATATCCTCCCTATTATCTTTACTAATGAAAATTATTAAAATAACATCCATAAAGTACAAAATTCAAGAATTTACTATAGTTGACACTAGGTAGAGAGAAAGTTTAAATTTCTCCTCCAATATTTAATGAAACACATGTGCACACAAACACACACAAACACAAAGACTTTTCCCTAGTGTCCTGAATGGTATGCTGTAATTATTGAAATAAATCAACCTTCTTGAAAGAGAGATCTAATCATTAACTTCAATGTTCAGAAAAGAATTGCACAATTGTAATTTCAACAACTGTCACTGCCTAACTAAGGCTAATTCACTAAAATTATGTGTAGGAAACAATTGGCAAGCTGCAAAATGAAATACTAAAATCTTCAGGAAACAACTAATAAACACATTGAGAAGATTTATTCTAGTTTTCTGCATAGGGAGACACTTATGCGAAAGTGTCTTATCCAGAAAGACAAAACGGCAGTAAGATCCTTGGTAGGAAAGAAGTGGTAGACAGTAAAAGTTGAAAAACCACAAAACCTAAGCCTAGTGGACATCTATTTTATCTGACTGCCTGAAGCATCTCAGCTTGGAAACCATCCTCTTTCTATCTCAGTCCAAATAGTTCTGGAGGACCTGAAGCTATCCCATGGCTCTAAAAGTGGCCACAAATCCCAAGCCTGGTCAATCACAGTATTCACTTATTCTAGCCAGACCACTGAAAAACTCATTTTGTAACAAATTCCTAACTTTATTTGGACATCTGATTCTAACTATCCCTGAATTTAGGCCAATAAGTCAGTGAACTACAGGCCTCCTGACGAATGAACTACAATTGCTCTATGAACAATCATGTAATAGAATATGTCTGATTTGCCTTCTAGCACTAGAATTGACAAATTTCTATCAAAAAGAGTACTTTCTATGCTTTCTACTACATGCATTTCTCAAACTCTCAGCTACATCTAGAGGCTCCTTTCACAAAGATGATTTGCATACAGGTTGGAATGATATCTACTACGTGACTCTGACTTAAAATGTGCTTGTTCTGAATAAAGAATCTCCTCAGCTTCTTAAGAATTTACCCAGTGTAATTAGATACACCCTGATTCATCTAAATGCTATCCAAAGGCTAAATATCTGTGGCTTTAATTGAAAAAGCTCATTAACTTTAAATACAGCTAAAGTTATTGAGGGGGAAAAACTCTCAGTAGAAATACTCTAATAGATTGTCTAGTAAGACTGAAAAGGAAAGGCTTGTGTATTCTAAACCAATTAATCTTGACATCGTCTACATCATTCCACTTATTTTGGACCTGAGTCTAAGTGCTTTGAAAAGAAAACATATGCAGGCATGCTGGCTGAATCCTATTCATTTGTCAGATATTCAACAGACTTTAAGGCTTTAAACTAAGTCATCTTTCTGGGTAACCAAAAAGCAGATGAGAGGAAATTTCTCTTTACAGATGTTTTCCAGCTAACAAATGAAAAAAGGAATGATACAATTAGTATATTACCTTTTGGAGTTTTAGCCAAGATGGTTGACCAGACGCAGCCAAGAGGAAAATCTGTCACATAGAGACCAGGATGTCAGAAAGACTGGTGCACTGTGAGCAGATCTTCAGAGGGAACGCATTGAGAGTGGACAGAGGGATGACACAGATGCTGGGCTGAAGTAGGAGGAAGATGAGAACCCTGCATGGGGCTAAGCACCAGGACTCATTCCTGGCCCCCACGAACTCCTGGGGAAGGGGTGAGTTGAACAGGCAAGGCATGGCCCACTCTCACCATGGACTGCTGGAATCCTGGCAGCAGGAGACACCACAAACCCCACAGACCCTGAGCTAGCAGGAAAGCTGCCTAGAGAGGTGTAGGCACAGGACTCCAGCCTATGTGGAGCCCAGAGGGTTTGGTGCAAGAATGTCTGCAGTGGAGCACTGTCAGGAACTCCCATCTCATAAGGCTTGCCATGCTGCTCTAGGAGACTTTAGATTTGGGGTGACTCTCAGACCTAGACAGCACAGGGCAGGCTTCTCCATGGGATGGGGCCAGGCTAATCTGAGCACCTCACTATCTGCTGACCTCTCCCAGGGCCCCAGCCTGGCTCCACTCACTTGCAGCACATCCTTGGATGTCCACCAGGGTGCTCCTTGGGACCTTCATCACAGCTGCTTTGCCAGCAGACCACGCCTGACCATCAGAGATCTCCAGCAGAGTGGCCCCCACCAATGTATACCAGCCCGCTTGCATGCTCCACTCACCACAGCCTCCCCCAGGTTGCTTTGCTGGCATGCACTCACCCATGGCTACCCCCTCACTGCTTTGCCAGAATGCACATATGGGCAAGTGTGTGCGGGAACACTGCAGCCCTACTACCACTAATATGCCACACCAGCCAGCATGTATGCACCCTGCCACACTGACATGGCTGCTGGTACATGCAAGACAGCATAGATCCTGCTGCCACCACCCTAATGAAGAGTTTTGGCTGGCACCATCCATTACAGTATTGTGTTCAGCAGACTGGGAACATCTCACTCCCTCCAGTGCAGCAAGTTCCTAACCTTAAGGGACCAGAGAACAAAGTCAGAGGATGGTACCAGCCCCCCACCAGAGATAGAGCATACAGTCCAGGAGTGCTAAGCTGAGGCTTGGCCCTCCAAAGTCTTTCAGAAACAAAGCCATTCGACTGAATTCACTTTATGCCACAATCAAACACCCAAGGGCATTAACGAAGATAAAAGCAAAAAAACAGGCTGGGTGTGGTGGCTCACGCCTGTAATCCCAGCACTTTGGGAGGCCGAGGCGGGTGGATCCTGAGGTCAGGAGATCTAGAGCATCCTGGCTAACATGGTGAAACCTCATCTCTACTAAAAATACAAAAAATTAGCTGGGCGTGGTGACAGGCACCTGTAGTCCCAACTACTAGGGAGGCTGAGGCAGGAGAATGGCATGAACCTGGGAGGTGGAGCTTGCAGTGAAGCAAGATTGCACCACTGCACTCTAGCCTGGGCAACAGAGTGAGACTCCTTCAAAAAAAAAAAAAAAAAGCAAAACAACAACAACAACAAAAAACCATCCAAAATAAAGCAACTTCAAAGACTGAAGGAACATCAGCCCACATACTTGAGAAAGAACCAGTGCAAGAATTCTGGCAACTCAAAAATCCAGAGTGTTTTCTTACCTCCAAAGGACCACACTAGTTTCCCAGCAATGATTCATAACCAGTCTGAAATGGATGAAATGACAGCAATAGAATTCAGAATATTGACAGGAATGAAGATCATTGAGATTCAGAAAAAAAGTCAAAACCCAATCCAAGGAATCTAAGGAATACAATAAAAGGATACAGGAGATGAAAGATGACATGGCCATTTTAAGAAAGAACCAAACTGATCCGATAGAGCTGAAAAACTCACTTCAAGAATTGCAGAATACAATTGCAAGTATTAAAAGCAGAATCAACCAACCTGAGGAAAATCTCATAGCTCAAAGACTGGTTTTCCAAAATAACTCAGTGAGACAAAAATAAAGAAAAACAAATAAAGAAGAATGAAAAAAGACTCCAAGAAATATGGGATCATATAAAGAAACCAAATCTATGACTCATTGGCATCTCTGAAAGAGAGGGAGAAAAAGCAAGCAAATTGGAAAACATATTTGAGTGTATCTTCTATGAAAAGTTCCCCAACCTCACTAGAGAGGCCAACATTCAAATTCAAGAAATGCAGAGGACCCCTGTGAGAAACTATACAAGATGACCATCCCCAAGACACAGAGTCATCAGATTCTCCAAGGTTAAGATGAAAGAAAACATATTAAAGGCAGCTAGAGAGAATGGGCAGATCACTTACAAAGGGAACCCAAACAGGCTAAAAACAGAACTTTCAGCAGAAACCCTACAAATCAGAAGAGATTTGGGGCCCATATTCAGCATTCTGAAAGAAAAGAAATTCCAACCAAGAATTTTATATCCAGCCAAACTAAACTTCAATAGCAAAGGAGAAATAAGATTCTTTTCAGACAAGCAAATGCTAAGGGAATCCATTACCACAAGACCTGCCTTACAAGAGGTCCTTGAGAAAGTGCTAAACATGGAAAGTAAAATCCATTAACAGCCACCACAAAAACACACTTAGGCACATAGACCACTGACTAGTGGAATCACATGACCAAATCTGCATAATAGCCAGCTAGCAACATGATGATAGAATCAAATTCACACATATCAGTATTAACCTTCTATGTAAATGGGCTAAATGCCCCACTTAAAAGGCACAGAAGGGCAAGTTTGTATAAAGGAGCAAGACTCAACTGTATGCTGTCTTCAAGAGACCCCTATCACATGCAATGACACAAATAGACTCAAAGTAAAGGGATGGAGAAAAATCTACCAAGCAAACAGAAAGCAGAAAAAAGCAAGAGTTGCTATTCCAATTTCAAACAAAACAGACTTCAAACTAACAATGATCAAAAAAGAAAATAAGTACATAACATAATGGTAAAGAGTTTGATTCAACAGAAAGACTTAACTATCCTAAATAGATTTGCATCCAACACTGGAGCACCCAAATTTATAAGGCAAGTTCTTAGAGATCTACAAAGAGACTTAGATAACCACACAATAACAATAGTGGGAGACTTCAACAATCTACTGACAGTATTAGACAGATTATCAAGGCAGAAAACTAACAACGATATTCAGGACCTGAGCTCAACACTTGACCAAATGAATCTAAGAGACAGAGGAGCTCTCCACCCCAAAAGAACTCTCCACCCCAAAACCACAGAATTTACATTGTTATTATTTATACATGGCACATACTCCAAAATAGGCTACCTATTTGGCCATAAAACAATCTTCAGCAAATTCAGGGAAACCAAAATCACACCAACCATGTCCTCAGACCAGCGCATAATAAAACAGAAATTAATACTAAGAAAATTGCTCAAAACTATATAATTACATGGAAATTAAATAATGTGATACTGAATAATTTTTGGGCAAACAATGAAATTAAGGCAGAAATTGAGAAATTATTTGAAACTAATGAAAACAAAGATGCAATATACCAGAGTCTCTGGGACACAGCTAAAGTAGTGTTAAGAGAGAAGTTTATAGCACTAAATACCCACATCAAAAACTTAGAAAGCTCTCAAATTAGCAACCTAGCCTCACACCTAGAGGAACTAGAGAAAAAAGAGCAAATCCACCCCAAAGCTAGTAGAAGACAAAAAATAACCCAAATCAAAGCAGAATTGAATGAAAGTGAGGTGTGGAAAATCATACAAAATATCAATGAATCAGAAGTTTGTTACTTGAAACAATAAAAAACATTGACAGACAACTTGCTAGACTAATAAAGAAAGAAAGAAGATCCAAATAAATACAATCAGAAATGACAAAAAAGACATTAACACCTGCCCTACAGAAATACAAAAAATCATCAGAAACTACAACGAACACTTCTGCATACAAATTGGAAAACCTAGAAGAAATTGATAAATTTTTGGAAACATACAACCTCCCAAAATTGAACCAAGAAGAAATTGAATCCCAGAATAGATTGAAAACAAGTTCCAAAATTGAAACAGTAATAGAGTCTTTCAACCAGAAAAAGCCCAGGACCAGATGGATTCACAGCCAAATTCTACCAGATGTACAAAGAAGAGCTGGGACCATTCCTACAGAAACTATTCCAAAAAATTGAGGAGAAGGGACTCCCCCTGACTCATTCTATGAGGCCAGCATCATTCTGATACCAAAGCCTGACAGAGGCATAATAAAAAGAGAAAACTTCAGGTCAATATCCTTGATGAGTATAGATGCAAAGATCCTCAACAAAATACTAGCAAACTGAATCCAGCAGCATGTCAAAAAGCTAATCTACTGCAACCAAGCGGGCTTTGTCTCTTATGCAAGTTTGATTCAACATACACAAATCAATAATTTATTTCATCACATAAACAAAACTAAAGACAAAAGCCACATGATTGTCTCAATAGATGTAGAAAGGTGTTTTGATAAAACTCAATATCCCTTCATGGTAAAACCCTTCAACAAACTAGAAACATACATCAAAATAATAAGAGCCATCTATGACAAACCCAGAGCCAACATCATATTGATCAGGCAATAACTGGAAACATCCTCCCTGAGAATCAGAACAGGGCAAGGAAGCTCTCACTACTTCTGTTCAACATAATACTGGAAGTCCTAGCCAGACCAATCAGACAAGAGAAAGAAATAAAAGGCATACAACCAGGAAGGATAAAGTCAAACTATCTCTCTTCACAAATTATATAATTATATACCTAGAAAATCCTGTGGTCTCTGCCCAAAAGCTCCTAGATCTGATAAACAACTTCAGCAAAATGTCAGGATACAAAAATTAATGTATAAAAATCAGTCACATTTCTGTAGACCAACAATGTCCACACTCAGAGCCAAATCAAGAATGCAATCCCATTTACAATAGCCACAAAAAGAATACAATACCTGCAAAAACAGCTAACCATGGAGGTGAAAGAGCTCTACAACAAGAATTATAGAACACTGCTCAAAGAAATCAGAGATGACACAAACAAATGGAAAAACATTTTTTGCCTATGGGTAAAAAAGAATCAATATTGTTAAAATGGCCACACTCCCCAAAGCAATGCTATTCCAATCAAACTACCAATTGCACTCTTCAAAGAATTAGAAAAACTGTTTTAAAATTCGTATGGAACCAAAAAAGAGCCTGAATAGCCAAGGCATTCCTAAGCAAAAAGAACAAAGCTGGAGGCACTGCACTACCTGACTTCAAACTATACTACAAAATGACAGTAACTAAAACACCCTGGTAGTGGTACAAAACCAGATACACAGAACAATAGAACAGAATAGAGAACACAGAAATAATAGCACACACTTATAACCATCTGATATTGAACAAAGTCAACAAAAACAATTCATGGGGACAGGACTCCCTATTCAATAAATAATACTGGGATAACTGGCTAGCCTTATGCAGAAAATTGAAACTGGACCCCTTCCTTCCACCATATACAAAAATCTACTCAAGATAGATTAAAGACTTAAATAAAAGACCCAAAACTATAAAAAACCCTGGAAGATAACCTAGGAAATATCATTCTGGACATACACTCTGGCAAAGATTTCATGATGAAGTCACCAAAAGTAATTGCAACAAAAACAAAAATTGACAAAAGGGACCTAATTAAACTAAAGAGCTTCTGCAGAGCAAAAGAAACTATCCATAGAGTAAACAGACAGCCTACAGAATGGGAGAAAATATTTGCAAACTATGCATCTGATAAAAGTCTAATATCTAGAATCTGTAAGTTACTTAAATTAACAAGCAAGAAACAACCCCATTAAAAAGTGGTAAAAGGAAATGAACAGTTTTCAAAAGAATATAGACACACAGCCAATAAACATATGAACAAATGCTTAACATCATTAATCATTAGAGAAATGCAAATCAAAACCACAATGAGATACCATCTCACACCTAGTCAGGTTGGCTATTATTAAAAGTCACAAAATAACAGATGCTGGCAAGGTTGCAGAGAAAAGGGAGCACTTACACACTGCTGATGGGAATGTAAATTAGTTCAGCCATCGTGGAAAGCAGTTTGGCAATTTCTCGAAGAACTTAAAACAGAACTACCATTCAACCCAGCAATCCCATTATTGGTATATACCCAAAGGAAGATATATCATTCTACCATAAACATACATGGACATATATGTTCATTGTAGCACTATTCACAATAGCAAAGACATGGAATCAACCTAAATGCCCTTCAATGGTAGACTGGATGAAGAAAATGTGGTACACATATAACATGGATTACTATGCAGCCATAAAAAGAAATGAGATTATGTGATTGGCAGGAACATGGATGGAGCTGTAGGCCATTATCCTAAGTGAGCTAATGTAGGAATATAAAACCAAATACTGCATGTTCTCATTTATAAGTCGGAGGTAAACAGTAAGTACACATGGACACAAAGAAGAGAACAAGTGACACCAGGGCCTACTTAAGAGTGAAGGGTGGGAGGACAGTGAGGTGACTTAAAAAACTACCTATCAGGTACTATTTTCATTACCTTGGTGACAAAATAATCAGTACACCAAATCCCCGTGACACACAATTTACCTATATAACAAAACTGCACATGTACACCTGAATCTAATATAAAGATTTTTTTTAAGTTAAAAAAAGAGTGCAACTTTTTACAACTCCTAATCAACAGCTCCTTGTATCACTAATAATTTGAAGTAACCACTCAACACCACTATAGTAGTCTTACTCCAAAATGTGAACCTTAATCTGATCAAGCCTCTAGATTAACCCCAACACCATCCACATTTGGGGCCACGTAATTCTTTGTTGTGCAAGGTATTCCCACAACATTCTCATGTATTCTCAAATGTCTAGCAGCATCTCTAGTTTCTACCTGCTAGACGCTATTTTCATCCCTGTGTTGTGAAAATGAAAATGTCTCCAGTCATTGCCAAATTTCCCATGGGAGGATGGGTAGGGGAGGGAGGAGTAAAATCACCCCATGTTAAAGCTCACTGCTCTGGATTCAAATCCAAGTTACGATAAATACCTAAGTCTCATGCTAAATGACAGCATGGGGTTGCAATCAACAATTTCCACACAGTAAGGAATTTCTAATGGACAAACAGTTTTTCTGGTTGCTTGCAAGGAAAAAAGAAAACAGATATGAAAGGGAAACCCATAAATTAAAAGTGATCTGAGAGATATATGAACTAATCACCATATGTGAACCTTGTTTGGATCTTCATTGAAACAGACTATAAAATCAGTAATACATAAATAATTGGAACACTCACGGAATATTTGATCATTTGAAAGAATCATTGCTAATTTTTAGGTGTTACGATGCTGTCATTATGTTTTTTCTTTAAAGCTCTTATCTTTTGGAGCTACATATAGAAATTTTTCACAGATCAAATGAGATGTCTAGGATTTTCTTCAAAATAACGCAGAAGTAGGGGTAAATGAGTGGAAGAACAAAAGACACAGATTGGCTATGAGTAGGTAATATTAAAAGCTGGATAATCACCTGAGGGATTATTATACAATTCTGCTTATGTTTGTGCAAGTTTTAAAAAATTTCATGATAAAAATTACAAATAAGGCAAATTATTTCTAGAAAAGGAGGTTTCTTTGTAGAAAGGACTGTAAAGAACATCTGTACAAAGGAAAGTCTTCAAGAAAACAACGTAAAGTATTCATAGCCAATGAGGGGAAAAAAACAGCTCAAAAGCTTTTTTAAAGATCCTTAAGACCTGCATTTGGACGAATTCCCTCACTATAGCATAATGACCGATTTTGATAAGAAGGACATGTGCAAACATATCAAATATTACAAACTAGTGTAATCAAATAGCCATTAGCACCAACTGCATTTTAACTTCCTCACAATGGGGTTGTGTTAAGACTGCTATCTAAATAATTCAGCTAAACATTTTTGCTAACCAAGATTCCATCTCTCCTGCCCAAATTCACAAAACAAATTTTTAAATTTTCTTATTTTCTCCTTTGTGTAAATTTACACTTTGGCACTTCCACTGCTACTGCAGTCAATCAGCATCATCTGAATTGCTGTGTTAGGATCTTCATTATTCTCGCCTGCAGACTGTTCCCTCACCAATTCTTCATGCATGCAAAGTCATCTTTATAAAGCACAGACATTATTGTATCGCCTTTTTATTTAAACATCTCAATATCTTCCAAATTCATCTACATTAATTCTAAAATCCCCAGCCTGGCAGTCTGTGGAGACTAAAGCAACCCCACGTTGGATGCTCATCTGCCATGTTGGCTTCTGATGAACCCCAGTTCAGAAAATGCCTCTAAGATTTCTATTCTGTCTACTGTTCCTTGATTCCTTGTGTAAGGGCATGTATTTACTGTAAATTCTGCCCTTAGGTCCAAATACACTTGACTACAAATCCTGCCTTTAGGCAGATTCACACAGCATCCTTCCCTTTCCCTATGATTGTCCTACAGATTCCTTCCCTATGGTATATAAGCCCTAGATCTGGATGGTAATGGCATGGGGATCTTCTATCTTGTCTTGCCACTGCCAGCAACACAGACATGACTTCTGTTGCTAAGTTCCTATTCAATGTTTCTTTCTGAGAAATTGAATTTGTCAGCCTCTTTCTTTGGCCTCTCAGCTTCCTTGGGCTTTTTGGGTTAGGTTTGCATAGAACTATTCAACACATTCACAACTCTCTATGATCTAGATGTTGGCTATTTCTAATCGTCACTCACTGTATCTAATCTGAACCCCTCACAACACACTCACACATAAACTATGTTCCTTTCCTTAAATTCACTCTGCAGTTTCTTCTCTGCTTACCTCTATTTATTCTATGCCTATATCGCCCATCTGTACCACTCTTATCTTTTGCATTTGTACATACACTGCAAAGCCTGAGCAATTACCAATTACTCTACAAATCATTGCTTTTTTTTTTTCTGCCAGTTGGGATTAATCTCTCTTCCAGATTCCCTTTCCTTTGTACTTCTTCATCTAGTAGGAAACGCTTCAGTCAATTTGGATTTAAGTATATCTGTCCATTTTCACCACTTTACTGAGATTTCCAAGAAGACAGAAACCATATTTTATCTAATCGTAATGGCTGGTTGCAATATAGGCTGCACAAAATGTTGGCTGAATTAAGTACGGTGATTTTCTTAACCTCATAAAATAACTAACGCTATTCCTCCCAGTAAAAATACATGCAAAAGATCACAGAATTCAGAATTGTCATTTTGAAATAAACAGTGAAGCAGAAATCCCTGTGAGATGTTTCAATCACCAGAAGAAGGAGGAAGCATACATGATAAGTGAGAGGGTCCAGATGAGGTTTGGTTTCTAAACCCTACCATCCCTATCTCTCAAAAAACCTCACCTACAAACAACAAGAAAATTGCAACTAAAACACTTTCTTATTAACTGCTGGATAAGCACTGATACTCCTTGTCTTAACTCAGTTTTTCTAGGAAATAGAAACTAAAGCAAAGGTTAAGTGCTAATATTTTATTAAGAATTAAAATATTTGGATCAGGGCAGCCAAAGTGAGGAAAAAGAGAGTGAGGCAGAGAAGCATGAAAAGTATACACAAGATGGCCCTGTTCCACGTAGGGATACAGCTGGTATCCCAACTATATTGGACATCTCTGGATAGGCTACTGAGCTTTGGAACCATATGCTTACAGCAGGACTGGACAGGGAATTTTTCTGTGAGGGTTTATTTATGGACTTCCAATTCTATCCCATTGATTTGTATGTTTTTCCTTATGCCAGTACCAAACAGTCAAGATTAATGTAGATTTGTAGTAAGTTTTGAAATTGACAAATATGAGTCTTTTGACTTTATTCTCTTTCAAGATTGTTTTTACTATTCTGGATTTCTTCCACATCTACATGAAGTTTAGAATCAGTTTGCCAATTTCTGCAAAGAAGACACCAAGCATTTTGATAGAGATTGCATTGAATCTGTAGCCCAATTTGGGGAGTATTGTCACCTTAACAATTTAAGTATTCCAATTAATGAACATAGGAAGTCTTTTCATTTATTTAGGTCTTCTTAAATGTTTTTAGGAAGAAGGTTTTATGGTTTTCTAAGTATAAGTTTTGTGCTTCTGTTATATTTATACCTAAATCCAAACTATTTTTATTCAAAACAAACCTACTAACATTTAGTTTTTAGTTTTTTGTTCCCCCTCACAGTCTAATCTCTTCATGTTAGCATAGGAATTTGCAAAGCAATTGAACTAGTAGTAACATATTTTTTCCTTGCCAAAACCCAGGAAGGCTCCTCTTCAGATCTGGTGTGGAGAGAAAAGCCTGAGCTTTTATGTTTAATTTCCTATTTTTCCCCCAGTCTTAAGTACATGACATGGGTTATTTATTTAATTTCAGAGCCTTGGTTTTCTTAATAGCAAAATAATAATAGCTAACATAATGTAGTCCTTACTTTCTGGGCACTGTTCTAACTGCTTTGTACGTAGTACACAGTAACTAGTTTAATCCATGCAGCAACTCAATGAAGTAGGTTCTCTAATTTATTTTCATTTCATAGATGAGGAATTCGACACTCCAACTGGCAAAGTGATTTGTGTAATCACATGGTAAATGCTAGAACCATAAATCAGATTAAGGCTGTTTAGCCTCTGAGGTCATGCTGTTCACAAGAGTGTATTAATTCCTTCCTCATAGGTGTTAAGGAAAATTAAATGAGAAAAAAATGCATAATGGTCCTGACAAAAGGTAGACATTGTGTAAAAGTTGTTTTTTACTAGATAAAAATTTCCCCTATTTTGATGGAAGGCTATTGATCTTTTCACTTAATAAAAATGCTTTACCTAAGTAAGTAATGTCTTAATAAACACAGAGGAAGGAGGATTAACCATGAAACTAATAAACCTTAGGCTTTAAGTTCATTCATCTACACGACCCACTTCCAAGTCCGTGTACCTAATTTATAAACTTGTAATCTTTTTAAAGAAGCTCTGTCAAATTGTATAAGTTTTAGATTCCACAAAAGCTGAATCTGTCCCTGAAAGTGTATTAAAAGGAGGATTAAAAGATAACCCAAAGATTTCTAGTTTGGAAGAATGAAGTGGGAGTGTCACCTATAACTGAAGCAAAAGAAAAAAAGGAAGAGGAAGAGATTTGGGAAAAGAAGAAATTTTATTTTATATGTCTTCAGTTATGAATATGAGAGGAACAATGAGTTAGAGATGTCCTATAGGACAGGCACTAGAACAAAAATCCCAGTCCAAAATGTCAGTAGTGTTGTGATTGGCAAACCCATATTAGATTGGATCAAGGAAGAGACTGAAGAAAACATCATTGAGAAAAGGATGAGAACCAGGATTTCTGCAAGGAGAGAGAGTTGAACTGCATTCTAAAAGTATTATGCAGAAACACAAGAAGTACAAATTGGATAGCATTATTTCCAGTGTTTGGGGGCATATTAAAAAGGCCATCATACTGTCTTGCCAGTGGTGTCCACCATCTTTACTCTGCAACTGCCTTGTCAGGGTGATGATTCTCAGATGAAGTAACACAAGTTAATTATGTCCAGGATAATAGAGTTGTGAATAGCATGCAGATGCTCAACATCTGCTAATTCCGAATTGAATAACTCTTCAAGTTAATGCCTTTTCGTAAGCCCTGGAAGAGTTGCTAACATATAGACTCCCAAATGTCTATTCCGCAAATTTTGTTTTACATCTAGTGTTAGGGTGTGTCCAGATTGGTATGATTCCATGACACTTACGGTTTAAATTAGTTGCTTTAGAGAGAAATTGAAAATAAATTATTGCATTGACAATTTTCAGAGATAACAGCAGTGACTATCCATGAGAGTATTGTGAATGGGTAGGCTGTGGGGAAAGGCACTTTATACCCCCCCCCCCCACACACACACAGAGAAAACCTACATCTAAATAGTCCTTTTTCACTATTCCTGATTAGTTCCTTTAATATTCCTCCTGTGGTGTGCATTAAGCTCAAGAATGCGTGTGTAGGGCAAGAGAGGGGTAGGGGTGTGAGATAGGGAAGGAATCCTGACACATTCTTTCTGTACATAATCTTAAGTCATGATCACACTCTTCACAACTCTCTTCTCTTCTCTACAATTGCTCCGATTGGTTTGTTAGCATCTTGCCCTCCATATTTGACTAATACTATTGTCTTTCTTCTAACTATAGTCTTGGATCTTCTCAATTATATCTCTGATCCCCACTGTATGGAGCTATCTTGTTGTTCTTATTTGTTTCATTTTTTTGTTTGTTTTCTACAGTTGTCTTGTTTTCTGCCTAGGATCCATTACTCTTCTCCTTCTTCTGGTAACACCACCTTGATTTTCTTTTAGGAAGTTACCTACTCAATCTGTATGGGTTGGGTAGCAGCCCATTCTTCATACTCCAGAGCTAGATCTTGGACCTGGGCCTGGACAGTTTGTGTATTACATTACCCTCGCCATAGTGATTGGCCCACAGGTAGCCTTACAGCCCAGGTTAATCCAGAAAGATTTAATCCCGGGACATTTTCTAAATTTCTAGGATGCTTTATTTATTTCTGCCAGATTTGTTCACCTGTGAGGATTTCAGTTTGATATGCCGGCAATCATTTATCTCAAAAGGGCCTGCTTGGAAATGAGACTGATAAAGCAGAGCATATCTACAGGATGGAAGGCGAGAAGAAGGAGGAAGAGAAAGGCGAAGTAACACAGAGAAAAAGACAAAGAATGATAGAGGAAGAGAATGACAGAATTCCAACAAATCATTTGTGCTTTAAGATTCAGGTGGACCTGAAGATCCATTTTCAGACTTTTTATTTGTTAAACAAATGGTTGAATTTTTACTAACTACATACAAAATCAACTTGACTAATGCCTTTACTTGTTAAATAGATAATTCTTAGAAGCACTGGGAATAAACAGTGAAAAGGATGGAAGCAGTTCTCATAGTCTAGTTAGGAAGGTAAATTTCAAACAAGAGATCACAAGAGTACTAAGTGTTAAGGAAAACATACGGGGTGTTCTGGACACACAAAGCATGGGGACTAATCTGGTCAAAAGAGTTAGGGAAATAGTCTTCCAAGGGAAACCCCAATAATGCAGATTCATGCAATTGTCTTAGTTTGTATACTCGTTATCTAGTGCCATAAACAACAGCTTAGGATCTGAAAACAGTGGATTTTTTTTTTCATGGTTATTGGGGGTCAGGAATCCAGGAGTAGCTTATCAGAGTGATTCTGGCTCAGGGTCTCTCATGAGTCTGCAATCAAGGTGTTGGCTGAGGTGTGGTCATCTCAAGGCTCCAGTGGGAAAGGATCCACTTCTAAGCAGCCTCATGAGGTTGGCTTCTAAGTTCACTTATCTGAGCTTCTCCACAGAGCTACCTCACAGCATAGCAGCTGCCTTCTCTCAGGGTGAACAATTCCAAAGATCATGACAGGGACTGAAGCTACTGTCTTTTTATAACCTAAGTTTAGAAGTGACACATCTTTACTTCTGCCATATTCTGTTCACTGGACACAAATCACCAAGTCACGTTTATATTCAAGGGGAAGGGATTATACTAGAACATGCATACCAAGAAGTGGGGATCACTGGAGGCCGTCTTAGAGGTTGCCTCCCACAGTTAGTGTTATCCTAAAAGCAGATCTTAAGACAAGGATTTAGGTGAAAGCAGTTTATTGGAAAACTGATCCCAAGAAGTACTGTGAGGAAGCTGGGAGCAAGACAGGAAATGGAGGACAACCAACACATGGTCTTTAATGAGTGGATTACAGCTCTGGGCCACTGGGTTCCATCCTGCTGGGGTCCCTGTGAGAGACTGTATGAAACACTGCTCAGAATTGTCCCACCGGCCAGGCGTGGTGGCTCATGCCTGTAATCCCAGTACTTTGGGAGGCCGAGGCAGGTGGATCACAAGGTCAGGAGATTGAGACCATCTTGGCCAACATGGTGAAACCCCTTCTCTACTAAAATACAAAAAATTAGCCAGGCGTGGTAGCGCTTGCCTGTAATCCCAGCTGCTTGGGAGGCTGAGGCAGGGAAATCGCTTGAACCAGGAGGCAGAGGTTGCAGTAAGCTGAGATCGCGCCACTGCACTCCAGCCTGGCGATAGAGCAAGACTCTGTCTCATAAAAAAAAAAAAAAAAAAGAATTGTCCCACCAAGCACCAAGGAGTTAAGAAAGCTGGAGTATTTATTCACCATCTCCTGTCCCATGTATCTTTAGGATTACCTGGAGTTGTCTGCAAGGATTAGGGGAAACACCAGCAATGTCTGCTCTAGTTGCCTTAAGGACTACTCCTGTCTATTATTATTATTATTTATTTTTATTTATTTATTTTTTTTTTTTTGAGACAGAGTCTCATTCTGTCTGCCAGGCTGGAGTGCGGTGGCATGATCTCGGCTCACTGCAACCTCTGTCTCCCAGGCTCAAGCAATTATCCTGCCTCAGCCTCCCAAGAAGCTGGGATTACAGGCATGTGCCATCACACCTGGCTAATTTTTGTGTTTTTGTAGAGACGGGGTTTCCCCATGTTGGCCAGGCTTGTCTCGAACTCCTGACCTCAGGTAATCGACCCACCTTAGCCTCCCAAATTGCTGGGATTACAGGCGTGAGCCACCACACCCAGCCTACTCCTGTCTATTTAACCTAGCTCCTGGGACTTTCTTCCCTTGGCTGTCACATCCCACTCACATGAGGCCAGATCTCATCCAGCCTCATGTGAGTGCGATGTGAGAATCAAGGAGGGAAAGTACTTACCAAACTTGCTCGATCATAACAGTCACCTGGAGATTTTATGGCCCAGAATCTCTCTATATAGCTATACAAAGAGAGAGATTTGGCTCATTTGAAATTATGAAACTCTCCCAATAAAATCTCACCTTTTAAAACATGTCTACTTTACTGGAGGAGATAAGGTAGGCACAAAATAGCTATTGCACGAGAGAGTCCAACACTAGCATCAAATATCATGGGGGAGAAATGGGATCCCTTTATGGATAAAGAATTATTTGACTGGATTTTTAACAGTGAGAAGTTGGTAGTGTTTAGATAGAAGCAACTATTTACCTTCTAGAAAGACCAAAAATACGGTTTGACAAGAGGCATGATGTGCCAGAGAGATTTATGGGAGAAGAGGTTGGAAGTTGAGTCCAGATGCAGGAAAGGTCTAAATGCCATGTTATGAATTAGATTTCACTGGCTGGTGGGGATTGATGAAAGTGTTTGAGATACAGGTCACATAGTCATACATGGTAAAGCAATAATATCTCATCTCAATGAGCATTCACACCTCATACTGAAGGACAATGAACAGAGTGAAAAATGGAATTTGTAAGATTGAATAAAAAGTTATGTTTGATATAAATAGCATTGTAATTATTATTATACAGTATTATCTGTAAACTCTTTGGCATTCCATATACTCTAGATAAGAGGTTGAAAACTCATTCTATAAAGAGTGAGATAGTAAATATTTGAGGCTCCATAGGCCGTATTGACTCAGTTCTTCTCTTGTGGCATAAAAGCAGCCATAGGCAATGTATGAATAAATGGATGAGACTGTATTCCAATAAAACCTTGTTTACAAGACAGGCCAGATTTGGCCTTTTGGCCATGCTTTGCTGACCCTTGCTGTAGATCAATGCTTCTCAAATTTGCATGTGCAGAAATCACTGGGGATTGGTTAAAATTAAGATTATGATTCGGTAGGTGTGAGGTGGACCTCTGCATTTCTAACAAGCTCCTAGGTGAGGCAGATGCTGCTGGTCCTTGGACCACACTCTGAGTTGCAAGGGGGAACTACAGTGAATTTTCAGCTACAAATGTTTCTGTATTTGAACCTTGATGTATCTTTCCCCACTCACCTCTAAGACTTTATACCTTATATAGAGTGAAGACACAATAAGCCTGTTTCCCTCAAACTTTCCTGACTTTAAGAGTCATTGAGATACTTGCTTTTTATATAGATTCTCAGGCTCTTTGCCCTGGAGATTCTAGGGGTCTGGGATGGGACCCAGAATCTGGATCATTAAAGACCCAGGTGACTGTTTTGATCAAGCAAGTTTGGTAAGCACTGGGTTAACCATCACGGAGTCATTCTCCATCTCCTGCAATTTTCCATCACACTCAGGAGTGGCCAACACTGTGATCCTGCCAGGAATAAGGAGCAGTGCGAGGCATTGGCAACAGAAGGGCGTACAGATGCTGTCTCTGCCTAAATGATCTTTCATCTCAGGCATCAGTGCTACAGGCAGTACTTTCCCTTAGAGAATTCAAAGGACCATACTCTTAAGCACATATTATTTATAGGAATATAGTCACTCAACCACTCCCCAGTGAGTGTTGCTTTACTTTCTTCTTCAATTAAAGCCAACCTTGAAAGAATTGAGAGTGATATTTACAGTCCTCTAAGGAAAATGAAGGTAAACACACCTAACACTTTCAGCATAAAAAAAAAATACTTAACTAATACAACCAGAACTTACAGTATATCCTGGGTACTTCAGGCAAGAGACTTTTTGATCCACGTCCAGAGAAAAAGCTCTCTTTAGAGAGAGAAGTAATTTTTCTGACTAGTCAAAAATTAGCACTGAAAAAATACATGGGTTTTCTTTAAGACAGATCTTTCCAACCAAAATGCTGGGGCCTTGCAAAATAGAAATGAATTATTTAAATTATCAGAAAATAATTTATTTAAAGAAAAATATATTAATAATGGAGTTTTTGAACAATATAGGCTCAAACAGACCCTAAGAGAAGAAACACTGTTGCTCAAGTGGTTTAGAATTGTTTGTCCTAGAATATTCTAAACTCCTGGGAGGAAGGGGGAATCCTCTGCTTTTGCTTGTGAGTATTTATAATGCCTCTTCAAGATTCTCTTGTCCCTGCAGCTCCACCTAGTAATGGCTTTTTACATACTAAAAAGGACAGCTCAAATGTCCATGACTGGCCAGGCGCAGTGGCTCATGCCTGTAATCCTAGCACTTTGGGAGGCCAAGGTGGGTGGATAGCTTTAGGCCAGAAGTTTGAGACCAGCCTGGCCAACATGGTGAAACCCTGTCTCTACTAAAAATTCAAAAATTAAGCCAGGCATGGTGGCTCACACCTGTAATCCCAGCACTTTGGGAGGCCAAGGTGGGTGGATCACCTGAGGTAAGGGTTTCGAGACCAGCCTGGTCAACATGGCAAAACCCCATCTCTACTAAAAACACAAAAATCAGCTGGGCATGGTGGCAGGAGAATCGCTAGAACCCGGGAGGCGGAGGTTACAGTGAGCCAAGATTGCGCCACTGCACTCCAGCCTGGGCAACAGAGTGAGACGCCATCTCAAAATAATAGTAATAATAATAATACAAAAATTAGCCATGCATGGTGGCACGCGCTGGTAGTCCCAGCTACCTGGGAGGCTGAGACATGAGAATTGCTTGAACCCAGTAGGCAGAGGTTGCAGTGAGCCCAGATCATGTCAGTGTACTCCAGCTTGGGCAACAGAGTGAGGCTCTGTCTAAAAAAAAAAAAAAAAAATCCATGACTGCCCCTAGAAGACTTCTCAAACATTCAATTCATGTGACAATTACCAAATGACACACTTTCATGTACCTAACAGAGTCTCAATTCCTAAGGTCAGGCCTTTTCCTAACTTATGCAGCCTCATCTTTGACTAATCCCCCACCCATCAGGGATACTTGACAGTAGAGACTTGAACTTCTTTGAAGTCTCCTGAGCATGCCATGCTTAACCATTTCTCAATTGCAGGTGTTCTCTCTGCTTAGAAACCTGCTCCTACATCACTCCTCCTCTCCCCTCTGTCTGCTCAACAAATTTCAACTAATGCCTGAAAATCAACTCAAGCACAACCTTCTCTGTGAAACCATCTCTGATTTAGGAGCATGGTACTATCTCCGTGTTTCCACTGAGTCTCATACCTGCTCTCATCAATGCATTATGAGGTAATATTATTTCTATTCACTAGTTGCTTTAAATCTATTTCCAAACAAAACTAAAAACTTGGGAACATGGATGATGCCAGTTCATCTTTCTCATTCCCGTTCTGCTCCCCAGTAGAGTACTTGACACAAAACAGGCTGGATGCATGTTTGAAAATGCTGATGGCAGTGCAAGAATGAATGGATCAACAGGGTGAAGATATTTACACAGAAGTAGCTGTCAGAGCTGACCTTGGCTAACTGGATGATGAACAATTAAGCTATTATCCTATAGTTCCTAAAGTCTCCTACTTAAGAACAAGCTCTGGTTTCCAGGCTTTTAATCCATTAAATCTATGCTTGTACCAAGCAGCTGGCATGTCATAAAAACAGATTTCCATTACCCTCTGATCAGACACAATCTTAGTCTGAACCACTTGTCCTAACCTACCCTACACACTACGCTTCACGTGTTTCTGGTCATTCTGGCTCATAGCCTTATTACACATTCTTCTATTTACAAGCTCACTACGTTCTTCAGGCCTGAACTTGGTCCTGCTTTCTGACTGGTTTGGGTTCTTCTTCTTGACTATAACTTGAATTTTCCCTCTAAAATCATGGCGCCCTATAAGTGGGCACCTCTTAGTATCCAGCCTGCCCTCAGAACTTCTTTGGTTAGAGGTCTTGCTGGACTTACCCCCAGCCTTCTGAATGGGATGCAAATGCAGGGCACTACCTTGACCCACCAGGTGAGTCACCATGTGACTCAACTCAATTTCCCAATGTGGGAAATCGACCCACATTGCAAATACTAGGAAAGAAAGGGAGGAAGTTGAGTCAAAAACAGTCTCTACACCATGTCAGCTGGTATATTTTGCTCCATTTTAGAGCCATTTACATTTGTCCCCAAAAATGATTTTACCATTCGTATTCAGGCCTTTGAGAGAAAGATGCATTGAAATGAAGAAAGAGAAAATAATCTTAGAAGAGTATAGAGGTAGGTGATGAAGGGATGAGTGAAATGGTGAAAGAAAACCAATTTGGTATAATTACTTATAGCGGCATATTTAGGGTAGAATAGTTTTGCACCTGATGCTGAATCTATCTACTAAGCCTGGTCAAAGTCCTATTGCAGAGAAGGTGGGGAAAAAAAGTGGTTAAAAAGAAACTACCAGCCAGGCACGGTGGCTCACACCTATAATTCTAGCATTTTGTGAGGCCGAGGCAGGTGGATCGCTGGAGCTCAGGAGTGCAAGACCAGAGTGGGCAACATGGAGAAACCCCTTTCTACCAAAAATGCAAAAATTAGCCAGGCATGGTTGCAGACACCTGTGGTCCCAGCTACTTGGGAGACTGAGATGGGAGGAACGCTTGAGGATCACTTGAGGCTGCAGTGAGCTGGGATCACATCGCTGCACTCCAGCCTGGGCAACCGAGTAAGACCCTGTCTCAAAAAAAAAAACAAAAAACAAAAGACAAAAAAAAAAAAACACTACCATAGCAACAAGACAGAAAGAGTCAAGGTTTCATTACTGTGAATCTATGGAATTCTTGCATTTCACTATTACAGGATAGAGAAATAAATTTCTGTGTTAAAACCATGAGAGAAAGAAACTGTCAGCCTCACCTAAGCTGGCAGAAGTTGAGGAGTTAAGGTTTGGAAGGCCATTATGAAAAAGATGGGAAGAAGACAAGGAGATCCGGTGGTCAATAGTAAAAATTAGTTGAGTCAGGAAGATGTGGGCTTGAATCACAGATGTGTTCTTTTTAAGGCAGTGAGACCTTAGAGAAGTTACTTAGCTACACTATTTGCCAATTTTATAATCTATAAAATTAGAATAAATATACCTAACTTTCAGATTGTTTTAAGGATTAACTATAATAATTCAAGAAGAGTGGTTGATGTAATAAATGGTTATTATAAATATTATTGAAACTATATACTATATTATTTTAAAACTTGCTTCTATCATGTTGACGTCTGCTATGTCTTCAGAAAAGATGATGGCCTGTTTAATTTCCACTATTCTGGACAATGTCCCTGTTTAGTTTATAGGCTAAGAATAATGCCTGACTCTCCAGTGGTCATAACTGTTAGACTGTTACTCATAAACCAGAATACAAATCAACATGTTTTGGTTTTCTTTTCTTAAAATCAGGTTTCCTCTATTTTGCTCAGGAATTCTCTCATCAATACTTTCACTGGCAACCCCATTCATTTCAATTATTCAAAATGAATGGAAAAAAGTTTTGGATACATCCTTAATTCCTCTCTTTCACCCCATATCCAATTCAACGGTTAGTTCTCTCAGCTCATCACCTTCACTGCTACCAGCACAGTCCAAGTTGCCGGAGTTGCTACAAAAACCTCCTCAGTAGTTTTGCTGATTTTACCCTTGCTCTCCTAGAGGAGCCAGGGTGATCCTTTAAAACCATCTTTCAGATTAATGCCCCTCCTGTGCCCAAAATCCCCCATTCTCTTTCCATTTCACTCAAAGGAAAAGCCAGAATCTCTTTGATGGCCTTTGAGGCCCCGCGTGAGCGGGCATCCTGCTTCCTCTTGCACCGTATCCCCTACCACGTTCATTCTTCCCCCATGCTTACTCCACACAAGCTACACCAGCCTGCACACTCATCCTTCAGCATGCCAAGCATATTCCTGTCTCACAACATTTGTTCTCGTCTGGAACACTCTTCCTCAAGCTATGTGCATGACTTCCCCATGTCTCTTTCATCTCAACCAAAATACCACCTCTTCAGAGATGGCTACTGTCTTGGTCCAGGTTCTCCCAAAAGCCCAGCCAAAGAAAAGGCCTGAATTCAAGTGGTTTGGGAGGGACTCGATCCCAGGGAAAGAAGTCATGGATGAAGTAGAAAAATCTAAATCAAGGTACGTTATGATATCTGACCACTGTTGTAGGTAACCAGAGTTCAGTCTAGATGACTCCCTTCAAGAATCATGTAGAATGCTCCCCAGAATAATCTTCCCAGATGAGAAAAAGGGGAGCATTTATCCACCAGCCCCTCATCTCCAATTGGTCAAGGGTTGCCCCATGCCATGTTACCCTCCTTGAGCAAGTGAGCACATGCATGTACCAAGATGGCTACGACGGATAATTCTCAGTAGGGCAGAGAATCCCCTGTGCATACTAGAGATGCAAAGTACAATGAAACTGAGGTGGTGTGAGACTGGAGATGCAAGGTAACTCTAAATTGAAGTGTTGTTAGTTGATGCCTATGTGAATCTGACTGATGCAGGGAAGTATGAAATAAGAAAGAGCTGAGAAGATATGAGCTGGAGCTCAAGAGTTATCTACACTTCCCTACCCACATTATCCAAAATAGCACCCCATCCCTACCCTGTCACTCCCTACACTCCCGGCCCCATTATTGCACTGCATGTATTCACTTGCTTATGGGCTCGAAGTTCTCCCCTATGAGATTATAAGCAGAATGACATCAGGGGCTTAGTGTATTTTGTTCATTACAGTATTCTGAATTTCTGCAATGGTGTCTAATGTATAGTAACAACTAATTATGGAAAGAATGGTACAGTATCTGTAAACTGGTGTGTGTGTGGGGTGTGTGTGTGTGTGTGTGTGTGTGACAGATGTGTGGTAGGGAAGAAAAAGAAAGAGAAGGAGAAATATCTAAGTATCAGGCTGTCCTTACATAGTCAAGATATAAGGGTGCTTTTTCCCCATTGACTTATCTGCCCATCCAACTTTTCTTACAATTCAAGATGCTGTCTTTCCCCTACAGTGAAGCTAAACTATGCTTACATAGACAGGTGTCGATGTAAAGCCTGTTATGCACTAGATTAGTGGTTCTCTAATGCTAGCATGCATCAGAAACACCTGAAGCACTTGCTGAAACAGTGTGCTGAGCACCCAGATTTGTCAGGGGCTTCAGAATGTGCAACAAATGACACTGAAACTGCTGGTCTAGGGACCACATTTTGGAAATGAATACATTAGACCATTCTTGCAGCCTCTTGCAGTGGGTATCTTGCCCATTACATAGCCTGCCCCAGGACTATGCCCCAGGGAAGAAGCAGGTTTGTTTCACTTAAGCTGCTGCAAAGTTCAATACAGCCCTGCTTGTTGGAGACTTTACAAGGTCACCATTCAACATGGGATTTACTTACTACATTCAGCTAATCCCAATGAAGAGTTCAGGTCTGTTTAAGAGCTCTCTTTACAGTCAATACTAGGACCATATTTTTTAAATAAACTGTATCTTTCTTTAATTGGCATGTCTGAGTAGAAGCAGAAAAACAGGATATGCAGACCAGAGTAACAACAGTGAAAATCTCAGAAAACATGAGGAAAATGAAAAAAGGCAATCCCAATTTGGGGGCAGGGCTCTTTTATGCTTGACAACTTTGGAGGAATCAAAGTGGTTTCCTTTGAAGAGAGGAAGAAATCTCAAGACAAATAATTAGCTCTCTATTCTACAGGAAAAGGTAGTTCACTATCAGCAGCGGCCGACTGCTACTATTGCTTTTAATGCCATAGTTCTCAATCAAAACCAGCTGCCAGGCCGGGCGCGGTGGCTCACGCCTATAATCCCAGCACTTTGGGAGGCTGAGGCGGGTGGATCACGAGGTCAGGAGTTCGAGACCAGCCTTGCCAACATGGTGAAACCCTGTCTCTACTAAAAACACAAAAATTAGATGGGCGTGGTGGCATAATCCCAGCTACTCAGGAGGCTGAGGCAGGAGACTCATTTGAACCCAGAAGGCAGAGGTTGCAGTGAGCCGAGATGGTGCCATTGCACTCCAGCCTAGGCAACAGGGTGAGACTGTCTCAAAACAAACAAACAAACAAACAAAAAAAAAAAACAGCTGCCAGCTGTGCTGATTTCTCTGGGTGATTTGGGGACCAAATCAGATGTGAGACACAGCAAGACGGTGTGTTAATGGTGGGTCTATGACATTGCTTTCCACAGTGGCCATTTAGGAGGTGGAAGAGATACAGGATGCTATTCCAGAAAATTAAACATCTCATACTCTGCCATGCCCTCCCACACATTCCACCACCTTAGACAAATTTGGCTTTATTTTATTTTACTGTATTTTTTACTTAGCCTTGACATGAAACTCAGTTAGCCATATTTTAATAGGGTCTATTTCTGGGTTAGGTTTCACTAGTGTTAGTATTTTTCAACAACAAATGCTGTTTGTGATTCCATGAATAGAAAGTCTCTTAGGGCACAAGATTAACAAAGCTAATTATTAGGGAATATAAAATTAATTTGCCAGCGATTTAGCCCACTAGCTAATCTACCAGAGAGCTGAATCTCTCTCTACCTAGGGCAGTTTTTATTCCTATTGGTTATGGTAAACTTGGGATTTTCCTTCAAAGATTATTCTAATTCCAAAAACATCTGAGCCTTTTTTATTCTGAAATTCTGGTGAAATTGTGCATCATTTTATATACTCAGGGTTTGAAATTAGAGTTCTTTACTAAGCATTTTTAAGCAAAAATATACTTATAAGATGCATATTTGAAGATATCTACATATAATATATAGATATAGAAACAATATACTATATAGTTATAAATGCTATAAAGAAGCAGCATAAAGATGCAATTCTCAACCAATGACCTTTCAGCCAAACTTGAACTTTTACAAATAGCCCTTGCAATTATCTTCTGAAATCTGTCAATTCTTGAAAGCATGTCTCACTTTCAGAATTTTATAAATAAGTATTATTACCCCCTTTAAGTACAAAAAGCAAATAAAACTGTGTAAACTCAGTATATTTTTAGAATAATATCTAGAATTCTCTGTTAGGCTTTATCATGTGGCAAATTCCCAGAAAATCAAACCTAAAATTTTGCAAGACTTAAACTTATTTTTCCCTATCTATTTACATTTCCCAACAAAATATTCTCTGGAGAAGTCTCTTTATTTGTATTCTTTAATATAACAGTATTGCTTGATTTCATGTGATCACATACTTGCCTTAACAGAATTTGCCTATGTGGGAACTGTCCAATCTTCAGTTCTAGTTGCAGATGTACCCTCACAAGCCCTTCTTGCATTCCTCTTTTTCCTCCTGTTCCCACGCTGAAACTGAGCTGTTCACTTGTTCCAAGCAGGGAATGACAAAATACAAACTTCCTTAATTAACTACTGGGGAATGACTATCTTTAATTGAAAGTGCATTTATAAAATTGGAGACATTTTGAAAACTCTGAGACCAGGCTTGGGTCGGATGGTGGAATCCCCAGAGGTACTGCCAGAATTATGCCATGTGAAAATCTCACCAGGCAGCCCCTCCTTGGTGACACAGGGACTAAGGGGTGCCCCCCAACAAGCATTAGAATCCGTTGAGATGTGACGAAGATAAAAATATGCATTCTGAACACTAATGCAACCCTCTAGTTAAACATACACAAGATCTTTTTCAATATTAAGCAAAATGCATGGACATTTAGTCTACTTCAGTGTAAGCCCCCACATCTCAGAACCATTAACACTGAAGTGGTGTCCAAGGACCTATACAAAACAACTCTGGAAAATGCTTCTTGTGCAAAAAAGCAACTCTCAGAGCAGGATAGTAGAGCTCTACCATTTCATTATTGTTGGTTTTGCGCTCACTTTGGCAATAAATAAGAAGCAAATTGCAAATTGAATACTTCTAAGACTCGATTTTTTCTGTGTGCTTGAAGAACCTAACCAGTTTACAGTAAATAAAAATTAAAGTGTGTGTGTGTATGTGTGTGTGTGTGTGTGTGTGTGTGTGATTTGCTCATTAGATACATAAATAGTTGGTGGCTTCTCATTGCACATTTAGAAGCCATAGGGTAATACTCCATTACTACCCACTGTAACACATCATGAGTCCCATTGTTGCACTGCATTGCAGAGCCGTCGTTGCTTACATCCAACTCCAGAGCAGTGTGCATCTGGTCCAGAGGGCCTCATAGCCTTCTTCTCTACCTCAGTGTGGCCAGGACTCTTTGGTGTGGGTGAGTCTCCTCTAACAGAATGGATTCTGGAGAAGCAGTCAAGTGAATAAAAGGGGATAAAATTCAGAAGTGGCTTTTGTCTACACACCACAGAATCTTCATGGAGCCAATCAAAAATTTAAGAATAACTTTAGAAATGCCCCTTTATTTGGGGTTCCTCTATATTCTTAGGTAATTTCCAGAAAAATTAAGACCACTATAATGTTTGTAGAAGGAAGGATTTTCAGCCATGGACAATAATTAAAATTTCTGGTAACCAGAGAGTATTGGGTGGCATTGGGGAGTTTGGAAGTAGATGGAAGTTAAATTTGGAGGTTTAATAAATTAGCTACATAGCAAGAACATGCATAAACTTTGTTTTTACTTAATAACATATATTTGGCCTTAATGAGTCAATGGGGCAGATAAAGGAGACAAAAGCCGTAGGAATTGTGGCTTGGATTTCAGACTCTAGTTTCCGGAGATAAGAAAGGGTAAAGTTTCCAGGTCCTGAGTTTCTCATCTATAATAAGGAAAGTTGACTGGACACCTCCAAGTTTTCTTCCAGCTTTCAGATTCCATAATTACAACTTAAATAAACTTATGATTCTGCTGCCACCATTTCAGTGCACCAACACTGACTTATATGAGAATCAAAAGTAAGAGAATAGAAAACGTGTGTTCTACCTCATTTTTCTTTACTCCTTAATATTATGGTAGGTCCATGGCTCTAAGAATACTTACAGGATCTTCAGTTTACATGTCCAGCCAACAAGACAAGATACATCTTGCAGAATAACTATTCTGTTTCTATTAATGCATCATGTCACTGTATCTATAAAATATCGTGGTAGAATCATGTCATACAATGAAATGCAGTGACACATGAAAAGGTTCTTTGCTTAGTTTGGGTCACTCTAGCTATCCAGGCTGTTGGTATATAATCCCCAAAACCAACCATATCACTGCACCATCCTAGGCTTTAACCACTCATTAGGAATCTGGTCTTTGAATTTGAATACAAACTATAAACAGCAATAATAATGAGCAAAATGAGTCAGATTCACTGGCCTCATTGGTTGCTAATCCTGATCGATGATAGGCTCTACTATATGACTTAAATATTTCTTCTTCTAGATGGATGTTAACAGGAAATAAACAATATTATTCTTGAGCAGTGCAATAATTATATATTTAAATGTGTATATATGGTCTGTATATACTAGGTGAATAAATATTAAATTCCTACTACATTCAAAGCATACCTGAATCTATCAACATTTTTCTTCACCTTCTACAAGTGCCCAGCCCTGATGGATTCAGGGATAAAGAAAATATCATTCAATATCATTTAATCAACCAGCTATGTGTCTATCTTAATTACAGACAAAGACTTTATGGACAAACTGCCATTTTCTTATTCTCTTGACACACATAAAGTGGGCTTTTCCCATGAAGTGTGCCTAAACCTACTGGGCCCATGGTGTAACTTGTGCTTAAAAGAGCACATGCTATTGTTCAGAAGCATGAACACATAATATTGCAAACTATTCTGACATACACACACAAAACACACACACCACACAAAAGTCAACATCTCACCCTGAACATTTTTACATCATTGGCATGTTGCAGAACACATTCTGCTTCTCTACATTTTAATTCTGAGCTACAGCTAATAGAAGTGCCTGCTTTCTCCCTGGCAGCAGCACAATCCAGATGTGCAGCTTCATGGAAGGAATCGCTCCAACAGTGTCATCTGGGTATCACCTTCCACTGTCTGGTTTCCTCAGTAGATCCCAATGTGGCAATGTTCTGTATCATGTCAATTTCAATGACTTTCACACCATTCTCCCATAAATGTGAGAAATTGTTCCTTTATATGCCTCAAAACTGAGACGGAGCAAATCACAGGTACAATTAATTGTCACTTTTAAATAATTGAGAAAAGGAAAAACGTTTTCCCTACTTTCGTGTGTGGTAGTATGTTCCATTCTTATATCAAGGTTTGGGCTGAGTGCCTGTAGGCAGATGCATAAGCTGCTCTGGACTGAAGCTGAATTCTTAATTATTCTGCTCTAGGTTGAAATCACACATGTTTGTGTGTAATAGCCCCACCATGGGTTCCTCTTAGACAAAAGAGCCATTGTTTGTGGTTTAGGCCCCGGAGTCTCTTGAGCTTCTGTGGTTCTAGGCAGAAATAGTAATTCAATCAGTTCAACTATACACAAAATAGGAACTGATTCTGTCAAATTTCTCTGTTTCAAACATACTCAACCCCTATTTGAAACCATTTTGCCCAGTTTTCATGGAGGCTGTATTTTAATGGCTTGCATTACTTAGATATCATATAAAGGCAAAGCCCTGATTTTCTCTAATAGCTTTGATATTAAAGAAGCAATTGTCATATCATCTTACCAAATCAATTGTCCTACATCTTCATGGCTGCTATAGCTAATGGATCACATTTCCAAACATCTTTGAAAATTCTTTGAAACAAGGGAATAAAAGAAGGGCAAAAGAAGGATGTTTCAGAACAAATTGGTGCAGTAACTGAATGGCACTTTCTTAAAGGTACATTAGTGTTATTCTTATGCTCCCAGAAACAGCATCTCCTATACTTTCTCCTGTTGTCCTGGTGTCAAGTTGTTTCAAAACAGTGTGATGTTGCTACAGATGGAGTATATCATTATTTTCTAATATTCCTCACCATTAAAGTAGATGATAATATTTACTGAACACTGAAGGTATGCATAGTCTGGTGGGTAGATTCAATGGTGTGGTATTTTCTCAGCTCTTCTATGTTCACTGTTACATGGGATTTGGATAAGATACTGACTCTCCTAACAGTGAAAATGGGACACATGTGATCAGGAGTTTTAAGTTTTCCTTTCTTCCCATCAATAGCTAGCTCTGGGGTCTCAAGCAAGGTATTTAACTTCTCTGGGTCTCATAATTCTTGTGTGTTAAAGAGGTTAGTATTCACCATATTTTTTAACATCCAAGTTCGTTTACTAAATAGAAATGCTTACATAAAAGCAGATGAAAGTAATTCAGATATTAGTGTTCATTTTCGTAAGTTCAAATTCATATGGTTGACTGGCCCTCCAGCAACTCCTAGGACCATATAGACAAGACAGCCTCACTCTAGGTGTGATGAAATCCTCAAAGGATGCTGGATCTCTGAAGATTTTATACTACTGCCTTATCTGCACTGTATCTCCAACTTCTGATATTTTTACGAGAGAATGAAACCTTTAGTTTTTAAGCCACAGTTATTTAGATTTTATTTCCATGCAGCTGAATCTAATCCTAATTAAACAAGTTGTGTTCCCCTGCAAAAAAAGCTGAATCACCTTTCCTATTTTTATAAGAAGTGTCAGGAAGGGAGTCCCGCATTGAAAGTAACTGAGACTAGCGGGATTAGATGATTTTCTGTGCAACCTTATCTTCCTTACACTTCTTTTTTATCAATCGTAGCACTGAAGGTCTTACATATTTGCAATAGTAAAAAATAAAACTAATACTATTGTATTAGTCCAGGGCTTAGAGAAGAAAGGGAAGATGTAGACTTGAGAAAAGAGAAGGAAGAGAGTGAATGCTTACAAAGGAAATTAATTATATGTCATTGATTGGGTACTTTCATGCAATATATCCAATGCCTAATTCCCTGTAGACTTTTCACTCCACCCCAGTGTAGCAGGTAGTAAGTGTTAGACGTGAAGAAATATGTATTCCTCATCCCATTTTACCCATGCTCAAAATAAACGTATAAGCTAGTGGGGTAGATAAGCACAGAAAGAAATATGTGCCAATACTTTATCCCTCCCAAATTGATTAACCAGTCTCTACTGGAACATTTTCTGTGATCTGCTCTCATCAGCCTCTGCCTCAAATGTACAGGTAGTGTTGATCAATTTCTCTATCCAAAATAGCACTCCACCTCTTTATCCTTTTCTCTTTATAGCACTTAGCACCTCCTGATATATTGCATATTTTTGTTCCTCTATTTATTGACTCCATACCCCTCAGCTACAAGTGAAAGCTCTGTAAGAGCAAAAACTTTATTTTGTCCACTGCTTTATTTCCTCTGCCTAGAAAAATACCTGGTACATTATAGGTGTACAATAAATATTTACTGAATAGATCAATTTTTAAGAAGTTTATTTTTGCTATTGTGCCCAAACACGCCATGCTTATTTAAGTCTATTTCACTTCAATTTATAGCTGGATTCATTTTGTGTTGTATTTCACTTTATAATAGTGAAAGAAAGCTATTTACATCTCATGCTAATATCTTGACAGTGAAATCAGATGCCAAATGGCAACTTCTTTCTATTAATCCTTGATAAGTATGCTAAAATTACATCTAATATCTTTAATGTCTTTTCCATATGACAGCTTGTCAATTACTGGGAGACAGTTATCATATCCAACCCTACTAAACCTCACCAATATTCTCTTATTCAAACTAAAAGTCTGCAGTTCCTTAAACCATTTTTCATATGGCATATCATGTCTCTTCATCATTCTTGCTACTTCCATTCAGTTGTGCCCTGATTTGTCAAAACCCATTTTGAAATGCGGTGCTCAGTCTTGAACATAATGCTCCAGTTGAATTTTCTGCAGCATAGCATAGAATAAGATCTCAACTCCTTTTCCCACATTTCTATTAATGTCTCCTAAGGGACTCTTACTTCTACTCTTAAGACATGCTTTCCTCTTTTTTGTATCTTCAATATTACAAAATATTTTTTGAATATAAAAATGACTATTTAACAGTTGGTTCAGTCCAATCTCTACCAGCTAAGCCAGGAGGAGGCAGCTGATCCCTGAAGGGCAGAAAAAAGCAAGCCTTGGGGAAGCAGGAAATAACTAGCCAGCACAGAAAGGTCTCCCGGTGGGAAGGAGGAAACTGTCTGCTGCACACAGTGTAATCGTTTGCAAATTATAATGTCTTCTACAAACACATCTCCCAATAAGAAACGAGGCTGCTCATTCAATACTGACAAGTGTTTAAGGCTATCTCCACAAGATACCAAAACATCTGGAAGAAGAGAGGTGGAAATCACCCAGATGTTTGAGGAATGATAGGGTTGATATTGCAGCTAGTTGCAGCTGCCATAGTCCTTTTTGGCATTTTTACAAGATCTCATTGAACTTCTTATGTTTCTTCAACATACCAGTTTTATAACATGTGTGCACTCACATGCATACACACACACACAGAGAAAGAGAGAGAGAAGTTGTGAAAGATTTCCATAGCTTTTCTAACAGAAGGAAAGGATTTAGATGTATATCTTCAGGGTATATACATTAAGGAAACATGTCAGTGTGAAAATACTATTTACACTTGAAAGATGCAATAGAATTTGGATTTTCATTTGTCAGTGTCTTCCAATGTTCAGAACTGCTCTTATACCAGAAACATGTTGGTTCCCATGATGACAAATATCAAGTGCCTATTTCTAGCACTTTCGGCTTTTATTTTGTCAGTTGTCTCATCTGCAGCTGCCTGATCTCTAAGGTTCTCTAAGCTGTGATCCATGATTCTGGGAGTCCATAATACAGAATTGTGATCTATCACTACTGTGGTTATGGCTTTTTATATAAATCTAGCCCCTAGGGAGAGTTCATACAATGAAATATTAAATTAAACATTTAAATTATGTTCTTCCATAGCATTCCTATTAGTTGAAGAACTACGGGAAAAAAACAGAGACCACAAAGAATGATATATGGATCTGTTTCCATAAATTTACTTTTCTGTCAAAAATTGTGTAGATTCCCTTTATCTTTCACTCTGAGTTATAGTCAGTTTTCTGTTGGAAAAGAGACAGATCGCAGTGGCTAACTGCAGGATTTTTTTTGCCATAAAAAATCATACTGTGATAATTAGGAATATTTCTAATGCCGCTGAGGAATGGAAAGTAAAATGAACATATTGCTTTGAATTAAAATATGGAAATTTATAGCACCACCTATTGGTTTCAAAATAAATATTATTTTTTTCTAGTTTTAGTAATTATAAAGAATAGTATAAAGGTGCGTTATTATTATTTTGAGATATATGAAGATTAATATTTTTAGTTCCTAGTGATGCTATGGAAATTTTTTTAAGCAAAACTCATATTCAGGAGTTATGCCAACATGACTTTTTAAACTAATATAAATTAAAGCTGTTATATGCCAGGGAAGTAAAATAGAACTGGGATTTTTATGAACACATTACTTGTGCCATGTTATATAAAAATTTTTAAAACTCCTTTTGATTGCTATTCCTAAACTGATGATGTGTGTTGGGCTCCGCTTTTTCTGCTGTCCAATTGCAACAGAGGAGATAAAATACATCTGGTCTTTAATTTCTCCATTCATGTCTTCTTCCCCTAAAATCTGGAGAACACGCTGAAAATCTCTCACTAGAATAAACTCTCATAGCATTGGCTATTTTAGATTCTCATTCAGATAGTCCTTACCCTTTTATTTAGTCCAACTTCTATAACAACGAAGGAGCTGGCGCAGGAATCTTGAAACAGTGTCCTCTCCGCTCCGCTTCAGCCTGTACCACTCTGCATTATTTTCCAGAATGCATGACCCCTCCTAGAGAACAGAGGAGGAAAGAGCCATTCTTTCCCTTTCCCACACGTTAGGAAGCATATGGACAATACTTTATGGAAACTCCCTTCCCCACCCTCGGGAGAACTGAGTTTATGAAAGGATCACTTTCTGGAATAGAGCTTATGAACACATTTGTCTCTCTGACCCTAATTATTTTACATGGATTATTTTTAAAATCAAGTTGCCCTTTTTTCAAAACTTGAAGAGAAGTAGAGGCCTTGAGGCCATCAAAATGACATCCTGGCCCTAATATGTGCAGTAGCCAAATGATCTGGAAAACTGAGCTCTATACAGAGGCCCTCTGAATAGAATTGAAGGGAAAATGATCTAATTTAGAGTGCACATTAAACACAGGTTTTAAATGGTTTCTTTTCATTTAACCAAATACTCACTTTTCCAAAATGTCAACAGGCATTAAAATATGAAGGATGACTAAATGTGGAAGCAGAGGAAAAGAAACAAAACAAACAAAATAAAAGTAATACTTGACTCTAACAATCACAAGAAATTAGATTATCAGAATTGTTAGGCCGAACTATATAAATTATATTTTTGTAAGTCAAAAATGCCAAACTGTAAATGTCACATAGTTCATTCTAATATTAAGTGAAGAGAAAAAGAATTCAATTATGTTTAGAAACAAAAATGAAAGACACAGAAGAGAAGAGCCAACAATGCTAAACATCATTCAGATAGTGATAGTTAGCATTTTAGGCTTTCTTAACCAAAATTGTGAATGTGGTTCACCTTAGCTCCCTCATGAACTGCCTAGTGCTAATTTCTAATCATGAGCACTTGCCTGTACTTTCACTCCAATGCACTGCTTCTCACCCAGTTTCTGATGGGTAGTTTAAAAATGTCTATGTTTAGAACTACCTGTCTTTTATGTAACAGAATTTCAAGATGGGATCTATGATCTTCTTTGGGGATTAAAAATAATTGCAATTTTATCTTTTTTTTTTATTTTTAGATTTTAAGAAGGTTAGGAATATCCACAGCCTGATTAGACTCGGAATCCTTCAAGACCCATTTCATTTTTTACTTCCCCATATTCTAAACAGGCTTCCCACTAAGCAGCCTTCACATCCTCCCTGCGGGTCTTACTCACAGAGCAAGCCATAATAACAAGCTTCCATGCCCTGGCTGGCTTTTTGGCTCAATGGGACAGTTCTATTGCCAAATCCTGCTTCTAGAGCTGCATGGATTTATCCTTACATGCACCTTAGTGACATGCTCTATTTTGTCTCATCTGAGATCAGGTCCATTTTCTACGTCCTCTGGTTGCTCTTCGGGTGACAAGATGTCTACATCTGGAAGGAAAGAAACCCCTAATATATTTTTGCCTTTTGCCCTGAAAAATACCATGTCATTGTGCATGTGGAAAGAAGCATGTTTAGTAATAAAAGAAGGACATGATGGGGTCAGCTAGGGCTTTTAGAGACAGTCCAGATGAAATTTAAAGAGAGAACTGCCACGACGGTTTTTGAGAAAACTGGATGATGTTAGTTTCGAAACCTATAGCCCATAATCTGGACTCAGCTAAAACATACCAAAAAGCTTAGCTCAGACCTGCAAGGTTCACTTACTCTAAACATCAAACAAGGAAATGTACAAGATTTGCTTTCTTTCTCTTTAATAAAGTACATTTTATGAAGTAGAAACTGGGGAACACAAATCGTTTTATGGAAGCAAGAACTAGTACTTAAAAAATGAGAAATATGTGTGGGGATAGTGTTTATTTTTGTATGCATAAATATACATACATGCAATGATTATTAATATTTACATACACATACACGTATGGTAATAATTGTCTCTCTCAGAAAGTGGTTTCAATCTAGAAACAATTGGCAGACAAAGAAAGGAAAACTGAGAACCGTCCGGTCTACAAAACTATCCCAGAGGACAACCTTCCCAACAATAGGGAGACTGATAGCATAATAATCGCCATAAAAAAAACATGGGGGAGGGGAATTAGAAGATTCTTTAGCATGTTTATGGATTCATATGAAATATTTTAGAACCCTAATTCTTTGCAACTCGACGTTTATTTATGTGTGCAAAAATGGATTGACAGTTTCAAGTGAAGGGTAGTTGGGTGTCAGAGTCTTGGCAACTAGTGACAACTGCAACTCCTGGGTGTGTGTGTGCTAGATGGGGAGAGAAAAAGACAGACAGAAAGCCCTCCCTCCTAAAAAGATATTCCCACCACAAACATGCCACTGTCCACTACAGAGTATGTTTTGTTATGTCTGTGAAAGATTCGGGTTGATTTCCATCTTCGTACAACACACGCCATGGAATATTTACATGTTTGGGTACATCAACAAAGAAAAAAAACAAAACAAAACGAAACAAAAAGACGCACACACAACACACACACAAAGTGGGATTGTGCTCCTTTGTTTTGCATTTTCTGTAACCCAGATTGCGGTAATTATCTCCCTGGCTTTAGAAGCCTTTTCTTTCATTCTAAAGGCAGTTTTTGGAATCACGTTACACTTAACTCAGTTTAACAAATAAGAGTAGTCTGGCAAAATGGCACCATGTGCTTTCCACAAATATTTGTGGTATAGGCAAGCTCTCAATGTTTTTATTATGCCCAAGGTTCTTTGGTTTTAAAGCAAGTGGAATAATGTAAAGAAGGAAGAGAAGCACGAATTTGGGAACTGGGTGTGTGTTGGATGCACTTTGCAAAGCTTTCTGTGCCAGAGAGCGAACGAAGGAAAAGATACATTTTAAAAATAACTGGGGAAATAAAAAGAGCAAAAAAGGTTTGGAGGCATTTAGCAGAGCACAGTTTACCCTGGCGTGAGCTACAGGCTAATGATAGAATAATAACATTTGGCGCTGGAGCCCCGAGAGGCTGACAATGCGCTCACTGTAGCCTGTGCGCTTCACACATTTGCCGGGTTCTGTAGTCAGGACAAAGAATTGCAGAACAGAGGCAAAGTAAAGAAGGGGGTGAAAGAGAGAGTCTGCACTCAAGTTTACTGTAATATAAATATACATACACTGTGCTACAGATGTTCCTCATTGGCAAAGGCTGGCACGTAATTATGCTATGCGCTTCATAATATTTTAATGAGCTTTTTCTCCAAATAGCAACGAAAATGAACAATAAGAAGCTCTTAGGGAGGGAAAGTTGGTGTTGTTTTTGTCCCTGGGAAAAAAAAAATCTCATAATAGGTTCTATTAGAATGGCAGAAAAAACACTGCTCTGGGTTTAATAAAATTGGATTGAATCTAAAATATGGTTTCTGAAGCTAGTTTTTTTTTTCCTTCAACTTTAACAGTTCATTCAGGCTAAAGGAATAACAAAACAGGGGTAACAGTGTAATACTGGTTGATTGCTTTTCTCCCTGTTCTTTCTCTTTTTAGGAAAAAATAAATAAAGCCTTCAGTGGAAACCTTACAACAATGCTGTTAATATATTGTGCCAATTAAAGTCTCGAAATAAATAACAAACCACTTAATATGTGTTGTAAATGTCGTGCTGATTTAAGTATTGTTACACATAGATTACACATCTCTTCCGGGGATGGATGACTGGATCCTCAATGCAAGTTGTCTCTTTGTCTATATGTGCCGTGTGTGTGTGTTCCCTATTGTTATTTTTTAGTTTGCTATAGGGTAAATTCCAAATAAAGAATAGAGTCAAACTTTGAGATCTGCAAGAATACAGCAAGTTTTTAGCATTACTACTCCTGCAAAGAAAATAATTATTTTTGATCATGCTCAGTATTTCATTTTTTAAAAAACCAATTCTATAGCAAAATTAGAGTACGCATCTTATTCAAATTTCTAAAGAACTCTTTAGATGGGATTTTTGCACAGACATTTTTTATATTACGATGAGCTGAATGAGAGTTTTGTATTTGGAATGGGAGTAAAAATATTACAATTACAACAATAATAAAGAAATAATAACCTCTGGATACTCTCTGGGGAAGGAAAACCAAATTTCCACATATAAAATATTTTGTATTGGGATATGGAGCATAAATATTATCTTGCTAATTTGTGGATGGTAGATGTTGGTTGTTACTCAGAATTTTTAGTTCTCATGTGCAAATCCTATCATTTATGAAGTTTGATGTTTTTATTACTGAGACAATATCTCCTACTATTCTCCCCTTTTTGTGAATCCCACTGTGGCATATGTATAGATTAAAGGTGTAGGTAAATTCTCATGTCAGGGTCTCCAACAGATCACTTGGCTTAAATAACTCAAATTTGTTTCACCTTTTGCATTTTTAATGTAAGGAAGTGACAGATAGAAAAAGTGGACCCCCAGGATATAGTCATATGAAATAACTTATACACAAGTTCCTGAAGTATCATTTAAAGACAGTTTAATTGCTAACCCCTTCTGTATCCATCCTTCTTGGGAATGTAAAATTACATTAATAGGGAAGACTGGAGGCCATTACAAAACTCGCCATGCCCTCAAAATCAGAATTAAAATTAAGTTGAATTATGATGAGTACAGTTGAGTGTCAAGTTTATTTCAACTTTCAATATTTTTTCAAAAGTGGATACTCTATGCATGACTGTTTGTTAACTTAATTGGCCAGAATATGTTAACAATCTGAGTATTGCTCACTCCTTCCCAGAGAAACGCCCTCTATGTGGTAGATCTTAACGTATACACAGAAACTGATTAATTTTTTAAAAAAGTTTCCTGTGTACATAGCTAACTATATGAAAGGTATAAAATGGGCATGTGTGGTTTTTGATGAATTTTTGGTTTCTAATCAATAATCCAAAGATGTAGACTTTTTTTAAAAGTAAAGCAGATTAATAGGAATAAGTTATTCTATGTGTGGGCAGAATTAAATAACATGTAGCATATCTGTGTACTTAAAAGGATGGACTCAGGAGTTGGATTATATGAAATCAAATCCTAGTTACGTGACTTAACACCTGTGTGAGTTTGGGCAAGTTACTCAATCTCACCATATGTCAGTTTATCCATCTGTAAAATGGGAATAATGATAATACCTCCCTCATAGTCTTATGAAAAGAACTATATGAATTAGTAAATAAAAAGCACTTAAAACAATGGCTGGTATATAATAAGTATTCAAAAATATTTACTGCCTTAATAATCAACATCATATTATTATCTAATAAATCCAGTATGTTACTAGTAGATCTTTCTGCTTACCAGTTGACCCAGGATCTAGAAGTCCTGGATTTCAGATGCAGCTTCCCCACTGATCAACTGGCTCTGTGATCTTCATTTAGTCACAGTTTCCTGCTTTCTTTACCTATAAAAGTAGGGAAAGTTGAGAGATCATTTATAAGTCTGGTTATCTATTATAACATAAATCTTTAAAAGTAATTCAAAAGTTTCCTGAAGATGTCTATTGATACTACAAAGAAAAAAGTGACACGGAGGAACTGAAGACCAGGGCAGAAGAACTGAGAAGTGTGAAAGTTGTTTCAGCACCTCATGTTGGAGAGAATTTGCCTCCTACATGTAATGCCACTATGTCCAGTCAAGGTGCCACAGAATGAAATACTGGGACCACCACACAGCTGAGTGTAACTATGTCCTAAGGCTGCATTCGCAATCCCTAGTCACAATTCCTCGCTCTCTCAGAACAACGGTGTCTAAGAGTTCTGCAGTTCCAACCCTGGTTTGTGACAGACCACAGACGTGTGTTCAGGGATATATGGCTTCCTCTCTGTGGACAATCAAACTTCTTGGCTCTCCAGAGTATTTTAATCCCTTCCATAGAATAAGTTAATCATTTTTTTTTTTTTAACCAAGGCACAGAAGTGCATGGAGTTTTTCTCTTGGGAGCTGAAGTTATGCCTTTCCCCTGCCTACTGTCCTCAATATCAACACCATTCAGAACGAAGTGCTTCTCAGCTGAAGTCTTCGTAGAAGTAAAATACCCAGGCACTACAAAGGTTCTTTAGCACCAAAGACTTTTATGGATGAGTGTTGAAAATATTTAATATTCTATCTGCTTAATGGTAAATAACACAGAACAATTCTGAGCACTTAGCCTGAGCCAAGCTACTTTCTAAATGCTTTCCGTATATTAATTCATGTGCTCCTTACCAAACCCTATATGGGCATTTTTATCACATCTCAGACAGCAAACATGATAAAGCATTTAAGATCACATTGTGGGGAAGCTTGTGAAGAATGTAAGCTTCCTCTTACTTGAGAACCCAGAGTCCTAGCAGCCACACCATGACCTAACTCCAGCAATAAACACAAACAACACATTTTACAAGCAAAGCCAAAAAAGCTTTCCAACCAGATATTAGGATTTATGACTATTAAATCAGACTATAATATACATCTATTTGTCACCAGCTAGTTTAATTCTTTACTATTTGAATTGTGATTTCACATCTTGTTCTGATTTGAATTTCCCAATGACCTTGGGAAATAAGAAAAACCTGGATTTTTAAAAAGTACATGTTAGCCTTGTTAGCCTTTCCTTCTCTTGCCTATAATTCCTATTTTAGATCATTTCTAAGGAAACTAACCTTCTAATACTTACATACTAGCCAGCTGTAATACTAGCAAGAAAATCCACTAGCTCCTCTAAGAATACTAAGCCCGGATCCTCCAAATTTGGTAATAGAGACTCTCCCCCTGGGATGGATCTCTGAGCCTCTATTTGTGTTGTATTAGATAAGTCTGTATTACTCTACTGCTGTCACCTGCTAGTTCAATTAATAAAAGCAAATCTAGCCCCCTCGAATGTGGCCAAGGAATGAGTAATTCCTTCACAGAGGGGACAGCCCTGCTGGACCTACGTTATAGTTGCCCAATCTGGCCATCCTACCTATATTTTAATTCTCCCTGCATTGTCATCCTTAGAGGACTGACATTCTATTTTATTAAGGCAGGCAAAAAAGAACAGGGAAACATAGAATGCTTAGGCCAAAAAAAGAAAAGGGAAGCACATTGTGATTTAACACTGTGAATGACTTTTGAAATAGTAAATGGAGTTGAAGCTAAAGATTACCTCTGAATACAGCTCTATATTTTCTCCAACAAAAATAAACAGATATAAATGTGTACATCCAAAATATATTTTAATATATATTTTAATTTTTTCAATCTTCGCTACAAGAAAACAAATGACCGTGCCAACAGCATTAAGCAGAATTAACAAAAATTATGGTTCCCTGTTGCAAAATCAACTATAGCTCCACATATAAATGTCCTTGTCATCCAGTCTGGAATGGTTTAAAGCAAGACATTTGTTACCAAAATCTTGATCACCATTATAAAATCTTAGAAGTTCAATATTTAGCTAAAGGAATTCCAGATTACACCAGAAATAATGTGATATATGCATGCACACTGCATCTTGTAGCATTATAAGATAGTATAAATCACATGCAGCCAAGTCCAAGTATTTCAAGACCAGAATTTTTTATTCATTTCTTCACTTGAAACATTAACTTTAGAAGTTAGGTCAAATGTCTTTGAATCCTACCTCCACCATTTAAAAGCAAGCTGAATTAAGGATAATTATATAAATGTTTGGGGCCTCAGTTTACTTTTTACTTATCTTTAAAATGTATAATTTCTGCCCGCGAGTTGCAAGGCAGTATTAAAGAAAATGTATGCTTCATTCCCATCAGAGAGCATGGCTCAGCGTAGGTGCTCTATAAATAGTCTAGCTTCTATTTTAATAATTAGCTCTACCTTACATTCTCTGAATTTCTGTATCTGTTGCTGATATCATCTCAATTCCAGTTAAGTCCTTCCTGATTAAACAGTTCTTCCTTGGCTAGGGATCAAATAATCAAGTGCAAAAAAACTACAAAGAAAATTAGAGCATAAGAAGTGAGAAAGAGATGATCAAGGGGAGAAAATTGGGCGATCTCTTATTGTATTCCTGAAACTGATATTCAAGGGCTAGGGGAGCACAATGCCATGGTTTTGGTTTCAGCATTAAGAGGCGGCATATTGCCATGCAACTCAAGAAAAGGAGACATGGTATTCTGTTCTTGGTTGTAGAAGAGGCCTTGGTCAATATGACTCTCTGGAAAATATACAAATATGTACAATTCTAATTCCCTTTTAAGCAACGAATGTTTATGCTCATGAAAAAAAGCCTGTAGGCATTGACTTGATTTCCCTACAAAACAAACAAAGTCATCCTGAAGATGATTTTGTTGTTATTATTGAGTAGATTAACTTCAACTCACCCATCTGAATGCATGATACTCCAGCATATCCTTGAAAAAACTCACTATAATTCAGGGGAAATCTTGTACAATAGGCCTCTCTCAAAAATTGTGCAATGTGCCAATTTTCCCATTGTCAGGGTGGGTGGGAAATAGTGTGTGGGTGTGTCCCTAGACAAGCAACCTAAGAAGAGAGCAGGAGAAAGCTGAGACACAGATGGCGAATGTCTGGGCTATCCTTCCTGACACAAGTGTGTTTGTGACTGGCTCTGTCTCCCATGCAATGGCTTCAGCTGGATATGTGCCTGGTGCATTACATATGACAGAGGGAATGGAGAAGTTGTTTCCCATAGAGAGTATGAAGTTTAGAAGACAAAGTGAATCTGTAGGGGAAACTTCCAGGTCTGTGCTATCCTGGAAACATACCATACCATATCCTATTCAGCTAATAGGAGAGTCTCAAACTACTCTAAGAAGCTTTCTTTAAAGGAAATCTTATACATGTTTTCTCACTGGAATGGGGCAGGGCAAATAACATTTTCACTGTAATTAGAGAACATGTTTTCAATTTGCATAAGGAAGAGGAGTCAGGCTTAATCTGGGTGACTCCGAAACATGTCTTAGTGAATGTTACAGAGAGGGCAAATTCAGCTCAATAGAAAGAAATTTTTGACAATTAAATCTACCCAGGACTGGCGCAGTGGCTTACGCCTGTAATCTCAGCACTTTGGGAGATCGAGACAGGTGCATCACTTGAGGTCAGGAGTTCGAGACCAGCCTGGCCAACATGGCAAAACTCCATCTCTACTGAAAATACAAAAATTAGCCGGACATGATGGCGCGCACCTGTGGTCCCAGCTACTTGGGAGGCTGAGGGAGGAGAATCGCTTGAGCCCAGGAGGTGGAGGCTGCAGTGAGCCGAGATTGTGCCACTTCACTCCAGCCTTGGTGACAGAGCAAGACTCCATCTCAAAAAAAAAAAAAAAAGGAAAACTGGAATGCACTGGAGGAGCACATTAAGGATTTTCATACCTTGGAAAAGAGTTGAGCTAGAATCCTGAGATTCTATAAAAACGTTTGATAAAAGAATGGGAGAAGTCATGGTCTACGGGAACACTGAGAAGCAGAGTTGCATAAATTCTAAAGTAATACATGGAAAGCAACTAAACTGCTCTGCTTCTTCACCCCACAGTCCCACTCAAAAGCACTACCATAAATACATGAGCTCGGTGCCAAGAAGACAGGATTCCATACTGGGGACAGCTCTTACTCCAGTGACTTCAGGAGGAGGCTGGGTAGAAGGAAGACCCAGATGACAGTTAAGTCATAAGTTTCTAGTGGCCTAAAAACACACCACTTTTTTTTTTTTTAGCTCTGGTGGGATTCTGCCTATAGTTCTTGCAGGCCTCCTCTGTTGTTTTGCAGACTTCTAGACAGAGGGAGTTTTCTCCAATCTATAATCATAATTTAGTTGCTTTACGGCTCTTAAAGAGAATGACTCAGTGGAAATTATGCCAGAACTGTGCTTAATATCTTTCATAATAAGAACTGCTGATGGCTTCTGTTTCTAGGTTTTCATCATCTAAATGCCCTCTCCCATTTCTCCATGTGGCCATCTCTGCCTGAAACTTTAACTCTCATTCCTTGAACCCTTCCTTGGTCTTTGTATGAATCCCTACCTGGATGTTCTCCCTTCTCTGTGCTTCTACAGCACTAGACCCCCACTCTAGAACGTGGGACCAGGACCAGCTATGAAATTTGTGCAGCCAAAGCAAAATGAAAATGTGGAGCCCCTTGTTCATAAATTATTAAGAATTTCAAAATGGTGACACAGAACATTAAACAAAGTGTAGGGCCTGCTAGGCATAGGGCCCTTTGTAATTGCAAAATGACATGTCCATGGAGGCAACCCTACTCATGGCACTGTAATCAGTTTCTGTGTTACATAATATTTTGTGTGGACTTTGGGTTATTAATCACTCATCACCGTTTATTTTATAGTGGCATCCATAGTTCCCCCTTTCTCTGTCTCTCTCTGTCTCTTTCTCTTCTCCTCACTCTCTGACTTTCAATCTTGAGAACAAAAATACAAAAATAAGGAGGGAATTTTGAATGCATTTGTACACCAGCAGTGCCCTCCAAAACCGTTGAGAAGTTCCTGGTACCCAAATCCTTACATATATGCCTAGTTCTTCCTCTGTTTTCAAGCCTGATTCTCCAGTGTTCTAGTTGATCCTCTGAGTTTCTGTTGCCTGCAATCAAAGAACCCTGCAAGAGATAGGTGTATCGCATTCTCTCACTGAACTGTGATTCTTTGGTCTAATTAAAACTATAGCAGGCATGCATTAAATACTGCACACCAACCAAGTACAAAATACTTATGTATAGTATTTCATTTAATTTTCACAATGAGCTTTCAAGGTAGGTAATACTCTCCCTTTTCAGATGACAAAAATTATTTTCTGAGACATCAGTTAATTTTCTTAATGTCTTAGACACAGTTACTAGTTATGGGACCAAGATTTTCTCACTGACTTTTTCTAATTCCCAAGACCACATTTTCCCACAATGACTTATTTTTTCCATATCCTCATTGTCTAGCACATTCCTTGGCACATCATATTCCCAATAACTTTACAGTGAGTGAATAAACAGAGTAAGAAATATCCACGTCCATGTCTTCATTAGTTCATCACCAATATAAAATGGCCTACAATTATAAAGTCACATTTTTATCCTTTGCCTCTGTCATCATAAAATTTTATTTGCCATTTAGTACTATGAAAACATTGGCAGATCTATCATCTATTTCAAACATTGCCTTAGCATACCAATAATCTCGTTTATTTTATGATTGTTTCTGAGCTTAATTGTGACTGCCACTTTCAGATCAAAAGCACAATTACTAGCATGCATATATATCAATTATTGATGCTCAAGGAATAAACTAAACAACTTGAATTATGTTGGCCTCTATTTAAATAGAGGCATTCTCAAATTATTGCCCTTTACCCAGAAAAATAAGTGGAAGGTATAAAGGTGCGTAGAGGTTAATAGTTGGCCTAAAAATGTAATTGTGCCATTCTGCATAGCGTTGGCACAAGACATGCAGGTAGTAAGAGCAGTTTCAACTTCTATATGGGGTCTATATAACCATAGCATAAACAGAGGAAATACACTTGGCATGTAAAAACAAAATCCATAATTTTTCCCCTTTAATGTGCCTAACAACTCAATGTAAATAAGATGTCACTGAGCAGAAGACTAATCTTTGCCATTCATTTACAGGTTCAGAGGTAAAAAAAAGAAAAAAAAATCAATTAATCACAAAAGCTTCCAAACAATGCAAACAGCATTAAGCACAGTAATTATAAGATAAGCATTCAAGCAATTTTCAGTTGATTGGGTGTGGGTGTGCTGAAGTAAACCTACAGTTTGCCTGCTGGTGCAAGAATGGCTTATATGCCAATTAGTGGTTATTGCTACTAATTATTAAAAACATTTTTAAGAGTAATTAAAAATTAAATGCACCTGTATGATGGCTCATAACTGTGTTGTGGTAAATCACTCAGATTTTCCATATCAATTGCACAGGAAATCCTCAGTGAGATGGAGAAGCCTTAAGACACCAAATTTCAGAAGCCACATTACATATGCATTGCCCTCCATGTGGAAGCAGGGCTGAGGTTTGTTTTTTCTGCTCAAAAATTTCGATGAATGAATGCTACTAGACCAAGATGAAGATGATAAAGGTTTAATCCTTCGCTTCTGACACTAGTTTTATCCTCATTGCCATAAAATACTGCTGAAAAGGAAAGATCAGCTTAGCCTCATCTGAGAACTCTTTCCCTGTTAAAAGGTGTGTTAGGAAGGACAACTCTGAAATTCTAAAAGGAATACTGGGATCCCAGTCTTATTGCCACCACTAACAATATGACCAGAGTCCACTAACCTCCTGGTTTCATCTTCTTTACCTTCAAGGCATGAAGATTTGAACTGACCTTGAGAATTTTTTTGAGTAATAAAAATCTGCATCCTAATTAGGCTAATGTTCATACCACATAGACAAGGAAAGCTGGAAAATATTTACTGAGTGTTCATTCAGTTTTCGACTTTTCCACCAGTTGTTGAAATCCTTGGTTGCACACTAGAATCACCTGGGGAGGTTTTAAAAACTATAATGCCAAGGTCCATTCCCCAGAGACTTGAATGTAATTGGTCGGAGATGGTAACAGGGCATCAACAGATTTTCAAAGCTCTCCAGGTGATTTTAACGTCTTTAGAGGGTTACAGATTACCATGCATGCTTCACAAATAGTAGATCACTAGTTCTGATTTTTAAAAAATATTCTATGTATTTCTGTCCCCATTTTACAGATAAGGACACATATTTAGGAAGGTTAAATGTCATTGTAGCACAAATGTAGCACAGACAGGATTCAAATCCAAGTGTCTGTGATCCAAAGATCCTGGGTTTTCTTAACCGTACATAGACTATCAATTTTATAAATTGTTGATTAATTTCCTGCTGATTCTTCTCTTTGATTGCTATTATAGCATATATCCTTAAATACCTTTTACTTAAATGTCCTTGTAGTTCTCACATATTTATTTTATTTATTTATTTATTTATTTATTTATTTATTTATTTATTTTGAGATGGAGTCTCACTCTGTCTCCCAGGCTGGAGTGCAGTGCCATGATCTTGGCTCACTGTAACTTCTGCCTCCTGGGTTCAAGCAATTCTCATGCCTCAGCCTCCCAAGTAGCTGGGATTACAGGCGCCCGCCATCGCACCCAGCTGATTTTTGTATTTTTAGTAGAGACGGGGTTTCACCACATTGCCCAGGCTGGTCTCAAACTCCTGACCCAAGTGATCCACCCACCTCAGCCTCCCAAAGTGCTGAGATTGCAGGCGTGAGTCACCGTGCCCAGCCCTAGTTCTCAGATATATAAACGGAATAATATACATAATTAGAAACATTAATTTGCCTGTTATTCCCATAAAGGATTTTTTTCTATATACTAAAAACAAAATTTTGGAGGACCAAGTGATAATATTCCAGAAAATCATAGCAATATGGGCTCTTTCAATGACCAACTGAAGCTGAAAAAGCATCCTGGCTGAGGGGAGGAAATATTATTAGCCACTTCCGCTGTCTCACACTAAAACAAAGTACACAAGGAGGAAGTAGAGGTGATGCAAGCAGTGAATGAGAAATCAGGAAAATTTCCATTAAACTCTGCCTAAGTCCTTTAGGGCTCTGTCTCTGTTTTGTTCCTCTTAAGGTTGTCACTTCTATGCCTAATGATTATCTCATTGGTTCCAGGACATTGTTACCATTTACCTCCACTGGATATCTATTTTCTTTCAAAAAGGTAAGAAGCAATTTATGTCCTATTATAATTTTATTTGTAATCTTAATTAATCCTACATGTCCAAGGTAAAGACAGGTAATCATTACGTGTGTGTGTGTGTGTGTGTGTGTGTGTGTGTGTGTGCATATATATATATATATATATATATATATATATATATATATATATCTTGAGTCTACTATCTGGTACACTATTGGGGCTTAAGGAAACAAATAACAACAAAAAATCCAAAAAACACCCATCATACAGCATTTGCTACACTTCTTTTTACTGAAAGTCCTACTACCTACCAATTCACACCCCACCTGCCAACTCCCTCACCTGAAAGCAAGAAGGAATTGTATTTTCACTCCAGCATGTAATTGGCAGATCCATATTTTGTTTTTGCTTGTTTTTTTTCTTTCAGCACAATCAACGTGCCTTTTCCCTGATTTTCTCTGCCAAACATATCAGATTGTGGGAGGTTTATGGATACACAGTACTTCACAGGCAACCTGAAAGGTAGGGAGACTGCGAGGAGATACTGCAAAAAAAAAAGTGTGATGGAGAAAGCATGAGTGACTACTGGAAGACAGACCTGAGATAATTATTGAAGAGATGACAGTGAACATTACCATGATATGTTTCACCAGGTTGTGTTTCAAAGATAATGAAGAACTATTAAATCATTTTATTTTCTTTGAGATATTAAAGAATAAATGAAAGGAATATGCAGATGATAATTATAAATAACAATTATGATAAGTTTGAGTAGCTAGCTACTTTATACAACACTCCAGAAATATTTGTTATGCAAATGCATAAACTCTACCCAGTGGCTTTATAGATCACTGGCATTAGGGCTGGAGCTATTGTGCAGGAATAGGATGGTGGCTTAACTCAGTTGGGGGTCATTTTATTGCCAGTTTAACTGGTGTTAAATTAGTGGGTATTTAACTGTCACTAACACAATTTAGGGCTCAATTCGCCAAAGTATCATTTTTACTAATATTTTAGTGAAAGTGAAGAATCATTCCTCCCGATGCTGTAGTGTCATGCTGAAGGCACCACTGTTCTCTAGTCCACAGTAATGAAACTTGCATTAACAAAAGTGGGCTGGATGCCTACTAAGGAGAAAAATAAACTCCTTGAGAACCTGGTATCTTGCTGTAGTTTATTGCAGTGAAACCATTTTAACATCCCTTTTCACTGAATGAGATTTTTAAAATCCGTAAATCATGAGCCAAAATAGTATAATCCATGCAATATTTCATGGAAGACCTTTGCTGTAAGATTATTGTGTTGAACTCCCAAATTTTTATTTTAGGGAAAAAACACACACGCACACACACGCACGCACACACACACACACACACATTTCCCCACCAACACAAGAAACATGATCAACTCCAAATTCAAAAAGATTTACAAATGCCACAACACAGTTATCTACCAGCAAACATATCATTTCTTTGTTTCATAGGACACCAAGGATGAATAATTCATGAACCCCATTTCACATGCTTATTGTGTCTGGTGGCAAAGACCCCGCCCGCTCAGCCCCAGGAAAGCTCAGGCACTTTGCTGCAGGCACAGTGCTCTGTGCCATCCAGGGACCAGCCGTGTGCTCTCGAGTTACTGGAGCAGCGCAAGCAGCTCCAGTGGTCTCAGCTGTGGAGACAGCTGTTTGCCCACCGTCTGCGATGGCAGAAATGTGTGGTAGGCTTCCCCCTAACAGCATGGCCCCCGCTACACACCACACACACACACAAACAACTCCCAGGCCGTGCATCATACACACACCACCACCCAAGGGGTGAAAGAAGCCCCATCATGTGGGGACCAGAATGAGCAATGCACCACAGTTTAAAAACAACTCTTTATCTTGTATGATAACTACTGGAACAGAGGTGGTAGCCTCCGAACCTAAACCTTGTCATTTATGTATCAAAAGATTTGTGCATGCGTGAAATTCAAAATGATTTATTGTTTAGTTATTGCCTTATTTACTTACTTAATGGATTGATTGATGTGCTAGGATCCCACAGACAACGGAGGCTTTTTTTTTTTTTTTTTTAAGATTGTTTTAAAGGAACTAGATTGCAAGCAAAGTTTCAGTAGCACAGTAAGTCAGCTCCTCCTTACTGGTTTGTATTCATAATGAGTTCCTTTTGGCTCTTGCCTGCTACCTGTCTCTGGCTATTCATTGACACAAAATACTGCACCTTGCACACTGTGAGAAGTGGCAGGGATGAAAGAATATTAAGCACGAAGGAGTAAAATATGCAGAAAAATCTGGATCCTGCAGCACGTTTTAGCCAATAGAAGCATCTATAGTAGTAACTCTTGCATGGTGCTTGGGCTGAAAGCGATAGAGCTGCTTTAACAATGGGAGTTATCAGGATTCCATCTGGCATCATTTCTCGACAGAGGAGGGAGTTGCAGACAGAGGGGTCTCACATTTGAATTCCTCTTGTAGACCTAGTATCATCTGTTTCTCTTACGGACCTTGAACTTACTTTCATTTTATAGGGATATACTACACCTGAACTGGTTCTTGTAATAAAATTATCTAAAAACTTTGAAATAACTGTTATAAGAAAAGTTCCACAAACCTCTTACTAGCTTGCCTCTTGAATTTTATTTATTATTAGGAGTGCTAATTTTTTAATCACTCATGGTGAATAGGAGCAAAATCAAGGAGGGAGGTGCTCAATTTATTTATAGGAATTAGATGGCAAATTTGTGCATAACTCTTATTTGATCGATGTTCTGCGCAAGCGACATTTACGTAGGATCCCTGTAACCTCTTTTCCAAACAAACTCTAATTTGACATAATGCAGCGGAGAATGGCACCAGTCATCGGGCTTGCATCAGAAATGCATTTTATTTGGATTCAATTCAGACTCTTAACGAACTGGTTCCCATAAATGCAGCAGATGGGAGTGAGGCAAATGGAAGAGTGTGTGGGGCCTCACACCCAGCACCCACCACCGCTCCACTGTACTAAAGCCTTTCCTTAGTTAGCTGGTTAGTTAGTTAGCTAATTAGTTAGGCACATTCCAGCTGAAACTTTTAATTATAATTAACATATTTATCCTACCAATCCACCAAATTGAGGCATGAAACACTACAGTCCAGCCAAGGCAAGGAGATTCTTTCCTTCTCTTTCTCTCTTGACTGATTAATGTGGTGAATGCTGCCAGAAGATGGTCCAACGGTTTATAAACCTGGCAAAGCTGAAGCCAGACCTTCTTTTCTAAAGGTCAATTAAAAATGCTAGCTGCACTGTAAACAGAATTCTCCCTAGCAGAATACCACGCAGTGTCCAAAGTGGTCTCTTAATACAAAATATCAATTTGATTTTCCTCAGGAGATTCGCTCTCCTTTTGCAATGCAAATATTTTCAAGTGTACTAAACACGTTTTAGCACCTCAACATAGGCACTAAAACTATTTGCATGCAAAATTACCCAGAGTAGGCAGACAGGCACAAGCTTATGCTAGCACCATATGTGCTAAAGAATTTGAGCCAGGAAACAACTAGTATCTGGACGTTATTTACAATTTAAATTTAATTTTACATTATTATTCAAATGAGAGCTTATATATAAGTCTCTATTAAAATTAATGCTTCATATGGAATGAAATTTCACCTAAAATTATATTTTTAATAGTGCTGGGGGGTTTTGTTCCAACTAGATTTCAACCATTCAAGAAGTATAATACAGCACTTTTGGTCCTTGTCTTTCAACTGTATGAGAGGTTCATTTTTCGTTCTAAAAAGTTCTCTCAGAAAGAATAGCAAAATTAATTTTGATTGGAAGGCCCAGAAATCAACACAAAACATAGACCAGGTCCAACAGATTAAAAAGCATAAGTGATTTGAGAAAATACACACTTCCTGGAAATAGCACAGAACACTGTCCCCACTCAGTTAAAAAACACCTTTTTTTTCTTTCCAAGAAGCTCCACATGTTTTGTGAACAGGGGAAGTGATTTTGGTTTAGCATTTAGTTTGCCAATTGCAATGTGGCATACTGTCCCCAGAAAGTGGCACTTCTTTATGTACTCAGAACACAATTAACCCTATTATTTCTAGTATGCTTTCAGTGTAGCCTTAAGGAGTAATCTTAAATCTATCGGTGACGATCGGGTAGAGAGCTTAATGTTCATCTGTTAATCCGTATCAAAACAGAACACTGCTTTCTTTATCTTTTAGAGTAATTTTCTATTTCAAGTTTGGTAAGATTTCATGTCTTTAATATCATATATTTAAATATGCAATAGTTTATTTTTATGTTTACATTAGGGAGGGGAAACATTTAAGTGAATCAGAATGATTATTTCCAACTCTCTCTTCAAACTTTCTCTTACCTAGGGGGTTTACAACTGAATTCCGAGGCTGGTTGAGAAGTACTACTATCAGAGTAATCCTTTCCCCGGCTGTCTGCTAGGTTATCTGCAGATAGTTACAACTGCAGTTTATGTGTACATTATATATTAAGGTTTATTGAGATAAAGATAATACTTGGTGAAGTGCTTGGAAATTATTACTTATAATCCATTTTAGCTTAAACCTATTACAAAAAGGAGAAGTATATTTTAAACACTAGGCTGTGAATAACTGCTTTTTAAACTATAGCTGTGGAAATGAACTTGGGGTGAAGGGAATATAAGAAAAATCAATATGCTATATTTCACCACAAGGACGGCATCAAATATACCCAGAACATTAACTACAGAGGATTCTTCCTCCTGGATTAGAGATAATCAAACTTATTATCAACCTAATACATACAATTTTTCTTTTGAAAACTTCAAGTATAATTCTAGGTCAAACATCTTTTTTTGCTTTCTTTTTTTATGAGCTGGAGGAAGAAGCTGCTTTCTTTCTTGACTTGCAATCAGTCTCAGAAATGTTGAATCATTGCCTAGGTACATGAACTCAATTCTGAGCAGCTTTAATTTACAGCAGCCAACATTTCTATAACATAAGCTCTCTAAAAGGGGCCCACAGAAGAACCAGAAATCTGTGGTTGTGTAGAAAGTTTAATGGGAATGGAAAATCTCCACGTTTACACGTCTATTCTTGCATATTAATATCATTACATTTAAACTGTGGTTTGATTTCAAACATTGAATTAATTAAGGGAACTTCCAGGTCGAGTTATAATGCCAAATCAAATGCCAACAGCTCCCTCTACTGGCTACTAGGGGAAAACATTTGATCTCTATCAATCAGAAATTTGTTTACTTATTTAAAAAACATCTTCACCAAATTAAATTTTGATTAAAAAATGGCTAAGCTTTTTGGTAAACCTGAAAGATGTTCACTTATAATGATAGCAATACAAATGCTAAGAATTTTAGAAGTGGATAGTTACATGAATTTTCTCGAACTCTCGGCTTCAGGTGATCCGCCAGCCTCAGCCTCCCAAAGTGCTGGGACTACAGGCGTGAGCCACCTCTCCTGCCCAAGTTACGTGAATTTTCTAACATCAGTAAACAACTTCTGCCCTCTCTAAAAAACATCTGGTCATTCCCTTGCCTAGTACCCTCTATTACACAGAATTTGGGTTAGGGTTAAAATATAATTAAGGTTAGGTTTAGGGTTGCATTTTCTCCAACCTGACACAAATATCAAATTTGTTTTCCAGAAGCTGAGAAATCTTAATGGAAATATCAAATTTCTACATGATGCTTCCTTGTCTCTTGAGCTCTAAAAAAGACAAGAAGAAAATAAAAAGAAGTATCTATTGTTATTTCATCGAGAATAAATAGATCAGTTGTAAATTGTTTACAGTTTTGAAGCAAAGAAACATTGGATTCTTTTATTTAAACTCTGATATTTGATGTAACATGTAGTTTAGTGAGGGCAATAAATGTTAAAAATGTAAAAAGTAAAATGCATTTTCTTCTCAAAGTCCTTGCCCAATCCTTCTTGGAGACTACCCTCCACCACCTGAAACAATCAATCTATTTGGTTTCACTCATTTAGAGTTGTCTCTCCCTCAAATCCACCACCCCCACAACTCTTGGCCTCCTTTTCACACAGCCATATTCCCTGAACATAAATGGAAAATGTAATAGCACACTCAGAAGTTTTCAAATCCCACTCATTTCAACAAGTGAGACTTGACAAGGTTGATGTGATAGGCTCATGTGAGAGGTTTTAGAATTTTGACGTAAATGCACTGTGAAGGAAAACCTTTCTTTTTTTTAGAAAGGAAGCAATATAGCCCTACAGAGACAAGATCTTGCTCTGTGGATGTTCTCTGCCTTAACGATGAGGTCTTTCTTCCACCGTACCCTCTTACCGTATAAACTTTGAAAACAAACTTGCAATTTTGTTAAAGGTTACCTAGATAGAATATTTCACTCCTCTCTTTCCCTTTCTGTCTCCTCACCCCAGCCCCCCATACACTGCCTCAAAATATATGTATCCTTCATCTTTGAGAAGTGAACCACTTTTGTTTAAAGAACTATCCCTGCATCTTAAACTTTGTATCTTAATTTAGGAAATTACTGATTTCTTAAAGCATCCATAATTGTTGTCATAGCCACAGAGAATCTTTTTATGATGAGTTCTTCCTTGTTTAACAATGTAATTATTGTTGAATTACAGTATATCCTGGCATGCAACCTTTTCAGGAATGTTCTTATTTCATGAATTCTTTTAAAATACGAATTCTCTTTTTAAAGTTGAATTTTTCAAACATTAAGTTAAAACTGTAGCTTTGGCGTCAGACAGGTCTTCTGGATTCAAACCTTACCTCTGTCATTTATAAACTGAGTGACTAAGGCAAACCACTTAAACTCAGTGATGCTCAATTTCCTCATTTGTAAAAAGGGAATAATGGGACACCTCTACCTCATTGGGTGGTTGAGGTTGCCTTGAGATAATATATATATAACATGCTTTAGCAGAATGCCTGGTACATAATAAACATCCAATGTTGCTATTCCTGCTCAATAAACAAGAGAAGGTCTTATGGGAATGGAACAATGTAACTGATTATTTTATTTCCTGGGGAAAAATATGCACCATAGTAATCCAGCGAAGCTCTGAATACTGATGACTTTGATCAGAAAACTGAAAAGTAGACACTATTTGAAATAAGGATTCAAGACTGGATGCAGTGGCTCGTGCCTGTAATCCCAGAAGTTTGGGAGGCCGAGGTGGGCAGATCACTTGAGGCCAGGAGTTCACGACAAGCCTGGCCAACATGGCAAAACCCCGTCTCTACTAAAAATACAAAAAAAAAAAAAAAAATAGCCAGGCAAGGTGGTGCACACCTGCAGTCCTAAGCTACTCAGGAGGCTGAGGCACGAGAGCCTTGAACCTGGGAGGCAGAGGTTGCAGTGAGCCAAGATTCTGCCACTGCACTCCAGCCTGGGTGACAGAATGAGATTCTGTCTTAAAAAAAAAAAAGAAAGAAAAAGAAAGAAAGAAAGAGAAAAGAAAGAAAGAAAGAAAGAGAAAGAAAGAAAAGAAAGAGAGAGAAAGGAAGGAAGGAAGGAAGGAAGGTAATGCTAAATGACGAGGCAATGGGTGCAGCACACCAACATGGCACATGTATACATATGTAACAAACCTGCACATTGTGCACCTAAAACTTAAAGTATAATAATAATAAAATTTTTAAAAAAATTATAAAAAAAAAAGGAAGGAAGGATTCAACTTTGATAGGTGAAGCAGACATAATTTTTATCTGGCAGAGCACAGCAGGGTATCCTCCCTTTGGTACACTGTTTACAGGCGAGCAAAGAGCCCAGGGAATAAAGTTGTCCCTAATGGGTCACCCACAGGGAACATCTATTGGACAATGCATCAATGTCAGATTGTGAAACACTGGAAGATTCAATCGTTTCAAAATCCAGGCCCTAAAGTGTGTAGATAGATCTTATTCCAACCCCACCTCCAGCACCTACCGGCTCTGTGACCATAGTCCAGTTTCTCAGTTTTGAGCTTCATCTTGCTATTCTACAAAGTGAGAATATTGTCTAACTCACAGAGCTGGGTGAAAATTTGTGACCACGGATTTTTGTAAAAGATCTGCATGATCTGCCTCCTTCCTTCCTTGAAGTCTCTTCTGCTTTAACCCTGATTCTTGCTCCGTCTGCTGTAATCAGACTGACCTTTTTGGAAGCCTGACCCTTATGCTTGCCTCCTGCCCTCACACTCTGTTATGTATTTAATTCCTGTTCCTTCATCATATCTTAGCTCGGTCCGCACTTCCTTGTGGAAATCTTCCTTGATCTTGCTAAGTAGATCCCTTCTGTGTGCTCTTCAACTACTGAAACAGAAAAAGTTCCCTTGTCCCCATCTCAGGGCATGTGATGGGGGTGTGGTTCACTTCTTCAGCGCCCCACTGCTCAAAACCCCTAGTGGAAGCAGAAAGACAGGTTGTGGGGCTCTGACCCCACGGCAGTGTCTAGGAGTGAATGTTTACAGCTCCTGAGGCCCCAGTGGGAGTGTATCACCTTGTCCTCTTTTAGTTCAGCTGCCCACAGGTGGCGTGTGTTTATCAGCTCAATTAGACTCCTGCCTTATCACAAGGACAGAGTGCTTTCTGTATCCCGGGGTTCTTGCCTTTTAGTCGCATGCTCTTATGGACATATCCCTTTAACCTGTGTTATCAATATTGATTCCTCAGGGCCCAACACAATTTCTGCTTCCTCCCTGTTCTGACTACCCCGGGATACTCTGACCATTTCTCTGAATTCCCATCATGCCTTTTTGCTGCTTCATTCTTTTGCTAGTGATTTCAGAGGTTTATTTTTCTTACTCAACTACCTAGAAAGGTAGGGACACAGGGAATAGGGATCATGCCTTTGAGGAAGGGTAGGTAAGAAAAGTGGAGACCATAGATACATGTTTAGATTTGGAAACAGCAAGACCCAGTTGGAATTTCATTTCTTAACCCTTAACTACCAGTGAGAGACTGGTCCAGGATCGAAGCCTCATTTATAAAAGCAGACAGGGAACATACCTTATCTTACCAAATTATTGTTAGAATTAAAATAGAATAAGGCTTGGAATGGTGGCTCATGCCTGTAATCCCAACATTCTGGGAGGCCGGGGCAAGAGGATCCCTTGTGCTCAGGGGTTCCAGACTAGTCTGGGCAACGTGGTTAAAACCTCTTCTCCACAAAAAATACAAAAATTAGCCAGGCGTGTTGGCTACTCAGGAGGCTGAGGTGGGAGGATAGCTTGAGCCCAAGAGGTTGAGGCTGTAGTGAGCCAAGAGTGCACCACTGCACTGCAGTATGATTGACAGAGTGAGACCCTTTCTCAAAACATTAAATAAATAAAAAAAATTAAGTTAAATTAAAAAGACTAAAATGTGGCAAACTAAAAAGTTTGCCTTACCACACTTCCTCTTACCAACTCACTGCTTAAAAATTTAGCTAAATTAATTCTGTCGCTTTTAAATACTTTTGTGGATTTATTTCTATTTTCTGATTACAAAACATTAACAATATTTTTTAGAAAATTTGAACAGTTCAGAAAAGTATAAAAGAAGAAAATTCAATTAACAGCTGCCATATTTGAAGAATTACTATGTGCAATGACCATACTGTTTGATATATTTTAATATTTATCCTCTTTAATTTTGGCAGCAGTCCAGGAGGTAGATCCTAATATTAGTCCCATTTCACATGAAACAATGAAGCCAAAGTGTATGTAAGGGAACACAATAAGTGATGGACTTCAGAGTCAAAGTCAGTCATTCACTCCACAGCATAACTACTATGCCAGCATAGTTCCCCAAATCATTCATAAATCAACTGTCTCCCATCATAGAGCAAAAGCACACACTATTAAGATATTGTGGGTTCCAATATTTCCTTCCAATTGTATATTCACACACACACACACACACACACAACTTACATATGCACAAACGTACATACACAGAGCTATGAGGTATTTATTTAAACAAAATTGGGATTATGCTGTATATGTAGTTTTTTCCCATTAGCATTATATTTTTGGCACTTTAATGGTATAAACATTCTTTGGATATAAGCTTTTAGTAGTGACTACATATTGCATTTTTTTCTCCTCATTGAACCATCCCCTTTGACTTTCAAATGATTCTCAATCCTTACTGTATAATTTTTCTTCAGGTTCAATTTACCACAAATGAGGATTATGCACATTATAATTTTAAATATGCAAACTATTTATTATCGTAAGGAGATAATTCTGTAATCTCTCAAATGTAACATTTGTAATTCAGGACCTGTAAGGAAAAGGCTTTCATAATCATCCTTCAGGTCCATTTTTTAATAATGTTTGAAAAAATAGACAACTCTGTTAAATTAATTCATCCCATGGTACCAAAATGTATTAACAAAACACTGAAAGGCCAACAATGAACCTTCCTGTATCATTTCAATGAGTTTTCTCACTGGTCTAAGAAAGACAATGTGATCTAGCTGGACATGGACACAAAAGGTCTGGATCCTAACCACAGTCACTACTTACTTCCATGTGACTCTGAGCAAGTAAATTGACCTCTGGGAGCCTCCGTTTCCTTATTATAAATTATAATAGCAATATTTTCTCCACCATTGTGTAGGGTAGTGATGAGAATTAAATGCTAGAACACTTTGTACATCCCTATATTTCATTGTTATTATTACCTAGATTGGCCTAACTAAACAACTGTACATTTATCCAGAACGAAAAATCACAGAAAAATTATTTACTTTATCCTTTTAAATGCGTAGCAATGTCTACGAAATTCACAGAGGTTCTCTCTGTTCTGGAATAAAATTAACAGATCATTTTTGTTCCACAGAAGGGAAAAACATACAGAGAAAGGGAATTGACCTGTTATTAATTAGACCTCTCTGATGATGCTTGACTTTTTTTCTCCAGCATTGAGTTCTATTTGAAACTTAAAATTGCTTCTGTGTTTTTAATCATTTGGACTTTTCCTTTTCTTGGCTCCATAACACAAAGCCTCATTCTCCTTAGAATACACAGTGGGCAAAACAGAGCCATATTTGCTCCCTTAAATGGAGGCTTGGTGTCTTCTCTGACTATCGCTTATACAGGCCCTTTTGTGCCTACCAGCAGAATGTCTTACCCAGAAAGCAGAAGACCTTCAGTAGGCTTTTGGCATGGATGTGTTGGGACCTAGCTCTCTACTCCATTGTTTCTTTCTTGGTCTACATTCTCTTGGCACCTGTGTATTGGCCTACTGTGTAAATAGCCACTTTATATAAAAATCCAGTAAAGGGTGAACTTAGTCATTTCTATTGGTTTCTGCCCTCCTTCTCATAAAAATCTCTGGTCAGAGAATCATATCCCAACTGGTATTTTAGCTGCAGTTTCTGTTCTCTCTTTTTTCTGAAAATTTACTTGTCACATTATTTTTGTTCTCTTACAGATTTTTTGGGGATATATCCCTCAGGAAGTAGAAAATTCTGGTGTTTTCAGAATGCAAATCTGGGCCAACATGATATTATTTGGGTTTGATTGCTTTGTTTATTTAATTTTCCTGTGCTTTATTTCAATTGAGTTCATATCACAGTGGCTATGGTTCCACCAGCCCCATATTTCCAAATGATAGACTCCTAAAAAATCTTTTACTGCATCTTTTGTTCTTAAATATCTGTGTTTAGCTGTAGAAGGCTCTTGAAAAATGAATCTGGCTTTCCAGAGTCATAACTTTCAGCAGCATCTGTCCCTTCCCCACTATATTAATGAGACTGTTGTCTTATTTTTTAACCTGAGCTTGAAATCCCAGGAGTAACATTTTTCTTATACTTTGTGCTGCATGTGTGGTATTCCTGCACCATGAAGTAAACAATATTATGGTTTACCTCAGTAATATAAATGTTTACATAAAATTAAAAGGAAAAGAAGGAGGAGAAGGAGGAGAAAATCTCGTTAGAGTTGACTTTCAACTGGGTTCATAGTTTACATGCTCAACTGCAGGTTGTAACCCACCTCTTTAAGAGAAATTCAAATCCTGTGGTTACTTGCCTTCAAACATCAAAACATGACTATTCAGCCTTCTATTATGTTTAAATGAGGAGAAAGTCAAATACAAACTGTTAAGGCAATTTTATTTGAAAGTCAGATTTCAATATAATATACCATCTACCTCTACTCCTTCACTTTTGAAAGGTTCTCCTGACTGCCATACTTCAAAAATTGGAGCAAGACATTCTTCTGTTATATGAAGGAGGAAAAATCAAAGTCTTATGATGGGGAAAAATAAGAGTTTTGCCAGCTGTAATCCATACTAGTGAAATGATTCTGAGCAAGATAAGTAATCTCTTGGAACCTCAGTTTCATCACTCACAGAGCATGAATAGCAGGACCTGCTTCTGAGGGAGTTTGTGGGCATTGGCATGGTAGATGAGCAGATCTCCTAGCCATGGACAGTTTCAGTAGCAGTGGCCCTTCCCACTCCAGGCCTAGTAGTATATCTGAAAGTCTGCCATGGAGGGGAGCTGCTTGCGTTAAGGTCCCCTGTGCTGAGCAATGGTGTAAGGGAATCAGAAAATGGAGGAAATCAGAAAAAGTAAGGAGTTGAAGAAAATGGGAATGTAACTGTAAACCAGTACTTGCTGTTTTGTCACCTTTGGTGAAGTTGAACAAAATGAAAGAGTGAAGGTAAAACAGAGCTTCCTGGCTACTGCCTTTATTAGTTGCAAAGATGGGCAGAGGACTTATAAGGAACTCACAAATAATTGATCAGACTTTTTTGAGCAGTTGCTTTTGAAGATTTGGTGATTAAATATTAACCCATATGATGTTTTTCCTCCTATCTTAGCTTAACAGAGTAGGTGGCAAATTGTGTGCACTCAACAAAATTTTTGAATAAATACATATGTTAAATATGTTGAGGAATCAGTCTTTTTTTTTAATACACAATTCATTTAAAAAATAGAAATTAAGTTCTTATTATATGCAAACACTAATAAGAGCATGCTACTCAGTCAAACACTGCTCTTGCACTAACACATTTTTTTTTTTTTGAGACAGAGTTTTGCTCTTGTTGCCCAGACTGGAGTGCAATGACACGATCTCAGCTCACGGCAACCTCTGCCTCCCAGGTTCAAGCAATTCTCCTGCCTCAGCCTCCCGAGTACCTAGGATTACAGGTGCCCGCCACCACACCCAGCTAATTTTTTTTTTTTTTTTTTGTATTTTTAGTAGAGATGGGGTTTCACCATGTTGACCAGGCTGGTCTCGAACTCCTGACCTCAGGTGATCCGCCTGCCTTGCCCTCCCAAAGTGCTGGGATTACAGGCATGAGCCACCATGCCCAGCCTTGCTCTAATACATTTGGAGAAGAAAATGTGGACGCTACCAGAAGTGTGCTAGAGCTGACTCACGCCCACTAGTGAAAGCCAATTGTTAAATTGTCAGAAATTTTCAGGCCAGTTGCTAAAAATAGCCATTGTTAAATACTAAATATTAAAAGTAGATCTAAAACAAAAGGCAATACTCAAACATCATCACTTCTGAATTATTTTACTACCTTCTACTATTATCTATGTTCTTGAGAAGATCAACATCTACTGTATCCGTACAATGAAAACACTGTATAACAGCGTATTGCTGTGAATTCCAAGTCTGTATTCAACGATGTCTCATTCGTAGTTTAAAATCTGCCATGTGGTATTTGCACCAAGGAAGTCAGCAAAGGCTACAATCAGAGCTATTTTTTCCTGAGACCTGGTTGTTAAATGGGCACACCACTGGCTCTATCTCAATAGAAGACTGAAATAATAGTTTAAGACCATATTACATGGCCTATTTATAATATCTAATTTCAAAAAATGTTTCATATGCTTTCGTATGCATTATCCCATTTCAAATAAAGAAATAGAAGCTTCCATTCACACAGCTCTTAAGAGATGCAGCCAGAAGCAGAACAGATGCTTCCAGATTCTGATTTGACCACTCCATCATCTGCACCCACTCTGATTGGTAGTGGAAGGCCACCTTGAGAAGTCCGCATGGTGTCTTGGCTCAGCAAAGAGTATGGGAGAGGTTGGTTAGTAATGTCTTCAGGGACTATGGAGGGGTAAGGAAGACCTCCCTTTCAGTTATTTGACTTTTTGGCTTACTCCTCACTGTCTTCTGTGAGACAATATAAATTTAAGTATTTGGTAAATTATATAAACAATAAGTCTAAGCTACACTGTGGATGTATCTGATTTTGTCTATATTAAATGGAAGGGAATAAAGTCTTGATCAGTTCAGGGGAGAAAATGGGATTTGAATGGAATCCTGAAGAAAAGAAAGGATCCATCTGGTTGAGAGAAAAAGGCAAAACATCCACAGATACACACAGAGAAGGAAATACAATGACCATCCTGGAGAAAAATGAAGTATCCAGTTTGGTTGGAGGGCAGGATTTATAGATGGGAGTGCTAGAGAAAGGGACTGGGAGGATAGATAGAAACTGATTACCAGTAATCCTAAATGGCAGTATTAAACTTTGATGCTAAACTGGTACAGGTTTGCAGGAGAAGGGAAAAGTTGAAGAAGAAAAAGCATTTTAGTGACTGCTTTAAAAAGTTTATTTTTTAATAACTATGCTTACAGTATACACTTAATTGGTAATATATGCCATGTAATTTACCTTGATCTATGCCAATTAGACCAAAAATATATACTGTTTTTAGTTTATTAGGAATGAAGAAGGTCCTCTCTCAAATGCTGCAACATCAGGCATCAAGAACTTAGTAAATTTACCTATGGCTTACTTCATAAAGTATTAATAATACACATATATTGTTCCATAAACACTTAAAACATGGTGGAAAAATATAATGTTTCCACACCAGTTTATAAAAATTCACTATCTGTAATATTGTCTTGGGGGAAATAACGTGTATACATTTGAAACAATTGTAAAAGATGCTCAGATTCAGTTAATATTGCATGTAGACTGTAGATTTACACAAGCCAATATTCAACAAATTGAATCTGAGTGATACTGTCAGCTCTGTTAATCAGCTGAAATAAACAAGGAAATTCAACATACTGGTAATTGAATTTTCTGATTTTTATATAAAATAAAATATTCAGTTTTATCTTTAACTTCCCAGAATTGGCAACTATACTATATGGAGCACAGTGCTCTTTCTGCACTCAATGTATGTGAGGAAACATGTCATTGGCCTCCCTGACTTTAAGTTGACAAACACACATTTACAATGTAGACCTTAGATTCGCTCAAGACAATTAAAATACTTCCAATGCAAAGGGACCTTACAGAAGAATTTAATGATGGAGGAGGCTTTTGATTTTGATTTGTTTTGCATTTTTTTCCAAGGAGTTTTTAAAACAAGCTGTAACATGATCAATCAGTGGCCATATTCAGAATGAGCTAGAATGAGTATTGAGAATAGAAGCAGGAAGATCAGTCAGGAAGGTCTGATTGTTTTCCTGTGACCCAATTTTTGTGCAAAGGAAATTTTGCTGAGGGCAGGCACCAAGTACAGCTCAGACTTATCATGTATGATGTGTGCATCTCGTTAGTCACTATACCTCATTCCCTTTTTTTTTTTTTTTTTTTTTTTTTTTTTTTTGACACAGAGTCTCACTCTGTCACCTAGGCTGGAGTGCAGTGGTGCGATCTTGGCTCACTGCAACCTCCGCCTCCCAGGTTCAAGCAATTCTCCTGCCTCAGCCTCTCAAGTAGCTGGGACTACAGGTCTGGACCACCATGCCCGGCTAATTTTTGTATTTTTAGTAGAGATGGGGTTTCACCATGCTGGCCAAGCTGGTCTCGAACTCCTGACCTCGTGATCCGCCCACCTCGGCCTCCCAAAGTGCTGGGATTAAGGCATGAGTCACCACGCCTGGCACCTCATTCTTTTCAATACAAACTGGCTGGGACATAACTAAAGAGGAATACAGTAGAGTGACTTAGAGCTATGGCTCTCTTGTCAAACTATCTGGATTGAAATCTGGGCATATGCTCCTCTTTTCTGTAAGATGTCGATAATACCCACTTTGAAGAGTCAGTGAGAGGAGTAACTTCAGTGACTAACGTATTTAGCATATATTCAGGCACATAGTGAGCAAATTGACTATTAGTAATATTATTTAACTGATGCTGGTGGCCAAAGAACGTATGCTATACACAATTTGACCCGACCACAATAAACAATTACAGAAATAATTACAGAAATTAAAGACATCTGGAGCTGCATTTGATGGGTGTTGGGGGAGAAGGGTATGGCAGCAAACACACGCATGTTTCCTCGGTGCACCCACCTCAATGCGTAGACTGCAATGGTCATGTGACTCTTCTTCTTTTATTCCATTTCCCAATCCTGCTGATTCCCCACCTTTCTGAAGGTGGTTTTTATTTTCTCTCACAAAGGTCCCAATTTGGGCCCCGAGTCTGCTGGAGAAAAGAGAAAGGCTAAGAAGCAGCCTACCTTACCTGTGGCTCTGGGTCTGAGGATGGCCAGGAGAACAGAGAGCAAAGCAGAGCCAATGCAAGACCTCTGGCCCTGGAAGCCGAAGGGTAAGAACAGAGAGAAACCTTGGAGAACATTCTTGCATAGAATTTATCTAATAGTGACAGAAAAAAAGGAGGCTATAAATAAAGCCCTCCTGAAAGAAGGTAATTATTGTTCTACTCCGCCTTACTTCCACCTTAGATGTTATATTGACAAACTAAAGCATTCTTTTGCCTCCAGAGAATTTGGCTGGATCAGAGTTTTTAATTTGGCTGGATCAGAGTTTTTAAAAAATGAGCTTTCCTACAGTGTTTGATCCAGTAAAGCTTCATGAGAAGGTAGATGAAATGTGAAATATTTAGATTGGTATTTACCTGCATATTGTACAAGAACTCAGAGAGGACGCCTCCTACCAAGATCAAAGCGTTGCTATTTATGCTAAAAATTGAAATACTGTGGAAATCAACATTGCTCGACAAAAACTTCAAAGAGAAGTAAAGCCTTCATTTAAAAAATGTTTATTTGGAGATATTTTCCTAATTTTACCTCTCTTATGTCACAACTGTTGAATGTGCTCATTTACATTTATGTTGAGGATACCATAAGGAGAAGTTTGTTTGTTGTCGTTGTTATTTTTAAAGTCCCACAATTTCGTAGTTCCTAGACTTTTATATTATTTATAAACAGCAAATAAATATGATAGTTATTATTACTTATGACTCTACTCTGACCAGTCACTACATACACACTGTCTCTAAACTTTATACCAATTCTGCAAATATGTTATTTTTCTCATGCTACATATAAGGACACTGAGGATCAAAGTTTAAAATATTTTCCCATATTCACTTAGATAGTAACTAATGGAATTGGAGATTTTCAACCTGTGTTGAATGAATGCTTCATAGACACCACATGCCTGTCATTCTGATTATCTTCTAGCTCAGTAACCAGGAACTCATGACTGACTCTAATGATGAAAATCTAGTAAAATTTTTTTAAAAACCAAACCCAAGAGAATCATTTTGTTAAAAATGTTGGCTTATGAGAACAGAAGGCAGCAAGGCAAAGGGTTCTGCCCTACATTTATCTAGTAAGGACTATAAGCTTGTGCATATTGCTTAGCTTCTCTGAGACTTGGTTTCATCATGCCCAGTAGATGCTGACACTGGTATCCTCAACATTAGCCAACAAGTGCACCTTTGATGGACATTCAGGTTCCAGAGTAAATATTCTTTCCAAAGATATCACTTTACCTCTGGTGTCTATGAAGCATTCATTCTGTCCCTGCTCATTCCCTCAATGTGTATTAAGCACTTACCAGAGGCAAAGCAGCATGTTGAGTACAATAAAAGCCATATTATGCAGTGGGCATTTGAATGGCATTCTTTGACATGAACTTACAGAAAACTCTCATTCCTTATTGCACCACCTAATATTCCCATTCCTGACTCCACATTTCCTATGTTTCCAAAAAGAAGTTTTTCAGATGGCAGCAGGATGCAGGAATCTTATTGGAACTCAAAGGCGATATGAGATTTGAGCAGCTCAGATGGTTTATTCCTGTAGTGTAAAGTATTTATCTTCTCAATTTGAAGAGCAAATGTTAACATATTTCCAAGTTGTTGTTATTGAACTGTAGTTACTTAACCATAATCACCTAAAAAAAATCTACAGTAATCGATGAGTGTTTTTTATACTTGTAGTTGTTATTCAACTTCTGTAATAATCCTTTTTATTTATTTTTACTTTAGTAAATTAGGTAAAATTTAACAGTTTAAATGGTAATCAAAAACCTAAAGCTTGCTACCAGAAAATAGGGTTTTGGGTTTTTTTATTTTTCATTTACTATATTTATATGACTAGGCCCATGTCCCATCCCCACCTCCCACATGGTTCCTATATTCACTGCCAATTTTTAGGAGTAAATATATGATGTAATTTTTCTCCTAACAAGCTGCTGTGACTGTTGGCAGTAGAAAAAAATAGGAGTTGGACACAAAGGAAATAAATGGAAGAACAGTTGAAGAGGCCCAATGACTCCTATTGGGTAAAAATGAAAGGAAGAGTGTTTGATCACAAACCATATCTCTGAGGTTGCTTTCTCCAAATACTGTGAATGCAAAATAATTTCATTCAAAAGCAAATATGAGTTTGAGGATATTTTATTTTACCTGAGGAAATCAAAAGGAATAAAGAAAGAAAAACTAATGATCGTCAGTACCTATATTACACAAGGGCACAAAGTACTTGGCCAGAAGGCATCAGGTCGGAGAACAGTTCTTTACCGACTGCCTCCATTTTGTCCAAACCAGGATTTCTTCTGATTGATTGGTGCCAGTTTATATGGATTGTTAAATATTTTGAATAGCACCCTTGGCTAGTGCTCTGTAAACACTGACTTAATTCTCACCACAAGCCACTGAGGTTAAGTATTATTATCCCAATGTACAGATAAAGGGATTGTGAAATGAGGAGGAACATTCATGTCCACAGTGGTTTGAGACTCTTCCTCAGGGGTCAACTCTTATTCCTAAACAAGTACAGAGCTGTACCTTTCGCATCTCTGTATCTAGTGTCTAGGAGAGTCCTGCCATGTACTTGGTGCTCAAAAATGGTTTACTCAATTGAATTTAACAGACAACTGTTCATTTTACTGGGATGAAGAATATCTCCCCTACACGTACAAGTTTCACATATAGGTGAAACTTGGTTCACATGTGGGGCCCAGCTCAGGATTTTGCAGTCCCACCTTCTCTTTCAGACTATAATTATAGGAATTTAAGAGTTCTACCAGTTTACCCCAGCAATAAATACATTGCAGAAAATGTATTACATTAATCGTTCTCCCTCATTATAATGCATTTCTTCTCAAGAAAGAGGCAAAAAATGCTAGAACTCTACCCTAAGTGAATGTGATACAGAGGAATATTTAATACCAGTGTATTTATAGCAGTGTTATTTGTATTAGACACTGAAAACAAACTAAATGTCTAAGGATGGGAGAATGGCCTAATTAATCATAGTTAAGATGCATGATGGAATGTTACGTAGTCATGGTGAATCACATTTTAATTAATTTGAGATTTTGTATTTAATAAGCTTTTTATTGAAGTGTAATATACAGAACAAAAAGTGCACAAACTATAAGTATAAATAATTCTCATTAATTTAAAAAGAATTAATAATGAGGCAACTACTTAATGGTGCCTCTCAAAAACTAACTTCTTTTCTCCTCAAAGAGATTCATTATTTTAACATCAAATAGGATATAGGGAAATAGCTATTATCACATAAGTGAAAAAGGATGAAGCAAATTGTACAGTGTTCTCTAATTATGTGATTATTTATATGTAATTAAATGTGCAGAAAAATGCTAGAAGGAAATAACTAAAATGTTATCAGTGGTTGTATCTTAGCAATCAGAATAGGGGTACTTTTATTTTTTTCTTATCGTAAATATACATGGCACTAATAAATACTTTTCAGGATAAATGTTATTTAAAGGAAACAAAATATGTTAAAATCCATTGTAAACATGTTTTTTTCATATTTGTCAGAAGCTGGCACTATTTTTCTAGTCCTAAAATGTAGAAGAGCTCAAAAAGTTGCCTAGAAAATTAGGCTATTACATACGATTATATTTAAAGCAATATATCTCCTATTAGAACATGGATAAAATTATGATATGCTTTTGATTATACCATGGACATTAATTACTGAGAACCATAAGTTCCTACCATGAAACTACACATGGTATGGTTAATTCTCCTAGCCAGTGTGATTTTTGCATTGCTGCCAGCACAAACCTTATAAGGTTCTCATTGTGCCAGTTTTGTCACATTCCAGAGAATTTTCTTCCCATCCTTATGGCTTTGCTTGGAAAAGAATGACTAGAAAATGATGCTGGAGATCATAAGGTCAGTCTAGCCGAAATTGTACTGACAAAGCAGCAGAAGCTTCTGGAAACAGATCTAGAGTTCTGGAAATCGGCCAAGGTCCAGGGGTGTGTAGATGACATGTTCTGCATTTTGCTTAAAATTAACTAGAAAAAAAATTGTATCTGTTTGCCTTTGTTTTTACAGAAGTCAGATAATATATTGATGTGAGAGTAGAGCTGTGGAGAAAGATATAGCTCCTAAAAATGCTTTAAATATATAATCAAGATTAGTTGGATTCTTTCCTTCTTGTCCTTCCTCCTAATATTTCTTTCTTCAATTGCATGTTTATTTTGAAAACAGATTAGAATTTACTATTCAGAGGGATGTATGAGATCTACAGGGAATGAAGCAAGAACTAAATAGAAAACAAATGGAAAGGAATTCAACAAAATAATTCACAATATGATTTATCTAGGAAGAGGGAATCAGAAAAACTTTCCTAATCAGAAAAGCTTCCCTCTTGGGAAGTCCATTTTCCCAGAAGGAGCTGGAGAAAGGAACAAATGCTTCATCACTGATGGTAAAAGCCTGTCCTCTATGCACACAGAGGGCCCTGGTTCTGCTCTGCACTGTGGAGAATTTCCCAGACTGAGTTGCCCAGGTTGTGGAGAGATTGAAAACACTGAGTTGGGAGAAAAGGAGTGGAAATGGTTAGGAGTAACTATGGCTCAAACTTCATAAATAGTAATTATGTTTACAAATTTTAAGCTTCAAACTGCTCTCCTTATGGTTCAGAAAGATACAATTTTTCCTGGAAAGAAAAGCCCAGAAAAGCGAATGTCTTAAAAAAAAAACAATCACTGCTTTAATAGTCAGACTGTAGAGTTTAGTGGCCAGCAGTGACCCAAAGTGGTATTTTTCAAGCCTTGACATTTATTTAATGCCTTTAATGTGGTTATATAAAAGTGTTTCACATACACACTATTAATATTTAGGTGCCAGGTGGCTGCTATGCATAGTGTTTTATTATTTATAAGTCTGTTTCTCTGGTTCACAGGGAGATGAGTGGCTGTCATTGACCCAAGAAGGATTCTTTTAACATCATACATTAATTTCTTCAGAGAAAGAATAACATTACCTTATAGTTTGGTGGTAGAGCAAAATATATTAATTTTCTAGATAGGGTCAATAGAATCGTATGGCAATTGTGCATCTGTAGCTAGTGAGGACTATAAGCTTGTGCATATTGCTTATCGTCTCTGAGACTCGGTTTCATCATCTGTCCAATGGGAATGTTAACGATATTTTTTGAAGGAACACAAGCCAAATACCTGTCAGAGTACCTTGAAAATAGAACATGCTTATAATTAGTTTCCTACCTTCCTCCATGAGTCTCAGTTTTCTCATCTGAAAAACCAGTGGGTTAAGTGTGGAATGTCGAATAGTTTCATTCCATATGATAACTCCAAGCAATTGATATGAACTGCTTACAGCGTTCATGAAAAAGATTTGAAACCCAAGGTGGGAATATCATGAAAATGCTAAGTAGATGATTCTTGCCTACCTTGGATAAAGGAAAAAAGTGGCTGCACGTGTGCTGCTGCCTGTTTCTCAGCCCTCCCAGATACAAAAGCCTCTGGTTTTGAACTTGACCTTTGTGTTCATGAACTACCTTGGGTAGAATTAAGGAAACCTAATTAGGATCTTTGTTGCTAGCACTTTAAAGCGTTACTAATAAAATTCAAGTACAGCCTGGCAATTTCCCTAGTCAGTTTAGTCAGTTTAGGGACTCTTATTCACAGACATTGCACAGAAGCTTTCCTTGCCAACTTTTGGCCAGTGAAGCTCTAACTCAAAGGCTGGTATTTGAATATTTGCCAGTAAAAACAACTCTGTGGAGTTTTATTACCTTATATATTCCTGAAGGAGCCAGGATAAGATCTCTGCTTATCTTATTTCTATAAACTATTCCATGCACCTTACTTCACTCCTCTGAATTTCTTAGGAAGAGAACAGAGAACAATATAGTTGGAAGAAATTAGATGTCAACAATTCGATTGTTAATAAATATAACTAAGAGTGCAATTTCAGAAATTAAATGTATTATTAGGTATAATTGCTAAATTTGTTGAAACTGATTTTTTAAATATTAAGTTCTGTTTTCATGTTTTTTTACTTTTATTATTAAAAATAGCAAATATTTTGAAAACATAATTTTTAATTGGCTCCAAATCTCACAAGTTTAACCTAGCCATCATGATTGGGATTCATTCCATTCTAGTTTTTGTGTATTAGAATATACACCGGAACTTTTTAGTGGTTGTAAATAGAATACATGTATAATTTTGAATTCTAATCATTCAGTAAGAATTATATTTTCTCACTTTTCCCATCTTCATTATAAACAAATGAGGTTATTTTAATTACAATATAGTATGTCACTGGCATTTGGGTAATAATTAGTTAGCATTTTACTCCTCATAGGGATTTTATATTGTCAAGGCCAAATCATGATTTCAACTTAGATCTGTTTTCTACACAATCCAACATGGGAAATCACACAGATTGACAAAGCTGTCTTGTTGTTCTATTGAAAAAAAAATTTTGTAAGAAAAATAAAAATAAAAGTCCCATATCCCATTTTAAAACAAAGAATTGAGAATATGTCCCAGCTAAAACATTTTAAATATATCATATTTTATAATAAATGCAATTTCACTGCTTCTAAATAACTCATGGAGTTTGAATAGTATCCTGAATGTAATGATAATGAGTTTGAATAGTACACTGAATGTGCCATGATAAAATGACAAGATGATATCTGAGATTATCATTATCATCTTAATGTTTGTCAACAACATGAGAGCAGACACTGGGTCGTATGCTATGGAAATGAACCTTGACTGGGCATAAATGGAAAGTGAGTGGAATGTGGCCACTAGGGCTCTGCTTACGTGAATGTCTAAGGAACTGCCACAGGAAATTTTTTTTTTAAGAGTTGAAATAGGGAGGGAGACATCACACGCCAGGTCCTGTTGGGGGTTAGGGGACAAGGGGAGGGTGAACATTAGGACAAATACCTAATGCATGCAGGGCTTAAAACCTAGATGATGAGTTGATAGGTGCAGCAAACCACCATGGCACATGTATACCTATGTAACAAACCTGCACATTCCCAGAACTTAAAGCAAATTTTAAAAAAAGTTGAAATATAGTTAAGAAGTATAATATAGACTGGTTTCTGAAGAAGACAGCCTGGGTGACCTTTTTGTGTGACCACACAGAGTCTCTTAAACTCTTTGTTTCTCAGTTTTTTCATCACATGGCTGATGTAAAGATTCAACAGAATAAATATGTACAGCTCTTTGAACAGTGGCTGGCATATAAGTACTCCCTCAATGGATTTTAGCTATTATACTACAAATTTGTTTCAAAGACATGAAGCGGAATTGGAGCAGATTCTGAATAAGGCATGATGCCTGTCATTCTGATTATCTTCTAGCTCAGCAACTAGGAACTCATGACTGACTCTAAGTATGGAAATCTAGTAAAATTTTAAAAAATCAAACCCAAAAGGATCATTTTGTTAAAAAGTTTGGTTCTCGAGAAGAAAAGCAGCAAGGCAAAGCATTCTGCCCAGTAGATGCTGACACTGGTATCCTCAACATTAGTCAAGTCCATCTTTGATGCTGTCATTGTCTAAAATTATCAACAGCAGTACCTTGAGGTAACAACTAGTGACACATATGCCAGTTTGCCACTAACAGAAAAAAATGACACAATCCCAATGAAGCTGGAGAGAAGAACAAAATATGAGATGAAGCACAAAAGAATGTTCCCAAACTTCTCAAAGGAGAGGGACTATTTCTGGAGGTAGAGTCAGAGCTAGAGGGAAATTATGTTTTGTTATGCTTATTTTTACCCACAGGCAGTTATGATATATCAAAGCCAGGTTTCAGGTGGTGTGCACAATGATTTGCTACAAAAGTCTAAAAACTGATTCATTCAACAGGTATTTACTGAATACCTACAAAGTGCCAGGTCTTATGCACTTGCACAAGTGAGAGTCAGACAGATTATATTGTAGAAACAAAGGACTACAAAATCTCACTCATTAACGACAAATGTTATTCCTTATTTATGCTATAGGTCTCTCACAGGTCAACGCAGGATCTACTCCATCATCATCTTCACTAGCACACCCAGTTCGATTGAGGAGCCTTGACGTGGGATATTGATGGGATATTGAGAGAAAAGAGAAATGGTGAATCAAGCACTAATCTCAAAGCTTCTGCACAGAACTACTTACATGTCACTTCCTCCCATGACTATTCCTAAATTCAGCCAAAAGGGGACACATAATCTCTTACGGGGGAGGGCACCACGGGGAGAGAAACCCGAATATTTGGTGAATAGTAACACAATCTACTTTGTTATAGAATCTGTCCTCAATGGTCTTACAGTCTAAGAGCATTACATTTAGTTACGGTAGTCTTAAATATGATACTAAATGAATTGAATAGCCAGACATCTGTGAAAGTAAAACTGTGATAATACAAAGTCAGTGTGCTTTTAAGTTTCAATTGCTTAAAGTTATTTGGAAGTAAGGATCACATGAGTTCAGAGCCCCAGGATTCAAAAATAACTCCGGAATCTTTTATCACTCCCCAAAGGAAAAGCAATAATAAGTAAGTTACCAGACATTCATGTAATCTCTCTGAAACTGTAAGACTAACAAAGGAAAATTTTCAAAAGGCAGAAATACTTTATTATTTATTTGCAATAGAAATTATTCAGCCGGGCGCGGTGGCTCATGCCTGTAATCCCAGCACTTTGGGAGGCCGAGGCGAGTGGATCACCTGAGGTCGGGAGTTCGAGACCAGCCTGACCAACATGGAGAAACCCCGTCTCTACTAAAAATACACAATTAGCTGGGCATGGTGGCACATGCCTGCAAGCCCAGCTACTCAGGAGGCTAAGGCAGGAGCGACAGAGCGAGACTCCATCTCAAAAAAAAAAGAAAGAAAGAAAGGAAAAAAAGAAAAGAAAAGAAACAAAGAAATTTTTCAGTAAATACATACAACAGCATTGATGGCCTGGAGACATACCACCTTCAGTTGTGATCCTGGCAGATGTGATAGATTCTACAAGGTTGGACAGGTTAAATTCTTGCAAGGAAGTCCTTTCTGGAACACCCAAGAATTACAGAAAGTTTAGCTATCTTTCAGATGAGATTTCATTCTCAGTTTTACTTGTTCCATGACCCTTCCAAACTACACACGGGATTCTTTTCATTCAGTTGCCTTGGCCAGCATTTTATCACCAATAGTCCTATTTTATGTAACTGAGTTTGCCTTGCCCTTTACTGCATTTAGGTAAATGGAATGGTGTTTTTTAGACTTCCGAAACTATTTGTAGACCTTTTCCTTCACAAGTTTGAAATAGATGTGAGGCATTCATTTTACTCAGACAACATTGAGCCCAATTCACTTGGGAAAATGCATCTTGATGTGTAATTCATCATCCAGAGCCTGTCCACTATTCTGTTCCTCCCTGAGAGTAAATTAGGCACTTTGAAAGGTGCATTAAACTCTTCCTGGCTACTAGGTACCATTTAGAACTGTGGGGCAATAATTTACTTCATGGTACCTTGGTGACCTCAAAAAGTTTATATTGTTTTGAAAGTTCTTAATTTTCTCCCACTAAATAATTTATGCATTCAGAGGTTGGGTGTGCTTATGTTTCCAGAGAGACAACAGCTATTGAATAGCATAAATAAGATAAAATAGTCATGCTAGTGTAGAAATTAAATGTTCACAAATGTGTTATCGAGTCTATCCATAGAATAAAAGTGTAGCTTATAAAACAATTATTGCTTTGGATTTCATGTTTTAAATTTACAAGACTGTGTTACATTTTGTTGTAATTAGTAATGCTTCATAGCTACAAGGATTACCAGATCCATATCACTGCATTTTTCCATAGCACAAAACACATTTATCCAAAGTAAAAATAGTGTGCTAAACATACTGAAGTTTCTGACAGACACTTATATTTCTCTTCATTCTTTCATTCACAGCAGAGTTTCATCCATATTAAATAAATTGGTTAAGTTTTGATACCTCCTACTTTAATCACTCATCTTATGTACTAAAATGAACCAAATTAAGTTTGAGCCAACAAATAAAAGTGATATGCTTTGAGTTTTGCTGTCATTTGGGATAATTAATAATAAAAATAAACATTGCATTCATCAATTCTAAGAAACAAAGACTTTCACATTTTAATGTCTCTAAAATAAGAAGATGTCTTATAATTGATGGTGTGCCTGAGCTCTTTTGGCAGCATTTTTTCTCTCATTGTCATAAAATGATATTACATTTTAGTATTGATGGCAACTTAAATTTTTGAAATATAGCAGGACAACTTATTTTGAAAAATTGAAAATAAAGCTCTATGTGAAAATGGAGAATGATTCCAAGAATATGAACATATCACCATTTAGGTGGCAGAAGTTGATAATGTTTTCATATCCATTTCAGTCACCACTGTCCCTCTGAAATGAGTTTATCACCACTAACCAGTTTTGAAAACGTTTGAATGGGACAGATGCTGATCATGTGATGGAAGTAAAACCTATGAGAAATTTTAAGAGAATATATATGTAGGTCATAACAAAGCAGTGGAAATATTTGTTTTAAAATAATAATAATAAAAGATTATTCTTGCTACTCTCCAAGTGATGGAGATGAAATAGTGAATCACTATTTCACCAATGAAGCATAGCTCTGGGAAGAAGAAATGATTCGATAACACTTTTACAATGTTGGTGGGAGTGTAAATTAGTTCAACCATTGTGGAAGACAGTGTGGTGATTCCTCAAGGATCTACAACCAGAAATACCATTTGACCCAGCAACTCCCATTACTGGGTATATACCCAAAGGATTATAAATCATTCTATTATACAGACACATACACACATATGTTTATTGCAGCACTATTTACAACAGTAAAGACTTGGAACCAATCCAAATGCCCATCAATAATAGACTGGATAAAGAAAATGTGACACATATACACCATGGAATACTATGAAGCCATACAAAAGGATGAGTTCATGTCCTTTGCAGGGACACAGATGAAGCTGGAAACCATCCTCAGCAAACTAACACAGGAACAGAAACCAAGCAAACACCAGATGTTCTCACTCATAAGTGGGAGCTGAACAATGAAAACACATGGACACAGGGAGGGGAACATCACACACCGGGGCCTGTCGGCGGGTGAGGGCAAGGTGAGGAAGAGCATTAGGACAAATACCTAATGCATGTGGGGCTTAAAACCTAGATGACCAGTTGATAGGTGCAGGAAACCACCAAGGCACGTGTATACCTATGTAACAAACCTGCACATTCTGCAAAAGTATCCCAGAACTTAAAGTAAAAAAAAAAAAAAAAAAAAAAAAAAAGTTTATAACTTTTGCCAGAAGGGATCTATAAGAGAATGCTTTTTATCAGAATAACTTTTATATGTATCCACTGAAATAGGTTCAATCATATCTAGTATTAATCTCTGGATGTAACACCAACTCCACACCTCGAAGACAACAGGGGAGACAAAGGCAGAGCAACAACAACAACAAAATGATGTAAATTTTACAATATATCAAGATATAAAATTCAGAACCTATGCCCTTGATGTTATCCTGAATGATAAGATGATATTTACCGACAAAAATCACATGATTATCTCCATAGATGCAGAAAAGGCCTTTGACAAAATTCAACAACGCTTCATGCTAAAAACTCTCAGTAAATTAGGTATCGATGGGACGTATCTCAAAATAATAAGAGCTATCTATGACAAACCCATGGCCAATATCATACTAAATGGGCAAAAACTGGAAGCATTCCCTTTGAAAACTGGCACAAGACAGGGATGCCCTCTCTCACCACTCCTATTCAACATAGTGTTGGAAGTTCTGGCCAGGGCAATCACACAGGAGAAGGAAATAAAGGGTATTCAATTAGGAAAAGAGGAAGTCAAATTGTCCCTCTTTGCAGATAACATGATTGTATATCTAGAAAACCCCATCATCTCAGCCCAAAATCTCCTTAAGCTGATAAGCAACTTCAGCAAAGTCTCAGAATACAAAATCAATGTACAAAAATCACAAGCATTCTTATAAACCAATAACAGACAAACAGAGAGCCAAATCATGAATGAACTCCCATTCACAATTGCTTCAAAGAGAATAAAATACCTAGGAATCCGATTTACAAGGAACGTGAAGGACCTCTTCAAGGAGAACTACAAACCACTGCTCAACGAAATAAAAGAGGATACAAGCAAATGGAAGAACATTCCATGCTCATGGATAGGAAGAATCAACATCGTGAAAATGGCCACACTGCCCAAGGTAATTTGTAGATTCAATGCCATCCCCATCAGGCTATCAATGACTTTCTTCACAGAATTAGAAAAAACTACTTTAAAGTTCATATGGAACCAAAAAAGAGCCCGCATTGCCAAGTCAATCCTAAGCCAAAAGAACAAAGCTGGAGGCATCATGCTACCTTACTTCAAATTATACTACAAGGCTACAGTAATCAAAACAGCATGGTACTGGTACCAAAACAGAGATATAGACCAATGGAACAGAACAGAGCCCTCAGAAATAATGCCACACATCTACAACTATCTGATCTTTGGCAAACCTGACAAAAACAAGAAATGGGGAAAGGATTCCCTATTTAACAAATGGTGCTGGGAAAACTGGCTAGCCATATGGAGAAAGCTGAAACTGGATCCTTTCCTTACACCTTATACAAAAATCAATTCAAGATGGATTAAAGACGTCAATGACAGACCTAAAACCATAAAAACCCTAGAAGAAAACCTAGGCAATACCATTCAGGACATAGGCATGGGCAAGGACTTCATGTCTATAACATCAAAAGCAATGGCAACAAAAGCCAAAACTGACAAATGGGATCTAATTAAACTAAACAGCTTCTGCATAGCAAAAGAAACTACCATCAGAGTGAACAGGCAACCTACAGAATGGGAGAACATTTTTGAAATCTACTCATCTGACAAAGGGCTAATATCCAGAATCTACAAATAACTCAAACAAATTTACAAGAAAAAAACAACCCCATCAACAAGTGGGTGAAGGATACGAACAGACACTTCTCAAAAGAAGACATTTATGCAGCCAAAAGACACATGAAAAAATGCTCATCATCACTGGCCATCAGAGAAATGCAAATCAAAACCACAATGAGATACCATCTCACACCAGTTAGAATGGCGATCATTAAAAAGTCAGGAAACAACAGGTGCTGGAGAGGATGTGGAGAAATAGGAATATTTTACACTGTTGGTGGGACTGTAAACTAGTTCAACCATTGTGGAAGTCAGTGTGGCGATTCCTCAGGGATCTAGAACTAGAAATACCATTTGACCCAGCCATCCCATTACTGGGTATATACCCAAAGGATTATAAATCATGCTGCTATAAAGACACATGCACACGTATGCTTATTGCAGCACTATTCACAATAGCAAAGACTTGGAACGAACTCAAATGTCCAACAATGATAGACTGGATTAAGAAAATGTGGCACATATACACCATGGAATACTATGCAGCCATAAAAAATGATGAGCTCATGTCCTTTGTAGGGACATGGATGAAGCTAGAAACCATCATTCTCAGCAAACTATCTCCAAGGAGAAAAAACCAAACACCGCATGTTCTCACTCATAGGTGGGAATTGAACAATGAGAACACATGGACACAGGAAGGGGAACATCACACACTGGGGCCTGTTGTGGGGTGGAGGGAGGGGGGAGGGATAGCATTAGGAGATATACCTAATGTAAATGACGAGTTAATGGGTGCAGCACACCAACATGGCACATGTATACATATGTAACAAACCTGCACATTGTGCACATGTACCCTAAAACTCAAAGTATAATTAAAAAAACAAGATATTTACTTAGCCTAAATATTTTTATTATCAAATAATAATAAATGGGATAAATATGCTTCATTCTTTCAGTAAAATGTGATGCCTAGTAGAATCGGCTGGCTATATTATCCCAAAATACCTACACCCAACTGGGAGTCCCACTTCTAATTTACAAAACATGGAAATTAAAAAATGTGATTACATGATTATATAACACCAACCCACCAGAATGGGGCACTTTTGGGAGGGATTCATTTTAACTTTAAACAATTTATGTAAGAAGTCACAATTTAACATTAACATGGAACATACACAGTTCAATACCATTTGAATTCAAGATTTGGAATCCAACAAATCTACAAGCTATCATAGAATAAGAATTTTTGATATGTATATACCTCTATAGAATAAACTCTATTTTCTATGTCTGTGAAGGTAGGAGTTACGGTCAAGGATAGAATTTGGTAGATGAAGCTTCTTCTGTACTGTTCCTAGCCAACAGCACAACACATCTGAATTTGTGTCTATTAAATGTCCATCATATGTTCAAACTCCAAAAACTTTAATAATATTTGTGCATTTACAGATTCTGCATTTGCCTGATATTACTCTTCAGATTATCTTATTTTCATAATCTTTATAATTATAGAAAAAATAGCATAATTAAGAAATTCCCAATTTCATTGAAAATTAGAGAAAACAATGTAATTTTTTTCTTAGGGTTCACCTCCATTAACTATATTAACGTTTGCCTCTTACAAAGATAGCCAGGGGTCTCGTGACAGGCAAGAAAGATGATTAAGTCTGAAAAGACAACATTTGAACTCTTGTTTCTTACATATTACCTCTCTAACATCTGACAAATTACAACGCTTCATTGAGCCTCAGCTTCAGCATCCATAAAATAATAGTATTTACCTTCATATATATTGATAAGATTAAACAAGTTAATATATGTAAAGCACCTGACACATAAAATATATTCAATCTTTGTTTAAAATAAATCCTAGAGTAACTTAAAGAGTAGTGGTAGCTTATCCTTTTAGTTCTGTGTGACTTGAATATACTGGGTAGTTTAGCTCTAATGTCTCAGTATGTCTCATAACATCAGTTTCAAAAACCTTCAGCAATTCAAGTAAGTAAACATTTATTGAATACTGCAATAGGTATAGAGCGGAGGGAAATGATAAAATGCCTCCCGTGGGAGGGTTCACAGAGCGGGTTGACATGTCAATAAACATTCCTAATAGAAGACCCTCAGACCCTTTCTGCAAAGTCTTAGCAGGCAGCATGAAACTCCTTGTGACAAAACTGTGGTGTGGAAGATTAATGAGAGCAGGTGTCATGAAACCACTGGTAAGAAACATCCAGAAGTTGAGCTTGAAAATACTACCTGAAAAAACTGAAATAGCACCCATAAAAAGATTGGAAAATTTGGGAGAAAACTGTGCAATGACATATTAACACCTAGATAACTTTTAAGATAGATTGCAGACAAGAACAATCAGCAAACATATCTAGCAGAAATAAAATAGAATGAGACACTTGGTCACCTTGCTAATTTGGAAGATTAAAAGAAAAGTTAAAATTCCTAAGTCTTTACTGCAAATGACAGCTAATCAGATGCCAAATTGACACTTAGTTCATATATTAAAACCAATGGATCTTTTGGGGTGAGAAATTATTGTTTCTTGCTTAAAGTCTAGCATTTATAAGGCATGGGATGATTTATTTTATTAATAAAGAAATGTGAGATGAGCTGAAAGGAAACAAAAAGTGATCCAAGAATTTATGAATCATGAAAGAGACTCTGATCACATCCTTTCAGTGACCCCAAGCCCCCACTTTCTACATTTCTGCCCTCCAAAGTCACAAAGTCTTCCTGTCATCTCATACAAAACAGATGATTGATAATTAGCATCTGGCTCCGTTAAAGTTGTAGCTTCTAATCCAAGCAGGCATATCAATAACTTTTCAAAAAAATCAGTATTTTTCATGTAAAATAAATTTTTGTGCAACCTGTTAAGAGAATATTGTTATCTATTTTAACACGAAGAATACGTTAGAAGTTCTAGTGATTCTCATGTGTTCCTCTCTCTACTTTGATAATCAAAAAGCTTTAGAAAGTAGGGTGTGAGGAGCAACTGAAAGTCAGCCATGAATCTTGTGGCCATCAATAATCACCTTGTTAGTCAATGTCATGATCAGAAATACTGTTTAGTAACAGTATCCTTGACAATGATACATAGACTAGTCAGTCATCCAACCTTTTCAAGGACTTTTCACCTTCTCTTGCCAAAGATTCATTCCTTTTTTCCCACACGTTATTACTTGTTTATTAAAAGGTAGAAGGAAAAATTTTATCAGGACTCTAGAAAGAATTCAAGAAGACAGAAAGCTAACATTTACCACCCTTCCCCCACCAAAAGAAAGCAGTTGATACAAAGATTTCTCTCTCTCTCTCTCTCTCTCTCTCTCTCTTTCTGTCTCTTTTAAGAGACAAGGTCTCCCTCTGTTGCCCAGGCTTAGTGCAGTGGTAGTGCACTGTAACCACTAACTCCTGGCTCAAGTGATCCCCTCAACTCAGCCTCCCAAATAGCTGGGACTACAAGAATGTGCCATCACAAATAGCTAATTTTTATGTATGTATTTATTTATTTTGGTAGAGATAGAGTCTTTTTGTGTTGGCCAGGATGGTCTTAAACTTTTGGCCTCAAGTGATCCTCCCACCTCAGCTACCCGAAGTGCTGAGATTACAGGCATAAACCCCTGCGCCTGGCCTCTCCTCCACTGCCCCACTTTCTTCCTTCCTTCCTTTTTTCTCTCTTTTTCTTGTTTGCTTGCTTGCTTTCTCTTTCTTCTTTTTCTTTTTTTTCATAAAAAAATACAGCAGGGAAGATGGTAATGAAATAGGACCGTGGTGATGAGGAGACTGTGTGGATGAGAAAGAGATGAAAAGATTTAGTGCCATCTATAAATAAGAAATTTGAAAAGAGGAAATATTTCTAATATATATGTATGCTGTATAAAACTCCTTTAAGGAATGTTCAAGATTGAAGTTTTCTTCAAAGAGCCAGTAGATACTGCTGTTTTTTATATGTTACACCACATAGAGATTGGACCATCTGGAACCTCAGGTGTTATATGTGATGTAAATTTACATATAAGGAACATATATATATATGTATATGTAAGTTTCTTTGAAGGCCAAACTCTTGTTTATCTTCACACCTTCCACAACACTAAGCATAGCATTTTGCACATGGCAGGCACTCAACAAATATTCACTAAAGCCAAACAAAGGAATATGGTTCCCAAATCAGCATTTACTAAGGTGGAAACATTGTGAAATATTGGAAAGAGTACAAGGTTGTATGACGTGAAAATCTCAGTTGTATTCATGGCTTGTTAAACTCAATAGCTTTGGAATCTTCAGCAAGTTTCTTTTCTTCCTTGGTCATCAGATTTCTTCTCAGAATCATAAGGGCCTTGACTGGGTCATCTCTCCCTGACGTTCAACCCTCTAAGTCTAATGCTTTAATACTACAAATTCCCAGATGGTTTTATTTGGCATGGATGGGTTTAGTACTGTTAGCCAACAATTCTATCAACTCTGCTCTGGGGTTCTTTAAGATTGCATCCGGTTTTCTACTGTTGTTATAGCTATAAGATAAACACCTGGGAGAATACTCTCAAAGAAGGATGACAGGAAGCACTTGTTTACAACTCCCATCACTATTGTCTAAACTACTAAAGATGATAAAGTGGCCCTCATAATAATCATAGCCACCGTACTTATTGTGTGTCCCAGGCACTGTGCTAGTCATTTAAAAAGCTTTTTCTCTTTTGCTTATAATAACCCTAATGAGTAGACCTCATTGTTTTAGCTACATAGGTTATCTCTCCTAGACAACACCCCTTAAAATAACTGTAACAATCACAAGCAAAAATGGTGCAGGTCAGTTGGGATTGAGGATTCAGGACCAACTGAATAACCCCTAATATCACAGAATAGATTTTGCACAAATTTGCATTTGTAATATGCTATTATCAGCAGGTGTTTTTTTTTAATGGAATTGATATCTCTAAAGGAGAGACTTTAGGAATATTTGAATGGATCCTACTTGCGCTAATGAATTTTCCTAGAAATTTCCTTTGTCCTGTTTTTAGCCAGTTCTATTGGAACTGGGTCTTCCTTACAAGTAGATGATGTAAAGATTTATGGTCCTTAGAACATGTGGAAATTAGAGAATGGACTAATGGAATCCATTAACATCCTCTCACCAATTAGATGAATTGTAGATCAATATAGTGTATTAATAGAGTCAAACATATATATATAAATATCCCATTGGGACAGCCTCAGGAAGATAAGACTAATTTTTATTGTCTTGAATTGAACAAAAAAAAACATACTTAAAACACAAAGGCCTCCTTTCAGCCTTGTATTTTAGTGATTTTGAAATTAAAATGTTAGTCTATATTGCCTAATGATAACACATCACTTTCTGATTGAAAACTCAACATATAGTAGTAGCAAAGTGAATAGCTTTCTTGCATCAGTAAATAAAATACTTTTTATAAGTTCCAGTTAAATATTTGTATAGTTTTAAAGAAGGATTTCAAATAATAATTTTTATTTCAGTTTAGATTATATTTCAGTTTCATCATGCAAGTAACTCTGAAAAGAGGTACTGATTAAATATGATTGATGTAACAGTTGCCCTCCCCTGTACATGTTCTCCATAAACCTCAAAGCCTAACCTCAAAGATAAAAAAAATAGAATGCCAAAGGAAAATTACTGCAAAAGTACTTTGTGCTAAACTGGCATTGGACATAAAAATAAAATAATGCCTGTAAAGCTTAAGGGAATAATTAAGATTTTAATGTAGTCTCATTCCTAGGAAAATACTAGGAATCATGATTCAAGAACACTTGTGTTTCACAAATTAAAACAAAAACAATTGAGGCAGTCTATTTAAATGTTCCAGGATTGAGGTTTAATGAAAATCTTTAATTAATTTATATTGGGGTCACATTTTAACACTATCAGTGAGAATCATTAGGAAAATAGAGAATGGTATGAACTACCCATATTCCAGTAAAACAAAAAACAAAAAAAAAGAGGTCAAAAGGCAGAGCGTGGCAGTTCAGCAAGAGAAAGAAAACAAATAAATTATCTTCTGCAGAAGGACGGCATGTTCAGCCAGACGTTACAGGTTTTATTTTATTTTATTTTTTGTAGCTCATGATACTCTGACACCCTTGCTTATGAGTTTAGATTTAACAAATGCACACCTGGCTATGAGGGGGCACTCAGCCTCAAATAAAGTGTTAGGATATATACATTCGTGTGCTCCCTAAAGGAGAGAGGCAGGATTGTAGTAAACATTTGGTCCTGTACAATTTTGAACAGGATGCAAAATAAAGAAGTCAGCTTTAATTATGGGGCAAAGATGGAGAAAATTTCCAACATCCTTTTTCATTGATGTTGACAGCATACAAAAATGAAAAGCAAAAAGGAAGCATAAAAGTCAAAATCTGTTTCTTATTATTCTGACTCTTAAGAGGAAAAAAGAATGCATATTGGGTTGACATGAGATACTGATTGTCATATCACTGATTATGAATTTACTTTCCATTAACATAGAAGCTAGAAGCACTTTCATTGGCATCCAGTAACAATCCACTATTACTTAAATGCACCTTAAATTCCAGTGGTGCTTCCAAAGGCAAGGTTTATGTAATTAAATTTTAGGGTGCATATTTGAAACCATCATATGAAAATAAGTGACTTGTGTTGGTCAGTAAGAAAGTAAATTTTTCTTTCCTAATTGTCGTGTCATTCTAAGACCATCCCTATTAAGACATCTAAACACAGCTTGCTTTAGTCCTTGTTGTGGAGGAAGGGGATTGACGGCACAAAACAAGAAGTTCAAACACAAGGTATTTCCAAATAGTTTGCAAAAGTGATTGCTGCTTGGCAACCTGACATTTGATGGCCTCTCCACAGACAACTATCCCTTTCCACAAATACCTGGAAGGGAACATGAAGTGAAAACCAGAAATAATCCGATCACGGCCAACTAAGTGTTCTATGAAGAACTTTTACATTCCTGGATTTTTAACAATGACACAAAATGAAATAGGAAGACAGACACATGTTGAAAAGAAACAAAGAATGTTGAGAGGAAGTAAATACTAACTTTAGGAAGGTTAGGTCCCTGATTTACAAAGTTCTCTCAGGAAGGATTTTCTACTTTCTCAATTTTTTTCTGGAGCTGATATTGTTCCTGAGAGGGGATATGAAGGAGAAATTCAACCTTCAGTTCTAGATACATAATTTCAACTTCTTGATACAACAGTCCAAATCACATCTCTTAAAAAATTATTCAAATAATCAATACCTAATATGTATAACTTGTGTAACAGGCACTGTGTCCAATGTTTTGCATGGATTGTTTCTTTTGCTCACCACAACGGCCCTAAGATGCAGGTATGATGATTGTGTCTGTTATTAAGACGAGATCAACTATTCCCTAGGAACAGTTCCTAAATAGTGGAGCAGAGATTTAAGTTCAACTTTAAACAGGTCTCTGGGCCCTGCGTCTAGTCACATTGCTTCCTGGGGCTGTGATATGAATACGGTAACCACCAGCCACATGCAGCTATTTCATTTTAAACCGGTACAAATTAAATAATATTAAAAACTCATTTCCTTAGTCACAATAGCCACATTTCAAGTGCTCAATAGACACTATATTGCGTAGTTCAGACAGAACATTTCCATCATCATAGGAAGTTCTATTGGATAGCACTGTCCGAGGACACCAGTTTTGCCTTGATGATGCTGTCAATCTCTCATCGTTTACCCATAATGTTTTAAATCAGAATTATGTCCACAGAGAATATGTGGGCTGTGATGAATCTTCTCTTCCCACCATTCCCCAACCCACATACACAACCCCGGGAAAGGATTACCATCCTCTCATCTGGAGAAAATTGTTTCTATCCCACTTCTCAAAATGAAGCTGTTTCATAACAAAAAAAAAAATGATTAGGAATGAATGTTAAAAATTATTATCAAGTAGAAATGTGAAGGGAACTCTGTGGGAGTAAATGTGGACTTTTCACCAAACCATCTGTATAATCTTTGACAGTTGAGAAAGAAAAGCAAGTAAGATTATTATAAAGCATATTTTATGGTATTTGATGTTATTTTGGCAACACATAAAGTACTGATGAAATTTCACTAGGGAATGCTGCTATGTGCAGTTTTGCATAGAATGCTATAGGAGGACATTCTATGTCTGAGATCACACATCAGAGAACAACCAAAATGATTCAGTGCTAAATCATGACAAAGAATTAGCCAGTCTTGGCCTGAGTCCTATAGACAAAAAGAAGATGTTCAGGAACACCACAGAGGTAAATGAGATCCAGAAAGGAGCAGAACAGGTTATTGCCAATAATAATTTTCTCATACTGGCAATTCAATGTAATGTTAGTAAATAATGAAAATTGCTGATCATTGAACTAAGAATTACAATGTTTGGCCACATACCCAAAATCAATTTCAAACATAGTAAAGAAATCAATTCAGGCAGGACTTCACTTGTGCTTTTTGGAGGTAGAAAAAAAAAGCATTTAAAAAGTCTGAAGGAAGCCGGGCATGGTGGCTCACACCTGTAATCCCAGCACTTTGGGAGGCTGGGGCAGGTGGATCATTTAAGTTCAGGAGTTCGAGACCAGCTTGGCCAACATAGTGAAACCCCGTCTCTACTAAAAATACAAAAATTAGCCAGGCAGTAGTGGCATGTGCCTGTAATCCCAGCTACTCAGGAGGCTGAGGCAGGAGAATTGCTTGAGCCCAGGAGGCAGAGGTTGCAGTGAACGAGATTGCACCACCACACTCTAGTCTGGGTGACAAGAGATTAGGATTTCGGCTGATTTAGGAAAATACATGAAAAATTAAACAAAGAATCAGTCTTGCTGTCTAACATACAGTCTGGCTTATTTTCAGTTTTTATCCCAAAGGGAAGGTATATGCTTCTATTAAATAATATGCTACATTAATTTTTACACTGTTTTTGAATACTAGCACCCCTCATTGTACACATAAGAAAAATATCTGAGAATCTTAAGATTTTCATAATGAAAAAAGTCTTGGAAATTCCTTTAGTTCATCTTCTAAATTTCACAAGTGAGGATATGGAGACCTAGAAATGGTCAATAATTTAACCAAGGTCACTCAGTCTGATGGCAACAGAGTTGGGACTGAAGTGATAGCAACAGACGAATAGTTATGGCCAAGTCAGTAGCCAGCAGCAACAACTATTCCATATGTGCCTGAGGACCCACGATGTTTGAATGAGATAATCTCTAGAGTCTTCTCAACTCCAACATTTTGAGAAATCTCTTTTTTCAGTAAAAATATTTCTAATTATATTTTAGAATAAAATTTTAAAAATTAGAAAAGAAAAAATAATTTCACAATCTCCTAAAGACATCATTCAAGAAAAACTACTATGCCCATCATAAACCTTGCTATGGAACATATTACATACTGAAACTGCTCTGTGCAGAACACACAGCAATCATCTCTGTAAGAATAGCATCCATGTCTCCTGCACCTTTGAAGCTCTAGGCCCTAGAACAATGCCTAGAGCGTAAGAAATATTGATTGAACTGAACTGAATTCTTAGATGAGGAAACTAAGACTCAACTTAGTTAGGGGCTTCTCTCTGTCACTCAAAACCATGCAATCTCCACAGGGGCAATATTGCGCCCAAAGGGATAAAAACTGATTCTTGAGGTTAAAAGAATCTTGCTCTTGTTATGTATAAAGCACAAATACACATTGAGCACATAAAGAGATATACAGTAGAACTGGGATATTAAGATTTCATGGGGGGAGGGAAACCTAAATAAATCTAAAAAGGCTCTTAGGGGAACAGTAATGAAAATATAAGGCTGAGATGGTCTAAACCCATAGAAATTCCATGAAGTAAAAAAATTAAATGTCATAAAATCAGAGGAGAGATACCACATTTGTAGATTGATCTTATTTAAGACTCAAAAAGATTGAAGTATTTCACATTCTGTTTCTGGCTCCAAGATGGCATAAATATAATTTAGCAAGCTCCCCTTTTTCCCTGAGCAGGGAATTCTATTAATAAATCTATCCAACTTCATGGACAGTTATTAAAACAGCCTTTTTTAACTTTTATTTTAGGTTTTGGGGGTACATGTAAAGTTTGTTACATAGGTAAACTCACATCATGGGGGTTTGCTCTACAGATTATTTCATCACCCAGGTATTAAGCCCAGTATCCAGTAGCTATCTTTTCTTCTCCTCTCCTTTCTCTCACCCTCCACCCTCAAGTAGACTCCACTGTCTGTTGTTTCGTTCTTTGTGTTCTTAAGTTCTTATCATTTAGCTCCCACTTATAAGTGAAAACATGCAGTATTTGCTTTTCTGTTCCTGCATTAGTTTGCTAAAGATAATAGCCTCCAGCTCCGTCTATGTTCCCACAAAGACATGATCTGATTCTTTTTTATGGCTGCATAGTATTCCATAGTGTATATGTACTACATTTTCTTTTTTTTTTTTTTTTTTTTTTTTGAGACGGTGTCTCCCTCTGTCGCCCAGGCTGGAGTGCAGTGGCACGATCTCTGCTCACTGCAAGCCCTTGCCTCCCAGGTTCACACCATTCTCCTGCCTCAGTCTCCCGAGTAGCTGGGAATACAGGTGCCCGCCACCATGCCTGGCTAATTTTTTGTATTTTTAGTAGAGACAGGGTTTCACCATGTTAGCCAGGATGGTCTCGATCTCCTGACCTCGTGATCCACCCACCTCGGCCTCCCAAAGTGCTGGGATTACAGGCGTGAGCCACCGCACCCAGCCTATATGTACCACATTTTCTTTATCCAATCTGTCATTTATGGGCATTTACATTCATTCCGTATCTTTGCTATTGTGAATAGTACTGCAACGAATATTCACATGCATGTGTCTTTATGGTAGAATGATTTATTTATTTTGGGTATATACCCAGTAGTAGGATTGCTGCGTCAAATAGTTCTGCTTTTAGCTCTTTGAGGAATTGCCATACTGCTTTCCAGAATGATTGAACTAATTTACACTTCCACCAACAGTGTATAAATGTTTCCTTTTGTGGGCAACCTTGCTGGCATCTGTTATTTTTTGACTTTTTAATAATACCCGTTCTGACTGGTGTGAGATGGTATCTCATTGTGGCTTTCATTTGCATTTTTCTAATAATCATTGATGTTGAACATTTTTCATATGCTGTTGGCCCACATGTGTGTCTTCTTTTGAGAAGTGTCTGTTCATGTCCCTTGCCCACTTTTTAATGGGGTTGTTTGCTTTTCTCTTTTAAATTTAAGTTCTTTACAGATGCTAGATATTAAAACTTTGTCATAGTTTGGAAATATTTTCTCCCATTCTATAGGTTGTCTGTTCACTCTGTTGATAGTTTCTTTTACTGTGCAGAAGCTCTTAAGTTTAATTAGATCCCACTTGTCAATTGTTGTTTTTGATATGATTGCTTTTGGTGTCTTTGCCATGAAATCTTTGTCCATTCCTATGTCCAGGATGGTATTGCCTATGTTGTCTTCCAGGGATTTTATAGTGTTGGGTTTTACATTTAAGTCTTCAATCCATCTTGAGTTCATTTTTGTATATGGTATAAGGAAGGGGGTCCAAATTCAGTCTTCTGCATATGGCTAGCCAGTTATTCCAGCACCATTTATTAAATAGGGCATCTTCTCCCCATTGCTTGTTTTTGTCAGCTTTGTCAAAGATCACATGATTGTAGGTGTGCAGCTTTATATCTGAGCTCTTTCTTCTGTTCCATTGGTCTGTGTGCCTGTACCATGCTGTTTTGGTTATCATAGCCCTGTAGTATAGTTTAAAGTCAGGTAGAGTGATGCCTCCAGCTTTTTTCTTTTTGCTCAGGATTGCCTTGGCTCTTTTTTGGTTCCATATGAATATTAAAATGGTTTTTTTCTAGTTCTGTGAAGGATGTCATTGGTAGTTTAATAGGAATAGCGTTGAATTTGTAAAATGATTTGGGCAGCATGGACATTTTAATGATATTGATTCTTTTCATGAGCATGGGATGTTTTTCAATTTATTTGTGTCTTCTCTGATTTCTTTGATCAGTATTTTATCATTCTCATTTGTAGAGATCTTTCACCCTGGTTAGCTGCATTCCTAGGTATTTTATGTGTGTGTGGCAATTGTGAATCGGATTGCCTTTCTGATTTGGGTCTTGGCCTGGCTGTAATTTTTGCACACTGATTTTGTATCCTGAGACTTTGTGGAAGTTGTTTATCAGCTGAAGGAGGTTTTGGGCCAAGACTATGGGCTTCCTAGATATAGAATCATGTTTTTGCAAAAAGAGATAATTTGACTTCCTCTCTTATTATTTGGATGCCCTTTATTTCTTTCTCTTGCCTCATTGCTCTGGCTAGGAATTCCAATACTATATTGAACAGAAGTAATGAGAGATGGCATCCTTGTCTTGTGCTGGTTTTCAAGGGGAATGCTTCCAGCTTTTGCCCATTCAGTATAATGATGGCTGTGGGTTTGTCACAGACGACTCATATTAGTTTGAAGTATGTTTCTTCAATACCTAGTTTATTGAGAGTTTTTAACATTAAGGGATGTTGAATTATATCAAAAGTCTTTACTGCATCTATTGAGATAATCATGTGATTTTTGTCTTTAGTTCTGTTTATATGATGAATCAAATTTATTGATTTGCATATGTTGAACCAACCTTGTATCCCAGGGATGAAGCCTACTTGATTGTGGTGGATTCACTTTTTGATGTGCTGCTGGATTCAGTTTGCTAGTATTTTGTTGAGGAGTTTTGCATCGATGTTCATCAGGGATATTGGCCTGAAGTTTTCTTTTTTGTTGTGTCTCTGCCAGGTTTTGGTCTCAGGATGCTGCTGGCCTCATAGAATAAGTTGGGTAGGAGTCCCTCCTCCTTAATGTTTTGGAATAGCTTCAGTAGAAATGCTCCCAACTCTTCTTTATACATGTGGTAGAATTTGGCTGTGAATCCATCAGGTCCTTGGCTTTTTTTGGCTGGTAGGCTATTTATTACTGACTCAATTTCGGAGCTCATTCTTAAGAGGGTGCATGTGTCCAGGAATTTATCCATCTCTTCTAGGTTTTCTAGTTTGTGTGCATAGCAGTGTTAGTAGTAGTATCTGATTGTTTTTATTTCTGTGAGGTCAGTGGTAACATTCTCTTTGTCATTTCTGATTGTGTTTATTTGGATCTTCTCTCTTTTCTTTATTAGTCTAGCTAGCAGCCTACCTATCTTATTATTTTTTTCAAAAAACCAACTCCTGGACTTGTTGATTTCTTGAATGGTTTTTTGTGTCTTGATTTCCTTCAGTTCAGCTCTGATTTTGGTTATTTCTTGTCTTCTGCTAGCTTTGGGTTTGATTTGTTCTTGCTTCTCTAATTCTTTCTGTTTTGATGTTAAGTTGTTAACTTGAGATCTTTCTAACTTTTTGATGTGGGCATTTAGTGCTATGAATTTCCCTCTTAACACTGACTTAGCTGTGTCCCAGAGATTCTGATATGTCATATCTTTGTTCTCATTAGTTTCAAAGAATTCTTTTTTTTACTTTTGCCCTAATCTCATTATTTACCTAAAAGTCATTCAGGAGCATGTTATTTAATTTCCATGTAACTGCATGGTTGTGAGCAATTTTCTTAGTCTTGACTTCTATTTTTATTGCACTTAAACAATGTTATTTTGTTCTTAAGATTCAGCAGTTTATTTTAGAGCTTCACTCTCAGATTCTATTCAAAGCATCTTCTTTTCAAACATTGTCAGTTCCTTGGTTTTCAAACACTGTCAGTTCCCTGGGAAACTCCCACTTCTTCCAGCAGAACCCAATCCTTCCTGTGGTCTCTCTGGCATCACTGACCCCTTACTCTCATTTGACCCATAAGCTCTCCCTCCCACTCAAGGTGTGTAGCTCCTAAAGAATCCTTCTTCCACACTCTGGGAACCTCATTATCTCTCTCCAGTACTATTTCATCTATGTCAGAAGGTAAGTGCAGGTAAGCAATGTAAGTAGCTAGACAGAAGACCAGTGGGGTATGATACTGCAGCCTCTCCAAATCTTGAGGTTGTACCCATTTGGCTTCAAAAAGGGGAAGTATTCATGTCCTCTCTCCCACAAGAAAGTCAGAATAAGGAGTAGCTTTTGCTCATCAGTACTGCACTTACATAAAACTGAGGATATTCTCCCCTTTATCAACCCCCCAATCCCCCCTGCTCCATTTTGAGATGAGATGGTTTCTCCTAGCGGCCATGTAGAGAGGTAGTAAACCTCTGCAAAAGATGCTTCTCTAGACCTCAAATATGGAGCACTTACTTTATTCTCAGTAATTTCCTTATTCTCAGCTATAAGCCTTATTTGTTAAACCAAGCCATATGCCCCTAACATCATGATGTTAAACCAGCTGCCATTTAGCTTGTGGACTGTGCTAAGTATTTGGTACACATTATCTCATTTATTTCTTATAAATAAAAAAATTTACCTTAACCAACCTATGAGGTAAATATTACTCTCCTCTTTTTTCAGGTGACCACATTGAGACTTCAAAGTTTAAAGACTTGTCTAAAGACACGTAACAAATAAGTGATTAAACTACAAATGGAATCTAGACCAGTAAGATTCTCAAGCCCAAGTTCTTAACCAATAATTTTTAAGTGAAAGTTAATTAAAATTAATTTAATCTGAGGCTAGCTTGGTAGACATCATTTGAGATACCTAGCACATAGCCCACTGAGAAACCTGTGTCTAAAATTGGAGTGCAGGAAAATAATAATTTATATAATCAATATTACTCATTTTACTTGGGTATATCAGATCTTATCTGTTCAACCTGAACCAAGAAAAGCATTTCATTCGAGACTCTAAGTAAACTAGAAAACATGGTAGCACTCTGGCATTTTGAAGAAGTCTCAAAGAACTAAGGATAATTTTCCTATTACTCATTTTTTTTTTCAGTATTATGTGAAGAAGCAGAAATAAGATAGGAGGCTCTGCCTAAGTAATAGGAATAATTCCAAAATATCCTAGCTAACATTTGGGGGCCACCGTAACAGAATCAGAGCAATGCATCATTTCTGGTTGATGGATGAACAATTTGTTGTAAGGCTGGCCAAGAATTCCAGGCCCTTGTGCCATCTCTGATTCATCTCTGTCACCAAGGCCTGAATCACAGCTGTGTGACCTCAATGGATTGATGAAAAACAGAGGAGAGAAAAAAAAGGAATAGTTTTGAAGGACACATGACTTATACATTTGTATGCTTTATTTCTTGTCCATATATACTTGTAATTATATCTATATGTGTATAGTGTCTAAAATTTATTGTTAATCTCACAGATGTTTATACACAAATATTGTAGATATTCTTGTTAATCTCCACAAAATATCAGTCTTGGGGATATAGTTTTCTCTTTCTCTTCCCCATTGGTCATTTATGAGTTGACCGATTGACTCTAGTGATCTAATCCAACGTGCTTCTAACTGGGGCTATAGGAAAGTCTGAGGATTTGCTTGACTATGTCACTAAAAATTCACTCCAGTCTTTCTGTTGTGCCTATTAATAACGGCATTAGATGTTTTTTGTCACAAGGACTTCTCCATACTTATGCAGAGATTTCAAGGCACTCTAAGACTCTCCCAGATGACTTTTACTAAAACCCACAAGGGACTAAAAAAGGCACATTGGGGTTTTAGTTATCAGGATGATCCTCTGAGGAAGCCATCCTGGGGCCAGAATTTCTTTCTCCTAAGTGAGCAGTAAGAATGGAAAAGTCAGAGTTCAAGGTCTGGGGTCCAGTGTCGGGGAATGAAAAAGCCTTTTAAAATTTTAACACAGCAGAGAGCAGAGACGTTGGGAATGCCAAGTTCTCAAACATTTCCAGCAAATTACACTGAATTCAAATTCTTGTTGGCAGTGTGCTACAGTTGGCCTGTACAGAGACATTAGAGAAATTCTTCAGCAAACTTTTCTAATTTAGAAAGTATGACATCAAATTAGTCTCTGGGGAGAATTAACAGTTTGGTTCACTAAAGAAAAAACAAAAGCAACAACAACAAAAACAATTAACCTATTGAAGGAAAGTAGAATAGGGAAGGAAGAAGAGCTAAGTCAGCATTCTGTGCCCATGGTTTTGATCTTTCCCATGTACAGATAAAGTAGTCAGGCTATTGCATGTCTGACAGTTCAAGCAGTTTTGAAATAGTTGAACAGGGAGGCCTGTGGTCAACTGGTCAGAAAACCACTAATGATGTAAAGCCTTCTGCACTCAGTTTTAGAACATTTTTGCTGCATTTCAGTTTCCTCATTCAAAAAATAGAGGCTATAATTGACCAGTAATATCTTAGAGACGGTGATGTTCATTGCCTGTGTTTGGAACCACAGCTTGAGCAAGCAGTATATGCTCCCTGCCCCTGACTCTATGGAGGAGCTCCCAGCAGTACAATTATATAGCATAATATTGTAAAAAGAATCTATACATTGAATTTTTAAAAATTTTTTCAATCATTCATAAATGTTTTTAAAATGCCTCCTGTAAGCGGAGCAACTGTCCTAGGCCTTTGTGAGAGATCAGTGAACAAAAAAAATTTCCTTCTTTCAGAGAGTTTACCTAGCTATAAAGAATATGAACCTGGCTGGGCACAATGGCTCATGCCTATAATCCCAGCACTTTGGGAGGCTGAGGCAATCAGATCACCCAAGGACAGGAGTTCAAGACCAGCCTGGCCAAGATGGCAAATCCCCATTTCTACTAAAAATTCAAAAAGTAGCCAGGCATGGTGGCAGTCACCTGAAATCCTAGCTACTCAGGAGGCTGAGGCAGGAGAATCACTTGAACCTGGGAGGCAGAGATTGTAGTGAGTCGAGATCATATCACTGCATTCCAGCCTGGGCAACAGAGTGAGACTCTGTCTCAAAAATAAAATTTAAAAAAAGAATATGAACCTCATATCCCTCTGTAAGGGCAACAGGCCAGGGGAGCGGCTTTGAGTTATGAGATAATATTCATTTTATTTAAGAATAGTGTCCAATATAAAAAAAATTTTAAGGAAGAAGAGTGAAACTAAGAGGAGCAAGAGAGGAAAAGAAAATATAGTCAAGCCTTTCATAATCCCAATCTTTATTAAATTTTTGGAATAGAATAAAAGTTTTCTTCCTCATAATAGGCTACTTCAGTGTATTAGTCAGTTTTCACACTGCTGATAAAGACATACCTGAGACTAGGCAATTTACAAAATAAAGAGGTTTATTGGACTTACAGTTCCACATGGCTGGGGAGACTTCACGATCATGGCAGAAGGTGAAAGGCAAGGAGGAGAAAGTCATGTCTTACATGGATGGTGGCAGGCAAAGAGAGCTTGTGCAGGGAAACTCCTGTTTTTAAAACCATCAGATCTCCTGAGACTCATTCACTATCACAAGAACACAGCAGGAAAGACCCACCCCCATAATTCAATCACCTTCCACTGGGTCCCTCCCATGACATGTAGGAATGGTGGGAGTTATAATTCAAGATGAGATTTGGGTCAGGACAGAGCCAAACCATATCATTCTGCACCTCACCCCTCCCAAATCTCATGTTTTCATATTTCAAAATGAATCATGCCTTCCCAATAGTCCCCCAAAGTCTTAATTCATTTCAGCATTAACTCAAATGTCCATAGTCCAAAGTCTTATCTAAGACAAGGCAAGTCTCTTATGGCTATGAGCCTGTAAAATCAAAAGCAAGTTAGTTACTTCCTGCATACAAAGAGGACACAGGTATTGGGTAAATACAATTCCAAATGGGAGAAATTGTCCCAAATAAATGGGCTAAAGTCCCCATGAAAGTCTGAAATCCAGCAGGGCATTCAAATCTTAAAGCTCCAAAATGATCTTCTTTGACTCCATGTCTCACATCTGGGTCATGCTGAGGTAAGAGGTGGGTTCCCATGGTCTTAGGCAGCTCCACCCCTGTGGCTTTGCAGGGTATATCCTCACTCCTGGCTACTTTCATGGGCTGGCATCAAGGGTTGGTGGCTTTTCCAGGTGCACAGTGCAAGCTGTCAGTGGATCTACCATTCTGAGGTCTGAGGATGATGGCCCTCTTCTCACAATTCCACTAGGTGGTACCTTAGTAGGGACTCTGTATGGGGGCTATGACCCCACATTTATCTTTTGCAATGCCCTAGCAGAAGTTCTTCATGAGGGACCCACCCCTTCAGCAAACTTCTGCCTAGACATCCAGGTGTTCCCTTACATCCTCTGAAATCTAGGCAGAGGTTCCCAAACCCCAATTCTTGACGTCTGTGCACTTGCAGGCTCAATACTACATGGAAGCTGCCAAGGCTTGGGGCTTGCACTCCTGAAGCCATGGCCTGAGCTCTATGTTGGCACCTTTTGGCAACAGCTGGAGCGCCTGGGACACATGGGACCAAGTCCTAGGCTGCACACAGCACGGGGACACTGGACCCTGCCCATGAAACCACTTCTTCCTCCTAGGCCTCTGGGCCTGTGATGTGAGGGGCTACCGTGAAGACCTCTGACATACCCTGGAGACATTTTCCCCATTTTCTTGAATATTAACATTTGGCTTCTTACTACTTACACAGATTTCTGCAGTCAACTTGAATTTCTCCTCAGAAAATGGGATTTTATTTTCCATCACATTGTCAGGCTGCAAAATTTCCAAACTTGTATGCTCTGCTTCCCATATAAAACTGAATGCCTTTAACAGCACCCAAGTCACCTCTTGAATGCTTTGCTGCTTTGAAATTTCTTCCACTAGATACCCTAAATCATCTCTCTTAAGTTCAAAGTTCCACAAAGCTCTAGAGCAGAGGCAAAATGCTACAAATCTCTTGGCTAAAACATAACAAGAGTCACCTTTGCTCCAGTTCCCAAGTTACTCATTTCCATCTAAGACCACCTCAGCCTGGACTTTATTGTCTATATTGCTATCAGCATTTTGGTCAAAGTCATTCAACAAGTCTCTAGGCAGTTCCAAACTTCCCCACATTTTCTCTCTTCTTCTGAGCCCTCCAAACTGTTCCACTCTCTGCCTGTTACACAGTTCCAAATTTGCTTCCACATTTTCGGGTATCTTTTCAGCAGTGTCTCACTCTACTGGTACCAATTTCTGTAATAGTCCATGTTCACACTGCTGATAAAGACATAACTGATACTGGGCAACTTACAAAATAAAGAGATTTATTGGACTTACAGAGCCACATGGCTGGGGAGGCCTCAAGATCATGGCAGAAAGTGAAAGGCAAGGAGGAGCAAGTCATGTCTTACATGGATGGTGGCAGGCAAAAAGAGCTTGCGCAGGGAAACTCCTGTTTTTAAAACTATCAGATCTCCTGAGACTCATTCATTATCATGAGAACAGCACAGGAAAGACACACCCCCATAAATTCAATCATCTCCCACTAGGTTCCTCCCATGACATTTGTGAATTGTGGGATTTACAATTCAAGATGAGATTTGGGTGGGGACACAGCCAAACCATATCATTCAATATACATCTTCATCACTTATGTTTGAAGACAGAATGAGAATATTATGTCATATTTCCCTTAACTATGACTCATTCAACCTTTAAGAAATGTTTTCAAATATATGTTTATGTTGTCCTAATTTCCATTTACCAATCCATTTAGTGAGTACCTTCCCTATTGAAGACACTGTGCTAGGTAATTTACATAGTACTACATGTTCAATCTGAACATAATTATTATCCCCATTTCAGAAGATACTCAGAGACTAAATCATCTGCTTGAGATCACCAAGGTAGCAAGTGGAGGAGGCAACATTTGGATCTAACTATTTACTTCTCTAAGCCTGTGTGTTGTACTCTAGAAATAAGGGGTAATAATAATAACTAGTTTGTAAAGATGTTCTAAATATTATAAGAAATATGTGAAAAGTTGTTATGCCATTACCTGACACATGAAAGGCTGTACAACAGCTGTTAGCTAGAATACTATTAGATCTCATAGGTCAACTGGGGACAACTCATACCCAAAAATGTAGAGATGAATGTATCAAACCTCTTTTATTTACTCCACAGGAAACTCAATTTCCTCCCTAATGTTTCTATAATTAATCAGTGGTTAATACTTCCTGTCTGTGATTTCTTGAGTGTAGTAAACCTTGGTTTTTCACACTATAGCTTGTGGTTGTTCCACTGTTGGAATAGCATAAAATTAAATATTAAACATCCCTGATCTTAAAATCTCCTTGGCCATTTTAGCCTAACGGTCTCCAGCTCCCACACTACACCTCATTCTTGTCTTACATCTAACAGAGTAGCTCTCTCTCCTTCCAACCATTGTCAACTCAAGGCTTCAACCTCAATCCCAAACAGATTTTCAAGACATTTTCCTAGAAGACTTAATTTTTCCCTTAGAAACACCCTTGATATTAGCTAATCAAAGTCATTTGATTACCACGACTGTTATCTGCTAAAGTATCTATACAAGCCTCATTCATATACATGATTGGTCTGGAGTTTTAGTCTGGGTTCTGACGCTTGCTGGGTGAATGACTGTGGAGGAGTCATTCTGGCATTTATTCTCTCATCTGTAAAATAAAAAAGTTGGACTAGATGGTCAGCAAAGTCCTTTTGCTTGGTAATTTTATTCTATTTAGAGCTTTCAGATAATTCATTTTCTCATAAATCTCAGCACAGAGGGTGGAGTTTGGAGTGGAACTTGAGAATATTTCAAAACCAATTACAAGATGAAAGAATACCTTACGCACACGGAAAAATCATCAATCTTGTTTTTGCTGGTTCACCAAAAATGAAATGAAAGCCGCAATGTCTCCTTCCCCACTTTCAATCATGGGATACTATATGACCACACTAATAAAAACAGCGGCAAAGGAGATACAACATTTTTTAAATGATGGGGAAAGGCAGAAATATGACTTTTAAGGCAGAATGTGTTACAGTAATAGTGATGAGACTAGGAAATGTTTTCCTGAAATTTGGGAAGATAAATGTTTTGTTATGCTGAAGCATTTGGTAGTGGCTACAAACACCTTGCAGCAATAGAGTTTTCTGCAGAGAAATACATGCTCATTGAAAAAAAAAAAGGAACATTCAGAAGAATAAAATAGAAAATATAAGTTACTACATTATCAGCAAGGAATAATCATGGTTAATATTTTAATCTGTTTATCTCTACTGGAATTGAATTGGAACAATGGTGTATGCACAATTTTATATTCTGCCTTATTTTTCTTAACTTGTGTGGCAATTTTATTTTTCACATCAATCTAACTTGGTTTTATGAAGTGTTGAGTCATGACTAAGGCCATATTAATTGGAATCAGGGTGGGTTGTTGACTAGTCCTTAGAACTGGGATTATGATTTTGTTTCCAGGTGAAATGGTAAATTGAGCACCTGTTTTCAGAAATTCTGAGGGAGACTGAAATTCATCTCAATATTTGAGGGTGTTTTTGTCTGTAGTAGTCATATCTCTTAGTTGCATGTCACAGGCAGTTGCTGCACTATTTCTCTGCGTGAGCGTTTCCCAGAAGGTTCCGGAGAAAAGCCCACTTGTGGCTGGAAGGCAGAAGCAATGAGGTTTGGAAACAAAGTATCTAGAGGCAGTGTAACACCATGGGGAGCTCAGGCCCTCCTGGGTCTCCTTAGACATTTGTTGATTGAAATCTTCGCTCTTAACCCTTGCTAGCTGAGTGGCCTTAACACAAGTTACCCTCTATGGGACTCAGTTTCTTAACCTGTAATAATAACAGTTCATCCCATATCTCTCTGGGATTCTGTAGGGATTGATTAATTAATATAATGTATGCAAATCACTTAGCCCAGAAGATACTTTTAAGTGCAAGATATTAGCTTTGTATAATAATATTTTTTTTTACTAGTTTTTGCCCAGTTCCAGTAAGCATAACTCTCAGGGGAATAAATATAATCATGAAACACTTTATTTTTTCTTTGGCCAAAATTTTTCAAGGCTTTCTGAAGTTTCCCTTTCCCACCCCTTAGCAACATCTTGAGTAAATTCTATTATATTCTGGTCTCTTTGAACAATTAAAATTCAATCTTGTTTAAAATTTTCATCTCAAGTAATGTAAATCTCATGCCTTGTGTCCCCATCATCCTTGCTCCCAACAGCCTTGAACTGGAACTCTGAATACCTAGAGTGGGAAACAGGTGATGTGTTCTGACTCCAACAGCTATTTCCTGCTCCCTCTTGGAGACCCAGCAGCCTTGATTGGGGAAGCAGGGAGCAGGAAGGGGACAAGTATTTATTATTGGCTTGTTTCTTTCCTGGCTGCTCCCATGGACCTGACCTATTGGTTGTCACATATCTGGATGGTCATGCCTGGTCTTCTGTGCCTTAGCCAATGTTGGCTCCCTCACAAGACACATGCCTGAGTTCCCAGGGAGCGGTCCTATGGGGTTTCCACCACAGCACAGTTGTCTAACATGCCAATCACGGTCAGTATTTTAGTTTGCCAGGGCTGCCATAGAAAAGTACTACAAACTGGGTGGCCTGAACAGAAATGTATCGTCTCACAGTTCTGGAGACTAGAAGTTTGAGATGCAGGTGTCAGCAGGATTGGCTCCTTGGCTTGTGGAAACATCGGCCCAATCTCTGCCTTCATCTTCACATGGCATTCTTCCTGTGTGCATGGCTTTCAGTGTTCCAATATCCCCTTTCTATAAGGACTCCAGTCAAATTGGATTAGGGTCCACGATAATGATCTCATCTTAACTAATTATATCTACGACAGCCCTATTTCCAAATAAGGTCATATTCTGAGATACCTGGGCTTAGGATGTCAACATATGAATTTTGAAGGGACACAGCTTAATCCACAATAGTCAACAACAATCCTTCCCATGCCAATCAGCCCTTCTCCAAACTCTTGCCTCTATTGGTGCACTCACTGCAGGCAGGCAATGAAGGAGTGCATGGGGTGGACCCTTCCACTGACACATGCCTTGTTACACCTATGTTTATCACAAGAAATAAGTACCTAGACTCTATGACCCACTCACCCCCCAGCCTCCAGCCTCCCAGTTCAGCTTGATCTCATATGCTATATGATTCTAAGTGACTTGAGTCTACACCATGCCTCCAAATAGATATTCTGGTAGGAAGTCTACTTGAGTCCCAAAACTTTGTTTATCCTTTTATAAATGTGAACTCTTTTTTTCTAAATCTGGTTGGCCCAGTGATGGTCATGAAGTAAATATTTTCTGTTCCTCTCCATACATCTCTGTCGGGGAGGTAGTAAAAGTGTAAGAAAGAGATGTGAAGGCAGCAGGAGAGCTGAGTGATACTTTAATTAATTTCCTCAAAGGCAGCTGGGTACCGTGGCTCAGGCCTGTAATCCCAGCACTTTGGGAAGCTGAGGCAGGTGAATCACTTGCGATCAAGAGTTTGAGACCAGCCTGGCCAACATGGTGAAACCCCATCTCTACTAAAGATACAAAAATTAGCCAGGCATGGTAGCTCATGCTGTAATCCCAGCTACTCAGGAGGCTGACGCAAGACAATCGGTTGAACCCAGGAGGTGGAGTTGCAGTGAGCTGAGATCGCGCCACTGCACTCCAGCCTGGGCGACAGAGTGAGATTCCATCTCAAAATAAAATAAAATTTTCTCAAAGGCTAATGCAGGTTTTCATCTGCTCTAGGTTATCCATCATAGCCCATGGACTCATAAGTCACACATTGCAGACTCTATTGTGTTTATTCATTTCTTCATTTTAAAATAAGACTGTTCAACGTATTGTCTCAATGTTCTGATAATTTGAAAAATTGGTTCCAGAGTAATTGGTCATCCAGGAAAACACTGTGGCAGGTTTTGGGATGGAGGGTTAATACAGAGAGGAAACCACAACCTAAGATCCCAAATGCCTGCCCAAAATAACTGATCACTTCCGTAATAGCACTTCTAAACATAATAATTATATTTTGCCAGTCAAAAAGGGTAGAAAAGAGCAAACTCAGTGGAAGGTGATTTCTTTTCAGATTGTAGCAGGTGCGATATATAATCCTGGCCAATTTCACCATTTCTCCAAAGCAGTGGTACTATAAATGTATTCTCTGGACCAGCAGCATCAGCATCACCTGGGATCTTGTTAGAAATTTAGATGCTTGGGCCACACTCCAGATATACAGAATCAGAAACTCAGGGAGTCGGGTCCAGCAAGCAGTATTTTAACAAGCTCCCAGGTGATTCTGATGCATACTCAAATTTGAGAAGCACAGCTCTAAAGCAGCCATTAACTATGGCTGCACCCTGAACATCTGAGATCCTGAACAAAAGCAATTGTCTGGGCCCTTCACACTTACCAGTTAGATCACAGTCTCCAAGGTGGGACCTTCTTTTTTGAAACAGGGTTTCACTCTGCTGCCCAGGCTGGAGTGCAGTGGCGTCATCTCAGCTCATTTGCAGCCTTCGCCTCCCAGGTTCAAGTGATTCTCCCTCCTCAGCCTCCCAAGTAGCTGGGAATACAGCGGCACACCACCACACCTGGAGCATATATAGATATATATATATATTTTTTTTTGGTTTGAGATGGGGTTTCACCATGTTGGCCAGGCTGATCTCAAATTCCTGACCTCAAGTGATCCACCCACCTCGGTCTCCCAAAGTGCTGGGATTATAGGCATGAGCCACCATGCCCAGCCTGGGTGTGGCATTTTTAAAAAGCTCTTCAGATGGCTCTAAAGGGAAGCCAGAATTGAGAACCATGCCTGCAAATCAGTAGACTTCACACTGCTCTGAAGAATCCCTCCAGGGCCGCCATCAGGTGGGAACGAGCCCCGCTCTCAGGGCTTCAGGCCCCTGTCCTAATTCACCCGGAGCACCTGAACACTTATTTTTTTTCCACGCTTGGCTTAGGGTAATGTTTTCTTTGAAACAAAGGTTTCTGCAGCTAAAAACCACAAACATAAATTCTTTGAAAGATAATAAATTCTAGAAGCCCCTTCTGTCCTTCTAAATCCATTTTATGCAGAAGGTGAGACAGAAAAATAAATATATCTAAAGCTTATCATGAAAGAATAATGGCAGGAGGCTTCTCGTGAGGTTATTGGAAAGCTGAGGTTTTGGAACAGACTAAAGTGCATGGAAACATTTGTGTGGGAAGTTCAGGAATGTGGTGTGCTCTTCCAGCTTCTCAATGCTTCACTAATCTGATCCTCTAAAACTCCTTGCTTGTTAGAACATAAATTATACTCTCACAGATTAAAACCATGTTCATCTTGTGAAAAATAATTCATGGTACAAAAGTGCAAAGTAGATATTTTTCTTCCTAATTTTGGTTAGCCAGTATCGAATCTATGAGCAAAAGATAAAATACAGAGATAGTTAAAATAGTAAGGTTGTCAAGGAGGGGCTACATCAACATAGATGGCCCACATTGGAATTTTTTAATGGAAAATAAGGTATTGAAACTATTTTAGAATACCTATTTTATATATATATTTATTGGGAGAAGTTTGTGTACATAAAGACATCAAGGTATATAAGGAAGAAGAAATATAAGATGTGGACAGCTTTATTAATCAAGGTAGATAGTACATTGAAATATCTGTCTCTCTTTATCTCACACACACACACACACACACACAGACAGACTACAATGAAAGACTTTGCCAACATTCATGATTAGGAGCTTTTAAATATCCACTAGGTGCCTGGAAAAGGAAACCTTACTGAGGATAAAGTCTAGAATTTACTGTGATGATGATGGATGTGCATTCTGAGTAAGCACAAAAAGAATGAACAATATTTAAATTTGGAGAGGTATGAAAACAAATGCCTGATGAGTGTCATAAATGTCAATTGAACAGATGGACGGAAGAATGAACCTGCTGGGTGGGAAGGCAGAGGTGGTTGTCAAAGGTGGTGAAAACAGGAAACTCCAGTTGGTGGGATACATGGCTAGAATTATAATAATAACAGTGATCATCATAGGCACCTCCTTCCTCCCCCCAACCCAACTGTATAAATAAGGAACTAGTGTATGACACACACTCCATAAAACACTCATAAAATCTCATCATCCCTCCAGTTCTCTTTACATGCACCCCAGCTCTAAAAACTCAACAAAAAGGCAGATATTCTCTTGGCAGCAAGAAGAGTAAATACAACGTTTTTCCTTTCCAGGGGAACAAGGAGTTGGAACTGATAGACAAAACAGAAAAAGTGAAACTCTTCTTCCACCCTGAATCTTTAATTTTGGAAGATCAGAAACACTGTGGCTCAGCTTGAGAGGCTTTTGGTCATGGCTTTTAAATGACTTGAGGACAGAGATTACACCCCCTCAGGTTTAAAACGCCCAAAGGGAAGCATCAAAACTTTCATTTGAAGTAAATTATGAAGAGAAGCCTAAATATATTTTGAATTTTCTGATAAAGTTCTGGATCATAGATAGTCTGCATCCTATGTATATATTCCTACCATATTTTCAAACATTTTTAACAGTGAATTCCTGCTTATGTATTAACTCTTACGACCAAACCATGGTTTATAAAACAGATTAAAGTAGGGCTGCACTGTCCAATTCAGGGGCAGAGGAAATCAGGGAGCTAGGTCACCCCACTACCCCATGGGGACTCTTAGCATCTTCCATGAAGCATTAAGACACTTAGCAGAGTATTTTGACAATAATTGATCTAATATATATACTGTTATATATCATGAGTGCATAAGGAATATACATGTAAAATTAAATACAAATGATGGTAGTTCAATAATAGTATTTGCCATATAAGGTAGTTAAACTGTCTATGTACCTCCTATGAGATAATTCATTCATTTCTATCTCACTGACCCAGGCACCACCCCCATAAAAATTGTCTTGCTCCAAGGCCTTCAATTTCTCACCCTACTCTTCATCTCGAGCAGATATTTTTCACTTAAAAAAATTGGAAGCTTCACTTATTTTTCTTTTGAGCTGAGATACAACTTACAACAATGAAGTGTACAACCGTTCTAAAGTGTAAAGCTCCATTGTTTTGACCTATGGACACACCTGTGTAATCCCCATGTAAATCAAGATAGAGAACACTTTAGCATATCAAAATGTTCCCTCAAGTCAATACCATCTCCAGAAGGTAACAGTTCTGACTTGTAACACCAAAGATCAGTTTTGCCTGGTTTTGAACCTCATGTGAACAGAATCATATCGTGCAAAGATCTTGTGCCTGGCTTCTGTCATTCAGCATGTGTGATTCATCCATGGCCCTGTGTGTGATAAGAATTCATTCCTTTGCATTGCCATGTAGAAATGTCCTTGATTTTTATTTTCCTAAGACCAAAAATTATCTGGCATATATAATTTTTACCTACCCAACCTTCCTCTCACATATATTATTATCAGAATTTAGGGATGAAAAGGACCTTAGGACCTTAAAGATTGTCTAGCTCACTAATATTAAGACACTGGCCTAAGGTCATGGTGGTGGTTCTTGGGAGAGGTAGAACAGAGATGTTTGGTGTCTTGACTCCTGTCCAGCAGCCTGTCCTTTGCCTCATGCTCTTCTTCTCTATTGATAATCTGCTGAGAAATTTGGCTTTAGCTCTTTCTCACTTTTCCAGGGTGGATCTGTCCCTCTTTATGGCCCCTTCTTCTCCTCTTTCCAGCCCATACTCATCTGCAATATCCTCACAGAGTTGCCACTCCCCATTCTTTTTTGTTCCATATTTCTGCTGCCACCTCCCCCTGCATTCAGCTAGTCCTTGGTGCTTTGAAATTCCTCCTCCTATATCACTCAAGGAATATTTTCATCACCATGCTGGTCACTGATATTTTTCTAGCTATCTTTATTTTAACACATCTTATTACATCTTTCTAGTTACCTCTCCTCAGATTTCTGAGACTTTTTATTTTTATCTATTGGAATTATTGTCCTATCTAACCTTCCATAATTTTCCAATCTCATCATAGTTTTTTTCATTGTTTCTCTGGATCTGTGTTCTATACTTGTTCCCTCTGCTGTTTGGTTTTACTTCATATTATCTAATTTATTAGAATGGTAAAATTATGAATAAATTTAATAGCACAACAATTGAAAGTCAGAGATTATTTTTAAAAAGTCATCAGGATGGCAATCATTTATGTACGTAGACTATGTGCCAAGCACTATTCTAAACATTTTCCACGTTAACTCATTTAATCATTCCAGCTACCCTCTACAGTAGTTGCTACCTTTAAGAACCCTGATTTACAGATGAAGAAATCGAAGTACTAACAAGAAGTACCTTGCCTAAGGTCATAAAGCCTATTAGGAGTTGAATTCAGGGGGTCTGGATCCAGAATCTTTGATCTCAACTGCCTCCTAAAGATGAAGATGGTACAGTACAGAATGTAAGTAGGAGAAGAAGAAGCCAAGTTACAGTATTTGAGATAAATTTTTAGAAAACATCTGGAAGGGATTTTGGGATGGGCAGCAAAATAGCAGACTTGGGAATACACTACATGGCATGTAAATAAAATGGAGTTTTCCAAATGGCTCAGAAACAGCTGCCTTCATGTCAGAAATAGAAGAAATGATATTTGAGCATCCAACCAGTGTTGCAAGGACAAATTGCTGGTGTCAACTTGAGGACTCATCTAGAAAAAGGAATGATGTTTGGGGTTAGTCCAAAACAATTACTTAGACCAAGTTTATTCTTATAGATTAAAATGTAATGACAGCCTATACATTATAAAAAATAAAAACGCTAGCTCATTGCTTTCTATAATATGTCAAATTGGATGAATTAAATGGGCAAAATAATTAAGTTGGCAGAAATTAACCACATGTAATTTATTCAAGACAGTATTTAATTATTTTCTATAGCATCCATGGTGTCTAGAATAGTATTTTCACATCTTTCATAACAAAATTGCTGTGTTCACATATGGACTCAGTAGTGGGACTTAAAAAGTGATGGATGGTTGCAGCTGATTAGGAAATAATAAATAGCCAACATTCATTAAACCTTGATTGTGTTCTAGGCCCTATCCTAAGCACTTTATGCCATTCAGTTCTCAAAAGAACCTTACATGGAAAGCGCTATTCCCATTTTCAAATCATAACATTAAGGCTTAGAGAGGTTATGTAGCAGGCTCAAGGTGGCACAATTAAGTGGTGAAGCTGGGGATCAAGTTATGTATTATTCACAGAGAACTGAACATTTGTGCCTATATGTAGAAGTCATATTAATTCAATTGATGCTGCCGAAAAGGAAATACAGAGGAGAAAAAATGTTTTATTTGAGGCTTCCAGAACATAATTCTGCTTTCCCCAGATACATCTTCTCTTGTGAGGCTCAAGGTCTGCATGAAAGGATTTTTGGTCAATGGTTACACCTACAACAAATCCACTAGAAATGAATAATACCAAATATATTTAGTGTTGTTTGTGGTTTGCAAGCTTCTTTATCTTACTTAATTTCACTTTTTCTCACAATCGTGAGAGGTACTCTAGAGAGTATTATGCAGAAACCTAGTCACAGGAAGGGAAAATGTGTTGCTCGCATCTTACAACAAGAGAGTGACAACAGGTCCCTGCGATAGAATCCAAATCTGTTCATCCTTACTCTTGACCCAGGGCCTGTTTCTTGGTTTCCCTTAAATTGGATCCCTTTTCCTCATTGCCTTCCTCGAATATTTGCTCATCTCTGTGCGTGGTCTAAAGAAAATCCACAGCAAATGTGAACTGAAGAAAGACAAGTTATTTTGTCTGAACATGCTGATGCTTTACAGAAATTTAGATGAGTTTCATCATCTAATGATGATCTCATTAATCTAACTCTACTGTCATGGCAAGAGTACCATACAGAAATTACAATACTTTCCAAATGCAGGCTTTTAGGCAAAAATGAACGTAAGTTGGTGTTTTTTACATTGATTCTCTGTATTGTTAAGCAACTCTTAACAGATCAAGCTTTGGTACCACGCGTACCTGCATTCAAAACCTAACATTTAAAATTAGTGGCATGGGCAAGTATACTCAAATTATCCAGGCTTTACTTTCCTCATCTGTAAAAATTATCTAATAATACTTACTTTGTAGGGTAGTTGTAAATATTAAATAAGGTATGCAAGGTGCTTGCAACAGTGCCTGAGACCGCATAAGCAATAAATGGTAGTTATCATCACCTCCTGTATTTCACGTGAGATAGCATTAGTTTTAAGACTCCACATTATTTTCTCAAATTAAAAAAAAAAACACTGCCAATTCAACTACGTCTTACCATTGATTGTAAGATGCATCTAATTGTAATGTTAGAAATGTGAAAAAGTTTCATCTTAAACATATATGTAAATATATATTTCATCTTAAATATATATATATGTAAGTGTGTATGTGTGCATTGTGTGTGTGTTCAAAGATTTAAACCGCAAAGTCTGCTGAATGAAGTTTGAGTGGAAAGTTTTAACTAAATTTCCCCAAAGACAGTTTAAAAGCTGTTCTCTCTTCAACTAAGTAAGATTCAACAGTATAATGAAAATGGTCTGAGGTAGACAGCATTATGGATGCTTCTCTAGTTGGTATATTTTTAAACATATAAAGGATGTTTTAATCATGTGTACGTGTTTACAGATTTTTGTGATGGGCCAATAATGTACATTGCAAATATAAATAAATACTTCTGATAGATCACTTGAAAAAATAAGAAATATTTTTGTTTATAACCAGATAAATACCCTTGCAGATGTTTTCCTGTAAAAGAAGTGATATCCAGTGAATTTCAGGAACTTTATTGGAATGACAAAGTTCAAACTGCTGCCAAAGCCAACACATGAGGTTTATATATAGAGAGAAGAACGGATTTCACTGTGTTGATGAGATTTTTATTTCATGGTTCCCATTTTCCATTACTGCTTGGTCAGTGGCCATGAAGGATTCAAGGTGGTTATGCCCAATAATTCCCAACTTTACTCAAAGCCAAACCCAGATATTAACAAATATTAAATATGGAGGGACCCTAGCAAACAATAGAGAGCTATGCTAGGATCTCTGTGAATATTTGAAGATAATCTAATGTATAAGCTATCTTTGGAACAATGACTTGTTTAATGATATCATGACTCTAGTATAACTAAGTCATGGCACAGCTGATTCAGAATTTCAGACACTTTCACTATTGCAACAATTGATCACATCAAATGCATGAATCCAATTCAGGAGGTGTTGTTTCTTGGAAGCGAAGATTAATGATACTTCAGCAGCTTTTTTACTACCATGGCTTAGTATTTGCAAATGGAGACCTCATTTATTACAGACACTTGAAGTAAGCTTAAAAGAAAAAGAGCTCTCAGACCAACAGCTCGTAGTAAATGAAAATAAATTGAAATGTTATGTTTTTGAAATATTTGTGTATTTGTGCTTTTCCTTGATTTATTTTAAGATCATTTTACTTTCTTCCTTTATTTTTTCTTTTCTTTTTTTTTTTTTTTTTTTTGCTTTGGAGAATGGAATACAGAGACAGACAGCCAGGGCTGTGCTTCCTACTGAATTCCAGATTTGAAAAGTAAGAGCTCTTTGAAGGTACTCTCACAAAGGTGTATTGTAACTTTTTGAATCTAAGATGACTTTGATTGTAAACTGGAACATTGATTTGATGTACCACTAAGAACAAGAAAATACTGGCAATCAAACTGTAATGTACCAATCAGACACTTTCCATTTCAGAGAGGTTAAAATATGAAAATACAGATGAGTTAGAATTGATAAGATATGAATTTTCATGCTAAAATGTAGCCAGGACATCCCAAGAATATTCAAAGAAGACCACATTTTATGTTACAGAGAAAATCAGGAAACTTGATAACTTTAGGAGGCATTATGGAACTCCTACATCACTCTGAGTGCTTTGGAATTACCCAGTGAAATAGATTTCTAATTCTGCATTCTAAAACTCAAGGGATCTCCGCCACCTACCAACTCCCCATGAACCAGCACAAATCCCAGAGCAAAGGAAAGATTCACAGCTTTCATGACAGTTATTGGAATGTTCGTTGCCAGTTTTGTACAAAGGAGGGAGCTCAAGAAAGCATTACAATTCTCTATTATTCTGCCATAAGAAAGAATGAAATCTTGTCATTTGCAACAGCACGGATGGAACCAGAACATTATGTTAAGTGAAATAAGCCAAGCAAAGAAAGACAAATTTCACATATTCTCACTTATTCGTGGAAGCTAAAGTTTTTAAAAATTGAACTTATGGAAATAGAGAGTAGAATGATGGTTAACAGAGGATAGAAAGGGTAGTGGGAAAGGGGAGAAAATGAGAGGATGGTTAATGGGTATAAAAATGCAGTTAGATATAATAAATAAGATGTAGTATTTGGTAACATGATAGGATAACTACGGGTAACAATAATTTATTGTATATTTTAAAATAACTAAATGAGTAGAATTGGGATGTTCTTAACACAAAGAAATGATAAATGCTTGAGGTGATAAATGCCTTAATTACTCTGATTTGATCATTACACATTGTATGCCTGTATCAAAACATCACATGTATCCCATAAATACATATAGCTATTATGTACTCATAATAATTTTTTTAAATCCCAATTCTTACTAAAAGTAAATTGCTGATAAATATATTTCAGTGGATGTCCTGGGGACCAAGAAATTGCTGAAGTCTCAGAATTACCCACGGCATATGGATTCTCCTACTGTGAGACAATATGAGAGGTTTATTCCTCTAAGGTAAGTGAATGCTTCACACTCTCTTCTCTCCATCAGACTCATTTTAATTCACTAAGCCACATTATGATAAATATGATGTACTAGTGGGGACACAGAGATGAAGGACAAGTACTGGAAGCTATATTCCAAAGGGTTACTGATGTTAAATCATACTAGCAAGTCCAAGCAGTCAAGGACTAGGCTGAGAACAGTTATAAAACCCAAAGGAAAAAAAAAGTCATGAAAATTATCACGCAATGATAGAGAAAGCAAATTAAGTTTATCTGAATGGAATTTAGAGATGAAATGCAAATATCTCAGAGCCTTTTTACATATTTCTAGCATGTTGGGGTGGATTAGCCCTGTTCTTTTACAGGATGAAACAGGAAGCAACCAGCAGCAGCATCTCTGACTAGATCTTTCTTAACTCCTAGTGATAAATGTGGTCCTCCACTAGGGTTTCCAAAGGGAAGGAAATTCTAGGAGCATTATCTCCCCCAGCGTCTCCCAGAAAAAAAATTATATATATATATTCTAAATTGGACAGACATTATAGAGATGATGTCCATGCCTAGACATTTTTATATTTGGATGCTTCAATTAAGGAGAAAGAAAGACTTGAAAATGAAATCTAATCTCATATTTGTATAGTCTGCCAAGTCTCTGTAAAACTGTTTTAGCAGAAAATCAAAAAAGTTGCCCCCAAACTGTGCAAGATCCTTTTCTATTTATTTTTTATTCTCATTAAACATTGTTCTCTCTTTTAGAAGAGAGAAAGAAATGAAGAGAACATGTGCAGAAATGGTATGCCTACATTGCAACCTACATAACAACAAATTACAATGAAACCCAACTTCAAGTGTGCCAAACTACACAAAACTGTGAAGTAACTGAAGCCAAACTGTGAGGCAAAAATGTTTAGGTTGCATTTAAGTTGAATCGTTAGGCAGTGTGTGAACACAGGAAAAGAACAAAATAAAGTGTGTGCAATTTACTTTTAAGCTGTTTTTAAATTCCAAAATTGATATGTACTTTATACACATGATTCTACCATTTTTCATCGATTTCAGGAAATTAATTAGGCTTTGGACCCTGAGGATTTCCCATGTATGTGGAGTGTCTGTCCTTTAACTCAGTGGGTGCTCCATAGAGCAGAGCAGCTGCAACAACTTGAAAGGCATTTCTATTGTGCATTGCTCACTGTGGTCCTGAGAACCGGAACTGAGGGAGGTTTACCAATGCTGCTCTCTGCCTTTATTGCTATGCGGGTACACCTTCCTTTATGGAAGGGGTATGCTCTCTAAATAGTAAATGAAAGCGAATTTCTCCTTATTGCTTTTCATTTTGTAGTAATAAAATTAGGGCTTTGTTCCCATGTAAAAATTTGAGTTCTGATATAAAACTAACATTCCTTACAAGATGGAAGCAACTCTTTTTTTAAAAAGAAATCACATGATGAAAAGGACATATTTTTTCCAATTCCCTAATGATAATTCTCCTATGAAATGTTTGTGCAGACTAAAATGAAACTGATGATTCTAAGAAACAGAGCCCTCCTGGGGCTTGTTTCACATAAAAGCAATTGCCTAAACTTTAAGTATAGAAGATGTTCTTTTAAGTACAGTTTGTAACTCATTGCATTCCATGAGGAGCGGACATTGTCTGACATTCCTTTAAATGTAATGGTTCTTCTGCAAAAATTTCCTTAACAGTGATAGAAAACTTCCTGCCATAGGTCAGGGTTTGCTCATGTTTGTTTTACATTTATTGAGCGCTTACTGTGCACCAGGTGCTTTCTCATACCTTTGTTTTCTTTGATCCTTTCAACCCAAAGATGTACCTATTAATACCACAATTTTTAAAAACAAGGAAATGAAGCTTCAGAGAGGTTACATAAACAGTTTAAAGAAAAATTTTAAGCGAAAGAATTAGGATTTGCACCCAATTTTATCTAGCATCATAATCTACTTTCATAGACTACTCCTAAACGAGTATACTGGTTGTGACATTCTTTGTTAGCATTTCCTTTACTAAACATGCTTCAGTAGAATTTTACTCAGAACCATGGGACACAACTATCTTTGGATAGCCCCAATTAAATCCTTTAAGAAATACATATAGGGGCCAGATGCAGTGGCTCACACATGTAATCCCAGCACTTTGGGAGGCAGAGGCAGGTGGATCATGAGGTCAGGAGCTCAAGACCAGCCTGGCCAATGTAGGGAAAGCCCGTCTCTACTAAAAATACAAAAAAAATTGCCAGGTGTGGTGGTGGGCACCTGTAATCCCAGCTACTTGGGAGGCTGAGGCAAGGAGAATCGCTTGAACCTGGGAGCTGAGGCAAGGAGAATCGCTTGAACCTGGGAGGCAGGGGTTGCAGTGAGCCGAGATCGCACCACTGCACTCCAGCCCAGGTGACAATGCAAGACTCCGTCTCAAAAAACAACAACAACAACAAATATATATATATATATATATATATATATGAATAAAAAATAGAGAGAGCGAGAGAGAATAGTATTTATTGGTCCACACTAGAGACAAACTCACAGCCAGCCCTGAGAGTTAGCCTGTAGGTAATATACTTTACAAAGAAGAGCAGAAGAGTACTGAAGACCAGCCCCATCCTGGGATATATGAGGTCTCTAAAGCAATAGATTACGTTCAAATGAATCTCCACTGTCCTTTCTCTTGGTAGAGGTTTGATTAGGCAGTGGTGTGTTCTGCAGCACTCAACTTTAATATGCATAGAAATCACCAGGGAATCTCGTTCAAATGTAGATTCTGAGTCTCTGGGTCTGGAGTGGGCTCAAGATTTTGCATTTCTAACATGTTTCCAGGTAAGGCTGAGATTGCTGGTTCAGTGACCACACTTTGAATAGCAAAGGTGTAGAGGACGTCACTAACTAGGGCTTCAGACAGACCAGTACTAAAAGCTCAGCTCTACCACTTAATACATATATAAATTAAGGCAATTGTCTTTATATTTGAGCTTCTGTTTACACATCAGTAAAGTGGAAATGATAACATTTAATTCGAACTATATGCCAGGCACTGCTGCAAATGCATTGTAGAAATTAACCCATTTTATATTTACAATAACCCTATTTTACTATTTATAATGATGAAAGTGATAGCAGAGAGAGTTTACATAATCTGCACCAAGATACATGGCTAGTAAGTAGCCAAGAGGGAATTCAGACCCTAGGCAACACAGCTCAGGCACCCACTCTTAACCACTGTACCCTTCAGGAGTACACTGTATGAGGTTTTGCTATCATGCATGTAAAATACCATAGATTGTGCTCAATAAATCTGAATTCCATTTCCCTTCTTCTACACCAAGATTGGTTGTCTTTAAGCAGAATCTACTTATATACTTTTAACATAAAATTTGGAAACTGATGGCACTTCGTGTGATGTGATTTTCACAATGATCCTCTCTTGTGGTCTTTTCTTTAGCTATAGAAAGCCTTTGGTGTTTAGAGATTTGCATGAATTGCTACTGTTGACAGAAGGAATTGCTTTGATCTCTCTTGCATTATTGCTTGATCCATTTGTTTCTTTTCTTTCTAGAAGTGCCAAAAAAAGCCTGCAATAAATAGAAAAGAACATTTGCTACAGCTATGATCTTGTAACTGTACCTTGCCTTTAACAAAACAAAAATCTAGATTTGTCAAATATAAAATGGTGGTAGTTTATTTAACAAACAGATTTACCAAAATCTTTTTTAAAATTGTAAACTCTCTGATGTTTTTTGTAATTTTGACTACAGGTTATTTTTTATTTAAAATATCTTTTAAAACTATAACTGTTATGTTAGAAATTGGAAACAATTGAAAAAATATTTTACATACACTAATAAGTGTGCAGATAAACTTAACCTATCACAAAAAACTACTTTATATTCTGTACTGGCAAAAAAGTTTGCATGAAAAAGTAGCTTCAAATCTTTACAATTTAAATGTAATTATTAACATACTCCAAACCATGAAAATTCTTTCCCCTTTTATTTTATTTCTACCTATCATAGTTGTCCTCCTGAATCTGTGCTGAGGAATGACAGCGCACTTCTGACAGAAAAACTTTCTGGAATCCAGATTCTATGTCTCTGGAAATACTTCCCTCAAGTAGTAGAGCTGTTTGGGGCGTTTATGTGCTTTTTTGTGTGGTTTTTTGTTGTTTTTGTCGTTTTCATAGCAGATTTGCCTCTTGCCATATCTGTCATTTGGTAAAGCACACTGTAGAAATTCTCAATTTTTAAGGTAGCTATGTTCTAGGTTAATGCTAATGTAGGGGAGAGATGATGAGTATGAATCAGTCTATCTATTATCTGATCAGCTCTAGGGAAAAAGATAAAAAATAATTTTAAAAAGTTGTCTTTCAAGAGTAGGAAATGGTGGGGATAGGCAAGGGACTAGCAATACAAGATTAAAAACATATATATTTTATACTCTCAGTGATTAAATAGCACATGATTCAACAATGGGATAGCAAATCCAGAATTTGAATTTGAAATAAATTCAAATACATAAAAGAATTTACAATATAAAAGGGGAGTACCTCAATCCAGCTGAGAAAATACATATCATGCAAAAAATAATATCGAGACAACTGGGTCCAAAAATCAGTTGGATCCATGGAGGATATGTTATACCAAGAGTAAATGTCTAATAAATTGAATATTTAAATGTGAAAAAATAAACCACGAAATTTAAGAAGAAAGCAATGGGGAAGTCATAGACAAGCTTGGTATAGGAATAATCTGCTGCCTTCCCATAAATCTTCAAGAGACCACAGGGAGCAGATTATTCCTCTTTATACTCTCAGCCTTACCACTTTCCCACTCTTGCCTCCACCACGCCAGTGGGCCAGAGACTTCAGTGGCAGATATTGAAGTCTCTGAAGTCTTTTGCGTCAGTCATGACCTCCCCAGTTCCTGAGCCAATCTTGACTAGAGAGTCCATTAAAAATGCTAGTCCTTGACTCAGTCTTCAGTCCTAACCGGCTATATCTGGAGTAAACACTGCTTCCCCCATGCCCACCAAAATATAGCCTTTCTTTTAACTTTGTTGTGTTTGATAACTACATACATTTCTTCTCTTACTCTTCCAAGGTGGAGTCCTTTATTAGTTTGTTTTTCTTTTTAAAGTAACCAAACGTTTTTCACTATCATTAGTGCACATAAACAGAATAAGAATTTGAACTTGGATCTGATTTTCTAGGTCAATATCACTCCTACTCATCTTTGTTCCTGGAGCAGAATGACTCTCTTGCAACAACAACAAAATAATTGTCCATTTAATAAATTGAATCTGAAGACCACAAAGTACATCTGGCTGATTACTAGTTCATACAAATGATGTTTGTGCAAATACCTGGTTGATTACAACCTAGATCATTTGGTCATAATATTTAGATAGCTGTAAGATAAGGTTGCACATAGAGTTGTCTACTCTCTTGTCTTCTTGAAAATAAAACTTCTGCCCAAATGAACCCTGATTTTGCTTAATCAGTTCCCTATGAGAGTCACTGTGGCCTGCAGTTGTTTGATTAAAAGAGCACAAATTGGGGTGCTTCACAGTTCAGAGGCATTTCCTATTGTAATTTAAATAAAGCAGTTGGGGTAGCAGACAATCCTGATGGAAGCTTATAATAGGATTAATAAAGGTTCCATGAGTGAACCCAAATTCACCAAATATCCAAAGTGTTTAAATATCACTAAAATTAATGGATAAAATGTACTTTTTCCCTAAGAATAAACATATAGAGGTTAGAGAGTGCTTGAAAATAAGAAAAGCATATACAAAATTAAAATTCAGAATGACAGTAAAAGAAGTTATTGGTTAGAAAAAAATCACAGTGCACATTTTAAAAAGAAAAAAAAAACTACAGTTCATGGTAAGTCTAAATTACAGTTGGAAGAGTGCCAGCTAGTTACAGCGCACAGAAAAGGTGAAAATCTCCAAACTAGAGTACAATTAATGCTGCCTGGGCTCTCTGGAATCCTTTCCAAATGTATTTCCAAATAAAAGTACTCTGCTTCTCTGTTGGATGCCAATAAATGGTAAAACTTAAACTTGGGAACTTACAACCCAGCAATAGCCAAGAGCTCATTTACAAAACACCATGGAAGGATTCGTTTCTCCACGTGACATGAGGGAGAAAAAGTTCTCTTTCTTAAAAGGGTCCTTCCACTTATTAGATATTCTATCCGTTACTATCAGCATTTTGTCTTCAGCCCATAGTAACGGAATAAACAATAGGAATTTGGTTATGAAACTACATGGTGAAGTTTCCACATTGCCTGACTACATTGTTTTTCCCTTGGTGGGTTTTGGGCTTTTTTTCTTTCCCCAAACCACTGCAGCATGCCCAGGGATAAGTCATAGGCATAGCCGGGAATCACTGAACTTCAAAGCTGCAAGCCAACTTAGAGAGTCTAACATACCTCCCTCCTTTAACACATGAAAAATGAGGCCCAGAAAGTTGAATGTCTTAACCGAGAACACACAGGTAGCTAGTGGAAAAAGTAAGCCTTAATTTCCAATTAAGCAATATATCCAGTTATTAATAACAACTCGCATTTATTGGACTCAGTGACACTAAATTAAGTTATTTACATAAATTTGCACGTCCTGTTTACACGTGCACACACACACATGCACAGCCCTCAAGGCAGTTATTCATACAAACCTTCCTGGACCAGTGAAGAAACTGAGATCACATAACTTGCCAAAAGTCGTTATCAATACTGAAGAATAGAGAAAAGATTTGAACCCAGGCCTTGTGAGAGATACAACAATAAAATTGACAACATTTCTGTCCTCATGGAAAAATCTAGAAAAAGAACTAAGACATGCTTACTAATTACTCTAGCTAAAATTATATATGACTATACACAAGGCTATTCTGTCTCTTATTCTGGACTGGAATTAACCCATAATTGGGAATGTACCTGCAAGGAAGGAAAAATATATCTTCTTCACTCATCCTAGGTTCATGGCTGAGACCCCTATAACTAAAGGCAGATTAACAGGAGAAAAACATGCCAATTTATTTAACGGTTATGTTGACACAGGAGCCTTCATAAGGAAATGGAGACCTAAAGAATCAGTTAAATTTGTGTGGTTTTTTTGTTGTTTTGTTTTGTTTTTTATTTATTGATTGATTTTTTAATTGAGATGGAGTCTCCCTCTGTCACCCAGGCTGGAGTGCAGTGGCACAATCTCGCCTCACTGCAACCTCTGCCTTCCAAGTTCATGCCATTCTCCTGCCTCAGCCTCCTGAGCAGCTGAGACTACAGGTGACTGCCACCACGCCCAGCTAATTTTTTGTATTTTTAATGGAGACGGGGTTTCACCGTGTTAGCCAGGATGGTCTCGATCTCCTGACCTCATGATCTGCCTGGCTCGGCCTCCCAAAGTGCTGGGATTACAGGTGTGAGCCACTGCGCCTGGTCACATTTGTGTATCTTAATGCTGGGTTTGATGAAGAAGTGGAGAAACGGGACTGAGCAAAGCGGGTATGATCTAATGGTAATAAACTGGGTGGAACTTAGCAGGTCCTGTTTGTTCAGATTCTGTGTTCCCGTCTCTTCAGAGAGAAGGATGCGCCTTTCCTACGTTTAGAGGGAAGGTACCTCTCACATGAGGTCTTACGACCTGCTTCAGGCGAAGGCCAGAAAATCTTCTTAGGTTTTATGACCTGCTTCAGGGGAGACAGGGTGGAAGAAGGTGAGAGTGCCCCTCCTGCTTCTGTGTTTTGTAAAATTCCTTCACCTTAAAATATTTTGGAGTAGTATGTTCTGAACCCCATCGCATCTATGGACTTTAGCTTCGTTAATATTGAGCATACAAGATCCTGGAATCATACACAGAAGCTCTGTGGGCAATAGTAACTCTTACCACACAAATGCAACAAAATTGACCACACTATTCTGCTGTAGTGTCTGCCACAGCCACCTAATTCTTCAGCTGATATTTAAGATTTTGCCTAAATGTCAAATATATTAAACTGATAATCCATTGTCCTTGATATAAAAGAGTAATAGACCAAGCACAGTGAGTCAAGCCTGTAATCCGAACACTTTGGGAGACCAAGACAAGCCAATCACTTGAGCCCAGGAGTTCAAGACCAGCCTAAGCAACATAGTGAAACCCTGTCTCTATAAAAAATACAAAAAATTAACCAGGTGTGGTGGTGCACGCCTTTAGTCCCAACTACCTGGGAGGCTGAGGCAGCAGGATTGCTTGAGCCCAGGAGGCAGAGGTTGCAGTGAGCCAAGATCATGCCACTGCAGTCCAGCCTGGCCGACACAGTGAGACCTCATCTCAAAATAAATAAATAAAGTTATAAATATTTATCCAAGTCTTGGTTACCTATAGCAGGCTTATCAAAAGAAATAAGTTGTAAATAACTTGATCTAGAATTTACCTAGGTAACATTAAGTGGTATACAGAATTTATACTTATGGAATTAAATAAACTTATTTTAAATCACTTTCATGAAAAACATGAAGGCTTTTTTATCATGTCAGTAAGGTGGTCTTTCCTTTGGAATATATGTTTCTTAATTGGTTTCTAAAACTATGTATAGGGTCTCACAGGCTGTAGGTTACCTAACCAACAGTCAATTTCCGTACAGATGTACAACAGAGTGAAAATATCAGATACCCATTTTCCCAATCTCTTTCCAGCGAGGGGTAGCCATATGATTTCTGGCTAATAAGACAAGGCCAAATGACAAAGGACTGATCCAGGTTAAAAGGTTGGTGAGAAGAATCATGTGGACTTGGTTCAAGGTGGCTTTCACTTTGGCTTACTAGTGAATCAGCAAACAAGTGGTACAAACGATATGTACCAGATAAGTATGAAAGAGAATGAGTACATGCAGCTTTCTGGAGCCTGCCTGAATTTCAATGCTCAGTGCAATCCACATAGGATGAGAACCTAACAGTTTTTGGGAGCCAAGACACTGTAGGCTGAAGCCCTTTATATGATTACACTAGGAGAGAGATCATGTTGGTCCTAGAGGGTCTACCTACTACTTTATACAGCAATTCTCTGCTGCATTATAGCGACATACCAACAGGTTCTATTTTTATCAGTATCATATAAACTATAAACACTCTGGCTATAACCTTCCATAGAAGGGGAAATACTCTTAGGGTTAGGGTAGAGACTGAGTTGCTTCTGAGAATGTTCATTAAATTTTCGTAGTAAAAACAGAGATACATATTAAGCAAACAACTCCCCATTTCTTTCCTAGATTTGGAAGCAGATCATGAGTCCTAAGTTCAAGCAGAAATCTCATGACCTTACAGATAGGAACAGAAGGGCCAACCAGCTGAGGATGGTTGAGAAGGATAAAAACATTCTAGATCCTTGGCAACTTTATTAAATGGTTACAATCATCAATCCTAAGACTCTTACCTTTAAACTTTTTCTTAAGAAAATAACAGTTACATTTGCTTAGATTTATTTTGTTACTTGTCTTTGAAACATCTTAAGTGATGCAATTGGCATGCTAATTCATTAAAGAAATCAGCCCTCAGAGAGGAAGAAATATTTTAGGGGAAATATTCTTGGAGAAGAATGTTCACTAAAGAAAACTCTTTTTTTTTTTTTTTGCTTCATGCTTTGGCTTTCATCATAAACAGCATATCTTCCAAAACTCTTCTCTGATTTTTAATTAAGGCCCTATTTGCACACTTGTCCTTTTAGTGCTCATTTAATTTATAATTATTTCCTAAATGTCTGTTCTCCTTGACAAGCAGTATAATAGCAAGCGCCAGAAAAGCAGGGACTATAACTTCCATAATCTATACTGCATCTGTCCCACCATGCCTGACATTTCTAATTGCATATTTGTACCCCTTTACTAACTTCTCTTCATCCCCCTACCCCCATAAAAATTTTGTTTTTGTGGGATAAGACTGGTTAGTACATTAGTACCCATTCATTTGTTACATTAATTAAGCAGTATCTTGGTCTCTGTAGGAACAAGACAGCTTAGCCTAGGATAGCAATTTTGTCACTGGAAAGGAGCTTTACAAATCTTAAGTTCCAATTTCTTTGATTTATAGTCATTTTAGTAAACTCTGGAATTTCAACCCAGGCATACTAGTTTTCTATTGCTGCTAGAACGATTTACCAAAAACTTAGCTTCTTGGACAACACAAATTTATTATCTTACATTTGTGTAGGTCAGAAGTCTGACAAAGATATCACTGAGCTAAAATCAAGGGGTCAGCTAGGCCTTATTTCCTCCTAGAGGCTCTGGGGAAGAATCTACTTTCTTGCTATTCAGGCTTTTAGAAGTCACATTCATCCTGGAAGCCTTCCTCTATCTTTAAGCCAGGAATGTCACATCTCTCTGACCCTTTTCTGTCATCTTATCAGATTGCAGCTGGAAAAAAATCCTTCACTTTTTAGTACCCATGTAATTAGATTGGGCCCACTCAGATTATCCAGCATAATCTCTCCATCTCAAAAGCCTTAGTCTTAATCACATCTGCAAAGTCTCTTTTGCCATATAAGGCAACATATTCACAGTTTCCAGGGATTAGGACTTGGATATCATTGTGAGACTATTATTCTGTCTACCACACCAGGATTCCTAGCAATATATTAATTCTGTGTACATGAATTGTTTGCAGAGAGATAGAATTAATTGTTGAAAGGGGACTGGATCAGAATTTGAAGACTTGGGTTCAAATCTCAGAAAACTGTTTCAGAAATGGCATTTGCAGGCAGAGGAAATGGTTAACCAAGAGGCATAAAAGCATAGAGTATATTTAGAAAACATTAAATTATCCAATTTTACTGGAATGTGGCATAGAAAAGTCTTTAGGTGAAATAGGCAGAGGGACTTAATGTTAGGCTAAGCATTGGTGCCACCATCAAAATGCAACTGGGAGTCGTTGAAAGCAGTGACAATGGCCACATTTGCATCTTCTTTCTTTTATTTTTTATTTTTTTATTTTTTTTGATACGGAGTCTCCCTCTGTCACCAGGCTGGAGTGCAGTGGGGCAATCTTGGCACACTGCAACCTCCACCTCCCAGGTGGCTCAAGTGATTCTCCTGCCTCAGCCTCCCGAGTAGCTGCGCACAACGCCAACACACCCAGCTAATTTTTGTATTTTTAGTAGAGACAGGCTTTCACCATGTTGGCCAGGGTGGTCTTGATCTCTTGACCTTGTGATCCGCCACCTCAGCCTCCCAAAGTACTGGGGTTACAGGCATGAGCCACTGTGCCCAGCCCACATTTGTACCTTCTAATGGTTCACCTGGCAGCAGCATTCAGGGAGAACTGGAAAGGAAACATTGGAGGTAGACAGACAATCAAAAGGCTATGGCCGGGCATGGTGGCTCACACCTATAATCCCAGCACTTTGGGAGGCCGAGGCAGGCGGATCACTTGAGGTCTGAAGTTCAAGACCAGACTGACCAACATAGTGAAACCCCGTTTCTACTAAAAATACAAAAATTATCTGGGTATGGTGGCACTTACCTGTAACCCCAGCTACTCAGAAGGCAGAGGCAGGAGAATCACTTGCACCCGGAGGTGGAGGTTGCAGTGAGCCGAGATTGCACCATTGCACTCCAGCCTGGGCAACAGAGCGAGACTCCATCTCAAAAATAAATAAATAAACAAAAAATAACGCTATTGCTGCCTTCTGGGAAAGAGGTGCAAACATGGGGCAATGGTGGTGAAAATGGCAGGAATGGGATGGCTGACAAATAGAGCTAAGTGGTTCTTTCAGTTAGGTTTAATGCAGCTAAATTTGTGAAAACTCTGAAGTCCTGAGTAATATTGACAACTCACATCTGAATGTAATTTTTTTACATAATATTTTTAGGAATAATCTAAAATTCTTAAGTATCATGTTTATTCACTTCTGGATAATTTTGGATTGGGGATCTTGTGTTAATGGCTGAAGAAATGAGGTCCAACTAGCTATAGGTAAGAAACTGAGCCTCAGGGAGAGTTTTAGAGCTAGATGTATCGATGTCAAAATTTGTCTAGGAGTATCATGAGATCTTTGGGGGTAATAGCATGGTTTAGGGCAGGGGATAAAATAAATATTATAGAAGGAAGAAGAGATGAAATGTTGGTAGACTAGTTAAGCAAACACAAATTCCAATTTCTAAAATGTAAGAAAGGCTCTTAAGAGCAACCTGCATGGAGAGTCACAAAGCACAGATTAAAGATGTCCCTGTTGAAAGAGGTTACATGAGTTAGTCTTCAAAAAATAGCTTAGCTAAAACCATGGCCTCTGTGACACTCCTTCAGACTAGGACCCTAGAATCTGATTATATCTTAGAGTCTTCAGCTCTCTGAAATGTATTTATTCTTGCATCCTGTTACTTTCCTGACTTGATGTTTCAGAGTTAATTTATCCAGAGAAAAAGCTGGCCTGACTCTTCTTTGTGAGCCTTGGCAAGTGTTTAGTCTGTTGGTGGTATGGCTGTAGGCCCAAGTCTCATCTAGTGAATGTAGTCAGTGACTACATGTTTTTGGTATGCAGGCCTGTTTATGTATACCAGAAAAAGAACTTCAACATAAAGGAAAAAGCCTTTAAGGTATTTGAGCCTTACAACTACTGTTAAGTGTGAGGTGGGCTACCTCCTTACTACCACACAAGGTTCTCTAATTTTGTTAATAAAAGCCAGATTCCCATTCAATAGCTATGTTGTGGCAATGATGAGTAAGAGAGCAGATGTGCAGAAATTCAAAAACGAATAATAGTATTTAGCCTTCGGTACCAGTGTCAGATATTTGCTATTAAAAGATAATGAAAAGTGGCTGAAATCTTTTCTAATTTGTTAATCCTGTGTGGCTTGGGTAAACAGTATTCCTTAGAGATCGGTTAGCACTAACATTCCACCTTTCTGGAATTAAATCAGAAGTTCAGATGCAGACAGTATCTTCAAAAAATTAAACACCTTTAAAAACTAAAAAAAAAAAAGTTTAAATATCCAGATGTTTGGCCATCTGATGCCAAACATCTGCATATTCATTCTACATTGACTCAACTAGCTGTTAATGAAACATTTGAAAAATTATGTATAGGTAAACAAACTCAGAGAATATCAGGCCTGGAAGGGGGCCTAGAGATCATCTAGTTTCAACATTTTAGAGCTAACAGTGGAGTGAAGATAGCAAGGTCCAGTGGTGGAAAAAAGAGAAAAGGAGTAGGGGAATGTTTAGGGCCCCAAGAAGTAATGTAATTTCTATTTAATTTTGTTCATTTTAACTGTGTTGGTTGTAAGATAGATATAGTTATGACATTTTTAATTTCTAATAATCAATCGGCTAAGTCTTTGGGGTGTGACAAGAAAGAAAAAGGCACTAAGTTCTCAGAGTCATCAGTTTGCCTCAAAAAAGAAAAAAATGAAGACTTTTCTTATTTACCACCAAAGCTCTCCCAATTTCCAAAGACAAATGTTCATCACCATAGCATATATATGAAAGCGATTTAGAGTGCCTATCAATGGAAAATGTATTAGCTAAGTTCCCTGGACTTGAAATTAATAGGAGAGCTTTAAGATTAATGGGACTAGAAATATCATTGCTTTCCCTTGGCATGAAGTTTGTGGCATCTTTATTTTGTTAAAATACAGTGTATTGCTATGAATCTACTGTCTTTTCCCTTCTAATGATTTTGTGAATTCCTAAGACCATGAAAACAACAAAACCAAAAATCAAGGAATTATTCTTGTCCTCTGTGCCACACAAATCAAATCATATCTAATCCTGTTTACTTAAATACCCTTAGAGACTAAGTAATGTAAAGCTTATGGAAATCATATATGGTGATGTTCCTTAAAATTCCAAAACAGAATCAATTAGTCCAGGGAAATACAGACTGTCTACAAACACTGTCAGGGTCAGGTGCAGTGGCTCACGCCTGTAATCCCAGCACTCTGGGAGGCCGAGGCGGGTGGATCACCTGAGGTCAGGAGTTCAAGACCAACCTGGCCAACATGGCAAAACTCTGTTTCTAATAAAAGTACAAAAATTAGCTGGATGTGGTGGTGGGTTCCTGTAATCCCAGCTACTTGGGAGGCTGCGGCAGGAGAATCCCTTGAACCCAGGAGGCAGAGGTTGCAGTGAGCCAAGATTGCACCATTGCACTCCACCTTGGTGACAAGAGCAAAATTTCATCTCAAAAAATAACAATAAAATAATAAAAATAACACTGCCAGCTTCAATGCTATTCTTTTACTATTACAGGCTTAATAATTAAGTTTTTATACAATCAGCCATCAGGTATTTATTGAGAATAAATATAGGTATAACCATAAGTCTAAGAATGCAGAGATCTCTTTGAAAGATGTCAGAGAAAACATATTGTTTTCTCCCTTTCTCTGACATTACAGTCGAGATAGAGGAACTAGAGTCAGATAAAAATGATTAGAGAGCAATAAAATAAACTTATAATTAAGTTTTTAATTGTACATTTTGAACTTCAGAAACTTTAGATTTTGAAGTGAATTAAAATACTTTTGGAGAATTTTTAGATTCAAAGTTAATGTGTGTCTCTCAACATATAGTGCTTAATCTACATACAATATGGAGAATGATAAAATAGCCATCTAGGTTTGACTCCTGACACTCTACTTGCATCAATGTAATCTTACAAAATGACAAGTCTCAATTAAAAATGATAAAGTTCACTGTGGCGGTTATCCTTAAGAAAGTAAGAGGAAAAGAATTACCATTTGTTTAGCATTGAAAGTTGCCAGGCATTTCCCATAACTTTTCTCATTTGTTTCTCATAATGGCCTTATGAAAAGATAACTGAGATCCAGAGAAATACAGTAATTTTCTCAAGATTACATATCTCATAAGTGGAAGAACAAAATTTAAAATCAAATCTGTCTAATTCCAGATCTAGTACTCTATTACAGCTAATAGTTAATTTTCATGGAGCAGGTTGTAGACACACGAGTATATAAAAATATAACCATCATATAGTGAAATGAAATTGTGATGAGATGAATGCAAGCTTCATTTTGCCAGTGATTTAGTGGATAATTGTGTCTCAGTCACTTTAATAGACTGGACTCTGCTTCTCATTTATAAAAGCAACTAAACAGAAAATTGACATTTGTCATTTGGAAAATGCATGGCTTCCAAATCAAATGATTGCTTGTATTTCTTGTAATGACTTAACCCAGCCATATGTTAAAGGGATAAACATCAAGCCAAAATTCAAATTTAAAATAATATATTTCTCCTATATCCATTTGATAACTAAGTCTAAATAACAAATTTGTACTTTATGCTACCATCCATTTTGGACAGTACTACATCTGTGAAGTTAGAGAAGTGGGAACATATTACTTCAGAAGAAATCCCCAAATTTGCACATGTAATACTCTTTTACTTACTGTTTTAGAATTTAATGTCAGGTTTTTTTTAAGTCCTTGTTTTAAAAAGTTTTATCTTTTAAAAAGAAGTCTATGTACGCTGGGTTGAAAAGATTTCAGTGAATTTATAAAATAAAAAGAAGAATAAAAACTGATCATATAAAATTATTAAGACTTGAAAAATATATGTCCTTATTTGGAATCCATCATTCAATTGTGCAGTGTGTCAATGGGGCAGTAAATATTGAATGAGGATTCAATTTTAAGAGCACTTACCTACCCCATCATTGTTACTACTCATTCAATTACTAAAGTAAATATTTTACTTCTATGTTCACAATATGTTTCCATTTCCAAATCTATCCAAGTGCTCTATAAATGAAGACTAATATCGTGTCTCAGCTTTAGCACTTTTTGCCAAAATACTCTGAGTCCAAAATCAAATAACAAAACCATAATGCTGAAAGAGACCTCAATGAGTCATTCTTCCTTGGTTGAACTCTGTCTAGTCATTCTCCTCCACCCAAACCAACCTTCATCTCCTCTATTCAGCTGCTTCTCCCCATCCACCAGCAAGACATATTCTGAACCTAGAAAGGTAACTCCTTTCTGGTTCAATAATATTCTTTGTTTTTATAATTCAAAGATGCTGGCCCGGTGAGGTGGCTCACACCAGCACTTTGAGAGGCCAAGGCAGCTGGATTACTTGAGGTCAGGAGTTCAAGACCAGCTTGGCCAACATGGTGAAACCCCATCTCTACCAAAAAATACAAACATCAGCCAGACATGGTGGCACGCGCCTGTAGTCCCAGCTACTCGGGAGGCTGAGGTGGGAGAGTTGCTTGAACTCAGGAGGCAGATGTTGCAGTGAGCTGAGATCATGCCACAGCACTCCAGCCTGGGCAACAAGCAAGAGGCTGTCAAAACAAAACAAAACAAAAATCAGAAAACAAAGATGCTTTGAATTCCCATCACATTCATTATTTATTTTTGTTCATTGGCCTCATCATAATTTAAGATATCTATGTCTATTCTGGAACACCAACAAGGGATTATTATTTCTCACCTTAAAGAGCTTCTTTGCTAGTTGAACAGACTCTCTTGCTTCAAATCAAAAAGTTCCTAAGACCATGTCTTTCAAATTAGCTAGAAAAATATAATTACTGTATGAGTGTCACCACCCCAGAAGACCAACAAACTCAATTCTTAGAATAATGTTATACAGAATAAAAATGTAAGTATTGTGGTGGGATCTCAGTGTTGTTTATTTTTCCTTCTGATACCTTTATTGTAAACTAGAGGTGTTAGGATATGGTTAGTTATGTGAATTTTAAGTATAATATAGGTCTTTCCTGAAATTCTGTTCTATTTATTTTGGTTGTATCCTACTTTATACTCCTCCTCACTTTGTCCTCCAAAGTCCTAGAGCCTAAAAGAATATATAATACAAAGCAATATGGGAGTAAAAGGAAGTGAGAAAGATGAAAACAAACCATGGTTTCTTAGTAATGAGATTATTATAAAAATGTAAACCATAAAAACCATTACTTGCTGTAGGACCATAGTTTGGGTTCTGTGCTTTCTTAAGAGCCAAAGTTTGGGGATGTGGGGGAAGAGAGAAATCTGGTTATTAAACATGTCAGTGTGTATAAAACTAAATAAAAATAATTATAAAGAGCTCAGGAGAAGCAAGCCAGTATTGATGTGAAGACTGAAGGCTGAAGCGCCATGAAACATAATAATTACTCTTAACAACATCCTTACTTTCAACACATCAAATTCCTAAAAAAGTATTTCCAATGTTGGCCGTCAATAAAAGCCAAAGAGATTCCAACAAAACGAATTAAAGTAAAAAGAGTAGTATGAGTTGCCACAATTATATGATTGAAGTATATTAATTTATGAAGCCCAATTTAGTACATGTGTAAGTTTTAGGATATCTGGAAGATTGGACTTGGCAATGACTGTGCAGCAAACTTTACATATGAGTGCTACTCTAAACACTACAAATACAATGATCTGTGTGTCATGCAGTTGGTTGACATGCATTTTTGTCTATCAGTTTTACCTCCATTGTAAGATCTATAATGTAGGTTTAAATTGTAGGCTTCTTAGAGAGCAGTGTCTATATGTTATAATTAGCACACCATATTGTTATATGTTAAGAAGGTACACATATTTGATATTGCTAAGTATTTTCCAATGATGTAGATTTTTAGTGCATAATATTATGTCTTTCAGAGAAACCCTGTTCAAATTATGCTAGCCCAGGAATCTAACAGGTCGAAAATATTCTCATAGATGGGTCTACATAGAGAGGCAAATGCCAAGGGCTCATAAAATTCCTGTTGGCATACATAGAAAAGAAAGCAATATGGTGTTCCTAAAATACTTTAGATGTTACAGGGACATGTTAAAACACAGAGTGTCTAGAAATGTCTATCCTGGTAAAATCAATGGAGTTAAGCCAGGGCAAAGAACACTTACGGCCTGCAGATACGTAATTTATGCTGTTTCTGATTTGAAAACTGGAGTAGATTTTTAATTTATGATTGAAAATATTGAGTTCACCTTTGAACAGCTAGGTAAATTAGATTGCCCTCAAGTCACCCTTGAAAAGCACCACAACCACCACTATCAGTTTCAATTTGTAAAATGGAACAAATGAAAGAGTCGCTAGGGGCACTTTCACACACCTAGCCCTTCAATTATGCATAAATAAGAAACACCAACACCTCCAACAGGCAAATCAATTTTAAAGCGCAAGGGTTTCTATTGAGAATACTCTGTTCAAAAGTTCAACTCAGCAATGCCAGCAAGATTGCACAAATGAATCAACTCTAAAACCACAGTAGAAAGGGAACCAAGATCACTATTTTTTAATGGCCAATATTTCTCTATGTTAGATGCTAGGATGCCACTAAATTGTGTTTCTCTAAAAAAGCTTGGTGAATTTAACTTCCTGACACTAGATACTACATGTTTAAAAGGCCAGAGAAACTCAAAAGAGGATAACTAATGTAATTCCAGTTAAAGTTCTTAATTTCCTTCCCTTCTCTAACAAAACTTACAAGAATGTTACATATAAGGAAAAAATGTCAGTTTCACAAAGATTTAGAAGGTAGCAATTGAGTCTATGAATTCTCATTAAATTAGTCCTATAAATCAGATTCTATGGAATAACTCTGAAAAGCAACCTTATCTTATCCAGGAAAACCCACTGTATATATTTAAAACCTCATAAGAGACTATTACTTATGCTGTATATTGTATTAAGTAAGCCCATTTAAAGCATACACTATAGCTTCCTTAAGCCAATGTTTTTACAAGTTCATGACCATGATAAAATATATTGCTTTTCAGAATAAATATCCTTTATGCCTATCATAACTATATTATACCAGTTAAATTACACCAACATTTATGGGACAAATTTCCCTAGAAACAGACCGTGTTTAATGCCTGCAGTGACACCTACTGGTAATGAAGTACACCTAATTCTTAAAGATATTTGAAAATAATAGTATCCTCGGTTCATATTTTCATTCTCAGCTCCTTAATTCACTAGCCATGGCAAATTCTTTCTTTTCATCAGCTAACTTATTTCAGTAGCTTTTTGGTAACATAAATATACATACGAGTAACATTTTCTTTTAGAGAATAAGGATTTGTCATGAAGTCGTTTTTGTTATATTTGCTGAGTATGATGAAGAAATGTAATTTTTGTTGATAACAGATTTTCACAAATCATTTAACTTACGCTTATGCAAAACCAGATGTCTCTTCTTCTCCAAGATGCCTATGAGAGATGGTATTTCTAACTAATTGGGGAGAAAATAAAGGGGAAAGAAGCCTTTTGCATGAATTGCAGATCTATGGGATGGTCACTCCTACTGTCACCTGAGGGCCTCCTGGATATGTTCTGTATACTCCCTGTTCATAATGTGGTCTTTTCTCAGCATACTTGCTCATGTTGCAAACTCCTTTTGTTAATGCTCAAGACTGCCCTACTCAAATATGACCCAAGTCCCTTCTCTCTGACCTTATTTAAAGCCAGCTAGACGTGGCACATCTCTCCATTTCATGTCTTCCCCAAATACATGAGTCAGTCACGTCCTTCTCTCCCTCATTCCTCTGTACAAAGTCATATAAATTATTAAAAATCCTAAGAAGTATTTCCCGCCCATTCTACAACCAGGGCTTTCCCTGCCTTTGAATTCTCATTATTTTTTCGTTTATATTACACCACTAAAAAAACTCTTTACATACTCTTCTTTTGTTACTACTACTAATTACTATAATAGAGCCCATTTATAGATCACCCATAAAATGCTGGGAATGTGCTAGGCTGGATGTAAGGACTTTGATTCTTATAATGACCCTTCAAGTTAGCTACTACCATCTCTATTTCTCAGATAAAGAATCTGAGCTGGGCGCGGTGAGCTCACGCCTGTAATCCCAGCATTTTGGGAGGCTGAGGTGGGCAAATCACGAGGTCAGGAGGTCGAGACCATCCTAGCTAACACAGTGAAACCTCATCTCTACTAAAAATACAAAAATTAGCCAGCTGTGGTGGCATGTGCCTGTAGTCCCAGCTACTCAGGAGGCTGAGGCAGGAGAATGGCGTGAACCCAGGATGCAGAGCTTGCAGTGAGCCAAGATCATGCCACTGCACTCCAGCCTGGGCAACAGAGTGAGACTCCGTCTCAAAAAAAAAAAAAAAAAAAAAAAGAATCTGAGAAATGGAGAATTCAGATGCTTTGTTCAAGATAATAGACCTTGACAAAGGATTCTAAACCAAATCTGTCTTGGGTCCCAATCATCCTCTCCTTCCATTATCACACAAAATGGAAGTGTGTTATTAATAAGTTCTTTCCAGCCAAGTTCTGGCCCTGAGGCTGTTGGGAACATTTCAGCCTCTGTAGGTTGCTCCCATTCCTGCCCGTGAACAGTGACATCTTTATAGCAAGTCAGTGTTTCCTCTACTCGTCAGCAGAGTTTCAGAAATATTCTTTTGCTTTTGTCTAAATATTAAAGTTCCTGGGGGGTGAGGCATCCAGGGTAATTTTATGGGCAGTATCATAGAGCAGCTTCTGGATACCATGTCTTTGTGGCTGCTTGCTGCTGATGCAGTGGTTCGCCAAGGAAGCCTTTTTAAAAACTGCCAGTCTGGCCGGGCACAGTGGCTCACGCCTGTAATCGTAGCACTTTGGGAGGCCAAGGCAGGCAGATCACTTGAGGTCAGGAGTTTGAGATCAGCCTGATCAACATGGTGAAACCCTGTCTCTACTAAAAATACAAAAATTAGCCAGGCGTGGTGGCATGCGCCTGTAATCCTAACTACTCGGGAGGCTGAGGCAGGTGAATCACTTGAACCCGGGAGGCAGAGGTTGCAGTGAACCGAGATCGTGCCACTGCACTCCAGCCAGGGGGACAAGAGCAAAACTCTATCTCAAAAAAATAATAAATAAATAAATAAAAACTGCCAATTTGTACAATACTATGAAAGTGAATTTATGTTATTATACATTTGTCCAAACCCATAGAATATACGTCACCAAGAGTGAATCCTCATATAAACTATGGACCTCAAGTGATAATGGTATGTCAATGTAGGTTTATTGATCATAACAAATGTACCATGGGTGCAGGATGTTGATAGAGGGGAAAGCTGCATGTGTGGGGGGGACAGGGGCTATACGGGAATGCTCTGTTTTTTCCATTCAATCTGGCTATGAACCTAAAACCACTCTAAAAAAAAAAGTTTATTTATTTTTTAAAAACTGCCAATGCCTAGGCCCCATCCCAAATTCAGAATCTCTGGGGAACAGACCTTTATATTGGTATGTGTCTAAAATTCCCCAGGTGACACTTAGGTGAAGTTAGGATTGAAAATGACTGGGTTAGTGTCTTCTGTGTATATTGAGTGCCTCTGGCCCTCAGGATGCCTGGTGAGAGAAGGGGGCATGGTTTGTAGCTAAGTCAGCCAGCTGAGTTTGCCCTATCTGCAAACACTCTGGAGATATCTCCATGGTGATTTATTGGCTCCAGTTTCCTTTGAACGATAATAATTATAATATATATCTTATATTATAATAATACAATAAATCCATGTTCCTGATAAGAGACCACATGTGCAACTAACACAGCATACAACCACCCATCTAATTTCTGACTCTTTATCCCAGAACCTCCAACATCTGATTTTTTTTCTGTGCCCACTGAGAGATTAGAATTCCCAACAGTTCCACCATGGGTTTGATTTCTGTCCTTTGATTTGTCCCTGAACTCGTATAGCTCTGTTCTCCTCTTGTCATTACCTTTCATCAAGTTTACATCCAGAGGTGCTTTTTGAGATCATGTACTTCCTCCAGTGTTAGTTACCTGCCCAGTGGCAGCCCTGGCATGCTGCTGCTTCTACTGTTAACCTAGTAAATGTTAAATCCAGCTTTACCATTCACGAAAACTTTTACAGATTCCAGTACCAAAGGCATCATACGATCTCTAAGTGCATTGCCATTCATATATACCTGGCTCCTGGGCATAAGGTGAGCATATTCAGTCCCACTTCATTTTACTAGAATGCAGTCTTTGAGGGCAGACAAAATACCTTATTCATCCCTACCACCTACACCTAGCACAATGTGGTTTATCTATTCATAATTTATCTACTCATAAATGAATAGTGTTTATTTACAAATTAATCATGTAATCTTTCACTTACATAACTGCTGTTATTAAAATATGCATTTGGACTATTTTTTCCATTTGTGGCAATGAGAGTTTCTACAAACCTATTCAAGTGCTTCACTGGAACACTCTTAACCAAAGTCAAATTGTGGAAGAGTTACATAAACTAGTAGATTTGAAGTCATTATTTACCTCATTCTCAGCTTTCAAAAGTTGTCTATGGGTCATAATATGCCATTTTATTAAGTCCTTCATTTAATTTTAAAATATAAGTCATCATTTCCCAATCAGAAAAAGAGGTCCTCCTCCTCCTCCACCGCCACTTCTTCTTCCTCTTCCTCCTCCTCCTCCTGTTCTTCTCCTTCTCCTTCTCCTCCTCCTTGTTCTTCTCTTTTATTTATTCATCTTCTTTTTCAGAAAGGGTTTTTCTCTGGCTGGAGTGCAGTGGCCCAATCATAGCTCACTGCAGCCTCAAATTCCTGAGTTCAAGCAATCATCTCACCTCAGCCCCTGAGTAGCTGGGACTACAAATGTGCACCACCACACCCAGATAATTGTTTTTTATTTTTTGTAGAGACAGGGTATCACTATGTTGCCCAGGATATTCTCAAACTCCTGGCCTCACATGAGCCTCCAGCCTTGGCCTCCCACAATGCTGGGATTATAGGTATGAGCCACCATGCCCAGAACTTTTTTAAGGCAGAACATGGGACCTGCTTTTAAGTTCCATCTTAGCCACTACTTAAGTCTCCAACCACCTCCAAGTCACTTAATGACGAAACTACTTAAAGGGCGTATTATATTTTATAATGTATTTTTGCAATATATATGTATTTTTTATAATAAGATGTGTGAATTATGGGGCACATAATAATGATAATCACTATAGTTATTGTTACTATTGACATTCTCTTTACTTATCAATAAAAATGTTCAATGATGATTTATAATTTAAATATGAAATCTGTCCTCAATCTACCTTATATTTGGAAAAGTTTGCAATTTGATAGACTAGCCAATAGTCTTAGAATACAGTTTTTCTTTCCCAGGAATTCATTATCTAGAAGCAAATTGGCCACCATAGCTTAGAAAATATTTTGATTTTGTCAGGAAAGCTTTAATAAAGGAAACTATATATGTTCATCATCTATGCCACTCAAGTAATACCCAAATATTCTACAGATGTTTTATGAGGAATGGACAATCTTAGTTCAACTCAACCACCAGGTCCCTATAGTTTACGCCAACATCCTAGTTCTAAGAAAGCCTTGTAATATGTGCTTCAGCTGTCAAGAAAAAACATCAGATCAGTTCTACTTCATATAGAACAGTCAGACTTTGGATCAGATACTGGCATATTTAATCTGCCCAAGTTTGTTTTGATGTCCTCTAAGTAGAAGATTAATATTTTGGAATAGGAATGATACAGCCAGACAGACCAGATGTTTATTTCTGTCTGCCTTTGGCTGCGATTGTTTAAATACAACCTAAAGAAAGGTCTAATGAATACTTACTGTGGTGATGAAAGTTCCTGCAGTGCTTCCAGGGTTGCATTATTTGATTTGCATTTCAGCCTGATGTCAGGACGCTGGTGGGGGTCTGTTATAATAGATTTTCTAATACATTTTCTACGTGCCTAATTTGGTATACATTTAAATGTATATATGTACACACGTAAATGTTTGTGCTTGTTATTTAAGGTATTCCAAGTAAGGTTTAAAGCATTGAAACCATCTGATTTGCATTTTTCAACAAGAACCAACATTTGTATTTATTTATGGAAACACTTTTGGCATAAGACTTTCTACTAAATTATAATAAAAACTTTCCGTATCACCCTGGGGAATCTGGCAATCAGCCTACCTCCTACCCAGATCAGTCTTCCCCACCTACTCCTGCCTTCTCCCATCCATTATATGCTTAACTTAAATCTGTGGTCTTGCCTGGAGCTGGTGATGAGGAGAAATAGAAAGTTAAATAAGGCAGTATGTAGTAACATGGCTGTGATTCCCTTGATCTCTGAGGTCCCCTAGGAATCCATAGATTGACCATCTAATATTTAGGCAGCTCTATTTTCTTTTTCTGTAAAATGGACACAAATATATTTTGCATTTTTAAAGTGTAATAACACCCAAGAAACTAATTGAATATAAATATTCCTACGGCCTAAGGCTAGGAGAGTCACATTCCTGTCAATTTTTAAAATGTCTTGTCTACAGCCAATCTATCTTTCCAGTCTAAACTGAAAAAATTACTGGCCCTCCCAAAGAAATACAATTTTAAAATTGTATCATTAATTACTACCACAATAAGATAATAATAATATACATATTGAGTGCTTATTATATTCAAGACAATACAATGATTTAGATGTATACATTCTTTACATCCATGATTTCATTTAATTGGCAGTATTCTAATAGTTAAGTATTATTATGATGCCTGTATCATAGGAGGTAAATCTGAAAATCTTAGAGGTTAAAATGACTTGTCTAACATCACAACAGTTAAAAAATGGCAACAGAGGGACTCTAATCCAGGAGTATCTTATTTAACTTTTATTTATTTTATTGTATCTATTAGTTTTATTAATTAAATAAATGAATTTCCCTAAGTCTATATTCTTAGCTACTATCCAGCCTCAAATGGCATTAATAAATAATCAAAACAAATATGTTTATATTTTTCCAATGGGCTGAGAATTTATTGTGCCCCAGTGATCATAAGTGCTTTAATATCTCAGTTAATCTTGACGTCCCTGTAAGTTGGGCACTATTAACTGCATATAGGGTCTTTCTCTGCTCAAATTGACATGTGTTTTGGGTTTTTATTGGAACACATTTTCCTGCTTAACTACCTCCTTCTATTCAAGAAATTGACAAGATTGGGACCTCCAGAGGAGAAGGGAACTGGAGAGCTAAAAGAATGATAGAGAAATTTACCAAAGAACCTTTTGTACATTTTGAATTTTGAAACAGATGTGCAAAATCACAAAATTAAAGTTCTAAAATAATAGAGAAAATACATGAAAAAGATAATTATTTACTATAAAATAAAAATATTATAGGGGCAGTAAAATACAAAGTGAACAATATTATGGGAGAAGTTGGGTAGAAAAAAGTATCTGGTCATTACTGCAATTAAATCATAACTAATTTTTTAAATGTAAAATGTATTGTTTAGAAACTATAAATCTCATCCACAAATCAGATATATGTCAAAGTGGAAATTAAAAACTATATAGGAGGAGTGCTTTACTTCCAACTATGTGGTCAGTTTTGGAATAGGTGTGGTGTGGTGCTGAGAAGAATGTATATTCTGTTCATTTGGGGTGGAGAGTTCTGTAGATGTCTATTAGGTCCGCTTGTTGCAGAGCTGAGTTCAATTCCTGGATTTGCTTGTTAACTTTCTGTCTCATTGATCTGTCTAATGTTGACAGTGGGGTGTTAAAGTCTCCCATTATTATTGTGTGGGAGTCTAAGTCTCTTTCTAGGTCTCCAAGGACTTGCTTTATGAATCTGGGTGCTGCTGTATTGGGTGCATTTATATTTAGGATAGTTAGCTCTTCTTGTTGAATTGATCCCTTTACCATTATGTAATGGCCTTCTTTGTCTCTTTTGATCTTTGTTGGTTTAAAATCTGTTTTATCAGAGACTAGGACTATAACCCCTGCCTTTTTTTGTTTTCCATTTGCTTGGTATATCTTCCTCCATCCCTTTATTTTGAGCCTATGTGTGTCTCTGCATGTGAGATGGGTCTCCTGAATACAGCACACTGATGGGTCTTGACTCTTTATCCAATTTGCCAGTCTGTGTCTTTTAATTGGAACATTTAGCCCATTTACATTTAAGGTTAATATTGTTATGTGTGAATTTGATCCTGTCATTATGATGTTAGCTGGTTATTTTGCTCATTAGTTGATGCAGTTTCTTCCTAGCCTCGATGGTCTTTACAATTTGGCATGTGTTTGCAGTGGCTGGTTCCTTTCCATGTTTAGTGCTTCCTTCAGGAGCTCTTTTAGGGCAGGCCTGGTGGTGACAAAATCTCTCAGCATTTGCTTGTCTGTAAAGGATTTTATTTCTCTTTCACTTATGAAGCTTAGTTTGGCTGGATATGAAATTCTGGGTTGAAAATTCTTTTCTTGAAGAATGTTGAATATTGGCCCCCACTCTCTTCTGGCTTGTAGAGTTTCTGTCGAGAAATCCACTGTTAGTCTGATGGGCTTCGCTTTGTGGGTAACCCGACCATTCTTTCTGGCTGCCCTTAACATTTTTCCCTTCATTTGAACTTCGGTGAATCTGACAATTATCTGTTTTGGAGTTGCTCTTCTCGAGGAGCATCTTTGTGGCGATCTCTGTATTTCCTGAATTTGAATGTTGGCTTACCTTGCTAGATTGGGGAAGTTCTCCTGGATAATATCCTGCAGAGTGTTTTCCAACTTGGTTCCATTCTCCCTGTCACTTTCAGGTACACCAGTCAGATGTAGATTTGGTCTTTTCACATAGTCCCATATTTCTTGGAGGCTTTGTTCGTTTCTTTTTATTCTTTTTTCTCTAAACTTCTCTTCTCCCTTCATTTCATTCATTTGATCTTCCATCACTGATAGCCTTTCTTCCAGTTGATCGAATCAGCTACTGAAGCTTGTGCATTTGTCACGTAGTTCTCGTACCTTGGTTTTCAGCTTCGTCACGTGTTTTAAGGACTTCTCTGCATTGGTTATTCTAGTTATCCATTCGTCTAATTTTTTTTTAAAGGTTTTTAACTTCTTTGCCATGGGTTCGAACTTCCTCCTTTAGCTCAGAGTAGTTTGATCATCTGAAGCCTTCTTCTCTCAACTCGTCAACGTCATTCTTCATCCAGCTTTGTTCTGTTGCTGGTGAGGAGCTGCGTTCCTTTGGAGGAGGAGAGGTGCTCTGATTTTTAGAGTTTCCAGTTTTTCTGCTCTGTTTTTTTCCCCATCTTTGTGGTTTTATCTACCTTTGGTCTTTGATGATGGTGACGTACAGCTGGGGTTTTGGTGTGGATGTCCTTTCTGTTTGTTAGTTTTCCTTCTAACAGTCAGAACCCTCAGCTGCATGTCTGTTGGAGTTTGCCGGAGGTCCACTCCAGACCCTGTTTGACTGGGTGTCAGCAGCGGAGGCTGCAGAACAGCGGATATTGGTGAACAGCAAATGTTGCTGTCTGATCGTTCCTCCGGAAATTTTGTCTCAGAGGAGTACCCGGCCTCATCAAATGTAAAAGAACACAAATTATAACAAACTGTCTCTCAGACCACAGTGCAATCAAACTAGAAGTCAGGATTAAGAAACTCACTCAAAACCGCTCAACTACATGGAAACTGAACAACCTGTTCCTGAATGACTACTGGGTACATAACGAAATGAAGGCAGAAATAAAGATGTTCTTTGAAACCAATGAGAACAAAGACACAACATACCAGAATCTCTGGGACACATTCAAAGCAGTGTGTAGAGGGAAATTTATAGCACTAAATGCCCACAAGAGAAAGCAGGAAAGATCTAATATTGACACCCTAACATCACAATTAAAAGAACTAGAGAAGCAAGAGCAAACACATTCAAAAGCTAGCAGAAGGCAAGAAATAACTAAGATCAGAGCAGAACTCAAGGACATAGAGACACAAAAATCCCTTCAAAAAATCAATGAATCCAGGAGCTGTTTTTTAAAAAAGATCAACAAAATTGATAGACTGGTAGCAAGACTAATAAAGAAGAAAAGACAGAAGAATCAAATAGACACAATAAAAAATGATAAAGGGGATATCACCAACGATCCCACAGAAATACAAACTACCATCAGAAAATACTATAAACACCTCTATGCAATAAACTAGAAAATCTGGAAGAAATGGATAAATTCCTCGACACATACACCCTCCCAAGACTAAACCAGGAAGAAGTTGAATCACTGAATAGACCAATAACAGGCTCTGAAATTGAGGCAATAATTAATAGCTTACCAACCAAAAAAAGTCCAGGACCAGATGGATTCACAGCTGAATTCTACCAGAGGTACAAAGAGGAGCTGGTACCATTCCTTCTGAAACTATTCCAATCAATAGAAAAAGAGGGAATCCACCCTAACTCATTTTATGAGGCCAGCATCATCCTGATACCAAAGCCTGGCAGAGACACAACAAAAAAAGAGAATTTTAGACCAATATCCCTGATGAACATTGATGCAAAAATCCTCAATAAAATACTGGCAAACCAAATCCAGTAGCAAATCAAAAAGCTTGGCTTCACCCCTGGGATGCAAGGCTGGTTCAACATACGCAAATCAATAAATGTAATCCAGCATATAAACAGAACCAATGACAAAAACCATATGATTATCTCAATAGATGCAGAAAAGGCCTTTGACAAAATTCAACAACGCTTCATGCTAAAAACTCCCAATAAATTAGGTATTGATGGGACGTATCTCAAAATAATAAGAGCTATCTATGACAAACCCACAGCCAATATCATACTGAATGGACAAAAACTGGAAGCATTCCCTTTGAAAACTGGCACAAGACAGGGATGCCCTCTCTCACCACTCCTATTCAACATAGTGTTGGAAGCTCTGGCCAGGGCAATCACGCAGGAGAAGGAAATAAAAGGTATTCAATTAGAAAAAGAGGAAGTCAAATTGTCCCTCTTTGCAGATGACATGATTGTATACCTAGAAAACCCCATCATCTCAGCCCAAAATCTCCTTATGCTGATAGGCAACTTCAGCAAAGTCTCAGGATACAAAATCAATGTACAAAAATCACAAGCATTCTTATACACCAATAACAGAGAAACAGAGAGCCAAATCATGAGTGAACTCCCATTCACAATTGCTTCAAAGAGAATAAAATACCTAGGAATCCAACTTACAAGGGACGTGAAGGACCTCTTCAAGGAGAACTACAAACCACTGCTCAATGAAATAAAAGAGGATACAAAGAAATGGAAGAACATTCCATGCTCATGGGTAGGAAGAATCAATATCGTGAAAATGGCCATACTGCCCAAGGTAATTTATAGATTCAATGCCTTCCCCATCAAGCTACCAATGACTTTCTTCACAGAATTGGAAAAAACTACTTTAAAGTTCATATGGATCCAAAAAAGAGCCTGCATTGTTGAGTCAATCCTAAGCCAAAAGAACAAAGCTGGAGGCATCACGCTACCTGACTTCAAACTATACAAGGCTACAGTAACCAAAACAGCATGATACTTGTACCAAAACAGAGATATAGACCAATGGAACAGAACAGAGCCCTCAGAAATAATGCCACATATCTACAACCATCTGATCTTTGACAAACCTGACAAAAACAAGCAATGCGGAAAGGATTCCCTATTTAATAAATGGTGCTGGGAAAACTGGCTAGCCATATGGAGAAAGCTGAAACTGGATCCCTTCCTTACACCTTATACAAAAATTAATTCAAGATGGATTAAAGACTTAAACGTTAGACCTAAAACCATAAAAACCCTAGAAGAAAACCTAGGCAATACCATTCAGGACACAGGCATGGGCAAGGACTTCATGTCCAAAACACCAAAAGTAATGGCAACAAAAGCCAAAATTGACAAATGGGATCTAATTAAACTAAACAGCTTCTGCACAGCAAAATAAATTACCATCAGAGTGAACAGGCAACCTACAGAATGGGAGAAAATTTTTGCAATCTACTCATCTGACAAAGAGCTAATATCCAGGATCTACAATGAACTCAAACAAATTTACAAGAAAAAAACAAACAACCCCATCAAAAAGTGGGCGAAGGACATGAACAGACACTTCTCAAAAGAAGACATTTATGCAGCCAAAAGACACATGAAAAAATGCTCATCATCACTGGCCATCAGAGAAATGCAAATCAAAACCACAATGAGATACCATCTCACACCAGTTAGAATGGCGATCATTAAAAAGTCAGGAAACAACAGGTGCTGGAGAGGATGTGGAGAAATAGGAACATTTTACACTGTTGGTGGGACTGTAAACTAGTTCAACCATTGTGGAAGTCAGTGTGGCAATTCCTCAGGGATCTAGAACTAGAAATACCATTTGACCCAGCCATCCCATTACTGGGTATATACCCAAAGGATTATAAATCATGCTGCTATAAAGACACATGTACACATATGTCTATTGCGGCACTATTCACAATAGCAAAGACTTGGAACCAACCCAAATGTCCAACAGTGATAGACTGGATTAAGAAAATGTGGCACATATACACCATGGAATACTATGCAGCCATAAAAAATGATGAGTTCATGTCCTTTGTAGGGACATGGATGAAGCTAGAAACCAACATTCTCAGCAAACTATTGCAAGGACAAAAAACCAAACACCGCATATTCTCATTTATAGGTGGGAATTGAACAATGAGAACACATGGACACAGGAAGGGGAACATCACACACCAGGTCCTGTTGTGGGGTGGGGGGAGAGGGGAGGGATAGCATTAGGAGATATACCTAATGTTAAATGACGAGTTAATGGGTGCAGCACACCAACATGGCACATGTATACATATGTAACTAACCTGCACGTTGTGCACATGTACCCTAAAACTTAAAGTATAATAAAAAAAGAAGGAAAAAAAGGATACAAACAAACAAACAAAAAAGAGTGTGTTGTTTAACTGTCACGTATTTGTAAATTTTCCAAATTTTCATTTGTTATTAATTTATCATTTTATTTTGTTGTGGCCTGAGAATACACTTTAACCTTAATCATTTTAAAACTTATTGAGACTTGTTTTATGGCCTAACAGATGATGTATCTTGGAAAATGTTCCATATGCTTATAAAATGAATATATATTTTGCTGTTAAAAAATAAAAAACTACATAGGAAAAATAGAAAAGAAAAACCTGAGAAAAATTAGAAAGGAAAATTATGGAAAATATAAGAAAGCTACTATAAGGAACAGAGCAAAGATTAATTAACTAATAATGAGCAGACAAGTAAACATATATTATAGTAATTTATTCACAAAAGCCAATGCAACAAAAAATTAGTAAAGTTAACCAAGAGAAGTATTTGCAAAACCAAAAAATTTTCATAGTGTGCTACTACAGTACAATGAACAATTTTATGTCAATGTACTTGCAAAAATAATGGAAAGCGTTTTTAAAAACAACTTATGTTGACTTAAGAAATTTAGGAAACCTCAATAACCAATAATCAATATAATAATAGTCAAATTCTCTCACTTCTACTAAGTATCAGGGCATGATACTCACTGATACGGTTTGGCTTTGTGTCCCCACTCACATCTCATCTTGAACTGTAATCACCATGTGTCAAAGGAGAGACCTGGTGGGAGGTGAGTGGATCATGGCGGCGGTTTTTCCCATGCTGTCCTTGTGATGGTGAGTGAGTTCTCACAAGATCTCATGGTTTTATACGGGGCTCTTCCCCCTTCACTTGTTCACTCTTTCTATTGCCTGCCATCATGTAAGAAATGCCTTTGCTACTCCTTTGCCTTCTGCCATGATTGTAAGTTTCCTGAGTACTCCCCAGACATGCAGAAATGTGAGTCAATTAAACTACTTTCCTTTATAAGTTACCCAGTCTTGGGTAGTATCTTTATAGCAGTGTGAGAATGGACTAATAAACTCACCATTTTATAAAAACTGTTTCAGAATTTAAAAAAAAAAAAGATTTAAATAAAGAAGGGAAAAAAGCATAAAAGCTACCTAATTCCTTTTATAGGACTAGTATAAAAAACAGACAACCATTATAAAATAAAATTATAAGCTAACTTCGCTTATAAATACAGATGTAAAAACACCAATAGACTAGTAAACAGGATTCAATAGTGTATTCACATAACAATGGCAATATATCATCATCAAGTAGGGTCTATTTCAGCAAGCAAAGATAACATTAGAAAATCAACAGATATGATTTACAATATAGCTATATTAATGGTAAATAGGAATACCTAACTTTATTGTGTTTAGCTTTACGGCACTTGACAGACAATTGCATTTTGTTACAAACTGAGGGTTTGTGGCAACACTGTGTCAATCCAAGTCTATTGGGGCCATTTTTTCAACAGCATATGCTCACTTTATGTCTCTGTATCGCATTTTGATAATTCTCACAATGTTTCAAATTTTTATTAATATTATATCTTTTATGGTGATATGTGGTCAGTGATCTTTGATGTTACTATTGTAATTGTTTTGGGGAGCCATGAACCATGCCCATGTAAGAGGGCAAACTGCATAAATAAATGGTGTGTATGTGTTTGGACTGCTCCACTGATTGGCAGTTCCCCCTTTTCTCTCCCCCTTCCTCTGGCCTCCCTATTCTCTCAGACATAACAATATTGAAATTAGGCCATTCCATAATCCTAGAATGGCCTCTACATATTTATGTGAAAGGAAGATTAGAATGTCTCTGACTTTAAATCAAAAGCTAGAAATGATTAAGCTTAGAGAGGAAGGTATGTCAAAAGCATAGATAGGCTGAAGGCTAGGCCTCATGTACCAAACAGGTAAGTTCTAAATGCAAAGGAAAAGTTCTTGAAATAAATTAGTCTAGGTGCAGTGGCTCATGCATGTAATCCCAGCACTGTGGAAGTTGAGGCAGGCAGATCCCTTGAGCCCAGGAGTTTGAGACCAGCCTGGGTAACATATCAAAACACTGTCTCTAGTAAAAATACAAAAAACTAACTGGGTGTGGTGGTATGAACCTGTAGTCCCATCTAAACAGGAGACTGAGGTAAGAAGATCACCTGAGCCCAGGAGGCAGAGGTTGCAGTGAGCTGAGATTGTACTACTGCACTCCAGCCTGGGCAACAGAGCAAGACCCTTTCTCAAAAAAAAAAAAAAAAAAAAAGAGAGAGAGAGAGGGAAAAAAAGGAAAGAAATTAAAAGTGCTACTCCAGGCTGGGCGCGGTGGCTCACGCCTGTAATCCCAGCACTTTGGGAGGCCAAGGCAGGTGGATCACCTGAGGTCAGGAGTTCAAGACCAGCCTGAACAACATGGTGAAACCCTGTCTCTACTAAAAATACACGATTAGCTGGGTGTGGTGGCACATGCCTGTAATCCCAGCTACTTGGGAGGCTGAGGCAGGAGAATCGCTTGAACCCTGGAGGCAGAGGTCGCAGTGACCCTAAATCACACCGTTGCACTCCAGCCTGGGCAACAAGAGCAAAACTCCATCTCAAAAAAAAAATGTGCTACTCCAGTGAACATATAAGTGATAAGAAAACAAAGTAGTCTTATAGCTGATATGGAAAGAGTTTCAGTGTTCTGGATAGAGGATCACAACAGCCATAACATTCTGTTAAGCCAAAAGCCTAATTCAGAGCAAGACCCTAACTCTCCTCAATTCTATGAAGGCTGAAAGAGGTAAGGAAGCTGCAGGAAAAAAAGGCAGGCAGATCCCTTGGAAGCTAGCAGAGGTTGGTGCATGAGGTTTAAGGAAAGAAGCCATTTGTATTACATAAAAGTGCAAGGTGAAGCAGCAAGTACTAATGTAGAGGCTTCAGCAAGTTATCCAGAAGACCTAGCCAAGATCATTAATGAATGTAGCTGCACTAAACAATAGATTTTTAATATAGATGAAACAGCTTTATGTTGAAATTAGAAGCCATCAAGGACTTTCGTAGCTACAGAGGAGAAGTCAATGCCCGGCTTCAAAGCTTCAAAGAACAGGCTGACTCTCTTATTAGGGACTAATATATCCAGTGACTCTAAATTGAAGCCAACGCTAATTCTTAAGGATCCTAGGATTTTCAGGATCCTGCTCAATCTGCCCTGCCTGTGTTCTCTATAAATGGAGTAAGAAAGCCTTGATGACAGCACCTTTATTTACAGCATAGTTTCCTGAATCATTTAACCCAGTCTTGAGATTTACTCCTTGGAAAATAAAAGATTTCTTTTCAAAATTTGAAAATATTACTGCTCACTGACAATGCACCTGGTCACCCAAGAGCTCTGATAGAGATGTATAAGGAGATAAATGTTGTTTTCATGCCTGCTAATACAACATCCTTCCTGCAGCCCATGGATCAAGGAGTAATTTTGACTTTCTAGTATCACTATAGAAAAAATACATTTCATAAGGCTATAGGTGCCATACATAATGGTTCCTCTGCTGGTTTAGGGCAAAGTAAATGGAATACCTCTGAAAATTATTCACCAATCTAGATACCAATAAGAACAATTGTAATTCATGGGTGGAAGCCAAAATATCAACATAACAGGAGTTTGGAAGAAGTTGATTCCAACTATCGTGATGATTTTGACAGGTGCAAGACTTCAGTAAAGGAAGCAACTACAGACACGGTGGAAGTAGCAAAAGGACTAGAATTAGAAGTGGAGTCTGAAGATATGCCTGAATTGCTGCAATCTCAAGATGAAAGTTGAATTGATGAGGAGTTGCTTCCTATGGATGGGCAAAGAAAATGATTTCTTGAGATGGAATCTACTCCTGGTGAAGATGCTATGAGCATTGTTGAAGTGAAAGCAAAGGATTTGTCATATTATATAAACTTAATTGATAAAATATCAGCAGGATTTGAGAGGATTGATTCCAATTTTGAAGGAAGTTCTATTGTAGGTAAAATTCTATCAAAGGGCATTGCATGCTACAGAGAAGTCTTTTGTGAAAGCAAGAGTCAACTGATGCATGCAAACTTCATTGTTGTCTTCTTTGCAAAAATCCACACAGCCATCCCAACCTTCAGCAACTACCACCCTGATCAGTCAGCAGCAATCAACATAGAGGCAAGACCCACCATCAGCAAAAAGCTGACGACTCACTGAAGGTTCAGACAATTGTTAACATTTTTAGCAATTAAATATTTTTAATTAAGGTATGTTCATTGTTTACTTAGACATAGTTCTATTGTAAAATTAATGGACTATGGTATAGTATAAACATAGCTTGCATATGCACTGGGAAACCAAAAAATTTATATGACTCACTTTATTGAGTCTGGAACAGAGCCCACAATATCTCTGAGGGATGCCTTGAAATGAGAAAATTATCACATAATTATCTCTATTGATTTAAAATATCATGATAAAATTTTACACTTTTTACACATTTTATTCACAATAAAAATTCACAGCAACCTAAGAATAGACTTCCTCAATCTAATAGAGGATATTATTTTTAAGGTATGGTAAACATCATACTTAATAAAGCAGCCACTATAAATCAGGAAAAGTGAAAATGTTCCCATTGCTATTCAATATTATACTGGAATTTCTAACCAATACAAAAAGATAATAAACAGAAAAGTATCCATACCTGTGAAAGGAATAGAAAAATGAACAAAAAAATTTGAAAAAACAAATTTTAAATATAGAAGAAAAAATAGACAGAAAGGTAAAAGGGAAATTGACTATTTCATCAACCAAAAAGCAAGATAAAAAAGTGTATAAAGCATGTTAGCATTTATGCAAAATGATCATAAATATTTGTTTAAATATGCATATCTTCTTACCTATTTCTAGAAAGGTACATAGGACCAAGAGCAGGAGTTTCCTCTGAGATGAACAATCAAATGAATAGGGACCAAAGGTGAGAGCAAAATGCACTTTTAATTTTATAACCTTTTTGCACCACTTTGGTTTTTACCATGTTCATGTAAACAAACTTTTGACTTTAAAAAATTAAATATTTAAATAAATGATTGGCTGGGCACAGTGGCTCATGCTTGTAATTCCAGCATTTTGGGAGGCCGAGGTGAGTGGATCACGAGGTCAGGAGATCGAGACCATCCTGGCTAACGCGATGAAACCCCGTCTCTACTAAAAATACAAAAAAATTAGCCAGGCATGGTGGCAGGCGCCTGTACTCCCAGCTGCTGGGGAGGCTAAGGCAGGAGAATGGCGTGAACCTGGGAGGCAGAGCTTGCAGTGAGCCGAGATTGCGCCACTGCACTCCAGCATGGGTGACAGAGCAAGACTCCGTCTCAAAAAAAAAAAAATGATTACATAGAATATTACTTTTTAAAATGCTACATGGGAATGCCATGTATCCTAAGACAGCATCACCTCTATTATTTGCTTTCCCAAACTAAAACAAGGTCAGGGAAAACCTTGACAAGGAAGTGAAATTGTCTAGGAAGCTGGGGGCAGCTGGAGCTGGGATGACAGGGGAGGGAGGAGAAAAAAGAGACAAAGAAGGCAAAAGGGGACCTGTGGAAGAGAAGATATGAATGGGGGAACACGGAAATAATCCTAGGAGTTCAATCTCAATCCCAGCTCAGAGTCTTGATGCCTAAAAGACAGCAGCGTAGAAGACGACATTGGAACTTGCAACTGAAATGGCAGCAGACATGGAAATAGCATTTGCGTAAAAGTGAATGGGGTGGAGGTGTCCACACGGAAAGTTCTCTCTCATACCTTGAAGCAGGCCTTTGTATTTATGTTTCCAGATGGTTTCCACAAAAATACCAGACATACTTGATAAATCTATACCTGGGAGCTGAAAAACCAGATGGCTTGAAACAGTATTATTTGCAACATCTGATATGGAGAACAAAATCAAAGGTCAAGGAGAATTTTGTGAGCATCTCTCCTACCTTGAGTGTTCTGCTTGAGGTGAAAGTACAGTGATGAGGATGGGGTGGGTGTGGAGCTGACGTTTCAGGATGCCAGTTTGTGGGGCCCAGCCATGTAGGTGTATTTGATACCATTTGACACCTACACTGAGGTAACTTAAGGAAACAGTGGCTTCATTAATAAAATTATATTCCCTAACATAAAGCATGTAAACTGATAATTTTTTTCTTATTATTTTTTAAATTTGCTACCACATGAAGAAATTAAGAATTTCTAGGGTAAAAGACAGAAACCACACCTTAATTTGGAGGCTATAGAGAGAACAAGGATAAATAATTATAATAGGAGAGTTGAGAATTTGTCTATTCTTAGACAATAAGAGTACTATTTTTTTCTTTTTGAGACACGGTCGTGCTCTGTCACCCAGGCTGGCATGCAGAGACATGATAATGTCTCACTGAATCCCCCACCTGCTGGATTTAAGTGATCCTCCCACCTCAGCCACCCAAGTAGCTAGGACTACAGGCATGTGCCACCACGCCTGGGTAATTTTTTATAGAGATGAGGTCTCACTATGTTGCCTAGGACGGTCTCAATCTCCTGAGCTCAAGCAATCCTCCTGCCTTGGCCTCCTGAAGTGCTAGTATTATGAGCGTGAGCCACCGCCCCTGGCCTAACTAATACTTACAGCAACACTGAAATATGTGATGCCTTTTGCACGTGTATGACATATATTCCATAGAAACCTGACTTTTTCACAAATACTACAAACATTTTATTTTGCCATTGTGAGACAAAGCCAATTGCGAAAACATACAAAAAAAAGAAAAGAGAGAAGAATGAAAAACAACTTCATAAGGCCTATTTTTTGATTCATTATAGTTCTACATATTTATGGCATACAAGTGAAATTTTGTTAGATGCATGCAATGTGTAATGATCAAGTCAGGGTAAGGCCTTTTCTTAGAGCAGGAAAAAGTACTTCGTAAAAAATAAAGCTTATGTAGACAACTTTAAATAAAATTTAAAACAACTTTTAAATTTTCTGATAAAATATGTACTGATAAAATCCATGCCAGTTGACTTTCCTTTCTTCACACATAATTCAGTTGTTTTTATTTGTTTTGTATCTCTTATACTATTGGTAAATGTAATTCCTCAGTTTTGTTTTTGTTGTTACTTGGGAATTTTCCTGTTTTACATTTACTTTTCAAAAGAAATTACAGAAACTTTTCAAGAGTTGTCTCAGTTCCTAACTTATTGAACCATCTGCCGAATTAATTTTACTTATCTAGCTCCTTTGTTTATTCTTTTTAGATGTTATACCGAGAGTTGATCAGATTTATTATTTTTCTCAAAGAAGAAACACAGTTTGAGTTTTAACAGATGTTCAGATGTTTTAATTTTTGGAGTTTGCAATTCCCCCTTGGCTTTAATGAGTTCATTCAGTAATGCTGGCTTTTACTAGATATTGCATGTTCTCACACTTGATTTTGCAGCTCTAAATCACAAAAGAATACTAGAAAAGAGAGCCCATAAAGCAAGTTTATTGTGGGAATGGAATTCTCACATGCCAGTGGGTTCAGAGTAAGGGAATATCCTTAGCTAGGGAGTGGGAATTGACAAAGGATGATAAATAAGAAAACACATCAAAAAGTAAACTCTCCACTATGCAATTTAGCAACTTGCCTCTTCTCCAAACAAATTCTAATACTTTTTTGTTATTTGTAAATCTTTGATTACAAATAAAAACATTTTGTCATTACTAGGTACTGTCTGACAAAATTTTGGATGAAAATGTAAAGTTTCTTTCTTTCTTTCTTCTTCTTTGACAGAGCCTCACTCTGTCACTGAAGCTGAAGTGTGGTGGCGGAATCTCAGCTCACTGCAACCTCCGCCTCCTGGGTTCAAGCGATTCTCCTGCCTCAGCCTCCTGAGTAGCTGACTACAGGCACGTGCCACCACACCTGGCTAATTTTTTTTGTATTTTTAGTAGACAATGTGTACTTCACCATGTTGCCCAGGCTGGCCTCAAAACTCCTGGCCTCAAGTGATCCACCCACCTTGGCCTCCCAAAGTACTGGGATTACAGGCATGAGCCACCATGCCCGGCCTGTAAAGTTTCATATTTGCAGATTCTGTCCTTAGATTAAGTCATATGAAATCAAGTAGAATCTCATTTAAATGTTCCAATAAAATCTTTGTAGTCTTACTTCTGTTTCAATGCCAGACTCTTTGGGGACAGACAAAATAGTGTCAGTTTCTTTATGCCAATGGTTCAGCAATTATATGTTTTGATTCCAATGTTTCAAGTGCTTGACACCAAATGTGTAATCATTCATAAAAATATTAAATACGATTATTTTTATCTCTAGGGGATATTGTGCTCAGGATCCTGCTGTGATGGGATTGACTCATGGGAACCAAAATTAAAATTCCATGATTGAAATAAAATGGTATTGTGTGGTATAAGATGTATAAAATATTGGAATTACCAAGTGCTATAAACTTAAGTCCTAAGTTCTAAATCCAATAGAAAATATGATAGAAAAAACAGAGTGGTTTTTTTTTAATACGGAAAAAAGGGAGGAGGAAAACAATTATTTTATACACTCTTCACTCTAGTTTAGTCATAATTCCTAGACATTATGCTGCGGTCTGTCTCCTCCACTCCCACACCACCCTCCTCAAATATGCCTTCTTAACGCTTGCATAAGCCAATTGCTTCTGGACTACAAGCTATAGGAAACAGCACAAAAAGGAATTTGGGGTGATAAAAGGCTGTTAAAATTTCCAGTTATTCAAAGTGATGCATGTTTAAACAAAGGTCAGTTTAAGGGTATTAATTTTCCTAAGTCTGTTGTTTTAGATGGCCTCAACATATCTAGCATTCAGTTGAGATTATTTTTAAAAATCTGAAAATAAAATATTAGCAAAGTAAATTTCATTTGGATTATTCCAGGGATGAATGAAAGAATGGTTTATTGATAGAAAACTTCAAAATTTAAAATAACACATTAGTAAGTCCAATTTAAAATCAAACTATATATATGAAAATTCAGAGGATAAAATTCAACAATCTTTCCTGATAAAACTCGGAAAATCACAACAAGAATGATACTTCCTGAACATACTGTAGAATTCCTATCTTAACATTGATTGCCAAAATTATAATCACAATGGCAGCCAAGAGTCATTCCCAATGATATGAGAAAAATGACAAGGATATGTACTATTCCTGTGTGCTATTTGCTTTTAGTCAAGATCCTGGTGGGAAGCAGATGACACACTCAAGCTGGTTAATGGGGACATTACCCAGGCATGGGCCATGTGTTAGAAAAGCCCCAGAGGATCTTGCAGCACCCTAGGTTAGCAACAGCAGGGAAATGTGGCCGGAAGGGTAGCTATGTGGAGAGGCCTTCTGATAAGAGCTGTAGCCTTTGGCAGGACACAGCCCCTGGCACCAATTAAGCAGGGAGGAAATCTTGGAAACAAATACTTTTCCCTCACTTTCCTCCCACTCTGATTTCCTGCCAATGCCCTCATTGGCTGAACCTAACTGGAAGCCAGAAGGCAAGGAAGCCCCAGTGAGGGGAACCTTAGGGACACAGAGCAGGATGCAGAGCAGGGAGAGGACTCTGGAGGGGAGAAAGGGAAATACCCAGCATGGCCAGTTTGCCCAAGTCAGGTGGTAAGAGGTGAATTCAGATACAGATGGGAAAGCCTGGCTACAGGATCTGAGCTTTTAATTACATTATACTGTTTCTCCCTAATCTTGAAATTACAATTTAGATGATTCAAAGGGAAAAAGGATGTTAGTCTCAGTGGCAGCAAAAATCATAAAATGTCCCAATACATTAAAATACCAAAATCATAAAAGACATAGGAATAACCCTTAAAAATATACAGGGGCTAGGTAAAGAAAACATTTACTAAGTAATATAAAATATTTCAATAAATGGCAAAGGGTAACATGCTCCTTTGTGAAAAGATGAAATATCATCAAGATATCATTTCTTCCCAAATCAATTTTAGGTTTAACCTAAGCTCAATTAAGTTCTTCATACTATTTTTTAAATAATAGAAATTTTTTAAAGCTATTTTAAAAGAAAGCTGGCAAAAGAACAAAAAGCTAAGATTTTTTTTTCCCCTAAAGATTATTGAGGTTGTACATGCCTATTCAATTCAGGCAAAACAATATTTTAATTGTCAAATATATTTTTTACCAGTGAAATTGGAAGGATTTCCCCCAGCCCGTGTTTTGTTTTAAACATCCAGTGCAGAGCAAGATGTAGTGAAAAAGACATTAACATTGTTGCTGGGGGCATTAATTGATGCAAACTTCACGAGATACAATCTGGCATTATGGATAAGAACCTTAAATATAGTCATACCCTTTGGCCTAGTAATTCGAGTTTTAGTAATTTACCTTTAGAAGTTAATTAGACTGCATAATGATCTAGACAAGTATTCATACCATCATAATAGCTTTTTAAAGTAAACAATATTGGCCAGGCACGGTGGCTCACCTCTGTAATCTTAGCACTTTGGAAGGCTGAGGCAGGTGGATCACCTGAGATCAGGAATTTGAGATCAGCCTGGGCGACATGGTGAAACCCTGTCTCTACTAAAATTACAACAATTAGCCAGGCATGGTGGCACACGCCTGTAATCCCAACTATTCAGGAGGCTGAAGCAGGAAAATCACTTGAACCCGGGAGGTGGAGGTTGCAGTGAGCTGAGATTGTGCCACTGCACTCCAACCTGGGTGACAGAGTGAGAATCTATCTCAAAATAAAATTAGATAAATAAATATTTTAAAAAACATATAAATGTTCAATATGCAGAAAAAATTATAGAGAAGTCATGTGCTAAAATGCCACACAAACTCTAAGGACAATATGTTTTAAAATATTATATAGTATAAAAATACTCCGTATGTGTATGTATTTAACAGAAAAAATGCCAAACTATGTAAGATTTATTTCCAAAAATTGTTTCTTTTCTTAAGCATGCACAGGGAAATAGGAGGAGATACACCAAATGTTAACATGCTTTCTCTGATCGTCAGTTTTGAATGATGTTAAATTTTTTTCTTTTTGTTTCTCTGTATTTCTCGGATTTCCTACAATCAAGAATTACTAATTACCAAAGCAGTCTTGAGCAAAAAGAACAAAGCCGGAGGATTCACACTACTTGATTTCAAAATGTACTACAAAGCTTTAATGAAAACAGCATGCCACTGGCCTAATAACAGACACATGGACCAATGTAACAGAGTAGAGAGCTCAGAAATAAATCCACGTATTCATGATCCATTGATTTCCCACAAAAATGCCAAGAGCTAATTTTACGGTTTTTTCTCCATTTTTATAAAAAATGTCATTGAGATTTTGATATGGATTGCATCGAATCCGTAGATCACTTGGAGTAGCATGGACATTTTAACAATATTACTTATTCTAATCCATGAACACAGGATATTTTTCCATTTATTTGTGTCTTCTTCAATTTCCTTCATCAATGTTTTATAGTTTTCAGCATTACAGATCTTGCACTTCCTTGGTTAAATTTACTTCAAGCATGTTTTTGTGGCTATTGTAAATGGGACCATTTTCTTGGCTTTTCAAATAATTCATTGATAGTATATAGAAACCTTACTGATTTTTTGTATGTTGGTTTTGTGTCCTGCAACTTTACTGAATTTGTTTATTAGTTCTAAGTTTAGGTAGTCTTTACATTTTTCTGTGTATAAGATCATATCATCTGCATATAGACACAATTTAACTTCTTCCTTTTCAGTTTGGATGCCTTTTATTTCTTTCTCTTGCCTAACTGCTCTGGCTAGGACTTCCAGTAGTATGTTGAATAGAAATGGTGAGAGCGGGCATCCTTGTCTTGTTCCTAATCTTATAAGAAAGGCTTTCAATTTTCACCATTGAGTGTGATATTAGTTCTAAGCTTGCCACATATGGCCTTTATTCTGTTGAAGAACATTCCTTGTATATCTAATTTGGCAAGAGCTTTTATCATGGGAGGATGTTTAATTTTGTCAAGAGCTTTTTCTGCATCTCTTGAGATAACCATATTTTTTTCCTTCATTCTGTTAATATCTTGTTTCACAATTATTGATTTGTGTGTACTGAACTCTCCTTTCATCCCAGGGATAAATTTCACTTGATTATGGTGAATAATCCTTTTAATGTACTGTTGAGTTCAGTTTGCTAGTATTTTGTTGAGTGTTTTTGCATCTATGTTCATCAGGGATATTGGCCTGGATTTTCTTTTCTTGTCGTGTGCTTGTCTGGCTTCGATATCAGCATGATGCTATCCTCATAAAGTAAGTTAGGAAGTGTTCCCTCTTCCTCGATTTGTTGAAAGAGTTTGAGAAGGATTGGCAATAATATTTCTTTAAATGTTTGGTAGAATTCAGAAGTGAAAGCATCAAACCGTGGTCTTGTCTTTGATTGGAGATTTTAAAATATTGATTTGATCTGCTTACTTATCATTGCTCTGTTTAGATTTTCTGTTTCTTCATGATTCACTCTTGGTAGGTTTTATGTTTCTAGGAATTTATCCACCACTTCTAGGTTACCCAATTTGTAGGCATATAGTTGTTCATAACAGTTTCTTAATCTCCCTTGTATTTCTGTAGTATTAGTTTTATCTGTCTATCTATTTAATCAAGACAGGATCTTGCTCTGCTGCCCAGGCTAGAGTTTAGTAGCACTGTGATGGCTCACTGCAGCCTCAACTTCCCCAGGCTCAAGCAATCCTCCTGCCTCAGTCTCCCAAGTGGCTGGGACTAATGACACACACCACCAAACCTGACTAACTTTTGTATTTTTTTGTAAAGACAGGGTTTCATGTTGCCCAGGCTCATCTTGAACTCCTGGACTCAAGCCATCTGCCCACCTCGGCCTCCCAAAGTGCTGGGATTACAGGCATGAGCCACCACACCCAGCCTGCAGTATTAGTTGTAATGTTTCTTTTTTCATTTCTGATTTTATTTATTGGAGACTTCTCTTTTTTTCCTTAGTGTAGCTAATTTTTTTCAATTTTATATTCACAAAAAAAACCTTATTAATCTTTCCTATTGTTTTTCTAGTCTCTATTTTATTTCTGCTCTGATCTTAATTATTTCCTTCCTCCTATTAAATATGGACTTAGTTTGTTTTTCTTTTTCTGGCCCCTTGAGGTATAACATTAGCGTCTTTATTTGAGGTCTTTCTTCTTTTTTGATGTAGATGTTTATTGCTACAAACTTATCTTTCAGAACTGCTTTGGTTGCACACCATAAGTTTTAATCTGCTGTGTGTCCAGTTTTGTTTGTCCCAACTTATTTTTAAATTTATCTTTTAAGCTCTTCTTTGACCTATTGGCCATTCAAGAGTATGTTGATTTCCATGTATTTGTGAATGTTTCAAAATTCCTTCTGTTATTCATTTTTATTTTGATACCATTGTAGTCAGAAAAGATACTTGATATAATTTCAATCGTCTTAAATTGGTTAATACATGTTTTGTAACCTAATTAATCTATTTTGAAAAAAATACAGTGTTAGATAATCACCGAACTTAATTTCACATGCTTAGAATTAAATCTCTAACAAATAAAATCATAAACTAGAAAAAAACTATAAGTAAATGTGTAAACAGTCTTAAGGGAGTGGAAGTATCTTACCACAAAAGATATGAAAAATCATGAGGATTCTATTTTTGAGTTATAAATGTAAAGCCTGTACTTAAAAAAAATTGTCAGATGCTAAATTGACAAATAAATGTCAAATTCTAAATTAGGGGGGAAAGTCTTTATAAAAAATCTAGTAACGCAGTGATTGTTATGCTTCATATATTAAGAAGTTTTCAAAATAGTAAAACAAACCTCTAATACTATGATAGAAATATGAGTAAATAGTATAAAATGACATGTGAAACCTTGTTAGTAGTCACACTGCAAATTAAGACAAACATAAGACAATTTGTCTTATGTCAAAGAGTCAAAGTTTAAAATTATGTAATATTAAATCTATTGTGTCAGATGCAAATTTTAAGAGAAAATATGAATTGGAAATATATTTCTGAAAATAAATTTGACAAGACATAAACATTTTAAGAATGTTCATTCTTTGAATCTCTCCTTAGAAAGCTAACATAAAGAAATTATTTAATATGCATTGAGGCTGGGCATTGTGGCTCATGCCTGTAATCTCAGCACATTGGGAGGGTGAGGAGGGAGGATTGCCTGAACCCAGGAGTTCAAGACCAGCCTGAGCAACATGGTGAGAACCCATCTCTAAAATCATTTTTATAAAATAAAAAATTTCCTTTAAATGCATTGAAAACATGAATATTCACCCAGCTTTACTTGTCAGACTGAAAATTAGACATAATCCATAATATATACAATAGTGTAACAACTAAATTATATTTCTTCATTATAGATAATTGTATAGACATAAAATTAGGATTCCAAGAAATTTTAATGTAAACAATCATAATGTGATGTTAAGCTAAAATTCAGAGTACAAAATGTGTATTCAGTAGAGGCAATCCAATTTTTGCACATCTGTGTGCATATGTGACTGAAATAGTCCAAGCTAATATTTCTTGAGCACTGACTTTATGTCAGGCATTGTTCTAAGTGTTTTAAAATAACTACCAATTATCTATTTTCTCTCAGTTCCAAATTCATCCTTTTTGCCTGTTCTGTGAAAATTGAACTAGGGTCTTTAGATATTTTTCCTTTACCATCTGATTCAATGCTAAGCTTTGTCAGTGGAGGATGCTGGAGAGACACTGGAAGGAAAGGGTTTTACTTCCTGATTCTGTGGCTTCTCCTGGATACAATACAATACAATACAATAAATACAATACAATACAATACAATACAATACAATACAATACAATACAATACAATACTTCTGCAATACAGTGCCAACAGCAGCTTCCCTTGGCATCTGTCCTTCCCTAACAAGCAGTTTTGTAGCAGAGCCTCCTATGAAACACTTCCTTATGAAAGATTTCCCTGGCACTCTACAGGGCAGATTTCTGGCAAGTTCTGCTAATGTGTCATCACAGCAAGTGCTTTTCCATTGAATGAGACACAGTCAGGCCCTCTTCAAGAAGCTTTGGACAAGTGGAGGAGAAGGAACCCTTACTTGGGTGCTCTAATGAGAATTACATCATTGAATGTCCAAAAGAACCCTACGTAATTATTATGACTATGTTACAAATGAGGAAACTGAGAAATCATATAGGTAAGAGCTGATGAAGCCAAAATTTAATCCAAGCACTTTGGTTCCAAAGTATGTAAAGTCATCCCTCAGTATCCATGGGGGATCGGTTCTAGGATCCTCACTGATACCAAAATCCATGGATGCTCCAGTCTCTTATATAAAATGGCAGAATATTTGCATAAAACCTATGCCTGTCCCCTTGTATACTTAAAGTCATTTCAAGATTACTTATAATACTTGATATAATATAAATACTAGGTAAATAGTTGTTATACTGTGTTGGGGCTTTGTTTGTATTATTTTTTATTGTCATATTATTTCTATTGTGCTTTTTTAAAAATATTTTTGATCTGCAGTTGATTGAATCTACAAATATGGAGCCCACAGATATGGAGAGCCAACTGCCCTTTCAACCACTACACTATACAGACTTCTGAAATATTGATTATATATACACAAATATATACATAAAAAGACATTGGAAAGTAAAGCAAGTAGATGTAAATGGCAGCTATCTCTAAGTAGTGAAATGACAGGTGTCTTATATTACTGTTGTGCAGTTTCTGGATTTCCTGTAGTATGCAAAAATTAATTTTATATTCATGAATATATATGTATAATATACTTTATATTTATAAATATATATTTATATTTAAGAAGGAAATTCAGAGGAATCTTCTATGGAACAAAGAGATTTCCATCTTTACATGAAGCCACACTATCAATTCAGTAAAATACAGACTCACCAAAGCCACATTTTATGTCTACAGCCTTTACTCCATGCCCTTTCCTGATGTAGGTACACTGAAAGCATAATTCCAATTTCCATGAGAGCTATGCTTACAATCCATTCAGCACTGAGGCAAGAGTAACTATAGCTAAATTTTAATTTGAATAATTACAATCCCACACAAATAAAAAGCATTCATAGTGACTATGCCTGGCCTGGCTCCAGTTTGTATCATATCCCAGGCCATACAACTAATATTTTTAACAGGGCAGAGCAAATTTATAATACATTTCATGAAGATAAACTATGAGTATTATTTTCCAATTTCAAGTTATATAAAGTTATCCATCATTTCTCAGGAAAGTCTTTTTTAAAATGTAGTTGTCCTGAATTCTTTATATCACACTTGATAACTTGCTCTGCTCTTCCACTGACTACTACAAGCTGTAATCTTTTTCTTCTTATTCCTGAAATATAATTCCTTCAAGAGGCGCCTGCTAGTCTGGGAGACCAACTTTTCTAACATGCCTATCTTTACCATCAAAGGGTTCAGTGTCAACGGCAAGACTATAATTTTTTTCTTTTATAATAAAAAAGATGGCCAGGGAAGTGTGAGTGACCCTAGGGGTTGTGCCCACGCTCACCGCCCCAGGCTTGGAGACTTTTTTGGAAGGTGATGTCCCCGGAACAGGGAGAACCAGACAAGCCTGGGCTGGCCCTGCAGAAAATCCTGAAGGAGTTGGATGGCTACATTATTTATCACATAAATCTCTCATAATAACATGAGACGGAGGGAGGGTACCCAGAAGAGGAGGGTGTTACCGTGCATCCAGAGAGCCCTGACTCGGAGCCAGGAGCTGGGCGTTGAGAAGATCCAGACTGAGTCCGACGAAGGAGCTGGTGGAGAGCAGGACCGGACAGATGGGCGGTCTCGCCGAGCTCCTTGGGCAGCAGCCAGAGATCAGGTTCCCTGCTAGCTGCAGAGCCCGCCACAATGCGGGGAAGAATGATAATCACGCAGGGAGAAACGCCGGATAACAAAGTGTTCTCCGCGACAGTGCAACGATGAGAATCGAGAGGATGCATCCAATGATCACGACCACGACGAGATCACCACAGGAACGGCCAAGGCAAGAAAGCAAAGACCTTGAAGAAAAAGAACCACTCCAGTGCTACAGCAGAGGCCCCCGCAGACCTTGCCATGGACCGCAAGGAGACAGACAGCGTGCTGGTCAGGTCTACAGAGAAAGGAGCGGCTGTGACAACCACGAGTGCCCCAGGGAGTGGCCTCCACTTCCCTTTGGTTTATGACTGAGTCTGGGACTCAGTCATAAACCAAAGGGCCAGTGGTTCTGTCCCAATGTCCCAGGGAAAACAAGAAAACAATGAAGAAGCACCGGGAAAAAAAGAGAGGGCTTTTATGACAGGTAGTTTGTGGATATCCATTTAATTGTGAGAACAACATAAACCAGGGTATTTACTCCATTGCCGCTTTTGTTGAGGTGTAAGGATTGTAAAACACATATTTTCGAAGAATTTTAGGAAAGGAGCCATTCCTTTGATAGGGATGACAGTGATTCTCTTTGACTTTTTATTTTTTCATTGGTGCACATTTGTGACAAGAAAACGCTGGATGGATCAACAGTTTAGAAACTACAAATATAGGCTTGAATTAAACACTTTAAAAAAAAAAGGAAATCTGTACTATTCCTGTATACTTCTATACACATTTTACATCACCCTTGGAGTAATTATCTCTAAATTAGAAACAAAACATAAGCAGACCATTTTAAAGAAATTTGCTGTCACTTGAAATAACTTCAGGTCAAAATCGATTATCTTAAAATACTGGGCATCTTTAAAGTTGTTTATTAGGTTTGCAGAAACAGAGGTTCTAGCTTTTTCTATTCTAATTCATTATATTGTTTTCAACTATCACACAGATTATGAATAATCTTATGTCATCATAGGGGATGGTGTTGTTACTCTCAACTATGCATTCCTTATTATTCTTTTATTTATAACTGCATCATGTATTTAATTAGCCAATCAACAAATATTTACTGAGTCAGAAATAATAAAAATATTACTGAGTCAAATAAAAATATTTTCAGCTAGATGGTGAGATGGTGAATATAAACAGACTATAAAAACAAATATAATAGGATTTTTACAATAAAAACTTAATCCTCCATATTAAGAAACCACCCAAATCACATAGTCATCTTTGGCTAAAAGGATGGACTTAATTCTTGCCATATCCATAATTCTCTTCTTTTTTCATTGTCCAGGTTCTACTTTTGTGGGTTTCTTGTTGCTCTTGTATTTCAGCACCTGAACTGGGAAGTTTTTCACATGTAAAATGTAACACTATTTTCAGAAAATTTTTACTATTGTTTACCAGAAAATTCTTACTATTGATTACCAGAAAATTCTTACTATTGATTATTACATCTGCAAATTACTTATTTTAAATGTAAAGTATTTTTCAATTATATTGGTACAGAGGTTTTGCCTCTTCTGATATGCTCTGCTGAATCACTAAATCAGATTCTTATTATCAATAAAGGCTTTGTTTTCTAATCATTGAAGTTGCCTCAGTTACGGGTCTCTGTATCTTGCTCATGTCTTCTTTGTTGTTCTATCTTCTAAGGATCTGAGTGGCATACTATTTGTCTACTTTTTTGGGGGTGTTACTCTCTTGCCCAGGCTGGAGTGCAGTGGCACTATCATGGCTCACTGCAGCCTCAAGCTCTCAGGCTACCTCAGCCTTCTGAGTAGCTGGGATGACAGTTGTGCACTACTACACTTGGGTAATTTTTTTTTTTTTTTTTGTAGAGCTCAGATCTTGCCATGTTGCCGAGGCTGGTCCCAAAGTCCTGTGCTCAAGTGATCCAACCCCTTCGGCCTCACAAAGTGTTGGGATCACAGGCGTGAGCCACTGCCTGAACTCTTCTACTTTTTTGTAGGAAGAATAACTTCTAGATTGATGGTAGGTAGTAAGGGATTTTCCAATTCCCAGAAATGTAAGTGTAGTGATAATTTCTGTGGTAGGTTAAAAGAGGCCACAAATTTTTTGCTAATCTTTTCATTAAGAAGCAATGAGTCTAATTCCCCTCCCCTTGAATCTGGCTGGCCTTAATGACTTCCTTGGCCAATACAATATAACAAAAGAGATATTCTGGATCTTCTGTGCCTAAGGTCAGAGCCTTGAATTTTCAGCCCAGATCTCTTGGAACATTTCCTCTAGAAGCCCTGGCCAGTCATATACCTCCAACTACCCTGAGATCATCATCCTAGAGATGCCATGTATAGAGGCTATGGTCAGCAGTCCTAGCTGAACTCAGCCTTCCAGCTATCCTCTGACAAGCAACAGACATGCAAGCAAAGCCACCTTGGACCCTCCAGACTGGTCTACTCATTAGCTCAGTTCCTCAGAGTGACTTATGTTCATGCCACATGAAACAGAATAATCACCTAGACCAATACAAATTTCTGACCTACAAAATCATGAGATATTAAAAAGTGGCCATTGTTTAAGCCATTTAAAATTTGAATGGTTTGTTATGCAGCAATCGATAATTGGGACTTTCTTCCCTGTCCGCAACTACTTGGTGGTTTTATTATTTAAGCATTTCAATCTCAATTTTATGTCAGTAACACTGATATAGTAGATATTAAGAGAATTCTGCTTTCTACAGAATGAATTGGAATGGAGAGATATTTGTTCATCAGGTGACATAGTAATAAAGAATGTCAGTTGGCCATTTTATTAAGTGAATTTACAGATTCAGTTCAACTGGTAAAATATCTCCTGGCAGAAGAAATAGATTCTTCATAGAAGGAAGGCACTACCCTTGCTCAGCTTTATTTATAAAGAATAAAGTACTAAAACGTTTTTCCAGATTTGGGGCACAGAGGCAAAGGAGCAGAGGGAGTCAGGAAGTTCAAAGCACATGAGGAAATTTATGGGTTTATCAGATAACAAAATTCCTGATTTCTTCAAGTCCTTTGTTTTTTGTTTTGGGTTCTTTTTTCCCCCTAAGAAAGCAATGTATTTCTTTCTCCTCCTATCATCACTATTTCATACTTGAATATGTGAGATAAAATCTTGCTTCCTAAGCTGAAGATAAGAAGAAAAGTGAAGAGGTGTGCTGGAACATGAGCTATCATCTCTATCAGAATTTGAAAGATGAGTTCATTAGACTCCTTACTGAAGGAATACAGCTTATTGCTAAGATCATAGTCCTTCTGAGTAGTGATGCCCAAACCAAACTATGCATCAAAATCACATGGGAAGTTTTTCAAAATATTTCTGCAAATTCTGTTGTGGGATCTGAGAATATGTGTATATGTATTGGACAAGATTCTTTTAGTGTAAAAACAAAAATCAAAACAAAATAAACCAAAAAAACCCCAGAAAAATCAACTCAAATTGACTTTAGCAAAAAAGAGAATTTATTAATTCACAGAATTGAAGAGTCTATTCTTTTAGATGTTTCTATTGGGATATTGGTATGGTTTGGCTGTGTCCCCACCCAAATCTCATCTTGAATTGTAGCTCCCATAATCCCATGTTGTGGGAGGGACCCAGTGGGAGGTAACTGAATCAAGGGGGCGGGTTTTACCCATGCTGTTCTCCTGATAGTGAATAAGTCTCATGAGATCTGACGGTTTTATAAAGGGCAGTTCCCCTACACATGCCCTCTTGCCTGCCACCATGTAAGAGGTGCCTTGCTCTTCCTTTGCCTCCTGTCATGATTGTGAGGCTTCCCCAACCATATGGAACTGTGAGCCCATTAAACTTCTTTCCTTTATAAATTACCCAGTCTCGAATATGTCTTTATTAGCAGCATGAGAATGAACTAATACAGATATACTTTCTATTTCTAAATAAAATGAGTAGTTTCAATTCTTAATATTTCAGTTACAGGACTTATCTATTTACCTCCCACTAGAGGAGATGAGGGTTTAGTTTTTCACCAATTCTTATTCCATGCATCCCATTCTAAACTGCTCCCCTTCCACATTTCCTCACCCATACTTTTCAATATAGTTCAATATTCAGGGTTATATTTTTACAGCTATGTAAATGTCATTTAAATATGAACCATAAAATTACTCATTTTAACTCAAACGTAAACGCTCTCTTAGAAATGTTAATTTTCTCCAGTTTGTTCAAATATATTAAGTCTTCAATGAATTTCATTTTTTTCGTCTGTACTGTTTGCCCTCGAAGGCAGTTATTATCTTGTGATATTCCTTTTTCTGTCTTTTCTAATCAATCTCTTGCTTCCTGGCTTGCATGCATTGTGCTTTCTTGATTTACTCCCTTATTTTGGTAAATAAAAGATAATATTTTGAGACTCTGCACACCTGAAAAATATTGTTACATACCCTTAGTTGTGATAGGTAGCTAATTGAGTTTAAAGTTATAAATTGGAAATCTTATTCCCTTGGAATTTGAAAACAATCTCCTTTGTCTTCTAACTCCCAGTATTTCTATTACTAAGTCCAGTGAAATTGTGATTCTTGATCTTTTAAATGAAACTGTGTTTTCTCTTTAGTAGCATATAGGCTCTTATCTTTTATCCCAAATGTTTGAAATTTCATAATTATGTGGCTTGGTTTAGATCATTTTTACCCATTTTGCTATCAGGGTGACTTTGTAATCTGAAAACTCATGACCTTTATTACTGGGAAATTTCCTAACATTATTTACACAGTAATTTATCTTTCTTGATTTTCTTCATCCTCTATCTTTGCATCTCTGATTATTGAAAATTTGGACTTCCCAGACTGATCCTCTTATTTTCTTTTCTCCATTATTTTTCCTCTTGTGCTTTGTTTCCTGAAATATTTCAACTTAATATTTAACTAAACGACAACTGCTACCAGCTGTCATATATGGAAAAAGGTCATATCTTGGATATTTTAGCCTTGGCTGAGCTCTCAGTTGAATACAGCCACCTCACTGACTCTGGCTGATGCCGCAGGAGCAGAAGAATCGCCATGCTGAGCCCAGCTAACCTTTAAAAATATGAAAAACAACACATCAATACATATTGTATTGACTCACTAAGCTCTAGGGTAATAGATTAACTGATGTAGGGGGTATGATATATCCTCACTTCAGGACCTTAGGCTTAGCCATGTGACATGCTTTAACCAATGAAATGTTAACAGAAGTGATACCTGTCACGTTTGAGCAAACGCTTTAAGAATCAGTACATGGTATAACATGTGCTCTTCCTACATGCAAAAAGCCAGCAACGTTCCATATAGAGGCTATTGCCAAGAAGCCTTAGTCTCAAACTGAAACTGACTGAGCCAGAACATTGCATTTTTCACAGCAGCATAACCTTTCCTGCCTGATACAGACACTAAATAGCCAATAGGAAACTTATGCACATGGACAAGTGTGGGATTCACATGTGGGGTGATCTGGCAGGTGCTATCCAGCTCCCCCTTCAGAACTGAAGAACTTATTTCACCAGCTTCTAGGAGTATTGCCACTGACAGTCCTTAGCTGTTTGGCAGCTCTGGAAATTGCTCTCAACTAAAGAAAACTTCCTCACCAAAGTCACACTCTTTTCTTGGGGGCAACCTGCATCCAGTGACTGGTCAGCATGAAGGTATAAAAGCCCACCATGCTTGTCATATTGCAGGACAACTTTGAAAAACCATTATTATTTCAGAACTCCCCATGGGATCAGCTTGAGGTGTGACCGCAGTCCAGTTTACCTTTCCTCAATCCTACTTCCTTTCCTTTCCTTCCTTCCGTGAGTGTGGTTCCCATGAGTGCTCTCTAATTAACTTCCTGCAAGCTAATCTCTGTTTCAGAGTTTATTTCCTGAGGAACCTCACCTGCAATCACTTTTTCTTCTTTTTTTGTTGGTTTTGGTTTTGGTTTGGGGGAACATCTAATAGCAATCTCTTTAGGAATTTTACCTTGGATTGACTGGATTCTTCCATAAATAATTTTCTAATATTATGCTTAAGAAAACAGGTCAGAGAATAGATCAGGTTTAAGATAAAAATAGGTCTTACAATGCTTAAGAGGATAGGTCATGCTCTGGGAACTGAATTAAGGAGAAGACTGTTGGATATTAACAACTAATTATCCAGTCTACATTTTAATGTTGCTGTTTTCAGTACAGTATCCTGGCCCTCAACTGTGCCCAATATTCTCCGGGCCAAAGACGTTTGGTATCACAAAGAATAACCTCCCAGTGTTCTGCCATGTTAGGAAAGAGTTCACAATCTAGCTTTGTGGAATGGGTTACGGAGTCTTGGAGCCTGCTTCTGCTTAAATATACTTGCATTCAGGCTGGGCGCAGTGGCTAATGCCTGTAATCCCAGCCCTTTGGGAGGCTGAGGCATGGTGGCATGAGCCTGTAATCCCAGCTACTTGGGAGGCTGAGGCAGGAGAATCGCTTGAACCCAGGCAGAGGTTGCAGTGAGCCAAGATGGTGCCACTGCACTCCAGCCTGGGTGACAGAGCAAGACTCTGTCAAAAATAATACACACACACACACACACACACACACACACACACACTTGCAGTCAATTCTACTCCTTTTGTACTACTCCTACTCCCATTTCTAGAAGTTCCTGGTGTTACCAATTTCCAAGCCTGCAACACAAATCAAGTGGTTTTGCAGCTTTCCATCTCTAATTTTCAGAATGTTGTTATTGTAGTCTCCTCTCCCAATATTTTTACCCTTATTTATGCCTTTTGAAAATATGACCATATTCATTTACTCTCATTTTAGCAAGGAGTGAAGTAAGGAGTAAAGGGAGATGTGCATGCTTTATTGAACTATCTTTAATTAGAAGCACTAAATAGTTATCCTTCTATATATGCATTATAGTTAGTGACTCAAATTCTCCTTTAAATATTTCTATGGAAATCTTTAAATCTTTATTAGAAATACATCTAAATTTTTTTTTTTTTTTTTTTTTTTTTTAGACAGAGTCTTGCTCTGTTGCCCAGGCTGAAGTGCAATGGCGTGATCTTGGCTCACTGCAAACTCTGCCTCCTGGGTTCAAGCGATTCTCCTGCCTCAGCCTCCTGAGTAGCTGGGATTACAGGCATGCGCCATCACGCCTGGCTAATTTTTGTATTTTTAGTAGAGACAGGGTTTCACCATGTTGGTCAGGCTGGTCTTGAATATGACCTCGTGATCTACCCGCCTCGGCCTCCCAAAGTGCTAGCATTACAGGCGTGAACCATGGCGCCTGGCCTACATCTAAATTCTAAACTAATGTAAGGGAACTGATATGATGCCAAGTCTTATTTAACAACAAAGCATAGCTTTCCATTTACTCAAGTTTTCTTTTTGTACATTAATTGAGTAATAATCTTATAAATATATGTTCTGTTTTAACAAATTTTATTTCTAGTTTTGTTTTTACACTTTCTATTGATTTTACCAATGGGAACTTTTCTTTCATCATATTTACTAAATATGTTTGCTTATAAATAAGGAAGAGAGTTTGGAATATTCATTTTGCAATTGGACATCTTACTGATCAGAATTTGTTCAGTAATTGGAATGTCTTCACTAGAGAAGTGGGAGGACCTTTTATCTTGGGTACAATATAGGCAACATTTGAGAAATGTCATAAAAGTCACAGGAGTCACATTAGGAGTTTTCCAGCACATCACCCTTTCTAACACCTTATTTAAGTTATTAGAACATAGTCACAAGTTTACACTGTGGCCTCTTGATTTTTAATGACTCTGAGGACTGTGGCTTGAGTTTTCTTGGATCTTTCTAGGGCATCTTAATGCAGCTCATGTGGAATCTTAGGAGTGCTTAATATTTCTAAAAGAAAACAAAATGATTTGCCTCCTCCTCCTAGCCCACCCATGAGAGAGTTCTAATTCTGAGATGTAAGCCAATTGGGACAAACAGACAAAAAAGGAATGTAGTAGATTGTTTCCAAAGATAGTCACAGACTTTCCTCCCATATCACATGACTTAATGCCATGTGACTTTGCCACTCCTTCCATAAAGAGGAATCTCATCTCCTTCCTCTCTTTAGTGCCTATGCCTCACTAATTGTTAAACATTTCGAATGGATCCCTACTCAAAGTGCTATTCAGCCTCAATAGGTTGTTGATTCTGGATCCCTGTGCTACATAATCTTCCTTTACTGGAAGGAAATGAAACCATAGTGAATGGTTCATTAAAGCATTTTTTTTCTGGTAGCTATCTACATAAGAAATAGCATTATTGCTACTGAAGGATTTTAGTAGACCAACCTTTACATTATTATAATTTTGAAAAACATCTTGAAAAACACCTTGGTGTTTAAACTTGGAGTTTAAACTCAAGACTAGTATGTGTACTACTTCACAACTCTCATTATTAGTATACATGTTATTAGATCTGAATTCAAAGGAAATATACATATATGACTACTTAAGAATAAAATAGAACCAAATCAGATTTTACTTCAGATAATTAGCATCTAAAAAATCATGTTTTTTCACTCTATGTATTTTATCAGTTTTTCTGTGTTTACTATGGTAAAAGCTAAAGCAGTTGTTATAATTTTTGCACAACAGTAAAAGCATTTTAATGTGTTGTAATTACAGCATCCTTTTAGTAGTTGTTTTAAAAATCTTAAAAAATAATATTGTAATCCCTGGTTCTACAGTAAGGGGCATATTCTTCCCAAGATACTAATACATAAAGTAGAATAGTAATAATAGGTACTCACAAATGGGCACTCAGGGAAGAATATAACCTTTTAAAATTACTTACAAACAGAAAAGTCATGTTCTGGTACTGCCAAAATGCATTTCATCACAACTAAAACTAATTTTCCATTCTTGCAAATACAATTACAAAGATAGCAAATGAATTCCAAGTAATAAACTTAAGATAAAGTTTCCTAATTTCAAGTTCACATAATAACATAGGTGGTGTTTCATAAACTATTTCTCTAACACAGTAGTTTTCAAACTTTCCTATAGAGGTAGGGCCCTTCCTCAAATGAAATCTTAATCAGAAGACCAATTAATACAAAACAGATTAAAAAAAAATAAGCCTTCTCTGGTGAAGGTTGGTGGGAGAAGGGTACAGAGGCCTGACCAACAGACCCTCTGAACCCCAATTATATCAGTCAGTTTTTCAGAGGGGTCCATAGGGTACTTCTGATAAATTACTAATGCTTTGGAAACATTTAAAACTACTAATATCAGGCCAGGCACAGTGGCTTATGCCTGTAATCTCAGCACTTTGGGAGACATAGGTTGGAGGATCACTTGAGCCCAGGAATTAAAAAACAGACTGGGCAACATAGCAAGACCCTGTCTCTACAGAACATTTTTTAAAATAGCCAGGCATGGTGATGCACACCTGTAGTCCTAGCTATTCAAGAGGCTGAGGTGGGAGGATTACCTGAGCCCAGGAGGTCAAGGCTGCAATGAGCTATGATCACACCACTGTACTCCAGCCTGGGCAAAAGAGTAAGACTCTGTCTCTAAAATAAATAAATAAATCTAGTGATATTATATTTAATAGGTAGTCATACTATATAAAAATTATTTGACCAGTCTGGGGAACATAGCAAAAACCTGTCTCTACAAAAAATACAAAAATTGGCCAGGCATGGTGGTTTGCACCTGTAGTCCCAGCTATTTGGGAGGCTGAGGTGAGAGGATCACTTGAGCCCCAGAAGTCAATGCTGTGGTGAGCTGTCATACTACTACCACACTCCCTCCTGAGCAATAGAGCAAGATCCTGTCTTAAAAAAAATTCTTTAATAATTTTGAAAGTAGGGGAGCCATAAGGACTATAACCAAGACATAACAGTAGGCCAGGAATGGTGGCTCATGCCTCTATTCCCAGCACTTTGGGAGGCTGACTTGGGAGGATTTCTTGAGCCCAGGAAGTTGAGACCAGCCTGAGCAACATGGCAAGACCCTAACCCTGCAAAAAATAAAAATAAAATTAGCCAGGCATGGTGGCACACGACTGTGGTTCCAGATACTAAGGAGGCTGAGATGGGAAGATCACTTGAACCCAGGAGGTTGAGGCTACAGTGAGCCATGTTCTTACCACTGCACTCCACCTGAGTGACAGAGCAAGATTCTGTCTAAAAATAAAAAATTTAAAAAATTTTAAAAATAAACACATAACAGTTTAGTCTCTCACCAAAAATAATTACATAGAGGCAGGCAAGAAGTAGGCCAAAATGGTATTAAAACTCCACAAAGTTCAGTAGGCACTTAAGCTTCTTCTGTATTTCTGTTCTGCCATCTTGATGTAGGATTTCATCTTCAAAATCATCACATGGCCCATAATGGCTACTAGAGATAAGTCAATCTTATTTTTATTCCAACAACATAAAAAAGGAGAATAAAAGGGACAAAAGAGAAAGAACAGCCCACCTACCCCTTCTCTTTTAAGAAACCTTCACACAGGTTCCATCCAGTAACTTCTTACCATCCTTGGCCAGAACTTTCATACCTGATCACATATAGCTATAACTTGATTTCCCACAAGCTCAGTCTGGAGTCTGATTTTACCTAACTTACAAGCTACTAAGTTACTCTTACCTGGATGCTGACTGAAGACAAGAGACACTTGGATCTTTACCAATCATGGCACAGTAAGCCAAATGAGCTCTAGCATGTTTGTGTAGGTTGCCTTGGCCCCCATATCCCACAGGAATGATATCATGGGCCCAGATGAAAGCCTACACATGCAATGAGGTGTGTTACAGAAGAAGAGCACTGAGTTTGGGGAAACCCAACATTTTATAGCGAGCAGAAAGCAAGCATGCTTTTGGTTCTGAAAGTAATACTTCATCCCTCAAGGTTGCATGCTGCAAAAACAACCATGAAACATGGCCTGGATCAAGGGCAGTCAGGACTTGCATTCTTGACATACCTAGCAAGATTCTGAAGGTATGTTCAAGGCTCTTGCTGTAATGCCTCTGCCAATGCACATTGCCACCCTAAACAAATTCAGGGTTCTGTCACTAAGGAAGAAGAAAAGAATGAAATTGAATATAAATGTCATAGCCTATGTCACATCAGCTTACTGAATTTTCTGGTATTTCTATGTTATATAATAATTTTTATTTTAATGAAGCTTTAAATAATCCAATGTATTTTAAAGTATTACAATAATATACTTTAATGTAATCTAGCATTCTACCTAGGTTGCATTTAGAACTTGGATATTTATAGTAAGTATGGGAAAGATACTTATTTCCTAAAGAACCTTCGATACATGAGGTCTTTGATTTGGTGCAAGAAGAAGTAATTTTTGTCTTTATTTTTCCTTTATTTTGTGGGAAGGGATTGTTTTAATGATGTCTTTGAGATGAACAGATAAGAGAGGAGTATCATGGAAAAACTGGGATGGCATCTCCTCACATATGCAGTCTCACTAATTAGTGTCTCCATAAAACAGATTAGAAGAACCTCAAGGATCTATGTTCTTCAAAGATTTTCTTATCCAGCAGTCCCCAGTATACTTCACACAATTGCCACATAGAAAGGAATAATATTTGAATGTTCTGGGGAGACAGGGCATGATGGATCATACCTGTAATCCCAGCACTTCAGGAGGTCGAGGCAGGCATATCACTTGAGGTCAGGAGTTCAAGACCAGCCTGGCCAACATGGTGAAACCCCATGTTTAACAAAAATACAAAAATTAGCCAGGTGTGGTATTTTGCATCTATAATCCCAGCTACTCAGGAGGCTGAGGCAGGAGAATCACTTAAACCCAGGAGGCGGAGGTTGCAGTGAGCTGAGATCATGCCACTGTACTCCACTCTTGGCAACAGAGCAAAACTCTGTCTCAAAAAAAAAAAAAAAAATTGAATGCTCTAGGGGAAATAGATGAAATTATTAATGACTATGGAAACTATCTTAGGGGCTCTCACTGCCCCCAGGTCCTTCCCAGAACCCAAAGCAATGAGGGAATAAATTTATCATTATATGTGGTGTATCTTCCATTGGGAAGATCCCTTTTAGACCAAGCACAATAAGTAGTACTGGCAGGAAGACCTAGGAAGAAGGTCATTCTTTCTACTTACATAGTGCAACCACTCAAGGTGCCCTAAGGGTTCAGGTGGCCACAGCAGAGAATATCTACGTCCACCAGAGTAGCATTCTCACATAGAGCACCATCAGCTGGAGGTACCCATGACTATTGACAAGAAGTTCTGAAAGCAGATCGCACACGATTACGTACCTGAACACAAATGGCTCACAACTAGGCTGGGGACAACTCAAAATAGTGGGAAAGGCTGTGGTCTTACATAAATAGGTGAGTTCTAAGGGCCATTGCAATTTGATTGTATTGTTTGTGTATCAGCATGTACTCACATGCTGGTGAAGCATCAGATAGCCTATTCTATCACAGTTCCTATATCAGCAGTGTCACAGCAAAAGGGTTGGATTAATATTTGTACTATATGTTGGGACTCACATGTGGTTAGACGGTTTTAGTATATTTGTGACAGTTCTACTGATGTGCATTAACAGACATATATAGAAGATCTAGGAGAAAGTATTTTTGACTTTAAACCTAGCTCATATTTAGGCATCTTTGTAGGCCTCTCTAAAATGAGGAATAAAGTCTCCTGATAGTCTGCTACAACTTTAAGAAGCTTAACTTGGAAGAACCATGGATGCAAATTCAATTTGCCTTTCACCCAAAATTTCTGTAGAACTGTTTGATGTGAAATAGATTAGGGCATTGAAAAATAAAAAGTGGGCCAGCTGTGGTGGCTCACGCCTTTAATCCTGGCACTTTAGGAGGCTGAGACAGGTGGATCACCTGCGGTCAGGAGTTTGAGACCAGCCTGGCTAACATGGAGAAACCACATCTCTACTAAAAATACAAAAATTAGCTGGGTGTGGTGGTGGGCGCCTGTAATCCCAGCTACTTGGGAGGCTGAGGCAGGAGAATTGCTTGAACCTGGGAGGCTGAGGTTGCAGTGAGCCAAGATCGCACCATTGCACTCCAGCCTGGGCAATAAGAGTGAAACTCCATCGAGAGAGAGAGAGAAAGAGAGAGAGAAGGAAGGAAGGAAGGAAGGAGGGAGGGAGGGAGGGAAGGAGGGAGCAGAAGGAGAAAAGAAAGAGAAAGAGAGAAATAGAGAAGGAAGGAAGGAAGGGAGAGAGGGAGGGAGGGAGAGAGCGATAGGAAAGGAAAGGAAAGAAAGGAAAGGAAAGGCAAGGAAAGGAAGGGAAAGAAAGAAAGAGTATGTGCTTTGTAGATTTTGTAGATGTCACTTCAGGACGAATAATATTAAATTAACCATTAAGTACCAAATATAATTATTCAATTCAATGAAATAACTCAAAGAAATATCTCTAATTTGCAGAATACTGAGTTTTCCAAATAGGATAATATATTAACCCAAGAAATAGTCAATGTTAGAGATCAAAAATTAGAAAGTATCCTCTGAGAAACCATAAAGCTTTCCTTTCCCACTTTATAATTGTACATTCTCTTAAAGAAACCTATCTAGATTATTCTCACTGTTTGAAAATCATTTGCTCAGTACAATAAAGCTGGGAGGAAGAAAAGAAAACCAGCTACTCAACAAAGTAAGAAATCCATTATTCAGTTTAAATCTATGTAAACTAAGACAAGCAGTTTCATTTCTTGAAAACAGTTTCTTTATCCATGAATGTAGGTAATAATGACTACTACTAGAGTTGTTAAAAGATTAAGGATGTTCACTGGGATCTGCTGATTCTTTATGATTTATATAAGATCAAGTCAAATCCTCAATTTCATAGCATGTCAATGTCCAAAGCCCTCCTGAGGATGTCTGCAATTTCTGGGTGGCATTTGATCTTGGTCACCCCTATCTTGAAATCTCTGCTTATTTTGCATGTGCTGGTCACTCTTCCGCATCATAATGGCCCATCTGTAAAAACCATCCCCATTCACAGTGTGCATATGTGCACATACACACAACATTTGTGACTATAGGTGCACTAGAGATTTGTTGCTGGGGAGAGGATGGAGAAAAAGACTACATCACGATAAGGCAAGTAATTCAAAATGACCATTAGCCAACTGATATGGTTTGGCTCTGTGTCCCCACTCAAATCTCATATCAAAATTGTAATTCCCAGGGTTTGGAGAGGGACCTGGTGGGAGGTGATTGGTCATAAGGGTGGATTTCCCACTTTTTAGTCTCATGATATTGAGTTCTCACAAGATCTGATGGCTTAAAAATGTGTGGCACTTCCCCCTTTGCTCTCTCTGCTACCACCATGTGAAGACACACTTGCTTCCCCTTCGCCCTTCCATTGTTGTAAGTTTCCCAAGGCCTTCCTAGCTATGCTTTCTGTACAGCCTGTGGAACTGTGAGTCAATTAAATCTCTTTTCTTCATAAGTTACCCAGTCTCAGGTAGTTCTTTATAGCAGTGTGAGAATGGACTAATACATCTGTTCCACAAAACAGATGTTCCTTGAAATATCCACAACAAGGAAATTTCTCCTACTTTTTGCCCTGTGTTTTTCCTCAATAACACTATCTTATTGCTTATTTTCTGCTGTTTCTCTATTCTGCTTTCTTCTCTTCACCTCCCTCCCTGCAGTAACGGAAAGGATGGACAGAAACACTGAGAGAAGGTACATGAGGTCTGAGATCCTGTGCCTCCACTGAAGTCCTCGGCTGCTGTCAGGCATCTCATTCCACATGTCTCTCTGTTTGCAAGTTCTGGAAACTTCTCCCTTCTCTTGCCCCTTCAGAACTAAGGGTTGCAAAAAAGTCCCACAGTTACTAACCCAAATGTACCATACTATCTTCAAAGTATCCCTACTCATTGCCTACTTTTTTTTTTTTAAGATGGAGTCTAGCTCTATCACCAGGATGGAGTGCAGTGGTGCAATCTTGGCTCACTGCAACCTCCGCCTCCCAGATTCAAGTGATTCTCGTGTCTCAGCCTCCCAAGTAGCTGGGACTACAGGCGACAGCATGAGACACCATGCCCAGCTAATTTTTGAATTTTTAGTAGAGGTGGGGTTTCACCATGATTGCTGGGCACAGTGGCTCATGCCTGTAATCCCAGCACTTTCAGAGACCAAGGCAGGTGGATCACGAGGTCCCTGCCTACTTTTTACGATGTCATTTGTTTCACTGGAACTGTGACTGATACACATGTCAAATATATTTTTGCTTCAGAGCTTTGGCCTCCCAGTCGGGATATCTGCAATATTGATTTCATATCTTCATTCAGGCCTTTGCTAAATGTTATTTCATCCAAAAGGTCTTCTAGACCGCACTATCAAAAAAGAAACCTCACCATGTGGAGAACCTCCTTTTCTTCTTATCCTGCTTTACTTTTTTTCATTGCACTTATGACCACCTGACGTCTTCTTATAATTGTTGCTCTTTATCTATCTTCCAAAACACAAATGACCAACTCACCCCAATTTGCCTGGGACTTTCCTGGTTTTAGCACTGAAAGTCCTGTGTCCAGAGAGTCCCCTCAGTCCTAGTCAAAATGAGACAGTTGCTTTTCCTACCATATGGTAGGATACAAGCTCTATGAGAGCAAGACTGGTTTTTTCACTGTTATATATTGGCTAGCCCTTGGGAGCAGTGCAGTAAATGCATGTTGAACAAATGAATGAGGGAAAGTGGTGGGAAGCAGTCTACAAAATAAGAGCTGAAAGGAACCTTAGAATTCCATATGATTCTCATTGTGTGCAAGGGGACACAAGTGACTGGGTATATAAGGATCTCGGCAGAAAAACAGAGCCTGTGTCAGCTAGTTTAACAGAAGGAGTTTATTATGAGGAACTGGCTACTAAGGTACCAGAAAAACAGGGAAATCAAAGAGGGGAGGGTGAGACCTCCTAAATACAGCTACTGCAGGAAGCTGCTAGTGCTCCTAGGGAGGAAGTGACAAAGGGTAAAGTAGGTTTACCAGAGCTCAAAAGCAGGATCAAGGAGGTCTATTTAGCAGGAGCAAGAGTCATGAAGGAGACAAGATACTGCAAAGGCTGCCCAAAGTTAAAAGAAAGAGGGCAAAACCTGGTTTCACTCTTTTTTTCTGCGCATCCATTGGTGGAACCCCACTGAAGGCCAGTTGGCCAAGGAACCTAAAAAATGGTATTTGTGGCAGGGCACGGTGGCTCACGCCTGTAATCCCTGCACTTTGGGAGGCCAAGGCAGGTGGATCATACAGCAGGGGATCAAGATCATCCTGGCTAACACGGTGAAACCGCATCTCTACTAAGAAACACAAAAATTAGCCGGGCGTGGTGGCGGGCGCCTGTAGTCCCAGCTACTTGGGAGGCTGAGGCAGGAGAATGGCATGAACCCGGGAGGCAGAGCTTGCAGTGAGCCGAGATCATGCCACTGCACTCCAGCCTGGACAACAGAGCAAGACTCCATCTCAAAAAAAAAAAAATGGTATTTGCGGAGATAGGTAAGAAATGCATCCCAGAGAACACAGGCAAATGGAAAAACAAACTGGTATGTTTCTCTCTATATAATTAACTAGTAAAGTTAAAAACTGTGGTTATAATTGGAGCAATACGGATGGGGGTGGAGCCAAGATGGCCGAATAGGAACAGCTCCAGTCTAGAGCTCCCAGCGTGAGTGACGCAGAGGACGGCTGATTTCTGCATTTCCAACTGAGGAACGCAGCTCCTCACCAGCGATGGAACAAAGTTGGACAGAGAATGACTTTGACAGTTGAGAGAAGAAGGCTTCAGACGATCAAACTACTCTGAGCTAAAGGAGGAAGTTCGAACCCATGGCAAATAAGTTAAAAACCTTGAAAAACAATTAGACGAATGGCTAACTAGAATAACCAATGCAGAGAAGTCCTTAAAGGACCTGATGGAGCTGAAAACCAAGGCGTGAGAACTATGTGATGAATGCACAAGCCTCAGTAGCTGATTCGATCAACTGGAAGAAAGGGTATCTGTGAGGGAAGATGAAATGAATGAAATGAAGTGAGAAGAGAAGTTTAGAGAAAAAAGAATAAAAAGAAATGAACAAAGCCTCCAAGAAATATGGGACTATGTAAAAAGACCAAATGTACGTCTGATTGGTGTACCTCAAACTGACGGGGAGAATGGAACCAAGTTGGAAAACACTCTGCAGGATATTATCCAGGAGAACTTCCCCAATCCAGCAAGGCAGGCCAACATTCAAATTCAGGAAATACAGAGAACGCCACAAAGATACTCCTCGAGAAGAGCAACTCCAAGACACATAACTGTCAGATTCACCGAAGTTGAAATGAAGGGAAAAAATGTTAAGGGCAGCCAGAGAGAAAGGTCGGGTTACCCACAAAGGGAAGCCCATCAGACTAACAGCTGATCTCTCAGCAGAAACTCTACAAGCCAGAAGAGAGTGGGGGCCAATATTCAACATTCTTCAAGAAAAGAATTTTCAACCCAGAATTTCATATCCAGCCAAACTAAGATTCATAAGTGAAGGAGAAATAAAATCCTTTACAGACAAGCAAATGCTGAGAGATTTTGTCACCACCTGGCCTGCCCTAAAAGAGCTCCTGAAGGAAGCACTAAACATGGAAAGGAACAATCACTAACAGCCACTGCAAAAACACACCAAATTGTAAAGACCGTCGAGGCTAGGAAGAAACTGTATCAACTGACAAGCAAAATAACCAGCTAACATCATAATGACAGGATCAAATTCACACATAACAATATTAACCTTACATGTAAATGGGCTAAATGCTCCAATTAAAAGACACAGACTGGCAAATTGGATAAAGAGTCAAGACCTATCAGTGTGCTGTATTCAGGAAACCCATCTCACATGCAGAGACAAACATAGGCTCAAAATAAAGGGATGGAGGAAGATCTACCTAGCAAATGGAAAACAAAAAAAGGCAGGGGTTGCAATCCTAGTCTCTGATAAAACAGACTTTAAACCAACAAAGATCAAAAGAGACAAAGAAGGCCATTACATAATGGTAAAAGGATCAATTCAACAAGAAGAGCTAACTATCCTAAATATATATGCACCCGTATATATTTATATGGGTGCACCCAGGTTCATAAAACACCCAGATTCATAAAGCAAGGAGCACCCAGATTCATAAAGCAAGTCCTTAGAGACCTAGAAAGAGACTTAGACTCCCACACAATAATAATGGGAGACTTTAACACCCCACTGTCAACATTAGACAGATCAACAAGACAGAAAGTTAACAAGGATATCCAGGAATTGAACTCAGCTCTGCACCAAGCGAACCTAATAGACATCTACAGAACTCTCCACCCCAAATGAACAGAATAGACATACTTCTCAGCAACACACCGCACTTATTCCAAAATTGACCACATAGTTGGAAATAAGGCACTCCTCAGCAAATGTAAAAGAACAGAAATTATAACAAACTGTCTCTCAGACCACAGTGCAATCAAACTAGAACTCAGGATTAAGAAACTCACTCAAAACCATTCAACTACATGGAAACTGAACAACCTGTTCCTGAATGACTACTGGGTACATAACGAAATGAAGGCAGAAATAAAGATGTTCTTTGAAACCAATAAGAACAAAGACGCAACATACCAGAATCTCTGGGACACATTCAAAGCAGTGTGTAGAGGGAAATTTATAGCACTAAATGCCCACAAGAGAAAGCAGGAAAGATCTAATATTGACACCCTAACATCACAATTAAAAGAACTAGAGAAGCAAGAGCAAACACATTCAAAAGCTAGCAGGAGGCAAGAAATAACTAAGATCAGAGCAGAACTCAAGGACATAGAGACACAAAAATCCCTTCAAAAAATCAATGAATCCAGGAGCTGCTTTTTAAAAAAGATCAACAAAATTGATAGACTGGTAGCAAGACTAATAAAGAAGAAAAGACAGAAGAATCAAATAGACACAATAAAAAATGATAAAGGGGATATCACCAACGATCCCACAGAAATACAAACTACCATCAGAAAATACTATAAACACCTCTATGCAAATAAACTAGAAAATCTGGAAGAAATGGATAAATTCCTCGACACATACACCCTCCCAAGACTAAACCAGGAAGAAGTTGAATCTCTGAACAGACCGATAACAGGCTCTGAAATTGAGGCAATGATTAATAGCTTACCAACCAAAAAAAGTCCAGGACCAGATGGATTCACAGCTGAATTCTACCAGAGGTACAAGGAGGAGCTGGTACCATTCTTTCTGAAACTATTCCAATCAATAGAAAAAGAGGGAATCCACCCTAACTCATGTTATGAGGCCAGCATCATCCTGATACCAAAGCCTGGCAGAGACACAACAAAAAAAGAGAATTTTAGACCAATATCCCTGATGAACATTGATGCAAAAATCCTCAATAAAATACTGGCAAACCAAATCCAGTAGCAAATCAAAAAGCTTGGCTTCACCCCTGGGATGCAAGGCTGGTTCAACATATGCAAATCAATAAATGTAATACAGCATATAAACAGAACCAATGACAAAAACCATATGATTATTTCGATAGATGCAGAAAAGGCCTTTGACAAAATTCAACAACGCTTCATGCTAAAAACTCTCAATAAATTAGGTATTGATGGGAGGTATCTCAAAATAATAAGAGCTATCTATGACAAACCCACAGCCAATATCATACTGAATGGACAAAAACTGGAAGCATTCCCTTTGAAAACTGGCACAAGACAGGGATGCCCTCTCTCACCACTCCTATTCAACATAGTGTTGGAAGCTCTGGCCAGGGCAATCACGCAGGAGAAGGAAATAAAAGGTTTTCAATTAGAAAAAGAGGAAGTCAAATTGTCCCTCTTTGCAGATGACATGATTGTATATCTAGAAAACCCCATCATCTCAGCCCAAAATCTCCTTATGCTGATAGGCAACTTCAGCAAAGTCTCAGGATACAAAATCAATGTACAAAAATCACAAGCATTCTTATACACCAATAACAGAGAAACAGAGAGCCAAATCATGAGTGAACTCCCATTCACAATTGCTTCAAAGAGAATAAAATACCTAGGAATCCAACTTACAAGGGATGTGAAGGACCTCTTCAAGGAGAACTACAAACCACTGCTCAATGAAATAAAAGAGGATACAAAGAAATGGAAGAACATTCCATGCTCATGGGTAGGAAGAATCAATATCGTGAAAATGGCCATACTGCCCAAGGTAATTTATAGATTCAATGCCATCCCCATCAAGCTACCAATGACTTTCTTCACAGAATTGGAAAAAGCTACTTTAAAGTTCCTTTGGAACCAAAAAAGAGCCTGCACTGTCAAGTCAATCCTAAGCCAAAAGAACAAAGCTGCAGGCATCACACTACCTGACTTCAAACTATACTACAAGGCTACAGTAACCAAAACAGCATGGTACTGGTTCCAAAACAGAGATATAGACCAATGGAACAGAACAGAGCCCTCAGAAATAATGCCACATATCTACAACCATCTGATCTTTGACAAACCTGACAAAAACAAGCAATGGGGAAAGGATTCCCTATTTAATAAATGGTGCTGGGAAAACTGGCTAGCCATATGGAGAAAGCTGAAACTGGATCCCTTCCTTACACCTTATACAAAAATTAATTCAAGATGGATTAAAGACTTAAACGTTAGACCTAAAACCATAAAAACCCTAGAAGAAAACCTAGGCAATACCATTCAGGACATAGGCATGGGCAAGGACTTCATGTCTAAAACACCAAAAGTAATGGCAACAAAAGCCAAAATTGACAAATGGGATCTAATTAAACTAAACAGCTTCTGCACAGCAAAATAAACTACCATCAGAGTGAACAGGCAACCTACAGAATGGGAGAAAATTTTTGCAATCTACTCATCTGACAAAGGGCTAATATCTAGAATCTACAATGAACTCAAACAAATTTACAAGAAAAAAACAAACAACCCCATCAAAAAGTAGGCTAAGGATATGAACAGGCACTTCTCAAAAGAAGACATTTATGCAGCCAAAAGACACATGAAAAAATGCTCATCATCACTGGCCATCAGAGAAATGCAAATCTAAACCACAATGAGATACCATCTCACACCAGTTAGAATGGCGATCATTAAAAAGTCAGGAAACAACAGGTGCTGGAGAGGATGTGGAGAAATAGGAACACTTTTACACTGTTGGTGGGACTGTAAACTAGTTCAACCATTGTGGAAGTCAGTGTGGCAATTCCTCAGGGATCTAGAACTAGAAATACCATTTGACCCAGCCATCCCATTACTGGGTATATATCCAAAGGATTATAAATCATGCTGCTATAAAGACACATGTACACATATGTCTATTGTGGCACTATTCACAATAGCAAAGACTTGGAACCAACCCAAATGTCTATCAATGATAGACTGGATTAAGAAAATGTGGCACATATACACCATGGAATACTATGCAGCCATAAAAAATGATGAGTTGATGTCCTTTGTAGGGACATAGATGAAGCTGGAAACGATCATTCTCAGCAAACTATCACAAGGACAAAAAACCAAACACCGTATGCTCTCACTTATAGGTGGGAATTGAACAATGAGAACACATGGACACAGGAAGGGGAACATCACACACCGGGGCCTGTTGTGGGGTGGGGGGAGAGGGGAGGGATAGCATTAGGAGATATACCTAATGTTAAATGACAAGTTAATGGGTGCAGCACACCAACATGGCACATGTATACATATGTAACTAACCTGCACGTTGTGCACATGTACCCTGAAACTTAAAGTATATTAAAAAATAAAAAATAAAAAAATAATTGGAGCAATATGGATCAATAATAATGTCTAAATTATTAGGGCCATTATATTCTCTAAACTCCAGCTGAAAACAAACTAGCCTCTACTCTCATCCCTCTGAAAGAAAAACTAAAAACAAACAAAAAACTTCCCCAAACCAAAGAGTTATTTAGTAAAAAAGATATTTAAACTTCAGCTCTCTACATAAAATCTGTTGCCAATCTTTAAATCAAATAGCAACAACTTTTTGGGTTTGTTTTGTAAACTAAAATAAGAAGTAGTTTGGGTATTGTTAAATGCTAGTTATTATCACTACTGTATAGGAAAGTTAATTTATGTAATACCCACCCCATAACTTTCTAATGTATTTCACCAGTGTGATTATAGCATATAGAATTTTTCAACCAGGGCACTAAGTCTATACATAATATGAGCCATTTAACACATCAACCTCCTTTTCCAACATCGACTATTTCTCCAGTTTCTATAGTGATGAAATGATAGGAAGATGGACACACTATAGCAATAGGAAAGTCTTTTTATTACAATGGAGTTTCAGACTGATTCATAAAACTTCCACTGAGGCCAAAATATGTTTTCCAAGATCAGTACATCTTTCCTACCCTTAGCTTGTCAATACTCTCTAACTCTCTATCATATGACTTTGCCAGCTACAAGACAACTTTATTTGAATGTCTCACAGAAACCTCAAACTCACCATATTTTTTTTTTTTTTTTGAGACGGAGCCTCTCTCTGCCACCCGGGCTGGAGTGCGACGGCGCAATCTCGGCTCACTGCAAACTCTGCATCCCAGGTTCAAGCGATTCTCATGTCTCAGCCTCTTGAGTAGCTGGGATTACAGGTGCACACCACGATGCCTGGCTAATTTAAATGTATTTTTAGTAGAAACAGGGTTTCACCATGTTGGTCAGGCTAGTCTCGAACTCCTGACCTCAAGTGATCCACCCACCTCGGCCTCCGAAAGTGCTGGGATTACAGGTGTGAGCCACCACACCTGGGCCATATTCAAAATTTAATTCATTAATTTCTACCAAATCTCTCTCCTTCAACCTTTGCCTGAATGTCTGTAACATCATCTTAATCCCCCAAACCAGAAACATATACATTATCCTCTTTTCATTTTCCCTTAACTCTCACTTCCACTATTACCCTTGCCCACATTCCCAAACATCAATAACACAAGTTCTACAAATGTCACATTTCCAGTGTGTCTCAGATAAATCCCCCCCTCTTTACCTTCAAACTTCATGTTCCCATCATGTCTCACTTGATTTACTACAACAGCCTCTTAATTGAGATTCAGTAACCTATGCAGAGTTAGCACAGTGCCTTGTATTTAGTGTAAACTCAATAAACGTTAATTACAATTACCTATTTATAATGCCTTTCCTGTGTAAGTCTTTTATCCCTTTAATCCACTCTTTTTTTTTTTTCAAATTAAAATTTTTTTTTTGTAGAGACAGTGTCTCACCCAGGCTGATCTGGAACTCCCGGCCTGCAGCAGTCCTCCCACCTTGGCCTCCCAAATCTTCGGGATTACAGGCAGCAGCCACCACACTCTGCCTTAATACACCCTTTATGCTGAGCCAAAGTGATCTCTGCAAATACCAGTCTTGCCTAGCACAGTGGCTCATGCCTGTAATCCCAGTGCTTTGGGAGGCTCAGGTGGGAGGACCACTAGAGGCCAGGAGTTTCAGACCAGCACAGGCAACATAGCAAGACCTGTTATTACAAAAAAAAATTAGCCTGGCAGGGAAGTGCATACCTGTAGTTGCAGCTCTTCTGGAGACGAAAGTGGGAGGATCACCTGAGGCCAGAAATTCCAGGCTGCAGTGAGCTATGATCACACCACTGCACTCCATCCTGGGCAACAGAGTGAGACCCTTTCTCAATAATAATAATGATAATGATAATGCCAATCTTATCGAGCTATTTAAATGCAAGAAACAACTTACTGATTATGCTTATCCTATAAGATAAAGTCTAAGCTTCTTCATATGGGAAGGCTCCTCCAAACTTTTGAGGTCAGCCTCCCTCTCTAGTGTCCTCTCTCTGCAAGGTTCCACAGGTTATCTGGGTCACAGATACACTAAGTCAGTAGAGGTTTTATGCATGCACACAGCTGTTTCTGAAATCTGTATCTGTATTCCTATGGTTTTTAATGCCAGGAATTCATCCTCCATCTCTGGTAAGATTTTTACTTTCGAGATTCCTTTAATCACAAACATTCTGGTGCCTACATGTGTAACTCCCACAATTCTAAGTACCTATGAAATTGATCCGACATGCTTCACCAACAAGAGCTACTAAGTACTATTTCCTTTTAGAGTTTTATGTTTCTCCATAGAGGTTTGAATATTCTTAGTTAAATCCTATATATTCTACAATTTTTCTTCCTATTGTGAAGAGTATCTGTTTGGTTTGGTCTGGTTTTTTTTGTTTGTTTCTGAGACAGCATCTGCCTCTGTCACCCAGGCTGGAGTGCAGTGGAGTGATCACAGCTAACTGCAGCCGCGACCTTGTGGGCTCAAGCAATCTTCTCACCTCAGCACCCCCCTCAACCCCGCACTGAGTAGATGGAACCACAGGTGTGCATCACCATCCCTGACTAATTTTATTTTGCAGAGACAGAGTCTCTCTATGTTGTCCAGGCTGGTCTCAAACTCCTAGGATCAAATGATCCTTCAGCTTCAGCCTCCCAAAGTGTTGGAAGGACAGGTGTGAGCTACTGTGCCCCGCCCAAGAATATCTTATTTTTTAGTGTATTTTCTAGTTGATTATTACTGATGTAGAAAAATGCTAATGATTTTTCTGTTTATCTTGTTTCTAGCAACTTTGGCAAATTTTTAAATTACTTCCAAGTTCTAGTGGTTTATTTGTTGATACCATTAAGAAAAAATATCTGAAGCTTGGAAGTATATGAAAGAAATGACTGTTTATCATTTCAAAACATTCTGAGGTGTTTCTTGTAGATCCACCCAAGGATTATCTCATTCTCTAAGGGCATGTACCTTTGTTTGACTTATTTGCTATTGATCGAGATGTTTTATTATTTTTATAAAGGAAAATGTTAATTTGTAAAAACAAACAAAAAACTAGGATTCTTGTCCAAAAGCAATGCAAATGAATTACGTCTAGTATGATGCAAATTATTTCTGTCCAGTAGAAAGAATTGCATTTTAAGATTACAGGTTTATTGCTCTGTAGAATATGTGTCAGTTTAAAATGTAATGAAGCAATCTTATTCCACCTTATTTCCCTTCAGTATATTTCAGCATTCCCCTCCTCATCCCTCATACCCTAACTGTGACTCCTTTGAAACCCACTTAATATTCTGCTGGTTCCCTTATTAATAAGTTAAATCAATTTTTACCACATACATATTTTACATTTGTATGACAGTCATGTTTTCAAGTTTTTGAAAATCAAACCTTGGCATCACTTTTTTTTATCCTAAGTAGATGATCATTTCTATTTGAAATAGTAACAATATCATCTCTTTCTTTCCATCTTTCCAATTCATTTCTTTTTATTTCCTTTTTGCATTGTCCATGACCTCCAGGATAATGCTAAACAAAGAGCTGTGATAAGAAACCTAGTCTTGTTCTTAATCCCGAAGGTAATACATCTCAAGATTACATGTTAAAAATAAAATTTTGCTCTATATTTATAATATAAAACATTTATTGCAGTTAAAATCATTTCCTCTATTTCTGTCTTTTAAAGAGTTCTTATTACAAGCAGGTGCTGCTTTTTTGTTAATATGCTTTTGAGCTATGACTGAAATAAATGATTATTCTCCTTTAGTCTGATAATGTAGTGAATTTGACTAATAGATTTTCTAATATTGACCCATTCTTGCATTCCTGAGATTAAACTCTTACTGATCATCAGATATTTTTAATATGCTGCTAGATTAAATATTTAATACATTATTTACAAATTTTATCTCTATAGTCTAAGTGATATTGAAACTGACCCAATTGTTCCATAGACAATTATTTTTGATGAATATAGAAATAAACTCTTCTGGTCTTAAAGACTGAAACATATTTGTTTTATCTGAGTTTCTTCCTCAGGACTTCTTTCAGGCCTCTCAAAAAAAAGTATCAAAGAACAGAAACTCAACAGATCACCACATCCAGACAATGAGATGCAGGACCCCTCATTCATCAGATTGCTTCCTGGCTCCTCTCCAATCCCTGTTTTCTTACACATTGTTACATTTCTTCCCTGCTATATAAACCCCTAGTTTTAGTTGGTCAGGGAGATAGATTTGACACTGAACTCTGGTCTCCCCCACTGCAGCAGCACCCGTTTAAAGCCTTCTTCCTTGGCAATACACATTATCTCAGTTACTGGCTTTCTGTGCACCCAGAAGCAGGACCTAGACCAAACCCCTGGATGGTAACAAAATGGGTTCTATTTTCTTCTATTGTTGCTTTCTGGTTTTGAAATTGTAATACATCTACCCAAAAAATGAAGCTGGATGATTTTTAAAATTATTATTTTCTGAAATCACTTGCTATAAGATAATACCTAGCTCTTTATTTAAAGGTTATAAAACCATCTGGATGTGAGATTTTTGGAAAGGAACAATTTTTAATCACTACCTTTCTTTAATACTGAATGGTAGATTCAAGTTTTCAGTTTCCTTGAATCAATCTGTTTTTATATTATCCCTAGAAATGTATATATTTCATTCACGTTTTCCATTGTTTTAGCATACAGTTGTTCATAATACTCTTATTATTTTTAAATTTCTGTTGTGTCTGAAATTATATTCTATTTTTCATTTTGTATTTTGTTTGAATTGGTTTCTTGTTTTTGATTAATTTCACCAGTGACTGATGGATCTTATTAATCTTTATGAAGATAACTGCTTTTGGCTTTGTTCATTCTGTCATTTCATCTCTCTCCCTCTGTTCCTTTATGTCTCTTTATCTCTTTGTTCTTCATGTTACTGATTTCTTCCCTTATCTGTATTATTTTTATGTTTGCTTACTAGATCTTTTTCAAGTTGTTTTGTTGAATGCTTAGCTCATTTATTCAAAATATTTTTGTTCCCAAATTATTTAAACCTAATAATTTTCCTGTATGACTTTAAGTTCCCCAAATTTGACAAACTTTTTTTTTTTTTTTTTTTTGAGATGGAGTCTTGCTCTGTTGCCCAGGCTGGAGTGCAATGGCGTGATCTCGGCTCACTGCAAGCTCTGCCTCCCGGGTTCATGCCATTCTCCTGCCTCAGCCTCCCAAGTAGCTGGGACTATAGGTGCCTGCCACAACGCCCGGCTAATTTTTTGTATTTTTAGTAGAGATGGGGTTTCACCGTGTTAGCCAGGATGGTCTCGATCTCCTGACCTCGTGATCCGCCCACCTCGGCCTCCCAAATTGCAAGGATTACAGGTGTGAGCCACCACGCCGGGCCGACAAACATTATTTTCATTATGCCATAGATTGATTGCAAAATGCCTCCATTTATTCCCCGCTCTATACCAAAACCCCTTGTAATGTTACTTTGCTGCCCCTCCCATCATTAATGGGTCTTTCCCCACTTCTTTAATCTGAGCTAGTCTCATGACTTGATTTGGTTAACAGAATATAGCAGAAGTGACAATGTGCCAGTTGTGAGCCTAGACCTTAAGAATGCTTGTATTCACACTCTTTAAACTGTACTGCTGCCATGGGAACAAGCCTGATCTAGTCTGCAAGAAAGTGAAAGGCACATGGTCAGTCACCCCTGCTGGCCTAGCTACAGCCATCCTAAATCAGTCAGCCTCAGACCAACCTGTCAGCTGACTACAGATGCATGATTGAACTCAGCCATGATTAACCAAGCCTGATTAGGATTAGCAGAACCACTCAGCTGACACGTAAAGAATAATAAATGCTTATTGCTTTAAACTGCCTGATTTAGGGGTGGTTTAGTAAATAATTCGGTCGATTATTACTGAGTTCTAAATATTTCTTAAATTATTTTATGCTTTCATTTTTAACCTGATATTTAACACTGTGTGATTTTTTTTAAAAAGCTGGAATTTCATTATTAATTTGTAATTTTATTTCCTTGTGTGTATCACCGTCAAAGAATATGTTATGCACAATATTGATTCTTTGGAAGTTATTTAGGCTTCTCTTTTGCCTAATACATACCTATTTTTGTAAATTTTTATGTGTGCTCAAAAATAATATATAATTTTTATTTGGGATACCGTTTTCTGTATATCTGATTATTCAAACTTATGGTGCTCAGTTATTTGATATTTCTGCATTTTATCTTTGACATATGAATTTTTGCAAGGAATGTGTTAAAATTTCTAACTAAAATTACTGAGAAGGGAATTCTAACAACTATAACTTTATATATTTTGAGTCTGTATTATTAGGTGCCTATATATTTATAACAATTATATTTTCTTCATCTGGTATTCTTTTTTGCCAGTATAAAAAAAGCTTTCTTTGTCCTGGTGACTTTTTTTTGCTTTAAATTTTATTTTGTTAACTGTTAAGGTTGATATTCCAGCTTTCTGTGTATGTAATTGTCTCTGTCTTAAAAGCCATATTTGTTTTTCTGTTTTTGTTTTTTTGTTTGTTTTTTGAGACAGGGTCTCACTCTATTACCCAAGCTGGAGTGCAGTCATAGCACACTGTAGCCTCAAACTCATGGGCTCAAGCTATTCTCCTGCCTCAGCCTCCCAAGCAGCTGGAACTACAGGCATGCACCATGACATAGAGCTAATTTAAAAAAAATTTTTTTTAATTGTTTAATTTTTAATTTTTTTTTTTTTTTTTTTGAGACAGAGTTTCACTTTGTCATCCAGGCTGGAGTGCAGTGGTGCAATCTTGGCTCACTGTGACCTCTGCCTCCTGGGTTCAAGCGACTTTCATGCCTCACCCTCCCAAGTAGCTGGGATTAGAGGCATGCACCACCACACCCGGCTAATTTTTGTTATTTTTTAGCAGAGATGGGGTTTCGTCATGTCAGCTAGGCTAGTCTCAAACTCCTGACTTCAAGTGATCTGCTCACCTCGGCCTCCCAAAGTACTGGGTTTACAGGCATGAGCCACTGCATCAGCCTCTATTGATTTATTAAAACTATAATATTTTTATCTTCCCCATAATAAAATAAGAAATGTTTTCGTGTATGTTCACATCATGGAAGTTGTGGATACAATTTTTTTCCTTTTCATTTTAATCCGTAATTGTTGGATTTTTTGTGTTTTTTTGTTTGTTTTTGTTTTGGCAGCAATAAACTCGTTACTTGCAATTTGATTACCTTTATTTTCCACATTTTCTCATTTTGTAGTGTGTTCTGGTTTTGTTGTTCTTCATATCTGGTAACTTCCTTCTGTATTCTGAGTTTAAGGAGAAAAACTTTCAAGATTGTGGGATTGAAATTATTTTGATTATGCTCTCATTTTGAACCATAGTTTGTCAGGTTACAAAATGTTAGCCCCAAAGTTCTCTACTTGAAATGCTTTGGACAGTTTATCACATTGCCTCCAGTGCTGCTACTAAGTCTAATTTCAGTATAATTCAGATTTTTGGTCAATGATATGTTTTCTCAGGAAGCTTCTAGAATTATCTTTTGTTTATATTACTCCTAAATTCATTATAATTTTCTATATGTGGGGTTTTTATTTTCTCTCCCCCATTTGTGCTCTATAGATCCTTTCAGGATGAAGTATTTCATTTATCTTTAAGTTTGGGAAAATATATCTATTATTTCCTCAAATATTCTTCCCTTGTTTTTCTTTCTATTTCTGGTCACTATCTAAACCTATTAAGATATTGGTACTTCTGCTTCTATCCTTCACATACCTTAATGCTTTATCTATCTCACACACTCTCTCTCAACTTCTATTGCTTTATTCCTTCCTGCCAGTTTCTAAGACAGTTTATCAATTTGATCTTTCATCTCACTAATTTGTTCTCCAACTATATCCATCCTAAAATTTATTCCATCCATTCTTTTTATATCAATGTATATTTTATACCTAATATTTACATTTTTTTCTAATTTCTTATCTTTGTCATATATTACAAATATGTTCCTTTATCTTCTTAAATACATTCAGAAATCATTTGTTGTATTTTTAATGTTGTTGTTTTAATAGCTATTTCTTTCTCCTTTGTCTAGTTATTTTGCTCTGTGAGTTTACATTCCCTCGAGGCATCAACAGACTGATATCTCTGCTGATAAAAATAAAGGAGAAGACCATATTCTAATCATTGTCAGTAAATTTTAAAAGAGGGAAGGGCATGAGCCCCAAGGCAGAGTGCCCTAGGCACCACAGAATCTCTGTTTCTCAATTGGCTTTGCTATCCCTCCTCCAGCCAAAACGCTCATCAACCTTCAACACTTAACCCCTTAGGGATAAACAACATTGACAGAAACAGTCTTGCTAGGTTATAATCCACCAGTCCGGAGGCTTTGGAGAGGAAAAAGGATTAGACATGAATGCTTGAGGGAGCCTGGACCATTCTCATCTGCTTTCATCAACTCTTTGTGCTACTGAAATATTACAAGTAGTGCTTGGCAGGCTGAGCTTTGCTGCCAATTTCTGCAGTGAAGTGGCAAGCAGACAGTGATTATCCCTAAGACACATTGTTGAGAGACAGAATTCTCCTGCACCCCTAATATCTAGATTGTTTCTAGATATTATTCCCCCATGAAAGAAAACAGGCCCCTTTGGAGAAATGGCCAATTCCAGGACTAGGACAAAGAAAGTGAAAGGTAAGGCCAGGCATGATGGCTCATGCCTGTAATTCCAGCACTTTGGGAGAAGGCAGGCATATTGCTTGAACCCAAGATTTCAAGACCAACCTGGGCAACATGGCAAAATTCCATCTCTACAAAAATTAGAAAAATTAGCTGGGTGTGGTGGCATACACCTGTAGTCTCAGCTACTTGGGAGGCTGAGGTGGGAGGAATCGTTGAGCCCGGGAGGTGGAGGTTGCAGTAAGCTGATATCACACCACTGGACTCCAGCCTGAACAAAAGGGCAAGACCCTGTCTTTAAAAAAAGAAAAGAAAGAAAGAAAAAGGAAGTAAAAGATTAGCCTGGAATATCTTATTTCAGGAAATAAAAAGTGCTCACGATTAATGGTATCATCTCAAAAAGATGCAGTCAGCATTTTCAAGGGATTATCATTGGACAAATTTGAGACAACTTGACAACCAAAAAAAGAATAATGACAGTAATGGATACCAACATTTAGTTGTAAATAAATAAAATATTATATAATGCATATTAACATATAATTCTATAGAATAAATAATTGATATTATAGCACTATATATATATAAAAAAAAATGTAAGAGAGAATGCCCAAGGAGAAAAAGGAAAAACTCATCTTTACAAAAAAACCACTAGCTAGCACACACAAAGAATAACATTATTACAAAAACCACAATTTTTAGTTTAATGGGGTACCTACAATTTAACAGCTTATTCAGCCAAGAATGACTAATGGATTGAAGTTTGTTGGGAAATAGGTTGTTCACATGGCTCCAGTTTATCACATCATAGATTTATCAATCATTACCAAGAGGAGAATATGCATTTGCAATGGAGATACTTGGGGTCACTCCATTACCCAAGTGGTCAAGCGTGGAATTGTCACTAATGGGATAGCCTGATAGTATTCCCTCCTAATATAATGTAGTTGAAAGTATACATCATTTATAATATTCCTACCAAAGACATTGACTTTAGTCTGATCATAAGAAAAAAATCTGATAAATCTGGAATATGGGATATTCTATAGACAATTGGCCTGGGTTTCTCAAAGGATTCAATTTAATGAAAAGCTGAGAGAAATCAGGGAGTAGGATTGGTGGTGGTGGTCATGTGTATACACTACAAAGACAAAACAACGAAATGCAATGCAAACCCTGTTTGGATGCTGGGATTTTAAAACACAGCTAAGAATGACACTTTAAATATGGTTACAATATTTGATTGTGACTATCTTTTGGATACTGATATCAAATTAATGCTTAAGGCCAAGGCAGGAGAACTGCTTGAGCCCAGGAGTCTGAGAGCTGATTTTTTTTTTTTTTTTTTTTTGAGACAGAGTCTCGCTCTGTTGCCCAGAGGCTGGAGTGCAGTGGTGCGATCTGGGCTCACTGCAAGCTGTGCTTCCTGGGTTCACGCCATTCTCCTGCCTCAGCCTCCCAAGTAGCTGTGACTACAGGCACCTGCCACCATGCCCGGCTAATTTTTTGTATTTTTATTAAAGACGGGGTTTCACCGTGTTAGCCAGGATGGTCTCGATCTCCTGACCCCATGATCCACCTGCCTGTGGATTACACAGCACCCAAAGTGCTGGGATTACAGGCGTGAGCCACTGCACCCGGCTAAGAGCTGATTTTTTTAGGTGTGGCAATGAGGATGTTGTTGTGTAAGAGACTGTTCTTACACAGGTATTTAAGAATATAGTTTCATGACATCTGTAGCTTACTTGTAGATGATTTGGCAGAAGGAAAGTGTGTGTGCCCATATTGAGGGGGATGGAATGGGTGTGGCAAGGTACAAACAGTTGATAAATCAGGATGATAGGTACATGAGTATTTATTATGATGTTTTTTCTTCTCCTTTGCAGATTTACAAACAAACAAAAAACCTTCCACATTGATCTGTAGCTAATTTACTCGAGGCTTCTGCAATTCAATTCCCACCCACCAATAGTATCTCATGTCTTTGCTGCCGTTTCTTGTTTGTTTGTTTTGAGATGAGGTCTCCTTATATTGTTCAGGCTAGCCTCAACCTCTTGGGCTCAAGCAATCCTCTTGCCTCAGCCTCTGGAGTAGCAGGGACCACTGCCCCCCAACCATTGTTATTGACTGCCAAATCCACGCTTTCCTCTTGTTTCTAGAATGGATTTTTGCCAGAGTGTAGCAGCCATGCTAGGTCTCCTAAGTAAGACAGATGTTGAAATACATTTTTTTTTTAATTTCAAATTAAAATTGGCATAACTCACCTTTTATTTTTCTTTCTGGGTTCCTCCAGTATGTCTCAGCACTGCTACACATTAGAATCATTTGGGGGAAATTACTTAAACTAAACAGAAAGAGAGATCTGAGGTGGAATTGGGAATCTGTATGGTTTTTTAAATCATTCATGGCATTCTGATTCACAATGAGGACTTCAAACCACTGCTCTAAGCTCAGACTGGAGGGGTTCAAACTCCTACCTTAATACTTTGTAGCTGTGAGATTTTGGTTCAGTTAATTAAACTTCCTAGGCTGTAGGTACTCAGGCATTTTGCCTGGATTTTTATCTTTATCATTTTCCTAGTTATCATATAGGAAAGGATCTGGAAGCAAATTTTCTGTTATAATAAAAATGTTTTGCTTATGAGAATTCTGCATTACAAGGTCCATTAATATTTTTACAACCTAAATCCAGAAGAAAATGATTAGCATTTACAGGACAATGAGGTAGACATTTGGGGACAGGAGTATGTTACAGGTGCCATTCAAATTACTCTAGGCCCAGTGTGGTGGCTCATGCCTGTAATCCTGGTACTTTGGGAGTCTGAGGCAGGAGGACTGCTTGAGTCCAGGAGTTTGAGACCAGCCTAGGCAACATAGTGAGAACCTGTCTCTACAAAAAAAGAAAAAAAAAAAAAATTAGCCAGGTGTGGTGGTGCATGCAGGTAGCCCCAGCTACTCTGGAGGCTGAGCCTCTGGAGGCTACTCTGTGGGGATCACTTGAACTTGGGAGGTCTAGGTTGTAATGAGCCAGAATTCTATCACTCCACTCCAGCCGGGGTGACAGAGCAAGATCCTGTCTCAAATAATAATAATCACTCTATTTTCTTCTTCATAATCATCACCATTACCATTATCACCATTAGCATTACCATCATCATATCTAGCTACTGATGGGCACTTATTACATACCAGGCATTGTGTTTGCAGTTTACAAGGGTTAGTTCTCTGACTCTTCACAATTCTGTCAGATAGTGTCATTGTCATTGCAGATGGGAAACGAGTTTAGGAAAGTTAAGCAATTTGCCCAAGAAAGTAAGTCCTGGCTCCAGAGTCAAACTAAAGCTTTTTGAGTCCAGGGCTTGCTTTCTTAGATTCTATAATTGTGGCCTGTTTTACATAGAATGAATATTGGTCTGATTTCCTATTTGGCTTATACTTTTTCTCTTGAAATAACCCCAAGTATGAAAATGTTTCCTCTTTTTTATATACTTTTAAGCCATGCTAACAAGTTCATTCACCAAATATTCAAGGCTAAATGACCAATATAGGCAAACTGTGGTCACTGGGTGCTATTTGTAGCAATTGCATTGTTTGTGTCCTACTCTTCCTCTGCCCTAGTTTCTTCCCCACTCCAGTTTCTGTCCTGCTCCTGATATCCAACTACCTTTCCTGTTGATTACCCTCCTTCTACCTTTGGACTTGATCTTTATTTTTGTTTTCCTAGGCTTGAATCAGTCATCCTTTTGTCTCCTTCCACTTGAAAACACTTTTATGGGTTGACTGTACCCTAATCTTGCTGTACTCAGGATTGCACCATTTACCCAATGTTCTGACTGGATTTGCCCTGGCCCATTGTGCATAGAAAGGAGGGAAGTTGGCAGGACCTGTTACTGGTGGAAGGTATCTGAGTTACCAGTGGTGAATTTGTACAGGTCTGCAGCAACAAATTCTTGCATCCTGAGAAGAAAGAATTAAACTGAGGGGCATACGGCAGAAAAAGAGACCAAGGCAAATTTCAGAGCAGGTATGTGGAAGAGTATTTGAAAAGGCTCAAAACAGGAAAGAAAGGAAAGTACGCTTGGAAGAGACCCAGGCGGGCACCTGAAGATTAAGTGCGATGTTTAACCTTGATCCTAGGACTTTATAGGCTGGCTCCTTTCACATGATTCTTCCCATAGGGTGGACTGCCTGCATGTGCAGTGCCCTCCTTACCCTTGGGAAGTGAGCATGCACAGTGTGTTTAGGAAGTTGTACACATGTCTTTCTGAGGCTTTCTTCCCTTTTCTGCTAGAGTATTCCCAGAAAGTCATTATTCTGCCATTTTGTCTCTTAATGTGTACACCTGGGAAGTTGTGTCCACCTGGCGTCTGCAATCAATGAACACTGTAGTGTAACAGGTGTGGACCATGAGGAAATAGCCTCTCCCTGGTGCTGGCTGCCAACGTATCACACTTATAGAGGCAATGAAGTAATTGCTGAACCATCACCCAACACTCCTAGTGGATGGAGGAAGAGGCCTCTCCTGCCCCGCTCATGCCTGTCTAACTACCTGTAATAAATCCACTCAATATAATTACATTTTAATTGAAAAACTCTTGAAAACCAACTACAGAATTAGGAAAAGCAGTTTCAGCAAAGTCCACAAAGGTGTAGATAAGGATGATAATGTTGAAACAATCTTTGGGAATAATTTTTAATAAATTAGGCAATTTCTGTAGGCCTATCAAAGGCCAATCCTTTTCATCAAGGTGGGACAACTCTAAAGGGCCCTGTTAGTTCCAGAGTACCATATAGGATCTACTGAAGCCTTTGCCTCATACTATAACATTTGATGCCTCTCTTTGCCCAATTCTACTTTCACAATCCCCTCACCCAGTTGTTGACTCCAAGGCTATTCTCCAGTAAACTTCATGTTTCCTAGGGAATCTGAGCAATGACAAAATGTATAAATTAAAAATTTTGCTTTGATAAAGTGGCTATAATCAAAATGTCAAGATTTCAAGGTACAACCATTTTGATAAGAATAATTTTTCTTTCTCAGAAGGCTCTAAAAATAAAAGTAATACCAACATGGAGAATAATAAAACATTTTAAAACAAATTTTATATGCAGAAAGAAGATTGGGAGGAAACAAGCAGGAGAGAAGAATTACTTGGAATCCAAGAGAAGAGAAAACATCAGGAAGAAGAAACTATGTGAGAATATTTGTTGGATCCAAACTATATCAAGTCAGGCAAACTAGTGCAAAAGTTATTTGGGTAAAGATGGCCTTAAAGCAGTTGAAAAAGTGTGTTTTTGTGGTTGGGTCAAGGTTAGGGGGTTGCTAAGTTCACACACTACTCGCAGAAATGTTGGACCTAGAAGAAAAGCACTAAATGCAAGATGCAAAAAGATATGCAGAAAAGTAAGTCAGAAGCAAATGAAGTTGGAGGAGAAAGGCAGTAAAGAAACTATAGCCAATTTCACTAGTTTTTTTCCGTTTTCACTGTGGATAAAGGAAATTTCGAGTGCAGCTATTGAAACACAGCATGGCAGAAAGTCTTCAGAGAAAGTTGATCTGGATCCCCCAGAGTTTGGAGAGCACAGAGTTTACCACCTGACTCTATCCTAGAAAGGTCTGAATGTGGGAGGCTGCCAAGAATTGCCTAAGATGGCAGGTCCAAGAAAAATCTGTAGATTTGGGTGAAGCTGAGTTGCTGAGTTTTTCTGTGACACCTACAGGCAACTTGGAAGGTAGTGTGTCTAGACTAGCACCATTTTGAAAGGACTTCCCAGAAAAACTGCCTGCTGGGATGAGTGGACTCTATCAGGAAGAGTTTGTGTGGGGTGTACCAGGAAAGCAGGATTTGAAGGCGAATCTTATGAGGTCATCAGGAACGTTACATCATCCCCATAAAAGGTAGAGATCGAAGAAGCCAGAGTGGAGAAGGTCTCCAAACAATTCACTAAACCGCCCCATAAGAGAAAGTGCCAGCCTTTGGAGATCTGCCATAGAAGACAGTTTTCAACACTCAGCCAAGTAAAAAGATATTTTTGTTCCTTTTCATCTCATCCCCAGCTCCTTAACCTAAACTTAGAAGAGTTAGAAACAGCAGTGAGTAAATTGAGAGAAGTCAGGGTGAATTAAACCAACAATCAACTAAACCTGAGGGCAAAGATGAGATGCTTTAAATTGAATGCAAGATACATTTTTTTTTTCAAAAATTTGTACAGGGATATTTAACACTCAAAAGTAAGGGCTATTCACTAAACCCTCAAAATGCCTATAAAAGCAATAGGGTTCATGTAAGTTCTTTGACACTTCTCTATCAAGAGATAGGGTCTATGTCCTTTTTTGTGTGTGCCTGGTGGGCCTTTGTGACTGCCTCAATAAATGAACTATGGCAGAAGTGACACTGTGTGACATCCAAGGCAAGATTAGACAAGGCATGCAGCTGGCCTGGTGGCTTCTCTTGGCCATTTGCTCTGGGAGCCTTCAGCTGCCATCAAAGAAGTTTGGCTTTCATGAAGAAGGCCACCATATGGAGAAGACCATACAAAGAGATCATATGGAGAGATTTAAAAGCTGTGGGGCTGCAACTAGGGAGAGGCAAGTGAGATGAATGAGGCGTCTTCCTGGGCACAAAATTAAAGGAGGGAATACCAAACAACCCCAGTAATCAAGAGGAATCATATTTTAATGTAATATTTAAAAAAAATGTAAAAAATCCACAATGAATAAAACATCAACATCTTAAAGACAGGATCACTATTGCTGTTGTTCGTTTTGTTTCAGATTTCAATATGGCTTGGCAAGGCACTGTTACTACTCCTGGTTGATTGGAAAGGACACAAGGACACTTTCTGGGGTGATGGGACCATTCTACATCATGGTTTGGTTACTGTCTATGGGGGGCGTATATAATTGTCAAAACTTATTGAATTGTACACTTCAGATCTGCGCATTTTATTGCTTGTAATTATACCACGTGCATATATGTTTAGAACAGGCCTATGATCCAATTCAGCCTAAGGAATGCTGAAGGAATACTGTTGGAGGTTTTTGGCCGAGTTACTCTTTAAAAAGAGAGAGATTGCAATGGATGGTCTCTGGACATAACTCTCTGTGCATCTGAGAGCTGGAACTGAGATGGTTATCTAGTGATCAGCTTGGCCATAAGCTGACACATGAAGAATCAGAAGTTCTTTCTGATTATTGCAGAAGAATCAGAGAGAGCTGGGGCCTGCACCCTCACTGAACTAGACCTAATCACTGCATTCACTCTGTACCTTTCCTATTACATATGCCAACATCTTTTTAATTTTATAAGCCAGTTTGAGTTGGGCTTCCTATTACAGACTCAGAGACATACAGAGAAAGCAATACACAGAAGCTCAGAGTGAGCAGAATTCCTGAGGAACGAAGAAGCAGAGTGTAGGCAGCATGGAGTGCCTATTACCTGCCAGGCACTGTGCTGGCACTGGGGAAAGGACAGGACATTAGACAGACAAAATCTCTGCTCTCATTGAGCTTACATTCTAGCTGGATGGTGGTAGGAGACAGGAGGGAGACTGCAACAATTTTAAATAGTGATAAATGCTGCAGAGATAACAATACAGTGCAATGTGAGGTGAGAAGGGGCTACTAACTTACTGGTGAGCCAAAGACGTCTTCTCTACAGAGGTGTCATCTGACCAGTGACTTGAATGAGGAGAAGATGCTAGCTGTCTGAAGCTCTGAAGCAAAGGCTTTCTAGGTAGCGATACAGCAGCACGTTCCTGGAAGACAAAAAACAGATGGAGTGGAAACTGCCTAAAAACTTTAAAGTGCATAGAAATCACCTGGGGGTCTGGTTAAATTGAAGATTTTGATTCAGTAGGTCGAGGTGATGCCGAAATTCTGCATTTTAAACAAGCATCCGCGTGATGCATTGTTTCTGTATGCATTACACCTGGAATAATGCTCCCCACAGTGTGGTCTGCAGCCTGGTCCACACACACACAAATTAAAACTTAACCTTTAAAAATCTTTATAGCAATTGAACACTGACACAACATCCAAGCATGTCATTTTTCTAGTAATTTATTTTTAGTGCATTGGTCAGTGACACATTGGAAGTTAAAAAACAAATCACCTGACCCTTTGCAGTTAGTTTGAGAAGCAGTGTCCTAGGTCTATGATACTACAGCAGAGGAGGGAGCTATCCTATCCACCAAAACTGCAGAGAAGCTTGGTAACATTGAAATCCTAGGTACAATGGAGAGTGGAAGTAAAATGTCAGGAGCGAAAGCTGGGTATTGGAACAACCGACATTATCACCACCATCACAGGCATGCACAGATACACAGACATAAACACCCACATGCACACTCTAGACACACACGCATGCACACATAGCTTCCATATGTAAGTCCTAGCAGCCAGGCATCTATTTCTCAGGCAAACATCCAGAAATGTCCTCTCAAAAGACATCAGATGGCTATGGAGTAAAGACTTCTTTATTCTGGAATGGAGGAGCCCCTGAGTGTAATGCTTTCTCAGAAGTGAAGTACAAGTCAACAAAGCCTTGCGGTATGCACAGAGCCCCACACTGCTCACTGCCTCATTATTAAATATAAACAGACCATCCACGATTACCAGACTTTCAAGGACCCAATATAAACAAACATTAGAGGAAGAAGAAAAGCTAGATACATAGGGACAGAGGTATACTGGATTATAATTATGGTAGAATCACACAGACTGTAAGAAAATCTCATCTCTAGAGCTGCATCCTCTGAAATGACCTTTTGTTTCTGTGTGTTTGTGTTGTGACCAGAAAGATGTCACATTTTCTGTGAGACCTGGCTGTTCACCAGTGGAAACTCATGTTTTCCTTATATTCCTAGTTATCCTTTAATAAGCTCCGACTGAGGTAATCTCAGTGTGTTCCTTGAAACTTAAAAGTACCTGTCTAGCTCACTGTGAATGGCTTAATATGTGTATTTCATCAGTTTGAATGCTTTTAGTTACAAACAACAGAAAACTCAATTCAAACTAGTTTAAGAACTAAAAAAAATTTATTGGCTCATACAAGTGGAAAGACAAGAGGTGGAGTGGGCTTCAGGTAAGACATAATCCACTGACTCAGTGGTGTTTTCAATAGCTCAATTTTTTCCCCTCTGTTCTTTCTGCCATCATGAAGGGGGAGTATTACCTAAAAGATACTATGCAACTTGAACAAATTCTTTTCACTATTGTTATTGTTTTTCTTGATTTTCTTTTTGGATAACTCACTTATGCCCTCAGAGTATGCATAACAGGGAAGATATTTTGTAAGATAGTTCAAAATGTCATTCTAGCTGGCATAAACTTGAGGCACAGATTCTGGAACAGTTTGGATGTGTTTCTTCCTAAAATTAACCTGGCCCCAATGCTTTCTCCTGGAATTTCCTTATAGAGTTAGAATTTTGTGGGTACAAATGCAAATGAATTCAAGGTCAGAAGGTCATGACCTCCCAATGCCCTTTCTTTCATGCTTAGAGAGATGAGGCCTAATCAGACACACTGGAGATTTCAGAGCCTTTATCTCTCTATAAACAGTTTGTTATATGAAGAGAGACAGATTACTCTGTATGTTCTCAAAAGAGAAATAATTTTTACATTTTTCTCATTCCTGGGATTCTCTCTTAGTCATTCTCTCCCCCTAATGGCTTTCTCCTAGACACATATATATCCATTATCCTAATGTTCTTCTCTTTCTTCTTTATCTTCTTTTTTCAACCTTGACTTCTTTTCAATGGAGAGAAAAAATTAAGGATTATTTAAAATGCTTTTTAACATTGAACAAACTGAAAAAAAATTTATCTGAACTCTTCTTTTAATTGAGACATCTGAGGCAAATTGAAACCATAAAGTCAGTCAGCCAGTAGACAACATAAAAAATCTACAAACTATAATAAACTAAAACTGCACAGTTGTTATATATTAGATATCCCTTAGGTAGAGGGACTGGCAAGCATGCCATCTAGTTTGCATTTAAATGCTGCATTATTAATAAGAGTCACTGCTGGCTAAAGGTGATAAAAATAGCCCATCACCCCACTATTAGGATTACCCCAAATCAGTCCTTGGGAAAGGATTTGGTTCATAGAGTTCTAACCCTGCAGTTCTGTAGTAACATCTCCCAGCATGGGGGTCTCACCTACGTCTTGGCTATCTGCTGTTAAAAAGCAGAATGAAGACTGTGTGCTCAGCAGGCAACTAAAAGAATCCTCTGTTATTTTGGTGGATCAAAAGTTTAATTTCCAGGATCTGTCTTTTCAGCAGCCGTTAAAGGTTTTGAGTAGATAACCCGGGCCTTTCACTAGTTTTAGAGTTGGAGAGGAGCCACAAATGTAAAATAATATCATATACATAGTTTATATTTGTACTGTTCAATTATGATGAACAATAAATAATAAACCAACAATAATAATTTAAACCAATCTCAGAAGTTTCCAGGACTTTTTCCCTTATAAAAGTCCTCTGAATATGACTCAAATTTGAGAAAAACAAATTATTGTGGAGAATGCCTCACTGAGGATATAGGTGGAATGACCCCAGAGCCTGTATTAACATGAAATAGAAAGCATTATTAATCTATTTACGTATGGGGTTTCAAGCCATCCCATAGAGTAGAGCACCTCTACTCTATCTGCTTTACACTTTGTCTTTCTCTGCAAGATTTTATTTCAACTTTAATGTTTTTAACTTTTATTTTAGGTATTTTTTTTTAAACTAGTGCACTATATCCCCGGTGGATTTCTAGAAAATCTTAGGTTTTCTGGATTAGAACAAGTTAAAGAGAATAGAGCAATAGCTATACGGATTAACTTCAAAAGGAGAAGCTTCAGGGTGGAATTATCCCCAAACTCTGGATAATTTTATGCAAGGACTAATCTAAACCAGATGCCTTTTTATCCTCTGATATACTGCTGTTTAAAGAGGGCATGTGGGCTTTGCTTCGCTAAAGGAGACTAGAACAATAGCACCTTTTAAACCAAGGTAAAATTATTTGTTTTAATCTCATTTATCCACAATAAACCAGGGAATTAAATTTCTAAAACTTTCCTCTAATTCAGTTTTATGGGCTCTTTCCCTATGGTTCAATATAAAAAATGCCATTTAAAATTTTAGGACTCAAAGAATTCCTTCAGTAGCTAGTTATGAAATTCTTTTCCTCCTACACTACCCCAGCAGCTAACATTTCATGCACGTACTTCCTTTGTATTTGAGAATGACCAGATTTGAAAACTGACAAGTAGAAGTGCTATTCAAACAGGAGGATCCCTTTGGAATTTCTAAGCAATAAGAAAATCCTTTCCAAATGGGATGCCTTGAGGTGACTCTATGACAAGAACACAAAAGTTATATGGAGAAATTATTCATTCTTGCAGTCGTATATTCATCCTATTTCATATGAGTGCCAACCAAGTGTGAAGTTTTTACTAGGCTCTGAGGATAAAATGGTGACTTAGCCCCTGTTCTCATGGAGTTTATGGTTGAAGAGGGAAGAGACATTGCATAATTACAAAATCAAATGCATATTTACAAAGTAGGAAAAATATTATGAAGCAAAAGCATAGGGTACCATAAGAATGCATCACAATGGGTTTATCGTAGTTTGTGGGAATCATGTAGCATCTATGGCAGTTCCATTCACTGGGACACTGAACAAGATGACCAGGCTTGAGCAGAAGTATCACGGCTGCATTTTTTTTTGCAATCTAGGTTTGAGACAAGCAAACAGGGAAGCCAAATAAACACTTGAATATATGGATAAATCTGAAGGTATAAATGTAAGATTCTGTAGGTACGAGATCATAAGCTAGAAGTGAAAATGTATTTAGAGGTAAGAGTTAAAAGGAAAAGAGGGCCCGTAACTGATTTTTAAGGAATTCCAGCATCTAAAGATTGGGGGAGAGGAGGCAAAGAAGACTGAAGAGTGGCCTGGGGACAGGGGCAGATCTACCTGGAAATTGATGTAGCTTAACGTTCCGGGTCCTTCTCTTGCCTGGGAGCAACCCTAGCAATGTGTTTACATGGGCATTTATTTTTTGAATTTTTCTAAAGAAAGATTTTTTTTTTTTTTTTGGTTAAAGCAGAGCTCCCAATTGTACAAGCTTCAGAGCCCATACATCCGCCCTTGACTAAGCGGAAGAAGCAAAACCAAGAGTGTGATTGCATGGAATTACAAGAGGGGTGGGGTGGGGAGGACTCTAGGAAGAGAGAGGTCAACAGCTGTGAATGTGTTTGAAAGTCCAAGGAATATGAGAAAAAAGTATTTTTATTCAGAATATTAAAAGAAATTCTTTTAAATGTTCTAAATTGGACTTCTGAGTATCCTTTGGTCCTATAATCTAATATCAGAGGGATATTTTGAAAAAGAGTTTCTTATGCAGAAAAAAATTCGTGGGACTTCCAAATTGAGGATAACAGAAAGAAAATCTTAAGTGGCACAAAATAGAAATGAATATCTGTTCTTCCTGGGGCCATGCAACTCTAATAACTTTTCCATGTTTACTGTTTTTGCTTTTTAATTGGATCATCAGACTAAGAATGCACCCTGATGTGCGAAAAGTTACTTAGAAAGTGAGAGGACTGCCCCCACCCTTCTGATTAAAGCGCTTCTCATAAGCATCCTATGCCATTCAGTAAGCTACCCATGCAGAAAGCATCCACAGGGCAGTGCACATAAGGAAAATCTGAGGAGCTAGAAACAGGCTATCAGTTTCCGCAGGTTGACAAAATCGGCAGATAAAAATACAAGACTGCCATTAAATTTGAATTTCCGATAAACAACGAAGAACTTTTTAGCATAAGTACGTCCCAAATATTGCATGGGATATACTTGTACTAAAATTATTCCTTTTTTTTTTTATTTGAAATTCCCATTTAACAGAGCAGCCTATATTTTATCTGACCACCTCACAAGTCCACTACCCACACCCCAGGTCGAGCGGCCCAGGAGCGAGTTTAAAACCCCGCACAGGCCTGCTCGGCCGCGTCCCCTGATTGGCCAAGGCGCGCCCGCCGCCCCGCCGGTCGCAGGCGTCACGGCAGCCCCAGCAGCCTGGGCCCCGCCACCGCCTCCGCGGCAGCCCCGGTCGGCGCAAGTGCGGCGCGCGCTGGGGGAGGGGGCGCGGCGGAGCGCTAGGCTGGCGTCGGGCCACCGCGGGATTAAGTTTCTCAGTCACGCGTGAGTGTCTGTGCGTTTTGATCCGAAGCTCCTCGCCGGGTCGTTACTTCAGAAGAGAAGACAGTGAGCGTGGGCGAGGCGAGGCATCCAGAGGCCCCGGCGACCCCTGCTCCCCAGTCCTCCGCCCCCTCGCGTCGCGGCCCTGGGCGGGCGCCGCGAGCCGGGTAAGCGGCGCTTGAGCCCCGGCCCAGAGGCCGAGGCGCGCCCCCGCGCCCTGCGCGCGCGCCGGCGGGGAAGGTGCGCGGGCGCCCTGGGCTCGGCGCTTGGGGGTGGGGGTGGGGGCGGGGATGGGGGTGGGGGTGGGGGTGGGGGTAGGGGTGGCGGCGGGCCGTGGGGCGGTGGGGCGGTGCGCTTGCCCCACCCCGCGCGGCCCGGCGCTTCGCGGAAGCCGCTGCTGTGGCTTTTTTAAAAGGATGGGGTCTAGAAGTTTCCTTTGCTACTCGCAAGTCTCCACTCCCCCCAGCCCCGCGGTGGATAATCCTAGACCTTTCAGCACCCCCGCCACCCCTTTCTTTTGCTCTCGCTGACTAAGAGGTTTAAAAGTTTTTCCTTTTCCTTGACCCAGAGGGGCACAGTCTTGGTGTCGGGGGGCTGGGGGTGGGGTGTTAGCCTGGGGGCCCGGAGCGCAGACCAGGCCTCCAGGGCGCGGGAGCCTGTTGCTCTCCCCTGCAGGGGCCGCTCCCGGACGCCCCATCCGCCGTTACGTGGTCCCGGGATGTGCGGGTTGCGGTAGAGAGTGGGCAGCAATGCTCCTGGTCCTGCGTTCTCGCCTTAGCCGCGGGGACCCCGAGGCGAGCCGCTAATTGGTACCGGTGCCCCGTCCCTCACCCCTGGCACCGGCGCCCTTTTAACCGCCGCTCCCGTTGGTGGGAGCACGTTGGTCTTGTCTCTCCCTTAGTCTCCTCACCCCCCGCGCTGATGGGCGTCTTTGTCTGCGATTTGGCAGCCCCAGGATGCCGGATGTTACCAGGGAAGCGATGTTTGGGAGACGCTTTGTGTCTTGCGGAGTTGCGCGTTTGTTGGGTGGTGATGGTGTACATTTTTGTTTGCGTTCTTTGCAGAGGCACAAAGGCTGGGCTATTCTTGCCTGCAGTCACATGGAAATCAAGCGGAGACTGCGGGGGAGGAGAAGTGGCCAGGCGCCGGCGGGAGGTAGAGGCCGCTCCGTAGTCACTGGGGGCGAGTGGGGGCCCCTGGAGACCTCTACTGCGCGGTGCGGCTTTTGAGGTGCTCCGCTTGGGAAGACCCCGGCAATGGGCACTGACTGCCTTTTTGCAGTAGGGGCTGCGGTTGGAGGCTAGTGTTTCCTAGGTATCATCAGATAGATAAGAGGACCATGACTTCACCAGCGTAGAAGGAAAACTTCTCCATGTTCCTTGATGTCATAGAGAAGGAATCTGATAAGTGATCAGACTGCCTCGTCCTGCCTTGTAGACAGTTTGATGTAAACATCCCCTTCGTGTTTCCCTAGAAATTCCTGGTTTAGGTTACCCTTTATAGAATAAATAACACCTTATCTGAAAACTAACGAGGAGGAGGTGATGGTTTCGGGCTTGGGAGTTTTACATGTTGAATTTGGGTATGAGTGATTACAATGAACATCTTGTAATGTTGGAACTATCTAAATTTGTATAATGTATGCCTTAGCACCTGATGGAATTTTGGCAAACAATAGTGTTTTAAAAACCTAGCAAAACTTGGCCAGGCGCAATGGCTCACGCTTGTAATCCCAGCACTTTGGGAGACCGAGGTGGGTGGATCACTTAAGGTCAGGAGTTCAAGACCAGGCTGGCCAACATGGTGAAACCCTGTCTCTACTAAAAATACAAACATTAGCGGAGCGTGATGGCTCGCACCTGTAGTCTCAGATACTAGGGAGGCTGGGGCAGGAGAATCGCTTGAACCCGGGAGGCAGCGGTTGCATTGAGCCGAGATCGCGCCACTGCACTCCGGCCTGGGTGACAGAGCGAGACTCTGACTCAATAAATAAGTAAATAAATAAAAAATAAAAATAAAAGCCTAGCAAAACGTTCCTTGACTTGATCTTCTAATACAATACTAAGCTTTGGATGGAGGCACCTGTACCCTTGTGTGCAATGTAGGCAAAACTAGTTTTGGGTACCCCTTGACTCTCCGTTCTTCTTCCCTATCTCATTTGCCAAAACAAACAAACTAATGAAGATTATTCTCAACATATTACTAATAGATTATGGTGTACCTTATTTCTTACATATGTTCCTTTTTTTTTCCTTTGATCCTTTCTGTGTTTATTCTTTTCACTTACCTTCTCTAGTTCTGGTTTTCTTTGTCCCTTTACCACACTCCTTTTTATTGACTAGGCCTGAAGGTTGTGGCTTGGAAAGGGAGGGATCTTTAGTCAATTTTTAGTGTGCTTCAAAGTCCTATCACCTAGACATTGCTCTGCTTGACCCTTAAAGACATCTTTCCTTTTCAGATGCATTTAAATGTACCTAACTGTGAGGAATAGAGGCTGGTCTCAGAGTTTAGTATATTTCTACAAGTTGAAGCTATTCAGAGAGACTCTTGGAAATCCTTGATATGTAACTTTACATGGATTTAGGTCTAGTTGGCCACTTTTAGTTTTTAACTGCTAGGGTGGAGAGATTTTGCTTGACAAATGATCAAGTGAATCCATTGTCTAGAATTGAGATTAAGGGATTTAAAAGCTGGAGAGGAACAATGAATTGCCTGGAAGGTAACTATCCTCACTTAGAGGTAGATTATTTTCTCCAGATTACATCCCAGATCTGACATAGTCTTGTCTCTCTCAGGTTGAGTTGCAGGTTGGCTACATTTTGTATATTTGGAAACGTACAAAGTACTCTGAATTTCATGAAATATTTTGAGGCAAAGTTGGACTGGAATGTCCCCAAATATGGTAGAGCAAATAGCACATCTGCCAGAGAAAGATCCTACACTTTAAAGAGAAGAAGCAGACAACTTCCTGGTGAATTTAGGACTGCTTGATGGTGCGTATGAGTGATGATATATGTCCAAAACAGTTGTATGTACTTTTGAAAATAGATATTTGGCCTAAAGTAGGATTTCATTTGATATTGTTACGTACATTATCAACCCCATATTTATAACAATAAAGGTTTCATTTTTTCTTGTAAATTAGTGTCATGCATAGGAGAGCATTTATATAAGTACAGTTCGGAAATGATATTTAGCATGGTAAAATTGATATACTGTGATTAAATAATTTTAGTGGGATTCCATGTGGGAGAATAAGACTAAGGAGGTAAATAACTACTTCTCGATAAAGGAAACCAGTGGTGAGGAATCCATTGCCTTCCTGTGATACGTTTCCAGAGAAGATCCGAGGTATTCATGTAGTAGGTAGTAATAGATGGATTAGGAAGAATGTTGTATTGGGTTAGGCATTGGGGAGAGTACAGAATAAACATGATTCTGCTCCAGAAGTGTAGGGTCTTAGTTGGAGGAATCTAATGGGAGAAATAACAGAAAGGTTTTACATGTTAAAAATGTTACAGGGATTCTAGGAAAGTAGTGAAGTATAGGGATTAGTTGCTCTTATCATTGAGGTTAGTAAATAAGACACAGAAAGGCTTTGGTCTTGAGATGAGAGGGTGGAAATGAAAGTTTTTTTGATATGAAGTAGAGCTTAAGTCAGTGGTTTTCCCTTGAAAATGGACATGTATAGAAGAGGCTGGGATGTGAGTGGGCAGTGGGTACTGGAGAGCATATTCAATTTGTATATTTCTGGAGTGGAATAGAGGATTTGTGCCCAGGGGAAAAGGTTGGATAGGGAAGAGCAATTAATGGAGAGCAATGAAGTATAGGCTGACTTTTATCTCTTGAAGTTTCCACTTTCCAATAACCCAAGTCACATTTCCTTCTGAGAGTTAACCTCTTCAGTGCAATCTGGGCTTTTTCTAACATGCACCCTAAAACGTTTGTAGCCATTACCTATTACCCAGTTCCAAAGCCACTTCCACATTTTTGGTGTTTGTTACAGCAGCACCCCATTTCCTGGTACCAAAATCTGTATTAGTTTGATAGGGCTGCCTTGACAAAATAACACAGAGTGGGTGGCTGAAACCACAGGAATTTATTTCCTCACAGTTCTGGAGGCTGGAAGTCTAAAATCAAAGTGTTGGTGGGATTGGTTTCTACCAAGCCTCGCTCTTTGGCTTGTAGATGGCTGAGTTCTCCCTGTTTCTTCACATGCCCTCCCTCTGTGTATGTCTATAGCCTAATTTTTTATAAGGGAACCAGTCATATTGTGTTAGAGCCCACCCCTAGTGACCTCATTTAACCTTTATCTCCAAATACAGTTATATTGTGAGGTACAGGGATTAGGATTTCCTGTGAATTTTTAGGAGACACAGTTTAGCTCATAACAAGGTTCTCAAAGAGACTTAGTGTGTAAACTAGTGAGACTCTGAGGCAGTGAGCTCGTATTGGAGGCTAGTGCATAGTCTGAGCATTACTGGGGTAATTTGATGTTTGGCAAGAAAGGGAAGCTGCTATTTGAGGACAAAGGTATTTTATCTTTGGCCTGAGGCCACTTATTTTCTTTCTCTGGATGTTCATTGGGAAATTGTGCCTCTGTGGCCTTTTTGTGGACAGAGCATTAATTTTTTTTTTAAGTGTTTTATAAAAGCATTCGTTTTCTTAAAATATTTCTTTTAATGGTTCTTAAAAATAGTAAAGCGCTAAATTTGGCAAAGCTGAAACACTGTGTTGTAAATGTCTCAGTGGTTTTTGAGTCTGATTAAAACAACAGAATTTATTCTTTAAATTCCATTGATCTAAAAACTGTCTGTCTTATACGTGTTTTGTGGGGTAATGTATGGCATAATCTTTTTTCCTTCAGAAATGTTTCCCCCTTTTGGGAAAATATGATTAATAAAAGGGAATTTATGTTACATAAAATAAAAACTTTTTTTTTTTTTTGTTTTTTAGGTGTTGCAATTTTATTTGTTGAGTTAATGAAACCATTAGAGCCATTCTTCCCAATCTGGCCAGCTAAGTTAAAAATAAATAAATAAATAAAAGGAGACAAACTCTTACTTTTTTTCTTCTGGCCTGTCTGCCTGTGGTGGTTAAATTTGTTTTGTTTAGGGAATTCTTATCTTTATCCACTTTTTAGTTTTATTTGTGTCTGCAAAAGCAACATTCATTGTTATTTTCTTGTAAACCACTCTGCCTCCAGATCCAAGGTGCTATAAATAAGTGCATGAGGGGAAAGTGAAAAATGAAACATTTATTAAAAAAGAAGAAAAAAAACCCAGTAACATCAACTACCAAAAAAAAAAATTAAGAAAAAACTTAATGTTGTTGCTTATGTTTTAAAATTATTTTGATAATAAAATACATAAGGTAATTATTTATTTTAGTAAATAGCACATTTTAAAAGGTATGGAAGATACAAGTGAAAAGAAGACGGAAAGCTTGCCTGTAATTAGATCACCCAGATACCACTCCCACAAGAAAATCCCCAAGACACATATTTTGAAAATGAAGATATTTAAGTTATTTTGATATAACAAATGGATAGAGCAGCTGTTGATCAATAGATTTCACCAATTGCTGCCTTTCTAAATGAGCATCATCTGATCTGAGATTATTAAATGTTATATAATTTGAGTTGATACTAATAGCATTTGTTTGAACTGATGTCTCAGGTCTTTTGAAGAGATATGATACAGTTCACTACCACGTGGCATGTAGGATACCAGTGGAGAACGTATTTTAAAAAATTTTGATTTCTGCTTAAAATTAAGTGTTAATAGTCAATGTTTATACTGATTATATGTTGAAATAATAATTTGAAGAAAGTGGGTTAAATAAAATATATTATTAAAATTAATTTCACCTACTTCTGCTTTTTTCTTTACTGTGGCTACAGACAAAATTACATATGTGGCTCACATGATATTTCCATTGGCCAGAGCTGATCTAGAATGATGCAGATCATCCCCTCTCCAACTCTTGGTGTGTTTGATAATCTGAATTGTAACATATACAGAATGGCAATTATTTGAATAATTTCAGCACCAAATTACTCCTTTGTTAACCAATTCACTATATTGTTAATTTCACAGTAACTTTATATTGTGTACTCAGGTGGCTCCATAGGATACCTTGCTTCAGGGAACTGTCATAGAAAATGGTCATGAGAAGCTATCCTTCTGTGTTCATAAGATATCACTAACGTAACAAAACCATGATGATAGAGTCATAAAGATTAAAGATTATTCTACAATTTAAAAACTCCTTTCCGATATATTTAAGATATGTCCAGTTTCTCTTATACCTTGCTAGGCCCCTGTTTTAGTTCATTTCGGGTGCTATAACAAAATATCAAACACTGGGTCCCTTATAAACATACATTTATTTCTCATAGTTCTGGAGGCTGGGAAGTACCAGATCAAGGCACTGGCAGATTCTGTGAATGGTGAGGGCCTCATAGATGATGCCGTGTTGCTGTGTCTTCATATGGTATGGAAGGGGCAAGGCTGCTCTCTGGTACCTATTTTATAAGGGCACTAATCCCATTCATTAGAACTCTGCCCTTGTGATCTAATTGCCTCCCAAAGACCCCACCCCCTAATACCATTACTTTGGGGGTTAGGATGTCAACATATGAATTTGGGGGGAATATAAACATTCAGACCATAGCAGCCCCCTTAATAGGTCTTGCTTTGTCTAAGGCATTACTGGGTAAATTTCATAAAGCTTATGTATTTCCTCCTCGGCTTCTCACTCCCCACAAGTGTCCCAGGGTATTGCATTTTAATAAGTCAGGCCTGAATCCACTTCTGGACAGCATTCATTTTCTTTTGTTCTTCTTTTTTTTTTTTTTTTTTTTTAGTAGGAACAGAGTTTCACCATGTTAGCCTGGCTGGTCTTGAACGCCTGACCTCAGGTCAGGTGATCTCCCCGCCTCAGCCTCCAAAAGTGTTGGGATTACAGGAGTGAGCCACCACGCTCGGCCTCATTTTCTAATTTGGGATTACAGGGGCCTCATCGATATGATTCAGTGGAGTGTTGTCTGACCCTTCCAACCCTTTCCCATCACATTCACAGTTTTCTGGGCTAGGAAATGCAGTTATCCTATGCTGTTTTACAAAACTATAGCATTGGAATGGCTCTTCATTCTGATTTAATCTATTGAATATATATCGGGTTAGACTAAGTCACAAAGTATTTTTAGCTCTTTGGCTGAGGGAGGAAAATGAGAAGAAATAGCCCTGGGGCCTGGGTTATTGCTCCCTAGCTAGCTTCATTAAGATGTTCAGTGAACATCTGTTGGATGCTAAAGTCAACCTATTCAGCCCCTATCCTTTTCTCAAGGAGGTGGGAGGGAGTGTTTAACTGTTTTATTGTGGTATAAGTTATAATTGTTTAACTGTTTTATTGTGGTATAAGTCATAATTGACAATAAACTACACATATTGAGAGTGTACAATTTGTTGAATTTTGGCTGTTTTGAAGCTATCCCCCACAATCAAGATAGTGAACATATCCATCACCCCCGAAAGTTTCCTCATGCATCTTGGTAGTCCTTTCCTCTACCCACCCCTCCCATCTCCAAGTAAACTACTCATTTGCTTTATGTCACTGTAGATTAGTTTGCGTTCTCTAGAGCTTTAAATACATGGAATCATACAGTATGTTCTCTTTTGTCTGACTTCTTTCACTATGTGATTATTTTGGGATTCATCCATGTTGCCTGTATTCATAGTTCAGTACTGGTCATTGCTGAGTAGTAGTCATTGCATGGATATACCATTAAAGAGTTTTTAAGTCATTTAGAACTCTCCTGCACTTCCGTTGTCTTATGGTGCGTATTCATTCTTGGTTTTGTGAGGGAGGAAAAATTTTACTCTTTGAGGTTCTATAAGTGAGGCCTGTGAATTAAAACTAACAGAACACAGATTAACATTTAATTGATGTTTTTAATTTCATATTCATGGGGGCTACGCAGAAAAGAAGAGACCCAAAGAAGAGGATAGATTTGGGGTTTTTGCATCATTTTCATGATAAAAGTTGTTCTCACTGGTAAGGGAGAGATGATCATCTTTACAAACGGACATTTCTGTCACATTTACAAAGGGAATTTTGTGTTCTACTTTTACACAGAAAGGGCCAGGGGAGAGAGTGCTCCTGTCTTCCGTTTCCTATTTGCCTTCAGTTCAAAATAATACTGATGCCAAAGTAGCATATTTTGGAGTGGCATGTTCTGATCCCCTTTGGATTCAACTGTGTGAGTCCGACTTTTGTATTTGATGGTGTTTCTCAGTCTTCTTAAATTCATGCCCCATTTTGATAAACATAACATAGAAAATTTAAAGGCCCTTATTTAAATGTTGGAGCTACAAAATATGTAAGTCAATAGTTTAAAAAATACTACCGGTAATTGTAAAAAAGATTTAAAAATATTTAATTTTGAAAGATAGGAGATGATTAAGTAAAAAGTCAGGAGATTATTGAGGCTTTCCATAAACTTTTGTATCCTACCGTATGAAGAGTTTAAGCACAGCACAGTAGTTTCAGTATTGAACCCAATGCTTTATTTTGACTGCTTGCTAAATATTCCTCACCCACTTGCATGTTTTCTGTAATTCTTACCATGTTTGATAGATCTGTCACTCCTGTGACAAATGTATATGACAGTCATATAGTGAATTGGATAACAAAGGAGTAATTTGGTGCTGAAATTATTCAAATAATTGCCATTCTGTATATGTTACAATTCAGATCATCAAACACCCCAAGAGTTGGAGAGGGGAAGATCTGCATCATTCTAGATCAGCTCTGGCCAATGGAAATATCATGTGAGCCACATATGTAATTTTAAGTTGTCTGTAGCCACAGTGAAGAAAAAAGCAGAAGTAGGTGAAATTAATTTTAATAATATATTTTGTTTAACCCAGTTTCTTCAAATTATTCTTTCAAAATATAATCAGTGTAAACATTGTTGAGATATTTTACTTTCTTAAAAAAAAAAAAAAGCTCTCCAAAATATGCCATGTCTTTTACCCATGTCTTTTATCATATTGCCTTTAGAACTAGCCAAGGTGTAAGTGCCCAGTAGTGTGTTTCAGTGTGGCTCCTGGCTACTGTGTTGGTCAACACAGCTTTAGCTCATGCAGCTAAGCTATAAGGTCAGATGAAATCAAGAAATAAGATGTCTTCATTCTGTTATGAAAACCTGTTATGTTGGCTGGAACCACTCAGCCTTTTTTGGGTCATTTGTAATGTTTATATATTGTCTGTACCTTCTGATCACTTAATTGAAGTGACGAACAAAATAAATAAAACAACATTTAAAGCAGATGTCCTTTCTGGATTATTACGAAAGTAAAAGTTGGTTTGTGCTCTTAATATTAATGTTTAGTCTTTTGAGTGCCAGAGTAAAAAGCAGTTAATGGAGGCATTTAAATAGTAGATGAGTTAATTAAGAAGCAAATAGTCACGTTCATTGAAAGAATAAGCCCTTTTAAAATGCTTTCATGGAGAAAATATCACTTGTCAAGATAACCCCAATGAATCCTATAGAATTACATATGGTAACTAAATAGTGTAGCTTGTTACATTATCTGTGAATTAGTAATTAGGAGATCGAATTGCTGCATGCTTATTTATCTTATATGGCTAAGGTACGTGTTCAGATAGGTTCATAGTAATTTGGATTTCTTCATGCAATTTTCCCTTATCTGAACTACCTGGAATCTTGCCAGCAAGATGTAAATTGTCATTTCTTGCTGAATTTTCTTAGTGTATTCTCAGCAGTGTGGACTACCAATGACTGACAAGCTTATCAGCGGATTTAGACAGTAACATCTCTTTGCTGGCAGAGGACTACAGGGTTCTCTCTAGGAATTCTTTGGTACAGATTATGAAAAATACTTCTTTTATTGTGAACAGATTTTATTTTTTTCTTGTTTGTATGCATGTTCAATTAACAGAAGCACTAGAGGTACATTTGTTTTGGTTTAGTATGGAGCTGAATAAGAAAGGATCATGGCAAATTTTATTTTTTTAGATAATATGCTCCTCTCTATATGTACACTATTTCATCTTGGAGCTTGCAGGAATGTTATTGATTCCACTAGGATTTTTAATTTATCTCACAGCCATTACTTCTGGTGCTGGGGATATAGCCCTGAGAGAAAAAGGAAACAACAGCAACACAAAACTTCCTACCTTCATGAAATTAAAATTCAATTATTTCCTGTTTTCTAGAGGCATTTCAAACTCAGTATGTCCAAAAGGAATATAACCATATTTCTCTTTCCTCTAAAACCATATATTTATCTTTCTGCTGTTCTTTTGGCTAAATGATGTCCTGATAGTTCTAGTTTCCCAGATTAAAATCACTGGGAGAGTTGACCTCTGTTTGTCTCACTCATTCACCCCTCCTGGCCCTAACAGTTACCAACTGGTCACTGAGTCCTTTTGATTGCCTCTAATGAATGAGTCTGTATCTTTTCTTTTTTTTCTTGCCATTACCTTCATCTAGGCTCTCATCTTTTTCTATGAGGTTTTTTTAACAACCTAACATCTGGTTGTATTATCATTAGTTCTTTTCCCTCTTTGGTGGAATATTTACACTATTGCAAGAATTGTTTTATCAGAAAATAAATTTTCTCTATCCCTGTAATCCCTGTACCCTCCAAACTCCCTCCCCAATGTCCCTGCATGGTCCAGCATGCCTGCAGGGCAAAGCCCCAGTGAGGCCATGGAAACATTACCTTCCTAGCTCCTGTCATTCTGGACCCAAGTACTGCAGCCTCACTGTCATCAAATTATCTGGGTTCTTTATGGTTTTGTTGCCTTAGCAGATGTCCTTCCCTTAGTGAGAAATGCCTTTCCCTTTACTGCTCTCCTCCACACTCTCCTTATCGGCTCATACTTCGAGATGATTCATGTGTCATATCTCTTACAAATTCTTTCTGACTCACGTTGGCAGTATTGAATTCCTCTGTACTCGGAACTTTACCTATCACGTTGCCGTATAATTACTTACCGTTTTCCACTAAATTGGGAGCTCAGAAGTTAGATAGTTATCCTCATTCTTCTTTTGTCATATGCTTCAGTGACAGAGGTGGATAAAGACTTGGGGGCCTGAAGTATATGGAATTTGGGGTGGTTGTCTGAAAAATAATAGAAAATTATAAATACAAAATTAGATATAAAAAATTTATTTGAATAAGAATTGAAGGATCCTATGCAAGTACCTTCATGCTAAATCTTTCTATACACATGCTAAATCTTCCTATACACATGGCTAGGAATATGTAAGTGCTCACTTAATACTTGATGAATTGGTGTGGTTTTTTGGGATGTATTATAAGTACCATCTGTATATCTAGATCTCTCTCTCTCTATGTGTGTATATATATATATATATAATTTTCCTTTTGCTGTTCATTTTTTAAAATTGAAACATGATTAATTAGCCATTCTGATGCTAATACTGTTGCTAATAATAAATGTCTAATGCTTCCATGCTTCTTCCCATTTCCAAACACTTTTGAATACCTTATCTTACAGGATTTTGACAACTGAGTCACAAGGAAAGTGACTCAGACTTAATGACTCTGTGTTTTGCTACTTTGTGCGTGAAGGAAAAGGGAGCTGAAGTTCTTCCTTTGAGATCAGATTTCACTTTGGTGGGAGAAATGACAGTTCTTCCTGTGCGTCTGTAACCTCAGTCAGCACCACTTTGCTCTATATTCTGTTAGCCTGGTGAATGCTAAGGAATTTTCTGAGAGTTTTCCAAATCATCTCAGTGCCATTCCATCTTTCCATCCCTTCTCCCTTTCAGCTTCCTCAATTATTTCTTCTTCCTTTCCTCCCCTGTTACTTGTGTCTTGCCATACATCAAACACATTCTTCTCCATGTCTTTTCTCAGATAAATTGATACTTTTAAGTGTCATTACTTTGAATAAGCTGAATTTTGTAGTTTGCAATTTTCAAATTCATTTCTGCTTCTTGGAAGTACTATGGGGTGTGTCTTGGGATCCTGAGTAGTGTAAAAAGTACACATAATTTTCAGCAATGGAAAAGAAGATATCATAAAGCTCTGTACTTTACAGCATAGGTAAGACAGCTCTATTACTTAAAAGCTTCATGAAGGAGAAAACACTATCTTTCTGAACCTCAATTTTCTTGTCTGAAAATGAGGGTATAAAGTATGGAGCTCTTGGTAGGATTAAAGGAAATGCATATTTGTAAAGGACATAGGTTTTGTTTAAGAAAACAGGGATATTTGGAAGCTATTATAAACAAATGGTTTCATTTCAAACAGTAAAACTGACGCCAATTTCATTGCCTAAAAAATTTACTTATGTAGCCTATTTTATTTTCTGGGAAAGTCATTATTATAACATGCGATAGCAGTCAATTCTTAAATGCAATTTTATTATTAGTTGTTATTGAATAGCATTTTTAAGAACCCCAAATAATAGATTGTTGCTTTAAATTGTGTATTGCAACCAAGCCTACATTTTAGACATTCCAGTGATGAATATATATTTGGAAAGTTTTGCCTCTTGGAGTATTTGGTGGTGGGTATATTCCTGAGGAATAAAGTTGCCTTTTTACATCAGCGAAATGATATGGAAAGTTAGTTTGTTACTTAGCGACTCTAGTCAGGGTAGACATCCCTCTAATTAAGGCTTTTAAGCCTTTGTCCTTCTTAATTCCTTCCTCCTCCTTCTCTTTCTCTGCCCCCAAATCCTTGAGTAGCTGAATGAGATTACTTTTGCATGAAACTATTCAGATAGTTATTGACATTTCATTATATAGACTTTTCAGTACCCCACATAATAATGGCTGAAGAAATATGATTGCTTAATAAAAGGTCTGAGTTAGGGAGCCTTGGAAAAGTTATAGTATTTTCTTTGACTCTCTACTGAATCTATTAAATGTGGTCTTAACAAGTTATGTGTTTGGAAAGAGTAAAAGCTTACAAAATTTTCTTACATCTTCAAATAATTAAGATTGATAATTGAAAAAAAATTGTTGATTTCTTCTGTCTGCTGAATTTAAGGGTTCTGAATTGCTAAATACTCCACCAAAAGTATTGCAAAGAATGGGCCAAGAGAAGGAGAAAGAGAATGTGATTGTTCACAAGCCCTTCTCAGTACATGCATCTGTGGTACTTCTCCGTGCAGAGTTGGAACTAAACCAACAGGAGTCAAACCACTAGTCACCACAAGCACAGTACAGGAGAGAAAAACAACCACATTAAATATTATTCCAAAATGCTGTTTTCTTCCCAGAGGACTTCCGATGAGAAATTTGAGCCTGCTCTTTCCTGAGTGAAGTTTGTAAACTTTGTTCCTGTCCACATTCAGCAAAGGGAAATCATGAAAGCCACTGACTGAATTTAGGAGGCGCTGATGGTTGGGGAAGGATAAAAATATCTAATTATGTATAGTACTTATAGCTCAGTGATACCTAAGGAGTTTATGCAATATACAACACTCTTCATAATTTTTGTAGAAAAGATTCCAGGACGGGAGAAGCCATTTGAAATGGTAATAGAGAAATTGTGGAAGTAGAGTTATTTTAAGAGTTGGGAAAGTCCTAGAAAATGATCTTGGGAGAATATATAAACCTGAAGTTGGATGGGGAGGTATGTTGAAGCAGCATGATTGTAATACTATGGTCTTCTCTCCTACCTCCTAGTTCCACAGTTTTGTCTGTATTGGAAATATCGTCTCCATCCTTTAACACTTTCCCCTGAGGAGCCACTCAGTCACAACTGACAAGCCACCTATTGTTCTGCCCCAGTGTCATCGAGATCTCACAAAGTCAATGAAAATCCTGTCCCTGAGAGGGCAGCTGAGAAATGGCAGACATGTTTTGTACTATCACCTCCGACAGCAGTTGGTAGGTTCTAACAGAGACCAGCTGCCAACTATATTTCTGGGTCCCATGGGTATGCTTTTGAGTACCAAATGCTTTCTTTTCTTCTTTTCTTTTTGAGATGGAGTTTCGCTCTTGTTGCCTGGGCTGGAGTGCAATGGTGCAATCTCGGCTTACCGCAGCCTCTGCCTTCCAGGTTCAAGTGATTCTGCTGCCTCAGCCTCCCCAGTAGTTGGGATTACAGGCATGCGCCACCACACCTGGCTAATTTTGTATTGTTAGTAGAGACTGGATTTCTCCATATTGGTCAGGCTTTTCTTGAACTCCCGACCTCAGGTGATCTGACCGCCTCAGCGTCCCAAAGTGCTGGGATGACAGGTGAGAGCCCAAATGCACGGTCGACCTGCCCAGGACACAGTCGACCTGGGCTCATTGAATTGCCTCATTCCAGGCAGGCAAAAGAGCAGGAGGTAAGAGCCTGAAGTAATTTCCCTGGAGAATTTGTTGCCAGTGTAGGAACTGCACTGAAGAATTCTGTGGCACAAAGTTAAGTCTTCTGCATGTTTTAGATTTCCCCCAAGAAAATAATGTGGCTACAGTGAGTGCTTTATGGGCAGCCTCTGGAGTTTGGCATTGACACATTGTTGTGTTCACCTGCAAGGGCAGCTCTTGGAAGAATCCCCCTGCCTGGTTCTATGCAAGAAATATGCCTGGCATCTTGTGTCTTGGCCCTTAACACTGAAAATGTGGTACAAATAGGGGCAATCTGCCCAACAACCTGCATTCCTTTGGGTCTAACTAAGGAGTGAGAGAACAGAAGAGGCCAAATCTTAATTCTCAGAACTTAAATCTTTCCCCTCAGTCACCATGTTTGGTGTGAGTTAACAGTTTGAGGGGAGGGTCCCCTGTCCAATAGAGATACATTAAGGAACATTATGAATGAAAAGTATGTAAAATGGATGTTCAGAGAGAAGGTGTTAGAATCCATAGTTCCCTAATGTGTATTTTGGACTCTTTTTTTTTTTTTTTTTAAATTATGGGTGAGGGTTAATGGGGAAGGAAATAAATATAATGCAATGGGCTATAAACGATTGGTTTAAACATTTTTAGAAAAGGAAAGTCAGACCTTTCAGAGGGTCGGTTGAGTTAGTCCAGCAGTCCAGGGTTCTGATCCCAGACACACCACTGATTTGTTATGTAATCAAACCTCAGTGAGCTTTAGCTTCTCTCTGACCTATATGTTTTTTGACGCTCCTTTCAACTTTAAAATTAACTTTATAGTCGAGCGTAAGCAGTAAATAAGGGTATTTAACTCAAAGTATCATAAAATATATATAATTCTGGAAGTGGATATGAATCTGCTAATATTCTTTATAAAAGTTGTGTATCTATGTGTTTTAGGAAATCTGCAGGTAAAGTAAGAATGTATATACTGTTTGAAAGATCATTTTGCCTCAGACCAACCATCTTAAAAATAAAAATAACTTTCAAAAGCCAAAGCAAATGTAATGAACATGTTTTTTGGTATAAATACATTTGTTATATAAGAATACTTGTAAGTAATAAAATACTTCAATTTCCATATTATATATATTTTCATTTTCAGTAGGCTTCACTCCCTCCATTAGAAAATTAATAGGAAAAGGTATGATACTATACTATTTTCACCAAACTTTCTTAAAGTATGTGGATTCTTGGTCAATGTAGTGATTTTGATCTGTGTATGTTTATATAATTGTGGATTAACATGCCTCTTTTCCATAATTTAGTATTAGCTTATATATATTGTGTGACTAACTGTTCATTTTATTGTCATTTGAATATTCATAGAAGATATATAAGTTTTATTTAAACTGAAACAGGTTTATATTTATACTGTCTTGGGATCCCCCATAATTCACAAAGGTGGGGTTTTTGAACGTATGTTCAAAGTAAAACAGCAATAGTTGTTCATCACTTCCTGCCCTCCTGCTCTCTGATGAGAAGTTGACTAATCCAGGGCCATAAGTATCTGCTTCTAAGGCCTGTATCTCAAACAGCTTGGTAAAATTAGAAGCAGAGTAGCATCAGAAAATGAGAATAAAGCTTCGTTTTTAATAGTAAAACTGAAAATGATTCTTTATGAGATATATTTTGAAGAAATGTTTTCATAATATTTCCTTTAGTTTTGCTGGAATTAGGTAGTCTAGCTGAATAAATTATTGTTCTGGGAGAATTTACCAATGTTAACATTATTTTTTCCCGAATAAGTTAGTATTATAGTTTTAGGCGAAATCTTTTTTTTTTTTTTTTTGCCAAACAAGGACAAGGAGGATTTGAAAAATATTGCACTAATCATCTCTAGTCCTAGCCTCTAAAACTAGATATTGTTAACATTTTCACATATCGGCTGCCTTATTTTTGTAATAGTTATTATGAAAAATTTCAAATGTACATAAATGCAGTGAATCCTCATATATCCATCATTCTGTTTTAACAACTACTAGTTCATGGTCAGTCTTGTTTCTTCTCTTGTCTCAGACATTTCCCTTGTCCCTTTCCTGGAAGTTTTTGAAGCAAATTGTGGACATTATATCATTTTATGCATAAATATTTCAACCCAGCTGCTTTTTACATGCATAATTTAAAACCATTATAAAAATACAGTTTCCTTACACAAAAAAAAGAGAAAGCTAAATTCCCCCATTGAGTCCCCCCGTATGCGGCTACTCCTTCCATTTGTCCACTCCTAACTGCTGTCATTTTAGAATGTGTCCTTTTAATCCATTGTTGAATACGATGAAAGTATGTATATACATATTTTTATGTGGCCCATATACTATTTTTTATATTTAAAAAATATAAATAAACTACTTATTCTGTAAATCTCCATTTCATTATTGAGATTTGGACTCTGAGTCTGTTCTTTAAAAAATGAGTCTAACCCACTTGTGTTTATTGTGAATATGGATATCTGAATTTATTTTGTTGCCCTTGTTTTGTGTTTTTTGTTTACTATGGCTTCTCCTTTTTCCTTTTTTTCTCATTCCTAACCTCTTTTAGATTGCTAGAGTATTTTTTGTTCATCTTTTTTTCATCTTGGTGTATATATTATATAGACTCTATTTCTGTTTTTTTAGTGGTACATTAAAGTTTTAACGTGTATACTTGGCTGAATTTTTCTAGTAGAGTTTGAAGAAAGAACATTTCTATCCTCCTATGAAGAGAACTCTTTTTAATTTTTATTATTATTTTTTTGAGACAGGGTCTTTCTCTGTCGGCCCAGACTGAAGTGCAGTGGTGCGATTACATGTCACTGCAGCCTCTACCACCTGAGCTCGGGTGATCCTCCCACTTCAGCCTCCTGAATAGCAGGGACTACAGGTGTGTACCACCACTCCTGGCTAATTTTTTTTTTATTTTTTGTTATGTTGCCCAGGGTGGTCTCAAACTACTGGGCTCAAGCGATCCACCAGTCTTGCCCTCCCAAAGTGCTGGGATTACAGGCATCAGCCACTGTGGCTGGCCTGAATGCAGATTTTTGGTCAGAAATATTTTTACTATTTATAAATATTGTTCACAGTTACTAAGATTTCATTTATATAATGAAAATTTGTCAGAGCTCACATTCCTTTTTTTTTTAATTTTTAATTTTCATTTTCTAGGAACAGGGTCTTGTTCTGTTGCCCAGGCTGGAGTTCAGTGGCGTGATGATAGCTCACTATAGCCTCAATCTCCTGGGCTCAGATAATCTTCTCACCTTAGCCTCCCAAGTAGCTGGGACTACATGCATGTGCCTCTACGCCTGGCTAATTTTAACAATTTTTTTTTTTTTTTTTTTGTAGAGACAGGTCTCACTTTGTTGGCCAGGCTGGTTTTGAGCTCCTGGCTAAAAGTGATCCTCTCACCTTGGCTTCTCAAAATGCTGGGCTTACAGGTATGAGCCACCATACTCTGTCAGTTACCTTTGTTTTAACAGTGGATTTATGTTTTATTTGGTGGCAGCTTATGGCTTTTCTCAGGCTCTGAGCAAAACAGAACTTTATAGTGTTATATTCACCCATCAAGTGTAGGAGCTTCCCTGCCCTTTGTTTTTCTGATGTAACTATCTCTCCTGTAGGATTATTAATTATTTAGTGGTCCTACTAAAATTGTCTTTGCTCCCTCAAATGTTTATTAGAAGTACAGTGTACAAATGAAATAAAGGAACAAGGGTATTTCGTAAGCAAGGGTATTTGAGAGGGTTTTTTTTTTGGATGTAATGATATGGTACCATACCAAAGCAGACTGTGTTTGAACAAATAGGTGTGTTTAAATGGAGCAAACAGAGCTTCATACAACATACCTCTGGCAAAATGGAGTTCATTGTAAAAATGGAGATCAGTGATTGTGCATCTGTAGGGACCAGTTACTCTATTTTCCTCTTATTGGCTGTGTTGCATCTCCCAAGGAATGCCTGCCTCTCTTAATGTCGGCTGTATTCTGTCTCTATCAACTGACTTGTTTTTGCTGTCTCATAACTCTGGCTTGTGTGTACCCCATTTTAGCTTCTTCATCCCTTACTCAGCCACCTTCTATCTTCTCAACTCTTGTTCTACCATTAATTGACTTATTCTCTCAATATTTCTTAAGTTCTTAAGAGACACTGTAGTCCATTCATGTTTTTCATGTCAGCACTTAGATTGGCTTCCCTTGAATTAGGGAGCCCAGCCCTGGTTCCCTTGGTTATGGTTGGAAGAAAGGGGCGAAGCATAGTACATGATAGCATAGTCCTTGGAGGAGGGCCTGCGGAATGGTTGAATTCTGTATTTGTCAGCTTGGGCTGCCATAACAAATTGTTTAGAAAGGTGTAAACCATAGAAATTTATTTTCATGGTATTGGAGGTTGAAAGGTCTAAGATCAAGGTCTGGTAGGGTTCTGCTTCTGATGAGGGTTTTGTCTGTGGCTCGCAGGTGGCTACCTTCTTGTGTGCTCATGTGGCCTTTCCTCAGTGCTTGCACATAGACAGTGAGACAGATTTTCCTCTCTTCCTCTTTCTAGAAGACCACCAATTCTATTGGATCAGAACCCCACCCTTATATCCTCATTTAACGTTAACTGTTTCCTAAAAGACCTGTTTCCAAAATCAGTCACACTGGAGTTAGGGCTTCAACATAGGAATTTTGGGCAACACAGTTCATTCCATAGCAACATCGTAAGGTACTATACTCAGCTATTCAAACTCTATTAGGGCAGACATTTCTAGAATAGTCACAACACTGACATGTTCCTTGTAGTATTACCATCCATCAGTAACCAAAGCCCGGAAAGGTGGGATTTATCCTAAACCCATCTTCCTTACCTCCATATTACCATGTCACAGTACTTACATCTCTTAACTAATCTTAATCTAGCTCCCATTTTCCTTTATTTTCCTTTTCTTCTCTAGTTTTGAAAATGCCTCTTACCTGGCTTCTTTATCCATAGCTTCTCTTGATTTTTGTATGTCCTCCATACCATTGCCAGAGTGATCTTTCTAAAGATCACTTTGCCAAAATAAACTTCTAATTAAATCTAAACTCTTTAATGGCTGGGTGCAGTGGCCACACCTATAATCCCAGCTCTTTGGGAGGCCTAGGTGGGTGGATCACTTGAGGTCAGGAGTTCAAGACCAGCCTGACCAACATGGCAAAACTGTGTCTCTACTAAAATTACAAAAAAAAAAAAATTAGCCGGGCGTGGTGGCAGGTGCCTGTAATCTCAGCTACTCAGGAGGCTGAGGCACGAGAATAGCTTGAACCTGGGAGGCGGAGGTTGCAGTGAGCCGAGATTGTGCCACTGTACTCCAGCCTGAGTGACAAAGTGAGACTCCATCTCAAACAAAACAAAAAACAAATCTAAACTTTTTAAGAGTAGTATGGAGGACCCTCAGTAATTCAGCCTTTACTCACATCTCCAGGCTCATCTTCTCCGTCTCTCCTTTTTCCTCAGCCCCAATCCAGGTTACTATATAAGAAACTACATGCAGTGCTCAGAAGGTACCATGCACTCTTGCATTTATGTGGGGAGCTCTTTCATCAGACCTTCTCCCCCACCTATTCTTTAAGACTCTGTGCAGGGGTCTGTGACTCCAGGAAGTTTCCCTGACTTCTCAGTTAAGCTTGGGTGACCCTCCTTTGTGTTCTTGTATTTTAATTGTTCATTTCTTTTCCTTTCATTCACTTGTACGTGAGTTCCCAGGTTGTATCATCATTTCTCCAATGCTGCTACTAGACAACATGCTAGTCATGTAAGTGCCCCATGTGTATTTGCAGAATCAGTGAATGACAGAATTTGAGTCCTTTTCTACTCCCTTGACCTTCCCTGCATTTTCTTTTCTTTTCTTTTTGTTTTCCGAGACAGACTCTTGCTCTGTTGCCCAGGCTGGAGTGTGGTGGCTCGATCTCAGGCTACTGGGGAGACTGAGGCAGGAGAATCGCTTGAACCCAGGAGGCGGAGGCTATATTAGGAAGCCTAATGTATCCAGCGGAGGCTGGATTAGGCAGCTCTCTCATTATATTAAAGTTTCACAGGAAGCGTGAAAGCTAAAATGATTTTGTATGTTGTTATTTCTAAGCTAGCATGTACATAGTAGGATTGTTAGATAAAATAACAGATGTCCAAATTAAGTTTGAATTTCAGATAAAATTGGATTGAGCTGTATTGAGCCTCTGCCTCCTGGGTTCAAGCGATTCTCCTGCCTCGGTCTCCCCAGTAGCTGGGACTACAGCATTTCCATTTCAGGTAATTTATCTGGCAGTTTCATAAAGAAAGAACAAGAATATTAATCAGTATTTGAAGTATGTTGTGAAGTTAATGTTCTTTAATACTTGATTTTCTTTCATTTTGGTGGGCAAAATTGAATTAATCTTATTTTCATTGAATAAATTTAGGAAGATTTATAAATGTCTACTTGAAAATAAAAATTGTATTCATGAATGCTTTTTTGATCAAAGCCTATAAAAATGAGGGAGAAGTTCAGAAGAACAGATGCTAAGAAAAGACTGAGTGATTTCTGTTGGATGACTACATGATTTGGTGGGTACTGTGACATTTCTATACTTTTAGAGCTGTAGTTCAGTAATGTTACCCAAAAGTAGGAATTATGACTGAAAGTATAAATATTGCTGTTATGGACAATTGGATTTATGAAAAACTACTTGCAATTGACTACAACTGTGCCTTCGTCTGCTTACTTCAGGTACTGCTGAGGCAACTATGAATGATAGAAATGGTAAATTTAAATGCAAAAACAGATGCTGAGCAACTCTGACAAGCTGCAAGCCATTGAAACAAGCCCTTTTAATGTCGTATTCCTTTTTCAGTCAGAATTGTTTAAGATAAGTAGAAAATTGTATGCATTTGGGCAGTTTCTCTTCATAGAGTTATTTTTAGCCTAAAACATATTTTCACTTGTTAGTTGCCATATAATCTGCATTGAGCAGAATGGTTTGTGTTATGTTTCAAACGCTGATTCTCTACTTCGTAAAAGCTGTGCCTACATGTTACCATTACAACTTGTTGAAATGTAAAATGATTACTCAGTTAATCAGTTCCTATTTCTAAATAATACCAAATATTCTGTTTTATTTTTATCCCCTTCTGACACTAGTGTTACCAACAAGTTGTTGGAGAATCATATGGTCACAGGTAAAATCTTTGAGATTTATTAAGGATTAGGCAGCTGTCTCATTATATTAAAGTTTTACAGGAAGCGTGAAAGCTAAAATGATTTTATATGTTGTTATTTCTAAGCTAGCATGTACATAGTAGGATTGTTAGATAAAATAACAGATGTCCAAGTTAAGTTTGAATTTCAGATAAAATTGGATTTTAGTATAAATATGTCCCAAGTGTGGCATGGGACATACACTAAAAAATTATTCATTTACCTGAAATTCAAATTTAACTAGCATCCTGTATTTTTAGTTGATAAATCTGGCAACCCTCTATTAAGGTATAAAATTTGATAAACACAAAAGTAATGCAGTGCAAAGTAAGATTATCTCAGTGTCCTTCAGCCCTGCCATATCCCACTATCATTGTCTTTGAAAAAGTTGCAGAATAGTCTATGCTTCTATAAACATACACCAATCGATTTTTACTTACCTAAGCAATTACCCTCCTCTTCTTCTGTACAAAGTGTAGCAACTTAATACCTTGTTCTGTATCTTCTTTTTTATAAATTTGACAATATATTTTCACCGTGTGATTTTTGTGAGACAGTTTGGAAAATATGGGTAGTGTGATAGAGTTTGGGCTTTAAAATAAGGGACAGTAGGGTTCAATTCCAAGTTCTCCCATTTACTAGCTGTTTGACCTTGAGTAAGACCTTGACCTGTCCTTTTCTCTGTTGTGTTATCTGGAATAATGTGTCAGGCACGGGAGGCTATTGTGGGGAGCAAGATGGTCAGAGTCCCCACATGCATGATGGAACGTGTATAAACTGCACTTGCCTAGCACTCTGGTGCCTAACAGATATTGAATTCATTGAGCTGTTATTGGTATGTCTTATGGTTCTGAGAGCTAAGCCTATTGGAACAGATTTTAGGTTCAGTTATAACCAAATAGTGATATGGCCACTAGCAGGATACATGAACAGCAGCTAGAGGGAAACTGGTATTTTTTCTGTACCAGATTTGAATACAGTTGTCCCACGCCTTGGAACATGGGGGATACATTCCAAGACCCCCAGTAGATGCCTGAAACCAAACATAGGACCTTACCCCATATATACAGGTCTATGTTGTTTTATTGAATTTTGTCTTATTGTGCTTTGCAGATATTGCATGTTTTTTAAATAAATTGATGGTTTATGGCAACTCTGTGTCAAGCAAGTCTATTGGTGCCATTTTTTTCCAACAGCACATGCTTACTTTGTGTCTGTGTGTCACGTTTTGTTAATTCTTATAATATTTCATGCCCTTTATTATTATTATGTCTGTTACAGTGATCTGTGATCAGTAATCTTTGATGTTACCATTTTAATTATTTTGGGGTGCTACAGCCCTGCACATTTAAGATGGTGAACCTAATAAATGTTGCACATGTTCCAACTGCTCCATCAACGGGCCGTTCGCATTCTTTTTCCCTCTTCTGAGGCCTCTCTATTCCCTGACACAGAACAGTATTGAAATTAGGCTATTTAATAACCCTGCAATAGCCTCTAAGTGTTTAAGTGAAAGGAAGAGTTGCATGCCTCTCACTTTAAACCAAAAGCTAGAAATAATTAAGTTTAGTGAAGAAGGCATGTTGAAAGTAGAGATAGGCTGAAAGCTAAGTGTGTTGTGCCAAACAGCCAAGTTGTGAATGCAAAGGAAAAGGTCTTGAAGGATTAAAATAGCTTCTCCAGTGACTGCATGTAAAGCAAAACAGCCTTATTGTTGATATGGAGAAAGTTTTAGTGGTCTGGATAGAAGATCAAATCAGCCACAACATTCCCTTACGCCAAAGCCTAATACAGAGCAAAACCCTAACTCTCTTCAATTCTGTGAAGGCTGAGAGAGGTGACGGAGCTGCAGAAAAAATGTTGGAAGCTAGCAGAGGTTGGTTCATGAGGTTTAATGAAAGAAGCCATCTGTATGACATAAAAGTGCAAGGTGAAGCAGCAAGTGCTCATGTAGAGCCTTCAGAAAGCTATCCAGAAGATCTAGCTAAGATCATTAATGAAGGTGGCTGCACTAAACAACAGATTTTTAATGTAGATAAAACAGCATTATATTGAAAGAAGAGGCTATCAGGGACTTAAGTAGTTAGGAGAAGTCAATGTCTGGCTTCAAAGCTTTAAAGAGGCTCTCTCATTAAGAGCTAATGCAGATGGTGATGTCAAATTGAAGCCAGTGCTTATTTACCATTTCAAAAATTTTTAGGGCCCTTAAGGGTTATTCTAAATCTGCTATGCCTGCGTTCTCTGTAAATGGAAAAAGAAAGACTGGATAACAGCACATCGGTTTATAGCATGGTTTACTGAATGTTTTAAGCCCGCTGTTGAGACCTACTGCTCAGAAAAAGGTTCTTATAAAATATATTACTGCTCATTGACAAGGCATCTGGTTATCCAAGAGCTCTGATAGAGTTTCATCAAGAGAGATGAATGTTGTTTTCATGTCGCTAACACAACATCCATTCTGCAGCCCCTGGACCACAGAGTAATTTTGACTTTCAAGTCTTATTATTGAAAAAGTACATTTTGTAAAGTTATAGCTTCTGTACTTAATGATTCCTCTGCTACATTAGGGCAAAGTAAATGGAAAACCTTTTGGAAAGGATTCACTACTTTAAATGCCATTAAGATATTTGTAATTCATGGGAGGAAGGCAAAATATCAACATTACCAGGACTTTGGAAGAAGTTGATTCTGAAACTCTTATGAATAACACTGAGGGTTCAAGACTTCAGTGGAAGAAGTCACTGAAGATGCGTTACAAATAGCAAGAGAACTAGAATTTCAAATGGAGTCTGAAGATGTGACTGAATTGCTGCACTTTCATGATAAAGTTTGAATGAATGAGGAGTTGCTTTTTATGGATGAGTAAAGAAAGTGGTTTCTTGAGATGAAATGTATGCCTGGTGAAGATGTGAACATCGTTGAAATGAAAACAAAGGGTTGAGGCTATTACATAACCTTAGTTGATAAAGTAGGAGCAGGATTTGAGAGGTTCTATTGTGGGTAAAATGCTGTCAAACAGCATCACATGCTTCAGAGAAATCTTTCATGAAAGGAAGAATCAATCAATGTGGCAAAGCTCATTGTTGTCTTATTTTCAGAAATTGTTACAGTGACCACAGCCTTCAGCAACCACCACCCGTCAGTCAGCAGCCATCAACACAAAGGCAAGACCCTCCACCAGCTCAAAGACTGTGACTCACCAAAGGCTCAGATGATCACTAGCATTTTTTGACAGTAAACTTTTTTAATAAAGGTGTATAGATTGTTTTCCTAGACATAATGCTACTGCACATTTAATAGACTACAGTGTAGTGTAAACATGACTTTTGTACGCACTGAGAAATGAAAAAATTCATGTGACCCCTTTTGTTGAGAGATTCACTTTATTGCAGTGGTCTGGAACTGATCCTGCAATATCTCAGATATGCTTGTACCATGTTTTTTTTCCATTTTTTATTTTTATAAATACATACCTATGATAAAGTTTAATTTACAAATTAAGCTCAATAAGAGATTAACAACAACTAATAATAAAATTGAACAATTACAACAATATACTGTGTATTCTTAATTCTCTTTGTGTTGAGGGATTTAGTACCTTGAAATGTAAAAGCAATGTTTTTGAATGTACTTTGAATAACTATTTAAAGAGGCTTCTTAAGGGTTTTTATTAAAATCTTGGATTTTAAAAGTGATTTGTTTAAAGATGTATGGACATTAACATTACATAAATGGCGAATATTCCTGATCTTTCTTTGATAGACCGACCGGTGGTTTCTAATATACATAATTCTGACTTCTTCATACCTTGTCTGAACAGTTGGCTAATTTGACTATCTACAACAGTCTATTCCATTTCAGACTTTATTCATTTTGGGTCTCTATTTCTTCCTTTGGTTTCACTTTATGTAGAGCATGGTCTATTTGAACTTGGAAACAGGGAAGTTAAATCTTGCTTTCTAGAGGCAGCATATTGTAGAAATTAAATTGTGGACTCTGGAGCTAGATGGCTTGTGTTAAGAACCTGGCTCCATCACTTACTAGCGATGTGGCCTTAGACAAGTTACTTAATCTGTCTGTACCTCATTTTCCTTGTTATAAAGTGAGTGGATTGTGTAAGTATTAAAGGACTTAATTGGAAGCATGATTTGAATAGTACCTAGCATGTGATAGGTGCTGTGTGTTTGCTGTTATCATTGCTGCTTCTGCTTCAGCATTAGTGCTGAACTCCTTCTTACCATATCCATAGCTCATCTCTTTTCTGCCTCTCTGATTCATTATTGTCACTGCTTAGCATGAATTGCCCAGAAAAAAAGAAAGAAAATTCCTCAGAACTTGCCATTCTTCTGACATGTTGGATCTTCTTTAAGTCATGCCAGTTGGCCATGACCCACTGTTATCACTCAGGTATCCTTAAGTTTCCATATGGTGTTTAGATGGGCAAAAAGGGAAAGGAAATGGTAGTGTGGTGAAAAGGTGACAAGAGGAATTCGTGGCTGCAATTTGAAGGGAATGGACTCTATCTAAAAAATTTTGTGATTACAGATGAGTTTGTTTATAATTAGAACTGAATCCTCAGTACAGGAGTATCAGGCACAGAAAGGAACAATTTTTAAAAATTCTTATTTTTTTGTCATGGTTGCTAATGGTGAAATCCCCTGAAAAATCTCAAAAAAAGCTATGCATTTATTTTAGGGACATCCAAGCATAGAAAAGAAACTCTGAAACTGTAATTTTAAAGTCATTGAAATACAAAAGAGTAGAGCTCTCTCATCTGGGGGCTTTTTTTTTTTTTAACCTTTGTGTATTTTTTGGGGGAAGAAAAAGTAATTCTGTTTTAACATAACTGACTTGTAGGTGAACTTCTGGACAACAGTGTTTTTCTCAATTAGGAACTGCCTACGCTGTACTTTCTCTGCAGACTTCTCATAAATCAGTGAGCTTCTAAATCCGAGGTCTACCTCCCATGTATGTCAGGAACACTGTCTATCTTTAGAATTTTTTTCATGTGCATACCAAACACATGTATAATTTTATCCTTTCAAAACGTTATAAACATCATTCATTTATAAATAGAGATTCAGATTCAGAAAAGATAAGTGACTTAACAAGGGCGTATAGCTAGTTGAAATTTAAATTCAGGTTATCAGACTCTCTAGTCCATGCTTTTTTTTATTGCTATCATGCTTCCTCCTGGGTGATTAAACATACTTTTGTAGCCCTGGGCTTCCTTATATTGGGGCATCTTTATTCAGGCAATTCTCCTGCCTCAGCCTCTTGGAGCAGCTGGGACGACAGGCACATGCACCACGCCCAGCTAATTTTTGTATTTTTGATAGAGATGGGGTATCACCATGTTGGCCAGGCTGGTCTCGAACTCCTGAGCTCAAGTTATTTGCTGGGATTACAGGCATGAGCCACCATGCCCAGCCCGATTTTTTTTTTTTTTTTTGCGGGGGACAGAGTCTCACTCTGTTGCCAGGCTGGAATGCTGTGGCGCGATCTTGGCTCACTGCAACCTCCGCCTCCCTGGTTCAAGTGATTCTCCTGTCTCAGACTCCTGAGTAGCTGGGATTATAGGCTGGTTCCACCACACCCAGCTAATTTTTGTATTTTTAGTAGAGACAGGGTTTCACCATGTTGGCCAGGATGGTCTGGATCTCCTGACCTCGTGATCCGCCCACCTCGGCCTCCCAAAGTGCTGGGATTACAGGCATGAGCCACCGCGCCCGGCCTATTTATGTGTTTTAATTGCCAGAAGTTAATTGTTTTTGAGGGGGGTTGGCTAATAGTAGGCTGTTTTGTGAAGGAGTATCATATTCTCCTTGTAAATAAGAGTAAATAAATCACCAATTTATTTGTTAATATTTCCCTATATTAGGCCTCATGAAATAATGCAATGCTCGGCATTGGAATGCCTATCTATATGGAATATACTGACTGGACATTAATCCTGAATAAATATATCATAGTTACAAGTTATGCTATGAGCTGGAAATTGGCATACTTTATCTCATTTTTCAAAATATACCCAATGAGTAAGTGTGTTTTAAAAGAAACTGAGGTTGAGATGATAGGTCCCTTGCTCAAGGCCACACTTCTGTTTAAGTTTCAATTCCAGGTCAGAGCCAGTGTCCTCTTTTCTTGACACAAAGGCACTTTTTAAAACAAGTGCCAGTAGTTAAACAATTTAACATTTGAAATGGAGTTGATGTTTCAAATAGTATATTCTACATTGGGATAAGGCAAATCAATACGTACTGTTCTCTCTTATCACACAGAGCTAATTGCAGACATTGATGCTCTGTAGATCTGCTCATCTACATCACATACTTCCCTTTTTGCCAAATGAATTTTGTCTTAAAGAGGTAACAGGAGGCGACTTGTTCTTTCTAAGAGAAATTCCATTTTGCTTCCAGATGAAAAATGAGAACGTGTGGTGGTAGATTTCTTTTCTCTATTGAAGGAATGACTGACTGACTGTCTTCCTCATGATTCAGGGTTTTCTGTGAGGCAAAAGAGAGATGGAACTATGGGGATAGCTGTGCAGATTTGTTCGGCAGCAAAGGCTCAAGATGGGTTAGTGACGTGGATGTTAGCAATGCAGATCTGTATCCAGTATTTCAAAGAATCTAGTTAAGTATTGTTAGAGAAAGATGAGATGTGTGGATTGAAGGAGTTGAGAAGATTTCTTTGAATGGGAAAGAGGAGAACATTATAGTCAGGAGAGTATTTTGAGAACTTTTGAAAAATTTAACACTGTATACTCCCTTTTGTTCAGTTTTTCATCCGTGATTTAAAGTATTATCTTCCAGTGGTTCAGGTACTGCTTGAGTGTCACATTCATTTCTTTTTTTCTTTTCTTTTCCTTTTTTTTTTTTTTTTTTTTTTTGAGATGGAGTCTTGTTCTGTGGCCCAGGCTGGAGTGCGGTGGCATGATCTCGGCTCACCGCAACCACCGCTTCCTGGGTTCAAGTGATTCCCCTCCCTCCGCATCCTGAGTAGCTGGGATTACAGGTGTGCACAACCACACCCAGCTAATTTTTGTATTTGTAGCAGAGACGGGGTTTCACCATGTTGGCCAGGCTGGTCTCGAACTCCTGACCTCAAGTGACGCACTCACCTTGGCTTCCCGAAGTGCTGGGATTAAAGATGTGAGCCACCATGCCCAGCCCACAGTTCATTTCTAATAGGTATGCATGTATTGTCTCCTCAGTTAGGAGTGTGAGCCTTTGAGGGCAGGATCACATTTTCTACTTTTTATGATTTTGCCACAGAATTTCTTATGTGGAGTTAAGTAAGCTCCTTATTCTGTGCTTAAAGATCTGTAAGTGAATACAAGATTATAGTGGTCTGTACTGAGAACTCTTTATGGAAATATGTTTGAAACTTCTGCCACCTTATTTAAAATAGAATTTATGTCTTTTACCTTATGCAAGTATTATGGGTAAATATATACATAGAAGATAATTTTGAATAAGTCCTAAAATGTTTACTTTATTGTCTGTAAAGCGAACTATCTTAAGTTGTATCAACAAGATTTTAATGGTCAAAGGAATTAGAGTTGTATCAAGTGTTCTTCAGAGTATATAGCTTTAGAATATAAAGTTCTGATAAAACATAACCATTCTATTTCTTTTTTGCACAGAGTTCCATTTTAATTGCTGTTAATCATTTCAGAGAAGAACACTGAACTTTGAAAAAAATGTTGGAAGCCATTGGTAAGACTTATTCTTTTCTGCCTACTTTTATAAGAATTGTAACTCCTCCCATTGGGATTTTTGACATATGTTGTGTTTAACATAGCAGGATTCTGTCTATGGTATCTAGATTTAAAAAGTTTTTACCTACTAGCATTGTATTAAGGTAATATGTTTCTGTATTTGGACAATTTCATCTAAAGTGTTGTAAAAATACGTTACTTATAAGCAAAAATTAAAAACATATGAGATATTCTTCCAATTATGGGTTTTAATAAAGCTTAATGTAAGCCCAATTCTGATTTATGAGCCTAATTCTGGTTAATATCTATTTCTGGAAAGCATCTGGAAGTTTAGCAGTATTTTTAATACTGAAAGAAGATATTACTTTTACTTCTGGCAGGTGAAGTTCTACTGAGCTCTTGCTATTAATTGATAAAGAGAAAAATGTTGCTTAGTCTTATGCTTTAAGGCAGTTTAATTTCTACATTAGATAATTTAGGTTGAAATATCTAGATTTCCCAGACTCATGTGTTAATAAACTGTTTTTCCCACTGCTCTTTAGTTTTAAAGAAACTAGTTTGTAGAACCATTTTACAGGTAGATATATCAGGTATGGTACAATACATGCAATTATCTGACATTCTAGTTCCTTACCCTATTCCAGGTAACTCTTTGGGTATGACTAAATGGAAAGTGTTTGGATTTCACTCTGGCACCTTAATCATTATGGCAGATACCTTGATGTCGGTGGGTTTTGAGGGATAGAGTGACAGTCAGTGACAGTAACGGGAGAAGGACTTGTTTTTGTGGTCGTGGGATCACTATGATGACTTTTGTTCCTGGTACTGTGCTGGTAATGAAAATGTACGTATGTACATTTCCTTCACTTCCCATTTTATACTAAACCCACATGCTGTAAAGACTACTAGTCCACATAGGAAAGTTCTTAATAGGAAAGTGGAAAGGAAAGGGCAAATATAGAATTATTTAAACTGTTGTTTTCTAGTCTTTATTCTGTTTTGTGCTGAGTTGCACACTTTCTAAAAATTGATGTGGAAATTAATATTAGATTTGTATCCTGTGATAACATGGGACATATAACAGAATAAGATGCTCATGTGTATCTTTATCATTTATTTTTAAAATTCTGCATATGAGTAAATATTGTTTGTTTAAGTTTGTGTGTGTGTGTGTGTGTGTGTGTGTGTGTGTGAACCCATGATCAACATCAGTTCATATTTTAATTACCCTCTTTCTGTGCAATTTCAGATTTGGTGCTATAGAAAGTATCTCTGGTGATGATTCCAATTTTTTTTTTTTTTTTTTTTTTTTTTTTTTTTTGAGATGGAGTCTCACTCACTCTGTCGCCCAGGCTGGAGTGTAGTGGTATGATCTCGGCTCACTGCAACTTCCACCTCTTGAGTTCAAGGGATTTTCTTGCCTCAGCCTCCTGAGTAGCTGAGATTACAGGCATATGCCACTACACCCATCTGATTTTTTTTATTTTTTTTTAGTAGAGATGAGGTTTTACCATGTTGGCCAGGCTGGTCTCAAACTCCTGAGCTCAAGTAATCCACCCGCCTCAGCCTCCCAAACTGCGGGGATTACAGACATGAGCCACCGCGCCCCACTGATTCCCACTTTTTAACATTACTGGGATATGGCAAATACGTTTAAATAGATATACTTGTTACCATCATGAATCTAAGTAATACATCTGAACAGTCTTCATTAAAAAAAAATTTTGGCTTCACATATAAGAGTGTGTAAGTGTATATGTTTGTGTTTCAGGGAAAGGTTTTTAACTATTATTTGTGGTGGAAACTGTCTGGCGTAAGTATGCTTGTAAGACACTAGGACTAGTAGGACATAGTTACTCAATATATTTACTTTTAGCAACTTTGTGTCTGATTTGTACAGTGTTCAATAATTATTTGAATTGATTTGGTTTGAAGCAGATGTAAATATGCTATTTTGTTTGCTATTTAATTTTGGAGAAAGATTTAAAATATTAAAAAGTATTCAGTTTTGTATTTTTGTACTCCATTAAAAAATGTGTACTTTCTCTACAGGTTTTTTTTTTTTTTTTTGAGATGGAGTCTCACTCTGTCACCCAGGCTGGAGTGCAGTGGCCCAATCTCGGCTCACTGCAACCTCTGCCTCCTGGATTCAAGTGATTCTCCTGCCTCAGCCTCCTGAGTAGCTGGGGTTACAGGAGCGCACCACCATGCCCGGCTAATTTTTTGTATTTTTAGTAGAAACGGGGTTTCATCATTTTGGCCAGGCTGGTCTCGAACTCCTGAGCTCAAGTGATCAGCCCGCCTCAGTCTCCCAAAGTGCTGGGATTACAGGCATGAGCCACTGGGTCCGGCCTACTGTTTTTTTATTCAATTTAAAAGAGACAATTTTATGCACTCAATAGAAATAGTTTTAGAATTTCTACAAGATGGAGTCCTCTTAGGCTGGACATGTGTCCTTTGAATCCTGTTATTGACAAATGCTGCTCTTTGGTATAGACAAAAATCGGGCCCTGCATGCAGCAGAGCGCTTGCAAACCAAGCTGCGAGAACGTGGGGATGTAGCAAATGAAGACAAACTGAGCCTTCTGAAGTCAGTCCTGCAGAGCCCTCTCTTCAGTCAGATTCTGAGCCTTCAGACTTCTGTACAGCAGCTGAAAGACCAGGTAGGACATCATTCACCCAAGCAGGCATTCACGACATGGCATAGATCTTGTGAAAGGCTTGTGTTTTTCTGAAAGGCTGATTTTTCTATGTGTTAATGAATAGTTAATGAAGTCATTTAAACCTCCAAATGAGACATTCAGATTCACTGTGGCTTTTTTCCTCCTAGTTATTTTTGTAATGGTTGTTGCTGTATATTGTAGATGATATGACATTGTGTTGAAAGCTGTGTGGATGCTGAAGAATGAGTTTCTACAGGAAAAACGGATGATAAAAATATGTTTAGGATGGTTGGCTGTAGACTTAGTTTCCATCATCACTGAGGCTCATTGTTCATGTGATCTTGCTCATTCAGATTCGGACATTCAGTATACTTACAAGATTTCAGATAAGCGTGGATTTGCATGTGTAATCATGTGTATGAGGAAGGGAAATCACCTCTATTTTGACAGTAAAAGGAATAATTACATTGTCATCAGTTAGAGGAATTGCAATTCTCACTTCTTTAAAGAGTGTAAGTAGCAATTGCTTCCATGACAGCTCAGATGGTGATAAACATTAGAACTTCTAAATGTAACACAGTGCTTTTTTGTTCTGTAAAAATTATGAGCATTAAAAAGTCCTAGCATTTATATTAAAATTGAAACATTTCACAATGACAGAATGAAAACTGAAGTCAGATGTTCTTTGAACTTACTTAATTTAATCACCATTTCTATGCTTTAAAAATATTTAAAAAATGTTATCTTCAAGGTTTGAAGTCAATCTCATTATGCCTTCAATCCAAGTTAGTTTTCATTCTAATGTCTTTAGCATTAATTTAATGGTTATAGATGACTTGCTAGCAAATATTCTGCCTTATAAGGTTAAAAATGAAACTTGAAGATTAGTTTCATAATTGAGTGAAAGAACAGCTCCAGTTAAAAAAAACCCAAAGTGTGGCTAATGCAAAAGAACAAATAGTAATAAGAGAGAATGAATTTGTTTAATGTCATATAACTTCTTAATCTAAATATTTTGTAGCAAAAAAAGTTAAGTCAAGAAGAATCTTCACAAATACCTTTCTATAGTAAATGTCTATTTAATGGTTTTAAAAGTCGTGATCATGAATTTAAGGTGTTGTTGTTATATGTAGTTGTGTTTGTCTCCTTTACAAGTTATTGAAAAGATTGATTTTATTTATTTTTATTTTTTTGAGACAGAGTCTCATTCTGCCACTCAGGTTGCAGTGCAGTGGCACCATCTCTGCTCACTGCAGCCTCTATCTCCTGGGTTCAAGAGATTCTCCTGCCTCAGCCTCCTGACTAGCTGGGATTATAGGTGCCTGCCACCACGCCCAGCTAATTTTTGTATTTTTAGTAGAGATGGGGTTTCACCATGTTGGCCAGGCTGGTCTCCTGACCTCAAATGATCTATCCGCCTTGGCCTCCCGAAGTGCTGGGATTACAGGAGTGAGCCATCGCGCCTGGCAAGATTGATTTTCAGTACTGGTTTTCAGAATGGATTGGTAAGCTTTTGGAGAAACCAGTATCCCAAATAAAAGCATAATTATGTTGTGGAAATTATCTGCTTTTTCAGAGTGTAAAGAAGTTGAACAGATATCTTCTATTCTTAATATGTTATGTGAAAACATGATTAGAATGAGAAGAAAAGTTGAAACAAAAAGAGTGCTAGCAAGTCTGTTGGGATATACCACTGGCCCAGTGAGATAACTTGAAATTTCCGTTGTAGACAGTCTTAATGTAAAAGGAATAGTTATTTGTGCATACAGTGTCTCATGAAAGGAGGGGACAAATAGGCCGGCCTATTAAGCTTGTTTTACCATTTCCATATGGAAGTAGAATATGGGCTCTGAGACTATTTGGGTCCCACGTGATTCAGATGAAACCTACTTGGAAATTTGTTGAGACCGAGACCAACTACAGCATTATCTTATTATTTTGTTGATAGACAACTGATATATTTTAAGACTACATAAATTGTGAGGTCTGTGAATTCTATGAGACATGTCTTACATGTTTTTGGACTTTGGGCTCCTTGATCACATGTTCATATACAGGGGAAAACTAATACTGAAAGGGACCAAGGAAAACACCTAGTTTATACCCTGTAGATTACAGTGGCTTAGAGAGGTTAAGTGACTTGATTATAAGAGTAGAGTAGAACTAGAACTCAGTTTTCTTTGGAGCCTGTCTCACATCTTCTTCTTCTTTTTTTTTTTTTTTCAAAGGTAGAAAGTTGAACCCTAGATGCCAAGAATTTTCTTTTGTTTAAAATCATTAATAACTTTTTACAGTGTCTGTGATTCGTTTTTTAAATCTCCATTCTTTACTAATTCAATTCCATTTGTTTACCAGATTCTTTCTTACATGACTAGAGTAAAAATTTAAAAACTTATATTAGTTTCTATTCTAAAATTTAAATATAAGTACTCTAGAGTTTTGTCATGTCAGATTTAAATTTTCTATGTAGTTTACCAACTGCTGATTTATTAATAATTATAATTTAATAATTAATGAATTCAGGAATTAAATTTATTCTTTTAAACCAGTGGCTACACAAATCTGACCAATGGCTAGCTTATATTTATTACCTCATACCTTACCTGTTTTCAAATGTATAATTTTATATGCATGACAGCTGCAATTTACTATCTCCATCTTTTTTACTATTATTAGAAAATACGACCCTCTGATTCTCCCTCTCCATCAGTCTCCTGTTTTTTTTAGAAGTAAAGGGACTGAATAATTGAAAAGCTTGAGGTATATGCAGCATATTGGAGAACATGATCATATTGTTGTATTAATGACAGATGCTGACATACCATGTTGAATTAAGCCTACAATTTTTTCCCCTCAGATCCTTCTCATTACTTCTATTCAATAATGTTTAATTTTTTCAATTTGCTTCTTCAGTATTAAGACTGCCCTTAGAAATCAAACTGTTTCCCTTTGGCAAATTAAACACTTGACAGGTGTGTAACTGAGAGGGCAAAAAAGCCATGCCCTGAAGGGATGTGCTATTTAAATATTGTCAAAAATATTAGCAGGTCTGAGAATATAATTGATGTCTCTGTTTAACTCTGCCACATTGTGTATTGTTCTAACGCCAGCTAAAAGGATGCATGCTATTAAACCTGAATAATCTCTAATAGCTCTGGTTCATTTCCTATTGCATGATTCCTGTTTAAGTGAAGAGAAAAAAAAAGAACTGTGACTGTGTGTCAATGATCTGTCAAATGCAAATTCTCAAGTAGTGTCCTCACTGTCACCTAGTCATCACTGCTAATCACTACAGGGCTTAATGCGTATTCATGACAAAAATCCAGCTATTGTGGGGGAAATAAACACGTTAGCAGTTTAATAATAGAAACTTGTCAGCCTTGAGGATATTGGATTTGCATATTTATTCTATGAAGTTTCTCCAGTCCAGTATAGGTGGATGCTACTCTCTTGATTAATTAATTGCGTTGCCTTAAGAATTGACCAGTGGCACTAAATTAATCTTTTTACCCTGAATTATCTGTAGGAAAACTGAGAATTAAAATGATTAATTTCAATAGAAATTTAGGACCAATACTTAAAAATCGACATTGCTAAGATTATTTTTAAAGCTATGGCAACAGAGACCAATTCCAAGATTGGAGAAATAATGTAGATGACTCAGGCTGCAAAAGCTGCTTAGATGGCAAATAAACCTCAGCACAGAATATTCAGGAGGTCTCTCCTCGTCAGTGACCTTCAGACTTTTTGGAGTGTGGCATTCTATTGTTTTGTTGTTGGTGTTTCTTTAATATTTCCAGGTTTTTAGTTCATTTACTTTCCTCCCAAAAAGTGTAGGCTTACACATATATCATCTAGATGCGTAATGTGTATGCACACAAAATTAAGGCAGACTTTTCTTTGGAAATTTTATGACAACTCTTGAAATAACTGTAGAGATGCTGTGTTAACATGGGATCAGGGTTGAAAATTACTCTTAAATGTTGATTAGAGTAATTAGATCTTTTTTTGAAATTTTTTCGTGAAATGAGATCTTCATGATGTAAAATTTTGGTTTTATATTTCTATGTAAGTTTTTGTTAATTACATTTCAAAAAGAATTTGAAGCAACTTCTAATGGCAAGACTTGTTAAATAATGAATGATTCAAATGTAAACCTAAACAAAGACCAAAAAAAAAGTCACATAACTAGATATACCAAGGACCTTGGGTTACTAAAATTGAGTATGTCATTTAATTTGTTTCCTAGAAGCAAAGCAAAAAAAAAAAAAGAGATAGAACTGAAGGACTATGTATTGTTCAATGTGGGATTCAGTGAACCAGTTTTCCCTTGGCAATGGGTGGGTTATCTCATGGAGGCTCATATTCTTATATTCATTTAATAATCAAGCTTTGTTGAACATCTAAAATTAATAAAAATACAAAGAATAATAAGATGGAGGTTCTCACTATCTAGAGGGGAAAATAGAACAGAAAGAAAACAAAGAAGGTGAATAGTAAAGAAGGAATGAGTAACTTTTACTAGAAGAAAACCTCACAGTGGAGGCAACAGCATGGAAAATGGGTCTTGAAAAATGAGTTCTGCAGAGGTGGGGGAAATGATTTCAGGTAGAGAGAGCAATGTTTACAGGGATACAGAGCAGTTCACAACAGGATTATTTTATGCTCTCCATTCCCGAGGGAAACTTGGCAATGTCTGGAGTTAGTTCTTACTGTCGTGACTGGAAGATACGGGAGCTGCTACTGACAGGTAATGGGTAGAGTTCAGTGATGCTGTTAAACATCCTTCAATGTACAGCACAGCCTCCTACAGCAAAAAATGACTGGGCTTATAATGTCTGCATTGCTGAGGTTGAGAAACCCTGGTATGGAGCCCCATGCAGACCTATATTATCAGAGCAGTAGATTATATGAGGGGTATTGGCAGGAGAGGAAACTATGGAGCCAGACTGTGAAGAACCTTTTTAAGTAAGATGTTTTATTTGTTGGTTGGTTAATCACCTTTGTTCTTTTGCATTTTTTTTTTTGGATATTGTATTAACTTTGTCTTCTAATTGTTCTAGTATGTACATTATTTTAGCAATCATTTTGTTTTTTATTTCTTCACATTTTTTAACATGATAAAATCATCCTAACAGGCTGGATGCAGTGGCCAAGGCAGGCGGATCACTTGAGGCCAGGAGGTCGAGACCAGCATGGTCAACGTGGTGAAACCCCATCATCTCTACTAAAAATACAAAAATTAGCCGAGCGTGTTCATGCATGCCTGTAATCCCAGCTACTGGGGAGGCTGAGGCACGAGAATTGCTTGAGCCCAGGAAGTGGAGGTTGTGGTGAGCCCAGATTGCGCCACTGCACTCCAGCCTGGGCAACAGAGCCAGGCTCTGTCTCAAAAAAAAAAAAAAAAAAAAAAAAAAAAGCATCCTAACATAAAATTAAGGTAGTGGTTTTAATGACATTTTGATAAGTAAGATCTTCAGTTATAATTGTGAAATATAGTAATTGTTCTTTAAAATAATGCTGCTTTCATCTTACTAATTCTAAGAATACAGCATCACATCCTAATTTACTAATGGTTTTTCTGCCCAAGGCCACACAAGTAATATACACTCTGTGTGAATTTTTTTTTCTGATGCTCAAAACAGGAGCAAATTCTAGAAAACCTAGAAATGTAGGTAGTCAGGTAGTCAATGTGTACTTCAGAGGTTCAGCTTCAAATATCTGAGGTAAGCAGAGTTTGTTAGGTGGAACACACACTATACCAGGACATGTCTGAGGAGTCTTTATTCTGTAGATACAGATTTGTACGACTGCGAAGAGTTCATGGCCAAAGTGTTGAGGTATGTTGCTTTTAAGTAGCAACAGCAGCAGCTCAAATAATTTCTTACATTTATCATTTTAGAGTGATGGGAAAATGAGAAACTTTGTGAACTGAGCATTTTCTTGCTCTATTTTAACTTTGACAATCAGAAAGATACTGTTTTGTTTGATTCATATCTTAAAGAGCAGAAGTGCCTGTGTTTCCCTCTCTTCTTATATAAATAACAAACTAAAAATGACCCTTTCCCTATAGTTTCTAATTTGAGACCGAAAGGAGGATGATTCACCTATATGCTTGCTATCAGTAAAGGGGAGATGACTACTGTCTTTCCAAGAATGTCTAGGTTAAGTTATGACTTGGTGTTGGTAGGGGAAGGAGGACAGAACGAAAGAAATATGCTTTGATTTCATTAACAAGAATTATTTAAAAATGGAGTGGAACTCTTCCCAGCTGTTGTTACTTGTGAAAATGAAAATGATCTTTCTTACACCTGAAATAGTTTTACTTTTATGATAGAGCTTTGTAGCCACCTGACAGCAAAGTATCTATTTCTCGAGACTCTAGTGTGCATTATCTAGGAGAAGTTAAAAGAGAATGAGTGGTTCTTATGTTTTTACATTTACCGTAAAGTTTATTTACTGTAGGAATTTCAAATACTTTATTTTTGGTACAATAACAGCTTTTAAATGTTTGTTCCTTTAGCTAAAAGTTTGTAAATATAGAGCCATTGAAGGGACTAAAATTTTTGTTTTACCGTGGGCAAGAAGGCACTGTTCAAGCTTTTTATACAGTGCTGGATTAAAATGCAACACCATCTTGCTATTGGCTATGCATGTGTGTCTAAAACAGCAAATGGTGATAATTGTATGGTATTTTTGTGACAATGTTAAATGGTCTTTGGAGGAGAAGGAAAAAAATGTGAAATTTACTGGTTATAACCTAAATGAGTTTTTTTTAACCTCCAAATTTAAGACTAATAGGCCTTATTTTTCACTTGAAGCTACAACAATTACCTTTCAAGAAGCCCTTATGTGCTATAGACTTTGCCTCATTTAACTAGTCCATCAGTTCCAGGAGGTAGGTTTTGTCCTCATTTTATCCAGTGAGGAAATTGGGGGTTAGCTTGTATAACATAATCTGACCCACACAATTATTCATTGATAGACTTAAGAGAATTTGAGGTCTGTCTAACCCTGAAGCCAGTCTTTTTTTTTTTTTTTTTTTTTTTTTTTTACTTTTATTATGTTACACTGTTTCTGAATCCTTAGTTCTCTGTGTTAATGAACAAATAAGATGGAAAAACTGTTAATAGCATCCCTGAAGAGAAATGCACTTCAGCTAAACATCATCTAAACTCAAATTCATTAACTTAAAATATGCCATGTCCTATAAATTCTTCTCCCAGATTTTAATCATAGATTCTTTTTAACGTAAACCAGTACTTCATTCTGGTTATATTAACAATTTTGCTAGATTTTAAAGTTAAAGTGAATGATCTGGTTAAAGATAATAGTGGAATGGAGAGAGAATGTGGCAAAATATTATCAGTCTTCATGTGTCCATTCCTATATAATTATACTTCTCTGTAAGGCTTTATTTTATTTTTATTTTCCTCTAAGCAGATTGTGAACAGTGAGTCAGTTTGTCTCCTAGAAATGTGGGACTGATAGGAAAAACACTGCAAAAATTCTAACATGTTGTTTGTTTAAATTTTCAGTTTCTAAATTACTTATTTGCCTTCCATTTTCAAATAGATTAATTTACTTAATTTTGATACCTTCCCCACTATGATGTAGAAAATTTCAGCATACCTTGATAAGAATATAATTTTTGCTCAAGCTACACTTTTTAAATTTTTTTCTCTTGGAAATTTAGCTAAGAAAACACAGAATTGTTGAGATTTAAATAAAGAAAAGACATTCTGTAAATATGCATAAACACACATGCCTAGACTGTGGTATATGCTACATTCCACTTGCCATTTGTTCTTAACAAGCATAAAAAGGAGCCTTAGAATTAATTGTATTTCAGGTTTGCTTGACATCCATTTACCACTTTTGGCATAAAGTCCATGCCATATTCATCTTTAAATACTTTGTACCTTATATGATACTTAAGCTCTAAAACTGATTGCTTAATAAATGAATGCATGAGTATTCTTAAATATTCAAAACTGTCATTCATTATTTATCTTTCCTTGCCAGACAACTAGTTTTTAACTTAAGTAAATTAACCAAATAACTGAAGTTATTTTGGAGACCCTACTTTTTCTCTTAGCAATGACATTGAAAAGGTACATCATTTATCATATCATAGCAATTATCATAGCATAAAGTCTTACTGTGTGCCCAGAACTGTTCTAGTTCTATTATAGTTAATGGTTTCATCATTACAACAATACTATAAAGTCGGTAATATGATTTTCCTCATTTTATAGATAGGGAAATGGGGTTATAGAGAGGTTAAGTGGTAGAGCCAGGCAGGCTGGACTCCAGAGCCTAGATCTTAATCATAGAACTCCATATTTTTTGTTTTATTTTCTTCTTACACAGCATAGTGAATATAGTTTAAGGATTTCTGGGTGATTTGAGGGCTTCTTATGATTATCTGATCTCAGATTGTGGCAGCGTGGTCTAATAGTAGTTGGAGACAAACCTGATCCAGATTTGTATTCTGGTAATGATATTTATTAGTAGGTGATATTAAGTAAGAATTTATTCTCAAGACATATATCCTGTGAAACATTTTGGTTTCCTGATCAGTTTGTAGTCATAAATTATTATTAAGGTCTGCAAAAATCTTTTGTTCATATGGTTTTATCTATCAATATATGCCATGTTAGAAATCAAAATTCAGAAGTGTTTTAAATATTTATTTATTTAAAAATCACAGTAGTAAACCCATTACATGTTTAAAAATTGAGGAGAGTGGCACTATTTTATATTTTTGCACATATATTTAATGTGCAGCTTAATAGCAGAATACTAGATTTTCATCGGCTTCTGCATTCAATGTTTGGATTTGCTGTTTTAGTTGATGTTTTTGAAGAAAATCTTGCCTCACACAGATATGTAAGCTGGGAAAGGGAGGGTTACAGCTTTTCAGATAATTGTGGTATCCTTCTTTGATAGTGCATCAAAATTTGTGGAGTTTTCTTAAAGTTTAGTTGCACTGTTGAAGTAGCATTGTTGTCTGGGGTAAATACACAAGGTTCGTCATCTTGCACCAAGAAAATTAAGGACACGGACACATGTGGGTGGGTTGAGGAATGAAAAGTTTAATAGGCAGAAGAAAGGAGAGAGGAGAACAGCTCCTTGCCAGAGAGAGGCATCCGAAAGAAGGGGCAAGGCAGCCGACTGCAGCATATTTTATAGGCGGGCTTGAGAAGGGGGTGTCTGATTTACGTAGGGCTCTCCGGTTGGTTTGACCAGGTGTGATGTTGTTTACACGGTTCGAGGGGAAGGCTGGTCACCCCACTGTAATCTTATTATGTAAGTGGACTTTCCACTTGGCTCTTGCCATCTTGTCTGCTCCTTACTGTACACATGGCTGGCAAAAAGAGAAGATGTAGCCACCATTTTGAACATGCCTAGTCCCAGGTAGTATAGTCCAGTGGGCACAACTGCTGGCATTCACCTGTGCAAGCTTACAGCTTGGTTGTTTATGTCTGCAGCTCAGTTTCACAGGCTGCTCTTTGTTAGAGAAGAAAATGATTTTGGGGCTGCTTTTCTGGAAAACCTTACCAAGGACTATACCCTCGCTATCTGCCTAAGTAATTTCTTCTTAACTCCTATATCACTGTGAAATCTGAAACCAAATCAATAAGTATTTCACTCTCTACTACAGGAAAATCTATTTGTCTATCTTGCTCTTTGAATTTTTTTTAACTAAAGCTTAATTTATATTTCATTGGTCATTTGGAAAATTTGAAAAATGGAAAAATCACATTTCTCATTTCATTATATAATATACAAAAGTTATACTTGCTGATATCAGTTGCAGTCTTATCAACAAATTCAAGTTATGGAAAGGTGTCAAGCTCAAGGTGGCAGATACAGATGTTCTAAAATTCTAATTTTCACTTGAAAGCTCAAATTTTATTATGGGCGGCAAATACTGTCTGTTGTCTTCCTTGAAGTGACAGGCTTACTTTGTTTATTTTTGAGAAAATGTCTTTTCTATACTCAAGTCTATATAATCATAGTTTGATTTTCAGTAATTTTTTTTTTTCAAATACGATACAAAAAAAGTAGCTAGGCTAGTTCAGCTTGCAACTCAAATTAGTGTTTTCTGTGAGACAATCATTGAATTTATTATGCAGCATAAACACTTTGTACTTACCATTTTACCTTTTTTTTTTTTTTTTTTTTTTGAGACAGTGTCTTGCTCTGTCACGTAGACTGGGCTGGAGTGCAGTGGCATGCTCATGGCTCACTGCAGCCTCGACCTCTTGGGCTCCCGTGACCCTCCAACCTCAGCCTCTGAGTAGCTGGGACCACAGGTGTGTGCCACTAGCCAGGCAATTTTTTTTTTTGTAGAGACGGGCTTTTGCCATGCTGCTCAGGCGGGTCTCGAACTCCTGGACTCAAGCAATCTGCCCACCTCAGCCTCCCAAAGTGCTGGGATTACAGGCGTGAACCACCGCTCCTGGCCTGCTTACCATTTTGAAGCATGGAATATGAAAAACACATGTTCTTGAGGGTCAAGATTTAATAAAATTAACAAGTTTTACTGTATCAAGAATTTGTAATTTAAAGGATGGAGAAATAGAATATTGCTCTTTATGATAGGCGCTGAAAGCAATTTGTAGTCTTTTTTTCAGCGTATCTTGGACAATTCTATCCACCCAGTAACAATAATAAGAAATAAAGATACTATTAAAAAAGATCAAACGTATTTGAAAAAATAACCCATTATTTTTGAAATTAGGATCTCGGTGGAAACTCAGGGGAGAGGTAAAACATCCTGGTACGTTCTACTTCATTGTAGGAGCGAAGTTTTTAAAAAAGAAGGTAAACAATTTTTTGATAACAATAATGAAAAGACTTTAAAACAAAACTATGTTTTAACTTCAAGTTATTTTCCAATCTTTATTCGAGTGTTCATAAATATTTTATGAAATTTGGGGAAGTGGGAGTTTTAATTTTTTTACCTAAGTATATTCCCAAAGGTTTTAGTGTCATTTAGGCCTTCTTAAAGAAGAAGAAAACGAGTTTATAAAATACACATGGAGGGCTGGGCACAGTGGCTCACGCCTGTAATCCCAGCACTTTGGGAGGCTGAGGTGGGCGGGTCACCTGAGGTCGGGAGTTCGAGACCAGCCTGACCAACATGGAGAAACCCAGTCTCTACTAAAAATACAAAATTAGCCAGGTGGGTGGTACATGCCTGTAATCCCAGCTCAGCTACTTGGTAGGCTGAGGCAGGAGAACCGTTTGAACCTGGGAGGCAGAGGTTGCGGTGAGCTGAGATTGTGCCATCGCACTCCAGCCTGGGCAACAAGAGTGAAACTCTGTCTCAAAAAAAAAAAAAAAAAAAAAAAAAAATATATATATATATATATACACACACACACACATATACATATACACACACACACACACACACACACACACATATATACAGAAACACACACACACAAAACCCAGCATTTAGTGCAGTATGCCTTGTGGATTGATTTTAATAAAAATCTCTTATTACGTAGTTTTAAGAATGAATAAGATCTTTGCAGGTTTGAATAAAAACTAAAATATTAAAATAATCTGTTAACTCCTCATTCATCCACTTAAGTCGACAGCATTGTATAAAAGCTAAAGTCTATAGCTTTGTATTTGATTTTGTCATTTAACAGGTTATAACAATCAGTGTTACACTGGGTAGGTTATTGATCATCCAGGTACACCTTCCCAAATATAAAAAGGGAAAAGTCAGAGTCTTACATACTCTTTATTTCCTTGTTTAGTTTTTAAGTGTTCTTTGCTTTCTGTCTTTAATTTTATAGTTCACAGTTTAACTTTTTTAGCACAAGGGAATTTTAAGACAAATATGCTTTGTACCTATATAGGGGCAGGTGCAGAAAATTTACATTTTGATTACTTAAAATGACTCCATCAGCATTCTTGGGTTAAGGACTTATTTTCTAAATTGAATACCCTTATCTTTTAAATTTATCAGCAAATGATAGTCAAAGGCTACTTAAAAATATCTGCAAAGTATAATGTGTGTTCTCAATCACTATGTTTTGGTATTTGAGAATTCATGGCTGTGAACAGAAAGGTATCTTATCTCAGTATCTGAGTGAACTAAGCCTAGTAGAATAATTTTATAGGATATTTAACACATTAGTGATTATGGAAAGCATTTTGTCACTTTAATTACTATCCCTATCACCTAGTGATGTTTAAGACATTTTAGATGCTCAATAAATACTTGAATGAATGAAAGGAAGGTCTCATAGAAAATGTAAAATTGTGCTTGTTCTATTTGAAAATATTGTTTTCCCTTCTTATAACTTATTGCTCCATTTTGTGTCTCATTTAGTTCAGGAGCTAGGAGCTACCTTATGTCCAAAATAGTTTCGTCACATTAAGCTAATTCCCTTTGAACATGCAGTTCAATTTCTTTAATTAGCTTTAAAAATAAGGGTCATTAAATCAGAGTGCCACCATCAATTACTGTGCAAGGGTTTGCCTGTTCAATAATGCATCAGAGCTGTGCTTTAATCAGTATTTCACTGAAAGATTTATGAAAAAGGAGGCCTCTCTAGGTTCCAAACTTGCAATGGAGTCCTATCATGTATAAAAAATTTTTCTTGTGATTGCTATCATGTTTGGTGCTGTATTTCATTGAATGCTCTCAGCATCCTATCTTTGCATTTCATAGTTGGGATCATTTCCAGAGAGTGTTTTACAGCATTTTTGGTAAATTCACAAGAAAAAAAGCACATGTTTTTGTCCTGCAAGAAGAAAATACAAGGTGCATGATTAAAAAAAAAAATTCTGCATTTCTAAGAGGTGCGTCTGTTACAGCAAATTCCCTGAAGAATGGCTTATTTCTTGTTTCTCATTACAATAAGGTGTAGCAAATAAACAAAAAATATGGGAAACTGAACTAGCAATGTATGTCAGTTTAAACAGTTTACCAAAACTAGGGTTGCAAAAGCAGTAGTCATTTTTTCTTACTAACCTAATTTAAGATAACATATATTTTAGCTTTTAAATGATATAATATCCATCAAACATAAGTATTTTGGTCATTTTATTCTTACTGCTATACTGTGTATTGAGAATAAGTCAAAATAACAGAATCATAAAACAGATTTTGATAATCTACCAAAAAATGCTTTATGAAATAAAGTTTGATCCTAAGCAGTCATTTTTGTAGGTAATTACAGAAATACTTATGCAAAAATTGATGGTAACCACTAAAACAAAGCTATTAATATTAACTTTCTTTTCACTTAACAACTCAGAAGGAATAGATGAAATATAAGAAGTGATATTTTAATGCTTTATAGCACATTTAGTTAAATGAATATATGTATTTGAAAATATTCTATTGGGTTAAAATTGAGTGCATTATCATATTGTTATATGGTCAAAATATTATAAATGTTATTATTGAAAAGAAGTATAAGTAATTTATAATCTTGAAATCTCATAATTACATTAGCCTTGTACCAGCATATATCAAAATAGTGTGAAAGTATGGCATAATTATTATTTCCAAAAAAGAATTTGGTATGCAATAAAATGATTAAAAGTTTTAAAAATTTATAATATTTGGGAAGACAAATCTAAATGTATTACAGAGATTAAAATATGTTTGTTGAGGATTCATCTTTACCTGAGCACTTGTTAAAGGACTCCTTCTGGGAATGGGAATTAGCCAGTTGAATCCACATCAACCCTGTGGAGGGCCACACATCACAGTGGTAGACCAACTTTGTCTTCAGTTATTTAGTTCCTGTGCTCTGCATTCATTTTAAGGTGAATGTCTGGTGAATGAACTTTAAATTCATAGTTGCGGATAGACAAGGTGTAGCTTTATGTATACAGGCTGTCGCTACTACTTGCCTTCTTTAAGAGGCGTGTTTTTACATCATTCACTGGAATGCCCCAGAGTTTTTGCTTTGATTATATGTCTTATTTTGCAAACTTTGAAAACTTGAGAAATAACATACATTAAAGGGAAAAAGTGTGCCCAAGGATTTTTTTAACAAATTAAATATACATGTAACCCTCACCGAAATCAAGATATGGAAAATGATCAGCACTCATAATTTGTTTCACCTTTCAGTCAGTCCTAATCCTCCCCTTTAGGAATCACTATTTTGACTTTATCTCGGAGATAAGTATTACTATTTGAATTTTATGTAAATACAGTCTGAGCATATATGCTTTGTGCCTGACTTCTTTGTCTTGTCTTTGTGTCTGTGAGATTCATTTGTATTGTATGTGTAGTAGTAGTTCTTTTTCATTTTCTGTTTGAATATTCTAGAATATACTTGTCCACTCTTCTGTTGATTGCAGCTTTTGGCTGTTATAAATAAATCTGCTGTAAACTTCCTACTACCTATGTTTTAATATTCATAAGTGTGTATTTCTCTTGGATGTTCACTTAAGAGTGATATTTCTGGGTCCTAAGGTATATATTCAGCTTTCGTGGATTCTGCCAAACTGTTTTCCAAAGCGATTATAAGTCCAACTCTCTCACGATATTTAGTGTATGAAAGTTCTTGTGGCTCCACATCAATGCTCACACTTAGTACTACCCACTTTAAATTTATTTTCTCCAATTTTAATGACTCTGGGGGATATGTTATAGTATCATTTTATTGTTTTAATTTGCATTTTCCTGATGAGTAATGATGCTGAGCACCTTTCCATATGGGATTGGTCATTTGGATATCTTCTTTTGGGAAGTTCCTGGTTTTTTTTTTTTTTTTTCCACCCATTTTTCTATTGATTTTTCAGTCTTTTTCTTACTGATTTACAAGAGTTCTTTATATTTCCTGAATACAACTTCTTTGCTGGATATTTGTATTGTAACCATTTTCTCCTTTGTGTTTTGCATTTTCACTCCTTTAATTGTATCTTTTAATGACCAGAAGTTGTTTTTATTTTAAAAACAAATTTTAAATTTTAAAAATAAATTTTTTTCTTTGTGGGTATTGCTTTTTTTTTCTTTTTTGCCCTATATAAGAAACCTGTGGCTACTTCTAAAATACAGAGATTTTCTCTCAGAAGCTTTATTAAAGTTTTACCTTTTAAATTTTGAATGTGGTGTGAGGTAGAAATAAAGTATTTATGTGCATGTGTATGTTTATAAATAATTTTCCATTTGAATATCCATTTGACCCAGAACCATTTATTGAAGAGATCATCCTTTCTCCCTTGCATTGTCACTATTGTTGTAAATCACGGGGTCATATATGTGTGGGTCTGTTTCTAAACCCTATGTTGTGTTCCAATTAAACAAATTTAATCATATCTTGAACAGATTTTTAGAAAACATTTTAGTTTCTAATTGTTTTGCTGGGAAATACAGTTTATTTTTTGGTATTGATTTTACATCCACCAACTTACTAAGTTCACTTATTACAGCTAATGGTTTATTTGTGGATTCATTTGGATATTCAGTACACACAATTATGTGGTCTGCAAATAATTACAGTTTTTGTTTCTTCAATTCTAGTCTTTATACTTTTAATTTATTTTCCTTGCCTTATTGTATTACCTAAAACCTTGGGTCTAATATTGAATAGAAGTGGTAATAGCATGGATTTTATCCATTATTTTTTTTCTCCCATCTTTTGAACTGATCCTGTTTTTCTCCTGTATTCTGTTCATTTTGTGAATTAGACTAAACGATTTTCAAGTGTTAATTCAACCTTACATTTCTGGAATGCCCAACTTGGTCATAATCATTTTCCTCTTTAAGTATCTTTGAATTGAGTTGTTAACATTCTCATTTAGTATTTTTCTATTTATGTTTATGATCTATAGCTTTTCTGTCTAGTATAATCCTTGTTAGAGTTGGCAATTGAGGTTATGTTGGCCTCAAACAAAAAGTAGAGAACAATTCAGCCTTTTTTTGTCACAAAAAATTGATGTTAATTCAGAAAAAAAAAATGGGAAGAATTTACCAGTGAAACTCTCTAAACCTGTTCTTGTTTTATTTTTGCGGGGAGGGGGGATTTTTAATAGTGCATGCAATTTCATTGATAGATATAAAATTACTATTATTATTATTTTTTTAAATAGAGTTGCTCTTTGTCACCCAGGCTGGAGTACAGTGGCTCACTGCAACCTCCACCTCCCAGGTTCAAGTGATTCTCGTGCTTCAACCTCCCAAGTAGCTGAGATTATGGGTGCGTACAACCATGCTCAGCTAATTTTTTGTATTTTTATTAGAGATGGGTTTTTGCCATGTTGGCCAGGCTGGTCTCGAACTCCTGGCCTCAAGTAGTCCACCCACCTCGGCCTCCCAAAGTGCTGGGATTACAGGTGTGAGCCACTGCACCTGGCCAAACTATTGATATTTTGATAAATGTGTTACCAAGGAATTTGTTCATTTCATGTATTTTTTTCCCCATTTTTTTGCATATGGTTATTGCATGCCTGTAGAGTCTAATTATGTTCCTTTTTTTTATTCCCAATGCTGGAAATTTATGTTTGCTATATTAATCAGTATTGTTAGAGGTTTATCAGTTTTATTACTCTCATCTTTGTCTCAAAGATCAACTTTTTGACTTTTTTGAATTTCTTTATTGTATCATTTTCCTGTTTTGTTGATTTTTGCTGCAATATATGTTATTTTCTTCCTTTTCTGATTTGGTTTTCTGTTTTATTTTAGCTTTTTGATTCGGATGCTTAGCTCATTGACATTTTGTCTTTCCTTTTTTTCCCTCTTACATCTAAGTCTAAGTTTCTAAGCATTTATTTAGCTGCATATCCAACATTTCTGGATGTAGTTTGCAGTATATGCAGTATGTCGTATCTTCATTATCATTCAGTTAAAAATTTGTTTTAAATTCCTCCCTCCCGTTTCCCTCCTCTCCCTCTGTTTTGTTTGTTTGTTTTTACTTATATAGATTAACCTAGCTATCCCCACAATCAAGATCAGATCTATTTTATCACCACAAATATCTCCCTTATTCTATTCTTTTATAGTCATATTTAACCACTTTCTTACATTTGTAACCCCTGGCAACCTTTAATTCATTTTCCATCTCTATAATTTTGTCGTTTCAAGAATGTTATAAAAATAAAATCATAATGTATGTGACCTTTAGAAATTGGCTTGTCTTCATGCAGCATAATGCCCTTGATATCTTGAAGTTGCATATATTAATATTTTTCTTCTTTTATTTTTCAGTAGTATTTCTTATTGGATTTACCTACTGAGGGGTATTTTGTTTCCAATTTTTCACTATTATATATAAGCTGCTGTGAGCGATTGTGTATGGATTTTGTGTGGACCTAGGTTTTTATTTCTGTACAATAAATATCCAGGAGTGCAATTGCTAGATTGTATGGTAAATGCATATCTAGTTGTTTTTAGAAACTGCGAAACTATTTTTCAGTGGGGTGTACCATTTTACATTTCCACCAGCAATGTCTGAGCAATCCAGCTTCTCTACATCCTCACCATTCTGATAGGTACGCAGTGATATTTCTTTTTGATTTTAGTTTGCATTTCTTTAATGGCTAATGATGCTAAATTTCTTTTATGTACTTATTTGCCAGCCATATATCCTCTTTCATGAAATGTCTGTCTGTTTTTTTCTGCCCATTTTCTAGTTGGATTTTTTTTACTATTGAATTTTGAGTTTTCTTTATATATTCTAGATATGAGTCATATGTCAGATATATGTATCCTTGACTTATTTGATTCTACTTTAATTAGTACTTTTACCACTTTCCAAAAAATGCAAGGAACTTAAAACACTTCAACTTTATTTACCCTACTCCTACCTTTTGTGCAACTGTATGTACTTTAATTACATATATATTTAAAGCTCTACAAATTTAAATTATTTACTGGTTTAAGGAATTCCTACTGATTTACATTTTTAAACTCCTTTTTGTACTATAATACTTTCTGCATAGGGATCTTCTGAGATTTAATTTTTTTTCTGCCCAAGATTTTACTCTGGTATTTCTTTTATACAAATCTAAGGTAATTGTGTGTGGGGTGGATGGGGGTGTGTGTGTGTGTGTGTGTGTGTGTGTAAGTGTGGTGTGTGGCATGAAAAATCTAGGTTGTCAGGTATTTTTATCTTTTTTTTTTTTTAAATCATCTTGTTAACATCTGACCTTTATTGTTTTTCTTGAGAAGTCAGCTGTTGGTCTTATTGTGCTTTGAAGATTAGATACCTTTTTGCTCTAGTGGTTTTTAAGATTTTCTTTCTGTCTTGGCTTTTAGCTGTTTTGCTATGATATGCCATTCTAGTCAGCCTCTAAGATGGCCAGTATTTCTTGCCTTCTGATATTCATGCTTCTGTATATTCCCCTGTTTAATGTGGGCTGGATACTGCCTTCTTTGCATCAACAGAGTATGGCAGAAGAGTTGGTTTCTTTTTGATACCTTTAAAGTGGTTTATTTATTTGTTTTTAACAGCTTTTATACACATTTTTAATTGTTCTCAGTGGAAAGGTTACTCTGATACAGTTATTCACACAGAGTGACCTTCATTGTATATAGAACTAAAGATAAATTATGTTTTCTTGGATGCTACTCTAGAAACAGCTCTCCTAGCACACCTGCAAATGAGGAACTTCCTAAGAAGATACTGTCCATTTCTTCTGGAAGGCATATTGAATGATACCCAGGGCACTAAACAGTTGTCTATTCAGAGATGCTCTAGTTTGTGTCCTTCGCTAGCTTGTACCAGCTAAATGTGCATTTCTCAAAAAGTCATTTTTAAAGCTATTTGTACCAGTTGTATTTATTTTATAATTGCACAACTTTATTATATAATATACAAATTTATGACAAGTTTTTCTATGAAAATATTTTGATAAACTATATAGGTGAATTGATAAAACAATTATTGGTGAAATTGTTAGTTATGTTAGGTCAAACTGTAAAATATATTTATGATAAAAGATGTTTATGATTATGAAATTTGTTACAGGCTGAGGATCCCGCACACCAATGGCTAATGGCTATGGTATGTTGGCATAGTAAAAAGTATTTGGGCTTATGCTATGGTAAGCAAGATTGAACAAATTGCATGTATGAAGAAATCCTATATACAAATGAATATACATGTGTTTTAAGTTAAAATAAGGTACATATTTTTTCTTTGTTATTTTTTCTGCTTTACTTGACCTTTTGTAGTATGTGAATCAATACTGGTTCTGACTGCATCTTATAAGAGGACTTTTCCTGTACTTTTAAATACTTAGAAGGTGTTTTAGTTTGCCCTTTCACATAGAATTTGCAAACTTTTAAATTGAATAAGTTGTATAATATTTAGGTTATGTTTTAGGTAATAGCACTAATTAAAATCCATAAATTAATATATGTTTATTTGCTAAATACATAAAAGCCCCCTTTAGACTGAAATGTTCAGCCAGAACTTAAACAGAAAACAGATAATTATTTGGTGACTCTTGCTCATTTACTAACAACTTCCATAAATTATACAGAATGTTTATCTGTATATAAAAATTGCCAGATATTTATGTTTTCTTTTGTTTATTTTATATTCTATAAACCAAGGATGAGAATCAAGATCTTTTCATTAAACATTTGTGGCATGACTGCTATGAACAGACCTATCAAGGCAAATAAGATACACTCGTATTCCTCAAAGAGATTATAGTTCAGAAAGCCATTTTAATAAACAATTACAGCATAATCAAAGGTGCCTTTCTGCTTTTTCTTATGAGTATAAATTTGCCAATTTATAAATAAGACTTTTGTATGGTGGTATAATTAAATAATAGTTTTTAAATATGTGATCTCTATAACCTCTGCTTTTACATTTATGTAGACCTCAAGGTCAGGGATGAAGCAGGAGGAGTCATTGACCTTCCTCAAACCTTTAACAAATTAGGAAATGACAATTGATATTAAATACTTTTATACAGTTCTCATTTTGTAATATTTTACTTGTTCTGCTCTCACTCACTTTACTCTTAGAATGCCTGTATACCTACTCTTTCATAATATCAGAGCTTCTCTTTTACCATGAATCTCTTACAGACAGACTCTCTATTCTCGGGATGCGATTTGTTCATTCTGGCTTACCATAGCATAAGTCCAAATATTTTTTCCTATGCAAACATACCATAGCCATTAGGTCTTGGTGTGTGGGATCCTCAGGCTGTCACAAATTTCATTATGCCATCTGCTTCAACCTGAGCTGCGTGTCTTCTGCTGGCAAACTTTATTGAAGTTGCCATGGCTCAGGATAAAAAAAAAATCAATCTTGGCATAAGAAGCTTACTTTTGAAAAAATAATAATTGATCATGCCTGCTATAGATTTTAAAATAAACATTTAAAAGGATTCCCAAAAGTCTCTTCTCAACACATTGATCTCTTTTTCATCTGTGATTGTAGAAAGCTAATATAATGGTTAAGTTATTGGTAACTTTGGTAACTTAATGAGTTTTCTGTTTTATTTTTAAGGATAGGTAACAAACTCTTATGTATAGATTTTGGTGACATATTGTGAAATATTTTGATAGCTTCTGTCAGTGGATGTTCTTTACCTAATGTTTTATTTTAAATGATATCTCAAATGTTTTGTGGATAATACAAGGACTGTATGTTTTCTGTATAATACAAGGATGATAGGAACACCGTGATGAAAAAAAATCTAGGTCACAAACAACTTAGCTGTGTGACTTTACGTAATTTCATCATCCTTAGCATTGAGATGATACTTGAAAGGTTGTTCAGGAGATTGGATCAGAGTTAGATCCTTAAAAAATAGATAAACATTTTTTTTCTGCCAATGTATGTTGAACAACTCTGTATAAGGCATTCTTCTAGAGAACGAGGGCATAGTAAAAATAAAATAGTCAAAAATTTCCACTGGAGAGTTTTTGCATTCTAGTCGGTCTCCACTGACTGGGATGAAAGCTTCATGACAGCAGGGTGTGGATCAGGTGGTAATGAGTGCCATGAATTAAAACAGGGCACAGTAAGTTCGTGGAGTATAATGGTGCTGTCTTAGATAGGAATGCGAAGGAGGACTTTTCTGTGGTGAGATTAGGCACACCTGAATGAAATAAGGAAGCATGTGGATATTTGGGGAAGAATATACCTGTTTGGTAGAGTGAACAGCTTGGCACTTTGAGGCACAGTGAGGAGGGGAGCACAGCTAGGGCTAAGTGGGTGAGGGACAGACTGCTAGGAGATGAGGTCAGAGAGTGACTCAAAAACATCAATGAAGTAAGCTTTCTGATAAGTAGTTACAGATAAAAAGTCACAATCCAGGCACCCAACATAAATATGAAATTAGGATTGACTGCATTGCTTTATTATTATTTAGATTTAACTTCAAACTCTTTTAAAAGGCACACACAAATAATTATAGAATCATTTCCCAAAGTGGGATGATCTTTTCCGTTGTTGTTACGTGTGTCATTGTACTTGGAGTTAGCCAGACAGCACGATTTGAGGGCACAGTCCTCCAGACTGCCAGTGCTGCCCCACACTTCTGATACCAACTGTGGCGAGTTAGGGTCCAGCTACAAAGTTAAAGGTATAAGGATACACAAAACCACCCTCACTTATGATGTCAGCTGCAAATTTGCGAGGTTCCCCTAGCCACCTTGAGGTTTCATAATTCACTAGAAGGTCTTAGAGAGTCTCTGAAATCTGTTAAACTCATGGTTATGATCTATGGTAGGGAAAGGATGCAGTCAAGAGTCAGCCAAAGGAAGAGATGCGTAGTGCAGATTATGGGAGGATTCCAAACTGGAAGCTTCCATTTTGCTGGGAAAGTATAACTCTCCCAGAATCGATGTGTGACAATATGTATAGAGTACAGCCATGTGTCATTAGGTGATTTCATCCTTGTGCAAACATCGTAGGGTATACTTACCCAAACCTTGGTGATATAGCCTACCACACAGCTAGGCTATTTGGTATTGCTCCTAGTCTACCAACCTGTACAGCATGTTACTATATGGAGTACTGTATGCAGTTGTAGCACAATGGTAATTGTCTGTGTTTCTAAATATAGAAAAGGTACAGTAAAAATGTGGTTAAAAGGTAAAAAATGGTACACCTGTATAGGAGACACGTACCATGAATGGAGCCTGCAGGACTGGAAGTTACTATAGGTGAATCAGTGAGTGAGTGGTGAGTGCATGTGAAGGCCTACGACATTACTGTACACTACTAGATAGTCAATATACTGTATGCTACTAGATAGCCAATATAATGGTTGAGTTATTGGTAACTTTGGTAACAATGAGTTTTCTGTTTTATTTTTAAGGACAGGTAAAAAACTCTTATGCATAGAGTTTATACATAAGTTATAAATACTGTACACCTAGGCTATAGTAAATTTACAAAAACTTCCTTCAATAATAAATTAACCTTAGCTTACTGTAACTTTTTTTTCCTTTATAAAGTCTTAATTTTTTTTTAAACTTTTGACTCTCATAATAGCACTTAGCTTAAAGCACAAACACATGTATAGCTGTGTTTGACTGTGTTGCAAACCCAGGAAGATTACCTGATCTTGGTGTTCAGCATTTTTTATTGGCGTGTTATTTCATAGGTGTGATTGATTGCCCTGCCTATATGATTAAAATTCAGCTCCGAGTTTGGGCTTATATCATGTGGCCTTGGGGCCCACCATGAAGAAGAAAGATACCTCATCACTCAGGAAATTCTGAGAGGGGAAATTCTGAGAGTTTAGAGGTTACTTCATAGGATCTGGGGACAGAAAAATATATGTGTGGATGTATATATTTATGGGTGTGTTTTAATGAGTACCCTGAAGTTGAACCCTGGCGGTAGTTTTTGAATTTTCCCATCTAATAAATGGTGCTGCATTGAACATTTAGTGATGCACACACATCTTTGTGTATTATCCTAATGTTCATCCTTGAAATAAATTTCCCAAAATAGAATTGCTGGATTAAAGGATTTGGACATTTTGAAATTTCATTTGTATGTCCTTGTACCCTTGGGATATTTTCTATGAAATAGTTTATGGAATGTCAAAATTCTTAATAATCCCTGCATTACTCTTAGGTAAATATTGCAACTTCAGCAACTTCAAATATTGAATATGCCCACGTTCCTCATCTCAGCCCAGCTGTGATTCCTACTCTGCAAAATGAATCGTTTTTATTATCCCCAAACAATGGGAATCTGGAAGCACTTACAGGACCTGGTATTCCACACATTAATGGGAAACCTGCTTGTGATGAATTTGATCAGCTTATCAAAAATATGGCCCAGGTAAGAACATTTCTTTCTGTTAGTTATTGTAATACCTGTAGTAATTTAAGAATGTGATCAAGTTATGGATAATTTGAAGAATATAGTGACATTTATAACATCTGAAAACATTGGAACAAAAAGTCAGTTTTGTGGGAGTTTAGATGGTTCAGACGTTTTCTATTACAGTTTTATCATCATTTAAATTTGAGTATTATATGTTGTATTATAGAAATATTCTTCAGGATAAAGTGCTAACAATTACCTTGGAAAAATGTTATTCAATTTCTTTTTTTTTTAACAAAGAAATGATTCTGATAAGATGACTGTTACTGCAGTAATTGGCTTTTAAGTTTTTTTTTGAGACATGCCTTGCTCTGTCACCCACACTGGAGTGCAGTGTTGTGATCATAGCTCACTACAGTCCCAAATTCCTGGGCTCAAGGGATTCTCCTGCCTCAGTCTCCTGAGTATCTGGGACTATAGATGTGTGCCACCACACTTACTAAGTTTTATTTTATTTTTTATAGAGATGGGGTCACATTATGTAGCCCAGTCTGGTCCCTAACTCCTGGCTTCAAGTGATCCTCCCACCTTGGCCTCCCAAAGTGCTGGGATTACAGGCGTGAACCACCATGCATGGCCTGGCTTTTAGTTTTATTTCTTGCTTTGTTTCCTAAACAGGGTCGCCATGTAGAAGTTTTTGAGCTCCTCAAACCTCCATCTGGAGGCCTTGGGTTTAGTGTTGTGGGACTAAGAAGTGAAAACAGAGGAGAGCTGGGAATATTTGTTCAAGAGATACAAGAGGGCAGTGTGGCCCATAGGTGAGATGGTCGCGGCGTCTTCTTTGTTTTTGATCCCACATTCTGAAGGTTTTGGTTACTATGCAGGAATTTAGAAAAATAATAATGAATGGCAACAAAAAATTGAACATAATCTGTTATTAACCAGTTTTTAGAAGTCATTAACATTGTTGTGATAAAATAGCAGGTTCTTTGAAATGAGAGTAGCTTTTAGATATAGTCATAACTTAAGTTTTGGTAAGGAAAGAAAAATTTGAGGATAACATTATTTTCATTGTTAATTAAATGGGCTCTTTTTGATTAGATTTTTAAAATTACCATGCTAGAAATGACCCATAATAATTCGAGCTGCATTTTTTTTATGTACCCAGAGCAATAATTTAATATAGTTGCCCCTCAGTATCCATGGGGAATTGGTTCCAGGACTCCTGCAGGTACTAAAATCTGCAGGTGCTCAAGTCCCTTATATAAAGTGGTATAGTATTTGTATATAGCCTGTGCACATTCTCCCATATATTTTAAATCATCTTTAACTTATAATGCCTAACACAGTGCAAATCCTATGTAAACATTAGTAGTCATATTGTATTTTTAAAATTTGTGTGATTTTTTTATTGTTGTGGCATTATTTTTTTTGAGTATATTTGATCCCCAGTTGGGGATCTAATCTATGGATGTGATCCCCAGTTGGGGATCTAATCTATGGATGTGATCCCCAGTTGGGGATCTAATCTATGGATGTGATCCCCAGTTGGGGATCTAATCTATGGATGTGATCCCCAGTTGGGGATCTAATCTATGGATGTGGAACCCATGGATACACAAGGCCAACTGTATAGATATATCCACTTTCATTTTTAGAAGATGAGAATATCCAAGATGTAATGTAGGCTGAGTAGGTAGCTGAAATAAAGAGTACTTTTATATGGGAGGGGTTCAGTAGGAGTAGCAGTGAAATAACCTTACGAGAGTTGATGACCTGCAGCCAAGGCGTGTATTTTTTTTAAAGTAGAACTGCAGGAAAAAGCTTAGAGTGTGGGAATTAAAAATAGGATTAAAAATGACTTGAACATACATGCCAAAGAAGCTGTCATTTCCTTGAGAACTCTCAGATTGTCTTTTATCCCCTTTTGCATCCTTGATAGAGATGGAAGATTGAAAGAAACTGATCAAATTCTTGCTATCAATGGACAGGCTCTTGATCAGACAATTACACATCAGCAGGCTATCAGCATCCTGCAGAAAGCCAAAGATACTGTCCAGCTAGTTATTGCCAGAGGCTCATTGCCTCAGCTTGTCAGCCCCATAGTTTCCCGTTCTCCATCTGCAGCCAGCACAATTTCAGCTCACTCTAATCCGGTGAGTACCTAAAATTTTCAAAAGGAACAGAACGTATTTTTCAAGTTGTTTTTGGTTATCTCCAAGTTTCTAATTTGTGTAGGGTCTTTGCACTTCTTGAGTTTTTGTCTGACTATTCTTTTATTTTTCCCCAGCCTGGAATATTTGTTCTTTAAGCATGATAAAGCTTCTAAGTTCTAAAACAACAATTACTTTTCTTTGTGTAGTTTTGTCCTTTGACAGCATTCCTTAAAAATGAAAAATGTAGTCCTTTAACAAAATTGACTTTATCTGTAGACAGATACAAGCTTGATTTTGCTTTAAAAATTATACAATTATATTGTTAGAGTTAGCTGTCAGTAACTTTTAAGAAGTCATCTAATTTGGAATCCTGCCTCAAGGCAGGATTATGCAGAAGACATTCTTAACATGTGACCTTTTTTTTTCTTTGAACTTTTTCTTTTTTTTTAAAGAAGTTCTACAAAAGATCTTGCAAATCAATGCCTGTCTTTAACTGTTGAAGTGAAATCATTATGATGATATATTGATAATTTCAAGAATGATTCTGTCAATGGCACTTACATTCTGTTGAAAGGGAAGTATACCAAATGAAAGGGACATTGTTAGGACTCATTATTATGTCTGAATTTAATTATTTAATATTAACAAAATAATCGCAAAAATTTCTACTGTAATGTAAAATGGTAGTGCTTTGTAAATTTCTACAAATTCATATATGAGCTTTGTTTGTAGGTTCACTGGCAACACATGGAAACGATTGAATTGGTGAATGATGGATCTGGTTTGGGATTTGGCATCATAGGAGGAAAAGCAACTGGTGTGATAGTAAAAACCATTCTGCCTGGAGGAGTAGCTGATCAGGTAGGCTACATCAATAGATCTTTTATGCTATTTTATCAAATAATATGGGTACATCTTTTACATTTTTTTGTTGGAAAGAAGAAACTTTGGCCTTAAATGATGCCAAAGAAATTGAGTTAGAATCTTTCGTTTTATTGAGTGTCCCTAAAATGTTGTCTTAGACCTAGGGGAGGAATACCTTTGAAAAGGGACAGTAATCTTAAGTTATAGTTTTAGACAATGAGTTTAACACTTTTGAACCTCAGACTAAAGCCAAGGTTATGGATTTGATAATTGTGGAGGTAGCTACTATTTGTTTTATAGTCATAATTCGTATTTATATACCTAGTCAGCTGTTTTATAGTCACAGGGTATTGTGGGAAAATATACTTTTGTATTCAGGCAGAAAAACAACATTCACCTTGTTCCTTTAGTGATGGGTCATTGGTATCATCTTTGTGTATGAAACACAGCCTGTTTTTTATCACTTGAGTAGTTTATTGAGGCATTACCATTTATGATATGTGACATTGTTGCAATATATGTGAGAAAAGATTTAACACATTTGTTATGATTTATATCTTAATTTGATAAGGCTTACTGGTTTAAGTAAGTTTTGCCTTGATTATAACTTTTTAAAAAATAAAGTGGTTGTTTATACATGTGTGTTTGAACTTAAAGTAGGAAGTCCAGCTCATCAAATATTCCCTGTATTCATAAATGAAATTCCTGTTTAATGGCAACCTTGTCAGTAGGGGTGTTAACGGTAATATAATAGTATGCAAATTTTTCTTCCTTTTAAACATTAGTTAGCATCTAGCAGCATCAAATGAAATGTCTCTCGTTGACTAGCATGTGATATTTACATGCTTTATCTTCAATGTGGAGCTGCACTCTTCAATATTGTAGCTGTCTGCATATCACCTTTAAAATTAAAATTTAAGTTAATTAAAATTAAATGAAATTACAAGTTCAGCTTCTCAGTTGGACTAGCCACATTTCAAGATCTCCGTAGCTATTGTATTGAGTAGTGCAGAAGAGTTCCATCATTGCAGAAAGTTAATGGACTGCATGTGTATGGAGGCTCATAAGACTGCTTTTCACTCCTCACATCTTTCTGAATTTTCACTTCACAAGTATTTCACCTGCACATGAGTTCTTTTGGGACATTTATAATAGAAATAGCCAGGCAGAAAGTTGTGATATTAATATAATGCTTTCTTGTGGTTTATACCACATTTTAGGTAATATATATTTGCATGGTGATTTATATACAACTTTGCTTAAGGGCATTTTCTTCTTTCCCTCCAAAAAATTCACAAAAAGGCATTTAGGTAGAAATCAAAGTGAAAAGTTCATATGAACTCTTGGTAGGTAGAATCAAAATGAAAAGTTCATATGGACTATTGATTTAAAGACTATATGTGAATTTCATTTATTGCATCACACTGAATGATGTTAGGATGTTTCAAAAGACAGTTAATATTATACCCATGTGTTTTATTTTATGTCCTGATTGGTAACTCATATTATTGCTTTTCTAAAATTAATCCCTTCTCATTTAGGATTTATCTGTTGCAGTTAAAATAATAATAGTCTAATTATTCAATATTGTTTTACTCAGCATGGGCGTTTATGCAGTGGAGACCACATTCTAAAGATTGGTGACACAGATCTAGCAGGAATGAGCAGTGAGCAAGTAGCACAAGTCCTTAGGCAATGTGGAAATAGAGTTAAGTTGATGATTGCAAGAGGTGCCATAGAAGAACGTACAGCACCCACTGCTTTGGGCATCACCCTCTCCTCATCCCCAACTTCAACACCAGAGTTGCGGGTAAGTAGTTAAGAGTAGTTAATGTGAAAGTCAGAGAAATAACACTTAGATGACGACAGTGATGTTTACTTAGAAACTAGACTTACTAATGTTCCTATATTAGTGCTAAAGAATGGAATGAAATTCAAATGTAGGGATGCTTTAGCACTAATGATATTTTATTAATCAGGAATAATGTGTAAAACAAATGAAAAATAGGTTGCTTAAACATGCTAGATTATTTTACATTTTTATTTAAGCAGCATATTTATGAGGATAATGTTTTAAAGTATGGGTAAAAGTTTAAAAATTATTTGGTACTGATACCTAAAATGTTTAATTCTGTCTTTTTCTCAGTTAGAAGACTCTCTGTAAGGTGGGTCATAGTTCTAATCATTCTCTTTCATCAACTTTCCCATTAGTATTTTTGTTTTTGTTTTGAATGTGTGGAGGTTGAGGAGTGGGGGCAGGCTTGGTGAGTATGAATAAGGCTTACTAAAACCTTTTAGTGTTATTGTTTTAAAGTATGTCTTAGAACTGTTATCAGATTTGTAATAAGTAGTCATTATTCTGACCCAGTTATATAATTTTTTAAACAAAAGTTATTCTTTTGGTGTTATAACAAAAACTTTATTCATATGCATAGCATTCCATCCTTGTCAACTTGATATGAAAAAAGCTAGAGAATTTCAAAATTATTGGAAAGTAGTGGGTATCTCAGCAGATTTACAGGTCGCAAGACTACAGAGGATAAATATCAACAAAATAATTTATCCAGAAGTCTCTTAAATATTTAAGAATTACACCCAGTTTCTAGATAAGCCTTATAGTAAATACACGTCCTATATTCTTTTCCCATAGATGTAAAAAATCTATGTTTTGTTCTATTAAAGTTTTTTCTAAGCAGTTGCTACAAATTCTTTTTTAATATCCTAACCTCCTCCACAAGCCCTTTAAAACTTTATTAGAACACTTGTAATTTCCATGATTCTGTTGTTTTTAGGATTGAATTTGGTTGCTATTTTTTGCAAAGAGAAAGAAGTAAAGAATGCTTGTTTATGAAAGTGTTTAAATGGCATTCTTTTATGGTAAACAAAACATTTTATTCAGCGATATATAAATGAATGCAATACCGAAAACCACTTGATGTAATTGAAAGCTTAGAAAAATATCTGTTCTGTGCATATCATCATTTCTGAAGCTTGTGCCCCTTTTAAAACCATTCGATAGTCAAATTGCCACTCTCTAAAATAGCACTCGCATAAGTCTTATTAAAAATAGAAAACACATTTGTTTCAATTGAAGCAGATTTCATCCTGTCATTTTCTTGTAATTATCTAAACTTTAAACTTTTGCTAAGTTTGCACAGATAATTATGTGCAATGAAAAAAATAAATCAAACTTTACTGTAAAATTATATCTCATTTAAGTGGACTGTCAGAGTTTGTTTAAAGAAATTAGAAAACATCAGCTAGCCCCAACCTGACTGTCCATTAGAATCTATAGCTTTGATTTCTTTGTGCTCTTCTTAAGGTTCTCTGTAGGATCTGCTGACACCATGCTAATACATAGTACCAATAGCTTATTGATGATATATTGTACCAATCAACTAATGCTTAATTTTAGGGAGACTTGCTCTTCAGTCCAACATAGAATTTGTAACAACTCTACACATTAGAGAAGGTGGCATCTGAGAAACCCACTTTCAGTTATCATTCAGGATGCTGAATTATGAGGAATTATGAGGAATAATGAATTAAGACATGTAGAGTCTTAATCCTGAGTTACACACAAACTGCTCAATAAATGGTAGCTGGTCTAGTTGTTGTTATTCTTTTCCTGATAGTTGACCAAAGTGATATTTTCTTTCTAGATGAAGTGGCAAAGCTAGATTTAACTTGTTGATCTGAATTCATAACATTAGTTCTTTCAGATGTACTGCATCCTGACTTCTCCAGAAATTAAGATGAGCCATCTCTGAAAATAGAATTTGCTAAAAAAAACCTGTTTGATTTAAAATTTATTGTACGCAAACAATAATGTATTCTCTGATAAGGGAAGGTTCAACCTTATTCCTGCCTGATATCCCTTTCTGAGCAAAAATATGATGATGCCTATCCCTGTTTTCAGGATTAAAGGAATCGTCTCTGCTATAATTCTTTGCTAGAGAATTAAAGTAGGCCTGTGGCTTTATTTTATCATGGTTTTTTTGTTTGTTTGTTTGTTTTTTGTTTTTTGTTTTTTTTACGTATTATTTCACTGTATATTTATTGATTTTATTTTAGGTTGATGCTTCTACTCAGAAAGGTGAAGAAAGTGAGACATTTGATGTAGAACTCACTAAAAATGTCCAAGGATTAGGAATTACCATTGCTGGCTACATTGGAGATAAAAAATTGGGTAATTTTAAACATTAAGTATTCTTTTAAACTTGACAATTACCTCTGATATCTATCTCTTATAAAATATTGAGTTGATATTACATGTTTCAGGTTGTTGGATAAACTGGTTGAAAACTTCCTTAGGAATAATTTAGTGTAGGTGACTCTTATATTGTATTTAAGACAGACAAAACAATTATCTTATTCTTTAGCCTGTGTTTCTACTAGATGATACGTATTTATTCTGAATTAGAGCTTTATAGTTGGAGAATCGAAGATGGATATTCTTTGAATGTGCTTTGAAAATTGTGAAAAATAAACTATTTCTAATCTTAGAACCTTCAGGAATCTTTGTAAAGAGCATTACAAAAAGCAGTGCCGTTGAGCATGATGGAAGAATCCAAATTGGAGACCAAATTATAGCAGTAAGTTACACATTTAACAATAGCTTTGTTAATTTTCATGGTTGAGAATTGTATTCTCCTAGTTTACTTAGTTTTGAGAGCTAGAGTTAACTCTGTACTAATTTAAGCTTTTTTGGTGACTTGAGGCTATTATTACAATTACCCTTTCTATTATTTTGTGGAAGTAAAATAAGGGTATTGGATATAAGCTTTACTCATCTCAGTTCCAAACGGGAGACTTCCTTCTTGAATAATTCCTGATATATCTAATTTCTGGTTGTAATGAATTTATTACATTAATATTACACTTATACGTTCCTTGCAGATACTCCAGAGGTAGAGACCAGATGTCCAGTACCTTTAGGGTATTGGAATATGAATTAGGGATGCCTGCATTGTTTTTTTTTTTTTAATCAGCAGAATGATACTGTTATTGTTGGCTTTATGGCCGCGGCTGCTTTCAGCCCTGAGGATATATAAGAATGAAAAAAAAAAAACCTAGCTTCTTGTAATTAGTTCAAGCTATCATTGTTATCGTTGTAACATCAATGTGTTTTAAACATGGCTATTCAAGGCACTGTACAGAAGAGCCCAACTTTAATTTCAGTGTTCAGTTGATACCGGACTCCCCAGACTGCAGCCTGAAACAGAAATTCAAGAGACCCTGCAACAAAACTTCCTTATCAAATAAGTTTAAGGGAAAACTGCCTACAATATAGTCTTGTATGAATTCACAGTGCACATAGAAAAATTGAAGACAGCTGGGTGTCTTCACTGAGCTGGTGGCTCATGCCTGTAATCCCAACACAGGCAGATCCTATCTCTAAAAAAAAAAAAAAAAAAAAAAAACAAATTGCTGAATTGCTGGGCATGATGTTGTCTGCCTGTAGTCCTAGCTACTTGGGAGGCCAAGGTGGGAGGATTCCTTGAGTCTGGGAGTTCAAGGCTATAGTGAGCTATGATTGCACCACTGCACTCCAGCCTGGGCAGCAGAATGAGATCTTGCCTCTAAAAAAAGACAAAAAAAAAAAAAAAAAAAAACCTGCAATAGAGAAACCTGTTTATCTGTTTTACCTTAGTGTTTACTAAACTTTTGTAATTGTGAGGTCTTTATTTTTCCAAACATATATTCATATTCTTTGAAAGACATCTTGAGGGAATGCTGATTTATCTTATTAGGTATTTGTTTATGCTTAAGTTTCTGTTGTTCCCTTAGAATCTTAATAATAGTGAGAAAGTAGGATATTAAGGTAGAGGAGTCCTTATTCATAGCAATATTATTCACACTCGCCACGACATGGAAGCAACCCAAATATCTATGAATGGATAAACAAAATGTGATATATATATATATATCATATATACACACATATTGATATATATGTTGACATATATAGATATATAGACACATATTGCTATATATACACACATATTGATATATATATATCAAAATGTGATATATATATATCCAATAGAATGTTATTCAGTCTTTAAAGAGAAGGAAATCTTATCACATGCTTCAGCACTGAAAAACCTTGAGGACATTATGCTAAGTGAAATAAGTCACAAAAAGACAAATACTGTACGATTTCACTGATATGAAGTATCTAAAATAGACTTATAGAAACACAAAGTAGATTAGTGGCTCCCAGGGACTGGGGAGAGGGGAAATGAGGAGTTGTTCAATGGGTATATTTCTGCAGTTCTGCAAGATGAAAAAATTCCGGAGACCTGTTGCACAATGATGTGAATATACTTAGCACTATTGAATTGTACTATTCAAAATGGGTAAGATGGTAAATATTGTGTTTTTCTACCACGATTTTAAAAAATGGAGGAGTCCTTTATCTCTCCCTTTAAGTCCACATTATAACTCCGTGAGTCTTCTTGGGTTTTGTTCTGTGAAACTCCTACCTACACCTGTTCACCTCTTCAGATCTACACTAAAGATCAAGTTGTGCTTGCCACCTCATCTGGCTATATGCCCGAAGTGAGCTTTCTCTGTGTATCTCCATTTTACCATACAATGTAAATGAATTACTGTACATGTTTTTGTTTTGAGGGAAAGTGAAAGACAGAAGGAATACATACGGAGTCTAAATCCATATCTGATGCTGAATTACAAATTGAAAGCATAGCTAATTTACTTTTTTCTCCTAAGTAATCTATATTAATCAATTAGAAAACTTTTAAAAAAATAAGCTTGATTGAAATGTAATTCACATACCATACAATTCACCCATTTAAAATGTACAGTACAGTAGCTTTTAGTGTATTCACAGAGTTGTGCGTTCACTACCATGGTGAATTCTAGAACATTTTTCAGAACCCTAAAAACATTTTCAGTACCCCTTAGCAGTCACCTTCTCCCCCATTCTCCCAGTCCTGGGCAACCACCAATCTACTTTCTGTCTCTATGGATTTGCCTGTTCTGGATATTTCCTGTAAATGGAATCATACAAGATGTGGTTCTTTGTGACTGACTCCTTTCACTTAGCATAATGCTTTCAAGTTTCATCTGTATTGTAGTATGTTTCAGTCTTCATTTCCCTTTATTGCTGAATAATATTCCTTTATATGGATATACCATATTTTATTTACCCATTCATCAATTGATGGACATTCGGGTTGTTTCTACTTTTTAGCTGTTATGAATAATGCTGCTGTGAACATTCACGTACAAGCTTTTATGTACATATATGTTTTCATTTTTCTTGGGTGTATACTTAGGAGTGGAATTGCTGAATCTTATGATAATTCTGTGTTTTACCAGTTACCAAATGCCCTGATTCAGTTTCTTCACTTACAAAGTTGGGATAAGGAAACTTCTCTTGTGTGATATTCAGGAAAATCAAATGAGTATTTTATTGACAATATCTGATAGCAGATATCTGATAGCAGTTTAATAATTAAGCAGATATTATTTATTGAGGGCTATCATTGAAAGAGTCTCATGATAACTTCCCCCTAAATTTGTCATTATCTTCATTCTTATATAAGTGGAATCTCAAATATAATTCCTCTTAGGCAAGGTCAGTGATGAAGGAAATTGTTGATGCAAAGGTGGAAGAATCTTTTCTCTGAATTGTTTTCTTGCTTTCAATAAAATCACTTGACTTCACTCATCAATATTCTGATTTTTAATTTTTAGCAAACATTCTTTTACTACAAAGATATAAGCATTTTAAATTCCTGGAGAACATCATGCAATGCTTTTGAACATGTATTAATTTTTTACTAAATATCACCATCTTGTGGACTTTTGAGATATTTGCAGTAATGTTCTTCACATCCAGTTGCATTTTCACAACTGCAGTCTTTGTCTGTTATTTGTTCGATTTTTGTTTTGACAGCAGCTATTAGGAGTATAATCTATTTTTATTTTGTAGTTGTTGAAGTGATGAGATTAAGAAATTATTTCTTACTATTTTGAAGAGTTATTTTGTAACTTAAAAATATTTTGTTATAAGGTTCTTGTTTTACACATTGTGTTCTGTGGACCCCTGGGTCAACAGGGTTTCACTGTAGGCATTACAGTGACAAGGAATAGACTGAATGTCTCCATTTTTCCCATTTCATATGTTGGTATTCTTTAAATAATTTGACTATTTGACAAAAGGAGTCTGTTGTTTTTTCAAAAAGTTGAACAAACTTGTCATTAGATAAAAACACTCATTCTTTTTAGTTTGATATTCAATATGCTAAAAGCAGTAGGAAATTATGATTGATAAAAATTATTAAATAAGCATATAAATAAGGAAAAGTGTCAAACGTTGCCTTTGGTTTTCTGTGACTGTGTTCATAGATTGAAGTTCTCTCTTTATACGTATAGGATATGTTGGAGGAGGCCCTGGCAACCTAGGTTGAGTATGCTCAGGGGCCAGATTTTGTAAGTTGTTCCAACTAGTATTTCTCCCCTGTAATTGTTCCTGTTAATTGCAGTGTCTGCAGTGCACACTACGAGGATGTTGGCTCTCTTCTTTTTTTTTTTTTTTTTTTTTTTAAACCTTGACCAGGTGGTCTTGAACTCCTGGGCTTGACAGATCCTCTCGCCTCTGCCTACCAAAGTGCTGTGATTACAGGTATTAGCCACCGCACCTGGCCTGGATCTCTTCTTTTCATGAGATAGCACATAGGCAATTTGCTGCCATTATACTACCTAGTTCTACTGCACTCTTCTCTGTGGTACCATGGGTTCTGAACTGACTTCTTGACTCTCTTGTGATAAAGGGGAACCAGAGCTAACCAGGACCCCTTAGGCTTCGTGACTTTGGCTCATATGTAGCATGGGTGTGATTATATTGAACAAAAACCTCTCCCAGAAAAGCCTTGGAGATTTTTATGTTTATTACTCACTTCTTTACTCTTTTAATAACCAGCTTCTGAGTATCTTCCCAGTACAAAGTGCCATGTGGTATAATTCTTGGAAAATAGATCTTATTTCCATAATACAGATGAAGGTAACTAAGACATTTGAACAGAAGTCTAGGTTTAAAAGTTCATGACTGTTCCATTATAGCAGTTTCTTCTGTGCTAGTATTATTCTCTGTCATTTGAGTAAGGAATACATTTTAAAATCCAAGTCATCAAGTTCAGAAGATAAAGGAAAAAAACACAGTTTTTAAACATATTTTAAGTTGTTATTAAATAAACAAAATCATACACATTAGATTTTTCTAAATAAAACTTCACTTTTAGATAGAATTGAACAATAAGAATGTTTTGCAGATAAAAAACAGCCTAAAGTTCTATGCATTTTATGAATTTTCATGGAGCCCCAACATGGAGATTTTTGCCATTTTTTTCCTTTATTACTGTGAGAGTAAATAACATGTTCATTTATTTTACATTAATTTTTGTCTTTAAGGTTTAAAGAATATAAAATTTGAACATGGTTAAAAAGCCTTCTCATAGAAACCACTCATAATAGCCACTAATAATAGTTTATGGTTTAAAATTTAGAAAAATTCTATGTATTTATACTTAAATAGCATCATATTATATTTGCCTATACCTTTTTATTTTACTTAAAAACTTACCTGGGAAAGGTAGTTATGTAAGCACATGTAGGTCTGTTGTGATATATTGAAGCAGGCTTAATCATGGATCGTTATGTTGTTTACAGTTTGTTGTTACAGACAGATTATTACATACTACCTTATATTTCTTTTAAGGACATGAAACATTTAAATTCTATTTTGTTGCTGTAATACTATTATTTAGATTTGAATTTTACTTATTTTGTTGCTCAGCACTGTATCTTGTATACTACAGATTTCTTAGTTTGAATTTTAAATCCAATTAAACTCATTTGGCTGGAGTGTTTTGAGTAAACTTTACAGAAAGAGAATGTTTTAGCGGACTTTCTAAACTTTTTGTCTCTGAGAACCTCTTGTGTTGACTTCTTATATTTTGACTATTTAGTTGGTGATAACAAATATGTTGGACAAAGAGGATTTATTAGGTATAATCTTAACTTAAAAAATTTTGTCATCAACTGCCCCTTTTAATTTTTAATGGGGAAGGTTCTTCCCTTTCCCCTAGAAGAACTCTTAGGCAAGTCTTCATGTCTTGGGGTATTCTTGTAGAGTAAGTTATCCTGTGGCCAATCAAAATAATCAGACACAGTTGCAAATTAGTAATAAAATTTTTCCCATACTAAATAATAGTCTAATTTCAAATGAACCCCCTGGCATATTAGAAGCCCGCTATGAACTGATGGCTTACCTAGAGATAGAGGGTATATCACTCAGTCTGTCTCTCCCCACCTAATTTTTCTTTTCTGCCCACACCTTATTTTGGCTTTTATGGTGTAAAAGTTGAGAGAAGAGAAGGAAGAAGGAAGGGGCATTTTGTCTGACTGCTGAAAGATGGCTTTGTGCTAAGTGAGCCTGGCAGATGTTCAGAACTGACTATCTCTGAGGGTTTCTTCTTGGGCTCTTGGAAGATTCCAGTGGAGGTATATTTGGCTTAATTTTCCATGAATAACAGATGATGGATTTTTAACGTAGCTGACTCTTCTTCCCACTGGCCCCTGATTTCTCAGCAGTCTGTTTCATAGATTGTCTCTTTTGAGTCCCATCATTCCCTTGGAGTCCTGTAGTAGGTTTCAAAATGACTTGAGCCTGGCTCACTCCTGTGTGGTCTATGCCCAGACAAAGTCAGGGAGGTGAGCAGCTCCCAACATAACAGAAGTTTCCTCTGGCTCCACTGTCAAAGCAGCTAAACAACCTCTTCCTTATCCTCCTGATGGCATTAGACACAATCTGCTGCATTGCCTCTTCTGCAGGTGACTTTGGACTTGAAGTCAAGGGGGAAATACCTGGGTGGGTAGGGTATATAGCATTCTTTCCTCTTAAAAAAAAAAAAAAACTTCCTCTTAAGTTTTTCTTAACATTTAACAACACTTAGTTCTTTTATGCCCTGAATGTGTGTGAATTGTAGTTCTTTACCACCTAGTTTAAATTTCCGCTTGGTGGCCCTTTTTACAACTTGCTTTGATATAGGATATTAATAATCATAGCATCTCAAGCACAATTTCTGTTTTCTCATACATCACACTAAGTATAAGATTCTTGGTTTGTAATTTCTTTTCCACAATTGTACAGATAACCTAGTCTCTCTCTTTGCTGCCTAGAGGCTGGTAGATCTTTTTTCTTTTTATCTTTGAAATATAAGAATTTTACCAGGATACATTCAGGTGTGAGGTTTTTTTTTTTTTGTAATTTCTCATCATTTTCTGTTTTTTCATGTGCCTTTTTGATTTGTAGAGTTGGGTAAGTTTCCCTTCTCCCTAATCCTTTCTTTGATTTTTTTCCCCCTCATTTATCATCTTCTCCTTATAATTTCTTTTATTAGTGTGTTGGATTTCCTAGCTCAGCCTATGAGTCTCCAGCCTTGTTTCTGATCATTTTTTATCGGTTTATTCTTTTCCTCTGAGCTATGGGAAAATTGCATGCATGACCTGGACTTTGTTTTTGCAGTACTTAAAATCTTGTTGACTGCCTTCATTGTAAGTTTTCTTTTTCTTTTTTTTGGGGGGTAGATACTTGTTTCTTCTTTGTAATTCCTGCTTCCATAAATACAAGGAAATGTGAACTATTTTGATAGTAAGTTTCAGGAAATATCTTTTTTCCTGTTCACTGCAATAACAACTTCATAGGAAGATACATGCACCGATCTTCAGTGTGCAACCTGCTTTTGGACCGTGATATTTCACATTCCATGACCCTTGGTCATTCTCAAAAATAACTGGGCTTATACAGATAGAAGTTGAGATGGGTTCTGCTGCAGATTGTATGGTTTTTTTCCAGATGTTTTAAGAATTGACAAAGTGACAGGGAAGGGGAAAGTTTAAATTTACTGTAGCTTCACTTGATTCATTTGTAGATTAACAAAATGAAGAGGAAACCAGTGGTAGAGGATCACACTGGGGGATTTTGCCTGTTTTTGTTTTCTGTGTTTGCTCTGATAGCCAGGAGTTATTTGGAGTTGTGTGTGTGCTTGTATGCACACATGTGTGGTTAAGGTAATTTTTATTACAAATAAAGTAATTCTGTGCTATTACATGCAACCCAGCTTAGTATGGCCTTTAGTACTTGGTGTGTTTCTTGGAGTTACTGGTTAGGATCCACATATACCATCTGATTGCCTCACTTAATGAGAGGGTGTTTTTTGTTTTTTGCTGAAGTTTCTTCTTACAGACCAGACAGGCTATTCCCACACATACAGAGATTCAGTTGGCCTGCCTTTGATCTGGCCATGCGCAGACCATTTCTAGTAGAAATTCCTCCAAGTTGCTGGTCTAAGGACCTTGGTGCTTCTTTGGTTTCCAGTTTTGTTGCAGTGTTTTCTCTGTTCTATTTTGTTAGTTTTTCTAACAGGGAATCAGCAGGGTGGAGATAGGGAGAAAGAACAGAGCCAGATACTTATGTTCAAGTCACCATCCAGCTCAGAAGTATCATAGAAGGTTTAAGGAACTGACAGAGTATGAGATTTTCATCTAGATCAGAGGTTTCTGGATTTTTGATTGAATATTCCCTCTAGTAAAAATAACTACTCATTTTCCCTCTTTCTTCCTCACTATATATTCATATATATTGTTGTTATATATATTATATATATATATCCTATATAAACTTAGACATTATATGCTGTTTACATATGTGTACATATACATAATTACATATATACACACCTACATATACACATATTTACAAAGCAAATGAGTTTTTAAAATGTTTATTTAGAGGTTTTATTATATTCTTTCAGAAACCTTTGCAGTAAGGGTACTCCATCTTGGAGACAACTGATCTAGGTCTTTTTTTTTTTTTAATATTTATTTATGTAAGACAGGGTCTCACTCTGATGCCCAGGCTGGAATGCACTGGCATGATCATGGCTCACTGCAGCCTTTTGAACCTTCTGGGCTTAAGTGATCCTCTCAACTCAGCCTCCTGAGTAGATGGGATTACAATCATGTGCCAATACGCCTGGGTAATTTTTCTGTTTTTTATAGAGACAGGGTTTCAGCATGTTGCCCAGGCTGGCCTCAAACTGTTGGGCTCAAGCAGTCCTTCTGCCTCAGCCTCCCAAAGTGCTGGGATTACTAGGCATTAGCCACTGCGCCCAGCCTTGATCTAGATCTTATAATTTTCGCATATTTACTAAGTTAGTAAACATCTGAATTACAAGATTTAGATTATAAAATCCAGATCTTTTCTAACTTAGTAAACATTTGAGTGCCTAATATGGCCCCACTATGCTTGGAAAAGCATTACACGTACAGTCATTTTATAGTCATTTTGCAATTCTAAGGAATATTAATGACTTTGAATTTCAGCATTAAATTTATTGCTCTGCTTTTTCAAATTGTTTTTACTGTGATTTTATGAATTAAACAACATGTTGTTAAAATTTATATTTATCTACCTCAGAATATAATTTGCTTTACAAATAAGTTTTTGACCTATGAGCCAATGGCTCTGTATTTTAATATCTATAGTATGGACAGCACCATGTTTTGATGACACTACTATAAGGAAAAATGATACAGAGCCTGTCCTTGGAGTATATAGTCATAAACTGCATAATAGCAGAAAATGTAAAATTAAAATTCTGAAAAATGCTATGAGGAAGAATGGGTAAAAGGGGGCTTTGACGGCAGTCAAAGACATCAAGGTAGTTTATTATGAAAACAACTATTGAACTGAAATATAAAGCAATTATATGTATTTTCTAAGTAAGCTATTGAGAAAGAGCATGGTCTAGAGTGGGCTATCCAGAGAGTCCAGGCTGAGGTAACAGGACTTGCGGAGACTCCATGGCTGAAGAGAGAACTGCAAGTCAGAGGAATGGAAGTGAGCCCTCTGTGGCTGAGGGGCAGAGAGTAATGGACAGCATCATGAGAGATGAGGTTGGGGCTGGTGGGAGGTGGGAGCAGTTGGCACAGGCCATTCTAAGCCACGTTGAGAATTTGGAGCATTGTCCTAAGGAGTTTTCTGTAGAAGAGAGGGTTGGGGAGATATGATCATATCTATATTTTGGAAAGATCACCGGGACATTTTTGAATGTTTTGTCATTTGTGAAAAGGGGAAAATCAAATGTATTTTTCTGAAAAGACAAATAGACAGGACACTTTTTTTCTTTCTTTTTTGAAAGGCCATATAAATATGACCTTGTGATACATCAGTGCACTCAGTGAGCACATTTATCACTGTCTTCTATACCTTTTAATCCTGCATAGTTCTGGTTCCAAACTTAACTGTGCATTGAGATCACCTGAGGAATATAAAAGCATATTTAGAAAGGAGTAGAAGTAGGGCACAGTGGCCTGTATCTGTAAACTCACCATTTTGGAAGGCTGAGGTGGGAGGATCCCTTGAGCCCTGGAGTTCAAGACTAGCCTTAGCAACATAGGGAGACCCCATCTCTACAAATTTTTTTAAAAAGTAGGCCGGGTGCAGTGGCTCACGCCTGTAATCTCAGCACTTTGGGAGGCCGAGGCGGGCAGATCACGAGGTCAAGAGATCGAGACCATCCTGGCCAACATGGTCAAACCCCGTCTTTACTAAAAATACAAAAATTAGCTGGGCATGGTGGCACGCACCTGTAGTCCCAGCTATTCGGGAGGCTGAGGCAGAAGAATCACTTGCACCTGGGAGGTGGAGGTTGCAATGAGCCGAGATCGCACCACTGCATTCCAGCCTGGTGACAGAGTGAGAAAGAAAAAAAAAAAAAATAGCCACGTGTGGTGGTGTGTGCATGTGGTCCCAGCTACTTGGGAAGATACGATGAGAGGATCGCTTGAGCCTAGGAGGTTAAGATTGAAGGAAGCCATGATTGCACCACTGCACTCCAGGCTGGGCAATAGAGTGAGACCCTGTCTCAACAAAAAGGGAAAAAAAAGGCATAGAAGCCTGTGTCCTACCCTAGAACTAGTGACTCATTTTCTGGATATGGTACCCCAGAATCTATATTAAAATAAACAGAAGCCTCTCAAATGATTCTAGTGCATCCCTGTTAATACTGGTTTCCAAAGAGATATTAGGGTCTTACTGTCAATTCCCTGATAAGGTGAATACTTATTCTCCATTCTTTTCACACTAACAACTATACATACACATTTTGTGAATTGGTAATACAAATATCCATTTATTTAACATGTAACATGCTTTTTTTTTTTTTTAATCACAGGTAGATGGCACAAACCTTCAGGGTTTTACTAATCAGCAAGCAGTAGAGGTATTGCGACATACAGGACAAACTGTGCTCCTGACACTAATGAGGAGAGGAATGAAGCAGGAAGCCGAGCTCATGTCAAGGGAAGACGTCACAAAAGATGCAGATTTGTCTCCTGTTAATGCCAGCATAATCAAAGGTAATCCTATGTTAATCTGGTTTTTAGTTAGACCTTTATATTGTCTCCAATTTTTTTTAAATTCCAAAGTAACTTACTATTTCAGAATGGTTCTTAATTATTCAGAATGCTTTTTACCCTCAACTATTCATTATAAACCAAGGCGAGTAAAGAAGTGTAATAAAGTCAGGATTGACTGGAACCAGCAATGTGTTTATAAACTATGGAGTAGGCTTCTGAATAGAGCAGATTTCTTTCTATCCTATTCATTGTCACCATTTCTCAGTTGGAAACAGGCAGTCATTTACCTTTCTGTTTCTGCCTTACTTCTGGATGTCATTGCAATGTTCTCACTTTAGGGGGATGCTCTTCTGCCTGGATTATTTATGTGACCTTCATAAAAATTCTAAATGCCCAGCCTTTCCTTGAAGGAATCGACTTTAATTCCACATTTAGAAATGTCATTCATAAGCTGTTTGTACATGAATATGTCTGCAAATTACTGAAACCCCTGTGTAGCTCAGGGGTTTATTGGTAGAAATCAGGCTTTTCGCTGAAAAGTGCTGTTTCATTTCTAAAATTGTTGACCATTCTGATATTTATGCCATTTATACATATTGCACTATTAAGAGACAGAGGGGCAAATCACAGGAGAAATGTATTCTTTTCCACTAACAGAACTTGCCTTTAAGTACATATAGTTATTGAGAAGTTTATCTCTGAAAAACAGATTCTCATGTAGGAGTTCAAATAAATATACTGGGTTTAGAAAAATTCAAGTACTTGATTATACTAAAGATAAAATTACTAAAATATTTTTATCTTTAAGAAAATTATGAAAAAGATGAAGATTTTTTATCTTCGACGAGAAACACCAACATATTACCAACTGAAGAAGAAGGTAAACACCTAGCGCCAGCTTATTGTGTACTTCATTATTTTTCTTTTTTAGAAATGATTTTTACAAATGTGATTAAGCCTCTATGGATATATTGTAAGTTACTAAAAAAAATTTCAAAAAGTGAAGTTTGTAAATCCCTGTTTATAAATGTGACTAAGTGGTCTTATGGATTAAAACATTCCATTTATAGCTAAATTATACTTTTGTTTATCGTTCACTTACACTTTCTTGCTGAGTCAATCTATTCTTACTTCCATATTTTTATTTGACCAGAACTCCTTAGGAATTAACTGTTTGTATGTGTGGTTCTAATTTAATCTCTTTGTTTCTATACAGCCAACATAAACTAACAGTAATAAAATTATAAAGTATTTAAAAATAAACACAGGAGAATCATTAACACATAAGCTCTTGGGAATGAGACTATTCAATTTTGGGAGGCTTTTTATCACTTCTTAATTTTTCAGGGGTTCCAAGATTTAATATTGGGAAGTGGTTTGGAAGGTAATTGCAGATAAATTATCATACCTTCTGGGAATTCTCTCACTATAAACTTAGGACCCATTAAGCTATTTTTAAAAATTTAGAGTAGCATTATTATTATTATTCGTATTAGAGACAGATTTCGCCATGTTGGCCAGGCTGATCTCAAACTCCTGACCTCAAATGATCTGCCCACCTTGGCCTTCCAAAGTGCTGGGATTACAGATGCGAGCCACCACACCTGGCCAGTAGCATTATTTTAATACATAGTTTTGCCAGAATGTTGCTGCCCTCTTTTTATTCTGTTGTGCTGTGTGCTTCCTTTACCTTTCAGATTGCTTTAGGTACTTGGTAACTTAAACTCACTGAACAGAATACAAGACTGATCTCCCTCCCTTCATGTGAATATACTTATACCGAAGCTTTGTTGTTTTTTAACATATCTGTTCCTTCATTATTGGATTTTCTGCTGAAAATTTTGAATGAGCTTTACAATTTTAAAGGGATATTTATGTTTGCAGAGATATTCCAGAAGTTAGATCTATAGAGTTCACTTGTACTAATAACATTCTGCCATTTTTACACTAATAAGTAAAGAAATTATTTAGGCTAAAGTGAATATCAGGAATTGTAGGAAAGGGTAAAATTGTTTAGAGCATGATACTTGTGATATTAAGTGGGCATGGGTGTGGGAGTCGTCTCCAAGGCGCAGAACCATCTATTTTGCTTTGGTGAAGGTAGCTAATGAGAAATCCCTCTCTCTCTCTCTTTCTCTCTCTGTGTGTGTGTGTGTGTGTGTGTGTGTGTGTGTGTGTGTGTGTGTGGCAGGATACATGGGGGTGACTATAGACCTAGAATCAGGAGTCCCAGAATCTTTTTTAAACAAAATAAAGCACAAACTTCTAAGTGACTTTAATGCATCTGCCCTAGTACTAGTCCTCAGACAAGGGGTAAGATATTATTGCCTCTTCCACAGATATTTTACACATCGTGCAAGCCTGGACAAGTCATTTGACTTTCCAGCAAGATCAGAGGTTTAGACTTTATGATTTTTAAATATATGCCTGAAATCCAGTCTTGGGGCAGTTGTGAGAAGGTGAGAATGGAGAGTTGTTCTGCTAAAGGTTGGTTGAATATGAATTGCAGACTGTTTTTATCAGCAGCACGATTCCCCACTTTCTCCATTCATAATCTCACCCGCTTAAATCACTGTCTAGCTGTGTAAACACAGCAGACTTAGAAAAAGGAAGTGTGGAAAGAGATAGGACTCTGAACTGACCCTCCTGTTTCTCTTGCAGAATCAGTTCAAAGCTTCCCTGTAGTCTGTGTTCATCCTTGCATACTTATTTCTCTCTGTACTGAATTTGTTTATTTGCTTTTATTATTTTTAATTGACCTATAATAATTGTACATATGTTTGGGGTACAGTCTGATATTTCCATACATGTATACAATGTATAATGATCAGATCAGAGTAATTAGCATATCCATCACCTCATAGATTTATTTTTTCTTTGTGTTGGGAACATTCAGCACAACATCTTGCTCCTCTGGCTATTTGAAAATATGCAGTAAATTGAAGAGTGACATCAACAAGATGGCAGATTAGAAGTGCCTCCCACATCCTTCTTCCTATATACATACAACTGGAAACTATCAAAGACAAAAATACCACCCTGAGTTCACCAGAACTAGAGAGAGAAGCAGAGAAACTTCCTGGGCCTACAGAATTGAGAGGAGCCATGACTGATAAGATAAATGGTAATTTTAGGCTGAGCTGCACCCTTCCTCAAACTGGCATAATGCCATTCAAAGAGAATTTCTTTAGACCCACAGCTCCCAAGATGAGAGGAGGAAATTGGAGGTAGACATTCATTCTCTCCACTGGTCTGGTAATCTTTCACTGGAAATCCACCTAGGTCCCATTCCTATGAACCACTGGGAGTTCCAGGAGGGCTAAAGCACTTGGGGTGAATTGGGAGCAAAGACAGAGGCACTGATCACAGTGACTGGCATGTATCTTGGCAGGTATTCTGCACTCTGATAAGTGGGTACGCCATGTTGAAGATACTGGCTGGTTCCATGGTGCTTCTGGGGTACAATCTGTGGAAAGATCCTGTCCTTAGTTGGATTTTCTACAAAATCCTGGTGCTCTCATGGAGCCATCTCCTGGCCTAGAAACAACTGAAAGGTTGGGATTAAGTTTTGGTGCCAGCTTAAATCTTCCCCAGGCTGGAGACCCATAGCAGGACAACAATAAAATTCTAGGGCAGTGTTTAATTTTCAGTGCTCACTGTAAGCCTACCCTAGAGGAAATAATAGCAAGTCAAGGAGTTAGTTCCAGGGAAGTGTTTTAGTTCCAGTACTCATGTAAATCCTCCCCAGAATGGGAAAAAAACAACAGCCCAGCATTTAAGTTCTGATACTAAGTAGTAAATCTCTAACACCACCAAAGAGCACTTGCAAAAACTGGAAGAGGTAGCCAACTCCTCAAATGAACCATCATCAATGTAAAAATACAAGGATTGTGAAAACATGGAGAAATAGGATACTACCAAAAGAAACCAACAAACCTCCAGCAATGGACGCAGAAGAATTGAAGATCTATGAAATGTTGTACAGAAAATTCAGAATAATCCTGTTAAAGAGGTTCAGGGAATCACAGGAAAATATGGATAGAAAACAAAATGAAATTTAAAAAATAATCCAGGATCACAATGAGAAATTTGTTTCACTGTATCTTTTATTTTTATCTTTGTATCTTTTATTTTTATCTTTTATAAATAAAAGATACAAACCTTAGAAATAAATAATACAGTAAGCCAAAATCTCATTAGAAAGTTTTGATTGAAGCAAATTTGATCAAACAGAGAAACTTAGTGAGCTTGGAGATAGACCATATGAAATAACCCTATCAGAGGAGCAGAAAGAAAAAAGAATTTAAAAGAGTGAAGGAGACCTATGAGAATTATGGGATACCATCAAGTGAACTAACCTCTGTGTAATAGGGACTCCTGAAGGAGACCAGAGAGAAAAAGGCCTAGAAAGCACATTTAAGGAAATAGTAGCTGAAAATTTCTCAAATCTGGAGAAAGACAACACCATCCAGCTACAGGCTTAGAGGTAACCAACTATATTCAATACAAAGAGGAAATCCCCAAGGCACATCATAATCAGACTAGCAAAATAAAAAAAAAAATACTGAAAGCATCAAGAGAAAAGAAACACCACATTCAAAGAAGCCCCAATATTGCTATATTGCTTTCTAGCGAAGTAATGGAGAAATTTCATGCAAATGGGAACAAAAATGAAGAGCAGGAGTGGCTATACTTATGTCAGATAAAATAGGCTAAGTGAAGAACAGTAAAAAAATAAAAAGACAAGGTCATTATTTAATGAGAAAAGCATCAGTAGGTCAATACAGCAAGCAGTTATAACAATTGTAAATATATATACACCCAACATCAGAGCACCCAAATATATTAAAAAAAATAAACCTGAAGGGAGAGATTTACTATAATATGATAATTGCAGGGGACTTCTGCACCCTACTTTCAGCAGTAGACAGATTGTCCAGACAGAAAATCAACAGTAAAACATCAGTGAGACTTCATTGTAGACCAAATTGACCCAATAGACATTTACAGAACGTTCCGTCCAACAGCTGCAGAATACACATTTTTTTCAACAACATATGGAACATACTCCAGGCTAGACCATATATTAGGTCACAAAACAAGTCTTTATAAATCTTAAAATATCAAAATCATATCAAGTATCTTTTCTGACCATAATGGAATAAAACTAGATATCAATAACAGAGGAAACATTGAAAACTCTACAAATTCATTGAAATTTAATACTATGCTTCTGAACAGTGAATGAGTCAATAAATTAAAAAGGAAATTTAAAAATTTCTTGAAACAAATGAAAATGGGAACACAGCATACCAAACCTATGGCCTACAGCAAAAGCAGTTCTGAGAGGGAAGTTTATAACAACAAATACCTACATCAAAAAAGAAGACAGACTTCAAATAAACAAACTAATTATGAACCTTAGAAGAGCAAGAACAAACCAAACCCGAAGGAGCAGAAAGAAAGAATAATTGTAGCAGAAATAAATGAAATTGAGACGAAAATACAAAAGAGTAAGAAAACAGAAAGTTGGTTTTGTAAAGGTAAATGAAATCCTCAAGTCTTTCGCCATAGTAAGCCAAAAAGACCTAAAATAGATAAAATCAGAGACAAATAGGAGACACTATAATTGATACTATTGAAATACATAGGATTGTTAGAGACTATTATGAACAACTGCCCACTAGTAAATTAGAAAACCCAGAAGAAATGGGTAAATTCCTGGACACTTACAGTCTACCGAGATTATAAGATTAAACCATGAAGAAATAGAAAACTTGAACGGACCAGTAACAAGATTGAGTTGGTAATAAAAAGTCTCTAATTAAAGAAAATCCCAGGACTTAAACTTCACTGCAGAATTCTACCAAACATTTAAATAACTAATCCAGTTCTACTAAACTATTCCAAAAAATTGAAGAGGAGGGAATACTCACAAACCCATTATTTGGGGCCAGCCTTGCCCTGATTCTAAAACCAGAGAAGGACACACAACAAAAAGAAAACTACAAATCCTTCATGAACGTAGTTGCAAAAATCCTCAACAAAATACTAGCAAACCAGATTCAACAACACATTAATAAGATCATTAATCATAATCAAGTTTGATTCATCCCAAGGATGCGAGGATGTTTCAACATATGCCAATCAGTAAATGGGATACATCAAATAGATGCTGAAGAAGCATTCAATAAAATTCAACATCCTTTCATGATAAAATCTTTCAACAAGCTAGCAATAGAAAGAACATGCCTCAGAATAATCAAGGCCATATATGAAAAATCCACAGCTAATATACCGAACAGAGAAAAGTCCAAAGACTTTTCTCTAAGATCTGGAACAAGACAACGATGCTTACTTTTACCACCTTTTTTTCAACATAAGTACTGCAAGTCCTTGCCAGAGCGGTTAAGCAAGAGAAGGAAATAACGGGCATCCAGATTGGAAAGAGATAAGTCAAATTGTCCTTATTTGCAGATAAAATGATCCTATATTTAGAAACCTAAGGAGTTCACCAAAAATGGTTAGAACTGATACATGAATTTAGTAAAGTTGCAGGATACATACTCAACATAAAAAATAAGTAGCATACACCACAGCAAATAATCCAAAAAAGAAATCAAGAAAGTGATCCCATTTACAACAGCTACAAGAAAAATAAAATACCTAGGAATAAATGTAAACAAAGAAGTAAAAGATTTCTGCAGTGAAACCTACAGAACACTGATGAGAGAAATTGAAAAGGACACAAAAATATGGAGAGATATTCTATGATCATGGACTAGAAGAATTAATATTGTTAAAATATCAATACTACCAAAAGATATCTATATATTCATTGCCATACCTATGAATATACCAATGGCATTCTTCACAGAAGTAGAGAATGATCATGGACTAGAAGAATTAATATTGTTACAATATCCGTACTACCAAAAGATATCTATATATTCAATGCCATACCTATGAATATACCAATGACATTCTTCACACAAATAGAGAAAACAACCCTAAAATTCACATGTACCCACAAATGACTCCAAATAGCCAAAGCAGTCTAGAGCAAAAAGAACAAAGCTAGAGGCATCACACCAACAGACTTCAAAATATGTTACAAAGGCCTGTCCTAAAACACACACACACACACACACACACACACACACACACACACACACACAGAGAGAGAGATTAAAGACCTAAATATAAGAACTGAAGGAAACGTTAGGAAAATGCTTCAGGACATTGGATTTGTCTGGGCAAAGATTTTTTATGTAATTTCACAAAAGCACGGGCAACCAAAGCCAAAATGGACAAATGGGATCACATCAAGCTAAAAAGCTTTCCTGCACAGCAAAGGTAACAACAATATAAATAGACAACCCAAAGAATGAGAGAAAATATGTTCAAGCTACCCATCTGATTAATAACCAGAATATATAAAGAGCTCAAAAAACTCAATAGAAAAAAAATCAAATAATCTGATTAAAAATGCAGAAAAGATCTGAATAGACATTCCTCAAAGGAAGACATACAAATGGCCAATAGGTATATGAAAAAATGTTCGTCACTGATCATCAGAGAAATGCAAGTCAAAACTACAATGAGATATCATCTCACCCTTATTAAAATGGCTTTTATCCAAAAGACAAGCAATAATGAATGCTGACAAGGATGTGGAGAAAGGGGAACCCTCATAATGCTGTTGATGGTAATGTAAATTAGTACAGCCACTAGGGAGAGCATTATGGAGGTTCCTCAAAAAACGAACAGTTAAACTACCATATGATCCAGCAGTCCTACTCTTGGGTATATATCCAAAAGAAAGGAAATCAGTATAGCAAAGAGATATCCGTACCCCTATGTTCATTGCTGTTCTGTTCACTATGGCTAAGATATGGAAGCAACCTAAGTGCCGATCAACAGGAGAATGGATGAAGAAAGTGTGGTGTATATACACAATGGAATATCATTCAGCCACAAAAAGAATGAAGTTTTGTCTTTTGTAACAACATGGATGAAACTGGAGGACATTGTGTTAAGTGAAATAAACCAAGCACAGAAAGACACATACCGCATGATCTCACTTATAAGTGGGCGCTTAAAAAGTTGATTTCTGGAAATAGAGAGTAGAATGACCAGAGGCTTGGAAGAGTTTGAGGAGGGGTGGGATGAAGAGGTATTGGTTACTGGGTACAAAAATACAATTAACTAGAAGGAATAAGTTCTAGTGTTCAACAGCACAGTAGGGTGACAATAATAACTTATTGTGTATGTCAAAATAGGAAGAAGATTTGGAATGTTCCCAACACACACAAAAAATATAATAAATGTTTAAGGGAATGGATATCCTAATTATCTGTATTTGATCATTACACATTATATACATGTATCAAAATATCACATATACCCTATAAATATGTACAATTATGTATCAATAAAATATTTTAAAAAGAGAATATAGTTAATCATAGTCACCCGATAGTGTTAGAATTGCTCAGCATGGTGGCTTATTGGTGTAATCCCAGCTACTCGGGAGTGTTACTGAGACCAGAAGTTTGAGACCAGCCTGAGCAACAGAGCAAGACCCCCCATCTAATTTAAAAACAAACAAATAAACAAACAAAAACACTGGAACATATTTCTTCTATCTAGCTGTGCTTTTATATCTGTTAACCTCTGGACTGAATTTAATTTTGAGGAAGTAACACTTATTTGGGGAGGCTAGTCTTCAAACTAAAAATATATATATATATATAGTTTATTGTTTACAGTCTTTTAAGGAGAAAACAGAATCATCTTATTAGCTTAAAGCATAACAGACCTACAAAATATGCCTGGAATGAAAGCTCCTGGATATTCCCACTAAAAGAGGAGGCAACTAATAAGAAATCTGAATTTTTTAACATTTTTTAAATTTGAAATTTGAATGCTAAAAAGGATATTGAAATTTAATTTAGAGAATAGTGCCTAATAGAGATTTTAAAAAGACAAATCTTACGAGTAAGAACTGTTATGAAATATGGAAATCTTTGACTATGACTTCAAATTTCTCAACCAGTTTCTTGTTTTAGGTAAGCATTTTAAATTCAGTATTGTTTACAAAATTTGTTTAGTGTTTTTCTGTCCTTTTAAAAATTTCTCTTTTTGTAAATTATTGAGATACCAATTAATAGGCTTTTATTTTAATGTGTAGCCTTAGTTTATTATTATTTCTTTATATTTTCTCATATATGGAGTTACATATATTATTTGTTGATTTCATTTGTTTGATTTTGTGAAATAATAGCATAGTCCTTTTTTCCCCTGATGAACTAAATGAAAATAAAACAGAGAACATTGAAGACGACATCCCTTTTTACTGTAGCATTACCAGAGGACTATGAAGTGAATTCTGGAACTGCTCAGAGTCCTTACTCGTTTAAATAAAAATTAGATAATACATGGGCACTTTAATGGAGGTAAAGATTTAAAATACATCTGTTAAAAGTGAGTAGTGTCAAACATACAAATTATAGGGTTCTTAATTGAAGTATTTAAATAATTATGGAGATGAGAATAGCCCATATATTGGGCGAAGAGTCTGACGTGATACAGCGGGTTCTGATCAGAGAATCCTTGGTACAGGATGTTAAGATGTGGAGATTTCTGTAGTTTGCTGCTAACTTAATTGCCTTGACTGTTTCAGGGTATCCATTACTGTCAGCTGAGATAGAAGAAATAGAAGATGCACAAAAACAAGAAGCTGCTCTGCTGACAAAATGGCAAAGGATTATGGGAATTAACTATGAAATAGTGGTAGGTTAGCTGACCTTCTGTAATTTTCTAACTTGTAACTGTATTTGAGCAGGCAGTTCGAGGGAATAATAGAGGCAATCATTAGAGTTCCAGAGAAGAATCAAATGTACAGGCCTTTTTTAGACAACCTAAATATGGTGATCCAGGTAATAAAAAAAATTTAGGTTGGAGAAAGGTATATAGTAACGAACTGAAATAAATGGGATGGAAGTTTTGAAACTTGCATTTTATCAGTATTTTAATATTTCCAGTAATAGTATGAATAATATAGACACAAGGAAGGATTTTTCTGATTTTTAAACCTATGATTTATAGAAAGAATCAAAATAGAATGAGTTTATTTAAAAATAAAACAAAATTTATCATGACTTATGAACAGAATTGTAAAAGGACTCTTTTCTACTCTTTCTTTTCCACTCCTATGTATTTACCTTCCTGAAGAGGTTAATTCTGCATACTTTTTTTCATACCACTTATGCTGTGGTGAATGTTTTATGTTTATTAGTAGCCTGTATATCTAGCATAGCCATTGTGATCTACCATCCCAAAAGGGGGTCTAATAAAATTGTTATAAATTATCAATCTTAAGGTACATACCATACCAGCAAATTTCACGGATTTCAAAAGAAAAAATAAAATAGTATGTTAGGTAGAATTTTTCATATTTCTTGTAATATTTATATACCTCTGGACTAGAAGGGAGAAGATACAACAGATGACATATATTAATAACTAGCGTTTATAGCATACTTTGTGCCAAGCAGTAGTGTTCTTAGTATTTCATTTAGTCCTCATGACCATAATCATCTTTTTGTTTGTTTGTTTGTTTTTTTGAGACAAGGTCTCGCTCTGTCACCCAGGCTGGAGTGCAGTGGTGCAGTCATGGCTCACTGCAGCCTTGACCACCAGGGCTCAAACTTTTCTCCTGCCTCAGCCTTCCGAGTAGCTTGGACTACAGGCATGCAGCACCACGCCCAACTGATTTTTGTATTTTTTGTAGAGACTGGGTTTTGCCATGTTGCCCAGGCTGGTCTTGGACTTCTGGACTCCAGCAGTCTGCCTGCCTCAGCCTCCCAAATTGCTGGGATTACAGGCATGCACCACTGCACCTTGCTATAATCTTTTTTTTTTTAAACATTCAAAATGATTAACAGTCAAATATGAATTGAGTAAGTATAGCTGTTACTACCATTTTAAATTGACCTAAGGAAAAATAGATTAAGGTCCATCTTAACAGTGGTTAACATGAAACTTCAGAAATTATTTTCATGGAGGGATAGGGTTAATGTGGCAGGTGTGCATAACTGAGACTGCAGTCCTTCGGGTGGTAATTGAATAATGAAGGAGACCCTTTGACTAGCCATTTTGTTGTAGGCATCAGAGCTCAGACTGAACTTTTTTTTTTAAATTTTACTTTTAAGTTCTAGGATACATGTGCAGAATGTGCAGGTTTGTTACATAGGTATACATGTGCCATGGTGGTTTGCTGCACCTGTCAACCCATCATCTAGGTTTTAAGGCCTGCATGCATTAGGTATTTATCCTAATGCTCTCCCTCCCCTTGCCCCCACCACCCTACAGGCCCTAGTGTGTGATGTTTCCCTCCCTGTGTCCTTGTATTCTCATTGTTCAACTCCCACTTATGAGTGAGAACATATGGTGTTTGGTTTTCTGTTCCTGTGTTAGTTTGCTGAGAGTGATGGCTTCTAGCTTCATCCATGTCCCTGCAAAGGACATGAACTAATTCTTTTTTATGGCTGTGTAGTATTCCATGGTGTATATACATTTTCTTTATCCAAAGACTGAACTTTTAACTGCCCTTTGTGCTCATGCTTTCTTGGTGGCATTCCTAGTAATCTGTCAAGTGCGGAAGTATACAATAAATGAAAAAGGACTAAGATATTTATGGGCCTTGGCAAGATAAAGGTAATAAGACATAGATCTGACTTCAAATTGTTTGCTATGTAGCGATACAGCATAAATGAAATCATAAGGGAAGTAGTGTAACAGGACTGACTAATGGACATTATTGGATGGGACATTCTCAGGGGAAGTGATGCCTAAATTGGGTTTTCAGGGGTGAGAAGGATTTCATCCAGTATTAGATTTCAAAGTCAGGTGATATCGCTTCTGAAACTGACTTCTGCACGTTATCATTAAAATTTGAAAGAGCTCTTTTTAATCAAACTTTTTTTTAGTCCTTTTATCCCTCAGTTGCCTTAACTATAAAATAAAAGGGATAAAGTAGATCGTCTTTGGCATACATTCTGATTTTAATATTTTATTTATTGGATTCTGTGTGAAAATGAACAGCTTTCTAATATTCTTCATTATTTAATGTAACAGTAGAAAATTGGAAGTTCATTCTTTGGTTTTAAGGTTTGATCATTTTTAAAGACCGTTGTCTCTGGTTACAGCATAAACCCAGGAATGTGGTTCTGCGTTCTTTGTTTAGCTTCAAACCCTTTTCTAGCTGTGCAGCTCTGGTCATGGTACCTTTTCTGAACCTCGTTTTTCTACTTGGGAAACAAGAGAGAAATTGTACCTATTTATGAGAAACAGATGAGACCTATGTAATGGGAGCTTGCGGCTCACTGCTTCCTTTCAGTTTGTAAGTTCATGAAATCAAAAGACACCAGTACTCTTTCAAAGGAAAAGCCCCAAAGCTTTGCAGTTTTACAATATGGTTTTTGAAGCTTTGTGAGAAAGATGACCACTTTTGGGTAAACATAAAACATAAAATGTGTGCATGAGTAAAAATAAAAAGAATATAAAAATTGTGGTGATCTTTTTTTTTTTCTTTTCAGGTGGCCCATGTGAGCAAGTTTAGTGAGAACAGTGGATTGGGGATAAGCCTGGAAGCGACAGTGGGACATCATTTTATCCGATCTGTTCTACCAGAGGGTCCTGTTGGACACAGCGGGAAGCTCTTCAGTGGAGACGAGCTATTGGAAGTAAGGAGCTATGCTGTTCCTTCTCCTCCTTAAATAAGACATGGAAAAGCTTGCAGGAGGCTTAATGTGGTGAATAAATTCTCATTTTAAATTTCCCCTCCAAAGGGGACTTGAGAGAAATCTACAGATAAAAACAACCCAAAGCAGAAATTTTGTATCTGTGTATCTGTGTGTACATTTAGCTTTAGAACTAATTCCATGCCATTTTTTATTTAGGTTCAGAAAACTATAAAAACAGTCTTTGAAATTTTTTTTAACATTTATTTAATTTTTAGAATAAGTAACGCATTCAGATGTTTAAAATCACAGAGAATACAAAGATAAAGAATGGAAAAGGGTCTCCTTCCTGTCCCAATTCATCCAGTTCTCATCACCCTTCATTAGGTAACTACTAATATATTTGCTTCTTTGTAATCTGCCAGTATTTTTAATGCATAAACAAGAAAGTTTGAATATATTATTTTCCCTCACTTTTTAAAGTACACTAGCATACAATATATGTCATTGTCCAATTTTTTTTTTACTTTATAATTATACAAAATGTCAAAGTTTTATACTATTCTTCTCCTTGTCCTTTTCATTCTTTGGAAATATTTTTATTGTCTCTTTTTTCCAGACCACTACACTGGCAGATCAAACATAGATGAAAGCTAGTGGTTTTTCTTTGAGTGCTTTAGAAGCTCCAATTCCAACAATACTCTAAACTTGCACATAAATTTAGATAGTATTTCCACAGGTCTCACTATAGTTCTGAGCACAGTAAACTGTGGTAATGACTATAGTAAAATTTATATTTAATAAAAAAATTGTGTTCAAAAGAATGTTCATATTATGAAGTGTTGTTTGTTGGACAATGTATCTTTTTTCACAGGTAAATGGCATAACTTTACTTGGGGAAAATCACCAAGATGTGGTGAATATCTTAAAAGAACTGCCTATAGAAGTGACAATGGTGTGCTGTCGTCGAACTGTGCCACCCACCACCCAATCAGAATTGGATAGCCTGGACTTATGTGATATTGAGCTAACAGAAAAGGTATCAGATTTGCATACATGAGGCTAACCTACATATATAATGGAAAGGCTAAATGGCTTAAAATTTTTTAAGCATTTTTCAATTTGGTATTTGATTTACTCACATCGCCCATGGCTTGGAGGATAGAATTTAAAGTCAGACAAATCTGGGTTTGAATCAGACTTGACACTAGCTGTGGGAAATTGGGCAAATCACTTCATCTTTCTGAACCTCAGTTTTCTCCTTGGTAAAATGTAAGTCATGATGCTTGTCTCAAAAAGTTGCCCTGAAGGTTAAATAAGGTTATGTAATCATGTTAGATGTTAATGCATACTATATACTTGTTTAATTTACTTGCAGCATTTCTATGAAGTAGATGCTCATATTCGTCTCCATTTGCAGAAGAGAAAACTGAAGTATATAGTGTGTACATAGTACATATGTGGTAAAAAATATTTTTAAATAACCTACCCAACTCTGCCTGGCACACAGTTACCACTTAGTGAATGGCTAAAATATGGATGGACACAGCATTTCTGTGTGGATAGGTCTTACTTGTTTACATACTATCCTTTTAAAATACAATAAATTTGGCCCATAATGATACATGTCAGATAATTCTCTGTGACATTCAGGAACTCACATTTTCCTGTTTGTTTATTGTTTTTCATTCATTCGTATCATGATGTCAAGAAATGGAGCTAATCAGCTTTTCTGAGGATACACAATACATAGCTAAAGTTAGGATTAGGACTTTGCATAATATGTGGTCCAGTCAAATCTCATTTAAGGTATATTGAGAGATGATGTTAGGATTTGATTTATAGTATATTGAATGAATCAGTACAATGGAATAATTTGGAAAATTTTGAAGAATAAAATGCATAGTTTAGTATTCATATGGGTGATTAGAATAGGGTAGAACAAGAAACATAATTCCAAATTTTATAGCACTCAAAGTCTAGTACCCTATATGTATCCATACATGTTTTTATGTGTATAATGGGATTATTACAATAAAGCAAATGGGTGTCATTTGTATCTGTGGTCCTAGGCTGTGCAATAATTGATTAGAAGCAAAGATATTCTACAAACTAGAATTTCATCCTCATAAACACATCTTTCTTTAAGTTATGTTCATACAGATGAACAAAGTTGAATTAACCTATATTAACCTAGTATTTTGAATCCCTATTTCTGTCTGATGCTTTATATATGTTACTTCATTTAGTCCTCAGAAAATTCTATGAGATGGGTAACTCTGGGACCCAGTTGATGAATATTGCTCAATGTAATTCAAATTTTAAATATTCAAGCTGCTTCAAGCTGGGGGCAAATCTGATTTCAAATCTTATGTTTTGCCACTGTGTATGTTAATTTGTTAATGAAATAACCATATGCACAAGTCACAGCATTTTAGAACTCTTATTTGTATAGAGTATAGAACTTTTGCATATATCCATTTTCTCTTGTTTTTATTTATCATAAGAATTCCTTTTATTTAATATCAAAATAGCTTTACATTTTTTTCTGACTAGAGATGATTGAAACACTGATGAAAAAAGTGACAGTCACGCACAATCCTGCTGTCGAGATATAACCATTGCATATTTTCATAGACCTTTGAATCATATATTTTTAATGTTTGTTAAAACTTAGGTATTTCTTCCTTCTTAACAACTTTCAGTAATTACTACCTTAATTCCTAAAGGTTTCATGAAAAGCTGTTGCTACTCTTGTTTGAGGATGTTTTGTTTGGACAGATGCTGGGAATATCCCTTTTCTTGTAGTGTTGGTATGTGTGTCAGCTAATGCAATGCCTCTGAAATAAGAGCTGTCTGATATTATCCAGCCTCACGTAGATCTAGGTGAGTTCATCGGGTCATCAGAGACAGAGGATCCAGTGCTGGCGATGACTGATGCGGGTCAGAGTACAGAAGAGGTTCAAGCACCTTTGGCCATGTGGGAGGCTGGCATTCAGCACATAGAGCTGGAGAAAGGGAGCAAAGGACTTGGTTTTAGCATTTTAGATTATCAGGTAAGTATATACTACTTTTAACAATTTTTAAAGGCCTATTGTTGCTATCAAAGAAAAAGCAGATGATGATAGTTTATAACCATCAAAGATGTTTTCTTTTTTCTAGTCAGTCTTTCAAAATAGTGATTTATAGGATTCACTGATTATCATAAAGGATTTCTTTTAACATTGAGTTCATTGAGCTATTTTTATTTCATCTCTTGGAATTGGAAGATACATTTTAGGAATATCATAGTGGGTGTTTTTTCGTTATTTGGGAAGTGCTTATGCTATTTGTATTTCCATGGGCTTATTTGATGACTCATATTTTAGTGGTAAGTCATAAAGAAGTAGGTATTTCTTTTGTCTATAACATGAATGCTAATTTATAATCTGATATTCCAATTAATATTTCTGCTGTTCCAATCATTTGACTAAATTTATGAATATACTTAAATTGGTCAAGTTGGCCTTTGTCCCTGCTTGCATTGCATTCTTTGCTAAGGGAGGAGATGGTAAAGCCTGTCTGATAGAGTGCAGCTGTTGTTCCTTACTTACACTAAATCAGAAAGCCACCTTGGATGACTCCAGGAAGTTGTGTTCATAGGGCCTGACTCTGGAGCCTTGTTAAAACATTAAGGTTGCTGTGTGTCTGAAAACACTTCACTACCACATACTTTATGGCCTTGCTCTCTATTCTTTCATTTCAAAAGGATGGGTCCTACCTTCAGTGCACTTATATCTAGTAGTGAGTTGATGTTCCATACAGTAACACCCTATTTAACAATGCTTTTGTTAATAATTAATATACCCAACATCTGGCCTCCAATAATAGTTATAAAATTTGATAACTTATCAAAGTTAAAATTATAATTTTAAAGTTATCTGTACAATTTAAGAGGTCTACTCAGGAACATTAGGAAGTGAGGGTGCCATTGTTTAAGGTGACTTCTTCCTAAACCCTCTAAAATGGAGATAGCTTTTGTCTAAATAATTAGAAATTTTGTATGGATTTTTTTTGGCATGAAAATTTTTAAAGGCACTTGAGACAATTACTCATTCGTTACGATTTAGAGTGGACGACCTGTAGAAGAATTTTCTTTGTAAAATGAGCTGACTCTTTCCTTTTGCCTTCTGTCAGGATCCAATTGATCCAGCAAGCACTGTGATTATAATTCGTTCTTTGGTGCCTGGCGGCATTGCTGAAAAGGATGGACGACTTCTTCCTGGTGACCGACTCATGTTTGTAAACGATGTTAACTTGGAAAACAGCAGTCTTGAGGAAGCTGTAGAAGCACTGAAGGGAGCACCGTCAGGGACTGTGAGAATAGGAGTTGCTAAGCCTTTACCCGTAAGAATTCAGACTTTATTGCTTCCCTTTATATTTATAAGCAAAATGGTTCATAGGTCTACTTTTCGCTTTAGGTGTTCTCATGATTGAATCGTGACTTTTAGTAGTTTTCATCAACGTGATTACTAGCTCCATTCGTATAAAGATTTAGTTTTGAGTAATATTCAAAAAAAATAAAGGAAAGAAAATAGCCAGGAAGTTTATAAATAAACTTCTAACTTACTGGTCTTTGGTTCACTTTTGACATTGATTGATTGATTGATTGATTGATGGAGCCTTGCTCTGTTGCTCAGGCTGGAGTGCAGTGGCGAAATCTCGGTTCATTGCAGTCTCCACCTCCTAGATTCAAGCGATTCTCCTGCCTCCTAAGACCTCCTGAGTTGCTGGGACTACAGCCACGACCATGCCTGGCTAATTTTTGTATTTTTAGTGGAGACGGAGTTTCACCATGTTGGCCAGGCTGGTCTCGAACTCCTTACCTCAAGTGATCCCCCTACCTCAGCCTCCCAAAGTGCTAGGAATACAGGTGTGAGCCACCACGCCCAGCCTTAACATTTTATATTTGATAATAAGGTCATGATTAATGCAAAATCAAATATTTTCAAATGAATATGGCTTACAATATCTATACCAATGTAATGGGGTGTTAAAAAAATTAATAGCATTAACTAACAATAAAATCTTTAATCACAGTGGGATAAAGTAGAATCTCTGTCAGAGTGGCTTCAAGTTGCTAAATTCAGTTGACTTCAACACATTTGCTGTCTAGTTACTGCAGAGCAGGAAATTAAACTTTCCAAAATGGGTTCATCAGTTTGTGGCTCTCCTGGCAGGGAATAGCTCCCAAATCATAAATTACTGTAATAATAGAAACAACTTTATGAATCCGTGCTACATAAAGCAGTATGTTATATTAAATGTAGTGATTGCAACATGGCACTTATCATTGTATTGCAGTTAAATATTAGAGATGTTCTCAATATTTGTGGGTTTTTTCCAGTACGTGAATATAGTTTGAAGTCTTAAGAAAATGCAAACACATAAATATAATTTCGTAAGTAGCAATATGGGTTTGTTGATTTTTGTGAAAGAATTTGTTAAAACAGTAAGCTTTGTTAATGTATTTTAAGTGCCAAAGTTTTGTGCACCACTTTTTAGTCCACAGAGAATTTCAGTAGCCTATTAAAATATATTTATGAAAAAAGAAAGAGAAGGAGGAGGGCAGGATGATTGAAGAATATGTTAATCCAATCTGAAATCGAACCAGGCTTGTAAAAATTATGACAAAAGAGCACTATGGATGGGAATGTAAGAATAAAGATAGGCTATCAGGGACTCTACCTATTTATTAAGATTGGATTATGCATTTGGTTCTGGTCTTTCTGTTGGACAGAGAGAAATGGCAAACATGACTCAATATACCTTTTAGTTTTACTGTCCTTAAGATGAAACCATACCAGTTATTCAGAAGCAGTCTTTTTTTTTTCTGTATAGTTCCAAAATAAATTTCTTTTATGACGGTATTTGATATTTTAAATTCAGTATGCCTTGCAGCATATGATAAATACCTCTACTTCCCAAAGTGAGGCTTAATAAATACTAAACTCACATATATGGGCAAAGAAGAAAAACAGTTTCTTTTCCCCTATAATTCTTCTTCTGTATGTTTTGCTGATGCCAGGTGATGTAGGCAGGCTGATTATCTAAATATTTTAGCCCATTTCGTCTGAGAGTGGAATAAATATGTTAGCTTTTCTGTCAGCGTGACCAAGTTTGTGATACGATATCTCTAACCTGCAAGTTAAGCAGACTGTGGATATGTAGAGATTTGGTTTTTGTTTCGTTTTGTTTTATAAGCCATGCTAAATTGAATTCCCGTAGAGTTCACTAACATTCCTTTTCAAGTAAATTGGATTCTTTAAAATAATATTCTTGTAAGGGATGACAGAAGTTGATATTTCTTTTTAATATTTTGTTTTTCTGCAACTTCTTTTATTAATACCTAAAAGTTGCTTCATTTCTATATTAGGAAGTCATTGTTTGACCAGAATATTTTGCAGATAAAAATAACCGGAAGATTATTAGAATATTAAAAAAAAAATTCATTTAAAAAAATTCTTATAAGAAGAATGAAAAATTAGTAGAAAGGGATTCTCATCCAACAGGTGATTTTTATATTAGAGTAAATAATCCTCATTGTGTCTTATCAAATGAATGTCAAATATGAATATCAGATTGCATACTTACCATTCTATGTTGAAGTCATATCGTTTGAAAACTTTCCAATTTCTTTCTCTTCTCGCCCCCCTCACTTTTCCTACCTTTACTCTTCTTTTCCATTTTCTTTCTTCTTTGCTGTTCTCTCTCTTTTCCATGAATACCATTTTTTCCCTGCAGCTTTCACCAGAAGAAGGTTATGTTTCTGCTAAGGAGGATTCCTTTCTCTACCCACCACACTCCTGTGAGGAAGCAGGGCTGGCTGACAAACCCCTCTTCAGGGCTGACTTGGCTCTGGTTAGTGGCTATGACTTATCAAGCTTTCTTTCAGAAACCTGATATGTCTTACTTTGCCTTTCAAAATATTCTGAAGAAGTCTATTATATTCTTTGTTCATTATTATATTTGGAAAGATAAACATGTTTTCTCCAACTTAGTTCTCACAATTGAAAATGGGAAGAAAAACCATAATAAATATGAAAAACATTTGTGAGGAAAACTTAATTAACGTTGCATTGTAGCAGTATGTAGAATTAATCTTTGTGCCATATCTAAAGTTTGTGGAGCATTTGTTTGCTCCAATTTCACGCTTAGATATCTCTAGGCATTCTTTAACTGTGCTCAATATTCAGTCATAAATCACTGTTTTGGCTGTATTTAATGAGGTAATAGGTATCTTTTTTCCATTAGATATTAATAGTGTGAGAATCATATAAATTGGTTCAGTTATTAAGAACACCAGTTTTATGGAAAGGTAAACCCCATGTTTTCTATAAATACATATATGTAAGTATACTGATTTACCAGAAAAATTATAAATTAAAATTTTATTTCTGTTTGATGTTTAAAATAGTATCCATTGGAATAAAAGTATTTGCAGGCACTCTGCCCTTAAGAAACTTTTTCTTGTAGAGGGTACAATGCTATATCAATAACTAAAGGATAAAACTAAATACCAGGCATGAATATACATGTGACATTTACTCAACATAAATACAACAAATTGTACATCCTGTTCACATTACCCCTACTATTAGAGCTAGGTTCCTTACTCAACGTTTTTTGTGGGGCAAACATTGTGCACTGTTGCTAAAAAGGAATATACTTGCTTTTTAAATACTTGTTTGAGTTTCATTAGACTGGAGAAAGGTTTAAAACCTGTTAAATTCTTCATTATGTGTTTATAACTGCGCACATCTTGCTTTAAAACAGAGTGAATTATTTCTTTGACTATATATACATTTTGCTGATTGTAATTTCGGGGGAGACAATTCCTTTTGCTAATATTTTTAAATTGCAAGCTCTTGAAATAGCCATTTGAAAAGTTTTGGTATATGTTATAATAAATGCAATAATTTCACACTGTAATACTTAACATACCAGGTAACTTATGGCCCTGCTCTCCATGGGTATTATGTTAGCACTTCAAAACTAGATAGCTTAGTATATACAACGAATTACATACAGTACTGTGGTGTAAATAGTACCCAGCCATAGCAAATACTTTTTGAAATGTCACAGGATACAAATACTATATATGATTATTTCTAAAGTACCCGACGAAATAGCATTCTCTCTAGCCTTTACATGGCTTCCTTGAACCTCCTTAATGGATACCAATCAAAAGGAAGATTAGTTCCACTTTTATGTGAGCTTGGCATCTTATAATAGTAATATGCGTCCTGGGTCTTCTCCTTAGCCAGCTAAGTAATCTTGGACTGGTCACTCAATTTCTTTGAGTCTTAGTGTTTTATCTCTACAGTAAATAAATGAATTGATTGTTAATATCTCTCCTAAGATCCTAAGATATCAGCAATATACATACAAATTATATTGAGGTATTCTTTCATTAATGTTACTTAAATATGTATTGTAATCTATGACACAAGGCTTAGTTAATAGTGTCTATCTAGATTGTTGTATGTTATGTATATTTGTAAGGGTAAACCTCCACATAGTGACTCACTAGTGAATTTGAACATGTATTTAAAATATATTATTAGGCCTATGAAGTATATTTGAAGAGAAAATCACTTCAAAATGGCCCACAGGTATTTTTAATAGTTTTTTGTAAGAATGTGACCTGATATAATGTTATAATTCTTCTAACTTCTCCTGGGTAAGCAGTAAGTTGAAATTACAAAAAAAAAATTAGAACATATGGAATTTTGCCAAGATAGACAGAAAATGCTGGTAGTATCAGAGAAAGGTAGTATATATGTCAGTTCTGCCTATTCTCAGGTATGACTTTGAGTGAATTGCAAAAAGAACTTCAAGCTCATCATAATTTAAATATTAATCTTGATTCTGTGACAGAAGACAGCAATAGGATTATTAGAGAATATGTAGTGAAATTCTCTATCTCACTCTTTATGAGTTTTCTTACAAGTTTATAACTTAAAGCTTCACCATAACCAGATCATAATTAGGCCCCTTGTTTGTTAGTATAATTTTAGCATGAAATCACAGATTTTCTTTTTGGTTTCTGCAACTTGAATGGTTTTAAAATCTAGTTCAAGATAATTTAAACAAAATATATAGTTTTAGTGTGGCTTACAAATATATAATTGCCTAGCTGCCTCATTGAATAACAGTTTATTTTAGTTGACTAGGAAAAATTATGACACAATTTTATTATAAAATTGTAAGAGTTGGGCATGGGAACTGTAAGAAAGTAAATATTTTTCTTAACTATGGAACTGTTTAAACATAGACTTCATCCAGGCCCTTTGTTAATTGTTGCCTTTAGCCCTTTTATTGATGAAATAAAATAACCTTGTATGCCAGCACTTTCTGCTGTAGGTGGGCTATTTATCCTTGTTCTGCTGCATTAGCAGTGTCTGATGAGGGTTAAGAGGGCATATAGAAAATACAATAGATAAAAGAATGATACCAGTTTGCCTTTTAGTCTCAAGTGGAGATTGTTTGTCATATATGTAATAGAACAGAATTCCCAACTGATATTATTGTTTTGTTTCTAGGTGGGCACAAATGATGCTGACTTAGTAGATGAATCCACATTTGAGTCTCCATACTCTCCTGAAAATGACAGCATCTACTCTACTCAAGCCTCTATTTTATCTCTTCATGGCAGTTCTTGTGGTGATGGCCTGAACTATGGTTCTTCCCTTCCATCATCTCCTCCTAAGGTACAAAGGAAAAGCCAATTTTTCTTTTATAGGAAAGTCTTGTGTGTAATTTTCCAGAGCTCAGTCCTTATGGGGAGTTGTGGGAATAACATATTGGAGACATTATGTTTCTCCAGTTGTGGATTCATTATTGGATTAAAGTACAATTTCATTTAGCTAATGTTGGTTGGATAGCTTTCAGATTACTAGAAACTATTTAAATTTAGTGTCTGAGAATGATAGATACAGAGGCTCAAAGCTTTGATTAGGGTTTGCATGTCAGAAAGAAAAATTTAGCATCATATATTTCTCAAGTTGTGTTTTTAGCAGTGTATACTTTGGAAAAATTACAAGAATAACTTTATTTTCTTAATGGTTTTAAAACTGACTTCTATGCAAAGTTGGATAGTAAAATATTTCTTGCATTAATTTAACATTTACTAGCTAAGTTAAACTTAATGCTGTCATATGTTTTTATACAAAATGATGCCAAAGAATACTTTACATAAAAAATCACAGTGAATGGTAAATTATGTTTATGTCACTGGATGTGAACGAAGAATTTAGTCACTATTTGACATATCTGTGCCATTTATATTTTAGAAATAGATTATTGGCATAAATGCCCCAACTCTATTCATTTTCTTGGTGACATACTCTATAATGTTCAATAAGTAATACTTTAAAATGTATCCAATGTTTTGGGTGTGAAATGGTATCTTACTATTTTAATTTGGATTTCCTGATTACTAATGAGAATGAATGTTTTTTTCATAATATTGGCCATTTGTTTTTCACTTTTCATCAAAGATCTCTTCATATCTTTTGGCCATTTTGTATTGGGTTGCTCATTTTTCTTTTGATTCTTTGCAGTTGTTTTTTGGAAATTGATATGCAAAGCAATTCAACATATATTTTTAATGAATATCTATGTACATGTGTGTAGTAAAATCTAAAAATGTGTTGGCAGGATACTTCTCAACTTCAAAAAAGAAGTTATCCTTGGAGAAAAAAGGAAGTATGGGAATTTAGCTATGTGTCTAATACATTATAACATATTATGAGGAAAGAGAGATTGATGAAAATATGGCAGAATGTTTATATCTATTAAATCATGGCAAAGAGTTCATATATGAATATATTTTCTTTATTTTTCTATATTGGAAATATACCATAAACATACATTTAAAATTAAGTTGAAAAGACTGGACAATTTTTTTTAATATACGAAATATGTATTTTCTGCATAAATTGAATTCAATGGGAAGGGGTATTTATGAATAAGTTGGAAAGTAGAATTTCCGTAGGTCTAGCACTGTTTTCCTCCTTTCCTGATTAACAGGTTTTTTGGCCAGAACATTTTCAAAGCATTTTCTTTTATGTTCAAGGTGCACCTGTTATCCTTGCAAATGATGCTGGGCAGTCTCCTTGAAATGGTTTGCAAGGTATAATCTTGAGTGGAGCAGCTGCTCCTCTCTCACCACACCTGAGACTGTCTGTCTGGCTGTGTCCTGTCTGGAATGTGTTCTGGAATGTGTTCAGTCTTTACTGGCCTCAGGGCTGGAAGCTGAGTTCATCTCCTGATGGAATCTCCTAATCCACAGCATAGCACACGTCTTCTTCCCAGTGGACAGATTGCATTGTTTAACTTAGTAATTGTTACTTAAAGGGATTACACAATCTGCATACTGAGAAGCATATATTTTACAGGGCAAATGCTGGCTGTATGCAGCACAACATATTGGCTTACCGAAGTCTGTTTGCCTCCTTTTGTATTTATTTATTTTGTTTTCCCCAAGCAGTTTACTCTTTTGTTGAAGCAAATTTTGGCAAGCTCGTTTATCAACTGAAATACTTAAACTACAAAACAACAAAGAAGACATTAATGAGGGTGTTTTAAAACACATTGTGAAACTCCTGTGTGCTTTTAGTTTTCTTAAAAAGTAGGACTGTTCCTGCATCGTGGTAAAATCTCTGCAACATTTTATATTTTTGGTGACAACTTTCTAATACCTAGACTTTTGCTAAAATTTTTTATGTAAATAAAATAAATATATAATGTGTCCTTCCTGTTTCTTTGCAACAAATTTATATTAAAAAGACACAATGGTGATTTGTTATGGAATTTACAATTGACAATTTTTCTTAAAAGTGAGCGTACTTAAAGGCTTTTTAATTTATAAAGTAATACCGTATAGTATATGATTTTTAAGAAAAACAAAGATGCCTCTATCTTGATTTGAAAGAAGGATTAAAATAGAATGTGAGGATCTCAGCAATTCCTTAGATTTTTGACTTTGCTAACTATGTGATTATCTTGTAGCCTTAAATGGCAACAGGGTATGAACAAATAATTTTACCTGTCTCTTCCCCTTGATGAATGGTCTTTTGGCCTTCGTCAGGTATACTACCAGAAGTGATCAGTGCTAATCACCTACAGCACAGACTCTTCATAGAGGGAGGCCTCGCTCTTCAGGGCAGCCTAAACACCAAAGGGCTGTAGCCATATGTTGGGGCTCTTCCTCACAAAATTATCTAATTTGGGGGTCCATTCTGCTTTACTTTTTTAAGAGTATGTATTTGCTTAATTTGATTAGTTACCATGTAAAGATTTACGGGAAATAACAATTACTCAAGAACCTGAAAAATATACCCGCCTCTATGGCATTTGGCTTAATAGAGGCAGGTCATTGAAATATGGATTTTAAGAGCAACATGGCTCTAGCCGTGTTTTTCCTTTCTTATTATTTTATGTTTGATTTCTTTGGTTAATCATTTTACTCCTTTTCCCTTGTTACCTCCAAAGATATGACAAAATGCAGAAATAATTGGTTTTTAAATTGGCAGACTTTTGTTTAAAATTTTAACATGGTTTTTAGAACATTTTTTTTTCCTATTTTGATTTAAAAATACAATGGATAAAGATTTAATATCTATTCAAGTTTCCCCTTCTACTCCTTATTCACACCTCTACACCCTGCCCTCCCGTGTACACTCATACTCTTACTCTGTCCGGTGATGATATTGTTACCAATGTGGTGTCTATCCTTCGTTCTTGAATATCAGTTCTGCCAGGAATTACTTTTTATTCTAATGCAGGTTGAACTTGATGTTTATCAAGATAGGAACCCTTTTGCACCTTGTACGTCAACTCAACTAACGGATTTAATGATATTTTTTAGTAGTCTGAACATTCTTACAAATTATTACTTAGTGTCATTGTCTAGCATAAAATATTATTGCCTTCACATCCATGTTTAGAATGTTGATACTATTTCTTATTTTTTTTTGCAGATGGGGTTAGAATAAAAAACTAAATCACTCTAATCAAAATGATGAGTGACTGTGAGAGTCTTAGTGACAAAATTGCAGGCTCTCCAAGGTATAAAAGATGTTGCCTTTTTCCTTAGTAGGATCAGTGTCAAAACAATAAAGGAAGTGTACCTTATCTCAGAAAGAGTGGGAGAAGGACAGTTGGAGCAGCTTTGGTTGCAATCTATTTTTTAAATGTATAATAAGGATCCTCTGGTAGACTGCTTATTGAAGAAAAGCAGGTTATGGCTATTAAATGCTCGTGTATTTAGTTAGTTTTTGTAAATATATTATCTGGGTAAATAATATGCCCAACTCTAACCTTAATTTATGCATTGCGCTTAAGAAATAGAACTTTTAAAAAGTATATTTGACATTTTAATTTAACCTTTTTTAATTTTTTACTGAGGACAAGAATATATCAAGTGAAGTCACATATTAATATAGACTTTTGAAAGACTTCACTTTAGATATCAAGTTGCACTGGGAAATTGTGGTTATTTTTGTACATCTTATGAGGGAAGAACTGTTTTTCTTTTAGATCCACAAGACTTTTAAAAATAAAACTGAGTTGGTTGTTGAGCAACCAGAAACGTTTCTGAAGTGGGCGTATGTTGTCTACTGTGTTGATTAGCTCTTTCTTTTCTGTGTGTCTGTGTTAACTCCTTCATGAATAATGCATGGGACTGTTATACCATTTACAGTACACCCCAGCTAACAAGGGCGACTTGACCTCTTTTGCTAATGAAAAGCAATTTTGATTGTTATCTTTGAGGCATGGGGGAGATGATTTACTAATTATTATAATCAATTTAGCAATATGGAAGCTAACCAGTTCTGTAGTAAGTACATTATTATTTTTCCTAAGAATAAAATTATCAAAGTTGGGTGAGGGAGCCAACAGGTTATTGTTTAGATCCTGGGCTTGTGGAGGATGATACCTTCCTGTCATTTGTTTCTGAAGATACTACAGATGTTAATTGCTTATATGATATTTCCACTTGCCTCAATTCTTTGTACTAGGAATATCTGATAATTCTAGAGAGATAATAAGTCACATTCAAGGAAAGGAGTGTAATAAATTGTGTTGGAGCAATTAATTACCCGTTTAGAAAAAAGTGACAGACCCATATCTCACACCATACCCTGAAATAAATCAAGATGGTTAAAATCTAAAAGAAAGCATTTATAAAAGAGGAAAAATACTAGAAAGCATTTCATTTACTTTGTGTGGAAGGACTTATTAAGTAATATATAAAACGCAAAAGCACAAGAGAATGACAAATTTGGTTGCAGAAATAATTTAACTTCTGCACGACAAAATATTACCTGTACAAACTAAAAGACAAGTGACAGACTGGGAGAATATTTGCAGTGTATATCACAAAGACTTTATATTCAGACTGTGCCAATGACAAGAAGAATGTCTATTCGTCACCATAAATACCTGTAAATGCCTATTAAGATAGTTTTCTCTTGGAGGCTCCTGTGAATCCAGATCAATTAACGTCATATGCTTTATGCTCTTGATCTCTTCATAAATAGGAACTTTAAAGTGATTAGAACTGAATTGCATTTTAAGTGAAATTTGAAATTATGAGTTATTTGCCTCTATATGTAATTTGAACTCAGAGAAAAATCGGATAAAGAATATGAAGAGAGTGTTAACAGAAGAAATACAAATGGCTTATCCTTGATAATTGTCAGGAACACACATAGTAATACACTAATATTTCTTACAAATCAGATTGCCAAACTAATCTAGGACTGGCAAGATTCATTAACAGGTATTCCCATATTTTCCTTCTGTAAGAGAAAATTGGAACACAAGTTAGCAGTATGTACCAAATTTTTTTTTTTTTTTTTTTGAGATGCAGTCTCGCTCTGTTACCCAGGCTGGAGTGCAGTGGCACAATCTGGGCTAACTGCAAGCTCTGCCTCCTGGATTCACGCCATTCTCCTGCCTCAGCCTCCTGAGTAGCTGGGACTTCAGGCACCAGCCACCACGCCCGGCTAATTTTTTTTGTATTTTTAGTGGCTCACGCCTGTAATCCCAACACTTTGAGAGGCCGAGGCAGGCGAATCACGAGGTCAGGAGATGAAGACCATCACGATGAGACCCCGTCTCTACTAAAAATATGTACCAGCATTTTAAGTGTGCATATCATTTGACCAACCATTGAAATTCTAGTGGTTCATAGTGAATATATCTTCACACATGTGGACAAAGATGTAGAATATAAATAACAGCAGTAGCTAACAATTATTGGGCATTTTCTATTAAGTCAGGCCTGTTTTTAGTACTTTGTGGATATGAATACTCTCTGTCCTCCCAAAAGTCCTGTATTAGTTTCTATTAATTTCCCCAATTAGGCATAGTGTTTAAGTAACTTGTCCAAGCTCTAACATTTAATTAGTGTTGAGCCAGGATTTGAACTCAGGCATCCTGGTTCACAGTCTACACACCACTGTCTTTCATACTTAGGAATAACTTACAGCCATAAGAAAATTGAAGTTGACTTGTTTTTAAACTGACATGGAAATTTCTCACATCAAGATGAAAAGATACTGCAAAAAAAGTAAAAGTGCTATTTATTGTATGGCTGTGTTTAGTTTTTAAAAATATATATGTATATCTGCTTGTATGTGTGAGTGTGTGCATGTGTACTTATATGTATATATTATGCAAATGCATTAAAAATTTGATGGATAAACACCTAACTGATGCTAGCCATTTTTACTGGGGAAGCGAATGGAAGTAGAAGCCATAGCGAAAACTCTTCATATTGTATTCTATATGCATACACAGTATATGTCTGTATCTTGAATCCTTTATGCAATAGTATGTTCATATGCTACTTTTATACATTGAAACTATCAATGAAAGAATTGAAGGGAAAACTGATATGTTTATTCAACAGCAGTTTATGAAGCAACTGCTTTCCCAAAGCACTCAAGTGATACAATATATCTGTTGTAAGTAGATATACATATTTATATAGAACTCTACAATTTTAGAGTTTCAGAGGATTGTAGAAATTATATAAAGAGAGGTTCTGTGATATACAAATTGTTAATAACAGAGCCTGGATTTAGAGCATACATTTTATGACAACCCGTCTTACTATTCCTTCTGTTATATCGTACAGAATATTTATGCAAATTTTTCCTACGATAATTTGAATTGTAAAACTTTCTATTCTTCTCCATAAATACTTATAAATGCCTATCAAAATAATTTTCTCTTGGAGGCCCTTATGAGTCCAAATCAATTAATGTCATACTTTTTATGTCCTTGAGCTCATAATAAATGGGAACTTCAGACTGATGGGAAACAAACTACACTTTAAGTGAGATTTGGAAGTATGCTACTTGCTCTTCTATGTAATTTGAACTCTGAATAATTTTATTTGTAAATAGAACATAGTATTTCTAAATGATCTTACGTACAGTATCTTGTACAAGTATAACTCAGTAGAACGTGAGATGTATGACTTTCAGGAAATGTATTTAAAAGCATTTATGAAAATAAAGATATGCAGAAAATCTGCTAAGTGAGGAATTGTGTTTGTTAATGCTTTTTGAGTAATAAATAATTGTTATGTTTTACATTTCACTAAATAGTTGTTCATTAAGAAGTGATGTTATATATTGATGTAATTCTGGTCACATTTTTCATGTTTTGTTGTTGTTGTTTTTTAACTACCAGGATGTTATTGAAAATTCTTGTGATCCAGTACTTGATCTGCATATGTCTCTGGAGGAACTATATACCCAGAATCTCCTGCAAAGACAGGATGAGAATACACCTTCGGTGGACATAAGTATGGGGCCTGCTTCTGGCTTTACTATAAATGACTACACACCTGCAAATGCTATTGAACAACAATATGAATGTGAAAACACAATAGTGTGGACTGAATCTCATTTACCAAGTGAAGTTATATCAAGTGCAGAACTTCCTTCTGTGCTACCCGATTCAGCTGGAAAGGTAATATTTTAAAGATATGGTTTGTGTTTTATGATGAGATAGGGAATAGTGAAGTAAGGTTATTCTGGCTAATCTCTTCATTTGGAATGAGTGCTTCTTGACACTAAGATTTTCAGAAGGCAACCTATGAACTTGTTTTGGTTGCAGGTTCTTGCAAAATAAAGCACAATCAATTAGAGAACATGCGTGATGTTGAAATCACGCTCCAAAGTCTAGTTTCCCTTTCCATGTGACTTGTGACTTCTTTTTCTTTCTTAAAGGGCTCTGAGTACCTGCTTGAACAGAGCTCCCTGGCCTGTAATGCTGAGTGTGTCATGCTTCAAAATGTATCTAAAGAATCTTTTGAAAGGACTATTAATATAGCAAAAGGCAATTCTAGCCTAGGTAAGTTTCTCATTTTCCTCATATACCTACTCCTCAACCCCCTTGACAAGGGGAAATATTGAACATGGTAAATTTCAATTTTTTATGCTGTAGATAAGAGAACAGATGGTAGAAATTTTCCTGTAGTTTTTATTTCTATGTCCTCATTATTTTTTTGAAATGGTTTACAGGTTTGTTTACTTCATATGAGCAGAAATCCCTCATTCTCTTAATTCAGAGTATTCACAAGCCTCATTTACATTCAGTAAAAGATATATGAATTGTTTGTGTATGAAACAGCAAATCAGAAAAGGAATTCTTAGAAAATGAAAACTCAGCAATTTGGAATTCTAAATTCTTTGGAAAAGTAAATTATTAGTTACTTTGAATGTACCAGTGATGTATAAGTCAGTTTATATTTAATTTCTTTCACTCACTGAAAGAAAGACTAAAAAGACAACCAGGTGTGCCACCACCAAAATGTAAATGTGAGTTATTCAGTAGGACTTCCCAGGTGGCAGGATTTTTTTGTCCTATTTTAACCACAAAACCCTCTGAATTGGGCAAAAAAGACTTTCTGTAGAAATATCCTAATTACAATAGCTAAAACTGTGTTGAGGCAGAGCACATTTGTTCTCTCATTGAGTTACACAGTCATGTGACTCAGCCCTGTCTTTCTTGATAAATAGAATGGTAGATGAGTTGCTCTGAGTGTCCAAATGCAGCCCAAGACTCTGGTTAATTCAGCATCAGAGATCCTTTTCCTTCTATGAAGTAAGCAACCACTACCCGTTACACTGACGTCTTATGGCAGGGTCTTGTTTCCTTGTTAAGTTTTGAGATTTGGCAGAGGAATCCAGCAGTGCTTACTTGATGAGTGGGATTTCAGCCTTGGTCTCCAAGATTTTGTTCCATTTGATGGTGGCGGGGTACTACCAACAGCAGCTAAACAGAATTGTAGCAGATAGTATTTGTGTTGTTGTAATATTTCTTATGTACGTTATGTTTAATAGGATGATGATACAAAGCTTGAACTGCAGAACTTTGCATAACTCATTAATTATGAGACAGATATCTAAGCCATGCCAGAATTATTTCATTGGCTAATTTAGTATTTCTGATGCCATGTTACTCAAAATACTAGTTTTGTAGGATGTTAATAGGAGTTATAAATGAGTTCCAAGTTTAAAAGTTTGGGATGAGATAAATTTAAGAAGACGGGTTTCTTTTTACATCTCAATATCTTTTATACTCCAGTGTGCATTGTGAATCACTAAGAGATTATCAAATGTAGCATTTTTCACATTTAATTGGCCATAGAACCCATTTTTCTTGAATAATTGATAAGGCAGAGATTTTGCAAAGCCTATCTGAGAACTATTATTCTAGTGTATTTACTCAACTAGCAAACATTTATTTTAATACTATATCCACTATGCATAGACACCATAATATCACTGTTCTTAACACAAGTTTAAGAGAGTAAGCTAATTGACATTTAAAATCCTAAAGGCATTAAAATATTGTACATGCTATAATAGATACTTACAGAGAACATTAAAGGCTTAAAAGAGGGAATAACTAATCCCTACTCTCCAAGTGTGGAGAACTTTAGAATGGTTTCAGAAAAGAGGAGATGTATGATTTAGGTCTAAAAAGAGGAGATTTTTACCACATAGTTGAGGAATTTGAAAAAGATGAAAGCTGCTTAGAAGTAAGGCAGAGAGATGTGAAATATTACTGAAACTGGTTTGTTATGGATGAAGTGTGGTATGATGACTGGCAAAATCAGAGTTGGAACTAAAGGAAGGATAAATGGGAGACAACTGCTGGATGGGTTTGTGTGTAGGACACAGAACTTCTGCTGCAGCCATCTACTGCCTTATCCTTCATGTAGGCAGCGGGAGCTAAGGGTAGAAGAGTGACATGAGCAGATTTGTGTTTTAAGAAGAGCATTCAGCTTAGGTTGGTGAAGCAGTTAGGAGGCTCTTGTAAGAGCCATGGTTTGGGTACATCAGATTTTGCAATCTGGCTATTTGGATTGCTTACCAATTTTTTTTTTTTTTTTGAGAGAGAGTTTCGCTTTGTTGCCCAGGCTGCAGTGCAGTGGCATGATCTCGGCTAACTGCAACTTCCGTCTCCTGAGTTCAAGCAATTCTCATCCCTCTCAGCCTCCTGAGTAGCTGGGATTACAGGCCTCTGCCACCATGCCCAGCTGATTTTTTGTGTTTTAGTAGAGATGGGGTTTCACCATGTTGCCCAGGTTGGTCTTGAACTCCTGAGCTCAGGCAATCCACCCATCTCCGCCTCCCAAAGTGCTAGGATTACAGGCACGAGTCACCCTGCCCGGCCTGCTTACCAATTTTTAATTAATTGTAAGAATGCTGAATTTTGTCAAAGCATTTCTTCATCTATTGGGGAGATTATATGGATTTTCTTATTTATTCTCCTAATATGTCAAGATACATTGATTTTTTATTGTAAAATAGACACAGCATAAAATTGACCATTTTCATCATTTTTAAGAGTACATTTCTGTGGCATTAAGTGCACTCACATTGTTGTGTAGCCATCATCACCATCCATCTCCAGAACGTTTTTTGGGTTCCCCAATTGAAACGCTGTATCCATTAAACAATTATTCCCCATTGCTCTCTCTACCAGTCCCCTGTCAACTACCATTCATTTTTCTGTCTCTATGAATTTGATGAAATGCTTCATGTAGGTGAAATCATACAGTATTTGTCCATATTTGACTGTGTATAATGTCTTTTAGGTTCATCCATGTTGTAGCATGTGTCAGAATTTCCTTTTTAAGGCTGAATAATATTCCATTGTATGTATACACTATACTTTGTTTATTTATTCATCTACTGATGGACACTTGAGTTGCTTCCACCTTAGTTTTTAAGTTTTGATATAAAATATACTAGGTTAATTAAGTTATTGGAAGAAAACAGTGAAAGGTAGAAGTGTCCTTCCTTTCCATCACATCTAGAAACCCATTTAAACCTCCCTCAACAGCCTGACTTTAAAATTAAAGTATAAAAGAGCCCTGTCATTTTTTTAGTGAAAGTAAAACATTTGGCCGGGCGCGGTGGCTCACGCCTGTAATCCCAGCACTTTGGGAGGCTAAGGCGAGTGGATCACCTGAGGTCAGGAGTTCAAGACCAGTCTGCCCAACATGGCGAAACCCCGTCTCTACTGAAAATACAAAAAATTAGCTGAGCGTGGTGGTGGTGGGCACCTGTAATCCCAGCTACTCAGGAGGCTGAGGCAGGAGAATCCCTTGAACTCGGGAGGTGGAGGTTGCAGTGAGCCGAGATCGTGCCACTACACTCCAGCCTAGGTGACAAGAGCAAAACTTCGTCTCAAAAAAAAAAAACAAAAAACAAAGTAAGACATTTAAGTGTGAAATCACAGCACCATTAGTTTACCATTCACACTGTAATATAAAAGTGTAAATCACAATTAGTTTAACTTTTCTGCTTCATTTCCATTATTGATATGCTATGCCCAATATGTTTATAGGGCTTTCTCCCTGGCGTTTTGATTTCCTGGGACCCAGTGAGGTTCCTCTGGCATTTTGGAGTTAAAATTTACTGCATGCCAAGGCAACAACATTACATTACTCTGTTACCTCATTTCAGAGGAGATGCTAAATGTTCAGATTTCTATAGCACTTCGAATAACTAAATGTAAAGGAATCTTGAAAAATCTATGTAAATATTAAAGCATTAAATTAAGCTTTAGTGTAGGAAGGTTTTGGCTGTATAACTTAAAGTAACAAAAAGTGTGATAAATAGTATGTTAGGAAGTCTAAATAGAGGCTGGGTTTGTGCTAGTGGAAAAGTATATTATGAAGAGGTCTATCAATGAGCTCATTTTCTTAGATTCATAGTCTCCCCTTAATCAGCTATATGCAGTTGTTTGCAGTTTTAGCTTTGTGGCTAATTTTTTCTTTGTCTAGTGATGACCAGAAGAAGTTATTAATAAATGACAGCTTTCTGTAAAGGCTGTCATAATCCATTGTTTTGATTTCATGAATCATTTGGGTTTTTGAATTTTGTTAAATTTAGAGTGAAAATATATACAGAAATACAGATACATTAATAAATATACACGTGCATATAGTGACCTTTGAAAAATTCTAATCTTGATGCTTTTTGATAAGTCTGTGGTCCCTTGCTTAATAATGTGGTGTTTGGACTTGAAGGTAAAAAAACAAGGTTCTTCAGGGGAAAAGAAAGGAAGTCTTTATCTTCCCTTCACTGATTAGATACAGAAACATAGACAGACTCAGGAGTTTCTCTGAAATTACTCAACCCTTAAAGGGGTAGAGTCAGAACTCAAGCCTGTCTATCTCTGATTTTCACATAGACCGTACAATACATTCAGTACTTGAGTTACCCAAGGGCACATTATGATTGTTGTACTAACAGGCTTCATTTTGAAGCTGAATTAAGATTTGCATTTAGTCTTTAGGGAGCAATGTAACCTTGATTTGGGGGAGAGATGCATTTTAAACATATTTTATGAGTTTTGTTTTGTTTTTAGTTTTGTGACTAAATTTTGTCGTACACTTTGTGTCAGGTATTTTCAAAGTACTATTACATATGTGTTTCTCACTTAGTTCTTTAAACAACCCTAAGAGTAAATGTCATCCCTTTTTAAAGGTAAGTAAACTGAGGCTCTGTGTGAGGTTAAGTCAGTTGCAAGCTTGTGCTGATTGGAAGTGGTGGAATTCAGGTTTGTAACCAGTTCTCTATTTACAAAGCACATGATTTGGGATTTGGGATTTGGGATATTCTTTAATACTTCTTCCAGGAAAAAAATTGAGAGATCTTACAAGTTACAACCAAAATCTGGTTAGTGGAGATTACCTCCAAGTTATTGCACCTGGAAAATTGTCATTTGGTGAAAGGAAAGTATAAGCTCAGCTAACTGATGTTGACCTCTTGGTTTACATGGTTGATGTGACCTGACAGCCTTAATAGCTGAGAATCGTGAGTTAAATATGCTATTAAAAGTGAATTCAGAGATCATGTTGGCCATAGCTCATGATAGGTTCCATGTCTGTGTCTTGCCTTATTGTAGTCTGCATGGTGCTAATAAGAACAAGATGGTAAGTTAGATTCCCACTGTGATCCACTGAGTTAAATTTTACTTTGTGCTGACACATTTTTATTTTACCAAAGTACAGTTATATTGTGGGTATTGGTGGGAAGGCTGGCTTTAACAGTACAAAATGGAGTACCTTTTGAAAAATTTCAGATTCAGCCTTTTTTCTCACCCGAAACGGTATCTTATTGTTTTATGGTAAGCAGAGGTGTCTTCTTAACAATACACTTCAAAATCGTTAGTATGAGTCTTAACAGAATATTTTAAGTACATTTAAAAATGTTTTATTTCTATCAGAAAACAGTAAGTAGGAGCCTGAATTGCCCACATCCACTATGAAATATTAGGCTAGAAACAAAATCAGAATCATTTTTTAAAATGTTTGAAATATCATATCTAATTTGGTATGAGTAGAATTAATATTTGGAAAGACATCATTTTTTAAATATATAAAAACCTAAAAAGGAATTTGTGACATCTGTCAAAGAAAAGTTTTTATAAATACCCTGGTAGCTTTATATCTCTCCATAGCTTGTTTAATTATATAATTTTGTTTTGGAAGAAACTTTCAGCACTTCGTTTTAAGTGAACTTACATTATTTTTGCAAAGTTTCAAATATAATTTATAAGATTTTATATTTTTCAACGAATAGAATGAGGATAGGATGCAAAGGGAACATTAATTCAGATAGAGTCTGTTGAGAAGGACTTTCTGAGGAAGTGATATTGAAGAGTGAGAGGGAGTTAGCTGTGCAAGAGCTGCAGAAAGAAGGTGTCAGGCAAAGACTTCAAAACGGACAGAGACGAGATGCATTTGTGGCTAGAACTTAGGGAACCAAGAAGGACATAACACAAAGCAAGGATGCACACTGCAAAGGCCAGTGTACCCCTGTCCTACAGACTGTGCTGAGCAAGTATGTTGTGTATTACTATAACAGGAAACTATTGAAGAGTTGCAGCCAAGGGACTGATAGGATATTACTTGTCTTTTTTTTTGTAATGGCCTCTCTGTCTTCTGAGGGAAGTATGCATTGAAGGAGACAATCATGGAAGGCAGGTGACCAGTTAGGAAGGAGGCTTTTGCAAAAAGTCAGGCAAGAGAAGGTGTTGCCTTAGTCTGGAGTTAGTGTCTAAATGGAAAAAGGTAAATGGATTCAAGATAAATTTTGAAGATAGAAATGACAGGATTTGGTGTTGGATTAAATATAGGGGATAAGAGAGAGGTATGCATCAAGAAAGACCCCGGTATTTCTACTTTGAATAATGGAGGGTAGTGTGGTAGTGCAATTTACCAAAAAAGGGAAGAAAAATGGAGAAATAAAGTGAGGTGAAAAATTGCAGGTTCAATTTTATACATGCTAAGATTGCATTTCCTGTGAGACATCCAGGGGATGTGAAAAGAGGGCAATTTAATATCCAAATTAGAAGCTTAAAGAAGTTCAGAGATAAAATGGAAATAGATTAAGTTCATATAAATTCATTTCAACAAACTGTTATACTTTCCCACACCACTGTGGTAGGCTCCAGGTATGAAGACTTCAATACAGGCTTCTTGATGTTAGGAATTCTGTGCTATGCTGTTATCCTAAGCAACCAACATAGTACTTGGCACATATTAGCCATATAGTAAATAGATCCTGAATAAACAAGTGATAAAGAATTAAGGTAATAGCGGATAATTGCTTAATTTACATGATGAATTTTCCTTTTGTAGTCCTTTTATTCTCTTTTATGTGTAAAAGCTGAACTAATATTGTAAAACTGATTTGATACTATCATAGTACTCTCCCTGAGAGACCTTTCTATTCAAGGGGTCAGCACATCACATGGTCTAAATTACATTCATTCCACAATGTAGATCTGTTTTGTTTATAATGTATTGACTATATACAATTTCACAAACATTTACAATTTACTTAAAAATATTTTTTGTTAGAAACACTTTTTCCTGTTTTTGCTATGCTTTTTATTGACTGAAATGTTACTTGTATTTTTTAATCTATAAATCATAGAAATTATTAAATTCAAATTAAAATGAATTGAAAAATCATGTATTTAATTATATTTGCATTTCTCTTTTCCTGTAGGAATGACAGTTAGTGCTAATAAAGATGGCTTGGGGATGATCGTTCGAAGCATTATTCATGGAGGTGCCATTAGTCGAGATGGCCGGATTGCCATTGGGGACTGCATCTTGTCCATTAATGAAGAGTCTACCATCAGTGTAACCAATGCCCAGGCACGAGCTATGTTGAGAAGACATTCTCTCATTGGCCCTGACATAAAGTAAGTATCATTTGAAGCCCAGTTTAACTTGGGAAATTCAGGAATTTCAATTAATCAGAATTCTTTTTCAGTATTCACTTCTGTTTGAGATGCAAACGTTATCACATTTTTTTTAACATAAATCACTCAAGAAATTGACTATTTTTGAGTAGTTCTCGATTGTAAGTTTAGTTTCTTTGAGACTATATCAGTATTAAAAATTTGGAAACGTTGCTTTGTATTTTTAATTATACTTCTCCAGTGATTTCTACAACAACCATAGAAGTGAGGGATGCAATGATTCTCACAGAGCAAGAGGGCCCACTTTTAGGATCTTGGAAAGATGTTTGGATTGGCTTTGATATAAGGAATTGTACCCTACCTAATTGACCTGTGTGAATCCTAGAACTAAGACAGTTCTTTAAGGGCCAGGCATGCAAAAGACAACATAAAACAGTGTCCATCTGACCCAAAACTTACCGTTTCTTGAGCTATCTCATGACCCCAGGGGATAGACCAATATGTTGATATGGTCTGTTTGTAGGTCATGGAGGATATTTTGTCAGGAAGTGCTTAAAATTTCCAATAACCCCATAATGTACTAAAAGCACATCATATATGTGGTTTGTTTTTTAAGTCACTAACCATTCCTTGAGCCAACATAAAAATCAGCTCATTACTTTATTGTGACACTTCATCAATGTGGCATTTTCCTCTAGCATTAATCATTGAATATTTGTTTTTAATGTATGAGGGATAACATCATAAAATAAGAGCTCAGGGAAAGATTGTTTACCTAAAATCGATGTAATGATTACTAGTATGGGGGACTTTTTTGTATTAATGTTATTTTACTGACTACATTCTCTATTACTAGTCCTTTTGCAAAGTATGTATTGCTAGGGCTTAGGTAACAAAAGCTGTACAGACTGTTTTTCATTCTGTGGTCAATAAAAAGAAGAAAAGTATATACCATTTGGAGCAGATTCCGCTGTCTTATATAAAAAGTATTATTTTTAGGCAAAATCTTCACTAATGGGCTTTCATATTTGTGTATGCTTTTTTGACTTTTGTTTACAGTTGAACAGATCATCAGATCATATTACTGTTCCTTAACTGCCTTATAATAATTGGAGTACAAGTAAACATCATTAAAAATGTCAGTCCTTTTATCATAAGAAAAGAGAAACTTCAAGTGTTTTCTTTACCGCTTATGGCCAGTGTTCCATGACTAGATCATGTGGAGACTATGTATTTATCGCAGGGTTTTAGTTTATGTGGATTAGATGTAGTATAAAATGCAGATGGACTAGTAACTGTTCATCTGATTTGTTGTGCCATGATGTACATTTATGCTGTGTGTGCTGATACCAGTCTGCTGCCCACTTTTTGGCATTCTGATCACCAGAATTAGTACTTGGTACTAGCCCTACCACTCAGTTCTAATGTACTGCAGAACTTTAAAAGTCGTTAAAAAATAAGACCATTGTGACACCAGTTTGGCATAAGTCATGCATCTGGTCAACTCTAGAAAACTTTTGAAGTACATTTTCAGGCTCAAAGTCTTTTTTCCCCTTTCCTCATTTTTTTGTTGTGTATTTCCGTTTCCCCTCTCCCACTGATTCAGCAGAATTTACCCTATCATGTGGGCAGAAGCTTTATTATGACTATGAAGGGTATCTAGAGAGCTAGCTTCATAAGTACTTGCTTTAGGATCTCAGGAGGCAAAATGTACTATAGAATCTTAAATTATTTTAAAAAGAAGAAAAATCGTACAACCTTCCCTCCTCTGGAAATCAGTCATCCATTCATTCAGTCAGTGAGTCTCTCTCTCGTGTATGTAAACACACATGCAGACATTCAAAACACGTTGATTTCTTCTCACATGCCTTAAAGATACTCTGATTCAAATGCTTATAGCTTAACTCATTGAGTAATGATAAAAATAAACTAAAATCATCCTTACATAATGCTTTTTCAGAAAAAAAAATATGTTAGATTTTAAAACACAAAGAGCCATTTAGGTTGACCAGGGCTGAGCAGCATGTTCTGTGCATTTTGCATGAAGTGTTTTTGGCCCTTACCACTTGTTTCGTGAAGCAAAAGGTTTAGAATTACCTTGAAAGCTATGTGAATAATCTTCCCAAAAGGAACTTTTAGTCCTTCCATTACTCTGAATAGAACCATAACATTGCCTCAGGCCCATTAAGCTTTGTGCTCATTACCTGGATCTAGGCTCCATCCACATCTCTTTCTCATTATTTTTCTTTATGAACCTAGCTTAATCTGGGTGGTGGTGGAGGGGTGTATTGTAGGAACTTTAAAAAAGGAGACTGTGGTTGAGTTACATAACTGATTGGTTTTAGGGAAAGCATTGCTTATTGAGAGAATGCACTGGATTTCTTTTTTGCCATTTACGATAGATAGCTAGGAACTTTTGTGTGTGTGTGTTCATGCATGCATGGGTAGATAATTTGAGTTTCAAGAGTTCAAGAACAGCCAGTTTAAGATCCAGGTTTCATTATTTTCTATGGAAAACCAGATGCGAAGCCTCACCAGAATGCATTCTGTTTCACTTCTCCCTCCACCTTGCCAGGAGCTCTTATATTTCTGTAATAATAGCCAGGGTTTTGTGCTTAGCAGCAGCTGCTTATAACATCTGCCAGATAATTACTGAGCTGAATCAGAATTCACCTGCCTTAACCTAAAGTGTGGGATGAATTCCTGATCAAGGAATAAAAGACTGATTGCAGTTACATTTTTTCATGCTTGTTAATAATCACTGCTATAGACACTAGTAAAGAGCAGATGCTTTTCTGGGGGAGGTGTAGATGGGAGGGAGGTGGAAAGGGGGAAAAAAAACAACCAGGAGCACCCACTTTTAACTACATATGTATGCATCTCACATTCAGCACAAGACATTGACATTTGTTAACACCATTGTAAAAAGATGCCGCGGCGTATGCTTCACATTCTAGATTTTCTGCAGCACCTGCTGACGATCGAGCCCCCTTTTATGTGTGAGTATCAGTGATTCGAAAGCTCATTATGGCTGTGTGTTACAACTTGTCTGTGAAAACAATTTTGTGCTTTTGTAATGTCCCAATGCAAGAATAGATCCAGATATAGATTTTGTATATACATTTTAGATTGTTTTCTTTGTTTAAGTAAGAACATAAAATCCAACAGAGCTATGAGATTGTTACGTTTTCACATTGTACTGATGATTGTGAACTCATTTGAAAATCATATTTTCCAATTATGAAGCTTTCAAGCTCCTTTGTAAGGGAACGATCCTGTCTGCACGTGCAGGAATAGTCTCTGCATTAATAGCCATATCACATTTCAGCATCTCTAATGGTATTCTTTTTTCTTCTAGTCCATGTGTAACCAAAAGTTAGTCCATGTGTATCCAAAAGTTAGTTTGAATTTTTAATTCAACTCTCAAATAAGCATTTCAGTGTGTTCTCGCAGCTCATAATTTAGCTTTGGCATTTTTGCTGGCGATTTGGAAGTTCTGTATGATCCTGTGACCAGGCTTGTGCTAGCATGGCTCTGCATGTTCTGTTGCATTGTGGGATGCTTGTTCTGGTGGCCTCACTCTCTGTAGTGGCTAAATAGTTAGGAAAACTACCGTCTCTACTCTTTCTCACTGCTATGCAAAGTATCAGAAAAATATTTGTAAATGCCTACACTCCTCACCTTTCGGTAAAATAAAAAACAACTTTGAACAAATATAAAGAAAAACTCATTTTTAACATTGTTTGGGATGGAAACATCTTTACCTTCTTTCTCAAACCAATAAAAAATTAAAGACTTCGTACTGATTGCTATTATTTTTGCTATTCTATCCTGCCTTTCTTCCCTGACCTTTTCCTGGCTTTTTAAACTTACGTTTTATTTATATGAGTTTTACTGAATCTTTAGGAATAATACCAGTTTTCTTGAATAAGCTTTTCACATTTTAGGTTTTATGTTTATCTTTATTTTATTTTTTCATTGTTTAAAATATAATCAGTCTTCTTTCCTGACATAATGTATTATTTGAAGGGCTAAAAGCAAATTTGCTATTCAATATATTTTTGTAGCACCATAGAGAAGATGTCTTTATAGATGAATAAATTAAATAGGGCCAGAATTGGAATGCAACTTTTTCAGCTAGCCTAGTCTTAAATCCATTGATCTGTACTTTGATTCAGTTTTTGACCTTTGAGGTAAAAGTGTCACGAAGAGATTCCCAGAGGCCCCATGTATTCTGCCCAAGTGATCAGTATGACCAGGAGAGCTGATGACCTGTGATAGCACTCACTTCTATTTGGATTGTGCTCCTCAGCTTACAGTAGCTTCACAAAAGTGACATCCTTTTTGTGGTAGAGGGTATGGAGGTTCAGCAGTGGTGATTTACCCCATGACACTCTGCGTGGTAGCAGAACTGTGTCTTCCGACTCCAAACCCAAGTGACCTCGCACTTTGAAGTGAAAGAGTGAATGCTTTCTATAGAATAACCAATATATTTGAAATTATGTATACTCCTCTTTCAGTAAATTATGACATTGGTATAAATTTTTATTTTATTACAACATAAAAGACAATCTTTTTATCTTTGCCCTCCAGTGCTGAGGTTTTGTATACTTATTATTTTAACAGATAAATTATGGACAGAGGGTTTAATAATCTTTGTGATTTCTAATTTTTAGTTGCACAAACATGCTGTATTGAGTTCAGATACAGTATTTCTCTTATGTTACTATTCATTAATTTGAAGATCTTGAAACAGTTTACTTTAAAAAGTATGTCCACCATGTCAGAAGCAGGACAGCAGGACAGCAGTAGACTTGAATTTTCATTTATCAGTTTCTAAACATTACAGCAGGAGTCAGCATCTGGCACAGTGTCTTCCGCATAATAGGCATTCAGTCAGTACTTGTTGAATTAGTAAATGGCCATTCACGTGTAAATAGTAGTCTTTTCTTTGAGACCAAAGTGAATTTTTTAAAATTGCTTCAAATTAGTAAGAGTCTTTCCATAAACTCAAATGGTTTAATCTCATACTTCAGACTTAAGAGTTCATAACTTAATAGAGCTAACATAATTATTGAAAATGCTTGTTAATCTCTAGAATTAATTATGTATTATAGAAAGATGCAAAGTAATTTGTGATATTCAGCATTTTAATAGAGTATACCTAATTTGTTTCTGCTAGAGATCCCAGAAATCTTTGGGCAAAATTAATGTTATTGCTGACAATCATTATTCTAGGGATTTATAGATCTTCCTAATTTAAAAAAAATTGTTGTTAGCCTTTTCATTTGATAATATAAATAATTGTTTTCCTTCTCTGCATGATGATTGGTAAACACATAGTTAATCAGCAGCATTTAAAAACTTAGTTTCTGTTGTTACTCTTCCCTATAGAATACTTTATCCTATTGAAGTTTGGATTCTCTGCTGAATATACTGATTAAATGAGTTGTATGAAAAAGTAGGGAGAAAGGGACAATATGATTTGTTTCCTTTATTTTAGAAGCTTTTCCTAACAATTAGGCAAAATATTATTTCCCTTCACTTCCATGGATTCTGGTTTGTTCCAGAATTACTTATGTGCCTGCAGAACATTTGGAAGAGTTCAAAATAAGCTTGGGACAACAATCTGGAAGAGTAATGGCACTGGATATTTTTTCTTCATACACTGGCAGGTAAGTGAAACATTAAATCTAATACAATGAATGGTACAGCAAGTTGTAGAGAATTTGGAATTCAGAGTCAGGGAGGACTAGAGCAAAGAAAAGGTCTGAATCCTTTTCCTCTTTCAAGATTTTAAAAAATATTCTTCCCTTTCCCTCAATTATATAAGTAATTATTATATAGTATGGAAAATTTGAGAAATATATAAATATTCAAATTAATAAATTAATATTTAATTTTACCACACAATGTAGCACTTTTAACATGTTGAGTTTTGATAATTTGCCCCAAATGAGTATTATTCCATTAATTTCTTAGAACGTAAGAAATTGTATGATTTTTTTACTCTTTTAATATTAGCAAACTTCTTCAGAAATGTTATTTATTCTTTTATTAACATGCATACAAATTCAGAATTTTTTTCTTTTTTTTTTTTTTGAGGCAGAGCCTCACTCTGTTGCTCAGGCTAGAGTACAGTGGTGCCATTACAGTTAACTGCAGCCTCTACCTCCTGGGTTCATGCAATCCTCCCACCTCAGCCTCCCAGGTAGCTGGGATTATAGGTGTGTGCCACCACATCAGGCTAATTCTGTATTTTTTGTAGAGATGGGGTTTTGCCATATTGCTCAGGCTGGTCTCAAACTTCTGAGCTTAAGCAGTCTGCCCACCTCGTCCTGCCAAAGTGCTGGGATTCACAGGCATGCACCACCATGCCTAGACCAGAAACATTTTTTATTTGTAATTTTCTTGCTCTTTTGGAGAATGTTGAGCTGAACCCGTTAGCATATATGCATGTTAGGAAACAGTGTTTGGCTTTTTAAAGGCACTTGATATACAAAGTATTAAGAGCCTTTAAATAATAAAGGGAACGTTTTCTTTTTTCTTAGGAAAGGCAGGAACTGGGTTTTGATGCTGCTGCTGACTGAGTCAAGATCAGGGAGAGAAATAATGTCAAACTGCTTTTCCATGAAGAATGTACCATTTTACACTCTCAGTTGTGGGCCTGTGTTTTTCAGTTGTGCTGGCAACTGACTACCAAATTTCTTGTAAGCATGTGGTAGAGCAGAAATGGCCTTGCAAGCACTCTGAGGTCTTCTCAGAAGAGAGTTCTACAATTCTTTTTTTTTTGAGACGGAGTTTCACTCTTGTTGCCCAGGCAGTGCAGTGCAATGGTGCGATTTTGGCTTACTGAGACCTCTGCCTCCCGGGTTCAAGTGATTCTTCTGCCTCGGCCTCCTGAGTAGCTGGGATTACAGGTGTCCACCACCATGACCAGCTAATTTTTTGTACTTTTAGTAGAGATGAGGTTTCACCATGTTGGCCAGGCTGGTCTTGAACTCCTGACCTCAGGTGATCCACCAGCCTCGGCCTCCCAAAGTGCTGGGATTATAAGCGTGAGCCGCCATGCCTGGTCGAGTTGTACCATTCTTTAGAGGATGTCAGAACATCCCAGAACACCACGGTCTCCAGTGACCTTGCATTCATTGTGATCTTGCTTCACTGATTCCTCTGCACATTACAGATGACTACAGAATACAGAAAGTGTCAGGGAAGGGGAAGGTATGTTATTTGTTTAATAAAGGGAAGGAATGGCATGGTCCTTGGGGCCTCATGAATATTATGGGAAAAGGAGTATAATTGTCCCTCATTATCTGTTGGGGATTGGTTTCAGGACTCCCCATGGATACCAAAATCCACAGATGCTCAATCCCTTATATAAAAGGGTGTAGTATTCGCACATAACCTATGCACATTCTCCCATATAGTTTAAATCATCTCTAGATTCCTTATAATACCTAATACAATGTAAAAGCTATGTAAGTACCTGTTTTATATATATATATATATATATATATATATATATATATATAATTTTAATAATGACAAGAAAAAAAAGTCTGCACATGTATTTTGCAGATGCAACCATCTATTTTTTTCCCAAATATTTTTGGTCTGCTGTTGGTTTAATCCATGGATGTTGGACCCAAGGATACGAGGGATAGGGGAGACGCCTATATTTACTTTACACTTACAAAGCTCAGCCACACTCCAGGATTTCCATTGTAGGGTTAATGGCATGAGTTGGTTATAGTTTCCTGGTGCTTCCTGTCAAACTGGTAAAATCAATTATTTCAATGTCCCTCTGAAATATTGTGTCAAATGACTTACTTAAAGAATACACCAGGTAACATCTGAGTCCTGTTAAGTTCTAGGGCCTTAAAATACTCAAAAGTTATTAGAAAGAAAGCCACTTTGAGCACTGTGCTTCCTCCAAGCACAGACAAGAGGATGGCCTGGATTGTCCTGTGCTGTGACTAGCTGCTTCACTGCAGAGAAAGTATATTTTCTGTGGATATCAGAATGCTTAAAATAGAACACATGGATATGCATTTTTGGTGGAACAATCTGCAAGAGAAAGGTTAAGTAACTTTCCTGCAGCTAATTAATGCCAGAGCCAAGTGTAGAATGTAAGCATACTCCATGTTCTTACCATTGGAAGCAAGGAAGGAATTGCACAAGTCTACGAAGCATGTGCCATATAAAAATATGTGGCAGCATAGCATGAAAGTTAAGAGCTCAGGTTTTATGGTAAGATGGCCTCAATCCAAATCTCACCTATGCTGTCTGCCAGTGTCTTTCTCATCATGTGTCTTTCTCACCATGTGACTTTCTGCCAGTTACTTTACCTGGTACATATTTGCAGATATAAAGAGATCTACTTATTATAGTTGATAACATTTTTGTTGGTATTCAGTGGTTTAACACAGTGGAAAAGCAGTTGATTGACTTCTTTCTTGGCTGAGTGCATGCAGGAAGACATGACACTTGAGTCCCTGAAACCACACACTAAGATGAGTAAACAATAATCAGCACCTATAGAGGAGCATATATGGGGTTTGCGAAAGGATTCAAGATTATAGAATCATCTGAAGAGACTGGGGTCCTTGTATTGGATTATTCAGGATATTTATCTTCTTGTACCTAAAAAGGAAGAAGCAAGATGCATTGTGGCTACGGTGTTTCTGAATAGCTCTCACTGCTTAGGCTTTAGGGCTAAGGACCTCCCCCCATCCCCTGCCTGTCACTGAATATTTTAAGGACTGTTTCTAAGTTCTAATTCTTGTCTGTCTTCTAACTCTGCTTTCTTCGTCATACTCTGTCCTGTTGTATTTCCAGGTCAGGGCTAATTTTTACCTCTCTGCCTTGCATCCTCTGGACAAAGATTTCACTTTTACTATTTCTCTGTCAACTCTTTGACATTGTTTTTAGGATCTCCCTCTTGGAGCTCTTCCCACCAGTCCTACCCTAGTGTCAGACTTAGACTCTAGGAGCCCTACCCTCATTCGAGGCGTTATTCTTTAATTGCACAGGAGGGAAATTCAAACACAAAACCAATGGGTAGGACCTATAGCAAAGAGATTTTATTCTAATAGCTTAAAAACAAAAACTTAACATTCAGGTCCAAGAAAGAATGAGATGTTCTTGGAGAGCCTGGACATTTGCTTGCCAGAAATGTTGCAAAGCGCATTCAAGCTCAGATGGATGACTGGATTAGATGACTTCTGATCTTTAATTCAACATATTATATCAGTTGAGACAGTTCAGTATTCCTGTCAGGGGAGAATGGCTGTAATTTTACATACTTTCTTTTGATTCTTCAGTTTCTGTAAATATCAACTGAAAACATTTATTGAATCAGAGTTTTTATAGCCTTCTCTGCTTTAAGAGGAATATGTGGACATATTTCTTTAGAAATCCAATTTTTACCAACAGCCAAGGCACAGGCCATAATCAGTTTAACCATTCTCTATTGTCCTCTCAGCCTCATTTATTGATACAAAGTATTCCTTTGGACTAACAAAATATTTCTTGATGTTGTTATTATTGTACAGTTTTCTTTACAGTCAATCAGTAGACTGGACACATTTTGTTACATGCCTGGCATTTGGCAAAATCTAAATTGCTACATAAACGGAAGGTGACCTTGAACACAGACGCGTTGTAAACTGCTTCTTCCATTAAGAAGTATTCTGTGCCAGGTTCCTCTGGATGGGGTGAAGCTGGACCAAAGTCTTTCACTTAATTTTTCAAAAATGGAAAGAAAATCATTGGTCCATCCTTAGGAAGCAGAGATACTAAACTCTTGGCAAACTTGATTAGAAATTCATTCAGGACAAGGTTCAGGGCTGTGCATACATGCTTAAAACCTACATGGTGCTTCTAGCTTCCTGCACATTATAGGAATTTAAGACATGCTTGTTCAATGGGTTTTCTTTACAAACTTGGTATTTATCCTATTTTCCCCATTCCTTTCCTTTATGCTCCTATGTCTCATCAAGGAAAAAACAGACTAGACAAGAGTCTTAGTGTTCAGCTCTACGCTATGGTACGTTGATTCTAAAGCAAGGTTTTAATTTTGTTTGGTTACGTTTTTCTTCCCCCCGATGTAAAAATATTTTATACTTATGGCCATGTATGGTGAAAACATAAAACAGTCCTGCATTTTTAGCTAAATCAATAGTAGAGTACATATAATCTTGCATGTTTTTACTAGGATTTTGGGGTACTCATTGTGTAATTCTTTAACCAGAGACATTCCAGAATTACCAGAGCGAGAAGAGGGAGAGGGTGAAGAAAGCGAACTTCAAAACACAGCATATAGCAATTGGAATCAGCCCAGGCGGTAAGGACTATTTCTGTCTTCTGTCCACCCAATGGATATATAGTGTTTAAAGATAAGCAGGTGTGGTTTCAAGTACTGGATTACAACTTGCTTCTTGTTATATCGGGTGAGTTGTTTAATACTTCTAACCCATCATTTTTTAATGTATACAGTGGAGAGAATAATGTGTATCACACAGGGTTAAAACTAACATATATGGAGATATCTGGCACATAGTAGGGACTAAATTAAAGAAAATTATTCATAGGTAGTTGGAATGGATAATACGTTCTGTAGAGTTTTATCTTAGGTATACCAAAAAGTATTCATTTAAATTTTACCTAGCATTTGTAGAAACTAGATAGGCAAACATATATATTCAGAACGTGTGTGTGTGTGTGTGTGTTTGTGTGTAAAAGTACCCTCATAGCCTTGTTACCACAGGCTGAGTTTATCCTAAGTCATAATCTGTCTAGCACCAGTTTCATGTATAATAGATAAGATGACATCCTCAAATATACTTAGATGTATCACGTGCATCACTAAAACATACTGATGTGTTTATGCTGAGTAAAATCAACTTTAGTTTAATAGGAATTTACTGAGTCCTGATTATGGACCTAGACTTAAAGCCAATGATTTTGTGAATAACAAGGAAATAAATAGAAGATGCAAATCCTGCCTCAAGGAACCTCTAATGTACTTGGCTGGGCAAGATGTAGAGACACATGAAACAATTTAAGAACACAAGGTATTTCACCTTAAGAGTAAAACATAGGTAATCAGTGGACATCCACCCCAAACAGACCTAAAGGTCACCATCACAATGTGATGCTTTGTGTTCAGTAAACATTAATATTTGTTACATAGTGAATAAATAAAATGCTCAAGAGAAGAATTTGTAATATTCGTAAATGCCAGTGCAATTTAATGACGTCCCCTGCCCACCAGTGATAACCTGCAGCCATCACATTTAAATATTTTTAAAATATAAAAAACACTATTTTATGTTGCTTTCAAAGAAGCAGCATGTATTTCCAGCCATCTAACATGAATTTCTTATTTGAATTTCATCAAAAGTCACTTAACTCACTTAAAAAATCCCAAGCTCTCTATAGTGCTGCCTACATTGAGAACAGGGTATAAGTGCTAGATCTGTGGCAGAAAATATATTCTGAGGTGTTAAGTGTCTTATTTATTTGTGGATAGAGGTAGAAATAAGTTAAATGAAACTGTTTTGTAGCAGGTAGTCATAGTGATAAACTTGAATTTTTTAGGAGGACAGTAATCACAGGAAAAAAAGATAGGTTGGTCAGTTTTAGTAACAATATTATGAGAGGAAAAGTAGATTTTAGAAGGTGATATAGTTTGGCTCTGTGTCCCCACCCAAATCTCATCTTGTAGCTCCCATAATTCCCACATGTTGTGGAAGGGGCCCTGTGGGAGATTGAATATGGGGGCAGGTCTTTCCCATGCTGTTCTCCTGATAGTAAATGGGCCTCAGGAGACCTGATGGTTTTAAAAACGGGAGTTGCCCTGCACAAGCTCTTTTATTTGCCTGCTGCCATCCACATAAGATGTGACTTGCTCCTCCTTGCCTCTGTCATGATTGTGAGGCTTCCCCAGCCATGTGGAACTGTAAGTACAATAAACCTCCTTCTTTTGTAAATTGCCCAGTCTCAGGTATTTCTTTATCAGCAGCATGAAAAAGGATTAATACAGAAGGCAGTATGCAAAATGGTTGGTGTCAGTAAGAGCCATGTTAGGATTTTGGCTCTGATACTTTCTAAGACAAGTTTCTTAATCTCTGCTAGGTCTCTGCTACTTTATCTGTAAAATGAGGTTAATAATAGAATCTTTTGAATTTGGGGGAAAATTCAGTGTCATCTAAAATCCTTAGCAGAGTGCCTGGCACATAGTGAGTCAGTGGTTGGCTTTGTCTATATTGATAAAATATTTGTCACTGGTACCTAAGCAAAGAGAAAGCCTTTGACACAGAAATCATGAAATTTTCTTATGAGAAAGAAGAACATAACTTCTGGACTGGAAAATTTTTATGCTTTTAACCTTCATGCAATCCTAAGATAGCTCTAAAGGTGCTAACAACCTTACGTGAAGAATACCTCCAAAGATTCCATAAATCCTTCTAAGAAGGTACTCTGTACTCACTAGTGTAGTGGTTCTCCTAGATTCACTAAGCTACTTCTAGGGGAAGTTCATAGAACATGAGAAGAAAGCTTAATGGAGTAACCAGAGCTTTTAATAAATTAGGAGTTAGTGTTGTGAACATGGTTCATAGCATTGAAAACATGATGGGACAGTCATTCATGAAATCAACAAAAATGTACTTTGTATGAAAATAGAGAATTTTTAGCAAAATATAAATTTTAAGATTATAAAATGGGCTGTATTTTATTTTGCATGTGATTTTCATTTTACACAATTGATATACTACTACATGTATTATTTTCCATTTTGCTTAATTTTTCTCTCAATTCTTGACGTTTTGTAAATCTATCAAGCTTGATACTTAAAGATCTAATTCATTCAATTTAGTTGTTGTGTTGCATTTCAATATGTGAATATACCATAGTTTATTCATTGTCAGATTCATATTAGATAGTTAATAGTTATTTGCTATTATAATAATTCTGTTCAGTAAATATATTTATTTCTTTATACTTACACATGAAAATTTATCTAGGGAATATATCCAGAAGTGGAATTGGAATTGCTGGCCTGTAAGTTTATATGCATTTTTTACTTTCAGTTGTCAAATTGCTTTTTAAGGTTGCTATACCAATTATTATTATTATTTTTCTGAGACAGAGTCTCACTCTGTTGCCAGGCTGGAATGCAGTGGCACGATCCTGGCTCACTGCAACCTCTGCCTCCCAGGTTAGAGCGAATTCTCCTGCCTCAGCCTCCTAAGTAGGTGGGACTACAGGTGCGCACCACCATGCCCAGCTAATTTTTGTATTTTTAGTAAAGATGGGGTTTCACCGTGTTGGCCAGGATGGTCTCGATTTCTTGACCTCATGATCCACCTGCCTTGGCTTCCCAAAGTGCTGGGATTACAGGCATGAGCTACCACACCTGGCTGCTATACCAATTTTTATTTCTATTTCCAATATATGAATGTTCCCTTTTCCCCACATTCTTGTTACCACATCATATGATCATTTTTTAAAAAGTTTTTTGTCAATCTAATGGGTGGAAAATGGTACTCTTTCTCAATAAACAAGGTGTGGTAGGTATAACAGGATTGATCAGATAGGGTGAACATTTGCTCATTTGTTGTATGGATTGAGTTTCAGTTTCATATCTTGCTTTCATTACTGCAGTAATCATCACCTTCATCACCACCACAACCACCACCATCATAACTAGTAATAAAAGATTTATCAATTGCTTATTATGTGCCAAAGCTTTTGTTTTGGACCCTACATGTATTAATTAATCCTCACAGAAACTCTGTGTAGAGACTCTTGTTGGCTGTATTTCACAGCTGAGGAAAGTAAGACAGAGACTAAATAAATGCCCTGTGTCACATAATCATTAAGTAGCAAAAGAGCAGGACTGGAACCCAGAGACTCAGTTCACAGCTCAGGCAGTCTGGCCTCAGAGCTGTGTTTTACCTGTGTCTTCCTGAATTTCATTCTTTTTAAACCTATGTATAAAACTCAAATAGGCTGCCTTTTTTTTCCCTACATAACGATCTCTGAAATGAACATATTCTGTAGTTTCTTTTCTAGGCCTCCTTTTTCTTTCACTGTGTTTCTATTGTCTGTTCAGTGAATAAATGAGTCTGGTTTCTCATTACTGTGTCATTTTGGCAGTTCTGTCTTTGATTACCTTCTTCATTGTTTTAAGGATTTACAACCTTTACTTCCAGGGAGGGTATTTTGCTATCTGTGCCAAACCCTATGAGAGCAAAGGTGCTATTATCCAAAGGTTACTTAACCTCTCTGTGTCTCTTCTCTTCTTTGTAAAATGGGGCCAGTAAGAATGTCTACCTTATAGGTATGATGTGAAAATTAAATGAAAGTATATGTAACTTACTCAGAGAATAATACTGAGGACATGGTACAACCCTTAATAAACATTTGCTGTTACTTATGTTTTCTGTATTACTCAAGAAGTCATAAGAATCACTTTCTAATTTGCACCAAACATAAAGAGCCCTTGGAGACATTTTCTTTCCTTCTTTCTTTTTTATTTTATTTTATTTTTTATTCTTAAGAAAAGAGTTAAGGAGTCCTACCTATGTATTCTGGGTTGTTAAATATTTACACTTGTGGCTGAACTTACTATATGTAAAATGTACTATATGTACAATGGCTAAACTTACTAACTCATTTGCCACTTTGCCTTAGGAACTGCTTTAAGAAAACAGGGAAGGGACAGTTGTGGTGGCTCATGCCTATAATCTCAGCACTTAGGGAGGCTGAGATGGGAAGATTACTTGAGCTTAGGAGTTCCTGAGCCCAGGACATTGAGGTTGAAAGTCAAGGCTGCAGTGGACTATGATCATGCCACTGCACTCCAGACTGGGCTGCAGAATGAGACCCTGTCTCAAAACAAAAACAAAAACAAACAAAAATAGGGAAGGATGGTGGATGTTGGTTCTTTTCTGTCACAGAATTTCTGGAGTAAGAGAAAACAATGAATGGGATTTTAACTATTTTATTCACAAAAATTTTATAAGATCAAGGATCATGGTAAGGTCGTTTTAAACTAAACAGGTAGAGTTTCTAGAGTTATAGATTTGCAGTCAAGAAAAAGAGTTACTGGCCAAAGGAAGATGTGCCTCAGTGTCTGCTTTCATTTCAGCTGGTTCCCATCCTTTCCTCTTTGTGGTGCTCTTTCATTCCCAGCCTCTTCTTACCTCAATCATTTTGCAGGATTCCTTACTTCAACCTTTCCTCTTCTCTAGGAACTCCTTAAATGTCAGTGTTGAAGACATGTTTGACAATGCTGTCTTATCCTACTTAATGTCCAACATTGTCTTCCTTTGTGCAGCATGGAGCAGATTGCAGGGTCTCATCATCTCCTTAAAGTTCTGTTTCGTCGATTTTCCTCCAACACCCTGAACTCTGACTCATCTAGGCCAAAGACCTCACTGCAAATCACCTTACTCTTTCTTACATCCTGCTTTTTCACAAGATGTATGTGCTTTAAATATACTCATAGCGCTTACAGCTATTTGCAGTTATTACATATGAATTCATGTCTTTATTTTGTGGGTATAGGAAATGTGTTCAAGACAGAGGAATTAGCAAGCACCGAGGCCCCAAGGCGGGAGCATACCAGATGAACTTAAGGAATAGTAAGGAGATGATGTGGTAGCTAGAGTGGAGAGAGGAAAGTACAGAGCCCATGGCAGGTATATTAGTCCGTTTTCATGCTGCTGATATAGACGTACCCCGAGACTGGGGAATTTACAAAAGAAAGAGGTTTAATGGACTCACAGTTCCACGTGACTTGGGAGGCCTCACAATCATGGTGGAAGGTGAAAGACACATCTCACATGGTGGCAGACAAGAGAAGAGAGCTTGTACTGGGAAACTCCCCTTTATAAAACTATCAGATCTCATGAGACTTATTCACTATCATGAGAAAAGCACAGGAAAGACCTGCCCCCATGATTCAATTACCTCCCACCGGGTCCCACCAACAATACGTGGGAATTGTGGGAGCTACAGTTTAAATTGAGATTTGGGTGAGGACACAGCCAAACCATATCAGCAGGGGAGGTTAGGGAGGTAGTGAGAGAATCATATCCTGTAGGATTTTGGCAGTCACTGCTCTTCATGTCTTGACTGTTAGTGACCAGGTCTGCCTTGGCAAGAATGACTTCTCCTTCTACAGAGGTGGGTTTGTGACATAGTGTGTGCAGGAGTGTTCTTTCCCTTGATTTGGTTGCTAAGCTTAGAAGCTGCTATCTGTTTAGCAGTAGCTGATTTTTTTGATTACTTAATATATGTAATACTAAGATCCTGTAAAATCATCCTTTTACACTGGTATGTGCCACAGCCTGGAGTATGAGTCCAGTTTTACTTATAACAAATCATTTTCAGAAATACATTAATATCAGATTCTATAAGACACATAATTGAGAAGGTATTTTAAACTATCTTTGTTTTACTACTAGTAAAACCTTAATAAATTGAGCAAAGTAATATTTGTAAAAATTAACATATATGACATTTTATTCCATTGTGTTAAAATATTTTTATTATTATTTTAAGCCATCCTAACCATTTGTAAGTGTACAGTTCAGTGGCATAAGTACATTCACATTGCTCTACAGTCACCACCACCGTCTAGCTACAGAACTTTTTTCATCTTGCAAAACTGTAATTCCATACCCATTAAGCAATAACTCCCCTTTCTTGTCTCTTCCCATCCCAGGCAACCACCATTCTACTTTCTGTCTCTATGAATTTGGTACCTCTAGGTACTTTATATGAGTGAAATTAAATGACATTTGTCCTTTATTTTACTTAGATGACTTAACTTCACTTAGCATAATGTCTTCAAGGTTTATTCATATTATGGTATGTTTCAGAATTTCATTTTTAAAGGATGAATAATATTGAATGTATATAGTATTTTATCTACTCATTTCTTGATAGATAATTGGTTTGCTTCTACCTCTTGACTATTGTGAACATGGGTGTATAAATATTTCTTTGAGATCCTGCTTTGAATTATTTTGGGTATAATACCCACAAGTGGAATTGCTGAATCATATGATAATTCTATTTTTAATTTTTTGAGGAACCTATATACTCTTTTCCATAGCAGCTACACGATTTTACATTTCTACCAACAGTACACAAGGGTTTCACACGCTCTGCATTCTTGTTAATTTGTGTGTGTGTGTGTGTGTGTTTTTAGTAGGTAGTAGCCATCCTGTTGGATGTGAGATGGTATCTTACTGTGCTTTTGATTTGTATTTCCATAATATTTAGTGATGTTAAACATCTTTTCATGTGCTTATTGGTCATTTATGTATCTTCAAGACACTTGCCCATGTTTTATACCACTTGTTTTTTTGTTGTTGTTGAGTTTTAGAAGTTCCCTTTGTATTCAGCTTATGAATCTCTTATCAGATATGTTATTAGCAGATACTTTTTTCCTTTCCGTTGGTTGCCTTTTTACTCTATTGAGAGTATCATTTGATGAACAGAAGTTTTTAATTTTGATAAAGTACATTTTATCTATTTTTTCTTTTGTTCTCTGTGCCTTTGGTGTTATATATAAGAAATCATTGCCAAATTCAGCATCATGAAGCTTTACCCTTATGATTTTTCCTAAGAGTTGAAAATTTTATTTATTTTTTAGGGTGGAACTCTGGAGAGAACCAAGCAAATCCTTAGGCATCAGCATTGTTGGTGGACGAGGGATGGGGAGTCGGCTAAGCAATGGAGAAGTGATGAGGGGCATTTTCATCAAACATGTTCTGGAAGATAGTCCAGCTGGCAAAAATGGAACCTTGAAACCTGGAGATAGAATCGTAGAGGTACCCTCTAGTGAGCTTTCTGTGCTAAAATTTGTTTGTTTTGTTTTATTTATTTATTTTTTAATTTTACTATTATTATACTTTAAGTTTTAGGGTACATGTGCTAAAATTTTTCACCTGCTCCACCCTTTGTACCGAGGGAATTGTCATCTTCATACTAGTTACTCAACCCAGCATTCGAGTAAAATGTGTGTGTGGATAAATTATTTCTTTCTTATTTGTTTATTTTCATACGTAATTTTCTCTTATGTATATAATGACAGATTATATGTTTTGATATAGAGACTGATGTTTGGAGATAAAGCCAACCATTTAAAAAAAAATGGCTCCAAGGTAAAATAATTATGTTCTGTTTGAAAGAACAAAGCACAATTCTCAGGGAAAAATTTTGAATTAAGATTACATTAGACATACAATATATGTATATGTACACACAAAAATGTAGATATAATTAAGTTAATGAGATTTTATTTCAATAAGTACTTTATTATCATTTCATTGCAGATAAACTTTGTTGGATGAGTTTTTTTTTTCCAAGTGAGTCTTTTTTAGTAAAATATTTAATGCTGACACCTCAGTTACCTTTCATGTAAATCCTTCTCAGTCGAAGCCAGGATCTCGCTCCTTTTCAGTGCTGTGTTCATTCATCAATGAAGGCTCTGTATGTGTGCCTGTGTGCATGTGTGTGCACATGTATGTGCATTTTGTTATGTGTTAGAAGCATGTCAAGTTGTGTGTAATCTCTTAATTCAAAGCAAAGTTCAATATTTTAAATAGACTCTCCTCTCATAAGTCACTCACTCATTTACTCAACAAATATTCCTGGAACAGCTGTTGCATTCCAGGTGCTATAACAGGCTCTGGGCATCCCACAGTAAACAAGGCACTGTGCCTGCCTGCCAAGTGGGACAGACTTGACAAGTAATCAAGTCACTTCAGAACAGTGTGATAAATTATTTCATTGGGATAAGCATAATTTTATTTAGAAGGATAGAGAAAGGAGTACCTGACCTAGATTTTCTGAGTTTTCAGGATTTACAGAGTAGACTAAAAGAGACAACTTGCAAATAAAGACAATTTTATTACCACTGTAATGACCATTATATTTACTTTATACAAGTGACTCTCATTTTCTAAACCCATATAACTTACACACTGGAAGACTTTGTTTAGAAGAAGATTATAACATATCAACCATGACTTTAAATGCACGTTTTGATGACTGATTGATTCCTTCATTGACTGGCTGTCTTTGAGAGCCTTAGACGGAAGAAGATTGGGACCTGAGCGAAAACAGGGACCATGTCCTTTTTTTTTTGATGACCGTTTATAAGGAAGAGTGATAGGCTTTTTCTCTCTCCTGCATTCTTTCATTAGATGATACCTTAGACCCCTTTTAACGAACTCTTTTATTTAGGACACTACCTAAAATTTCAAATTTTGGATTGTCACTAAGAAGTTTATTTTATGCATACCTCACTATTAAATACCTTTGACCTAAATAGCAAAAGAGATTTTTTTTTTTTTGTAGACAAGAATGGTCATAATTTGCTCTCAAATGTTGTTTAAATATATTTAAAAAGTTAAAGTTCACCTTTGAAATGGAAAAGAAAGAACTTTTTTGTGCGTTTTAAAATACTGTATGCAATTTAGCAATGATTTGTGCCATATTGCAAGGGCTTTTCTAGTATGTAGGAAGCCTCAGTCCTCTGTAATCCTGAGGATTCTAAAGCGTGTCTCTGCTAAGAGTTTCTCAAAATGTATATAGACTAGGTGAGTGCAGATCTGCAAATTTGGAATACTTTGGTCTTGAGCAAAGATAATTAACATCCTTTTAAATTTTTCCACGAATGGAATATATAGTAGACATATGGTAGATGTGAATACTGACTTTTGTTCTACAAAAAAGTTAGAAGCTATTTTAATATGCACTGAAAAAAATATTGTCATCTAAGTATCAACCTGAGGGAGGTTTTTATCTAAATCTATATAATTCTTTTAAAGATAATAATGTTCTATGCAAAGATCTAATAATGTTCTTTTCTAGAGTTGTGTCCACTCTGGGTTTACTCTTTTGTTGTATATATCATAACATGGTAATTGGAAATGATAAAATGATACTAACATCCTATAGTTTTCTGACAGAATTAGCATTTGGCCTTTTAAACTATTTTCCTTCTTATTCATAAAGTGTGTAAGCTGAGTTGATCAATACTCAGGCAAACCATGATCAATAAAATTTACAAAATAACTTTCATTGTCAAACTATATAAGAATTACTAACAAATAAACACAATTTCTTAGCTTCCAGCTCCTGTCATATCTACTGCAAGGATTCTTTTGCAAAACTAACCTTACCATTATCTGATTTTTCTGGATATCAGAATTTTGTTTTGAACTTCAAGCTTCCCTGTACAGAGAAAATTATACAAGGCATCACCCCTTACTTCCCAAACCACCCTATAGTCAATTAGAAGAAAATTAGTACAGTGACTTTCATGATGAAGACAGTGCTGCTAGATAGTTCCCTCATATAATTTTGTTAATGATACTGATTTTTTTAATTTAAAGGAGCAGCTGAGCAATGTAAGGAGTGCAGAAGCAGAGCCTTCATTTCAATTGATTATGTCTTGAACTGATTATTGGAGACAGAGATATGTGTCCAAAGCAAGGGACCACAAGTCTGCTGGACAGACAGAAAGTTCTGCAGCTTCACATGTAGTCTCAATTATTTTTGATATTAAAACAGATTTTCTAGGAGTCTAACCAAGTATCCCTAAAACTCCATATCCACACATTTTTTTGTTGTTCTATAGATTCTTGAAATGTTAAGCTGAGGCCTTCCATTGCAGGTGGATGGAATGGACCTCAGAGATGCAAGCCATGAACAAGCTGTGGAAGCCATTCGGAAAGCAGGCAACCCTGTAGTCTTTATGGTACAGAGCATTATAAACAGACCAAGGGTAAGCGAACACAAAGGGCAAGGTAGGCATATCCAAACAGTGTTCAACTTGGAATCTAATGTATCAAGGGCCAAGTTGTCTGTATGAGTAAAGATAGTGATTTTTCAAATCTCAGGAGACTTGTTAGAAGTTTGTTTTGCTTTCTCAGAAATTGAGTTATCCTGGAAATCCCTTCCACCATGTTTAATAAAGACTTTTGAGGTCTGTTGAATATACACAGAAGTAGATTTATCAGTATCTCTAGGTATCTAGATGGTTAATTATTAGTATTCATTTTAATCACAAAATACACAAGTTATTAAAAGGAATGTGGCATCATAATTCAGGTTAATCATCTGTGATCTCTAGTGGAGCCCCTTAGAAACCAAAGAAATGACATTTTCTTGAAATTTATTCTCTAGACAGAATCTCCTACTTATGCAATCCCATAATCATCTGTGAATGATCGTTCATGTATTTGTGTATCCCACTGAACGTTAAATTTGCTCAGGGCAGATTTGGTTTGTTTACAAGTGATTTCATCATTGCTGTACTCTAGCCACATCACTGTATAGCTCTTCATCACTGTATAGCTGTTGGTGGACAGAAACCTACCAACCCGTTTTGCCATCAGTCACCACAGGTAAAATAGCATTAAAAAACATTTTAGAAAATGTAAGTTACATTTAATGAATGTTGTTAACAAAGATACAGAGCGAGGCTTTGGATTTGTTATGACTTGATGCTGAAGATGAAAATTATGCCAAGAGTTTAAAACTGTTTTTTCAACTCCTTCTTTATGCCTCATGAAAAAAAAAATTCACATGCAGCAGTTATTAAGTATTTTGGATTCACATACCCCTTTGAAAGTTCTTTAGAAACATACACATCCATTCAAAAATTGCATACCATTTCCTAGATGTCCTGAAGCACTTACAGACTCCTTTTTTGGATTTAAGTTAACAACCCCCATCATAGTGATTCTCTTTGAATTTCCTGCTTACTAGTTTTTAGGGTTGGTTGTCTTTAAAACAAAAATATCAACATATGTGAGGGAAGTTGAACGCATCGTCTAAAACTTAAAATATTTAATTTTATCTGCAAAATATATTTAATTTTAACTTGTAAAGTTAAGAATTTAAGATATAAGGGCTCAGTTTAACTTGTGAAATTAAGAATTTAAGATGTTAAGGTTCAAATGATGAAAATAACCAACAGCTCTTTAGATGAGCTCTGTCAAAGTAACTTATCAATATTCTATGCCATGGACTGTAAAGTGACCAGATTTATTTTAATGGCCCTTCCTTCTGTTGTGAAGACAGGTGTAACTGTGGTCTGGGTTTACTGTAAAGAGTGAATCTAGTAGTTTTTAATGTAAGCACTTCAACATCTGCAATTTTTAATCATTCAGTTGTTTATTGTTAGGTAATAATTATCCATTCAGAAAGAAAATTTGCCAAATGGTAGGGCTGCATCATGCTGCATTCTTTACAAAGCTATTCCATTTGTTTAAATAACTATAAATCCTTTTACATTTATTCCCATTTGTGTGTTAAACATAGACACAGCATAATAATGTTAAATGGGTGTTTAAGTTAAAGCTATTTTTTTTGTGTGTGGGTGGATTTTAGTCCTTTTTTTGTTTTATTTATAATTTACAATTTTTACATCATTTGGGACAATACTATAAATTGCTGAATAGTGATTCTCAATATTGCTTTAAAAACTTAAAACTACAAATATTCCTTTCAATGTCAGGCACATTTTCCAATGAGCCGGGAAGATCTTGTCTCATACACCTGGAAAATACTCTTATTTTGCTCTCTGAGGTATAATGATACCTGATTTTATAGCAATTGTTCCAGGATAAATCTTGTTATGAATGACATGTTTAGTCAAGTCATACTTATTTTGCTTTAGAAAATTAAAGTTAATTTTGCATTTAAAATGAGATATGTTTTGTTTCAATGATTTACTTCCTTATGGAAATAATTAGGTCTCCAGTAATCTAAAAGGAACAATCACAAATGCACATACTTAAAAGTCTCTTACTGGTAATTGTGTTATCTGTAGATATAGGATAAAGCTCCTAGGAAATCTTAAACATAAGCTGAAAAACCAGTGAGTTGCTTTGGCCCTTAGGCTCTTCAAGAATCAGAAATTTCCAGAACTAGCCCTGGTAATTTCACCAGTATGACCCTTCACAGAATTCAGTCTGACCACATTTTCTCACTGAAAGGGGGGCCCCATTTAGAATGGGCCAGAGAATGTTTTTGTCTTCCCTGTGCTTCTTCGTTGTTAATATTTCTGCTTTTCTCAGCCCCTGGGACTATAAACAGAAGTTTCATCATTGGTTTTTTAATAAGAAATAGTCTGTTTCTAAATATCTTTTCCTAATAATAGAGTAATCTACCATTTCGTCTGCTGTGCCTATGCTATACTTTTACACTTTGCTATCAGGGCCAAATTCTAATCCTCTGAGATCTGCAAATTAAAAAGAAAGCAAAAGTAATAAAAATTTAAAAACTAGAGCTTTCTTTAAATTTGTTGCTAGTTTTGTTTTCTGATGTTCTACAGAATTATACAGGACACTGAAAGTCCAATGTATGGAGATTAGAAATAATCTCCACCTTCCATAGCATTGAATTATTTTGCCTAGGATATATTTGTCACCTCTGCCTAGTCATTTCTTCCACGTTAATAAATGGTCATGTGCCTTGGTATTTGTGATCTTCTCTTTTGTAAAGCAGGAGTTGACATTTTAAACTGAAAAGCAGGGAGAAAGTTGAGATGAGCAGAAATGTCATTGTGCCCATTTCTTTTTCCTGTCTTCCCTCTGTAGGAAAAACATTGCAAGAAGAGCAGATTGAAAGGGTAATGTGGCATAAGCTTTAGTGCAGGCATACTGAGGATAGAGTCTTTCCAGAGTGTTCTCTCATACAGCGTGGTGTCACATGACAACCTCTCCCTATACTTGATGCCTGCCAGTGGGGCTTTTTTATAGAGAAAAGTAACACAAACATTTAATTGGAGCCAAAATGAATTTTAAATGTCTGCAATTTCCCCTGAAAGATATAGTCAATAAAAGAAAAAGATAGCGGGTGTGAAAAGAAGGAGAAGAATTTATTGTGCTAAGGAAATTACTTTTTTTTTTAAACTATGAAAATGCTAAATTCTATCTGGCAGTCATCCTGACTTTAATATGTATTTTCAACTCTAACAGTCTGGCTCAGGGCTTATTACTGGCAAGCCACAAAACCTCTGAGAAACACTCTAAGGCAGGACTTCAAATATTATCTAAAGCCTCATAAATTCTCCAGTAATATGGGCAATTTTATAGGAAATTTATTTAAAACATGAATCTCCATGTTTCTACCTCCACAAAAACTGGGCAGAAATAGAGAACACCACTCTACAGGAGTTCATTTTTTAATAAATTACTGTTTTTTTAATTTAAAAAATACAATTGCTCTGAAGCACTTTAATATCCAGTCAAAATATGGAAAGTTTCCTTACTAGGATGCAAAATAAAAGAATAATGAAGGTTGCCAGTGAACTAGCAGACCAATTTATAATTTGCATTCTAGACAGATTATTTAAAAAAAATTAGCTTTTAGATGTAGATAAAAAATTTTGTGGTTTTAATTTTGAACATGTTTACTGGTATTCATAAAACATGTATTAATATATAAGATGGGCAAAATATATGTGCCTCTGTTAGTAATACCGAAGACATTGAGCAAAAATAAAAGAAATTTGGGATCAGTTTGACAACTAGTTTCCTTTGTGGTTTGTGGCCTGATTTAGACTCAGGTATAGATTCAGGTCATTAGAGACAAATCTTTAGTTCCAGACTGTTTTAAGATGTTGCTATTAATGACTGGATCTGATAGGATCTAGTTTCACACAGGCAGTTCTTTAAATCGGTATGTACTTTGCTTTTAAAACTGAGTTGTTTTCAATACATTTCCTTTGCGTTCAGCGCCTCTTATGTTTCCTTTTAGAAATCCCCTTTGCCTTCCTTGCTGCACAACCTTTACCCTAAGTACAACTTCAGCAGCACTAACCCATTTGCTGACTCTCTACAAATCAACGCCGACAAGGTTGGATAATGCCCATTGTCTTGCTGTTGGTTGCCTTTTGCAAATGTTTTGTTCTTTGTTACTACTGTGTCTTTGTCCCAGTTCACTATTTGCTACATTTGGGCAGGGAAAAAAAAACAAAAAAACAAAGCTGTTTGGAGTGGGCATGCAGATCCTTTCTTAAGCACATTTTCCTGCCAGAGAATATTTATTTTTATTGCTGAAATTAAATGGCCCTTCTGAAGAGTAAGGGAGAATCATGAGTCCAGTGCCTTTCTTTCATTTTGGTGTCATTTAAAATTTCTGATATTTAAATTTTTGTTAGTTGCCAAATGTATGATACTTTCACACATAATTTCTTTAAAACCATGTGTTGATTTAAATCCTTTTCATACTTCTACAAGGTGATCATAAAAGCTCTTCCATGAGTTAATCACTGCACAAATAATTGTGTATGTGTACATGCAGGAGTCTGTTGAATATTCATGAAGCATGCCCATGTAATTGCCTGAATCAGGAAACGTAACTGTTTCAATGCTCGTAAATCTATACTTGGATCTTCTCATTTTCTGATGAAATTATAAAACCAAAATCGAAACACAAATTTATAAGAATTTATATACCATAATTTGATCATGAAAAGGAAGAAAGCCATCAACAATTTTTTTCAGGAAACACTTTATGAATATTCATCAGACTTCCATGTTATTGTAACAAATACCATGTTATTGATATGGATAACCAAAGATGCTATATCTGAAGGAATATGTTTTCTATTGCTATAGGAATTACTGAATTCAAGTAGAATTATCTTCCATTGTTCCCCAACTAACCCTTTTGCTCCCACACCCTTTAAGGTTTGTGTCAGTGTGGAATTTTCGTATGTGGGTGTGTTACAGTGTGCTTTATGTGTGTGCTGTACTTGATGTATACATACATGGCATGGAGTGATCTCAAGTATACACTGCATTTTTGACAAGGAAGGCTAAACAATCTTTGTTAAAGAGCTATATTTTCATAAATAAATTTTAAAAAGTGTCACTAACGAGGCAGATACATGATCTTGATGAGAATGAGGGTGTCAGGGATATGAAAACATAACACCTGATTGCCCCTCAAGTAAATAGAGGCTTATATTGGTTTTATTAGTCAGGTAGGTTAGGGCACCATTTTGATTTACTCACAGTATGAAAATGTTGTGCCTGAGATCCCAGACAATTTTTCAGATAAGCAGGTTTTGTTTGTTTGTTTGTTTGTTCTTAAAATAACAGCTCAGAAAAATTATGCAGCAAGATGTATAAAATGTCATCTATAGATTTGTTAAAATTATGAGAAGTTTAAATTAGCTTTTGTTTTACCTTTTAAAAAGGGAATGGACTTAATCAATGCTTGATAAAATTTTACAGAGAAGTAAATTTTTTTTAGCCAGAAAAATTCTAAAGTACATACCTTGCTCCTCTTTACTATGATAATGAAACTTGATTGGACCAAATGAGGGTTTTATGTGTGTGTGTTTGTTCATTTTTATTGGTATATTATTAATTTGAGACATTTATGGCACAGCATTTGGGAACATAACAAGGGTTCCATTTACATTAGTAACTTTTATCTGTTTGTCCAATGACATATAGACTGAACATTTCAATATAGCAGATTCTGTAATCTGACACTTACGCCCTTAAATCTCTATCAGTCAGCGATTTGCTTTGCCAGAAAATTGAGTGCTTTCTGAATCAACAAAGAAAGGTCGCATTCAGTCTCAAATAGTTCTAGTGTTACATATATTTTTAGGTATCCTAATTCGTGGCACCAATTAATAATTTCTAAGTATTTGTGCGTGTTTATCATTTAATGTATCCTTACAAGAAGTCAGTTTTTTAAAAAAAATCATAATATTTTTCTAGATATAAACATATATAATAAAACATTGTATCAGAGGAATTCTTATGCAGTAAAAAAGTAAAATAAAGATATATAGGAAAACTATAGGTTCAAGGTATCAGGGACAACTTCATACCGAGGTTAGAACTTTAGCTGGATGTTCCTGACCTTTGAGTTTGGTACTGTCTTATTTATGCAAGTTGGAGGAGACAACATGATATAATGGAAAGTGCACTGGATTAAGAGTTAAGCAAAAAGAAGTCTAGTACCACTGTTTGATTCGAAACAAAAACTTTCATTTCTTGTAGCCTCAGGTTCCAAAGGTTTATTCATCTGCAAAGTGAATAAAATGAACTCAGCAACTTAAAGACCTTTCAAACTCTAACATTGTTTGATCATCTGTAACATTAGGTTAGTGCAAAAGTAATTGGAGTTTTAATGGCAAAAACTGCAATTATTTTTGCAATATAAGAACTTGATGATGCCAAGTACTTTTTTTTTTTTTTTTCGAAATAGGACCTATGACCCTAAGTGACAGCCAGTATGCCATGCTTTGGCTTTCTATTAAGGAGTCTCCTGTGTTTCCTCATTTATCTTGTGATCTGCCTTGGCAAGGGAAAGCTGGTGTTGTCCTTAAAACCATGCCGCTCACATCCGAGTGTGTGCTCTGTGCTAACAAACTGGCTCTCTGGTAGACAAGCCTGCATGTGTGATACTTGCTGTCCTGGATTTGTTAAGAGAATCATATGGAGAGAGGATTCAGGTAGCAATAAATAATTATTTATATTTAGTCTCACTAATAAGCTTTGAAGGGCAACTTCTTTGTTAATTTTTTTTTCTGCAGTTTCTTGGCAGATTTTTCTAGATGCCTCAAATCTTACCCAGACCCAAAAGTTATAACTTTTGAATGACATTTTTTTCTAGAAGGGAAAGTTTGTACAATTTTCTACCAAGTCATTTAAGACTTCAAATTCATTAATTCATTGGCTTAAAATAGCAAATAAAAGTTTAGTGAATTATTCTCTGATACTACTTGGTTTGATATATTTAAACTTTACCTGAATCCCATCTAATATTTCATATCTATCTATCTATCTATATATATACATAGATATATATGGAAATAAGAATATCATGTCAAAAACAAAGACTGGCTTTAAAATATCAAACAAATAATGGAAAGCTCATATATATACATATATATATATATATGTATATATATAAAATATTTAACAATCTGAGCCTTCCATTATTTGTTAGGTATTATATATATATATGAGCTTTCCATTATTTGTTAGATATTTTATATATATATTATATACATATATGAGCTTTCCATTATTTGTTAGATATTTTAAAGCCAGTCTTTGTTTTTGACAGTATACTCTTATTTCTTCTTCTTGAAGTTTTCTTCCTTAGACTGTACAAACCCACTGCATTCTTTTTGTTCCCACAGGCACCCAGTCAGTCAGAGTCAGAGCCAGAGAAGGCTCCATTGTGCAGTGTGCCCCCACCCCCTCCTTCAGCCTTTGCCGAAATGGGTAGTGATCACACACAGTCATCTGCAAGCAAAATCTCACAAGATGTGGACAAAGAGGATGAGTTTGGTTACAGCTGGAGTAAGTTGTGTTTTTGTGATGCATTTAATTGTAAGAGGTATTAAAATAGCTCTGAGTTTCTCAAGGATTTCGCCCTGGATAAGTAAGTATGTTGCAGCTTTGTGATATATACTGCAATTCTGTGTGGAAAGAAATAGTGTTTGTTTTGCTTGAATACAGCATACATTCCTGAGGCATGAAATCATGCTCTTCCTTTCCTTTAAAAGTGCTGTTAAAGCTCACTCTGCCTTTTGTATGAGAATTAATAAGGACAGGGCACTCTCTCAGAAGCTAGTATTGGATCAGCCACTCTGTGTCTCAAACAAGTCACCACCCCTTTCTGGGCATCAGATTCCTCATGTGAATGAGGATATTCTGGTTGTTGATATCACACCTTGAACTTCTGGTGTATTTTCTATACCAGAATGGTGACATAGTATAATTGTGGAGATAAAAACTTTAGGCATTGACTAAGCTGTTTAACTGTCTCTAAGCTTTAGCCTAGTGGTTATCTCTCTTTTTAAAATGGAGTTCTCCCCTCAGGTTGCTAACATTCAATTAGATAGTGCCAAGAGTGCTAAGCACAGTGCCTGGCGCCCAGCAGTCTTTCATAGGCAGCTGTTATTAGGACCAATAGGGAGTCTCTCTTTTCTAAGGAAATACCATTTTGCAGGAAAATATTTAAAATTTAGCCCAAAGTTATCAATGTCATTGTTTTAAAAAGTTTTATTTTAAAAATCGAATTATTTCCTTTAAGAAAGCTGTAGTACATCTTTTTAGGAAGTACAGAACATAAAAGTTGTGCTGCTGTATTGTGGAAGGAGTCAGGAAATAGTTTATGAAATTGATGCAGTTAAGAATCAATGTAGAATGCATGGCATTGGCCCATTAGCCATATAATAACGTTTTCTAAGATGACTGGTAAAGTTTGTAGTTTTCGCAGTCTGTTCTCAGTGACACTAGAGCATATTGCTAACAATCAATGTGGTCAGAATGTAATCTTGAGGAAAACGTGAACTGAAATGTTTCAGTTTTCTATTATGAAGCCACCCCAAAATGTAATGGCATAAAACAATAATTTATTATTAATCTATCAAAGGGCAGTGGGTGACTGGGCCCAGCTGGGCTGGACTTCCAAGACAGCTCATTTACATGGTTGTCAAGTAGTGCTGGCTGTTGGCTGGTCGCTCATCTGTGGCTGTGCACTGGAGCACCTGCGTGAGGCGTCAGCCCTCTTAGATTAAAGAGGGTGCACAATAACCATCACCTCTTGAAGATGTGGGGTAGGAGATGTAAATGGTCTCATCTCATTAGGACGTGTGTCCCAAAACTGGGTTACATATATCAAGTTGTCCTGGCCTAATAGCTCTGTGCAATAAGAAAGCTCATTCTCTTCATTTTGCATATATCTATCAAGCAACTGCCCAACATGATGTGATACACAATGTTGAAATTCCTATGGGAGAAAAGCTCCCACTGATCAGTGAACACAGATATTCTGGATGCCTTAGTTCTGTTCTCCTCTGCAAATGATCAAGTTTCTGGTTTAATCATAGTCTTTTGAGAGTTTGTAAAATGAATTACTTCTCTTTGGTGTAACCACTCCAAGGTGAACTGATTAATCAGACATTGTGCTCTCTGCACCCTAGATGCAAAGAAATTCCTCAAAGTTTGGGTCCTCCAGGAAACCAGTCCTGATGCCCAAGTGCCTAGTCTATTTAGCTTTTAACTGTCAAAGCGTACATTTTGGTATAAAATCTGTCCTTTTGAGGTAAAACTAAATAGCTTTCCACAGTAAAGCATTTGACTGTAAATTAACTGTAAATATGTATTTGTTGTTGTTGTTGTATGTAGAAAATATCAGAGAGCGTTATGGAACCCTAACAGGCGAGCTGCATATGATTGAACTGGAGAAAGGTCATAGTGGTTTGGGCCTAAGTCTTGCTGGGAACAAAGACCGATCCAGGATGAGTGTCTTCATAGTGGGGATTGATCCAAATGGAGCTGCAGGAAAAGATGGTCGATTGCAAATTGCAGATGAGCTTCTAGAGGTAAGTTTTTGTGGAAAATTTTGAATTTATTCTTGTTTTATAAGGGTAATGGAACTGTCAGTTTCCAGAAAATCACCCATACCTTATAGTGACTGAGAAAGCCATTGCTTGCTTAATAAAATAGATGCATTGCAGCAAATCTGGCTCTAAACCAAATTTCTACCAAGTAGAGTCCATGTTCCCATTAACTTCCATTAAAAGGTCATGACTGTGTAGCACCAGAAACAATTTTTGCCCCAAGATAGTAATAAAGCTTACACTTCAAAAGCATTTGTTTTGTGTGCTGCATTTTTATTAGGAGTTTTTGAAAAGCCAAGTGACCAGTCATTCCCCAGAGGCTGACCCACTGGACATTCTGGAACTTGAATCACTAATGGGAGAAGTGATGAGGGTGAGGTGGGGTGGGGTCAAGGTTAAGGCTAAAGAACAAGCAGTAACTCAGCCTGCCGAACAAAATAAATTTGTGGACCATACTTTATAGGGTTTAGAATTTTATTTGCTTGTGTTGTTTGTCCTTGCCCCTCCTGGGCTGGGATCCACATGATTTTATACTGCCTTTATACTCTTCTCATGCTGAGTATGTTTCCCTATAGACACAGGAGGCTCAGTCAGGCAGTGGCTAAATGACCAAATGACTGAGCCAGTCATTTGCGTTAGGCACTGTGCTGTTTAGGCACAGTTTGCTGCCTAAATCCTGAATCTACCTAGCATTTCTTCTCCCAGTGACCTATTTCCAGGGCTTGAGTTTTGAGACTAAGTGGGAAATATGACAGTAAGGAACTTCCCAGGATGGTCTTGCAGGTCGCAAGTTTTTCCACAGAGCCCTCGTTTTGTGCAGAGCATGCTGGGAGCCCAGTGCCTGCCAGGAAATTTGTTGTCTACTCTCCTGCAGTTGGTCCAAGTGGTGCCTCTTTATCAGCAGTTCATGGATGTCAGACTTCATTTGCATTATTTTAATGCTGGCTTTAAACATGAGCTATTCTTTATTCACCATGAAAAGTCAGTTTCATGTTTTGGGGAGGAAAATATATAACATTTAATATAAAATATATTTTAAAGGAAGAAAAAATGTGCTTTTCATTAATGAGGAAGGATGATAAAACTTTATGATACTAAGATTTCAGGCCCAACTAATGATATTTATTTCTCACAGATCAATGGTCAGATTTTATATGGAAGAAGTCATCAGAATGCCTCATCAATCATTAAATGTGCCCCTTCTAAAGTGAAAATAATTTTTATCAGGTGATCATTTTCTTTTGCTAGTTTACCAAATACTTTTTGTTAGCATTTCTTCTCTGAGTTCTTTTGAATGAAAAGAAAACATTTGTAGCCGGGCATGCTGGCTCATGCCTGTAATCCCAGCACTTTGGGAGGCTGAGGCGGGCGGATCATGAGGTCAGGAGATCGGGACCATCCTGGCTTACATGGTGAAATCCCGTCTCTACTAAAAAAAAATTAGCCGGGCGTGGTGGCACGCACCTGTAGTCCCAGCTACTAGGGAGGCTGAAGCAGGAGAATCACTTGAACCTGGGAGGCGGAGGTTGCAGTGAGCTGAGACTGTGCCACTACACTCCAGCTCGGGCAACAGAAAGAGACTCTGTCTCAAAAAAAAAAAAAAAAAAAAAAAAGAAAACGTTTGTAAATTTGTAAGTGTCACAGTTCCAGGTTTTGGGGGTTAAATAATTTTCTCTAATAACCTTCTGACTCTTGAAGTAAGAGAATGAAAATAATACCATGATGTTATAATAGGTTGTTGTTTTTTTGCTTTTAGAAATAAAGATGCAGTGAATCAGATGGCCGTATGTCCTGGAAATGCAGTAGAACCTTTGCCTTCTAACTCAGAAAATCTTCAAAATAAGGAGGTATATGTAACTTATGTTTGTTTCTCTGGGAAGACTTGATTGATGTGAGCCTTATTAATTCAATCAACAATTACATAACACTTAGAGAGGGATATTAGAGGTAGATAAGTTATAGCCTTGGCCTTCAAGGAGTGTACATCCTAGTATAAGAAGACACTCATGGAAATAAGCATACCACTTATGTGAAGAGTACTTGTAGTCTGCCTAGGGAATAGTGAGGGTAGGAAAAGAGTTATCAGTTCTGCCTCTGAAAAGAAATTGAGGATAAAACTTTATATGGAAGGTTACATATGAAGTGTATGTTGGAAGATTTGGGGGGCAAAAATGTTGCAAGCGGAGGGCATGGAGTGAGGAATGGCATGGAGACTTTGGCCAATGCAGGAAGCTAAATTGTAGAGCATCACTGAGCAATGAGGGGCAGGGAATGGAAGCTGGTGGGGAAAGGGTCAATGTTAAAGGGGACAGGGTCAGATCATGGGATACATTGATAGGCCAACATGTGCCAGCTTTGTCTTTGAGGCAGTGTGGAGCTCAAAGAATGAGAAATGTTTAGTTAAAAATTTCTCTGGCAGTACTGTAGAGAAAAATCAGAGGTAGCAGGGGAGAGAGGTTAGAGGAAGTAAGATAATTATTGGAATAATTCAGGAAACAGTTAACAAGGACCTGAACTAAAGCTGGAAGAGGGAATGGTTACATCAGATGTTTAAGACCCAAATTGATAATACTTCATCCCCAACTAAATGTACTCACTGAGGAAAAATGAGTGGTTGAAGATGTGTTTATCCAACAAATATTTTCTGAGTACTCTGCCTTATACCAGATACTGCTCTTTGGACTGGAGAATAAAACAGGTAGGATATACAAGGTTTTCAGATATCTGACTTAGTGACATGAGGGATGGCTGTCTTTTACTGAATAGAAAATACAGAAAGATATTTGCAAAAATATGGTACATTCTATTTGGGGCAGGTTAAGAACGAAGTGCCTGTTGGATAGCCTGGTAAAAATGTACATTGGGACATTTGGTCTCCAGTTTAGAGATGATTTCCTGTATATGCAGATTTGGCATTTCTTAGCCATGGAGGCTGAGGTGCTTGCTACAGAGAGCATTTAGAGAGAAAGAGGGCCAAGGGCAGAATCATGTGGTAGCAACAGTAAGGAGGAAGGCTAACCAAGAGATCAGAGACTATGAAGAACCAGGAGGGCATGTGGCAGAGCAGCGGAGAAGAGTGTCCTTCAAGGGTACACTCCACAGCTCTACATGCTGCCATGTAGCAAGAATCCAGTGAGAAGATGAGTAGAAAGAGTCCCTTGGGTGTGGTAACTAGGAGACTGTTAGTGGTTTTTGAGAAAGCAAATGATGGACAAGAAGTCAAGGAGAGAGAGAGGCAGTGGCTAGAGGGTGACAGAGAATTGGGAGAGTGGTTTTGTTTTGATTTAGGAAAGCTTTGGATACATGTGTATGATGAATAAAAGGAGTTAGTAGAGAATGAAAAGCTTAAAATTAGAGGAACTTTGGTGATTATCAGTGGGGGTACCTGTAGGAAGAGAAACATTCTTTCCTAAATGAATATATAAACATAGAGCTTATGTATACATAAGATAGATGTACAAATCATTGTCTCATTCCGGCTGCTCCTAACGTTCCACTAAGCCACGTGGTTATTTAAGATAATTAGGTTATAAGGTAATATATTTTCTTTTCATATTAGTTGTACTAAATATGTCTCTTAAGGAAATGGAGTATTTTAATAACGTTCATTAAAGTTTTCAATTCACTTGATAAATAACACAGTAAAGAATAATGAATGGTGTTTCTGCTGATGCTCTGTCACTGAGTTTCACCATTTGTTAGCTGGGCTACCATCGGTTTTCATTATACAGTAAACCCAGGCAGTCTTCAAGCCACTTGGTCTATCTGTGCTCTCAACTGATTGCTGTCCAGTTACACCTCGTAAGTATTTTGAAGAGAATGTAATGTTCATAAATTCCATAGAATGTTAAAATAGCAAAAATGTATTATAATAAATAAATGTATTAAAATAGCAATAGTGTATTAAAATAAATAAATGTAAAATAATTTTATATAATGTATAAAATAATTTTGAATAAGTGGCCTTTATATTTAAACAAATCAAATTTCCTAACACTCAGTTGCTCTTTTTGTCATTTCTTTCCCTCTGTCAGACAGAGCCAACTGTTACTACTTCTGATGCAGCTGTGGACCTCAGTTCATTTAAAAATGTGCAACATCTGGAGCTTCCCAAGGTAAATCTGCTTTGAATTGGAATGAAATGATGTGAGTTCCTTTACCTCAGTGTTCTAATTCACTGTGTTCTCAAAAGTGTGGTCTCCAGATTAACAGCATCAGCATCATCTGAGGTTTTGTTAGAACTGCAAATACTTGGGCCCACTCAAACTTATCTGCTTAATGAGAAACTCTAGGGTTGGGCCGAGAAGTTTGTGTTTTATTAGACCCGCCTGATGCACGTTTACGTTTGAAAATGACTGTGCTGATACTTTATCAGGGGTCCAGCTTGCCCTTTTATAATTATTCCAAGTTATGAAATTTAGTTATCTGTCCATTGATTCCTTCACTAAGGTCCTGCTACGGAGGAAATAAAAATAAAGAAACAGAAGTTATAGTCTTGTCCTTTAAAAATAAGAAAGCTCATATATTTAGAAGTGAACTTTCGGCTCCGATGATTGCCTTAAAAAGGCAATCTTACTATACATATAAGAGAAGTCTTTATCATGGACTATTATTGTTGTGGTTAAAAAGAAAAGAAGTTATTAAAGTCTTTTTACCTTTCTATCAAGAAGTCCATACACTTCAGTTTGAGAATCCCTCATTCTATTGCCATTTAAGAGAGATGACATCTTCCTCTTTCCCTTTCTGATTTCTGCTCTTAGTTTCTTTTCCTCCTAAATCCTGAAGTAAGAGTTTATAATATTTAATGATGCAGTCATTTCCCTATAATTTGTTAATTATGAAACATTTAAATGTATGTTGAATACTTTATAATGAATGATTTTTTTAAAAAATCTGTTTATGGTGATCTTTAGAAAAGTCCAAAATTAGATAATTTTTAAATATCCTTTCATGGTATTGATTTTAATGTATCATCTAAGGCTTAGTATATTCTAGGATATAATGACTGCCCAGGAAATGTCTGTGGAATGAACATGTTAGATGGATAAAGGGCAACATACTGTAGTGATTGGGAGCAGACTTAAAGCCAGACCACATGTGTCAGAGACCTAGATTTGCCACTCACTATCTATGAGACTGTGACTTTGAGCATGTTTCTTAACGTGTACATAGTTTCACCTTTTGAAAATGGACTTAATAATTGTCCAACTTACCTCATAGACTTGTAGTGAGAATTAAGTATATATTGTGAAAATTAAATATACATATGTTCAGTTTCCAGCACCTGGCACACATATACAAATAGTGCTTGCTATTATTATTGTTTTAATAATTAGGAATGAATAAGCTGGTATAGAGTTGCCTGATGGCTACCTGTCACTGATTTTCTCTGATGTTTTCTGTTTCCACATCTATTTCCACATTAGGCTACCTGATTAAGGTGCTTGATAGATGTTCATAGCATCTTAATCCCCTACTCAGAACCTCCCAAGGACGTTCATTTCCAAACAGATACATTCAAGTTCTTTGGCTGGGCATTTAGCAATGAGGGTGGACAGAAGCCTGTGCTGTCAGAAGCCCTTCTCACATCCTGAGTGATTGCCTATAAATCACTTAATCCCATTGGTCCTCACTTTCGTCTTCTGTAAATGGTGCTGCCTATATTAAGGGTTATTGTTGGGATTGGATGAGCTAATGAGCAAGGTTCCTTCATTCTGCAATATAAAAGCTGGTTTCTGCCTTTCGCCTCCTTTTTTATTTATTCAGCAGATGTCTATTATGTGTACTTCCCTTTCTAAATTAGATGCTATTGAGGAATGCAAGACCTTGGAGAACCTCAATGTATTGCCCGCTGAAAGCTTCCATTTATATGTAGATTTCAAACAAATCTAAAGCTCAGGTAGCTAGAATGTATTTATTGATGAAAGCCAAAGTAAGTAAGGGGAACATACAAGAATCTTTTAAAAGTAGCTAGACAGAAGAGGCAATTAACCATGATTTTAATGATTTTAAGTGTGGGCTTTGGAGTCACTTAACTTCTCTGGGCAATAGGCAAGCCATTTGTTCCATGGTGAGCAGGTATATGCAAAGCAACCTCCAAAGACTGAGGGAGCTGGGGTCCTGAAGAAAGAGGCTGACAAATCCAGTTTATCAGAAAGAAATACTTAATAGGGACTTAACGTACAGAAGCCATGCTGCTGGTGGCCACAAGACAGTGGATCCCAGCATCCACCCTCTAGAAAGTATTCTTTACATAGCAGGGATAAAGACATGTAGCTGGTCACGTCTCAGAATTTCTTGCTGAAACTTGTTATCAGTGGAGAGGTTAGGTAAACATCTTTATGAAGGATTATTTATGCTACAGGGCTCGCTACAGAACACCTTGGTATGCAGGAGTCAAACATTGGTCACCATGGCGGTTTCGCTTCAAGGTGGTGTCACTCCTGCCATACAACAGGCTGTTTTTCTACACCGTTTAACTTGTCTGGGTCTCACTTTCCTCCTGAGATGAGGAAAATCCCTTTATATTAGAGATACTATTGGAAGGATTAAATGAAAGAATTTATACAAAGTGCTTACCACAGTGTGAGTTATTATTATTATTTTTGTTAATACTTCTAACCATGAATTTGTGAGTTCCCCATAGAATATATCCTTGAACACATCTCTTGAGGAAGCCATTGTTACAAATGATGTTGAGTGACATATTACACTAAGCCTGGCACTCCTAACCCCATTATTACATGGCTCTGGGAGTAAAAATTAAGCAAAGAAGGGAGAAAGAAACAGCTTTTAACACTCATGAATCAGCTGAAATCTTTTGTCATTTTTACTATCCTATATATTTTTAAATTATAGTTATTTGACAAAGTAATTTAATGGTAATGTAACATTTGTTCATTATGTTATTTACTTCTTAGCAACCCTGTGAGCTTGCTATTATTTTCTCCACTTTGAACTGTTCCCATAACTCCAAATAGTAGAGCTGGAATTGAACTCTGGTCTTCTGCCTCCAAGTCCCATTTCCCATCCATTACCTGTTTCAACTTGCTACTGGGCCCCATCTGCCTTTCTGAAATGCCTGTATGTTCCTTCTAGGAATCCTGTACTTCAGTCAAACTGATTTGAATCAAGAGCTCATGGAGAAGGTTTTGAGAATTTATCCCTCTTTGCCTTGGTTTATATCACTTGGTCTTTCTGATTTCTTTTAACTTATATAAATCCTACATACACTAAAGATCCAACTTAAATCTCACCTCTGTTTATTTTGAAATATTACTTCAATATTCTGGCTTATATAGTGCTTACTATTAATGTCTTCATTTTATTTGTCACTTAACCATGTTTGACCCTAGAGCTTGTCTCCTGTGATGAACTTTGATGTGGGTATCTTTTCTGTACATCTAAAACATACACATGCTGAGAGAAGAAATTCTCACTTTTTTTTCCATTACTCAGTGTCATCAACATAGTTCAGACTGTAAGTATCTGCGAAGGAAGAGTGAATGAACGGTTATGTGCCGTACATGCATAAGGGGAAAAATGTTGAGATCAGGAGAGTCAGGAAGAGAATGATTTTTGCATTGTCTAAAAGTGGGAGCTCTAATAACAGCTCATTTCTAGTTCTGTTTTGACTCCTTAGAAACTCCTGAGAAGTGAATTATCTTTTTTTAATCTTTTATATTTTTTAAAAATGGGAAAATAGAATATAAGCAGAAAGCTCTCATACATAGAATCTAAACCCACAGTAGCTGACTGAAATGCAAATTCAATTGATCAGAAAACATTTTTGATTAAAGATTTATTTTTGACACAGTTTGCCCTAGGAAAGGACCCATACATCAAAGCAGGTAGTAGCCTTCTGTGATTGTCAAAGCTGTGTTTCATATCCATACAAGTTTATGTGGTGAAAGCCTTGAAATATGATGAAGAGTTTTTCTTCTTTTGAATTTTAGAGAAGTTTCTACCTTCAAAATAATTCTCCAAATAATATTAATTTGTTTAGCTGAATTCCACTTTTAATTCTTGTTTACTCTTTTCTAGCTGTTTAATTATACAACTCGTTGTTCAAAAATATATTTCCTTGGAGCCAGGTACAGTGGCACATGCCTGTAGTCCCAGCTATTTGGGAGGCTGAGGTGGGAATTCAAGACCAGCCTGGGAAACATAGCAAGACCCCATCTCTAAAAAAGGTTTAAAATAATATTTTAAAACAGAAAAAAACCCACAAAAATATATTTCCTTAATTTGTTTTCTATTCCCTGTATGGTAGTGTTTTAATAACTAGCCCCAAACAAAATATCTCAGATCTCTTCTTGCTAAGGACTATATGCACTCTGGTAAAAGTAAGTTGGAAAGTTGAGCAGTTAGATAAAAAATTGCACATTCATATGCTGTTATCCTTTCTTATGTGTCATCCTGTTTTTCTTTTCATTTATTTATTTTTATTTATTTATTTATTTATTTATTTATTTTTGAGACTGAGTCTCACTCTGTTGCCCAGGCTGGAATGCAGTGGTGTGATCTTGGCTCACTGCATCCTCCACCTCCCGGGTTCAAGCGATTCTCCTGCATCAGCCTCCCGAGTAGCTGGGATTACAGGTGTGCACCACCATGCCCGGCTAACTTTTGTACTTTAATTAGAGATGGGGTTTCGCCATGTTGGCCAGGCTGGTCTTGAACTCCTGACCTCAGGTGATCCACCTGCCTCAGCCTCCCAAAGTGCTGGGATTACAGGTCTGAGCCACCACGCCCAGCCTCATCCTGCTTTTCTGATATCAATAAATTGTTTGTTGATGTGTATATAGTTGTTTTTGTAGTATTCTAGTTGAGTTTGGGCATATTATACATGCAGATTTGTAGCTTATTGTTTCTTTTAGGACTCCTCTTATTGCAAATAACAGAAAAAAATGAACTAATTCCATCAGGTTTCATCAAGGAAGAAGATTTATGGACTCAGGTCAGCAACCTTCAAGGGTAGTTGGTCCTGTGACTGAACAGTGTCATCGAGAGCCCGTTTTTTTCCCTGTCTGTGTGACACTGTGCCATCCAGTGTCAGCTTTATCCCAAGGCTTGTCTTTCTCATGGTTTTAGAATGGCTGCCAACCATAGTTTGGCCATGTGCTACTTCTTTTACATGTATCTTGGGAGAAGGGAGAGGATGGCTGTTCAAGCCTTCTGAGCAAAAGTTCCAAGATTCATCCTAATTGAATCAATTCAGATCATGTGTCTACTTTTGAGCCAGGGACTGTGACCATGGGACTGTAATTGTAGAATTGACTTCAGTTGTTCAAACCCCATTCTTGGAGCTCCTTAACTTTTGCTATGTAACAAATTACCACCAAACTTCACAACTTAAACAGCAGGCATTTATGGTCTCACAGTTTCTATGGGTTAGGAATTTCAGAGCATTTTAGCTGGGGGTTCTGCTGAGAATCTCTTGTGCAATTGCCGACACATTGCCAGCTACAGCTACAGTCATCTCAAGATTTGACTGGGCTGGACATTGCTTCCAAGATGATTTACCCAAATGGCTGTTGGCAACAGGCCTTATTTCTTCTAAATGGGGCTGCTTGAATTTTCTTAGGACAATGGCAGCTGGCATCTTGCAGAGCAAGTTATCCAAGAGAGACAGCAAGGAGGAAGTGCCTTTGCCTTTTTTGACCTAGCTGTGAAATTATACACCATTACTTCTGCTGTATTCTCTTTGTTAGAATCAAGTCACTAAGTCTAGCCCATGCTTTTAGGTTCCTTCCTGAAGGAAGAAGTATCAAAGAATTTCTGCTCATATTTTTAATCTACAGCCTGAAACATAGTGAGGGAAGAAGGGGGAAGAGAGAATATGGAGGTGGAGGAGAGAGAGGAGTGGGTGGGAAGGCTAGATATTCTAATAAAAATCAATTTTTATAGAGGGGTAAGATGGGAAGCAGTATTAGGTAAACAATCAGCAAATACCCACTGTACCAATAAAGTATTTTCATGACTGTTATGTGACAAGTATTATTATTCCATTTTGTAGATAAGAAAATCTAGATTTCGTAGGTAAGAAAATTGAGAATTAGAGATGTTAAGTGGCATATCCAAATTTCTATAGTTAGGTAGAAGGTAAAGTCAGTTCTGCTCACTCTAAAGGTGCAGCTTACTCTGGCAGATAGACATGACTGATTGCCTGGAAAGAGAGAGGTGGTAGAGAGATGGTCAGTGACAGTTTCAAACTCATCAGGCATTAATAATCTACCTCAGAAGAGCCACATGTTGATAATCTTTAAAATGATGTTGAAACCTACCTTGATGTCACAGCCATGACCATAAACATCTCTGATGGCACATTTAACTTGTGTGTATATTTCAGAGAAACCATGTCAAGATTCTCTTTTCTTTTCTTTGCTTTTTGTAACTTTTCTCTGGAGAAAAAATTAGAAGGTGGCTAGCTCTGGCAATGAAAATGTTAAAAACTCTGTTTTAATTTTATTAAAGTAAACATTAAAGAAAGCTAAAAGCCAATATTTCTGAACATTTGGTTTTGATAAAGGGAAATGTGGAAAATGTAGCGAAGTAGGTGTAGCTCCCCAGCCTTGGCAGGTTCTCAGAGCTTGTCTTGGGACTGAGAGGCATTTTCAGTCTGCAGCAGATTGAAATGCTGTTGTCTGGAGAAACAAGTCTGAGTGTTCACCCCCCAAAAGGACAGAGTCTGCATCAGTAATGGCAGACTGCCTGCTAAAGGAAGAAGAGGGGCAGAAAAGAATGAAGGGGCTAGACCCTGTTGTTATTTCCAAGCGACAGGCCAGAGAAGAAGCGGGATTCTTTGGTTGGTTTTGAATGACTTATTCAGTCATTAGACAAAATTTGTAAATGCTGAATGTTTTGGTTGAATTATTGAATGTATTTTTGCTGTCTAGATATTTTGCTAAAGTTACTAAAGATGTCAGACATATGGGAAGAGTGAAAACACTTGAATGTTTGATGGAGGAAAATTTATTCCCATTAGGAAAATTTGAAAGTTTGTTTAAGAAAAGACAAGATTTCTAAGATCTTAGATTTAAAGTCTAAGGTCTTAGATTTCTGGACTTCAGAAGAGTTTTAGTTGTTTTTCTTACCCTTGGTATCCATTTGGATAAAATTAATCTGTTTCAAGTCTTCTGAGCATTTTTGTTTTTACTTTTCTAGGATCAGGGGGGTTTGGGTATTGCTATCAGCGAAGAAGATACACTCAGTGGAGTCATCATAAAGAGCTTAACAGAGCATGGGGTAGCAGCCACGGTGAGGTTTACCTTTCTTGCTGTCATTAAGTAGTTGGGGAGGGAATTACTTTTGGAATATCACTCAAATTCTTCTACGTTTCCATTTAGGATGGACGACTCAAAGTCGGAGATCAGATACTGGCTGTAGATGATGAAATTGTTGTTGGTTACCCTATTGAAAAGGTAATTTTCCAAAATAAAGTAAATGGTAATGTAGGCCCATCCTTGGGCATGATTAAAGTGTTTGTGTCTGCGATCATAGAGAATTAGGGTTATGTAGCTGTATTAGACATGTTCTTAAGGAAAAGAAGAGATTGTTCAGAAGTTCTTCAATTTCTATTTCTTATTTTCCAGTTGGTGTTAAGGTATTTTTCGTTGCCACACAAATTATTCAATATTCACTGGGCAGTTTTGATAAATATTTCCATTTTTTCCTTAGGAAAACTTTAAACTCCTTAACAGTGACTGTTAGTGCCAAAATATTTTTTAATGAATGTTTGCTGTTATAAATATCCATTGTGTATACTACTTTATAAACAGATTGTAAGACTCAACCATTAAATACGTAATTTTTATTAGGGTTAAACATATCTTGTACTTGAGTTCCCTCTCCTCAAAAGAGATCTTAATACTTATTTGGTATCTCATTTGAGGCCTTTTATTTATTAGTGCCAGAAAAAAGCTTTGTTTCCTTGAAATATGGTATGCTTTTTCTTTCTTATAGTGAGAGAGAACCATATAACTTATCATTTCTTCATTGTACAGTAAGAAGCTTAAAGTTACTTTTTAAAAATTCAGTTTTTAGTAAGTATTTAGGCCAGATCCTTTAACCCATAAATCTGTGTTTTAACTTTTCGTTTACCTTGACTTTTTTGTTGTATACTTTTCTTATTCTGCTTCTAACATATGTGTTTCTATTTTATTAAAACTGTTTGTGTAAGTTGCTTCTATAGAATCAGGAAGTAGGTAAAATAACCCATATATCTTCTAAGGTTGTAGGCATTCAGAAAAACGGATGAGATTAGAGATGTAAAAAGTTGAAAGTCTTATATAAGAAAAAAATGTGGTCAGAGCTAGACTTAGAGTAGAAATTAACCATGGCCCTAATCTACATCAAGCATTTGGAAAAGCTAGAGAGAAACTAGAGCCATTTCTTTCTTTACCCAAGTCCTGACAAAGAAATAATTTGCATCTGTCCCTCCCCTTAACCATAGAGAGAATTAGATTCCATTGATAATGGTGACTCATTGGTATGTCTACTAATTCAGCTTTGAATTTTGTTTCTCTTCCACACATACACCCTGCCAGTTTATTAGCCTTCTGAAGACAGCAAAGATGACAGTAAAACTTACCATCCATGCTGAGAATCCAGATTCCCAGGCTGTTCCTTCAGCAGCTGGTGCAGCCAGTGGAGAAAAAAAGAACAGCTCCCAGTCTCTGATGGTCCCACAGTCTGGCTCCCCAGAACCGGAGTCCATCCGAAGTAAGGCCTCTGGACTCATGAGAGTCCTGCACATATGGAACACCTGAACTCAGCAGAGGGTTTCTGCTTGGGAGCCAGCTGCCTACCTGTGGCTCACTGTTTGGAAGGTTGTAGTCAGGGAGCCCTATGGTGAGGGCAGGATATAAAGAGAGGACTTCTGGAAAAAGAGTACTGGACTGTTAGGCAGGCAATCTATGTGCTGTACATTAAGCAGCTGTGGCATCTTAGGAAACCTACCCACTCAAAGCCTCAGCTTCTTCATCTCTAAAACAAGGGAATAGTATTCTTTGCTCTCCAAAAATATATTGCTAAGGGCACCTTGATTCCAGGCCTCTAACTAATGAATTAGAAATATCATTTCGTAGATTCTTTTTTTAAGCTGGGAAAGTAATTTAACTTCTCTAAGCCTCAGCTTTCTTTTCTGTAGAATGGATATGCAATTATCCTATTTCATAGGTGGGATCAGTACTGCCTGCCACTGTAAGAAACTCTTTAGTCATTGCCATGATCTACAGATCTGAGTTCTATGCTTTAGGTGTAATAGTGGGTCCTGTCATAATGGAAATGGATTTAGGTTACGTGAACCATAGGGTGACACTTTAATGTGTCATTACACTTCCAGTCTAGTATATGGAGGTACATTATTCCTTTGAGTTACTTTTTGAGAAAGAATACACTGGTGTGTAATAAAACAGTTTCAAGCTCTGCAGCATCAAAACAAACAAAAAAAAATAAGGCATTGGCTTTTTCTGTAACGGGGGGTGGAGGGGAGAAATTTCTTTTGGCCTCCAAACTGTTCTTTTAACAGTTTTTTAAGGAAACACTAGTTTAAATCATTTGTAATGTAGTTGGATGAAAAAGTCTTAAAGTAATACATCTCCGAAAATAATCCTTTATTTAGAAAGACTGGATAATTCACTGAAGTGTTAAAAGATTTTATGGAAATTTTCTCATTTTTCAATTTTATGTTGATCCCTAAATAGTGTTGTCTATAAAAATATGAAATGCTAGATGAAAACTTAACATAAAAGAAAATATCTTACACCTGTTCTTACCATTTAAGGAGCAAGAAAATAGTCTGTTTCTGATTTCCTAAAAAGAGAACATCTTGTCTAAAGCATACGCTACTATACCAAGTGTCCTAGCTTTCCCAAAACATGCTATTTGCTGTATGCTCTTTGTTGTATCGTAAAACATATGATATGAAGACTCTGATAAAATAATGTGTGAAATTATATTCCCCTTTTCTCATAATCTATTCTTATCTATTCATTTCTGAACATATATGCACCAGGATTTGACATCTGAATGTATAAAACATCAAGTGAGACCCAAGGAGAAAACTGCAAATGGTGCATTTTTGCTCAGAATTGATTACATAAGAAGAGATGCTCTAGGATAAGAAGAAAACAAAAATGTAAAAAGCCCCGAAAAGCAGGCATCAGAACCAAAATTATTGATATGTTTTGTGGTATTCCCTGAATGTACTTCTAGGTCTTTGCCACATATCTCAGTTATGAGTTCTATAAATCTTTTAATTCATAAGAAATGTGTTTGCCTCCATTGAAATGGAGAATATCAAAGTGAAACTTGAGGTTCAATTTAATTCTGTTCTCTCTTCTTCATATCCTCTCCTTTATATCTCTACCAATTTAAAACATGTAGGATAGCATAGAAAATAATTAAATAGGTAATTTTTGGCCCACTACCCTAAATTAACAATGGTGATTTAATCACATTTGTTTTATTTTTAAATATAAGATAATTAAAAGATTGAGGTAAATACAAAGTCTCTTTTCCCACAGTCATGGGCCCATTTCTCTGCCCCATCCCTCAGAGTCAATCTGTGTGATGAGTTTGATGGATATGCCTTAGTAACCAATTTTTATTTGTATTTCATTTTTAACTTATTTTTAGATACAAGCAGATCATCAACACCAGCAATTTTTGCTTCTGATCCTGCAACCTGCCCCATTATCCCTGGCTGCGAAACAACCATCGAGATTTCCAAAGGGCGAACAGGGCTGGGCCTGAGCATCGTTGGGGGTTCAGACACGCTGCTGGTGAGCACCACCCAGAGGTGCTTCTGTACAGGCCGTCCTTCAGCCAGGCCTCAGAGACGATTATGGGGAGATTTCTATCAGTTCTAGTAAAGGAAATGTGAAGGCCGAAAAAACCTGTATTTGTTATTTTAATTTATAGGGCAAATATTCAATTGGATACGGGGGAGGTTTCCTTTGAGTAAGCCAATAAATATTGACTCAGCAATATTCTGCTACACTGGTGATTTTGATCTTGAAATTTCAAAGTGTTTCTATCAGTTCACCAGTCCTTGCTACATTTTAATTTCCTTTTTGCTGATATCCAGGTTGGGTTAAACCCATTTTAAGAGGAGTTTGAGCCAGGTGCAGTGGCTCATGCCTGTAATCCCAGCACTTTAGGAGGCTGAGGCAGGTGGATCACTTGAGGCCAGGAGTTTGAGATCAGCCTGTTCAACATGGCAAAACCCTATCTCTACTAAAAATACAAAAACTAGCTAGGCATGGTAGCGTCTGTAATCCCAGCTACTTGGGAGGTTGAGGCAGGAGAATCTCTTGAACGTGGGAGGCAGAGGTTGCAGTGAGCTGAGATCGCACCACTGCACTCCAGCCTGGGTGACAGAGTGAGACTACGTCTCAAAAAAAAAAAAAAAGAGTTTGAAAAATTGATACTTTGTAGACAAAGTCTTCTAGATGTCAAAAATACCTTAAAAGTGATTTCATTTATGGATAAGAAAGTTATCTCTCATCTATGTATGCATGTTTTATTTTATAGTTTTTTTCTTTAATCTTCTCTATCATTAGGAAAAAAGTATAAGCTCCTTTGAGCCTTTTAGCAAAAATTGTTGTTACACTTTCCCTTGAATTATATGGAGCTTGTACTGTAGAGCCAGAGTTTATAACCCTTATTGCTGTCTATCAAAGTATAATGTGTTTGGACTCCATTTCTGCTCACCATTCCTAGGAGAATGGGATAAGTATGGGTATGTTTTGTTTGGGCCCTTAGGGTGCCATTATTATCCATGAAGTTTATGAAGAAGGAGCAGCATGTAAAGATGGAAGACTCTGGGCTGGAGATCAGATCTTAGAGGTATAGAATGCCTGTTTTTGACCTTCAAAATTAACAGAGAAAAGGCTCCTGGGGGGAGTGTTTCTTTCTTTGCTTCTTTCTCTCTCTTCCCTTCCCCACCTAACTCTCCTTTACTTCTCATGTTCCTTACAGTCAGTGTCCCATTTCTGTACAGGTGAATGGAATTGACTTGAGAAAGGCCACACATGATGAAGCAATCAATGTCCTGAGACAGACGCCACAGAGAGTGCGCCTGACACTCTACAGAGATGAGGCCCCATACAAAGAGGAGGAAGTGTGTGACACCCTCACTATTGAGCTGCAGAAGAAGCCGGGAAAAGGCCTAGGATTAAGTATTGTTGGTAAAAGGTGTGATTGAGGAGGACAAACCCAATGCTCCCTTGGAAATGATGGGACTTAAATCATTTTAAAGAGTAATAGCAGTAGGTGAATCTTTTATCAGTGGCTAGTGTTCAGTAGGTAGCTGTTGTTAGCCCCCTCACTAAGGAACCATAAAAAGACATTGGTTTTGGACTTTTAAAATCAGAATATTGGAAGGTTTTGAAGGCACTTAACAAAAAGTCATTTGGTGTATTTTTGAGCACCTGCTATGTGCTAGGAAATACGTTAAGTTTTCAGAAACAAAGTTAAATAAGACATGGTTCCTGAACTCCAAAAACTCATCGTCTGGTGAACGTCGAATTAAATATATTCTTGCAACAAAGGAATCTATTGATGAGTGACAAAGATGCTTTGTGGGGGACCCATGGTAGCAAAGGAGAAAGGGACCAAGTGACCCTATTTAATTAAAGTGAATTAGGGAAAATTTCCAAGAAAAAAGGTGTCTGAGCTGAGGCTAAAAGTGATAAGTGAGTATTGGTTTATTAAAGGAGAGTGGAAGATATTGTAGGGAGAAGGATCAGAGCGAATAAGAGCGTGCCATCAACAGGGCCTAAAGCAGGGGGCCCGGGTGGTAATGGAATAGTGAATGCGCAAAAATTCACAACCTAATTCATTTGTATATGAGTACATTTTAAAAGTATTTACATGTAAGTAATATTAACAAACTCATTTATAAGTGATATTAACAAATAATCCAGCAAGTTTCATAAATCTTTCTTCCTTTTAGTATTATAAGCCCATCTGGATCTGATCTCAGAATCTACCAGATAGCTAAACTTGTGAAGTCAGCATTCAGTAAAAAGTGCCCCTGCAGTCTGCAGTGTCTCTAAGTTTATTTTGTCATTTCTTGGGCCTCAGATAGCCACCATTTCAAAGCAGCTTATTTTTTCCAGTGAGTCAGAAATCTGTGAAATGGTGATCTTTATTTCAGAATATCCTTCTTTGGAAATAGGCATTCTTCAGAATTGCCAAACCAGCAGCATAGACACCTGGTTCTGCAGCGACTTTTCTGTATGGAAATAAAAGGACATTTACACCATTTTGTTTCTCAGAGACAGCTAAAGGCTAATTATTTTTAAACACAGAAAGAATTTAGCATATTATTTGAGTGTCAGTGGGAATATGTCTAAAAAATAGACTTTTTTTGGAATACAGTATCAGTAGTCTAGTTCTCATGAAATATGACATGGGTAACATGGCTACTATAGGATGTGGGGTCACCAGGTCATCATAAAAACCACCATTAATGAACCCTAAACTCTGTGCCTTGGGAAGACCATACAAAGACCGTCTAATCCAATACCCTGTTTCTAAAGATGGGAAAGCGGAGGATCAAATGGTGAAATGATTTGATGTCATGACCTTGGCAAGAACAAGTGATACAGTTCAGCTTTTACTATATATTTCTATTTATGGTTATCTTCGTATCTTTAGAAGTTTTGGGTTTTTTTTTTATAGTTTTGTGAAAGAAAGGATGGGAATAAGATTTGTGTTTATTTTGCATAAACCTATCTCGTGTGGAAGATGTGTAATGATTTCAAATAAAAGACATCACAGCAATGGTACTTAGATTTTGAGTTAATAAATGGTGTTTAGTTTGAGATACACATCTGTTATGATTTTCAGTAATATTAATGATGGTGATAGCAACATTTATGTAACCACAAGTTAATATTATTCAAAGCTCCATTCTGATTTGGAAAGAACAGCAGATTTTGCATCCAAGGACTGACTCTTAAGTCTTACTTTTGCCACTTAGTAGCCGAGTGACCCATAAAATGAGAATGGTAATACACGCTTCTACTCAGTGTATATAAATGATGAAGAATAAATATGCTTATTGGAGATCATTTTAATCTATGAAGCACTGTAAGACATAAGCTGTTATTTATCAAAAAATATAATTCTAATGTTGCCCCAGTGTTGCTCCAAATAACAAAACTTTTAAAGTCATAAAAACAAGTAAAAATTTTGGGTAAAAACGTAACTTTTTATTAAATAAGCATTGCATTACAGTTGAGCAAAAGATAATGTTGAAATTCAAAATTGTGTGTAGAAACGATACTGGAGTATTTGTGTCAGACATTGTCAAAGGAGGAATTGCAGATGCCGATGGAAGACTGATGCAGGGAGACCAGATATTAATGGTGAATGGGGAAGACGTTCGTAATGCCACCCAAGAAGCGGTTGCCGCTTTGCTAAAGGTAAAAAATGCAAAAAATAATTCTGTGTAATAGCGTAGAAGAAAAAAGATAATTTTAACATTGGGCTATCATAGTCAAATTAGTAATGACTTCTCTTTATTTAAAGTGTCACCTCAAGGCCAGGTGCAATGGCTCACGCCTATAATCCCAGCATTTTGGGAGGCCATGGCAGGTGGATCACTTGAGACTAGGGGTTCGAGACCAGCCTTGGCAACATGGCAAAATCCCATCTCTACAAAAAAATATAAAAATTAGTTGGGCATGGTTGTGCGTGCCTATAGTCCCAGCTACTCAGAAGGCTGAGGTGGGAGGATCGCATGAGTCTGGGGTCACACCACTGAATTCCAGCTTAGGTGACAGAAACCCTGTCTCAAAAAAATAAATAAAAAGTCATCTCAAATCTTTTAAAATGAAAAGATTTTATCATTTATGTTCCATAGAAGGGAAAGTTTGATCAAAATACTATTCTGACTCAAAACTGTTGAACTATTTGAAGTTGACATTTAAAATCAGAAGCAGATCTGTCATCCTTATGCAACGAAGGTAATTTAATGCAGATTCACTCAGCAGTACCTTCACTGGGGATTATCGTAATTATAAGGCCTCCATCCCTAGATATCATTCTAAACTCAAGTACATTTTACATCATAAAATTGGTTTCCTCCAAAGCAAACTCACCATGAAGGATCATTTTCTGATTGGAAAGGCAGAACCAGTTTCATTTTAAAAATGAATTAATTGTAAAGCACAGAAAAGTCATTTGACAATATAATTCCTGGGACTCTAGGCATATTCTCTGTCAGGGAATATTCCAGTTTCTAGAGGGGATTTGCATTCCTGTAAATAGGCAATGCTTATCTCCTTGTTTTGTTTTTTTAACCTAGTGTGTTTTATGACCTGAAGAAATATAATTCAACATTGACTAGAAAACTGTCATCATCAGTACCCATGTCAAGGGTAGCAATTAACATAAGCCTGCATGACAGTGCTCAGCAGCAGTAGAGCTGTTGGAGGTCTAATACGCTAAGGGGAGCCTCTGAGTGGCTGGGCTTCCTGGAGGGATTTTCAAGTAGGTGCTTGTTACTCACCTCTCAGGTTTATATAAGATCTGGCATATGAATGTGTTTATAAATTTGGTTATTAAAGCAAAGTTAACATTCGTCACTTCTCATTAGGTTTCTCAATCTTTAAAACATAATGTAATTAGAATTCTTTAAGGAGGAATACATTCTTTTTGGAGACACATTAAAAACAATTGTTATCTCTGTAAGAATTATATATCCTAAAGAAAGAAAAAATGGAAGCATCCATAAAACAATGTAAATAATTTTTAAACCAGTCATTTAAAAATCTAGTCTCACCAGGTGTGGTGGCTCATGCCTGTAATCCCAACACTTTGGGAGGCTGAGGCGGGTGGATCACCTGACGTCGGGAGTTCGAGACCAGCTTGACCAACCTGGAGAAACCCCGTCTCTACTAAAAATACAAAATTAGCCAGGTGTGGTAGCGCATGCCTGTAATCCCAGCTACTCAGGAGGCTGAGGCAGGAGAATCGCCTGAACCCGGGAGGCAGAGGTTGCAGTAAGCCGAGATCGCATCATTGCAGTCCAACCTGGGCAATAAGAGTGAAACTCCATCTCAAAAAAAAAAAAAAAAAAGCTAATCTGAAAGTATATAATGAACACCATAAATATTTGTATAACTTACATGTTTGTTGTTGGGGCTGCTTATTTTTGTTTTATTAGTAATTGTTCATTTAAAACTCTTATGTAAATAATCCTCTATACACAACTTCATGCACGTAAAGTTCCTCATGCACATAGAGTTCATTGAAGTGTTATTTGTAATAGTGGGAAAATTGGAAGCAATGTGGTTGACAAAAACTATATAAACTTTGGTATAAATAGCAAGGATGCATGGCAAACATGTATTTGTTTGAAAGGATGTTCATGACACCTTTTTTTTTTTTTTGAGACGGAGTCCCGCTCTGTTGCCCAGGCTGGAGTGCAGTGGTGTGATCTCGGCTCACTGCAAGCTCCGCCTCCCGGGTTCACGCCATTCTCCTGCCTCAGCCTCCTGAGTAGCTGGGACTACAGGCGCCTGCCACCACGCCCAGCTAATTTTTTGTATTTTTGGTAGAGGCAGGGTTTCACTGTGTTACCCAGGATGGTCTCAATCTCCTGACTTCGTGATCCACCCATCTCGGCCTCCCAAAGTGTCATGACAACTATTTTAACATGATAAAATATATACAGTAGTCGCTCCTAATCTGCAGTTTCTCTTCCTGTGGTTTCAGTTGCCCAGAGTATAGTAAAATAAGGTATTTTTAGAAGGAGAGAGAGATCACATTCATATAACTTTTATTACAGCACATTGTTATAATTGTTCTATTTTATTATCCTCTTATGTCTAATTTATAAATTAAACCTTATTTTATGTTTATAAATTAAACCTTATATATAGGAAAAAACATAGTATATATAGAGTTCAGCACTATCCATAGTGTCAGGCATCCACTGGCGGGGGGTCTTAGAACATATTCCCCCCTATAATAAAGGGGGACTACTGTAATTAGTGGGGAATATAAGACAGAGGATTGTATTTACCGCATAGATGCAACTATGTAAAATACAATCTTATAAGTTTTTTAAACAATAATTATGAGGTAATTGTTGGACTTATGGGTCCTTTTCTTCCCCCATCTTTTTTCATTTTATTTCCAAAATTTTCTTTTTACTGGGCGTAAATCACTTTTGTATTGGAAAAATTAACACTTTTTTAAATAATCAAAACCCTTGATATTTGAAAGAGAAGTGTTACAGGTAGGTGAAAGGGTCGCAACATTACACAGTGAATAACGTATGGACTTGTTAACCTTACAGTTATGTAAACTGAAAATATAAATAGTTTCAAGAAGAGTTTGGTAAGAAACCCCAAACCAAACAAATAAAAAAACCAACTTATGGATATTACAAGTCAAGTTTTGACCTTTCAGAGTATGATTCATGATCAACATCTTCAGAATAACACATCCCTTTGTACTCTCATCACTGAATAATAATATCAGTGCCCAATATTTATATTAATCTTACTCCATTCTAGACACTGTCATAAGCATTGTTCATGGTTTATTTATCTCAACAACCTATAATGATGTACATTTTTAAAATTCAGAGTAAAAGATTTATTAAGGTTAAACATCCATTACAGTCACACAGCTAATAAATCACATAGTCTGGATTTAATCCAGTGACTCCAAAACAGGATCTCAAACACCTTCTTGTGCTACTTCATATTAGACTGTGCGGCATTTCTTGCATGCCTATGGTTTATTTGTAAAGGGGTGCAAGAAAGATTGTCTTCAGTTCATGTTTTGTGTTGATAGCAGTATTTATCTAAATTTTATATCATAAGTCTATTCAGGCACAGTGTAGTGATAGAGAATTTACCCAATTATCTAAGTACCTCTTCCACTGAGGGCAAAACAAGTTGCTGAGGTGGTGGTAGTGGTGGTTTTATTGTGTTCGCTTTTTTTTTTTTTTTTTTTTTTTGAGGTGGAGTCTCAAGTCTCGCTCTGTCACCCAGGTGGAGTGCAGTGGCATGATCTTGGCTCACTGCAAGCTCCGCCTCCCAGGTTCACGCCATTCTTCTGCCTCAGCCTCCTGAGTAGCTGGGACTACAGGCGCCTGCCACCACGCCCAGCTATTTTTTTGTATTTTTAGTAGAGACAGGGTTTCACCATGTTAGCCAGGATGGTCTTGATCTCCTGACCTCGTGATCCACCCGCCTCGGCCTCCCAAAGTGGTGGGATTACAGTCGCTTTGTTTTTTAAACCCTCAGTTATTCAGCTTGTTTGTCCTATCAAAATTAGTGTGTTTCATGAGATAATTGCTCAATTCTCCATTTCTTTTTGGTACAAGTAGTCTCCATAGAAATCATGAGGTGATAAGGTAAACACTTGGTGTTGCTGCTGCTGATTATTTTTATTAGTTTGAATGTTTTATAAAAAGCCATTTTCCACAAGGGATTGGAGGTATCCTTGCTTATAGAAATTCCAAAAGGAAGATGCCTTTCAAAAAAGTCTTGAAGAGTAAAATGTATTCCTAAAGATGATTATAGCATTTTATTTAAACATTTCCATAAAACACCCCCCATGCCCACCCCCAGTGTTCCCTAGGCACAGTAACCTTGGAAGTTGGAAGAATCAAAGCTGGTCCATTCCATTCAGAGAGGAGGCCATCTCAAAGCAGCCAGGTGGGTAGCTGTGGAGTTCATCAGGGCGATGCAATCGGCATGCCAAGAGGACACATAGATGGCCCTGACTGTGGGTCTGTGTACAAGGTCTGGTCCCCTGGCAGCGTGGGATAGTGACTGAGGTGCAGAGTTTGAGACAGAGAAGAACAAGGAATCAGAATAGCCAGGTAAACAAGGTGTGGCTGTTGAGTAGTTTGTAAGTCATTCTAAGGAAATTGATTTCAAGCATTCTTTTTTGACATGATTCATTTTCCATAATCTCAAAAGGTAACTACCTAATTGTAAAGCCTACCAAGATAACAAATTTTTTATTATTTTATTTATTTTATTTATTTATTTATTTATTTTGAGACAGAGTCTCGCTCTGTCACCCAGGCTGGAGTGCAGTGGCACAATCTCAGCTCACTGCAACCTTCGCCTCCCGGGCGAAGTAGATTCTTCTGTCTCTACTTCCCGAGTAGCTGGGACTACAGGCGTGCACCACCATGCCTGGCTAATTTTTGTATTTTTATTAGAGATGGGGTTTCGCCATGTCAGCCAGGCTGGTCTCAAACGCCTGACCTCGTGATCCACCCGCCTCAGCCTCCCAAAGTGTTGGGATTACAGGCATGAGCCACCGTACCTGGCCCCAAGATAACATATTTTAAAAATATTTTATAGCAACATCAATCAATATTCAACTGAAAAGTCCCATATAAGTGAACTATAGATACTCAGCACCATGTATAAAAATATGATGTTAAATATTTCAAGACTCTTGACAAGACCTCTTGACCTTCTCCTCAGTGTTGTCTACTGATGATGGAAACCCATTTTCATCAGTCTGTCCTTAAAGACCCCATACTAACTTTCTAAATTACTACCATGAGTTTCCTATTAGCTGGCCCTAATTCTACAGTTTTTGTTTAAGTCCTAGTCTTCCTACAACATCAGTTTAAATTTAAAGAAGATTAGTTTGAATGAGATTATGACTATCCACTAAAATTTTAGGTAGATTGGAATCAATTTCATCTACCCTTTTAGCTTCAATTTATTTATGTCACTAGACACATTCTCTGTTTAAAAGAAAAAAAATCAGTAGGAACTGTGTTTAAATTGCTCATCAAATTATCAAATGCCACTGTTGCTTAACAGGTATCTGTCTCTAGATTAAATTCTGAAATAAGTGGTATTTAGGGAGTATGTTACTTGCAAAACCTTCTGAAATAATTGTTGTATATTTGTAGGTGAGTGAAGGCAGCCTGTCATCTTTCACTTTTCCACTCTCTGGATCCAGTACATCTGAGTCACTGGAAAGTAGCTCAAAGAAGAATGCATGTAAGATTGGTTCAGTATTTTAAACATGGTTTGAATTTGGCTGTCAACACTGATTTTTTTGTCTTGTTTACCTCTGAGCTTTCTTTTCCCCCAAATCATCCCATATCCAAATATAGGTACAAAAACACGTGTTAGCAAAAAGTCTGAACAACATGAAGTTCTGCCTATGGCAGCTTTTCCCATTTGATGTTTACCCTACAAGATACACTAAACATTATAATCAGGATTCTGTAATTTTTTTTTCTTACTAAGCAGATTGGTGTTTTTGATTTTATTCCTTTTCTGTGTTTAATGTAACACCAGTAAATCAGAAGATGCCATTAAGTGAAGCCTTCTTTTTCCATGAAGATTGCAAAAATTTGAGAAAATTAATGTGATCCTCCTGTGTTTTAATTACGTGAAATCATGCTGCAGAGGGATTTTTGGCTTGGTGCATTGGTTGAGAGTTGTTCAAATTGAAGAAACTAACAATATGGCAATCTCTGTTTGCAGTATGACTAATATTCTAGAAATTTAGGCACTTAAATTTGTGAATTTTTTTAATGCATCCATGACTTTATTCCTCTCAGCCGTGCACATGTGCCTTTCTATGCAAAACACATTCTGCCCTTGACTCATTCAAAGTGGATTACATAGTTATATAATCAACACTTAAAATGAGAAGGAAGAATGGGATGGTATACACGTTTTTCCAACTGGAAAAATAAATAGTTCTGTGTAAGACAGATCTAATCATGTGTACTAGCAGCTTTGAGCACCCCCTTAAAAAAAGAAACCTAGGTTATCATTTAGTCCCATCCAGCTTTAGATATTTTAACGAACATAAAAAGTGAATGAACATAAAATAACCCTATTTTATCTTTTTTGCCTTTACAGTGGCATCTGAAATACAGGGATTAAGAACAGTCGAAATGAAAAAGGTAACTTGGGGAGAGAAAACAATATAAACCCTGGCGTTTTAAGAGACATCTTCATATGTGTTTTCTTGTTAACTTTCTTACGGTTTTAAAGTATTCATCTCAAAAAGTATGTATTCTTACATATTACATGTGAAATAACATAATGTAGTCCTTAATGAATTTCCTGATCACAGCACCTCATTTGAAAAATCGTTGTTTGCATGCTCTGTTTTGCTGAAAATAGCATAAAATTGACCCCACACAAAATAATACCATGCCTCTCACTTCTTATAAGTAAACCTTTCTCTTCAACAGATACTTATTAGTTCTGAAACAGATTCCCTTGACAGCCATGCACAAGAGACAAAGTAAAAGCAGCTGTGATTTATTGAGCTTTTACTATTGTTCTGAGCACTCTTATAGACACTTCATGTCATCATCATGTCATTTAATATTCACTGCAGCCCTCTGTGAGAGGCACTGTTGTCTCCATTTTGTAAATGAAGATCTAATGATTTATTGAGTGGAGTGGACTTATTCCAAGTTCCAGCATTTGCAAGTATGACTTCGTGGCTTTGAACACAGGACTCTGATTCCAAAAGTGTGGTCTTTTCACTTCATGAGTTTACCTGCTTTTCATCAGTTCCACAACATGATTTTCATTTAGCATGTCTTGATTTATTTTACTTCCTGAACAGATGCTTATTTTCCTAAGCCACGCTAAGCACCTGTGTCAAGTAAAGTAATGCAGTTTTCTTGCACTTCTTCATTTTCCCCCTCACACTTAGAAAATCAGAGTTGACTATAGATATCATGCCAAAGAATAAACAAAAGGTCAATGAAAAATATCACTTTGACCAAAATTTTATATCTGTTCCATGGCAGGGCCCTACTGACTCACTGGGAATCAGCATCGCTGGAGGAGTAGGCAGCCCACTTGGTGATGTGCCTATATTTATTGCAATGATGCACCCAACTGGAGTTGCAGCACAGACCCAAAAACTCAGAGTGAGTCGTACTATCAACCCTAGAAGCCCTAGCAAAATGTGCAGAAGTGTTTTTATAAACCTTTGAACCTGGCTACCTGTTGCAAGGCAGTTTTAAATATCTATATTTACTTTTAAATCATCTAATCCAACCACAGCAAGGCTTGCTTGGAATAAAAGATAAAGAATATTAAAAGAAAGGAGAAAATGCAGATTTGCAGTTAAATAGGAAGATTTATAGTTGTTTCCTAATACATATTTTTATATGTTGAAATTCTGTGGAACAAGCTAAAAGAGAACAGAAAGTATTTTCAGAACACCAGTATGAAGTGAAATTTTTATCTTATATATTTGATTGGTTTAAACGCCGATTTAACTCTGTTAAATTGAAAAGTATTACTTATTTGCATTCACTGATAATTTTGCAGAAGTTTAATATAAATATGACTTACAATGTTATAAAACTATATGCAACTTGCCTCAAAGCTGAGGGATTATCCAAATTGTGGAGCATTGCAATGGAATTTATGCCAACTGCCCAGCTCTAAAAATTACATGAATATTCCATTAACGCAACTCAGTCTCTCTAAAGCAAAATCTCTATGGTTTCATACCTCAAATAGGTCTCAGAACATAACCACATTTTAGTTTAAATAGTCTTTAGGCTGGGAATGGTTCAGCCTCGTTTGATATCCAAATTTATGGCTGACACTTAAAACCTGATTGTATACATAGCACAGGGTCAGTAAACTTCTGGAAGGACAGATACTGAATATTTTAGGCTTTGTGGGACCTGTGAGTCTCTGTTGCAACTACTCAACTCTGCGCTGTGAAAGCAGCCAAATAAGCATGGCTGTCTTCCAACCAGACTTTATTAACCAAAACAGGCAGTGGGCCAAATTTGGCCTCTGGGCCTTAGTTTGCCAACCTCCGACTTAGAGTCACATCTAATGATTATAATAGTAATGTCCAGAGAAATTTCAGTTTCCAAATGATAGTGAATTTTTTTTTCTTTTAATAGGAAGTAATGTCTCACCCAAGAGAAATGAAGAGCAGGGAAGAGTGACTTTCTCCTTCTCCCTCCCTCTCCCCTGGATATGGAACTCAACCATTATGCACTGCTTCTTTTTGTGGTTGCTGCTTTTTGGACTTCTTGGAATTAGTGGTTTCCTTGGTTATATTTCAGTGGCTGGTAGCAGTATATATGTCATGTGGAAGGTGGAGAAGGAAATGAATACTTAGGTCTCAAAGACCCACTCTCCATGGCTGCTTTAGCAGATGGCTGTTTCTTTCTCTCCCTTGCAGGTTGGGGATAGGATTGTCACCATCTGTGGCACATCCACTGAGGGCATGACTCACACCCAAGCAGTTAACCTACTGAAAAATGCATCTGGCTCCATTGAAATGCAGGTAAGATTTTTATCCCAAGCATAATTCAGAATATAGGTAGCCTGAAGACACATGAGCTTTGATGTTAAAGCAGTAAAAATGATTAAATCTTCTGCTATTATTTTATTTAATATTTCTCTTGAACATAAATGATTAAATTAAGAGTTCCAATAAAGTGCATATGAGACATATTTTGTAACATTTTACTCTGATGCATTGATTGTTTTATACTTTAAGGGGAAAAAAATCCAGGCCTTAGCAGTACATGATTATTTGCTGGAATTTTAAGTGGTGCTAGCAAGTGGCTTATATTCTAAAGATCTTTAAAAAGTAATTACATATGAGACCACATTTTAAAAACATCAAAGAACTTTGTAGAATAGAATTAGAAGAATATGTTTACTGTCAGGACAGTTAAGAGCCTCTGGACCTTGTGAAATTTCATTCTCTTTGGTTGTATTTTATGTTAACAGAAATGTTTAAATGAACAATAAAATATACATTTTAATCCAAGTGCTCTTTCTGAAGAAAAATTACTTTCCCTAGCCACAGGAACATGTGTTTTTTCTGTTTATCCTCCTCCTGTGCGCAGGTGGTTGCTGGAGGAGACGTGAGTGTGGTCACAGGTCATCAGCAGGAGCCTGCAAGTTCCAGTCTTTCTTTCACTGGGCTGACGTCAAGCAGTATATTTCAGGATGATTTAGGGTGAGTTCATACATGATGATTAGTGTATCATTTTTCACTTATGAATCAAGTCTTCCTGACAGTTGCGTTCTCTGTCCCATGTTTCTAGGAATTACGTACAGGTAAAATGATAGGATATATGAAGTGTGAATTATACATATCAGGTGCTTCTAAACTTAAATAATTGTGGCATGGATTTAGCTGATCAAAGATAAGTAGAGATAGATAACTAGCTAGATAGATATGCGTGCTACTACCCTTCCCATGGTTTCAGCTCTGATTTTGGGGCGGAGGACATTTTAGTCTTGATGTTACCACTTCATGTAATATGGAGCAAGTCAAATCTATCATTTTAAAATTTCCCGCACTGCCTATTCATCTAATATATTATCATTTGGACTGAAAAAATTCACAGTATTAAGTAACAATACTTGGATACAAAAGCATTGGAAAACAGAGGAGAAGAGAGAGGCGCATTAGAAATTTTAAATAATTTGATGCAGCTTTTCCATTGCTTATAATTGATTTTTCTCTCTGAGCTTGGGCGTACTGATGTTTATGACTTATTCTAATATAGTCCCCTGAACTTTAGCCCTCTCACTTTAAATAAACTGGAAAAAGAATGAGCTTCTCTGTACAATGAGAACATGCCATGAATATGTTAGTTTAAGGGAACTGTAAATGAGTAATAGAATTAGGGTGTTAAGTAGGATTTCATTAGATTATGTAAATTTAAAATACCAAGCACAGCATGCACTGACAATTTAAGCATCTCAAAAATACCCGTAATATACTCCTTGTCAGTAACAAAGAGAATTATGCTAGCTCTAGGTGGATGTCAGATAATTCATAACATATATGTATAGTTTTTTTTTTTTAATTTAAAACCTCTTTTTCCTTTCCTTCACCGTAGACCTCCTCAATGTAAGTCTATTACACTAGAGCGAGGACCAGATGGCTTAGGCTTCAGTATAGTTGGAGGATATGGCAGCCCTCATGGAGACTTACCCATTTATGTTAAAACAGTGTTTGCAAAGGTAAGCTTGCAAATTTTAACCACCCTCTTTTCCCCTAAACATTCATTAATAGTGGTCAGCAGCTGGCTTATTAGTTTATGGCCTGAGGTAATGCCAAATGGTTAACAGTTGATCATTTCTTTTCAAAACTCCCTACAGGAACAGGTCATTAAATATTTTTGTCCAATTTGAGGTTTCATTATATTTAAAGGAAAATAGGCTCAAATTGAAACTCCATGGAAACTCAACAATATACATAAAAATATTAATGAACTTTGGTTAGTAAAGCCTATTTTTTTTTCTTTGAACACAAATTGCACATGATCGTCTTTTGAAAATGGGACATTTTAAATAAGTATGCTGTAGAGCACTGGTATTTCTGTTTGCATTTTTTTGTTGTGAAATATAAAATAGTTATAGAGAAGTACATAAAGTACACATGAAAATTAATAAGCATTTATTTTATAAATTTAATTTCATTGAATAAAACAAAAATAACTACTGAAAAAATGTAGGGAGTATCCAGCAGCCCTATCATCTATAATAAGTCAGCGATTTGCAATCAAGGGATTCAATTAAAAAGACTGTATAGTTATAATTATATAATACCTATTCTAGCTTAAGAAGGTTTAGAATAAGAATAAAGATATTGCAGTACTGGTAAAGCTATTAAAATAATTTAAACCCATGTAATTATTGTTAATATGTTAAGTCGTTTTTCAGGGGCTACAAAATTCGACAAGATTTTCTGCAGGGAAAAATTTAGAATCTCAAAATTTTACAGTGTCAAAAGAAACAAAACTTAGTCAAACGTGTTTAAAAATTTGATACAGGGCCTTTGGATTAGTGGTATAGTTCTTTATGGATATTTTATTTTATTATTTTGGAAAAGATCTTTTTTTTAGCCAATTTAAAGTGTTGTACCTACAACAAGCTAGCTATAGGCTTAATTTATAAGATTTTTAAAAAAGCTATCGGTATGTCCAAAAATACAAACAGCATTTGCTAGTGAATAGAAGAGTCATACAGTCCTTTTCCTCAGCCTAGGAACAATTTATTTAAGGCATGCTAGTTAGAACATATTTTAAGAATTTCATCATTATGGATTCCTCATTAACTTTTCCATATTTTTAATTTTATATTTAATTGCATAATTGTCTTCTATAAGCGTGCTTTAAGATGGGGTTCTTTTTCTAACACCAATGTCTGTATTTAATCTTAATCATTTAGGGTCCATAAGGAATATGAAGAATCTCTCTACCCTTGGGAAGTAAGAACTAAGACAGCTTGAATAGCTTTTTCAAAACCACAAAAAGAAATAGCAGTGGGTTTTAAATTTAGAACTTATGCCTTATCCTGCCATAGGGAATGTTCAGGTGGCTTTGTGCTTTTGCAGACCTTTGGATTTTGTCATCCCCCAAGCCCTTGTCCTGTAAAACTGTTTTTGTTCCTACCTAATCCTTTACCTTCTTTCTGTAGGTCTTATTTACAGGATAGAAAATCCTGGATTCTATTGAATCATTCCTACTAGGCAAATTCCCAAATATTCTTTATTAATTTGTGTTCCCACCAACTGCTGTGCTGAACAGCCAAAAACCCATCCAACTGATCTATCGACTGCTAAATTCTCTCTCAAATTGGTATCTCAATGCTAAAACCATTTAGGAGAAAGACCTTCTTTGTCTATGTTCATCATTGCTTAATGGCTTAGAGCACCCATGGAGCACTGGGAGCAGTGTGTGTGTACAAGCAGAGCAATTTACATTCCTGTTGAGATCTTTTTCTGTTGTGAGTTGCAAGGCAGCATTTTTTGAGAAATAAACAAGTCTACTTTATAATTTGCAGGGAGCAGCCTCTGAAGACGGACGTCTGAAAAGGGGCGATCAGATCATTGCTGTCAATGGGCAGAGTCTAGAAGGAGTCACCCATGAAGAAGCTGTTGCCATCCTTAAACGGACAAAAGGCACTGTCACTTTGATGGTTCTCTCTTGAATTGGCTGCCAGAATTGAACCAACCCAACCCCTAGCTCACCTCCTACTGTAAAGAGAATGCACTGGTCCTGACAATTTTTATGCTGTGTTCAGCCGGGTCTTCAAAACTGTAGGGGGGAAATAACACTTAAGTTTCTTTTTCTCATCTAGAAATGCTTTCCTTACTGACAACCTAACATCATTTTTCTTTTCTTCTTGCATTTTGTGAACTTAAAGAGAAGGAATATTTGTGTAGGTGAATCTCGTTTTTATTTGTGGAGATATCTAATGTTTTGTAGTCACATGGGCAAGAATTATTACATGCTAAGCTGGTTAGTATAAAGAAAGATAATTCTAAAGCTAACCAAAGAAAATGGCTTCAGTAAATTAGGATGAAAAATGAAAATATAAAATAAAGAAGAAAATCTCGGGGAGTTTAAAAAAAATGCCTCAATTTGGCAATCTACCTCCTCTCCCCACCCCAAACTAAAAAAAGAAAAAAAGGTTTTCTAATGAAAATCTTTAAAAATACTGTCAGTATTTTAAAATTTTCAACAGTATTATAAAAACATTGCATCTCCCCACCTCTAATATGCATATATATTTTTCCTGCTAAAATTGGTTTCTACAATTGAGTAAATGGCAAATACATGAAGCAATGTCCCTAAATTTTATAAAGAAATTATATTTAATGCACATTTCAATTTTCATTCTTATTTTTGACCTTTTGTAAAATATTTTCATGTTGCTATAAGTAAATGATGATGCCACCCCATGTTGACTATGGTTTTTCTAGAAAGCAACTATGCTGCTAACCATAGAGGAACATAGAAGGGTTCCAGAATCTTTAGTGCTGGTTTTAACAACCGATGCAACATTAAAAATGTGTTAGTGTGCTGTGCAATTGGTTTTCAATTCATATTAATCTTAATGACAGAGAACAATGTGTTACTAATTATTTTGGTTGTATGCCATTAGTAAATTGATAGAAAAATTAAGGGGATTAACATAACTTCATTTCATTGACTTATATTAACATCTTATAATACAATAGTTTAAGACTAAGGGAAACAGATGGAGCTGTTTATTGAGACAACTGGTGAGGAATTATCATGTGTTCATTCCCATTTTAGAGCGTGAAACTCCTACATTAGAATATATAAAGTCACTTTAAATATCTATATTTGTAACAGAAGTAGTGTACAGATATTTTATTACAGCATTTTTGTGTAAATGCAGAATTAAAGTGAATAAATAAGAATTTTCAGTGGTGCACAAATAAGCAGCAAGCATTTTTTTTGTTCTTTTTACTGTGGAAAAGCTTTGTTATATACTGTTCAAGATTTACAACTTAAAATTGGTTTTTATCATGTCTAACTGCACATATGGTGTCCATAGTTACAGCTAAAGGAACTTTGGACAACATCATTATGGAAAGCTTAATATTTTTTACCTCCACAATTTTTTCTAGCACTAAAGATTCATAGACTCCTCATAGATGAGAGGAAGATGACATTGTAGAAAGAGAAGTATCCTGCCTGTATATGTTTTTCTCAAATGCTGTTAATGCAGTAATATTGTAAGTTGCTCTTTTGTGTGGTCAAGAACTATTCAAGTGTATTCAGATGGACAAAATCATAATCAAAATTATTTGTATTAATAAACATGACAAGTCCAACTTGAACACTGAGCAAGGAATGAGGGGAACTCTGTTCTACTAGTTTTGTACCAAATTAGCTAACAAACGTGCATTTCCCTCTCATTCATCTTATCTGTAAAATGATAGATTATTTTATCACAAAGGTTCTATTTAGTTCTAAAATATAAGAATTCCGTGATTCTTAGTTACACAAAACGAATAGAAGAAACTGCATATTGTAACAACTCAAAGTTGTTAACCAATCATTGTAAATTTAGGCGCTCAATGTAACAAAACTCATTTTAGTATCCCAGTGACACATCTACCTTCTTAGCCATCATTTAGTGGCTCTCCATAACGAAAGATGCCATTATTTCATGGTAGGCTGCTGGAAGATGAACTAACCTCACATCTGAGTTTGAGCTAGCAAAGAATTTTTATAGAGGATGCTCCATACCAGACTGTATGGGAGAAAGCCACCCAACCCCTTCAAGTTTCATAATGTCTAAGTGCCCCCAACAAGAACAGCCCAGTTTAAATAGTGTCTTCCCATGATTCATGTCCATCTGGAACCTCAGAACGTGACCTTTGGAAATGGGGTCTTTGCAGATGTAATGAGTTAAGTTCATGCTGATTTAGGGTGTTCTCTATCCTAGGACTGGTTTCTGTGTAAGTAGGTATTGTGAAGGCACAGACATAGGGAAGAAGGCCCCATGAAGATGGAGGCAAAACAAAACAAAACAAACAAGCCAAGGAATACCTAGGGGGCCCTCAAAAGCTGGAAGAGACAAGGAATGTTTTTTCCCTAGGGCCTTCAGAAAGAAGTTGGCCTTATTGACACCTTGATTTCAGGCTTCTGCCCTCTATACTGTGAGAAAATAAATCTCTGTTGTTTTAAGCCACAGTTTGTGGTACTTTGTTTAAGCACTGGGAAACTGTTAGAGTATCTTAAATGTTGGTTGCACGTGGTGGCTCATGCCTGTAATTCCAGCACTTTGAGAGGCCGAGGTGAGCTGATCTCTTGAGCTCAGGATTTTGAGACCAGCCTGAGCAACATGGTAAAACCCCGTCGCTACAGAAAGTACAAAAAACAAAAAAAAACAACTAGCCAGACAGCTACTCGGGAGGCTGAGGCAGGAGAATCACTTGAGTCTGGGAGGCAGCGGTTGCAGTGAGCCAAGATCGCACCATTGCACTCCAGTGGGCAATGGGAGTAAAACCTTGTCTCAAAAAAAAAAAAAAGTTTGTGTCCTGAGCTACTGTCATTATGTCTGGCTAACAGGAGAAACTCTGTGAGTAGCTATTAATTAACAAAGACAAAGCACATTAAAGAGAAAATGGAAGGAGGGAGGGAGGAAGGAAAGTAAAGTTTGAGAGGAAAAGAATATAGATTCATAAGTCCTGGGGATAAGTAATGAAGCCTTATGCTTGCTATATTTTTTCTTTCTGGAAATATAGTAGTTGTCTGTGGTGAAAGAAGAAAGAAGAAAGTACTTGAACAAAGAGTTTAAATAAAGACTTGACTATTACAATGTTAATGCCAACATACTACCCAAAACAGTGGATTGCCCATAATAGGTTCCATAAATATAATTACGTTTGATTAAATCAAACTGGAAATACCACAGATTTCTGGTATTCTTCATACCACTCCAAAAGGATAATAACAGTAATAAAGTATTTCATATATACACACACACACACACACACACACACACACACACACACACACACACACACATATATTAGCAGCAGGAATAGCAAGGTAATGTAGCCAATCAGTAAAATTCATATATCAGAACAGTGATGGAGTTAGAAGCATAAAAAAATTAAAATTCGTTAAAGATAAGACAAAGGGGCCGGGCACAGTGGCTCACACCTGTAATCTCAGCACTTTGGGAGGCTGAGGCAGGCAGATCATGAGGTCAGGAGATCAAGACCATCCCGGCTAACAGTGAAACCCTGTCTCTACTAAAAATGCAAAAAAATTAGCCGGGCATGGTAGCGGGCGCCTGTAGTCCCAGCTACTTGGGAGGCTGAGGCAGGAGAATGGTGTGAACCCGGGAGGTGGAGCTTGCCGTGAGCCGAGATCACGCCACTGTGCTCCAGCCTGGGTGACAGAGTGAGACTCCGTCGCGAAAAAAAAAAAAAGATAAAGGAGGAGAGGGTTTTTTTTTTCCATTTTATGAATCTTGACAAAGCAGATTCTGATAGATAGGAAGAAGCAAAAGGAGCTCTTCCCTGCTCTGAGGTATATGATACTAAACTGCCTTAGATTTGCTCAGCTAGTTTATTGTCTGAGAATGCCGTACAATGATTTGGTGCCCCTCTTGAGATCCCAGGGTGAATAGAGAAGTTGAAAGGATGTGTTCAGGGAGACAAGTAATAAATAGGCTTTTTTTTTTTTGGTCTAGGTGTGGGAATGTCAAAACTATCATCACTTGCTTTCAGCAGCCCTGGTGTGTTGTTTCATGTCAGTGACAGATATTCTGGAATGCATTTGATTTGTGCAAAGATGTTTCTCAACTTTGACTACTAGGAATTAATGTTTAACTTTGTCCTTTTCTAAAGAGAGTTATTTGTAAGGCAGGATTGGCCTTCAATACCTTAAGAGGCAAAAAATTGGTGTCAAGAAAAGTTCTAACTAAGAGCATGAAAACTGGGGAAAGCAAATGTTCTTAAGGTGATTTTTATATGCTTGGCATTGAATTTTCCTTTTCCTCAAAATACAAGTATTCCATATTCATTTCAGTGTAATTTAGAACAAAAATGGTATTATCTGTGTAAGAATTGTTATTGTCAGTCAAGTACTGAAAGTTCAATAATAGGCCCTTAAAAGGCATTATGTCAAGCAGGAGGCAAATGTATGGTAAGGATCTCAGAATTGCTTCACTGGAGTTGTTATTTGAAATTTCCAAAAGGATAACACCATCAAAACACTGCCTTAGGCTGCTTCTAGGAGGAAACTTCAACTTATTCACTTAACTTTAGACACTTTTTGGAAGGTTGTGTCAAGTGTGAGTATTTTGTGATCCTTTCTCCCCTCACCCTCCTCCTCTTTACATCCATATTTTCAGAAACAAACACAGTTATCCTTGGAAAACATAATTTTTCTTCTTACATATTTTCTTATTGATGTACTGGAAATTATGATTTTTGACCCGAGTCTACCTTAAAATATTTGGCATTCACGGTTCCACTACACTGAACTTCATTCACCTAAATGTACTTTATTACATTCGGCAAAACTTAAAAGATTTATCTTGTTTTGGAAAATTAAATGAGATAACTGCATGTGAAGTACTAATACTGTGCACAGAATAAGCTTTTAAGGAATGATGGCAGCAGTTGTACTTATAAGACATAGAGTCATATAAATTCAGTACTTTCTCTAAATAACCTTCCATTTTTATATTTGTGTAATCATGTCTTTTTCTTTGGAAGTTGGATGCAAATCAACTTATACAAAACTTTCCAAAGTTTCACTTGTTTTACATACAACCTTCATGATGTTTCCCATGTTTTTCTATAACTGTACTATAAATTACTAAACATTTTTCTTTAAAGCAGACTGATTTTAAGTTGAATTTGCTCAAAAGAAATAGTATCTCATTACTTTCAATGGAAAACCAGTATCATTTGCCATAAATACAAAATGACTATGAGCAAAAGTTCATAAAGCAAAGGAACAAAATTCTGCCAAGATACTATTATCTACCAAGAGTCAAAACTGTAGGTCTGCACCCTGCTCTCTGTTAGAAAGGGAGAATCACAAATGTTAGAATAGTGTTAAAAACTCCATGGAAACTTTTCTGGGCTTAAAGGAACTGAATGGCATTTTCATACCTTTCTAATGCTGTGATTTAATATTTCCTGGTGCCTTGTCAGTGCCACCTGAAATCATGATCTTATGATGTGCTTCCTCTTTGGAAAAAACTCTAAAATAGTAACACTAAAATCAAGAACATTTTGTTTATAGGACTCCTTTTTTTAAGATGTGAAAGCCAGCCAGTCAATTCCTGTTCTTAAGTATATTCTTAGCTAGGGAGGTTGCTTAAGATTTTGTTTATAAGACTTTCACTAAAATCAGAATTGGGTCATCGCACCCAGTGCTTTAGTTTTGGAAATCTGAGTTTGAAATAAAGGATAAATGACATAAATTAATGGAGTAAAATTAATGTTGTGATAATATTAAATAAAGCTAATGCCTTTTGCACCTGGAGGGCTATGCAGATGGCAGGCATACCTAATTATGCACCCTGCTTGCCTTTAAGTATACTGATAGAAATCTCTCAACTGAGTATAAAATATGTTCATTCACTGGCTCCAGAAAAGTTTGAGTAAGGCAACACAATCCACAAAAAGCCTAACATGCTTATTTTTTAGTGGAAAGAAATACAATTCTATAAGTTAAAATGAAATAATTGAATACTTATTTTTAAAACAAGTTATTACTACTGTTGGATTTGTTCTTTCTGTGAATATCAAAATATATGCCTGTCATTCCCATTAGAAAAAGATGATTCTCAAACTAGCAAGGAAGTACTTAAATGTAAGTTTATATTTTTACAGACTGCACACAAAGAGAATAATTTACTAGTGGAATTCTAAATAAATTGATTTGCTTTCTTTACGTATAAATCGGATTGGTTAATCATTGCTGAGATATTTATAAACTTGTTCAATTCTTTAAGATGTAACTTCTCTAGAAAATATTTTGCTTTAGTTAAAAATGTAGATATTTTGCTACAGATATTTCAGAAACGTGACTGAGCTTTAAAAACCTTACTATGAGTTCTCTTCACTTAAGGAATGTATTCCCATGAACTTCATTTTGTTGCATTTGGATACCTATGCAATTAAAAGTATAACCAGCAACTACTGCTGTTAGCTTCAGAATGATTTTTAAAATCCTATTTCTAATATTTGTTACACTTTCCTATTACATTTCTTATAAATACACATGTATTTATTACCTACATTTTTAAAAATAAAGGACCAGTAAACTATGATTACTTTTCAGAGTTTTCATCAAAATAGGAGAGTGGTGTCAGGTGTTTGTAATAAAGGATGCTGGTTGATCTTTAAGAACAAGTGGCTTATTTTTAGCCTAAAGAACATACAGTTTCCTCATCTTTTACTGTTTAATCCTAGGGTTAAGAAAGAAAATGTACATTTGTTTTTGTTGTTTTTGTTTGTGAGACAGGGTCTCACATTCTCACTCAGGCTGAAGTGCAGTGGTGTGATCTTGGCTCACTGCAACCTGCACCTCCCATGCAATTCTCACACCTCAGCCTCCCGAGTAGCTAGCTAGGACTACAGGTGCAAGCCACCACACCAGGCTAACTTTTGCTTTTTTTTTTTTTTTTTTTTTTTGGTAGAGACAGGGTTTCACATTTGCCCAGGCTGGTCTCGAACTCCTCCTGGGCTCAAGCAATCCACCCGCCTTTGCCTCCCAAAGTACTGTGAGAAAAGTTTCACATTTAAACTTTACATTTGTAATAGTTGTCAACCACATTTATTTGTAAGTGTCTGCTTATTATTGCTTCTATTCAATGGTGTTGATCAAAAGAGTCAAACTCTGTAAAATATTTGAGATTTATTCTGAGCCAAATATGAGTGACCATGGCTCATGACACAGCCCTCAGGAGATCCTGAGAACATGTGCCCAAGGTGGTCAGGGTACAGTTTGGCTTTATATATTTTAGGGAGACATGAGATATAAATCAATACATGTAAGATGTATGTTGGTTTGGTCTGGAAATGGGGGACAAGTGGAAGCTGGAGCTTCCAAGTCATAGGCAAATTCAAAGATTTTGTGATTGGCCACTGGTTGAAAGAGTTATTAACAGAAAGGCATGTTTGGCTTATGATAAGGGGTTGTGTAGGCCAGGGTTTTCTCATAAAGATGAAGTTTCTAGGTAGCAGGCTTCAGAGAGAATAGATTGTAAATGTTTCTTGTCAGACCTAATCTGTTCTATCAGTAATTCCAAAAGGGAGGAGGGTATAATAAGGCATGTCTGGCTACCCCTTCTTATCATGGCCTGAACTCATTATTCAGGTTAACTTTGGAATGCCCTTGGCTGAGAGGAGGAGTCCATTCAGATGGTTGGGGGGCCTTAGAATTTCTATTTTTGGTGTACAGTAGTTAATTTTTTCTAAAGCTTTTCCTTTCTGTACATTACAGTTATTCATATAGCAAAGTTATCAATGTTTTATCCTTCACTTTGCCTGTCTTGCTCTTGCATTTAATGTAAATCATAGCTGATAAATGTCATATAAGGAAGGAACTCTAGATTTCTCTGAAATGTAGTGTGAAGGGCATGGGCCTTCAGAGCTCAGGGCCCTGAGTTCGTAACCTGGCTGGGCTCCTGATTAGCAGGCAACTGACTTCTCTGAGCCTCTGCCTGCTTTGTTGGTAAAATGGAAATAATAACATTTTTCCTCACAGCACTCTTAGTATCAAATGAGATGAGGTGGTTGCATATGATAGCACCTGATAAATGCTAGAAATATTGTTACCACTGCGAAAGTCAGTGTAACTTCAGAGCTGTGGTGATACATATAGTGGAATTGTGGGGGGCCATCTGAAAGAGTGTTCTAACACTACTATGAATTTGTATCCCGACTTTCAAAATAAACTTGTAAAGTGCCTTCCTACTTTCTTATTCTAGAGATTTCCTCATAATTTCTGCCAGAAAGGGAAGCTAAAAACAAAAAGGATTCTAGGAGAATTGAGAGCTGCAAGGTCTCATTGATTGGTGAAGTGAATGTGCCACTCCTTAACATTTTAAATAAGAGATGTTTTGGATGGGAGATATTTAAACCTAGTGAGAGGTTTTATCAATCAAAACCCCAGCACTTGTATAATAAGCCAAGTATCTAGTTTTCAAGATAATGGGAAATTGCAAAATATCCATCACTCATATAATCCCTCCTCTCCAGTCATCTGTGTTAATTAGGATAAGTAGATTCCACTTTAATGCCCTTTTTATGTACAGTCCCTCTTCAAAAGGAGGGAAAAAGAAGAACTTAGCTTGGTAGACTAAACAGTATTCTAGAAGGAAGTTGGTGAGATCATACTGCTGGCAAAATGCTTGTTTTCATTCATATTCGTTATTATTTCTCAAATGGTTGATAATAAATTGGAGAAATGTAAGGTGGAAATTGTATATACCTCTAATGGTTAAGTTTTCACATTATTTTAAACAGTCAAGTAAAGGAAGTTTGCTTCTAAAGAGGACTTCTGCCAAGGGATGATCCCATTTGACCATAAAATAAGCTTCATGGTCTACAAAGACCTGGCTCTGAAAGCTCATGCTGTTGAAGGTTTGTGTTAGGGTTGGGAAAATAGAGCTTCTATTTGGGATTCTGTAGCATGCTTTTCTATGGGTGTCATGCAAGAGTGATGCCTCTCTGAACTGGACAGCAGACAATTAGTACACGTAAGCCCAATTTTTAGGTTTGCACATTGGATGAGTTAAGTTGCTAAACCAGTCTCAATCTCCTTGCTAGTAAAATGTTTTATGAATATTTATTTTAAAAATCATACATTTCAAATATTGGAAGACAGTGAAGGGCCAAGAATCACTTTGAAACATTAAGGAATTGAGATCCAAAAGAATATATGTGCGGAGCCACCTGTGTGGAAGTTATCATTTGCTATGCTAAGATATATGTGTCCATGTCAAAATTGTGATGGGAAGTTCTGAGGTGTGAAAATCATTGGTAACTTTTTCTTTGTGAACCATGGACCATATTTTTTTGATGTGATGTACTTCCCATGATACTTAGGAGGCTTATCTATGTTTCAACTTTCAAATGAAAAAGAAAAGTTACTAGAAAAAGTTAATAGAACTTTATGTATAGGAATTCTGAATACTAGACAGATTAGAAACTCTGGTTGCTAAAAAAATTTTGAAAGGGAAAAATAGGATTGGAGTCCCCAATTCGATATTTTGTTTCTTTATTCTCTATTTATTCATGAGGATAATATCTTCCAGGGTTTTGAAAGTCAAAATATATAAAGGATGTGAACGTCTTTAAAGTGCTATATAAACATTGATCATTGTTATTGTATACTAGGTTAACTACACATTTAGGTTAAAAGTTACCATATTGACAAGATACTGTCTAAACAAGCATTCTACTTCCTGTTACGTAGCCCTGGAAATGAAACCTTTCTGGTGATATGTTACTTTGTTAATGAATAACATACATCCCACAACTTCCTAAAAATATAAGATGGCATATAATTTTAAATTTTGCAAATATATATATATATATATAAAATCATATATATTTAAGATCCATTAAAGAACAAGCCCTCACCAACCCCTAGCATAAACTTTCTGCCATTGTTATCATCATTGTGTCTTGGACATATCCATTTTGTAACAGATGGTTCCAGTGTATTGTTGTATTTACATTATGAACTCTGTTACTATCCTGGAAACAATATTAACACCAGAGTTTTGCTCAGAAATGGGAAGCAGGGATGAAGGAAGGAAGGAAGAAGGCAGGGAACTAAGAAAAGTTCATTGAAAGGAAAGGGGAAGATCATTAGCCTCAAGTCTATTCTGATGAGATTTCTGCCATTCAATGTGAAAGTTAAATATGGACGTCTTCAGAGTCTAGTGGAAAACAAAAGAGCAGGGGCAAATTTATAATTCTAATTTTGATGAAAGCCAGAATTTGTAATATCTTACATGTTGCATACAATGACTAAGCTTCATAACTGTCTGCTAAACAAATATGAGTTAATAATTATAAGTAAATGAAAGAATCATTTTGGGAAGGACTTGGACAATTAAAAAGAGAAACCAAGAAGAATGCAAATGCAGGCCAATGCTAGTTTGCATCTTCTATCTCTCATTTCTTTCAGATTTTTTTTTTAATTTTTCGGTTTGGGAAAATGGGACTGAGATGGTGGTAAGTTATGGATATTTTTCACAAACTAAGGAAGCCAGGGAAAAAAATGTTCAAGGTCTCCAGTGTATGAAGCAACTGCTGTTGCTTTCTGCAGACATTACCAAAACTGGTATCCCGTGACTGGTATCCATAAGAGTGCATGGTATCTAAGTGGATGCGAGCAATATGATCTTAATCTTTCTGGAATGTGAATTCTTCTCCATCAATCACAACTGATCTCAAGATAGTCTGTATTATAAAAAAGAAAATATTATATGATGTATATCTTATTTAATCAAACCCACTTTCCAAACTCGGTGCAGCATTTATTGGACGAACAAAAACTCTTCATAGAAATTAGTACTTAGGCCTTGTTTATCTACTTGACTTTTACCTTAGGTAATATTAGTGATAATCAACATAGTTTAGTCCAATGGTACCATTTAGTGTCATGCAAGGAAAAAGAATATTTCCTCTGTCCTTTATGAGCCATCTTAAAGTCCCTTGAGAGACATCATAACAGATGGCTAGAGATGGAGATGTGAAGTAATGCCAAATTTTAGATACTCCAGATGAAATGAGTTTTCTGAATTAAATTATTAAGTAAGTTGGTCCAATATCTAAATATTTCTCTAGTGTAGATTTGACTTGAAGTATAATCAAAATAAGTATAAACCAAAAACAACACATAGGACAACAATGAATTGTATTTATGATTTGATAACCAGGGTGCTCTTTGGTTAGAGAATTTTTTTTTACCTGTATCCTGCATGAACACTGTAGAGACTGTTTTCTAGAAACAGATAATTGATTACAAGCCCAATGGCTATAGGGACATCCTTGGTAGTATCTTCCCCTACTTCTCCTTCTCCCCCCCGCCAAACTACTCTCTCCCTGTACCAAAGGTATTTGTATGTTATTCACACTGTCATAGCAGTTCCCTTGCAGTTCCCATATTCTTTTTCTCTATGTGATTATCTTCACTCTTGCTCAGGACTGTAGAATGATTCCTTACATCTCTTGGGGAAATAAATAAAAGCTAAATTCCTGGGAATGAAAGGATGTAGTCTTTGCATTGGATAAAAATAAGTAGCAAGTGGCAGTGATGGCATTTACTCAAGGAGGATCATAACATTAATTACCTCAGTTCAGATGAGTAGACAAAAAGTCCATGGCCTGAGGCTAAGCTGAGAAAGTAAGGCAAAGGTAAGAAGGAAGAGGCAACTTGATGGAAGAACCAGGGGAAGCCTTAAATTCCAACCCGTTGTTTTACTAGAGAGGCTGAAGAACCGCAGGTATTCTCAGAATTTCCCAAATTTTATCTAGACTTGATGTTTTCAACCCTTCCTTGACAAAAGAAGAAGCCAAAGTCTATGGGGAGGTAAGTGGTTGGACAGTTCTGAGAAGTCTATTTTCCCCATGCCCTAGTCTTTCATCTTCCATAGCTAAACATGACTTTCCTGACGATTAAGCCCTTTCTACCCATGGCTTACTCATCACCTTCTCAATCGCTTCCGCTTTCTCATGGGCCCTTTCCAAATCCTTCATACGTATGCCATTTATATTGTAAAGTTGAAATCTAAGGCTAGTTTTCATAAAGGCATGATCAGTGGTTACACCATAATTTATATGTAACACAAATATAAGTAGACCATATTCAAAGAAGCACAGTCTGGCAACCAAAAAATATAACTAAAAGCAGTCTAAACATTCATTTCATTTACAAAATGTTCGTTGTTACGTCCATTAACCTTAAAAATCTTTTCACTTCTGTTTCATCCTAATTTTTCACATTCAAAAAATGGATTTAAAGTTACCTTCCCTCCCCTCCTGGCTCATTCCTCAATACTTTTTCTTTCCCCTTTTTTACTGCTCCATTCCTTTCCTCTGTCTTCAAACAGGAATGACCACTTCTGCATGCCAGGCATGTTAGGCTGACCCAGGACCGCCAGATGACCCAGAAACTTTATATACTTCTCACCTGTCATGGACAGAAGCACACAATAGTCCCCTAAGAAATACAGTTCATTAACTCTGACTGCTTTTCTTGACAAGTCATCCCATTACCTGGATTCAGCATATAAGTAGATAATAGCAAGCAAAAAATATCCTTTTTTGAAGTACAAATGTGTTTATTTTCCATGTATATTCTCTCTCTCTTTCCCTTTATCAAAGGGCCATTTTTCCCCCACCACACTTTTGTCCCCGCAGACCACACTGAAACCTAAGCGAAGTCTCAAAGTAGCTGCTGGCAAAAATGTTAGGAAAAAACATGTGGGTGCCTTACAGAGAGTGTTTTCACTCCTCAAAACTATATCAGAATAGGGCTGGTGAGGAAGAAGGAATGGAAGGAGTGAGAACATGGGGACCTTCAAGTGGGAAGGAGGAGAAGAATCAGTCCTCCATTGTTAGGACCAAGGAGCCTTGGGGAGAGGACTGAGTGCCAAATTGTCCTCGAATGATAATCCCCAGTTGCCATCTGCTTTGCAGTTGAACCATAGTGCCCTGACTCTGCCCCTTTCCCACGCCATTGCCTGTGGATAACCTGCCATCCCACTGGACTAGTGACCTGTAAGTCCCCCAACCGAAGTGGGGGCATTGGAGGACTTGGATGGCCTTGGTGATATGGAGGGAAAATTTCTGATGCAGGAGCTGCAGTGAGGGGAGCAACAGTTCATTACCAGTTGGAAAGTTCTGTAAGAGCCAGGGCAGCAAGAACCACGGTGCTTCTGTTTCCCACATATGGGTATCTAAATCCTTATACAGAAGATGTCTCCAGCTCCCAAGTGGAGACATTTATTTGGCAGGAATTGGGGACGGAGGGTATGGTGGTTGAGGAGAGAACTTAGAATACATTTTACCACTGTTTTTGCGAATGGTTAGGCTCTCTAGATCCAGACTGTTTTGTTAAGGGAAGAATCTTCCTCCTCTAAACTGTGAAGAGAGTTCAGTAGCTCCTCCCTCCCCAAGGTAGTCTTATGTGGTCACTGTCAGAGGGCTAGCCCTGTTTCTCAATGTGTGCCCTGAGCAGGGACAAGAAGGGAAAGAGTTTACTCTCACCATGCAATCTGCAGGTCAGCATGGTTGTCTTGGCTACCAGGCTTACCTTGAATCAAACAAAGAGTCACCTCTTTCATGTTTCATATCTTTTTTACTTAGACCTTTTATTTTTCTTGTCCTTGTCCTTGATTGCCTTGATTGTCATCTTCATGCTTTCTGGGTTCCCTCTTCAGGGCTGGCACATCTGTCTGATGGTGTTCAGGACATGCTACCCCATGTATGGCACCTTGACATATTGAATATTTTAAGCTGAAAGCATTTGAGAAACAGCGAATGTGGGGAAGACTTTCTGACTTTCCTCTGAAGCAGGTCATACAGGACCCTCATGTGAAAGGTTTTCTCCCTTTATCTGGAGGAAATGAGAATCCTTATTTCCAAAGACAGAGCATCGCCAAGAGGAATCTAAATGAACAGGTCGTCCTCAGTTTCCCCCAGTTTACTACTCTTAGCTCATACCCCCTTTCTGTCCTATCACAGTTTCCCGTAACTCTCCCCTTGTTCATCAGACCTACTATAATCAAATCTAGTTGTTGTGTCACATAGAGCTTATATTAAATAAATGTGTAGACATTTCTTTGTTTATTTGCATTTTGTTACAGGGAGCCCAGCTGAGAACATAGAAGGACAGAAAGAAAAGATATTTTTCCTCCCTTCCATATCCAAAACACCAACTCTCACCTAGTGCCCAATTACTGCATACTGCATGCCTTACAGTTTCTTTTTTCTTTTTTCTTTTTTTTTGTTGTTGTTGTTGAGATCGAGTCTCACTCTGCTGGCCAGGTTCGAATTCAGTGGCACAATCTCGGCTCACTGTAACCTCCGCCTCCCAGCTTCAAGTGATTCTCCTGCCTCAGCCTCCCAAGTAGCTGGGATTATAGGTGTGTACCACCATGCCCGGCTAATTTTTGTATTTTTAGTAAAGACAAGGTTTCGCCATGTTGGCCAGGCTGGTCTCAAACTCCTGACTTTAAGTGATCCACCCACGTCTGCCTCCCAAAGTGCTGGGATTACAGGTGTGAGCCACCATGCCTGGCCTACATGCTTTACATTTTCAAGTGTGGTCCGCCTGCCCTGCATTTGTCATTGTTATCGTCTGCCCACGCTTTGAATGAAATGCACCTGGGCTTTATCTGAGTTTCCCCTCCTGCTTGCCAAGCCTTTGTCTGGATTTGGCGGGCAGTTTGCCGTGGCGCCCTGTGCTTTCCACTGACCAAGCTGCCCCTCTTCCCTGATGGGTCCCCTCCTGTTTCACTGGCCACACCTCTCCAGTGCTTTATCAGATGGGTTCTATCACTCCCAAATATTTAACTCCCAACATGGGTTAAAATTTTATAGTTGAATGAGACAATTAAGCACTACTAATGTATTCTGATAAAATGAAGTTACATGGAAAAACTAGTGTGTGTGACGCGCTAGATGCTAATGTTTGAGGAAAGCTAGGCTTAATCAGAGCAGGGTGATGAGCAAAACACTTAAGATTTTGAAGAAAATTGTTGGCCATGTTCAGATGCTTTAGAAATGAAAAGTACAGGTCTTTTATGCATCCTGATTTTACTTCCAAATGTGTGGTTTTTATTTTCTTTGCGCTCCATGTATCACTGACAAAACTGGCTTAGACCAGTTGTTTAATCATGCCACTCCTGGCTCAAATGTGTCTTAGGCACCCCACTGCTTAGAAAAAACAAGTCCACATTTTACTTAGTACTAGAGGCACCTACAACTTAGCTTCTAATGCTCCAGTCTAATTCCTCATTTTTGTTCTAAAGAAGCTCTAGCTCCTTCATTCATTTTGCCATTTTCCAAACAAGATTGGCATATACTGGCCTCATAGTTTCGTTTAAACTTACCGTTTTCTGGGATGACCTTTTCCTCAACATATTCCTGGTTTATTCATTCTTCAAGGCTGAGCTCAGACTCCTTATCCTTCAGAAAGTTTTATGTCAAATGAGCTAATAGGTGTTAAAGTGTATCTTGTCGAAAGTACCTGGAATATAATGAACATATAAAAATAGTAGCTATTATTAATCAGAGTTCATCTTTCTTTTTGCGCTCATAAATTTTTATCTCTGGAACAGTATTTTTCAAATGTTTTATATTACTTATTAAAAAACAAAAATCTATGCTCCAAAAATAAAGTGTTGGAACACTGGTTTAAACACAGTTAAAGAAATTTGTTTTGACAGACTTATCAGAATGTCAAATATAGCAATATATCGTAAATCTTCACTGGGGAACAAAAATATCGAGAGAGATTCAAGCTCCAAGGAATACATTTTTGGGAAACACAGCTATACCACACCAACTCTGAACTGATAGAATTATTTAGCCCCAGAAGGACTGGGGCTCCTTCGGCTTTTTACTTCCATAATGTGTAACAGATGTGTCACAGAGCAGGCTATAATAGTTTTTTTTTCTTTTTAAGTTAGCATGTTGTATAGTATATTTTTCCTACGGAAACTGGACAGGAGTTGAAAGCAAGAAAGGGTCAAGAGGATGTGTTTATTATTTTTGAGGAGTTAACTGAGTTTCGAGTGGTGAAAAGAAAAACCTCTGTGTATTGTCCAACATGCAGGAAGCATGGAGCTGGAGAGGGAAATATTGGGTCAGCTTTTGGCAAATCCACTAAGTTACAACGAAATAATTTAGTTGATATTGGAAGGTTAGAGTGTAAAGTACAAGCCAGTCCTCTCATGGTCAAATATGTTTCTAAGTTGGCTGTTCTTACTCATTAAGTTCTTGTACATGGGTGTATTTTTATATTCCAATTACCTGTTATCTTTCTAGCTTGTTAAATTTGACCAAAACATTGATTATATATACTTCGAGCCAAGAATGCTATCATTCCAAACTCCTTAATAGGCTTAAGAAGTTTTGATTTTCAATACAATTTAAAAATTTATATTACTGAAGAATTTAATACAACCCCCTAATTTTATAGATGAGCCATCTTTAATGTTACCAATAATCTATGGTGAAACTGGGACTAAAACTCAGGTTTTCTGATAATAAGTGACTTTTAATTTAAGACAAGTATTTGAAAATGTTGGTTTTTTTCAAGAATCCAATACTTAAATAATTTATAAAAGTAGCTTATCATGTTAGCTTAATTGAAGGAAATTAAACAAGCATTAATCTTGTACATTTGAAGTTGGTGAAAGGAGATGAATGAATAGTAGCAAATTATTACCATTAATTTATTGAGCTGTACTCTGAAAGTTCCGACATTAAACCATTAGAATATATATAGAGAGAATATATATTAGAATACATATATAGTTCAGACATTAAACCATTAGAATATATATATATTCTAATGTATACAAATTTCTAGCAAGAAGCTACCTGAAATATTTTTCAGCTTCAACTCTTTCCTTAACAGAGTAGGAAAGTGTGGATGAACAATTTGCTTAGCAAGTATTAAAGTTCACTGATTATTACATCATATCTGTGATTTGGAGCTCAGTTAAGTTTTATCTGTTCTCCCCATAGCAATATCAGGCAAATTACCATATCAGTTTATTATTGTGCCAGCTACTAAATCTTGTGACAACTACATAGAAACAAGACTAAACATAAAAGATATTTTGATTACAATTGTGTTTACTGTTGATACAATTCTCTATACAAGCTTGATTAAATGTTTATGTTTGTATAATAGTGATTGTAATATCAAGTTACCAGGCAGAGCCATTTTGTGGATAATTTAATATTTTGTGCACTTAGAAAAGCATGTGTACATTGTATAGTCAATTGGCATATATATGGTTATAAAGCACATTCAGTAAATGGAAGTGCATTGCAAATGGATAAATTTAGATTAGTGATGAACATCATTAAAATGTTTTTATAAGAAGATGCAAGTTCCATTTATAAGGAAATTTTAGTAATAAAAAAGTAAGGATTACCCTACACGTTTTAGAGAAGTAAGTGTAGCAGATGAAATAGCTTACACCCACATTAAAACATGTGGAACACCCCAGGAGCATCAGCCATTTAGATTTCAACAACCAGTGCTCATCTGTGCACGCACAGTGCAACAGTGACACCACCGGGCCAGCTTTCTCAGACTTCTGGGGCTTTTCAAGGTGTTAAAAGGGAACTAGATGCTCACAAGAAATGCAAGAGATTGGGGGAAATGTGCAGACGATTAAAAACTCTGCTTTTAAATTATTGGGGGGGAAAAGAATCTTTCCAGCAATACTTTTAAAGTGCTGGTTCTGTGTTTGATGTGTTTTCCTCATTGACCTGAGTAAACAGAGAAAAAATCCGATGATCATTATGACTGATGAAGTAAACGTGGCTGTTCCTGATACTTCAGGCAATGTTGTCACTTGGTTGAACACCTTCCCATTTGGTTAAAATTCTCCAGGGAAAAATAAACCCACAAGAGAACACATGAAAGCCAGGAAACACCTTAATCTTCTTCTGGAATCCAAACACTAGAGGGCAGTAGAGTCCATGCTACTTCTGCTTTGTTCTCCTTTATCCGTTACCCTCCCCGCGCTCAACCCGCCCCTCCAGCTCCCACCCTGTCCTCCCCCTGATACCGCATCTTTCTCATTTCTTCTGAGTAGCTCTAAGAACTTTTCAGAAAAAGTAAAAGTTCCAGTACTTTTACTTCCAAAGTACTGGAGCATTACATTTTCTCAGAAACTTGTACAAAAGTAGAAAGTAAGATACAACTTTTTCCAGATTTGAGGATGTGGTTATATTCTTTTTGCTTCCATGAAAATTAGCTGTTTTTTAAAGTACATGTTTTGGGCAAAAAGAAGGGTATCGCACAGGCTTTAGTGGTTATTGAAAAAATTAACATCAAGCACTAAATCAATGAATTCTTAAGTCAACTCTTAAGGAATGCCTCCATTTGTAAAAATCCAACTTAAGGTGGGAAAATATAAAAGTGAAAAAGCCAGGCTCTTTGTATTCAGAACAAAACAACAAAAAAAAGAATTCTATATGAAGAACGTAAAATAATAGCTACAGGAAGTACTCAACACTTCTTAGAAGCCTGGCTTTTCATTGATATTACTATTTAGTATCATTGCTGGAATTTCGAAGAGAATAATGACCTTTTTAAATACATTTTTCCCCCGATTTTCTTTTTCTTTCTGTCCTCTAACATAAAGTTTTTATTTCTGGGTAAATGAAATATTTGGTTGAATTTTTTTTTTGATGTAAGTTTAAATGGATTTTGAGAGTGCTTATTTTGTGTTTTATTCAATAAAGTTATGTTGTAATACTTCACTGATAAAAGTAAAATCAGGCCGGGCGCGGTGGCTCACGCCAGCACTTTGGGAGGCCGAGGCAGGCGGATCACGAGGTCAGGAGATCGCGACCATCCTGGCTAACACGGTGAAACCCCGTCTCTACTAAAAAAATACAAAAAAAAATTAGCTGGGCATGGTGGCGGGCCCCTGTAGTCCCAGCTACTCGGGAGGCTGAGGCAGGAGAATGGCGTGAACCCAGGAAGCGGATCTTGCAGTGAGCGGAGATCGAGCCACTGCACTCCAGGCTGGGCGACTGAGCGAGACTCTGTCTCAAAGAAAAAAAAGAAAGAAAGAAAGAAAGTAAAATCAGTTTTCAAGTTTCCGTTTCCAACTCAGTGACTGTCACTGCAGCCTTCAGCATTTTGTGCATAAATTTTCCCCTGAAGAATAAAAAGTAACCTTAGCTGGTATCTTTGGCCTTGAAACACTCAGAATTAATTTTTTCTATAAATATAGAAATGCTACTTTTACTTACTGAAGAATGGAATGCTCTGGAGACATCTTGAAGAACTATGAGGCCTCATAATGAGATTTCCTTAGAAAACTCAATTAGACATTGTTAGGCCTTAACCTATATTTTTGAAAGACTATCTATTCGCAATAACAGTGCTGTGCATAGAGTAGATTCTCAATTTTTGAACAACATGAACATCCATTGAGCATATCCAAATTCCAAAAACTATGCTAGGTACACTTATCCCTGCCTGATAGGGGCTAAAAATCTCTAAATTAATAAATAGTGTTGCTAAGTCTAAGATAAATTAAGTTTAACACTCTTATGGTATTTGGCTATTTTTTTGTAAGATCTCCACTGTCCTGACAAAAGTCCTGCCTGACACATACTTATTTTTTTTTCAATGACAGGCATACCTCAGAGATGTTGCAGGTTTGGTTCTGGACAACAACAATAAAGGGAATATTGCAATAAAGTGAATCACGTGAATGTTTTTGGTTTCCCAGTACATATAAGTTACCTTTACATTATGCTGTAGTCTACTGAGTGTGCAAGAGCATTGTGTCTAAAACATGTATATACCTTAATTTTAAAATATGCAATTGCTAAAAAATGCTAACAATCATTTGAGCATTGAGTGAGTTCTAATCTTTTTCTGGTGGAAGGTCTTGCTTCAATACTGATGGCTGCTGACTGATCAGGGTGGTGGTTTCTGAAGCCTGGGATGGCTGTGTCAATTTCTTAAGACAACAATGAAGTTTGCCTTGTTAATTTGACTATTCCTTTCATGAAAGACTTCTCTGTAGCATGTGATACTGTTGGATAGCATTTTAGCCACAGTAGAACTTCTTTCAGGATTGGAGTCAATCTTCTCTAACTCTGCCACTGCTTTATCAACTAAGTGTACATAATGTTCTAAATAACTTGTTGTCATTTTAACAATGTTCACAGTATCTTCACCAGGAGTGGATTCCATCTCAAGAAACTGCTTTCTTTGCTCATCCATAAGAAGCAATCCTCATCCATTCAAGCTTTATCATGAGATTGCAACAATTCAGTCCCATCTTCAGGCTTCACTTCTAATTCTAGTTTTCTCACTATTCCCACCACATCTGCAGTGACTTCCTCCACTGAAGTCTTGAACTTTTGAAATCAACATCTTCCAAAAGAAATTGGAGTTTGGAAGAAACTCCAAATGGTCATATTTTGACTTTCTTCCATGAAGCACAGATGTTCTTAAGGGCATCAAGAATGGTGAATCCTTTCCAGAAGGTTTTCTATTTACTTTTCCCAGATCCATTAGGGAAATCACCATCTGTGTGTGCCTGTAATCCCAGCTTCTTGGGAGGCTGAGGCAGGAGACTCGCTTGAACCTGGGAGGCAGAGGTTGCAGTGAGCCGAGATCGCACCACTGCACTCCAGCCCTGGTGACAGTGCGAGACTCCATCTCAAAAAAAAATAAAAGGAAGAAGAAGAAGAAAGAAATCACTATCTATGGCAACTATAGCCTTACAAATGTATTTTTTTTTTTCAATAAGACTTGAAAGTCAAAATCACCCTTTGATCCATGGGCTACAGAATGATTATTGTGTCAGCAGGCATGAAAACAAACAACATCTCCTTGTACATCTCCATCAGAGCTCTTGGGTGACCAAGTGCCTTGTCACTGAGCAATAATATTTTGAAAAGAAACTTTTTTTTGGAGCAGGTCTCAACAGTGGGCCTAAAATATTCAGTAAACCATGCTATAAACAGATGTGCTGTCATTCAGACTTTGTTGTTTCATTGATGGAGCACAGGCAGAATAGATTTAGTATAATTCATAAGAGCCGTAGGATTCTTGGAATGGTAAATGAGCATTGAGTTCAACTTAAAAGTCACTGGCTGCATTAGCCCCTATGAACAAAATCAGCCTGTCCTTTGAAGCTTTGAAGCCAGGCATTGACTTTTCTCTAGTGAAAGTCCTTGAAGGCCTCTTCTTCTAAGATAAAGCTGTTCCATCTACATTAAAAATCTGTGGTTTAGTGTAGTCACTTTCATCAATGATCTCAGAGCTTCTGGATAATTTGCTGCAGCTTCTACATCAGCACTTCCTGCTTCACCTTGCCCTTTTATGTTATGGAGATGGATTCTTTCCTTAAACCTCACGAACTAACTTCTGCTAGCTTCTAATTTTTCTTCTTACGCTTCCTCATCTGTCTCAGCCTTCACAGAATTGAAGAGTTAGGGTCTTGCTCCGGATTAGGCTTTGGCTTAATGGAATGGTTTGATCTTCTATCCAAAACACTACAACTTTCTCCATATCAGCAATAAAGCTGGTTAGCTCTCTTACCATTCATGTTCACTGGAGTAACAATTTTAATTTCCTTCAAGAACTTTTTCTTTGCATTCACAACTTGGCTAACTGGTGCAAGAGACTAAGCTTTTGGCCTGTCTTAGTTATCAACATGCCTTCCTCACTCAGCCTAATCATTTCTAGCTTTTGATTTTTTAATTTATATTTGTTTTTATTTTAATTTCTTTTTAAAGACAAGGTCTCACTATGTTTCCCAAGCTGGCATGCAGTGGCTGTTCACGGGCGCAATCATAGCACACTGCAGCCTTGGACTCATGGTCTCCAGTGATCCTCCTGCCTCAGCCTTCTGAGTAGCTGGGACTACAGGATGTGCCACCTCTCCTGTCTAGCTTTTTATTTAAAGTGAGAGACACACAACTCTTCTTTTCACTTGAACACTTAGAGGCCATTGTAGGGTTCCTATTTGGCCTAATTTCAATAGTGTTGTCTCAAGGGATGGAACAGCCTGAGAAGAGGGAGCGAGATGGAGAAACAGCTGATCAGTGGAGCAGTCAGAACACATACAACATTTATGGATTAAGTTTGCTGTCTCATATGGGCACAGTTTGTGGTGCCATAAAACAATTACAATTGTGACATCAAAGATCACTGATTACAGAACACCAAAACAAATATTATAATAATTTTTTAAAGTGTGAAATAATGCAAGAATTGTCAAAATGTAACACAGAGACATGCAGTAAGCACATGCTGTTTGAAAATGGCACTAATACAGGGTTGTCACAAAACTTTAATTTGTAAAAAATTCAGTATCTGTAATGTTCAATAAAGTGAAGAAGAATAAAACAAAATATGCCTGTACACTGAACTAAATTATTGCCCTGGGGAATCTTTAAACAAACTGAGATTAGTGAAAGCAAACTGCAGTGTCTCAGAGACAATGCTGACAATTAGTGGCTTAGGTGCTGGCTTTTCTACAAAAGCTCTAATGCTGTCACCAACATATCCTTTTGTAACTCCCACAAGTAATTTTGATACTCTGTCCTGTTTGCACAAACTCACTTTTTAGATTTGCAAGGGATTTAATTCTAGATGTGGCCTGAGGCTTGACAAGCAGCTTCCTGAAAGGCTTTGTAATAGGAACTTTTCAGACAAAATTGGTTCTGGCTCTGTTCAACTTTCTCCTTGGTGAGTAAGTCTACTATTACTCATGCAGTGGTTCGATATACATTGACTTTTCTTAGGGAACTACAAGGATATGTTCTTAAGGAGACAGTGTGCCACAATCCAAAGCAATCCAGTAATAATGTTTTAAAAAAAGGACTTCTTGGGAGACAGCCATAGTGGATTCTGACACTTCTTTCTTAAAAAATACTTTGATGTTCAAAGTTAACCTCAAATATGTTGCATTTTCTTTTTAGAGCAGAAGAGAAATCTTTAGACCTCAAAGTAGTCATTGGCATTTCAGGTATGAAGACCTGCAGTTGTAAAGTGTCTTTTCCCAAAGTGGAAACCTGTCAGAACTCCTTCTTATCTCACGAATATTGCCCGATTTGGAAAATATATTTTCATTTGGCAACTTTTACCAAGGAAGGTTATTTTTGAGACGGCAGGGGAGAAGTCTGTGAGGGGGATTCTTTTCTTCTTCTCTGTGGATAAGATTATGCTTAAAGGAGATACTTGAATATGTTAAACCAGAAAGAAGACAGCCTTGGTTAACCCAATGTTTAATCCAGTTCAACTATCGTTCCATCTTGCACTACTCTGCCAAGATTTCCTCTGTCATATTTGAAGGCCAGCCTGCCCTGGAGAATAACAGCCAATTAACTCTCTTCTAGTTTGCATAGTGTCATACCAGTCATCCTCTCTTACTTGTAGCATTATTTCTGGGTGGCCTCCAACATGTTAGTTTTTTTGCACAAGCTCTGATTTTCTATTCAATCATTATTTACTAAGGGCATAGAATGACTTGATTCTCCCATACACATTATGGAACAGGGTACTCAAAACGCTCATGTGATGGGAACAACAATCTCCATTTTACAGATAAGGAAAATAAAGATAATATATTTAAATAGTTGGTCCAAATTCACACAATATATAAAGGGACAGAGTGATAATCCAAGCCATGCCTTTTGACTTGATAGTCACTCTTGTTTTTACCAGAATTGTAGTTGTAGTTGCATCCCAAGGGAGTGGGGGGAGGTGGTATAAACTGGACTAAATCAGAATTTTAAAGACAGGTCAAATTAAAGGTTTCCTCAACCCCATAGTTAGAGTTTAGAATGCAACTGTTGTGCCGCATGCAGCCTTTAAACAGAAAGGTTGTGCCATGATTCATGCCTATTAAGTGTCAATGATACTGCAGCTATTTTATAGAGCAGCAAAACAAGTTTCAGCAACCCAGATCTTTATCTGCTTCAGCTGAAAAGACTGAATGCTGAAATAGGATGGTTACATTTTCATCTCAGTTATATAAATGATTGTTTTGAAAGGAAGCTGGCACATCTTTAGAAAGTTTTTTTTCTTCCTTTGATACGCATTAAATCTCTTGTTTTTGAAGTAAAAGACAAATCTGAGCTACATTAAGTATAGAAAATGATGTAGATCTCTCTGAATAGGTATTATGGCTAGGATGTATTGTGAAGTTAGCCATCTATAGCTACGATTTTTTTAAATATCACCTTGAATAAGGCACAATTTATATTCAATAAAATGTACCAGATTTAAGTGTAGATTTTAAAATACTTCGACAAATCTATACATCAATCATTTCCAATATCCCCAAAAGTTGGGGATATTGTGTCCTTCTCAGTCAAGTTCCCCTCTCCCAGTCGCCACTCCTGTTCACAGACAGCCACTGACCTGTTTTCTGTCACTACAGATTAGTTTTTCTTTATTAGAATTGCATATTAATAAAATCACAGTAAGTATTCTTTTTGTATGGCTTCTTCTGCTCAGCGTGTTTTTGAGGTCATCTGTGTTGTTCTATGTATTAATGGTTCATTCCCGAGTAGTATTCCGTTGTTGTTGTATCCACGATTTGTTTATTCATACCTGTAAGATGAACATATATTTCAAATTTTCAGCTATTATAAATAAAGATGCTAAACAGACTCATAAAAAAGTTTTCGTGTAGGCCGGGCGCGGTGGCTCACGCCTGTAATCCCAGCACTTTGGGAGGCCGAGGCGGGCGGATCACGAGGTCAGGAGATCGAGACCATCCTGGCGAACACGGTGAAACCCCGTCTCTACTAAAAATACAAAAAATTAGCCGGGCGTGGTGGTGGGCACCTGTAGTCCCAGCTACTCGGGAGGCTGAGGCGGGAGAATGGTGTGAACCCAGGAGGCGGAGCTTGCAGTGAGCCGAGTTTGCGCCACTGCACTCCAGCCTGGGCAACAGAGCGAGACTCCGTCTCAAAAAAAAAAAAAGTTTTTTTGTTGATATAACACTTTCATTGCTCTTAGGTAAAACCTAGGCATAGAATTACTGGGTCATAAGGAAAGCATATATTTGATTTTACAAAAAAGTGTATCAAAGTATGAGAATTTCAGTTTGTGGATATCCTCACCAACACTTGGTATGGCCAGTCTTTTTAATTTTAGTCATTCTAATAGGTGTACAGTGGTTTTTACATTACAATTTTAATTAGCATTTCCTGAATGAATAATGATGTTGGGCAACTTTCATGTTTTTATTTACAATTTGTATATCTTCTTGGATGAAGCATCTGTCCAAATCTCTTTTGCCCATTTTTTAAAAAATTGGCTTGGTTGTTTTTCTGTTGTTGTTGTTTTTGTGTGTGTATTTATATACATTCTGGATACAGGTCCTTTATTTTTCCTGCTAATCTGTGGTTTTCTCTCCATTTTACTATCAGTGTCTTTCAAAGAGCAGAGGTTTTAATTTTGATAAAGACAATATTAATTTGTTATTTTATGGATCATGCATTTGCTGTGTATCTAAAAAATCTTCACCTACTTCAAAGTTACAAATATGTTCTTCTATCTTTTCTTCTAAATATTTAATAGTTTTAAGTCTTACATTTTGGTCTATGATTCATTTTGAGTTACTTTTTATATAAGGTTGAGGTCTATATCTAAGTTCATTTTTGGCATTTGGATATTCAATCATGCTAGCATTGCTTGTTGAAAAGACTATCCTTACTGCATTGCCTTTGCCTTTGTGGAAAATCAATTGTCCGTATATGTGTACAGGTATTTCTATTCTATTGACTTTTTTCGATGCTAATATCACCCTGTTTTGATTATTCTAGATTTAAATAAACCTTGAAATACAGTAACATTAGTCTTCCAAATTTGGTCTGAATTTTCGAAGTACTTTTGGCTACTCTAGGCCCATTTCATTTATATTTAAGTTTTATAATCCATTTTCAAATTTTTTTCAAAATAAGCCTTTGAGAATTTTGAATGTAATTATGTTGAATGTATAAATCAATTTGGGATAAAGTGACATCTTAACAATATTAAGTCTTTTGACCCATGAGTAAAGTCTTTTTTATTTAGGTGACTTTAATTTCTCCAAGTAATCTTTTGTAGCTTTCAGAGTATAGTCCTTTGCATCTTTTGTGAGATTTATTTCTCCTAGGTTTTTAATATATTGTTATACTACTGTAATTGGTATTATTTTCTAATTTCAATTTCTGGTTGTTGCTGGAATGTAAAAATACAATTGATTTTGTATATTGGTCTTGTATCCTGCAAACTTATTAAATACGTATTAATTCTAGTAGCATTTTTATAGATTCATTAGATTTTCTATATAGACAATAATAAAGGTAGTTTTATTTTTTCTTTCTAATTTGGATAATTTTAATCTTTTTTTCCCACAGTGTATTTCACTAGCTGGAACCTCCGATATAATATTCAATTTATGAGAGCTTATATCTTTGCCTTGTTCCAAAGTGTTTAGTTTTTCACTGTCTAGTATGAAATCAGCTGTAGGCTTTTTGTTTCTATTCCTTATCAAGTGAGGAAGTTCCCTTCTTTTCCTAGTGGGCTGATAGTATTTATCAGGTGCCTTGGATTTTGTGCAGTGCCTTTTCTGTACCTATTGAGCTTATTATTTTTTAAGTTTATTAATATGGTGAAGCACCTTAATTGATTTCAAATGTTTAACCAAACATATCCTGGAGTAAAACTGACTCAGTTATAAAGTATTGTGCTTTTTATATATTGTTCAACTTACTAACATTTTGTTTATGACATTTCCATCTATGTTCATGAGCAATATCTGTCTATAGTTTTCCTTCCTTCCTTCCTTCCTTCCTTCCTTCCTTCCTTCTTTCTTTCTTTCTTTCTTTCTTTCTTTCTTTCTTTCTTTCTTTCTTTCTTTCATCTATCTTTCTTTCTTTCCTCCTTTCTTCTTTTTCTTTCATTTTTTGACAGATGCTTACTTTGTAGCCCAGCCTGGAGTGCAGTGGCACAATCACAGCTCACAGCAGCCTCAACCTTTCAACCTTCTGGGTTCAAGTGATCCTCCCACCTAAGCCTCCCAAGTAGCTGGGACCACAGGCATGTGCCATCATGCCTGGCTAATTTTTTTTTTATTTTTATTTTTTTGCAGAGATGAGGTCTCACTATTTTGCCCAGGCTGGTCTCAAACTCCTGAGCTCAAGCAATCCTCCTGTCTCAGCCTCCCAAACTGCTGGGATTATAGGCATGAGACACTGTGTCTGGCCTATAGTTTTCTTTTATAAATGTTTTTGTAGGGTTTTGATATCAATGTAATATGGTCCTCATAAAATAGAGTGAGGATTATTCTTTTAAATCTGAAAGAGTTTATACAGAATTGGTGTTATTTTTTCTTTATATGTTTGGTAGAATTTATCAGTGAAGCCATCTGGGCCTGGGGTTTTCTTTGTAGAAAGGTTTTGAACTATGAATCCACTTTATATAATAGACATGGTGTTATTCAGGTTGTTCATGTCTTCTTATGTTAGCTTTGGTCACTTAAATCTTTCAAAGAAATTCTGTATTTCATTTAAGTTGTCAAATTTATTGACATGAAGTTCATAATTAAACTTATCCTTTTAGTATCTATAGAATCTGTAGGAATATCCTTCTCCTTATTCCTAAAATTGATAACATCTTCTCTCTTTTTTTCTTAGTATGTCTGCCTAAAGGTTTATCAATTTTATTGATATTTTTGAAAAAAACAGCTTTGAGTTTTATTTTTATTTATTTAATTTTTGGAGTCTCTCTCTGTCACCAGGCTGGAGTGTAGTGGTGCAATCTCAGCTCACTGAAACCTCCACCTCCTGGGTTCAAGCAATTCCCCTGCCTCTGCCTCCCGAGTAGCTGGGATTACAGGTGCTCGCCACCATGCCCGGCTAATTTTTTTTTATTTTAGCAGAGACAGGGTTTCACTGTGTTGGCCAGGATGGTCTCGATCTCCTGACCTTGTGATCCACCTGCCTCAGCCTCCCAAAGTGCTGGGATTACAGGTGTGAGCCACCGTGCTCAGCCAAGTTTTATTGATTTTATAACATTTTTATTTTTTGAAATTAATTTATGTCATAATCCTTATTGTATTTTTCTTCTATTCAACCTGGTTTTAAAGCCCCCTTATTGTCCTACTTTTTAAAGGTAGAAACTGAGGTCATTGATTTGAAATTTTGTTCTTTTCTAATATAGGCATTTTATTTTGCTGTACATTGTTCCCTAAGTACTTCTTTAGCATTATTCCATACATTTCGATATGTTGTACTTTCTTCTTTTTTTTAGTTCAAAATAATTTCCAGTTTACATTTGCTTTCTTATTTGCCAATGTGTTATTTAGGGGTGTATAGTTTCAAAATATTTGAAAAATTTTCATAGATCATTCTATTATTAATTTCCAATTGAATTCTGATGTGGTGAGGGTACATAGAGTCATGCACTGCACGACAATGTTTCATTCAAAGATGGGCCACATGTATGATAGTGATCCCATAAGAAAATGGAGCTGAAAAATTCCTGCCACCCAGTGACATCATAGCTATTGTCATTACATCATAGTGCAATGCATTACTCATTTGTTTGTAGTGATACTGATGTAAACATAGCTACTGCACTACCAGTTGCATAACAGTATAGCAATACAATTATGTAGAGTACATAATACTTGATAGTGATACTAACTAATTTTTAGTGGTTTATGTATTTATTATACTGTATTTTATCATTATTTTGGAGTATACTCATTCCACTTATTTAAAAAAAACTGTTTATAAAATGGCCTCAGGCAGATTCTTCAGGAGGATTCCAGAAGAAGGCATTATCATAAGAAATGACAACTCCATGTGTGTTATTGACCATGAAGACCTTCTGTAGGACAAGATGTGGAGATGGAAGGCAGTGATATTTATGATCTTGACCCTGTGTAGGCCTAGGCAAATGTGTATGTTTGTGTCTTCATTTTTAACAAAAAACCTAAAAAGTAAAAAACAAAAAAAATTAAAAATAGACCAACACTTATAGAATAAAGGCAAAAAGAAAGAAAAAATACTTTTGTAAAGCTATACAATGTGTTTGTGTTTTAAGCTGTATGCTGTTACAAAAGAGTCAAAAAGCTAAACATTCAGAAGTTTATGAAGTAAAAAAGTTTTGGTAAGCTAAGGTTCATTTATTATTGAAGAAAGAAATATTTTTTATAAATTTAGGATACCCTAATTTTACGGTGTTTATAAAGTCTACAGTAGTGTACAGTGATGTTCTAGGCCTTCACATTCACTCGTCACTCACCCACTGACTCACCCAAAGCAACTTCCAGTCCTGCAAGCTCTGTTCGTGGTGAATGCCTGATACGTGTTTACCATTTTTTATCTTTTATAGCAGGGGTCCCCAACCCCCATGGTACCAGTCCGTGGTCTGTTAGGAAGTGGGCCACACAGCAGTAGGTAAGTGGCAGGTGAGCGGCAGGTGAATGAGAATTACCGCCTGAGCTCCACCTCCTGTCAGATCAGTGGTGGCATGAGATTCTCATAGCAGTGCAAACCCTATTATAAACTGTGCATGCAAGAAATCTAGGTTGCACGCTCCTTATGAGAATCCAATGCCTGATGATCTATCACTGTCTCCTATCACCCCCAAATGGGATCATCTAGTTTCTAGTTGCAGGAAAACAATTGCAGGGTTCCCACTGATTCTACATTATGGTGAGTTGAATAATCATTTCATTATATATTATAGCGTAATAATAATAGAAATAAAGTGCACAATAAATGTCATGTGCTTGAATCATCCCCAAACCATCCCCTCTAGCCTGGTCCATGGCAAAATTGTCTTTTGTGAAACTGATCCCTGGTGCCAAAAATGTTGGGGACCACTGTCTTATACCACATTTTTATTGTACCTTTTCTGTGTTTAGTTATATTTACATACACAAATACTTACCATTGAATTACCATTGCTTACAGTAATCAGCACAGTATCATGTTGTACAGGTTTTTAGTGTAGGAGCAATAGATTACACCACCATATAGCTAAGGTATGTAGTAGGCTATACTACCTGGGTTTGTGTTAAGTATACTTTATGATATTTACATAATGAAATCACCTAATGATGCATTTCTCAGAATGTATCCCTGTTGCCAAATGTTATATGACTGTACTTTGTATAATTCAAATCCTTTTAAATTTTGTAAGCTTGCTTTATGGCCCAGAGTATAATCAATCTATCTTGGTAAATGTTCTGAGTGTAGTTGAAATTAATGTACATTACATTCTTGTTGGGTGAAATGGTTTAAAAATGTCAGGTCAAGTTGGTTGGTGTTCAAATAGTGTGTGTCTTTACCGATGTTTTGTTTACATATTCTGTTAATTTTTAGGAGGAACATGTAATCTCTTTCTGAACCTTTGGATTTGTCTATTTTTTCTCCATATTTCGATCAGTTTTTACTTCATGTATTTTGAAGTTGTATTATTAGTACATGAACATTTAAGATTGCTAGGTCCTCCTAAAGATTTAACCCCTTTAAAATTATTAAATGAAACGCTTAATCCCTGGTAATAATCTGTGCTCTGAAATCTACTATGTCTATATTAATACAGCCACTCCATATCGTTTTGATTAGTACTAGCATTGCACCTTTTTTCATAAGTTTAATCCAATTGTGCCTTTTTATTTAAGGTAAATTTCCTGTAGGCAGCATATAATTCGATCTTAGTTTTATATCAAATCTGACAATTCCTTCTTTTTAATTGGGGTATTTGGAACATTTATATTTAATATAGTTATTATATGGTTTGTTTCAAATATATGATCTTGCTTTCTATTGCCTTAATTTTTGTTTTTCTATTTGTCCCATCTGGTCTTTGTTCACTTTTATTTTGCTTATGCCTTCTTTGCATTGGTTAAATATTTCTTATTATTATATTTTATTTCTTAGTCCATTCAGGCTGCTATAACAAAATATCTTAGACTGAGTAATTTATAAACAATGGAAATTTATATTTCAGAGGTCTGGGGCTCGGAAGTCTAAGATCAAAGAGTCAACATGATCTAATCACCTTCTAAAGGCCTCACTTCTTAATACTATTGCACTGGAGATTAGGTGCCCACATAGGAATTTGAGGGTATGGCGTATAAATATTCAGACCATAGCAGCTACTTTATTATGTATTCATTATAATTCTTTATTTTTCATTTCAGCAATGTATAGTATTCATCTTTAACTTATCATACTCTATTTTGAAATGATATTATACCTCTCTATTTTCAGTATAAAAATTGTACAATAGTATACTTCCAATTCTCTCCTCCTGATCTTTCTGCTAACATTGTCAAACACTTTCACATATGCTATAAGCTCCACAATAGTATATTGTAACTATTTTTGTTAAGCTGTCAATTTGGACTTAAATAATGAGAAATAAATCTCACATATTTACCCATATAGTTATAATTTCCATTACTATTTATTATTTCTGTAGATCTATATTTCTTTCTCTTGTCATTTACCTCCTGTTTAAAGAACTTCCTTTCACATTTCTTGTAATGTGGGTTTGCTTATAATTAATTCTTTCAACTTTTGTAAATCTTAAAAAACGCTTATTTTGCCTTCATTCTTGAAAGGTATGTGTATTGGGTATAGAATTCTAAGTTGGCAGATTTTTTTTCTTCCAATACTCTGAAGATGTTATTCCACTATTTTCTCACTTGCCTGGTTTCTGATGAGATATCTGCTAGCATCTTTATTTTTGTTCCTGTATATATAATGTGTCTTTTTTTATCCTCCTGCTTCTAAAATTTTTTCTTTACCACTGGTATTGAGCAAATTTCTTTTTATGTTTCTTTACCTAGGGGTTCCTAGATCTGTACATTTATAGTTTTAATCAAAGTTTAATAATGCTTTGGTTCTTTCTTGTTCAAGTATTTGTTCTCCCCTGCCCTCCCTTTCCTCTCCTTTGGGCTTCACCTAGGTTATTGATAACAGGTGTATACCCCTCACCTTACTAATGTTATTTTAATATTTTAAAATTCTCTCTTTTCTGTGTCAGTTCTGAGTTGTTTCTACTGATTATTAATCTCCTCATTATGGCTTATGTTCTTCTGCCCCACCCCCCACCTATTTTTTAGACAGGGGTCTCACTCTGTAGCCTAGACTAGAGTGCAGTGGCATGATTATAGCTCACTATAACGTTGAACTCCTGGGCTCTCAAGTGATCCTCCTCTCTCAGCTCCCTGAATAGCTAGAATTACAGGCGTGCATCACCACACCTGGCTAAGTTTTATTTTATTTTTTGTAGAGATGGGGTCTTGCTATGTTGCTTGGGCTGGTCTTGGACTCTTGACCTCAAGTGATCCCTCTGTGGCCTCCTAAAGGGCAAATGCTGGGATTATAGGTGTCACCCACCATGCCTGGCCATTTTCCTTCCTTTTTGTGTGCCTACTAATTTTAGCTGGATATCAAACACTGAATTTTACCTTGTGAGGTGCTGGATGATTTTTTTTTTTTTTTTTGGAGGGGAGGGAAGGAGTCTCACTCTGTCACCCAGGCTGGAGTGCAGTGGTGTGATCTTGGCTCACTGCAACCTCTGCCACCCAGGTTCAAGCAGTTCTCTGCCTCAGCCTCCCAGGAAACTGGGATTACAGGCGCCCACCACCACGCCCGGCTGCTTGATGATTTTTAGAAACATTTTTATAATTACTTTTGAGTTCTGTCTGGGACACAATAAGTTACTTCCAAGTAAAATCCCTTCAGGTCTTGCTTTTGAAGATTTGCTAGGTGGTATAGGAACAGTGCTCCGTGTAAAGCTAATTATTCTTTTTGTGCACTTTACCCAATTCCCCAGGAATCATGAGGGCTTTCATATGGCTTGTGGGAATAGAAACTCTTCCCATGATTACCAGACATTAATACCTTCATTCTTTTGTGTAATTTTTTTTTTCACAATCTCAAGTAGTTTTCTCACACATGTACACTCATTAGTACTGAACTAAATACGTGAGGGAAACTCTCAGTAGACGCCAGAGTTCGCTCCCTGTGTAATTTTCTCTTCTCAGGTTCTCTGTTCTGCAAATTCTAGCCACCTTGGTCTCGCTAGACTCTCACCTCCATCCGCTCAACTCAGCGAGTCCGCTGTGCTCTATGTGAGTTTGCCCTCCCTGCCTTGCAGCCTGGAGACTCTCTGAAAGCAGTAAGCTGAAGGAATTGTGTGGCACATCTCCTTTGTTTCCCATCTCAAGGTTATTATCGTTTGTTACTTTATGTACAGTGTCCTGCAAATCTGTGTTTTGTATATTTTGTCCATTTTTTGTTATTTCATGTGGGAGAAGAAATCTAGTCTGTCACTCCATCTTTGCCAGAAGCAAATGTCCTTAATTTTGTGGATCTGAATTTCCATCTGGTTTTATTTTCTTTACACTTGAAGAACTTCCTGTAGTACAGGCCTGCTGGTAATGAATTCTCTTAGGTTGTGTTTGTATAAAAACACTTTTTCCCCTTTATTTTTAATGATGTTTTTACTGGTTTTACAAATAGAGATTAAAAAGTTTTTGTTTTCATTTATCATTTCAAATATGCCTTTTCATTGTTATTTGGTGTTACGGGCTGAATTGTTTCCTCCCAAAATTCATATGTTGATGTCTTAGCCCCCAATAGCTCAGAATGCAACTGTGTTTGGAGATATGTCCTTACCTAAGTAAGGTGAAACGAAGTCATATGCGTGGGCCCTAATCCAGTATGACTGACATCATTACAAGAAGAGGAAACAGAAGAGAATACAGATACAGAAAGAAGACCATGTGAAGATACTGGAAGAATATGGCTATGATGGTTAATTGTATGTGTCAACTTCAGTGGGATATGGGATGCCCAGACTAAACATTGTTTTGGGGTGTGTCTCTGAGTGTACTTCCAGATAAGATTAGCATTTGAATTGGTGGACTCAGTAAAGCAGATTGCCCTCTCCAATGTGGTTGGGTATTGGTTAATCTGCTGAAGGCCTGATTAAAACAAAAGGTGGGAGAAGAGAAATTCTCCCCATTTTCCTGCCTCACTGCTTGAGCTGGGACATTTCATCTCATCTTCTGCTGCCCTTGAACTTGTGTTTACATCATCAGCTCTCCCGGTTCCCAGACTTTTTCACTGGGACTGAATAACAACATCGGCTTTCCTGAGTCTCCAGCATGCATGAGCCAATTCCTCATTTTTATATAATGAAGAAAATATATAATGAAGGATATGTACATTGAATACACACTACATACGACATTCATAATATATTATACATGCAATTAATATGTGTCATAACATACATATGTAGTATATCCTATTGGTTCTCTTTCTCTGTAAAACCCTAATACAATGGTCATTACAAACTAGGGAGAAAAACTTTCTGAATAATTTTTAGCCTCCAGAACTATGAGGAAATAAATTTCTATTTTTTAGCCACCCAATCTGTGGTACTTGGTTATGGCAGCCCTAGCAAACTAATACATCTGCTTTGCATAATTTCTGTCAAGAAGTCTAAAATTATTCCCCTCTTTATTGTCCAATATGTAGTGTATCCATTTTTTTCTCTAGCTGCATTTAAGAATTTCTCTTTATGACTTTTTTAGCAAGTAGATTATGGTTTTCTTTGAACTTAAACTGTGCAGTATGTGTTAAGCTTATAGATTTCATCAAATTTGGAAAAATTGAACATTATTATTGAAATATTTTTAATCACCCACACTCACTGTTTTTTTTTCTTTTTCTGGAACTCCAACTATACAAACATTAGATTGCTTAATATTGGACCATAGGTCACTGACTCTCTGTATTTTTTTTTCTTTTTTTTCTCTGTATTGTAGTTTGTTCAGTTTCTATGTCTTTAATTTTAGTGGTCTTTTCCTCTGCATTATCTGTCATTAACCATGTCTAATTTTTTTTAAATTTCAGATGTTATATTTTTTGGCTCTACAAATACCATTTTTTATGTCTCACATTTCTTTCTTTGTGACGTTTAATTTTTAAAAGATATTGAGTGAATATGTAATAACTTAAAGACTTTGCTAATTCTACCACCATTTTCATTTCTGGATCTGTTTCTAGTGACTGATTTTTTTTTCTTCCTAGATAATGGCTGCAATGTCTTGCTTCATTGAATCCTTAGTAATTTTTTATTGCGTACTGAACATCTCAACATCGTGGTTTCTATCTCTAAATATTCAAAATATATACTTTTTACACATGGTAAATATTTACTTTTGTTGTCTTTATTTTTATTTACATATTTATTTTTTTGAGATGGAGTTTCATTCTTTTTGCCCAGGCTGGAGTGCAATGGCACGATCTCAGCTCACTGCAACCTCCACCTCCCAGATTCAAGCGATTCTCCTGTCTCAGCCTCCCGAGTAGCTGGGAGTACAGGCATTCGCCACCACGCCCAGCTAATTTTTTGTATTTTTAGTAGAGACAGGGTTTCACCATGTTGGCCAAGCTGGTCTTGACTTCCTGACCTCAGGTGACCTGCTCGCCTCGGCCTCCCAAAATGCTGGGATTACAGACATGAGCCACCACGCCTGGCCGTTTTTGTTGTCTTTAAAAGTGGTGAACTTGGTTCTGGCACTTAGTTAAGTAACTTACACGTCAGTTTTTAGAGTTTTGCTTTTAAATATTATTAAGTTCTTCTTGAGTAGCTTTTACTCTGTAGCTGATTTAACCCTATTACAAAGACATAATTTTTTAGGGTCAATACTGAATACCCTGGGTTTTTAACAAGGACTCTGTACTCTGGCAATTGTAACATTGTCTCCTGGCTCTGTATGAGCTCCGGGCACTCTTCAATTTGAAATTTAATATTCAGGAACAGACTGAAAAGGAATCCATTTCAGATTTCCAGAGATATTTTCTGCATAGTTTCTCTCTTTCCTGTAATCTACCTGCAAATTCCTACTGTCTCAATCTCCCCAAATTGGGATTTTTGTCTTCTCTTCTCTGCTTGGGTTCTGCTATACTGCATTATGGTCCAGAAAAAAATAAGGGGACTGTCATCGGGGTGAGATCAGGGTGAATGTAGGAATCAATCCAATCTTTTTTGTTTTCTCTGAGATCACAGTCCAGCTCTAGCTGTTGTCTACTCTCTGAAAAGAGCAGTCTCTTTTATTTCATCCAATTTTATAGTGTTTGTTTTTCCTTTAACAGCAAGAGAGCAAGTCCAGTATTAGTTACTTCAACATGGCCAGAAGTAAAAAGCCTACAACTAGAATTTAATGTTTAAAAATGTATGTGTAAGTTGTGCTGTGAAAGTGCAGTGGTTCTGTCAAAAGACGGTTGTATGTCTTTGTCAAATTTTGTGTTTCATTTTTAGATACATTTACACGTAAGTCAAAATATGAATCAATGTTGACATTTAAAAAGTACACCTAAGTGTTCATTCAGGCAAAGTATATGAAAATTCTAAGATAAAAATTCCACATAATAATCTATTTTACAGGCATCTCACACATACCTGAGCATATATAAAAAGTGTATAGTAAATAACATATGACATCAATTTGAGAAGATTTGTAACATGCTTGGAGAAAATAGAAAAGAGAAAATGTTACATTTATTATAAGATATAGTTTTGAAATGAATTTAAGATGAGAAAAATACATTCAAGAAGAAAAAGGAGAAACACGACAAATTTATAACCTGTACTACATGTACTTTTGAATACATACATTTAAATGAAATATAAGTGAAATTTAAAATAATAATTAAAAATTAACATTTTTTCAGCATATATGATGTTTAAGACAGTATGGTTTTATGATCCAAAAAAAAAAAAAGGAAAAAGACACCATGTTTCCTAACTTTAAGAAATTCACTATCTAGTTGGGGAAATAAGACAGAAGAAAAAGGCAGGTAATTCCTAATGAGTGAAAGTGTCAATAGTGTACCTTGGTCTCTGTAGTTTTGTAGAGAACTCAAAACTATTGACATACATCACAGCCACAAGAATCCAGTGGGTTTCAACTCTGTTAGGGACCTTTTTCTGGATCCTAAGGAACACAACATATGATACAGGCCTTCATGGCTGAATGCCTTGTCTTTTTTCAAAAAAGAACATTTTTCTTCCCGGTGATATTCAGTCTACTATTCCTGAGCAAAGACAGCTAAGTTACTTAGACACAAGCTGCATCCTAAACTCTGTCCTAGCTTGCATTTCATACAGCCACAGGCGTGCACTGGGTAACACCCTTTGTTGGATTAATCCATTTCTAAATCATTTGTCTGAAGTCTTTTTCATGAAGACTTAAAAGACACTCTAGGGCAACTTAAAGTGTAGAAGGTGTGGCAGTGTGAAAGCAGAATCTATGAAAAAGGGAAGTTTTTGTGAATGACGGATATGTAAGTTTGGCCTTCAGGGCATACTAAAGCAGGGGGTGGATCATCCCAAAATTGTTTCATACATGTAATTAATTTTCCTATAGTTGCAGAACGTCATTTATATTCTGTAAGGAAATAATGTTAGCATGCATATTATAAATTTAAATTTAACCTGGAAACAGTTTTATTTCACCAGATGTAAAATGCCTTATAAACAAACAGGTATTACTTCCCTTTTATTTACTTCCACTATTATTCCCCATTTTTCTTCCCTTGACATCTTATCTCCTCTGTCAAAGTCCCTGATTTTTTTTTTTTTTTTTTTTTTTTTTTTGAGATGGAGTCTCGCTCTGTCACCCAGGCTGGAGTGCAGTGGCCCGATCTCGGCTCACTGCAAGCTCCGCCTCTCGGGTTCACTTCTCCTGCCCCAGCCTCCCGAATAGCTGGGACTACAGGCGCCTGCCACCACGCCCAGCTAATTTTTTTGTATTTTTAGTAGAGGTGGGTTTTCACCATGTTAGCCAGGATGGTCTTGATCTCCTGACCTTGTGATCTGCCCACCTCGGCCTCCCAAAGTGCTGGGATTACAGGCGTGAGCCACCGCACCCGGCCGCATTAATATTGTTCATTATGTATTTTTTTATAATTAATAAATCTGATTGATGCATTATTATTAACTGAAGTCCATAGTTTACATGCAGATTCACTCTTTATGTTGGACAGTTCTATGGGTTTTGACAAACGTATAATGCATTTACCCACGTTATAGCATCATAAATAGCAGTTTCATCGCCTTAGAAATATCCCATGCTTTCTCTATTCATCTCTTCCCCTTCTGGTAACCATGATCCTTCTGCTGTTTCTGTAGCTTTTTGACTTTTCTAGAATGTCATATAATTAGAATCATGTCATGTGACTTTTTAAGATTGGCTTCTTTCATTTGACAATAGGCATTTAAGGTTTCTCTAGGTTTTCGGTGGCATGATAGCTCAGTTAAGATGTTCCATAGCTTGTCGATTTATTTATCTGTTGAGGGATGTCTTGGTTGCTTTCAGTTTTTGGCAATTATGAATAAAGCTTCTAAATGCTCACATGTAGGCTTTTGTGTGTGGGTAAGTTTTCAAACTAATTGAGTAAATACCTAGAAGTGTGAATGCTGGATCATGCGGCAAGAGTAAGTTCAGTTTTATAAGAAACTAACTGCCTAACTTTCTTCCAAGTGCTGTTACCATTTTGCATTCCCACCAGCAACAGATGAGTTTCTGTTACTCGCCATCCCTGCCAACATTTAGTGTTGTCAGTGTTTGAGATTTTAGCTATTCTAATAGGTTTGTGGTGGCATCTCATTGTTTTTTTGTTTTTATTTAAAAAAAACAGACTCTTGCTCTGTCTCCCAGGCTGGATTGCAGTGGTACAAGCATGGCTCACTGCAGCCTCGACCTCCTGGATTCAAGCAATCCTTCTACCTCAGACTCCTGAGTATCTGGGACCACAGTCATAAGCTACCATACCTGGCTAGTTTTTAAAATTTTGTAGAGATAGGGGTCTCGCCATGCTGCCCAGGCTGATCTTGAACTCCTGGGCTCAAGTGATCCTCCCACCTTAGCTTCCTGAAGTGCTGGGATTATAGGTATGAGCCACCATGCCTGGCTCTCTCATTGTTGTTTTAATTTACAATTTTCCCAATGATGTGATGTTGAAAGTATTTTCATGTGCTTGTTTGATGTATGTACATCTTCTTTGATGAGATGTCTGTTCAGATCTTTTGCTTATTTTCAAGTTTCTCCCAGTCTGTGTCTTGATTTTTCTCAAGATGTTTTTCTTGACAGTGTCTTTCACAGAGCAGAAGTTATTTTTTTGATAGTCTATCTTATCATTTTTTCTTGCATTTTTTTTATTTTTTTGGTGTTGTATCTAAAAGCTTATTGCCAAACCCAATGTTTCCTATATTTTCTCCCATATTATTTCTTAGAAGTTTTATTGTTTTGCATTTTGTATTTAGGATTATAATTCATTTTGAGTTTTTTTTGTGAAAGGTGTAAGGTCTGTGTCTAGATCTATATTTTTACACATGAATGCCCAACTGTTCCAGCCCCACTTGTTGAAAAGAAAAACCTTTCTCTATTAAATTTTCTTTGTTTCTTTGTCAAAGATCAATGGACTATATGTGAGTGGGTGTGATTTTTTTCTATATTTAAAAAGTAAGATTTTTTTAAATAAAATGAAATATAAATAAAAATACAAATTATCTGTAAAGAGGGAGCTTCCACGTATTAGATGATGGAATCAAGTTCATTTTATTTTCCTCCCTTGATTTAGAAATCACCCCAAAGGAACAAGTATAATGGCATACAGACACAGATTTTATCTCTGATGACAGTAGGAAGGTTTTTTTGTGTGTGTGTGTGTGTGTGTGTGTGTGTTTTTTTTTAAATCTTAAATCACAGTATCTAAGAAGGATTGCCAGATGCAGTGCTGGTTAAATAAGGATGCCAAGGGAAACCTAGATTTTCTATGTGGGGCTGTGAAACTAAACAGCTGGAATTCTCCAAAATTGACATACCTCCTAGGAGCAATGCCTTCTTTTGAACAACAGAAGCGGGTAATTGGACTAGTGACAGATCTTCCCTGAAAGTTATTTTATACCATAAAGAAGCACACACGCACTCACACACACGCTCAGCCCTGTGCCATAAAGTATCTATGCCATAAAGCTTTTAACTTTAGTATAAAACAGAAAAAAAATTCTCCTTAGAATACTTGTCTCCAATGCATGAACTTTATTTAATTAACTAGTAGAGGATAAACCTGCTTCACTCAAAGATTATCTATCTATCTATCTATCTATCTATCTATCTATCTATCTACCTATCTATACACACACATATATATATACTCCCATCTCTCCGGCAGTTATTACCCAGGATAACTGATGCAAATTATGTAATATATAAACCATATATACATATATATAAAGTTATCTTTGAGTGAAGCAGAAGCAGGTTTATCCTCTACTAGTTAACTAAAGTTTATTATATATTATATATAAGGTTTATATATATATTATATATATTTAATTAGAGATATTTAAAAAGTCAGAAAAGGAACAGAGAAAATAGATAGCAGCCAAGGAATATTGATCAAAAATGCTGCCACAAAACATGAAAATTGAAATCACACATAGGCACGCATTTAAGAAATTTAATAAAACATCTGCCTCTGTTCTATAAAAAAGGCCCAAAGCAGAGATCCAAAGGCTCAAAGTGATGACCATTGTCCTAATTTTGATCTAAATGTCCTTAAGGAAATGGAAATCCTAGGGACCACTTGTAAGTCCCTTCACACTCCTCCATAGTTAAGTAGGGCAGTCACTTAAGTACGATTTGAGAGGTACCAAAAGCCAAACCTGACCCTCCAATTCTTCCTCCATTTGGCAACTTTGGCATTATTCTCTCTTTCTGCCTAACACAAGAAGAAATTAATGACTCTTCTGGTCAGATAAGCAGCTTCATATCAACATGACCAGGATATTCTCAAAATGGGTGCTTCCTGCAGAGAAAGAGTTGGGACCTATGTGGCTGCTTTGATGACCTGGTTTAAGCACATATCAGGTTATCAGTTGAGGTTTGTTGAACATTCCATAGAGCCTATCCATGAAGATGAGATATCCATCAGATGGACTGCTGTGCAGAGGATAACCTAGGAGTAACAGGCTGCAAGATGGTACTGAACAGGCTCAGTAATAGGACCTCAGAGGATTGGAAGAAGTATTTTTAGCCAGTTTTGGAAAAAAGATATTAAGAAAAAAATATTTTCTTGGGAAGGCAACACCTTCTGAATCTGTAAGTCCAAGTCTAAATATGGAACTCCATTAGAAATTACCTGTGTGGCTTGAAGCAAATTACTCAACCTCTGCATCTGCTGTAATTTTTTGCTTTCTGGTTACCGTAGGGAGATCTTTTTTTCCTTTCTTCCTGTCCTGTTGTCTACCTTTGCTGTTTGGTGATTTTCTGTAGTGAGAGTCTTTGATTCCTTTCTCTTCCTTTTTTTGTGTAAAATCATCGACACTCTGAAAGCTAGTTTTCCTCTCTGAAATGCATGAAATAATGTTTGAATTGTAGGTTTCTAGATATTGTAATTGAGATGATGTTGGGAAAGTACACAATACATTGGCTAGCACATAGTAGGCAGCTGATGACCTCTCAGGCTGCGATGCTCCACCCCATGGGCACTGTTCTCAAAGTGGATGGCCCTGGCTGCTGTGGAATGTGGAGGCCATGGGAAATCAATGAGAAGAGCTATTACTATTATGACTGTCTTCTCATTTTGCCTAGATGTAGCTCCACTCAGTCATGTATTGAACTAGCACAAGAAAATAAACTCTTTGATCCCTCCGTTTATTTTCTATCTCTTCATAGTCGGCAGTGGGATGCATGTGAAAAATGCCTATACTGATGGAAAAGGGTGCCTTGTGAAAGTCACTCTGTTTCCTTAACTGGTTTCAGAAGGCAAATCATTTAAGGATTTGCATCCTCAGTTTCTTCACCTGTCAAATGAGAGACTTTGACCAAATAGTCTTTAACGTTCTTTCCAGAATTCTTTGATTTACCACCTGGATCCCATTCAACACTTTAATCCTGGGACTGCCCACAGACAGGAAATCTTGTTCTCAAAATGACAATGAAATTCATTTAACATGAATTCCCAGGGGATAGGGGAAATGGGCCAGACTTTTCCTACAAGTTTGTGACATTTAGTCCTTAGCAAGTAAAGGAAGCTGTCAGACTAAGCTTAAAATATTCCCTTTCTCTGATAGTGTATTAATTAAACATGCTTAATCATTGCTGCAACAGCTTTGCAGAGAAAATTTAAGTACAGAGGACTCAGGGAACAAGCAGGTTATGGGAAAGTAGAAAAAAGTCAAGGGCATGTTTGAACCTCCTCCTTTCATTTCTTTTAATTTTAAGGGCTTGAGCAGTTGCTGAAAGGCCTTAGTGTGAGTAGATTGGAGTTCTGTCCTGTTGAAATATCACTCAACTCCCATCTCTCTGGCAGTTACTATCCAGGATAACTGACGCAAAGTGAGAACACACACGTAAGTCCCTTTCAAAGGAAAACCATCATATCTACTCCCACTTTCTTAACAGGTTTTCTAAGTCTTCAATAAGTTTGTGTTAGCTGGGAATGAATGTCTGAATTTAGGCTTCAGAAATGTTCCTCCCCTCCACCCCCAATCTGTATAATTACTGTTTTTTTCCTGAAGTCTTTCAAAATACTATAATTAACAGATTGGCAGATAACCCATATAACTGCAGTTAAGGCAAATATAGTATGCAGCTGTCTTTGCATTAAGTGATTAAATCAAATAGCATAGTTTTGAAGTACATTTATAAAGCATAAATTTACCTCCTGGCAAAACTGTCTTAAGTAACACACCCTACACCATCTGTTCACTCAGTATTAATACCATATTTCCCAGGACTATAGCTAGGGAGAGCAGAGCTACCAGCTGTGCAGAACCAAGAGGTGCTGAGAGATCCTTTGGAATACTCAGCAAGTTTTGGATCCTCTTAAGGATGCTCATAATAATCATGTATCTCAAACATACACACAAAACATCCATGCACACACACAGACACTCATGCATGCACACACACATATCATGCACATGCACAAACATGCATACGACCTCAAGATGCAGATGGTCTGTATTTTGATCTTTTGAAAGTGTGCTCACTTTTCATCAACAAGGCAATACACGGGTGTTACCTTAAGTGCATCTATTCAAGTACTTCTTTCATTAAAGTATTTGTTAGACAATAAGTCATTCAATTCCTCTATGTGTCAGATTAGGTACTAGGGATACAATTGTGAACAGGGATGGCGCTTGCTCTCCTGGAACTTACAGCCTAGCATAGACATCTTTCATTAATAGACTAATTACAACCAATAGTGATGTTTTAAAGACAGAATAGAAAACCACACAAGCCTAACCTCATTTAGGATTTATCAAATCCAAAGACATGAATAGTTTTCAACTCAAGAATATGTACAATAAGTGAAAGAAGTTCAGCCACTAAAAACTTATTCAGGACATGTCATGTCGGTGAACAAAACAAGAAAAGATGTTTACAATTTGATGAAGAAAACTGAAGCTAGTAGTAAAAGGACATGCTAGATACAATGATTCAGACTATTGTGCAGAGGTTCAGAAGTATCAAGCAAGTATTGAGAAATGGGAAGCCTGACATGTTTTCTGGAACAATCGTTATCAACTCTGGCTACACGTTAGAATCATTTGGGAAACCTTTTACAAATATTCATTGCCAGGTCTCACGGCAGACCAATTCCATTAGAAAATCTGCAAATGAAACTGGGGGCTTCTCTCTTTTTTTAAAGTTCTTGAGGTGATTTTAATGAGCCCTATCCTGTAAAGAGTGGGTTTTGAACTAGTCATCTAATGATGATATCATCTAGAGCTGCACTGTCCAATATATTAGCCACTAGCCACATGTGGCTATTTAAATTTAAATCAGTGAAAATTAAATGAAATGAGAATTCAGGTTCTCAGCCACCTAGCCCCATTTCTAGTGCTCACTAGTCACATGTGGCTAATGGTTGACATGTTGGAAAACACAGAACATTTCCATCTTTGCCGAAAACTCTGTTGGACAGTATTACTGTAGATGGATGAAGATGAGAAAAGTGGACAGTAATAGAAGTGAAGGCATGGCGGTGGGAAAGACATGAGCAGCAGTAGGGAAAAGCAACTCATTTCTTAGAGCAGTGGGAACATGTCGTGAAACAAGGTGTGTGAGCTGATCAGTAGAAGATGGCTCAGTGTGGGGCTCCTCAGCCAGGCAGGAACAGGGGCAATGGGAAGATAGGATGGAGAAGAGTACTGAAATAAAAACCAGGTTAAAGAAAAATGGCCAGGCATATTTCAGGATGAATGGAAGAAAGAGTGACTGGTGTCTGTAAATGGACTTTCAAACTTTCTTTTTTGTACTGGGTTAACTACTAAGATCAAATGAAAACCTAGTTCATTTAGCTAGAGCACATGTTACTCCATTGCTAGTGTTCTCAGGGAAGTCACACAGAAAATAATTCAAACGTAAAAAAATTCAAAGATATAATGGATTCAAATGCAACATTCTTAAAGGTGCAAAGTTAGAGCTTACAAAGTCATATTTTACATCATACAGTTGTACCAGCAAAGATTGTACAGGTTATCCAGGTCAATATTCTCATTTCCTAAATGAAAATATAGAAGTACAAACATAGTAAATGAATTTCCCAGGGTCTCACAGCGAACCCAAGGCAGGAATTTAACTAGGGGTCAGGTTGTCCAGTTTCTAGACTGGGGATCGTTTTATTACATACCACTTTCTAGATTTTTGACATATAGGAAAAAGCAAAGCCAATTATAAAGAGCTTGCTTTCTCATAAGGTTTCCCAAATGGAGCTACTTTGGGGAGAAAAGCAAAGAGCAGGGATGTACATCAACAGATGGAAATAAAAGGCTTTTATTATTATTATCATTTTTTGAAGAAAAGTGGATGCGCATTCTTAATTTCTGTGGCTTACATGAAACACCAAGAAGTCAAGCAAACTCCTTTGCTTTTTTTGTTGTTATGATATAGTGATTCTTTTAGAGGGACAGATTATTTGACCTTTTTGAGGACTTAGTATTATAAAAAATCTTGGGTCCCTAATAATTCATTGTAACTGCAATGCCTTATTTACATCTCATATAAACTGTAATATATTATTATTAGATAGACATAGAGTTTTCTGTTGTTGTTTAATCTAAAAACATAAAGAAATTTCCCTTCATTAAATTCTGAGTAATGTATAGCTGCCAGGCTAGGCTGAAGATTCAGGCTGGAAAAAAAAGATTCTGAATTTTGTTGTACGTCAATATTTATTACTGTATCAGTAGCTACAGTTAATATACTTAGAATTTATTAGTAGTCTTTATCAGGAGGCAGAAATCGACTCCATAATTATTGTGACTCACGTATCCTTCAGGCATTTTTTAATCTTACTTTTGTTTACTGCCACTTGTACTGAACATTTCACATTGCAATTCATAAAGAAGCAGCTCACAGAAAACTAGTATCTGGGCTACCCCAATATTTTCCATTTTATTAGTCAATGGGAGTGGCTTTAAGCTACCCAACTTATAATTTTTAACCAAAACACACAATTTAATCATTTTAGGATGTGTTCAAGCACAGCTCCAAGTTTTAATAAGGCTGCTCCCTTTATTTTGTTTCAGATCCCCTCCCTGTCAAAGAGGCTCCTGTATTTTAAAAACTAAAACACGCCTTCATTTCAGCTCCTCTTGAGTTAAAATGTGTATTGAAATAATCTCTGAGAAAAGACTGGTAGAAAGTAAAACAAATCTCTAAGAGAGAGAGAAAAAAACTAGTAGTCCTTTGAGGTCACATTAAAATTAAGTGAGAAGATGGCACAATTATTTTGACAGCAGGTGGGATCTCTAAGCTGTTAATTAAGAGACTAACCATTAAGAACAAGAAGACTCAAGTTTTAGAAGTTTACTAATTCCTTTCTGGTGTTTTGGGAAGATTTGATTGTATGGTACTGTCTTTAAATGTCATTTTACAGCTTTACAAAATAACGGAGGAAGTACCTCATCCCTGAGGGGACACTGTTTGTCAGATTCTCATTTTACATAACTCAGAACGATTTACCCTATGGAAAAAAAACCATTCATTGTGAGAAACGGTATTATAACTAAACATGCCTATGCTAGGCTAACTAATAAATCAGGCAAGTTGACACGCTAGGGAGCAGAATGGTATCCTCAAGCTGTTGAGATAAATAGATGCATGGACTGATGGATGGATGGGCAGACATAATAGAACTCATGTAAACAAATATCATCTAATATTAGCTAGATCATGTCCATGTCCAACAGAAAAGAATAAGAACCAAAAGAATGCAAGCTGGTAGATGGGTTATGTCCTCTGTCATGACAGCAGAAGGAAGACTGAGTTCTTTCTGGCAGGAGATTTGTCTCACTCTTCTTTATATCCTCAGCACCTATCATAGTTCTTCTCACCCAGAGATGTTCAATAAATGTTGTATAAATGGAGATAAAAGAAAAGAAAGAAAGGAAGAGCCCCTAGATGCAAATGGTATCAAATTGCATTTCAGTGAACAAGAATGGCATTTTCCATTAGAGTTGAGAGGAATCTTCATATAGCAGTGAGAAGACACCTAGAATAGAAATAAGAACAGTTTCAGGGTGTTATCTGAAGCAGCCTGTCTAGAAAGCCTTGAAGAGGCCTTGAAGAGGAGAAGAGATATTGAGGAAAAGGCTGCAGAGTTGGTGGCATGTGCAGGACCATGGAATAGGACAGCATCCAGAGCGCGGAGACCAAGGAAGACCTGGATGTGCTGTCACGAGCTGAGTAGTCCTGGGTAAATCTTCCGTGGACCTCTGTTTCTTATTATAAAAAATAGGGAGTTAAACCCATTTCCTCCTTAGTTTCTTGGGCCTGATACACATTTTTGTAATTCCTGTATTCCATTCTTGAAATCCCTTATCTGATATCCTGGAAATAAAGGTCATTAATTATTTTCTCTGGGAAAAGGGAGTTAGACAGCAGAAATATTGATTATCGTTTTTCAGTTATGTGATGAGTTGAAAAAATTTTCTTGTTCCTCAAATGTTATTTTATTATACAAAAGCCCTAAAACACCAGGTCTGAAACAGTGTCCCCTAAAATGAATAATAATCATTTTAAGAATGATTTCTTAAAAGTAACACCTGGAAAAAATTGGATTTGAGCCTAAAAAAATTGCTTAAAATAATTCTCTAAAAACGTGTATATTTTGATATGTGCTTGCAACTACATATGCCATGTGTCAAAACCTTTGTATTCTTTTCAAACATAAATTCATTTTGTATGATTTAGCACTGGACTGTAGGATAGAGCCTCATGTTTCATTGTCTTAAGTTTTCCAACTGGAAATTTCCATTGCCTCAATCAAGACTCTGGTGAAGTACACCCTTCATCCCAGAGATGGCAGGTTGCAATTTCCAAATGCAGGTCAAACCCTTCATGCAAGCACAGCCTTCTCTCCAGATAATTAAACTGATGAACAAAGTACAGAGGAATTGGATGTCTCCACCCGAGGATTTGTTTCTATGTTGAAGGAGGCTGGCAACAAAATTTTTCTATTAGAAAGGACAGCAATGGCTGGGTGTTCACACCTGTAATCCCAGCATTTTGGAAGGCCGAGGTGGGCAGATCACCCAAGGTCAAGAGTTTGAGACTAGCCTGGCTAACATGGTGAAACTCCTTCTCTACTAAAAAATACAAAAATTAGCCAGGCATGGTGGCACGTGCCTGTCATCCCAGCGACTTGGGAGGCTGAGGCAGGAGAATCGTTTGAACCCAGGAGGCGGAGCCGAGGTTACAGTGAGCCAATATCTTGCCACTGCACTCCAGCCTGGCAGACAGAGCGAGAGGCGAGACTCCATCTCAATAAATAAGTAATAAGTATAAATTGGTTTTCTAATGCATGGTAAAGCAAATATGGGGCAAGGGCAGGTTTATCCCAACATAGAAAACCTTTGAAGAGAAATAGAAATTAGGTGAAATCGGTGAACCCAGCATTAGAAAGGGGGACTCAGAGGTGGACAAAAGTGTGGCCTGAAAGGATTGTGTTGAAAAGGCTGAAATGGGGTGGGGTTTGTCTTGGAGTTGGTCTTCAGCAGATTAGCTCTGTGGGGTAGTGCTATTAACGCGTAAAAACAAGAAGACTGAAGTGCTACATCTTGGCAGGAAGATGACAAGCCTATCATCTCTAGGCTTGTAGGACTGTGTCCCACAGATTATTAGGCTAGGTGCTGTACCTGATCCCCCCATAATAATTACGATCATCTGCAAAAAGAAATTTCAAGCCCAGGTAAGCTTCTACTGATTCTATTTATGTTCTTAATTATATTTACCATTTGTCATGTGACTGGGGATTTTTAGCTCCACATTCCATATACAGAAACTGAAAAACAAACAGGTAAAATGACATTTCCCAAGTCACGCAGCTGGTATGTAACAAGGCAAGAGTCTCAAATTATGATGCAAACGTGATTCTTTTTATTTTTATATCTTTATATGTAGTGTTTATTTTTATTTCATTTACTCTTTTTTCTTTTTTCCAATATATTTTAAAACCTTTATTGACAACATTAAAAATACAATTTTAATAGAAGATCTCAGTATTTTTGCCTGAGACAGAACCTAATACGACTGTCTAAAAGCTGGAATTGCTCACTTTGGAGAGTTGGGTATGATGGTGATAGCTGTGGGCCCAAGCTTTGTCCATCTCAAAGGGAGTAAAAACTCAGTGGGACTGACTGACGGGCCATTACATAGAATCATTTATTTGGAAACAATTTGAAACTCATAGAAAAGCTCCAAGAACACTAAAGAACATCCCAAAACCCTTTGCCCAGATGCATTTATTGTTCATGGTTTGTGCCACTTGCTTTCTTTATCTATACAAACATCATTCTTTGTTTCAAACTTTTGAAATTCAGTTGCATGCATCATGATCCTTTCCCTCTAAATACTTAAATGTGTATTTCCTAAGAAAAAGAACGGTCTCTTATATATATCCACAGTACGGTTATCAATTTAAGTAAATTTAACATGAACACAGGACTTCTATCTTATGTAGCATCTCTATTCTAATTTTGTCAATTTGCCTACCTAGCAATATGCTTTACAGCATGTTTTTCCTTCAGTACAGGACCCAGTAGGGATCACATATTACTTATTTACTTATCATGCCCCATTAATCTCCTTTAATCTGGAGCAGTTTCCCAGATTTCTTTGTCTTTTATGACTTTGATTTTTTTTTTTTTTTTTTTTTTTTTTTTTTTTTGAGATGGAGTCTCACTCTGTCACCCAGGCTGGAGTGCAGTGGTGCAGTCTTGGCTCACTGCAACCTCTGCCTCTCCAATTCAAGAGATTCTCCTGCCTCAGCTTCCCAAGTAGCTGGGATTACAGGCGCACACCACAGCACTCAGCTGTTTTTTGTATTTTTGTAAATATGAGGTTTCACCATGTTGGCTAGGCTGGTCTCAAACTCCTGACCTCAAGTGATCCGCCTGCCTCAGCATCCCAAACGGCAGGATTACAGGTGTGAGCCACCGCACCCAGCCTTGACTTTGATATTTTTGAAGAATGCAGTTGATGAGTAATTTTTAGAGTTATTTCTCACCTGGAAATAGTTTCTCTGGAGTTGATTTTTTCTAAAACGTTAAAGTATGTTTTTAGATATGAGAGTCCTTTGGCCTTTAGATTCAATGCCAGCCATGCTAAGGTGTGCACAGGGACTTTTCTGTCAGAAATGCAACTTTCATTAAAGAGAGGATAGATAAGGGTGTGGCAGAGACTGACGTGTAAGCTTGCTATGGTTCGAATGCTTATGTCCCCCCAAATTTGTACATTGAAATTCTCAGATGATAGTATCAGGAGGTGGGGCCTTTGGGAGGGGATCAGGTCATGAGGGAAGCACACTCATGAACAGGATTAGTGCCCTTGTTGAAGCCCAAGAGCAGCCTTGTCCCTTCCAGCATGTGAGACGTTGCAAAAAGGCGCCATCTATGGGGAAGTGGGCCCTACCAGACACCAAATCTGCTGGCACCTTAATCTTGGACTTTCCAGCCTCCAGCGCTGCGAGAAATATATTTCTGTTGTCTAGGAGCTCCCCAGTTTATATCATTTTGTTATGGCAGCCCAAATGAAGTAAGACATAGCCCTTTGAGGTTAGCAACTCAGGAGAAGCTATTGGTGCCAAAGGAATTTGTGAAAGAGAGGAGCTGCCAACTCTGGTGAAGCCTCATCCCATGGATGGGAAAGATTTGGCAGTTCTGAGCAAGGTGATACATTAGCACCAGCAGAGGAATTGAAGAAATCAAAGTACAGAAATGATGCAGTGCGTGTATTCACCAGCTTAAAATCTTAATAATTAGGCCAAAAATACATTATGAATCTCTTAAATGTTTGGCTAACATGGGTAGATAAAACAGACAAATATATACACCAGGATATACATGAGTCCATTAATTATTTTTAATAAGTATTGAAAGGATTTTGTAGCAAAGTTACCAAGTAGATGGGAAAAATTAGGAAAGTTTTTTCCTAATTTACATCCGAAGATGTAACCTACAGATGTGACTCAAAACATACACACGCACACGCACACACACACACACACACACACATACACATACACACACACGAATATGGTTCTATGTGGCTCCCACTGCTGTCTTAAAAAGTTAGGCCTCACTTACTCTCCAAATCAGTATGAACCTCACTATCCAGGTTGGAGTAGGGAGTTTGAAGAGCTGACAAGCTCTATATAAGAAAGAGAGAAGAGTTTGAAATACTGTGGTAGTTGTGGTAGTGGTGGTGTGAGGACCTGGGAGAGAGGAGAGGGGGACTTGCAGGGCAAGACACTGCTTCAGTGGAGGAGGAGGAATTGAGAGCCTGAAGGACAAAGCGGTACAAAAGGACTTTGGTTGGAGAGTGATAACATAGAAAGGAATTTAAACTGTAGGGGGATGGGCTATACACCCTCTTTCCATTTATCACCCATGTAGGATTTTCAGTACAGTCGGCTTTGCTGGTTAATGCTTTTTTTTTTTTTTTTGCAAGTGACATGCTTTCATGATGCTTGAAGCGGAGGTTGAGGTCTGTGTCTGGGTTAATGCAGGGCCAAAATAGATTATGTGGAGAAGCTGGCATAAAAGATGGAGAAGATTTCATGAGTATAAATGCCTGAGAATTGGCAAAAATTAGGGTACACTTCAGACTTTCTGAACATCTGTGCTCTATTTAATATAATTAGTATTAATAGTATTAATACAGTAAATAGAACATCTGTGCTCTGTTTAATACATTCTAGGGGAAGAATTTGGGCAGGAAGGAAGTTAGAGCAGGGACCAGGACTTTGATGCAAAACCCACAGACCATCTACCTGAGTGGGGCAAGGTTTGTAGGGTAGATCCCAAATATCTTACTCAGGGGTGTCAGATTGGCTTATGAATGGATTTTGGGACACTTGAAAGCAGTCCCTCAATATCATTCCCCAGCTGCCTTCCCATCTTAGGTGTCTTTCGGATGATCCTCCATGTGTTAGGGCTGACCTGGAGAATAACGGTGAGCCTTTGATCAGATGCTACCCCATCTCTGCTCAGGGAGCAGAATTATGTTAAATCGAGCACAGATGTTCTTAAAGACTGGAAAGTCTGTGCCCCTCATCAGCAAAGGACTGCTTGTAGAAATATCAAGTGAGAACCTCATGTAGGAAATCTTTGTTATTTGAGTTTTTCCAGAGTGGGAACAATAGAAAATTATTTTATGCACTTTAAAAAATGAATAACAAGGAAGGAAAATTGATCTTAATTAATGCAATCCAGAAAGGCATATTATTCATGAATAATGAATGTCTGCAGCTTGCTAAAAGAGAGGGGAGTGAGAATTAAGTCCAAGATTCTTCATTCTTTTCTTGTCTTTCGGCATCAATGCAGCAAGCCAGGAAAAGGACCAAAGGTTAAATAGTAACAGCTAATGTTCTGCCTGTTCAACTCTGTGATTTCCAAGGGTTAACCTTAAAATCTCCATTCCATGAAGACCCACGTTCACAATCTCTGATGATTTCAGTTTCTAGAGAAAGTCCTTCTCAGAAACAGAACCATCAAAAGACGGGTCCATAAGAAGTAAAGCAGAACCCAGGGAGTTCTTGGATTCCTTGTTCTGACCATGCATAAGAATGAAAGAATGGTGGATCTGGACAATACAGTTTGCTTACTGGGTGGTGGCATGAGATGCAGTGTGTGTGAGATTCTCCAGAGAAATGGAGCCAATAGGATGTGTGTGTGTCTATGTAGAGAGGTTTATTTAAAGGATTGGCTCACACAACTATGAAGCCTGGCAAGTCCAAATCTGCCCTGTGGGCTGGGAGGTTGGAGACTCAGAGGAAAGTTAATGCAGTTCGAGTCTGAATACAATTTGCTGGAGAAATCCTTGCTTGGGAAAGGTCAGCTTTTTGTTATATTCAGGCCTTCAACTGACTGAATGAGGGCTATCCCCATTATGAAGGGCAATCTGCTTTACTCAAAGTCCTCCAATTTCAATGTTAGTCTCATCCAAAAAATCTATCATAGAAGCATCCTGAATAATGTTTAACCAAATATCTGGGCACTGTGGACCAGCCAAATGGAATGAGTATTTGGAGGCAGATATTCTGTGTGTTGGATAAGTCATTTAACTTCCCTGAGTCTCAGGATCCTTTTCCGGAAGAGCACCTTGCCTGAAAATCTCATGAGATTGTTTGATAACCACCTGGGATAAGGAGTGGAAACACTTTGTAAATGGTAACACACTGTACATATGTGAGCCTCACTATTGCTGATATTGATTCTTTGATTTTAGTTTCTTGGGTTTTTAGAGTCTCATCTGAAAGAGTCTATTTCCAGTGTAAATTGTCACTCTGCATCCTACAAGATCCCTTGCTCCTACCTTCATCTGATATAATGCATGCTCCTACTTTCTCTGCTAAAGAGCTCTCTTGAAAGGCTCCACGGTGGCACTGAATATTTCTCTACAAAAAATATAATTAATATTTTACATTATTTCCTGTATTTCTCTTCCAAGCTTGCCCTGTGTAATTCTACGGACCCAGTACAGCCTGGCATTGATGTGAGAGAGAGAATCCATAGGGAAGGAGACATGGGAGCAAGCCTTGGGGCAAGGGAGAGAAGGATATCATGATACAGAGGATGTGACCCCTGGCAGGCTTGCCTGAACCTGTTCTGTTTCTGCATAATCTTTGTATTTATCTCCTGGAGGAATTTGCACAAGCTCCTCTCTAGGGTTGCTTTCCAGAGCAGTTACAGTAAAATCCTTGCTCTGCAAGATGCGATGGAGCAACCATGGAGGAGGACATTCTGTTGTGTGGGCAGCTGGAGACTGATGCTGCTCTCTCCCTGTCACATGTGGGTTTCACTGAGGCATCCTTCACTCTGACCTTCTTACTTCTGGTCTCCACCCTATCTCTGACCAAGCCATACTCTGACTTTCTTTTTGTTCACCACTGCCACTGAGTGCCTTTCTTCCCTCAGAGCCCCATTTGACACTGGATTCTACATTGGTCCATCTTCCACGCCCACCACTGGCCTTTTCCCTTCTATCCCCAGAACATAGATTCTGCAACCTGTTTCCCACATCCACTCCATATTTCCTTGGACTCTATGTCCTTATCTGACTTCACATTCTCTTGGGATCTTAACCTCTCATGTACATTGACCCAACCATGGATGCCACTGATTCATTTGATGTTCTGCCATCCTACTGATGTTTCATTTGAGTAACCCAGCAAAGTCCCACCAAGGGAAGGACTTGGGCAAGGACCTCCTGCATAGCTTCAGGAGGGGCTCAAAATACAACCTACTAAAGGATCTAGAACGCTATCTAGTGAATGGGTTGGGGGCTGCCTCCAAGAGGAGACAAAATGTGGCTTGGCGACTCACTCACTTGTGACTTATCAACAGGACTGAGGGAGAATCCACACAAGAAGGATCCTGAAAACACCCAGAACATACATTGGGCAAAAAGATGGAGCAGTTCAATCAGTGTAGATTCACCGTGGTTGTGTGTTCTTCATAAATTTCTTCCCATTGTACATTGTCCCACCCTGGGAAGTCCCAAGGCCACTTTCTCGGAAGTCTCCAGCCAATGGCTGAACCCATATTCCCAGCCAATTCTAGGGCCTGGCCATTTTTGGAAGACAGCTCCCATCAGCAGTCTTCCGTTTGCAGCTCCGGTTGGGCTGGCAGAAACTTTGTCTGAGGCCCCCTGCCCAATCCTGCACCTTTTGGTTTCTTTTCACAAGGGTCATAACTGCATTGTGATCTGATGGTCTTTCTTGTTCAAATCTGCTTCCTTCTCCTGTTGTCTTACACAGGCAGCATCACCCCTCGTATCCCCAATAAGCCCCCTGCTCTCCAAATATTGTTTTCATGTCTGCTTCCAAGTGACATAGTTCCTTAAATACTTTCCTTTTTCTTCCTTTCTGTGATTGCTTGGAAATATTAGCTTCTCCCATCCTTTCCTGTGAAATTTTTAGATTCTCTGGCCATAGAATCCTGCATATTTCTACTCTGAACTGCATATTTCTACTTTGCTAAAGTCTATATTATCACAGACTCTAAAATGATATATCTATGCTCTCATTTTCTTAAGTCATTCTGTTCCTTCTTCAATAATAATCACAAGTTTAAATGTAACCTAAATCTAATAATTTTAGAGTTTTAGCCACCTTGGCCAACCCTGTTCGCTTCTTTTATTGATGCTATGATTTAGCTGAGGGCTAGAGTGCTTAAGTGATTCATCTCAAATTGCAAGAACTATAAAATTAATCTCCTTCATAAGTCAATTGTCTCATGAGAATTTCTTCACTTTCATGACATTTCTCATAAAATAGTTTCAGATTCGAGCTCTAGACTGCTAATTTACTAATCTTATTAAATTACTTCTAATGCATTTAACTAAGATTATTTTACTCTTCTGAGGTTTGATGGATTCGTTCCCTAAATATGATGAGTGCCTTCTCCTTGTGATAATATATTCCATATATTCCAGGGAAAGCTGTCAATGGCTAGATCAGCAAGGAACAAGATGATCATGGAAATCTCATTAAAATATAGATAGATAGATAGAAAGATAGATAGATAGATAGACAGATAGATTTATTTAATAAGTCTAGCCAGCAAGCTAATAGGACAATGTGGCATCGAAAGACGTTACGTGAAAGTGTTAATTTAGAATAAAAAATGAATTTAGATAATCTATGGAATATCTGCTGAACGTATCTTTTTTTTCCTGTTTTATCCATAGCTGCTCCCTCCTTCCCTCTTCATCCAAATGGCTATACTTCTCTGATTGTCCATTATTTGATCAACTATTAACCCCAGGAAACAGAATCTAGAATTTCCTAGGAAGGTATTATTAGCCTCCTTTATCGTGCAGACACTGTGGTGCATCTTGGGAAGAGAAACTCAGATTAGCTACCAAAAGGTAAGGTAGAACCAGCGGGTGCCTATTCAGACTTGGGTAGGAGACAAGAAGGGTGGCAGTTTTCAACAATTAGACTTACAGTCTTGAAAGGATTAAATAGGTACACACCCAGTTAATTTGCCTTCAGGAGGCCTGCAAGCGATTTTCTTCCCCTAAGCAATTCTGTCAAATGTATCCATGTTTTCATCAACTGCTGAAATAATTTTTTCTATTCATTGTAGGGTTGGTTATACTGTACTTTTTTGTGTTAATAAGTATTTACCCTCTTACCTTATACTATTACAATCATTAACTGCAGTGTGAAAATATACTAGTTATTACTGTCCAACTTTCGTTAGCACAATAAGGCAGTGGAGGTGAAAAAAAATTACATAAAAAGCACGCAGCCAGAGTCTCCTGCCGAGGAGCAGGGCACTGAATTCATGACATTTAGCTTCTGTGCCCAACAGCTACATCCTGTGGTTTTACTGAAGGAGAATAGTGATCAGCCCAAGGAACATTAGATTCTTGAGAATTGCACATCATGGAACTGAAGAAAATGAGAAATTGGAGCAAAAATATCTGTGAGTTACTTTTTCTTCCTTTCCTTTTCCTCTTTTTTAATGAAAGAAATTTTACTGTGGGTCAGGAAGGTGTCACATGTAAAATAGCCAGAGGTAAGAAAGGTAGCTTCTGGTCAGTGGCATCCATTGGAAGGTTGGTTACCACAAAGAAAAAATGTACAACATAAGAGCTAACCATAAGGAAAAGTGAAAGAAAATATTGGTAAATGATAAAAAATTATTAAGGAGGAACAAATGCATGTATACATGGCTCTGTTACTTAAAAAAAAGTCATATAGCTGTCAAAACACTTCAGGGGTGTTGAGGATAAGCAGTATCTTGAACATGACTTTTTTTGTACATAATATTATAAATGAAACAAAAATCTGGGGAAAATGTAGCAAGTGCAGCCTTTTAACTATGCAGTATGTTAATGTGTCAGATGGATTGTACAGTTGAACAGCTTGAGGAAATGGTAGTATTTTAATAATATTATATGTTAACCTGGCCTTTATAAGTAATCTCTGTTTACCTGCAAGATGTTATTAGCTTACATACATGAAATGTAACTTCTATAGATACTTTTCTCCACTTGCTTTAAAAAACATTTATTAGCAAATTAGCATTAAAATAGCATTAAGCGGAGAAATTAGATTAGATTTTGTGGAGCAGGGAGATGTTGCTTACTGATGACAAAAACAGGTGATAATAGATTTGTCATGGTGGAATGTAGGTTCTAGTAATTCTGTATCATTTGACATTTTTAAATCATGAGAGTTAAAAAGCCAATGTTGGCTCAAATTTCTTAATATTTGCAAATGAAATGCAGCAATAATGCAGTATCTTGGAAGTATATGCACAGTTCTGATTCTTTTTGCTTGTTCGAGAAGCCATTTCACACACATTATGAAAGAAAGGCCAGTGGCACTGATGAAGAATCTGAAATATGAAAGATTGTCTGTGATTTGCTTTAAGCTATACTTATTTAGGCTCCTCGTGAAGGGTGTATTCCAAAATCTACATGTTTTTACTCTACTTCAGTGCTTTTCCTTTTTTCACCAACTAATTTCTGTCTATACATAAACCATCTACATTGATCGGCTTGAAAATACCTTAATCCAATGTTCCCGGGAAGATGACTATGCTGACTGCTACACCATATCTCTCAACAGCATTTTCTCTAAAACTGATGTAGGTCTTGTCCACTACAATGAATTATGCATAACTGGCAGGCTATTTGTTGGCATGGAAAAAATCTGACATGTTAGATTAAAATTAAATATCGAGTAGGCTTTCTCCTAGTGGCATGAATTAAACAAAGATGCTTCTTTTTCACCAGTGGAGTATGAAGGCCTCCAGTTGTGAGTGTTTGCACAAGGGAATTTTACTGTCACAGCATGGTGCAGAACGTTGACTACATAATGCACGGCTCAGCCCTCTGCTGCTAGTTGGTTTCACAAGGAAGTCCCAGCAGTTTCTAGAAATGACTCGGTAATTAGGATCTTTGGGGAGGCTTTCCTGCCTTTTTCACATATCCCTGCGGCCTGTGGCTGGATGGTGCCGAGACTTAACCCACAAGCTGTCATTAGGGGCAGACCTGAAACAAATTACAGTAATGATGGCAACCACAAATCTCCTACTAAAATTCCCCAGACGAAGCCCTTTCCTTCTCCTTATCCAGGAAAATTCAGTAAGCAGGCACACTGCAGAAGAGCTTATTGAGCGAATATGTCGGAAAAGCTAAAAGCCACTTTGATAGGCCAGATGAGGGAAGAAAAGAAATTCGATAGCTGCTGAACAAACTAACAAATCTGCTCAGAAAAATCTCAACTCCAAATTTAATTTTCATTTGTTGGTTTATTTCCTTATTAGTTCCTTCTTTCTTCTTTTTAGTAACACATTGGAAGATAATTACAATATGGTCTGTACTTTCAAAGCAAAATAAATGAAGCACTAAAAGAGAGGTTATTTTAGGATATGTCTATTGCAAACTTTACTCCCCCAAACTGACCCAGTCTTTTCAAGATGCTGGGTTAGAATCTTTTACGTCCTTCTAATGATACTGTAGCTGACATTAAGCCTGAGACTTGGCTGGGGATAAAATAAGTCCATTCTGTTGTAGGGTGTGTAATTGAGTGTGGACTTCTCAGCTACCCAGAGGTTCCCTTTCATATATACGTGTGTGTATATATGTGTGTGTATATATATGTGTGTGTATGTGTGTGTATATGTGTGTGTGTATATGTGTGTGTGTATAATATGTGTGTGTATATGTATATAATATGTATGTGTGTGTATGTCTGTGTATATATGTATATATACATAAACACATACATAGGACCACTGTCTGATGATGTTTCAGTGCCGCCTGAGGGCTTCTAAGCGTAATAAACACAAACAAGAATTCGGCTTCATATGAAATAATTCACTATACAGGAGCAAAGCTGGATGCATGACTCAAAGAATCTCTGAAGTCAAGATTAACTGCCAGTCATCAGGAAACCCAAAGTCATTTAAAGTAAGAGGTGCCACAAGCCAGAAGATAGAAGCCATAAACACATACAATATTAATAAAGCAATTACAGTAAGTGGTAGAACATTCTGCTTTGCAAATCTCTTGCCACTTTAAGAAACATCTGTCTCCGCCAGTAGAAATTACTGATAAAAAAGCCAAACCAAACCAAACAAGCTGTGCTTTGTGTTTTAGCTTTGCATTCAGTATCTTGATCGGTTAGTCTGCTGCCAAAGCTTCAATACCAATTTCATAGCCTATTCCCTGGGTTGGTTTTTCAACCAATGTAGCCAGCTGTGCTTATAGTAGGCAGAGGAGCAATTAGCTAATCTGCTGCATTGTGCAAACTGTCTGAATCCAATCACACATAATGTCTCCAGAGGGTGAGTAAGAAATTCAAGTGACCAGATGAATCCTTATTTAATAGAAACTGGCTTGAGCCTTAGCCAACCCAGTTCTTGAAAGTTGTTGGTTCCTTGTTTTTACAAAAATAAAATATCATGTTTATTTACACTGCACATGTAAGTTACTTTGTTAGTGATCAATAAAACCCAGACCTGGCTGGGAGACGGGGGAATCCTGGAGACAGACGAACACATGCTGTGGAATATTTTATCCTGAAATAGCACCTGGTTTCTTAGAGAATAATTGAGAAGAAAGGAACCATACCCATAAGTAATTATTGAGCTTAAGTGGGCTCTTCCATTAAAAAAGAAACAAAAACAACAAAACAATGTGATTCGAGAAAAGAGGGAATGAAGATTTGCTTCAGTCCAGAAGAAACGTAGAAGAAGGTAATGGGACCGGGTGCAGTGGGTCAGGCCTGTAATCTCAGCACTTTGGGAGGCCTAGGTGGGAGGATCGCTGGAGGCCAGGAGTTTGAGATCAGCCTGGGCAACACAACAAGGCCCTATCTCTACAAAAAATTTGAAAAATTAGCTGGGCATGGTGGTGGGTGCCTGTAGTCCCAGCTACTTGAAAGGCTGAGGAAGGAGGATAGCTTGAGCTCAATAGTTCGAGGCTGCAGTGAACTATGATCACACCACTGCATTTCAGGCTGGGCAGCAGATTGATACCCTGTCTCTATCAAAAAAGAAAAAGAAGAAGAAGAAGGTAATTGCGGTTTCTTAAATAGAGGTTTATAACAGAAGATACAATTTCAAAGATCTACTCACTTGGAACTGTGAATAATTGGGTTAAAGAACCAACCACTCAAATATTTGTTAGAAATCCTCAAGGGTCTACTTAGATCCCTTTTTCACACTTACCACAAAATTCTGATTTAATTAATCACCAAATGTCACTTCTTGCTCTACGTCTCCTAAAATAGGCTGCCTCTTTTTATCCATCTTCCCACTAACTTGTTCAGGCCATCTTTGTTTTTACCAATACTATACAATCGTCTGCTGAATGAACTTCCTACCTCTGGGGTCTTTCTCCTTTGATCTTTTCCTCAGATTGGTACCAGGAAGATCTTTCAAAAATTCAGGCCTAATGTGTTATTTCCCATTTAAGTCCCCTCAGTGGCCCCTCATCAGGTACTGAACAAAGCTCAATCTCTTCAGTTGGCCCGCAAAGCCCATTGTCTAAGTTTTTGGCTTCCCTTGTCACTATTCCCCACATATGATCCTTTCCTTCTAGACCTCGCAGTTCCCAGAATACACTGCTCTTTGGGGTCTGGCAACGTGTATTTCTTTGGCAGCCATTCCTTTGCCCTTCACTTTTGTCCACCAGGCCAATCACTTCTTATCCTCTTCTGTCCAGCCTATTAGGTAACCTGGGGCAAACTTGGTAGTCACATCACTGTGTGTGCACCTGCTTTAGAGCACCATTCTCAGTATATATAAAGCACAGCGTAACAAAGTGGAAAGAACGGAGCTTTGGAACGAAACTTTGATGTAAATCTTAGCTTATAACCTTCTTCCTATGGCAAGTTATTACACTCTTTCCCATTTGTTAAATAGGAACGTGAATGCCTAAGTTTTGTGAGGATTAGCAAAAACGTATATGAAGCTCTCCATGCTGAACTTGACTCATAGTCAGTGCTCAACATGACAGCCATAGTATATGATATTATAACTGCTTCTTTAACCTATTTATGCTATGACCTGCTTGAAAACAGACGTTATCTCTTTTCATTTTTATTTTTTGTTTGTTGTTCGTCTTTCTGGCTCAGCACCTGTCAAAGCACCTGACGTACAGAAAGTGTACAATAAAAATCTGCTCAAAGGATCAGGAAACAAATAAAGGATACATGAGTGATGAAATCTCTAAATTTTAGAACATTTGGGAATTCTTGCTACAGTGGGATTGGAAATAGTGACATTGAGACTGTCTACGAATCTCAAGCACGTTTAAAACACCATCATGTTTTCTGGTTCTGTAGCTTTCTTGTGCTGACAAATGAGCATATCTGGTAGCTGTGTGTTTTCTGAAAGGATAGGCTACTAACAACCTGAAATTAAAGCTTCCTGTGTAGCACGGCCCAGCATTATCTTCCCTTTTTTCTCTAGTTGTGTGAGAATTGAATCTGTGATACCTAAATAGTATTGCATTTTCACACTTGGGTGGAGCACAGAGTGTGAACAAGGAAGGGGAAAGAGATGGAGATGACGGGTCAAGTAGAGGTGAGACCAAAGAGCACCTTGAAGTACACATTTATAACTTGGACATGACCCCATGGGAGACTTATTAGTGGGTTTAATCAGGGAGATGAGAGAACTAGAGGTCTGCTGTAGATACCTTGTGTACGGAAAGTAAGCATAGGATGATTCTGAAGAAAGAAAATCTAAAGAGGGACATGAGTTAGGAGGCAGCTGAATAATAACCATGGTGACAAGGACATGAACTAAGGCAGTGGCCAGGGCCAGCTGCAGGGGTGTGTGAGCTGTGCAGTGACACAGGGCCCCACCTTTAGAGGGCTCTGGTGTTTGGTTTAATGCTTTCTTGTCACTGTCTTGAAATTCTTAATAATTTTTTAAAAAGAGGCCCACATTTTCATTTTGCAGTTGGTGCGCAAATTGTGTAGCTGGTTCTGGCAGAGATAGTGAAGAAAAGTCATGACAAATGAGGCGATACTTACAAAGACGCGTGTGCTGCTCCTCTTTGCTTTTCCGTGTATGTGACTTCCTTGATGCCCAAGGGCAACTCCCTGCCTGATCTGGGTGGTGTAGGGTGTTAAGGTGAAAGGAGTGGAGATTTAAGAATTTTATTAATTTAAAAGTAGAAAATTAATCTTTAGTCTTTGTTCTTCAATAAAGAAGTTTTGACATCTTATCCAGGCAATAGAAAGTCAGAATTTATTGAGAGAGAAAATGATAATTTTCAGTTTTTTTTCCAATGGTTAAAACATGAAATTGTATTCTATACCTAAAATAGGGGCAATATCACGCAAAGGAAATGAGTAGTCCAAAACCAATTTCTTCTAGTTGGAGGGATTTTGTGGCAGCCAAACATCAGAGGGAATCTGAATGGGAGAGTGGCCTCCTGGCTCTGAGCTTTCCATCCTGGGCGAAAGCTCAAAGGCTGCAGAATGACACAAGAGCAAAGATGACCATGAGAGCCTGCACTATCAGCACCTCAGCAGCTGCCGGTGTTTCCAGAAGATGGGTGCCTGCTTATTCCCCATGGCCCACCCCACCCAATCTCCTAAACTTTGAGGTAGTCATCGTGACTTTGGAGCAGAAGATTGTTCCTTGACAATCCCAGCAGATGGCACCTGCAACATATAGACTAATTTTCAAACTATGTGGTTAGGGCTGCAGGTCTCGTAGAATCATTGTGATACCATAGCCAATAGTTCCTTAATTTTAAAGCTCTCAGCCCTTTGGACTTGAAAAGATGAAAGACAGTGTGCTGCCACTCAGGTATTTCAGTCACTTACAACTGGGGAGAAGTTGGGGTACAGTGGATGGAATATTGGGGAGGCAGGGCGGTTGAATCCCTTCAACATACTTCACTGCCATGGAGCAAGATATCTGAAAGAAATGTAGGGATACAACAATAATTAAGAATTTGTTTTCACATTTTAACTTTGGTCATAGTTTTCAAGTTTCTAAATTCTTCATGTATTTCCTAGTGAAATATCTCATGTGGAAAGAAACACAAACAAGACTGAGAATACACCTAAGATTGAAAACATTTGAAAAGTAAAATGTGGCAGGTGTGTGGTTTGTTTTTCAAACATTCTGTACACATATATTGTGAATATATCATTAAAGTGGATAGAGGAGTAAGAGAGAGAAGTAAAGAAAAATGAATTTGTTTTTAATTTTTTAATAATTTAAACATAATTAAAATAACTAGATAGTATTGTTCCATCAAACCTAGTCTATGGAGAAGTATTTAGTAGCTAACAGTTAAATGAAATGGAAATTAGTATTTTTAAGAAAAGCTCCCGAAACATTTTTGAAGTTATGGGTTGCTGATCATAAGTATGTACATTTTTTTTCAATTTTTTATTTTTTTATTTTTATTTTTTATTATACTTTAAGTTTTAGGGTACATGTGCACATTGTGCAGGTTAGTTACATACGTATACATGTGCCATGCTGGTGTGCTGCACCCACTAACTCATCATCTAGCATTAGGTATATCTCCCAATGCTATCCCTCCCCCTCCCCCCACCCCACAACAGTCGCCAGAGTGTGATATTCCCCTTCCTGTGTCCATGTGATCTCATTGTTCAATTCCCACCTATGAGTGAGAATATGCGGTATTTGGTTTTTTGTTCTTGCGATAGTTTACTGAGAATTATGATTTCCAATTTCATCCATGTCCCTACCATGGACATGAACTCATCATTTTTTACGGCTGCATAGTATTCCATGGTGTATATGTGCCACATTTTCTTAATCCAGTCTATCATTGTTGGACATTTGGGTTGGTTCCAAGTCTTTGCTATTGTGAATAATGCCGCAATAAACATACGTGTGCATGTGTCTTTATAGCAGCATGATTTATAGTCCTTTGGGTATATACCCAGTAATGGGATGGCTGGGTCAAATGGTATTTCTAGTTCTAGATCCCTGAGGAATCGCCACACTGACTTCCACAATGGTTGAACTAGTTTACAGTCCCACCAACAGTGTAAAAGTGTTCCTATTTCTCCACATCCTCTCCAGCACCTGTTGTTTCCTGACTTTTTAATGATCGCCATTCTAACTGGTGTGAGATGGTATCTCATTGTGGTTTTGATTTGCATTTCTCTGATGGCCAGTGATGATGAGCACTTTTTCATGTGTTTTTTGGCTGCATAAATGTCTTCTTTTGAGAAGTGTCTGTTCATGTCCTTCACCCACTTTTTGATGGGGTTGTTTGTTTTTTTCTTGTAAATTTGTTTGAGTTCATTGTAGATTCTGGATATTAGCCCTTTGTCAGATGAGTAGGTTGCGAAAATTTTCTCCCATTTTGTAGGTTGCCTGTTCACTCTGATGGTAGTTTCTTTTGCTGTGCAGAAGGTCTTTAGTTTAATTAGATCCCATTCATCAATTTTGGCTTTTGTTGCCATTGCTTTTGGTGTTTTAGACATGAAGCCCTTGCCCATGCCTATGTCCTGAATGGTAATACCTAGGTTTTCTTCTAGGGTTTTTATGGTTTTAGTTCTAACGTTTAAGTCTTTAATCCATCTTGAATTAATTTTTGTATAAGGTGTAAGGAAGGGATCCAGTTTCAGCTTTCTACATATGGCTAGCCAGTTTTCCCAGCACCATTTATTAAATAGGGAATCCTTTCCCCATTGCTTGTTTTTCTCAGGTTTGTCAAAGATCAGATAGTTGTAAATATGCGGCGTTATTTCTGAGGGCTCTGTTCTGTTCCATTGATCTATATCTCTGTTTTGGTACCAGTACCATGCTGTTTCGGTTACTGTAGCCTTGTAGTATAGTTTGAAGTCAGGTAGTGTGATGCCTCCAGCTTTGTTCCTTTGGCTTAGGATTGACTTGGCGATGCGGGCTCTTTTTCGGTTCCATATGAACTTTAAAGTAGTTCTTTCCAATTCTGTGAAGAAAGGCACTGGTAGCTTGATGGGGATGGCATTGAATCTGTAAATTACCTTGGGCAGTATGGCCATTTTCACGATATTGATTCTTCCTACCCATGAGCATGGAATGTTCTTCTGTTTGTTTGTATCCTCTTTTATTTTCTTGAGCAGTGGTTTGTAGTTCTCCTTGAAGAGGTCCTTCACATCCCTTGTGAGTTGGATTCCTAGGTATTTTATTCTCTTTGAAGCAATTGTGAATGGGAGTTCACTCATGATTTGGCTCTCTGTCTGTTGTTGGTGTATAAGAATGCTTGTGATTTTTGTACATTGATTTTGTATCCTGAGACTTTGCTGAAGTTGCTTATCAGCTTAAGGAGATTTTGGGCTGAGACGATGGGGTTTTCTAGATATACAATCATGTCATCTGCAAACAGGGACAATTTGATTTCCTCTTTTCCTAATTGAATACCCTTTATTTCCTTCTCCTGCCTAATTGCCCTGGCCAGAACTTCCAACACTATGTTGAATAGGAGTGGTGAGAGAGGGCATCCCTTTCTTGTGCCAGTTTTCAAAGGGAATGCTTCCAGTTTTTGCCCATTCAGTATGATATTGGCTGTGGGTTTGTCATAGATAGCTCTTATTATTTTGAAATACGTCCCATCGATACCTAATTTATTGAGAGTTTTTAGCATGAAGGGTTGTTGAATGTTGTCGAAGGCTTTTTCTGCATCTATTGAGATAATCATGTGGTTTTTGTCTTTGGCTCTGTTTATATGCTGGATTACATTTATTGATTTGCGTATATTGAACAAGCCTTGCATCCCAGGGATGAAGCCCACTTGATCATGGTGGATAAGCTTTTTGATGTGCTGCTGGATTCGTTGTGCCAGTATTTTATTGAGGATTTTTGCATCAATGTTCATCAAGGATATTGGTCTAAAATTCTCTTTTTTGGTTGTGTGTCTGCCAGGCTTTGGTAACAGAATGATGCTGACCTCATAAAATGAGTTAGGGAGGATTCCCTCTTTTTTTATTGATTGGAATAGTTTCAGAAGGAATGGTACCAGTTCCTCCTTCTACCTCTGGTAGAATTCGGCTGTGAATCCATCTGGTCCTGGACTCTTTTTGGTTGGTAAGCTATTGATTATTGCCACAATTTCAGATCCTGTTATTGGTCTATTCAGAGATTCAATTTCTTCCGGGTTTAGTCTTGGGAGGGTGTATGTGTCGAGGAATTTCTCCACTTCTTCTAGATTTTCTAGTTTATTTGCATAGAGGTGTTTGTAGTATTCTCTGATGGTAGTTTGTATTTCTGTGGGATTGGTGGTGATATCCCCTTTATCATTTTTTATTGTGTCTATTTGATTCTTCTCTCTTTTTTCTTTATTAGTCTTGCTAGTGGTCTATCAATTTTGTTGATCCTTTCAAAAAACCAGCTCCTGGATTCATTAATTTTTTGAAGGGTTTTTTGTGTCTCTATTTCCTTCAGTTCTGCTCTGATTTTAGTTATTTCTTGCCTTCTGCTAGCTTTTGAATGTGTTTGTTCTTGCTTTTCTAGTTCTTCTAATTGTGATGTTAGGGTGTCAGTTTTGGATCTTTCCTGCTTTCTCTTGTGGGCATTTAGTGCTATAAATTTCCCTCTACACACTGCTTTGAATGTGTTCCAGAGATTCTGGTATGTTGTGTCTTTGTTCTCGTTGGTTTCAAAGAACATCTTTATTTCTGCCTTCATTTCGTTATGTACCCAGTAGTCATTCAGGAGCAGGTTGTTCAGTTTCCAAGAAGTTGAGCGGTTTTGAGTGAGATTCTTAATCCTGAGTTCTAGTTTGATTGCACTGTGGTCTGAGAGATAAGTTTGTTATAATCTCTGTTCTTTTACATTTGCTGAGGAGAGCTTTACTTCCAACTATGTGGTCAATTTTGGAATAGGTGTGGTGTGGTGCTGAAAAAAATGTATATTCTGTTGATTTGGGGTGGAGAGTTCTGTAGATGTCTATTAGGTCTGCTTGGTGCAGAGCTGAGTTCAATTCCTGGGTATCCTTGTCGACTTTCTGTCTCGTTGATCTGTCTAATGTTGACAGTGGGCTGTTAAAGTCTCCCATTATTAATGTGTGGGAGTCTAAGTCTCTTTGTAGGTCACTCAGGACTTGCTTTATGAATCTGGGTGCTCCTGTATTGGGTGCATATATATTTAGGATAGTTAGCTCTTCTTGTTGAATTGATCCCTTTACCATTATGTAATGGCCTTCTTTGTCTCTTTTGATCTTTGTTGGTTTAAAGTCTGTTTTATCAGAGACTAGGATTGCAACCCCTGCCTTTTTTTGTTTTCCATTTGCTTGGTAGATCTTCCTCCATCCTTTTATTTTGAGCCTATGTGTGTCTCTGCACGTGAGATGGGTTTCCTGAATACAGCACACTGATGGGTCTTGACTCTTTATCCAATTTGCCAGTCTATGTCTTTTAATTGGAGCATTTAGTCCATTTACATTTAAAGTTAATATTGTTATGTGTGAATTTGATCCTGTCATTATGATGTTAGCTGGTTATTTTGCTCGTTAGTTGATGCAGTTTCTTCCTAGTCTCGATGGTCTTTACATTTTGGCATGATTTTGCAGCGGCTGGTACCCGTTGTTCCTTTCCATGTTTAGCGCTTCCTTCAGGAGCTCTTTTAGGGCAGGCCTGGTGGTGACAAAATCTCTCAGCATTTGCTTTTCTGTAAAGGATTTTATTTCTCCTTCACTTATGAAGCTTACTTTGGCTGGATATGAAATTCTGGGTTGAAAATTCTTTTCTTAAAGAATGTTGAATATTGGCCCCCACTCTCTTCTGGCTTGTAGGGTTTCTGCCAAGAGATCTGCTGTTAGTCTGATGGTCTTCCCTTTGAGGGTAACCCGACCTCTCTCTCTGGCTGCTCTTAACGTTTTTCCCTTCACTTCAACTTTGGTGAATCTGACAATTATGTGTCTTGGAGTTGCTCTTCTTGAGGAGTATCTTTGTGGCGTTCTCTGTATTTCCTGAATCTGAATGTTGGCCTGCCTTGCTAGATTGGGGAAGTTCTCCTGGATAATATCCTGCAGAGTGTTTTCCAACTTGGTTCCATTCTCCCTATCACTTTCAGGTACACCAATCAGACGTAGATTTGGTCTTTTCACATAGTCCCATATTTCTTGGAGGCTTTGCTCATTTCTTTTTATTCTTTTTTCTCTAAACTTCCCATCTCGCTTCATTTCATTCATTTCATCTTCCATTGCTGATACCCTTTCTTCCAGTTGATCGCATCGGCTCCTGAGGCTTCTGCATTCTTCACGTAGTTCTCGAGCCTTGGTTTTCAGCTCCATCAGCTCCTTTAAGCACTTCTCTGTATTGGTTATTCTAGTTATACATTCTTCTAAATTTTTTTCAAAGTTTTCAACTTCTTTGCCTTTGGTTTGAATGTCCTCCCGTAGCTCAGAGTAATTTGATTGTCTGAAGCCTTCTTCTCTCAGCTCGTCAAAGTCATTCTCCATCCAGCTTTCTTCCGTTGCTGGTGAGGAACTGCGTTCCTTTGGAGGAGGAGAGGCGCTCTGCTTTTTAGAGTTTCCAGTTTTTCTGTTCTCTTTTTTCCTCATCTTTGTGGTTTTATCTACTTTTGGTCTTTGATGATGATGATGCACAGATGGGTTTTTGGTGTGGATGTCCTTTCTGTTTGTTAGTTTTCCTTCTAACAGACAGGACCCTCAGCTGCAGGTCTGTTGGAATATGCTGCCATGTGAGATGTCAGTGTGCCCCTGCTGGGGGGTGCCTCCCAGTTAGGCTGCTCGGGGGTCAGGGGTCAGGGACCCACTTGAGGAGGCAGTCTGCCCGTTCTCAGATCTCCAGCTGCGTGCTGGGAGAACCACTGCTCTCTTCAAAGCTGTCAGACAGGGACATTTAAGTCTGCTGAGGTTACTGCTGTCTTTTTGTTTGTCTGTGCCCTGCCCCCAGAGGTGGAGCCTACAGAGGCAGGCAGGCCTCCTTGAGCTGTGGTGGGCTCCAGCCAGTTCGAGCTTCCCGGCTGCTTTGTCTACCTAAGCAAGCCTGGGCAATGGCGGGCGCCCCTCCCCCAGCCTCGCTGCCGCCTTGCAGTTTGATCACAGACTGCTGTGCTAGCAATCAGCGAGACTCCGTGGGCGTAGGACCCGCCGAGCCAGGTGTGGGATATAGTCTCGTGGTGCGCCGTTTCTTAAGCCGGTCAGAAAAGCGCAGTATTCGGGTGGGAGTGACCCGATTTTCCAGGTGCGTCCGTCACCCCTTTCTTTGACTCGGAAAGGGAACTCCCTGACCCCTTGCGCTTCCCGAGTGAGGCAATGCCTCGCCCTGCTTCGGCTCGAGCACGGTGCGCGCACCCGCTGGCCTGCGCCCACTGTCTGGCACTCCCTAGTGAGATGAACCCGGTACCTCAGATGGAAATGCAGAAATCACCCGTCTTCTGCGTCGCTCACGCTGGGAGCTGTAGACCGGAGCTGTTCCTATTCGGCCATCTTGGCTCCTCCCTCCAAGTATGTACATTTTTTAATGTCAGAAAAATCTTTCCACAGACTTAAATTATCGGGAAGAAGTTTCTTTTTTCAAGGCAGAGTTGCTTAAAATGGATTGGATGATTTCCAAGATTTTCAAAATAGGTTCTGATCTGGCTTGAGACATTTATACATATTTTTCAAAAACAAGACACTTTTGGGAAAATTAAATAAGATTAGAAGATGAGGCTTTCTGAGCAAGAAATGGGTTTTACAAATTAACTATTAAAAAGCCTACTTACTATAAATTCAATTTAATCCCAGTGAAATCCAAAAAGGTATTTTTTCTTTTTTGGTGGAAACGGAAAAGTTAATTCTGAAATTTACATGCAAATGAAAAGTATCTATAAGAGACGATACTACCCGTCAAAAGAACAATGTTGGACGACTCACACTATCTGACTTTAAGACTATAAAATGATAGTAACCTAAACAATATGGCGTGAGCAGGCAAGGAGATGGTTGGAACAAAATATATGCCATTAATTAATTTTCAACACAACGTAAACAGTCAACAATTTTTCAGTTAATGCTGTTTAATGGAGAAAGAAGTTTCTTTTCAACAAATAGAGCCACAACAACTACACAAATGTGGGGAAAAAATGAACTTTAATTCTTACAGCATATGCAAAAATCAGTTTAGGATAGATTATAGTTTTAGCTATGTGGTTAGGGCTGCAGGTCTCTTAGAATCATTGTGGTACCGTAAAACTATAGAGCTTCTGGAGGAAAATGCAATATTTTTGCAGCTTTAAGTTTGGGTGGATTGCTCAGAGGGGACACAAAAAGCAATAAATATAAAGGAAAGAGTTAAAAATTTGACTTTACCTGAATTAAACTTCCATTGATTGAAAGACTGTAGAAAATGAAAAGTGGTCCGGGCATGGTGGCTTACACCTGTAATCCCAGCACTTTGAGAGACCCAGGGGGTGGATCACTTAAGGTCAGGAGTTTGAGACCTGCCTGGCCAACATGGTAAAACCCCATCTCTACTAAAAATACAAAATATTAGCCAGGTTGCAGTGATCGCCACCTGTAATCCCAGCTACTTGGCAGGCTGAGGCAGGAGAATGGCTTGAACCTGGGTGGTGGAGGTTGTAGTGAGCCGAGATTGTGCCACTGCACTCCAGCCTGGGCAACACAGTGAGACTCCATCTCAGAAAGAAAAAAAAAAAGAGGAAATGAAAAGTGAAGTCACAGATTGGGAGACAAAGTATTTGCAATACATGTATCCGACAAACGATTTATCTCTCCTAAAAATGACATAAAAAACTCCTAAAAATCAATTTAAAAGAAGAAAAATAGCCTAATTTTTAAATGAGCAAAAGACAGATACTTTTCTAAAGGAAGATCCCTAAATGGCCAAGTTCATGAAAAGAAGCTCAACATCAATTGTTATCTGGGAATTGAAATTTGAAGCCCAAATGAGGTACCACTACACACACACAACAATGGCTAAAATTTTAGAATTGACAATGACAATATCCAGCACTGCTGAGGATGTGAAGAAACTGGAATTCTCATACATGTGGTGGAAATTGTAAAACTGTTCAACCACTGTATGGGGTTGAATAGTGTCCCCCAACTTCATGTCTAACTGGAACCTCAGAATGTGACCTTATTTGAAAATGGGATATTTACAGGTGTAATCAAGTTATAATGAGGTCATGCTGGTTTAGAATGGGTCCTAAATCAAATGACTGGTGTCCTTATTAGAGGATGGAAATTGATACACAGAGACACAGAGGAGACATACAGGGAAGAGGCCAAGTGAAGACAGATGAGCTTGAGGCAGAGATTGAAATTATGCTGCCACAAACTAAGGAATGCCAAGGGTTGCCAGCAACCACCAGAAGTTGGAAGGGGCAAGGAAGGATTCTTTCCTAGAGCTGTCAGAGGGAGTGTGGCTCTGAGAACACCTTGATACTGGACTCCTGGACTCCTGAACTCAGAGAATAAATTTCTCTTGTTCTGATCCACCCAGTTTTTGGTATTTTGTTATGGAATTCCTAGGAAAGGAACACCACCACTTTGAAAAATGTTGGCAGTGTCTTGTAATATTAAACACCTACAACTTCCCTATGACCCAGCAATTCCACTCTTAGGTATTCACCTAAATAAAAGAAAGCATATATCCACACAAATACATATATAAGAATGTTTATGGAAGCTTTAGTGATAGTAGTCAAAACTGGAAACATTTTAAGGATTTACGAAGAAAACGAATAAAAAATTATGTTCATATAGTTGAACACTATTCAGCAATAAAAGAATAAAGTACAAATGCACTCTACAGTGTGGATGAACATCAAAAATATATTGGGCAAAAGAAGCCAGACACAAAAAACGCATGTATACTGTGTGAGTCCATTTACATGAAGGTCAAAGTCAGGTAGAAGTGTTCTCAGGTAATAGAAACCAGTGAGGGCAGGGACTGGCCTGAGAGATCATGAGGAAACATTCTCACGCATTGGAAAAGTCATGCGTCTTGATTGTGGCAGTGTTTTACATTAGTGTATACACATTTGTCAAAACTCACTGGATTATTTCCTTAAATGAATACACTTTATTAAATGTAAATTATAACAAAACATAAACCTTGGAGCAAGCCCTCGTATATAATGCTTGCCTCAATCAAAAAGAAAAGAAAACCCCACTTTAAAGACTGAATTAAAAACTTCTATCCCCATTCCCTTTCTTTCTTTCTTTTTTTTTTTTTTTTTTGAGATAGGGTCTCTCTGTCATCCACCCAGGCTAAAGTGCAGTAGCGTGATCATGTCTCACGGCAGCCTCGACCTCCTGGGCTCAAGTGATCCTCCCTGCTCAGACTCTGTAGCAGCTGGGACTACAGGCACAAGCCACCATGCCGGGCTACTCTTTCCATTTTTTAAAACTGCATTAGTTATCTACTTTCTAAACTCACTTTTAATTCTTAACAGGTAAGTGATTATCATGTAACTTATTTTTGTTCTCCAACTTTTCCAATCTGCACTGAACGTAGCAATCGTCTGTAACTGTCTACTTCTTCTGTATATGTTGGCAAAGGCTTAGGTTTCAATTTCCCTAGCTGAGGGGATTATAATGACTTAGGACACCATTTGCTCTCTTGGTTATTTTGCTTAGGAAGGATAGGTACTTGCAGGGGCCAATGAAGGGCAAAGTAAAAATAACTATCCTGAACTACAGATACACAATTTAAACAGCATTCAAAATGTTCTTCTAAAAAAAAAAAAAAAAGGAGTACACAGAATTTGGCCTGTCACAGAACAAAGAAAATACCAGCTTCAGGTGGACAGTACCCCAGTTCCGTTCTGACAGCTTCTTGGCAACTGTTAATATGTATGGAGCTTGAATGGATGGGTAGGAGGGAGGATCGGAGGGGAAACAGCAGAAGAATGGGGGCAGAAGAGGAGAGGGAGGGACGTGGAGGAGCCCAGGGATCCACACTGCTCAGCTGCTTCTGGGTTTACGGTGCAGCGCGAGCGCCATCATGTGCTCATCTCTGTAACTTCAGCGGAAGAAACGCGTTTTTCCCCGCCACTGCATTTGAGGAATGGAAAAATAAACCAAAATCGTTCATCGGGCCTGAGAAACCTTGAGAAGCATATTACCCTACGGTTGTTTTTTCATCGAAAAGTTGAAGGATTTCTGACATCTCAATTAGTAACGCATCTGGAATGTTTGCTCTCCAGGTACCTATTATTTGTTCCTTCACTCATCAAATATTTATTGAACGCTATGTGCCAGACACATACAAGCAGGAGAAAGGCAGGCGTGGTGGTCTAGTGGGGCAGACAGACATGTGAACAAATGGCTACAGCAGTCTGATAAATATTCTAATGCAGGAATGAAAAGAACATCTGGAAGCTAAATGAGAGCATTTAATATTTGACAGAGACGTTCAGTGCTATAATCTAATTATTGTATTGAAAACCTGTGTTGATCCTATTACTTGTATCACTTGTCCATAACCTCTTTAAAATCTGGCTAAAATTATTAATTGGTTGATTGATTCAAATTATTTATTGAGAGCCAATTATGTGCCAGGTACTACCGCTGTATCACTATTACTCGTATCAATTTTGTCCATAATCTATTTAAAAATCTGGCCAAAATTATCAATTGATTCATTGATTCAAATTATTTATTGAGAGCCAGTTGTGTGGTAGGTACTACTGTTGGTGCCGAGGGATACAGATAAAGATGGGAAAGACAGAAAACAGTTCTTCTTTTGTTAAGCTTAACTTCCATGTGTGGAAAGTGAACCATCAAGAAAAAAATGTTTTCTGTCTGTCTTTGATACAAAAGCCATTTTCTTGTTTATTGCCTGTTTATCTATGTTATTATTTCCTACTTTCCCTCTATAGCGTTTATTCCCCACTTTTTCTAAACAGTTGTTTCAAACTATTTCAGGTTACACTGAGAGTTTAAACAAGCATAGCTTTCTTAATGGCTTTGGAAAATTTACTTAACTTCCTATTGCTCAGAGGAGCACCAGGGTTTTAGTTAGTAGTTGAGCCATGAAGTGGGAATTTGGGAGGAGATTTCTAATCCTGGCCCTGTTATAGTTTCATTTGTCTGGTTTACCTCCCAATCTCAGCTTTTCCTGGCCACTTCAGGGTCATGCATATAATAAATATTAGGGCCAGGCGCAGTGGCTCATGACTGTAATCCCAGCACTTTGGGAGGCCGAGGTGGGCAGATCACGAGGTCAGGAGTTTGAGACCAGCCTGACCAGCCTCATGAAACCCTGTCTGGACTAAAAATACAAAAAATTAGCTGGGCATGGTGGCGCACGCCTGTGATCCCAGCTGCTCAGGAGGCTGAGGCAGGAGAATTGCTTGAACCCGGCAGGCAGAGGTTGCAGTGAGCCGAGACTGTGCCATTGCACTCCAGCCTGGGCGACAGAGTGAGACTCTATCTCAAAAATAAATGAATAAATATGAACAATCTCTGATAATTTTAGACTCAAAAACAGCAGGTAGTAGGAAGCTGGAAGAACACTTGTGTTCATACCCAGCCTCTAGGCCTCAGCGATCGCAGCGTTCAGGGAGAGCGGCAGCCTCCCTCCCTGAAGTCCCATGTGGAGATGGCCCTGCTCCAACAATGAGGCGCCGGAGCGGGAAAAAGGAACTCCTCTAATGACATAAAACAAGTGAAAATTTATATGATCAGATGAGCTAACAAGCTTGAAAAAAAAATGTGATCTTAATGAGCAGAGCATATTTGTTAACAATGATTGGGAAAATAAACCTGCTTTATGGCTATGTTCTCAAGGCGTTGCGACTCTTCACTAAATCATCCTTGTCTCATCTTGTGTTAGGTTGTTCACTTCCATTGCTCACACGTGCTCAGCCCACACAGTTGGTGTGTATAATGGGGTCATATACTACCGCTGAAAAAATTCAGAAAGTTCTGCTTCAGTTCTGCTTTTGCCAAATCACTGTGGCCTATACGTCAAGGAAGAGGGACCTAGGAAGCCCAGAGTTTTCCATTACTTTCCCTACCAAATCAAAACACAACCCAACGCCCATGCTTGTAAGCATATCGGCTTCCGGTTCAGCTTCTTTGGAAGATTCTTTTCACTTCCACTGACATTTGCAGGGAGAATTATATTAAACTGAAGCTAATAAGACCATGTGTTACTTCATATAAAATATAATTGTAAATACAATCCTTGGCAACTATTTATTTTACCTCCAGGTGTCTCGAGTGTTAAGCACCAAACTATCTTTATTTTCTTTATGAATTTATAGGAAAATGTCTTTATGGTCACAGTACCATTTTGAGAGAAAAGAAAAAAATCTTTCTTTAAAACAAACAAACAAACAATTCTTGTGGTCAATAATTGAAATTATTCTCTGCCTAAATTGCTCTATATTTACATGACCTAAAAAAAATTGGAACTTATGTAAACATGATGACAAAATTAAAATGTTATTTTCTGCCAGGCACGGTGGCTCATGCCTGTAATCCCAGCACTTTGGGAGGCTGAGGTGGGAGGATTGCCTGAGGTGAGGAGTTCAAGACCAGCCTGGCCAACATAGTGAAACCCTGACTCTAATAAAAATACAAAAATTAGCGGAGCGTGGTGGTGGGAACCTGTAATCCCAGCTACTTGGGAGGCTGAGGCAAGGAGACTGGCTTGAACCTGGGAGGCAGAGGTTGCAGTGAGCCGAGATTGCACCACTCCACTCCAGCCTGGGCAACAGTGTGAGACTCCAACTCAAAAAAAAAAAAAAGAGAGAGAGAAAACTGAGTCACAGAAAAGATAAGTAACTTTCACAGAGTCACACAGAGAGTAAGTCGTGGAGGCAGGACAGTCTTGTTTGGTACTTTTAACCTCAGTGATAACCTAATTGTCTCTACAATCTTCATCTCCCTTCAGCTTTGGCTGTCTGCAGAATGTGTCTTCCTGATTAACCCACCAGCTACTCAAACTTAACTTGTTCCAGATGGAACTGAGAATCTGTTCTGATTCACCTGCTGCCTCCACCCTTAACTTTGACTGCCTTCCCCCTCTTTCCATTCTGATATTTTGATAACAATATTATCATGCTTGATTTTTGTTTTTGTTTTTGTTTTTGTTTTGTTTTTTTTGAGACGGAGTATCTGTCGCCCAGGCTGGAGTGCAGCCTCCCGAGTAGCTGGGACTATAGGCGCCCACGACCACGCCCAGCTAATTTTTTTTTTTTTTTTTTTTTTTTTTTTAAGTAGAGATGGGCTTTCCACCGTGTTAGCCAGGATGGTCACGATCTCCTGACCTCGTGATCCGCCCGCCTCGGCCCTCCAAAGTGCTGGGATTACAGGCGTGAGCCTCCGCGCCCGGCCCATGCTTGACTTTTCTGTACCTGTGAGTGCTTGCTATAAACTTGGCCCTGCCTGTTGCCATATTCTAGCAGTGAAACAGCTTGAGTCTCTCCTCTTTCCTTTTCCCACTGTTGTCTCTTAGACACTGCTCCACTGTCTCCCTTCTCCAGTTAATTCTAAACTACACTGGTACCCAACAAAGCTTACAAAAATATACTGCTAATCTTCCCATGCCCTACTAAGAAAGCTTTAGTAGCTTCCTTATAAAATGAGTAATAAACTCCTAAAGTTTTCACTCTAGGCTATTCATATCATAACCAAAATTTTGTTTCAATCCTTATTGCCATTTCATCCGCTGTCCTTGCCTGTCCTCAGTTTGCTTGTTATAATGTTATTTACTTTTTTGTTGTTATTTCTGATTTATCACCTTAATACCAACCCACTGCTTCCAACTCAATATTTAGTATCTTTCCCATGTTCCAGATATCTGGCAATTTCTCTTGTTTGGCAAATTCTTCTTTAGTAATCTTTCATATCTTCCCTTGGCTGTTCATTTCCTTTGCTGTTGTTGAGGTTCAAGCATTCTTGCCTAGGCTAGAGCAATACTTTCCCAACTACTCTGTGTTTTCTTTCCTTCATTAACTTTACTCAGCATTATCACTGTCAGGGTAACACTATCAAAACAGACACTTTTACCCTGTATGTTTCCTGTACGAAAATTAAAATGGCTTCTTATTTATTATAGATCAAACTCTAAACAGGCCAACATGTTGCACAACTACAGGAGGCTCCATTCAGGTTTTATTCTATTGGAGTCTTCAAACTTCTTAGTTTGCCATGAACAGCATTTTGCAAACCAGTAGTAGAGATATTATTAGAGTACAACTGGCCTCTCCTCCCCAATGACTCCCAACACAGACATATACAACTAACCCCAAAAAACAACCATCATGTTCAGGCACGTCAGAGAAGCATTGAGTTGAATAGGTTCTCCTTACTGTGGACTTTCAAGCATCTCTAATTTGCTAATGTGTATTATGAATCTCCACATGGGAAATTTATGGAAAAGGTTCTTTTTTTCTTATCACTTTTAGACATGTCCCAGGATGCCAGAGTTCTACAACCTAGACTTGAGGAAATCCTGCCCTGCACATTCTCTGCCCAGCCATTGTCCCAGGTCAATTTCTGATGAGCTTTCTGATGCCAGCTCATTAAAAAGGTCTTCCCTCACCATCCTGGTTGAAGTGGCTATTCCTCCCTGTGCCGTCATCCTGTTTTATTTTCCTATAATGCTTATCACAATTTGATGTGATGATTTTTTTTCCCATTACATGTTTGTTGCTTTTTTACTCTATAATATTAAATCTAAAGGACCTGACATTCTATCTTGCTTTTTTTTTTTTACTGTCTCTCCACCTATGATAGTATCCGATTCACTAAATATATTTTATTTTTATTTATTTATTTGTTTTAAGGAATAGATGTACCCACCAAAAGCCTTGCTTGCAGCCACCTCCACGTCTCTCAACCTGCCTGAGTGCAGGGCTTATGTTACAAGGAATTCTCAAAGCTGTGTTATCAAAGCTGTGAAATCAAAGTCTCTACCCCTCTGAAGTTTACCCGGATGGCCTGACTCATCCCAGAGTAAGTTCTTATTCTATTGCACTTCTATTAATATAGTATTAGTATCTGAACTCAATTTATTTTGAATAATTAATATTTTTTTAAAATAGAAATGCTACCTTATTTACCCAACTATAATGTATCTGTCTTGTGGCCAGGAATGGTGCCATACTTTGATATTTTTGAGGATCTAGTAGAGAGGGCTTCTCTTAAGGTAGGTAAACAATAGATATTCCCCCTCTACTACCTCTAAGGATGCAGCGTGATGCTTACATGTGGAGTCTCCATTCCAATAGGAGGAATAACCCAGACATTTCTGGAAGGAGGTAGATAGTAGGTTGCATAGCAGGAGAATCTCAGAGACTTGCTTCTGGCTGTCTCATACACACCATTTCCTGGATATTACAGATATTTTCTAAGTCTCCCCTGTAAGCTATGTGGATCAGAAATTGGGGGAAAAGTCTCCTTTGGGCCTACAGTTTTGAAAAGGAATTAGAAGAGTCTGATCAGTCATGAACAGAGGAAATACAGACCTTTCAAGGGAGCAAAGGAAAATTTGCCTCTTCTCAGTTTGCAGAAAGATATTTCCTACTTACATGGAAACTTTAAAAAATGTATGTACTATGCTGTTTAAGGGACATGTTCCTTTGCAAAATGCTTAATTTACATTATTTCAAGGTGTTTCTACACATGCCATTTTATATCAATATGTAAATAAGACAGATGGAAAATACGGAAGCCATAATATACTCAGTAGTATCTCTGATGGCCAAGAACTTTAACAACTCAAATAAAATACACATTGTGGATTGTACTTGGTGGAGATGCTATACATTCTCCCCTTTAAAATCCTTTATTGCTTTAAAAGAAGTAGCTATAATTGCCAGGAGTGGGGGTGAAAAGGTATAATGAAGGAGTTAGGAAAAGAGGGGAGTTTAGAATAAAATAATAGACTATGAATGAAAATGCTTGTGTCATGTATACATTTGTCTTAAATTCAACACAGACAGCAGAACCTCTCCAGCGTAAGGGCTTTGGGTTGAGATGATACGTCCTGTAGGAAATCGATAGCCATGTGCATTTTAATGTAAGTCACTTAAACATTAATCCATCTTCAAAATCACCATAGGCATTCCATTTCTTACTTTTATTTCGAAACGAGATGTTCTTTGCCGAGACAGGTTGAAGCATTTGGTTTCCACCCAAATGATGTGGATTGAGACCATCTGGAGAATCTACCCTGGCTTTTTTTTTTTTCTTTGTTAATGGAAAGCCTGGATGTTTTAGTGATTTATAACTTCCGTGTATTTTAACACACTATCTAATTTTTTCCCCTGGTAGAATTTTATTTCATTTGGAACATTCATGTGCTGACGTAATATGCCACATGTGAAACTTTTCTAATGATAAAATCCAGTATATGTGCTGCATGTCAAGTCACGTAGCTGGAGGGGTGTGATTTGAAGCTGACTTGGCTCCACCTGAGAGCCTGGATCCTCTGGAACATACTCAGGGTGCTAGCTTCAACCTGTCTCAGACATTTCTATCTGGGCCTAGCCTGGGACCTTAAGATTAAGGCAACACATTTATCTGCATGTCAATAAATTAGCCCTCCCACAGGAGGGTTCTGCAGGCTCTCTTGCTTTGAGATGCTCTGTATAAAAAAGGGTTGGATTATCAAGTACATGTGAGGAATTGCAGAACTCCAAATGCCCATTCTAGAATTCACAAGGCGTGTAAGCATAACACAGCTTTGAGAATTCCTGGAGAGCCACAGAATTTGGGTCTGTTCTGTTCCCTTGGTTTTACTGACCTCATCTCCTTCATCTCTTCGCCATTGCTCCGGTCACACTGACTTTCTTGGGATCCTCAGACATAGGAGGCTCTCTCTTCGGACATGTTCTTTTCTCAGCTTGAAGCACTCCCCCTTCCGTCCTGGATAGAGACATAGGTCCCTCTCCCACCTCCTGAAGTCTTTTCTCAAGTGTCATCTTCTCAGGGAGACGTTCCCTGATTACCTTACATAAACTTGCAAACGACCCCCTCCCTGCTCTCCCTGTTGACATTTGCAGTTTTATTTTTCTCAAACACAATTATCACCATTGCTGCAAAAATGCTGCATTCACACAGAACCTCAAATCCCATGGTGTGCAACAGTAAACGTTTATTTAGCTCCAAGTGTGCAGTGCTTGTCTGATCTGTCCTGTGTCTGTGGCCAACTGTGGGTCTCTAGGCAGCTCCACTGATGTGGGCTAGGCTCGTTTCCAGGTCTGTGGCTCCCCTGGCTGCTGGCTAATCTAGGTGGGGCCCAGTGAGGTGGGAGTCTTGCCTCTGTGGCATGTGCCTCTCAACCATCAGCAAACTAGCAAGGTGCCCCATTGGCTAAAGCAGGTGGCATGGCCAAATGCAGAATCAGAATTCAGGCATGGTGACATGACACAGCCAAGGTGGGGATACAGAAAGAAGCGAACAATTTGGTCAATTTCTACAAACTACAGTTCATATAATAATTTTTACTTTTTTAACAAATTAGTTTGTTTCCCTCTACCAGAATGTAAGCTCCATGAGGACAGAAGTTTTATTAACTTTGTTAATCACTATATCATCTTCCCCAGAACAGTAGTATCCAGTGTGTACTAAGTATCCAATAAATATTTATTGAGTGAATACATTAATACATAAAAATAATCCTATTTAACTTTAACATAGGATTATTTTTTAGTTTTTGTGATTTGAATTTCCCTCTCTCTCTCTCTCTCTGTCTCTGTCTCTGTCTCTCTCTAGGGGTCGCACTTTGTTGCCCAGGCTGGTCTTGAACTCCTGAGCTCAAGTGATCCTCCTGCCTCAGCCTCCTCAAGTTCTGGGATTACAGGTGTGAGCCACCATACCTGGCCTGAATCTCTTTTAAAAATAATTTTAATTTTAGATTCATGGGTATATGTGCAGATTTGTTACAAGGTATAGTATATTGCCAGATGCTGATCTTTGAGCTTTTACTGATCCTGTCACCCAGATAGTGAACATAGTAACCAATAGGGAGATTTTCAGTCCTTGCCCTTCTCCCTCCCCACTCTAGCAGTCCGCAGTGTCTATCATTCCCATCTTTGTGTGTACTCAGGAATTAGCTCCCATTGTAAGTGAGAACATACTATATTTGATTTTCTGTTTCTATGTTAATTTACCTAGGACAATGGCCTCTAGCTGCATCCAAGTTGCTGCAAAGGATATGATTTCATCCTTTTTTATGGCTGTGTAGTATTCCATGGGGGTATATGTACCACATTTTCTTTATCCAATCCACCATTGATGGGTGCCTAGGTTGATTTCATGTCTTTGCTATTGTGAATAGTGCTCCAATGAACATATGAGTGCAGGTGTCTTTTTGGTAGAACAATTTATTTTCCTTTGGGTTTATATGTAGTAATAGAATTGCTGGGTCAAATGGTAGTTCAAATTTTTTTTTTTGAGAAATCTCCAAACTGCTTTCCACAGGGACTGAAATAATTTTACATTCTCACCAACAGTGAGAATTTTGGAATAATTCTCTAACTCTGTGAAAAATGATGTTGGCAATTTGATAGGAATAGAATTGAGTCTCTAGATTGCTTTGGACAGATGGACATTTTAGCAATATTGATTCTTCCAATTCATTAGTGAGGAATGCTTTTGCATTTGTTTATGTCATCTATGATTTCTTTCAGCAGTAACACAGTATTTTCAAGTGTGTTTTTCAATTCATCTCCTTTTTAGAGGAAAGCCAATAGAATATCACTTTAAACCAGAGAATATTCAGGTATCCCTTGCCTTTCTCACTGAAAATGTAACCTCCAGGAATTAAAGAAAAATCTATCAGAATTTATTTTTGCCTCATTTCATTCATCTAAGATTTGGTAAATGACTTTTATGTATCAGGTTATGTACCAGTGCTAGTAAAAATGGAAAACAAGCATACAGCATGCTTCTGAGAAATCTCAGTTAAGTCCATAAAGCAAAACTCTGAACAATAGAATATGCTTTGTTATAACGTTATTAAAACAGTTCCCATGAACACAAAAGAAGTGTTCAAACATGCCATTAACCTAATAATAGAACATTTCTGTTCACACAATTTAGTATCTCCAACCAACCACAGTTTCACCCTTATCTTCTGTTCTTCCCAAATTCTATCCATCCTTCAAGTCCGACCAGAAATGGAACAATCTCTGACCAAGTTTGCTTATTGACCTTTTCCCTAAACTAATTTGAACCCAGCATTTATTCTATGTATTATATTAACGTATAATTCCTGGAAACACCTATTTCACTGTTTTTTATAGGCTGTTTAACTTTCCTAATGTTTACCTTTTCACATGTGGATGTCATCTTTTCAAAGAGCTTTTCAAAAAGCCATTTTGGCAGGGTGCGATGGCTCACGCCTGTAATCCCAGCACTTTGGGAAGCTGAGGCAGGCAGATCACCTGAGGTCAGAAGTTCGAAACCAGCATGACCAACATGGTGAAACCCCATCTCTACTAGAAATACAAAAATTAGCTGGGGGCGGTGGTGTGTGCCCAGCTACTCAGGAGGCTGAGGCAGGAGAATCGCTTGAACCTGGGAGGCAGAGGTTGCAGTGAGCCCCGATCGCACCACTGCACTCCAGCCTGGGTGACACAACGAGACTCTATCTCAAAACAACAACAACAACCCAGCCACCTTTGGAACACATATTTTGTCTCTTTCTAGAATTGCAAAGAATAATGCTTGCCTAATTGGTACTCAGATAATTAATCAGATGCATGTAATGAAATTGGAAACATTTAATCTCCATTGATCACCCAGTATGATCAGATCTGATAATGCACATGTCTACCTATTGGCTGGAGGTATAGAAATATTTCTACTTAGGACTGGTGTTTATCTACAAACCTTAACTATATTGGAAACCAGCGACTACTTTGTATAAAGCTACAAATGCAACTCAATATTTTTAACAGGTTAAACAAAAACTGACAAATTTTCAGATGGTTTGGAAATAAATAACAGAAAATTTTAAACTGCCAAACTCTAAATGTACCGAAAATAAACAGATTTCTCAATTGGCAAAGAAGATGTTGAAAAACAGAATAAAGAAAAAGCTAAGACATGTTACCTGCTGTTCTGTGGCTCCAGGGCAGAGCAGTGGAGCATTCATTATCTTCAATTAGTTTTGCAATTTTTGCACACCTGTGTATCCTACTCATCAACCCCATTAAATTGTCTTTTAGGAGTAAATTTTGCTTAACATGACACTCAATGTGTGGGAAACCCCCCAAGTAACAAGACTAACAAGTCAGTTTATTTAACTCAAGAAGAATTGGAATCCTACATTTGACTTGGATGTCTTCAAAAAAGGCCAAAAGATGCTCATCAAATATTCCAAATATATACTGATAAAAACAATGCTACAAGTCATAAATGTGATGATAAGAAAAGGACAATTGTTTGTTTACTCACAGTCATAGCAATCAAATCATAATAGTCCATTTAGGCCCTATTAAATAAAGACTGTGTCTCAGTCAATAATTCAAAGACAGGTATTAGGATAGTGCCATTCCCAACTCCTTTTTCTCTGGTTCTATATTATCTAAGTAACTTCTTACACTCATTCATGACTCTGTTCTTTATGGAGGGGACGCTTTGTTCAGCTGACTAACTGATTGCTTTATGAACTTGCTTCCAATTTTAAATGAATATTTGGTTAGCGGTCTTACTGGCATTTGAGTGGCATGAGTCATGTGTGTTTAAGCCTTATTCTCCTGAAATGAGATGACTGTGGAGATATTACACCTGCATAATTGAGAAAACTTCCACTGGACTTAGAGTGATCTTACAAAGATACCCATCATAGGCAAGACCTGAAATAATTTCTTTACCTCAAGAACTGGTATCAGCTACAAACATAAGCAAATATACACATATGCTAGAGCAAATATCATTTAAAAAGAAAAAGGTGCTATTTTTGCCAAATTCTATTAAACTTGAATCTCATTCATTTTCATATTTCCTCCCTTCTTTTGCCTTTTATGCAGATATTATAAAGGAAAATACTAAATATTTGATTACATTAAAATCTTTCCATTTTAAGAGATTATAAGTAAAACAAAAGTAAGCATTAGGAAGACATTTTCAACATAAAGAAATTATATGGATGACTAAGAAAAAGAGATCATTCTTTCCTCCCTTCCCCAACCTTGACCTGGCCTTCCTAGGGTAAAAGACAGGTTCATAAAATCAGAAATGCAAATTTTATTTTACTTTATTAAAATATTTTTTCAAGTTTCATTGAGGTACAATTCATCAACAAAAATTGTATGCATTGAAGGTGTATAACATGATTATTTGACATATGTATGCATTGCAAAATGATGACTACAATCAAGTTAACTGACATACTGTTACCTCACATAGTTACCATTTTTTGTGTGTGTGGTAAGAACACTTAAGAGCTACTGGGGGAAGTCAAGATGTTACTGTTGTTGTTTGTGAGCTTGTGGCTTGACTCTGCAGGACTGGGATCTTAAAGAATGCCACAGTGGCTGAAAATGCTGGTCTGAAGGCCAAAATCTGTCATCAAATTGAGTATTAATTTGGAGACTTCAATTTGCTGTGGGACAAATTTTTAAAGGAACAGGTTAAACTAAATGAACGGTGGGTACCTTTGGAGATATTGATAAAATTCAACAGGTTAAACCATCTCACAACAGACTTTAATGTAATTGTGGAAGCACTGAGGACATCCAAGGCAGAACTCATGGAAATCAGTGAAGATAAAACTAAAACCAGAATGTCTCCAAGTAAACCCCTCCTTGAAGTGACCGATGGGTATAAAAATGATGTAAAAAACATCTATTTGTATCAAAGGCTTCCCAACTGATGCAACTGTTGATGACATAAAAGAATGATTAGAAGATAGAGGTCAAGTACAAAATGTACCGATGAGAAGAACATTGCATAAAGCAGTTAAAGGATCAGTGTTTGCTGTGTTTGATAACATTAAATCTGCCAAAAAGTTTGTAGAGACCCCTGGCCAGAAGTACAAAGACACAGCCTACTAATACTTTTCAAAGAATATTACTTTGCTGAAAAAAGTGAAGAAAGCAGACAAAATAATATGGAGGATAAATTAAGAGCTAAAGAAGAGCAAGAAGAAAAATAAAAGCTACATGATGCTGAAATGAAATCTCTAGAAAAAAAAGACTGGATGCTTGCTGAAATTTTTGGGTGACTTAGATGATCAGACCTGTAGAGAAGGTTCACACATCCTTTTCTCAAGTCACGGTGAACTAAAATGGATAGACGTTGTCAGAGGTGCAAAAGAGGGAATAATTCGATTTAAAGAAAAAGTCGAGGAAGCATTGGGTAAAGCCAAAGATGCAAATAATGGTAATCTACAATTAACAAAGAAGTGACTTGAGAAGTACTAGAAGGACAGGTGGAAAAAGAAGCATTGAAAAAATCATGAAAGACCAACACGAACCCCTAAACAAATGGAAGTCAAAAGGTCGCAGATTTAAAAGGAAAGGTTAATAAAGCTGCCTCGCCTGAGTTTGTTAAAGGAAAAGTACAGCTTCAGGGTAAGAAAATGAAATTTGTTAGTGATGATGAACATGATGAAAATGGTGCAACTGGACCAGTGAAAAAGAACAAGAGAAGAAACAGACAAAGAAGAATCTGCATCAAAACAACAGAAAACAGAAAATGATGCTAGAGACCAATAGCTTAGTAAACAAGTTTTAAATCCATTTTAATTAGTTTTTAAGCTGCTTTTGGTTTGGGGGGCTTTTAAAATGAAAACCAAATTGGATCTACTTCAGTGTCCACCTGTGAGAAAGGAAAAGCTTTTTGTTGTTTAACTTGTCTTTTTTTGTTATCCAAATGAGGATTCTTTTGAATGTATAGTTCTGTTTGTGTTATTTCAGATGATTCAAATATCAAAGGAAGATGCATCCACTAAATTGCATTTGTAATATGAGAATATATTTGTACAAACCTAATAAAATATATACCATATAAAAAGAAAAAAGTCTATTCTCTTAGAAAATTTCAAATATACAATGCAATATTATTAACTGTTGTCCCCATGCTATCTGTTAGATCCCCAAGACCTATCAATCCTGTAATTGCAAGTTTGTACCTTTTGACTAACATCTCATTTCCACTGCCCACCCCCCCCCCCCCACCAGCCTCTGGTAACTACCCTTCTACTCTCTGCTACAGTGAGTTTGACTTTTAAAAATTCCACATGTAAGTGACATCATGCGGTAGTTTTCTTTCTGTGTCTGGCTTATTTCACTTAGTATAATCCATATTGTTGGAAATGGCAGCATTTTCTTGTTTTTTTATGGCTGAATAATATTCCATTGTGTATGTGTGTGTGTGTGTGTGTGTGTGTGTACTATATTTTATATGCATCCATCTATTGATGGACATGCAGGCTGTTTTCATATCTTGGCTACTGTTATTAATGCTGCAATGAACATGGGGGTGCTGAGTGACCAGGACAGCTGTCATCCATTGAAAGCTAACTAACTACTCTAAAATTAACTTTTGTACTTTATGGGAGCAAAAGAATGTCCTGGGAAAATTTGAGAGGAATTAAACAAAAAGGATGGAAGCATTTTAAGAAAGAAGCTTATGAGTCTCTTGGGAAAACAATATTTTAAAAAGTCCAAACTGTAAAATAGCAGACAAAAACATACATAAAATGTTAAGAGGAAATGCCATAAACATTTTTTAATTAATTACTGGTTCCATATCTGTCAGATTAACGCCCTTCCGTCACCCTGCCGTATACCGCTTTGAAAATGAGGACAGGGATGAGGGAAGCAGCAGACATAAATCAGAGATATTTTCTTCAAGGTTTAGGAGAAAATGTTTTCTCTAAAGCCAAACACCTATAATCTCTGCTTTGATTACAAATAAAAAAGCAATTTTTCAAAAAGTCACTTTGCTGATAAACCCACTCTTTATTTCTTTTTAAAACACATGATTAAAAATCCCTCTTAAATGACAGTCTACAAGGAATGTTGAAATGTCTTGGAATATCTAAATGCTTCCAGCTGCTTCCTTAAGTTTAAAATATTTTCTTAAAGGGGATTTCCAGCCTGTTGGCAGCAACAAGATAGAACTTCTCTGTTTTTTTCCTTTGTTTCTGTTTCAATTTTTGGATTTCACGATTTGCTTAAGAGAGACAATAAAATACATTCATTTAGAAATTTATATTACTTCTTAATTGCTTACTAAAAGTATACTTTACATTAGTTTGAAGTTGTTCAAGTTAGTGGAGAATGATACATTAAGATAACAGCATTGCTGAAAAACTTTATGACATTGGTTGTGGCAATGATTATTGGACATGACACTAAAAGCACTGACAACGAAGGCAAAAATAAGCAAGTGGGACCACATCAAGCTAAAACTTCACAGCAAAGGAAACAATCAGGAGGTGATAAGGCAACCTATGGAAAGGGAGACTAGATTTGCAAACCATAGATATAATGAAAGATTAATATCCAAGCTATATAAGGAATTCCTACAACTTAATAGCAAAAACCCTAATAACTCAATTTAAAAATGAGCAAATTACTTGAATAGACATTTTTCCAGAGGAGGCATACAAATGGCCAGGTATATGAAAAAGCACTCAACATCACTAATGATCGGGAAAATGCAAATCAAACCGCAGTGAGAAGTTACCTCACATCTGTTTCTATGCCCATTTTATGTATTTATAAGTATGTATATATAAAGATAAATGTTGGTAAAAATGTGGAGAAGTTGGAACCATTGTGCATTGTTGGTAGGAGTGTAAAGTAGTGCAGCTGCTATGGATAACAATATGGAGGTTCCTCAAAAATTTAAAAATAGAACTACCATACGATCCAGAAATTTCACTTCTGGGTATTTAACCAAAAAAATGAGATCAGAACATTGAAGAGATATTTGAACTCCCATGTTCATTGCAGCATTATTAGCAATAGCCAAGATATGAAATAACCTAAGCATTTATTGACAGACGAATGGATAAAGAAAATGTGACATGAGCACACAGTGGAATATTTTTCAGTCTCAAAAAGGAAGGAAATCTTGCAATATGCAACAACATGGATAAACCTGGAGAACACTATGCTAAGTGAACTAAACCAGTCACAGAAGGACAAATGCTGCGTGATTCCACTTATATGAGATATCTAAAATGAACAAACTTGTAGAAGGAGAGAGAATAGTATATGCCAGGGACTAGTGAGTGTGGGAAAAGGGGAGTTGCCACTCAATGGAGTTAGAGTTTCCAATATGCAAGATGAGTAAGTTCTAGAGAGTCTCTCTACATCATTGTGTCTACAGTTAACAATACTGTATTGTATGCTTAAAAGTGAGTTAAAAGGGCAGATTTCATGTTAAATGTTCTCAGTACAATAAAAAATGACAAATGTTACAGTTTAGTTTACAAATGTATAAAATCTTCTTTAGGATATAATATTGGTGAAATAATTTAGTTTGCAATTACAATTATCTACATACTATGCAAATCTCTCAGAGAATATTACTTGACAAGTCTTACAAAATACAGTTTGTTTTGATGCTACATATGAAATTCTTACATCTTACCTTTTACCAAAAATGTAAAAAAGTCTGATAGAACGTATCTGAAAATTCTAAAAAAAGACACAACTTTTCTCTGCTGAAGTTTAGAAAATTAGAACTAGAAGGAATGTATAGTATTTTGCCAAAAGATGTCATATATAGAGTTAGAGATTAAAGTAGGGTAAGAAACAATCGGGTATCTTGCTCTGAGCTCATAAGAGTATACAAGTTTTAAACTTGTTGCCCATCAAAGGAAGATTTCTGGAGGTAAAGCATAGAAAGCAAAGAGATAGTGTGACTCAGTAAATTTCCTTTAATCCAGGTCCTAAAACTCTGATTAGCAAACATGAAGACTAAAGTTAATATTACATACCAAAGATTAAGAAAGTATTTCTCCTATGCCTCCCCCATAGTAGAGGTACCAGTTGTATCTCCTCTGCCATATATTCTCTCTTAATAGAGAATCAGCAAAATCTTGGGCTCTTTCTTTTGACAGAAGCTGCCTTATGTGAGCAATCCACACTGGACATAGAGTGGGCCAGTTAGATTGTCTCACTCACAAATTCCAGAATAAAGCCATGGAAAGAATGAATCAATAATCTGTGGAGAATTGAAGTGGAAAATTCTTAATTCTCCAAGATTAAGGATGCCATTTTAGATTGGTTTTGATGGTGAGCAAGGAAGTCAGTCCACGGAAGAAGAAATAACCCGGGAAAAGTAGAGATAAGAGATGTCGCAACTGGACAGACAGAAAATTACTGCCCTCAAGATATTATTTTTCAAATCAACAAAGGTTTACTGGGTACTTTAGGACTGTGCTCCAAGCTGGGCAAGAGTTGGGATATGTGGTAGGCTGATAATAGATCCCAAAGATCGGTCCATGTTCTAATTCCTGGAACCTGTACATACAATCTTATTTGGAAAAAAGCTCTTTGTAGATTTGATGAAGATTTTGAGATGAAGAGATTATCCAGGTAAACCCTAAATGCCATCACAAGTGTCCTCATAAAAGAGAGGCAGAGGGAAATTAGACACACTCAGAAAAGGAGGAAGCAATGTGACCATAGAGGCAGAGACTGGAGTGATGTGCCTTCAAGTCAAGGAAGCTGACAGCCACCAGAAGCCACAGGGACAGATTCTCTCCTAGAGACTCCAGAGAAGGTCTGACGCTGATGACACTGATTTTGGCTCAATGATTTCAGACTTCTGGACTTGAAGAGAATAAATTAGAACTTGGAGAGATTAAATTTCTGTTGGTTTAAGCCACTAACTTTGTGGTAATCTGTTACTACAAAGCTATGGGAAGCTAATGTAGAGTTTTTGGCAGCATTAAATAAAAGATATGTTCTGTTCTCAAGGAGTTTAGAATCAATGAGGTTAGAAAAACAGCACTCAATTAACCTAAAAAAGTAATTCTTTATTAGAGGGGTAAGTTGACAAAGAGCTATGACAAAAGAACAAACATGCAATTACTTCTAGTGAATTCTAAGACATTATGATATAGATGGCATTAATACTGGGCCCTGAAGCCAAATACAGTTCATTTGAACTAAGATTATTTTAAAATTTCAGTGACAAAACCCATAAGTGCATGATCAGTACATTATAACTTCTCTCCTACTCAAATGAAACTAGTGTATAGTGTATGTATAAAAAACAGAGATCAAAATTGAAAGGAAATATCCTTTGTAAGATGCTAGGCAGGTCTATGAGTAATGATCACTATGTCCAGTGATAAAAGTATGGCTGTCTATCAAACCTTCACATTAAAAAATTCTCAAAATGTATAGAACAGATTAAAAAATCACATTTCTTTCCAATTTGATTTAAATTTTAGTTTCCTTTCCCCCTAAAGTTGTGAAAATGCACATTTGACATTATTAAACCTGAAACTGATTTTTCCTACCCTATCTAACTTTTGGATTATTTCAATATTTTTTATGGCTATTTAAGTTTTCTTTACAGGAAAGGAGAACGGGCTATATATTTACTGAAAAATAAAATCAAATATGAATGACCACATTTGTGGAGGAGGAATCAAATTCAGATTAATAATAAGTTAAGAAGCATTACTTTCTAATCTTCAGGCTGAGGGACTCCTGTTTTGTTGAAATGCTGGGACAGAAAATTCTGTAATGGCGAATTCACAAAGAGTTATGAGCACGGAGTGCTGCCTTCCTGCCACCTTCCAGGGCTGCTTTCTGGTCATATCTGTCAGCTAAATTCCTAGTATATTAAGCTGATCCTTTTCAGAAAGGATTTAACAAGTAATATGCTTAGCTTAAATAGTGCCAACATAGCATTGCACACGGAAATTCCCAGCAATTCTGAGACAAATTTGGGTTGGGTAAGATAAAAAGATATAAGTCAAAATTCCTCAGAAACTATTACCAAGAAAAAACACCACTGCTCCAAAACAAAAAGAAAACAAAGCACATTAGCTCTGGTAGACACTATGATGCTTACCAATATCCAGTTCTCTTTTCTTCTGGGGCTTAGGGGAAACTACCCCTCCTAGCACCCTTGCAGTTGTGTGTGGCCTTTGACTAGTTTTTGTGCATGAAATGTGAACAGAAACATCTCTGTGAGATTTTCCAGTATTCTCACTCTTCCACTAAAAGGTGTTCTGAAACTACATTTTCCATAGTGAAGCTTCCATCAGTTGGAGATTGTGTGGAGTAGGGCAAAATACAATGTATTGGACACTCAGAGTTAACAATAAATGTAACTTCATTGTATTAAGACCCTTAGATATCACAGTTAAATTGTTACTGCAATATAACCTAGGTTATTCTAAGGAACATACCAGTTAACCAAAAGAAACAGACACAAAAATTATATGTAAAACAAACCAGAAAGAAATTCGTTTGAGTTTAGTGTGACTGCATATTTTTTCTGTTTTAGGTTTGAACATATATACACACTACTTTTATGAATGAAAAAATTATACTCTAAAAAGAGATTATCTATAAAATCCTCCTGAGTTTAAAGGGAAAACAACCACTTTTTATTCTTAGATATTTGCATTCCCTCTTCCAGTCATAATCCTGGATGTTTACAAATAGAATAAACTCTAAAGGTAAGCTGGTTTTTATCCATCATAAAATTTTAGATTTCCTATTGGTGGCTTCCTCCATGTAGTTCCTTACTTTATTCCTTCTTTCCTTCAATCTTATGTTATTTCCCAGCACGTTGACACTCAGATTATTTCGTTAGTTCTGCAATAATGTTTTATATGATGAATAGAGGGAATTGTTTGAAACTAGTTATTGAAGCTTGTCTTGATCTTATTCTAAGTCATGGAAAATCCCTCTGAGTTCTCTGCTAAGGGGCCTGGCATCACGTGAAGCTTTGCTACTTGCCTGGAAACAGCAATTTCACCTTTGAGTAAGAATAATCAGCAGTTTATGAATGTTTGTACATCTCTGTGTACGTGTGTGGGTGTGCCTGTGTGTGTTTGTACATGCATGTATGATGGAACATCTTGGATTTTGTAAAACAATACAATTTCAACACTCCCTCCATAGTTGACAAATGCTCTGTATTTCCCCTCCATCCCCAACTTGTCATTTCTATCTTTTTAGGTTAAAAGAGTGAGTTGTATTAAAAATTAAGTTTTAATTGTTAAATATGTAAAATGTAGCAGACATTTAAGTAGCCACCATTAGTATCTGGAAGCTATAAACACTTTCTCCAAATCCGTGAAAAATTACAAACAAGCCAATAGAAAAATTGACAAAAAACATGAATAAGTAATCTACAAATGAAGAAACTAGAATTCTCATTATACATATAAAACAATGTTTAATTTCACTAGTAATTAGAAGAATGCAACAGATAAGTATCATTTTGTAGCCATGAAGTTAGACATAATGATAAAATCTAATAAGGCTTAGCACCCCAAAACAACCAAACTCTAATACATTGTTATTAGGAGTGAATATTGGCACAACAAAGTGAAAGAAAAAGTTGGAATTATTTAGTGTTATGGGTTGAACTATGTTCACCCCAGAAAAGGCATGTTGAAATCCTTATCTCCAGTACCTCATAATGTGACCTTATTTGGAAATACAGTCATTGCAGATACAATTAGTTAATATGATGCCATACCAGTTTAGGGTGGGCCCCTAATCCAATAGGACTGATGTCCACATAAGAAGATGGCTGTGTACAGATACAAAGACCCAGGGAGAATGCTATGTGAAGAAGGAGGTGGAGATTGGAGTTATGCTTCCTCAAGCAAGGAATGTCTGTGGTTACCAGAAGTGGGAAGAGGCAAGACAGCATCCTTCCTCCCTACTAGAGTGTTTGCAGGAGGAATGACTCTGCCAACACGTTGATTTTGGATCTCTATCCTCCCCCAAAATGGGACAATACATTTCTTTTCCATTAGGTCCCCAAGTTTGAGATATTTTGTTGTGGTAGACCTAGGAAACTAATACATCTAGTTAAGCTAAAAATATGCATACTGATGATTCACAATTCTATCCACCCTAAACAAATTCTCCCACATTAACACAAAGAACCCAGTGAGTGCAACTTAGGGTCTTTCAAAAGTATTCTATGGACCTCATGGTAGATGTTTCTGTGTATGTATAGTAGGATGGGGTGGAGAGTGGTAAGCTAATGTGGTTGTTGGCCCCTCATCCTGGCTTCAACCACAGTTATTTGTTTTTAGTTCTGCTTAAGACTTCCCTTGAATAAAGAATTCCATGACTAAAAGGAAACTTGAAAGCAAGTGGAATAAGAAGACATTCTTTTCTAAAGTGATGACATTTCCTTTTAGAAAACTCTTTGATCTAATTTAAAGCTTTTTCTCTTTGTACCTCCTTTTTCGGTGTTATTATTTTATCTATGTATCTTATATACAATATTTTTATTTTAGTGAATTTTTTCCCCTTCTGATATTTTTACTCTTATATAGGTTTAATTTTATTGTTGACATAAGTTAGCAATAGTAATTTATCTGTCCTATCAATCAAGACTTCATCTGTCACATTTTTCTTAGCTAAATTATAATTATAACCAACTTTGGATGGTATGAAGTATGGATCAATATTTATTTATGCATATGTATATCTAATTGTTCCAGCATGATTTATTGAAAAGGTTAGCCTTTTCCACTGAATTGTCTGTGTACCTTTGTCAAAAATAAATTGACCATATATGAGTGAGTCTGCATCTAGACTTGTTACTCTGTTTTGTTCATCTATTTGTCCAATTTTAGACCAATGACATACTCTGTTGATTACCGTAGCTTCATAATAAGTCTTCAAATCAGGTAGTACAGCAACTTTGTTCTTTCTTTACAAAGTTTTTTTGGTCATTACCGGTCCTTTGCATTTCCATATGATTCAAAAACTAATCCAAAATGAATCAAAGACAAATGCAAAACTAAAAAGCATAAAATTTTAAAATGAAATCCATAAGAAAATTTCCATGATCCTGGTATTAGGCAAATAATTTTTAGATATAATACCAGAAGCATGATGCACAAAGTAAAACATCAATAAATTAGATTTTATCAAAATTAAGAACTTCTGCTCTTCAAAACATGATGTAAACACAATGAAAAGTCAAAGACTAAGTGAAAATATTTGCAAGTTATATATCTGATAAAAAAATTTTAATCCAGAATACATAAAGAACTCTCAAAACTCAATAGAAAACAACCCAATAAAAATGGGCAAATAACTTGAAAAGACACTTCACCAAAGAAGATATGTGGATGACAAATAACTACATGAAAAGCTGAAAACACAAATTAAAAACACATGGAGATATCACCTCTCCATGTGATATCATCACTTATTAGGAGGTCTAAAATTAGAAAGACTGACTATTCCAAGTGTTGACAGGGATATATGGAGGAGCTGTAATCCTTATACACTTCTGGTAGGAATATAAAATGGTACACCTACTTTGGAAAACAACTTGACAATTTCTTATAAAATTAAGCACACACTCCTATATAAGCACCTTTCCCTTTGTAAGTATTTGTCCAAGAGAAATCAAAGCATATGTTCATACAAATAAATCGTGATGGATTTATTTATAAACTGGAAGCAATCTAGATGCCTATCAATGACGAACAGATAAACAAATGGTGGCACAGCCATATGATGAAATACTATTCACCTATAAAAAGAAAGGAACTATTGATATATACACCAACATGGATGCATTCTCCTCTAACTTTTCTCTTGCTAGCATTTTCCCTCCATATGTTCCAGCACTAGTGCAGGCCTTTTATTTCCTTAACCATGACTATGTTATCCACATCTCTGCTTATGCTGTTCTTTTTATCTAGAATACACTACCTCCTCTTCAATTAGGTACATTCTATTTATCTGTAAGTTTAGTTTCTTACTTTAGTTTCTCTGAGAATCTTTCCTTGATCATGGGACTCTGTTACATGTTCCTATGGGCTTCTCCTATCAGATTAGCATTTAGAGTATAACTTAGTGTAGAACTGTGCAGATTTTGGTGTTAGGCAGTGCGATGGATTGGATGGGATTTATCTTCAACAATACTCATGTTGAAATTTGATCCCCAATGTGGCAATGTTGGGAGGTGAGGCCTAGTGGGAGGTGTTTAGTTCATGGGAACAGATGCCTTATGAATAGACTAATGCCTTCCTGAGAGAGTGAGTGAGTTCTCACTCTTGAGGAATGGGTTAGTTTCCATGAGAGTGGGTTGTTAAGAGTCTGGCTTCCTTGGTTTCCCTCTCTTGCTTCCTCTGTCATCATATGATTTCTTTGCACATACGTGCTTCTCTTTTGCTTTCTAACATGAATGGAAGCAGTATGAGACCCTCACTGGATACAGCTGCCCAATGTTGGACTTTCCAGCCACTGTAATCATGAGCCAAATAAACCTCTTTTCTTTATAAATTACCCAATCTCAGGTATGCTTTTATAGCAAGACTGAACAGACTAAGACAGGCAGACCTCTCTCAAAATCTCAAATCTTTGCTTTCTTAGCTGTGTGACTTTGAGTAAATTGTACTGCCAGGCTAAGCATCAGGTTTCTTCAATTGTAAAGTGATGAGTAAGTTCTATAAAACTATTAAAGGAGGTAATGCATACAAAGTGTTTAGGATGGTGCATGATTTTTTTCAAAGTACAGTAAGTCCTCATTTAACATCATATATAGGTTCTTGGAATCTATGACTTCAACCAAAATGATGTATAACAAAGCCATTTTTATTCCTCATCAGTGTTATAACAAAAGAGTTGAACAAAAGGACATTGTTTGTGGATCTGCTGTACATCATTTCACTTGAAGTCCCAGTTTCTAAGAAACTACTGATGAAGTGAGGTTCCTAGAACCTATTGATGACATTAATAGGTTAACTATTTAATAAGTCCTCTCTTAATAAGTAATTCAGTAAATGAATGCAGTAAATGTATTGACATCAGAAATTATTTTCTCAGGAGCCATATCACTTACTGTATTCATGATAGCTTATTATTTTACTGAATTTTTATTTCTTATTTAACTACCATTCTCTGCCATAACACTGTGAGCTTTGTTAAACACAGACTATATCCCTCCTATTTGTTCATTGTTGTTTCCCCAGGATCTAGAAAATATTGGGCACATAATAGGTAAATGAGTGAAAGAATGAATACTTAAGACTCTATTTTCCTGTTAAGAGAGAGCTCTTGCTTTTATTGGAACTGTACCCATTCCTCGTAATCTACAAGTTATCACAGAAGCAGCCTATGTTCAATGTAGCTACCTCCCTGACTGCACTTAATTGGCCCAGGGATTGGTTGCTACCCTACATGGATTAATGAGTCTGTGCCTTTGGATTTTGTGCTTTTGTTCAAAAACGCAGAAAGATACAGTTGTTCAAATCTTTGTGTGGTTGAGACTATAAAATGTAAACATGAAGGTTCTCAATTTTTGCTACATCAAGGAAAAAGTCTGCATTGAATAAAAGAATAAAGAATGACAAGAGAAAAGTAGAGAGGAGATAGATGGGCTTGGGAGTGATAGTGGTAGCCAAGGCTGTAAGGTTGGCAAGTGAAGGCTGGGGAGTGGTAAGATTTAGGTAGTGGTTTTAAATATTATCTCATTTCCACTCATTTACCTCCTGTTTGGTGAGGTATGAGGACATTTAGGTTACTTGAGCATTGTCCCAATATAAATAGAGATTTTTGTTCTTAGACATGGAATTAGTTGTAGATTCCCAAGTCCTATAATCAATGTCACTCTTTGTTGATGGAAAAAGAATGCTACAGCTCATACATGTTTAACATGTTCAGTTTTCATTATATAAGACCCCATTCATAAAACAAGTGCAAAAGGATGGTGTACAGCACTGGCGTATTAACAGAGTAAAAGGTTTAACAAATCATTGCCCATATCCTGTAATCAAGCACATAGAATATGACCTAGTTATCTATAAAAAGCATGATAACTGGATCAAGATAAAGGAACAATATTTATAGCCTTTCCAACACAAATGTAGAATATAAGTGTATTAGAAGAACACTAATAAATTAAACATAGAGTTATATGATTCAAGGTTAGCAGGATTAAGAAAATTACAAACTAGGCTAGGAAAATCCTCTATGAAATTCAGTTCTCTCTCTTGGGTATCTGACCTAGCCAGTAGGGCTGGGATAGCACATTCATGTTTTTTAATGCTTCAGTTCTATATATTTTGAGAATCTCCAGGCACCTAGCACAAACCTTTGAAGGTTCCCTTGTCCCCAGGCTTATCAGCACTTGCAAATAGATGCCTGAGGGCCTTAATCCAACCAGTCAGCAGTCAGGGAGGCTCTGCCTTTCAAAGCCATTTGAGAATCAGCTGGGAACAGCCTCGCATACTCAGAATAAAATGATATAGCTTCTGAGATAATTTCTGATGTTAGAATAAATTCATGTATGTTGTTCCCCAAATACTCTTATAAGCACTTCCATTGAAAGATGTACGCCATGTCACAAAAAGTAAAAAACATTGTTTATCTGCTATTATTTTATTTTCTTTGGATGGGGGGAGCAAAATTGCATATAGAATTTAGAATAATGGGTGAAAATTATCATCTAAAAATTCTGAATCTCTCATTCACAAATATCCTCTCCTTTTTCTTTTCCTACATTTCTCCCACTGGCCTCTGCTTTCTCTGTCTCCTACTGTCTCTCTTCTAAAGATAAAAATCTTGTGTTAAATAAGCAATGCCAAAATAAAACGAGAACGCATTGCCAAGAAGAGAGGTAGAGCACAAGTAGATTTTCATTCAGACAAATTCTTTTTTATATAAAAAAAATGGTCTGGTTGGTGGCTTACACCTGTAATCCCAGCACTTTGGGAGGCTGAGGTGTGTGGATCACCTGAGTTCAGGAGTTCGAGACCAGCCTGGCCAACATGGTGAAACCCCGCCTCTACTAAAAATACAAAAATTAGCTGGGTGTGGTGGCGGGCGCCTGTAACCCCAGCTGCTTCAGAGGCTGAAGCAGAAGAATCGCTTGAACCCCAGAGGCAGAGTTTGCAGTGAGCCAAGATCACACCACTGCACTACAGCATGGGCAACAGAGCAAGACTCCGTCTAAAAAAAAAAAAAAAAGGAAGAAAAAAAAAAACCAAGTATATCTCCTGGATTCCTATATTAGTTTCACTTTTAGAATTGATGACTGGTGTCTCAATTTAGATCATCATTTAAATAAATTTAATATATGACAGGATTTGAAATGGGATTTTCCTGCTCTCTTGGGGTTTCAGGTAAGCCTCAAATTTAGGATGACCAATGGTAATACATTCATATTCTAGAGACAGCCAGCTGGGAGATACATGCATATGATTCATTAACAAGAGAAGAACTGGTCCAGTGACTATTAGCCATGTCTTGAAATTCAAGAGGAGAATGTCTTGAAAGGAATGGTTAGGAGTAAAGAGAGCTTTGACTTTTCTATTTCCCTTGTAAGGGTGGTGAGGGGAAGAGATTGTCTATCTTGTCCCTATCCTCATGCAGGCCAAAATTTAGGAAGATCTAAGAGAATCAAATGTAGAGTTTGGAAGTGTCTAAAAAGTAGGCAGTATCAGAAGGGCGGGAGGAGTGAGCATTACATGCTCACAGTCCTACACTCATAGTTCAGCCACCAGGACAGAGCTTGGTGAGAGAACTCTTGCAGAACGGTCTGATGTGTGTCTCCAGGCATTTGGGACCATGATGCCTGGATATGAATGTCTGATTTTAGCTGGAGAAGTGGTAACTGGCTGAAATAGACATGTTTAGAGAGAGAGGGACCCACAGTGGATCAAGATGTAGGGCCACATTTAGTATGGCAGAGATGCCGTGGGTGTGTGGGCCAGGTCCCTAGCTGTGACTGGAAAAGTACAAAAGCTGAGGCAGGATTTGAAGAGATCAGCAACGAGTCCATTATCCAAGCCAGGGACATGGAATTGCCCACGCAGATGCTCCATTACCACAGCATTCATATATACAACCTGGTTCCCTTTCGCTCATTTCCCTGTCCTCAGGCCTGATGAGAGCTGATGGAAAATGAGTGTACAAGCAGACCCTGTTGTGACTGAAATTGAATGGAACTGGATATTTCAATACCTGAATGAGGCCAGAGGTTGAGGGGATGTTAGTAAAGGGTAAGGAAGGGGGTGCTCACCAAGCTCTGGAGGCTATGATGGAAGAGAAACCAAGTTGTGTCCTGTGTGTGCCTCAATCAGGGCCAAATATTATTGCTATTTGTGGCAACTGAGTATCACAGCAAAAATATACTGGTTTGAATACTGTGAGCTAACATTTCAATCTCAGAAACTAAATGATTAGTGATTAGACCAGAGCCTGTGCACTTTTTGAACTCATTGGAACAGAAAGCAACCTGGGCTGGGCATGGTGGCTCCTGCACGTAATCCCAGCAATTTGCGAGGCCAAGGTGGGAGGATCACTTGAAACCAGCAGTTGGAGACTAGTCTGGATAACAAAGTGAGACCCTGTCTTTAGAAAAAAAAAAAAAACCTAAAAAATTAATTTAGCTGGGTATGGTGGCGTGCATGTAGTCCTACCTACTCGGGAGGCTGAGGCTGAAAGATCACTTGAGCCCAGGAGTTTGAGGTTGCAATGAACTATGATTGCACCACTGCACTTCAGTCTGGGAAAATGAGCAAGACCCTGTCAAAAAGAAAAATAAATGAATAAAAAAGAAAAAAGAAAAGAGAGAAAAAAGAAAAAGAAAGCAACTTATTATTTGTGTATTTATATCCTCTAGCTACCACTTTGTGTGAAGGCACACATAAATACTGGAGGAACAGAGACCCATCTGAGGGCAGAAGGATCAGCCAGTCTTTATTTCCATCTGTTCTCAGACAAACATCTGTCTCACATTTCTGACAGGCTGGTTGATGTGGCTTCCCTGATTCCAGTTTGCTGCATGTCCCAGTGACTAATTCTTTGGTGGGTTTCATTTAGGAACCCTTTGGGTATGCCTTAAAGTAGAGGTCTCTGTCGCTTCTGCCCCCTGAGCTAGTGCCTGAATAATTTATTCCCACAGCTTCAGATACTAAGCCTCATTACAAATTGAAAAATTAGATTATCTCATGGTCTGAGGTTGAGGAGAGCTTCAGTTCTGTGGCTAGGGCTGGAAAGGCAGCAACAGCAGAAAGCTGACTGTGGTGTTTTATTGCTGCTTTAGACCTCATTTTTAAGATAGAACAAACCATCCTCTTGGATTACTTATTTATTCATCGCCTTTCTTGCCCTCTGGTGTGTAAGTTCCACATAGGTACTATTCCATCACCTAGAAAGTATCTGTCAGCTTTTTGCAATGAATGAAGGAATAAAATATCTTTATTGTAAACATCGTGATCACAGATTGTACATATATTAACCTAATATATATATGGAATTTTTGTCCAAATCATCCAAAATTTTACTCATCAGATGGTGGATACGTGTCAAAACACTAATAGCAAGATTGCAGTAAGTTTAGCCATTACTTCTTGTACAGAATCCAACAGTTCAGTAAGTTCTTATTTAACGCCTTAACAAGGAAGAGATACTGTCTCAGACCTTAAGAAATTTGAAACACTTGGAAGATAAAGACAATATTTAAACATGTGAAACAAATAAGGTGCAAGATTCTCCTGTGTGCCTACTCTGAGAGAGAATGTTCCCTACCTTGGCTTCAAAAGTGAAGACACTGTATATCAGTTCTATGGAAATGGCAGATCTCCCCAGCGTAAAACGCATTGTGAGTACAAAACTGGATCCCTTATGAAAACTAGAGTTATTTTAAGAATGAAATATTACTTCCATATAGATCATTAAACCAATATCTTTTCATAAAACAATATGTCTCTTTCTATATAAGTACTGATTTGTAAAGTCTAAGGTACATGTAACCTTTATTTTATTCGAGAATCATTTCCTGTGATTTTTAACGAGGGATACTTGGAAAAAATGGCTGAAGTTATCCGTATATCTTCTTATTAAACAAGCAATGAAAAATGCAATTGGGAGACATAAATAAGCTGAGAGATTTCTAGTAAATCGAAGGCTGCATATACAGCTGTTGAAATAGATGAAATAAATGTACTAGGAAATTTTTTGGGTACAAAAAATTCTACATAGTATCTTTAATTTAGTATTACTCTTTTGGATTTCTTTAAATGTCTTTAGATACAATGTTTGACCTAAACTTGTGATGGATAAAAGTGTGTATTTCTGTAGCATAAAAATTAAATAGGTTCTTGGCAAAAAGAAAGAAATACATACTGTTGCTCTTAAAAGATTTTAGACTATTTTCTTTGATGAATACTTTACTAATAATTTACTCCACAGCCTTTCCTTACAGGCTACTAAACTTCCATGCTAAACCTGAAATCACATCCACATTCTGTAGATGTGTGAGAATGTCATGTGTTGTTCAAAAGTTTTCCACTGAAGCCAACACTTCCTGTGTGTAGAAAACCTCCAACGTAGACCTCAAATGGGGGCGAGAGAATAGCGCTTTGTGTGTAGTCAGTGCTATGATAAACAATGAAAATCATTTTTTTTCTAATAGAATAAAACAAGATCACTTCCATAAACTGGTACATGCTGATTTACTTTGCATACTCATATTGCCACATATAGGCCTCCATTAGCTTTTAGTTCTATTGTGGAACAAAATTGGTGCAGTAACACAAAATCATTGGGAATAAATTTGATAATTTTTATGATAGTGTCAGTCTGGCTCGTCTTCAAAACACAAAAGATAAGGCATCAGACAATAAAATCCTGGCCATATTAAATGGGACAATCTCAGGAGACTGTAATTCTTGTCTTTTCTATTTAGTTACCTTTTTTTAGTCCTCTGTTTCCATTTCACTTCTCTGCTCCAATATCTCTGGTTCCCACTGACTCCAGGATGGACTCCAAACCTCCCACTTTGCCTGGAAACCTTCAGAATCTGGCTCCAACCCACCTATTATCTGAGGGTCAAGTCCTGCATCAGATTGTATTTTCCAATGTTGGCTGCAACAAGATCTTGATGTGACCTTGACATTCCTCCCATAGAGTGGTGGAGTCTACGTCCCCTCTCCTGGAGACTGAGTGGAGCTTTGTGACTGCTGCAGCCATTGGAGTATGGCAGAAGTGCTGTTATGTCACTTATGAGATTGGATCATAAAAATGCCACACACTTCCTTCCTCTCTTGGAATGCTGAGGCCATGTTGTGAGGAAGTCCAATGAGCCCCTGTGGAGAGACCATATAGAATGACTACTTTGAGATGTTCCAGCTTACAGCCCTGCTCGGCCCTAGCCAACAGCCAGCATCTTTCACCAGACATATGAGTGACGACCCTCCAGATGATTCCAGCTTCCAGCCAGTGAATCACATCTAGCTTTCAAGTCTTCCCAGCCGAGGCCCCAAGCATTGTGAAGCAGAGGTAAGTAATTCCTCTGATGCCCTGTTCAAATTCTGGACCCACAGAATCTGTGAGCATCATAAAGTGGATGATTTTTGTCATCAGATCTTGGGATGGTTTGTTACGTAGCAACAATAATTGAAATAGTCCCTCTGATTGCAAGCAGCTGAACCACATTTCAGACTAGCTCAATCCAAGGGGAGGGAACTTAAGAAGATATAAGTGCATCCGATTAAAAGGGAAGGAAAACAAAAAACTGAAAACTCATCAGAAATGAAGGCAAGCATTAATTCCATTTTCCTGAGGATCAGCTTATCTCTCTGAGGTCCTATGGTTTCAGATCTCTGCTTATCTGTAAATCTGGTTTGTTTATTTATTTATTTTATTTTATTTTAATTTTTGAGATGGAGTCTCGCTCTGTCGCCCAGGCTGGAGTGCAGTGCCGCGATCTCTGCTCACTGCAAGCTCTGCCTCCCGGGTTCACGCCATTCTCCTGCTACAGCCTCCCGAGTAGCTGGGACTACAGGCGCCTGCCACCATGCCCGGCTAATTTTTTGTGTTTTTAGTAGAGACGGGGTTTCACCATGTTAGCCAGGATGGTCTCGATCTCCTAACCTCTTGATCCACCCGGCATGAGCCACCGCGCCTGGACTGGTTCATTCTTTTCTGTCTGAGCAGGTCAGCTTTCTCTGCTTTTCAGTATACATAGTGATCTACGTCACCTCGATTTTGGCTGCAAGCAGAGTCAGAAATTAGTGTTTACCAGCCCAATTTTATATTTCTAAGAGAGAGGTATTCTCTTAAAGTCCTTCCAGGTAATTTTGGCCAATGGGTCAAATGTCCTATGAACATGCTGGCGTATATCTCTATGAGGTGCACAGTTAACAAAGGGATAATCTTAGTTAACATCCTCTAGAAAGTAGAGACTGAGGGAAGGGTTACAGGGGTAATATTTTATTTAGAAGGTGTGAGCCCAGGCTGGAGGGCATGTAGAAAACAGAATATGAAGTTAATGAAGGTGTGAAACAATGCGACGTGATACCTTATCCTGCTGCTGCCACCTCACAGCAAATGGATGTTGTTTTAGGCTGGTAACTTTGTGTTCATTTATTACAACAGCAATGGAGACTAATAGCAGTGCATAAGGATTAAATTCCCATCCAGGGGTCAGATGCTCTGAAAGCTGTCTCATATCTACGTAATCTAATATTCCACCATTTTCCACCTGAACCTTTTGTTACAATGTGGTCTCTTTGCACAGTGCTCACCAAAGCATTATAATCTGCTATTATAGTCTTGTTTTTATTCTTTTGCCCACATTCTTCCACAAGCTCAGAATGACCTCATGTCTTTCTACCTGAAGCCTGCTATACCATTTGTTGCACACAACTTCTACAATCTCTATGGACTTTATACAATGTACTTAATAATGAAAAGCACTGAAGAGAGAGGAAGAAACAGGGAAAAGGGAGACCAAGTCATATCAGGATTTGAATTTGAAAATCATCCAGGAAATCAGGTAAATCTGTTTTATAAATTTCCAGATTTGGAATCACAAATTTACTAGGTAGCCATACACTCAGTGCTGCCAATTTCCATTCTAGTTCATCTCCATTCTATTTTTGTATTTTTTGCTTCCTTTTCTTTTTCTTGTTTCCTCTTCCCTGCCTTTCTTTCCTCTAGATGATGCCTGGAAGTGTATTAACTATCCTGAGCTGACAACATGCCGACCCACTAATGGAAAATTGTGACTAACACACCTGCCAGGTTACTAGATTTTTCCCTTCATAGATATTTTCTTGGTGCATGTTTGAATGAATGGATGATTAATTGATAAGATTTTAAAAGAGTTCGGTTGACACCAATCATAACTGGAAGCAAAAGAGATTCATCTGAGTTCTTTCAAATTATGCTTGCCTGACACCTTCTCCACTTCAACTTGTTGAAAGGCCCAGGGTGAATCACCTGCCTGCACAATATAACAAAGGGAACAGCACATGCACCCATGGGCCTCTGCTAATCTCTGGGCTGACCTCTGTTAGCCCCATGGTTATTCTGGTCTAGACAGGCTTATGCTGAGAAATACTTTACATTTTCTGAAGACAAGTGTTATGTAATTCTGGTGCTTAGAGAATACTTAAATGATTCTTCCAAATTGTGCTCCTAATTTCTGAATGTCATCAAACGTCAAACTAGTATTTTTTAGTTTTGTGTAATACAAAAGTATCTCTGTTTTGTATGATATAAAAGTATTTTTTAGTTTCGGATAACTGAAAAATACAAAAGTCATTTTTAATTAGTTACCTGTCATTGTAAACATTCAGTTCCTGTTCTTTGAAAAGATTTGTCTCTGTAGTTCTTCAAACATTTATAATAATCCAAGGGGAGCTAGAAAATGTCAGGCACAAGGAGATGGAGGACGTCTAAGTTAGGGTGCCCAGGCTTTAGAGAGCAACTTCATTTATGTGTTAGTTTGACACTGTATCTGAGATGCAGAGCAAGTATGATGAAAGCTTTTAAAAAAAAATCCAACCAGACAGATCAGATTGACAGCAGAGGTAAAATGTGACCCTTGTGCAGTCTGATAAGTAACATTTCTTAAACTTGTCACATAAAACATTCTGTTATGCTTCAGGCTGTTGAAAATAATTTCATGCACAGGAGCATAGTCACCTGAGGCAATTCTGTTGTTCTGCAACAGCCTTAGGACAAATGAACAGCTTGGAGGTGGAAATTTTGGGTTATCATATGATTGTAATCATTACCCAGACTGAACAAGAGTGATTCGGTAGAGTGAGAACGATAGCAATGTGGATTAACCTACTTTCACTTTTTAATGACTATTTCTTCTACCCCAAAGATCAAAGAATATTTGTCATTGAGAAAATTTCAGATGTTCTTTAAAAGGCACATTTCTTTTTTAAAAAGCTGACCCGTTTTGTGTTTATTCCACAAGATTTTCAAATGTATTCTGTTGTATCAACAAATTTGCTCAATCATCTAGGAGAAAGGCTAACAAATAATTCAAGGACTTCAAATGCTTTTATGCAGAAGAGGGAAAATACTCAAATCACTTAGGTATTTGCATACAGATTTCCTGTGATACTTCCAAACCTAAGTGCTTCCCTGAATATTGACCTTGAGAAAGGGGCTGGAATTGAAGACACAGAGGGAGCCAGGGGAACTGACAAAAGCTCTTATGCTTTCTCTCTTATCTCAGAGATATGGCATTTTACCTACGGAGAAGTGGTCATTATGAGACGTTTTTTCCCCCATATATAGTTCAGTTGAAATTAGTGATAGGAGCATAATCAGAATCAATTATTGATTATAGAAAGTTCAGCATTAAATGAAAGCAGGGAGAAGGTGATTGAGCTGCTACATTTCCCCAGTGTTTCCTTCTGTGTTTATAGTAGTTACGGAATCACCTCACACATCCCCAGAAAGTTTAAGATTGATAAGAGGAAAAGACACTCAGGTGTTTTTTGTTTGTTTGATTGATTGATTGATTGATTGATTTTGCGACAGGGTTTCACTCTGTTGCCCAGGCTGGAGTGCAGTGGCATGATCATGGCTCACTGCAGTCTCAACATCCCGGGTTCAAATGATTCTCCTGTCTCAGACTACAGAGTAACTGGGGTTATGGACGTCTGCCACCATGCCTGGCTAATTTTTTTTGTATTTTTATTAGAGACGGGATTTCACTATGTTGCCCAGGCTGGTCTCAAACTCTTGACCTCAAGTGATCCATTCACCTCAGCCTCTCAGTGTTGGGATTACAGGCATGAGCCACCACGCCTAGCCCACTCAGGCGTTTTTCAGCTGAACTATTGTCTCTAATTTCCCCAGAACAATCACAGAATATTTCTCTGAACCCATTAGCTGAACAATGCTATAAAAATTTGGTGCTGGGATATTATAAATTATGAATTAGATGGTCAAAACATTACTTTGAATTTCATCATATTGTTGAATTGTATTTTTTTGCCCAAACATTAAATAATGGCTAAGATAATTAATGAGAAATGAACGTATACATTTATCAACTGTGCTTTTGTTTAACCTTTTAAGTAGCCCTGTTTTTAATTGAGTATTGCTGTCTGGGTTTCACAAGCACCAAACTTTAGCATACTAACAATTTTAATCATTAGTCAGACTTGGTCTTGAGCTGTAACATATGAAACCCAGTAGAAATGTGGTAGGATTAGGGTAGGACACGGTGGCTCAGCCTGTAATCCCAGCACTTTGGGAGGCCGAGGTGGGCAGATCACTTGAGGCCAGGAGTTTGAGACCAGCTTGGCTAACATGGTGAAACCCCACCTGTACTAAAAATACAAAGATTAGCCAGGCCTGGTGGTGCATGCCTGTAATCCCAGCTACTTGGGAGGCTGAGGCACGAGAATTGCTTGAACCTGGGGAGGTGGAGGTTGCAGTGAGCTGAGATCGCACCATGCACTCCAGCCTGGGCAACAGAGTGAGACTCTGTATCAAAAATAATAAACAAATAATAAAAAAAGAGAAAGAAATGTGGTAGGATTAATTAGACTGTCACCAAGGGAAAGTGTCAGCCAAGTTCATGCCTTTCCTTTACCTGTCGGGTCATGGTGAGACCTTATTTTTCCTCATCTGGACTAAATTTAAAATAGGCCAGAAAATATGGAAGGGTCAATGAGGTGAGAAAATTCATAGTGGCCTCTTCCGGAGAGATGTGGAAGGGACTATTTTCTTCTCTCCCCTAGTTATTCTGTGTATCAAGAATATTCCATTGAGTCAGAGCATGCTGAGAGTGTCTCAGAGGGTAGAGAAAGTAAAAATTACCCAGGGACTTTGTAGGCAACAATGGAAACCTCGGAGATTATCTAGACTTGGAGCATGCAAGCCCCCCACTCTGGGCAGAAAGCAAACATCTGAAAACTAGTGCATCAGCTTCAGGAACTTGCACATGGGATTGCCTGATAAAAGTCTGTGATTATAAAAAGTCCACCAAAATACCAAAATAGCTTTTTTTTTTTTTTTTGAGACAGAGTCTCACTGTGTCACCCAGGCTGGAGTGCAGTGGTGGGATCTCGGCTCACCACAATCTCCACCTCCCAGGTTCAAGCGATTCTCATGCCTCAGCCTCCCAAGTAGCTGGGATTACAAGCACCCCCCACCGCGCCTGGCTACTTTTTGGATTTTTAGTGGAGATGGGGTTTCACTATTTTGGCCAGGCTGGTCTCAAACTCCCGCCTTAGGTGATCCACTTGCCTCGGCCTCCCAAAGTGCTAGGATTACAGGCGTGAGCCACCGCAGCTGGCCTAGTTTCTAATATAAAAATATATATAAAAGTAGGCCAGGCACAGTGGCTCATGCCTGCAATCCTAGCACTTTGTGAGGCCGAGGTGGGTGGATCACTTGAGGTCAGGAGTTCAAGATCAGCCTGGCCAACATGGTGAAACCCTATCTGTATAGAAACACAAAAATTAGCCGGGTGGTAATGGGGCATCCCTGTAGTCCCAGCTACTGGGGAGGCTGAGACCAGAGAATCACTTGAGCCTGGGAGGTGGAGGTTGCAGTGAGCCCAGATTGGGCCACTGCACTCCAGTCAGGGCGAAAGAGTGAGACCTGTCTCAAAAAAAAAAAAAAAAAAAATATATATATATATATATATATATATATACACACATGTGTATATATATATGTCTATACATATATATGTATCTATATATGTCTATACATATATATGTATCTATATATGTCTATACATATATATGTATCTATATATGTCTATACATATATATGTAGTATATACATCAGAATTTTATTTTCTGTTAATATTCTATTAATTTTCTTTTGAGAAGTAGTATAACATAGTGGCTAAAAATATAGATCCTGGCTACCTAGATCTGGATTCTTCTCTGCCACTGGTGAGCCCTAAGTATTTTAATAAATTACTTAACCCCTATTTGCATCCGTTTCCTCATCTGAAAAATGGGGATAATAGTAATATGACATCATAGTGTTGAGAGGATTAAATGGGTTTTACATGTGAAACATTTAGAATAGTGCCTGGCTTATAGTGAAGCACTACACTAGTGCTTCTATTACATGTTTCTTTATAAGTATGTATTTTAATGTAGGAGTGTGCCTTACTTTAAATCAGCAGATAGCTTCCTGAGTCACTAAGAGAGAATAGGTAACTCATAGGTAGTATTCTGTGACTATTTCTGTGCAACTACTTACAAAACTCAAGAAGGGGTACTCTTATGTACCCCTTCTTGACTTATCATTAAAGTACCTTAGCTATTCCAACCTAAGTGTTTGTTATGCCTCATGCTTGGCTTTATCATTAGTTATGTAGAAAAACATTATCTTGATATTGGCATATGCATAACACTTATAGATTGAATATATGGTTTTCTGCATTTATTTTAGATTTTGCTCTCCAATTACTGTATTTTCTTTTGTCCAAGTATGTGACTTGAAAGTTTATAATGTGTTTTAGATATTTATTTTGATTATGCAAGTATTTCATGTTCATCATAAAAATTAGAAAATATAAAAAAGTAAAAGCAGAAACTATCACCCGTAATGCTACCAAATGATGACTGCAGTTACTTAGTGTTTGTTCTTTTAAATCTTCTTCCTCTAAATTTCCATGCCTCCATGTATACACAACATATTTATTCTTTTCAAATTTAATTTATCATATACATTATTTTATAACCTGATTGTTTCACTTTGCAATATGTCATGAACATATATCTATATATTTTACTATAGATTTATAGAATACCTTATAATGCCTTTGTAATATTCCATTTTATGGATGTATCTTAATCTTCTTAAACTACATTCCTATGTCAAGCAGTTAATGTTTTTTTAATGTTGTACATTATAAACCAAGCTCTGATAAAAATCAAAAAAGTTAGAATAGTTTGTCAATAACCCCAGGATATCTGATTTCAGAGAATGGAACACAGCATGAAGTACATTTCCCAAATGTGGATGAGTTAAATGTCCTGTTTAATATTTTATTTATTAAAAAGGAGGTGATCAGAGACCTGCAAGTTATTTTAGAACATCTGATGAAATTGATTAAAAAGTCTATGTTTATTAGTAATGACTTCTAGACAGATTCTGATACAGTAAGTTTTCCTTTCTTTTTTGCAACTCATTTTATGTTACAATTGGGGCCTCCCAAAGAGGAAAAAGAAAGTACAAACAGACATTTTGTGATTAAACAGACATTTTATGGTTTTGACAATCACAAAAATAGCTTGAGTGGTCTGAATAAAACATCAGACATGTATAAATCTCCTTCAGTAATCATTTTTTTAATATGATATTAAAAAGTTTAATTTTTTATTCAGAATTTGGGACACTTTTTTTGAAAATTCATTTTTATTTAGTTCAGAAAAAATTGTTCCTAAATATTTTTTTCTGGTTTGGATACTGGCTCAGTGAAGAGATTGATTTCAATAGATTTTATTTTAATATGCTCATGAAACTTAGAGCTAGAAGGAGCCTCTTTAATGATTTTGGAGTGTTATTTTTTATTTAAAGTCAACAAGAGAAGGAGATGGTATTTCAAAAGAAAAGAATACAACAAAGATATAAAACGTTGGGAAGTGTGCTAAAGGAGAACTGGAAATTAACTCTGGGATGTGGTAAAGCATCTGTAAGAACAATCTGCATTTCACAGCAAGTGATATTTATAGTCCATTGAATACCACTGAAAAGGAGTTCCCAATAAAGGACATGCATAATAAATTATGCCACTAAGCATTGTTGGCAGTCACATCCAACCACATCATATCGCTGGATAAATGTGTTCTGCTTAAACCAACTCCAGCAGGAACTCAGACAGCTTATGTGTCAGTGTATTTGTAGGTAAGAAGGTGGAACGTCTTGCTCACTAGAGAACTGTGATGCAAACATTCAGAACACTTTCTCCACACTTTGTACCTCAAACCCTACTGTGTGCGGTGACCAACACAGGGTAAGAGCTTATATACCTACTTCATACTTTTTCTCATAATGGAAAATAAAAGCAAAGAGCTACTCTTCAGGGCCAACTAGTTGTTCCATTTTCAGAGATTTTACAATAATCGAAAACATAAACAAGTTTTGCTAAAATCTTCAAGGAAGCACAGAACTCCCCTTCCCCATTGGCTTGGGTAGGATTTATTTTGAACAGGATAATCTAAAAGAACAAAGCTAAGGAAGTTCATTTCTGAATTTTGTTTATTATTTCTCTCTAAGGACCTCATCAACCAACCTCCCGTATTTTTTTGCTAGCCTTTATTGCTGAGTTTTTCTCAGCAATTGTACATCCTGTAGTGACAATTTCCTTTATTAATTCTTTTGGAGAAAAGTAGTGTAAGGTAAATCACACCTGTTTCCTTGACTTAAACAGACCTTTTGGAATCAGGATGCACCTTTTCTGTCTCCAATGAAGTCAAGTTGTGACCAAGAAATTCCAGGTGCTGCTGGATAGTCAACAACTTCTACTCATGTACAAATGCTATACTTCTGCTTGACTATTGCAGTTTTTTTTTTTTTAACTCATCTCTATACTAATGAGGATGCAGTGGTTCTTAACTCTGATTTTGAACAGGGTTAAATGTTGAAGATTTTAATTTTCTCTCTCTTTTTATTGTGATATATTTTACGTACCAAAAAAGCTCATTTACCAGTTTTGAAAAATGTCTACAGTTGTATAATGGCCACTGCAATCAAGATATGGAATTTTCATCACTCCAGAAGCTTTCTTCACACACCTTTCAGGCAATCCTCTTCCTCCATCATACCTGCTAGAAACCACTGATCTGTTTTGTATTCCCACAGTTTTGAAGTTTCTAGAATGTCAAATCATGGACTCATACAATATATGTCTTTTGCTTGGCTTTTTTTTACTTAGTTCAATGCTTCAAGAATCATCCATTTTGTTGCATATGTCAGTAGTTTGTTTCTTTCTCTTGATGAATAGTGTTCCACTTATGGATTAATCACCATCTGTCTATCCACTCACCATTTGAAGGACATTTGGATTTTTTACAGTTTGGGGCATTTACGGCCCAAACTGCTAAAACCATTCACGTACAGGTCCTTGTACAGAAACATGTTTTCAGTTCTCTTCGGTTTATGAATAGGAGTGGAATTATTATCCCATATAGTAAATGCATGCTTACCTTTATAAAAAAAGTCAAACTGTTTTTCAAAGTGGCTGTGCATTCATATTTTCAAAGTGGCATTTTGCATTCCCCCAACAATAAATGAAAATTTCAAATTTTCCCGCATTCTATCTAGAATTTGGTATGACCAGTCTTTTTACATTAGTAATCCTAACAGGTACATAGCATTGATAACATCTCACAGTGGTTTAAAAACTTGCACTTTCCTAATGATTAAAGATAATGAGCATCTTTTAGGTGCTTATTTGCTATTCTTATATCTTGTTTGTCTTCTTATTGAATTTAGAAGTTACTTGCGTTTTCTTCTAGAAGTTTTAGAGCTTCAGCTCTTCCACCTAGGTGTATGGTCCATTTTGAGTTAGTTTTTATACATGGTGACATAAAAATCAAAGTACATTCTTTTTGTCAGTGGATATCCTCTAGTGTTGGGCTGCTATTATCTTGGCCCAGAGTGGGGCTTGGGGTTCCAGAGTGTGTTTCTCAATGTTTTTGCTTCACCCCCAGTCTTCAGCAAGCCTTGCTCACCTGCATCACAGAAGGGTTCTTTGTCCATGCTCTTGCCCTTCTCCTAAGGCACAACTATGTTCCTTGTTATTTGATGCAAGGTCTCTGGTGGTAACGGGAGTGGTTTCTCATTCCCCTACTCCACCCTCAGACTTGGGCCGGTCTTATATATATATGAGCCCAGGAAGTGGGGTTTTCTCAACCTTCCTGCTTGTTCCCCAGTGCACTTGGAGAGTGTAAGCAAATTTCCTGCTTCTCCTCCTAGTGTCAACAAAACTATCTTGTATAGGTGGGAGATCTTGGGTGTGAGTAAGTTTTTTGTCCTTCCGGGGTAGTAGCTGAACATTGCCTTGAAAAGGGCAGAATTCTATGCACAAGTGGGATTTTTGCCACTTCCTCAGCTGCAGCTTATCTTTGCCTCGGATGAGGGATGGAAGGGTCCTGCTCTGCCCCAGAGGAAGCTGGCTTTTGTTTCATGGCACACCAAGGTCAACTCTGAGATATGGGCATGATTCTTACCACTTCAGTGGTAGATGGCTTTTGCTTTGTATTTGAAAGGAAATCAGGACGTGGGAGGTTCTGTGCCTGCTGCTAGTGGCAGCTGATCATTTCTTGGTATTTACAGAGTTTTTGGAGAATGGATAGGCTTCTGTAGATACTCCTGCTCCACTTTTACTCTTTGGCAGGTCATGCATGCTTGTGCCATTGAGGGAGGCACACAGGTCTTATGCTTTGCCAGCAATCTTTCTCATGAGTGCCTGGTGGATGCCCTTGGAAAAGACTTCATGAGCGGATATGGACTCCACTTGTATGTGCGGCTCCAGAGACTCTGAAATGTCGATTTAGCCCCCAGTTGGTCTTTAAGAATTCATTATAATTTTATGAGATACAGGAAAGTTCACATCTCTGGGCACTTCATTCTTTTGTCTCAGGCCCTTCTCCTGCTCTCTAGTCTTTATATGAGCTGCTCTCATCTCATTGTGCAGCTAATGCTTCTTTGACTTAACAGTCTGTTACTCAGATTTTCTAGTTTTGGCTTTATCATGCTTAGATTTTTCTCCTCTTTCTTATCACAGAGTATGCTTCATGTCTTTAAAGATGGTACCCACTTTTAGACAGAAAACTAACCAGCAAATAATCTTCTATGAGAGTTGGCTTTTCAAGTTTTCAGGGATATATAGTCACAGCTATTTGGGAGAACTCACAATTGTTCTTGTTTCATTTACATTTTAAAACTATTTTAGAAGATGAATTTATGCAATGGAGGTATGCACAATGGTGCTCTCTACAGCTTACAGATGCCAGTTCTATTGTCCCTCAAGTAGTATCCTTACTAATCAATCTAATAGATAACAGAGAAACAGGATTTTACTTTTTCCTAAGGATCAGTTGGTTGTGTAGCTGAATTGGGGCATTTTTGTTGCATGATATCTTTTCTTTTTAGGGAAACTTATACGATTAAGCAAATATTAGTGGTCTTTAGAAGAACTATTTGGCATTTATTTCTATAATGATTTAATGCTTTGGAATATATTTTTATTGCAAAAGCGAGAAAAGGAATTTTCTATGTAGGAAGCATCATATTCTATTTTGCATGTTTATTTTAGGCATTTTTGAGTGTTTCTTTGTATGTTGCAATTGGCTGGAGTTCATAAAGATAGCTTCCTACATCCAGCTGCAGCAATATTTAGATAATTTAAATGAACTGTTAGAGATCAGAGAAGGGATCAACAATCTGTTCTTAAAAAGGACAAAAGCTTACAAAAATAGTTGCTAAATATTCTCCAGTTCAGAAATTAAGATGCAATTGTTATTTGCAGGAAATTACTGATAAACTATTCCATAATATCTAGTCTATCCATACGTGTACACAAATGAATGAGTAGGCTTTTCATATATCTAAAAGTGGACAATAGGCTGGACATGGTGGCTCATGCCTGTAAATCCCAGCACTTTGGGAGGCCGAGGCGGGTGGATCACGTGATGTCAAAAGTTCAAGACCAGCCTGGCCAACATGGTAAAACCCCATCTCTACAAAAAAAATACAAAAATTAGGTGGGCATGGTGGTGCATGCCTGTAGTCCCAGCCACTTGGGAAGCTGAAGTATGAGAATTGCTTGAACTCAAGGAGGCGGAGGTTGCAGCTGAGATTCCACCATTGCACTCAAGCCTGGGTGCCAGAGCGAGGCTCCCTCCTTAAATAAACAAATAAATATTAAAATTTTAAAAAGTGGATAATAAATATACACCTAAAATAATGTGTTAAACTATGTCAGCCTTTAAATTTACCCCCATTTGACTGTCTATGTCAGGACATTAAATGTAATGCTTAATTACCTTAACATTTTCATTCATTCATATTTATACATTCCATATTATATTAGGTAGATCTTGAGGTGGTTAAAAGATAAATCAGATATAGATTCTAATAACTCATAATTCTATAATCAATTATAGTTAGCATATAATTCATTAATGAGGAGTTTCTATTAATCCATATAATTATAAGACAAGTAAGAAATTTGTAAGTGTATTTGAAAACACTGAGATACAATTATTATGGGCCTTAGTTGTATTAGGAATGACAGATTGCTTTAAGATGGGAATATGAAGGAAGAGTTCATGGAAAGGTGATACTTATTTTCAAATAATGGATGGGATTTGGATATATGGAGATAATTAAGAAAATAATTCTACATAAAGCAAAAAAAAGATCCCTGGCAGTTATTTTAGAAAGGGCTTTGAGACCAGAAAAACTTACTTTAAAATTTAGGTCTGTAATTAATGTTTCCAAGGATAGCCATATCATTTAAACATATTGATTTGTGTTCATTGAGCACTTACATATAGTGTACATGGCACTCTGTCATCTCCTCTTTGCACATGCTATTTATCTATGCTTCCATATAAGGCCAAAATTCCTACCAGTGGACTGAAACTCACATTTCCTATCCTACTCAAAATATTGCTTTTAAAATGGTCTCCTCTCTGATCACCATTATTTTTTCCTCTTGCTGAATTATTCCCACAAGCAAACATGCTACATTATCTCCCATATTAAAACAAATAACCATAATGACAAAACAATGGCAAAAAACTCCTTTCTATGTCAGTTTCGTTTTGCTGCACCCCCAAAATCATTGTCTTTAAAATAGCAGCTATGTTGTCAGTTCATGATTCTCTTGGTTGGTAGTTTAGGTTGGGCTCAGTGGGGCTGTTTTGTTCTTGCCTGGGCTCCCTCATGTATCTTGGTTAATTTTTATTTGGTTAGGTGGCTCTGCTTCGGGGGGTTGATTGCCCGTACTTGAGTGACAGAGTGAGGGGGTGAAAAGGAGAGTTGAGGTGATGGAGACACATGTCTCTCATCATCCAGCAGACTAGCTTGGGCTTGTTAACATGGTGATTGGAAGGTATTTCAAGAGAAAGTGGAGAGTTTGCAAGGCATGATGAAGCTCAGAACAATATCACTTTCACTGCCTTCTGACGGTCAAACAAGCTGCACGGTCATTTCAGATTCCATCTGTTGATGAGAAGATCTGCAAAGTCACAATGCAAAGGGGAAATGAATACAGGGAAGAGAATAATTATGGTCATTTTTGCAAATTTTTTTTTGTACTTTTCATCCTATTGCTCTTCCACCTACTATCCCCTTTTTCTGCTTCCTTTCAGAGAAAATCTTAATGAAAAAGTTTCCATACTCACTCCCTCTATTCCTCTCCTTCCATCCTTTAAAAGGAAGAATGAAAACCTATTCTTGTAAACATGGCCATGATCTCTACATTGTCAAATTCAAAGGTCAGTTTTAATTCTCATGTAATCAACCTGTTACAACCATTTGGTTTGAATTGCTAGCCCCCATCCTTTTTGAAAAAAATTGTTCATTTGTCACCCGAGTTGCACCTCTCTTGATTTTCATTCACCATTCTTTCTCAGTTTTCTTTTCTGGTTCCTCTTCTTTTCCTTAACTTTTAAATATTGAAATACTCCGGGGCTTAGTTCATGGAATGGTCTTGGGTTTTCACTGAGCCCTAAACAATCTTATCCAGTCTCATAGCTTTAAATATCATATTTTTACCAAATTTATATCTGCAGCCAAGATTGTTCACTCAACATCCACACTTGGACATACAACTGCTTACTAGGCTTTCTACTATAGTATCAAACTTAATATGTCCAAAACAAACTCTTATTTTTTTTTCCCACTCCAAACTTCCTACTCATATATTGTTTCTCACATTGGTAAATGCCGTCTTTATTCTCTGGTTACTTAGACCAAAAATTGATATATAAAACTTAATTTTCTTTCATCTTCACTTCCAGTAGATCAGCAAATCTGATGGCACTACCACTCAAAGAGATGCAAAATACAAATGTGATTGTTAATACCAAGTGCCAACTTGATTGGACTGAAGATTTACTGACTTCATGTCAGCATTTAAGTATTGTTAACTTTATGGTATAGTATTTGGGTTGGGGATTTGTGCGTTTCTGGCTGTACGAAGGATAGTTGTATTATGTTAGGCATAACTATGACCTTATTATTTTCTTTATTTGAAGATTAAGTATGATCTCAGGAGATGAGTATGGGTTCAAGTTGACAAAGGGTGGACTTATGAAGGTTAATACTGAGTGACAACTTTATTGGATTGAAGGATACAAAGTATTGATCCTGAGTGTGTCTGTGAGGATGTTGCCAAAAGAGATTAATATTTGAGTCAGTGGGTTGGGGATAGCAGATCCACCCTTAATCTGGTGGCCACAATCTAATCAGCTGCCAGCAAATATAAAGCAGGCAGGAAAATGTGAAGAGGTGAGACTGGCCTAGCCTCCCAGACTACATCTTTCTCCTGTGCTGGATGCTTCCTGTCCTCAAACATCAAACTCTGAGTTCTTCAGTTTTGGGACCAGACTGGCTCTCCTTGATCCTCAGCTTGCAGACAGCCTATTGTGGGAGCTTGTGATCATATAAGTTAATACTTGATAAACTATTAACTTACATATATATCCTATTAGTTCTGTCTCTCTAGAGAACCCTGACTAATACAACAACCAGTTCTCATCATTTCTATAACAGCTACACTGGTCCCTGCCATCACATGGAACTTTGTCTTAGTTTCTGCTTTTGCTCTCTTCCCTTTTGTCTATTGCCTGTATAGCAGCTGTGTAATCCAGAATAAAAACATAAATGAGATTATGTTACTCCTTTTCTCAATGCATTTCACTGAGAGTTGAATGCAAAGTTCTTAACCTAGCCCACAAGGCTGCACATGCTTGAATGTCTCACAGCCTCTCTGATCTCATTTCCTATCATTTTTCTCCTCACTCACTCTGTTCTAACCATACTAGCTTATCTGCCATTCCTTGTACTTACTGAGTGCATTCCTACTACAAAGGCTTTGCACTTGTTCTCTTTGCCTGAGAAGTGCTCCTTTGTATAATCATGGGGCTCATTCCATGACTTCCTTCAGTGCTCTGCTCAGATATCACCTCTCCTAAGATGCCTTCCTTGGTCACTCCATATACAATAGCTGCCAGTCATTCTTCATTGTCCCTATTCTGCTTTATTTTTGTCATAGCACTTATCACATCTGACATAATATTTACTGATTTTTTGTTTTATTATTTTCCTTCACTAGAATATTGGCTTCATGAGGGTAGGGACATTGATCACTTTGGTCACTGCTGAATCCCCAAGGCTTGGAACATCTTGAAACACAGCTCTCAGTAAAATTTTGTTGAATCATTGTATTGTTAAAAAAGAAAAAAACTTATTTTAGTCTTCAGACCCACTGAATGAGGTACATATTGAACATTATCTCCCTCTACCTTGTAGGTGAAAAATTAAGGCCCAGCAAAGCTAAGTAAGTTTTGGAGTTTATTCAAATGCAACTGCTTCTGTCTTTTACTATTACTATTATTATTGGTTTTAATTCTAGCCACTATGCAATGGTGACTCCTGCTGACTGAGCAGGCCTGCTGGGAAAAACAAATGAGATAAAGTGAAAATACCAACAGGCACAATATCTGGTATACTTTTGGTGCTAGACCACTCTCTATTTCTCTTCCTTTCACATGATTTCTTTTTACATTTCTTTTAATGTTTAAATATTATATTTTATATGTGCTTTTTATTGTACACTGATACAAATTGCCTTTGTACATAAGAATGTTTAAAAATTATGAGTTACAGCATGGGCATCATAGTGAGACCCTTACTTTATCAAAAATAAAAAAAATAATAATTAGCCTGTTATGGTGGCATGGAGCCCAGGAGTTGAGGCTACTGTGAGTTATGATTGTGTCACTGTACTCCAACCTGGGTGGCAGAGCAAGATTCTGTCTCAAAAAAATTTTGTGAATTAACAAATTAGCACTGACTTATTTTTATTAGAAAGGTCTTCTATTGTAAAATATACTCATGGTATGTACACAAGACTAGACAAAGTCAGTTCTGGAACAAAAAATAGTGTAATACCTCTGATCATGAGCGTGCCTCACAGTCTTAGTCAAATAGTAGTCTTACAGAAGATATTTTGAAAGACCAAACCGTTTCATAGGTTGTTCAGAAAGTGTCATTAAATGTTATACAAAATAGAACAAATGTGTCCTGGGATAAATCCTAGAAATAACCTGCAGTCATTACACTGTCACTTCTCTGCCTCCAAGCCTGTGCTATAAAATTCGATAAAAAGAGCACTGCAAAATAGAAATGAAAAAGTTTGAATTATCTCTTATAGTTCTATTCTAAAGTGAAGTATAAAGTACATATTCTTTGGAAAAGAGGACCAGGTGATATAAGAATTCCAGAGGAGGGCAGCAAAGATAGACAGTAGAATTAACACAGGTGAAAAGAACAGAGAATCTTACTTTACAAATCCTGTAAATTTTCACAATAGTGAGTGTTCTTATGGTGGAGCATCCCTTACCATTCTGTTATTCATTGGTTTTCTAAAATGAAATATGAAACCACACATAATTAACCTCTTTATCTTAATCTATTTCTGTATCCATTTAAGTATATTTGAAAGGCCTATAGTTGTTTGCACTTCTAAAGAATATTATGGTAGAGTTGTCACAGCTGGAGCTTATATGACTTAATTTAGTCTTTTATTCAACAGATATTTATTGACTGTCTGCTATGTGCATTGCGTTAGGTGGTAGGGATATGACGTTTAATTTCATTGGAAAAATAATGCCTAATTTCTTAAAGCTTTTACCGGGTTAGTGAATTATTCATAAACTGACGTGCATTAGCAGTTATACCCATTGATAGCATTGTCACTATTCACTTATAATCTGATATGAAAATGGAATGAAGTTACAGCTGGCAGACCAGAACTTGTGTTTAACTCTGAACATACCTATAGGAAAGCATGATATTTAGAGCAAAAACATAAACAGCTTAAGAATGGGGTTTTGTAAAATATTTACCTTTGGTTCTAATTTGTGTCTGTGTCACTAGATGATAGACTGGTTCTGGTGAAAAAAAATAGACTAAATAAAATACTTTGATAAAAACAGCTGCATTTTACCTGTTTTTCTAATTCTTATCAGCAAGTTTGATACTCTGAGGTATGACAAGCTTTTTTTTTTTTTGAGGCTTAAGTTTTGTCAGCATATAGTAAATTAAAAGACTATTTGGATGATGCTACTTAAATTTTCAGGCTACAGTATTCTTCCCACTGTGAATACAGTGTATTGTTTAGGCTGCTACATGTTGCTATCAAGTGATAGAAACTATTTATGCAATAGAGCTGTAAAATACTGAATGGCCATAAAGTCTGGAAAACATTTTAATACAATATCATTCAACACATTATGTGCTGTAATGTAATATCAATAACCTATGTGTGAGTGTGTATACCATTATATGTATTCACCTTTGTTTCCAGACTTTATGACCATTTGGTCAAACGATTTAAAATTTAACATTTGAATTCAGCTGTATTTGATTTTTTTTTCTGACTAACTGAAGACTGATAGAAGTTGAGTCAAACCTACTTTTTCAAGTGAAATTTTTAAAGTAAGGAAAAACATTTAAAAAAAATAAAAACCAAGAACAGAGAATACAGTCTGAGTTTTTAATGGTAGGGTATTTTGTCCCTTCAAGAATGTGGTTGGTTCCTGAATCCTCCCTCTATCTTGTTTGCTTGCTACACTGGGCGGCCTGCTCAGGGCTCCAGACACCCAATGTGCTTCTTGCTTCCCATACTTTATATCAAGCTCCTTCGGTAAGCCTGAAATAACCATACCTCTCTTTTTTATCCTTTGAAATCCTTTATGGTTGAGACCAAATATCACTCCTCCCTCTATGTGTCATGGTCAAAAAAGTTTTTGCAACATTCTAATTGATGCACACGTCAGTCCTTCTCTGTGTTCCCCGGTCAATTTTCTGGTCCTTTCTTCATGGAAATTACTTAGCAGATTTTAAGATTCTTGGTGAGAGGATTCTTATGTTCTTCATCTATGTATTATCATCAATGTACCTAACAATTTTCAATAAAATTCTCTCAAACAAATGAAGAGAAATACACAAGAAGTCATCTTAATTTTTTAACCTGTGGTCTGCAGATCTATTTTGTGAGTACCCATGAAAATGGTGGCTGCCTTGTTTATGCTGGAAAATGTTAGCCATGGGGCAATGAGGACAATGAACATAGGAGGCATTGGAGTCCAGGAACCTGAAGTCACACCCTGTCAATGGGATCATATAAGATACTTCAACTTTTTGAGCCTCAGTTTTCTCAAATACAAAATGGGAATCATACAACATATACATTTCAGGCTTATAGTGAAGATTAGAAATAAATCTACAAATCACATAGCAATAATAATTATTATTATATAATGGTTGATTATCTAAAGAATAATGTGCTCTGGATAGTAGAATGTTCCTGTAAATTGAGAATTATAAATTTTCAAGAAAATAGAATAGGTAGTCCTCATTTTCAAAAGATAAACTCTAGAAACACATTTGACTAAGTAAATTCATTAATTTTTCAGAGAAAAAAAAGCCATTTTGGGGGGGATTAGGCTGGTGTGATCCAAACTGTAAGTTGTAGTGTATTGTAGGTTGATGAAATAAATTTAGTAGGTCAAGACCAGCATTACCATATGTAATAGATTAACATTTGATAAAAAAAATTACAGTGCATTTAACTTAATAATGATGAGAATGATTTATGGCAAGCATAGTTAAATTCAATACTTATGCACATGTGTGTTTTAGATAGACATATAAAAGGTATGTCTTATTGGTTGTCATGGTCAACATTTTTGCAGAGCACTCAGCTACAGGATATCAAATAATAAGTTAGTACTTAGTACTTACCAGCTACTTTCTCACAAAAGTAATCATTAGAGGATAAAGGGTTAAGCTGTACTGGCTGGGTAAGACATTAGCTGATACAGAGCACCAGAAGTATTTGAAATCACAAGGGTTTCAAAGCTAAAAATACCTTATGCATAATTCAGCTTTTTTTGGATAATTCATTAACCTTTTATAAATTTTCTAAACCACATAGTCTTTATCATGATTATTAATTATTAGTATACAGAAGTGTTCTGGAAAGATCTAGTTAAAGTGTGCTTTAGTTAAAAGCACAGAAGACTTTCCTATATATGAATGTAAGCCAGGTTGAAATAAAAGAGTTATTGTTTTCCCCATAGTTTATTGAGATGTGTTCCATGCCCCTGAATACAGAGGGGAAAATTGGTTAAAATGAGAATTTCAACCCTCTTTGCTTCAAAATATTTGAAAATATCACATAATGGAAGAATGGCCCGGCCTAGACCAGAGGTTCCTAATTAGGAGTCCATGAGCCACGTTCAATTATATATATTTTTTCTTCTGGTATTTTTCTTGTTTCAGTGAAAATTATTTTTAAATAAATTACTTTTATATAAAATGTTTTGGAAGCAATGTTTCACCCTAAACAAATTGTAGTGAGCCAGGAGATCCTACTGTATAATTTAAATAGTTATAACCATCTTTTTTGTGTTATAATTTCTGTAATGGATTTCTCTTTATAGGCGTTAAATAAAACATGTCCTGACATCAGGCTTGTGGATATCTATCTTTATGTATTTGGTCTAAGTTAATTCGAAAGTGTTAAAATGAGAAATAGAAAATTCACATATTCTATCACTGAAAGCATTGCTGTAAGGCACTACTCACATATTATATGGTTCTAGACAAGGAGAAAAGGAAGACAATGAGACTGCTTATGTATTTCATATTGTCCCACATTTAAAATATCTTGAAAGATTCATATATTTTTCTATGAGAAGAATTTTCAATTATAAATGCATGTAGTTGGAAAAAAATCTCAAATTTGTTGAAATATTAAAACTTTGTCTCAAATGCTACTCAGAGAATCCTTTAGCTAAGGAAGCCAAAAACTGAAAGAACTTGGTGAAGTCATGGCATGATCTGTAACTAAGAGCAAGAAAAAAATGTAAAGCAGTGCCTTGGTCCACCAGTATCATCAATTTCAGATTATTGACATTGCTTTTATGACTTAGAAGGAGGTCATAAAAGAATCGACAACAACGGAAAGAAGTTGTTCTTGTCTCTGAGTGAAGCCAGCTCCTGGTATTCATCTGCTGTGTGCACACTAATCCATTAAGGAAGAATTCCTATTTTTGTGCATCTCTTTGGGACTATTTAAAGGTCTTCAATTGGTGTAGTTTCTTTGCCAAGTAAAATTTTGCTGGGATGAAACTTTTTATACTTTATGCATGATGAAGCACCATAAGAGTTTAGCAGATCTTATTGTTCCTAACTTTTGTGAAGAAACAAAGCTTTACTTACCATTGTGATTTAGGACTTTCTACATCAGTATACATTGGAATAAAATAATGCTGCCTGCAGTCCTAAAATAAACCTCTTCTTCTTCCATGAATGCTACTGACATTGTGAAAACTAGAGCCATAAATCATCATCTTGCCAGTAAATGGGACAAAATAAACAATTCTTGTCTAATTTACAGAGGTTTACTGATTTCTTATGGGTCATATCTTGATATGCTTCACTGAACTCCAGGCAGAAGTTTCACTCTTTTGGAATCTAACAAAATACCTGCCAAATAATTTGATAAGAATTATTTCATTAATAACATGGCCTTATGTGTAGATTTCACTTCATAATGCATTCATTCAACACTTCTTTTTTTAAAAAATGAATAAAGAGATAAGTCTTTTGTTTCAAGGTCTTACAATGTTATGGTGGGCCAATATTATGGTCCTATAATGTTAGGTCCTACAATGGTGTTACCGATGTTGCTGAAAAGCTCAGAACTCTCGAAGTGTCCCAAAGCTGACACTTTGGGAAAAGAGATCAGAAGAAGATTGTTGTGTGAGGTTCCTGAGAATGTGTATCCTTGGCTGGCTCAGCAAGTCAATTTATTTTTCTATGGAAATCTACAGACATCTAGAAACAGGAAGTATGCTTGAGATTTACTCCTGCAGAGAAGACATTAGGCTCAACATGGATTTTCTCTTCTTCCTCATTGTCATGGTAAACATTGAAGGGGCAGAAATCCTTTTTTTTTTTTTTTAATTTTATTATTATTATACTTTAAGTTTTAGGGTACATGTGCACAATGTGCAGGTTAGTTACATGTGCCATGCTGGTGTGCTGCACCCATTAACTCATCATTTAGCATTAGGTAAATCTCCTAAAGCTATCCCTCCCCCCTCCCCCCACCCCACAACAGTCCCCAGAGTGTGATGTTCCCCTTCCTGTGTCCATGTGTTCTCATTGTTCAACTCCCACCTATGAGTGAGAATATGCGGTGTTTGGTTTTTTGTTCTTGCGATAGTTTACTGAGAATGATGATTTCCAATTTCATCCATGTCCCTACAAAGGACATGAACTCATCATTTTTTATGGCTGCATAGTATTCCACGGTGTATATGTGCCACATTTTCTTAATCCAGTCTATCATTGTTGGACATTTGGGTTGGTTCCAAGTCCTTGCTATTGTGAATAGTGCTGCAATAAACATACGTGTGCATGTGTCTTTATAGCAGCATGATTTATAGTCCTTTGGGTATATATCACTGGCCATCAGAGAATTGCAAATCAAAACCACAATGAGATACTGTCTCACACCAGTTAGAATGGCAATCATTAAAAAGTCAGGAAACAACAGGTGCTGGAGAAGATGTGGAGAAATAGGAACACTTTTACACTGTTGGTGGGACTGTAAACTAGTTCAACCTTTGTGGAAGTCAGTGTGGCGATTCCTCAGGGATCTAGAACTAGAAATACCATTTGACCCGGCAGACATCCTTAAACACTTAAGTGCAAGGTTACTGTGTACACAGCCATATGCAATGGCATTACCACAGTACTTTTAAGCTGAAGGAGATTAGTTTGGTCCAAACAGTCCTGAAGAATTATAGTTTCTTGACTCGGCCTCCCCTGTATGATAAAGTTAGCTGTAGGAGATCGACTTCTCTTTGTTCTTATGTTGTTTTGTGGGTCTAGATATTGGGGACTTGTGGGCATCAACTTTAAAGACAGGATTAACAGAAAGTAAAAGATAACACACATATTTCCATGTAAAAGACAATGCCATACTCTGACATACTTGAGCATACTTCCTGTTGAAGTTCAAAAGTGTCATCTCTAACCTGTGCATTTTGGGTTTGTCAGGCACATTCAAGTAAGCAGTAGCTATGAGGCAGGTAACAACTACAACCCAAGAACCCAACAAATGTATTTGCATCCAACTGATAGGTTAGCTGGAGGCATGCTGATTTAGGATGGCCTGAGATGCATGACCTGACTCTGCTCCACGTGATCTCTCATCCTCCAGCAGCTTAGCCAATGTTTGTTCTCATGGCAAAAGCAAGGGTATGAGTTCTCCCTGTATCCAAGCTATTTGTAGTCTAACTTTGCAGCTCTTCCCATTCAAAGATGAAGTCTGTTTCTCTACCTCTTAAATCTAGGCTGGACTTATGACTTCCTTAGGCCCTTAGGCCAAAGCATATGATGGAAGTGATGGCATGCCCATTCTGAATTGAGGCCCCAAAGACCTTTCAAGTTTGCACCCACTCTCTTGGACCCTTGCTTTTGCCATGAGAACAAGCTTTGGCTAAGCTGCTGGAGGATGTGAGATCATGTGGAGCAGAGTCAGGTCATGCATCTCAGGCCATCCTAGATCAGCATGCCTCTGGCTAACCTATCAGTTGAATGCAGATGCATGAACAAGCCCAGCTGAGATTAGCTGAGCCAAGACTAGGTTAGGAGAAGTGCACAGGTGGCCCATAGACTCACGAAAAATAGTACACAATTGGTGTTTTAAGCAACTGTGTTTTGAGATGATTTGTAACTCAGATATAGCTATATGATGCAGATGTCTAAATAGATTGTGCCTCCTTTTAAAAATAAGAGAGTTTGTAATAATACATGTCAGGCAAAGCGTGACATCTACAAGGCACTTTGTATGTAGTATTTTTTTTTTTTTTAAATCTCACACGGGATGTTCTTTCTAATATACTGCAATGCATCTCTATGGTAAATACTTGAATTCTTAAGATCTTATCTGGACATTTCCCATAAGTGTACCTTTTTTTTAAAGAAAGGATTCTATCCAGTCACATTTACTATATTTATCAAGAAACTTAAAAAAAAATTTAAGCTGAAGATCAAGAAAAATGCTCATTAAATGTTTGATCCATTGGCTACATATACTACAGACTTTTTCACCTTTAACAGTAATATTTCCAACAGTACACATGGAATGGTTTCTCATTTCCTACACACATGCATATAATAAGCAAGAAAAGCAAAATCCCTAAAGAGAAAATGAGCTCTGGAAACCTTTCTTACATACTTTATTAATCGTCAGAGAATCTCTGCAATTTCCCTTATTAACAAATTTTAGTTACTGTAAACACATATAATAGCTCACATCATGAATGAGGCAGAAAATGATTTACTATAGGTTTGTCTGATAGATATGTAACATATGAATCAAAGAACACCTCAAAGTTGTAGCAATATGGAATGAATAGAAACACAGCACTGAATAGAAATGAAATAGTAAGTTACATTCTCCAAACTCTGGATAAATAGTAAAAATAGTTTTAGAAGATGATGCAAATTATCTAATTATTTACAGCAAAGGGAAGAAAATCACAGGTGTCCATTATTCTTGCGCAGCTGTCCCCTCAGCTTGTCCCCAAATATTTCCTTGTCTAGTATGAACTAGAGGAGACCAAAAACCTTTGTCCATGTTTATGGAGGGTGGAGGGAGAGGAAAGTGGAGAGACAGGAGGAGAAACCAGGGAAACCAGGTGCAACACTTTTCTTAATAATAGGCTGGGAAGAAAAATCTTGCCTTGACATGAGGGCCATAATGATGAATTGGAGAGTTTAACGAGAAAAGTATTCATTCTTTCTCCAGCCAAACGTTAAGGCCACAGGCTCCACTCTGTGTTGGATGTCAAATCAAGGTGTTGGCAGGTAAAGCTGTCTAAAAAGTCAGGTCTTTTACACTTTGTTAGTATTCTCAGCAGACTAAGGTTGAGCTCTTGCCAATGTGGAAGGCTTCCAGATTCAAGAGATAAATGTCCCAAATAGTCGAGTTGTCTCAGGTCTGAAGGCTGCTGAGCACACAGTGCAGTGATGATCCACCAGAGTTCATTGCAGGCTGGGTGACAGCAGTCTATGTGGGTGCAGGGAATTCACCAGGTTATACATGCATATGTATACATGTATATGTATATATGTATGCATATATGTGCATACATATATGTAAATGCCTCAAGACTGTACCTTTAGTTTCTTTGCTGTTTTTGTTAAACTTCTTGAATGAATTCCCTTCTTTCTAGCCAGGAAAAAAAGTCATAAACATTTGAATCTACTTTGTAACCACATCTGTGGAATTATTGAATCCGGACTGTGTATGTGTTTTTTGGATTTAAATTTTGCTTTTGACTCCAGACTGCTCAAATGAATGGGGATTCTGTCTGGGGTTACCAAATTCCACTTAATGCCAATGCTTTTGTAGCTCATTTAAGCAGACTCAGTTATTTGAGTTATCTTACAGCAGGAACTAGACAAACAGGTTAAGGTCCAGACAGGTTAAATATCTTACTCTGGAAATCCAAGTCCAAATTGGGGATTAGCCCTCAACTTAATAGTTATTACACCCATTACTCAGGGTTTTGAATCACATTGCTTCCACAGAACTTCGTTCCAAGGAAGGAAGACTGGGGATGTATTTGTCAAGTGGTAAATCAACTACTTCTATTTAAAATTCTCAAAGACCTCTGGAGCAAAGCATCCATCTAAATCTAAAGATCAGAGAGTGGGAAAGACACTGAGAAATGAGAAATGCTCATAGACTTGGGCTCTTTGTTCTAGCACTTACTTATAGTGCTGCCTTAAAAAATTCTAAACATCTTGAGCATTATCTGTTTTACCTGTAAAGCATTTATAATAATACCTACCTTTGGAGGTTATTGTAAAGACTAAATAACATATACATATACAATCCCAGCAAAGTGACTGATATTTATTAAATAAATAGTCAATAAAGTTATATTTTTAAAGTTCCTACTTCTACATGATTTTGATTTCCGCCCTTCACCTCTAAATAAATCAATGAACTACTGCCATAATTTTACCACCTTTATATTGGAATTTTAATTTTTTTTTTTTAGAGTTTCAAGGATTATTTTATCTATGAAAATGCTGGCCAAGTGCGGTGGCTCACGCTTGTAATCCCAACACTTTGGGAGGCCAAGGCAGATGGATCATCTGAGGTCAGGAGTTCCAGACCAGCCTGGCCCACATGGCGAAACCCCATCTCTACTAAAAATACAAAATTAGCTGGGCATGGTGGCAGGTGCCTGTAATCCCAGCTACTCGGGAGGCTGAGGCAGGAGAATTGCTTGAACCCGGGAGGTGGAAGTTGCACTGAGCCCAGATGGCGCCATTGGACTCCAGCCTGGGCGACAGAGCGAGACTCTGTCTCAAAAAGAAAAAAAAAAGAAACAAAATGCTATATATTATTTACAACACAGGCTAGGTTACTAGAATAAAACGTTGGCTTAAACAAGAGAGTTTTATTTATTTTATTTCTCTCTCCTATAACAGTCCAGAGCAGCAGATTTGGTAGCTTGATGGAATTGGCGGGGTCCTATCATCTTGTGGTTGTGTTATCCTAAAGAGTTATCTTTAGCCAATGGTTGAGGATAAGATGACTTATCACACCAGTATAAAATGGGAAAGAGGACTGCATTGGTATGTTCATTTATTTTAAGGACTACTTATGTATAATTTACAGCCTACCCCCACCCCCGCCCTGCCACACACACACTCACATCCTGTTTTCAAGACCCTACTCACATGCCTCACATCAAAATGGAAAGCAGTCTAGGAACTGGGCATTGTGGTGTTTAGCTAGGAGGTCATGTGTTCAGCTAAAGAATCTACTACTATAGAGGAAGGGGGAAATAGCATGTAGTGTATATGAACAGTATAGATTGGAGGGTGGGTAATTAGTCATCTCTGCCACAATTTGTTTGGGAGAATTGCTTATAGATGGAGTAAATTTTAACCCTGGAAAGGACTTTAAAGTCATAAAGTCTCATCCATCTATGTTCCTAAATTCCTTTACAAGAACATGGGAACTTAACTGAAATGCAATAATCCATTACCAAACATAGTTGTCCCAGCTGTGCTTTTGAGGACTTTTGATATGCAGAAAAATGTATTATAGTTACATGTTCAACATTAAGTTTTTCTTTATTCTTTTATTCAGCAAACATTTATTGATCTCCTAGATGAAGATACTGTAGTAAACAACAGGTAGAAATCTCTGCCCTCATAAAACATGCAGTTCTGTGTGGGGTGATACACAAGAAAACAATTAACAAAATACATGGTGTACATTGTGTAGAATGTGATAAATAACTTGGGAAAAATAAAACAGAGAAAAGGATATTGCAATTATGACTAGAGTGGTCAGGAAAAGCCTCATTGAGAAAGTAACACCTGAGAAAAAGACTGAAGTGGTCAGGTGAGGAAGCTGTGTGCCTGTCTGCTTGGAAGGTAGAGAGAAGAGGGAGATGAGGTCAGGGTAGTCACAAAAGGTAGAACGTATGGGGCCTTCTACACCATAGTAAAATTTGGGGGTTTGAGCTGAGTACAGTTTTGATCTGACGTATGTTTTAGAATGATCTCTGCCTTGCTTTGTTGAACATAGACTGCAGGGAAGCACTGGTAAAATCAGGAACACCAGTAAGGAGGCTGTTGCAATAATCCAGGTGAGAGGCAGGGGAATAGACTTGAACTTGATGAGCAATGTCTGATTGTTGAATATATTTTAAAAATTGAGCATTCAGCGGGCGCGGTGGCTCACACGTGTAATCCTAGCACTTTGGGAGGCCGAGGCGGGTGGATCACGAGGTCAGGGGATCGAGACCATCCCGGCTAACACTGTGAAACCCCGTCTCTACTAAAAATACAAAAAACTAGCCGGGCGTGGTGGCGGGCGCGTGTAGTCCCAGCTACTCAGGAGGCTGAGGCAGGAGAATGTCATGAACCCGGGAGGCGGAGCTTGCAGTGAGCGAGATCACGCCACTGCACTCCAGCCTGGGCGACAGAGCGAGACTCTGTCTAAAAAAAAAAAAAAAAAAAAAAAATTGAGCATTCAGTTTTTGTTGATGAATATCTTCAAGTGATCATCAATAAGGGAGGGGGTGTGTAGGCTGTACGGCATCTGCTCCCCAACAGAAATGAATAGACTGTCAGACTGACGGACTATAAATAGACTATCAATTAATTATTTCCTTGCTTTTCATACATGGATGTAATGTCACACCCTCAACCCACTGGTTTTTCTAGAGTCTAATTTATTAACCATATTCATTGCAAGCTTTGATGCTGCTTTTGAAAATGTCAACTCTTACTTTTGGAATCAGATTGTCCAGGCATGGAATCCAGAAATAAAAATTGTAAACAACTTGTGTGAAGATTCCTATTGCTGTGGTTTGTATGTTTACATCCCCTCAAAATGTATATGCTGTAATACTCACCCCCAAGATGATGGTATTATAAGGTAGGGCCACTAGGAGGTGATTAGGCCATAGGGGCAGAGCTCTCATGAATGGGCTTAGTACCTTTATGAAAAAGGCCAGAAAGAGACCTCTCTCCTATTTTGCTATGTGAGGACACAGAAAGAAGGCACTAGCTATGAGTCAGAAAGTGGCCCTCAGTGGACACATTCATAAATAATGCTTTACCAGCTATCTGGGCATCCCTCAGTGCAGGCAAGTTAGCACATAAAATTAACCATCACACTTAAATGTACTTTAAAGTTTGATTACCACTGCCTTAGAGCTCAGGGGAAAAATACCTAATTCTTCTTGCATGCATAGCTTCTCAAATGTTTCAATACAGCTCTGCAGATATTTTCCTCCTTATCCTACACCAGCTGAATCTTTACACTCCCTGGACAAATATCCACAGTCCCTCCTACCTTCCTACCTTAAATGAAATGTTTCCACATGCATTTTCCCAAGAAATGTATACACTTTAATATCATATTAAGTAGCATGGGAGTAAATAGTTTTAGCCCTTGTCATCCTCCTACTAATAAGTTTATTCATAAGTTATGTTCATTTTTCCCTTATTTTTCTCATTTTTATGAATAGCTTATATTTTATTTATAAAAATGTAATTAACCCAAGCAGAAAGTTAATATTTTATATTGCAAGTTTTATATAGTTTATAATATTTTTAAAAATTAGTATTATATGTTTTTTATTGAATATGTTCCCATTAAAATGTAGTATGAGTAACATACTAGACTCATTTATAAGGGAGTTGGGGAAAATGTTGCCCTAATTTCTCTCATCTTAAAACTCATTTTTCTCTAAGGGTTCATTCACATGCCTTCTCTAAGTTGATAGTTTTACAAATCCAAGTAATTTCAAAAGATTTTGTGCTTTTGGATTGGTAAAATATTAGGGGTTATAGCTATGTGGGAATTTTTAAATAGGCATCTATTACATTTTTCCTATACTTTGAAATAATATTGGGTTTCAAAGGTTTACTTTAAGTGAACCAATAATCAACATATCTGCAAATGTTATTAAGCCCCTTAAATTCTACTTTACCTTTTTCAGGTGCAGATTATTTTTCAGTAAAATGTATATGGCTCATAATAACCATTTGGTGACATAATGGAACACAATTTCATTATGTGGAAAAATGGGACATTACGTATGCTTTTATTTTGCTTTAAAGGTGGAGGTTGGCATATTATATTTAAATTAAAATTGTTACAGGATAACTTGAATTCTACTCGAATGTAACATTAAGCTGTTATTCTGTTTATTTCTCTTTCTTTAAATCTGCACTAGCCATAAATTTAACTTAACAAAATCATCACATTTTCCACAGAGCAGTCTAGCCCGTCTCTTCCATACCTCAGTTTTTCTTTTCTGCACAGTTCTTCCCCCTAGGTATTTGCTTTTAAATGTTTATGTAGTATCTTGATTGAATTTTTAATATACACTATCGTCTTGTCTGTTTATTTGTTCCTTAAGCTTTGTCCTGTGTTCTATTCAAATGCTAACTCATTTAAAGTGGATCAAAAACATGCATACTTGGCCTAGGCTGGTATTTTCATAATTCCATTCCTCTTAGTTAAGGAGCAGAATCACTGACTTATAAAAAGTTAAAAGCTAGAAGAAAGGATCTGGAGTTGTGGTACCTTATTTTACAACCCAGCTTTGCTGTGTTTCTTGTGAAAGTCCCTGAAATTCTCTGTCTTCGATTTAAAAAAAAAAAAAAGGCTATATAAAAGGATATAGCTATTTCATATAATTGTTGTATGATTCATAAGATAATGTACCTGAAAAGGCCTGGCTTGGTCCTCAATATTACTAGAAAAAATACTATAAACTTTTTTCCTTTTATTGTCTTCAAATATAATTAACCAGTGATGTGTGTGTGTGTGTGTGTGTGTGTGTGTGTGTGTGTATCTCCCTCTTGCCTATCTCTTTCTGGCTCTCTCACTCTTTATATATTTATACACACATATATATATACACACACAGAATATATATCTCTATCGTACACAAATAAACATATACATGTACATATGTATGTGTGTGTAATATATATATCGTATATATGAAACAGCTAATTCTTTGGGCTGGTTTTAGACATAGGTATTTGGCTTTTTGTTCTAATGTTAAATTTCTTCAAGAGTAAACTTCAATTCTGAAAAATGGCAACTTTATGGTCCACTCTGACTGAGAAATGCTTGCTATTGGCAATGAAAGCTGTGTGAAATCTGACAGCCTCACCCCAAGATAAATTTGGGCAGACTTTTTTATTTGACTTAGCCCTCATGAGTGCACACCCATTGAAATGGGTTCCAAAATAGGCAGTGCTTTTTATCACATTTTGCAAACACAGCTTAATTCAGCATAAACTGCCTTGCCTTGCATAGTTTTCGTCCAGATTCATATATAAGATCAATGTTGCTTTAAATTTAGCCCTTGGTTTTCCTGTAAGTTCATGACCTTGTAGAACAAAAATTAAATTCATAAAATTGGCTTTGGCTTCAACTTGGAAGCCAAGCCCGTATTTATGAAAGTTCCCCATTTTCCTAGAAATATTCTATTGTGCTTACTCTCTGGAAGTTTTCAGAAGGCAATATAATTTGGCTAATAAAAACTGAGAAATTATTACTATAGAGAAAAAATGATCACTGTCTTTTAATAATACATTGTGATATAACCTAGCTTTAATTGTGGGACTTTTCATTTCTGATTTTTAAGAACCTGTCCAATAGAGAACACAGAGCAGCAACATCTAACAACAGAAATCAACCCGTGAGGGTCTGAAAACTGGGGGCGCTGTGGCTGTGTTCATGTATTTCCATTGAGGGGGTATGATTGTCATGCTAATGTATACGAAATAATGTATATTAATTAAACTGTATTTCCCCACATTAATAAAATTTGCTGTTACAAATTTAACACTGTAAATACATCAGCTTATAAAATGATATGAAATATAACACCATTATGTAGAGGCAAGAATAGACAATTGTAATTTATGTTACTGAAATGTTTTAATAAAATAGACACACCTTGAAGAATGCCAGTTAGATATTAATTGGTATGCAATTAAGCACTTTCTGGGGGGACAGACTCTCAAAAAGAATAAATAACCTGTATCATGGAACAATAATTGGAGTTCTCTCTACTCCATTGCTTCAGCCTAATGCTGGCAAGAGAGACTCTTTGGCCCACTGCTGGCACTCAGGGCTGAAGAGGTGGTTGAGGCTTCTGGAAAAGGAAGATTATTAGAATGATTGTGCAAGTCTCTTATGGCTTTTGAATACCTCACCCATGTTTGACTCATCAATGCATTTTGGTCACACCAATGATAAATTTAGTGGTTTAGTCATGATAAAAAGACAGGTGCAACGTTATCTTTTGGAAGAAAGAACAATGAGACCCATATAATTTCAATCTTGGATGAAAATCACCAGTTGCTAAAATAAACAAAATGTTTTCAGACCTGGTTCTCATCTCCTTTTATATGCAATTCCCTTAAAAATTGTGCTTTATATTTCTATTATCTACTGTCTCTATGAGCTGACACTGATATAAAATAGTTTTTGATTCTGTTGGTGTCTACAGAACAGTTCCAATTAATTTGAAATAGGAAGTCATATAGCATAAAATATTATTGCTTTCATGTTTCATTAAGAATAACTATCACAGCGTCCTCTTCCTGCCTGGTGTTGGTGGTTTGTTCTCAGAGGCTTGTGTCAGGACTGCTGATAGGAAGATGTCTTCAGGAAACGCTAAAATTGGGCACCCTGCCCCCAACTTCAAAGCCACAGCCATTATGCCAGACAGTCAGTTTAAAGATATCAGCCTGTCTGACTACAAAGGAAATATGTTGTATTCTTCTTTTACCGGCTTGACTTCACTTTTGTGTGCCCCACAGAGAACATTGCTTTCAGTGATACAGAAGAATTTAAGAAATTCAACTGCCAAGTGATTGGTGCTTCTGTGGATTCTCACTTCTGTCAGCTGGCATGGATCCACACCCCTAAGAAACAAGGAGGACTGGGACCCAGGAACATTCCTTTGGCCTCAGACCCGAAGTGCACCATTGCTCAGGATTATGGGATCTTAAAGGCTGAAGAAGGCATCTCATTCAGGGGCCTCTTTATCGTTGATGATATGGGTATTCTTCGGCAGATCACTGTAAATGACCTCCCTGTTGACTGCTCTGTGGATGAGACTTTGAGACTAGTTCAGGCCTTCCAGTTCACTGACAAACATAGGGAAGTGTGCCCAGCTGGCTGGAAACCTGGCAGTGATACTATCAAGACTGATGTCCAAAAGAGCAAAGAATATTTATCCAAGCAGGAGTGAGTGCTGGGCTGTTTTAGTGCCAGGCTGCAGTGGGAACCCCTGAGAACAAAGTCTCTTTTGTGGTTTTTTTTTTCCATGAGTAAAATACAAGACTTCAGATTCAGCCGAACTGTGGTGTGTTACAAGGCAGGCCTTTCCTACAGGGGGTGGAGAGACCAGCCTTTCTTCTTTTGGAAGGGATGGCCTGAGTCGTATTGTGGGGAGGCCACTGATTTGTATGATGTGTCAGTAGAGGGCATCAACCCATTGATCTTTTGTAGTTTGTATTAAACTTGAACTGAGAAAAAAATAAAAGAATATCATAATGTATTTTCTTATATTATTTTATCAGATATTTAAATTACAAATGTAATACATGCTGTTGTCAAAAGCAAAACAAAATAAGTATACTCGAAAAATGGTAAATGGACTGTACTCTTACTCCCTCCAATCAGATTTCTCCAGTATACTCAATGCTTGTAACTTGTTTTAAACTCTTCTGTCTTTATTCCAACAAATAAATACATAACTTTAAAAACATGTAGAGATTTTTTATTTTCTTTTTACAAAAATATGGTTATGCAGTATGCTTTATGTTGGAACTTGCTTTTCTAAAACCAAAGTATCATGTATATACCTCAGTCTTTCTGTAAACAAATGTTTTATAATTTATTCAGCCTGCTTCTATTAGTGGACATGTATGTTTTATCTCTTTTTTTCTATTATTTTCCTTTTCTTTTCCTACTATAATGATGTGTGCATAAACATTCTTTTACAAATATCCTAACATAAAACTCTATATTATTAGACTAGAGTTCCCTAGATGGGATTTCTGGGTCAAAGGATGAGCACATTTTAAATTGTAGTATATTCTTACATGTTCCTTTCATATAATATATTGCATTTTAATTTTTGTTTTATTTTACATAACTGCTTCCTCACTAGGTTGAATTGCCAGAGGGTAAGCACTCTTCTATTTATCTATGTAGTTAGCAACAAACATTTTTTATTTTTTTAAATTCTGAAAATAAAAGGTTTGATTAGTCAGCCATATTAACATGACCGTATTGTTCCTTTTCTACTCCCTTGTACTCCATCTTAATTGAAAACACCTTCCTTAGGACTGAAGCTGTCATTTGTTCTTACCTTTTCTTAACATCCACAACCCCTATAGTGTGTCACAGATCAATGATTTGTTCAATGCTGCCCTATAATCTTAGCTGATTATTTGTGCACTTTTTTGCTGTTGTGAATCCATATTGACCACATTTTCTAAATGATCATTCTGTTCACTGTGTATTGGGGATACAGTTAAAGGTACGAGGCGGTAGCTTTCAACTCGGCCACACATTGGAATCAAATGCTTGGGCTCCACCTATGTCTGATTGAATCAATCTGGGAGGACAGGATGGGAGCCCAGGCAATTGTGTTCTTAAGAATTTCACTAGGTAATTCTGATCCTAAGTAAGGATTAAGACCCATTGGTAGGCCAGGTGCTGTGGCTCACACCTGTAATCCCAGCACTTTGGGAGGCCAAAGTGGGCGGTTCACCTGAGTTCGAGACCAGCCTGGCCAACATGGTGAAACCCCTACTAAAATTCAAAAATTAAAAATACTAAAAATACAAAAATTAACTGGGCATGGTGGCACACACCTGTAATCCCAGCTACTTGGGATGCTGAGGCAGGAGAATCGCTTGAACCTGGGAGGCAGAGGTTGCGGTGAGCTGAGATTGTGACACTATACTCTAGCCTGGACAACAGAGCAAGACTCTGTCAAACGAGAAAAACAAAACAAAACAAAACAAGAACAACCCACTGGTAAAAGAATGAGAGTGGTCTTCTCTTTCTTAAAGTTGCATTTTTCCAGCCTGGTAAATATGGGACTTCCATTCAGACATGGAGTCACAGCCCATGCCATTGTAAATAGTACAAACACAGTTGGCCATATTGAGAGTTGAGATTAGATGGAAACTGGGGGCAAAATGCAAAAAGCAAGAGATTTGATATATGTGTAAACAGATGGAATTGAAGCAAGGTGGGGATATTTTTTGTATCAAGTTGAATAGTGTTCCACCAAAATTCATATCCACCCACAACCTGTGTATGTGACCATATTTGGAAATAGGGTCTTTGCAGATGTAATTAAGTTGAAGTCATACTAGACTGGGGTCAGTCCTAAATCCAGTGACTTGTGTCCTTATAAAGAGAGACACCAAGATACACACACACAGAGAAGAAAGCCATGTGAAGACAAAAGCAGCAATTGGAGTGATGCAGCACTTAGCCAAGGAGGCCCAAGAATGGCTGGAAACTACCAGAAGGTAGAAGAGGCAAGGAAGGATTCTTCCCTAGAGACTTCAGAGAAAGCATGGAGCTGCTGATACCTTGATTTCCAACTTCTAGACTTCAAAATTGTGAGACAACAAATGCCTGGAGTTTTAAGTTATCAAGTTTGTGGTAATCTGTTACAGCATCTCTAGGAAACTACTACAGTTTCCTAATTTTTGTGTGGGTTGCCAAGCAGCAACTTATTGTAGTCTCCCCATACCTTGAGATCATCCTTAAAGGAGAAAATGAAAAGTAGTCATATATCGAAGATTTTTAAAATTTGGAAAGCTCTGTTGTGCTATCTTGCTAAATTATTTTTTAAGTTCTAATAGATTTTTGTTAATTTGTTTGGTTTTCTAGCTATGTAATCACATGCAAATGTTTACATATAATTATATTTCTTCCTTTCAATAATTCTTGCTTTTTTATAGACCAAAAAATTACATTGTACCCCATAAACACACAAAATTGTGATTTGTCAATCAAAAATTAATAAATTAGAAATACAGAACAATTATAAAAATGCATGATTTTCAATTTTGTTTCATGCCTTGTTAATCAGATTGTCAAAGCAATATTGCCTACAAAAGATATAGGGAACACATCTTATTTCTTATTTTATTAGGAATAACATTAGTACTAAATCATATTTATAATGTTAGTCATTTTCCTCTGAATATACATTTTTTGATGTTGAGAAAATGTCTTTCTATTCCATATTTTAGTAGTATCATTATTAGGAATGCAAATTAAATCTTAAGAATAGATTTTTCCATTTATGTTAGTATAATTATTTTTTCTCATTAAACCTGTAAATTATTTTCCTATTTTACATTAAATAAATTTTTGTATCTTTTATTATTATCTTTTAAATATTTTCTCAGGTCAACCTTTTGTTCTTTTCCTAAATCTTTAAAGTCTTTTGGTCTAAACTGGAGAATTAAGTAATTTCTTTTATCATTTTTCTAATGAAAGCATCTGAGTATATAAATTTGTTTCTGATTATAGTCAACAGTACGTAGGTTTGCTATGTAATATTTCTTTTGATTATTTTCTAAATAATCCTTCTGCATTATTTCCTAGAGATTACTTAGGATAGTGTTAAGTGATTTTAGAAAAATTTTTCTCATTTGTTTGTTCATTTATTATATACATTACTAACCATTTGTATTTGTGATATGAGAATATGTCATGACCAAATTTTTAGTAGGATATATACTGTTAATCTATTTTTATGGTATTTTCTAAAATCAGATGATCCATGGCTATTTTAAAATAAGGGATATTCTCTGTGAGTCAAATAATTTGGGATCACTCCATTATTACATTTTCTGATATTTTATGTATTTTAACCACATGATTTATCATGGGCCAATAGAGTTTAAATTCTGCCATTTCGCTTGTATTTCTATTAATTTCTCCATGCTTAAAAGTTCAATACTGCTGTATCTACACTATTAATTCTGGCTTTTTCAATATAAAACAGCATTTCTGTCGTGGTTTACGGTTTTTTATTTTAATTTTACCTTGATAATAATACGTCCATGCTTAGTTGAACATATTTATTCATTTGTTAATGGAAAGCCTTCCTGTATCATTTTGTTAGTTCTGTTTGCAACAAATATTAAATGCTGCTTTTAAATCAGTCTGACTTATTAAGACAGTATCTAATTTTTTCAATTTTTTATCTTCCAATTTATTTTATTGCCACCATATAAAAATCACTTAATCCTTACTTGCTGGACAAGAAGGAAAATCTGTCTAAAATATGTGCTTTCATGAAACTGTGTAGTAATAAACAATAATCAGCCCAAATTTATGGTTAATTCAGTTGACAGTTCATACACATACGCGCGCGCACACACACACACACACACACACACATTGTGTAAGCCTTTTTAGTTTTCTAAACATCCCAAATTTCCTATTTTCTTAGATGTCTTGGTAGTTCTTTGTTTCCCTTCCTTTTGTTGTTAAATTAAGATCCTATCTATAGAAAAGTTTAAATGTCATATTTAGGTGGTGGCTTTAAAATATGTTTGCAAATGCTTTGCCATGCTTCCATCAGGAGACGGGGTTGTTTATTCTCACTTTGAAAATATGTTGGTTTTTGTGACTCTGACTCCTGAGGCTTAGCATAACAAGGCAATACGGCATCTGCCTGACTGTGTGTCTTCAGACTTTTGCTCTTGGAATCCATCCTTCATGCTGTGAGGAAGTCCAGGCCACGTCGTGGGATCATGTGTAGGAGGTGTCCAGGCATATAGCCCTAGCTGACGTCACAGCCAGCAGACAGCAGCAATCACCAGACTTGTGAGTGAGAAAGTCTCCAAGCTGACTTCATCTTCAATACTATACGACAGCAACTGCATGAGAGACCCTGATGAAAAACTGTATAGCTGAGCCCAGTCCTCATTACAACTGTTAGAGGTAATGATAAAAAATGATTATTGTTATACACCACTAAGTTTTTGCTGACTTATACAGGTAGAGATAACTAGAATAGTATGGTATTTAAATTTTTATTTTTTGTTTTTATTTATTTATTTTTTTGAGATAAATTCTCACTCTGTCACCAGGCTGGAGTGCAGTAGCACGATCTCGGCTCACTGCAACCTCCGCCTCCCAGGTTCAAGTGATTCTCCTGCCTCAGCCTCCCGAGTATCTGGGACAACATGCGCACGCCACCACACCCGGCTAATTTTTGTATTTTTAGTAGAGACGGGGTTTCACCATGTTGGCCAGGATGGTCTTGATCTCCTGACCTCGTGATCCACCTGCCTTGGCCTCCCAAAGTTCTGGGATTACAGGCATGAGCTACCGTGCCTGGCCAGAATTTTTATTAAATTCAATCAGCACTTACTGAATTCCACTTAGCAAATATTCAAAATTTCACTGTGCTAGTTTCCTGAAGATTGGAATAATTTATGTACAGAAAATAATTTTCCAATTTTCTGCCATATTTGACTATTTTAATACATAAATCTGCTTAATTTATGTACTAAAATAGTCAAATATGGCAGAAAATTGGGAAGGGCAGAAGAGACAGAGACTAACTGCCTTGCATCTGAATACATTTGACTTTTGCCTCAGGCACCTTACAAGCTTGAAGGGATCTAAACAGACGTCCAGGCATCCCTGAAGAAAGGAATCATAGGAAATTCTGTCATAGTATTTCCATTCTCTCCGGTAGTTTACAAGTGCCACACACTGCAGACAGTTAGGTATATAGTTTAATTTCCTGTTCAGCCAAAATAGCTGCTTGGGGCATGTGGTAACATCCCAAGTCTACATCAATTCCTACCAGATGTAAAATGGAGAATCAAATTCAATAAATCACTTCACATTTTGTTGTAATTTCTTCTATGTAAATACTTTTAAATTTGGGGAAATATCTAGGTCATTTTATATTGGCTTATGACAAAGATCTGAAAACAAACCAAGTACTAACAAATCTAAAGGAGAAATCTTGAAGTACATGTGCACAGTATACATTATGGAAAAAAATATACCTTCTTACTATAATGAGAGGCATTTTAGAAATCTATTGTAATTCAAATTCTGATCATCAAGGTAAAATACATCTCAGATAAAGACTTTTAAAAGTTGAGATCTCATATGTAGAAGAGCTAAAAACAGAACTACCATTCCACCCAGTAATCCCATTACTGGCTGTATACTCAAAGGAATATAAATTGTTCTACCATAAAGGCACATGCAAGTGTATATTCATTGCAGCGCTATTCAAATTGCAGCACTTTATCCAATCTGCCATTGATGGGCATTTAGGAATCAACCTAATTAACCTAATTTAGGTTAATCCTGTTTAGGAATCAACTTAAACGCCCATCAGTGGCAGATTGGATAAAGAAAATGTGGTACATACACAATATTGAATACTGTGCAGCCATAAAAATGAATGAGATTATGTCCTTTGCAGGAATATGAATGGAGCTGGAGGCCATTATCCTTAGTGAACTAACACAGGAACATAAAACCAAATACTGCATGTTCTCGCTTATAAGTGGAAGCTAAATTATGAGAACACACGGACACATAGAGGGGAATAACAAACACTGGGGTCTACCTGAGGGTGGAGGGTGGGAGCAGGGAGAGATCAGAAAAATTGGGTACTGGGCTTAATATCTGGGTGATGAAATAATCTGTACAACAACACCCCCTGACACGAGTTTCTCTATATAACAAACTGCACATGTGATCCTGAACTTAAATTTTTTTAATGTAAAGTTTCAGAATCTTTCATGTTATTAAATATTTAATAGTAATGAATTTGATTTTGTGTTCATCATTGGATTGCAGAGTGATCCTGAACAAATCATTAGCTTTCAGATACATTTTAAGAGCAACAACAACAAATTATGTAATTGACTGGCCATTCAGAGATAGAAGACTATTCTACCGGAAGATAAAATGTCTGGTACTAGGAAGAAATGAAGAAGAGGTCACATTTTAGAGGTTTTTGCTCCTTCAGTTTTAGTCATTCTAATTCCACCTTACTATTAAACCTTTATAATATTTGTCAACTCTTGGCTTTTAATATCCTGATCTCAGATCATCTGGACTGAGCAGAGCTGACGTGTCATTGGCAGGTAATCCCAGAGGACACCTCCCTTGTGATACATTTGGTAGTTTGATGCTTAACTTCACTGCATAACCTACTTATTATCAGGTAAAATTAATCACTTTCTTATTGACATTATATATTCATAATCAGGTAAAATTAATCCACATTGAAATGCAAGACCATAGAAACAAAACCAGTGAACTTAGCTGCTTTGAAGGCAAGTTATTACAAAAGGGAAGGTTGAAAAATTGATCTTTGGGATCCCAAGATAATCACTTTCACTGGCTTTTTCCAGCTGCTTGAAGTTTATAACAATATTATATTTGCTGCTTATAACAAAAACAGGCATACAACAGGAGGTAAAACCAGCAGACTTTATCAAATGCCAGGCACTGTGTTGGCTTAGGCACCACAGATTCAGCTCCTGATTAAGGCCATTGCCCTGGAATCAGTGAGCTCACTGTTTAGTTGAAGAGGCCATCCATCCACGTGGTGTCATGATGGAGGTGGGCCTAGGTGCTATTTCAACAGGCAAACACCCAGACAAGAATAAGCCCCATCAAGGTAAATTCCTGTAAGTGGTGCTACTCAAGTGTATTGGCTCAGTTAACATAAGTCTTAACTTCATTTGACAGTGATCATGACAAAAACAAGATACAGTTTTGCATATGTTGTCAGATTTAATAAACAAAAAGAGGAAAGGAAAGACACTGGGAGGTTTGCTGTTATTTAAGTTTTCCCCCCCAGAAAGAAGTGATGTTTGAGATGACTTAGCCTCTGGATTACTTATCTCCAACAATAATTAATATCTTATAATAGCTGTCATTTATTGGTGCTTACTATGTTCCAGACACTGTTCAGAAAGATTAACTCATTTGATTTTCACAACACGACATGAGGGGGATACCATTAAATCCACTTTTAAAATGGGGAAACTGTGGTACAAAAAGTTTAAATAACTTTCCTGAGGTCACATAGATGAAAGGTGGCAGAGTTAGAATTCCAACCCAGGCCTCTCTTTAGAGGCTCTTTTCTTAACTCCTAGGTCATATATTGTACTGCTTTTCAAGGAAGAGTTCATTTTCTGGCTGTGGTTATGTTCTAACATGTTCCATGTTTCTCTGTCTCTCCTGGGATGTGTGCACTGTATGTTACCATCTTGCTTTGAGACCCATCTTTGTAAACTTAGGAATTCCTTTCTTTTTTGACTTTGCAACTGCTGTAAGTACAGTCTTTAATTAAGGAGTCTTTTTCAGCAATTTCTGTGGGGGGTTTTCTTCCTTTTCATATGCTCTGCTGAGTAATGAATGCTTGTTAAATTTGTTAATAATAATGTATGTGGGGGCTGCAGCTCACTGGCCTACTGACCCTATTAGAGTTCTTTGAGTGTGTTTCAGCTCTTAGATGGAGACATTTCCCAGCAGGGTTTGTTCCCTGCACTATCTGTTGATAGAAGGGCATTGGAAGTTTATTTTGGTAGGAAGAGCAAATATCTGTTGGAGCATGAGCTAAAAATAAAACCCAGCCATTATACAAGATCATGGGTCTTACTCATAACATCAAGGTTTGTTCTGTAGCTAGCCCTCTCCAAAATGAAGGCAGGACCTTCGCAGAGGAGGCCACAAGGAGCCCTTACATGTGCCTACAGACCATTTTGTTAGATGGAGCCACGTCCTCATGTCTTTCCTCCTTTTTATCTTTTGCTCTGATTTCCATCTGTCCTTGTCCTTTACCTATGAAATTATTTGGAAAAACTTTAATCATCTTGAAAATGTCCATGTTCTGATCACAGTGCCACCCCTGGGTGCTCCCTGACTTTCTTCATGATGCCAGAAGGGTGCTGGGTTCTACTCAGAGGCAGAAAGAACATTCTTTTTCCTGTTCGGTGCCACTTCCTTTTCTGTGCCCTCCTTTTCCCCCAAATGCCCAAATATTCTTCATTGAAGAGTGCAAAACTTATTAGTTTCAGCACTTAATAATAGATGTCAAACTGTGACCAGAGGGATGAAAACAAAATAGATGTCAGAGGCTTGCCCATTCTTCCCCTCCTTTTTTTCTAGGCTTTTCCTTTTTGTCATTCCTCAGTTCCAAAACAAAAACATCCAGGAATATGAATGGAGGTAAAAAATGTTGTGGGATTACTGGAAGAGGAAGTATAGACTAACACCACCAGCACCTGGCCAGAAATGTCTGGTTATATCCTCTGAAGTTTCCCCAGTCACAGTAGCTTGAGACAGTTTTTAACCACTTCACTTCCTGCCCAATGTCATATGAACTACATCATGAGATGATGAGGATCCCAAGAGCAGAAAAGAAGAAGGAAAGACAAGGAGATATGGGGCTTTATCTATGGCCTTCTGTAGTAGATGGTGTTGGAGATGACACTTGAAAAGTGCCTTGAATTTAGCTAAAGAAGGAACTAATCAATGAAAATATAGAAAGACACTTTTCTTTCTTTCCTCCCTATTTTTCTTTTTTCTCTCATTCCCCATTCTTCTCATATTTTTATTTATTTCATTACTACTAAAGGAAAAGGTTAATACTCATGCTAGAAATAATACTACAAAGCAAAACTATCTCAAGGCTTAAAGTAAGTTTTGCCCAGTCATACAGAAACCCAATACTGTGTAATGTCTTCACCAGATGTTCAAGTAGCATTAATAATAGCTTATGTAAAGTTACTATAATCCAAATAAAATTAATTAAACAGTTCAGAAAAAAATCTTATTGTGTTATTTCCATTTTTGCCCTACTCTCTGTTGAGAGATCTCAAACCAATGGAAAAGTTAAGAGAATATTACAAAGAACACCCATGTATCATCCTAGACTTGCTAGTTGTTAATTTCACCACAATTGCTTCTCTATGTATTTTATACTATATAAAATTATATGTATATAATTATTTTATTTAATATATGTATATATACATTTTATGTAATAATTATATATATTTATATGTTTTATTATATAAAAATTTATATTTTATAAAATTATATAAATATAATTTATATATAAATTTAAACATATTTATATTTTATAAAATTATATATTATATAATTATATATTATATATTATAAATTATATATTATATAATATATAATTATATAATATATAATTATATAATATAAATTATATAATTATATATTTATATATTTAATAATATATAATTATAAAATATATATTATATAATTATATATTTATATATTTAATAATATATAATTATATAATATATAACTTTATAAAATAGAAACATGTCTAATACATATAGACATATAATTTCTACTGAATCATTTGTACATAATGTGCAGATATCATGATTCTTCACCTCTACATACTTCAGCATATATCTTGTAAGAACAGTGCCATTCTCCTACATGCCATAATCACTCTCACATAATTTCACATCACTATAATATTACCTAGTGTAAAATCCCTATTTTAAATTCCACCAATTGTCCCAATAACTTCCTCCGATCTGGGATCCAATCACGCATTACATTTAATTGCCATTTTTTTTTTCTATTAATCCAGAACAGTCACCTCCTTTTATTGTCTTCAATGTCACTGATGATTTTGAGGGATCCAGGCCAGCTGTTTTGAAGAATGTGCCATATTCAAATTGTGACTAGGTAAGAATTCAAATTGTGAGTAAGAATAATTCATAGGTGATGTGGTGCCCTGTGAAGCCTTTAATTTTAAGTTGGGGACTTTGGTTCAGCTTTTGTGTTTCTGATCTTGAAATTTGAGATGTAATCAAAAGCACCAAACCATTCCTTGAAGAGTTCTTTCTCTGGATATGAACAGAAGAGACTCAGGTATGTATTTTCTACTAAGTTACAATTTAGGTCAACCAAATAGCTAAGCTCTCAAAGTCAGAAGGTGTGTGATGAGGTGAAATTAGCACAGTTTGAAAGAGGTGGCTTATGCTCAACACTGATTCTGTTGCCACTTACGAATTATTCCATCCTGGATAACTTGTATGGATTATTCCATCTTGGATAACTTCTTTTGGTTTCATTCTCTCATCTGTATATAGTGAATGATCCTGAGTCTTCCTAGCTCATAGAGATGTCATAATGGTCCAATGAGATCCATATGTCCATTGTACAGTTGAGGTGTGTCTCTGCCTGTATGTCCATGTGAAGGAAACCATCCCCAGAGAGAACACTGATCCCCTGTTAATTGATCAGGACCATACTTAGTGTCCAGAGGATGGTGCAAACATTTCTTACTGTTTATTTTTTTTTTTGACTGCCTTTCAAAGACTTGCTAACTTCACTGACAGCCTCCCCACTCCCACCACCTATCCTGTAGGCTTTCACTCATTGATGTGTCAGCAAGTTTTATTTCACCAGCAAGCTGTACTACTTTTCAGACTGAAACACTGTAATGCAAACGTTCTGTGGAATTTTAGTGACAAATGTAAAGTAAAAAGGGAATTTGTAAGATAGTCTGTGTAGTCATACTCTGCTTTGAGTCATTAGAAACAGAATAGGGAAAAGTAAACAACCTGGTGGCATCGTTACTTTTCTGGCACTTAGTGTTGAAATACCACTTGTCTTACCATTTAGAAAACAGATTGTAGAAATTGCTGATTATCATGGTGTTCCCAAGTAAAGCAGAGATGGAGTTATAGGAGTTTATGTCAGCACATCCTGGACTAAAAGCAGAAGTAGAAAACATAGAAAATCAGTAAGTACTCTGTTAGAGTACATTGTATAGCTACCAAATGGCTTTAGAAGTTGATATTCCAAGGCAACAGGCAAAAGTCATATTAATTTAAATAAAGTTTAGGTAAATAGATATGAGGGGTTGCATAATTATGTGATTAACTGTTTCAGCATTCTGCCAACAGAAACATTTTCTTCCTAGAGTGAATTCCCCACTGTTCATTCTAACTTTAACGACTCGAGTAATGGTTTTCATACTTCTCAGATAATTGAAGTACAATAAGAAAATCATCACATGTTATTGCTTATTCAAAACTGTCAAATATATTACTCCTAGTAGACTTTTTCTATGCAAATCTCTTTTTTGCAAGCCAACCAGGTACTTGGTTCTTTTTTTCTGCTATTAAGGGAAGAATGCAGTGTATATAACATACACAGAAAGAGGAAATGAAGGAGGGAATCGTATTGGAAGTATCTTTAAAATAGATAAAAATGTGTTGTAAACTGAAACTGAACAATCAATAGACTGAATTAGACAAATCAGAAAAATGTTTTATTTAATTTTCAACTCAAGTTTATGTCATCTTTAACTCAAAAAACTTTCCAATTGCTTACTAAATAAAGCCCATACTCCTTCCTCTGGTATCTATACCCCTTCACACTCTGCTCCAATTGACTTATTTCCCATTTATACCTATTATACTTTAGGCATCTTTCATGTATACTTTTTTGTTGCATTTTTTAGTATAACCCAAACAATTTGCTATCACTCACAAAAAAAGTATGCTCTTCTATATTTATGCCTTATTATTTTTTATACAAAGTTTCCTTACCCTCTTCTCAACTTTTATGGTACTTTCATTTTGTCTGCTACTGGGAGCACAGTGTAGTAGATGCAGTGGTTTGCTAATCAGATCAATTTCCTACCCCCTGCTTCTAAGGAAGTCTCATTTGCTCAGCTGCTGGATATGTTGACTAAACACAGGTGAGTCCTACTCTAGGAATTCTCTGCCCAAGGAACCTCCTGTGCCTAAAGTTGGGTTCCTTGCAGAGGTCAACCCACATCAATGACTTGTTAAAACAGATTTGGTTCCTTTGTTTCAATTGAGAACAATTTAGAATATCCATCCTAGGTCCAGAGCTCCCTGAGGGGACCAATAAGGTCTTTATTGCAACCGTATTGCAGTTCGACTTTTTCTTCTACCCAATCCAGCTTCCCTCACTCCCTTGCAGGTGTTGTTCTGTAGGGAACTCCCAAATAAACTGCATGTATGAAAATCTCTCTTTCAGAGTTGGGTTCCTGGGGAATTTAACACAGACATTTTGTACCAGATGTGATTGGAGGAAGCAGATTCTAAAGTCACCCTTCTGCTGGGTTGCCCACTTGTTGGCTAGAAGTGAGAATGACATCACCCATGCTGTACCAGAGCAACTGTTCCACTTTCATCAGTGCTGAAAAGAGGTGAAATATAAGTGGAATGAACCCAATAGTGGGCAGAATGTCTTATCTTTGAGAAATTTGGGGTAAATATTAATAGTACTTATAAGGACTATGAAAGTTGCTGACTGTTGGTGAAGGTAAATATTGGAAATGTTAATGAATGTCTGAGTGTTATCACCAATTTAGGGTGAAGTGTAAAGCCAGATGACCTCCTAAACAGCACAAATGGTCTTTCATCTTTCTCAACACAGGAAGAAAAAGCTAAATGTCAGGCCCAGGACTTAAGGGAAGTAGAGATGTATAGTGAGTTGAATTCTCAATCCCTGGAAGTCTTCTCTGTCAAGGTCAGGTCCATTATTGTGTGTCAACAAGGTCCTGAAACTTGGGATGGAGGCATTCAGGTACATGCATTGAAAATTTTCATTCTTCTTCTTCTCCTGAACCTTCTGGGGTTACACAACTAGCCCATTCCTCTCTACCAAAGACTAATGCTCCTCCCTTACCTGAAGATGATGCATAGGCCTCTCCCTTGCAAGACAACATTGAACACCCCAGGACTGACTGTCTTCTCCACTCTTGGCCATTAGACCACTTACGTAGGACAAACTCACAAAAAAACTCTTGGTCTGGGACATTATAGGCATGCAGGGGGTAGGAAAGAGACCTCAATGAGACCTAACATGAAGCAACAGTAAAGAATACATATGAGTCTGAATCTTAAGAATACTGGAACAAAGTGAGAGGAGGGAGTTAGGTTAGGCAATTAGACAGGGAGGGACTCAGCAGAAGAGCAACAGTAATAGAAACGCCTGCAGAACAGCAGCAACACCACCTCTGCAGCTAGCGGGAAGATCAACAGTCATAGGAACACCCGTGGGACAGCACCCACACTGCCTCTGCAGCTAAAGGGAAGAAATGTAGTTAAGAACTTCCCCTTATGCCAGGAGGTCTGCTCAGAAGGGACTGTCCCAGCTTAGGTGCAGGCACAATAAATCAACCTAAATACCCTTAACTTAACCCAGCTCATTATAATGTCATTAACATGATATTAGCATTGCAGTTTTAGCCTCCTCCACCATGTGTGTTTCAGTTAGGCACTCATGGGTAATAACCAAGATGGAGTTACCATGACCAACTCCAGGCATGCACAGATACAACACCCCTAGGAGGTGTATCTATTGTATCTCTGCCCTCTCCCATTTAGGCAGAACCCACAGAAGACTTCCTTGTTCTTGCCACATAAAACACCCAGAACTCAGCCCCATTGCTTACAACCCACTTTCAGGGTCCCCTTTCACTGCTTGGAGCTTTCCTTTTGCTTAATAAATTCTGCTCTGCCTTACTCACCCACTGGTGTCTGCGTGCCTTGTTCTTCTTGGTCGTGGGACAAGAGGCTGTACCTCATTGAACAGGGGAAAAGGGGACTGCAACAAAAGGAAACATAAATTCATGTTAGAGAGAGTTTGTTAATATGGGAGTACTTTTCTGCGATATGATATTTAATGCCATGATTAGAATTTTGGTAGATACAACTAACATGCTGTTAGGGTGAACTTGGAATATTCTGAGTTCTTGGAACAAGTGAAATTTTCCACTAAATAAAGTAGAAATGCAAGAAACTCTGTGCCATATTGAGGAGGAGGGAATCAAGAGGCTTAGAGGACCGGACATTTTGAAGTAGATAGAATACATAAAGCTGGAAAACCCACCAACAAGGTATGTTCTGTAGAGGGCCTGGAAAATATGCTATTATAGACCTAAGCTCCATGATACCACTGGGGATGAGAGAACCTGAGACAATAGAGTGCAGATGGAGAGCAAAATGTGTATAATGACTGTAATAAGTGGCAAAGGTTGGAATTTGAACTAGGGGTCCTGACTTACAGAGAATTTGGAAATGCTTAAGAGAGAATAATGTCCCAGGGGCAAGATAAATGGGCAGTCAATAAAATCAGTTTTTTGACAAGCATATTGCTTAATTTGTATTACCAAAATAAATTAGGAAACTGAAGGCAGCTAAAGTCTCAGGCTTGGAAATGCTAGGCCTATACCCCTTGCTGGGTATGTCAACTGAAATCTCAGTTCCCAACAAAAGAGAGGAGAGAGGGAAAAGGAAGGATAAGAGGATAAGGAAAAGTGAGAAGGGTGAAGGAGGAAATGACAGTCAAATGTCTTCACCATGGGCCAGGTGCGATGGCTCACGCCTGTAATCCCAGCACTTTGGGAGGCCGAGGTGGGTGGATTACAAGGTCAGGAGATGGAGACCATCCTGGCTAACTAGGTGAAACCCCCACTCTACTAAAAATACAAAAAATTAGCTGGGCGTGGTGGCACGTGCCTATAGTCCCAGCTACTTGGGAGGCTGAGGCAGGAGAACTGCTTGAACCCAGGAAGTGGAGGTTGCAGTGAGCCGAGATTGCACCACTGCACCCCAGCCTAGGTGACAGTGAGACTCTGTCTCAAAAAAAAAAAAAAAAAACACAAAAATTCTCCACTATGAACATACTCCTCCCTCTCCCCAAACATGCACCGCAATGGAAAGTCTCATTCAGCTTCCTTTTTATTTGTTGTGTGGTCCACTATACTTTGTCTCCTGATCCAGACATTTTATTTTATTGTATTTATTTATTTATTTAGATGGAGTCTCACTCTGTCGCCCAGGCTGGTGTGCAGTGGTGCGATCTCGGCTCACTGCAACCTCCGCCTCCTGGGTTCAAGTCATTCTCCTACCTCAGCTTCCCAAGTAGCTGGAACTACAGACATGCAACACCAGGCCCAGCTAATTCTTTTGCAACACCAGGCCCAGCTAATTTATTTGTATTTTTAGTAGAGATGGGGTTTCATCATACTGGCCAGGCTGGCTAATCCAGATATGTTAAAATGCAGGAAGTAAAAGAGGGACATAAAGAATTGAATAGATCTGGTATTCTTTTCTTTTAGTCTGAGGATAGAGAGGAAATAGTTGTGTATTTTCTTCCCCTATCATTCAATGCAAACAGAGACAGATATAGATATAAAAATAAATTTATTCCAAAAAGTAATTTTGGAGTTTAAGTGTTCCTCAAAATGCATGTTCTCATCTGAGAATTTCATTCTGAAAACAGACTTAATAAAGCTGAAATACTGTGCATTTGTGTTAAGTAAAAAAAAAATTGTTTTTATAATACCCATATGTAGTAGTGTTAAAATATGCCTAAAAATTCTTTGATATTTCTCCTTTCAAAAGACGGAGCTTAGAGGAGGAACTGAGTGAGCACAGATGAGCAGTGTATAGAGACTCACATTGTGAACTTTTGCTCCAAGAACTACTGCAGGAACATACCAGGAAAGCCGAGAGAATCCACAGACCTTTAAAGGAAGTGGCTTGCCACTGCAGGCTCCATGAGACAGCAAAAAAACTGAGTGCTAAAAGTGTGAGGGGGGAAATTTCACCTTTGAACACACATCCTCACTGGGGAACCTGAAGGTCCAGATCTCTGGAAAAGGATTTGACCTTAGCTGGAGCTAAGATAAATTTAGAGAGGCGAGCAAAATATAGTGGTAGAAGAAGCATCAGGAAGAGTCCTGTGGGCACTTTCAGTCCCCATGGAAGCCATTCCTGACTTTGTCTCATAGGGGTCCTTGAGTGGGGATGGGGGCGGGCTGCCAGTGGAACTGGGGAAAGACCACAGGGAGAAGGAAATTTCCAGCTGACGTTTGTAACAATTTTGACCCAGCATGACGTTTCCTGGACAGAATCCGCGGAGGGGGCAAATGAGGAGTGCAGATACCAGCACAGAAGCCATGGCAGGTGGGGAGGGGTGAAACCGGAAAGCCCAGCTTGCTTTCTCAGCAGGGAGGCTTGTAGCCTGGGGCAAGTTCTCAGCCCTGCCCACCAGCTGCCTGGAAATAAATTCGGTGCTGTTGGGGGAGCACAGTGGGAGTGAGACTGGTCTTTTGGGCTGCGTGGGAGCTGGGTGAGGCTTGTCATTGCCAGCTTTCTCGCACTTCCCTGGAAACCTGTGGGACACAGCAGAGACAGCCATAATCCCTCTGGGAACATAACTCCATTGACCTGATACCTACACCCCCATCCCTACAGAGGCCCCAGCAAGCTTTGCCCCAGAAGAGTGAGTTCAGACACGCCTAACCATCCCTCACCTGATGGTCTTTCTCTACCCGCTCTGGTAGCCGAAGACAAAGAATATAATCTCTTGGGACCCCACCCACCACCTGACCCTAGAGCATGCTTGCATCCTCCCTATTCTACTGCAGCTGATGCACTCTTTTATTTATTTATTTATTTATTTATTTATTTATTTATTTATTCATTTATTTATTTTTGAGATGGAGTCTAGCTCTGTCGCCCAGGCTGCAGTGCAGTGGCACAATCTTGGCTCACTGCAAGCTCCGCCTCCAGGGTTCACGCCATTCTCCTGCCTCAGCCTCCTGAGTAGCTGAGACTACAGGTGCCTGCCACCATGCCTGGCTAATTTTTTGTATTTTTAGTAGAGACGGGGTTTCACCATGTTAGCCAGGATTGTCTCCATCTCCTGACCTTGAGATCCACCCACCTCGGCCTCCCAAAGTGCTGGGATTACAGGCATGAGCCACCATGCCGGGCCGCTGATGCACTCTTGAAAGTGCCACCTCCTGGCTGGAGGCTAACCAACACAAAACCAGCGAACTAAACAAAACTATAACCAAGGACCCTCACGCAGTCCGCTTCTCTCCCCTGCTACCTCCACTGCAGCTGTGCGGATAGAGTATATCATGTCTAGATAACTGCATGGAGAACAGATGGATCAGTGGAAAGATCTAGGGAAACAGTGATAAGAGATGTTCCTGGAAATGTCAGCAAGAATGATATAATGGACTTTGGGGACTCTAGGGGAATGGTGGATGGGGATAAGGGATAAAAGATTACACATAGCGGTATTGTGTACACTGCTCAGGTGATGGGTGCAGCAAAATCTCATGAAACACCACTAAATAACTTATCCATGTAACCAAACACCACTTGTTACCCAAAAATCTATTGTTGAAATAAAAATGATAATAATAATAAACCAAACAAACAAAAAAAGATGGAGCTTAATTCAGCTCCTCTTGCCTGTCACCTGGATGTATGAATTTGCTTTAAATGAGTAGAATATAGCAGAAATAAGTGTATGTCACTTTCTGTATTAGTCATATAAGGCATCGTACTTCCTCCCTGCTCTCTCTCTTGCATTACTGACTGTAAACGAGTGACATAAGGACACTCAAGCAGCCCTATGGAGAGGTCCATGTGGCAAGAAACTGAGGCCTAATGCAAACAGCCAGCAAGTAGCTGAGGCCTCCTGCCAAACACATGTAAGTGAGCTAGATTAGCAGTGGACTTTCTAGCCCCAGTTGAGCCTTCAGATAACGGCGGTCCAAGCTGACATGTTGCCTTGCAAAATCATGAGAGACGCTGAGCCAGAGCCATCCAGCTAAGCCACATCCGATTTTTTTAACACAGAGAAACCATAAGATAATAAATGTCTGTTGTTTTAAGCTGTATGTTTAGGGTAATTTTTATAGCAATAGATATCTAATACAGTATAATGAAATAATTTAATAATTTTTTTCAAATTATATCTTCAAGGCTAGTACTTACAAAAAAGTAAATTTAAACAGAAATGACTGAAGAAGCAGGACACAAATGGGACTTCTGGGCACTATCAAGGCATTTATAAGTAGAAGGTTTCATGCGCGTCCATGTGAAGAGACCACCAAACAGGCTTTGTGTGAGCAACATGGCTGTTTATTTCACCTGGGTGCAGGCGGGCTGAGTCCGAAAAGAGAGTCAGCGGAGGGAGATAAGGGTGGGGCCGTTTTATAGGATTTGGGTAGGTAAAGGAAAATTACAGTCAAAGGGGGTTTGTTCTCTGGCGGGTAGGAGTGGGGGTCGTAAGGTGCTCAGTGCGCAGGAGTTGGGGTCGCAAGGTGCTCAGTGGGGGTGCTTTTGAGCCAGGATGAGCCGGGAAAAGGACTTTCACAAGGTAATGTCATCAGTTAAGGCAAGGACTGGCCATTTACACTTCTTTTGTGGTGGAATGTCATCAGTTAAGGTGGGGCAGGGCATATTCACTTCTTTTGTGATTCTTTAGTTACTTCAGGCCATCTGGGCATATACGTGCAGGTCACAGGGGATGTGATGGCTTGGCTTGGGCTCAGAGGCCTGACATTCCTGCCTTCTTAATAAGAAAAATAAAACAAAATAGTGTTGCAGTGTTGGGGCGGCGAAAATTTTTGGGGGGTGGTATGGAGAGAGAATGGATGATGTTTGTCAGGGCTGCTTCAAGCGGGATTAGGGGCGGCGTGGGAACCTAGAGTGGGAGAGATTAAGCTGAAGGGAGGTCTTGTGGTAAGGGGTGATATTGTGGGGATGTTAGAAGAAACATTTGTCATATAGAGTGATTGGTGATGGCCTGGATACGGTTTTGTATGAATTGAAAAACTAAATGGAATAACAGAAGGAGAAAAACAGGTATAAAAGGTCTAAGAATTGGGACGACTCAGGAGGTCTGATTAGAGAGTGCTTAAGGAGATTTGGCATAGTCCTGCCAGCAAAGATTATTTATTTACTTCAAGAGTTAAGAGTGGCAGTTTGGGGCTAGCACCAGGAGATATCAGCTGTGATCGCTTGGAAAAACAGTGTAAACCGGCAGTGTAAACAAGAGCAGGGCATGTATGAGTAGTTGAGAACGGTGAATAGGAGTATGACTAGACAGAAAATAGTAGGGATGACAAGTTTTTTTTTTTTTTTGAGGCACAGTCTAAGTTGGTCTGGTGTCTGGAATGAGACTGGGGCCTAATAAAAAGGAGCGTCTATACAGGACGTTAAATGGGCTGTACCCTGTAGCATTCCGAGGACAGGCCTGAATTCTGAGAAGGGAAAGTGGTAAAAGTATTGTCCAGTCCTTTTTAAGTTGGTGGCTGAGCTTGGTGAGGTGTGTTTTTAAAAGACCTTTAGTCCATTCTACTTTTCTTGAAGATGGAGGACCATAAAGGGATATAAAGGTTTCACTGAATACTAAGAGCCTGAAAAACTGCTTGGCTGATTTGACTAATAGAGGCTCGTCTGTTATCAGACTGTATTGAGGTGGGAAGGCTAAACTGAGGAATTATGTCTGACAGAATGGAAGAAATGACTGCGGTGGCCTTCTCAGACCCTGTAGGAAAGGCCTCTACCTATCCAGTGAAAGTATCTACCTAGACTAAGAGGTATTTTAGTTATCTGACTCAGGGCATGTTGAGTAAAGCTAATTTGCCAGTCCTGGGTGGGGCAAATCCTGGAGCTTGATGTGTAGGGAAGGGAGGGGTCCTGAATAATCCCTGAGGAGTAGTAGAACAGCAGATGGAACACTGAGAAGTTATTTGCTTGAGGATAGATTTCCACGATGGAAAGGAAGTGAGAGGTTCTAAGAGGCGGGCTAGTGGCTTGTACTATAGCATAACCTGCCTTTGCTGGTGTGTGGCGATTAGGCCTGGTGGAACCGCCATCAATAAATCAAGCGTGATCAGGGTGAGGAACAGGAAAGAAGGAAATTTGGGGAAATGGGGTGAATGTCAGGTGGATCAGAGAGATACAGTCATGGGGGTCAGGTGTGGTATCAGGAATAATGTGGGAGGCTGGATTGAAGTCTGGGCCAGGAACAACGGTAATTGTGGGAGCCTCAACAAAGAGTGGGTACAGCTGAAGTAGCCGGGGAGCAGAAAGTATATGCGTCAGGTATGAGGAAGAAAATAGATTTTGGAAGTTATGAGAAATGTAGAGAGTGAGTTGAGCATAGTTTGCGATTTTTAGGGCCTCTAAAAGTATTAAAGCAGCGGCAGCTGCTGCACACAGACATGAGGGCTAGGCTAAAACAGTAAGGTCAAGTTGTTTGGACAGAAAGGCTACAGGGTGCGGTCTTGGCTCTTGTGTAAGAATTCTGACCACACTAACCATGCCTAGGAAGGAAAGGAGTTGTTGTTTTGTAAGGGATTGAGGTTTGGGAGATTAATCGGACAGGATCGGCAGGGAAAGCACGTGTGTTTTTATGAGAATTATGCCGAGATAGGTAACAGATGAGGATGAAATTTGGGCTTGACTGAAGTAATGGGGGCTGTCTGTGAAGCCTTGTGGCAGTACAGCCCAGGTAATTTGCTGAGCCTAATGGGTGTCAGGGTCAGTCTAAGTGAAAGCAAAGAGAGGCTGGGATGAAGGGTGCAAAGGAATAGTAAAGAAAGCATGTTTGAGATCCAGAACAGAATAATGGGTTGTAGAGGCAGGTATTGAGGATAGGAGAGTATATGGGTTTGGCACCATGGGGTGTATAGGCAAAACAATTTGGTTGATAAGGCGCAGATCCTGAACTAACTTGTAAGGCTTGTCTGGTTTTAGGACAGGTAAAATGGGGGAATTGTAAGGAGAGTTTATAGGCTTTAAAAGGCCATGCTGTAGCAGGCGAGTGATAACAGCCTTTAATCTTTTTAAAGCATGCTGCGGGATGGGATATTGGTGTTGAGTGGGGTAAGAGTGATTAGGTTTTAATGAGATGGTAAGGGGTGCATGATCAGTCGCCAAGGAGGGAGTAGAGGTATCTTATACTTGTGGGTTAAGGTTGGGGGATAGAAGAGGAGGACGCAAAGGAGGCTTTGGAGGACGCAAAGGAGGCTTTGGATTGGGAAGAAGGGCGGCAATGAGATACAGCTGTAGTCCAGGAATAGTCAGGGAAGCAGATAATTTAGTTAAAGTGTCTCAGCCTAATAAGGGAACTGGGCAGGTGGGGATAACTAAAAAGGAGTGCTTAAAAGAGTATTGTCTAAGTTGGCCCCAGAGTTGGGGAGTTTTAAGAGGTTTAGAAGCCTGGCCGTCAATACCCACAACAGTTATGGCGGCAAAGGAAACAGGCCCTTGAAAAGAGGGTAATGTGGAGTGAGTAGCCTCCGTATTGATTAAGAAGGGGACGGGCTTACCCTCCACTGTGAGAGTTACCCGAAGCTCGGCGTCCGTGATGGTCTAGGGGGCTCCCGAGGCGATCAGGCAGTGTCAGTCTTCAGCTGCTAAGCCGAGAAGATCTGGGAAGGAGTCAGTCAGAGAGGCTTGGGCCAGAGTTCCAGGGAAGCTGGGAGTGGCTGCCAGGTGAGTTGAACAGTCCGATTTTCAGTGGGGTCCCACACAGATGGGACATGGCTTAGGAGGAATCCTAGGCTGCGGGCATTCCTTGGCCCAGTGGCCAGATTTCCGGCACATGTAGCAAGCTCCTGTGGGAGGAGGTTCTGGAGGAACGCCTGGCCACTGCGGTTCAGGCATTTGGAAGTTCTTGTGTGCTGGAGATTGTGGCTGGGGTTTGTCTCACAGTGGAGGCAAGGAATTGCAACTTTTTTCTATTATTTTACACCTTGAAGGCGAGGTTAATTAAATCCTGTTGTGGGGTTTGAGGGCTGGAATTTAATTTTTGGAGTTTTATTTAATGTCGGGAGCAGATTGGGTAATAAAATGTATATTGAGAATAAGATGGCCTTTTGACCTTTTAGGGTCTAGGGCTGTAAAGTGTCTCAGGGTTGCTGCCGAACGAGCCATGAACTGGGCTGGGTTTTTATATTTGATGAAAAAGAGCCTAAACGCTATCTGATTTGGGATAAAGAAAAAGGAGCATTAACCTTGATTATGCCTTTGGCTCTAGCCACCTTTTTAAGAGTAAATTGCTGGGCAGGTGGGGAAGAGCTAGTTGTGGAACTAAACTGTAAGCCGGACCGGGTGTGAGGAGGGGAGGTGATAGAAGGATTATAGGGTGGAGGAGTGGAGGCTGAGGAAGTATTGGGACTTAGCTCAGCCTGGCGACGAGCAGCCTGGGGAGGAGGGGAAAGGTCAGATGGGTCTGTAGAAAAGAAAGACTGGGAAGACTCAGCGATGCTTGGGGTTGGGACTGAGGGGACAGGCGGGAGGGAAAGAAGGAGGATCTGGGACGAGTTGCACTGGGCACAGAGACTAGGAAGGGACTGATGTGTAAAAGAATGCCTGGATGTCAGGCACCTCAGACCGTTTGCCTATTTTACGAAAAGAATTATTTAGATTTTGCAGGATGGAAAAATTCAAAGTGCCATTTTCTGGCTATTTGGAACTACTGTCGAGTTTGTATTGGGGTCAAGCGGCATTGCAGAAGAAAATAAGGCATTTAGGTTTTAGGTCAGGTGTGAGTTGAAGAGGTTTTAAGTTTTTGAGAACACAGGCTAAGGGAGAAGAAGGAGGAATGGAAGGTGGAAGCTTACCCATAGTGAAGGAGGCAAGCCCAGAGAAAAGAGTAGAGACACGGAGAAGGGGTGGGGGGTTCTTGCCCTCCAGAAAAGCAGAAAAGGGGTTGGGGCATGGAAATAAGGGATTGGGGCACAGAGATAAGAGGTCAGGGTACGGAAATAAGGGATTGGGGCACAGAGATAAGAGGTTGGGGTGCGGAAATAAGCGATTGGGGGCTTCTTGCCCCCTAGGAAAGCAGGACTTGCCTCTAAGGGTGAAGAAGAAGGGGTTGAGGGGTACTTGCCCCTGCCCCAGGAAAGCGGGACTTGCCGCTAAGGGTGAAGGACCAAGGCAGGTGTCCCTGCGTGGTCTGACACCCTTGAAACATGAGTGTATAATCAGAGAGGCGTCCCTGCAATGATTAAACACCAAGGGAAGGCTGCCTTCCCAGTCTGTGACCGGCGCCGGAGTTTTGGGTTCACGGATAAAACATGTCTCTTTTGTCTCTACCAGAAAATGAAAGGAATTGAAATTAAGAGAAGGGAGAGATTGAAGTGTGGCGCTAAGATTGAAAGGAGAAAGAGGTTGAGGGATAGTGAGGGAGGTTGGAGAGGAGAGTAAAAAGAGGCCGCTTACCGGATTTGAAATTGGTGAGATGTTTCCTGGGCTGGTAGGTCTGAGGACCTGAGGTCGTAGGTGGATCTTTCTTACGGAGCAAAGAGCAGGAGGACAGGGGATTGATCTCCCAAGGGAGGTCCCCCGATCCGAGTCATGGCACCAAATTTCATGCGCGTCCGTGTGAAGAGACCACAAAACAGGCTTTGTGTGAGCAACATGGCTGTTTATTTCACCTGGGTGCAGGCGCCTGAGTCCGAAAAGAGAGTCAGCGGAGGGAGATAAAGGTGGGGCCGTTTTATAGGATTTGGGTAGGTAAAGGAAAATTACAGTCAAAGGGGGTTTGTTCTCTGGCGGGTAGGAGTGGGGGTCGTAAGGTGCTCAGTGCGCAGGAGTTGGGGTCGCAAGGTGCTCAGTGGGGGTGCTTTTTGAGCCAGGATGAGCCAGGAAAAGGACTTTCACAAGGTAATGTCATCAGTTAAGGCAAGGACTGGCCATTTACACTTCTTTTGTGGTGGAATGTCATCAGTTAAGGTGGGGCAGGGCATATTCACTTCTTTTGTGATTCTTTAGTTACTTCAGGCCATCTGGGCATATACGTGCAGGTCACAGGGGATGTGATGGCTTGGCTTGGGCTCAGAGGCCTGACAGAAGGAGTTTTTTTTTTTTTTCTGGAAAATTATTTTTAGGCCAGGCATGGTGGCTCATGCCTATAATCACAGCAAGTTGGGGGGCTGAGGCAGGAGGATCGCTTGAGCCCAGGAATTTGAGACCAGCCTAGGTAACATAGGGAGACTCCATCTCTACCAAAAAACTAAAAAATTTAAAAATTCGCTGGGTGTGGTGGCACTTACCTGTAGTCCCAGGTACTCTGGAAGCTGAGGTGGGAGGATTGCTTGAGCCCCGGAGGTCAAAGCTACCGTAAGCTGTGATTGTGTCACTGTACTACAGCCTGGATGACAACAAGACCTTTTCTCAAAACAAAAATATTTTTAAGAATTTTGGGAAATTATACATAATGTTCATCAATTGATGAAGATTTGTTTACTTGTTTTAAGAAAGAGTTTTCTTATATTATGGGGAATAAGGAAAATCTTAGGATATTGATTGTTGTTTCCCAACGATATCATGGGCCCCTTTAGATTGATGGATGGTAGGGGAACAACTGGGGCATAAAGCAGGTTCCTGGGTATTCATGGTTGTATCATTTAAGTTCTCCCTTCTGGAATGTCGACCTTGCTGTAAGGCCTTGCCCCATTAGAACAGGGAAATTACTAGCACCACTCATGAATTGGTAATGCTCCTTTCATTGAACAGGAGAATCGCATCCATTGGTCTGATGTGATCCTTTGCAGAGAATCTTACAGCCTGGAGGAAGAGAATGTTTTTCACTCTACATCATGATTCATTCTTTTAGATCTTTTCTGTTGAGCACCCTAGGAAATCATGCCTTTCCCAGTTGTAACATAGAATTACAATTCCAGATGCTTAACAACCTGTGAACCTTATACAATCTCTTTTTCTTCTCTCTCTTCCTTTTTTGCTTGTATCAGGCTCTATGCATGGTGATTTGTATGTGCAGTTCAGACAGACTTCACATACAAATCACAAATACAAATTTCTCCTCAAAAGAAACTTGCAGTAAAGGGTGGAGATGGACAAGTAAACATATAGTTATCACAGAGTATAAAAGTACTAATAGGAGTACCCACTTAGTGCTATGCACGTAGCACCGACTCAGGAGGTCAAGGAAGGATTCTGGGAAGAAGTGATATTTGGATGGGTTCTGAAAGACAAAAATGCTTGAAGTAGAAAAGGTTGGAGACAGGCAAACTAAGGAGAGATAAAGTCATATGTAAAGGCATAGATGTCTAAGGGCTGTGCCATTCAGAGAAATACAAAGAGCCTAGGATAGCTGAATGGCTGATTCACATAGTTTGAGTGCATTATGAAGAGAGACGAGATGGGAGAGACAGGCTTCATGAAAGGTTCTTTATGTTACACTAAGAAGAATAGAGTTTATATGTTATAGGGAGCTATTAAAGAATATTTAGCTGATGAGGAGGGTAGAGTTGACATGATCAGATTTGCTTATTTTAGTAAGTTTTTTTTCTGTTGTCAATGAAGGATGCACTGGAAGAAGCAACACTGGAGAAAGATAGGCAATGCTATGATAGTAAGTTATATTTAATAAGGACTTTAGGAAAGATATACATCAGGAATGATTCCACAGCTTTTAGCCTGAGTTACTGGCCAAGTAATGGTGTCATTGACAGAGTAGGAGAAACATTGAGAAAGGCAGGGGCTTTTTTCTGGAAGTTAAGCATTTGGAATAAAGTGTTCTCCTTTTACATTAATAAGTTTTAGATAACTATTAACATTCAAGATTATATGTTTTGTAGGCAGATAGATATGTGAGCATGGAACTCAAGGGAGACTTCTGAGAAGAAGTTACAGATTTTGAAGCATAAGTGTTAGGATGGTTAATTTTATGTGCCAACTTCATTGGGTGTTTCTGTGAGGGTACTTTTGGAAGACACTAACATTTATATTGGTAAATTGAGTAAAGCAGATTGCCCTCCACAGCATGGGTGAGCCTCATTCAATAAATTGAAGGCTTGAATAAAACAAAAAGGCTGACTCTGCTGATTAAGAGAGGATCTTTCTTCCTTGATAGCCTTTGACTTGGAACATCAGCGTTCTTTTTTGTTTGTTTGTTTTTCTGCTTTTGTACTTGAACTGAAACATAAGCTCTTCCTGAGTCCTGCTGGTCCTTAGTCTGGAATGATACCATTATTTTCCCTGGTTCTCAGGCCTTTAAACTCAGACTGGAACTAAACCATAGGTTCTTCTGGGTCTCCAGCTTGCCAACTCACCCTGCAGATCTTGGAACTTTCCAGCCTCCTTAACTGTGTTTATATATACACACTATATATATATATATATATATATATATATATATATATATATACACACACACATATACACACACACACATGAACACAGATGTATATATGTATATATGTTTACAGATATATGTCAGGGTTCATATATGTCTTACATAAGTATATGTATTATGGAATTATGTAAGTGTATGTGTCTTACATACATATGCGTGTGTGTGTGTATGTATGTATAGCTCCTATTGGTTCTAACTCTCTGGAGAACCCAGACTAATGCAAGTGTATACTCATAAGAATGAAAACTGGTTGATAACAGGGATGTTTTCTGCTTACTGCTGTATTCCTAGCATTACAGAATAGTACATAGTAGGTGCTCAATACCTTCTAGGTACTGCCCTAGTAGGTAATGACCAATTACTTCAATGCTCAATATAATAAAAGTAATTATTTGAGTTGAGAATCATCACTAAGACTAAACTGGGCACAAACCTCCCAGGTGGAGCTCCATTCAAGAGGAAATTTTATAAGCGTTACACCAAGAATAGCCTACTGACAATCCTCCATGCATTTTGTTTCTTTCACCTGTAATTTGGAAATTATTGAGTAGAAGTGATTTTAATGGTTAGCTTTTCCATTGCCAGGTACCCTAGAACTACACGTGTTAAAAATAAATAAAACTGAGGATAAACCTGACATCCACTTGTAAAAACTAGTGACTATCTCAAGGATCTCTGCATAAATAAAAACCTGCTGAAATTGAACAGAGTGCCTGCAGCAAGGCCAAAGTTTTTTGGAAAATAAATTTAAATTAGCTACAAGTTAGAAAAAGATTAGGTACAATCAAAGGATGATTCTTTTAAAAATCGAGAATCAGAAAAATGGCACAAAATTTTATCTTTGATTTTATATTATGAATATATGAATACATTTCATAAACTGACATGCGTATGCCTAAAGGCTTAAGTTCCTTAAAAAAGACCCTTAGAGCTACCATATTGTTCACTCCTATAAAAATAATTACTTCTAATATAAGATTAATCTTTTACAAAGTCAAACAATTTCATGAGCTAGAGAAAAAATTATGAGCCAAAAGGAAATTAATAGAAGTAGAATGAAAAAATAACTTACCCTAATTAATTAGAAATAAACCCACTGAGAAAAGAATCACTACACTGTTTAAATTTTTTGATATATTTAAGGGTCTATCTTTATGATATTGCATATTTTAAAATCTCATGTTGATAATTTTTAATTCTAAAAAATGAGAAGGAAATCTCAATTAACAGAAGTGCACTGGAAGTTCAGTTATATCACACTAATTACCATTAGCATAGACGAATAACATACTTTATTCTTTGGCCAAAATCAGTGCTGCAAACATTGTACACAATTGTCTGTTATCAAATAAATTTCCCCTTAGCCACCACTTCCTCCAACCCTGCCATAATGATCCACTTACACTTAAAAAGCATGCAATCAAATAAATATTTTTAAAAGATTAACATTATTATCATCCAAGTGAGTTCTTTCTGATTTATGAAATTATGTAAAATAGCAGGTAATTAATATAATATTTTATAATATGCTGCTATTACATGATAGATTAGCTATTACAACAAGAGAAATGAATGTAAACTCTTATTGTATATGTCATTTGATAAGTGATGTGAAGAAAAAAGAATCCCATAGTGAATATATTTATTCCAGGAATAGAATGGAAATTGAAATTGTAAGTAAAGTTGTAAGTAGAGATATTTATATCATGTGTTTAATTGGCAGTAAACTTATTTATTTATTTTTTATTATACTTTAAGTTCTAGGGTACATGTGCACAACGTGCAGGTTGTTACATATGTATACATGTGCCGTGCTGGTTTGTTGCACCCATTAACTCATCATTTACATTAGGTATTTCTCCTAATGCTATCCCTCCCCCATCCCTTCACCCCATGACAGTCCCCAGTGTGTGATGTTCCCCGCCCTGTGTCCAAGTGTTCTCATTGTTCAATTCCCACCTATGAGTGAGAACATGCGGTGTTTGCTTTTCTGTCCTTGCGATAGTTTGCTCAGAATGATGGTTTCCAGCTTCATCCATGTCGCTACATAGGACATGAACTCATCCTTTTTTATGGCTGCATAGTATTCCATGGTGTATATGTGCCACATTTTCTTAATCCAGTCTATCATTGATGGACATTTGGGTTGGTTCCAAGTCTTTGCTATTGTGAATAGTGAATTGGCAGTAAATTTATATATGGAATAGTGATTTGAGCAAGTGAAATGTACAATTAGTGAAAAGTATGACAGTATTTGTCAAAGTCAACTGTGTTCCTTAGTGCTTAATTAGAGAAACTGAAACATCACTTATAATATGCTATTGTGTGCCCTAACAGCATATAGAGATAATATATCCTTTGGGACAAATAATTTATTAATTTAGAAGGAAAGAAAATAACTTTTAAAGAAATGATCAATTTAATACGAACACATAAAAATGTAATTTCCCTCTTTTTGAGTACCAATGAATAACAATTCAATTTTACTTTGTTTTTCTTTTTTGATTGTTGTTTTAAATGTTTGTAGTGACAGGCATCCCACTATGTTGCCCAAGCTGATCTTGAAGTCCTGGACTCAAGTAATCCTCCTACCTCAGCCTGACAAAGTGCTGGGATTACAGGCATAAGCCGCCATGCCCAGCCTTATTTTGTTTTATTTTTTTAAAAATTAAGGAAAGTATCTATTAAAGAATATGGATCTTTAATCCTGAAGTTTTTGCAAAAAAAATTTGTATAGAAAAGTAAATGCAGACCTGTTACTAGTGCTGAGTAATCAAACATTGTTTTCTTCATATCATTACCTTTAGGTAATTGTGAGTAGGGTAGGACATAAATTACTATCTTGCCTTGAGGTAAATGAGTATTTTAATTGATTTATATTTTATTTTTCCAGAAGTCAATGTATGAAAATACAAACCATCATTTTTTGAAAAGAAGCCCGCTTTCTAGTCATAGCCATTGCTTTATAATCAGGAAATGCTATTAGAGAGTGGTTGATTGTAACATACTTCAGAATCTATTTCTTTGGATCCAAAGAAAGTACATAAAATAAGTTAAGAATTTGTTCTGAGCAAAATCGTGATAGCTATGCTTGAGTTACAACTGAAGCCACATGATGCAAAGCAAATGGAAGGGCAAAATTATCAAGGAGGGTAAAATTGCTTTGATGCTTCTCACAGGGGGAGTTTTGATGTTTTTATTATATCACTAAGCAAACTGATGTGTTTTCCAGTAATTTTTTCCACACCCTTATCATCATACCACTCTATTGAAGCCAGTTAGACTTTTTGTGTCCCAAAGACTTAGGTAATAATGGCTGTCTACATAGAGACTTCAGCAGATTCTGTTGTATAAAGGAATGAAAGAACCAATGAAATAATCAACACATTTGCCCTTAGTGCTAATAGCTACTAATGGCCCTGTCTATTAGTATAAATGGTTTCACGGTCACAAGTTCAAGATGTAGAAAAGGCAGTAATTATAAATTAATCTCCTACCCCAAGACTATTTCACTGCTCTCCACTGCAAAATCTTCATGTTCTTTGTGTGGGGTTGCTGCTGTGCTCAGCTTCTGAGATAGAATTAGTTGGTTTGATTAAACCAGGGTAAAACTATCTCTCCTTTGACACTGTGAATAGTTTAGGGGTTACATTACCTAAGTAATTCCTATTAGAGAGAAACTCAAGAGTGCTGCTCTTCTGTATTGGGGATGCATTTAAGGCAGTACGCAGCCCTGATAGGTGCTGGGAGCCACTTTGGGGTCATGGAGGTAGTGGGCAGGTGAGTTTGGATCACAGAAGAGGCCTGGGAAAAATGGTTGAAGACAACAGCAGAAGCCCTGACAAAAACCATCTTGAAAATATAAACCACCTTTGGATTTTGAAGTTATGTGAACAGAAAAATTACCTTTTTTTGTTTAAGTCTTTTCGAGTTGATTTTTTGTTATTTGTAACTGAAATTATAGAATTGGTCTTTAAGCCTTGCCTAAGAAAAATGAGGCGGCTGACCCCAACATAGAGAAAATGTACTTTCTTTTATTAGGTTTGAAAAAGAATCAGCGCAAATAGTTAAAGAAGATGAAGAATCAGTGCAAATAGGTATAGAAGGTACAATACTTTCATTGTTTTAAAAATGTTTAAATGTGAAATATGCATCAATAATAGTAAGAATATAGAAAAATATACAAAAATTATAGGTCACTAAATTATCACAAATTGATCACATGAATCAAGAACAAGGACATTTCCAGGAACTCTCTTCTTCCCTCTTTCGATAGCTATTTAATTCCAAAGATTTTTTCTTGAAGTAGCAAAAGATTAAAATGAAAATATATTATGCATACACACTTTTTATTCTTCTTAATTCAACCTAAAATACTGGAGCATACAATTATACCCAACAGTATGTGATATGACAGAGAATAACATTAAATAACTGTAGATTAAGGGAGAATAAAAGTAGAAAAATAAGTAGAAGATTTTGTGTCCATTTCCAAAGTGTCAGAAAGGCAACACATTTGACTTTACATTTTTTAGAAGCCAGGAAAAAAAGTTTCAAAATTTATCATTTTCCAAAGAATCACAGCTAACAAGGAACGCCCACTTTGTGCCAGGGATTTTTGTAGATGCTTTGTAGGCTTGATATAGTTTACTCCTTTCATAATCCTAGGAGGTAGAAACTACTTTTTCACTGATTTCTAAAAGAGAAAACAAAGTCAGTCACACATAAGTGGTGGTCACAGGATTTGGATCAAGGCACCCACCCTTGATCATTGGACTTCATTGCCATTGTAAGATGAGAGAAAAGTTGCTGTTTAGAAGTAACACAGATTTAGGGACAGATGGGATATTGCTGCCAACTGTCATAAAAGAGAAACCGTAGAATAGCATCAACCTTCAATGGTATCCATAAAGTATGTTAAAAGGCAATTTTCATAAGACTGTTTTTATATTATTAAATGAGGTCAATGATAAAGCCTAGCTTAAATAAAGAAAATTCTAGATTTCTCTGGCTTATTTAAGGATAAAAGTTTAGACTAGATTATTCCATTTTTCAGAAAATTTTCCATGAATAACATTTTTCATTCTTGAGTTAATGATAATTCAAGGTTATTCTCTTCATCAGAAAACTGAAGTAAAGAAATTCTGTAGCACCATCTACAAGCAGATGTCGTTTAACACTCATTTGTGAGAAGAACAGAGATGATATCTATTTGTTAAAATTAAAGTGCCTAATCAGGACATAATCTGAAATGTTCATCTTCTTCATGAAGGTAGACTAAAGCAGGATTGAAGCTCAACAAGTGTTCTTAAAAAGTGACTTTTATTAGACTCTAGGAAAGACAAAATATTTCAAGATATAAGATATATTGCAGTCTGTGCTACGGATTATCTTAGAAGTCAGCAGTAGCACAAATACTATAAGTGGAGAAAAGGCAGTACTAAAACATAAAGACTACAGTAAATACTTTTGCAATTGGAAGAATAGTACAATTGAAATAAATACTCTGGGTTGGTACAAATTTTATAGAGAGGTAAATTATTAAATTTGCCTATAATGCTACTTTAAACCTTGACTTAAAATTTTAAAGATGTTATGCTTTTCCCTAAAATAGAATCACAATTGCATTAAAATGCAAGGATACCAACATTTCTAAGGGAAAAATTACTGAACTATGTGCCTATTACAACATTTTCTTTTCTTTTCTTTTTTGAGATGGAGTTTCGCTCTGTCACCCAGGCTGGAGTGCAATGGTACAATCTCAGCTCACTGCAACCTCCACCTCCCGGGTTCAAGCGATTCTCCTGCCTCAGCCTCCCGAGTAGCTGGGATTACAGACGCCCTCCACCATGCCCAGCTAATTTTTGTATTTTTAGTAGAGACAGGGTTTCACCATGTTGACCAGACTGGTCTCAAACTCCTGACCTCAGATGATCCACCCACCTCAGCCTCCCAAAGTGCTGGGATTACAGGTGTGAGCCACTGCACCCGGCCTATTACATCATATTTTAAAATGTCATACAAATATTTAAACTATTACAAAGTGCAAAACTGCACACTGGGGCACCACTGAGGATACAAAATTGGTACCGAATGTCCTCAGACAATAATTTAGTGATTCCAATAATAAGCAGTAACAGAAGAAACTAGATAGCAAAACTTTATGTGATAAGTTTCCATATAAGTTGATTTTGAAAAATGCTTAATATCTTTGCTGTTAAAATGGAGCAATGGAAAGCATTTTGGAAGAGGGGAAAAATCACATTATGTTATATTCCCTACTTTCTCATTTGAAAGATTCACTAAGATAAATGACTATAATTGTTAATATCTTGCTTCATACTGCAGCTAAAGCGGCTAGCATAATTCTTGGTACTCAATAAATGAATATTGGCTGAATGAACAAAAGCCATGTAAGGAGGAAAGTGTGAAATGAGGCCAGAGAATAGTGAGTTTTTCACTTAACTGCAGGGCAACACACAAACATGGGAGCAGTGAGAAATCGGGCTTGAAAGAGACATCAGATTGACCTTCAAAATGGTCTTAAGTGCCAGAAGTTGCAAATAATGGATTCACTGTGGTTATAGATACTTTTAGATAGATGATATGTACCAAAGATAGGCATTGATAGAGTAGCTTCAGTTATATAGTTTTAAAAAGAACTGTAAGACAACAATTATAGGAGTGTTGAATCCATCTTTTTCTTTTCAACCATCTGTTGGAACTGTAAATCTCAAGTTAGTAATAGCTTCAAACACCTGGACAATAAATAATCACATCAAGAAAAAAGAAAATAAATAAAGGACAACATCAAAGTTAGGCAATATGAAAAGAGTGCTGTAATTCTGTCAACTTAGAACTCCTAGAAAATTAGTGATCTAGTTTTATCTTCAAGCACAATTGAGCTATTCATAAATCTCACTCAGTTTTGAGTTTACAACCTCATTTTTCACTACACAGGGAACTGAAATAAATTACTATTAGAATTCCTTCATGAAATTATAATGTAGATAATTTTTTTGAAAAATAACTCACATTTTTTGTCAATTATGACTTATTCAAGGTTTATTGCAGTGATCACTTAAATTCTTAATATGGAGTAGGGAAACAAGAAAATAATCAGAATCTTTCATTCACTTATTTATCAACATAATATAGTTTATTCAGTGACAATAAAATAAATTTAGAGTTGTTATTTCCTTGTACTTGTCAATTATGTGACTCAAAGGCCCTGGAAGTCAGACAGAACAACAAATGTACTGTAGTGGTTTGTTGTATTTGATAACTAAAGTCAAATTCAGTTTGACAAACAAAAATTTACTGTGAGACACAGGATTTCTCAAGAATCCTGGGAGCAGAATTATCACTATTTCTCAGATAAAATCTTGTCCGAAAAGATTACAGAATCTTTGCAGTTTATTATTTGAATAGAACTATTCTGTTTATGTGATAACTATACAGATCTCTGTCTTTCATACTATGACAAATTAAAGGTAAATTCTTATTTATTTATTTATTTATTTATTTATTATTTTTTATTTTTTTGAGACAGAGTCTCACTCTGTCGCCCAGGCTGGAGTGCAGTGGCGCGATCTCGGCTCACTGCAAACTCTGCCTCCTGGGTTCACGCCATTCTCCTGCCTCAGCCTCCCGGATAAATTCTTATTTTTATAAGGTATGTAGCTAGTACCTGCATTTATCAATCAAATATAATGATTGTAGTATCACATATGTTTTTATTAATGACATTACCATTTTAACTTATCTATCCTCTTCTCTATTATATTTGTATCCTACTAATTTCATTCTACTATCACTTTATTTTATGTTATTTTATTTTTTGAGACAGAGTCTCACTCTGTCATTCAGGCTGGAGTGCCCTGATGCAATCTCGGCTCACTGCAACCTCCGCCTCCTAGGCTCAAGTGGTTCTACTGCCCCAGACTCCTGAGTAGCTGGAATTACAGGCGTGCACCACCATGCCCAGCTAATTTTTGTATTTCTAGTAGAGATGGGTTTTCACCACGTTGGCCAGGCTGGTCTCGAACTCCTGACCTCAGGTGATCCACCTGCCTTGGCCTCCCAAAGTGCTGGAGTTACAGGTGTGAGCCACGGCGCCTGGCCTTAACTATTATTTTACTACCAAGAGTATTACTTTTATTAGTAAAATCAAGGTTTTTTAGCAATAAGGGCCAAATATGTCATTTAGTTTCATAATCGATTTCTATTATGAGCACGACTTGCAATGTAATCTATTTAGTAGTAGCTTCTCTTGAGATCTTTACTATCAAACAAATGCCAAGACCTAGAAGAAACCATTATGGAGTCTCTCACCTAGCTTCTGCTCCAATACACAGCTGAAGTGTTTTGTGTTAAGATTGCGTCCTCATTGTTTGCTTCATAATTCCATAGGACATTTTTTATTTATCATTTCAGTTGCCCTCAAGCTTTATTCAGTACTGTGGATTCACACAGCCCTTTTTTCTGAAGAGTGATTGTTGAGAGGAATAAATGTATCAATACATGTACGGCACTAAAAACATCGCCTGGCACATAGACAGAGCTGGGAATGCTGTTGCTACTTATACCACTATTATTCAACGTAATAGTGTAGTGCTCCCCATATAGCTGTAGTGTCTTGTATTTTTAACACTTGAATCCTGTCTTCTTTTCATTTCTCAATGTGTTTTTTTCATTTCAAATAGCCCTTTCCTCAACCAAATCTATAATTACTAAATTTTCAAATAATTGAAAAACATATATTTCTAAGAGGTTATGTGGGAAAGAGAGATCACAGGTAAATTTTATTTATATTTTAGTTATAATTGTATACTTGTATATGCACTTAATTAATGTCTGTCTTTCCCAAACAACTTTAAGATCTATATGGGCGGGGACCATATCTATATGTTCCCTAATACATCTCTTGTACCTAGCCAATGTCTTCACAAAATAGAAACTGAATATATATGGAATAGTCAATGTAAGTTCTAAATATAGATATTAATAAAGGAATGAATTCGAATGAAAGCCAAATATAATACACAGAAAGAGGATGGATTGAATGGATTTAGTCAAGACAGCTATTTACAGGGTCTGGCTGCCTTAAGTAAATGTTGTCTAACTAAAGTATTGGCAATGGCAGTAGACAAGAAGACAAGGTTTATTAAGTACTTTGGGAAAAACTGGTAAATATAATTTAAATTTAATTTCTGTCCCAGAATAACACAGAAGTAAAGATAAACATTTAAAAATCAATCATGTTAAAATGAGAAAGTGCATTTGAATATCAAGTCTGTGGAAGGCTGATTACTCTAAATTTTGAAGAAGTCAGAAAGGATAAGACGGAAAGGTTTAATGGCATACATAGTAAGCTTTAATATATGTAATTAGTTGAATTATGCTTTAACTTGTTCTGAAAAAATATATTAAGTAACTAAAAAAGATATAAAATAATCAAATGACATAAAATAGCAGTAAGTAAGATTTTGGAGAATAAGGTCTCTGGGATAAAGTTATATGAGGATGCCACTATCTATGAACAGGATATGTATTGTATAATAATGTGGTCAAACTGGGACTCTAGTGAATGCCAATCAGTGGAGAAATGACTAAACAAACTATAATGCATTATAATGATAATAGAACATCTGTTTAGAAATTTCTAAAAATAGTATGTTAGATCTTTAGGTATTGACTTGAAAATATGTATCTAAAATAAATTTCAGTGGGAAAAAATTTCAGGCCAACAGGTTTAGATAGTATAATCTAAATTTTGTAAACAGATAAACAAACAAACATGAGAAAAAAGTTCCCTCTATATGGTCTAAAAGAAGGCAAAAAAGAAAAGTTTAAGGAGAGAGGTATATGACCAAGGCCTAACGCTATTATAAAACTAAATACCAGAGTCCTTTGCATTTACCATTGAGTGTTGATGATATAACTGCTTTTTTTAGGTAGGCCACAAACTGAACTTTAGGTTTCTAGCAGTTGATGTAATGAGGAAAACCTGGTCAGTTACTCAATTTCCAGTTTTTGTAGTTTAAAAGCAAACTAACTATGCAAGAGCACACATGTTCTTGCCAAGACCAGAAAGGAATTTCTCCCAAGGGTTCACTATCAGGAGGACACCCTACAATATACTTGAACAATGTCTCAGTAATTTCCTTTCAACAAGCACAGCTATGAGTCTCACAGGTCTGTTTCCGATAGGGCTGCTCAGTGTAGGCCAATGGCATCCCAACGAGGCAAATTCAGAAGAAGCAATTACTATTTTCACAGAAGAGCTCATACAAATTGTTAAAACATATATATATAGTATAAAAATATTTAGCCATATTTTGTTCTCTGGAGAGTTTTGAACATTCAGGATCTAAATTAAATCTTTTCCTTGCAATTACTATTGTCCTTAAAACCTCCCTGTAATTAAAAGTGCATTTTTAGTTTAAGTACATTATGTAAAAAACCTCTAAATAAAGTTTAAGAGGCAACATTAAAGTGAATTTTAAATAAGAACTTCATTTCACTTAAGTGGATTAGGGAGATGCTAAAATAGTGTATGTAGCCTAAGTCTTTGAGAATTGAGATTTAAGGAATAATATAACATCTATATTGCTGTCTTCCAAAGCATTCCCATTACTTTCTCTGTCACAAGTATATTTCAAGAAAGGGGAAAGCTAAGATGTTTTACACCATTAATGGAACCCAGAAACTTGTATACACTATTTTTTGACTCTTTTAATAAACCTATAGGGCAACTATCATCCTTATTTTAAAATATGGCAACTATAATTCCCAGTAATTAATCTAAGTGACATGAGTCATAAGTGGCAAGCTCTGGTTCAACACAAGGTTTAAGACTACAAAATTTACCAGCCTGGGCAACGTGGCGCAACCCTGTCTGTACAAAAAAAATACAAAAATTAGCCTGGCATGGTGACACATGTCTGTAGTCTCAGCTGCTCTGGAGGCAGAGACGGGAAAATCCCTTGAGCCCAGGAGGTGGAGGCTGCAGTGAGCTGAGATCGCACCACTGCACTCCAGCCTGGGCAACAGAGAGAAACCCTGTCTCAAAAAAAAAAAAAAAAAAAAAAAAAAACTACAAAATGTGTGCTCTTTCCAACATGCCATGCAGTTCACGAGTAGTTTTATCAATGCTGTTCTCAGAGCGTGCACTGTTTGCTAGTGACTCTATTTCCCATTTTTACAAGGTTTCATTCAAATTAATCCATGACTGAAAGTATGTCCACACATTTGAAAACAAAGTGTTTCTTTGAAACAGAGCAAGTGCACTTCACTAATATGTTCACTTACTCATTCAAATGTTAATTAAGCACCAACTTGTGCCAGGAACTGTGCAGAGTGAACAGGACAAAGCCTGTGTTCTCACTGAGCTTGTGATCTAACCAGGGATTGTTACTGTTGATCATTTTTTAGTCATTTACAACATGCAAGATTCCACTTTACCTGCATTATTCCTTTTAATCCTAACAACTCTATAGGTTATGTGTTCCCATTATGATTTTCATCTTATAGATAAGAAAATTGTAGCGTAAAGAGTTTGAGGATCTTTTCTAAAGATACACAGTTAGATGCAGGAAAAACAATCTGAAAATTTCAGAGGTTGCCACATTGCTTATTTCTTGCTCACAAATCTGAGGACAAACTTTTGCTTGGCTGGGCTTCTCTGGTAAGTTGTGCTTCTCTGGGTTCAGCTGGGCTTGGCTCTAGGTTGCTAGTTGGATTCAAGTCTTCTCTGTGTCTTTTCCTTCTGGGAAAAAGACTGAAGAAGCATTCACTGTTTGAGGAATGTTGCTCTCCTGGAGAAAGGAAGAAGCTCAAAGGAAGAGGAGAATTACATAAGGGAAACTGGCAATTGTCACTTCCACTTACATTCCGGAGTCATAGCGAGTCACAGGCCAAGCCCAAAGTCAATCCATCAGGGAAATATTCTCTGCCCACACCAGAGCATGGCAAGGATGGAGAAGAAAGGCAAAGTTGTAAACAAATTGACCATATTAGGTAACAGCACTGGGATTCAAATTCAGGATGGCTTAAATTTAAACCCTGTTGTCTTAACTACTACGCTATTCTAAATAAATAGGAACCTACTTTAAATAGGAAACTGTCTTCCTTTGGGTTTATGACTGGTATTTTTTTAACAGTTTCTAGTTAGGTGTATAAATATGTTGAACGTTTTCTTCTCAACGATTGATGCCAATTTAAGAAAATGACCTGTAATTTCGGTTACTGACACATAGAAGATTATTATCTAGAGCTATGATGATAAAATCTTTGTTAATAATTTAGTAGATCTCTGATGATTTCCTATAGTGTATAAATATTCTCTATTTTCTTCAACTTTCCAGAAATGCACAACTTTATCTTTTCAGGGCTACACATTTCTCAGTAATACATTCTGGCACTTTAAATCAATGTTACAGTTCTATATAAATGTAGATGGCTCTCTCTTTAAAACATTTGGTCAACATGGTGAATAACAATATTAGAGAACTTTCCACTAGCCTTGCTGAAAACACTTTGAAATTTAGGCCAATTGAGCAGATTTCTCAGACACTGCTGGGGTTGTGCGAAGTATTACAAGTTCTATATACTGCAATCTGGTAAATTTATTCAAATTGCAAACTATGTATCCTTTGACCCAGCCATCCCATCTGAGAATTTATGTAGCACATACATGAAAGGACAGATTTAACAGACTATTTGTTACAATGCTATTCAAAACAGAATAAAATGGGAAATGACACAAATGACCATTAAAAGGGTTTAGGTTAAATAATTATATAAAGTGTAATAAATAATGAGAAAGTACTATATTCTGATATGGAACAATCTCAAAATATAATTTTAAGTGAAAAAAGCAAGGGCAGAACAATGTATATGATTTTTATGGAAGGAAGGAAGATGAATCAGAATGTATGTTTGATTTGCTTGGGAAAGATGCACAAGAAACTAATACAAATATTTATAGAGTGGATAGAGACAGGATTGGAGGAAGTCTTTTTTTATTATGTTGTTTGTGTTTTTAAACCATGTAAATAAAGGAAAGGAAAATTTTTTTATCTAAATCATACTCCAACACCAGAACTATATAACATAAATTCATAATCACCATGAATATTTTCCATATAATACATTTATTTGTAAAATATAAACTTAGCTCTATTATTGTGAAGGAAAGGTCTGCTCAGTAAGCTTACCTATCTTTTTAGAAATTTCACTGCATATTCTTGGTCAGTCTATATAAGTTTTTAAATCACAGAAAAATTTTCCTTCCTTTGATCCTTAGCTATCTTTGTAAAAAATGTGTAGTTATTCCATCTTTATTGGCATTTGGATTTATGTGACTTTTTATAACCAGTTTATTCTTGCTCTAAATTAGACAAAGAAAGGTGAACCTTTGAATTTCAGATAAGTGAAAGAATTGGGAATTACTAGGCAGAGCAGAGCCCTTCTGCGAGATTACTCAGACCCAGGCTCAGCAGCTTTGAACAGCACTAGAACCTCACTTTGAGGGTTAAAATTGTAGCTCTAAGACCAAGTAGCACAATTTTAGCCCCAGAGTGTAACAGATAAATGATCAAGGACAGGAGCAAGGTGAAATATAATTCTTAAATCAATTAAAAGTGTTCAATATCAATAATAATCAAAAGAATATTCATTGAAAGAGAAAATTTGAGGTCCATTAATAAATCTGTATAATGAAATCAGTCCCAAACCCTGAGAATTACTTCTAATTCTACTGTTTAGATAACAAAAGTGAAGTATCATGGATAGAAATAAGTTAAAAGAAAAATAAGATAAAGAAAGATTTATTCCTCCTTGTTACTATTGTTGGGGGACAGCTTTCAACGGGTGTCTCATGTTTCTGCCTGTCTTACATGCAGAGACAGGGACTGCCTTTGTTCTGATTGTCTTTCCAAGGATGTCTGTATAGCAAATAGTCTCGGGAGATAGAGACTGTCTCTCTCTAGAGCAATGGGGCAAACCTATGTCCTGGCTTTGCTCAGGTGGGAGAGGTCCTCTAATTACGGGAATGTCCAGTTACAGGCTCCGCCTGGGCCTGCAAGTCCTCCTTGAACTGACTTTTCTCCTGCGCATGAAGTCCACATCTAATCCTTGATGGAGCAGCCCCAGGATTGCCACGTGCTGCTGCATCAAGAGAGCTCTGCTTTCATCTGAGCTTGCTTTGCACAGAAAACCTTCCTGCACTTTGATTTTATTTCTGCAACAAAATCACTGAACTACCTGCCTCATTCCTTCTCAGAATTTCTTTTCAAAGAAGCCTGTTCCTTCTGTGTCAGGTGTCTGGGGCAGGAGGGCCTCAATCCTGCATCTGTTCCTTGATGTTCATCTGATTTGCGTCTCTTAGTGGCTTTTCTTCACTTTGGTCTAAATTATTTTCTTTGTTCTCCACTGGGACCTGAAATGGAGGAATCCAGGATGTGTATTAATGTTTCTGCAGTTCACCCTGTGGGCATATGACACCTGAGAAACTGTCAAGTCCCCCGTGAGCAGTCTGAAAATGGGACTCAAAGACACTGGGAGCAAAGCTATTCGAATCAAAGGGCTCTTCAAAAGTACAACCCAGTGGCTGGCTGTGCAGTGAATCCAATGGCGGCTTGAACTCCCCAGCAAGATGTCCTGTAAGCGAGAGTTTCTCTGGATCTTGTAACCAATGCTCTTGGTGAAAGGGAGCATTCTTTGAACTCTTGAGCCACTAGACCATTTCAGATTTCCATTTCGATTTTGGGAGTTTCCTGATTCCCTAGTTCTCAGGATGTCTCTTGATCATGATTGCAGAGCTGGGAACTACTCAGTCTTGACTATCTCCCTTGACCCTTTGACCCTTGAGTGAATTCTTAATTTCATCTCTCACATCCTTATCCTCTGGGAACATTGCCACTCTACTGCCAGTGTCTCCTGGGGGCATAACTCTCACTGTCATTCCTGGACTCATTTCCTGCTTGACTCGTAGGCAGCTCTGAACTGCCTTTATTGCTCCCACAGCACATTGTCCCGCTGTGCTGTGTTTTGTCAACCGTGATGGGACCTGAAAAGTCTGTTCCCTCTCCCCAGTCTGAGAGAGAGAGTGTCCAAACACAGACACTTTCAGAGAGGGCCCATTCCAGGGGTTTCTATTCTTCCTCTCTCGTAGGTGAGCGGGCAGATTGAGGATGATCCAGGGCAGAGACTACATTTTTTACAACCATCTTATTTTCTTGATCTGTTGAAGGTTTCCTCTAAGGAGCTTGACAATTCAGGGAAAGAATCAATTTCTGATAGAAGGTGACTGAGGAGAAAATGGCAGCCTTAGGGAGGATTTAGAATTGGGCCTCCCTCACCTGAAAGTCTTATGGATTCAAGTCCCTTTTACAAGGACATGAGATTGCATTTAGGGTAACAACTCAGGATAATCTCCCATCCCAAGATCCTTACGTGAATCATAGCAGCAAAGTGCTTTTTTTTTTTTTTTTTTTTTTTTTTTTTTAACCATATAAGGAAATAATCACAGGCTCCAGGGATTAGGGCCTGGATATTTGGGGTCGGGGTGGGGGGCATTATTCAGTTTACTGTAAAGGGCCTTCCTTCACACAATTTATATTTATCCTTCAATTTAAATTTCAGAGCTTCAAGGGACAATCAGGTGGCTCTAGGCTAGAAGGCAAGAAGTAGGCTATGAGAGAAGGCTGAACTGAACATCTTCTTTGTTATCACTTTGATTTGGACTATCGGCATTTCTTCACCCTTCTGGAAGAGTGCTTCTATTTTCCTTTTCAGCCTCAGTCCCTGTGCAGGTGCAGGTGTCCTCTCCCACACCCGAACCCCAACAGTGTCCTCTCCCACACCCAAACCCCAACAGTGTCTGGGTGATTCAGCCATGGCCAAAAGGAGCATTCTATTGCCCTAGCCAGAGTGATTGGTTCTGGGACCCAACCGGAGCCAACAAGGCACAATGAGACCAGTGGGAGGGTCATGAGAGGGGAGCCACATTTTCAGCTGCAGTCAAACCTGGGAAATGATAGCCCTGAACTTGCTGGCAGCCATCCTGCCCCTGCACAAAATCTGAGAATAAAGTCAGAACAGAAGACAGAGAGTCTAGAAGTAGAGAGGAACTGAATTCTGATAATATAATTTGAGTCCCACTACCAGAAACCAGCCCTATTTCCAGAACTTTCAGTTTACATCAGTCAATTATTTCCTTTTGGTTTAAACCAGTTAGATTTTTTTTTTGTTACTCGCACTCAAATAATTCCTTGAAATACAAACAGGTCTTCTGTCTATCATACCTACCTCTGAGTTAGTGTACTCAGTGTGTGTGGGGGGTGTGTATTTCACTGTGCCTCAGTTTCCCTTCTAAAAAAGATGATAACTACTTACCTACAATAAATAGTTAAAACATTTGCAGATATTACATGGAGTAATCTGTGTAAAAATAAATTTGATTCACAAATCTGAGATGCAAATAACACGATATTTAATTTTTTTTTTTTTTTTGAGACAGAGTTTCACTTTTGTTGCCCAGGCTGGAGTGCAATGGCGCAATCTCAGCTCACCACAACCCCCGCCTCCGAGGTTCAAACGATTCTCCTGCCTCAGCCTCCCAAGTAGCTAGGATTATAGGCATGTGCCACCACTCCTGGTTATTTTTGTATTTTTAGTAGAGATGGGGTTTTGCCACGTTGGTCAGGCTGGTCTCAAACTCTTGAACACCTCAGGTGATCTGCTCACCTCAGCCTCCCATAGTGCTGGGATTACAGGTATGAGCCACCGCGCCCGGCTGATGATGTTTAATTTTTATAAATTAAATTAAATCTGTGTCTCATCCCCCCATTTTTAAGGGAAGATACCTAATATCATTTACTGCTGAGGACTCTTTTCCCTTGTTAGTGTGATGTACATTCTCATAGGGAAAAACAAACGAACAAACAAAAACAACAACAACACACACAAAAAAACCTTAGGAAACAGCCTCCAGTCTTTGAACCTCCAAGTTTGCCAGTAGGATACACACTATATATATGAGAAGATGGTCCATTCAAAGGCAGCTGATGACACAGCCTCTGCCAATGTGGGCCATGGCATCTTTTGCTGCCAGTCCCAAGACTATGATGCTGGATGTTTAGCCACTCCCCACCTCTGAAAGCACAGCAGCACCCTCTGTCATAAGTCCTACTGCCTTACTGGGACTTCCACAAAGGTCCCAGCCCCTTATGGAACCCATCACCACATCCCTTTTCTTAAATTTTAGGAGTCATTGCTACATTTGGGCAACCCCCTCTTTCAACCCAGTCCCTCTATCCTCCCCCTAAGAAGTACACAGCTAAATTCCCTTTGATTAATGAGCCCTGATGATGTTGGACAACAGATATCTAGCAGCCTCTGTGCTGGGCCAGGTTGCACAAAAGCTGTTAACCCCTGAGAGAAATACCAGAAGCTGGGAACTTTTGGAAAGGTAAGGACAAAGTTATTTTTTCATCTTTCTTTTTGTTTCCTCTGGTAAGAGGTAGGCAGAGCAAAAACTGCTTGGTAAATTATTCTGCCACAAATGTCTGTTATCTAGCAAAGAGTGAATTGGTAGAGCAGGAATATCTTCAGAGGAAAACTAGCTTGTCCTGTCATTGCCATTAGAAACTCTCACACTGGCCAAACAACAACATTTGCATGGTAATTAGTTCCTTCCTGGGCCTCCAACAGAATGCAGAGACCTGAGTTTTGGGGTAGGATCTGGTGAGGAGGCACCTGCCACAGTTCCTGAAATGCCACTTGGCCTCCTTAATAAAACCCAGATCTATCCTTTCAAACCCAGAAAAATAACAGGATAATTTCCACCCTGGCATCTAGTACTAATGGGAATTACTGCCAATAGAACTTTGTGCAATGATAGAAATGTTCTATATCTGTGTTGTCCAATAAGATAGCCACTAGTCATACGAAATGTGGTGTGACTGACTAGCTGAATTTTAAATTTATCTTTAAATTTATTTAAATAACTAGAATTGAAATTTAAAGAGCTCTGTGTGGCTAGTGCCTATACTATCGGACATTGCAGTAGGTGAAAGGCCTCAAGGAGAAGAGTCCTCTCCTTTAGCCCAGGCTCAGTCCTATGCAGCAGCTGCACCACTTGGTTCTATACCCTGGTGACACCCATATGGGTGAGAATGAGGACTCATTCAGGACCTGGGCTACTTTGGCTCCCTTCAATGGGCTAAGTAGATGCCCATAACAAGACCCAGAACCATCAGGAAGATTGCCAAGACTGTACTTCACACTGAAGCTGCAAACATAAAGACAGAAATCTTTTTCAGAAATCAATCAATTCATATTCATGTGACCTGTTGGTAAAAAGAGTCAAGTTCTGTAAAATATTTGATGAGATTTATTCTGAGCCAAATATGAGTGACCATGGCTCATGACACAGCCCTCAGGAGATCCTGAGAACATGTGCCCAACGTGGTCAGGGTGCAGCCTTGTTTTCTACTTTTTAGGGAGTCATGAGGCTTCAATCAAATACATTTAAGAAATAACATTGGTTTGGTCCAAAAAGGCAAGAGAACTTGAAGTGGGGGCTTTTCGATATAGGTAGATTTCAAATATTTGGGTTGACAATTGATTGAGTTTATCTAAAGGCCTGGCATCAATAGAAAGAAAAATGTCTGGGTTGCGATAAGAGGTTGTGGAGACTAAAGTTTAGTCATGCAGATGAAGCCTCCAGGTAGCAGGCTTCAGGGAGAATAGATTGTAAATGCTTCTTATCAGACTTAAAGGTCTGCGTTGATGTTGGAGAGGTACAGTGAGGTATGTCCAACCCCTGCTTCCCATCATGGCCTACACCAGTCTCTCAGGTTAAATTTTAAAAGAATCCTGGCTGAGGAGAAAGTCCACTCAGATGGTTGGTGGGGGCGCTTAGAATTTTATTTTTGGTTTGCAAGCCACCCATTTGTTAAAGTGAACTAAAAATGGCCTGAGAAGGACTCCATACTTCTGTATTTGGGTACTTGTGGATGGACTGTCACCTAACTTAAGAGGCAGACAAGACTGAAAACCTAACTTAGGAGTATGCACCTGTAACGGTAGCCGAGTCTTGACCAATCCCAGCAGCCATACTTCTACCAGTCATACACTGCTGAATGTTCAAACTGTGTTCAAACATGGCAAATGCCAAACTGTAACCAATCCAGCTGTTTCTGTACCTCACTACCAATTTCTGTACATCACTTCCCTTTTCTTGTGTGTAAATTTTTTCTGAATAGGAGACATCCCTGGAATCTCTCTGAATCTGCTGTGATTCTGGGGGCTGCCCGAATTGCGAATCCTTCATTGCTCAAACTCCTTTAAATTTAATTTAGCTGAAGTTTTTATTTTAACACATCTGAGAATCACTACTGGATTAGATTCTGAATATATGCTGTGCTCACATTTTACCCTAATGATGTTGGTCTCAATTTTAAACCCCAATTTATTATGAAGTTTCACTTTCCACTTATTTTTTTCAGAGTAATAAGTGAAAAAATGTGGAGAAGTAATACATTTTCTGATCTATTATTTGGAGATCTTTAAATATTCATTAGGAGAGTATGTGTATGTGTCTGTGTGTTGAGAAGAGTTGTGTTGGATTTGCAATTGTGTCGTCTTTCACTTAGATCAGTTTCTAAATACTGCACAGCTATTATTTGTTTTTGTCCAATGGTTAGTTGTCTAGCACTTAAAGCTTTATATACTGTCAAGATGCTTATTGAGTAGGAAGACATATCACATATAGTTTATAGAGTGTGAAATAATTAAGGGTCATATCTGATACATTTATTTTACAATGAGAAAGCTGAAGAACAAAATCGTTAAGTGGCTGGCCCAATAGTCGTAAGCAAGCTAATAGAGTCAGAATAAGAAATCAGAGTTGGTTTGGTCAAAAGTATGTATACCACACCCTTAGCTGAAAAGCCACCCTTAAAGCAATCACCCTTACATCTTCTCATTGTAACAGTAACTTAGAATATGACTAGTGACACATCTTTCCCCAAACCAAAGGCAAAATTTAAGACAATCCTATTGGATTTTCTGTTCCAAATCTTGGCATGTCTATCTTGGAAAACCAAACTAGTCTATGTAAAATCTTTGAGCTCCCTTTAAATGTTTTTCTCTAGAGCCTAAAAGAGAGCCTGATTTTAGCACATCGAACAGTCATTTCTCCCAGCTTCATTTTCTCCTCTAAATCAAGGTAGTTGCCCTTTGATCCTTCCAATGATGCCTCCATCTTCCTTTACCCTTACCAGTATTACAGCTCAGTGGTACAGCAGAAATCCTCCTCTCTGTGGATGGAAGAACAGGACATCTCTACTGATGTTACGCTGAATAATAGTGTCTAAGACCATCAGGAAGTGATAGGAATTTATTACTTAAAAGTGACTTTAGTTGGCTCTTACACATAATGTTTACTTTCCAACATCTCATGAAGACATAGACTAGTTTTCAGTTGTCTCTCATTCACTTTAACAAATGCAAAAACTAGTGCTGACCACTTGGTAATACCTGGCTTCTTCAGGCTGACTGAATGGTCACACAATTAACCCCTTATAGTACTATATCATCAATACCCTAGTGTTTCTGATGTTCTGAATACTGAGAACATCAGTGGATGTCATAGTAGTTAAAATTATGAATCATGGGGTCAACTGCCTGCATGTGACTCCTAGCTCCACCACGAACTGGTCATGTGACATTGACTAGCTCTCTCTACTTCTCTAAACCTCTATTTTCCTAGTTACGTGTGACATTTCTACTACCATTTTCAGAATTAAGTGAAATAATGTATTTAAGGTGTTTAGCATAGTGACTGGCACATGTTAACCACTTGCCCTGATCCACCACACATTTTATATCCCAAATTGTAGTTGATATCCCATTTGTAGTCTAGTCATATTTCTCAGATCTGATCCTTGGAACCTTTCCAGCTATAGCCTTTTGGTAAACTACTATATGGATTATCTCTCTGGCTTCATCGTCTTCTGGATTTCTGGATAAATCACTGTCAATTACTCTTACTTTAAAGACCCCGTGGGCACACTTTTGCCACATATAATCGAGCTCTCTATGTGAGATCCAGACTCATGTAATTTCCTTTATCTCCATTTATAAGCATTGGCATATTTCTACTGCCCAGAAGATTAGGAAAAGGAGAGTCATCTGTGGCTTTGTTAATATCATTATAACTTACATCTTCATCTCTAACACCCTATATTCTCATGTTCATGGGCAACTTTTCATTCACCCTCAGCCAGGAGAAGTAGTGATGATGATAGAGAAACCCAATGAGCAAATGGAGGAGTGGGGTGGGTAAGGAGGGAAAAACAAAGTAAGCTTCGTTTTCTAATTTATAGATGGAAATAACACCAACCTTGAATGTCAATAAAGATAATGCATATGAAAAAATGCTCAAAAATGAAGTACTACATTCATTTAAGGATTTATTATCTTGCCAATCATGTCAAATTATATTGTCTGCTCCAGGAATGTTTTATCAAGTGGTTCAATCATTGGTTCAATGGTTGGTCTTATTGTTTGACTTTTCTAGTAGTTTCTCATCCCTGGATATACATTAGAATCACTTGAGTATCTTTTAAAAAGTACTGATACTCAAGAAATATTTCATATTAATTAAGGTAAAATCATGGTGATTGGGGCCCATGCCTTAGCATTTTTACAAAAGCTCCCCCAGATTATTCGAAAGCGCAGTCAAGGTTGAAAGAACCTAGGCTATCAAAGAAACATGTTTTCCTCTGTGGTTAAGATAAACCAATTAAGATAGTGAGTAGAAAGCCCTTAATTTCAGGAAAAGGGATCTAAGCCTCTGGACCAAAGATAGCCATGTGACCCTAATACAGTGACCAACGATCTGTTTTGACCACACCTTGGACTTCCAATGCTAAAACTGGTAAAGTTCCAGGCAAATAAGGTCAAGTTGGCCACCCTACATCCTGATCTGGTAGATGAGTTGTACTTTTCTGGGAAGCTTTCTATCCCTTCCTGATTTTAGAGGGATTGTCTTGATAATAAGTTTTTTGCCCTGGATCATCTTGTTCTTTGGCTTTGAACATGGCTATGTGATGACGTGACTTGCTTCTGCAATAATCTGCAACCATGAGAAGAATGTCAAGAGGGCCATGAGAGACATTGACCTGGAGCTCTGCCATGTCTGAGCAGCTAAACCAAAGCCAGAATTCTGCCTACTTCCAGAATTCTTGTCATGTGAGAATGTTTGCTTAAATTATGGTTAGCTAAATTTTTTACTGTTTGGAGGCATAATCTCTCAGTGCATCCAGAGCATAACCATAGAAACTGCATACACTCAGACATTTGTTCTTCATCCCCAAATTGTCTCCAGATTCTGCTCACCACTGTCAGCTTCAAATGTTCCTTAGCTGTCTTGACTTTCTGTTTTGTTTGGCTTGCTATCCCCACACCCACTAACCACTACCACCACCCACCCTTAACTGGAATGCAGGTTGTCTTCCTGACTCTGATCAGCACACACTTGGGAGAGTGACAAGTCTGAGAACACACACCTTGGCACTATATGCTGACACTTGTGGACGGTAGTGCCATCTCCATTGCCTGGACCAGGCCTTGGGGACACTGTGCTTGGTCAGGGGCTGCAGTTTTGACCACTACCTTCTTGTCTGAGAAGAGAAGGGAAATCAAACTAATATCAACATATTGTTTTTGCTTTTTTGAGATGGAGTCTCACTCTGTCGCCCAGGCTGGAGTGCAGTGGTGCGATCTCAGCTCACTGCAACCTCTGCCTCCTGGGTTCAAGCGATTCTCCTGCCTCAGCCTCCCGAGTAGCTGGCATTACAGACATGTGCCACCAAGCCCAGCCAATTTTTGTATTTTTAGTATAGACAGGGTTTCACCATGTTTCCCAGGCTGGTCTCGAACTTCCGACCTCAGGTGATCTATCTGCCTCAGCTTCCCAAAGTACTGGGATTATAGGCATGAGCTACTGTACCCAGCCTATATTGTTGATTAATATTTGATAACCAAGTTGAAAACAAGCTGACAACATCATTGTACCTTAAAGCTCCAGAATATTAAACATGCAGATTCTATTTCATTACTATCTCATTATGCAGAAATGCATATTTCACTTGATGAGTTCTGTGATTGGTCCTCAGTGACAGTGCTTAAAAATTACAACATCCAAGACTCCAAACGCCAAACTATAGAAGCAGGCCTGTGAAACCCAGTGTGTTTTCAAGAGAGAATAGGAATGCAAATGCTGTCAGTCACTCTGCTCTTTTTCCATTGACTCTTCTAGAGAGCATATGTGGCTTTCTGAGAGCCAGAGCTGCACATGTGGATCCTAGCAGAACTGTTCTCTTTGCCAGATCCACATGAGGCTCGAATGGGGCTCAGTCTTCTCTAAAGTGTTCTCACCTGGCTTCTCAGCCAACTGTTGTTGCTTTCCATTTTAATTAAGGGAGTTGAGTTGGCAGCAAAAACTGCACTTGTTCTAATATTGAAATAATTCTTTCCACTACTGCATCATTCCTCCAACATTTTATAGAATGCCCTGAAGTCTAAGAGGTTGGTAAAAACAACTGTCAGCCGATAGGAGGCACAGTCTGTCTCATTCAACTTATTCAGAGCCTGTAATATAAAAATGCATATAGATGCCGTTAAACCTCACAGTAGTAACAGGAAAGGCATCTGGATTGCAGGTACAAAGCTTCACATAGGAAAGCATTGTTCACTGTGGCAGAAGCACTAAAGAAGGAGCACTTTGGTCTTGTCCCTAAGCATGTAACACTCTAACAATTCCCATAATGTTTGGAAGAATGGAGAGATATTACTTGTTATGAAAAAAGCTTATTACTTGGTGATTAAACACACTTAAGGAAGCCAGGGACCGGTGCAAATGAGTTTTTTATTTTACCTTCGATTAAAAACTCAGACCGTGCAAAATGCATGTAAGATGAGCATAAGAGACTCCATCTTTTTTATCTTTATTTCCCCTCAGCTGTATTCTTGTGTTCTGTATCCCGTCACTCCTTTCTACTTTTCTTCTTGGACTTTTGCCCTTGACTGTTGTAGTTTATTTTCACTCATTATTTTCCTTACTGGGGAGGAGTATTGTGTTCTTTTTGCTTAGATCTGTTATTTCCCCCTTCCGCTGTGAGACCCCATGACCATTCTCCTTAGCCCACATGGATGTCTCACCTCACCGCAGGAGTCTTCCTGATCCTTGCAAAACCAGCAATCAGCTCTGCTTCTCCATAGCACTTTGTTCATTCAAGACTTCTCATGTAATATTTTATCATCAATATTTTATCATTTAATATTTTATCAGTTCCTCTTTGGTTTGTCTTTTCCAGCAAATGGTGAGCAAATTGAGGGCAGGTACAATATTCTGTTCTCTGAATCCTCAGCACCATCTGCTTTGCCTCACAAATAGTAAATGCTTGATAAAGGTCTGTTCAGTTAAACTGAAGTACCAAGAGAACATTATTCTATAATCTCCTTGCCAGTAAAATTTAGATACATATTTACATACCCCACAGGATTGCTCAAATAAGACTAACTATACATAACATTATAACATCCATGAGGGGTGGACAAGGCATATGATCTGACCAAGTGTACTCTGAAATATTACTTTCTTTCCTCTACCAATCTTGTTTTTCTAGTTTGAATTATTTGGTGGCCAGAAGTCTGTCTTTAGGATAGAGGTGGGATGCAATGAAAAGAGAGATTGGAGCAACCTATGCTATTTGACCCAAAGTTTATAACACCAAGAACATCAATGTTAGGAATTATATAAAATAATTATATAAAATAGACTTGTAGAAAAGAAGAAAATTTAGAAAGAATGGGAGCAAACTAGAAAAAGCAAGAACTTTGAAATTCACTATTTGTGTCTCTAATAAAATACTCCCTTTTAAAATACTGTTTTCTGGATTAATTCATCTCTCTTTCCTCCTATATTTATTGCTGAATATTAAAAGATAATTTTTCATTACTAATATTTCTTCTTTGGTTATCTGGTTACTAAAAAGTAAGTAGTTGGAAAAATTATGTCATAACCATATAACCAAGATGCTGTCAAAGTAATAATTTTGGTTGTGTTATATATATGTAATATATGATCAGAATAATTGGACATTGTTTACATTATTTCATGTGTCTACATTTTGTAATTGGGATGAGAATTGCTTTAAGTGTTTTATTAATTAGTTTCCAGTGTATGCATAGAATCAAAATAAAAGCTGTTCTTTTTGAAATTCTTTCTCAAAAAAAGTCTTGTTATTACAGTGGAATGAAAATCTATCCAAATCCTTCCTCTGCAGATGGTTTATAAAGATTTGGAATGTTCCATCAATGGAAAAACTGACCAACTATGGTGAAGCCTCCTGCAATTCTCATTTTAGTACCTAATGTTACAGAAAAGGAGCCCTTATTTTGACTTTGTTTTGCAACGTATAGAGCCACCTTTATTTTCTTTTAGTGTTTTAAAATCCATAATGGAAGTAGATTTTTTTAACCTTTTATTATGGAAAATTTCAGACATCGTTTGAATAAGAAGAGTATAGTAAACACCCATACACCCATCACTCACTTCTACAATGATCAGCTCATGGCCAGACTGGTTTCCTCTAAACTCCCACTCACTCTCCCAAGCAATTTTTTGATATCATGCCATTTCACCTATGAATATTTCCATATGTATCTCTAAATGACAAGAACTCTCCTTTTAATCATCACCCCAATAGTGATCAGCCCCCCTTAATGTTAAATATTTTGTCAGTGTTTACATTCCACATGGTTTTTTAAGTGATGTTTGTATTGTTACCCAAATGCTGTCCATACATTGCGTTGATTGATATCTCTTATATTGTTTGTATTCTATGGGCTGTCATCCCATCTCTCATTTTTTTCTTTGTTTGCTTATATTTCTCTTACTGCTAATTTAGTCTTCTTTTCCATAATGATTTGATTTCTTATATTTCTAAGCCTTTCCTTTGTTCTTTTCACTTCTTTTCAAATTCTGTTCTCAAATTACTTCATTTCTAAGAATTTTATATTGTGATTTATGTTCTTTCATAGATTTTTTAAATTAGCTTTTTTCCAACTAGTTTTGAAAAAGCATCTTAGCAGCTCTAAACTAATTTGTGAGCATTTGTGTTTTACGGGCGCACATTTATTGTCTGTAGAGGAGTTATGTACTCCTCATTCTCTCTCTGTCTCTCTCTCACAATATTATATTGGATTCAATTATCATCCTTTCCTGCTGCTCACTTTTTAGTAAAATAAGTCCCTGATGGGGCATTGCTTTAGAATAAAATATGTATATAACAAAATTTTTGAGTGTCTACATTGAAAAAAGGAAAAATAAATAGGTAAAATTAATTTTAAAATGTTTTAACCTAATATATCTATAATATTATCATTTTAACATCATAGAAAACTGTATATGATGAATTATTAGAATTATTGATTATCTAATATAAAGTCCATATAAATTATTAAAGGGAATATATATATATTATCAGTATAAAAACAATATAATATTCTATATGAATCAATATGAAATGATTAATTCAATATATATTTTTTTCATACTAAGTTTTCAAAAACATATATAAGTACAGCACATCGCCATTTGGACTAGCTACAGTTCAAATTACATAATCAACAGAACAGTTCTAGGATTCCTATCCACTGTGATAAATTCATACATGGCCTTGTATTTTCTGAAATCTTCCTTCTCTACTACTTTGCCCCTTTCATTTGGATTTTACTTTTAATTTTTTGCCATGGTAATTCCAATAATGCTTAGTTTGAACTTTATTCTTCGTAGTTTCTCACCGGAAGGGGTGTTATCTTGGGCAGATATATCAGTTTATTAGTGTTAGGAAGTTATTGGGTCCAGACTCAGACTATCCGTCAGAACTTCTCAAGGCCTCCTTGCTCTAGCCTGCCCATTGGAGCCTCAGTGTCCTCTCCTACCTGCTACTGCTCTAGCTGATGACATTTTGATAGTTCTCAGACTCTCAGACCTGTTACAAGCTCCTTGTCTTCTGCTTCATTTTGCAAAGTCATTGATACTACGTCTCATCTCTAGTGGTGATTTGTCTCCTTTTGTTTGTATTTTGGGATTCCTGGTGATTCCTTTCCACCTAGCTTTGTTGTAGATGTTTTCAACTTGGTTATCAAGTATTAATCAACAATATAGGCATCCAGTAGCTCACGCCTGTAATCCCAGCACTTTGGGAGGCCAAGGCAGGCAGATCACCTGAGGTCAGGAGCTCTACTCTGTTTTTTTCAATCACATTTACTCTGTTTTTGTACAGGAGCATCCAAAGAGAGAAATAACAACACCAAATTCTCCTACTGCTGCCACTGTCTCATCACAATCCTTTCTTTTTTGTTTTTAATTACTTATGCAGACATATTTCAGTAATTTAAGTTATTGGCTCATTGTGAATTGTGAATTTTGTGTACCCATTTATTGATTTGATTGAATTTATTAAGTATTTGACCAAGGCAATTATACATCTTGGTTTTTAGAAGGATAGTCTAGGATCATCAACTTAAGCTTCAGCAAATAGTATCATATTCAATGCTATTTAATATTTTTATATGCTTGGAAATTTTATGTTAAGAGAAAATAAAACTGGAACATGGGTATTTATAAATTAGAAACTCACTAATCACTCAAATTCTAATTCTGTTATTAAGTGGAAAGGAGAATATACTTTGTATCCATTAAATATTGCCATTACCTCTAGCAGTGTAATAAAAATTGAGCAGACTTGCAACCACCTTTTCTTCCTCTGACACAGAAGTATCCAAAAGATTTAGTGAGCCAACTTTGGAAATTTTTTTTGGCTTTGATAGCAATATTTGGAAGATCTAGCAGCATTCTGTGAAGGCAATAAAATTGAATTGGAGATTAAGTGAAATTGGTGTTCCATATGTATTTTATTAAATAGAAGCCTTCTTAAAATGCTCGCCTTACTCACGTTAGCACAAGAAGCATATTGTTGTATTCAGATGAAATTATTTTATGTAGGCACTCAAACAAATATCAGAAAGCAAATCACCAACGTTATTCAACTCTAAAAGTTAGTAGGAAATGTCAAAACTCACGTTTAAGAAGACAATATCTTAGACCTTACAGGAGGAGATGATTTTCTTTAGCAATTTAAACAGATGGAACTAAAAGCAAGGGACATTGGTATTCTAAACACAGAGAGGATACATGAATTTTGTTTATGTATTTTGCTGTACTGAACAAGAATTCAGTACAGATTGCTGAACAAGAGTTCAGCAAAAGATTTTTACTGTAAAAATTGGTGGATGAAAATGATGAAGACAAATGCTTCAAGAAGTGGTAATCCACATTTTCTGAAAAGTACTTTTATTAAGAACACTTAACATTAAGAAATAGCGAAATCTTTTCTTAAATAAAGCCCTGATTATTAGTTCAATAAAAACTGTATTTAATGTTTTTAATGCACCAGATACTGTTTAATGTGTTGGTAAAATAGCACTGAACAAAACAGACAACAATTTATGCTCTCATGGAGCATACATTTTGTTGGAAGTGATACACACCAAACTATAAAAGTTCAAAATATAAAACAGATGAGACTGTGACTACTTTGAAGCAAAGGTCCTGGAGTCTCATCTGTCTCACCTCTCCTATCTGTTTTATTCACTTTCACTCTTTCTTGACCCTAATTTGGAAATTACTGCTCTGAAGTGCAACTCAATAAATGAAACTGATATAGTATATACCTTTGTATAAGCAGTCAGTGTAGTAAGGAAGCAAATGCAGTCTTTGGCTAAGTCTCTGCTAGTGCAATCCCGGGAATTCCAGAACCCTGGGGACTCATCAACTGAGAAAAATACACCTGATCCCTGACGAACATGAATCTCTAAAAATCCTATTCAAATATTAGGCACATTTTCTCCCTGGTACAGACAGCACACTGCTATTGCTCGTGCATGGGCATTTCTGCCAGTCATCCTCATCAGTGTGGATGTGGATGTTACCATCTTGCTTCCCTGTTCTCTAGAAGCCTGGGTTCTCTGTTGTGACTTATGTGCTGGGAATATAGCCTTTACGTCTCTCAGCAAAACCAAGGACTGCCTCATTTCTTTTTTCAGGGAGAAGTTAAAGCTATTTAACTCCTCAAAACCATATGACTTGAGAAGACCATTCATTCATGCACTCATTTATTCACTTGCTCATGTATTATTGTTCATTTATTCATATTTATTCAACAAATTACAAATGTGCCTGGCACTCTAAAATATATTAATTAGCAAAAACAAGTACTTCCTCGGTCTCAGAAGCTTAGAAACTATTGGGAGAGGAAAATATTTATTTTAAAAAAAATCATATAATGAAATGCAAAATTTCAGCTGTAAAAAGGTCATTTAATAGGGGTGTATATGATATAGTTATGAAGCGTCCAGAGGAAGTGTTCCTTAAAAAGTGACTGATGAAGGAGGCAGTGAGGGAGGCATTTTTCAAAACATTATGATGGGGAAAAGGACCCACTTAATAATTCAGAATTCTTTTAAAACACTCATGGCAGGAACCCCTAATCTCATCTGCTCTTGGAATCACCAGAAAATAATCCTCACCACTATTCCTAGAGTCTGGGCACAGTGTCCCTCTCTCTTCATCTGGAGCCAAATTCTTCCAGGAACAATGTGAATAGTCAGCAGAACAAAGAGAGCTTTCATCAGATCAGTGGGCCAGCAGGGCTCTTTAGAGAGAGGTCAGCCAGCTCATTGTACAGTTGAGTGAAGCCAGGGGTTTCTCAATGACATTCCTAAGGACACACAAATCTTCAGAAGCTGAGCCTCCTGACTTCCAATCAGTACTGTCTCCCCACATGGTACCGTGGAGGTACACAGGATGGATTCAGGTGACCCTCAGATGGACAGAACTTACTGTAAGAGTTAGGTATTTACTTTCATAGTTTGTGGTGAGCGATGCTGGTTTTCCGTATCTGCTAGTCTTCTGATGTTTCTGTCAAAAATAAATTTAACTTAAAAATGATTTTTTAAAGTGACTAATGGACTGCTATGTGAAGGAGGACTAAGAATTAGTTAGAAATAGAGTGGGGAGAAAACCTTCCCAGGACAGGCAGTAGCATGTGTAAAAGTTCTATGGAAGGTGGAAACCTGGCACGTTTGCAGAAATATAAGTACGTCCATATGACCAAGGACCTGAAAACCTGAGAGGCAGACAGAAACAGAGTTTGCAAGGCCTTGGCAGCTGTGTTAAGGATGTTGCTTTTTAATCCTCAGAACAGTAGAAGGCTACTGTGAAATGTTTTAAGCAGTGTGTATAGATGTGCACACACATGTGCATGTGTGTATAAGATGATCAGTTACGAATTTTAGAACTTCCCTCTAGCTACAGGGTGGAAAAAATTTTGGAGGGAAACATGAGTAGACATGGGGAAGCCATTTAGGATTATGCCATTTTAGTAACTCAGACAACATAGTATAGTAATGTGGACTAGGAGAGTGGGAGTGGAGATGGAGAAAAACAGATGTATTTGCAGAGGAATTTGTTTGGTAAATTAGAGAGTACTTGGCAATGAATTTGATATGAGGGAAGGGAAGGCAGAGGAATTATGGAGAACAGTAGATTTGATTTGTGTAACTGAATAAATAGTGGGAATGGGAATAGGGAACCTTGAAATACAAACAGATTTGGGAGAAAAGGCCGTGAGTAGGTTGCAAACAAATGGAGAATGAAGTGTCTTTGAGGTAGTCATGTCCAGATGTCAAATAGCTATTTGTGTGTTATTCCAAGACCTCTGTCCGTACAAGGGAGGAATCCTTGAGTGTTATTCCTGCTTTTTATTCAACCTGGGAGAAATATGCCATTTCCTTGCATTAGAGAGACCAAGGCTTTTCTCTCTTTCTAGAGAAAATTCACTAGTAAACAGATTTTCCATCTTGTAATTTTATTTTATGTTTTTTTGTTTTGTTTTGTTTTTTGAGACAGAGTCTTGCTCTGTCACCCAGGCTGGAGTGCAGTGGTGCGATCTCGGCTCACAGCAGTCTCTGCCTCCTGGGTTCACGCGATTCTTGTGCCTCAGCGTTGTAAGTAGCTGAGAATCCAGGCATATACCACCAAGCCTGGCTAATTTTTGTATTTTTTAGTAAAGACGGGGTTTCACTATTTTGGCCAGGCTGGTCTTGAACTCCTGACCTCAGTGATCCACTCACCTTGGCATCCCAAATTTCTGGGATTACAGGCATGAGCCAATGTGTCTGGCCCATCCTTGAATTTTAAAATTTCAGTTATTTTCCATTTTTTGTATGACATCTTTATCTTTTGGCCTATAGTATGCATGTTGTACTTAATAGATTTATTCATATTATTGTAAAGATGGAGGATTCATGCCTTTTGCACAGTGAAATAAGATAATGGAGACCCTTTTCCTGCTATGGACACATAGATGACATTAAATAAAAAAGATAATTTCCCAGGTGCCAGATGTAAGTAGGAACCTAGGGCTCTAGTTATAAGCTTGTAATATGATGCTATGGTGGTTCCAGGGATAATGGTCATGGATATAGCCTCTACAAACTAGAAAAATAATTTAATTTCACCTGGAGGCAGAATTCATATCTTGGGCGTATAGGAAGTAGAGAGGTATAACTAAGTCTCCCGCATAAAGGTGGGCACTGGAATGATGCCCCTTACTGAAAGGAAAATAGAAAAATCTCTTATTGTTAGAGCAAGAAAGTGACAAGGAATTGGTTCCCGTCTGGGACTCTGAAAAAAAAAAAGGAACATAAAAAATCAGGCCAATTACTACCTATAGTCCTGGAACCTGGACATAGGTTATACTCCCAGGTCTAGGGGGTTTAGGCCTGCTCCGTAACATTTGTCAGGTCTGAAGGAAAAGTGCAAATGAAGGGCAATATACCATTGGTTTAAATGTTTAGAAAGTATAGGTGAAGCTAACAACCTCAACGTATGTTTTATCCATATTTCACGGAGTTCTGGAAATCATGGATTGGATTTAGAATTTCTACATGCTGGCTTCCACCTCCCAGCCCTCCCTCTTACATTGTTACTCTCACTCTGACACTGATAGAGAAGGGCTTTATTTCCACATGTGTGAATACCCCAGCAACGATATTCAAACTCTGTCTAGACTTCTAGGAAACATCTTTTAGGTAGTGGGAGCATGGTTGGCCCTTGAATGGCTAGTCCTGGGGAGAGAATCTGGAATTGGGCTTGGAGCCATGTAGGCAAGGGTTTTGGGGATTGTAGGTGTCAAGAGTATGCTTTGGAAGGGTAATCCTGAGCTCTGTGGTAGGGGGCACATCTCGTTGGCCCTGAGGATGCATCAGTCCTGGAGGGGAGCAAGGCCAAAGAAACAAACAACAACAAAGCAGGGCTCTGTAGATTAGGATGGGGTGGGCCCCTGGACAAAAGCTCTTCTTGGCAAGATTAAAATGTTACTGATTGAGGCAACCAAAAGCAAACTAAAAGCCAAACTCTAGCAAAAGTATAAAAACCCAGGGCATAAGGAAATAAAACACTTGGTTAAGTTGTTGAGTACACAGACACACACACACACACACACACACACACACACACACAGAAAGAGCCCAAAACATTGCAAAAGACTTAAGAAAACAGTTGTCCAGAAAGATCACCAACTGATCCTTCCAATAAGAAAGCTGTCACCTAAACAGAAATCACTTGTGTTGGCCTTAAGAAGGGGAATTTATCCACATGGGCCTATCTCAATCACATGAAACCTTAAAATCAGAAAACTTTCTCCAGCTAGTGATAGAGGAGGAAGGTGAAAGGGAATCAGATTCTAAGCACAAAAAGAACTTGATGCTCTTTTGTTGGCTTGAAGATGAAGAGGGTCAAGTGATGAGTGGTGCAGTTGGTGCGGTGCCTAGAACCTAAGAGGAGCTCCCCCAGCTGATTGCCAGCCAGGAAATGGAGACCTCAGGCCCATGACCATGGAAACCAAATTCTTCCAACCACCCTACTGAGCGGATTCTTCCACGAGCCTCCAAAGAACAGCTCGGCAGCCTGACTCTTTGATTTATTTAAGTCATGTCATCTGAGACTCTGAGCAGAAGACTCAGCCAACTCCACCTGAGCCTAAGACTGACCTAAGGAACTGTAAGCTGATAAATAGGTACAGTTATCAGTTGCTCAGTTTGCAGTGAATTTTTTAATGTAGCAATACAAAATTAATACATTAATTTTAAATATATGAACTTTCTTTGGACAGATAATCAAGAAATGAATAGCAGTATTAATACTCAGCATTAGAAAGAAACAAAGTACTAATATGTGAAACAATATGGATGAATCTCAGAAAATTCTTGCTGCTGTAAAGAAGCCAGAATAGAGGTCATAGTCTATAATTCCATTATATAAAGTCCAAGAATGGAGAAAATTAATTTATGATGCTAGGAATCAGATAATAATTGCCCCTGAAGACATTATAGGGAAGAAGGGATTAGCTAGAAAGAGCTACCTTTCTGAGGAGATGGAAATATTTGATATTTAATTTTGGTTATGTTTCCATGGGTGTATGCAATTGTCAAAACTCATAGAACTGAAAACTTAATATCAGTGCATCTTTGGGTATATAAATTATACTTCCAAAAAAGTAAATATTTAAAATAAGTAAAACCAAAAATGATTAACAAATTCTTCTGTAATCTCTCAGGTTGAAATGTTCACTTTCTCCTCTGCACTGCTAGTAAGAACATGGGAAGGATTCCTCAGGCACTGACACAGGAGCTGCCTCATGAAATTTCATCTATTGCTTTGAACTTCTTCTTGTCACTCATGTTTTAATGCGTTTATTTTCCCCCACTTCCCAACCCTAACAACACTGTGAGTGCTTATGTAGTGGAATTACTTACGTAAGATAAGCATTCAATCAATAACTGGCAATTTTGATTAATTTACACAGGGACAATAAAATATATACAGGATAGAAAAAAATTATAACCAATAATAAATTCCATAGGTCTAATTCATTTTGATAACAGTTTCAACCTTCTCTGTTCTCAAATATTCTGCTATTTTAAACTGCTAGAACATCACTATTTAAATACCATATTTACAATATGTAATTATCTGTTAAAAAATTACATGGACCCCTGGATCTTATCTCCTAATGCAGCCGTACTCTTCATTTCACAGAATAGATCCCTTTTGGGAGAATTGGCCTGATATTTTCTTTCTTTTATAAGAGAAACCTCCTTTCACAATCAGCCCCCTCTCCTACTATTGCTCCGAAATAATCTGAATATTTTATTGTCTTTCATCCTTGAAAAATAATTCATCTTTCCTTAATTAGTCATTAAACCTTCTACAATATTATTGACTTTCGTTAATAGCTATGTGCTATTAAGGTTTACATATATGTTACATATATGAAACATTTTTAATATGGATTTCTTAACAAAATCATTTGAATGGCTATAATTGTAGGATGGGTCCATGAAATATATTTATAAATATATATTAAATTTAAAATACAAGGTAATAAAATTTGGGCTTATCCATAGTGCAATATAAATTTATAGAATTATGAGAAAATATCAGGAATAATTGACTTCATTTTCCAGTCTGCTAATCTATTCAATTTACTTTTAATTAAAACTCACTGCCTCCTGTAATCTTAAACGAATTCTTGAAAATCAGAGACATGAAAGAACAGAAAGGAAAGTGGTTCTTGTTGACAGATGATATAGAACAATGTCTGGACTTTTCAGTTGATCGCCTGCTAATTTCGGAAGTCTGGATTATCCTTGGGTGGGTTTCTGATATTTTGTTTCAGCCTCAAATAAGGGGCCGTGACTCTCCATAGTGGTGCCTGTAATTGAGCTTTTGGCTTTAGTCCTTTCCCTGCCTCAGGTACATGTAACTGAGGATCTACTTGAAGGCTGCATAATTGGCATATTTATCATAGTGAGGACTTCACAGACCAAGATGGTCAATGCCTGAGACTTCAAAAGACCTGGATTCAAATACTTTTTTTTTTTTTTTGATATAGCATCTCAGTCTGTCACCCAAGTTGAAGTGCAGTGACACGATCTCGGCTCACTGCAACCTCTGCCTCCCAGGTTCAAGTGATTCTCCTGCCTTAGCCTCCTGAGTAGCTGGGATTACAGGTGCCCGCCACGCCTGGCTAATTTTTGTATTTTTAGTAGAAACAGGGCTTCACTATGTTGGCCAGGCTGGTCTCAAACTCCTGACCTCAAGTGATCCACCCGCCTCAGCCTCCCAAAGTGTTGAGATTAGAGGCGTGAGCCACTGTACCCAGCTGGATCCAAATACTTCATAGTCGTTGTTCTTAAAAATAAACCACAGTTGTGCTGACCCAGAACCATCTTTCCTGGGTTAAGGTCTAGATGCCAGTACTTTATACACATGATTTATAGTTTGCTTATCTTTCTTTGACAGCAATTACCTGGAGGTATCTGTGCTCATGTCCTATAGAAGTAAAAATGAATACAATACAAAATTAATTACCATTTAAAAAAATCTAAGTTACTGTAAGTGCTGTGTGACCTTGAGTAAGTTTGTGAAACCTGAGAACCTGTGGCTTTCACATAGGATGCTTTTGAGGATTAAATAAAGCATACGTACATTTTTTGTTAATTTTTTATTGAGGTCCAATGTACAAATGCGATACTAATTCTGATAGGTTTTAACAGTCTATATACTTTTATAGGTAAGATTGCTGTGAGTATCCAACTCCACGCCAGGGGAAATTGAGTCCACGGCCTCTTTTGCTTTTCAAATTCTTATTTCCAGCACCACGACTGCTTTCCACACACCATTTTCAACGCAACAAGAAATGCAGCCCTTCTTTTGACTTTCCAATTCAGTACCTTTGTAAATTCAGCAATCTTTTTCTAAAGATCGTGGATGTTTGTGGCAGAGAAGATTATCTATATGCCAAAGTCTAGTGCTTCCCCTTCCTTGGAGTAGAGTTGTTTCTGGGTGCAGCTGCCTTGCCAGGGCACTGTTCCTGGCATATATTAGTTCTCTTCCAATTCCTCTCCTTTCCTCTGACCCTGTGTGCTAATTTGGGGTGGAGAAGTCCTTATAGGTCTTTAGCATCTTCTTAGCTTTTGTGCCACTGTCTTCAGTTGTTGTATCCCAGCCCTGATAAACTCATTTCTCCTGAGCAGCGCTCTCCTATGGAACTTTCTGTGATTGAAACAGCCTTTGCAAACATTTTAACTGACCTGACTATCTCCATCTTGTGTCTAGCCTCCAAACTATCCTTGTTCATTCCTAGGCATAGGCAAAACTATGGCATAGTTCATTCCTAGGCATAGGCCAAACTAACTTTGGGAGAAACTTAGTTTATAGTTTAACTTTGAAACAAAGATGATAACAGCCTCTTCCCCAAACAAACCACCTTCTTGCCTGGGGACTAGACTGCCTTTGCAGGCCTAGCAAAATTAGCCACAAGATTAGAAAAAATGGCTTGGGAGCCACTATTGTAAAACCTGAGATCAGTACTTGAGATATTGTGCACATCCCTGCATTTCCGTGCACCAGCTGATGCCACCCAGATTGATAAACTGGCTCATCTGGTCTTGTGGTCCCCACCTCAGGAACCAACTCAGCACAAGAGGACAGCTTCAACTCCCTATGATCCTGTCTTCAATCCAACCAATCAGTACTCCCCACTTTCTAACCCTCTACCCACCAAATTATCCTTAAAAACCCTCATCCCCAAGTTTTTAGGGAGATTGATTTGAGTAATAACTTCATACTTCATCTCCCCCATGGTGCTGCTGACCTTGCATCAATTAAACTCTTCCTTTACTGCAATGCCGTGGTTTTTATTTGTGCAGTGGGCAGGAAGAACCTGTTAGGCAGCGTGGAGCTGTGCTTCCCAGTACTGTAGCTTGTAGCCGTATATGGCTATTGACCACTTGAAATGTGGTTAGTGTGACTGCAAAACTGGATATTTACATTTTATTTTAATTACTTAAATTTAAATAGCCACAAATGACTAGTGTCTAGTATATTGTAGCTCTAGCCCCTGTGATTAAAAGCTTAAGAAAGTCCAATTCTTGTTTTCTTTAATAGTAGATGGCACTTTGTTTAATCCTAAAAAACAAAACCACCATTAGCATCCATGTGCAATTTTGTTTTCTTTCAAGCACTGGCACACAAACTTTAGTGTGCAAAAATAACATGAGGATGTGAGATTTTATTCACAGAAATTATCATTTAGAAAATCAGAGATACATGCCCCCAAATGTGATTTTTAAACAATTATTCAAAATCTTCTGCGCTAGGGCCAGCCACATTGAGCTAGGTCTCTGTTCTTCCAGGCAATGTTTACTGTCTTCTTTTTGGGGTTCTTTGGTGGAAAAGGATGAAAAGCTCTTGGACTCCAAGTTTTAAAAAGGAAAAGGAAGCTATGTAAAAGGGTTTTTAAAATTCCTCCTTTCCTCTCATCATTCATTCATTTCATTCTCCTCAACTTTTTTTTTTTTTTTTTGAGGACTGACCACCTTCTAGGCCCTGTATTAAGTTCAGGGAATGTGATATCACTTTCATGGTGCTTATTGTTTAGTGTAAGGAAGAGGCATAGATTATTGAACACTTCATATTTTTTAGGCATCCTAGTAAATTGTTTCCATGTATTATATAATTTTAACCTCCCGTCCCCACAACAACCATAGGCAGAGAGCTGCTTATTTTTACTTAAATAAAAATACGTTGGAAGCAACCAAAACATTCCACACAGAAATCTCTAGACAAGACCACAACAGGCAAGAAAAGAGAAAAATTCTGATTGGGAGTCTTAGTAAAGGATATTGAAAAGGCTAGAAGGTAGGGCAAATTCTGGTTGGAAGCCCACCGACTGGTCCTGTTCTTTTTTATTAATACAACTGATTCCGATTCTGAGAGGCAGAATTTCCATCACTCTCAGACCTGGGAGCCGCTATGAAAGGTGGGCTGGAACACAGAAGTCTGGGATGATGGGAAAATTTACAGGCATAGGGACAAAAGTTTCTAGCATCTCAGGTTCAACTCTGAAACCTTTCCCACAGAAAATTATTACATGTCTGCTACTCATTTCTGTTGTAATAGTGCACTTCAGATGCATTATAGGTTTTATCAGCATATTTATAGTATGCATGGTGCAAGTGAAGCACACTGCCTCCAGAATATGAAGTTAATCTTAGCTTCAGCCAAAATCAATGTGCATTGAATAAAATCACTCAGCTACAAATATAACTCACAGTGTCAATATGTGAATTGAGCGGTCAAGAAAGGCCATTGAACAGCATTAAAGGAGAATGACTTTATTTTTTCTTTTTATTTTTATTTTTGAGATGGAGTCTCACTCTGTCACCCAGGCTGGAGTGCAGTGGCACAATCTCGACTCACTGCAACCTCTGCCTTCCAGGTTCAAGCAGTTCTCCTGCCTTAACCTCCCGAGTAGCTGAGACTATAGGCCCGGCTAGTTTTTTTTTCTTTTTTTCATTTTTAGTAGAGATGGGGTTTTGCCATGTCACCCAGGCTGGTCTCGAATTCCTAACCTCAAGTGATCTATTCACCTTAGCCTCCCAAAGTGCTGGGATTACAGGTGTGAGCTGCTGCGGCTGCCTGAGAATGACTTTATTAAAGTATACATGCTAAAAACTATTGAAAGGTATTTTATCCAGTCTACAAAAATAAAGAGACTTTTCCTTAAAGAAGGAAAAATATAAAGGAAGGATAAAAGAAAAAGAGAATGAATAAATTGGCAGTGGAAGGAAATTGATGAACTTGGAGACAAAAATGGGGGAGAAAAAAATAGTAAGACCTAAATGCAGTATGACACCAGAAGTGCCTGGAAGATAGAAAGTTTTGGCACCCCTATATAATATCTTACCCTTATCATTCATGTGCTAAATCAATCCCAGCAGTGGAAACAGATTCCTCAGCTTTACAAAATGTACTTTTGTCTTTAACATAAGCCAACTTCCTCCCCTGGTTCTAATTCACCTCTCTAAAGCTTAAGTTAATCTGATTTCTTCTGGTGAGTTGAATTGAAAATATCGGGATCTTTGCGTGTGAGAATGACTTTTCTCCTAAATGATTACATCTGTTTGTGAGTTTGGTCGTTGTGAATCATTCCCTAGTAGTGATCAACTGTGTCTTCTGAACCAACATGCTGAAGACAAACTCCAGACTATGGTGATCTGACCAATGCCCTGATCCCATGAGTCCAATCTGACCACTAGCCTCATCATATTTTGACTATTTCTCAGATTTTTCCATTACCTCTTACTATCATTATTATAGTTATTAACATTATAAAGATGAAAGGTTAACATTAACAGCCCACTGTGTGTAGGCACAATGCAATGTACTTTGTGTTCTTATTTGTATTTCATAGCAACCTTATTAAGATGTACTGTAATCTTCAGAGAATGGTCTTCTAAATTGGAAAGCTGTTTTTATCAACCAAGTTTTAGGGTCCACCTGGAACCATAGGGGTGAAAGAGATGCTTGCTTTGCTTACCTGGCCAGAAAAATCACCTTGGTTACAAATGTCTTGTTAGATGTCTCATGTAGATTTCTGTCACATTTTAAGAAACCAGTGGGTTTCTTTCTATTTTATAGAAGAGAAAAATAAGGCCTAAGTTACTGTTACAGTGTCAAAGTAAATTTGCTCATTGTCAAAAATCTAGTTAGTGGCAGAAGTAGGATTTTTGCCCAGGTCTGCCTAACGTGAGTTTGTACTTATGTTCTCAGAGATATGTTTGTTTTCCAACTTTTGGTTAGTTTTGCATCTAAGTAACTAGCTAATTAACAAGTTTGCATTCTTTTTTTTTGAGATGGAGTCTCACTCTATCGCCCAGGCTGGAGCGCAGTGGTGAGATCTCAGCTCACTGCAACCTCCGCCTCCCAGGTTCAAGCAATTCTCTGCCTCAGCCTCCTGAGTAGCTGGGATTACAGGTGCCCACCACCACGCCCAGCTAATTTTTGTATTTTTTAGTAGAGACGGGTTCCACCGTCTTGGCCAGGCTGGTCTTGAAATCCTGAACTCGTGATCCAGTTACCTTGGCCTCCCAAAGTGCTGGGATTACAGGCATGAGCCACCGTGCCTGGCCAAGTTTGCATTCTTAAGCCATTAAGTCTAGTGAGGTCTGCTCGTTGGAAATTTGGGAGATTTGCCTTTTCTTTTCTTTCTTTCTTTCTTTTTTCTTTTTTTTTTTTTTTTTTTTTTTTGAGGTGGAGTCTCACTCTTGTCACCCAGGCTGGGGTGCAGTGGCACAATCTCGGCTCACTGCAACCTCTGCTTCCCAGTTTCAAGTTATTCTCCTGCTTCAGCCTCCTGATTAGCTGGGATTACAGGTGCCTGCCACCTTGCCTGGCTAATTTTTGTACTTTTAGTAGAGATGGGGTTTTGCCATGTTGGCCAGGCTGGTCTCAAACTCCTGACCTCAGGTGATCTGGCCACCTCGGCTGCTTTTCAATTCTGAAAATACTATCTATAATATAACTTAAATATTTGCACCTGCAGAAAATGAGTCATGACTGTGGGAAGATTCTTCCCCATTTACTGGCCGATGTTTGGAATTCTACCAGTTTGGGTTCTGTCACCTTAGCATAAAAAACTTTTCTGTCTTTCTCACATACCTTATCCAAACATACCAAGGGATAACCTAAAGCTCTTCCTCTACAAATAAAGAGATGAGGTGTCTAAGAAACTAGAGATGGACTCAAGACGCTCACAGAGAAGAGAGCTTTTGGAAGAATAGAAGACAGAAAAGACAACTTTGACCAACTGAACTATACAGTATAGATAAAATTATGGACAGACCATGGAAGATTCTTAAAAGTAACTGAAGAATAATGTTCAAGAGTAGGAAAGGTGGAATCCAAATAAATGACTATTTCTGTGCCAAATGAACTGCTGATGCAAATTTAATCCAGAATGGCAAGTCTTTACCAAACCAGGGGTTGGACATTTCTTGAGAACCACAAAAATATTCCACCATAAAGTAGAAGTAGAAACACTAACTTCTATGCCAGCCTTCATGTCTTTTCCTAGTCACTCTCAGGCTTCTTCTGACTCAAAAGCCAAAGGCCTATTGACACTCAGAAATCAATTGGATTTAGATATGTAAAGAGTTCAGCTGAATCAACAGCTCATAGCCCCAGGTATTTCCTAATAGCTAGTTGTCACTTGAATTCATCAGAAAAACCTGTCATTGTTGTGCTCTCTGAAGATACCAAGCCAGCAGAATCCTGCTGAATGCGAGAACAATGCCTGGCAAAAGGGTAAGTTGACCTACATATTGGACGTCCATACAGAAGTTAAATTCTCTGCAAGGTAGAAATAATTGCAAATGTCTTTTTCTCTGTGTCTTATGTGTTGAATGGAAAAAAATTATGTATTTCTCCTAACTGGATTCTTGAACTGCATCTAATAAAGTCAGTCAGCATTAAACTTTCAATTAAAATATTGAAAGCCCTGTGTTTGCCAATGCCAAATATTTGAACTTGCTGTAAGTAGTAAAGACTAGTTTGACCAACTCAAGAATAGAAAATGATAAATAAACATCTTTTTAGGAGTATGCTCTCTTTATAATATGCCAACTAAATGTATTCCCATGAAAATCTTGTAAGGCACTCAGGAATGCAAGAAGCTACACATAAACACCATGCACTATCCTGCCAATCCCTCAGGAAAGGAAAACATCACTGAAATAAAAAGCAATGATTTAATGGAAAGTCACTTTCTTCAGCTTTAACCTTGGTTGATTTTTATGTGAGGATGCTTAGATCCGGGCAATGTCACCATAAGACCACACCAAAAAGTATAAATGAACCAGAATCGAAGAGGAAAAAAATTCGTAGGAAACTCTCAAACAAATAATTTATCCATTTTTTGTGCTTTCTAAGTAGTCTACATCCATGACTATAAACTTATTAAAGTTAAAATATACTTAAAAATAATCATTTATTTTTCTGAAGAAATTTCTGATGAATAATACAACGAATCTTACAGAGAAGAATTAAATCTAGTTATTAGTAGTGGAACCTAGGGTGAAAACAAGTTATTAAAGTGTATGATTTTCTGAGGTTCTTAAAATGTGAAAAGATCAGGCCAAGAATATAGGAGTCCTTTCTGAAATTATCATTCTTTATTAGATATCATGTTTTAAAAATAAATCTCAACTCCTTGTCTTTTCTTAGTACTAGGCTTCCCAACACTGTCCCAGGTTGTGCTTGTCCTCTGAGGTAGTATTCAAAGAATATCAATAATTTATAATGATTTAAAATTACGGACCTTCAGTAAAATATGGTACATTCTCTTTTGTTCTGAGTTGAAACTCCATCCAAACTCCTATCACAAGTAAAATCATCCAAGTACACATTTGTTCATTAAGTAGTTATATAGCATCTGCTGTGTGTTTAGCAATATGCTATATGTTGGGAATGCACAAAAGTACACAGGTTGAGGGAGTAGACAGTCCTATAACAAGTCTTTCTTTCCATGATGTGGCAACAGAATATTCAACTGATCTGTGAAAGATATTCCAAGAAATCCGTCTCACCATCACAGAAAAATGAGATACTACTTCTTCTTTTACCTCCTAGTAAGTCTCATTAATTCTTTCATGTCACTTTCCTACCATTATTTATTCTTTCTGTTCTTGTCAACATTGATCAAGAGACCTAGTTGAGATGATTCAAGAGAGAAGCATGTCTCAGGTCTCCTCTCTCTGGGAACATTATCTGGGAGGGATACAGAGTAAGGACAAAGTAAGAGGTGAGAGGCTGACTGCTTGTTAGCCAAGTCAAGATGTTAAGCTTTTGTAATCAATGAAGTCCCAGATGTCAAAGAAGGATCACCATTACTCACTTATCATATATCTATTCATCTATCCATCCCTTCTTTGCAATGAGGCTCTGTTGCAGCTAGCTTTAGTATTCATTTCACAAAAATGTATTTATGACTAAATATGCCAATAAGTTGTGTTTTTCAGTTATAGATATAGGGGATGTGGTATTGAGCTAAATAGACTCTCTCTGCTGACTGTGTGGAATAAGGCCTATAAATAACAAAACAAAATACAAGTAAGCCAATCTATGTACTGACAAGTGTTCTCCAGAAAAAGTTGGAAAGAATGTTGGATAGAAACTGTTGTGTGTGGGGATTATAAAATACAATAATCTAGGAAGTCCTCTCTGAAAAGCAACTTTGAACAGAGACCAGAATATCTTGAATGAGAACTGCATAGAATACCTGATCACAAAACACTTCAGTACAGATAGAAGAAAATAAATAAATAAATAAAGGCTCTGTTATGCATAGGAGGTTGGCATGTCTTGGGAATGACAGGAAGACAAGAATGGTTGGACTGGGTGCTTAAAAAAAGGAGTGAATAATAAGAAACAAGATCAGAGAGATAGCAAGTGAAGAAGCCAGTTGATGTAATATATTTTAAGCCCTGATATGTACTTAGGATTTTATCCTAAGATTAGAAAGTTGTAAGCAGTGCCATGATCTGGATTAGGCTTTAAAGATCATTCTGTGGGAATCCTTGTGGGCTGGTGTATTAATGTGTTTTCACACTGCTATAAAGAAACTACTAGAGACTGGATAATTTATAAAGAAAAAGGTTAAATTGACTCACAGTTCTTTTTAGCTGGGGAGGCCTCAGGAAAATTACAATCATGGCAGAAGGTGAAGGGGAAGCAAGGCACTTCTTACATGGTGGCAGGAGAGAATGAGAGAGCAAAGGGAAAACTGCCAAACACTTTTAAAGCCATCAGCTCTCATGAGAACTCCCTCACTGTTATAAGAACAGCATGGGGGACACCATGCCCATGATCCAGTCACCTCCCACCAGGCCCCTCCCTCGACATGTGGGGACTACAATTCAAGATGATATTTGGGTGGGGTTACGGAGCCAAACCATATCAGCTGGTGTGGCGTGTTAGAGCTTGAGAAGAATGAAGAGGACGTTCATGTGGGGCTGTGGGCAGCCTCATGTGGGGAATAAGTCAGAACCCAAGCAGGATGAGGAGAGGGTCCACATGGGAAGGTGGAGGGGGAGTGATAGAAAACTGATGTAGGGTATCAGAGCCTGAGCCAGTGAGGTGGATATGCACAGGAAGATGTCCTGGTGTATGAAGCCTGAGTAAAATGAAGAAAAGGTCTACGAGTGGGGCTGGGGCTTGGCATAGGTGTTAGAGCCTGAGAAGTACATGAAGGAGGGCAGACTGGCATTGAATGTCAGATTCCAGGTGGGGACAGAGGCCATCCACATGGGAGCGTAATCAGAAATGTGGAGTCAGAGACTGAACATTGTGAGGAGGGCATCTGTGTGGGGCGTGAGGTGGTGACAAAGATGGAAGACTGGCTGCCCACAGAGGACTGACAATATAAGTAAATATATTAATATAATCATTTTTCTTCCTTTGGAGAGGGGAGTTACAAATACAGAATAGGGAATAAAAGAAATAAATTCTGTGATATTGAATTGGAATTGGAGGCATTAGTGTTATCTTGTGTTTTTCAATATAGATGGATGGATATAGAAATAAATATAAGTATAAATATAAATGCATATGATTGTATGTAATTATTTAATATTTTTCCGTTTCTTTTGTCCACTGAGGAGAAACCAGGGGTAATGATACCCTAGTAGCAATGCGCACACCTAGTACCCAAATCTTGGTTTTTAAATACAATTTTTCTTTAAAATGAGTTAGTTGATTTCAGGCCTTGGGCTTGGAAAATACAAGATGAATAAGGAACTTATAACAAATGAAAGAAAGGAAGTGCTCAAAGAGTGATGAAAAAGCGTCAACACGACACAGAAGCTAAGCTAGCTTTAATAAGTTCTTGTTGGTCAAACTGGGGTCAATTTGAGCATCAAAATAAATAAAGAGAGTATTTCTTAATAAATAAAATAGGAAGCTATGAATTTTTATAGGTATAATTAAATAAATGAATAAATTGAAAATTTGATGAGGAATGGAGTATTTACCTAGTTTCAAAATACCTCCCGCCAAATTTCCATCAATTTCAAAGAGGAAAAGAATAACTGCACTGGAGAAGTCTGGAAGACATTTTCTTAATTAAATGATCAAAGTGAACATTGTTGGTAAAGGGACAGATTTAAATTGTTTGCCACATGGCAGGATAGGATGCATTGGGAAGAACACAGCATCACTTCTATGATACTGTAATTAGAGATGTATAATTTGAGTCTAATCACCAATAAGCCTCAAACAAAACTCATGAAACACATCAAGAAATAAATGATGACAAGTGAAAAGCTGAACAAACTGAAAAATGAGCAACTCTTCTGATATCATCAGATAAATGAGGTTAGAAGGAAAACTGCTGCTCCCAAAATTGGACAGACAGACAGGCAGATATGACATGATTTCAATTTACTGGAGCCGACACTCACAAGCAAAAACCACTGCAGGAACCAGTGCCAGGGAGGGAACATGAACCTTATGAATTGTTGGAGGCTCAAAGTGGACAAGCCTAAGAATTAAAAACTCCAAATGTTGCTGGATGCAGCGGCTCACGTCTGTAATCCCAGCACTTTGGGAGGCTGAGGTGCGCAGATCACCTGAGGTAAGGAGTTCAGGACCAGCCTGGCCAACATGGCAAAACCCCGTCTCTGCTAAAAGTACAAAAATTAGTCAGGTGTGGTGGCACAAGCCTATAATCCAAGCCTCTCGGGAGCCTGAGGCATGAAAATCACTTGAACCTGGGAGGTGGGGGTTGCAGTGAGCAGAGATTGCACCACTAAACTCCAGCTTTGGTGACAGAACCAGACTGTCTCAAACAAACAAACAAACAAACAAGTAAACAACTCCAAGGGGACAAGTCATAGGGAGGCCTTCACACTTTAGTGAGTTTTACCTCCAGGAGCTTTACTATATCCTCCTGGTGAACACTGGAGGAAAATCCCCTACTTCTTTCAGGGGGAGGGGAATAGGAATCATTTTGAAGTATGCCTGACTACTCTGTTCTTAACAAGGCCTGCCCCTAGGAGAAAGAATTTTGGCAGGGCCTAAATATTTTACCAGAGCTTAACTTATTTTATCAAAGTCTGACCTACCTAGGGGAAGGAAAATGCCCAACTCCAGCCTCCTCTAACCATCCTGTCCCATGTAACAGCATGGGTGTCGGTGACAGGGAGCAACTAAGAGGCACTGAGGAAGTTCATAGTCCACGGGCACAAGCTTGCCAAATGACTGGGACCTAATCATAGGGCTTAGAACACTTTCTCTCCCCAAATACTTTACTACCACATTACTAAAGGCCTATTTACCACAATTCCTTTTACCCAGTACATCATGTTCACATTTCAACAATTACAAGGCATATTAAAAGACAGAAAACATAGTTTGAATTGGCTGCACAAGCATTAGAACCAGAGAGTAAGATACGGCAGGAATGTTGGAATTATTAAACCAGGAAAAAAAAATATGACTAATATGCTAAGGACTTTAATGAAAAAGGTAGACAACATGCAAGAACAGATAGTTAATATAAGTAGAGAGAGGAACATTTTAAGAAGGAATAAATAAGAAATGCTAAAGATAAAAAGCACTGTAACAGAAATGGAGAATTCCTTTGATGGCCTTATTAGTACACTGGACATGACTGTGGAAAAAAAAATCTATGAGGTTGAGGATATGAAAACAAAAACTTCCAAAATGAAAAAAAAGAGAAAAAAGACTGAAAACGATAGAACAGAATATCCAAGAACTGTGGGACAATCAAAAATGGAATAACATATACATAAGAGGAATACCAGTAGGAGAAGAGGGAAGGAAAGAGGAGCAATGTTTGAAGCAATAATGACTGAGCACTTCCTCAAATTAGTATTAGATATCAAACCACAGATGTTGGAAGCTTAAGTACCAAGCAACATAAATGCAAAAAACAAAACAAAACAAAAACAAACAAAAAACTATACATAGGCATATATTTCAAAAAATCAAAGATAAAGAAAAAAATATTGCAAGAACCTAGGGGAAATAAGACATCTTAACTATCGCACCTGTAATCCCAGCACTTTGGGAGGCAAAGGTGGGTGGATCACTTGAGGCCAGGAGTTCAAGACCAGCCTGGCCAAAATGGCGAAACTCCGTCTCTACTAAAAATACAAAAATTAGCCAGGTGTGCCGATGCATGCCTGTAATCCCAGCTACTCTGGAGGCTGAGGCACAAGAATTGCTTGAGCCTGGAAAGTGGAGGTTGCAGTGAGCTGAGGTCACACCACAGCACTCCAGCCTGGGTGACAGAGTAAGGCTTTGTTTAAAGAAAAAAAAAAGAATTATACATAATTTCTTCTCAGGAACCACACAAGTAAGAGGAGAGTGGAGACATATTTAAAGTGTTTGTAGAGAGAAGAAAAAAAGTCTACCAATCTAAAATTCTTTACCCTGTTAAATTATTCTTCAAAAGTGAAGGAGCAATAAAGATTTTTTAAACAAACAAAAATTGAATGAATTTGTTGCCAGTAGACCTACCTTACAAAAAATGTTAAAATAAGTTCTTCAGAGAGAAGGAAAATGATCTCAGTCAGAAAGTCTACATATCTACATAAAGAAAGGAAGAAAGTCAGAGAAGGAAAAATAAAGGTGAAATAAAAACTTTTATTTTTTTTTATTTTTTTTTTTTTTTTGAGACGGAGTCTCGCTCTGTCGCCCAGGCTGGAGTGCAGTGGCGGGATCTCGGCTCACTGCAAGCTCCGCCTCCCGGGTTCACGCCATTCTCCTGCCTCAGCCTCCCGAGTAGCTGGGACTACAGGCGCCCGCCACTACGCCCAGCTAATTTTTTGTATTTTTAGTAGAGACGGGGTTTCACCGTTTTAGCCAGGATGGTCTCGATCTCCTGACCTCGTGATCCGCCCGCCTCGGCCTCCCAAAGTGCTGGGATTACAGGCGTGAGCCACCGCGCCCGGCCCAAACTTTTATTTTTCTTGTTCTCACTTGATCTAACAACAGTTTTCTTCAAAGTAATAATTGCAACTATGTATTGAACTATACATGCTTGTATATAAGTGAAATGAGTGACAAACTGATACAAAGGATGGGAGGGAAGAATTAGGGTTTTTTTATTATAAGTTACTAGTACTACTTGTGAGGTGGTATAGTGTTATTTGAAAGTGGATTTGGATTAGTTATAAATGTAAATTGCAAACTCTAGGGCAATCACTAAAAAGGTTTAAAAATAAAGGAGAATTTATATGCTAAGAAAGAAAAGAAAATGGAATCCTATAAAAATGCAGCTTTACTCATATTTCCAAAAATTGTAAGCAATCAAGATGTCCTTAAGTACGTGAATGGATAAATAAAACTGTGGTACATCTAGACAAGGGAATCTTATTAATCACTAAAAAGAAATGTGCTATTAAGCCATGAAAAGATATAGAAGAAATGGAAATGTATATTACTAAGTAAAAGAAGGCAATCTGAAAGGATGTCGTGTGCTACCAGAGGCACATTTGTTACAATTGATGAACCTACGTCGACACATTATTATATCCCAAAGCCCATAGTTTACATGAGGATAAACTCTTGGTGGTGTATATTCTATGAATTTTGACAAATATGTAGTGACATGTATTGACAATTGAAGTATCACACATACTTTACTGTATCATAATAGTTTCAGTGCCCTAAAAGTCCCCTGTGCTTAGCCTATTCATCTATCCCCTCCTCCCTACTCTATCCCCTCCTTTTTTGTCCTTTTTTTTTTTAAATTTTCTATACCTCCCTCCCTCTTAACTCCTGAAAACTGCTGATGTATTCACCATCTCCTTAGTTTTGCATTTTTCAGAGTGTCATGTAGTTGGAATCATACAGCACGTTCCACTCTGGTGGGGGATGTCAGTAGTTGGGGAGTTTGTGCATTTGTTGGGACAGCAAGTATATAGGATCTTTCTGTACTTTCTGCTTAATTGTGCTGTGAAACTAAACTGCTCTAAAAATAAAGTTTATTGAATAAAAATATGAAAAGCTAAACGGTCTGTAATCTTCAAATATATCAAAGTTGTGAAAGCTAAGAAAAGGCTAAGAAACTAATTGAGACTGATGAAGAATACTGAGACATAGCAACTAAATGCAAGAAATTGTTCTGAACTGGAGTTTTGTTGAATTAAAAAACCTTCAGACAATTGGCAAAACTATTGAATGGATTCTAAGGATTAGATGTAATGTATCCATGTTAATTTTCTGATTTGGTGGCTGTACTGTGTTTATTTAGGAGAGTTAATTTTTTTTTCTGTAACTTTATGATTGTTTCAAAATTTGAAAAAGGCAAAGAGAAAAATAAAAGATAAAAAATAGATTATTCTCGATGCTGTACAGAAAGTAGATTGCTGCAGTTTAAAAAAATGTTCAGGCCAGGAAACCAGTTAGTAAGGGACTGCAATCATTTAGGTGAGTTGATAGGGGTTTAGACTAGAGGAGGCAAGTTGGAAATGTTGAGATGTGGTCAGACTGAGGCTACATTTTGAAGGCAGTGAAAACAGAACTTCCTGATTTGATGTGGATTATAAGAAAAGAATAGGAATCAAAAAGGTGTTCTTTCCTGACCAGCCAAGTCAATTACTGTGCCTTAGGAGATGTAAAAATAATACAGGAATAGGAAGATCAAGGCCAGGCTCATCAACAGATACATTATAAAGAAAAGAAGGAGATTGAATAGGAACCTTCAGTTTAAAAGATATGAAAAAGACGTATCAGGTATAAAATAGCTAAGACTAAACAGGTAATAGCTAAGGATCCACACTTGGATGATAAGACCAATGTAAAGAAGTAATACACAAGTTAAGCTAGTGGTTACTTTTAGATAAAACAAAAGAAGGGATTTTGATTGAAGTGTATTGCATATAGTGGGGCTTCAAGGATGGTTGCAAAATTCGATTTCTTCATTGGTTACCAGGGTGTTTATCTCAGTAAAATTCATGAAACTATACATTTGCTTTATGTGACTTTCCATATCTATATTTTACTTTAAAATAAAAAGTCAAAATAGTGGTCCATGAGGAGATGAAAAGAAGAATATGATATCCTGGAAAACAGTAAAGAAAGTTTTTCAACATTTTTTTAATTTTTAATTTTTCTGAGTAAATCGTATGTGTATATATTTATGGGGATATATGTGATGTTTTGATACAGGCATGCAATGCATAAAAACCATATCATGGAAAATGGAATATCCATCCCCTCAACCATTTATCCTTTGTGTTACAAATAATCCAATTATATTCCTTTAGTTATTTTAGAATGTACAATGAAATTATTATTGACTGTAGTTTCCCTGTTTTCTGTCAAATACTAGGTCTTATTTATTCTTTCTAAGTATTTTTTTGGTATGCATTAACCATCGTCACCCCCCATGCACCCCCTACTACCCTTCCCAGCCTCTGGTGAGCATCCTTCTACTCTCTTGTCTCCATGAGTTCAATTGTTTTGATTTTTAGATCCCACAAATGAGTGAGAACATGTGAAGTTTGTCTTTCTGTGGCTGGCTTATTTCAAATAGTGACCTCGAGTTCCATCCATGCTATTGCAAATGACAGGATCTCATTCTTTCTTATGGCTGAATAATACTCCATTGTGTATATGTACCACATTTTTAAGCTCCATTCATCTGTCGATGGACACCTGCGTTGCTTCTAAATCTTGAGTATTGTGAATAGTGCTGCAACAAACATGGTAGTGCAGGTATCTCTTTGATATACTGATTTCTTTTCTTTTGGGTATATACCCATCAGTGGGATTGCTGGATCATATGGTAGCTCTGTATTTAGTTTTTGAGGAAACTCCAAACTGTTTTCCATTGTGGTTGTACTAATTTACATTCCCACCAATGGTGTAGGAGGTTTCTCTTTTTTCCTTATTCTCTCCAGCATTTGTTATTGCCTGTCTTTTGGATAAAAGTCATTTTAACTTGTGTGCAATGTCTCATTAGTTTTGATTTGCATTTCTCTGATGATCAATTATGCTGATTACCTTTTTATATGCCAGTTTGCCATTTGTAAGTCTTTTGAGAAATGTCTATTGAGATCTTTTGCTCATTTTAAAATCAAATTTTAGATTTCTTTCCCATAGAATTGTTTGTGTTCATTATATATTCTTGTTATTAATCCTTTGTCAGATGGATACTTTGCAAATATTTTCTCCTGATCTGTGGGTTGTCTCCTCACTTTGTTGATTTTTTTCCGTTGGTGTGCAGGAGGTTTTTAACTTGATGTGATCCCATTTGTCCTTTTTTTCCTTTGGTTGCCTGTACTTGTGGGGTATTGCTCAAGAAATTTTTGCCCAGACCAATGCCCTAGATAGTTTCTCTGATGCTTTCTTGTAGTAGTTTCATAGTTTCAGGGCTTAGATTTAAGTCTTTAATCCATTTGGATTGGATTTTTGTATATGGCAAGACATAAAGGTATAGTTTCATTCTTCTGTATGTGGGTGTCCAGTTTTCCCAGCACCATTTATTGAAGTTACTATCTTTTCCCCAGTGTATGTTCTTAGCACCTTTGTCAAAAATGAGTTCATTGTAGGAGTGTGGATTTGTTTCTGGGTTCTCTGTTGTGTTCCATTGGTCTACGTGTCTGTTTTTATACCAGTAGAATGTTCTTTTGGTTACTATAGCTCTATAGTATAATTTGAAGTCAGGTAATGTGATTCCTCCAGTATTGTTTTTTGCTTAGGATGGCTTTGGCTAGTTTGGGTCTTTTGTGGTTCTATATACATTTTAGGATTTCTTTTTCTATTTCTGTGATGGATGTCATTGGTATTTTGATAAAGATTGTATAGAATCTATAGATTGCTTTGGGTAGTATAGACATTGTAACAATATTGATTCTTGCTATCCATCAATATGGAATATATTTTCATTTTGTGGTGTCCTCTTTAATTTCTTTTATCAGAAGAATTTTTTTTGTCCCCACCAGAATTTCTTCTTGAATTGTAATCCCTATAATCCCCACATGTTGAGGGAGTGACCTGTTGGGAGGTGATTTCATCATGGGGGCATTTTCCCCCATGCTGTTCTCATGAAAGTGAGTGAGTTCCCATGAGATCTGATGGTTTTATAAGTATTTTACAGTTCCCCACCCCTCTCTCTTTCTTGCCTGCTGCCATGTAAGATGTGCCTGCTTCCCATTCCATCACGATTTTAAGTTTCCTGAGGCCTCCCCAGCCAGGTGGAACTGTGAGTCAATTAAACCTCTTTTCTTTATAAATTACATAGTCTCAGGTAGTATCTTTATAGCAATGTGAAAATGAACTAATACAGCTCTGTTAATTCCTAGATATATAAATTTATTTGTGGCTATTGTAAATGGGATTACTTTTTAAATTTCTTTTCAGATCGTTCACTGTTGGCATATATACTAGAAGTGCTACTGATTTTTGTAGGTTGATTTTGTATCCTGCAGGATTTTTGAGGTTTTTATCATGAACAAATGTTGAGTTTTATTAAGTTATTTTTTTGACACCAATTGAAATGATTATATGGTTTTTGTCCTTCATTCTGTTGGTATGATGTATCATACTGATTGGTTTGCATATGTTGAACCATCTTTGAATCCTTGGGATAAATCCTGCTTGGTAATAACGAATGACCTTTCTAACGTATTGTTGAATTTTGCTTGCTAGTATTTTGCTGAGGATTTTTGCATCAATATTCATCAGACACCTTGGCCTGTGGTTTTCTTTTTCTGATGTGTCTTTGTCTGGTTTTAGTATTGGGGTAATATTGGCCTCATAGAATGTATTTGAAAGTAGTTCCCCCTCCTCTATTTTTTGGAATAGCTTGAGTAGGATTGGTATTAGTTCTTCTTTAAATGTTTGGTAGAATTCAACAGTGAAACCACTGGGTCCCAGGCTTTTCTTTACTGGGAGACTTTTTATTATGTCTTCAATGTTATTGCTTGTTATTTGTTCAGGTTTTGGATTTATTCCTGGTTCAATCTTGGTAGGTTGTATGTGTCTTGGAATTTATTCATTTTCTCTAGATTTTTCAATTATTGACATACAGCTTCTCATAGTAGCCACTAATGATCCTTTTAATTTCTGCAGTGTCAGTTGTAATGTCTCCTTTTCCATCTGATTTCATTTATTTGGGCCTTCTCCCTTTTTTCTTTGTTAGTCTGGCTAAAGATTTGTCAATTTTGTTTATCTTTTCTAAAAACCAACTTTCGTTTCATTGATCTTTATTGTTTTCTTCATTTTAAATTTATTTTTTTGCTCCTATTTTTACTATTTCTTTTCTCCTACTAATTTTGGGTTCAGTTTACTCTTGCTCTTCTAGTTCCCTAAGATGCATTATTAGGTTATTTATTTGAGATTTTTCTTCTTTTTTTTTGTTGTAGGCACTTATAGCTATAAACTTCCCTTTTAGTACTGTTTTCGCTATATCTGATAGGTTTTAGTATGTTGTATTTCCATTTTCATTTGTTTCAAGAAAATTTTCAATTTCCTTTTTAATTTCTTATTGATCCACTGGTCATTTAGGAGCATATTTAATTTTCATGAGCTTGTTTAGTTTCCAAAATTCCTCTTGTTATTGATTTCTCATTTTATTTCATTGTGGTTAGAGAAGATGCTTTATATTATTTCAATGTTTGTGAATGTTGAAAGACGTTTTCTGTTTTGTGACCTAACATATGTTCTATCCTTGAGAATGATCCATGTGCTGAGAAGAATGTGTAGTCTACAGCCGTGGGGTGAAATGTTCTATAAATATTTATTAGGTCCATTTATTCTATAGTACAGGTATGTTATATATTTTTCTTTGTTGATTTTCTGCCTGGGAGATCTGTCCAATGCTGAAAGTTGGGTGTTGAAGTCCATAGCTGTTACTGTATTGAGGTCTATCTCTGTTTATGGCTCTAATAATATTTGCTTTATATATCTGAGTGCTCCTGTTTTGGGTGTACATATATTTACAATCATTAAATCCTCTTCCTAAATTGACCCCTTTATGATTATATATTGACTTCTTTGTCGCTTCTTACAGTTTTTGTCTTGAATTCTACTTTATCTCATATAATATTAGCTATTCCTGCTTTTTGTTGTTGTTGTTTCTATTGGCACAGAATATCTTTTTCCATCCCTTTATTTCCATTTCTATGTACATCTTTATACATGGTGTCTTTCTTGTAGGCAACAAATCACTGGGTCTTGTTTTTTCATCCATTCAGCCACTCTATGTCTTTATTGGAGTGTTTAGTCCATTTTCATTAAATGTTACTATTGATAAGTAGGAACTAACTCCTGTTATTTTGTTATTTGTTTTCTGATTGTTACACAGTCTTATCTTCCTTCTTCCCTTTCTTCCTGCCTTCCTTTTAGTGAAGGTGATTTTCTTTGGTGTTGTGATTTAATTTCTTGCTTTCTATTTTTTATGTATCTGTTGTATGTTTTTTGATATAAGGTTACCACGAGGCTTGTGAATACTATCTTATAACCCATTATTTTAAACTGATGACAACTTAACACTGATTGCAAAAACAAACACACAAAAAGAAAATTAATAAAAACTCTACACTTTAACTTTGCATCCCTGCTTTTTAACTTTGTTGTTTCTCTTTATGTCTTATTATACTGTCTATGTCTTGAAAAGTTGTTATTATTAATTACTTTTGATTGCTTGATCATTTAGTGTTTTCTTTTTTTTTTTTTTTTTTTTGGAGTCTTGCTGTGTTACCAGGCTGGAATGTGGAATGCAGTGGCATGATCTCAGCTCACTGCAACCTCTGCCTCCCGGGTCCAAGCAATTCTCTTGCCTTAGCCTCACAAGTAGCTGGGACTATAGGCATGTGCTACCATGCCCAGCTAATGTTTGTATTTTTTGTGGAGACTGGGTTTCACCATGTTGGCCAGGATTGTCTTGATCTCTTGACCTCGTGATCCACCCACCTAGGCCTCCCAAAGTGCTGGAATTACAGGCATGAGCCACCACCCCCTGCCCATCATTTAGCCTTTCTACTTAAAATAAGAGTAGTTTATACACCACAATTACAGTGTCATACTGTTCTGGGATTTTCTGTGTGCTTACTATTAGCAGTGAGTTTTGTACTTTCAGATGACTGTTCCTTGCTCATTAACATTCCTTTTTTTCAGATTGAAGAACTTACTTTAAGCATTTCTTTTAGGACAGGTCTGATGTTGATGATATCCCTCAGCTTTTGTTTGTCTGGAAAGGTCTTTATTTTTCCTTTATATTTAAAGGAAATTTTTGTTGGATATACTCTTCTAGGGTAAAAGTACTTTCCCTTAGCACTTTAAATATGTCATTCCACTCTCTTCTGGCCTGTAAGGTTTCCACTGAAAAGTCTGATCCCAGATGTATTGGAGCGCCAATGTATATTGTTTCTTTTCTCTTTCCACTTTTAAAATCATTTTTTATCCATGACCTTTGGGAATATGATTATTAAATGCCTTGAGGTAGTCTTCTTTGGGTTAAATCTGCTTGTTGTTCTATAACCTTCCTGTACTTGAATGTTGATATCTTTTTCTAGGTTTGGGAATTTCTGTTATTATCCCTTTGAATAAACTTTCTATCCATATCTCTTTCTCTGTCTCTTCTTTATGGCCAATAACTATTATATTTGCCCCTTTGATGCTATTTTCTAGATCTTGTAGGCAAGCTTCATCCTTATTTATCCTTTTTTCTTTTGTCTCCTCTGTGTATTTTCAAATGCCCTGTCTTTAAGCTTACTAGTTCTTTCTTGCACTTGATCAATTCTGCTATTAAGAGCCTCTGATGCCTTATTCAGGATGCAATTGCATTTTTCAACTCTAGAATTTCTGCTTGATTCTTTTTAATTAATTCAATCTCTTTGCTAAATTTATCTGATAGAATTCTGAATTCCTTCTCTGTGTTATCTTGAATTTCTTTGAGTTTCCTCAAAAAAGCTATTTTGAATTGTCTGTTTGAAAGGACGTATATCTGTTTCTCCAGGATTAGTCCCTGGTGCCTTATTTAGTTTGTTTGGTGAGGTCATGTTTTTGTGGGTAGTCTTAATACTTGCAGGTGTTCATCAGTGTCTGGGCCTTGAAGAGCTGGTATTTATTGTAGTCATCACAGTCTGTGCTTATTTGTGTCTGTCCTTCTTGAGAAGGCTTTCCAGGTATTCAAAGGGACTTCAGCCCCCCCCAATAACATGGTGGTTTTTGCAGACTTATAAAGGTAGCACCTTTGTGGTCTTGGATAAGATCTGGAAGAACTCTCTGGATTACCAGGCAGAGATTCTTGTTCTTTTCCCTTACTTGCTCCCAAACAAACAGAGTCTCTCTTTCTGTGTTGAGCCACCTGGAACTGGGAGTGTGATGATGCAAGCACCCTTGTGGCCACAACCACTGGGATTGCACTGGATCATATCTGAAGCCAACACAGTACTGGGTCTTGCCCAAGACCCACTTTAAACATGACCTATCTACCGCCTATGTTCACTCAAGGCCCTAGGGCTTCAGATAAGTGAGTTTCCCCAAGTGCTGGCCACATCTAGAGATGCTTTCTAGGAGCCAGGGATTGGAGTAAAACACCTGAGAAATTTATCTGATGTTCTATTCTACTTCTGCTAAGCTGACACTGAAACCATAATACAAAGTCCTTCCTGCTCTTTCCTCCTCTATTCACAGGCAGAGAAACCTCTCCCTGTGGTCACCCCTGCACCAGCCCATGGGAGATTCCACTAAGCCACTGCTGAAGTTCACTTAAAATCTAAGGGCTTTTCAGTCAGCTTGTGGTGAATGTTGCCAAATACGGGACTCACTCTTCAGGGAAGTGGGCTCTCCTCTGGCCAAGGGTAGGTCTAGAAATGTTGTCCAAGAGCCTAGGCCTGGACTTGGGGATGCCAAGTGACTGCTTGTTGCTCTACCCCCAGCGTGGCTGAGTTGATACCTAAGGTGCAAGACAAGGTCCCCTGTACCTTTCCCTCTGCTTTTCTCAAACAGAAGGAATGTTTCACTGTACCCATTGTACCTGGGAATGTGCTGGGTTACACCTATAGTGAACATGTCTCAGAGCCCAAGGTCCATCGTGTACTACTTGGGTATCATTGCTGGTTACTTAGGGCCCAAGGGCTCTTTAGTTATCAGGTAATAAATCCTGCCGGGACTGAGTCCTTCTCTTCAGGGCAGCAGCTTCCCTTTGGCCCAGAAATGTGGCCTAGAAATGTGGTCCATCAGCTAGGGTCTGGAGTCAGGGCCACATGACTCTGCCTGGTACCCTATTCTACCATGGCTGAGCTGGTATCAAGATGCAAGACAAAATCTTTCATTTCTACTCCTCTTTTCTTACACAGAAAGAAGGAGACATTTTTGTTGCTGCATGCTGTACTGCCTTGGTTTGGGGGAGGCGTGGAGCAAGCACCTCCTTAGCTACCCCAGGTATTGTCTTCCTAGGTCACATGACACCCTACTTCTCTGCCTCTGAGCCCCACCCAACACTAGGAGTTGCCTAGGAATTGCAGTCCTTGTGTCCTAGGCTTCCTTTCAAGACTACCTAGAACCCCAGAGCACTTTGGCCAGTGGAGGTGAGGCTTATCAAGAAACTCAAGTTCTGATCACTGGGATGGGCAATTCCCCTCTGGCTAGGTCTGGTCCAAATGCTTCCTTTGTGTGTGGACATTGGATGAGCCCAGCAAGGCTTTGCTCTCTACTGTAATAGCCGCACTGAGTTCAATGTAAAGTCCCCCAGTAATTATGCTCTCCCTTTCCCAAGTGCACAGACTCTCTGTGTACATAGCCTCTGCTGGGGATGGTGTAGGGGTGACTTTAGTAATTCAAGACTGTCTCTCCAACCCTATCAATGCCTGCTTCAGGAGTATGAAGTTAAGACCAGGTACTGTGATTGCTCACCTGATTTTTGGTTCTTGTGATGGTGAGAGTCTGTACAATGTTAGTTGTTAAAATTGGGTGTTCCTGGCCAGGCACGGTGGCTCAAGTCTGTAATCTCAGCACTTTGGGAGGCCAAGGCAGGCAGATCACAAGGTCAGGAGATCGAGACCATCCTGGCTAACAAGGTGAACCCCGTCTCTACTAAAAAATACAAAAAAAAATTAGCCGGGCATGGTGGCGGGTGCCTATAGTCCCAGCTAATTGGGAGGCTGAGGGAGGAGAATGGCATGAACCCGGGAGGTGGAGCTTGCAGTGAGCCAAGACCGCACCACTGCACTCCAGCCTGGGCGACAGAGCAAGACTCCGTCTCAAAAAAAAAAAAAAAAAAAAAAAAAATTGTGTTTTCCTGCAGTGAGTGGGAATATTGTAGGCTTCTATTCTGCCATCTTGCTTCACTCCCTCACCCCTCAAATGCTGATGAGAAGTCTAATTAGATGATTGAAAGCTGGCCACTGGATTTGCTGCTGGAATGAAAATTATTGGAGACTATGACATAAGCTGTTTTGAATGAACATGATGGAAAAGCTTTGATTAAGGGGAGTTAAAAAAGAAAGTAGGAGGGGAAAATGGAGATAGTCATGTCAATAAATCATTTTAGTTATACTCATAAAAAGAAGTGTGAAATAAAAGGTCATTGCTTGATGGGTTAAATGGGATCAGGGAAGATTGTGTGTGTGTGTAAATGGAAGATATTATAGCATATTTTTATGCTGATGGGAACGATCAATTCAAGAGGGGAACATAGATGATGCAAGAGAGAGTTGGTATGAAATCAAATATTATATTCCTGTTCTACTGCAAACTTAGGGGATAGCTTTAGATAGGAGCAAGAAGAGTTCACACATTTAATAGGAGGAGTGATGATACTTATAGGAGCAAAGACAATGGTGTTGGTAGATTTGGAGGAAAGGAAATGAGCTACTTCTTCCCTAGGGAGAGTGCTCCAGTGAAGAGGTAGAAACCTAGTAAAAAAAAAGATGATTATGTGTGTGCTTAGACAGATGGATCTTGAAATAGATTTGTAGAGTTTCTTGGCGTCCAGAGCATTTATGGGAACAGCAGAATGTTTCTGTTTTGACATATGGAGAAAGGTCCTGGCCTTTAAGGTGCGTTACAGACAGGACTGAAGAATGAATGACTTAGAAAACCTATGTGGACCAGTGTAGCAGGATTGGGTGTTACTGTGGTTTAGATCTTTGTCTTCTCCAAATCATCATGTTGAAATTTGACCCCCAATGTTGTGGGTGGGGCCTAATGAGAGGTGTTTGGGTCAGGGAGGTGATTCCTCATGAATAGATTAAAGCCCTTCCTTGGGATGTTCGTTTTGTTAGTTCTTGGGAGAGCTGGTTGTTGAAAAGACCCTGGCATCTTCCCCTCTCTCTTTCCTTCTCTCCTGCCATGTGATCTCTGCACATGCTGGTTCACCTTCATCTTCTTTCATTCATGGAAGCAGCCTGAGGCCCTCACCAGAGGCAGATGTTCAATCTTGGACTTCCCAACTATCAGAATCATGGGCCAGATAAAGATTTGTTTCTTTATAAATTACCCAGCCGCAGGTATTCCTTTATAACAACATAACATGGACTAAGACTGGTACTTCAGCAAATACCACTGTGGACAACTATCACTGAGTACTTAATCCCTGCCCTACTCTTGTTGCTTGGGCATTCTGTAAACTCCTGACCACAGGGACATCTTGGAAAAAATAAGGAAGGAATCCCCAAATTGACTAGGAGTAGGTTACTGCCATCCAGAGAGAATAAAGCACAAAATAGGAATTATTCAATTATACACCATTACAGAAAATGAACATATTTCTTGTGCATTTGAGTTATAGACTGACACTCATATTTGCCACATGTGTTCAATGACCTTCAGGTACATGATTTAATCATTTACTACTACTCTTTAATACCAAATAAAGCAAGAAATTATGGGTTTACAGACATTGAACACTGACATTTGGAAAGATTACTCTACCATCTATTGCTTCATTTTACAGGGAGAAAACTAAAATCCAAAGAGGAAATAATTTTGCCCAAGGTCACCTAGAGAAGTTGTGGCAAATTGAACAGAAACTAGAAATACTAGTTTTTCATAATAACACATGGAAGATTAAACAAAAGTCTAAATACATTCAAGGTTAAACATCTGAACTTTTAAAATTATAGGTCTACAAATATTTTAACTGAAAGGAAAACCAGAAAAAGAGAAAAACATTCAATTAATCATTATTTTCATTTATCGTCAATACCAAATATGGGAATCAACCACAACACAATTATCAATATGTTTAATCAGACAGCACTTTTTGAGATTAAATAAACATGAAGGAAAGGAAGTCCTAAAATATTTATGAATGATGAGAATAAGAGTCAGTATTCTAGGGTTTCAGACATGATAAAAATAATGTTTCCTGGAGTAATTGGAGAAGGCTTCCTCGAGACAATGGGATTTTACTCAAGCTTAAAGAGTTCGGTCTGAATGGGCATAGATAATTGGAACAGACATTCCCAATGGGAAAAAAAAATGATTAGAGTGAAGAAACAGAGCATGTGATAGAAGTAAAAAGGATATTTGTTGCTTACCAGAAAGCTATCCCATGAACATTTATTTATTTGTTTATTTTAATTTCTTTTAAACCAATCAAATTTATCAGTGATGGGGTTGTATACTGACTTCAGCGACACTAATGTTAATATGCTGTGATAACCCACTACTATCAGACAAGCCCATGAACATTTATTGAGTGTTATGTTCATTCTATTCTTTCAGATTGCAAGCAACAGAGACACACCCACACAATCTTAGGTAATGGGACTTACTTTAAGCAAGTAGTTCTGCTCTAGAGTTCCCTTAGTCACTGTTTCCTCTCTCGATATTTCTGGTATCTTTGTCTCTGCTTTACTCTGTCTCTCTCTGTCCACCTGTTCCCATCCAAAAGGTGGAAAGAGGAGTACAGCAGAGAGATGAATAAAATACTGGTCAATACATTTGTCCTTGACATTGAGGAGTTCACAATTCCAGTTCAATAAGAAGGAAAGATGGAAAAAAGCACTATGATACATGCTATAATGGAAGACAGCAGAGGGTGCTATGGGATTAACATGAAAGGTCCACGGTGAAGACTTAGGAATTCAGGGGTTATAGGCCGCTTTCTGGAAGATATAAGTATGAGCTAAGTCTCAAGCATGAGTCAACAAAGTCAAGGTTTGTAAGATTGCAAGCAGAGGAATTATTTTGGACAACAGTGTGCATAATTCATCATGGTTGCATTAGAGAACTATAGTAATCTGGCATTTCTAGATTACAAAGTGAAAGATAGAGAATATAAGAAGCAACCAGGTAATGGTTCGGTTTGTTTGCTCTGCAATGGATTTGTATGTGTCTCATAGTTAATGTGTTGCCATAGGAAAGTTTGTTTTTTTTTTTAATTATACTTTAAGTTTTAGGGTACATGTGCACATTGTGCAGGTTAGTTACATATGAATACATGTGCCATGCTGGTGCGCTGCACCCACTAACTCGTCATCTAGCATTAGGTATATCTCCCGATGCTATCCCTCCCCCCTCCCCCCACCCCACAACAGTCCCCAGAGTGTGATATTCCCCTTCCTGTGTCCATGTGATCTCATTGTTCAGTTCCCACCTATGAGTGAGAATATGTGGTGTTTGGTTTTTTGTTCTTGCGATAGTTTACTGAGAATGATGATTTCCAATTTCATCCATGTCCCTACAAAGGACATGAACTCATCAATTTTTATGGCTGCATAGTATTCCATGGTGTATATGTGCCACATTTTCTTAATCCAGTCTATCATTGTTGGACATTTGGGTTGGTTCCAAGTCTTTGCTATTGTGAATAATGCCGCAATAAACATACGTGTGCATGTGTCTTTATAGCAGCATGATTTATAGTCCTTTGGGTATACACCCAGTAATGGGATGGCTGGGTCAAATGGTATTTCCAGTTCTAGATCCCTGAGGAATTGCCACACTGACTTCCACAATGGTTGAACTAGTTTACAGCCATAGGAAAGTTTTAAACCGCAGAGTATTGAATTGCATTTAGAAGGACTTCGGCTGGGTGAACTATGGGTATGAGAAGGGAAAAGATGAGGAAATTAGTAGTATAATACATATTTTGTAATATTTCTTAATTATATATCTTAATACTTTCCCTGTGCAGGCTGGGTGTCCTGGAATATCTGTCAGTGCTGTGTTGCATTAGGTGAGATGGTGAAAAAGATATTGTCAGAGAAGAAAGGGAAAGGTAGACATGGATGAGGAAAATCTCTTTTCTCTTGACCTATGGGTGATGCACTGCAGAGCAAACCAGATACCTTTCAGTGATGAGCTTAGGGTATCTGATCCTTGTTTTCATCACATTATTCCCATTCCTGAAGAAAACTACAAGCCAACAACTCCTATATTTTTAAAGGGATGAGCTTTCTGTGCAACTAATGCAAAATGCAAAATTTAGCTTCATTTGCATGCAGTGAAAATTATCATTATGGAATACAAAACTCAGCTGTGACACATATATCTCAGTGCCAAAATCTTGTCGTATCCTGCAACTTACAGCATACAAATAAGAAATGATCATCCCAGGAAAGTTTTATCTAAATTCTTTCTAGACTTGCTTGAATGATAGGTAGCAGTTTAGAGAGATAAAAGTAATTGTAATAGGCAAGTGTTCAAACCATTTAAGGATTTGTGAATCCTCAGAATTCCTCAGCACTATTTCTCACCTTACTTGGCACAACTTTTTTTTTTTTTAATTTTTAAAACAAGCGTAGCTTAACAAAGTTTTTGTTTTTTTAATTTTAAAACAAACATATTGACACAACTTCTGAGGTGATTGAACTTGTTTGGTTTCTAAATTAAGAGGATGTAAGAGTACATCATTCATTAAAATAACTCCCAAAATGAGTTTCCCAACACAGGAAAACAAACTTTATATTACATTTTATTATTTATAGTAAAAATATAAATCAGTACAGTATATTTTCATATATTCTGACCCTGATACAATAGGTGTTAGAATAATGCAGTCAAAATAAACTTGTTAATGAGAAAAAAGAGTGGCAATGGAATGTTTCTTTACTTGAATTATTTAAACTGTTTATTTTCTTAGGATGAATTTGCTGGATAACTTTGGAACATTCCATTCATCCTTGCTTTTCACTGGCTATTTAATATACTGCAGAGAATGTCATAGGCTTTCAAATATTGCTAGACAAAAATGAAGAATAGGGTTTTCTAAGTACTAGTTTATACAGATGTAGGAAGGCATTCAGTAGTACTGATTCAAGATACAGGCTTTGATTCCTCTGAACGGGATCCTAATACACATTCCTCATGGTTGCATGCTAGAATGTTCCTTTTCTTTTTTGTATACTTTCCAAGAAGAAAGCTGAGATTATTCTGACTATGAAAGAATGTTTACTTTGCCAACAATTCCTATTCCACAGGGAAAGGGTGGGTTGACATTGTGTAAAACTCCACAAATTCCCACTCAAGCTGCGGTCTCTTTTCCATGTTGACCTCCAAATAGCCCCTTCTTGACTGCAGCTGGTGATACCATAAGAGGCTGTGCAAAACTCCAAATTAAAGAACCAGAGTGGAGATTGGGAGAGATGGAGCTGTTCAACTCGTTGTAAACACTGTTGTGCTCCAGTGAGGAATCCAGTTCATAGAAGTAATTAAAATTGATTTTTTTGTGTGTCAGAGTGGCACCAGACCCAGTCTATATGTAGAGAAAGAGGCCAAATCAATAGTATTTGCCTTGTTTTTGTTTTGAGATTTTTTCAAATAAAAAATTTGGAAAGACCACAGATGAGGTGCATTCTAATTATCTGAGTCACTTTTAACAGAATTCTTCAACTTCCCTTCTCAGCTTCACTGCACAGAGAAACTTTCCTCTGAAAATCATATTTGGCCTGTGAATCTTTTTTTTAATTTTATTTTAAGAGACGGAGTCTTGCTCTGTCGCCCAGGCTGGAGTGCAGTGGTGCCATCTCAGCTCACTGAAAGCTCCGCCTCCTGGGTTCACGCCATTCTCCTGCCTCAGCCTTCCGAGTAGCTGGGACTACAGGCGCCCGCCACCACGCCTGGCTATGGCCTGTGAATCTTAAATATCAAAAGTTGTAGGTGAAGCAGGACATTATTTTTGGAATGTTTGTTTTTAACCCTTCTGTTTCATTTTTTTACATTTTAATATTTATAGTAATATACATTTACACTTATATTCATTATATATGTTTATAAATATATTTTTACACTTATAATAATTTTCTTCAATACAGGCCTGAAATATAACAGATACTCAATAATTAATTAACTAATTAGATAAGAAACATTTGAAGCAATTATCATTATAACAAAAACTAAATAACCTATTTTCCTTTAATCTTAACGAATAACTTTGTTAGTGTATAGTTGATCTACATACAGGTTTCTGAAATAAAAAATATATTTTTGTCTTCATTAAGCAATGCAAATGGGAATGCTTCTTTTTTTGGAATTATGAATGTTTACTGTGAATCCAGGAGAAATTTTTAAAGCAGATGTATTTTGTTGATACACATAAACACACACACACATACACACAAAACTTTCACAAGTTTTATGATTTTTAACAGTTTCATGTTTTAGTGGGAGTTTTGTCTGAATCTTTTATCCTTGCTTGTATTGTTAGATAAGCGCACGTGGTTTGCCTAGAGTAGATTTTTTTTTTCTGGGTTGGTTCACAGAATGGGTGGGCTATAACATATTAATGGGGAAGAAAATAAGTAATGGCAATATTACAATAAACAATAAAAGTTCAAAGTTAATTTTTAATATTCACATGTGTTTGGCTATCTTGGTAGAAATAATCTCCAAGGGTTTTTTAAAGGACTGTATTATGTGCCTTTTCCTTTGTATTTTCACATGGGGGGAAAAAGGTAAATAAAAGGCTGCAAAAATCCTTTGGATTTATCTATTTCTTCTTGGTTGTGGAAACTTCCATGAAATATTATTAACAGGCAGCCAAATACCACAGTGTTATTACCTTTCAGGACTTGTCTCAGGGTGGTACTGCTCCTGGCAGAATTTCTCCATGTCTAGTTGGCGTTTACAGATTTTATGTGATTTTTTTTATCACATAGCTTTAATAAAAACAAGATGGTCAGATTAGTGAGTGTGTGTAAGAGACAAGGGCAGCCTCAGAAAACTCAAATGTAATCCTTTTAGATACAGTCTCCAGCTGGGCTTGACAAGGAGTTGTGAGCCATATAAGGAAGGAAGATAGCAGTTATACTTAACGATAGTTTTGTTTAAGTCAAATGATCAGGCCTCTCCTGTTTTATCTTAAACTTGTGGAGACAGTTTATGTTTCTGATGAGGGCAGCCAAATAATGCACTGGTAATCCAAGCCTGTTTACCCTCTGGCTATGAGACATGTTACATTATATTTTACATTTCAACCAGAGGGGATGATCTAAATTGTAAGGTGTCATGTGCTTCCCCTAAACTGAGGTCTGTTTTTCTAGATTAGCATTGGAAACCTCACCCTTGAAATGTGTCTTCCATCTAGAGTTCGGAGGAGGTACATTTATGGTAGGGTTCAGTGAATTAACACAGACACAGATTTTCTGTTTTTTTTTTTTTTTTAATTTGCTTTAAGTACATGGTATCAACAATGATCTATTGTTGATCTATTAATAGGAAAGGAAATAAGTAATGGCAACATTACAAAAAAGAATAAAAGTGCCAAAGTTCCTTTTTAATATTCACAGATGTGTGGTAGAAATGAGAGCTCATTATATTTCTCTTCAAACTTATTACCACTTCTGTAGTCTGTATCTTAGTTGGGTGGCATCAATTTCCATTAGCCTTTTAAGCTACAAAACTGAGAGTCATTGATTCTTTGCACTCACTTAGTTTCAACTCCTAGCCTCATTTACATCCCTGCTCTTATCATTTGTTTCTAAAACTTGTGCAACAGAAAAATCATTAGAAGAGAATTAAGTCCTCTGTGAAAAAAAATTTTATAACTAAGCTATTTCTCATATAAACATAAAAAAGGTAAAATGAAAGGGCAAGGAATCTCAAATCTCTCAAAATATTTATGTAATAAATTACACAGTTACATCTTTATCCAAGTGATTAAACAAGAATATTTTAAGGCAATGAATTATAATTCAGTATTTTTTATTCTTTTGCTTTGTAATACATGCAGTTTATGTCTTTAAATCACCTTATACTGTAATTACTATATATATAAAATAATGAATTTTAAAAAAGAAATCAGAAATATATATATATCTATATATATATATGAAAACACTGAAACAGAGGAGAGTTAACTTTACCTTTAGTCTGATGTACAGTGTACACTATTAAAGGATAAATTACATTGAGTTTCCTGGCAGCAAAAGGGTGATAGAAGCATATTATTTTTCAAAAGATATCCACTTAGATAAATTCATATAATTTATCACAGATAAATAGGCAAGCTTCAGAGATTTAAGAAAGACTATCCTTTTAAACACTTTGCAGTTGTGTAATCTAGAACCCTTTATTGAAACATCCCCCTCTCCCATGGTACTGCCGCTTCTCTGAATCACACAGGTAAGTGGTCTTCAAATTCAACTTGATGCCCTCTCAAGTGCATCAAGAAATCAAGAATGATGACACTGGCTTTATTTGTTGATCAAATTTTTCCAGAGTTTAAGACCTATTTTTAGTTATGAATACTTTAAAAAGTCATATTAATTCCTCTAGGAACTAAATTATTATTTTTGTATACCTAATCAAATAATGGCCCAAAAATGATATGTATGATGATCAAGGGCTTACCACAAATATCTAACTATGAAATGGAATATCCTTAGCTATATAGATTTTCAATAATAGAATGTATTTCCTTTTGAATGTAGCACTCAAAGAATCTTCAAATGGCTTTTAACTAGGGCAGGGTAAATTAACATAAGTATCTCTAATAGGGAGTGCAGGGTGCAGTAATTACAAATAGGGAAATAGAGATTCTAGTATACAAAGGTAAATATTTTACCCATTTTTCCTGATGTCCGCATTCTGTCTGAAGCCTGACTTGTGATTTATTTTACGTAGTATTGCATTTGAACTCTTAGCATTTAAACTCTTAGAATTTTTTTTTTCACACTAAGTCCTTTGGTTGCTTTGGTACACACTTTGCTGTTTTATCCTATAATTAAACCTGTGATAAGCAAAGAAAAACATACCCTTTTACTCCAGTAGTTCTGTAAAGATTAGGCACTTCCTTTCTGGATTAGCAGTTAGAGCTGAGATTACCCTGAAACAAATCAATTGGTCATTATATAGGGAAACACAAAATACGCGTATTGACTAACCAGCCTCCTTTCATGTTCTACAATTTCTACAAACAGATTCTTTACAATAGGTGGTATCTTTTCTATGCAAGTGAATGATAAACAAATATACAGGCTGCAAAAGAACATGATTGGGCCAAAGTTCACAATAGTTTGATGAATAAACCAGGGTTACAAAACCTGGAAATACAGGCAGTCTTACCAGGCTTCATATTTCTGCTGACCTAAGTCTAAGAAAAACAAAGGATTAGGTGTCAGTAACTAAACACGGTGCTCCTTCTTAGTTTTTTTTAATGTAGGTTAACCATAGTGAGAAAGGTATCTTTTCTATGACCACATTTATACAATAAGGACCAAAGATTGTAGAATTTACTAGAAAAAAATGCTTTACTTCAATTCTAGTCTGTGTCATTCAATTAACCCAGCCTTCACTGTAGATACAGAGATAAGCAAAGGGCTAAAAAAAGTAGTAGATGATATAGTACAATTCATCCATATGTAGAGTAAAAAGTCAAATGTAAAAAACTGTGAGGAAACACAAAAAGAGGAGAGATTATTTCTGCTTGGGGAAATCAAACACATATTCTGGAACTTAACAAATGAGTATAATTTTCACATACATTGATCTACACAATGTACAGTCATGCATCTCTTAACAACAGGGATACATTCTGAGAAAAGGGCCGATTTCACCATTGTGTGAACGTCATAAAGTGTGTTTCCATAAACCTGTGTGATACAACCTATTGCTCCTAGGCTACAAATCTGTACAGCATGTTACTGTATTGAATATTGTAGCCAGAGCCAGTTGTAACACAATGGGAAGTATTTGTGTATCTAAGCATAGAAAAGTTACAGTAAAAATAAGGTACAAAAGACAAAAAGTTTTTGACTCTTTTATAATAATACTTAGCTTAAAACACAACACATTCTACAGTTGTACAAAAATATTTTCTTTCATTATATCCTTATTCTACAAGATTTTTCTATTTTTTACGTTTTTATTTCTTTTTAGTTTTTAGGCTTTTTAATTGAAAACTAAGACACAAACACACACATTAGCCTAAGCACACAGGGTCGGGATCATCAGTATCACTGTCTTCTACCTCCACATCTTGTCCCACTGGAAGGTTTTCAGGGGCAATAACATGCATGGGGCTGTCATCTACTATGATAACAGTATCTTCCTCTAGAATACCTCCTGAAGGACCTGCCTGAGGCTGTTTTTGACTTAAAAAAATAAGCAGAAGGAGTACACTCCAAAATAACAATAAAAAGTATAGCAAATACATAAACCAGTAATATAGTCACTTATTGTCATTATCAAGTATTATGTACCGTACATGATTATATGTGCTATACTTTTATACAATTAGCAGTACAGTAGGTTTGTTTACACTGGCATTATCAGCACAAACATCTAAGTAATGTCTTGCTCTATGACACTATGATGGCTGTGACTTCACTAGAAGATAGTAATTTTTAGCTCTACTATAATCTTTTGGTACTACCATCCCATATGTTGTCTGTCATTATGCAGCACATAGCTGTATATACTATTAGCAGGATTTGTTGCTGTGGTAGTGGTGGTTATTGTTAGTCTTGGATTTAGTCGGGATTAGAAAGGAAATGGGAGTAGCTCTGACATGAGTCTTTGTGCATCTGTTTCCCCTAAATTGCTTAATTGGACCTTAAACTCCTTCAGAATCTGAATACCGCATGTTCTCTGATACTTTCCTGCTTATATTCTATACTCCACATCTTTTGAAGTTTTTACAAATTCCCTAATTAGCCAGGGTTTTTCATGTTTTCTCATCTTTGTACACATTGTTCCTTCTGTCCAGAAGGCCCTTCTCTAACCCCATGAGTATATATAGTTTATTAAAAATTCATTTTAGATATAAAGCTTTAGGCAACCTCCTAAGGTATTGATAGTTTTAGTTCCTCTAATCTTGCTGTAACTATGAATATTTATATTGACTTCTTTTTGCACTTACTTCATTTTATATGTCTGGCTACTCATTAGACTGTGAGCCTGTCTTCATTTTCATGGTGCCAAGTAGTTCCTCAACATGTCTGACGTATGTATGAATGAAGACCAACAACTTTCATTAAGTTTTTCCCAACTATTTTTTATCAGTAATCATGCTATCTTCCTTGAATTCCTAGTGAACAGCTTTCCATAGTTGCACAAATCAGTCTTTTAAGCAAATACCACAAATTAGGTAATCTGTAACATTTGGAAAGTCTTAATAGAGTTGTTCTTTACTAATGCATAAATGAATTTATTCAACAAGTATTCATTGAGTGTCTTCTGTGCTCAAAGCACTATACTAGGTAACATAGGAGATAGAGATACAATATACTCAGAGTACTCAATCAACAATTATAAAGTAAAGTAAGGCAAAACCGTAATGAGACACTGGAAAGAAAGAGATACTGTCTTAGAAACTAACAGTGGAAAAGAGAGCACCATTAATCTTTTTTAAAAACTATTATGGTAAAAAAAATAACATGAAATTTACCCTTTTAACAAGTGTTAAGTGCACAGTACAGTGTTGTTAACTACAGGTACAGTGTGGTACAGGGGATCTCTAGAACTTCATCTTGCATGATTGAAATTTTAATGCCCACTGAAAAGCAACTCCTCATTTCCCACTTGCTTCAGCCCTCGGCAATCACCATTCCACTCTCTGATATGATGAATTTGACTGTTTTGGGTACCTCATATAAGTAGAATAATTCAGTATTAGTTCTTTCATGACTGGCTTATTTCACTTAGCATAATGTCTTCCAGGTTCATTCATGATGCAGCATAGAACAGAATTTTCCTTTTAAAGGCTTAATAATATTCCATGGTACATATATACATCACATTTTGTTTAATCCATTCATGCATCAGTGAACAGTTGGGTTGCTTCCACATTTTGGCCATTGTGAATAATGCTGCAATGAATATGAGTGTCAAATATCTCTTTAAGATACTATTTTTAATTATTTTGGATAAATATCCAGAAGTGGGATTTCTAGATCATATGGTAGTTACATTTAATTTTTTGAGGAAGCTTTCTATTGTTTTCCACAACAGCTGCACTGTTGCACATTTCCACCAACAGCATCCAAGGGTTTCAATTTTTCCAAGGCAGCAAAAATTTGTTCTTTTCCTTTTTCTTTTTGTAATGGCCATCCTAAAAAGTGTGAGGTGATGTCTTATTGTGGTTTTGATTTGCATTTCCCTGATGATTAAGATATTAGGCATTTTTTCACATAGCTGTTGGCCATTTATGTGCTCTCTTTGTAGAAATATCTTTTCAGTTCCTTCATCCATTTTAAATCAGATGATTCACCTCTTTGCTATTGAATTATAAGCAGTTATTTATATATTTTGGATCTTAAGTCCTTATCAGATATATAGTTTGCAAATATTCTCCTGTTCTGTAAGTTGCCTTTTCAACTGTTGATTGTTTCCTTTCCTGTGCAAAGGCTTTTAGTTTGTTGTAGTCCCACTATCCTATTTTTGCTTTTGTTGTCAGTGCTTTTGGTTTTGTACCCATGAAAGCATTGCCAAGACCAATGTAATGAAGGTTCCTCTCTGTTTTCTTCTATGAGTTTCATAGTTTCAGGTCTTATGTTTAAATATTTAGTCCATTTTGAGTTTATTTTTCTGTGTGGTAAAATATAAAGTTCTAATATTATTTGTTTGCAGGTAGATTCTAGTGCACAATCCTCACAGAGGTTAGAGTGAACCAACATCACACCACTGTATTCCGGCCTGGGTGACAGAGTGAGACCCTGCCTCAAAAAACAAAACAACCCCCTCCAAAAAAATCCCCCAAACAAACAAAGCTACAGTTGTTATTGATAGGGAAGGACTTATTATTGGCATTTTGTTGCATGTTAGAACGTTCCTTTCTTTTTTTTTTTTTTGGTTATGTTTTCCAAGAAGACAGCTGGGATAATTTTGCCTTTTGCATTTGGATGTCTAATTTCCTGGACGCCATTTGTTGAGGAGACTATACATTCCCCATTGTGCATTCTATGCACCCTTTTAGAAGATCAGTTGTCCTTTCATGTGTGGGCTTGTTTCTGGACTCGCTGTTGTGTTCCATTGGTGTGTACATCTGTCTTTATGCCAGTACCATCATGTATTAATTACTGTAGTTTTGGAAAGTGTTTTGAAATTAGAAAGTATGAGGCCCTCCAGCTGTATTCTTCTTTCTCAAGATTGTTTTGGTTATTCAGAGTTTTTTTCTTTTCTTTTTTTTTTATTTTTTAAAACAATTTTTTAAATATTTTATTGTAAGTTCTGGGATACATGTGCAGAATGTGCAGGTTTGTTACATAGGTAAATGTTTGTCACAGTGGTTTGCTGCACCTATCAACCCATCACCTAGGTATTAAGCCCAGCATACATTAGTTATTTTTCCTGATGCTCTCTCTCCCCCTGCATCCCCCACCACAAGGCCCCAGTATGTGTTCTTCCCCTCCCTGTGTCCACATGTTCTCATTAATCAGCTCCCACTTATAAGTGAGAACATGCGGTGCTTGGTTTTCTGTTCCTGCATTAGTTTGCTGAGGATAATGGCTTCCACCTCTATCTATGTCCATGCAAAGGACACGATCTCATTCATTTTTACGGCTGCATAGCATTCTATGGTGTATATGTACCACATTTTCTTTATCCAGTCTATCATTGATAGGCATTTGGGTTGATTCCATGTCTTTGCTATTATGAATAATGCTGCAGTGAACATACATGTGCGTGTATCTTTGTAACAGAATGATTTATATCCCTGACTGTACTAAAAATACCAAAAAAAAAAAAAAAATGGTGGTACATGCCTGTGGTCCCGGCTACTCAAGAGGCTGAGGTGGGAGGATAGCTTGAGCCTGGGAGGTGGAGGTTGCAGTGAACCAACATCACACCACTGTATTTCCAGCCTGGGTGACAGAGCGAGACTGCCTCAAAAAACAAACAACCCCCTCAAGAAAACCCCCAAAACAAACAAAAATACAGTAGTTATTGATAGGGAAGGACTTATTATTGCCATTTTGTTAATTTTTTCCTGTCAGCCTGTAGTTCTTTTGACCCTCTTTTATTTTCTTGCTGTCTTCCTTTGTGCTTAATTGATCATTATTTTATTTTTTGTAGAGACCAGCGCTTACCACGTTGTCCAGGCAGGTCTCAAACTCCTGGGCTCAGGCGATCCTCCCACCTCAACCTTCCAAAATGGCAGGATAACAAGTGTGAACCACTGCATCCAGCCTATTTTCTTTTGTAGTGGCATGCTATGATTCCTTTCTCATTTTCTTTTTTACATCTTCTAGAGGTATTTTCTTTGTAGTTACCATGGGGCTTACATAAAGCACCTTACAGTTATAACAATGTATTTTAAGCTGATAATGTAACTTTAATTACATATAAAATCTCTACACTTTTACTTCTGTCCTCCCCCCACACTTTATGTGTTTGCCATCACAAATTGCACCTTTTTGTATTGTGTACCATTAACATATGCTTATAGTTATAGTTATTTTTTAACTTTTGTGTTGGACTTCTATACCAGAATTAAACATGGTTTATGCATCACAATTATAGTATTAGAGTATCCTATATCATCTACATATTAATATTTATCTTTACACATGAATATAATTTTGTATTCTTTTCAATTAGAAACTTTCTTTCTGGCCTCATTTAACCAGTCTACTGATTCCCCACAATTACTTTGCATACATTTCTAAAATAAATGAAAGTCTGTTCAACTCCATTTCAATACCACTGAAAGACAATCAGTTCACAATCAAGAGGTAAACTCATCTTAACAGTAAAGGGCTCGTGGCTCTTTGTTTTGTACTAAAGGCCTTATTTTCATCATCGATGAGAACAATGGGCATTTTTATTTTGAGCACTAAGTAAATTACCAAGGCACATCAATATCAGCATTTCACTGGATAATCAGATCAGGAGACATTTGGAATAGGTCACTTTGAAAAGGACATTGATTTTTGCCCCAGAACTTAGAGTAAAATAACCAGTTCTATTTATCTTTCTTTCCCTGAAACTATCTTCTATATTTTACACATAGTTTTGTATTTATAAAACCCTCCTAAACTAGGTGTTCTGCAAAGCCATTTTGCTGCCAGGCAGCATCTTTGTCCAGGTGGTTTTAGCTATCACATAATCCTTCTTTGTCCCCTAATGTGTCAGGCCCTTTCTATTTTACAAAGCTATCTTTTATACCATTGTTCTTTGCTGTGTACCAGTAAGGTACTCAGGCCTACTAACGACCCCATTTTAGAAGTGAATAAATATTATTCACAATGGCTCACATGAAAAGTAGTAGGATTATAATGTAGTTTGTTAATTTTTACAAGATTCCAAACCTGATTTTCTTTACTAGCATCCATACTGCCTCCCTGACTGTCTGCCATGTTCGTAACTACCATGTCAGTAACTATCGCTCTCCCCAAACCAATCTGGTTGAACAAATCTTAGAGGCCAGGCCAGAATTCTCCCTGCTCATACATTTAGTTCTTAAATTGTGTAATCTGGTACAGACTCCCTTACCTAAAGTCACTGCCAGTGGGGCTGTGGCTTAAAGGAAAAAGTAAAGAAAGCTTGTGCTAATCACATCTGGGATTCATATAAAAACATTACTATATTTACTTCTTTTGAATCCTATTTTCTCTTCAAAAGCTGTCTATGGGGTTCTGATTAGCCTGATTTTATCCTGTCAGGAGAACAAGGAATGCCTTGAGGTTCTAAGAACATCCCACAATAACATTTTTGTCTATTTCACCCAACTGAGAAATGAAATATTTGGAGTATGTGTAAGATAGTTGTCTAGAGTAACTTTTAATCCTAATAACGTTATTTTCTGGAATTATATTTCTTTTATTTCTACCTCACTTCCCTTGAATATTGGAATTGTGAACTTGTACTATCTTTTTTTTTTACATAGAATATAGAATCAGAGTTAAATATCTTTGAAAAGTGTAATTGTTATCAAAATACCATTAATGTATTAAATGATAGTAATATATTACATTTATTAAGGGCTTACCAATATGGCTTCTATTGTTTTAGGTACTTTACATATAGATTTTAGCCATGCAAAATGTTTATAGTATTATCCATTAATAAAAAATGAGGAAAGTTGTTTTGAAAAATGTCTTAGCTGTGAATAACTGATTATGACAAAGCGCTCTCATGTATAATTTCCTATTTACTTTTTATAGGTAATTCCTATAATATAGATGTTTTGATGGTGGCTACAGAGGTGCTTGCTTTGCAGCTAACACTTGAACAACACAGGGTTAAACTGCATGGGTCCACTTATACCCCAATTTTTTCCTTTTCTTTTTTCTTTTTTTTTAATTTTTAATTTTTTTTGAGACAGAGTTTTTCTCTATCACCAAGGCTGGAGTCCAGTGACACGATCTTGGGTCACTACAATCTCTGCCTCCTGGGTTCAAGTGATCCTCCCACCTCAGCCTGCCGTGTAGCTGGGACTACATGTGTGCATTACCATGCCAAGCTACTTCTGTATTTTCAGTACAGACGGGCTTTTGGCATGTTGCCTGGGTTGGTCTCAGACTCCATCCTCAAGTGATCTGCCTACTTCGGCCTCCCAAATTGTTGTAATTACACGTGTGAGCCACCACACCAGGCCCAAATATTTTTCAATAAAAGTTACATCAAGTGTGCCTGCTTCTCCTGCCTCTCTTTCCACCTCTTCTACCTCTTCTGCCTCTGCCACCCGAGACAGCAAAACCAATTTCTCCTTTACCTCCTCTTCTTCCACCTAATAAATGTGAAGATGATGAGGATGAAGACGTTTATGATGATCCACTTCCACCTAATGAATAGTATACATATTTTTTCTTCTTTATTTAAAAAAATATAAAATTTTAATTTGTAATTATAACATATAATATAAATTATAATTTAAATTAATATTAATTTATAAAAATCATATTATATATAAACTATATAAAAATATAAATGATTTTCTTAACTTTTCTTTCTCTAGCTTACTTTATTATAGGAATACAATACTAATATATAACATACAAAATAAGTGTTAATTGATTATGTTACAGTCAATTACTGTTCTGGTCAACAGTAGGCTATTAGTAGTTAAGTTTTTGGAAGTCAAAAGTTATATGCAGACATTTGGCTGTGTAGAGGTTTGTGTCCCTAACCCCCACTTTGTCAAGGGTCAACCGTAGTCTTATTCTCCATGTTATTATATATTCTTTTGTACACTTCTGTGTGTAAGATATATTTCAAAAGAAAACATAATGGCTTTGTAGTTCTCATGGCTTTTTGATGGATTTTGCCCAATATTTTCTTCTTTACTATCTGAAGTGTACAAAAAGATTCTGCTATTTAGATCTACTTTTATTGCCATTGGAAATTTAAAAACTGGCCAGGTGCAGTGGCTTACTCCTGTAATCCTAGCACTTTGGGAGGCTGAGGCGGGTGGATCACTTGAGCACAGGAGTTCGAGAGTAGCCTGGACAACATGGTGAAACTCTGTCTCTACAAAAAATACAAACGTGGTGACATGCGCTTGTAGTCCCAGCTACTCAGGAGACTTGTAGTCTCAGGGATGTAAGGCTGCAGTGAGCCATGATGGTGCCACTGTATTGCAGGCTGGGCAACAGAATGAAACCCTGATCCAAAAATAGAAAAAAAAAAAGGAAAATTTAAAAACCATAAAACATACAACACGAAAATGCAGAGATGGCCAATATTCAAACTGAGTTATTTATATTTTATACAAGTTAATCCATGTGAATCCACATGAATATTTCTATTACAATTTTGAGATTATTTGTGCTACAATGGAATACTTTTCCATTGATAAAATTCACAAGAACAAGGATATATTTCATTCAATAATGCAATCAGAAGGTGGGTAATAACAAACTCCTCCGAGCTAAATGAGCGTGTTCTAACCCAATGCAAGGAAGCTAAGAACCTTGAAAAAAGGTTAGAGGAATTACTAACTAGAATAACCAGTTTAGAGAAGAACATAAATGACCTGATGTAGCTAAAAAACACAGCACAAGAACTTCGTGAAACATACACAAGTATCAATGCTGAATTGATCAAGTAGAAGAAAGGATATCAGAGATTGAAGATCAACATAATGAAATAAAGTGAAAAGACAAGATTAGAGAAAAAAGAGTGAAAAGGAACAAAGCCCCCAAGAAATATGGGTGTATGTGAAAAGACCAAACCTACGTTCCATTGGTTTACCTGAAAGTGATGGGGAGAATGGAACCATGTTGGAAAACACTCTTCAAGATATTATCCAGGAGAACTTCCCCAACCTAGCAAGACAGGCCAACATACAAATTCAGAAATTAAAGAGAACAACACAAAGATACCCCTCGAGAAGAGCAACCCCAAGACATATAATCGTCAGATTCACCAAGGTTGAAATGAGGAAAAAATGTTAAGGGCAGCCAGAGAGAAAGGTCAGGTTACCCACAAAGGGAAGCCCATCAGACTAACAGCGGCTCTCTGTGCAGGAACCCCTACAAGCCAGAGGAGAGTAGGGGCCAATATTCAACATTCTTAAGAAAAGAATTTTCAACTCAGAATTTCATATCCAGCCAAACTAAGCTTCATAACCAAAGGAGAAATAAAATCCTTTACAGAGAAGCAAATGCTGAGAGATTTTGTCACCACCAGGCCTGCTTTACAAGAGCTCCTGAAGGAAACACTAAATATGGAAAGGAAAAAACAGTACCAGTCACTGCAAACACATACCAAATTGTAAAGACCATCGACACTCTGAAGAAACTGCATCAACTAACTGCATCAAAATAACCAGCTAGCATCATAATGACGGGATCAAATTCACACATAACGATATTAACCTTAAATGTAAATGGGCTAAATGCCCCAATTAAAAGACACAGACTGGCAAATTAGATAAAGAGTCAAGACCTATCGGTGTGTTGTATTCAGGAGATCCATCTCACGTGCAAAGACACACATAGGCTCAAAATAAAGAGATAGAGGAATACGTGCTAAGCAAAATAAAGCAGGGGTTGCACTTGTAGTCTCTGATAAAACAGACTTTAAACCAACAAAGATAAAAAAGACAAAGAAGGGCATTGCATAATGGTAAAGGGATCAATGCAACAAGAAGAGCTAACTATCCTAAATATATATGCACCCATTACAGGAGCACTCAGATTCATAAAGCAAGTTCTTAGGGAAATACAAAGAGACTTGGACGCCCACACAATAATAATGGGACACTTTAACACTCCACTGTCAATATTAGACAGATCAACAAGACAGAAAATTAAAAAGGATATTCAGGATTTGAACTCAGCTCTGGACCAAGTGGACCTAATAGACATCTAGAGAACTCTCCACCCCAAATTAATAGAATGTGCATTCTTCTCAACGCCACATTGCACTTATTCTAAAATTGACCACATAATTGGAAATAAAAGATTCCTCAGCAAATGCAAAAGAACAGAAATCATAACAAACAGTCTCTCAGACCACAGTGCAATCAAATCAGAACTCAGGATTAAGTAACTCACTCAAAACTGCACAACGACATGGAAACTGAACAAACCGCTCCTGGGTAAATAACGAAATTAAGGCAGAAATAAACAAGTTATTTGAAACCAATGAGAATAAAGATGCAATTTACCAGAATCTCTGGGTCACAGCTAAAGCAGTGTTTAGAGGGAAATTTATAGCACTAAATGTCCACAGGAGAAAGTGGGAAAGATCTAAAATTGACACCGTAACATCACAATTAAAAGAACTAGAGAAACAAGAGCAAACAAATTCAAAAGCTAGCAGAAGACAAGAAATAACTAAGATCAGAGCAGAAATGAATGAGATAGAGACACAAAAAACCCTTCAAAAAAAAACAATGAATCCAGGAGCTGGTTTTTTGAAAAGATTAGCAAAATAGATAGACTGCTAGCTAGACTAATAAAGAAGAAAAGAGAGAAGAATCAAATAGACACAATAAAAAATGATAAAGGGGATATCATCACTGATCCCACAAAAATACACATTACCATCAGAGAATACTATAAACACCTCTATGCAAATAAACTAGGAAATCTAGAAGAAATGGATGAATTTCTAGACACATACACCCTCCAAAGACTAAACCGGGAAGAAGTCAAATCCCTGAATAGACCAATAACAAGTTCTGAAATTAAGACAGTAATTAATAGCCTACCAACCAAAAAAGGCCCAGGACCAGACATTCACAGCAGAATTCTACCCGAGGTACAAAGAGGAGCTGCTAGGATTCCTTCTGAAACTATTCCAAACAATAGAAAAAGAGAGACTCCTCTCTAACTCATTTTATGAGGCCAGCATCATCCTGATACCAAAACCTGTCAAAGATACAACAAAAAAAGAAAATTTCAGGCCAATAACCCTGATGAACATCGATACGAAAATCATCAATAGAATACTGGCAAACCAAACCCAGCAGCACATCAGAAAGCTTATCCACCATGATCAGGTCGGCTTCATCCCTGGGATGCAAGGCTGTTTCAACATATGCAAATCAATAAACGTAATCCATCACATAAACAGAACCAATGACAAAAACTACATGATTATCTCAATAGATGCAGAAAAGGCCTTTGATAAAATTCAACACCACTTCATGCTAAAAACTCTCAATAAACTAGATATCAATGGAATGTATCTCAAAATAATAAGAGCTATTTATGACAAACCCACAGCCAATATCACACTGAATGGGCAAAAGCTGGAAGCATTCCCTTTGAAAACCAGCACAAGACAAGGATGCCCTCTCTCACCACTCCTATTCAACGTAGTGTTGGAAGTTCTGGCCAGGGAAATTAGGCAATAGAAAGAAATAAAGGGTATTCTAATCATAAGAGAGGAAGTCAAATTGTCTCTGTTTGCAGATGACATGATTGTATATTTGGAAAACCCCATTGTCTCAGCCCCAAATCTCCTTAAGCTGATAAGCAAATTCAGCAAAGTCTCAGGGTAAAAAACCAATGTGCAGAAATCACAAACATTGCTATACACCAATAATAGACAAACAGAGAGCGAAATCATGAGTGAACTCCCATTCCCAATTGCTTCAAAGGGAATAAAACACCTAGGAATACAACTTACAAGGGATGTGAAAGACCTCTTCAAGGAGCACTATAAACCACTGCTCAAGGAAGTAAGAGAGGACACAAACAAATGGAAAAACATTCCATGCACATGGAAAGGAAGAATCAGTATTGTGAAAATGGCCATTTCGCCAAAAGTAATTTATAGATTCAATGCTATCCCCATCAAGCTACCATTGAGTTTCTTCACAGAATTAGAAAAAAACTACTTTAAATTTCTTACGGAACTAAAAAAGAGCTTGTATAGCTAAGATAATCCTCTGCAAAATGATCAAGGCTGGAGGCATCACGTTACCTGACTTCAAACTATACTAACAAGGCTGCAGTAACCATACAGCATGGTACTGGTACCCAGATAGACATATAGACCAATTGAACAGAGCAGAGTCCTCAGAAATAATACCACATATCTACAACCATCTGGTCTTTGGCAAACCTGACAAAAACAAGCAATGGAGAAAGGATTCCCTTTTTAATAAATGGTGTTGGGAAAACTGGCTACCCATCTGCAGAAAACTGAAACTGGACCCCTTCCTTACACCTTACACAAAAATTAACTCAAGATGGATTAAAGACTTAAACGTTAAGACCTAAAACCATAAAAACCCCGGAAGAAAACCTAGGCAATACCATTCAGGACAGAGGCATGGGCAAGTTTTCATGATTAAAACACCAAAAGCAATGGCAACAAAGGCCAAAATTGACAAATGGGATCTAATTAAACTAAAGAGCTTCTGCACGGCAAAAGAAACTACCATCAGAGTGAACAGGCAACCTACAGAATGAGAGACAATTGTTGCAATCTATCCATCTGACAAAGGGCTAATATCCACAATCTACAAGGAACTTAAACAAATTTACAAGGAAAAAAAAACAAATCACCTCATCAAAAAGTGAGCGAAGGATATGAACAGACATTTCTCAAAACAAGACATTTATGTGGCCAATAAACATGAAAAAAAGCTTGTCATCACTGGTCATTAGAGAAATGGAAATCAAAACCACAAAGAGATACCATCTTACGCCAGTTAGAATGGCGATCATTAAAAAGTCAGGAAACAACAGATGCTGGAGAGGATGTGGAGAAATAGGAATGCTTTTACACTGTTGGTGGGAATGTAAATTAGTTAAATGATTGTGGAAGACAGTATGGTGATTCCTCAAGGATCTAGAACCGGAAATACCATTTGACCCAGCAATCCCATTACTGGGCATATACCCAAAGGATTATAAGTCATTCTACTATAAAGACACATGCACACGTATGTTTATTGCAGCACTATTCACAATCGAAAAGTCTTGGAACCAACCAAAATGCCCATCAATGATAGACTGGGTAAAGAAAATGTGGCACATATACACCATGAAATACTATGCAGCCATAAAAAAGGATTGGTTCATTTCCTTTGCAGGGACATGCATGAAGCTGGAAACCATCATTCTCAGCAACCTAACACAGGAACAGAAAACCAAACACTGCATGTTCTTACTCAAAAGTGGGAGCTGAACAATGAGAACACATGGACACAGGGAGGGGAACATCGCACACTGGGGCCTGTCAGCAGGTGGGAGGCTGGGGAGGGATAGCATTAGGAGAAATACCTAATGTGGATGACTGGTTGATGAGTGCAGAAAACCACCATGGCATATGTATACCTATGTAACAAACCTGCACATTCTGCACATGTATCCCAGAACTTAAAGTATAATAACTTTTTAAAAAGTAAAAAAAATTGCAATCAACATTTATCTGCATGTAAAATTATTATCAGTTAAAATACTGTCTCTCCAACTCCACTCTGGAAGTGATTGACTTATCTAAACTTTTTATTTGATTTGCTATTTGTAATTTATTATTTAAATATTATGCAGCTAAATATAGTAAAACAAACCAAACACTCTTTAACTCTGTATAGGACATTGTTGTGTACAAAAAAGTTCTCATGAGATGATGATAACAAATAACATTTATCGAGGAAATAGGATATGCCAAACTCTGTGTAAAGCATATTTGTGTGCATGATATTGTTCATTTTACAAGCACCATAGGGGGGATTTGCTATTATTATAATTGTGCTTCAATGTGGAAACATTATGGTACAATGTTATCAACTGGGGAAATAGAGACTTAAAGAATGTAACTAACTTTCCTAAATTACTTGAGTACTAGGTCAAACCTGCACTTTGAATTAATTTCCAGCTTTCAGGTGGTCTCAAACCAGAGCTCATTCTTTTATTACTAAGGGGGCTGCAAACTATTATTCAGGTGCTGTCAAAGATGTGTTGTTTGTCTGGCACATTAATAATTTTTTTTTAAGAAATAAAAATGCTTTTGTGAGTATACTTGCTTATCCCAAATCCCACAGAGCTCACTGTCCTTTCATCCTGATGATCACATTTCAGTTACCTCCTAAAACTCCTAAACCAGCTCTTGTCCTCCCAGGAGATGAGCTTTATAAGCAGTCTCTATGGTAAAAACAGCCACACTTTGCAGGTAGGGAAACCAATTCACAATGAAATTATGAAGAACCAGAGTCAAACAATTAAACAAACATTTTTTTACAAATTGAACATGCTTTATTTCTAAATGCAAAGATACTGAAAAGAGAGGGAAATTCAATCAGAAAATTAAATCTGACCAAATAAAATTTAGAGTTAATTTGGCAGATTTCTTTTCTGGCCTAAGAGAAAATGAAATGAACTTTACTGCTGTTACAGGCATCTGGGTTTTGCTTTTATCTTAATTAGTGGAACTTTTGCCCTCTCTGGAAAAAGAAACCTAACACCATCCCAGAGGAAGAGATTTTTCCTCCCTAGATTTCCTGATGTGAAACCCATCCCTCTAAAGCTTTCCACTATTTTAGGGCATGACGCTTCCAAATAGTATTTTTCCTCCCACTACTTCAAGATAGAAAGAAAAAGAAAGATTACTTTTATTTTAGTTTATTGAAAATAATTACTCATATATTATCAGATGTTATTACAGATCATGGAAACAAAATATTTATCTGTGAAAGAACTATAATCATTTTCTGTTAGTTTGAGACAGGGTGTGAGAGGAGGAATTGGGTAGGAAAGGAAGAGGATTTAGTTGAGGAAAAAATAATGAAAAAGAGCAAATTACTGGCATTTCAAAAGATAAAATTGAAAAGAAGAGCTTAGCATAATTTTAGTTAAAATATTGAGACACTCTCTATTCCTCCAAACTGCGGTCCATGGGTTTAGCTTTTAGGTTTATGTAAGACATAAAAATATCCAGGGCTGGCACAAAGCTCTGCCTAGCTGCACAAGCATAAGGTTTCTCTGTTCTTAGAAAGCTAAGAAGCGCAACCCTCAACATGATCAAAGAGCTGCTCTCCTATCAGCCTGAGAAAATGCAGAAAAAAAATTACTGATAGGTCATTTTCCCAGGGGGCTCATTTGAAAACACTTGGCAAACTTACAAAGAAACTGGAAATCTCGTATGAAGGAAAACATGTTAAGCAGGTGCTACTGAGTATTTTAATATTAATGGTGCCTCTTACAGAGGACAGCCAAATGATGGTGAGTCAACTGATTTATCTGCAGTTGATTATTATGAACCAGGTACTAGGTTTCAGTTTGAACCAGTGACTTAGAATAACTAATACAGGTTTATAGGCTGGTGAAACCAAATATTTCCTTTAAGGGAATAACATTTTCTTGCAATTGGATGAACACAACTACCAGAAGTTTATCACAATATGGTAACAATTTTAATCAAGGCAACTTGCCAACATTAGTGGTTATGGCATGGTTCTGCTTCATCACATTTTCCCAAAGAAACTTTTCAGAGAAAACAGTTGAGATCTTTCAAAAAGTTTGTCAAATCACCATCATCATAAAGGAGAAAACATTATTTATTTATCTGCATGAGCCTTCACTGACATGCATTCATGGTGAACTGGTTGAATATGCAAACTTTGTAAGGAGCTGTACTGGGATTTCAGAAGGGAGCTCTGTTTCCCCTCTCATCTCCTGAATGGTACCACTATTCCAAAGTTAATGGGTAGCCTTCTAGCCCCGATCGCCATAGCTTTGTTACCTTAAATGTGTTGTATTAACTATGTTGCCTTAATTTATAGGTTTTCAAAACCTTCACAAATGTCCTCATTTTGCAGTTTGATATTTTCCACTTAACAACATATGTCTATGTTAGTACAGATATTTAGTGGATAGTTGTAGATTGTTCATGATATAATTTTTCCACAACTTATCCATACCTCTTTGAAGGAAACAAATTATTTCATTTTGTTTGCTATTGCTGTCATTACTATATTGAACATTCTTACATTTATCTTCATTGATATAGGGTCTAGGGGTCTAGGAGTGATAAAATAGAAGTGGAAATTCTTATTTTGATCCTGACCTCAACATAAATTCTTGCATATTAATACTTTACAATTAAGAGTTTGAGTCAATAGTTCGCAAAGAATTGCTCTGGACCAGCAGTATCAGTATCACCTGGGAATTTGTTAGTAATGGAAAGGCTTGAGCATCACCCCAGACCTACTGAATTAGAAACTCTGGGGAAAAGAGGAGGGTCCCAGCAATCAGTGTTTCAATAAACCCTCCAGGTGATTCTCATGCAAATTAAAGTGGGAGGACTGCTATTCTAGATAGTTCTGTGAATATCCTTTGGTTAAGAGAACTTGTTAAAATATTGCTGAGTTTTTGTCATGTAGAGATGTCACATTTTATGGATTTTTTTCTGACTCCATTAAGATTATATGGTTTTTGGTTTTTAATCATTCAGATTCTCCTGACCCAGCCTCCTGAGTAGCTGGGATTACAGGTGTGCACCACCACACCCAGCTAATTTTTGTATTTTTAGTGGAGACAGGGTTTCACCATGTTGGCCAGGCTGGTCTGTAACTCCTGAGTTCAAGTGATCCACCCACCTCAGCCTCCCAAAGTGCTGGGAGTACATGTGTGAGCCACTGCACCTGGGCAGAATTAATGGATTTTTAATAATAATTTTAAAATATTTTTGAACTCAAGGGACAATCTCCACTTATTTATGATGTATGTTTAGTGGCTGTGAGTATCATTGATTATATTTTAATAGTTAATTTGAAAATAGGAAAACTACAAAGACTGCTTCCTGAACAGCTAAAGTTGTAACCAAGTCTCTATCCCAGAATCCTGTTTGCTTTCTTCATAGTATTTATCACACTTTGCAGTTATTTTATCTGTTTGTCTTGGATAATATTTTACTATTAGTCTGTTAGCTTCATGAGCATAGTTATTGCTTCTGACTTACTTGCTGTTGCCTGATTGCCCAGTGCCAATACAGCTCCTTGTACAGAGCCAGCGCAATGTACATGTGCTGGAGGAATAAGCCCTCTCAGGTGGTTTATGCTGTGGGACAGGCCACATACACAAAAGGCTGGATTCTTCTTTGCCTTTACAGCAGCCTTTGCATCCCATGCTCCTTACTCTGCTGGTCTACTTCACTTCTCCACAGAAAAAGAATCAATAGTCTTCTACCCACATGGACTCTACATTATGCCACAATTCTGAACTAGGTTCAGGTTTTTGTGTATTCCAAGAATATTCTAAAATCATGTACAATGAGAAGTGGTTGCATGAGAGGGTATGAACCTGGATCACTGTGGGCAAGTCACCTGATACTTTATCTCACCAAGCACTGTATCCTCATGTGTGGTATGGGATAATAAGACCTACCTTGTCAGATACTGTTAGAGGTGTCAAGATTAAATGAGAAAACAGTAGCCAACATTTATTCAGTGCTTACTCTGTGCCCAGCACTGTTTTTAAAACTTTATATGTATTGACTTCTTTAATCAATGAGATAATGGTAATGTAAATGTGATTGTTCAAGTCTGGTACAACATAAATGATAAATAAAAATATATTTTAATAATAGTTTAATGAGAAAATGGGCTGTAAATAGGAAATAGATGTGTACTAGGCATATTGAAATGAATTTAAAATAGTTAAAAACTGTGTAAGACATAATTATTGCCTTTAAGAGCTTTTGCTCTATTCATTATACATATAATGGGCTTCATCAAGGAAATGATTAAAAGATATTGTGATTTTTAAATAGATCCTACTGGTTTTTGTGATTTATTACATGTGAAAAGCAAAGCATACTAATTAACAAATATTTTCAATTATACTGTGTTCATGTAGAGACAGAAAGATTAGCCAGTGAAAAGAGAAAGTTCTCTTTTAGGTGATTATAAAGTCTGAAAGAGCAAACAATAATTTAAGTAAGGTTCCAATTTTCTTTTTCTTTCTACTGCAAGGACTGAAGTCACTCTTGCAGGAAATTGACTCTTTGGGTGTGGCAACTCTGTGGTAGAGACAATGGAATCATAGAAAAGAAAAGGGAGGCAAGTCCTGAATCACACACCACAGTGAGTCTGTGTTAAGCTTTATATTTCTGGCCAAGTCAAACAATCCAGTAAACTGATTTAAGAATTAGGCAATAAAAACCCTCATCTTGATCAGTGGTCAGCCTATCTTAGACCGAAAAACAAAAAAAAACAAAAATGAAAGAGAAGCATTTCTATCTAAGCCTTAACTACTCATAGGCAATGCATGATAAAGTTTACTCAAAGGTAGATGGAATTACTAAAGTTGAGCGGGTTTCTATAAAGGGTTTTTCATTACTTAGAGTTGCATAAAATATGTGTAGGTTATGCAACTTTTTAAACCGTAGACTTCCTTTATGTATGGCCGGAGGATTGCCATCCTCCTGGACTCAGGATTGAGATTCCGAAAAGGAATGATTCAAGCTGATTCAGACCTTGAGTAGTGATGCCTTCTACACAATTTTCTGAATTTATTTTCACTTCTACTTGTTATTTCCTACAGTCTGTTTACTCCTTGTAGGGTTGTTTCTATCATGACCCCTTTGGTTTAGAGTTTTTCAAACTTTAGTGCTTTCCTAGAACATATGATTCATTAATTCATTCATCCAATAAATACTTATTGAGCATCTACTGTGTGCCCAGCACTGTCTTAGATGGTAGGGCACAGTGGAGAACAAAAGAAAAGCAAAATTCTCTGCCCTGGGGACTGTAGACCTCATGTAATTTTCCATAACACTATAGTGCTCATATGCCTAAAATGTTCCTTTAAGATCCTTTACTCCGAACACGGCTGACCCCTATTCATGCAAATGTTAAATTAAATGCTATTTCTTCAGCAAGGCTCTGAATCCTCTCCTTCATATTAGGTTAGGCTTCTAACGTGTAAATTTTCATAACATTGTATTTTCTTCAAAGCATAATATTAACAATACTGTTACTCATGTGCCTTGACTTGCTAGGCTGTAGACTGTCTTAGAACTGGCACCATGGCCAGGCATGGCGGCTCACACTTGTAATCCCAGCACTTTGGGAGGCTGAGGTGGGAGGAACACTTGAGCCCAGGAGTTTGAGACAAGCCTGGACAACACAGTGAAATCTAGTATCTATACAATTTCTTTTAAAAAAGCTAAGCATGATAATGTACATCTATAGTCCTAGCTACCCGGGTAGCTGAAAGGGGAGGAGTACTTGAGCCCAGGACTTAGAAGGTAGAGTGAGCTATGAGCACACCACTGCACTCCAGCCTAGGCAACAGAACAAAACCCTATCTCTAAAAAAATTAAAAATTAAAAAAAAATAGACACCATGGTCTGTCTATTTTACCACTAAATTTCCAGAGTCTAGCATAGTGCCTAGAATAAAATACTCTCACATAATCACATTTTCAAGGAAAATTTGCATGAGGTAGATTTATTTCAGGTTGGATTTTTGGCATTTTAATTTATTAGTATTACAGGGTGTAAAGGCACTTCAATTTATTGTGTGGTTCCTCCCTCTCCTATTCTCCTCCAAGTGGCGGATTCCAGTGTCCTATAGGTGTCCCAGGCCTCATCATTTGGGTCAAAGCATCACCTCTCGATGCCTGCACATTCTTGTGTACTTTTCCAATGTGAGTGTTGACGTTTATTCCCCTTATCAAACTTGCATATTTGTTTAGCTTTTCTCCATGCCATAGGGCCTAGAGAACTCAAGGGGATGCCACAAAGAGGCCCCACTTTGCATGAGGTTAATGACAATGAAACAGGGTCTAATAATCTGTACTGCCTAGTTTCTACCCATCCCTTTCAACTGAATATTTCACATATTCATCAAGCAACTGCTGTGTAATGCTCATATGACTTCCAATTTCTTTAATTTTAACAGAAATTTAAAAAAAATTTGTTCCTTTCCATTTGAACTCAGCCTTGGGACTGACTATATAACTTGTGGGGCCCAGTGGAAAATGAAAGTGGAGACCCCTTATTAACAAATTACTAAGAGTTTCAAGACCCTGATAGTAGGGCCTATAGCCAAACCTGGAATCTTTCTAAGTGTGGGGCCCTGTACGACTGGACCTGTCACATATCTGGGAAGCTGGCCCTGCTCCTCTTTAATTTGATCTGGTGTCTTTTTTTTTTTTTTTTTTGAGATGGAGTCTTGCTCTGTCGCCCAGGCTGGATGGAGTGCAGTGGCACGATCTCGGTTCACTGAAACTGCCACCTCCCAGGTTCAAGCAATTCTCCCACATTAGCCTCCCAAGTAGCTGGGACTATAGCTGTGCATTACCACGCCCGGCTAATTTTTGTATTTTTAGCAGAGACAAGGTTTCACCATGTTGGCCAGGCTGGTCTCGAACTCCTAATCTTAAATGATCCACCCACCTTGGTCTCCCTAAGTGCTGAGATTACAGGCATGAGTCACCGTGCTTGGCCATGCTTCTTATTTTTCTCAGTCCCTTTCTCCTTATCCCTATTAGCTGTGTGTCTAACAAACATCACCATGTCTCTTTTCTTCCTCTAGAATTATTTCATCTTTTGGATTAGTCAAATTGACATCACTGACGGAATGTAAAAAGTAGAAATATAAAGATTCTGTGGTCTTATCTGATTTTGTGGGTAAAATTATCATCTCTTTCACCTAGTGTTTATTATTTAAATTTGATAAATTTTAATAAACTTCCAAGTTATAATGACTTGCTTAACTTCATTTACTGGTGCCTGCCTTCCTTCCTTCCTTCCTTCCTTCCTTCCCTTTTTTGAGACAGGGTCTCACTCTGTCACCCAGGCTGGAGTGCAGTGGTGACATTTCGGCTCACTGCAGCCTCTGCCTCCCAAGTTCAAGCGATTCTCCTGCCTCAGCCTCCCAAGTAGCTGGGAATACAGGTACACACCACTACACTCGGCTATTTTTTGTGTGTTTAGTTGAGATGTGGTTTTGCCATTTTGGTGAGGCTGGTCTTGAACTCCTGACCTCAGGTGAGCCGCTTGTCTTGGCTTCCAAAAGTGCTGGGATTACAGGCATCAGCCACTGTACCCAGGCTAGCTTTATTTTTTAAAATAAATTGTGGTAGGAAATTCTTCTGAGATGGCTGCTGTACATTTTTGGCTCTACTTTACAAATCTGGCAGGGGGTGACAGGAAACATGAGGAGAAATAAGTAACCTTATTTCTCATAAGGCAGCATCTTTTCTGAGACCTAGTTTTCTTATGTTGTTTCCTGACTATTAACGCAGGCTGATTTTCCTCGTCCTGACCCCTGCGTATCCCAAACTTACTTTGGCTTTGCATGACCTTCCTGTCATGAGTTCTGCAACCAGCCCCCATCCCCCATGAAGTTAATAGACCCAGAGATCTTGGTATGCTTGTCTCTAGCCCCAGCCCTACCTCCTGTGACAGCCCACAGGCCCTCTTTCATCTTTGCGAATCTCTACTCTCTCTCCTTCTGCATTCCTGCATCTTTCAGTGCTTTGCAACAAACTCAGCTGGTTCCTTAACCCAGCTCTTTTTCATTGTTCTAAAAGTCCCACAGAGAATTACAGGGTTCTGAAAACTTGATCGAAGACTTGTAGATTAAAAGAAAGAATCATTTAATACTTCCTGCCTTCATCCATCTGCCCCCTCACTCATTCTCATCTTATCTCTGCCACCTAACCCCTCACAACCCACCCCCTTCTCTAAGCAACAAGCAAGTTCCTTGTTCTTATGCCCAACAAGAACAGTTTTACCCATGTCCTAGTTCCTTGTATCCCCAAATCTTGAACTTTTTTTTTAAATGCATTTGCCTTCCTAAGTTGTGGTCCTGTAACAGATATTACTGTAATACTATGTTTCATCTAATTATACCTATAATTTCCCTTAATAAAATTAGTTTCTTCTGTAGTCTATACTTTCTGAGACTTTTTCAGATTTTAAATATTCTGTTCCATAGCCTACATGATTGTCCTCCACTTACAGTCACAGGTACTGTCTAATTTTTAATTAGAACATATATTTATCATACCATACCTCTGTTAGGTGTTCACCCAGATGGTAGGTTTCATGCAACAGGCAATATATCAGAAGGGACCCAGTCCTCCAAATAAGACAGCCACTGTAAACTATACAGGACCAAACTCCTTATCTTCTCTTATCCCTTAGCCTTATCCCTTGGTTAGCTTCTGACATTTTGACCTTGGATTTTCTTGGTTTTGATTTCCATACTTGTTTCCCATGACATTTGGTTTGCTGTGTACCTTACCATGACTATGCCCTTTTTGTTGCAGAAATCTACTGACAGTTTCTCCCATAGAAATTTTTTTCAGGTTTTGAAAGCACGCATGTTCACTGTAAGAAATTTGGGAACCAGAGAATGTAAAAATAAATAAATAAGTAAATATTTTTAGTCCTGCTTCCCTGTAGTAATACTTGTCAATGCTCTAACTTTCAATATATTATTCTTAATACTTCTTTCTAGACATCAATTATATAAAACTGGAATCATTCTAATATAGAATTTCGTATCTTGTTTTTTTTCACATAACTTTATACCATGATGATTTTCCCATGTGCCTTACCATAGGTTTTTCAGAAAGAAGAGCCTGGGACTTTAGCTTGTATTATAATCTAGGGGGCAAAGGAAATAAAAGCAAGGAAGGGAAAACGCTAATACAGAGACACGATATTAAGCTGGCTGACAATAAGATTACATGGTCTTGGGGCCCATCCTCTAGGAAATTTCATAACCCCTATATTAGCACATTTCATCTCTGGGAAAAAAAGAAGAACATTTATACAGTGGCTGCACTTTTGCTCGCCAGTTCACCACAGGATATACATTCTCCCACATTTCTGCATTGTGTGTGCTTAGGTACAAAATGGGGCACAGTGGGGTCTGATTGTATCTTAAGCCTTGGCTTCAACAGGAAAGTCCCAAATAGGAGGTGGAAGGGGCAAGTATAGGCACGAAACTGTCAGCTTGCACCTACCTAAGGTTCGTCGGAACACACACATCTGCACCACAGTGGCAGCTGGAACAAGAGGCAGTTGGGGCTGAGAAAACCTGAAGTCCCTCTTGGGTGTAATATAGTAAACATTTTGCACAACTCAGAGCTCCTGGTATTCTCATATTTTCTTGTATCAATTTCTCAATATTTTTTCCTTCCTGGCCCTTTACCAACAATCCAAAACCTTTGTCACTGCCTGGAAGTCTTTGCTTCTAGTTCGGCCTCCAACCACTTCTCCCTTCACATACACACCGGCTCATCTAAAACCTGATGGCTCACAGCTCAGCATGGTTTCTTAGCACCACCTTCCACAAGGTTTCAACATGGTAGCAATTTAATTTTCAGCACTAACATATTGTGCCAATTCATCCATGAACCAGACTCAGGTTCATTTCTTCTCTGATACTGTTAATTATAAAAATTGCCCATCCAAGTCAGGTGTGGTAGCATTAACCTGTAGTTCCCAGCTACTTAGGAGGCTGAGGTGATTGGATCTTTTGAACCCAGGAGTTTGAGTCCAGCCACGCGACATACTGAGTTTCCATCTACAGAAACAATACAATACAAAACAAAACAAAATTCCCATATGGCCACCAGTGTCAGTTGAAGTCAAGTTGTCAGTGTGATAAGGGTAATTGATACAAGAATCCAATCACCTGTTACTTATGCTCTCTGAAACTGCTCAGGCCCGATCCCCAAAATACAATTTGTATCATAGAACCTAAAACCTGTTCATAGTGCAACATACCCTGTACTTTGACCCAGATCTGATAAATCTTAGTTTATGATGGGCAGTTTCAGTTGCATAGTCACTTTGTAAACCACAATTACTCATTTAGACTCTATGAATGTCCAGGTACTTAGGAACTATGAAGCAGAGAGTACATTTTGTCAAGAAGGTTTTGTTCCAAAATCCTAGGGGTCTACACTGTGCATCTTTCATTAGGGTTTGACAGAGACTCCACACAGCACACTTATTCACCATCGACATCCACTTTATTAACCAGTCTATGGTTCAAATGGCAAGACCAACATTCCCTACAGCAGTCTGGACTTGCTATAGATTTCTCTTTTACTCAGACTACCATTCAAAATTAGTAGTCTTTTAAGTCTCCAAATAAATGGGTTTCAGCACAAGTAATATATGTGGCCTCCTAAATTTAAACAGTATATAACTGCTTTGTCTTTTTCTTCTTGGTATGAGATTTAAGGTGCAACCACATTCTTTACTCAATAGACCCTGGGCCACTGGACCCAGAAAAGCTTTACAAATGTGGCAGACTCCTGAGGATTCATGGAGTCTATTTGTAATCCTCTAACATACATATATCTTACTAAAGCATATCATGTATTTGTCATTCCTGCTCACCAACTCAAATAAGTAGGATATCATCAAGTTAATGTGCCAGTTTGATGTTCCATTAAAGATTATCTAAGACTCCACAAGTAATATAGTAGGTAGCAGGAGAGTAATATAACTCTAGTGAGTGACCAAAGTGCTTGGTGCCGTTCAAAAACTGGATATTTCAGTCCCCAAATCCTGGCCTGAACGTCTTCTTTCTAGGATCAGTCTAAATGTTTTACCTAGTTTCTGCAGAAAGAAGAATTTGAGGCAAAGCCGTACGTGCTATTATTTCATTAGGGAGTGCAATTTCAGGGAGTAGGAATAAGAAAAAGGGTGAATGAAACAGCGAAGGAGGGAAAACTAATATAAATATTTTCAATTTAACTGCTGCTAAGCACAACTGAGAGCTCAGTTTCATGGAAACATTCTCTAAGAAGGCTTACAGTCTATATCATAGGATTGTCAATCATGGGGGGAAAAGGAAAGAATTTATTCACCAGCTACTCTTTCCCACAGGTCTGTAGTTTGCGGTGCAGGTTATTAACTTCTCTGCATGTGTGTCAGTGGTGAGCCACATCTCAATGTCAACAGCGAAGGCTTGGGCAGAAGGAAGAAGCTCTGTATTGGCTCTGTCAGCTTAAACTTATGTGACTCAGTCAGCAGCACAGCTAGACCAACCGAAAGGCAAGGTTAATAGGTCAATAGCATCTGCAATGCTCCACGAGGTATTTGATACATCATGCCATTAAAGACTCTTTGAAGCTAACATTTCCCATGGATGTATACTATTTTATTTCATTGATGTGCTCAGATCCACTGAAACATTTCCCAGTTGTCAGCAGTTAAGTTGCTCCTCCTTCATTATTACTATATTGTCACAACAATCAAGCTTAGTTTTGAATGCCTTGTCAACCTTTGCTTCATCTTTAACCCAGGCTTTACTCTTGAGCTTTTGGTATCAGGTATCTTTGTACATGTGCTGTCTTCTTGTGATCTTGGTCTGTGGCTGAAATAGATACTGAAAACTCAATGCAAATTGAATTTTATCTTCCTATGTGGTGTCACTCTCTAATGGGAGAGCAATGAGGGTCTCCTCTTTCTATATGATGCTTCATTTGGAGTCCACTTGTTCCTCCATTATTTATTGAGCTCTTACTCTGTTCCAAGTGTTGTGCTAGGAGCTGAAGATACAGTAACACAAGACATAGCCCCCACTCACAAAGAACTCCTAATCCAGAAACCAGTTGCCGCAAATACCAGTGGTCTTTCAGAAACCATTTTCCATATGCAAAATAATTTACATATGAGGAAAATTGGGCAGTTAATTTGTAACTGGAATAGTAATATACCTAGAACAGGAATGCTGCTCTAAAAAAGTTCAGGTCAGGTAGGAAGATAATGCAGTGTTTGTGGCAGAGTGTTTTTCAGAGTTAGAGAAGATTGGATCAAATGTGGCTTCCCAGCAATAATAACATCACACAGGAGAAAGATAAAATGTTTTTGTCCAAACCTCTCATTTTACCATCATTTCACTGAGAAGTAGTTCTTTGTGCCAGAGTGTAGCTGAGTCCGTTCTCCCTAAATTGTCCTGGAGTGAGGCTTTAAAGGGAAAGGGAATTGGCTTCCTTATTCTGGACATTAAGATATTCTAACATTACCTTTGATGAAAATCCTATGGACTGAAACGTCAGCATCTCATACCCCAATGATTAGAGTGGATAGAAATTTAGGATAAAAGAACAGGTAAAATTTAATCTGAATTAGATATGCTATTTGAGACTGCACTACTGGCAAAACACATATTATGCACTGCTCATTTTATGGTTTAGCACCTTGATACTGTTTGGTACAATGTAAATGCTGGTTATAATAATCAAAGCAACAAATGGGCTCTCCTTAGCGAATACTTTTCATAAAGTAGTCATTTTCTCTATTCCAAAATCCTGACAAGGGTCTCACAGGAATGACTGGAGTCTGTGTTTTTAGAAACTCACACTGCTCTTTTATTGCACTTCTGTCCCTAACGTAATTAAAGCCATAAAGTCTTATAAAATGGGACAGCGTAAAGGGAGAATCTGCCAAATTGATATTGGTTGTGGGACTTCTCAAAGCAATAATGCACGATTCTCACCATTACTTCTTTTTTGTTTCTTACTTCCATCTCTCCCTCCATTCCTTTCTCCCCACTTCCCTCTTTTCCTTCTTTTCTTGCTTTCCTCAGCTCCTTCTCCCTCTCTTTTCCCTTCTCTCTCTTTTAAAAAGTATTGTGGTTCTATAATATTTTTCTCCTCATTGGTAAAATTCCACAGATACTTGGCTTCCAGTTTGTCATACTGCCATCAATTACCCATCTTCCAAACGATGTTATAAATGAATACTTTGCTGACAGATGTTTCATTGTAATTTTGTAATTCTTTGTAGCAAAGAAGATGATTTTCTAAAATTCATTCTGTTGCCCGTGTGACATAATAATTTTAATCCCATCAAATATGTTTTGTTTGTTAAATAAGTGCCAACTTTTAAAGTAATATATATAAAATTGAGCTTTTTCAGTAGTAGTACTTTGCTATATTGAGTATGTCACTTCATCTTTCCAAACTTACTGCTTCTGAGCTATAGATTTTTATACAACCAACAGAATAAAAGAGGTTAAGAGGATAATATTTCTGTTTTCTGTAGTGTAAGTCTTGTTAATATCTTTTATCATTAATTACATTCATCTTTTTTGTTCTTCTCTGAAAGTCTTAGTTTTCCTTTACTACCCAAATGCCTTCTTGTCTCTTTCATCCCATAAGGAATGCCTCCGAAGTTTCACATCAGATAATCTGGGAGTGATGGAATTGTGTGTTCTCTCCCCAGGTTGCTTTGTGAGAAAGTTCTGCTAGAAAAGCTTTGTGTTATTTCCAAGACAGTGGCACCTGTCCAACAACATGTCCAATTTGTCAAAAAGGCCTGACTGAAGTCCTTCATTATCATATGTTAGTGAAATAATTTGCCTGAAGGGGAAATGGCTCTTTAATAAGAGGAATGAATTGCACATTGTTTTATCCTAATACCCACACAGCTTCTTCCTCATAACATATATTCCTGTATTTACTTCAAATTGTCTACCTGCTTAGTGAGTCTGTGTAGGAAAATTGAAGCAGCAGTCTTGAATAGCTACACATTGTACGTGTCAAAGTTACCTGAGGGAACTGAATCAAAGTAGATCAGGAAGTCTTTTGTGTTTTCTTTTAAAGGTACTAATTATTACAAAATATATCGGTGTAGACTTCTCAGGCTCTAGGCCTCAAATCAAATTGAAGAGGTATATAGTAATAAGAGTGAAGAGATATATTTCAAGAAGCAAGAATGCTAGTTTTGGATGAGATAGATTGCGGTGGACACACTTAAGGGCTCCAGATATATCATAGAAACATCTGTCACCCCCTTCAGCTACCATGTTTGGTCTGACCCCTGGTAAAGGCAAGACTTGAACACCAGGATGGGATTGGAGCAACCCCTTTCTCAAAAAAAAAAAAAAAAAAAATGAGAACAGAGACTGGGAAACAGTAAATTGTATTTCATGTGTGTTTGGAACTTAATAACTCAGAAGCATGGGAAACCATATTCTCCTATGTGGACTTGAAAGCAGAGAAAGGCAATCTTCACAAAGAGGTTTACAGAAAGTAAGAAAGTTGAGAGAATTCCACTAAGGTTCCTGATGGTTTTTCTGTCTTTCTCAGAGGACTCCTGAATTTCTTTCTTTTTTTTTTTCCTGCTTGATCTAGCCTGAGTAACTGCCAGTTATTTGCTGTCAAAGGGATTTGCCTAATAGTAACACATAAGTAAATAAAGGTAGATATTCTTTTATATGCCCATTCAAAAATTGGAATTGATTTACAATTTTACCAGAAAATGGCCTAAGGAAAAACATTGTGCTTAATAACATGCAGCACAGGATGGACAATAATTGAGAGCTGACAAATCCCTTGGTTTGCACCCTGGCTCATGCAACAGTCAAGAAACTAGAGAACAGAAGACATTAAAAAAACTGGTTTCTCAGGCATACTATGAGAGCTGCTTCAGTGGGAGTAACTCAGGATAAATTGGATTGGAACAAATATTTACATAGAAAAAAATCAGTAGTGCAATGTTATTATAAGCACTATTTGTGAAACCAGATGTATCACTACAAATCATAGTCTCTAAAGGAAGAATTTATAACCAAAGCTATTTAATTGCTTTGCACCACCCTCTTTTATGATTGTTTTACTGGGAAAATATTATTTTAAAAATATGCAAAAACAAAGTGCTCTTTATTCTTAAGGGAAAGGAAAATGATGTCCATGAGTTATCTCTACTTGTGAATATAAGAACAGTATAGGGTCATTAGAAATCGCTTGAATTTTTCTTATTTCTTATCAAGGAATTATACTGCAAGAGTACATTTCAAACACAATTTGTATTAAATATTTAGGCAAGTGTGATTTCATTTCTCCTGAAAAATAGACTTCTGGGTTTTAAAATATTACTTTTGATAATTACAATTTATATTTATTGTTTTTCCATTACTTCTAGAAATAATGATGTAAACATATTTAATGTAAAATAGCAAGCTGACGTGATGGTTTCAATTTTTTTTATTTTATTCTTTTTTTTCTTTTTTTTATTATACTTTAAGTTCTAGGGTACCTGTGTACAACATGCAGGTTTGTTACATATGTATACATGTGCCATGTTGGTGTGCTGCACCCATTAACTCGTCATTTACATTAGGTATATCTCCTAATGCTATCCCTCCCCCTTCCCCCCTCCCCCCTCCCCACGACAGGCCCCAGTGTGTGATGTTCCCCTTCTTGTGTGATGGTTTCAATTTTTTTACATATGTAGCGGTTGATTTTCATTCCCGTTATTTGTTGAACACATATCATTTTTATTCTGAAAGTTGGAAAAGGAGACTCAATAAATCGGGGAACTTTTCTACGCTTCTAACAGGCATGCTTATGGAGGAGGAGACACTAGGCACACATTAACAGGAGAACAGGCCTAGATAGCAGGAGCTATCAGAGAGATAAGCACATATATCATCCAAAGGCAAACTGTATTCTGCACTGAATTCCAAGTGCGGTAATGATGTTCCCATGAGGCAGATGAAGCATGGAGGGAGGGAATCTGAATTTATGTAGTTGTGACTTGAAAGGCTCAACCACATTAGCGCTTCCTCTAGAATAGGAACTAAACAAAAAATAACGGCATATAAGAACCAAAACAGTATTTCAGTCTTAGAGACCAGGACAAATAAGTGTTGGTGGATTTAAAACTACATGGTGTTGGAAAGTGGGTATGTTAAACTCCTGTCAGTCTTGGAAGGAAGGGATTGACAAGGCTGTTACAACCTTGCCTGTTCTGTGTCTCAATGGTTCAGGGTATTAGAGTGATACTGAGGTTTCAGGGAAATATAGAAAAATCAGAAGCAAAGGAATAGTCCAGGTCAATGAATCATTTATAATATCACTACATAACTCCTACTGTCGTAACCGATTTGCTTCATGTGCAGGGACTTTTTATGCCGTCCTATTTCAGTTTAATTTCCCTTTATTTTTCTTTGTATACTCACTGACACAGCCAAACTTGTCTATTGTGTTTCCCTACATATTTCCTGATATGGTTTTGCTGTGTCCCCACCCAAATCTTATCTCGAATAATAGTTCCCATAATCCCCACATGTGGTGGGAGGGACCCAGTGGGAGGTAATGGAATCATGGGGGCGGTTTACTCCATGCTATTCTCGTGATAATGAGTAAGTTCTCATGAGATCTGATGGTTTTATAAAGGGCTTCCCCCTTCTCTGGGCTTATAATTCTCCTTCCTTCCGCCATGTGAAGAAGGATGTGTTTGTTTCCCCTTCTGCCATGATTGTAAGTTTCCTGAGGCCTCCCCAGCCCTGCAGAACTGTGAGTCAATTAATCCTCTTTTCTTTATAAATTACTCAGTCTCAGTTGATTCTTTATAGCAGCATGAGAATGGACTAATACATTTCCCTTTAGTCACACTGTTTCAAACTCTGGAAATTCCTTCCATCTCATCATTACATGTGTTAGTTCTATCTATTCTTCAAGTCCCAGTTCATGTAATGATTAACTTAAACAGAATTATCTCTACAACCACCATGAAGGTCAAGAAATAGGACACTGTGAGCATTCTAGAAGCCTGTATGTGATCTGTACTTTCTTAATCATATCCCCCTTGTTCTTCCTTGGAGGTAATCACTATCTTGACTTTGTAATAATCATGTCTTTCCTTTTATTTATTAATCTGAACTTTTACTGTTTATACATGCTTCTCTAAGTAACATTGTTTATTGTTTAACTTTATATCCTTGAATCTTACTATATGTATTTTGTGACTTCTTTTGCCCAATGTAATATTAATAGGCTTCATCTATTTTGTTCATTTGTACATAGTTAACTTATGCTTTTTAATAAGGTTCCCTTGTCTATATATTCCACTATTTATTCATTCTACCATTTATGGACATTTGAGATCTTTTCGGTTTGGGACTCTTTTAAGCATTCTTGTGTTGGTATCCTGGTACATATGTGGGTGAGTTTTTTAACTATTTAAATTTAACTTTTAATTTAAATTTATGAGCTAATATGTATTCCACTTAAAATATTATTATAAAATAATTGCAATTTTAATATAATAGTTTGTAGCAAAATGTACATAATTGCAACTTTTTTAGGGCTTCTTGGTTATTCCAGATTTCTTTCTATTATAAATAGCACTCTAATGAACACCTCTGGGAATATATGTTTTTCCCCACATAAAGCTGTTTCTACAGAAACATTCACTTACTGGAATTATTTGGTCAAAGGGTAAAAATATTTAAAGATTCTTGATTTTAAAGAGGCAAATGGCTGCCAAGCTTGTTATGTACATTTATATGACCGTTGTTTGTTTTCAGTAGAAAATGTTTTTGGAAGGAAGACCCAATGTATTGACTTTAGGATTAAATAATTTTCACATTGTAACAATTTATTCATGTATTATCTCCTATATAATTCAAAAAGGGGATAACCTTTTCTTCTTGTTGATTGCTAGTGATTGTGTAATTCTGTACCTCTGACCAAAACTGGAAAGTTGTCCTCAGTATGTTATCACAATTGGCTTTTTGGTAGAAGGTATGGACATTACATTGATTATAAGTAGTAGCCATCTAATATTGTAATCATCCTGGTGAGAAATACATTACAATAAATATTTATGGCAATTGTCTGTTAAACAGTTAAACATACTTTACTTCAGTAATATCCCTGAAGCAGATTTTTTGCTAAGAGTTGGCACACCTATACACAGACAAACATACAGCATGCAAAAATAATACATTAAAGGAAGGGAAAAGGAACACTTATAAATTAATGTTAAGGTAGAGTCTATTTTGTTCTTTTTACCAACTGGTTACATTCTGCCCAAATCCATTTGTCTGTTTATGGCATTATATACGAGGCTTCTTAGGCTGACAGCGACTATATTTCTCGTTTACTTTTCTCAGTGACTGGAACCAATGGAACCATGTGAAACTAAAAGATGACGAATGGCACTGTTTTTTCCCCAAAATTAAACCATTGCAAGCGTCATGAGTCTGTGCAATTGTGATACTTGTGGAAAGGAGCATAAGGCAATGATTATAAAATGAAGTGCCAACTTCACTCCTAATAAGGCAAACTGGGGGAGTTCAACAGTACTGACTCTAAGTGTTCTCTAGAATTCACAGAAGAAGAGTCCATTTGTCATATGTTTGTGCCATCCAATTAAAATGTGCCCTATTTTCTATATTGGTCTGTTACTCTGTCTTTTGTTGATTATAGAAAAAGGACAAAAATACAGTGTATATATCTATATAATATATAGATATTAATATATAATAATATATAGATATATAATTATACATTTATACACACATATGTGTATACACATAATTACTAAAAAGTATAATTACATATGATTACACTTTATATATGTGTATATAATTAAAATTATTTGCATATACAATTATAGAATTATTAAAAAGTATAATTACATATAATTATACCTTATATATGTGTATATAATTAGAATTAGAATTATATACATATATAATTATAGAATAGAATTATATACATATATTAATATAATTCAGTAATTATGTAATATAATTACTGAGAGAAGAAAAGAAATATAGTCACTGTCAGCCTGAGAAGCCTGGTGTGTGTGTGTGTGTGTGTGTGTGTGTGTGTGTGTGTGTGTGTGTGTGTGTGTATAAAATTACTAAAAAGCAACACTTTCTTTTTACATAGTAAATTACACAGTAAATCAATTACACAGTAATTCAAGTGTAGATTTCACTTCTTAAAAATAGGAATGTCCTTCTTATATACTTTCACCAGAACATCATGCATACCACTTTCTTAGACTTCTTAGTGTTAGCATAAGTTTTATATTTTTAGCTTCAGCCTTCTTGGAGGGATTCTTTCTAATAAATGTCTATCCAATCTTATATCCAGACATCTTCACTTCTCCAGAAAACTGACATCACTCTTTTCTGTGACTGGTGTAGTTTGTTATTTCAGTAGCAGTTCCCTGATATTCCTGAAAGGCAAAGAACTGAGAAGGCTGAAGTTAGGGTTTTAGCTTGGTTGAAGTAGGACACATTATCCTGACACTAATTTCATCTTAGTAAAGACTTTACATGGTTTCTTTAATCTTCTCTTCTTCTCCAGGCAACATCTAGAGTCTCTTCTGGCTTTTATTATAACAGTACTCTTCCATGAAATAAAGTCCACTTGAGGATAAGAGTTAAAGGAACTGAGGTGATGTAAGTAAGGATATTATATATATATTTGAGCCACTTGGTTAATGTGAAAAAACATACCCAAGAGTTGCACGTGAAATATGAAATAACTATTTGATTGCTCAAGTTTTCTCTTTCACATTGCTCACAAATTTGTTAACAGTGGCATTTTCAGCTATAGATTGCATGATCCTCTTCTGTTCAATAAAGAAGACAATCATGAAATTGTACGAAAGATGAGACTCTAATTTTTCTTTTACTATTTATTGTTTCTGTATCTAAAATTCTTAATGATCATGGATCCCCATTAGTTTGCAAGACTTTTCATAATCTTCTCATAGACAAATCCTTCAACCTCATTTCCCACCACGTGTATCTCAGGATTTAATCACATTTAATGCCTCTCATTTCACTCAAACTGACATGTTTTCTTGTTCAAATTGATTCTAACAAGACCTATCACCTATTCCTAATAATGCCAGAATAAATGCTTTACCATCCATTTCTAGTTATGTAAGAATAATCTCAGCGAGTCATCTCTTCACTAGATAGTATCCCTAATATTCTTATCTATCTCTTTAATGTGATGCCATAATTCCTTGTCTTTGCTAATACAGCACATACTATATAATTATCACAGTGTGGTCATCTGTTCTTTTTTTCTATTTCGCAAATACTGCACTAGGTTGAAGAGTAGTATTGGAAAGTACGTGTTCACAATTATAAAATAAAAACTAACAAAAATAATCAGAAATTCTACAGTATAACAGAAAATACAGCTCTAATTCACAATTTATGTTACAGTTCCTGACAGTTGAAAATAAAGAACCAACACACTCATTTGCCTGTTTTTAATGAAGTAAACCCTTTAAAGTCCAGTTACATAAATAATATGGATTCAATTTGAGTTGTCTGTTTAGCTAGTTCTAAACCGGGCTTATTCTATCATCTTAAAATGGAATGGAACAGTCTTATTTAAGGAGATTAAAATGAATGTTTGTGTACAATCTTTGAGGGAAACTTTGAGTCTACTCCATTCCACTCTGGTGAATTAAATTAAGCCGGATGCATTCAAGGCCAGGAGTCAGCTAGCACTGTTTAAATTTCATTACCACTATGTCATGATGCACGTAAAGGAGGTTCACACAACTTTTTATAGAGAACCTTGTCCATTTCCTGGAACAGAGTAGGAGACTGGGATGCAGAATCCAAACTTCTGTGGCTTTTTTCATACCCATACTTGGAACAGAAGAATAAAAGCGTATGTGTTCTGGCACTCAGGTCATCAGCAATAAGGAGAGATTGCTACCTTGGGAGCAGTTACGTACTTTTTTCTTTGATTTAAACTTTTAGTAAAATTGGTCATTTAAAAATAGTTTTAAATCAACTTGAATTATCTACAGAGGAATAACTAAGATGAAAGTTACTTTAGTTACACGATTATAATAAAACGTAAAAGCATAGTTAGAGTCTAATTCTTGGTAAAGAAGTGGTTCTTAATCTTTCTGTGTGTCACATACTTCATTGAGAATCTGAGAAAAGTAATGATCGCTCTCCTCACAATAATGCATATATTCATATCCATGCACAATTTTTTTTATCAATTACAGTATTCACTAGTCTACCCCTCTGTAAGCCAACACATGGACTCTCTTGGTGTCTTGTATTAAGACACTCCGGCTTGGACAACTGTTGGTAATGGTGGTGAAGAGATTTGATTATGCAAACTCTTCCATATATAACAATTACAAAATATGGTCAAAATATTTCAAGGTGAAATATTTATGCAATCTGAAGAGAAATGAGAGTATGGAGAAAATATTAAATACAACTCCTTAAAGGTATGGGAAAGAATTAAAAATCATTCAGAAACTGGAAGAGAACATACCTTTAAAAACCTAAAATTCAAAGAAGTAAAGATTGTGTGTGACTTTCTTGCCTAAGAGCACTTCTTTACTCCCATTGGTGCCTTACTCCATTTGGGCTGCTGTAACGAACTATTGTAGCTGAGTGGCTTATAAACAATGGAAATGTATTTCTCACAATTCTAGAGGCTGAGAAGTTCAAGATCAATGAGCCTACAGATTAGGTGTCTGGTAAGGGAATGCTTCCTGGTTGGTAGGTGGTTGTCTTTTCACTGTAACCTCATATAGTTAAAGGAGGCAAAGGCGCTCTCTCGAGCTTCTTTTGTAATGGCAATAATTCTGTTCATGAGGTCTCTGCCTTTGTAACCTAATCACCTCCAAAGGCCTCGCCTGGGAATACCATCACATTGGGGATTACGTTTCAACATATGAATATTGGATTTTTCTTTTTTTTTTTTTCTATAGAAATGGGGTTTTGCTAGGTTGCCCAGGCTGGTCTCAAACTCCTTGGCTCAAGTATCCACCTGCCTTGGCCTCCCAAAGTGCTGGGATTACAGGCATGAGTCACTACAACTGGCCACAGCATATGAATTTTGGGAGGACACAAACATTTACTCTATAGAACATTGTTACAACGGAAGAACACTTCCGCCTTACTGTCTTGGCTCAGGGAAGTAAAGAACAGAGATCGATATTGAAAGATAAGCTAGGAAATTGGGGAATCTTGGAAACAAGAGAACCAAGAGGCGAGACCCTGTTGGTCAGGGTATAATTTCCACAGAAATCTCTATCTGACTGCTCACCTTTACAATCTAGGTGATAATCAAAGGTACTGGGAATAAAAAGGCAGGGACGAGAGGGGAACTTAACTCTGAAAGAGATTGCTGGACCAAATGACAGTTTTTTTGTTTTCTACTTCATTAAGTGCATTTCTCAGTCTATGTGTAGGTCAAGTGGTAGTTAGCTGAAGCCATGCTAATTTGAGATGTCAAAGCACATAGGCCAAGGCTGGCTGAGAAGCTAAAAATGTAAGAAAGATTTCCCAGAAAAAAATCCACAGAGAAGGTGAGCCCCCAAATCTAGTATAAAATTTGCCCAAATACTGGACCGAGTGCTAAATATTGCAGACCCTGGAGAAACCGCCAGAGAACTAAGTTGAAAAGTGAACAGAAATCGAAGCAGATATGTCAGCTACAGAACTACAATATACAACGGAAGAGATACCATTTGAGTCTAGGCAAGTTAATTGCTTACTAAGAAAAAAAAAAAAAAGCTCAAAAAAGGCAAAAGATTCCAGAGTTGCTACAAAGCATTATCTAAATATCACTGAATACAGAAAGAACCAGAAAATTGTGATCCAAACTCAGGAGAATTAAATAGCAGTGAATAGGAATAAACTCAGACTGGTAACAAATATTGTATTTAACAGAAGAAAGTTTCAAAGCAGCTACTTTCAACACATCCAAAAAATTTGGACTATGTTGAGAGAATTTTAAAGATATTATATTTAATTTTAAATAAGACTATGTTGAGAGAATTTAAAAAATCATCTTAATGAATACAATGTTAGAAAATTCCAATGGAAAAAATGAAAACTATTAAAAATGGAGTTCCTAGAGCAGAAATGTGTAATATCTGAAATGAAGAATTTACTAGATAGGATCAAAAAGTGAATTAGATATACAAGTTATAAGAATCAGTGAACATGAAAATATTTCAATAGCAATTACTCAATTCAAAGCACAGAGAGATAAAGGATTGATGGGAAATGAACAGAGCCTTGGAGACTTGTGTGACGATATCAAACAGTTCAATATGCATGTAATTGCAGTGTCTTTAGGACAGGGAAAACAGAAAGTGGTAAAAATTATTTGAATAATAGCTGAAAACCTCTCATATATGACTGAAAATGTTAACCTACAGATTAAATAATACCAGCAAACATCAATCAGTATAACCACTCGTACACCCATCAAAGTCAAATTGCTGAAAGCAAGATGAGAAAATTTTGGAAACAGGTAAAGGAAAAAAGGCAACACATTACAACTATTGTTTGATTTCTTATTGAAAACGATAGAAGACATGGGACATTGAAATAATGTATTTTAAGTGATAGAAAAACATATGTACATATATATACATACACATATGTAATATATATCTTAGGAGTTTTGTATCTGGCAAAATAATTTGTCAAAAATAAAAAAAAAAGGAAAACTTGAATTGAGCAACATTTGAGAAAATTCATCATCAACAAACATCCTGAACTACATAACATTCTTTTTTCTTTTTTTGTTTTGTTTTTTGTTTTTGAGATAGGGTCTGGTTCCATCACCCAGGCTGGACGGGAGTAGCACAATCTCGGCTCACTGCAACCTCCACCTCCCAGGCTCAAGTGACTCTCCAACCTCAGCCTCCTGAGTAGCTGGGAATGCAGATGTGTGCCACCACGCCTGGCTAATTTTTATTGTTTCTTATTTTCTTTGTAGAGATGGGGTTTTGCCATGTTGCTGAGGCTGGTCTGAAACTCCTGAGCTCAAGCAATCCTTCTGCCTTGGTCTCCCAAAGTGTTGGGATTACAGGTGTGAGCCACCACACCCGGCCAGTACATAAAGTTCTGTAAGAATTTCTTTGAGGAGAAAGCCCCCAGGTGTTATTATAGTCAGTGTGTGTTTGTGTGTATGATGCAATAAAAATGGAAAAATAATGAGTGGAGCAAAAATTGATTTACTGTTGCAAGCTTCCTATACACCACCTTATATTATTAAATATTAGCTATAACATTGTGATATTAAAGATACTTTCTTAGTCCATTCAGGCCACTGTAACAAAATTTCATAGACTGGGTGGCTTATAACAACAAAAATTTGCTTCTCACAGTTCTGTAGACTGGGAACTCCAAGATCAAAGTATAGGCATATTTGGTGTCTTATATAAAGAGAGCCTGTTTTCTCATAGATTGTGCCTTCTTGCAGTATCGTCACATGATGGGAGCAAACAAGCTGCCTCATGCCTCTTTTGCATGGGTGCTATTACCATTTATCAGGACTCTGCTCTCATGATCGAATAATTTTCCAGTTGCCCCACCACTTAATACCATCTCTTTGGGGGTTAGAATTTCATCATGTGAATTTTGAGGGGACACAAACATTTAGACCACAGCAGATACATATTGTAATTCCCTCAACAGAGATGTAGCTAGAAAGCCAATAAAGGAACTGAAATGATGGATTTTTTAAAAAGTTGATTAACACAGAGAAGACAGGAAAGAAGCTGCAGAGAAAACTGATAAATATAATACAATAACAAAATATCATATCTGAAACAATCATATCAATAACTACATCAGATATAAATCAACTAAACACTTCAAGTATAAGGCAGAAATTTTAAAACTTTATAAAATATAGCAAGAAGCAATTGTATGCTACCTACAAGAGGCACTTTAAACACATATACCCAAATCACTTGAAACTAAAAGGATGGGCAAAGATGTACCTTACAAGTACTGGACATAATAAAGCCAAAGGGTTCTATTCATATCAGAAAACATAGAAATTGAGAAAAAGGAGCAGTGATAGTGACAAAGAATGACATTTTGTAGTGGTAAAAGGGTTAATACTTCAGGAACATAAGACGGTTACAAACACAGGCACCTAATAAGAGTGCTTCAAATTACATGAAGCAAAAGCTAATAGAACTTAAGGAAGACATAGACAACTCCACAACTTTAGCTGGAATTTTTTTTTAACTCTATCTATAATCAATACAAAGCCTAGATAAAAATTTGAAAAGATAGAGAAGATCTGAATAACACTATCAAACTGTAACCCCATTTCTATGTAGAGAACACTGTATCCAACCAGTATAAGATTCTCATTATTTTAAAGGACATATGAAAAAGTCACCAAAAGAAACCACCTCTGGGCCATAAAAGAAGTCTTCATAGTTCTCTGACCATAGCTGAATTAAATTAGAAATTAACAGTACTAAAAAACTAGAAAAAGCCTAAATATTTGGAAATTTAATAGCGTACTTCTAGGTAACTAATGGGTCAAAAAGAAATCATAAGATAAGTGAGAAAATATAAGTTACTGAATTATAATAAAAGTATAATATATCAAAATGTGTGTGATGAAGCTAAAGCTAAAGAAGAAAGATATAATATTAATGATCTAAACTTTCTTGTTAGAACACTATTTTAAAAAGAGCAAATTAAATTGAAACTAAGTAGAAAAAATGAATAATAAATGTAAGGAAGAAATCAGTGGAATAGCAAATGTATAAATAATAGAGAAAATCAATGAAACCAAATGTTGGTTTGTTGAAAGAATAAATTAAATTAATAATCCTCTAAGTAAAATGACTGATATAAAATTGGTCACTTTTTTCTTTCCTAGCCATTTGTGGAATGCCTCCTTGTTCTGTGGGAGGATGTTTGCAGCCCACTGTTGCTATAGCAATTCCAAAACTATTAATATCTTAAGAAAGTCATACTTGTAATATCTAAGTAACATTTAGTTTTATTTTTAAAATGAGCAAAGTTTCTTACAAAAATGGCAATTTATTCTCAGGCTTACTCTTGATAGATAGGACCAATGTGTTAGGGATGCATTTTTTTTCTTTGTTTGCTTAAAAAAATAAACATGGAACATGAAGCAATAACTTTTGAATTGTCTGCAAAATTTTATTAATTTGCTTTTGGATATAAATTTCACTTTCTGTTTCTATTTACATTTCATAATTTAAAATTACATAATTTTTGAGGCCTCTGCAAATCTTCTCCCAAGGAACTCTAATTACATGAATAGCTTTTTTTTCCATTGCCTATTGGGCTCCTTATCTTTCTATAAGGAAAAAATTCAGATACCAGCATATCACACGAAGCTCATCAAAATTCGATACTAACCCATTTTATCAAATTTATCGTCAACTACTCTACAACATTCCCATCCACTAATTCATGTATTTATTAGCACCCCTAAAATACTGACTGTGTTATTTTTAGCACTAATGTCATGTCTATAACAAATGGGATATTTGTTATTTGTAATTTGTACATTTACCTTTCTTTTCACATTCATTTTTTTTTTGCCATTACCATGATCTTTCAACTTATTTTGTTTTCTTATTCTTCTAGGGTTTGTTTATACTCATATTTTTAAATATCCTTATGCTTCTACCATTTGATTTTTGTGTGTAGTATGCCAAGTAATGTTCTGACCAAACCCAACCTTCCCAAGAATCACAACAGTAGATCTTGGACAAAAACATTTAAAATGATGTGAAGAACTGGAGAGTAAATAAAAACAGGTAGATTTTAGAGGTAAGTTGACAATAGGGAGAAGGAAATGGCATATGGTGATTTTGCTGTTTTTATAACATTTAGTCTAAAAGCCCACTGAAGTTGATTCCTTGAGTTAGCTGTAACTCTACCTGCAGACTTTCAGGACTGAAGAGCCAGAGAACAGAGTTTAAGGCAACCGTAGTTACTGAAAATGAGGTGGGATTCTAAGAAGGAGGGAGAATCAGAGAGGAGGACTTCCAAATACTGCCTAAAATTTTGCCCATGACTTTGTCTGTACCAGACACAGGACAAAATCCAGCTAAGAATAAAAGACTAAATAAAATGACATTTGAGCAGCCCAAAGGCAAAATTTACTTTTGGACTCCAACTATATTAATTGTCTGGTAAAACTAAGAAATCAGCATTCTTCAGAGGAATATAACAGAATCTAGAATCTTTACAACATAACATTGACAAAATCCAGCATTAAATTCAAAATTACTTGGCATATAAAGAATTAGAAAATGTAAACTATTTTCTAGAAAAAAACCCAAATAACGGAAACCAACTCTGAGATAACCCAGATGTTGGAATTGTCGAAGAATTTTAAAGCAGCTACTCATTTGGTGTTCAAAAATGTAAAAGATAATAAGTTCACTGTAAATGAAAAGATAGAAAATATTAGCAGAGAAATGGAACACATGAAGAAGAACCAAATGGAAGTTCTGGAACTGTGATTCCAGAGAAGTAAAAAGGAGCAGGGAAACTTTTTCTCCATTTTCTTTAGTTTTCACTTTTTATTATCAAAAATTTAAGAACGATACAAAAGGGAAAATTGTACAGTAAGCACCCATAAACCTATTCATTACCCAGTTTCAAAAAAGATCAACATTGACTAATTTTATTTTTATTTTCCACCTCCTACATTTTTAACTATGGTATTTTAAAGTAAATTGTAGTCATGTTATTTCATGCATTAGTATGTATTTCTGATAAAAAATTTCAAAATTCTCTCTATGTTTACACCTAACTGAATTAACATTAATACTTTAATAATATCTGATACCCAGAGTGTATTTGTATATTCAGATTTTTAACTTTTCTCAAAGAAAGCTATTTTCCTGTTGATTTGCTTCAATTTAGCTCCAACAAGGTCTACATATTGTATTTAGCTATGGTGTCTTAACTTTTTTTTTCATTTGACAGTTCTCTCTTCTTCCCTTATTTGGAGAACCTGCACATTTGTCCTGTGGAATGTATTTATCTTGATTTTGAGTGTTCGCATTTTCTTGTATCCTCACTTGCCCTTTTATCCCTCATATATTTATAAAACCACAGTAGTTAGCTCAGATGTTTGATGAGAATACAATGGTTCCTGCTTCTGTAGGTACCAAAATTTAGGTGATATCGTTCATTTCCTATTGCATCTCATCGTTAGACTCATAATGTCTGATATCCCCAATTTTATTTAGTAGCTTTAAACAGGAAACTCTTGCCTTTACACATATTCATCCCTTTTTTTTGATATCTTTAAGTTTTGTTGAAAGACTCTCTGTATACACACACACACACACACACAGGGTCTTGCTCTGTAGCCCAGCCTGAAGTGCAGTAGCACAATCTTGGCACACTGTAACATCCACCTCCTTGGTTCAAGCGATTCTCATGCCTCAGCCTCCTAAGTAGCTGGGACTACAGGCATGTACCACCACACCTGGCTAATTTTTGTATTTTTAGTAGAGGCGAATTTTCATCATGTTGGCCAGGCTGATCTCAAATTCCTGGCCTCAAGTGATCTGCCTGACTTGACCTCCCTAAGTGCTAGGATTATGGGTGTGAGCCACCACACCCAGCCGAAAGACTGCATTTGAAGTCTTTTCTTCATTCCACTTATCCATTTACTGAATAAGCAACTCTTTCCTCTCTTTTCTCATAACACTTCAAACATAACTTCCAAACAAATGTGGGCCATCTTGATCCACTCAGCTAAACTTAAGTTCAATCTCAAATGCGGATGCATCTGGAAAAACACACAAATCATTCTAAAGAAGCATTGAAGAGCAACCTTCATCTTTACTGAAAGATTCTTAATATCCCAGTGGAGGTACTGTACCATATATATATAACCCTACCATATTTCCGAGTAGTCTGACTTAAATTTTCTCTTTGCTTTACCAACTAATGATGCAGTGTTCATAACAGCTTCTTCATCTCTCAATCTTTCTCCACATTTCTCTATTGCATTGTAATTTGGTTTTTCTTTTCTAACTCTTCCCTTCCATCATTGCCCTAAGTCCTCCAACCTTCTTGCCAATTCTTACATATTTCAGAGGTAAGATAAGGTACTTATATCTCAACCTTAAAGCTTGTCAATGCCTCTTTGGGTTTACTGATTATGAACAGACTGTCATGACCCTTCTTAGAAAAACAGTAACCGCTTAATCAGACTTTGCTTACAAATGATACTTCTTAGAAGATTGGGGGAATGTCAATATCTGGTTTTAAAAAAAATTATTGTGATTTCTGCCACAGTCACTATTGCACTTACTTTGCTTGTTTGTGCAACTATGAAAATTTTTAAATCAGATTCTGCCATTTTTCTTTTTAAAACTTTAACTCCAACAAAGCACCCACCTCTGTTAGAGCTCATCATAAATATGTTTGTTGAGTGAATAATTATAGATCCCATGTTTTGTCAGAAATCTTAAAATAGGGTAACATTTTAATTCATAAAACCACACCATTTCATAAAACCACCTACAGCCTCATTTATCAGTATATAAACATATTTTTCTCTTCCTTATTCAAGGGATTCTACCAAACTCTTCATGTTAAAATGAGGTTTTTATTTCTTTTGTGAGAATTTAATTCAGATTAAATTCTAACATAAATAACAAGTGGCAGTTAATTTGGTAAGTCAAGCTAAGAGAAGAAAGCCAGTATCCATAAACACATGGACATACGCATTCTCAAATGAGTGCAATTTCAGTGAGAGCCATTTTACTCAGAGTTTATTTATAAAAACAAGCAGAGCCACACATGGATAATGCGCAAATCAAAAAGTAATTGGGCAAGTCTGAGAAACAAAAAGCATTATTCCAAAATCAAGTTATACAAAATCAAATTATGAATTTGATTTAAAACTAGTCAAACAACATTGAAAGGTTTTCTAGAAAATGACTAGTTAATGGAATATTTTTCCGGTATTGGTCGTATAGTACGTAGTTGTTTAGTATCTACAGTATATTCAGCACTAAGTTAAATAAATTCAATCATTCTTAGTGCTGATAGCTTTTAACTAGTTTTTAAACAGTTTGTTTATGGGTAGAGATCAGATATTCTTAGTGACAAGCTCAGAGCATGATACCAAATCACATCAAGCTTAGTTTCAATAACAGCTGATTATCTTATCCAGCTTTTCTGAAACTATGGCATTTTCAAGGTTGTCTTGCTTTATGGAATATTTCATTTGCAAATCTTTCGGATGAATCATGAAAAAAATCACCATCATGAAACAATAACACGTAATTGATAAGCGCTTCCCTGTAAAGCTGCCTTCTGGGGAGGACTGCAGAACCATTTCATAAGTGAGGCAGGAGATATGTTCCCTAATATTTGTGGAACGTTTTATAGTAATGTTGTCTGATGTACCGCTCACCCAGCCTTGAAAGATAAATTTTCAGCTCGATGCATGAGAAAACATGTTGGCAGATAATCATATAGCTCATAATTGGAATCTTCAGATTTAAACCCAGTACAGTAGACTATGAGTCTAAAGAAATTCTCAATAGAGCATATGAACTTCACAATTATAATAAGGGAAATCTGATATTTCCAATAATAAACAATCTAAAACTTAATCCATCAAATCCAATCCATAAAAATAAAATTAAATAACGTACAGACAATACCCAACTTACAATAGTTTGACATTAGTTTTGAGTTTGTGATGATGTGAAAGTGATGCACATTCAGTTGAAAGCATATATCTAGTACCCATTCTGTCTTTCACTTTCAGTACAGTATTTAATAAGTTACATGAGATATTCAATACTTGATTGTAAAACAGACTTTGTTAGCCAGGCACAGTGGCTCATCCCTGTAATCCCAGCACTTTGATTATTTTTTACCAATTACATTCATTATGTTATTCTATTTGCTGCAATTATTTTCCTCAACATACTTGTCTTTTTTACTAAATTTCATAGTTTTAACTTTTTTACATATAAAAATTTTCATTGTGTTAATAACTGATTTTTATCTCAGTATATTTAAAACTAAATGTCTTCTCTAGTTTTCTTTAGTTATTTAAAAAACTAACAATTTAATACACATGGGATTTATTTTGGTTTATCACGTAAATTGTGAGTCTAAAACAGATTTTTGGCTGGGCTTGGTGGCTCACGCCTGTAATCCCAACACTTAGGGAGGCCAAGGTGGGCAAATCACAAGGTCAAGAGATTGAGTCCATCCTGGCCAACATGGTGAAACCCCGTCTCTACTAAAAATACAAAAATTATCTGGGCGTGGTGGCGTGTGCCTGTAGTACCAGCTACTCAGGAGGCTGAGGCAGGAGAATTGCTTGAACCTGGGAGGCGGAGGTGGCAGTGAGCTGAGATTGCACCACTGCACTCCAGCCTGGTGACAGAGCAAGACTCCATCAAAAAACAAACAAACAAACAACAACAACAAAAATAGATTTTGTCTTTAAATTTCTAACACATTATCTCAATACTGTTGAAAAAACTATTTTCCTTCTTGTTTTCAGATACTTCTTAAACATTAAATATTTATATATTATATATAACCTTTATATATAATATATAAAAAATATAATCTATTCTAAGAGATCTATTTTTGTTCCAGCAACACATTGTTTTAATTATTATAGCTCTAAAAGCATTTATTATCAGATAGGAAATTTTTCTTTATTCTTCCTTTGCTGAATAGATACTGTCATATTTTTGCTTGGTCTTCTAGCCAGATGAAATTCAAAATTGATTTATTTATTCCTTTTCTCTTCTACAACAATCTCTTTTACTTTCTTATTTACTTTCCTTAAATATAAATTAATGAGAAAAATTTAACTTCTTACAATATATTTGATTTTTTCCAAATTTTATATTATATATTTCTGAAAGGTCTATTTTTTTTCAGGTAGGTAAAAATCATTTATTTTTGCAATTACTCTTAAATATTTTATGTATTTTTATCTTATTGTGAATGGGATCCTGTCACGTCTCTCAAATGATGATGGCATACAATGAAACTACAGATTTTTAAAAATATTCATCTATTTATTCATTTTATTAATGCTTTTGTTAAACATTTTAATTTGGTAGTTGGCTTTTCTAGTCAAAATAATATACAACTTACTAATGTTTTTGTTTGCTACCTTTTATTTTTGCTCTCATATTTTTTACATATAGCAAAAGCAATTTAAATAATAGTTTTTATGCTAACTTAAACATTTTAAATAATGGTAATATATATTATAATACAATTTAAAAATAGTAATAAATAAATAACAATAATCATATGGTATGAATACTTTTTTCTATTGTTTTTGATGGCAGGGAAGTTACTTTTATTTGTTGGTAGGTCTTAATAAATTCAATTAATTTAATTCTAGAAATATCTGTTGGGCATATACTGACAGTGAATATTATGAGATATATCATATTACAGACAATGAGAAACTAAAACTTATTTATAAGCAATTTGAGAGTAAACTCACACACACATCCTCAGATCATATAAGAGTAAATTCTTAAGTACCAAAGCATATAGTACAATCAATGAATATTATAGGTTTAGAGAAAAGCTGACTGCTATCTGGAGAAGATACATCTTCAAAGATAAATGGATTTGGATGATAGAGAACTGAGAGAAAGACATTCTTGAGCATGGAGAAGAAAAAGTGATGATATTAATATAGTATTCTCAGAGCATACTCAGAAAATAGGGAGATTAACGTTCATGGTGGCAACAGTGGGTATTTGCCTTTCCCTGGCTCATTAATCTAGCTTGACCTGCTCATGAGCCATACCTCTGCTGGTCTTTAGAACTGCCTGACGTTAGTAGATAAGAGTTTACTCTTTTTCTCCATTTGAACTTAGACTTCTTTCCCTGCGTTCCTTTATCAAGGTTACACACTTTTATCTTTGTATTCTCATGTCCTCACCAATGTGACCTTTTTCTGATGATCTTTCTGGCCTCTGAAAGATCTTATTGGCTGTTGAGCATGATTTGTGGTTTTGCATAACTTTTTGTACCATTGCCTTTATTATTAATGTTTGTTACTAATAGAATCTTTAGTAAAGATTTGGTTATCTGGTTCATTTCTTAAATCTTTATGACATTTCTAGTCTTTTTGCCCCTCTCACTGAGAAGGAAGAGTGATCTTACATTGCAAAAAGCTGATACTGGGCAGATAAAGTTTTAGGCTTGACCTCTAAGGTAAGAAGATGATTCTGCAATAGAAAGTCCTTAAAGGGATTACGTTAGAGTATAGAACTACAGAATAAGTGTCACTAAATAAACATTTTACATTAAAAATATTTTGTAGTCCTTGCTTCCAAATGAATCTATTAGGTGAGTGCAAAAGTAATTGCTGTTTTTACATTGTTGGAATTTGCTGTTTGATATTGGAATACATTCTTAAATAAATGTGATTATGTTATACATAATTTTAATGGGCATTTCTCAGTTTATGTTTGTTTTGCTAATTACTTATTACTTGCTGTTTATTTTAAACTATGGAAATTATGTTAGACAAAAAGCAAATTAGAGCGATTTTCTTATTTGAGTTCAAAATGGGTCATAAAGCAGCAGAGACAACTTGCAACATCAACAACGCATTTGGCCCAGAAACTGCTAACGAACATACAGTGTGGTTCAAGAAGTTTCACAAAGGAGACGAAGGCCTTGAAGATGAGGAGCACAGTGACCGGCCGTCGGAAATTGACAATGACCCATTGAAAGCATTCATCGAAGCTGATCCTCTTACAACTACATGAGAAGTTGCCAAAGAACTCAACGTCGACCATTCTATGGTCACGTGGCATTTGAAGTGAATTGGAAAGGTGAAAAAACTCGATAAGTGGGTGCTTCATGAGCTGAGTGAAAATCCAAAAAATCATTGTTTTGAAATGCCTTCTCTTATTCTATGCAACAAGGACGAATTATTTCTTGATCTGATTGTGACATGCAATGATTTTAATAGATTTTATACAACAACCAGCAACGACCATCTCAGTGGTTGGACTGAAAAGAAGCTCCAAAGCACTTCCCAAAGCCAAATTTGCACCCAAAAAAGGTCATGGTAACCGTTTGGTGGTCTGCTGCCAGTCTGATCCACTACAGCTTTCTGAATCCTGGTGAAACCATTCCATCTGAGATGTATGCTCAGCAAATCAATGAGATTCACCAACAACTGCAACACCTGCAGCTGGTATGGTTCAACAAAAAGGGCCCTGATTCTTCTTAATGACAACACCCGCTCACAAGTCACACAACCAACACTTCAAAAGTGGAACGAATTGAGCTATGAATTTTGCCTCATCCACCATACATACCAGACCTCTCACCAACCGACTACCACTTCTCAAACATCTCGACAACTTTTTGCAGGGAAAATGCTTCCACAACCAGCAGGATGCAGAAAATGCTTTCCAAGAGTTCGTCGAATCTCAAAGCATGGATTTTTATGCTCCAGAAGTAAACAAACTTATTTCTCATTGGCAAAAATCTGTTGATTGTAATGGTTCCTATTTTGATTAATAAATATGTGTTTGAGCCTAGTTATGATAATGATTTCAAATTCACATCCCAAAAACACAACTACTTTTGCACGAACCTAATATGTGAAATATGAAGTAGAGTAGACTTTCTTAATTAGAAACACAAAGCTGGAATGGAAGAATGTGGAAATATTTGCATCACTAAAAGAAAGAATGGATCACAGTGTTAATATAAAATTGAATTGTTCAACTTTAAATGAAACCAAATCATTCCAAGCTACCAAATGATGGCAACACCAGCAATTGGCAATTTGGATTTCTTCATAGCACTCCTAAGATAACAGTGGATCACATATCAGATGTGATGATAAAAATTATAAAAAACTTGTGGTGAAAACTGCATGTCGTTCGTTTTTCTGGTCCCCGTTCCAGAGCAAAACCTCAGACTTGAATTCTTAAGACTTTCAAGACCTGTGAGTTCATATATGTTCCTCAACAAAATAGAAAACTCAAATAGAAAAAGAATAACATTTTTACTGTAATATTTTCATTTTTTCAAAATAGTGTTTAATGGACCCAACTTGTCTAACTTTGCAAATTCTCTGAAAGGCTCAAGGTTTTCACTTTTTCTAATTAGTCAGCCATCTTGGAACACACTACATGAGATTTCAGCCATTTTCATAGATCTGCTGGTCTTGAGATTTGGGAGTATTCACATTGTGCCTGTCATGAACTCAAGTGGGAGACTTAGCCCTCAATTTGATGAGGACTTTCACTCTGAATGCTGGCAGATATTTTTGCCTAGAACCGTGCCAATGAAATCTGCAAGGATTTTAGTATTTTAAAGTTCTATCAGTAGTACAAATTTGGAATAAGATAGAATCATGACAGATTTTTGATAAATTATTTTGAACATCTATTCAATCAAAATAATCTCTATGATAAATGATATGTATACCATAAATACTATATCCAGCCATCATTTTGTCACCTATTATTTTCTCGCTGATTGATTTGACAAACCTAGTAGGAAAAAGTAGGTCAGGTATAGCTCCATTTTAAACTCTATTCCTAATAATATTGGCTTTGTTTTTGTATTTATAATAAATCTATCAAATAAGACATTATCATTTAACTGCTGTTATATTTGTAAGTGATCTAAAAGAAGAAAGTGACACATTACATAAATATTTATTTCCTCTTTTTAAAACATAGCTCCAAGTGAAATTTGAGAGGGCAAATTAACAATGCTTTACAAAGTCTCCATGTCTAAAGAATTCTCTATGCACCTTCGTAGGTTTCCAGAAAGTAAATTAAAGAAAACAAGCTGAATTTAGCATCGTGTGATCATTCTGAAGACCTATTATTCTAAAGCATGTACTGTAAAGGTGAAAACTTGTTTTGCTTTTTAAAAAACATCTCCATATCAATTAGCTGTATTAAGGTAACACTGAGGATGGAATAAAAACAACTGTATTTCGTTTGTTTAATTCACTGCTAGCACTGTGTGTTAACAGTACTAAAATGCAAGTTGCACTTTAAACATTCTTTTCCTGCAAGAGTTTACAACTGCCATAGGAAATACGGATGTGAAAATCTCAAAATATTGTTAGTTTAAGAATGGTTTATATAGACAGCTCAAAGTCAGCAAAGGTTTTCCAGAAACCTCTCTCAGATTTCTGCTTATAGTTTATTGGGCAAAACTTTGTCCTATGGCCATGGCTAGCAACTAGGGGGCTATGAATGTAACTATTTTATTTCTGCAGACTTTATGGAAGATATTTTCCAGAGAGATTGAGAAGTTATTGGATTGGTCACACAATAGTATATATACTTAAATTATATGCACTATGATGAGCTAGTCTTAATTTCTTCCTTCTTAGCTATAAAACAGATTACTTGATTATTTATTATAATGATAATAACATAATGTATTAAGTGTTTCTGTGTGCTAGGTTATATTTCAAGCACTTTCTAAATATTAATTAATTCTCCATCAATTTTATGAGGCAGATTTCATTGTGTCCATTTTACAAATGAGAAAACTGAGGCACAAAGAAGCAAAGTTACTTATTCCAAAGTTACTTAATTCAAACACAGTCATGAGGAGGTAAAACAGAGATACCCTGAACCCTAAGCCTTGATGGTTTATATTATTCCTTAATTGCAAGTTAATGATTATGCCATTTTACTTCTTAAATGTTGTTATTTTCCCTTTTATATTGCATCACTTGTATTTAAACTAAAATAAATTATTTTTGTTTTGCATGAAAACATCTTGAGCCACTCATTCCATAATGCAAGTGTGGATCTGATGATTTTCTGAAGCTTAATTTACTGAAGCTTAATTTAGACGCACAATGTGGCCATATTGTCTATCAAAGGTACAAGTTGCCCAAGAATGCCTCATTTTCCTTATTTGTACTATTCCACATGTCCTCTAGCAGCCCTTCCACACCTAACAGCATGTAATCTTTGAATTTAAAAAAAAAACTAGAATTTTGAGGGTTTAGCAGAATATACATATATAATCATCTCAGTCCATTATTTTGTAATGAACAAAATTTTCAGGGATTGATTGAGGGAGTCTTCACTAATACTTTTGCATAAAAATCACAAAAAATTTGCTTTTAGCAGAAGGCCAAGTGACAAGAAGCTGGAATGCATCAGCAATAAAAGAGTAAGGAATCTTCCTTTGCATGAGAGTGAAAAAATGCGGAGTTGCTAGCTAGAAGTATATTTGATTTATAGGTGGATTTGGCTGATGTCAAAATAATTGTAGTAAATTACTCTGAGAATAATCTAAAACTTCAAGAAAGCATACATTTCCCTATTGGTACAGGATCCTTCATTAATAAAGAATGAAATAATGCAGCCTCTGACAGTTTTTCCTCCCATATTGGAAAACAGACCCTGCAGACAGTGTTAATGACTTGAAAGAATGCAAACTTGGACGATATTTGGAATGTAACTAGCAAACAAATACAGGTAGATGTGAAACAGTCCCAGAGCTCTGATTTGACCCAACCAGGCCTTGGGTTACATAAAAATAATCCTCAATGATAGGTGAGAATATTTGAGTTTTAGTGTTTAATAGGAATTCTCTGCTAAATATTTGAACAACGATAACAGTGATTACATAGAAATAGCATAAGATTGATATAGAAGTTCATGCTGAGAAATAGAAACTTCCCTGCTTGCATTCCTTGGCTCTGGCCTCTTCTTCTACCCTCATAGCCAGCAATATATCATTTTGCACTTCTTCACTTCTCTTCCATTCTCTCTCACTTTTTTACTCTGACTCTCCTACTTCTCTCTCATAAGGCCCACCCAGATAATCCAGGGTCATCTTTCCATCTCAAGATCCTTAACTCAATCACATCTGCAATGTCCCTTTTGCCATTTAACAGGTTCAAGAGATTAGGAAACGGACATATTTGGGGTGAGAGTGGAGACCATTATTCTTCCAATCAGAGAAACATACTAAACAGATGAGCTCTCAGAGGACAGGTTTCATACCTTCCTCATCTTCCTAACACCAGGACCTAGCACAGTTATTGCCTGGCACCTAAAAGGCACTCAGCAAATGTGTAATAATTGTTTTAATGTGTGTAATAATTGTTTTAGGCAAAAAAGATTTACTTGGTATCTACTATGTGACAGATACTCTTCTGGGTTCTGAGGGATATGGCGGTGAACAAAATAAAGTTATTTCTCTCACAGACCTTTCATTCTAGTGTGGGGAGGCAGAGAGTGCACCCCAAAATGTTAGGTGCTGATAAGGGTTAGGAAGAAAAATAAGCCAGACTAAGGAAGATAAACAGTGCCAGGAGACTCTGGGAGAAGTCCTCTCAGACAAGCGGCCAGTTGATTGGAGAACACAAAGAACTAGGGTATCAAGACTTACACATATTTAGGAGAATATTTCAGAAAGAGGAAATGAGAAATGCAAAGATTCTGAGGTAGGAACATGCTTGGATTTTGAGATTTGTAAGAACTAACAAGCAGGCAAATGAGGCTTCACAGTGAGAAAGGAGGGGAGTTGTACTAGATGAGGTCAGGCAGAAGGATGACAGATTGCACAGGGTTTGGTATTCCACAGTAAACATTTGGACTAAACCCTGAAGAGGATGGAAATTCATTACGGGGTTGAATAGGGGCTGGTAAAATCTGACTTGTGCCTTAGAAGATTACTCTGCTGTGTTGAACACGGACGGTAGGAAGGTAGGGATGGGAGGAAGGAAACAAGACAAGGCTATTGCAGTAGTTTCAGGGAGAAGCGATGGTGCTTGAATTAGAGTGATAGCATTGGTGTTGATGGTGAGAATCTGTAGCATTCTGGATATATTTCTAACATGTAACTCATATGATACGGATGTTGTGTAATGGAAAGAGAATAGTTAAGAATGACTTCAAGGTTTTGAACTGAAAAATTGATGAGTGGAGGCACCATTTACTACACTGGCAAGGATTTCAAAATGAGCAAAATTTCCGTTTTGGATATGTTAGGATTGAGATGCTTGTCAGACATCAAATAGAGATGCTGCAGGGGCAGGTGGACATGGGAGGCTGGAGTACAGGGGACAGATTGGGGCTAGACACATACATTTAGAAATCTCAGCACATAGATGGCATTCAAAACTGTGAAACCGAATAGATTCCCCAGGGGAGAAATTTTGGAAGAGAATTGAGCCCAAGTACACTCTTGCCTTTGGAGGTCAGAAAAAATGAAGAGAAACCAGCAGTGGAGTCTGCAAACATGCAGGCATTGGGGAATGAAGGGAAAGTCTTGTCTTGGAAGAAAAATGAAGACATTCTTTCAAAAAGGAGTGATCAAATATGTCAACTGCTGTGAGATCAGTAAGATGAGGAGCTTGAAATAATCATTTATTTTGTTTTCCTTTATTTAATGTGTATTTATTTTTATTAGAGACAGGGTCTTGCTTTGTTGCTCAGGGTGGACTCAGACTCCTGGGCCCAAGTAATCCTTCCATCTCAGCTTCCTGAGTAGCTGAGACAACAGGCATGTGCCACTATGCTAGGCTTAATAATCATTTGTTGGTTGTCAGGACGGCTCATGCCTGTAATCCCAGCAGTTTGGGAGGCAGAGGTGGAAGGATTACTTGAGTCCAGGAGTTTGAGACCAGCCTCAGCAACATAGTGAAACCCCATCTTTACAAAAAATAAAAAATTAACCAGGTATGTTGGTGCATGCTTGTGGTCCCAGCTACTCTAGAGGCTGAGGCAGAAGGATTGCTTGAACCCTGGAGTTGGAGGCTGTAGTGAGCCATGATGGTGCCACTGTATTCTTCCTGGTGACACAGCGATACCTTGTCTCAACAAAACAAAACAAAATAAAAAAATATTTATTTTGTCATCATGGAGGTGATTGTGTTTCTTTTTTGTGTGTTTTTTTTTTTGAGACGGAGTCTCACTCTGTTGCCCAGGCTGGAGTGCAGTGGCCTGATCTCGGCTCACTGCAAGCTCCACCTCCCGGGTTCACACCATTCTCCTGCCTCAGCCTCCCAAGTAGCTGGGACTACAGGAGCCTGCCACCACACCTGGCTAATTTTTTTTGTATTTTTAGTAGAGACGGGGTTTCACTGTGTTAGCCAGGATGGTCTTGATCTCCTGACCTTGTGATCCGCCCACCTCGGCCTCCCAAAGTGTATGTGTTTTTATGAAGTTGTGGAAACAAATGCCTGAATGCAATTATTTGTGGGCTCCAAGTACCTTTATAGTCCACCCACAGTAAATAATGTTTTTTGCATTTCCAAACATTGACGAATACTTAAAACTTTACACTATGTACTTTGGGGCTGGCTGGTAGTATAAACATTGTTTCCTTGAAGTTTAGTTAAGACTCCTAGGTTGGTCTTCTAGAGTTCCTTTATTTGCAAAACTCCAAAAATGTACTAGTTTTAACTTGTCTAAATTCCTTACATCTAATTATTTTCCATCCATTAAAAGACTAACAAGTCCATAAAAATTGAGAGATTAATGTAACTCAGGAAAATTCCATCTTCTCTGGGAAGACACAACTCAGTGTAGGCAGAATAGTTTAAAAAATACTATAACTTTTTACCCCTTTTCCTTCTGGTGCTGACAGAGATCAAATATCAAATGGTCCAGGTCAGAGATTAGTTATGGGGATTCTTCAGTTAAAAATGGTGCACTCCTATGCACTCACTCTCTTGAGACCAATGAATATGTTAACAGTTAGTGTTGCTTAAATGTTTATTGCCTTCCTTTTAGTAAAATCAATTATTAAAAAATTGTTGGCTTACATGTGATTCCATATATGTAAATGGTGGAATCTTTATTTGCTATCTTGCAAAAAATATTGGAATTAATGTAAAGCATATAAAATATTGAAACTCATAAAGCCAAAAACATTCTCAAGTGTTCTGCCAATGTTCATTATAGTTTCCTTAAAATACAATATATAAATGAAAACTATTCCAGACACTTCTCCCACATTATACTCTTGTGCTTTTTGCATTTCCTTTCTCCAGAGGGAAAATTTATAGAGGGCATGGGGTGGCCATATAGCAGGGGAAGCGGGTTGCACGAGAAGAATGTAACAGAAATTTACCAGATTGTATTCACGATCTGAAACTGATCTGAGAACAGAAATGGCCTTTCATGTGCATGGCTTGTTCAAGGCAAAGGGTAGGTTTTAAAGAAGTTAGAATTTGCCTTTGATGCCTCACACTCTTGCAGCCTGCCACTTCTTTGTAGTTGAGGATATTCTCCTTGCAAGGTTGTGGACATATGGTTACATATTTCATTATCTTCTGTTTGAAATTGGTTGGTTACATTTTTAATTTTTGTTATGAGCTTACATTTGCTTTCTCATTCCCATTTTATTATTTAACATCAATAATTACCAAAGAGGTTATTGAGTGTTATTGTTAGGAATAAGACAGATGCAAGTTTAAATCCTGGCTTTGACACTTACTGGGAGACTTGTCTCAGTGGCCTACCTTCTATGTGCCTCAATTTCCTCAAACATAGGATGATGACAGTCCTCACATTATGAGATTGTTGTGATGAGGATTATATCAAGCGACTTATGGGAAAAGATCAGTGCAAAATATAAGCCCTGATATATTTTAATTAGAAATTGAATAATACATGCCTTGGAAATAAACAATAATAAATTCAACATGTGTAGTAAATATATAATAACAAAGGAAATTTGGGTGAAACATTTCTCAGTTATAAGAAGGAAGATTTTTTGATTTGTATTATAGAGTGTTTAGTCCGGAAACATTTATCATTACAAAGAACAGCATGAAATCTTAATTAGATTCCCTCACTAGGAGTTATCAAGATAAAAGAAATGCAGAGGATTAATAACATTATATTTAAAGTAAATATCCACTGTCTATGTGCGTTAAATATTCCATTTCAGAAAACTTAGAGATTATTTATTTATACTAGGATGAATGTATATCATATTAGACTTCTTAAATGAATAACAATTCTGCTTTAGGGAAGCAGTAGTAGGATGCTGATAGTAGGCTATCGGGATATTTATCTGTCTTTCTATCCATCGGCTTGTATGCATCTAAGTATTTATACATCCTATCAGAATCACAAAATACATACAAGTAAATGCCAACAAAATCTCAAAATGCAATTAAATTTAGGACATTTTTGCCTTGAATGGCCTCCATACTTAATCTCAATTATTCCTTGAAATTTGGGAGAATAATACATTTTATTACACAAATAAACATATGATTTGAGTTAGAATCACTGATGACAAAATGTTAATCTAAAGTACCAACACAAGGGTGAGTTGGTTGAACAGAATGTGTATAGTTGGGGACTTTCAGATGATTGTCATGTGGGCGTGTGTGACTAACAGTATGGTTGATTATACACTAGAATGTTGTGGTCTAGAAATAATGCTTAATTTTGTTCCAAGCATTTTGTTCAACCTGATATGCAAACAGTAATATATCTCAATATCTTCTGGAAGATGAAACCTTAAGTCATTTAAGGACGCAAGCAGCAACATTAACTGTTATCAGACTTTGGTTTATTGTAAAATTTAGCAAAGTTTTTCTTGTAATCCCTGACCCATTGCTCTGAAAACAAAAGCAAAAACATAATTATTGCTTATTCTTTTCCCCCTACTTTGTTTGTGCTACTGTAAAAGAAGGGAGAAAATCATTGTAATAAATAAAAAATAGAGATGTAACAGAGAAAAATAAATCAGCTCAGATGAGAAGTATTAGGAGCAACAGCAATACCATTAAGCAGTTTCAAAATCAGCTTCTTTTAAAAAGGTCATCTTATTAAAATAAAAATCACACCAAAAATATAGCAGCGGAGAAGAAGGATAAATACAAGTTCATTGCACACCAGTCCCATGCAAAAAACTGTCACTAGCCAAAGCAGTAGTATTCAGAATCCAATTTAGGACGCTTGTGTAGTGCCTGTGAGTCCTCTATGAGGGAGCTGTCACTGAATTGGTCCAAGTCTGAAGGGGTCTGATGGCCTGGGACATCATCCGCCAACGTGTCCAGATAACTTCCCACGGAAATGCCATCCAGCCCATCACTGCCATCGTGTAGGCTGTTGTAGCTGCCACGTAAGGAGGTGCTCTGACTCTCCAACAAACTGCACAGGCTGCCACTGAGGCTGCTGCCTCTGCTGGTAATGGTGGCTTTTTCTTCGATCATCCACTTGATGGACTCGATGCTCTCATTGATTACAAGCAACTGGCGCATGAGCCTGACGTCTGTGGCTCTGAGGTTAACCTATGGACAAAGAGAGAAGAAAGATATTCCAGCCATTTTACACTCTCGAAAGGCCTCAAATTCATCTGGGGACTGTCTGCTGCAGTTCAGAATTTTAAATTCACAGAATAAAATATAAGTGGACTGGTTGTCAGGAACTTTTTGATAATTGCTGACTGATGGTAGGAGTTATAATAAAAAAAACTCACTTCCTGCCAGATGCATCAGGCTCCAAAAGGCACAATAAAACCCCTGCTGCATCCCTGACCCTAACCAAGTGGCCTGAACATATCATACTGAATGGCAGGTTCTCTACTACAAAATTTATTTTCTCTTTGGCCAGATTAAGTTTATTAATGTTTACGTTGGCGTATATACGTGGGTCCTGAGTCGTGGGGAGAAAAGGAAGGTGAACAAATTAAGGAGTCATCCTCAGCATCGTAGAAGCCTCTAAAAGCCTCTGATTATGGAGTGATAATGTGCCAAGCACCATCATAAAAGTTCAGCATTCATTAGCAAAATCTAATAACACTGTATGACAGGTATTATTATTTTTGTCTTCATTTTACACATGAAGAAAGATAAATCTATAGAAAAGAGTTAAGAGTACAAAAAAGACCTGTATTCTTTATGACTATATCAACATAGACAGTGCTGAATAATGCTTTTGCTTTTAAGAACCAAATTGCTCTAATATTCCCTGAATCCAAAGGATGGGTGATACACTAGGCTGATCCAATTTATGAGACGAAGTGTACAAATATTTCTGTATATCTGACTATTTGTTTCAGATATATCAGGGGCACCCCAATCAAAAGTGGGATACCAGATGTTGGGAAGGTCTGAGAATTCCCTTATGTGCCTTCTAGGTGTGTGGTCCTTTTTTTTTTTTGGGGGGGGGGGGGGGACGGAGTCTCGATCTGTCGTCCAGGCTGGAGTGCAGTGGCGGAATCTCGGCTCACTGCAAGCTCCGCCTCCTGAGTTCACGCCATTCTCCTGCCTCAGCCTCCCGAGTAGCTGGGACTACAGGCCCCCGCCACCACGCCCGGCTAATTTTTGTATTTTTAGTAGAGACGGAGTTTCACCATGTTGGCCAGGATGGTCTCAAACTCTTGACCGCGTGATCCGCCCGCCTCGGCCTCCCAAAGTGCTGGGATTACAGGCGTGAGCCACTGCTCCCGGCAGGTGTGTGGTCCTTCTGATAGCTCTAAGTTACTTCAGGGATATCTATCTCCACAGCCACAAAGCAGGGTCTCTTTGCAGGTCCCACAGTTTACTGTAAACATTTGCTAATATCAAGAGGTGGTGTTTGGGGAGGTGGTGCTGTAAGAACTCCCATGATTGTTCTGTTGGAACAGAAGAGATATGGCTCGAGTACAGAGCCTGGCAGGACCATGTTTGGCCACTAGAGGTCCTAGTCACATTCTCTATGGTTTGTTTGCTTGTTTGTTTTTTGAGACAGTCTCACTCTATTGCCCAGGCGGGAGTGCAGTGGCTCAATCTTGGCTCACTGCAACCTCCGCCTCCTGGGTTCAAATTATTCTCCTGCCTCAGCCTCCTGAGTAGCTGGGATTACAGGCACGCAACACCATGTCCAGCTAATTTTTAGTATTTTTAGTGGAGACAGGGTTTCACCATGCTGGCCAGGCTGGTCTTGAACTCCTGACCTCGTGATCTGCCCTCCTCAGCCTCCCAAAGTGCTGAGATTACAAGCGTGAGTCACCATGTCCGGCCTTCTCTATGGTTTAAAAACCGATTTCTGTCCCTCCAGTTGGGTTACTAACCCAAAAGTCTGGGTCATGCTAATTCTTTCTTTAGGATCCAGAGCTAATTCAGATTTATGTCAGTTTCTGGAATTATCAGACATTCATTCTTGGATGACTCAAACTGTAAGGAAGAAAAGAGCGAATTGTCCTCAAAAGTATTCATTTGTATTGTAAAAATATTTCTGTATGAGGAGTTAATCCATAACTGAAGAGGAACTTTGGATTGAGGGAACATGATGAATAAACATTAGGAGAGATGGAATTTCCATTAATAACTGCAAGAGATGCAAGATTGTACAGGTTTCAAAAGAATAAAAATATATCTATGAATACAAAAAACATAAAGTACAATTTAAAATCCATTAATTTTGCTGGAATACTGAAGTGACTTGAGTCACTTCATCTTCTCTGAACAAAGCACTAAAAATAAATTGCACAGGAAGTAACAAAGAAAATTACTTTTCACTGAGACGTTCATGAACAGAAGGATGTGAACTTAGCCTTGAGAAGCCCCTCTATTTGTTGGGGTGTCTCAATAACCTTGCAATGACTTTATGTTGAGGAAGGAGGTTTCTGACAGTCTTTATGTTTAAATTCCTCCGCACACCCTATGAGCCAGGAAGACAATGGTCAAGTTACAAGTAATATAACAAACATTTATAAATCACCAACAATTTGCCTAGGTCCACTGAGCAGCCCAGAAAAATCAATATGAGTCAAACTTTTGCAAAATCATTCAGCAGGCATCTGTAGCTGATAAAACATGCTGGCCCCTTATAAGCCATGGCAGAATATCAATCTGACCATTTCCCAATAGCCACCCAAATAAATCACGGCTGCATTTATTCACATCTCCACCCTCTCCCATGAAAATGTTCCAGCCCATTCCCAGCTCTGGGCATGCTCCTCTGTCATTCCCCATTCTTGAAAAACTTCACTCTCTTCCTCTCCAAATACTCCCCATTCTTCAAGTCATACTTCTCTCGTCAAGCACTACTTGAGGGCTCCAGCCTCCTCTGCTGGCCTGCTTCACCACTACCGTCCTGTTAGCTTATCTCCTAACATAGCTTAACTTTGTACTGTCATATACTGCCAATGATTGTCTTTTAGCAATTTCAACTAGGCTGTGAGCTCCTTAAAGAAAGAAGCCATGTCTCACATTTCTTCCTTATCTTAAGGTCTGTACTAAGCATTGCTTGATTTTTGGAAATAGTCATAATTGGTTGATTTTTGGAAATAGCCATAATTTTAGGAACTGTGAAAGTTTAGCTCTTAAGACAGTAGTAATACACGTTCCTAACAACTATGCCACCAGGGGTTAAAACATACTTAGAATACATTTTTTGTCAGCAATTTTTCTCTGACTTACACAGTGGCTGCATCAAGTACAAGTTTTTCAGTTTTATTAAGCAGTAAGAAGAAAAGAGGAGTGGACTATGAAGTAACAAAAGCTTCCTTTGACCATGAAATGACTTATTTAAATAAGAAAATCTTTTTTTTTTTTTTTTTTAGTGGAAGCAAAACATTCACAGGCCATTGAACTACTGTTGGGGAAAAAAACGACACAAGCAAGTCAGTTAGAACGTGTTGATCTGGTTGATAATGATTATAGATTCAACTATGTCTAACCCTGTGTCCTCCCGGGAGAGAGTAAACAGCTTCCCACCGTGGGAGCGCTGGGCACGTCAGTTCACACGCTGGCAGGTCCATTACCAGGAGCTCCAGGCACAGAGAGTCCTGGGCTGGCCCAGCTGCTGCACTCTGCTTTCTCCAAGCACCAAGGTGCAGTTATGCTACCGATGACCCTTGAAAGTATGAGCAATTCACCAAACAACTAAATCACAATGACTCTTCTGTCTCTAGTAGCTGCCCCGCCTTTCCTCACTGTTATTCATTTCAGTCTTAATGAAGTCTAGCCATCAATTAAAAATAGAGTAGCCTTGCCCTTGCAGCATGAAACTGTGTGGTTCCTTCTGTTGGAGTCTTATAAGGTCCCTCAACTTGACTCTGAGGATACTGAGAGTTGAGATCTCCTAAAGGTCTGAGTTTAAATGTCACCTCCTAGGAGAAACTGATTCCTGATCAATCATAATATGCAATACCCATGCCTTGATTAATATTACATTTCCATGTATATTTCCTTCATCATATTTATGACTAGTTGAAATCATAATCTTTCTAATGGATTTACTTATTATTTTCTCTTCCCCCCATGAGCATGGAAGCACCACAGAGTGCTTGGGTCTTGATCTTTCCTGGTCACCACTCTATGCCAAAACCTGGAAGAGTATCTCACACAAGTAGGTGCTGAATTAGTACCTGTCCAACATCTGAATAAGAAACTTTGCTTCAGATTGGATTGTCTGTTGGAATCTCGGGTTTTGCTGTGGGTCAGTAATATGTGACTTGAGAGGGAAAAAAAAAGTAGCTTCGGGAAAGAACATTTCAATATTGAAGCGTTCCCAGCAGATAATGCCTTCTATTCCTTCTCCAGATTCAAACACCGAGTAACTGGTGTGAGGTTATTCCTAGCTTAAATTTACAGAATATGAGATAGTATCTCTAAAAGGAAGTGGACTTCAAGGTGTAAGTCACACTCCAAACATTATTCTATTTGTTCAGAGGTGATAACCGATACTAGCACAGCATGGGTGTTCTGTAAACACTTGGCAAAATGAACTGAACAAAGGGAACAAACAACCAGGACATGTACCAAAAAACAACAACGACAAAAATAAGGTTTAGACTGATCGGTCCAAAGGTCCAAAGAGATGTGGATGTCCTTTCCTCTTTTCCTCTTCACTTCCCCTCCTCTACTCTGGTCCTTACAGTTTATGTCATATGGTTCAGCTTCCTACTTAGTCTCTCAGGCTTCAGGATTATGATGTCACAGGTCTCTGTATTTTAGGGAGAATGTTGAGATTTCATGTCATTTTTTTGACAGGTGATGAACTGAGTCTATGGTAGAACTTGAAATGAGGAATCTTGAAGGAGAAAATATTCTTAACAGCAAACTTTCCCAGATATCTTTTTTTCTTCTAGAGTGCCATTTAAAAATTGAAAGAATACAAAGGTTATGCATTGGCACAATGGAATCTAAGAAAAAAATGCAGTCGGAGTTTTGGTTGCTAACCAAGTTGACTTCTTTGTGGTGTTGTATGAGGAACATGGTACTGACTCCAATCTGCCACTGCCACTATCTTCCTATTTGACCTTTGGGGAAAGTGGCTTGGCATACAGGACCTCAGTTTCCTTATACATGAAGAAAAATCAGGAGATTTCATTCCGAGCTGCAGTGAACCATGGGACTCAGTGAAGGTGGTAAAGTAGTTCTGTGAACAAAGACTAATCTTACCCAATAAGAAGACTGAATTCAACTGAGGCATCCACCTAACATATCTGCTTTTCATACTGAGATTTCGTTTCAGATATTTAATAACGTCTTATAACATTTCAGGCATTTAATGTTTAATTTAATAGGAAGAGTCTACAGATCAGATAATCCCAGGATTTCCTTCCATTTCGACATATTCTCTGATATTTTGCCATTCCTGTGGCCATTTGATTACGAAATTGTTTACGTTATGAGAAAATTATTCAGGCTATAGAGGAGACAGAAGAATCAATTCTGCTGCTCAGTAACTCCAGCAAAAGATGTAGCTGGTAAAAACTCATGGCTAAGGCTAGAAGTTTGGGTTTGATGTTAATTTGAGGTACTTTATCAGAAATTTTGTCATAATAATTTTTGCTCTCACCATTTGGGTTTGAATAAAAATCATTTTTGTATTCCACTCCAAGACAAACGTGCATATCATCTTTAATATGTCTATATATTAACTGAAATGTGCACATGAGCTGCTGAATATATCTTCCAAATAGGGACATTTTTTGCCTTTCTGGAGCCTTGGATAGCATCATATACTCAGGTTTCTCATAAAGCCCTCCTCCATTATTGTTACCCTTTTATTTATGAATGTCAACTAGTCAGATAAAAGCAGGCCACCTCCTAGTTATACATTTGTATGGTAAAATCCACAATATTCAAGATGTAAATCCCAACCATCCTGCAAGCTGTAATATGAATTAGAAGGAAGAAGGACTTCTTTGCAAGTCCATAGTCACATACATTGAAGGAAGAAAGATTAGACTTGCTTTTTAATGTGATGCTCTAACCCTAGTTTCTCATTAGGAGAAACTAATCATCGTTCTCTCTGATTTGTAGTTGGTGGAAGAGAGTTTAGTTCTGTCAGGGCCTCTTTTCTATCCACATTTATTTTAGAATATATTTTTAAAAGTCTATATAAACTGAAGAGCTGTTTAAAAGCACTTGGAGTATTGTTTTTCCAGCAATTTATTCCAGTTTGTTTGCTTGTTCCTTTTGCATAAGCTCCTTGTGTTCAAATTTGCCCTCTCTCCAAATTCAGGACATCCTCAATTTGATGATCACAGAAGATTTTCTGCCTACCCATCCTTAAAATTTCCAGCAGTGTTTTCAATATCTATACTTATAAATCACTCCTCTGTTTTCTCAGAAGATCCATAAAAATATTATCATCTTTTTGCAGCCTGAGAAGACACTGTACAACATTTCCACTCACTGTTTTTGGTTTGGAATGCTTCAGGTGAAAAGCCTACAATTATGCAAAAGTCAGTGCTGTTCCTTCCACCAAAGCTTTCTTTCACTTTCTCAGTCAGTTCAAAATTTACAACAAAATTTGTTTCTAACTGGGCAACAGAGGATTCCCTTTCACATCAGTCAGCTTTGTCTTCCTCCATTTTTGTTGTTTATATGTGGAACTGAACAATAACTGAAACAGTTCACTCTTTTCCCAGAACGTTATAGAAAAGTAATTTCCCCAAGGACTAAATTACATACATAAAAATACTGTCATCAGCACAGTGGACTGATTGATGTTGTTTTGATAAAGTAGAAAGCTGTATCTGGTGTATTTGAAAGGAGCACATGTGACTCCTGTGAATCATAAGCATAAATTCCGGCCACCAGGCCTGCTCGTGAGATCTGTACAGTTTCTGCTGGTGAGTCATCTGATTGCCAAAGTAATACATGCAGCTTTTCAGTATGATTTCATCAGATTCTAGGTCCAATTGATACTTAGATGCCTGTGATGTCAATTCCTTTTCCATAATCTAATACAGTGAAAACTGTTTCCCTGAATATTTTCAACATGAATGTGCAAAGAGTAATTTAGGCTGATGCAATCGGCTATAAATCACCTGAGCCGAGATTCATTTAGAATGATCTAATGAAAACATGGACTCCCCATATTCACAGCAGAGAAGTTTTTCACATTGAACACAGACCAGAGAAGTGTTTCCACTAATTTATAGTAAGTATTGTGCATGTGTGTCTTTTCAATTTAGAACTTAAGATATTCTTTTCACATGGTAGACCAGGGCATGTTAATGTGCTCCTCCGTGATCTGTAGTGGCCACAGTTACATTGTAAGGGAAGGACACAGGGTAGTGTGCCAGTAAATGTTTAACAAGCAGCTTCCTGGGAAAAATAAACATGCACACACACACATGCATGCATATATACTACAAAATATAATACAAATTGTGCTGATATAGAAGATGTATAACACACACTTGACAGATAATAATAAAATATACAGCACTTTTTATTGTCAATTCCATATAACCAACTGATTTCAGAGAATGTTTTATTTATTCTTGCTGAACTGTTGTATGTATAGCAAACTATGGACGCAGTTCAAACAAAATGTCACAAATACAGTTAATCTCAATTGATAATTCATTCCTCAATAATTGTTATTGTTACACCTGATATGTGATCCACTGTTAAATTATTTTTCACTTAGTGAAAACTATATTAATTAAACTGAAATTTGTTTCAGCCTCAGCATGGGTTATGTTGGAATTTTACTGGTTCATCAATGATGTCAGCAATTTCTTCACTGAATTGAATAACAGTTTTCAAATACATGGAGAATATTTCCTTTTTTTGGCACTATTGGAAATGTAATAACTAGGGACATGCCACAAATTTCAATTTCAATCTGCAGTATTAAAATTTTCTCTATCACTTAAGTCTAGACAACCAATAAAATAAAAATCAAGTTCTGCTTTATAGTGTTTTTAAATTTCTGTAGCATAAATACTCCTACATGGCCAATTTGAATCTGTCTATAGAATGTCCTTAAACATAAACATGGGATTGATAAGAGATACTCGGTACTAGAGCATATACGGTATTTTCACCCTGTGAATAAAATAGATGTTTTAAAAACCTCAAAAAATCATGAAAGTAAAATGTAGTAAAATAATTAGGATGCCATGAATTTTGAGTATTTATTACCTTTGTTTTAAATTATAGGTTTATATAAATACTTAACTAGTAGGTTTATATAAATACTTTAAATTTTAATAATGTCTGTGATTGGCAACTAGTTCACAAAACTCCTGAAAATTTAACAAAAAGCTCACACATCTCAGTAGATATTAGCTTCAGTGTACCATTGAGGAGGTACGGAATGAAGGCTTTACTTAATTGATTGCATTTTGTAATAAGCAGATTAGAGACTTGCATTTTACCCCTTAGGGCTTTTATTTTTCTAGACGTAATTAAAATCTGAAGGTAATCTTATCTTTTCCATTGAATAAAATTTGAGATAGATGTAAAATATTTATACCAAAGTTTTTAGTGTCTTTTCTGGAAAGATTTCAAAAACTGAATATAAATGACTCAGCATTGTTGAGACATGAAATATACTGAAAAAGGGAATAAGCCAGGTATCTAAACTCAGTTGAACATTTATGCTTTTGTATTATAATAATTTTTGATGGCTATATTTCTAAAATAAGAGGCCACTGTTATAAACAGTAGGCTTTATAATGCAGAGTTGTTCAGCAATGCATTTGAAGATTGTTGAGGAGATAGGACTGTAATCTCTATTTTTACATGATTCCTGACATCTTTTCTACTCAAATGCTTTATCTTCTCTTTTAGTAATTTCTTGATACTATAATTAAATCTGTTTGCCGTGGATCTTATGCCCCATATTTCTTCTTCATTCTCCCAATTCTATTTCCTACACGCTATGTGCAGCCCAGTAGTGCTTTAGTAAACTTACTTTGTAAAATTTTTTGTAGGGGAGAACTGACTTGAAAAGAAAAGTGATCTCTGTATTTCTTACAAAGGCAACAGAGAGTGAGTAAAAATAAGTGAGGAAGCAATCTCTGCAACAGAATAAAATGGATGGGCGCTGCTCCTAGAGCAGAGATCTTCAACCTTGAATGTACCTATGGATCAAATCTTGTTAAAATTTAAATTTTGCTCACCAGTTTTATGATTCTGTACTTCTAACAAGTTCCCAGTTGTTACCAATTGTGGTAGGCAGTCTCAAAGATATCTCCCAATAACCACCCTCTTCTGGTATCTACATCCTTACGTAGTTCCCTATCCTGGTATCGGATGGGCCTATTGACTTATTTCTAAATAATAGACTATGGCAAAAATGATGAGGTGTCATTTCTGAGAAAAGGTTACAAAAAGATTGTGGCTTCTGCCTTGGGCACACTCTCTCAAATGCTTGCTCTGAATGAAGCCATCTACAATGCTGTGAACTGCCCCTTGTGAGATGCATAAAGTAAGGAACTGAGATCTCTGGACAACAGCTAGCAAGGACATAGACCTGTCGACTGCTACTGGCCATGTGATTGAGCTGGGAAGTGGATCCTCCCTGGATCGAGCCTTGAGATGACTGCAGCCTCATCAAGGCACCTTGATGGCAGATTTGTGAGAGACCCCGATCCAGGGGCCTTCACTTGATCTGTGCCCAGACTCCCTAATATAGAACTGTGAGATAATACATGTTTGCTGTTTTAAGTTGTTAAGATTTGGGATATTTGTTATGCAGCTTGAATAACTAATACACCAATGCTGTTGGTATATAGACCACACTTTAGCAAGGTCCTAGAGATCTTTCCACTTGTGGATAATTTTGTTGATAGACGCTGAATCACTGTCTGTGGCATGATACTTTACCAGTACATTGCTTTGTAGTTTGAATAAAAGGAACAAATAGAGTAAGTAGTTAAATACTTGTTAACAAAAACAAAAAATGTTCAAGGAAACTGAAGGTGATTATTGAAAGAGCCATTCGCATCTACAGGAGGACAGCTTTTCTTTCCCCTAAGAGAAATTGATTTCTTACCCTGAAGGAGAAATGACAGATGATTTATGTTTGATAATTAATGACAAAAATGATGCTTTCAACATATTTCACTTATAAATTATATCCCCTATAACCTGAGGGTCATGAAAGTAGGGTATACATTGATAAGATAATAGACTAAACTTAGATAATAACATTCAGATATAATTTAAAGAGCTTAAAATGCAGCGAGATTAACTAAACTGAAACTACTAAATTTTCAATATTGACAACTTTATTAAGTTGCAATCTTGCTTTTCAGAATTCCTCATTTAATTTCAAAATGTGCTTTGAGTTGGCCTCAGTAGGAGAAAAAGAGGAGGTGATTAGGATGGTAATAAAAGTTACTTAGGTTTATTGAGTTTCCTTCTAGGAGTTAATTCTTTTTCACAGGTTAACATTTTTTTTATAAAAGACCTGTACAATGGCCCTTTGCATAGGAAATATAATGAAGACTCAGATATTTTGCTGCAAATATTTATTTTCACCTGCTAATGATAATTTGGTAATATTTGAAATACTTTATGATGCTTAAGATCAGTTTTGTTTTGTTTTGTTTTTCATGTGGTGTCTAAACACTGACTAAATATTTTCATTTGGAAACTTTTGGGTGGGACTCTCCAGATGGGAGAGTTTCACTAGCTGTAAGTGGTGATCTGAAGAGCATCCAATAAGAGACACCTGACATATTCCAACATTCACTGATAATACATTAACTTTCCAATCTAGTGATTTATTCATTCTTAGCTTTTTAAAATGGCTTTAGGAATATTAATAATAGTATCTGCCATTTATCAAATGCTTCCTATGTACCCTGTACTTAGCTAGATGCCTTAAATATTAATTTATCTAATAAATATAGTGCCATTCTTAAAACAAATCGGTGAATAAGCTGATTATTATTCTCATTATGGTTCCAGTCTGATATGTGAAGGGCTAAGAAGTCATCACTCCCATCTTCATAACAAGAAAAAAAGCTGAACAAACTGGAAATCAACAACTATGCTTAGGTTCATCAGAAAACTGAGGTCATTGGCTAAATTGCAGCCCTGGAAGACAGACACATGGATACAGAGAATCATAGCTTAACAGGAACAGAAAACTGGAAGCAGAAGGCCTTAGCTTTCTGTAGGAACACTAACTGTCATTGGTGAATTGCTGGAAGGTTAGTGTGGACTAGCTTGTGAGTTAAAAAATCCAAAGGGACCCAGTCTCAGGGGCACCCCGCACTTTCATGAGTTTTACCTCCAGGAAACCTACCAGGTTCTCAATATCCCCTGTGCTTCTGGCAGGGAGAGGAAAGCTCTGAAATACATCCAGACCTCTCTGATCTCCTTAAAAAAGCTTGTCCCTAAGGGAATCTATTTTACCAGAACCTAACAGGCTGGAGTTTTACCAAAGCCTGATCAACAAAATATCCAACTCAGGCTCGCTAAAAGACTGAGACTTAATTATGGACAGGAGAACACTTCCTCTTCTCCCACACCTTGCGACCACATCAATAAGGCTATTGTATAATAACAGGGGATTACAGCAAAAAGAACTGCAGGCCTCTGACCATATTTAAAGAGTGCCAAAGGAAACCCAAAGACAATAGAGTAGACAAAAGCAAGGATACTAGAGGAAATTTTAGTCTCTGACACTATAGCTACAGCAAATAGTAAGCAGAATCTAACTCCTAGTCACATAAATATAAAACCTTGCACTAAAGACCTATCTATCACAGTTCCTTTTATATCATATCCAGCCTTCAACAAAGAATTACAAGCCACTCTAAAAGGCAAAAACAAAGTCTGAAGAGACAAAGCAAGCATCAGAACCAGACTCAAGTGTGGCACAGATTTGGGAACTATCAGACAAGGAATTTAAAACAACTATGATTAATACGCCAATGGTTCTAATGGAAAAAGTGGACAGTGCAAGAACAAGTGAGTAATAAAAGCAGAGAGATGAAAGTGCAAAGAAGGAAACAAATGAAAATGCAAGAAATCAAAAACACTGTAACATAAATAATGCCTTTGATGGGCTCATAAGTAGATTGGACATAGCTGAGGAAAGAATCAGTGAGCTTAAAGATGAGTCCACAGAAACTCCCCAAACTGAAATGCAAAAAGAAAAAAGAAATAAAAAGTCAGAACAGAGTATCTAAGAACTGTGGGCTATTAGAAAAGGTATATGATACAGTTTAGATGTTCTGCCCCCTCCAAATTTCATGTTGAAATGTGATCCCCAATGCTAGAGGTGGGGCCTGGTAGGAGGTGTTTCGGTCATGGGGGCAGATGCATCAGGGATGGCTTAGTGCCCTCCTCATGATAATGAATGAGTTATCATTCTACGTTCATGTGAGTCCTGGTTGTTTAAAAGAATGTGGTATCTCGTCACTTTCCCTCTCTCAGCATGTGATATGCTAGCTGCCCTTTCCTTCTGCCATGATTGTAAGCTTCCTGAGGACCTAACCAGAAGTAGATGGTGGCACCTTGCTTCCTGTACAGCCTGCAGAACCATGGGCCAAAATGAATCTGTTTTCTTTATACATTAACCAGTCTCAGGTATTCCTTTATAGCAATGCAAATGGACTGACACAGAATAACACATGTATAATGGGAATACTGGAAGGAGGAGAGAAAAAGGAACAGAAGCAACATTTAAAGCAACAATTACTGAGAATGTCCCAAAATGAATGACAGACACAAAGCTACAGATCTGCAAAACTCAGAGAACATCTAGGAGGATAAATACCAAAAAACCTATATCTAGGCATATTATATTCGAATTATAGAAAATCTTTTTTAAAAGCTAGAGGAAAAAGAACACCTTACCTACAGTTGCACAAGTATAAGATTTACACCAAACTTATACTCAGAAACCATATAAGCAAGAAGAGTGTGGAGTAAAATATTTATCCCGTCTTAAAAAAAAAGACTACTAACCTAAAATTCTGTATCCAACAGAATTATCCTTCAAAAGTGAAGAAGTTTGGGAAAAATAAAAAAGTTCTGGGGGTGGATGGTGGTGATAGTGGTACAACAATGTGAATGTACTTAATGCCACTGAACTATACACTTAAAAGTGGTTAAAATAGTATATTTTATGTTATATATATTTTGCCACAATTTTTTAAAGTGAAGTAGTAAATACTAAAGACTTTCTGAGACCAACAAAAATGGAGAAAATTTGTCACCAGTAGACTTGCCTTGCAAGTAATATTTTAAAAAGTTCTTCAGAGAGAAGAAAAATATATCGGCAGAAACTCAGATCTGTATTAAAAAAAATGGAAGAGCATTAGGAAAGAAAAAAAGAAGGTAAAATATTAAATTTTTCTTATTATTTATTGATCTAACAGAACAGTTTGTTCAAAATAACAATGACAATGCATTCAGTGATTATAGCTTATTTGTGAATGAAATGAATGATAGTCATTTTATAAGAGACAAGAGAGAAGAATTGGGAATACTGTTTTATATAGTACTTGTACTACCATGATGTGGTATAATATTACTTAAAAGTGCACTTAGATTGGTTGTAAACATATTCTAAAAACTCTAGGGCAACCACTAAAAATCGTACTTAAAAAAGAAGTATAATTAATATGCCAAGAGAAGAAAAAGTAGAATCATATAAATTGCCTAATTAAAACCAGAGAAGTGGAAGACAAAAAAGCAAAGAAAAGAGAGAAAGAAAAAAGTAAGAATGAATGAGCAAACAAAGGAAAGAAATAGAAAATATGTACAAATATGATCGCTATTAATCCAACTATATCAATCACTTTAAATGTGAATAGTCTAAATACATCAATTAAAAGACAAAGACTGTCAAAGTGGATAAACAAACAAGACCCAATTATAACTTGTCTACTAGAAACCCACCTTAAATATAAAGTTACAGATTAATTTCACTATGCAGGTGAAGGAAAATGAGACTCAGAGGACTAAGGCATCATATTCTTGCAGATTTTAAGTGGCAGAGCCAGAATCAGACTGAAGTTTAGTTAACTACATAGTCTCTAGTCTCTCCTTCAAACTGTGTTGCCTGGAAAGGGTCTTTATATTTCATGCTGTGAGAAACAGATAATCTCTTCCAAAGTTTACTCGTAATACATCAGATTACCCTGGCCAATTCTCTTTTTCAGTCTCATTTTATTTATTTAGTTAGTTAGTTAGTCAGTTAGTTAGTTTTTGAGATGGAGTCTCGCTCTGTCGCCCAGGCTGGAGTGCAGTGGCACGATCTCAGCTCACTGCAAGCTGCGCCTCCCGGGTTCATGCCATTCTCCTGCTTCAGCTCCCGAGTAGCTGGGACTACAGGCGCCTGCCACCACGCCCGGCTAATATATATATATATATATATATATTTTAGTAGAGACAGGGCTTCGCCGTGTTAGCCAAGATGGTTTAGTCTCATTTTTTTTTTTTTTTTTTTTTTTTTGAGACGGAGTCTGGCTCTGTCGCCCAGGCTGGAGTGCAGTGGCGCGATGGTTTAGACTCATTTTTAAAAGACTTTAGTTGTTCAGAAGAGTAGAGTGATATAGTTGAATAGTGGCAAAAGAACTAACTGAGGGGCAAAAAGAGGCTATTAACAGTTATTGAGAGACTGTATGTACATGACATTCTCCTAGACCCTGGTAGAGCATAGCGACAACACTGTCACCTCAAATGAAGAACATTACAATCTAGAAATGGAAATCTCAACACCTTATTTTTTTTCTAGGCCTACTAGAAAAAATAAAAAAGTAAATTAGTATAATCCACTTTTACCAAAAATTTTCAAAATTTTCAAAATTCCTTGAGAATATTTATAGACTTCTAAAAGTAAAACATAAAATTGTTTTAGACAATTATCCAACATTTGAAAATAAAGCAAAGTTTGAATGTCTCTTCCATGATAAAATGGAGCATAGCCCAAGAAGCCATCAAAGCATTATTTAATTATCTATGTGGTTATAGTTTTGTGTGACCTACTGTTTACTACTGAATTGACCCAGCATTATGAAGCTGTAAATTGACTGGTAGATTTGTGTCTTGAAGAAATGCAAATTGCTTCTACCCAGAAAAGAAAAAAAAAAAGATAATCTCAAAGGTTATAGTTTTATTTTCCTACTGGATGTTTGATAATTTAATATGTATACTAGAAAACGAATTCATATGATTTTCCTGAGAAAATATACAACCTATACAACCTACACAGCCTACTCATCTAGTTCTCTTGAACCAGCTGTACCATCTTGCTGGTTCTCTCATTAAATAAGCTAAATCAATCTTTGACAAATGTTCCCTCTATATTTGTGTAAGAGTCATGTTTTCAACTTTTTAAAAAAATTATATTTTGACAGATTTGAAGGTTGCCCTAAAGGTGCATAGTGTGTTCACCTGCTAGAGCTAGTTAAGCAGAGTTGCCCAAGAAACTCCTGGGGTGAATCACAAACAGCAATAGAATTTTCCCTTTCGGACTGTCAGATTTGTCTTCTGATTCTGTTTTTCTTTTCTTTTCTTTTTTTCTGGTTTGTTTCATTGTCGCTCCTGATCTTGGCCAGGAAGTTCCACATTTGTTTAACTTATTGTCTAGGATTATGTCCATTTTCACAACTGCTACTGGATCACAAGGTTGGGCTTAATTATGTAATCAAGAGAACCCTCATGTATAAAACAGGTGTATAAAACAGCCGATTCCAGAGACTAGTAGGTACTGAATAACTAGGTGAGTAGAGGTCACATAATCTATAAAATGTTCCCCCTTTGGAATGACAATAATTAGCAATCTGGTTTTATGACAAGATCACTTGGTAACCTATATTAGGATGATGAGAATATATTCTTTGTTGAGTGGTAGAAGACAGAGAATATGGTTAGTTGTTCCATATTTTTTGTGTGTCTATTTGTCTGCTTAAATCCATAAAGAAAACATTCATTTTTCACTGAAAAGGAGAATAACCATTGAGACTGTGTGTCTTTTGCTTGAGGTTGTGGAACTGAATTTCAAGTCCTGTAGGTGGTTGTGTATTTAACTGAGAAAAAAACCTTTCACCACTATTTACCATATTTAGTATTCATATATGCATATAACTATTTATCATAATAAGAATATGAAGTCTTTTCTTCTAGGATATACCAATAAATTAAATTACAATGTGTCTTCAGTAAAAACAGCTTTTTCTAATATTAGAGTCTATTAAATACTTGTACAAATTTAATAGTCCCAGAATTCTCATAAAATAAAGAAACTGATCTCTAATATAATGAATGTTCTAGTCTTTTAAGGAAAAATAAATTTCCAGATAAAAATGCTGCCTCAGAAGCATTGTTAGTATGTAAGAATCAAGATGAATCTTTAGATATATATTGGTTTGGTAATTTTAGTTTACAAAATTTTCCTTGTTTTGTCATTACGAAAAATAAACATCATTTAACTTAATTTTTTTAATTTATATTTCTTTTCTAATGAAGACATTAGTTAATCTTAAATTTGGTTACAACTTATGGCTTATATGGGTGGTCACGGTAAATGAATGAGCATGTTTGTGTTCCAATAAAAGTATTTACAAAAACAGGTGGGCTGGATTTAGGTAGTGAGTCGCCAGAGTCCCAACCTGACAAGTATGAAAAAAGAAAAAAAGGTACTTCCTGGTTAATTTAACTCGGACTACCTTTCCTAATGAATTATTTGACTTCTGTTTCTTCCTTTAACCATCTTTTCATCCTGATGATTTCCTTCATTGAGCCAAATAAACGTTAAGCATATGCTTGTTTTATATTTCTATATTTTTACTATTTAAAAAAAAATTTTTTTGATAGAATCAAATAACAGAGGACCAGGCATGGTGGCTCACACCTGTAATCCGAATACTTTTGGAGGCCGAGGCAAGCGGATCACCTCAGGTCAGGAATTCGAGACCAGCCTGGCCAACATAGTGAAACTCCATTTCGACTAAAAACACAAAAATTAGCCAGGAGTGGTGGTGCATACCTGTAATCCCACCTACTGGGAAGCCTTAGGTAAGAGAATCACGAACCTGGGAGGCAGAGGTTGCAGTGAGCCGAGACCATGCCACTGCACTCCAGCCTGGCTGACACAGCGAGACTTTGTCTCAAAAAAAAAAAAAAAATCAGATAACAAAATAACAGAGCCACATACAAAAATCTTATTAGAACTGATGCAAATGTAGATGGGGCCAATACGGTATAGACTATGCAGATGATACAAAAGAGCTTAAAACTATGATTCTGCTGTGACAAAAGTTTCCATCAAATATGTGTCCCTAAGCCTTCAACTCCTTTTTAGTCATTATTTATCCACTTCTTGTCATTGATTAATGAGAATAAAAGCCACCCTATTGCACAGGAAAAAAATCATACACTGAATTTATTAAATACATAATTTAATGCAAATATGATTAAATAAACTTTGTCTTTTCAGTGTGAATCACAATGAATTCTATGAGGAAATAATAGATTTGCTCTTTATTTTTAATAGGTTTCTGTCTCAGATGGTATGCAATTCAGCATATACCAAGTATTGAATATTGTGATGATGCAGGGCTAATAATTTCATGTAGCTGTTTACATTTTATTTTCCACAAATACCTTAATGATATCTCTGGCACCACAGGATATCAATGACTAAATTTTTATGCTTTATCTCTAGTCTGTAGAAATTAAAGTGTTTAAGTTGTCCTTTGGCATGCTACTGTTTTGAACAATTAAAGTGTTTGATCTAGTTTAAATGATGTTACATTTATTAAGACACACTTGCCTAAAATATCAATTTCCTTTTCTAATTTAGTATTCTCCTAGAATTTTACTCTAATTAATGTAGACAATTTTACCTGGACATGTGAGAGTTTGCTCTCCTTTGAATGTGATGTAATTTATCATGTTTATATGTACACTGATCCTTTTCCAGCAGAAATAACTTAAAAAGATATTTAAAACAGAGATAACAGGTGTTTTGTATTTATTTACACCTATGATGTCCTGTGACTTAACTACCCATTGGCAGTATCATTTAGTGGGAATAGCGAAGAAAGCTAAAACTTTGGTTTTAGTCTTGGTTCCACCAGTAACTTAACCTGTACTATAACAAGTATCTAATCTTCCCATGTCCCCATTCTCCTGTCTGTTAGATAAGAATATTGAGGATCATCTTCAAAATTCCTTTCAGCCTGAAAATGTCTTGGTTCTCTGATACAGCATGTTAGAAGTGATAGGAAATTTTTCAAGATATAGGAAAAACAAACACATTAGTGACAATGAAATATAAAGACAAGTGACAAAGAGGTGGTAAGCATGAACACTTCCAGTGCAGTGGTTCTATCCTACCCAATAATCCTAGTTTCTAAAGTGGCACATGGAAAAGCAATAAACATATGCTGAATGAAGAAATCGATGAGAGAGGAAGAACAGGTACAGACAGTATGTGGTAATGCAGCAGAGAGTAAGTATGGATTCATTTTTCTTAGGAAAAGAAGACATCTGTCAGTCAGATGGGTATGGGTGATCCATGCCAAGAAGGACATTCCAGTTTGAATCTGGAATGAGAGAAATAAGCAAAGGCTCAGAGATGAAAATGTTCATTTTGTGCTAATAAAGTGACAAGACAACCAGGGGAGCAGGTGTTGGTAGAGGAAAAGCGGAAAGGTAATTTGGAGGCATTCATGGAGGATCTGGAATATTGAGCAAAGATAACCCCGAGAGATGCCGTGACAGTTCATTCCATAGACAAGCTCAACACATTATCCTAAACAGAGGCACTTGACAGGAGTTTTAACCCACTTCTGTGCTGCAGGTTACTGAGTGCATTAGTCTGCTCTCATGTTGCTATAAAGAAATTCCAGGGACTGGGTAATTTGTAAAGAAAAGTGGTTTAATTGGATCATGGTTCCGAAGGCTGCACAGGAAGCTGAAGCTGGTATCTGCTCAGCTTCTGGAGAGGCCTCAGGAAACTTTCTGTCATGGAGGAAGGCAAAAGGAGAGCTAGCATTTCACGTGGCCAGAGCAGAAGGAAGAGAGTGGGGGATGTGTCACATACTTTTAAAGACCAGATCTCAGGAGAACTCACTAATCCAATGACAGCATCAAGGAGAGTGATGTGAAACCATGAGGAATCACCACCATGATTCTATCCCCTCCCACCAGGCCCAACCTCCACCACTGGGGATGAATACAGAACATGAGACTTGGGTGGGGACACAGATCCAAACCATATCACTGATTTTGAGCTGCCCTCAAAATAGCTTAGAGGCTTTATTAGCATCTCAGGCCTATTCTTTAGTGTGGGTAAAATGTACTAATAACAACAAAGGAAGTTACAGAAAAATTAATTTGGGCTGTGTAGGGAAATTAGATAAAACTACAGCTTAGACTGACACCAGGCCAACTTTATTATGTATATCTCCTTCTGGAATGGAGGCTAACTCTTCTAGTACTCAAACAACCATTTCATTCTCCTGAATCCAGAGTGACAGATTCACTCTCAGAAGGAAATGGACTGGGAATTCAGAAAGAGTTAATTTGTATATGTGAATCATGGATGCTTTCCATTTTTCAATCAGAGGAAATGAAGTGCTTTTCAAATATATGACCCAGAAAAACTCAGAGGGCTTGATCTCCTATTTCCTCCCTATAAACCCAGTATTACAGTTGTTAAAATTCCCATGACAAATATGTTCTTCCTCTTGTGTTTTGAGTTATTCTCCCTTTTTGGAACATTCTTAAATTTCCCTGAAGTCTGTGTTTATGCCCTTTAAAAAGAATGAATATAAAAGAAGTTTGTCACATGACTTTCAGATGCAATAAAACTCATTCCCAAGTTTAATTCCTAAACATACTGTTTTAAATTTATCATTTGTCCATTTAAAAATGTTTTTAAAGCAATATTTTCTTTTTAAATTGTAGTCTTACAGCAGTTTAATGAAATTGATCTAATAAAAACTTATTAAAGTAATAGATGGTTTGAGAATCATGTTTCCCTTTAGAAAATACACACTTACATGCATATATGTACATACTACATATATACATAGCCTGGAGCTCCATAATAAGGAACTGGGGTATGGATTCCTAAGATGTACTTCTCTAATTCCTCATTCACAACTTCACCATGAGCGAGTTTCTTAACAGCTTTAGCCATCTTTAATATACTTAACCACATTTAACATAATATCCTAATGCTAGGCTTCTTTGGAGAGATGCGGCTAAGCTCCATTAGTTATAGCTTGTGGAGAGGTTGGATGCTCTTGGATGAATGGTGCCATGTGAAATTGCAATATAATTGCTACAATTAAGAGGCCACATTCTCTGCTTATACAACTCACTGGGAAATTATTTTTGCACCAAAGGTAATAATTTTTATCTTTATCCTTATGTAAAAGCCCTAAATATTTTCAATTGCTTTTATACCTAGGTATCATAATTAACATTATGCCTAGTCAAAATTAAATAGATCTTTCAGTTGAGCAAGTATAACCCTGAGAAATGCTGTGACAGTTCATTCCATAAAAAACTCGCCACATTATCCTAAACAGAAGCACTTGACAGGAGCTTTAACTCACTGCTGTGCTGCCGGTTACTAAGTGTATTAGTCTGTTCTCACATTACTATAAAGAAATACCTGAGACGGGGTAATTTATTTAAAAGAGTTTTGTTCAGCTCATGGTTCTGAAGGCTATATAGGAAGCATGATGCTGGCATCTGCTCAGCTTCTGAGGAGGCCTCAGGAAACTTAGAATCACGGCAGAAGGTGATGATTTGAGCTCATTAAGAGATACTATCATACAGACATTATTTCTTTTCTATTGTGGAAATTACTAGATTTTCAAATATTCAGATATTCTTGAATGATTCTTGCTCAGAAATTTAAATTCAACAAATGAGTAAGAGATTTTTTCTTTTTGATTCAATATGTTTTTTGTTTTTTTTTTGTTTTGTTGTTTTGCTAAACCCCTATGAACTTCCTGATATAATGAAGACAGTGTAGTAAATGGTATCCCAGTCAGTTGGACACCCTATAAAAAGACATGATTTGGATTTTGGATCTCAGATGACTGGGGTTGATATGTTATTCTTCTACTAATTAACTCTTGGATTTTTGTCAGTTGGATATGTTACTTAACATTTTCTCTATACCAATTTTCTAATCCAAAAAGTGGTATACATTATGTACATGACAAGGCAATGCAGTTGGGAAAACTGAATAAGATAACATATGCATGTAGCATAAAGCTTCACTAGACAGTGCTTAATAAAATTTAGTTATCTCCTCTACTTTTAAATTGACATAAATAGGTCAAAGGGTACAAAGTTGCAGCTCTGTTGGATAAATAGTTCTAGGAATCTAATGCACAGCATGAGGACTATAGTTAATAATATTGTATTGCATTCTGAAAATTTACTGAGAGTAGGTTTTAGGTGCTACTACCCCAAAAAGAGAATGTAAAAGTTAACTATGTGAGATAATATATATGTTAATTCATCTGACTGTAGTAACCAGTAACCATTTCCCTATGTATATCAAAACATTATGCTGTGTAAATAAATACATAGAATATATATCATAAAATGGCTTTTTTTTTTTTTTTTTTGAGACGGAGTCTCGCTCTGTCGCCCAGGCTGGAGTGCAGTGGCACGATCTCAGCTCACTGCAAGCTCCGCCTCCCAGGTTCACGCCATTCTCCTGCCTCAGCCTCCCAAGTAGCTGGGGCTACAGACGCCTGCCACCTGGCTAATTTTTGTATTTTTAGTAGAGATGAGGTTTCACCATGTTAGCCACAGTGGTCTCGATCTCCTGACCTCGTGATCCATCCACCTCGGCCTCCCAAAGTGCTGGGATTACAGGCGTGAGCCACCACACCCGGCCTAATTTTTTAAAATGTCTTCCACATTCAAGGATGTTGAAATATAATGTAATTAAGTAGGTTAATTAAACTGACAATTTGTTTTCAGTAATGATCTGGTTGTTCTCTTGTTCAAAATGATTATTTATATATGGTTTTAGCATACAAAACCTGCCCAATACACATTACCTAATTTTTATTTTAAAAAAGTTATTTCAATGTAAATATCACTGATATTATATGTATTACTCTGAAAAATTACATATGTGCATTGAAAACTGTGTCGATAAATGCATAAGTTATGATTTCCAAGCCACAGTGAAAATATACCCTAAAGACAGACAGAGGAATCAGAGATTTCTAGTGCTAAAAGAAACCATAGTTAATTTTGGAGTCAGAGTACTGCGTTCTATGATACATATGTGGACACAAGCTTGATGACTTGGCCAAAATTGTATCACCACTTAGTGCTAGAAATGGGACAAATATCTTGATGTTCTGATTCTAATTCCCTTTTTTCCGCAATACTAAATAATAGGAAAATATTTTTATTATGGTCTGGTCAGTGTAGAATTGGCCTTTCATATTCTATGAACATTTTCTGATGACAGTTTAGGACTGGATTAAAAAAAGAATAATCTTTCAAGAAAGAAGCAATTCTACAACTGAAGTTAAACAGAGACTGACCTGCATGAGCATTCATGAATGATTCTACCCTATTATATTGGATATTGTAGTCACTTGGGTGTAAAATCAACAAATATTTGCAAGCAAGGGTCACTCGCACATTTTGCTGATACAGAAATACAACCATAGAGGTGCTACAGTTACCTAAAAGTCATGCACTAATTCAAAAAAATATTTCTGATTTCTATTCCTATTGTCCTGTATTCCTTATATCTGATAATGACTATGGCCAGATTAAATAGTTTGCAAATAGCTGTTCTCTCCTACCACAGATTAGCATAAATTTGATGTTAATTCATCACTTCTAGCTTTGAAGGACCACAAATGAGGGTGATAAAAGCAGATGCCTAGCATATGGCAACAGATGGGTCACCACATTTAAGGAAAGCTACTGGGAATAGCTTGGTTTACTTTTCTCAGTTCTTACTACAAAAGGTGAAAAGAATGAAGAAGGAAACAATCTAGGCAATGCAGACTTAATTGACTCCTAATTGTCCTTCAGTTTTAAAATGTGCTATTAAAATATACAACTTGTAGTTTGCTAGTATGTTTCATGTCATAGTGTTGTCCATAGCCAGGTAGAAATATTCATAAAAAAGGAGTCAACCAACTATAGGTAGGATTGTACAGTACTCACTGGCAAAATATGTTTGCTGGTGGCCAGAATTATTGAAGCAGATGGCACATGATGAGCTCATCAGGACATGTCCAGACGCCCAGCTTTGTAATACCAAGTTTTATTATTCTTGCTCAGATGCTGCCCTATCCTAATATTACACTTAAAATTTTACCTATGAAGCATTTACAATTTTATACTAAATTATACATGCTTTTATTGTAAACTAGAAATAAAAATGATGCTTATGTTAAAACTTTGATTCAATACCCATAAAACACTGCAGAGATATCTTAAGATCAAATGCTTGCCCCATGAACTAGCATCTAAATTACCGTTCATTTTTAGGGAAAATTTCATTATCTATTTGAAGTTGGTTCCATAAATATAATTCATAAACTCAGAAGATAAAAAAGAAAACAAACAAAATGAATTTATGTTCAAATACACGTGAAACTAAATAATAGCTGGATTTTATTGGATATAACTGTTTGCCCTATAATTAGCAAAGAGAATGTCAAATTATATGTTTTCCCTTGGATATGAATTTGTTAAAAAAGCTCTGTTGGGTTTATTTGATATTTCTCTATTAAAGCAAGTATGTAATTCTTAAATAAAATCCTTAGAGAACTTTCTGAAGTTAAAATAAAATCCAAAAGCTTTTCCTAAGTTATAATACAGATAAAAAAACAAAGTTACAATAATAAAAGCTCAAACTTTTGCTCAAACTATTACTAGAATTTGAGATAATTTTCTGATAATAATGAAAATCCTGGTAGATACAGGTTTAAAAATACAATCCATATAGTATAATACCTATCCTATACCCAAAGTTGTAAAAAGGTCTGTTTTTTTCTTCTCCAGTGTCTATCATCTGATTCAGAAATATAAGTTTTTAGACAGCTAAAACTTGGCATTGGTACCTCCTAACATTTTGTGTGTGCTGCTTTTATAAAGTAATCGCAGTGTGATTCCTATTGTCACTCTTCAACCATAGCAGTAGTATCTTTCTAGGCTGGTTTTGTAGTTATTAGAGTTCCCTGCTCAGGAAGTAGGGTAAGGAGCAGTGGGTGGTGATGTACTGCATTCTAGGAAATAAGTATAGTTTCCATAAGTAAAGCTCTTGGTGGATCACAGAAATAGCAAGAGTCCTGGTAGCAATGCATTTCAGAGGTAGTGGGGGTTTTGGTTGTTGATAATGTGTATGTTGTTTTTCTTATTGCTTTTGTTTGGTAATCCCATGCAGAAATTTTTAACCCATGTTGACTTTCATAGTGACAAGAAAGAACCCCAGTGATAATAATAGCATAAACAATAACTTCTAGCCTTTAATAAAGCACAAGTGCCAGGTACAATGACAGGTACTTTAAATACTTCCCCCCACCCCCACCTAATCTTACTCAAACCTTAAATGGTAGAAATGATTATCTTCAAACTGCAATTTGAAGATAACTTACCCAAGCAAGTTACTCAAGTAACTTACTCAAGTCATACAACTAGAAAGTGAAGGGGCTGGGATTCAGGCCTAGATTTACTTGGCTCTGAAGTTCACATGCTTAATCTGCTTCTTTGCCTCTATGTGAGAGCTCAGTAAATACAGCATTTATGCACTCTTTTTTAAAAAAAACTATTAGAATATTCAGTTGGCAAAAGAAAAATAAATCAAGAATTGCAAAATTTTATCGTAAAAGGAATGAGGTATATTCCTCCAGCTTATAAATTATCACAGAAATAACCTGCAATGTGGAAAAGCATATCACAACAAAAGTATAAGAAACAAGTTAAATATCCAATATTAGAGAAATGCACATAAAATAGAATATTTTCCAGGAAATACAAATGAAGTTTAGAAAAATAACACAGGAAAGGGTTTATAACACAATGTTAAGCAAAGAAGGAGGCACTACAAAAAAGATACAAGTTATAAATTATAATTTCAACAATGCAAAAAATTACAGAAGATAAATGCTTGAATAAAATTTTTTAAAAATGGTAACAAAAATGGCCTCTGGATAATGCAATGGTGTTTTTTTGGTCACTCTTCTTTATATTTTATGTACTTTAAAATATTTATCAGGAGTGTACATTACGTTTCAACAGAAAAGATCTTTAATTATAAAATGAAACCATTATGAACATACAGAATTATATAAATGGGAAATCATAGATAAATGTTATTTGGATGATTAAAACATTTAAATCTTTGTTTAGGAAACATCAATACAGTAATAAAGGTCACAAGCATTCATGATTAATTTATTGAGAGGATACTATGAAACCATAAAAATCTGTGTAATTGTAGAATTATACCTGATAGGAAGAAAACAAACTTTTAAAAATATTTATTTATCTTATACTAGTAGAATCTTCTCACTTTCTTCCTATTCTTGTTCCAAAAATATTTTTGTCATTTTTAATTTTACTGTGTATGTTCATTCCTCAGTAATCAACAGTGTGCTTTCTTGTTTATGACTATTCCAAAAGTACAACATCCCTTAATGATCCCATGATATAAAAAACACATGGAGACCGTTTGGTACCCAAGAAGACAATTGTAAGAAAAAAATAGAGTAAGTGTGCCAAAATACAAGACGACTTTCATTGTATCACTTCCCTAACATAACAACTACAAGTGGTCGTGTTGCCTTTCAAACCGTGTTCAAACTTCTTAGCTTGGCATTCAGTATTCTTTATTAATTAGGCTGATTTTACCTTTTCAGTCTTGTTCTCATTAACTCCAACATAACCATCACAACTGTCTCAATCAATCTCGCTGTGGTTTCCTAGGCAATCCATGCTTATCACTACCTTATTACCACTACCTACAGCTATCCTATTTCTCTAATCACTTTCTCGAAGGAAGATTTTTCTAGAAGGAATTTCTTGAAGAAAGAAACTTCTAGATAATTAATTTATTATTAATACATTATTAATGTATTCCTCCAATACTGACCTCTTACACTCGGCTAAACATTAAAGATGGAATGAACTGGACCTGGTTCTAGCCACGAAAGAACTGATAGTCTACTAAGATATATACAATAATCAGTGGTGTGACCTGAAGGATAACAAGTTAGAGTTAACTACAAAAAGTGTAGGAAATAGGGGTGGGACAGGAAGAAAGATCCAGGCAAAAGCAACATCATCTACAAATGTTAAGGGGCAAGAATGCACAGGGCAAGTCTGAGAAACTGAGATGGGGCTTGGGTTGTAAATTGATAAGCAATTGACCAGCTTCCCCAGCATAGCATTAAATGACTATGATATAATTTCTTTCATATCAAAATTATATTTTATTACAGACCATGGGACCTCTGAGATTAAACAAGAGTTTTCTATACCATGGAGGTTAAAATCTTTTAGTAGCAACCTCATACTTTACCTACCTGATGATTAGTTAAGTAACGTGAAATACATATCTTCCACATCATCTGTATTACTTTGGGGCTTATCACAAGAATTGAATATAGTTGATGCCTAAAAACATATCTTTAGTCACTTGATGCCTCTCACACAAACACTTCTACAAGCAGAGATGGGGAGTAATGTCCAAAGTGTGGACATTTATGTTGTTAAATGGTGTGCAGCTGAGAGTTTCCATCTGTCTCAGTTGCTCAACAAAGAGTGAGGATTTGGAAATATGTATGTTTACTATAGATTTGCATCATCAGTGTTTAATTGTAGCAAACAAGATTTTTGGCTGAGGCAAAATTAATTTCATGTGTATGGTCATAGAGATGGCAAATGATTCTTGTTAAATTCATTTCCAAGTGTATGAACCAATCTGACATTCTCAGCATATACTTAACTCATTTTATTTGTTCTCAGAAGAGTTAATGCACTTGAGTAACTCCAAGTTTTGTTTACAAAAGGACATTGGGGATTTTTCATGTAGAGGGTAAGTTTTTCAAGTTATTTGATCTTGTTGACACAAAATCAACTTAATGATATTTAAAAAAAGTAACAGAATTGGGTGCAATCCAAATAGAATCCATTTGTCTTAAGACAGAAAGCAAACAAAAATGACCCAACATTTAATGTTATGAAATTACTGAGCATTCTCAGTAATGATGTTTGGACTTTTGGAATTAAAGTATACATGGAAATACATTTTCTCTGTTTATATTGGCTGCTGCATGGCACTCGGAACAACCAGTTTAGGAAGGGGGAAAGCTGGCTTTGTTTTTGTCCACTGCGAATCACTCAGTCTCTGTATCTCCGTTTTAAACTCAACAATGTGGACATCTGATATTACTCCTAGGAGGCTTAATTAATGGTTAATGGTTTTGACTCTAACAATAATCATTTCAACAGGCTTGTTTATTAATGCCAATAACAAGTTTGTGCTATAATTATTTAAAAGCCTCTAACACAGAAAGCGGCATCCATTTTTTGAATTAAGCCTTGTTATTTATTTATTGACTACTAATGACCATATTTTGAGCTCATTTTATTTATTAATTAAATCAAAATGTTTGAGCAGTTCCATTTTGTGCAGGCGCCACTCTTCAAAGCATGGTGGTTTTCCGTCTTTGGTACTAAGTAAAGCTACCGTTCAATAAAGAGATTTCTTTGTACTATGACTAGATGGGATACCATTTGAAGCAGCTTTTCACTGTCTTTATCATAATGCACAATGGTCATTAAGATCTTCTCAAAATTTTTGATCATATCATGTATGAATCCCCATAAGATTTCAACTTCGAGTGGAAATAGTCAATTGCTTCACTGAATATGTGTTCCACCTTTTACAAAATTAGTCTCTTATAATCCCACTTGTATATGTAAATTGTAACATTGTTGGAAAGGAGGGCAATAAAAGAAACACGGCTGTTGAGTAACCAAACAAGTCCAAAAAATGCCTAGCAGGAAAGACAGGACATGCATCGGTCTAATTCTATAAGGTTAAGTCATGGACAACAAATATAAGTACACTGATAAGTATCACCTTCATTAAGTGATAACCTAAATCATATCAAAACAGACATCTAAGAAAATGGTTGTTTTATATTAAACATATTGGTATAGAAAATCTAGATTTCATTTCTCTGTGGTATAAGATTGCCCTGAAGCAGAATGCACATTGGTAGACAGGGTGGTAACTTTATTTTATAATTTCTCAGGCTACTGAAGGATGATAATTGGAGGGAGGGGGATGAGACAGAGTAGGGGAAATTTCAAGATCTACTTCTAAATCATTATAAGTTTGACCCCTACTAAGGTGACATGCAATCTGGGTTAATCAGCATGGGCCCAGTGACTACCAAAATCGTCCTTCTTATGTTCTAGTTCGTTTTTCCAGACTGACAAAAACACATATATAGAGACCATAAATCTCTTAGTTATTCTAAGTTTCTTCTCACATAATTATTCCGGCATCTTCAAACTAATTTTTAGAAACTTCCAAATAAGGAATAATTGGAACTAGTACTACATTACAAAGCAAACACAAAATCAAATTTAAAAAGAAGCACAAATATAAATGGTAAAATTCTGTTTCACTTCTCAGGGTTGTCAGGGTCAGGATTCCTGAAAAACACGAATCATAGCCAGATTCAAGAAAAAACAAGTGGATATTTTTCAAGAGTCAATTTAATATGTGGATTTCACTACTAAATATAATCCCCAAAAAGAGTTTGTATGAATTTTAAAAAAGTAAATCTAATGTCGTTTATGATAATAGTGATAGCATAGTTTGATTCTTCACTTCCTTGACAAAGCAACTATAACATCAGGGAGAAGGCCATTATTAATAGACACATTTATTGGACAAATACTCTATCCTAGCAAATATATGCTGCAAATATTGTATTTAAATGTATGCTGCAAATGTTACATTCATTATTTAATCATTGTATCCTCATAACTTCAGGACTGAGGAGAGAAGATGTGGCACACATCAAAGTGCTTTGTACACTATGCAAAATATGTACAATGCAAAATAATGTCTCACAGGAGAAATCTTTTTTTTTAGACAAAAGTGCTAAGAAATTATTTATTTTTCCTGTGTCTTTCATTCTCACTTTCCTCTTCTAACAAAACTGGTTCTCAGAATTCTTGCTTCCATACAGCTATTGCAAGGCAATTGTTTTGTTACTTCATCTAACATTCAAAATATATTTACTAAATACCATGTATAGTCCCAAACCTCCCAGCTACTATTTTATATTTTCATATGGGTCAGAAGCTCTGGCTGAAAAGATGATTTGTGAGAACTGAATTTCTGGCATTAATCCAATAGAAAGGTGAGAAATTAAAGGCATGTTCTTCTAATCAACCCTCCTATGCTTTAGGCAGACCCACTTGTATTATCTACCTGAATACTGGCCTCAGGTATGTTTCTGATTTAAGGGAGGTGACCACTTGCAGAGCTCTGTCGAAAAATATTCCTAGGACAGGTCTGAAGTCAGCAGAAATAAAGTGACATAAGTCATTAATTGTGGCATTAATTGTGTGACAACAGTGTACACACGATGGACGAAGGACAACATTTATGCCCCACAACTGTTCTTTTGGAGGAGGGGAATGATCACTGAATTATTTTGAGGAACAGTGATATCATGTGCAAATTTCTTAAGAAAGTTGAAAAATGTTTAAGAAAAAGTGTGTGTGTGTGTGTGTGTGTGTAAAAAGAAGGGAGGAGGGCAGGAGAGAGAGAGAAGGAGAGAGAGAGGAGGGCGGGGGAGAATGAGAAAGGTCAATATAAAATGTTTACATCTGGGGGAATGTGGATAAGGGATATATAGCAACTTTTGGTACTCTTTTGCAATTTTTACGTAAAGTCTGGAATTATTTCAAAACAAAAATTTTAAAATGCCTGCCACTTAGTAGGAAATCCTCCTCTGGATGATATAAATAAAAAATACTGAGATTAAACCAACAATATTGTATGTACTGTAGCTTCTTGCAAGGTGGTAAAATGGATGCCTTTGGGAAAATGGGTATTTAAAAGGTTCACGTAGAGACAAAAAATTTTAGGGGGAAACCCACACAGCTGCTGGTTTTGTTGCAACACTAGAATATGTGGTAGCCATTTTTCATATTTTGGATCTGTTTTCAAATCACAAAGAGAAAAACAGGTCGATTCCTTAAAATTCATTATAATTCTGGAATCCTATAATGAACACTCAAGAAACCTACTCTTCCTCATTCCATTCATCCATCTTACTTATGTGAACACTGCTGATACGATGCTCACTATAAGCTTGCTAGCAACTGCTTCAGACACCTCAGGGACAATGTGCCCAAGTCACATTTCAATCAGAAGTTGCCAAGTCTATACTGAGGGCTGTGCCAAGGATAGTCAGGGAATTAATGCCCTAGTGATTGATGCTACTTAGGTAATAAATTAGGCTACCGAATTAAATGTCTATTTATTTTCAGTTAAAACCACACAGACTTTACCATTTGTCAATATGTGTAATATACAATGCTACAAATAATGTTTTTTTCCTTGTAAGTTCTTTCTTCTAATCCTAAAACTTCAAAACCTCATTTAGTATAGTAAAAGAAGATGCCAAAAACTAACATGTACATATTCTTTGTGCACTTAGGGATGAAAAAAAAAAAAAAACTACTGCCTTTCATTTCTCTACTCTTCCGACAACTCTGAGAACAATGGTTCCTGAGAGTGACAATATCTGAGGAAAGAGCAGGTCCTGCAACCAACGAGAAATTCTCCTGCAGCATTTCAAAGCAGGTAGTAAATCTCCTTTTCTTTTATTTTCTTTATTTTTTTCTTTTTAGTGAATCGCTACAGTAATAGACAGGGGAAATATATTTTAGTCTTTCTTTAACCAGGAACCTAAGTTCCAGATGACTGAGTTTGGCTGGTGAGATGCAGAGGAGGCATTGGGTTTCTATGATCCACTACAAAAAAGCAAATGTTGCTAGTGTAGTCCAAACACAAAAAAATAGAAGCAGGATTAAGGAATACTTTAATTCAGTAATTAAATAAATGCTTAGTCCCTCAATAATTGGCCAGGCATTAAGGACATATAAGCATTGATTAGTCACAGCTCTGTCCTAAGGTGATTATGCTGCAGGAGAAAAAGATAGTGAGCAATATTATTAACCAAGATAAGAGAGGGAGCCTAAAATTTGGCACAATAGGAAAGTGACAGATGAAGTCATGTATAGAGAATTTTGTCCACAGACTTTCACTCTTTGGAAATCTTTAGCCCCAGAGACTTAAAAATATTTTTTTAAAATAACATGACTTAACTGCAGAAAGATTTTTGTCAATGCATAAAATTTACTTTACCATAAGTCATTAAGTTTTACAGTGTGACTAAAATCACCAATCTAAGTGATAAAATTAAGTTATACTTGGTGGCTTCTTGTGTATTATTATTTATTTGCAATACAATTTTGTCGTCACAATTAAAAAATTGTATAAGACTAAAGTATGGTCTCAGATTCTTGTCCATGGTTCCTGCATAATCCTAAAAAGGGCTTTATCTGTAGTCTTAATTTATTTGTAATCTTTTCTGCTCTCTGGGCAAAGACTATTTCTTTTCTAAAAACCTATATGAACATCTATCTGAGTCCTATTTTATTCACCTATTTCTGGTAAGAAGCATCAGGCTCCCATATGCCCTATGAAGAAACTGTAGAATGGTTTGTAAATATTTCTTAAAGTAGTTGTCAACTCCCTTGCCTTCCTATGATAGACCTGTCCATATAGCATTAGCCAATATGACTAAAATCATAGAGTCAATTGGTTATTAATTCACCTGATTCTATAAAGAGAGGACATTCTGAACCTTAAATGGCTAAATCTTACTTGGGCACTAATCACTCCAGGTGCTGCATCTGTGTAGGGGCGCTCAATACCAAATTTAGGGACTCCGATGTAGCATGTTCAGGAAAACAAGTTATTTGTATATTGTCATTCACCCTTCTATGAAATAGGATAAAAGGAAGAAAGAGAAAGGGTAGAAAAAATTCTGGTCTCATCTTTTCCTGAGCCAAAGAGATAAACCACTAATCAAACGTGAAGAGCAAAAACACTAATGCTTAGTAAGTTACTATTTAGCAGACAGAATCTCAGCTACTTTACATATATCATCTCATTATTTAAATTAAGTGCTTAAAAGCACATCTCTAGAAAAACACAGAGTTGTGGTTCCTTGAATTATACTCTACCTTATTCCAAAGCCCAACATTTTAATTTTTATTGTATCTATTTATCTATCAATATTTTTTCTTTTCTTTTCTTTTTTTTTTGGGGGGGTGCTGGGGGAGGCAGGATCTCACTCTCACTCTGTCAGCATCTAACCTGGAATGCAGTGGTGCAATCATGGCTCACTGTGATCTTGGACTACTGGGCTCCAGAGATCCTCCTGACCCTGCCTCCTGAGAAGCTGGGACTAAGGCAAATGCCACTGCACTCAGCTTATTAAAAATATATATATATATATAGATATAGGGTCTCGCTTTGTTGCCCAGGCTGGTCTTGAACTCCTGACCTCAAAATAGTTTTTCTTACCAAACTGTAATATGTAATTAGTATAGAGAAACTGGACAAAATACAGGAGCTTAAGAAAAAGAAAGTAACCTATAACCCTACCCTTATCATTCAATGATATCACTGTTAACATTATAGGGTATTTCATTCGAGCTTTTTGTTCTATGCTTTATACATCCATAATAACCATTCTCTCTGTTCCATAAATAAATTTACAACATAATTTTAATAGCTACATAAATTTCTATCATATTCACATAAATAACATATTTGCCATTATTGGCCATTTAGGTCATTGCAGTTTTCTTAATTATACATTATACCGAATGTATACACTAACTACATTTTTGTACCGATTTATTATTATTTCTATAGGATAAATTTCCACATTGTTACTGGCACCAGAATTGCCAAATTAAGGAGTATATTTTTTATTTTTCTTTTTTTAAAAATATAGTGTCAGTTTAACTTTAAAGGTGTTTTTGAATGTATACTTCTAGCAGTAGTGCAGAAGAGTGCCCATTTATCTCCATCCTTGCCAAGGCAAGGCATCATCATTCTTTTTTCATTTTGCAACAAACACTTGAAAGTCTTTTATTTTAGTCATATACATACAAACCTATGAGAAACACATTGAGCTTTTCTTTTCTTTTCTTTTCTTTCTTTCTTTCTTTCTTTCTTTCTTTCTTTCTTTCTTTCTTCTTTCTCTTTCTTTCCTTCCTTCCTTCATTCTTTCTTTCTTTTTTGTTTCGCTCTGTCACCAAGGCTGGAAAGCATTGGTGCCACGTTGGTTCATTGCAACCTCTGCCTCCTGGGTTCATGCAATTCTCCTGCTTCAGCCTCCTGAGTAGCTGAGATTACAGGCACCTACCACCACACCCGGCTAATTTTTGTATTTTTAGCAGAGACGGGGTTTCACCATGTTGGCCAGGTTGGTCTTGAATTCCTGACTTCTAGTGATCTACCTGCCTCAACCCCCAAAGTGCTGGGATTACAGGCGTGAACCACTGCGTCTGGCTGAGCTTTCTATGTTTTTAATACTCAACAAAGCTTCCATCATAAATTATGAACGTATGACTTTCAGGCACACGCGGTGAAGTATTTTTTGTCCCATGGTGAATGATTATGGAATTGTCTTTTGAGGAACAACTGGAATGCCAATTAACAAATATACTGAATAGAAGTATCTGAAAATGAAATGGTGTGCTTTGAGAGCCAGAGAAGTGCTCATTGATGAAGAAGTTCAACCAAAGGTTGATGATCAACTGGCTAGGATGAGAGTAGAGAATTTGTCTGGATAACCTCTCAAGTTTCTTTCTATGCTATGGTCCTATGATGCTCTTGCCTGTTTCTGGAGATTACTGACTCTGTCTTTTTGCCTCATCAGCTGCAATTTTTTTATACTAATAGACTAACTCTCTCTGAATGGTGTCCTTTGCCAACAATCTATTCAAAGTCACAGCATTTTAAGTTGTGCTTTGAAGCCAAGTGCATATATATACATATACATATATATATACCTATACAAATGGCTGCGTCATGAACTTCTCAGAATTTCAATTTTAAAATTTAAACCTACACAATTATATGTCTATCATTACAGCTAAGGTATAGATAAAACTAGGTATGGTTGTATGCATTTAGAACATTTCCAGGAAGGTACACAAGACATCATAGAATCATCTCTAGGGAATAGGAATTGGAAAGAGGAATGTGAAGAACTTTTATCCTCTACTTTAAATACTTTTGTACTCTTTGCATGTTTTAGCAATAATATGTATCATTTTAATAATGAGATGTAACAGTTCACTGTTACAGATGCTTGTGTCAAAATCTTTTTGTGAATTTACTAAGGTGGGTATAAACATAACAACTTTATTCTGCTCACCAAAAATAGAGAAAAATCTGAAACTGCCAAATGAAATGATGGGTCCAATTGTATCAGGAGACAAGTAAATTCTTATCTCACTCTTGCCCTGATTCTATGCCTTCCCAATCATTTAACTTTCCATGGTGTGGGCCAGCAAAGAGAGGTCACATTAGTTATATATTATAGTTCTAGTTTTACACATCACTCTTTCATAAGAGCCTATTTGAGAGATATTATGTCTTCAGTTGAGGAATCAAATATTCTGATGATGTCTGATCTCTAAGAACAGAATCTGTTTTGTTATCATGAGCATCCCAGATGAGCAAATTTAAGAAGATTTTTACCATAAGTAAATCTAAGATGATTTTGAGCTATACAGACTTAAGGCACAAGGGTTTATATATATATATATATATATATATATATATATATGTCATATATATACATGTTAGCCATTTAATCTAATTTTAGAGGGTTCATTAATATTATTCTCAGAAAAACAATCACTGAATTACATTAAAAATGATGTGTAATTGAAGTTCAGTCCAGTTTGAAGGCTTTTAATTTTTTCATATTGAAGAATGCAATGTTCTGATTAAGTCAGATCTCTGTAAACAGAAGCTGCTTTAGAAAAGAACTATTAAGTGTTTGAATAATCACTTATAAAAAATGAAGTAATTACCTTTTCTATATAATTAGCAACTAGTTGGGGTTTGTATAGGAGAAGTGACAGAATAAGATAAAATTTGACTAGATAAGAATTTCTTAAGCTCTGTCAGTAATTTGCTTATATTATCTAACACTCCATAGTGTCTACCTCATAAGTGGGTGAGGCATGAGAATGAAATGACATAATACTTGAAAAGTGTTTGAAATACTGTGTGTCATATTGTAATCATCTAATAAATGCCAGGTAATATAAAAAATATTATGTAAAATAAGAAAAATGATATCCAAACATATCAACATTATGTCTGTATATAAAATGCAAATATATGCAGGCAAAGACATGAAAAAAGATCTGAGAGAAGTGGAGCAAGACGGCTGAATAGAACCCTCCAGCAATTGTCACCCCCACAGAAACATCAAGTTGAACAACTATCTAAACAAGAAAGTACCTTCATAAGAACCAAGTATCAGGTGAACAATCATAGTACCCGGTTTTAACATCATATCAAGGAAGAAGGCACTGAAGAGGGCAGAAAAGACTCTTGTATTGCTTACACAGCCCCTCCTCCATCTCCTAGCAGTGCAGCACTGCAGAGAGAGAAGAATATCTGTGTGCTTGAGGGAGGGAGAATACAGTGATTATGGGACTTTGCATTGGAACTCAGTGCTAACTGTCACAGTGCAAAGCAATACAGGGCAGAATTCAGCTAGCTCCCACACTGGAAGCATTCAGATTGGACCTAGCTAGAGGGGAATTTTCTATGCCAGAAGTCAGAATTTGAGTTCTGACTAGCATCAACACTGCAGGCTAAAGTGCTCTGGGGTCATAAATAAACTTGAAAGGTAGCCTAGGCCTTTCAAGGAGGAAAGTTCCCAGGCAAGTTCTGGTACTGTGCTGGGCTCAGAGCCAGTAGACTTAGGGTGTACAGGACCTAGTGAGACATCAGCTGGGCCAGCCGAGGGAGTGCTTGTGTCACCCCCTCCCCCAGCCCCAGACAGTGCAGCTCGCAGTTTTGGCAGAGACACCTTCTGTTTGAAAAGAGGGGAGAGTAAAGAGGACTTTTGCCTTGTAACTTAAATACTACCTCAGCCATAGTAAAATAAAACACCAAGCAGAGTCCTGAAGCCCCCATGCCAGGCCCTAGCTCCCGGACAACAGACGTTTCTAGACACACCCTGGGCCAGAAGGGAACCCGCTGCCCTGAAGGGAGATAACCAGGCCTGGCAAGATTCACCATAAGGTGAAAAAGAGCCCTTGGGCCTTGAGTAAACATCAGTGGTAGCCAGGCAGTACTTGCCATGGGCCTAGGGCAGTGGTGGCCATGAGGAGAAACTCCTTCTGCTTGAGGAAATAAGAGAGGAGAGTAAAAAAGACTTTGACTCAGAATTTGGGTATCAGCTCAGCTACCAAGTAGCTTTACCAAGTAAAATAAAGCACCAAGTAGATTCTAGATTCCTAAAGTTCCCGACTCCAGACCCTCCCTCCCAGACAGCATTTCTACACCCACCCTGGGCCAGAAGGGAACTCACCACCTTGAAGGGAAAAATACAAGTTTAGAATGATTCACCACCTGCTGACTAAAGAGCCCTTGGGCCTTAAATAAACATCAGTGGTGACCAGGCAATAGTTGCCACAGGCCTCGGGTGACATCAAGTACTGTGTTGGCTTTAGGTCTGACTCAGCACAGTTGCAGTAGTGGTGGCCACAGAGGTGCTCGTGTCACCCCTCCTCCAATTCTAGGAAGCTCAGCACAGAGAGAAACTTGTTTGTTTGGGGTAAAGTAAGAGAACAAGAGTCTCTATTTGGTAATCCAGGGAATTCTGTCATATAGTACCCCACACCACCAAAGTGCTACCTCTGTTAGTCTGCAAGAGTCATACTATTATTGGGCTTGGGCAGATATGGCTGCAATAGGCAAATACTTAGATCTGAACACTCAATTTTCTTTAAATACTTCTTTAAAGCCTTCCCAAGAAGGGCAGGTACAAGCAAGCCCAGACTATGAAGACTACAATAAATACCTCACTTGTCAACACCCAGACATTGATGAACACTCAAAAGCATCAAGATCATTTAGGAAAACATGACCTCACCAAATGAACTAAATAAGGGCACCAGTAACCAATCCCAGAGTGACAGAGATATGTGACCTCTCAGACAGATAACTCAAAATAGCTGGTTTGGGAAGCTAAACAAATCAAGATAACAGAGAGAAAGAATTCAGAATCCTATCCATAATGAAAATGTAAAATGAAATGTAAATTAGATTGAAATAATTTTTAAAAATCAAGCTGAAATTCTGGAGCTAAACAATTGAATTGACATACTGAAGAATGCATTCGAGTCTCTCAACAGAACTGATCAAGGAGAAGAAAGAATTAGTGAGCTTGAAGACATGCTAATTGAAAATATACAGTGAGGGAGACAAAATAAAAGAATAAAAAAGAATGAAGCATGCAAAATTATTAAAAAAAAAAAAAAAGCCCAGGACCTCATAGCTTCATTGCTGAATTTTACCAAACATTTAAAGAAGAACAATCCTACCCAAACTATTCCAAAAAACAGAGGAGAGAATACTTCTAAACTCAGTCTATTAGGCCAGTATTACCCTGATATCAAAATCAAGCAAAGACGTATCAAAAAAAGAGAAAGTATAGGCCAATATCACTGATAAACATTGATGCAAAAATCCAAAACAAAATAATAGTGAACCTAATTCAACAACACATTAAGATAATCATTCATCATGACCAAGTGGAATTTATCCCAGGGATGCAAGGACTGTTCAACATATGCAAATCCACCAATGTGATACATCATATCAATAGAATGAAGGAATAAACCATATGATAATTTCAGTTGATACTGGAAAAGCATTTGATAAAATTTGGCATCTCTTTATGATAAAAACTCAAAAAACTGGGTATAGAAAGAATCTACCACTGCACAATAAAAGCCATATAAACAGACCTACAGCTGGTATCATACTGAAAGAGGGAAAACTGAAAGGCTTTCCTCTAAGGTCTGGAAATAAGGAGGATGCCCACTTCATCACTGTTTATCAGCATAGTACTGGAAGTCCTAGATAGAGCAATCAGACAAGAAAAAGAAATAAAGGGCATCCAAATTGGGAAGAAAAAAAGTCAAATTATTCTTATTTGCAAATGATATAATCTTACATATGGAAAAACCTGAAGACTCCACCAAGAAATCATTAGAACTGATAAGTTGAGTAAAGTTGTAGGATACAAAATTAACATAAAAATCAGTAGCATTTCTATATGCCAACGGCAAACAATCTGAAAAAGCAATCAAGAAGTAATCCCATTTAAAATAACTGCAAATAAAATTAAATACCTAGGATTTAACTAAAGAAGTAAAAGATCTCTACAATGAATACTATAAAATACCGATGCAAGAAATTGAATAAGACACAAAAAGATGAAAAGATATTCCATGTTCATGGATTGGAAGATCAACATTTTTTAAATGTTCATACTACTCAAAGCAATCTACAGATTCAATGTAATCCTTATCAAAATACCAGTAACATTCCTCACAGAAATAGAAAAAAGATCCTAAAATTTATATGGGATCAGAAAAGAACCTGAATAGCCAAAGTCATCCAGAGCAAAAAGAACAAAACTGACTTCAAATTATACTACAGAGTTATAGTAACCAAAACAGCATGATACTGGCATAAAAACAGACACACTGAGCAATGGAACAAAATGGAGAACTGACAAACAAATTCACATACCTACAGTGAACTCATTTTTCACAAAGATGCCAAGAACATACACTGGAGAAAAGATAGTCTCTTCAATAAATGGTACTGCCAAAACTACATATCCATATGCAGAAGAATGAAACTAGACCCCTATCTCTTGCCATATACAAAATCTAATCAAAGACTTACATCTAAAACATAAAAGTACCAAAAGAAGACATTGGGGAAACTCTCTATAACATTGCTCTGGACAAGGACTTCTTGAGGAATATCCCATAAGCATAGGCAACCGAAGCAAAAATGGAAAAATGGGATCACATCAAGTTAAAAACTTCTGCACAGCAAAGGAAACAACCAACAAAGTGGAGAGACAACCCATGAAATGGGAGAAAATATTTGCAAACTACCCATCTGACAAGGAATTAACTGGCAGAATACATAAGTAGCTCAAACAACTCAGTAGGAAAAATGTCTAATAATCTGATTAAAAAATAGACAAAAGATCTGAATAGACATTTCTCAAAAGACATCCAAATGACAATCAGGTATATTCAAAAGTGCTCAACATAATTGATCACCAGAGAAATGCAAATCAAAACTACAATGAAATATTATCTCACCCCAGTTATAATGGCTTTTATCCAAACAACAAACAATAATTAATGCCGGTGAGGATATGGACAAAAGGGAACCCTTGTACACTGTTGGTGGGAATGTACATTAGCATAGCCACTATGGAGAACAGTTTCGAGATTCCTTAAAAAAATAAAATTAGAACTAATATATAATCCAGCAATCCCACTACTAGGTATATACTCAGGAGAAAGGAAATCAATATATCAAATAGATATCTTCACTCCTGTGTCTATTGCAGCACTATTCACAATAGCTAAGATTTACAAGCAACCTGTGTCCATCAAGAGACAAACGGATAAAGAAAATGTTGTACGTACGCACAATAGAGTACTAATCAGCCAGAAGAAAAGAATTAGAATCTGTCATTTGCAACAACATGGATGGAAGTGGAGGATTTCGTGACAAGTGAAATAAGTCAGGCACAGAAAGACAAACTTGGCGTGGTCTCACTTATTCGTGGGAGCTAAAAATGAAAACAGTTGAACTCATGGAGCTAGGAAGTAGAATGATGGTTACCAGAGGCTGGGAAGGGGTAGCGAGCTGGGGGGAAGTGGAATGGTTAATGGATACATTAATATAGTTAGAAAGAAGTAATAAGAGCTAACGTTTGGTAGTACAACAGGGTGACTACAGTCAACAATAATTTATTGTACATTTAAAAATAACTAAAAGGGGCCGGGCACAGTGGCTCACACCTGTAATCCCAGCACTTTAGGAGGCCGAGGCAGGCAGATCACCTGAGGTCAGGAGTTCCAGACCAGCCTGACCAACGTGGAGAAACCCCATCTCTACTAAAAATACAAAATTAGTCGGGCGTAGTGGCACATGCCTGTAATCCCAGCTACTCGGGAGGCTGAGGCAGGAGAATCGCTTGAACCTAGGAGGCAGAGGTTGCGGTGAGCTGAGATTGAGCCATTGCACTCCAGCCTGGGCAACAAGAGCGAAACTCCATCTCAAATAATAAAACTAATAATAATAATAATAACTAAAAGAGTATATTTGGAATGTTTGTAACACAAAGATATGATAAATGGCTGAGCTCATGGATTAAACAAACAAACAAAATGTCAGAAGTATTTCCTCTGGAGTATAGAGTAAAATGGGGAGGAGTAAGATTAAGTGAACTTTTCTTCTTATTTATACAATTTATTACTGTATTATTGGAAGTTTTACAATGAGAAACATTTATTTTTTTTAAAAAAAAGAAACAATATTTTTAAAGGAATGCCAAAAGATCCATTGGTAGATATGTGATGAAATTACTATAAAAATGTTCGTTCACAGTAAATGGGCACATTTCGTAGTGCATATAGTATATAGTATAGTTTGGGATTACTTTGGATCAAGCAGATAGCCAGGCTCACAGTGGTTCTTGTTTGAATAACAGGCTGGGAATCATAGTTAATTAATCTCTGTAAGCCATAGTTTCCTTATCTGTAAAATGAAATAATACTGTCCTAGTTATATCTCAACATCCACCACAGTGTTTAGCCCCTTTTTAAGAAAATGAATAATTCAGGTTTAATTTAGAGGTCTAAGATCGAGACTTTTGAAATATAACCTTGTTTTTTTTCCTTGTGAATTCTATGAGTGCAGTTTACATGAGCACAATTCAGATGGATGTGTTTTCAACCACACACCTGGCAAGTCACCACACAGTGCTGTGCAACTGATATCATTTGAGAAGAAGAGGATAACTGAGTTCCTGTTGGAAAAACAGCAATTTGAAAGTACTGCTTAAATGAACACAAGATGGTGTCAGGATTCCAAGTTTCTAGTTCTTTCTAGGGAGTTACCTAAGGTCTAAGTTTTATCCTGAACAGAATCTCTTGGGGAACTAAAATGCTACCAATGAAAAGCTCTTGATACTCCTACATCATGAATATTATTGAGCTCTAAAACTTGAACTGGTCGTGTCAGGAGAACCTTTAACTGCTCATGGCAGTTCTTGTGGACTGAGAGGAAGTACTACTGGAGATCTTGGTGATAGTGGCCAAAAGGAAAGGGTATGATTATGATTGCTGGGAAGCAGATGGCTTTTGAATATGTTCATCCAAATCCTAAGCCAGAGACTGTGTTTAGTGCTTGTTCCTCCTGGGAAGGCTTATGGTAAACAAAAATACAGTTTAACATGTTTAATGTTTTGAAATTCTGGGAGAAGAATAGAAATATTCATTTGTTCCTAGGTGTCCACATGAGCATGGAGGTATTCTAAAGTGTAAGAAGTGACAGCATAGGCATGGTTAAAATCTCAGATTCTGACCTCATCCTGGCTCCTCCACTTACTACCTTCAGCATTAGCTCAATAAACCTCAATGCTTTGTCTATAAGATTATGGTGACAATTACATTTAGTTAAAAGATTATAAAGTTTCGGCCGTACACGGTGGCTCACGCCTGTAATCCCAGCACTTTGAGAGGCCGTGGCGGATCACGAGGTCAGGAGATAGAGACCATCCTAGCTAACACGGTGAAACCCTGTCTCTACTAAAAATACAAAAAATTAGCCGGGCGTGGTTGCAGGTGCCTGTAGTCCCAGCTACTTGGGAGGCTGAGGCAGGAGAATGGCCTGAACCTGGGAGGCGGAGCTTGCAGTGAGCCGAGATCGCTCCACTGCATTCCAGCCTGGGCGATAGGGCGAGACTCCGTCTCAAAAAAAAAAAAAAAAAAAAAAAAAAGATTATAAGATTTCAACGGGATAATACATATAAAATGTTTAACTAGCACCGTGTCTTACACATAGTAAAGTCTCACCAAAGTAACCAAATGTAGTAGTACACCCTTATCTATGGCTTTGCTTTTAGTTACCTACAGTCAACTGCAGTCTGAAAATATTATAGTATTTTGAGAGAGAGAGAATGAGAGAGAAAGAGAGAGAGAGACATTCACATAGCAATACACTGTTTTATTTTATTGTTAGTTATTATTGTTAATCTCTTACTGTGACTGATTTATAAATTAAACTTTACAATAGGTACGTACGCATAGGACTAAACAGTCTATATAGGCTTTGGTACTATCCACAGTTTCAAGCATCCATTGGAGGTCTTGGAACATATCTCCCATGGATAAGGTGGGCTACTGTATTGGTTTAAGTTCCTCAGATTTCCTGGACTACCTGACATTAGGCTCTACAATTCTTTCATACATGCTACTTCAATCAGCAGCATGCTTAGCACATAGCATGTGTTTAATAAAAGTTAAATTTAAAATAAAAATCAAGATTTCCAGTTGAACTGAAGCTAGGGAAACCTACACATATTTTGTGCGTTAGTTTGTTTGGAAACATCGTCTCTACAGAGAGTATCTGATGACATGGGAGATGACATGATAGAGTCAGTCTGGTGGAGAAGATATCTAGGCCTTCATCAGTCCCAAATCCACATTATCCATGTAGGGCTGCTTTTGTAAGATCAACGGAACCCATGTCATTGATGTAATGCTCATTACTGCCAGCATCCTTACTGTTTTTGAATATCTATGTAATAGTTGTTTTTCTTATATTATTTCACTGAATTCTTAAAATGCCTTAATGGAGATGCTCTTATTCCTATGTTAACAAGAAAGCTGAGTCTCAAAGTGGTTCTATAACTTGTTCAGTGCCACACACTAGTGAGTGAAAAAGCCATGACTAGAATGAGGGCCACAGAGAGCGGGACAAGCCTTTTTGCCGGGGAAGATAAGCTAAATGTCTCCCTAGACAGGCAGCCCTACATCCTATTGGGTCTTATTGATATCCTGACTTGCTCTAGACTTGTCTGAAACCCTGGTTTATCTGGCTTCAAAGCTTACGAAGCTTCCACCAGACCAGAGGACCATCATTTGAGTAGTGATGAAATATTCTCCAAAAAACAACAACAAATGCGACAAATTATCAGGGACCTTAGAGACTCTCAACATAAATCCCAGTTTCAGAAATTGTGTCTCAAAAAAGTAAAGTCTTAATAAATATTAGGTTGGTGCAAAAGTAGTTGTGGTTGCCATTAAAAGCAATGGCAAAACAGCAATTACTTTTCCACCAACCTATAAAAAAAAACTAATTGTGATTCATCACTACAATAGAAGGTAAAATGTATACTCACGTTACCATGGAAATAAACATCATCAGTTTAAAAATTCTCACAAAACTTGTGACTTCTCTACAGGACAACATGGTTGTGCATCCTAAGTGGAACGTAATTATTTTTGTCAGAAAATGATCTTCACATACATACCAATCATTCCTTGGGACAGGGTGGGGTTCATCGGTTTTTGGAAATGTTACTGTTTTCAAGTTATATATAAATACTCTAAATTGTGTCTGAGTGTCCAGCAAAATGACAGTATTATCTTTGATGTGCTATCAGTGAGCTACTGAGAAAGAAAATATGTTTCAACAAGATTTATTTATTAGATTAAGTGAATATATTAACATTCCATGGGTAAAATTACAGAAGACATGGTTAGGAATAAAATTTCCTCATCTCCTTGATGTCTTCGTCCCTCATATTAAGTCCTTAATTTGCAGAGTTAGCAACATTCTTAATTCCTTGTACAAGAAATTTTCTTGTGGAAAATAGTTTTACCTGTTAGTCTCCACACGTATGTCTGATCTTTGTGATACGGTATCAGGCATCCCCTGACCTGTTGGTTTGTCATCTTTTCCATTTTATCTTTTCATCTATTTTGCAAACTCATCAAGATGACTTCCACTTTCCAGCTTCTCCATTATGTACCTAAGGGTTGTCCTTAAATTTTTGTCCAACCTAAAAAATAACAATCACTAAATGATAGAACTCTATAATAACTAAACGATAGAATGATAGAAATAATTTCCAGCATTCCTGTCGGAGTGATAGAAATCTCCTAGCCTACTTTGAAGCAAATCAAAAGCAACTGTGAAGTTAATTTAATGAAATTATTTTCTCTTTTTGAGGCCCACTGTTGCAACTTTCCTTATCTCCAAGCTAGTAGAAAATGCTGTTGCTTTGTGGTCGTTTTTTTCAAAGGACTTAGGGAGGGATCATTTTCTCTAACCAGCTCATCAAATTCACAGAGGTCTACAGAAGTGAAGTGACGTGCCCAAGAGCTCATGGCAAGTAAATAGTGTCTTAGTCTAAATACTTCCAGAATGAGTATTCCTAGACCTTGTACTTATCTCATTGTCCTATGCTCAGGCAAACGTTTGCAAACAGCAGGGAAAACAACTGCAGATTGAGACTTGAGGGAGAAGGGTGGGAGATGGTCCTTAGCAGATCCCTGGGCCTGGGGATCACCTGCTCCCTGGGATCAAAATAGTGAAACAAGCTATTCATAAGTACATCAAGGACGAGTAGGCCATTGTTTTCAGAACCAGCTGTGGAGAATCTGCTCGACAGTGGCCTTGGAACAGCTGCGGCTGCTGCACCAAGAAGGGAGGGCAGGAGGGCGGAGCGGTACTGGTGGAAGGGTGAGCTAGGAGGAAAGGCTGCAAGGACCCTGCCACGCCACCTCCCGGCAAACCAGGAAGTATTTTTGCAGTAAGTGCATTGGACTGAGCCACCTTTTGAACCTACCCGAAGTGTTAACAGCGCACAGCAGGCCTTAGATGGGTGCAATAACTGCAAACTCTCAACGGGCTGGTGCCTAAGAGGCTACGGGCTGGCAGCTAAATAGAGCCCGGCGCAGTGAGTCGCGTTGTCCGAAAGTACACAGAGTGGAGCCAGCCGACTGTGCTGTCTTTGCAAACCGTGACCGAGCAAAGTCCGCGGTAAACAAGCCTCGCAGCAGCTGCCTCCGGATGAGCGCCCCCTGCTCATTCCTCCACCCAGCATTTCCCACGCGCCCAGCGCTCCGCTCTGCAGCCCCTGCCGTCCTCTCTCCCAGCCCCATTCTCAGATCGCCCCATCTTTTGGCCCAGCCCAGGTCCCAGCCCCCGCGGCTGGCGCACCACACTCACCATCTCTTGCCTGAGGAGGTGAAGCTTGGTTTCTAGCCTCTCCAGGGCGCTAGAGTGGCTACCTCGTGGGGAGCCAGAGGTTGGGGAGGACGAAGAGGAGGACGACAAGGAGGGAGGGAAGCTGCAGTAGCTGCTGCTGCTACTGCAGCCGCCGCCGCCGCCGCCACCACCACCGCTCCCCCCGCAGGGGTCCCTGTCCCTTTCCCTGGGAACCGGCTCCTCCCCACGGAGAGAGCGCACTAGACTCTCGGGTACTTTGCGCCCCAGCTTCAGCTCGATGTCTCTGAGGTCTGGCAGCGGGCTGTCTTCCATGACTTTTCCGGAACGGCGATAATAGTAATAAAACGCAGCAGATGAAAGGCAGCCACGGCTTCGAAGGCTGCTGCGAAATCAGCAGACCTCTCCGGGGGCCAGGGTCTCTATCCTCCGCCGCTCCGGTGTACCGTCCTTTCCATAACCGCCTATGCGGTATCAGCCCTGAAATCCGCACAGGACGCGGGGGGTCGCAGCTGCAGTTCCCAGTCCGCTGCGACTCCTCCGACACTAAGATGATCAAGATCTCCTCATTCTCTCTCTTTTTGGCCACCTCACTGCAAAGTTGAGTTCACTGATATTGCAGACAGAGGGGGAATAAAGAGGGGGAAGTAGTGAAAGAAAAGAGAGGGAAATTAAATCTGTTTTAGCTTTACCAAGGGAAAATTTTCACATTATAAAACCGTCCGTTCACATCCCTGCGCCGCTCACTGACTGCCCATCTGGTACTACGCGACACAAAATAATGATGCAGCCAGAAACGATGTCCTGGGTCGTTTCATTTTCCAGCCATATGCCTCCAAGCTTTCGGGATATCCTGGGTTGTCAGAAATAATCTCTGGTCAGTGAAAGAGGAGTTCGGTCGTGTGCATGGACCCATAAAAAAGAGCTAGTTAGCTTAGCAGGAGTTTAACGGCTTCCTTGATGCAGCAAAAATGTCCTTCTTCCCATTTAGGCTGTTTGATCCAAGTCATTGTGTTCCTCTGAGCCTCGGAAACTTTAAACTCCGCTGGCAGGTGGACCAAACCAGGACCAACCCTTCTACCGTATATCACAGACAAGAAGAGCAACCGGAATTTTCCCAACCCTGTCGCTAGTAGCAGAGTTTCAAAGCCCTGCTTTAGTTAGGAATACCAGTTGATTTTTCAGTTTTCCTGACTAGCTACAACCTTTAAAACAGGTTTTAAAATGAGAGATAGAGGAATGACTTTATATTTGGTGTCTTCGTTTCCCATCTCTCTACCTTCCTCAAAGGAAAAACAAACAGAAAACCTCTCTTTAGAAGACTTTCCTAATAATTTTATTCTAATAAAAAGAGTGAAACAATTTCATCAAAAGTTCAATGGAAATGTACAATCAAAATTAATTATCCTACCAACTGTTACAGTATGCAAACAAAAGTGAAAAATTAAATAGCCAGAATAACTTACATGACTGCTGAGATAGCAGTGAAATTTTAAGAACAAGCAATTGCTGAGATACTTACTTTTATTTTAATTATGGAAGAAAAAATATTGGGAATAACTATTTAAAATGTTGTCTTCTTTGATAATTTATCTATAAATTAATTTATAGATTTTTTCAACTATACAAATTGTACAATTAATTGTATAGTTGAACAATTGTACAATTTATTAATTTGTACAATTGTACAATTCATTAATCTGAAATACTTCTACCAAGTAAGTTATTATGAGCTACATGGATTACAGATCTGAATCAGCATTGAGTTTGTGTCAAAAATGTTTAAGTAGAGGATACTAATTTCAATCCAGTAAACTACAATTTTTGATTTCCATTGAAATATTTCAAAGTATGTGCCCCTCTATTTCTGTGACATATAAGTATTTGTGTTCCTGGTCACTCCGAGGCTCCATTTCCAGAGACATCATTCAGGTTTTACACTTGTAGGAACATAGGTATATACATCTCAGAGTTTGTTTTTATCATATCTGACTCTAGGAAACCTTATACGTAGAGGAAACATACGCATTCTAAATGAAATATTTCATGTCAGGGAAAAAATGCTGAACTTTCTATCAACATGCCAGAAATTTGCATGCTATTTCTCCCTTTTAAAAAGAAATGAAGAAAATAGTTATAAGTTAGATGACCCATTTCAAAGTTAGAACTACCACTTACAGAATCAAGGGAAAACAAGACCAAATCCCAGCTAACTGATAAAACTACATGCTTGGTCCTAAATTTGGAAAAACACAAGCTCGTTGCATAAGAATTGCACTGTGGCATGTAATTATGAAAGGCTTGTGTTTCAGTCAAGAACAGTTTATTATTACAAAACCCTTACAAAGTTCAGCATAAGGCTGGCTAAGTGCAGTTTATAGATGAAATATCTAGCTAGAAATTGGTCAGTAAAAAACAAATGTCAAATTATCGTGTGTCAATATAGAAAAATGGGACACCTCTTCTGCTATGAATCACAGACTGCAAAATCAGTATTTGAGGCTGAGGATAATTTAATATATACGTATATGTATGTATATATGTATATAGTTTTTTAAAGAAGTCTGCAGGAGAAACTCCTCTGAGAGTAAAAGTGTGATGTATATGCAAAGTAACTTTGTTCCAGTGAAATATAAAAAAATGTAAACTTTTGAAGGAAAGCTTAGTATGTCAAGCTTTAAATTTTTTTTCGGTTAAATGCCTATTGACATTTTAGTTTAAAATGAAGACATTTTGAATGATGCTTTAGCTAGTTTTCAGAATATATTAAAATCATTGAATGTTTATGGATCTATAATAGATTGTTGTTAATGCTACCATAACTGCTTTATGTGGTTTAATCTGAGGACATTTCTTACTCAAACTATTTGAAAACTTTTTTTTTTTACTTTGGTTCTTGAGCATGTGTTTTGTTTGTTTGTTTTCAAGATTCTCAAGAAACTGAGTCAGCCTGGGCAATATAGCGAGACCCCACCTCTTCAAAAAATTTAAAAATTAGCCAAGCATGGTGGCATGCACTTGTAGTCTTAGCTAAGGGGTTAGGGGTGAGGGAGTGAGGCCAGAAGATTGCTTGAGTCCAGGGGTTCGGGGTTGCAGTAAGCTATTATCAAGCCACTGCCCTTTAGTCTTTGAGACAGAGTGAGAAACTGCCTCAAAAAACAAAAACAAAAATAAAAACAATAAACATACAAAAATGCCCACAAACAACAAGGACAAAAATGTGTGAGATGTTTTACCAATTGCTCTTAGCCTGAGAAGCTAATTACATCTTGAGTTGGGGAATCAGTTGAGAAGACTTTGCAGTAATGAGTCCAGGATGGGGGTTGGGGGTAGCAGTGAATTCAGCAACAACTGGGAGAGGGAACATAGGGAGAACTAAGAAAGACAGAGGGAAAAATTCTTGAGTCATATCACTCTTAGTAGCACTCCCTCATTGCTCCTACTTTTCTGGTCCATCTCCAACTACCTCTGTTTCTTTGATTAGTAGCATTTGCCATGCCAACAACCACCTAAACTCGCAGTGTTTCTCCAAGTCTAATAATACATTGCAGAGTAAAATTGTAAAAATGGTTATTGTATTGTTTTTATTTGTGATGTAATTTTTTATACTTCATTATATGCTTCCTTTTAAGACCACCATATGTATGAGCTGGATTTGCCTTTTTTTTCTATTCAAAATGCATAAAGAATCTAAGAATGAATGTTAAACTATGCAGGACTTTAAGAGACTGAGTTTCTTCCCTAGCTATGTTGTGTACACGGAGAAGGAAAGGGAGCCTCTTATTTATCATTAAAAAGAAAGAAAAACTAGTGGCTAATTAAATAGGAACATTGTTGGACTCAGATGACAGGTTTTGAAAGAATGCCTCAGTCACAACAGACTGATGTGATGCACGCTTCACACATTCCACACTTAGAACATTTCCTGATTTGAGACACAATACTCACAGCAAGAGTAGACTCAACAACGCTTCATGTAGTGTGGGTAACACCACTCCTTAATCTGTTGCTGGCATTGTGGTTAAAAGAAGAAACACCTTCCACCTTCTTTCTGGCACTGATTGCAAGTTTGCAGCATTCCCAACTCTTGCTGTCACAGAGCTCAAGGGCTAGGACAGGGTCTCTTACCTGAGACTCCACTCCCCACAGTGCAGAATAATGTCAAGCAGCCAACAGCCTCAAATTATGCCTAAGAATTTTAGGAAGTCACTATTTAATAAGTATCAGGTTCTTTCATTGTTTGTTTTTAAATGTGTAGAGCTGCTGCTTCTACAAATATTTTTGTTCAGTTTATATGCATAACAAGGAAGATGTTATAGCAAAGCTAAAGAATGTTGACCCTATCCATATACAGTGGAATTATATATCTGCTAAAGTTACTAAGGTTTTATCATGCTTATTTATAGAGTCATTTAATTTACCTATAATTTTGTAGCTGGCTTGGGTCTGTTTTACTATGTGAAATCATCTACTTATTACCAACTTGAACCACTTGTACATGAAAATGCTATATATATTACTATATCTGTATATATTTCTAACAATCAATCTATCTGAAATGTCTCTCTCTAAGGTGTACAGACCCTTTAAATAGTCTCTGATTGAAATCTAATTAATATTTATAATCAGAGCTAAACACTTCCCTGAGGATTTAGCAGACAATACTAAAAGTAGGTCACCAGGATCTAAGTCTTCCTTATCCCCTCTTCACAATCCCGGTCAAATCTCTCTGCCTTCATTATTTGTAATAGCATCCTTTATTTGCTTTTTCTTGCTATCCTGAGCTCTAACTTCCTGCTGAAAGGTACAATGCAGGGCCAAGAAAAGAGATCTCTCCAGCTAACTTTTTTCTGTTCCTCTACAGCCATCCCAATTTGGCCTATAGAATGGACTTTATAGCATTTCAATGCTGTGCTGGTTTATGTTTATAACCAACTCTCTGAAAATATAAAAATAACTGATTTGTAGCTTTTAGCAACATTCATGGTGTAAATACTCTCATTATGGCTGATATCAAGCTACCAATGTGAGATGTGAGTTGGGAAAGGATGGGAATTAGTTCATCATTACATAATGTTTCCACTATACAGGTAAAACACATGTAAATAACCTTAAAAGCATCAAGAGTAGTAAGCACAGAGAGTAGTAAAATGTATTTAAGTAATTAGGAAGTGATGAGTTTTAATCATTTATTACCTTTGTTTTTGTTTTCCTATATTAAAACTTATACAATGTAATTTTTAAAAAAAAATGGCTGTGTTTAGCAACCAGCTTGCAAAATTCTCAAAAATTTAACAATTGTCTCCTGCAAACTGGGATTGGTTGGCACCAGGACACCTGTGTTTCATAAAATCATTGGAGGGCGATCATTAATTATAGTTAAGAAAGAAAATAAAAACACAAAGCCAGAAAACGTAGTGCAGTTTTAAGTCTAAGGGTTAGGCAAAGCCATAATTAGGAATATGAGTCCCAAGGTCAGAAAGCAGGAAGAATAGTGAACTTGTGAAACGTGTATGTTAGTTTCCTAGGGTTGCCATAACAAAGTACCATGCAACAGCAATTTAGTGTCTTATAGTTCTGTAGGTTAGAAGTCCAAAATCAAGATGTGGGCAGGTCCATGCTCCCTCCAAAGCCTCTAGGGAAGGATTCCTCCTTGCCTCTTCCAGCTTCTGGGAGGCCCAGCATTCCTTGGCTTGTGCTCGCATATCTCCAATCGCTGCCTCTGTCTTTACATGGCTATTTTACCTCTGTGTCTGTGTCTAAATTTCTGTCTTCTTACACGCACACCCACCATATTGAATTAATTTAGCAAATTATAACTGCAACAACCCCATTCCCCATATAAGGTTACATTCTGAGGTACCATAGGGTCAGGATTTCAGGATATCTTTTGTGGGAGACAGACTTCAAATCATAACACTATAGAGTGATGTGGGGTCTTGGAGGTGTAGTTTAGACATGAGGCTGTGAATAATATGAGATAACTGGAATCTTCTTTTTGTTTCATACTTTTCTTTTTATTTGGCAGAGGTATAAAGGTGGCCAAGGACCAGGTGCGGTGACTGACACCTGTAATCCCAGCACTTTAAGAGGCTGAGGCAGGCTGATCACAAAGTCAAGAGATCGAGACCATCCTGACCAACATGGTGAAACCCCGTCTCTACTAAAAATACAAAAATTAGCTGGGCGTGGTGGCACACACCTGTAGTCCCAGCTACTTGGGAGGCTGAGGCAGGAGAATTGCTTGAACCCGGGAGGCGGAGCTTGCAGTGAGCCAAGATCGTGCCACTGCACTCCAGCCTGGTGACAGAGCAAGACTCCATTAAAAACAACAACAACAACAAAAACAACAAAAACCAGCCAAGAACACTTAAAGTCACTGCAAAGAATAGACGCAAACTTACTTAATCACAAAAAAAGTATTAAAAACGACAGGCTACTTTACATCACTCCATACGATTACTTATAAATTAGGTAATAACCGCTGTTAGCCTTTTTTAAAAAGTGTGATTTTATGGGCTAGAAAACTAATGACAGATACATCCGTATTTTGCCATCCAGTGGCATAATCATAGACATAATTCTTACAACCCACCTTTGATATCTTTCACCAAATACATTGATGATGTTTAAAATTGTATTTGAGATGGCCCCCACAATTATAGTATAATCAGTAAAATAAAGATAAAAAGTCCTAAAGAAATACTCCATTTCTATGTCCTAGCTTAGAAGCAATCCTCTGAACTTTGATTTCAAAAGGATGTAACAGATTTTTTTGAAGTATTGTTATCGTAAATGTAACACAGAGGCTATGCAATTGAAACTGTAACCCTATTGAATGTAGAAAAAAAGCAGTGAGGACTACTCACACAGAGGATGGTGTCTAAGAGGTTTAGAGGGAGCTATGTTATTCCACTATGGTTTTGACCTCAGGATTCGGCACATGCTATAAAATTCCCTCTCGAATGTCATGATTTTGTGATCAGTATGCTTTTCTGACAGCGTCTTGTGAATATATCATTTCTTTTCTATATTTTAGGCTCCTAGCTTCTCCTTATCCTTGGTTCTATAGGCTTGGAAGGATGAGTAGAACTTCTTTTCAGAAGGCCTGGAAGAAAGAGAACGAGGAATAAAAATTTTTATGCATTTTTCCATTTTAAAAAGAACACAAAAATTCTATGCAAAGACATACATGAATTAGCTGACATTATTTGGTAGTTAAAACTCAAGAACCCTCCATATTAGAACTGTAGATCCTAGTCTTACAGCTTAAGAGCATTACTCTACATTTGAAAATTAGCCTTCTTAAGCTATTAACTAGCCTCGTTCTCTGCGTGTGTGTATGTATGTGATTTTCTTTCAGAAGTATGCATGATTCAATGAGAATACTTTGTGATCATGAGACATATTGAGTATATGCATCTTATATAAAAGATAAATACTGTAATTAGGTCCTGAAAATATTAAGAAAGATAGTTACTGGTCATATTCACTTGATAAATCAACAGGGGCCTTTTTTATAATCAGAAAACACTTGCACATCAGAGTAGCATAAATCACTATGATAAAATAATGTGGGAGAAACTGAAAAAGTACTGGCTACAAGGGAAGCTGCTATGTATTGAGCACAATTTTATGAAAGGTTGTATTGAGCACTATTTTGTACTGCTTAATTCTCATAAGAACCCAGGAAAATGAATGTGATGAAACTCTCTAATAAGATGCCTCTGAAGTTCCAAGAGGTGAAATCACTCATACAATCTTCCACTGGTGTCAAGTGAGAAAGCTGAGATTTGTTCTAAATTATATTTTATTCTTTGCTGGGCATGCTGGCTCACACCTGTAATCCCAGCATTTTGGGAGGCTGAGGCCGAAGAATCATTTGAGCCCACGAGTTTGAGACCAGCCTAGGCAACATAGTGAGAACCCTCATCTCTACAAAATAAAATAAAATAAATATATTTTATTTGTAAACCCACATTTTTTCTATTACCCACAAATCGGCATTAGTCCTCTTTCAAAACTATTAAGAGTTCTACTTCTGAACATAGATAGTCACATTTCGCTTAACGGCAGGAATATATTCTGACAAATGCATCATCAGGTGATTTAGTTGCTGTGCAAACATCATAGAGTGTACTTATGCATACATAGATTGGATAGCCTACTGCACACTTAGGGTATGTGAGATGGCCTATTGCTCCTAGGCTACAAAACTGTACATCAAGTTCCTATACTGAATACTGTCAGCAACTGTAAAACAATGTATCTAAACATATCTAAATATATGTTTGTATATTTACAGCCAAGAACAGCCAAGAACACTTAAAGTCACTGCAAAGAATAAATACAAACTTACTTAATCACAAAAAAAGTATTAAAAATGACAGGCTACTTTACATCACTGCATACAATTACAACATAAAACATACAGATACGTACAACATAAAGATATGTTTGTATCTAAACATATCTAAATATAGAAAAAGTAATGCATTGTGCCACTTCATTAGGATAGCTACAATGTTACTAGGATAAGAATTTTTCACCTTCCATTATATATATATATTTTTTTTCAGACGGAGTTTCGTTCTTGTTGCCCACGCTGGAGTGCAATGGTGCGATCTCGGCTCACCACAACCTCTGCCTCCTGGGTTCAAGCGATTCTCCTGCCTCAGCCTCCCCAGTAGCTGGGATTACAGGCATGCACCACCAAGCCTGGCTAATTTTGTATTTCTAGTAGAGATAGGGCTTCTCCATGTTGATCAGGCTGGTCTGAAACTCCTTGGGTGATCTGCCTGCCTCGGCCTCCCAAAGTGCTGGGATTACAGGCATGAGCCACCGTGCCTGGCCCTTCCATTATAATTTTATGGGCCCAGCATACTATATATGGTTTGTTCTTGAATGAAATGTTATGCAGCACATGATTGCATTGTTGAGAGGACAAAATCGTGTTACTACTGATGATGATTTTGGATAACTCATATTCCAAGTGTGGTAGAGGTCAAAGATAGATGAAAAAAAGGAAAAAAAGAAAAAAGGAGATACATGTTTTCTTGGAAAATTCATTTACAATTACTCATTAGAGGACATTAGTATGTTCTAGAAGGCTATTCCCATTCTCCGTCTCTGATTTTTTATGAACTATCACACCTTCCTCTAAAACAGGACCTATATTTGAGACTGATTCTGCCATTTGGTGGAGCCCAGACTGAAAAGATGTGGGAATTCATTCTTTGGTTCACAAGGTCATGGCTCCAAAATAAAGGTGAAGATGGGAAGGCAACACATGCATGAAAGGGTGCTGTATGAAAGTTTGTGCAAAAAGCAGCTGGAAAGAGGGGTTTATGACCTTTTGATCACAGAGACTGCTCCTTGTCAGTCTCATGTGGCAAATGCCAAGGGCTTGGCAAATTCACAGGGGAGGGCTGGAGTCCCAGACACCCTGCCATTCCGGAAGACAAAAGGCAGCTGAAAGTGCAATTGCTCAACTCCTTCTGTCTTTGGTGATTTTCCTATACTCAACCATGTGCTGTAGCTGATTTTGCAGTGGCTGACCCTCAATTCTATAATAAACTTTGGCTTTGGTTGTTCAAATACTTCAAAGCTTGTTTTAAGAACATGCTAAGTTCTATTTAAATTTCATTATGCTCTAGTAGAGAGCACTTCATATTTGTTTTGAGTTTATGAGTAAAGACTGGATCTTAAAGGGTCAGTTCAGAAGATATGGCAATAAGTATCTAAGGTGCTGTAGCAAAAGATATGGTCTCAAAAAGAGAGAGGGAGGGAATAAAAGGGGAGGGAGTGGGGAAGAGACGGTGGGGGGCAGACAGAGAGAGAGAGAAAGAGAGAGAGAGAGACTTTCTGATAGAGGTAAACATCTGTCAGTTTTATGCATACAGAAATGATCACTCTGTTACAATGGTAACCCATCTCATTTGACAGCTGTGTATAAATTGGAGCAGAAACACACATCTGTCTCTCTTTAAGTTTTGGTTTTGTGCTAGAGATGATTTAGGAGAATAATAGAATGCTGAAAAGACAAATGTGTATTATTTGTAAATAGATTGTTATAACTCCTTTGCGATAAAGGAAAGTCTTTATTGTTTAATGCTTATATGTGACTTTTTAACAGGTGTGGTTTTTTTTTCTAACCTTGAAGAAGTAAATTAACTAGTGTATTTTTGAAGGGGAATCCTGAGTGTTTAACAAGTAAAAATATCATTACCCAACAACTCTGTATTATAATTATAAAGAGTTTTCTATATACCCTTTGTTAATATTAAATGTATACTAAATATAAAATACCTAACTCTATAAAGTACCCATAATATGGTCATTCTCTGGGTACTTCAAGACAAATCTGCTTTATATCTCTCCCATAGTTAATTGAGCTACCTGTTCTGGCACATTATTTGATTTCGGAATAACTTAAATAGAGAACAAAGGGTAACTCTAGGAATTGTGCAAGATGATTGCCAAATGCATAGTATAACTATGTGGACTAAAATAATCAAAAGTAGAGTACATGTTACTTTTATTAAATAATGAAAACTCTGTATTTTTAATAAATAATCTAGCAATATTATCTCCCCCACAGTATTACCATTGCACTTTGTTTTTGTTAACTTTCCCCTTCAATTGCAAATATGGTAACTAGAAAGAAATTCAATTCATGAATATTCAGGAACTCTTTGCCTGGTTTGTGTCATGCCATCTTAGTTAGCAAATCACTGGCTGGAGGGAGAATGAGATAGAAGATAGTATCATGGGAAGGGCCAAAACCAAAACTATAGAGTAGGGACTTGATTGGGAGTCCTGTGTAGAAGGAGATAGAGTTCTTGTGTATGTATGTCTGGGTGTGTGAGTAGGAGAGGAGCTTGAGATGTAATGAGCCATGGAATACAACTGCAGGTACTATACAATTTTGTCTGTGGCCAACCTTAAATGTACACATCTTACAGATTGAAAGTTTGCAAAGGCAGGTGTCTGCCTATAGTCCAAACTACTGGGGAGGCTGAGGTAGGAGGATTGTTTGAGTCCAGGAGTTCTGAGCTGTAGTATGCTATGCTGATCTGGTGTCTGCACTAAGTTTGGCATCAATAATGTGACCTTCTAGGAGCAGAAAACCACCAGGTTGCCCAAAGGGCGGTACACTGGACCAGGTGGGAAATGGAAGAGGTCGAACCTCCTGTGCTAAGTAGTGGGATCACGCCTCCTGTGAATAGCAGGACACTTCAGCATAGGCAACATAGCAAGTCCTTGTCTCTGAAAAAAATGCCCTTGTCTCTAAAAAAAAAAAAAAAAAAAAAGTCTCTTGGTTACCAAATCTGTAAATCTCCGACTATATGAAGGATACCTCAATTCACAAGAAAACTGCATTAAGTCCTAACTCAATGAGCTTGCATCATTTACTAATATTCATTTTCTAAGCATAATGTGAGTATCTTATATTGAGTTATTTTTGGTTCTTGTATGAGAACTGTGGTAATCTATAGAAGATCAAGCACAGAGTTTATTCATTTCTTCAGCATACTATCAACTCCAGACAGATTCCACAGGCATTTGGGTCAGAGATGCCTTAAAAGAATAGTTTAGTTGATGTATAACCTGGCATTACATCATTCTGAATTGTGTATGAATAGGGATTAAAAAAAGATTTGCTAGTTTGCTAAAATATAACCTCTGTTTTATAGAACTGAAGTTTCCTGGTGTAATATAATACCTTTGCTTTGTATTATAGCACCGTTCCTAATTATGTAAGTGTACTTTGTTTAAAGTAGTGTATAAAGGCCAAGGCATATTTGACTAAGAAGGCTTGCATTGTACATTATTTAAGAAATATTTTTAAATAGTGACAGAGATATGAAAAAAGAAGGCCCTGAAAAGAACTAGATGAAGTCATATTTTACACTTGCAATCAATTCTCATAGGTCCAACACCAAGGCTCTTTTCTCCCTTTTTCTTCTGCTTCCCATGAATTTTCCTGTAAAATTTGTATCCAATTTCATTCCCAGTTATATTTTATTTTGTCCTGCTTCTATTATAATGGCCAAGGAAAAATATATAGAAATCTGAAACTATAAGTATTAATTTAAATCATTATTTCCCTGTTTTCTTTTACCATTGCTCTTTTCAAACTTTTCCATTATTTGCCTCTTCGTTCTTTCTCATTTTTATCCCATTTCCCCTTCTTTATTTACCCATCCTTGCTGCATTCCCTCTCTTCCTTTCTTCCTTTCTTGCCCTTTTCTCTCTTATCCCTTTCTTTATTCTTATATTTAACAACTTCAAGTAGAAAAGAGTGATGTCCTCATCATGCTGGTCAATGCAGATTTAATTCTATTTCCTTATAATAATGTCAACTAGTGCATATTGAGTACTTACTCTGTATCTCATATCTTCACAACACCACCAGGAGGTAGGTTGTCTTATGTCTCCATATTATAATTAGTGGCTTAGCTCACCAGTAAATATCCCATTGCTACACAGCTAGAAGTTGTGGTTTATCTGAGGATAAACACCCCTCTGTCTGAATCCAGAGTTCATGTGCTTAATAATTATTAAATGCTTTCTCCCCTTTCTAGTCAAAATCCCCAGTGATCAAGTCTCTATGTGGTCTAGTTCTTTGTAGATCGGTGCTTTCAGAGGGCCATATAGCCTTGTCACCAGCACCACTGCCTCTCTCTTCTACCTACTCAGGGTCTCTGTTTTTGCACCTGTTCAGGTCCCTTTGCTGAAGCCTGTAAAACAAATTTGATAAGTGAGTAGGGGTGTCTTGTTTTTATTTTATAATTAAGAAAATAAAAGTGTTTGCTTGACAGAAGAAAACTCAACCAGTCCTAGGATTTGTTTTTTCAGAAAATAATTTCTTTGTTTTCCATAGTTTTGCTATCTTCTATTGCTTTCAAAGTAGATGTGGGAGAGTAATATTCCTCTGTAAGTTACTAGGAAAAGCAGATAATCCAACTCTATATAGATCATACCTCTGCCTCTGATCTCTAAATTTGACTTACATAAGATTTGACAATTTCCAAGAATTCTAATAATCACCATTTTATTTTATCCTCATAATGTGATAATAATAGCAGAAACTAATGTGATCTTTTAATATTTTAAGAAACATAAATACTCAGGCCGGGTGCGGTGGCTTACGCCTGTAATCCCAGCACTTTGGGAGGCCAAGGCAGGCGGATCATGAGGTCAGGAGATCAAGACCATCCTGGCTAACACGGTGAAACCCCGTCTCTACTAAAAATACAAAAAAACTAGCCGGGTGTGGTGGCATGTGCCTGTGGTCCCAGCTACTCAAGAGGCTGAGGCAGAAGAATGGCGTGAACCCAGGAGGCAGAGGTGGCAGTGAGCGGAGATTGCGCCACTGTACTCCAGCCTGGGCAACAGAGCAAGATTCTGTCTCAAAAAAAAAAAAAAAAAAAAAAAAAAATTAAAAAAAAAAGAAACATAAATACTCAGAGATGTTAAGTGACTTAAAGAAAATAATAATTCAAGCCCTAAACACCTTCTCCATTGCTCTGAACAGAACTTGTGGCTTTGTAATTTTGTCTCTAATATGGGGTCCTTTCTACTACCTCATGTGACTCCCAATTCCCTGGCTTTTCATTCTGTCTATCCCTTTATTTTTAAAATCCACAGTACATCCCTTTGAATTATGCACCACTCTATAAAATCACCATATCCAAAATTAAATTTATAACTTTCCTCAAACCAACTATTTTTCATACTTCCTTATTTTAATGTATGGGCCCCACAATTTGTGAGTTCCACCTCTCCCACCATCTAGAGATTTGCTAATATTTAGGATGTCTCTATCTCTTTTACTATTACATTCAGTTAATCATCAAACCCCACTGATTTTCTTTCAGTAATTTTTTTTCTATTTTGGCAATCCTGCTGTAGTTCTAGTTTATCACTCCATGATCACATTTTGATCTGAATGTAGTTTTCTCACCTAACTTGCAAGATGCTCTTTCTAAGTAATTTAAAACAAATACAAATACTTTTCATCATCTTAAGAATCTGTAATGGCTTTGTTGCCTCTAGCTCCAATTTTGAATTATTTATTCTAATTTTCACAGTATGGCTTCCACAGCATAAAGCATGTCTCATCTGTTCAACATAATGTCCATAATAAAATAAATTTTTTGTTCCAGTTGGAATGGCCTCCACATAACATCACAAACACATACATACTCACACACTGTCAATATCAACCACCTGTCCTTTGTTGATAATGTTCCTCTTGCCTAGAATTCGCACCTTGTCTTATATTCCAGTCCATTTGTTAATACCCAGATTCATTTCTCCCTTCCTTCAATTCTCTCTCCCTTTCTACTCTTCTTCCTTTGTCAAAAATTGACATATCTAATATGTGTCAGGCATCATGTTAGGACAAAAACAAGAGATAAAACATGAAAATGACATAATTATCACGCTGCTGGATCTCACAGTAAAGTGAATTCAGTGGTACCAGCTGTTGTCTTTGTGGTTGCTTTGTTCTGCTTTGTTCTGTGAATTCATACTTCATTAACAATTGTCATCATTTTTATGATAATCTGGAAAAAATGAGTAGTACCTTCATTGTGCAAAACAAAGCATCTGGCTTTGAAGATATGAGAAGGAATAATATATGGACCTTGAGCAAGAGACTTATAAACTAATCGGAGAAGTAGGTTGTATATTTTTTTTTAATTAAAAAGGCAAAGATATATACTAATTGATAAAGATGTGATTTAAATAGACAGTGCCTAAGAGAGGAATCTATAAGCTAGAAAATTCAAAAAAAGGCTTCACAGGGTAAACTTTAGTTGTTTTTTGGGGAAAAATGTGGATAACAATAGTGGATAGATAGAGCAAGATGTTTCATAAAATTTGATTCTTTATTATCTTCTAGTGCATTTTAATTCTTTATGTCTGTAAATTCTGTCTCACCAAATTCCTGTAGGCTCCTCCAGGATGATGTGTGTCATATGTTTGTTTTGATCTCTTACCATATCTAGAACTGATATGGGCAATAAAGGATTGTCAGTTGATTGTGTATTCACAGGAAATTTACAGGCAATAATATTGTGAACTTAAGTGTATCACCACCGAGTTACTCATTCTTTTTACCAGTCACCCAAGTTGTGCAATTCTGATTTTGTATTAGAAAACCAATACTTAAATAGATTAAATAATCTATCAAGGATTTTTCATTATAGTTACAAGAATCCTCAGTGTGAGCTGAGATCATAACATTCACACCTTCTCGTTTTTCATTAAGCACCTTTGGAGGTGTTTGTGAGAGAAGATTACGATTTGCTTTTTAAATACAACTATCATCCTTCAAAAATGTTCACTGATTTTTTTACCTTCTTATACTGTACGCATAGATTTAGTGGAAGCTGCCAGCAATAACACTATTCTTAGTTGTACTGTTTGCCCTCATTAAATATTTCTTAGGCAAAGGTGTTTCCTAAACATTTTCTGAACCATGCTCATGAATGCAGTAAAAGGCATACAAAGGTGTAAATTAGGAAGATTTAAGTTGGGTTTTAGAGTACCTGCTCTACAATCTAGGTTCTCCTGAGGGTTTGGCACATGTTGCTTAACTGCTGGATCAAATTTTCATTTTCTATGTTAGAAAGCTAATACTATCTATATCACAGGATTGTTAGGAGGGACGAATTAATTTTACCTAACCTTGTTTAAGAAAGATGACCTCTTCTTTCATATCAATGTTTTGTCTATAACAGACAAGATGACAGCAAATAAAACCTACCCTATACCCCTCCAAAATTAGGATTTCTACAATAATTAATCTTAAAAAGGGTGACCTGCACAAGCTTAATATTATGGTTTTACCATACCATACAGGGAAAGTGAGAAGACCTTCTAGACTCTTTTCGAGTGAGGTTTGTGAAGTGACTCAGCCCTGAGCATTATTTGTTTGCTCTGGCTTTATTTTCATGTGGTGAGAAGCACACAGAATGAGTGGAACTTCTTTAAATGGACAAGGCACACATCTTGAAGCTCACAGTCCTGCTAACATAAAGTTAGCAAAACAAGCACTTAAAATTGCAGATAGCTGCCAAAGGTTCCCAGAAACCATGGCATGGACTCTGTTGTTGCAATAATCCAGTCATTGTTTGTGTTTTGTTTGGTATCAGTCACATGAAACACTATCTACTATACCATGGGTTTCTTTGTGTGTGTGTGTGTGTGTTTGTGTCTATAAGTCAGAGAGAGATGGTGGTGTATTAAGTATTGTATTCCTGCCATTTGTGACACATTGCCTCATAGAGATTCTGTCCAATTTCACTGCCACAACACAGGGAAGTAGAACAAAGGGGGATCGAACATGAAAGTTTTCTACTATTATGTTATATTCACATCTTTTTTTGTTTCAGGCAAGATGGAGAGTATTTGAGCGGTCAAATAGAGGATATGAGAAGAAAAAAAGAATAACTTCTATGTGGAAAAGTAAGCAGATGACTATCATTTCTTTTGTCTGTTGTCAGTGCTATAAATCTCTGCTCTTTGGACTATCAATAATTTCATCTAATGTTAATTTCTTTACTAAAAAAATACTTACCGAGCATTGACCTAAATAGGAATAAGTAGAAAGTTGGCATCCAGCTATGTTTTCAAAGAAAAAGATTGCTAATTCCAGAAGATGACGCACGATACGGAGAAGCATGTAAAATTAGTGTGCTGTTGGCCTCTACACTGAGAAGAGCACTGGTTCTAAGATGTTATTCTCTATTTACTTTCAGAATTTCGGTTACGGAGTATCATCCTCTTTATTTAGGGCTGGAAGAGATGTTTATTGAATTTTTCATACTACTTAAATCTGAACTAGCTCGCAAACGGTGTTGATAAAATCAAACATGCTATTAGCCTTGATGTCTATACAGGTGGGCATGCATGAAATCTTTATAGACTTCATTTCAGATATGATGCTGTTCCTTATATAATTATTACTACCTTTTGATATTTTCCTAGGTGCCAGACACTTTACATACCTTATCTCGGCTAGTTGTCAAACTCTTGTAATCCTGTTTAGCAGATGAGGACTATACATCCTAAAGAGATAAAGTAACTTGCTTAAGGTGCCTAGAGTACACCCAGTTCTTTTGACTCTAAAATCTTTTCCAATATGACACCAGCATTTCCCAAAATTCCTGTTTTATTGGTATATCATTATGGGTTAAACAGAAAGTTTGATTTCATATATATGTATATATGTTATATATGTGTGTGCATATATGTTCATAATATATACATGTTTATATATTACTTCCACTTATATACGTGTAGTGCCTTGAGAGCTTGCATCACAATTTACCCTCTTGCCCCAAAGAATACAATGCAAAACAAAAAAAACAAAACAAAACTCTGTGTGTGTGTGTGTTTGCGTGTGTGCGTGTGGTGTGTGCATGCCTGTGTTTATGAGAGAGAGAGAAAGAGAGAGAAATTGTCCTCAGAACTCTCCTTTGCTAATCCTTGTAGTACAAGTAAAGGAAAAATAAAGAAGTCAAGGAAATAGCAGGTTTTAACCAATGAAGTTTGGGGTAAATGAAGAGTTTAGTGCCTAATTCAGTGAAGGTATTTGGACTTTATGACATGAATGAGTCTACCATGTACTGCTCACAGAGACAGGGAAAACAATTCAGCAAAGTGTTTCAGTGACTGTTGCAATAAGGATCAACATTTGTGTATTTTATGACAGAAATTATATGCTACAGTGATATTCATGAATTTGGGGATTTATGAGAGCTCCAGAATATATCCCTCCCAATGGACAAGAGTCTACCAGAATGTTTCCCAAAATATGTTATGAAGTATACTGGTTCAGAATGTTAAGGGCATTATGTGAAATGGAGAGTTCAGTGGTCTAATCAATTTGGGGAAAGTTTTACCAAAAAAGTTAGATTTCTTTACTGTAGAGCAAATCAAAGCCTTTTATAGGGTCAAGTGCATTTTAAATCTCCAAGAGGTTATATAGTTTACAGCTCTTCCTAAACTTATATAGCCACGAAATCCCTTTTTCTTAGAAATTTTTGTGAGGTTATTGTTCTATATAAAATATGTTGTATAATAATTTTCTACAGTTTAAGTAAAAACACATAACACTAATATGTAGTTAGTTATAATAGCTATTGGGGATGAAATGGATTTTTCTCTGTACTTTTAAGACTATTCATGACTGAGGAATAGAAAGTGTTTGGTGAATCACTACAGATCATTATTATACAGTATTATTACTGTGCACTGCATGTGATGAGTTTTTATGCAGTTTAGTAAGTAAATCAGAGATGCATTTAGATAATATAATAATTTCCTGTTACTCATTTCTCCATCTGATTTTATAAGTATTTTAAACCTTAGAATATGGTGGACAACAAAACATACAAATTATCTTTCTCATACAATCACACAAAATCTAACCCCCACAGAATCAAACGAAACAACATATTCTCACTTTCGATCCTTTACATTAGAAGAAGAGATGCTTTTTTATTTTAGGGGTGCCTCTACCTCATACTTATCCCTCTTTTTGTAAGTCAGTATACTAGAAAATCCAAATAGAGGACTCATTCTCTAACAAAGAAGAAACCTGTTTTGTCAAGCTTATTTCAAAATGCAAATGCTCCCTGAAGAGGGTGACTTTAGCAGTTGAGTATGCTTTCATTTGTCCTAAATTAATTTCTTGTCTTATAGAAGAGAACTGGAAAGCCTAGGGATTCTGGCTAGTTAAATAGTTTGAGCAAAGTGCTGAGAGGACAGAAAAAGGTGCTGCAAGTGGAATGTGAGTATAGCAGGCAACTGAAGACAAATCTCCCACTGAAGCATCCAATTTAGGACCAGTTCTGATATTCAGATGATGGGTTTTTAGGTATAGTGTGCATGAAAAATAACATAGTTCATGGCTATGAAAAAGGTGAGAGATTAGCCAATGGGATGTCCACTTACATTTCCTCTGATGAACTGGATTTCGGAAAGTGAGAATAAGGCATTGTCAGGCAAAAGTCACTAGAAGTCTCCAGTCTGTTCTATTGGAGATGTTGGAGAGTTTCATCATGAGGAAAGGAAAAGAGTTTCATCATGAGGAACGGAAAAGGGAGCTGACTAGGGAAGCACCCAATACATCCCTAAGAGGCCTTGAGGGTAGATGTATTAGCTGGTGTATATATATATATATATATATATATATATATATATATATATATATATATATATATAAATATATGGGAGTTTACTAAGTAGTATTAACTCATGTGATCACAAGGCCCCACAATAGGCCGTCTGAAAGCTGAGGACCAAGGAAGCCAGTCTGAGTCCAAAGGTGAAGAACTTGGAGTCCAATGTTCAAGGGCAGGAAGCATCCAGCTCGGGAGAAAGATGTAAGCTGGGAGGCTATGCCGGTCTAAGCTTTTCACATTTTTCTGCCTGCTTTATATACTGGCTACGCCTGCAGCTGATTAGATGGTGCCCATCCAGACTGAGGGTGGGTCTTCCTTTCTCAGCCCACTGACTCAAATGTTAATCTCCTTTGGCAACACCTTCGCAGACACACCCAGGATCAATACTTTGCATCCTTCAATCCAATCAAGTTGACACTCGGTATTAACCACCATAGTGGAATTTAGTGGGAAATCATGAAGCACAGATATAAAACTTTGGTGACTTCCTAACAGCCTCAGTAGAACTGAAGTTGAAGTGAAGAGCAAGGATGGTTAGGTTGATGTTTTGTTACTTTGGTAGGATTCAAAAGAAAAATAAACAAAGAAATTGGAAGTATTGCCGAAAGTTAGGTCGAAAGGGTAGGCTATAGGTCCCAGTTTGGAAAGAGGACACTGAATATAGTTAAAGTTACAGAACCCATATTATGAAATTCTCAGGGATTCCAAAAAAAAAATGAAAACCTAGGAAAGTAACTTGTCCAAAGCTACATGAATAGATGGAAGCAGGAAAATAAATGAAGACTCCTTGTTTGTGTTCATGCTTCCATTCTATGTTGTCTCTGGACAGGAAGTTCTTAATATTCTTTGGATGTCTGTTATATGAACTTGATAATTCTAGGGAACCCTCATTAACAAAAAAATTAAAAATGGTACAACATGAACAGTTTTTTAAAAATTAATTTTATTTTAAGTTCCAGAATACATGTGCAGAACATGCAGGTTTGTTACATAGATATATGTGTGTCATGGTGATTTGCTGCACCTATCAACCCGTTATCAAACTTTTTAAAATTGTACAAAAATGGGCCTAAAATTTCCATAGATTTATAACTGCCAAAGCTTATCAGTGACTACTCTAGTTTTTTAAGGACCCAGGCTAAAAAAAAGAGGTTCAGAATAGACAAATGCCATGGAAAATGTAATTTGTTGATTTCATTTCTAATTGTTGAAGAGTGCTTAGCTAGTATTCTTTCAGACACACAATAAAGACTGTATGTAATACGTTTAACTTTCTTATAAAAACATTCAATAAAATGTTTCCACAAAATCTGAAAAAGTCATTTGAGCCTATAGGGAGAGAGGTTTAACACTTCTCCCAAAATTCTGCTATGGGGTTTGTTGAATATTTTCTCCTGTTTTTGGAACAAATTTGAGATTCTTTTATAAACTTTGAATTGTATATAATGTTTTACTTCAGATGTCATGAATTGAGCTTCATATGATCTACATAATTCATTAGTTATGTCTTTGCTTGTGTATAAGTAGCTGTTACAAAGAGGGAATACTGTCTAGATACACAACCCTTGTGCTTTGTGATAAACAGACTAAAGTTAATCTGTTATCCCCAATCCTAAACTGCCAGTGCTGATATTATACTCATCCAGCTGAGTAAATATGTGTATTCTAATCCATATTAGGCACATGAGTTGACTTTAAATGCTGTTAAAATTTAGGTGAATATGATTTTCAGAAACATAAATCTAGTCCCTAAAATATATAAAGTAATCATAATCTTGATAATGAGCTCAGTCTTCTCCCCTCCTTCCAATACAAATATGTATGTTAAATCCAAATAGTTAAACATAGATTCAAATAAGTAGAGTTAGGAATCCTATTTGTTAAATAAATGTTGAGATACATTTTATCAAAATAATAAAAAATATATATTTATTTTGTATTTATGCAACTCGAGCAGTTTCATATTTGGAATTAATGTCATGTCAAAACAAAATATATGAAAACCTGCAAGGAACAACGAAACTTTACACTTTCAAATTGCTTTTGATATGATACTCTGCAGCTCAAGATAAGATAGAGCAAGCATATTTAACTTCTTCTTCCCCACTGCATACAACTGAAAACCTAAACAGAATGCTTCTGAGAACTCAGACCCAGGTGGTAATAGGCAGATTAGGAAAGAAAATAATACACCGTATAAATGATCTCATGGTTAGTTCGTTATTTTGTCTTGTTTGCTTAATTTTGTTTTTCAATATTTCTTGTTTGAACTTTAAACGAAGCCCAAATCGGGAACTATGTACTAGGTAAAAGCCCTAAATGTTCCAAAGAAACCTCTTTGTATTGTCTAAGAAATGAAAAAAGGAGCTCCTAAGGACAGAGAGACTGGGGAATAAAACATTGTGTTTTTGGTTTCATTTCATTTTGTTCTTTTCTTTTTATACCACCCCTGCCTCCAAACAAGCACCAGTTGCTGAGCTCTGATTTTTGCACCATTTGGGGTTGTATGGGGCAATGATGGTGTCAGCTGTGAGCAAATGCGTAAAGCTCTAAGGGAGGGGGATTCTACTCTCTGACCAGAGGACCTATGATCCAAAAAGAACGCGGAGAAACTGTTACTTTTTCCCCCTCTTTATCCTCTTGCCATTTGGCCCTGCAGGCCAGTTGAGTCATGGGAAGTGTTCAGTAGAGCAGAACAGTGAAAGCCCAGGCTGTCTAGCCAGAAGCCCAGAAAAGAGGGCCCCTGAGTGCTGGGGAGTGCTGGAGAGATCCAGAAGAGAAGCAGCTTGAGGAAACAATCTCATGAAATGTGTATGAATTCCTGGGCTCATCCAAGAGCCAGGGTAGGTCTGATGCTAAACAGTGTATCAAAAGCTTTGACAACTGAACTTTGGGGTAGACTACAGTCTAAGTCCCAGACTGGTCACTGGGTGGCAGGCACACAAGAAAGATGTAAATTGTATTGCAAACACTTTGGATAGTGAACTAACATTGGAATCATAGTCCACGGAATGTGAATCAAAAATATGTGGAGAATCTAATCAGCCTGCTAAAACAACAACAACAAATCAATTATCTCTGTTAGATTTAAACAGGTTACATAGGTTTAAAATATAAAAGGATGCTGAGCGCCTTAGCTCATGCCTGCAATCCCAGCACTCTGGGAGACCAAGATGGGTGGATCGCTTGAGCCTAGGAATTAGAAACCAGTCTGGACAACATGGCGAGACCCCATCTCCACACAAAATACAAAAATTAGTCAGGCATGGTGGTGTGTGCCTGTAGTTCCAACTACTTGGGAAGCTGAGGTGGCGGGATCACCTGAACATGAGAGAGCAAAGCTAGAATGAGCCGAGATCATGTCACTGCACTCCAGCCTGGGTAACAGAATAAGAAGCTGTCTCAAAAAAACAAATAAAATAAAAGGTTGAAGAGAGATATGCAACTCAAACTCTAATCAAAAGAAAGCTGGAAGAGCATATTCATATAAGAAAAGGTAGGCTTCAGGGCAAGGAAAATTTTCAAGAATAAAAAAGGGCATTACATAACAATAAAAGTTAATTCACAAAAAACACCTAATGATTTTGAATGTGTATGTTCTTAATAACAAAACTTCAAAGCACATGAAGCAAAAACTGAGAACTGAAACAAGAAATAAGCAAATCTACAATTATGGCTGTGAAGACTTCAATACTTTTCTCTTAGTAATTGATGAAACATGCTGACAGAAGGAAAGCCAGTATAAAGAACTGAATAAAACCAGCAGCCAGTTGGATGTAATGACATTAATAGGACGCTCTGCCAAACAACTGTAGATTTTAATTTCCTGTTGAGTGACCATGAAACGCTAACCAAGATAGGCCAGGTCTGGGTCAAAAAATAAAACCTAACAAATGTTTAAAAATTGAATTCATATGAAATATAGTCTCTGACACTAATATAATTAAACTGGAAATCAATAACAAAAAGCTATCTGCAAAATTCTCAAATAGGTGTAAGTTAAAATATTCTTCTAAATAATCCATGAGATCTAAGAGACAGCCTCAAAGAAAATTAGGAAATATTTTGACCTGAACTAAAATGTAAATATAACATATAAAATTGTATGTAATGGAGCTAAAACAGCATTCAGAGGGACATTTATAGCATTAAATGATTACATTAGAAAAGAAGAAAAGTCTTAAATCAACAAGGTAAGTATCTACTTAAGAAACTAGCAGATGAAAAGCAACACTAACCCAAAAAAATCAGAAAAAAACATAAGGTCCAAAATCAATTAAATAGAAAAAATAACAAAATAGAGACAAAAATCAATGAAATCAAAAGCTTTTTTTCTAGAAGAGACTAATAAAGTTGATAAACATACAGCTGGAATGACCAGGTAAAAAAAGAGAAAAGACAAAATTATTACTATCAGCAGTGAAAGATGATGTATCACTACAGACATTAAAAGGCTGATAAAGGAAAACCAAGAAGAACTCTAAGTATATAAATTCAACAACATAAATTTGGTCATTTTCTTGAAAGCCACAAGATACCAAACTCACTCTCACTTTATAGATCTATGCCTATTATAGAAGTTGAATTAATAGTTTAACATCTTCCAAAACAGAGATCTCTAATCCCAAATGATTTCACTGGTGAATTGTATTGAATATTTTAAAAGAAGAAATCACACCAATTCTATATAATATCTTCCAGGAAATTAAAGAAAGAGTACTTCCAAATTTATTTTATGAGGGCAGAATTACCTTTATGTAAAAAGGCAGTACAGGGAAAGAAATCTAGAGACCAGTTTCCCTCATGGACATAGACACAAAAATCCTCAACAAAATATTAGCAAATCAAATCTAGACTTATATAAAAAGAACAATACATAACAACCAAGTGAAATTTATCTTGAGATGCAAGATAGTTCAGCATTTAAAAAACAGGCTGAGCATGGTGGCTCATGCCTGCAATCCCAGCACTTTGGGAGGCTGAGGCTGGAGCCTCCCTTGAGCCCAGGAGTTCGACACCAGCCTGGGGAACATAGCGAGACCTTGTCTCTACTTAAACAAATAAGCCTTAAAAAACTATTCATAAAAGTTGTCATCATAATGGATTAAAAAGGTAAATCAGATGATTATAACTATTCATGCAGAAATAGTACTTAATAAAATGTATTATGTATTTATGGTAAAATCTCTGAAGAAACCAGGAAAATGAAGAGGACTTTCTTAAACTGATAAATAGCATCTACCTTTAATCAACATTATACTTAATGATGAAAGGCCAAACTCTTTACTCCTAAGACTGTGAACAAGGAAGGATATCCACTCTCTTCATGTTTATTCAACCAGAAGTCTTGGACAGTACAATATGGCAAGAAAAAATCAGAAATTTACACATAAGAAAGGGAAAAATGAAATTATTCCTATTTTCAGATGACATGATGGTCTCCCTAGAAAATCCAAAGGAATCTACACAAAAACTTTTAGAACTAATAAGTGAGTCTAAAAAGTTCCTGTTATACAAGGTCAGTATATAAAAATCAATCATATTTCTTTTTACTTGCAATAAACAATGAACAGCTGCAATAAAATATCTTTTATGGTAGCACCAAATAGTGAAATACTTAAGTATAAATCTAATAGAATGTACAGGATCTGTACACAAAAAAGTACAAAATTCTGACTTAAAAAAAGAAACAAAAAACACCTGAATAGATGGAGAGATATACAGGTCTCATGGATTGGAATACTCAACACAGTTAAGCTACCAATTCTTCCCGGGTAGATTTATAGATTAGTTGCAATTCAAATCAAAATACCAAAATAATTTTTTGCATATTTAAATAACTGATTCTAAAATTTATAAGGAAAGGCAAAAAGAATTAGAATGGCCAAAACCATTTTGTAAAAGAAAAACAAAGTTAGAGAATCCAAACTATCTTATTTTAAAACTTACTATAAAGCTACAGTAATAAAAATAGTGTGACATTAGGAAAGAGATAGACATATAAATCAATGAATAGATTAGAGTCCAAAAATATACCCAATATGGGCAATTGATTTTTGACAAAGGCATGAAGGCAATTCAATGGAAAAATGGATAGTCTTGTCAACAAATAGTATGGAACAATTGGACATCCTATACAAAAAAAAAAAAAAAAGGAAGCATAACCTCTGTCTCACACTTTATGCAAAAATTAACTCAAAATGGTTTAGAGAGCTAACTTTAAAATGTAACTTCAAAACGTTTAGAAGAAAACATAGCAGAAAATCTTTGTGACCTCGAGTTAAGTAATTTTCTTAGATATAATGCCAAACCATGATCTAGAAAAAGAAAACATATCTTGGCAAACTGGACTTTATCAGTAGTAAAAACTTTTGCTCTACAAAAGTGCTGCAAAGAGAGTGAAAAGATAACTACAGACTGGAAAAAATAATTGTAAATCATATACTTGACAAAGGACTTCTATTTAAACTATACATTTTAAAACATCTCAAAACTCAAAATAAGAAAACAAACAGCTCAGTTCAACAATGGGCCAGAAATCTGAATGGACACTTCACTAAAGAAGATATATAGATGAAAAGTAAGCACAAGGAATACAAAATAAATAAACAAAAAATAAATAAACCACCACACAGTTACTACAATATGTATTCCCCTAACAACACCCACTCAAGTTCTTCACTCAACTTTAGTAAAGAGATAAGAACCCTAATGGCCTTAGTGATATGCTTGCCTAATGGTATGCAGTGAGACTGAGGTTCTGGAACTCAGGCTATGTCTTAAGAAGCCTTATAACATCTTTCTGGGCCTTTTAGAATACTCTCTCTTGAAATGTCTGTTCTGAGCGTAGCCAGCTGCTATATAAGAAGTAAGGCTACCTTGGGCCCACCATGTGTGGCTAGAGAGCCATGTTGGCCAGCCCCCAGAAGTTACAGCTATCCCAGCTCAGGGAATGAACCTGTGAGTGAGGGAGTCGTTTTGGATATTTTCAACCCCAAAAGACTCCACATGGAGAAAAATAGAGATTCAAGACCTATGTCCACAATTGAGCCATTCTAGTAATCTCTAGTTGTTCTAACCACCTGGCTGAAGTCCCAGATATTATGGGTATCAATTAGTCTATTACTTATTTGACAGATACAGAAACTGAGATTCCTCCCCTTTTATTTTTTAAACTAACACTTACTGAGTAATAATTACATGTCAGGTACTATACTAAGTATTTTGAATTCATTATCTCTGCTAATCCACATAACCCTGTGAAGTAGTTACTATCATCATTGCATTATTGTCATTTTATCGATGAGGAAACTAACACAGAATACATGTTTTCCCCAAGATTATTTACTTGGTAGACTAAATTGCTTTTGTGAAACACACTATTTCAACTTCCTTCTCTGCATGAGGATTATGTATCCTGCCCTGATGAACTCAGAGGTGGCTATCAGAAATGTGAATAGAAGTGACATGCAGCATTCCCAGGAAGAAGCTTCAAGAGTTAACAGTGTGGTTCTCCATGTCTCTTTTTCCTTTGTCTTGATGACTGGCAATATTTTAAATACAGGCTTCTTCACTAGCCTGATTCCCAGAGTGATGGCAACAAGAAATAGGGTTGCAGCTGACTTATGATTAGTCTTGTTGTGGGAGTGAGACCACTGTGATTTTTCAGCTTCTCTGTTATTGCAACATCACCCCAACTGTCCTCACTGATACTTTCACACAGCTGATAAATAGCAAAATTGGGACTCCATCTACTTATTTGTATGTTTTATCTTCAGAATCTCAAATAGTATACCAGGAGAAAACAACATTTGGAAAAGAATAGGCTACATTTAACACAGTTCTTTGAGAATATGTACTTGAAATGTGTTTCTACAATCATTAGTTCGATATCCATGTATAAGGAAACTTGAGAATATGCACTAGGTACATTTACAAATGTCTTTTTAAAATTCTTTTAAGGGAGATGTTTTTCCCCAGTTTATGGTATAAAAAGATGCCTAAAATTCCCAGACTAAGTGATCAATCTGTGCGATCTTGTAAATATAAATATACTAATTGATAAGGTAGAAGAGACTTGAAATTTAAACTACCTCAGAAAATTCAAATTCTTTCATTCAGCAAATCTACTCTTGTTGTGGTTGTCATAATTTACAGGGGTGCAAAGAAAGATAGAATAGATTTATGCTTTTCAGGCTTATGTTAAGGAGGCTATGTGTGGGGAGGAGAGAGAAACGTAGGAAGAATAATTCGAGGAATATGGATAAATATATCTAATGCCAAGAAGCCATAGGGGAAGCTAGGGGGGACTATTTAACACTGATGGGGGATTGAGAAAGGTTTCCTTTGGTGTAAAAGGAATTGCTCTGAAATCAGGATAGAGGCATTACGGGCAAAGATAAGAGCATGTACAAATATCTGGAGGTGAGAGAAACCTGCTTTTCTGGGAATAAGTTCTTCAGAATTGTTGAGGGCAGAGTAACTTTCAGGGAGTGGTAAGAATTGAGCCATAAACTACAGCTAGTAAGCAGCACTAAAGAAAGTATCATGTGAATTAACACTAAATCATAATTTTCCTGGATCTCTGACTCATCAGAGTGTATAATGCTGTTGTATTCTGTGTAATAAACATCCTTTGTCCATTATAGGGAAATGACAACATAGGCCAGATTCAACTGGTCAATTATGACTCGCTTCTGCTGGAGAGGATAAGGCAGGTTTTATAGAACTGACTAACTAAAAAACTGCTCATTTTACAATTCTCTTAAAAATAAATAAGGATATAAAATATGCAAATGAATAAAAGGTATTTTTAAGTAGTACAATTCAAGGTAAGCAATACATAGTGGAAAGGTAGTTGCTCGCTTGAAAAGGAGAAGTCTTTTCAACAAATGATACTGCATAACTGGATATTCATATTACAGAAAAGAATCTTGACTTTCGCTTCATACACAAAAATTAATTCAAAATGAACTATATATATATGATTCTATAGCTAAAATTATAGAGCTTTTAGAGGAAAACTTGGAGGGATTTTTTTGATTCGGTGGTAATCAAAGATTACTTGTATCATCAAAAGCAATAACCATAAAGAGCTAAAGAAATCAGTCACATAAGTGTACAAATTGTATGAATTCAATTACATGAAGTTCTAGAATGGAAAAAATCTGAATGGTGGTTGCCTCTGGGAAGGTGAAAGTAGAGATTGAATGGGAGAGAGTATGAGGAATATTTCTGCAGTAATGTTAATAGTCTATATTTTGACAAAGATTTGAGTTACACAGATGTATACATTTGTCAGCATTCAGTGAATGTACACATAAGAATTTTATATTATGAAAATAATTTTTTCATCAAAAGAAAAAAGATGGACAGATATTCGTTTTATTTAATGTTATGCATGCTGAAGTCTCTAGTAGGAAGTATGCTGAAGTCCACAATTTACTTTAAAATGCATCAAAGAAGATGAATTACTGGATGGATGGAGGAATAAATAAATGGATATACACATAAAACACCTCCCGAAGAGGGCCGACTAGAAGCAGCGACGTTTGGAGGCTCCCATAGAAAAAAAAAAACGAAAAAACATAATAAGCATGTGAATCCTTCACCAGCAACCAAGGTATCCAGGTTCTCTCGTCAAAATTGACTAGAAGGCTGGCGTGACTCATGGAGAGAAGGCCCACCTGAGAGCCACACGGGGAAGGGAAACCCCCTTCCCCCAGCCAAGGGAGGCACCGCCTTGAGTGACATCTCTGGGCACAGGAGAAAAATCAGATGAATAGGGCCTGAAGTGAACCCTCAGCAAACTGCAGCAGCCCTACAAAAGAGAGCCCTAACTACTGAAAGAAAAACAAACAGAAAGTAACAACAACAGCCACAACAACAAAAAGGCCCCCACAAAAATCCCATCCAAGGGTCAGCAGCCTCAAAGACCAAAACTAGACAAACTCATGAAGATGAGAAAGAATCATCAAAAAAATGCCAAAAACTCAAAAGGCCCAGAGTGCCTTGTCTCCTCCAAACGATTGCAATGTCTCTCCTTCAAGGGTGCAGAACTGGTCAGAGAATCAGATGGACAAATTGACAGAAGTAGGCTTCAGAAGATGGGTAATAAAAACTACACTGAGCTAAGGGAGCATGTCTACCCCAATGCAAAGAAGCATGTATACCCAAATGCAAAGAAGCAAAGAAACTTGATAAAAGGCTAGAAGAATTGCTAACTAGAATAAACAGTTTAGAGAGGAACATAAATGACCCGATGGAGCTGAAAAACACAGCACAGGAACTTCATGAAGCATACATAAGTATCAATGCTGAATTGACCAAGTCAAAGAAAGCATATCAGAGTTTGAAGACCACCTTACTGAAATAAGACATACAGACAAAAATAGAGATGAAAGAATGAAAAGGAATGAACAAAGCCGCCAAGAAATATGGGACTTCATAAAAAGACTGAACCTACAAATGATTGGTGTACCAGAAGGAGACGGGGAAAATGGAAACAAACTGGAAAACATACTTCAGGATATTATCCAGCAGAACTTCCCCAACATAGCAAGAGAGGCTAACATGCAAATTCAGGAAATACAGAGAATACCATTGAGATACTTCATGAGAAAATCAACCTCAAGACACATAATCATCAGATTCTCCAAGGTTGAAATGAAGGAAAAACTGTTAAGGGCAGCCATAGAGAAAGGCCAGGTCACATACAAAGGGAAGTCCATCAGACTAACAGCAAGCCTCTCAGCAGAAACTCTACAAGCCAGAAGATATAGGGGGCTAATATTCAATAGTCTTAAGGAAAAGGATTTTCAACCCAGAATTTCATATCCAGCCAAACTAAGCTTCATAAGTGAAGGATAAATAAAATCCTTTCCAGACAAGCAAATGCTGAGGGATTTTGTAACCACCAGGCCTGCCCCACAAGAGCTCCTGAAAGAAGCACTAAATATGGAAAGGAAAAATCAGTACTAGCCACTGCAAAAACACATCAAAATATAAAGACCAATGACACTATGAAGAAACTGCATCAAGTAGTGTGCAAAATAATAAAATAGCATCATGATGACAGAATCAAATTCACATATAACAATACTCTCCTTATATGTAAATGGGTTAAATGCCTCAATTAAAAGACACAGACTGGCAAATTGGATAAGGAGTCAAGACCCATCTGTGCGCTGTATACAGGAGACCCATCTTACATGCAAAGACACACAGGCTCAAAATAAAGGGATGGAGGAAAACTTACCAAGCAAATGGAAAGCAAAAAAAAAAAAAAAAAAAAAAAAAAAGCAGGGGTTGAAATGCTAGTCTTTGACAAAACAGACTTTAAACCAACAAAGATCAAAAAAGAGAAAGTAGGCCATTACACAATGGTAAAAGGAACAATTCAACAAGAAGAGCTAACTATTCTGAATATATATGCACCCAATACATCAGATTCAATATATATGCATCCAGATTCATCAAAGAAGTTCTTAGAGAACGAAAACAAGACTTAGACTCCCACACAATAATAGTGGGAGACTTTAGCATCCCACAGTCAGTATTAGACAGATCAACAAGACAGAAAATTAACAAGGATATTCAGGAATTGAACTCAGTTCTGGATCAAGTGGACCTAGTAGACATCTACAGAACTCTCAACCTCAGATCAACAGAATATACATTCTTCTCAGTGTGACATGGCACTTATTCTAAAATCAACCACATAATTGGAAGTAAAACACTCCTCAGCAAATGCAAAAGAACTGAAATCATAACAAACAGTCTCAGACCACAGTGCAATCAAATTAAAACTCAAGATTAAGAAGCTCACTCAAAACCACACAATTTCATGGAAATTGAACAACTTGCTCCTGAATGACTCCTGGGTAAATAATGAAATTAAAGCAGAAATCAACAAATTCTTTGAAACCAATAACAAATAGACAACATACCAGAATTTTGCGGACACAGCTGAAACAGTGTTAAGAGGGAAATTTATAACACTAAATGCCCACATTAGAAAGCTAGAAATATCTCAAATCGACACCCTAACATCACAAATAAAAGAGCTAGAGAGGCCGGGCGCAGTGGCTCATGCCTGTAATCCAAGCACTTTTGGGAAGCTGAGGCAGGTGGATCACCTGAGGTCAGGAGTTTGAGAACAGCGTAGCCAATGTGGTGAAACCCCATCTGTACTAAAAATACAAAAGTAATCGGGTGTGGAAGTTGGGAGGCAGAGGTTGCAGTGAGCCAAGATCATGCCACTGCACTTCAGCCTGGTCAACAGAGACTCTTTCTCAATAAAAAAAAAAAAGAGAGAGAGAGAAAGAGGGGCAAGAGCAAAGTAATCCAAAAGCTATCAGAAGACAAGAAATAGCTTGGCTGTGGATTTGTCAGAAATAGCTTATTATTCTGAGATATGTTCTATATATACCAGTTTATTGAGAGTTTTTAACATGACGAGATGTTGAATTTTGTCAAAGGCCTTTTCTGCATCTATTGAGATAATCATGTGGTTTTTGTCTTTGGTTCTGTTTATGCAGTCCACAGACAAGATCAGAGAAGAATTGAAGGAGATAGAGACATGAAAAGCCCTCCAAAAAAATCAACAAACCAGGAGATGTTTGTTTGAAAAACTTAACAAAATAGACTGTTAGCTAGACTATTAAAGAAGAAGAAAGAGAAGAATCAAATAGACACAATAAAAAATGATAAAAGGGACACCACCACTGACCCCACAGAGATACAAACTATCATCAGAGAACACTATAAACACCTCTAAGTAAATAAACTAGAAAATCAAGAAGAAATGGATGAATTCCTGGATGCATACACCCTACCAAGACTAAACCAGAGAGCAGTCAAATCCCTGAATAGACCAATAACAAGCTCTGAAATTGAGGCAGTAATTAATAGCCTAACAACCCAAAACAGCCCATTACCAGATGGATTCACCGCCAAATTCTACCAGAAATACAGAGAGGAGCTTCTACCTTTCCTTCTGAAACTACTCCAAACAACTGAAAAGGAGGGACTCCTCCCTAACTCATTTTATGAAGCCAGCATCATCTTGTACCAAAAAACTGGGAAGAGACACAACAAAATAAGAAAACTTCAGGCCAACATCCCTGATGAACATTGATGTGAAAGTCCTCAATAAAATACTGGCAAACTGAATCCAGCAGCACATCAAAAAACTGATCCACCATGATCAAATCAGATTAATCTCTGGGATGCAAGGCTGTTTCAACATACGCAAATCAATAAATGTAATCAATCGCATAAACAGAACCAAAGACAAAAACCACATGATTATCTCAACAGATGCAGAAAAGGCCTTTGATAAAATTCAACATCTCTTCATGTTAAAAACTCTCAATAAACTAGATATTGATAGAAAATATCTCAAAATAATAAGCTATTTCTGACAAATCCACAGCCAGTATCATATTGAATAGGCAAAAAGTTGGAAGCATTCCCTTTGAAAACCGGTACAAGACAAGCATGTCCTCCTCTCTCACCACTTCTATTCAACATAGTATTGGAAGTTCTGGCGAGGGTAATCAGGCAAGAGAAAGAAATAAAGAGTATTCAAATAGGAAGAGAGGAAGTCCAGTTGTCTCTTTTTGCAGACGACATGATTTTATATTTAGAAAATTCCATCATTTCAGCCAAAAATCTTCTTGAACTGATAAGCAACTTCAGCAAAGTGTTGGGATACAAAATCGATGTGCAAAAATCACAAGCATTCATTTACACTGACAATAGGCAAGCAGAGAGCCAAATCATGAGTGAACTCCCATTCACAATTGCTACAAAGAGAATAAAATATCTAGGAATACAGCTAACAAGGGATGTGAAGGACGTCTTCAAGGAGAACTATAAACCACTGCTCAAGGAAATGAGAGAGGACACAAACAAATGGAAAAACATTCCATGCTCATGGATAGGAAGAATCAATATCATGAAAATGGCCATACTGCCCAAAGTAATTTATAGATTCAGTGCTGTTCCCATCAAGCTATCATTGATATTTTTCACAGAATTAGAAAAAAACTATTTTAAATTTCATATGGAATCAAAGAAGAAGACAATCCTAAGCAAAAAAGAAGAAAGCTGGAGGCATCATGCTACCTGACTTGAAACTACACTACAGGGCTACCGTAACCGAAACAGCATGGTACTGGTACCAAAACAGACATATAGACCAACAGAGCAGAACAGAGACCTCATAAATAACACCACACATCTACAACCATCTCATCTTTGACAAACCTGACAAAAACAAGCAATGGGGAAATGATCTCCTATTCGGTAAATGGTGCTGGGAAAACTGGCTAGCCATATGCAGAAATCTGAAACTGGACCCCTTCCTTACGTCTTATACAAAAATTAACTCAAGATGGATTAAAGACTTAAATGTAAAACCCAAAACCATAAAAACCCTAGAAGAAAACCTAGGCAATACTATTCAGGACATAGGCATGGGCAATGACTTCATGACAAAAATGGCAAAAGCAATTGCAACAAAAGCCAAAATTGATAAATGACATCTAATTAAACTAAGGAGCTTCTGCACAGCAAAAGAAACTACCATCAGAGTGAACAGGCAACCTACAGAGTGGGAGAAAATTTTTGCAGTCTACCCATTTGACAAAGGTCTAATATTTAATAAAGGGAACTTAAACATATTTACAAGAAAAAAACAAACAACCCTATCAAAAAGCGGGCAAAGGATATGAACAGACACTTCTCAAATGAAGCCATTTACTGGCCAACAAACATATGAAAAAAAGCTCAACATCATTGATCATCAGAGAAATGCAAATCAAAACCACAATGAGATACCATCTCACACCAGTCAGAATGGTGATTATTAAAAAGTCAGGAAACAATAGATGCTGGCAAAGCTGTGGAGAAAAGGGAACGCTTTTACAGTGTTGGTGGGAATGTAAATTAGTTCAACCATTGTGGTAGACAGTGTGGCAATTCCTCAAGGATCTAGAACTGGAAATACTATTTGACCCAGCAATCCCATTACTGGGTATATACCCAAAGGAATAGAAATCATTCTACTATAAAGACATATACACATTTATGTTTATTGCAACACTATTTAAAATAGCATATACGTGGAACCAACCCAAATGCCCATCAATGATAGACTGGGTAAAGAAGATGTGGTACATATACACCCTGGAATACTATGCAGCCATAAAAAGGAATAAGATCATGCTCTTTGCAGGGACATCAATGAATCTGGAAGCCATCATCCTCAGCAAACTAACACAGGAACAGAAAACCAAACATTGCATGTTCTCACTCATAAGTGGGAGCTGAACATTGAGAACTAACTCATGGACACAACGAGGAGAGCAACACACACCAGGACCTGTTGAGGGTTGGGGGATGAGGGGCAGGAACTTAGAGGATGCATCAATAGGTGCAGCAAACCGCCATGACACACGTATACCTATGTAACAAACCTGCACGTTCTGCATATGTATTCCGATTTTTTTAGAAGAAATAAAGAAAAAAAAACTTTGCTAAAATATTAGTGATAGCATCTAGGTGGTGTGTAAAGAAGATGATTCAACTTTGTTGTATATTGAACATTTTCATAATAAAAATATGAAAAATACTACCTGCTGCATTTTTCAGGTTTAGAATAATAGTTTAGCTTTACATTTCTTAGGCAGACAGCCCTAGAGCCATACCCACCCACTCACCATCCCTTCCAAGGAAGCAGAAATGAAGTCACAGCGTGGGTGGATATTGTCATGACTAGTTAATAAGCAGGCTCTTGCCACTCCTCATTCCAGCACACTGCCTCAAGGGCCAGGGCTGACACAAGTCCCCACTGGAAATATAAGCTGCAAGTGGAAGGATAAGAATCAGGCAAGTATGAATAGTTAAGATTGAAGGTTTCGCTGACAAACTGTGGGAATAAGGTTTTCACTAAATGACTGACATGCCCAAATTAATAGGAACTTACAGATCTTTAGAATGCCTTAAACCTGAAAATCATAATTAGTGGGTTTTCCCTCACCCCAATTGTTTCCTCATCCACAATCTTCCACATTTCAGAAGAGGTATCACCCACCCAGGAAAACAAACCAGAAAAATAGAGTAATTTCTGGTTGCCCAATTTGTTTAAGAATTCAAACCATCATCAAGCCTTGTTAAATCCAAAAGTTATCACATTCTTCCATTTCTTTTTTATCTCTGTTGTCTTCACCTTTAGTTCAGACCATCGTCATGTTTTACTTGGAATACTGCAGGAGTCTCTTTACTGGTCTTTTTATTTACCCTGCCTTTCCCCATCCCAATCCATTACTTATACAGCAGCAAAGGTGATTTTTCTCAAAATGTAGCTGCATTATATGGCTGGTTTAAAATCGTTCACAATTTTCTCCTTGTGCTTTGTTTTAATCCATACTCTTGGTGACAAATTGTAAGACTTTGCCTTACAGCTCTTGTCTATCTCTCTAAAGTCATCCCCTCTCACTCCTGCAGCTACAAAGACAGTGTAGTCTACCTGTAGAGACTTACATGACATACTGTCTCTCTGGAATGTTCTTTCCCCCAGCTTTGTATACCAAGTTCTTTCTGTTCTTTTAGGTTTCAGGATAAAATATCACATCCTCAAAAAGAGTTCCTTGACTGTCAGGTTTAAACTGTTTCTCACTTTTTTATATCTTGTGTAGATGAATAAAATCTAGCTTCCACTTAGAGGATGCTCAAGTTTATCTCTTCATTCTTTATTTTTGGTAGTTCCCAAATATTTTGGAGTTGTTTTTGAAGTTATTGCAAAGAATCCAAGAATCTTTATACAAACTAAGAATTGCTTTTACATTGAATTAGTTCTATTTTATGTTCATAGTTGCTATTTTTCAAGATAGTGTAGATACTGCTATGATTAATAAAATAAAAATTCGTGTGTTTCTGAATTTCTAATACATTTTGATTTTTGGAAAAATCAATAGATAGTAAAAATTAAAATATTATCACATGATTCATGTTTTATTTAATATGTTCTCATCCATAAAAGTCTGAACCACTTATCCATATTTTAGCAAATAAATTTAAACTAAATTAATTAACTTATGATATATTTTACTTTAAAATTAAATTGGATAACATTTTCTATATTTCAAACTAGTATTAAGAAATTAAATACATTTGGGGGCCCCTTTAGTTTAATTCCTTTATATTATAGAAAAGGAAAGAAGAGGTTTGAAATGTAAAATATTCATACAATCACATAGATAGTAGGAGAGCAGAATTAACTTACAGTCCAGTGCACTTTTTGTTTCCCTCAGTTACCATCCTGTTGAAAATGGAATCAGAGACCAGATTCCTAAGACTAGTGTCAAGTGAGTGGTCTAGTTCATTCATTCTGTTTCTCACTCCCTCCCACCCTCTCTCTCTGCATTTATCCAGGCTATAATCTGGCTGCATTAAGTATTTATTTTTTACTGGTACTTAAAGAAATATTTAACCAGCTGCATATTAACATGAAAATGACCACACAAGAAAAATGATTGTTAAGCAAAGGTGGTGAAACTCCCCACAAGTAATCAAGTAATTGTACTGAGAGCTATAAAACATGCACAGATGTATATGTCACCACTAAGGCATCCCTTCTACTTAACATTTTTCTTGTAGTCTCCTGGAGCAGCATAAAACTGGTTCCTTGATGCCAATGGCAACAAGCTTAAAGCTTGACTGGTAATAAAGTTTGGTTCCCAGATGTTCCTATTGGCTATTCTGTTACACAACAGATTTTATGATATAGCTGGACATTAAATGCTTTCATAGATTTTTTGCTGCAAAGTCAAATCGAAGTCAATTTTAAGTGGGAATATAAAAATCCTAAAACCCAGATGAACCACTATTCATCTGCTATGGTTAAATCTACTATGAAGAAGTGGATTTCATTAAGTTAGAGGGTTTCTAAATCAACAGAAAGAAATATAAAACCCTCTCCCTTTTAATTTATTTTCAGAGCAAGTTGGTTTCCTAAGGACAGGTAGATACCACATTTAGATAACTGATATTATCTCTGGGTTGTAATATCATTATTCTACTTCTTCCTCAGTTGTTTCCAAAGAAATGCTTACAAGATTTACTTGGAGAATGTGTAAAACGCAGACTCTTGGGCATTACCTGTAAGACTGTAATTCAGTAGAATTGGGTTGCAATCCAATACTTTATAACAGGCACTCACAAGTGATTCTGATGCAGATGTCTGCACACCATACTTGGAGGAAACATTGCAAGCCCAGTAGCAGACATCACGTGGAGCACAGGCTCTCCATATCCAGGCATGTATGAGTCCAGGGAGGCCAGAGTCAGGGCAGTGACCTGTGAAAAAAACAGTTTTCCAACAAGTTGGACTTGGATGAAAAAATCCTCCCTGTGATAGTAGTAATTAATGACCTATACCAGACTTGAACTAAACAGCTCTCTCATTATAGATTTTGTGAGAAGATAAAACATGAAGCTATTCCCTGACAAGAAGATAAAATTATCCCAAATTTGATTCACAGCATTCCCCATTCATCCCATATCTAAATCTGAGGAAAAACTACAGCTTTTTTTTTTAAACAAATAAATAGTTCAAAAATACCCTTAAACAATCTTTGGAAGACTGAGGCTACATATGAAATGACCTTATTCTATTGTTAAGCGCTGAAAAAGTCCCATTAAGAGGATCTAAAAATGGGTAGCAGATGTTACTGCTTAACCACATGGCTAAGATTCCTAGAGGAGCTCTGAGGGAAAGGGAGGCTAGACTCATTAAGAAGTGAGCTCATTAATGGAGAGTAAAGCACTTCATCACATGAATATGAAGACAATTCTAGAAATGCATGATCAGAATTATCAAACTGATTTGTTTCCTTCAAAATCCAGTCAAGCTCTAAGGCTGAAGATGAGCTCAACTGAAGGGACTTTGTGTCTTTAGACATAAAAGTTTCTGTGAACTTCAAATTACACGTTTTCTGCATTGATACCATTGTGTAATGGCTGCGAGCCTCATTTTGCTAAAGCTAAACAGAGCTAGGCTCCCTGGTGGATAATAGATTGTTGGTCTAACTTTGAGGCTGAGAAACAACTGTGTTATAAGATAGCACGTATTCCTGAAGTCAGTATCCTTACAGACAAAGGACAACTCTCTCTTCTGTAATTTCTCAGTTAATCTCACAGACGCCACACTTTCTGCCCTTGTTACTCCTTGTGAGATGCTATATTTATTGGCTTGTAGTCACTCACAAACTGTGTTTGGATGCAATATATGGGTTCCATGCCTGAAATAAAATTCCATGATGATAGCCTTTTCTTATTCTCAGGGAAATAACATATTAAATGGATAGATTTTCCTTAACTTTGAATTTTTATTCTGTAAGTTTTTTTTGAAAGTTTTTCTGTCTGTCACCACATATCCAGTGGGAGATTACTACTCATTTAGAATAAAGCAATGTGTTTGTTATTTAAACATATATAAATCTTCCGGGGATATTTGCTAAAATATCTATGACTTCTAGGTGCCTTGTCACCCAGATGAGTGAAACCATTAGTGTACTAATCTAAGCTATAATTATAAGGTACCTGAATCATAATTTGATACATGAAAGTATCAGGACTCACCTGAGTGAGGGCATTGCTGAACCAGTCACCAGGTAGGAGCGATTTTTTTTAGATAAGAAAACAGATTTGAGGCTGGGTGCCCTGGTTCAAGTCTGAAATTCCAGCACTTTGGGTGGCCAAAGTGAGGGAATCACTTGAGACCAGGAGTTCAAGACCAGCCTGGACAGCATGGTGAAACCCTTTCTCTACAAAAAAATTCAAAAATTAGCCAGCTGTGGTGGCACCTATAGACTCAGCTATTCTGGAGGCTGAGGCAGGAGGATCGCTAGACCTTGGGATGTCAAGACTTCAGTAAGTTGTGATTGTGCCACTGCACTCCAGCCTAGGTGACAGAGTGAGACCCTGCCTCAAATAAAAAAAAAAAGAAAACAAAACAAAACAGGAAAACAGATGTTAGATGGAGAGTTTTAATGGAAGTTCTACAGGAATCTCCAATTCTTAGTCTTCACCTTGAAAGTGCCACGTTGTCTAGAGGAAAGCTCCTTGGGAGGTAGGTGTATAATTTTATTCTCTTAAAGAGGAGGCTGGGAGATCAGATCAGCTGCTGTAAGTTCTGAGGTTCCAGGGCTGCAGAGAGCTTGTCTCTATACGTGGAGATGCAGCTATGCTGCAGCACGTAAAACATTCAACCTGGGAATGAGACCATCTACCTAAGGCTAATGCAGATCATACTCACATTGGAAAAACAAAATAAGTGAATTTGAATAATGTATTATCTTAGTTTAAAAGAATAAATATAGAAGGGAAAAGTTAATACTTTTCTGAAAGCAATCCATGAATAGTTCACCAAAATAACCTGGTCATGTGGTGTAATTTCTTGTCATTCATTCTTACACTGAAAGATTAAAAAATATAATTTGCTGTAGTTCTTGCAGTCCTTTTAAAACATGATTTTTTAATTAAAAATTTAAACAGTAACAAGGCAGCACAGGAAAACATGTGACTAAATATCAAAAGAGCTGGTGATTAAATGGGCAGGTTTGGGAATATGACCAAGATATTGGGGCAATGAAATTGTAAGTCATCTTAAATTTTCCATCCTTGTTTCATTGTCTTTGTTTCCTTGCCTACAGGTATCACATGTAAAGCTTTTCATACAAGCTTCTGAGTGCAAGCAGATGGAATTGGGAAGGTGGAACAATGGTCTTTGTCTCATGCCCTTATTTACCACTACTAATTGTGCATGTGCTTTTGTGCACAACATTATATCCTGTTGTTCCCCTCCTTCTACGCCAAATGCTGCTGCTTTTTAAATTAAAATTGGTTCTCAATAACCGCATTTAGGAAATCCCCTAGAAGTATTTTTGTACCTTCCTGCATCCTGAATGCAATTTTACCTAGAATATCTTGAGAAAGGAAAAACCCTTAGTATCTCTTATCCTGTCCTGACCCAGATTGGTTTGCTGCTTGTTCCATCTAATAAAATGACCTCATGCAGTCATAACAATGTAAGGCCATGATGAATGTAGCTAGCAACAGACGTTTAACCATTCAACTCTCACAATAACTTTGAGCCTTTCATGTGTACACAGTTAAGTCTATTTGTAAACTGACTAGACATGTCGGTTTTCTTTTCCTGAACATTCAAATGTGTTAAGAACAGATTAGCTGAAGCAATGATATTTTACAGTCAAAATTGCTGCAGTGATACACATGTAAAATTGTTGCCCGAAAGTCTGGGAAAGTAAACCTCATTATGATAGAATAAGTCCACAAAATTTACATTTAGCTTTAGCAGCAGTGTATTGTAAAGTCATGGTGCTGACAGTGGCTGGCTTATTCTCCCCTTAGTCTGTTTGTAACTTTCTGAATGTAAAAAGCATGGAAAGAGGCTGTCACGCAGGGCCACACCTACAGTCATATTTAAGGAGAATTACACATTCATGGGATTCTTATGAAAGGACCAGACATAGGCAGCCATAATGCTACCAAGAGTCTCAAACTCTAGCTTATTGGACTGGAGCTGTAGATCTGATGCAAGAGAAACAAATCCAAAGTAATCTATTGTATGCTGGGCCAATTATTTTCATCTCTTTAGGATTCTGAACTGGAAATAATAAAATGAGCTGGCAGCTTGAGGCAGCACAACACAGAAAGAATGAAAAGAGCAATTCCATGCTGTGGAATCAATTACGTGAGGAATAATGGCAGGCTAAAAGTGTGACATAACACCAACTAAGAGTAAGTGAAAATGATGTGATAGAGAACTATAGGGAGTAGAGGAGAAACAAATATTGAGAAAAAGGATAACTGAACAGAGAAAGGGTAGGAAAAGAGAAATACTGGGAAGCTGGTAATTTCTGAAGTCACTCAGATCATTGATGGCTTGCCTGACTCAGATAAATTCCTATTTGGATTAGTTTCCTGTGGCTGCTATAACAAATTATCCCAAACTTGGTAGCTTAAAACAAGAGAAATTTATTCTCTCACAATTAAGGAGGCCAGCATCAGAAATCAAGCTGTTGACAGGATGTGCTCCCTCTGGAGGTTCTGGGACAGAATTCATTCCATGCCTTTCACCGTGTGGTGGCTGCAGACATCCCTTGGTTTGTGGCCACATCACTCAGATCTTTACCTCTGTGTTCACATTGCCTTCTCCTCTGTATATATGTGTCTAGTCTCCTGCTGCCTTTTGCTTATAAGGACACTTGTAATGTCAGTTAGAGCCTACCCAGAGAATGCAGGATACTCTTCTCATCTCAACGTCCTTGACTTAATTACCTCTGGAAAATCCTTTTACCAAATAAGGTACAATTCACAGATGCCTGGGATTAGGGGGAATATATCTTTGGGAGCCATTGTCAGTCTTCTATACTATTCATGTGACATAGTGCAACAAAGCTCATTTTTCTGAAGGAGACTTGACAGTATCAGGGTAGTTCTTTAGAAGTGAAAATAATAAAAAAGGGAAAGTTAGGTGTCACTTGGTTCTTTGCAAGCTGCACCACCCTCTAATCCTTGCATTTCAAGGTCACAGTGGAGGTCTAATATGGGTGGGGAGAGAAAAACGACCATGCCTTCTCTTGACAAGAAACCATGAAATAGTTCAGAACTTATCTGTGGCAATCTCAATATAGTCCCCAAATATTTATGTTCACAGATATGGCCTCCAGAAAAAAAGGGCCAGAATTCTTTTGTATTAAATTAGTAAAATACCTGCTGTTTTGCCATCATTAATTTATGTATCATTCATTTGATAAATGTTTATTTATTATCTATGGTTTTCCATGTTTCTTTTAAGGTCCTAGGTTGCAAATTTGGAAAACTATGTCCTTTCTTCAAGTAACTCACAGGCTGGTGGGGAAGAAGATACATACAACAGAAATATAGTTTGATTCCTGCTATAAAGGAGGTATACACAATGTGCAGTACGATCATGAGGACAGCAAGAGCTTGATGCTTGGGGGTAGTAAGGAAGTAGAGGCTTGCTTGTTCTGTCAGTTTTGGAGGACGAGGACACAGTGGGTAGAGAAAATTCAAGGAGAACGAGAAATCCCTGCAAGAGAGAGTACCTTCTGCAGTCATCACCTGACGCTTAAATTCCATAGTTATGGAATTTAGGGGACTTAAATTCTATGCAACCTGGTAAATAAGTCAAAAAAAACACTTTGTGGGTTATCAGTTATTTACGCATTTGTAGAAATCACTTTATCAGGTCTTTTCATGAGAACAGGATTTAAGGGGAGCTGGATAGAGAGTAAACGAGGTTACTAGAGGTGAGTGGAAAAGCAAAAATAATATTGTTGTGCATTGACTATGTTCCTGGCCCTCTGATTGGTATTTCATTTTATCTCTATTAATAGCCTTGGGAAACCTGTGAGGTGTGTATTTTTATGTTGTTGCTTCGATTTTATAAATAAAAAAGTGAAATTCAAAATGGGAATTAACTTGTCCAAGGTTATTCAGCCAATAAATGGCCAAGCTGATATTTTAACCTGCTCTGTCAGGGCAAGATTGTTCAGTCTTAGGGAAAAGATTGTGCAAGGGTACAGAGGCATGAAAGAATATGGTATTGTTTAGAGGGATGCTTGAGTAAAAACAGATGCTTGAGAAGTTATAGAAGATGAAACTGAAAAGGTAAACAAAGATCAGCTTAAAGTGACTCTTCATCACTCGAGAATTATGGAGTTGGATCCGGTTTTCCTCAAGTTTCATGATCATTCAATGGGACCTTGCCCCAAACAGGTCAGCATTTAGTCAGTGGGCAAATCTGATTGTTTCTTCTATTTCCCATGGGTATTCTATTGTAGTCTACTGATGACATCCTAATTTAAAATGTTATGAATCCTTATCTAGACAATTACAGTAGCTTTCTACCCATTTCTTTCTGCGAGTTTCATTTACTTTCCGTTATTTCTGAACAACAATGTAGGATTAATCTTTTTCTAAAGCACATAAACTCCTTTTTCAAAAAAAACCCTCATATATATGTGTGTATATATATATACACACACACACACACGCGCGCGCGCACACACACACACACACACACACACACACACACACATATATATATATATATATATATGCTTTATTTCTTAGAGCAGTTTTAGGTTTACAGCAACATTTAGAGAAAAGTAGAGAGCTTCCATATACTCCCTGTCCTCACACATGCACAAACTTCCCTACTACTGACATTCCCCACTGCAGACTGTACATGTATTACAATCAATAAACCTACATTGGTGCATCATTATCACCCAAAGTTCATAGTTTGCATTAGGTTAACTCTTGGCATTGTGTATTCCATGGGTTTCAACAAACATGTAATGACACGTATCAACCATTATAGTATCATACAGAATAGTTTCACTGCCTAAAAATCCTCTGTGCTTTGTCTGTGTATCTCTCTGTTCCCTATATCCTTTGCAGCCACTGATCTTTTTACTGTCCTTATAATTTTGTGTTCTCCTGAATGTAATATAGTGGGAATAATACAGAAAACAGTAGTTTTAGATTGGCTTCTTTCACTTAGTAATATGCACTTAAATTTCCACCATTTTTTTTTTCAGAGTTGGGGTCTTGCTATGTTACCAAGGCTAGAGTGAAGCTGTCATTCATAGATGCAATCCCACTACTGATCAACATAGGAGGTTTGAACCGTTCTGCCTCTGAGCTTGTCCAGATCACCCCTCCTTAGACAACTTGATAGTCCTGTGCTCCCCGTAGGGAGGTCACCCTATTCATGCTAACCTAGTGCAGCATGCGCCACTGTATCTGGCATCCTCCATATCTTTTTTATGGCTTGATAGCTCATTTCTTTTCATTGCTGAATAATATTCCATTGTTTGGGTGTACCACAGTTTATCCATTCACCTACTAAAGGACTTTTTCCAAGTTTTGGCAATTTTGAATAAATCTGCTATAAACATCCACATCCACATGTAGGTTTTGTGTAAGCCTCAGTTTATTTTAGTGGGTAAATACTTAGGAGTAAAATGCAGGATTGTATGGTAAGATTATGTTTAACTTCGTAAAAAACCAGCAGACTCTCTTCCAAAGTGGCTGTACCATTTTGCAATGAATGATTGTATCTATTGTTCCACATCCCATTAGCATTTGGTGTTGTCAGTGTTTTGGATCTGGCCATTCTAATAGGTGTGTAGTGGCGTCTCATTGTTGTTTTAATTTCCATTTCCCTAATGACGATTACTTGCCTTCTGCACATCCTCTTTGGTGAGGTGTCTGTTCAGGTCTATTGACTATTTTTCAATACGGTTGTTCATTTTTTATTGTTGAGTTTTAGGAGTTCTTGAAATATTTTGGATAACAGTTCTTTATCAGATATGTCTTTTGCAAATATTTTTTCAAATTTGGCTTCTCATTTGCCTATATTCATATTTAATTAATCTTATTATATATATATTTCTTTCACTCTAAGCCCTTTAAAATCCCTTTTAGGAAAGGTAGCATTTCAAGTAAAAAAATAGTTAAATAGTTAAATTCTTACTAAAGTCAAAATCCTTCATTATGGCAGTTAAGGATATCCACTGTTCAGTCCAAGATTGTTTCTAGTCTTATCAAGTATCAACCACTTACACCACTTACACTTTTGTGTCAGCCAAATAGACCTTTCTTTCCTGGAACTCAGACTGCTGAAAAAAGTATAAATTGGTGAAGCAATTCTGGTTGACAATTTGGCACTGCATAAACAAAATAAAACAAAACACACACAACTTTACATTTTAAAATATCTCCTTTACTCCAGCAATTTATTCTTCTTCTAGGAATAAATCCTAAGGTAATAATGACTGTAGACAACCTCATGGTCTCTTCATCTTTCTTTTTCTAATAGTGTTTGTTATATTGTTATTTATTGTAATGAAAACCATTGATTGCTTATCCAATTATCTCCTTTCCAAGGATTTTTCATTTACATTCGTTTATTTGTGTCACCCATATTGATTCAGGGCTAACATTTTCCTGCTCCCAGTCCTAAAGCTGAGCCTTATTGGCCTTAGGAAATTCCCCTTTCTCCAGTCATTTATTGAGAAACAATGACCTACACTTACCCATTGAGAGCTTTTCTCCAATCACAGGAAATGGTTCAGAAATGAATATATGAGGATTAAGAGGGCATTTGCTGGGGGCACTAGAAGAGGCAGTGTCTCTTCCTCTGAATGTTGCTGTGTTTGAATGTGAGGCTCAGAACTGATGGTATCATTTTTTTTTTCTCACCAGCCAAAGGACTAAGCAAACCCTTTGAGAAGAGTAGGGCCAAGAGAATTTCAGAGAAGTGGAGACTGAGCTCTAATTGAATCACAGCTAACCAGTGCCCTACCTCTGGATTTTAATCAGTTATGTTAATCTTAACAAGCCACTCAATACTGTTTAAGTGGTTTGAGTTGGCTCTTCTTTTTCTTTTGGTTGAATCCATCAAAGCTGATACTTTACAGAGGGAAATACTACAAACATTCTAGATACCCACCAAGAGAAACGGTTATATAATTGCAACTACAATGGCATAGTAAGAAGGAGATAAGGGTGACACTGTAGAAGAAACTATAATGTCATAGAATTATATTCATACTATTTTTGTGTAAAAAGTAATTTAAAAAACAATATATGTACTATAATCTATTTTTACTCACAATATATATTTATACTTAAAAATTATGCGAAGACTGGAAAAGCAGTAGTACAGTGTCTGGAATATAGTAAATATGCAGTACATTTTTGCTATTATTTTTATTTAACAAAATTTTAGCAGTTGTATTTAGGTGACGGGATAACAAATAACATTTTCTTATCTTGGCTTAGCTTTATTTTCTCGATTAAACTCACTTCGTTTTTTAACAAAAAGAAAAAACATCTCTTTCAAAATGATGAAATCTTAATGCACTATTGTATCTTCATCATTAATTTTTAAAGGATCAATAGATCATTATGATTACCTCATAAAGAATTCTTTTTTCCCCAGCTTTATGGAGATTTAATTGACAAATAAAATGGCATATATTTAGGTGTATATATTTGATATATGTATACATTGTGAAACGATTACTATAATGAAGTTAATTAACATATTCCTCATCTTGCATAGTCACCATTTTTGTGTTGTGGTGAGAACTGCTCTCTTTGTATACAATACAACACTATTAACTGTAGTCACTGTGCTATACATTAGATTCCCAGAGCTTATTTGTCTCATAACTGAAAGTTTGTGCCTTTTGACCAATATCTCCTTATTTCTTCCTCCCTCCGGGCTCTTGACAGTCAGCCTTGTGCTCTCTGCTTCCATTAGTTTCACTTTTTTAGACTCCACATATAAGTGAGATCATACAGTATTTGTCCTTCTGTGTTTGGCTCACTTCACTCAACCTCGCATCCTCCAGGTTCATCCATGTTGTCACAAGTGGTAGGCTCTGCTTTTTATGGTTGAATAGTGTTCCATTATGTATATGTACACACACATTTTCTTTATCCATTTGTCCGTCAACAGACACTTAGAGTATTTCTACATAGAGACTTCTAAAGATGTATTTTTTTAATAAAAACACCTCTCTGAATTCTAAATAGATTTTCCAGCTGCCTTCTCTTTCTTCAAATTTTGTCTCCTTTTAAAGTTCTTAGTTTTCTCACCATCCTTTGAAAACTTTTTCAGCTTTTTAAGACACAACTAAAATATTGTGTTTTGCATCCAGCCTTTCTAGGTCATGCTGGTCAGATATGATTTCTTTCTCTTTTGAGACTATATAGATTTACAAGCTGATATTTTTGTTCTTGTTCTTTTGTTTTTGTATGTTTTTTAAAGCTTACATGGTATTTACAAATATCTTCAGGTGATGCTAATAAAATATTGGGAGGTTTCCACATAAAAATATGAATTTTCTTTTGAAAAATAAGAAAACCTGACAATCTTGGACCTGCATGTGACGAGGTCCAGGACACGTTACCCCAAAATTTGGCACTTTGACATATTGAACATTTTAACCTGAAGAAGTTTGAGAAAATGGCAAAAACAGGAAGGTCTCTGATTTTCTCCCCACCCGTCTTTCTTAAGCAGGTCTTAAGACCCTCATGTGAAAGATGCCCTCCTATACCTGGAGGGAAAAAAACATCTTTATCTCAAGAGGATGGAACACTCAGAAGGATCCAAATAAGCAGGCCTTGCTAAGTTTCCCACAGTTCCTTCACGTAATAGAGCTCATACCGTTCACCCTACCATATCTCTCCACTACTGTCCACTCTTCATCAAATCTAGAATAAAAACACACAGGCTTAATAATTTCCTCAGGTCTTTGTTTTCTTGTGAAGCCTCCTGTGTCATGTAAAACTTATATTAAGTAAATTATCCTTTTATCTTGTATATCTGTTTTTTTTTCTTTTTGTTTTGTTTTGTTACAGGAGTGCCAGGCAATGAAACTAAGATGGGTAGAAGGAAGATATATTTTTTCTCCCATACAAATGTTTGGATAATAACAATTAGCTTAGGTTGAGTGGTAGCTGCCCTTTTAAAAGGGTGTTTCCCGATGCATTTCATTCATTTCTATTACCTACTGGTCCCTGTAGACATTTGACTCTTAATATGACTTGGTGGGGCTCAACACAACAAGGTTATTTGGGGACTTGTTTATTAAACATGAGTTGTTTTTTATATTCAAGTTTCCTATATAATACATTTTTAGGGACCAAGACCCACGCCTTACATATATTTGTAAACTCCTAGTACCTTATGCCCAGTAAGCTTGTAATATATTATTTGTTGAACGAATTGAAGCAATAAACAAATAAATAAAACCCTTGCCACATTCTATAAATTCTTTACTTAAGAAAGGGGTTTGATAGTCTATTTGATTAGTTGACTAAAGAAAGCAATTTAGAAAACCATATTTGTAGACAAATAAGAAAAGAGTGTTAGGGATCATGATGACTGAACAGGTCCTGCGTCATTGTAGAATTTCAGCAAAGTGGCTGATTTTTAAAGATGATTTATGAGATCTGGCCTGGCATTGCACTAAGAAACATTATTTGCTTACTAAAAATTTTGATGTCTTTTCTTCTGTCCTTTTTGCTAGTAGAAATGCACTTTACCATCTGTCAAGACAGTGACAAAAATGCTGAAAACCTCATGATAGAGCCATCGCTTTTGAAAAATGCTAGTAGTTATGTCAAGCTGGGACAGTGAAATTTTGGAAACTATTAACAGAGGTCGTTTTCAATTTCCATATTTAATTTTGTAAAGAAAGAAACTATAGTATCATTTTAGCTTTCTCCACAACATTACCTAAAATTTTAGTTGCTGTTAGTGAGGAAAGAAAACAGCTGGGATAACAAGTGAAATAACTTTTGTTGGAAGAAAATTTCAGAAAGTAACTACTACTTGTGGTATGTTCTATGAACACTCATAACTACCAAAAGATAGGCTAGAATTTAAAACACATTCACGTTTCTTACATATATTAAACGTATTTATATGTGTGGAATGATAAGGTGGAGAAATCTAGATGTATGCATAAGAGCTGTAAAGTTGGGGTTGCCATTTTTTTTTTTGAAATGGGGTCTCACTATGTTGCCCAGGCTGGCCGTCAACTGCTGGGCTCAAGTGATCCTCCCACCTCGGCCTTGTAAAGTGCTTGGATTACAGGTATGAGCCCAGGGTTGCCATTTTAACAAGGATTTCCTAGTTAAACAATTTCTTTCCTTTAATTATCCATAACCTGTCAGCCTTGTGGAAATGTGAAATGGGAGTGGCAGAGTATCTAACACAGAACTGTGCTGATAAAGTCAGTATTACCTTGGTCTCATAGTATGAACTTTGGAACTACATTATGTATCATTTAATGATGAGAATATGTTCTGAGAAATGCATCTTTAGGCAATTTTGTCATCAAGTGAATATCATAGACTGTACTTACACAAATCTAGAGGGTCTAGTCTACTATACACCTAAGCTATATGATAAAGCCAAGTGCTCCTACGCTACAGACCTGTATTGCACGTTACTCTACTGAATACTGTAGGCAGCTGTGTATTTAAACATAGAAAACGCACAGTAAAAATACAGTATAAAATATTTGTAAAACAGTACACCTGTAAAGGCACTTAGCATGAATGAAGCCTTACAGGACTAAAAGTTGCTCTGAGTGAGTGACTGGTGAATGTGAAGTGAATGTGAAGTCTTAGTATATTACTGTATGCTACTGTAGACTTTCTAAATATTGTATGCTTAGGCTACACGAAATTTAAAAAAAATTTATTTCTCAATAGTAAATTAACCTTAGCTAACTATAACTTTAATTAATTAATTTTTCAATTTTTAAAAATTATTTAGACTTTTGTAATAATATTTATCTTAAGACACAAATATTTTTATAAAAGCACAAACATCTTTTTTCCTTTTATCCTTATTCTATAAAACTTTTACTATTTTTAAAATATTTAAGTTTTTTTTTTTTTTTACTTTTAAGCTTTTGTGTTAAAACCTAAGACACAAACACACACATTAGCCTAGGCACACAGGGTCAGGATCATCAATATCACTGCCTTCTACCTCCATATCTTGTCCCACTGGAAGTTCTTTAGGGCAATAACACATATGGAGCTGTTAGTCACCTCCTATGATAACACTGCCTTCTTCTGAGGCTGTTTTGCTGTTAACCTTTTTTTTATATAAGTAGGAGTACCTTCCAAAATAATGACAAAAAGTATAGTATAATCAATACATAAACCAATAACATAGTTGTTTATTATCGTCAAGTATTATATACTGTATATAATTATATGTGCTATATTTTTATATGGCTGGCAGCACAGTAGATTTGTTTACACAAGTATCACCACAAACACGTGAATAATGTGTTGTACTAAGACCTTAAGAGGTCTATGATGTCACTAGGCCATAGGAATTTTTCAGTTCTATTATAATCATGTGGGGCCATCATGGTATATGCCATCTGTCATTGACCAAAACGTTCTTATGTGGTGCATGACTTTATATAATTTGGGCATACATATTTCCCTCTGAATAAAATCTCTGCTACTTGATGTTACTTGGCCTCTCTGAGCTCCATTTTATCTATAACATTAGAATAAATGTACTTAGAAATGAACTTCAGCATGATTGAGAGGTATATATAAAATGATGGAGGCCGGGCGCGGTGGCTCACGCCTGTAATCCCAGCACTTTGGGAGGCCAAGGCGGGCGGGTCACGAGATCAAGAGATCGAGACCACGGTGAAACCCCGTCTCTACTAAAAATACAACAAATTAGCCGGGCATGGTGGTGGGCGCCTGTAGTCCCAGCTACTGGGGAGGCTGAGGCAGGAGAACGGCGTGAACCCGGGAGGCGGAGCTTGCAGTGAGCCGAGATCGCGCCACTGCACTCCAGCCTGGGTGACAGAGCGAGACTCCATCTCAAAAAAAAAAAAAAAAGATGGACTTAGTGTACCCCCAAACCCCTATCCATCCCCCTCAAGGTTTTTGGAGGTTTTATACTTCCTCCACCCTCCTCTTTTCAAAATCTGTTTAAGGGGACGGATTCTAGTAAGATCACTCATACTTAGATGCAAATAAGACTTCAAGAGTCACCTGCCTAAGCATGTGTTTACCAGGTGTCAAAGGTTTTAAATCAAAAGAATGAATCTTTAACTGTGGAATTTTAGGAATTAATTACTTATTGGGGGAGATATTTATTTGTTCAGATATTCAATTCCCTATGCTTTTGTGTTCCAACCATAGAAGTGGTAAGCAGTCTGCTAGCTAGACTAGCCAGCAACCAACTGGACAAGGTGAATACTAAGGAATATTAAAAAGGGATACTTTTCTACGTAGTCATGTTTTTATTTAAATACACACACACACACACGCACACACACATACACACCACACACACACGCAGGTTTCTTGTTTCATCTATGGCTACCTAATATGGATTGCTAGAGGTTTATTTTATAGCTGAGAAAAATGAGGCTTAGGTGACATACATCAAAACGTGGGGGAAACAGATCCAAACCCAAGTAGTCTATTGAAGTAAAAAAAAAAGCAGCTTAAAATATTTAAACTTTAAGACCAGATGAAATTCCCATTTCTTGACCCCTCCTACTGTCTCTAATAGTTATTATTGTCACCAGATTCTCAGTTTCTTCTTTGTGCTGGATACTTTAAATGTATTATAAATTGCATAATGTCCAATCCTTCACAACATAGTTTAAAGACAAGCATTATTATCAAGTTTTCATACTGTAGGCAGTGAATGTCAGAGGGTTCATATTGTACTGGGCAAGAACTCCTTGCTCATAAACCCCCCAAATTTTTCCATCCTCCTGTCTCACTAGTTGGGAATATACTTGAATTATCCCAACGATCAGAATTCACATTTTTCTTTAATTAAAAATTTTTAGAGACAGCATCTCACTCTGACCCAGGCTGTTCTTCCTACCTCAGCCTTTCAAGAGCTGGGACTACTACTACCGCCACGCCCAACTAATACCAAGAATTGAAGTTCAGTGTCACATCTACTTTTGAAAATCTTTGGGTGATAACACTATGGATGAAAAGGGTACAAGGTCCCTTTTATTTAGGAAGATCTACTCTAACCACTGCCCACTAATTTAATATTTTTTCAACTATGTTTTTGTAAAGATTGTAAAGGAAATATCAACTTGTCCGCTGACAGTTTGCACTAGTATAAATGGGTAGCTGGGAGAACAGCTTCACTCTACACAGGCACATACACGTGACTGGAGTTCAATATATTATTATATATATATTCGATATATATATATTCTAAAATAATGACATACCTATATATCTATACTGAACACCATCCTTGCATTAAGTTCCTATTTTTGTGATTTGCTCTCTATTGAGAATAAAATATTGCCACCTTGTGGAAGTTAGAAGTTGTGAAATCAGTGCCTTCCAAGTTCACTCAGTTTTGTTCAATTTGATAAATATCAATTTGCTTCCATCCTGTCTTAGATCATCTGCAGGGTATCTGGTCACAAAAATAAGTAAGACATGGTTTCTGCCCACCAAGAACACAATATCACAAGCATGAAGGTGTGGAAACTGTCAAGGATACGCCTTGGACAAATTGCATTGCAAAGGACTGCACCCAGCAAGGTCATGAGGGAAGTTTATGTGGAGTGAATGACTCTTGCCTGGTGGACTACTGAGAAGTAGTTAGGTGGATAAACAGTAGACTAGCGGGAACAGCATGAACAATAGCCTGGAAGTATGAAGACGTATGGGTCTTTCAGAGAAGCAAACATTTCATAGGCTTAGAACTTAAAATTTGGGAAGAGGAAGAGACAGAAGATGAGCTTGCCAAATTATCACAGACTGGTCCCAGAAGGCATAAAATACCATGTTGAGATTGTCCTTTACTCTGTTAAGTGAGGCAGGGAGATAGTTAAGATTTAGTAAATCAAGCCTTGGAAGAGAGGAGCATTGTTTGGAGGCAGTGAGAAAACTATGGTGGATCAGGCTTCAGTTCTATCAGTGAAGGAGAGGCAGGACAGAGGAAGTTACAGAAAGGCCGTGTGGTATTGGACTCACATTCAGAGACTCTCAAATATAGACATCTAATATTATCTTCAAGTGAAAGTATGCATTCAATCTCAGACAAACACTGACAGTTTTGAAAGAACATATTATCAAACAATTTTAAACTTGTATTTCAATATTAGTCATATTTCCCGTAACGCAGTCTGAATTTTTTATAAGCCCTATAATTTTCTCATGAATAGCACCATTTTACTTGCATTGAAACCATTAGTTCATTCAGTTTAGTATTTAATATATATACAGTGATAACTAACTTAGCATTTTTTTTCAGTATGTTAACATACTGAAAGTTTCAGGAAATGAAAATGTTGTAGGCCTTTTTAAAGGGTTGCAGAGGTCTAGCTAGGCAGTGGTGAAAAATTCGAGAGAGAAGAGACTTGAAAAATATTTGTTGAAGATTCATGAGCAGACATGTTGTATATTCATTATAAAGGTGGGGTGGCCAACTGGCAGATTAAAGAGAAAGGAGGAATCCAAATTGACTGCCTGGTTTCTCCTGAAGTGTCTCATAGATGGTAGCACTTTTAGCTGAGGAGGGATGAGGCATGTTTTATAGGGAAAAGAAATAGTTTCATTTTGGGTATTTGGAATTTGAAAGTCTCGAGAGCTAGTCAAATGGATTTCTCTAGCCAGCAATTAAATATGTGAAATTGAAGCTCATGGCAGTGTCTAAGGCTAAATATAGAGATTCAGGAATTATTAGCCTAGGGAAGGTAATTAAAAGTATGAAAATGGTTGAGATCACTTAAGGAGAGCTTATAGCCTGCAAAGAGCAATAAACTCGGGATGCTCCCTTGGGACTCTTCTTAAATCTGAAAGATGTTTTCACACGGGCAGGTGAGTCAACCTTTCTTGTGCAAGCTGTGACTACTAAAGCCATCTTAATTACATGAACATGTAAAGAAAAGGAAAGCAAACCAATAAACAAACTAGGTTTAGAGGAGGAATTTGAAATTCTCTGCTAATTGGTGAAACCAAAATGTCTATCATAGAAGTATTCTAAGTAGAAATATAGCATAAAAAGATTCCATGTAAAGAGGAGGAAAAATAATTGGAGAGCAGGAAATTTGGGGGAAGATTTATGAGGTAAAAGCAGAATTCTTCAGTCAGTTTTACAGTCTTGATTCAGTGTCTTCTATCATTGCCAGAAAACTGTCTAAGAATAAACTTTTCACAGCAGTTTAATGAAGAAAAATGAAGAATTTGGAACTGGCCTCATTTTTATCTATTGGTAATAACTGAGCCAATTTCTCAAAATGGGCACACAAAGAGAGTATTTATGGTAAGCTCAAAAATGACCCCCGAAGATGTTCAGGTCCTAATACCTGGAACCTGTGAATGTTACCTTATGTGATAAAGTGGACCTCGAAGATGTGATTAAATTAGGGACTTTCAAAGGAAGAGATTATCCTGGATTATTTGGTGGGTGGGTCCTAAATGCAATCACAAATTTTCGCATAAAGTAAAGATGGAGGGAGATTTGACAGAGGCAAAGAAGGCCATGTGACATAAGGACATGTAAGCAGAGTCAGAGAAGATATGATCCTACTGGCTTTGGAGATAGAGAAAGGGCCATGAACCAAGGAATGCAAGGTATGACACTTTCTGTAGAAGCTAGAAAAGGCAAAGAAAAAGACCTCCCGAGACAGTACAGGCCTGACCATGCATGGGTGTCAGCCCGGTGACTTTGTAAAAACAGCTTTCAGAAGTGAAAAAAATAAATTTGTCTTGTTTTAGGCCACTAGGTTTGTTGTAATTTGTTACAGTAGCAAATATAAAACTAAAACAGTACTTTGAACTTATAAAATAATTTCACTAGAGATCTTCAAAGATATTCTTAAAAAAAATTTACTTAAGCAGAATTAAAATTATTTAATGTTTTGACAAAGTACAAAATAAAGTCTCAAAAAAAGTTGACACTGTCCCAACCTTATTCTCTGGAGAACACTGATAGATGAAATTTAATCTTGAACTATGAGAGTGACATGATCAGTTAGGTTAGTCATAAGGTTATGGAAGAAACTTGAGTAGACTAAGAGTTGGTGCCTAAGAAAGGCTAATAATTTGTCACCCATCCAAACTAAGAAATGAATAAATATTCATCCATTATAGTTGGCAGAGTCACTTCCATCATGGTAATTTTTTTTTTTTTTTTTTTTTTTAGTTTTTAGTTATTTCTAAGTTCCTGTCTGTGATCAGAGAGGTACCTGATTTTGCCATAATTGGAGAGGTTTATCTGTGAGGTCATTAGAATTATATTTCTGAATTTTCCAGTGGTGGTTTTCAGACTTTGCTCAGGTAACAGAGTAATGGTAGAGATATGAGACGTAAAGTGCACTGATTGGCTCTTCGGAGGGTAGGGATTGTGCTGGCTTTGAAGTAGGAGCTCTGAAAAGGATCTCAAAGATCCTATCAACTTGGCTTTGCTTCCTGATTGCTCTGTATGTGATTATCTACCTGATCCAGATCTCCAGCGTTTTTTGAGGACTACAATCATACCAGCAGGAATTTAGACACATACATCTATCCATACATTCCTTGTGTGTCATATAAGAATTGGATTGAGGGCTTCATGGAAAACTGACAGAGCTATTTACATTACCTGAGATTTTGATTAACAATAATTTATATGATCTCCTCAGAAACATGTTTTGCTTAAATTACATGTCAAGGTATTTATTTAGAGAAATATGATGTCACAAAATATTCACAACTGTTGAAATAAATAGTCTATACAAGTCTTCATTGTTTTGCTTTGCTTTTTCAGATTTCTGGGGCTTTGACAGTTTTCAAAATAAAGCTTGGAGAAAAATTACAAAATAGGGCGTAATGAATTTCTTAAATACACTGAAACTATCGGTGCAGGCGTGTCACTATTACTTTCCTGGTTTGATCACTGGGAGTCATCCAGTTGATACACAGCCTCCTCAGGAAACTTAATTTGGAGAGAAAATAGAGAAGGATTCTCTATGACTGGAGGAATGTGGATGACAGTGTTTTAATAGAATACATGTTATGATAAATGTCAGTCACACACTCATTAACATATTTGTATCTTGTGTTATTTTAAAAATTCTGTGTTAGTCTAATTAAACAAATCTACGCCATTGGTGATAAAGGTATAATGCAAGACTTCCTGCCAATGAGCATTTTAAATTGAGCCCAATTATTGTAATGGGTATCAATAATTATCTACAAAGTTTATTGAAATTTTAGAATGTTAATGTCTGTCCACAGGACAAGGTAACTTATGATAGCCAATAATGAATGATAGGGCTTTCCAATGCCAAAAAAAGATGGAAAAAACAATGTGTGTTTGTAGAAATATATCATAGCCATATCTTGTTCTTTCTAGTACAAAATCTATTCTGTCATCTGCAGATGAACATTCATAGTGGCAAATTTAGTTCAGTTTTCAAAAAAAATCTTTCAAATGTATAAATAGTATGGACTAGCAGTAAACATTTATTTTACTGTGCTCCTACTTTTTTCATTAAATCTAAGCTTTAAAAGTTCTGGGAGTATACTGACACCTAGAGGAAAACAGCTTTAGGTATCATTTATTTCCAGTGGTTCTTACAGCCGCTTGTAGATAGATAAAACTCTCATGGCTGGGGCTTATTTACAATGCTTTTTTTTTTTTTTTTCTTTTCTAGGTAGACTTTAAATTTAGTTTCTATAGGAGTATCTCATAGTAAAAGGTATAGAGTAATATGGAGGAAAGAGAAGGAAAAATTAAGAAACCTCATCCTTTAATGAAATAAGAATTCATACCAAGATTAAACAGTATCCTTGTCACTCAGTAATGCCCTGTTCTGAATGGCCACAGCTACTTTCTGAAGTCAGTAGTTTGAAGATAATTTTTTAAAATAAATTGAAGGCAGATTTTTTTACAAGTATATATTATGCAGTTTATTTGAAAGAATGAAGTTTGTATTGGAACAAAATTATGGTATTATACATATATGCCTAACAGTTTGGGACTTGTTCTATGTCTACACATGCTGTAAGAATTTATTTATATATTTTAAGTCTAATTTGGGGAATCAGAACTAGATATGCATAGTCTGATTTTGCCTCAAATACATGTTCTTTTAGAGTTTAAATTGAAACATCACAGTCACTCAGACACCGAACAGGGAGCACTAAACGTATTGGGAAGGGTTTCAATCTTTCCATGGTAAAGGGACATAAATACAACTTGAGTATGGGAGAGATCTATTTTGAGCTTGCCTCACAAAGCTGTGAAAGCACAAAAGAGGCAGACGGCGCAGCCACAAATGAGGCTACTGAAAGGAATGTTGCCAAACCCAGGAGCTCCCACAGCTATTTGCATAAGTGCTAGCAAAGTTCCTCAGCCGATCTGGTCCTGCACCCCAGACGCGGAGAAGCAGATGAGGCAGCAGATGACCATTTACACTGCCAGGGTGTGTGAACCAGGGAACATCCCCCACATTACTCACTAAGTAATGAGGAGGGGACTTAGATATGTTCCACAATTCAGATGGGCCTGCCAGTTGGCCCCTGAGCTTCATTCTGTGTGATCCATACACAGCAGAGACACTCAGGAGGCAATGCAAATGAATCAACAGACAGCACTGAGGTCCCAGCAGCAGCAGGCAAGGTACTGCCTATGCAACAGGGCGTGATGACAGATAATTAGCTGTGACATGCCCTTCAATGGCAGTGGGATGAGAGTGTTCAGATGGAAACCCGTGTGCAACATGGTATCACGAACCAAGAGATTTAACTTGGGAACCAAGAGATAAATTCTTTTTTTCCAAATCATTTTTTTAAGGAGGTAGCTGGAAAGAGTTAAGTTTTCATTATTCTAGGAATAAAAGTTAAAATTTGTTAAGCAAGTACTACATTTTAGGTATTGGGAGATATACTTACCATTATCACTTCTGATGTTCTAAAAATCACTATTTTGTAAGAACCGCCTTTATTTTACAGATAAAGAAAACAGGCTTAGAGAAGTAATGCAACTTGCTCAAGGACACATTGCTAATAAATGGAAGAGACAGGAAGCCAAACTAGGGCTGTTTGAATATAGAATTAGTCTTATCATGTTGCCTATCACAAACAGATGTTGACTTATTTCCCCTAAAGGAAATTTGATAGAATGTCCTCTCTTGGCCTTTTCTTCTACTCTTTAAGTTTCCCTTATGTTGTTTATATTTTTATGTGCCATTTTTTAATTTCTTCTTCAAAATGTTGAGTTTGTTATTTTAAAAAATCACTCCAAAGGATACTACTGAAACAACTGGAAAATTTGAATATGGGCTATATATTAGAACATAGTATTGCATCCATTTTAAATTTCCTGACAGTTGTATTGTGATTATGTAAGGGAATGCCATTGCTCTTAGGAGGCACATACTAAAACAGGGATAAAAGGTCATAATATCTGCTATTTACTTTCAATTTTGTTCAGGAAAAATGTTCATAATAATGATACGCACATAGGCATGCATGGAGATAGAGTAAAAAAGCAAATGTGCAAAATACTGACAATTGTTAAATCTAGGTGCAGTGTCCATGGGAATTTATTTTATTCTTGCAATTTTTCTCTAAATTATAATTTTTTCAAGGTAAGTTAAAATAATTTTTTTAGGCTTCTCAGGCTAGTTTTGAAATCTTTAAGTGTACATGTACACAGTTAACTGTGATTTCAGTATTTGTATTCTCAGCAGCTGAATGCAGACGATTCCCAGAGCTGGCTAGCCCTTTCACCCTTGTCAGAAATTATCAATGTCTTTGGTCCTGGCATAATCATCTATTGTACGTGGAACCATTTGGGTGATATGCCACTCACTCTTCATTTTGTGGCCCGGAAGGGCTTTATGATCAGTGATCATGATGAAGGGGGATAATGTATACAAGAGAGTTTTAGTCGATAAAGAAGATACATTTTTGTCATTGTTATTTAGTTGGAAATTTCAGCCATGTGGAGATTATTAATCACACAAACCCATTTCTACTCAAATGAAAATTTCATTTCTTCTGCTTTCAAGAATCACATGAACGTTTTTTAAAACCAGAAAAGGAATAACAGGTGTCTTCACTGTTCATTTCAGTTGGAGGCATTTGATGTTCATAATCAACATTTTGAAATATGTTCAAAGGTGCCATCTTGTGGTAATATTCTATTCAGTTTTTAGCAGATATAGTGGCAAAAGTCTGAGTAAATCTGAAGACCAGAAAGAAATAACAATGGAGAAATACATTTTACAACATGCCAGAAGCCTATATTTTGGAGCATAAATAAAAAAGAATGCCAGAGTGTATTTCCATGTGTAATTTACTTATTTAATCAAAGTGCTTAATGACTCTTCTTACTCATTTTGCTAAGTTTCTATTTGAAAGCCATGTCCTTTTTTCTCTTTTCCCCAGATTAGAAGTCTAAATACTTCTATATAATAGGAGAACACATTAAGAATGAACTTCTGCTTTAGTGTTATACATTCTGAAATAAATCATTCTTCACCGAGGTTTCCAGAAGCATCACCTGCTTTTTAAAAATTTTTATTTAAAAAAGTCAAGGCTGATAAAGAATGATCAAGGTCTCCTGCCCCAGCCTTTCCTATACACAGATGACACTTTTTCATACAACTTTTTCAGCTCTTCAAATTATTTCTTCTAATTTTGCCTCTGTTTTTAAATGTATTTTTATCTTTTTAAAAAATTTAGAGACAGTAAGTTTTGATATTCTACCTTGGATGATGAGGACTCAGCTTTTATCATAGCCTTGCTCACCAACATATTTTACTTCATCCTTGCTTACATTTTTCAATTTAGTTATATCATATTTTTGTTATTATTTAATCAATTTCTTTTACTATTTAGATGGAAATTTTGTTGTTTACAGCATACTACATAGTACACTACAATGACTTTCTTTTCTGAAACAAATGGCTGTTTCCCTAGAATTAATAATTATCCCACTTTTTAATTTGTTTGGTGTTTTATAATCCTTTTTGGATGAATTCCTCTAATCTAATAGAACTGAATATATCCTTTCGACAAGGTATTTTACTGTCCACACACCTCCAAGGTATTTACTGCCCACACACAAGATATTTTACATTCCACACACCTCCTATGGAGATATAACTTTTACATTCTTCTGTCTCCTTCACTTGACATAAAATGTAGTTTGTGTTCGATCATTTCTTACTTTATGTTAGGTCATTTCCAATAGATAAGAATTTTTTTGGTGAGTTGCAGACATTATTTAAGCTAGCTCAGGTTTGAATCTTTCTTCTCTAACAATGGTGAAATTTAGAACCTTTAACAGACAAATCATTCAGGGCTACAAGATAGGTCCTAAAGTAAAGGTGTATATTACTGGCATCCCCAGGTATAAGAGAAAGACAATTTATTAGTGAATAATGGTGTGTTTATTTTGCAGAATATTCGTGAATGTGTTTTTTTTCTCTTTTCCTGTTATAAAAAGCAGACAAATCAATAGATTAGACTATTTAAGCATGGAATAATAGAGAATAAAATCGTAAGACTGTAGAATTCTTTAAGGCCATAGGAACTATTGACCTACTTTTCTTGATTATAGGGTACATTTTTTCAACAATAGAAACATTTGCATTCCCAGAATATTGCTCTCTAGATAATCAGTTTTTTAAAAATTTTGATTTTCTAATCCTCCTCTTTGCCCTGAGATCATAATTATTATCCTTTATTTGCATTGACGTCATTCTTCTCTTCAAACCGTTATTAGTGTTTTTAATAAGTATTTATCCAAAGCTTATTACATGCAAGACATTCCACTAGGATAAGGATAGGGAACTATACAAAGATTTGGCTCTGTTTTCCCAAAACTTTCAAAATGTACTAAGAAAATAATTATACAATTAATGCATATCTTATTCAAATCAAAATTCAAATTATTTACTTTTTGAGAGCATGTCGTGTGATACCTTATGTACATAATTACATATTTCCAACCTTTTTTGAGGCTTAAGTTATCTCTGCAAAAATTTCTAATAGATATTAATACTTAATTAATCCTGTATTAATTCTATAGGTTCAGTCAACAATATTTATTTATCTAGGAACTTATCAATCTCATCTTCCCATCTTCCTTATAACTGTATTGTGTCTCATTTATCTTTCAATTTCGTATATGTATGAAATATTTCAGTAAAATGGGTCTGTTCATTCTTCCCCCTTGTAAAAATTTACTGTACACTGCACTAGAAATTGGTGAAACAATGTTAAGTAGCCTCGTTATTCTGATCTTCATGATTATGAGACAACCACATCTTCTTAGTGTTTTGTGCTGTTATATCCTTGCCATATCCTATAATTTCTGCATTATCCTGTATTCCCTCTTACCAAATGAAATGATTTCTGGAGGAATATGAAAGTAAGTTCTTATTAGCTGTATTGTCTTGTACGAATCTGTTCACCTCCATGTAATGCAATTTATTCATCTGAATAATGAAAGAGCCAGACTGGACAATACTCAGATTTATTCCATCTTTATAAGAAAGTTTCCATAGGAAACTTTTGAGAAATATGCTGTGCTGAAGGATAAATGAATTTGGCTTAATTTCTACTTTGCTAAAATTCCATACCACATTTACTACCCCATAGTTATAAATTAGGAACCAACAAACCAAAGAAAACATGGGTAAAGTATGGCTCCTAGTGTAATATCTTGATAATATTACAGTAAATATGGTTTTTAAAAATCTTTTGGGAACAAAGGTTTCTTTAAGAACACTCACTTAAATGCAGGAGAATTGAGGGGATTTGTAGGGGCCTCAGTCCTTGATGAATAGGGACAAAAATAACTGTAATAGAAGCCTCAGAAATATAAAAGATCATAAGGGACTTTTATTTACAATTATGTGCCAAAAATTGGATAATATAGAAGAAATTGATGAATTCTTATAAATATACAAGCAGTATGGTTTGGCTCTGTGTCCCCACCCAAATCTCATCTCTGACTGTAATCCACACTTGTCACGGCAGGGACTAGGTAAGAGGTGATTAGATCATAAGGGTGATTTCCCCCAGGCTTTTCTCTTGATAGTGAGTGAGTTCTCAGGAGATCTGGAGATTTTTATAAGAGGCTCTTCTCCCTTCGTTTTATCTTTCCCGCTGCCTTGTGAAGAAGGTACTTACTTCTCCGTTGCTTTCTGCCATGATTGTAAGTTACTTGACCTCCCCCAGCACAGCCATACGGAACTGTGAGTCAATTAAACTTCTTTCCTTTATAAATTACCTAGTCTTGGGTATTTCTTTATAGCACTGTGAAAATGAACTAATATAACAATACGTCAAGACTGAATTATGAAGAAAACAAGATCCAGTGACTTGCTATCTACAAGAAACTCACTTTAGATGTAAAGATACACATAGGCTGAAAGTGACAAGATAGAAAAAGATATTCCAAAATGGTAACAAAAAGAAAGCAGAAATGGCTATATTTATGTCAGGCAAAACAGACTTAAAATTGAAAATTGTCTCTAGAGATAAAGGTTATTATATGATAAAATGATCAATTCAGTAAGAAGATATAACAATTATAAGTATATACATATTCAATATTAGAGCATTTAAATATATAAAGCAAATATTGACATATCTGAATGGAGAAATTGACAGCAATACAATAATAGTGGTAGACTTCAATATTCCCCTTTTAATAATGGATAAAACATCCAGGCAGAAGATCAGTTTGCCAATGTTCCCCTTAATGTGTGGCCTGAAAGTTGTATAAATAGGCCAGGTGTGATTCCAACTTTACCACATATTTCCTTTTGTGGATTAATGAAGCCCAATAGCTCACTGTTTTCCAACTTGATCAGTTGTATTTGATTTTTCCCTTTATCGGTTGCATTGCACTATTGGCTTATATTTAATTTGAAATTAAAATTCCCTGGTTATTTTGCAAAAACTCCTGCCTCCTTCTACCCTTCAGTTTTGCCATCATGCTTTTTAACTACCGGATTTTGCATTTTTCCTTATTAAAGTTTGTCTATTTCATATCAGACTCTGTTCTTGGTTTATAGATACATTTTTTAAATTTATGTTTTCACATTCATATTAGCTCTCTGCTCAACTTGATCTTCCATTGATCAGTTGGTTGTGAAAATTTTGAGCAGGCTATAGCAAAGGAAAAATACATAGCATTATTGGATATTCATGGACTTAGCTCCAAACAAATGTCTTATAAACGAACCCTGGAACAGTATTTTAATAGCCCCAAACTTATCTTCTCATGTTTTAAAATTATGTGGACTTGTAAGTAAGCACTATGTGTGAAATCTGCTTCTGGACATGAAGACAAGATATAACTGAGGGCCAAAAAAGTAATAGCTTTTTATTTTTCACGCGTAGGACAGTCAGATATTTTAATGGACTCCACTTAGACTATAAAGCTTAGATCAATTTGCAGCACTCACATGCAATGGGTGCTTATGCAACAAGAAATGGGTGCTTATGCAACAGTTTTCTTGTTTGTTATTGTTATGTTCAGGCTTTCTGTTTCTTCTGAAATCAGTCTTAGTATGTTGTATGTTTCTAGGAATTTATCCATTTCTTATAAGTTATCCAATTGTTGGCATATAATTGTTTATAAAAGTTTCTTCTGATCCTTTTGTTTCTTAGGAACACATTTTAATGCTTCCTCTATCATTTCTGATTTTGAGTCCTCTCCTCTTCTTAGTTTAGCTAAGGGTTTGTCCATTTTTTTATTTTTTTAAAAAAAACCCTTAATTTTCTGAATTTTCTCTTGTTTTATTATTCTGTACTTATTTCTACTCTAATTTTCATTATTTATTTCTTTCTGCTAACTTTGGGCTTAGTTTGTTGTTCTTTTTCTAGTTCTTTGAGGTATAAGCTAGGTTGTTCATTTGAGATCCTTAGATTTCAACGTAGGCATTTATTGCTACAAAATTCCTTTTTAGTACTTTTGCTGGATCTTGTAAGTTTTGATATGTTGTGTTTTTGTTTTCACTTGCCTTGAGATATAATTTAAATTCCTCTATGATTTCCTAATTGACCCAATGGTTATTTAAGAGTGTATTGTTTTTTCGTCATTGTGAATTTCCCACTTTCTTGCACTATTGATTTCTAATTTTACTCAATTGTGATCTTAAAAGATCTTTGAAATGACTTTTATCTTTTTAATGTTGGGGGGACTTGTTTTGAGGTCTGATGTAATTTATCCTGGAGTATGTTCCACCTGTGTTTGAGAAGAACATGTTGCTGAAGTATAAGAATATTCTGCTGCTGTTGAGTGGTATGTAATGTATATGTCCCTAAAGTCCAACTGGTGTACAGTGTTGTTCAAGTACTCTCTTTCTTTATAGATCTCCTACCTGGATGTTTTATACATTATTGAAAGTGGAATATTAGATTCTACTACTAGTATTGTATTGATATCAATTTCTCCTTTCAGATCTATCAACATTTGCTTTGTATATTTAAGTGCTCTGATATTGAATATGTATATATTTACAATTGTTATATCTTGTTAAATTGACCCTTTTATTATTATATAATGAACTTCACCTCTAGAGGAAGTTTTTGACTTTGTCTATTTTGTCTGATAGGATAGCCTCCCCTGCTTTCTTTTTTTTTTCTTTTTACCATTTTCATAATATCCTTTTCCATCTCTTTACTTCCAGCCTATATGTATTTTTAAATCTAAAGTGAGTCTCTTATAGACAGCAAGTCACTGGATCATGTTTTTTGATTCACTCAGCTACTTTAAGCATTCTTATTTGGGATATTAAGCCATTTACATTAAAATAATTACTGATTGCTGAGGACTTACTAACTGCCATTTTGTTAATAGTTTTCTGTTTTGCTCTTGTTTTAATCCTCTCTCTCACAGTCTTCCATTGTTAACTGACATTTTTGTAATGATTTACTTAAAGCTATATTTATATTATACTTATAATTTCAATATTATATAGTATTTATAATATAAGCTGTATTTATTTATTTATAGATGTGTACAACTTTATCTTATAATTATGATTATTTAGAATTAATGCTTTGAAACAAGGCTTTCTCCTCTCTCCCACAATCTATTCCATATTAATGAGTTTCTTTGCTTTTAACCATTCCAAATTATTTCTCATCAACGTTATTTGTGAACAGCACCATCACTACTATATTTATAAATATACAGCTTGATTATGACTCTCCCTGTTTCCTATTTCCCATGGAATTAATTCCAAGTATTAAGAATTGCATATAGGACACTCTGGTTTTATTTCCAATTTATCTTTTTACTCCCCTCCATAAAAACTATACTGTAATCACACTGACCTATTTTATATTTTAAAAAGTTCCATGCTCTTTTAAACTTCTGTGCCCTTGTCCATGCTGTCACTTTTGAATAAAATTCCCTTCTCTGCTTCTATATTTGGTAAATCCATTGGCAGTCCTTGAAGTACAAGTCAAACATGACCTTCTCAATTTTACAATTCTTATTTTCTTCTCTCTAAATCTATAGTGCCTTGAAATACTTGATATCTAGTATGTGCTTAATAAATGTTTCTGAAATGAGTAATTAGTAAGTCTACAAAAATATAAAGTGAAGTATTTAGTTTCATTGATGTTCTATATAAAAAGGCATCTTACATTACACAGTAATTTCTTTGAAAAGCTGTGAGTATACTGTATTTTAACAAATCGCAATGTATTCCAAGAGAATAAATTGAATAATGCTAGTGTAAAACATCCTATTGTTATATGCATGCTCTTTGATATATTTTATTTGTTTATCTTGTGTATATATAGCCTTAATATTTTTGAATATAGGAAAACCCAGTAACCAATCAGGGATACATAACTTAAACTTGTTTCTGTTTGTAGAATTTAGAATCTCAGTTTAGCCATTTTCTATAGTGCATGATTATTACTGTTATTATTTATTTTTACCAATTTTAATTAAAATATTCACTTATGACCACCTTATACAGTTCTTTGGAAGATTGTTTCATAGCACAAGATCAAAAAGAGAAAATATATTTCATGTTAGAAGAGAAGGGAAAAAATAGCATTCATATAGAACCAGATAAAAAAGAAGACCAATGAAATAATATGTTAATATTTTACTTGGAAAATACATAAAAGGCTGATAAATGATAAGATAATGCTATTTAAATTAAGCACAGTGATTGGAATACTATTTATAGAGCAGTATAAAACATGTTCTCCATATGCCTTCTCCATGGACCTCTAAGATGTTAGAAGAGACATTAGTAGGTGAAATGTAAGGATAGGTAGTTCCTTTTTCAGCGAATTGAGAGGCAGGGAAACACAGTGGCAAACACAGGCAATATCCATTGTTGCTTAAGAAAGTGAAGATTTTCCCTCTCCAAAGTTTGACAAAGATGGTGATTTTTGTTGTAGCCTTGAACCTGAGACTAAATAGTATATGTTGACTAAATAATATATTTGATTGGTCTTCAAACTGGAACATTAATTTGAAAAGGTTAATCAAAATTTCATTGGTTTATAACTACACATAATTAATTTTCTTTAATTAATAACTGTGGTTTTCTTTAAATCTGTTGACAAATATCCATGAATGGAAATGTGTTTATGTTTTAACATTTTAGAAATGCCCATTCATGTATTTTAAGTGGACATTTACTATCAAACATTATTTTCCTTTACACGTAAACAAAGCATGGTAGTTCACTTACTTATATCTTCACATACTCAACCTTTAAATCATGCCAAAGATCTTCACACTATCCTTAAATATCATGGAGTTTAGTGTCATTCACCATTTTAAATAGAACTGAAAATTAAAACCCATTGAAAAGATTCTGAAAGGGTCTTCCCAGCTTTGAAAAGTATGCCTAGAACTTTAATGCTAACATATGCTTGTATTAGAAAGAAGGTAATAAAGTGAAAGAAAATACAGTTAATAACTCAATCTATTATATTCAACCAGGTGGTTTTGTGATACTAATGCATAAGAGAGTAGGGCATTTGTTAGACCACAGACTGATTAGGATTCTGGAGTTTTTCATATTCTTCAGCATAGCATTGATACTGATCAGTGAGGAGAGGCTGGTTAGCTTCATCCATACTGCGTCTGGCACGAATCAGATAAGAAGCAGTCCCAAAAATGAGTGCAACCAGTAACAAAGCGCCAACTACTGCTATGGCAATTATCTCAGGTACACTAAACTCCCGACCTATTTGGAAAGGAAGATAAAAATAAAAAGACAAATATTAAAATAGTTATCACCAAAAAGTGGACAGATGAAATTTAGAAATGTCTATTTTAACAGAAATCCTCATATTTAATTTACATTGGCCACATGGCCTTGAAGCCACTTCCTGATTTCTTTTAATGAGTGGACCCTATTGGGATAGTCATTGTTATTTCCATTTCATTTTGTGAAAGTGAGAGAATGATGACTCAATGAGTCTGAGTCACTTACCCAGGTCACTTGGTTGGTAAGCAATAAAGTTGGCTTTGGAGCCCGGATATTTTAGAATATAAGTCTTGTACTTTTCCACTATGCCCTACTGCCTTTGTTGGGGAAAAGATTTAAACAAAAAACTTTTGAACTTCAAAATCTCAGAAAAATACCTAAGAGTATCTCACTCCCTTTTCCTTTAAGATAGATAAATGCAGGCAATATGGTATAGTAGAAAAATTGGGGCATATTCCATGGGCCTAAGCTCAAACTCATTCTCTTCCCTCATTAGAAATGTGAATCTGTAACAGTTAACCTATTTAAGCCTCAGCTTCCTTATTTGTGAAATGAAGATTTTCATACTCACCCCAAAGCATTGTGAGGATTAAATGAGATAGGGTGCTGTACAATAAGATCAATATCAGCTTAGTGTGGACTCTCAACAAATATCAAATTCCTTCCCTTATCCTCAAATAAAAGTACAAATGAAAGTTTCCAAGTCCAAATGGAAAACATAGCTTCAGAATACCGTGATTACTCTACTTGAAAGATAACACATTTGCTTTTGGAAATTATCACAGTAAAAATACACTTTCAACACTCACTTGGCCATTGAATTTCATAAGTGTATCCCAGGTTGTCTGGAGCAGTAACAAACATTTCTGTGTTGGTGACTGGGGGCCAGAATGGCACCATGTTGTATTGTCTATTATGTCCAATAGGGGCATTTTCCAATGGAAATGTGGATATATCTAAATTATTCCAAAGACAACGTATTAATAAACATAATAAAATTAATATTCCTATCATTATTGAGTTCTAAAGGCATCCAATATTCAAGGAGAACCTGAAAAAATTTTATTCTTATTTTACACTGAATAAAGATATGAAGTTTCACTACAGCAGGATGAGAAATTACATAAAACAGAAAATGCTTTGAATACAGTACCAATATACCACTTAATAAAAAAGAGAGTTTAAAAGCAGGGGAGTTTTAGTATTTCATCACCTATGGTGATCTTGAATAATTTTTAAAAATTACATAAAGCAATTTGAATAAAATTCATTAAATGTATTTTTCAAAGCCAAAGAAAACATAAACCTGTAATTTGCTGTGGCATACAGCTCTGCCTCCTGTTATCCCTTTGACCTTACTATCTCTCACCACTCTCTCCCCAGACCCCACTCTACTCCAGCCACAGTTGGCTCCCTGTTCCTTTGTCTTAGGACATTCTTCTTCCATATATCTACACAGTACTGCCTATCCTATTTCCTGATTTTATTTGTCTATAGAGACTTCCACCATCTAACATGCTGTATATGTATTTACATATGGTTATTGTCAATTTTATCAACAGGAAGAAAAGTTTCAGGAAGAAAATTTGTTGGTGAATTTTGTATAGCATCGTATTTCTGGTACCTTGAATACTGACCAGGAAATAGTAGATTTGAAAATAATATATATGAAAAGACTTAAGTGTACGTGTGATTACTTCATTTCTCTCACAGCTCAAAAAGTAAAGTAGTGATCACTCTTGGAAACGTATAAACTGCTTCTTCTGAAAATACACTGAACTTCTGGGCTGCTATATTTAAAACTTAATTCATATAATTCTCAGTTGAAATAAAAGAGAAGGAATTGAATTGAATGTGTATATAGATCAGAAATGTTAGTAAATAGAAATTAACATGGTAGTAACTAGAGTTTGGATGCTCTCAATTGTACTATTTCATGTCTAATGAAAGGAACCTGTAATGGACATTAATATTTGAATGACTCCACTTTTCTTTATCTGTAAAGTGTAATTTTTGTTCCTTTCCAAGCCTAATAATTCTATTATTCTGCAATTTGTAAAGAGCTTTCTATATTTGTAAAAACCTTTCAATCATTTTGAAAAAGAATTCCATCCCTCCACTCCTAGACTTATTTTAAACAAGACTCTTGCTTTACAGACAGTTTTATAAATTTTTTTAATCTTTCTAATTTTTCTTTCTCTTCTTCACAGTTGTTTTATGACACTGATTTCTAAAACGTATTTGCAGGTACAAGGAATATTTAAGAAGGAGGCTAATTGTTTCAGCTTAGCTTTCATGCAGTTTGCAAGTGTTTACATTGACCTATCCTATAATTTTATGGCCACATTTTATCAGAAATGTGCTGCAGGGTAGTTTCCTATTTTTTATTTACGGTATTTCTCTTCCCACTACAATTCAAGTTACTGAGAAACCTTATGCTACACATATTGCAAACAAAGAAAATGTCAGAAAAAAATGTTCAAAAGGTATTTTTCTGGTTCATCAATGACCTTTAAGTTAAAATCTGGAGAACCTTTAACAACTTGCTATCAATGTGAAATAATTATATTTTCAGCCAAGATACACAAGGTGAAGGAATATCTTTCCTTTCTTTCATAGGTGAAAGAAAACTCCACTTAAGAGACTTGCCAGGTTACTGAATAGTCTCCATTTCCTCTAAAAAGTTTACTAACACCCACGGCATTGTGAATAACTGAATAAATACAACTTGAACATTGCCATGTAGTTCCCAGAAGTGCATGTTTAACAAAAGCTGGTTTTGTTAATTCCTAAACCTATTAATTTGAGTTTACTCATTACTGTAATAAAAGTAATCTAGTTAAACAAACATAAAGTGGTCATCATGACTGTAAAACAAAGAGAAGGATGTTGTTTTTATAGTATGTAAATTGAACATTTTGGAAAGATTTGTTAAAGGTGTATGGCTAAAATATTTGCCCTCATATTGTATTTCAAAAGTCACTCATTTATTGTTTCACTTTTAAAAAAGCTGACAGTGTAAATTATAGATTTATGGTTGTCATTATGTATATAAATACACATGAAAATGAGATGAAACTGCAATAACTGAATTCATAACTGATTGAAAACTAACTCTGTCTCTGTCAGCCAGGCTAGAGTGCAGTGGTGTGATCTTGGCTAACTGCAACCTCTACCTCCTAGGGTCAAGTGATTCTCCTGCCTCAGCCTCCCCAGTAGGTGGGATTACAGGTGCCCATGACCATGCCTGGCTAATTTTTGTATTTTTAGTAGAGACGGGGTTTCACCATGTTGACCAGGCTGGTCTCAAACTCTTGGGCTCAAGTGATCCCCACATCTCGGCTTCCCAAAGTGCTGCGATTACAGGCTTATGTGTAAGTTGTTTCTTAAATAATTTTTGATGGAACAAACTATTTTCATCAATTTCATCAATTAATGGTCCTAATTAGGTTGGATTAGAGGACGTTATTGCACACATACACACATAGAAATGAAAGCATGCCTAATGGATACATAAATCAATAGGTAGTTAAGCTACAATATCAGGTTTATGTGCGTTATGAGCTAAAGGCACAAAAGCCAAAATTTAGAATGCTTTCAACCTATGAAAATTTGCGATGTTTTAACCAGTGGAAGCACTTTTATTGTTTGAAAAATAATGCTAGCCTCTCAGCTGCATAGGAAGGCAGAGAAAGAGGCCTTTTAAATAGTATTTTAAAGAATGCATTGAAATGAACTTAAAAGAGATTTCCTATAGTGTGATATAAAAGCCAACATTAACTTTTCAAGTGGAACACAATTTCTATTTGTGAGGGGCCATTAAGTAATAAAAATAAGAACTGTGGATTATGGGTATAAAATTTTTAGTCTTTTGGGATATCAAAGAAGAGCTCTATAAGGTTTTCCTCATTTATATTTAAAAGTAATGAGAATTTATGTTGGAAGATGAGGGTAAGAACAATTTGTGAAACATAGTAGCCATTTTTTCGTAGCAAAAATTAGGAGAGATGATTTGGTTAGTCCCAGCAAATGGTTAAAAATATCATCCTATAATAACTATTTGGAGAGACTTCTTGCCTGCATTTTCAAAGTAGAATTGAATGTCTGGAAGTGACTTGATATTACAGCTATGCTATCCTTATTTTGAAAGTGTTTTTATGCGCTGAGTGCTCAGCTTGAACTGATAACTATGCCATCTAAACAATCCGCCCAGCTGAGCATGCAAAAGGCATATGAAAATGTCTTACCAGCATTGTATCTCCTCAGCCATTCATCAAAGACTGCATCTGTGAAGGTGTGCAGGAGGACAAAAATAGGATCATTTGGAGACAAATGGGTTTGTCCCCCTGTTCCATTCAGGAATAGATGAGCCAAATTGTGAAGACTTCGAACAGCAGGGTCATACTTTCCCGTGGGGTCACTGTAACCTAGACACATGGTAAGGAGGAGAATAGTAAAACTATTGCAAATATTTCACTTTTCCAGGTAATAGCAATGATTATATTGGGAAACAATTTTTTCAAGGCTCGTCAGGCCAATTTTTGCCTTAATATAACAGCACTGCTTCTCTGTACCTATGGTTGATGACATTTGTTTGCTATACCCAGAGCTAGGCTGGTTTTATGCTAGTGGCATGACATTCTAAATGTAGCCTCCAGGTTAAAAATAATGACCTGCAAAGGATACCAGTCAAAATATATAGACACTCTATTTGACAAGGCAGACATTGTTCTACATGGGAATAAAGATAGTGAAAATCTCCAGTTTCTGCTAAAAACTGCTGACACAATTGGGAGAAGAATGCTCTGGTTGTCTTGGAACTTAAGTTGCCAGATGTTACTTCAGCCTCCTACCTTATTTTTGAATGACTGTTAGCACGTTTATTTTTGGAAAACTATTTTTTGTGGGGAAGCTACAATTCCTCAGGGCTTTCTTTCCATCTTTGTGCTAGTTTTAAACATCGGGAAAACCTACTGTCAAAACATTTATACAGCTTTTGATAAATATCTCAATTCCATATATACATATACACACACATATATACACACACACACACACACACACACACATATATATATATATTCCATATATAAGGGAGAAAACAAGGATTGGTATAAGACAGGTCATAAATAAAAATGGAGGGTCTATAATGTAGGCTGTCTAATTGGGTTGAAGGACCAGAGGGTTGAGATCAGGGAATTGTTGTGCATTATAAAATGAAATCAGAATTTAAAATATGTTAACCAGTTCTCTCTTCATCTAAGATGAATTGTATAGTTGTAGCCACTTATTTAGCCACCTATGCATTTTTTCAAGCATCTATTCCATTGTTATTTGACTCAAAAACATTTAAAGATTGTCTGTGATATATATGGAACGTGGCTTGACACTCGTCTTTTTATACATTTTGTCAGGAAATAAGTATAATTGTCTTCTGATTGGGCATTAAGAAGACACAATCTGTACATTTTTTAAAACATCAGTGCTGATGGCCTTAGTTTACAGATTAGCCAAAATATAGTGATTTTTTTTATTGAATCATATTCAAATCAGTGCATTCAGGTAGTTATTAAAATGATCAAAAATAGGTTAATATGGCATATAATTTTGAGACTAAAAGGTGAGAGAATTAAAAATAATTATTAGATTTGTATACCAAGTATCTCTGATCATAGGGCAGAGAAATGTATTTGCATTTTTTGGGGAGATGGGATGCATTAGACATGGACAATGCTATATTGAAGGTAAAAATTTAACAATAACAAGTTTATAAGATAAAAGTAATTATATTCTTTTGAAGACTTTAAATATATATATATATCAAGCATCATTTGGAGGTATCAAAATTTATTATACAAAGACACTGGATTTTGAAAACTTGAATTTGAACCTACGCTCTGTTAGTAACTAGCTGAATATCTTGTGATAGTAATTTTACCTGTTTATACCTCACTTTCCTCAGCTTTAAAATACTTTGTGTGAAATAAGGAAAACCAAGTTAAGCATCAGTAGATGCTAATTTGAATTTGTACAGACCTTTGAAAAAAGTTACAGGTTAATACGGACCTAAATAAAACATATGCGCAAGCAAGGCTTTACTCAGTGTCAACTAATTGTTTGGAATTTTTTTTATTACTCTATTTAAAAAAAAAACTAAACTAATTTAATACACTGTCAAAGTCTTGAATATTGTTTGCCAATGCTAGAGACCTTGATATAGTTACATATTGGCCAGCTAGCTACCAGAAATTTGAATTTAAAAAGTTTTTGGGTGTTTAAGAAATTAGAGCATGATTTCCAAGGGCTTCACCTATAATGAAAAGAGCTTCATGGTTGACTCTTCTTTTTAAGAAAGTTCCTTTTTCAAGCAGGTGTATCATAATAGAAAATCTCATTCACATAAACACACAGGATTAATATACTATTCAAAGCCTTCTCAAAGAAACTTGCTTTTGAATAATTCAGTTTTCTCTGATAACTAGATCTTTTAAAAATACTGATTTCATTTACTTGCCTTCCACTGTGTTTCGGAAACTGTTTGTAGAGTTGGAATAAAAAGGAGGCGTGTCAAATAAACCAACTTCCAAGCACTGAGCGACATCCTGTGGTTCAGGAAGACGTTGCACCATTGGTCTGGCCACATTTCCAGCTGGATTTCTCCTAATTGGCCCATCCTCGGTGCCTGCAGAAAAAAATGGGATGTGGAAACATTTACACAATGTTTGGAGTTCTTATTGTCGCTCTTTAAAACTTTATACATAGCATGAATATGAAATATAGGTTTTCCTTGGTAGAAAAGAAAATTTAAAAATGCATACTTGGTAGCATTAAAATGAGAAAATCTAAGTTACCATGTCCCATTTCTTTGAATCAAGTAGATATGAGATACATAAAAGTATCTGAAGGAAAAAAAAGAATCACACTAACAGATACAGGTGTTGATATTTGTTAAATCAATATATGCTTCTTCCACAAGAATGTATTAAAATGAAAATTCCATGGAAAATTGAATTTTGCCAAAATAATCTCATAAATCTAGTTCTACACTAAAATCTTTATGTCACATATATGTGATATTTTGTATGCAAATGCTGTCTATTTAAACCTTCAGAGAAATAAGGAAAAAAAAACCCTTACATTTCTTTGGAAAGTGATACATATGTCAACCAACACACATTTTTCAACTTTTTCAGCAATTAATGTGAGAAATAATGAAACTTTGTGAAGGGCAGTAACAAACAAAGAACTGTGATACTAGGGATAGATAATATGATAGGAGCCTTAAAGAAGAGAGATGGTGGGAGGGAGCAGGGAAAGAGAGAGAGAGATCCTGCCCAGTCAGATCTCCAGAAAGGCTTTATAAAGAAGAGAGATTTACACAAAGCCCCATAGGATTAAGAAAAATTTTCTTAGGTGAAATAAATTTTACAAGACAAACATTTTAGGCAGAGGAAATGGCAAGAGATGATACACTTTCTTCTGTCTATAACACCCCCTATCTGTAACAAAAAAAAACTTTGTATCCCACAGACTTGGCACAGTACCTGGCATTGAATAGGTGCTGAAGAGTTGTTTGGTGCCTGTCATTATATGGAAAAGATCATGTTAGCTGTAAAATAAACAAAAAAAGGGGGAGGGCCTGTTTGGGAAATAGTTTGCCTGGAGTATGTGCCAGGATAGTAGTGGACTGTAGGAAAGAAAAGAAGCTAGACCAGAGCTATATTGTGAAAAAAAAATCAAGTATCAAGATAAGAAAGTTATGTGTGATTTATTAGGAAGTGGAGAGAAGTCAAAACCTTAGATGGGTGGGAGGAGAGGTGATTGGTTAGGAAAATTTTGCATCATTCTGTCCCAGTGGTCTCCAGAAAGGAATATATGTACCGTAAAGGGACAAGCAAAACAATCCACTAAGCTGGTGAGAGATAATTTTACAACTTCAACTCATATTCCTTTTCCTTCATTCAGAAAGCCTCCCATGTTCTATGCTTTATAATTAACGTAATAATCAGAACCTGTTAAGTTAGCATAATGAAATTTAAATAATATGTAACTAAAACATATGCCTCAGGTGGGATTGGAAACTATTTATTGAGTGTACATTATCACCCAAAACTTTCACCATCACTAGCTAGACTATCAATTCAAGCTGATGTTTTGGGGATTACTGCTCAGGAAGCTATCAATAAATCCCAAGAAACAAATATTAATTACTTGAGTTTCAAAACATTACATTCTAATTTGCCCTCACAGAGTTCCATTGTAGAAAATGCTGACAGTAAAGAAACTAGTTTATATAAAAAATAAACCAGTTTGTTTTTTATTCCAGTGATTCTTAAATTTGTTTGCATATGGACAAACTCTGCCATTGCACCTAACATCCTATGGACCAAAGTCCTGTGGAATTTCCACATAAAAATAAATGGAAAGTTGCCCATGTCTGAAGAAGAAAATATATTTGAGAAGTACTGTGAATAAAGAACAGTGTTTTTCTATGTTGATTCAAAGATGGTATTTTGGTGGCTGGAAGAACGTTAGCTGCAATAAAATATTAACTATTTTCAATCCACCAAGTTTGGCGCATTAATTTTGAATATTGGAGAAATACTATGCAACAAGCATGTGAAGACATGGGTATGGAATATTTAAAGAAAGAAGGTTTTATCTAAAGGTGGAAACGTGTGGGTCTCCAGTAAAAGATGACGAATGGAACTACAGAAATGGACAAGATCATTAAAGAAGAACAGTAATAGAAGAGAGAATTGTTATGAAGACTAAATAGGATACTATATCAATGCATTTCATACTATATCAGATACATAATATATGTTCAATAAAATGATAGTTTTTCCCTTTCCTTTGCCTTATAAATAAAATGTCTGCCATTTATCTCTTGCAGTGAGACAAGGGATAATCTTAAAAATATTTTAACCTAAAATAAATATTCTTCAATTTGTCATGAGACTATGTGTCTGAGTTAGGAGACTTGTTATATTAATTGACAAGAAAAATTATGATGAAAAGAAAATCTCTTCCTCTTTCTTCCCCCTCCTGTGCTATGATTGCATTCACTCATTTAAACTGTGTTTTATTTTGGTATCCAATCATCAGGGTGATTGGGAAATGTCTAGAAAACTCTCAGGCCAAAATACAATGGCCTGGTCACAAAGAGTATAAACATTTTGGCATCTGCAGACATCCTGATCCTCAATTTCAGTTCTCTGCCACAAGGTGGGATCATGCATTCAGCATACCAAACAAATACAAATTTATTCTAAGTTTTAAACTTCTACAGAGGAAATTTTCATATATTATCACTTCTCTTATTCCTATACATTGCTAAATAATCTAATGGTGAAAATATGTATCTAATTCCTGCTGATTTATTTAGAGTATTTCTTATTTAAGTTCATAAAATAATACTTGATGCATAAAATAATACATGTAGAATAAGTATGTGGTGATTATAATAAGAAAACAAATTCACATAACTCTTATTTTTATATGGAAGAACAATCAAAAGAGCCATACATGCCTGAAGAAGAAAAATAAGATGAGGTAGGGGGTGTCTAATAATTAAACCTTGTGTTACTACCACAGGCACAAATAATAATATGATCCAAGGAGGAGAACAGAAAGCTCAGGAAGAGATCTACATGTGGCAGAAACTTGACCTGTGACAGTGGTGGCATTCAGATCACTGGAGAAAGGATGCTGGGACAACTGATTAGGCGTACTCTTACTGTGTTCACTTTGGAAGAGCTGGAAAGCAGCTAGGGGGCAGACATCAGTACAATATACTCCTTTTCTGAAAACTATCCCCCATATCAGCTTTTGTTTTCTAACTTTATAACTGCAAGCATACATTTGGTTTGCTTCTTTTCTTTTTTTTCTTCCCAGGGCATTTCCAACTTTTTGCCTATTTTTCACATTTTCTTAGGAAACATTTTCTGTGAAATTCCAACACAAGACACATGACTTCTAAGTAGTGCTAAGAAAACTAAGAGGATTAGTTTATACAACTAGACATTTCCAAAATAAGAAAGTTAGCAAGATATTGACCAAACTACTCAAGAAAGGCAGTGTAAAAATGTGTAGGCACTTTCTGTTTCCCCTGGAGCAACTTCTAGAGTACCTTGAACATTCTAGGTGTTTAATGAATGCCTGGTACACTGTTACTCTATAATAAAAGTAGATTTTAGTCTGAATTCTCTAGTAGAATGAAGGGCCTTTCAGGCAACATATTTAATCTCTTTATCTAAAAAGAAATTCTGACTCCAAGCTATCATTTGGAACTTACTGTTACAAAGTGTTCCCAGGGTATCATAATCTTCCAAGGAGTCACAGACCACTCGCCATTGAGAAAAGACAGAGTTTGGGCTTATTAGAGTGGAATCAAAGTTGCTTCTGGATCCCATCAAGTCATCCGTGCAGATATCACAGACATTTTTCCCCGTTGCAAAATTCCAGTAAGGAAGGGAGAAAGAAGGCTCTTGCAACATTTCCTAGATCACAGAAACCACATTAATACTCTCTGCTTCTGTTTACAATTATTCATTTCTGTTTGGTCTACTCTCTGACAGTCTATTTCTATTAGCTCTCTTCAGACAATAAGGTACTGGTTAGTATATCAACGGTGTCTGAGGGGCCCAGAGGAGTTAAAACCTTATTTAACAAAGCTGGTAATTTATTACAAGGTGTCATTTAGGCATTAGAGGGAATGAAACTCAACTCATTATGCAGACATTTCTGAAAATGATTTAAAGGGATAAAGGGTCTTCTTTTTCTTTTTTAGGCAGATAATTACATTTATATTGGTTATACAAAAAAGTTATCAATAACAACATCCACTTCTTGGCATTTCCACCTTCTTCCATTTTCCTATCTTTAATTCAAGCATCATTAACTCTTAGTCTGGAGCCAGATCCAGCCTTAAAATATGTTTTGTGGAGTGCTAATTTTTGTTTTGCTTCTGTTTTTAAATTTAATTTGAATGACTAGGCATTTAGATTCTGGTTTGGCAACAGGCCAATGGACTCTTTCACACTGAGCACGGAAGGTGTTTTATTTAGGGAACCCTGCCTTAGAATCTAAACTTTTAAGACTCAGGCTTCTGCCTAAATTTATACTGATAAAAATGCTAAACAGAAGCAGAGTAAATCTTTCTGCCCATTGTTTTTTAGATCAGAGACCTAGTTTCCATTCAAAGCTGATCTCACATTTTTAAAAATGCTGGCCTCAAGATCACATGCTTATTTCATTCGGTTCTTTAAAACATACATTTCCTTGTTATTTCTCATTTCTTTGGTGCCTTGAGAAGTTCTATTTATGGTATGGGATTTAAATGTAGGGATTGCAATTGTTTTATCTTATCTCTCAAGCACTCAGTATATTTCTACTTTTTCACTTTAAATCCCTTCCTAGGAAGCATTTTCTTATCCTTGGGTGTTTTAGAGAGCCAAAAGCTTTCCAAGTTATCCCCAGTTATTGGTCTCCAGGGGTTTGTAGTCCTCCTTTAGAAGCCATCATTGTGGTTCACAAAAATTAGTGACAGCTTCCAAGGGATCATTAAGAATCGGTTTGTGGTTCAGCAACTGACATTTGGGAGCCAGAGCATATTCATGTGGCATTTCAACCACGAATTACATTTAAATTCTAATTTGTTGCATCCCTTGTGCTGTTGGGTCTTTAAAATGTAAGTCATAGAGGTTGAAGTTTACACAGGCAAAATTGAAGCTTTTAGATACTTTCCACCTGCCCTTTCATTTTGGTGTGCCCATGAGAAAATGACTTGAAGGCATGAAGATCTGCAGTCAATTACAAATGACAGATTTATCTATAATCTACTAAATGTCTTACTTGCAATCAGAGCTATAAAATATGACGTTCAGAGTATCAGATGAATTCATTTAATCACTCTCAAACTGCAAATGGATAGTGTACTTTCAAAAGAATATTTTATCCTGTATGTTAGTGCATTAATTCTCTCTCTTCTAACCATTTATTTTTTCTCGGAATAATGCTGGCACAGCATTCTGCAAATTAATAAATGAATCTAAACGCCTTTCCCTTCTTCAGATATTTTTAGCTTAATTTTTATATCTTAACTTGAAGGGGGAGATTCATTGCTGTTATTTCACATAGAAAACAGGTTTACTTTGTGGATTTCCTAGTTGAGATCTAACAACTTAAACTTTTATTTTAAAATTTCCATATTTTTCTCAAGGAACAGAGCAGTTGGTAAAAGAAATAAGAGTAAAGAATCTACGTAACTAGATACTTTAATATGTTTGAAGCTTATCTGCTTAGAAAATAAGCATGAAATAACTGCTTGAGTTGAGGTTCACTTTGTGCCAAATAAAAAGCCAATGTCTTTTCACTAAAAATATTGCCTGACTGATATAATTATTTTGATATTTTTCAACTTTTTTTCAAATTTTACATATTTTAGGTGTACAACATGGTGCTTTGATATAAATATACATAGTAAAGTGATTACTATAGCCAAGCAAATTAAAATATCTGTCCTCTTATATAGTGATGTGATATTTTAATAGGTTTCTTCTGTAAGACTCAAAGGGTAGGGAACGTGGAAAAATATAGTTCAATGAAAATATGAGAGTCTAAATTGAAAGGAATTATTTTTCATGATTTAAACCCTATACCATGTTGGAGGGAATCATCGCTGGAATGATGAGATATACATTTAGGACTGGAAAGATTGAGAAGTCTCTAACCCACATCACTTGACCAGGAGGAGGAATCTGCTTATATTTAGTAGAGAAGGAAGACATGCAAATGAGATTCTTCTGTTTCAAGCTTTATGAAAGTCATGTTTTCAATGAAACTGCAAAATATTTTTAAACTTTTAATTCATTCCTGCAAATGTCTCATTTTGCTCATTATTGATTTTGCTTTATTTTCACTTCACCAAGATAAAGATTAATTAACAAGTAACCAAAATAAGGAGAAAACGAAATGCCAAAGACAGGTTAGTAACATAAAATTGCTTTTTCATCAAATGTTCTGATGATTCTGAAAACTAGTGAATTAAAATCACTTACAAACAAGGCATCTTGTCTGTAAAGAGTCTGCAAACTGAAATGCTTCTTACATACCTGCATGTCTTTCTCCAGACGCAGGAGGTGGTACCTGTGCCATGTGAGAAAAGCTGGTCCCTCATGAGAGAAATCCACTTCACCAAAGCTTTCCTGTCCTACCCCAAGGAAAGTCTTTTTGACTGAGTAATAGTGTGTCCAAACAAAGTAGTTATAAATGGAAATGTTCTCAAATTGTGGCGTGTTGCCATCTGGCCCCAGTATTTCTTCTGATCTCCTGGTGGCAATGACAAATAAAGGGTGAGTTGTGCGCTTTGCCATATCCAGGGCCCGGACAAAGTGGTTCTTTTCTTCTTTACTTAAGTCCAGAAGATTTCTCCTGACTTTAGGGATACAAAATTCAAGCATGAAAACATCTGCCTTGCGGGGATGGGTAGAGAAAGAGCATAATCATCTTGTAACACACCACGACCCATTTATCCATCTGTTCAAATGTGTTTTAAATTATTTTACACTTTTAAAAATATCCTTAACTAAAACCCTTTCTTCAAGCCTGCTTTCTCTCTCTTTCTTCCCTTTTCTCTCTCCAATTTACTGCATGATTTATATTACCTTTCTTTAATCTTACCTATGGATTTTATGTTTCTGTGACCTTGTCATGTTGATTTCTGCCCACTGTTGGCATTTTTGTTGGAATTTTCTGTCTTTTTAACATTATAAATCTTTGAAAATTAGGTGATATAACATAGTAGTTAAGACCAGAGAATTATTCTATGACTTTGGGCACATTTTTCCAAGTCTTAGTTTTTTTTTAATCATTAAAATGTGGATAAAAATAATACTTGCTTTACAGAATTGAAAGTTCAAAGACCACACACATAAAAAGCAATTAGCCCAAGGCCTAACTCATAGTAAGGACTCAATACATGTTCATTTAAACCCTTAGTCTACTATCTCGCACATAGAACACAATCAAATATTGTTGGCTGTTACTGTTTAGTGCTTTGTTATTTAATGCTATTTAGTCTGCAGGCCAAACTCTTCATCTCAAATGCTGAATTTGATCATCATGGTGGGAAACTTCTTTAAGGGTCAGCAGGGGTAGTTGCAGAACTAAAATATAAGGGCTAGGTAGATCTCAGCATGAATTCCAGGTTTACTAAATATCACCTGTGTGGATTTGAACTTTCTGAACCTCATCTATGACAATTAACATGTTTACCTGAAGGAGTTACTGAATTGACTAGTCATAATACCTAACACAGTTCCTAGGATATAGTGGTTGCTCAATAAATGTTTCAGAATAAAATATTGATCAGAAGTTCTGAGCTTCAACTCCAACCCTTTACATTAAACAAGTTTCTTAACCTTTCTAAGCCTCAGTTTCCTCAACTATGAAAAGAGAGGGTTGAGCTATATGATTTCCAGGTATTCCTCCAGCTCAAATGATTTAAGATTTTATTAAGAGCCTTGAGTCTCATGCAGGACTTATGAACTCATTCATATCTCCACTTACCTATGAGAACCCTCTGGTCACAGGCAGCTCCTCTCCAGCCAGGACGGCACGTCCCACAGTTGTGTCCTGAGAAATTGCCGTTGCAGTGACATGTCCTATTGAAGAAGCGCAAGGGCCAGACCTCCCGATCATCTCTGCCATCATGGGGATACTGAGGGCTGTGGGGCCGGGAGTCTGCAGTCACTGCCTCACATCTGCCCCTCCCTGATGATGAGCCACAGCGGTCTGTCCCAGGCCCAGACACAGGGGACAGGTCTGGGCAACACATACCACTTCTCAAAGCCTCAACAGTGGCACACTGTCTTGGGAATTGAGCCCGGGCCTGCTGAAAAAGTAGCAAGGGGAAGAAGATACAGCCCAGAGAGAGGAGTTTAGGAGCACTCATTCTGCTTGAAATAAGAGTGCAAAACAAAGACCTGGTTTGCAGCTCTTTGTGTAGAGAAGACTGAAGCACGTAGAGGAAAATCCAGCTGAAAAAGAGAAAGTAAAATGAGATTATGCAAGTTTTTCTTGGTACTTAAAATGGTATGCCCCCTTCCCAAACCACTTTCAAAATGGAACCCATATGTAAAATGACATTTCACACAAATAATAAAAGTGTGACATTTCACACAAATTTTACCTTTAAAATTTGGCATATATAACACCTGCATGTGTGATACCCAAATAATTAAATTCCCTGTCCTCGTCATTTTGTTTATATATATATACATACTAGATATCAGTTATCAAAAGCATGAATTAGCAGGTCACCATCATTAATTACATTTAATTTAACCTTGGAGCTGAAGGAAGAATTGGGAACAGATTTCCAGCAAGTTAATTTCTGTGATTTAAAGTCCCTTACACTAATGGAGTTTTGGCACGTGTCCACCCACTCCCCATAGGACTTCTTTCCAGTACCTCACAATCCTGAAGGATGTCTCTGATGAACTTCTCTTAGAATTGAATGTTTTATATTTGCTTGTGTTTCTTGTCCTCTCACGTCAGAACTGTTAAGTGCATGTGGATTGCTGCCTGATAATTAATCCCAAATCTGCTCACCCAAACTAGGCGGGGGGCTGGTCTTTTTTTCCACCCTTTACTAATCCTTTTCACTTCAGTGAATATTTCTGCCCTTTAAGGACTTGATCAGCACATGATTCCCTTCCAACTGATTTCCTTGTGATGCTTAAAGTTTTAAGAAAAGGCCAGAAGCACTAATTTGGAATACAAGTCAGATAAACTAGTGAGATTTGTTTACTTTGCAGAGATTTTTTTTTATTCTGTTATTCAACTGTTATTCAACATATTACCTTGCTAGAGCAACCAGGCAAGAGAAGGTATAAAGAGCATCCAAATTGGAAATGAAGAAGTCAAATTATCCTTGTTTGCTGATGATAAGATCTTATATTTGAATAAAACCTAAAGACTCCTCTAAAAAACTATTAGAGCTGACAAACAAATTCAGTAAAGTTGCAGGATACAAAATCAGCATACCAAAATCAGCAAAGTTTCCATATACCAACAGTGAAAAATGTGAAAAAGAAATAAAAAAGTAATCCCATTTACAATAGCCACACATAAAATTAAATACCTAGGAATTAACCAATGAATGAAAGGTCTCTATAATGATAACTACAAAACATTGATGAAAGAAATTGAAGAAGACACCAAATAATGGAAAAATATTATATGTTCATGGATTGGGAGAATCAAGATTGTTAAAAAGTCCGTATTACCTAAAGCAATCTACAGATTCAATGCAATTCCTATCAAAATACCAAAGACATTCTTCACAGAAACAGAAAGAAAATCCTAAAATTTATATGGAACACCAAACCTTGAAGAGGCAAAGTTATCCTAAGCAAAAATAACAAAACTGGAGGAATCATATTACTTTACTTCAAATTATACTACGGAGTGATAGTAGCAAAAACAGCATGGTACTGGCCTAAAAACAGACACATAGAGCAATGGAACAGGAGAACCCAAAAACAAAATCACACACCTACAGTAAAGACATTTTTCACCAAGATACCAAGAACATACACTGGGGAAAAGACAGTCTTTTTAATAAATGGTGCTGGCAAACTACATACCCATATGCAAAAGAATGAAACTAGGTCCCTATCTCGTTCCATATACAAAAATCAAATAAAAAATGATTTGATTAAATATTTAAATCTGAGACCTCAAACTATGAAACTACAATGAAGAAACATTGAGGAAAATCTTGAGGACATTGGTCTTGACAAAGATTTCTTGAGCAATACCACACAAGCACAGGTAGCCAAAGCAAAAATGAACAAATGGGATCACATCTAGTTAAAAATCTTCTGCACAGCAAAGAGTACAATCAATGAAGTGAAGAGACAACCCACAGAATGGGATAAGATATTTGTAAACTACCCATTTGACAAGGGATTAATATCCAGAATATATGAGAAGCTCAAAAAATTCTATAGAAAAAAATTAATAATCCAATAAAAAAATGGGCAAAATATTTGAGCAGACATTTATCAAAAGAAGACATACAAATGGCAAACAGACTTATGAAAAGATACTCAACATTATTGATCATTAGAGAAGTACAAATCAAAACTATTGTGAGATACCCTCTTACCCCAATTAAAATGGCTTATGTCCAAAATTCAGGCAATAAGAAATGTTGACAAGGATGTGGAGAAAAGGAAACCCTCATACAGCGTTGGTAGTAATGTAAATTAGTACAACCACTATGGAGCAAAGTTTGGAGTTTCCTCAAAAAACTAAAAATTGAGCTACTATATGATCCAGCAATCCCACTGCTAGATATATACCCAAAAGAAAGGAAATCAATATATTGAAGAGATATCTGCACTCCTATGTTTATTGCAGCACTGTTTACAAAGCTAAAATTTGGAAGCAACCTAAGTGTTCATCAATAGATGAATGGATTAAGAAAATATGGTACATATGCAAAATGCAGTAAAACAATGAGATCCAGTCATTTGCACCAACATGGATGGAACTAGACATTCTGTTAAGTGAAATAAGCCAGGCACAGAAAGACAAACATCACTTATTCTCACTTATTTGTGGAATCTAAACCTCAAAACAATTGAACTTATGGACATAAAGAGTAGAAGAATGGAGGCTGGGAAAGGTAGTGGGTGTCTGAGGGGAGTAGGGAAGTAGGGATAGTCAATAGGTACAAAAAAATTAGCAAGAATGAATAAGACCTACTGTTTGATAGCACAATAGGGTGACTATAGTCAATCATAACTGTATATTTTTAAATAACTTAAAAAGTGTTATTGGATTGTTTGTAACTCAAAGGATAAATGCTTGAGGGTATGAATACCCCATTCTCCATGATGTGCTTATTTCATGTTGTATGCCTGTATCAAAATATCTCACATACTCCATAAATATATACACCTACTCTGCACCCATGAAAATTTTTCTGCCTCATTGTGATTCATTCGAAGAAGAGAAGGGCATCAAAGGAGGATAACTAAGTCATCTGGATGGCCTGGAGCCATGTTTGAAAAATTTTATTGTTAAGTATTGTTTTTTTACTGGTTAAATCAATGATAACATTCTTTACTTTGTGATTGTGTTACTCAAAAGAAGGATTTTTTTAACAATGATAAAAATAAAGCTTGTTAGATCATTAAAAAATTTAAAAATTTATAAAAAAGAGTGGTCTGACAGAAGTTTTTAATGAGTGGACATATCATTTTTTTTTTTTTTTGGGACAGGGTCTCACTCTGTCGCCCAGGCTGGAGAGCAGTGGCATGATCAAAGATCTCTTAGCCTCACACATCTAATGGGTAAAATTCCTCATATACTCCTCAGTGTTTCCATCATTAAAGAAGAGTAGCAACAGACCCCCTTCCTCACTGAGCTTACTCTAGCTGGGCAGGCAGAAATATGACTGCTAAAATATGTCTGTGGAAATTTCTAATAACGAACACAAAAAAATAGAATTTTGCTGAAGAGTAAGATCATTATAGATTGCATAATCTGTTTTTTTTCTTGCCAGGGATTGAGGTTGCTAACGTTTGAAGAAAATGTACTACTGACACTTGGGGATTGTAGAGCTTCTATGGTGCCAAGATAATATTCTGTGCTTGTATTGCTATTATCTAAATGCACAATGGGAATCGATACCATGCGTTTCTAACATCCTTAAGGGCAAGGTAGTACACTCTATGAAGGATATTGTGATTACTGCCTGCACTGTGGAAAAAGCACAGAAGGAGACAAGAAATACAATAATCTGTAAAACAAACTGAAGCCTAATCAAAAGCACAGGTAAAATTCAGAACTTGGTCTACCCTATAACATTTTGAAGAATTACATGGTCTAGAGAAACCAGGAAAATTTCCAACTGTGAGAAATTAAGTACTCTCTCTTAGTAACCCTCCACTAAACAGGAAAACCAGAGATCTATGGGACTTACTGTTGGCAAAAAACACACTTCCTATTTAGGAACACTGCTGGTCCCTACTCACAAATAATGCAATGAAAAGCATTTAAAGATTTACAAAGGAGTGTGTCATCCTATCGGAAAGATTGGCCTGACTTCTCTGTTAACTTTTAGAATTGTCTTCACTAAAATGCCATAAATTGGGTACTATCAGAAATTAAATACTGCTAATCAAAGGAGACTCCAGGTGTTTGGAATTCAACTCCTCCTCCTCTTGCCTATTTTAAGGAAAATTTTTTTTAATTAGGCATTTGTGGAAGCTGACCTCACTACTAAAGGACATCGAATAATTCTGAGACCAGAAAAAAAAAACAGTTATCTTTGGGTAATGTCAGAGAAACAGTCAAACAGAGAGAGAGATAGAGAGAGAGGGAGAGACAGAGAAGATCAGGAGAACTTACTGATGAAAGGAAACAGTACATGCAAGAACATATGATGGGGGAGGTTTAAAGGGTAAAGCCTACTTCCTTTAGAAGCAAGAAGTAAATTGGCCTGTCATCCAAAAGACAGCAACTGCCACTATCTCACTTCCCCTTCATCTTGCTCGTAAAAGTAGCTTCATGTATAAAAAGAACTAACTGAAAGCCTAAATAATCTAAATCTTTTTTATATCTGATATAGAAATATAAAATCACATGTATAAGATTGGTCATATTGAAACATTTAGAAATAAGGTCTTGGAAATCCTACAGGTTGAAAATATTTTAAAAACCTCTTACCCTAAAAAGTTTAAAATTAAACCTTGAAATTTGCAGATGGAGATGTGTGGCACTGGATGGATTTATCATAATCAGTGTCAAATTTACTAATAAAATGGGATGAAACCCATATGCAGTGATGAATTGAGGAAGATCAAATGAGTTTGGCTACATTTCAAATAACTTTTTTAAATTGAATCAGCATATTATAATTTTCCAGGGTATAGAGGAGGAGATGAGACATTTAAGAAGTTAAAATTAGGCAATCTGGAGAGACACATGAAAAGCATTACCAGCAGTAAGGGACTTGGTGTGTTATGATTACTGCTATTTTTCTCACAAGCAACTTGTATACGTTTAGAAGGATTATCACTCCTCCCTTTTCTTCGTCTCTCTCTCTCTCCACTGACACACACACACACACACACACACACACACACACACACACAGAATGAGAGAGAGAGAGAGAGAGAGAAACATGCATGCACACACCATATGCTACTTACTCTGGAACGTATAAAGGCCCCATTACCTAAGGGGCCTTTGGTAATATAACTCAAATTTAGGTAAGAAAACAGAGCTTTTTTCTTTTCATTTATTTTTAAACCATAGGAAGTCTGAAGAGACAACTGACATTTGGTCAATACTCACTTTAAGGATGTCTCTTCACTTTTTAGATAACCTTGCAGAAGACAGACAATGATGGAAACCTCCTGACCCCTTCTACCTCTTCATCAGAACCAAAATTTACCTCTGTTTCCTCCTTACGCACTCTAATAATCTGCCATGAGACGGGATGTTAGAAGTTACATCACAAGAGGAGGGAATGAAGAATTTGGTAGCACTGAGGTGCTGGAAGAGGGATAGAGAGCACCGTGAGAGCGGTGTGGAGGATTGCTGTAATGTGACTGTGGAAGCCAAGCCAGGAGGATGAGGTTCCAAGTGCAGTAACCTTGCTCAGGCACAAGATGATGGACTAGAGGAGGCACTCCCAATCACTGTTACCCCATGGACTCTGTATGGTTAACAAATATCACTTAAATTTAAATTAAGCAGATAATTAAAATAAGTTATGTCTATAACTGTGTGAGTTTGATTACTTAAGGCTTTTATTTGGGGGTGCTATAGCATCCTCCCTTTTCATTGCAGAGTCACGGAATAGGGTTACAGGGTTATACTATTAGTAATATAAAAGAATTTCTGCACTTGATTGTCAATTAACATCTCTTAGTAACCCTCCACTAAACAGGAAGCCCAGGGACCTAGAATGTCCAGTATGAGGGAGTGGGTAGGAAGTAGTAGTCTTCATGCAGAAATGCATACCCATTCAGAAAAGCGGCAGAAAAATATGTGTTTGTATTCCCATGGGTCATATTGAGAAAGAGAGGCCACTGATAGCATAGGCTGGCATGCTCTTTATTGTAAATGTTGGTGTTGGCATGTCTGTTTATTCACATCTATCACACACAGCATCCAGAATCTCTTGAGGTCCACAAATGCTTTGTCAACAGCGATTTCTTTATTTTGTAAAATATTTATAAAAATTCTTCAGTACAATTGTAAAAATGCACTGATATAAACTCTATAGGGAAAAAGGCCTTTTCTAAAAATTAGAAAATGATCCATTAGCACTATTTATTCTGTATTTATAACTTTCAAAGGCCTATAGATTTTTTTCAATTATTATATTTGACTTTCACTTGTTTCATAATTCTAGCTTTTTGTCTGAGACCTTTTGTCTCTGTGGACATCATAAAGGGATGGGAACTCAAGAAGTACTGACAGCACTGGGGCAAATTTCAACACATCTCATATTTAATCCTCATACAATTCTATGAGGTAGGTATCTTTATTCATGGAGGTTCAAAAAACTAAAATGATCTGCTCAAATTTGTGTACCATTAAATAAGCAAGCTGAGACTGAACAGGTCGTCTTAGTCCCATTTCTAGCACTATTTCCACAACGTTACAACTGCTGTGATTGTGTTATTATATCATTTAAAATAAACAGGAAGACTAAAGGAGGGTGGAGGGACAGAGAGATAATTATAAAAAGCAGTCAAACATGTCTAAGGAGATGAGAAATTGATTCATACAATATATATTTCATTTTTGAACTGTGTTGACATCTTGTATTAACAATTATAGACAAAGTAGCCTATGATATTTAATATCAAACTCCTTGTCTAATTATGTTGTTATATTTTGGGGACTTACTGAGTCTCCTTTTAGTCAGTGGTCATTATGAAATCTTTTCCCATATTGATATATATTTGAAACACAGTCTTGCTTTGTCACTCAGGCTGAAGTCCAGTGGTGCTATCTTGGCTCAGTGCAACCTCTATCTCCCAGATTCAAGCGATTCTCCTGCCTCAGACTCCTGAGTAGCTGGGATTACAAACACCCACCACCACGCGTGGCTAATTTTTGAATTTTTAGTAGAGACGGGGTTTCACCATGTTGACTAGACTGGTCTCAAACTCCTGACCTCAAGTGATCTGCCCACGTTGGCCTCCCAAAGTGCTAGGATTACAGGTGTGAACCACTGCATCTGGTCCTTTTTTGAAATGAGCTCAACCATTAAGCTATTTTCGTATGCAGAATTATAAGTAGGCCAATAAAAATGGAGCACTATATTCTTTCTGATTTGTTCAATGATAGTCTGCCAATATGCATGAAAAATTTAAACAAACAAAATAGGAAGCTGGTGAGAGAGAAAATTAAATCCAGGTATTAATCAATAAGAAAGTTCAAATGGAAAGCAAACTCTTATTGTGAATAGATGAAGCATAATCTTCCAGTTACAAAATACTTTATGTTCTCTGTTCATGGAAGGTATATATTAGATATTCCCATTATTATTTTAATCACTGAATAAAAAAATTTGGCCTTTAAACATTAGTCACTCCCATCAGCACAGTTTATCATTTTTTGAAATATAATATTTTACACAAAATACTTGTATCTGGCTAATAGATTAAAAAAGATAGCTTAAAATTTACCTAAGGTATTAAACTTTCCTTTGTTTTTATTCAGAAATTTGCTGCATAAAACTTATTTTTTCATAAGGAAGGTGTTATATACACACAACAATAAAAATGAAAAGCAAAAAGACAATAAGCCCTATTGCACATCCATCCTCATCTTCTGAAGAATAATTTGTAGTCTAAAAAAATTAAAAGAAAACTCTAACTGACTGATTATATCTTGTGACTTTTCCTAAGCATTCTTAGCTCTTAAAAGTGATCTATTCTTTCATCAAGTACTTGGTTTTTCTTCATTTTAAAAATAAATATGTCGTCTTAATTTGCACCTCATTTTCTACAGTTGTTTTTCTTTTTTAATAAAGTGCAAACATTGAAAGTGACAGTCACAGGGTAAAGCAAATCTTGTGAATTATCAGAAGGAAGATTTTAGTTCAACAATTACAACAAAGAAGAAAATATTTAATAATGAGGCTGTGAGTTCCATGACAGTAGAGGCATTTGAACAAAAGTTAGTTAAAGCGCTGGTGACATCTTGGAAGAGATTTCTACATTAGGAAGGAGGTTATACCACTGAGTACTTATTTAACTCTATAATTGTTTCTAATTTTCATAATAAATATTGTGGTAAAAACTTGTAGTGCTTACCCATATCTGGTTCTTCTCTCCTTTCAGATATATGGGATTATATTTTGCCATCCCCTTGTAGCTAGGCAGAGCTATATGATGGGTTTTGTCTGCAGGCTGTATGGAAAAGTGAAGTATATCACTTTGAGTCTCAAGTATTTAGTGAGATAACTTTTATGCCTTTCTCGCTTGTGCCTGACAATTACAGAGAATGTCCCATGCTGAAATTTTAGGGCTTCAAGACCCAAGCAATCTGGATTATTGAGCCATTGCATAGAATCCCAACCAATGCCACATATATGAAAAATAAACTGGTTTTATATTAGATTTAGATTTGGGCATTGTCAGCATAATATCTATTTAACTTTATCTTGACTGATAATGTGTGTTTATATTAAAAGGTATGTTTAGGTTTACTTCAGATCTGACATCTATGCCAGGAAACACAGTAATGTCTCAATTATCTCAAAAATGCAATTCAGGGAAGATAGATAGTGGAGTAGGAAATACCAGAAATCTGTCTCCTCTCCTAGGTAACAACTGTACTGGCAGAGCCTGTCTGATATAAACATTTCAGAACTCTAGAGTCTATTGATGGCTTGTATCCTCCGGAGGAGGACTTGGAAGGTGAATTGAAGTTACTTTTGGTCAATTACAGCTCTTAGCACAGCGGAAGCCATGCACACGTTCCTAGATCAGTTTGCACGCATCCTGTGGGAGTCAGGGTGGACAAAGAGGACCTTATCCTCCAAATATTGGGGATCTGTGTTCTGATCACTGATTGTTGCTTATGATCACAGAGGTGAAGACAAAGATGTGGTGACTACTGCCCCTCTCCCCCTGGTGAAGTGACTTCCAGGGGATTTAAATCATCAGCACCTCCTTCCCCTTTATTTTTATCTTTTTTTACCATTTTGGAAATAAGACATTGAATATTGGAAACTCAAGAGCAACTGCATATATAGAGGAAACTAGAAAGTCATCACTCATGCTCAGGGGAAGGAACAAACTCAGAAAAGATCTAAGAAGAGCTTACTTTTTTATGTCAGGTTGATCCTTAGCATAGAGAAAGCCTACAATAATCAAAAACAAAAACAAAAGGCAGGGTGCAGTGGCTCACACCTGTTATCCCGGCAGTTTGGAACACGTAGGTGGTCGATGGCTTGAGCTCAGGAGTTCAAGACCAGCCTGGGCAACATGACAAAACCCCATCTTGACCAAAAATACAAAAAAATTAGCCGGGTGTCGTGGCGAGTGCCTGTGTTCCTAGTTACTCAGGAGGTTGAGGTGGGAGGATTGCTTGAGTCTGGGAGGTAGAGGTTGCAGTTAGCCATGATCATGTCACTGCACTCCAGCCTGTGTGACAGAGTGAGAACCTCTCTCAAAACCAAACCAAACCAAACCAAACCAAACCAAACCAAACCAAACCAAACCAAACCAAAAACAAAACCAAAAACAAAACCAAAAACAAAAACGAAAAACAGAAAACTCTGGAACAAGGGGAGTATTTTATTCTCAGAGCTATCACTATTAGCTCAAATGCCCAGTGTTCAACAACAACAATCACAAGGCATACAAACAAACAGAAATTTTCTTTCATTCAAAGAAAAAATAATAATAAACCAACAGAAATAATCCTTGAAAACAATGTGATAACAGATATCCTAGACAAAGACTTTAAAACAACTGTCTTAAAAATGCTCAAAGAACTAAACAAGATATGGAGAAAGTAAAGAAAATGATGTATAGACACAATGGAAATATCAATAAAGAGATGGACTATCTAAGAATAAACTAAAAATAAATTCTGAAACAGGAAATTTCAATAACTGACATAAAAAAATTTACTACAGGAATTCAAAGACAAATTTGAGCAGGCAGAAGAAAGAGTTAGTGAACTTGAAGATAGGATGGTGGGAATTATTGTCCGAAAAACAGAAAGAACAAAAGATTGGAAAAAAGCTATCACAGCCTGAGTGACCTGTGTGACACCATTGGGTGGACCAGCATACACATTGCTGGTGCTCCAGAAGAAGAGAAAAATGAACAGAGAGAATATTTAAAGAAATAATAACTAAAAACTTCCCCAAATTGATTAAAGACATAAATGTCCATATCCAAGGAGCTCAACAAAGTAAGTAGAATAAACTCAAAGAGACTGACACTGAGATACATTATAGCTAAACTGTTGAAAGACAAAGACAAAGAATTTTGAAAGCAGCAAGAGTAAAGTGACTATTACATACACCAGATCCTTAATAAAATTATTAGCAAATAGTAACCAAAAGAGATCAGGGCTGCCTATCTTAATATCAGACAAAATAGACTTTAAATGCAAAAATGTTACGAGACAAAAAACATTATATATATATATATATATATATATATATATATATATATATATATATATGTTTTGTACATATATATATAATAAAAACAAAAGTTTCAATACCACAAAGGGATATAACAAGTGTAAATACATGCCTAAAAGCAGACTGTCAAAATCTATAAAGCAAAAATGGATAGAATTAAATATATATAAACAAAAGTTTCAATACCACAAAGGGATATAACAACTGTAAATATTTACATGTCTAAAAGCAGATTGCCAAAATATATAAAGCAAAAATTGATAGAATTAAAGAAAGGAAAAATTACCCCCAAACCAAAATTAAACCCAAAGCTGACTGAAGGAAGAAAAAATAAAGATTAGAGCACAGATTTAAAAAATACAGAATAGAAAAATAACAGAGAAAATCAATGAAACAAAAAGTTGTTCCTCAAAAAAATCAACAAAATTGACTAAACATTAGCTAGATGACCTAAGGAAAAAAAAGACTCAATTACTAAAATCAGAAATTAAAGTGAGACATTATTACCATTCTACAAAAATAAAAAGAATTGTAAGAGAATATGACAACCAATTGTATGCCAACAAATTGGATAACATAAAGAGGACAAATTCCTAGAAACACAAAGCCTACCAAGGCGAAACTATGAACCAATAGAAAATCTGAATAAGCCTGCAATTAGTAAAGAGATTGAATCAGTAATAAAAAATCTTCTGACAAAGAAAAGCCCTGGACTTGATGGCTTCACAGATGAATTCTAATAAACATTTAAAGAGGAACTAACATAAATCTTTCTCAAGCTTCTCCAAAAAATTTAAAGAGGAGAGAACACTGCTGAACTCATTTTGTGAGGCCAGCATTACCCTTGATACACAAAATGGGAGAAAATATTTGCAAATCATATATCTGATAAGGAATTAATGTCAAGATATGTATAGAAATTCTAAAACTCAAAAACAAAATTAACCCAATTAAAAAATAGGCAAAGGATTTGAATATCTAGTTCTCCAAAATAAGACTTACCAATATCAATAAGTACATGAAAAAATGCTCAACATTACTAATCATTAGGGAAACGTAAACCAAAAATACAATGAGATACTATGTCACACCCATTAGTATGACCGCTATCAAAATAACAGAAAATAATAAAGGTTGGCAAGGACCTGGAAAATCTGGAATCCTTGTACATTGTTGACGGGGAGGTAAAATGGTACAACTGCTGTGGAAACATATATGGTGGTTTCTCAAAAAATTTAAAATAGAATTACCACATGATCTAGAAGTTCCACCTCTGAGTATATACCCAAAAGAATTGCAAGAAGGCTCTTGAAGAGGTATTTATATAACCATGTTCATAGCATTACTCATAGTTAAAATGTAGAAGCAACCCAAGTGTCCATTAACAGATGAATGGTGGATGCAGCTTGAAGACATTATGCTAAGTGAAGTAAGTGAGTCACAAAAGACAAATACTGTATGATACCACTTATGTGAGGTACTGACAGTAGTCAAAAAAATAATGATATAAAGTAGAATGGAAGTTGCCAGGGATTGAGTATAAAGGGAAAATGGGTATTTATTGTTTAATGGGTATAGAGTTTCAGTTTTGCAAGAAGGAAAACAGTTCTGGAGATGGATGGTATTGATGGTTGCACAACAGTATGAATTTACTTAATGTCACTGAACCGTACATCTAAAAATGCTTAAGATAGTACAATTTATATTACATGTGTTTTACCACAGTAAAAGCATAGAGAAAAAAAAAGCCCATGAAAGATATAGATATGTTCACTCTAATTTTCCAGGCTCAGAGAGATTAAATAACTAACAAAGCGTAGCTGGTAGTGAAGGTGAAATTTAAACTTAGGATAGGGTTGCCAGATATAATCAGGACTCCTAAGTAAATGTGAATTTCAGATAAACAACAAGTAATTTTTAGTGTAAGTATGTTGCATGAAAAACATACTTTTTTTGTTGTTTATAGATAGTCAAATTTATTCAGTAATCCTGCATTTTTATTTTCGAAAAAAGCTAACCCTGTTTTAAGGCACACACTGTGTCTATGACGACATATTCATAGTTTATTCTATATGTTGAAGAGCAATGTAATTTTTTTACATTGAAAGTTAAAAAGGACATTGCTTATTACATTTGCAGGTTATTCTCAAACAAAGAATGTGGATAATTTGATATGAAAAGAACTGATATACTCATTGCTCCTTAACTGAAGTGCAAAGAACCAGCTGCTGCCACCATTGGTTTAAGTCAGTATGTGATAGCAGTAGGCAAACCACAGGGCCCCTTTATCTGCCATGTAGGACTTGCACCAATTCATCGCATTCATTCTTAAGGATGCTGCATTCTGTTGAGTTGTTAAAAAATTAACATTATATTTTTATCTGTCCCAGATCGAAAACCTTATAGGAGAAAGCCAAGGTTCCTTTTTGTTTCTTTGAAGTGGAAAAGGATTTAAACTATTTTTACGCTCCTCAGTTTAATTGTTTTCCCAACTTTACAGAAGTTAGAAACATACACCAGAATTAGGTTATTTTCCCATTTCTTTGTCTCCTAATACATAGTGTTTGAAATATATAATTAGGAAAACAGACAACAATGCTTGTGATTTGTCAGTGACTTGCTGCTGGAATTTTCATACGACTTTTAGGGTAAGATTATGCCTTCAGGCAGAAATAGTTTGCATTCCTTTCTCTCTTTTTTTTTTCTTCTTTGTAACTCATATGATCCTGGAATAAACCCAAAGTTTTGAGATTGAGATCCAGCCTTTCAGTAGTTAAGCATCTCAACGTCTGGCCAAATAATTCTGTCTTTGTTGCAGAGAAGCAATGGAAGCAGCTTTCTGCAGCTTCTATTGTCATTTCAGCTATCATTTAATAACTCTATCTGTGGGGATGGCACTGGCTAATGTAATAGCACACAAAGGTGAATGAGATGTGTCCCTACTCTCAAGGAGCTCAAATCATTAAAAAGTGGCACATAATATTAATTGCTAAAAGAGAGGTAAACAACCAAAGCAATGAGAATATAGAGCATGGAATGATTGATTTTGATTAGTGATATAGGATCATTATTTTCTGTAACAAATTATTGATCATCTATGTGCCAGGCACCGTGAATACAATAAAAAGGGAATACAAATATGTACAATGCAAAAGTGGCCCTGGTTGCAAGAAGCTTGCATTCTAGTTGAAGAATCAGGATAAACACACATGCGCGTGCACACGCGCAGACACACACATACATGCACACACACACATACACACACACACACACAGAGAGAGAGAGAGAAACAAGTAAAAATATAAATCCCAAACCCTGACATTTAAATAAACAGAAATATACATTAAAAACATTACAAGTTGTGATATGCGATTTGAAGGAAACACAGGGATGGAAGGAAACACAGAGGCTAAGGAGAGGGATTGAAACTTTATTTTTTAACTAGGTCAGGAAGGTTTTTGCGTAGAGGTGGAATTTACTACAAAATCTGTTTATGATAGAGTGTGCCTTTACATTGAATTTAAAATTATATCCTTCATCTATCATTTGTAACACAGATAATTAATTTCTTTTTATTTTTTTTTCATTCCCACTATAGAAAGAAGCAATACTTGATTTTCCTTGACCCAACTTCCTTAGTTCACAATGTCAAGGTCAAAATAATATGTAGAGATAAATATCTAAAGTTAACATTTTATGTTGGAAATCACAGAATCACAATTTGTAGCATACACACACACGAAATGGTCTTCAGTACGTCCAAAGGAAAAAGAGGAGTTTGGAAGTTTTATCAGAAAGGAATATGTTATATATTGTTTTAAAAGAAAGTTCATGGGCACCAATAAGGTTTTGGAAGCAGGCATTATGTAAAACTAGTCCTAGAGTTGCAGCAAGTTATATCCGTGTCTACTGCGTAAAACTGGTCTTAAGGTTACAGTAGGCAGTTTCTGCAGCTGCGTTTGTGGAGAATTAAATTCTCTCTAATCTTTAGTGGGAAACCATGGTTGGCCCATTTACAGAAGGTCCCTTGAAGATTCCAAAATGAGAAACATTCAAAGAGCCACAGATATTGGTATGTCATATAATCAGACACTGAGGGTGGAAATCACAAAATTGCAGTTAATTTCCTCTGAAGCTTGTGGGCATCAGGATTTTACATTCATTGTCTTAGCTATTGACAGTTTTATTCCTTCTGCTCCTCACTTGTAAAAGCAGTCTGTATTCTTTTGGCTTTCTCCATTAATTTGTCATAATATAAATCTTTATATACATATTTTACATTTTCTTCTTAACTCAATAACATTTCTTATAAAAAGGAATTTGATATTAAGAAAACTGGAGAAGCAATGTTTGCTATTTCTCAGTAACTTGCTACCAGAATGTTCAGATAATTTTTAGAAGATGATGCTTTTAGACAGCAATTATTTGTTAAATGTCTGACATATTATTGAAATAATAGTTTTGTTTGTTCTTTCTTTGTTTCTTTCTTCTCTCTAATTTGAGTCAACCAGGCTTTGGGAATCTTCACCCTAACAGTAGGAATAACCTAAAAAAGACTGTGTTTCTGAAAGCCGAAGCCAACTGAAGAGATTCTGTTTGATTTACTGGCAAGAAAGAAAAGTCAGTGTATCCTTATGAAGCTAGATACAATAGACCTTTAGAGTATCAGGCTCAAAGGGTTTTTAAAATCCAAGTTTCTGCCTTTTAAGTCAATCCTTATCAAAAATGTCAACAAATCATAATTCATTTAATTTAAGATTTATGGTCCATCATTCTTTTATAAGATTTGAATCAGCTTTCAAGAATATAGATAAACACTAAATGTTGATATTTAAATAATAAATTGACAAGACTAGACAGTAAAGAAATCAGAAGATTAAGATGTGGGAAACTAAGAATGCATATGCTCATATATGAAAATCATAGGCTTCTAAAGAGTTCACAGTATTATAGAATGATTGATCATTTTAAAGTTAAGAAACAGATCATGCTGTCCCCTGTTAAAGATACTCTAATGGCTTCCCTTTACACATGGAGTAAAATCCTAATGAGTGGGGCCCACACTTGATTCCTGCCCATCTCTCTGATCTCCCTGTTTATTCACCAAGCTCCAATCACTTTTGTAGCCTCCTTCTCCTATTTTCCAACAGCCAAGGTTCTTGCCTTCCTGAGGACATTTGTACTTGCTGTTCCCTTTGCTTTAAAGCTCTGATATTGAGCTTTGGCAGTTGTCTGAATTAGTCAGGACTCAACTCTAATACGTACTTTTTATTTTATTTTATTTTATTTTATTTTATTTTATTTATTTTATTTTATTTTATTTTATTTTATTTTATTTTATTTTATTTTATTTTATTTGAGATGGAGTCTCTTTCTGTCTCCCAGGCTGGAGTGCAATGGCTCAATCTGGGCTCACTGCAACCTCCACCTCCCGGGTACAAGGAATTCTCCTGTTTCAGCCTCCCGAGTAGCTAGCTGGGACTACAGGTGCCCGCCACCACGCCTGGCTAATTTTTGTAATTTTAGTAGAGATGAGGTTTCATCATATTGGTCAGGCTGGAGTCAACCTCCTGACTTCAGGTGATCCACCCGCCTCGGCCTCCCAAAGTGCTGCGATTACAGACGTGAGCCATCGCGCCCAACTAATGCCTACTTTAAATGGTATATTCTTTCAATCATGTTGACTTATTTAATTATCTTTGTAAATCTCTCTCTACTGAAAATATTTTGCCCATGTGTTTCATTACTTATTTTATATCTTTCTTTCCACCCTCCATGCCCACAAGAATGGATGTTCCACAGAGAAAGTTCCTTACCTATCATTTTCACTATTGCATTGCCAGTACCTAGAATAGTCTGTGAAATATAATAGGAAAATATAATAAATAAATATGATAAATATTCACTGAATCGCTGACTGAGTGAATTCTGTTTTCAAACAATAGAAGTAAAAAGGGAAATATAATGTTATAGACTTTTTATTGTCCATTAAAACAAAAAGTTCCCCTGATGGGAGATCAAAACTTTCTTGTCTACAATAATAAAGAAATTTCTCTGAAGGGGCTTCATATTGGGACAAAAACACTGTATTTCACAATGTCCTCAACAATATCTCCAAGGCACTCTTTAAAAAATTAGTTACTTATATAGTTCTCCAGCTAATATTTGAGCCCATCAGGTCCAGGCAATGAAGCAGGGATTTTTTTTTCTCATTTTATGGGCAGCTTTTAATGTTCTGCCATACAAGCACATTTAGCCTTTCAGTGACTTCTGCTCCATCACGTCATGTATAGCATCACAAATGATAAGAACAGCCCCAACTGTGACAACACTGTGGCTGTCACCTTTCCCAATCCAGTTACTCTAATTTTTCTTCTCCATGGTAATTTTGTAATTAATACATATACAAACATATGTATATGTGTACACACACACACACACACACACACACACACACACACACTGCTTTTAAATCATTCCATTTCCAGATATATTCCTATTCTGTTGATATTCATCCAACATTCTCCCACTGGTTAATGTTGTATTGAAATTGAAGTACCCAGAAGTGTATCCCATTCTTCAAATGTGTTCTTCCCAGCAAAGAATAATATGGGAATTCCAGCATCATTCTTCTATAGCATATTTTTCAACTAACCTAAAGCCTAAGCTTGTGTTGTATTTTTTGACAGCTTCCTCATCCATTGAGATTATGGTAAATTTAATCCTTAATTCTTTACTCATGCAGTTGATTAGAGAGATCTCTTGTATCAACTTGTTTTACCTTATATTTCTGATTTTGGTGTTTGATTATTCCCTTTTATATTTTAGTTGCTAAATGTTGTCAATTTTTATAGCATGATGAGGTGCCTTATTATTCTAATCTATTAATTTCCTGCTATTTATATCCAGCTCTGTGATACCTGTGAATTTGATTTGCATGCCACTATCTCTTTATTCGAAAATTTGACATAATTTTAATAGCTAAAGTTAGAGCATTTTACAGAATTTCTTATCTATATGGACATTGTTTGCTTAATGCCAACTCATTAAATAATCTATCAACCCACTGAAAAACCACTTAACTAATTCAGCACTCATTATTTTAGCTATTACGAGACAAAATCATGAGTATCAAAATGACTTATTCAAAATTGGTCACACAATGCTTAACATTTTTACTATAAAGATGTAGAGATTAAAATAAGGAATTGTTCAGAAACATTAAAATGTTTCTGAAAATTGTGCACATGAGAAATTGTATGACAGATGAATACAATTTAACTAAAAAATAATGATTCAGATTATGACTGTAGTTTCTTTTTTAAAAAAAGATAGAATACACTGCCCTTAATGATATTAGTACTTGATTAGAAACATTGCCACTGATGCCAAGGAAGAATAAAAATTAATATAACAACATTTATTGAGCACTCATCATGGGCTGGGTACTGTGAAAGTGCTTATAAATGTTATTTAATTTCCTCACAACTCTATGAAGGTAGTCTTTTTTACTATTGTTATTTTCCATATGAATAAACTCATAGAGATTTTAAATGAATTAGTTATGTAAAATATATATCTATATAAATGCAGGCAAATACATAAACTTGAAGTCTTATTCAGGTCCTTAATGAGATCTGCAGTGCCAATATCTTCTAACTACAAATTGTAGTATGTTGCACAGGGGTCAGATCTCAGAGAACATCTAATCCAGCTGAACCTCTTTACGTATAAAGAAACTGAGGTTCAAAAGACATAAAAGGAATTAATCATGTTGACCAAGTTAGAGAAGTTCCAATGTAAGAAAATTAAAACTATTCTACTTTTTAAGAATTGGAGAAAATGCCAAAGAAATATATACGAACGAAAATAACTGAATGAATTCCACAAATGCAGTTCTCATGGATGCTTGATAACTTAGCATTGTTCATTGAGCCAAGTGACATCAGTCATGTACGTACGCATATGTACGAGCAACCCATGACTTTCGATACAAAGAAGGCAGTATTTTCCTTTCCTCAGAAGTTTGAAAGTCACCAGTTTAAACTTTGAAAATGTATTCTCATAAATTTAAGAGCACCATGTCTCCTCTTTTCTAATTAAGTTTTTTATGCCATAGCCAGGCACGCAATCAGAGCCTATCCCATGAATAGTTACTTAAGACTTAAAGTCACTAAGTTTTTTATCCTCCACATGTGACTTGATCTCATGGACATAGAGAATAGAATGATAAATACCAGAGACTGGGAAGGGTGGGTGGGAGAGACTAGGGATGATCATTAGTTATGGATACAAACATACAGTTAATTAAAAGAAATACGTTTTAATGTTTGACAGCAGACTAGGGTACTATACTTAGCAGCAATATTATGTGTATTTTAAAGTAACTGCAACAGATGACTTGAAATGATGCCAACATTTAAAAATGATAAACACTCAAGGTGATCGATACCCTAGATACCCTGGCTTGATCATTGTATATTCTATGCATGTACCAAACACTCATGTACACCTCATAAATGTGCAAAAGATTACATATCAATAAAACAGGAAAAAAGTGAAAAAAAGGCATCAAGAAGAAAGTAGCACCTTGAAATAAGTGCAAACAGTTGGAGAAACAGATTATTAATTTTAAAGACAATCTGCCAACTGCTTAAATGACATCTCACCTTCACATTGTTCATTAATTATATATTCACAGCCTTAACTTCTGGAGATTAATTAATGCTGAGGAACAACTATAAGATATACAACCCATATTAGTTGTTTAAAACGAATATGGTAAAACCATTATTTTTAAAACTGAAAAATAAATTCACTGTATATAACTCTAGACTGGAAGTGTTACAATGTTGAGGACAGTGACAAAAAAACATAAAATAATAAAAACAAATATTATGTTGGCAGGGAAAGGCAGGTGTAAAATCTACACTGTGTTAATTATGTCTTATTTGATGTCTGTTTGGGTATACATTACAGATAAACCTTCTATTCAATGTAAATAAAAAATTTTACGTAAATATATGACTGCAGTAAGCGTAGTTTTCTGAGACTGAGCTCTGTGCCATACAAAATAATGTTTTGCGTCTCAATTTGATGACAAATCTCAGTACTCTGATAGCCTTTAAGATTCTTAGGAATGTGTAAGAAAAATTAGGTTAATCCTACTCCCAATTCTTTTCTATCTACCATGGAACTAGGCCACATAGAATTTCACTATTATAACAAATAGTTTCAGACATTTTCCATCTATAAATGGCAAGATGCACTTAAGTTCACACAGTAATTAGGATCAATGAAGACCATTAGCATTTTAAATTGCAGTAGATCACAGGAAAATGCTAAATTCTTCCAAATGTATTTCATAAAACTCTGAAAACCCTAATCCCAAAAGCACATACAGATAGCACTTAAAAACAAAACTACAGAACCATCTCATGTAGGAATATAGGTACAAAAACATCCAAAATAAAATAGCAGCAAATAAATTCCAGCAGCATATTGAACTACATAAATTTTAATAAATAATTCATTTAGTATATGCAAATGGGAATTTAATTTTAGGAAAATGATTAATATATTCTATCAATAAGTAAAAGTAAGAGGTATTGTGGAGTTCTTAGTAAATGCTTAAAAAGACATTTAGGAAAATCTAATACCTGTTTTTGGTAAAAATATACTCGAGCTTAGAACAGAATTTTTCTTTAACTTCAGTAAAAACTGCATATTTAAGTCAACAGCTACCACTGTAGTTAAAAGTGAAACATTTCAGTAATTTTTATTAAAATTAAGATGAGGCCAGCATGGATAACCGCTACTATGAACATTGTTTTAGAAGTTCTACCTAATGCAATGAGACAGGAAATAGAAAAAATATATATATATCTACAGTAACATTAGAGATAAGTTTTTGATGCTGCTCCTGCGTTGATGGTAACAATATAGAAGAAAATCAAGTTAGATATTTATTTTGTTTATTATATTGATAAGAAAAGTAGATTAAAATAGTTCATGTAAAATGTAAATATTAAAAAAGAGGTGAATATTTGACATAAATAGGCAAACACTTTTCCAATACAAAGCCTTTTTATTAAAGGGAAATTATTTATAAAAATTACAGACAAAAGCACACAAATTGCACTTACAAATCCATGAGAGATACTATCAATTGACTAATAGGAAAAATTTTTGCAAAGACAGGTTGAATAAATAGAGTTTACCAATGAATTTAAGAAAATCTATGCAATCTCATAATCAATAAAGATAATTTTAGATGTTACTTTTTGACTGCAACATTGGTAAAGCCTTTAAAAAAATAAAGCCTTCAGTGTGTAATGCTGTCCACCTTCATACAGAGCAGACAGGCATGTGAATATTTATAAAATTCTTCTTAAAAGTAATTTTGCAGTATATATCAAAAACATTAAACTGCACATAAAATGACTTATTTCAAGGACACTATATTCAGTTGTCAAGTACATATAACATAATCAAGTATATGTCACATAATTATATAAGACTTCCATTGCATTTTTTCATGCTAGTGATAAATAATAAACATAGTTTCAAAAATAGTGAATTAATTATGGTAAAACCATAAGAGCCACTGCAAGTTCCCTGAGAGCAAGTGACTTCGTCTGCCCTAATCTCAGCTCTATCAGCTGAATCTAGAATGGACAGAGTATGCCTTGAATAACTATTTGTTAAATGAATTGGGAGAATATGAAAATATTAATAATTATGCTTGTGAAGATTGATGTAAGAATAGTTAAAACATCAAGCTACATGAAAACATGATACAGATTTTATATGGAATGAGATCTCAGGTTTTAAAAATCTGTTATTTACATTTAAGTAATAAGGTGTACAGAAAAATAAAAGTATTAAGTATTGAAGTGATAGTTTTACAGTTTCCTAAACCATGTTTCTATTTTATACATTTTCCTGCAATACACATGCATGTTTAGTGCCAGGAAAGTATAAATATAATCGTTCAAAATTTTAGATTTATATTGAGCTAAATATAATAAATACAACACTGTTCAAAAGGAAATACTGTAAGTGCTATGAGGACAGGACCATGTCTCTCTTGTTCACTTTTCTCTCTCAACAACTTAGCACATTGTCTGGCTCGGAGCACATGGTCAATATTCATTCATTAAGTGGATGAACCAGTTTTGATTTTGATTACTGTATTTCATAATAAATTTTTTTAGGCCAGAATACCTTACAAATATCTTATAATGAATTCAATATTATGTTCAACTTAGATCAAGTTAGAAATAACCTAACACTGGTTTTTATTCTCATCCTTTTTTCAAATGTCGTGTGTTTATTCTTTCAAATTTAATTTTGTGTGATTTTGAATGATTCTTAAAACTTGACCTTGCAACAGTTTACAATTAATAAATAGGCTTCTCTATGATGAGTGGTTTTATTCCTTTCATTAGCTCCTTGGGTCTTCCACATTACTTCCTAAAATACTGTTTTTCTATTATAGTAATTATCATCATATGTATCTGTCAATCACTATGATTTCTGTCTACATATTCGTGTATCTAGAATCCTGACTACTCCACATCCTGTGATCTCCTTTATAGAAAGGACTACATGTGATTTTTCTTTTTATTCCAGATTTCAGGACAGTTTCTAACATAAAATAAGCAATTGATGCTTCTCGTTTTCATTATAACACGTAATCCATGTTTTTCTAATCTATCAATAAATTCTATCATTAATTATTCCATTCCTAATATCATACTAATCTTTTCATAAATAGTTTATATATTTCCACTAAAGAGAAGAGATTGATGCATATAAGAAAGTAGGAAACAGTGCTGGAGAGAATAAGTGTTAAATGCTGTGGAATAGACCACAGATGCTATTTACAGATAGGAAGAAATAATGATCAGCCAGTCTTGGGTTCATCAAGGCTAGCATGAGAGTTGAGGTAAATTTGAAGTATAAATTGAAGTCTGCTTGCTGGGGCTCCAAATGTTATTATAGCCTGAGATATTGATCTATTAAAGAAATCAAGTGCTTCGTTCACTTTTGAAAATGAAATATTAATTAGGGTTCACGAATTTCCTTTCAGTGGGTAGATATTAAAGTGTTCATTGCCATCACTAGTGCTGAATTTTAATCAGTATTTTAGAAACGATATGTGATTATCTAAAGAAACATTAGTGGAGTATTTCTTGCAGTGTCCTTTAATAGCAGGCTTGATATGGAAGGCCTCACAGCAAGGACAAAAATTAGGGAGTAAAATATGCTTTTTAAAATGTCTCTACCACATGTGGCGAATTACTCCAGGTAAATGTGATCTGACCTGTTATTGTGTGTACTATGTTTGGTATATTTCCCAACAATTTCACAGTACCTTACATTTTAAACGCCTTTTAAAATACATCTTAATAAATAAGAAATTGATGGAAAAATTTATAATTTTTAACTACGTATGAAATTTTGGGTTGACAATTTATGTTAATATACATAGAAAATTTAATTAACAGCATCACATTCTAAAATCAGAAACTGTTGGTCTTTTCAATGCAAATAATCTAGGTATCATTCAGTAAATTGCAAGTAAACTTGTGACAAATGATGAAACTTTGAGGTCTAGCATTGTTAAACACAGTTTAAATGTTTGAAATATGTAAAAGTCTGTGTATGAAATGTGAATGAACACTTTCCTTTAGACTTCCAGTGATAGGGCTTATGGTAGCTTGTTTTATTTATTTATTTATTATTTTGTCTCCTGTTATTTTATAATGGGTCAGAGGTTCTTTAGGCCTTATATGCATATTTCTGAAAGGGCAGCACACATTGAAAAAAATGTCACTGCATTAATGTGTGCCATTCTTGGCTTACTTGGCCATGCCCACTTGTCACAATTATTGCCAAAGCAATGCTATTGTGTGTCCTCAGATTCTCTGTCCATGCAATTTAGACCAACCCATTTCCATGTTCTTAAGGTAATTATGTCCCTCCAAATGTCAGCTAAATGACTTTGACATTCAAGATTTCTAACAGCTTTTGAATGCCATGTTATCTGTGCTATTTGTAATTCATATTCATGCAAATCCCCAGTCCCCGCCACATTATGCCACCCCATCTGTTGAGAAGGTTCCCACTTTTTCCCCTTTCGAATTGTGGTTGGCTAGAGAGGGTATACCCTTTGAAAATTCTCTTAAGGTATTTGCAGGCTCCATAGATTCTACTGTAGATAGGGTGTTCCAATCGTTGCAAGTGAAGAAACGCATATGTTTGTCAATGTAAAAAATTTTCTTTTTAACTTAGTGCTATCTTTGAAAATATTTTACCATTTTATTTTTTAGGGGGCTAGCAATAACTTTTCTACACAATTTTTTTTTGTTACGTTTATCCTTGTTTTTTTGTAAAACAAAACATTTACTTGTAACTTATTGCAGTAGGGGGAACCATGTGGAAATGTGTCTAAACACAGGATTCACCTTTGCATTCTTACATGACATAAATTGTCTTTGACTTCAAGATACATGTACACACATATCCTAGTCAATGTAAACGTGAGAGTTAGTGGAATTATGTGGATAATTTAAGTAAGTTTTGTGGTTGTTTTAAGATCCTTCTGTGCGATATCTTTCAAGGTTTCCTTTTTAGTTTTTTTAAAAGACTAGATTACTCTTATAAAATATACTGTATAGTATCAAAAAGTAACCTAATAATATAGTATTATGTTAGTAGATGGTTAAGCCATTGGGGATAATCCATTGTCTCACAGAACAATTGTAAGACCCTCAACTCTTTCATCAACTGTATTAATTTATGTTTGATTAGCTGACCTCTCCAGTCACTCATGAGAAAAATAATTTCCCATCATAAAATGCATATATTCCTGCTGCTACTCACTGTAGAAACACACTTTATATAGTTGCTCATGTGAGCAGCAGTTTAATGAGAAATTGATGCTGGTAATTTTGTCTGTCTCTATGAATTACTGTTTAAGGCTCATATTGGAATTATGCCGGTTACTTCTGATTGGAAAATATGAGACCTCTTGTACTCCTCTGTTTCCCCTGCTTTCAATGCCAGTTGCCTATCTCTTTTGGAGGCAACCTTCCCTTGCCCCAGATCCATGTGAAGAAGACTTTTTTTTAATGCTACATAGCCTAGAAGTAATCATAATAGAAACAGATAAGACTCAGTGTTGGCTTGAGAACATTAGTCTTTTACTAGAAAATTCACTCAAAATGATAACATTGTCTAACTGAATTAGACTTCCACCATTCCTGAATTGTTTGGAAGTATTTATTTTTATATATTTTAGCTATTTTTTTAACCATATATATTTTAAAACGTGTGGTGGAAAATCTAGTGTTTTACCCCAGATATTGCATTGCTCACCTTTAATGGAAGCTCAATATTGTTTAAACTTTTGCTGTTTGGCAACTGACCCAGTAGTTCTGTCATATTCTTTCAACTATACCTTAAAGGAAACCCATATTATTGACAGAATACACACCACAGTGCATTTCACATATTTTTGCTACAGAATTATAAAAAGCAGCTTGGCATAAATCCTGCAAATTAAGCACAAAATTAAGTTATATTGCTATAAAGGGAAGGAAAGTAGTATTTATGAAAAATATACTGTTTCTTGGCACTGTAGTAGGTTATATATGTTCATATATTTTAATGTTTAAAAGCCAGTCACAATCCTGAAAGACACAACCCTGATGCCGTAATCCTGAATGTTAAAATCCTGACACATCAAAATTCAAAAAATATAATTCTGAAGAAATAAAAATTTTAAAGATGTATTTATTTACATTTTTAAAAGGAAATTTGTTTGAGAAACATAAAAACATGATGGAACACATCATGGGCCACTTTATACAATAAAATAGGCAATACAACATACATATTTTTGTAAGCGTAAACATCTAGGTAGGCTAACAACAGATAACATAACAGTTATGAGTGGATAAACTATATTAATAAAAAATTGGTCAAAAAGCAAAATGTATAAATGCATATTACTGTGGTTAGTAATTGTGTGCACCCAGCTTTATAACTGCAGTCATCTGAGGTACCTAGAAGGACAACCTAAGTCCTTTGATGAGATTAGTCAAAAACCACAATGGGTCACTACTGCATCACAATTGCACCAGTCACCCTAAGAGCCAAGATCTCAAGGAATTTTGTCTTTCACAAAAAGCACGTCTCTTCATGTACTGAGAGAGTTTCGTTTTTGCGTATGTGCACAATGCTTACACACAAAGTCAGTGTTGTGATAATGCAATTTCATTGTCACATTTGCCAAACATGCATAAAACTAATTATAATTCTCTAAAAGTCTTTAGACAATTTATACCTCCAGTATTGGAAATTATGTGAAGATAACATATAGAGCATAAAGAATTAGGAAAAAAAATGCTGACAATTTAAAATAGTGAAAAAAAAACTAAAAAAAGAAAAACTAAGAAATTAAAAATTTGACATATGAAAATGTGTATTACGGTATATAGATTATGGGCAATTGCATGGAGATAGGCCATACGAGCTGGCAATTTTCATGATCATTAACTGTATTTTGAAGTCTTGCATCCAGATGAATAATTGCTTTTTTTTCTTTTAGAACATCGCTCTGCTTAGAGAATACTTTTGTCAGAGGCATGTGAACCAGAGCAACCCTATCTTGAATAGGAGCTGGGTAAAATAAGGCTAAGACCTGCTGGGCTGCGTTCCCAAGAAGGTTAAGGCATTCTAAGTCACAAGATGAGATAGGAGGTCAGCATAAAATATAGGTCATAAAGATCTTGCTGATAAAACTGGTTGCAGTAAAGAAGCCAGCTAAAACCCACCAAAACCAAGATGACCACGAGAGTGACCCCTAGTCGTCCTCATTGCTACACTCCCACCAGTGCCATAATAGTTTACAGGTGCCATGGCAACGTCAGGAAGTTACCCCACATGGTCTAAAAAGGGGAGGCATGAATAAACCACCCCTTGTTTAGCATACCATCAAGAAATACCCATTAAAAATGGGCAACCAGCAGCCCTTGGGGCTGCTCTGTCTATGAAGTAGCCATTCTTTCATTCCTTTACTTTCTTAATAAACCTGCTTTCACTTTACTCTTTGAACTCACTCTGAATTGTTTCTTGTGTGAGATCCAAGGGCCCTCTCTTGGGGTCTGAATTGGAACCTCTTTTCGGTAACACTTTCACATTCATACACTATGTGGCGCTGCTCTTTTAGCAATTATTCCATGATTCCCCCCACATACCAACATGGGCATTCCTTATTGCATTTTCCCATCTTCTGTGCCATGTTTCTATGTTGTTTGTAGCACAAGGAAATCCATTCTGCATGCATTCATATACAGACCACAAGTTTGGTGAAAACAATACTGGTGATAAAACAGTAACACACTTACATAATTTTCTTCTTATCTTACTATTTGCATAATTATTTTCTAACCGGTCAGTGGCTGCAGGGGCTTCAGGCATATGCAGCTTCAATTCATTAAAAGTTCCTGAAATGTCATCAGCTAGAAGTATTGCCAATGCTGGCAAGGTGAAGTTTTTGTGGTTGCTGTATCATGTGGCCAATCCACTCGTCTGAATTTTCAGCCAAATGCCTTGGGCTGAATGGCAAAGTCGAACTTTATTGGTAACACCTTAAAATTCACTTTTAGAAGCCTTGATTGTATCGAATTCCAGATTTGTCATTATCTAGTTTGGAGATTCAACTGAAAATAATTTTCTTCTACACAAAGGCAATAACAAAGTAATAATTGCGCGTAACATGATGCAAGTACCTTGTGGTGTTATTTTCAGAAATTTAGATGTTAGGGATTTCAGACAAAAGAGTTTTAGACTTTAGGAATTTTTAACATTAGAAATTTTGATGATTCAGGATTTCAACATTTGGAATTATGGCATTTGGGATTGTATCTTTCTGGATTATTATCCAAATCTATAATATGTATTCCTCACAATCACCTTTTACGTTTGTTGTTTATGTAGATTTCATGCCAGGCAATGAGTTAGATACTGAGGATACTATAATAGAATCTTAGGATCTGGTGCTCTGTTCTTCTAAGATAAATAATAAAGAGTTGAAAATATGCATACGATTTAATATTGGCAATACAGGATGAAAGTGCAATTAAGACAGTCTGTGTAATACAGTCATGGCTCAAAGGGATGAATTGTCTTCTTCTACCAACCCATTCACAGGATTTTTAAAATTGAAATACAAAATTTTAGAATAGTAAAATTCCTAGATGTTAAGTGTACAACTTGATGAGTTTTTCCATATCTAGTCACTCATGTAACAACTATGAGAGTAATATACAGAATATTTCCAGCATCCCAAAGGTTCCCACATGTCTGTTTCTAGTTAAAATGCTTTTCCACCTTGAGAGCATTCTGGACCAGGCGTGGTGGCTCACGCTTGTAATCCTAGCACTTCCGGAGGCCGAGGTGGGAGGATTACTTGAGGTCAGGAGTTCAAGACCAGCCTGGCCAACATGGTGAAACCCCACCTCTATAAAAATACAAATACAAATAATAATAATAATAATAGTAATAATAATAATAATAATAAATAGCCGGGTGTGGTGGCGCATGCCTGTAATCCCAGCTGCTTGGGAGGCTGAGGCAGAAGGATCCTTTGAACCTGGGAGGCGGAGGTTGCAATGAGCCGAGATCATGCCGCTTCACTCCAGCCTGGGGAACAGAGCGAGACTATCTCAAAAAAAAAAAAAAAAAAAGAGAGAGAGAGAGAGAGTGTTCTGTACTCTTTTGCCTAACAAACATATATTTTTGAAATTCAACCATGTTTTATTTAGCAGAAGTTGTATTATTTGTTATTGTTACCTAATAAGTAATTACATTTATGAAATCAATGATGTACTTTTTAATGCTAAACGAACTTTACATTTATTATGCATTTTTTGCTTGTGCAAATGGATCTTTTTTATTAATTTTTAATTTTTGTGGGTACATAATAATTGTACATACTTATGGGTTACATGAGATATTTTGGCACAGGTATGCAATATGTAATAATCACATCAGGGTAAATGGTGTATCCATCTTCTCAAGCATTTACCCTTTGTTTACAAATAATCCAATTATACTCTTTTTAAAATGTGGAATCAAATTATTTTAGACTATAATTACCTTGTGTTTGCAAATACTAGGTCTTATTCATTATTTCTAACTATTTTTTGTACCCGTTAACCATTCTCACCCCCTAATTCCCAGCTTCTCACTATTCTTCTCAGCCTCTGGTAACCATCCTTCTACTTTATGTTCATGAGTTCAATTGTTTTGATTTATAGATCCCACGAATAAATGAGAATACGTGATGTTTGTCTTTCTGTGCCTGGCTTATTTCACTTCACATAATGATTCAAGTTCTAACCATGTTGTTGCAAATAACTGGATCACATTCTTTTTAATGGCTAAATAGTACTGCATTGTGTATATGTACCACATTTTCTTTATCCATTCATCTTTTGATGAACACTTAGATTGCTTCAAAATTTTAGGTATTGCAAACAGTGCTGCAACAAACATAGGAGTGAAGACATCTCTTAATATATACTGTTTTTCTTCCTTTGGGGCATATACCTAGCAGTGGAATTGCTGGGTCATATGGTAGCTCAATTTTTAGTTTTTTGAGGACCCTCCAAACTGTTCTCCATAGTGGTTGTACTAACAACGTACAAGTATACAAGTAGCAGTGGTCCCACCAGTAATGTAAAAGGATTCCCTTTTCTCCATATCCTTGCCAGCATTTATCGCCTGACTTTTGGGTAAAAAAATATTATAACAGGAGTGAGATGATATCTCATAGTAGTTTTGATTTGCCTTTCTCTGATGATCAGTGATGTTGAGCACCTTTTTATATGCTGGTTTGCCATTTGGATGTCTTCTTTTGACAAATGTTTATACAAATCTTTTGCCATTTAAAAATCAGATTATTAGATTTTTTTTGCTGTAGAGTTTTTTGAGTTCCTTACATATTCTGGTTATTAATCCCTTGTCAGATGGGGAGCTCCATTCTGTGGGCTGTCTCTTCACTTTGTTGAGTTTTTCCTTTGCTATGCAGAAGGTTTTTAACTTGATGTGTCCATATGTCCATTTTTGCTTTGGTTGCCTGTGCTTGTGAGGTATTAGAAATCATTACGCATTCCAATGTCCTACAGAGTTTCTCCAAAGTTTTCCTTTAGTAGTTTCATAGATTGAGGTCATAGGTTTAAGTCTTTAATTCATTTTGATTTGATTTTTGCATGTGGTGAGTGACAGGGGTCTAGTTTCATTCTTCTGCATATGGATATTAGTTTTCCCAGCACTATTTATTGAAGAGACTGTCCTTTCTCAATGTATATTCTTGGCACTTTTGTCAAAAATCAGCTAACTGTAGACGCATGGATTTATTTCTGGGATCTCAATTCTGTTCCACTGCTGTCTGTTTTTGTGCCAGCACCATACTCTTTTGGTTACTAGAGCTCTGTAGTATAATTTACACTCAAGTAATGAGTGTTCCAGTTTTGTTCATTTTGGGAAGGATAACTTTGGCTATTCTGGGTCTTTTGTGATTCCATCTAAATTTTAAGATTTTTTTTTGTTTCTGTGAAGAATGTTATTAGTATTTTGATAGGGATTGCACTGAATGTCGATTGCACTGTGTAACATGGATGTTTTAACAATATTGATTTTTCCAATCTGTGGACATTGGATACCTTTCAATTTTTGTGTGTGTCTTCTTCTATTTATTGCATCAATGTTTTAGAGATTTTATTGTAGTGAGCTTTCACTTCTTTGGTTACTTTTCAGGCATTTTATTTTATTTGTAGATATTGTAAATGGGATTACTTTCTTAAATTCTTTTTAGGTTGTTGACTGCTGTGATATAGAAATACTTCTGATTTTTGTAGGTTTATTTTGTATCCTGAAACTTTACTGAATTTATCAGTTCTGATAGTCTTTTGGTGAAAACTTTAGATTTTTTCAAATGTAAGATCATATCATTTGCAAAGAAGAATAATTTGACTTTTTCTTTTCAATTTGGATGTTCTTTATTTCTTTCTCTTGTCTGATTACTGTAGCTTGGACATCCAGTACTATGTTGAATAACAGTGATGACAGTGGGCGTTCTTGCCATATTCTAGATCTTAGAAGGAAGGCCATCAGTTTTTACCTATTCAATATGATACTAGCTATGAGTATGTCAGATGGCCTTTATTATGTTATGTTTCTTCTATACCCTGTTTCTTAAGTGTTTTTATCATGAAGGGATATTTAATTTTGTTGAATGATTTTTCAGTGTGAATTGAAATGATCATATTACTTTTGTCCTTCATTCTTTTGATATGATGTATCACATTGATTAAATTGTATATGTCGAATCATCCCGCATCCCTGGGAAAAACCCCACATGGTCATGATGAATAATCTTTTTAATGTGTTGTTTAATTTAATTTGCTAGTATTTTGTTAATATTTGCATCAACATTCATCAGTAATATTGCCCTGTAGTTTTTTGTAATGTGTCTTTGGTTTTGGTATTAGGGTAACAATGGCCTCATAGAAATAGTTTGGAAGTATTCTCTTCTCTATTTTTTGGAATAGTTTGAGTAGAATACATATTAGTTTCTCTTTAAATGTTTGATACAATTCAACAGTAAAGCCATCAGGTTTCAGGCTTTTCTTTAGTAGGAGACTTTTCATTATAGCTTTGATCTCATTACCTTTTTTTAATCTGTTCAAGTTTTGGGTTTTTTCACGGTTCAATATTGATAGATTGAATGTGTCTAGGAATTTATCCATTTCTTTCAGATTTTACAATTCATTTCAATTTAGTTGCTCATGATAGCCACTAATGATCCTTTAAATTTCTGTGGTATTTGTTGTTATGTCTCCCTTTTTTTAATCTCTGATTTTATTTATTCAGGTCTTCTCTCTTTTTTTTTCTTAATTACTCTGGATAATGGTTTGTCAGTTTAATTTATCTTGTCAAAGAAACCAATTTTTTGTTTCATTGATCTTTTGTATTGCTATCTTCATCTCAATTTCATTTATCTTTATAATAATAATCTTTATTATTTATTTTCTTCTACTAATTTTAGTTTCAGTTTGCTCTTGATTTTCTAATTCCTCAAGCTGTATCTCTGGGTTATTTATTCGAATTATTTCTTCTTTTTTGATATATTTTTAGCTATAAGCTAAATATTTCTCTCTTAGTACTGTTTTTACTATATCCCATAGGTTTTGGTCTGTAGTGTTTTCATTATAATTTGTTTCAATAATATTTTCAGTTTCCTTCTTAATTTCTTCATTGACCTACTGGTCATTCATGAGCATATTGTTAAAATCCAAATGTTTGCATAATTTCCAAAATTGCTCTTGTTATTGGTTTCTAGTTTTATTCCACATGATCAGAGAAGATGCTTGATATTATTTCAAATTTTTTGAATATTTTAAGTCTTATTTTGTTACCTAACATATGGTCTATCCTTGAGAATAATCCATGTACTGAGGAGAAGAATATGTATTATGCAACCATTGGGTGAAATGTTCTGTAAATATCTATTAAGTCCATTTGGTCTACAGTACAGATTAAGTCTGATATTTCTATGTTGATTTTCTGTCTAAGGCATCATCCTAATGCTGAAAGTGGGATGTTGAAATATCCAGCTATTATTGTATTGAGGTCTGTCTCTTTCTTTAGCTTTAATAATATTTGTTTTATATATCTAGGTGCTCCGGTGTTGGGCACATATATTTACAATTGTTATATCATCTTGCTGAATTGACCCCTTTATCATTATATAATGACCTTTCTTGTCTCTTCTTACAGTTTTTGTCTTGAAATCTATTTTTTTCTGACATATGTATAGAAATCCTTGCTCTTTTTTGGTTTCCATTGGCATGGAATATCTTTTTCTATTTCTTTTTCAGTCTATGTGTAACTTTATAGGTGAAATGCATTTTTGTAGGCAACAGATCATTGGGTCTTGTTTTTTTTAATTTATTCAGCGACTCTATATATTTTTGTTGGTGAGTTTAGTTCATTTCCATTCAATATTATTATTGATAAGTAAGGACTTTCTCCTGCCATTTTGTTTTCTGGTTGTTTTTCTCATCTTCTCTTCTCTCTGTCCTGCCTTCCCTTTTTTCTTTCAGTGAAGGTGATTTTCTCTGGTGAAATGATTTAATTACTTGGGATTTTGGGGTTTTTTTTGGTTGTTGTTTTTGTGAGTGTGTATCCATTGTATGTTTTTTGATTTGAGAATACCATGAGACTTGCAAATACCATTTTACAAGGCATCATTTTAGGCTGGTAGCTACTTAACACTACTTGCATAACCAAACAAAATAACAAGCAAAAAGAAAGCTAATTAAAAACTTTACACTTTAAATTTGTTCTTCTTCTTTTTAATTTTTTGTTGTTTCTATTTTACTGTGTATGTTTTGAAAAGTTGTTATTATATTTGATTGGTTCATCTTATAGTCTTCCTACTTAGGTAAGAGTAGTTTACACACCACAGTTACAGTGTTATAGTATCCTGTTTTACTGTGTGCTTACTATTACCAATGAATTTTGTACCTACACATGATTTTTTCTTTCTTTTTAACATCCTTTTCTTTCAGATTGAAGAACTACCTTTAGGATTTCTTGTAGAGCAGGCCTGCTGTTGGTGAAATACCTCAGCTTTTGATTGTCTGGGAAGGTCTTTATTTCTCCTTCCTGTTTGAAAGACATTTTCACCAAATACACTATTTATGCTAAAGGCTATTTTTCCTTCTGTACATTAAATATGTCATACCACTCTTTTCTGGACTATGAGGTTTCCACTGAAAAGTCTGTTGCCAGACATATTGGAGTTCCTTTGTATGTTGTTTCTTTCCTCTTGCTGCTTTAGGATCCTCTCAACATTTTCAAGTTTGATCATTAAATGCCATGAGGTAGTCTTGTTAGGGTTAAATCTCTTTGGTATTCTATAACCTTTTTGTACTTGGATTTTGATGTAATCCTCTAGGTTTGGTAATTTATCTGTTACTATTCCCTTGAATAAATTTTCTTCCCCTGTCTTTTTCTCTACCTCCTCTCCAAGGCCAGTAGCTCTTAGATTTGTTCTTTTGAGGCAATTTTCTTGATTGTGTAGTCATGTTTCATTTTTTAAACTCTTTTTTTCTTTTGTCTGCTCTGACTTTGTATTTTCAAATAATCTGTCTTTAAGCTCATTAATTCTTTCTTCCACTTAATCGATTCTGCTATTGTAAGACTCTGATGCATTCTTCAATATGCCAATTGCATTTTTGGCTCCAGAATTTCTGATTGAATCCTTTAAATTATTCCAATCTCTGTTAAATTTATCTGATAGAATTATTAATTTCTTCTCTGTGTTAGCTCAAATTTCTTTGAGTTTTCTCAGAACAATTCTTTTGAAATCTCTGCCTGAAAGCTCACATATCTCTCTTTCTCCAGGATTGATCCTTGGCACCTTATTTAGTTCGTTTAATGATGTCATGTTTTCCTGGATGGCCTTGATGCCTGTAGATGTTATCAGTGTCTGGGCATTGAGTAGTTAGGTATTTCTTATAGTCTTCACAGTCGGGGCTTGTTTGGAAAGGATTTCAGGTATTTAAAAGAACTTGGGTGCTGCCACCTAAACTGTATCTACATTAGGCGGCACCCCAATGCCACTAATGCGGTGGTTCTCGCAGTCATAGAGGTAGTGTGTTGGTGTTCTTGGATAAAATCCAGAAGAATTCTCTGAATTGCCAGGTACGGACTTGTTCTCTTCCCTTACTTTCTTCCCAACAAATGGAGTCTGCCTCTCCTTGCTGAGTCACCTTGGGCTTGCAGTGGGGTGACACAAGCACTGCACCCCACTTGGGTAAGGCCCAGTGCTGCATTAGCATCAGGTCTGACCTAGTGCAATCCTAGTGTGGCCACCACCACTGGGACTTCACAGGTAGTACTGATGGCAGCAGTGGTCCATCTAGAGCAGAAGCTGCCATGACACCAGCTGCAGTGGGGAAGGCATGGCTGGGGTTGTGCATTCCATGGAGCCAGCGGGAGCCAGGGACAGGGGGAAGCCCTGCCCCCTTCAGAGCTGACAGGGAGGGAACTTCACACTCCCCCGGCACAGATGCAGCCACCCAGCTGGAGCTGCAGAGTCAGGTATCCCAGTACTCTTGGGGGCCCGGAGCAGTCAGGAGCCCCACCCTGCTGGGCACAACTGCAGCCACCCAGCTGTGGTTGTGGACCCAGGGACCTCTGCATGATCAGGGGCCCTGGAAGGCCCAGGCTGCCCCTACAGGCTTGGAAGTGCCTGCTCCCGCTGTTGGGCCTCTCCCAACTCCCAGCACCTGCTCTGATCTCAGAGCAAGATTGGGGCTGACCCCAGGCGCTGTTGCAGCCTGGACAGGCTGGTGTATGCTCAGGGCAGCACTGACACTCCAGCCCCTGCTGCCTCAGCCCCCTCCAGATTTGGGTGGCAACAAACACGAGAGGGAGGCCAAGGCGGGGGTGTTGAGGGCAGCTTGGCGCTGGCCTGACCCACCCTTTGGCATAAACGGCCTGGGTGTCATTAAGGGCATCAGGAAGCAGACAGGCTCCTTGGCAGAAGAGGGCGGGTGCCTGGTGGAGCCCCACCTTTAAGCTGGGGAGGGCCTGAAACCTGGAAGCTGGGTTGTTGGTCCCACAGACCAGAGTGGAAACTTGTGGTGTTTTCTCCAAGCCTGCTTATGCCTGCCCTGGACCTATCAGCGCACACCTCCTCCCCTCTGAGGCCCATATAAGCTCCAGATTCAGTCAGACTTGAGGAGATGACAGGATGACAGGCTGCAGAGAAGACCTACCCACCAAAGGCTCTCCTCTCTACTGAGAGCTGAGGAGATGACGGGACAGCAAGCTGCAGAAAGTAGCTACCCACCCCGGGGTCTCCCCTCTGCTGAGAGCTGAAGAGACAACAGGAGAGCAAGGACTCACAGGGAACTGGCACCTCTGTCTGTGCCTGGAGCTGCCTGTCCCATTGCAGCCATCATGCCTGGCTGTAAGCAGTGGCCAGAACTCATGTTTGCTTGCTCACACACCCCTCACCACTCTGCTTGCCCTTGGAAAGCATGGGATCCAGGCTGGGAGAGTGAGGCCAGTGCAGGCTGCCAAGCCGAGTAGGCAAAATGAGCCCAGAGGGCCTGAGCAAAACGGGGGCAAAGGTGCCACTGCCCACAGTGGTTTCTAGCTGGAAAAACAACACTCCAAGGATTCCGTAACATTTCACAGGGCTCGTCCAGGATCTGCAAAGAGTGAGTAAAAGTGGACTTGCTCTTTGTTCTTTTTTTTAGAGCCCCTAAACTCCACAGTAGTAAAAAATGAATAAATAAATAAATAAATGCCAGCCCTCTGTCAGTCATTTAAAAGTGACTAGCATGGCTGCCAGACTTAAGGCATGGGGTCACTAGGGAGGACACTGTGAATCCCCCATCAACCCTGGGTGTTGGGAATGTTGCCTTTGTTCCAATCCAGTTTCCCTTCATGGAGATCTAGCCATTGGGTGGGGTTGGAAGGAAGTTCTGGGGCAAGGGAGTGTATCTGGCTGAGGCTACAACTTGGTGTTATCCAAAGACCCCTGGAATAACTTTAGTTCTCGACCACCCATTAGGATGTCATCACTAGGACCTAGTTGTTCCTATCATCCTTTCTTTTGTGGCTGTAATGATTCCTATCTCTTTTTTATATACACTGTTAAGGGTATTGTTGCAAACCACAGAGATAATACTACTGGGTTGAATGAGAATTTGGCTTAGTCATCAAAAGTATAAAATGGAAGGTTAAGAGTGGCACAGACAAAAGGAAAGTGTGCCTTGGTATCTGTATATAAATATGTGTTGAAAATGCTCTTGTCGTTTCCTTGGTTGCCAACTTAGTGCCAAGAACCTTGAGGCACAGAAAAGAAGCATGGCTTCAGGAAGAAAGCATGAATTTCAATACCATTCTGCAGTATTGGACTTTTTCTGTAATGGGACGTTTTCTGTAAATGTGAGGGCAAATGGACCGAGGTCTCATATGTGCAGGCCTTCTTTGCCTTGCAGAGTAATCTGGACCTTTGCCGACATTTTAGAATTGATTCAACTCTCCTAGTGGCCATATTAGGAGAGGCTGCAAGGGGCAAGCCCAGGGAACTAGGGAAGCAAACCATAGAGGTACCCCCAACAAGAGAGTCAACTCCCTCCACTCCACCCTACTTCTATTGTGCAATAATATAGCTAATCACAGATTGCTATAAAAGTATGGAATAAACTTACTGAAGCCAATCTTGGAGGATAATAATGTTTAGAATGAAAACTAAGTTGAAGTAAAGGCAAAAAAGCAGAAGGAAAGGCTGGGGACTATGAGAAGTTTTATGTCACTGGGGCAAAAGGGAAAATCAGTTCTCCCAATGAGTGCATATACTGGAGGAATAGAAGCATAATCTTTTCTTAATTGGTTTTAGGGGTATCTAGGGAGCTATGTGCTGGCTGTCACAATTCAAATTCAGAGAGCATATTACACAACTTCCAAACACAATAGAGATGAAGGTCAGGGGCAGAGTTTATTTCTTTTCTTCTTGCTATACTTGGAGCAGTAAAAACCTTTCCCACAAAGAAACAGTTAAAATTATAACTTTGTGAGTATTACTCTAAAATTATCTAACTTTCCCCTAATATTACCAACTCTACTTTTTCATTTTATGGAATATATATATTTCTGTAGGCTTCAAAGAAAATCTCAGGACATGATACTTTATAAGGCATTCCAAACATTTACCAAAATTAAATGTATTACTTATTTGCAAATCATATTGGTATTTTAATAATAAATCTAACACCACTCCTACCAATGAGTGAAAATGAGTTATTTAGTTACTACGTACTTACTGAGTACTCTATTTAGAAAATGGTGCAAACCAACAGATTTGAAATTAACACTTGACTCTTTTCTTGCTCAATTTCAGATCCAGTGCTTCAAAATATCCTGTAATTCACCACCATCCCAGATATTCTCAAATTCAATTTCTTCTCGCAACCTCCTAGCCCACTAACCTAGTTCATGCCCATGCCATCGACTCTAGTCAATGTTACCATCACTTTTCTGCCAGATGACAGAAAGAGCCTGCTTATTAAAATGCTGCTTATCTACAATCTATTCTCCAAATAATGGCCTGAATTATGTATTAAAAACTTAACTGATTACATTGGCTCTCTAAAATTCTCCAATAGCTTCTAATTTCACCTAGAAGAAAATCCAAATTTGAATATTGGCCTAGCAAGGCCTACATTCTTTTCTTCAGTGACTCCAGATGGACCTTCTTGTTAAGCCCTTGGCATATCTGAAACGCCCTTTTCCTGGATATTCTCAGGTCTCTCACCTGTCATCCTTCAGAAAGAATGTGGCTACACACCTTTTCTAGATATTCACTCTTTTCCATTCCTATTGGGAATTATTTTTTCTCTGGAGGACTTACAATATTCTGTCATCATATCATATAACTGTTTTGTTTATTTATTTATTCATATCTCTCAGTATGTAAACAATTGCCTAGAAATTAACGAAACCCACTGAGTAAAAGTTATATGCACAAGGATTTTTTTTACCTCTTTACCAGAATATTTTCCTGCCTATAACATTATGTGGAACAGTATCTGGTATACAATGTAAAATCAATAAATATTTATTGGATTAATACTTAGAAGAGTAAAAAAGTAAAATGAAAAATAAACAGAAAAAGAAAGGAAAGAAGGAAAGAAGAAAGACAAGAAAATAAAGAAGCATAAAATTGATAAATTAAGGCATAAAAATAAATGATTTCTTGGTCTCAGTTTTTAATAAATGGCATGGGAACTGTTGATATCTTATGCTCATTTCCATTCCATGTCTGCCTTTTCCACTAAATTATTTTTGATATGCATATTCATGTCCTTTCATCTCCTAAGTCACTTTAAGTGACTTTAAATAATACGAGACATGGAAGGAAAGGGAAAAGAGAACAGAATAAGCAACAAATGATGCAAGAAAAATTTAAGTTTGTGAAGAGAATAGTCACTTTCAGTTTGAGTGAAGTATAAATTTCGTAAAAGGAAGTCGTAAACCCTAAGTTGATTGTTAAATGGCAGACAATTGTTGAATACCAGGAAATGTATTTAGAATTTTATTTTCTAGGCCACGAAGGGGGAAACATTTTCTTGAGGGAGAAAAAATTATTAGAGAATATTTCCACACAATAATTTCAGAGGAATTTTAGAATTAGGAAAATAACAATATTGTATTATAAAATGCCCTTTAATTTTCCATAGCAACTATTTTTATAGGTATTATAGAAACAATCTGGATTCTGCTCATAGTAATCAATACTTTATTTTCAGTTCTAACACAATCTCCCTGATCCCCATCCTTCTGTGCAGCATATTTCCTTTATAGTAATTTGTCTTCATAACTATTTCGTCTGTTTGCATCTGCATATTCTATTATAAACTACTCAAAGGCAAGTGGTGTGTATTATTTATATGTTTAAATCCAACACCTAGAAAATATTAAGCTTAGTGAGTGATTTTTGAATAAACTTAAAATTGAATACATTTGAAATGGATTGTTATGCTATGAAGTCAGGCCTAAGTATATACGTAATCAGTAGAATAGATTGATTTTTTAAATAAAGGAAAGTTTTAATTCTATTGCTACTACTATCACGACTATTACCACCAAGAATTTTGAGTATACAGCTTCTCTTTTTTTTCTGACTAATCAGTTATTAAATTCTTTCCGCATCAGATATTGTGTTAAAGTCTCTGTGTCATTTACTCTTCACAACATCTCTAAAAGTGGGAATTATTTTCATGCCTATTTCACAAATGAGTACAGTGAAGCTCAGAGAACTAAGAGACTATCAAGGCACATGGTTCTGAAGTAGGAGAAAAGGGAAACAAAGGAAATGGATACCTGGGATAAGAAATGTGTGAGCTTTATGCAAATAAATTTATAAAATAGAGAAAAATATGTAAAATGGGGATGCCAAGAATTAACACATGGGAATGGGTTGGAATAGGAGGAAGTAGAATGGACTGTTGATTTCTAAAATATTCACGTATACATGTATGTTCAGTTATATGTGTATATATTTGTGTGTGTTTATGCATTTATGTGTGTTGACATACGCATGGCTGTATAAACAGGCCATGTTTCCTAACTGTCCACTGAAAAGGCTTACAAACAAGGCACCCAGGTATTGATAAACACATGTAGGACCCAGATCTTGGTTTCTACTACCTCATTCCAATAAAAGAAATCAGGGCTCCTTGAAATATTACTGAGTACAGGGTTGGGGCAGGGACGATGAGCCTAGAATATTGCGTTACGCCAGAAAGCAAGAAAGTGCTAAAAATGAAAGTGCTAAACACAATGATGGGTTCTGTCACACAGACGTTGGAGTCACCTTAAAGGGGCTTCTACTTTCCAAATCAAGGACAATTTGAGTGCCAAAATAAGGAGAGTAATGGATGACAAAGGATTGGAAAAAATAGGGATCTATGACTCCATATCAATAATAAATAGATTAAAAAGAAATTGAAAGAAGGAAGAATTGAATATCTTGTTTATAGTAACATGCCAAGTATTGACTGTTAAATATGGCAGAAGTGGTGGAATATCCCCTTTTTGTAATCATTACAGTAAAGATTGTATCAGGTAAGAATCAATAATAAATGTTGAATCTGAGATAGAAATTTTGATGAAGAATTGAATATTTCTTTGGTCTTAAAGTATTTCCCCACTGATTCCTTATTAGTAGCAATAAAAAAATACTATACAGTGGAAGAATAAGGGAGCACTTGGTGCAGGTAATCAAAACTAATTCCACAAATAGGGGCAGATGAACTTAATGCACCTTTACATATAATACCATGAGAAGGATGCAGCATCATTTATGTTGTATTCCAGATGGGAAAGCATAACTTGAATCTAATTATAAGAAAACATCAGACAGACAAAAAGAGGAACATTCTATTTAGAAAGGAGGTATGGTAAAGATTAGTCAGCAAAAAAATTCAATGTCATGTAAGACATAGAAAGGCTAAGAAACTATTCTGATTAAAGGAAGCTATAAAGATATGATAACTGATCCAAGGCCTGATTCTATACACGAGAAAAACTTGTATAAAGGAGATTACTGAGTGAAGTAAGAAGCAGAAAAAGGAACAGTTCCTAGAGTGATATTGGAGCGAAGCATCTGACCTGTCACAAAACCAGAGGATGCATTGACTTATATCATTTATGATAAAGTTGATAGAAAACAATACTTTTGCAAATGTTCAGATGCTTGTTGCTTATTTGACTTATCATCTCCTTTATATAACAGAAAGAGATCAAATTATAAAGCAAATAGGGCAAAATGCTAACATTGGGTGAATTGAGGTAAAGGATTATGGATGGTCTTTGTACTATTTTTGGAAATTCTTTGTAAGTTTGAAATTATTTCTAAATACAAAGCTTTATTATTTATTTATTTATAATAAAACACACACAATTTAAAGTTCTAAGAATAGATCTCCTATAGAAAATTCTAGAGAGGGTTGCACACTTCACAAACATAAAAGGTCTCTTTAGCAGCTAGTGGTAAAATAGATGATTAAAAATATACATATCATCTTTTAAAACCAGCATTATAAGTGATTAAAGAAAACTTCCTCTGACTATAAATTTAAGATGTCATATCATTTTTGATGGGTAGGCAGTAACTTACTTTAGGCTTTGTCTCTAGCAGTAATTCATATTCACTACTCTTTTCCAGGCTATAAAATTTCAAACTCAATGGGAGTGGCAAAGAAACATCCAGTGATCCGGAATAATGGCTTAGCATTTCCTTCACAATTTTTTAATGATTCTTTCTTATTACCCTCTAAAGCCCATTATTCTGACTAATAATGCTGATTTTAAAATCCAGATCAATGTTAAAATTAAATTAAACATAAAATGTATGGCTTGTAAAATGTGAAACACTTGGCTATCTCTAAAACATTGCTAGGGATAATGATTAAATCCAAAGCCAAGTGTTCTAATTCTTTTCAGCAAAATAGGAAGTTTTTTTTTAAATTGAAGGTAAGAAATATTGACTAACAAAAATAGAAACTAGATGTATGCCATCATGATATTGCCTTAGTCCATTTGGGCTGTTATAACAGAATACCTGAGACTGGACAATTTATAAGAAACAGAAATTTGGTCTCTCACAGTTATGAAGACTGAGAAGTCCAAGATGAAGGTGCCGGCACCCTGTGTGGGTCTTGTTATTGCATCCTCATGGAGTGGAAGGCAGAGGGCAAGAGAAGATGCATGTGTGTCCTCACATGGGAGAAGAGTGAAGGAGAGCAAATTCACTCCTGCAAGCCCTCTTATAGCAGCATTAATCTATTCATGAGGGTAGAGGAGATTAGGCCCCACCTCCCAACACTGGTGCATTGGGGGTTAAGTTTCCAACACATGAATTTTCAGGGACACATTCAAGCAATAGCAATAGTTGAAATGAAATTTTATGTTCTAAATTATTCACATGGTTGTTCATGATTGCCACTTTTTGTAATGTTGACATGAGTAGGGCATATGTAAATTTATGTTTATGTATCATTGATATGTATTGTTTTGGTTCTGTGAAAAAAAAGTCTGTATTTTATCCAGAAGACATCATTTTTATATCAATAATAAGTTTCTGTGTATGTCCTCTAAAAGTTGAGCTAAATAAACTGGAAAATTTGGGATTTTCAAAAATTTATAGATACCAGAAAGGAGGCAGAAACCCTAGAGTAGTATTAGAGCAGAGCCTCTAGTACAGCTTATAGCTAGAAGGGGCATTTAACCATAATTTATGATAAAAATCAACACAATACAGTACTCTTAGAATGTGCACATGCTCATCTGACTCAGCAGCTCTCCAGTGTGGGCTTCTCACTTGCTTAGGCCCATATTACTGGTAATTTGAAGGGAAAAAATGAACTTGATGTTTTCTGATGGCTACTGTGTGTCTATTATTGAGCTAGAGAGATGATACTTCATTAATTTTTTCAGATCAAAATTTATAAGGTGAAATTTGCAAGTGTTAAATACATTTGTTGAGTATCACCCATGTAGTAAACACCCTTCATTCATTTCTATGTAACTCAAATTTTCCAAGTATTATTGATCTAAATTGACTCCCATTACATAGTAATATCAGGCTAGTTGACAAAGCAGTAACTGCAGTGCAGTTAAGCCTAGAGATCAATGAACCCTAAGAGGGTAAGTTGGGCTACTATAAGCTGGCTATGATCCAGATGCAGAATGAGGTACATTTTTCTTCTAAGTTATTTATTTATCCTTGTTGTTAGTATATCTTTTGGGATTAATTCCTTTATTTTGCCGAAATATTTTAAGGTTGTTTTCATACATGTTCTTTTGGTGAAAACATTCTGAAGCCTTTTATAACTGAGAATGTCTATTTTATTCTGGCATTTAAATGCTACATTAATTAGACAAAAAATCCTGACTCTGTTGTTATTTTCCTTTAGTACCTTGCAGATTTTACACCATTTTCTTCTTGCAATCCATATTGCTGTTGGAAATGTATTGAAAATTTGTTTATTTTTCCTTACCTTTCTTTCTGAAAGTGTTTAGACGTTTCTCTATTTTGAAATTCTTAAAATTTTACTATTTTTGTTCAGGTTTTATTCTTTGTAAATATTCTATTTGGCAACTTACAAGTATTTAGGATTTCTCCCTCCTCCCTGGCATTTTACTTTTTTATTTTTCTTAATTCTGGAAATTTCTGAGTTAATACTTTTTCAGATATTTCTTCTTTATACTTTATTTTTATTTTGGTGACTGCCTCTATACAGATTTTGACACTTCTATTTTACCTGTCTAAATGGCTATGTCCTAAGTTGACGTTATATTCTCTTTATGCCTTCCTAATACTTCCTGGAAAATTTCACTATTTGATCTTCCAGCTCATTGATACATTCTTCCATTGTGCTCAGTTTGTTATTCAACACTTCTTTTCGATGCTTTATGCACATTAACATGTTTTTATACCATATATTTCCAATTGTCTTCTTATAAACATTTATTCATAAGTCATGTTACCATTCTCTGTTACTCTTTGAAAATATTCAGTATCTTTAATTTCTTGTTTTATTTGGAACTCAAATTTGGCTTTATCCCTTGTATGATTTTTGGTATGATTATTTTCTTTTGTAATATTTGTGCTCTGCTGATGTAAGAAATCTTATAGCTTTTCCCTGAGAGCTTACATTTCCCTGTAAATAGTCGTTACTTAATATTGCCTTCCCAAAAGGCTGAAACCTAGGTTCTAGCTTTGCCTGCCCCTGCAGAGTTAAGAGTAGGAAAGAATTGAGCTTCAGAGTGGCGAATATCTGGAAGTATAATCTGAGATTGGTCTTGATTTGCTTTCTCTTTAGAGACCTTGCCTCTTAGATGAATGTCCATTTTTTAACCGTTTACTGAGACCTGCATTTGTGTGCTGGAGTAGAGGTGGTGGAAGGAGCCACTGAGGGCCATCAGAAATACCTGCACCCCTTATTCACTTGCCACCCCAGCAGGAATTAGTATAACCTGAGGTTTCTCTCTCATTCCCACACCAGTGCAGATACAGCAAGATTTTTTCAGCCTGTTCTATAGCAAAGGGGCAGATGATGATCCTCTAGGGGAAATGCAGGTAAAAGAAAAAAAAATGGAACTGAAAATATTTTCCCCTGGAGAAGCTTCCCAGTATTACTCACCCCTCTTCCACTGTGGGTATTACTGTCTTACAATGAGACTCAAATATAAATACATTTGTTTCCCTAGGAAGTTATTACAGGTTTTCACTAGTTCTAATTTGTAAACTCTCCTCCATTTTGAAAACATCACTGGAATGAGTTAAGGGTGAGGTAGTTGGGAGGAAGACAGCAGCTTCTTTTAGTCTGATATTTTATCCTCAGCAGCATTTCCATGTTTATACTTTTCATTCTTGCTCTAGTGAACAAGATGCTGATCAAACAGAGAGAAACCATAAAACATGTAATTTTTTCAGCAAATGTAGTCCCTGAGGGACTAGCAGCAGCATTCAGCGAGATAAAAACTGTTATCAGCAAGGAGCTACAGAAATAGGGTAGGGAATGTTTATTGCAATCTTACAGATTCACAGAGAGTGAATGGTATTTATTACTTCTCTTATACAGAGCTATCTTTTGGAATCACTGTGCATTCATTTTTCATCTAATTCTCCCTATAATTCCATGAGAAATTTTACATTATTGCCCCTATTTTACATGCAAATAGATTTTCACTTAGAGTTTTGATTTTTGTTAATAGCATCTAAGTGGAAGAACTCAGGGCTCTTCATTCCTGTATTATTGGTATAGTATTATTAATTGCAGACATGGCTGTTTTAATTATCTAGAAATCATAGGATTTCAGAGCTGGATAAATCTGAGTGGTCATCTAATTTGACTACTTCAAATTCTGAAGGAAGAAATGGAGGTGTGGGGAAGTTGGGTGAATTGAATATGTTAACAATCTAGTTTATCCTCAGTAGAAATAAAATTATTTCCCATTAAGTGCTTCTATGCACATTCTGTATGTCAATTTTGTTATTCCTCCTGGAAGATAACTATAGGATGCTTCATGAAGAATGATTCTCCTCTTTCCATTTTCTTAGAGTATATTGTATTGGGCTACGTATTTTTTTTTTTTTTGAAAATAAAATGTGCAATTAGAACTTTGGCTAAATTTATCAAAGATGAATATGAGAAATTAAATACATAATTTACTGAAAGTACAAAAGATACTTCAGTATTTTAAGGAAACAAAAAATAATAAAACTTTTTTTCTTCTTTAAGGCACTTTACACTGGTAAGTTGGTTTACCAGTGAAGTAAATGAATGTGAAATTGCATGAATCCTAATTATTTTAGATATTTTATTGTGAAGTTCAAGGTATTTTAATAATTATTTGCATTTTAAATGAATTTTCATTTATTCTTTTCTATTATTTCATACAGCACTAATACCACTGCATTCTTTGTGGGAACATAGAGGTAAATTCTACTGCCCAAATTCTATGCCACAGTTCTTAATTATCCAGACAATTCTAGATTTTAAAAGTCTGTTCTTTTAATAAATAATTAATTTTAACATACTGCCAATATATTTTACTTATATAGAAATGGAAAAAGAATACTGGCCTATAAAAGTAACTATTGTGCTTGATTATATATATATATAATATATAAATAAAATACATATAATAATATATAATTTGTTTATTTTTTTTACACTATGTCTAATGATTTGGGATTTGGGAGACAGAAGATCATGCTTAAATTTGAGCTTTGCTGTTGATTTCCTGCTTGTCCTCTTTGCCCCTTTAGATCCTCTCCCCACCTTTCTCCACCATGATTTGTATCCTCAGACTGCATCAAAAGGCTCTCTTATCCTCTGGTGATACGGTTTGGCTGTGTGTCCTCACCCAAATCTCATCTCCAATTGTAATCCCCATAATTCCCATATGTCCAGGGCAGGACCTGGTGGAAGGTGATTGGATTATGGGGGCAATTTCCCCCATGCTGTTCTCATGATACTAAGTAAGTTCTCACGAGACCTGATGGTTTTATAAATGTTTGACATTTCCTCCCACACACAATACCTCTCTTACCTGCCACCATGTAATAGGTGCCTGCTTCTCCTTTCCCCGTAATTGTAAGTTTCCTGAAGCCTCCACAGCCTTGTGGAACTGTGAGTCAATTACATCTTTTTCCTTTATAAATGACCCACTTTCAGGTAGTATCTTTATAGTAGTAGGAAAACGGACTAATACATCTAGTTTCTTGTTAGATTCAACCAATGCAACGTGGGATCAAGGATTTTATTGCCCCTGCTCCCTTCCTGTTGGGCACAGTGGATAAGAGGCTTCCCTTTACTGAATGTCACATGGCCTTCTCTACACATCTTTTTCTTACTGCATTTTGATAATTATTCTCTCCCCTTGGCCCTTTAAGCCTAGCAATAATAAGGACTTCCTACTTGGTTTGACTCCTTGTTGATGTCCCTACACCCTGAACAATAGTCCCTTCCTCAATAGTCCCTTTATTCAACTCTCCTCAGTTACCCTTCAAGTGTGCTATCTGTTTCTTGTCAGAACCCAAACTTATACATCATTAAATTACCTTCAAAAATCACATATGATCTTTTATGATCTTTGAATCTCAAATTTGTTATTTTTTTCTTTCTTTCTTTTTTTTTTTTTTTGAGACGGAGTTTCACTCTTGTCGCCCAGGCTGGAGTGCAATGGTGCAATCTCGGCTCACTGCAACCTCCACCTCCCAGGTTCAAGCGACTCTCCTGCCTCGGCCTCCAGAGTAACTGGGATTACAAGCACGCACCACCACACCCGGCTAATTTTTATATTTTTAGTAGAGACAGGGTTTCACCATGTTGGTCAGGCTGGTCTTGAACTCCTGACCCCAGGTGATCTGCCTGCCTCAGCCTCCCTCAAATTCCTTTTTCTATAATGAACATAATAATATCCATCACTGAGAGTTGTTGTGGCTTATCTTTGCTCTCAGGATAAAGTGCAAACTTGACAACATCAATTCAGGGCCTGTGCTTACTTACCTCTTCAGTTTTATTTTTTTGCCTCTCAATATCTATCCTCCAGCCAAATTGAAATACTCTGGCATCCCCATTCCTTCAATGCACTATGTTCGATGCATTAGCAACAATGTGTATCATTTGGGACACTTTCTTTCTCTCATCTGCTCCATTCCCTTCAGCAAAGTCTTCTGAGACTCACTTACACTAGAAAGTCTATTCTTACTAGCCTCATTCCCAACCTAAACTGATTGAAAAAAATTTTTAAATTTCCCAGTTGTCTTTTATTATACACTTTATAATGTTTATGAATTCCCTGCTTACTTGTCAGTTTCTCATTCTAGAATAAAAACTCTCTGGGTTAGGGACTATGTGTTGCTCATTAGGTCTTTCAGTGTCTAGCACCATCTTAGTCTCTCAATGGGTAGCAAATACAAGTTTATCATATGGCTGAATACACATGAAAATATAGGTTTTTTTGAGTTTTTTTGTATTTTCAGAAAATTAATTTACTATAAGTTGAACAAGTATATAATCAAAACAAAAACAAGTAAACAAATGTACCTTGCCAATCTACTCTTTGTTATTTTAATTACCTTGAACTTTATATATCTTTCCAAAATATGTTATCGAGGAGATGAGGGAGTATGCCCAGGCCTAATGTTCTTGAAAGTTGAGTGAATGTGGCCTTGGCAAACCACCGGAGGCTGCTGAAGATAATACCTGACCCCAGCTTGGCAATCACTCAACAAGAGGGGTATTATGGGATCATGAAATAAAACTTGGCTATATCATGTCCCCTAAGATGTTTCTTGGTTCTGAAAACCAAGGCTTTTATTAACTCTTTAATTTTAACAAGATTTGAAATGAAATTAACAGGGCAAAGATCTCATTCCTACCATTCCTTTTCCTATGGGATGTGATATGTTTAATGTCCTTTGTGAAATAATTTTCAAGAAGCCTGAAAATACAGTCTGGCCATAATTCCTTAGCTGTTTGTTGCTTTCTTGTTTATGCTTGCCTGAAACAGATTGAATAAGCAGGGACTTATTACATCTTGCTTCACATTCTGAGTGATGGGGAACGAGTCCATTGTGCATGTGGAATGCATTCAGTGAAGATCCTAATTTTTTCTCTTTAAATACAAAAAATTTCTAGGACAGTCTGTTTTCTTTTTGTTTGAAATATGTAATCATTTTATATAATTGATATGTGTCTATCTTATAGATTGTACTTAAACCTTTCTTGTCTTCTTAGTAGTGTTATTGGGCAATAAAAACAGTTTTTAAAGCTTGGCCATTTTATTTTATATACCTTTCTCATAATTTCACTTCTTGATTTGAATTCTTTCCATTTTTTTCCAAGAGGCAGCAGAAAATCACATTAAATGTACAATAATGCTTGTGTTGTGATGATAGAAGTCATTGAAGAATCTTTTAGTAGGGACTTCCAAATATAAATAAGGTTTCTGGGAGTTGGCAAGCATCAAATAACCAAACTTGGCTGCCAGCTGAATTATACATCTTTATCTTCATGTTACTATAGTGTTAAATCTGATATTCACTCTGATGGATTTTTTTTAATCACATATGACCTTTTCACCATTCATGCTGGGAAAATGCATATAGCAAAATTACTGAACAAGGCTGAGATTTTAGAACCACTCATTGACATTTTAATTTTTATTATATTCTTTTAAAAGAGCTTTCTTGTAACCTAGCTAATGAGAATGAAGGACTATTTTAACTAATCTTTACTCACAATTAGATATATTATTTTTAAAGGTTTCTTTATTTAAACCAGTTTCTAGAAAAGTGAATCCCAAAGTAAGGGAGGAAACTCCCAACGCACCCGCAACCATAGTGTTGTCATGGGGGAAAAAATACCACAGGCCCATCATTTAAATGCAAGACTTACCTGTTTATAAGAACTGTGCTCAGGATGGCAGGAGAGTGCTCACCAGCCAGAGGTGAAACTGCCACACCTAGTTTTTATTTTATTTTATTTTATTTTATTTTATTTTATTTATTTTTTATTTTTTAACAGATCACACTTACAGACTGTTCTTCCACCTACACTTAAGAACTTAAGACATCCTCCAAGATGTGCCTTGTGGTTAGCAGGCCACAGTGAATGACAGTGGAGTTTGAGATTATGGCACTTAGTAAAGAAAAAAACAAAACCAAACCATGCACTCGAGACTCTGAGATTAGCAAAATCTAAAAGGGCTATTTGAAAGGGAACTAACAGCATGCATTTAAAAGAGGTCACAGTGTTTGTCATAAAAGATTCAGGATCTATAAAGGGGATACAGCGTTTGTCTTAGAAAGTAAATCATTGAAGATCTCTAAAGACATAGGACTTGTACCAAAAAAAAAAAAAAAAAACACATTAATGATGTCCTTGTTAGTTGTATTTTCAAAATTTAGAGTGCAAGACAGAATATTTATTGATTATGAGGATCTGATTTCCTCCTCAGTGGGCAAAATGTTCTACTGGGATTTTTAAGGAAATATTAGACTTTAGATTTACATGAAATAAATGTAATTAGATGTTTAGGTGAAATAAACATAATTCAACATTACTAATATTTACTGTTTGAGTTGCCTTGGCTTCTTCCCATTGGCCAGTGTGTCATATGGTCACATAACATAGTTGAGTACATCCAGAATCCTGGAGGAAGAGTGGGCAAGAAGAACTGACTCTCATGCTTTCCTTTCCTTGCATCATACTGCAATATGTTGCAGTTGAAGTGTTTTCTAGTAAGTGCACTATACTTTGCTAAATAGTAGACTTTTGAAACACTTTGTAATACAAAAAAGGCTTTCATAAAAATCTTTTGTACCATACACAGCTTAGAAAAATAAGTGATACAACTTCTGATTTTGTCTTTGATGACAATTGGTAAAATGGTATCTTAGCAGAAATTAAAAACAGACTTACATGTAAAATGTTAACAATGAATGAAAAGATAATGATTTCCTGGGAAAGACTTATGCCACAGAAAGAAAGTTTTGAGGAGAGATACTTGGAAATGTTTGGATCTTAGGTGATTTTAAGTTCAATGTCGTGAAGTTATAACTAATCTTTCATATGTGCACAATTAAAACACTTAAACATAGAATTTATTATCTGTTTAAACAAATGAAAAGTTTTTCTTGACTTTGCAAATATTTGTATAAAATATAAAATAAAAACTATTATAAGTAATTTTTCAGAACAACTGATTGATATCAAGAAAGATGTCCATTTACTAGCCATATTACAGCAAATTTTTAAATAGGTTATTTCTAAAAATAATAAATGACTATCTTAATTAAGTAAGAACAGCCAATGATGGCTTTTTGTCTGTTCATGTCTGTATAACTTTTTCTAATTATGACAGTTGTCAAACTATGTACCAGAATAAATTCTTAAACTCAGACATTTGAATTATTCTATTACAAAAACTTAAAAAACTGAAATGAAAAAAACTTTACTCAATCAGTATTTTTGAAATAGTCACTTAACAATTAAAATAACTAAAATATTATATAATATTTTCTCAACTATTATACATTTCTCATTTCTGTGTATAATTTTTGAATATATATTTACAGAATGCTAAGTATACATCATGTATGAGCAACTACATTTACATGCACTAGAAGTGCTTGCTCAGAAACTTTTCTTGTTTTTCTAATGAAGTACTTGGTCAATAAATGTTTGCAAATTTCTAAAACTCAAAGGGATTCCTTATCTTAGATACATCTTCCAGATAACCAAATTAGATGAAAATGTGTTTAAAATGTTTCTACTCATTTAAACATAAAATATAGTCTGCTCCTAAATGGGCAAACTGAAGTAGCATGTTTAACACATGAACTGAGAAAATGTATAGCATACTAAATGGTATTCTAGAGAATAAAAGCAAGAATGTAAGAAATTAAATGACCTTTACTAACCTATCTTATGTAAATTTATCATGTGATTATTTACATATATATTTTTAGTTTCTGAACTAATTACCATACACACACACACACACACACACACAAACACACACACAGACACACACAAAGATAGAGAGAGAATTTTGTCATCTCTCCTAATGGAAAAAAAAAATCTCTAAAAAGGTGGATTGAGAATACCACATAGAATGAAGTCTCAACATTCCGTAACACGAGTAATTCAAGAGGCTTTTTATTTGGAGGACATTTATTTTCAAGTGCTTAGCTTCTTATGTTTGATAAAGAAATTATTTATAGTTCAAAAGCAATATTCTTGCCCCTATATGTCCATAGAATGATCACGTTTAAAATGAGCATGCTGTATATCATTAAGTGTATACTGTACATAATACATAATAAATCAACAGACTATATGTGACTGCTAACAGTTTCATGAAACATACAATCTTATTGGCTGGGTAAATCTGTACTTGATTTCAGAGAGAAAGAGAGGAGGGGAGACACACACACACACACACACACACAGAGATAATGTAGTTAAGGAATTTTCAAATGTCTATACACAATGGCGAGGGGTAGGGGTGTGAAGTCCTCTCCGAAGGCACCCTTAACACACACTAAAATTAGATGAAATAACATGAGAAAACAATTACTCTTCATGAGTTTGTACTATGTGGTCCATAGGTTGGTATCTGCCATTAATCAGAATTTATGGTATTTTCAATATGAGTATTAACCACGTTAGGAAAGCACTAAAAGCCTGTATAACTTTACATTTGTGTGGTTGAGTTTAGTAAATATTTATGGGAAAGAGACAGATAATTCCAAAACCCTAGACTAAGTTTGAACATACAAAAATCCTAATTTAAATGTATATATATATAAAGGGACTAAAACATTTCAGAGGTCCCTGTAAGAGGCCCCCACTTCCGATGACAAAAAAAGATACATTAAATAAATGAAGCCCCTGTGACGATACAGATGGAGTTATTTTGTGCCCCCTTAATCTAAAAATAAGACTAAACCAATTTTTCTGTGTCTTCTTGGAATAACTATTTGGCATTATCAGCAACCATGAATTTAGAACTCATTTGAGAGAAACTTTTTTTTTTAAATGACAGTCTTTGTTTTCTTCACCAAAGATATTGTAAACCTTCAAAACTCCCTGACCACCAGAAGCAGTGTACCTCTCTTTGGTCCTAGTGGTGGGAGAAGAGAATGAAGACATAACCTGTTTTCTATTTTGACTGTTACACCCTAGTGAATGGGGCTCTGTATAAGATTCTGTTCATTGACCACCCAGATTAAGATGGAAGCTAGGAAAAGAACTCAGAATACCCACACCTACTCATGGAAAATCTGCTGTCTAGGGCGGAAAGCAAAGTCTGCTACCACGGATGGGAACAAAAAAGGTAATTTAGGATACTTTTAAAAGCTAAATACTTTGTCATAGATTTTACCAAACTATTTCTGAATCAAAGCAAGAGCAAATACAATTTTGCTTGCCTTGAAAATGGGCAGCTGTTCAACGTGAACAAAGCTGAGGTGAGACACCTTGCACGTTGCTTGGAGACCATGGGACTCTACATTTTCAAGCCTCATTAATCTTTGCTTATGTTCTACAATTCCAGCAGGCTCTGTAGGTCTGTTTAATTACTCAGCATCACAGAAGTTGCCAGTTTCTTTTCTTGGAGCTAGTTTATTCATTCTAAATATTTAACCCTACTGCCCTTCACTTAGAGAAAAGCATTATATGAAAGATAGGAAATTGGAAAAACAATAAAGCTCTTAATCTGTTATTTTCACTATTAGAAGAAGAAAATGGCCTTGTCAGAAAAACAAGAAAGTGGTCATTCATGGAACTGGGTAGATTTTCACAGTTGACCCATTTACTCAGGCTCTGGGCTTTGTTCCTTAATTATCCTAAGAGATTATTCCAAAATGAAAAGCTATCATCTGTCCTGCATTATCAATAGGATTAAAAAGACTTCATTTTACCTTTGATAATCAGAAACATTGATAAATGCATTTAAAATATTTTAATAATATGAATTTATACTTTCAAATATTTGGTAAACAAAGATAACTGAATATTTTGATTTAGATTTATAAGTATTTTCGAAGTTTAAATTATGCTTCTTCAGTAAGGAATTAAGTTAACTAGGCTCAAAGAAGGCCATTGATGAAGTACCAAGTTGTGATTCTTGCTTGGTTCCTAGAGTTCTACTTCTGAAACCTGTTTCTATTAATAGTGCTTTAATATTTCACACAAATAAATGCAGAATGTTGGCAGTTTGCCTTTGTTGTGCTTACAGACTTCTTTCTGATATTCATGGAGGTACTGTGAGGGTTGTTGTAATAATGTCATAGCACTTCAGCAGCATACTGAATTTACTGAAATATCACCTTAGTGCCAGAAGGTGGCAGCTTTAGACCACTTTGAATTAACAAATAAGCTTGGCTTTGCAAAGAGGCTCTTATTACGTGTTCTTCTTAAGACATTCATGCAAGGAACCATCCAAAGGATGGCTTTAAATGATTTATTTTCTAATACAATCTTGATGAAAAATGACCTTTCAGAGTAGAAGTAATAAGTTTGGTCCCATTTGGTTTAAATCGAAATACAAGGGCCACTATTGAAAAATCTGCAGCTTTTTTGAAACTACCAGATTTATGATATCCGACTTTTACAAACAGTAAAAAAATACATCTAAAAGTAAAAAATTCATAGCCTTGCCCTTGGAATCTATAAAAATACTAAAGCTTCTAGTTTAGAGCTTTGAACTTAGATCTGAACTTCGATCTGAGCCCAGAAAGTATAAATTTAGGGCATATTTGGTCATGTCAGGCATATCAGGTATCTAAAGTTATTTAATAATTGTTTCTATTCCCTGAGAATTTTAACTAACTTCCAAGTACCATTAGCAATGAGAGAGATAGAAACAGAGAGAGAGAGAGAGAGAGAGAGAGAGAAAGGAAAACCAAGGTAAGAATGACAGCTTTAGGAATTATCTTTCAGAAAATAATAGTCTGGGAAATATCTTTCCAAAGTAGTAACTTAGGGGAAAGTGGATTTGATATGTTCAGGTTACAACCTTCTTATCCTCTTTAGGGTTTTCAAGAATTTTTTTTCAATAAGCTTCTTCTAATTATATCAGAAACCGGAAAATAAAAACAGGCAAACAACAACAAAACAGATATTTTATATTTATTTACATGATTTACAATAACATTATGTGACAACACTGACCAATGCTGACTTTCCACATCTTATTATTGTACCATTGTACCATTCAAAAGACTTCTTTTCTTCTTTTTAAATTAGGTTTGATATTTGTTTTTATATGCAAGTATGTCTGTGCACAAGAATATGAATTGATACATAAAAGATCTGAATATCTTTTCCTGGAACACTGCAGATAGCTAAAAAAATGAACCCTTGAATAGCTGAAGTAATTAACAAATTCCTTGTGCACTACAGTTTCATCAAATATTCCATATATGTGTTTCTTAAGATTTACGTATATTCTTTAGGAAGGCCTGTTGATAATCAAATAATAGATACTGAAGATATCAAATGTCTCCTACTATATTCTGGACTTATTTCTTGGAAATGTGTGCAAAATAACCCATTTTGGAAAGGTACATAAACAAATTATATTTTGAAAGCATTTGTCACCTTACTGTCAAGTGGACTACCGCTTGAAGTTACTAACCATGTGATTATGTGGTGAACTGGTAAGACTTTGGAAAAAAGGGTGGAGAGGAAAAGGAGATGTGCTAAAAAGAAATAAAACAGTGAAATCAATGAATTTCTAAACCACACATTTTGTGGTTTCCACAGGATTTCTGTTGCCATATGGTGTAGTTAATGCTTTATTTGGAAAGTGTTACCTGCATTGAAATAATGCATTATCAACCACTTAAATATTTTCAAGATTCCACCCAAATTCATGACATTTAAATAAGATTGAAAGCAAATTTTCAAGTTGAAATGTTAAAGATCAAATGATCTAGAGAAAATGTCTCAAATTCAAGACTTGCCTTCTACTCGCTGGTCTCATAGGAATTATCCTTTGGTGTTAGCATGAAGACATTGTTTTGTAGTCTTCGAGTGTGTGCCAATGTATTCAAAATGAAAAACACTCTGAAAATTTCTTGAATGACTAAAGCTGGATAGTGACTAAGAATTCTCAGAAGTCTGAGGCCAGAAATCAAAGATTTCTGATGGTGTTCACATAGGAAAGAAAATGTCATAATTGCAAATGGAGGGTGCTGGACCTGAAATCATTCACCTGTTCATTGTTACCATAAACACACAATAATTCCTGTTACCCTCGTTTGGATTGAAATGGTTTTGACCCTTAAAGGGTTTTTGAACATACATTCTAATGACATAACAGGCTGCCAAATGTTCGTGCTCCTCAAATTTTAATAACGAATACCTATATTGTTCAGGAGGCATGGGCAGACACAGGAATCTAGGATTCTAGGAAATTATGTTACTAGAAATTTCCATGAGAGTACAAGAATTAAATCCCCAAATTCTTCATACCCTAATGCAAAATTCAGATAGTTTACCAAGGAGTATATTGTTTTCAATGAATACCTAAAACAGCAATTCAAAATGATACTGCGTTGGAGGAACCGATGGTTCAGATTTTACTTCATTTCTTTGACAGTCACTTGACTCTGCTCTTTTTTAGGGATTAAGATAATCTCTTATCTCTACTCTTGAAAATCATGTGTAATCTCTTGACAGCTTTCCTAAAGGCTTAGCAACTGCTTTTCAATCACAAGGAAATTCACCTGTCTTTTTTTTTCTATTTAGTCGAGAGCGTTCTATAAACACACGCTTAAATTCAAACCAGTGTTGAATGTAAGTGTGTTGTAATAGCCCTAGACTAAAAGAATGTTTCTTTTTGGTGCCCAGTGGTATGAGAAGAGAAATGAATACAATGCTACTAATGCCTGTTATTTTCCTTGACTGGGAAAATACTTCACAGCATGCTAGAAATAAACTGCAGGCATCTTCCTCACCTCTGAGTGACCACCTTATGGATGATAAATCTAAACTAAGTTGATTGTGCCTTCTACAATTAAAATAGAAATGACAAATGGCTTGTTTTTCACACCTATATTTATTTCTTAATTAGTTTTTTCCTCTCTTTAGGCGGGCACTAGTTAAGGAGTTTCCAGTTGCATAAAATAAGAATACCTGTTATTATTATCATAGCTCCCATTTATTCAGTACTGAATTGGCCACAGGCATTATGATGAACCACTAGTTGATTCAACAATATTACTGAGCATTTATTATACAATAGATTTGGGCATCGACACCGGGCATACAATAATGAATAAGAAAGATGTGGTCTTCGAATCCAAAAACCACGTAACCTAGTGATGGATATAGAAAAGTAAACAAGTTCATTGTAAGTTCTCGAAAAAAGAAGATGCGCTGGGTGCAATGGACACATATCACAGAGAGCACCAAAGTGGGTGTCTGGAGAGGGTATGAGGGAACAACTCAGAGGATACTTATTCATTAAATAAACATTTATAAAACACCTACCATGTACAAAGCACTATGAGTAGCATTGGCGATAGATAGTAAACAAGAGACATAAATTCTACTATCATGGATTTTATTGTTCATTAGGGGAGACATATGATAAATAAATAAATACATTGTAATATTAGGGAGGAATAAGAAGAGTTAACAGTGTAACAGGATGTAGGGTTGAGGAAGGAGGACTACTCTGAGGACTGCCTTTGAGGGGGTAGTCTAGGAAGGACTCTCTGAGAAAGAGATTGTGAACCATGACCTGAGTGTTGCGCATGTGGAGATCTGAGGAGAGATCTGAGGAAACAGTGGTGGAAAGGCCCTGCAGTTAGGGTGTGCTTGGCATTGCTCAAGTTACACCAGGAAAGCCAGTGAGGATAGAGTGAGGATGTGATCCATGGGAAACTTTGAGAGTTTTACAGAGGGCAGGACATGCAAGATCTGGTAGGAATTTTTTTTTTTTTTCTGATTGGGATGAAAAATCTCTGGAGAATTTTGAGTAAGCAAGAGACATCATCTGATGTGTGTGTGTGTGTGTGTGTGTGTGTGTGTGTGTGTGTGTCTGTGGTTTGTTTTTTTGTTTTTTTTTTTTTTGAGACAGGGTCTCACTCTGTTGTCCATTCTGGAATACAGTGATGCAGTCACGGCTCACTGAAGCCTTGAACTTCTGGGCTCAAGTGGTCTTCCTGCCTCAGTCTCCTAAGTAGCTGGGACTACAGGTGTGCACCATCATATCCAGATAATTTTTCTATTTTTTGTAGAAAAAGCGTCTTGATATGTTGCCAGGCAAGGGTCTTGAACTCCTGTCCTCAAGCAATCCTTCTGCCTCTGCCTCCCAGAGTACTGGGATTACAGGTATGAGACACTGGTTTACACTTTAAAAGATGTAACTTTTAAAAGATGTACACTTTCTAACTGTCCTATGAAGAACAAAATGCAAGATGACCAGAGTGGAAGCAGAAAGATGAGATAGGAGGTTATTATAAAAGTCCAGGCGATGATGGGGATTTGAACTAACGTAGTAGTGGGGTAGGTTATGAGACGTGGTCAGATTCAGAATTTATTTCAGCGATATTGCTGGCAGGACTTCTTAGTGTATTGGATGTGGTATCTGAACAAAAGAGAAAAAGCAGCACCCATGTACAGCATTGTTGCCTGAGTAACTGGGTGAAAGGTAGGTTCTTTTGCTGATTGGGAAAGCCAGTTTTGAGGCAGTGGGCAATGGAGAGTGGGAGAAATGCCAAGACTTTCATTTTAGAACCACTAAGATTTTCAGGGAGGTCACTTAAGTTGAATCTTATGGATGTGTAAGAGTTCTTCAGGCTTCTGAGGAGAAATGCAGGAATGGAGTTTTACTTTGCCCAAAGTCACTCAGTCTAGATCTAGAGTTTTAACTCGGGTCTGACAGATTCCCAACATCTGTATTCTTTCTACCCTGTTCTACTCTTCGTCCTTAGCAACCAATCTAGGGATAGTAAGCATTTTCCTGTTTTCCTGTGGGCTTCTTTAGAATTTCTTGGTTTTAAAGAACCGTGGAGCAATGAAAGTAGCACAGTTGTCCACAAAAATATGGAGCGTAGCTAGCTTTGCCTGGTAGTATAAGACTGCTTCCAGACTAAACTGTAGAGGTGGCAAGCTCTTCAACATCATCACTCTACTGCTCTATCAGGTTTACAATAAATGACATTATTGTTGTTACATTTAAAGATATCTGTATATGTACACACATACAGATATCTGTGTGTATACACACACACACACACACACACACACACACACATAGCACTACACAAACATATATTTATTTATCCAACTAATTATTTTTTTCTGCACTGGTGTACATCTGTGCCATATCAGTTCTGTCTAACTAATGCTGTCTGGAAAAAAAGGAAAAACAACTCCTGGTTCACAATGAATGTAAAATAATCTTGATATTCTCTGTTGCAGCACCATTTGTGAAATTTATGTCATAATCTGTGGTGTCCAAGCAAACCTTATATATCAAATTTAAAACTACATATTTTTATAAACACTGTTATTTTTAGTCCCAGACAGTAGGTCCGTATCACATATTAGAATTTCCAAATAGTTTAAGAACTGTCACTTCTTATTAGTTCTTATAACTATTTATTAATCCACTGAAGAAATATTTGCTGAGCACCTACTACTCAATGCACTGTGGGAGAAACAACAATAAAATGGACTCATGAGCTCAAGACATACGATTCATGAGGGACTCCAGATTTAAGTTCACATGCACACCTAGCTTGGGCTGTTTGGACACTTACATTCTTTTCTGTAATTTCACATGCTAGACACCCGTCCTTACTCAGTGGAACATTCTTTTCTCCATCTACATGTCTACCTCCTTCTTATAAGCTCAGTTTCTGGACTACACAGTTTGCCATATAGACTTCCATAGAACTTACAAATTTATGTTATATTTGCTGATTTTATTTTCTAAATTTTCTACCAGACTGTGAATATATTAGGAGCAAAGAGTTTTTATTATTTAATCCTGTATACCCTTGGCTTAGCAATGTGCCTTGCACATAGTAATCATCCAAAGAATACCTGTGGAATGACCAAATGAATTCAATACTGGTATACACTACATGGGGGCAATTTAATTTCATTCATTAAATTTCCTTTATTTAAAGAAATTAGGAGAATGTGTTTAGCAACAGAGCTGAATAGTCACACACTCAGCTAAATGATTATTTATTTATTGTATATTTAATACTGATTCTACTTCTAACTTATAATTAAAATTTGAATAGGTTCAACATATGGGATTGCTTTCTTTCAGAAATTCTATGTTGAAAAAGAAGGAAGGTAAAATAGTCTATAGTTCTAGAAATCTTCCCAAATGTAAGATTCAAATTAGGTCTTTATATGTTTTGATTCTGTTATAAGCATGTAGTATTTGAATATTAGCAGGGTAGGAAAAGGTATGGGGAAGATTAAAAAAAAGTAAGTTTTTGGGAGTATATAGAGAATTGTTTTCTACTAGCAGTAAGAAAGCATTGAGCTGTGCAGTCAGAAAATAAAATCTAGAGGGTTTGATGATTGGTGATGGCACTGAAGCAGAAGAAGACCCAGAGAAAATGGTTAACTGACCGATTTTACTTTTATGGAGAAGATGGTAAACTGGTTATTACAATTTGGGCCATTCCCTAGACAGAGTTGAAGGAAAGAGCAGAAGTATAAATGACCATGTACAAAAGGCCAGAAAAAAACAAGGATTGCTTGGAGATTGGGCAGAAGTTTTGTTAGCTAGAAATTGAGTAATTTGGAGAAGAGGTTTTTTAAAAAATAGACTGGATCCTTAACATAAATAGGTTTCTATAACATGCACAGCCATAGCCTGTTTGCAATACAGAGTTGATTCAGGTTCTTAACAGAGTTGACATGATTAGCTTTGCAAAGATTACACTGTGATCATATAAAGAAATGCTTCAGTAGCTTGGAGGTATTCATTATTGATTTTCCAGCACATGAAAGAATTCCTAGAATCCTGTAGTTGCCCAATTAATCTTCGTGGAATGAATAAATAAACATAATTAGTCAATTGCTAGATAAAAGAAATTCTGGTTGTAGAAGAGCTGGGACACTATTTCAGAAGTTCAGGCAAGAGATGAACGAATTTGGAGAAGTGGAACCAAATTGGAAGATAAATTTGGTGCAGAATCTCTGAAATGTCTGTATTCTCTAAGAAAATATAAAAAAGAAGAGAAACAATGCAAACACCAAGAAAGATTATGAGTTTACTTTTAAAGGGTTTGAGCTGGTGGTTGCCATAGGACATTAAGATAGACAGGTTCACTCATGCCTGTAATCCCAGCACTTTGGGAGGCTGAGGTGGGCGGATCATTTGAGGTCAGGAGTTTGACACTAGCCAGGCCAACATGGTGAAACCCCGTTTGTACTAAAAATACAAATAAATTAGCCCGCGCCTGTAACCCCAGCTACTTGGGAGTCTGAGGCAGGAGAATCGCTTGAACCCGGGAAACGGAGGTTGCAGTGAGCCCAGATCATGCCACTACACTCCAGCCTGGGCAACGGAGCAAGACTCCGTTTCAAAAAAAAAAAAAAATATATACACACACACACACACACACACACACACACACGTTCAACAGAAAGGAAAATGAAAGAAATATTAAATCTCATTTTGTCATTCTTGGAGGCATTTAACCTGAGCAAGAGTCTAAGCCATAGTAGTGGTGAATGCCATTTCTCAAAGACAGCTTGGATAGGGTAACCTGAAAATGGGAAAAAAAGTGAACCAGAACATTTCTGCTCATAAAGAACCTCCACTCTAATGAAGAGGACAAATATGGAGACTAGATAATTTACCATAGAGTAAAACATTTTTGCTCACAAAAGAACAAATTTCTGAGCAAATATTTAAGTTGTGGATTAGAGAAAAGTTGTCAGAGAAAGAGAATATCAAGAGACAATTTGGGGATAAGAGGACAGGAATCAGAAAACACCAAGGAAAAAGAGTTTCATAGAAGATCAAGAGTATTAAAAGTCCTTTATGGTTATGACTTACCATATTTTATCTTCTTTTTTTATGGTATTGTTTCTATTATTACTTGTTTTGTCTATTCATTTACCTTCTCTTATTGTTCAAGATTCATAGATCCTAATGTTTTTCTTAAGTTGCAGATCACTTCAATTAAAACGTAATGTAGAAGGTGGCATTATATGTAAAACATAAAAGCAGAGTTCTCTGGTTGAAGTGTAGGGCTTTCTGAGCTCTTCTCTTTCACTGTCTCAAAGCATACCCTGAACGTTTGAAAAAGCATGCTTCTTGATCATTTCTCCCATTTAAATTTGCTGTTCCTTCTTTGAACCTTTGAACATACCCCATGTTTCAGTGAAACTGGGCAAGCTACTCACATTTCCATTTTTACTGGGATATGTGTTTTTAAATATGCTCTTCACTCACCTCAAAAGAGCTCCACATTCCTAAACCCCTCTGCTCCCTTTATGCTTGGCTGACTTCTACTAATCTTTCAGGATTCAGTTTAAAGATTAACTTATCTATGTCGTAGTCATGTATTACTCTGCATCATTTAGTGTAATGATTCTCTGCATCATTAGGCTACCACACGTATTTTTTTTAAAAAAACTTAACTCTTCTCAAAGTGTGTGTGTGTGTGTGTGTGTGCACGGGCACGTGCACGTGTGTGTGTGTGTGTCTTGGTGGCTGTTTACACATTTTTTTCTCAAAATTATACAATTATTAAGGTAATGAGTGTTGTCTTTCTTTTGTGTAAATGTAAAATATAGTACTCGAACACATTAAGAACTCTCAAGAGCCAATAGTGTTAATTCTATAATTTGTTTTCTCTATCAAAACCTGATACTTACATCATATTATATTTTTAAATAAAGAAAGCCTAAGGTCTGTACTAGGCTCCTCAATTTCTTTTTTTCCTTTTCTCTTTCAGATCAATCCAACTGTCTATCCTCTCAGGAAAAATTTTCAGATCAATCCAACTGTCTATCCTCTCAGGAAAATTAGAGGTGATTGTGAACCACAATAACAGGAAGTGTGAATGCTGATTTCTCCACAATTTTTCCAGCTTTGTTGAGGTATAATTCGTATACAAAAAAAAAAAAAACCCTGCACATAATTAATGTACATAATTGGAAGAATTTGGAAACTACACAATTTTGTATTCCTTGTCAAAAGGTTGTGTGTATGTGTGTTTTCATGTATACATTACTTAAATATGGTGAAGGAAAATGCTCAAAATTGCGTTGTGTATTTGTAGATACCTATGAGAGATGAAAGGCCAATTGTTTTATACAGCATCTTCATGAGCACTGGGGAACTTTGGTTATACTTAGGTATAATTGACATTATACGAACTGAACTTGATGGGGCAGCATCAGATAACCTCCTTGTTGATTCTTTTTTTCCAGGAGCAGTGATCCTTCTTCTATTCCAATTGGTGGCATTTCAGGCACACCCCACAGCTTCTCTGACTACTTCTATTTCTCAATCTAGTTCCAGGACCAACTTAATCACACTTCCATCTCAGATCCAATTCACATCTCTCCCTTCCCCCCTCCCCCAGAGCAGGCCTGGTGTGAGATAGGTAGGCAGGGATGGGAAGGGAGGCTGGGTCTGATTTTGTTGTTGATGTTATCTCTGCGTTCTTCCTCATCTACCATTCTTTGGTGGGTTCTAGCCTATCAAGCATCATCCTGTAAGTCAAGGGACCATGTGATTAGAGGAAACTCTATGTGATGGGTGTTATGGTAATTAGACCTTCTCTTCCTTCCTTGTAGCAGAAACAACAAGCTGACTCTTTTGTGCCATTTATTGGGTTCTTAGGCAAACACTCTCCCACTCTCTTTCCTGCTAACAATTCATTGTTGGGTTTTTTTTTTTTTTTTTGAGATAGAATCTCACTCTGTCTCTCAAGCTGGAGTAAAGTGGCACAATCTGGGCTCACTGCAGCCTCAACCTCCTGAGCACAGGTGATTCTCCCACCTCAGTCTTCTGGAGTAGCTGGGACTACAGGTGCGTGCCACCAGGCCTGGCTACTTTTTGTATTTTTTTGTACAGAAAGAGTCTCATCATGTTGCCCAGGGTGGTCTCGAACTCCTGGGCTCCAGGGATCTACCCCACCACCGATTTTGGCCTCCTTAAGTGCTAGGATTACAGGTGTGAGCCACCACACCTAGCCACAGTTTATTTTCTGATGACTGTGTCATATTTTCTGGTTAATCTCCTTCATTTCTCCCTCCACTGCTTCTCTTTGAAGGCACAAGTGTGGTGACACTGTACCCACCAATGTAGCCTTTGTAGTAGAGTGCTTTTAGTACCACCAGAGTCTGGCTTCTTTAGTCTAAAGGAAAACTCAGTTACCTGCCCCTTCAAACTCTGTCCTTACTCCTTTCCTGTCTCCTCATCCTGCCTATTCATGCTGCTTCAGCCTGCCTTTTGCTTTCTGACTTCTCCAAGAGAAAGGAAAACATGAGCACCAGTCTCAATGCTCCACAAATTCCAAAGGACATATTGAAAGCTTTTTTCAGAAATATTCTTTCACTGTGCTCTTGTGGCAGCAAAGAACAGGTTGACAAATTTCTCTACAAATATCCTGCTGGGGCATAAGATTCCAATCTGCCTTCTTCAGAGAACTCTGTATTCTGTCTGTGGCTCACTTGAGGAAGAAAGGGAGAATGCCAGACAGTCTTAAACGTTCCCAGTGTCATCAAAGACAATTCCCTCAATGAATCTCTAGCCTTGTGTTATTTTGAATGAGGAAGGAGTTTTGTTGATAGAGCAGAGTGGCCGCACCTTAGTAAGTCTTTTGGGAGTATGTTTAGTGCTTCTCTTAAAAGGTGAAGGTGTCAGTCACTCATTGTTCTCACATTTGATGATTTAGGCTGAAATTCCAAGACAATAGGGAAAACCTTGTTTTGAATTTGCTTGTATCATGTAATTATTTCTTCTATTTTTCTGAATTCCTCTAACCCACAGCACGGTTTCAGACACCTAAATAGCCACATAGAAATAGTAGAAGGCTCAATAAGCTTATTTATGTTTAAATAAATTAGCACCTTCCAGGCAAAATATAAATAACAAAATACTTTATGCAATTTTTTCTCTCACTGTAATTAAAATTTTCTACTGTAACAATACAGAACTGCTGCTTGTTTAAGCAATTAGTCTACATAAGCCTTTTCTTATCCATAGTAATTTGTATTCATTGAAAAGCACATGTCCTTGGAATTACTGAGCACGCATAATGACATTCCAAGACCTTGAGGCACCATTTCTTTCCTCCTTATTTGACTGGGGATTTAAGTATGGCTTACCACATATACCATTTCTACATGACTGTGTACAATATGAAAAAGAGTCTTTTGGAAATGACATAGATAGGCTTTTTGGAGATAAAAGTAAACTAATCAGAATCTGTAATTCATTCACGTGAACCAATAAATCTGGGTTCTGAAAGATATTAAATTAGGTCTGAAATAAATCAAGTGGCAGTGTGAAAAGAATTTTAATGATGGTGGAAGGTATTTCCCAGCAGGACTACTTACTGTGTGTGTGTGTGTGTGTGTGTGTGTGTGTGTGCACAATATGAGGTGTATCTCCACTATGGAAATGACAAGTGTAGTGGAGGGTGGACAATATCATGGATTCTTAGATTCAAAGAAATTATTTTTAAGGCAATTTACATTGATCTTTTTAAATCAACCACATTCTTAATAATAAAGTCAAAATTGTAATTCATGTCTATGAATCAGTATTGAATCTACTATTTACCAAGGTTATTTGAGCATCTCTGTGACTAATTTTCATACAAACATAGTGACTGAGTCACTATTGTAACTGAAATCTCTCCGTTTTCTTATCATTGAAGATGACCATTAAACCTGGGTTTTAAAAAATTCTGTCAAAATGTTTAAAATTAAAGCCATGAATGTGATACAACTGAGTACATGATCTGATTGGGTTACACTAACTATTAAAAATTGGACAGTTCTTATTTACATAGTTTAATGCCTTCCTGAATGACTGGAATGAATTACCTTAAGTCATTCGGCCAAAAAACTGACTTTGATTTTTAGTACAGTATACGATAGCATAATATAGTCTTATATTATAACATAACTAATTTGTGGTATAGTGTACAATAGTATAATATAGTATATATAGCATAATACATTTTGCTAGAGTATACTATAATTTATAGAATAATAGTATTTCAGAACAATATGTAATAAAAGAGATCATCTACCAATACCAGTAAAAACTGGCTACAAAATGTAGAAAACACTAGAGCTTATGAAAATGATACAAAAGCGATTCTGGGAACTTAATTTACAGACACCCGTAATGGCTAAATATTATAAATGAATTGTGCCACAGTTGACTTACTCATGTTAAATAGGCAAACTTCTTTCTAATACAGTGATTTCTAAGTGTAGAAGGTACACTGTAGGTACTTTTAAAAACAATATAAAGGCATTCACTAATAATTTTAGATTATAAGCCAGATAATGCATTAGAAATAAAAAGTTAGGCTGGGCTCGGTGGCTCACGCCTGTAATCCCAGCACTTTCAGAGGCTGAGGTGGGTGGATCACTTGAGCTCTGGAGTTTCAGACCAGCCTGGGCAATATGGTGAAACGGCATCTTTACAAAAAAGTACAAAACATTAGCCAGGTGTGGTGGTGGATGCCTGTAGTCCCAGCTACTCAGAAGGCTGAGGCAGGAGTATCACTTGAGACCACAAGGCAGGGATTGCAGTGAGCCAAGATTCATGCCACTGCACCCCAGCAAGTCTCGCTCTCTCACTCAGACACACACACACACACAGACGCATGTTAAAATTTCTTTAAGTGAAATGCAAAATTCCACTAATATTTAAAATCAGTCATTTAAAATGACTATAAACCAATTATAAAATCATTGATGTTTAAATCCCTTTGTATATATTTGAGGTCTTTTCTGTGGTCTCAATGTATCTTTTTTAACAAGGATAGAAGTGTGGCATAATTGAGAAGAAAGGGCATAAAAATAAATGAGGATCAGATGGTAAGAGTAGAAGAAACTTGGGAAAATAAATTGATGCTATTAGGAAAGAGAGTGCTCAGGGGAGTCATGGTCACTGGAAATTCCGTATCTTTGGGATAACAAACACCATAATAAAGGGAAAGGGAAAGAATTATTCACAGTCTCTGAAGATAATAGGACAAAGAACAATGGACAAAAGCATGGGAAAAGAAAAGTAGTGCACTACAAGAAAAAAAATCTGAATGTAAAAGGAAATGGGCAGAAGAGAGACTTTAAGGAAGACAAAAGATGCTGTGCTGTAAACATTTAAGGGCAGAACATACACTACATAAGCTGAGGTAATGGAGGGTGTGAATTTACTACAAGTAAAATACATAAGTCTTTCTATTTTATTGCACATAAAACAGTCTCTATAATGGTAACTGGTTCTGTTTATGTATCTGTCAGATTTGATCAGAGAAACAGACCATTGGAAAGAGATATAATAGGATCTAAGGGATGTATTAAAGATGCCTGACTTTATGGGAGCTGGTTAAACAGTTTTTTGTGGAACTGTTGTGTTTGCACATGCAAAAGGAAGAAGGATAAGGAAGTTGAAGAAACAAGGACAAACTAGAACCTATGGGAATGGGCAAGAACCCATGACACTGTCTGGAAGCTGCTTCCATTTCTCAATATCTCCATGCCTCTAGTTTCAATCACAGGAGTGCTCTGCAGGATATGTTGGCCACTCTCTACATGGGCCAGATGTTGGAAAACCAGAAGGAGGATCTGATAATGCAATTTCTATGAGCCTGGCTATTGCTCAGGCCAAGCAGGTGGTCCAACAGATAGGCCACAACGTGGGTAAGCTGCAACAATACCTCGTGCCCTGTTCTAAACTTAAAAGCATGTGAAACAGGATTCTGCTGTTCCCCTTCCACCCTCCAAATTACATGAAAATGGCCTCTGTGGCCTACACTAATCTGAATCTATGCAGGGAATTCTGGGAAACAATTTCATCATAGCTACATTGATACTAGCAAATGTACCAAGGTATAATTTCAAACTTCTCCCACTGAATTGTCAATGAGATGCAATAAAGATGAAGTAATATAGTAGACCTCAAACTTTAGGTGTATCTGAATTTCCTAGAAGGCTTGGTTTGTTAAAACACTGATTTCTGGGCCCCACCTCCAGAGTTTCCAATTTAGTAACAGTGTTATTAGTTGTTTCCCTAGAGAAACAGAGCAAATATGATGTATGTGTGCATGATAGATACCGTATATATGTAAATATATAGAGAAAGACTCATTTTAAGGAATTTGCTCATAAGATTGTGGAAGCTAGCAAGTCTGAAGTGTGTAGGGAAGACTGGCATGCTGGAAGTCCATGGAAGAGCTGATATTTCAGCTGAAGTCCGATGGCAGTTTGGAGGCATAACTTTTTCTTCCTTGGGGGAGCTCAGTGTTTTTCTCTTAAGGCCATCAACTGATTGGGTCAGGCCCACCTACATTATGGAGGGCAATCTGTTTTCATCAAAGTCTTCTGTTTAAATGTTAATCATTAAAAAAATACCTTCACAGCAATATCTAGACTGGAGTTTGACCAAATGTCTGGGTACCATGGCCTAGTCAAGTTGACACATAAAACTACCCATCATAGTAGGTCTGAAGCAGGACCTGAAAATTTGCATTTCTAGCAAGTTCTCTTCTCCAAGCAAATCCTTCTATTTAGCTTGACTGAAACTACTTAAATGTTTTGCCCATTCCTAGACCCATAACAGTTGTCAGGGAAATGCCATGCATTGATTGGCTCAAACTAATCAGGGTTACATTAGCCCCAGTAGATCTGCTACAAAATATACGTCACATTAATTAATTAATTAATTAATTTAGAAGGGAAGATGTCCTTTGCATAAATTAGGTACTTGATTCTCTCTTCCCAAGACAGCTTCTTCCTGGGTTCAGGTATTTGAAAACCCAACTTAATAATCATAGGACTATTAGCACATAGGGCGTACTTTAAAACTTTAGTGGGAGGTTTTGCATGCCACATTTGCAGCCACCGGGCCAGATTCATGTGGTTACTGAGCTCCAGTAAACAGGGGTAAGATAGTATGGTGCTTCTTTTCAGAATAACTTAATTATGAAAAGTATTTATAATCTGCTTAAGGGGGCTTTCCTGCTTTGTTGTGGCCACAGTGACTCTTCTTGCAGATTCTTTGAGTGTTGTAGGAAGCAGACTACAGGAAGAAAGCAATCATTTTTACAGTCTAAACCCTTTCTACTTTTAAATTATTCTTCCAAAAAGCATACTTAAAATAACAAAATCAAGCAGCAGTTTTTCAGTTTCCAAAACAAACCAAGGATACAAAATCTGTTATGTTCTGTTATACTCTTTATATTGCAATATAAAAACAATTATTGTCAGTACATTTACACAATGGGTTTGCCTAATAAGCCTCCCACATCATTCCCCAGAGATGCATTACAGTCATCTCTTATGCACCCATGGACCCTCAAGGTGGTGGGTCCACCAGCATTCCCTCGTGAATCATGGTGGAACACGGAAGAATCAGGAAGCAGTTGTGAGACAGGTTAGAGGTACATTTTATTTTTGCCGTAGAGAATACTGATGGGTCATACCTGCCTACTGGGACTAATGTGAAGTATAACTGCATTGTTTAACATGAACACTGTCACATCAATCAGTCTACCAAAAATTACAGTTGTCTGTGATGCATGCCAAGTGCATCAGTATCAGTGCTCAGTATATGTGCTCATTGTGGCTTCTCAAGTTTCTTCTGTGTCTCGCGGAAGATATGCTTGAGATGGTGGTGATGTAGGGTGATCTTCTTTAGGGCCCTGAGAATTTCTGAGAGTTTACCAATTTTGTTATACGTCCATTCATATCACCCTCATAGTTCAACATGAAAAACATATTTAAAAACAACTTTTAGTAATCCATTTAATAGCCACCAGGCTCTTTTATCAAGGTTCCTACATATAACTTCTTCCTGTACCAGCACGGTGCCATTGCATGATGTGGTCCATAGGCAGGACTATAAGCATGAGGCATGGCACATGGGCAGTCACATTGCAAATATGTAACAGTCAGGTCGGAGAGATGAGCTCCTTACAAAGTACAAGGAAGTCTAAACAAAGGGGTCTTACAGCCTACCTTTCTGGCTCCGTCATCCAGGCTGGAGTATAGTGGCACCATCTCGGCTCACTGCAACCTCCGCCTCCTGAGTTCAAGCGATTCTCCTGCCTCAGCATCCTGAGTAGCCGGGACTACAGGCATGCGCCACCATGCCTGGCTAATTTTTGTATTTTTAATAGAAATGGGGTTTCACCATGTTGGCCAGGCTGGTCTCGAACTCCTGACCTCAAGTGATCTGCCCACCTTGGACTGGCAAAGTGCTAGGATTACAAGTGTGAGCCACCCCGCCTGACCTGACAGCCTACCTTTCTAGACATCTTATAATTACAGAAGCTACCATGAATTGAATGACATGTAACTCACAGATGCTATGCTACACACCACAGGTTTCATTTACTTGTTAATTAATTTCATTTAATTGTTATAACCACACTGGAAGAGAACTATAATAATAGGGGCAACTTAATTTTTGATATTACATTTAGAAGTGCAAAAATATGTATTTAATTTTCTTAAAACTGATTTGCCCTTCTTTATAAAACTTCCATATTACTAGAAAATGGGAAGGAGTCAGGAGGAAACTAAATTTATGTCTCTTTGGGAAAGTTATCTCAGTTTAACCCCAACATTTAAATAGTTTATTTAGGAACCCAGTCTCTGGGGAAAATGTGAAGTACTTTGGATCTTCTCTCTCTTTCTCAGTCTCTTCTGGTGGCCTATTTGTAGGGGCAAGCCAGGGACATTATGTGCTCAGTAGTAGTTGGAAAGAAGAGGGCTTGGGACCTGCTCATGAGGTTCTTGAAGATTCATTTGGATTCTTGCAGCCCTGCTGGTAGTTTACCCAGAGCTGGCACTTCTTAGGAGAGTCATAACAATCCATTGAATGGGAGCCCATTTTTGTCTTGCTGACGCTGTGTGTAACTCAGCCTGAAGTTTTCTGATCTTTGGTTAAAGGTCCTTGATGCACCCCATTTCCTCCCGAAACACACAAACACTTCATCAACTCTCCATGGATATTTTCACTACAAAGCAATATCAGCTATCTTAATTACTTGTATCCTTCTCTAGGGCACATATAACCCAGTGGACAGCTTCAAGATTATATAGGAAATCAAGATGTTCTGGCAAAATACACTTGTGCTGCCCTGCTGGATTAACTTTGTTGCAGCTGCCCTATTGTGAGATATCTCTGTGTGGATGCTCCATGAGGAAGTTTCTTTCCAGAAATTCTGGTAGTATATCGGCCTCAAGCTCTATTCTCACTCTTGACTTTCAATTCAACCTATTTGACTTATCTCCCTGCTCTGGGAATTCTATTCATATAGAGGAGATTAGAACATATATATGTATTGCCTCCCCACCCTTTCCATTACCTTCTTCTGCTTTCTGGTGGAACTTTTTCCCAACCTAGCACTGCATTCTGGATTCTTTGGGGCTATATGGCATACTGCTATAATAATGGCTCTTAATGAATAAGCCTCCCTGTGTTCATGACCCTTTGCAAAGGACTGTGCTGCTCCTGCTAACAAGAGGAGGAGTCACTTTATGAATTTTAATATTGCATTTTAAGGTATAAAGACAAAAAGGCTAGAGAAGTCAAATAATTTACTCAGAGCAATGTAGCTACTAATTAATGGATTGGAGCTTTAGCAGAGAAGACTCCAAAGGAAAGGTGGACAGAGGCTTCTTTGAAAAATTAATAATTTCAGAATGTCTAAACGTTCCAGTGCTTCTTCTTGTGATTTATAGCATTTTTCCATCCATATAAATTCTACATTCTGTTGATGAAATGATTAATTTTCAAACCCAAGAATCCTGATTAAAGCATTAATCACTATGTAGCAAATTAGCTTAAGTCTTAAGAGTAAAAAAAAAAAAGTGTGTTAGTTTGTGTTTTGTCTATTTTCCAACCGATTGCTGCCTCTGCATGAAGAAAACAACACCTTAGGTGTGAAATATTAGCACAAAATATCACAGCATCTTGGGAAAATGTTATTTTTTACCCAAACACTTCTACCCAAAGTGTTTCAGCCAACAGTTCTGCTATTTAAAAAGCTCTCATTTTCCTTAGTGGTTAATCTTCTTTGTACTTCAGTTTTTGTCTTAAAAAAGAAAACTCAGGCTCTCCCTGTAGAAGTCTGCTGGGTGACATAAATCTGAACACTCTTAATGCTTAGAATTGTCAAACAGAAACAGCAAATCTTTGGGAAAGAAATACTTCCATGCTAGAGAAAGAGATATTTGGTTGTGAAAATTTTGCCTTTGAAATGACAGCTTAGATCTTGGCTGATTAAATAAAATTGATTTACCTGAAGTATAGAAAAATGCTATAAGTGGAAGCAGAAAATGTTATTAAATTAAGTTTAATGTAAGCATTGGAAAAATCTATTCACATAATAAAGACCAAATAGATTTGACATTTGGAATTCTCCTGCTATCACTTCATACTTATTAGAAACAATTCCTTTTAGTTTAAAATAAAGAGAAAATAAAGATCCTCCAAATATATGAGTTAAATCAAATTATTATTTCATAGGATTAAATTGAGGATGTTTTTTACCTAATTCTGCTAATATGCTCATATATTTAAAGTGGAGAGAGAAACAATCAATAGTAAAATTGAAAGACAACACTTCCTTTTCCTAAATGTAATGATTTGTCATTGGGGGGAAATGTGTTATAAGTTCTTTGTTCAGAAGAATAAAATAAATATTGAAGGAAATTTGCAGACCATAGAAAATATAAAGAGATGAATTTTGCTTCAATAAAGAACTCATTATAAAATAATCTTTGACTTTTAGTTTAAAAGGATTAACAAATTGGCTTGACATTTTCTTTATAATGAGATTGATCCTTTGAACTTACTAAACACTTTTTATTGGAATAACTCATTTTTTTAAAGCAGCAAGTAAAACCTTTAAGTATCCCAGGTGGGAGGATAAATGTAATTGCTGTTATTTCATAGGCTTGGGATAGTTTGAATTAAACATCTCTACAGGTTTATGGTGACAATGTTCTTGGTAGGTCTACTATCTTATAGTTGATCTCTGCTCAGTCTCTGAAGCAGCATCTTACCACAACCTCTTGCTTAAAATATGTACGCCAATTGAAGTTGAGTTGGATTATAACACTGGAATAGTGGGAAAAGAGAATAAGGTAGAATTATAGAAGTGGACATGTGAAAAGAGAGCTGAATTACCTGTTGGCCTAGGCCCTGAGGAGGGGAGCTTATTATTGTTCAAAGGCTTGTGTCAGGCCAGCTTTGTTTTCCCCTGTAATTTCAAATGGGTCAATAGAATGGGCATTTGGTACCTTCAAGTAGCAGTGATAGTTGGTGTCAGCTGACTGGCAGCATTCCACAGAGTGGCTAGACCTAAAAAGAGTACCCCTCAGGAAGATGTGACTGGCAAGAGCAATGTAGATGTCAGACATCTGAGATCCAGAGCAAAGGATTAGTCCTGGAATGAACCTGTAGTTATATGCAGAAACTGAGGAAGTAAACCAGAAATAAAAATGAGGCATATTCATCAGGGCTGAGGTGAAGGCAGTGACTTGGTTCATTCTCCCAGACACCCTTGTTGTTATAGTTTAAGCTATCAAATCAGTTTCTGAGCCCAATAGTTGTAAGGACAGAATTACATTTCCTGCCTTAATTAGGATGTATATAGGTGCTGAATTAAGTTTAGCTTGCAAATTAAAGACAACACTGTCATTAAAGTGGGGTTGGGAGAAAAGGGATAGTATATATGTGGCTACTGAGGGTAGGGGTGTCAGAAACTACAGGGATTTAAGGAAGAAAATTTTCTTGCCTTGTGTTTATTCTCTAAAAGTAAAGCCTTCTTAGAAGGAGAGACACATTGACAATGAAACTGGCTCCTCTTTATGGTACTGCCATCCCGAAGACAGAACTTTATTATGGTTTGGAAAAGGGGCTTATTCTAATATTTAGCCATCTATTTTTTTCCAAAAACTCCATATGCCAAACTCTGATGGATTATTTGACAGATAATCCTGGGAAATTTTTATAATTAAATTTTACTCTTGTCAAACAGGTCATATCTACATAAACTTGAGCCTGAATTAACTTCTATGAATTAGATTATATTGATACCCTGATTTGCTTTGTAATTTTAGGGAAGCATTAACTTTATTTTTTGATTGTGCTCAGAGGCAGGTGGCCTCTAAATACTTTAGGTAGTGCCTTACTTCAGGCTGCTGGAACAAGGCACTGTGGACAGGGAAGCTTAGAAAGAACAGAAATTTACTTCTCACAGTCCTGGAGGCTGGAAATCTGAGATCAGGGTGCCAGCATGGTCTGATTCTGGTACAGGTCCTTTTCCCAGTTGGAGACTGTCAACTTCTTATCTTCTCATATGACAGAAAGAGGAAAAAAGCTCTCTGTCTCTTATAAAAATATTAATCTGGTTCAAGAGGGCTCTACCCTCATGACCTACCTAATTACCTCCAAAAGGCTCCACCTCCAAATACCATCACATTGGGAATTACATTTCAACATATTAATTTTGTAGGGAACATAAACTTTCAGTCCTTAATAGGTAGTATTGGCCATTAATACTTACATTGGGGTACTCTCTAGTTAACAGAAGGCGTTTTTGAAAAAATTTATAACTAGAAAGCTCAGATTATCTTTTCCTGAAATCATATTATTAATATTGACTATTTTTCTTAAATCATCAGTATATCCTTCCAAGAAATATCTTATATTATAAAGTTGGAAACATATGGAGCATACAGTTTCAAATACATATAAATTTCTTCAGATAACATGCAAATACAGTCTATCCTTGTTATGCATGGATTCCATATTCATGAATCTGCTTACAAGCTAAAATTTATTTGTAACTTTAAGATCCATATTCATGGTTCTTTCATGGTCATTCATGGACATGCTCAGAGCAGCAAAAAAAATTCAGTCTCTTACTGCATACATTACCAGCTTAACGTTAAACAAAATGATGCTCTGCCTTTTTGTTTCAGCTGTGATACTAAAAACCATTGACCTTTTTGGAGTTTATTTAGTGCCACATTTTTTTGCATTTTCGTTGGTAATTTTGCTGTTTAAAATGACCCCTAAATGTAGTGCTAAAGTACTGTCTAGTGTTCCTAAGCTCAAAAGGCTGTGATGTGCCTTATGGAGAAAATGCATGTTGCATGAACTCCCTTTAGGGGTGAGTTATAGTGCCGTTGAAATTAAGTTCTATGCTAATGAATCAACACTATATGTTAAATAAGGTGTCTTTAAACAGAAACACACATAAAACAAGGTTATGTATTTATCAGCTTACAAAAATACTGTGATTGGAAACTCCCAAGAAGGTAACCCAGTATTTGCCCTAGGGACAATTGTTTGGCATTTGCTAATTCAGTGTTCACCACAACTTTATAAAACATAATTAACATGAATAACAGAATCAATTATATGTATGAATTGTGGAAAAGGGAAGTAAAATAGAATTATAGGAGGGCCTTGGGTGAGACATTTCAATTTTTCTTATTTAATAATAAATATATCTATGGCCATCAATTTGTCTTCATATAGTTTTGTCAGCACACTATAAATTTTGATATGTATGATAAATATTTTTACATGTCTCAGTAGTCTGTAATTACAGCTTCTACTTTTTTCAAAAAAATAATTTAGAAATGTGGACTTTCTGGTTTTACTTTTTCAATTAAATTGTGTTTTGATTTATCTATTAAAATGTTATTTATTTCACATATCAATAAATTTTGGTCAGAGAATATAGCCTTCATAGGTTGTTCTTTGGGGAACATATTGATTTTTTTCCCTATGGGCTGATTTGATGAATTCTCATTAATGTTTCTTAGGTACTTAAAAGTTCAGTTCCATTTTTTTAGTAAATTAGAAATCATTATAAATTAGTATCATAATAAGAGGTATGAGAGGTTATAACTATTGCTTTCCTTTCCATTTGTATTGCCCTTAAAACTATTTTAAATTCTTAAAATAGTTTTTGAAAGTATTTTATCTTTTAAAAACTATCTTATGTTAGTTGTGTGTATATGTAGAGAGATGCCTATTTTAATATAGATAATCATAATGATATTATCGTTATGAAGAATGTATTTTGAGAAATTGAAAATGGCTCCATTAAGTTCACTTAATTTTTAACTTGAGGTTTGTTTTTTTCTGTTTTTACAACTATAACCTATGCTTTTCCTCCTTTTCTTTTAAATGAGAAATTATCTTGGTATTCTTTTAAAATTTTTAAAATTTTACATTTGTAATGTTTTTATTTCATATATTTCCTTTGTAAATAAAATGTGCTTTAATTTTTTCAATCAGTCTAACAGCCTCTGTCTTTTAATATAAATTTCTCCTTCAGAGTTATTAAAATCGTCTCATTTCTGTGTTTTATTTATATTTTTGTCTTTTATGTTTACCTTGTCTTACCTTTATCTTCTACCTTTTCATGGGTTTTCTTTTAAACTTTGTTCTTATAATCATTTCAATCTAAATTTCCTTAGTGAGCAAACTAAAAAATAAAATAAAAATGGAAAAATGAAACAATGTAAACTGAATCCTACTATGCAAAAGGAGATACTGAGCATGTTTAGTTTTCCTTCCACACTTCCCTAAATTATGATTTTTGAAAACTTATCTTCGATTTTATGCTAGACTTATTATTAATTATTAATTGGTAAATTATGTATTTAATCTTTCAAAGATGATTTTTATGTACTCTGTATAAAATATATATATTTATATTTTATTCTCATTTCAGTTCTCTCAATAATCATTCTTATGATATATTCTTCTATATTTTCCAATCTTTTAGTTAACACAAGTACATTTTCCAGTTAAGTGAGATAATAAATGCGCTTGGAACACAGGCTGGCATATTAAGGTCTCAATATATAATGTCAATTCTTATTATAATGTCCCACCTGAACTCTTCCCTTTGGGATAATGGGTTCATCAGACTTGATATTACCAGGATAGCATTCAACAGTTTGAGGGAAATAAGAAGGAGAAGCAAGGGGAATATCAGAAATAGAACGTTTTCCTTTGTGATTGTTGACGATATCACGATTCAATTTTTTTCTATTCACAGTTTGGAACCGTATTTCTACATGCCTACCTATAGTTAATTTTCTTCTCTCCACAGGTATCCACAACCTGCTGATTTGCCAGTTTTCTCTTTGGAATAGCTGTCTTGTGAAGCTTGGCTTTTCTAGTGAGTGTGCGTGTGTGTTTTCCCAAACATCAAGTTTTAGTTTGTGATATAATTCTTATTTGTCTTTTTCTACTTTCCTTAACTCCAGTTCCTGTGATTTTGGTGTTATTAGCAAATTTCAGCCATGGTCAATTCCTCCTACTTCTTGATGACACTTCTCTTTCTTAGCATCAGGGATGGGGAATACTGGCATTTTTTCCCCTAGTTTCCAGTGATACTGAATATTTTCTCTATTTTATGTATTTTTTGATTATCCACTGGGGATTTGGGAGAGTGTGAGGTCTATTCTCAGAATGCTATTTTAAAACCATCATCTAATATTATATTTATTAAGCACACACTACTTGCCAATAACTACTTACTGCTAACATACTGTGCTAAATTTTGGCTAACTCCCCAACTCCCCAAAAAAGGAGTGCTAACAACTTGAAAGGTAGTTTAATTTGATATTTTCTGGGAAAGAATTGCTATCTATGCTATAGACTAGGATGGACTACGAGAGGACTATGTGTGAGAGGCTGCCATAGCAAAGAGCCAGTGCAGCCAAGAATATTCTTGCAGTTGACTGGACCCAAAGAAATAGGAGACGATTAATACCTGGAAGGAGAGTGTCCTAAAAACCTCAGCATCTTGAAAGATCCAGACAAAGGTTTAACTATTGACATCTTATCAAGAAGAAAATTGGCTTTGAGCCTAAGACTGAAAAAAGATTATATGGCAATCACAAAAGTGATTTAAAAAAAAAAAAACACTGGGAGGATGAGTGTTAAGGAACTTGTTTATATATGTACAGGAGGAAGACAGTAATCACTTCATGCTCTACCAGGTTGATGTTGCTCTTATGTTAGTTTTTGAGTAGACTTTTCAAATGTGGGTATTTGTTGATCAATAAAATAAAAGTTGATATTTAGAACTCTTTTCCCCAGATGGTGGTGATACCTTGGCACAAGTTCCCAGTATGCTGTTTAAATTTATATAGGATGTTCTGTTAAGAATGACTCCAAATTTTGTTTCTCGTACTGAGTTAGAAATTGTCATCTTGAAACAGGGGTAAGGAAAGATAGTGCCAAAACCAAAACCAAAACCAAAACCACCCAACCCCCTGAAAACATAGTTTATAAGGCAATATATAGACAATCGACAATAAATAGACAAATAGATAATAGATAGACAAATAGACAATAGATAGACAAAAACTAATTTAGGAGGTAAAGGATAACTAACACAACAAAATAACTGAAAAATATTCTCTGGCTGTTTTCCCTTGCAAATATGTGGAAACTCCAGCTATCTGTAATGCGTTTCTCTTTATTCAACAAAATGTCATACATTCTTACACAGCTTGCCAAGGTCAAGCTATTACCCTTAGTATCTAACTCTATGACATATTCTCTACACGCCTTGACACTGAAGTTATGTGGTTCTAAGATAGTCACTCATCATCTTTGCTTGGTTGTTGATGCCATCCATCTGCATCTTTCCTTATTGTACCATGAAGAAAAGATAACAAAAAGCTTCAGCCCCAGGGAACTACTTCATAAAAGCCTGAAAGTTTATAACTTCTATTCTGAATTGTGATAAATAAAGTAAATCCATTTGCCTGGATATCTGTTCTTTGAGGTAGAACCAGATCGATTTTGTGGAGCTGTGTCAGTTGTTTCTTGTCAGCTCCCCAGCAACAAAACCAGTTTAACTGTTTTGGGGAAGGTCCACATGTTATCATCCTCTACAGGGACTGTTTGAGATTTTCTTCGGTAAAACACACTCTTAAACCAACAAAGAAATTCTTAATATTCTTTAATTCCTATTAACTGCCACTTCCACAGTGAGGAACACAAACATTTCTTGAAACTAAGATCAATATACTAGAGGGGTACTGGGAATGGATGATTTCAAGTTTAATGAGGCATTTGCTTTTAGGAAGCCTTTACTATCTGCCAGGGATTGGGCTAATATCCTTGTAGAGATCATCTTCCTTAATCCTCATAGCAATCTTGTGAGATAGATTCTATCATTAATTTAATTTCTTTGGTTCAGAAAACCAAGTCTTACAGAGGTTCAGGAGCTTGTCTAAGGTCATGGAGCTAGGAAGTCAGGATTTTCAATGCAGACAGTCTAGCTCTGGAGTTAGCACTCTTTATTATGACACTCTTGTATTCTGCTTCACTTAAACCGATTCTTCCCAAATGCACTGAGCACCAAATTTTTCCACACAATTATTAAACATAGAAGGCCATATTAACATTAACCTGAATAAAAACATCTTGACAGACGGACAATTCTAAAGCACATTTTAAAGAAATAAATGCTTTCCAGACAGGTCAACTTTGCCTAATGATCTTTCCTTTTCCCTTATCAATCAGCACCAAGTGATTAACTTGAAGTCAAAAGTCCTTCCTTGAAGCCTGTCCTCAATCTCTGGGCTGGCTCAGTTTCAAAGCTACCCAGGGCTGCTTATCACAGGTGGCTATCTTCCTTCTGACTCAGCTGCAGTGGGTTTGTTGACACTATTTAGACTATTTGAAGCCAACGAAAAGGATGGCTGTATTTTTCTTTCCAAGCACTGAGAAACCCTGAATATTTTCTCCATCTTTTTCAGAAGAGAAAAAGAGAAATTACTATTGAGGACATCTCGCTATAGAGAACATTAACCACCTGTGAGTTTTCTTCACCAAAGAACTGTTCGATTCACACTCATTTTTTCTCCACTATTCCAACAGACATTTCAAAATGGAGGAAGAGTAAACATTTATATAGAATATTTGTTTCCACCTCTATCTGCCTATAACTGTGCTTTCAATTTACAAGGGGCTTCAGAGTTTCTAGATTTGTTTTCTTACAGGATTCATACTTTTTTTTTTTTTTTGAAATGGAGTCTCGGTCTGTCACCCAGGCTGGAGTGCAGTGGCGCACTCTCGGCTCACTGCAAGCTCCGCCTCCTGGGTTCACTCCATTCTTCTGCCTCAGCCTCCCGAGTAGCTGGGACTACAGGTGTCCGCCACCACGCCTGGCTAATTTTTTGTGTTTTTAGTAGAGACGTCGTTTCACCGTGTTACTCAGGATGGTCTTGATCTCCTGACATCACGATCCGCCCGCCTCTGCCTCCCAAAGTGCTGGGATTACAGGCGTGAGCCACCGTGCCTGGCCAGGATTCATACTTTCTTACACAAACTAATAAATACTGTACAAAATTAAACAGAAGGCTAATTTTCATATAGCACTCCTGAAAAAAAATTGTTTTGTCATGCACTGAAACAATTCTTCGAACTAATAAGGACAATCATGGATGTTGTGATTTTCCCTGATTCTGTAGAAAAATGCTTTTCCAGGGCTAGAGAGAATGACAAAGAGAGAACTAGTCAAGAACTAGGCTAATAATCATCCCTGCCATGCTTTAACCTCCTATTTCATGCAAGGTACTATGTTGTGACTTTGTGTAGATCATCTCAGATAACAGTGTTGTACCAGAGCTGGACTGAGGCTGTGTGGGGTCACAAGTTTCTAGAGTTTCAATGAATACTTTAAGAACAAGAATACAAAATTATGTACAGAAGTGAATGTTTATTTAGAATGAGAAAATAAACCATGATGGATTAGGGATTTTAAAAAGCTCACAAAACAATAAACATCACAAAATTCACAAAAAATGGTGCTTTTAGAAATTAACTGTGTGGCACACTTATTTTTTGTGCAAATTTCTGATATTCTTTTCACATAAAATGATGTTGTATTATCTTTTATCTATATAACAATGAGACTATGCCTACTATAAGCATTTAAATAATGCTTATCTGTTTGACATAAGAAAATCTTTATAAATAGACTGAAAGCTCTTTGAAGAAGGATGACTATGCTATTGATTTCCAGCAGCCAAGACAGTGACTGATTATCAAATGCACTGAACACATGTTGTTACATAAAGGAATAATTATGCTATAGAGATGGGTTTAGTTATAAGGTGATACAGTTAAGCTGGGAAATCACTACTTCAGATGCTGTTTAGAAACATTGCACGGGTCTCTGTCTCTTACCCAAGTTATATTAAATGTAGAGGAATTCTTAATGAAGCCTTCTCCTTCATGCTCAGTTCATTCCACCTTGAACCAATCAGTCTTTTGTGGTTAAACCAGACCCTGACCTGGGTGTGTTATGTGGCTCTATATTACCATTTTATAGATGATGAAAATAATTAATATGTACAGGGTTCTAGCCTTTCACAAGATTATATGGCACAAAAAAGTACTGCAAAGTACCCTATTCCCATGACTCATATTCCAATCTAACCACCCAAATAACCCTTTCTTGTATCAGCTCAATGGTCTTTTCAAATTACCATTTACATATGTTTTCACTGAACCCTTACAGAATACATTCCGGCAATGAAGGAAAATAAAAAGAAAATGCATTTTATAAGATAAAGGGTTTCTCTTTGTCCTTTTAAATAAAATGGGCTGGGAAGAGGCAGAGAACTTTTATGATTCAGTAATGGCCAAGATATGATGCTCTCTAGCTCACAAATCAAGGAGCCGCAAGCTGCAAAAGCTTCAATTTTGAACAGAACAGCTCAGGGCCAGGCAAAATGTCATCCTTTTTATGGGTTCAACAAAATTCCTCTGTTTTTTATCTTGCAACACAGACATTAGATCAGCTCTTCAAGTCCCTGGGATGTCTGGAATACTGACTTGTGTGCACTTTCTAAAACATAGGGTCAAGTGCAAATAAAAGCTACAGAAAAAGAGGAAATAGCACTAGAGAGAGAATCAAAATGCCTGAGTAAAATCTTGACTGAAGGCATGTCATGAAACGTTCTTTGGTGTCACATAAATGCCCCCTGGGGCTTATCAACATGTGCACTCACACTAATGAGAGTGGCCAGCTTAGAACACGGTGGGGTCTGCAGACAACGTCATGTTATAGTCTGTTCTTAGTCACATTTAAAATTTGATACTGAAGGATAAAACTGGCTCTGAGGGTCTATTATTTAGAACAAAATGTTTCAAAGAAAGAGCAGGCTTTGAACTGATCCAAAACTTATTATACAACTACCTTTTCTTCCATGATGACTTGAAAGTCTAATATACTATAAGTATGCATTTAAAGAGTTAGTTTCTTTTTATTGGTCAATGGATTTTAATATTGCAATGTTCTCCTTTTTTAATTAATTTTTTTCCACCGCAAAGCATTATTTTCACATGGAAAAATAGAATTAACCAAAATAATATTAGTTACTACTTTGGAATGAAATGGCATTATATTTTTCTCCCAGGTATTTATGAAGGCAGACATTCCTTAATTTACAGTCAATTACTTATTTGTTCATTTAACAAACATTAGTTGAATACCCATTATCCACTTTATATATCTTACTGTACCGGTAATTAAATTAATAAATCAATATCCAGAATTCATAAATGAAATAGAAAAACCCAATTTTCTGAAATTTCAGATTTCTGTGCAAATGTGGAAATTAACAGATTAAATCTACTAAAGAATAAAATCTAAGGTTTTATATGTATGTAATTATTTGATAAATATTAACCAACCACACTTTATGTGTCTTATAGTGTGATAGCTGCAGTAATGAATACAAATATGTAAGGAATATATGTTTATCCCTTAAGAATAATTAAATCAAAAACATGCAATAAAGTTATATTCAGAAATAACTGTGACAATGGAGTCAAATTACTGCTATTGCGTAGTGAATTAGTGAACTGCATAGACAAAAATAAGTGTCACTTCTTTTTGGATGATACGGAAAAGCTTGTGGAAGAGATGCCATTTATATTGGGCACTGCTGCATTGATAAGAATTAGAGAGATGACAATTGAGAGAGAATATTCTGTTCCTTATGAGCAAAGAAAGAAGATCAGAGCAAGTGCAGGGACAGAGAGAAGACAAGATGGCCTGAGATTTGGGGTTAATATCAAGGGCCAGGAGGAGATGAAGCTGGAAAAGTAGATTGTCATGAGATCATCAAGAACCTTGAATACCAGACTAAGAAGTCTAGAATTTATTCCAGGAGCATTGAATATTCATATAGATCATTTAGGTCAAAGGAGTTATATGAATAAAGTGACATTTTAGAAAAAGTGATTTGGTTCTTCCAATATTCCAGGTGTGAGGTGTTCTGCATCTGAGCTAAGCGATGGTGGTAGTTAAGCCTAGAAGGAACAGAGGCAAGAACTTTGAGAAGCTTCGAAGACTTGAGTTCCCAGGTTTCAAAATTTACTGCAAGGTTTTGAGGTGGGTTATTGGGAGTATGATTAACATCTTTTTATGATCTTGTAGATATCTTCTGACCAAGGGTTTATTGAAATTTTCGTTCATTTTTCTCATTGATTCATTTTGGAGATGTGCCAGACCTAAATTCCCTTTCAGCTAATGACATTATGAAGACATTCATTGAGACAGGCATTGCTCAGAATGCTTTATATTTAATGTTCAAAACTTTCTGGTAAAATAATTGTTGTTTTCTTTTTCTGTTTTTTTCTCCAGATTAAGAAATGTACACTAAGAGAGGAATAACAAAACGATTCCAAAGTCACAGGACTTGTGTTTGGATGGGATTTAGATTCAGGTCTTTATCTCTAACCTTTCTCCCTCCATCACCTTTACTTTGAGCTAAATATTTTTTATGCTTGTATGACACTACTTCTGACTTTATTGAAACAGCCCTTATAAGATTCCAGGAGTGTGGATTATAGTTCAGCATCATGCTATGTATTGCTTGTACCATTCGTTGTCAATTAATTAATATATCACCTTGTTACTCCTGAAATTTTTATTTAATTCAGGTATTGCTGTTTAAATTTAAATGTTGCTTATCAGCCTAAAATAATTATAGTCACCTCAAGGCTTATCTTCCCTGAAACCTAGGGCCTTGCACAAATTATCTCATTAAAGGCATTTGTTGAATGAAATAGATTCATGAATAAGAGCAGCAACACTATCAAAATAGAGCATTAGCTTCACCTCGTCCCAGTTTGGAAGCAATATGGCCCTCATCCATGTTGTTTTGGGTTGGGTTTCCTAGAAGTGGAGCCTGAGAAGGCAGTATGTGAGCAAGGGATTTTTTGAGAGGGCTCTCAGGAGAAATCCATGATGAAATGGAGTAGGAAATGAAAGGGAAGGAATTTGATTCTAAGGAAAGGTCTTGGGCGTAAATATTCCACCTTGACGTGGAGGTGACTCCACAGCAGTCAGTGATTGGGTACAGGCTACCATGGTGGTGGGGTGGGATTCAGTGTAGTTCCCAGCCTCTTGAGTAGGAAAGAGGGGCCAGCCTCCCAATAACAACCTGCTGGAGAAGGTGGCAGGTGTGGACATGCCAAACAAAGAAACAGATCCTAGAGGGCAGGACATCATCCTCCTCCTCATGTAAAACCTGGCAAGAAAGACACATACAGAGTTAATTTACCCATGTGCAAAAGATTCCTGTCCGTCATAATGATGCCACTTGCAAGCATAGTAAATAGTTTCCTATTCTGGTGCTGAATCCAGTTGATCGTCAAAGATGTCCCAGAGTCTGTGTTAAAATTTCTGTAGAGGCCACATTTATTTAAAAACACAACATGCCCAATACCAAACACTGATCTTGGCTCTCTGTTCCTAAATTGATATTGCCATAGTCTTCCTCATTTCAGCAAAATGAAGAATATTCTATTCAATTCACTGACTATTCAGTAGTGTGAGAGGGAAATTTATGTCTAGAGGGCAGCCATGTAGATTTCATTAAATGTTGTGATTTAATTTCTTTAGGAAGTAATTTATAGAGATTCAAAGCAGGATTTTTGGAGTTAGAGAGATTTTGTTTCTGTTACTTAAAAACAGTGTGACCTTGGAGAAGTCACCCTCTGAAGTTGAATTTCCTCACTATAAATAACAGGTAATTTTCAGAGTCATCTTAATAAAGAGATATTTCATGTGAAGCATTTAGTATAGTGCTTAGCATATAGTAATGCTCAATAAATGTTAACACATTTTAGCCATACATATTCATGAAGATATTTTCTGTCACCAATGAGAGAGAACTGAGAAAATAAGAAGAAAGATCAAAGGTATAAGAGGAGATTGGCTGAAGAATTTTGAATGTAGAGCAGTTCTGCAAGCTGTTTTGTTATACCTAGAAATAGCTGAAAATTCCTTGGAGCTTACCTGTACTTTAATTTTTGGGTTGTGATCAAATACATCTATAGCTAGATGTAGATTAATTTTCTATACTTGAAAGATCATATATAATTCTGTTTCTCTGTCAGCATCAAGACAGCCTCTTCATCATTTTTATTGACTTCTAGGTGATGTCTAACTTGTAAAAATTATTTCTCAGTCTAGCTATGCCAACTCAACCCTCAAAAGGAAAAAAAATGGATATTGTAATTAAATGAAGATATATAAAGTCTCATGATTGAATATTTTAAAAGATTGTTCACATCTTTATAAAAATTAATATTTTACCATTTAATCTGGTAACAATATTTGAAAACTAAATATTTCTGTTGAAGTGCCTTGGTCATTTGAACTAAAATTAATTTATTTCATATAATAATCTTGGTACATTTTCAATAAAATTTAAAGTGATGACAGTCATTCAGATCATCCTGGGTACATTGGTACACCAAGTATTGTGCTAGACTCTAGAAATACAAAAATGAATAAAACATGATACTTTTTCCCACCACAGAGCTGACAAGGTGGTGAAGGCAACAGATTGTCCCAGTAAAGTATGGCAGGAGGTGAGATAGGCATGAAATCAGGATGATATTAAATTGGAGTCTATTTAGGGGCTTGGGGCAGGAGTTGATGATGTCTGAGCTAGAATTTGAAGTGTGAGTTAAAGTTAGCCAGAAGAAGAAAGGCAAAAGGGGTATCATAGAGAAGGTCAGGACCTCGTGAAGCATCGAGGCATCGAGCACTAAGGAGAATGTGAGATATTGAGCCAAGTTTAGTATTACTTATGCACCACTCCGGGCAGGTAAGTGTGATAGGTTAATGATGGCCACAAAGTCTTTGTCTCTCCTCCTATTTAGACATGGATTCTGTGTCTCCTTCTATTTCAATTTGACTGTAAGGCAACACAGCTAACAGGTTGCAACAGCAAGGATTCTGTGTCTGTGAATAGTTGGATAGAATATGGTGGAAGTACCCCAGTAACAGTTTCTGGACCAGGCCTTAAAAGATTGGCAGCTTCTCTTCCCGAATCTTGGAACATACATGGTAGAAGAAGCTAGCTGCCGTATAAAATGCCTTATTTAAAAATTATGTGGAGAGGCCCTGCGACTACATGAAGAGGCTGTGGAGTCCAGCTGAATCTGGCATCTAGCTATTTCCAGTAAGGTCACAGAAATGTGACTAAAACCATCCTGGACCCTCCAGACCAGACCAGCCATTGGGTGAATACAACCAAGTGGCCCCAGGCAATACAAAGTCACTCTGCTGACTCCCAGCAGAATCCCTGACCCTACATGATCATGAGCTATAATACAGTGGATGCTACTCCAAGCCATTAAGTGTTGGGGTGGTTTGTTGCACAACAATTAAAAACAAGAACAGTGGAATATGAGGAAGAATTATGCAAGGGCAATATGATGGAGGGCTTGGGGTACAAGGTTAAGCATTTTGGATACTAAATGTTTCCAAGTCTATGGTAGTAAAATCACCCCTCCTCCGAATACAGGATTCCTCAATTTATCTTTCGCCAAACAAGCCCATTTCAAAAACCACTGCTGGAGGGAGAGCATCAGCATAAATAGCTAATGCTTGTGTGGCTTAATACCTAGGTGATGGGTTGAAAGGTGCAGCAAACCACCATGGCACATGTTTACTTATGTAACAAACCTGCACATCCTGCACATGTTATCTCAGAACTTAAAATAAAATTGAATTAAATTTTTAAAAAGAATTATACAATAAAAAACAAAAAATGCCATATTCTATTTACATAATTTCAGAAAATAAAAGGAAATATAACTCTAAGAAATTTGGAAGGACAGAATTGCAAAGGGATGATCGGTGCCAGGCACTGCTTTAAGTGTTTCATATACATTAATTGACTCAGTCTTTATAACAATCCACTAAAGTAACTGGCGATATCTGCCCCATTTTATAAATGAGGAAACTGAATCATAGTGAAGTTACAAAACTCAGTTACAGTAACACAGCTAACAGGTGTCAAGAGCAAGGATTCAAACCCACTCAGTCTGGATCCAGACTTCGTCGGTTTAATAATTATGCTGCAATCTTTTTCATAGTTCTTAAACAAGATGTATGTGTGTGTGTGTGCATGCACATGCACATGTGTATAAATATAGGGTGTGATGAGTAGTATCTGTCTTCTTCAATAGCCTGAGCTCACCTGAAGGAGAGGCAGAGGTCCTTTCCCTTTGCTCATCATTATTTCCATAGTGCTTATCCTAGCAACAATCACATAGGTGGTCAGCAGATACTTGCAGAATGACTGGAAGTGTGCACTAGTGACAAAATGATTCCTTAAATTGAATAAACTGAGCTGTATGAAGCACTGCATTGTCCCTATTAGGAGCATATTATCATGGATATGAGCAAATTTGAGAATTGCCTCTCAAACTAGATTTAAAAAAACAAAGAAAAGAAAAGTACAAGTTCAGGAAGAATTCAAGTGAGTATACACAGCTACCAATGTGGGCCATGCATCAGATCAGAAATCAAGGAAGGGAGAGTTTGAGGAGTGACTGGACAACCAGAGAAGCCACTAGGGCCAGATAAATAAGGATTGAGACATTTGGATAAAAAAACTGTGGGAAGAAAAGAGACATGACACCATGCTGCTATTTTGAAAGTCTAGTGAAAAACAAGTGTTGAGATTAAAAAAAAAAATGACACTTCAGTGTATAGGAAGGAGTCAAACAGAGAAATTATTTAAGCTGAAACCCAAAAGATGATTCTGAGACAGTGTAATGAAGAGTGAAAAGTGTCCCAGTAAAGGTATCGCATCGCCAAGTTTCCAATGTGAGAAAAATACTGGCTAATCATTCAAGGCAGCAAGATAGTGGCTGTAGAGCTGAGAGTGAGTATTGGGAATTGGGGTTGGAGAGGTAGGAAGAGGTCAGAGTGCTGCCCAATGTGTAGTAGACGTTAGGATGTTGCTACTTGTCCTAAAGGCAATGTGAAATGATGGATATGTGTCAAATAGTGGAGTGTCGATCTGGTTTACTCATTTGCTCTGTGGCAGCACATATGAAAGCAGGTATGATTTTATTGAGTGTGTATTATTGTTAGGGACTTTTCTTGACAATGGAGATGGAAAAATCAAAAGAGAATATATTTACATGTATAGATCTCACAATCTGACCAGGGTGTCAGGGGAGCAGAATATGTTAAGAAAAAAAGCTAGTAAGACATTTTAGTTTTTTCTCAGTGTCTGATGGGGAATATGGGAATACAGAATAGGGAGAGTAGAGAAAGGCTGGAAAGAAGACGTGGTGATAGATGATAGAAAAAGCAGATGGGGATACTAGAGGGAGTGGGAAAAACCTTAGAGCTGGAGAAAGATTGAAGTGGAATGTCCAGGATGAGAATTGTGTGCAATCTTAATCTGGTCTGTGCTCCTTATATTATGTGAAGATGAGGCACATCTGAAACCAAGTTCACCTTATCTGTGGTTCCCTGCTCCATGGGAGTAAAATACATAAAGGAGGAACTCTTTGATTCAGAAGGGCAGCTATTTTCTTTTATGGCCTCATTGCTCTTGTAACTTCTTGAACTTTTCCTCTGTACACAGGAGATGGAGATTTGTTATTTTATTATTAAGTGCTCTAACTCTGTCTTCTTGGCATTCAGCCATAAAGCTCAAATCTTTACACTTGAAGAATAGAATTTAGGCCAGAAGAAATAGATCTTGCCCTAGCTTTTCCATTAGATATATAACTAAGTGACCTCGAATAAACTCCTTAACCTCTCTATGTCTTACTTTCTTACTTTGTAAGATGAAGTAGGTAGAATAGATGAGCTTAAACATTTTGTCCATCACTGACAATGTCTCCACATTTCTCCTGTTCAATCTGGGCTGAAAGAGGTTAAATCTTATTGTGCATCACTAGTCATTAATACCGAACATTATCATAATAGTTTTCTTTCATTGAGCATGGACTGCACAGCAGGCTTTATATTCATTTCTTCATTTAATTTCTGTTCTCTTATTTCTTTATGTAATCCTCACAATATTAGTTATTTTATAGTAAAGGAAACTGAGGCTAAATGAGGTTAAGTCCTTTCTCAAGGTCACACAGTTAGAAAATGACAGAACCAGGATTTTAACATCATTCTCTTTGACTCTATAGCTATTAATATTTCCAAGTGCCATGCTGACATCATTGGCATGAACTATTTTTTTTGCATTGAAATATAACTTAAGTTAAAATAGTTAGATTTTTAGCAGAGCAGCCAGTGTGATATGAATCTGGTATTACTCTGATTCAGAAGAAAGTCTTACTCAGCTTCACACATAGTGTGAATAATGGCACCAAAAATGTTTACCATAAATCTTTCCCAGACCTCAGGCCTGGATTAGTATGCTAATGTTTAAGCTGCTGCAATATTTCACAGAGAGGGATAAACGGGTAAACATAAAAACGTGTATTTAAATGTGGGTGGATGTGCCTATAGAGGCACCAAAGGCACTGCTAAAATTATCTGCACTTCTTTATCCATTGAGAATGGAAGGCCTTTAAGGTCATCAATGAGATGGGATCATCTTGTTGCCAATCCTAAGGCAGTCTGGCTCTGAGGCTGAATGAAATGGAATTAAGAGAGGGCTGTAAAAAGCCAAGTGGAGCTGTCATCACTATAAAAATGGCATTGGCATTGCAATGACTCAGGCATTTGATGACTCACCACCTCTATGAACTTGCACTGGGTGAACCCCAAAGCCAAAGCCAGCCAAGAAGAAATATCAGGAAAGTAACAATCAAATACTCTGAAGTTTATCTCTCAGTTGAAAGTGAAGAAAATAACAACTCACTCTGGAAAAAGATGTATAAGCAATTGAATCAAAAATGGCTATGGATGACCTGAGAGTCTTGGCTTCTCAGTGGAGATGGCCAAAGGTGAGCTTGACAGAGAGAGGTGAATTGGACCACATTTGACTTGTTTTTAGCCCCAAATTTTAAAAAATCCAATTTTAGGCAGCAATGGGCTATTCCCTTGCAAATAGTTTTAGCATTGATAAAGAACTTTATAAACAATATTAACAAACATTATTTAATGCATAATGGCATAATATAATAACCTATGAAAAGGTTAATAAGAAAGAGTTCCAGAAGTAGAGAAAAAACAACAAAACAAAACAATAAAACAAAACAAAACGAAAAAAGGTGACCCCACTGGGAATCAGGAATCCTCTGAAATCTCTTTGTATTATTTGTTAAAATTAACATTAAAATGTTATTTTATTTTCTTATGTTTGTACATGGAGTCTTGATTAGGCCTATGGCTCCCTTTTTAGAATAATATGCTAACCATATAATATGACTTATATGTAATCTTAAAGCTTACCAGTTATATGCCTTACAGTTATTAAAGGAGTCTTATAAATTTGTGACATAGCAATAACATAATTATTTATCCTCAATGAACTAACAAGTTTCTAGCAGGTATTCTAATATTAACTGTAATTTCAAAGGCATGACTTAAGTAATATAGTATTTGATGCATCAGCACTAACTGCAATATTACACAAAAATATAAAGGATTTGTACTGACAACCACTCATATGTGTTGCTAAGACTACTATGGTTTGTTGCCTACATTTAAAATGAAAAGAGATGCTAATTTCACTTACAGCTTAGTAATATGCAATTTTTTTATTAAAGTTCTCAGACCTCTTAAACCTATAGTACATGACCCCCATGTTAAGAACTTCCATACTATTTGCAGATTACTAAATAGACAAGTTGCCTTTGGGTAAATAGTATTAGAGACTGCTATAACTTTTGTGTTGCAGCAACTACAGTTGATAGATTTATTTATCATAATAAAGATTCTGGTTCAAAAAATGCCTTTTCCCCCCCCGAATAACCAGCTGCAATGTCTAGAATTGGTTATTTTTCACAGGAGAGAGTTTTAGGTGGATCCTGAAATCCATCTAGTTGATGAGACATCCTAATTTAGAGCAGTTGATTGCATGAAAGGATTAAGATTTGTTTAACACATTTTATTACTAAGCCAAATACTCTTTGCAAAAATGTATGCTAAAGGAGTTGGCATACCTTGCTTCACGACCACTCTTCCCTCATGTTTTATCTCATGCAATGACTCTACCTGTAATGTGAAGTCTTCTAAAACAGATTTTCTCCTCTTTTTCTTCTCATCACATTCATACTAACGGTAATTTCCGTGCATCCTTTAAGATTTGCTTAGGTCTCCTGCTTCTCCCATTACTCGTCTCCGGGATGTTAGATGCAACTGTCATATTGGTTTCCATAGTATTTTATGTATGTTCCTGTCATTGTACTGATTACAATGATTTGTATTATTGGGTTTTATGTTCATTTCCAATTTTAGACTATGAGCTGTTTATGAGCAGGGGGAGGTGTTAAAATAAATTTTTAAGCTCCAATCTCAGTGCAGTAATTAGCACAAAAATATTTTTCACTATGTTTATAAAATAAATGGGCACAATTGTGCTGAGTTTGAGGAATACAAAGATATATATAAAACACAGTTCATTCCCTCAAGAGGCTTAGATTCTTGCTGAAAATTGAGACTCTGTGTGTGTGTGCATGTGCGTCTATGTGTGTATGTGCACATGCAGGAGTAAGACCAAGATCAACAATTGGTATAAGGTTCCTGGCACTACATGCAAAATAAACAAAATAATAAATTATATATTTATTTAAAAATAATTAAATTAAGACTGTAATATAATGCATTCTGAAATAGTTAAAAACTGAGCTGAAATGAGAACCGTGAAAAGAGTTAGAGTGGGAATGGTGGGAATGTATCCACTATAAGGTTCTTCACTGGGATTTTCTTCTCCAGTTTGAAAATCTCTACATCATTTAACTTCTTCCTATCTGGCTTGAATTTTTGAGCTCACTGTTCCCCAGTCATTCTCCTCTTGGTAGTCATTTCTCTGTTATAATTTTGTAAAGGTGAGTGTCTGGAAGAGGATGCAATAATTTAGATATGCTCTGACCAGAACAGAATGGCTCTATTATCCCCTTAATTTGAACACTGTGTTTATTGTATTATCATCTGGAATTGTGTTTGATTCCTTGGTGGCTCGGTACATTACTTGGAAAATAAGTAATAGGTTACCTAAAACCCCAGAATATTTTACACACAAGCTGCCATTAAGACTTTTTCCATTTTTAATATTTACTTTTTAAACCATTCAATTATTCATGTAATTATTTATTCATTTATTCCATACAAACTTATTAGAATACTATTAAGTTCCAGGAATTCTTCAATATTGTTTAAGACCAAACATATAAATTTTTCACAAACTTATATTAGGAAACTTTTGAAACGTAATGAAAAATTGAAAAGATTATATAGTGAATAACCACATGTACACAACCTAGATTCTACAATTAACATTTGCTTGTGTTTACTTTATTACATATCTTTCTATACATCCATCTATTCATTCACAAAATTGTCTTATTTTATGATGTATTTTAAATAAAATGGCAGCATAAAACTCTCACAAACACTCATAAATACCTCAGCATGTGTACCAGGAACTTGAGTTCAAAATATTATTCAAACTCCTATCAAGATTTAAATCCATTATTATTACCATAGAAAGTTTCCTCATGCTTCTTTCCACATGAATTTTAATTTTTCCTAATAAAGTTTTAATTTACCTATTATTCTCCAATATTTTGGCCTATTTAGTTTTGAATCTTGAGTTTATTATTTACATGTTATTTGTAGCATCCAGGTGAATGCCATTCACTTATGTTTTTATATATACTGCAAAGTCATTGATTAAAGGGGTGGAAATAGTCATAGCTAATAAGTTAAAACAGAAAGCCCTATGAAATATGACTAGAACTTTCCACTAGGTGGGCACTGCTTCATTAATTGTTACCCAACTCTCCTATCCTTTCCGATAGTCAAGTAGATAGCACAGGAGACTTCTTGAAAGATTAAATTTATTTAATGGAAGAAGTAATTATCAAGGTTATCTGATATTATGCATATTATTTTAGTATTTTAGTGCATATCTAGATGATTAGATTCAAACATTTTTCAGGTGGCCTAATTGTTGATAATTTTGTATATTTTATAGAATCATAAAATCATATCAGACTTTGAAAGAAACTAACGCGTTATCTGGCTCCTTGCTGTAGCAGAATTAAAAATACTATTTCAAACACTAGAAAAGTGATTTCACTGTTCCTTCCTGTAATTCTCCAGAAAAGAGACTTCAACTTTTTCTGAAACAGCTTATTTTAGTGAATCAGAATGGTAGATTCAGGATTATGAAGTTTCCTCCTATCACATGTCATAAATATTAGATGCATTTAGGACTTAAAGTATATGCATAAGAAAAAGGTATGATTCTTTAAATCAAGAATTAGGAGCTGAAATTAGAAAAATAAAATGTTTCCTTAGAAGGGAGATTCTTTAGGTTTAGTGACTTCCTGTAAGAGTGCTACTGGCAGGTTAGAGCCGCTATTGGTGCAAAGCATTGCAGTTTTTAAAGGTAGCAAATAGTTATGGAAAATACTCCCTAATATTTTGTATCTTGTACCTTTACAATCTGCTTAGACCCCCTTACCTATTAAGAGAGACTCTTAAGAGATTTATTGAAGTTTCAGATGAAACTTTTATCGTTTTTAATCCAGCATTAGCAGTTAATACAATAAATTATTTCCTCTATTCACGGATGAAACTGTTTGCAAGCAAGAAAATTGCTACTTTGCATCAGATTATAAGGCCATCCCTCAAGGTCAATTGGTAGTATTTTATCATTTCAAATACACCACTAAAATTCAAGGAAAATTATGCACCAATATCTGTTATTTTTAGAAAAATCTAAATACAAATAAATGTCACAGTAATTTGCTCATTGATTTATTTGTCTGACTTGAATAGGCTCATTAGAATTATTGAAATTAGACACCATTTTGTTTAGCATAGGAAACTGCATTATAAAGTTTTGTTATAGATCTCTTATAAAGTGGTTCGAGCTGGAGATTTATCATTTAAATCCCACCTAGTAATTTGTAATGCAAATAAATAAAGGCTTATCCCATTTAAACAATAAATACCTACTTAAATAATGAAACATCACTCCTCCATTGATCAGTTTTGTGGATACAGTTATGGCACTTGCATGGAAAGGTATCACTTGAATGGACTGAAACAAACCTAACACTGCATTAGATCACAGCTGAAATTCAATGGGTTCAATTTGTTGTAGCCTGCAGCCCAACAGCTTGATCTTTTGTCACTATGTGCACTAAGGGAGATCATATATCTCTTATGCACTTATGTCAAGAAAAGCGCCACAACCTACTTATCATACTTGCAAAACACTTAAGAAAACAAGGCAAATTTCCTGAAAGTAATTGAGCTTTTGGTAAGGGCTTTATTATTGCAATCAATTACAATGTTGTCAAACCTGACAAATTGAAGTTCCTAAATAACTGGCTCATAACTGGATGTCTTAAAGCAAGAAGCAAAATGCACTTCTGCCCTTGCTGATTTTCTTGTACAGCTTTGAAAATAATTTACACAGCTGTTAAGTAGGGAAGCCATAACATGGGAAAACCATATATAGGTAGAATCCTTTTAAAGCTGATTGAATCTAACAAAAATCGCAGAAATATTTTATGATAAAACAGCACAACAATAATGCAACAAAACCAATCCAGTTGGATTCATTTAATAGCTTATTTTAATAAAGGCTAATTAAAATAGCATTCCTTGCTATTTTCTTGTTAGCCATGCTGTTAGTGCTATTGAGATACTGGATAAAGCCACTGATGATTAAAATTGCTGCAAAGGGTCACGGTTACATGGAGACCTGCATACAGGAATGCCAAGGTATCTCTTCCAGTACATTCTGAGCTTCCAATGTTTTAGACCTATGTTTGGCTTCAAATCTTACTCTGTTCGTAGCATTTTGAGGATTTAGTAGAAAAATATAATTTTCTTTCCTCTAGGATCATGTACTGTGTTGTACATTTTGCTTATCATTGCACTTAAAATAACTTGGCAATGTGTGTGTGAATGTGTGTGTATGAATGTGTGTGTATGTGTGTGTGTATATAGTTCTTCCACTATTCTCAGTGAAAAAACATAAGAATGGAACTAAAGTCTTACTCATCACTGTATCCTCACACCCTGCTAACACAGTATTTACTACCTGATAACATAGTAACCACTCAATAAAGTAGAATAAATTAATAAATAAAAGTATAGAGTATGTGTAATACTAAAATATCAATGAATAGTATTAATGTTCCCAATTTTTTACTCTTCACTGTACTTATTCCTAGAAGTGTGCTGGCAAATGTTTGTCAACTGGCTCTAAAAAACAAACACATAAACAACCCCCTTAATTTGTAGCATTTGTTGATTTGCATGGTGTAAATAATAATAACATGGCCAATTTCAGATTATCCATATGATATCCCTGAATGCAGAGTTGAGAGGAGATTAGCTTTTATGAGTTGGAGCAAGCTGGCTCCAGCACACCACCATCCCTCTTCTCTGAAATATCTCTTTAAAACGTCCCACTAGCAGCAGATACTACTTCCCTACCACATAGAGGGTGGATTTGATCATGTGCTTGCTTTGGCGAATAGAATGATGGTGAACATAACAGAGGTAGGTGCTTGAAATGTGCTTGTGCATTTGTGTTTGCTGTTTTATGCTTCTTATGTCACTACCAAAAACATGGCACCTGCCTAAGGAGAACAAAAAGCAGGTGAAGCAAACCTGTACAGCACCCTTCACTTGGAATCAAGCCCAACTAAGCCCAGCCTAAATGAGTGGATTGTTAACCAATCCACAGGTGTGAGAGTGAGAAATCAATGTTTGTTATAACACACTGACATTTTTGTGGTTGTTTTTGTTACACAACAAAAAGTAACTGATGAACATAGTATAATGCAAGTTAAGGTAAGGTAAGATAATCTAGTAAAGTATTAGAGTGAGATTCAAAGACCCATGGCTCCATTTCTTATTTTGCTACCACTTTGAGGGTGTATGTGTGTGTGTGTGTGTGTTATTAAGTAAACTAACTATATGAGTTATTGGTATATTTTCTATTTTACTTTCTGAAAGTGAAGAACATAACCACTTCCTACTTAATAATGACGTTATGTGCTACTTTACAGTTATAAAATTTTGGTGCTTTTGTGGCCACTGGCATTTAGAAACTTGGGAATAATAAAGTCAATCATACCTTGAAACTTTTCACACATTTGTTAATTTTTACAATTCCTCCTCATGCAGGGTAATGTTTACTGTGTCTGTGAACTTTCCTAGGTATAAAAAAATTAGTTTCTCTTTGAAGAATATACCTTTTTCCCAATCTCTTAACTTGTGGTATGCTGATCTTTTAATTCTAATAATCTACTGAAACTTCTATCAATGGTCACTAGTTATTAACTAATTGACAAATTTAAGGATTGTTTCCCAGTTATTAGTCTCCTTGGACATTTTTGCATCTAGTAAGTTAACACTTTTCCTCTTCTTTCCTGAAACCCTTTTCATACTTGGGTTCTATAGAATCTCTCTAGTTTTTTATTTTTGGACTTTCTTATTGGTTCTTATTCCCCTTCTAATTTTCCTAGTTGTGAGAAACCACCAAAATTTAGTCCTCGGCTCTCTCTGTACTTATATTTTAATATTCTCATATTCAGAGACTTTATCCATTGTTATTGCTTAAACTATATCTTCAATCCCAATGACACTTAAGTCCACATCTCCATTCCTAACCTCTGCAGGGCTGTAAGTCCCAGAAAATGTTGAATGTTTCCACTTAGTTACAGATGTTGCTTCAAACTGAGAATATCTTAATTGAATTTATCATCTTCCTACTAAAAGCAACTTCTGCCTGCTTTATTTTTATCAGTGACTCATTCTCCAAGTAAGACAAATTCTACATCTTGAGATAATATTTTTCCTGTACCTCCATTCCATTACCATTTAGCTACATAGTACTCCTGAATTTTTCAGTAGATATTAATGCTTTTCTCTAAATATTTAAGGTTCTCTTCTTAAGAAAAGTAGGATTCTATTTCTCTAGTTCTTCATAATTAAATATGGCTTCACAACTTGCTTTTGCTAATGATACATGAGCAGAAATATCATATTCTACTCTCAGTCCTAAGCATGTAAAAGCTGGTGTGCAAGTCCCCATCTTTCTTTCTTTCTACCAGATACTAGTAGTGGAGTCTTTGTTAACCTGGGTATTTGAGTGAGAATGAGAATCATCCTAAGGAGACATGTATGTGTAGTCTGAAGGAAACAGGCCTGTTATTGGTTCTCAAATTGTGGCCCAGAATAGCAGCATTAGCAATATCTGGGAACTTTTTAGAAAGGCATATTTTCAATCCGAAAACCCTGATTAATTTGGACCTTCTGAATCAGAAACTGTGAGGCCCAACAAACTGTGTTTTAATGAGACTTCCAGGTGATTCTATAGCATACAAAATTTGAAAAGCCATTAGACTTACTTATTTCTGTTTATTTTAATAGAAACACTTTCACAGAAGTATATGCTACTTAAATGTGGGGAAGAGATATAATGGCGTCGGGATTTTTTTCATTTTTTAAAACATTTCTCTAGGTAATCAGGAACATATGCAACATGCCTCTTGCTCTAGCAAAATTTAATGCAAGTTAACTCTTACAACAGTTCAGTACCTCTTTTTTTGCTTTTAAAGTTACTCTCCTACATATGATTTATTCAAATCTAGTTTATGAGAAAGGTAAAATAGGGGTTATCATTTTCATTGGACTAGCAGTGAAACTGGGCAGAGACTTTTGATGAACTAGTTGAGGTTATTTTATGAGTTTGTGACACAGCTGGGACTAGATCCCCCCGTTGGGAAGCTCAGTCCATATTGTGACGGATTGCAAAAGTGAACCACACTCTGCAATGTAATTTTGCAATTCCTTCTTTCAAGATGCGAATATTACTGTATTTTTCCACTTCTTGAATGTTAGGTGGCCTTGGAACTTGCCATAGCCTATAGTGTATGGCACAAGGAGGGATGTACCAAGTCCAAGCCTAGGTCTCAAGAGGTTATCTTGTGTTTCTTCTATCTCTCTCTCTCTTTTAACCTGCTCTGCAGCAGCCATGAAAACAAGTCCAGGCTAGCTTACTGGAGAATGAGAGACCATATGGAGCAGAGCTGAGGCCCTAAACATGTGAGCAAGTCTAGCTGAGATAAGCTGAACCTGGCCCCGATCAGCAAAACAGCTGCTTACTGACCCAATCCATGAGTAATAATAAATGGTTGCCATTTCAATCTGCTAAAAAATCTACTAAAAAGCTATCCCTTTTATCATGCCTTCTTCTATGACAGAATCTGGGTCGATAAATAACTTATCTCTCCTGTGTGACTCAGATAGGGTGTGATGATTAATTTGGTGTGTCAACCTGACTGAGCCATGGGATGCTCAGGTATCTAATTAAACATTATTTTTGGGTATGTCTGTGAGAGTGTTTCTGAAAAAGATTAGCATTTAGATTATCGGGCTGAGTAAAGCAGGTGACCTTCCCTGATGTGAGTGGGCATCAACCAATTCCTTCAAGGCCTGAATAGAATAAAAAGGTGGAATAAGATTAGATTCGCCCTCCCTTTGCCTGACTGCTTGTGCTGGGACATAGATTTTCTGCCATTGGTGCTCCTAGTTCTCAGGTCTTCAGACTCAACTTGTCATCTATACCACTGGCTCTCTAGGCCTTACTTTTAGACTATGGACTACACCACTGGTTTTCCTGGGTCTCCAATATGCAGATGGAAGATCATGGAATGTCTCAGCTTCTGTAATCACATGAGCCATCTCATAATCATGTGAAAAAATACTATATATATATATATATATATATATATATATATATATATATACATATATATACACACACATACACATGTATATATTAGGATCATTAAGATTCATAAGAAAGTCATTTGGTGATGCTTCTATAAAACCTTTTTAAAGCAACAGACTCTACTGTAGGCATCCTGTGATCTTTCTCCCCTTTATCATCTTATTTCTTGGAACATGGATATAACACCTAGAGGTGCAGCATCCAACTCATGATGAAAGCAATATTCGTGGATAGGGTACTACACATTACATATGGTAGAGCCAAAATCATAGGTAGATCCTGATAAAAACCAAGACCCTTAATAACATTACTAACCTTTCATACACACCTTGGATGGCCTACTCTTGAACATTTTTCTGAGTAAGACAAATCCACTCTTTATTTATTTAAGGCCTTGGTGAGATTTTTCTTTGCTGAGCACATTTCTAAAAGATACATGCATTAAGGCTCTTCCAAAAATCTTGCCTGGGTGCAGACTCAGAATACAGATATATTTTTCTTATAGCATAGTGTTCTGGGGTCCAAAGAAGAACACTTTACTCAATGTGCCCTAAATGTTAAGGTCCCATTAGACTCTAAGCAACAATTTACATATTTTTCTTCATTTAATTTCCTCTGTCACTGCCATTAAATTAGAACACATTTTTTATCTAAAAGAGATCAGAATGAGAAAAGATCACAGTGAGAAATGCAGTCTTAGGGAACAGATGCAAATGTATTCTGAATAAATTTTCGATTTCAGGTTTATAGACTAATTCTCTTCCCATTAAAATACTAAATCTTTAAAGATTCTGTACTCCTTGACCCTCAATCCCACCGTGAGCATAGCTTACCTTTCAACTATTACAAAATGTAAGGTCATATTTTGCTAATAAAGAGCACAAATTATAGTGTTTCATTCCTTTGAGAAAGGAATGATATTCCTTTATTCCTTTGAGAAAGAAAAACAAAATAAAGCAAGCTCTGCCCTACTTAGGTAACAATAAAATCAGGGATGAAATAATTATTCATGAAATGAAGAAATCACCTGCAAGGCAATTTGTCAGAGTAAAAGCGTGATTTTGAGTTAGAGGAAATATTCAACTTACACGATTTACAGAGGACAAGACTTAAAAGAAATATACAGCAATTCATTTTAGTTGCAGAAAATGCCTTCATCTATTGCGCTCTAATGTCTTGTTGTGAATGTGGCTGATAAGGTTATCAGAAGTGCAAGACTGAAGTGTTGATTTTCTCTTAGTTCTACATTACCATTTGGTTTTGCATTATATTTTACGACTCTGATGGGAAATAAAATAGAGACATCATTAAAAGCCTCTTTCTACATAATAAGCACACACTGAAGGGTTATCATCAGGTATGAGTGTGTAATTGGATAATGTTTCAGATGCCTCTGTTGTCACCTCAAGGTTATGAACAAATGATGCATATGTAACATGGATCTATGGATGTTTGCAGAGAGGCATTCCTTTCCAAAACGTTTGACATGTCAACAAATACAAATAGAAAGCATATGATTCTTTTAATATTTTTACTCAGCACTTCAATAATAATAAGGGCTTGAGCAAAACAAACAACACAATACCTTAGGAAAATGTAAAGAGGATGAGACTTCCATAGCTTAAGTAATTGTGGTACAACAATTCATTTTAAGTCATTTGAGATAACTCTTAAAACCAATCATCTCATTCTCTCAGAAGATTCCTATCTTACTACTCTCTATTCTATACGAGAATCACATTTAAACCCATGCCTTCATGTGTTACACATTTTCCACAAGATGAAGGTAGCCTAGGTCTGGCAAGGAGGAGAGTCATGGATGCTGGCTGACTTTGGAAACAACAAGGAGGGTAAGTTTCTCAAGGGAAAGAGAATAAATGGATTATTATAGGAGGGTTTTAAGAGGAATGATGTGTTCCCAAACTGCTGGAGGTGATACCAGAACTGTGCAGAATGAACTGATAAGAAAAATAATTATAACACTCCACAAAGACAATAATGAAGGTAGAACAAGGTAACTAATATTCTCATGAGAGTGGGTTTACCTGATATCTAATGTTGGAATAGGGGGATTAAAAGCGAGTGTTAAATTTAATAAAATTACACTAATTATACTCGAAGTAAGTAAGTCATAAATCAATTAATTTTTAAGAATTTTTTTCAGCATTAAACCAAATAGCATATATTTAAAGTGGAAGATACTTTTCTTTTAAAATACTCTAAATGTAATCCAACCTCAACACAAATATTTTATAGTTACACTAAGTGCACATTTATTTTCTTCTCTTTTAAATTATGGATTTCTTATATTTCTCCTGGGGATAAAATTCTAGAGAACCCAAAACCTAAAATTGAGGAAAAAAAGGAAAGTGAAGTGTTCCACACAATTAAGTGGGTTGTTTTGGAAATCATCTTAGGGTAAGATAGAAGAAGCTGGGGAAGTAGTATGCCTAGTCTTTGAAATTGCCTTTGGTGTGTGTTTAGGTCAGGAGGTAGAGTCATATGTAAGAAGGGTGCTGTAAGTTAATCAATGTTCTGATGGCAAAATGGATAAAGGTAAAGATTTAGGGCACCTAATCTCAGATTGCAGCTCTACCACTTACTATCCATATGCCTTTGGGCTACTTTCTTAACCTCTTGAAACCTCAGTTTACTGATCCTTCAACATGAGAACACAGAAAGAATGCTGTTATTTATTAAAATTATGAAGAATTGAGATCCTGATGTAAAACACTTAACATGGTTTCTACCAAAAGCTTATGAAAACTTGTTATGGTGGTGTGTTTGCTGTAATACAGTCACAGTGGACAGGGTTAAGCTTTTATTTAAACTTTTAATTTAGATATTACTTTTTCTAGATACTTGGACTAGCTTGAATTCCTCCTACATTTTTGTTAAGTGCAAACCATTTTGTTGCTGGAATAACACTAGCAACTAAAGCAATTCTTTTTTTATTCAAGTGATATCCATCAACTGTTCTATAAATGTCTGTTCTTCAGAATAATACATTTTGTTTCTCTTTCACTTGCTACAAAAATCTTGTATTTTTGAAGATTGATCTTTCTTCTTTAGTTTTCCTTCTATTATCCAAAATGAGCAAATTTCTTTAATCATTTATCTAGATATATACAATCCAATATAGTAGTCACTAATTACATATGGCTATACAGTATTTGACATGTGGCTAATTCTATTTGAGTTGTTCTCATAGATACACTACATTCCATTTGGGTTGTCCTACATTGTAACATACACACTCCATTTCAGACTTAGTATGAAAAACAGAATGTAACACATTGAAATAATATTTTAGATATATTGAGTTAAATAAAATATATTATTAAAATTAATTCTACCTCTTTCGTTGTACTTTTTTAATGATGCTACTGGAATGTTTACAGTTACATCTGCTCCTTGTATTTGCAGCTTGCTTATATTTCTATTTGACATCACTGCTTTAGAGAGAACAGTAGTGAAATGGGAGTGGGTGAAGGAAGAGTTTATCAAAAGAGAGAAACAGTTATGTGGATTTTAAAAAACTAAATGGGTTGCATTTTTTAGACAAATACTGTTGATTTGGTATTTATTTGTAACAGTTTCTTGCATGACACAAACTTGAACTCATACATTGTATAACATATATGTTCATGAATTAATATAAAACATACATTAAACTAGGGTCATATGGTCTTAAGCGAAGCTTATTTTTGTTGCTGCTCACCCTCCTGCCCACCTTTCCCTGGGAGCAGTGAAACTCTGTCAGTTGGCTGTCATGCTTGCTTAAAAGCTAGAAACTTAAAAAAGTTAATCCTTACACTTGAAAACTACTTTTGAAGATAAAATATCACTTCAGATTTCTCCAACTGAATGCCTATTTTGTGAGGCTGAAGTTATAAGTAAATTATAGTAACAGAAAAAAGTGTCCCTTTTCATTAATTTCTGAAGACAAACTAGATATTTCAAAGAAGAAATTATCTGAAAACCTAGAGAGATTCACCGTAATCTTATTAGTTCTCTTCTAGACAGAACTGTACCATATGGATGAAAAGTATTTCACAGAAATTAAAGGGAGGAAGTCCACCGTATAGCACTGTTAAATGCATTTACTTTAATTTAGTTTAGTTCTGATTTTTATAAGGCTATAAACTACACATGACCAATGTTTGGTAAGTTATGGTCCCAGCATAGTTCCCTAAAGTGTAACATAGTCTTCAGCTCAGCATTTATATTTGCTTGATTTTATTGTGGAGCTCTAAAATTTCTTTCAGCCTAAACTTCCTAAGTAAATTTATTCTGTCTGTGCTTCTTGAAAGCATAAATAACTACAGTTTAAAAGTTATTTAGAGTATTTTATTCTGAATATCCAAAAGAAATTTGTTGGATAAACTTTGAATAGATGAACATTTGTTAAAGTATCAACTTATTGCATTAATCTAGGAATTTTAAAGAGTTTTTAAATTTTAAACAGAAAATATATTAGTGAAGATAGCTTACATCAAATTTTCTCCGTCTTGACAATGGTTATATTTTGGTCCAGATAATTCTGAACTCTGGGGCTGCCCTGTGCCTTGTAGCATTGCTGACCTCTACTGAATGCCGGTAGCACCGCTGCCCCCAGTTGTGACAGCCAAAAATGTTTACAGACAGTGTCAAGTGCTTTCTGGGAAGCAAATTTGTCCTTGGTTGAGAACTACTGGTCTGGATTTTGCTATGATCAGAAGCAACACACCAAATCTCAAAGACCTTACACAACAAAAGTATATTTCTCATTCCCAATCCCTGTTGGATGCGAAAACTCTTGACCAATGGTATTCACTCAGGCATCAGTGCTGACAAAAACTTTGCCTTTACAGGTTTTTACATAAACTAGGTAAGAAAAGGGAGCTGGTGAATGGCTCCCTGGCCCCAACATAAAATTTTCTCAAAATTGACCTTTTGCTTACATTTCCTGGATCAAAACAAAATATCTAGGCATGTCTAAAGTCAAAGAGGCATGCAGGTGTGGTCATCCTATGTATCAGGAAGAGGGAGAAAAGGGATATCTGTCAATAGGTCTAGTGGCCACCCCAAGGAGTTTAAGGAAGATGAAGAAGGAGGAAATCTAAAGAGAGTATGGAGATTTGGAAAAGACAACGATGAAAGAAGAAGGGTAATTTTTGGAGGAATAAAATGTGATTGAGGTAGAATGACCAGTTTATGGATAATGGCTTATGGCAACCCTTTCAGAAATATAAAGCAGGTGGTTAGATAATAATTCAAAAGCCTGTGGGTAGGAGAGTGAGCATTCCAAAGTCTTGTTTCCAAATGTGTTTGAATATCTGCGTACTTTTAATCTATTTGGACTATATATATCCAGATTAATTCCAATAACAGTTAAGATTATTGAATGCTGACTAAGTGATAGTTATTATAAGTTATGGGCTTTTTGTGTGTTATCTGTTTTAAATCCTCACAACCCTATATCATTAATATATTATTTTACTTCTTACGTATAAGGAAACCAAAGACAAGGTAAGCAATTTGGTGTGGTGAAACTACTTGTATGTGAAAATTTGGGTCTCAAACCCAGATCTCTCTGATTCCAAAGTGCATGGCTTAAACAATTACAATATATAACCCAATGTAAATATTACCCTACTTATAGCATCAATTGTAAGAAGCACAATTTTCTCCCATTGTAATATCTCACATATCTGGAGGCATGCTATAATTAACGCTGTTCCATAATTTAACTGGCTACTTTTCTCGTCCCAGTTGTACAAGAGATGTTAGGTTTTACAATCAATGGCATTTTAAATTCAATACATCTTTTAGGAAAATGTCATCCATTAAGGAAGAGGCAAAGCTTGTCCATGTTAAAAAACAAAAACAAACAACAACAACAACAACAACAACAAAAATTAGCATCTAATCTGAAACTTTAGAGAAATACTTCCAGGTTTTTGTTCACTCAAATAGCTGTCAATCAAGGCCAGAGATCAAAAGGTTCCATTTCCTTAGGGGGTCCTCAGTCTAATTTTCAGATTCATCTACATCTGTAATACAGCCTTTTCCAAAAGCAGAAACACTCTGCCACCATGACCACCATGTGTTGGGACAAGAGGAGGTATACAAAGGAAGAGTATGGCTCAAATGTAAATGTTTCTATTTAAAATGATACTTTTGTAAAAATAAGATTTGCAGCTGAATAGTATTTACTTTTTTGCAGGGCCATTCAGCACACATTCTTTCTTCCTTTAGTGAGAGTACCCAGCTAATCCAGTAGTACCCAGTTAATTATTTTTCTCCCACTGTGGCTTCAATGTTTGTGCTTTGAGTAAAGCTGATTCCATCTCCATCTATCAGTAAGACATGCCAGCTAGACCTAAAAGATACTTAATGCATTCCAATCTACTGGCTAAATCCATGCCGATTAGACCATTCAGAATTTACCTCCTGATGCAGTGGCTCACGTCTGTAATCCCAGCAGTTTGGGAGGCTGAGGTGGGAGAACTGCTTAAGCTTAAGAGTTCAACACCAGCCTGGGGAAGATAGCAAGACTCCGTCTCTACAAGAAGTTTAAAAATTAGCTGAGCATGGTGATGTGCACCTGTAGTCCCAGGTATTGGGGAGGCTGACGCGGGAGGGTTCCTTGAGCCCAGGAGTCTGAAGCAGCAATGAGCTATGATTGCACCACTGCACTCCAGCCTGGGCAGCAAAGCCAGACTCTGTCTCTAAAAGATAAAAAATAATTTAAAAGTATTTGCCATAGGGCTTTGCTTAAGTAGAAAATATTTGAACAACACAAGATGTAAAATTTAGAGGTAAATTTTACCTCTCAAGATGCAAACATCTTGCTACTTATCTGAGAAGAAAGCCATCTAAAAGTTCACAAAGATAAGAGATAGAGGAACCAAGTCCTGGGGAAATCTGTTGATGTCCTGTCACAGATCACATCTGAAGCCAGCCTGTTCTCTGAGGTTTTTAGTTATGTGAGTACATTATCCTTTATCTATCTATCTATCTATCTATCTATCTATCTATCTATCTATCTATCTATCTATCTATTTTATTTTATGAGACGGAGTCTCGCTCTGTAGCCCAGGCTGGAGTGCAGTGGCGTGATCTCCGCTCACTGCAAGCTCCGCCTCCCGGGTTCACGCCATTCTCCTGCCTCAGCCTCCCGAGTAGCTGGGACTACAGGCGCCCGCCAATACGCCCGGCTAATTTTTTGTATTTTTTAGTAGAGACGGGGTTTCACTGTGTCAGCCAGGATGGTCTCGATCTCCTGACCTCATGATCCCCTCGCCTCGTCCTCCCAGAGCGCTGGGATTACAGGCGTGAGCCACTGCGCCCGGCCTACATTATCCTTTATTATAAGCCAGTTTAGGTTGTATTTTCTGTCACTGGCAATCAAAGATGTTGTAAGTGACACAACCACTACTGGCTATATTTATAAAAATGGTTTTGGCCAGGCACGGAGGCTCACACCTGTAATCTCAACACTTTCAGAGGCCAACGTGGGTGAATTAATTGCTTGAGCCCTGGAGTTCAAGGCTGCACTGAGCTATGCTTGCGCTACTGCACTCCAGCTTGGGTGACAGCGAGACCCTGTGTCCAAAAAAGTAAAATAAAATAAGAAAGCTTTCTAAGAGGATGCATACCTATAAAAAACTGAACAGAGAAATACATAACTGGTTTGCAAAGTAGGATGAAACTCCTCCCAATCACTAAAACAATTAGGAGCAAATAATGTTATGCATATTGAGAGATAATTATCTTAGTTCAAAAATCTTATTAAATTTTTTTACTCGAAAAAAATTTATATTTTCAATATTTAGAAGAAAATAATCACTTCTCAGTTCAGACCAAAAAGAAAAATCATTGACAAGTCTCTGTGGTCAGAGGTGACTAGGTAATTTTCAGGGCATTAACATTTAAGGATAGAATAACTGTTATCATGTTCACTGTAAAGACAAAATTTAAAATAAGAGGTAAATACAAATAATAAACATTTGAAACATGATTTTGTTTGATAGCAAATTAAAATGAATGAATGCAGTTGAAGTTATGTAATAGTTATACACATTTCCTGGAAAGCTGATGCAAATGGGTGTGTCTACAGAGGGAGAAAAGAGGGAGAGAGAGAAACAAACAAAAAAGAGAGAGATGGAGCCCAGTAGTGAATATTTTAACCAAAATGGAGATTTGGAGGGTCTTTATGGCACAGTCCTCATTGAAGATAGTTTTTCTCCATTTCTAGTCTTTCTGCCATTCTCTTCAGATTCCTTGAGACCACGACAGGCTACATTGTCTTTCTATATTTGCTAATCCAGCCTATGTTAGGTTTCAATGAAATTTACAATTCCCTTCTCAATGTTAGAGTGTTTCTACCTTCTACCTAATTGCCTACTGATTTTTTTCTTTACTTCATCAATAATTATCTTACAGATACTATGAAGTTTTGTACGACTAGAATTTTAACACACAGAGTGATGGTTCCTTGTGGCAGATATAACTTCTCTTCTGCACAACTCTTGTCAGGTATTAGAAATCAAAACTGTTGGAGAGTACAAAATAAGTGACAGAAAGTAAGGCCACTGTGGTGTAAAAATACACATTGTAGAACATGCTCACATCACCTTGGGTGATGAACTGCTCATTGGCTGAGAATGTTTGTAGATGGTACATGAAAGCTCCTTGGTAGAAAATTTACAGCACTACACTATCTGCCACGCTAGCTTTGGCAGTCATTAAATGAGGGAGTATGCTAGTCCCTAAAACTTGTGGAAAACATTCACAAGATACACACACATACAAATATCTTAGGAAACTAGTCAGAGCATTGTATTGAATCAACGATGAGCAAAGTAATATTAAATGAAATATGTATATATGCAAAAAACTCATAAGTTGAAATTTTCAAAAATATGGATTAATCAAGATACTTGGATCTCTTTTACATTTCTAATTTTCAAAAATGCATATTAGTGAAAATACTTAGATCTTAGTCTTTTATTTTGTACCTACAGTTGCTCATAATCTTGCGTGAAGACTGATATGTGTGATTTCAGTAACTGTAATTATACTGGCATCAATATGCTTCTAAGGAGATTGTAGACATCAAGGGCAGATTTTTATGTAGTTCAACGACATTTTTTTCCTTATTTATTTGGTATGCAGGCTAAGCTGAAGAAATTGGTCTAGGATACATATTTTGAGGGTGTTGAGTTTTAAAATTGCTCAGTAAGGCATGTATATTAAATATGAACTTTCGTCAAAATATGCTATAGCAGTTACACAGCAAAAATAGTATATAAAGTTTGAAGATTCGCTTTTATTAATTGCTCTCAATTTCTCTGGAAATGTCTGGTTGCTTTAGAAAGATGATCTTGTGTAATCTTTTTAATAGCTCTGTTAGCTAAATATCATTGTTCACATTATAAAGATGACGTAGTTGATGCTCCAAGAAGGTGAGTTTATAGCAATTTGAATATTGTCAAGAAAGTCTGTCTGTCTTCAAAACCTATTATTCTTCTAGCTCTATCATGCTGCTGATAAACATATAGTTATTAACTTTCCTTCACAAGACTCTACAGAGATGCTAGAAGAGAAATTTGTTGAAACTTGACAAGAAGGAAGGAACTTGAAAAAGAAAAATTGTTTTCTTTTAAAATAAGATTCTAATATCCAATTCCCTGTAGCCCCAAGGACTGATGATCTGTACTAAGTTATTACGTACCCTAGCAGTTCTAATATGCCTGCTTCAGCCTCACTAGAAACAGATGGGTTGATCAATTCCATTTGTAATTACATCTGGGAAAAGGGATTATAGAGACAAATATACTCAACTGTTTTGTTCCCATGAGTACAACATGAAATTAATCACTGGACCAATCTTCCCCCTGCTACAGTGGTACTGATTAAGGTGAATCTTTTGCTAAGTCTGGCACATACTAGTCCTAACACAGAAGTATTTAGAAGAACAAAATGAAAGTGTTTATTTCAAAAACCTATTTGATCTCTTAATGCAAGGATTACCAATGATGACTGTAAGCTCTTGGTTATAGTGATTAAGTATAAAATTGCCTGGCCTATACCATTCAGTCATTTCTGCATTTTAAATAAAATTCTGTTCAATGTTGAACACTATCCAGTAATTTAGAAGCACACTAATATTTAGATTTATAATGGCCATCTCTCCACCTTCTTACAATTCATAATGCTGATTTGTTCTTATATATCGAGTTCTACAGAGGGCTGCTGCTATGACAAATATAACTGAGAATGACTCCTAAGAGATTGATGCAATCAGTTGCTTACTTCACATTAAATTTAATAGAATATTGAATGTCGCTCAAACATTTAACACTTTGATGAAATATATACTGTATATTATTTCAGTTACTTTGTATAGATAGGCTATAAACAAGATAAAATACTTTTCATAAAATGTCCAAAAGGGTTCATTTCCTTCTTGTCATCACTCTTCAGAGTCAGTGTTTGCAAGGCACGTGTTTTAGAACACCAATTTGTGGGATGTTAGTAGTTGCTTATCATGCATGAAAGGTCCTATAGAGAAACATATTTTTGAGAGACACACACTTCAAAATATTAAAGATTTTCATAGGTATTTTTATAGGCAAATAAGAGTTAGAATTCTTCTGAAGAAAGGCAAGCTTCATCAAAAGGTTAGAAATAAAATTCAACAAATTTTATTTTACTGCAGAATTTATTTTCAGAGGATGTTCCAAATTGGTGTTCCAAATTGTTGTACAGTTTGGAAAGCACTTCCCTGAATATAGTACAGTCTCTCCAACACATTGTCTTACAGGCTCTGACTTGAAAATATCTGGATGATGAGTAAGTATAAAATATTCTAAATATAAATTAGTCTCAGGCAAACATGCTAAACAAGTCTATTAGAAAGAGGTATATGGATTGCTTATATCTTCATATTACATGATAGTGTTAGCAGATAATCTAATTTGCTACTAACAAATGCAAACAATTATTAAATAAATACCCATAATATTCCAGACAACATGCATGACAACTTGTAAAAATGTTACATTCTTTATCAGATTAAAAGGTAATACATGTTCACTGAGGAAAATTAAGAAAAAAGAAAAATAAAGACAAGAATCTTACTTAATGTAATAATTGATTCTTAGATTTTTTTTAAACTTTAAAAATGCATGTTGGCACACAAGTCAAGGATCTGAAAAATGATTGGAATTTATCTTCAAGGTTAGATATTGACATTTGGTTTATGTCATTCACAGCTAATCAGCCATAATGCAAGTGTACTATATGGATCAATCAATAGGGTGAGTTGATTGGGTCACAGATTGTACATTTTGTCTTTGTTTCAAAGTTTAGGTAATATAATACACCTTTTTGTTTTTCTAAATATTATTAAAAAATATTTAAATGGAATAATGTTTGCAAAAGACCTCTCAATATTCTTTATAAAATCCTTCACAGATTATACTCTTATAGCAAAAAAAAAAAAAAATCAAAACTGTATATGAAAATGTATTTTTTCCCCTGCTGTATATTCTTTCAAACAATGATTAAGGTAACAAGCACCCTTTAGCTAAGGTTTCAATCACTTTATCTACAATGGATTTTTTGTTCTCAGTGTTTTTCTGAGCAGCGTTAACAATGGCTCTAATAACCCAATTCTAAATAAGAGAACTATGCTGTACTAAGATGGTGACCTTTGAGTTGCTTTATTCCTCCTTAAGTGTTGTGAAGAACGGTTAATGTGTTCTTTTCTTGCATTTCATTTTGGTCTCAAAATTTCATGATGAATATTTTGTCAAGTTGTTTCCATTTTAAGAACTCTAACATTAAAAAGTAAATTTTGTACAACTGCAATGAAAGAAATGGTGTGCTAACTATCATTTTCCTTCTGAAGTCCTTATTGTATGTTGTGGTCATAAACCCATCTTTATTATTTTAAACATAAAGGGCCAACTGGGACTAACTATTTTCAAAACTATTCCTCCCCAGTAATTATGATTTATCTGTTGTCTACTGCTTTATAGGTTTTTCATTTTGTCTATTTTGGTCCATACATGAGATCTTTCAGGATTCAAACATTTTTAGTTGCCCATCTTGACATCATTGCCAACATTGTTTCTCATTTATTGACGAAAATACCAGTCCAAAGTAAGATTAAGCCATCTTCCAACATTGTATTAGAATGACAGTCTCCTTTATCTTGGCATTATGTGCATGTAATTAGCCAGCATAAAGGGCATATCCAGTTGTGAACTGGCCTAAATAGTTCAGGATGATAATTTGTGTAGTAGTTTCATTAGTAGGTTATTTCTAATGTAATCAGCTACATTGCCACAGGGTGAACGTATTGAACAAAACTATTCTTGCTGTTTAATCCACATGATTACTGTAGATGGAGGAGGTGGGAGGAGATTCATTTAGAACACCAGAATGAATTTTAACAAACTTCAATTTGTTTACTGGCTAGCTCAAAATCATTCACTATGGTTTTAGAATATGTCTCTAATGTGAGTTGCAGGGATATACTATTTCCACCAAATATGTACAGCTGTAGTAAGGGCAAAATGTAGAGGTTTCTGGGTTGAATGAGTTAGAGATGAGTAAGACTCCAAAGCTGGGAGTAGTGCAACTTCCAGTACTTTCAGATTTATGAATGTTGGGTTTTCCATTCCTTGAACCAAGGCACAGAAAAGAATGGCATGGTGGAATGATTCCAAAAGAGTTACAAACTTTATAGTAAGAAAGAGTGCTGATTCTTGATAATGCCTGCATGACTTTTATGGTTTCCAAAATTTTCAGTTTAATCTATTGTGTCAGCACCAACTATCAGTTGCTTCATGTCCAGTTAGCAAGCCCAAGGGGAATGCTTACAGATGTGCTAATTTGCTAAGATATCAGCTTCACAACACAAATAGCAATACTCTAGAAAATGTAATCAACTGTAGTTGTTTCTGTACTCAATTCAATTACTTTTCGTAAAATAAAATTTTCATTGCAGTGAATCAATGGCAACTGAAATCACCGTTTACATTCACATTCAAAGTCAGCCATCCCTTCTTCTAGAGTCCAGGTCTATATGAATGATTTATTCGCCTTCCCAGCAGCCTCAGTTTCAAACTTTCTAATGGCTACATTATTTCCCCACATTTGTGCATCAGGTTGCTTGTTGTGGTAGGCTTTTCCGACTTGAGAGCTATTCGGTGACTCTAAAAGTGAACTGGGACTTTTGCTTTCATAATTTTGCATTGGATTTAATGCTGTTTTTTATGAACCTGTGTTTGGTGCTAAAGTTGTTGAAAGAAGTTTGTATGCTCTTTGTAGCTTTTAATATAGATAATTAAATCTATTGTATCCTACTTAACAAGCTGCTTTGATGTCCCCTCACTAACCTACATGTACAAAACATCACCTCAGAAACAGTGGCTGGAGTTCATCTATGCTCTCCCTCCCTGCCTCTTTCTCACTCCAAGGGATAGTTTATCCAAATACATATTTATTTGAATTATGAGACTTTTTCCTAGATAAAATTGCACTAATCTATACTTCTAGAGGTCACTTTTTACGTTCTGAAATCTTGTGATGCCCTTGATTAAATATATTGCACTGCCGGTTGTTTATCATCTAATTTTCTACCTATTACAGCTCCTAGAAAATTGTACTTTGCCATATTAGTATAAGGATGTGCTTTTGTATTTTAATATAGCCTTAGAAAGTATCTTTTTGTCTCTTTACTTGTCAATTTTTGTTTTAGATTCTTAAAGTGCTTTAGCAAGTCAAACGCATTAACAACTGTCCATGGTGGGTTAACTTCCACTGTAAATATCCTGGCAATCCAATTGTTGGTGTCTTCAGAATCACTTAGTTTCTAAGGAGAACTGAAACTGTTAAAAAAAACAACAACAAAAAAGGAATGTTCACAACCTTTTACCTCTAGCATTTCACTTACTCTACTTGTATAGGGAAGAGGAAGAAAAAGAATTTTAAAGAAATAGACTTCTGTTCTTGTTAGACACTTGATGTATATTTTCTTATAACATTATCATGATAATCTTAAAAAGAAAATATCTTTTATAATCTCCACTACCTAGAAGAGTCAATGAACCATGAAAAGAAAATTAAGAAAATGATCACATTTATAATACCATCAAAAATAAAAAATTATTAGTAGTAAAGCTAACCCAGAATGTGAAAGATTTGTACATTGAAAACTACAAAATATTAATAAAATAAATTAAAGAAGACACAAGTACATAAAAAGACATCTCATGTTTATGGATCAGAAAACTCAGCATTGTTTAAACACCCAAACTACTCAAAGCAATCTACAAGTTCAAAGCAATCCCTATCAAAATCTCAATGGCATTTTTCACAGAAATAGGAAAAACAATCCTAAGATTCATCTGGAACCATAAAAGAACCCCAAAAGCCAAAGTAATCTTGATCAGGAAGAATAAAGCTGAAGGCATCACACTTTCTGATTTCAAATTATAAGACTATAAGATAGAATAGAGAACCTAGAAATAAAGCAACACTTACACAGTCAACTGATCTACAACAAGGATGCCAAAAACACACAGTGGGAAAAAGATAGTCTTTTTGGCATATGGTGTTGGAAAAACTGGACATACACATGAAAAAAAGAAAACTAGATATACACATGCAAGAAGAAGACAAACTTAAGACAAACTTAAAACCTGAAACTGTGAAACTCCTGTAAGAAAATGAAGGGGTAACTCTTCTGTATATGGTCTTGGGAATGATTTCTTGTATATGAGACAAGCAACAAGCACAGGCAACAAAAGCAAAAATAACGTATGACTACATCAAACTAAAAAGTTTCTTCTTCACAGCACAGAAAACAATTAATAGAATGAAGAGGCAACTTACAGAACGGGAGAAAATATTGGCAAACCATATATCTGATAAATAGTTCATTTAAAAAAATATAAGAAACACCTATAACTAAATAGCAAAAAAAACTAATAACCCAATTAAAAATTGACAAAGAACTTGAAAAGAAATCTCTCTGAATTACACCTACAAATGGCCAACCAGTATGCAAAAGATGTTCAACATTATTAATTATCAGGAAAATGCAAATTAAAAATACCAATGAGATATAATTTCACACCTGTTAGGTTGGCTGTTATTTTTTAAAAAAACAAACTAAAGATAAGAAGTTTTGATGAGGTTGTGGTGAAATTGGAATCCTTGTAAACTGTTTGTAGGAACGTAAAACGATGTAGAGCTATGAAAACAACATGGAGATTCCTGAAAATTTTTTAAAAATAAACTATCATGTGATCCAGCAATCCCAATTCTGGGTATATATCAAAAAAAAAAAAAGTGAAATTGGGATCTTGAGAAACAGCTTTATCCCCATGATCATTGCAGCACTATTCAACATAGCCATCATGTGGAAACAACTCAAATGTCCATTAATATATGAATGGATACAGAAAATGTGGCGTATACATACAGTGGAAAATTATTCAGCCTTAATAAAAATACATTCATGCCATTTGCAACAATATGGATAAAATTGTAGAAAATTATTCAAGTGAAATAAGCCAATCACAGAAATATTACATAGTTCATTATTCCACTTATATAAGGAATCTAAAATATTCATAATCATAGAAACAGAAAATATAGCATTGATTTACATGGGCTAAGGGTTGGGGAAAATGGAGAGTTGTTTGTCTGTGAGTAGAATGTTTCAGTTATGCTCAATGAATGAGTTCTAGAGATCTGCTGTACAACATGGAACCTATAGTTAAAAATACAGTATTTTGCACTTTAAAATTTGTTAAGATGGTAGATCTCATGTTATGTGTTCATATAGCAAAAACAAAACAAAACAGAAACATAAGGAAACTCTGGAATATGTTGGATATGTTTATTATCTTGATAGTGGTGGTGGTATAATGGGTATTTGCATATGTTTAAACCCCTCAAATAGTATATATTACATATGTGCAGCTCTTGGATATCAATTATATCTCAGTAAAGATGTTAAAATAATTGGCAATAAGAAATCAAATAAATAAATAAATGTAGGTGTCCTGAATCCATAGACTGCTTCTTTACTAATTATATTACTTTTCTTTCATAGTTTGACATTTGAGCGTACCTTGTGTTTTTAAAATTTACATTTCTATTACTTCTTTCATTTAGATCAGTAATTCTCAAAATATGGCCCATGGAGTAGTTAGACTGGTGTAGGTATTTGAGTGTTTATTTCTCATTGCTGATGTAGCTCTACTGAATTGGAAAAATCTCAGCAGGATGACAGAATCTACCTTACTAATATGAGTCCCAGTTAAATCTGATACACAATATAATTTGAAATCATGCTTCTCATCAGTCATCTCTATATCAATGTACCTATTTATTTTCTGCATTTTCAGTTTAGAGTCATAAAGATGGCTGGTACTCAGCAAATGTTTATTAAATCAAATTCTAAATATAATTTTAGAATTCTTGAGAAAGAAGTTTAATTTTCTTTTATATTTAGTCAATCAAGTAATTGTCCATGATAATAGCTAACAGAACTCTCCTATAACTTTCTAAATGACTGTAGAGGTTACGGGGGGCAATACAGAGAACACAGAAGAAGGACTAGATTGCAAAATTTTAGCATAGATTAATGACCAATGGATAGCTTCTGACATAAAACATGTGCCAATACAATATTTCAAGTCTAGTTTAAGGAGTAGTTTTGCAAAAATTTTTGTGTTAGGTAGGCCCCCTTCAATAATGCCCAACTCATTCACATTTTCTTTGTCCTTTCTCCTTTCACTATACCTTCATAAGATTACGCTTCATGAGATATGATTAAGAGAAATGGGAAGAGATAAGATTTAGGAGAAAAGGAAAGAATACGTCTAAATGAAATTTTTGCTTTCTTTACTCAGGAATCTTCCTAATATTTTTGAAATTACAGATTTTCAAAACTACTCATTGGCACTGAAAACTTCCCACTCTTCTCTGAACTCCCTGGATATGTTGATACCCCTGGAATCATTTGGATTTCACTCCACACACTGTATTAATTAATTGAATGATTAACAAAATTACAAACATCTCATGTATCAGCTAGGAAAGAGCTAAACTGAAAAGCACTGTAAAATTGAAGGGAATGCTAGTTTTTCTCTAAGAGGTTTGGTTTACTAGGTAAGGATCATAGTGCCTAAACCTAGAGATAAAAAAATGTTAATATGGTAAAACTTCCTATAGATTTTTCTAATTCCTATTCAGAGAGCCCAATAAGCATCTCCAATTACAAATGATCACTCATTCCATATTAAAGCTCTTTTCAATATCCATGTATGAGTAGATGAAGTTTTTTTTTTTTGTCATTTGTAGAACTGAGTAATGGAAATTAATTGTTTTTCCTGCACTTGAATGTTCTGTGGCAAGTAGAGTTGCTCCCCTGTGCACACTGGCTACTGCCACCTGTATTGAGTTTTTATGTGTGTAGGTAGTTTTCAAGAGAATGAAACATTCTTCTCAGATATTGAATGTGCTCAATTTGTGTTCCTGCTATTAGAACTATATTCCTCTTGCTCCTGAGTGACTGCTTTTGATTTAGGTATCACTGGGAGTGGCTTAATGAGGTTTCTGCTTGTGAATCAGGCTCTCCCCAAGGAAAAAAAATATAGGTTCAGTGGTTTACCACAATAATTCCCTTTTCAATATTCACATTACTATTAAATAAACATCTTAAAAGGAATGTTAATGATTCATCCCAATTTCTGGCCTTAATCCCCTAATTAGATTTACTTATGTATATTTCCATCAACCATTTATCACATATATGTAGCTTTCATAGTTGTACCAGTAAAAAAAAAGTTTCTTTAAATAAATAATTTCACTTTGGAGGCTCTTCATCTTTACAATTTTAATTGCTCCACATTCTACTTTGTTAATTTGATATGCCAACATTTAAACATGCTCAGCATTCAGTTTATTCACATATTGTTCCTTTTATATATATCATGGCACTAAGTGTCTGTTATAGGTTGAACTGCGCCTCCCAAAATTTATATGCTGAAATCCCAGTCCCAGTACCTCAGAATGTGACCTTATTTAGAAATAGTATTTTGAAGATGTAATTAGTTAAGATCAAGTCATTAGGACAGGCCCCAATCCAATATGACTGGTGTTCTTAGACAAATTAGAGAAGTTTGGACACAGACACACACACAGAGGAAGAATATCAGGAGAAGATCATGGTCAGACTTGGAGTATTGCTTCCACAAGCCAAGGACTGCCAAAGATTGTCAGCAAACCAACAGAAGCTAGAGGAGATAGATGGAACAGATTCTTCCTCATAGCCCTCAGAAGGAGCCAGCCCTGCTGACACCTTGATCTTGAACTTCTAGACTTCAGAACTGAAACAGAAAATTCTGTTGTTTAAGCCACCTAGTTTGTGGTACTTTGTTATGGCAGCCCTAGCAAACTAATACAGTATCTCTGAAATACTCTGTATGATCCGTGTTAATCATTCTTTCTTGGTTTTGGTTCAGCGCTTATATTTTCAATTGCTTATTCAGAATAATTTTCTGTTAACTTGCCACAGTTATAGAGGTAATACATTTTATAAATCACATATATTTGTATGCATATATAAATTTATAAATTTATATATATATATCAAAGTGTCTTTAAGATATTTTTAAAATTCCTGTCAATGTACAACTTCCTTCTTATTAAAAAGAATGACAGCATAAGTATATTCTATCATAGTCATCATTCTTATATATTCAATTATTATTTTGAGTACTTCATGTTAAAATTTTGTTGTGTCAGTAGCATTACATATTCTTTCATAGACTTAATTACTTTTAATAAGTGATAACAAAAAATTAAATTGTTTAATTTGGCTCAGAGCAGACCCTTTAAGGGGCTACTTTCTCTTTCAGTACTTTCTCTGTCAGTGCTTTCTCTGTCATTCTTTAAAGCAACCTTAATTACAAAAATTGGAAGCTCCAGACCTACTATGAATTTTCCTACATCAAAAAAAATGGAATCACTCTTCCTCTCTTTTAGTGGAGAATGGTATTAGAGAGGAAAATCTAAGCACAATTTGTACTCATTCGTGTTGAAGGTGAACACTAGCGTTGCAATTGTTGAGTCAATTTTATTCAGAAAGATGAAAAGATATTTTCATGAGGTCTTAGGTTCATAGATGTCTTCCTGTCTTTGCATTTAATATACTCTGCTTCCTAGTACTATTTTACTCTTTACTTAGTCCTGTAAACTATTAAACTATATTTAACTATTTGACTATATTTATAAATGAGAAGATAAATAAGACAGCTGTGCCCAAAATGGACAACAGAGGATATTCTAGAGAGGTGTGTCTGTTAGAATTCTAACTTTAGCAAAAAAGTATATATTGAAAGAGTCTCAGGTTAGCTCACAGAATTGATAGGAAGACTGAACAAATTAGGAACAGGAACTCCCAGGAACCATGGAAGTGTCATGAGGTAGGATAAAAATAACTTCCTGACCATTACAAGCACATCACTTCACTGTAGGGAATGTAGGAAACCTTCACCTATAATCCTCCTAAAAATTTCCACAGTCTGCAATAGAGTGCTGAGTAATAGACGTACACTAAAATGTGGCCAAGTCGCTAAATATATATCCACTGCAGGAACAGAGAGCAGTTTGGGGGCTGTCAAAATGATGAGAAGCCAGCTTTATCAAATATAAGAGTAGTGAACAAGGAGAAAGGGTCACGAGCAGAAGAAATCAGAGCCATTGATTATACTGGGAAGTCTTTCAAGGAATATGTAAGACAAATTACACTCCAATCATGGAACTGTACTGGACCAAAAATTCTTATTTTTTCTTTTTTTAAAAAACTACCAGGTCATAGATTCAGCAAAGGCATAACTCTACCATTATTGGAAATCATAAAGAAAAAAGATTATAAAAAGTATATGGTCAAGATGTGATGTGTACTTTAATATAAATACTTATTGCTTTATAAAGAATTATTATAATGTGTTTAAAAAACTTATTTATATAGTTAGCTGATAATGTACTAACTTTTCCTTGAATTAAATTTAGGATTTCTTTTAAAATAAAAATAGAGCAAGCAATATTGATGGCGGTCCTATCACTGCTATCAAAAAGTGACAAGAAAGAAGGAATAACATATGACTTAAAGGTTATAAATCTGGTTGGCATTCAAGTGACTTAAAATAGTGGACTAAAATCCAGGGCAGATGACTGGTGGTAGAGTGTTCGGACTGATTTTTATTATAGTCACATTTAAAACCATATATTTGGATATGATTATTAAAAGGAACAGTTCAGAGTTAGTGAAGGAATAATAACTCATGCATTTAAGAAGAAGAAGGACAAAGAGGAAATGATAAATGTGGCAGAAAAAGGATCATTTTTTTCCTAAGGACCAATGAAATATCTCTTTTAAAGAGAATTAATACAGTCCTCCATTGTACACTAATATACTACATATTATTCATAGGGAGATTAACTTTTGGGTAGAGTAACTGGTATACGATTATCACAGCCCTTTAAAATTTAAGATCAAAAACAAAAGAAATGGAGCTCTTATAGAAAAAAAAATGGTATTAAGGACAGGGGATTTGGAGTTAGAAAGTCCTGCAAGTGAATCTTGGTTCTGTCACCTATAAACTTGGTGCTAACTGGTGAAATTTTGTAGGCCCCGTCTTTTGTCATCTATCAAATGGGAATAATAATATCCACTTCTTAGAATTATGTTAAGAATTATATAACATCACACATGAGAAGCATGTAGTAAATTGACACATAGTGTACTTTCAAGAATAATTTTTAAAGAACAGAATAACATCAAAGAGCAGTTTCCACGTGTTTTCTGTTATCTAACACATTTATTATATCCTCTCACTCACATTAATCGGGCAGTTTATATCTGGTTGTAACAGAAATAGAGCTGATATTTTACAAATTACCGCTAAAATAATCTTGTTTGTGTAACTGTTATATAAAATGCAACTGTGTGTTTTTTTGGTGTGCAGACATTTCCACTAACATTCCTTCCCCATAAAGCTATAATATTTCCACAATCAATACCTAGAGTCTTAAAAATGAATATGCAAACACAAATAAAACTCTCTAGACAGGGATAAAATCCACAGGCCTGGAGAAATAAAATAAACTCCAACTCATGTATATTCACTTACTCTTAGCTTTCAAGGAGTTTTATGGTTGTTAGGGAATTTGGAATGCGTTTGCTCTAATTAAATTGAAGTTTTCTTTAAATATAATGCAATGAGGAAAAGGAAGACAGTAAAGACGACTTGAATCTCCTGGAAAGATGAGACAACAAAATTCAGTTGTGTGTGTGTGTGTGTGTGTGTGTGTGTGTGTGTGTGTGTAAGGAGAAAAAGAGAGAGACAGAAAGCTATTAGAAATAAGTATGAGAGATATTTTAATTATTAAAAATAATGTTTCCAACTTAAGGCTATGCATTGTATTCAGGGCTTTTCAAATACCAATCAGTGAAGAATAGACATCTATAATTAGAATTATTGTAGAAACTGAAGTCTGCTAAAATTTTTCAAAGTTTTGCTTCATAAGTCATTGATTTCATTTTGTGAAATATATAAAAAAAAAATGTCAGCACAGTAGCCTTACCACCTCCCCCTGCCCAGTCTACACTCTGTCTATAATGAACTTCATTTAGTTTTTCTAATGCTTCGTGATCTCTGTATCTTAGAATCTTTCTATAAACTGTTTGCACGGCCTGGAAGACCTTTCTCCATCACATCAGAACATACAGTAACTCTTACATATTCTTTATATTTCTATTTAAATGGGAAATAGAAATTAAATTTCTATTTAAATGGGAAACCTTGGGAAAATCTTCCCAACCCACATATACCAGATCAGCGCTCTTTGCTATTAATTTTTAGAGACTATGACCTTTCATTCATACACTTATAAAAGAGATTAGTAAGATGCTGTGCATACTGTAAGCACTTAATGATTACTTGCTCAATGAACAAATGAAGACATAAATAAGTTTGTCTTCTGACAACTCAGATGACTTTTGCTCTTCTTGTACTACCTGGAATCCATGAAATAATATTTTTTTTTCTTCTTCATGAGCACTTGGTTTTAACCTTTAACTGTGAATTATAATACCATATCCATCCTCTTTTAATAACCTCATAATTCTATATTTGCAATTATAGGATGTTGACAGTGGGTGTCAAACTTATAATCATAGACTGGACAATTCCTTTTTTACAGACCATCAGTCTTTGAAGTTCAACTTCCCTGAAAACTATGTAAAATAAAATCTCTGGATTTCAGAATTCAACATATTCAATATATTTTTAGGAAATATATACATTTTTTAAAAATATACATTTATACTTATACATTTCTTTCCAAAATATGCAACCTTTTTTATTCTTTTTAACAGCATTAGGTCTATTTTTAAAATACGAATGAACAAATATTATATGTCACCTTTGGAAATATATGTCACCTTTCAGCCATTTACTAAAAATGGCTAAAAATGAAAAGATATCCCCTCCTTATTTTTTAGTCACTCAGTTTGCTTATCTTTTAAAGACTGCTACTTTAAAACCTGTGCATCTAGAGGGAAAAAGAAATATTAGGGGCCAACTTTCTAATTTTCCTCAGTAGAAAGAAAAGAGATGCATAGATCCATTCCTTCATAAATATTTTAGAAATTATTTTTAATAATATCAGTCAGGAAACAAGCCAGAAAGAGCAGAAATCATCAAAACAAGCTAACCTTAAAAGTGAGCTACACATGTGATCATTTAAATTTTAAAGTTAATCAGATACTCAGATTCAATGCATTTTCATTCATAGGGAAAAAATATCAGGGTTATAAAAATAGAGAGACAGGTAATATTCTACAAATTCCTGTTGACCTTGAAATTTATGTTCAGTAAGATAATCTCAGTTTGAGACTTGATAAGCTTTCATGTTTTTATTTCACTTTTAAATTTCCATTCATCCCTTCATTTAAAGAAACAATATCCAAAAATTTCCTGCAGAAAAGTAAAATTCACTCTGCATTAAACAAACATTTGGATTCATTTGGGAGCCTCAGATTCAGAAAAAAAAGCGAATAAGTTACTGAAACAACAACCTCAGAAAACCCTGCAAAAACAAAACAAACAAACCAATAGCTTTCATTTTAGATATGAAAGTTGAAGCAGATTATAAATGGTCTGGCCAAGGTCATATTGGAAATCTCGACTATATTCCCCAGGCTATCCAGCAGTACTCCTGCCTATTTTCTATTGTTTCTATCATGCTTTCTCTCTTTTAAAAACAGCTATAGTGATACAAGTTTACCTATGTAACGAACCTGGGCTTGTACCTCTGAACTTACAACAAAAGTTAAAAAGAATAAAAATAAATACAGTCCGCTCATTAAACAAAAGTCAGAAATGAAAAAAGCTATGAAAATCCAACCCTGAAGCGCCTTTATAAGTTAAATATTTCTATGATGAAGCCTATATTTAAAATTTACTTTTAAGCTTAAATTATAAAAAAAAGAGCGTGAATATAGGTAATTAAATCCTTATTAAACAATATGAACAACTCATTGCTAAATGTTTATAATTCTAGAGATATCTCTAAGGAAGTTTTAAATTCTACTATATGTATTGTGCTGTTTTGAGCAGCTATGTCAATGTTTATCATAGAATGAGAAAACAGTCATTAATGATACATGAAATGGTTTGGCTATGTCCCACTTAAAATCTCATCTTGAATTGTAATAATCCCCACATGTCAAAGGCAGGACCAGAAGGAGACAATTGAATCATGGGGGCTGTTTTCCCCACATTGTTCTTGCGATACTGAGTGAGTTCTCATGAAATCTGACAGTTTTATTAGGGGCTTTTCCCCCACTCCAGTCTGTACTTCACTTTGATACTTCCATATGAAGAAAGACGTGTTTGCTTCCCCTTCCACCATGATTGTAAGTTTCCTGAGACCTCCCAACCCTGTGGAACTGTGAGTCAATTAAAACTCTTTTCCTTTATAAATTGCACAGCCTTGAGTATTTCTTCACAGCAGCGTGAGAACAGACTAACACAGTACATAACTGTAAAAAAAGTCCACTAAATTTTGTGGACTTCGTATCTGCATAATATATTAATTTTTCAATGAAATGACTACATTTTGATCTCGTGGTAAATCATCTATGATTTTGGCACCAAATAAGCAAATTGTTACAACTCATGCTTTTGTGGGCTCTGCAGTCTGACCTGGGACCCTAATTTGGTTTTATACTATTTGAGTAGGTATACAGAGAAGAGATCATTCCTGGCAAGGGAAGATAATTACTACGTGTCTAAGACTAGAATTGAAGGGAATAATTGGTTGAACTAGAAATAAAGGAACTAACACTAAGAATTTGAAGGGTCTGCTCTGTGCGTATTATGATTCCGGGTGGTAGAAGTAGTGGTGGTTGTGGTGGTGGTGGCATAGGAAATTTCATCCAGCATCGAGTATTTCAAGTGTTCTGGCCTTAAGGAAGCTTTAGATTTACTAGGCATAGAAAAACACAAATAGGCTACAATATCATGAGTGATTCAGGAAGGGTGGAAAAGAATAGATGTCAATTGAAATGGGTTGTTTGGTTTATTATAAGTAATGGGTTACTTATTGAAATATTTTCTAGGCTACTGTTAGGCGTATGCGGAACCAGTTTGAAATTTCACACTAGGATGTGGTCGGTGGTAGCATATTTCACTAGATGTTTCTAGAATGCAGACAGCTTAGCATAGGCAAATGTCATGCTACAGAAAAATGAATGGTTGGGCCACATGACTAGAATATTCTCAGTCACAACTTGACAGTGCTACTTGAATTGCTGAAAGATTAGTTAATTACAATCAACATGGGCATAAGAATTTCTTCCAAGAATATAATGTAAAATTTCAGGAGTTAGAATGACTAATAATAATAAACATTGGGAGAAACCTAGGAACAGCATGTGTAAATTATTTATTTTCCTGCAAAGGTTATTGAAGAAAACTAATCTAAAACAAGGCGTATTATTGGTCAGCAGCGGTTTCAACCCAAGAGCCATATAGAATATGCATGCTTCAACAGTCCTGGTTTGGCTAGTTCACAAATATAATTGTTTGGAAGTGATGTGAAATAGTGGAAAATGAAAGGCTTAGAGAGTCAAATGGAAATAGGTTTGGGAATGGCTCTGCCACTCGCTGGCTATGTAAACCTGAAGAAATGGCAGCATGTTTCTGATGCACAGTTCCTCATCATATCATATCTATCTGTATTGTGAGAATTAAATGAACTATTATATGTAGTTTAGGCAATTCTACTTTGGTTACAAAATCATATTAAATAGTAACTCTTACTTAACAACACAACCTAGTAAATCACATTTTGATATCTGCTTTTGCTCTTCTCCCTCTGTTCTTAACCACAGTGACCTTTATGTTTTATGTAACTAACTTGTATGTGTAGAATCTGGCCAGGCTCACGCCTGTAATCCCAGCAGTTTGGTAGGCCAAGGTGGGCATATTACCTGAGGTCAGGAGTTTGAGACCAGCCTGGCCAACATGGTGAAACCCTGTCTCTACTAAAATACAAATTAGCCAGGCATGGTGGCTCGCACCTGTAATCCCAGCTACTCAGGAGGCTGAGGCAGGAGAATCACTTGAACCTGGCAAGCAGAGGCTGCAGTGAGCAAAGATCATGCCATTTCACTCCAGCCTAGGCAAAAAAGAGCGAAACTCCATCTCAAAAAAAAAAAAAAATCCATCTGCAGCAATAATTTGATAAGTAAAACTAGTCTGATTTCCTTCTCTCATTCAGATAACCTGATGTGAAATAAAGGTAAATGAGCAAAACAGAAGAATGGACTTATTTTCTCTATCCCCCTTACACACCTATGCAAGGGGCTGCCTGGTGACACAAATTACTCCCATGGACAGTGTTCTAAGGATTGGAGAAAAAGAATCTGGATTCCCACAAACTCCCGACAGTAGACAGACTGTGGAGCAGTACCCAGTTGGATATCTCAAGTCCATCTAATATACCACATGAATTTGAGAGACATTCATTCTTGAAAGCATCATCCCTTTGACACTGCCAGGGCTAGAGATCAGAACAGGGTGATTGCATTGGAGAAAAGAATCTGGGGGTGGTAGAACGATGTGTGAACCTTTGTTATCTCGCCATTCTTGTTTCTCCTCTGAAGCAGTCTCTGCCTTCTCCCTCTGCAGCAATTCCTCAGGAAAGCTCCATGAGAGAGAAATAAGAAGTAAAGAGGGAGGCGGAAAAATCCTAATGTCTCCTGAAATTGAGAATATAGATCTGTGACTAAGATATTAGTATCTCAAAATGGTCTAAAAACAAAATGGAATAAATTGATTTATGGGCCTGGAATTTAGCTTTCCTGCTTATAGAATAATGGAGAATAAACTCAAACATGTATTAATACATTAGTTAGAAGAACAAATAGGGTTTTCCTTCCTTCCTTCCTTCCTTCCTACCTTCTTTCCTTCCTTCCTTCCACATATTTTAACTTAGCTCCTCCTCTGTGTCAGAAATTGTAAGAGCAAATAATACTTCAGTGAACTCTAAAAACTAATCTCTGTTCCTGCTATCATACAGCTACTTTCTAATGGGAAGAGACTAATAACAAACAAACCAATGAATAAGGTGGGATAGTGGTAAGTGCCTGGTTTAAAATCAAGTAGTGTAAGCAATTAGTGCAAGTTGTTACTGTATTTTAGGATGATAAGAGAAGTTCTTTCTGAGGGGTTGATATTACAAAAGAGACCAAAATTAAGTAATGGATCAATCCATATGTATATTTGAGGACAAAATATTATAGCTGCAGGATATAATGAATCCAAAGACCCTGAGGTGGTAATATATCTTATGTACGTAGGAACAGCAAGAGGCTGGCATAGAAAAAAGTGATGTGATAAAATCCGAGAGGTGACAATCAGGGATTCAGATTGTATATGATTCCCATGGTTAATTTTATGTGTCAACATGACTGGGCTATGGTGTGCCCAGATATTTGGCTAAACATTATTCTAAGTATGTCTGAGAGGGTGTTTCTGGAAGAGATTATTATTTGAATCAGTAGATTCAGTAAAGCAAATTGCCCTGCTAATGTGTCATCCAATTTGTTGAAGGTCTGATTAAAACAAAAAGTCTGAGTAAGGGAGAATTTACTTTTTCTGTCTGACCAGAATCAAGCTGAAACAGTAGTCTTTTCCTGCCTTTGGACTTGGACTCCAGCTAGAGCTTGCATCATCAGCTTTCCCTATTCTCCAGCCTTCAGACTTAGACTGGAACTATAATGCCAGCTTTCTTGGGTCTCCAGCTTGCCAGCTGAAAATCTTGGGACTTCTCAGCCTCCATATCTGCATGAGCTAATTAATTCCTCATAATAAATTGGTTTATAATGTAAATATGCTATTGATTATGTTTTTCTGGAAAATCCTAATATAGATTTCAGTACTGAGAGTGATTATAGAAAAACAGAATGTTAAGGATGAGTTTTCTGAATTTGTTCTGGAATTTCTGGAATTGACTCTAATGTTTAAATTTAAAGATGCTAATAGGTCTTTCTTCAATACTGAAGAGAACAGTAATATTCCATACGTGATTTGGCTTTAGAGATATGCAAAAACACTTATAAGAAGCAGGTGCCAGGTAAACATGTATATGATATTCTCAAAAATTCTTGGAAAACTAATTAATATAATGAGATTGGCTGGTTGCTCTTAATGTTGCTGGACAAAGTCGTTAAAGAAAAGAATGAGCTCAGGGACTTGAACTTCTAGCTCAAGCGAGGCATAAATGACCTGAAAGTTTCTTTGTATCCCCTAAAGAGACTCATCTCCTGTAGCTGAAGGGCTGAGATTGCTGAAAATCAAATGAAGAATCTCATCCTGCAACTGGCTGAGTTACAGCACAAGTTGGGATGCTTGCTAATAACATAGTGCAAGTGAAAACTAACTGTACTTTAGGATAGGAGCTCTAGGATTGGTGAGAAGTAGTCAGAATATAAATATATTTCAAGGTAGAGCTGTCAGGATTTGAAATGGATTTGATTATGAACCCAAGCGGAAAGTGAACAATGATTCTGAGACTTTCCGCATGAGCAACTGGGATAATCTGTGTATTGACTGGTTAACCATTCTTGCTACATTTTGAGAGATCAATGCTCAGTGTTGCATATGAGGATGGTTAACTCTAGTTGCTAATGCGTAGCCTGAATTCAGGTTCCGTGGTATTGGTGGAAACAATGAGCTATAGAAAAGCAACCAGTTCATGCAGAATACAGTTCAAGGTAATCAGAAAAGCCTGGAGGTAATATTTTAATATACTGAATTGGAAAAAGTCACCTTTCATAGACTGAGGTTAAGTGTTCTGTGTGGGAAATATAAATGTTTACCCAGCAGAGTCACAGGTTATGCAGGCGTTGGCTTGTGGTGACCTTTATTATGGAGAGATATGTGAGTGATATATTTGCATTGATAATGTAACACATTCTATTCAATGTGAAACAATTTCATAGTTCATATTCTATGAATTTCTCACATGGCTTTGAAATTCACATTTGCACAGATGAAAATTAAGACATACTTTAAAATTGCCACTTCAATATAATTTGATATTTACATGTAAGTATTTCACATATTAAAATTAAGTTCTTGTTTTTTTTTCTTCCCTCTCTTCCTTTTCCTTAAGATGACATGGATTCACTTTTGAATGAATAAACTTCAGAATGTTATACTGTATTTCCATATTTTGGATGAAGAAATCCAATTACTGAATTCTACTTGAAGCACATGATGAAATTATATAAAACTAGCTTCTTGTCACTGTTTAATTTTTTCATTTTGCTAATAAACATATTAACAGCTTTTCTTGAAATTAAAGATGTGTAAAATCCATTTATATGAATAATCACTTGATCTAAATGAAATTTTAGAGTCTACAGTGACGCATAAATATACCTTCTACTGCAACATGTGTTAAATCACAATCTTCAGGCACAATCATCTCTAGATAGCTAACTGTTAGAATTGCTACTGATGCTGTCTGAACAGATTTGCCTTTTTTGGTTTCTTTGTGTCCAGTGATATCAGCACAACCCTCATGGTGAATGGGAAAGTTGGAACTACATTTTATGTCAGTAACACAATTTCAATTCCTATTGTTTTTTTATTAATCATGAAATTTTTAAGTCCATTGCTGCTAAAAGAGTTTAAGGAAAGAAAAACAGGGTTATCAAACAAAAAATTAAGAAACAATTGTAGGCTTATACTATAAAATAAATAACAAAACCACTGTAGCGAGAATGTTCAGATTAGTTTTAATGTGAATCTGAGCAGGGCTGTTCACCTTCTTTTTTTCAACACATACTACCTGTTTGTGAATTTATACATTTCCCATAGTCCTCACTGATTTTCTCAACTGGCTGCTTGACAGTTTCAGGCATTTCACAGGCTGATGTCATGGGCTGTCATGAAAATGTCTCATATGCTAAATGCCAGGTTTGAGAAGCAGTGTTGAAGAGTTCACCCAAAGACAGAAGATTGAGGAAGTTTTCCCTAGCTGCTTGTGACCAAGCACACTTCATTTTACAAGTGAACACCCTCTGTGATGTCAGTAAAAGGGGGACTCTGTAATATCGCATGTTGAAAAAACCTAGCAAAGACTTCCTGCTTATTGCTGGTTATCTTTCAGGCTTAAATAGGTGTTAAGGGAAGACTCTGCTAACTGTCTGTGCTTCTTACATAACACTAATACACGGCAGATGCTGGAAGTACAAAGTAGAAGCTTCCAAACTCATCAGAGGTTATTAATAATACTTCATTAAAAATGAAAAATCTGGGAAAAAAGTTAGACTGGATGAGACTCTAGGGCTTTGGGCTTAAATTCAAACTCTGCCAGGCAAATGGGAACATATCATCACTTTACTTTATAAGGCCCCCATGGTCTTTTGCCTGTTTAGTCCCATTTTTTTTTTGTATCACTATGTCCTCTTTATTAGTCATAATAGGGTAAGTTATCATGTCTGTAGAAAAATTGGCTAAATAATGGTTTGATTTCATTCAGCATTTATTTTCATTCACTCAACTCGCCAAGGTGGGTATTCTTCATCAGAGAGTGGTTTTCTCCCATGCAATGTCTCAGAGATTCATGCTCTTTTTCTTCTTGAGACTTTGCTTTTCCCAAAGACCTTGTTGACACCTTCATCCAGCTTTGCAAGGAACACAGCTGGATAAAAGGAGGCACATCTGTTTTATAAAAGCCTTAGTCTATAAAAAGGCACATATTACTTCTGTTCACCTTTCATTAAGAACCTAGTCATATGGGCACATATAAGTGCAATGAAAGTTTTAAATGCAGCTAAAAAAAAGGAAGATATGAATTTTGGTGAGCACTTAAAGCCTCTGCAAAAGTGATATTTTGTTCAATTTTTGTTGTCCTCTGGTGACCAAATATAATGTTTAATCTTCTCAAATATAAACACATTTATCACCTCCTAAAAAGCAACAACCCCAAATCACATACAATGTGTACCGAATACTTGCATCTACTTCAAAGTTCAAGAAGGCTTGAAGAAGCAGAATTCTGCTTATTCAATGAGGTTATGTTTCCTCATAGTCTAGGTAGGTGTAGTCAATCAAAATACAAGTTGTTTGTGCCTGTCCTCCACAACCCAGAGTGCCAATTTATAATACCAGAACAGAAACAGAAATATTGCAAATAAATAAATACATTAACAATATAAAATACACAGCAGTCACTTGTCTATACCAATGACATAAACCTCTGCAGGAGACATTGTGAAGACTTCCAGCTTTAGCAGGGGAAGGATTTCCTCGACTACATATAGAATGTGCTCTGTGGAAGACACCAACTTCACAGAGGTTTGTCCTTGTTTGTTTTCTACCCTGAACACATAAGTTGAAAATTGAAGAGTGTGCCCAATTTGAGGGCTTACATCTTTGTATCGTATATCTTGCTCAAACACTGCTTGGAGTTCAAAGATTATTGTATAGCTAAAACAATCAAGTGATGTTCTAGCCTTTATTTTTCCAGTGAACTTTCCCAAAAACATTTCAGATATCTGGTTCATTTGATTTCAGCCATCTCTAGAACTCTCAAAGTTCTTTCTGAGGCTAGTTCTTAACCCTGTTTTATTTCCTTGCTCCCTTCCCTGGTGTCTCTCTCTCGCTCCCTGAATTTATTGATGGCTACCTTGGGGCTATGTAAGATAATAGGCATGGCTGACAAAGCTTTATCCTTTTCTATTTGTCACAGAGCTGAGTTCTTTTGTAAAACTGAGAAATTTTAATGGGTCATTGCTGCTTAAACTTCTAGTCTTATTTCCTACTCTGGAATTCTCAGAAGCAGTCAAATTTTGTGAGCCTCCAAATTTCTGAACTTTCTATTCCTCTTTATTTCCCTTTGAAAGCCAGAAATTCCTTGGTTGAGTTCATCTCTTTCTTTTAATACCTTTCTTTATAAGCATCAAGAAGCCAAAAGAAGGCACTAAAATTTGTTTCTTTCCAATAGCTTTCCTAAAATTAGAGGCTCAAAAGACACATAGCCTGTTTTCCTAAAATGTTAGACAATATTTTAACCGTGTATGTTGCCACTTGCATAACATGAAATCTCTAGCTTTCTGGCAAAATATATCATTGATTGCTCCTCAGGACCATATATTTACGTTTTGTCAGAGCAATACCCCACTTCAGTCTGCACATTTCCATACTAGTTATATTAGGCTAAATTACAATAACAAATAAACACCAAAATATATATGGTATCAAACATCACAGAAACATATTTCTCAATTATAACAGCTCAAACTGGGCATTCTGATTGGCTAGCTTTTCTCTCCTATTCATTAATTTAGAGACACATATTTCATTTTCTCTTGTAGATCTATCAGTCCCAAAGTCTTGTCACCATTTCTTCCAAGCTACAACCTCTTCTGAAAAGCTACAACCTCTTCTTAAAATCTTTGAGGAGGAAACAGCACAGGTTATGTATACTCATATTCCATTGACTCGTTCCAGTCATATTACCATCATTAAGCACCAAGAACAACTGAAAAATAAGATTTACTCTGTGAGCAGAAAGAAACAAAAATGAATCCTAGAGAGCAGCCCACAGTCTTGCCCTTTTCCCACATTCTCTGTGCTCCAACTACACTGGTCTCCCTCCAGTTTCTTGGCAGTGACATATTCCTTCTGTAATGGGGATTTGTCCTCTCTTCTTTCCTCTACCCAAAATATTCCTCCTACCATGTTCATCTTATATTAACTCTCAGCTCTATGATCTTTTTTGTCTTTTCTCAAGGACGTCTTCTCTGTCAGGCCAATTCCTGATACCTATGTTCACAGAAGAAAGGACATTTACTTCTGTGATACTCATCACAACTGTCATCACAGAGCTCTGCTCTATTACTGCTCAACACTGTTAACACCATCACATAGCACAATGTCTGGAATATCATTAGCTATTAATTTGGAACAAATAAATGAATCATTGAATGCATGCTGTTCCAAAAGCTTATTTCTTAGGAGAAGTGGCAGAATTATACTGACATCCTAGTTTCAGCACCATTAATGACATGGAGAGCCAGGCTAGGGATATGTAGAAAGAGGACAAACATTTCTGAGATTTGCTTTTCTGTGCACAAAATTGTAAAGATTTTATTAAAGGATATGTAACTAAATATAGAGTGGAAAATGAACACAACTAATACTAATAATTAAAGATAGGGAAAATAAAGCAAAACCAGAAATATTTTAGAAGGCATTATTCGTTATTTTTAGTACTTTTTTCCACTACTGCTTTTTCTTAGTCTGGCTGAATATAAACATTATTGGTTTGAATTTGTGTTTTTGATAATTCTCTTTCTAACATAAAGAAGGTCAACACTACGCAAAAGGTCTGGGAAATGCTTTCATTTCAATACAGAATTTATACACAATGATGACAGAATAGCAATATCACTTATAATTCAGTAATAGAATGACTGGAATTCCAGATAAAATTTGTCTGAAGTCAAAGTTCTGTGTCAATACAGCAGACCATTGCAACTTTAATCACTAACCTTGGGCTATAGGCTGACCCTATTAGATTAATTGCATACTATTTCTGTCTGGCATTTGGGAGTTTGGAGTATTATTTATTTAACAATTTTGGATTCCATATTCTCACCAATTCCTCCCCAATTGTCAGAGCAAGTCGGGAATTGCTCTGACAATGAACCTGGGGTCTGTATTTTTTATCACCCAGTATCAGAATGTATTGAGGACTTATATAACGCAGTCTTTAAATTGATGTGAGCAGGTACCTCTTAATCTTTTCCAGTAAATTATATTTATTGAAAACTGCAAGCATTAATCTTGGTTACAAGGATCTGAGACCAAAGTACTTAGAAATTGAAAATTAACTTCAGAATATACACCTAATTAAAGCAACTTCATTCATTCATTTAGGAAATATTTATTTTGTCAGGCTCTGTTTTGTGTAAGCAGCACAGACGTGTATCCCCGTTGCTTTGGGGTTAGAATTAATCATATATTTTTCCACTCTTACATGTGATATCACGTTTATTGAATACTACTAGAGGCCAGGCACTATATTAAGTGCTCGGATCAGGAAGATTAAGAGGACATGCTCGCTGACGTCAAAGAGCACACAGGCTAGTGTATGGAATACTACGTTAGCATTTACTGAGGCAATATGTGTGAAAATAAGGTTGGAGGATTATCTAAATAATTGAAGTCATGGTATTTTTGGAAAAAAAGACTTAGCCAAAAATTATTTCTGATGAATGGTATTTCTATTTATACTTATTTAAAAATCGTCTTATCCCAAATAATGTACCTACATTAATAAGATATGTAGAAAACAGAAAATGTCAGAATAAATTTAGGACAACATTTCAGCACTTGGAAAGTTACTGGCAGCATAGCAATGACATTTGAAAAGAATATCTAAGCAAACTTAAATATATATTATTTAATGCCAACCAATGCTGATACCTATAAGCTATACTTTACTTTTTTGGTCCATATTGAATTGCACCTAGATCTACTTATTACCATAAGACTTCTATTTTGGCCTGCTATAAGACAGGAGATCAAAACACTAACAGAACTTATCTTGGATGTGCAGAAAAGTGAGAGTGTGTTCTTTTCTTCTCAGGACATTATCAGAAATGTAACTGTATGTATCTTTCCAAATAACTATTTCATTCCCTGCTCATTATTCCTAAGAAATTCTGGCCCCTGTTAGTCTCCAAGGCTGTAACAAGGCTTTACTCCTCCAGATAAAGGAAATAAGTATATAATTTCAATCCGTATAGATGCCTATATTTCCAAAACAATGCATCTAAATTCAGAATCAGCAAATAGATTGTGGCAGAATTAACATAATATTGTCCTTAAAGGAAGAAAACCTTTAAAAATAATTATATAATTGTGTACTCAAGATGGGTGACTAAATTATTAGAATACCCTGTGAAGCTCAGAGAAAAGATATTCCATAAAGCTCAAAGAAAATTGATAGCAGCACTTTCCAAAAGCAAATAAGCACATTATTGTCAATCTAGAAATATATGCAAGCTTCCCATGTCATTTAATTCACTGTAATGTAGGTTTCCTGTTGCAGGCATACAAATCTTATCTTTATCACACCATTTTGCTCCTTCTTAGGTCTTGATGGTCAGCTTTAGCATTCATTTCATGGATTTCAGAAATAGTTCAGAAATGCAGGTGAAACACCTTATCTTTAAACCTTTCAGCATTTAATCAACTTCTCTTGAAATTCACCCTTACATTTCAGGTTTATCAGATCCCATTGTTTGATATAGTGAACTTGATACCACATTTAACATTCATCGGGCCATCTTTCTTTTTTTTTTTTTTTTTGAAGCATTCCCTAGTAAGGAGAGAATAGATTGCAGCCTGCTGCTATGACTTTCATTTACATGCTCTTTCAGAGCAACTGTAAAAAGAGAAAGTAGCAGGAGGCAAAGTTCCTTTCCTGGAGTACAAAATGGTAATGCACATAATCATGCCCTTCCCACTTATGTTACTCTATGGGATATTCAGAGACTGGGGAGCTGCAGCACCTGCCAACCCTTCTGCCTCTGGGTTCTAGCCTGAACTGTGTGGTACATAAGGCCATTGCATCAACCCCTTACTCATCAGTGTTCTCCACATTTTCACTCAGAACATCAATTGGCATAAATAGCCTGAGGACTCTGAAGAACTCTCTTCCTTTTGGGCACTTGGAGACTGAGTTCATTAACTTCTCCCCAGGGGAAAGGGCAGTTCTCAACTGTAAAGGCAGTGTCTAATTCGAGGTTGAAAAGTATTGTATTGACTTCCTCTTTTCCTAATTGAATACCCTTTATTTCCTTCTCCTGCCTGATTGCCCTGGCCAGAACTTCCAACACTATGTTGAATAGGAGCGGTGAGAGAGGGCATCCCTGTCTTGTGCCGGTTTTCAAAGGGAATGCTTCCAGTTTTTGCCCATTCAGTATGATATTGGCTGTGGGTTTGTCATAGATAGCTCTTATTATTTTGAAATACGTCCCATCAATACCTAATTTATTGAGAGTTTTTAGCATGAAGGGTTGTTGAATTTTGTCAAAGGCTTTTTCTGCATCTATTGAGATAATCATGTGGTTTTTGTCTTTGGCTCTGTTTATATGCTGGATTACATTTATTGATTTGCGTATATTGAACCAGCCTTGCATCCCAGGGATGAAGCCCACTTGATCATGGTGGATAAGCTTTTTGATGTGCTGCTGGATTCGGTTTGCCAGTATTTTATTGAGGATTTTTGCATCAATGTTCATCAAGGATATTGGTCTAAAATTCTCTTTTTTGGTTGTGTCTCTGCCCGGCTTTGGTATCAGTATGATGCTGGCCTCATAAAATGAGTTAGGGAGGATTCCCTCTTTTTCTATTGATTGGAATAGTTTCAGAAGGAATGGTACCAGTTCCTCCTTGTACCTCTGGTAGAATTCGGCTGTGAATCCATCTGGTCCTGGACTCTTTTTGGTTGGTAAACTATTGATTATTGCCACAATTTCAGAGCCTGTTATTGGTCGATTCAGAGATTCAACTTCTTCAAATTGTCCCTGTTTGCAGACGACATGATTGTTTATCTAGAAAACCCCATCGTCTCAGCCCAAAATCTCCTTAAGCTGATAAGCAACTTCAGCAAAGTCTCAGGATACAAAATCAATGTACAAAAATCACAAGCATTCTTATACACCAACAACAGACAAACAGAGAGCCAAATCATGGGTGAACTCCCATTCACAATTGCTTCAAAGAGAATAAAATACCTAGGAATCCAACTTACAAGGGATGTGAAGGACCTCTTCAAGGAGAACTACAAACCACTGCTCAAGGAAATAAAAGAGGAGACAAACAAATGGAAGAACATTCCATGCTCATGGGTAGGAAGAATCAATATCGTGAAAATGGCCATACTGCCCAAGGTAATTTACAGATTCAATGCCATCCCCATCAAGCTACCAATGACTTTCTTCACAGAATTGGAAAAAACTACTTTAAAGTTCATATGGAACCAAAAAAGAGCCCGCATTGCCAAGTCAATCCTAAGCCAAAAGAACAAAGCTGGAGGCATCACACTACCTGACTTCAAACTATACTACAAGGCTACAGTAACCAAAACAGCATGGTACTGGTACCAAAACAGAGATATAGATCAATGGAACAGAACAGAGCCCTCAGAAATAATGCCACATATCTACAACTATCTGATCTTTGACAAACCTGAGAAAAACAAGCAATGGGGAAAGGATTCCCTATTTAATAAATGGTGCTGGGAAAACTGGCTAGCCATATGTAGAAAGCTGAAACTGGATCCCTTCCTTACACCTTATACAAAAATCAATTCAAGATGGATTAAAGATTTAAACGTTAAACCTAAAACCATAAAAACCCTAGAAGAAAACCTAGGCATTACCATTCAGGACATAGGCGTGGGCAAGGACTTCATGTCCAAAACACCAAAAGCAATGGCAACAAAAGACAAAATTGACAAACGGGATCTAATTAAACTAAAGAGCTTCTGCACAGCAAAAGAAACTACCATCAGAGTGAACAGGCAACCTACAACATGGGAGAAAATTTTTGCAACCTACTCATCTGACAAAGGGCTAATATCCAGAATCTACAATGAACTCAAACAAATTTACAAGAAAAAAACAAACAACCCCATCAAAAAGTGGGCGAAGGACATGAACAGACACTTCTCAAAAGAAGACATTTATGCAGCCAAAAAACACATGAAGAAATGCTCATCATCACTGGCCATCAGAGAAATGCAAATCAAAACCACTATGAGATATCATCTCACACCAGTTAGAATGGCAGTCATTAAAAAGTCAGGAAACAACAGGTGCTGGAGAGGATGCGGAGAAATAGGAACACTTTTACACTGTTGGTGGGACTGTAAACTAGTTCAACCATTGTGGAAGTCAGTGTGGCGATTCCTCAGGGATCTAGAACTAGAAATACCATTTGACCCAGCCATCCCATTACTGGGTATATACCCAAATGAGTATAAATCATGCTGCTATAAAGACACATGCACACGTATGTTTATTGCAGCACTATTCACAATAGCAAAGACTTGGAACCAACCCAAATGCCCAACAATGATAGACTGGATTAAGAAAATGTGGCACATATACACCATGGAATACTATGCAGCCATAAAAAATGATGAGTTCATATCCTTTGTAGGGACATGGATGAAATTGGAAACCATCATTCTCAGTAAACTATCGCAAGAACAAAAAACCAAACACCGCATATTCTCACTCATAGGTGGGAATTGAACAATGAGATCACATGGACACAGGAAGGGGAATATCACACTCTGGGGACTGTGGTGGGGTCGGGGGAGGGGGGAGGGATAGCATTGGGAGATATACCTAATGCTAGATGACACATTAGTGGGTGCAGTGCACCAGCATGGCACATGTATACATATGTAACTAACCTGCACAATGTGCACATGTACCCTAAAACTTAGAGTATAATAAAAAAAAAAAAAAAAAAAAAAAAAAAAAGAATTGTAAAAAAAAAAATTATAAATAAAACAAAGAAGAATAAAAAAAAAAAAAAAAAAAAAAAAGAAAAGTATTGTATTGTAAACTAAAAATAAAATCTTAACCCCTGTCCCGCCCGCTACCACGTGCTGTACAGACCCCAAAGGGCCCCCAGAAAAAAAAACTTAAAACTAAGTTCCTTGCGGCCAAAGGGACCCCACAAAAAAACAAAACTGAGTTGGTGACAGGATGGGAGGTCAGATATGCTTTGTTATATCCCCCCCTTTCATGGTTTACCCACAACTGACCAGCATTAATGTTAACATAGAGATCATAAGACCAACAGAACAGACTCTTTGTTGCAATAAGATGCCCAATTACAAACAAGACCTAAGGCCATGCCAGGCAAGGGTCTGGCATGGGTACAATTAAAGAATAAACTATGCTGTAACTGTGCTACAAAGCTTTTCTTTTTCTCTAGGCTAAACAAGCACTGGCCTCCAGATAAGCAAGCTAAGTAAAACGATTTGCAACTCATCCACCGCCAGACACTGAACTCCAGCCTCTTTTTCACCAGCCATAACTACAGCTATGATTGGACAAGAGACTGATTTCAATAACTTTCTCCCATCAAGAAGGACCTCCGACAATGGACTGATTCTGGCTGGTTTACAGAAGTTGCATATTTCATATACCTTCAAGTCCTGAGGAAATCTTTTGACATATAAGGCCTAACCGTAATACATTTAAATGTTAAGTCTCCACCCAAAAGTGAACATGGGTTGTCTGTAACATGCATGTTTATCCAATACGCATGCGTCAGGACCACCTTCATTAATATTCATAGCTCCTCTTGTAACATGTTGAAAATGTATGTTTAGTCAACCCTTTCAGCAAACAGCTTCTATCCCCACCCCTACTAATTGGCAGGGCCTGTCCCTGGTCTTTGCAGGAGGCACCTTTCCCAACCTGCAGGATGGCGGCCACCTTAAAGGCTGTAACCCCTTATAAGACATAAAGTCTCCTCTCATTTTCTAAATTTATAAGTTGTGGTGTGCTTTTTTTTTTTCCAGTTAACAGTATAAATGAACCACAGATAGCTTCTGTACATTGGCCCTTTGGTTATTTCTTCACTGCAGGCTGAGACACCCTTAGCTCAAAAGCCTAACAGCCCCCAAACTCAAATTTTTACATATCAAATTATTTTAAATATGGCCCAAACAAGCAAATTTTTAGTCATTCATAGTCTGCTTGTTTTGCATACTCCATAAAGCCTCACATGACAGCTATTACCTACAGATACGATAGGACTTAGCAGTTATAGCTTCTTTGGTCCAGAGACTTCCCACCATCCTTCTAAGCCACATCACCTAGATATCTAAGCCCTCTCTTTGATCCACCACTCCTCTGAGAGTTCCCTTGCTCTCTACTTCTTTGAGGTAGCAATGCCCCCATCTCTTTCCTGCACTCCCAAACCACCTCACCATAACCTCTGCACATCCCCCACCTGCAAACTGGTCAAAGCAACCTCATGGTCATATCTTTTTCCTAGATCAGCCATCAAATCCCTCAAACCCCTAAAAAAGTCATTTGCTACAAAGACAGTTAAAATGCCCCTTCAAAGAAGCTTTTCATGTCAGAGGCTTGAAATTGTGATTTCTAGAAGGAGAAATCAAAACAAAATGCTAAAATAGGAGGAAAAAAGTGGCAATCACCAGGTAATGGCCAAAAGGAATTGATGGCAGGTCATATGAAACACATCCTGTATTCTACTAGAAATGAGAAGGATATTTTAGTGAGGCTGAAGTTTGTGCCACACAGGATGAAATCAAAGTCAGAGAATAAATATAAATTACCTATAGATAATTTGTAACTACCAAAGAGCTTCTGGTGGAGTCTCTATTATAAAGAGTGGCCCAAGAGGGCTATCAAGTCATAAACCTGGCATAAGAATTTTCATTGTGTGAGTGGGGGTTCTTATTGTTGGATCTGTGTGACAGGGATTTTTGGCATAGGGCTCATGGGGAGGGCTTCATAAACTACTTGAATTTGAGTGCAAAACATGTGTAAATATGTGTGAAGTGCACGTGGCGGCATCTGCTGGCAGTCTTTTTAAAGTCCATCCTCCCACTCTTCGTTTTTTTTCCCAGTCTTTCTTGCAATAGATGTGGTCATACAATTAAGTTCCAGCCAATGAGACTTGAGTGGAAGTAAGATGAAATCTCTGTGGCGTGCCTTTAAAAGGATAGGGAAATATCCTTTCTGTAAATCTTTTCTTCTCTCCGGCTGCCTAGAATATACACAAAATGACAAGAGTTCCAGCTCTTCCTGATACCACGAGCAGCCTTGGAAATGGAAACCATGCATGGTAAGCCATAAGATAAAACCTCATGTGAACGTCAAGTTACCCCTAGACTGCCTATCTCCAAGTTATTACATGAAAGGGAAACAATCTTCTAACTCTTTTAAGTTTTAGATTTTGTTTTATCCTAGCCTGTTTCTCAGTGATGCAGTGAATTTGTTATGGTGAGGGTTTCCACACTTAAATTCACTTCTCAGAAAGGCCTTTGATATTAAATACTTACTAATTGCTCTTTGAGAGGAATGTGTAAAGCCTACTGGGATACAGAATGGTAAGAAAATGAAAATTAAATCACTTGGCAAGTCTTCTTTGGGATTTAGTAGAATCCTGATCATTTGACAGTATTGAATGAAAGTTAGGCTAACCTATTAGAACTAGTGAGTAGTCACTCTATATTCAGATTTCAGAAATGGTTGTCGTTCACATCTATTATGAACCAAGGACATGACATGTCAGTTATTTTCTCTATGAGCTTCGATTTAGTATCATCCAAGGTTAAAGGAAGAAAGTATACAGTTATTTGCTGCTGGGCAAAAATTAATGAAAAGAGGCCATTGAATCTAAGTGGCAGAGGAAATAACTCGTGAAAAACAGGTAGTTGTAAGTGCAAAGGGGTCCTGAGGAAAATGAAAAACTTTGTCAAATTGTGAAATACTCATTTTAGAGATACGAATTTTAGAGTGGGAACAACTAGTAAGGAAAGGGGACATGGATCAGTATATAGTGTGACCTGTGTTTTCCTTAGCTAGTGTTTCTTCTTTGGTCTTATTTTTTAAATGTAGCTGTAATTAATTATGGACAGTATTGAGGGTATGCTCATAGTATTTTGAGTGTTAGCCTTACTGTTTAACTTATTTTTTTAAAAAAATTATTCTACTCTCAAGTGTAACTTTATCACATTTGGGAAACAAATATATTTCCTGGAAGAGCAGTTATAATTTTATAATAAATAGCAATAAGAAATCATATTGGCTGAAAAAATAAAGTTACAGTTTATAAACTACTGAAAACATATAGCCATAGCCGGGCGCGGTGGCTCACACCGGTAATCCTAGCACTTTGGGAGGCAGAGGCGGGCAGATTGCCTGAGCTCAGGAGTTTGAGACCAGCCTGGGCAACACGGTGAAACCCCGTCTCTACTAAAATACAAAAAAAATTAGCTGGGCATGGCCGCATGCGCCTGTAGTCTCAGCTACTCGGGAGGCTGAGGAGAATTGCTTGAACCCCGGAGGCGGAGGTTGCAGTGAGCTGAGATCGCGCCACTGCACTCCAGTCTGGGTGACAGAGTGAGACTCCATCTCAAAAAAAAAAAAAGTATATATATATATATATATACATATATATATGTATACAAAGTACCAATTTGATTAGTGCATGGTATATATAGGTACTCTTTAAATATCCACTATCATTATTAGCTATAAAATGTCTTTTTAGTAAGAAACATATATTTGTACTTCCAGTTATACCTCTAGTGGCAGCCTGGATATAATATCACATTCCAATGTTTAGAAATTTTGAGATATAAAAATAAGAATAGGCTATTCGTAAAGAAAAATTATTAGCTAATAGAAAAAGATTTAAAAACTAAAGGTATATGTACAAAATCTCTGTCGACAAATTGTCAAAACCCACAAGGCAACTTTCTTGCCTGAAACTTGAGTAGTGAATATCTAATAGAAAAAAAAGAACATACAAGTAAAGTGTAGAAAAATAAGCCAGAATATCTCATTCCATTATAACAACTTGCTATGGTCCGAATGTTTTAAGCCAGAATATCCCATTCCATTATAACAACTTGCTATGGTCTGAATGTTTATGTCCCCACAAAATTCATAAATTGATATCCTAACCCTAAGTGATGGTATTAGGAAGTGGTTTGGGGGAGGTAATTAGGTCATGCGGACAGAATCCTCATGATTTAGCATCCTTATAAAAGAGGGGCTGAGGCTCAATATACTTTCTTTGTCCCTTCTTCCATTTAAGGTTACAGTAGAAAGATGGCCATCTGTGTACTAGAAAAGTGCCCCTCACCAGGCATAAGATTTTTCAGCCCTTGATCTTTGATTTCTCAGACTCAGAACTCTGAGAAATAAATTTCTGTTATTTATAAACCATTGAGTTTATTGTATTTTGTTACAACTGAATGAATGTACTAGACACCACTATTAGCAATTTCATATAAATAATATATAATGTATACTGTCAAATGAAATATGCAATTATTTTGTAAGCTATATTGGTATTATTACCATGTTTTCCCCACTAAGTAATATATCTTATTCCTTTTTCATTACTTTTTAACAGCATTATTTTTAAAAATTGCAACTCATATATACATGTTATAATTTTCTCAATGAACTTCTTGAATCAGTCATTTAGATTGCTTGCAACTTTTTTCCCATAAACACAATGCTGTAACATCTTGTGCTAAATATTTATACAAACCTTGATTTGTCTAGTACAAATTCCTAGAAAGCTGAGATATATACACACTTATGAGATATACTGAAAAATTTTGCAGCAGATATCTTGTATCAATTTTTATGGCTGTTAACATGGTATAAAATTGCCCATTTTTTAATACCTTGTCTAATCATGGGTAAGAAATTTTCCTTTTTTCTCTCCTTTCTTTCCATCATATATGCTTTTCTACTTTCTATACTTCAGTGTTCCTGTTCTTCCTTTGTCTCCCTACCTCTTTCTTTTTCTTTCTCCCCTTCATTTTTCCATTTTTCTTTCATTTCGCCAAATCAGTAATGAAAAAAGAGGCCCATCACTGTTTCTAGTTTTATGTAAATTACTAATGAGTTTGAACCCTCTTCTCATGTTCATTATTTACATTTCTTCTTTTGTAAATTGTTTTATCAATTATATTGATATATTCATTTTATTAAAAACTCTTTAAATATTAAAATGTTAACCATTGCCTGACAGGAATGTAAAATTTTTATGTCTGAAACTCTTTTTTCAAAAAAAATAAGTCTATCAATTCCACCCATAAGATTTTGTAGATGCCCATTTTATTTCCTTGGGTATTTTTATTATTTTTATTTACATTTAAGTGTACATTTTCTCTGATGATTCGAAATGCTACCCTTTCTCATAGTCTTAATTCTTCCATTAACAAGATTTGCTTTCAGGCTCTTTTCTTCTTTCTCTCTTTCTTGGTTTATCTGCCTGTCTTTGTCTTTTCCTGTACTTGTTCCACACTTTAAAAATTACAACATTTTCATAGCATATTTTAGTATTTTCAGAATTAGTTACACATCTGCCCCTTATCTTAGTCATTCAGACATATTTTTTATAATATATAGTTTTAAAATTATAAATCAATACTGAGTATAAAGTTAAAAATTAAATTAGTTCAAATTACCACATAATAGAAATTTTAGTATTCTGTGTTTATAGACAAGGCGATGAACCTAAAACTCTCTTATAATTTAAAGCACTTAAATGGTTAAATATTGTGTATATTAGAAAGGGTACTAGAATCTCGTGAATGTTCTTAGCCTGTGTGGGCATTATGAAAATGAAAGCAGAAAATTTATATTGGACATTGAAATTTGTCTATTAATAGAGTACAGATTAATATGCCAAGAAGATTTCTTACTGAGTTTTAGGTAGACATTAATGATAATTTATGATGCAGTTACTAGAGCAGAAAAAATAAATGAATCGTTACACTCAGTATATGTCACAAAATGTTGTCAGCTATAATGCAATCATTTAAATAGATGAGGCTAAATTAAAGTTAGCAGTCAACCTTTTGGTGACTTAAACCTTTTATTACTCTAACTTTCCAAAAAATGCACCATTTCTCTTTAGCACAGTTTCTATTACATTAAACATATAGGAGACAGCCTTTTAGAAATTTTGTTTATAAAAAAACCTCTCAGAAGACAGATTTTTTTCTCTACTGTTCACCATGTTTAAATTAAAAATTCTTTATTAAACTGTTTATTGCAGTTGTTTTCAATCCTTCATATACTCCTACTATTTAAGTAAATGATTGATTTTTTTCCAAATTAAAGATTTAGGAGAAATATTATCATTATCACAAGAGCTACAAGCTTTTTTATGAATTTCAAAATAAATGTCACAGGTAATTTCTGTGCATCATATTCCATCTTGATAAATATAACTACCACTGATGACAGTGTATGTGTAATACATTGATTATTTTGTATAGGTCATAATACTTTCAGTCATTTCATAGAAAACACAATCACAATTATTTAAAACAAGAAAGAAAAAACAAGAAAGAACAATGACAAACAGAGGAAGAAAAATATACATAGTAGTGATGAAGTTTCATTTCAAATGATGAGAAAATAAGTGAAGATAAACCTATAACAAAAAGACGATGCCATATTATGTACATTCATTCAGACTCCTAGTGTTGACTGATATACCATCTTTCTCTCTGCACAAAACATACTTATTTATTATTCCATTAGAGTTATATCAGTTGGAAAAAGATGCTGAGAGTTTTGGTTTGTGGTGTTCATTCTGGCACTGTTCATTTACTATTTGTTTACTCTCAGTTGAATTTGTTTGAAAGAACCTGGATGAATAGCCCTATAAACACTGCCCTATGCCATTATGTAGTTATATTAGTTTAGTTTTTTTGAAATAGGTTGTTGGGTGGAAGACTTGAATATATGTTACGAATATTCTGACCACAATGTGGGGATCTCACTATTTTCTAACCCAAGAGTACATTAGATAAGAGAGAATGTATGTTTTCTTTTTCTTAATGTTTTCTCTTATTAAATATAACCAGGAATTCTCCAGCAGGCAAAATGCCCCTTCCTTAGCCCTTTGGAAAACAATTCTCTGCATGTCTGCAGTAATATATTTTGTCTTTTACTGGGCCCTCTCTTCTTACCGCAGCTGTTCCTTTTTTCTCTTACTTTGTGCAAGTCATTTTATGCTCATTTCTCGTTGTTATTTTCTGAATTTCTAGAAACTAACATTTACTTGTTAAGTCAGTTTTCGCAGTTCTGAATAATTTTATTTCCTAGGGAAATTTTACCAGTGCCATTCATCCGCATGTCTTAAGCACACTGAAATATACTCACATTTCACATTAAGCTTAATTGACATATAACTATAAAAGAGTTTAGTAATTATATATTACAGAGGTTTAATCCATCTTTCATTAAGTTTAATTTCACATTTTTGTTTTTGCATTAGGAGCTAACATTTTTCAAATGTTTTTGTAGGCCTTGGCAAAGCTCACAGACCTTAAGCACAGTATCTAATAGATTAAAATGGGCTGGAATTTCATAGTTGATGGACCCTGTCTCTTCTAAATTGTGGCTTTTCTCCTGAAATAGCAATCACTTCAGTCTATTTCACCCTATTCTGATTCACTCCTACTTACCCTATTGGTGAAGGAGGGATCCTCTACCTTAAATAGTCCAGAATGGCTGAACCCATGACACATGACACTAGACAGATGTAATTTGCACATTATAGCATATATTCACATCTTAGGGGAGGTGGGTGCTGTAGAATATGTAGAACCACACGGAGGATTGCGGCCAGGAACAGAGTGAGGCGCTATAGGAGGAAGGCTTTGTAGTGACGAGAGAGTGAGGTGACTTTTGGTTTCCTCAGGAACATGTGATTGGCTTGTATGTATATTTAGTGTCTGGCAGGGAGACAAAACCCATCTGATTGAGGGCGAGCTGGGGCGTACAGTGTCTGGCTTCTAGGGAAATTACAAGGTAGGAAAGCTTTCTGGGTGGGAACATATCTAGTGAGAGCAGGAGAACTCATGTCTAGGCCTTTAGGGCCCTGTGACAGTCACAGGTGTCAGAGAATCACATCGAATTTGAGGCCCTAAAAAGCATACCCATCTTCCAGATCTTTCACTTTCCTCTCTCCTTCCAATCCTTTGTGTTAAAAGAACTCTGATGATAGGCCCACAATTAGGTGTTCTGTTCTGAAGTTACTGTTCACTGTAGAATGACATCATTTTTTCCTTCTAAAGGATTAAAAATGTGCTGTCCCAAAGAGAAAACTGTTAAGCAAGGGTTACGAAAATAATGAAATTTTATATTCCATAATTTTAATTAGTATGATGTACTGCAAGTGCTATGGTCAGACTCTGGTCATTTCTGGGTCTTCTTTTTCCTGGTTTAAGTCTTTATATACATTTCTCTATAATTTTATTCTTCAGGTAGAAGGCTATAGGTATTGGACTTTAAAATTAAGTCAACTTAAAATAACACAGATGTTGGCTATTACTGATATTTGAAACACTAGCTAATTTTTAAAAATTAGTAATAGGTTAATTTTCCAAAATGAAAACATTGTAGGCAAAAAAGAAAAAAATATTATTAGAAGACACTGAGGGGCAAATGTTATGATTAATTTGACTATTACTCCAAATATTAAAAGTGTTACTTTTTTTTCCCTTTGGCTCCCAAGGGTTGAACTGCTAGAGAAAGTGAGCTGGACAGCAGCAAGAAGTAAACTGCTTTTTAGTGTCTATCATGAGCAATGGAATCTAGCCTCTACTTGGAACACATCAAAAACTTAAATGGTCTACTCTTGATCAAACTGATGAGTGATACTAAACATTTTCAGTTTCCCGCATAGCATGAGCACTGCCCAGAGGGCACTCTGTGATTAGAATAAATGCTGTCTGTGGACTGATACAGTCCTGCGGACTCCTGAAACACTAGGTATGACAGCTTCGGTTGCTGGATTATGAAGAGATTGGGGAAGGGTACCAGGGGAGGGAATTTGGTCCTGCATTTATTGTGCTCAGTATGTGGGATCGGGAGAGTGGCTCTTGACCAATTGTTAGGCAAATGTTTTAATATTTTAATAACCAACATGGCTGTTGCATAGAGGCTGGATGTCTGCAACTGTGACTAAAGAATAAAGAGAGCCTAGCCTGAATCTTAGGATTTGCATAGCAAGATATTTTCTTTCTATCTTGCAATCAGCATGGACTGAACAGAAGTAGTTTATGCATTTACCTCTGGGGTCTTAAATTATGCCATTTTAAATTCTCATCACATCCATTCTTTACCTAACATTTAAAAGTTATTAAAGGGGCATTTCTTGACTAGCGTAATCAGTCATTCTCCAGAAATTTATTTCTACAAATGAGAAAAGCTAATAGGTATATGCTGTTCAGCTGTTTGTATTACAGATCTGTTTTATTTAATTCAACAGTTAAAATTTGGTATTTTTAAGGCAGTATGGAAGATCTTATATTACCAAGTATGAAGACTGGAAGACAATATCTTTGTTCAAAATGCTTGATGAAGGCCAGACACGGTGGCTCACGCCTGTAATCCCAGCACTTTGGGAGGCCAAGCAGGCGGATCGCCTGAGTTCAGGAGTTCAAGACCAGCCTGGCCAACATGGTGAAACCCTGTCTCTACTAAAAATTCTAAAAAATTAGCCAAGTGTGGTGGTGCATGCCTGTAATCCCAGCTACTAGGGAGGCTGAGGCAGGAGAATTGCTTGAACCTGGAAGGCAGAGGTTGCAGTGAGCCAAGATCGTGCCACTGCACTCCAGCCTAGGCAACAGAGCGAGACTCTGTCTCGGAAATAAAAATAAAAAATAAAAAAAAAAGTTTGACGCTTTATCTGCCATGTGATTTTAATGATAGAATGCATTTTTTCCATCCTTTTAATTTTGGGCTTGGCCTGTGGTCCACTTTGGCCAACAGAATGTGGTTGGGAGTGAGAGTGTGCCAGTGTGGTTCATTCTTCTTGAAATCCTTCCACTGGCATGAAAAGAATATGACCCAGCTGCCCCTTTGTGCCAAGGCAGTTGAGAGGCACATGGAGCATAACTAGACAAACCCGTAGCTTGAAGACCCATTCAGTGAGTCAACAAACAAATAAGAAAAAATAAAATGATTGTTGTTTTAAATCATAGAGTTGTGATGTATTTTCAAATGCAGCATTACTGTGACAAAATTTTCTGATGCAAAGACCTATTAAAAGACATAGTAAATGAAACGGCATCATGAACATACAGAATTATAAACTTTAATATTTCAAGTGAGTCAAAAATATGCCATAGCCAAATGCTCTAAAAATTAAAAGATTAGTTTCTACAAATAATTTATCTTGTTAATAATATGCTAACAGAGAGATCTTCCTAACAGAATCTGTAGAATTTATGAGTAAACCCCAGAAAATATGTAGGCTATTTTTGGATTTTGAATTTTTAATCTTTACACAAACTAGCAAGTTTTCTATAAACCAAGCTGGAATTCTAGCAAGAAGGCATGACCTCCTTGAGAGAGTATGCCATTTGAAGCCATTAGAATGAAACCCAGAATCTGTTTCAGTAATCAACACTGTGTAAGATCAGGATTTCTTTACTATTCACATAACTATTATAGTCAGGAATTGAGTCTTATCAAAATGAACCAAAAAAAGATCATTCTGGACTTGGCAGTATTTATATCTTGGCTATTTGCCCAGGATCAATGTTAATTTTGGTGGGGAAGTGACTATAATTACTAGTAACAGTTCACCCTGATAACTGGATAATTGTTTTAAAAATGTACGTTCTAAGAAGGGACAAGGACAATATGATTATTCTTCTAGGTTTTATTATTTTATGAAAGGGTATCATGTGTGCTACCCTCACAAAGAAACTAGGCTTTTGGAAAACAGTTTCCAATGTCTTCATAACACAGAAGGCAGGGTGAGTCAGACAAATTGACACAAATAAAATCATTTTAAAGTTTGGAAAAATAAAAGTAAACACTTGAAATAGAATTTTTGAAAAAAAAACTATATATTCTTATCAATGAACCTTGAATCTTTTAGTGATTTAAGTTCATATAGGAGGAAATTCTGGAAAACTTACAGATGTTTTTTTCTACCGAAGAAGTAGAGTCTGGTTCATTATACAGTTTTATTTGGATATAGTGCTCCTATACTGAAACAATGTCACTTTCATTTCCTTGTCTCCCACCTCCAAAATATAACATTATTTAAACCATGATATGTTAAATAATTGAGGCACCTGTATAGCACTTCATTTAAAGAAATATGGCAGTGCTGAATATAAAAATGCTAGCTATATTGACCATCTGGAGTTAGGTGAATCCTCACTCCATTCTGGAGGATATTTTCTGCTTCACTAAACTACTCACTGACCCAGATAAAAACAGCTTCATAACAACCCATAATGTTTTTCCAAGTTAGGAAACATTCATTGAAAAATAGTGCTAAGAAAATCATTATGGGGTAAGTCTGAACAAGCTATTTTCCAAGCACTGCAGGTCTGAATTACGGAGGTGTGACACAACAAATCCAATTTTGACAAAAAAAAGCATATGGTTAAGGTTTTACAGGATCTCTGCTTTGAAAGATTTTCTTCTAATCCCTTATATTTTTAAGTCTCTCTAGCTAGATAAATTATTTACTTTTTTGCTTTTTTGTTCTTTTCAGTTTATTCTTCTGTTTCACCTTGTATATTTGTGTTTCAAAAATTCTCTAGAATCCAACAGCTCATAAAAGCTTTGTTTTTGTTGTTAGTTATTTTTTTGTGTGGGGGCCAATAAAATAGTTTTCTCGTTATTTCTTATAAAACTTGTATGTAGGTCAAGGCTAAATTTGCACACTCTGCTGCAATATTCAAACTGTGGCATTTCTTTTAGTTCTCAGATGACTAATAACACCTTGGAAATTATGAATGACAGGATATGAATAGTGGAATCAACCCATTACTTGGCTTGGGGAAACAGATTTTCAAGAACAAAGGTTATGGTACAGCTAGTGTTATTCTCCGTGGGTCTGAAAATGAAGCCTAAAATTAGCTTTCACTGTGACAATTCAGTGTCTAAGCAAGTTGGAAGAGAACAATGTCCTCCTAATAATTGTGATTTTTGTAATTCTAAATGCTGTAATTTTAGAGCTCTTTGAAAAACACTGGAGTCCCACCGAAAGTAAAAGGCTGAGTGTGTGTGTGTGTGTGTGTGTGTGCGCGCACAAATTAGCCTAGGAAGATCATTATAATGATTTATATGTATATAAAGTATATTAGCTGACTTTCTATGAATTGGTAGTATTATATAGGATACTTTAAATGCCCATTGTTTCACTGAGTATTGCATCAATTTATGGTACTGTCTTTTGAGACTTATTTGAACTTGTAATTGACTCACAAAGAGAGAAGGTAGACAAATTAAAGTTCAAATTTAAGTAAAAAATAGGCAGAAAAGAGTTTTTGCATATGTTACATGATCGCAAAAAAATATTACCATAGACCCAGTTTATGTAATTGATAGAGACAGAATCTAAAGATTTGGGCATCTTGTTGGTTTTATATAACTAACTCAGGATGGTTAAACACATCTCAGCAGAATGAGCTACTGAAAAGTGTGTATGTGTGTGGAATGAGGGGGTAGGTGGGAACACAGGTGTTAAGTGGAGGCACAAGTTGGGGCATCTGAGTGCTAAGAGAAGTGTGAGGGTTTGCAATACCAAGAGTAACAGCACTTTAAGGAAATATCTAGTGCCATATTTCAATGCATAAATGTTTCTTCAATAACTCAATGTAATCGTATTGAACAAAGGTCCAAACGTGCCAATCCCATAATGGCAATGAATGCCATAAACAATTAGAGATACACTATGTCTTATTCCCTAGTAATGACCATGTAAAAAATCCTTTAGTTTACGATAGAAATCCTTACTATCATTAACGATGGCATTAATCCTTTATGTCAATTCTTAAAGTCAATATCAATTCTTAACATCTTTAAGGACAGAAATTATAAAATTCTTATCCATATTAACAATACATTTATAATGATAAATACATAAGTTATATATGGGATTTTGAAATATAAAAATAAAAGTAGAGGCAAAAAGATTATATGCCACTTATATTTACTAACGCTAAATTTAGTGGACTTCTTGTCAGCCTGCTTTCAAAGTGTTTTGAGTTGTTTCAATACATAAAAACTAAATGGAAACAATAACATCACATTCATTATATAAGCTCTTAGCATTATGATTAAGAATGGAAAATCTATTGAGAAATGTCTGTTCATAGACATTTATGCAGCCAACAGACATATGAAAAAATGCTCATCATCACTGGTCATCAGAGAAATACAAATAAAAACCACAATGAGATACCATCTCATGCCAGTTAGAATGACGATCATTAAAAAGTCAGGAAACAACAGATGCTGGAGAGGATGTGGAGAAGTAGGAATGCTTTTACACTCTTGGTGGGAGTGTAAATTAGTTCAACCATTTTGGAAAACAGTGTGGTGATTCCTCAAGGATCTAGAACTAGAAATACCATTTGACCCAGCAATCCCATTACTGAGTATATACCCAAAGGATTATAAATCATTCTGCTATAAGGACACTTGCACATGGATGTTTATTGCAGCACTATTCACAATAGCAAAAACTTGGAACCAACCCAAATGTCCATCAGTAATAGACTGGATAAAGAAAATGTGGCACATATACACCATGGAATGCTGTGTAGACAAAAAAAGGCTGAGTTCATGTCCTCTGCAGGGACATGGATGAAGCTGGAAACCATCATTCTCAGCAAACTGTCACAAGGACAGAAAACCAAACTCTGCATGTTCTTACTCATAAGAGGGAGTTGAACAATGAGAACACATGGACACAAGGAGGGGAACATTACACACCGGGGCCCGTTGGGGGGTTGGGGGCTGGGGAATAGATAATATTAAGAGAAATACCTAATGTAAATGATGAGGTGATGGGTGCACCAAACCAAAATGGCACATGTATACCTATGTAACAAACTTGCACGTTGTGCACATGTACCCTATAACTTAAAGTATAATAATAATTTAAAAAAAATAAAAAAATGGAAAATCTAGATGTTTAGATTGACTATAGAATGAAATTTGACTCATGGTGGATATATATACTCTCAGGGTAGGGAGGATTGCTTGTTGTCTACCAAAATCCATTCTAACCTTCTTCCAGAGAGTAATGGAATTTTTTTGGATACACCTGTCAGCGTCCTTTGCAGCCAGATGTGGCCTTGTCACTACATTCTTGAAGAAAGAAAATGCACAGAAGTCATGTGTATAAATTCCATATCACTTGCTTAAAAGGAAAATTTTTACCTTCAACATATGTTCTTTCCCCTTTCCTTGACTAAAATGCAGAAAATTGCTGAGCTAGCCATGAGAATCCCTTGGGGACTAAGAGTAACAAGATTGAAGGAGTCTATGAACCCATCCACTTATTTCCTTAGAGAGAATGAGTTATATTTTTGCTAGAGCCACAGAATGTTGAAAGGTTTTGTTGTTAGCTTAGCCTATACCGAAATGTGTGCGCCTGTGTATCATGTATCTTCATGTAATAACTATGACAATTTTCCCTTCCTTCTTAGAGCTGCCCATATTTTAACTCTGTAGCCCAACTCCTATCTTGCTATTGATCCACTGGGCAAGATGACAGCACTATCTAAATGTTCATGGGTTCTGTAGGAGCTCCTTGATTTAAAAAGTGTATCAAATTTTCTCCACTCTTTCCCAAGCCTCCTCTAATTTTAGCATGGAAATGAGCTTCTACAAGTCCTTTTTGGAAAAGGAGGAGATAGGCAAATCATTAGTTATCAACATAACAATTCTTCTACAGCTAAGACAAAGCAGAATATTTCAAAACTCTGTTTTGTATTTTTCTTTGGAGGACAAAGGCATATTTGTGATATTTGCTGTCTATAAGACTTAGTGCCTCATATGGCTCACCTAACTTCTGTGGGAGTATATTAGCATTTAAAATCTAACTTCAACTCCTACCTTGGGCCTCTAATTTTCCCTTTATTTGTCTACCCCTTTCAACTCACTAGTGGATCATAGGACTCTATCTGAAAATTCTATTTTATTAAATTCTGAAATCCTCAGCACAGTAACTGGAAAAGGGCTCTAAAATAAATTTATGGATAAATGCTCTAAAATATATTTATAAATAAGAAAAGACAATTGATTGCGAGGTGATTTTCTAAGCCCTTTACATACGTTATTTTATTAAAGCTTCTCTTTAACCAAAGGGTAGGTATGACCATTCTTGTTTCAAGATTGAGGACACGGACGCACAAAAAGTTAAATAATGTGCCCATTTCACAAAATGAGAAAGTAGCAAAGTCAGAACAAAAATTTAGATTTCTTATTTGAAGCCAATGTTTTTTCTCCTCTTCTAATGGCCTTAAACGCTCCTCCCTCTCCCTACCTCCTTCCAGCCTTTTATTCCCCTGTGCAATCTCATACTAAACCATAAAATAAAAGAGAGTCAGAGCTCAGGGATATGTGGAAGACAGTGGCATAGAGTTGTACTTGCTCACTCCCTTACTTTCCTCTGCATCAGCCTGAGGCACCTCCACAGAACTCAGATTGCTGTCTACCTGGATATGTTAAAACTCACTGTACAACAGCATACTGCCTCTCAAAATGAAGGGAATGAAAAGTAACAATGACCATATGCTTATTAATTGCCAGATATTCATAGTTTAAGTCATGTTATTCTCAATAAAGATGTATTTTCTGGGATGCTGAGATCCTGGAATGCTAAAACTTCACCTTGCCAATCACATGCAGCTATCCACAACATTCCTGTAGTGGGTGAATGACCAAGAAATCATAGATCGTTTGACAACAATTTTTTTCCTTACAATGGTGCAAAATCAACCTGCATTCATTTGAAACCATCCTTGAAATTTTGAATTTTGATTTTTTCCTGGGCTTGTAACATGCAGCAAGATACTCTCTGTCAATGCGGAGCTGTGCAGTTAGCCATAGCTCCCAGTCATCCACGCAATCAAGAGAGTAGACAACTGATACTCTACAATGTACTGTGTTGTCAGGTGGTTTTGCCCAAATGTAGGCTACTGGAAATGTTCTGAGGCTATTTACTGTAGGCTGTGCTAAACTATGATGTGCTATAATGTTTGGCAAGCTGAGTGTGTAAAATGCATGTTTTACTCACCATAGTCTCCATTTAGGAAAAGTTTATTGGAAAACCTGATGGCAAGTTGAGGATCATTTGTATTCTGACATAACATAGCATTGAGAACCTAATAAGTAGTTGACATATGAGTAAATGAACTCTTCATTATTTTATATATCAATGTCTCAAAATTCTCCAAATGCAGGACTTGCTAGTAAACAGTTCAAATCCTAAGAAACTTTCCTACTTGCCTCATTTAGTTCCTGGTCTGCATTTTAGGGCTTTCATGCTCATATCTACTTAAGGAGAGAGGTGACTGAGCATAAAAGTCTCTGAATCAAATCACCCAGTCAGAAGCAAGGAATGGATGGGAGGCTGGAAGGTTAGCTTTCTCTAAGATGAAGGAGTGTAAAATGTTGAAGAAGAGTGACCTCCTCCTACAAATGAAATGTGACTCTCCATAGATGTCCTGAGTTTTGAATCATGAGACCCATACTTTCTTTTCCCATGAGTCAAGGCAGGGTTGACTTATAATAGATGTAGAATCATCCTGTGCTCCCAACTGTCCCTGCACAAAGCAGTCTTCATTAATTGCCTTTTGCTTCCCTATCATCTTTTACTGTTGCACCACGAACATAAGCACGCATTTCTGTGTCCTTTCCGTTAGAAGATCTCCTCCACTCCCAACTTCGTTTAACAGAGCAAAGAAGGCTTGCTGAACATACATGCAAGATTATTAATAGGAATAATCTGAGTATTCTGAGGCTGCTGACACAGTTTTCACCAATGAAGCAATCTGTTTAGTTTAGCCACTTTTCCCACAAGAACTGATAAGAACAGTTGAAACTTCCACTTATGCTCATGTTGTGCTTGGAAATGACCTGATTAAAGGACTCTCAGTATGTGTTATGTATGGGTGGTCCCCAAAAGCTGCTTCCAAAATCTCTATGCAAAAAAAAATCTTGTTTCCTTAGATAACTCCTAGACAGCTGTGCTCCTATGGAAACTTTTGGAATAGACCCACACGGAGAAATTACGAAAATAAGACAAAACGAAAATAAGATAAAATCAAAAAGAAAAGAAAAAGAAAAAAACGCAGAAAACCTGTGAAACACCTGGTTTTGGCAGCTTTTTGTCTCACCAGAGGCGGCATGTTTCAGTGCCATCTGTTAGGCAGCCATGTTCTGCTCGTCCTTCTCCGGGTAAGTTCCCCTGTGGGCTGCACAGGATCCGACTGGCAGCAGATTGCAGCCGACCTCAGCACTGAAGCCTCCCTGGGATTTGTAGCCCTGCAGCCTGCCGGGCGGAGGTTATCTCTCCAACGTGGCCCGTCTGCAGGCTCTCCTTTTGACCTACCCAAATGGTATTTAAAGCAGCAATTAGAATGACTCCCCAGCGCCCAGGCTATTTCAAATCTTTTAAATGTTTGAATACATTGCTTTAACATGTTGACCTTTCTCTGTACCCAGTGAAACTAGGCCAAACAAACAAATAAATAAATAAACTACTTTGGTTTGTGACCGAAGAAGAAATTGCCATCTTAGCACTCTTCCTAGAGCTCCTGCATACCCCTGTCTTTCAGGTGCCAACAGAACATAGGAAAACAGCCAATCATTGAAATGCACAGCTGTGTATTCCTTCACACATTGGTTTCTCTTTCTTATGTGTTCAATGATAATTCCAAACATCTATTGAATTACAACTAAAGGATCCTATTTCATGCAAGTATATTCTCTGCTTAAGCAATTACTAATATCCAGTTTATTTTATTTTCTTTTTCTTTTTTTATTTTTTTTAAGATGGAGTCTCGCACTGTCGCCTGGACTGGAGTGCAGTGCAGTGGCGCGATCTCGGCTCACTGCAACCTCTGCCTTACAGGTTCAAGAGATTCTCCTGCCTCAGCCCCCCGAATAGCTGGGATTACAGGTGCCTGGCACCATGCCCGGCTAGTTTTTTGTATTTTTAGTAGACACCGGGTTTCACTATGTTGGCCAGAGTGGTCTTGAACGCCTGACCTCGTGAACCACCTGCCTCAGCCTCCCAAAGTGCTGGGATTATAGGCATGAGCCACAGCACCCGGCCTAATATCCAGTTTTGTATTTTTGTATTTTTTTTAATGAAATCTCATGTGGAAGAAAAGGCCATTCTAGAAAATATTAACGTTTTCTGATACATGACAATGGAAGAAGCTCTGTTTAATTTTCCTGCCATAATTTCAGAGTCCTTTGGTTTATGTTTTGTTGGTGTAATCTTTCTGTGTGATGGTCCTTTCTGACAGCCTCGGTTTTTGTTTGACTTTTCTTTAACACTTATCTTCAGAGAGACAAGTGCTTTTTTGCAAATCTAGTCCTCTGAGCATATGTGATTGTTGCATATTTTACAGAAGCTTTCGGAGAGAAATGAAGAAGATAGTTTACATTTTACATCATACAGCAATAATTACTTTATTAAATAATTTAATTTAATTACTATAAATTCTCCCCAAGAGATATTTCTGCTCTGCCCAAAGTCTTGTGTCTCTAAATTCCTACTGGGTCTGATTTCATATTCTAGCTCTCTTTCTTCTTTATGTACACCTATAATGTGCATAAATGACCTATACATTGCCTCACACTGACTTCTCAAATCTTGCATCATTTCACCCATTATACTTTCACAAAACAATGGACCCTCCAATTATTGGGATACATTCTCCTGGGAAGGCAGTGGGGACTAGAAATAACTGCTTTTGTCTTCATCTAATTCTTTTTTATTATTTATTTTTCACTGTGCTGACATACCTTCCAGCAAATTCAGACAGAAATAAGCCTGTCTAAGGGAACAAAATTGGTGCAAACTGTGACAGGATGGTCCCTGAGCTATACAAAATTCATACTTTCAAGAGATAAATTCTAGCTATATGCTCTGCATTGGAGTATATTCTCATTATAAAACATTTTTAAAGGAGTTTTAGCACATTTACATATTGTTTATGAGGCAATTTAAAAAGAAGATGAAAAACAACGATAACCCCATATTTCTTTTTAGCTTTCTTGTGATTATTAGTAGTTGATACTTCTTGCTTGCAATGATTTGTTAATATTTTCAATTTCATGGTTTTATATCTCAATATTCATTTATAAATTCATATTCTAAAAGTTACCCTAAGAAAATATCATGGAGAATCTAAACATAAAATGAATAATTCAAGCTTTTGATGCAGGAAAAACATGTTCAAATTGGTTTTATTTAACTTAAAATAACAATAGTTTTAATTCCGATGAATTCAGTTTTCAAAGAAAATAGGAGCTACTTAGCTTATTATTCATATAGTTCATGCTAAGCATGAGAAACAAGGAGCTCTGTTTACGCTGACATTATTTGGATGGAAGCTGCCATGTATAATAAGATGCTATGTCCTCCTCTTTTTGTGAATCCATCCACTAACCTCCTTGTTTAGCTGCACCGCCTATGCATAGCATGACTCACCTTGGGATCCTTTGGAGTTGTGTCCCCTAAGATTGGAAAAGGGGCATCCCTACTGCTATGTTATCTTTTCCTACTTGATAATCAGTACATTCTGTTGTGAAGAATTAATGCTTGAAAGTGACATTTAAAATTCCCAAATGTGTAGGTATTTATATATCAAAAATAAAATTGTTAACTAAATTTAACAAAATCAAAATATAATGAATTATATTTTCAGCCTATCTGTTTTAATCCTCTTATCAAACAAGCTGACTGGCACCATTCTGGCTGGGTTGGGTTTTTTAAGATTAGGCCTGGCAAATAAATTGTCTTTCTTTAAAAAGAAATCTAGGTGCCAATGGTTGACACTGTCTGAGTACTTATTGTGGGCTAGATACTGCTTCACTTATTTCCCATGTAAGAAGTCTTTTATTCCTCACAACAACCTAGTAAGTTGGGTGTAATTATTATCACTACTTCACAGGTTAAAAATAAAAATTAAAAAAAACCTGAAGCACAAAGAAATTAAACATCTTTGTCAAACAACTAAAAATGTTAGAATCAGAATTTTTACCCAGGCTGACATCAGAATCTGAGTCTTTCGTCTTGTGCTATAATTATAAAATATTCAGGGTCCATAGTGAGTGAGGCTTAGAGATCACAAAATGTCACCAGACAGATAAGTGCTAAAAGCTGGAGAATAAAGCTTAATATTTTATTTTCTACTTTCCTTTTCAAAAGATATCCAATTGCCCAAAGTAGAAACCTAAGAATCATGATGTTTTCTTTTCTCTTACTGATATGGTTTGGATGTTTGTCTCCTCCAAATCTCATGTTGAAATGAAATCCTCAGTGTTGGAGGTGGGGCCTGGTGAGAGGGGTTTGGGTCATGGAGGTGGATCACTCATGAATGCTTTGAGCCCCCACACAGAGTCCCTATTGTAATAATGAGGAGTTCTTGCTCAAAGTTCACATGAGATCTGGTTGTTTAAAAGAGCATGGCACCTCCCTCCTTACTCCACCTCTTTCTCTGTGATATGCTGAAACGGTTTGGATGTGTCCCCACCCAAATCTCATCTTGATTTCCCACATGTTATGGGAGGGACCTTGTGGGAAGTAATTGAATCATGGGGACAGGTATTTCCTGTGCTGTTCTTGTGATAGTGAACAAGTCTCATGAGATCTGACAGTTTTAAAAAAAGGAGTTTCCCTGTACAAGTTATTTTGTCTGTCACCACGTGAGACGTGCCTTTTATCTTCTGCCATGATTGTGAGGCCTCCCCAGCCACAGGAAACTGTAAGTTCAATAAAACTTTCCTTTGTAAATTGCCCAGTCTTGCATATGTCTTTATCAGCAGTGTGAAAATGGACTAATACAGTAAACTGGCACCAGTAGAATGAGGCGTTGCTGAAAATATACCTGAAAATATGGAAGCAACTTTGGAACTGGGTAACAGGCAGGGTTGGAACAGTTTGGAGGGCTCAGAAGAAGACAGGAAAATGTGGGAACGTTTGGAACTTCCTAGAGACTTGTTGAATTGCTTTGACAAAAATGCTGATAGTGATATGAACAATAAGGTCCAGGCTGAGGTGGTCTCAGATGGAGAGGAGGAACTTGTTGGGGATTGGAGTATAGGTGACTCTTGTTATGTTTTAGCAAAGAGACTGGCAGCTCTTTGCCCCTGCCCTAGAGATTTGTGGAACTTTGAACTTGAGAGAAATGATTTAGGGTATCTGGTGGAAGAAATTTCTAAGCAGCAAAACATTCAAGCAGTCACTTGGGTGCTGCTAAAGGCACTCAATTTCATGAGGGAACCAGAGCATAAAAGTTTGGAAAATTTGCAGCATGACAATGTGATAGAAAAAAAAAATTCCCATTTTCTGAGGAGAAATTTAAGCCAGCTGCAGAAATTTGCATAAATAATGAGGAGCTGAATGTTAATACCCAGGACAATGGGGAAAATGTCTCCAGGGCATGTAAGAGGTCTTCATGGCAACCCCTTCCATCACAAGCCCAGAGATTTAGGAGGAAAAAATGGTTTTGTGGGCTGGGCTCAGGGTTCCTCCACTGTATACAGCCTAGGGACTTGGTGCCCTGCATCCCAGATGCTCCAGCCATGAATAAAAGGAGCCAAGGTACAGCTCAGGCTGTTGCTTCAGAGGGTACAAGCCTCAAGCCTTGGCAGCTTCCATGTGGTATCCAGCCTGCAGGTGCACAGAAGTCAAGAATTGAGGTTTGGGAACCTCTGCCTAGATTTCAGAAGATGTGTGGAAATGCCTGGATGCCCAGGGAGAAGTTCGCTGCATGGGTGGGTACCTCATGGAGAACATCTGGTAGGGCAGTGCAGAAGGAAAATGTGGGGTAGGAGCCCCCACACAGAGTCCCTACTAGGGTACCATCTAGTGGAGCTGTGGGAAGAGGGCCACCATCCTTCAGACCCTAGAATGGTAGCTCTACCTGACAGCTTGCACCATGCACCTAGAAAAGCCACAAACACTCAGTGCCAGCCTGTGAAAGCAGCCAGGAGGGAGGCTGTACCTGCAAAGCCACAGGGACGGAGCTGCCCAAGACTGTGGAAACCCACCTCTTGCATCAGCTTGACCTGGATGTGAGACATGGAGTCAAAGGGGATCATTTTGGAGTTTTAAGATTTGACTGCCCTGATGGATTTTGGACTTGCATAGGGCCTGTAGCCCCTTAGTTTTGGCCAGTTTCTCCCATTTGGAATGGCTGTATTTATCTAATGCCTGTACCCCCATTCTATCTAGGAAGTAACTAACTTGCTTTTGATTTTACAGGCTCATAGGCTGAAGGCACTTACCTTGTCTCAGATGAGACTTTGGATTTTGGACTGTGGACTTTTTGAGTTAATTCTGAAATAAGATAAGACTTTGGAGGACTGTTGAGAAGGCATTATTGGTTTTGAAATGTGAGGACATGAGATTTGGAAGGGGTTAGGGGCAGAATGATATGCTTTGGCTGTGTCCCCACCCAAATCTCATTTTGAATTCCAACGTGTTGTGGGAGGGACCTGTTGGGAGGTAATTGAATCATAGGAGCAGGTCTTTCCCATGCTGCTCTTGTGATAGTGAATAAGTCTCATGAGATCTGATAGTTTTAAAAAGAGGAGTTTCCCTGCACAAGTTCTTCTCTTGTCTGCTGCCATGTGAGATGTGCCTTTTACCTTCCGCCATGATTGTAAGGCCTTCCCAGCTATCTGGAACCACGAGTCCAACAAACCTCTTTCTTTGGTAAATTACCCAGTCTCTGATATGTCTTTATCAGCAGGATGAAAACAGGCTAATACATATGCTGCTTCCCTGCGCCTTCCACCATGATTGTAAGCTTCCTGAGGTCTCAACAGAAGCCAAGATGTTGGTGCCATACTTGTGCAGCCTGCAGAACTGTGAACCAATTAAACCTCTTTTATTTATAAATTACTCAGTCTCAGGTATTTCTTTATATAAACACAAAAACTGCCTAACACACTCACTATCCACCTCTAGTTGTTAACTAATTTATGTGAATTCCTCCCTAGAAATAGGTCTTGAATCTCTCTCTCTATATATTTTTTTTAATGGAATCTCACTCTGTTGCACTGGCTGGAGTGCAGAGGTGCAGTCATGGCTCACTGCAACTTCCACTTCCTGGGTTCAAGTGATTTTCATGCCTTAGCCACCCACGTAGCTAGGAAAACAGGCATGCACCATCACCCCCAGCTAATTTTTGTACTTTTTTTTTTTTTTTTTTTTTTTTTTTAGTAGAGATGGGGTTTTGCCATGTTGGCCAGGCTGGTCTTGGATTCCTGACCTCAAGTGATCTGCCTGCCTTGGCCTCCCGAGGTGCTGGGATTACAGGTGTAAGCCACCACGTCCAGTTAATTTTTTATTTTATTTATTTATTTATTAGTAGAGATGGGGTTTTGCCATGTTGGCCAGGCTGGTCTCAAACTCCTGACCTCAAGTGATATTCCAGCATTGGCCTCCCAAAGTGTTGGGATTACAGGTATGAGCCAATGTGTCCGACAGCTCTTGAATCTCTTCATTTGTATTCCTGCCTTAAGCATCTGTTAAGTTCTAGGAAGCTATTATATAAAAGGAGTTGTTTAAACTGGAACCAGAAATTGAACCTATACTTGAAGAATAATGTCCAACCTCCTCTAATTTGCCTGAGACCCTTTATGAACTGGTTACACCTTACATTTCTAACTCTCTCTTTTCTTCTCTTAGGGAGGGACAGTCTTGGCTCAGGCAGTAAAATTGGTATGTGGCGGAGAATTAAAGCAGCTGTGCCAAAGCCTTACACATGCTAAAATCATAAAATGTATGGATCCTAGAAAGAAGCCAGATAATAACCAAAGAGCGAAGTCTTCATGGGTAGTCAAAACCAAGTATCCAGAAGCACATAAGTGAATCAAATTTAGGCAGAAAACATGCATGTTCATAGATGGTGGAGGGATGTGGGAGGAAGGGCAGATTGCTTACAAAAGGACAGGAATGAAGCACAGATCAACTTTACTGCTACCCTACTTCTCTGACTCAATCCCACCATTCACCTGTCATGCACATTTCTTCAACTATGCATAAAATGCTTCCATTTGCTCATTCTAAACTCCAATTCTAGAATAACTTGTAGTCTCTGTTCATGTAAACCATTTTTCAAGACACACCCAACCCCTTTGCCATAAAGCCTTCTCCAGGAAGAATCCTGTCAGTGTCCCTTTGGCCTGAACATTTTTGCAGTACTTACAGTTAATATTACATACCTTAATGATTCATTTCTTTGACTTTTTTTGAAGTGGATTTTTACTTCCTCCAAACTTTAGGGTTTTTGACAGTCATTATGGATGAAGAGGAATAATTTGCTTCTTTCCCCATGTTCTTCTTGCTCTTTTTTTTAGAGGCAAGATGCTAATCTAATGGACTCATATTCCACAACATGGTTTGTGCTGTATTTCCTAGAGTATGTGGTGGCGATAAATTAAAGGGTACCGCCACTGAGTTTTTCTTCTATTTACTTAGGCTGGATTTTCCTTTCAAAGCAGAGCTTGAGATGAAAAATAATATATAAATATTTTATGTAACAATGTGTTTCCACAGATTAGGAATGAGGTACAGGTAAGAGAGAAACAGGGAACAAAGAAAAAAGCAAATTTGGAGATGCATTATCAAGTTGTCCAACAGCATGGGTGACTAGTTCTTGATCCAGTGTGCCTTTCTGAGGAAATCTCTGAAGTGTACCCCCAAAATGTCTCCCTCAGGGGAGAGAAGAGAAAGCATTTATGCGGCAGTTTCCATCTTCCATTGGTCAAGGTAACCACATGAGTATTAAATTTCACAAACTTTCATGTGAGTTCTGAGCAGTTTAGGCAGATATTCTACTAAGCCAATGAAAAATAAACCCTGTGAGAAACAGTGTGAGGAGCCCTAGGGTACACACGAGAGTTACATGATTTGAGCCCGAGGTAAAGGTACTGACAATTTACACTTAGGTAAAATTGATCCAAGCTTTGGAGCTGTTCCCTGCAGCAGTGGCTGGAACAAGAAGTGGGGCAAAGGAGATTCAAAGTGGTGTAAAAGAGAATCTTAGTATACTGCACAAGATTATTTCTGTAAGAGGACACAGGTCTTATCTCGGAGCAATTCCAAAAAAATTTTTTTGTTTTTACTTTTGCTTTGTATCTCCACTCTGTGAAATTTACAAAGGACTGCCTTGCCTAAATCCTTGCAACACTGCTCTTCAGTCCTCATGTTTTTAACTATTGAGTGCATCATAACTCAGTCATGTCTTTTGCTTGTTGCTTGTTTTGTGGTAAGGTTAACATTTGGTTGTAGGGAGAAGATGAACCTTCACTTAGTCTTTGTACATAAGTCACAACTTTTAGAAAGTTCTGCATTAGGGATTACCAATATTAAGCTAAAAATACTATAGCAATTTTTTTCCCATTTTTTTATGGTATATATATATTTCCCTTGGATAGTTAATAGAAAAGGGTTCCTGGGTCAAGAAAAAATCTATTATTACTGACCCCCACAGGTAGTACTATTATGTAGTGTTTTAAAACCTACCATGATTTTAGTTTATTGCAAGTCTTTTTAATATATAAGACTGACCACCAACTTTTCTCCCATTAAAAAACTCTCATTCTCTCTCTTTCTCTCTCTTTCTCTCTTTTTCTTTCTTTCTTTCTTTCTTTCCTTTCTTTCTTTCTCGTTCTTTCTCTCTCTTTTCTTCCTTCCTTCCTTCCTTCTGTCTCTCTCTCTCTGTTTCTCTCCCACACACATATACACCCACACATACACACACACACATGAACACACACACACATGACAAGTTGAAGAAAGACAAAAGCCTGAATTTAAGAATTGATTTTGGAGGTAGAAACTTCTGGTTCAAGAACACATTGGCAGAGAAAAGAAAGAATTAAAGTTCAGTCTTTATTTATTCATTCCTTTTATTGGGAATGAATAGTAATGATGAATATATAACCATGTTACATAAGTTATACCCTAAAAATCATATATCAAGAAAATTTAGTGTTCTAAATAAATTTATGATAAATGGCTGATAAAAAGAACACTTATTAAGATATATTACATTTTGCCAAAATTGAGCTGCATAAAAAATTAGCCTGAGTTTCTTAAGAAACTTACTCTTTTTAGCTATATGCAATTTCTCTGTTTATAGAAGAAACAAAGGACACCATTTTTGCCGGTTACCCATATAAGACTTTACCTTGGGGACTGCAATTACTATTTACTCTCCCAGATAAAAAGCATTTAATGACCAAATTATGCAAATGGGTTTTGTTTACAATAATGTTAATTTTGGGGAAATGACATGATCAGAAATGCACACCTGAAATCATGGAAGCAATGCGTAGACTCTAGAGAAAAGGAGTGTCATCTATATTTTTGTGGAGCTCTTTTTGAAAACTATTGTCTAATTCAATAAATTGCCTTAAGATAACCAGCCATCTAGAAAAATAAAATATTTAAAAGATTGTTTTTTTCTCTAGCTATGAAAGCAAAATAAATTACAGATGGGTTAAATAACAGAATTTAAAAATCCCTGCAGGAATAAATAGTGCTGTTGACACTATTAGAGATGAGTGAACTCTAAAACATCAATAGACATTGTTCAAAGTGAAGAATAGAGAGTGAAAAATACTGAAGAAAAGTGATTAAAGGCTCAGGGACCTGTGGAAGCACAGCAAATGGTCTAATATACATGCAACTGGAACCATAAGAAAAAGAGAATTATTTGAAGATATAATGCGTAAAAATTTTCCAAATATTATTTTTAAAAAACACATTTATTTAGAGACCCAAGAAGTTTAGCTAAACCTAAGCACAGTAAGAGCAAAGAAACCCAAACCCAGATATACAATAACATTTTATAAAAAGAAAAAGAAAAATATTAAAAGGAGATACCCAATTACTGGTGTGAATTCTGTCTCATGCATTGATACTGACTTATCTGACTTATATATTCACCAAAATAAATCATATTTTTACCCATAAAATACATTTGAATATATTTGAAAAGATTGAAATCTTACAGAGTATATAATTCGACTAAAACCATGCAAATTAGAAATTAATAACTGAAAGGTATCTGTCCACTATTAGTTTCCTATTGCTGCTGTAAAACAATGACCATAAACTTGCTTTAAAAACAGAAAAAAAAAAATCATACAGTTCTGGAGGTCAGAAATACAAAATGAGTCTTACAATCAAGGTGTTGGTAAGGCTAGTTTCTTCTGGAGGCTCCTGACAGAGAAATTGTTTGTTGCCTCTTTTAGCATCTGGTGGCTGCTAGCATCCCTCAGCTTGTGGCCACATCACTCCAAAATCTACTTCTGTTGTTTCATTGTCTTCTTTTCTGTATTCAAATCTCCCTTTGCTTTCATCTTATAGAACTCTTAAGACTACAATTAAGGTATACCCAGGTAATCTAGGATAATCTCCCCATCTAAGACCCTTAACTTTATACTTGCAAAGTCTTTTTTTGCCATGTAAGGTAACATTAACAGTTTCCAGGGATTATTATGCAGATATCTTTGGGAGCTATTCAGCCTAACACATTTCTTAAATATTTGCAAATTTCAGACACATTAAGTAATCTATGCATCAAAGAAGAAGTCATAAGAAAAGTGAGAAAAATATTTCAAACCACAATAAAATAAAAACAACTTATAAAAACTAGTAGAATGATGTTAAAGTGGTGCTTTGAGGAAAATTTGTATCAGTAAATGATATTAGCAAAGAAGAACAATTTAAAATCAAGTTAAATTTAAAATCAATTTAAATTGATTAAAAACAATTTAAAATCAATTATTTAAGCTTCCATCATAGAAAATTTTTTTTAAAAAACAAATTAAATCCAAGTTATGTAGATAAATATAAATATTAAAGATGAGAACAAATATTAATTAATGAGAAAAATAAAATAGGGATAACTAATAGAATCAGAAGCTGAATCTGTAAAAGACTAATAAACTTGATAAATTCCTGGTGAGATTAATGGAAAAAAAGAGAAAGAAAGCAATGGATGAATGTCAGAAATAAGAGATGTGATATCACTGAATATTTTATAGATAATAAAAGGATAATAAGATATTGTGAAAAACTTGATGCAAATAAATTTGACAGTTGAGATGAAATGGATAAATTATTTCGTGACACAAACTACCACAGCTCACACACACACAAAATAAACATTATGAATTTTTCTAAATCTATTAAGTAATTAAATTAGTAATCAAAACTGTTCCTATGAAGAGAACTCTAGGTCCAGATGGCTTCACTGGTGAATCTCTCAAACACTGAAGAAATAAAGTCATACAAACACTTTCAGAAAGTAGAAAAGGAGTGATAGTCTGTGTGCTGTGACTCAAGCCTGTATTCCCAGCACTTTGGGAGGCTGAGGCAGGAGGATCATTTGAGCCCAGGAGTTTCGGACCAGCCTGGGAAACATAGTGATACCTTGTCTCTACTATGCAGTTTCCTAGGGAGACAGGATCCAATATGTGTATATATATGTGTGTGTGTGAATATATATATATAATTAGCTGGGTATGGTGGCACATGCCTATAATCCCAGCTGCCTGGGAGGCTGGAGGGGGAGGACTGCTTGAGCCCAGGAGGTCTAGGCAGCAGTAAGCCATGATCGTGCCACTGCACTCCAGCCTAGGTGACAGAGTGAGATGCCGTTTATTTAAAAAAAAAAAAAAAAAAAGGAAGAAAGAAAAGGAGGGATGGCTTTCCAGATTATTCAATGAGGCCAGCATTATTCTGATACCAAAATCTAACAAAGATATTATGAGAAAAGATAATTGCAGATTAATATCTTTTATGAAAACAGTTACAAAATATTTGAAAATATGGCACTATTGAATCCAGCAATACTAAAAAGCGTAATGCATTAGGACCAATAAAGGGCCAGAAATGCAAGTTTACATTTAAATGAAATGTTAAATTTTATAATAAAATAAATTTAAGATATATCAATAAATGTAGTTTAGAACTTTAAAATAATAAAAAATCCATTTTAAAACTAATCAATATAATTCACTGTATTAAAAAACTATGAAAGAAAAAACATAAATCATCTCTCTATATATAGAAAAAGCATTTGATAAAATTAAACACTCATTCACGATAAAAATTTCAACAAACCAGTAATAGAGGGAACTTTTTCAACCTGATAAAGGACGTCTACAAAATATCCACAGCTAATATCAGACTTACCGCTTTCCTTCTGAGACTGAGGAACAAGTCAAAGCTGTTCACTCTCCTTACCTTTATTTGATAATGTCCTGGATTCTCCAATTAATGCGATAAGCCTAGGAAAAGAATAGAAATAATAGAAATCAGTATTGTCTCTATTCGCAGAAGATATGACGGTCTTTGTAGAATATCCTAAGAACTCTCCAAAACAAATAATAAAATTAGTAAGGAAATTTTTAAAAGGCACAAGAACCAAGAGCATTACACAAAATCCATTACATTTCTCTATACTAAAAACTTAAATTGCCAAATTAAATATTGCTTACAAAAGCTCCCAAATAATAAGTTCCTAAGAATAAACTTAATTTTAAAAGTATAAGACTTGAGTACTGAAAATGACAAGACATTTTTGAGAGAAATTTGTAAAATGTGTCCCATTTTTTGTGGATTGGCAGATCAAGTATTGTCAAAATGTCAAAATGTCAGTTTTGACAATTGAGTTATAGAGTCAGTGCAAACCTGATAAAATATTTATTTGTCAAAATTGTTGATGATGCTAAAATTTATTTTTAAAATTAATTTTTAATAGTAAAAAAATTTTAAAATTATAACATTGCAAGACTTAAACTACAAAAATCAGGACAGTGCAATATAAGAATAGACATATAAATAAATGGAACAGAATAGAAAACCTAGAAATAGATCTATACATATATGGTCAATGGATTTTTTGTAATGGTGGCATCATAATTTAATGGAGGCATAACAGTATTTTCAATTCTTTGTGCTGGAAAGAAAAAATGGGAAAAAATGAGAATGGAAAGTTAGGCAGGGAAATTAATATGAAAAACAAGACCTCAACCTCTATTTCATACTTCACCCACAATTTATTGAAGGTTGATTATGGCTTTTATTGTGGTGGCTTCCTTTGGCCTCTAATAATCCATCCTTGATTTGTCTTAGTTGCTATGGTTTGATACTCATATTGCCTCTCCAGGCATTTTGTCCCTATTAACACAATTTTTTAATTAACCATCTTCATATCTGGGTGGAGACATGTCTCTTTGTCTGCCACTCTAACTTTGCCACTTATATTAATTTCACAAATCTTGTTTCTAGAATTAAGATCTGCCATCTGACTTCTATAATTATTCCATCATACCCTTGCTGTCAATGAACCTAATTCTGAAATGGTATCGCCTGCTGTGATTGCTGGCCTGTGGAGGAGAGCTACCACTAAGCTTTTCAATAACTACTATTCCCCACTATTAGTACATTTCTCATTTCTCTAATAAAAAGTATCCATTTTTGTCAGTTTGTGGATGTTCTGGCTTTATATAATATTGTCTAGTTTTGCAAACCCAACTTTTTGGTCTGCTTCTTTCTTTCTTCCCCATCTACTATAACAATTTCAGAATTTATAAGTCACTTAATGTGGACCATCTCTTGCTCCAAGTTTCCTATGGGCTATCCTTGCAAAGTATTAGCACTGTCTCTTGCAGTCTTTGCTGTAATATGCATTACATTCCATTCCCTTGATCCAGCACCCTCAGTATCCAGTTTAATTGTACATGTCTTAGTTCATGACAGTGAATTTAAGCTAGATCCTGCAGCTCCATATAAGGTATAAGCCCTTCCCCCTTTCCCTTAGAAAGCCAACATTTTCTTAGCTCAGTTTTGTTGTGAAATGGTTATAGATCTGGTGACCAGGAGGGCAGGTGGGGACAAATCATGAGAACAGGTATTTTGTCTTACAAGCCAGAGGACTTTCCATTGACTTCAAGCAACAATGGAGCACTAGTCTCTCAAAAGAAGGAGTATGCCACTTCTGTGCATCCAGACAGTTAAGGGGATTCTGGGGCTTCAATATTTTCAAGTGTATTCCAAATGTCCCCATTTCACATCCCAGAGTACTTTTCTTTACTAATCATAGCTTTAATCTCAGCATAGCAGACCTGGCTGCATTGAGATTTTAACCTACTCTTGAGCTCTGCTACTCTTATAATTAAATACTGGGCTACCAGGCATGGTCTTCTGCTTTTTCTGTCTTTTGACTGAAGGAGACTGGAATCTGCTTATATGCCAACAATAAGTTATGTTGGCATGTTATGAGGCAGACTGCCCTCAGAAGAAGCAGGGTCCACACCTTGAGAATCCCCAGAACTAGCTTACAATTTTCACTATTAAACCAATTTGGAATTTTTCTTCATTTGTTGAGACAGTAATTATTTAAATACTCAGAAATAAATCTTGCTAAATATGTGCAAGAACTCTATATTCAAAAGTATAAATACAGGCATACCTCGGTTCTGTTGTTGTTTCTATTCCAAAACACCCACAATAAAGTGAATATTGCAATAAAGCGAGTAACAATGTTTTCCCAGTGCATATAAAAGTAATATTTACACTATACTGTAGTCTATTAAATGTTCAATAGCACTATGTCTAAAATACAATGTATACCTTGATTAAAAAGATTTTACTGCTAAAAAATGCTAATGATCAGCTGAGCCTTCAGTGAGTCATAATCCTTTTGCTGGTGGAGAGTTTTGGCTCCATGCTGATGGCTGCTGACTGATCAGGGTGGTGGTTGCTGAAGGTTAGGATGACTGTGGCAATTTCTTAAAATAAGAGAACAATGAAGTTTCCTGCATCAATCGACTGTTCCCTTCATGAAGGATTTCTCTATAGCATGCAATGATATTTGATAGCACTTTACTCACAATAGAACTTCTTTCAAAATTGGAGACAATCCTCTCAAATCCTGACAAGGCTTTAATAACCAAATTTATGTAATATTCTAAATCTTTTATTGATGTTTCAGTAATGTTCACATCATCTTTTCCAGGAGTAGTTTCCATCTCAAGAAACCACTTTCTTTACTCATTCATGAGGCAACTCCTCAGCTGTTCAAGTTTATAATGAGATTGCAGCAATTTAGTCACAGCTTCAGGCTTCACTTCTAATTCTAGATCTCTTGCTATTTCTACCATATCTTCAATAACTTCCTCCACTGAACTTTTGAACCCTTCAAGGTCATCCATAGGGGTTGGAATAAACTTCTTCCAAATATATGTTAATGTTGATATTTTGACCTCCTCTTATAATCATGGATGTTTTTAATGCCATGTGGAATGCTAAACTCTTTCCAGAGGTTTTAAACTTACTTTGCCTAGATCCATCAGAGGAATCACTATCTATGGCAGCTATATAGCCTTACAAATTTTTTCTCAAATAATAAGACTTGAAAATCAAAAATTACTCCTTGATCTGTGAGCTACAGAAGGGACGCTGTGTTAGCAGGCATGAAAACAGCATTCACCTCCTTGTACATCTCTATCAGAGCTCTTGGATAACCAAGTATATTGTTGATGAGATGCAGAAATATTATTTTTCTGAGCAGGTCTCAACAATGGATTTAATATATTCAGTAAACCACTGTAAACAGATGTGCTGTCATCCAGGCTTAGAGAGCACAGGGAGAGTAGATTCAGCATAATTCTTAAAGGCGCTAAAATTTTTAGAATGGCAAATAAGCTTTGGCTTCAAATTAGCATCACCACTGCATTAGACCCTGACAAGAGGGTCAGCCTTTCCTTTGAAGCTTTGAAGGCAGGCATTGACTTTCTGGATATGAAAGTCCTAGATGGTATCTTCTTCCAATATAAGGCTGTTTCATCTACATTGGAAATGTGTTTTTTAGTGCTGCCACTTCCGTCAATGATCTTAGCTAGGTCTTCTGAATAACTTTCTGTAGCTTCTCCATCAGCACTTGCTACTTCACTTTGTACTTTTATGTTATGGAGGTAGCTTCTTTCCTTAAACAACATTAACTGACCTCTTCTAGCTCTAGTTCTTTGTATATTTTAGATAATAGTCACTTATCTGATATGTGTTTTGCAATTATTTTTCCCACTCTGCAGCTTGTCTTTTTATTCTTTTCATGATGCCATTTACAGAACAAATGTTTTTAATTTTAATCAAATCCAGATTATCAATCACTCCTTTCATGTATGGTGCCTTTGGTGTAGCATCCAAAAAGTACTTAACAAAGCCGTGGTTCTACAGATTTTCTTTTATGTCATCTTCTAGGAGTCTTATTGTTTAGCATTTTACATTTAGGTTTATGACCCATATTGACTTAATTTTTTTGTGATGGATCTAAAATCTGTATCTATATTCATTTTCTATGCATGTAGATGTCCAGTAGTTCCAACAACCTGTGTTGAAAAGACTGTCTTCTCTATATTGTAGTGCCTTTGCTCCTTTGTCAAAAATTATTTGACAATATTTATATGGGTATGTTTCTGGGCTTTCTTTTCTGTTCCATTGATCTGTCTATTTTTTACCAATACCATATTATCTTGATTACTGTAGCTTTATAATATGTCTTGCCATTATCTAGTTTTTTTACGCTCTTGGATTGGAGCAAGGCGTGAAGTGCTATTGCAGTCCACGCACATTGTTGCTTATCTACTATCTCACCTATATGGCATGTAGTGACAGCTCAACAATTATAAATAATTTAGGGAAACTCTATTGATATTTTAGACTTACTTGGTTTTTTCCTAGATTAGAGTGTTGTGCAAAACAACAGGTAGGGTGAGAACAACTTTTATAATTTACTCCTATCTCCTGAAGTATGTTAAAAGGAATCTAAATCAGAATTCTAGCAATACCTCCTGAATTTCATGGTTCATTTTCCCAGTTATCTTTACCTAGTTTCTCTTCAACACTCTCTTAAGCTTCTTTTTGCCAAATAGCCTAACCCTCCCTCTGTAAGATTTTATTTATCTAGCCCCTATTCACTTGGTTCTTACTATATTTCTCTCCCTTTTTTCTTTCAGCTTTTACATGGATTCACCTTCTTTTTCTCTGGGCTTTTCACTGATTCTGTTTCATAAATGAGATACAATAATGGTGGGATGATTCACAGATATTCTCGAAGTCCTCATTTAAAAAATCTATATACATATTGCAAATAACATTTGTTACTGTTAAACTTATTTTGAGAATGCAAACATGTTTCCTGTCAACTTAAATAATCACTGACATTTACTTTTTAACATATAATAGCAAACACTATTTCAAGCATAGTATTTTATATATTTTATCCTAAGTACTTAGTTCTAAGTACTTGTATCCTAAGCACTTTATTCCAAATCATTTTATTATAAATACTTTATTCATTTTAAGTCTTCTTAACAATCCTATAAGAAATGTAAATACTCTCATTTTATAGATGAGGAAACTGACATAGACTAGTGTTTGGTTAGGTTGTTCAAGGTCATAAATCAATAAGATTATTATTTCTGAATAATAGTCATACAGAAATGTGGACTCTGAACCCAATGAGTTTGCCTCCAGAAACTTAGTGAGTAACATACAGCCTCACTCCTCATGTTTGTAGTTACAAGAATCCTGCCTCATGCCTAAAGGGATAAAAATTTGTTAATGCACATTATTATGAATAATAGATAAAAATTTTCTGCTGAGTCGAATAACATAGTTCAGCATAAGAAGAAATATATATTAGCAAGATAATTGTTACTAATCAACATAAACTTCCCTGAAGTCCTCCGCTGAAATACCCTATCTTCTAACTTCTGTTGTTTTTGTGCTTACTTGGTCATTAGAATCCACAGCTGGGGTAATTAGCAAGCAACAAATAAATGACTAAATAATTGTTGAGGATTTTATATTACCTTATGAGATTTTTAGAAAAAAAATCAACAAAAACATGTAAGGACATTTTTTAAAATCCCATAATACCTGTCTTTAAGGTCCTTGCAAAATATTGGAAGAATAACACATAATAAAACACGTATATGAAGACTGGAATTGAGCCTAGCAACCAACAAAAAATAACTACAACTATCATTGTAGTTGAGAGATAAATTTACAGTCTACCCTCTAGGAAGTTATCTAGGAACAATAAACTAGGTAACTACAAAATGAAAACCTCCTGAAATTTCACTGGGATAGATGTGCTTACCCTTTTTAATTACCATCATAGATGAGCACTGTTAAGGTGGGGAGATTGGCTGCTAATTGGATTTGATGTTGGAATTTATTCCACCTTCCATTAGAAGACAATCTGGGAAGTTTTACAAAAAACTAAATTATCGGATTATTAATATGAATTATTATTGGAGTCGTGCATTGGGATAATATTCATGCAACCATTGACTTTTAAAATTGATTTTCTAGCATGTGCTATAAACTTTTTAAACATTGAGGAGAGAGTAGTAAACAAAACATGCAAATCCCGTGCCTTTGTATAGCCTACATTCTGGTGGGGAGATAAAAAATAAAGCAATAGAAATTTATTACATGATATAAATAATATATAATGTCAGGGAGTATACAGTTGTTGTGATAAAGGATGCAGTAAGAATGGATAGCATACCAGGTTCTCCAGGAAGGCCTCTCTGAAGGGCAACATTTGCGAGAGAACTGAATGAAGCAAGAGACCAAGGGATGATACTATTTGTGGGAAATAGAAGCAAAGGCTGAGGAAACAGCAAGTTCAAATGTCTGAGAATAGATATGCCTGGGATGTTTGAGGAATTAAAAAGAGGCCAGTAAGACGATGGCATATATGACATTGCCAATGCTTATTGAAATGGAATAATGTTTGTGATAAATAGCCAAATAAAAAAGAAAATTCAAAATAGTGTACATAATGTTATATATGAAAATTCCTAGGTACGAAAGAAAATAAAACTATAGCAAAAGTATGCTGTCTACATAGATTTAAAGATATATAGATATATGTAAAGAAATATGAATATATGTGTGTCTGTGTGTATATATATATATATATATATATATATATATATATATGACATACCATTTACCAAATATATTACCAGTTTTAATTTAATCACTCGTGTATTTGGTTTTTTCTTTGCTTGCTTTTCTGTATATTATTAATTTTACGTATGTGCCTTAACTTAATTTTATGTATGTGTCTCAACTTAAAATTTATCTAGTGAGCATACCAGAGCTTTACGAGCTTAGTTCTGCTAAGACATTGAACCTCTGCTTTGATTTTTATAAGTAGCATTTACATGACACCAAAGGCAGAATGAGAAATAGAGTATAGGGATATGAAGCTAGAGTCAATTGGATGATAGAAATTTATAGAATAAAACAAGCAAATGGATGTACTAGGAGACGTATACAATAAACAAGTTTAAAACTTAGAGATAAGCCAAACAAGGAATAGAAAAGGATGTAATGAACCTAGTAAAGAATGGTTCTGGGGCCTTAGCAATGAAGAAGTGGTATACAGCATTTTGATGGATAATCAGGCAGAACCTTAACATGATTGCTGGCATTAACGTAATAGCAATACAAAGTCAATGAAACATTCACCAGAAACTTAACATCCATTTATCATTATGTGTTATCTTTAATCAAGGACATCTTTAAAGAGAACTGTCTGTAGATTCAAATGGCAAGTGTTTTCCACGAGAGGGTTTAAACCTTGAATATTTTAAGGGCAATCAAACAAATGCATTTCCTTTATTCAAGTGCATAACCTTGGAATTATGGAAAAATAAGAAAATCTTTATTAGCAAAATAACTTTTTTCAATAAAGTCAGAAGAAACAACAGTATGTTTTGACTGTTTATTTGCTTGACCTGACACCAATCATACTTGCATAAAAGAGAGATATCAACTCATACAAATGCTTTTGAGTCAGGATGCTATCCTCCAAAGTGGAATTTTATTTTATAGTAAAATTGGTCAACTGGCAGTTAAATGGTCCAAACTCCTTTCTACTTGTGCCATTAGTTTTGTTTATCACCTGAGACATCGTAATTTTATTATCTGTTAAATGAGGAGAGCAGCACCAGCCTCTATCAAGGAGAGAGAAAACAGTGATGACCATTCAATCCTACAACATGCATCGGTGAAAAATAAGTTTTCTATTTTTATAAATCATGCAGTTTTTATGTGGCCACTGTACTTTCCCATATCCAAATATACCTACAGTCTTTCTTGTAATAAGCATATCCATCTTCATAGCTATTTAGAGGAGATGCATAGAAGAGAATAAGTAAACATTTGGGTGGATATATAAACCGTGTACATAGAGGTTTTCGGTTTTTTTCCACTGGTGTGACTTTTCTTTTTTTTTGCATTTTATGAATTTTATGCTTTATATATCTATCACCTAGTGTATTAATAAAACCACCTTAAAGCCAGCACAGATGCAGTGTACCTTGCAAAGTGAGTATGTAATAATGACACAGATGCTGCCCCGTCTCTAGCTATGCTATTTTCATCTGCTCACAGGGTGCTCATCTGTGAATTGCTGGCTAAACATCATTACTGCAGTGTTGGTATTTACATGTTCAACCCTAATATCAGAACATGTAGTTTCTGTGTTTTCTCTAACAGTGTAGAAAGGTCCCTGTCCTTGGAGTCTTATGACTTTGGTTTGCTTCTTGTCCTTTCCCTTATTGTGTAACACAGTCTTTCTAGAATTCTTTTCTGTCACCCTTAATATGTGACTGATTATCTAAAGGGTTGTTATGGGATTTAGTAAACTCGACTATGTATAATCAGGTTTCAAAATATAAAACATTATCCAAATGTGTGGGTAACTGAAATGTCAAAATTTAGAACTTCTGATTTGCTACTGTGTTTACAGCTTTTTCTGCATTATGCAGGAATAAGAAGTAGGAGGTAAGGTTTCTGACAAAATGTAGCTAATGATCCGATTAGTGAAACTACATTTATAATACAGAAAGATAAATAATGCAATAATGCACATGGGAACAATAATGAAGAAAAAACATAATTCAAAAGTAAAAGGGAAGTCACTTGGTAATCAAAGTTCAATGGACAAATAAAATATGAACAGTAAGTGTGGTAAAAGGCAGTAAAAGAGGAAAACGAGTTTTGTGTTGAGAGGAATGTGTGAGCTGAAACTTGAGGAACTGGATGGGCAGTGTATAGGTGTGAATCCTTCATGCAAAAGAGCTAAATCAAGAAAGCCACATAGAGGAAAGAGAAGAAAAGAAAAGAAACAAACAAAAAATCTTTGATTATATTTCACTAGGGATAGTGTATCAGGCTCTTGACATTTACAATTTGAAATAGAATAAAACATTTATGTTGAACACTTGAAAAATGAATAAAGATCTAATGAATATCTTCAGGGAATCTTTTTTCCCCTTTTCTGTAGGTGAATGCAAAATATCTAAGGAATAGCAAAAATGGGAGTTGGACTGAGACACAAAACAAAGTTGCGATAGATAAGGATAAACAAATATGGAAGAAAGATGTCAGTAGAGAAAGCTTAATTTGGGGTTGTTGAAATTTCATTCACTGATACGATTTTAAAAGGTAACAACCAATTCCTCATGAGAATAAAATGTGGGAGGGAGATGGACATAGACAAAATACAGAGGAACAATATTTACTAAATTTTTTTAACCTGAAATGTCTGAATTATTGTTGCAAACAGATTTTGGCTTTGCAACAGCATCTAGTCTGGAAGTGTTCGCTTTTCTCAGTTCATTATAAACAGCTAAAATAACTTTTTAGGACAACCAAATTCTCTGTTACCTGGGCCCAATTCAGTTTCAGATGATTCAGCAACACCAGTGTTGATAGAACAGTTACTCATAGCACCTACTTTAATGCAAAGTACAGAGTAGCCAAGCACAATAAATATTGATGGTGGTGACACCAGACTATGATAAAATGTTTCTTTCTACTTCTCCTTTAGTTAGCCTTTCTCTGTCCTTCTCATTTCAAGCTTCCCCTCTTTTCCATGCAAGATGAATACCCATGGTCATTTAATCACCTTCCCTCCTTAGTCCTACAGACTGCTACGCTTTATATTTTTATTTACAGTCTGATTTAGGACCACATTTTAAACATTTATTTGCACATGTTTAAATAAAACATGCAGTGAAATTTTAACTTGTATATCTAATATTCCATTTATATCACTAATTCATTAGTTTTGTCACTGAGATAAATTATACAACCAGCTTAAGTTATATAGCTGATGTGAATCCCTATTTTAATCTTTGAACATAAATAGCTCTATTAATAGTAGCAGTTTGTTCATAAGAACGGAGTCTATATGTTAATCTATAATCTTCTTATTCCTTACCATGTTCTATATTCCAATGTCACATCTGAAAATGACATTTCCAATATAGATTTATATTCTCAGAAATTGTTTTGCTTCTGTCATCCATTCATTCGTTTTTCTTTAACCCATATATCCATTCAACACTGATTGGGTGCCCACTATGCACTATGTTGAAAACTGGGCTCATAATAGTACAGAAAATTATCATAGTCCCTGTTGTCATGGAGGCTGCTAATATTGGAGAGATAATAATAGAAGAGAGACGGTACTGTTAAGGCACCTGAGTGCCTGAGCCCCTACCTTAATCCTTGTGTTTTTCAGGGCTACATCCAGGGTCTCCTTGGGTTCTGCCCCTCCTCATGGGGTGAAGAAATTGCAGGACCAAGTATATGAAGTTAACAATTTCAATATCATGCTTTGGATATCTGGGACCCCAGTGTTCCCTGCTCAAATGACCCTAAACCTACTTGTTCCCTGGATCAATCCTCTGACATTGCAGCCCCAATGCTATTCACATTCTTATGCCTGAGTGTATTCACAGGCCAGAGATCTGCACTGGAATTTCCCTCTAGTGCTGGAATATTTAGAGGTAGTAAAAGAATGAGTCAGACAGTTTACTTGGGGCCTCTATTTGTTTTCTGGCCCCAGGTCCTACAAATAATGGATAATAAATAATATAAATAGATGCAAAAGTAAAACAATTAAAGGCTGATGTTAGGTAAAGATGGACTAATTTGCAGCTGATTTGTAGTACCTCTATTCTTATCTCCAGGGAGGGCTAGAAGTCTGGTCAGGATAGGAATCCCTTGGCCAGCATAGGGAGTAAGTGTACTAAACAGTGATTTATGGTGTGCTATGTTAAGTGTGAGTCTCCTCTGGAGGCACCCTATAACATCTTGTCTACACTGTTTAGTAAAATTTAATAGATTGATAGTTTGTACCTGGCTTACCTAGTTAAAATGCCTGGTTTTAGCTATGTGACCAGTAAAGAATAAAAGACTCCCCAGTGATCTTGTGCCTTGACACAGAGGGGTCTGGCATGGATCCTGTTGATTTGTAATCTGAAGACAAGAGCATCCAGAGAAACTGGGGAAGGGTCCAGGAAACTGCACCCGGACACGTCAAATCCCTTTGATGTTTACCTATGCTTTTTTAATCCCTTTGTACTACACAGTTTACCTTTATTAAAGCCTTTATTAGTATATCCTGCAGACTCTTGTGAGTACTTTCAATTACCTAATGTGTAATTCATGCAGATGCAGATGCAATAAAAATGTAAGGAATGAATTGGGTTGGGGAATAATGGGGGAAATAAACACTACTTTAGTTCAGGGGCCTTGTACGGCCTCTTTGAGAAATTAGTATTTAATCTGAGATTCAACAGATAAAACTGAGCTGCATCCATGCAGAAACCATGAAGGGTACTTGAATCAAAGGAAAGAACAATAGTACGTTTGGAAGCGTTTTTTTCTTTTTTTTAAATTATAATTTAAGTTTTAGGTACATGTGCACAATGTGAAGGTTTGTTACATATGTATACATGTGCCATGTTGGTGTGCTGCACCCATTAACTCGTCATTTAACATTAGGTATATCTCCAAATGCTATCCCTCCCCCTCCCCCCACCTCACAACAGGCCTGGTGTGTGATGTTCCCCTTCCTGTGTCCATGTGTTCTCATTGTTCAATTCCCACCTATGAGTGATTTTTTTTTTGCTTTATTTTAAAATGGAAGGTAGGCTGATACAAGTTGACTTTCCACAAAATAGACCCTAATATAACGCTTTGTATTTCCAGCATTAATATCTGTATTCTAGAAAAGAGACACTCAGTTGCTCTTCAGGTCATCTAAGTGAGTAGGCTCCCAGTATTACATTTGAATTCCTTGTAGAAGTAATCAAAGGGAAGGGAACATGAAGCAAGAAATGACTTAAAAACCCAAGACCTGCCGAAAAGAAGGGACAGAAATTTCTTTTACAGGGGTTCATTTTTAAAAGAGTCATTTGAAGTTCTTATAGGAGAGGTTGCCTATCTCTCATATTGAAGACAGTTTATTATGTCACCTCTTGTCTTTCCCTGAGAAGATTCTGTTAAAGCCTGATGTAAATAATTTCTAGTCTTGTAAAACCTTTAGATGTAATTTAATGATGTGACAGGACATTCTAAAAGCATAATAAATGTTACAGTCATGGACCTCATAACATGAAAAACACATGGCCCTTTCAGCATTCAAGGACTTTCTTAAGTGTTATAATAATAAAAATTACTTTAAATGGCTCTGTTAAGATAAACTTCTGGGCCGGGTACAGTGGCTCATGTCTGTAATCCCAGCACTTTGTGAGGCCAAGCCGGGCAGATCACAAGTTCAGGAGTTCGAGACCAGCCTGGACAACGTGGTGAAACCACATCTCTATGAAAAATACAAAAATTAGCCAGGCATGGTGGCACATGCCTGTAATCCCAGCTGCTTGGGAGGCTGAAGCAGGACAATTGCTTGAACTCAGGAAGCGGAGGTTGCAGTGAGCCGAGATCAGGCCTTTCCATGTTTTAAGACAGAGTGAGACTCTGTCTTAAATAAAATAAAATAAAATAAAATAAAATAAAATAAAATAAAATAAACTTCTGAACATGGACTATGTAGATGTTCCTTTTCTCAAACTTGGTGTCCTGATTAGGAATAGCTCCAACAAAAATAAAAATAAGTAACATTTTATTGCATATAAGAATATAGAGCAAAAATTTGCCCAATAAAGCTCAGCTTAGAGAATGCAAGGGCCTCTCCTGTATGGTAATTCAAAGTAATCAACGTTACCATTGTAGACTTTATAAATCCTGTAATGAACCTTGTAAAACATTGAATGTATAAATGTACACAAACTCTCAGAAACACACCGGTGTGCATGCACACACCTACACACACATTTGCTCCAGAACATTAGATGCTAGAATGAACTTGGTATACACATCAAGACAGAATTATTAACTACCATTTACCTTTGAGGAGGGTGAAAAATCCCTGTAATTAAATGAACCTTGATAATTGACATTACTTGTTTCAGGTTTGTTTTAGGCTATCAAGGCCATCTGATACAACTTCAGGAATGACAGAAAGGGTAAGATCCTTCCCTCTTTAGGGAGTGTTCTTGCTTCATTTAGTATCACAACCTTCAAGGAAGCACTAGGCCCTGAAAATGCACATATAAATATCTTACACCATGCATTATGAGCTATGCAAGGTTAGGTCTTTGGCTACAAGGCATTATAGCTGCAGTGACAATTATATGAGGTATTTTACTACCCCTGTTCGGTTTTTCTAAAACTCATTTTATTCAATGGCTGGTGAGGCCTGCTGGGCAAGTTGGCTTTATATTTCACTTAGTTCTTTCATTTCCATCCCCTGATTCTGACCTAGTATTCCTGCTGAGAATTGCATTCTCACGGAGTTTTGAAACTTTATGAGTTTTGTTTCTGAAAATGCTAAGGCTTTTTGGAAATCTATATGTTTTCTCCAACCTCAGTTTGGAGGCTCAAGTTACCTTGTTTATACTCAGAATTTCATTAGAGAGGTTCTGTCACATTTACAATAGAAGGACTCATCATTTTTCCCATCTCTCTTAAGCTTTCTTTTCAGGCTTCAGATATAGAAGAAGGGAAATGTGTCCTATTTACTGGCCTTCCAGAATAGGGGTCGGGGAGGGAAGGGAAATCTCTGTATTTCACACTGAGATTATATAATATGACTACATCACATGCTGTTTTTTTCTCTATTTCTCCTTCCTATTCACTTTATTAGCCATGTTAAGGGACTATAAATTACATTTTAGCTAAAATTAATAACAAATCAGTTTTGCTAATTTGATTTTCCTGTATTTTGACTGGTGGTGATGGCTGAATGTAACACTCAGAAGACTCCTTCATAAAATGGGAAAAGATAATTTGTATTTGTTGCTCCCTTGAAATTTCAGTGTATACTCATTTGAGATTTTGTACAGGGATGGAAATCGCCAACACTTTTTTGAATTCTATGTTTTCCTTTTTTCATTCACAAAATATTAAAAGGCAAGAATCCTGGCTGATTTCTCAAATAACTAATGCCTATTCCAGACTAAGGGTGTGGCGAAAGGATATTGTTCTAGCTGTCCTGCTGAGCCCCACAGATTTCGATGATGGAATAGTTTCTTCTTTCTTTAAATAATGTTGAAATCCTTGTGTCTTAAAAAAGTAACATTTAAAAAAATGCGAACCTGAAAATGTGGGGAAAGGAAGAGGTAGGAGGTAAAGAAATAGAAAGTAAAATTAAGTGGCCAGACATCAAGGAGATGTGAGTACCTGTAACTATGATGAATGAAATGCATGTTGGAGGAAATTTAACTGAGTTATATTATTGAGTAGCTTCTGCACAGGTTATCTGAAGAATGATGCTGTTGACATCTGTGTACCAGAGAAGGAAAGAGTACAGACTCTGAAGCCAGATTGCCAGACTATAAGTCCCTGCTCCATCATGTATTAACTGTTCAATCTGTTGCTCAGTTTCCTCAGCTGTAAAATGGGATACTATTAGTCTTGGACTCATAGGACTGTTGGACTGTTGTGAGAACAGACGGACTGATACATGTAAAGTGGGTAGAAGAGTGCCAGGCATAAGATAAACACTGTTTTGGCTATTACTGCAGGAGGTTTGGTGGAAGTCTTGGGCTGGTGCTCATTATTGTGAATGGGCCATCTCTCTCCTGGTATATTTCCCTACTGTATTGGTCAGGGCTTTCTCTGATACTCACTGAAATGTGCATGCTGGCTTAGGTCATAATTCTTAGAGACATGATATAAGGTATAAGTTGAAAGAAGGAAAATCAATTTGTCTCTGAGACCTACTTCTATTGTTGTCTAATTTAAATATGAAGAAACAGTTTAGAGTCTTTGAATAATCTGCTTCTATTGTTATAAACTGATATTCATTCTATGTTTATTTCTTTGTACTGACTCAGTTTTTGAGAGAATTTTTAAAAATTGATGCATAATAGATGTACATATTTTGGGGGTACATGTGATATATTGATACATTCATATAAGGTATAATGATAAAATTAGGGTAATTAAAATACTGGTCACCATAAAATTTATGTTTTTTTTTAGACTGGGAAGATTCAAATTATTCTCTTCTGGCCTTTTTTCCAAATATACAAGAGGCTGTTATTTACTATATTGAACACTAGGTCTTATTTCTTTTATCTAAGTGTATTTTTGTACCCAGTAATTCTTTTATTGCTCCCTCCTACACTTCCTGGCCTCTGGTAACAACAAGTCTATTCTCTATCCTCATAAAATCCACTTTTTCAAGCTTCTACATATGAGTGAGAATGTGCACTATTTGTCTTTCTGTGCCTGGCTTATTTCACTTAGCATAATCACCTTCTGTTCCATCCACGTTGCTGCAAATTACAGGATTTCATTTATAGCTTCACAGTATTAGATTGTGTATGTGTATCACATGTTTCTATAGCTTTACAATATTCTATTGTGTATGTATACCACATATTTAATCTAATCATCTATTGATGGGCACTTATGTTGATTCCAAGTTTCAGCTATTGTGACTAGGGCTGCAGTAAATGTGGAAGTACAAATATGAGAGGGGTTTGTTTTTATTTGGTTAGTATCAAGGAGACCACATTGTAAAGCCTGGTTATCTTTGGATTCCTAATATTGCATTTTTTTCCACGAACAATTTATTGGTAATTAAGAGCCTCAACAATCTTTTATTTTTCCCAAAATAAATTTTCACATTTTAGGAGACAAGCTTATTTCAAATTGATAATCTCTTGAGATAAATACTAGTTTATACTAATAAATGTATATGTAATATAGTATATATGTAATTTAAGACTTGTTAATTTGTGTTTGTTTTCAATCATTTATTTCATTTTATTAATGAAAATATTTGAAGACAATAAGTAGTGCTTTTTAACACTCATCTTAAAATGTAACATATTCTTCCTTAAGAGAAGCAACAAAGATGTTTGTACTTTTGTAATCATATCTGGATATCTTGAGCTTTGAGTTATGGGACAATAATTCCTGCTCCATGTATCTATTTACATTCTGCCTGAAGCTTCCTCCTAACAATGCATAAAATATTTGGCCCATAACTTATATTTTGCTGAGTGTTATTGCTTTGTTTCTCAATATTTTTGGATCTGACCCTCATCAAAAGAAACATTATAGACTCCACAGAAACTTTCTCCTCTGATATTATTTCTCCTGAATCTGCTCTGGCATGTTTAAATATTGTCCACAAGAAAATTTAGATAGTGCAGACAATGAAAGAAATAATAGCTTTAGCAAGCAGAGTATTTTGTTACTAAGTTACCTTCTTCTTTCTTAGAACAGGCAGTGCTAGCAGTAGATAATGAGGAGTGAATTTAGTGAAAAACGGGAGATGAAAGTAGCCATTCTAATCAAATTCTGTCGTAATTTCTCAGGTGTCTGGAATTTACGACACACCATTCAGCAAATCTCCAATGATACATTTCTGTAACTGGAGTTATTAATCCCTTGGCAGTTTCATTAATCAGACAAAGAGCTGTGCAGTTATTGAAATAACTCCTCAAATAATTGCCAACTTGCCATGCAGTGACATCACTCCTAACAGAAGTGCTTCAACAATTGATGATATAGCCTTGGTAAATTAGCATTTCTGGCATTGAAAAATCACTTTTGGGTATACCATGGTTCTGAGGAAGAAATTCCTAGAATTATTTATTCTCATAAGCAAGATTTAAAAGTGATGGTGATCAATACCTTGCTTGTTTTACATGTGAGGAAAAGTGTGCAGGCATTGCACCCAGTCTTCTTTCCACTGTGGTTCCTGTTTTAACTATCAAAATATTCTTAAAAATTAAAATAACATCAATTTAATTCCTTTAATATTTGTTCAGTGTCTTTTAGACCATGTGAATTTAAGGCTGCTGAGAGTTGGGGGAACTATGTCAAATAAGTAAGACATGACGTCTTCTCCCAAGTAGTTCATATCCTACTTTTTGGGGACCACATGGTACAATGGAGTAAATAGGATTACAGAGATTTGTTACAAGTGCTAGCAGAGAACAGAGGAAGGAGAAAGCAAGCCTGAGGATGATCATGGTAGAGGGTCAGAAAAGTCTTCCCAAAGAAGTGGACCCTTACATTAAATCTTAAAAGGCAGATGAGGTGGAGTTCGAAAGATGGCTAAGAAATATTAGGTAGTAACGTGTTACTACCTTACTTAGGAAGTAAGTAATTACCTTAATTAGGAAGAAGATTGAAATGAAGGGTAAGACATACGTATTTTACCTCAACTTTTCTAATAACATGAATAAACTCACTTTACCTTGTTGAACCTCAGTTTTGAAATAAGAATATTTTTCTATTTTATGGTGAATTCACTGATTATAATAAAATAGCTGATATATAAAAGCTTTGTGTGGAAGGAAAAGCAGAAAGAAAAAAGTATATTTGTAATGAATTATGTTGATAATCATATATAATGGAAAATTACCAAGACAGAATTTTGATGTCTTCTATTAATTAAATGTCACTGAGACACATGATTTCATTTTTTATCTGAAATGAAATACCTTTCTACAGTTATTTGTCTCACTATATTCCTTTTGACTGTCTCATACCTATTCTCTTAGTTAATAATTTAGATTTGCAAAGGATCACAATTATACCCAATGAGCTAGAGATGTAATAGTAAAATAAAATGGGCAAAAGCCAAAATACTTTATAAAAATTAGCAACACTGTCATCTACTCTTTGCAATCCAACCCTTATGATCTATATTACTTTCTTAACACTTTGAGTCTAATGCTGGAAATCAAAAAAGAAAATCAGATTATACTGTTTCTCACTCTGGCATCAATTTGGTGATTCAAGATATTGTACATTTAGAATATATGTTAATATCTATAGTGTATGTCCCCTTATATAAATGAATTAATGTAGTATTTTGATTATCTGTTAAGTCTGATGTTTTTTATAAAATATCTAGAAAGTTTATATCTGTTTTTACATATGCAAAATTGTGAAGCATCAATTAGGTATATGACTACCTCTCCAATATCAGTTTCCCTTTAGAGCATAGCTTGTTAGTATAAACTGAGTGTATTAGTCTGTTCTTGCTTGCTATGAAGAAATACCTGAGACTGGGTAATTTATAAAGAAAAGAGGTTCAGTTTCTGCAGGCTGTACGGATGGCATAGAGGCTTCTTCTTCTGGGGAGGCCTCAAAAAACTTACAATCATGGCAGAAGGCAAAAAGGAAGCAGCACTTCACTTAGCTGGAGCAGGAAGGAGAGAGAGAGGACGGAGGTGCAACAAACTTTTTAAAAAATTTTTTCTTTTTTTTTTTTCTTTTTTTATTATAGTTTAAGTTTTGGGATACATGTGCAGAGCGTGCAGGTTTGTTACATAGGTATACACGTACCATGGTGGTTTGCTGAACCCATCAACCCGTCACCTACATTAGGTATTTCTCCTCATGCTATCCCTCCCCAAGCCCCCCACCCCCTAACAGTCCCCAGTGTCTGATGTCACCCTCCCTGTGTCCATGTGTTCTCACTGTTCAACTCCCACTTATGAGTGAGAACAAGCGGTGTTTGCTTTTCTGCTCCTGTGTTAGTTTGCTGAGAATGATGGTTTCCAGCTTCATCCGTGTCCCTGCAAAGGACATGAACTCATCCTTTTTATGGCTGCATAGTATTCCATAGTGTTATATGTGCCACATTTTCTTTATCCAGTCTAGCACTGATGGGCATTTAGGTTGGTTCCAAGTCTTTGCTTTTGTGAACAGTGCTGCAATAAACACATGTGTGCATGTGTCTTTATAGTAGAATAATTTATAATACTTTGAGTATATACCCAGTAATGGGATTGCTGAGTCAAATGCTTTTTCTGGTTCTAGATCCTTGAGGAACCACCACACTGTCTTCTACAATGGTTAAACTAACTTACACTCCCACCAACAGTGTAAAAGTATATTTCTCCACATCCTCTCAAGCATCCGTTGTTTCCCGACTTTTTAATGATCGCCATTCTAACTGTTGTGAGATGGTATCTCATTGTGGTTTTGATTTGCATTTCTCTAATGACCTGTGATGATGAGCTTTTTTTCATATGTTTGTTGGCCTCATAAATGTCTTCTTTTGAGAAGGGTCTGTTCATATCCTTTGCCCACTTTTTGATGGGGTTGTTTGTTTTTCTTGTAAATTTGCTTATTTTCTTTGTAGATTCTGGATATTAGACCTTTGTCAGATGGATAGATTGCAAAAATTTTCTCCCATTCTGTAGGTTGCCTGTTCACTCTGATGATAGTTTCTTTTGCTGTGCAGAAGCTCTTTAGTTTAATTAGATGCCATTTGTCAATTTTGGCTTTTGTTGCCATTGCTTTTGGTGTTTAGTCATGAAGTCTTTGCCCATGCCTATGTCCTGAATGCTATTGCCTAGGTTTTCTTGTAGGGTTTTTATGATTTTAGGTCTTACATTTAAGTCTTGAATCCATCTTGAGTTAATTTTCATACAAGGTGTAAGGAAGGGGTCCAGTTTCAGTTTTCCGCATATGGCCTAGCCAGTTTTCGAAACACCGTTTATTAAGTAGGGAATCCTTTCCCCATTGCTTATTTTTGTCAGGTTTGTCAAAGATCAGATGGTTGTAGATGTGTGGCATTATTTCTGAGACCTCTGTTCTGTTCCATTGGTCTATATCTCTGTTTTGGTACCAGTACCGCACCATGCTGTTTTGGTTACCGTAGCCTTGTAGTTTGAAGTCAGGTAGCGTGATGCCTCCAGCTTTGTTTTTTTTTGCTTATGATTGTCTTAGCTATATGGGCTCTTTTTTGGTTCCATATGAAATTTAAAGTAGTTTTTTCTAATTCTGTGTAGAAAGTCAATGGTAGCTTGATGGGGATAGCATTGAATCTATAAATTACTTTGGGCACAATGGCCATTTTCACAATATTGATTCTTCCTATCCATGAGCATGGAATGTTTTTCCATTTATTTGTGTCCTCTCTTATTTCTTTGAGCAGTGGTTTGTAGCTCTCCTTGAAGAGGTCCTTCACATCCCTTATAAGTTTTATTACTAGGTATTTTATTCTTTTTGTAGCAATTGTGAGTGGGAGTTCACTCATGATTTGGCTCTCTGTTGTCTGTTACTGGTGTATAGCAATGCTTGCAATTTTTGCACATTTGATTTTGTATCCTGAGACTTTGCTGAAGTTGCTTATCAGCTTAAGGAGATTTTGGGCTGAGATGATGGGGTTTTCTAAATATACAATTATGTCATCTGCAAACAGATAGTTTGACTTCCTCTCTTCCTATTTGAATACCCTTTATTTCTTTCTCTTGCCTGATTGCCTTAGCCAGAACTTCCAATACTATGTTGAATAGAAGTGGTGAGAGAGGGCATCCTTGTCTTGTGCCAGTTTTCAAAGGGAATGCTTCCAGTTTTTGCCCATTCAGTATGATATTGGCCGTGGGTCTGTCATAAATAGCTCTTATTATTTTGAGATACGTTCCATTAATACCTAGTTTATTGAGAGTTTTTAGCATAAAGCTGTGTCAAATTTTATCGAAGGCTTTTTCTGCATCTATTGAGATAATCATGTGGTTTTTGTCATTGGTTCTGTTTATGTGATGGATTACATTTATTGATTTGCATATGTTGAACCAACCTTGCATCCCAGGGATGAAGCTGACTTGATAGTGGTGGATAAGCATTTTGATATGCTGCTGGATTCGGTTTGCCAGTATTTTATTGAGGATTTTTTGCATCGATGTTCATCAGGGATATTGTCCTGAAATTTTATTTTTTTGTTGTGTCTTTGCCAGGTATCGGTATCAGGATGATACTGGCCTCATAAAATAAGTTAGGAAGGAGTCCCTCTTTTTCTATAGTTTGGAATAGTTTCAGAAGGAATCGTACCAGCTCCTCTTTGTACATCTGGTAGAATTTGGCTGTGAATCCATCTGGTCTGGGGCTTTTTTGGGTTGTTAGGCTACTAATTACTGCCTCAATTTCAGAACTTGTTAGTGGCCTATTCAGGGATTTGATTTCTTCCTGATTTAGTCTTGCGAGGGTGTATGTGTCCAGGAATTTATTCATGTCTTCTAGATTTTGTAGTTTATTTGCATAGAGGTGTTTATAGTATTCTCTGATGGTAGATTTATTCCTTTGGGATCAGTGGTGATATCCCCTTTACCATTTTTTATTGTGTCTATTTGATTCTTCTCTCTTTTCTTCTTCATTAGTCTAGCTAGTGGTTTATCTAGTTTGTTAATCTTTTCAAAACACCAGCTCCTGGATTCATTGAGCTTTTGAAAGGTTTTTCATGTCTCTATCTCGTTCAGTTCTGCTCTGATCTTAGTTATTTCTTGACTTCTGCTAGCTTATGCTCTTGCTTCTCTAGTTCTTTTAATTGTGATGTTAGGGTGTCTATTTTAGATCTTTCTTACTTTCTCTTGTGGGCATTTAGTGCTATAAATTTACCTCTAAACACCGCTTTAGCTGTGTCCCAGAGATTCTGGCACATTGTGTCTTTGTTCTCTTTGGTTTTAAAGAACTTATTTATTTCTGCCTTAATTTCATTATTTACCCAGTAGTCATTCAGAAGCAGGTTGTTCAGTTTTCATGTTGTTGTGCAGTTTTGTGTGAGGTTCTTAATCCTGAGTTCTAATTTGATTGCACTGTGATCTGAGAGACTGTTTGTTATGATTCCCATTCTTTTGCATTTACTAAGGAGTGTTTTACTTCCAATTATGCGGTCAATTTTAGAATAAGTGTGATGTGGTGCCACACATTTTTAAGAAACCAGATCTCATGAGAACTCTATCATGAGAACAGCACCAGAGGAATGGTGCTAAACCATTTATGAAGGATCCACTCCCATGATACAATCACCTCCCACCAGGGCCCAACTCCAACATTAGGGATTACAATTGACATGAGATTTGGTTGGGAACACAGATCCAAACCATATCACTGAGGCAGTAGACATTTATATAAAAATTAAGAATTTAAGAGCTGAATACTTGGAAATAAGAGGCTAGACCAAAATATAGTGAAATATTGTAACAGAATATATCTTTTTCAAAAAGCTACTCAAATGTTTAGTATTGACATAAACTTATTAGTGAGCTAAGATGGACTATTATTAACAGTACTTCAATAATTTTACATTTATTTTAATAATTGATTAATATTTTTTACTAAAATGTTTGAGCATCTGGGCATTGTGTTTACCTCAGAATTATATTTAGTGAGTAGAGCTGCATCTGACATATTGTAGTTGGTTATATTACTATATTAATTTGGAAATTATGTTAAAATTGTAACAAATATGAGTAGCTTCCCAATTCAATCAGATTATTCTGTTGAGTGGAAAAATATTTCTACCTTCACTTATTTCTATCGTGCACACTTAAAAACCTGAAATATTTATTTTGCTAAATATCTTAGTTTTTCTATGTTCTCATTGGTAATGGAGAAATACAATGTTAGTTAACAAATTGGTTGATGCCTAATTCAAATTTTAAAATTGGGGTAAATTATATATAGGGTGTGAAATATTACTTGGTAAATCATTTAACTAAAATGTTATTTATGACTTTACTTTTTCCATCACTATCAAATGTCTGACAAAAAAGAACTTAAAAAAATAGCATTCCTTAACGAGAATTATCTTTAGAGTTGATTGAGAGCAGAGTATTGAGAGAACTGGGGATTCCTATAGTTTCCCGTAAAGAGCATTTTAAAATAACTGCTCTCTATATTTGAAATCTGTATTTATTTTTTTACATTAACTGATCTAGCTTTGTGATACATTTTAAGTAACAAAGCATTACTGAGTTTAATTATTTTTCTCCAAAAGTATTTAGACACATTCAATCTTTCCCTGCTCCACAGAATGGACAAAATGTGAGGAAAATGCATTGTAAGACTATTGTCAAGAAATATATCTATGTTGAAACCTAATCCGCTATGGAAATCTAAAAATTGGGCCATCTACCAGGTATTTTAAGCAGATCCTAGGACAATATAAGATGCTTATTTTTTTTCCCAGGCAAATAGGCCTTTTATCAACTTAGAATGAAGAATCAATCATTTTGCCTATTCTCTGCCTGGAATGGAATCATATGACCTGTTAATAAATTAATATGCATTTTTATTTTCTTTCTTGAAAAGTTGATCTGAAAGAAAATGTAGAAGAACCTAATTACAATATTTGGGAATAAGAAAAGCCTGCTGTGGATAGTGTTGAGCTCACTTTAGTTTGTGGAATTAGCTCAGCAATCATACCATACCAAATATTTTATCTCTATTTGTTTAGGTAAACACAGCCAGAAAAATGCATGCAATCTTTCTTGCGAAGACTGCCCCAGGCAGCTCTCTGTTGCTCCATCCTTTTCCCCCAAGGAGGCTCCTCCCCTGTAAAGTTTGTCCTTCAACTTGGAGCTTTAGAAACATAAAACCTTCTACAAAACTGTATTTTGGATCACTTCACTCATTAATCAAGCACAGCTTACCTCAAGGACTGAATCTGGATATGATTATAAACATGCAATTCTTGCCAAACCAACAGTAATCTTCTTTAAGATAACATGATTATGAACAAGTCATTTTTAATAGCCCATGGCATAAAACACGATGTTAAATTTGACATAGTTTGGATTTGTGGGTGACTAAAATTAAAATATAATTTTTTTTTGACGTTTTAAGTTGACATCATGTACATTCCCGTTAAATATAGTATGACTTGCTTCAGCACCAAAAGTACATATTTCATTATAAAAAACAAGAGGGAAAAAGGATCTTTTTATTTGGTGCCTTTTTTATGCCATTGAATGTGAAAACTAGAGGCATTCTTTTGCAATGCTCTTATTTCACAGTGCTATTCCCCCTTTGACTTGTGTGCAAAAAATAGCAGATGCCTAGGGTATTTGGAACACACCTGGTTTTCATGCAAAGAAAAGTTGTAATTTGGACTATCAAGTGAATAATTAATGTCAAATTAATTCAAGACACATTTTGAAAAAAATTACACGTGAAAATTCTTACTTTCTCTAGGAAATGCTGAAACAGGCATCTTTAACTTCAGCTTTTCCCCCATCCTCATTAGAAAATTCCACCCAAATACGAAGCACTTGTGCTCAATTTATCCTGGGGATGAAAAAACATATTACATTTGCTATTTTGTTTTTAAGAATTTATTCACTCATAAAATGCAGGTTTTGGGCCAGGCACAGTGGCTCACGCCTATAATCCCAGCACTTTGGGAGGCCGAGGTGGGCAGATGACATGAGGCCAGGAATTTGAGACCAGCCTGGACAATATGGTGAAAACCCATCTCTACTAAAAATACAAAAAATAGCCAGTTGTGGTGGTGCATGCCTGTAATTTCAGCTACTCGAGAGGCTGAGGCAAGAGAATCGCTTGAGCCAGGGAGGCAGAGGTTGCAGTGAGCTGAAATCACACCACTGCACTCCAGCCTGGCCGACAGAGCAAAATTCTCAATCTCTCAAAAAAGAAAAAAAAAATGCAGGTTTTGTGAAGTATCATACTTTTTGCTGACATAGTGCTTTCCAGAAGAAAACTACTCTCTTAGACAAAACCGCAGATTGGAAGAAATGCCCATGTCAGATTATCTGCCTATACTTGGAATATTAACAGCAGTCTCTTAAGATATAGGTGAAAGGATTGATCTTGTGGTACACTTGGGTATTTAGAATCCCAAATCTTGAGGCAGTGTCTGGGTTTAAACTCTAGCTTTTGGGGCATAGGTGGGCAGGCTGTTTAATCAATCATGCTACTGAGTAATTTTGCTTTGCTTATGTCTGCAGACAAGTGTCCTGTTTTCATACATCAACCACATTTATCTTAAATGCTCTTTCACCCCAGGCTGCTTCTTTCCTATCTAGGAAGACATAGAGATAGTCAAGATTTATTTTAAAGTATTTAAGGATGAGGAGATGTACAAATAAGAGCTTAGAAAAAAAATTTGTGCATTTAAAAGCCAGCATTTAAAAACATACTCACAAATAAAATGGGAATAGAAACAGGTAAGTGAATTTTTAAGCTTATAAATAGGCATTGGAAGATGAATAGCCTATCTCAACTCCTACCAAAATGATGTAAGTTGCAGACACTTAGTTACACCAAAAAAACCCTATTTTTAGAATAATATTCTAAAAACGTATAACAGATCTTGGTGTTGGTGGCCCATCACACACACTCATCAATGAGTGTCTTTTATAACCATTGAGACAATCAAAAAAATTGTTTTCAATGTCTTTCATACTTGATTCTTTCAGATTTGTAATAAATCATTAGAAAGTCTGCATTAGAATCCACTTCAAAAACTAATGATCCTTCCCTTTTCACTTGAGCAGTACATGATCCCTTCAACTAACCACAGTGTGAAGTAATCTCCATGGCTGGCACTCCATAGAGTGCCATAGTATATATAATATGTAGTATATACATTGCATCTATGTCTATAATTTTAATTCCAGTTACTTAGAATGCCTGCTGTGCTGCATAGAGTTACAACAAAGATTACATTTTTTTCAAATACAGCAAGAAGGCTCTTTGCACTTCTCCCCCTGCCATGATTCCCCAAAACACCATCACTATTACCACCACCACTCCCACCACATACTGTTTCTTCATATCCTTCAATTTCGAACACTTAATCAACACAGAAAAATAGTCTACTCTATTTCCATAGGAAGAAGTTTTATTTTAATATTTATTCCTGCACCCTGAAATTCAATTTCCCATGTCTTTAGGCAGGTAAGCACCATGACCAATCTGGGCCCTGTCCCACAGATTCTGGGAGAAGACTGGCCCCTGTCCATGTAGTAGGGTGAAGATGGGTCCTTAAAATCTAGGTAAGTCCCCATCCATAGAGACTATGAGACTGCTGGTTCCTTTTGTAAATTTACCCTTTTAGATAAACACACCTTCAAAACTACTTTCATGTACTTCAAACTATACTAATTTCAAGCCTCGAAATTTTTTTTCTCGTAAAGATGAGAACAATAGACACTGGAAACTACTGGAGCCAGGGAGGGAGGGGGACAAGGGTTGGAAAACTACCTATTGGTAGTTTTTCTAGTAGTATACTATGCTCACTATCTGGGTGATGGGATCAATAGAAGCTGAAACCTCAGCATTATGCAATATATCCATGTAACAATCCTGCACATGTACCCCAGGACTTAAAATAAAAGTTAAAGTGGAAAAAATATTTTTCTGATACTAAGTCTTTGCATTTGTCCGTTAAGAAAATTAGACTGTTAGTTTTTTGAGCAGCACTTTGAGAATCCTGTCCCAATGAATACATCACCAAAACCTACTCCAAATTGTAATGTTTAGAATCTCAGACAAAATAGTTTGGTATTGATTAAATGCCTTTTATAACTTCTAATCTTTCCTTGTATAAACTGGAGCAATAAATCAGTTGAAATCGGTACAACATTAAATAACAAATAGATGAAATGTTCAAAAATGGTTTTGGTTAATGTAAGAACAAAATCAAAAATTTCTGAGCATTTGGCAATACATCATTGATAATCACTGGAATCTCTGGTCACATTTGAGATTATGTGCACAGCTATTTTTATTTTTGTCTTTAAGTTTCAACAACATATTTCTATTTGTAATCCCATTTCAAGGGGAACGTCAGTGATAAGAATTGAACACTTCAAACATCTAAGTACTTTCTTGTTTTTATTAAACAAGGTCAAAAAATAGTTTAAACTTTACAAAATGGAATTATATGTGTTCATCATTTTTATAGTCCTTATTTTTCTTTTACTTAAAACTGTTAATGTATGTGTATGCGTGTATACACACACATACATATATATGTATTCTGTGTTTATATATGTATATATGTATATGTGTATATATGTATATATGTACATATATGTACATATATACACACACAGAAAAATGTACAGTGAAACAAATCAGATGCCTATTTACCCAGCAGGCAGAATTTATTAATTGTATCATTTTATGATATTTACATCAGATCTCTTTTAAGAAATAAAGTATTGAGTCTAACCCCTGTATTCAATTCCTGGCTTTCTCAGGGGCCATTATTATCCAGAAGAATATCCCCTTAACACCCCCCACCCCACATAAACATACATACATGTATATATGTAACCGGAGAACATTTAGAAAATACTTTATAACATATAAAATCTCAAAAATACTATACATTATTGTTTTGTGGATTTCCAAAATGCACATAAATTAGTTATATTGTTTATGTCATGTTGCCACTTGCTTTGCTCCCTTAATGTTATAATTTCAATATTTATATGTTATATGTAGATATAATTAATTTATTTTTAAAGCTAATAGTTCACTGTATATTACCATCTGTGCAGTGACAGGACTCATGACCCCAGAGCCTCAGGTTGCCTAACAAACAGTTAAGTGGAAAAATATGAAACCTAACTCTTGTTTCCATTGAACCTCAGATCCTCCACATCTCAAGTGCTGGTGGCACTTTTCTGAATATCAGACACCCAGCCTTAGACTTCTTGGGCTAAAGCGCCAAAACCTTTATTCACCAACAATCCTTATCTCCACCCAAGGGTGCTTTAAGCTGAATCCTGGGCCAAGCACAAGTGCTTGTTTCTTCTAATTGTAGCTTTTCTCACCTGCCTCCTTCTCCTCTGCTTTATTTAATATGAAGCTTTGTTGCTAAATGCATTAAGTTATGTGTTAGGCATTATCCAGCTGAATTGGCTTTGTCACTCTGACATTATACTTATTAACATAATAATGTCCTTTGACATAAAAAGTATACTTTACCTAACAGTGATATTGCTGCACTAGCATTCTTTGATTAGATCATGCTTGTAGGTGTGTTTCATCTATTTTCTTTCAACCATTTACTGTCCTTATACTCTAGAGGCATCTTTTAAAGATGTATATCTCTGGATTCTTGTATTATTATGCAGTTGGAGAATCTTTATTGCATTTATTTAGTCTTCTATACTTTTTGTAATTACTGATATATTTTAACTTATTTCTAATATATTTTCCACTTTAATATTTTTTCTTTGATACTTTATTCTCCATTCCTACTTCTCCTGGATTGACTAAGGTTTGTTTATCTTATTTTGCTCCTTTTATTGGTTTAGTTGTAATTCTGTTTTGTTAATGGGATTAAATTATTTAATGTACACTTGGATTCAAATGCCTAAAAGTTACTATTCATGTCTCATGGATTTTACATGATAGCAACACCCAGATTTTCAAAATGCTTTACTATGGCTTTAAAATTTTAAGTCAACAAGGACATTACTTCCTCAGTTTAAAGTTATTTTTCCATTTAATTCTGTCAGTTATTGCTGAGAAGCAGTGTGATGCATTTAATAAGTCTGTTCTCTCATTTTACTTTTGATTTATCTTTGAATCTGGTGCTCTGCAGTTTGTCTATCATGTGCACAGTTGTTAATTTATTTTCACTTATCCTGCTTGAGAATCAATCTGATTTTTTGTGTGATATTAAAATATTTTTGTGCATTGTACTAAAAAATCCATGACTAGTTTGTCTTTAAATATTTTTCTTTTCCTCATTCTCTCTTTTGTTACTCTTCACATATATGCAGCATTGTATCTTTTCCATATTTTAAAAAACTATCAACTTTTTAAATCTCTAAATTGGATTCTGAGTCATTTTTCTAGATCAGTCTTCTAGTTCATCAATTATGTCTTCACAAGATCTGATCTGTGGTATAAGAATTTCTCTTTTTGAATTCTGAGGATTACACATGATTGTATTAGTTATATTTTTTAAAGTGCTTCACTTTTATTGTATAAATTATTTTTATTTCTGTCACCATAGCAAGTAGTAACTAAACCATTGTTTCTTTCAAATTTCTATCTTTTAAAATGCACTTTATGTTTCTGCATAGTATTTATGATTATTTTAAATAATATTTTAAATGTAAAATTAGACGAATTTTAACAAATGTATACAGTCCTGTGACCGTTTCTACAGTCATACAGAAAACTTCCTTTGCCACAAAAAATCTCCACATACCCCTTTATAAGTAATCTCTTTTCCCCACTCCTAGCCCCAGTAACCACTGATCTTCAGTGAGTATAATTTTACCATTTCCACTGATCTTAAGTGAGTATAATTTTACCATTTCTAGAATTTAATATAAATGTAGTTATTCAGTGTGGACACTTTGTGCCTAGCTTTATTAGCTTAAAACAATGCTTGAGATTGTCATCTATGTCATTATGTGTATCAAAAGTCCTTTCTTTTTTATTGCTGAGTCATATTCCATTGCAAGGATTTGCCACAATTTGCTTATCTGTTCACAAACTGATAAACATTTGGATTTGGGTCTACTATGAATGAAACTTTTGAGAACATTCTTATAGAGAACATTGTATTTATCATTAGTATTATTTTTTCTTATCTTTTTGGTCAGACTGGCCAGTGAGGCTGTCTAGATCTGGAGTTTGCTTCATGGGAGAATCTTAACTGTGAATATAATTTTTAGGCAGATATAATGTTACAGATATCATAAGTTTCTTCATGATCAAGCTTCAGTATATTGTGTCTTAAAGAAATTTTCCATTTCATTGAATTTATCAGAATGACTGGTATAAAATTTTTATAATATTTTATTTTTTAAATCTTCATAGGTTCATTAACAGTGTTCATTTAGGTCTCATCTTTACTTTTCTGATCATTGTAAGTAGAGACATTTCAAATGTCAAAAAGTGGAGATCTTTTTTTTAAATCTGCTTTTAGTTTTATTTATTTTCACTATTATTTTTCTGTTTATCATTTCAATGATTACTATTTTTATTCTTATTTACTTTGTAATGCTTATTTCGAACTTATTTTGCTTTTTAACCCTCGTTTCTTAAAAAGCTCCAATCATTAATTTGAGTCATTGAAATATACAAATTACCAAAGTTCATTCAATAAGAAATAGATAGCTTGAATTAAATCCACTCTACACAGAAAACTCCAGGCCCACATATACTAATGGCAAATGAGCATATAAAAATGCTTAAAATCACTAATTAGTAGAGAAAAAAAAAGTACAATATTGTGCTACATACCTAGTTGCACAGGTAAAATTTTAAGACTGTACAAAATGCTGGGATGATGTAGAACAAGTGAAACTCTCATATGCTGCTGGCTGGTGTATAAAGTGGTACAATGACTTTGAAGAGGAACAGTTTGTCAGTTTCTTTCAAGGTTAATCATAGATATGACACAGATATTCTACTGCTAGATATTTACTCAAGATAAAGAAAAACATATATGCGTATAAAAACTTATACAGGAGAGATGGAAAGAATCCAAATGTCCATCAACAGGTAAATAAACAAACTGTGATATATCCATTGTACCCACACAGTGGACTACTGTTCAGCAATTAAAGTAATGGATAATTGATACATAGCATGATGTGGGTAAATCTCAAAATATTTATTCTGAATGAACAGGAGAAAGTTCATATGGTATGATTCCATTTATTAAAAAATACCCTAGAAGATGTAAATTATAATGACAGAAAGCAGATCAGTAGCTGCCTGGGGTGAAGCTATACAATGGAGGTTGGGAAGGGATTACAAAAAACGTGAAGAAACTCCTCTTGTGGGTAATAAATAAATTCATTATTTTACTTGTTGTGCTGGTTTTAACGTATGTATACATATGGCAACACTTCCTGAATTAGATATTTTAAATATGTGTGGTTTTAATTGTATACCAATTATACTTCAATAAAGCTGTTTAAAAAGAGAAACAAATTGGGTTTATTACAAAGAATTTCATTTACACACATAAGTTTTTCTTGATTATGCATTGGCATTTCTTTCTCCAGCTTGAAAACAGGAAAAATAATAGAGTTTCTGATTTGCCTATGTAGACTGCTATGAAGAACTAGTGGCATAATATATAAAAATGCTTTCAAAATGTAAAGTGATATGCAACTCTAAGTTATTATTCTAAAGAGTCTGGGTAGATTTGAGCATCACAATTCATGATGGGCTGCATTTACATTTTGTTTATGTGTTTTTGGGAGGTGGAAGTAGGGTAAAGTTTCTTTCCCTCTTTTTTTTTTTTTCATTCATTGTCTTTCCATCTCTTGCTAACCCCCCTTTCAATAGTATTTCATATTCCTTTCCAATCTCTTTTCAGTTCTCTGGCAGCTCTCCCTGGCTCTAATTCACAGAAAGTTCTGATTCTTTCCTTGCAAGTGCTTTACTTTTGTAGGAAATGCAAAAAGATAATTAAAATTAGGGGAAACCCTGGAGCGTGAATTCCCTTTGGTTCATGGGAAAAGGAGGTGCAAGAAACATGATTGGATTAGTATTCAGGTAATAATGACAAGGTATCACAGCTCTCTGGTAAATGTAGCCTAGCATCCATGTCCAAAACCTTGGGGTTTTTGTTTGTTTTTGTTTTAAATCAGATCGATTATTTCCCTGGCCTCAGAGTTTCCTTCAGTTTGTATGCAAGGGGATGACTTGCTGTAAGTTCCCAAAGTGATGTTGTGTGAGAACACAAAGGGCAATATTTACTTTATAAGACCTGGAAAAAAAATGGTTGCTACAAAATGAATGAACATTTTTTTTCCAGCTATTACTATGATTTGCATATGGATCTATATTTTGCTTCTATTTGGAATTGAATTCCAGTTGGAACTGGGAAAAAAAATTGTTAGTTTACGCCGCACAGCAGCTATCCTTCTTAGTGAATATAAAGTAAAAAGTTTTCTTTAAGCGTTTACACACACACACGTACACACACACAAACACACACATGCATATATTAACGTCACTAATATCAATGAGTGTAAATATCTTCAAAATAACACTGAAAATAAGGTTATCTAAAACAACCAGACAGGAATGGGGCCGTCGTCATTATTAGATGCATATCTATGCAAGAGCAGCTAAGTAAAGTTTTTCTTGCCAGAGTTTGGGATTATACAACTCTTATCTACATGTCTATGGCAGCTTCTTTGTCCCTTGGATTTGAAATAAGAACTAGTACCCTTTTCTACTCTACAGGCTTTTTGACCTATATAAAGTTGACCCTGGAGACAGTTCATAGCTGAAAATAAAAGTTTCTATGCATTTCATATTCTAAAGTAAAAGATCAAACTGCTAGATTAAACACCTCTAGATTTGGGAGAGGTGACATTCCTACAGAACCAATACGGTAAATTCCTTGTTCTATACTTTTCCACTAATAGAATAAGGAAGAGTGGGGATAGATATTTTTGGGAGAGATGAGTTCATAAAGGCAAAAACTATTTTTTCTTTTTCCTTTCGTCTTTCAACTTACAGGTGTAGAGGTCAATACGCTTAATCTGCTCCTTCCAAATTTGGAAGAGCTTCAAGATAACAGTTCATGAAACCATGAAACTGAACATGTCTGCCTGTAGTTTTCTAACTGGTTGCTTACTGAGTCATCTCAGTGCCATTGGAACATGAAGAAAGAATCCAGGAAAAGGGCAGAAGATAGCAATCTGAGAAAAGGCAAAGATTGTTCATGAGAGATTTCCACCGAGCCAAATCTATGTGTTCTGTGAGATCAGGCAAGCTAAAAAAAAAAAAAAAAAAAAAAAGGAGCTGAAAGCAGGACCTGTTTGTCTTATCTCTTCATCTCCCATTACAGACTGCCCAGTGCAGTAAAGACAGATCTGGATGATAAGGTTGGACACTGTCAGTCTGGAATTGGTTAAAGGAAGCAGCCACATTTCCCCTGTGTGATGCTTGATATTAGGTGTGTGGTAAGAGTCAGCTGGGTCCCCTCAAACCAGGAAATTGGTTCTAAAATAGAGCAATGGGGATAGCCACCAAAAAAAAAAAAAAAAAAAAAAAAGAAAAGAAAAGAAAAGAAAAATAGATCATACTCATGAATGCCCCCGTATTTAGAATCAGCAAGGCCATACCATAAAATAGTAATGCACCTCCCCTCACCTACCACAGACTTTTATGGACTTAAGCAAATATCCCCATACCTGCAGCCTCTTTGGCAAAAAGAGTAGAAATAAATGAATAATTTTCTTTTTTTTTGCAAGTAACATCATAAGGATAGCCTGAGATTAAGTGAGAGGCTTTAATTATTCAGAGAGGACTAAAACTTGAAGCAAGAAATACCTGGAAAAATATTGTAGATTTCTCGAAAAAAATCAGCCGTACTGAGAAATTATTAATTGGGAATGTTAAATTTCCTACAATCCTTTCTCACTTCTAACTAGTATAAAGAAAATGAAGAGGGAGAATAGTGAGTTGGGGTGCTTGGAAAGGAAAGTTGTTATTTATATTTAGTATATGTATTTCAATGAACTCCACTAAGTTGAAATCATTAAATCAGCCACATAAATTATTGAATAAACTCATTTTTATTTAAATTTATTTTATTTGTATCTTATTTATGAAAATATTAAATAAGCTTAATAAAACAAGTTTTCCACAAACTCAACATTTAATCCATTAAATTTATTTATTTCCTTTCACCAAGCTTCCTTCAATGTTCCTTATTTTAATAAGTTATAAAATAGTCTATGCGGTTGATCAAGGAAGAAATCATTTTCTCTTTAACCATTCCTATGCAACTAACACTACATCTGACAATTTTTCCTCCTAAACATCTCTCAAGTCTACTTGCTTCTTTCCACTCACCCCCACTGACATTACCTTACCTCAGGCCCATCATGCGTCATGCGGTTATCTCAAGGGCCTCAAAACTGGCCCTACCACTAGGGTGAGAGTAAACTTTTTAAAGCACAATGTGATCCATCACTCACCTGCCTGCCCCCCATAACAGTCAATATTATCTCTCCATTGCCTTCAATAAGTTTTAAACTCATATTTAACCTCAGATATAACTCACATACAAACGTCAAAGACTATTTACAACGTCCTTAATTGTTTATTTACTATTCTGGCTCCCTTTCTTTGACTCTTACCATCACACTCCAGCTTCCAGTCCAGTTGTGTGAAAATAATGCCATAAAGAATGCTAGTCTTCTACAAAGTACTTTCAGAGACAATTGAGTGTGTGTCTGTTCGTGTGTGTCTATGTATGTTTGTCTTTGTGTATTGAGCATGTTGTGACTGTGTGTTAAAGGGTGTAGTGGGAATCTGTCAGAACTTCACTTCAGAGCCACCTCAAAGCTCACCTTCAATCACAGTAGCTACATTTGTGGGGAAGAAGAAAGAAGAAGAGAGTACATGCTGGGTTTCCATATAAGTATACCTTTAAAGAAAGAGTCCCACAGCTTGAAAAATTGGAAAAAAAAGAGACAAAATAAAACAAAATTACATTAAACACCATTACTCTGCCATAATGATTCATTAAGTACTTCTTAAAATATATTATGCTTTTTCTTCATGTAGGTCCTTTTACTTTCTGATAATCTCATTGTGGAAGATTCCTACACTTTACTCTCGCAACACCTGGTCATCTAGGTAATTCACACTCATTTTTCAGCTATCTGTCCAGAGATCACATCGGGAAGATTTTACTGAACTTCCAAGATTGGCGGTCTCTGTTTTTGTTATTTAAAGAAAAAAAAGGGGCCTGCTGTGATAGCTCATGCCTGTCATCCCATTCGATAATCAATAAGTATCCCATCCAATACTCAAATTTGGTAGTGCTTTGAATAAATAAGCATGCAAAAACTCTACTTGCTACTAAAGCTGCCCTTATCTTTTGCTTTTCCTCTCCAGGAATTTTTTTTCCTTTATGTTTCATTTGCCACTCCTATAGGCTTTCCTCAATTTCTGCCTTTGAGTCTTGAGCATTCCTGAGTGCTACCTGTAAATATTCTTGCTAAAATAAAGTCTAATATTTAAGTTATGACATCCATTTGCTTCATAAAAACACCTCAAGGCCCTGTACATGAAGAATGCTGATCTACTTATTTAATTTATTCATCTTTAGTAAAAATGTACTTTTTAATATTTTAAATATGTACTGAATGTTTTACTTTCATTTAAAAATCCATTTAAGTGTTTTCTTATAAATGTATGACAAATATGTAAGAACAGCCAATGAGCAGACTAGGATAATGTGATTTCAGTGACAATAGAGTAAAAATAGACCAGGATCACAGCTGAAGATGTTGTTTCTGAATGGAATTCCATTTATGCTGAGACATAAAATTACAAGTAATTAAAGTATATGCACTTTAGATTTGAAATGAATGTTTATAAGGCAGACAAAGTAAAGACATGCCATGTGACCTTGTATATATTCTTGGTGTGTTAGTCCATTCTCATGCTGCTAATAAAGACATACCTGAGAATAGGTCATTTATAAAGGAAAAAGGTGTAATTGGCTCACAGTTCCATGTGGCTTGGGATGCCTCACAATCATGACTGAAGGTGAATGAGGAGCGAAGTCACATCTTACATGGCGGCAGGCAATAGAGCTTGTGCAGGGGAACTCCCATTTATTAAACCATCAGATCTCATGAGACTTACTCACTACCACAAGGACAGTATGTGTGGAACCATTCCCGTGATTCAATTATCTCCACCTGGACCTGCCCTTACACATGGGGATTATTACTATTCAAGGTGAGATTTGGGTGGGGACAGAGCCAAACCATATCACTTGGGGAAAAAAAGAAAAAAATAGTCAAATTCATTATAGAAAGCTTTATTTGGTGTAGATCATTTTGAATTCCTTCTTTCCAAGTAAATAGCAAATTTAAATTTCCAGGTATCTTATTATAATGACCCAACTCATTAAAATAAGCCATTTGCATTTTCAGAAGGATAGCATTAATCAACAGAAACCTGGCATTTTCTTTTCATGTCCTAAATTAGGGTTCTATGGTTGGCAGAGCCTGATGAATCAAAACACCTTCAAGTATGCAACAATCACTAGGTCCAATCTCACTCACATGCCAGATTTACTCCTAGAGGTGTGTGGCCTTGCACAGTTGGTATTACCTCTCTGAGCCCTGTTTCTCTTCCCTGAAAAATGGAAATGAAACCTCTACTTAATATGTATCTATGAGTTTCGCAAGCAGTAATGCATGAGATATACCAAATACAGAACCTGACACATAACATATGCTCAATGGATATTGGCATTTCTCAATTGATGTAGCAATTGAACACAAGTGAATTACCTAGGTGTTGTTTTTATATTGGGACAGTTTGAGTTGTGGCTGTGATGGAGCAATCTCGAGAGTGAGTGGGAAGAGGAGCATGCACTGTGCAAATGGTTATTTTTGTATATAGGAGATTCACATTTCATCACTTGGAGAGTGACTGAGCACTGCAAATGAGCAAGAGTAGCCATAAATAGAGATTTCTAGTTGACAGGCTGCTGATAAAACAGCTTTTACTCTAATATGAAAAGCAAGTTAAGCAAACATATGATTGAAGCTGCAGTGTGAAAAAGACTGTAAAGAGTATGCTTGTGAAGGGGAGAGTGATATGTGTTAGATTGTAGTAGCTTTAATTGATATACATCTATATCATATACTATGAGTTTCTGGGTGTGTCTATATATGTGTGTGTATATATATACACACATATCTATCTATCTATCGATCTATCTATCTTCTATTTAATCTGTCTATCTACCATCTTTTTAATCTATCTAAACCCTTAGCATGGTACAAGGTCCATAGTGGAGAGCTAATAAATGAGGAAATTGCTTTAATGTTTATGCACCAAACTAGAGAGACACTTTAAAATGATTATCTCTAAAGAAAACTGTTGCAACAGCTAGGGGAAACATTTCAGGACTTGTAACTTGAAAATTTGAACGATGTTTGGATGTCATGTCATCATGATTTTTGATTTCTCTATGGTATATAATCCAGCTGTTTAAATCTTCTTTTGTAAAATTCCTCCTTCTCTTTAAGATTCCTGGTACTAAAAATAAAATACTCCTTTTCATTAACATAATTTTAACTTTTTCTTCTAAATATTTCTTGGTTTTTGCTTTACATTCTTAGCATCTCTTCTGGGATTTAGCCTTGAATTCCAGCCTCCTGACAAATATGGACATCCTTCTATTCACCACCACTTGAACTAAGTCTCATCTCTCATTACTCTTCTGAAAATACCAGGGCTGTCCCCTTCCAAACTTTTTTCCCTTGGCTATTTCTTTCTTCTTTCATCCGTTTGTGCCTAACTCTGTATGTATGCTCACATAGGAAAATCCACTTTCGAATATTTCCATCATTCAACCTGATTTATAACTTACTTTCCCTGAAACACCTTCCCAGGCCAACCAAGATGGGGGCAATCTGTTGACTCTGAAGTCAATTAACACTACCTCATCTTTAGGTTTCAAGTACATATGGATATTGTGGCGTTGTGGAGACACTACTGAAGTAAGATAGACTTGAATTCAAATTCCACATAGCTTTAACAATTATTTTACCTGGAGAAGTCATTTAAAGCCTCTGAACCTCAATAAAAAGAATAATTAATTAACTGTATTTTTTGGAGCCGTGTTACGTTCACAGTAAAAGTACAGACTGTTGCCATATACCTCCTGTCCTCACACATGCACAACCCACCCAACTCTCGACATTCTGCACCTCAGTGGCACATCTGTTACAATTGATGCACCTCCATTGACATCCCACTGTCACCCAAGTTCCATATTTCACATTAGGGTTCACTCTTGGTGTTGGATATTCCATGGATTTTCGCAAATGTATAATGACATGTATCCACCATTGTCGTATTGTACAGAATAGTTTCACTGCCTTAAAAATTCTACATAAATCCTGTGAGATATCCTATTCAGACCTCCCTTCTTTCTACTTCCTGGCAACCACTAATCTTTTACTGTTTCTATAGTTGTGTCTTTTCCAGAATGTCACATAGATGGAATCACACATAATGCAGCCTTTTTGGATTAGCTTCTTTTCACTTAGTAAGATGCATTTAGGTTTCCTAATATCTATTCATGACTTGATAGCTCATTTATTTTTAATACTGGATAATATTCCATTGTTTGGATATACCAGAGTTTATTTATCCATTCACCTACTGAAGGACATCTTAGATGTTTCCAAGTTTTGGCAATTATGAAAAAAAAACTGCTATAACATTCATTTGCAGAATTTTTTTGTGGACATAAACTTTCAAATCATTTCAGTAAATACTAAGGAGTGTGACTGCTTGATCATATGGTAATATTATATTTAGCTTTGTAAAAAAAAAAAAAAACTGCCAGACTGCCTTCCAAAATGGCTATACCATTTTGCATCCATACTATCAATGAATGAGAGTCCCTGAGCGCCACATCCTCAGCTGCATTTGGTGTTGTCAGAATTTTGAATTTTGGCCTTTGTAATAGGTGGATTGTGATACCTCAATGATGTTTTAATTTATAATTTCCTAATGACATATGATATTAAATGAGCATCTTTTCATATGCTTATTCGCCATCTGTATGTCTTCTTTGGTGAGTTGTCTGTTCAGGTCATTGGCTAGATTTTAATTGGGTTATTTGTTTTCTTATTTTTAAGTGATTTTTGTATATTTTAGAAATTTTGGATAACAGTTCATTATAAGATGTGTTTTTGTAAATATTTTATTCAATTTATAGCTTGTCTTCTCATTATCTTGATATTTTCTTCAATATAGCAGAATTTTAAAAGAAATTGTAATGATGTTCAGCTCAATTGATCAGTTCGGATCAATTATTTCCTTCATGGATCATGCCTTTAGTTTGTATGCAAAAAGCCATCACCATATCCAAAGTAGTTGAGCTTTTCTCTTATGTTATCCTCTAAGAGATTTATAGTTTTGAATTTCATTCACATTTAGATTGGTGATTCATTTTGTCTTCATTTATGTGAATCATGGAAAGTCTGTGTTTAGATTTGTATTTTTGATGTGAATGTTTAGTTGTTCCAGTGTTCAGTTTTCCAGCTGAAATGACTCTCTTTTCCTCATTGTGTTGCCTTTACTCCTTTGTCAAAAATCAGTCCACTACATTTATGTGGGTGTATTTCTGGGAGCTCTATTCTGTTCTATCAATGTTTTTATCTACTTTTTTTTTTCGGCCAATACTACACTTTTTGATTATATATCTTTATAGTAAGCCTTGAAGTTGGGTAGTGTCAGTCCTGACTTTTTTATTCTCTTTCAGTATAGAAAACACAGAAATGCAAAAACAGAAAAAAAAATTACCCCAAATTCACCATCTTTAAAATAACCACTCTTACAAATTTTAGAATGTCCTTCTGGGTTTCTTTTCAATGCATATGTAAATATATTTGCACAAAAGTAAGACCATGCTTGACATGCTGTTTTTTTTTAAATGTTTAATTTTTGTGGGTACATAGTAGGTGTATATTTATATGGGGTATATGAGATACTTTGATATAAGCATGCAGTGCATAAAATCACATCATGGTAAATGAGATCTCTAACCCCTCAGGCATTTATCCTTTGGGTTAAAACAATCCATCTACCTTCTTTTAGTTTTTTTAAATGTAAAATTAAATTATTATTGATTATAGACACTCTGTTGTCCTATAAAATACTAGATCTTATTCACACTTTAAAAATACGTTTTGTACCCATTAACCATCCTCACTGCCCACCCCAACTATCCTCCAAGGCTCTGCCAACCATTCTTCTATTCTCTGTCTCTATGAGTTCAATTGTTTTAAAGTCTTGCAAATACATGAGAACAGCAAAGTTTTTGTATCTGTGCCTGGCTTATTTTATTAATGACCTCCAGTTCCATCTGTGTTGTTGCAAATGACAGGATCTTATTCTTTTTTATGGCTGAGTAGTACCCCACTGTGTTTATGTACCACGTTCTCCTTTTTTCCTCAATTAACCTGGATAGTCACACTGATTTTATTGATCTTGTCAAATAACCAGCTTTCAGTTTCATCAGTTTCCTCTATTAATGTCTGGTTTCCAATTTTATTGATTTTTTGCTCTAATTTTTAATTCTTATCCTCTGCTTACTTTGGATTTTGTCTTCTCTTATTTTGATAGTGTTCTTAGGTGGAAGTTTAGATAATTTTAGATCTTTTTTTCAATACATGCATTTAATGCTATAAATGTCTTTTTAAGCACTGCTTTTACTGCATTCCAAAATTTTTAATAAATTGTATTTTCATTTTCAATTACTTCAAAATGTTTTCACACTTCTATTGTTAACTCTTCTTTGATTCTTATATAATTTAGAAGTATGTTGTTAATCTTTAAGTGTTTTGGGGTGTTTCAATTCTTTTTCTGTTATTAATCTCTAGTTTAATATCACTGTCGTCTAAGAGAAGATGTGTAATTTCTATTCTTTGAAATTTGTTGAGGTGTGTTTTATGACATTTAATGTGGATTAATCTGGTAAATGTTCCATGTGAGCTTGAGAAGAATGTTCAATCTGCTGTTGTTGGGTGAAGTGGTCTATAGATATCCATTGTATCTAGTTGATTAATGGAACTGCTCAGTTCAACTATGACCTTACTGATTTTCTCCTTGCTGAAACTGTCCATTTCTGGTACAGCGATGCTAAATACTTAAACTATAATAGTGAATTCATGTATTTCTCCTTGCAATTCTATCAGTTTTTGCATTATATATTTTGATGCTCTGTTGTTACATGCATATACATTAAGAACTGTTATATCTTCTTGGATTATTGACATCTTTAACATTATGTAATGTCCCTCTTTATCCCTAGTAACATTCCATGCTTTGAAGTCCCCTCTGTCTGAAATTAATACAGCTACTCATGCTTTCTTTTGATTAGTGTTATTATGGAGTATCTTCCCTCATCCCTTTACTTTATGTCTGTTTTTACTTAAAATGACTTTCTCATAGACAACATCTAGTTAGATGTTAGTTTTTAATCTACTCTGACAATTTCTGTCTTTTAATTGGTGTACTTAGGCCATTGACATTTAAGATGATTATTGATGTGTTTAAATTAATCTCTACCATATTTGTTACTATTACTTTTTTTTTTTTTGGTCTTCCATTTTCTGCCCTTTGTGGTTTTAATTGAGTATTTTATATTATTCAATTTTTTCTTCTTTCTTAGCAAATCTATTATTCTTCTTTAAAATTTTTTAAATAATTGTGCTAGTATTTGCATACACATTTACAAGTAATCAAAGTCCACTTTCACATAATACTATGCAGCTTCACATGTTGTGCTAGTACCTTATTTCTAACTCCTCCCTCATCTTTTCATTCTCTTAACAGTGTGCTTCCAAGAGCAAATGATTTTAACTTCTCTAAAATCCAACTCACACTCACCAATTCTGTTTTCCTGGATCTTGCTTTGGTGTTCTATCTAAAAGTCTCATCATCATATTCAAGGTTACATAGATATTCTCCTGTTTTCTTCTAGAAATTTTAGCCTTTTTTTTTTTTTTTTTTTTGAGATGGAGTCTTGCTCTGTCATCCAGGCTGGAGTGCAGTGGCACAATCTCGGCTCGCTGCAACTGCCACCTCCTGGGTTCAAGCGATTCTCCTGCCTCAGCCTCCCTAGTAGGTGGGGTTACAGGCGCCCACCACCATGCCCAGCTAATTTTTGTATTTTTAGTAAAGACAGGTTTTCACCATGTTGACCAGGCTGGTCTTGAACTCCTGACTTGGTGATCCACCTGCCTCGGCCTCCCAAAGTGCTGGGATTACAGGTGTACGCCAGAAATTTTACAGTCTTGATTTTATATTTAGTCTATGATCCATTTTGAAGTCATCTCTAATAAAGGTGTAAGGTCTGTGGCTAGTTTCATGTTTTGCACGTGGATGGCCATTTGTTCCAATACCATTTGGTAAAAAGATTGTCCATTGATTTGTCATGGCACCATTGTCAAGTATCAGGCCTGTTCCATTGTTGTCTGTGTCTATTCTTAACAATTCCACAGTGTCTTGGTTACCTAAGCATTACAGAAAGTCTAAAAATTAGTTAGTGTGAGTTCTCTAGCTTTCTTTTTGGCTTTTGGTTTATCATGTAAACTTAAGAATCCAGTTTTTGATAGCTACAAAATAGCTTGCTGAATTTGTTTTTTAATTTTTTAAATTTGTAATTGATACGTAATAATTGTATATGCATGTGAGGTACAATGTAATACATGTAAGCATAGTGTGATGATCAGATGCATATAAACATAGTGTAATGATCAAGTGGGAGTAATTACCATACTCATCACTTTAAAAATGTATCATTTCTTTGTGGCGACAACATTCAAAATCTATCCAGCTATCCTGAAATATACACATCATCATAATTTTTTTTAACCACAGTAGATGTAGGATTTGTTGATACTTTCAGTATCAACTGATGTGATCAGATAATTTTTATTCTTTGCCCCATTGATGTTGATTACATCCAGTGATTTTCAGATGTAACACTTTGCAATGGAATAAATCAGCTTGATGAGATATTATTGAATCTATTGATGAAGACGGAAAGAATTGGCACTGTAAGAGCAGCCAGTCTTCCAGATTATTCATGGATAGACTGTATTCATGAGTTCAGACTATGTTTTCATTTAATTCTTTTGATTTAGTGTTTTGTAGTTTTCTGCATACATATTCTGTATATATTTTGTTAAATTTATATCTGAGCATTTCATTATCTTGGTGCCATTGTAATTGTATTTTAAAATTTCAAATCTCAAATTTTTCATTGCTAGTATATAGAAAAATAATTGTTTTTTGTGTATATATATACGTGGTGATATATATGTAAGCATACGTATATACATAAGCATATATATAAGCATACATAATACAATGCTGCTATAATTATTTTGAACAGTGTATGTTAGATCAATTAAGAGCAAGAGAATAAAATTTTATTTTAACTTCAGTTATTTATTCTTTGATGCTCTTCCTTTCTTTATGTAGATCTGGTTTCTGACCCACATAATTTTTCTTCTTTCTGAACAACTTCCTTTGATATTTCTAGCAAGGGAGGTCTATTGGCAAAAAATTCTTTTAATTTTTGTCTTAGAAAGTCTTTATTTTTCCTTTACTTCTGAAGGATAATTTTGCATAGCAGAGAATTCTAGGTTGGTGGATTTTACTCTCAACACTTTAAATATTTCACTCCATTCTTTTCTTCCCTGCATGGTTTCTGAGATGCCAGCTACAATTCTTATAATTTTCCCTCTTTAGGTGAAATTTTTTTCATCTTTCTTGTTTCAAGATTTTTTTTTTTTAGTCTGTGATGTTCTGAGGTTTGAATATGGTATGTTTATGTGTAGTTTTTTTTTTTTTTTAACCTTTATTCTGCTTGATATTCTCTGAGATTCCTGGATATGTGATTTGATGTGTGACCTTAATTAGGGGAAATCTTCAATTATTATTCTTTCACATATTGCTTCTTTTTTTCTCTCTTCTTTTTTGTGAATTCTCATTACCCATATGTTATAGCTTTTGGAGTTCTTCCACAGTTTTTGGACTATTCACTGTTTTTGCCAGCCTTTTTTTTCTCTTTTCTTTTCAGTTTTGGAAGTTTCTATTGTCATATTCTAAAGCTCAGAGATTCTTTCCTGAACCATGTGCAGTTTACTAATGAGCTCATCAAAGGCATTTTTCATTTCTGTTATAGTGTTTTTTATCAGTGGCATTTCTTTCTGATTCTCTCCTAGAATTTTCATCTCTCTGCTTACATTATCCGTCTGTCCTTGCATGTTTTCTATTTTTTTCATTCAAGCCCTTAGCTAATTAATCATAATTTTAAAAATTCCCAGTCATATAATTTCAACATTCTTGCCATGTCGGACTCTGGTTCTCAGGCTTCTCCAGGCTCCTCCAACTATGCTTTTTGCTTTTTAGTATGTCTTGTAATTTTTTGTTGAAAAATGTGCATGATGTACTGGGTAAAAGAACTGCAGTAAATAGGACTTTGGTAATGTAGTGTTAAGGTGTGTGGTGGGTGAGGAGTGAGGGGAAGCATTCTATAGTCCTGTGATTCGGTCTCAGTTTTTTGATGAGTATGTGCCCCTGAACTGTGACCTTCACCAATGAGTTTCATCCTCTGCCCCCGCACTTAGTTGGCGTAGGATAGCTAGAAGGAGCTGGAGTCAAATATTTCCCTTCCTCCAGTTTTGCTAGACTGTGATAAAACCACAGTAGAATAGGTTCTAGTAAAGTAGTTTATTCTGAGGGCAGGCCTTGTTAAGAAGAACAGAGAGTTCTGGTCTATTTCTGAATGATCTGCTTTCCTCTCCCCCTGCCAGAAGCATGAGATAATTTTTCTCTAATATTCAGTTTGTGAAACTGGGTTGAGTTCCTGGAGGAAAAACTCAAAAAATCATGGAAGCCCTCTTATGATTAGGTCCCCCTGGAATTTTTCACTTTCAGACTTGTCCATATTGATCCCTCAACAAAACTCAAACACAATGACAGTTTGTATTTTCCTACCCTGGTACTGCTTCCCACAAAGCCTTCTGCTCATGAATTTCTGCTCCAGCCAGTTTTGATTCTCCATATCTGCTTGTTTGCCTCTCCAATTTAGGGGCAGCTGTTTGTCAGGTACCTTGCTTCTCTGATAGATCTAAAAAAAGTTGCTGATTTTTCAGTTTGTTCTGCTTTTTGTTTATGACTAGGATGGACTGGTGATTTCTAAACTTTTTACATGATGAACCAGAAAGCATAAGTCTCTAGAACATCTTTGTTTTTTCTTTGGTAAATTCATGCGAATAAAAATCTCATCTTTTTAGGATGTTTCAGGAATTCATAAAATATAAAGTATGTGATGAAATTGCTTTATGTGTAACAACATAAATATGTAGTTAAAGCAATTGAATATACACACATATTTATATATACATATTTCATATAATTATCATATCATTGTCTATCTATAAATATATACTCAGTCCCGTTTCTAGCATAGAAACACTTAATACATAGTTGCTATCATTATTTTCACAATTATTACTATCATAACATGGAGTAATACATGTAAAATGCATTCATATGCATATATTTTTTAAAGTATGAATTGCTTCTCTGGTTTTCTGTGAGATAATTTCAGCCTTCTCATTGCTTGTTAGCAATCATATCAGAAGGTGAGATGACAAAGGGAGGGGAGACAAAGCCTAGAGATAGCCAGTGTTCATGATTGTCATCAGCTTCTGAAAATGCTTAGTGAGGCAGGGTATCAACTTGAAGAAGGAAAAGAGTTAGGTCTAGAATATGTATGTCAGTTTATTTTCTCCATGAAATTACTTTTACAGAGGGCAGCATTAAGAATTGCCTTTAAACAATTGCAACTTTTTTCTAGCACAATCATAATATTAAATCTTAATTTCTAGTAAGACATTGGGAAGTTTCTTTTTCCATGATATTCTTTATGTCCTTTCAGATGTGAATTCAAATCGAAGATTTCTTTCTCATATCAAAGAAACCAGCTTAAGGCAAGGCTTACCTTAAAAAATGTGTGTGGCAATTAAACCACACATACTAGGAAACAACTCTAAGTTAATTAAATGTTTAGCATTTACATTCTGAGAAGAGAGAACAGTAAGCTGGATTTTTAGGGAGAGGTTATTATAGCTTTGTTTTCTTTGCTTTGCTCATTTAGTCTCTTAAGGGAGTGCAAAAATTAGGTTTTCTTCTGCCTTATAACTTTTAGATGGCAGCAAGCCTGCCGACCTGTCTTTGTTCTGCTGCATCAAGTCTCTCAAATACTCCCTTGACCCTGATGATATTAAGTACCAACGATTTTTTTTAAAAGTCCTTTAAAATGAATCTCAGCAGCCACCAAGCTTCTGGCAAGCTCTAAATATGTTTTGTAGTCTCCCTTTAAGACACACTAAGGCCTGAAAAATGATGAATATTATAATTTAGATGGTACAAAAGTGACATCCACAGACCTAACGACTTACATGATATTATCATGCCTTTTATTCGTTACTCTGGCAATGAATATTAATTTTCAACTGAGTGCAAAGCTGTTGTGATTTATTTTATCCTTGGTTAAAATCCAGGACAGGTGGGATGCCTGATTGCTATGTTTTATCATTTTGAAGCTACAAAAATAACACGAAACTGGGACAAACAAAATACTTTGTACATAAATGCAACGATGGATAGGACAGGCTAGGGATCCTCATCACACCAAGTGACATTGAGAACATAGAGAACTATTTTGTCTTCTGGATATGCCCAATGTTATTGGATTTGAACTAGGTTAAAGGGTCACTGTCCAAGAGAAGTTAATTATATGACCTGGGTTTTGTGACTGCCTGTAATTTTTTCTCTGTCTGCAAGAAGCTGTTATAATGTGCTTACCACAATATTGGAGGCAGATTTTTTACTGAATAATTTCTCTCCTCTGAAAAGTGTTCAACAATTTCAACTTCAGAGAAAAAACCCTTTATGATAGGAAACTAAGGAAATGCCAGAAATCACAAATAGAGAAATTACAATTATCTGTACCAACCAGTCAGAGTTAACCACTACTAAAATTTAGCATGTGTAGTCATAATTTTCTTTTTACATGTAATCAAGATTATATTTTTCATAATGTACATTCTTTTATATTTTAGGAAATTATTTTTATATGTTTATGCATCCTTTGAAGAGGTATATATATTACATACACATATTATAAAATATTTAATCAATACATATATTTGCATATATATTTAGTTTCTCATTTGTAACAATTATCAAGAGTCCTTTGACTAATCTCCACATAAGAAACTATTTTGGAATACATTTAGTTGCATTATTACACAAATCTCTATGTATGTAAATGGTTTGGGACCAAAAGTGAAATGCTGAATGATTTGATTATGGATGTTTTAAAGACTTCAATACATATTTCAAAATTTTGATTCAGAAAAATCTGTGCAATTTTTCCTCTTACCTATAATGTGTGAGTGCCAGCATCAGTGTATTGAAATGCAATGCAGAAAATTAAGTGAATCCTTCACCTCAATTTTACAGAGTAGGTGTAATGCGAAAGAGTTACGTTTTGAATTTTGAAGTAAAAACTGAAATGTAATGGTGATTTTAAATTTAAAAACAAATTAGTAAGTAGCAAATATGATAAGAATTGATTTTAAAAGATTTTAAAAGGAAAAATAATCCTTTAAAGTTTGGGAATACGCAATTCAAGCTTGAAATTGAAAAAGGGGTAGAAGATATTAGGTGGTATTTCTCTTTCATTATCCCTTAAAAGCAAGGAATTTGGGGGAAACATAGAGCTATTAATCTGATGAGGAATTGTCTCAATACTACTGAGAAAGCAAATCGATCAGCCTCATTCTCCCTTTTCATAAGAAGAGCAGTTACTCCTTATTGTATGAGAGGGTATAAAAGTTTTAAACACAGCAATATGTGTCTGCAAATTACGAGAAACCCTGCAAAGCCTTTAGGGGAATTATTAAAGATGAAGATTTTTAATGAGCTGGGAAAATAAGAGAAGCACATAATTCTATCAAAGATCTATTGTACAAGTTCTACTTACAAATGGGGGTTGGAATAAGAAAGAAAATTTATTTCTTATTTATTATTATTATAATGTATTTTTATTTTTATTTTATTTTATTTTATTTTATTTTATTTTATTTTTTGAGACGGAGTCTTGCTCTGTCACCCAGGCTGGAATGCAGTCACTGACCTCAGCTCTCTGCAAGCTCCGCCTCCTGGGTTCACACCATTCTCCTGCCTCAGCCTCCCGAGTAGCTGAGACTACGGGCACCCACCACCACGGCCGGCTAATTTTTTGTATTTTTAGTAGAGATGGGGTTTCACCGTGTTAGCCAGGATGGTCTCGATCTCCTGACCTCGTGATCCACCCGCCTCAGCCTCCCAAAGTGCTGGGATTACAGGTGTGAGCCACTGCGCCCGGCAAAAATTTATTTTTTAAACCACATACTTTTATGTGCAAACATTTATATGTGACATGCAAGATTCAAATATAAACTTGAGAGTCCAAGTTCATTAGGGTTTGAATTGTTCATAAATATATACCAAATTTTCATACAGGAACTGTTTATCTTTTTAATGGGACAGAAAAGTTAATTTTGCTAATAATTTTGGTGTAAATGTTTCCATTTTTCTTTAGGTTTTACGTCATAATGGAATTTGACAGTCTGTATATGCAAATTCAGTTCAATAAACAGCTCTTTACTGAGTGTCTAAGTTGATAGTACAGCTGAGTTAGTTGATAGTTACATTGTAGGGTAGGAGAATGTTGTATGATAGAATTATATGCAGCATAAAAAAGAGAGAGACTTCAAGAATGATAATTACCCATGACAATATGGCTCTGTTGTACAATATTCACTTACTGAAAGGATACGATTTGTTCAAATTGTTAATACCATCCCTGTATTGCATTATAGAGCCCCCATTAGGTACTACTCAGTGAGATTTTTCTTTATATCCTGGCTTACAAAGGGATAATGGTTGCAACATCAGCAGAATCAACAGAGATAGCAGTTCAGACCTTGTAGGAAAAGATTACTTGACTCTTTTAGTGAGAGAGGCTTCTTTTACTTCCTTTTCTCTGCCAAAGATTTTCTAGCATTTATTAGAATATGCAGAACATAAATCTCCTTAAGCTGATAAGCAACTTCAGCAAAGTCTCAGGATACAAAATCAATGTACAAAAATCACAAGCATTCTTATACACCAATAACAGAAAAACAGAGAGCCAAATCATGAGTGAACTCCCATTCACAATTGCTTCAAAGAGAATAAAATACCTAGGAATCCAACTCACAAGGGATGTGAAGGACCTCTTCAAGGAGAACTACAAACCACTGCTCAAGGAAATAAAAGAGGATAGAAACAAATGGAAGAACATTCCATGCTCATGGGTAGGAAGAATCAATATCGTGAAAATGGCCATACTGCCCAAGGTAATTTATAGATTCAATGCCATCCCCATAAAGCTACCAATGACTTTCTTCACAGAATTGGAAAAAACTACTTTAAAGTTCATATAGAACCAAAAAAGAGCCCGCATCGCCAAGGCAATCCTAGGCCAAAAGAACAAAGCTGGAGGCATCACGCTACCTGACTTCAAACTATACTACAAGGCTACAGTAACCAAAACAGCATGGTACTGGTACCAAAACAGAGATACAGATCAATGGAACAGAACAGAGCCCTCAGAAATAACGCCGCATATCTACAACTATCTGATCTTTGACAAACCTGACAAAAACAAGAAATGGGGAAAGGATTCCCTATTTAATAAATGGTGCTGGGAAAACTGGCTAGCCATATGTAGAAAGCTGAAACTGGATCCCTTCCTTACACCTTATACAAAAATCAATTCAAGATGGATTAAAGACTTAAATGTTAGACCTAAAACCATAAAAACCCTAGAAGAAAACCTAGGCATTACCATTCAGGACATAGGCATGGGCAAGGACTTCATGTCTAAAACACCAAAAGCAATGGCAACAAAAGACAAAATTGACAAATGGGATCTAATTAAACTAAAGAGCTTCTGCACGGCAAAAGAAACTACCATCAGAGTGAACAGGCAACCCACAAAATGGGAGAAAATTCTTGCAACCTACTCATCTGACAAAGGGCTAATATCCAGAATCTACAATGAACTCAAACAAATTTACAAGAAAAAAACAAACAACCCCATCAAAAAGTGGGTGAAGGACATGAACAGACACTTCTCAAAAGAAGACATTGATGCAGCCAAAAAACACATGAAAAAATGCTCATCATCACTGGCCATCAGAGAAATGCAAATCAAAACCACAATGAGATACCATCTCACACCAGTTAGAATGGCAGTCATTAAAAAGTCAGGAAACAACAGGTGCTGGAGAGGATGTGGAGAAATAGGAACACTTTTACACTGTTGGTGGGACTGTAAACTAGTTCAACCATTGTGGAAGTCAGTGTGGCGATTCCTCAGGGATCTAGAACTAGAAATACCATTTGACCCAGCCATCCCATTACTGGGTATATACCCAAAGGACTATAAATCATGCTGCTATAAAGACACATGCACACGTATGTTTATTGCGGCACTATTCACAATAGCAAAGACTTGGAACCAACCCAAATGTCCAACAATGATAGACTGGATTAAGAAAATGTGGCACATATACACCATGGAATACTATGCAGCCATAAAAAATGATGAGTTCATGTCCTTTGTAGGGACATGGATGAAATTGGAAATCATCATTCTCAGTAAACTATCGCAAGAACAAAAAACCAAACACCGCATATTCTCACTCATAGGTGGGAATTGAACAATGAGATCACATGGACACAGGAAGGGGAATATCACACTCTGGGGACTGTTGTGGGGTGGGGGGAGGGGGGAGGGACAGCATCGGGAGATATACCTAATGCTAGATGACGAGTTAGTGGGTGCAGCACACCAGCATGGCACATGTATACATATGTAACTAACCTGCACAATGTGCACATGTACCCTAAAACTTAAAGTATAATAAAAAAAAAAAATTTACAAAAAAAAAAAAAAAGAATATGCAGAACATAGCTTTGATTCAGATTTTTAAAGGTACATACATATGTTAACTAACATATTTATTAAATTACTATTATGTCAGGCATTTTGCTGAGTGCCAAGCCTGCATTATGTCTGCATTTTTAATTTCATAGAAAAAGAAAAATAAAATTGTTATAAACAAATGTTTATAACATACTATGTGGCAGGCATTCCTCCAAGAATCTTACATGACATGTTATTTAATTCTCTCGAAACCCTGTAGAGAAGATACTATTATTATACCTCTTATTTATTTATTAATAAACTAAGATGCAAACAAGGCCAATGTCACAAACCTAGAAATTGGTGTGTCCAGTGTATTCATCCATTTTCACACTGCTGTAAGAACTACCTGAGACTGGGTCATTTATAAAGAGAAGAAATTTAATTCACTCATAATTACACATGGCTGAGGAGGCCTCAGGAAACTTAAAATCATGACAGATGGTGAAGGGGAAGTAAGACACCTCTTACATGGTGGCAGGAGAGAGAGAGAGAGAGAGAGAGTGAGCGAGCAAAGGGTTAGTGCCACACGTTTAAACTATCAGATCTCATGAGAATTCACTCAGTATGACGAGAATAGCATGGGGGAAACTGCCCACATAATCTAATCACCTCCCACCAGTTCCCTCCCTAAAGAGCTGGGGATTACAATTTGAAATAAGATTTGGGTGGGAACACAGAGCCAAACTGTATCACCCTGAATTCATTCTCAGGCAGTCTGATTTGAGCCAATATACCCAATACCAACAGATACAGTTGTATTACTCTGTTTTCATGCTGCTGATAAAGACATGTCCAAGAGTGGGCAATTTACAAAAGAAAGAGGTTTAATGGACTTACAGTTCCACGTGGCTGGGGAGGCCTCACAATCATGGTGGAAGGCAAGAAGGAGCAAGTCACATCTTATGTGGATGGCAGCAGGCAAAGAGAGTGAAATTGTGCAGAGAAACTCTGATTTTAAAACCATCAGATCTTGTGAGAACCATTCACTGTCATGAGAACTGCAAGGGAAAGACCCACCCCCATGATTCAATCATCTCCCACAGGGTCCCTCCCACAACACGTGGGAATTATGGGAACAGGGTGGGGACACAGAGCCAAACCATGTCTTTCCATCCCCGGCCCCTCCCAAATCTCATATCTTTACATTTCAAAACCAATCATGCCTTCCCAACAGTCTCCCAAAGTCCCAACTCATTTCAGTATTAACTCAAAAGTCCACAGTCCAAGTCTGATCTGAGACAAGGCAAGTCTCTTCTGCCTATGAGCCTGTAAAATCAAAAGCAAGTTAGTTACTTCCTAGATATAATGGGCATACAGGCACTGGGTAAATACAGCCATTCCAAATGGGAGAAATTGGCCAAAACGAAGGGGTTATAGGCCCTGTGCAAGTCTGAAATCCAGCAGGGCAGTCAAATCTTAAAGCTCCAAAATGATCTCCTTTAACTCCATGTCTCACATCCAGGTCATTCTGATGAAAGAGGTGGGTTTTCATGGACTTGGGCAGCTCCGTCCCTGTGGCTTTGCAGGATACAGCCTCCCTCCTGGCTGCCTTCATGGGCTGATGTTGAGTGTCTGAGGCTTTTCCAGGGGCACAGTGCAAGCTGTCAGTGGATCCACCATTGTGGGGTCTGGAGGACAGTAACCTCTTCTCACACCTCCACTAGGCATTGCCCCCGTAGGGACTCTGTATGCGGGCTCCAACCCCACATTTCTCTTCTGCATTGCCCTAGCAGAGGTCCTCTGTGAGAGTCCTGCCCATGCGGCAAACTTCTACCTGGGCATCCAGGTGTTTTCATACATCTTCTGAAATCCATGCAGAGACTCCCCAACCTCAATTTTTGACTTCTGTGCACTTGCAGGCCCAACACCATGTGAAAGCTGCCAAGGCTTGAGGCTTGCACCCCCTGAAGCCACAGCCCAAGCTTTATTTGGTCCCTTTCGGCCACAGCTGGAGCAGCTGGGATGCACACAGCACAGGAACCCTGGGCCTGACCCATGGAACCACTTTTTTCTCCTAGGCTTATAGGCCTGTGATGGGAGGGACTGCCATGGAAAACTCTGACATGCCTTGGAGACATTTTCCCCATGGTCTTAGTGATTAACGTTCAGCTTCTTGTTACTAATGCAAATTTCTGCAGCCGGCTTGAATTTCTCTTCAGAAAATGGGATTTTCTTTTCTATCGCATCGTCAGGCTGCAAATTTTCTGAACTTTTATGCTCTGCTTTCCTTATAAAACTGAATGCCTTTAACAGCACCCATGGCACCTCTTGAATATGTTGTTAATTAAAAATTTCCTTCTCCACATACCCTAAATCATCTCTCTCAAGTTCAAAGTTCCACAAATCTCTAGGGCAGGGGCAAAATGCCACCAGTCTCTTTGCTAAAACATAACAAGAGTCACCTTTGCTCCAGTTCCCAACAAGTTCCTCATCTCCATCTGAAACCACCTCAGCCTTGACCTTATTGTTCATATCGCTATCAGCATTTTTGTCAAAGCCATTCAACAAGTCTCTAGGAAGTTCCAAACTTTCCCACATTTTCCTATCTTCTTTGAGCCCTCCAAACTGTTTCAACCTCTGCGTGTTACCCGGTTTCAAAGTCACTTTCACATTTTCGGGTGTCTTTTCAGCAACACCCTACCCATGTACCAATTTACTGTATTAGTATGTTTTCATGCTGTTGATAAAGACATACCCGAGACTGGGCAATTTACAAAAGACAGAGGTTTAATTTGACTTACATTTCCACATGCCTGGAGAGGCCTCACAATCATGGTGGAAGGCAAGCAGGCACAAGTCACATCTTATATGAATGGCGGCAAGCAAAAAAAAAAAAAAAGAGCTCGTGCAGAGAAACTCCTGTTTTTTAAAACCATCAAATCTTGTGAGAGCCATTCACTATCACAAGAACCCCATGGGAAAGACCCACTCCCATGATTCAATCATCTCCCACCTGGTCCCTCCCACAACACGTGGGAATTATGGGAGGTACAAGATGAGATTTGGGTGGGGACACAGAGCCAAACCATATCAACAACTTTGTAACTCAAATCAGATATTGTTTTTTTTTTTTAATTGCTCTGTCTGAAAAATAATGTAACTAATTTTGGGGCAAAATTTTTACATAGAATCTTATGGTAGCATATTAAGTTCTGATTCTAGCCCTGCTGTAATTTTATTTCTGTATCTTAACTTTGTATTGCCAAATTTCTTCAGTTTTAAAATGGCATCTGCTTTTATCATTTGAATTCTATATATGTCTACAAGTAGTTAACTAATTAATTCATTTTGGAAAAAGATAGCGTAAATAACGAAATCTGGAAAGCAATGATATTGATTTCACACAACAGCTTTACTGCCCTGTTAGGTAGGTGTTTTAAAGCTGTAAACTCTGAGATAGACAGATTCAAAATGATTTGATCAAGACCACACAGCTTTTTATTGCACAATTGGACTACAATTGTTAAAGCCCATTCATTCAACCGATATTATTGATTAAAAACATCAATTCCTTTTCTACTATTTGATCCTGTTTTTTGTTAACAAAAGCAAGTTGGTAACGTTGGTGTCACTCAGGTCTTTGTACAAAATGTACAGTAATGTGAGCACAGTGGATGGTTAGATTCCAATGTCTAATATTAGCTTTGGTGACAGTAACAGATCATACCTATGTCATAGGTATGATCCATAAGCTTAAGTGCAGATCACTGATCTCAGAGATATAATGGTGAAAATTATGTCTGACACACTGCAATGTAGAAGTACACTCTCCAGTATGGTAACCGTTAGCCACATGTGATTATTGAGCACTTGAAGTATGGCTAGTCCTAACTGAGATGTGCTGTGTTTTATAATATACAAACCAGATTTTGAAGACATAGTAAGGAAAAAGAGTGCAAATATATAGCTAACAATATCTACATTGATCCAAAATTGAAATGATAATATTTTAGATATATGGGGCTAAATCAAATATATTATTAAAATTATTTTTGCATTTATGTTTGCCTTTTAAAGTGTAGTCATCGGAATATTTAAAATGACATACATGGCTCACATATTTGAAAGCACTGACCTGGAACACACACACACAAATTTAACTTTCGTTTCCTAATTCTCTCTCGTATTTGACTATTGTACAAAAGAGATCACAGAATAGTGTAGCTACAATCTGAAAATACAGCCATTTTGAAATAGCATTTTTGCTCGTGAAAAATCCTTAGAAGTGGAATAGGGTAAAAGAGTTTGCATTTTTGACATATTGATATAGCTAATCCCAAATCATCTTACAAACTGCTATACCAATATATGCTCTTAACAACAGTCAACAAGAATATATATTTCACATCACTGCCTAATATTGGATATTTTCAATAATTATTTTTCCCATGCTCAAAAACATTTTTTTCTGTCTAAATTTGTATTTCTATGATTAGTATTAGTCATTACTTTTAGTAATAGTACTTCCATGATTCATTTCTATTAGGTTCTTTTAATTTTTTTAAATTATTGAGTAGTTGGACCTTTTAATATAGTTTATATATTTATCCATTAAATATTATAGCATTCATAAATAGTTCCACCAATCATAACACAATTCTTTACTGTTTAATATATCAGAAGTCTTATAACTCACAGCTTTGGCAGGGAAGATTTTCATTTATTTCTATGGTCACATTTGTGGGTCTTTTTTTCTCTATGGCTTCTTGGATATATATGGCTTGGGAAATACTGTCCTTCTAATAAAATTACAATATAATTATTTTATATTTCCTCCTAACTTTGTTTTTTAATTGATATATAGGTTTCAAACCATGCAGAATTTATTTCTGTGCACGTTGCAAAGTGAACCTCTAACTTAATTTTACAATTCTTACATCTATACAGATCACAAATTATTTTTGTGTTATAAATTGAAAAACCTATTCTATTTTTATTTTAAATGTGACTTTATTATATACTAAACTCTCATATACTCTTTTAAATTTAAACTCTTTTTAATTTTCTTGACTTTAAATTATATCTCTGGTAGAATATATCTACCCTCACTGTTCTTCGCTTTAAAAATTATGCTTTTTTTTTGGACGTCGAGATGGGCGGATCACGAGCTCAAGAGATGGAGAGCATCTTGGCCTACATGGTGAAACCCCATCACTACTAAAAATACAAAAATTAGCCGGGTGTGGTGGCGCGTGCCTGTAGTCTCAGCTACTCAGGAGGCTGAGGCAGGAGAATCGCTTGAACCCAGGAGGCAGAGGTTGCAGCGAGCCAAAAAAGCGCCAATGCGCTCCAGCCTGGCGACAGAGTGAGACTCCATCTAAAAAAAAAATTACATTATACTTTTTTCCCCTAATTTGTTCCTTCTAGAACCTTGGAATCTGAAGGCCAAGATGCACAAATCATCTTACAAGTTTTTTATTTTCATTACCTTTGTGAGAATCATCATTTAAAAATATTGAGTCTTCTAATCTAGAATGTTATATATCTCTACTTTTCTCAACTGGATATCTCCTTATTAAATATCCTTATTTGTTTTAGTTAATTCTTATATTATTTTAAGGCTTCAATTGCAATTGTAATGTTCCATTCTTTTTAAATGGGTTATACTGTTGTATAGAAAGATATTTATTTTGTATGTTAATCTGGTATTTATCTTCTCTGGTATGTGTATTTTTCTTTTTCTTCATATATCATTGCATTAGCTAGAATATTTAGCATAATGCTATAAAGTTGCAACATATGTGATCATCTTTGAGTCATTCTTAACATAATGTTTACACTATTAAGAATTATTCTTTTGGATTTCTAGTAATCTTTTAATTTCTAGTAGTATGAAATAAAGAAAATTTATTCTTACATGGAGACTAGGAAACTTTAGTTAATTTCACTGGTTAGAAAGAATATAATAACTTTAAATTTTTCATTTTTATTTTTAAAATTTTATTTGTTTTTATTGATTGATTTTGATTGATTTTTATTAATTTATATTTTGAGACAGGATCTCACTTATTGCCCCGGCTGAGTGCAGTGGTACAATCATGGCTCATTACAGCCTTGATCTCCTGGGCTCAAGCAATCCTCCCACTTTAGTCTCCCAAGTAGCTGGAACTACAGGCATGCACCACCACACCTGGCTATTTTTAATTTTTTGTAAAGACAGAGTCTTGCTATGTTGCCCAGACTGGACTTGAATTCCTGGACTCAAGCAATCCTCCTGTCTCAGCCTCCCAAACTGCTGGGGTTATAGGCATGAACCACTGGGCCCTGTCTAATTTATTTATTTTCAGTGAATATGCCAAGACCCATACATCTTCTATCATCACGCTAAAACCCTTCCTTAAAGATTTGTCCCACGTCCTATGTACCGAAGAAAGCTTTTGAGTGCTCCCAGGGTAAGGACCAATGCTATTTCACTTTTTCCACTTTGTACGTAGTTCTTATATGTAACTTATTTATGTATTTTTCTTGTCCCTCTTTTGTTAGAGAAAATTTTAGTAGATTCCACTTATAAAAAGAAAATCTTCCTTATTTTTGAGTTATGAATATTTAACTTTTCTTCAAACATGTTTTTTGTTAATTATATCATTAAAAAACTATTTAAAGAGCATATGTGACTCTTTTTCATAGAACTATGAAAAGTTCCTAATGTAGAAATGTATCATTGTAATTGATTTTAGAAATCATTGAATTAGTCTCATGCAGAGCATCTTTTAATATCTTTGCATTATCAATAATCACCTTTTATCACAATATAAGGAACAGTATATTACCAATTCATTTAAAGTGATTTTATATATTTTATTTAAAAATTTCAAACACAAACATAATAAAACAGTTAAATACATATTTCTGTCACTTAGTTGTCACTAATGGAACATTTTATGTCACCGCTTGTCATATATATTGAACATGTATTTGTCTTAATCCATCATTCAAACATTCACCATTTTCTTAACTAATTTCAGAAATCAGTATCTCTTTTCTTTGCCTCCCTTGTCAAGACCCTCTAATCTGTTCCTATATTGTAGTCACATTGATCCATCAGTCTCTGGCTTAAAACATTCCATGCCTCCCAATTGTTTTAAATATAAAATGTCCTTCCTGACTTACCCTGGCTTCTGTCTCTTGTTTTATCACTTGCCACTCTTAACACACCTACTGACCAGTTGTCTTAAGTAGCTACTACTTGCTCACAGCTGAAGCTTTCCACATGCTGTTTGTTCTGTCTGCGGTGCTTTAACATCCCCATTCTTTTTATCGGCATAATTTTTACTTGACCTTCAACATTTTTCAGGTATTTCCTTTTGGAGGATTATTTGTTAATGTAATATCCCCACCCCCCAACCCCTACCCTAAAAGGCTACATTAATTGTCCCTTTGATGCTTTTACAAAACCTTACATTAAACTTTATGTAAATCCTAATTACTGTGCAGTATAATTTCATATTCCTTATATTTCTCTCCCATGAGACTGAGATCAGAATTGTGTATGTTTCTCTTTGTAAACACAATGACTGGGCAGTTTCTGGCACACAGCAGATGCTTGGGGAATGTTGAGTGCACAGTATGCTTATTTCCCTGTTCTAAGCAACTTTCTTTGCCTTCAACTGATTACCTGTTACTCCCTTAAAACATTGATAGCCATCACCACACACCATCACACTAAAGTATATGTTATCCTTGTGTGTGTATCTCTAGAGTTACACGCTTCTTAAAGAAAATATCTGATGTCTGTTTCTCCTGTCTCTTTGGTGATATGTAACCCAGATGTAACTCATGGTCCATACTCATAAGGTGAGCCATATTTGAAACAAAAAAGTCACAACCCAAACAAACCAAAATTTAAATTATCAGAATTAGCAGCACAAAGAAAATGTCCTCTCCTAATTTGTACTGTGGCAGTCTGAACACCCCCCGAAAATCATGCCAGAGTTTAGAAAAACAAATATACAATAAAAGTAAACACACACATACACACAAAACAGCAAATTTCTGGTAACTATTTTGGATTGCAAACAGGATAAATTTAATGTTCAAATAATCTGACAAAACAACCATTTGGAAACTGAAAAAAACATATATTTTCTATCATTATCTGTAACATTTAGGAGTACTATCTCCTAAGCTAACATTTTGACTTGGTGGTAGCTTGGCATTCTTCTTTGTGTTTTTTGTTTGTTTGTTTGTTTTTGTTTTTGTTTTTGAGATGGTGTCTCATTCTGTCACCCAGGCTGGAGCACAGTGGCACAATCCCTGCTCACTGCAACCTCTGCCTCCCGGGTTCAAGTAATTCTCCTGCCTCAACCTCCTGAGTAGCTGGGATTACAGGAGCCCGCCACCACATCCAGATAATTTTTGTATTTTTAGTAGACACGGGGTCTCACCATATTGGCCAGGCTGGTCTTGAACTCCTGACCTCAAGTGATCCTCCTGCCTCAGCTTCCCAAAGTGCTGGGATTACAGGCGGGAGCTACCATGCCCGGCCTCTTCCTAGCGTTTTTTTTACTCTCTGACATTAATTCCAAAAGTGACTAATTTTAGATGCTTTTATAGGGGAAGCAATAGCACATGAATTAATGAGAACCTGGATGAAATTATTATATAGCATAAATAAAGCTTTAAATTATAAGAATAATAGTTATAATAATCCCTTGAGAAAGTTTTATTGTACATAATGAATAGTAAGATTTTTAAGGTGCTAACAAAGAATAGTAGATATTTTAGTTTACCAGTTAAAGTTGTATTGTCATATAGCAAGAATAACAACCAATAATTCACTAGTCGTAGTAAATATTTGTAATACTTCAAATTTTATGCATAAAATGAAAATATTAATGTTGTCATGTTCTGTAATTGAGGTTCACATGACACAAGTTAGATAAATGTGACCTACATTTATGTTACCTATGCTCTAAACATTTTACAAACATTAACTTTGTTAAATTGGCACTAGATCTATGAAGTAAATGACATTATGTCCGATGATGGATAAGGAAACTAAAGCTCACAGACTTTAAACAAGATGTACAAGGCAAAACAGTAACTGAGAGATCCAGAATTGAACCTACTTCTGTTCATTTTGCTATTCAACACTGAGTTTTTGAAGTCTGCATTCTTTATTTGTAACAATTTTACTTTTATTTTTCTATATCCTCTAACTCCAGAGGTTTTTTTCTCCCCCCTCCCCCCAACTTCTACATTCACAGTTGAACCATATTATTAGGAAAGGCGCCTTGATGAAAAGATCAGGATAGGAGCTCTGACCTTTCATCAGTGTTTTCCCTAGAGTAACAAAAACAAACAAACAAACAAAAACCTAAAAAGCATCTTTCCTCTTTTTGTTTTCTTCTGTTTTTTTTTTGTTTGTTTGTTTACATCTGTTGTGCTGCATCAGTAAAGCAAACTTCAGTTAGTTTTAGGAAATGAAACATCTATCCCCTGTTTTCTGGGAAAAAAAAGCTTCAATGACTTGAAGTTGAGAATGCGGATACCACTCACTCAAACACACTCATTCTCAGACTCTAAAAATCCCTCACCCTCCTTCTAGCCAGCAAGCATACAGTACCATGTGGCAAAGGTACAGCAAAGGTGGACTTGGACTTGAGACCGAGGCTTCATCTTTCTCCTCAGTAGCAAAGGCCAGGCTGCCTTTTACAACAAAGCACCACAGCTGAACCCAGTCCCTCCTCCTTTCCCAAACCAGTCATTCCACTCGGCACTGGCCGAAAGACAAAAAAAATACTTTTTAAGGCATAAAACATATACTTTTATGTTTGTGAAAATTAACCTATATTCAAGCAGAGATCTTGTAGAAAATGAAACAAAAATTGTGATGTGACTGTAACATTGATGTTTCCACTGCCTGCCTCCTAGCCATCTTCTGTATTATGGCACAGAATTCTTGATGTTTGGGAAGAAATGTAAAGAAAAAGTTTGTACATGAAATTTTTATTAAGCAGTAAATGCATGTTTCAAAGCCAAATTTACATTTTATGTTTTTACAAATGTATGTACTCTTAAGAAGACATTTCTTGTACTTTTATGTTTATTAGTACAAGAGAATTAACCTTGAATCATATGGGTTTTAATTTTATGCAAGCAACAAATGTTATCATTCCTGAGCAAATTCTTTAAACATAGTAGACATTTAGTGTAATGTATCTGACATAATTATTCTTAAATTACAGGGAAAAAATAGCTACCGAATAACTGATCTTGCTCGAAGTCAAAACTTAAGTTCCTTATGAACAATTTTTGAACCTCATGATTTAGTACGAATAGTGTCATCTCTCCTGAGCCTTTCTGAATGCCTGTATCATATTAAAGCCCTCTCCTACTCCTTGCTGTGCCAAGCCAGCTATAGCCCTAGGGTGAGAGCAAGTTGCCAGGTGCTAAGACATCACAGTCCCAGAAGCCAGTCATCTCCTCTGCCACATCCAACAGTTCTCTCTTGGGACACAAGAAAGACATGCTTGGCCAGCACCCCTAGTGCCTCTTGGTCCAGTTCTTTTCTGGTAGGGATAATTACTTGGGGCTGCAAGTGAAAGGCACATAAAATTTCTCAACATTGCTTGAAAATTAAGTGCCAACCTCTAGCTGTAATCTTGTGAAATCATTTTATTTTGCAGCAATAATTTCAAAAGTTATCTGTGACCAGATGTTAAAAGGTACACCATTCTGAAGACTCAATTTTTACACTATTGAAGTGGTTTTTGTCTCTTAATAAAAGTCCAGAAGTTTTTTAGAACAAAAGAAACATTATCTTCTTCAGATTTCTTATTCTATAAGATAAAGGATATATAAATTATTTTTTCACTTTCTTTATGACTGTGTTTTTGCTGCATGTTACTTAGCTTCAGTAAGAAAGAAGCATGGTTAAAATTTTGTTGAATGCACTTATTCAAAGAAAGAAACACAATGTTATTTAGGACTCATTAATACAACTAAACCACATAGGGTAAGCCTAAAGATTTCTTGATATCAGAGGGCTGACTGTTGTTGAGTAGCAAGTACCTCATTTGTGAAATATTCTGCTGGTCCTTGAAACTGTCAGAAACCTCTGTAGCTCGAATGATACCAAGAATGTTAAGAGAACAGGATGAGTTATTACATTTAATATATAGGTATAGTAAAAATCAGTCGCAGAACAGGATGGAGGACAGTGTATTTTTCAAGTTCTATTGATAGATATGTGCATAAATTTCCAAGACACTTAAGTACCACTACTTAGGTTTCTTTTTTTTAATATATTGCTAATTTTATCTTAGTGCATTAACATTATAAGCCTCTAAGTTTCTTCCTTAAAAATATGCTACCCATCTGCTTCTCCAATATTTTTACACAGGCATTGCTTCTGAAAGTATAGAAACACTTTTCCTGTATCAAGGAAGGTTTGCTTAAGTAAATTAGAGTGGAGAACTGCAGCAATTATGTGAATTCTCTAGTTGAAACATGAATTATTTTTGCTGAAATGTTTGAACATATGTGTTAACAGCAAACCCACTGCTTCAACCAACTTCACTTCCTTAGGTTAGTTTACTCTAAAAACAAATAGTAAATAGTAACATCTGGGTATTAGACATAGAGTAAATCCCATTTCAAGAATTACTCTTTGTACCATAACCCTTTTGCACTACAAAGCCCACAAAAGGGGAGTTTGACTGCTAAAAACTGATAGCATTTTTATTATGGACACCAGATGGCGCTCGTACATCTTGAATTGGCTTTGATCTTTCTTGTTTTAAAATTGTCCCCCTTTCTCCTTTTCAGTAAGAATTTGCTTAAAAGATTAAAGTTCATGTATGTTTTCTCTTATGTAAAACTTAATTGAAAGCTTTCAAGTATTGAGTAAAACTCACAGCCCATTTTCACATTTTTTTTTAGCTTGATTGGACAATATTGTTGACGTCTATTGAATATTGCAGGAATGACTATTAAGAATATCTGTGTTAGTGACCTGAGGGAACAGTCCACACAGTCACTGTCTAATCATTTAGAAATTTAAATTAGTTTAGAAATTATTCTAATTTTTGAAGCCATTTTTGTCCGTATTCCATTCTTCTGTCTTCAATGCCTTGTCGGTGAAAAAAAAATAAAGAGAAAAGAAAAAAAGACACACTGGTAACTAGGAATTACATTTATCCATCATCCACAAGAGAGCCCTGTCTATGTGCAAATGAGTTTTACGTGAAGCCTCATGGGTGCCTGAAATTATTCCTCTTACAAACACTCTCTTGTTCTGCTTCATTCTCACATTTCCAGATCAGTGTCACTTTATTCTGCTTAAACCATCAAACAGATAATAGCATACAATTAGTCACCTTATTATAGGAGCAGCAGCCATTGCTGCTTTCTCTCTCTCCCTGTCTCTCCACTCCATCTCTTTAAATTGATAAGCAACTTTTTACCTTGATGAGGGATGGCATGTTATGAAAGATCTGTTCTATACTCAGTGGCTTTAACACAACCTTTTTTTGCTGGCCTTGAGCCTTTACAGTAGTCTCTTATTTTTCTGGGAATTATAGTTTATCTACCACCTCTGAGATTTCATTATGTTTAAATAGGAGCTTCCCCACCACTCCCAGCAAGCAAGAAACATCTACCTCTGCATTGTATATAATAGAAAACTGATGAAAATTAAACTTGAAAGAAACCTTTGCTTACTTTTTAAAATCCTTTATTCGTTATCTCTGCCTTTTAGTGGAAAGTTGTGGGGAAAATGCAAAATTATTAAATGCAATTTACAGAAAAGAGGCAATGATTACGTCCTTTACAATCTAGTTGACTGTGAGAGTGAAGAGGGTTTTTAAAACCCTATCATATTTCCCCCATGCTAACATGCAAATTGCTCCTCTCATGATAATGAGCACCTTATCTAGCTCAAGATATTTCATTTACAAGCTCACAGTTTTTTCCTGTTAATAGTTGGGAGGATTATTGACCAAAGGGTACTGATTGACTTTGTTATGCTACTAGCAGCACGTGGAATGCAATAATGGGCTTAGAGCTCCAGGCATCTGGAGAATTTTGATACTGTCTTTTCCAGAGGAATCTACTTTACCTTTTGGAAGTATTCCCACACAAGCTACAAAAACGTATTTTCTTTGGAACAGTATCTTGGCAGCTCTTTTCTGAATCATAGAAACTTTGAGCAGAATTAAGCTTAAAATTAAAAGAATAAAAACAACACTTGTTAAAAAATGTATCAAGATTAGGGAAATGTATCAGAGATGAGAGGGCTTTTGGATCATTTTTTCAACTGCCATAACATTAGGTTTCTACAGTGGTCAATCTCCCACCCACTTGAGGAACTGGAACTTCTCCAATTCAATAAGATTTTCTAGAGAGCAGAGGTTTTGTGAGTGATAAGGGATAATACAAGATTACCTAACACAATTCTTACTGGGAGGGAGAGAGGGAGAGAGGGAGGGAGAAAGGAAAGAAGGAAGGAAAGAAGGAAGGAAGAAGAGAGGGAGAGAGGGAGAGAGGGAGGGAGAAAGGAAAGAAGGAAGGAAGAAGAGAGGGAGAGAGGGAGAGAGGGAGGGAGAAAGGAAAGAAGGAAGGAAGAAGAGAGGGAGAGAGGGAAGAGGGAGGGAGGGAGAAAGGAAGGAAGGAGGGAGGGAGGAAAGGAGAGAAGGAGGGAGAGAGGGAAAGAAAGAAGGAAGGAGGGAGGGAGGGAAGGAAGGAAGGAGAGAGGGAGGGAAGGAAGGAAGGAGGGAGGGAGGAAGGAAAGAAGGAGGAAGGGAAAGAGGGAAAGGAAGGATGGAAGAAGGAGGGAAAGGAAGGATGGAAGAAGGAAAGGAAGGATGGAAGAAGGAAAGAAAGAAAAAAGAAAGAGAAAGAAAGAAAGAAGAGAGAGGAAAAAAAGAGAGAAAGAAAACTGCAGTAGTAGTGTCTGGTGACTTCAAAAACAAAAAAGTCACAACCCAAACAAACCAAAATTTAAATGATCAAAATTGGCAGCACAAAGAAAATGTCCTCTCCTAACTAGTATTGTGGCAGTCTGAACACCCCCCGAAAATCATGCCAAAGAGTTTAGAAAAACAATAAAAGTAAACACACGCATACACACAAAACAGCAAATTTCTGGTAACTATTTTGGATTGCAAACAGGATAAATTTAATGTTCAAACAATCTGATAGAATAACCATTTGGAAACTGAAAAAAATATATATATTTTCTATCATTACCTGTAACATTTAGCCCCTAAATGTTATAAGGCCCTGACCACTCTTTTCTTAGTGTTTACTTTAGAAAACTTGAAATTGCAATTGAACTTCTTTCAAGTTTGTGAAAGATCAGCATTGGAGAGAGGCCAGGTGTGCTGACTTTACTGCAAGGTTCTTTTCTCTTATCACATGAAATTATTTGAATGATTATTTTGCTCAAAGTCCTCCAATGGCTCTTCATTTCCTTCAGAGTAAAAGCTAATGTGATTCCATTGTCTTTATAGACCTTATGGCCCTATGCCATCTGAAACCTCCTCTCTCCATTGTCTCTCTGACCTCATCCCCTGTTATCCTTCCACTCCCACCAATCCATTTCAAATCACCCTTTCAATCATGCTGGCCTCCTTGTTATTTTCCAAACACATCAAGCACACTCAAAGACTGGAATAATATTCCCCCTGTAAAACAAAAAGTGACTAAGGCAAATCTCAATCAATTTAGGTCTACTTTGCCAAGGTTGAGGATGCAACTGGGAAAAACACAAATCACAGGTGCATCTGTGCTTTTTGCAAAGACTGTTTTGAGAACTCTAATACTTAAAAGGAAAAGAGCAAGCAGGAGGGGAAAGAGGGGGAAGAAAGGAAGAAGGGTGGACAATGAGGCAAGTGGTTACATTCTTGTGAGGCTTTGATTAACACTCAGTGAATCTACATTTTACATGTGAAAAGAGGGAGTAGAGGGAAAAGTCAATCTTGAATTTGTCTTGGAGTGGTGGAAGGATGATTTCTAGTCTTGTCCTTGTCGGGTACCTATGACGATAAGCTGGTAATTGACATTTTCAGGGTGAGATTGAACAGGATTCTGTTTTAGGACAAGTTTATAGGAAAATATGTATGTTCTGAAAGATTTGGGGGCCCTCAAAAAATTTCCTTGTAAGCCATTTGTGAAGGAGTCCGTTTGGGGAGATATGTGAATTCCAATGATTAGAGGAACCAGGCTTATATATAAGGCACAACATAGGGTTGTGAAATTACAGCTGTCTGTTTGGGACAAAAGGAAGGCAGTGTTTGTACAACTCAGTTCCCAAGTTTAACTTTCCCTTTGGCATAGTGAGTTTGAGGTCTCAAGGTTCTAGTTTCTTTCACACCCCGGGTAGCCACATGATTAATTTTCTTTAACACTTCGCTCAGATTTCACCTTCTTAGTGAAATCCACTCTGAGATCTACTTATTTAAAACAACCCACTCCACCTATGCCACACTCTGGATTCTTTCTACCCTTCTCCCTATCATTTTGCATTTATAAACTTATAATGTATGATATAATTTACTAGTGTTTTGCAGGATATGTATATTTTTTGTGCGCAAAGATGCAGACATGGGTAAAAAGTTATCCAATAAAAATATATAGAACTAATATTCCTAAATTTATAATACTGTAGAATGCCTTCTTTATTAATTTGAAACATGGAGAAATATCATTTTCCTTAGACCTGCTTCTGTTTTTGTTTTAATTACAGTAATCACTATGCTGTAGTTTGAGTGTGTTCTCCAAAAAGCATGCATTACAAAGTTAATCCCCGGTATGCTGGAAGATAGGGCATAATGCGAGAAGTTTAGGTCACAAGGGCTCCGCGCTCACGGACGGATTAATGCTGTTTATAAAGGCATGATACTAAGAGCTTGGTCGCTTGCTTGCTCTTTCCCTCTCTTTTCTCTTCTGCCATGAGATGGAACAGCAGTAAGCTACTCACCAGGTGCAGCTTCTCAATCTTGGACTTCCCAACCTCCAGAACTATAGGAAATAAATCTGTTTTGTATAAATTACCCGGTCTTCGGTATTCTGTTTCAGCAGCACAACATAGAATAAGGTACACTATATGTAAAATGGTTGAAAATGTCTAAAGATCGAGATCTCCATTACAGAAAATTTTTATATTTTCAAGTTTGGTAATGAAAGAAGACAACTCAAATGAAAATAAGCAGGAACTCTTTATGCGGAGCTTGCTAAAGCAAGGGAGCCAGGCGCTATTGAGACAGCCAGGTGGGAAGGGGTCCCCAGAAAAACTCCAACCAGCCTGTGCACTGGGATAAATGCGCACTAGGGTGGAGCCATAGAAGTTCAAGCCATTTGCAGCAGGGAGGAGCCTTGCCCCTCTTCTTCCTGTGTGGAACCTGGGATTCAAACTGCAATGCAGGAAGTGCATCGGCAGGGACTCTGGCTTCATGGAGGGTCCCTGTTTCCCTTTTTTTTCCCCCTTTCACCCAATAAAACCCTGACTTACTAACCCTTCAAATTGTCTGCAAGCCTAAATTTTTGTGGTCATGTGACAAGGACCTCATCTTCAGCTGAACTAAGGAAAAGCCCTGCAACACTAATGCTTGTGTTTTGCAGAGACAGAAAGGTAGGCAGGGAAATAGGAAAGCTTTATCATAGAAAAGGCAAAGGGAGGAGCTTCAGGTATGTTTTTATTGGAGGTTGTTGGCATTGACCAATCTAGTCCAGTGTCTCCCTCAGCTTGATTAAACTTTAGAAGCTTTTCCCAACTATAAGCCCCTGACCGCCCTTTTCTTAGAGTGTTTACTTTAGAAAAATTGAAATTGTAAATTCTTTTTCTGCCCCTTTCAGATGTAAATTTATACAACTCAGGAAAATCTTTCTCAAGGACCTGTGACCCATCTGTATGAAATGTAATCAGGAAAGGTAGAGCCCCTGTCTCCCAATCTCTGTGGGAGGGCAGGAGCTCAACTTTGATAAGGACTGTTAGCAAATACAGATAGCCTAATAATATTGATCTTCCTCTCCTCTAAAGTCCTCCAATATTTTTCCATTTGTTAGTCCCAGTGTTAAAAAATATTCTTGCCTTTGTTTCAACAGAGTTCAATTTAATTTCCTTTTTAAATTGCAATTGTTTTTACCCCTATTGCATAGTCTTGAATAAAGTCTTTTTTGCCATTTTTTCTTTTCTTTTACTTTTTTTTTTTTTTTTTTTTTTTGACAGAATCTAGCTCTGTCGCCAGGCTGGAGTGCCGTGGCTCAACCTCCGCTCACTGCAACCTCCTCCTTCCGAGTTCAAGTGATTCTCCTGCCTCAGTCTCCCCAGAAGCTGGGACTACAGGCACACGCCACCACGCCCAGCTAATTTTTTTTGTTTGTTTGTTTTGTTTTTGAGACGGAGTCTCACTCTGTCGCCCAGGCTGGAGTGCAGTGGTGCGATCTCGACTCACTCTCGGCTCACTGCAACCTCCGCCTCCCGGGTTCAAGCAATTCCCCTCCCTCAGCCTCCCGAGTAGCTGGTAATACAGGCATCCACAACCATGCCCAGCTGATTTTTTTTTTTTTTTTTTTGTATTTCAGTAGAGATAAGGTTTCATCATGTTGGCCAGGATGGTCTCAAACTCCTGACCTCATGATCTACCTGCCTCAGCCTCCCAAAGTGCTGGGATTACAGGTGTGAGCCATTGCGCCTGGCCATTTTTTGTATTTTTAGTAGAGACGGAGTTTCACCATGTTGGGCAGGATGGTCTCCATCTCTTGACCTAGTGATCCACCTGCCTTGGCCTCCCAAAGTACCCAGACTACAGGAGTGAGCCAATGCACCAGGCCCTTTCTTGCCATTTCTAAAAAGTGTCCAGTGCAATTTTTCTTTGATGAAATGAGGAAGCCAGAGGCAGGCTAACTAGAAATGAAGCGTTCTATGTCATTGGTTGGATAGCATACTTGGCTTTCTCTGGTTTATTCTGAATTGGGAGTGGGGGCAAAACTTAGGGAAGCAGACAGTCATTGACCAAATCTTTAATTTTGGGTCTGTTGCTATAGAAGTTGGTTTGGCTTTCTGGACTGGTTGCTGCAAAGGTTTTGGGTCAGAGTTATGCTGTCATTTATAGTCTGGCCATTGTCTATTTGTATATTCAGTCTCTCATAAAACCACTGATGTTTCTGGCTAAGGTAAGAGATTCCAGCATTAGCATATGGAGAAGAGGGAGCTGTGCTGTGCACATGTGTATTCCACTAAGCTATTTTTTCTCCCCTTTCTATGAAATATGCAGGAGGATCCCAAATTAGAAGTAAAGATGTAATACTAGGGAACTACTTGGAGAAAATTGAGAAGATCCTGGGTGCAATGCTCAATTGGGGTAGAACAGGCTTACTTCCTTTATTTCTCACAAAGCAAAAATTGAAATAGAAACACTTTAGGGAAATTCACCAGTTTCCAACAAGTACAGAAATGGTTTCACTGGAGTGGTAAAACAATGACTTTCATAGCATATGTAGGTGGTGTTCCTTCTGCTCCAGTGGAAAACCCAGTGGAGAATGTTTTCAGCACACCTGCTACAGTCATGGAGGGAAGCAGTGTATAATTAGGACCCAGCACTACACTCCCAGAATTGAACACAAAGCCTCTGCAGTACAAGGAGATACTCAAACTGAAGAACAACAGGGTCTGAGGATGTGAAGATAGAAGAGAATAACTTGGAACTGGATGACTTAGAGATGACCAAGTGTTCACAGCTGCTCATTTCTTACCCTATGTTTTGTCCTGACTGAACTTTCAACAGGCTTCTCTTTCCTACAGGCCCCTGAACTACACTTCTTCCAAGCCTGAACCAAGCACAAAAAAGTAGAATGTGCCCTCTCATCAGCTTCTCCTGGGAATCACCCAACCACACAGTGAGACCTTTTTCTTGTCAAACCACATTGGCCATTCCCTCTTGCTTGCTCAGCTTCCCCTTCAAATATTCTGCTATTTCTCCTCCCCTCTTTTACCTTCCAAAATAATTTTTTTTCTCTTTGATTTGGAGATACTTGCAGACATGGATCATACATTTCTTGCTATTGCAATAGTCTCTTTCCCCCTCCTGCAATAACCTCTTTGAATAACAGTATCTTCTGACTAATGTCATGACTTGATTTTCTTGGACAGAGCCCATAGAAGTAGAAATAGTAATAAAAAACAGGTAATAGTTCTGTAGAGCTTACTCTGTAAGCTCTCATGATCCACTTGCTTCAGCCTCCCAAAGTGCTGGGATTACAGGAGTGAGCCACTGCGCCAGGCCCTTTCTTGCCATTTCTAAAAAGTGTCCAGTGTAATTTTCCTTTGATGAAATGAGGAAGGCAGAGGTACTGTCCTATGTCCTGCCTTACATGGATGATCTCATTTAAAGCTTTAGCCACCCTCTGAGGTAGATATGATGATTATGCACATTTTTCATATGAGAAAACTAAGGATCACATAAGTTACTTGCTCAATGTGACACAGCTGATCAGTGCCTGAAACAGAACAGAGACCTGAGAAGTTTAACTTTACAGCTAGTCTCTTAGCCATCACACTCCAGAAAAGAAGAGCTACATAGGAAGCCTTTTTCAAAAAGAAAAAAAAAATCTTACTGATCTGCATACAACAAGTACCAATTTTGGAGGACACGGGTTTTAGTTTTCAAAGAGGGAAGAATATTTTTCTCTACTTCCCAGGAAGAAAACATATTAAAGGAAAAGTTTTGCTTTTCTCCCTTGTTGATTCATGGGCTCCGGGTGAAAGTCACTACTCATTTATTCTTTTCTCTTTTACTTGTGTTTCCTGATATGTGTTGATAAAAGAAATGAGAGGTTCCTCTTGGTGGTTTCTTCCATGTTTTAAGCAAATGAGTTAGCACTTGCTTCTCCTGGGTGGGAAACTTCAAGCTTCTCTGTCTTCAACTGGTTGGGCAAGTCTAGTTGACCCCAGTCTATAGTTCTAGGTTTTCAATTGTTAAGGAAGGAGATAGGACACAGGAAGTCTCATCAACCCCGGGAAGTCCTGGGGTTTTCAACTGCAGTCTGCAATCTGGTTACCATTAATTAGGTAGCTATTTTTCTTCCTATGTGGCTCTGTGTCAACTTCTCAATTGCTTCAGAACACCAAGGGGAGAAGGGTTGTGATTAATTGATACTTTAACAAAAGTAAACTTTCACTTTCCTGTTTCTTAAACAGTTTGAATGTTTTCCACAAAGCAAACTTCTCATTTGCACTTCTAACAGACTTCTTTCTCAGTGCATTGGAATTTCAGGAGGTTTCCAGCGGCAATGTGGCATTTAGTATTTTTAAGTTTTGAAGAGATTAAAAATGGTGCTTACAGTAGAAGCTTTTAATAGAATCTCTTGGAGCTGGATGACTTAAGGAGGGAGCAGATGATGCAAGGTGGGAAATGTATAAAGTACATATTTTCTTAGCATATTTGCATTATTTTCATGTATCCATCTACATTTCAGTAGAGAACCTTTGTAGAACTCCACTACTGTATTATCGAATTGAAATCTTGATAATTAATGGCACATTTTATGTATATTGAATACAACCAGAAGCTGGTGTCTTGCTCATGATGTCTGATGATGATTGTTGTGTTGTTTTTGTGTAATCCGGGGAATAAATACTTTATTTTGGCTACTATTTGCAATGTATGATAGTCAATAATTAATTGTACAGTGGGTATAAAAATATGTAAGTAAATTGTTTGTCTTATATGTAGACTTTTTTGAAATAAAAATAGGCATACTGAAGTTGATTTAAGATTATACCAGCTGACGAGGTAAGGTTTAAACTTTCTAAACTTCTTTGGTAGAACATGGTTTTGTGGTTGAAGATCTTTTCTGGTGCTGACAACCTATTATTTTAGTATATTTTCACCTACTAGTAACAGTATCTTGATAGAAGCATAGCTTAATCTCTCTACATCTTGTTTTTTCATCCACTAACTGGAGATGATGATACCTACTTCTGGAAGGCATTTATTGTTTGCTTACCCAGCATCCATTTCCTCCTTCTGATGCTATCAGATTTTCTTTGAGAGCCTTTCCTCTATACTAAGATATGCTATTTGAATAAGATGACCTCTAGAAGGCACACGATTGTATCTGAGCCAACGAGACCTGAAGAGATAATGTCTGTGGCATCGGGAAAGATGTTTCTCTTCCTTTTATTGGAAGTTGTAGAGAGATGTTTGCTAGTTTCTCAGATTCTGTGGATAAAGATGAGTTGCCTAGACATGAAGTCTAGGAAGGCCAGAATGATGTTTGTTAAGCTGAGTAGAACCAGTGTGTTAAGGGAAGCCACACAGGCAAATGTATAGAAGGGAGGGAAACATAGGAATTATACTTGAAAGCCTGAGCTTGTCTGAAATCATACCTTCCTCTGGACTTTTCATTTATGTGAACCAACTATTTCTCTTATTATTTGCTTGTTTATTTAAAGACATCTAACATTTAAGTTGTTGTTGCTTTAAAGAGCCAGATAGGTATATTTTAAAGATTAAAGAAAAATCTGTAAAGCCTAAGATAGTCTCTTTAAATATGGGAGCTATAACTCTTAATGTGGTAGAATCCTTCTTAATTATAGTGTCAAGGGAAAGGAAAACAACAGAGGTTATAGGCTCATTAATACCCTAGGTGTTTATGGAATGTAGTTTGGGAAGCATTTACTTTAATTGACAGTTTGTTTGAGCCTACATAAAAATGAGCAAGGAGGTTTGACCTCATTTTACCATTAAGTTAGAGATCACATTCTAGAAAATATGTTTAATGAAGTAACTTAAAATTAAAAAACATGTGTAACGAGAAGTGAGGAAGGCCAATAGCAGTTTATGCCTTATGATATATTAAAGTGTGAGGATAAGTTTTAAGAAATTAAATAGGTGGCAGGGAAAAAGAGCCCTATGTTAATTAAAATTGATAGAAGACTGAATTGAATTCTCTAATACTTTTCTATCACAATAATATTTAATTTACTAGCCCTTTTAACACAAAGCGTTATCAACATTCTCAGGCTATCATCTACATTGAAAACCAACACTTTAATTCATCTATTACACACTCATAACTCATAGATCTATTAGTTAATCCCTGACTTTATTCTTTATATAATTTACATGGAGCAGGTGTACAGGTAAGGGGACGGATTTCTTCATTACATAGGATTTCTAAGCAGGCTTTACCTTTAAAAAATCTATACGTATTAGGGTTTGCCTGATTTCTGGACATTCAAATAATTAGTTGGTTTAATTAAGTCAGCGGGAAACGTGGGTCAAACTGTAGGCTTTTCATCAATTGGTTCAAGCAAATGGCTAATGAAATTTTTAAAAAAAAGAAGATGAAAGGAATTTATAATTTTTCCTGTGTTTTTTAGAAACAATCTATAACTATTCATTAGGTCTTTTAGCCATTAGAGTCAGAAGTTCTATTTGCCAATGTGGAATATCTTTCTGTATCACAATCATAAGTCTATCTCACTGTAAGAAAGTGATATTGTTTTGTCTAGTTTATGTGAAAAGATAATTTTCAAAAACTAAATTACCTCATACAAGAGCCAGAGTTGAAAAGCATTTCATGAGTGCCTTATTGAATCCTGCAGTTTGATTAACTGCCCCATGATTGATGTGTTTTATAGCCCAGAGTTCACAAAAAGTTACATACAACTATGTCTATAAAACTACTCTTGCTTCTAGGACTTTTCTAAGGTTGTGAGGCTAGACATGGCAAATAGTAGAGTTAGAACTTTATTCCTTTACATTGTATGTTTTAATCTACCATTTTTCCTTTGCGTTAATGACTGTTTTTAAAATTGTATCAAGTCTTTATCTCAGTGTTAAAGATTGAATTTTATCTCCTTTAAAATCCAAATGTTAGGCCAGGCTTCTGGTGGCTCATGTCTGTAATCCCAGCACTTTGGGAGGCTGAGGCGGATGGATCACCTGAGGTCAGGAGTTTGAGACCATCCTGACCAACCTGGTGAAACCCTGTCTCTACTAAAAATACAAAAATTAGCTGGGCATGGTGGCGGGCGCCTGTAATCCCAGCTACTCGGGAGGCTGAAGCAGGAGAATCACTTGAACTTGGGAGGTGGAGTTTGCAGTTAGCCAAGATTGTGCCATTGTACTCCAGCCTGGGTGACAGAGCAAGACTCTATCTCAGGAAAAAAAAAAAGAAAAAGAAAAAGAAAAAGAAAAAAAATCCATATGTTGAAATCCTAACGCCTAGTAACTCAGAATGTGACTTTATTTGGAAACAGGGTACTTTTAGATGTCATTAAGTTATGATGAGGTCATATTGGAGTACGAGGGCTCCTAATCCTATATGACTTGTGTCTTTATAAAGAGGGTAAATTTGAACACAAATACAGACACATGTGGAAGATGATGTGAAGAGACTCAGGGAGAAGACAGCTGTCTACATATCAAGGATAGAGACCTGGGATAGATCCTTCCCACACAGCTTTCAGACAATACCCACACTGCTGACACGTTGATTTTGGGCTTCTAGCTGTTAGACAATAGATTTCTGTTGTTTGAACCCACAATTTGTGGTCCGTTGATATGGCAACTCTAGCCAAGTAACAAAATCACACACACACACACACACACATTTTCAAAGAGGGAGTTATCCAAAAATGGTTTCCTCACTTCCAGATGAATACTGACATTAAGATGATGGAAAAAAAGATCCTCCATATTGTACCTTCCAGAGAGGGCATAAAAATGAAATAGTCCAAATAACAAGGTGTCTTTAAAAAGTATGTAATTTTTCATTCTCCAACGATTTATCCTTGAGGTTTCTTTTTCAATATATAGATAGAAATTCAATACTTGTAAAATGCTTTGAGCTTTTTGGAGGAACAAGACCAGATGAACATAATTACAATATATTTATTAAAATGGATGGCTTTGATTAGAATCGTTAATACAACTTTGTGATGATTCATATTCCTCTACTATAGGTATTGTCATTTTTTCTCCAATTTTATAGTTTTTTAACCACCACTATACAAAGAAAAAGTTGAGATGCATTTTTTCAACTAGATTTACTTTTCAGGACATAGTTAACAGTATATAGCCAAGAATGGGAAACAGAGTTAGAGGATAACTGTGCAATCCAATGAGATAGGGAGGACCAGCAAGAGCAGAGTGACCTCAGGTGGAACTTTGTGGATGCCTGGGCCACAAAACTTGGGGATAGTCCTGGGGGCAAGGCTCTCTGGTGAAGTTAGGGCTTTCTGACCTGGCAACAGTAAACAAATGAATGTCATGGGGACCCAATTGCCCAGCTCAAGCAGTAGGGCCGGAGAATCGCTTCAGGGCCTGCTTCTAGGAGATGGCAGCTAGTAACTATTTGGAACTTACATTTCTACACATGTCTTTCTTCAACTATAGCAAAATATAAAAGTGGCACAAATAAGTTTCTAAAATGTGAAAGCATCTTCCAAGTGGGCAGGTGGCAAGGGTTAACACTGGTGGTCTTCTGAGTATTCCTATTTTCAGTTTTCTGTAACCTTTGCTCACCTTTGTTTTAACATTTTCCAAAACTTGTCTTGGATATTGAACTTTTCCTCTGACATATATCCCCATTTTCTGTGAGTGAATATTTGAACAACAGCTTTCCTTGCTCTAATACTAAGATCATAACGTTTATACTAAACAAATGGTTTTCTGAAGTTTTGTAGAATGTGCATTGTGAAAATAACATTATCATTATTTATAGACAAGGTCACTGAGACCCAGAAAAATGCAGTTTTTTGGCAATAGTAACATTTGGACAGGTTTCTAAACTTGCTGTTAGACACTGCTCAGCTTTCAGTTGTCAGTAATGTCGGCAAAATTGGGAAGAAGATTGACATAGTATGCCTTTGATATAACTCCATTTCCCTCCTTCTTGAATTTTTGGCCTATTTTTCTTCTTGAGAATATCATCTCATTCTCAGCTGGTGACATGCCGATCACTTCTAAGCTTTTAGTATTAAATTTGGTGCTTGCTGACTAGGGATTATTGAAGATGGGACACCACCCAGGGACAATGCATTGGAAAAGACAACTTGATACTGATAGTGTTACAGACATGTTGGAATGGCAGGCAATGGGATTGCTACTGTGTAGGAGATGCCCCTCAGAAATCCGGTCAATTACATTCTGGGTTTCAAATGAATGTAACAACTTGCTTAAATAGTTGTCCTTGACTATCATTCAACCCAGATGCCCCTTTTAGATTTTAATTATTTCCTAATGAAGGTGCCGAACTTGGCTTAACAAACTTGTGTACGTTGGGAATTTCACCATCTTTAGAGCTCCGTTACTGGTGTACTGATGTGATTAAGTCATGGGCCTGTTCCTGCTTGTTTTTGTTGTTGTTTTTTCCCTCTAGCTGCAAGAAATGTGATTTGGATGATGCCAAGCAGGTCCACTGGCTCCCATTTTACCATTTAATTGATGGTTAATTGTTTTCATTTCTACATTGTCTCTCTGCAAGCATCAGTTGTCTCCAGCAATAACCAATAATCTTTATTATCCCTAATATTACTATATGTATATCCTCCATATTTCTTCAATGCCTAATTTATAGGTGGCTTGTATTTTTTTCTACATATATACCTTCTAGTTCACCAGCAGTGAGTTTTTAAAAATTGCACAGCCACGTTGTGCCTGCAGCTAACTTTACCCACAAACTCTCATGGGGTACACATTGCCAGTTGTAATGTGGCTCTCAAATATCCTCATCTTTTAGTATGCATATAATTGTATAATACCCTCCCTCTGTGTGTGAGGTAAACCTATTGAATTGATTCTAACAAAATACGGTAAGATGATGGATATGACTTTCATGATTCAGTTACAGAAGACTGTTTTCTTGTTTGCAGTCTCTCTTGCCTTCTCTCATGTTTGCTCTCATGCCAGCTGCTTGTCATGAGATATTTTATGAAGAGGCCCACATGGCATAGAAGTGAGGAAGGATTCCAGCCAACACCTTATGAGGAGCTGAAACCTTAGTCCAACAGCCACGAGCAACTAAATCTTGCCAACAACCATCTGAGTGAGCTAGAAAGCAAATCTTTTTCAGCTGAGCTTCAAGAGGAGTACAGCCTTGTAAGCCTAAGCTGTTGCCCAAATTCTTGACCCACAGAGACTGTGAAATAATAAATGTTGTTTTAAGTCCCTGAATTCTGGAGTAAGCTGTTGTGCAACAACATAGAACTAATCTACCAGTCTTGGGGTGAGTAATTGTTGTAACTAGCCTCTAAGATGACCCCAAATAATCCCTGCATCCTCTTATGTACACCTTTGCATAGTCCCCTCCTATACTGTACCAAGATTACTTTCTAAGCATAAGGCAGAAACAGTAATTATGTCACTTCTGAGACTACGTTACTCTGTCTCATGTTCTTGCTGTCTCTCTCTTCTTGGATCATGCTCTGGGGTAAGCCAGATCCTGTTTCATGAGACAGTTCTGTGGAGAGACCCATGTGGAAAGGAACCGAGGGTTCTTCATGATAATAAGGAATAAGGCCTGCTGACAACCAAATGAGGAAACTTGGGAATGGACCTGTCAGACTCAATTGTCCTGCCCAACAGCTTGACAGCAATGTTATGAGGGACCCTAATCCAAAACCACACAGCTAAAATGCTTCTGGATTCCTGATGTTCAGAAAATGTGTGATATAATAAATATGGTATAAGCCGCCAACTTTTGGAGTAATTTGTTATAGAGCAATTGATAACTAATCCATCACTTTAATCCAATTTAGTGTCTGCTTATTCAGACACTAACAAGTGGGGCCTTTCATGAAGATTAGAAGGTAGGACATTTATTAGAGAGTGCTTTCAGGATATCTATTCATAAAGAGAAGAAAAAGAAATGGAATTGAGCAAAGGGAGCATTTGTCTTGTGGTGCAATCATAAGAATGCTTCAGATGAACTAGTATAGCACTCTGAAGCTAGGATGGCCACTCATAGTTATCAACAATATTGAGTCAGTTACCAGATCTTTATGCATGTGCTTTCACTTATAATTAAAGGTGGGCTACATTTGGATGGGGGTATGAACCTTGGATAAAGGAACTCTTTCCAGATGATGCAAGTTCCAGAGAGGACTGACTTCTAAGAGATATCAACCATCAACTTTCTTTGGAGACAGCACACTACAGCAAACACAACATCCAATACAGGCATACTTGATCTCCTCAGAGAAAAACATAATGGTCAAATAAAGCAAAGCTTAATAATAGATTAAGTGCAACTTTTCTGAAGTAGAAGACTAGAAGCTACACGTTGAAAAGACAAAAAATAGGAAAATGGTTCCAGGATAGTAAAAAAATTAAACATAGGCTAGTAAATTAAAATAATAACTTAATTAAGACCTTTCTTAATCATCTCTATTCTAATAAATTTGAAATCCTCATTAAAAGCTGTAGTCATTTAGAAACATTTATCAAAACTGACACCAGATGAAATAGAACATGCAAACTAATGTCAAAGAAAGAATGTTCTAGAACAATTCCTTTACCTTAACTGAAGCAAATGACCTGGAGAATTTTATGGAGAAATTTTGCTAGCATTCAGGACCACATAATTCCAATGGTTTTTAAATTTGTTCAGAGTATTACAAAAAAATCCTAATTCTTTCTATTACGTGAGTATAAAATCAATACAAAACATGATGTGGTTTTTATAAAAATAAAAATTAGTATTCTTGTAACTATTAAGGCAAAAACATTAAATATTATAAAACAACTTCTAGAAGCAGTGTATTATTCTGTCCTCATGCTGCTAATAAAGACATACCCAAGACTAGGTAATTTATACAGGGAAGAGGTTTAATTGACTCACAGTTTCATACAGCTGGGGAAGCCTCACAGTCATGGCAGAAGGCGAATGAGGAGCAAAGCCATGTCTTACATGGCAGCAGGCAAGAGAGCCTGCATAGCAGAACTCCTCTATAAAACCATCAGATCTCATGGACTTATTCACTATTACAAGAATAGCATGGGAAATAGCAGCCGCCATGATTCAGTTACCTCCTAGGGGGTCCCTCCCCGACATGTGAAAATTATGGGAACTACAATTCAAGATGAGATTTAGTTGGCAACACAGCCAAACCACATGATTCCACAACCCCAGTCCCTCCCAAATCTCATGTCCTCACGTTTCAAAACCAATCATGCCCTTCCCAACAGTCCCTGAAGTCTTAACTCATTTCAGCATTAACTCAAAAGCCCACAGTTCAAAGTCTCATCTGAGACAAGGCAATTCCCTTCTGCCTATGAGCCTATAAAATAAAAAGCAAGTTAGTTACTTCTTAGATACAATGAGCATACAGGCATTGGGTAAATACACCTGTTCCAAACGAGAGAAATTGTCCAAAACAAAAGGGCTAAAGTCCCCATGCAAGTCTGAAGTCCAATAGGGCAGTCATTAAACTTTAAAGTTCCAAAATGATCTCTTTTGACTCCATGTCTCACATCCAGGTCACACTGATGCAAGACATGGGCTCTCACAGCTTTGGGAAGCTGTGCCCCTGTGGCTTTGCAGGGTACAGAACCCCTCCTGGCTGCTTTCATAGGCTGGCATTGAGTGTCTGTGGCTTTTCCAGGTACACGGTGCAAGCTGTCAGTGGATCTATTATTCTGGGGCTTAGAAGATGATGGCTCACTAGACAGTGCCCCAGTGGGGACTCTGTTTAGGGGCTCCAATCCCACATTTCCCTTCTACACTGTCCTAGCAGAGGTCCTCCATGAGCGTTCTGCTTCTGCAGCAAACTTCTTGAAGATACAGGTGTTTCCATACATTTTCTGAAATCTAAGCAGAGGTTTCCAAACCTCAATTCTTGACTTCTGTGCACCTACAGTCTCAACACCATGTGGAAGCTGCCAAGGCTTGGGGCTTGTACCTTCTGAAGCCACAGCCTGAGCTGTACCTCGGCCCCTTTTGCCATGACTGGAGTGGCTGGGACACAGGGCACCAAGTCCCTAAGCTGCACACAGCAAGGAGGCCCTGGGCCTGGGCTTGGCCCATGAAACAATTTTTTCCTCCTAGGGCTCCAGGTCTGTGGTGGGAGGGCCTGCCTCCAAGGTCTCTGACATGCCCAGGAGACATTTTCCCGATTGTCCTGGTGATTAATATTCCATTCCTTGTTACTTATGCAAATGTCAGCAGAGGCTTAAATTTCTACTGAGAAAATAGATTTTTCTTTTCTATTGCATCATCAGGCTGCAAATGTTTCAAACTGTTATGATCTGCTTCCTCTTGAATGCTTCACCACTTAGAAATTCCTTTCTTCAGATATCCTAAATCATCTCTTTCAAATTCAAAGTTCCACAGATCTCTAGGGCAGGGGCAAAATGCCACCAATCTCTTTGCATAGCAAGAGTGATGTTTACTCCAGTTCCCAACAAGTTCTTCACCTCCATCTGATATTACCTCAGCCTGGACCTTATTGTCCATATCACTATCAGCATTTTGGTCAAAGCCATTCAACAAGTCTCTAGGAAGTTCCAAACTTTCTCACATCTTCCTGTCTTCTTCTGAGCCCTCCAAACTGTTCTAAACTTGCCTGTTACCCAATTGCTTCCACATTTTCAGGTATCTTTACAGCAGCACCCCGCTCTACTGGTACCAATTTTCTATATTAGTCTATTCTCATGCTGCTAATAAAGACATATCCAAGACTGAGTAATTTATAAAGGAAAGAGGTTTAACTGACTTACAGTTCCACATGGCTGAAGAGGCCTCACAATTATGGCAGAAGGCAAATGAGGAGCTAAGTCATGTCTTACATGGCAGCAGGCAAGAGACTGTGCAGGGAAACTCCCCTTTATAAAACCATCGGATCTCATGAGACTTATTCACTATCATGAGCACAGCATGGAAAAGACTTGCCCTCATGATTCAATTACCTCCCACCAGTTCCCTCCCAGGACACGTGGGAATTAGGGGAGTTACAATTGAAAATGAGATTTGGATGGTGACACCGCCAAACCATATCGCACAGACTAAAAGAATAATATAAGAATATAGTTTAAACAGATAAAGATTATATCAGAAATGCAAAGGTAATACAGTATTAAAAATGTTGTAATATAACTTATCATTTTAATATATCTAAGGTACTGGTTTTTTTTTTTTTTTTTTTTGAGGTGGAGTTTTGCTCTCGTTGCCCAGGCTGGAGTGCGATGGCACAATCTTGGCTCACTGAAACCTCTGCCTCCTGGGTTCAAGCAATTCTCCTGCCTCAGCCTCCCGAGTAGCTGGAATTACAGGCTCCCAACACCACACTCGGCTAATTTTGTATTTTTAGTAGAAATGGGGTTTCACCATGTTGGCCAGGCTGTTCTTGAACTCCTGACCTCAGGTGATCCGCTCACCTTGGCCTCCCAAAATGCTGGGATTACGGGTGTGAGCCACTGCACCTGACCTCTCATTGTAGTTTTAATTTGCATTTATCTGATGATTAGTGATGTTGAGTATTTTTTCATATGCCTATTTTCCATTGTCAGGTATTCTTTTCAGCAATGTCTATTCATATATTTTGTCCATTTTTGATCGCATTATTAGATTTTTCCTATAGAGTTGTTGGACCTCCTCAGATATTCTGGTTATTAATCTCTTGTCAGATGGGTAGCTTGCAAATATTCTCTCCCATTCTGTGGGTTGTATTTCACTTTGGTGATCATTTCCTTTGCTGTGCAGAAGCTTTTTAACTTGATGTGATTCCATTTGTCTATTTTTGCTTTGGTTGCCTGTGTTTGTGGGGATTGCTCAAGAAATTTTGCCCAGGCCAATGTCCTGTAGTAGTTTCATAGTTTAATTTTGTAGATTTAAGTCTCTAATCCATTTTGATTTTATTTTTGTCTATGGTGAGAGATAGGGCTCTAGTTTCATTCTTCTCCTTATAGATATCCAGTTTTCCTGGCACCATTTCTTGAAGAGACTGTCTTTTTCCTGTTGTAAGTTCTTGGCACCTTTGTCGAAAATGAGTTCACTGTAGGTGGATAGATTTGTTTCTGCGTTCTCTATTCTGTTTCCTTGATCTATGTGTCTGTTTTTATGCCAGTGCCATGCTGTTTTCATTACTATACACCTGTAGTATAATTTGAATTCAGGTAATGTGATTCCTCCAGTTTTGTTCTTTTAGTGTAAAGAGATTTAGAGTGAAAGGTAAGTTTTAGCTTCTTAAAAATACTTTTAAAATATGAAAACAAAAATAGACACTATAAAACAATAATTTTAGTAATCAGCCCTCAAGGTAAATAAATTACTTATTGGAAAGGATGCCAGCATGGTGAGCAGTTGTTCCAGCACTCACTGGATTCATTCACTGGGGAATGCATGCAGTCAGATTTGGTTCTAGAATTTTTCTCACGTAAAAGATGTTGGCTCTCTTTTGATTAGGTTTTATAATCTGGTGATTTCAGGGAAAAAAAGTATCTGTAAGAATCAGTTCATATCCTCTTTTCTTAGTTCAGTGCTTCCATTAACCAACAAACCAAATACTGCCTTTACGTATTGTACGATCTGATTAAATGATCTGGTAATTTGTCTGTTACCTTTCCACCTGCAGAGGGAATGCCATCAAGTCTATCAGTGGCTGCTGACTTAGAACTGGTCAAGCATAGACAAGAGTTTATTCTTCACTAAATTTTCCAACTTGCAGTGTTTTGCAAAAAGAGGGAAATATGTAAGTGGAGGAAGATGGGGATAGAATGCAAAATTGTTTCTGTATTACTCAAGGAAGGATATAGTGAGGAGAAATAACAGAAAGGTATCAGGGATAATTCTGGGTCAAGAAAACACAAAAAAATTTTGGGATGCTCAGCAGTTAAGGGGTTTTATTTTATTTCTTTTCTGTCTCGCTCACTTTCACTTTCTTGATTTCCCTCCTTTTTTCTCCCCAAAGTTATTTATTGAGTTTCTATTCTGAATTATGGCTTTGCCAAGCAAATAATATTCAAGTAAAGAAACTTGCTATAATTGAGAAAAACTTCATAACTAGGATAGCAGATTTTTATATTCATAATCAAATTCTTTTCTTTTTTTTTTAAATTTCTTGCCCTCACTCCCAGATATCATTATTTGGTTTCATGATAAGACTATAATCCCAAATATCCACTGGCTTTTTCTATTTTCTGAAACCTTCCATAATCAGCTTCCATATTACTTCCAATTATCTGGAGGCACCATTTTTTATTTTTCTGTTCTCCATCAGCTAGAAAAGAGATTAACTCTCTTACTTTCAAAGATGTGCTTTAAGGTCCATCCATACCCAACAATTTCTTCTTCACTTTGATGCCAACACAGAAAAAGTCAATAGAATTCACTTAGCTAAATATATATTTAAATTAACAAAGAAAATTTTTTTTACCTTTCTCTGAAGAGATGAAAGACAATTCATCCTATATTTAGAGTAGGTGAAATTATTTTATACAATAATAAAACTTGGGTACTCTTGTTGTCTTAAATTATATAGATATAGTATCCATAATATTTGGGAGAAAAAAGAAAATAGTGATCCTTTATTTGATAAAAAATATAGAAAAAATTTAAGGATGTGGTCTAACAAGAAAAAATTATGCACTTATATTTACTCAATTTTTATTCAGAAGTACAGAATACAGTTCCCACTGAGCTCTGGAAGTAGTTTGGAGCATTAAAGAGAGCTTTAATCATTCATATTGTACCTTCTGGAGAGATCATTCCTCTTACGTGACTGCACAATAAATGAAGGTGCATATTCTGGACATCTGTGGCCAGCTTGATTTTTTTCTTCTTCATTTGCTAGCCTAAGAGTTTTCCAGACATTATTAGCTATTGTGGATAAATCTGGAATTCTTCAATTCTGTAATATAGAGATATTTTCTTTTGTGGCTGTCACCTCTTAGATCATTCCTTTATCATTCTAAGCCAGAGCCATAGATTTAGATTTAGTCCTAAGGAGGTGTCCTATTCCTGACGTTAGGGACCACAAGATAGATGGTACTGTGCTGTGACTTTTTATGCCAACAAGCCACTATGTCCTCTCTATTATTGTACATTTTTCTCTTAAAAGAAGTATTAAAGCTCTGAAAACTCCTGGATCTTCTGGCAAGCTTTTTTGTGACAGCTGTAGCAACCAACAAGCATTGTTACTTCAAGGAAGCAAAGTGTGCATATAAAGGTAAATTTCCATATATTCCATTGCAACAGACATACGGCATTTTCTTGATTGAGTTAAAACATCTGTGGCTTCTGTTATTTCAATATGAGATTCCTGACTCCTTTAATATATGGTTCTTCCATTGGTAGGAAGACAACCTTAGAATCTCAAATATTCCCTCTGTCTTTTGCTCTGTTTATATGCCTTTGGAGTTTCATTTTCACCAGTCACTGTCTTTGTGCAAACTACAGTAACTGAGGGCCTTGTATACTCATTTAATATATGGTGACAATGATAATATGTTCATTTTATACGAAATCAAGATGATAATCAAATGAAAGTACTTTATGTGAAAATTATAACTAGCTGTAGCACTTAATGCAACTTTTTATTAATCCTATCTGAATGTGCTTAAACTTTCAATTTTCTCTAAGGAGGCTATTTCCTCTAGTTAAAGCTCAAGCCAGGGTATTAGTTTTTGTCAGAAATTTCTGGGTTTTAGGCTGAAATGTGTTTCTTTTTCTTAAGAAAATAGAGGCTTGGAAAAGACTCTGCTTAGAACTTTATTGCACTTTTTTAAAAATGATAACCAGTGAGGAAATGTCACAGTGAATAAGAAGAGAATAAATAAAGATTTTTAAAGTCTCTTGAAGGCTCAGAAGATTAGGATCATTATGAATCTAATAATTCTCTCCTGATTGGCAACAATGACCACATCAATAACAATGAGAACAGAATGATATTTTCATACAATCATTGCAGACGCAGCTGAGAAAGCTATATGCCACATTCTTGGAGGTTTCAATCATTTATGAACACCCTGGATCAAATGAAAAAAAATCTCATTTGATCCTAGACAAACTGTAAAGTTGACTAGAAAGAGTGGTAATGGGAGAATGGTAAGTCATTTAGGAGAAAAGAGAAAAGTTGACTAGAAAGAGTGGTAAAGGGAGAATGGTAAGCTGTTTGAAATAAAAGGAGAAATATGTATATAAGAAAGCCCTTTGTAAATGATAAATTAATAACACCTTGATAACTTTATTTGTATTCTATATGTGGGTAGAGACAAATGAAATAATAAAATAATGCTAATACCTTAATGAAACATTATAAAAATATATAAAATACAGTTTAAACATGAGTAGATGTAATTCAAGATTTAGAAGTGTTTTTTGATCTCAAACTTAACAATATTTTTCAAGGCAACATATTTTAAAATAAATATTGCCGAGCAACGTTATTTTAATTGCATGTTTTTGCCTCATTTTTGATAGCTGATTTTTTTTCGTGTTTTACTTAATTAAACACATTAAGCTAAACAGGAATAAAAAATCTTACCACATACTTGTGGAAGCCAGAATTACATTTAATGGGATTTCTCCTTTTGAAATGTGAAATAAAGAGATGTAAAGCAAAATCAGAAAACAATTCAGGGAAAATTTAGAATTATATTCTCTCCTCAATTCAGATACATGTATCTGTATCTGAACATAAATGTACCTTATGTACACATGCCTAATGTTCATACTTATCTGAAAATTTAAATACATGAACTATATCATATTATTATGTTTACAATATTGATCCAGAAATATTAATAGTATGGGTTTTCTCATGACAGAAAATAACCTTTTTTACTTAACTATTAACTTTAAACCTTTGTTTTAACCTTGTAGGTCACTTACTTACTTCATCAATACTGTAAATACCTAGCGACTAATGAGAGGGAAGATATGAAATCCTTTTTTTAAAAAATTTTACCTCAAGTTTTTACAAATTTTAAAATACTTTATACTAATAATATTTATCGCTGAACTTCTTCTTTTCCTTCCAGACCAAATGAGGAGATAATAGACATCAAATAGAATAGAATTCACTCCTATGTGGTAACCATGGTAGAATTTTATATTTCTGGATTGCCAACCAAATCAGCTTTGATATTTGCCCTCCAGAGTGAGGACACTGACTTCAAAGTCTATTTCTAGACTTACAGTACATGATGTTCATTCTTGCCAGTGAGTTATAGAAGCCAGCTGGCAGTATAAGCCCTAGAATATGGCATTCATCCTCAAAGAATAACAAAAAGAGAAAAAGGACATTTAGGCTGTGTAAGCCAGCTAGTATGTAGAAGTAGACTATACTCTGGTTTGGAAGATTAATGTAGAGGGAAAACCCAGCACCACCTCATCCAGCTACCAAGAGCAACCACAGTTTTACTTTTTCTGTTTTGAGTTTTTGCTTACAAAGCTATTCTACAAAGAAATAAGATATATTAGCTAATTAGTCTTATTACTTTTTGTCAGGCCTCTGAGCCCAAGCCAAGCCAGTGCATCCCCTGTGACTTGCACGTATACGCCCAGGTGGCCTGAAGTAACTGAAGAATCACAAAAGAAGTGAAAATGCCCTGCCCCACCTTAACTGATGATATTCCACCACAAAAGAAGTGAATATGGCCGGTCCTTGCCTTAATTGATGACATTCCACCATAAAAGAAGTGAAAATGGCCGGTCCTTGTCTTAAGTGATGACATTATCTTGTGAAAGTCCTTTTCCTGGCTCATCCTGGCTCAAAAAGCTCCCCCACTGAGCACCTTGCGACCCCCACTCCTGCCCGCCAGAGAACAAATCCCTTTTGACCATAATTTTCCTTTATCTACCCAAATCCTATAAAACAGTCCCACCCTTATCTCCCTTCGCTGACTCTCTTTTCGGACTCAGCCCGCCCGCACCCAGGTGATTAAAAAGCTTTATTGCTCACACACAGCCTGTTTGGTGGTCTCTTCACACGGACGCGCGTGAAACTTTTTATGCATATAAAAACATGAATGAATTATAAAAACATAAGATGGAAATGAAAAGAGCCATGACCAAAAAATATGACACAAAGATTAAATCAATTTTTATTAAGTACAAATAGAGAAAAAAATTAATACTTACCAATGCATACCTAGGTTGTAAAAGTAAGAGTGAACAGTTACCATAGCTGTGAAAATACTGGTTATCTCTAGTTGGGCGGGTATAGTAAGGTACTCTCAAATTTTGGGCCCTGTGACCTGAAAAAAAATCTGCTAACTTATATTTAGAAATACAGTATTGATATTCCAATGACTATACTTCATTTACCTATTGGCCCAATGCATATATATACATATTTATAATTAAGTTATATATTATGCTTATTTATAGGAAACACATTAGAAAAGAAGAGATGGACAATCATGATGTTAGTAAAGCCTGCATAAATTAAATTTTAATCAATTTTCTATGGGGAAAATCTTGATTTATACAATTTAGAGCTTTAACTGTTCATAGCTTGTAGTCATCAATATATGTATAAAAGTTTTTTAGATGATGAACAATGCTTTTTCTATAAATTTTCAAAGCATAACTGGTATTACCTATTGACAATCAGAGAAAGTGAGGCAAAGCAAGCAGGTGATTTTTATCACCAAGGGCAAACTAGATGTTGTCACTACCAGGAATATTGCTAATTAAAATTTTAAATTACTCAGACTTGACCATTCATGTATTCCTATCCTTCTGCACCACCATTACTTACTCTACTGATTAGATATCCAAATTGCTTTGCTCTACACGACTGCTTATAATTTCTTTTAAAATATTTCTAATAATTTATAATTTATCTCAAAACTTCCATTTGTATATACTTAACATTTTTGTTACTATCTGATTATAAAAGCTTACTGTTGGATGTAAGTGGCCAATAATTAACTTCTTCATTGCTTCTGCTTTAATATTCTCGGTTTCTTATTGTGTGACCTACCATCTGCCCTGCATTTAAAAATATTAGCTCTTCCACATTTTAGACAAATTCAAACACAAAGAAAGGATTACAAACTGTGCTAAGCTGACATGTGTCTAAATCTGGTAGTAATTTTCTATAGAAAATTAATATCTCTGGATATATTAATAAATATTCTCTAAAATAAAAAATATCAAAGTAAAATTAGTCAAATACAAAGTGACATATTAAAATATAAATAGATAATAAAATATCCAGAATCATCTATTAAAAATCACTGAATGATCCTTGGGACTAACATAAGGAGCTGCCTAGAGATTGCACAGAGACATTGCCCCAGAAAGGGAACTCATGCGGAGTCCCACAGGAATCTGAGCCAGGAGCAGCTTTGGCTTGGCACCATTCTGAGAGCCTAGCTCCTGGAGGTCTATGTCCTGCCATAAGGCCAGACTGACATGGCTTTTGTCACTGCCAGCGACTAGGTCAAGGAAGAGAGGGGAAACAGGCATTCCCACACACCCCTTGGACAAATACCAGTGCCCTGCTACAGGCTGCTGTGAAACCTAGGAATGAGCAGACTGCACTCCCTCAGCTACTTTCTCACACTGCTCCAGCTGACAGGGGCCCTGCCCTCCCTGGTAGTAGGTCCATAGCATAGCCACCACGGCACATACCTGAGCATTCCAAAGGCGGCCTGGGGATGACCATCTCTGCCTATCATAAATGGTGCCTGAACAGACTGCCAAGGGACCTCAGGATATGTCTGCTGGTCCAGTTTCATCCGCTCAGGACTCAAGTATGCCATCAGAGGCCTAGGAATTGCCCAGCCCATTTCTCCACTGTTGGCATCCGATCACTCCTACTGAGATCTGAAGTCAAGCCAACCCAACCTACTGACACCACCACAGCTGATAGCCACCCACATGTGCTACCAGCCTGCCAGGGTAATGACTTGCTCAAACTGTTGCATTAACCACCAACATCAGCACGGACTGCCTGGGTTCAGGTAGGTTGTTCCACTACCACTACTGCCAACACTCACAACACACAAACTGCACAGAAGCCTGAGAACCCACCAACATACTCAGCCCACCACTCCCTCTATGAACATCCAAACCAGCCACCTGAAGGCCCAAGAATTGACCCTCTAGGACCTACTAACACAATGCCAGCGTAAGTCGGTCTGGGGCCAAAAAACAGGCATACATAGCCAATGACTACTACCTCTGGAACCAAAGACTGACCGTGCTGGCATATTAGTCTCCAGGAAACATCATCACAGCCTCCACTAATAACTGCACCCTAAATAACCAAGGAAATCACAGATACCACTGATGCTGTGTAATGCTGAAAAAAATCATACAGAGGTCGTGCTACTGAGGCACCCAAAATCACATCCAAGCACCCTACACAAATAGCAATATATATACAACTTAAAGAAAAAATCCTCTCCTGTGAAAACAATTTCAAAGAATTATATGAAGCAACTGTTACACCATACGCACAATACCAACATAAAGACACAGGAAACATGAAAAAGCCAGAAAATATGACACAAACAAAGGAACAACAAATCTCCAGCAAGAAATCACAATAAAAAAATAAATTAATAATATCTCAAATCAAGAATTATAAATACCGATTTTAAGATTATGAAATCAAGGTACACAAATCAGTAGCACTGCTATACACCAACAATGACAAAGCTGAGAATTTAATCAAGAACTCAATTCCAAACAATGAGAACACTTGGACACAGGGCGGGGAACATCACACATGGGGGCCTGTTGGGGGGTGGGACTGCTGAAAGAAATAATAGATAATACAAAGAAATGAAAATATTCCCATGCTTATGGATCAGAAGAACCAAAATGGTCATTAAAGTGACCTTACTGCTCAAAGCAATCTACAGATTCAATGCGATTCATATCAAAACACCAGCATCATATTACATAGAATTAAAAAAAATCCTACCATTTATATGGAACCAAGAAAGAGCCCAAATAGCCAAAGCAATCCTAAGCAAAAAGAATATCTGTAGGCATCATATTACCTGACTTCACATTATACTATGAGGCTACAATAACCAAAACAGCATGGTGCTGGTATAAAAGGTGACACAATGACCAACGGAACAGAATAGAGAACCCAGAAATAGAGCCCAATAGTTACAACCAACTGATCTTTAACAAAGCATACAAAAGTACACATTGGGAAAAGGACACCCTACTTAATAAATGATGCTAGGAAAACTGGATAGCCACATATAGAAGAATAAAACTGGATCCCTATTTCTCACCATATGCAAAAACTAACTCAAGATGGATTAATGACTTAGATTTAAGACCTGAACGTATACAAATTCTACGAGAAGAAGAAGAAAAAAAAACTTCTGGGCATTGGTGTATGCAAGGAATTTATGAGTAAGCCCCTAAAAACAAATGAAACAAAAACAAAAATAAATGAATGGGACTTAAACTAAAAAGCTTCTGCACTGCAAAAAAATCATAAGAGTGAGCATATGACCTATAGAATGGGAAAAAATGTTTCCAAATTATGCTCCTGTATAGGACTAATATCTAGAATTTACAAGAAACTGAAAAAACTCAATAGAAAATAATAATCTCATTAAAAAGTAGGCAAGAAACATGAATAGATATTTCTCAAAGAAGATATACAAACGGCTGACAAACATATGAAAAAATGTTCAACATCACTAGTCATCAGGTAAATGCTCATTTAAACTGCAACAAGGCATCACCTTACCCCAGCCAGAATGACCATAATTAAAAAGTCAAAAAACGACAGATATTGGCATGGATGTGTTGAAAAAGGAATGCTTATATGCTTCTGGTGGAAATGTAAATTAGTACAACTTCTATGGAAAAAAAAAATGGTATGGACATTTTGCAAAGAACTAAAACTAAATCTACCATTCAATCTGGCAGTCACATTACTGGGTATCTACTGAAAAGAAAAGAAGTCACTCTATGAAAAAGACACCTGCATGCATATGTTAGTCACGTCACAACACACAATTGTAAATATATGGAATCAACCTGATAAGTGGAAAAAGAAAATGTGATTTTATATATATATGCATACACACACACACACACACACACACCATGGAATACTACTACTACTGCTACTACACACACACACACAAACACCATGGACTACTACTCAGCCATAAAAAAGTATAAAACAATATTTTTGCAGCAACTTGTATGGAACTGAAGAATATTATTCTAAGTGAAATAACTCAGATATCTAAAAACAAATACCACATGTTCTCACTTGTAAGTGGGAGCTAAGCTATCAGTCCACAAAAACATACAGAGTGGTAAAATGAACATCAAAGACTCAGAAGAAGCCATGGTGGCTTACACCTGTAAGTCCAGCACTTTTGGAGCCTAAGGTGGACATACCACTTGAGGTCAGGATTTCGAGAACAGCCTGGGTAGCATGGTGAAATTCCGTCTCTACTAAAAATACAAAACTTAGCTGGGCATGGCGGTGCATATCTGTAGTCCCAGCTACTCAGGAGGCTGAGGCATGAGAATCACTTGAACCCAGGAGGCGGATGTTGCAGTGAGCCGAGATCATGCCACCGCACTCCAGCCTGGGTAACAGAGCAAGACCCTGTCTCAAAAACAAACAAACAAACAAACAAAAGACTCAGAAGGGGGAAGGGTTGGAAGAGCCATAAGGGATGCGAAACTACCTATTGGGTACAATGTCCACTACTCAGGTGGTGAGTACACTAAAATTCTAGACTTCACAACAGTACAATTCATCTAGTAATCAAAAACCACTTATAGCCCTAAAGCTATTCAAATAGAAAAAAATTAATACTTATAAGGAAACCTAAGGAAATAGAAGAGAATGCTAAAAAATAACACAAAAATAAAAAAAGGATATAAATGAGAAATTTACCAAATAGATCATTTAAAAAAATCAAATATAAATTATTGGGATGAAGAATTTATTGAAAGAAATACAAAATACATTTGAAAGCTTCTACAATCAACTAAATTAAGCAGAAGTAAGACTCTCAGAGCTTGAAGACAGGTTTTTGAAATAATCCAGTCAGACATAAATAAAAAAAGGAGAATTAAAACATGAGCAAAGCCTTTGTAAAATTTGGTACATCATAAAGTGACCAAATGTAAAAATTATCAGTATCCCCAAGGATGAAGAGAAAATAAAGGGATTAGGGAAGCTATTTAATAAAGTAATAGATGAAAACATCTCAAATCTAAAAAGAGATTTAATATTTGAATACAGAAGGCTCAATGATCCCCAGGCAAATACAATGTAAAAAAAAGTCACCTCCAGAAAACTTTATAATCACTGTCTAAATTCAAAAACAAAAAGTGATTCCTAAACATGGCAAGTGAAAAGTGCCTAATCACCTGAAAAGAAAAACCTGACAAACTACCAGCAAATTTCTCAGCAGAAACCTTACAAGCCAGAAGAGAATAGAATGATACATTCAAAGTGCTGAAAGAAAAACAAAACAAAACAAAAACAAAACTGTCAAGCAAGTATATACATCCAGCAAAATTAACCTTAATAAATGAAGGAGAAATAATGTTCTTTTCCAGACAAGCAGATGATGACAGAATTTTTCACCACTATGTCAGCCCTACAAGAAATGTTTTAGAGTCTTAAACTTGTAAGCAAAAGGTGGATATTTACCATCATGAAAACATATGGAAGCATAAATCTCACTGGTAAGACAATCACATAAAGGAGGAAACAAAAGGATTCCAGTAGTGCCACTGTAGAAATTTACCAAAACACAATGATAAACAATAAGAGAAAAAGAAAGAAAGAAAGAATGTATACAACAACCAGAAGACAGTCAACAATATGACAGGGACAAACCCTCACATATCAATAATAACCTTGAATGTAAACAGACTAAATTCTGCACTTAAAAGATATAGAATGGCTGAATAAATTTAAAAATGTAATCCTTTTACATGCTGCTGAGAAGAAACTCACCTTAAAATGAAGATACATATAAACTGAAAGGAAAATGATGGAAAAGGTTATTCCATGCAAACAGAAACTAAAAGTGAGAAGGAGTAGCTATACTCATATAGAATAAAACAGACTTAAATCAAGAACAGCAAAGTAAGACAAAGAAGGTCATTACATAATGACAAAGGTAATAATCCATCAAGAGAATATAACAATTCCAAATATATATGCACCCAACAAACTGGACCATTCAGCTTTATTAAGCAACTATTACTATTATAGATCAAAAGAGACAGACAAACTGCAATACAATTATAGTGGGAGACTTTCACACATCACTATGGTGATACATTACTCAGGTACATTGTACCAAAGAATCATAATGTGTGGAAGTCTCCCAAAATTATAGTGGGAGACTTATGTAATTATCGTGGGAACTATAATTGTGGGAGACTTCCACATATCATATTTCTTTGTTGATCCCACAATTATAGTTTCCACTGTAATTAATTACATGAGTCTCCCACTATATACATAAAATCAACAAAGGAGCATTTGATTTAAACTGGATGTTAGATTAAATGGAATTAATAGACATTTACAGAACATTTTATCCAAGAACTGCAGAATATGCATTATTTTCATTAGTACATGCAACATTCTCCAGGATAGACTATTATATTAGGCGACACAAGTCTCAACAATTTTTTAAAATCATAATATCAAATATCTTCTCAGACAACAAAGGAATAAGACTAAAAATGAACACCAAGAGGAACTCTGGAAACTATACAAATGCATGAAAATTAAATAACAAAATGCTGAATGACCACTGGGTCAATGAAGAAATTAAATAAAAATGTTTAAAACATATTCTTGAAAGAAAAATTGAAACAAAATATACTGAAAGCTATAGGATACAGCAAAAGTGGTTCCAAGAGGAAAGTTTACAGCTATAAATGCCTACATCAAAAGAGCAGAAAAATTACAAATTAACAATCTAACACTGTAACTCAAGGAAATAGAAACAAGAACAAATTAAACCCCAGATTTGTGGAGAAAGGTAATAAGAGAGATCAGAGCAGAACTAAGTGTAGTAAAACCTAAGAATATACACAGTACAATAAAATATAAAGCTGGTTATTTGAAAAGATAAACAAAATTGTTAAGTCACTAGCTAGACTAACCAAGAAGAGAGAAGATTCAGATAAACAAAATCAGAAATAAAAAAGGATACATTACAACTGGTACTACAGAAAGATAAAAGATCATAAGAGACTATTAAGAACAACTATATGCTAACAAACTGGAATGTATGTAAAAATTGATAAGTTTATGGAAACATATAAGCTACCAAGACTGAATTAATAATAAATAGAAAATCAGAACAGAGCAATAAAAAATGGTGAGAGTGATTAAATATTAAAAAGCCTCCCTACAAAGAAAAACCCAGGACCTGAGAGATGCATGGCCAAATCCTACCAAATGTACTAAGAAATATTAATACAGTACTTCTATATCTATTTCAAAAAAAAAAAAATGAAGAGAAGAAAATCCTATCTAACTCATTCTATGAGGCCAGTATCTTCCTGATGCCATAGCCATTCAAGGACACAACAACAACAACAAAACTGTAGGCCAATATCCCTAATGAACGTAGATGCAAAAATCCTCAACCAAATACTAGAAAACTATTTTTAACTGCACATCAAAAAGACAGTATAGCATGATCAAATGGAATTTATATCACAGATACAAGGATGGTTCAACACGCACAAATTAATATATGTGAGACATCACAGAACAGAATGAAGGGCAAAAACCATATGACCATCTCAATAGATACAGAAAAAGCATTTTATGAAGTTCTACATTTCTTCATGATAAAACTCTCAACAAACTAGGCATAAAAGAAACATATTTCAGCTGGGCGCAGTGGCTCACGCCTGTAATCCCAGCTCTTTGGGAGGCCGAGATGGGCGAATCACGAGGTCAGGATATCGAGACCATCCTGGCTAACACAGTGAAACCCCATCTCTACCAAAAATACACAAAAATTAGCTGGGCGCGATGGCGGGCTAATAGTCCCAGATATTTGGGAGGTTGAGGCAGGAGAATGGCGTGAACACGGGATGTGGAGCTGGCAGTGAGCCGAGATCACGCCACGGCACTCCAGATTGGGTGACAGAGCAAGACTCTATCTCGAAAAAAAGAAACATATTTCAACCCAATAAAGGCCATATATGACACAACCATACCTAACATTATACTGAATAATAAAAAGTTAAAATCCTTTCCTCCAAGAACTGGAACAAGATAAGAATGCCCACTTTCAACAGTCTTATTCAGCATAGTACTGAAAGTTTTAGCAAGATAAATCAGGCAAAAGAAAGAAATAAAAGGCATCCAAGTTGAAAATGAGAAAGTCACATTGCCCCTGTTCATTATGATATAATCTTATATCTAGAAAAACCTAGACTTCACCAAAAATCTCTAAGATTTGATAAATGCATTCAGTAAAGTAGTATGTTATAAAATCAACATGCAGAAATCAGTAGTGCTTCTATACACTAATAATAACTTAGCAAAAAGAAAGAAAGAAAGAAAAAGTTTTTACCACTTACAATAGCTACCAAAAATAAAATCACCCTAGAAATATATTTAACCAAGGAGAAGGAGGATATCTACAAGGAAAACTTCAAATAGAAAAACATCCCATGCTCATGGATGGGAAGAATCAATATTATTAAAATGATCATATTGCCCAGAGCAATCTACAGATTCAAAGCAATTCCTATCAAATTACCAACATAATTTTTCATAGAATTAGAAAAAACAATCCCAAAATTCATATGGAATCCAAAAAGATACTGGATAGCCAAAACAATCCTGAGCAAAAGAATAAAACTTAAGGCATCACATTACCTAACTTCAAAATATGTAACAATACTATAATAACCCAAGCAGCATGATATTTATATAAAAATAGACACATAGACCAATGGGACAGAATAGAAAACCCAGCAGTAAAGCCACATACTTACGGCCAACTGATCCTTGACAAAGCCAACAAGAACTTACACTGGGGAAAGGACACCCTATTCAATAAACGATGTTGGAAAACTTGGATAGCCACATATAAAAGAATGAAACTAGATCCCTATTTCTCACCATATAAAAAAGTCAAATCAAGAAGGAATAAAGACTTAAATGTAGGACCCAAAACTATGAAAACACTATAATAATACTGTAATTAGTCAGTTTTCACATTGCTATAAAGAACTACCTAAGAGTGTGTCATTTATAAAGAAAAGCGTTTTAATTTACTCACAGTTCCACATGGCTGAGGAGGCCTCAGGAAACTTACAATCATGGTGGAAGGTGAAGAAGAAGCAATCATCCTCTTACATGGCAGCACGAGGAGAAAGATTAAGGAAGTGACAAACTTTTGAACCATCAGATCTCATGAGAACTCACTCACTACCATGAGAACAGCATGGGGAAAACTGCTCCATGGTCCAATCACCTTCCACCAGGTCCCTTTCTCGACATGTGGGGATTACAGTTCAAGATGAGATTTGGGTGGGGATGCAGAGCCAAATCATATCAAATACCTAGAGAAAACTCTCTTGGAGAGTAGTCTAGGCAAATAACCCATGATTGGGTCCTCAAAAGCATAAGCAACAAAAACAAAAATAGATAAATTGAACTCTGTTAAACTAAAAACTTTCTGCACAGCAAAAGAAATAACCAACAGAATGAAGAGGCAACCTCTTTAATGGAATAATATATTTGGAAACTATTCATCTGACAGGGGACTAATATACAGAATATACAATGAACTCAAACAACACAACAGGAAAAAAAAACACAGCAATAAATAGCCTCACTAAAAAGTGAGCAAAGGTAATAAGTAGGCATTTCTCAAAAAACAACAACAACAAAATAAACAAATAAAAAAACATACAAACGGCCAGCAGGTATGTGTAAAAATGCTCAACCTCACTAATCATCAGAGAAACACAAATCAAAACCACAACAAGATGTCTTACCCCAGTTAGTATGGTTATTATAAACAAAACAAAACAAAACAAAAAAACACCAGATGTTGGTGAGACTGTGGAGAAAAAGAAACTCTTATACACTGTTGGTGGGAATGCAAACTAGTACATCCACTATGGAAAAAAGTATGAAGATTTCTCAAATAACTAAAAGTAGAATTGCCATTTGATCCAGTAATTCCACTACTAAATATCTCTCCAATGGAAAAGAAATCAATATATCAAAGGGATAGCTGTACCCTCATCTTTATTGCAGGACTATTCGCAACAACTAAGTTATGGAATCAACATAAGTGCCCATCAACAGATGCATGGGTTAAAAAATGTGGTCTATATACCCAATGGAATACAATTTAGCCAAACACACACACACACACCCACACACACACACACACACACACACAGACAAATGAAATCATGTCTTTGCAGCAACATGGATGAAACTGTAGGTTATTATCTTTAGTGAAATCAGCCAGGCACAAAAAGACAAATATTACATATTCTTACTTAAATGTGGGAGTTAAAAAATTTGAACACATGGAAGTAGAGTGGAAAAATAGAAAACAGACTGGAAGTGTCAGTAGTCGGGAGGGGAAATGAGGAAGAGAAGTGGGTTAAAGGCCACAAGCATATAGCAAAATAAAAGGAATAAATTCAGTGGCAGAGTTTGATGACTATATTTAACAAAAATGCACTGTACTCAGGTGATGGACACCCTGGAAGCCGTAACTTTATCACTATGCGTCATATGCATATAACAAATTGTATCAGGTACTCCATACATCTGCACACATAAAAACATATCCCTTGGGATTCCAGAGTTAGGTGGATTGAAGCTTGGAAGATACTGGAAAATTTTGAGTTATTCTCTCTCTTACTATCATGGTTACATTTTTCCATTCCTGGTCATTGAGTTTGGATGGTGGGTCTAAATTGTCCTTGCTGCCACCCTGGAACTGTGGTTCCGGGTTGGCCACTGGACTTTATGTTGGGCTCTGGGTTTTGGTGCCATGGCCTTGCAGGTCTTCTCCCTTTCTCACTGTATGTAATCCATGCCTGCATATAATTGAAGATATAGTACATCTTTGAGTTTTCTTGACAGATTCACTATCCTATTATAGTGATTTTTGTATCTAATTCTTGAGCCTACATTTAGCTCCAATGTTGAATACATACACACACACACTTTCAAATATAATAAAATCCAAATAATATTGTGGGTATATCTTTTTTCTCTATTTTTTTTTTTAATATTCCAAGTGTGCTTGGAAAGAATTACTGAATTGCTATTATTGAAAGGTGCTTTATGAATAAGTTAAGTAATATCTAGGTAGATACTATTTAGAAAGCTCACAATATATCTTCCTTTTAGCTTTTAGATTTTTTTTTTCAGTTAAAACTCAGATATTCTAGATAATCGGGCTTCTATCTAGCAAGCCATGTAAACTTTGGCTCACAAATCACATCCAAGACAGGCTTTCATACAGTTTATAAGAAATTTCCTCTAGAGAGAATATAAAAGCACAATATAAAAGGTCAAGATATATTTTTTAGTTGTTTAAAGTTTCCACAAGCATACTCTCTGCAAGATCCCTTTGAAAAAATAAGAAAGGATAATGCATGCAACATTTACATATCCTGTTCATGTAATGTTTCAAAATAGTAGCAATATAATTCATTTGCATAGTATTTTTGATTTTCCAGTGCTACCAGTATATATGGCAGAGGTCTTTGTTTTAGAGATGAGAAGTCTGAAACAAGAACAATTAGATAATGCAGCTAAGATAACCCTCATGTTACACCAGGATTTGAACAAACACTCTAATCCAAATCTTGTATTTTTACATGATTCAACACCCAGTTGACCAAGGCTGGGTGCATTCCATTTGCCTGTGATTTTTTTTTAAGTGGAAGTATATAAGAGTTCCTCTTTCTCCATATCCTTGTCAACACTTATCTGTGTCTTGATGATAGTGACTTCAACAGGTGTGAGGTCTTATGTCATGGATTTATTTGCATTTCCCTGATGATTACTGATGTTTAGCATTTTTTCATATGCTTCTGACCATTTGTATGTCTTCTTTGGAGAAATGTGCTTTTAGATGATTTTCTTGTTTTTAATTGTATTATTTGTATTTTAATATTTAGTTTTTTGAATTTCTTATATATTCTCCTTATTAATCTCTTGTTGGATGGATTGTTTGCAGATATTTTCTGTAGGTTATCTCTTTACTCTGGCTTCTTTTGTTATTTAGAAGCTTTTTGGCTTGATTTCATCCCATTTGTCTATTTTTGCTCCAGTTGCCTGTGTTTTAAAGGTCTTACCCAAGAAATCTTTGCATAGACCAACGTCCTGAAGCATTTCCGTATGTTTTCTTTCAGTACTTTCATATTTTCAGGTCTCACACTTAAGTTGTTAATTAACTTTGATTTAATTTTTGTATATGGTGAGAGATAGGGGTACAGTTTTATTATTTTGCATGTGGTTATTCAGTTTTCCCAGCACTATCTATTGACGAAACTGTCCTTTCCCTAATGTATGTTCTTGGTGGGTTTGTAAAAAATGAATTGGCTGTAAATGCATGGATTTATTTCTGGGATCTTGACTCTGTTCCATTAGTCTGTGTGTCTGATTACCATCCTGTTTTGGTTACTAAGGCTTCGTTGCGTATTTTGAAGTCAGGTAGTGTGAAGCCTTCAGCTAGTTCTTTTTGCTCAGGATTGCTTTTGCTGTTCAGGGTCATTTGTGCTTCCATACAAATTTTAGGACTGCATTTTCTATTTCTGTGAAGAATGTCACAGAAATTTGATGGGGGATTACATTTATTCTGAAGATTACTTTGGGTATATGGGCATTTCAACAATAATAATTTTCATTCAGTGAGCATAGGATATCTTTCCTTTCATGTATATATCCTTATTTTATGTCATTGGTGTTTGCTTTATAATTTTCTTTAAAGGATGTTTGGTTAAATTTATTGCAAGATATTTTATAATTTTTGTAGCTATTTAAGATTTAATTGCTTTCCTAAATTTTTTCAGTTGTTTACTGTTGTTAACCATAAATGCCACTGATTTTTGTATGTTGACTTTGTTTCCTGCAACATTACTGAATTTGTTGATAAGTTTTAACAGTTTTTATTTTTATTTTTTGGTGGAATCTTTAGGTTTTTCTAAAAACATGTTATCTGCAAACAAGGAAAATTTGACTTATTTCTTTCTAATTTGTATGCGCTTTCTTTCTTTTGTCTATTTGCTCTGAAAAGGACTTCCGGTACTATGTTGAATAAAAGTAGTGAAAGTGGATATTTTTGTCTTCTTTCAGATCTTAGAGGAAAAGTTTTCAATTTTTCATTATTCGGTGTGATATTAACTGTGGATTTGTCATATATGGCCTTCATTGTTTTGAGGTATGTTTCTTTGATACCTAATTTGTTGAGAGTTTTTACCATGAAAGGATGTTGAATTTTATCGAATGCTTTTTCAGCATCTATCGAAATGTTCACATTTTTTGTCCTTGATTTTGTTAATATGCTGTATCATGTTTATTGATTTGTGTATGTTGAACCATCCTTGTAACCCTTGGATAAATCCCACTGGATTATGGAGAATAATGTTTTTAATGTGTTGTTGAATTCAGTTTGCTAGTATTATGTTGTGGATTTTTGCATCTATATTCATCAGGGGTATTGGCCTTGAGCATGTACCTTTGAAGTCTGAGTATTTCAGGGTCTCTATTTCCTCTACCTAAAGATGCTTTGGTTTATTTATTTCTGTCTGTAAATGATTCAATTTATAACTTCTTTCAGAGCTCTGAAATTCAGCTCAGGACTTATATCCTTTGGGACCTCATAATTCTGTTTTAAAAACAGCACCATTAAGACATAACCACTGTTAGCATTTTGGCTTCATCCTTTTAGTTACTTGTTTTCTCTTCTCACATATGCACATACACACACATGCACATATATATATATGTATATACATACATATCATTTATAATCATTACTGTTATATAAATATATATTGTTTTGAGTATGTTTGTGTTGCGAAGATGTATTTATGTTTTCTTGTTTGTTTGTTTGTTTTTTGAGACAGGGTATCTCCCTGGCTGGAGTGCAGTAGCATGGTCTCTGCTCACTGGAGCCTCGACCTCCTGGGCTCAAGCCATTCTCCCACGTCAGCCTCTGCCCCAAACACCACCCCACACTCCCCAACCCCTCCAACCCTGAGTAGCTGGGAATACAGGCGCGTGCACCACACCCAGCTACCTTCTGTATTGTTTTGTAGAGATGGGTTTTCACCGTGTTGCCTAGGCAGGTCTCAAACTCTAGGCTCAAGAGATCTACCCACCTTGGCCCCCCAACATGTTTACAGACTGAGCCACCGTGCCGGCTATTTATGGCATGTTTACATGTCCTTCTCTTTTTGGTCTGCATATCATTAAACACAGCTGCCTTAGTAAAAGGAAAATGTCTTTTCTTGACTGTCCACAGGATGGCATTAGAGGTCTCTTCATAAATCCCAAGGTTAGTGCTTTTCTTTGACATTTATGTGCTAGACTCTTAAAGTAGAAAGTTTCAGATCTGAAGATTTGAGTATTCATAACATCTTTATTATGGTTGGTCCTCATATCTTCATTTTGATGCTAATTCTCAGTGTAGTTACATGGGTAAATAATCAGTACAGCACTAAGAAGAAATATAAAACTTGGCCTGAGCAAGCTTGAATAAATGTGAGTTTTATAGCACATACTAAATGTAAGGAGAGGGAAATATAGTTTTCTGATGGCAAGGGTAGCAATAGCTGTCTTGATGATTGGATGCTTAACAGAGCATATAAATTCAGCCACAGATAGTTGCCAAGAGCAGTTGCATAATTCACATGAAGCAAGTTTGCATCAAAGTAAGTCAAGAGCATTCATGGCTTGAATCAAGCTATGCTGATACTTATTCTCAAAAAGGCAATATCTAGTTTCTTCAATATGCAGGGAATGTACAAACATAAGTATGAATGAACACTTGTTTTCTCAGAATAATCAAAAGCAAGCCTAATGTCAACTCTCAAGGTATACTCCTGATTTAAGAAATGGGGGCAAGGAGATTGTTTACAAATTTCATGTGAGAGCGAAAATGTTGTCTGAATGTCTAGAACATGGGTCTTTTTTAGCTGTAGTGCAGATAAGATTCCTAGTCAGGCATCTAGATAATTATTTTTATTTTTCAGAAATTCTGTATGATACCCTACATGTAGCTCTATATTGGGAACCTGTGATATTGGGGCTCTCATGTTGGATACTTTGCTAACTGCATATGTGATTTGAGACAAGCACGTTAACTAACCTTTGTCCTAGTGGGTTTTTTTTTCATTTAACTTCTAAGCTTAGTAGGTAAAAATATATGATCTCTAAGACACCTTCAGCCTCTCCTGTTTTTTGAGTGTATTTTTATTTTCATTATTTTTTTCAAATCAAATTTTAATTTAAGATAGATCCTTTTAGATAACAAGTAAGTCTGCATGCTAGTTACTTGTTTAGAACTCAGAATAATCTTTTTTCACATATGTAATAATACATTTAGAGGTTATTTTCCCTACTTAAACAGTAAGTACTAATACATTTTATAACAAGCAAAACCATAATTTAAGAGATACTATAAAAGCTATCATTTAATATATCCATTCTAACTTATATTGGAGATGCCAAGAGTAAAGGCAGATATTTGATAGGAGGAAATTGGAAAGGACTTCTGGCAAGGAAAATCTTAGTCAGGGATGAAGTCTGAAGAGGGATTTCAATCGTGAACATAAAAATGTGATGAGAGGTGGAAGAATTCCATTGATAAGAACTCTATAGCATAAGCAGTATTTTCTGAGAATAAACCATTCTTGGGGATCTGGGTTTTTCAACAAGGAAGAAGAAATTAGCTGATTTGCACAAATTAGATATCATTATTTTTATACATAGGACATATATAAGTCAGATTCCTACACCACCCTGCATAAAAGTACTCTACTCTGATTTAGCACATATGATATAATTATAAATTCATACAACAAAATATTATCCCAACATAGGTGAATAATTAAAATCTGCTAAATCAAAATGATTCCATTCAAATTTCATTGCACATATGATAAGTGTAGGAAAATTTACAAAATATTGAATGTAAAGATGGTTTAGGACATCTATGCTTTCAGGAAGCCCATCTGAAACACATTAAAATATATAGTAGACTGATAATGGATATACTAACAATGAAACATTTTTCTATATATGAGTAATTTTATCTAAGAAATTAGAGAGTCACGAGATCTGATTTTTAGTAAAGATGTTGAAACTGTTTGGTATGGGGAGGAAAGTTTAGGAAGAAGAAGGATATAAAAAAACAGAGATAAGAGTAAGCATTCCATGTACCGGAAACTACAGCTAATGGTTACAGGTCATTTGTAAAGAGGGAAATGATAAGAAAAGGAACTGAAAAAGTTATTCTGATGAAAAAGGGTCTAATACGTTAAGAAGCATGGACTTTTTGTTGTTAATGGCGAATCATTGGAGGTTATTAGACATAAAAGTTACATTACTAGGATTTCCTCTTACAAAGACCTATCTGAAAGCAGTGTGGCATGACAAAGAGGGGACAGTCTGTATGTTCTCATAATTGCCTAGGAAAGAATTATGAGCACTTGCATTAAGATAATGGTAATGTCTGGAATAGAAAGTCCAGAAGTGTTTAGGGATATGATTTGGTGAAGTTAATTCAAGGAATTTCAGTTTTTTTTAAAAAAAATTGTACATTTTGAGTGAGACAGAGTAGGTCATACATACAGTCTATGTACAAATAGGTGTGAATGATGACATGTGCAGTGTTTAAGTTTGCATTCACTCAATTGGCTGCTACACCAGTAAATAAGCAGTGGAAAGGATACCGATGAGTAGATGCAACTTTCTCCTCTTCTTCATAGATGCCTACTTAAAGTATAGTAATCTCAATCCAAATAGCTTAAGAATTAAACATTTCGAAGACCCCAGAATCCCAAGCTTAGTGACTTTTATGTAAATGACTAGAAAGAGAGCACAAGCAAGTACTTAGTGTTAAAATTCTTTAGCATTTAAGGAAATTTTTGTTGTGCTAAAGACTTCATATTTTATTTCTTAATGAGTCATCAAACCTGTGGCAGGGCTAATCTGCCTAGCACATGAAGAAAAATACAATAACATATAGTACATATTTTGGTAAGTTTAGCTAGAGGTATTTTTCATTATTGGGCAGAGAAAAGATAAACATGTAGCTTCTCTTTTCAGTCTCTCTTCAATTTTACATGCTATACATTAAAGCACATCTTGTAACAATATGGTTGTCATATATTAAACTTCCTTTTCTTCTTATAAATTATTTTGTAGCAGCATTACATAATACTCACGTGCCTCCTATCACACAAAACAGAATTGGAATATTCAATGTGTGCATAAATTAGCAGTAGAGGTATTGTATAATAAGAAGAGATAGGGAAGTATCACAGGGAAAAATTCAAGTCACTTCGGTGGGTGATGATAATACAGAATTTCAATTACTCCTACATTCATGGCAATAAGAATTGATAAATGACTTATGAAGGCTGACTATCTTTGGAGATAATACAAGGCCATTTCTCTACCTAGTTCAATAGAAAATCAACATGATCAGTCCTGCTAGCAAAGTCAGAGCACACATGTTAACAACAGAGGATAGCAAGAAATTAGTGACTATGAGAAAGTAAAATCAGATATGAAATATTCTTAGTTGCAAAAGGAAACAGAACCAACTGACATGTACTTATGAGGACTGACTTGGGAAAAGACTGCATTGAAAAATATCGAGTTTTATAATTACTTTCCATGTGGCATGTAAAATTTGAACAGCAATTAAGGAAGATAATAATAATACAATAGTTGATAATTTTAATTACATCTAGTTGTCAAAATGACAATTGCAAGTCTTTCATCAGTCAAGTTATGAACAGCATCAAGGACATATAGTACATTTTTTGCACATTTTTTCAAACAGGACGGGGAGGGTGAGAGAGATAAATTCTTTTCATTTGAAAGTAGTAAACATTATATAAAAAGATCCAAAGGATAAATAAGTTGCAAAAGTTGAGTTTAGCAAAAAGTTTTTTGTACTATTTTTATATTGTACTTTTTCTAACAAATAGCATACAGCACAAATTAATTTATCCTGAACTATTTAAGTAGACAAATTTGAATTATTCACACTGTGGAGTGATTTAAGAACCTGTTTGTATTACAGATGTTTGATGGAAAGCAGGACAGATTTGTAGTTCTTATTTCACAGACAGTTACCCAAAACATCTTTTTTGAATGTGTACTGGAGGTATCTACTGTGGAAGACTTCAAGATAAACTGTCCTCAGATTTAATTTAAAAATACTAACAATGTGATCAGTGATGTGAAACGATGTCCAGGGATAGAAATTAGTTACATGGAAGCATAGAGGAAGGAGTTACATTCATTGGAAGAAGAAAATTCCTTGAATTGTACATGTTGCTTGAATGGTGAAGGATGGGTAAAATTGTGATTGATTAAGTTGAGGTTTAGGGGGTAGCATTTTAACAAAAGAAATTACATGAAAAATAAAACAATTATAAATGAGGAGAGGCATATTTAAAGATTTAAGTTTGACTAGAGGATAGATTGCATGTAAGAGTGGAATATTCAAATTAGTGAGAAACAAATTGGAAAAGGTAGCAACTATATTAGTTAAAATATTTAGCAAAGTGGGGTTTTAATCATGACAGGGAAAAAAGATAAAAGAAAGTACAAAATAAGCATTGAACAGATATTAGGTGCTTTATGTGTTATTTATGTATCATGCTCACAACTGTAATGTGAAATTTTCAAAAGTGAGGCTCATGTTAGTTGCCTAATATAGTACAGTTTGTAAGAAGCAGAACTGGCATTAGAACATCCATGACTAACTTTTAAACCCCAAGCTCTTTCCACTGTAACCTACTCTAACATTATTAATTTCCTCTTAGAGCTGGAGCTAACATATTTTAGAGCTGTGGAAGCATTATTATATTTTCTGCACTATTGTCACCCTGTGAAACGGGACAATAGACACTGGGAATTTTTGAAAGGGGAGAGTAGTCACTTGTACTCTGCCATCCTGGTTTTTCTTTTTTTTTCAGTCACATTTCTTTATACTCACATCTTACAGTTAGTTAAAAAAGACTTAGCTTGCTGGATAAAATACTTCTGCCAATATTCTTATTTTGTCACCCACCTACAAATTCTGGATATTTTATTTTAAGACTAAATTTCTGCTCAGTCTAGGGTAAAACCCCTTTCCAGTGGTGTGAGCTTCTTTAGATCATATCCTTCCTTTCTCTGGATGTAAGAAGCAAGAGGTAAAATACCGAGTTGTATAATTATAAAGGTAGATTTTTCCTGGTAGGAAGGAGATTACTTCTGACTATTCTATTAAAGAAGTACATTTTTCTTTTTCTCAAGCAGTTTTCTTTCGAGTAGGAGATATGTTTGTTTAGATTCTTTCTATCATTTCCCAAGCAACAGCTGTCACTTGGCTACATTTACAACTTGCCTACATTAAAGAGCATGCTCACGGTCCAAAAAACAATAATCATAAATTTAACGCAATGTAAACCACAGTTTTAATAGATTTACACATCTCCATAAAATGCATTAAGCCATTTCTCCTAAAGAAAACATTCAATTCACTTAAAATTTTACTTTCTCTCAAAATAATTATTGTTCATAATTATTATTTCTAATAAAGAACCCCAAAGTACAGGCTCGGAGTTCCTAGCTTAATTTTTAACAGAATGCTAATCTAACATAGATCCAGCAAAAGCTTGCACTGCCACACTGATACTTTTAAATGACTCCTTTGATGGGAATGAACTTCCACCTTTTAAAAGAGAAATGCCTTGTTTAATAATACTGAATATTCCTGTTGAGATCCTGATATAGCTTTGACTACCTGAAACTTTTTATAAGCTATCTATCTTCATGCTCTTTAAATGGCAAGGACACAATGAAACAATGGATAGTATTACATACCCCCAAAAGCAATTGTTTAAATCTATTTAAAATCTCAATAAAATGTTTAAAATTTATCTGGAGAAAGGAAACATCCTTTATCCTGTTCACTGGTTATCTCTGCAAAAAAAGAAAAAAAAAAAAAAGAAGAAGAAATCATTTACATATATGTAAATTTGGGCTCTTTAAGGTTTTTTAATTTTCACCAAAAGGGTGGAATTTTTATAGCACACCAAAAGCATGCATTTCACCCAACCTAAGGTAATAAATGTTAGCAATGAAAAGGGGGAAATGCAGAAGAGGCAGAAGAGAAGTTTGAATAGCTAACCAAACTCAAGATGCTCTACTGATTATTGGTCTGAAGGCATAGTCATCACTCTCAAAGAGTCATGTTTAATGTATGTGCCATGGTGCTCTATTTTAGGAATGATAGGTAAGTTTTATGTAATGAGTTAAGTGGGATTCCCTCCCATGCCAGAAAGATTTTAATTAATTTTTAATTTTTCTGTGTAGCTCAAAAGAAATGTTGCTCACATTTGACATAAAGATAGCCTTTAATATGTATCACAAGAAATTATGTTGTTTATATTTATAGCACTTATTTTATTCATAGCAACATGTGACAGAGAAAAAACAATATTTTAAATAAAAAATTTAACAACTCAACTTCACCATTTGAAAATTCCTGTAATCTTTGAATTATGTCCTATGACAAAGTTGTAGTTTACATACTAAACCACTTGATTTACAAAGTACGTTGCACTACTGTTTTATTAGAGATTAATAGAAGACTACTGTAGTGACCTATGGTATAATTTTCTGATACTCAGAGAAGTTGTTTGCTGCTATTTCGAATTTAACTGAAAACCCATTTCTCACACTCCGAACACTGACCACAGCATGCTGCAACACTGTGAAAATGCTAAAAGAGTTCATGTATATCTTGGCTAAAGATGCACACCTGCCAGAAGTGAATGTCCTTGGAAAATATGTGTTTAAAAACCAACTTAATTTATAATGCCTAAAACAGCATCTTTAGCATAATGGTCATTAATGCATGCCTACTAATTCACTCATTCATTCGTTGATCATTTATTAATTTTTAAACTAAATTCATACAATGTATGAGCCATTCTTTTTCTGCTCTTGGAATATTGTAGTGAACAAAGAAAACTGAGTCTTTTCCTCTAATGAAAACTGTCTCAGTAAAAGTAAGGCAATCATAAAAATTAAAGATACATAAGTGAATAAATAAATAATCACATAATATATGCAATGAAGAAAAATAAAACTCAAACAGGTCAGGAGAAAGATACAGGAGAGAGTGGTGTTGGTGGAGTGTGTGTGCTATTTCATCCTATTTTGTGTAGGATGGTCAGGAAACACATTCAGAGAACGCATTTGAGGTAAGACTTGAATAAAGAGATGGAGCAAGTCATGTACACAAGAAAAAGAAGGGGCCAGGCACGGTGGCTCACACCTGTAATCCCAGCACTTTGGGAGGCCAAGGTGGGCGGATCACAAGGCCAGGAGATTGAGACCATCGTGGTTAACACGGTGAAACCCTGTCTCTAATAAAGAATTAAAAACATTAGCCGGGTGTGGTGGTGGGCGCCTGTAGTCCCAGCTACTGGGGAAGCTGAGGCAGGAGAATGCCATGAACCCAGGTGATGGAGCTTGCAGTGAGCTGGGATCACGCCCCTGCACTCCAGCCTGGGTGACAGAGTGAGACTCCATCTCAAAAAAAAAAAAAAAAAAAAAAAGGGAAAGAAAAAGAAGGAATCATAAGTATAAAAGCCCCAAGACCAAGAACACTTGTCCACAATTTAGGAAAAAACAAAGGGGCATGTCTGGCTGACTGACTTTGGAGGATGAGGAGTGTTATATGACACAAAATCACACCAATTGTGTGATCAGACCACAGGGAGCCTTGTAAACTATGGAGAAAACCTTGAACCATACTTTGTGTGAAGTGGGAAACCTTTACAGGTTTTAGGCAAATAACTGACGTGACTTGCCTTGCATTTTCATTGGACCATTCTGGCTGATTGATAGGTGGAAATAAGCAATAGAAGAGTAAGAGGAAAGCAGAGAGACCAGTTCAGAAGCTATCATTGCATTGAATAAATGCTATTGGATTCAAGCAGATGACTATTCCATTTAGCTATGATATAAGGGAAAAAAATAAAACCATTGGCCAGCCTATTGTGTTCTCTGATGTCACATTTATCATTAAAATATATGAATCATTAAAAAATATACAGTATCACTGAGTTGTAGGCACTTTAGGCTCCATTTTACAGATAGGAAAATGAAGTCTTAGAGAGGTTCCCAATACTCATAATTAACTTAGAATTGCTATAGAGGGATGTGACATAAGATTTGGAATCATACAGACATTGGTTCAAGTCTCAGGTTGGACATATATCACCATGGCCAAGTCTAAGTTTCTAAGCTTCAGTTTCATTTTCTGTAAAGTGTGCTTAAGTAAAATATCTACTCTAATGGGTAGATGTTAAGGTTAAATGCAATTATTCATATAAAATGCTTACCATAGTGCCTTGAATGTAATAAATGCTCAAATTTAGCTATTATCTTTATTTTCAACCCCAAAAGTCATCTTCAACATAAAATTCAAAGTTCTCATCATTCTGACAATTAGTTTAAGATTAAGCTGCACCATCAAATTAAACATCTTGTTCAGTAGCCATAATCCATCAGAGTCTGGCCTTACCTTGACTTAGGGATCTCTCCCTCTTTAAGTGGGCTACATCTTGCCTTCTGAAACCCTGGGTCTCTCTTTACATACTAGCATCATTCAAATTCTTTTCACTTGAAAATTTCTTCCTCCAAGATTCCAAAAGCCTCTGCTTGAAAATTAAGGACTCAGCAGGACAGATCACATAAATGATGTAAGAAATCATGTTTTACAATGTCCCTGGAAAGATCAACTCTATATTTTAGTCGAACAAATAAATTTTAAAATGTATTCTTACATCCCCGGAGCACTATTCTATAGATAGGACATCAAAAACAAAGAAGTATATATTTAGGGCCTGCACATTTTCTTATCTTTGGATTTAGCAAGACATGCAGTATAATCCAATTAGAAAGTAAAATGGGCTTAATTACTTAGCTCAGATCAAAGAACATAAGGCGGCAAAGAATCTAATTAAAATTAATAATATAATGGGCAGCTTTATCTAATGCCTAATCTAGGGCATTTCATCTTAATTTAAATTCAGTTCTTAAATTCACAATAACATCCCATCATTGTCACTGATTGTTATAAAATCTGATAACCCTTTGGTAAATCCTTCCTGTGTATTTGTTGGCCAATTCTAAGTAATAGATTTAACTCTGTACAACAGAGAGAGGTTAGAAAGTTCACTCTGTTACATGTTTATACTGAATTTCCTTAGCCTTCTATCTCTTACTTTACCCTGATTAATATTCTTCAGATGTTACTGAGTAGCACAAATGATCTATACAATGTACACAGCCACAGGCTATATTTATATTGAGTGGGAACAGTGCTGAAGTTAATCAAGGACTCTCATAGATACTTTTAAACCTAATTTAGAGTACATTTACAAAGTACTATTTATTTTAATGTTTGTACTAAATTGATCCCCTAGTATAGTAATTCCCTTTCTCTGTGGAAGGTAAGTTCCAGGACCCTCAGTGAATTCCTGAAATTCCCATTGAATGTCTAGCCTCCAGTGAATGTTTTAAGCCATGTATATAAAGTAGGAGACTGGCCAGACTTGTTCTCTGGTCACAATCCTGCTGAGCAAAACAGGATCTGACCCAGACAGGATAAAGGGAAGAAACTGGTGGGAACCAGCAGATGTCAGAAGAAAGAAATCTTTAGCTGCCTGTGATGGTTAATATGGAGTGTCAACTTGATTGGATTAAAGGATGCAAAGTATTGTTCCTGGGTGTGTTTGTGCGGATGTTGCCAAAGGAGACTAACATTTGAACAATGGACTGGGAGAGGCTGATCCACCCTCAGTCTATGTTGCACCATCTAATCAGCTGCCAGTGCGGCTAGGATAAAAGCAGGCAGAGGCACATGGAAGGACAAGACTGGCTGAATCTTCCAGCCTTCATCTTTCTCCTGTGCTGGATGCTTCCCACCCTGAAACATCAGACTCCAAGTTCATTAGCTTTTATGCTCTTGGACTTAGATCAGTAGTTTTCCAGTAGTTTTCTGTGGCCTTTGGCCACAGACTGAAGGCTGCACTGTTGGCTTCCCTACTTTTGAGGTTTTGGGACTATGACTGGCTTCTTTGCTCCTCAGCTTGCAGATGGCCTACTGTGGGACTTCACCTTGTGATCATGTGAGTCAATACTCCTTAATAAACTCCCTTTCACATATACATCTATCCTGTTAGTCCTGTCCCACTAGAGACTAATACACTAATACACTGCCCTTATTTCTCATTAGCATAAGACACTCCCTCCTGCATCATGACAGTTTACAAATGCCAGGGCAATAACCCATAAGTCACTAACCCTTTCCATGGCAATGGCCCAGAAGTTATCACCTTTTCCCCAGAAAGTTCTAAATAACCCGCCCCTTAATTTGCTTTGACTCGCCCCTTAATTTGCATGTAATTGAAAATGGGTTTACATGAGTAGGAATACATTACCGATTCTGCCCCCATGGCATATGAGTTAGCCCTACTCTGCAAGTAGCAGTATTGTTCAATAAAAATCTCTGTCTAATACCATTGGCTCACCCTTGAATCCTTTCCTTGGCAAAGCCAAGAACCCTCCTGGGCTAAGCTCCAATTTGGGGTATTGCCTGTCCTGCAATATCTGTACCATGTTTTTCCCTATACACACATACCTATGATAAAGTTTAATTTATAAATCGGGCACAATATGAGGTTAACAACCATAACTAATAACAAAATAGAACAATTATAATAATATACTATAATAAAAGTTATGTGAATGTGGTCTTTTTCTCTCTGAAATATCTTATTGTGCTATATTTACCTAATTTTCAGACTGTGGTTGACTGCGGTAACTGAAACCTTGGATGAGGGGGGGACTACTCCCCCTATGTCTAAGATGTATTTTTAAATAATTTTGTCTGCAATATGTAAAGAAAAAAATATAGTTAATTTATGGATTTAACAATCTCTACTGTTAACTCGCGTGTTTAAATACACTCACTTGTACAACATCAACATTACACATTCAAAAACTAAAACAGATCAACCTTTTTTTTCCTTGGTTGGTACATGAGACAAGTCTGAGTCAATGTTTTTGCCCTCAGGCAGAAATAACATATTTTTGACAATTGTTAGAATTGCCTTAAGTATTTTTCCAGAAAGATAAGCCAAAACACTGTACCACTACACACATTTACTGATTATAAGCCTTACCCTTATTTAAACACTTAAAAAAAGTCATTTTGATGCCTAAATACCAGCAACTGGGTTTACAGTCCAAATACAAAGCTCAAGAGATTATAAAACCCCTTTGAAATAGCAAGTTTAGCTTTGGAAGAGTAACTGCAATTGGTTAAAATTATCCAGTTAAAAACTCAGTGACCACAAACTCCAAGCTAAGAGCCACAAAGGATGGCTTAGATCAGGATCAAAATAGGAAGAAACTTAAAAAAGATGAGGTTTAGGAAATGGTTGCAAATATGCGGCAGCTGGAGGTCTTCTCCCACATGGAATATATGCACTGTCTGTCTTTTAGAAGCTCTGCAGTTATGCTTGCAGTGTAATCTTTAGTGTCTATTAAAGCCAAGGATATTAAATTGTAGCTTCCCATTGTCTAAAAGCCTTCCTAAAGAGGTCAGATCTCCAAGACATGCCAGAAAAGGGAAAAATGAATTGTAGAACTACGTTTGGTTAATTATTTTACGTAAAAATATTTTCAGTGAAAGTCTGATTAAGCTCCACTAAGAAAACTAAACTTGCTTGAACTATTGTTCAAAGTGATTGAAATGTGTGGTTATACACAGAAGAGTAATTCTTTCTTAGATAAAATCATGCAGTCAATATCCCTCTTGTAAGAATGTTAAACTTAAGCACGCCCTGGTTATTCCACCTGGTTTATACAACTCGCTAAGAGTGCACGTAATCAAACACTCCCACTCTTGGACGGTCAAGCCACAAAATATTTTCTCGCCCTTCGGAATGTTTATCCTGAAGCTAAAGCAATTGGTTTGTGTAAACGTGAGTATAAATGGCTCTGTGTCAATACAGCAGGAAGCAGTTTGGGTACCTGTTAAATTAGGAGCTTTCCTGACAACCACATATTGAATCAGACAAGCAAAAAATCTTCTTCTCATTAAGAATTAACATTTTAACTGTAATCACTCATTAATTTTGAGGTAGAGAAGGGAGGATGGAAGGAGAGGGAGAAAGAGTTGGGGGAGGGAGGGGAGAGAGAGATAATTTAACAGATTAAACAGAAATGAACCAATTGACTACGATTGGTCTGATTAAATTCCTCACATATCAGAAAAAGAAAAGAAAAAAAACAAAAAACAAAGTACAAGACTGATGGCCACTAAGGAAAATCCTGTACTTCCACAGAATTAGATGTTGTTAGGAGAATTCAAATACCAAGTGAGGAAAATGTCATTGTTATCTTGACACATTTACTGCAGAGATGTATTGGTCTGCAGCATAGAGTACATAAAACTCAAATTAATTAACAGGGAGATGAACATTTATTATGTTATTTTAAGGGATGTAGTGTGACATCTCTATTTTGAAGAAACGCATTTGGTTGCATGAAGTTAATTATAAAGATTAAGAAAAACAACTCAAGGCACAAAACACATAATCTTTTCTTTCTGATTAGATTATCCTGTCTGAATGTCAAGATCACTTTAGATTAATCAGATAACATTGTAATTGTCAGTTTCCTAATGATCTGAGTTTGGCATTTGAGTCATCTTTGGTATATTAGAATAATTTGAAAATTATTGTTGTTCATATTTTACCACATAAATTAATTTAAAAAGTCAATTACATTATGTATTTTACATGGATAGTATATACCTAAAATATAAAAAATGTTAATGTAAAATATTTTTCTTTAGGTTTTTATAAACAGTGGTTCTGTGTAATTCTTAGAATGTTTGCTATATTCTAGAGAGCTATAAGATAATGACATAATTCAATTCATCTGGGAAGAGATTTTGAGTACTGATTTTTATTTTTAGTTTTATCCTTTTTTTTTTTTTTTTTGGTGGAGTCTTGCTCTGTCACCCAGGCTGGAGTGCAGTGGCGCCTCCTGGTTTCAAGCGATTCTCCTACCTCAGCCTCTTGGGACTCCAGGCCCAAGTAGCTGGGACTCCAGGTGTGTGCCACCACACCCGGCTAATTTTTTGTATTTTTAGTAGAGACGGGATTTCACCATGTTAGCCAGGATGGTCTTGATCTCCTGACCTCGTGATCCGCCCGACTCGGCTTCCAACTATGCCTGAGATTATAGGCATAGTTTTGTCCTTTTTTAAACTGACAAAAGTCGTGTATATTTATAGCTACAATGTGATGTTTTGGTCTATGTATACATTATAGGAAGATTCAATCAAACTGATTAACATAACTTTCACCTCAGCAATTTATCTTTTTTTTTTTTTTTTTTTTTTTGGTGAGTACATTAAAAATCTGCTTTAGCAATTTTGAAATAGACAATACCTTATTAACTTGGTCACCATGCAGGGAAATAAATCACTAAAACTTATCCTTCCAGTCTAACTGGAGCTTTATATGCTTTGATCATTTTCTTCCTTTTCTCCATTCCTTCCCTTTTCCTGTTATCTTGGTTAACCACCTTCCTACTCCCCGTTTCTATGAAATCAATTCACTTAGATTCCACATATAATTGAGATCATAAAGTATTTGTCTTTCTGTACATGGCTTATTTTACTTAGCATAATGTCCTCTAGTTCCATCCACGTTGTCACAAATGACAGAATTTACTCCTTTTTAAACACTGTATTCTATTGTGTAGATATATCACATTTTCTTTATCCTTTGATGGATACTTAGGTTGATTCCACATCTTGGCTATTGTGAATAATACTGCAATGATCATGGGAGGGCAGATATCTCTTCAACATACTGATTTCAATTTTACTGTGAAATTTCATATATATATATATATATATATATATATATATACACACACACACACATATATATGTATCCAGAAGTGGAATTGCTAGATCATAGGGTAATTTTTTTTTAGTTTTTTGAGAAACTCCCATACTATTTTCCAAAATGGCCGCACTAATTTATATTCTCACCAACAGCATACAAGGGTTCCATTTTTTCCACATTCTTACAAATACTTGTTATCATTCTTTTTTTGATAATAGCTAGTCTGTCAGGTATGAGGTGATATCTTACTGTGGTTTTATTTTGCATTTCTCTGATGATTTGAGACGCTGAGAATTTTTTCATTTATCTATTAGTCAATTATGTCTCTTAAGAAGCATCTGTTCAATCCTTTGTCCATTTTTAAATTGGGTTATTTGTATTCTTGCTATTGAGCTATTTGAGTTCCTTTTATATATTATGGATACTAGACCCTTATTAGATGTACGGTTTGCAAATATCTTTTCTCAGCCTATAGCTGTCTCTTTACTCTGTTATTTGTTTTCTCTGCTGTGAAGAATCTTTTCAGCTTGATACAATCCCATTTGTCTATTTTTGTTTTTGTTGCCTGTGCTTTTGGAGTCCTATCCAAGAAGTCATTGCCTAGATCAATGTTGTGGAGCTTTTCCCCTATGTTTTCTTCTATTAGTTTTACATTTTTAGAACTTATGTTTTTTGTAAGGCTTTATACCATTTTGCGGACACAAGTAAAGAAGACAGTAATTCCTGCTTTTAGGAAGCTTAGCGCGTAACCTATGGAAAAAAATATATGAGTGGTAAGAGGAAAGAGAGAGATTTCCTCTCTGCTTCATAAATAGGCTAGATCAAGTAAGTATACATGGAGAAGACACAACTTAGCTGAGAATAATTGTTAGGATTTTGACAATCTAAAAAGAGGAATAAAAGCATATCATATACACTTTGAGTTTGACAAAAAATAATGGGATAGAAAAATCCAGAGTAGGCTTGCAAAATGGTCACTCTTCTAGGTTAGTTGGATCCTAGTTAGTGTAGAGAAGGTGAGAGGGAGATATAGGTAGGAAACAAGGACTTGGATCTTAATTGTCATTCTTAAGAGATTGGAGCTTATAATGCAGACCCCAGTGGCCCATTACATGTCATAATGATGACAAGCAGGGTCTAGAGCCAGTTAGTGGGCACTCAAATCCCAACCTCCAACATAAGCACCTAGAGTTAAACAAGATTTTAACCTTTCTATGCATGCTGTTCCATTAAAAATTGAGATTATAATAGTACCAATATGTTGTTTTGATAATTAATTAAGTTATATCAGCTAAATAGCTTAGAGTTCTGTAAATGTTCTATAATATTAAATAATTAAATACAACGTAAGTGTTCTCTAATATTAGGATTATTAGCCTTGAACCAGAAAGTGATGCACAAGACTGCATTTGACAAGATAAAGTATGGGAAATTTCATAGACATATTTTTTTTTTGTGGGGGGTGTTGGGGGGGGCGGAGTCTGGCTCTGTCACCCAGGCAAGAGTACAGTGGCGGGAGGCGGGATCTCAGCTCACTGCAGCCTCCCGGGTTCAAGCGATCCACCTCCTGGATTTAAGCAATTCTCCTGCCTCAGCCTCCTGAGTAGCTCGGATTACATTTTGGGGAGATTCATTGCTATTAATACTCACTCCCTATAAGCCAACTCTGCCACGTCACTCATGATCACTAGCATGGATTACTCCCACTGAGATCAATCACTAATATTAAGACTCAGTTATGCATTTTAAAAGTTAAATTTTCTAATTCTTTATAAGAAGTATATACTTCCTTTTAGGCACACACTTCAAGTAGATTAGTAGATAAAACCAGAAGCCAATTTCACAATCATTGAGAGATTAAAAACAACCAAAACTTAACATGACTTTTTAAATCATTCTAAGTAGAGGTTTTTTTTTTTCTTTTTTCTTCTCTTTATACCTCCCCAAATTTTACTTGGAAGGGGATCTTCTCTTTTTCTTAACAAAGTTTATCAAAAATTTATTTTTTCTCAAATTACAGTCTCATTCTCTTCCAGCTTCAGATTTTTTTTTTTTTTTTTTTTTTTGGCGGGGCTGGGGGGTGGGTTCTCACTTTACTAAGAAGTCATATAACTGTAAGATGACTCTCGTACTTTTTACTTGACATCCCAGGACATACTGATTTCTTATTATTATGCTACAGTAATCATATATGCTAAAAAGGAAGAAGTAAATACTGAAGCATATGAGACAACTCTCAAAAATTATACTATGCCATTGGTTTTTACTATAGCCTAAAATCCTAATTAAGAAAGAAGAAACAAAATGTCGTTTGGAAAAAAGTGACAGTTGAAACAACAGGAATCATTAAGAATAATTGAAATAACACATCAAAGAAGATAATAGAAGATAATCATGAAGGGAATGCTAGCAAATGTCAAGTTTTCACAGTTAAACTAAAATCTACATATTTGTTGAGTATTGATTATGTGCTAGGTACTGTAATAAATGTTTTACATGAAACATTTATTTAGTATTCACAATAATACCATGGAGTAAGTACCATCATTTCCACCATTTTACAGATGAAGAAAATGAGATACAATAACTTGTACTCTTTTTACATAGTTAAAAAGTAATAGAGTGATGATTTGAAGCAAGGAAACCTAATCTGGAAAAAAAATACTTTATTACACTATTATGCTAAAGAAAACTACTAAACAAAGAAAAATGGGAAGGAATCCGGGTACTTGTTCTGGTTACCCCCAAACTTAGGGGAATAAATGAATGATACTTACTTTGCTTATAAATCTGCAATTTAGACAGGATTCAGTGGGGATAGATTGTCTTTGTTTCACTCATCATCAACTGGAGCAACTTGAAAACCAAAGACTGGAATTCATTCGCTTGCTCCCTCATAAATGTGATGGTTAATGATGTCTGCTGGCTGAAACCTTAGCATGTTTTTGAGTGGAACATCTCTATGTGGCCTTTCCATGTGACCTGAGCTTTTTCATATCACAATGGTTGTATTCAAGGGTGATCATCTCAATACAGAAAGCCAGGTAGCTGTATTACCTTTGATGAACTAGTCTTGGAAGTCAAGTGACATCACTTGTTATATACTACATGTTGAGATAGCCTTAACAGTTTACCTCTTTTCAAGGAAAGAGGAAATAGACTTCAGCTATAGTTGGGGTAGTGGCAAGGTTCTGGAAGAGCAAATTAGACTGGAGTTATTGCTGTGGCATCATTTAGAAAATGTAACCTGACATGATATTAAAGATGAATGAAGGGAGTGTGACACTAATATTTCCAACAGAAGAGGAGGTAACTACAAAGAGGCAGTGTTCAATAAGTTGCTGGCTCTCAGCAATTTTTTTGGCGTTATCTCATACCTTAGGGATGGCTCTTCCCCAGGCACAATGGCCTTCAACCAAGTCCTTGCATTGCTGTGATGCCTTCATCCACAGGGTCTTTGTACAGTGTTTCCATTGCTTGGGATACAGTCTACACTTTTGTTGTCCCAGTCTAATCCTACTCTTGTTATTGATTTCAATTTGAACATCATTTTATTAAATAATCATTCTTCCCCTACAGTAAGCCAGCTTCATTTATGGTGTTTCATATTACTTTTTTATTTTAAATCAGTTATCTCCATTTGTAAATATGCATTTATTTATGTCATTATTTGATTAATGTCTGTCTTCTCCACCAATCAACAAAATCTATGAGACAAGAGTCTTTGATCACTCCAAGAGCCTAGCAAAATTCATGAAACTTACTGATCCCTCTTTAGTCATTAAATGTGCTTGTAAAACGGCTTATTTTTTGAATGCTTCTTTGAAATAGGAAAGAAAAATATAGTATTTTTAAAAGAATAAAGTGTCAAGTAAACACACTACACCAATAATAAAATAATTTTAAAACCAATGAGAGATAATTAATTTGTTCATTTAATTTTTGTTAGTCAAGGTAGGCTAACCTTTACAACAAATAGATCAAAAATGTACATTCGTTCAAACAAAACAGAAGTATATTTCTTCTTCAGTTTCAGTAAAAGACAAATTCTGCGCAGACAGGAGAGGGTTCTGATCTATGAAGTTACTCAGCAACCAATGCTGATAATCACTCTACTGTTATTCACACAAATTTCATGGTAAGTCTGACGGTTATCTCTATGTAATCCAGCCAATAAAAGGAAAGAACATGACTGCATGGTTTGAGGTTTTCTTAGGCCAGGTTTAAGAATGAGACTTACTTATTCTCAGAGTGAGGTGGAAACCGTCAAATTACCACAACTGATCAAAGGAACCCAGGAAATGTAAACTGGTGGTATGTTCAGGAAGAAAAGGCCAGGCTCAGAGGAGAGCCATCAGCCTCTGTTACAACAGGCATCCATCGATGTCTTGAAACATGACCGGGAAGTCTATAGACTTTAAGAAAGCTAGAAAACCTTGATGTCACATAATTACTAAAGCAAATGTTACAGATTAGTCTTATAAGTAGTATGAAACAAAATATAAGTATCTCTAGAGCTAAAATTTTGGGTTAGACAAAAGGAAATATTATCTAAGTGATTACTGCAGTTTTCTAAAAAAAGCAAGTCCTCTCTGGAAGATTATCAAGCAAGAACTAGAATGTCTCCTCTGAAAGTCAATGTGACTGCTCACCTGATTTTTCAGAATTTCCATGTGCTATTCATCAGTTATACAAGAATAAAAAAAGAAGATGTGCAAATGACAATTTAATGATACAGCTTCAAAAAGAGGTAGAAGGAAAGGGAGAATGTAAAATCATTACACTCCCAAGATCATAATTATGGACCTAATTTTCGAGCAAGGAATTTCCAATACTTATTGGAAAAGATTTTTTTAACTTATGTATAAAAGAAGTTGAATAGTGAAGGTAAAATATTGTGCACACATTCTTTCACATTGAATATCTTTTTATTTAACAGAATTAAGTCTTAAACCTTATTAAAGTATATAAAACTTTCTATTACATTTGACTACTCTTATATATCTTTATGTATCGATGGATTATAGCTAGATATTCTTAAGCAAGCTAGAAATTAAGTAAGCTAGATATTCTTAAGCAAGCTAGCAAACTTTAAAATGCTGACCGAAGAATTATAAACTATGTCTACCAGTTTCCTCTTCCATTTATGTACAGGGACCAAATATTCCATAAAAGAGGCTGAGCACTTGTCAACATTGCTCAGTTAAACTTGGTGCACAGAGACTGTATCGGTCAGGATCCCATAAGAACAGACACTTCTCAAAAGAAGACATTTATGCAGCCAACAGACACATGAAAAAATGCTCATCATCACTGGCCATCAGAGAAATGCAAATCAAAACCACAATGAGATACCATCTCACACCAGTTAGAATGGCAATCATTAAAAAGTCAGCAAACAACAGGTGCTGGAGAGGATGTGGAGAAATAGGAACACTTTTACACTGTTGATGGGACTGCAAACTAGTTCAAGCATTGTGGAAGACAGTGTGGTGACTCCTCAAGGATCTAGAACTAGAAATACCATTTGACCCAGCCATCCCATTACTGGGCATATACCCAAAGGATTATAAATCATGCTGCTATAAAGACACATGCACACGTATGTTTATTGCGGCACTATTCACAATAGCAAAGACTTGGAACCAAGCCGAATGTCCATCGATGATAGACTGGATTAAGAAAATGTGGCACATATACATCATAGAATACTATGCAGCCATAAAAAAGGATGAGTTCATGTCCTTTGTAGGGACATGGATGAAGCTGGAAACCATCATTCTGAGCAAACTATTGCAGGGACAAAAAACCAAACACCGCATGTTCTCACTCACAGGTGGGAATTGAACAATGAGAACACTTGGACACAGGAAGGGGAACATCACACACTGGGGCCTGTCGTGGGGTGGGGAGAGGGGGGAAGGATAGCATTAGGAGATATACCTAATGTAAATGAGTTAATGGGTGCAGCACACCAACATGGCACATGTATACATATGTAACAAACCTGCACGTTGTGCACATGAACCCTAGAACTTAAAGTATTAAAAAAAAAAAAAAAAAGAAATTGTGTCACATTCAAAAGGAGTAGTTGAGTAGAATTTAACTATGTACAAAAGCGTGGGTATGACCAAGGAAACTAACAAGGGGCTTGCAAAGGCCAGGAGGGGAAAGGAGATGGAATGTTTTTATGATCTAGTGAGAGCTGTTATAAGGAATGGTCTTTCCAACTAGAGGAATGCAGCCTCTGTCGACCTTCTGCATTTGAGGATTCGGGTATAAATACCTCAGTCTCTCTTTATTCTTCTTCTTTGATTTCCTACCAGTGAAGACTTCCATTTTTCAAACTACACTAAAATCTAGAGAGCCAGGTAGCCTGGTGATGAAGTCTATAGAATTCAGCATCCTAGGGCAAGGCACAAGGAGGGGAACTATGAAACATACCTACAAAGACAAGCAAAATATACAGAAGAGATGCAATGACATTTGTAAAAGAGATAGCAGCAATGTTATATATGATGAATTGCATGCATTCATATGCTACTTAAACTTACATTTTATTCAATGGGACATGTATAAATATCTGCTTTCTTTAAACATAATTTTGAAAATTTCAAAGAGTCTGTATAAGATCTCCTTATCAAAAATTATTAATGATTTTAAAAATATGTTTCTAAGACATTGCCTGATCATGATGAAATAAATGGAGCAGCAGAGGCAATTCCAAGATCCACAGACAAGAGCCCCAATGAAACATGAGTCCACACTCCACGTTCACTAAGAGAAAGAGTGAGTGGGAAAACAGGAGTCAGAATGGGGGCCTGGAAGAGATATGATGTCTGAGTTTGGCAAAGAGAATTGGCAGAATAATGGTCAGGGTACCCAGACCGATGATCAGGGTCCAGAATTTCAAAGCCTGCAGCACTGTCACTTGAGGCTTCATTGGCATCAAGCTGACTGGCAACGGCCATAACTTAGGATTATGTACACCCACAGGTCCAGAGGAGAAAATTGGTGATGGATCAAAAAAGATGATAGGAAATCTTGGCAGGTGAGCAGAGTTCAGAGGAATCTGGCAATAGGTGGGGATAAAGAAAGTCTGTGAAACTGCTGATTGACCGTTAGAGAGGTGCATCACGGTAGCTTGATTAATATCCTGCAGATGGTAAGTAGATGAATAGAAATTCAATTCCAGATCTCTTTGTTTCAAATCAAAATTCTTTCTGTTGTGACATATGGCCTACAGCAAAGGAGGAATAAAGATATCAATTAAAATGAATCATTCTTTAACAAGTCTGGAAGTTTTTCCTAGCAACAGAATCTATTTTAACCAAAGCAGCAATGCAGTGGTAATGTGCTGTTACAGAGCTAACAGCACAGTTGTAATATATCATAATATATCTGGTTGAAAGTGAAACACTTTGATAATAGACATTTGGTCTTTAAGATGTTTTTCTAAGATTTAATTTTTGAGCCAGATGTTTTTATATTAAAAGACAATTCTATACATTCTAGAGAGTTGTTTTATTACCACATCTGCAGCTATTTTTGTTTTCTAATGAGTCATAGCTTAAAAATTATTTTACTGGACCTACTCTTCAAAATGTTTTTATACCATTAAGGAGTTGTGTAGGATACATTGATTGCTAGTCACTATCATAGTGGGATGGAAAAATATTTAAATTTCAGAATGATACTTTGATTAAAATCCTAACTGCACTGTAGAGTCAAGTGGCATCGCATAATTTTCAGTTTACTTGAACCTTAGTTTCTCCTCATGAAAAATGGGGATACTGTTATCTATTTTGTTTGGTTGTTTCCCAGTTCATAAAGTCTGAGAGTGTTTTGAGATGTTTAAAGGCAAGATTTGATCCCCAAATGTGTCATTTGCCTATCATGCCTCACAGAACATGATATTCAGACAATTTTTTGAGACTGTGTGTATTCAAGGATTTTGTTCTACAGATGCAATGGTGTCACTGGAAAATCTTGAATGCTTTGATAACTTTGTTAGCATAATTTATCTAAACCAAAGTCTAATACTTATGTATGCCCGGGGACTCTATTAACCTTTTTTCTTTCTGCACATATGAGATGATATGCTTCTAATTAATGACAGAGGAAGATATGCCAGAGCACAGTGAATCCCAGGAGGGCGCTCCCTTAACCCTTGTTGATCATTATCACAGGGATGCCATTACAAAGCCTTAGAGCACCTGACTCTATTTCTACCAAAATTTCATTGCAGCAAACATACTTTACTTCATTTTCTCGTTCACTTACATATTCCCACTTTCTCTTGTTTACAGAAAATACTACAGAAAAATATGAAACTTGAATATTTAGAGTGCCTCTAATGTCTAATAATTCCTATATTGTGTTGCTACTTGGAAGTTGATGCCTACAGTATTCTTCCAACACAGATGGCCCAGAGTATGAGAATCTGTAGGAACTTTCGCCCTCAGCTGTGGTCTTCCTATTTGAAACTTGAAGTATACTATGTACCCAAGCCTATTGATTAATTTATTGTAATGTTTATATGTCACTCCCAAATGATTCTAGGTTTAGCAAGTCAGGAAAAAGCCCTTTTCCTTGTTGTAATTAAATCTTAGCTTTAACATGGTTTGTTTATTTGTCATATCCTTGTGGCATTTTATATTCTTTCTATGAAGGCATTTTCCTTTTTTTCAGTCAAAAGTGTACTGAACTCAAAGTGTAAACCTATGACCCATTTTGTTTTTCTTATTGCTTCCATATGTCCTCTTGTGATGGTATTCCGATCTTCTATTGTTTTGTTTTCTTAAGAACCAGCCTGGTCCTTACCAAAGATCCAGACCACGTCAATGGAATGACAATGAACTTTTTTTTTTCTCTGTGTTTATAGCAATAATGTTTATTTGCCCACTGAACTGAAAATGTTCATATCACTTATTTTTAGACAAAACTAAGTGCACTGTAATTGTGGATCTGCATTTAATAATTTAGAAAAAGCTTTATTGATTCTGCATCCTAAAAGTTTTATTTTGCCAATGAGGAATCATGGTCCAAGGATATTAAATAACTTGTTCTAGATGAAACATTAAGTAAAGAGAGGTGTCAGAACTAAAACTGTGTCTTCCAGCTCTCACTCAAATGCTGTGTTCCAATTCCTCATCATAATTTATTATTTAACACTGTGTGAACACATCTTAGTAGATGACACTGGTGATAAAACTACATATCTACAGTAACAGAGTTCCCCACAACATCAGTGGAAAATTTCTTCTTCCCTTAGGATAGGAACCTTTATAAAATTATGGTCAATGTGTGGACTCTGGAACCAGACTGCCTGCATTCAAATCCCAATTGTACCTTCACTAGCTGTTAGGCTCAAACTAGTTACACCTCAACTTTTCTGTGACTTAGCTTTCTAAAATTTTAAATGAAGTAACAATAATATTTGAACCAATAATTTTTATGAATATTAAGTTAGTTAACACAACTGCCTGGAAAATAATAATAGAAAGCCCTCTTTTAAAAGAGTTCCTGGCAAATAGGAAGCTACTATTCTTGTTATTGCCAATTGACTTCATATATACAGCCACAAAATTTAAGCGTCAAACAAGTGCTTTGCATATAAAATAAAATGTTTAATAGTTTTTGTTCCTCAAAATGTTCTATGAATTGAAAAATTTAGTAGCATGATTTAATTGTGAATAAGAAATAATCTTAGCATCATTTAATGTTTATTAATTGACAACGTATTAACAGTTGATATTTGAATATAATACACAATCTTTTACTGACCATCATTTTTTTCTTTTACCCCTTTATTGTTTTGTTTGAAACCTACAGATAAGAATAATGCATGGTGCAGATTAGTAAGATTTAACTGAAATGAAGTTCAAATATCAGAAATAAAGAAAATCAGAAAACAGAAGTTTAAACAGCTCCTTCAGCTTAAATAGCTGAGAAATTACATGAAAATGCACCTTCTGAAATGCTCAGCAGGCACTCTTACCTTCCCTAAGAAGATATGAAATGCTTTGCCAAGGAAAAAGTACATTTGTTTTTACTGCTGTAATGCCAACTGTATAAGTCAAATGGAGTCACCCAGTAAAAATAAATAGCACTATAATGATGATTAAAAACAGCACTATGCTTCTATGCCACTTCTTTGGAGCAGCTCAAGGCCTTCCACAGATTGTCTTTACAATTTCCTTAACATATATGTCTGTGAAAGACAGGAGCAGATATGAAGCAAATTTTGCTTGTGAAAAATAATTAAAATAAAGAGATTATTAAATTATTTTAGACCACATTTCAAATCCATGCCAAAGCTTAAACAAAACCCTGGCATTATGTGTCTCAGTTTTCCTACCACCTCTAACACCTGGAATACAGTGACTTTTCCCTCTCTAGCTGCCTCTGAAGTACAGCATTGTTGGAGGGGAGGTTAGGAGGCATTCCATAGCAGAGTGATGTCATGTTTGATCACATCCACATTTGTTCCTCTTTAAAACTACCCTAAAGAAGAGCTAAGATACTATTATGTCTTCAGATGATTTGTTGACTTTCTAAATGTTACACACATTTTTCCAAAATGAATTAGAGCAGATGATTCATTTGACTGAATGGCCCTATAAAGTATATTCATTTTCTTTTAATTTCCCTGTAGCATATAAAAAATAGGAATTCTGTTTATGGAAGGTCACACTGTAAAAGAATATTAGGGTTGAAAGGAGCTTCAAAGACTTCCTTATCCAACTCTCTGATTTTAGAGACAAGAATCAGCCAAGTAATACTACTTGCCCAGTGTCACACCCTGGGTGTTTTCTTTCCAGGGCACCTTTCCATCCTCCTTGCAGGGTATGATAGCTACGCTTTTCTCAGCCTTTTAGGGGAGTGAAGGTGAGTGCGCTTTATACACAGCTGACATTCTCTATCATTTTTTTCTCATCCTTTGGCTTGTTCCTCTCATCTTTTGCAGTAGACTTTATGTCCACTCAAGCAATTACCAAGTGCACATTTGGAAAATCAACAAACCATTTGACATTCCTCAAGAATGCATTTTGATCACATCTGTCCTGGGATCTGACCTAACCCTCCTGCAGGCCTGTGGGAGAATAATCATTTATCATTCATGTATTAAAAATGTTTGTTTTATTTTGTTTTAATTCAGTAAGAAAACACTGTCAATCTTCTTTAAGTATCTAACATTCCCAGATTTTGATGTCTTCATTGCCAAAACCCATCAAGCTGAACGTCAACAGGTTCTCTCATCCCTGAATGATAGTTAAACATGAAATGTTGCAAAATTGAAACAGCAGAATATATGTAGGGCCATGAAAATGTTACCTATAAATCAAGGAAAAGTAAAGGACACGTAAATTAAATATGCTATCTTTTGTATAATTTCCATTTTCTTTCATTACTCTAAGATTATTTTGCACTTCCCCATTTAATTATTTTGAAGTTTAGTCAGAGGGATGCTGCTTATTCTGTGATAACCAAATGAAATATACTTTTCCTCCTAATGCTGAGGATTTTTTGTTTATACTGTTTGTTTTGCATTATAAGTACTGTAATGATAACTCTTTAACTCTGCTTAATATGTAACCTGTTCAGTAGTCTGTACCTGTGAAGCCATGTCACAGTAGATGTGAGGCACATGCACATGTTATTATGCAGAACTTCAGCTGTCTACCTTGGTGAGTTGGAGAGACCCTTTCTAGTTAGCAAAATTAGTGTTAGGACAGTCAATTCTTTATCTAATGTTGAGTATGAATTGCTTTGCCTGTATCTTCCCATGAACTCTATAGCAAAATAGTTTCCACACTTTCAGAGGTGAACTTGAATTTACTTAGCCTCCCACAGTGATATCCAATGACCCATGGCTTCTCACTGCTTCTGTAACTAGCAAATGATTTGATATGATTAATAATGAATTTTCTACTTAGGATCATAATGCTAATTGCTCCCCTATGGACATTTTCTTTCCCTAGGTTTGATTTTCATACTGCGTAGCTTATTTTTTTTTCTGATATATGTATGACTTAGAAAAGTTACCTCACTCTTCATCCCCACCAGTCATCAAGTAAATTCTTCAACATAGAAATGATGATGTTAATTGTGCCTTTCCACTCCTGCATCTGACTCTAGAATAAACCCTATGGATGGGTCTTACACCAGGGTTAAGAAGACTTTCAGTAGAGACAAGGCTTCTTTGAAAGAACTTAGGGTTATAGTGGAGATTTGACTAAAAAAAATGAAAACAAAATAAAAAGAAACATCCTCCTATGTTTTTATTAAAGGCCACAATTTGCATAGATATTTACAGTATTTTACACTGGAGCTGATACAGGCATATGTCAGAGATATTGCAGGTTCAGTTCCAGACCACTGCAATAAAGCAAATACAGCAATAAAGGGATTCAAACAAATTTTTGATTTCCTAGTATATATATTATGTTTCCACTATACTGTAGTCTATTACATATGAAAAGCATTTCTAGATATCAAAGTGCATACCTTAATCTAAAATACTTTATGGCCAAAAATATGCTAATGATTATCGAAGATTGCGGAGAGTCATAATGTTTTTGCTCATGGAGGGTCTTGTCCACAATGTTGATGGCTGCTGACTGATCAGGGTGGTGATTGCTGAAGGCTGGGTGGCTGTGAAATCTTCTTAAAATAAGAGAATAATGAAGTTTGCTGCATCAGTTGACTCTTCCTATCAGAAAATATTTCTTTTTACGATGCCAAGCTGTTTGATAGCATTTTATCTATAGTAGAACCTCTTTAAAAATTGGAGTCAATCCTCTCAAACTCTGCCACTGCTTTATCAACTAAGTTTATATAATAATTTCAACAATGTTCACAACATCTTCACCAGGAGTAGATTCCATCTCAAGAAACCACCTTCTTTGTTCCTCCATAAGCAGTAACTTCTCTTCTGTTCAAGTTTTATTATGAGATTGCAGCAATTCAGTCACATCTTCAGGCTCCACCTCTAATTCTATTTTGTTTGTTATTTCCACCGCTGTAACCTGTAGTTTCTTTCTCCACTGAAGTTTTGAATGTCTTAAAGTCATCCATAAGGTTGGAACTTCTTCAAACTCCTATTAAAGTTGATATTTTCACCTTCTCCCATGAATCACAAATGGTCTTAACGGCATATAATGGTGAATCCTTTCCAAATGGTTTTTCAATTTACTTTGCCCAGATCCATCAGTGGAATTATTATCTATGGCAACTATAGCCTTATGAAATATCTTTCTTAAACAATAAGACTTGAACGTCAAAATTACTTCTTAATCCATGGGATACAGAATGAGCGTTTTGTTAGCAAACAAGAAAACAACATTAATCTCCTTGTACATCTCCATCAGAGCTCTTTGGTGACCAGGTACATTGTCAATGAGCAGTAATATTTTGAAAGGCATATCTTTCTCAGTGCAGTAAGTCACAATAGTGGGCTTAAAATATTCAGGAAACCAAACTGTAAATATATGTGCTGTTCTCTAAGCCTTATTTTTCCATTTACAGAGCACAGGCAGAGTAGATTTAACATAATTCTAAGGGCTTTAGAATTTTCAGAATGTTGAATTACATTGACTTCAATTTAAAATCACCATTCCATTATCCCCTAACAGGATAGTCAATCTATCCCTTGAAACTTTGAAGCCAGACATTAACTTTAACTGTGAAAGTCTTAGATGGCATCTTCTTCTAATAGAAAGCTGTTTTATCTACATTGAAAATCTTTTCTGTAGTATAGCCACCCTCATGAATAATCTAATCTTAGCTAGATCTTCGGAATAACTTGCTGCAACCTCTCCATAAACACCTGCTGCAACCTCTCCATAAACACTTGCTGCTTCACCTTATACTTTTATGTCACAGAAATAGGTTCTTTCCTTAAACCTCATGAACTGCTAGCTTCAAATTTTATTTCTCCAGCTTCTTAATCTCTCAGCCTTCATAGAATTGAAGACAGTTAGGGCCTTACTCTTGATTAGACTTTAGCTCAAGGAAATGTCATGGCTGGTTTGATCATACATCCATACCACTGAAACTTTTTCCATATCAACAATAAGGTTGTTTTGCTTTCTTATCACTTGTGTGTTCCCTGGAGTGGCACTTTTAATTTTCTTCAAAACCTTTTCCTTTACATTCACAACTTGTTTTTTGGCACAAGAGGCCTAGCTTTCAGTTTACCTCAGCTTTCTTCATTCCTACCTCACTAACCTTAACTATTTTGAGTTTCTGAGTTAAAGGAAGAGACATGTGACTCTTCTTTTCACTTGAATACCAAGAAGTCATTGTTGGGTTATTAACTGGTCTAATTTTAATATTATTGTGTTTCAAAGGGCTGAGGACAAGGAAAGAGATGGGAAATGGCCAGCTGGCTGACCAGTCAGGACAAACAACACTTATCAACTAAGTTTGCCATCTTATATGGGCATGGGCAAAATTCATGGAGCACCCTCAACTAACAAATTACAATAGTAATATTAAAGATCACTGAAAACAAATCACCATAACCAATATTATAGAGGTTAAAAAAGTTTGAAATATTAAGAGAATTACTAAAATTCGATACAGAGACACGAGGTGAGTATGTTATTGGAAAATGACACCAATAGTCTTGTCCAATGCAAGGTTGCCAAAAACCTTTAATTTGTAATAAACACAATATCCATGAAGTGTAATGAAGTGAAGTGCAAAAAAATTAGGTGTGCCTGTATAAAGCACTTTGTTAGATATAGCTTATTCTCAAATTCACCAGAATTCATATACCCAACTTGCCAGTACTGTTTCCATTTTTTCTTATTTTCATCAGGGTCTAGCACATTTTTTGTCTTATAATCAATAATAACAGAAAAGTTTATTTTCTATAGTCTATAACCTATATTATATACTGTTTTCTATTTTTTAAGGTAATTTCCAAAAGGGACTTAATTCAATATCAGGATACAGGCACCAAAACTAATAGCTTAAAATAGGTTATAATTGATACTGGATTATTCAGACTTAGAATGCTACTCTGAACGATTGTGGAGGGTTTGGGTAGCTCAGTAGTAATTTGGCTGATATATGTTGGAAGCCAGAAGTAGATGTTTCTTATTATTTGCCTCATACAACGGTTTTTAATTCATGAGATATCCCAACTCTTGTAAAACTACAACATTTTGCCTGCTCCACATATATTATAATATACAAATATTACTTTATGTAAGAAACACACATATTGGTTCTTTGCTTAGCAAAAAGGAATGCATGTGACTTGGAGTTGGCCTTCAGAGTACCCTAGACTTAGTATATTTTTCTAATACCTGGAAGGAAAAAATCTTTCTTCTGAGGCTCCATATGTTAGATTGGAGTCCTATAGGAGCAGACCTTGAGACAAAAACTTGAGGGAAAGTAGTTAATTTGAGAGGTGATCCAAAAGAACATTGGCAGGGGAATGGGGAAGTCAGGAAAGGAAAGGAGGTTAGTGCTCTGGGAATCTGGGCTTCATTCTCATTGAGAACTTCTGGACAATGGTGAAGAACAACTCTTAAACTTGAGGGCTGTTCCAGGGGGCATTAACTACTCCAGACTTTCAGCATGCCCTCTCTCTTGCACCCAGAGAAAGTCCCCAAGCAGGGAGACTGCAGATTATTGTTATAAGAAGCCACCAGCATGGTTGGGAACAATTAGTGCCAAGGGGTTGTTGACGGGGCATGAAGAGTATCTACTCTGTTGCTGAATTAAAAGGAAGAAGCTCTTGGGCTGCTGGGGAGGAACTGGATTTTCATGAGTAATGAACCTACCTGAAGCTAAAGCCAATACAGAGAAAAGCAGAACCAGAAAAAGAAAAGAAAAGAAAAGAAAATAATATATAGGAATAATCTGATACTGAATATTATTTCGGACCCTAGACTCAGCTGTGCTTAAAGGTCAATCTCCAGTATCCTAGAAACATGAATCAATACATTCCTTCATTCACTTCCTCCCGCTTTTCTCTTCTTTTAGTTAAAGTTTCTATAACTCACAATCAAAATGAATCTTGGTTTATAGATCTATTCATAATTTTTAGGCCGAGGCTTCCTTAAAAATTTTATGTTGATAAAACCAGATATTGAAGCAAGATTCTCCTGCTGCTAAGCAAACTCTCCTGCCTCTATTTTTCTCTCAAGTTGTTAATTCCATGCACGTGGTCAACATTTACCCCTTTATTTGCTGCTGTTGTGCTTGAGGCCTTTACTCTATATCTTTTTAAATAGTAGACCCATACTCCTCTTCCGAGGGGAAATGAGCCATATAAAGATACTTGACGAAGAGTGGAAACTACTTTGCAAGATGCCCTCACAATTAAATGTCTGCTTCATCTGGGTCCTTAACATCCCAATTTATTATGCTATAGTACTGATTAGCTGGAAGTAACACGACATGTGATGCTTCTACTTTAAGTTTCCTTGGACTATTCTTGAACTTATCTGCTAGTAAAATAGAATCGTAGATCAGAGGGATCAGAGACTGTTAGCCCCTTATTTTTATTCTAGTTTAATGGAATGACAAAAAATATAAAGTAAAATGTCAAGTCAACACTATTCTGTAAGCTAGAAAATGTTCTAAATAGTTTGCCACTAGGTATTATAGAAGTGCTCCGTTGCTTTTGGAAAATTTCACTATGCCTAAAATTAAGATCAGTGTGTGTATATGGTTTTTTTTGGTGTTTTTTTGTTTTTTTTTTTTTGAGATGGAGTCTCACTGTTGCCCAGGCTGGAGTGCAGTGGTGCTATCTCAGCTGACTGCAAGCTCTGCCTCCCTGGTTCATGCCATTCTCCTGCCTCAGCCTCCCGAATAGCTGGGACTACAGGCGCCTGCCACCATGCCTGGCTAATATTTTGTATTTTTAGTAGAGACGGGGGTTTCACCATGTTAGCCAGGATGGTCTCAATCTCCTGACCTCGTGATCCACCCACCTCAGCCTCCCAAAGTGCTGGGATCACAGGCGTGGGCCACCGTGCCCGGCCCAGTGTGTGTATACGTTTTAAGCTAGAATCATTGATATCCATAATGAAAATGTTATTTATGCTTCCAATAATATTAGATCCACACTTATTCCCCAGCACATTCCCCATCTCTAGTCTTTTATGGGCACACTGATTAAGGAACAACAGGTGTGCGTCAGAAGGGTTTTGGTTGAAAGTACACAGCTTACCTACACATCCTTGTGTATTTAAATCTGATACTGGTTCACGGGTAGTCAGCATTGGCTGCTGAATCTACACTCTTGTTCTCAATGACTTAGCTTTGATACGAGCACTTTTTCTCTTCTCCTGATCTGGTTGGGTTTCAGAAAATAAGAACAACTGCCTCAGGCTACTTTTATGTAAAATTAGAAGTTTTTTATACCAAGAATAATTACAGAGTATAATATGAAATGAGTAACTATCAAGGTTGATTGTATTCTAGACTGATGAGACTGATGAATCTTTATGAAATTCCACCTGAAAGAAAGTTTCCCAAGATAAATAGTTGATTTCTATTTCTCATCCTAGACTTTTGCTACTGAAATTCTGCTTTTGGTTATGCCATAGGAAAAGGATATCCACATAACTTTCTCCATTTATAGGGTTTTCCTAAATAACAGGACTAAGAGGATATCTGACATTGAAAGAACAAGCTTGCCTTGTAAGAGAGTAAAAGACAACTTCACAAATTGGCAGCTTGAAGCTCTCAGTCTATTGTGTTTAAAACTAAATGTATAAAACGTGGAGTGTAAACAAAACTCACAAAAGGTCACTCTCTAACCATAGTGGAATAAGGCAGAGACAGATACACTAAGCAAATAAAGTATATAACAAAAGAACTAGTTACCCCTTCTTCTTGCTAACTTCAGTGATTGTCATTTCGTGACCCCTGACAAATATATCCCTACCTTAATTTCAGATATCCCAGCTAAAAAAAAAAAAAAAAAAAAAAAAATCAAGACAACCAATGACCAAACTGTTTCCACTTCCTGATATTATCCAATCCAAAACTGATACCCACATTCCTAAGCTTGCCTTAAAATCACCCAGATTGAACACAAATTCTGTAAGATACATCCTCCAAATTCCCCCTCACTGAGACTTCCCATGGTTACTCTGGTACATACTCTTATTGCAGTAGGCTAAATAAACCCAACTCTGTGTGACAATAGATATGTTTCTGGTGGTCTTTAGCTGGTGGATAGTAACCATGGAAATATGGCAAAAATGACCCATCTAAAATATCTATGTAATGTGTAATTTGGAGTGTATGAAGTAAGAGATCATCAGGACTTATTTCCTAGTCTGACAGGATGAAGTGCAAAAACCAGCTGGAACCAGCAGATGACATAGAAAGCAACCCCTTAGTAGCCCTCATTGCTTATTAGCATACATCTCTCTATCCAGCTCTGTGACGGTTTACAAATGTCATGGCAATGACCCAGAGTTACTGCCCTTTTCTATGGTAAGGACCTAGGAGTTACTGCCCCTTTTCTAAAGATTTCTGCAAAGCCTTCCTCTTAATTTGCATTAAAGGTGGGTATAAATACAGCCCACAACTTCTGCTTCTGGGTGCATTGCCCAGCAAGTAACCCTGCTCTGCAAGGAGCAGATCCCGTTATACTAAAGACTGTTGTCTAACACCGCTGGCTTGCTCTTGAATTTTTTCCTGAGCACTGTCCTGGGCTTAGCCCTAATTTCAGGGCTTACCTGCTTGCCTGTCTCATGTAGACTCCAGTTATAGTATAGTCTGAGGTCAAGATTTTATTCCTAGCTGCTTGTGAAAAATAAAGTTGGGATGGTAGGACTGGCTAAGTATCATATCAATTTAAATTTCTTGTGCAGCAAAATAAATCAGAAGTGTAGAACCTCCCAGTTTTCCGTGGTTATTAACACCAATAATAGTGTAAATTTTGCTATAGGAGAAGTATGTTCTCATATTTGCTACAGATTAGAGCATTGATTTCTTTTTTAATCATGGAGAAAGCCTAAAATTATTAGAAAAGACCACAGAGGATTTAACTTTTCAACTTGCCTCTTCGCTGATTTTCACACCCTGTTAATTTAGTTTCATTTTAATCACTTCCATCAACTCAAGTCACCAAATGCATATCAAATGACTACCATGTGTCAGGTCCTATACTAGGGGCTCAAGGGCATTCCATGATGAGCAAATACCAATTCATGGCTTCGAAGAGATTACAGGTTAATGGGAGGTAAGAGGCACTAAAATCAAATGTGGATAATTTTGAATATATATTCACTGAAATTTTAAACCCTGAGCTAGTCTGGTTTTTACATAACATATTAACATTGGTACTTGGCAAAATAATTATATAATTATAGCTTTCACATTTTTCTTTTAAATGCCATTTTCATGAAATGAATAACACAATTACACATAATGAAAGGAGATAATTATTAAACACTGTCAGGTGTTTTATATTTTGCATGCCAAGATTCTGGATTGTTTCTAAAGAGAATAAAAAGAGAAAATCAGTGTTTTGACCATTATCCACAATTCTGGGGTATAATTACAGAAGATTGTAGAATATTTTATTGTAAGATTCACCTGAAGACACTGTTTGCAAAACTTTATTTGAATGTTTTTCCTTGCAGCCTTACAACATGCCTCAGAAAAGAATTGCTATTTTTGGCTTCATTAGAGACAAATCCAAAAATCCAAAAATCCATTAGCCTTCTCAACATGAGACCTTGTACTAGGAAACTGACTTCTAAGTCCTCCCAACAATATCTGTTTGGCATCTAGGAAACACAAACTCCTGGGGATGTGATTTGCTCTTGGCCATTCATGGGAAGAAGCGGCATACAATCACAAATGAAGAACTGCAAAATGAGTCATCCTCCTATAATGATTTCTATGAAATGAGTAAACAAAATATGCAATTATGCATATTGTTCATGTTGTGGAAATTTATTCTAAATCCTCCCCTTGGCAGATTCTTTAAAAACAGCACATTTACACTTCCAAGCTATTACTTGTGAGATTTTCTTTTAATCACCTTTTAATAGAATTGGCATTATCATCTAATACAACTAGGCATAACCACTTACAGATATTTGTCAAATATTTAGTAGGAGACCTGGACCATTACAAACATATTTCTTACAAAAAAAGTAATTTTCATTTTCTTCCCAACTGACAGTGCAGTTATTAGGCTCCGTCTCTAAGATGCCTACAAGCAAATTTAATTAGTCAGTTAAATGAAACTGTCAGAAATTTGAAAAACATTTTTGTAGTAAATTATAGCCCTAGGTATTTCTTAATTTGCTTTGTGTAACTTCAACTGGAAAGTATGTTTATAATATTCTATTTGTTCAGCATGGATGAAGGTCACTTCACATTTACTTTCATCTTGAAATCGCCTGACCATTTCACAGCTGTTTGAATTTTAACAAGAGGAAACCAGTTTGGAGGATTCAGAGAGAGCAAAAAAGAAAAAATAATAACATTTGGCATTTATGAGGTTTATAATAATTCTGCTCTTGGAAACTATGGAACAAGGCTGATGTCTTTGTTTCAAGTCATAAGTTATGGAAATTAATTCTACAGAAAAAATTACTAGGTGTAAAATTATGGTAATTATAGTCATGGTAACCAGATATCTTTAAACATTAGGAGCCAGGTCCTGTACTGTGGGTCAGCAATTGTATCACACAATCATATCCTTTGATTAAGAAAACCTTTTTATGTAATATATTTAAGCAATGTACTGAAATTATTCATAATGTCCCACTATTAAGAAATTATATTCTCCCTCTACCCAAGTAAAAAAGTCAGAAAGAAAATAAATGAAAAGCTAGAAAGAGTCCAGTAGGCAATAACATGTGCAATTATAAATAACTATTCATCCACATGGCTTTTCACCATTTCTTTTTTCTGTTGTTTTTGCTTTTATATTTAAAAGTTAGGAGCCCAAATATCTTCCACCATTTACTTTGAAGTTTTATTTTAAGATAACAAACACAGAATTCACTTGAATATTTTTCAGTTAGGTACTTTGCTTTGACATCAAATCTCTTTGTTCCTTTTATCATTCTCTTTTAAGTAAAATCCCTAATTAAAGAATCTGAGATTGAAGAAGAAACTGTGAGAAAATAATATAAGTATAAAAGTGAAGTAGTGAAAATTAATTATTCCCAATGAGAAAACAATAGTTGATATGGAAATAAGCATACAAACTTCTGAGTTCCAATAGTAACAACACATGTTTTTGGGCACTAGCATAAACAAGACATTAGAGAAAAAAAATAAAATGGAATTAATTATCTTTTTTTCTTTTCACTATTTTCATTTAAAGTAGACTGAAGTTAAAACTGTATGTTTCCCAATAGAATAGTGAGCACCTTGATGTTTTTATTCCTGAAAAGTTTATAGAGTTTTGTTTGGATTTTTAAGGTTCTGCAAAACAACTCATAGCAATATACACAGTGTTTCATATTTTGTGAGTGACCTTGTATCCGGGTAAATTATAGCATCACCATACTCATTTCTTGTTTTCCCCACAAACTAACTGAGAGCACTTATATTTTATGATCAGAAAGTCTAAAGTTTAGAAAGACAAAAACAAAAAAAAACAAACAAAAACAAAACAAAACAAAAAAACAAAACAAAAAAACACCTCTGCACTTGGATGTGTAAGACCTGGGCTCAGGAACAGAAGACCTTGTTTTACAATAGTGATGCCAAGCCTTTCTCTATATCTTGGCCTTTTGATTTTTGGTATTCTTTGTGAAACATATATGCTGTTACTTATCTCACGGGCTGTTTTAAAGATCAAGTCAAAGGAGCATTGAATATGTAGCCGCTTTGTAAACTTTGCAACCCTTGCAAAAAATATTTGGAGATAGATTTTGTGTTTATAATTTTGGAAGGTTAGTTGAATATTCTCATATGGTTGTTTAATGGAAGTCATGGGGTAAGGCTGCATCTTAGAAAGTGGAAAATAATCACTCTTAAAAGGCTGCTATTATTAACAATGTTAATCTTGGGAGGGAGGAACAGATAGGAATTCTGGAATTTGGGAAACAGACCTCATTGTCTGTGCTCTGGACTTTAGAGGGATCCAGTTCTGCTTGGGTATAATCTAGGGTTAGAAAGAGCAGATAATTTCCATTCCATAGAGAAATGCCAGAAACTAGCCAGAGAAACATCTCTATAGAGACCATATTCTGATCATGTTGAAAACATTAATAATAATGATAATAGCTACTCTTTATTAAACACTTACTACCACCAGGTACTATTCAAAATTCATCCTATGTAGTAAATTTAATTCTTGCATTACTATGTGGTGGACACTTATTAGTCCCAGTTTACAGATGGAGAAACTGAGGCATAGAGAGGCTAAGAAATTGCTAAAGGTCTCATACTTAAGTCCCATTTGAACATTCAAATGAGATGTAAACCCAAGCACTCTCCAATTCATTTTTTTTTCTTAGTCCTTGTTCAAACTACCTCACTTTGTGAAACCAATTATCTAATCATTGGCACCTCTTGGTAGCAGATTTGGTTTGTTTGTTTGTTTGCTTCCTTTATTTTGGTTTTGATTCTCCAAGGTGTATATACTCTTGTTTCAATGCCTCAGTCCTTTCCGAGAGTGGGTAATCAAAGAACAATCCTCTGTTCAATTAGAGGACAGTGCAATAAAGAGGAAAGAGCATCTCCCCAAAACTACTCTGGTGTTAAACAAATTTCAATTGTGAGAGGTCATTAGAGTGAAAAATAATGGTAAATACAGCATGTTTATCACCTTGCTAATGCATTAGCAGATAAAGTATGTGATAATTGAGTCAGAAATAGTCTATCAGAGGAAAAGAATTGGAACTACAAGTGTAAACATGTACCTCTACATGAGTATTCTTTCTTCATTGCCAAATTTGAAGGATCAATATTGATCTTATTAAAGGTGGTGGTGGTGTACATATTATATTCTGCTAGGGGAATATTTTGTTAAATTGAGACTACTCAACTCATAGATTATAATAGACTGATTTATTTTATTGTCTATCACAACATTCTGGGCATCTAAGAAAGACCCTGTATTTTTATAGGGTGTTTGTATATCTAACCTGTATTGAACATTTGTACATCTATTTATACATATATTATACACTTTATACAAATATATTTACAAAGATGCCCCACATCTAACCTAGATGTGAATAAAAGATATTTGTATACAACAGTATACAGTAACAACAAACATTAGGTGCTGCTATACTCCAGAAATGGCACCACATGGGAGTGCAACAGTGAGCAGTAGAGACATGTCCTCGTGTTGCTTGTTGACTGGAGCTTTGTTGTTCAATATGTAACCATCAGCCACGTGGGGCTATTTAAATTTAAATTAATTAAAATGAAATTAAATAAAAAATTTAGTTCCTCAATCACACTAGTTATATTTCAATTTCTTAATAGCCACATATCACCAGTAACTACTCTATAGGACAGCACAGATTAGACACAATTTCCATTATCACAAAAATTTCCACTGGACAAGGCTGCACTAGGGCTTTATTCTCTTGATTTTTTGACTACATACTCTAAGATCAATATTCATGGGGGTACCAGGTTTGAAGCACCAGTTCCATATTACAAAGCTTTGAAAGGAGTATTTGTGCTAAGATGAGTTACTCTGGAAGGCAACTGGTAGTGACGGAAATATCTTATCATGTACATATAGTTCTTTTCCCATTGGGAGAATTCTTGTCCACCAGATGATGGTACATTGGACAAGGAGAAATGGCAGTATTTTAATTTGTGTGACCATCATTGTTGAAAGAAAATGAACTCTAACTTAAAATTTGATAGAGGTAAGAATACTGAAGAACAGGGAAGCAGACTGATCATTCATTCATTAATCTTTTCTACAGGATCAACTAATAGCCGGGGGAAGGATGGACATAGAACCTGAATTTTCCTTTGTAGAGGTACATACTCATTGCCACTCTCAGCCAAGACATGGGCACATAACCCACACTTCAGCAAATTATGTGGTTCTTTCCCCTGGGCACATTCAAGGATGGATATGAAACCTAAGCCAAGAGAAAAAAAAAAGTCTAATTCTGAGAATTTCATTGGAATGGTTGGAAAATAGAAGGTAGGAGTAAAGCTGATACAAAATTGGAGCTGCTAGACACAAACAGAGGCGGCCTGAGAACAAAGGGAAGAAATGACAGTGAGTCCCCTGCGTAGCTTCCATGTCTAGCAACAGTTCAAACTAATATTCCTCTGTATTTTTCCTGAGCTCCTTCTCTTTCAAACAAGTATTATTTGCATTTCTGTCACTTGAAACAAGCATATTTTTTATTGAAAAAAATCTAAAGTTTTTTGCTAGATATGATCTTGGAGGCTATCTAGACTTCCTTCTGAATTTTTTTCTACTGAGGAATACCCATTGGAATAAAAGTACACAACCTTTGAGGTATTAGATGTTTCTGTCAAAGCAAACAACTGTAAGCATAACATTTCTTTGAAAACTTATGATCTATTTTAATACAGCATGCACATTTTGCATTTCATGCCACAATGTGGCTGTTGCTATGTCTGTTCCTCTAATAATTAATATAAGTAATTATATAGGGACTTAATAAAATAAAAATGGAAATAACCTTATATGGGAAAAAGGGTTTAATTAAGTGTGTCAAATTTCCCATTAATCCAATTACCACCTCAAGAAAGTGTGGTTTTAAATGTTTTTAATTGGTTCTGCATTTCTATAATTTTTTCGGTAATTATTTCTTTTGCCTAGCTAAATACTTTGGGACACCACTCTTATTTTTCCTCATCCTTGTTATAGCCATCAGTCTATTTTGACATATAATGTTCAATTAATGTGAGATCTTTAAAGGCCAATATTTCAGTATTAGTGATAACGTAAGTCAAGGAAACTTAAAGGAGGAACATTTTGAGACAAGATAGCATTAGCCACCTTTCTCCATCTACTTTTGTTATATATTGGCCAAGTGGGCTACTAGGAAGATAATGTAATATTTTGGGTATACAAATCTTTATAACAACTGTTTTTGTTTTTCTTTCTTATGCTTTGTGTTAGTAAATATTGCTTGACTTCCATATGTGGTGAAACAACTTATTCCATAAAATTTCATTATTCTTCTTGCTATATAATCCCCATTTTAAATAAGCTAGAAACTCAGAGTGTCATAACTGCTACAAGAAGAGATAAGGCTGCTAGTAGCCATAATAATATTTCACTTTATTAAAAAATAATAAAGGAAATACATATTGGGATTATTCTTCAGTTTTGTATAAACTTTCTCTCACCCCAATTCGGTGACCATATGTTCTCTGACACGAACTTAAAAGTCAATATGAAATGACTTAAATGTCAGCCACATATCTTATGTGTGACAAAACCAGCAGTTTGACCAGAGGCCAGTGGGAAGGTATTAACACATATAAATGCAATATGTGTCAGCCAGAAGAGTTGACAAATGGAAACCAAGAAAAAGAAGAGCCAGAGAGGCTAATGGTGATAATGACCATCTAAATATACACATTTTAACCCTCTATATTTCAATCCCAATATATATATATATTTTAAGTCCAAATATATATTTAATATACATATATATAATATGAAAGGGAAATTAATTTAGTAGACTTCAGATATTACTGCTCCTTTAATGATACCTCACTAATTGTCAAGGGGTACTTAGGCATTTGTCGTAATCTTTGAGTATTATGGACTCAATGTCAAGAGTATTCCAATTGCAAATATATATATTATATATGTGTATATATACACACACACACACACACACACATATATATATATATATATATGCATGCACATTAGGCTACCTTAGCCCTGTTACTAATACATATGTTACTCATCTATGTTACCACCCTTATTCTAATTCTCATCAAACCATATGCTAATTATGACTTGTCAATGTGCATGCAAGAAGGGAATGTGCTGGTTCTATAAACGCAAATATTCTGATTCACATGTTACTTCTGTTGCCCAGATAAATCTATGCACTTTCATACTGCTTTTAATGATCAGTGTCGGTATCTTTTTCAGTTGACCGTTAAAGGAATACTAGAGATTTTGTTTATTTAATCAAGTTTGTGAGCATGAAAAGATAAGGCCAGACTTAATTAGGGCCATATTTAATTAATCTTCATAAGCCATCTTTGACTATATTAAGAAAGTTTCCTGCTAGTGGTTCTGTACCCTTGCTAATTGCTGCCCTTCAATACCTATATTTGAAAAGAAGGAAAAGGCAAACAAACCCGCTAGAGTCATGAGAATAAGATAATTTGTTGTCTTCTGCCCAAAATTGTTTTAATATATATACAAACTTATGATATCTATGAGGAGTACAGTATCCCTGTCGATGTGGCATAATGTACACTATATATCTTCAGAAACTATTTGTACTGGTCATTGGATCTCTCTTCCCCACCTTCTTGCTGGACTGTGAATTCTTAGAGAAAATAAACTTATATTTATCTACTGTTATATGCTTGCAGCAATTAGCAGAGTGCTTGCATAGTATCACTTAATATATAAATGGTAAATTTATTAAGGCAAAACTGAAAGTGAAAAGCTTTATGAGTATGTGAATTAAAGCAGAAAACTTAACTTCAAAGTTGAATCCTTCTTTTGCATACTTTGATCCACACTAAAGAACATCTAAAATAAATGACCCTGTTTTTAACTTACTAGTATCTCTTTTAAATTACAAGACAGGTTTGTTTCAATGAAGATTATTCTTTATTTCTTTCATGTTTCTTTCATGCCTCCAACACTTTCTTTTTTCCAGGTCTATACTCTGGTCTAGGTCTACTTTCCCTTGACTTCAAACTAATAGTGATGAAGGAAAGTTTACTAATTAATTCCCTTTGGACCCAGCAATAAATCAGACAACTTCTGTTGCTATTGAAAGGTAGACATTTGTTTTAAATTTTGAAATTCTTAAGGTTATTCTATATTTGTTAAGGTAAAACTCAAAAACATTAATTTATAGTATTAGGAATATATATCATATAGATAAATGCCTTGAAAATTGTTTTGAGGTATTAGTATAACACAGACCACAGCCAAATATTTTGTGTTACTTAATGGATTTTTTTCAAGTTTTCTCTTCTTTTGAAATATCTATGAAAATCTTTATTCTTTTTAATACCTGTGTTTTAAAAGTTTCTTTTATGCATTTTGATCACTCTGAACCCTCTAAAATACATTAGCAATTTTTTATTTTCATCTGGCTTGAAAAGAGAGCTTGGATTTTTATGTTTTAATGAGGGGACTTAGTAATGCTTTAGCTTTTACCAAAGGCTACATTTAATGTCCTTGCTCTGACATTTCTTCAAGTTCTACAGAAGATAGAAAATAATACAGTATTTCCATGCTCTAGTTTTACAAGAGCAATGCTTTACTGCATCATTTAGGTGGTGTTAAACCCTATTTGGGTCTAAAAACCTGCTCTGAGTACCCGTGATATCTCTTAAATATAGCTACAAAACACTCACATAATACTGTCATGACTTGAGTTTCCTCTTCATTTTTGTCCTCACATAACACTTTATTATAAGGGTTAGCTTGTTAAGAAAAGCCTTAATTTAATTTTTATCTATTTAAAATTTACTTTTATTTTTTATGAGTTATTCCATCACATTTCATTATATTTTTATACCTTTGAAAGTACTTTGATAAGAATATTATGGCATAAATTAGACACAAATTATGTTATTAGGGAAAATGAGGAATTTGAAACTTTAGAATATTAAAATTAGATGTGAGGTTAGTCATCCAGGAGAAGGAGGAGCTAACAGTCAAATACAAAGACCTAGTCTTGACTTTGGTTTAGCGCATCTTGACATGGAAGAACCTTTCTGGTGAAAGAAGAAAATGGAATTTATCTGAAGTAATGGAAGTGATTAAATTTGGATGGATAACCGTGTCATATTCCGAAGTAACCAGTTTACTCTAAATAATTCATGTCCATGGGAAATAGTATTGAGGCAAAGTGATAAAGTAAATATAAAAGGTCTTTAAGCATTTTTTTTTTTTTGCATTCGTAGGGGTAGGGTCTTGCCCTCTTTCTAGAGACTGTGCATGTATGTTAAATATTGTTATGTATGACTATTGAAATAATACCACCAAGAAAGTTGATTAGGTTCATGAATGGAAGTCCACAGGTATTCCTTACAAAACCAGATTTTGCTCCAAACTCGGTCACAAATCTTTGACTTTAGCTAAAAGAATAATTGATGGTGGCCGGGCGCGGTGGCTCATGACTGTAATCCTAGCACTTTGGGAGGCCAAGGTGGGCGGATCACGAGATCAGGAGACCGAGACCATCCTGGCTAACATGGTGAAACCCCATCTCTACTAAAAAATACAAAAAATTAGCCGGGCGTGGTGGCAGGCGCCTGTAGTCCCAGCTACTCCAGCTACTCGGGAGGGTGAGGCAGGAGAATGGCATGAACCCAGGAAGCGGAGCTGTAGTGAGTCGAGATCACGCCACTGCACTCCAGCCTGGGCGACAGAGCGAGACTCTGTCTCAAAAAAACAAAAACAAATAAAAATAAAAATAAATAATAACTGATGGAAAGTCACAGACTTTTTACTCCCAACAATAAAAGAAACAACAACCTTTGAAGGATTCATAATCTAGCCCCAACAAGTTTCCTTATTTTAGCTTCTATAATGAAGACTTCTTACCACACCACAACAACCACTTTGCATTGCACATTCTATGATTCCCAAGATTTAACCACACAAAATTTATGAATATTTCTTCAACACACCATACGAGGACATGCTCTGAAACCATCACTTATGATATAAGGATTGCATGGAAGGAACTGCATGTAGTTGTCAGAGAAATTATTCTCTATTATAAAAGCACCAAAAAATCCATACATTCAGCAACTTAACATGAAAATAATACAACAAAAAACTACTATATATGTGAAGAAGGCCAAAAAATATTACCAATATATAGGAACAAAATGAGTCAACAGAAACAGATTGAAAAATGACAAAACAATGGGATAAGCAGAAAAACAACTTTAACATAGCTATTATAGTCAAGAATGTAAGAAAAAAGTACTGTGAACATAATGAAAGAATTTTTAAAAATAATATCAGTAGGGATGTGAGAATTATATGAAATAACCAAATAGAAATTGTAGAAATAATAATTGCTTTTCAAATTCACACAGGAATAGAAAACCAAATACTGTGTATTCTCACATGTAAGTAGGAGTCATCATTGAGCGAACATGGATAAACTTGGGAATAACATATACTGTGGACTACTAGAAGAGGTAGGGAGAGGGATGTGAGTTGAAAAACTACCTATTGAGTAGTATGACAACTACCTAGATGCAATATATCCATGTAACAAATCTGTGTGTAGGACCCCAGTTTCTAAAATAAAGGAATTTTAAAAATTGGTTTGATGGCTTTATAGTAGATTAAACACTGTGGAAGAAGAGACCATCGAGCTCAATCACAGAGCAATAGAAACTATTTAAAGTGAATCATGGAGAAAACAAGAGTGGAAAATAAAATGAAAAGAGTTCATTAGCCTAAGGCACAATTAAACAATCTAACATAATTGCTATTGGTATTACAGAAGAGATTTTGTGGAAATGTTTAAAAAGTAGTGTTGGCAAATGTTCAGATTATGTGAAAAACCTTTATCCACCTATTTAAGGAGCTCCATAAACCTAACCAAATAGAATACACACACATACATACACTCTACACTATCACCACTGCCACGAAGACATATCATAAACAATATGATACGTGATTATGATATGACTTACTGGCGGTATTCCACAGCACTGTAGGATGACTAGAGTTAGCGATAATATATTTTAGCTTCAAATAGTTAGAAGGAAGACATTTAATTTTTCCAACACAAAGCAATGCTAAATGTTTGAGATGATAAATGTGCTAATTATCTTGATCTGATCACTGTACATTGTCGATAATGCAACTTCACTGTGTATCTCATAAATATGCACAAATATTATATGTCAATGTAAAATATTAAGTAAAAAGAAAACTGGCTTGTTATGGGAGTAAGGGGACAGAGTGTTTCAAAGAATGTAAAGTTTGCCGAGGTGCTGATAATTGTCGAATATCTAAAGATATAGTGTGATAGGTAGCCTCCAGTGAACTATTCTTTCTGAAATTCACACCTTTGTGTAGTGTCTTCCACGTTGAATGGGGCTACACTTGTTTTACCAGTAGACTGAAGCACACTATGTGACTTTAGATGTCATACAAATCCTTGAAACATCCATCTTTGTCTCTTGAAATTCTTTCTCAGAGGGAAAACTTCAAGAGCTAGCCATAGTGCAAGATGTCTGTTGACTCATAAACTACCATGCTGTGAAGGTGCCCAAACTAAGAGTGTGAAGATTCGATATGGAAGATGCAATATAGAAGAAGTTGGGGGTCGGGGGGGAGAGAGAGAGAGAGAGAGAGAGAGAGAGAGAGAGAGAAATGTATGCCTGGCCAGACCCCAGTTCCAGTAATTCAACCTGGATACCAGCCATATGAAGGAAGAAGCCATCTTGGATTTCAAGCCTTCAGATGAATCCAACCCATAGAAAGACCCCAAATGAGAATTGTGCAGCTAAATCCAGTCATTCCACAGAACCATGAGAGATAAAATAAATTCCCATTTTAAGCTACCAAATGTTTTAATTGGAAAAACATAGGAATTGAAAAAATAAATCTCTGTTTGATTTGGAGGTATGGATGTCATTGTTGTTTCTGAGAATAACAGGGACAGAAGCCAGATCTGAATGGGTTGAAAAATGAGTGAAAGGTGAAGAAATTATGAAAGCAAAGGTAACAACTTTCTGGAGATGTTCCACTGTGGATTGAGAGGAAGAAGATTGGCAGGTGGAAGAGAATGCAAAGATGAGGGAGAGTTTACCAATTAAACATGTTGAAAAGTACTGCCTATAAAGTACTCTTGCTAAAAATCAGGTGTGTGTGTGGGGGGAATTAACCTAAATCTAATTAATCCCCTTGATGCAATTACCAGTTTACCAAAAATGTGGTAAACTGTTAATCACTTTAAGAAGGTGATTGGCCAAATAAAGAATTTGGGACACTCTATGCAACAAATGGCCCAAGAAATCAATGGCATTTTAAAAATTATAAAGCTGGGCCAGGTGCAGTGGCTCACGCCTATAATCCCAACACTTTGGGAGGCCAAGCCGGACAGATCACGAGGTCAGGAGAGCGAGACCATCCTGGCTAACATGGTGAAAGCCGGTCTTTACTAAAAATACAAAAAATTAGTGGGGCGTGGTGGCACATGCCTGTAGTACCAGCTACTTGGGAGGCTGAGGTAGGAGAATGGCGTGAACCCGGAAGGCGGAGGTTGCAGTGAGTGGATATCGCGCCACTGCACTCCAAGCCTGGTCGACAGAGAGAGACTCTGTCTCAAACAAACAAACAAACAAACAAAAAGCAATAAAATTATAAAGGCAAAAAGACTGTTATAGCATAAAACCAACTTAAGAGACAAAATAATGTGATGCAATATAGGACCTTGTTTGAGTCCTGAGGTGAACAACCCAACTATATATATTAAAAAAAAAAATCCTTGAGACAATTGGTGTGATGGTTAATATTGAGTGTCAACTTGATTGGATTGAAGGAGGCAAAGTATTGTTTCTGGGTGTGTCTGTGAGGGTGATGTTTGAGTCAATGGATTGGGAGAGGCAGACCCACCCTCAATCTGGGTGGGCACCGTCCAATCAGCTGCTATTACTGGAGAGAAAAAAGCAGGCAGAAGAAGCTGAAAGGAGCTGACTTGCTGAGTCTTCTGGCTTTCATCTTTCTCCCATCCTGGATGCTTCCTGCCCTCAAACATCAGACTCTAAGTTCCTCAGCTTTTGGATTCTTGGACTTACACCATTGATTTTCCAAGGGCTCTTGGGCCATCATCCACAGACTAAAGGTTCCACTTTCAGCTTCCCTACTTTCGAGGTTTTGGGACTCAGACTGGCTTCCTCTCTCCTCAGCTTGTAGACGGCCTCTATTTTGGGACTTCTCCTTGTGATTTTGTGAGTCAATTCTCCCAATAAAGTCCCCTTCATACATACGTATTAATGTATACTATTAGTTCTGTCCCTTTAGAGAACCCTGACTAATAAAATTGGGAAAATGGAATATGGACTAGGTGTTAAGTGATATTAAGAAATTACCATTAATTACTTATCTGTAATAATGACATGAAGGTAATGTTTTGAAAATATGCTCTTACAAATTAGAGCTACATACTGTGAAGACCCTGATATATGGAATTTTAAAATAAATGTATATATATATATAATAGCAGTAATTATTACTGCTGGGTGATAGGTAAGTGGGAGTTCATTATACTGGTGTCTTTATTTTTTTGAATATATTCAAATGTTTCTATAATAAAAAGTTTATTTTTAACTAAAAAAAATGGTAATGAGAAAATTTTAAAAGCAGCCAAAGTAGGTAAAGGCATATTATAAACTGGGAACAATAATAAGAAGCATTAGTCATTTCTCTTCTTATCAGAAACAATGCAAACCAGGAGACAATGAAATGAATTAATATAGTGCTGGAGGAAGAAAGTTCAATCTAGAATTTTCATCCAGAAAAAATGTTTTCAAATGTAAAGGCAAAAATAAATACGTTTTTCAGACAAAGCTGAGATAATGTATTGCAAACAGATCTAAAGTACAAGAAATATCTACGGAATCTCTGCAAGATAAAATCAAATGATAACAGAAGTAAACCCAGATCACAGAAAAAAATTTTTTAAAAACACATGCACTCATATGTTTATTGCAGCACTATTCACAATAGCAAAGACATAGAATCAACTTAGATGTCTATCAGTGGTGGACTGGATAAATCAAATTTGGTACATATACACCTTGGAATACTATGCAGCCATAAAAAAGAACAAATTATGTCCTTTGTAGCAACATGGATGTAGTTGGAGGCCATTATTCTAAGCAAATTTACACAATAACAGAAAACCAAATACCATGTGTTCTCCCTCATATGTAGGAGCTAAATGTTGAGTACACATGGACATAAAGATGGGAATTTTAGACATTGGAGACTACAAGTGAGGTGTGGGTAGGAGGGGAAAGGAGGGTTGAGAAAACCACCTTTTGGATACTATGCTCAATACCTGAGTGACATAATCATTTGTACACCAAACCTCAGCGACACACAATTTAGCTATGTAAGAAACCTGCACATGTGCTCTCCAAACTAAAAAAAAGAGTTGAAAAGAAAAGATTTTTTTAAAAATGGTAAATGTATGCAAATATAGTTTTTTCTATTTATCTCAACTAAAAATGACTTTTAATGTAAAAATTGAGTTTTATAATATATATAGAAGTAAAATGCATGAAACTAATAGCACACAGAATACAAAGAGGGGAAACAAATATACTGCTATAAGGCAATTATATATTATAGGTAAAATTGTATAATAGTATTTTGAGGATGATAGTGGTGATTTAAAGCTACATACTGAAAATTCTAAAGCAAGTTCAGAAAATGGATAAAAGAAATAGAATTAGCTAATAAACAAATACACGCAATAAAATGGAGTATGAAAATATATTCAATCAACACAAATATACAGGAAAAGAAAAAAGGACAACAAAGAATTGAGACAAGCAGAAAACAACTAGCATTACGATATACTTAAATTCATACACATAATTATTTATATTAAGTGTAAACTTTTCAATTTAAAAGTAAAAATCATCAGAATGCATAAACAGAAAAGACCCAATTATATATTGTTTGCAATAGACAGATATTAAATATAAGGACATAGATTAAAAGTATAGAAATATATTGGTAATTCTCATGAATTTAATGTCATAAAAAACATATCTTTAATTAAATAAAATTGTTTTATTGACTTACTGAAAGAAACAACACAGTACAACATGGGGGATCCAGGGGCATCTCAGTAAGGCGGTGTTCAAGAGGTTTATTGTATAATTTTGGCTTGTATTAGATGAATTTGAGGCAGATCCAATGAAGTGGAATTTACATTTGTTTGAGTGATGTTAATAAATTGGGATACTTTTATGACTGGGTCTATTAATGGCTCTTATCTAGAGGGGAAAAGAACAGCATACGGCTAAAGTTATATTGGCAAGAAAGCGGTTTTCACTCTTATTAGCCAGGAGAAGGGTGTTTGATAATTTTTGTGGTTTGATTAATGACCTTGTTTACATTTGTGCTTATATACAGTTAATGAGAGGTCTTGCTTGTGTCTTGTTCCATTGTGGTCCAGAGTAATCTTGTCTAATGCTGGTAGTCTCTGAGACTTTTTACATTCGATAAAGAGAACAGCACAGCCCAGCTGTGAGGGCCAGGGCAGTTCTTAGGAACACCAGTGCCCACCTCTCTGTATCCAGCTAGTTCCTTGTTGTCAGGAGCTCCTTTGCTCTTTCCCAAAATATACCATGTCAACACTAATTATGAGAAAAAATGAAGTTCTAGGAACATGTAGCAAATTAGACATCAGGATATGGAGTATTACTAACAATAGAGACATTTCATGATATATAGAGATAATAAGATTGATTCTTAAAGAAGAGATATGTACTCTTCTGAGATACGCTATGTAAACAGCCTATATTAAATTATATCAAGTAAAAATGGACAGAAATGAAGATTAAAAATAGATAAATCTACAATTAGAGATGCCAACACTCCTCACTGTGCAATTGATAAAACGATTAGACAATCAGTAGAAGACTTTAAAACACTACCAGCCATTGGACTTAATCAACATTAACAGGACACTATAAACAAGAATACACATTCTGTTTAAGCTCACAAAGACAGACCATATGTTATGCCATAAAACAAGACTTAGCACATTTAAAGAGGATTGAAATAATACATAATATATTCTCTAGCCATAACAGAATTAAATTATTAATCAATTTAAAAACATACCTGGAAAAATCCCTAATTATTTGAGCATTAATAGTGTACTTAAAAATAAATCAAAAGAGAAATTAGAAAGTATTTCAAACTGAATGATAATGAAAAGCATAACATATCAACATTTTGGAATAAAGCTAAAACAGACTATAAAGGGACAATCATAGTCTTAATATTTACATTGGAAAAGAAGAAATATTTGTAATCAATGGTTAAACTTTCATTTTAAGTATAAGAAGATGAGCAAGTTAAACTCAAAGTAAGTACAAGGATGGATATAATCAGATGCAGAAATAAATGGATTAGGAAACAGAAAACAATAGAAATAACCAGTGAAACCAAATGGTGTCTTTAAAATTATTACAGTTGATAAGCCTCTAGTAACACAGATCAACAACAACAAAAAAGAAAACATAAATTGTCAATACAAGGAATTATAGAGGAACAAGATAGCAAAACCAACAATCAGTAAACAACATTTACAACAGAACCAGGTGGTAAGTCCTAATGAACTCTAAAATAGAAGCAATTTGGCCACCAGTAGTCCAAATCCTGCATGGTATGGATTCTTTGTGGGAAGAGGAAGGATCAAGTGGAAGAGGATCTGAGGAGCTGAGAACAAGAGAACCTCAAAACAGTCAGCAGGAACATAGGGAAGAATTGATTTGGCCAATTTCAGAAGAATAGTTGAAACTTGGAAGGGTTCTGCCCTCTCCAATAGTGGGTGGAAACTGTGAATGTGTTTACATTGTATGGCAAAAGTGAAGGATTTTGCAAATATAATTAAGGCCCCTATCTGTTGATTTTAAATTAATCAAAGGGGAGACTATCCCGAGTAGGTCTGACCTAATCATGTGATCTCTTTACAAGAGAAGTTAAAGACATGAAGAAGCAGATTCTTTCTTTGTTGCTAGCTTTGAAGGAGCAGGTTGCCATGAATCTGTAGCCATAAGGAACTGAATTCTGCAGACAACCTGAAGGAGCTTGCATGCAGATACTTACTTAATCAACTTTTCAGATTAGAATGCAGTCCAGTGATCACTTTGATTTCAGCCTTACCGGACACTGAACATAGATTCCAACTACATCACATCTGCACTCTGACCTATAGAAACTGTGAGATGACAAATGAGTATTGCTTCAATCTGTAAGACTGTGGTAATTTTTTGAACAGTGTTAGAATGCAAATATAACATGCAACTTCTTACTAATGTAACAAGTATGTGATTAAACATTGTCAGCTAAATTCAAAATGTAGTTCCAAATTTTTAGATAATGTATGTGTGCAAAATCAGTATTTTCTGTTGTTATCTTACTTATTTTAACTATTTGGGTAACATAATTTTATTGATATATAAGCTGATTTTATAAAGTAGTAATCGTTTGAAAAAGAAAAGAGCAAAATATGCCATTCAACAGTCAACTCTATATGTTTCGACAAGCTGTACTTAGAAAGACATGCACTTTTCAGTGGACCAATATCTAAACAATAGCACGGCCATGGAAAGGGAAAACCTTAAAATGTAGACGCAAGATTTTCTAAAGTCTTCTCAGAGCTTCATAGGCTACTATTTAGATATTATCAAAATTTTATGAATGACTTTCACATCTCTATTAGTAAATATGTAATAAAAAGTACAATTAACAACATTTATAAAACGGTCCCCATAAGTTATGACACCTTTATATCAATTTTGAAAAATTGGTTTTTCTAAAACTTTTTTAGTTTTTTACTATAAAATTTGATTTAATTATATGTTTGTGATTTTATGAGGAATTATGTATATGGAATTACAAATGCACATTTTTAGAAATTATTAATATAATCTACAAATGAAATTTTTGTTCATAAATTTTTGGTCACTTATTTCTGACACATGGGCATCAGCCATGGCTTGGCATTGTGACTTTTCCTTGTTTTCTGTGCTAAATACTTGTTATATATTTGAAGTCTTAATATCAATTTTAATTCCTTTCCAATACCTGCTAGTAAATAAGCCAGAAACCTTTATTCATGGAAAAAATACAGACCAACCTAAACCTTAAATGTGGTTACTGAAGACATTTTAGGACAGCAAAAGTCCCACTCAATTTCCTTAAAACGACGGCCTAATTTATTGGTTGGTCTCCAGTATTAATTACTTCTTTTTTCATTTATGCCAGAACTATATTGATCTATCCTCGATTCTCTCTCAGGGTCTCCTGAACTCATTCTTGATTCTGTCAAGCCATCCTCTATCGGTATAATTGGCCCCTCTGTGGTTGTAGGTGGGTAAACCCATTGCAGGATGTTCCAGGTATTTTCGCCCTTCTTCGGGGACCTGTAGTCATGTAAGCCTTTCTTACACTCTGTCGTTTTTCACGCTGCTTGAAATAACTAATATTTTTCAGAGCAATTTTGAAAAGAAACACATGCTTTATATTGAAAAAAATGAAAATATTCACCTGTGTTATTGTAATTGTTATCGTGTTACAGAGAATGTGAGAGATCAAGAGGGAGAATGTACATACTACTGACATTTAAAATATGTAATGAAAGCATCATAAAAAATAAATCTCACCATATATACTGCAAGTTCAATCCATATGATTACATGAAAATACTCATGTGTTTACTATTTATTTGACAAATTATATTAAATCTGATTCTTGCTTTTGACTCCAGGTTTGCTCAGAATATCTGAATACACAAGCCAGGTCCTTTATTTATACAACCAGCAATTAAACTTGAATATCAGAAATGTCTGTACAATTTCTCTTTTGAGATTCCACTAATCATTTTACTCCCCAAAATATTAAATTCACCAAATAACATGTGTTGGCTAATAAATGGTCAACAAAGACTCATGAAGAAGAGATGTGTTGTAGTTGTTGCTGCTGCTACTGCTGCTGCTGTTAAATCTTACCAAAGTTCTGTGTTGGCCTCTGAATGCCAAAGCCAAAAATCATGTAAAAGGTGCAATACATTTGAACAGAAAATTATAACACTTGGAGAAAAACAATTTGTGATACATAAATAGAAGATTAACATGCTCTTGAAAAAAACACAGCTTTCTTGGGAATATTCTTGGGAATACACCTTAGCTTCAATATATGTGTACCTGTGGCACCACACACACACACACACACACACACACACACACACACCTCATTTTATTCTCAAGGGTTAACATTTAAATCTCTAAACCTTTGCACTACATTCTGTCTGAAGGGATAAACTTAATATATATAATGGGCCCTTATAAGTTCAGAATATTTTTAAATTTAATATGCTGACAAAATTTTAAACTATGTATATGTACATATATATTTATATGTATATATACAAAAATATGCACACATGACATGCATATAGATACGTGTGTGTATTTATGAGTATACATACAGATAATGTGGCCAAATATTTTGCAGAGAGCAGTATTAGACAAGTGTTTCATCTAAAATATTATATCTGTGAATAAAATGCATAAAAGGCACTAAAAACAAAAGTATAGAGAGAAGGGCCAAGAGGTAAGGGTTGAGTATTTGACTGCATTGCATGAAGTTTCCCTCCCCTGCCTGCCTGCAGCTGTTTCTGCACATGTTCAGAGAGGATACACAGGTGACATCCAGAACTTGAAATCATGACTTTCTTTTATTTCCCCTGCACTGATCCCTTGCTAATGCATTTAAAGAAACAATCTTAATTTTCATCCTCTTGATTGTGTCTGACTAGAAAATCACTTAGTAAACCAAGTGGAGAAACAGGTTATTAATACAAAGCTAAAGATTTCTATTTCACTGAGAAATGATCTATTGTGCTCTTTGTGTAGCTGGAGACTTGCGTTTGGAAATATCTCACACATTTCATTCTCCGAATTCTTTAATACAAAACCCAAGAAGCTTATTTAGACTTTTCTGCTAACCTGAATACTCTCAATTGGAGGCCTTCAGGGACTGGCTATGTATGATCTTGGCTGCAATAATGCTGATCTGTATGGGAATACATGTGCATGTGAGTGTGTGCATTGAGGGGAGATGTGTGTATAATTACAGTTTACTTCTCCTTGATGGGAGCCTGAGGGGGTGGTCAGTGAGCAGACTGTAAACCATTTATTCCTTCTTTTCAGTTTCTTTCTTGTATATACAAAAGGCATTTTTTCACATGCCTTTCTGAAACTATCATTTTACAATACAATGTTTCTTTTTAGTTTTGAAAAGCTGTTAAAAATAACTGTTGTAGAGCAATTGATAATATCTTAATGTTGAGAGTTGTGTTAATCTTGTTGACATTCCTATTACCTAAACTACATAATTGGTCAGTAATTTATTAGGCTTGTTCTTATAAAGTAAAATAATCACTTTGTATAGAGTAGAAACAAATAAAACTATATTCACTGCAGCAGTCTGTCACACATGGTGGGTATAGTATAAGGAAAATAGCTTAATATTTGGAGTGAGCCAAACTTAGATTAAATCTAAGTTCCTTCAAACATCAGTTACATAGCTTTGGTCAAATTATTTAATTCCATGATCCTCAGGTTTTTCATCTAAAAAATTGAGATCATATGCGATAATATTAATTCTTAAAATAGATTGTTTTGAATACAGTAGGTAAATGAAAGCTATCATTTTGAATTTCTATCTGCAAACACTTTGCCTAACTTTTTCCTCTTTTAACATTTGCATTGTTGGTGCTTAAAGAAACAGGACCCCATAACCTATGCACATGTCATGTTGTTGATATAATACTACTGGGAAAACATTGGAAGAGTATTCTCAAAATATTAACATCCTTTTAGGAAAAAAGTGTTAAAGTGTTGGAGAGAAGTCTTGCAGCAATATTACCAATAGTTTGATTTTTATATTTTCAAATAGCTAACCAAATTATATCAAATTCTTTCAGAGTGCAAATACCATATGAAATTTTTGCAACCTTTGTGTTAGTTACTTCAGTTAGCATTCTTATTTGTAAAATGCATGTGCTGAAGACATCCTCTCTGAATTTTATATATAAAAATTATTAATTATATTAATTTAAAAATTTCACTGAAATTTACAGATAATTTACAGAAAGATAATAATTTACATCAGTTGAGTGCTGCAAATCAGTGAAAATCCCACACATTTTTCTTGTTTAACCCAGAGCAGTTATCAAATCTGAACTCCAACAGTCCTGAAGTGCTACAATCACTCATAATTGAATTTGAAATTGTTTAAACAATTGATATCGAACAAGACTGCCTCAATATTTTCCTCAGTTTGTCTAAATGTTAGGCTCATTTTTACCGCTTAGACCTTGACTCCCCTCTTACCCTGGCCATTACAGAATCTCGATTGGGTAGCCACAGAGATCCCTCTCTTTCCTTTTCTTACATTTACTTTAAAAATCTTAAAATCGTGAAATTGTTCTATGCCCCTTTGAGATATAAATCTTTGCAAAAGTGTCTGGCCAGTTTTATAATCCAGTCATTCCTTTGAAATGTTATCACCGAAAAAGATAGTGCTTCTGTCTCTGAGTCTCTCTGGTAGGGTAGGAGCCTAACTTCTTCTGTGGGTATCTACTTTCCTGAAGATGTGAAAAAGTTTATTTTTCTTTAGGTAAGGCCAGCTGGCAAACCCAAAAAGTCTACAATTCACCCCACTCCCACCCCCGGTATTAAAAACTCATCTATCTTTTGTTTTAGTGAGGTTGAACTCAGTCTGCTATCTGGTCTCTCTTCCCTATTGCTGTGAATAAAATCTTTCTAGCCTGTTTAACATTGCCCAGTGCATTTTTTGCTGTGAGAATATCCAATAAATTTTAGCTTCTACTTTTATTTTGTAAAATATATATTACAAAATGTGTAAATAGTAATATATTGATCCTCAGTGAAGACCACATGGATAAACTTGTGCATAAGTAATTTATTTATTTAAGGGTACATGAAGTGACAAACAGGACAAAGGGATGGCAAAGAGAAAATAGCAAGGACTTTGCAGGAAATACTGAAAGTAAACCATATAATAACAAGCTTTAAACGTAGTCCTTATGTAAGTAAGTTCATATATAAAGTGTTTTAAAAATTCATAAAAACAAATTTTGCCCAGGTGTGGAAAAGAGTGTACGTAATAGCGAAAAACTAGAAACAAGTTAAGTATACAATATTAAGCACTCAATGCACACTAGCTATTATCATTTTTATAGAAAGTGATATCAGACCTTAAATAAAGCAAAAACTTATGTTTTTAAAATTTTTAATTTTTTTTAAGTGTAAAGGGTGTAGTATAAAGAATTGTGATTTTGTTTACAGGCCAGTCATGGGCTCAAGGGCTAAAGTAAATCTAGTGAAGCTCTGAGGGAGAATTTTTTCCTCTCTCTCTAGCTTGGGTCCAAAAACTGACCCTGAGGTTCAAAATTTTGACTACTTAGAACAAATAACTAAGTTGCAAATATGCATCATCCTTCACTTATGGTAGTTCTTTAAACTATGGTGGTTCTTTAAAACTAGCCGCCTTTGCTGGTCACTGTTGGGTACAGCTCAGCGGATAGCTTGGGCTACATTAGATATAATTTGCAGAAAAAAAATATACAAATAAGCAACACTGGAGATGATCCAATCAAAATACAATACTGTCATTTACAACAAATTTATATTTCCATTTGACCCATATATTATTTAACAATTTTTAATTTCCAGGAATTTGGGATTTTCTGTGAATTCTATTTTGGTCAATTATTTCCAATGCATTTACATTATTGAGACTTACTTTATGAGCCTGTATGTAGTCTATCTTGGTGACTGTAGCATGCATACTTACAAAGAATGTGTATTCTTCAGTTCTTGGTTATAGTTTTATAAATGTCAATTACCTCTAGCTGGTTGGTAGTGTTATTAAGATTATTAAGACCTTCTATGTTTTGCAGCTATTTTGTCTAGTTTTTATATCAATTACTGAGACAAGAGTCTTAATAATTTCAAGAGTCTTAATAATTTATACTCTATCTTTGGAACTGTGTATTACTCTTCTTAATTTCTCAATTTTCTTTATGTATTTTGAGACATAGTTGTTAGGTATGTGTTTATACATTTATAAATGTTATGTTCTCCTGATAAATTGTCCATTTAGTCATTATGTTAAATTCATCTTTATCCCAGACAATGTTTGGTCCTGAAGTTGACTGAGGTTGAAATTGTTAGCTCAGTATTATGCTTACTGTTTTCCTGATGTATATTTTTCCATTCTTCCATCTGTCTATGTCTTATTTCAATTTTTATCATAAAGGCAGCATATAGTAGGTCATGATTTTTATTGATAATATTAATATCTGCCTTTTAATTGACGTTTTCAGGGTATTTCCATTTAATTAATGACATATGGTTAGAGTATGTCACCAACGTATTATTTGTTTTTTGTTTGTTCACTATAGTTTCATCGATGTATTATTTGCTTTTTGTTCATTCTCTTTTCCCCCTTGCATATACTCTTTGGAATTGTTGGATTTTTTTTGTTGTTATTTCATTTTAATTTAGCTTGACTTTTGGAAATATTTTATGAGTGTGTGTGTGTGTGTTTGCTCTGGGGATTATAGTATAACATATAAACTTTCAAAGTTGACTTCGAACTAATATTATATGACTTCATATAAAATGTAGGAAAATTGTTACAAGTCCCTTTAACACCCCCTCCAAAACTATTCTAGAACTATAATATATATTATATCCTCCTATATTTAGAATCACACCTGAAAATGTTAAAATAGTTGTTGCAAACAGTCACACATATTTTAAAGAACTCAAGAGAATACAGGATTTTTAAACATTTACTCATGTATTTACCATTTCTCTTGTTATTACTTCATTACTGAAGATCCGTATTGGCATTTGATATTATTTATCTTCAGCTGGAAAAACTTTCCTATCATTTCTTGTCGAGCAGTTATGCTGTTGATGAATTCTCTCAGTTTTTCTTCATCTGAAAACGCTGTTAGTTAGCCTTCATTCTTGAAGGATATTTTCACTGGATATTTTTTCTGCTCCGCTGTCTTTCTCCTTTTCATTTGATACTCAACACATTTGTTAGAACTTTTGACAATATTTTACTACATGTCCTTGCAGCTATGTTAATTTTTTTATTTCTTCAGATTTTACAATTTCTATTGACCTATCTTTAAATCTGCTATGTGTTCTGCTATTGTCACCATAACATATATATGTAAATATATATATTTAATTTAAGATATAATTTTTATTTCTAAAATTTCCATTTGGTGTTCTTTATAGTTTTTATTTCTGGGCTGAGTAGTGCACTGATTTCAAGTGAGTCTTCTTTTGCTTCATATAGGTGGGTTACAACCGATTTACAATCTTTATTTGATCATTTCAATATTTGGGTTATTTTGGAAATGGCATCCCTTACTTGTCTTTTTGCTTGAGAATTCATTACATTTTCCTGGGTAATTATATCTTGAGTAATTTAGGGTTACATCTTGGACATTTTGAATATGCTGTGTGACTCCAGGTCCAGTTACAATCCTCCGAAAAATCTGTTTTTTTTGTTTTTTTTTCAGGCAGTTACCCCAGTTAGTTTCAGACTGTAAGTTTTGTCTCACTTTTTGTGGGCATCAGTTCAATTATCATACCACTTTTTAAGGTATTTGCCACATTTGTTGGAAACTTTCTGTGCTCCCATGGCTCACAGGACAGTTTGAAATGTAGGCAGTGCTTCAAATCTCAGTTCAGCTCTCAGTACTTTTGCTGTGCTGATTTAGGTTTGTTCCAGATAAGAGTAGTTCAGGGGAGAGCCTGAAAATTGTGCAGGCTCATCACAGAGTTACAGGATCCCCTTCTCTGACTGTTTTTGGTCTAGGAGTCTCCTTACACTCTGCAGCTTAGTGGGGCAAGTTATCCTGGTTCCTCTGGCTAGGAAGACAGGAAGCTTCTCTTGATGTTTCAGCCATTTGTACTGTAGCCCCTGCAGGGCTCCACCGTGGTAAGTCTCAAAGAAAAGAGAAAGAGAAAGAAAAAGAAAAAGAAACATATCTGACTGATCCTCCAAGTATTAACTATCCTCCACAGTCTTCCTGATTTTGCCTACTCTTCAGAGTTCAAGTAATTAATATTTTCGTACTTTGTCAGGAATTTTTGTTATAATCAGTGGGAGTGATGGTCTGTAGTGGCTTTACCTATTTTATGTGATTTTTTTACTTCAATTTGTATATGCTCCATAATGATTATTCTTTTTTAAGGAAATATAATATTCAAAAGTAATACAGTGATTTATAAAAAACTAAACTTGCTGCATATTTCATAGGAATTTATTTTGCCAACCTAGTCATTATATAATGTCATAATTTAGTATTATTAAAAGATATCTTAAGAAACTATAATAAATTCTCATTAGCGTCACTACTTCAACAGAACTATTTTTATGTACACTTATTAGTATATGTCCATGTGAATTCATACACATAGCGGAAATTAAAGAGACCATACTACTTACTAGTTAAAAAAAAACTTGCATTTTTGAGAAAGCAACAATTTCAGAGACTTTAAAAGAAAATATGGTTGTTAAAATATGACTTTTACTTTTTATTATTAATACCTATAAAGTATTGAAAAATATTTAACATTTACCAAATCACTAGCAAGAATTATCAACTTCAGAACATAAAATATCTTATTCTGAAAAATAGTATTACAAGATGATTTCAGGTGTAAAGTGTTATATTAAGTCTAAGGCTAAAATGCCATTGGTGGGTACAGTTGTTTGATGCATTTAAGTAGTGTTACTCCCACCACGTATCTATGCTCAGATTTGCTGTTACAAAGGAGCAGAAGACAGTGTTGAGGGAAAAATTGGCAAGACCCTGGGATTACACCCTCCTTCTCACATTACCTTCCCCAGTCCAACCCCGGGCCCTTTGAGTTCAATGATATTGAACTCTAAATCTGTCTAATGGATTATGTCAAATCATAGGAAAAGATCCCGGACCACTTTGAAATCATCTTCCTGTATATATATATGTTATAATAAAATAACAATGTACATCTTTTTACTAACAAACATTTTTGTGTCCATTATCAGAGTGGTACCTTGTTACATTCAATGGACCTACATTGATTGACACGTCCCTATCATCCTTTTCACTCAAAGTCCATAGTTTACATTAAGGCTCAAACTTGGTGTTGAATATTTTTGAGTTTTAATAAATGCATAATGACATGTATCCACCATTGTAGTATCCTGCAGAACAGTATCATACAGAACAATTGTGTAATAGTTCTCTTTTTCATGTGTGTGAGACAGGGTCTCACTCTGTTGCCCAGGCTGAAGTTCAGTGGTGTGATCTCAGCTCACTGCACTCTCGACCTCCCCAGGCTCAGGTGCTCCTCCCCACTCAGCCTCCCAAGTAGCTGGTACTACAGGTATACACTACCATGCCTGGCTAATTTTTGTATTTTTTGTAAAGACAGAGTTTTGTCATTTTGCCCAGGCTGGAATAGTTCCTTTTAATAAATGCTAAATATTAAAAATCTTAAACAGTAACACTTGGATCATACCTGGAGGTGAGCCAGCCATTCAAAGAGAGAAACACTTGAATACTTACATTTCCTAATGCTAACATTAACTTAATGTTTAATGCCATATTCATTCCTATCTTGTTGGCTCTTTTAAAAAATTTTTAATAGACTTTAATTTTTAGGACAGTTTTAGGTTCATAGAGAAATGCGAAGTACAGAGTTCCAGTATGTTCTGCCCTCGCACATGTAGAGCCTCCTCCACTATCAATATTCCTATCAGAGTGGTACATTGTTTCATTCAATGGACCTACACTGACACATCACTAGCACTAAAAGTACATAGTTTACATTAGGGCTCAATCTTGGTATTATAAATTCTACGGATTTTAACACATGTGTATTGTATTGACATCTATCCACCACTTGTGGTATCATACACAATAGTTTCACTGTCACAAAATCTTCTGCGCTCAGCCAATTCATCCTTCCCTCTCCCTAACCCATAGCAACTACTGATCATTTTAGTGTCTCCATAGTTTTGCCTTTTCTAGAATGTCATATTGTTGGACTCGTACAGTATGTAGCCTTTTCATATTGGCTTATATCACTTGGTAATATGCGTTCAAGTTTCATTCACATATTTTCATGGCTTGATAGCTCATTCCTTTTTATGGCTGGATGACATTCCATTGTCTGAATGTACCACAGTTCATTTATTTACTCACTTCCTGAAGGGCATCTTGGCTGCCTTTGAATTTTCGCAATTATGAATCAAGCTGCTCTAAACATCCATGTGCAAGTTTTTGTGAGGACATTAAGTTTTCAATTAATTTTGGTAAATACTAAGGAGCATTGCTAGATCATATCGTAACTGCATGTTTAGTTTTGTAAGAAACTACCAAACTGTCTTTCAAAGTGGCTGTACCGTTTTGCATTCCCATCAGCTATGAATGACAGCTACTATTGCTGCACATCCTTGCCAGCACTTGGTGTTGTCAGTACTTTGGATTTTGGTCATTCTAATAGGTAGGTAGGGATATCTCATTGCTATTTTAATTTGCAGTTCCCTCATGACACATGATGTGGAGCATCTTTTTGTATCTTCTTTGGTAAGATGCCTGTTTATTTATTTTGCCCACCTTAAAATTGGGTTTTTTATTTTCTTATTGTTGATTCTACCCCTAAATTAGAACTGTTTCTCTGAATTTGTTTATACTCTCCTTAAAAATGGCAAATAATCTTTCATTTTACAATTATTTCAGAAAATTGTCTTATCAATTCACTGAAATTAACAGCATGAGTTTTGAGGACAGGAAGAAAAATAGTGGGTCTTTAAATCATCATAAATAATCTAACCATTCTATTTACGTAATTTCAAAGCAAGAGCAAAATAACATTTTACTTCATTAAGACATACTGCAAGCCTTATTATCTACACTTGTGTTTTAAAAGAATGCAAGCATAATGCATTCTGATTCATAATGGTTGGAAATTTATTTTTTTAATCCTCTGTTTTGTCCTAAGTATTTTCTGTTGAGAGATGCAGCAAAGTAATAAGAAACAAAACAATTGTTATTTATGTATTTGGCATTAAGTAGATGATGGATTAGGGAGATAAAAGAAAAAAAATTAAAGACACTGGGAAAGCATAGAAAAGTAAACCAGTAATAACCCCAGTTATAACACATCACTCCAACCCAGTGAATCCCCTGGTAGACTGAGAAGGTCAAGGAAAAATTTAATGAAAAGAGGATTTCTGAGCTGACTTTTAAGGACAGGAAGAGACATTAAGATGGGGAAGAGAAATGAAGGAATACCATTATGATTAAATAAATCAAGCAAATGAGAAACCAAAGACCCATAGAAGTTGGGACCTGCCAAGTTGGGATGTGCAAAGAGTGAGCTAATCATGTAACGTAGAGAGGGGGGAAAGGTAAGGAACACAGGAGGCCTAAAGTTGAAACATCTGCATCTCTTGTTAAAACATCATGAAACACACACACACACACACACACACACACACCGTGCACACATATGAAGAACTAAAATGTTATAAACATGAAAGGATTTCTGATGTAAGCTTAGCTTGTTTTTTGTTTGCTTGTTTTCATTCATCTCTGTTGCTTAAAATCTCAGAGCCTCAGTTTGCTAAAAAACAAACAAAAAAAAGATAAAAAGAGCTAACTTTCCTCTTAGATACTTGTGGAAATTAGAATGGGGTAATGTTTTAATGTCCTTACTTTACTGCCTAGCATTTAGTAAAAGTATGAGAAATGATGACTGGTATCGTAACTGTTAGACTCATTATATACATCATTTGAATAAGAACTTGGGGAAGAGGGGAGGTATGGGGAAAGGGAAGATGTTGATCGAAAGGTTCAAACTTTCCATTAGACTGGAGGAATAGGATTTAGTGCTTCATTGCACTATGTGGTGACCCCAGTTAATAACAATGTATTGTGTATTTCAAAATTGCTAAAAGAGTTGTTAATGTTCTCATTACAACATAATTTATAAGTTGATGAGGTGATCGGTATCTTAATTAGTTTGCTTGAATGTTTCTATAATGACTACATAGATCAAAACGTCACATTGTACACCACAAATATACATAATTATTATTTGACAAAAAAACAAACAAAAAGAAATATAATGAGAGCCTATATGTAATTCAAAATTTTCTAAAGGGAAAAAGTGTATGCACATTATAATACAACAATGATGTCTTATGTAATGCAATGATTACAGTGAAGTATAATCCTACCAAAAATTAAAGTTGCATTTAACGAGAAAAAATAACTTAAAAACTAGATTCTGCTAGGGTTTATTCATTTTCAGATGCCTGAACATACTTTATTTTTCTTTAGAACACTAACTAAAAGGACATACTGTGTATCTTTGCAACATTTATTTCTAAAGTTCTTTTCCTCAGGTGAAAGTGACATTTATTTGACATGTTCAGAGCATCTCTGAATATATTTGAGACTCCAACTGCCTTTACATTTTCCTTCCCTTTATTTCTCTTTGGGAGGAGATAAATTGATCATGTTCCTTTGAACAAATTAGAGCAGGGACACTTTCATTTGGTTCAGAGATTATATTATATTTTGGAATTCGACAGGACCCAGAGGTTTTCCTGCTTGTTATTTTTGGCATTCATTATATTATGCTCCTAACATCTCTCTGAGCACATGTACACATTGATTAAAACAACAAAATGATTAAAGTAATACATCAAGTGACAATCTCTAGATAACTTGAAACCCCCAAAGAAGTTCCTTCCCCAAGACAGATAAATACAAAAGCTTAGTAGTCATTTTAGAGCCATAGTAGGAATATTTCAAAAATCTGAGAAACAGGATTTTAAATGGCCAAGCCTGGTGTACAATAAGCTATCTGATAAATAGTTAGCTACTTTTTTTTTTCCCGTTTTTTTTTTTAGGGTGATGCTCCTGTAAATTGTGTATAAGCCCACACAATTTTTAAAACTCTCATTAGTAGAAGTATTGTATGATTATATATGCTGATGAATGACTATATAGTTTAGGTCCCATTAGGGTTAAAAAATGCTGATTTGCTCTTTTTGTCAAAATGGTTCATAATTATAACAATATATATAAATTTCTTTGCAGAGCTACTACGATTATCATATTTAGACAAATAAAAATGCACTTAATGAAAGGAAGAAAATAGTTTTATATTGATAGTGTTATTCTACAAAGTGTATTTCAAAAAATGTATGATACCCCAGCAAAAAGAGAAAATAAAATTAAAAAAAAAAATGCATCGAACTACTGATCAATGTCAGTAGTAATCAAACTGACATTGACTTATGTGGAAAGGAGTAAGCCTAATTTGGACCAGAATAAAAGGTGGGTTTTGATAGAAAGCCTCTTTTACAGTAATTTCTCAGGTCCACAAATCTTCATCAAAACATCATCTGATGTTACATCAATTTTCTTTGAATGTAATATTTAAAGAGTTCTTGAAGTTTTATATGATCTGGGTAAACAGCAAAGAGGCTGGCATGTGAGGCTGGATGGGAAAGGCAGAACTAAGAGGGACAACGGATGTTGATTACTAAACATCTAGGGATAAGCAGGAGGCTATTTAGTAACTAGGAAAGAAGTTCCAGTAACTCAACAGATATAAATAAAAAATAAAGTGATACTTTTTAGATTTCCTTCACATTCTCCCTGAATAGACAAAAAAGAAAGTGAATAGGTTTCAAATAATTTTGGAAAGGAGGCTAAAGGTGATGGTAATTTTTATATAAACTGAGGGTAGCAATTGTCAGTGTCACAATCATTTAGCCTTCTCCCTGTGACAAGTAGCTGCTGACTGCAGGTTCTTTTCATTCTGCTTGCAACATGCTCCTCAGATATTTGCTTGACTGGCTGCATCTTATCTATCTCAACTTCTGGTTTTATTTTTAGTAGCTGTTACTACTAATAATTAGTAGCTGTTACTACTAATTATTTTTCTTATTTTTAGATTTTTTTAATGTAAATGTAAGTTGCCTGAAAGAGGGATCTAGGCATATTTCTCTCTCACCAGTGCCTAGAACAGTGTAGGGCACAAAACAAGTGCTTATTACACATTTTTCTTAATGACTAGCTAATGCAGCAAATTTTGTAAGTGTAGATACCTGGCCCTCTTTGGGGCAGTGTTGATTAGAGAGCTGATAGAATAACTTGTTTGTATAAATAAATAAAATTTATATTCATAACTGGAACAATCAAGGCATCTCCCACCAAATGCCCTCAACTCATAATAAGGAAACAGATCTTCCTACAATTTCAATTTATTATTTTCAGAAAACATTATACACTTTTATGTCTTTGTTGCTTGTTTTTTAATGTTCCCTGGCTCATGTGTGTCCTTCAACCTTTCTTCCACCCACCCAAATAGTCTTTCTTGTTTAGGTCTCAACAGTAAAAGTAACTCCATGACAAAGGCCTCCTGGATCACTTCAATCAGAATTAATGAAATGTTTGTATTCACCCTTCTGTAACAATAATACTCTATTTGTATCTGTAATTAACAAGGTCTTCTTTCTGTCTTACACATAAGCTGTTTACATGGATAACTTCTCCCTAAGCTAATTAAGAGCAGAAATAATATTATTTTTCTTTGTGTTATTTACTGTACCTAACAGAGTAGCCTGCACTTACTATGTCCTGAACTATTACAATTAGTGAAATTAAACTAAGACGAATTAAAAGCGCAACGCAAAATAACTAGAAAACGAAGTTAGTACAAGTGTGTCCCTATAGTGCTTTCTGACAAATAAATAAATAAAAATTCTAATACAATTTTTATTTCCAATATATGTTGTGTTGGCCTAAATTTTTAGATACAGTGGAGGTGCAAGTGGGATAGAAAACAATCTAAAGTGAGAGGGCAAAAATAAAGAGACTCTTTCTTATAGTGTAAATGGAGAGAAAATTGGTAAAACCTATACTGAGGGCAATTTGGCAATTGGCATCAAAGTTTTTAAAATGGGCATGCTCTTTGACTAATTAGTCTCTTTATAGAAATTCATTCTAAGGAGATATGTAGGAAAATATGCCCATAAATTTGACTATAAGAAGCTCAAAATTTATTTGTGTATAATAGTGAAAAATTTCGACAAATTTCCCAAAATAAGGGTTTTCTTATAGACATTACGTTATATTAGAGCATGAGCTGTGAAGCCAAATTGACTAAGTAAAATCTGGCTTGATCACTTAAAAACTGTGAACTTAGGAAGTTACTAACCCTTACTGTGCTTATTTTTTATTGTAAAATATAAATAAGAATAATCCCCATTTTAAAACATATTGTGAGAATTAAATGCAATGCTGTTTATATAGTAGTTAGATCAATGCCTGCTTTATAGTACCAGCTAAAATCTTAATCTGTAAATGCCTGGAAGTAAATTTCACAGCTGTTAACAGTGGCTATAATTAGATTGTGGTTTTGTAAGTGATTTTAGCTTCCTACTCCTTTTGCCTGTTTATGCATTCAACATTTTCTATAATATGTAGCCTTACTTTTGTAATAAATATATTTAAACTTATTCTCAATAAACATCTTAATGTCAGCTTCTGAGACACTGAGTGCCAGTGTTTGGAAAGGAATAAATAATTATACACATGACTATTTATAGGGAGGAGATTCTTCTTATTTAGCCTTCTTGGAAACAGTAGTAACTTTGTAGCATGACTTAAAAGTGACCACCCTTTCCAGAGGTTATTAATTCTTGGCATCTTCTATATTATCCTTCAATTTGCTTCACTTTGCTGAGAGCAGGCAGCTGAGTATGGGGACTATCATGATGTTAATTCATCACGGGAAATATGAAAGAGTACCTCCAATTCTTTACACATTATTTTCAGTGTGTTTTGACAGAAGGAATGATGATTCTGCCTGGGTTAGACAGCAAGGCACAATAACACTCAGGAGGGTGGCTATATTTTTTGACATTTGTACAATTTGGGGAGAATACTACTTTCTTTTTATTATTTATTTTTCTATATATGTCTGGAAAAAATATGACCACTGGATCATTTAACATGTGCATCCTCGATCTGAGCTTCTTAGCAAGAAATTGTGGTATCCTGAGGTACCATAATTTTTCAGAGTGTCCTCACCTCCTCCACCTCTGTAACTTCATGGATAACAGCCAGTGTTTAATGAAAATATTTTTCAACTAGCTTCTACCAGCTTCTACAGGTTCTCATTGGATTCTTCCACTGTATTTTTTCTCCTTTTGTTTCTTTCCTTTACACATATTGAAACGTTTCAGAAAGGGTAGCTTTTTGATAATAAATTTTTACTTGGCATTATCAAAGCAAAAAATTGTATTAGAATAAGTTAAACAGGAAAGGGAAACTTTATTCAAGAATATTGCAATAGGAGAGAGAGGCCAGAACTCAGCCTGAACTCAAATCTGCTGAAAAAGGGGTTCAAGGCTTTTTAAACATTAGTATGAAAGAAGGATGATGGGCAATCTGTGTTTGCTGATTGGCTTTACTGAAAGGAAAATAAACTTTCTCATGTCTTTTGAGCAAGGGGCAGTTTTACAATTTGGAGCAAGATATGCACAAATGATATACGACAAAGTTAGGCTCCTACCTTCCCATAAAGACTGGGATAGGGCTCATTGATGATTACATTACTCCCTGGTCTTTGAGAAAGGCATTTGTGGGATGTGAAACTAATGACAGGCTTTTCAAAAATATTTACAGCTCAAAGAAAAAAGAGAATTTAAGCGACAAAGTTTTACAGAAAATTACCTAAGAGGTAAGGGGCCTTGAGTCTGAAAGAAGCCTGTATGAAGTTTAGCAAACTGAAGGGAAAGTTAAGGCCTTCTTTGTCAGCATTTTATAATATGAAATGTAGCATTTTATTCTGTTTAGTATGAATGAGATAAGGATAATCACAACATGTGTATTGTTATTTATTATTTATATTACTTTTTTGCATAAACTACTCATTGGAGCTTCATTGTCTACATTTTGGTATAGCTATTATTATTTTCAGAATTAATTTACAGCTAATCATTTTAAGAGCAGAAAAGTAAAAGAAAAGATTCTATAACCCAGGCAAGAGAGAACTGGCAATTAAGTTCAGCTGTCCTGATCCCAAGTACTGCCATTACTCACTTATGCATGAAGAAGTAATCAGGGGAGTATGATTTCCCAGGCACTATGCTAACTGTTGGGATTACAGTCATAAACAGTAGTGCCAAACACGATGACCAGCATTTGACAGAGCCTAAATAAACTTCTGTAACATGGGGAAAAATGAGTCTCTCCTTTAAAAAAAAAAAAACCTCAGAGTAACTTTGGTATACATTTTAATGCAAGTCAAGTAGATTTGCAATTTACAAAAATGTTATAAAGCATAAGATGGCTCATTGCTACAATTATTGTTCTGCAATTGCTTAATTCATATTTTACTAAACAAAGCTTAGACAACTGATTTTATATTTCTCTTAATTTCATAAATAATCTATGTAACTAACAAAATATCACAATAGAATTATTCTCCTTACTACTTGTAAGAAATATTGATGCTTCATCTTCTTGCTTTTTAAAATAATTTACTTTAAAAATTTTAATAGATTCACGAGGTAGAAGTGCAGTTTTGATACATGAATATACTGCATAGTGGTGAAGTCTGGGCTTTCAGTGCAACCATCTCCTGAGTAGTGAACACTGTACTCAATAGGTAAATTTTCAACCCTCACCCCTTCTAAAACTTCCCAGTTTATGACTTCCCACTGTCTATTATTCCTCTCTGTATATACATACATATTACCCATTGGGTAGCTCTTATAAATCAGGACATGTAGTATATGAGTTTCTATTTCTGAGTTATTTCACTTACTATAATGGCCTCTAGCTCCATTCATATTGCTGTAAAATGCATGATTTCATTCTTCCTTCTGGCTGCATGGTATCCCATGGTATGTGTATACGACTTTTTTTTATCCAGTCATTCACTGATGGACACCTAGGTTGACTCCATGACTTTGCTGTTGTGAATAGTGCTATAATAAGCACAAGAATGCAGGTGTCTTTTTGGTATAATGACTGCTTTTACTTTGGGTAGATATCCAGTAGTGGGATTGCTGAATCAAATGAGGGTTCTATTTTTAGTCCTTTGAGGAATCTCCATACATTTGCTATAGAGGATGTACTAATTTACATTCCCACCAACAGTGCATCAGAGTTCCCTTTCCTCCACATCCTCACTAATATCTGTTATTTTTTTTTTACTTTTAAATAGCCATTCTGATTGGTGTAAGGTGGTATCTCGTTTTTTGTTCTTGTTTGAGACTGGGTCTCATTCTGCTGCCCAAGTTGGAGTGAAATGGTGGCATCTCAACTCACTGTAATCTTCACCTCCGGACTCAGGCAATCCTCCCACCTCAGCCTCCCAAGTAGCTGCAATTGCAAGCATGTGCCACCATGCCCAGCTGATTTTTGTATTTTTTTGTAGAGACAGGGTTTCTTCATGTTGCTCAGGCTGGTCTCGAACTCCTGGACTCAAACGATCCTCCCACTTCTGCCTCCCAAAGTGCCGAGATTGCAGGCATGAGTAACCACGCCCAGAATCACTGTAGTTTTAAGTTGCATTTATCTGATGATTAGTGATACTAGGAATCTTTTTCATATGTTTTTTGGCCATTTATGTGTCTCCTTTTGAGAAATGTCTGTTCATATCCTTTGCCCACTTTTTAATGACGTTATTTGTTTCTTTCTTGTTAATGTTTTCAAGTTCCTTGTAGATTCTGGATATTAGTCTTTCATCGAATGCATAGCTTGCAAATATTTTTTCCCATTCTGTATGTTGTCTGTTTACTCTGCTGATTATTCTTTTGCTTTACAGAAGCTTTTTAGTTTAATTAAATTCCATTAATTTCTTTGTTTTTGTTGCATTTACTTTTGAGGTCTAAGCATAAATTCTTTGCCTAGGCCAATGTCTTGAATAGTTTTTTCTAAATTTTCTTATATGACTTTTACAGTCTCAAATGTTACATTTAGATTAACCCACCTTGAGGTAATTTTTTGTATATGATGAGAGATTGGGGTTCAGTTTCTATATAAATATGTCTTTGACCTATTGTGTCTTATTAATGCCTTTAACAGTGCTACAAAGATTATCTGTTGTGGTTGCAGCTTGAGTTCCCCAGGTATGCTCTTTGGAAGGTGAAGGAAGGAAACAGGATTAGGAAGAATGGGATGTTGGGTGAGATGTAGTCACAAAAATGATCTCAGTCAGCCACAAGGAGCTAGGTGGCTGTAATGGCTCTTCCAAGCTGTCCTGCATTGTGGTGAGAATGGGCCTTCTTATACTAGGGTGGGCAAGTCACTGGATGCAAGATTTCCTAGGAGAGTGGGAGATAATATTGGATGAGGCAGCTGTTTCAAATCAAGGGCTATTTCTTACGAGGGTTGACAGCTGAAGCTGTCAATTTGAAGCACCATCAGCTGTGTGTAGAATACATCTCGCTGTCATTAACATAGATTAGGATCATGTATCACAGCAGCCAATGTAGTTTGATTGATTAGATATACAGACACTGCTATATATTTGTAAAAAGTACTACTGAAATATATTAAAAAATCTGTTGCTTCAACTCATGGATTCACTTTAGGCTATCGAATTCATTACACAAAATTTTACAGTGGTGCAATTGTATAGGAATTGCAATTTTGTATAAATTTAATATGGATAATAGTGAACAAATGTCAGTTTCACATTGTTGAAGTGTATTGCTTAATAAATGCATATGGGAAATATATAAATCCTATTTTTTTCTTAAAATATAAAATTGTGTGTTTTATAGTGAAATTTCAACTGTTTAAAAGAGATCATTAATTTGAATCAATAGGACATGTCAATGTTGTGGACCAAATTGTGTTCCCTCCAAAATTCATATGTTGAAGCTCTAATTCTCAATGTGACTGTATTTGAGACAGGTGATTTTAGGAGCTAACTAAATTTAAGTGAGATCACACGTGTGGATCTCAAATCTAACAGGAGTGGTATTCTTTTTTTTTTTTTTTTTTTTGAGGAGACGGAGTTTCACTCTGTCGCCCAGGCTGGAGAGCAGTGGTGTGATCTTGGCTCACTGCAAGCTCTGTCTCCTGGGTTCACGCCATTCTCCTGCCTCAGCCTCCCGAGTAGCTGGGACTACAGGTACCTGCCACCACGCCCATCTAATTTTTTTGTATTTTTAGTAGAGATGGGCTTTCACCGTGTTAGCCAGGATGATCTTGATCTCCTGACCTCGTGATCCGCCCGCCTTGGCCTCCCAAAGTGCTGGGATTATAGGCGTGAGCCACCATGCCTGGCCCAGGACTGGTATTCTTATAGTGAAAGGAAGGTACAAAAGGAGTGTACCCACACAGAGGAAAGGTCAGATGAGAACACAGTGAGTAGATGGCCACCTGCAAGCCAGGAATAGAGGCTTTAGCAGAAAATAAGGCTGGCACCTAGATCATGGACTTCCAGCCTCCAGAACTGTGAGAAAATAAATTTCTGTGTTTAAACTACCAAGTCTGTGGCATTATGTTATGGCAACCCAAGAAGTATGATAACAATAATATATCATGTTAATGTAATAAAACTGGTCATATTATATTACTGGAATTTTGAAAACCACTGCTTTAGAGAACGGCCTCAAGACAGGCTAGACATGTTACACGTGACTGCACATGTATACAGTTTACAGAGCTTTATAGTTTGCTTTAAACTGCACTCTTAGCTTTATATATATTCAAAGTTAAAGCAAAATAGAAGATACAAATCGTCAGATATTTCTAGAGTCTTTTATTATTTCCTAAGAAAGTAAAATATTTTCTTCTCTTGCTCTTTATTAAGAAGATAGAAACTGAGAAACCAAGAACTTGCCCTAAAGCTTATAGTCTATCTCCATCTATATCCTCCTTTTGGAAAGCAATTATAAATCATGAGGGGATATAATCAATGTAGAAACAGCATACAATTTGAAATTACAATGCCCAGGATTAAGTCTGGATTGGGCCATGATACCCTGGGTGAGCCATCTACATTTAATAAGTTACAGTTTCTTTCAAGTAATCTGAAGGTACTAGTGGACTGTATAAATTCAATGAGTAAAGAGAGGTAAGTAAAGAAGTAATAATTACTGTGTTCTTAAAATTGACAAGATACTCTGCAGAATGCTTAATATGTGTCCTCATTTAATTATTATAATTCCATGCTGTGAATTTTCTTATTTTAGAGATGAAAAAACAGAAGATTGGAAAATTTAATATTATCAATGTTATATAACAAATACCTAGTGGAGCCAGCCTCCAATTCTAGGCAATTTGTTGTCATAGCCTGTACTGTCAACCACTCTCCATTGTGACAGTTAATTGTAGGTGTCAACTTGATGGCACTAAAAGATTCCCAGACAGCTGGTAAAATATTATTTAGGGGTATATCTGGAAGGCTATTTCTGAAAGAGACTGGCATTTGAATCAGTGGGCTGAGTAAGAAAGACCCACTCTCACCCAAACAATCAACTGAGGGCCCAAATAGAACAAAAAGTCAGAGGAAAGGTGAATTCTCTCTCTCTCCCTCTCTCTCTCTCTCTCTCTCTCTTTTTATCTCAGTGGGCTGAGTGAGAAAGACCCACCCTCACCCAATCAATCAACTGAGGGCCCAAATAGAACAAAAAGTCAGAGGATAGGTGAATTCTCTCTCTCTCCCTCTCTCTCTCTCTCTCTCTCTCTTTTTATCTCAGTGGGCTGAGTAAGAAAGACCCACCCTCACCCAATCAATCAACTGAGGGCCCAAATAGAACAAAAAGTCAGAGGAAAGGTGAATTCTCTCTCTCTCCCTCTCTCTCTCTCTCTCTCTCTTTTTATCTCAGTGGGCTGAGTAAGAAAGACCCACCCTCACCCAATCAATCAACTGAGGGCCCAAATAGAACAAAAAGTCAGAGGAAAGGTGAATTGTCTCTCTCTCCCTCTCTCTCTCTCTCTCTCTCTCTCTCTCTTTTTATCTCAGTGGGCTGAGTAAGAAAGACCCACCCTCACTCAATCAATCAACTGAGGGCCCAAACAGAACAAAAAGTCAGAGGAAAGGTGAATTCTCTCTCTCTCTCTCTCTCTCTTTTTATCTCTGTCTCTGTCTCTCTCTCTCTCTCTCTCTCTCGGAGCCTGGACATATCTCTGTCCTTGAACATCAGAAATCCAGGTTCTCTGGCCTTCAGAATTCGAGACTTGCATGGCTCTCCTTACCCCCAGCTGCCCTCCATCTCAGGTTTGAGCCACTCCACTGGCTTCCCTGGTTTTCCAGCTTACACATGGTGTATCAGGGAACGTCTCACAATGACATGAACCAATTTCCATAATAAATCTCTCTCTCTCTCCATCCTATTGGTTCTGTTTCCCTAGAGAATCCTAATACACCCATGCTGTGTTACCTGACAATAGTAAAAATAATAACAAATTTTACACTTATTGTCACAGTAATCATTTTTAAAACATTAATTTTAAATGCTCTAACCATACAATTTTAAGATCTGGTTTCATAATAGTCACTCTTTTGATTCATGCCTAGAATTATATTAAGAAATTCTATTTAGAGTTGAAAAAGTAACAGCTCCCAGTTTAAACAATATGAGGAATTTTGTCTACTTGTTGTATTGTGTGCCTTTTCATAACCCAAGTTAAATATTTAGAATCAGATTATATGTTGCAGAGAGGGAGAGAGAGAGAGAGAAAAAAAAAAAAAAATCTCATCTAGTGGTATGAACTTCATGAAGCATAAATGACCAGGCAAGAACTAATACTGATGCCAGAGATAAATACATATTTTTCAATTGATTAAATGTAAGAATAAATAAAGTTCAATTACAAGAGACTATTATGAATAAAAAGTTAACAATTGCAAAGCTGGAAAGAGAAAATGGCTTTCTGTGTTCTAATTATTAAACAAAGCACAATATAACAGTGAAATATTGAACTAATATCCTTAAAAATGTAATACTTTAGTTTTCATTTGATTTGTTTTTCTTTTCTTTTTTTTTTGAGACAGAGTCTGGCTGTGTTGCCCAGGCTGGAGTGCAGTGGCACAATCTTGGCTCACTGCAACCTCTGCCTCCTGGGTTCAAGCGATTCTTGTGCCTCAGCCTCCCAAGTAGTTGGAACTACAGGTGCCCGCCACCACGCCTGGCTAATTTTTTGTATTATTAGTAGAAATGGGGTTTCACCCTGTTAGCCAGGATGGTCTCAATCTCCTGACCTCTTGATCTGCCCGCCTCAGCCTCCCAAAGTGCTGGGATTACAGGCATGAGCCACCGCACCCAGCCTGATTTTTAAAATACTATGTCCATACATTGCTAAACAATAGTTTAGAGAAAAATGGATTGGATGGTCATGTACTGAGGGAGAAATATATTGTACATTAATCCTTATCACTGGAGTTAAAGCAGTAGGATATATAAGATCAATCTTGGTGATCAATGGTGTAATTAGAAGCCTCTTTAGTTCCCCCAGGAGTTTATTATTAAGAGATAAGACATACTTGTATGAATAAAGAACTCAAAATTTAAAGTACTATATGTAAAGGTGCAAAGGGTTATATTAAGTGCCAAAGCGCCATGAGCTCAGAGGAGGATTCTGTTGCATTGGCGGACCTCAAAGAATGGGTAGAAACTGAACAGAAAAGAAAATGCAAGATGTAGCATGTGGAGAAAACACATGAGAAATGTCTTTTTAGAGACAGACCCGGGGGTTTGTATTTGATTCTTTTTTTTTTTTTTTTTTTTGAGTGGAGTGCAGTGGCAGGATCTCGGCTCACTGCAAGCTCTGCCTCCAGGGCTCTCACCATTCTCCTGCCTCAGCCTCCTGAGTAGCTGGGACTACAGGCGCCCGCCACCACATCCGGCTAATTTTTTGTATTTTTAGTAGAGGCGGGGTTTCACCGTGTTAGCCAGGACGGTCTCGATCATCTTGACCACGTGATCCGCCCACCTCTGCCTCCCAAAGTGCTGGGATTACAGGCGTGAGCCACCGCGCCCGGCCCTTGTATTTGATTCTAATTATATTTCTTGAAACACAGTAAATGTTCATTACGAGTAAGTGGGAAGTAAAGTGGGAGGGGTACTTAGAAAGGTGAGACCAATCTGCCTTGATCAGATAGGATTTCCACTCTGGAAATATGAGAAATACAGGTACAAAGAAAGGCTCCTGGAACATGATTCACAGGTATCTGAGAAAATGTCACAAGTCCACAGAAGTCTTGTTCCAATAGACAGTTGCCAAGATCATACTGAGCTGTGGAAGGTGAGGTTATAGTAATGTGAGTTTCTGTGGCACTACAAAGGCAACGAAGTGTGCAAACAGGGGTGTTGGCCTTGTAGTCAGTTAAGAATCATTATCTGTACAGAGCAAAATTGTCCCCTGGGAGGGTACAACCCACCTCCTCAGGTCCAGGAAAAATATGGCTTAAAACTCTGCATAATGAAATAAAGAAGGTTTTCTGTATATAAATAAAATATGCTGTTTCTGTGTTCATGCTGTAGTTTATTTTAGGATGTAAGCTGGGAAAGATTGCCAACCTCACTGAAAAAGCTAAGCTGGAAAAATAGAGCTCCTTTACAAGAGGAATAACACAAAAGCCCCAGTTGGTTTTCTATCTCTTCCCAAGGGATTTGTTTAGATATATTGCAATCAATACCATAAGACAATTCAGAGCTTGCTAAAGTGGATTGATTAAACTGTACATGATTTTTAATGAAAATCTACCTATCTAAATGGATAGCACAATCTGGTGGCACTAAACTTGTAAAGGCACTTCAAAGGTAAAGAATAAAAGTTCAATTCCATGTAATAAATTAAAACATAACAATGAATGCTGTCTGCTAGAGGGGACCCAGGTTTTTCAATTAGGGATCTCTGGAAGTTATTAACCCTCGGCTCTTTTTGCCTCAGCAGACACAAAGCTCTGCACTCACAGAATACATTTAATCTGAGAAGCCCAGTGTTCTTTGCACTAAGCAATTCAACAATGCAACCTATCAAACAATAAGTGGAGCTACATTTTTATTTTTCCTCACAATGAAAGCACTCAAAGGTCAAGTGGCTTGTTAAAAGTCACTTGGAGGATCTTTGTTTTGATTTGGATTAGGGGAAAGGCAACTTCACAGAAAAGTCATAAGTGGGAACCTAGAGATTGTGACAGAATACGGGAAAATTACTTAAGGCTACATTATTAAGGACCTAAATGCCAGGCTAAGTTGGTTAGACTCTGAAAGACAATAAGAAGCCTTTGAAGATTTGCAAGTAGTGGAAGTGACTTGTTTAAAATGGTGTGTCAGGAGGAGCATTGCAGCAGAAATGCACGGTAGGAGAAAGTGTCAAGAAGACTCATCAAGAGAACAGTGTAGTATTCTGGATGAGAGGTATGGAACCTGGAACAGTGAGAAGGAAATTTAAATGGAATAAAGTTAACATATTTTTAATATACATACCCATCTCTAATGCTATCCATCTCACTAACTATTTATTTACAATCATCAAAATGTGTGAATCAGTTGGGTCTTCATGTATGTTAAAGAGGAGACAACAAAACCTGTGACTAAGAGAATTTTGTTGAAAGAATAACAGAATATAGAGAAAATATTGATTTTGGCTTATGACACTTTGAATCAGGTAGTGTTAGGACCTGTTTTTCCACATTCTTAGGCATCACAATTGTTTTAGAGCTGTACATGGTGAATGAAAGTGGCTGATGAGACTCTTCTGGAAACTTGGTGAAGTGATAGGGAAAGATAAACTTTTTGTTCTGGAATTTCCAGGAGTATAAGGCATAAGTGTGGAGTTGCTGTTAGATAACTTACCACCACAAAGGAAGATCCCACTTAACGAGGCCAAACTAAAGATTGAGAGGATCATTCCTTATTACCACTTGAGCCCTATGTTCACTGGCACCTGGAGCTGTATAATCTATACGTTTAAATTACGTCAGCGGATACTTTTCACTAGGTGGTCAAATCATCTTGAGTTTTTCAGTTTTTCACACACAATGGAAAAAAAAATTTAAAGTCATAAAATCCAAGGGAACAGCATTTCAATAGAGGGGTGATGAAGTTTTAGTTATCAGTTATATGTACTGCAGAGTAGAAAATGTCACCAGTGTGGTGTTTTTGATGTTTCACAGCACGATTTCAATAGAATGTAAGTAGATATAGTAAGGTCTTGGTGTATAAAAAAGTATGTGAAGTAGATTAGTGATGATAAAGAACAAGTAGAGCATATAGGACACTTTTTGAGAGAGTAGGTGAAAAGTAGGGAAGAAAGAGAGTAGCCAGAAGACTAGTATGGTTGAGAGAAAGTTGACTTTGGAAAAAGGGCAGTAGAATGTGTTTGGAAGTGGACGCGTTGCCAGATAAAGGACAGGAAGGCCTTTCAGCAAAAAGGGAAAGTATACACATATATCATAAGAGCACTTATTACAGCATTGTTCATGATGTAAAATACTCAAAACAAGCTAATATTAAATAATTATTGCAAATAAATTAAAAATAATATATAAAATACTGATAATAAAAGACTAAGTGAAAAGGCATGATACACCATACTCTGTATAGAACAGATATAAAAATAAGGGTATAGTTATCTAATTTTCTAGAATGATTTCTTTCTTTCTTTCTTTCTTTCTCTTTTTCTTTTTTTTTTTGGGACAGTCTCACTCTGCCTCGCAGCGGCGTGATCTCAGCTCACTGCAACCTCCCCCTCTGGGGTTCAAGCAATTCTCTTGACTCAGCCTCCTAAGTAGCTGGGATTACAGGCGCCAGCCACTATGCCTGGTTAATTTTTTTTGTATTTTTAGTAAAGATGGGGTTTCACCATGTTGGCCAGGCTGGTCTTTAACTCCTGACCTCAAGTGATCTTCCTGCCTCGACCTCCCAAAGTGCTGGGATTACAGGTGTGAGCCACCGTGCTAGGCCAAATAATAATGATTTCTATAGTAAAATATTTTTAAAAGCAGAAAGATACATGGAAAAAAAAAAGAGAAGACACAATGTATAAAAAATGTAGTGAAGAGGGAAAAAATTTGGAACGTTAAATAGGATTTCAAGTCGTCCACTTGTCATTTATCAAACCTATATATGTGCTTGCCATGAGTGAGAAAATGTATTCATCATTTTACAAATATTGATTCATTTGATTCTCATATCAACTCGATAAAGTAGACAACATTATTATCAACTTGATGAGGAAACTAATTCAAGAGAAAGGGTAAGTGACGTCGCTAACATCACTCAGTTGTAAGTGGAGGAGGTGAGATTTGAATTTGAAGCAATCTGGGTCCAGGGTCCATATATTTAGAAACTATTCTAGGTGGCTTAAAAGGCTTTTTTTCTTGAATGATGCCAACAATCAACATAAAACATATATTGCTGTCATAATATTTATGTGCTGCTTAAACTCTTTTATAGGAAAAAAATTATGAAATTCTCTACCTTATTATCACTTTTCATATAAAAATCCACTGTTCTCCCACCTAGACTCTTTTATGTCTTTTCAAATTAGAAAGATGGAGTAAAACATACAGATTAAATCTGGTTCATAATGAAAGATAATGTCTTGTGACATGATACCAACATTAGATAATACACTTGGAACCGACCCAAATGCCAATCAATGATAAACTGGATAAAGAAAATGTGGCACATATGCACCATGGAATACTATGCAGCCATAAAAGAAGATGAGTTCATGTCCTTTGCAAGGACATGGATGAAGCTGGAAACCATCATTTTCAGCAAACTACCACAGGAAAAGAAGACCAAACACCGCATGTTCTCACTCATAAGTGGGAGCTGAACAATGAGAACACATGGACACAGGGAGGGGAATATCACACAACATGGCCTGTTGGGGGGTGGGGGGCTACAGGAGGGATAGCATTAGGATAAATACCTAATGTAGATGACGGGTTGATAAGTGCAGCAAACCACCATGGCACGTGTATACCTATGTTAACAAACCTGCACTTTCTGCACATGTATCCCAGAACTTAAAATACAATTTTAGAAAAGGTCAAAAAAAGATAATCGATTATATGGTGTGATGGAAGTTGCCTGGATTAGCAGACATGGTTATAACTATACTTAATCTACCACTGACCATCTAAGGAACATTAATAGATGAGTCTCAGTATCTCCAACCTCTAAAAGAAGAAGTTGGATCTGACTATAGTTTTCCTCAGATTTGCAGAAATGTCAGCCATTATCCCTTCAAATTTTTTTCTTACCTCCTTCAGTGTTTCTCAGCTTCCTTTCACACTCCAATTATACTTACATGAGGCTACTTGATTTCTCCCACAGTGTGCTGATGTCCTCTTCTCTGTTTTTCAGTCTTCTTTTTCCCCTTCAAGTTTTACTTTGACTATTTTCTAACGTTGTTTTTTCCAATTCACTAATCGCTGACATATTTCTTTCTAGATCTAAAAATTTAAAGTGGGTCTGTGTTACATTCCATGTCCCTATTTAATATATTCAACCTTTCTTCTAGCTTGTGGACCATATGGATACATAGAGAATTCAGAGATGACAATTGTTTTAATGTACTTTTCTGCTAATGCTAACACGTGTCTTTTCTGGGTCACTTCTGTTTGCTGACTTTTCTTCTCCATATAGGTTGTATTTTTGTGCTATTTTGAACACTTTGTAATTTTTATAGCAGATGCCTGACATTGTGATTTGTGTGGTAGGTATTTGTACATTCTATAAATATTTTTGATCTTTGTTGTAGGTTGTAATTATTTGGAAATAGTTTCATACTTTCTGTTTTTGCTTCTAAGCTTGATTAGGTGGCATCAGAGCACCATTTAATCTAGGGATAACTCTGCCCAAATAGTGAGGAAAAATCCTTCTTAATATTCTACCAAGTGCCCTGAGAATTATGAGACTTTTCTTCATAGCTGGTAGGAACAGCCATTGTTACTGAGCCTGTATGAGTTCTGAGGATAATGATGATAATACTTTTCCTGACTGTAGGTAGTTTCCTCTGATACGCAATTTGATCAACACTCATCTGAAAACATAAGGGCTGCCCTTTTCAGATCTTTGGAATTTTGCCTGCATAGACTATTCCTATCTGGATCTCTGTTCTGTAAATTCTGTACTCATTGACCTTCCTGGAAAGCTATTCCCATCTTCTCAATTCAGAGAACTACTGGGCTCAGCCTATTTTCTTCCCCCCACCACCATCCTTTGCGTGGAAACTCTCTTTAGGCAGTAAGCTAGATCAATGGAAAGAGTCATTTTGTTTATTTCCCATATCTTATAAATCACTACCCATTGTTGACTGATGACATCTTAAAAATCGTTATTTCATATATTTGTGTTGGTTATTATTTTTTTCCAGACTGTGTGGTAAATCTGGCTTTTGTTTATTTGTCTTGGTCTGAAACAGAGGTCTAAAATGAGGATTTAGAAAAAAAACTTCCAGAGACTCTTTTAATTTTATGTGCTGTTATTTCATAAACAGAAAGAATACCCACAAAACTTGGGAAATATTGAAATACTTAAAAACTTCTAATATTTCAAGAAAGATGTTAAGTAAAAGAGTCAATATTGCTGTCTGAAAAAAAAAGTTAACATTTTAACATACTTTGGGTAAGGCTACAAAATAAAATTTTTGTTTTGCAAAGTTGCTGTTTTTAAAATAATAACAATTTGATTACAAGAAAGAAAACAAGAAACAGAAAAATAAAAGCAGAAACAGAATATTTTGGATCTCACCTAAAATAATGACTCCTATAGTAACTATTGTCAATTTAAATAATATCTGTTTTGCTTGCCCTGGCCTTAGAATGTTAGAGATAAAGAACCTTCAAGATATATCATACCGCTTCTCCCTCATCAATCTCTATTGTGAGAAAATAATTGAGATTTTGGAACAAAGCCTCCCAAACTTCTTCAATCTTGCTAATTCAAATAAATATTTTTTAGTCCTTTTTCCCAAAGCTTCAATTTTATTGTATCTTGCTTTACTCACTACTCTCACCATATACATTACTTAAGATTTCTATTATAAATAGAATTCTTGTATATGCCTTTAGTAGAGACCTTGGGGGATGTATTCGTAACAAGTGCCCAAATGATTTTGATGCCTGTGGTCTGTTGACTATACCTTGAGAAAGATTGAATTCATGTTTTCTTTCCCTTTTGATTTCCTAGAGTTGTCTAAATCAATGGTGAGTGAAGATTAGCTCATATGGATATGCTTAATAAAGAAAAAATCTTTGTGAGTGGCATGATTTCTAGCCCTCAGTCCCCTTCTGCTTGCTGCTCTCTTACTACATTTTGCTGATTTTTGCTATTAAAGTGGGAAAAAGAAAACACTAGGAAAAATTATATTTGTCAAAAATGTAAACATTTAAATTTATTTTACAAGCAGAATACCATGGGTGAATAGATTAAGATACTATTGCAATTCAATTTTTTAAAAATCCCCTCTTGGATTCATCCATCACGCTCTTCTTTTTTTCATAGGCAATTTTATTAGTTTGTTCTTACACTGCTATAAAGAAATACCTGAGACTGGATAATTTATAAAGAAAAGAGCTTTAATTGGCTCCCAGTTCTGCAGGCTGTACAGGAAGCATATCAGTTTCTGCTTTTGGGGAGACCTCAGGAAACTTCCAACCATGGCAGAAGGCAAAGGGGGAGCAAACATCTTACATAGCCAGAGCGGGAGGAAGAGAGAGAAGGGGGTGGTGCCACACACTTTGAAACAACCAGATCTCATGAGAACTCATTCGCCATACAGTACCAAGTGGGGGATGCTAAACCAGTAATGGGAACTCCGCCCCTATGATCCAATCACCCCCGACCAGGCCCTTTCTCCAACACTGGGGATTACAATTCAATATGAGGTTTTGGCAGGGACACAAATCCAAACCATATCACCAGTGTTCTTAAAATAATATCTGTTTTTTATCCCTTGCTCTTATGTCCTCATCTTCCCATTATGCCTCATCAATTTATTTTGTGTTTTACTTTTTCAAAGAAATTGCTCTTGCTGAAGTCACATAAAAACAGGATCTATTGGCAAAGTTTTAGTCATTAATGGCATACAATCTACACTTACTTTTTAAGTATTTAACATTATAGAAAAGGTCTTAAAATTATCTCTCTTCTCCCTTGATCTCTCAAAACATGTCTTCCTATTTCTATGTATTTATATTTAATTTTTTTTAACAGGTATAAATTGTATATATTTATGGTGTACAATATGATGTTTGGATATATGTATATAGGTTAGTGCAAAAGTAATTGCGGTCTTTGCAATGGCAAAAACCACAATTACTTTTGCACCAACCTAATACTTTGTGGAATGGATAAATCAAGCTAATTAACATAGGCATTACCTCACTTTTATTTTTGTGATGACAACCCTTAAAGTCTACTCTCAGCAATTTTCAAATGTTCAATATGTTACCTATAGTTATCATGATGTACAATGCATGTCTTGAACTTATTCCTCCAAAATACAATTTTGGGTCCTTTGACCATCATCTCCCTAATTACCCCACCTCCAACCTCTGAGAACCACCATTTTCATCTCTATTCCTATGAGTTTGGCTTTTTATCTTTTACATATAAGTGAGATTATGCAGTATTTGTCTTCCTGTGGCTTCTTTCACTTAACATGAGGTCTTCTAAGTTTATCCATGTTGTTGCAAATGACAGGCTTTTCATCTTTTTAAGGTTGAGTTCTATTTGGCTGTGTATATACACCACATTTCCTTTAACCATTCATCTATTAATAGACACATTGACTCCATATCTAGGCTATTGTAAATAATGCTAAAATAAACATGGAAGTGCAGATATCTCTTACACATACTGATTTTATAGCCTTTGGATATATACCCAGTAGTGCGATTGTTGGCTCATATAGTAATTCTACTTTAAACTTTTTGAGGACCCTCCAAATTGTTTTCCATGATGGTTATATGAATTTATATTCCCACTAGCTGTTTACAAAGACTCTGTTTTCTCCACATTCTCATGAACACTTGTTATTGCTCATCTTTTTGATACTAGCCATTCTGAGAGGTGTGAGGGAATAGCTCATTGTGGTTTGAATTTGCATTTCCTTGATGATTACTGAGGCTGAGCATTTTTTCATATACCTGTTTGTCATTTGCATGGCCTCTTTTAAGAATGTCTATTCAGGGGTCCTTTGTCCATTTTTTAACTTGTTATATGTTTTCTCACTATGGAGCTTTTTGAATTCCTTATATATTTTTAAAATCAACTTATCAATATCAACTTATATATATTCCTTATATATTTTTGAAATCATTTATCAGATGGATGTTTTGCAGATATATTCTCATTTTGTAGGTTGTCTCTTCACTCTGTTGATTGTTTCCTTTGCTGTACAGAGCCTTTTAGTTTGATGTAATCCTGTTTATCTATTTTTGCTTTTTAGTGCATATCTAAAAGATCGTTGTTCAGATCAATGTCATGGAACTTTTCCCCTATGTTTTCTTCTAGTACTTTTATAGCTTCAAGTCTCATGTTTAACACTTTAGTCCATTTTTAGTTGATTTTTGCATATTGTGTGAGATAAGGGTTTAATTTCATTTTTCTGCAAGGGGATATTAAGTTTTCTCAGCACCATTTATGAAAGATAATGTCCTTTATTCATTGTGTTTTTGAGCAGCTTTGTCAAAAACCAATTGACTGTCAATGCATTGATTTATTTCTGTCCTGTCTTATGGGTTCCATTTATTTTGGTTCTTTATATGGTGTTATTTCCTATATAATACTCTAATATTGCATTTCCAGTGTCCTATTTCTGAGCCTCTACTCTTGCTTTGGCCCACTTATTCTTATCCATGAATATAATACGCCCCTGTCTAGTATAGACTACTTTCTTTGTTGCCTACTCAATATCTTCATCCAATTTTGTCAGTCACCCAAATCTTACTTGTCAATTGCCAATTAATTATCTCTTCACTTCTGCCAGATGCTAGTCCCCTGTCACTTCCATTACATGTTTTAGTGAATAATTTTCTAATGTAGAATTTTTGAATTTTTTTCTATGAGCCTATTTCTCATTCAAATCACAGTATTCACTCATTCAGTTTGAGTTGGACACTAGCACAATTACACACTTGCTCTAATCAGCTACATGGATACTTTTATTTTTCTTTCCATTGTGTGAATTACAACAAAAATTCTAAAAATCTTAATTTAATTTGGTTATAATAATATTTACTCCAAGTTGATATTTAAAAACTGATACAATATTATGGGATTTTAAAGCTAATTATTTTATAAACAAATTTAATTCTTTTGCAATAGTGCAATCATCACACATTTTTTCAACAGTGAATACCTAGCTTTTCACTTACAAAGATTGAATTCATTTTGGTTTCCTCACTGAATTATGTTCTCTACACCTTATTCACACAGTTTCACAGTAGAGTTCTCTGTTTCAGAAATATGTCTAGTAGTTAAGTTTGACTAAAATTCTAGCTTCCCTTTATATCAAAGTAAACTTTTAAAACAGAAACTTGACACGTAAAGTTTAGTCAGGTTTTCTGGGATTGAGTTTAGAGTTAACTTTGATGTCTTGCACTGTGCTTTTCTTTCTTTACCATCTTCTGGGCAGTTTCTGTACTTTCTGTCTTGTTATATAACCTATTTTTATGTATACTTGTCAGATGTTTATTTCTGAACATATATCAATAAAAAGGATATAGCAAAGTGAAATAAAGAATTTCCATAAAGACTTTAAGATGTATTATCAAAAAAGTAATCGCAAATTTCATGACACTTAAAAAATACAATTCAAACTTGGAATTTCTTGAATATGTCCTCAACTCCACTGCCTGCTACATTTATTTTTACCTTATATTTTTAAAAGTACATTTCTATAAAGAGTAAACTAAAGCCTATTTATAGGAAAAGAAAACATAAAGAACTGTGTACTTTTTCATACTACTTTGAATTCCAGTAATTTAGTAGCATGAATCTTAGAAGTGCTTTAACCAAATGTTGAATTTTGTTTAGAAATGGAAACAGTTAATGAATGCACACTTTATGTCTAAAGAGAAGAAGAGCATTCTAAACCACTTCTGACAAGAAAATTTAAACAATTACAGATGCTTATGGTGCTAAACAGTCTATTGAGAGAAAGTTACAGATTGCTAAAGGTCGGTGTTCCTCCTCTGAGAAAGATTGGGAGAAGAACCAAATGTCTGCCCCATGTTTATTCTGGAATAAAGTTATCCAGTGTTTTCTTAATGTGCTTTTCTCCATCACAAACTTCTGCTTGAAAAATATTCAGTTTTCATTGTTCAGTTACAAAAGACATAAGATAATTTAATAAATTAATTCCAAGCATGGTATTTTTTAATTTTACTTTAAGTTCTGGGATACATGTGCTGAACATGCAGGTTTGTTACATAGATATACATGTGCCATAGTGGTTTGATGCACCTACCAACCTGTCATCTAGGTTGTAAGCCTCGCATCCATTAGGTATTTGTTCTAATGCTCTCCCTCCCCTTGGCCCCACCCCACGACAGGCCCTGGTGTGTGATGTTTCCCTCCCTGTGTCCTTGTGTTCTCACTGTTCAGCTCCCACTTATGAGTGAGAATATGTGGTGTTTGGTTTTCTTTCCCTATGTTAGTTTGCTGAGAATGATGGCTTCCAGCTTCATCCATGTCCCAGCAAAGGACGTGAACTCATTCTTTTTTATGCCTGCATAGTATTCCATGGTGTATATGTACCACATTTTCTTTATTCAGTCTATCATTGATGGGCATTTGGGTTGGTTCCAAGTGTTTGCTATTGTAAATAGCGCTGCAATAAACATACATGTGCATGTGTCTTTATAGTAGAATGATTTATAATCCTTTGGGTATATACCCACTAATGGGATGGCTGGGTCGAATGGTATTTCTGGTTCTAGATCCTTGAGGAATCACCACAATGTCTTCCCCAATGGTTGAACTAATTTACACTCCCACCAACAGTGTAAAAGTGTTCCTATTTCTCCACAGCCTCGCCAGCATCTGTTGTTTCCTGACTTTTTAATAATTGCCATTCTGACTGGCATGAGATTGTGTCTCATTGTAGTTTTGATTAACCATGGTATTTTTAAGGCAACACAAACACAAGGTAGAAAGATTCAACCGGATAGCATTTCTTATGAGCTAGAAATATTTTGAAGCTACATCAAAACAAAACATAGCAAAACAAAATACTGTTGTAAAGACTGAAGATCATAACTGCACATTTGTGCCTGGCATTTCTTAAGGGAAATTGCAACTCACTGTTTAGAGAACAACAGAAAATATCTAGAGAGAGCAACCAGAATAATAAAATCTCAAACCCATGCTTTTCAAAAATAGATTAATGTAGTGATTGTCAAAAATTGCTAACATATATGTATTTAACCATATTCAAAGGAAAAAAGAATCTTACATACCCAGCAATTAAACTTTGATTATTATTAATATTATATTACCTGGATAAAATAAAAAACTATGCTTTATAATTTTTATACAGCTGCATTCTCAAAGTTGGCAGAAAAGCAATATACATTTATTTTCTGGAAACAAGTAACTTTTTAAAAACTCAAGCAATTATTTCTGAGCAATAGCTGAAAACTTAATCTAGCCAATATAAAAATAACTCAGTCAAATTAATGATTAACCTACTGTTTCATGGATAAACTAAACAAAACAGAACAGAACAGAATTTCTCTATTCCATGTCTCTCTGTCTCAAATAAATCTCAAAGAAGGTTTCATATTAGAATTCTCATACCTCTTACTGGGTAGGGTCTTGCTCTCAAGATTCTTCCAGTTAAACAATTTCTGCCATATTGCATATTATTCCAAGACAATAAGGTCCATCAATATGGGGAAGTAGAAATAGGCTGGGAAAAGAGGTAAGTTGGAAATAAGAGTCATATTTCCTTGCAGTAATAGTATTCATTCTACTACACAGAAACTTCAGAAAATGTGATATCTATCTATCAGTCAATCTATCTGTCTATCTCTCTATCTATCTATCTATCTATCTATCTATCTATCTATCTATCTATGTATCTATCTATCTATCTATCTATGTATACTTGCTTAGTATGTAGGGGAAATCCAATATTTCAAAATATATCTTTGATATTTTAAACTTTACTAATAAATTCTTTAAATTTTAAAAATATACTCAAACTATGTTTTTATTCAGTATCTTTTCAGAAAATTCAATAATTTCTTACTGTTAACAAATGGCTTATTAATATTTATTATTAATTACTACTAAATTGTTATTATATAGTGTATTTTTCACCAGAATGATTCAATTTTTATATTGGATTCAAATTTTAACTATATTAACACCTACTCAGGTTTAATGCATGTGTTTAACTGCAACATTGCCAATTATAATATCTTCTTTGCCTATGTTCTAGCTCCTTGAGACTTGTTTAATTGCTTTTAATTACTTATTTTTCATGGGGAGTTACAGGGGTAATATATTTTTTGCACTCTTGCATATCTCTTTTTTTTTGGGAGGGGATTATATTGAATCCATTTATTAGTCAATTTGAGAAGAATTGACGCCTTAGTATATTTATTTAGACTTTTACTTTTTTTTTTTTCTTTTATTATTATACTTTAAGTTTTATGATACATGTGCACATTGTGCAGGTTAGTTACATATGTATACATGTGCCACGCTGGTGCGCTGCACCCACTAACTCGTCATCTAGCATTAGGTATATCTCCCAATGCTATCCCTCCCCCCTCCCCCCACCCCACAACAGTCCCCAGAGTGTGATGTTCCCCTTCCTGTGTCCATGTGATCTCACTGTTCAATTCCCACCTATGAGTGAGAATATGCGGTGTTTTGTTTATTGTTCTTGCGATAGTTTACTGAGAATGATGATTTCCAATTTCATCCATGTCCCTACAAAGGACATGAACTCATCATTTTTTATGGCTGCATAGTATTCCATGGTGTATATGTGCCACATTTTCTTAATCCAGTCTATCATTGTTGGACATTTGGGTTGGTTCCAAGTCTTTGCTATTGTGAATAGTGCTGCAATAAACATACCTGTGCACCTGTCTTTATAGCAGCATGATTTATAGTCCTTTGGGTATATACCCAGTAATGGGATGGCTGGGTCAAATGGTATTTCTAGTTCTAGATCCCTGAGGAACTGCCACACCGACTTCCACAATGGTTGAACTAGTTTACAGTCCCACCAACAGTGTAAAAGTGTTCCTATTTCTCCACATCCTCTCCAGCACCTGTTGTTTCCTGACTTTTTAGTGACTGCCATTCTAACTGGTGTGAGATGGTATCTCATTGTGGTTTTGATTTGCATTTCTCTGATGGTCAGTGATGATGAGCATTTTGTCATGTGTTTTTTGGCTGCATAAATGTCTTCTTTTGAGAAGTGTCTGTTCATATCCTTCACCCACTTTTTGATGGGGTTGTTTGTTTTTTTCTTGTGAATTTGTTTGAGTTCATTGTAGATTCTGGATATTAGCCCTTTGTCAGATGAATAGGTTGCAAAAATTTTCTCCCATTTGTAGGTTGCCTGTTCACACTGATGGTAGTTTCTTTTGCTGTACAGAAGCTCTTTAGTTTAATTAGATCCCATTTGTCAATTTTGTCTTTTGTTGCCCTTGCTTTTGGTGTTTTAGACATGAAGTCCTTGCCCATGCCTATGTCCTGAATGGTATTGCCTAGGTTTTCTTCTAGGGTTTTTATGGTTTTAGGTCTAATGTTTAAGTCTTTAATCCATCTTGAATTGATTTTTGTATAAGGTGTAAGGAAGGGATCCAGTTTCAGCTTTCTACATATGGCTAGCCAGTTTTCCCAGCACCATTTATTAAATAGGGAATCCTTTCCCCATTGCTTGTTTTTCTCAGGTTTGTCAAAGATCAGATAGTTGTAGATATGCGGCGTTATTTCTGAGGGCTCTGTTCTGTTCCATTGGTCTATATCTCTGCTTTGGTACCAGTACCATGCTGTTTTGGTTACTGTAGGCTTGTAGTATAGTTTGAAGTCAGGTAGTGTGATGCCTCCAGCTTTGTTCTTTTGGCTTAGGATTGACTTGGCGATGCGGGCTCTTTCTTGGTTCCATATGAACTTTAAAGTGGTTTTTTCCAATTCTGTGAAGAAAGTCATTGGTAGCTTGATGGGGATGGCATTGAATCTGTAAATTACCTTGGGCAGTATGGCCATTTTCACGATATTGATTCTTCCTACCCATGAGCATGGAATGTTCTTCCATTTGTTTGTGTCCTCTTTTATTTCATTGAGCAGTGGATTGTACTTCTCCTTGAAGAGGTCCTTCACATCCCTTGTAAGTTGGATTCCTAGGTATTTTATTCTCTTTGAAGCAATTGTGAATGGGAGTTCACTCATGATTTGGCTCTCTGTTTGTTTGTTGTTGGTGTATAAGAATGTTTGTGATTTTTGTACATTGATTTTGTATCCTGAGACTTTGCTGAAGTTGCTTATCAGCTTAAGGAGATTTTGGGCTGAGACAATGGGGTTCTCTAGATATACAATCATGTCGTCTGCAAACAGGGACAATTTGACTTCCTCTTTTCCTAATTGAATACCCTTTATTTCCTTCTCCTGCCTAATTGCCCTGGACAGAACTTCCAACACTATGTTGAATAGGAGTGGTGAGAGAGGGCATCCCTGTCTTGTGCCAGTTTTCAAAGGGAATGCTTCCAGTTTTTGCCCATTCAGTATGATATTGGCTGTGGGTTTGTCATAGATAGCTCTTACTATTTTGAGATACGTCCCATCAATACCTAATTTACTGAGAGTTTTTAGCATGAAGGGTTGTTGAATTTTGTCAAAGGCCTTTTCTGCATCTATTGAGATAATCATGTGGTTTTTGTCTTTGGTTCTGTTTATATGCTGGATTACATTTATTGATTTGCGTATATTGAACCAGCCTTGCATCCCAGGGATGAAGCCCACTTGATCATGGTGGATAAGCTTTTTGATGTGCTGCTGGATTTGGTTTGCCAGTATTTTATTGAGGATTTTTGCATCAATGTTCATCAAGGATATTGGTCTAAAATTCTCTTTTTTGGTTGTGTCTCTGCCAGGCTTTGGTATCAGAATGATGCTGGCCTCATAAAATGAGTTAGGGAGGATTCCCTCTTTTTCTATTGATTGGAATAGTTTCAGAAGGAATGGTACCAGTTCCTCCTTGTACCTCTGGTAGAATTCAGCTGTGAATCCATCTGGTCCTGGACTCTTTTTGGTTGGTAAGCTATTGATTATTGCCACAATATCAGATCCTGTTATTGGTCTATTCAGAGATTCAACGTCTTCCTGGTTTTGTCTTGGGAGAGTGTATGTGTCGAGGAATTTATCCATTTCTTCTAGATTTTCTAGTTTATTTGCGTAGAGGTGTTTGTAGTATTCTCTGATGGTAGTTTGTATTTCTCTGGGATTGGTGGTGATATCCCCTTTATCATTTTTTATTGCGTCTATTTGATTCTTCTCTCTTTTTTTCTTTATTAGTCTTGCTAGTGGTATATCTATTTTGTTGATCCTTTCAAAAAACCAGCTCCTGGATTCATTAATTTTTTGAAGGGTTGTTTGTGTCTCTATTTCCTTCAGTTCTGCTCTGATTTTAGTTATTTCTTGCCTTCTGCTAGCTTTTGAATGTGTTTGCTCTTGCTTTTCTAGTTCTTTTAATTCTGATGTTAGGGTGTCAATTTTGGATCTTTCCTGCTTTCTCTTGTGGGCATTTAGTGCTATAAATTTCCCTCTACACGCTGCTTTGAATGCGTCCCAGAGATTCTGGTATGTTGTGTCTTTGTTCTCGTCGGTTTCAGAGAACATTTTTATTTCTGCCTTCATTTCGTTATGTACCCAGTAGTCATTCAGGGGCAGGTTGTTCGGTTTCCATGTAGTTGAGTGGTTTTGAGTGAGATTCTTAATCCTGAGTTCTAGTTTGATTGCACTGTGGTCTGAGAGATAGTTTGTTGTAATTTCTGTTCTTTTACATTTGCTGAGGAGAGCTTTACTTCCAAGTATGTGGTCAATTTTGGAATAGGTGTTGTGTGGTGCTGAAAAAAATGTATATTCTGTTGATTTGGGGTGGAGAGTTCTGTAGATGTCTATTAGGTCAGCTTGGTGCAGAGCTGAGTTCAATTCCTAGGTATCCTTGTTGACTTTCTGTCTTGTTGATCTGTCTAATGTTGACAGTGGGGTGTTAAAGTCTCCCATTATTAATGTGTGGGAGTCTAAGTCTCTTTGTAGGTCACTCAGGACTTGCTTTTTGAATCTGGGTGCTCCTGTATTGGGTGCATATATATATTTAGGATAGTTAGCTCTTCTTGTTGAATTGATCCCTTTACCATTATGTAATGGCCTTCTTTGTCTCTTTTGATCTTTATTGGTTTAAAGTCTGTTTTATCAGAGACTAGGATTGCAACCCCTGCCTTTTTTTGTTTTCCATTTGCTTGGTAGATCTTCCTCCATCCTTTTATTTTGAGCCTATGTGTGTCTCTGCACATGAGATGGGTTTCCTGAATACAGCACACTGATGGGTCTTGACTCTTTATCCAATTTGCCAGTCTGTGTCTTTTAATTGGAGCATTTAGTCCATTTACATTTAAAGTTAACATTGTTATGTGTGAATTTGATCCTGTCATTATGATGTTAGCTGGTTATTTTGCTCGTTAGTTGATGCAGTTTCTTCCTAGTCTCGATGGTCTTTACATTTTGGCATGATTTTGCAGCGGCTGGTACCCGTTGTTCCTTTCCATGTTTAGCGCTTCTTCAGGAGCTCTTTTAGGGCAGGCCTGGTGGTGACAAAATCTCTCAGCATTTGCTTGTCTGTAAAGGATTTTATTTCTCCTTCACTTATGAAGCTTAGTTTGGCTGGATATGAAATTCTGGGTTGAAAATTCTTGTCTTTAAGAATGTTGAATATTGGCCCCCACTCTCTTCTGGCTTGTAGGGTTTCTGCCAAGAGATCCACTGTTAGTCTGATGGTCTTCCCTTTGAGGGTAACCCGACCTTTCTCTCTGGCTGCCCTTAACATTTTTTCCTTCATTTCAACTTTGGTGAATCTGACAATTATGTGTCTTGGAGTTGCTCTTCTCGAGGAGTATCTTTGTGGTGTTCTCTGTATTTCCTCAATCTGAACGTTGGCCTGCCTTGCTAGATTGGGGAAGTTCTCCTGGATAATATCCTGCAGAGTGTTTTCCAACTTGGTTCCATTCTCCCCGTCACTTTTAGGTACACCAATCAGACGTGGATTTGGTCTTTTCACATAGTCCCATATTTCTTGGAGGCTTTGCTCATTACTTTTTATTCTTTTTTCTCTAAACTTCCCTTCTCGCTTCATTTCATTCATTTCATTTTCCATCGCTGATACCCTTTCTTCCAGTTGATTGCATCGGCTCCTGAGGCTTCTGCATTCTTCACGTAGTTCTCGAGCCTTGGTTTTCAGCTCCATCAGCTCCTTTAAGCACTTCTCTATATTGGTTATTCTAGTTATACATTCTTCTAAATTTTTTTCAAAGTTTTCAACTTCTTTGCCTTTGGTTTGAATGTCCTCCCGTAGCTCAGAGTAATTTGATTGTCTGAAGACTTCTTCTCTCAGCTTGTCAAAGTTGTTCTCCATCCAGCTTTGTTCCGTTGCTGGTGAGGAACAGCGTTCCTTTGGAGGAGGAGAGGCGCTCTGCTTTTCAGAGTTTCCAGTTTTTCTGTTCTGTTTTTTCCCCATCTTTGTGGTTTTATCTACTTTTGGTCTTTGATGATGGTGATTTACAGATGGGTGTTTGGTGTGGATGTCCTTTCTGTTTGTTAGTTTTCCTTCTAACAGACAGGACCCTCAGCTGCAGGTCTGTTGGAGTACCCTGCCGTGTGAGGTGTCGGTGTGCTCCTGCTGGGGGGTGCCTCCCAGTTAGGCTGCTCGGGGGTCAGGGGCCAGGGACCCACTTGAGGAGGCAGTCTGCCCGTTCTCAGATCTCCAGCTGTGTGCTGGGAGAACCACTGCTCTCTTCAAAGCTGTCAGACAGGGACATTTAACTCTGCAGAGGTTACTGCTGTCTTTTTGTTTGTCTGTGCCCTGCCCCCAGAGGTGGAGCCTACAGAGGCAGGCAGGCCTCCTTGAGCTGTGGTGGGCTCCACCCAGTTGGAGCTTCCCGGCTGCTTTGTTTACCTAAGCAAGCCTGGGCAATGGCGGGCGCCCCTCCCCCAGCCTGGCTGCCGCCTTGCAGTTTGATCTCAGACTGCTGTGCTAGCAGTCAGCGAGACTCCGAGACTCCATGGGCATAGGACCCTCCGAGCCACGTGCGGGATAGAATCTCGTGGTGCGCCGTTTTTTAAGCCTGTCGGAAAAGCGCAGTGTTCCGGTGGGAGTGACCGGATTTTCCAGGTGCCGTCAGTCACGCCTTTCTTTGACTAGGAAAGGGAACTCCCTGACCCCTTGCGCTTCCCGAGTGAGGCAATGCGTCACCCTGCTTAGGCTCCCGCACGGTGCGCGCACCCACTGACCTGCGCCCACTGTCTGGCACTCCTTAGTGAGATGAACCCGGTACCTCAGATGGAAATGCAGAAATCACCCGTCTTCTGTGTCGCTCACGCTGGGAGCTGTAGACCGGAGCTGTTCCTATTCGGCCATCTTGGCTCCTCCCTGCACTCTTGCATATCTCATATTACATTTTTTGCTTCCCTTACACATAATAGAGATGTTAAGCCATAAGTTAAGTTTGGGATCAGAAATCTCTGCCCTATCCTTCAGCCCTCTATAAGCATTGTTTTGCTTTATTTGGCTTTTTATATTGAGTAAAAGGATAAAGACAGTTTTGTTTTTTCTGGAATTTATTTTTTACCTAGATACATTGAAAATGTTTTCTTTGTTTAGCAATTTCAAGGGCAACCATTGAACTGTTCTCTGTCACTATAGTTTTGTCTTTTTGAGAATACGATATAAACAATATAGTATGTAATCTTTCAGATGGGCTTATTTCAGCCTATGCTATTTTCCTTTTCATTTTTTCTGATCATCTCGCAAGTGTGCAGAGATATCTTATTGTTTTAACTATTTGGATTTTCCTAATGATGAAAGATCTTCAGCATTTGTTCATACTCTTATTTGTCATTTGTATTTTTTAAGTTAACACATAATTATTTTATAATATTTGGAGGGCACATGTCATACTGTGATACATGCATACAATGTGCAGTAATCAAATAAGAATGCTTGAGATATCCATCATTTCCAACATTTTTTATTTCTTTTTGTTAGGAATATTACAAATCTCTTCTTGCTTTTTTTTTGCAGTTTTTCACTTTTCTATGGCCCCAGGGTTTCTCATAGCCTCAATTTTGAGTTCTAGGATATTGGTGAAGATAATCTTAGCAACAAAGGTTGGTTGTAGTTTTCTGTGGGAGAGGTTGAAAAAAATTGCTTTTAGTCCACCATTTTGATGAATCTTCAAATATTTTCTTTGATGAGGTGTTAATTCAGATATTTTCCCCATTTATAAATTGAGTTCTTTTCTTATTAAGTTTTACATTTTTATATATTTTTGATACATGTCTTTTATAAAGTAGGAGTTTTGCAAATATTTTATTTCAGTCTTAGCTCATCACTTCATTCTCTTAACGGTATGTTTCACAGAGCAGATATTTTTAATTTTACTAAAGTCCAAATCACCAATTTTGTTTTCCTTGATTTTGTTTTTGGTGTTCTAAAATCTCATCATCAAACTAAAGGTTACATAGATATTGTCCTCTTTCCTTCTAGAAATTTTATAGTCTTAATTTTATATTTATGATTCATCTTGAATTCATGTTTTAGAAAAGTTTAAGGTGTGTGTGTAGGTTCGCTTTTTCGATGTGAATGTTCATTTATTTCAGTACCATTTGTTGAAAGACTACCTATTGAATTGCTTTGGCACCATTGTTGAAGATCAGTAGACTATATTTGAGTGGGTCCATTTCTGAAATGTCTAGTCTTTTCCATATATATATATATATTATTTATCAATACCACATTCTATTGGTTCTTATAGCTTATAGAAGTTTAAAAATCATAGTGTGAGTTCTTCACCCTTCTTCTTTTCAGGTCTTTTGCCTTTCCATTTAAGAATTTTTTTTTTTTTTTTTGATAGGTGCAAAATAGCTTAATGAAGATTTTATTTTCACTTTGGTATTTTTTATAAACTCAAATGAGTGTTAGGGCTTGCCAAATTATTTTTAATTATTGTATTAGGGTTCTCTAGAAGGACAGAACTAATAGGATACATATATAGAGAAGTTTGTTAATTATTTACTCACACAATCACAAAGTCCCACAACAGGCCATCTCCAAGCTGAGGAACAAGGAAAGCCAGTCTGAGTCCCAAAACTGAAGAACTTGAGCCTGATGTTCGAAGTCAAGAAGGATCCAACATGGGAGAAAGATGAAGGCCAGGAAGCTAGGCCAGTGTAGTCTTTCACGTTTTTCTGCCTGCTTTATATTCTAGCTGCGTTGGCAGCTGATTAGATGGTGCCCACCCAGATTAAGGGTGGGTCGGCCTTTCCCAGCTCACTGACTCAAATGTTAATCTTCTTTGGCAACACCCTCACAAACATACCCAGGATCAATACTTTGCGTCCTTCAATCCAAACAAGTTGACACTCAGTATTAATCATCACAATTATCAATTGATATGATCGTATGATGTTTATTATTTACCCTGTTGGTGTGGATTACATTGAGTAATTTTGTTATGTAAATCTCTTTGTGAACTGGAATAAATCACTTTAATTGGGATGACGTCGAATCTATGGATAAAGTAGGGAATAAGTGACATTTTAACAGCAGTGAGTCTACCAATCTGTTAATATGGATTAAATGGACAGTCTCTCCATTTAAGTCATTTTTTGATTTAATGTTTTGTATTTCTCTGCATGCATATCCTGTACATACGTATGTCAAATTGATACCATAGCATTTCATTACTTTTATGCTGCTATAAATAAAATTTAAAATTTTCAAATCTCAATTTTTCATTGCTGCTATGCTGAAAAATGATTGATTTTTGTATACTGACTTTGTGTCCTGCCACCTTCTAAATTCAATTATTAGTTTCAGGAGTTGTTTTTTTAATATAGTGTCTTTGAGATTTTCTACATACACAAAGCATGCCATTTGCAAATAAACACCGTACAATTTATCCATTTCCAAACTATATACTTTATTTCCTTTCCTTGTTTATTGTACTAGCTAGAATTTCTAGGACATTGTTGAATTAACAGTGATTACAACATAGCTTCTTTTTTCTGATCTTAGGGAAAAACATTCAGTTTATCACCATTAAGAATAAGGTAGGTTTTCTGGGAGATGTCCTTTATTAAATTGAGGAAGTTCTCTTATATTTGCTGAAGAATTGTTTTTTATCTCAAGTAGGTGTTAGCTTTTATAAAACGGTTGTCAGAATTTATATGATGATATTATTTTTCTTCTTTATCCTGTATATGTGGTGTTTTACATAAAGTGATTTTTAAATGTAACACCAGCCTTGCATATCTATAATAAATCACACTGCTTGTGGTATATAACTTTTTCTATACATTGTTGTACTCGATTTGTTGTTTTTTTTGAGGATTTTTAAATTTATTGTGCACAAGATGTATTGATCTGTTGTTTCTTTTCTTGCAATGTATTTTGATTTCAGTATTCGGATAATATTGCCCTAGAATTTCTTCTTGGAGAATGTATGTATTTATCATGTTTAATGCCCTTTGTTCCTGATTACTTTCCTTGTTCTGAAGTCATCTTTGTATGAACTTAATGTAGCTACTTCGTATTTCTTTTGAAGAGTCAGTAAGTGGTTGTTTGTTTGTTTGTTTGTTTGTTTTGAAATGGAGTCTCGCTCTGTTATCCAGGCTGGAGTGCAATGGCATGATCTCAGCTCACTGCAACCTCTGCCTCCCCAGTTCAAGTGATTCTTGTGCCTCAGCCTCCTGAGCAGCTGGGATTACAGGCGCAGGCATCACTACACCTGGCTAATTTTTGTATTTTTAGTAGAGACGGGTTTTTGTCACTTTGGCCAGGCGAGTCTCAAACTCCTGGCCTCAAGTGATCCATCCTCCTCGGCCTCTCAATGTGCTGGGATTACAGGTGTGAGCCACCATGCCTGACCTGTTTCTTCTAATTTCTGAAAAAAGATTGTGAAGAATTTTACACATATTCATTTTTAATATAGTTAAGAACAAGAAAAATTAAATATTTTATTTTGCCTTCATTCATTCCTTCCTGGTGCTCTTGTTTCTTATTTCATATAGATTCAAGCTTCTGACCAACATCTTTTTTTTCCTTGCCTGAAGAAGTTCTTTTAATATTTCGTAAAGAACTCATCCCAAGTTTACTAAAGTGATTTCAACAAATAGAAGAGGAGGGTATTTTTCAAAACTCATTTCTGAGGCCAGCATTATCTTGATACCAAAACACACAAGGACATTACAAAAAGTGAAAACTACAGGCCAATATTCCTGATAAACATTATGCAAAAAATTATCAGCAAAATATCAGCAAACAGAATTCAACAACACATTAAAAAGATCATTCACCATGATCAGGTGAGATTCATCTCAAGGATGTAAGGATGGTTCAAAATATACAAATCAATAAACATGATAGATCATATCAACAGAATTAAGAACAAAAACCATATGATCGTCTCACTAGATGTCGATCAAGTATTTGGTAAAATTCATCATCGCTTCATGATAAAATCTGTTAACAAACTGGGCATAGAAGATGTGGGCAGCAAGCCACCCAGGTGCCAAGGTAACAGACCGAGGGCACAAGCTGTTCCAGTATAATAAAGAAAATATATAGAATAAGAATAGTTATATTAGAAATAGATTATAGATATGATTATATATGAATATCATTAATCATTAGTTTGAAGCATTACTCTTTATTCCAATATTATAATAATCTTTGTTCTACAATTGTAACCTAGGAAAAACCAGGCCATACAGAGATAGGAGCTGAAGGAACACGGTGAGAGAAGTGACCAGAAGACAAGTGTGAGCCCTCTGTTATGCCCGCACAGGGCCACTAGAGGGCTCCCTGGTCTAGCGGTAACTCCAGCGCCTGGGCAGGCACCCCTTACCTAGCGGACCTTGGTCTAGCGGTAGCGTTAGTGCCTGGGGAAGGCACCCGTTACTTAGCAGACTGGGAAAGGTTGTCTCCCTTTCCCCCAGGGAAGTTAAAGAAGACTCCGCTCCACCACCTCTTGTGGAAGGCCTGACATCAGTCAGGGCCGCCCGCAGCCATCCAGAGGCCTGACCAGACGTCTCCCTGTGAAGCTGTGCTTCAGCGGTCACGGTCCTGGTCCACTCTGTACACCTGGCTCATGTTCCACTCTGTACAACTGGCTCTGCCATATAGATAGCAGTAGCAGAATTAGTGAAAGTATTAAAGTCTTTGATTTTTCTGAGAAGAGCATAGAAGAAATAATGACTTAAGCTGTATCTCTCTCACTCTCCACTACTTGAAAGGGAAAGGCCCCCTGTCTGGCGGACACGTGACTCACGTGACCTTATCAATCATTGACTCACAGTCCTTACCCTGCCCCTTTTGCCTTGCATCCAATAAATAACAGCGCAGCCAGGCATTCAGGGCCACTACCGGTTTCTGCGTCTAGGTGGTAGTGGTTCCCCCAGCCCAGCTGTCTTTTCTTCTGTCTCTTTGTCTTGTGTCTTTATTTCTATGATCTCTCATTTCCACACACGAGGAGAAAAACCCACAGACCCAGTAGGGCTGGACCCTACAGAAGAAACATGCCTCAACACATTTAAGGTCATATATGACAAAAACACAGCTTAATATCATTCTGAATGGGGAAAAATTAAAGTCTTTTCATTAATATCTGGAACAAGGCAAGGATGCCCACTTTCTCCACCTCTATCCAACACAGTACTAGGAGTTCTAGCCAGTGGAATTAGATAAGAGATAGAAATAAAGGGCGTCCAAATTAGAAAGGAAGAAGTCTAATTATCTTTGTTTGAAGCTGATATGATCTTATCTCTAGAAAAACCTGAAGATTCCTCCAAAAATCTTAGAACTGATAAATAAACTTAGTGAATTTGCAGAATAAAACATCAACATATAAAAACCAGTAGCATGTCTACATGCTGACAGCATTTAATCTGAAAAAGAAATCAAGAGAACAATCTCATTTACAACACTAAAATAAAAATACCTAGAAATAAATTTAACCAATGAAGTGAAAGATACGCACAAGGAAAACTATAAAACACTGATGAAAGTAACTGAAGAGGACACACACACACACACACACACACGAAAACCCATGCCCATACATTGAAAGAATTAATACTGTCAAATGTCTATATGTCTCAAAGTGATCTGCAGATTCAAGGCAATCCCAGTCAAATACCAATGACTTTTTTTACAGAAATAGGAAAATAATACTAAAATTTGTGTGGAACTAAAAAAGACTCGGAACTGCTAAAGCAATCCTAAGCAAAAGAACAAAGCCAGAGATATCACACTACTTGATTTCAAATTATACTACACAGTTATAGTAACCAAAACAACATGGCATTGACATAAAAAGAGACACATAGACCAATGAGAATAGAGAACCCAGAATCCATGCGCTTAAAGCCAACTCATTTTCCAAAAAGACACCAAGAACATTCACTGGGAAAATGACAGTCTCTTTAATAAATGGTGCTGAGAAAACTTAATATCTATATGCGGAAAATAAAACTAGATTCCTATCTCTCAGCGTATCTATAAATCAACTCAAAATAAATTAAAGACTTATATGCAAGACTTGAACTATAAAACTAATAAAAGGAAACATTGGGGAAATGCCACAGGATATTGGCCTGGGCAAAGATTGTTTGGGTAAGACCTCAAAAGCACAGGCAAGAAAAGCAAATGTAGACAAATTGAATTATGTTAAGCTAAAATTGTTCTGAATTGGAAAAGAAAAAACAACAACAACAATGAAGTGAAGAAGCAACTAACAGAGTGGGAGAAAATATTTGCAAACAATCTATCTGACAAGGGATTAATAACAAGAATATACAAGAAACTTAAAAAAAGGCAAAAAAAGAAAATCAAATTTGAAAATGAGAAAAAGACGTGAATAGACTTTTCTCAAAGACATACAAATGGCCAAGAGGTATATTTAAAAAATGCTCAGTATCTCCATTATCAAGGATATGTAAATCAAAACCACAATGAAATATCATCTAATCCCCATTAGCATGGCTACTATCAAAAAGACGAAAAGTAATAAATGCTGGTGAGGGTGCAGAGAAAAGGGTACCTTTGTACACTGCTGGTAGGAATCTAAATTCGTACAGCCATAAGGAAAACAGTAAGGAGGTTCCTCAAAAACTAAAAATAGAATTACCACTGCTTGGTACATATTCAAAAGAAAGGAGATAACGTATAAAGGAAATATATGAACTCACATTTTTATTGTAGCAGTATTCACGATAGGCAAGAAATGGAGTCCGCTTAAGAATTCATCAATGGATAAAGAAACAAAATGTGATATTTATACACAATGGAATATTATTCAGCCATAAAAAAATAAAATTCTGTCATTTGCAGCAATGTGGATGGAACTAGAGGTTATTATGTCATGTAAAACAAGCCAGGTACAAAAAGACAAATAATTACATTTCCAACTCATATGTGGGAGCTAAAATAGTGGATCTTATGTAATTAAAGAGTAAAATGGTGGTTTCCAGAGGCTGGGAAGGACAGATGGATGAGGGGATGGGGAGAAGTTAGTGAAGAGGTAAGTTAGACGAAATAAGTTCAAGCATGTGATAGTACAGTAGGCAAATTATAGTTAACAATAATGTATATTTCAAAATAGCTAGAAGAATTGTAACAAAGAAAAATCAAATGTTTGAGATGATAGATATCCCAATTACACTGATTTGATCATTACACATTGTATACAGGTATCAAATTATTATATATACCACCAAAATAAATACAATTATTATGTATCAGTAAAAAATAACAGTAAAATTAAATGTAATAAAAACATTTTTTCAAGGGTGCGTCTAAAGTCAATAAATCTCCTTAGTTTTTTTTTTTTGTCGAGAACGTTCATTTCTTCTTTACTTTTGAGGGATAATTTCACTGGATATAGAATTTAAGATTAGTGTTTTCTTCTTTCAACACTTTAAATGTTTTATTCTATTCTCTTCTTGCTTAAATGGTTTCTGATTAGAAGTATGCTGTGATTATTATCCTTTCCCTCTGTTGATAAGGGGATTTGCTCTTTCTTCAAGATTTTTTTCCTTTGTCTTCAGTATCTTACATTTTGAATATGATATGCCTAGGCATGGAATTTTTTTAAAAATGTTAATCCCTGCCAATGAAACTATGACAAAACATGTTCTTCTTAATTTGAATTTCATATTATTCATATTATTATTTTTACCAGTCAAGTTTTCACACGTGCAGTTAGAGACAACCATGTTATGACTGCCAACTGACCATCAGTTAAGAAATGTTAAATTGGGTGTAAAAAGATGGTTTTAGAGTAATGAAGTAAGAAGTCCTAAGCATTATTCTTCATTCAAATATATTTAAGAAGTTTGTTGTTGTTGTTGTTGTTGTTAAGGAATTGAAAATAAACAATGCTTAACAACTATTACTGCAAAACCATGACAAAACAGGTATTTACAAAAAGTGATACCAAGCAAGCTACATTTTAACCCACCCCATCTGTGATGGTTAATACCTAGTGCCAACTTGATTGGATTGAAAGATGCCAAGTATTGTTCCTGGGTGGGTCTGTGAAGGTGTTGCCAAAGGAGATTAACATTTGAGTCAGTGGGCTGGGAAAGGCAGACCCGCCCTCAATCTGGGTGGGCACCATCTAATTACCTGCCAGTGCAGCCAGAATAAAAAGCAGGCAGAAGAACATGAAAGGACTAGACTGGCTTAGCCTCCCAGTCTACATCTTCCTCCCGTGCTGCCTTCAGACATTGGACTCCAAGTTCTTCGGCTTTGGGACTCGGACTGGCTTTCTTGCTCCTCAGCTTGCAGATGGCCTATTGTGGGACCTTGTGATCGTGTGAGTTAATGCTCCTTAATAAACTCTCCTTTATATATACATCTATCCCATTAGTTCTATCCCTCTATATAACCCTGACAATACACCATGCTACTTAAGAAATAAATGCTTTAGCTTTTGTATCCAATGTTCATTTGGTTTTAACTATTTTAAAATTTAGTATTTTAAATATTAATATACATATTTCAGTAAGTCATGAAATTTTATCTTCTCTACTTATTTTTACTCCTAGTGGTACATTTCAAGAAAGAAAGCAAGGTTATCAAGGCTCTAATCAGTCAAGGAAGATCCAATTTTGGTGGGCCTGGATGTTTTAAAATTTGGATGGCATTTTTTAGGAAAAATAATAAGACATTAGAAGTGAAAAATTAGGTACAATGTTAATATTTATCTAGAGTTAAGAGAAACCATGCACAATGAATTACAAATTTAGACTGTTGATGGCCACAAGCATCAAAAATACCTGGAAAGTTGGAAGGGACCCACAAGAATGAGCGGTCTCAAAGCTGGAGATTCCCTGGATTCACAGAAAATCTACCCACACTTCTGTACCTAGGGTTGCTCATCATTTTCTTCCATGTACTTATGTAGAATGAAATAGAGTGAACCCAGAAGGATGCAATTGCTTTGCCCATGTCTCTGGCCTCCAAGAGGTCACATGTGTTTCATAATAAAATCCTCTTGGTTATGGAAAATACCTGTGAGAATGTCATGAAATGCTATGGCTGAAAAGTTAAATGGCATTCTAACCTAATATTCTCACTTTAGAATTGAAAAAGAGCGATAGGGAAGTGAACTAAAATATTCAAGATGACAATTCTAGCTAAAAGAAGACTAGAATACAGTTTTACTTAATTTCAGTATAATATTTTTTCTACTTTTGAAAAAAGACAACACTCTAGTATAATCAACAATCTCAGGAATGCTAAATCATGCACTTTGATTCAGTTAGGGGAACAAAATTTAGGGGAAAGGATGATGGAGGGAAAGGAATAAAACTGGCAGTTAATGACGTACTGTGTGTTAGTAACTAACTATATTCCATTCTTTATAATGTGGTCTCATATTTAATAATCACGAACTCAGAGATGACACCTGATTTAAATTAGTTTTCTTTCTACTGCCAGTTGCCTCATGAAAAGGGCCTGTATACACTGCTGCATATACATATCTTTGCCATTTCTGTCTCTGCATCCTTTCTTGAGCTCCCACATATCCTCTTCCTTTCTCAAATGATTAATCACCTTTCAAGGACAAGATGAACTGTCATGGGTTATTTCCAAAATATCATGAGAACGTGTCAATATATTCACACACAAAAATCTAAGTAAAAGAAACTATGTGACAAGTATCGTATCTGTGCTGCACAAAGCAGCCTAAGAGATCATCAAAGGCATACTTCTTTCTAGGATCGTGTGACCTGAGAAAGCATCAGGGAAGACATTGCACAGAACTGAGTCTTGAATGACTGATGATAAAAAGACATACCATTCTATGAATGGTGAATGATGTGAAGCTTGAAAAACATTTCCAAGCTGGGCTAAAGTAAAAAGTTTCTGTTGAAAAGTGGAGGGAAAGGATGCTGATGAATTTGTTAGGACCCATTTCATGAAGGATCTTGCTTGTTAACAAAAACAATTTAAGTTTCAATTAATAGCTAAATGAAAACATGCTGGAGATTTTCATATAGTGACAACATTAACAAAGAAATAGTTTTCAGAATGTGTCTTTGTTGTCAATACATATGATGGTAACATGACAGAAAAAATGTGGTGGGAAGACCAGTGAGGAAGTTATTAAAATCAAGATATGAGCAAGTGGAAATGGAGGACATATATATCCTATCTGTAATATCAAACTTACTATTATCTTTTTTGAGAAAGGATTATGCTTTCTTTCTTCATGTTACCTACCCCATTTTTTTCCCTCAGTTCTAAAAACAAATTAGCTGCTTCATGAGATTTCTTCAGCAACAATTTATTTTCTATATCACTTGCTTCTTGCCAGTACATCACTCTTTCCTTCTGATCTGACCTCTAATCCTCCAGTCAATAGAGCATGAGACAGTGACATGTTTCTTTGACTCTTCAATCAATATGTAGGTGGCTTAGCAAAGATTAATAATGATCATCATCACCCTTTGTTAAGTCCAACATTGTCATTCAGACAGATGAGAGGATGGATAATTAGATTGCAGATACATTCAAAGTAGTAAAACCAGGAGTCTCATTAAAATAATTAAACAGAAAATTTTGATTGGGCTCAAACATTGTATTTCATGCTATATAAAATACAATTTTTGAGTTATAAATCCAATTCCCCTATCGTTTTTCCCACTATCTACTTATCAGCACAACAAAAATAACACAAATGTAATATTTTCCAGATACTATGTTAGTGTAGAAATAGTTAATTGGTGATTTACATTACAGTATATTATAAAGATGTAGGGATTTAAGCCAATGCATTTACAATGATTAAAATAATACAATCAATCTATATTTCTATAATATTTGGATTGATATATGTTAAGCTTCTCTAATTATTAACCACTTAGGGAGAAATATACTAGAGAGATTACAAAGAAAACATTTACTTATCTGTGTCCTCCGCTTTTAGAAGCAAGTGATGTAGAGTAAGGGGAGTTAGCTCATGTGGGAGAAAAAATCCTATTTTTGGCATCCCAATAGATCTTAGGTCCTGGGGATGGTTCTCAGGATATAAAGGGCTAAGGAAAATACATATCTAGGTTGGGACAACTGCTGAGTTGTGTGGTTTTCCAGGCTTGGAACAAAGATCCTATTTGCAACAGGAGGTGGTTTGACAGGGCAATGCAGATGCTTAGAGAAGTATCATTTCTCAATTTTTTATTCAAAGAAACTAGTTCAGAGTCCACTTGGAAGTTTCTTATGAGGGCAGAAGCCTGAACTCCAAGCTCAGAGCCATAAAATTACAATATCTGTTTGCAGAATTCTTAATCTGCAGTTTTAACAATGATTGTTATGCGATCAAGTGAACAAACTTTTGCTCACCTCACTCTTAAATCTGAAAAACCTACATTCTTGTACATTTTAATACTTTCTTCAAAAACTTTAACATGTTTAAGTAAATTCAAATAATTATATTTCTGTTGAATTGTTCATATTGACATATTAAATAAAACTATATCATTCTTATAAATATATCCTGGGCATCTAATTAACTTGTGATTTGATATTCACTATCATCATTTAAAAGCTTTATCTTATAGTCAGAAATTGTTCCTTTTAGATCGAGACCATCCTGGCTAACACGGTGAAACCCCGTCTCTACTAAAAATACAAAAAAATTAGCCGGGCGTGGTGGCGGGCGCCTATAGTCCCAGCTACTCCGGAGGCTGAGGCAGGAGAATTGCATGAACCCGGGAGGCGCAGCTTGCAGTGAGCCGAGATCGCACCACTGGACTCCAGCCTGGGCGACAGAGCGAGGCTCCGTCTCAAAAAAAAAAAAAAAAAAAGGAAAAGAAAATAAATCGTTCTTTTTACTTTGTGAACTTGCATTTATAATCTACTTGCCCTGCATAATTTTATCCTAATGTAATAGTATTCAAAAATGTTATTATGCATGATCTCAAATAAATATCAAAGAAAATATTGCAATGAACCTACATTTCACAATATTCAGCTTTAATAATGATTAGCACATGAACAAAAATGTCTCATATATACCCCCACCTGGTCTTTCCAATTGTGTTAGTTCTGAAGGAATCTGAAAACATCATATTATTTTATCTGCAAATATTTGTATATTTATCTTTAAAAGATAAAAAGTGTTTCAAAATATACCACTGTCCATCATAAAACATTAAAAATAACAAGAATTCCTTAATATAATGAAACATCATGTGTGAAAATTTTCTTGATTGTCTCATAAATGTGAGTGTTTTAAGTTTGTTAAAATAATCTGCAAATAAAAACTACATGTTATGTTTTGAGACAGCTCTGAATTTTTTTTCAGTTTATAACCCTGCTTCCCAATAGCATTTCCTGTGATGATAGAAAAGTTCTGTATCTATATTGTCTGTATGTGGCTATTGTGCCCTTGAGCGTGCTAGTGTGAATTATAGAACCAAATTTTTATTTTTATTTAATTTTTGTTAATTTAAATTTAAATAGCCATATATGGATAATGGCTATAGTATTGGAAGTGAATATCAAATACCTGACCCTCCAGCTCTCTTTCATGTTTTACTTGCAGTTTATCTGCTGAACGTATCAATTTTTTAAAAACAGTAGCCCATAGCCTGGACTTTATTGACTATATCCTTAAGATGGCATTTGACATCTTCTTGTGTCCCACGTATTTTCTGTAAATTGGCAGTTGGATCCAGATGTTTGATCAATTCAAGAATGATTTTGGCAAGAATATACTGTAGTTGCTATTGTATTTTTCTTATCAGAAGACCTCTAGGTCTAGTTGCTTCCTTTTAGTGATCATTATGTAAATCCATAATTTAATTAGCGGCTGTAAATTGCAATATTCTAATTCTATACCTTCTTCTTCATTAAGACTGAGATACTCTTATAAAGAAAAATTCCCAGCCAGGGTCAGAGCCACATGCTTGTATTGCCACCTACTTGGGAAGCTGTGGTGGAAAGATCCCTTGGTCAGGAGTTCGAGGCCAGACTGGTAACATAGTGAGACCCTGTCTCTTAGATGAGGGAGATTGAGACAGAGAGAGAGAGAAAGAGAGAGAGAGAGAAAGATTTCCTTTCTCAATTACTTAGTTACCCAGATACACTTTTTATAGATAGGAAAGGCAAAATAAATTTTTGATTCTTACCCTTCTTTCCAGTTTTCAAAATAATGACTGGTCCTTCATATCCTATAATGATGGTCAATCAATGATTATTACCATTTTCTTTTTATTTTTTATTTTTTTGAGACGGAGTTTCACTCTTTCGCCCAGGCCGGAGTGCAGTGGTGTAATCTTGGCTCACTGCAAGATCCGCCTCTCAGGTTCACGCCACTCTCTCGCCTCAGCCTCCCAAGTAGCTGGGACTACAGGTGCCCACCACCCCGCCCAGCTAATTTTTTTTTGTATTTTTAGTAGAGACGGGGTTTCACTGTGTTAGCCAGGATGGTCTCGATCTCCTGACCTAGTGATCCACCTGCCTCGGCCTCCCAAAGTGCTGGGATTACAGGCGTGAGCAACCACGTTCGGCCGACAACTAGTATTTTAATATAAAGTAGTATAGGGAATATCAGAATACATCATAAAAATACTATTTTAGGAAGCCTATATGTGTTTATTAAAAATCAATGTTAATTTCCACAATATGTCGATATTCAAAACAAGTTTGAACATCATTGCTTTTAATCCAATATGCTATATTTTTCTTAAATACCCCCAGAGATGAAAAATTCACTACGTCTTCCTACAACCAACTAAATGTTGAACAAATTCCAAATAAGCATTATGCTTTCCTTAAGTTAAAATATAATTTTCTATCATTTCAATCCCATTTTATATCGCCCTCTTAAGCATTATACAATGTGCCTAATTCTCCTACATTTTACTGTTTTATTTATTTATTTATTTGAAGTTATTTTCAACATCATCGTACCTTGGGTAAGTGTTTGTATTTCATTTGCCCACTAAGAGGGATAAAACATTCTCATATCCAGTATTCCTACAATTTCGTTTTTCCTAGAATCTATAAATATATAATTGGAGAAAAAGCCATCATGATTTACAAACTAAAGGCTCTTTAATATCTACAGGAATCTTCTATAATTGCAGATGCGTGTCACAGTATTATCATATAGATTATTTTCAAATTATTTGTAGCTCTTAATCATATTTTGAAAAGTACTGCAAATGTGCCAGCTTGTGGAAATTACATCTGTCAACATTTTCATTTGCTGTCCTGGCCAGACATTTGATCCTACAGAATTTGCAGCTTAGAGTGCCTTTAATGAACATGCTGTATATACTTGAAGGCTGAGTAAAAAGAGGAGCTGGAGCAAATAGAGTATTACCATACAAAACCAGACTGTCAGTTCCAATTTAGATCCTTCTATTCCTGGTTACTCAGGGTTAAGCAGGTCCACCTCAAAGCTGCTGCTACAGGCGAGCAATCCCAGGAGTGGTAAGTAGCTTGGTCATGCCATTTCCAAGATATCTTTCTTTCGCTGCTGATAGGGCATGGCTTACTTTCCACAGCCAAGTTTATCTCTATAGTAAGGCATCAATACAATTTAGTGTCACAGGCAATTTGTATTGGATCAGTTGCATGCTGGCTTAATAGGGCAGAATTTTGACATTATTATGAAACACTTACATCATAAAAGTTATTAAAAAATCCTGTCCTAAGACCTAAAATAATTTGACATTTCACTCTGCTTGCTAGAAGAGGCCAAATTATAGATTTTCTTTTTAATGTTGAAGAGTTGATTCACTTCTCATTAATTAAATGTCCAGCATCTTTGGAATTAAGCTGTCAGGTTTTATAAATGGAGCAAAAGGCATTCTAATTTCTCATTCTGAGTATCTTGGAATTTAAATTACACCTCCGGGAGAAGAAGAGAGCATTGCAATTGTGGTTTGACTATTTGGACATCACTGCAGAAATGAGAGAAGAATGTAATCCTACTGCTTTGAGATAAATAATAATGAATTGGGTATTGGCAGTGAGGCATCTCTCAGTTAGAGCAGCGCAGTGAACTCTTATGCTGTACCTGGTCAGTGAAGTGAGTAGAGAGAATTTGTACATACCCTTTAGATGATTTTATGTTATAAATTTATTAAGTGCCCCAGAGCACAATGTATCTTCATAAATTACAATTAAAACTGAGACCTTCTTGGTCTCCAAAACCTCATGGCAAACTACTGTGGATGTACTAGAATTGCATCCCCAAATTGAATCAAGCTAGCAAGCAGTTAGCAAATACACAATATATACATAATCATATGCTGAGCACAAAGAAGGAAGAAATAGAAATGTGTTGATTACCAGGGGAACTTTAAAATATACCAAGCACCCAGGAATGTGATGTACAGTGATGTCAATTAAAGGCAGCATGAAATCAAAAGATTAGAAAGTATGCCAGAATCTGTGTTATGTAAAATGTAGAATTTTAAATAGGCCTTGAAGAAAAGGTAGGAGCCAAATTATTAGAAAGAAGAGAAAAAGGGAACTTTCCCGAGATTATCCAATATTAATGGAATTTCCAAAACTCCCTAATAGCAACAATTGCTTGGAGGGAATGTAAAAAGTGAGAAATATATATATATATATGGATACGTATATATCCCATGCCATACCTGCTGAATCAAGAAAGCCACTGGATGGAGAGAGTAGGGTAGGGAATCCATTTTTTTTAAAAACAAAAACATTAAATAAATAACCTCCAAACCACTGATCTACTTTTCCACTTTTAGTTTTCTTTTATAGATAGTGTCCAAAAGACTTGTATATATATTTTTCATGAACCTTATTCTGGCAGTTACTCCTATTTTTTCTTGAATGCACAAAATATCAGCCGTTATTTGCCACTTTACTTATGTTCTTATCGAGGCCAGGAAATGTTGCCATGTTGCCAATTCTAAAGCAATTGTAAGACTTCATCAGTGAGCGAACAGATGTCCTGGCTGACCTGGGAGTGATGGTTTTTCTGGACACAGGGTGCCAGTAGTGAAACCAGGAAAGTTTTGGGTAAAATGGGACAGTCGGTCAACTCCTCCATTTTAAACTGCTTTCTTAACTTGCTTTAAGGAACCCAAAATTCATATTCTTTTTCCTGAATCACAGGCCACTGCTTTGGTGGATTCTACTTTTGTGACCTCATTTCCTTTTATCCCACAACTCAGTCATTCGGCTCATGCCATGCTGGTCTCCATGCTGCTTCTGGACCACTGGAACTAATACTGTTAGGGTATTTGCATTTTTTCTTTACTGTGGTCTCTAATGCTCTAAAGCTGTGCCTGCAGATATCTGCTTGACCCTCTGTGTCACTTTAGTCACATCTCTGCAGGAATGTCACTTTAACACAACTATTGCTTATAGCTACACTGTAATATTGCACAAACTTACATATATCACATTGTCTCTATTGCTTTGTTTCTATTTTTAATGAACTTTATCAATATCTGATTTCATTATATTTATATAATAAACATATTTAGCATGTTAATATATTTAATATAAATAAACATAGTAACTTTAAAATAAATATTTTATGCTTTCTCCAACAGAATGAAAAATACTGCTTTCCCTCTTTATCACTGTATCTCTGTCACTTCTGATAGTGTAAAGTGTATAGTTGAAGTTCAAAAGTATTTGGTGAATGAATAAATAAAGATGGCAATGTTATTGACATTACAAAAGTCAATACCAAGTAAGGTGGTGAACGAGAACTCAATTGTAGATACTCCTGATTTCAGAGTCTTGGTATTGAAGCACTACATCACCATGCCTTCTTTCAATCTATAGAATAACTGCAAGTGAGGGAGGGAGTGGCTGTCTAATATTGGCCAGGTCGATTATTTGAAGATTGATCATAAAAGGCAGAGATGCTAGGTCACATGGCAACTCGTGTATAACTTTTTGAGAAACTTTCAAGCTGTTTCACCAATGACTGTACTATCTTACATTTCCGAAGTACAAGGTTCAAATTAACATCCATCCTTGCCAACACATTATGTTCAGTGAAAGAATCCACATAGTGAAAGAATACATACATACAGTCACGTATTGTATAATTCCATTTAAGTCGAATGTCCAGAATATACCAATTTTAAAGACAGAAAATAGATTAATGATTACCAAGTATTGAGAAATGAAGGCAATAACGTCTTACTGCTATGGAGATGGGGTCTTTATGGCAATCTCATTTTTCTCTAGAAAAATGTTCTGGAATTAAATAGTGGTGATGGCTGCACAACCTCGTGAATACACTAAAAGCCACTGAAGTGTTCACTTGAGTTTTATGGTGAATTATGTGAGGATTATATATTTAAAAAGGCAAAAAATGACTAGAGGTTATCAAATAATTGAAATAATTCAGTACATTATGTGCTCTGCTATTGGGCATTTCTAATTGTGTTTTCTGAATGTAATGTCCCCCCAAACTATACTTTTGTTTTTTATTTCAACTGATGTATCCCAAATGGCTTGTAGGCATGCTCTTGATATTTTCATATTGATATTGTATCCAATAATTTTTTTGAAATTTTTTATTATTTTGAATATTGTCTTTATACATTTTAATGTTTTTTAATATTGACAAGAACATTGTCTACAAATATTTTTCTTCATATTGTACTTGTATGTACTTTATTGTCTTATTCTAATCAGTAGGATCTCAAGTAAATATTGATTATGAACTTTGGTATCATATAATCATATAATGTTATGGATTTTAAAAAGGGTATTTTAATATTTCACTTTTAGGTATTGTGTGTTTTAGATTTTCACTAGATTTTTTTTATTTGGTTTTGGTAATTTCTTTCTATAACTACGTTGCTGACTGTTTATGTTTTATAATGAGTTTATCTTTAATTATATCAATTATGGTTTTTGTATTCAAATACAAATTTATGAAGATGGCCAACTAAAAGCAGCAGCAATCAGAGGTTCCCATCAAAAAGAACCATAACAGAGTGCAAATCCTGCACCGGCTACCGAGGTATCCAGGTTCCGTCATTGGAACGGACTAGGCAACTGGCATGAGCCATGGAGAGGAAGGAAGAGCAGTGTGGTGCAGCAGCCCACTGGAGAGCTACATGGGGCAGGAGAGTTCCCACCTCACAGCCAAGGGAGGCGGTGAGTGAGCATGCCACCTCGGCTGGGAAACCGTGCTTTTTCTATGGAACTGTGAAACCCATGAATTAGGTTTTACTTGTGAGCCCATGCCACTGGGGCCTAGGGTCCCAGCTATGGAGCCATGCAGATTCTCAACAACCACTCAGCTACAATCTGCTTAAGCCTGCTGAGCTCCTGTAGGGAGGGGTGGCCAGTACCACAGCTGTGGCTACCTGCTGTCTAAACCATTTGTGCTCCTTGAGGGAGAGGCAGCAGCCATCACTGGGACTGATAGCTGCCTAACACACTAAGCTGCCAGGGCAGGGGAAGGGCGGCAGCCATCTCTATAGCTCCAGGCTGAGCTTTTCACTTGCTGGAACCAGGGAAGCTGGACGGCTTGGTCCCAAGATGTATCCCCCTCAGCCCAACACACTGGCTGTGACAGACAGTAGCTAGAGTGCCTCCTCAGGCCTGACCCTGACTCATCCCTCTTCACTGGCCAGGTCCTCCCTGCAAGAACTCCAGTAACTCCAGCCAAAGGCTCAGGGACAATACTCTGATCTCCCAGAGCCTGAGTCCCTAGGGGGAGGGGCGGCCACAGTCTCCACAGACCAGCAGACTTAGTCTTTCCTCCTGCTAGTTCTGAGGAATCTGGGGAGCCCAGACAAATGGGTTTCCCTAAAGTGAAGCACACCCCTCCACCAAGGGACAGTGAGACTGTTTCGTTAGATGAGTCCTGCTCCCTGTGCCACCCAACTGGGGGAGACCCTCCAATAGGGGTTGTCAGACAACCTATACAGGAACATTCCTACTGGCATCAGGTTGATGTCCCTCAAGGTCAGAGATCCCAAAGGAAAGAGTAGGCACCCATTTTTGCTATTCTCCAGACTCCTTGAGTGACATCTCCGGGCACAGGAGTGAACCAGATGAATAGGGCATGAACCCCTAGCAAACCACAGCAGCTCTAAAGAAGAGGAACCAGACCGTTGGAAGAAAAACAAACAGAAAGCAACAACAACAGCATCAGTGAAAAAAAGTCCCTACAAAAACCCCATCCAAGGGTCAAAGATTGAAAGCTTCAAAGATTGAAAGTAGACAAACTCATGAAGACGAGAAAAAAGACAACAAAAAAATGCAAAAACCCGAAAGTCCAGAGTGCCTTTTCTCCTCCAAATGATTACAACACATTTCTAGCAAGGGCACAGAACTGGAAGGAGGATGAAGTGAATGAACTGACAGAAGTAGGCTTCAGAAAGTGGGTAATAACAAACTCCACTGAGCTAAAGGAACATGTTCTAACCCAATGCAAAGAAGCTAAGAACCTTGATAAAAGGCTACAAGAGCTGCTAACTAGAATAACCAGTTTAGAGAGGAACGTAAATGACCTGATGGGGCTCAAAAACACAGCACAGGAACTTTGTGATGCATACACAAGCATCAATAGCCAAATCGACTGAGCAGAAGAGAGGATATCAGAGTGTGAAGACTATCTTGCTGAAATAAGGCATGCAGACAAGATTAGAGTAAAAAGAATGAAAAGGAACAAACAAAACCTCAGAGAAATATGGAACTATGTAAAAAGACTGAACCTATGATTGATTGGAGTACCTGAAAGCGATGCGGAGAATGAAACCAAGTTGGAAAACACACTTCAGGATAGTATCCAAGAGAACTTCCCCAACCTAGCAAGACAGGCCAACATGCAAATTCAGGAAATACAAAGAACACCACTAAGACACCCCACAAGCAGATCAACCCCAAGACACATAATCATCGGATTCTCCAAAGTCAAAATGAAAGAAAAAGTGTTAAGGGCAGCCGGAGATAAACGCCAGGTCACCTACAAAGGGAAGCCCATCAGACTAACAGCAGACCTCTCAGCAGAAACCCTACAAGCCAGAAGAGAGTGGGAGACAATATTCAACATTCTTAAATAAAATAATTTTCAACCCAGAACTTCATATCCAGCCAAACTAAGCTTCATAAGCAAAGGAGAAATAAAATCCTTTCCAGACAAGCAAATGCTGAGGGATTTTGTCACCACCAGGCCTTCCTTGCAAGAGCTCCTGAAGGAAGCACTAATATGGAAAGGAAAAACCGATACCAGCCACTATAAAAACATACCAAAATATTAAGACCAATGACACAACAAAGAAACTTCATCAACTAGTGTGCAAAATAACCAGATAGCATTATAATGAGAGGATCCAATTCACACATAACACTATTAACCTTAAATGTAAATGGGCTAAACAACCCAATTAACAGACACAGACTGGCAAATTGGATAAAGATTCAAGACCCATTGGTGTGCTGTATTCAGGAGACCCATGTCATGTGCAAAGACACACATAGGCTCAAAATCAAGAGATGGAGGAAAATCTACCAAGTAAATAGAAAGAAAAAAAACCAGCAGGGGTTGCAATCCTATTCTCTGACTAAACAGACTTTAAACCAACAAAGATCAAAAAAGACAAAGAAGGGCATTACATAAGGGTAAAGAAATCAATTCAACAAGAAGTGCTAACTATTCTAAATATATGTACACCCAATACAGGAGCACTCAGATTCATAAAACAAGTTCTTAGAGACCTACAAAGAGGCTTAGACTCCAACACAATAATAGTGGGAGACTTTAACACCCCATTGTCAATGTTAGACAGATTGAGACAGAAAATTCACAAGTATATTCAGGACTTGAACTCAGGTCTGAATCAAGTGGACCTAATAGACATCTACAGAACTCTCCACCCCAAATCAACAGAATATACATTCTGCCCAGTGCCACATGGCACTTATTCTAAAATTGACCACCTAAGTGGAAGTAAAACACTTCTCAGCAAATGCGAAATAACTGAAGTCATAACAAGCAGTCTCTCAGACCACTGTGCAATCAAATTAGAACTCAGGATTAAGAAACTCCGTCAAAACCACACACAGACATGGAAATTGAACAACCTGGTCCTGAATGACTACTGGGTAAATAATGAAATTAAGGCAGAAATAAATAAGTTTTTTGAAACCAATGAAAACAAAGAGACAACATACCAGAATCTCTGGGATGCAGCTAAAGAAGCGTTAACAGGGAAATTTATAGCACTAAATGCCCACATCAGAAAATTAGAAAATCCTCAAATCCACACCCTAACATCACAATTAAAAGAGCCAGAGAAACAAGAGCAAACAAATCCAAAAGCTAGCAGAAGACAAGAAATAGCTAAGATCAGAGCAGAACTGAAGGAGGTGGAGACATGAAAATCTCTTAAAAAAATCAAATGAATCCAGGAGCCAGTTTTTTAAAAAAGTTAACAAAATAGATAGACCACTAGCTAGACTAATAAAGAAGAAAAGAGAAGAATCAAATAGACACAATAAAAAAGGGCATATTACGACTGACCCCACAGAAATACAAACTACCATCAAAGAATACTATAAACACCTCTACAAAAATAAACTAGAAAATCTAGAAGAATTGGATAAATACCTGGACATATACACCCTCCCAAGACTAAACCAGGAAGAAGTCAAATCTCTGAATAGATCAATAACAATTTCTGAAATTGAGGCAGTAATTAATAGCCTATCAACCAAAAAAAGCCCAGGACAAGACAGCCCAGGACAAGACAAGATTCACAGCCGAATTCTATGAGAAGTACAAAGAGGATCTGGTACCATTTCTCCTGAAAATATGACAAACAATTGAAAAGGAGGGACTCCTCCTTAACTCATTTTGTGAGGTCAGCATCATCCTGATAACAAAACCTGGCAGAGACACCACAAAAAATGAAAACTTCATGCCAATATCCCAAATGAACATCAATGTGAAAGTTCTCAGTAAAATACTGGCAAACTGAATTCAGCAGCATACCAAAAAGCTTATCCACCATGATTACATCAGCTTCATCCCTGGGATGCAAGGCTGGTTCAACATATGCAAATCTATAAACGTAACCCATCACATGACAAAAACCACATGATTATCTCAATAGATGCAGAAAAGGCCTCCAATAAAATTCAACATCCCTTCATGTTAAAAATTCTCAATAAACTAGGTATTGATGGAACATGTCTCCAAATAATAAGAGTTATTTATGACAAACCCACAGCCAATATCATACTGAATGGGCAAAAGCTGGAAGCATTCCCTTTGAAAACTGGCATAAGACAAAGATGCTCTTTCTCACCACTCCTATTCAACATAGTATTGAATGCTCTGGCCAGGGCAATCAGGCAAGAGAAAGAAATAAGGGTATTCAAATAGAAAGAGAGGAAGTCAAATTGTCTCTGTTGGCAGATGACATGATTCTATATTTATAAAACCCCATCATCTCAGCCCAAAAAACCTTAAGCTGATAAGCAACTTCAGCAAAGTCTCAGGATACAAAATCAATGTGCAAAAATCACAAGCATTCCTATATGCCAACAATAGACAAGCAGAGAGCCAAATCATGAATGAACTCCCATTCACAATTGCTACAAAGAGAATAAAATACCTAGGAATACAGCTAAAAAGAGATATGAATGACCTCTTCAAGGAGAACTACAAACCACTGCTCAAGGAAATAAGAGAGGACACAAACAAATGGGAAAACATTCTATTCTTATGGACAGGAAGAATTGAAATCGTGAAAATGGCCATACTTCCAAAAGTAATTTGTGCTATTCCCATCAAACTACCATTGACTTTCTTCACAGAATTAGAGAAAAACTACTTTAAATTTCATACAGAACCAAAAAGAACCCATATAGCCAAGACAATCCCAAGAAAAAAGAACAAAGCTGGAGGCATCATGCTACCTGACTTCAAACTATACTACAAGGCTACAGTAACCAAAACAGCATGGTATCGGTACCAAACAAATATATAGACAAATAGAACAGAACAGAGACCTCAGAAATAACACCACACATCTACAACCATCTGGTCTTTGATAAACCTGATAAAAACAAGCAATGGGGATATGATCTCCTATTCAGTACATGGTGCTGGGAAAACTGGCTAGCCATATGCAGAAAACTGAAACTGGACCCCTTCCTTAAACCTTACACAAAAATTAACTCAAGATGGATTAAAGACTTAAATATAAAACCCAAAACCATAAAAACTCTAGAAAAAAAAAAAAACAACCTAGGCAATACCATGCAGGACATAGGCACAGGCAAAGACTTCATGACAAAAACACCAAAAACAATTGCAACAAAAGCCAAAATTGACAAATGGGATCTAACTCAACCTAAAGACCTTCTGCGCAGCAAAAGAAACTATCATCAGAGGGAACAGGCAACCTACAGAATGGGAGAAAATTTTTGCAATCTACCCAGCTGACAAAGGTTTAATATCCAAAATTTATAAGGAACTTAAACAAATTTGCAAGAAAAAAACAACCCCATTAAAAAATGGCAAAGGATATGAACAGACACTTCTTAAAAGAAGACGTTTATACGGCCAACAAACATATGAAAAAAAAAACTCATTACTAATCATTAGAGAAATGCAAATAAAAACCACAATGAGATACCATCTCATTCCAGAGCAAATGGTGATTACTAAAAAGTCAAGAAACAATAGATGCTGACGATGCTGCAGAGCAATAGGAATGCTTTTACACTGTTGGTGGGAAGGGAAATTAGTTCAACCAATGTGGAAGACAGTGTGGGAATTCCTCAAGGATCTAGAACCAGAAATACCATTTGACCCAGCAATCCCATTACTGGGTATATACCCAAAGAAATATAAATCATGCTACCATAAAGACACATGCATATGTATGCTTATTGCAGCACTGTTTACAATAGCAAAGACATTTAACCAACCCAAATGCACATCAATGGATAGATAGACTGGATAAAGAAAATATGGTACAGATACACCATGGAATACTATGTAGCCATAAAAAGGAATGAGATTATGTCCTTTGCAGGGACATGGATGAAGCTGGAAGCCATCATCCTCAGCAAACTAACACAAGAACAGAAAACCAAAAACTGCATGTTCTCACTCCAAAGTGGGAGCTGAACAATGAGAACACATGAAGACAGGGAGGGGGAAAATACACACCGGGACCAGCCAGGGGATGTGGTGGGCAAGGTGAGGGAGAGCATTAGGACAAATAGCTAATGCATGTGGGACTTAACACGTAGATGATGGGTTGATAGGTGCAGCAAATCACCATGACACACATATACTTGTGTAACAAACCTACATGTTCTGCACTTGTATCCCAGAACTTAAAGTAAAATAAAATAAAATAAAATAAATTAAAATAAAATAAATAAATAAATAAATATTCAATGGAAAAAATACATGCAATAGCTTTAACAGTTAATGTGATAAATTGCATTAGAGAGCATTCTAATAGTAAATGATCTTTGCACTTCCTGAATAATCCCATATTGGATAAGAATGTATTATTAATTTATGAATGATACTGTCTCCAATTTTTTATTTATTTATTTTCTTACTTCTATTTAAACATGACTTCGAGTTTAGTTTTCTTATGTTTTCTTATCCTTGGGAAACATTCATACATTTCTGTCCATACATTCAATGTCCTGTTTTTTAGCTAGTAAAAATTATTTTCATAAAATGAATCTAAACAGTATCTGGAAGTTTATATATGAAATAATTTTTCTTTATCCATTTCTTTTTCTTTATTAATTTTTTTTGCTTCTGGAAGTTTATTAACTTTATTAAATGTAGCCTAATAATAGTTATTTTTACTTTAATTTTAGACTATGCATTTAAACCCTTAAACAGTAATCATTTGAATCAGATTTCCTTTTAAATTCATTTCACTAATTAATTAATATATAATAGTTTTACATATTTATGAGGTACATTTTTTGATACATGCCTACATTGGATCAGGATAATTGGGATATTTGTCACCTTAAACATTTATTATTTCTTTGTCCAGGGAACTTTCCAAATCTTCTTTTCCTGCTGCTTTTAAATATGCTATACGTTCTTGCGAGCTATAGTTACCCTACTTTAAGTAACATATTCTAACTGTATATTTTGTTAGAAATTTATCTATTTGCTTATAAATTGTTGTTACATTATTCACCTGTTTTCAGTTGTGTCTTCTAATGTCTAATATTACTAATTTATACATTTTTTCTTTTAAAAATGCAGCTTTTGTTCTTCTTGATGTTTTCTACTGTTTCTTTGTTTTCACATATCTCTGCTTTTAATTCTATTCCTTCCTTCCTTCCACTTTATTTGGACTTATTTTGTTATTTCTTTTCTATTTTTTGGATTCAGAATCTTAACTCATTACTTTTCATCTTTTTCTTTTCTAATAGAAATATCTAAAACTATACATTTTCATATGGCTATGAATATAGCTGTATCACACACATCTAGATATATTCTTATTTTCTTATTTCTCAGTTAAAAAAGTTTGTTAATTTTTATAATAATTGCACTTTTACTTATAGATTATGTAATAGTTTGCATTTTAAAACATTTTTAAATGTATGTAATATTTTTGGCTCTATTCTTGTTATTTATTCCTGTTTATTTTTTTATGAACATAAATGATTACCCGTATATTAGATCTTTGGTGCTTGTTGATAACAACCTAATGAGACAGGTTCTATAATTATCCCTACTTCACAGATGGGGAAAACTGAGAAACACAGCAGGTAAAAAAAGTTCCTAATAACACACAAATGGTGGAATTGGGAATTAAACCTGGGCAGTTTGTCTCCCCAGTTATCTCTTTGTGTGTTTTATTTTATTATGGTTTCAGTTCCTCCTCTCAATATTGTGGGCATATTTGCTAATAACTCCTCAGTTCTTGAGGAGTTACTTTTCTTTTTGGGAGAGTCTGATAGTTTTCTTCCATTACTGATACCCTCATTTGATTTTTAACTTTTATTTTTGGGAGAGTCTGATAGTGTTCCTCCATTATTGATCCCCTCATTTGACTTTTAATTTTACTATAGTGATTATTCTATGTTCATTTGCAGTCAGGTTTTTTGTACCAGGGAAATGTCAATTGTTTTTCATACCTGGCACCTTAGGAAGAAGACACAATTTTGTGCACGGGCATAAGAATGGTGCACAGAAATTTTCTAAACTCCTCTAATGAAGAGGCAGCCCTTTCCATGCCTCGGATTCCGCAAGGATTTCTTCTGTAGTGCCCTATGGGAGTCTGGCTCAGTGCCACATTTATTGTCTCTATGGAGGTGCTAGAACTCATTTTTTTTTTATACTTTAAATTTTAGGGTACATGTGCACAACGTGCAGATTTGTTACATATGTATACATGTGCCATGTTGGTGTGCTGCATCCATTAACTCATCATTTAGCATTAGGTATATCTCCTAAAGCTATCCCTCCCCCCTCCCCTCACCCCGCTAGAACTCTTGTTGACAGCTACAGTGTGGGGAGGTACCTTTCTTTTTAAAATAAAGCTATTAATTTATTTGATATAGTTAAATAAATATATATTATTATTATAATTTATGTATTTCTTTGTAGACATTTTGTTTCTATCTTGAAATTAAACCGGATATTTAAGATCCAGCCTTTACTATATGAAGGACAAAAGGAATAAACTGAAAGATGGGTAGTAGGATCATATTCAACAAAACATCTGTCCTAAACTTTTGGTCGTTGCAGATGATCAAATTAACGTGATGTCATTAAGGTGTGTCCTAATCCATTATGACTCTGTTCTTATAAAAAGGGGAAACGAGCACTGAGACAAACAATTACAGGGGCAATGTCATGGATTATGAAGGAAGAGATTGAAGAGAGGCATCTTCAAACCAAGGAACATCAAAAATTGCCAGCAAACCACCAGGAGCTAGAAAGGGAAAATGAAATAGATTCTCCCTCACAGCCTTCAGAAGCAAGCAACCCTGTTGGACCATGATGTTGAACTTTCAGTATCCAAAACTGTGAGAGAATAAATTTATATTATTTTAAATCACTCGGTTATGGTTCTTAGAGCAGCCCTAGGAAACCAATACCAAAGTTACTTGGCCAAAGGACATCAGAAATACTTGAATAGCTCCGAATGTGCCTTTTTCTTTCAGGGTCTGAGAGGAATATATAAAATAGAACCATACATTCTGAAAGTACATTTTGTATTAATAAATGTTGGCCCCAAAGCTTGGGGTAAGATTCCATGAGATAAAATGGATCATGAGGACAAGTCCTTTAACCAAAGCTAAAAAGAAGCCAAGGAAGATGTGTGTTTATCTTTTTCACTGAGCTCTTAACTGATTTTTTTTTAATTTAATAATGGATTGAAAATAAGACTGGGTCAAGAAATTTCCAAGTCACCTCTTATGCTTTGTAGAAATGAAACATTTTGGTGGAGAAGGATATGGAAGATTTCCAATTTCAATTAAAAATCTAGCTTCATGGAAGCAAATTATGCTACCTGGAATTTAGATTATTTGGAACAACAGGAGCGATTAAAACCATCCCTTCTTTGTGAAATATCCTTTACTTGATGAGCCATAACAGGCACTCTTTTTGGGACTGAAGAAAAATAAATTTTTACTGACTTATTTCTAGAAGAGTAAGGAAAAATGTATCAGTGTAGATAGAGATAGTACTTTCTTTTATCTAAAGGCCAAGATGAGGTAAAATAAAATATTTATAGCTCTTTTAAGAGAGATTATGGGTTCAGTTATTCTCAAGAAATCTCTCTGTTAGCTTTACAAAGTTCTGACTTAAGAAAGAATCCATGTGATATTAAATTGAGCTATTTGAACTCAATGACTCAAATCTGTATATTGAATCAAGGGTCTCTTTTTCAGAGAAGTTAAACTTGGATATTGATGAAGAGGATAATAGACATAACCATAACATTTATTAAGAAATATCTCTGTGCATGGCAGCATGCTAAAGATATTTAAAAACTTGTTCTATGTGACATAATTCCTGAAGAGCTAGGACTTTTTTTTCAAAATTGGTATTTCTAAACTATGCTACATTTCCACAGCATCCCTTTCCTTTCAGAGTCCTCCTTAACCAAGGTTTACATTTATTAGGAGATGCTACAAAAAATGACACTGTGTTATTTATTTTCAAACCCACAGTTAGGGTTCAGAAGATAAAGAGAAATCCATCAGGCAGATAGCAAAAAAAGTAAACAATATAATTGGAAAATGTGTCCAGAAACTTTATTTGATATGAAGTTTTATTCCAACTTCTAAAATTTCCTCTGTGTCAAAGGGTTGAAAGACTAGAAATTACTTTTCCCTCCTTGTTTTCCAGCAGAGTTTTAGTTAGGGTTAGCTAATTAGAAGAACTTGGATGAGATGGAAAGCAAAATGAGCAAAAGCACTATTCTTTGGCGAAAGCTTAGAATAGGCATATGGCATTTGTATATGACAGACATAGAGTTTTGCCAGGACTGTTTAGACATATCTCTGAGAATGACACACTCTGTTTTTCAGAAGCTGCTGTCACCTGTGATGCCTCCCTTGAAACTCTTGCACTTTCCAATTTTCTAAAAAACAGACACACCCTCCCTATTCTTTGGTCTCCCAGCTCTTCTATTATAACTATAGTGTAAGATTCAAATTCTTCCCTGAAATACATAGAATGGCTCATGTATAAATGAAAAATCCTAAATAAGACAGAAAGGACCAAAATAATGTGATGTCAGGTATTAAATTAGGAAAAGAGGAAGTCAAATTGTCCCTGTTTGCAGATGACATGATTGTATATCTAGAAAACCCCATCGTCTCAGCCCAAACTCTCCTTAAGCTGGTAGGCAACTTCAGTAAAGTCTCAGGATACAAAATCAATGTGCAAACATCACAGGCATTCTTATATACCAATAACAGACAAACAGAGAGCCAAATCATGAGTGAACTCCCATTCACAATTGCTTCAAAGAGAATAAAATACCTTGGAATCCAACTTACAAGGGACGTGAAGGACCTCTTCAAGGAGAACTGCAAATCACTGCTCAATGAAATAAAAGAAGACACAAACAAATGGAAGAACATTCCATGCTCATGGGTAGGAAGAATCAATATCGTGAAAATGGCCATACTGCCCAAGGTAATTTATAGATTCAATGCCATCCCCATCAAGCTACCAATGACTTTCTTCACAGAATTGGAAAAAACTACTTTAAAGTTCATAAGGAACCAAAAAAGAGCCCACATTGCCAAGTCAATCCTAAGCCAAAAGAACAAAGCTGGAGGCATCACGCTACCTGACTTCAAACTATACTACAAGCCTACAGTAACCAAAACAGCATGGTACTGGTACCAAAACAGAGACATAGACCAATGGAACAGTACAGAGCCCTCAGAAATAATGCCGCATATCTACAACCATCTGATCTTTGACAAACCTGACAAAAACAAGAAATGGCGAAAGGATTCCCTATTTAATAAATGGTGCTGGGAAAACTGGTTAGCCATATGTAGAAAGCTGAAACTGGATCCCTTCCTTACATCTTATACAAAAATTAATTCACGATGGATTAAAGACTTAAATGTTAGACCTAAAACCATAAAAACCCTAGAAGAAAACCTAGGCAATACCATTCAGGACATAGGCATGGGCAAGGACTTCATGTCTAAAACACCAAAAGCAATGGCAACAAAAGCCAAAATTGACAAATGGGATCTAATTCAACTAAAGAGCTTCTGCACAGCAAAATAAACTACCATCAGAGTGAACAGGCAACCTACAGAATGGGAGAAAGTTTTTGCAATCTACTCATCTGACAAAGGGCTAATATCCAGAATCTACAATGAACTCAAACAAATTTACAAGAAAAAAACAAACAACCCCATCAAAAAGTGGGCGAAGGACATGAACAGACACTTCTCAAAAGAAGACATTTATGCAGCCAAAAAACACATGAAAAAATGCTCATCATCACTGGCCATCAGAGAAATGCAAATCAAAACCACAATGAGATACCATCTCACACCAGTTAGAATGGTGATCATTAAAAAGTCAGGAAACAACAGGTGCTGGAGAGGATGTGGAGAAATAGGTACACTTTTACACTGTTGGTGGGACTGTAAACTAGTTCAACCATTGTGGAAGTCGGTGTGGCAATTCCTCAGGGATCTAGAACTAGAAATACCATTTGACCCAGGCATCCCATTACTGGGTATATACCCAAAGGATTATAAATCATGCTGTTGTATGTTGCTGTATGTAGCATGCACACGTATGTTTATTGTGGCACTATTCGCAATAGCAAAGACTTGCCACCAACCCAAATGTCCAACAATGATAGACTGGATTAAGAAAATGTGGCACATATATACCATGGAATACTATGCAGCCATAAAAAATGATGAGTTCATGTCCTTTGTAGGGACATGGATGAAGCTGGAAACCATCATTCTCAGTAATCTATCGCAAGGACAAAAAACCAAACACCGCATGTTCTCACTCATAGGTGGGAATTGAACAATGAGAACACAGGGACACAGGAAGGTGAACATCACACTCTGGGGCCTGTTGTGGGGTGGGGGGAGGGGGAGGGATAGCATTTGGAGATATACCTAATGTTAAATGACCAGTTACTGGGTGCAGCACACCAACATGGCACATGTATACATATGTAACTAACCTGCACGTTGTGCACATGTACCCTCAAACTTAAAGTGTAATAATAAAAAATCATAATAATAAAATAAAAATAAAAATAAAATAAATAGAACATTGTAGGGTCTTCTTTGAAGTAGAACAAATTCCTTGGTGCAATTTATGTGTCAAAGTTTCCTGTGGCATCAGGCTGACATGGGAATTTTACTTGAAATGACACCCTTGCTTGGCCCCTTTCTCTTTCTTAACCTACTTCTTCCCTGCTCTTCTCTGTCTCTCTGGATAACTTCCATAATAAATCAAGTTACTTGTACCTGAAAACTCCATAATCTGTATGGCTAGTGGCTACACTTGTTGACAGTACAGCTTCTACCATAATACATAGTTTCACTGGAAAGTGCTGTTCTAGCGGGTTTCACTGATTTCATCTTCCTACAATGAAAGGTTCTATATAGTCTGATTACATTGTTTGAAGTAGAGATAGTAATAATTAGGGGCTGCATTTAGTTTTATTAAGGTTTATTATTTGTGGTTTGCCCTTACTCTTAAAATGTGTCCCATATGAGGTCTTGAATAATGACCTTGTGGTCTTTTAACTCTAATCTTTGTGTTCCTAGCACAAAGGGATTGGTGAATGTTCTTAGTTTCACTGCTTCTTAGCCTCATGCACAGTCTAAGAATAAAAATACTTTAGTGGGATGACACAGACCAGATTTTGACCTCATTTTTCTGAAGTTCTTTTTTCTACATAGTCTTTTTCCCTCAAGTTGTGACTGTCTTAGTATAGCTAAACTTTGACTTTACTTTCCGATTCACATGAATCTTCCAAAGACTCTGGTTCAAGAATTCTATTTAGTTGCTCAGCCTACTGAAAATTAGGTATAAATTTAAGAAAAAATCTTCAGAGAAGCTTGAGCTCACTTACTCTATTCTTATTCTCTCTGATATCCTTATTTTTCAATTCCTGGCTGCCTTGTATACTCTTCTATGCCTTTACTTGGTAGCTGAATTATGATAAATCTACACTAGTTTGTTTTCCCCTCATTCTTATTTGGATTCTAAGGCTTTAGCTGGCTATCTTTCATCTGTTTTGATAATCCTCAGGCATTGTTTCTTCAACGATTCAGCCTTATTTTCTCTCTCCTATTTTTCAGTCTCCAGTTACCCAGATTAGACCACGTAACTGTAACTAAGTATTATCCTCTCTCCCTTAGTTGTTATTCAGTTTTTACTTCATATATTCATTCTGGATATTTTCTTCAAGCCTATCTTCCAGCTCATTATTCTCTCTTCAGCTTAGGGTATTCTTTTGTTAAACACATTTATTTTATTGATTTACATACTTTTCAGTTCTCTGCCAAATTTGTCTATCTTATCTTCTATCTTTTTGAACATGTTAAGCATTATCTACATAATTACATTTTCTGGACCTCTTCTAGGTCTATTTTTATCTTTTATTGTGTTTTGCTTTGTAATAATAATGAGTTTTGTTTCCTTCCAAGTGAGGGGTAAAGTAATAGTGAACAGCATATATAAGAATTGTAGAGATATTTCAAGGAGTAGAATTAATTTACATCCGTGTAAAGAGGGTGCTTGTTTACTTTCATTGTATGTCAAGGGCAATAGCAAACCAAGATAACCTTCATCTGTTCAGAAAAGTTTAGATTATTTAAAGCAGGGCTGCTGTTTTTGAACATGCCAGTATATTTCTGATTCATTCTCACCAGTATAAATTATCATTTTATGGTCTTAATATAAAGTATAGGGGGTTTAAAAGCTTCTTCTACTTGCCATTTTTCTGGACTCCATTTTTTTTTTCATTCCCTATTTCCTCTAGGCTGTCAAAGCATCTGTTTAACTTTTTTATATATCAGCTTCCTTTTCTGGAATTACTAGATGCTTCTAGGGGAAAAGTAGACAAAAATACCAGTACTACTTTTTTTTTTTTATTTCTATGCTCCTTCACTGCCTTATTAGTTTCCTGTTTCCATCTAATGAGTTTAAAAAACAAAACAAAACAAAAAAACAAAAATATTTCCTGTCTTTCTAGCTATTCTTAGCAGGGAGGTTGGTCCAAATTATTTAGGTCTCTGTTTCTCTATATGAGTATCTGCTAGCATGACTTTACTACAAACTATTTTTTCCTAAACCAAGGAATAAGTAAATGCTATGTTTAACTTACAAACATTTAAAAAATAATTAAGTTAGAGCCTTAATACACATAAACATGCATTAAATGGTTTATGATAAATGGCTTATAAAATGTGTTTCTCTGAATTGTGCTTATATCATCAACATCTGGGTTATCATTTATTCTCTTCTATGTATTATAGTTGCTGACGGCTGATAATATAGTCATGTCAGCATCATCACAATGTTTTATTAGCTATATCTGGCCAGACATACTAATTATAATATAGGTGACACCTCTGTCACATTTGTTCAAATATCATACTTAATATTACAATCTTGATTAGATATATGTATAGCTATGATTGTTCAACTCTGTGTAGCCAAGCATATTGTGGTTGTATTGTCTAGGAGTCTTGACTGAATTATCTAAAAAACTTCAAAATTGTAGTGGCTTAATAAAATATAATTGTATAATTTTCCCATGTAATGGTCCTAATTTACAGTTCAGATTGGATGACAATCTATCCCTCTCCTATAAGTACTAACTCAAAGACCTTGGCTATTTACCTCTGAGGGTCCACCACCTCTTAGAAACTTGTCATCAGAGATTGCATCTAGCAAAAGGAAGAAATCACTTCTCAGCCTTTTGGCTAAGATCAAGTATACTATCTGTTCTTATCAGCTAAATATCTTATATGTTCTCTTTCCGAGGAAAATATTAAATGGATCGTTGGAAATAGCAGATAGAACATAAGTTTGTTTTGTCTACTCCATACATTAACTTGGCATTGCAGTACTGCCAGGAAGAGACAGAGGGAGAGACAGAGAACAAAAGAAAAGAAAGAAAGTAAGAAAAAAAGAAAGAAAGAGAGAGAGAGAAAGAAAGAAGGAAATAAAGAAAGAGAGAGAAAGAAAAAAGAAAGAAAGAAAAGAAAGAAAGAAGAAAAGGAGAAAGAAAACATCTAGGCAAAGAAGCAAAAAGAAAAAAACAATCACTACCACTCACATGATATCACTACAATTATAACTCAGATTCTCTATCTACAGGGAATGTAGGAAATGCTACATGCCCAGAGAAAAGAGGAAACAGGCATCAGTGAATATCTGATAGTTTCTGACCCAATGGCAAAAACACCTTCATTTGTAAACAGGCATACTATTGTCTTCTGGGAACAAAATGCTGACTTTTTTTTTCTTCCAACCAGAAAGAGATTGAGTAAAGAAGAAAATAATAGAGGTTAGATGCTATAGAATACCTTGTTTCTGTTAAATATAGAATTCTAGGTTGACCCTTTGCAATAACACATACATGCACATCTATACAACAACAAAACAATACTATTGTCCTATATAGTTTTTGTCTTCCATGCACTATGTATTACACATTTTCACTGCTAATAATACAAACCAAAGTTCAATAACTTAATGTTTTGCTCTTCTGTTACTTAATTTCTAAGCTTCATGCATTGTGAAGGCAGTAAATGTAAACGAAAGAACAATGTAGACAAATCTCACATCAACAGACTAAAGAAAAAATATTGTCAAAATGTCAGTTTTTTCCAACTTTATCTATAGATTTAATAGAATGCCAATAAAAATCCCAGAAAATTATTTTGTGGATATTGATAAAGTGACTCTAAATTTTATACGAAGAGGCAAAAAATTCAGTATAGCCAAAAAATATGAAGAAGAATTTGGAGTGCTGATACTACTTGACTTCAAGACTTAATTTAAACCTACAGTAAACAAGACAGTGTGATAGGCAAAAAAGTAGACAAATTGGTCATAAATAGAAAAGAGAACTCAGAAATAGTGCTACATAAATATAGTCAAATTATTAAAAAAGAGGTAATACAATGAGGGAAAGATAGTCATTTCAACCTAAGTTGCTGAAAGAACTGGACATAGCATGCAGCAATAATTAAATTAGACACAGCACTTACATCCTTCACAAAAATTAAAATGGATTATAGACCCAAATGTAAAATGCAAAACTGTAGAACTCCTAAGAGATAACACAGAAAAAAACTGAGATGACCTTGGACACTGTGATGACTTCTTAGATGTAACACCAAAGGCAAAATACATTTAAAAATAATTAATAAGCTGGACTTCACTCAAGTTAAAAACTTCTGTTCTGCAAAAGATAATGTCAAGGAAATGAGAAGATAAGCCACAGGTTGTGAGATAATAGTTGAAAAAGACACAACTGTTAAAGGACTATTATCCAAAATATACAAAGAACTTTTAAAACTTAACAATAAGAAAATAAACATCTCAATTATAAAACGGGTCAAAAATTTATCCAGGCACGGTGGCAGATGTCTGTGGTCTCAGCTACTCAGAAGGCTGAGGTGGGACGACCGCTTGAGCCCGGGAGGCTGAGGCTAAAGTGAGCCATGATTGTGCCATCACATTCCAGCCTGGGCAACAGAGCAAGACCGTTTCTTAAAAATAGAGAAAATAAAAATAAAAATAAAATAAAATAAAAACTCAAAAAAGATTAAAAATAGGCCAAAGGCCTTAACAAGACACCTCACCAAAAGCATATGCAGATGGAAAGTAAGCACTTAAAGAGATGCTCCTCATCAGGGAACTGCAAACTGAAGGAATACTACTACATTCCTATTAAAATCACCAAAATCCAGAATACTGACAAAACAAAAAGCTGGTAAAGATGCAGAGCAATAGGAACTCTCATTCATTGATGATGAGAATGAAAAATGGTACAGACACTTTAGAAGACAGTTTGGCAGTTTTTTACAAAACTAAACGTACTTTTACCATATGATCTAATATTTGTGCTTTTTGATATTTATCTAAAGAAGTTGAAAACATGTGTCTACACAAAAACCCACACACAGAGGTAAACCCTCATTTATTATTGCCAAAATTTGGAAGCAATCAAGATGTTTTTAGTAGGTAAGTGGATAAATAAACTCTGGTACATCCAGACAATAAAATAGTATTTAGTGCTATGAAGAAATGAGCTATCAAGCCATAGAAAGACAAAGGGAAATCTTAAATGCATATTACTAAGTGAAATAACCCAATTTGAAAAGGTTATGTATTAGTCAGGGCTCTCTAGAGGGACAGGACTAATAGGATCTATGTATCTATCTATATCTATATCTATATCTACATATGGAATTTATTAAGTAGTATTAACTCACATGATCACAAAGTCCCACACAGGCTGTCTGCAAGCTGAGAAGGAAGGAAGCCAGTCTGAGTTCCAAAGATGTAGAACTTGGAGTCCAATATTCCAGGGCAGGAAGCATCCAGCACAGGAGAAAGATGAAGGCTGGGAGGCTAAGCTAGTGTAGACTTTTCAGGGTTTTCTGTGTGCTTTATATCCTGGCCATCCTGACAGCTGATTAGATGGTGCCCACCCAAATTAAGGATGGGTCTACCTTTCCCAGCCCACTGACTCAAATGTTAATCTCCTTTGGCAACACCTTCACAAACACACCCAGGATCAATACTTTGCATCCTTCAGTCCAATGGAGTTGACAGTCAGTATCAGCCATCACAGGCTACATACTGTATGATTCCAAGTATGACATTTTGGAAAAGGCCAAACCATGGTGACAGTAAAAGAATTAGTGTTTGCCAAGGGTTGGAGGAGGTTAAGAATGAAGAATGGATAAATAGTGGAAACACAGAGGGTTTTAGGGCAGTAATGATACCATTTATGGTACTATAATTGTAGATACACACTATTATACATTTGACAAAATCCATAGAATGTACACCACCAAGAGTAAACCGTAAAGTAAATTATTGTCTCTGGGTGATAATGATATGTCAATGAATGTTCACCAGTTATAACTAAATATCATTCTGTTTAGGGATGTTGATAATGGGGGATTGGGGATATTGTAAGTGCATGTGTAAAAGTGGGAGATATATAGCAATCTCTAAATTTTGCTGTGAACCTAAAAATGCTCTAAAAACAATAAAGTCTAAAATAAAGTAAAATAAAATAAAATGTTGACAGTGAAATATATAGTAGCAGAAATAGGTAACAAAACTGTTTTTAAATTCCTGTTTTTAATTTCCTCTTAATAATTTTAACAACATTAGCCCAAGTTTTAGGTATGCAACCAAAGTTCAGTAAAATGGGATTGTTTTTGGCTCTGCAATACTTTTCCAACATATTCTTAAAATTGATCAGTTTCTCTTACTATGACTATTTCTTGTATTGTCAGAGAAATTAGTTATAAAGCAATCTGTTAAAATTAATTATAAAAGTCTATAAAAGATTTTCATTCCAAGGTTCTTTTTTGGGATCTTCAGCTCCATAGTAAAGACATTTATACATTTGTGTTCCCAAGCAAGATCAGTTATATATGCATTCAGTCTTTCTCACTGATATTAGTAGAAAATTAATTTCAATTAACACTATTAAAATGCATAAACTACAATATGTATCTCAAAATATTTCTTAGCATTTGCAGTTATGAAGAGTTAATTAGAAATAATATTACAGGTACCTATTTCTGGCATTTAATATATTTCAGAAGAAAGCATGCTAAATGTAGTCACAAACATTTGAAAGTTATACAGGGGGTAATTACCAAAATATTAAGTTGCATAGTTCACTGTTTTTATTTACTTTTCTGAGCTAGGTCACTAACTGACAGAGAAAAGTTTTAGCGTGTAGAGGGATATGAGATATATATATATATGTTTAGAGTACAATAGAATTTGATAAAAAGAGAACTTTATTGAAAATACATTTTAAGCTTAAAAGTGTATATGGCTAAATGTGCACTTGTTTTGTGGAAATTCTCCAAGTTCCTGTATGTTTCATATATATTCCAATGGAGTTTTTGTGTAAGTACTTATTGATAGAATTATTTTTATTTTTCTATTGCTCACTGTGGATCCTGGTATTTAGAGAAATAGCGAATACTTTTGAGCCTCAGAGATACCACTGAATAAATTATAATGACTACATTCTGGATGCTGTTTCTTATGTTTATATATGCAAGAATCTTTTAACAGTTATTTCTTGGCATGCTTGCTCTAGCACAATACTGTTGTATTGTTTTAAAATACCTCTTGTTTCACATCTTACTCATTTTCTTGGTTGCACTATAAATATTTCAGCTCTCTTCCACCTCCCCCTAAGTTTCATTCTTCAGCAACGGAATTGTTCAATAATTGCTTTGAGTGACAAGAAAAATTATTTTTTAGTATAAAGCTATTTTTCATTTGTAATAAACTAGCAGTTTAGAAACAAACATCTCCCAATAAAATATCACTCAATTAGATAACTCAAGAAGATTAAATACTATGACATTAATTTTTCACTCATTAGATTGAAACATTGCTCCTTTTTATTTTAGTCTTCAGGATTTTGGTGATTAAAAGTCTGGTATCAACCTGACTCTTGTAAATTAATGTTTTTCTTTTTTCTCTCTCCATTTTCTTTCTCTTACTCTATAGAGGTTTATAACTTTTTATCCTGGGGCTTCTGAAATTTTACCAGGATGTATCTCTACATAGATTTGTTTATATTAATTCACTGCGGTATTCAAAAATTGTAGATTTTCTTTAGATAATAGATATCACCTCCTCTGAGGAATGAGTCCTTGGGTAGTGGTGGAAATAAGGATTTTTTATTTCTGCTTCTGTGATGATGGTTATCAGTACAATTTTAAATACTATAATTTTATATGTAGCTTTTTATTTGTTGGTTATAAACAAAGTCTATTTACCACTATGACTTGAAGAATTTATGTCACCGACACTTCCCTCTCTTCCATTCCTGTTCTTGTTACGGCCTTACATGATATACTTATCACTGTTTTTCACAAACTGCTAGTTTTATACTGTGTCCCAGCTTTCTATCTTTGAATATGAAGAGAGCAACATATCCACTCCAAACATTATTTCAACATTCCCTATTCCCCATATCTACCCAGTATACTATTTATTCTATATTGCAAGATTCATAGAATTTGTACTCTGGTAAATATAATCAAATCTCCCAAGATATGTTTATAGGTTGATTTATATTTTCAAAGCCAACATTATGGTTATTAATTATTATTTGCTCCAAAAATGAAATAGTGAGTTTGGACTTGTATAGGTGCACAGGTAATCCTATGTCATTATATTCTGCTTTCCAAAGGAGAAAGATATCTAATACAAATTTAAAAAGGAAGCATGAGGTAGAAGTCTCAAACAGCATTATTTAAAGTTAAATTTATTAAACTGTCACCTTCTAACTAAGACAAACTTAAAACTTTTGAAAGGCAGACAACAACAAAATTATAACAGTAGCATCCCCAATATTCACCATAGAATAAAATTACCAGACATATGCAGAAGCTGGAAATTTGACCACACCCATTCTATGTGTTACTTTGGTTATACATTTGTATTCCAGAAATACTATCAATTATTCAATATTTTGTCACTGTATCATGAAAAAGTTATTTACGTTTTTTAAAAAAGAAGCAAAAAAATAATAAAATGTATTTTATAATTACTTGCATATTTAACTCTATTGATGGTCTTCATTTTTTTGAAAGTGAAACTAAAGATTAGGTTATTTCTTGTAACTTAAGTTTACCATGAAGAAAATCTTAAGATACATAAATAAAATAAAGTAAGATTTTTTTCATATTTTTGTCACTCCTAGACACAGTAGATAAGAAGATGATCCATAGCCACTGGGAGAACAAGGGTTTCCCGGCGTATTTCTGTGGGCATTTGGAGGAGCAATTGCTGAGTTAATGATGTGCTATCCCAAGAAACCTACGGCTATTCAAAATCACAGTGTTCATCCCATCTGTAAACATTTTCTAGCAATATAACAAGATCCTAGATCAAAGTCAGCGTCCTCTCGTTTCAGGCTGCTTCACAGGATTTCTTTTATGAAAAGACTGGCCACAATTGTAGCAATTTTTAAAGTGACTCAATTATCTAAACACAAATACTACTCATATTTTCAAATTAAATTACTATAATTTAATTATATTCATAATTTAAGCATGATAACATTTGTGTTTAATTTTTAACTACTGCAGGATATTGGTTTCATTATGTTTCTTAAGACATTGTACCCAAAGATTTGAACTTTTATATTCATCAATCTAGTGTCCATAATTAGAAAATAATAAGTTAATATAAGCTTTGAGTATGATATTCTAATGAAAATATAGAAAAATATTTTGAAAGATATTCATCTGTTAATTTTTTGATTGTCTAACTTTTACTATACATTATAGTTTTTCTATTTTTCAACATTTGATATTTCTTTGTCATCTCATAGTTCTGCCCATTTTTTTCAATTTGTTAGTAAGTTTTTTGACACTATATGATTAGGTAAGAATCAGTCCGTCAATCTGAAACTCTTCATCTTTAATCATAGAGTTTAACCCTATCAAAGACAAAAAAAACAAGTAGGAACAACCATTTTATCCAGTCTATTAAAATACAGAAAGCACCTCATATCTGAAGACCAGAGTGTCTCAGTAAGGTGGTTGCACCTTAAACATTTATAGGGAGCTGTAGAGAAGTTATAGGTAGAATTCTTTAATCTTATTTTTGTAATTAAGGGAATCTCAGTCAATCACCCAGCCAAAAATGTCAACCTTTCATTTAGCTACTTCTGGGGGAACAAACACTGTATGTAATTATTTATGAGATAAAAAATTAGAATTTGGATCAGCTGTGCCTGGCCTTGTCATAGATACAGAAAGAGGATCATCTGGGAGTCTGATCTAAGTCATATGGGTGTTCTTTTCAGTACGTGTTTCCTGGAAAAGAAAAGAGTGGAGGGATTTCTTAACTATTGCTGCTTTCTTGGTGGGCAGGGCTCAGGTAAAATTAAACATTGTCAGTGTCCTCTGTTGTTCAAGTTGAATGAATATCAGTTCAGAGGCAATCATTAATATTTTGAGTGGGGTAAGTCAGGGTTTAAGAAGCAGTCTGGCTGGACGCAGTGGCTCATACCTATAATCCTAGCACTTTGGGAGGCTAAGGTGGGCAGATCGCTTGACTTCGGGAGTTCAGGACCAGCCTGGGCAACACAAGGAAACCCCATTTCTACAATAAATTTAAAAAATTAGCCAGGTATAATGGTGTGTGCCTTTAGTTTCAGGTAATTGAGGGGCTGAGGCAAGAGGATTGCTTGAGCCCAGAAGGTTGAAGCTGCAGTAAGCTGAGTTTGGGCCACTGCACTCTAGTCTGGGTCTCAAAGTGAGACTTTCTCAAAAAAAAAAAAAAAAAAAAAAAAAAAAGAGAGAGAGAGAAGAAAAAGAAGAAGAAAAGAAGAAGAAGAAGTCATCTTCTGAAGACTCTTATCGATGTTGTTCCTGCAAAATAATCAGCTGAACTATCTATTGAAGGCCAGCCATAAAATTCAGTTGTTTTAGGATCTTTCAGACCAAGCATTTTAAAAGAGGGATGCATACAATTTTAAAAAGCAATATTAAAATAAACGGCTATATTCAAGTAAAGAGCTGAGAGTTAAACCCTGAAGATATCCAGCTCAGCAGATTCTAAGAGGTCAGGGATAAACATATTTTTATTTTGTAATACTGCTCATTGAGTTTCTTAAAGATAAGATGTTTATGCTTTTGATGATATTATCCACAGTCTTGATTGACACTCGTATAAGGACATTTACGATCTGAGGATTTTGCCATAATCTCTTAGTGTCCCAGCCAGTGACTCATTCAGGGAGAAATCTTGCCCTTGTGTGGTCTGCTAAGGTGATCAGTCCTTCACAGTATATATTGTTGGGGAAATAAATGGAAGAAAACCAAAATATTTTCCCCTGACATGTTGAGGGTTGTTAAGGTAAAGACACTGGAAACTCAGGGAACAGTCAGCCTCAGCCTCTTTTTGCCTAATGCCAGGACACAAATCCTTTCTTACTGGAGACAGCACTTGCTTATCAGTCCAGAGAAGGACCAGCCAGCATCAGAGCAATCTGGGAACAACTTTTAGTATCTTCTCAATTTTCCCACCTTTTAAAAGACTAGAACTGCTCTCTCCTTTATCTTGTCACTATGTAGGATTTATGGCTCCTTGTTAAAGTACTATTTCAGCAAAGGCCCTAAGCCACTGCCTTGAGAGAGAAATACTTTTGAACAGGGGCCTGTCCTATGTGATGAGTACAGTATGCATTATAAACTAAAACTGCTTGTTTCCCTTTGCTAATATTTCTTTTGTTTTCAGGACTATGCCTCAAAAGAACCTAAGAAGGGAAAGAAAAGAAATTTTTCTTTCTCCTTTGTAAAATAAAATAAAATCTCCTTTTAACCAAATTTCTTAAACAAATAGACAAAACAAATCAGTGTTACTATTGAATAAGCATCAAGACATATTGTGATACACATCACAGAAAACTTATTAAAGATATTGTAAAAAACATAAATAAATATCATCTTTTTATAAGCAACAAAGATGCAATGTATTACATATATGCTAATTCTCTTTACCCAAAAGAAATACAAAGTTTTTTCTATCTTTACAAATAGCAGGAAATTATAACTTGGAGACAGCAGCATAAATACTTATGGATCTTTTAAAATATAGAAACACATCTCAAAACAATAGTGAACATATTTAAAAATTTAAATTTTCTAAAGAAAATGCTATAGTTGGGGAGTTCCCTTTTCCTTTTGGCATGAGGGAAGAATTACATTTAACCTTATAATATCAAGTCATCTGGCTTTAGTTTACAGTCTTCTTCAGATCCTGGGGGAAAAGGCCTGCTATAAGGCAAAGTAGAGTTCTCATAAGGATCTAGGTATCAGATTTTAGATTTCAGTGTAGTCAAGTTTAGAAACGAGAAAACCAGGAAATGTTAGTTTGGAAAATGATACAAGATACTAAAGAAAACTGAAAAACTTGAAAATTTGGTATGGGTTGAAAGACTGAATATACAAACAAACAATGGCCATGCCATATATAAAAATAGAACTATTGTTATGGGATCTTTGGGATGTTGCTTTTCTGTCCAGAAACCTCTGTGGCTGCTGGCACCTTTGCCCAAGTTGTTGTCCTGAATCCAGGAAGAATGAGGAAGAATGAGGTACACAGACAAGTGGAGCGTGAGCAAGATGAAGAGCTTTATTGAGTGTTACAACAGCTTAGGGGAGACCCACAGTGGGTAGCTCCTCTCTGTAGGCAGGTTGTCCCATCGAGTGTTCAGCTCTCAGGAGAGAGGACGCAATGGAGAGTTAGAGGGTAGTGCCTCTCTGCAGCTGATCATCTCTCCATTCTCTCCTCTGCTCTGGCTGAGCCTGGGGCCTGACAGGTGGGACTTCTCTGGCCTGAAGGTGGGGCATCACTGGGGACCCATCCCTTCCACCCAGGAATCTGGCTGCCTCCTACTGCCATTCATGGTGCCAGGCTTGGCTCGACTTTGCTTCAAAATTGGAGAAGGCGCCAACAGCCAGGAAAGGCCAGACAGTGGGAGCAGGCACTTCTGAACCTGCAAGGGCAGGGGTGGGGGCCTTCCCGGGCCCCAGATAGTGCAGGGATGCCTGAGCCTACAGCCATGGTTTGGGCAGCTGCAGTTGTGTCCAGTGGGGCAGGGCTCCTGCCTGATCTGTGGATTGGGAGGACCAGGTCTGCAGCCATGGTTTGGGCAGCTGCAGTGCATCTGGGGAGCTCCCACCCCAATTCAGAAGGGGTGGGGCTCCCACTTGTCCCCAGCTCCCACAGGCTACATGGAGCATGCATCCCCAGCTGCTCCCCACTGCTGCCACTGGTTTAATGGCAGTGGCAGGCTGTCTGGAGCAGCTGCTGCCATCAATATGACCCATAATCTGTGGCAAACAGGCTCTCTGCAGTAACCAGCCCAGAAAACCAGCCTACTATTGATAAATCAGACTTATGGAAATCAGACTAGTATCTCTAACAATCATTCCAGAAATCCAAACCAATAACTTTCATAAAACCTGGTCCAAAGAGAGAGAAGGACTTGATTAATAATTTTAAGTTTCCCCAATTTTCTGTTCTTGCTTTTAATTTAGGACCAACCAGAGAAAGGAAATATGCACTCCTCATGAATGATATAGGATGTCCCTCTAGTTAGCCCCCACTACATTTTCCCCATGTTAACAGCCTACAATCAGGATATACCAAAAGCTTTTCTTTCTTTCATTATAAAGCTTCCCTATTCATTTGCCTGCCTTTGAGTCTCTGGTAAATGCAAATGACAGTCTTTATCCTTTGTTATAGTAAACTCTGATATAACAAGCTCTAAATAAATAGCCTTTGTTCTCATTGTGGTGATCTTTATTTCCACAATGTTTACATTTTTGCAATATGACAGGATCTAGTTCAATTTGTAGGTAGGTAACAAAACTTGACCTTCAGAGTGGGAGAGGAAGTTAATTACATCTACCAAAATTAATGGAAGAAAAGAAACAATAAAAATTAGACCAGAAATAAACAAAATTGAGACTAAGAAATCAATGCAAACATCAACAAAGTTTGGTTTTTTGAAAACATAAACAAAATTGACAATCCTTTAGCTAGATTAACTAAGAAAAAAAACAGACTCAAGTAAATAAAACCAGAAATAAAAGAGGAGACATTACAACTGATATTACAGAAATACAAAAGATCATTAGAGACTATTATGAACAACTATGTGCCAACAAATTATAAAACCTTGTGAAATTAAATAAATTCCTGGACATATACAACCTACTGAAACTGAATTAAGAAGAAACAGAAAGCAGACAAATTATGAGTAATAAGATTAAATCTGTAATGGAGCTTTTTTTTTTTTAATTAAAGGGAAACCAGCTTTCTTTGTAGTTAAGCTTTCTACTATTTATTTTCTTTGTAGGAACAATAAAATTAAACTATCTATAAACAGAAAACTTATATGTAAAATATGCTTAATTTTTATAATATTTTAAAATACTGGATTGGTGAAAATAACCAGATAACAAAAAAATACACTTCATGTATATGTTTGCAATCAGACCCCACAGTATATCTATCTTTATAATTTATTATTGGTGAAAAACAAATAGAAACAGAAAAGATATGCACAATTATGCCACTGCTAACAAAATCAGATAATATTTGTTAAAGTTTTTCTTAATAAAATGGGAACAACACATTGCTAGGTACGTAGAATCAATTTTTCTCTAAAGAATAACTGAACAGTTAAGGGAAGCAAGTAATTCCTAATGGGTTACTAATGTAATAGATAATATTATGCTGTTTAACAGAATAATATGGTATTTTGTATTTTTCAAGTCTATAAGTCCATCCATAAAGTCTGTTAAGTAAAATAAAAACAAAACAAAACAAACAAACAAACAAAAAAACAGAAAAACTCCAAACATTAAGATATATTGACAATCTTGTTCCTATGTATGGCAGAATATCATTAATTCTTTTTTTACGTTTATTTACTTTTTAAATTAGGAACACTTCTTAGGTTTTTTTGGCATTTTGCATTTTTACATGCAGTGTCTGTATTGGCCCATTCTCACACTTCTATAAAGAACTGCCTGAGACTGGGAAATTTATAAAGAAAAAAGGTTTAATTAACTCACAATTCCACAGGCTGTACAGGAGGTATGGCTGGGAGGCCTCAGGAAACCTATAATCATGATGGAAGGCTGAAGGGGAAGCAAGCACATCTTCTAATGGTGGCAGGAGAGAAAGAGTGAAGGGGGAAGTGCTACACACTTTTAAACAACGAGATCTCATGAGAACTTACTATCATGAGAATAGCAAGGGCAAAACTGCTGCTATGATCTAATCACCTTCCACCAAGTCCCTCCCCAAATGTTGAGGATTACAATTCAACATGAGATTTGGATGGGGACACAGAGTCAAACCATATCAGTGTCTACTGGCTCCTTCTGAGAGTATCTGTGAAAGTTCAGTACATTTTTCAGTGAACAAGGAATAAATGGATAGTGTAGGTGCCAAAGTCCAAAGGGGCAAACATTGCTCAAGTTTATTCACTCTGGAAACGAAGATTTTTGTTTTTCTACGGGCATGAAGTAACCAGTGGCTGAAGAGAATAAGTCTTTTCTTTCTGACCAGAAGATCATAGTAGTTCTCTATTTCAGAAGCCGATACATACACATCTAGAGTAACCAAAGATGACACTAATATAATGTATGGGAAGGCATAATATAAAAGGCCTCCACCAACCACCTGAAGCATGGGTAATATTAGGAAACAGTAAAGTGCTGCATAAATACTTTTAAATCAGACTTCCCTAACTCACATGCAATCTTCTTCACCAGAAAGTTGGGAGCAGCATCATTAATACCAAGCAGAATGCATAATAGATAAATACAATGATATGTAGTGGGTAGCCAGCTTCCTGAGTACTGCGCACTGCGGTAACACAATCTGGACTTGGGTTGCAAAGCATCGTGTACCGATCTGAAAGTGTCAATACTCGACATGAACGAACAGATATAAAGAACACCAATTGCATTACTCACAAGTAGGGTGATAACAGCTGCCATACTGGATTCAAATAATCTAATGATGTGTTGAAAAAGTACACTAGAACTTTTTTTTCCCCATTTACCATTAAATAAAGAACCAACGTAAAACAAGAGGAAGAGTAGCAATAAATTCAACGTAGAGATAATTGTGAAGTTCTGGAGACACCATGCAAAGCTGACAATATTTCTGTGCTTTTGTTCTCTGTCCCTCTTTGGCACAAGTCACATTCTCTAGATATTTCAGTTGATCCATTTTTAAATAAGATCTTCCCATGAAAAAGTCCAAGACATGCCATTGGCCACCTGTAGGTTTCCCCCAAGAAGCTCTGTGATCAGCACAACTGGCCACAGCATCTGGACATTCAGGCCATCTGAATATCAGCTTCTAATTAAGTCTACTTTTTAGATTAGATCTTAATTAGATCTACTTCTAATGAAGCAGATCAAAGAACTGCTTTTTAAAAATCCTTTTAAATATACAAGTAGCAAGCTTTCCATCTTGGGAGCAGTCGGCCTTTCACTGAAGGCCAGAGAATGGCTGCTGCAGAACTGTGCCTCCCCTTGTCACCTGTGAGGGGCCCTCCCCCTCCTCTCACAGGGTCAATTTCCAGTGATGGAGCGAGGCTGTTTCTCTGGCCCAGTGGAAGAAACAAGGCAAAGTGAAAACTATCACGCTGTAGATATATACCAAAGTTTTAAATCAAAGGTATGCTTAAACAGATGACTGAAAACAAAAACAATCACACATAAAACTAAAACCAAGAAGCCCTTTATGGCTTTAAACAATGCCTCCAAAGAGGGAGCAAAAGCTGCAAAACTCTCAAGATCCAGACCACTCCCAAAGACAGCTCATAAATTAGGAAGTTTCACTAGCTGCAAATGAAATACAACCCATATTTCTTTCTTTCTTTTTTATATTTTTATTTTAAGTTCAGGGGTACAAGTGCAGGTTTGTTACATAGGTTAACTGTGTCATGGGGATTTGTTGTACAGATTATTTCATCACCCAGGTATTAAGCCTAGTACCTATTACTTATTTTTACTGATACTCTCCCTTCTCCCACCCTCCACCCTCCAAAAGGCCCCAGTGTGTGTTGTTCCCCACAGTGTTCATGTTTTCTCATCTGCCGTATTTCCTAAGGTGTCAGCTTCTCAGCTGACCACCTGCGCACAAAGGCCTACTACAACTTGAGTGCCCCACAGAGGAAGATTTAAAAAATAGTAAAACACAAAATAAAATCTACAAGCATAGAAAGGATTACGAAACAAATGAGTACCACGATTTTTTAATGAATATTTATTTTCTTAAAAACATTTTGAGTTAGAAGATTTACATTTTCAAGGGACTAGTTCTCAGACTGGAAATCAAACCCTGGCCACATCAGTGAAAGTGTGGACATCTTGGCCATCTTAGCCACTAGAGTACAGGCTGGAGTGTCTTCTTTGTAAACACCAAAGAGCATCCAAAGCAGGCAGGATTTTAATTAATTCTGTTTTAAATCTGAGTTCTGGGTATTTTTCTTCATTTAGTTTTAGTTTTGGTTTTGGTTTGCCAAGGGAATTTCTAAGGCTATATCTTTCTTTTGTCTCTTTTCATAGGTCCAATAAGCAGTTGTTTAAGCTGAGAGTGCTCCAAGTATTTTTTTTTCTTTTAAATACAGCCAATTTGTTTATTCCATAGGAAACTCAAAAATAAGCTTTTTTTTTTTTCTTTTTTCATAGAAAGCCGCAGATGTGGTATTCATTCCAGGCTTAGAATACCATGGATTTAAGTGTCATTTATAAAGTGGGTACAGAATATGCAGTCCCTTCTGATCCCCCCAAAAATTTACTCCAAGAAATAGGCTGAGATAGCAAGACTCTTGTTGCCACAGATGGGTAAGGATGGTATTTGCAGGTACAGTGCCTCCAGTATCCCACAAGTTTGTGAGGGACCACCAGTCAGCCCTGTTAATCTGTGACACCAGGTAGTCCCTCCTGGAATTAAACTTTCCCAGAACTAACCAGGCAACAAGGATTGAGACAAGCAAAGCCCCTTTTGCATGGGAGTTATTAAGAGAAACTCCCTGAGAGTTTGATTCATTCAAAGTGAGAGTGGGCTGCTTAATATCTTATGTATTCCAGTGTTCTTAGCCCTTTCAGACTGGCCACCTAGTAAATAATTATTAGGGAGAATATATGGACTCAGGAGACAGAAGGGTAGTTGCAAAGGATTGTCTTTGGAACTTGAATGAGCCCCAAGAGGCAGGCATTATCTTCTGTAAACGTTCATCCAGGTGTGTTAGCATTCCTCAGTGGGTGGAGATAAGAATATTTTAGAGTCCCTTTCTGCTCTCGGAGTAGGAGAATAAGACTAGGTTAGAGGGACCTTGATGCTGAGGCAGCTTCTAAGGCTTCTCAGCATGTCAAAGTGCCAGTCTTTTGGATATCATCTTTTGAATCTCAGCATAAGTTTTTATAAAGACAATGCTCTAAGAATATAGAAACCAGGAGCCTAGAGTCAGGAAAACGTCAGCCTACAGTTGAGTCAAGTGGAAAGAAATGTTACGGCCAACTTGGTCACTCCATACAAGTGTCTGGGCAATCTGATGAAATGAGTATCATTCTCGAATAAAATATTCCAGTAAATACCTGGGTTGCATAATCAATTTTTATAATTATATATTGTTAATAAGAAGAGTATATTCTTATTGATCCTATGAAAATAATTATATTGCCATGAAAATGAGACTACTTGATAAGTTTCTGAATTCCAGAGGGGTCAGGAAGGAAGGAAAAAAATGAATGTTTCATTTGTCTATAAAAGCACAGTTTAATAACTTGGTATGAATTATAGTTCAATTAAGAGAAAATATAAAGGGATTATTAATATCCAGAAAACAGAATATTAACATATTAGCAATATCCCATGCAGAGCCCATAATTATTCTTCATTCATTCATTCATTCATATGTAATTAATTTTTAATTTGCTTGATCTTAGATTAGCAGTTTTCTGAACACACCTGCTTCTTCACTGGAGCTGGAAATCCTGATTCAATTCATTGGTATGATTTCAGTGTATTTTAAGCAATGCCATAAGAAACATATACCTGACATAGAGTCCTGGATCTCTAAGACAGATTTGCAAGGACTTTCAAGGAGGGATCAGAGTAAAATAAAACAACTTGTAGATTAAAGCGTCTGTGGTCAAGTTATTACTAATAATTTTTAGAAGTGAAAGATCTGATGTGAGTTAATTACACAAAAAAATTCAACTAATAAGGATATATGGTTGTTTCTATGGCATGGAAAACAAAATAGTCAATGCAAAAAAGTTTTAGATAAAATATCTGCAAACACAATGAGAAAGCCTATTTTCAAAGAATGAATACAAATCTAATATATGAAAATGGATGGCCATATCTTTATAGAAAAAACAATATTCAGATATAGCATCAAATTTCCCTAAATTTAATGTACCATGAATATACCAAATGTGGTATATCAAGATTATAAAGATTATATCAAGATTATAAATTAGAATGTATCAAGATTATATCAAGTTAGAATATATCAAGATTATAAAGTAAAAAAGATTCTGTAAGCCTGGAGTAAGTCCTAAACATGTGAATTAAACTTTATAGGTTAAATGATATGAATCCTCAATTGAACCACTGCCCTAGAACTTACTGGATTTTGAATTCTTTAATTTGTTAAACAAATAAAATTACAATCAGGTTAATATTTTAAAAAATTTACTGAAATTATGACTGAAAAATACCATATTGTTTTTGTCTAAAATCAGGCAAAGCAGTACTGGGACTCTCATAAATAGAAAAAAAATATATGCAGTAAGGATATTGATGATTTCCTGGGAATTTACCACACAGCATGTAGTTTCTGGAATTTTTATACCAATAATATATTACCCATATTGATTTAACCTAGGGAAGGCTAAGCATCCTTCTGATTTTACAATGCTTCCTATGTAATTCAAAATGTGAAATAAACATAAGTATTTTTAGCATTTCTCCTTAATAAAGTGAAAAAATAAATTCTTTGTGATTTTCCATGCACCCCATGAAATCCTAAAGACAGTTTTAGATGCAAAACATATCATTTAGAATTTGATTTGTGGACAGCAAAATGTTAGAAATTATCATGAAATTTGATCAAAAGTAGGAAGACTTTGTTCTTTTAACTAATGAAGGACATGATAAAGTCAACACACAACACAGTTAACTATTCTGATAAGACACAGTATCTTTGTATTTTTGTCAGATTACTCAGAAGGTAAAGAAAAACCTTTTCAAAACTCTTAAAAGGAGACCAATAATTCATGTAAATTTTGTCATTTTTACAGAAAGAATATCAAATCTAATTTTGTATCACTATAATTTTAATACAAAGCTCTTCTTAAACAACCTTAAATAAATCCATCAAGCCTTAGCCTGACATATGAAATTCTTTTTCCATGAACCTTCTACAACTTTCTATATCCATTTGGTTTTTTTCACACACTCTCCTCTTTCTTATTCTGGACAAACCAGTCATTTTACTTTAGAACAAAGTTGTCCTATTTTTCCATGCATTGCATATAAAATTGCTCCTCTTGGCCACAATTGCTCCTAATAAAGTCTCTCGTACCTACATTGGTTATAATTTTTAACCACAGTAGCTTCTACTTCCCAGAAAATCTATGAGGTGGATAAGTTATGAACTATTTTTTATATACCAGCATTTTGTAACAGACTAGCAGAGCTAGTCTTACAACTTACATATTACAACTTTTTATAGCCATACACTTCCTTCAGATAGTATACAGTCTCTCTGTACCATCAAAATAAGAGAAGAAAGTATATAAGCTCATAATTATGCTTCAGTATCCTTTTTTACTAGAAATAATCTAGACATTTAATGGCTTCCCATTATGTAACTTAATTTAACATAAGTCTAAGGTTTTAAGTTACTAAATATCTTGGAAAATATCTTCAAACCAATTGTCATGCTACAAAACAGAATAACTGTTGAATTAAAGTTTGTCAGAATAATGATTCAATTTGATTAAACAGTTCATAATCATCTTAGACATCTATTATATGTAATGCAAGCTTATTTGATGAGTAAACCTGTACAAGTTTAGGGTGAACATGCCCAAGTAGAATAAAAACATGTGTTAACAAATAACTCAGAAGACATCCCCTGTTTTTGATAAAAGAACAATATTAAATGAGTCTTGCTGCCAAAGACTTACCTAAATTATGTGAACTTGAATTCTTGAAACACTTGAGTTAGAAACATTTGAGTTTATAGAAACTACTAAACATTGAGTTTACTAGTTTCTATAAGAATACTTTTTTCCACACTGAAAGTATTATAAATTCAATTTCCTTAATTTCTGAGAATCTTAAGAATATTCAGTTTATATAAGTGCTTATTTATCTGTAAACTAGTCAGAATAGATCTCCTTTTAGGGATTTATAATATAATTTGGTAATACCATTTGAAGGCTGGATAATATTACACATATATAACCTACATACATTCATGCACACTATAGAGATAAAAGTTACTCCGTTCTGGATGCTAATTCACCATGTAGACTTCTCAGTAACCCTAGTTCCATGAGTGCCTCCTTATTCCTACTTTATTTACTGTCCTTAGTATAAGAATTGTACTCACTATAAATCTTGCCTTTAAATCAATACAACCTTGCTGTTATTGCACAAATTATAGCATATGATGCACATAGCATTCTTGCCTGTTCTGGAGTTACCTTTAGTAGACTCTATAGAGCCTGTTCCCCTTTTCCCCATGGTATATAAGCCCTGAGTTTGGAAAGTAATGCTGTGGAGATCTACCTGTCTTGCCACCCAAGACCATGCTTCCCTTTGTTAGTTCCTAAATAACTCACGCTTTACTGATAAACTGGATTTGTCTGCCTTGTTCTTTGATGTCTTGGTTTCTTCTGCATTTGGGGGTTGACTTGCATATATGTCCCTTTCACAGAACACATACACTCACATGTGAACATACAGAGATAGAAATTCAGAGCTTATAGCTTCCATTCTAAAATTTTGGTTCACTCATTCATAAAAAAGAGCTCTTGTTCTTGCCCCACCTTTATATTTTTGGCAGGATTATGTTTCTGTTAAATGGAGCAAGTTGAGATTACCTGCTTAGAATGACTGCTGAACCATCTACACCAATACTTGTGAAGGAGACTTTTTTTCTGTGCCAAAGCATATTACTATGGAGACTGGACTGCATTGCAGACGAAGGACAGAGGAGGAATCAGGCAGCCGTCTAGGTGTCTCCAAAGACTATCTGAATTAAAAAAAAAAATTCAGCCTGTTTCCAATTAGTTTTTTCAGCCTCAGGTGCTAGCAATTGTTATCTCTTAAATTTAAGTGAGTTTCTGACTCTAAAGGAGATTGAAAAGGGGAAGAATACTTGGAAAGCAGCTATGTTAACACATTTGTCAGCCAAGGAGTTTCATTAGCTTTGAGGGATAATTACTAATTCCCTGAGTAAAGACCCTAATGGAGTAGGGATGTGGGTTTCTTTTTTATGGATATTCCTGCAGTTGTCCTGAACCCCCTTTGTTTCCACTAAAGTAGGGGTCCCCAAACCCCAGGCTGTGGACCAGTACCAGTCTGTGGGCTGTTAGGAACCAGGCCACACAGCAGGAGGTGAACAGCAGGCTAGTGAGCATTACCGCCTGAGCTCCACCTCCTGCCAGATCAGCATTGGCATTAGATTCCCACAGGAGCACGAACCCTATTGTGAACTGTGCATGTGAGGGATCTAGGTTGTGCACTCCTTTTGAGAAACTAATGCCTGATGATTTAAGGTGTTACAGTTTCATCCCGAAATCATGTCCCCCATGGAAAAATTGTCTTTGATGAAACCTGTCCCTAGTGTCAAAAAGGTTGAGGACTGCTTCACTAAAGGGATGGATAGAATGTGTTGACAAGAGCAAGCATTGCCTCATGGCTAATAAGAATCATTCAAGTGCAAAGGAGCATAGGTAGAGAGTCAGGGAAGTTGAAGAAAACAAAGAATACTGATATTCCAATTGGAAATAATATATTTTCCTAGGTTTACTGGATGAGTGAAATTAAGCATAAAACTCTACAGGTTAATGAGAAGTCCTACTGAGACAAAAGATTGTTTAGACAAACTCAAGTCATAAGGTAGATCGAGTCCCACCACAGGTATGGTTTGCCTGCTCCAAGTGAGGGTGGGTGGAGAATAGGAGGAAAGTTTGCTTTTGTGTTCACTGGGAAGATGAACGGGAATCCATTCATGGGATGATTTTTGCATCTCCTTTTGCACAAGGGTAATGGTTGTGTGAAGGAATATCACTGGACAGATGAATTTTTGACTCTTGCTCCCTTTTGCATCTTAAGGCCAGGTTCTATGTTTCTTTATACCATCTGCAAGTGTCCCTACATAAAATGATTTTTTTAGGGAGCAGATTGTTCTAGCACCTTTTCTTCTAATTGTTTGAATTATAAAGCCATGAGTTTGCATTGCGTTGATTTGGCTTTTTCTGCAATGGAGCCCTTAGGGTTCTGAGCTAGTGTGTATTTCAGAGATAGTAGTCTTCCACCACTTTACATTACGTTTTTAAATAATAACTGTAATTTTTGTTGTAAGATCTTAAGAAACCTAACACCAATGGCAGAGGTAACTCAGCCCTCAAGAACAACAGAGTAGTTATTTCAAACTTTTTTTTTTTTTTTTTTTTTTTTTGAGACAGTCCTCTCACTCTGTCTCTAGGCTGGAGTGCAGTGGTGCGAACTTGGCTCACTGCAAGCTCCGCCTCCCAGGTTCGCACCATTCTCCCGCCTCAGCCTCCCGAGTAGCTGGGACTACAGGCGCCCGCCACCACGCCCAGCCAATATTTGTATTTTTAGGAGAAATGGGGCTTTACCATATTAGCCAGGATGGTCTTGATCTCCTGACCTCGTGATCCACGCGCCTAGGCCTCCCAAAGTGCTGGGATTACAGGCGTGAGCCACCACGCCCGGCCCTTTGAAACATATTCTAATCTATATATGTAATTAACGCTGGATTCATCTCTCCATCTTATGACATTTTGCATCTTTGTCTAGTAAGTTGTTCCTCCTATGGCTTTAGCCTGCATGTAAGCCTCAGGACTGTTCTGACTTTTTTGATAGTCCATTTCCCAGGCCCACAAGCGCTGCACAAGTGGATATAAATCAGTGGAGCCTGGGAGAACATGTGCTGTTGACCAGACTGAATTGTCACTAAATTCTTCCCTGTTGTTACAGGTGTCTTTAAAGTCTTTGACAGTACTATGTCAATCTAAGCGAGACAAAGGCTTAAAGTGTACTTGTTCATACGGGTATTCAGGTCATTGATTTTTTCATTACAGGTAGGGAAAAGCCAGTAATATGGGTTGGAATGGAAAACTGGGAAGCAGGGGAATTTAATGGAACCAGCGTAGGGTAAAGAGGAGGAGTAAGGTCCAAAAGTGAACAAAGAAAGATACAGAATAAGGAGGAATAGTTGGTAAGAAAAATGGCAGTGATGGTATTCAAGGATGGTTTCGAGTGAGGAAATTGTGTGAGTTTGCTGAAGATAAAGAAGGAGCAGGAGGAGTTTACTGGTGGTGAGAGACACAATCCTTAGTAAAACTATGCCAAATGGAGATAATGAACTGAATTGTTGCTATAATGGCAAAACACATAATTCACAGGGATTTTGAAGGGGGTCAAGGTGTGCATTGGAGTTTCCTGTAGTAATAAGGTTAAACAAAAGCTGGCAACCAAACCAAAAGAGCAGTAAAACAAAGAATTACCATCCAATCTTACCATGTTGTCATGAACAATGTCCGGAGCACAGGACTCAGGCACTGGTTTCATTGTGGGATGCCCAAATTGTGGGGCACAACTAGCTGGAGAGGCCTCAGTGACTGAGGGGAGAAGATGGGGGTCCAGAGGTGGACTTCCAGTCCCATCCAGGTTACGGTACAATACAAAGACAAAAAACAAACAACTAAGGGGGCTTGATCTTATTCAGGCTGCTGCAACAGGAATAGAACCCCTGATCCAAAGATGAGGGTGTCTCACAAGTTGGTTTTGCCTTTGACTTTACAGAGGGTAACAGAGAAGTTATAGGTGGTGTGCTTTTACAGGTGACAGGTGGTTTTTAACCAACCAGTACATATTTATATCCATGTCTAGATAGTTTTGAGGATAAATAGTTCAGCTAATCATTTATGAGATAAACAATGGGAATTTAAAGGGTCTATATCTGGCCTTGTCATGGACTACAAGGGGGTCATACTGTTATCTAAATTGTATGGGGAAAGATAACTTAGACTGTTATCTAAGTTATGTGGGGAAAGGCGGATCTTTGCTATAAACCATTTTTATAAAATGATCAGGGATTTCTTAACTGGTGCTATTTTCCTGGAGAACAGGACTGGGGAAAATTCCAACATTGTTAACCCTTTTACATTTATTTTTAATAGTCACAAGTGGTTTGTCAATCATTTTTCTCATCTTATACTATTTTTCCCACTTCCTTCTCTTTTGACTTTCTTCAGAGAAACTATGTTTTGTTTTCTGGTGTTTCATGTAGGTTACGTGAAAGTTACAAATGTTTTGTAAACTAGCCATAACTGTCTTTCAGTATATTAAATACAAACTTATATCTATGTATCGCTAATGATTAAAGACAATGTAAAGTTATCCTTTTCAAAATAATGTACTTAGCCTTATTTCTTCTGCTAATACCTTCCTTATTTCTAAGACTAAGTTAACACAGGTCTAGTCAATTATAGACCTAGATTATGAGAATTTTATTAATTTGAATTCTAGAATTTTATATACCCTATGAAATCTTTAAAATTATTTTTCCATTCAGTTTATAATCAATAAGTAAATATTATTTTGCACATAAACGATACAGTAATTTTAATATGCACCTTTAGTACTCATTGTCAGTCATTTTATACCATTTACTTATTTTACCTCCCTCACCCAATGCCAGACCATTCACTGCTACATTAATAGTCGTGACGTGTTCTGCATTCTAGTGAATGACAGAAGAATAGTGATCAGTATGGCTAGAGAACTTCAGGAAAATTCATTGTTCTTATGATGTCTGGCAATGACATAGGACCATTCCAGTTCTCACACTCAATAGCAAGAAGCAAAATTGTACAATTCATGTGTATGTATTTTCACCTTGTACTGCATATAGATTGCTCGGTCTTCCCCACTGTCAGCCTCCTCTCTCCAACTACCAGCCTTCACCAAACAACATACATCTCATTCCAGACATGATTAACATCATCAAGAAGGACTAATGGAGAGCATCTACAGTTTCAAAAACTTTCAAATCCAAGTCAAAAATAATTGTTTTCATGGAGGGCAGTTTTTAGAGGTCTGGTCCATTGATTTCCTGGCACTTGATACCTATCAAATAAATAGTGTTTTAAAGCCCCTATATGAATTCAAGGATCCTGATGATTTGAAACCATAGTTAATATATGATGCATACAAAGAAGAATTTCTTATAAACATTCAAAGTAAAAATGGGAATTCACATAGTTGAGAGCCTAGTTTAGTACTCAGGTAAGGAAATTCAATGCCTTACTAAATTTATCTATCTATCTGTCTGTCTATCTATCTATCTATCATGTATTTTGAGCTTGTTGCCGAACTACCATCATAGAGCTGGAGAAAACAATGAAAATACTAATCTGGGAGAACCAGGAAAAGGTCTAAGAGCGAAAGCAGGTTAACTTCATGTCACTGCCCTTTAAACATGGAGAGATAGTTCACATTAATTCATGTTCTCAATCCATTGTTTTAAGCCTACTCTGTCACAACAGCTTTCCCACTCAGATACTTTATTTTGTTTGACATTTTGTCAGTTACATTAGCTCTTGCAATAATCTTCTTACAAAGGGGAGAGTATTTCCAGAGTCCTTGTGTAACTGAGCATTTTTTTCTGAGTTTTTTACATATGAATGACAACTTGTTCAGGCAGGGACCTCTTAGATCCTAAACTTTACCCCTCAAAATTCCAGTGTCTTCTTTGTGTTTCATGTCAAGAAACAGACTTCTGAAAGCAGTCTTTTTTTTTTTATTTGTAGCTAACCTATTTTTTTTTTTCTTTATAAATGCCTTCAGGATTTTTTTTCTGCTTGTTGAAATTCAAACATCTTCCAGCCCTAGGATATATCTACAGAGATCTGCTTTTTATTTTTATTTTCCACTGGAATGCACAAAACCCTTTCAAATGTTAGACTCAGATTTTTCTTCATTTCCATAATGAAGTCAAGTGAAGCAGAGATAAAGTTCATCACCCCTAGAAGTGGACAGAGGAGATTTGCAGGGTCTGCCACCTACTGACTGATCAGTTATTTAAAATTCTGTGCAAACTTCTTCTCATCAATTATTAAATAGAGGTAAGAATATATTTAATCAGATTTTCCTGGAGATTAAATGAGATAATGGTAGATACTTAGTGCTGTGGTTTGAATGTTTGTGTTGTCTCCAAAAGTCATGTTAAACTTAATGTCCAATGTAACGGTATTAAGAAGTGGGGTCTTCAGGAGGTAATTAGGAGACCAGGGCTCTGTCCTCATGGATGGGATTAGTGATTTACAAAAGAGTTTGAGGGGATGAGTTTAGCCCCATTTTATCTCTTCTGCCATGTTAGGACACGGTGTTCATCACTTTTGCCCTTCCATCTCTTCCACATGTGGGGAAGTTGCCACAAGGACACCATTGATAGAGCGGCCCCACCAGACACCAAACGTGCCAGTGCCTTGATCTTAAACTTCCTAAGCTCTAGAACTACATGAAATAAATTTTAGTTTTTTATAAATTATGCAGTCTCAGGTATATTTTTTAGAGCAGCAAGAATGGACTATGACACTTTGTAAGTGGTAAATAATTAATATTATATGTTAGTTATTTGTAATTATTGCTTTATTTCTATTATTCATGGTTTCTTCCACTGAAAACTGGTAAGTCTTTGATAGAATTTCTGTAATCTTCCTGTTAGATTGAATGCCTGTCACCTTTTAAAAATTATTTATCTATTATTTTTCTCTTTAAAAAATTTCCTGTGCATGTTGAGTAAAAATATTAAATGTGTTATCTAAGTGGTCATTTTATCTATCTCAAACTTTCATAGCCTCCAAAGATTTTAATGTTTATTTTGTATTTTAAGTTTTCTCTCTTCTGTTTCTTCCTCCCTTCCTCCTTTCCCACCTTCCTGTCAATTCTCAGTGTATCTCTGTTTTTAATTCAAGGTGCTCTTTCTCTGTAGCTCCCTAATGGTATTAATAGAGACTTTTTCTAAAGATATGTACATCTTCAAAATCATCAAGGCATCATACCCTTTTCTATAGCTTCTATTAATAGGCTTGTTGTTGCTTCTGTTTTTATGTTTGAGTTCAGAAGATCTGTCCAGTTCAAAACTAGTTCATATACATAATTATCACCATCCATGTGGGCGCTAGTAACTCTCCTTCCAGATTTCAAGAGGGTCAGGTTGATAAATAAAATCCTTACTCGTCGGTCAACTTGCAAATTATGTTCAAAGTTCTTTGATGATGTTTTATGGGCCTGAAATTAGGTCTTATCTTCTCCTATCCCTTTGGATTTTTTTATTGAACTATAGAGTCCGGTGCAGTTTGAAGTTCTCCTTTTAACACTATAGTTCATGAACACCCCCATTCTTAGCATGGTAAGCCTTGTCTTGGCACTTTTCTCAGTGCTTTCCTAAGATGTGTAAGCACTCCAGGGAGGGAGGAAGCACTGCACATGCCTATTCCCTGCAGTGACGCAGGCTGGCAGAGTCTCTCAATGCAAGTGAGAAAGAGCTGTTGTCAAAGGCTGGGGATAGAATTTTTCACTCTGCCTGGATAAAATTGTAACTTCTCTGCACTTGAGGGAGAGCTGCTTTTTTTTTTTCCCCCTCATCATTTTTGCATCTAGTTCTCACTTTGGCAAAGTCAGATGGGTTATTATAGTCTTTTCTTCTTTTTTCTTTTTTTGGCATCTGTTCTGGTTTGTTAAGACTGTAGTTGAATGTAGTATGTTAAGGGCACGTAATTCTTTCTGTTTTGTTTTTGGTTACCTATTCTCCTTCATATGACTGCAGTTGCATATGACGTGGTTCATAGATATACTTTTAATACTTTTAAATCCATCTCCACTAACAATGGCATTTATTTAAAATCTGATTGAAAATTTACCTATGTTCTTTTTTTTTTCTTTAGTTAGTTACATCAGCACAAACCTTTTTTTTCTCCCCATCCTCATCGTGTGCATGTGCGTGTGTGTATGTGTGTGTGTGTAAGAGGAAACTTGGTAAGAAGCATATCAAACCCCTATAGTTTGTCAGCTCATTAATCCAAGAGTTTGCCACCTTCAACATTCCAGACTAAGGCAACTTGATATTCTGCAAGCAGATATTCCTAGGACTGCAACTAAATTTCCCAGGGGAAAATTTCTAGCATAGTCTCCCAGACCATAGTCACAGTAGAGACGGTCGAATATCCAACAATACCCATTCTCATATTTTATTTTCAGTAATCCAACATTCATTTCTTATTTCCTGATCAGGATTTGGCTGAGAATGTGGCTGTCCACCAGATATTTTATTTCCCAGACTCCACTGCACCTTGCTGAGAAGATGTGAATAAGTTAGGGCAAGAAGGGGTGTGAGTGAAAACGATGGAGGTAACTTCCTAGTTTTATGGACATAAATGTTTTCTCTGGTGTACCTTTTCCTACCCTATGTTATTGGAACCCAATCATGGGGGCTTCCAGCTTCAGCAGCACAGGTGTGTCTGACACCCTGGGCAATGGCAGGGGAGGAAGACAGAAGGGTGTGGGCCCCTGCCACTGTAGTCTTCTCACCCATGGACTCTTAATAAAAGAGAAATATTTTCCAATCTCATTTAAACCTCAGCATTTTGAAATATTTTTATTGTAGCAGATTTTCCTGTACAGTAACTAACACAAAACACATTTAGAAAGTGTGGTTGCATTTTCCTCCCAAATATGAAGAAAAAATGGCCATGAACAATTCGTAAACTTCTACATACTGCTTTGATAAGATCAGGCTCATGAGCACTGAAATGTTTTCACAGTAAAGATAATGATTTATTGGAGTACTGTTGCTTTCCAGGCTTTTACATGTGGAGTTGTTAAAATGGATGTGTCTGTGGTCTTTTCGTGGGGGTGGGAAATGGAACCCTATCTGCTCTTATTTATTGGGATAAAATGATTGATGATAAATCACAAACGGAAACCCACATTCTGCCAGAAGATCTCACAACGGCATGATATTACCTTTCAGGAAAACTATAAAGGGATTAAAAAAGCAAGACAGAGATAGTAGCCTTTTTTTCAATGGCATCTTCCATTCCTTCACAGAGCTATCATCCCTAGAGGGATATTTTAAAAGCTGAATTCTTAGCCTTTTGTAATAACATAAGCACAACTTTTTAAGACTGACCTGACATCCTGCAACTACTTTTTTTTTTCCCCCTCCAGTGGAGATGTGAATCAGTGGCAGCTTCATAGCTTTTTATTGGATGTCTTTTGAGCATGGACTACATCAGTTTCCTATGGAGCCTGACAAAGGAGAAATTTTGGCAATGAGAAGAGCCTCTGGCATGTTAGAAACAGAAAGCAACATATATGCTTCAGAAATAGCAAATGGCTTGCCTGCCAAACCAACCCTGTGGTGCACAGGGTTCTGTATTACAAGCTTGCCTGCCTCTAAACTCAAAGCAGAGGGGAAAGCAGTGGAGTTCTTTTCTGGCTCAGAGCTGTTTCTCTTAAATCTGTGCTAAAAGAAAAACCCATGACCTTCATCTCTTAGCAAAAACCTCATGCCTTGCTGATTCTTATTTTAATGCAGACTTCTATGTCCTTGTATATAAAAGCAATTCTTTGAAGGCCTTAAGAAACAAACAAAGAATTGCAGTGGAATGCACGTATGAACTATTATTTATTTGGAATCATAAGCATGAATAGTATGCAGAAACAGAATTGACTTTTAAGAATAATAACTGAGAACTGTGTGGCATGTACTGTGCTAAGCATTCGACATGTCATTAATCTTAATAATTCCAGAGGATATACAATGTTATCTCCATTTTACAAATGAGAAAACTAAAAGTAACACTCCCAAGGGAATACAGCTAGTAAGTGGTAGATATGGGCTGCTAATTCAGGTTTACCTAGTTACCGAATCTGTTATTGCCACTGTATTTTGTTGTACAGACCTTACTTACTACATAAAGCAACATAAACTATTTAGTGTCTATGTACTAATTGCAGATAAGTGTCACTAAAAAGAAGTAAGAGTTAACTTTATTTTTTATGAAAGAAATATGACCATGAGCTGTATAATTACAGACATTTTCTCTGAATTTTGGAGCCCTACCTAAATTTTGAACTGAAGTCCTCGGAAATCATGCCAACCTTAAAAGCTTGTGGCAGGCAATGAAATATTTATAAAATGTGACAATAAATACTATTCTTGGTAATAATGTATAAGTCATTTTATATTTTGCATTTGCTTTTTTCTTAAAATCCCCAGAATTCCAAAAGTCAAAAAGCACTATCATGTAAACACACACACACACACACACACAAATCTAAAATAACACCTTACAAGGATGTTTGTTTTGGCTTCTCAAGAGAAAAAAGAGTTCTGTAGCTTAAGAACACAATGCTGACTGAACAAAAAACAAAACAAATCAAAACCAAGCAACAACAACAGAAAGATGAAGACCATTTGTTTTTGTAAAGAAAATGCAAGGGACAGAACCTTGGAAGCCTTTTGCATCACTTGTTGTTTCTCCTGATTTTCCTAGCAACAGAGTGAATACAGCTACAACTACCAAGCCAAAACTTGTGGTTTCTTTGAGTCAAAGCCCAGCTCTCAGCAAATTGATTTTTGTTTCAACTAATTGCCTGGCGTTGGAGGCACAAAAAGATAAATCAAGACTTTTGTGTTCCAGATATTGAGTTTGATTCTATACATGAAAATAATCTGTTTCATTCAACCTTTCTGGACATAATGGCTTCACTGTTCAAAATATGATATTTTTTGCCATTTTTGGCACCGCTCCCAATCTGTTTGAAAGCCTTCCGGTATCTTCCACCAAATATTTCATTTTGCATCATAGTCACCTAGTCTTTTTCCTTTGGTCATGGAATAATTTGAGGCAGGTTTCCTGGGAAGCTATGCCCAGGGTACTCACATTTCTCTCTCTCTCTCCTATTAAAACTTACCTCTTCTAAGTGATAAGCTGTGTCAGTCCTTGCTCTTTACAAGTGTCAGTACATTAGTTTATAAAATCTCAATGTGGTCATCTATTTAACTACAGAAATACTTGTCTGAATGTAAAAAGAATATCAAGCATGGAGTAAGAACCACTAGAATTCAGTAAAATGCTATCATTTTGTCTAATGGCTTTTTAAGATGAAATCATGTAATTTACCATTTTCTTACCACTACTTCATATTCATTCATTCATCCATCTATCCATGTACCCATTCATTCATCATCCATCCACTTATCTTTCCATTTATCCAACCATCCTCAATTAATATTAATTTGCTCATCAAAAAAATTAGTATTGAGCTGCCAGCTTAGTTTTTCAGGTGCTAGAGCTACAGCAGTAAAAACGTAAAACAAAATGGTTCTGCCTTCATAGTACTTGCATTTTAGTGCATAAAGAATTAATAACGACAAGCAAAGGAAAATATAACATGGTATATAAAAATAAGCCCTATAAAAAGGATAAACCTGGGCAGTGGGGAAAATGGGGAGATGTTGGTCAAAGGGTAAAAAGTTTTATTTTTGCAAGATGAATAATTTCTGGAGATTTAATATGCATCATGGTGACTACAGTGAATAATACCGTATTATATACTTGAAATCTGCTAAGAGAGTAGACCTTAAGTGTTTTCACTACCAAAAAGCAAAACATCACATTGCACACATTAAAAACGTAACAATTTTTATTTGTCAAGTATACTCCAATAAAGCTGGGGAGAAAAGGAAGGCTAAAACAAATTAAGAAGCAAAAAGCAAAGGGAGTGCTGGAGATAAATGGACCTATTTTTTGTTGTTGTTCTTTTAAGATTGGTTAAGGAAAGTGTTTTTTTTTATTTTTTTATTTTTTGTTTGTTTGTTTGAGACGGAGTCTCGCTCTATCACCCAGGCTGCAGTGTAGTGGCATGATCTTGGCTCACTGCAAACTCTGCCTCCAACATTCAAGCGATTCTCAGGCCTTGGCCTCCCAAGTAGCTGGGATTACAGGCACGTGCCACTACGCCTGGCTAATTTTTGTATTTTTAGTAAAGATGGGGTTTCACCATATTGGCAAGGCTGGTCTCAAACTCCTGACCTCTGGTGATCCACCAACCTCAGCCTCCCAAAGTCCTGGGATTACAGGCATGAGCCACCCCACCAGGCCGGAAAAGTTTTTAAATAAGGCGACATCTGAACAGATCAGTGAAAAGGGTAGAGAAGCCAGCCATAAAAATAACTATCTGAAGGAAAGCTTATAATTAGAGAAGAGCAAATTCAAAGGTCCTGAGGTAAAAACAGATGCTCGGCATGTCTAAGGAATGTTAAGGAGGGCAGTCTGATGTGTGATTGGAATGGAGTAAATAAGGAGAAAAATGATGAGATGAAATCGTGGAGTTATCGATGGGCCATATAAAGTAAGGTTTTGTAGGTCATGATAAATATTCTGTTATCTGTTATGATTTATCAACAAATTACCTAAAATAATTTATTATTAGCTCCTCTGATCCCGTAAGCTGAGTCAACTGAGGGTGAGGTTCTTGCTTGTAGTTTCTTAGGACATACAGTCAGATGTCAGCTAGGTCTGCAGTCATCTGAGGATTCAATGGGGCTTTATGTCCACGTCACTTGTCTGAGTTGGTGTTGGTTATCTGTTAGATGCTTATTTAGGGCTGTCAAACAAAGAGCCCATATGTGGCTTATTTATGTGTCTTGAGCTTATTATAAAATGGGGCCTGGGTTTTTAAGAGACAGCGTCCCAAGAATAAATTTTAAATTTGAGCATTCCAAGCAGCAAGAAAGAGAAGTTGCCAATTTAGTTAAGGCTGTGTCTAGAACTGACACAGCAACACTTCTGCCATATTCTATTTGTCAAAGCAGTCACAAAGCCACTCAGAAGCAAAGGAATGTAGAGATAAACTCAATCTCTTAATGGAGAAGAGGCAAGATCATATTACTGAAGAGCATGTGAAATGGTAAGTGCTGTTGCAGACACATTTTGGAAATATAAGTTGCCACAATAAGAATATTGGATTCCATTAGGAATATATTATAAAGGTACTGGAGGGTTTTGAGAAGAGAAAAGATATCATATTGTATGACTTAGAGTCTTTTTGTTGAGATAGAATTTAGTGGCGCAAATGAGAAAAATTGAGATTACTTTAAGAAGCTATCGGCCAGGCGCAGCAGCTCACGGCTGTAATCCCAGCACTTTGGGAGGCTGAGGCAGGCAGATCATGAGGTCAAGCGATCGAGACCATTCTGGCCAACATGGTGAAACCCCATTTCTACTAAAAATACAAAACTTAGGTGGGCGTGGTGGCACACGCCTGTAGTCTCAGCTACTCAGGAGGCTGAGGCAGGAGAATCGCTTGAACCCGGGGAGGCAGAAGTTGCAGTGAGCCGAGATCTGCCACTGCCCTCCAGCCTGGTGACAGAGCAAGACTCCGTCTAAAAAAAAAAAAAAAAAAAAAAAAAAAAAAGAATCTATTAAAATAATCAAAGTGTAAATAATTAATTTAATGGCTTTTGCTAGGGTGTTGGAAGTGAAGATGGCAAAATGAGATTGGATTGTGCATTTACTGACAATGAGATTTGCTGATGAATTTGATACAGGTTGTGAGAAAGAGATTAGTCTACTAACAATATTGGCTGAGCAACTTGGAAAATAAAGTTCCCAGTTACTCAGGTAGAAAAAGTGTAGGAAGACCAAATATGGAGGTTTCCAAATCAAGAATTGAATTGGACATGTTAAATTTTAAATGCATATTGGAAGTTAAAATGGAGGTAATTTCAGGAGTTCAAGTGTTAGGTTCAAGACAGAGACATGAATTTGGAAAAATCAGGTTCTAGATGATTTTTAAACCATGATACTTGAGGAGTGCCCATATAGTAAGCATACAAAAAGAAGAAAAGAGGGCACTGGATGCATGTCTGGGTTACTCAATGTTCAAAGCTTGGGGAAATGAAGAAAAGGATGTGCATAGCCATGAGCATCACTCTAGTCTAAGAATCTCCTAAGCATTCTTACTGACAATATTACTGATGACCCCACCGCAACCCCAAGCTTTCTTTATCCATTTGCCTGTCAAGTCAGAACGACCTTCATCAAGTGCAGCTATAGTCCAGTCATGCTACCTTTCTGCTTAAAACCATTTGCCAGTTATTTAGCTAATGCTCAAACACCTTACTTAGACCTCATGACCTGTAAGCCCCTGAAGGATGGCTCATCTGCAAATGTTCTTCTTGTTACTACCTGTACTATCTGCATTAGGTTCTACCTAGAATGTTTCCCCCAATATCAGGGTATTAGGCCTGCCCAGCCTCCTGTCTAGAATTTCATTCCACTTCATATCTTCACCAATTTAACTCCTCATCACACATCTCTTCTCCATTTGCATGCCATATGCCCTGATACTTGATCAGATTCCTTTGCTTTAGCCCTTACATCTTCCTATCTATTCTTCAAATAAAATGAAATTTCAAATTACACTATTCTGCATTTATTGGACAAATATCTGTCATGATCATTAAATTCAATAAAAAAGGCTTCCTGCTTCTTTGAGTGACTACTCATTGCCTGGGGTCCTGGTACAGTCTCTGGCACAGAGAAATCCCTAGTGGTTAAATAAATTAATTAATTAACTTTTGTGTAACATTACTTAACATCTAAAATGGGTGCTGGGAGATAAAAAATTGCACGGGAATTTGAATATAGATTTAAGAGAAAGATAAATATATATAAGATATAATATAATTCAGTTAATTACCCTTATCTTGCAATGCTACCCCCATCTATGGAGCTTTCTAATATATTAGCATGATATTAGAAGGAATAAAAAAACTCAGACAAATTCTCCTTCATGTTCCTCTTCATTGGCTATATAGTTAATCCACTTACTCATAAAGCTGTGTTTGGTGGACGACAGTGTTAGCAAGTTAGGGTTTCCAGGCACTAGGCTCGCTGGGTCCATTTTGAAGGTCCCATAAGCCTTTTTTTTTTTTTTTTAATATGTGCAGAGTTCATGTTTTCATCAAAAGACAAACCCTCTTTGTTTTCCAATGCATTATCCTGAATTCTTTTCATCTTGCTACAGTTTCCATTTTTAAGACTTCCCTACCTTCTTCTTGTTCCTCATCTGCATGAGTTGCAAGCATTTTGCCAATGCCTCCAGCAAGTGGAGTCTTTTTCCTAAACCATTTCCACATGTGGCAATATTTTCTCCTAGAGCTGTTAAGCTTTTTATCCTTGCAGTTTGAGACAGAGGTAACTTACAGCATAGAGTCTCTGGGTATTGAAAACATGATGGATGTCTTGTTTGTCTTGATTGTACCTTGCCTCTATCTCAGGCATGCACCAAATAGTCTGCCTTATTGATGACTGTGACTCAAGTCACTAACACTCAGCAGTGACAGCTCAGCTGCAAACTGATCACGAGCTTTCCCTTTTGTGCCATTCTTCCCTCGCTTAATTCCTAAATGGCTATTTCTTATATTTTTATTGAATTTGTTTTTGTTCAGTCCTTAAATATTTTCTAAAGAACCTTCAATCAGTTTAAATCAGAATGTTCTTTATAGTGTTGGTTTTTTGCCCTCATTATTTATTAAGACACTTACTGAATCATAATTATTTACTTCATAAATATTATTTGTATTTTTCCAGTTGCTTATGAGATAAGAATTAATATCTTCATTTCAGCTTTCAACAAAGTGTGCTTCCAAGCAAAATTCATATCCAATTTTACAATGCCCAAAAGATTCTCAAGAACATTAGAATCTAGAAATAAAAAAGTATAAGATGATACATCTAATTTGCAAAAATATATATAGTGATTTTCAACATTAGTATGATAAATATAAATAAGAATAGAAATTGTAGAAGGCCCTTTTGGTGTTTAAAATCCATAGCAAAGATACAGATACATAAATGGGGTATTTAACTAGAGTGTAGAGTTCTCCATTTCTAACATATTTGAAGACTCAGGTCTGTGAAATATTTGTGATATCACATTTTCTCACAAGTAAATATCATTATAAATTTTAGGAATAACTTGTGAGTTGAAAATAAGTCTTTTAATTTAACATTATTACAGTAAGTTAAGGGGTTGGGAGGGAATATTTCTGAAGAAATAATTTGCAACGATGTGTCATCTAAAAAACAGCAATTCTGAATTGCACATTAAGTGATACCAGAACATTATTTTGGAAAGTTACTCTAAAATGACAAGAATTGAGGTCTCTTATGATTTTCTAGAGAGTTTCTGTGTAGATATCTTTAAGCAGTATTTGCATAATGTTGAGTGCTGATGGTAGAGTAGCAAGATATTTTATTTACTTACAGTAGAAAGCAGTATCTTGCAAAAGAAAATAGTTCTGTCATCATAACTTGTGACTCTAGGATTATGACCAGGACAAGGCTGGTTTTGTGATAGCAAATGCTGTATTTCTCTGTGGGCATAACTTTACATGCAAAGAAGTACTGATATAGGATATTTTATTTCTTTCAATTGAATTATTTTTTTATTTTTTATACACAATATAATTAACAAGTGAGACTCTTCCCACATTACACCAGCAGAAGAACAGAATAATAGGATTTAAAAGTATTTCAACACCTGACTTTTCAGTTAATAAAGACATCCAAATGGTAAAATTCTGTTTCAGCTGATTAATTTACATAAGTTAAATTAACAGATCTTAAAAAAGGCATCTCTACTTCCAACACACACCATGCTGGTGGGTGTCAATTGCGCAGCTGAGAAGAGCAACAGTTTTGGGTCACGAATTTTAAATGTGATAATTCAGTTCAAGAAACCATGTCCCTAATAACCAGCTCTCAGTAATTTTAAAATAGTTTTTTTGTTTGCTCAAGTTTTTATTTTAACCACTGATTTCCCTCTCCCTTTCACCATTCCCGGCCAGTAATTTTTGAAAATTATGGGTATTAGTACAACGTCTAGAATGTACCAAGAAAATATAGGATGGGTACACTGATGTGTTTGTTTTTGTTACAGAAGATTTAAAGATGCTTTTTAGAACTCTGAAGCATAAACCAATGACATAATTAAATGGAAAATGTGTTATTTCTTCTGTTTTTATTAGCTAGCTGTATAGGCAATTGATTTCCAAGTGATTGGTTATTTTGCACCGTAGTCAATTTTTACTTGTGATATATTCCAGCAATAGAATTTTTTCTACTGCTGTGGAGAAATTATTTGGTATCTTCGAATGCAGAGAAGAGTTACCTTTAGCATCTATGTGATTGGAAGTTACTATTAGTTGTTAATCTTTCTTTCGAGCAAAGCTCCTTTTTGTTCCCATTGGCTTGCTCAGAGTCATACTGGGTAAGTCCCTGCATCCAAATAAAGTCCTTTGCATGAAGTTTTAAAGTTGTTCATATTTTAATTATAGAGACCACTCAGATTTTTTTTTTCTGATTCATTAAAGGTAGGCAATAACATGAACCTAAAGTTTAGCATATTTATGAGGTTCATAATTTCCATGCTTGGAAGCATGAGAAATCTCAAAACTAGAAGAAATTAACATCAATTGTTGCCCCTTGATTGCCATTTGATTTGGTTCATTTTCTTTGCCTTTGCCGTTTTTCATAAACTAAGGGAATAGCAAGGCTACTCTTGTGATTAGGATAAACATCAGCCCCCTACTTAGAACCCCATTAGTCAGTGTACTCAAGGGAAAGTTATAATTTATTAGCAGCACTTTCAAGGCCATGATTTCCTTTTAAGCCTTACCTCTCATCACTTTCCTGATTTCTCACCAACCCCCTCACAATATTTTCCTTTCCAGGGTCCTGACGTGGGCCATTTTCCAGCTACTTGATATTCTTTTTCTCTTACCTGAGCTGCCTGTCTTCCCCAGTTCTTCTTCTTTTCTTATACCCACCTCCATTTCTCGACAGTCACTACCTCTGAGAAGCCTACCCTGACCTTCAGATACTAGGCTGGATCTCCTTACATGGAGTCTCACGGCATCTGTTACTCGGATTCTCTCTCCTCAACCCTACTCCAGCAGCCAGAGCATAACTCTGTTATGGTTGGCTGTTTGTAATCCAGGCTTCAGTGACATTTCCAATTTCTGGTTGGATATAAGTGATTTAATAATTTTCTGATTAATTAAAAGGTTGATTTGCAAACATTCTAGAAAGCATAATGCATTATTTTCTTCCTCCATTTGATCATCAGTTACCAATTCCTTAACACCTTATAATCTGGCTTTCTTCTGGTTTCTTCTGGATGTCGTCTCTGGACATAATCTATTAACAGAGTCTTTCTGATTGTCAATCCAGTTTTCTCTTCTTTGTCCCACCCTCTTTTACCTCCTTGAAATGTTTAACACAACTGGTCATTTCATTCTTTTTAATAATATTGCTTCCCCTCAATTTATAATAAATATTTAACTCTGTTCTATTTCTCTCCAAATTTCCATAGACAATGATTAGATGTTCTCCACGTTTTCCTTGGGGAAGATTTTCTTTGTTGGCTTTCCTTTAGAAATCAGTCAGGTTCATAGCCTCAACTCTCACTTCTGTGCCCAGGACACTTAAATTATTCTTTTTAGTCTAGCTTCTTTCTGGAGATTTAGTCTGTATTTTCTGTATGTGTAATGACTCTCTGGATATTTCCACTTAAATGTTCTGTTACTTTAAACCCAACAAGTTTGTAAAATACTCTCCTAGAACCCATTACATACTCAAAGACTTTATATTCTTTGATAACTCTCAAAACTGCCTGAAGTTGAAAGCTTTCATTCATTAATGGCGAATTATGTCTTCTCTCTTAATGTCTATATTCCTAAATCCTAATGAGTCCGTTTCCTCAGGATTTTTCACATGCATATTTTCTTTTCTTCCTGCTAATACACTATAGTTATGACATAGATTGGGTATGTTTTGTTCACATTCTTAAAAAAGAAAAAAACATCCATTTAAGTGACATTTATGTCTCAATTTTTTCACCATGACTCTAATAAAATTTTAACCCTTCTCAGAATGTTTTTTTTTTCCATTTTGAGAACAGCATGAAGTTAAAACATGTAAACCTTATACTCCAAATTCTAAACAATGTTGTCCCAAGCAACCTACTGTGATTTACCTCTCATCACTGCCTTTCTCAAAGCCATTAAGCTAGCCTAATTCATTTATTCAACTCCCATCTCAGTAAATGTTATATTTTTCTGCCTTTGAGATAAAGGCAGAAAAGTTTATACTATTCACTGAAGATGATAATGTGTTCACTGTACTCTTGGCCTACCTATTTCTATTGACTAAGTTTAGCAACCTTCTTTTATGCAACTTTCTGAGCTTATTTTCATATTACAGCCCACTCATATATTATGATTTGAGACAATAATTTATTATTTGTTCCTTTTATTTTATCCTCTGGAAACCCAGTTCACCATTTATATGAATGCTCCATAAGTACTAGTTGATTGCATTTTGCTATTAATCAAAGCATTTAATTTGATTAACATTTTTAACTGGAAAATTATGTTTGGTTGGGAATTTGGAATCTTTATTTAGTAAATGAAGACAAGAAACTGAATCATAATCATTACCACATAGGATTTAAGAGAAAAAATACATATTAAATGCTTTTGTGAATAATAATGCCAGAAGATGTGTTAAATTAGCTCTTTCTAAAATATTTTTACTTTGTTTACTTGGCATTTAATAAAATACTGAGAGAAATATCACAATTTTCTTGAATACCTTCTTCCTATCCTAGTCGTTCGGGTCAGTTTTGAAAGGAAAGTTACTTTATCATTTTATCTTTCAGATGATCTTGTTAGCTGGAAATCCTTGAAGATTTAAGTGAAGACTCTATAATGTTAATCAATTTTATCTAAGGCACTACCTAATTACAACATTTTGCTTAATATAGATTACCTGCATTTATATATAATATAAACAATGAAAGTTTATTCTCCATTATTGTCTGTTTTTGTATGTTCTTGATTATTGTATTATAATCAGAATTGCTTTTGATTGTATACACTGTTCATATCTCTTTAAACAATAAGGTTTCTTTTAAAAAAGGAAAAGTAAAACATATATTTTATTTATAATTGCCAAGGCTTTCCTGTTAATTATCTCTGATTCTCTTAACAACATTGTGAGATAAGAAATACTATTATTACCCCTATATTAAGGAAATAAATGTCATTTAGGAAGATCTTGTGATTTGCCTAAGATGAGAAAGTCATTAAATAGCAGACATATTATGTACATAAATATCCATGAATCACTCATCAAACTCTCCTTGCCTCTGTAACTTGGCTCATTTTAGAATTTAGAGGCAAATTAGAAAATGTTGCACATTTTTTTGTGTGTGTAAATAATATACTCCTTTTCCTATAATAATTTTTGGTAAGAAATTTCTTATGTAATATTTTACTCTTTCCTGACGTTGTCAACCTCTAGAACTGAGAACTCTAGAGCCCTATTCTTACCACATAATATACTGAAACCAACTGACATAATGTAACAGGAAGAATTTGCTTGAATAAGTAAGGTATTCATCATTGGAAAGATTTTAAAGACAAATTATAGAATGTTGCACATTTTTTGTTATGTAAATAATATATGCATTTTCCTTATAAGAATTTGGGGTAAGGAATTTCTTATGTAATTAAAAAGTCTATAATTTTACAAGTTGCTTTTTGAGACACACATATATAATTTATATACATCATTCCTTGGTATTCATAGTTGCTATACAGTATTGTTCAGGAAATAAAGAGAAAAAAGTCTATACATGTTCAGTACTGACTTAGTTTTTTTTTTTTTTTTTTTTTTTTTTTTTTTTTTCCCTTGTTTTCTATCCATTGTTAGTTGAATCCAGGGATAGAGAAACCACAGATACAGAGGGCCTAGAATATATAAAATCTACTCAAAACGAATCTAGGTTGACAATTTTTGTGCAAGATATTTGACTTTTACACAAAGTGATCTGAGAAATCATGTGAGGATTTGGAGCAGGGGAGTGACAAAATCTGATATCTTTTAACAGGATCATTTTGGCTGTTATGTTGAGAATAAACCCAATGGGGCAAGGACAAGGAGACTCCAGGTAAGAGATGATGTTAGTTTGGACAAGGATGACAGCAGTGATAGAGGTAAGAAACGATGAGATTCTGATGTTTGGAAGGAAGAGCCAACAGGGTTTTCTGACAAACAGGATAAGTGTTGTGGGAGAGTGGAGGAGGCCAGAACATAATTCCTACCTCACCAGAATACCATGAAAATGCTTAACAGGCAGCCAGCACACAGTAAGTTCTGAAATGGTATTTGATAATGTATGTCCTCTGGTAGAGATAAGCAAACTGAGATGCAAAGCTGTTAAATCACTCACCTAACATGACCTTGATAGTTAGTTAATGTTACTGCTGTAATGCAAATCCAACTGTAGACAAACTGTGCTAAAGGTCAAAGGCTGGGCCTACATCCTTGTCATTTTTTCTCATTCTACAGTGTCTTTTGATTTGAATAAAGATAAAATGCAGTGGAAATGTCAGTAGAATCAGAAATAAGTTTTTTCCTGAACATTTAAGTGACTTGCAACAGCCAGGTATAATTTTGTATTAACTGCGGGAAGCCTAACAATCAGGTTTCCTAAACAAGCATTTTTATCCAATTGACTGTCTTGAATAGATATTTTCCCATTAATGTTGCACATAGGTGAAATTCTGAGCCACACTTAAAGTCATGTTAATAGAGAACAAAATAATAGAGCCTTGGGAAATTTATTTCATGGCCTTTAGACTGCTTCTTTCAAAATCATTGTACTTTATAAATGGTTGGAGAGTTCTTCGGGAAACATTTGGTTACCGAGAATACTCATGGGGGCCACGAGAAGTTGAAGGAAATAATAAGAAAGCATCAACACCAAAATAGCTCTATAACATACACTTTAATAATTAATTTTAACTATAATTTTCTCTGACCCTTCTACCTTCTTTGATCACAGTGGTACTATGAGTTGTTTTCTGCTTAGATAAAACCATATTCTGATTCATATAATTTTTATGGTAATGCCTGAGATATTTCACTTTCTCTCCATCTTATTTAGCTCCTGTAGAGAAAGAAACCAATAGAAAAATGAAGAATGCTTTATGGTTGGCACGGCGGCTCACGCCTCTAATCCCAACACTTTGGGAGGCCAGCGAGGGCAGATCATGAGGTCAGGAGTTCGAGACCAGCCTTGCCAATATGGTGAAACCCTGTCTCTACTAAAAAATAAAACATACAAAAATCAGCCGGGCATGGTGGTGCATGCCTGTAATCCAAGCTACTCAGGAGGCTGAGGCAGGAGAGTCGCTTGAACCCAGGAGGGGGAGGCTGCAGTGAACCGAGATCACACCGCTGCACTCTGGCCTGGGCGACAAAGCGAGACTCTGTCTCAAAAAAAAAAAAAAAAAAAAAAAAAAAAAAGAAAAGAAAAATGCTGTATTTATTGCCTCAATGTTTCATTATATTTTCTATTTTATTTTATTTTATTATTTTTGTTTTTCCATAAGTTATTTGGGTACAGGTGGTATTTGGTTACATAAGTAAGTTTAGTGGTGATTTGTGAGATTTTGGTGCACCCATCACTTGATCAGTATACATTGCACCACATTTGTAGTCCTTTATCCCTCACCCCCTTCCCACTCTTCCCTACAAGTCCCCAAAGTCCACTGTATCATTCTTATGTTTTTGCATCCTCATAGCTTAGCTCCCACATATCAGCGAGAACATACGATTTTTGGTTTTGCATTCTTCAGTTATCACAGTTTCTTTATCCACTCATTGATTGATGGGCATTTGGGTTGGTTCCACAATTTTGCAATTGTGAATTGTGCTGCTATAAACATGTGTGTGCAAGTGTCTTTCTTGAATAATGACTTCTTTTCCTCTGGGTAGATACCCAGTAGTGGGATTGCTGGATCAAATAGTAGTTCTACTTTTAGTTCTTTAAGGAATCTTCACATTGTTTTCCATAGCAGCTGGAATAGTTTACATTCCCACCAGCAGTGTAGAAGTATTCCCTGTTCACCACATCCACGCCAACATCTACTGTTTTATGATTTTTTTTATTATAGCCATTCTTGCAGGAGTGAGGTGGCATCGCATTGTGGTTTTGATTTGCATTTTCCTGATCATTAGGGATGTTGAGCATTTTTTCATCTACTTGTTGGTCATTTGTATATCTTCTTTTTAGAATTGTCTATTCATGCCCTTAGCCCACTTTTTGATGGGATTGTTTTTCTTTTACTGATTTGAGTTCATTGTAGATTCTGGATATTAATCCTTTGTTAGATGGATAGATTGTGAAGATTTTCTCCCACTCTGTGGGTTCTCTGTTTACTCTGCTGACTGTTCCTTTTGCCATGCAAAAGCTCTTTAGTTTAACTGGGTTCCAGCTATTTATCTTTGTTTCTATTGCATTTCCTTTTGTGTTCTTGGTCATGAAATCCTTGCCTAAGCCAATGTCTAGAAGGATTTTTCCAATGTTATCTTCTAGAATGTTTATAGTTTCAGGTCTTAGGTTTAAGTTTTTAATCCATCTTGTGTTGACATTTTTATAAGTTGAGAGATGGGAATAAAGTTTCATTCTCCTACGTGTGGCTAACCAATTATCTCTGCACTATTTGTTGAAGAGGGTGTCCTTTCCCCACTTTATGCTTCTGTTTGCTTTGTTGAAGATCAGTTGGCTGTAAGCATTTGGGTTTATTTCTGGGTTCTCTATTCTGTTCCATTGGTCTATGTGAAAATGAACATACCGCTAAAAGCAATCTACAAATTCAACGTGATCCCCATCAAAATACCACCATCTTTCTTCACAGAATTAGAAAAAAACAATTTTAAAATTCATACGGAATCATAAAAAAGAGCCCTCATAGACAAAGGAAGACTAAGCAAAAAGAACAAATCTGGAGACATCACACTACTTGATTTTAAACTATACTGTAAGGCCATCGTCACTAAAACAGCATGGTATTGGTATGAAAAATAGGCACATAGATCAATGTTTCATTATATTTTCTTACTTGCATGTTTCTATCAGATTTTTCCTTTTAGCTTACTGACAAAATTAATATCCCTATGTACTAAGCCAGTATATTGCATAACCCTTGGCATACTTTTCTTCTCTTTGCAGGTTCATCATGTATACAGTCCACATTACATGCAGATAGAATTTGTTCAAAAATAATTTCTGACATGAAAGTTGGGCTTCAGAGGTTGATTAAATGAGGACAGAGCATCAAAAAATCAAAGACAATTACAGATATTTACATGTATGTGTGTATATGCTTGTATATATGTACATGTTTTATATCATTGTGTAGTAATTTGACCTTTTTCTTTGTGTATACAGTTCTATATATTTTAACATGCATCTAAATTTGGGCAGCCACCACCATATACAGGGCAGTCGCATCACTCCAAACATTCCCTCCTACTCTCCTGTATAGTCACACCATTCCTCAATACCTAACCTCTGGTTGTCACTGCCCTTCATCACTACAGTTTATTGCTTAGCAAATGCCATATAACTGAACTCATAAAGAGGTAATTCTTTAAAACTGCCTTCTTTCATTCCGCATAACACCTTGAGATTCATTCAAATTGTGTTTATTTGTGTTCAAGTTGTGTTGTCAAGTTGTATTAATTCAAGTTGGTTCATTCCTTTTTATTGCTGAACAGTATTCTGTGGAATGAATATACCACAATTTGGTTTAAGGACATTTGGGTCAAGAATATCTCGATTATTTCCAATTTGGAGAAATGATGAATAAAAATGCTATGAAAAGAAGTGACATCAGCAAAATATTTTATTGGAAGACTTTAGTGCTTCTCCTGACAACAAAAACAGCCAAAACAGCTGATTAACAACTACATTTTAACAAAAATAATTAAAGAGAGCATGAGCGTATGTCAAAGGAGTAACAGAAACCCTGGTCTACACAGAAATTCAGGATAACCACATAGAGAACAGAAGAAAACATCTGTCTTCCACTACCCCATTCCCCAAGCAGGATCAGCCGGGAACCAGGAGGCATTATCTTTATAGAGAAAAGATAAGCAAGAGGAACCCAGCTGCCCCCGTCAATACCATGGACAACTATAGTCCATGCCACTGAGGTCACCTGCAGTCCTCACAGGTATTAAGCCCAGCTGAGGGAGCTGCCTGAGGTCTACACAACTGTGCTCCCAACACAGAAGCAGCCAATCCTGGGTCCCACCCTCTGTGGCCTGTGCAGCTACTGTCCTCTGCCATCTAGGAAATAGAACTACTGCTGGAGTGTGTTATGCTAAGGGGGCAAGAGCCCATAGCACCCCTTCATCCTTGAGGCAAGGCTGCTGCCAAACCACCCCCATTCAATGGTGCAATATCACCAGACTAAGCTGCAACCTGCTGTTACATGGGGCCAAGTGGCAGTGGAGCTGCTACACCTATTTACCCCTCTTAGTCCCCAGGCACAGCTGTACCCAGACCCCTGAGGTTGGGGCTGAAGATGTATACTCTTCTGGGGAAAGTGTGCTTGGCATAACTGTTTCACCTACCTCTCTTAGATGTGACTGTGCCCAGCCTCTAAGGGTCTAAGCTGAAGCCGAATGCTGCCACCTGGGAAAAAAGTGTCTTGGCAGAACTCCTCCATCTACCCCTTCCAAGTGTGGTTGAGCTGAAACTGCATTCTTCCTCCTAGAGAAACTAGGCTTTGGCAGACCTGTTTCATCTGTCTCTACCAATTATGGTGCTCTGCACCCTTGTGTCAGAACTGAAGCTGCCCACTACCTCCTGGGGAAAGTGTGCCTTGGTGGAGCTGCTCCATCTACTTTTCACCGTTGCTACTGCTGCATCCTGCCTCTTGTGGCCTTAGCTAAAGCTATACATTTCCTCCTGAGGTAATGGTGCCTTGTCATAGTTGTCCATAGGCCCTTCCCAGTCACTGATGAACCCTGCCCCTAAAAGTCTGAGCTGAAGCTGCATGCTGAGTCCTGTTGAAATGATGCCTTGGCAGAGCTGTTCCAAAAATACATAGGCCTGTTGCCTATGTTAAAGCAACACTCTGCCTCCCAATAAACACACCTGACACCAAAAAATAAACACACCAATAATCACACCTGACCCCAAAAAACATCCTGTAGCTAAGTCTCCCCATTATGAGAAAAATAATAGGAGGACCCCAAAAGCCCTTGGCACCAAGGATTTTAACAACCTATGCTGTCATCACCACTTCCATGAACTTCAACAGCCTAGGCTACTGAGGTACCCGCAGTTAATTGCTCATGTTGATTGCAGGTGAAGAAGCTGTATAGTGACTATAGCATTGCATCTACCTAGAAATAATCACCTCATCTGACACAACAAGACTCAACAGCAGGTGAAGATCTCTCCCTATGAAAGCCACACTACACAGCTCAGAGGAGGCAATTGTTCTACCAGAGGTACAGATACCAAAGCAGGAACACAAGAAACATGAAAAATCATGGAATTATGACAGCATCAAAGTAACACAGTAACTCTCTGAAAAAGGCCCCAATGGAAAGGAAAACGACAAATTGTCAGAAAAAAAAAATTCAAAATAATGATCCTAAGGAAACTTAGCAAGACAAAATGCAGGTAGACAATTCAACAAAATCAGGAAAACAATTCACAACGTAAATGAGAAAACGAACAAAGAAATATCATAAAAAAGAACAAAACTGAATTCTGGCATCTAAAACTTCAGTGAATGAAATAACAATAGAGAGCTTCAACAGCAGACTTGATTGAGCAGAACAAAGATAGGTCATTTGAAATTACACAGTCAAAGAAAAAAAAAGAGATAATAAAAAGAAGTGAATAAAGCTTACAAGACTTACAAGCCACCTTTAAGTGAAACAATATTCATATTATGAAAGCCTCAGTAGGTGAAAAGATAGGCAAAGGCATACAAAATTAACCCATTTAATGAAATAATAGCTGAAAAATTTCCAAGTCTGGGAAGAGATATGAATATCCAGGTCTAAAAAGCTGAAAGGTCTGCAAATACATTCAACTCAAGAATGTGCTCTGTAAGGCATATTATAGTCAAATTGTCAAACGTTAAACGACAAAGAATTCTAAAAACATCAAGAGAACAGCATCAAGTCTATTCCTGATATAAAGGAATTTTTATTAGACTAACAACAGACTTCACAGCAGAAACCTTAGAGTCCAAGATAGAAAGGGGAAGATGTATTCAAAGTGCTGAAAGAAAAAAATTACCAGCCATGAATACTATATTCAGTAAAGCTATTCTTCAGAATGAGGAAGAAATAAAGTCTTTCCAATACAAGCAAACACTGAGAGAATTCCTGGCCACTAGATCAGCCTAAAAAGAAATGTTCAAAGAAAACCTACATCTGAAAGTGAAAAGATAATAATCACCATCATAAAAACATGCAAAAGCGGAAAACTCACTGGAAGAGCAGATACACAAATGAGAACGAGAAAAGAATTAATCTATATCACTAGAGAAAACCACCAAACTGCACTGATAAACAATGAGAGAAATAAAAGGACAGTGGATATACACAACAACCAGAAAACAATTAACAAAATGACAGGAGTAAGTCCTTGCCTATCAGTAATAACTTTGTCTGTAAAGAGATTAATCTCCCCCATTTAAAAAACACAGAGTAGATAAATGGTTAAACTATGTCCCAACTATATAATGCCTACAAGAACTTCACTTCACCTATAAAGACACACATAGACCAAAAGTTAAAAAATGAGAAAATACATTCCATGCAAATGAATTCAAAAGTGAATGGGTGTATCTATACTTATTCAGATAAAACAGACTTAGTAAAAAACAGCAAAAAGAGACAGAGAAAGTTATTATATAAAAAAACTTGATTCAGTAAAAATGATATAACAATTATAAATATATATGTGCCCAACACTGGAGCATCTGGATATACAAAGAAAAAAATATTATTAGATCTAAAGGGAGAAAGAGATTCCAATAAAATCACATTTAAGGACTTCAACACCCCATTTTCAGCATTGGAAAGATCATCTAGACAGAAAACCAGTAAAGAAACATTAGCTCTCAATGGCACCATAGACCAAATGGATCTAACAAATATTTACAAACAAACAATAATCTGATTAAATGGGCAAATTAGCTGAATAGACATTTTTCAAAAATAAGACACACAAATGGCAATAGGTATACGAAAAATGTTCAACATCACTACATTATCAGGGGAATGCAAATCACTGTGGATACAAAGATAAATATGATAAGATTCATGACTCAAAATAATTTTCAATCTAATGAACCGATGTTTTTGGCCAAATAGGCCCTAAATAATGAAAGGCTTTGTGAAGTATCCTAGCTGTGACAGTTTAGAGATCAGAAATATCTTATATCTGGTCATTTAATTCATGGAGTACTATATATTCTTCATCTTATTATTTTATTTTTCAAGATGCCTTACCATAATTTTTTTTTCTTATTTCTCTGAAGAATGTTATTTGTTGTGTGGTAGGAGTTGATTAGATCTTCAGATCACTTTGAGTGATGTAATCATTTTCACAGTATTAATTCTTACATGAATTGCTTTTCCATGTTTTATACTTTTCCTGATAGAGTTCTTTTGCCTTCTTGGTTAAATGTATTCCTAGTCATTTTGTCTTTTTCAGATAATCTGTTGTAAATAGGATTGCTTTCTTGATTTCTTTTTCTGTTACTTTGTTGGTGGTGTATTGAAATGCTACTGATTTTTATATGTTGATTTCATATCCTGCAATTTTACTGAATGTTTTTTCAGTGCTAAATGATTTTCGATGGAGCTTTTAGGTTTTTATAGACCCCAATGGAAAAAATAAAAACTCCCTTCATTTTTTATTTTCAGTTATCCTATAATAGAATATGAATTCACAAATATAAAAATAAAATGCTAGTGGATTGGATAATTTTATTTTCTCTATGAGGCAATTTATGGCCCCTGGAGACAAAGCTATGGAATCCTTGCTTACACACTTTTTAATCTTCATCTTACATGTCCAGGCAATGATTACTATGCTCTAGTATTCCCTCACTTGCTTTTCCTAAGCAATACTTTTCAACATAATAAAATCACTCGTTAGCCATTTTCAAGTGGCTTTTATCATTCAACAACCATGGCACATGAACAGGGTACTTAGCTATCTGTGTGATTTTTTCGTGTTTCAGGATTCCACCTTCAATTCCTTCAGATTTTTACTCAAATGTAGCATTCTCAGAGAAGTCTTTCCTGACCCCGTACTTAAAATCACTGCCCTGACTTCTTATCCTATTCCTTTCCCCTGCATGCTTTTCTCCTTAGCACATAGCATTATCAAATATATCATGTATTTTACTTGCTGATTCAGTTTTTTGTTTGCATGCCCCACTAGAGTGTAAGCCCCATGAAGGCGGGAAGTAGTTCCTGTTATCACTTCAGGGTTTAGATCAGTTGCTAGTAAATTTTAGGAATTCAATAATATATGTTGAATGAGTGAAGGGACAGCTTATAATTCCTCCCACTTTTCCCCCTAAGTGAAGAACAGATTTTATTTTGCTGGCAGCTGCATTCATTTTTCTACTTCTTTCCTCAAAGATTCACTGAGTGAGTGCTGCTTTCAGGTTTTTTTACAAAACAAATGAAATAAAAGGAGAAGTCTATCAACTTTGAAGAAAACTGGCTAATTAAATGGTGCTTCTCTTTAGTCAACATGAGGTTTTTTTCTGGAATCTGCCATTTTCTAGAGGTGAACTATTTCAATGGAATAAACTTGCCTTATTATGCACTATTTTGGTACCAACTATCTATTTTTAATTTATAATAATAATGCGTAAAGAATATTTACTATATGCAAAACACTTTATTTTTTAGTATTTATTTATTTATTTATTTACTTATATTTTGAGACAAAGTCTCACTCTGCTGCCCAGGCCAGAGTGCAGTGGTGAGATCTAGGCTCACTGCAACCTCCACCTCGCAGTTTCAAGAGATTCTCGTGCCTCAGCCTCCCAAATAGCTAGGACTACAGGCACCCACCACCACGCCTGACTAATTTTTGTATTTTTAATTAGAGACGGGGTTTCACCATGTTGGCCAGGCTGGTCTCAAACTCCTGACCTCAGGTGATCCACCCACCTCAGCCTCCCAAAGTGCTGGGATTACAGGCGTTAGCCACCACACCCAGCTGCAAAACACTTTAAATACAGAATGCCATTTAATTATCACAAGAAACCTATGAGATAAACATTATTTTCCCTGTGTCAGAAAGACAAAGGAGCAGAGATATAAAGAGGCTGAATACCTTTCCTAAAGAAGGTCACATAGTGAATAATAGTGCTAAGACCTGAACTATTTGTCAATAAAACACATACTTTTAAGCATATTACTGTCTTGCATTAAAGTTACAAAATGTGTAATGTTAGAGCTGAAAATGATATTAGAAGTTGCCTAAAACTTTCTTAAGTCAGATAAAGGAATGAGACCTAGAATGATTTGCCAGTGATGTGATGCTATTTATGGGAGGAGAAAAAGCAAGAAGAGCTTATGAACACATTTCCTGAAACACATTCAAGTACTTTTCTATCATACAAAGAATGGACAATGGTACAAATATCTTCTCATAAGCATATACAATGCGAATTTTTTGATGATTTCCATGGAGCTAGTATCGATGCAGAATTACATTCTGTCTTACTATAGTAGTTGATTAGATAGATCTGGAAACATTCACACACACACACACACACACACACACACACACACACACACACACACAAATAATATCGTTCTAGACAAAGACTACTGTTATAACCATAAAGATGTACAGGTAATAAGATCAGGTAATTCTTATTTGGAAAGTACGACCTTTGAAATCTTGAACAAAACTCAGTGAAAAGTCCATTTTAAATCAAATCAACAATCAGACACAAAATTTGAGATACACCAGGATGATCTTCGGAAATTATCTAAAAATTCATTTTTTTCCATATCTATCAATATTTTGATGATGCCAAAATTTTTCCCTATAACACTTTTATGCTGTAATATATTAGATATAGTATATTCCCACCAGCACCCAGGAAGTATTTATTTCATTATCTGAACAACTTGATAGTACATAAGCATTATACAATATTTGATGTCTTCCATCCTACTTTTGCCACCTATTTATGAAAAACAAAATGAAAAAAAAAAGCTTATGTACTTATGACCTGTTTTTATTACCGTAAACTTCAAATTGTAATTGTGTCATTACCAGCTAATACCAAAATCTAGTTATGGTCAGAAAAAATAATTTTCAGACCGATTATTTCAAAATTTAGTTGTTTTTGGAAGATATATTCAAAATATACAGCTAGATACATACAAATTCTCCAGGCTATGATAATCAGCATAATATATGTAATATTTGGTCTCATTTTGTTTTCCTTTTTATTTTAAAATAGTACATTCTCATAAGAGATTTAAAAAACACATACAGAGAGTTCATTTGTACTTCTCATTCAGCTTCCCCTAATGACAAGTATCTTACCTTACTAGAGCATATTATAAAAACCAGGAAATTTACATTAGTATACTGCTATTAACTCAACTGGATTTCACTAGTTTTATAAGAACTCGTTTTTTAAGTAGAATTTATACTTATATGAAATTTTATTACATATAAAATTCATGTAGCTATCACCATAATCAGGATAGAGACTTCAGCACTCACGTTACTACTCTGTAAACATCTCCCTTCTCTTAACTTCTGGCAACCACTGATTTGTTCTCTATCATTATTAATTTTGTCAGCTGGATAATAATATACAAATGGAATCATATAGTATCTAACCTTTTCAGATTGCCTTTTTTTCACTCAACATAAAGTCCTTGAGATCAATGCAAGTTGTTACATGTAACTATAATTTGTTCCTTTTAATTACTGAGCATCCTATTTTGGGATGTATCATTCATACTTGTTTATATGTTCACCCTTTGGAGTCATTTGGGTGGTTTCCAGGTTTTAATTATTACAAATAAAACTTCTGTGAAAATTTATGTACAGGTGTTTGTGTGGGCATAATTTTTCATTAGATATTCAACAGTATAATTGCTAGATCTTATGCCAAGTGTACATTTAACCTTACAAGAAGTTACCAAACTTTTCCAGCATGGCCATGTGTCCCAATTTTTAACTGGTTTGTAGCTTATAATTCTATAAAGCAAAATCTTTATTTACCTAGTCACACATTACAGTCACTGTATCTGAAATGGTAAAAATGGCCGGGATTAGACACCCAGAGACTCTTTATTAATTACTTCAGGTCATTGGGCCATATGTGCTTCAATTATTTTCCAAGCTAATATGATTCTAGTTGTGTACTGAGATAAAGCTTGATCATCAATTCAATTGTACATAATAAGAGAAGCAAAAATTATCCACTGGTGTTGCTTTGAATCTGTAATCCCTCCATTTACTCCCATATGAACCAGTTTTAATTCAGGTTCTTTCCCTGAGGGGGTTCCACATTTTCACAGGAAAAAAGGATACTCACAACATCCAATGTTCACAGCTGATATATACAACATCATACTTAGTATTTAATGGTAACATAGCGTTAGAACGAAGATGTTTCAGGTTTATAACATCCACAATTAAGTAACTTTCAAAGACTTAGATGCAGGAAGCTCAATATTATAGGGGTTATTCCAAGGTGATCCATGGAAAGGCCAGAGCGGAGTAGCATCTAAGATCCTTGAAATGTTACGTAAAACTTTGAACTTTGAGATTCAATTCCCTTTTATGCATAGATCTTCTCATAACACATTATCTTTAACTTCTCTCTTTTCCTTTCACTCTGAGTATCTCATTTATTTTTAATTGTGTTCATCTATCATCTCTCTCTCTCTCTCTGTACTACCTACCTATATACCTACCTACCTACCTACCATCTACCTAGCTATTTATCTGTCCTAAAATTCATCACAGCTAGATACATACAAATTCTCCAGGCTATGAAAATCAGCATAATATATGTAATATTTGATCTCATTTTCTCAGGAGTACTTGGATATTAACCAGTACATAGAATTATTATTCAAACCAGATAGGAAATAATATTTGGTTTCCTTAGGCTTTGTGTGTCAGAAACCTTAATATTTTGGTGCCAAAACTAAATTCTGTAGTGTGGTTATTAATATTACAACCAACTCTGTATTTAGCCCATCCCTCACTTTTGAAAAACTAGTTAAAGAACAGAAAGCAGTTAAGCAAAATCTTAAATAACGTGTCTTTTAAAACACATTTCTAAATGGGTATCAATTGTTTCTATTGCATGTATTAGCTTGGTATTAGCTGCATTTTGGCTCAGTCACAGACCTTGTCAGCAGAAACCAGAGTGATCAATATAAATCTGCTGATGGGCTCTGTTTCTGTACATAAACAGCGATCAACAGAAAAGGAATACTTGGAATATCTGTGTTGCAAAATTTTACATTTTCTCATCTTCCTATTGAAACATCACAGAAAAATTCGTTAGACTTATGAATTGTCTATATTTCCATATCAAATTGCTAAAATTATCACACAGTAAGTTAATATTTCAGGCTTAGGTTTTTGAGAGAAGGCATCATGGCCACAAGTTATCATACAAGATAACTGTTGTAGTCACGACATTTTACACGTTAGGAAGAGGAACCACCCAAGTTATTTTAAGAAAAGTTTAGCATAGTGCTACAGAAGATGTATAAATCTAAGAAGAAGAGCCATTACACAAGCCTTTGAAAGTAGTCAGAGGCTTAGGATCCTCCTTTCCCAGTAGTGATGCCAAGGGGAAGAAAAGATGTCAATCTGCTTTCCCCAAACCCGCTGAAAAGTATCCCCCAGTTCAACTGTTTAAAAGAGTGGTTGCTCTGCAAGCTCAGTTCAAGAGAATATATGGAATTAAAAGCAGTATGCATTTCCTCTCAATGTTTTGGGGTGTTGATTTTAGATTTTTAAATCTATTAGATCCATTAGTTCATGCAACAATCTTATGAAAGTATGTCCTAGTAGTACTACCACTTTATATATAAAAAAATTAAACAGAGAGAGCTTAAGGAGCTCTCCTAGGATCATACAGCTAATACGTCACAGAGCTTGAGTTTGAAGCCAGGGTTTCACAATTACCAGACACTTCAACATCAGAAATATCTTTTTTATTTTTATTTTTAAGAGATAGTGTATTGCTCTGTCACCCAGGCTGGAGTGCAGTGGGTGTGATCATGGCTCATTGCAATCTTGACCTCCTGGGCTCAAGCGATCCTTCTGCCTCAGCCTCCCACGTAGTTAGAATTACAGTTGTGCGCCACTACGCCTGGCTAATGTTTTAAAAAGTACAGATGAGGTCTCATTATGTTGCCTAAGCTGATCTTGAACTCCTGGCCTCAAGCGATCCTCCTGCCTGGGCCTCCCAAAGGGGTGGGATTATAGGCTTAAGCCATTATGCCCAGCCAGAAAGATCTTTAGGCAAGAAACAACTGAATTTTACCATTAAGTTTTACCATAAGCATTTACCATTAAATAGTGTTTAGAAAGTCATGGTTTGCTAATGATATTTTCTAAAATCAAGTTCAAGTTTCATTTCTCATTTCTCAGCTTTCCATTCTTTCCTCCTCTGACTCTTCCTCAATTTCTGATTTCCAAGTCCTTCCTTTCAGGAGTAAAAACAAAAGCCACCCCTCCCCACATAGTATCCCAAAATATTATCTATAGAAACTCTGTTTCCTCCAGCTCCTACTATCACATTTTAAGTTTAAATATGATGTGTCAATGTAGGTTGATCAATTGTAAAAAAATATACCATTTTGGTGGGGGATGTTGATAATAGTGAAGGTTATCATGTGGGTGCAGAAGATAAATGACATATTTCTGTACCTTCCTCTCAATTTTGCTGTGAATGTTAAACTGCTCTAAAAAATAAAGTATTTTTTTAAAAGTCTCTATTTGAATATTCAATGACTAGGCTGAAGCTTAAAGTTAATCCTCATAAGAATACAGTGTGCCTACTTAAATCTTAGTAGGCTTTTGAAGGCTATGTATATAAAACATTCCATCTCTGTCATCCATTAGTTTGTATCCTGATTCTGCCCCTTCTCTCTCCATATTTTAGGTTTTCAGTTTCCTAGTCATAGTATATTTGACTTTCATTGCCAACTAATAGAATATCAGCACTTTACAGCTTTGAAAGCCACAGACCTTCTTACCTCCTTGTGAAGGGAATCTCAGTAAGACAAAAGTGATAAATTGCTCCTTCCCTTAACAGCTGAGGAAGGGTACATGTTATTCAGCATTATAAAGCTTTTGTTCCCAAAGTTATTTCTAATGACAGAACCTTGTGAAACCACACACAAATTATAGACACCATTTGTTTCTGGAGTAATTTTTAAGCTCTAATAAGAAGTCTACAACTTGTATTTGTTATCTTCATAATACGCTGTCCTATTAAAAACTAAGTTGAAGCCAGGTGCTGTGGCACATGCCTGTAGTCCTGGCTAGTTTGAAGGCTGAGGCGGGAAGATCATTTGAGTCCAGTAGTTCCAGGCTGCAATGAGCTATGATCGTGCTTGTGAATAGCCACTTCATTCTGCCCCGGGCAACACAGTATGACAAAGTCTCTAAAACAACAATAAATAAATATATTTTAAAAATTAAATTGAAATCTCTATTTTCTGAAAAGTTTAAGCAATTATGAAGTTTTTTAAAAAATCAGGAGATTATTAACATATTTTCTTTCCATGGAAAAGATAAAAACAATAAGACTGTGATTGTGTACGTTTTGTATTAAATAAACAATTTTGTAGTTTAATCTTATTTAAATGATCAGATATAAATATAGTTATGTGCATATACATTTATATTTTATATATTTTTATATATTTTCCCAAGCTACACTGGTTACATTACTTTTATTTATGATGTAATTTATGTAGCTCTGCTAATTTAATTACGTTTATTTATCTGTAGATGATAAATTTTTTTTTTTTTATTTTTTGAGACGGAGTCTCACTGTGTCGCCCAGGCTGGAGTGCAGTGGGACGATATTGGCTTACTGCAACCTCCACCTCCCAGGTTCAAGCAATTCCCTGCCTGAGCCTCCGGAGTAGCTGGGATTACAGGAGCCCCCACCACGTCCAGCTAATTTTTGTATTTTTAGTAGAGACAGGGTTTCACCATCTTGGCCAGGCTGCTTTTGAACTCCTCCTGACCTCGTGATCCACCACTTCGGCCTCCCAAAGTAGTGGGTTTACAGGCGTGAGTCACTGTGCCAGGCCTTGTAGATGATAATTTGTGTCCCCCTGAGGACAAATATGTGTGGCTAAGCAAATTTTCTGTTAGTGAGATGACATTCTGGACATGGAGTTTCTTTACTTTAACAGTGGTTTATGTCACTTGAGGCATTGCACTTCTTCTCTGACAGCAACACATCCTATTTAAAAATTGTCTCTTGGCCGGGCGCGGTGGCTCACGTCTGTAATCCCAACACTTTGGGAGGCCGAGGCAGGTGGATCACGAGGTCAGGAGATCGAGACCATCCTGGCTAACATAGTGAAACCCCGTCTCTACTAAAAATACAAAAATTAGCCGGGCGTGGTGGCAGGCGCCTGTAGTCCCAGCTACTCGGGAGGCTGAGGCAGGAGAATGGCGTGAACCCGGGAGGCAGAGCTTGCAGTGAGCCGAGATCGCGCCACTGCACTCCAGCCTGGGCGACAGAGCGAAACTGTGTCTCAAAAAAAAAATTGTCTCTTTAGGCAGTAGCTTGTAGCATTAGCCCTTGTGGCTTCAGCCCTGTAGAAAACACTGGGTACTGGAAATTCTAAGAGGAGAGTCTGAATCAGTTTACTTTAAAGCCATTTAATTAATTAGCCAAGTAATTGTACTACTACTCCAGTGCCCATTTCCCATCTCAGACCCTGAGTTATTCTGGCCACTGCTCAGGATACACACAACTTTATTCTGAGGTCTTTGGATAACATGAGGCTATAAATTAATCAGCTCTATTGGGTTTACTACTTTATCGGATTCTATGAGTTTTATGTACAGAAAAATTCTCGTGTCTATGGTTTGCTCATGATAATATTCACAGTTTTTTAATACTACAGTGCCTACTTAAATTTATTCTGTAATTTCAATTTAAGGAGTAAGTGAACCCATTCTATTTAGTCAGATATCATAAATTGGAAGTATCTATAAAGCTAAAAAATTGTAATAATTGTTTGTGAAAGGAAAGAATTACTACTCCCTATATAATATTTATTAAGGGAAATAACCAATATAACAAAATTAAGGTATAATAAATGGAATGTAAGTTATATTATTGGAACTGCAAACATAAATGGACATCTGCTAAAGGTAAAGTAGAGGATTTAAAAAAGTAATATTAATGGTGGCCAATTTCCTCCTAAATCGTTTTTATAAGATTCCATTTTAAGATGATATATTTGTGGTTTCTATACTTTGCAAACTCAATAAACATCTGTGTATATTATGATTTAATGTAACAATTTACTGAATAAACATATTACGCTTTTCATTTTCCTAGTGCTTGCTCCCTAAGGAATCTAAATTGTATTTACAGAAATACAACTAATTTTCAAAGTGTCCTGAGGAAGAGGCATTAGAAGGAAAAGCCTAGAGAAGCAAAACTTACAGTGATGGGCAAAAAGGAAAGTAGCATCTAATAATATAGTCCCATATACTACATTTATGCAAGATGGAATAAAATAAAATATTTTATTTTACCTAAAATTAATAATATTTATTAATAATTATTTATAGCTCTGTCATATAGGCATAATATAAGGATAAAAGGAAAAATCTATACAGTTCTTGATGGGCCACTAGGCTTGAATTTACAAAACCTCATCATAGTAATTTATGCCCTGTGTAAAGTATAGATATTTGGGAATATATTTAACTCTTAGGTATAAGTAGTAAAGTTGCAATCATTTCTGCACTTCCAAACCTATTCACTGATGTTATATTGATAGAAATCTTCCTTATTAAAATCATACGCTAAAAGTATATTTCTTACCTGATACTGTATATAAAAAAGTTTTCCTATAGTATTACCCTGTACAGATATTTCTCAATAACAATATGATTTCCTAAAGACTTTGTAAAGACAATATAAGGATGTCAATAAAAACTAACAGAAACTGGGCCAGGCACGGTGGCTCACGCCTGTAATCCCAGCACTTTGGGAGGCCGAGGTGGGCAGATCACGAGGTCAGGATATGGAGACCCTCCTGGCTAACACAGTGAAACCATGCCTCTACTAAAAAAACACAAAAAAGTTAGCCGGGCGTGGTGGCAGACGCCTGTAGTCACAGCTACTGGGGAGGCTGAGGCAGGAGAATGGCGTGAATCCGGGAGGTGGAGCTTGCAGTGAGATCGTGCCACTGCACTCCAGCTTGGGCAACAGTGAGACACTCTGTCTCATAAAACAAAAAACAAAAAACAAAACAAAGAAAAACTAACAAAAACTGGCATATATTGAATGTCAATGTAATGGTGATTAAAGTTGAGAAAATAAAGAATTCTCTTCCAAGGAACCCAGTAAATATAATATATTATTTTAAATGCTGTGACAGAATTATTCACAGTTATAAATGTTCTATGGAAAGAAAAAGAGCTAATCCTTAAATTCAAGAAAGGGTTTCCAGGTAAGATAAAATATACACAGAGTTTTAAATACTAAATGGAAATTTTGATAGGTAAATCGTGAGGGATAAAATATATAAATTAACAATCACTAACTACAATTTCCTTCCAGACTGCTATCTTTTCTTAGTCTCTCATCCCTCCTCCCATTTCTCTTTTCTTGATTTAATTATAGCTGTCTGAGCCAATTCTATTCAGGTGGGACAGTTATTCCCTTTGTCCCCTTTCCCCGAGCTTTCTTTTTTTAATTTAAAGGAATTACAGCCACCACATCCTTAGTCCCCTTTACTCTAAGACCCCGACCAAGAGTTCAAAATTGCACATTTTTCCCCCTTTGCCTTGTATTAAACTTTGGTTAGCCTTCTCTTCTCCCCACAGGGCCTTGTGTTAGTCCTGTTCTCAGTCCTGAGCAAGCACTAAAATGCATACTTTACTCTCTTTAACAGCTAAAAAGAGAATTGGCCTATCAGACTCCTCTGTCATGCCTTCTATTCACTCCCCATTGCCTGCCCAATTTCCTCTTAAAAATTTTTGCTCTCCCTGGTTACCTTTTCCTATAAGAGAAAAGACATTTTCTGTTTGATTTTGAGACGCTAGCAAATTTCTGAGATTGGAGCACTCTCAATATTACAATAATTTTGAATAAAGTCTTTCTTATCTAAGTCTGAATTAGTTTTTCTTTGGCAGATTCTGGTGCTGAGTCAGGTTGATTGCTGATTGTGCCTTGATCTATACCATCTTCACCCAGGTTTTGATGCTGGCTTCTCTGACCCTGTGCATCCTTCCTAGCTGGGCAAATCAGAATCCATGGTGGTGAGTAGCAAACCTTAATTCAGTATTCCTGATATTTGTCTTTTGTAGTGGGATAAGAAGTTATTTTGATACTGTTAAATGAGGCTCTTCCCAGTTCATTTCTGTTGAGCAAGACCTTTCCTAGGTAGAGGTCTTCTTGGTTCCCTCCAAGTGGAGATTTAATCCCTGGCTCTTGTTGAGCAGGACTCTTCTTAGCTTTTTTCTGCTACGTGAGGATCTTCCTGGCTCTTTTGTGATATCTCTTTGGTTATCTGAATACAAGCCTAATCTCATGGGTAATTCTCACTTTCATGGCATTCTGTCTTCTCTGCCCCTGCTGATGATATGCCCTGCCACTATGGCACTCGTTGTCTAATTTCTTCAAAAATGGCATTTTCACACAGTATAATTTGAAACTATAATCACCTCTCTAAATTTCTTGAGATCTCCCCAAATATGTTCATCTCTTAGGAGCCCTTGAATCTAACAATTCAAAATTTTCTCTAAATAGTAGAGTATACAAACTATCTGCAAGATGAAGGTAGACAACTTACTATAAGATTTTCTCCTTTCCAAGTTCCCTTCTGTGTCTTCTGGATCCTATAATGCCAAACACAGCATTTTATTAAGTTCTATAACCCTTGTTAATCTGTTAAGCAGAGATCTCCTCTCTCATTGGAATGTTAATATTTTATGTTCACCTAAGGAACTAACCCTGAAGTCCTGAACTTTTCTTCAATTTGTCTTTAGCCTCTGATATCTCTGATAGATCACCCCAGTTTTCTTGCCCAGTTCAATACTCTCCAAGCCATTAAAAATCCCCACATTCAAAATTCCTCACCACATGCCTTCCTGGATCACTTTTGCTATGGTTTTCCAGATGTAGGGCACAACTGTAGGGTACCTTAAAGGTGAGGAGAGGCCCTAGTATGCACCCTTTGTAAACTGCCCTGGTATCCTCTACAACCTGAGGCAATTGAAGGTCTCAAAACCTATTATCCAAGCTGACAAAGCACTGATTATTCCCACCTGTAGTCCCTCAATGCACCAATTTTCTGTAAAACAAAACAAAACAAACGAAAAAGCAGGAAACGTCACTTGTTGGTCCAAGACTTGCAAGTCATAAAAAGGAATGTAAATCAAGATTCCCTTTGATCTCAAACCCACTATTGCTATCCTTATTTCCATACCTTCCAACACCACTCATTTTACTGTTGTCACTGTGCTCTGCTTCTCACAGTCCCTTTAACCTATTTCCCTATTTTCTTTTACATGAGAAAATCAAGAATATGCTTAGTTATTTATGCCTCAGGACTTATAGAAGCCCTCGCTTAATTTTCCCAGACATTAACTGCAAATTTAAAGAATTTGATCTCCCCTTGCACTTTAGTCCTCAATATAACATGTAGATACTTTCCATCTTTGTTCTAAGGCACTCAATAATTCTTTGCAAGATACCCAGTACTTATTTAAAGTCTAGGCTAGGAAGGGACATAAGGTCTCAAGAGATAAAGTTCTGTTCCTGTGCCCTCAAGTGTACAATTTAAGCCATGATTATTTATCCTCAGGGAAAAATCCTTATCCCCGTATCTTATCAAGACATTTATTAAATAAACCTTGCCCCAAACCAAGAGATAGTTTAGGGACTTTGCGGGGCTGCTTAGTAATTGTAGAATGTGAATTGTTAGCTTTTCTGCTATAGCATTCCTTTTATATGGTGTGACTAAAGAGATTGTATCTGAACCTTTACAATGGTGCTCACTTTTTTTTTTTTTTGTGGCGGGGAGACAGAGTTTCACTCTTGTTGCCCAGGCTGGAGTGCAATGGCACGATCTCAGCATCTCGGCTCACCGCAAACTTCGCCCTGAGTTCAAGCGATTCTTCTGCCTCAGCCTCCCAAGTAGCTGGGACCACAGGCATGCACCAACATGCCCTGTTAATTTTGTATTTTTAGTAGAGAAGGGGTTTCTCCATATTGGTCTGGCTGGTCTTGAACTCCCGACCTCAGGGGGACTCACCTTCTTTAAAAGAATTTGAATCTCTAAAAATCTTTCTATTCTCCATGCCCACTTTAAAGCTTCCTAACTTCCTTTTGCTTTTCTCCCTATGTGTTTATGAAAGAGAAGGACATGCCTTAGACATCTCAAAAACATAATGAAAATCAGAGGCCAATGGGATACTTTAACCCCATTCCAGATACTATAACTCAAGGTTTCCCTTCTTGCTTGAAAGCAGTTGCAGCAACTGTGAAATTAGTTCAAACCACAGCTGACCTTGTTTGGATCGTACCTTGAACATCTATTTATTTTATGCAGTTCCGGCCCTTATCCTAATGGAAAACACCAGCATTTTTTAGCTTCACCTCTTATGAAATTCTTCTCCTCTCTTCTTCTTATATTAACATCCACTGCTCTCAAAATCTCAATCCTGCCACTATCTTCCTTCTTCCAATGAAGAACAATTACATGGTTGCACTATGAAATTCAAGCCTCAATCCTCAGCAATATTGATCACTCAGAGATCCACCTTAAAAATCCAGACTTTGACTTCTGTGTTGATGGTTCATATCTCTGCCCCTCAGAAAAAAAATTCAGGCAAGTTATGCCATTACAATTTTTAGAACTCCATAGAACATAGGCTTCTAGCTTCTACCTGGCACAAGGCACCTCAGATCACTAAACTTTTAGCTCTCCTAAGAGCTTGCTTTTTGGCTAAAGAGAAAAGAGTTAATATCTACACAGAGAGTAAACATGCTTTTGGGATAGTACATGATTTTAGTATTGTATGGAAAACCAGAGGATTTTTAACAACTTTGAGGACACCAACTAAAAATGGACACAAGTGTCTGTCCCCTTAGCAGCTTTGTGATGGTCAAAGGAGTTGCACATACTTAAAGTAGAAGCTCACATGGATAACAAAACCCCAAAGCAAAAAAAAAAAAAAAAAAAAAGAAAAAAGTCACTGCCTGACAATACGCTTACCTGGCAGCTTACAAATCTATTCCAGTTTCAACACAACCAGAAAAAATCTTAAATGACTACACTTACCAACTGAGCCCCTAACTAAAGAGCTTAGAATCTCCCCATTTAAAGCCCTCTAACGTGAAAGAACAATTGGAAACAAGTTGGATGCTTTACCTTCCCAGACCTACTTTGGAGACACCCACATGGCCACTCGGCTCTCTCACTTGAAATTTAGTCGCTGGCCTTTACAAGATCATTCAACCTGGGAGAAAGAAACTAAATCATCTCTCCTGTCAACATTGATGAAGTTTTACTTCTATCTGAAACAGTCTTCTTGCAAACTCCAGGAATTCCAACCTTGAGTTTATGGCTCTCAACTAAAAGGATATAAAAGCTACTCTGAATGGAAGTTCAACTCAATTTGAGACCTTCAGCTAATCCATGCCCTTTTTTTTTAAAATTATACTTTAAGTTTTAGGGTACATGTGCACAATGTGCAGGTTAGTTACATATGTATACATGTGCCATGTTGGTGTGCTGCACCCATTAACTTGCCATTTAACATTAGGTATATCTCCTAATGCTATCCCTCTCCCCTCTCCCCACCCCACAACAGGCCCTGGTGTGTGATGTTCCCCTTCCTGTGTCCATGTGTTCTCATTGTTCAGTTCCCACCTATGAGTGAGAACATGCGGTGTTTGGTTTTTTGTCCTTGTGATAGTTTGCTGAGAATGATGGTTTCAAGCTTCATCCATGTCCCTACAAAGGACATGAACTCATCATTTTTTATGGCTGCATAGTATTCCATGGTGTATATGTGCCACATTTTCTTAATCCATTTCTAGTTCTACATCCCTGAGGAATGGCCACACTGACTTCCACAATGGTTGAACTAGTTTACCGTCCCACCAACAGTGTAAAAGTGATGTTATTTCTCCACATCCTCTCCAGCACCTGTTGTTTCCTGACTTTTTAATGATCGCCATTCCAACTGGTGTGAGATGGTATCTTATTGTGGTTTTGATTTGCATTTCTCTGATGGCCAGTGATGATGAGCATTTTTTCATGTGTCTTTTGGCTGCCTAAATGTCTTCTTTTGAGAAGTGTCTGTTCATATCCTTTGCCCACTTTTTGATGGGGTTTTTCATTTTTTTCTTGTAAATTTGTTGGAGTTCATTGTAGATTCTGGATATTAGCCCTTTGTCAGATGAGTAGATTGCAAAAATTTTCTCCCATTCTGTAGGTTGCCTGTTCACTCTGATGGTAGTTTCTTTTGATGTGCAGAAGCTCTTTAGTTTAGATCCCATTTGTCAATTTTGACTTTTGTTGCCATTGCTTTTGGTGTTTTAGACATGAAGTCCTTGCCCATGCCTATGTTCTGAATGGTATTGCCTAGGTTTTCCTCTAGGAAAATGGTCATACTGCCCAAGGTAATTTATAGATTCAATGCCATCCCCATCAAGCTACCAATGACTTTCTTCACAGAATTGGAAAAAACTACTTTAAAGTTCATATGGAACCAAAAAACAGCCTGCATTGCCAAGTCAATCCTAAGCCAAAAGAACAAAGCTGGAGGCATCATGCTACCTGACTTCAAACTATACTACAAGGCTACAGTAACCAAAGCAGCATGGTACTGGTACCAAAACAGACATATAGACCAATGGAACAGAACAGAGCCCTCAGAAATAATGCCGCATATCTACAACCATCTGATCTTTGAGAAACCTGACAAAAACAAGAAATGGGGAAACAATTCCCTATTTAATAAATGGTGCTGGGAAAACTGGCTAGCCATATGTAGAAAGCTGAAACTGGATCCCTTCCTTATACCTTATACAAAAATTAATTCAAGATGGATTAAAGACTTAAATGTTAGACCTGAAACCATAAAAACCATGCTCTGTTTTTTCAGCCTGCTAGAATACAATGTCTGCACAACAAATTGGACAGCTTTCCCCATAACTTCCCACCAAGCAGATGACAGACATCACAACATAGTCAGCTTTACCAACAATGTTGGAACAAAACACTGTGAGATTTTCGTTCCTATACATATATTTTTACCATTTTCTTTCTCCTATGTTCCTCCATTGTCACCTTTGCTGTCCATATAACTTTCCTCATTGTAACTGCAGACTTTCCTAATGAATCCTTGTAGTATTTCCTTCTCCTCTTCACGAAAGCTTCTTTAATAATTATTCCATCTCTGTACTCTATAGGAACCCCAGAATCTATGGATATTCTTTCACTCCACGTGTAGCACAACTTGAAAACCTTACTTTTAATTGCTGATTATATACTCTTTTTTCCTTTGGAAGCCTTTAGTTTATTCCTAATTCCTATACCAGTATTAGGCTTATGGGCATTTGTTATGTGTTGAATTTTATTCTGTTCCAAAAATTCACATGCTGAAGTTCTAACTCTCAGCATTTTAGAATATGATTGTACATGAAGATATTATAGAATTTTTACAGAATTAAGTGAAAATAAAGTTGTGAAAATGGACCCAAATACACTGTGACTGGTATCTTTGTAAGAGAGGGAAGTTGGACAGGGATATGTGCAGAGGAAAGACTATGTGAAGATACAAGGAGAAGATGGCATCTATAAACCTAGAAGAGAGGCCTGGAACAGATATTTCTTTCATGGTCCTGAGAAGAAACCAACCCTGCCAACATTCTGATCTCAGACTTCTAGCCTCTAGACATGTGAGAAAATAAATGTCTGTTGGTTAAGGCACTCATTATGCAGCATTTTGTTACAGAAATCCTAGCAAGATAATCCTTTATTTTTTGTATTATCACTTTGGAGCCCTTTAGCTTTTTCTTTTACACTTCAAAAGGAGTCTTCTTCCTTCTTCAATACCAATACTTTTCAATAGGGCAATCTATGCTTCCACCACATCACCAAAGGCCTTTTCGTGGGCTTAAGTATTTGCAATTGCCCCTACTTTTCCATCGATACAAATACTACAGTATTATTATGGGGGATAAGAGTACATTGCCCTGTTATATGAATCTTAAAGATGATCCTAAGCATAATTTTGCCTGGTATGATTGGTACTGTCTTGTGAACAACAAACATGACTTTCCTCAATCTGAAAATTTCCCATTTGGACATAATAACATCCTTATCAAAACGGCACATGTGAGCTTTAAGGTGCAAATCCATGGGACAATTACACCTGTGAATCCTGTTCAGTCCCTAATGAGACACACTGTATTAAGTAATGGTGCTTATTGATGTCTGCTTGACAATTGTACTAGATCCTGTTATCTGGCTAATTTTACTAGCCATTATCAAACTTTTAACTAAATTGCTTTCTTTTCTCACTTTAACTAATCTATTACATCCAAGTTTCCTAGGCACTGGGCAATCAAAAAGTTCTGTAAACCATGTTATAGCTGCAAGGTTAGGTACAGAATCCCAATCCTAGAAGGAGGCTACGACCTTTTTTTTCTCTCTAGGTTCTTAAGAAGCCTTAGAACAAGAGGATAAGAGATTGAGAGTAAACTTAAAAGACCACTGCAGCAGATCACATATGAGCAAACTTTCTGCCTGCAATTGTTGTGGACTGGTCAGGAAGTTTGCTGGAATTTGTACATATTCAATCGTTTGCTTCTGAAATAACCAAGACTGCAGAAAGTCTTACCAAAGCCACCAACATCATTGCCAAAGTACTCCAGAAACTCCGGTGAATGGCTCTCTACAATGGTCTTGATTTGGGCATGATTCTGGCTTCTCAACTGTTGTGCATATGTTCCCTGAAACCTCTCTAATATATATGCTCTAACTAAAAATATTCAGACCAGAAACTCCAGTGAATAACTGTCTACAAGACTGTACATTTCGGCATGATTCCGGCTTTTCAACTGCTGTGCATGTGCTCCTGAAACCTCTCTAATATACATGCTGTAACTAAAAATATTGAGACCACAAACTTGGAAATTCATCAAACTACCCACTATTTAAGGATATTTTCAATGTTCTAGAATCTTCTTAACTGACACCATCTGAACCACAAATCTTGGCATTACTCCTCTATTTCATGTTTAATAGTTTTTTTTCTACGATATTGCTAGCCATAGCTCTCATTAAAAACCTGATCTCTAAGATCCTTCGACAACAGTTGAACTACATGTTGGCAGATGATACAGTTAGTCCTTTAATGCCAACGAGAATGTGAAGGCTGGCTCAACCCCTAAAAACTACTTTGACCCATCTCAGTTCATGATTCCTATTCCATCCTTAGTAGTGTTTAAAGACAAATGTAGTTTGTCTTAAACTATGGTGAGTGGGGTGAGGGTGGGCAGGGAGGGACTGACCTATGCTCACAATTGCTCATTTCTTACCCTTTGCCATGTCTTGACTAAAATTTGGAAAGCCTTATCTCTTTCCCACAGGCCTTTGAATTTGGGGTTGCCCCTGAGCTTGAGCAAGCATTAAAATGCAGAACATGCCCCTCTTAGTAGTGTATGCTGATAGTCAGCTGAACACTGGGAGGCATGCTTCCCATCAGATCACTCTGCTTATGCTGTCTGCTCATCCATACTTTCTTGCCCAATTTCCCCTTAAAAGTTTCTGCTGACCCTGGTGACCTTTCCCTATGAAAGAAAAGTCTTTTTCTGTTTCCTTATGCAACTTATGCAGATTTCTGAAATAAAAGAGTTTTCTCTATTACAATAGTCTATTTGAGTAAAGTCTGTCTTTATTAAGTCTGGATTTGTCTTTGATACCCTCAATTCATTCATATATTGATAACCATGGATGGGACACCTATATGTTTAATTTTATACATGCCACATGGCTGATTTTAAATTCGCCTTTGTTGCTCAAAGGCTTCTCACTTCTATCTTCCATTGTTTGGTTCTGAAATGTGTACAGCTTATCTAACATTCAAGGCCCTGAATTTCTGAATTCAATGCCCTTTTAATTGTGTTTGCAAGACTATCATTTCTTTTCTGAACTTGTTGCCTTCTGAAAATACCTTACCAAAACCAGCCAACAAAAACCCACACACAACTGCTAACATTTGTTTTCCCGACTTGTTCCTCTGAGCCTTCGTGTCCATTATTATATGATCTGCCTTCTGAGTTACTGTTTTACCAGAATTTGGCCACTTCATGAAATGGGTCTCCATCTGTCCACCCTCTAACAGTTGCCTTACTACCCACTGCCTGCCATTTAAGCAAAACCACGTATTTTTATTTTTTCCTCTTGCTAAGACAGAAATAATACAGACTGGTCACAAGAGAATAGAAAATTTCAGGCAGCAATTTCACATGACTAAACAAAAGGAAGCTGTTGAAATAGCTGCAGAGGCTATGGGCAAATAAGACCCTCCAAAACAGGGTGTGAACCAAGCTGGCTAAGATTGACTAGACCCAACATAGTGCTGAATTTGACCTGGGTTTCACCTAGGACCTAATTATATACTCATTAGCATACTAAATCACACACCCACCAGCACTATGACTGCTCCAAAAACACCATATTTCGTGTAGAAGTGAATAACACCACAGTTCTGAGAAATCTCTACTTTCTCGAGGAATTTTCATGAATATTTCACACCTTGGTTAAAGAAACCCATAAAGGTAGCAGCCTCAAACCACCTTGGGTGCAACTCTCTTTTGAGTATGTCTGCAATACTCTTTGTTAGGTATATACTTTTCACTTTGCAATAAATATCTATACTTTATTTTATGACTATCCTTAAATTACTTCTTGAGATGGTGTCAAGACCCTGAATACCAGCTGGGGTCAAGGTGCCACCTCAATTTGGGAACCTCCCCCAGGCTACTAGTATCATTGCTGTTAGAGAAATTTCTGAATTAGTCAAGGTATGCTGGATTATGATACAGTAAGAAACAAACTTAATATCTCAATTTCCTCTCAATCTCAAATGCAATTGGAACACTGAATACCTATAGCCAATGGAAAAGGACATAGGGGATTTCCTAGCAATTCTTATTGTTTCAATTTATAGGCACACCCACAGATCACTAGGCTAATATTTTATTTGATAAAGTAAGTCATATTGCCTAACTTGCAGGGGATAAAGTCCAGGAAGGAAGAGTACCCGAATATTGATGAACTGCAATAATGATTAATACAATTGTCATCCAAACAGATATTTTCAACTCTTTTGGTTTTTGCCTACTTCTAACCATAAAGGATTCAATGCCAGATGCTAGTATTTCAATTCTTCTGAATTAAGAGGTAGCTACCTGCCTCCATTCCATTCACAGATACATCAGAATAAGTCAGCCAGAGGGTTCTGCAAGCAATTTTGCTCCTATATTAAAGGAGTGTAGCACATGAAAAGTACCCCTCATATTTATGTTCCACATTTTCTCTCTTGAAGTGTGCTTGTGGGAGGATATACAATAGAGTCATCTGAAAACATACAACACTGAGTGTGGGTAGAAAAAGCCAACGTGGTGAGGACTACAGAAAAAAAGAAGTATCTATTCTCATGTAAAAGATAGCTGAACACATCATGAAATTGTCTACATCCAGACATCTCATTAAGTAAGATAATTAAAAAGTCTTACTATTTAAGCTTTTATTCTTCTTTATCTTGAAACCAAAAGCATCCTAACCATAGTATTTAACTGAACGTAATTATTTACAACAAAATCTAGCGATAGAATATAGATTAAAATATTATTTTTTAATTTCTTTGTTCTTAGAAACCTTAGTTCAAAAACTTCTATTTATATAAGTGATGTGGGTTGGCTCATTGTTCCTACCCAAGTCTCATGTTGAATCATAATCCCCAGTGTTGGAGGAAGGACCTGGTGGGAGGTGATTTGATCATGGGGGCAGGTTTCTCCTATGTAGTTCTTATGATAGTGAGTGAGTTCTCACAAAATCTGATAGTTTAAAAATGTATGGCCCTTCCCCTTCACTCTGTCACTTTGTCTCTCCTGCCACCATGTAAAGAAAGTGCTTTATACCCCTTTGCCCTACGCCATGATTGTAAGTTTCCTTGGGCCTCCTAGTTATGCTTCTTATTAAGCCTGCAGAACTGTGAGTCAATTAAGTCTCTTTTCTTCATAAATTACCAAGTCTCAGGTAGTTTTTTATAACAGTGTGAGAGCAAACTACTACAGAAAATTGGCACCAGGAGTGGGGTACTGCTATAAATATACCTGAAAATATGGAAGCAAATTTGGAACTGGGTAATGGGCAGAGGTTGGAACAGTTGGAATGCTAAGAAAAAGACAGGAAGATGGGAGAAAGTTTAAAACTTCCTGGAGACTTGTTGAATGGCTGTGATCAAAATGCTGATAATGACATGAACAATGAAGTCCAGGCTGAAGAAATCTCAGATGGAGATGGGGAACTTATTGGGAACTGAAATAAATGTCACTCTTGCTTTGCTTGTAACAAGCAGACTGGTGGCATTTTGCCCCTGGCCTAGAAATCTGTGGAACTTTGAACTTGAGAGAAATGATTTAGTGTATCTGGTGGAAGAAATTTCTAAGCAGCAAAGCATTCAAGAGGTGACCTGGCTGTTTCTAAAAGTATATACTCGTATACATGAACAAATAAATAATCTGAAACTGGTACTTGTATTTAAAAAGGAAGCATGGCATAAAAGTTTTAAACATTTGCATTGTGACCATGCACTAGAAAAGTAAATCCCATTTTCTAGGGAGGGACTCAAGCTGGTTGCAGAAATTTGCATAAGTAAAGAGGAGCTGAATGTTAACTGCAAAAACAATGGGGAAAATGCCTCCAGGACATTTCAGAGACCTTTGTGTTAGCACCTCCCATCATAGGCCTAGAGGCCTAGGAGGAAAAAATGGTTTCACAGGTCAAGGCTAAGGCCCTGATGCTCTGTGCAGCCACAGGACATGGCATCCTGTGTTCCAGCTGCTCCAGCTCCAGCCATGGCTGAAAGGGGCCAAAGTACAGCTTAAGCTGTTCCTTCAGAGGGGACAAGCCATAAGCTTTGGCAGCTTCCATGTGGTGTTGAGTCTGTGGGTGCACAGAAGGTAAGAGTTGAGGTTTGGGAACCTCCGCCTAGATTTCAGAGGAAGTATGGAAATGCCTGTAAGTTCAGGCAGCCGCAGATGCTGTACCCTGAAAAGCCACAGGGACAGAGCTGCCCAAGGCTTTAAGAGATTATCCCTTGCATCATTGTGGCCTGGATGTGAGACATGGAGTCAAAGGAGATTATTTTGTAGCTTTAAGATTTAATGACTGCCATGCTGGATTTTGGACTTGCATGGGGCCTGTAGCTTCTTTGTTTTGGCCAATTTCTCTGTTTTGAAACTGGAGCATTTATCCAATGCCTGTACTGCCATTGTATCTTGGAAGTAACTAACTTGTTTTTCATTTTACAGGCTAATAGTCAGAAGGGACTTGTCTTGTCTTAGGTTAGACTTTAGACTTGGACTTTTGGATTAATACTGGAATGAGGTAAGACTTTGGGGTACTGTTGGGAAGTTATAACTGGGTTTAAAATGTGAAAAGGACATGAGATTTCGGAGGGTCCAGGGACAGAATGACATGGTTTGGGTCTTTTTTTCCACCCAAATCGCATGTTGAATTGTAGTCTCCAATTTTGGGGTAGCGACCTGATCAGAAGTGATTGGATCATGGGGGTGGATTCCCCTCATGCTGTTGTCATGATAGTGAGTAAGTTCTCATGAATTCTGATGGCTTAAAAGTGTGTGAAGCTTTCCCCTTCACTCTCTCTTTCTCTCCTGCCACCATGTGAAGAAGGTGCTTGCTTCCCATTCACCTTCCACAATGATTCTAAGTTTCCTGAGGTCTCCTACATGCTTCCTGTTAAGCTTGTGGAAATGCGAGTCAATTAAAACTCTTTTCTTCATAAATTACCCAGTTTCAAGTAGTTCTTCATAGCAGTGTGAGACAAACTAATACAATCAGCATAAATTTCAGTTTAGTGTTTTTTGGTTTTGGTTTCATTTTTAGTAAGCATATGAACTCAGAGCAGGAACCATCTGTGTTCTATTATATATTGTTATATAATCAGTGATGATAACAATGAATATAGGTCAACATAAATTTATTAAAAGATACATCTTTATAAGTTACTATTAAGTTGGAGGTTCTGATGGGCTGGGCAATGCAATATGACCTGGACACATATCTTTGAGTAGCTACTAGCTTGTTACCTGGCATGTGCCTTGACATTCTCTGCAAGATAACACTTCCTCACTAATCCAGGAATGGTTTTTGTCTATCTGTATATCAACACATACCTATATTCTTAATCTATGTACTTTGTATTCCAAAGATTGAAGTTATTCTCCTTGTCTTCTGCATATTTTCTGACTGACGTTGCTTTGCAGAGAAGATTTTTTTTTCTCCATTTTGTTAGGATGGGTAGTACATTATAAGTTTCTTCCCTGAGAATAGATTGCTCATTCAGCGTGGGTGCATCCACTTAGATTTACATAATATTTCAGCATACTCTACTTCTTGTCGTCATTGGGCCCATAATCATCATTCTCACCTCTTCTTAAGTTAGCCAAAATTTATTTCTCTCTCTTTTATACACACAAAAACAGGTTTTCTTTCTCTCTCTCTCTCTTTCTCTCTCTCTCTCTCTCTCTCTCACACACACACACACACACACACACACACACACACACAGACTCTGGTTAATTGGGAAAAACAAAATTGCAATTATGTTCTAGAACCTAAAAATTTTTATCTGATTTTAAGTTACATAAACTCACTAAGACCTAATTACCTGATATTTAAATCAGAATATTGAAATATCTTTATTTTACTGGATTCTGTGAGACAAGCATCTGAAAAGGATAAACTTTATAAACTGTAAGACTACAAGCAATATAATTTGTATTTGTATTATATGGCCATATTTATCTGTGAAATATACAAGGTAGACAAATAAATATGTTTTGTAAGAATTTTCTTCCTAATTATGAATAAACGGTTTAAACAGTTTTGTAACCTGGAAAGTTATTTTGTTTAAAGGGTAATGCAGAGATACATTGCAATTTATAAGTTAGTTTGTCCATTTACTTTTGCTGTAGTTGATTAGACAACTGGTAATTTTAGAAGACATTTGGCATATTATGCATCATTATTAGGACAGGTGTAGCCGGAAATTTTTTGTGTTTGTTTTTCTTCATCTTTTTGTTCTTAATTGAAACAAGACAATTCTCAAAATTTGTGTCTAACATGTTTGATAATATATATTAAGAAGGAAGTTTATTTCACTTCCTCATACGCCCATAAGAAGATTTTATTAGAATAACAATAGCATTTTAAATTTTTGCTCTATAACCTCACTGGAGAATGAGTGAAGCATTTAAGTTATCTACACTGGGAAATATAAATCAGTCTTTAAGTTGCTGACCACATATTACAATAAGGTGGAGTTGATGTATTCAAAACCGTGTTTCACATTTCTCTTCACTCTTCCTCTCTCTCTCTCTGTATCTCTCTACCTATTATTCCTCTCACTTTCTTGCACTTCCCTTTCCTTGCTGTCTCTCTCTTTTGCCCCTATAGTATGAAACAAGACCTTCATTAAGTGTTTTACTATGCAGGTAAGACTTTCCCTCAGGAGCTCTTTCCTAACCAGGGTTTACCTCCTGTTATTCAAAATTCTCCATTCCACAACTTTTAGTAACAAAACTCATATAAATATCAAATGTTCAATTAGTTCCAAAGTCAAACTGTGTATATATGAGGGAGTGGGGAGTATACGATCAACCTAAAATTCAAACTATATGCTAGCCTAGTTGCTAACTGGCGGAAAAAAAAATCCAACCATAAGGAGAGACAAAAACTCTTCCCTTACCAACAGAATTACTGATTAGAAAGTTCATGAGTTGTAAGGCATTAAAGAATTTTCTCAGAAAACTTGATTTTCTTTCCTTCTTAGCTATTACTATTTTTATAAAGCACTGATACTTAACGTACCCTAATTTTCTGTCTCTTGAAATGGATGACTCATGCTATGCTTTTTTTGGTGAATATCACTTCTGTTAGTGTTGTTTATTTTGTCACATCAAGTGACACCCATCTAGTTCACAGAAAACTTTTTTTACACTGAGTTTATTTAGAAGAGAAGATATGAAAACGTGAGAAACCCCAATTAAATCTGAATGCATAGAAAAGTTTCTTTGAATTTTATTTTTAAATGTCATATAAATTAATGATTTTCATAGTAAAAAGTAATAATATCAGCCAACTTCATCTAGTACTTATAGCAAAAAGCTCCACAGATATTCACTCATTGAACCTTAAAAATAGTCTATAGAAGTAAATACTATTTTTGTCCTGATTTTAGATGAGAAAACTAAAATGCAAGCAGGTTTAATGACTTGCTTAAGGTGACATATTCAGAAAAGAGCAAAGCCAGATTCAAAACTAGCATGAATGCAATTTATAAATGTTTTCTGTTCATAGATAGGAGAAAAACTTTTAGCAGAAACAAAATTTTACACATAAAATTAATATAAAAAGTCTTTCAGAATAGAAGATAAATTATATTAATAATATACAAGTGGTATATAGTCGAAGAAGTAATTTTATTTTTCTTATAACGTACTTAAGGTGAAATAATCGCGAAGTCAGAAAATTAATTTCCTCAAACAATAGAGCCAGTGGCAAAGGATAATGGCTGGAAATATAATTATTAATGAAACAAATCATTGTCCCCACAGCACTTAGATTCTGGAGAAAGGAACCTTAAAAATAAGGTAATTCCTTATCCACTTCAGACAATTTCATATAATGTTAAATATTTTAGAGAAAAGTAAAACAGTGAAATGGATAAAAAATAATTGGCATTGTTAAAGGATTTGAGGATTCTAATTTAGTCATATCAGTTGAGTAAGACTTTCAAGAGTACATCTGAGGTGAAATTTGAATGACCATGAGGAACAAATCAAGAAATGATCTGCAGAAAAGAGGGAACAGCACGTACAAGGTTCCCAGGAAAGTAAGAAGCACAAGGCCAGTGTGCAGTGAGTATAGTGAACTGGGGTGAGAGTAGCTGGAGATGAGGTTGGAGAAGTAACTTCCTGCAAGATCACATAAGACCTTGTAGAATGCAAGATGCTTGGGTTTATCCTAATTTGAATGTGGAGTCAGAGAAAAATAGCAAATAGGATTATATTATTTCAGTGGTGCTTTAAATATATCTCACTGGCTAAGTGTAGAGTCTATACTTGGGTAAAACAAGTATATATAAAGTATATATAAATAATAAATATATGTATAAAAATAAATATAAATAAGGTATACATAAAAGGTAGAAACAAGTAGAAAATTTTGGAATCTATTTCAAGAAACCAAACAAGAATGTGGATCTGTGGAAATGGTGAGGATTATTAAGTTTAGGGATTTTAATTTCATTTGGTGTCATGAGGTCTTTCGAATGAATTTAATGTAAGTAGAAAGGAAAGACAGGAAGCAATGATAACTCTGAGTTTTTTGGTTGGACAAAATGATGAAATAGTGAGCCCATTAACTTAAATAAAGAAAAATACCGGAGAGGTGCATGTGTTTGCTGTTATTATTGTTTTTCTGTTTGTTTTATTTTGAGAATGATAGAATAAATCACTATTTTGAAAATTTTAGTGTAAGATACTTATTAGATATCCAAGTGGAAAATGAAGTTGAATACACAATTAGACATATGGAACAGAAAGATGTCAGACCAGGAGTCATCAACAGCATAGAGATGGTATTTAAGAATGAGATTACCTGGGGAAAGAGCATAGATAGGAATGAAATGAGGGCTAAGAGCTAGTCCTGAGGCATGCTAACCTATGAAGTTCAGGTAGAGGGGAAAGATCCTGCATTCTCCCCCTGATTTTCTGCAGAAATATAGTGCAACTTATTTTCAATCTTGATGTCTAAGTATTATATTTTTTCTAACATGTATTACATTGTTGTTATAAATTGTGGCCCCCTGCCAAAAAAAAGTACATGAAAGCCTGAACCCCTAGTTTCTTAGAATGAGACCTTATTTGGAAATGAATTTGTTACAAGTGTAATTAGTTAAGTAAAAATGATGTCATACTGGAGGAGAGTATGACATCAAAAACCATGAGAGAATACATTTCTAATGTTTAAGGCCACTTAGCTTGTGGAATCTTATTATGGAAGCGCTGGGAACTGTGTATGTTTATATTTTCCATAATGGGAGAGATAGAGAGAGAATAGAAAATAAATTGGCATGGGCATATACAGTGACAATCCACTGAGGTCACAGATAAGGATAAGCAGTATAATTAGAACACCCCTAAATAATTGTACTGGCTTCTAATCTGAATTTAGGTTTTTTTTAAAAAAGAAACTTTGTCAGAGAACTAGTATAAAAAGATGTAAAAATTCTAGAAACCTAAGATGTTTTTCAAAGTGCCTATCAAAGTGGTAGACATTACAGAATTCATTACTAAGTTTCAGCTGGCAAATCTTTATGCAGGGCAAATGAAACAGAACCTCTATCTTCTTTCTGTTACATGTCTCACAAACAGACACAAAGAATAGCCTTGAAATAATAAACTTGAGGTACTATTAAGTAAATACAAGGAGTACTTGTCTCTTTAAATTTAATTTTCTGCTCACAAAAGTACAAAGCCTCTGGTATTATGTTAAGCAACCAACTGCTTTCTTAAACAGACATCTAAAATTCTAAACATTGCAAAATAATTAACTTATTCAGGTGGTAGTGAAGCTATATAGGTAAAACTTGTGACTGATCAAAATAATAATTACTATCAAGATGCCTCAAAATGTGTAAGTATAGAATACATATGTGTAATTCAATTATTCAATTTTAGTTTTGGAAAAATGCAAAATAGTGGTTAAGATACGTTTTGATTTGTAAAAATAAAAACAAGAAATATTTAGAGCAGCATCAATAGAAATATGACCTTACATTTTTATTTTTAATGTGCTTCCACATTATCTTAAGCCTCACAGTAAACAGATGACAATTTTTCGTTTATGACAAATGTTTGCCAATTTTATTATAAGCACAAATTACAATTCCATCTAAGCTTTTGGAAAAAAGTTGTAATAAAAATTATTTTTTATAAAACCTCTTTTATTGAAAAGCACACAGTTCATTAGGGTACAGGTGGATACATTTTCAGAAAAGTGAATACACCCATATGTATTCTATAATAGAATATCAAAAAATCTATAGCACACAATAAAAATAAAAATGTATAGTAAAGAATATTGTTTTATTACATTTAGTTCAAGATATAAAATTTTTTTATGTTATAAAACTATATTTTAAAATTATATTTGCTATTTTTTGGTAAAATTAAGTTTTGAAAATCAATCTTATTTCCAGAAACTTTGGTAAAATTTCTTATTAATTCTAAGAGTTTGTCTGTAGATCCTTTTGGATTTCCTGTAGTATGTATAATTCCTGTACCTTTTCTAAACACTACTTTGGAAATTATTCTCTGAGAATATTTTCAAATTTATTAATTCATTAAAGTGGATTTAAAGATTGGAGGATCAGACTAGGATTGGACTTAAAAGAAAGAAGGACATATGCAAGTGGATACACGTTCCAGAAAAAAAAAAAAAAAAGACTGTTCATGGACAGAGAAATGAAAATGAACAGGGAAAAGTTAAAATTATTCTCAGAATAAAAAATATGTATACTTTCAGTTTATCCAAAACCCTTTATTTCAAATGAACAAATTTTCAGAAGCCATGGGCCTGCATTAATAAAACCTATAAAAAGGTATGCATATTTATCATATTTCTAAATGATTGTACTTGTTTACAATCTATGTTTTACATAAATTTCATAGACATATTTATGTAATCTTTTTTCTTTCATAACAAAAATTAACTGAGAATAGGATGTTTATTTTTGTAGATAGTTATGCCAATATTTTCTCTTTAATAAACTATCAATTTCATAGAAATAATCTCAGTTCAACTATTGATGATATCTAGCTGGTATGACATTAGAAATATCAGAGTACTTTAGTACTTTATATAATTACATAATTAGTTCTGTCTAAAACAACCATGCGACGGTATAAAAAGGTCCTATTTTTTCTTGAGAAAATATAAGACCGTTTTCAATTAGAAGATTCTTCTCACGGTCAGTGCTTTGATTTGGATATGGTTTGTTTGTCCTCACCAAGTCTCATGCTGAAATCTGATTCCCAATGTTGGAGGTGGGGCCTGGTGGGAGGTGTTTGGGTCATGGTAGCAGATCTTTCATGAATAGTTTGGGTCCATTTTCACAGCAGTGAGTGAGTTTTGGCTGTTAGTTGCTGTGAGAACTAATTATTGAAAAGAACCTGGCACTTCCTCCTCTCTCCTTCTTGCTTCTTCTCTCACCATGTGATCTGCACACACTACTCCACTTCACCTTCCTTCCTCCAAGAGTGGAAATTCTCTGAAGCTTTCACCAGAAGCAGATGTTGACATCATGCTTCTTGCACAGCCTGCAAATGTGTGAGCCAAATAAACATCTTTTGTTTATAAATTATCCAGCCTCAGGTATTTTTTATAGTAACACAAGTGGAGTAAGACAGTCAGAGATCACTTGAAATTGTTGCTCTTCTGTACCATAATGTGCCATGTAATTCCATAGATTTCATTTTTAATTGTATTAGTTTCAACTTGATAACAGAATATTTTTCATACGTTAGTAGCATGTACAATTATTAGAAGCTTAAATAGCTGATCTTCTTTCAAAGTGCCTCATCATTTGGAGGAACTATTCTGGTCTTGTCTTTATGAGATTCCTCAGAAATGGTCTGAAATTCCCAGTTGCACAAGGTGTTAGTCAGCTCCATCACACGTTCTTTATTAGTTTTTTCTTTTTGGTGTTTCACTTCCTCCACTCTCTCATTCTACCTTCCTAGGATCACCTCCCAAATAAAAATACCTATAATCAGGAGGTGTTAAAATGCATCAAATTGTATTTCTCCATCAATTGGAATAATAATTACATATATATATATATATATATATATATATATATATAGTATCTTTTGTCTACTTCTACAGTGTTTTACTGATGGATTTTCTAATATTAGACAACATATTTCTATAGAATTGTTTCCCTTCCATGTAAAATTCAGTTAACTTACTTTATAATTTATCCACATTTTTTGATATCCTCATAGGTAAAACAAGATTTTATTGTAATGTTATAATTAACTTACTATTGTGTTATAATAGTTATAAACTATGTCAAAAATACTTTAGTTGTAGAGAACAAAATATTAACAGGAGTTTTCAACACATGTGACTGAGACTTTGGGAGATCAAATAGAAATGTGTTAGATAAGAATGCAGATAATGTGCATAACAATAGCTGAGCCAGCTTTGCAAATGTTATATGAATATACATTATGTGATTAACAACAAATAAAATATTTACTTTTGAAAAAAGTTTTATCTCTGGACAAGCACACACACAAAAAACCTAGAAATTATTAAGGTGTAAAATTAGATGAATAAATGCTGGACCCAAGTAAAAGCTAAACTCAATTGACATATCAATTAAAATGTAAGTATAATGAGAACCCTAGCTATCTCAATGAATTACAATGGTTATATATATATATATATGTGTATATATATATGTATATATATATACACATATATATATACATGTAAACCATAATTTATGATTACATCATTTCTAAACACAGTAGACCTTTTGAAGCATTGAATGAATAAATAGAAAAAAGAAGACAATTTCATTAATCACATATGCATTTATGTACCTCATAATAAGCATAATAAAGTATAATTAAAATGATGGGTTATTTAGAAAATTATAATATGTATGACCAAAAATAGTGACAGTTTATAAATTAAATGGTGCTTTCAAATCATAAAGGGAAAAAGAAGCATTCCAATAAAAAATGCATCCATAAACCACTTAGAATAATATTAATTTTTTCTAATAACATGGAAAATTGTTAAAATTCCTTGGAGAAAAATGTTAAAATTCAAAATTAATAGGCTTTACTTAAAAATTAAAGCAATTATGAAATTATATTTTTTTACTGAGGTAACAAAGATTATCTTTCACCCATTAATTTATAATCATATATCATTAAATTATTGTTGGGCAGTAGTGATTATAATTTTGCATACAGTTTTGAGCTTACTTTGTCAATATTAAAATAATAAGAACATACATGTTTTTGCCCCAAATTTAATTTTAGGACTTTATTCTATAAAATAAGTGATGAACAAAATGTTATGTATCACTTAAGAGTGAAAATTTGGAAACACATATATTTTTAATAGATAGATTAAATTAGAATAAATCCCCTGGAAGTAATAATATGTGGTTATTTAAGCCATGTTTTCTAAGCATTTTGATAATGTGAGGAAATTTTTAAATGGAGAGAGAGACTGAGGGTAGAGATAAATTTTTGAAAAAAATCCAATTTAATGAGACTAGAGTAAAGAGACTAGAGACCTAAATCTAAATGCAAACAATGTCTTGGAACATTATGGGTAAATTTAATTTCCTTATACTTTTTAATGATCTTCTAAAATGAATATGTATAACATGTTATACACAAAAAGTTATCATTTTAAAAGGTGAGATACTGCTAAAGAGATTTTCCTTGTTGAATTTCATTTTGTTTGGTTTCTGGATTACATTATAATTAAGACCTTTATTTTATCTCTTCGTATATCAACTATAAAGTACGAAATACTTTGTGAAGAAATGCAACCAAAAGACTTTATGTCTTACCATAATTACCTATTTAGAATAATCAAGCTGAAACTTCTTTTTAGGAAATATATAGAGACAGAAAAATAAAATACCATGAATATATATTAATGAGATTTTTTTTTTTCTGACTGAGAATACAGGGTGTATTTCATAAGTCTATTGCATAAAGAAATCCTTTTTATTCAGGTTGTTTGATTCCTTTTTGTTCTTTCAAACATATAAACAAAATCTTCCCATCAAATAATGTCATTCCTGCCAGTTTACACTAATCAAATGAGTAGCTGATCCGTACCACAGGGAGTTTTCTTCTTGGTTCATTTTATTTCTTACAATAGAATTGAGGATTTTGTAAGGCATTTCAAACAGCTATTTGCTGCCTTGGCTCTCATATTAGCTATTGTACATAAAGCATACTTACTGAGGAGTTATAAATGGCTCCCTGCTACATTACTGGAAAAAAAATCAGACAGTTTCAAACATTCCCAACAGAGAACAGAAATCAGAATAGGGATGACTCAGTAATGCTGGGTGCTTGAAAATCAACATTTTAGAAAATACTTTGGTGTGAATTTTTATATTCTGGCTTTTTCCTAGCAGAAAATCACTTCCCTGTTTATTTATCATAATCTGTCATAATGAAATAATCATTTTCATTTCAATTTGCAAAGCAGATAAATCACAGAGAACATGTTTAAAGTCTGCTGACATTCCACATCTACAAAATAATTTGGTTTCTTTTTTTTTTTTTTTTCCTTGAGTCAGGGTCACTCTGCTGCCCAGGTTGAAGTGCTGTGGCATGCTAGTGCTTTAGCTCACTGCAACCTTAAACTGCTGGGTTCAAGTAATCCTTCCCCCTCAGCCTCCTGAATAACTAAGACTACAGATACACATCACCATGACTGCTAGTTTTTGAATTTTTATTTTTGGGGGAGCAAGGTCCTGCTATGTTTCCCAGGCTGATCTCAAACTCCTGGACTAAAGTTAGCCTCCTGTCTTGGCCTCCCAACGTGCTGGCATTACAGACCTGAGCCACTGGGCCTGGCCCTTGCTGACTATTAAAATAATATACGTTTATCCAAAGCCAATAAAACACTTTTGTTTGTCAATTGTATGTTTATGTATTCTATATCACTTTTGGATTTGAAAATCAAACATGGTGAAATAATTTTTGATAAAAATCTAAAGATAATTAATATAAGATATTAAAAGCAATGAATATGTTCCTTAATAAGTTCTAAATCTTTTGCTAAATTATGTCATTATACTAATGAAATATATAACTAAACTATATTAAAAACTATTTAATCTCTGTGTTTTAAGAAAATTCCAATCATTTGTCTGAAAGAATTTATGAAAATTATTGCTATGTATATAAAATGTTATAGAAGCAATTTTGCATATATTAACAAATATTCTCTTTCTGAATATTCTGTTTTGCTTATCAGGAATAACAATACTTAACTGGGTAATCTCTAAATTTGCTAAAGGTACATTACAGCTAAATTTCTGAGTCACAGAAAATAAATGAGCCATGGGCCTCGAATGTATACATTTTGTCTTTATTTTCATTCACTTTCATATCTTACTCCCTCTTTCAAGGCCTATTTGTAGTTTACCATATCTTGTTTTATTTTGTTTCCTTAGAAATTTTCAAAAATGCCTTTGAAAACAAGGCCAGATATAATTGAATAGATATTTAAATATTTTATTTTTCTGTACTGATGGGAAAATAGTGTAAACATGCAAAGTGACCGCAAAAATATCATTCTAAAATATTAAGTTTCAGAGTCAGTTTGAGAAAAACACACACCTATTTATTAATCATTTTTCAACTCTTATTTATTGAAGAGTTTGGGGACAAATAAAGCTGTGTAGAAAGCCTCCTCTTTTTTTTAAATCTTATTCGTCCACCAGAAAATCGTAGGCTAGTCAAATAATTCCACAAATTTGATCAATGATTATCAGTTATATAAATGCAGTTTAGGAGAAAAAAAAGAACACTACACCTTGGGGAGTTCTGAATAGCCATGGAGAGGGCAAGTAAAATATGAATATGTGGGAATTAACAGAACTTTACACCAAAACATATGCTAAAGTGGAATGTCTATTCCATAATCAAAACGTATCAGAAGACTATATGTACACTAACTTCTCAGAAGCTAAGCCCTGATTCATATCTGGAAAATCAGATGTGATGTGTTAAGCATGGTAACATGAACTCAATTTGTTAGTTTAGATACTCCCAGAAGCAGAAACTGGGAATTTGCAGGAAAGCAAGTAGCAGATTTGTGAAGTGCAGGGAATATTGATTGGCATGGAGAAACTGTTACAGAAAAGTGGGGGGTGGGGGGCAGCCAACAAACACAGGAAGTGAGAAAACCTTCACAGTCTATATATCTGACAAAGGACTAATATCCAGAATCTACAACAAACTCAAACAAATAGTCAAGAAAAAAACAAACAATCCCATCAAAAAGTGGGCTAAGGACATGAATAGACAATTCCCAAAAGAAGATACACAAATGGCCAACAAACATATAAAAAATGCCCCATACCATGGAATACTATGCAGCCATAAAAATGATGAGTTCATGTCCTTTGTAGGGGCATGGATGAAGCTGGAAACCATCATTCTCAGCAAACTATCGCAAGGACAAAAAAACAAACACTGCATGTTCTCACTCATAGGTGGGAACTGAACAATGAGAACATTTGGACACAGGAAGGGGAACATCACACACTGGGGCCTGTTGTGGAGTGTGGGAGGGGGGAGGGATAGTATTAGGAGATATACCTAATGTAAATGACGAGTTACTGGGTGTTACTGGGTGCAGCACACCAACATGGCACATGTATACATATGTAACAAACCTGTACGTTGTGCACATGTACCCTAGAACTTAAAGTATAATTATATATATATATAATATATATTTTAAAAAGGGCTCCATATCACTAATAATGAGGGAAATGCAAATCAAAACCACAATGTGATATCACCTTACTCCTGCAAGAATGGCCATAAAAAAAAAAAAATAGATGTCGGCGTGGATGCGGTGGTCGGGAAACATTTCTACACTGCTGGTGGGAACGTAAACTAGTACAACCACTACGAAAAACAGTGTGGAGATTTCTTTTTTTTTTTTTTTTTTAATTTTACTTTAAGTTCTGGAATACATATGCAGAACGTGCAGGTTTGTGACATAGGTATACATGTGCCATGGTGGTTTGCTGCACCTATCAATCTGTCATCTAGGTTTTAAGCCCTGCATGCTTTAGGTATTTGTCCTAATGTTCTCTCTCCCCTTGCCCCCCACCCGCTGACAGGCCCCAGTGTGTGATGTTCCCCTCCCTGTGTCCATGTGTTCTCATTGTTCAATTCCCACTTATGAGTGAGAACATGCAGTGTTTGGGGAACATGAGGGAATATGACTCAGCCATAAAAAGGAATGAATTAATGGGAGTCACAAAAACCTGGATAAGATTCGAGACTATTATTCTAAGTGAAATAACCCAGGAATGGGAAACTAAACATCGTATGTTCTCATTCGTAAGTGGGAGCTAAGCTATGAGGATGAGAAAGCATAAGAATGACACAATGGGTTTACAAATCACCACTAAAGAACTTACTCATGTAACCAAACACCACCTGTTCCCCAATAACCTATGGAAATAAAAATTTAATCAAAATTAAAATTAATCCCATGGGAAAATTTTAAAAATAGAATAAAACTCACATCAAAGAATTATCCCATGTGAGAGATGAGACGCTTTGGGGTATTTAAAGAAAAATTACTGTTTAAAAGTTATTGCGTGTTGTATCTAGATAGTCCCAATTCCACCACCTTAGGCCTGCCATTAAGTGAGCAGAACAGATAGTCTTTCTTCTCTGTTTTTGTTTATTTGTTTGTTGTTTTTGTTTAGCAAAATAAACAACTCAGACATAGATTTATAGATATTAAGTATCTAGAACACATAGAAATAGTAGGATCTGACAGATATGAGAAATATGAGGAAGTGGGGGGAGGGAAATGAATAGCTTCTACTACAATCAAACAAATAATCACAGATTGCAATTAATATAATCATATAAACTATAAGATACTTATTTAAGTAAAGAGAAAAAGAGGGCCATGAAAATGCAATTATTGAAGAGACTTAAAATTGGAGAGATTGTCTTTAAATGATTAAATCATACTTCGCAATTTGGAGATACTAGGGAATCTGAAGCAAGTAAAAAACCCGTACCTAGGCCAGGCGTGGTGGCTCGTGCCTGTAATTCCAGCACTTTGGGAGGCTGAGGCAGGCAGATCATGAGGTCAAGAGTTGGATACCAGCCTGACTTAACACGGTGAAACCCCGTCTCTACTAAAAATACAAAAATTAACTGGGCATGGTGGAGCATGTCTGTAATCCCAGCTACTCAGGAGGCTGAGGCAGGAGAATCGCTCGAACCCGGGAGGCAGAGGGTGCAGGGAGCCGAGAGCATGCCACTACACTCCAGCCTGGGCAACAGAGCGAGACTCCATCTCAAAAAAACAAAACAAACAAACAAAAACCCATACCTAGAAACAAAAGAAGCCAAATAAAAAAGAAATATTAGTTATTAATGAATGACAACCTGACAACTTCTCAAATAAGATCAGTTGACTCTAGAATTAAATTAAACCATGTTTTCAGCACGAGAGGACAAAAATCCACAAAACTCAATTTAGAATTGCACACCTAGTGAACTGATCTATCAGGGACAAAAATATAAAATAATAAACATTTCAGAAAATGCTATGTGAATTTACCATCAGGCAAAAAACTTCAAAGATAGATTTACAAAGGAAGATATAAGTGGCAAGCAATTGCATGAAAAAGTGCTCGCTACCATTAGTAATGAGGGAAGTATCAATTACAACGATAGTGAAATAACATTATATATTCCCTACAATGGCTAAAATTAAGACATCTGACAACAATAAATCCTTGTGAAGATGTACAGAGCAGAAATTTTATTTATTGCTGGTGAGATTTTAGTATCATCCTTTCAAAACAACTTGGCAGTTTCTTATAACATTAAATATTTGTTTACCCATCAAAAAGAAAACATGTCTAAAAAAGCCCTTGTAAAAATGTTCATAGCAGCTTATGCATAATAGTCCAAATACGGAAGCAACTCCAATGTCAATTAAGGGGTGAGTAGATAAATAAACTGTGGTTTATTAGCACAGTAAGCTATAAAAATGAACATATTATTAGTATAAAAACATGAATGAAATTCAAAACCAAACATGTTACAAAGCCAGATAGAGAAGTTTATTTACTCTATTTATATGAAATACTTAAAAAAAAATTTCAGCTATCACTGTGATGGAAATCAGAATTGTGATTGCCTTGATGCTGAAGAATTAACTAGAAAGGGGTATAAAGGAACTTTCTGGGAATCGTGGAAATGCTGTTATGTCTTGATTGGGTTGTTAGTTTCATGAGATTATACACTTTCAAAGCCCATCAAATTGTACTCAAAATCTGATGATTAATAGTATATAAATTGCCGCAGTTAACTTTTTATGAGCAATTACTATAACATATTTAGTAAACCTACCACTTAATGTAATGAGGAGCATGAACTCACAGCCCTTTATGTACAAAAAGAAATAAGTAAACTAAACATGGCCGGGCGCGGTGGCTCACGCCTGTAATCCCAGCACTTTGGGAGGCTGAGGCGGGTGGATCACAAGGTCAGGAGATCGAGACCTTCCTGGCTAACATGGTGAAACCCCGTCTCTAATAAAAATACAAAAAAATTAGCCAGGCGTGGTGGTGGGCCCCTGTAGTCCCAGCTACTCGGGAGGCTGAAGCAGGAGAATGGTATGAACCCAGGAGGCAGAGCTTGCAGTGAGCCGAGATTGTGCCACTGCACTCCAGGCTGGGCCACAGAGAGAGACTCCTCTCAAAAAAAAAAAAAAAAAAAAAAAAAAAAAAAAAAAAAAAAGGAGACTAAACACACCAATTAAAGGTAGTATTTATTAGTGTTTTTTAAAAAATCCAGATATATGTGAAGTACAAGACAGTCACCAAAACCAACAGTCAGAAAGCTGAAAGAAAAAGATATAACAGGTAAATACCAACAAAAAAAAGGGTGAAGTTATGTTAATAACTGAAAAATAGAATTTCAGACAAAAAGTATTAGTGAAGATTCAAAATCTCTACATATTGATGAAAATGTCAAATTGCCAGGAAGACCAAAAATTCTAAACATGTATGGTTCTAAGCCAACATATAAAGTAAAACATTTACAGGACTATATTACAATGTGTCAAAAACTGTCATAATGAAAAAAATTTAATATACCTCATTTATTTATAGATAAATAATGCAGACAATGAAAAAAAATTGGACTCATGTGAATAAATTGGATACACACAGATAATCCAGGAAAATCCACCCCCCGATCTTAAGATCTTTAACCTCAAGCACATCTGCAAATTATGTTATGTTTTAAGTTTTATTTTTTAATTGACACATGATTGTACATATTGATGGTGTTCCATGTGATGTTTTGCTACATGTATAGATTGTATGAGTAAATCAGGGTAATTAGCAAATCTATCACCTCAAACATTTATCATTTCCTTGTGTTGACAACATTCAAAATCCTCTCTTCTAGCTATTTTGCACTACTGACATGGTTTGGCTCCGTGTCATCTTCCATTTTACTCCCATGATTGAATTGGGGGTACTCTCATACTTGAATTGTACTCCCATAACTCCCACATGTTTTGGGAGGGACCCTGTGGGAGATAATTTGAATCATGGGGGTGGTTCCCCCCACACTGTTCTCATTGTAGTGAATAAGTCTCACGAGATCTGATGGTTTTGCATCTTCCTCATTTTTCTCTTCCCACTGCCATGTGAGAAGTGCCTTTCACTTCCGCCATGATTCTGGGACCTCCCTAGCCATGTGGAACTGTAAGTCCAATTAAACCTCTTTTTCTTTACAGTCTTGGGTATATCAGCAATGTGAAAATGGACTAATACATACACCCTACGGTGAAATAGAAAATTGTAACTTATTCTTTCTATCTATCTGTAATTTTACACCCATTGACCAAACTCTCCCTTTCCCCCATCTCCTTTCTACTCCCTGAAGTAAGCCTTTTGTTATTCATTCAATCATTTGTTTATATCAGTATGGACTCATGAATGTTTATTTTTACTTTGGGTTATAACCCAATACTTCTTTATTTATTTTGTTGCTTAAATGATTTGAACTTGAACAAAAATTTCAAAATGTAATTTCATTTTTTATAATTCAAAACAAAACTTAAAAATAAATTGCAAAACTGCCAATTTGTCTTACAAATTGCCTATGCTGTTTGATTGTCCTACCAGTAATGCATAAGAGTTTCAGTTGTTCCACCTCCTTTTTAGCACTTGTTAATATCAATTTTATGTTATGCTATTTTTAGCAATTCTAATAAGTACGCAGTGGTATGTCATTGTGACTTCAACTTGCATTTCCCCCGTAATTATTGATGCTGAACATCTTTTCATAAGTCTATCTGCCACCCATGAAATATGTTCTCTTTGTGAATAAGTCTCAAGTCTTTGTCAGTTATTTATTGATTTGTATCCTATTATTGATTTTATCATTATTTATATACTCTGGATTCAAGTATTTAGCCATAAATATGATTTATACATGTCTTCTTCTAAGTCTTCACCTTTTCTTTCATTTTCTTAATAGAAAATTAAAAACTAGCAATACAAGTTTCTAATTTTGATAAAGTTCAAATTACATTTTTTTTTCTTTTATGGGTCCTGCTTTTGGTGATGTATCTAAAAACTCTGCTGAGTCTGAGGTCACAAATATTATCTCCAATGTACTATTCCTGAAGTTTTATTACTTTGTATGTCAAGGTTCAATCTTTGCATTTAGTGGTTGTATTGTTTTAGCACCATTTGTTGAGAAACATAACCTTTTCCCATTGAATTGCACCAACTTTGCACCTTTGTTGAAAATCAGGTGACTATGTTTGTATGAACATCTTTCTATTTTGATCCATTTATCTAAATTACTGTCCTTTCACCAAGGGGTGGATAGCTTCACATTTTGGTATGGGGGTAGTTACATCACCCACCTCACATATTGTGAGGATTAAAGGAATTAATATGTAAACAGCTTAAATCAGGGGCCTGGCAGTGACTGCATGTTACGTGTCAGTTGCTCTTATTATTTGTCTATTGAGATATTGGGACTCAAAGCAGCAGGCTGTCTCTCCATCTCTCATCTAACATCTGGAACTCTCAGAGGGTTGTTCATCAAGTAAAGGCAAGTAAATAAGTATATAAATTATATATATGTCAAAAACAAATTACTAGAATAAGTATGTTACCAACATTAATGCTTTTTGGGGGCAATTTTTGGCTACAGGATCCTAGTAATAGTTATCAGAAAACAAGGGTTTCTCAGATTACAGTTTTTTTGGGAAATGTGTTTGGTAAATGCTACTGCAGTAGTTATGATACGTAAAAATGATTAGCTTCCAAAAGTTTCACCATGCACCATAAAACGAGGAATAAAGATATAGGCCTTATTCCTTTTTTTCTGTCTATAGGAATTGTTTCTTTTGGGACACACAGGGCTTGTCATTCAGTTGCATCTGGAAAGAGCCCAATTCTAAATATAACTTGAATTTCCCTTTGAATATAATAGGGCCATCTAATTTACATTTTATCATGCCTGTGTTTCTCAGAACATTAGGTTTCTATTCATCCAAGTAGAATAATTTTTCATATCGACCATAGCAGAAAACAAGTGTAACTTCTTTTTTAGTTTGTATTACCTGACTCTAATCTCTCTTCAGCACAACCCTCAAGCATTCTCAGCCACAGAGGAGAGTAAATTGAAAAATCATAGAATAATTTTTAAATATGAGCACAGCTGCACTGAAAACCCAATTCTAAAAAGGGGCCTCCCTGCATTTTCCTCTCTTTCATAACGTTTGACAGTAAAATAATGCCTGCCAGTGACAAAGGCGCTCAAGCTTTCAGTGAGCAGAGCTCTCTATTCAGCCCAAACACAGACACCAGGATGATTGACTAGGGTTTCTGCCTCTCCTCTGACTCCCAGCATCCAGCACACACAGAGGCAGGTCCTCTGTACCTTGTTGGCTGTCCGGATATTTCAAATAAACATCAATTTCTCAGCACCTCTAGGACACTTCAGTGGAACCACTCTTTGATCTCTACACTAAAATTATTGGTTAAAAAAAGATACTACTAATAAATTTTTCCTTTATTATTCTATAGAAACCATATTATGAAAATTAACAAAAACCAGGCATCATCTCATGTAGAGTTTCTACCTATTATTTTGATTAGGCTTCATCTTCACTGCTTCTTTTAAGAATTTTCTTTGTGGCGTTCTCTGTATTTCTTGAATTTGAATGTTGGCCTGCCTTGCTAGGTTGGGGAAGTTCTCCTGGATAATATCCTGCAGAGTGTTTTCCAATAACAAACTGTCTCTCAGACCACAGTGCAATCAAACTAGACCTCAGGATTAAGAAACTCACTCAAAACCGCTCAACTACATGGAAATTGAACAACCTGCTCCTGAATGACTACTGGGTACATAACGAAATGAAGGCAGAAATAAAGATGTTCTTTGAAACCAATGAGAACAAAGACACAACATATCAGAATCTCTGGGACACATTCAAAGCAGTGTGTAGCGGGAGATTTATAGCACTAAACGCCCACAAGAGAAAGCAGGAAAGATCTAAACTTGACATCCTAACATCACAATTAAAAGAACTAGAGAAGCAAGAGCAAACACATTCAAAACTAGCAGAAGGCAAGAAATAACTAAGATCAGAGCTGAACTGAAGGAGATAGAGACACAAAAAACCCTTCAAAAAATCAATGAATCCAAGAGCTGTTTTTTTGAAAAGATCAACAAAATTGATAGACTGCTAGCAAGACTAATGAAGAAGAAAAGAGAAAAGAATCAAATAGATGCAATAAAAAATGATAAAGGGGATATCACCACTGATCCCACAGAAATACAAACTACCATCAGAGAATACTATAAACACCTCTACGCAAATAAACTAGAAAATCTAGAAGAAATGGATAAATTCCTCGACACATGCACCCTCCCAAGACTAAACCAGGAAGAAGTTGAATCCCTGAATAGACCAATAACAGGCTCTGAAATTGGGGCAATAATTAATAGCCTACCAACCAAAAGAAGTCCAGGACCAGACAGATTCACAGCCGAATTCTACCAGCGGTACAAGGAGGAGCTGGTACCATTCCCTCTGAAAGTATTCCAGTCAATAGAAAAAGAGGGAATTCTCCCTAACTCATTTTATGAGGCCAGCATCATCCTGATACCAAAGCCAGGCAGAGACACAACAAAAAAAGAGAATTTTAGACCAATATCCCTGATGAACATTGATGCAAAAATCCTCAATAAAATACTGGCAAACCGAATCCAGCAGCACATCAAAAAGCTTATCCACCATGATCAAGTGGACTTCATCTCTGGGATGCAAGGCTGGTTCAACATACAGAAATCAGTAAACATAATCCAGCATATAAACAGAACCAAAGACAAAAACCACATGATTATCTCAATAGATGCAGAAAAGGCCTTTGACAAAATTCAACAGCGCTTCATGCTAAAAACTCTCCATAAGCTAGGTATTGATGGGACATATCTCAAATTAATAAGAGCTATTTATGACAGACCCACGGCCAATATCATACTGAATGGGCAAAAACTGGAAGCATTCCCTTTGAAAACTGGCACAAGACAGGGATGCCCTCTCTCACCACTCCTATTCAACATAGTGTTGGAAGTTCTGGCCAGGGTAATCAGGCAGGAGAAAGAAATAAAGGGTATTCAATTAGGAAAAGAGGAAGTCAAATTGTCCCTGTTTGCAGATGACATGATTGTATATTTAGAAAACCCCATTGTCTCAGCCCAAAATCTCCTTAAGCTGATAAGTAACTTCAGCAAAGTCTCAGGATACAAAATCAATGTGCAAAAATCACAAGCATAGTTATACACCAATAACAGACAAACGGAGAGCCAAATCATGAGTGAACTCCCATTCACAATTGCTTCAAAGAGAATAAAATACCTAGGAATCCAACTTACAAGGGATGTGAAGGACCTCTTCAAGGAGAACTACAAACCTCTGCTCAACCAAATAAAAGAAGACACAAACAAATGGAAGAACATTCCATACTCATGGATAGGAATAATCAATATTGTGAAAATGGCCATACTGCCCAGGGTAATTTATAGATTCAATGCCATCCCCATCAAGCTACCAATGACTTTCTTCACAGAATTGGAAAGAAAAAAAAAAAAAAACTACTTTAAAGTTCATATGGAACCAAAAAAGAGCCTGCATTGCCAAGACAATACTAAGCCAAAAGAACAAAGCTGGAGGCATCACACTACCTGACTTGAAACTATACTACAAGGCTATAGTAACCAAAACAGCATGGTACTGGTACCAAAACAGAGATGTAGACCAGTGGCACAGAAAAAAGCCCTCAGAAATAATACCACACATCTACAACTATCTGATCTTTGACTAACTTGACAAAAACAAGAAATGGGGAAAGGATTCCCTATTTAATAAATGGTGCTGGGAAAACTGGCTAGCCATATGTAGAAAGCTGAAACTGGATCCCTTCCTTACACCTTACACAAAAATTAATTCAAGATGGATTAAAGACTTAAATGTTAGACCTAAAACCATAAAAACCCAAGAAGAAAACCTAGGCAATTCCATTCAGGATATAGGCATGGGCAAGGACTTCATGTCTGAAACACCAAAAGCAATGGCAACAAAAGCCAAAATTGACAAATGAGGTCTAATTAAACTAAAGAGCTTCTGCACAGCAAAAGAAACTACCATCAGAGTGAACCGGCAACCTACAGAATGGGAGAAAATTTTTGCAATCTACTCATATGACAAAAGGCTAATATCCAGAATCTACAAAGAGCTCAAACAAACTTACAAGAAAGAAACAAACAACCCCATCAACAAGTGGGCAAAGTATATGAACAAACACTTCACAAAAGAAGACATTTATGCAACCAACAGACATATGAAAAAAAGCTCATCATCACTGGCCATCAGAGAAATGCAAATCAAAACCACAATGACATACCATCTCACACCAGTTAGAATGGCGATCATTAAAAAGGAAACAACAGGTCCTGGAGAGGATGTGGAGAAATAGGAACACTTTTACACTGTTGGTGGGACTGTAAACTAGTTCAACCATTGTGGAGGACAGTGTGGCGATTCCTCAAGGATCTAGAACTAGAAATACCATTTGTCCCAGCCATCCCATTACTGGGTATATACCCAAAGGATTATAAATCATGCTGCTATAAAGACACATGCACACGTATGTTCATGGCGGCACTATTCACAATAGCAAAGACTTGGAACCAACCCAAATGTTCATCAATGATAGACTGGATTAACAAAATGTGGCACATATATACCATGGAATACTATGCAGCCATAAAAAAGGATGAGTTCATATCCTTTGTAGGGACATGGATGAAGCTGGAAGCCATCATTCTCAGCAAACTATCGCAAGGACAAAAAACCAAACACCACATGTTCTCACTCATAGGTGGGAATTGAACGATAAGAACACAGGGACACAGGAAGGGGAACATCACACACTGGGGCCTGTTGTGGAGTGGGGAGAGGGGGAGGGATAGCATTTGGAGATAAACCTAATGTAAATGACGAGTTAATGGGTGTAGCACACCAATATGGCACATGTGTACATATGTAACAAACCTGCACATGTGCACATGTACCATAGAACTTAAAGTATAATTTAAAAAAAGAGTTTTCACACATATATATGCCTGAAAATATTTAAAAAATAACATATAAGTGACTCAATTCATTCTAATATCCACGGTCCTATATGGCAAATATTAGGGAAAGAAATCTTTAGAATATGGGATGAGTAACTCAAGTAATGTTTGAAAAGGTTATCAGGGTGTATATAATGTTTTACAAGGCATATTGACATTTACTTATTGTGGTATCAGAGAAAAACACCTTAAGTTGCACGTTGAATAAATTAACCATATTTATTCCTGACAACTTGAGAAACAGAAGATGTGTGGAAGTGTGCTCTGTGTGAGATGGGAGCACTGTTAACAACATTAAAGATTACACAATGTGATGTAAGTTTGTTTCCAAAAAATCTAAATTATTTTTGAAAGAAAAACATCATGTATAACAATGTATAACCTAAAGCAATTATTAAACACATGTTAGATATTTTTTACTCTTTTCTTGCATGTAAACACATATGCATACAATATACATCAATTTCTTGACTCTGTGACATAATCTATCTTTTATTTTACCTAATACATTGAGAACTGTAACCAATAATAAACCAATGATCAAGAGTAAAAATGAATGATTTCAAAACATGGCTTAATGGATTCATGTATCAGTGTTTCCCTTTATTAATTACATGGGAACGATGCACTTTAAGCTTTGAGTGTTATGCTGGCACAAATCAGAAGGTTAACACTACTTTTTGAAAAAAAATTTTTACCATATCAATTGTATACATTTACCTTATGTCATGTGTTTTTGTCCCCCAAAATGGTATGCTGAAGTCCTAAACCCTCATGCCTATTAATAAACTATTTGGAAATAGGACATTTGCAGATGCAATCAAGTTAAGATGAGGTCATAAGGGATTAGCGTAAGCCCTCAATCCAATCACTGGTATCCTTAAATAAGGAGACAGATACACAAACACAAGGAGAAAGTTGTATGAAGATAGAGATTAGGGTGATGTGTCTAAAAGCCAAGGAAGGCCAAGGATTGCCGACAATTACTAGACGGTAGGAGAGAGGCATGGAACAGATTCTCTCTCAAAGCTGACACTTTGATTTTGGACTGCTAGCTTCCAAAACTGAGAGAGAATAGATTTCAATTGTTTTCAGCCACAACTGGTGGTACTTTGTTGTGGAAACCCTGGAAAACAAAACTACAGAAGCAAAAACTATAAAACATTATTTAAAAGAAAATTAAAGTTACCTAAAATTGCAAAATCCAGAGCTAGTGATAACATTTACCTGTCCAGATTGTATTTTGTTAAAAATGTTTCCTTGGCTTTATGCATGTTTTTCTATGTTTTTTGGTTCTTTATGTATTTACGTATTTCTGACATTAGTGGTAGTCAAGTCTATTAATAATTTCCTTTGTGATATATCATTTTGGTAACATAATAAAAGAAATTCCCCATTATAAAAATATAATTTACTTAAACACTTTTAATATTACATCTCGATCTCTCATTCCCCCCTCTTTCACACCCCCTTTTTTTCCTTCCCTTATTGCCAAGAGAGAAGCACAGCTTTATGTTTCTAACAGCCAGCAAAAAGTCTCAGTATTACATATAATATGCTATCTTTCCTAAAATGATTTAAACTATCACCTTTTTTGTATATTACATCTGTGAACCAAAAATAAAATTCTAAACCCCTCAAACAACGGAATGGACCCATCCTGTCGACCAAGGGCATTCTAAAGTAAACTTGAAATACTAGTTCAGGCTATGATAAAAATGGGTAGTTGGACATGCCTCATTATATCTTCCTCCCGTTGGAATTCAGGCACAGCTGATCAGTTTTAACATTAAAATAGACACCTTAAGACTGACAGAACAGACTTTTTAAGTCTTATAAGAAACATTTACAAGCTCTTCTCTCTGAAGCCTACCTACTACGTGGAGGCTTCCTCTGCATAATAAGAACATTAGTCTCCACAACCCCTTATCTTAACCTAGACCCTCCTTTCTATTGACTGAGGTCTTTAGACTCTCCCAGCCAATTCATCCAATTACCAATTAGAAAATATTTGAACCCACTTATGACCTGGACATACTCCTCACCCCCACCTCACCAACCACTTTGAGAGTTGTCCTGCCTTTCTGGACTGACCAATGTATGTCTTACATGCGTTGATTAATGTCTTATGTTTCCCTAAAATGTATAAAACCAAACTGTAGCCTGACCACCTTGGGCACATGTTGTCAAGACCTCCTAAGACTGTGGCACAGGAATGTCCTTAACCTTGGCAAAATAAACTTCTAAATTGATTAAGAGTTGTCTCAGATAGTTTTTGGTTTACACACCTTATATGCCATAAACTTACATTTGTGCTTTCTATTCTGGTTCATTGATCTTCCTATTACTTAAAAACATCATGTAGTTTTAAATATAAGTGTATAATATTTTCAAGGAGGCTTTAATTTACTCCTTACCATGTATTTTTTGGTTCAGATTTTCTCAATTCTTAAGTATATTATCCCATACAAAATTTAGAACTATTTCTCAAGAGCCATTTTATTTAATTTTTATAACATGTTGCTTATATTATTAGAAAAATAAAAATATTACAGCAATTATCGTAAGATATTTTAGCATATATGTTTTAAGTTAGGCATAATTATGTGAAAAATATAAAAATTTAGATAAAAAAGAATAATTCCTCACCATGAAAAATTTCACAAGGCAAAAAGTTATATTCCTATAATCATATATAAATTAATTTCAATCTTACCATTAGTTAATAAAATCATGTCAAAATGCTGTTTCTTTAAATATTTACCCCATCTATCCTCATCTCTTCCTAACACACATCAGCAAAATTTTGCATCCTTACACAAGTAAGCCATAGTGATGACCAAGTATGTTTTTCTCAAAATTTTTATCATATTTGGCAGTCATAAGTTTTAGAAAAGTTTAACAATTTTTCACTCTTTTTTTAAATGTTGCTTTTCTAAGTTGGGTAAGAATTCTCTTTAGTTTTAACCGTACTTTCATCATAACATATGCTCTATTTGCAGTTTTTCCAAATTACCCTATTGTCCTTCACTTTGTTTCTCTACTTGGAACAATGCAGCACTAAATATGATTTCATTTAAATACTTTGTACTTAGTTAATTTACAAAATGGATTGGCTGGTCTTTACTTTTTAAAACATATTTTATGTTTTGAGCTATCTCTTTTTTTTTTTTTTTTTTTTTTGAGACGGAGTTTCGCTCTGTCGCCCAGGCTGGAGTGCAGTGGCGCGATCTCGACTCACTGCAAGCTCCGCCTCCCGGGTTCACGCCATTCTCCTGCCTCAGCCTCCCGTGTAGCTGGGACTATAGGCACGCGCCACCATGCCCGGCTAATTTTTGTATTTTTAGTAGAGACGGGATTTCACCGTGTTAGCCAGGATGGTCTCGATCTCCTGACCTCGTGATCCGCCCGTCTCGGCCTCCCAAAGTGCTGGGATTACAGGCGTGAGCCACCGCGCCCGGCCGAGATATTTCAATGCACTTATAATTTACATCTATATGATTACTCTTGAATTTGAGCATCTCTTCATTTTTCATTGGCCTTTTGAAAATTTTCCTTTTTAGAACATCAATTCATGTGTGACATTTTTAAGTAAATATTTTATTTTGAGTTAAATGTAGATTCACATGCAGAATTAGCTCACGTATTTGCCTAGTGTCCTCCAGTGGTGGGAAGGGGGTTACAAAACGTTGTGCCATTTTTTATTACATTATTTTTTCTTGTTAATCTCTAAGAAGTAATTTGGACAGCATAGAAATTAATTTTTGTCCTTCTATTGTGATACTTTTTGTTTCTATTAATTGTTCATTGATAGAATTTATGCTGTCTTTTCCTATAGACATTATTTTTTTCAATAGCTTTACAATTTTATTCTTGGTTAGAGAAGACTTTTCTATACTCAAATAATTAATATTTAGTTTTCTAGATTTACTTGCAGGAACTTTATTTCTTTTTCAAATTATTTAACTATGTCACCTGTCTAGATTTTAATTTTGAATATGATGAAGCTGGGGATACCTATGTTCCTTTCATGCTGAATATGTTGTATCTAGTAATATTTATAGTAGTGTACACCATTTTCCACTGCATCAATGTTTTTATATTCATATATTAACATGTCATATTTAGGGATTTAATTATGTTTTTTCCATTCTGTTCCATTAGTTTTTATGTATTTCTATACCACTACTAAATTATTTTGATTATAGTGTCTGCTTCCTATATTTTAATATATTTGTGAATAAATGCTCCACTAAAATTTTTTAGGGTATTATCATTGATTCTCATTTGATTACTGTTGCAGATACTTCTGCTACGCTCAATTATTTCCCTTAGTCCAGCTCTAATTTAAGCAGCATCTGCACTGGATGCTTCCTTTAGAACTCAGACTTTCTGTCACTGTCAGCTTCCTGGACAAAGTCAATGTCTCATCTAGCATCTTTTCACTTTCAGCTTCAGGACGTTTTCAAGACTGGTATCTGTTTGGCCTGAGTAGAAGTGCAGCTGTTAATGAATATACCCTGGAGCTATGCTCAAAGAACACTGGAAGAAAGCTGGTGGCCCTCCAGAACCTGATGGACAGTTCCTGGGAGACATTCTTTGCACTTCTCAGGTAGCCCAGTGAATTGAGCGTCTAGTGTCTATAAACAGAAATCATGATCATGCATCTCTTACGGGTGCTGTTTACTGCTCTCATTTGCCCTATTCCTTCACTGTTAGCTTCTGAGATCATCTAAATAAACCATTTGCCTTCAAACCTTTATTTAGGATATTCGTTCAAGTGAATACTAACCAAAACAATTTTGAAGATTATTTTAGTTAATTCTGTGAATATGTCTTTTAGGAATTCATTAACATTACATTAAATGCCTATATTAATTTTGACAGAATTGTTAATTTTATAATGATATCCAAGTACTTGCTATATATAATTTTACATTTGTTTAGATGGTGTTTTATGTCTGCTAATGGCTTTATTATTTTGTTTCAGATAGATATTGTGCCTTTTCTGGATATTATTTCTTAAGTATTTTCAAGTATTTATTGTTTTAATTTCACAGTTACCAATGGAATATTTTTATTCATTTTACTCTTAGTTGGGCTAAAATGACAAATTTTCTTCACTCAAGCAACCCTAAAACTTTGCTAAGAAATTCAGTCTTTCCCTTTCTTCCTTTCTCCCTACCTCCCTTTTTCCTTCCTATCTTCCTTGCCTTTTTTCTTCTTTCTTTAATAGAGTCTTAGCAATATTTCAGGTTTTCATCTTTTCTTTCAGAAAAACAAGGTAATTTTATCTCTTCTAAAATGTATACATGTCACTTCATTTTCATTTCTTATGCATTTGTCAAATCTTCCAAGGAAATGTTAAACAATGTCGATAGTAGACATCCTTGTCTAGATAATGATTGAAAACAAAATTATTCATTGTCACCATTTTATATAATATTTCCTACTAGATATTGATAGATAGCCTTTATTATATTTATCTAATTGCCTTCTAGTCCAATGATACTTCACAGCTTTTTAACAGGCAGCTCTGTTGAATTTTATCAACTGCCTTTTCAGCATTTACTGATATAACATGATTTTTTCCTCTCCTTTATTTTTGATGCAGTTGATTTACTGAGAAGTAGATGACCTTCTAAAATATTGGTATACTATTTTAGAAAAAAAAGTAAAATACCAGCCAGAAACCTATATCGCATAAGTTTGAGTACTCTTTCAAATGTTGTAGTATATGTTCTAAACTAGCAAATTATAGATGGCATTATTTATAAGACACACTGATAAAGTTTGAATATTTGTCTCCAAATATCAAATCTCAAGTTGAAATTTGATTTCCATTGTTGGAAGTGTGGCCTAGTGGGAGGTGTTTGGGTCATGGGAATGAATCCTTGATGAATGCCTTGGTACTGTCCTGACAGAAATGAGTGAGTTTGTGATCTATTAATTCCCATAAAAGCTGATTATTGAAAAGAACCCAACACCTTCTCCTCTCCCTCTTTCTTTCGCTTGCTCACTCTCTCACTGTGTGATCTCTGCATGACAGCTCCATTTTGCCTTTTACCTTTCACCATGAGTGCAAGCAGCTTGAGACACTCACCAAAAGCAGATGCTGGCGCCAAGTTTTTTGTGTAGCCTGAAGAATAATGAGTCAAATAAACCCCCTTTCTCTTAAATTATCTAGCCTCAGGTGTTGCTTTACAGCAACATGAAAGGATGAAGACACACAACAATGGTTCTAGTAATTCAATATTTAGGCTGCTCCCTACCTGGAAAAATCTAGCCTTCTTATGCCATTAGACAAACAGGACAAAAAAAGAGGTTGTTGTGCTATCGAGCGAAGTGAGATTGGGACATTAGGAATATACATGGAATCTAGGAAATTTTTCTGAATGATTCTGGGTACCATGTCCAGGGATAAAAATTAATAAATAACTGTAGTAATTCATCCAGGCAGGACCATTGCGACTCAGATGTTTCAAGTATAAACATTTGAGTTACCCCACCAGGTAAAAATCCCTGACTGAAAGAAATGTTTCAAAATTGAGACAATATGAAATAAACAGTAAATGAACACTGTTACAAATAAGATCATCACAAATTGCAAAAGTAAAGTAGGCTATAGCTTCAAATATTTTTTACCTTGCTGGGTCTGCATATATTTTGCATATAAACTAGTGATTTTTTTCCTATTTCTTGTACCAACTTTTTAATATAAAGGTTATTATTGGTGGTTAATTATATAATTTATCCCATAGGTTATAGAATATTTTGGGGGACTGTAATGAACCAGAAAAAGAATACATCTTATGCAGACAGAGCTACAAAAACTGATATGACTTTAGTCATCCAATTTGGGGAGAGATTGAGCAGTGCTTTATTTTTTGGGCAAAGGATGCATTATGTTGTGTTTGTTGCTATTATTTTAGTGTTAAAATTTAGGGATGGGTAGATAAGTATTATAACTGTTGAGGAGACAAAGCCTATACTGTGTTGCATATAAACAATTGATATTTGATACCCACTTCTACTTCCTTCTAATAAATTTTTATTTACAGAAGAGGCTGCAGAGGTAAAACAAAACAAAACAAAACCACGTTATCCTCCTTTGCAATATTTAAGGGTGCAAATAAGTTTCCATCATATAGATTCATTTACTCAACTTTGTGCAATAGGATTTGCTTGGACAGCTTTGTCTATTTATGTTTTCCAGCAATGTGGGGGAGGTGTGACTATTAGGAGAACACTTTCAGAGGTAACAACAGCTAGATTCATCATTCAAAGATAAAATCACTTAAGTCAGTTCCACAAGACAGCAACATGCATAGCGTCCTGATTCAAACCACTCTATTTCTATCTTATCCTTTTCCTTTTATGTATTTTCCTGCATTGAATTTGATTTTCTTGAACATACAAAAAGTGATTTGTTTTTTTTTTCAATGACACAGATTCACTGGCGGTAGGAAAATATAAGTTCAGGAAGGGAAAGAAAAAGCAACTATGTTCTAAATGTTTTAACCTTTGAAAAAAATAGAAGAGAAGAAATAGTAGATAAATTGGAAGGTAATAGAAGCAGAATAATGCATCTTATTGCGGGAAACAGTTGAAATATTGCTTACAATAAAAAAGTCATATATCTGATTACATGCTAGAAAAAGAACAGAACCTATGAATTGAAAAAATAAAAAAGTAACAAATCTCAAATTTATTCACAGGAAAAATTGAATAATTATTCTTTGTTTCTCAATCATTTAATTTTTGTCTTAAGGTTTAGATGCTTTGCACTTGATCTTCCAGGACACTTATTTGAATCTCAAGAGTAATTATTTAGATCTGTGGGGTTGGTATTGAATTTTTTTGTTTGTTTGTTTAGAAACACATTTTTTTCAGCTTTTTATGCCTTTTTATATTGAATATTTTTAAGTAAATGCATTTGGGTAACTGAATTTAATCTTTCCACTTCTAAGGTGGGTTAAAACTAATTGAATACAAACTTTAACAAAGGGATATTTGGTTATTAAGACTGAGCTTTAGAAAGATGTCCATCCATCTCATATTAATATATAAAATGCAGTTTGATTTATTAGGTTGGTGCAAAGGTAATTAGAGTTTCTAGGAAAGGGATGGTAATGTTAACGTCATTGCCATGGAAAAGAGGTAACTTTCAGGTCTTTGCCATGGCCCTTGTAAACTGCCATGGCACTGGTGGGAGTGTCTTATGCCAATAAGCAATGAGGGCAGCTAGGGACTGCTTTCTGGGCCATTTGCTGGTTCCTTCCAGTTTTTTCATTTTATTCTGTCTGGACCAGATTCTGTTTTGGTTAGCAGGATTGTGAAAGAAAACAGGTCCTGCCAGTCTTCTACCTTAGTTTTTTTTTAAATAACTCAAGTCCAGGTTCTTTCTTCAGTGTTGTGAACCGGTTCATAGAAGTCATACAAGTGTCTGCTTGAGCAAACCTGAAATGTGCAGGCAGTTCTCAAGGTAATCCCTTTTCTGGTCCTGTCAGCTAGTTTCTTACACTTGGATTCTTAGGAGTAAACAAATAGTAATCCTTGCATTCCTTAAATGCCAAAGACGTGTACCAAATTCTCTTGGTATCAACCTCATTGGAATTAAAGTAGAAGGAAAACATCTTCAGTCTTCTTCAAAGATCCCTCCACTTTACTATATGACAGCTGTCTATAAAGACATTCTTACTCTGCAATTTCTTTAGCCCACCCAGCTCAGACTTCTAGTCCTTCCTAATAAGAATTATCTAGGTTAGTAATGTGTTAACAGCCTCAAAATATGTCTTACAATAACAGCATGGCTTACTGGACAGTAGTTTCTGAACCATAGGCCTTCTTTTGAAAGGTGTTTCTTTCATGGCAAAAGAAAATGTCCTCTTGCAATTGTTTTGCCAATAATTAATGTCTTCTTACAATTGTTTTGCCAATAAAAACAGGCAAAATATTTTTGTTTTTATAGCACAGATTCTGGTGTATAAATAGATGATAGTCTATATCTTTAAATATTTTGTCATTTTTATTAGCCTAGCATCAACGTGCTAATCTCTTACACTACTGTTCTATATCTGCCAGTTTATATTCATATTTCCCTAATTTTTATATATTAGAATACTATTATGAATTTTCCTTCCCTCATTAACAACTATTATTGTTTTTATATAGTTGATATTTGTGATGTTATTGAGTGCTGCTTTCCCTGTATTTGACTTTGTATGCTATCACCAAATTTATCCATTTCCTTCCTTCTTCTATATATTTTTTGTTATACTTTTACCTATTGTTTCACTTCTTAATGTTATAGTTCACTCTGCTTCATTGTAATCTTTTAGATACAATAAAGTCAGGATTGAGTTTTCTTATTGAAGTGTTTGTTAACCAAACTAAACACATTTGCAAATTTTTTGTCTTGTGCTCATCAACAATATTGTTAAGGCATAAAAAAGACTTGAACTATAGTTTTTTACCATCTACCTTCAGAATCCATGATCCTTTGGTGGTTTTGCCTCAAAAGTTGATCAGGAGAGGTCTGTCCTGAACTCATTTATTTTCTTTTTTTGATTCATATAATTTGAATCTTCTGCCTGGATTCTTATGGAATATTTTATATTAAAAGAATATTTTAATTATATTATCTATTTACATTATAATTATATATTAAAAGATATATATTATATATCTTTTATATATAATATATATAAAATAATATAGAATTATATTATATATTAAAAGAATATTTTAATTATATTGTTTATAATATAAATATATATTATATAGAATATTTTAATTAAAAGATGCTTTGGCATTGGTTAATTTGCCTTACTTTAAGTCATCATTAAAAAAATAATATATTGAATTATTTGTATGATGCTTTTGTTTATGAACATTAATTATATAAATATTTTATCTCTAAAGTTTGTCTGCTATATTCATTGACAAACTGTAATGTGGTCATGTATCTTTGCTACTTAATTTCATTGACATTTGCAAAGTACAATTTCAGTTTAGTAATTTCTCTCTCTGCCCACTTTGCTTTCTTTTGATGGCATGAACCTACTTTAGAAAACAAGGTAGAGCTCTTACAAACTTTATCTGCATTAAACACAATGTCTCACTTGGAATGTAATATGTTATAAAACTGTAATTCTAAATTACTAACAAGAGAAGAAACCTAAATCACATTTTAAATTTTAATCCTTCACCCACACATATTTTCTACTTATATAAAATGAATCCTATACAATATAATCTTACTACATCACACTTTTCATATTAACTACATAAAATCAAAGTCTATGGTAATGAGAAAATAATTGAATATATTATAATAACTGCCTTACCCTCTCTGAATCTTTTTATAGCACAGAAGTAGATATGATATCTATTTATGAAAATTAGTAAATGGGATATATTTTGTTACATTTAATTTAGATTTATGTTTCAGAAAACATTAAGAGTTTTATGAAGTGAAAAACTCAAGGATAATGCAGATACGTAGAACACATGGAAGATAAATGAGAGTGGTCAAGAAACTGAAATGAAAATTTTATAGTTAGACTTATAGACATATTGCAACTGCTCAACAGCCTTCCATTTAAAATGAATCTTAGAGTGACCCTCACGTAATGAGCTTAAATATTGTTACACGTAGAGTCAAAGGAGTTTGCTACTTTATAGACCATGAACATTACCATCATGTTCATAGTCTATGTTTATTCAAGTTTTTTGAAAATTTCAAAAACATTTGCATTCTTCTACAGTTTAATATGAAAATCATGTAACTACCCTAAAATACACATAAAGAATCTATAGCATTTGTGACAAGATATTTTTTCTAAGAATCACGGAAATTACATGGATACTTCATTGTTTGCTATGAGCAAAATACGTGGGTATGGAGTGTGAGCAGAAGTGAGTGGGAGGATCCACAAGGGGATAAGAAAAACAAAGTTTGGATATTATTAGCCTTTTATACATGTCAAATGCATAAAACTAGCATTAACACCCTTACTTTGGCCTACAAAATGAAGCTGAAAGACCTAAAAATGTCAATTGTTAAGCACTAAAATGAGAAAATTTTGATTTTTATAACTAGGAAACAATAATTTGTGGCTACAAAGTATTGTCTTCACATTCATACACTCATTAGAGCCTCAGTCTTCAGAGGGAAGTAGCTGTTTGTTGGTGTGCTTTCCACATGAGTGAAATGAAATCAAGAAGTCAAATAGTTGGGGCAAAATTACAATATTAATATACATCATGGCTCCCATGGATCTTGCTTTTATTGTGGCTCCAAGTATCATGGCTCTTCTACTATATTATACTGCCTTGCTGATATCTTTCAGGCTTAATAGCTTTCTATCACTCATTTTAGATACAATTTAATTTATGCTTTAGTGAATAATATATTATTTATTTATAAAAGACATATAAATAAAGAAATGTATAATGGAAAATTTATCCCTCCCAAATTCTCTACATAGAGAAACTTAGTTTAAATTCAGATGATATTAATTTAAATTACATGCAAATTAGCCAAACAAGTTAAAATGCTAAGATCAATATGATATCCAATATTTTGAGCCAAGTAGTTGAAAACCATGGAAAAGAAATGATAGCTGAGACTATATCTTTTAAATCTATATAAAATAAAGACAAATTCTCATTTAAAACTTCATAAAACCAGAACAAATTAAGGCTATTAAAAAATGCACTTCTGAAAGTAGGGTTTTTTTTTTTTAATTTAGAAAATATTCAAAAAATGAACAAATTCTATATAGTTCTATCATGATTTTTATTTAATGGATATAAGTGATTAGAAGAATATTCAGTTTTAGAGAGAGCAGATTTTAGGACAAACAGACAATTTTGAAAACTCTAAACTACAGAGGAGTGCATCAAGAAATGCCTTGGTAACTAACCTGCACAATGTGCACATGTACCCTAAAATTTAAAAGTATAATAATAATAATAATAAAAAGAAATGCCTCAGGCCTATGTTGAATAGTAGGTCTTTGATTTTTATTACTTTTCTATTTCATTTTATACCATTTTATGCTTTAGTTTAGTCCTAGAGCCAGAGAAGAAATTCTAAGTACCATGTGTTTTATGCTTGTTCTCCATCAGTACCTTTCATAAAAATGTGTGCTATTTGCAAATATATATATTTACAGTTTTGTGTGACAAACTGAATCTGGAATGTAAGACTCACACTATTATATTTTTACCCTTTACATAGTCATCATTAGTAAAGTGTACCTGAATATTTTCTTGCTGATACATAAGATCAGGCTGCTCACTAGCCAGTATCTATAGCTCAGAAGTGCTGGCTGAGGTTAAAAAAACAACATATCAAAGTAGGCAAATAGGAGTCAAGAGTGTGACCTTATGTGCAGCAACTACATTAAAAGGGTTTTCTTTTTTTAAGTGTTATCTTTGAGGGAATATATTTGAAAGAATTTTGGATAATTTTGCTTAGTGCAGTGGAAATGAGGGCTGTTAAGTTTCCTTCCAGTTAATCTGATTTCCTCTGTGTTTGCTCATCAAAATAGTCTACAGTTAAGCTTTTGAAGAATCTATTTGTGTGCCATCATGTTAATTGAATGTTCTAGGCTTTAGAAAAATGACGCAGTGACAGGGATTATGTTGTCTAATTCTGTCTTACCTTACCTTGTGCCTTTAATATAGCTTTAAGAACACAATAGTAATTTCAGATAGATTTAAGTATCATTAAAAATTAAACATCTATTAATGACACGCAAAGCTTTTACCTAGCAATATGCTAATTTCCTTGAACAACTTACTGAAAAGGTAAAGTACTGCAAAAAGATAAACTAGGTTTTGGAATTGGAGTAGAGAAAGGGTTGACAACTACTACTGTATTGTTTTATGTAGTGTAATATATATATTAGATAAAATATAATTCAATATTATATTATATTTATATTATATTATATATTAAAGGTCTATTTATTAGTAAGAGGTGAAGCAAAGTGTGAAGGCAGAAAAGACAAAATATAGATGTGAAAAATTGGAGGATAGGATAAAGATAGGCACGTAGATACCTAGAAAAACTTTTTAATAAATATTTATTGCTGTATATATATATTACATCTCATTTACTCCTCATAAAGTTAAAGGGTAAAATTTGAAACAAAGTTTGATAGTAAAGAAATAGATACTATGAAGGCTCAAGCAACTTGCAGTATATAGTATAGGTATGAGTTACGCTTAAGAGAATCTTACACAAAACCCTTGCTATTAGAACAAACTATGATACTGCTTGAGTTTTAGGTATCAGATTGAAACTAATATGTGGAAGACTTGGACATTATGCCTAGGGTGGCTGAATTTCCTTTGATAGTCCCTAGGGAGAAATAAAACTTGATTTTATGCAAAGAAGACTTATTAACAATAGTAAAGGTTTAGCTGAATGATCTTGTGATTATATATATGACAAAATAAAGGGAAAAAAGGATACACAGTGAGGAGAAAAATACAAAGTAGAGGGAGATGATGTTTCAATGCATCATAAATCTATTTGAAGAAAGAAGGTTAGCCTAGTGGTGAAGAGCAAATGTTGCAACATCAAATATCTGCTGTTCTGTAACTTTGGAAAAATGTACAACTCATTCTTAATTTTCATAGCTCTAAAATGGAGATCATTATAAGACTTACTTCAGAATTGTCATCTCATTTAAATATAACTCATGAGAGCATAGTTTGCTCTCATGAGTTTTGCATAGTTTCTTCTCACAGTTTTGCATAGTTTCTGGCATACGACAAATATAAAATGAGAGTTGCTAGTATAGTTTTCATTACTATTTTTTATTATTATTTACCATTATCATTTACTTCACTTCTATGCATAGATTAATTCACATTCCACATTATCTTAGCACCATCAGCATGAATTCCTTACTTGGTAAATATGTAGATTTGCCTCAATATCCCAGAGTAGTCATTTTCAGAAGAAATTTGTGATTTCATTTCAGAAAAAATCTGTGATTAATGTAGGGAAATAAATAGCCCAGTGACATGTCAGCTATAAGGTAAATTTAGAATCTTTGTTCCTATTTTTGTTCCCCTGAATATTATTATTTATTTTATTCAGAGCTATCTCCAGAAATCAGAGCTTCCCTAATCTAGGAATGGTGCTGAGAGCTTCTCACTGTGTAAAAGCTAAGAGTTTAAAGATTGCTGTTGGCAGGACACCAGGAAGGATGCAGACCCTCAGAGAAAATTACTTTTAGGAGGTGCTATTTTCTCTTTACTTTGATGTGCATATTTCTTCGCCAGATGGTAGTAGCCCTGTAGGGAATTACTTCAGGCAATAGACTTCTACTTACAAAATGTCTTTCTTTAAAGCCAATGGATATTTTCTGGTTGAGTAATTTCATTGAGAAGAAAATTATAGAAACAGTCTTGAACTTAAGTACACTTAAACTTACGTAGTGTGTGTATGGTGAAGGGTGTGCCTATGCATACCTGCCCACATATATATGTATTCTTAAATTCTGAGAAATTATTTTCCTTATTTTAAGATGGAATTTGATGTTAACTCTATGGATTGTAAATTTTTGTGCTGATATTAGTATAATATAAAATTGTTGATTTAAATAATATTTTTTAAGTATACATCTGATTAAAATATAATGTAACCAATGAAATTAAAGAATAGGTGATTAATTATAGATCTGCACATCATTTTAGAATACAAGGAAAGGAAACATGGCTTGGGGATCAAGAAATATGAATCACTGCAAAACTAGTTAATTTACTTTAATACATAGAACAATGAAAGACAATTCGTTTATTGAGTATGAAGTCTCAATTATAAGAGTCAAACCACAGTGGTAAGGATAGCTAACAAATTATTGGCTTATTTTGTCAGCATTGACTCTGCATTTTTCCTCAAAAATATATAAAGTCATATTCCCTTATTAAGAGGCCAAATTCTTACAGTGACAGCAAAACTGGAAACATAGTGTTTCTATCACAATGCCTTTGGTGAAAAGCCTGTGCCATGTACTCCATTAGGGTAGACTGAGACTCCATCCCTGAGTAGCCATCAAATCAGGGTTCCCTTTCTTTGTCATGGGTATAAAGGAAGGATATATTTCACAATCTCTTTTATAATTAAGTTGGGGCTATGTGAGTATCTTCTGACAAATACATTGTGGACATAAGAAATGCAAGTCAACTACCAGCCCAGCCAGAAAATGCTTTCCCTCATTTCTTCTCTGACTACAAAACCAAGGCAGAATAATGCCTCAATATGATAGGAATCGGAATGTCCAAGTCACAGAACTGGCTGTGAGAAAAGACTGACCCAAATCAGACTAAGAAATAAATAAGATGTACATTTAAACAGTGACAAGACTTTGGGGTATTTCTTACACCAGCAGATAGTGTTAATTAACCAATCTTAAAAAGCTTCCATCATATTCTTATATTTGGTCCATCACTTTATAATTTTTGCTTACTTTATTTTTTCACATTAGTGATTGCCCTTTGATGTTACATCCTTTTGCCTGTTTGTTTGTTGTTTGGAATTCTCCCTAGAAGCACGGCCCATGAGAATATCAAATGTACTATGCACACTGCTGTAGCCTAGGAGCACAAAGAACAGTACTTCTAGATAGGAAGAGCTCAGTCAATGACTTGTCAAATGAATAAATTATATTATTTATCACAAAATTAACTACTTTTATTAATCTCTTGAATATATCTAAGAAAACTAAGACTTAAGAGGTTCAAATAATTATTCTAAGGTCACATAACTAATAAGATACTGAATCAGAGATTCATTGAAAAGTAACTTAGATATTACACAGTTCCAAAATTCCATTCTGCCAATGAATATATCGAGGTCCAGCATGATTAAATAACATACATTTATATTTCTTTATACTAAGATTCTCCATATCCTGATTCCTTCCTTTTTGTAGTTCTTGGTAAGCTTATATAAATGCTTATTTTATAAACATATAATCTGTCATTTCTTGTATATTTAAAGAAGATTCAGCTGGGCGTGGTGGCTCACGCCTGTAATCCCAGCACTTTGGGAGGCTGAGGCAGGTGGATCATGAGGTCAGGAGATCGAGACCATCCTAACACGGTGAAACCCTGTCTCTACTAAAAATACAAAAACGTAGCCAGGCATGGTGGCAGGCACCTGTAGTCCTAGCTACTAGGGAGGCTGAGGCAGGAGAATGGTGTGAACCTGGGAGGTGGAGCTTGCAGTGAGCCGAGATCACACCACTGCACTCTAGCCTAGGTGACAGAGCGAGACTCCATCTTAAAAAAAAAAGAAGATTCAAAACATAATCTCCATAACAACAAGGGCAATTACAAGATTTTATATATATAAACATATATAACATATACAATCATAAATATATATATTATATGTATTGCATTTCTTTCTAATTTAAAGGTTCTTTCTATGAAAGAATTATAATACCCAAATTATACAGTATCAGAGAGTACAATATTTCCTACAAGTAAATTACTTAGATAATTTTAAATTGTTCAATCACTTTTATAGAAAAATATATGTCAGACTAAAAATTTTTATGTGGAGGAAATACCACTAATATTCTGGATATCCTGATATAATTAATACATTAAAATACAGTGCTAGAAGATACTATTATGGTCTCCTTTTTAAGAAGAAAACTGAGGAAAAACTTTCACAAGATCACATAATCAGACCATGGCATAGCAAGCCTATAAACCCAGAAAGTCTGTTCCTGGAGTCTATCCTATATATCATTATGTTATACTTCCATTTAATGGTGGACACCATTCAAGTTGGCTTTGTTTTGGTGTACAGATTATTACACTGACCCTAAATCCCATCATCTGTTCTAAAGCATGAAGGATAATTTCTACTTTCTAAATATAGTCCTTGCCAGTAGTTTGAGGAACTTATTTGCCAGCTCTTAAATCTCCAGCTCACTATTTCTGCAGGGAAAACATGTACACATATATATGCATACATTTTTTCATTAAACAATGAGCTAGAGATTCGGAACCTTGAGATTAAACAATGCTTCATATATATTCTACACAAAATCTAATCAGTAAAAATCAGCTCTTTATCGTGCTACTTTCCCAACTATCAACTGCTTTAAAAATTATTTTTCTATCAGAATCCTAAAGAATGGTAACTTCTTCAATTTTAGAAGCCATAGACACAATATGGTCTATACAGAGCACAACTTCATAAATGCTTCTAAAAGAGGTGACACAGGATTTTTCTCAGTCACTTTACCAGCCAGGGAGCTCCAGCCTGTGACATCTTCTGCCTGGGCCTCACTCAGGCACACTACCTGCCACTGGAGGTGGCCCGCCCACTTGGCCCACCTGGGATGCACCTAGCTTGTGCACTGGCTCAGCTCATGGCTGGGCTGGGAGTGCCCAAGCCCACCTGTGTTATAGCTGTACCCACATCCAGTGGTTCCCAAGTTCTTGTCCTGCATCTGAGAAGAATGAGGATATTCTGACAATTGAACAGTGAGGAGGGCGGAGAAGAATTTTATTGAGTGGTGGAGCAGCTCTCAGCAGAGAGGTGATACAGGTGTGGTTCCCCACCTGAAGTTGCGTGGTTTCTTCCCCAATGTGGCTGGGTATGGGGCTTTTATGGGTTCAGAATAGGGGAGTGAATGCTGATTGGTTTGTGAGTATGCAAAAAAAGTTAAAACAAAGGCACCACTCAAAGGTGCGCACAACAATGTAAAAAAAAAAAAAGGAAGGGTAGGTATATGTAAAATAGGGGAACAGTGGGGATCAATCATAGGAAAGCGTGCCAAATGGGAAGACAAGTTCTCAGTCCAGTCTGTGGATTTATCCAGGACTTGTAGCTAGGCTTTAAACTGTCTTCAGCTTGTAGGTGGTGTTTCACTGGGGACTCACCGCTAACTGCATTAGGCATTTGTCTGCCTCCTGCAGCTATCAGATGAACTGAAATGTGGACCTATATTTTTTAATAAAAATTTTTAAACTTTTAAAAGTATAATTTGTAGTAAGAACTATATTTTAATTCATGCCCAAATTTATAAACACATATGTTTTTAAATAAGCTAAGCTTACACAAAAGAGCCTTGTTGTATGCAACTCATTTTGATTTCTATTCTATTTTAATTAAATCCCTGTCTTTCATAATATATTCTACCTTTTAAAAAATCACTAGTTTTGATAACTTGGACTTAATGATAGACTAAAGAATACAACCTACAATTTAACAAACGGTAATGTAGATAGTTGACAGTGGTAACATCTAATTACATTACTTTGTTGGGGGTAATTGAAATACAGCTTCCTCTGTTTTCTGATGGAAACACCTCAAAATAGCCAATATATATAATTTCTTTGGATAGAGGAGCCAGAAATATAAGTGGTGTTTTGTTTTGTATTGTTGGCCAGTCGATTTGTTTTTTTTTTTGAGTAGTTCCTATTTCTTCTATTGCCGATAAATTATCTTTTAAAGGGAAACCTTCAGAGCCTTGTAGTGATAGTGTTTCAGTCTATTCCTCAGAAGAATAAAACGGTATATTGAGCTGGGATTTTTTAAGAGCCTTTAGTAATAAAGAGACTATTGATAGATGTGTGGGCTAGGTTATGAGAATAAGCAAAAATTGTTGGGGCAGTATAGTGTTAACAATAGTACATTTTGGCTTGAAGTTTTAATGTAAGGGTGATATTGAAGCCTGGCTGAGGTCTGGGATCAGGTAAGTGGAGCTTCCTGACAGAATCTGTTCTCATAGAGTAACACAGTCTCTTTCAGAACCACTTCAGAAGAGAAAGGGTTAGGAGGAACATACACCCCAGCCTCCTTCTCTTCCATTATTTTGATTTCCTGCAGTGCTTCCAATTGGCTAAAGCCAATAGGTAAGTCATCATATGTGACGTGGTCTATACACATTCTTCTCATGGGTACTATAGGACCAAGAAAGGTAGAAAACTGATTTAAGGGAAAAATGGAGAATAAATTGCTATAGTAATTTTTAATAGGTGAAATAAAGATTTTTGTTATATTGGAAATAGCAAGAGATTCACTAGGGATCTTCTTAAACTCTCACTTGTGTTTTTGGAATGATTACATAAGATTATAAAAATAATTTCTAACAGCTATTGGCTCATTGTACACACACACATGCACACTAATGCTCTATCCACCTCCATTATTTTACTGCCTTTCAGAAAGAAGAGATTTAGGATTGTTCAAGTATGTGTTTTCTAAAGTGTGGATCCAAGCAATCAAGACTAATCAAGCTGAAGGTAAAGTGCAAACCCCCTAGCCCATAGACACATTGCTCATCTTTGATAGGAAGCATCACATTTGCTCTATTACTAGAGACTCTAGGGAGAGAGAATAAAGGTTAAACATGTCTGCCTGCAGACTTGTCAAGTGGCTTCTGGCACAAAGAAAGACGGAAAAAAACAACCAAACCAGGGCTCTGTTTTTTTTCCAGGTAAACTATTCCACATTACACTCTGCAATGCTTTACTTTAGGGTCCATATGGAAAAATTTGGAAACATCTTATTACTTCCTTATCTACATAAGAGGCATTGGGTGTATGGCCCATATAGGTAAAAATTAGATTTAAAAATCACTGAAGTTTTGAACATTTTTTTAAAATGATGAAACTATACCTTACCTTTAATATAAGAAATTATGGGACATTTGAAGATTTAAATATAGTTTGAATAATCCTGTTATTGTGAATCAGTAGTATCTTTTTGAATTTGATTGGTGATAAAATTATTACGTTTTTAGTAGGTATGGCATCCCAGAAGATCTTGGTGAGCAGTAACATTCTCTTTGGTTTCAACTATATTTGTTTATGTCTATCTATAGCCTTACTATTTTCATGATGAACTCTCATTCTGCTTTCATACGTAGCACAACTGTAATGAAAATGACCATATGGTGGAAAAATGTCATACTCTGTATTCTATCATCCAGGTGGCCATTATGTTTAATATTATATACAAAGGTGAATAAAAGTCAAAGATAGTTAAGTCTTAGCACAAGTCAATCTTAATTGCTAACTTATTGTCTCTTAATATTTTGGCAATGTTTTCTCCCTTACCTTGAATACCTCCTCCCAATTTTCATAGCTACCAAAAACTAAATGCTACATCAGAATAAATTATGAGAATGGACACTTGTGTTATATTCTTTCTTCAGTTGCTACTTTTGTCTTGCCTTTTAAGAAACTTTGGTCCTTTTAGTTCGTTGCATGGACTAATAATGGAATTCAGAGGAAATACAGGTAGCATTTATTAGCTTTTGTAATTTAGGATCAAAATTAGAAATTTCCAAGTACCTAGAAAACAATCTCTACCCAACAGGCTGTTGGAAAACTGTCAAGGAAATAGGGCCACATTGAGTGGATTGAGATTCCTGACATCTAAGATGTTTGGTAGTTTGTTGGGTTTATACATATTGCTGGAATTATGGAACATTCTCAGAAGCAGCCCCTCAAAATTAGGTGACTTTATGGTCTCTAGTGCAGACTTCCATAAGGCGCCTGTTCCAGAGCTCCTGAAATATGTCAATACATGTATTTATAAATGTATGTGTATACACACATAGATATCAGTGTGTATTGTATCATATATGTACATATGTATGCTCATATATATACATGACTGTGTATACATATGCATGTATGTGTGTGTACACACACAACATCCTTGTAGGTGCTCAATAAATAGATATTGTCCTATTGATCACTTTCTACCTTTTCTTATTTTCTTCTCAGTGCACAGCTAATCCCCTTACACTGTGTTTGCTAATTTTTATTTCTCATTTTTTGGCTGTTATCATTTTGTTTTGTTCTAGTGTTGTTTAATCTTATCAAGTATGTTTATATGCCTCACAAGTATAAGGTTTTAACAAATTGTTGTGACATATTTACTCGAACTAGTTTGAGAATGTTTGAGTTTTTTTTTCTTTAGAAAAAATGGTGAAGCTACATGTAAGTTAAAATGAAATTCTTTTATTTACTAGCTGTAGTTATTATCATAAATATCACTCACTCCTCTGAGTGTCAGTTTCTTCATATGTGAAATGGGAGTAATCACACCTATCTTGTGGAATTATTGACTTTAAATGAATTACTCTCTACTGCATAGTAAAACCAAGTAAATACAATTTGAGGCTTCAATTAATGAATAAGAAAGAATAAAATATGGTATTCCTAAAACTCTCAGAATGTAAAAACATAGAGAAATAAATTCTGTAAAACATAATTAGGTAAAGATTTTAAATAGCTTAATCTTAGGTGACAGAGCTGTTGCTGTTGTTAAAGATTTAATTCTCTTCTCATGAAATTTTTCTTCCATTATTTTTGCCTTTACATAAACGGATGCTCTATTCTAATACTCCAGCTCTATTCTAATGTGGGATTGATCTAGTTTTTCTCTGCCCATTTCTTTTTACTTCTTAACTCAAGAAATGGGAAAATGTGGGACGCATTTAACACAAATCAGGGTCAATGGAGTCAAAAAAGAATTATTCCCCTGAGCTGTTGGTGGCCAAACTTACCGAATTTTGCATTGTGTCTTCAGATAGGTAGCCCACGAAGCTTATAACAAATTCAAATGCTCGAGTCTTATTTCTTACCACTTAAATAAAAATATTTGGATATGCAGCCTAAACACCACTGTCTGTCAAACTCTCTCCAGTTAATTCTTTTGTGTAGGCAGCCCTGAGAAGCACTAGTATATATGATAGGGAGAAATTACAGATCTTTATCTTACTAGCAAGAGAGAAGTGGAGCTGGAATACCGTCATAGGAAGGGACCCAGAGGATGATACTTTGTGGACTTTCCTTTGGAATGTTTGCCTCTTCCATTCTTCCACCACTTGAAGACATCTAGATGGCATCATCTATGAGGAACAGGCCTTCACCAGGCACTGAACTGCCTGCGTCTTGATCTTGGACCTCCCAGATTCTAGAAGTGTACACAATTTCTGTTCTTTATAATTACCCAGTCTGTGGGATTTTATTATAGCAGCACAAAAGAAGCAAGACAGGGTACATAGAAAAAAAAAGTGTTGCTCTTAGTTTGCCAGATGCTATCTTGAGATCACGCTTATAAAAAGTTAAAGGCAGTTTAATCTATCAACTCATTTTAGTCTTGTAATATTTGAAGGGAAGAGAGGATATTCAGTGGGATTGCCTAGGAGATAATTAAGGATTTGAGATCAGGAATGGAGAGAAGCTTTGGGAGTCTTCAGCACATGGGTAATGTTGGAAAACAAGTTGATTCAGTAGTGCAAGGGACAAAAAATGTATAGTGATAAAGTGATGTTTAGAGTTAAGGTGCAAAAGATGGTGAAGAGGTAATAAGAAAGTGAAAAATACCAGTCAGATAAATATGTTGAAAAGAGAGTGGCAAAAATCAGCCGTAAATTTCTATGAGGGATTTATTCATCATCTATTCTTTCATGCATGACGTGTTTAATTAATGAATCACATTCAACTGGATTTGATGTTCATTCTGAACATTTTGATATTTAAATGAATATATCTATTCATGAAGTATTAATTAAACCAGTGGTCAGTTGAATAAAAGTCACAGCATTAAATTTAGATCAAAAGTGAGACAAGCCAGTGACTTTTGTCGGAAAGACGTCCTGGATAATTTATTAGGGTAGTTTTCAGTTGAGTGTTGAAAAAGGAGCTGGAGCACACAGGGATAAATGTTGAGAGACTGTAAAAAAATTAAGGCAGTGGTTGTAGTTATGGGTTCAGAGAGTTAGCACAACTGAGATAAAATAATGGACAGTGGCAAAATAAAATCATTGAATAAAATGATTGTGAATTCATGAGACTTTATTCTTAAAACACACTGAAAAATGAGACATATTTAAAAGTTGAAAAAAAGGTGGGGGCACCTCAGAAGAGCAAGGTTAAAACAAGAAGAAGAAAAAAGTAGTCTACAAAAAGCCGTGAGATGGTACCTTATTTATATCTTTCATCATAAAATTTCTATTCTCTTCTGGCCTTTTGGAAGGTCTAAGCCGTCAGTCTCAAGCTTTCAGTTTCCCACCACCAAATCCTATACAATGTTTATTCTACATTGTGGAAACATTTGTCTTTCAGAAAAATGAGCATGACTCGCATCCTCTGTCTCCATAAATGCCTTTGTTCATTATCCCCATGAATCACCTCTATTCCAGCAACGTACGTATCACCAGTGCTTCGCAAACATCACAGAACTAATTGATTACCACAGAACTAATTGAAATGTGATGATATATCTGTGGCTACAATCTTTCCTTTTCCAGGTGAGATTCTTAGTAATCTCACAGTTGCTTTGAGGATAAAATCTGTTCAAATAAAATTTGATATTCAATGTCTTTTGTCAACAAAAATAAGTTTATACCTTTATTAACACAAATAAATATTAAAGCTGCCTGATAAAATACCTTTATTCTCATTTTGAAGATAGAAAAGTGTTTGAGTTGCAATTATCTTAAGGTCGCATAAAAATATAATAGATAAGCTTCCTACCTAAGTGCCTTGTGTAATAAGGTCTGTGTTCTAAATAGCAGTGCAGATTTTAAAACGATAGCAAAGTGAGCTATTATCATTCTAACTTTATCATTATGATCAATGTTTTTACTCCTAAATATAGAACATCATAAATATAGTTATTGTGTAACTGATATTATTTTAAATGCACCTTTTTAAAAAAATCTATGAGAAAAAATACATTTTGTATCAATTCTAAGAATATCCACCAAAATTATAATATGCATTACAATGAAATGTATATAAATACAAAGTACTTTGTTTTACAATATTTTTTCCAAAGAATAACTTCATTTTATATAATGAAGCTACCTGCATTAAGAAGCCACTTCCTGTTTACAAAATGTGACATATAGAAGACCACAGTATATTAATTTGACACACTGATCCTACAAATGTAGCATCTGTACAACATCAATTTTAAATGTACATATTTCCAGAGATCAAGGTTAATTAAAACATTAGAACATGACATCCTACATAGCACAGGGCGTTTTCAATTGCCTAGTTACCCAAACATTTTCAATTTAACTTTAAGGTAATGGACATCATTGCCCATGGATGTCACAAAGCAGGCAGAAATATATCTGCCCCAGAAGAGTTTGGCATCCCTAAGCCATAGTCATCACAGTCACTGAATTGATTTTAGTAGAAGGTGCTAGAGAAGTTATTAAACAAAATGTTGACATTTGCATTCCAATGTTTATGGATAAATGTATAATCATTGTAAAGTTTTATTATATTTAACTTAAATAAGCAATATTTTATTTAAGCAAGATATACTGGATTGATGGTCTGCTTGGAAGGTTAATATAATTGCTGTAAATTGAATAGTGAAATGATACTTAAAGTGGAAAACAAAGCTGACAATTCACAATTTCCGATGACCTCAACTGAATGGAGGATGACTGAGGAAATTTAGAATTAGGCAGGGCTAAGGCCAAGAGAAAGCCCAGCTATATGACTGGCTGCAAAATAATCTTTAGACCAAAAGCCAGGACAATTTTTGTCGTTTTACAATCAGGCACCAAGTTTGAAGAAAATAACATCTTCTGGCTGCTTATGGACAGTATTGGTGTTCACATAACTACAGTCTCAAGCAGTGGTCCAGACTCTTGATGATGACTCTGGCTATAGAGCTAACTCCATTCTTTTGAGGAAGGAAATTGGCATAGGAAAGGCAGGGGTAAGATTCTTATTAGGTAAGTGAATTGAGAGAACACAAATGAGGATTTCCTATGATACTTCATGCAGTGTATGGCCGTGTCCCTAACATCTGAATCCCCCAACTGGAAGAAATAAGCACTGGAATAAGCTGTCTGGGTTGATGGGATTGGTACAGGAATCTTGGTGGGATTAGTCTGTGGGTTAAAGACATCAGAGACCACAGCTAAACAGGGCTTGAAGTGGGAATCGCTCACATAAATATTTGTGAATTCCTTTCCCTATTGTGGTAATACAGTATTGTTGACTACACACAGAATTTGGAGTCAGTCAAATCTACGTTTGCATACAAGTTGTTCTTTTTATCTATTAACTGTGCAACTATGCAACCTGGTGAAAAATAAGCACACAACAGAGTGGATTTTTATTTCATGTTTTACTTCATACATCTTTAGTGAAAGGTCTACATTACATTTTTCCTCTGCCCTCAGCACCCAGTATAGTGTCACTATTGGCACTTAGTGGCATTTATTTAATGATCGTTCAAAGAAAGTTTTGTGTATACATACTATCAATTTCATAATAGAGATCTATTTAGCACGATAAGACAATAGAGCAATTAATCAGTTGGAAAGTGTTTCCCCAAATCTATCATCATACATTATAATGGAGGAGGGAGTATTCTGAAAATAAATGTCTGTCTACATGGAGAGAATTATATCTCCTTTGTGCTAGCCTCAGGCTTATTCATTTTGCATATTAAGGATATCAATATCAGGGATATGACATAACCTGGTTTCAGTCACATAGCTGGTCCTTGTTACAGTTTGGACAACATTGTAAGTCTCTTGACAGCCATATCTATTTGCACTAGAAAACTAATATATATGACGTTTATTCAGAAGTCCAAACTGTATTGATGAGTCACAGTTCATGGATTTTTCCCACTGATCTGTTTCTAGACAGTGTGTCATCACCCCCATAGAAACATGGTGTTAATGTGGTTAAGTCCGTGGAATTATATTTTATTTGGATCTTTGGACATAGGAATGTCTCTTTATGAGCCACCAACTGACCTCACAAACATACTCAAACAATTCACCAATGTAGGTTCATGATCCGGAAAAGACTATTCAGCTTGATTCCCTGCCTAGAATGTACCATGAGTGATATAATATTCCCAAAGTTTCTAAAATATTTGAAGAACAGACATCTGCCCATGAAACATTATCTCTAGGTTTAAAGGTAACATTTTCCATTCACAGTATTCAAAGACACAGAAAAAAATGTCTAAATTCAAATGGAAATGTGGAAAGAATGCACTTAGGACATAATTACCAAGATTAAGTAAACTACATCTTTGGTAGTTTTGTGTGTCCCTGGACTATGCTTATCATAATTTCACTATTTTGTCAGAAGGAAGAAGCATGTGGTGATGGCACTGGGTAATTGGCGATGTCATTTATGCTTCTTCAGTGCTTACAAATTTACCCCATTGGTTCTCATTATAGATGAAATGAATTGTCCTGAAACAACTCTGTGGGGCACCATTCACACCAAGTAATGTTTAGTGAAAATCATGTTTTGGCTTTTGATGTACTTATTTACATTTCCTAGCATTTGGAGTAGGCAGCCTGTGGTTATTTGAAATATTTCTTTTTGTATTTAATCTTTTTGGCTAAGAAATATCTAAGACAGGAAAATTGATCAAATGTTTCAAGTGCTGCCTAAAATTATATTAATTTGAACACATTATTGTAAAATGAAGTTATTTAAAAATGTATTTAAAATACATATTTTAAATATTTCTAAATTAAAATATTTCTTACTAAGAAATAATCTTTCAGAGAAAATGAGGCAAGAGTTTTCAGTAATTCTCCTAAAAGTTAAATAAAATAACATTGAGGGAGCACACTGGACTTTATGTTGATACACCGGAATTTCACTCATGGTGCCCTCCCGTATTCTCTGTGTGACCCTTGGTATATATCCTCTTAGAGAAAATAAAAGGAAATAATCCCTAATTTTTGTAAGGGTTAAAAGTGCACTTTAAAAAATTCACCAATTGATAAGCAATGTTACCTCTTATTATTAGTGAAAAAATATTATAAATGCTGTGTGCATGCTCTAATAACATGATGCTGACAAACACAAAATATCAAAAAGTCTTTAAATGACTCTTGGTAGTATTTAGCAGTTTATTTTTAAGGATTTTGGATGCATATGAAAATTGCTTTATGTGTTCCAAATACTTCACACTAAAACTTAATTATCTCTCTCTCTCTCTCTCTCTCTATATATATATATATATATATATTTCAAAGATATTAGTAATGCTTAGAGTCATATTTTGCTATCCCTCTTTTGCTATGAGGCAAGTGGGATTTAATGGTTAGAGAATTTGTTTAATGACTGAGAAACAGCATTGAGCAAAGGTAAAAGTTATCGCAAGTTTCAATTCCAAAGCTAATGCATATAAATACTGATATGGTTTGGCTGTGTCCCCACCCAGATCTCGTCTTGAATTGTAATCCCCACATGTCCAGGGAGAGACCTGATGGGAGTTGATGGTATCATGGGGGCGGTTTCCCCCATGCTGTTCTCGTGATAGTGAGTTCTCACAAGATCTGATGGTTTTATAAGGGGCTCTTCCCTCTTAGCTCCTCACACTTCTCTCTCCTGCTACCATATGAAGAACGCCCTTTTTTCCCTTCCACTTTCAACTTCTGCCATGATTATAAGTTTTCTGAGGCCTGCCCAGCCATGTGGAACTGAGTCAATGAAATCTTCTTTTATATAATAAATTACCCAGTCTCAGGTATTTCTTTATAGCAGTGTGCAAATAGATTAATACAGATACCATACATGTGAGATTAAATATCTTCAGAATATAAATTCCCTTTTTTTAATCTTGAAAAAAATATTGGTAGTACTTGAATTTCTTCAGTTATTTTAGGTGGTAAATTAATTATTTCAATTTGGCAACAGGAGACTTAACTGAATGTTGATTTCTCTGTCTTCTAATTATGTAACTTTAGGGGTATCAATATAAACTCTAAGTATCAGTTTTGTCAGCTCTAAAGTACATACATAACTTTATGAAAAAAGTATTCAAAGAACATCAAGGATTAGAGGAGAGTATTTGGAGGGAAGAGAGGAAAGAAGTAAAGGTAAAGTGAGCTGAAAATGTAGATAGAAGTAGGTTTTGGAGAAATATGTAGATCAGGCTAGAGTTTGTGCTTCATCCTGCATAGTCCTTGAAAGTCATAAGGTGTAACCATAAGATATACTCAAATTTGTATTTTAGAAAGATAATTCTGACAGCACAAATCAAACGAATGTATAGAGGTGAGAGAGAAGAGTAAGAGCACTTAGAATGAGACAACAATTCAGGCAATGGCTAAGAAGACCCATGTCTATCAGAGGGAAAGTGTTCTACAACTGTGAGAGAGGTCAGCAGAAAAGTGGCAGCACTTAGTAATTCATGGGAGATCAAGGAGAGAGGACTTGTATGAATAAATGTCAACTCAGGTGGACAGTTCAGGAAAAAAGTGGATGGAAAATTAAAGGAGAAGTAAGTCTGGAGAATAGCAGTATAAGTTCAGTTTGAACATGGTTAGCTTCTAGTGGTGATGGACATGTGTTGCAATCCATCTCTATTTGGATTTTTTTTTTTTTTTTTTTTTTGCTTAGGACACAAGACAGGAATGAAAATATAGAATTGGGAACCACCAATATGAAAATAGTACTGTAAAACATAAAATAGAATCTCTCAGAGATTCTGATAATAGAGCAAAGAGTATGAACTTGAATAATATTACATGGAAGTATAAAGTAATAGGAAAAGGTTTCAAAAAGAAATCATGATTTTTTGTTATAGCAGAAGTTGAGAGGCCACAAATATGTAGCAATTGCAAATGCTAAAGAATAATTAAGAACAATTTGGAGAGGCCAGCAGTGAGGTTTGGAAATGTTTTCACTGTGAGTTATGTGTGGAAGACTTATTATAATGGGATAGAAAACAAGTGCCAGCTGTATTTTTTCTTTTGGATCATTTCTACTTACGCATGTTTTCAAACATTTAGAAAGGAAGAGAAAGTCAAAAGTTCTCAGCACTTTGCCATGCCTTAGTCTCTTCGTTTAAGAAGGTTGGAGAAGAAGGACAAGAAAAAATGAAATTAATAAGTACTGATTTTAAAAACTTTGAAAATCTTCATAATAAAAAGTACGTAAATTATATTAATTAGAGGTTTTATTTTCCACTTCTTACATGTTCATTTACACTGAAAAAAATTGTTGGAAATATTAGCCTTTTTATTGTGTTTTTAGCACTATCCACATCAACAAATCAGCCAGCATTCATATTTTTATTATTGGCTGAAATCCTGATTATTTTGATTTCTTATTGCCAGTGGGTTAGGAAGCATCTCTATAAAAATAATATACAGTACAATTCACTGTTATCTTTTTGTAGCAATTGTCAAACAGATAATAGTAAAACAGTGTGTTTGGGCTATTGATTTACACGTATAATAAACCTTGGCAAGAAAGTACATGTGTTACAATTAGTTTAGAAAAACTATCAAGAAGTTACATGTTTTACTCATATAAAATACAAGGCTGACCTTCATAGTTCAGCTATTCTGTTTAATACCTTTTACTCTGTGCTTTTTAAAGGCATAATATATCACAACGTTTTCCCCCAAATATAAGCAATCTTTATCATGCATAGCTGACTCCTATGTCCCAATTCAGAACATAATGAGTTTTGTTATGTTATGTTTTGTTATGTTTTGTTATGAGTTTTGTTAAGTTCAGAACATAGCATATTTTCACAGGAAACATTAAAACTGACACATCTTGGTACCATATGAAAAACTCATTGTTGAATCATGTATCAGCAGACAAAGGAATGAAGGCTAGATCAAGATGTATTGCACCTGTGACATCCAGCCCTTGACCAAAGAGAATGCACAATCGAAGGAAGGATTAAATCTGCGAGTAGAGGTGAGGAAGAGATTACCCTCAGAGGGTGGGAACAGATTCTCAGAAAGGGCCATTTGTCTCCCAATGTCAAAAAATAAGAGTTTTTGTACTTTGAACATTGACCATGTGCCAGACAACAGGCCAAGGGTTTGACTTATTTGATATTTATAATAATATTATATTGTTTCTATTGTTGTTTCTTGAGAACTTGAAACAGTAAAATATCCACGTCTCACAGCTACTAAGTGGCAAGGGTTAAAATTCAAACCATTCTCATTCTTTAACATTCCTAAGTAATTAAATTACTTCTAGCTTAATTTTACCCTTAGTTTTCTTTTGTCATATTCATTTTGAAACAAATATTTTATCATACTTATTTTAAAACAAATATTTTATCATATTCATTTAAAAATATTTTTAAATTAAGTTATTTCATGTGACTGTTTTCAAGGAATGTCACTGTGAGATACGGCATATTTCTCCTTCTCAGAAACTCTGGGCCTAGCTGATATATTGGACCAAAACATATCACATTTTTATTAGGAATAAATTATATAGTTACTCCCATCTCTAGGAGGTGGAGCTTAAGTCCTCTTTTCTTGATTGTACTTTGAACTTAATGGCTTGTTTCCAATTAATAGAGCCTGAAAAGGAAAGCAGTTTCTTCATAGCAGAGAAACCTGGCACCCAATCCAAGTGACAGAGGTCAGTATCACCAGTGAAAGGTCATGTTGATATCAGGTACCCCTGATTTAATGTGATATAAAGGATACTTTATCTCTGTGGAATTCTTCCTCAAATGCAATAACCACCTTCTAATCATAAAAAATATCAGAAAAAGATAAAGGGACATTCTATAAAATACCTGTCTAGTACTCTTCAAAACGGCTAAGTTCATGAAATACAAAGCAAGATGGAGAAACTCACAGATAAAAAGAGACGCAAGAAACATAATGACAAATTCAATATTGTACCCTGGACTGAATTCTGTAACAAAAATAGAATATTAGTCGAATAACTGAAATTCTAGCAAAGCCTGAAGTTAAGAGTATTGTATCAATATTAATTTCTTAGCTTTAACAAACATACCATGACTATACAAAATGTTGATATTAGAGGAAGTTCAGTGGGGGGGTATAAATGCTTTTTTTACTATCTTTCTGATTTTTCCGTAAATCCAAAATTATTCCAAACTCCAAAATTAAGCAAATTATATTAAGAAGTTTTAGTTAACGTATTAGTGGAAACTAATATGCCAAACATTTATCTAAACATTTATCTAATATTAAATCATGTAACCAACATTTAAATATTAAAATTTCCTGAGAATTCTTCTTTGCAAAAAACAAATTTCAGCACAAAATCAATAATGCTTTCCCCAGGATGACATTTTATATACTAGAGTCTTGATTTTGCATCCCATATGCAGTTATCTTCTTGGCTCTTTTTTTGGAATCATAATTAAATCTTGTCAGTTTCTTAATCATTTTCTCTAAATTTATATGAAGCCATAGTTCACATGATATCTTTTGCTTTCCTTTTATATTATTTATTAGATAAAAGCATTGTCTCCAAAACGAGTACATTTTTTTTCTTAGGCTATTTCCATATTGCTTATCTTCTTCTAATTCTACCGCTTCTGGCCAGAAGACCACTTTCAATGGATTCTGCAAATTCTATGACGCCTTAAAGAATGTTATGAATGCTATTAGTTATATTTTATCATTCAGCAACACAAAATTGCTTATAGGTCCAAAATATACCCTAAGATAGATATAATTAATAAGGCCTTTTATCACTGTATTCTATAAACAATTCTATAAACAATACTAGACTCTTTACTCTGGTTTTTATTACTAGACTTTGAAATCTAAGGGTTCCTTGTCAAATCTCTGTCCCTGGCACATTGGGAGGTATATAATATAGAGAAGTTATCTAATAAATGCTTGTCGAATTAAATATTGCATTGATTTGTTACACATGTAGGACTGGAACATGTTTCTTTATGTCAAGTTCTGCTTGTGTTATTTATAACTGCACAACACTCAGACACAATAAAATGTGCTTTTAAATACCACAGCAGAAGTGTAGTTTATTGATAAACTATTTCTATGATAATCAAACTAAAAGCAAAATCTTGTTTGTAATTCAAAATTTTGAACATATGTTGGTAGTAGTTACAAATAAACTATATATATATAGATATCTATCGATCTATATCTATGTATCTATATCTATGTATCTATCTATCTATATACAATAGATTGGATGCATTTACCCTTTCAGGTACTCTTGTACTTGAGGAAATATGTATTTTCAGTAGATGAGATTTTTAATATAAATATATTAAATACATATTAAAACCTCAAAAAAAGTTTAAACTTCACTTTATAAATATCTAGAATGCAAAATAAAGACAAGCACATTTCCACATATCATAAAGAATCTTTTAAATATGAAGAGTTTTGTCTCGGAGGCATTATTTTCCTTCAATTATATAGAATAATATGTATATATTGGTACTCATACAAATAAGATTTTACATACCGTATCATTAAGGAATATCAATAAAATACATCTAATGTACAATTGTATTATAATTTAATATTGCATTATAAATATATTTGTATATTATAATATTTATGTAATTAAATTGTAACAGTATTTTCTTAAACAATAATAATGTACTCAGACACTATTCTAGGTAGTTTATATGCTTTATGATATATAATTCTCATGAAAGCTATATGGGATATGTGCATCATCATGCATTTTACACAAGGAAATAAGGCAACAGAAGAGCAAGTACACAGTTCAACCAAGTTTTTGCTTTCTTTTCCTTGAATCTTTCTACTTAGCCTTTCAAGTCTTCTCTTATTATTCTATACGTTGGAAATATATTTTAAGAAGACATAGGCAAATACTGTCTTTAGAGATTCAGAGTGGGACAGTCAGGGATGCTGTTAGAGAATTACAAAAGGCTGAATGTAGGTAGTAAACAATCCATAAACATGAAATCAACAGTATAGTCTTTTTAGGTAGCCGATTTTACTGGGTATAATCATACTCATGGTTATTAAGATGCTGAAAATACTGAGGTAAAATATGATATGAAACATTTTAAAAATAATACTCCTGATGAGAAAAAAAGGTTCTCAGAAATTAGGATGTTAGTTTCTCAGAAACCAGAGTTAGGATGGCTTAGCAAAGGTAAGATACTGAAGACGGGCCTCAGACATAGGAACAAATTGAGGACTAGCTAACAAAGGGCTGAGGTGGAATCAGTTTTCCATAAAACATGCCCACTAGTGTGCCATGTCAGTTTCCTGTTGCCATGGCATCACCCAGGAGTTACCTCCCCTTTCTATGGCCATGACTTGACGATCCGGAAGTTACTACACTTTCCCTAGAAATTTCTGCATAAACTGCTCCTTAATCTGCATGTAATTAAAAGTGGGTATAAATATAACTGCAGAAATACCTAGAGCTGCTACTCTCAGTACAGCGCCTATGGGGTAGCCTTCCTCTACAGGAGCAGCCACAGAGCTTTAACACTGCCTGAACTGTGACACCACCAGAGCTGTAGCACTGCTGTTTCAACAAAGCTGTTTTCTTCTACCTCTGATTCACTCTTAAATTCTTTCCTGGGTGAAGCAAAGAACTCTCCCTGGCTAAGCCCTAATTTGGGGATTGCCTGCCCTGCCCTAGCACCCAATGTAGGGCACAGAGAAAAGACAGTGGCATGAGAGATGGCGAGAGAAGCAGCATTCAGTCAGGCAATGGTGAGAGATGGCAGTCGGTGAGATGATGAGTGGAGAGACGGCAAGAGGCAGCAAAGCAGTTGGTGATTGAAACTGCAAGAGCTGTTAACACCTAAGAGCTATGATACTGTATTAGTCTATTTTCACACTGATAAAGAATACCTGAGACTGGGTAATGTATAAAGAAAGGAGGTTTAATTGACTCACAGTTCCACATGGCTAGAGAGGCCTCAGGAAACTTACAGTCATGGTGGAAGTTGAAGGAGAAGCAAGACACATCTTACACGGTGCAGGCGAGAGACAGTGAAGGTGAAAGTGCCACTCATAAACCATCAGATCTCATGAGAACTCCTTCACTATCACAAAAACACTGCCCTCATGATCCAGTCACCTCCCACCAGGTTCTAACAAGTGACCATGTTGCACTGCCTCATTTGAGACCTGTCACTCAGTCCTGCAGGCCGATGGGTTACTGGTCCCTTTAACAGTTCCACCCTCCATGGCAGCTGAGCCCACCTAAGCTGAGGAATGCTGGAGAGACCTTCACCTGGTTCCTACATGGAAAATTGGTCAGTGCTATTTGGCTTCTGTGGATGAATGAGTGTTTTCCTCTGTTCCCCTGTAGTGTCAGTAGAATTAGGAAATAAAATAAAAGTCCTTGGCTAGGTGGTTGGTTAGAAGTCTACCTTTGTTTGAGTTCCCCTTAAAAATGACTTTGTCATTCCTTCTCCCTGCTCCTTTCTCCTTTTCCTCCATTTTATTTTTCCACCAGTCATTTCATTTTCAATCCTTAATTTTTTTTTTGGCAGTCTTATGTTTGCTTTTGACTTTCTTATTAACTGTATTTGGGCAATTGTTTAAGACAGAACACTTGGTTGTAAAAGGTCCCCTGTTGTGTTGACTCTGGGATGCTAAAATCATATTGTTCTGTGACACCGTGTTGGTCTTGAATTCACTGTTGGCCACCCACCCCAATGCCCTGGGGTTGTCAACATTTGATGTGGATACCCTTGTTCACAGGATCTTGGGCACTCTGGTATTTCAGCATTGGTATTGGTCACTTCCCGGATGCTCTGGGCTCTTTGGCATTGACACTTCCTCTAGAATTGTGGGGTATAGCCACTCCTCTGGGGGGGATATTGGTCTTATCCTTTTCTGCCTTGAAGTGAGAAGTTATTATTTTCCTTAGCCAGTTGCAAGCCCCTTCCTGTGTGCTGTCGTGATGCCTTACAACAGCCTTGCTCAAGCCTTTCTTGGTCAAAGGAACTGGGAGTTCTGAGGACCCTCGCCTGATGAAAGACTACCTACAGTTGTAGATAAGTGGCCATCCAAACTTTTAGGTTTGTTTGTTTCTCCCCTACTGGGTAGATTCTCTGGCAAATTAGGGCCTCTGAAGTCTCTCCTTGGGCAATGCTGTTTACCTCTTTTCTTCCTCCTATCCACAGTCACCATTTATTTAGCACCCCACTCTGTGCCCAACCCTTACTGTGGAATTTAGGCTCAACATCCTACGGCCCATTTCTGGCTCATAACCTGCTTTTGTAACAACTTGCTATCTACATTTTGTAGAAAGTGGTCACTTAAAAGGGAAAAAGGGAAAAAATAGTAATTAGGCACTCACTAAACTTAGGCTAACAGAAACCCCCTGTGGAGATCCTTACCAGACCTGAAGACAACAGTGAGAATCCCCAAAGATTCACGTCTAGGGTGTCTTTTAGACTATTGGAGTAAATTCAAATTATTAGACAAATTGAAGAAGAAAATAAATAATTTATCATTGCAATAATGTTTGGGTTTAATAAAAATTGAACAATCAACAGATTTGGCCTAGGCATGGTTCTTTACATTACAATGATATTGTATAATTATATTTGCTTTATAAAAAGGAAGGAAAATAAGAAGTTTTTTATGTACAGGCTTTTATGGCCCTCTACCAGGATTCTAAATTAAGGGCTAGCTGTAGATGATGTCTGGCTCATAATTCTCCCAGGTACCCCAGGAGGCCCAGTGCTGCACCCTCCCCTACCTTCAGAACCTTCTCAGTCCCCTAATTCTGACAGGAGGCCTCACCACTTCTCTAAAGCAAGATTCCACCCCAAGGTCATCAGGGTTTCCTCCAACAAGCACTGGCTCATATCCACCACTGCCTGAAGAAATAAGCCCAACCAGTACCACCAGGAGTGGGGCCTCATATCAGCCCCAAAATATAACTTATGTCAGTTGTGGGTGGTAGCTTATGGGAATGGAGGGACAATCAGAGAATATGTGCATTTTTCCATGTCTGATTTGCCTTTATGCAAGGAGAAATTTTGGTGGTTTTTGATAGATCCAGGGAAGTTTGTAAAGGAGTTTGTTAAGTTGACCATGTCCTTTGATTTAACTTGGCATGACATGCAAGTATTATTATCCACTTGTGGTATTGTAAAGGAAAAACAAAGAATTCTAGGTACTGCTCATGAACATGGAGATAGAGTGGCTGCACATAACCCTGGGCATTTCATTTATCATGTGGGGGGAGATTTACTTCCAGATGTCAACCCTCAGTGGAATTACCAGAGAGGTTCTCAAGATCTTGAAAGCAGAAATCACACACTACCTTGTTTAATAGATGGTATGAAAAAGTGTTCGGTTAAGCCAGTTAATTATGATAAAGTGAGAGAAATCCCTCAGGAGAAAGATGAAAATTCCACTCATTTCAAGGTCAACTGATTGAGGCACTCAGGAAATATACTAATACAGACCTAGACTCCCAGAAGGGTGAGCTCTGCTGGATATGCATGTTGTTACTCAATCCACCCCTGACATAAGGAGGAAGCTACAAAATGTAGCAATGGGACCCCAAAGCTCCATGAGACAACTCTTACACATTGCCTTTGGGGTTTATAGTAATAGGGACAGGGAAGAGGAAGAGGCAAAATCCAAAAGAATTGAGCAAAAAGCATGACTGCTGGTGGCTGCTGCTTTACCCTGCACCCTCACCCCCCAAACCGTGCTGCCTCAGGGTTACCCACCTTGAGGAAATGTGGTGAGATCAGCATCTGAAATGCTCAGACAAGAGCCCCCACAACTCACTGGCCTTTAGGCCAGAATCAATATATCTTCTGTAAGCAAGAAAGGCCACTGAAAAAGGATTGCCCCAGGCTTAAGAGGGAGTTTGAGCCACCCAGACTCATAATGGCTGAGAAAGTAGAGGACTGACAGGGCCTGAGGTCAGCTACAGCTCTCACTGGACACCTTACCACCTCTGCAGAGGAGCCTCGGGTAATACTTGATGTAGCAGGAAAGAATACTGAGTTCTCATTGAACGCAAGAGCAACCTACTCAGATTTAACTCATTTCTCAGGGCCACTGTCTTCCCACTCTTACACAGTAATGTGAATTGATGGCCATCCAAAAATTGGAAGACTCACCCACCCTCTTGGTTGTACCATGGGGTACCATACGTCTTCCCATGGGTTTTTACTTACGCCTAAGTGTCATATCCCTCTATTAGGAAGATACTTTTCTTTTTCTTTTTTTTTTTTTCTTTTTTAACCAATTACAGGTTACAATGTTCCATGAGGAAGTAACAGGCTAGGAAGGGATGGTTCTTCTAACTCTGAGTACTTGCCTTAAAGCAGATAAGGAGAAGACCTTTCCACCACATATTGCTTCTCAAGTAGACCCCTCTGTTTGGGACATGGAGGGTCCCAGTAGGGCTGTTAACATACCCCTAGTCCAGGTTCTTTAGAAACCTAATGTTAATTACCCAGAAAGAAACAAATATCATTTGAGACTTGAGGCTCTGATAGACATCCAGCCCCTAATAATAAAGTTCCTAAAGTATGGATTATTACAGTCCTGTCAGTCTCCACGTAACAACCCCATTTTGCCTGTAAAGAGACCAAATGGGAAATATAAATTTGTTCAGGATCTAAGGAAAGTTAATAAGGTAGTGGTCCCAGTTCAACCAATAGTTCCTAATACTTATGCAATACCGACTTAAATTCCTGAAGATGCTTGTTATTTCACAGTGTTAGACTTAAAGGATGCTTTCTTTTATCTATATTTATACCCAGACTTCCAGTACATTTTTGTTTTGGAATGGACTGATCCAGACACTAATACAGCATTTCAACTTACCTGGTCAGTTATTCCCCAAGGTTTTAGGGACATTCCCCATCTCTTTGGCAATGCATTGGCCAAGGAGTTAAGGGAACTACAGTTAACTAATGGGTCTCTCTTGAAATACGTAGATAACCTACTAATTTCTATCCCTACTAGGGAAGACTCTGAAAGGAACATAATTCAGATCCTTAATTTTCTGGGAAAGTAACGGTATCATTTATCTCACCACAGTGCCCAGATCTCTGTGCAAAAGGTTAAATATTTGGGGTATGTGCTCACCCCTGGGACAAGGACTTTGGCCCAGGAGCAAAAAGAGACCATCTTGGCACTGCAGGCCCCTCAAAGTGAGAAACAGTTAAAAGCCTTTTAGGAAATGGCTGGCCTCTGCAGGATCTGGATTCATGGGTTTGAGTCTATAGCAGAGTCACTCTATGAAGCTCTAAAAGGGAGTGATCACAAGCCTTTGAATTGGGATGGAATCTGCCAAAAGACACTCTTAACCATAAAAGAAAGGCTAGGAATAGCTCCTGCTTTGGGACTTCCAAACATAGAAAAACCTTTCACTCTGTTATGCTGCTGAAAAACAAGGTAAGGCTTTGGCCATCCCACTAGTAGGACTAGTGGCTTAGTTTTCTAAACAGCTAGACCAAGTGGCACATGGGTAGCCAGGATGCTTGTGAGCTGTGGTCGCCAGCACTCTATTGATAGAAGTTAGTAAGTTTACCCCAGGACAGCAATTTGATGTCATGGCCCCCCACCAGGGAGTCCTAGAGGCAAAAGGACACCAATGGCTAAATGGGAGCCAGTCACTTAAATATCAGGCCCTTTTGCTTGATACTCTTATGTTACTTTTAAAGTACGTCACATTTTAAACCCTGTTACCCTATTGTGGAACTTCATGTCCTAGGAAACAAATCCCCAGCTCATTCATGCTTGTGTGGGAAACAGAACAGACTTACTCTAGCAGGCCTGACCTCAAAGATGAGCCCTTGCCTAATCCTGATGTTGAGTGGTTTATAGATTAGAGTATCTTTATGCATGAAGGAGTAAGAAAGGCAGGTTATGTGGTAGTTAGCCAATAAAAAGCTATTGAGGCAAAAATTTTGCCTTCTGAGACTTCTACTTAAAAAGCAGAACTAATCACTTTAATTAGGGCCCTCCAGTTAGGAAAAGACTTAAGAGTCAATATATTTACTGATTCCAAATATAGGTTCCTATTGCTTTATGCTCATGCTGCTATATGAAAAGAAAATGGACTACTAACAATGAAGGGATCCCCCATATATAACATCACTCAGAATTTGGAACTTTTAGAAGCTGTCCAGCTCCCAAAGGAGGTAACAGTTATTCACTGTAGGGAACACCAAAGAGAGACACCTCTAATTATCAAAGGAATTGCTCTAGCAGACAGAGGAGCTAAGGCCACAGGTAAAGAAACACCAGTATTACAGGCTGCTTCATCAATGCCAGGTACTACATCCACATCAGCAACACCATACTATGCCCCCGAGGAAATTAAATGGATATAACAGAAAGGCTTACAAAAGGATCTCTCAGGATGGTTACTAGGAAGCAACAAACTCCTCCTCCCTGAGGCTGAGCAATGGAAACATAGTTAAGTAGATCTGTAACTCCTCACACTTGGGATGGGGCTCCCTATTTAAATTAGTTTCTTAAATCTTCTTAGGAAAGGAGCTATTCCAGACTGTAAAGAGAGTAACCAGGGCCTGTGAACTTTGTGCCTCTAATGACCCAGGAAGCCGTCCCATACCCCTACCCTGTCTCAAACCTGTACAACATCAAAAAAAAAAAAAAAAAAAAAAAAAAACCCTGGGGAAGACCGGCAAATAGATTCTGCTCAGATGCCACCATACAGGGGACTTTAATATTTGCTGGTATTTATAGACACTTTTACCAGATGGATAGAGGTCTTCCCCACAAGGACAGAGAAGGCATTAGAAGTGTTCAAGTTTTTACATAAAGAGATCATCTTCAACTGGGGATTACCTAAAATTCTGCAGAGTGACAACAGAACCTCTTTCACAGCTAAAGTGACCCAGCAGGCTTCCCCAGAGTTAGGCATTACCTATTACCTTCACTCCTTCTGGAGACCTTAATCCTCTGGTAAGGTAGAAAAAGCTAATCATGTTTTAAAATGAATATTAGCAAAGCTCTGTCAGGAGACTTCAGAGGCCTGGGTTTCTCTGCTATCCATAGCCCTTTTATGCACAAGGATAGTCCCAAATAGAATTGTAAAGCTTAGTACATTATGACTTATGGGCGGCCCTTTTTAACTTCAGGCCTTCTGTTTGATGAAGAGATAAATACAATGCTCACTCATATTATCAGCTTAGGCCAGGTTCAAAAGGCCCTCTAAACCTATGGAAATAAAATATTGTCCCCTCCCACAAGGGAGATAATTAACTCTCCTATTCAACCAGGAGACTTGGTTTTACTAAGAACTTGAAAAGAAGGATCCCCTGATGATCAATTACAACCAAAATGGGAAGGGCCCCATCAGGTGTTTTTGAGTTCCCACAATGCTGTTAAACTTCAGGAAATAACTAGTGTACAATGTTCAGGATTAAACCTGTTTCTTATGCATCACAGGCATACAAGGTGGAGACCATGATCTACATCCGTGAACCTTCCAAGCATCTCTTCTACCTATTTAAAAGAATCAACACTCAGCCAGAAGTGTTAACATGATGCTCTGGGTGGGAATAGAAGCTTTAATTTTTTTCTTCTTCTTGATTATAATACTTTAGCCAACCTCCCAGGAAACAACTATGACCAAACTAGACACCATTCTGTTACTGTTAATCCTATTTGCTCTCCCAATTACCCTAATCCAGGGTGGATGGGAAGATAACTAGTAAATACTTCAACAATTATAGCATCAGGAGATCATGTTCATGGCTGCTGGATTTTTCATCGACATTCCCAGGATAGAAAATTCTATCTTCTGGCTTATCTGGAATAGCTCATGATAATCCCCCAGGACTCCTAACTAGCCATAGCGATCTGAAATACCCCAACCCCTACAAGTTAAGTGGAACACTCACCCACTTAATGGATTACACCTGAAATGCCCTGTACCACTATTGCCTGGACCTGGGAATTTGGGTATCTACACCACCAGGGCACTAATGATTCTATCTTTTGCACCCACTCTTGTGTGAATGACACAGAAGTGGAAGCTTCTTTGTGATGCTCTGATTAAACTTCAGTTGGCAAGTTGTCAAGTTCCCAAGGTCACAGCAAGGTAAATGGGACTGCGCTTATAAATGAGGAGATTATATTTGGTGCTTTCTCCTGGATCAGAACATATAGGGGAAAAACAACTTTACACTTCATAGTCTGAGAAGTGAGAGTATTGCACCTCTCTGAAAAACAAAAATTGTTTGGCTATTCCCTTTGGAACAAGAAAATTTCTATAGACCCAACTTACCAGCAAAGGATAAACATCACACCCCATAGGGGCTTTGTTTGTACCCAAACTGGGCTCATTTTTGTCTGTGGCCATGAATGGGAAGAAGTGGCACCCCATAACTGCTCCCAACTCCCTACGGAGTCACCTATTCTTTTAGGAGTATCTTTCCTTTGTATACCAAAAACTTGGAACAGAGATGAATGTACATTAGCAACACTTGCTCCTCCAGGAGTTACTGTCTATAGCCCCATAAGACTCAAGGATACCAGAAGTGAGCAAGCAGTAGGGTAAATTCTGGCAGGAATTGGTGAAGCGATAGGACTAGCAGCACCCTGGAGTGACTTCACCTACCATGAGTAAATTCTAAATAACTTAATTCAAACTCTAGAATCCTTAGCCACGAACGCAGGTCAGACACTAAAAGGAATTCAAAGATATTTAGACTCTTTGGCAAATGTAGTTATCAAAAACAGACTAGTGTTGGATTATTTACTAGCTGAACAAGTTGGAGTCTGTATACAGTTATTAATAAAACCTGGCTGGGTGCCGTGGCTGACGCCTGTAATCCCAGCACTTTGGGAGGCTGAGACAGGTGGATTACGAGGTCAGGAGATCGAGACCATCCTGGCTGACACGGTGAAACCCTGTCTCTACTAAAAATACAAAAAATTAGCCGGGCGTGGTGGCGGGCACCTGTAGTCCCAGCTATGAGGGAGGCTGAGGCGGAGAATGGCGTGAACCCAGGAGGCAGAGCTTGCAGTGAGCCGAGATCGGGCCACTGCACTCCAGCCTGGGTGACAGAGTGAGAATCCCTCTCAGAAAAAAAAAAAAAAAAAAAAAAAACCAAAAAACCTCTGCACATATACTAACAACTCTGGAAAAGTTGAGATTAACATTCGAAAGATGTATGAGAGAGCTACCTGGTTACATAGATATAACCAGGGCACTGACTCCAGCTATGTCTGATCAACTATTAAAAGTGTCTTTCCAAATCTCCCCGGTTTTTACCTCTTCTAGGACCTCTGATAGCTCTCTTGTTACTAATTTTTTGCCTTTACTTGTTTAACCTCTTAAAAGTCTGTGTCTTCTAGATTACAGCAGTTCCAGGTAAAGACAATGTTGGCACAAGGCTTCCAACCCATCCTGCCTTCTGATCCAGAGGATAAAAAATGTCCTACCTCGGGGCCTCCTGGATTAGGTGTCTAGAGATTTTTACTTCTCTGTTGCTAGGCAGGGCCTATGCTCATAAACTCAGAAAGACACAGTCACAGAAGATGGACCTCTGCTCTTCTGCAGCCTTCTTAAGATTAAAGAAGAATATCCAATCTCTGAGGGGAGGATGAGTAGGAGGTGGGACTTGACTCTGGAGACAGGGCTCAGACACCGTACCAAATTGAGGACAAGGTAAAATAGGGCCACGGCAGGGCAGCTTTTCCTAATACACACCCACCAGTGTGCCATGTCATTTTACCATTGCCATGGCAACAGCAGGGAGTTACTTCCCCTTTCCATGGCAATGACCCAATGAACCAGAAGTTACTACCCTTTCCCCAGAAATTTCTGCATAACCTGCTCCTTACTTTGCATGTAATCAAAAGTGGGTATAAATATGACTCCAGAACTATCCTGAGCTGCTACTCTCAGCACACTGCCTATGGGGTAGCCCTGCTCTGAAGGAACAGGCACAGAGCTATAACACTGCCTGAGCCGTAACACCACCAGAACAGTAACACTGTTGCTTCAATAAAGCTGTTTTCTTCTACCATCGACTCACCCTTAATTTTTTTCCTAGATGAACCAAAGAACCATTCATGGCTAAGCCCTAATTTGGTTATTGCCTGCCCTGCATCAAAGGGATTTTTACAAAGACATTGGAATTGAGGCTTGATCCAAACTTTTAAGAAAAATTTATTGTTGTAGTGAAGATTAATGAATGACCATGCAATAGCTTTTTTCAATTTGGAAAACATAAAAATGTAGATGTTTTCAATTATATGATATCATACTGAGAATAACTGGACTTGTTTCAGCAATAAAAGAGTTTGCTTATAGATAAAAAGGCTTTATTTGTTATGATACTCTTATATAGAGAAAACATACATTTGTATATTGAATATTCTGGACTTCTTTTACATCACTTTTAAAAATGAGTCATAAATTAGTGGCATTGAATGATTTGGAATTACCAAATTTTGGAGCTGTAAGAGTGGTTTAATAGGTGGCTCCTATTTTTAAAATAAGGAAACTGGACCAGAGTGGATGAGTCAAGCATGAAATAGGCTGCTTCTGATTTCTAATGTAGTGCACTTTACAACATTATGTTTAGGAGCAGACCAGTTTAATGCAAAGCCAGAGCCAAGGGGTCTCTTGAGGACTTTTCTAGCTTGTCATGCAAAAAAAGCCAAGAATTAATTTGATTGTGTACTACAGAGCTCGCCACAATGAATCCTGAATCAGTGATTTATACAACTTAGATTGATTAGCATAGCTGAAGAGATGAAAGAACAGAACGCTAATTTTAACCTTGAAATGGATAACATTCATATTGTTGAAAAATAGTCTTTACTTTTTGTATTTTATTTTCTTTAAAACAAATTTAAGAACTTCACCAATTCCCTTATATGTGGGAGTCCAATTTTTAATTGTTGTTTAAATTTCAGATTTTCATTTCACTCACTTTTGTTTTTGTGTAGTCATTTTTTTTTTTTTTTTTTTTTTTTTGGAGACGGAGTTTCTCTCTGTGGCCCAAGCTGGAGTGCAGTGGTGTGATCTTGGCTCACTGCAAGCTCCGCCTCCCGGGTTCACACTATTCTCCTGCCTCAGCCTCTTGAGTAGCTGGGATTACATGTACCCGCCACCATGCCTGGCTAATTTTTTGTATTTTTAGTAGAGACGGGGTTTCACTGTGTTAGCCAGGATGGTCTCAATCTCCTGACCACGTGTTCCACCTGCCTCGGCCTCCCAAAGTGTTGGGATTACAGGTGTGAGCCACCGCGCCAGGCCCTTATGTAGTCATTTTAACTGTAAAAACCTTGATAGTTGTCTTGAATAAGAGAGTCAATATATAGATTTTGTACATTGGGGATGTTTGTGCTCTGCTCATTTTGTTGTCAGTGACTTATAATAACTTTTGTTATGTATGTTTTCAATAACTTTGTTATGCATTCTCAGAGAGAAATTTTCCAAGTAGTTGCTCCAGTCATACCATAGGTTTTACACATCAGCTTTCTTTGCAATAGCTCATGATGCAATTTCCCTTTAATAATTTGTATGTAGTACCTTAGTGTGTGCTATAATCCTACATCAAATATTTTTCCTCACTTTCAAATATAACACTTACTTTGCAACAAGTAAGTTTTATTGAGTAAACAAGCAATCAACTATAAATATAAAAATTATGTTATAAAATGAAAGATCTATATTTGTCCAGTTACATGTATAAGTGCACGTGTGTAAAACTTATTTTCTATTCTTATGAGCAAAAGCGGTATTTTTTATTACAACGTTAAAGCCACACTATTTTGAAAATAATTTTATACCCATGGGATTATATTTGCAAAGCCAATTTTTAAAAAGTTATGGTCTACATTAATATTTTTAAACTTTAAAAAGCCACAAAACATTATATAGAAAAGCATGTTTTGTATTACATATACCACTTCTGTAAATAGCAAAGATTATTTCCTATACCACATTGATTAAATGTAGCTTATGCCTGAAATTTTATTCCCACATTGCATTGACTACTGTTAGCCAATTAGTGACACTGTCTAGTATTATTGCAATGAAAGCATTTCTTTAGTGATGAATTATTCCTTTTGATGCCTTTTATAAATGAAGAAGTTCTACTTTCATAGAAGATTGTGTTGTTTCAGCTCAATGAATTATGAAGATATTTTAGTAAATAATAAAAGCTTCATGAAAGTAATATTAGATGATGTCATACTTAACTATTTCAAGGCAGTATTTGCTCTAGGGGGAGGGTATATAAAATCTGCAAAATATTGTAAGCAGTATTATGTCTACTACACTTTCTTCAATTAAATGTACCATTGCTATTGTACATTTTTTTCCTAGTAATTTTATTCATGGTTAACATCTTAAAATATGCATATGGTAGTAAACTATTAGGCAAGATAGCAACAGAAACGTCCATCATCTGTCAAAAATAAAGTTCAAGGCAATCAAAGTGTTTTGTGTTGGCTATGAGTAGCTGATTAAATAAACAGAAGATGTGACATGATGTCTCTTTCATCTATAAAAGTATCAGCTCAGAAGCTACGCTTCATTAGCTTCAAATGTAGCATGCATAATAAAGGAAGAAAGCGAGCAGTTCTTTGATTCATTGTGAAAAAGCCTATCAGACCCCCTTTCAAGTGACAGTTTATTAAATAAGTTGAATAATGGAAAATATTCCAACTAGAATGGAATCATAACCCTGTACTTGGCACTTGATTGCAAAGTATAGATGATAGCGTTGTGCCTCCATTTCGTGTGATAAAAAATTAAATGGCAAAGATAGGCAGTATTTCCTGCAGGGAATTTAGTAATTTATTTTTATTTTTAAAAATTATTTTCATCTCCTTTTGGTATTAAAAACCTAATGAATCTGAGAAAAGCAATGAAAAAATTACTTCATTCCAAAATACACATGGGTTTTCATTTCCTCCAAGAGGATGGGGATGGTCAAGATAAATGCGTGGGGCACACCTAGAGAAACAATGGCTCCACATACATTTCCCTTTGATGTACTGAAGGTCTTTTGTGAAGATATTATTATCAGGTTGTACCTTTTACTTGGCTATTTCTAACAAAGACATCAGCATACACAAAAGGTCAGTGAAGGGATAGGGCAAAGTGTGTTTGGAGTAGGTAGCTGGGATATGTGGGGAACAGTGAAAGATGGCATGAAAAGAGAAGTTTGATCTGGAATACGGAAGAAACTGTAAATATTAAGAGGAGGAATTATGACATTCTTAAATAGAAGCAGTGTGTAAAAGGGAGAGCTGTTTAAATTTTAAAAAGAAGTAATCTGACAATGTATAGGACAAATACTAATTTGACTTTTAGACAGGTATGTTTAGATAATCTGTTTTTCCCTGGTATTTTTATTTTTAGAAATGTTTCACATTTGCTGATGGGAAACAAGAGCCCTGGAGTAATGAGTGTATTTCAGTTGGTGCAGACATTCATACCACTGCATCAAGTTTGGCACAAAGTCATCAATGTGTTTTTTCTAAAATATGTCAGAAATAACTACAATTGGCATGAGCAGACTTTAGAAATGCTACCACTAAATTGCTAAAAAGAGCCTTTCAGACGTTTGGTGTTTGTTTAGTATGCTCTATTGCTACTTAATTACCAATGAAAACATTTAGACAGACATTTTAAAAATATAGTGATAATGCTTTATAAATTTGGTCTAATTTATGACCGAGCTAGCAGAGTGGATTGAAAATTTCGGTGTTAGGTTTGTGATGCTGTTTTCCAAGTACAGTTTTTCATCGATTTGTGTCACACAACCTCAAGCGCCTCTGTCAAACAACTGCAAGGTCAAGCACAAAGGCAGGGGATCCATTATAGCTTTTGCTGGGTCAAAAGATCTCTTCCCTGTGAACTATTTGGTCAGTTATGTTTTCTAAAATGAACTGTGCTATAGATAAGAGGCAACATGAAGCATCTTGTCTTTGTTTTTGGCTTTTTCTGACTAAAGCAAATTTCATGGCAAGTGTGAAGTTCAATTCTGAAAATAATCACACCGCCTGAGCTCACAAAATAAACTAGATTAAAATCTTCTGCAGTAGCATACGCTCTTTGAATGAACAAAGGCCACTGCGGGCATAAAGAGACGTGTTCCGTTGAACGTTCTGAAAGGCACTTTATTATCTGGACACACAGTAGCATTCTATCCTACTCATTAGCAAATGTCAATTATGCCAAGTTGGCCACTGGCTTACATCTACTCAGTGAGGCTTTGATGTTACACAGATTAATAGTTTAAATTCTTAATCTGCTTTCTGTGAAGTTACATGTAAAATATTTCTTTTGTTTATAATAAAGTAATTCAGGTGTTTTAATATCTGAGAAAAACAGCATCAGATTTCACCGAACTGAGTGCTCTGATTAATTGCTAATGTACCCCAACTATAAAAATATATAATTATAATGCCTATGTAGACACTATTACCACCCTGAGAAAACATTTAAAAATTGACCGAATCATGTATCTTAATACTTGCTAATACAGCAATTTAGAAACAACAGTTCCTTTACTTCAACTGAGAAAAAAAGTCTTGCTTTGTATTTTCAATATGTAACATTTAGACCAATCAATAAGAAGAGAGAATCCTGCCTACTCTAAAATATCCAATGAGATTACATCCGTGTATTACCAATCTTGTACAACAAATAAATACTCATCTTTTGAATTAATTTTACTTTTCAATGTTGGTACCAATTAACAGGCAATGTACTGTTTCCTAGGTTGGCTATTTTAGCTGACTTAAATTTGACAGCTTTAACACTTCCTGTGACACTTCCTAAAAAGGTAGAAAAATTGCCCTCCCTTTTAAAATAAAGTACACCTTAAGAGCAGTTATTTTAGTGAATGAAGATCATTATCAGAATGTGACTTTTATTAATTTTTAGCAGCATCCAATAATGGAGAATAATATCAAAGATGAAAGAATAATTAGAAATCAGAATAATCATTTGAGCCAGAGTTGTTTGTCTTTGCTTTTGTTTTTAACTGATCCTGAATTCTGAAGACTCTGGGTCTTGTCTGTGACTTTGAGTGCTTAGCTGATGATGTTGGTCAATTCACTTAACACATATATCTAAATTCTTTATCTATGAAACAAGTCTGAATATTTGTTTAGCTTTACTGCTTAAGAATTTAAAGCATTAAAGAATTTAAACCATGGCACACATTTACCTATGTAACAAACCTGCATATCCTGCACTTAAAATAATAATAACAATAATAATAATAATAATAATAATAAAGAATTTAGTGAGAAAGTATATGTAAAAATGCTTTGTATGTGCAAATTCTTAAATAAGGTAATGTAAAATACTTAATAATTATTAACAGCTGTTTAGTAGTATATACAGGCAATCATGCTCCCAAGTTATCTTAAGGATGCTGACTCTTTACAAAATGAAAAAGTTATTTACGTTAAAACATGTTAGGTCTAAAGAATTAAACTTAAACACTTTGGAGAATAGATCAATCTATTCATGTTATGATTTTTTTAAAACCCAGAAGATTAGATGACATCATTAGAAAGTCTTGGGTGTGAGTTTCTACTTATTATAAATTAGAAATATAGGAGGCAATTTTAGATTGACATGTCCCTTTGCTTTCTAGGAATCTATTTTTCACAAATTAAGGTCAAATTAGCCTTATTATAAATTATTATGTGCTTTTTCTTCTTCAGAATGTTTATCTTAACAACTCATTATTTAACATAGGTCTTCACAGGTTATTTGGCAAGACAGTGAAAAAGTTAAAATGACTTAAGTATTACTGTTACTTGGCCATCTCTGAGTTGTTTCTTCCTATTTTTTTGATAACTATTCATGAGATAATTATTTGATCTTCCCATTAACAAAAGTTACTTGTACGTGAAACAGTTCAAATATCTTCTCTCAGATCAAGAAGACTCACCTATTTTCCTTATCAAAGTGTTAATATTATACACAGAAAAGTAATTATTACTGATGCTATTGCAGGGGTTGTGGAAGTAGTTTTTATTATTACGTATTTTTTAAAAGATTTCCTGTAACCTACCTGAGGGTGAGCATTAAACAGGCAGGATTAAGAATATGGGAAAAGAGAAGTACATCAAACAATAGTTTCTTTGCACGTTATTCTCCTATAAATTAATTTCTCTCTATTTCTATCTATAATAGAACAGTCTTTGTGCCATCATTTAGCACTTAAAATAATTAGTAGAGTTGGCTGTTACAGCTCTCTGTCACTAGATTGTGAATAATTTGAAGGTAAAAGTCTTGTTCAACTTTGATACTGCATGCCAAGCTCATAGAGTAAGTATTTGCTGAAATGAATCATTCCACCTTTGCATAATTTTGATGAATTACAGGTAAACTTATTTTTGAGGAGAAAGGTATTTCAAATTAAGATAATTTTTAGCGCCTACTTTGTTTTGGTAACTTGAAAAACTTGAGGATTATAACGATAATATAGACAAAATAGGCATAGCCCTGTCCTTAGAAAATTTTAGTCTTAGTCTAGCATGAAAGACAATTAAAAATAATACAATATAATGAGCACTTTTAAAATTAAAAATAGTTAACATATTTTAATGTGGAGATTAAGGCTTGTAGAATCACCTGGTGGTAAATCTTGGCCCTCTCATATGTAGTGACTGACTTGAGTCAGTTACTGAAACAATTTTGAGTCTAAATTTCCAATCATATAAAATTAGGAAAACAAACACTGTGCAATGTGGTCAGTAGGATTAAAGAAATAACAACCTTAAATATTCTTTCCAAAGAAGAAGGATGTAGATATGCTAAAATACAACAACAAAACAAAAGACATTGGAGAATGTATGTGAAGAAGAAACACACACTGTTACGTTAGTTTTAGTTCTCTCTGCCTCTGAACCTTCTTTTGTAGGTTTTGACATTAAACAGGATACCTCTATTCAGGCACTGGTTATAAACCACGGTGCCATTAATGTCTAAGGCTTTGTTGTTATTCCTTTGGTGGGGTTGCCTTATGTCTTAGTCCATGTTATGCTGCTATTACAAGATATCACAGATTGAGCAAATAATAAAGAACAAAATTTTATTTTCTTACCTTTCTGGACGCTGGGAAGTCCAAGATCAAAGCACTAGCATTTAATGAGGAGCTTCTTGCTGCACCATCACCTGACACAAGCATAGAAGAGCAAGCTAGCTTTACGCTGCATGAAGCCTCTTTTATAAGGTCCTTAATGAGAGCGAAGCCTTCAGAACCTAACCACCTTGGAAACTCCAACTCTAAATACTGTTACATTGACAACACCTGAATTCCGGAGTAGCTGCCTCAAACTATAGCAATTAACAAGTTAAGTGAATCACATGTGCTCTATTAGGGTAAAAGAAAAGCTTTCACGCAAATCGCTCTAGAACTTTTTTATCTTGACTCCAAAGTGTGAGTATTAAAATAATATTTTAGAAACTATAGTCGTTTCTAAATTACATAGAGGAGAGAAGAAAACAATACTGTGGGAAATATTTTTGTGAATCTTTCATTCTAGGCCTAAAATAACAAGAATGTCAGGAGAAATCAACTGAATTTCAACACTTATAAACTTTGGTTAACAAGTAATTCAAAAGAATGCAAATAAATAAATAAACAAATAAATAAAAATAGAAGCTATTAAATAGTAAAATAAGTTAGTTTGAAAAGTACATGGTAACTGTTTTTGGAAAAAATAGACAAACTTATGCCAAATCTTATCAAGAAAAAATATAGAGAAACCAACAAGGTCAACATTAGGTTAAACAAAGTGCATGTATAACCTAAAAGCAGAAAAAATTTATATGGTATTATATACTAATAATTTGAAAAATCAGATTAAATAAAATATTCCAGAGAGATATAGAATATTTAATTAGGAAGGCTTAGAAAACTTGAAATAGAAATAGATTTTAAGATTCTAAATAATAGGCTCACATGGTACTGAGACTTCTGCCAAACCTTTAAACTAGAGATGATTTCTCTGATTTTAAATGTCTAGAGCAGACAAAAAACATTTCTTTATTACATAAGATTACTATAATTCTAACATACAATCTAGGAAAATATTACACATGACAGGGTACTCTACACCAAACTTACATATAACCATAAAATAATATTCTAAATAAAATATGGGTAATTTAATACAGAATTATATTAAAAGAATTTTGTGGTGTGATTTAGAAAGTGTTAATATAAGATTGAAAAAATTATCAAGATGTGGAAAATGACTTATGTGATTCACTACATTAAAAGATGAATGAAATCTCCTTAGATATGAAAAGATATTTGATAAATTCAATATCAATTCCTGAGTAAATAATGAAACACTTATGAATATAAAATTAAAGGGAAACTTATCATGATAAAAATATATCTTTTAGAAATTAATATTAAACATGATGTTTTATATGGATATTTGATATTGATACTTACAGAAACTCTTAAAAACATGACCATTAAAATTATGAAAAACTGAAATCACTAGTATAACATTAAAATGTCCTTACCATAACAAATATGGTAAGAAAAAAATAGATTAAGATAAATAAATGTTTAAAAAGAGACGAAAATTTATGATTTGGCGATGATATGACTATTTAACCCCAAGTTCAAGAGAATATGTATTGGAGTAGCCCTTCAGGAGACACTTTTTCAATGCCTACTCAATGAATGTACATTCACCTTTTAAGAGCCTACTCAATAGACATGGAATTATTAATGTTTATATTTACAAATACAGTTGACTCTTGAACAACACAGGTTGAAATATGCAGACCCACTTATATGCAGATACACCCAGTTTTGCATCTGTGGGTTTCCCATCTGCAACTAAACACGAATGGAAAATACAGTATTTGGGGATGCAAAACTCATAGAAACCAATGGCTGATTTTTGTATACTTGAGTTCCACAGGCCAACTGCAGAATTTGAGTGTGGGTGACTTTTGGTATTAAAGAGGACTCTGGTATCAATCCCCTACAGATATAGGTAGGCACAAGTATATGTTTATTTGAGCAAAGAAAAAAAATCAAGGAAAACGCTAGCTAAATAATTTAATACATCTTTTATATGAAACATGCAGTATATTAAAACAAAGATTTATATGTCTGTGTGCCGATAGGACAGAACATTTATTATATAGTGATGAAACGTAAAAGGAGAAATATATGTATATGTCTAATAGAAAACTGTCAGATAATATATATTACATACATAATGTAATCTGAAATTATACTCATTGTTTTACATTTAATTTAGATTAGAATAATTTGTGAAGAATATACTGACAATCTTCATTTCATAAAGGTATGTTAGGGGTTCACATTTTTTTAAGTGCTTCCATTTTTTGAAGATTATGTCTTATTAAAAATAGAAAGCTTAATAATTACATAAAATTTTAAATGGTAAAAAATAATCCTGTTAAAATAAAAAATATGTAAATATAATTTGGATATGCTTTTATACATTTTAAAGTAATAACAGGAACACATTCTTTAAGTTTTAATCAGAACATTTATAAAGCTATTTTTTGGAAACTCGTGTACTATTCCCTGAACTATTCACTTGAATTTTGAGTGTTGCATTATAAATTGAGGATCATATATTTGATAATTGTCTCAACCCAAGAAACAAAAAGTTATAGTTTATTTATTTTTCCCAAGGACATAATTTATCCTATTTGTCTCAAATTCTCATGCAATACTCAGAAAATATAGTTCTGAAGATGGAAGTATTTGCATAATGCAAAGACTTGTTTTAATCAATTTCCTTTTATTGATCAATGCTTGTATATTTTGGTAGATTTTATCAGAAGGAATTATAACCTCATAACAAAGAAACTCTTTAATCAATTTTCATGCATCAAATGATAAAATGTAGTTTTGAATTTGAGCAATCACTAGATAATACAGTACCTCTCTAAATAAATTTTTATATTATTTTTGTTGATAGGCATTCCAGTAAATTTTCCAGAGGAATGGTTGAAAACAACTTTTGTTTCTGAAGCCTCAAACTTCCAACGTAATTATGGAAATAGAAAACTCAAAGTCCTAAACAGAATGGGGTGCAGATTGGGGGTGGCATGAATTAAGAAGAGAGAGTAAGAGTCTATTCCTAATATCATATCCAGTCAGGGTTTTAGTTTTTAGTCTGAGACAGTCAATTTATAAATGAAAGTATACTTTTAATGTTATATTCTAATTTCATGAATTTATCTGCATTTTACAAACTCAAGTCCGAAGAGCTATATAAATTGAATCATATTCTCATTGTTAAAAACAGAATTAAGGGAGAAGAGACAGTATTTTTTGTTATTTATCCAACTAAATAGTAGGTTCATGTTATTTTTAAGAATCTTTTTTTTCTCTGACTTCAGGAAGGCAAACCATTTATTTGATTCATCGCTGTCAAGAACACTTCTCTGGAGATAATTCACTTGCTCTGGATATAGAGCAACGTGTTTTCAATCCTTTGTACAGTTTCCCTAACAACCCAGGATTTATTCTTCTACCTGTCACTTCTAGGATGCAAGCAACTATTTTCTATAACTATGAAAGGCTTCAGAATGCCTAGAGGGCCAATGGTTAATGTCAATCAGACTACTTGATGGTGCCCATATGTCCAAGGTATTATGTGGATAAGAAAATTGGGAAAAGAATTTAAAAGAAGAAAGGAAGTGATATCAATTGTAATAAGTTCAGCAAGCCATGGGCAGGGTATATGTTTTTAGGTTGAAGACAAGTTAAGGCTATATTCAAGTTATGAAATAAAAGCTGACAGAATACACTTCAGATAAGACAGATTGAGGAGACCAGCATGTATGCCAAGCCCAAAATATTTTGTTACAATGTCACTTCTCTTCAGATTGCTCTACATATTAGAGTATCTCTTACCATGTTATGAAATACTCATATAAGAATGCAGGACAGTTATTGCCATATCAGTAAGGATTCTTACAATTTTATTTTGTTAGTGAGAGAAAATTTCATTCAAAGTAAAAGAAAGAGAGAGAGAAAGAGAGTCGGCAGTGAGTCGGGAGCTCACTAGCTTAGGAACCTGAAAATTCATGGGTATATTCAATTTTACCCATCACCACATATTAAGGGCTCGTTCAGGCTCGTTTCCTGTTCATTTCTGGCTGCCTTCTACAAACCTGGTTTCATTTTTAGGTTCCACATGGAAGTCTGTAAAAATTATGAATGTTTTTCTTACAGTCACAAGTTGGTTACAACAATCCAGCCTTACATTATAAAGCCAAGACAGGCAGAGAAAATTTCTGTTTCCCTCCCAGGAACGCAAACAAAAAAAGCCTCTGTGTGCTTCATGGGTTGCTTCATATGCCTACCTCTAAATGGATCATGTCAACAGAAAATAAAATGTGGTGCCTCTCAGGCCTAGTTTATTTCTTTCCATACTAGAGTGAAATCAACTCTAAAAAGAGTAGACATTTGGCATAGGGGGTTGTGAAGGATTGGTGATACCAGAGTTAAAACAACATATAGCTACATGAAGAGTGAATAGATATTGACAAAGCCAACAAATATCTGCAATTTAAATATAGTTAGCATTATAAATCACATCTATTAAAGCTGCGTGTACATGTTTGACTCCCCTATATGATTGTGTGACACTACCATTGCCATTTCCCACGTCTAACAGCTATGTTCAGGTGAAGACAGCATTTTTCATTTTCAAATCCAAACTGAAATTTCTGAGAAAGACTCTGATTAGCCCTACTTGGGTTATTTGCTCACCCCTAGACCAGTCTATTAGGTAAATGGACTATCACCTTCAGGTACAGATGATGTGTTATGAATATTGTTAGAAATGTATCATGGAGGGCAATTCTCCACCAAAGCCACATGATTAGAAAGCGAATATCCCAGAATAAGGATACTACTGCTCAGGCAAATGAAATAATATATGTCCACCTGAGTAATTACGTTTGTCCACCACACAGTGCCTGTCATTGTGCCCTTCTCACATTATGTGATCAACAATATTCCTAACTTCAATTAAATCTCTTTTTTCACACTAGGGTATCACATATAATTGTTCTCAAATTGCCAGTTCATTTTCAAAATAGTATTAAATTGGGGTGGGAAATTATTTTCATTTTAACCCAACAACTGTTTGCTTATAATGCTGGTTTTCAAAGCCATGGGTTTAAATTCACTTTGAAGTCTTAGCTTTACCTTAATTCAAGACTACCAATTACAGCTCCAACCCAAGCTAAGCATTTCACAAACATATGTTTTGTGCAAAAGGGAAGCTGGGTGTGCAATAAAAAGAATGGTTTTTAGCCTTGTGTTGCTCATTATCACTATTGTACAAAAATTCCCAAAACAGTTGAGGATGGCAGCCTAGACTCATCTTTCAATGTTCTCACTTTACTATATGTGTTTTCATCCCCTAGAGTTCATCAAACGTACTCTTCCCTTCCTTGCCTCTACATGCCTTCCGTAATCATCCCCATGATATTTTCTTTTCTGTCTCCTATTCATGATGAGCTTAATCTGAGTTCTTGTCACATTTTTGAGAAAGTCTTGGATGATTTTACTTACATCAATTTTAAAAATCTAGTTCTTCAGTTGTACTAGTCACATTTCAAGTGCTCAATAGCCACACATGTCTCATAGCTACTGCATCGGGAAAACAAATTAGGTGATCCAATTTAGTCTCATAATGACCCTTGAGATAGATACTACATATTATCACCATTGCATATGAGAAAAATGTACACTTAGATTAATAACAGTGAAACTTTTATGGCACTTACTATATGGCAGGCACTGCTCTTTATGCTTTACAAATACAATGGTATTGCTTGATTTTAATTCTCTCTATGGTATTAAAGAAATTTCCCAAAGTAATGCAATTAGTAAGTGGAGCAGGGATTTGAAACCCAGATCATCTGGTACCTTCTTTTTATCTTGCCTTTCTAACTGACTAAAGGGCACTTGAAAGGCTATTCAAGCAGAGTAAAAAAATGAGATTTTCAAAAAAAGTCAGTCTTATTTGATTCAAAAGTAAATGTTTTCAACCTTCCCTGTACTATTGTAGCTCGAATCTAAAATTAATGATATATAGAAATCTTGTAGGGGACAATGGTCAATAGCATGTAGACTTAATTTCCGGAGAAAATCCTCAAAGGCACAAACAGAGATCTCCTTCTTCCAAACTAAGCAGAGCAAACTAAAATATCAGGGAGGCTTCAACTAAGTTCATTGTGCTCAGCATACATACCACTATCCCTTTCTATTTATGTACATGGTACTTAATTTGTTTGTGTGTTGGCTTTCTCATCTATAACCTAAGTAGTGTATTGGAACTGGTTTTATAAGGTTGTTTTGCATATTAAATTAAGACACGTCAATAACTTCAAACAGTGCCTGACACCTAAACTGCATTCAATTTATATTAAACAGTTTTTACTATATGATAATTTTATGAATCAGATACTACCACAATCCCCATTCCACCTCGGCCAATAACTTTGATGGGCTTCTACTTGCTCCCTTTTCATGGTGTCTTTAAATATTATATGTGTAATGTGTGGTTAAAAGGACCTGGGGGGACAAATTTTCTATGTCATCCTCTTGTAATGAGAGCAAGGTTCTCATCCTTAAAGTAGGAGAATGACTGAGATGTCAGGCTGTGGCATTGTAGTTTCCGAGTTTGAATCATGGCCTGACACTTTATAGCTGTGTAAACTTGAAAAACTTATTTATGTTTATTTCTTTTTCTTGGAAGTATTTGATTGTAACTACATCATAGTATTAATATTTTGTGGATTAAATTTAAAAATAAAATCTGCAAAACTAGAATAAAACATAATTGGCTTATTATAATGCCAGATTCATGTTAGTTATTACAGATTAAATGGAGGCTCCCTAAAATCACATACATACATACATAAACTTCAGATAAATAACTGTATTAGTCAGGGTTCCCTAAAGAGACAGAACTTATAGGATAGATGTGTATACAAAGGGGAGTTTATTAAGGAGTATCGGCTCACATTATCTCAAGGGGAAGTCCCACAATAGGTCATTTGCAAGCTGAGGAGCAAGGAAGCCAGTCTGAGTCTCAAAACCTCTAAAGTAGGGAAACCAATAGTGCAGTTTTCAGTCTGTGACCAAAGGCCAGAGAGCCCTTGTCAAATCACTGGTGTAAGTCCAAGAGTCGAAAAGCTGAAGAACTTGGAGTCTGATATGTGAGGGTAGGAAGCATCCAGCACAGAAGAAAGATGAAGGCCAGAAGACTCCGCTAGTCTGCTCATACCACTTTCTTCTGCCTGCTTTATTCTAACAGCATTGGCAGCTGATTAGATGGTGCCCACCCAGATTGATGGTGGGTCTGCTACTCCCAGTCTACTGAATTAAATGTTAATCTCCTTTGGCCACACCCTCGCAGACACACCTAGGAACAATACTTTTAATCCTGCAATCCAATCAAGTTGACACTCAATATTAACCATCACAACAACTATTGAGCACATTGTATGAACTTAGAACCATGCAAGACACTAAAAAAAATCAATCTTGAGGAATAATGTAACATACTATTATTAGTTAGATGATGATATAACAAAATAATTTTGAACATATTATTGACTTTAGCATTGGAAGACGACTATCCTTACATTATAGTCAAGTCAAATCTATTTCTTTATCAGAAGTGAGTTAACACAATTTGTTTGGGAGTATCATTTGGTTCTTGGTCACCTCTTCCTGGCTTGCTCATGTCATTATACCCAGAAGCTTGCAGAGAAATACTGAGTTTAATTGTCAAGCCTATTCATATTCAATTTGCACCTTTAAGGTTACTATAGTGTATAGTTCACACACAGTAACAACATCAAATATCCTCCATGTGTATACCAGAATCAAGTTTGCAAAAGCACAGAACACTTACGTGTGCATCCATTTTGTGCTGTGTGATAGAAAACCACAGACTGGTAATCTACAAATAACAGAAATCTATTTTCTCACAGTTCTGAAGGCTAGGAAATTCAAGATCAAGGCATTGGCAGATTGAGTTGTCTGGTGAGAATTACATGTGCTATAGGGGACACATTTAGGCCATAGCATTCTCTTTTTGCCCTTTTCCCTTCTTCCATGTGAAGAAAAAGTGTTCCTTCCTCCAGAGGATGCTGCATTTGAGGCACCATCTCGGAAGAACAGACTGAACCCTTATGAAACAACAAACCTGCTGGTACCTTAAATTTTTGATTTCCCAGTCTCCAAAATTATGAGAGATAAATTTCTGCTCTTTATAAATTACCTAGTCTATAGTATTTTGTTGTAGCCACACAAATTGACTAAGACAACTTACTTTGTATTATTTTGCTGAAAAATACAAAGGAAGATCCAATTAGCTAGATACCCTGCATATACGAAGAGGATCACAAAACTTCAGTGTAAGTCTTTGACAATTTGTGTTTTACTTCTGACTTTAGACTATTTTATAACAAAATTACTGTTTTATACAAAGGTCTGTATCAAGTCAGAACATAACTCATTGTAAATCGTCCTCTAACTATTTCAAGTGTATCTTACACCCTGTCAGGAAAAAGAGGTAGCATAGCAAGTCCTAGCTATCTGGAAGATACATAAATTACTTATAAGTTGATAATACTCTAGATTCAGATTGTATGATCATTAAGCACTTTTTAAAATCATTTTTAATGCAGTAAACAAATGGAAAGAAAAAGAAAAGGCTAATATGGCATAAATATATGATCCATAAAACTAATTTCTCAGAATAAATTAATAAATTGTCATTAGACACTTGGCAACAGGTAGTGGGAAATACAACAACTTTGATATACAATAGAAGTAATTATATTACATCAATACTGGCACTATTATCTATGAGCTCTGTATTCATAAAGTATTCGATGAGTCTGAAACTTTGTTTTCTCTTCTATAAAATTTTTTAAAAAGGATTCACCTCACATAATCGTAAAAGTAAAAAAAAAGTAATGTGAAGTACCAGGTAGGTACAGAGTCTGGCACACAGAACCTGAAATTTAAGAAAGTTTGCTGATTATTGATTATGATAAAAATAAGTATTGAGGTCAGAAGTGGTGGCTCACGTCTGTAATCCCAGCTCTTTGGGAGGCCGAGGTGGGAGAATTGCTTGAGCCCAGGAGTTTGAGAACAACCTGGGAAACATAGTGAGACCCCATCTCTACAAAAATAAAACTAGCTGGGTGTGGTGGTGCACACTTATAGTCCCAGCACTCAGGAGCCTGAGGTGAGAGGATTGCATGAGACTGGGAGGTCAAGGCTGCAGTGAGCTGAGATCCCACCACTGCAGTCTAGCCTGGGTGACAGAGAGAGATCCTGTCTCAAATAAATAAATAAATAAATAAATATTTAGTTTATATTTTATTTGAAGAATGAGATATTGGATTTATTATGTTATCTTCCTAGCATTTGGTTCTAGAATTAAAATTGAAATGAGTCTACAAATATGTATTTCACACTGAAAGTAAAATTGCTTTTTGCTGAAAATATAAATTATATATTTTTAAAGAGATAAAATGAATTTAATAACATAGTTTATATACTGGATATGATGGTCATTTACAACATTTTCTGGCTTTTTGTGACTTTAAAGTTAAGGTAAAATTTACATAGAGTAGAAATTCTATTCGTTTTAATAAAAATATATACTTACAGAAATGATAGGCATAGGAGGCAGGGAAATTCTGGGCAGAAGAGAGTAGGTCCACAAGTGAGGGCCCCATTCTCAAGCCTGGAACTGTGGCTTGAGACATACATCCCTGTTTTCCTGAGGTGAGTAAAGTGAGGACATACATTCCTGTTTGCCTGCCCAAATGTTGCCTCTCCCAAAACCAACCATGGCCTACCTTGCCCCCCATCCTGTGCGCATAAAAACCCCAGACTCAACTTGCAGAGATGAGAAGCAGCTGGACGTCAGAGAATATGGTTGAACATTGGAGAGAAGCAGCTTGACTTCAGAAGGACAGCTTGCCAGCATAGCTTTGGAGAGGAGTTCAACCATACCCAGCCACAATCTGGGGGAAGATTACCTTCCTACTCAGTCCCCTTTTCAGCTCCCCTTCCCACTGAGAGACGCTTTTATTGGCAGTAAAATCCTCCTCATTTACCATCTCCAATTTGTTCAGGCGACTCATTCCTCCTGGATGCTGGACAAAAACTTGGGTGTGGGTGCAAAAGGTTGTCACACTGACCCTCCACTAAGTTTTTAACACTTAAGGCATCACGGATGGCAAAGGTAAAAGAGGACTGACTGAAACACTCCTTCTGGGACTTCAGACATCACAGGCACACCCTTAGGTGATGCCATGGGGCCATTACAGAGTTCATTCCTGCCAGCGCCCAAAAGCACTCACCTCAGCCCCTGCGGTCACTTACCTGCATGCTCCCTTCCACAGGAGGTTGAGCACAGCAGGTTTGCGTGAGTGGAGTTAGTCTCTGCTAGCACCTTCGCACTCCAGTTCCCACCCATGAAGGGGTCAGGGGAATTTCCTGCTTCAGAACCACCACTACAATCAAGATATAGACCATTTCCATCACTCTGGAAATGTTACCTCCTTCCAGTTGATCACTATATACACACAAAAAAGCACCTCTTACTTGTTAATTGACAAATAAAAATTATATTTATTTATTGTGTACAAGATGATGCTTTGAAATATGTATACATTGTGTAATGGCACCACTAAGCAAATTAACATGTGCATTACCTCACATCCTTAACATATGCATTACCTATCATACTTTGTAGTGGGAACCCTTAAAATCTGCTCTCTTAATGGTTTTCAAGAATATAATATACTGTTGTTAATTACAGAAGGAATAAATTCAATATATCTATTGTATAACATAGAATATACTGCTCTGATTTCTGTCTTTTTAAAATTTTTCTATTGAGCATGTCAGTTCTAGAGACTTTCCAATCAAATGATTTGTACAAAAGGACCATAGTAAACAGATATGATTCAAGGTTGCCATCAGTCAGATGCTAACCCAACAGTCTAGAAGTGATAAAACATTTCAAAATCTTGGCCTGTGGTCATGGTAGTCAAGCTGTATATTTTTATTTTATATCTACTACATAAGAAAAAGTAGTGAATGTATTCCAACAATTATTTTAACTAAGGAGATCATTTTGATGTTTTAGCAAAAGATGTACCTCTGTTTCATCATTGTATGCTTTAAACTACTAGAACACATTATTTTGTAATAAAATTTTATTTGATATGAAGAATTAATTGCATACTTTCTTAAAAATGCACTATGTAACTTAAGTTGTAAATTATCAGCAAAAATTACTTTAAATAATTAGAAACAGATAGTTAGAGTTTTTAAACTTTTAGTGGATATTGCAAAGTACAGAAAAAACTGTATTTTGAGGACTTTATATAATTATAGATCTTGGGCTAAGGTAGAAGCAAAAATAATTTTTCTTTAAAGTATATACATAGTCTAGGACAGTCAGCTACAAAGAATTGATATCGTATCAATGACATCTTTTAAATTTTTTTTTGGTTTTCACGATAAATGTCAATGCAGAAATAAATGAGCCACCTTTTATACAGTATAATACAGTAATTCAACCATTGTGCTTTGGGCTAAAGGGAAATGTCCTTGATTTTTTAGGTGGATGGTAATTAGTTCCTATACCAAATTCTACCATGGAGTCTTATTAAAATTGATTCTGAATAATGATCCCTATACTTTTATTCCTAGTGTTTGACATGTCTGACAGAATCTCTGAATTTTGCATTGACCAAGATGTCTCTTGGTCAAGTTAAGATGTCTCTTAACTTTTGTCATACTCTAAACCACATTCTTCCTGTCCTCTACTAAGAATTAGTTCAATATATTTTCTAAGAGGCTGAGAAACCACACATACTCAAAAAGGTCATTAATATCAAATAGTATTTATTAATTTTTAATTCAAACAGAGGTTCAAAGCTGTACTAATCAAGTTAATGAGACATAACATTTTAAGGTTTTAGACTGAGACATAAAAATTACATTTTGTGTAGTATGTATGGTAGTTGATGACATATTTTGATAATTAACAAGAGTTTGGTGATGAAATAAGTTAATGGAAATAATACTTACGGATATATATTACATTGGAATTTTTTTATTTTTTATTTATTGTCAAAATAGAAAGACCTACTATTTGATAGCACAGTGGGATGACTCTAGTTAATAATAACTTAAATTTATAGTTTAAAATCACTTAAATAATATATTGGATTATTTATAACTAAAAAAATAAATGCTTGAGAAGATGGATACCCCATTCTTCATGATGTGCTTATTTCACATTGCATGCCTGTATCAAAACATCTCATGTACTCATAAATAGATACACCTATTATATACCCACAAACATTTAAAAAAAATATAGTAGTGATCACTTATTTTTTTTTCTTTGTCCTCTTTCCATTCTCTTTTATTTATTCATCTTCTCTTGTCGAATATTTCAGTCCTAAAGACATTGGACGAGGCAGATAAAGACAGGCATCTGTGCCAGAAGTGAGGAAGAGGAATATGACAGCTGAGAACATGGAGTTAGAGCTAAAACAGGATGATGATTGAGTCAACTCAGGGAACTTCTTAGCTTAGTCAGAGCAAGCAAGGAAATGGTCCAAAATAGGTGTCACACCCCAAGCAGACTGAGGAGAGAATCCAAATGAGTGGTGGCCTGGTATGGGTGGGTCATAGCCTATACAGGATGATAATGGCACTTATGGAAATTGGTGGCAATCGAGAAGGAAAATTCACCAGGAAATTGATCGAATAAGGAAATGTGTTAAAGATAATGACATCTAAGTACATTGCTTTCAAAACAAGATGTTACAAATATTAAAATAGAGAAAATTAGACTAAAAATTATAATATTGGACTGCAATTGGAGGTATTTGTATGAATTCGTGGTTTTAAAAATATATAGATAAACATTGAAATAAATATAGATGTAAACATCTGTGAATGCATGTATATCTCTGTCCACTGACAGGACCCAGAAGCAGTGACTTTCCAGTGCTAAGGAGCATATCTCACAACCAGATCATGACTTCTAAAACACAAGGACTTAAAAGGAACAAGGACTTTTCTGAGAAATGACTGATTTCCTATGACTGAAAAGGTAAGTACTGATGGAAGAGGTGTCAGAGCTCCAGCATAGGGAAGTGGTTGACTTGAGGCTTGGTAAGAAGAATTTACCAACAAGAGTATAGGTTTAAAAGAGGAAAGTTTTATCAGAAAGCATGTTGTGGAAAAGTACAGTGGGGTGCCTTAGAGAGAGGACTAAGCATGAGATGGTGGATTTTCCTTAAGAGCATTTATAAACCTTAAGACAAGAGCTTAAGGGTAATTTGGGCCATATTAGTCACCTGGGTCAAGACAAATGATTACATTTGTAGACATTTTGGTGCCTTAATGTCAGCAAGGAATGCACAATGAGTTTTGATATGCATGCATTCCAGAGATGTATAGAAATTCTGGTTACTTATAGAAGCTGAAATAGGCCTGGAACAAGATGCTGACTTTAGTTACCAGAGAAGTTAAATTACTTTAAAATTCCCCAGATAAGGAGTTTTGCCTCCGAATGGCCTATTAAATGGTCACCAGGTAACCTTTGGTCCCTTCTAAATTCCTCAGATAAGGAGTTTTTTTTTTTTTTTTTTTAATCTAGAGGGCCTGTTCAATGGTCACCAGGTGATTTTTGCTCTCCTCAAGTACAAGATGAACCTAGGATATATTTTTGTACCAGAGATCAAAGGAGTGCTGAAGGAATAATGTGGACTTGGCAAAATGACACTGGCACCAACTTGAATGCATTGTCCCTGGACAAATCTGGGACAATTTGAGCATCAAAGAAAACTTTCAGTAATTATTTTAACCCATTTAACAAAATAGGAGTCCTATAAGTCAACATACATACAAATAAATGAAATAATTGAAATTTGAATGAGTAGCAGGATATATTAGATGACAGTGGTAATTTACATATTAGAGTTTTAAAAAGAGGAAGAAGAGATGTTTTGATGAATAGAAGTATGAATACAAATTCAAAAATTAATTCTGAAAATATTACACAAGCAAATTTTAACGTAATATTGACAGTAACATTTATGGAATACTTTGTGTCAGAAACTGTGCTTAATATTTTAGTTTTTATAACATTTTGTCTTGACAAGTATCATAGGTTAGGTTTATTATTTCTCCTATCTCTACATATAAGTAAAAGGAGGCTTGAAAGTTAAAGTACCTACTTAATATGTCAGAGTTATCTAACTCCATTACACAGTGTTCCTCTCTGTATTGTACTATTCTCTATCTCAGAAACAACAAGTGTAGCTTTTTGATACACTTTTGTTTTATATTTGTACTATTGCCTGTGAACCTAAAAAATTTGAGACAAGTCTCAGTTAATTTAGAAAGTTTAATATGCCAAGGTTGAGGATGTGCACCACTGACACAGCCTTAGGAGGTCCTGATGACATGTTCCCTAGGTGGTTAGAGCACAGTGTGGCTTTATACATTTTAAGGAGACACGAGGCATCAATCAATATATGTAAAATGAACACTGGTTCGGTCTGGAAAGGTGGGACGACTCGAAGCGGGGAGGGGGATTCCAGGTCATAGGTAGGTGAGAGATAGACAGATGCATTCCTTTGAGTTTCTGATTAGCCTTTCCAAAGAGAAAATAAGACATGTATTTATCTCAATGAGTAGAACGATGACTTTGAATAGAATAGGAGGCAGGTTTGTCCTAAGCAGTTCCTAACTTGACTTTTCCCTTTAGCTTGGTGATTTTGGGGGCAACAAGATATTTTCTTTCACATTTACCCCCGTTTTTAAAAAAAATCTTTTGGAGAAAGCATTTTAGAAAAAAAAAAAATGAGTCTTTGGTCCCAGGTTTCATCTAATCTCTCATGGCTAGGATGGTTTACTCCTAGACAGGTAGATCTCGAGTTATTAGGAAAGCTCATTTTTAGCAGCTTGTGAAGTCTCATGTCCTCTGAAGAGAAAATAGGGGGAGGAAGGGAGAAGAACAATAACAACAAAAAAAGAAAAATCCTGGAAAATTAACGTAGGCCACATTACTCTGAAGTCCATACATTAGTAGGCAGGTATGAAAGTGTCTTATGTATGTGAATACATTGCTGTTTTTTTCTTCTGAAGTTTAAGTTGTCTAGATTCAGTTCATAGGCTTTATGAAAGCACAGCTTATTTTTCAGTGATTTCAACTTAGGAGAAAGTGGTAGAAAAAGAAAATAAAGCAGAAAAAAAGAAAATATTATTTTGGAAACTTAAAGCAAGAACAAAATAGAATTCAGTCCAAACTATATAAAAAATTCAAAACATTAAGCAAGACTAGAATCTAACAACAGGTGTACTATAGTTTTGGAAACATAATTTTAATCTCTCCAGTTTCCCATTTTTACTAAAGACAAATCATGGTAGGACCAATTTTCTTTATTAAACTTGGCCAGATTTTTTGTATAAAGTACAGCAAGAATAATTATTTTTCACATCAGCTTTATAAAATTGGCTTTGATGAAACTTTGTGCCATAGAAGAAATCTCAGATAAGACTATTTTTAATGCCAAACTCAGCCATGGATTTCTGTCACTAACTATATATGAGTTAGGTAAATTTTTTCTCCTCTTGAGGTTCCAAGACAAACCTGAGTCTCCTGGACCTGTCAGAAAGTGACATTTTTTATTTACCACAGGTCAAATACCCTGTACAGGGACTGTGTAAATGATGAGGCCAGTTTTCCCAAGAGCTTTTATTGACTCCATAAATTAAGTTTGATTCCTTAAAGGAAAGCACACCATTCCAGTCAAAGCCTTGGTAAAATAACCAGTTTCTCCAATTGTGTTTTGTTACAAATGAAAACAGATTCTTATTGCACTTATGCAAATAACTGTATTGCCGTAAGTTAACAATACTCACAAATAGTTTCCAAATTCTGGAGAAATCAGGTAGAGAGAAAAAATACACTCCAAATTTTGTTCATAAGAGTATACTAAAAATTGTTAAAAGCTGTCAGTATCTAAAAAGAAAAGTTTAAAGACGGAAAAACAAAAGATAAGCAATGTTTCAAGCAAAAACTTAAAAAGATTATTTCAGTCCATGCAATTAATTCCTGTTCTGCTTGATATTCATGAACATTTTAGCTCTCCCTGAGTCCTGAAAGTTTTTCCTCTATTTTGATGTGACAATCTCCACATTTTTCAGAAACCTACGTTCAAGAGCATCCATTAGAGTTTTATAGCTGATTATAAAACCACCTTCTAAAGAGGACCAAGACAACACAACAGTTGTCTGTGGTTGACAATAAGTTTTAGAGAAGCCATAGTCAAAGGCACAATTGACAAGGAAATTTGTTACCTCTGTGGCACACAATAATTTTAACATAAGAATTATGATTATTATTGATAATGTACACTAAGTCCACTAAGTCATATCAGAATTATAGGAGCTTCCCATAATTTTGGAACACATACTAATAATATATTTATAAAAATACAGCCCAAAGAAAACCGAACATCATTTCATATTTGACAATCCTTCATGTAAAATTATGTCATTTTTGGACTTTAGTGAATCTAATATCTTAACAATTTAATTAGGTCAGAAAAATACATAATTTTTAATTTGGTTTTAAACATTTGTCAAATAGCAAAGGTTTAAAACACTTGATAACACAAAACAGAATCACAGGTCATTATAAAATTAGTCATTCATTTAACCAAAGTGATAACTCAAGGATTTCAAAAAAAAAGGCAAAATCCTTCATTCTTTGAGAGAGGAGACATAATTTTACAAACAATAAGCCTTAATAAAAACAGCATAAAGCCAATTAAATTTGTGTTTCAGAATTTTATAAACTATCTATCAAATTGTAATTGTACCACAAGATATAACTTCCATAAGCCTTTTATAATCTTTATATCCCTTGTTAAGGAGTCAATTAATGCTTCCAAAAAACCTTGTTAATCTGATACATGGGCCCATATGCTGGTCTTTCTTCAGGGTGGCTTCAACATTAATACTTAATTTATAGAGAAACTGAACTTATTTTTTCTTTCAAAATTGGCCCTTACAGTCTCATGCACCCACCTCTTCCACAATAGTCCTTGGGCCTTGAGGAGTTGACTGGCTTTAATTTCTGGCCCTGTGTCTCAGGAATGCAGTTTATTTTAATTGGCATCTTTTACAGGGCCTGAAGATGAGGCCTTAATTGCTGTCAGTGTTTAAGATTTAGCAGGACTTGGTGTCCTTTTTAGACCCAGGAATCAGAGCCTTGTAACTCAATGCCACAAAACTTTAAAGGCACATACTTCAAGACACACGGATGTAATAACCTTAATTTAAAAAATTAAATCTCATTTTTTACTAAGAAAACAAAACTTAATAGTAATAGTTTAGGAATTATTTTGATAAAACATAAAATCTGTTAGGACAGTTACCAAAAGGCAAAAGAAAAGGCCTTCTGCAGTGCACAGAATATTATGTTAGAAGAAAACATTTCCTTTAGATCTTTAAGAAAACATGGCTTTTAAAAGGGGAGAGAAAGTTGAAAAAGAGTGAGATGCAGTAAAAGTTGAAATTTGTGTTAAAAAATTAAGATCTCTTATAATTTATTAAATCAACCACTTAAGAAAATTTCCTTGTATTAACCAACAATTTAGTATATGTGTTTATAATTTCCCTTTAATTATAAACAATTTGATCATATAAGAAGGTTCGTTTTTTTTTTTTAAATAAATCCCCTTATTATGCCTTACATAGACTATTCATGACATGCTTGGGCTTTCTGATTTGTCCTCCACATCCTTCTTCCTTAAACAATCAGTTATTTTAATTTAGGACTAAATTTACCGTGCTAGATTATTTTTCATATAAAATTATCTCTCTTTAAACTTTTTCACCACAAAAAACTCTTTATTTTTATAATTTTCTTTATGTCTCTCTTATTTCCTGGTTCTTTTACCTTGTTTTATACATCAGCTTTAAATAAGCTTTGAATTAGGTTAAACTTGTTTACTTTTTTAAAAAAAGGCAATTATTTTTAGCAAGAATGTTTTCATACAATATATTTTTATTGAGAAATAACCAAATAATGATATATCTACTATTTAATTTAATATACATTTATATTCTAAATTATGTTTGTCTATGAGTGTTTATTCCATTACATTTACCTAATTATTTTAGTTTAATTCTTTACCTAAGTTATTTATGAAAACTGAAATAGTCATCATTTAAAGTTGTAGAACCACCACTGCAATATGATAATGGAGACAGTGAAAAAGATTTGACCTAACTGACTGCATCTTGCTTTTAACCTCCAAGCTGTCCTTGTTCACTCCTGGGTGTAGGCTGAACTAACTTTGGGAGGAACTTAGCTTATAGTTTAGTTTTGAAACAAAGACAATGACAGTTCTTTCCCCAAACAAACCTTCTTACTGCCTGTGGACTAGACTGCCTAAAGCCACAGGTATAGAAGTTATGATAATCTTACTAAATTCAACATGTGGCTATTTTCATTAAATCAATGTCAATGTCTTATTTATTTAAAATTACATAAGAAAAAATCATTTTGTTTGGGCTGGGTTTATAGTTTTGTAACCCTTATTTCAAATTTTGACACCTAATAGAATTTGGCAGGAATAAGTATAAAATTGCTTGATTAATAAATGGAAACAAAAATGCTTCCTGACAATTCTTAAGACATTTCTAATATTACATTACCAATAATTTTAAAGCTAGCTAATTTATTATAGATTTTACTTAAGTTAAATAAAGTTGAAAAAGCATTTGACTAGTCTTTTATTTTTTCTTGTTAAAGTATTTGATTCCAGCAGTTTTGTTTTCTTAAGACAATTAATTAGAGTTCTTTATATATGTTCAGTAGTGAAACCTTTTGTATACAACACATAAATACATAGACATATTCGGCATGCCAATAGAATTACATCTTATAGATTCCTAAGACTTTTTTTTTCCTATTTTAGACTTGCAAACTCTTGATAACCTGTTTTATTACCATGGCAGTTGTCAGCTAACTAGCCCTAAGTCTGCATATTAAAGGAAACAACTCAAGTGAAAATCAGCAAAATATACATCATAAGGTACAAAGAGAAAGTATGGCAAGCTAGAGGGAAATTAAAACTGATTTTATTGCCAATTGAACATAAAATTATAGAAGTGTATTATAAAGGTCTTCAAATATATACATAAGCGTGTAACATACACACATGCACACAATGTTCTATAGCTTCTACTTCAGTACTTTATCCATAAGATAAATACAAATTTGCTGCCTTGCAAAAAACAAACAAAAAAATAAACCAACAAAAAACCTGTTAGGCCCAAACAGTGGTTTTTATCTCAGTAGAAAAGGAACGGCAGATTTAAAGCAGGCAGAAAATAAAATAGAGGAAAAGTGGACCTAGGAATGCTATAGTTTGCAGGTCAACCTTAGGGCTCCTTTTCCTTAATGTAAATGTGCACAAAGACTGTATTAGTTCCATTGTATTCTGGCAAGTAGTGGTGCCATAAAACCTACAGAGTGCTCAAAAGGGGGGCATTCTTCTTGTTTTCTCCTCATTCTTAGATTACTTGCCTCCCCACCTCCTCATTTTTTTCCTTAAAAGGAGGAACTGAGCTGTGGCCTAGGGTTTTTGTGGGGTGGATCTTTATGTGCTGCCTGTGGGAAAGACTCCATAATGCATCACCCCGGAGTCGTTTCCACCCTCTTACATGTCTCAGTTTCTCTCTCCAGAGGTCTGTGACCTCTGAGAGGGTTCAAACATCATGTAATCAGCCATTATATCTATTTTCTGGATGAGCCATTTTTAAAATTATTTTTTGTTGGGGATTTCCCTACAGAGCTACTGCACATCACTGGGGGTCAGCTTCCCAGACACTTCCATAAGGCTCCCAAAACCAAGAGACAGCTTTCAGCTGGAAGGAGCAAATTCCCTCAAAAGCTGAGAAAACTCAGTATCTCATTAACCTATGAAAACAACAGTTCTCTTCCTCATGCAAATGTGCACAGAAAAACCAAATTAAGATTAATTTTGGGAGGAAAAGCAATAGAGAATACCCTTTAGAATGCATCTGTGAACTAGAATTAGGATTCTTAAACAACAACTTCCTAGGAGAAAAAAAAAAAAAAAAAGAAAAGAAAAAGCAGACAAGACTACTTTCTGTAAACTGCTCCACTACTTGTAACTTTGTAGCTCTCATCTGCCATTATACATGCCAAGGTCAAATCATCTCACAGAGCAAAGTCATCCCTGGTACCCCAAAGCCAAAAAGTCAGGTCATACAACGAAACTGCCCATGACTCTGGAAATTCCACAAAGAAAACAGAACACTCCAAAAGCGGGTGAGTAGAGCCTTTGTTCTGAATTACTTAAAGGGGTTCAAGTCATTAGAAGCTCCTCTAGATTTTTTGGCACTGCAGATGGCAAAGGGGGAAGAAAGGTGGAAGAAAATGAAATGAAATAATTTTTTTTAAGACAGGAAGCAAACACAGAAACCAAACACATAGTTTTTGTTTGTTTTCTCCATTTTTATTTTATTTTATTTTATTTTATTTTATTTTATTTTATTTTATTTTATTTTATTTTTATGGCTGTGAGGAATCTTAGCCAAATTAGAAAGTCCTTTTTACTCATAATTTGGAATATTCACTTTGATTTGACCAAGTCAGCTAGAGTTGGTAAAATCCAATGGGGGAAAGACCAGTGCAAACAACAACAACAACAAACTAACAATATGACCCCTGAGCGCTCTAATGGCAAGGAGAAATTAAGACCAGCTAGTTGTTAACCTTAACTTTAGCCAAGACAAACCCCAATTCACTTATTTACCTAAGGTTGGGTCTCAGGCTGAAGACTTCTCTCCACATTCCTAGAAGCAGGAAAACAAAACAAAACAAAACAAAAACAAAAAAACCTCATCTTCCTGTTGGAAGTGAGCTCAAACTCCGTAAAGGAGTTACCTGCCTTCCATCATCATGAAAGCAGGAAAAACTTGCCTTTCTTGTTTTAGAAGCAAGTAAAACTCCAAAAAGAAGAGGAATTGTACAGCAAAATAAACTTTAGATCTCAACCCAATTTTGGAAAATCAGGGATTCTCTGCAGGAGGTGTTCTCAGACCTCAGCAAATTGTCCTATTTGGTTGAGCTATAAAGTTAGCTCATGCTGGTAGCAAGCACCAATAGGAGATTTGCCAAAGATCAGGAGCATCTCCACTCAGAATCTCTTTGTGGTTACCAAATGTGAACCCTGAAAATCTGAGACAGGTCATAGTTAATTTAGAAAGTTTATTTTGCCAAGGTTGAGGATGCACACCCATGACACATCCTCAAGAGATCCTGATGACATGTGCCCAAGGTGGTCAGAGCACAGCTTGGATTTATACATTTTATGGAGACATAAGACATAAATCAATATATGTAATATGAACATTGGTTCAGTCCCAAAAGGTGGGACAACTCAAAACGGGGAAGGAGCTTTTAGGTCACAAGTTGGTTAGAGACAGATGGCTGCATTCTTTGGAGTTTCTGATTAGCCTTCCCAAATGAGGCGATCAGACATGTATTTATTTTGGTGAGTAGAGGGGTGACTTTGAATAGAATAGGAAGCAGGTTTGTCCTAAGGAGTTGCCAGGTTGCCTTTTCCCTTTAGCTTAGTGATTTGGGGGGCCCAAGATATTTCCCTTTCACAGGACAAAAAAAAAAAAAAAATCCTAACTCTGTAAAATATTTGAAAAGATTTATTCTGAGCCAAATGTGAAGACCACGACCCGTGGCATAGCCTCAGGAGAGCCAAGATGTTGGGTAACAGCTTGATTTTATAAATTTTAGGGAGACATAAGACATCAATCAATATGTATGAGCTATACATTGGTTCTGTCCGGAAAGGCAGGACAACTCAATATGGGGATTTACAGGTCAGAACGGGATTCAAACATTTTCTGATTGGCAATTGGTTGAAAAAGTTTAGTTATCTAAACATGGAATCAATAGAAAGGAATTTGGGTTAAGAAATGTGGTTGTAAAGACTAAGGTGCTTATGTAGATGAAGTCTCAAAAGTGGCTGCCCTAGGAGGCAATAGATGCACATGTTTCCTCTTCAGACATTTAAAAGGTGCTGGACTCTCAGTTAATATCTTCAGGTTCAGAAAAAGACCTGGAGAAGCAAGGGGATCCTCTGCAGAATATAAATTTTCCCAAGAGACAGAAAGGCAGGAAAACTCAAATGGTCCTTTGCAGGGCCATTTCAAAATGTGTTAAAGAAACATATTTTGGTGTAAAATATCTTCATTTATTCCAAGGCCTGCTATCTGTCATGTGATGGTATACTAGAGTCAGGTTGTAATTTAGTATCTTATTGCTACAGTGTTTTATCAGTGTTCAGAGGTCTGTTTAATGTTAATGCTGGTCACTTGTGCCTGAATTCCAAAGCTAAAAGAGGCATGTCCCAGGGCCCTTTCTTCCCATCACTGTCTGAACTAGTTTTTCAGGTTTCTTTGCAATCCCGTTGGCCTACAGGATGGGTCCATTCAGTTGGTTGGAGGGCTTAGAATTTTATATTTTGTCTATAATAGTAAGAACACATAGCTGAGAGGTTCTTTACTTGTAAATTGCCTTCTTTAAAACTTTCTTAGATACTGAGAAACACAAATAAGCCTTGGTAAAGAAAATCATCTCTGTTTAATGTCATTATTATTATAGTAACACCTATATCAGACTACTTTTTTGAGTTTCTGATTTGACTTACTGCAGACTTCGATTGGTGGATTGTAAGGTGATTTATAACATGTTCTACTGTATTTGATTCTCTATGAATAACTTAGCACAAGTGTTACTTTTGCTGATAAGAACCTTTTCTATTCTTCTGTATCTTAGGCTTTTAAAGAGGAGTTTGTGGCATATATTGAAAAAAAACCATTGAAATCTCAAAAGTATATTTTTCATTACAAAGCATGGTAAAAACTCTAATTCTTTATGCACTGTGGATAAAAGTAAATAACTACCTAAGGTAGATGTAAGAATGCCAATATTCACATTTCTGGTATGTCTTATAACGTCTTCTAACATTTTCTATGTGTTAAATGAAACTCGAATCCATTAGAAATGTAATTTAAAATTATTTTGTTGTATATTGGCATGTGACCTAGATTCATGCTGTATTTATTTGTAGTGTGCCTGAAAGAATTAAATGTCTGGTAAAGCAGCATTTATTCAAAATAAAAAAAGGTAATTACAGGTGAAAGAAAAATCCATCTAAATAATATAGATGAAAAGAGTTTCCTCATGATTGAGGTGACAAGGTTTCAGTCATATTGAGACTGAATGTCTTTCACGCTACTTATTTCTAACAAACTACAAGTGTGAACCTCATGGATAGGTGAAGCAGGATTGAGCTGGAGGTGATGACAGTTCCGCGTTTACAACATATTAATAACCAAGAAACTAAGGTGAGTGAATTATAATGATTTTCTACATTTCCTTTTGATTTTTATCCCCTTTTATGACGACAAATAACAATGAAGAAAATATATTTTACACCTGCCCTAGTTATGCATAATACAATATTTCATTGACTATAAAGAACAGAAATAAGTTCTCCTTGAAGAGGTCCTTCACATCCCTTGTAAGTTGTATTCTTAGGTATTTTATTCTCTTTGTAGCAATTGTAAATGGGAATTTGCTCATGATTTGGCTCTCTGTTTGTCTATTTTTGGTGTATAGAAATGCTTGTGATTTTTGCACATTGATTTTGTATCCTGAGACTTTGCTGAAGTTGCTTATCAGCTTAAGGAGATTTGGAGATGAGACAACAGGGTTTTCCAAATATAAAATCATGACACCTGCAAACAGAGATAATGTGACTTTCTCTCTATTTGAATACCTTTTATTTTTTTCTCTTACCTATTTGCCTTGGCCAGAACTTTCAATACTATGTTGAATAGGAGTGGTGAGAGAGGGCATCCTTGTCTTGTGCCAGTTCTCAAAGAAAATGCTTCCAACTTTTGTCCATTCATTGTGATATTGGCTATGGATTTGTCATAAATAGCTCGTATTATTTTGAGATATGTTCCATCAATACCTAGTTTACTGAGAGTTTTTAGCATGAAGCGGTGTTGAATTTTATTGAAGGCCTTTTCTGCATCTATTGAGATTATGATGACATGATTTTATATGAAGAATATCTTAAAGACTCACCATAAAACTTGAACTAATAAAATAACTCAGTAACATTTCAGGACACAAAATCTACAAACAAAATCAATTGTATTTATATACACTAACAATGAACTATCCAAAAAGGAAATTAAGCAAATGATCCAATTTTCAATAACAAACAAAACAAAATAACCTGAAGAATAAATTTAATTAAGAAGTTGAACAATCTGTACATTTGAAACATTAAAGCAAAATCAGAATTTGAAAACACCATGAATAAGTAAAATATCTCATGATCATAGATTGGAAGAATTACTATTGTTAAAATGTCTATACTTTTTTTTTCCAAGATGGCAGATTGGAAGCATTATGCACCTCACCCACTTGGAAAGAGCAAAATAGTGTGTGGAGGTTCATACTGTGAACTCTTATCCAAGAAGGAACATGGGAGCCCAACAGAAAATGTGGAAGAGTTTTTGTATACTTTGTAAAAGGGAGCGGGCAGCAACCCACACCAACGGTATGGCAGAAAATGCATCTTCAGAGAGTAAAAGGGAGAGAGTTTGACTCCGTGATGTATATTCCCACTGGGGAGCCAGGCAACCCAGGCCATGGGAGAGATCCTTGACCTTACCCAGTGCACACTCCACTACAAAATTTGTTGACTCAAGTGCACAGCCCTTGGGACTAAGATAAGCTTCTTGAGACTTCCACCTCCCCATCTCTACAGGAGGCCAAGAGCCTACTCACATCCCTGGTACACTGCTACTACAACAAACATTTGAGATAATAACCACATTAAAGCTATCTATAACCAAGGAATTCATACAGAGCCTTGGCCCTGTGAGAGCACCCAGAAACAAAGTGAAATGACTCCACTAAATATATATAACAATCACAACTTCAAAGGGGGTGGAAATAGTATCATCCAAATGAGAGAAAAATAAAAAATAAAAGGTGATGTTTGCTCCTAATGCAAAGGAATCAGTGCAATAAGTCTGGCAGTATGGAAAAAATAGGGTGTCATACTTGCTCTCTAGCAATGAATCCTAAACAAAATGAAAATTCTGAAATGCCAGATGTATCTTTCAAATTATGGTTTGTAAGGAAGCCCAGTGAAATCTAAAGGAAAATTGAAAAGCAACACCAACATCCAAAAAAAAAAAAAAACAAAAAAAAAACCAGGATGTGAAGGAAAACTTTGCTAACAAGATAGATTAAAACAAACAAACAAAACACTGAAAGAGAAAATCTTATTGAAGAAATTACAAAATACATTTCAAGGCTTTAACAGTTGACTAGACCCAGAAGAAGAAAGAATATCAGAGCTTGAAGATTGATCTTTCAAAATAACCTAAAGCAGATAAAAATAAAGAATTTTAAAAATTAAATTATGTAAGAGTATCTAAATTTATGTCCAAGGTATTACTGAGAAAGAAGCAGAAAAAGTAAAACGTTGGAAAATCTATTAGAGAGAATAATTGTGGAAATCTTCCTTGGTCTTGCTAGAGACTTAGCATTTAGACACAAGACACTCAGAGAGCTCCTGGGAGACACATTGCAAGACAAACTTCCCCCAGTGCATATTAGTCATCAGAAATTAATGTGAAAAAAAATTCTAAAAGCAAAAGAAAAGCATCTAATCAACTAAAAAGGAAATCACATCTGACTAACACTGGATTTCTTAGTAGAAACCTGACAAGCCAGAAGAGATTGGGGCCCTATTTTCAGTTTCTTAAAGAAAAAATTGTCCGCCAATATTTTTGTATCCTGATAAGCTAAGCTTCATAAATAAAGGAGAAATACAATATTTCTTAGATAATAACATTCTAAGGGAATTCGTTACCACTAGACTGGCCCTACAAGAAATGCTTCAATGATTTCTAAACATGGCTATGAAAGGTTAATATTTGCAACAATTAAAACAGAAGAAAGTATAAAACTTACAGGTCCTAAAAAACATCCACTTGAGGATACAAAGCAACTAAGTCACAGTCGATATTATGATGGGAACAAAACTTCACATATCAATATTAACTTTGAATATAAATGAGTTAATTGCTTCACTTAAAAGATATAGATTGAAAGAATAGATTAAAAGACCTGGATCCAACATGTGCTACTTACAAAAACCCACTTAACTGGCAAAAACATTTAGACTTAATGTAAAGGGGTGAAAAAAGATATTTTGTGCAAACAGAAACCTAAGCAATCAGGAGTAGGCTATACTGATATTTGATAAAACAAACTTTAAATCAACAAGAGTAAAAATAGGCAAAAAAGGTCATTATATAATGATAAATAAATCAATTCAACAAGATGATATAATAATCCTATATATACTTGCACCCAACACTGGACCACAAAGATTTAAAAAAAAATACTACCTTACCTAAGAAAAGAGATACACAGCAATACAGTAATAGTGGGAGAATTCAACATCCCACTGACAGTACTAGACAGATCATTGAAGCAGAAAATAAACAAAGAAAATGTGTAATTAAAATGGACTCTAGAACAAATAGAACTAACAGACATTAACACAAAATGCAATCCCCCAACCACAGAATATACATTTTTCCCATAAGTGCATAAACATTTTTCAAAGTAGAGCATATGTTAAACCACAAAACAAGTCTCAATAAACTTTAAAAAATCCAAATTATATGAAGTATCTTCTCAGAGCAGAGTGAAATAAAATTAAAAATCAATGCCAAGTAAAACTCTCAAAATTATACACAAATACATGAAGGTTAAATCTACTCCTGAATAATTTTTGTCAAGGGTGAAATTAAGTTTTTTTTTTTTAATTTCAAAAGGAATGAAAACATGTCAAAATGCAACATATCGAAACCTCTGAGATGCAGAAAAAAAAGTGGTAAGGGGAAGTTTAGAGCGTTCAATGTCCACATCAAAGGAATAGAAAGATCACACATTGGCCTAATATTGAACCTTAAAGAACTGCAACAACGAAGACCCAAAACTAGCAGAAGAAAAAAAATAGCAAAGAGCAGAGAAGAAATAAAGGAGATTGAGCCCCTAAAATAATACAAATGATCAACGAAAGAAAAGTTCCTTGAAAATATAAACAAAATTGATTGACGGCTAGCCAGATTAACCAAGAAAAAAAGAGAGAAGATCCAAATAAGCACAATCAGAAATGAAAAAGGAGACATTACAAATGATACGACTGAAATACAAAAGATCATCAAAGACTACTATGAGCATCCTTACGCTCACACACTAGAAAACGTAGAGAAAACTGGTAAATTTTTGGAAACATAGAAACCCCTAAGAATGAACTGGGAAGAAACAGAAGTCCTGAATAGACCAATAACAAGTAGTGACATTGAATAGGTAATAAAAACTCTCCCAATAAAAAAGTGCTGAGGACCAGGCAAATTCACAGTGAAAATCTACCAGATATGCAAAGAAAAACTGGTAGCAATCCTACTGAAACTATTCCAAGAAATCAAGGTGAATGTAATCCTTCTTAACTCATTCTATGAAGCCAGTATCACACTGATAGCTAAGGCAGGAAAGACCACAACATAAAAGAAAACTACACGCCAATATTCCTAATGAATATAGATGCAAAAACCTTCAACAAAATACTAGGAAACCAAATTGAAAAGCACATCAAAAGGATAATACATAATCAACTGTGTTTTATTCTAGAGAAGAAAGAATGGTTCAGCATACACTAATAAATAAATGTCATTCACCACATAAACAGAAACATTTAAAAACAAATTAAAAACCAAAATGATATGATCATTTCTATATGTGCAGGAAAAGCAATCAAATAGAGCCATTTTCATGATAAAAACCCTCAACAAACTACGCTCTGCAGGAATATATCTAAAAATAATAAAAATGATATATGACAAATCCACAACCAACATTAAACTGAACAGGGCAAAGTTGAAAGCAATTCCCCTAAGAACTGGAACAAGACAAGAATGCCCACTTTCACCATTCATATTCATCATGGTACTGGAAGTCCTAGCCAGAGCAATCAGGAAAGAGAAAGAGAAAGAAATAAATGTCATCTAGATTATTTAAAAAGCAAGTCAAATGACTTTCGTTTGTTGGTAATATGATTTTCTGCCCAAAAAGTCCTAAATATTCCTGCTAAGACTCCTAGATTTGATAAATGAATTCAGTAAAGTGTTAAGATACAATGTCAACATACAAAAATTAGTAGCATATATATACACCAATAATGATCAAGCTGTGGGACAAATCAATAACTTAATTTCATTTACAATAGCTACAAAAAATGAAATACTTAGAAATATATTTAACCAAGGAGATAAACAATCTGCAAGGAAAATGATAAAACAGTGATTAAAGAAAACATAGATTACACAAGCAAATGGAAAAACACCTCATGCTCTCATGAGAAACTCCCATTGAAAAAATATTGCTAAAATGATCATACTCTCCAAAATAATCTATAGATTCAATGTGATCCTTATCGAATTACCAATATCATTTTTTTCATATAATTAGGAAGCACAATCCTCATATTTGTATGTAATGGAAGAAGAGCCTTAATAGCCACAGCATTTCTAACAAAACAAAAATAATAATAACTACATAAAATAAAGCTGGAGGTATCACATTACTTGACTTTAAATTATACTACAAGCGTATATTAACCAAAACATCATGATAGTGGTATTAAAATAGGCATATAGAACAATGGAACAAAATAGAAAACTCAGGAATACATTTACATATCTACAACCACTTGATCTTTGACAGTGTCAACAACAACAACAACAACACATACATATAGATATACATACTGGGGAAGGATACTTTATTCAATAAATGGTGCTAGGAAAACTGGTTAGCCACATGCAGAAGAGCCAAACTAGACCATATTTCTCATCATATACAAAAGTTAACTCAAAATGGATTAAAGACAATTGTAGGACCTGAAATTATAAAAGTACTAGACGGAAACCTAGGAAAACAATGTTTCTGAACATTGGCTCAGGAAAAGAATTTATGACTAAGACTTTAAAACAAATGCAACAAAATAAAAATAAACAAATGGAACTTAATTAAACCAAAAGCCTTCCGTACAGCAAAAGAAATAATCAACAGAATAAACAAACAATGCACAGAATGGGAGAAAATATTTACAAACTATGCCTTCAACAAGAATCTAATAATATCCACTATCTACAAGGACCCCAAACAATTCAACAACAACAACAAAAAAACCCAAATAATCCTATTAATTCGTGGGCAAAACACATGATAGATATATCTCACAAGAAGACATACAAATGGCCAACAAACATTTGAAAAAATGCTCAACATCACTAATCATAAGAGAAATGCAAATTAAAACCACAACGTGCTACCATTTACACAAGTCAGAAGTGCTATTTTTAAAAAGTCAAAAAATAACAGATATTGGCAAGGATGTGAAGAAAATTAATGCTTATACAGTGTTGTTGAAAATTTTCATTAGTACGATCACTATGGAAAGCATTATGGCGATTTCTCAGAGAACTAAAAATAAAACTATCATTTGCTTCATCAATCATTTAGACAATTACTGGATATCTAAACAAAGAAATCAGTATATAAAAAATACACCTACACTCATATGTTTATCACAGCACTATTCACAATAGAAAAGTCATGGAATCAACCTAAATATCCTTCAATGGGTAATTGGGTAAATAAAATGTGTTATACCATGGAATACTATGCACCATATAAAGAATGAAATTATTTCTTTTGCTGCAATATGGGTGGAACTGGAGGCAATTATCTTAAGTGAAATAACTATTAAATAGAAATTAAAATTCCACATACTCTTAGTTACCAATGGCAGCTAAACAATATGCACATTTAGACATACAGGGTGGAATAATACACATTGGAGACTCAAAAATGTGGGAGAGTGGGAGAAGGGTGAGAAATGAGAAATTACCTATTGGGTAATAGGTAATGTATACTCATCAGGTGATGGATACACTAAAAAACCCAGACCAATACACAATATAGCCATATAACAATACTATACTTGTATCCCTTAAATCAGTAAGAAAAAAATTAAAAAGTCCATACTACACAAGGCAATGTACATACCTTATTTAATCCATATCAAAATTCCAATGTTAACTATTACAGAAGTAAAAACAAAATTATAAAATTTACATGGAATTGTTACAAATAACCACAAATACTCAAAAATATCTTCAGCAAGAAAGAAAAACTGTAGACATTATACTATTCGATTTCAAAATATACTACAAAGCTATAGTAATAAATACAATATGATATGGACATAATACTATACACATAGACAAATGGAACAGAATGGAAAGCCTAGAAATGAATCTATGTATTACATCAATCAATTTTTGGTTAAGATGACATGAAACACTTGGGAGGAAAGGACAGCATCCTCAATAAATGTTGTTGGAGAAACTCAATATCCACATGCAGAATAATGAAATCAGACCCTAATCTCACATCATATACCAAAATTAACCCAAAATGGATTAAATACTTAAAACTATAAAACCAGTAGAAGAAAGCATAGGAGAAAATCTGAAATTAGTCTGGGCAGTGATTTTCTGGATACGACCCAAAAACACAGGCAACAAAAGCAAAAACACACCAATGTGACTGCATCAAAATCAAATGCCTCTGCACAGCAAAGGAAACAATCAACAGGCTAAAAAGACAACCTATATAATGGGAGAATATATTTCTAACTAAAGAAGTTCATCAAAAAACTGAATATAGAACTACTATATGATCCAACAATCCCACTTGTGGGTGTATATCCAAAGAAAATGGAAATACTATGTTGAAGAGATATCAGCATTCTCATATTCATTGCAGCATTGTTTACAATAAACAAGGTATAGAATCAACCTATACGTCTGATTCCAAGGTATGGAATCAATCTATGAGATAGATAGATAGATAGAGAGATAGATAGATGATAGATAGATAATTTTCATTTATTCTTTCATTCATCCATCTCTTCTCTCTATACATATATATAGAGAGAATAAACAGATATATATATATATATATATATGTATACATACAGAGAGAGGGAAAGAGAGAGTCTATATATATGAATGGAATTCCTCTTTGTGTGTGTGTGTGAATGTGTGTGTCTCAGAGAGAGAGAGAGAGAACACACATACATACACACACACACACACAAAGAAGAATACCATTCAGCCTTTAAAAATAAGGAAATCCTGCCATTTCTGACAACACAAATAAACTTGGAAGATTTTGATTGAAATAAGACAGGCACTTTAAGACAAATACTGCATAATCTCACTTACATACAAAATATACAAAAATTCATCTTATAGAAGCATAGAAAAATGGCGGTTGATAATGTTCAGGGGCATGGGTGAGGAGATGTTGGTCTTAGGGTACAAAGTTTTCGTTAGGCAGAATAAATAATTTCTGGAGATGTAATACACAGCATGGTGACTATAGTTAATAATACTGTATTGTATCTTGAAATTGGTGAAGAAAGTAGATCTCAAATGTTTTAACACAAAAAATATAACCATATAAAGAGAATGATATGTTACTTAGGTTGATTTTAATAATTATTTCACAATATATATGTATATCAAAACATCCCATTATATACCTTATATATATATTCAATGTTTGTTAATCATATATTAATAAAGCTGGAAATATAAAATCTCTATTTCAATTCGAATTTGCTTCAAACATCAGCATTTTTTAAAACACTAGAAAGAAAGAGAATATCATAAAGCTTATTGTATACCCTCGAAATTCAAGTCAGGATGAAGGCTGTGGGCTACTAATGAACTGTTCTTGTATCATTTTCATTTTCAAGTGAAGTAGTATATGGTTGCTGAAAAATTGAAATGAATCATATAGAATTACATGTAAAGATAAGTAAAAAGTTACTTTCATATTCCTATACTTAAGCCTACACTTGTATCCTTCCAGATAATTTTATGAATACACAAATGTAATGTGATTAATGTCAAAACTTTATCTTACGTATCATTTTACAACTTCACTCTTGCCTACTTGTATCACTGGATTGCATGCACATTGTACACCTTTTTACTGTATTTATATTCCACAACAACCAAGCATATACATATAATTGTATGTGTGTGAATGTGTGTGTGTAGAGTATTTTTAAACATATGTAATTTTAACTCTAAAGAGTATTTTTATGGGTATATTGAAATTTGTTTTTCTTTCATTTCTTTTGTCTATCATCTATCCATCTGTTTATTATGAACAACATCATCATCATCATATATATTTCAAAAGAAAGAACTTACAGCATTTTATATATTCATTTTAATAGTTAAGTATTTAATTTCATTTGGAATTTAAAAAAGTGTAGACCTAATAGATATTTTATTTTTGCAAAAAAAAAAATGGCTAGCTATTTATTAAAGCACACATTTATCTCAGTGATATAAAACACATACTGCTGGACTTGGTGGCTCATGCCTGTAATCCCAGCACTTTGGGAAGCCAAGGCAGGTGGATCACTTTAGGCCAGGAGATCAAAACTAGCCTGGCCAACATGGCAAAACCCTGTCTTTACTAAAAAATATGAAAATTAGCTGGGTGTGGTGGGGCACACTCTAATCCCAGGTACTCGGGGGGCTGAGGAATGAGAATCACTTGAACCCAGTACAGAGAGGTTGGAGTGAGCCAAGATCATGCTACTGCACTCCAGCCTGGGTGACAGAGAGAGACTCCATCTCAAATAAATAAATAAATGAATAAATGAAAATTTAAAAATAAAATAAAATAAAGCACATCCTAAAATTTATATTTATATGTATATTCTTCTGACTGAACTGAGAAAGGAGAGTGCTTTGCTTAGATAGAAAAACAATCATTTCTGGTCTACATGTTACATTATTAAATGTATAAAATGTTTAATTTTTGGATTGGTCAGAGTGTATGCAATTATTTTCTCTAAGAACCACCAATACCGTCTATGATTTATTTTACCATATATTACCAACACCAATGCAAGGTGCAGTGGTTTTCATGTTATTCTATAATAAAATTTTATTTATATGTTTGTCATGCATAATATTGAAATCTTATGCAATATTTACCAAAACATTTGTGTTGAACACATTGTATGGGTGTATTATTTTTGTGTACTTTTCACAAAATATAAAACTGAAAGCTGATATGAAGAAATTTTTCCATGATATTTAACATCATCTAAATATGATAAATAACCTTGAAGATGTTGTAAATAAATACTATAATTAAATAATAATGTCATGGAAATTGATTAGAAGATCCAAAAAAAGAGTCACAGAAAAGTTATGCTTATAATATAAAACAATTGAAAAAATCACATGAGTTAAACCGTTTTGACATTAGTATTAGAAATTATCTAAAGCATCTAAAGTTATGAAATTGAATTCACCAAGAGGATATGAAATTGTAACATATTACATGAAGGAGGAAATATTTATAATATTTATAATATTTCATTGCAGTCCAATTAGTCAAATTTTTCTTTGGGATTAGCTAAATTTTATATTTCAAAATATTACTAAACTAAGCATGTAAAATCCCCCATTAAATTCAATTTATATCATGACTAGAGAAGTCACTAAAAGTGTTTCAAATTGTTCTTTCCTTCACTTTGTATTTACAAAGTACAACATGGAGGGTACAGCAGACCCACTGCTAAACTGAACATATTCTCTTATAATTATGCCAGGTAGTGTGTTGTGGAGAGTTGATCAGGGTGACTGGATGTAAAATATAAAATCTAGGATTTTGGAGTTCTTTGGACTCTTAAGTAGTTACATTTGTATACAGATGTATATACATATATTTACAGTATTTTTTTTCAAAGATACACACACACACACACACACACAAACACACACACTTCTAAACTGAAAACTCCATGTATTCAACTGCCTACTACTAGACATCTTCTCCAGCTGGATACCCATGTTTAAAACAAAACTGTTGCTTTTTCCCCCTACTCCTCCTAACTCTGACAAATACTGCAATATTTTCCATCTTAATACTTAAAAATGCCACCCATCCATTTGCTTAAGATAAAATCCTATGACTCATTCTTGTTTTTTTTTCTTTGGACTCTAGCTTTAAAAACAGTTGTTCAATACTTCAATTCTTATCTTTCATATAGCCACTATTCTAGACCAAATAATTTTCATCTTCACCAACATTTCTGTAAGCTTCCTAACTGGTTTCTCTGATTTATTCCTATAACTCAATCTTCACCAAGCAACCAAAGTGATCTTTTACAAGCATAAATCATATCACATCAATTCCATGATTTAACTTTTCAGTAATATCCCATTCCTCTTAAAATATATTCCAAATGCCTTTTCCTAACTGATCTTGTACATTGCTGGACTTGGACCTCATCTGATTTCATCCAGGCTGTGTGAGATTGGCTTACCTTCGCCCAAATGACTTGCATCAGCCAGCTTGCGACCACTGTAGCTTGGCTGACTTCCTCCTTCCCATATCTCTTCTGTCCCCTTTGATCACAAAACTTGACTTCTATAATCTCTATTATCTTAATTCTAGATTTTGAGATACTCATTTTGTCTTTCTTATTCTCCAAGGATCAGAAATAAGGTGATTTTCCTCTTTATTCTATTTCCCATTTTTGTTATAGTATTTATTCTATGTTTTGTTCACTTCTTGGTCTTTTGTGATTCTCAAGACCTTAATATGGAATTCGAACTAGAAAATTGTTATTACTTCTATAAAAATTTGCCTGCAAGTCTCCAATCTGTTTATCCTTTAGCAGAAGGAGGCCTATCTTGAGCCTTTCCTTAGTTGTGAGACACAGTGCACCATCTGTTAACACTTCAAAGCATCTGTATTCATCCATGAAACATGGTTCAAGACACAAGTCCAAGCATAAGGTGATTTCTGTCTCACCACCCCGATCCTATGTAGGCCAATAAAACTCTTATGAGTCAGCTTCTAAAAGATAACAAACAGATTTCCTTTAAATGGTGACTGCTGATCTAAATCAATGAATAAATTATCCAGGTTTGTATTACTCCAATAATTGTTGGAATTGAAATACTAGTCAATCAGGTGCTACCATATACAAAATCCAAATTAAATCATATTTGTAAAATATACCATGTTGTATTATCTTTCTTAATTTCAATGTAGAATGTTGAGTATGGATTTTGAGTACTTTAAAAATAATTTAACATGGTTTATCCTAATGACAAAGCATTTTAGAAAAATTCTCATAAATTCATTTATTTCTGCAAAACAAATTAACTATTTTTTCTTTATGTTTGGCTGGTGACTCTTCCTCATAACCCTGGATTCAGATTTAGTCTTACTGAAAATGCCAAGGTCTAAAATTATTCATATATCTATTTTAAGAGGAATTTACAGACACCTCAGTCTCTTGAGTATGACATTGAACAATCATCTGGTCAATACTTTAGAGTTTTGACAAAACTATGATTAAATTATTGCAGAAAGTTAACTATGATTGTCTTAAAATAGCAAAAAATTAACTTTCTTATCTCTTATGTAAATCCAGGAAGCTCCTCTTGATTTTTCAATTGAATTTCCCCACACTAACTTGTTTATTTATGTTTTCCTCATTTCAAACATTTTGAAGTGCCTCTAGCCATTGATAATAGAAAATACATTTATTTTTAGAGTCCATTACTCTTTGAGTTTGAGTTTTTAGTTTGTAAGCAAAGCAAAATGTCTCTCTCAGGTTGACCATTTTTACTTAAAGATATGCTTTGAGCAATTCAGTTGCAGGGATACAATTTGAAAAAGTGCTCCTTCACAACTCTGGTATTGAATGTAATTTTTACATTTGTTTATGACTAACCACAAACATCCAAACAAGAAAAACTACACTGTGTATAATTAAGACCTACTATAACTAAGAGTCAGTAAATGCTAATTAAAATCAATTTTTAAAAGCTATAATTATTTACAGGAAACAAAAAACAATTGACTTGGGTAAGCATTTTTTCTGCAATATGATCTAATTTACATATGTGTCTATGACTCAGTTTTATGCCTATGAAATAAGTAGAAAAATCCTAAACTATCTCCTAGTGTTGTTAGCATCAAAAAAATACGGGGTATGGTATTTTATGGTGCTTAAGAAGGAAGACCTTGGAATTAGAAAGATTGAAACCAAATCTTAGTCTTATTATATGTTTATACTATATTTGTGACCTTACTAAGTACCAAAATCATCACTTTTCTCATTGCAAAAATGAGAATAATCTATGTTATTAAAGGTTATATCTGACAGAGATTCAATAAGTTGTAGTTACGTAAAAGTATTTCATTGATTTGTAAAGAGCTATAAAATATAAGATTAATAATGACTATCATTTCATATGAGTACTGAGATGTAGGTTACTTTAACAGATCAATGTTAATATATAAAAAATGATATCTATCCAGGTGTGGGGTTGCTGGATTATATGGTAATTCTATTTTTAGTTTTTTTGGGAATCTCCATAGTGTTTTCCATAGCAGCTATACTAATATACATTCTCACCAACAGTATATAAGAAGAGTTCTCCTTTCTCCACATCCTTGCTAGCATTTACTTTGTGTCTTTTGAAAGTAGCCATTTGAACTGGGGTAAGGAGATATCTCATTGTGGTTTCCATTTGCATCTCTCTGATCATTAGAAATGTTGAACTTTTTTTTTTTTCATGTACCTGTGGCTATTTGTATTTTTCTTTTGAGAAATGTCTATTCAGATCTTTTGCCCATTTTTAAATGCAATAATTTGGCTTTATGCTATTAAATAGTTCGAGTTCCTTATATTTCTGGTCATTAATCATTGTTGGATGAGTGGTGCTCAAATATTTTCTACTGTATGATCTAGCAATCCCACTTGTGAGTATATATTGTAAAGAAAGAAAATCAGGAATATCAAAGAGATGCCTGCACTCCTATGTTTATTGCCACAGTATTCACAATAGCCAAGATATGAAATTAACCTGAGTGTCCATCAGTGGATAAGGAAAATGTGGTGTATATGCACAACGGAAAATTATTCAGCCATAAAGTACAAAGAAATTCCGTCATTCGCAGCAACATGGATAAAACTGGAGGTTATAATGATAAGTGAAATCGGCCAAGCAGAAAAATGTAAATATTGCATATTCTTACTCATATGTGAGAGTTAAAATATTTGTCTCATGGAGGTAGTTAATGGGATAATGGTTACCAGAGGCTGAGAAGGAAAGTGAGGATGAAGGGTGAAGAGAGATTGGTTAATGGCTGCAAAAATACAGTTAGATAGAAGGTATAAGATCTAGTGTTTGATAGCACAGTAGGATTTCTATAGTTAAAAGTGTATTGTATATTTCAAAATAGCTAGAATAGAATATTGGAATGTTCTCACATTAAAAAATGATAAATATTTGAGGTAATGAAATTCCAGTTACCTAGGCTTGATCATTATACATTTTACGCTTATATCAAAATATTACATGTACCCCATTTATATGTAAAACTATTACATATCAATTAAAAAACTTGAAGAAGTATAAAAAATGAAAGGTCTAATGATTCAGTGTAGTTTTTCAATCGATCTTATTTATCTGTTTTGGGAAAAGACGTACATTAAGTTTAAAAAATGTGTTTTTCAAAATAACAATGATGTTTGAATTGCTAATCATTATGACACAGAGAAGCCATTGTTGCTGTAAAAAGGTTTGTAATTCCAAGAAGTCTTGTCGTCAGTACAAGTGACCCACTTAAGGAAAGATATTATACACAAATGTTTTAAATGTGTAGTTATGGTTTCTTAGCAAAGTTCATGCCCAAATTCAGTTGACTAGTTCTGCACCTTATCAAAACAGTATCACAGTTGCTTTCAATGATAACTTTGCCTCAGTAAAGATTACATAATTGGGCAGTATTAGAAACCTCAACCTAAATTTTTCAAGAATAATTATATAAATCAGTGGTACTCAATCTTTTGGCACCAGGGACTGGTTTCATAGAAGACAATTTTTCCATGTATGGAAGGGTGGGGATGGTTTCAGGAGAAAACTGTTTCATCTCAGATTATCAGGTATTAGATTCTCACACAGAGTGTGCAACCTAGATCCCTCACATGCACAGTTCACAATAGGGTTTGCACTCCTATGGTGATCTAATGTCCTGGCTGATCTGACAGGAGGTGGAGCTCAGGCTCACTGCCCACTACTCACCTCCTGCTGTGCCACCCGATTTCCAACAAGCCACACACAGGTACTACTCTAGGGCCTGGGGTTGGGGACTCCTGATATAAATGATACCAGCATATTTTAATTTAGATTTTATACTAAATTAATTTCAATACGAAATCAAGTATATCTTAAGATATAGTTTTTCTTTTCAATAAAATGTTCTTTTCAAGTAGCTCTGCATATTTTAAAGTTATAATAATTATATTTTACTTTTTGAAAAATTGATGCTAAGTCTCTGGTGAGATTTCACATTTGAAATTTTCTTGATGATAATGATGTTAACTTAAAAACCTTGACAGGATCCAGTGCAGTGGCTGACACCTATAATCCCAGCACTTTGGGAGGTTGAGGCAGACAGATCACTTGAGGCCAGGAACTTAAGGCCAGCCTAGACAACATGGCAAAACCCTGTCTCTAATAAAAAATACAAAAATTACCCAGGTGTGGTGGTGAGCACCTGTAATCTCAGCTACTCAGGAGGCTGAGGCATGAGAATCTCTTGAACCTGGTAGGTGGAGGTTGCAGTGAGCCAAGATGACAACACTGCACTGCAGTCTGGGCAACCTGTATAGAATTTAACCATTTCTATTATCTGTTTTAAGGTCTTGGATTTGTTTCCTGTATTTTGGTGTTTTGATATATATATATATATATATATATATATATATATATATATATATATATGTTTAATGTTAATTTTAAAAATCTTTTTTTAAATTTAGAAGCTCCAAATGATGTCATTTTTAACCATAAATCTCACATCTATATGTCTAAATTAAATTTATCTTCTGCCTGTATTCACTTCTGAATGATTATCATTGACTGTTATCTCACACAAAATGTTTCCCACATATTACACAATTACAACAGGGGAATATTTTACCCATTTTATAGTTGAACAAATTTACTCAGTGATAATAATGACTTTCCTAATTTTACATCATTTGGAAGTTACAGCATTTTGGATCAAATCCAGTTTTTCTCACTGTGAAACTGGAATTCCTTGCTACTAACAAAGACACATGCAAATACGTATGGTTATTTAATTTATTTTTTGTTTGAATATTTATATTAATATAGTGTGGATAAAAGTTTAATAATAAAGTAAATTATGTTATATTTAATAAAAGTAAATCATGCTATATTTAATAAAGCACTTTTGTGAGTAAATAATACAAATTGTATCAGAAACAGAAATCAGTTTTTATCTTACATATAAGAGTAATTGATTAATTTGAAAACTGTAAAGTTTTTTTGTTGTTGTTTTGTAGTTTTTTTGTTTGTTTGTTTTGTTTTGTTTGAGACGGAGTTTCACTCTTGTTGCCCAGGCTAGAGTGCAATGGTGTGATTTCGGCTCACTGAAACCTCTGCCTTCATGAGTTCAAGCAATTCTTCTGCCTCAGCCTCCCAAGTAGCTGGGATTACAGGCGCCTGCCACCACACCCAGCTAATTTTTTTGTATTTTTAGTAGAGATAGGGTTTCACTATGGCCAGGCTGGTCTTGAACTCCTTACCTCAGGTGATCAGCCTGCCTCCCCCTCCTAAAGTGCTATAAAGTATTTAAATGTGTGTCACCTTTAGATGTTTAGCATATAAAAGAAAACTATTAGTCATTAAATTAATATATTACTTCTTGCCTATCATTTTTATAGATAGTTCCTACTCTCATACTGATCTAGTGAATCTTCCTTGGTGATAAATTTGTCCTTTTTAAATGTAAAATCAATTATATCTCCTATTGCATAAATTTCTGCAATAGATTATCATTATAAAAATCATATGCTTGAATATGGCTTACAAGCTCCATTACAATGGGCTTTTCTTACTTTTATTATTCAGTCTCTTCTACAATGCTATAAACATATGACATCCAGATGAATTTTCTAGGACTTTTGTTTCTAGTCATGATGACTACCTTGCGTCAGGCTTATGCTTCCGTCAAGAACAACTAGAAAACATCTTTTTAAAGTTGCCAGAAAGCTGTGAGGCAACAAGGAGCTGATGGGTCAAGATTCCAAAAGAAGTGAATTTCAGAGTATGAGTTGAAATGCCGCATTCAGCTTTTCCTTCTGGGCATTATTTATTCTTGGGGCAGGGCAGAGATGGAGAATAGTAGTAGCCAAGACTATGTAGCTGTCAATCCTGTAGATTTTTGGCAATTTTATAGAGGTAGAGAAGCAAAAATAAAAATAAAAATAAAAAATGAAAGGTACTACCATGGTAGAATAGTCTTGGGCAGTTCAATATTCCTTTATGAGGCTTTAACAGACTTTGTAATTCTGTAAAATTAAGCAGCATACTTCTGACACAGATGGTAGTGTACCACAGTATCATAGTGACGAGAAGACAAAAACTGGAATTCATAACCTTCTAAGGCAGAGAATCCAGTAAACTCCATAGACTCACAGACAGAACTCCTGGGGTGTTACACTCTAAAAGTCTATGCTAATTATAGGTAGACACAGCTTAATAAAAAATCCAAACCAGCAACCAGTCAGCTCTGTCTCTAATTAGATTAAGATGTTCTATTCCTATTCCTATTGAGGACTGAGGATAGAGCTCAACCCTTCTTGAAAGAAGATGATAAAATGTGTGACATTTTGTCAAAAAATACTCTGCAAAATATGAATCAGAACCAATAGACAATGACACTGACAAAAGACTAAAATATTGAACTTACTAGTCACACATTTAAAGCACCTGTCATAAATATGTTGAAAAAGGACATAACAAAATGGAGAACTTCAGCAGAGAACTGGAATATATATTTAAATGACAATCAAATAAAAGCCTATAAATTGGCCTGGCATAGTGGCTCATGCTTGTAATCCCGTCTATGATTGTGCCACTGCACTCCATACTGGGCAACAGAACAAGACTGTGTCTTAAAAATACACATACAAATACAACAATTAGTAATTCAATATATAGTAATATTGTATATATAGCATAGTATGTGCAGCCATTAGAAAGGAGTACTTTTGCACTAAAAGAGAGGTAAATAGAAACATGTAGTTTGAATCATGGAGAGTAAAACAAAAGAGAAAAAAGAGAAAAGAGTATCAGACACATTGGGACAAGTTTGAAATTTCTAATATACTGAGATTTTGAGTCCCAGAGAGGTGTGTGTGTGCATGTGTGTGTATGTGTGTGTGTGTGTGTGAGAGAGAGAGAGAGAGAGAGAGGGAGAGAGAAAGAATGGAATCAAAGTAATATTTGGAGAGAGGAAGTTTAATAATTTTTGACACACACCCCACCCAAAATTCTATTCTGTTAAAGTCATATTTATTTTGCTTTTCACCTCTTCATAGTGTTGTATTCCCATTAATAACTGTTCCTATCACTAGGTATTGCTGTTATATATTCATGATACTTAGTCAAGAGGTTCTTAGAACTTTCTTTCCAATTGGCTGAATAAATGTTTAAAGAAATGCCACTAACTCCATGGCACAGATTTCTGTTTCATAATATGCTTCTTATGTTATTAAAGTTAATATTTCAGTCTAATAATACCTCTCTCTAAGGTACATGGTGGTGGAAAATACAATTAAACTCTGTGTTAAGTATCAATTGATTGAATTTGAGAAACCAGACAATAAATATTTGTTGAAGGGAATTATAATGAAATCCATTAGGTGCAACAGAGGAAGCATATGTTTTGAATTTATGTCCTAGCTGCAGGGGACAGCATGATATTCTCTTTCTTTCTCTCTCTCTCTCTCAAATGAACTTTGAGGTTCTCTTATTTTTACCTACTTTTATACAAGTTATGGTTTATGTCATTAAGGTAGAATGAAGGAGTGAAATTAAGGATAACGTATTATTGTGCTCTTTCATCATTTAGCAATTCATAAATATCAATAATATTACTTTGAACAGCAATGCCGGGGTGGACTTTCAAAGTGAAATGAAGACAATATACCATTTGCTTTCATAAAGTCTTTAAAGCCTTAAAAAAACATGACATAGTTAAGCATGTTCAAACTTAAAGTTATTCTCAATTCAATTGAAACAGAGAACAGGAATAAATAGGCTTTGTCTTTTCTGTCTTGCAGGAAACTGACTTTACGTTTACCAGATCCACCAGGTCAAATGTGAAGGTAAGCCTGTAGCACATCCTTGGTTTATAGACAATTCTAACAGATGTAATCAATAAAGGTGTAATAAACATGTGCCCAGAATGAAAGGGCACTTGGCACATCCTACATAATTGATTTTAAAACAGATTTAAAACTTCATGATCCTTATTTTTGAATTTTAAAAACACAAAGTCATAAACAAAAGTTTTTCATTAACACTAAAAAGTCTAAATTGCGGTATATTTCTCTGTCACACAAAGCAACATTTTTGTCTTTCTTACAGCAAAAATTAGAAAAAGCAGCAGTGAAACTGATTATTAATTGTCTGGAGAGTAGCAGAACAAAATTAATAATGTCACACCTCTAGACTGGAACCAGTGGTTTCTTAAACAATACAGAAAATAGCTTAAACTATAATCAATTTTACCTGGATTGGAAGGTATTACTGGCAATTAATGACCATGTAACTTGGAAAATCAATGAGGTCTGCCAAAAGACATTATGAAATTCAAACCATTTTACAATTTAGTTAATTCAGTTCAAGATTATTATGAAAAGGAACTAGGATAATTGAAAGATAATGTTGAAATAACATATGAGCAAGTAACATGAATTTGATAATGACATATACCTGATATATGACTTATTTCTATTAGAAATAATTGATATTTTTGCTTTATTCTTGGAAGAAATATAACTTGTAACATTGTTATTATATTTTTGTATATTTAAAATAACTTTCTTAATGGGTCTGTCATAATATTTCTATCTATAATTTATAGAATTTCATTATAATTCCATTTCTATCACAGTACAATAGAGATGAGTTTTCATTTAACAGATTTACTATAACTTCTTGTTGTAATAGCATTATTTGAACACCATGACTATTTCCTCTGCATTTAGAGTATTCATAAGAACTACTATGGCCTACGTTAAGCATAGGACTTAATACCAAAATGTTTTAAAGCTGAAATAGTAAATATTGCATTAATTCTGAATATAAAAAATAGTCATTTATATATTTCTTTAAGCTCAGATTTTTCCCATTAGTTAAATAAAAACAAGGTTATTTATTTTATTTTTTGCCTGCATTTCAGATGGAAAGTTTAGGTTTAGATTTAACACACACAATCAAACTGACATAAAGAAATATACATGCCATTAGGCTTACAAGTTGAAACTCACTTATACAAAATGGAAATTTTTTTCTGGTTCGATGTCAAAATCATGAATTTGTCTCAATTTAGCACTTTTCACATAAAATCAAACATTTGCTGTGCTTAACACAAAGATGGCTTCATACCACTGCACCATCAATGAAAGTGATGTTATGGCGCTTTTCCAAAACCTATGTTTGTGAATACAGAACCTAGCTTTTACTTCTAGTAGTCAAATAAGTAATAAAATATTCCTTGAGTAGGGAGATTCTGAGAACCTGATTTGATAGTTGTGTCATAGGGAAAAAATCTGTTAACTAAAAAAATCATAGAGGAAATGAGACTTGGAGTTCATGAAATGAACTTCAGCATTAGTGTACCAGTTAAAATGATGTTCCACAAGACATCAAGAAAATCTGAAATTAGCTTCATCTGATTATTCTCTTGCCCACACCACCACCAAGTATAATGATGCAAAAGTGCAAATGAGTATTTTTAATCTTCAATTGGTCAACCTTAGGACCAGGAATTTTCTTGAAAAGAGTAGGAGTAATCCATGGGATATGCATGAAGAAAGACAGCCTAAATCATCTGACCCTCACAAGACAAGATAGAGCATAACAACTCCCAAGTGACAGAGCCAGGATTATAACTGCGGTCGATCAGATATTACTTTTGTTATTTTTATCAGCTGAGTTTTTTTTTTTTTTTACTGAAACATTAGGTAGGGCCAAATCAAAGCATTTCAAATGTCGAGCTGCACTGGTTGAAGTTAACATGAAGAGTATTCTGCTTATTTCTCTGTTTCCACACCAAACCTCATCCATCTCTGCCCTCCACAGTGATCTCTGATGTACTTCTGCACAACAAACCTTAGCTTTCCCTAAAAGTCAGTTTTTAAATTACTGCATTTAAGAAACTGGATGCCACATTTATGTATGAATTCATTCTCTGGGCATTATTAGTGAACATATCATCATCATATTAGAAGGAATGAGTTTACTAGCTGGGTGTCTGAAGGCAGAGAGAAAAATTAACATTTGTTATACCTTGATATGTGTCAGACTATTTTGAATTATGTGTGAAATATTTCTGTCTGGGTTGTGATGAATAAATGCTAGTAATTTTCCTCAAGAAACACACCAAGGGAAATAAAAGTCCATTGCATAGGTAAGCAAAATGAAGGTCCATGGTGAATCACAATTGGAAAATTAATAATGAAGGAATTATAGGGCCGTTGTTTTTAGCTCTTTGTCTTCTTTTTTTGATAAAAATATTAACATTTCTCTAATATGCAGTCAAATATGGTTAATGTTTTAAATAAGAAAGTACAAAATATACAAACTTAGACTTAGGTGATAGCATGTTTCCAGGTAAACTCATTGGGAGAACGTTCATGGATGTATTGGTATACAATTTTGACTAAGCAGAAGTGAGGAAAAATTGGAAGAAATGGGAAACAGGATAGTCATCCCAAGGCATCATTGATTATTCTTTCTTTCACCTCTTATAAATCAGGAAATAATCTTATAATACAGTGCCATTCACTTTAGACAATAGTACTTAATATTTGTACCACCTCTGTCATCACCATAAAAAAGGTTAGTAATCTTATTATTTCCTCTGATATTTTCTTTTCTCAGTAATTTTTTGAAGTTGATCAAATTGAATATTCTGGCCACTTGGCTTCCTAAAGCAGAAAACTGTTATGGGGGTGCAGTGCTGAAAAAGGTCTCATAATAGAACCTCTTAATATCTACCCCCACTCCTTGATTTTAAGAATGGGAAACTCCTCCAGTCAGATGTGTCCAGTATTTTGGCCCCTTCAAGAAACAGTGTGAAACAGCAATCACAGATAAATTGGAATGTGCCTCTTCGTTGCTTGTCACTGGAGACTCACCATTGCAGCTACCAAACTCTCCTAACTAGGCAAATTGGTTATGTCTTCAATATTTAGCTTCTGAAAGTCACAGACATAATATCCTCCAGTGACTTAGCTCCTGTCTGGTCATTGCAGAGCAAGGGAATCAGTTTGCCTGCAATCTGTTATCTGAAAATTTTCTAGCCCTTCTTATATTTTTCAACCCGACCTTTGCAATTTCCTTGTCACTCTCACATGTATTTACTCAGCCCAGGAGATTCTAAGCCATGACTGATTATACTATGGCCTCACGAATGTTGTCCCCTACATGATATTTTTATGATTAATTGTAAAACACTGGCGCAGAAAATAAATTATACAAGTAGCCATGTACACCTGGGGGATGAAAGCTTCCAAAAATAATGTATCCTAGTACACTCTACCACTCTGTGAACTTCTCTAAGGCATGGAGCATATTTTATTCTTCTCTCTATTGGCTATATTACCTAGCTCAGTTTCAAGCAATCAGTAAATAAAAGTTTGTTTAGTGAAGGTGGTGCTCCCAGAGAGGGCATGTAAACTCCCTTGCTCTTCCCCCATACCTTGCCCTATGCATGTCTTCCGTTTGGCAGTTCCTAAGCAGTATCCTTTATAATAAAATGGTAATAGCAAATGGTTTTCCCTGAGTTCTGTGAACTCTTTTAGCAAATTTTCAAACCCAAAGAAGGGGTCATGGGAAGTCCCAATGTATATTTGGTCAGTCAGAAGTAAGCAAAGCCTGAGACTGGTGATTGGTCTCTAAAATGGGGGCAATCTTGCAAGAGTGAGTTCATAATCTGTGGGGTCCAATACTCACTCCAGGTAGTTAGTGTCAGAATTGAAATAAATCCTTGAACCTATAATCACTGTCCAGCAAGTTAGAAAACTGGGTATTGGTATGGGAAAAAAACACAGTTTTAGTGTCAGTGTTCTGTGGGTAAAAACATATAGCCATAAACATTCATGTATTTGACACTGGTAGACACTACACACAATCTATTAATTTTAATATTATAGTACTTACAGTTTGATCTCACTGACCTAGTATGCTTCTGAGATTAATAGTTGCTTAATTAAGCCCCTCCAAATCTTAGTTATAGTGAAAAAAGAAAAGAAGGAGGAGTTTGAGGAGAAGAAATAAAATAAAACAATTGTATTTGACTCTGTTGATCACCTAGACTGTGGACACCTTCTATGCTCAATGAATACATAGTTGTGGCTAATTCATGTTCTTCTACATTTAACATGTAGTGTGGCATATTCTAGTTGTTCATCATTTTCCTTAATCTATATTCCTCTGATTTTCATGCCAACCTCAATTTATACTAACTCTTTTCTTCATTCCTCCAGAACCATGTATTCCCTCTCTAGGTTTTTTAAAATTTTTTCTTTATAATACAAATTAGATTAAATTCTTATTTTCTAACCCCCTTTGAAAGTATTATCCCAGTTTCTCTTATTACTTTTATTTTAAAATTTTGAAAATCAATAAGCTACATTCAATACTTCTAACTTCTCAGCGAACATTTCCAATCTTTTAAAGTTTGACTGTAGTCTTCTCTATTGTACTGACATCATTTTTCAAATATTAACAATGTTTATCTCATGTCAAATTTAGTCCTATTTTATATTTTGAAATGCTATTAATCTCCTCCTTATGCAAATATCTTCTTTACCTTTCTAAATAGTGAGTATTTGCTGGTTTTCCTATTGTCTTTCAAGCCCAAATCATTGCTATTTCCTTAAACATCTCAACTTCTGCTGCATTGCCCACTCAAAATATAGTAGAAATATTTTTGTGATCTTTTATTAACTTTTGTCTCTTCTCTGTCTTTATTCAGTCACTCACATGGCTTCAACTATCAGAAAAACATGACAAACTAATAAACATTATCTCCATGACATTTCCTGAATCCCTCATCAAATTTTCTTGCTCTTATATATGTAATACATAATACTATAATATACAGATGTATAATAGTATATGTAATACTACAATATATTATTTTATATATTGTATAATATTGGTTTAATTTATAAATAAAATCAATATTTATCCTGCATTTTTATATAAATAATACTTAAAGGTAACAAAACACATACTGAGGGAAAGTTCAACCTTGGAACTACAGTCAACGAATGCTAATAAGTCATCAATGGCTGCTAACCATTGTGGGATGCTGATGTTAAATGTTGTAATATGTGGATCAGGCTAGTGCACTTGAATCTCCAATCAGTATTAAAATTGTTAAATAATAGGTAAACAAACATGATATGGTTCTTGATACAATACAGTATGAATTAGATAATACTTCTTGTAGCACATTATTTGCAACATTGAACATGAATCATACATTTAACTTGACGTACAAGACACATGGGAAGTGAGAGGCATACTTAGCGACACTGTAAAAATATAATTAACTGAATTCCGAATTTAGAAAATTCCTCCTGACAAGTGGCATATTTTTTTAATAAATTAATACTGCAGGAAACATGCAAAAAGACTAAAATTATATAAGCCAAACATAAGGAGTGAATTTTATTTGGAACGAAATTCTAAACCACAACAACAACAAAAATTTATATATAAAACTAGGACCAAAAAATGGAAATTTTATATTAATTTATAACATGAAATAACCTTTAATTTTGTTGTTTGTGTTAGTTATCTTGATACGATGGGAAAATATCCTTATATGTTAGCATATATATGAAAATATTTGTGATTTGATTAAATTTTATCTATTATATACTTTAAAATATTTCGTGTTAAAAAGGAGGAATGCAATGAAATAAGGCAGAAAGTTGTTTTGCTGAAACTGGATAATGAGGTCATAGTGATTCATTATAATATGCACTTTATTTCTGTTTTGAAAATTTCTGTAAAAGCATACAAGTTTCAATCAATAGCAGTTTATTTCTATTTATTCTAAAGGTACTTATGTTTGCTCACTTGCATAACAGTGGTTGACATTTTACATGAAACACATCTCAAAAATTAACAATCATACAGTTGCAGAAGTATTATGGTTTACTGATTTGTTTTATTCTCCTAGATACTGAAGATAGGCAAAATATTCAGTTTTTACTCATGAGGTACAATTAGGAGTCATTAATGTAATACTGAAAAAGATTACTTTTTTTCCAAATATTTGTTAGAATGTCAAATTAAAAAGAATGGTGATAGCCACACAACTTTAAATCATTCCCTGTAAAAGCCAGAACTTTTCCATTGTTCACTAAATAGTTATAGTTTTGTTTCATAATTTTGTTTTTTATTTATTTATATAAGAATAAGTTTTCAGTGGCGATTTCTGTACCCAAGCAGTGTACACTGTATCCAATGTATAGTCTTTTATCCCTCAATGCCTTCCCAATCTTTTCCCTGAGACCTCAAACCCCACTGTATCATTCTTATGCCTTTGCATCCTCATAGCTTAGCTCCCATGTATGAGTGGGAAAACACAATGTTCAGTTTTCCATTTCTCTGAGTTACTTCACTTAGAATAATGGTCTCCAAATCCATCTAGATCACTGTGAATGCCATTATTTTGTTCCTTTTTATGGCTGGGTTGTATTCCTTGGTATATATTATATATACCACATTTTCCTTATCCACCCATTAACTGATGGGCATTTGGGCTGGTTTTGCATTTTTGCAACTGGAAATACTTCTACTATAAACATGCGTGTGCAAGAATCTTTTTTGTATAATCACTTCTTTGCCTCTGGGTTGATACCCAGGAATGGGATTGCTGGATCAAATGGTAGGTCTACTTTTAGTTCTTTCAGGAATCTCCACACTGCTTTTCATAGTGGTTTTACTAGTTTACATTCCCATCAACAGTGTAAAAGTGTTCTCTTTTCACCACATCCACGCCAACATCAATTTTTTTTTTAAATTGTTTGATTATGGCCATTCTTGCAGGAGTAAGGTGACATTGTATGGTGGTTTTGACTTGCATTTCCTTGATAATTAGTGATGTTGAGCATTTTTTTCATGTTTGTTAGCCATTTGTATATCTCCTTTTGAGAATTGTCTATTTATGTCCTTAGCCCAGTTTTTAATGGGATTTTTTTTTTCTTGCTGATGTGCATGATTTCCTTGTAGATTCTGGATGTTAGTCCTTAGTTGGATGTATAGATTGTGAAGATTTTCTCTCATTCTACGGCTAGTCTGTTTGATGATTTTTTTTTTGTTGTGCATAAGCTTTTTAGCTTAATTAAGTCACATTTATTTATCTTCCTTTTTGTTGCATTTGCTTTTAAGTTGTTAGTAATGAGTCTTTGCTTAAGCCAATGTCTAGAAGGGTTTTTCCATTCTATCTTCTAGAACTTTTATGATTTCAGGACTCAGATTTAAGTCTTTGATCCCTTTTGAGTTGATTTTGTATAAGGTGAGGAAAGAGGACCCAGTTTCATTCTTCTACATGTGGCTTGCCGATTTTCCCAGCACCTTTTGTTGAACAGGATATCCTTTCTTCACTTTATGTTTTTGTTTTCTTTGTCCAACATCAGTTGGCTGTAAGTATTTGGCTTTATTCTGGGTTCTCTATTCTGTTCCATTGGTCTATATACCTATTTTTATGTCAGTACCATGGTGTTTTGGTGACTATGGCTTTATAGCATAGTTTGATGTTGGATAATGTGATGCCTCCAGATTTGTTCTTTTTGCTTAGTCTTGCTTTGGCTATGCAGGCTCTTTTTTGTTTCCATATGATTTTTAGGATCTTTTTTCTAGTTCTGTGAAGAATGATGGTGGTCTTTTGATGGAGATTGCATTGAATTTGTAGACTGCTTTTGGCAGTATATGGTCATTTTCACAATATTGATTCTACCCATCAACAAGCATGGGATGTGTTCTTATTTGTATTTGTCATCTGTGATTTCTGTCAGCAGTGTTTTATAGATTTCTTTGTAGTGCTATTTCACCTCCTTGGTTAGGTATATTCCAAACTATTTTATTTCTTATTTTTACAGTTATTGTAAAAAGGGGTTGAGTTGTTGATTTGATTCTCAGCTTGGTCATTAATTTTGTATCCTGAAACTGCTGAATTCATTTATCACTTTTAGGAGCTTCTTAAATGAATCTTTAGGGTTTTCTAGGTATGATCATGTCCTTTTCAAACAGCAACAGTTTGACTTTCTCTTTACTGATTTGCTCTTTATTTCTTTCTCTTGTCTGATTGCTCTGGCTAGGACTTCCAGTACTATATTGAATAGCAGTAGTAACAGTGGTCATCTTTGTTTTGTTCCAGTTATTGGGGGGGAATGTGTTCAACTTTTCCTCATTCAGTATGAGATTGCCTGTGGGTTGGTCATAGATGGCTTTTATTACATTAAGGTATGTCCCTTCTATGCCGATTTTGCTGAGGGTTTTGATGATAAAGGGATGCTGGATTTTGGTCAAGTTGTTTTTCTGTGTCTATTGAGATGATCGTGTGATTTTTGTTTTTAATTTAGTTTATGTAGTGTATCACATTTATTAACTTGCAGATATTAAACCATCCTTGCATCCCTAGTATGACACTCTCTCAATTATGGTAGATTATCTTTTTAATATGCTGTTGGATTTCATTAGCTAGTATTTTGCTGAGGATTTTTGCATCTATGTTCATCAGGAATATTGGTCTGTAGTTTTTTTTAATTGCTGTTATGTCCTTTCCTGGTTTTGGTATGGGGGTGATAAAATTTAGGTAGGATTCTTTCTTTCTCTTCTTGTGGAATAGTGTCAATAGTATTGGTACCAATTCTTCTTTGAATGTCTGATAGAATTCAACTGTGAATCCATCTATTCCTGGCCTTTTGTTGTAACTTTTTAATTATCATTTCAATCTTGCTGCTTGTTATTGGTCTGCTCAGAGTTTCTATTTTGTCCTGGTTTGATCTGCATAGTTTTTATTTCCAAGAATGCATCCATCTCCTGTAGGTTTTCTAGTTTATGCCATAAAGGTGTTCATAGTAGCTAAGAGTGATCTTTTGTATTTCCGTGGTGCTGCTTGTAATATTTTCAACTTCATTTCTAATTGAGTGTATTTAGAGCTTCTCTCTTCTCTTCTTGATTAATCTCACTAATGCTCTAGCAATTGTATATGTATTTCCAAAGAACAAGATTTTGTTTCATTTATCTTTCGTATTGGTTTATTTTTGTTGTTTCAATTTCATTTAGCTCTGATCTGGTCTTGATTATTTTTCTTTTGGTGGATTTTGGTTTGTTTTTTTCCTGTTTCTCCAGTTCCTCGAGGTATGAGCTTAGATTGTCTATTTGTGCTCTTTCAGACTTTTTGATTTAGGCAGTTAATGCTACAGATGTTCTTCTCAGCACTTTTGCTGTATCTCAGAGGTTTTGATAGGCTATGTCACTATTATTGTTCAGTTCAAAGAATTTTTAAATTTTCATCTTTTTTTTTTTTTTTTTTTTTTTGAGACGGAGTCTCGCTCTGTCACCCAGGCTGGAGTGCAGTGGCGGGATCTCGGCTCACTGCAAGCTCCGCCTCCCGGGTTCACGCCATTCTCCTGCCTCAGCCTCCCAAGTAGCTGGGACTACAGGCGCCCGCCACTACGCCCGGCTAATTTTTTGTATTTTTAGTAGAGACGGGGTTTCACCGTTTTAGCCGGGATGGTCTCGATCTCCTGACCTCGTGATCCGCCTGCCTCGGCCTCCCAAAGTGCTGGGATTACAGGCGTGAGCCACCGCGCCCGGCCAAATTTTCATCTTGATATGATTGTTGACTCACTGATCATTCAGGAGCAGGTTATTTAATTTCCATGTATTTGCATGTTGTTGAGGTTTTCTTTTGGAATTGATTTTCAATTTTATTCCACTGTGGTCTGAGAGAGAAATTGCTATAATTTTGTTTTTCTTACCTTGGTTGAGACTTGTTCTGTGACCTATCATATGGTCTGTCTTGCAAAATATTCCATGTGCTGTTGAATAGAATATATATTCTGCAGTTGTTGGGCAGAATGCTCTGTAAATATCTGTTAACTCCATTTGTTCCAGGGTATAGTTTAAGTCCATTGTTTCTTTGTTGACTTTCTGTCTTGATGACTGCCCAATGCTGTCAGTGGAGTATTGAAGTTACCCACTATTATTGTGTTACTGTGTATCTCATTTCTTAGATCTAGTAGTGATTGATTTATAAATTTGGGAGCTCCAGTCTTAGGTGCAAATAGATTTAGAATTGTGATATTTTCCTAATGGACTAGTTCTTTTATCATTATATAATGTCTGTCTTTTTTCACTGCTGTTGATTTAAAGTTTGTTTTGTCTGAGACTAGATACTCCTGTCCATTTGCATGAAATATATTTTTCACCCCTTTACCTTAAGTTTATGTGATTCCTTATGTGTCAGGTGAGTCTCCTGAAGACAGTATTCACTTGGTTGTCGAATTCTCATCCATTCTGCTATTTTGTACCTTTTAAGTGAGCACTTATGCCATTTACATTTAATACTAGTATTTAGATGTGAAGTACTATTCTATTTATTATGCTATTTGTTATCTAAATACCTTGTCTTTTTTTTTCATTGTATTATTGTTTTATAGGTCCTGTGAGATTTATACTTTAAGGAGATTCTATCTTGGTATATTTCAATTATTTGTTTCAAGATTTAGAGCTCATTTTAGTAGTTCTTGTAGTGCTAGGTTGGTAGTGGCAAATTACCTCAACATTCGTTTGCCTGAAAAAGTCTGTATCTTTTTTTTTTTTTTGAGACAGAGTCTCAGTCTGTCACCCAGGCTGGAGTGCAGTGGTGCGATCTCGGCTCACTGCAAGCTTCGCCTCCCAGATTCATGCCATTCTCCTGCCTCAGCCTCCCAAGTAGCTGGGACTACAGGTGTGCGCCACCACACCCGGCTAATTTTTTGTATTTTTAGTAGAGACGGGGTTTCACCGTGTTAGCCAGGATGGTCTCGATCTCCTGACCTCATGATCTGCCCACCTTGGCCTCCCAAAATGCTGAGATTACAGGCGTGAGCTACCGTGCCTGGCCAAAAGTCTGTATCTTGCCTTCATTTATGAAGCTTTGTTTCACTGGATACAAAATTCTTGGCTAATAATTGTTTTGTTTAAAGAGACTAAAGATGGGACCCCTGTCCCTTCTAGCTTTAGGGTGTCTGTGGAGAAATCTGCCATTAATCTGATAGGTTTTCCTTTATAGGTAACCTGATACTTTTTCCTCAGAGCTCTTAAGATTCCTTTCTTCATCTTGACTTTAAATAACCTCAAGACTATGTGCCTAGGTGATGATCTTTTTGCAATAAATTTCCCAGATGTTCTTTGGGCTTCTTGTAAATGGATGTCTAGATTTCTAGCAAGGCTAGTCTTGTTTTCCTCAATTATTTTCTCAAATATATTTTCCAAACTTTCAAACCTCTCTTTTTCCTTCAGGAATACACATTATTCTTAGGTTTGAACACTTAACATAGTCCAAAACTTCCTGGAGCGTTGTTCATTTTTTGTTTTGTTTTTTTTTTTTTTTTTCTTCTTTCTTTGTCTTTGTTGGATTGTGTTAATTTGAAAGTCTTGTCATGGAGCTCTGAAGTTCTTTCTTCTACTTGTTTGATTCTATTGCTGAGATTTTCCAGTGCGTTTTGCATTTTCCTCAGTGTGTCCTTCATTTCCAGAAGTTGTTATTTCTTTTTATTTATGCTGTCGATTTCACTGGAGATTTTTTCTATTTGTGTTCTGTACCTTTTTTTTTATTTCTTTAAGTTGGAAGTCACCTTTCTCTGGTGCCTTCTTGAGTAGCTTAATAATCGACCTTCTGAATTCTTTTTCTGCCAATTCAGGGATTTTTATCTTTTTTTGAATCCATTGCTGGTGAGCTAATGTTATCTCTTGGAGATGTTAAAAAAACTTGTTTTGTCATATTGCCAGAATTGTTTTTCTGGTTCCTTCCCATTTGGGTAGGCTATGTCAGAGGAAAGATCTGGGACTCAAGGCCTCCTGTTTAGATTCTTTTGTCCCACAAGGTGCTCCCTTGATTTGTTGCTCTTCCCTTTTCCCTAGGGATAGGGTTTCTTGAGAGCCAAACTGAAGTGATCGTTATTTCTCTTCTGGATCTAGCCACCCAATGTAGCTACCAGGCTCTGGGATGGCACTGCGGAGTGTCTGCAAAGAGTCCTGTAACGTGATCTGTCTTCAGGTCTCTCAGCCATAGATATCAGCAACTGCTCCAGTGAAGATAGCAGGGGAGTGAAGTGAACTCTGTGAGGGTCCTTGGTTGTATTTGTGTTAAGTGTGCTGGTTTTGTGTTGGTTGGACTCCAGCCAGGAGGTTGTGCTTTCAAGACTGCATCAGCTGCAGTAGTATAGGAAGGATACAAGCTTGCCCCTGGATCAAGCAGTGGGTGGGGTCATAGAGCTCCCAAGAGATTATGTCCTTTGTCTTCAGCTACCAGGGCAGGTAGAGTAAGACCATCAGGTGGGTGCAGGTATAGGCATGTGTGAGCTCAGACTCTCCTTGGGCAGGGCTTGTTGCAGCTGCTATGGGGTTGGAGGTGTGTCTCCAAGGCCAATAGAGTTATGTTCCCAGGGAGATTATGGCTGCCTCTGCTGTGTCACACAGGTTGCAAGAAAAATGGGGGAAAGCTGGCAGCCACAGGCCTCACCTAGCTCTCATGCAGCTCGCAGCCCAAAAGATCAGTCTCACTCTCACTGCGCCCCCACAACAGTACCAAGTATATTTCCAGGCAGCTGGTGAGCAGAGCTGAGATCTAGCTCCAGGCTATAAGCCACCCGATGAGAAAGCAAGCAGAGTCGCACTTCGTCAGCTGTTCCACAGAGTCTACATCTGCAATCCACCTCCTTCAAAGGGTCTGTGGATTGTCTCGGCTTTCTTGTTATGTTCCTGTGGTAGTTCTTGGAGCAAAATTTAACAATGTGAGTCTCCACACATTGCTCTGTTCATTCGAGTGGGAGCTACAAGTTAGTCCTGACTCCTATCCACCAATTTTTTTCTTTGCATTATAATTTTGGAAATAATTTTGCAGAGAGTAAAAACTAAAATAAAAATAACATATTAAAAGGTACAATATGCAAATGTGGCATATTATAAGAAAAACAGAAAGCAAAACATAACAGCCAAGATTAATGGCATTTAAAAGCTCTATTTGAATCAGACACAGAATTTTTGTACAACATTTTTTCTTCACCATTCTTGTTTTAGCATGATAATTTGCAAGATATTTAAAGGGGATCAAAAAATTCTATTTTTGTGATAGTATGTAGTACTATATTAAATTATTAATGATAGATGAAACTTATAAATTAAAAATATCTAAGAAATGAAAGACTTCAAATCATTCCTTAGGTGTGTGTCCTAATGTTTAATATTTGTTTAACTTGTATAGTAACCTTAAAATTAGAACATTTAGATTCTTGGCATATGATATGATTTGCTCTGTGTCCCCACCCAAATCTCATCTCCAATTGTAATCTCCATTAGTCAAGGGAGGGATCTGGTGGGAGGTGAATGGAAGTGGGTTCCCCCATGATGTACTCATGATAGTGAGTTCTCATGAGATCTGATGATTTAAAAATATCATTTCCACTTTGCTTGCTCTCCCTCTCTCCTGACATCTTGTGAAGAAGGAGACTACTTCCCCTTTGGCTTCTGCCACTATTGTAAGTTTCCTGAGGCCATTCCAGGGATATGGAGCTGTGAGTTAATTAAAATTCTTTCCTTTGTAAATTACCAAGTCTCACTTATTGTCTTTGTAGCAGTGTGTAAATGAACTAATACAGACAATTGGTGCTGGGATAGTGGGGTACTTCTATAAAGATACCTGAAAATGTGGAAGTGACTTTGGAACTGAGTAACAGGCGGAGGTTTGAACAGCTTAGAGGGTGCAAAAGAAGACAGAAAGATTTAGGAAAGTTTGGAACTTCCTAGAGAGTTATTGAATGGTTTTAATTAAAATGCTGATAGTGATATGGACAATGAAGTCTAGACTGAGGTAGTCTAGATGGAGATGAGAAAGTTATTGGAAACTGGAGCAAAGGTCACTCTTGCTATGCTTTTGCAAAGAGACTGGTGGCATTTTTCCCCTTTCCTAGAGATCTGCGGCACTTTTAACTTGAGGGAGATGATTTAGGGTATCTGCCAGCAGAAATTTCTAGGCAGCAAAGCACTGAAGGTGAGACCTGGCTTCTTCTCAAAGCATTCAGTTATGTGCATTTAGAAAGTGTTGGTTTGGAATTTGAACTTATGTTTACAAGGAAAGCAGAGCATAAAGGTTTGGAAAATTTTCAGTCTGACCATGTGATAGAAAAAAAAAAAAAAGAACATTTTCTGGGCAGAAATTCAATCCTGCAGAAATTTGCATAAATAACCAAGAGCTGAATGCTAATAGCCAAGAAAATGGGGAAAAATGTCTCCAGGGCATGTTAGAGATCTTCAAGGCAGCCCTTCCCATCACAGACTCAGAGGCGTAGGAGGGGAAAAATATTTTCATGAGCTTGACCCAGAGCCCTGCTAGTCTCTGCAGCTCTGGGGTTTCATGCCCTGCATCCCAGCCACCCCAGCTCCAGCCCTGTCTAAAAGGTACCAATGTACAGCTCATGCTCTTGTTTCATTGGGTGCAAGTCCCAAGCCTTGGTGGCTTCCATGTGATGTTGGACCTATGGGTGCATAGAATACCAGAGTTGAGGCTGGGGAGCCTCTGCCTAGATTTCAAAGAATGTATGGAAATACCTGGATGTCCAGGCATAAGTCTGCTGCAGGGATGGAGCCCTCATGAAGAACTTCTACTAGGGCAATGTGGAAGGGAAATGTGGGATTTGAGGCCCCACACAGAGTCCCCATTGAGACACTGCCTAGTGGACCTGTGAGAATAGGGCCACCATCAGAAAGGCAGATCCACTGACAGCTTGCATCATGTGCCTGGAAAAGCTGCAGGTACTTAATTCCAGCCTGAGAAAGCAGCTGCAGGGCCTGTACCCAGTGGAGCCACAGGGGCACTGCTTCCCAAGGCTGTGGGAGCCCACCCCTTGCATCAGCATGCCTTGGATTTGAGCCCAGGGCATCAAAAGAGATTTTGGAGCTTTAAGATTTAATGACTTTCTGCCTGGCTTTCAGGCTTGCATGGGCTTGTAGCCCCCTTGTCTTGGCCAGTTACTCCCATGTTGAGCAGAAACATTTGCCCAGTGCCTGTATCTCCATTATATCTTGGAAGTAACTAACTTGTTTTTGATTTTACAGGTTCATAGTTGGCAGGGACTTGTCTTGTCTCAGATGGGACTTTGGATTCGGACTTTTGAGTTAATGCTAAAATCAGTTAAGACTTTGGGAGACTGTTGGGAAGGTGTGATTGGTTTTGTAATATGAAAATGGACTAACATAGCATAGTTCTTGTAATACAAGCCATCAGACCCTGGGCAAATTTGAGTTTCAGTTTCCCCCAGTTAAATTAGCCTATTGTTTATATTTATTTACATAATTTGTATGAAAGATGTTTATAACTTTTAAAGCCCATTACAAATATAAATGATTGGAAGTTTTCTGTAGTGAGTAGTAATCGCATTTTATAAACTCAAATTATTTCCCTTTAATTCCTATCTTGTAAGATTGTTAGAAACATTATGTCTGTCATTTTATTTATATTTTCCCTTTTTATAAGATTGTGTCTAAGTTCTAGGAACTCATGCATGGTTAGTAACTTGGTTGAAAAGAATACTCATAAGTATTTTGGGGGGATCCTATAATATAGGCTAACAACTATTGAGGATTGGGGCTTTTTTTAGTCCTCTGTTGGTTTATGTAGATACTGCTAGTCATCCCTCAATTTCATTCCAAAATCCCCTACATGTCCAGGGTTTGGGGTGCTCCTTCTCTGTTCTACTAATTCTTAGATACTCTGCCATGTTTTAAAGCTCTCTCACCAATACTACAATTTAGTATAATTCTGATGTTCTCACACCTTGCTAACATGTACAAGCCTGTGGAATGACAGACTGAGCAGAAATGTTTCTACAGATCCACTAAAGTCTGAGATTTCATTACTCTCTACAATAAAAATAATTCTTTTCCAGTCTCATGGGAAGGAATTTTTAGTTTCTTACCTGAATTCTCCCATGTCTATTGCCTAAAACTCAGATTTCTTTTTTAGGAATGAGCTAAAGCGTAGACTGTAAAGTCAGACTGGCTTGAATACCTACATACCCACTTACTAGCTTTGCACTTGTTATTTTACTACTCTGCAACTTGCTTTCTTACTTGACAAATAGAAATGATTATAGCATCTACCTCACAGAATTTGATATGTCCAAATATAACCAGAATCTTGTTTGGCACATAATAAGTATACAAATGTTAGCTATTCTTATTCTCATAAACTTCCTAGGGTGCCTTTGTAAAAGTCTGAAGAAATTTACTTTTCCCTGATTTGAGTTTGCACATCTTTTTTCTTAGGTGTCAGCAGAGAATGACTTATATGCTGCCAGAAAAGTGGTGGAAAGAGGGCCAAGTGGGGAATAGAAGAAATAGAAAATAAAATATGATTGATATTTTATTAGTGAGGTGCCAGGTAAAGTTGCTGGAACTGTCATTTACACAGATTATTTATTTTTCTTTCATATAGCAGGTGGTTGTTTTTGAGCAGTTTGAGCTGTCAGGGAAGTTCTCTTCAACAAAGATTGTCAGGGACCCAGGTTATCATAACATAGTTATATTATTCTTCTTACAATGCCATTTTCTAGGGTATTGTCCTCATCCAAGGATTGAAGGTGAGCCACTGCCTTCTCTACCTTCCATCTCCCAGGAAAGATTAAGAAAGAAATTCAGGATAAGTTTCCCTAAAAGGAACACACATATCCTCTAGCACATTCCACAGGTTGTGTCTATGACAATGACCGTATTTTTCTGCAAGACAAGCTAGGAATTAAAGTCTGAAAATTGGTAATCATGTGCCTAGATAAAACATGGAGGGTTATCTTATTGGAAGATAAAAACAAGCTAATAATATCAGTGTTTACTTCAAAATTTCAAAATATGACTGATAAACAATTATGTTAATTGTTCACTGAATTGTTTACAGATTTGTTTACAAATGTGCTTTCTTATTTTGTAAACAGTAAAGATGACAAAGAAGTTATCATTGGAAAACATTTTCTCATTATCACTCTAGTGTTTTTCCAGTAATCATGCTTATGTGAAATTTGCAAAAAAATCATGCATTTACTTCCAGTGTTGGCTTTAAATTTATTATATTACTCTTATAAATAAAGAGGCATGCATTTGACAACAGTATGTTTCAGGAACATATCCATTCAAAATTTCTCTTCCTGTGTTCAAGATTGTTAATAAGGTACGGTGTCCTCTTCTATATATACCTAGGTGGTTTTTAAAATATCTTTTCTCAAAAGTGTACATGGCAGCATTTACGTTCTGTCTTTGCAAATTACTGTGTGACCTTTTAATAAGATACAGTTTCTTTGAAAAAGTTTTCTCACTTCTTGAATGGGATATTACTATATCCAGGTAGTTATGAGAATAAACTATATTCAAGTATTCATGAAATTTAACTTAGAAGCTGATACTAAATGCCAGTTCTGTTCCTCCTCATCCCTGCCACTACTTGTGGGCTGTATATAATTATTTCCATTATCAGGCAGGAACCTGGGGAATGGGAAGATTACATGAACTGGTGAACTGTGCCTACACTAGCAATATCTTAGTATTCATCACCCTTAATTTCCAAATCCCAATGATGACCTTTCCAAAACTCTTAAATTTTAGCTGCTTACTTTTTGTTTCCACAGGTTTTCAAATCACCAACGAGTCTCATTTCGTATGTGGAAAAGAAAACATAAAGAGAGAGATACATTTTCAGCATCTTGTGTTGCTGAAATATTCAATTTCTAGTAATTTCTCCATTGAGCATGTAATTTTTTATTTGAGTGATGACCATGACTATTTTCACTATTGACAGCTTCAGTCCTACTGCCAACCGTGTTAGTTACTTTACTTGTTTAAATCTGAGTTGTTGTAAAAAAAAAAAAAAAAAGTGAAGAAAAACACTCATAATTTTTCTCTCATGTTTTCTTCTTAGTTTATCTGTGACCTTGAAGTCTTTGAATGTAAAGGTTATCAGACAGAATAAAGAAAATTTAAAATGACTCTGTACCTAGCCATTCCTTCCTGGCCATGTCTGTGTGTTTTTGTTCATCATTAGCCTCTTTGAACAAACTCTAAACATATGACCTGGGATGGGCCAAAGATTACTCTGGAAAGAACTCTTGATCCCAGCCTAAGCTCACTCACAAAGCTAGACCAATCAGAGAAATTTCTCACTATTTTATTTCTTTTCTTACTGGTAATGACAAAAAAGTTTTCTTCTTGCTTTGATTGAAAAGATGTAATTCAGAACTGCTTGTAACAATGTAGTAGTGAGTTAGAATCTTGACAATAGCCTATATGAAAAATGAAACCCACATCCAGAGAGATAAGGTGACAAAAAGTGTCTTTATGTCCTTGGTTTTATCTTTTTTTTTTCTTTTTGAGATGGCTCTTGCTTTATTTATTTGAATTGAGGTTTTGTCACTTACAATAGATATCCAACTATTGAACAAGGATCTCATTCGAATTCATATTTTAGATACTAGGAAAAAAATATTTGGGAAGGAAGTAAAATCCACCCAAAAATAGAGTATGTTCATTCATTTTCTTATTCATCTAGCATGTACTAAGCATATTTTTATGCCAGGGACTATGCATTTCTGGAAGTAAAGTCAAACCAGTTATACAAAGATCTCTGTCTGCAAATTGTTCCCAGTACGTGGTAGCAGACCTGCAGTTATACAAATCGTTACAATGAAAGATGGTGCATTCTTTAGGAATCACAAGCAAATTGCTAAAGGAATACAGAAAGTGGATGGTATACTTTTGTCAGTTCCAAGTCACCTGTTTAAAAATTCTCCAATCTGCAAATATTTAATTGAGTCATCCACTGAAATAAAATTGTACATATTAAGACATTAAGCTTATTGTAGACTCTTTATCAATTAATCATTAGCACATCAAAAGTTAATTTTAAGAATTTACAATGTCAGTGTGATCCACAAGATAAATAAGTATTACTGACCAATCTCCTTTGAACTGCCTCCTATGTCACACAGAAAGAGCGATTATTGTAGAGCTCTTACTGCTTATGCTGGAGACAGAGAGTTTATGTTTTATTGATTGTTAAGTGATATTTCTTCTCTCCTTTTGCTCTTTTTGTTATGTTGTGGAATGAAATGGAATAGCTACTGACAGGTTCACAGAATATTTCAGTAAGACAATTCTTGGGTGAGATTTACTCTCACAAAATCAGAGATTTTTGAGAGTGTGTGCATACAGCTTTGCATGTGTTACTAGCAAATATATATAAATTAGAGATTTTGAGTGTGTGCACATACATCTTTGCATGTGTTATTAGCAAATACATATTTGCTATTATTTGTACTGCTTATTATTGCTCATTTTAGTAATGTTCTTTTCTTTTTTGACACTCACTTTCTCTTTCTCTCTATATATGTGTATGTGTGAGTGTGTGTATGTTTTATTATACATTTTGAAAATATTAACACAATAATGTCATGCCAAAATATAATTTGAAATATTTATATTTAGCTGAACATAAAAAATATACACTTTAAATTTTTTGACAAAAACTTCTTGTCATTCTAGACTTCTAGACCCAGAAAAATGTCAGACAAGTTTTAGAGTAAAATGAAGAGCTTTTCAGTGATTGAAAGTCTAAAATTTAATGTCCCATACATTTTTCTTCTGAAACAGGTATAGGAGAATACGAACCACTGGAACAGGAGAAGTGGCTAAGAAAGAGAAAATATGAAATCTACATAAGAGAGAACAAAGTAAATTTCTCAAATTTAAAGAACTCATACATACCCATGAGCAAAAGAGTATTCAAAAGTTTTGTTTGTTTGTTTTTTAGATTTGTTGTTGGAACATTTGGGAATAATAGGTTATAAGTACCTTGAAAATGAAGTAAGTAAATAAACTGAAGGGAAAGAAAAAAAATCATTTTAAAAAAAAGTATATGCGATAATATTCTAGTCCTTTACTGAGCAACTAAAATTATTTATACATGTGTGATAAATGCTAAATAGTGAATTAATGAAAAAATGTATGTAACTATACTGGGAGGCTGGAGAGAGGGAAAGCAGAAAGTGTGTCTAAGTCTAAATTTTCAACTTCCACAATGAAAGAAAATATATAATTATAAAGAAGAATAATCAGATGAAAGCAGCATAAACATATTTTTGAGAAATATGAAAATAAATATTAGAAGCAGGATAAAAAAGTGTTTAAAGGGAGTATGTTTTAACAATATTACCTTGGGTGAGGTATGGTGAAGCCAGACTCAGATCAAGGGAGGTAAATCAGAAAGAATTTAGCAGTGTTGTTACACTCACAGTTCCCCTTGAGAGAACACAGCACAGGATGCAGGGTCACTCGAGAAGCACTGGGTTGGTCATGGGGGTTGCGGAGTGGGAGGCAACTGTGGGCTAGCGCCTTCATTGTAATTTCTGTGGGAAGGAGAGGGCAAAGCAGGGCAAGCAGGTGTCAGATTAGCTAATTTAAATAATTTTAGTGGGTTTCGGGGCACAGAGGCTGCCCCTGGTTATCTGGTAGCTAACCCTGGGGCTTTTAGGGCAGAAGTACAGTGGCTCAGGGTGTGACAGCCAGATAAGAAAGGTGGTTGGGAATGTGTACTTAATTGGCTGCACAAGAAGGAGAATTTATGAGCTTCTAGCCAGTGCCTCAAAACTAGGTCAAGATAGCATTTTTAAAAATTATATTGCACAGTGTTTATCTCTTGAGTATAATACTCAAAAGAAGGAGGAGGTACTGTGTAGCTACTGTATTTTATAATATTTTAGTACTATTTTACTTTTTAAATTATACTCATGTGTCACCAAAAGAAAAAAATACTTTTTAAGAAAAGAAAATGGCATTTTTCCTAGATGTTTTTCTGAAAATTCAATTTCAGTAAATAATGTATTCTCAGGAAGTACCCCATGCTGATGCTTATAACCTGGCAAATATGAGACTCTCTAAGGCAGTTCCATACACTGAGATGGGGGAGGATAAGATATAACTGGTGTCTGTGTGAAGTGCTATTCCACAAAGCAATAGTGTGCCTTACAATATAGGTTTTCCTAAATTCACATATCTACATAAACAAATAAATTAGCTAGGTGTGGATACATTACTAATAATTCTGGGGAGAGGGCAATACAATTTTTCCCTTTATGTATATGTGTGTGTGTGTGTGTGTGTGTGTTTTAAACATGGCCACTATTTTTTTTATAATTCTCCCATAAAAAAACATTAAAGTCCCATTCCCTTAAATGTGGATGAGCTTCAGATTGCTTTTACTAATAGACACTATGCAATTTTTACGTCATATCTTAAAATGTCATGCAACTTTCACCATGTTTGTTCGAACACTGGCCCGTGGAGTCCTGAGCTCTCCATTTTAGAGTTACAGCTACTCTGAAGCTGCTATATATAGGGGCCATGGCTAAGTGATCTGATGCTTGTTTCCAGATGAGCCAATCCTTCTACTCATAAACCTCAAGGTGTTATACCTGGGAGACAAGCTCACTGGAATGCTCCAGACCAACCCCACTGCTGAGTGACCTTCATTGATACTCCATGGAGCGGGACATTCAACAGCCAAAAAACCTGCTAGAAATCCTGACCCACAGATTTTGAGAGATATTAAAAATGATTATTGTTTGAAGTTATTGAGTTTGGAAATATTTTGCCATGCAACAATAGACAACTAAAACAGAGTTTAGCACTGGAATCTGGTTCTGCTTTAACAAAAAACTAAAATGAGTCACTTTGGTTTTGGGATTGAGCAGCAGGCTCAATCTGGCCTCAAGGAAGCTGTGAGTAAAAGTTTAAGGTGAAAAATAAGGAAAAATGTGATTTCTGAAGAGAAAGAAAGTTTGGCAAAATTGTTTGCTGCAGTAAGGTTAAAAATAAAACAAGTACAACATGAACTGATGAGGGTAGAAATTTCTATGAAGAATATGGAAGGTGTTACCTTTCTTCTTCTGAATGCCTGTGATAAAATATAAGGGAGAAGTATATCAAGCAACTTCTCAATATTCTCATGTGGGAATTTAGAGAAAATATAGAGGTCTCAGAGCAGTTTTTCAAGCTGGTAAGGAGTTTTTAAAGGAGCAAAGGGGTATTGCTTTCAGTTAGATGTAGAAGCTACAACATAATGCCATTTCTATAATAGGATAAAGCTGAATAATAGACATTTATAACTTTTCCTGAACTCGGAGAGCTGAAAACAGAAAGGTCACCAAGTGAACTGAATTCTAAATGATAACAAACTTCTCTGAGGAGAGATAATATATTGCTTTTCCTGATAGTTTTACCATTAGCAGAGCTTGGGAAGATGTAATATCTACTGTAAAAACAGGTAAGAAAAAAATAGCAAAATTTTAATGAATTCTTGAAGAGAAATGTGGTCTAACAGGTTAGCTTAGGATCCCTGTGAAACTCAGAGTCAAGGAGAGTCCACAATAACTCAGAAATGCTTCTACATGAGTCATCATTAGGTTCTCATGACAAAAACTGAAGGTAGAAATTGATAGTGAGAGAGGGAGATTGTATTAGTTTGCTTGGGCTGCCACAATAGAATAGCACATACTGAGTATCTTAAACAACAGAAATTTGTTTTCTTATTGTCGAGACTAGAATTCTAAGATAAAGGTGTCATCAGGTTTGGTTTCTGGTGAAATCCCTCTTCCTGGTGTGTAGATGGCCACCTTTTCATTGAGTCTTCACATGACCTATCCTCTGTGCACCCATAGAGAGAGAACGATCTCTAGAATCTCTTCCTCTTTTTATTTAAATGAGATCACCTTGCTGATCCAAACTTTAAATGAGATCACCATGCTGATCTCATTTAAAGTTCATTAGCTCTCTAAAGCCCCTACTTCTAAATACAGTTGCATTGTTTCAACATACTAATTTCGAGGGAACAACTCAGTCAGTAATAGGGAATATCTGCAAAGAAGAAGAAATGTTTCTAGGATGGGGAAATATTCAGAAATATTATATATCTTGTTTGGGGTACTGGTTATATGACCATATTCATTAAAATGTATTGTATGTATATTTTATGTCATCAAAACTGACTTTTAAAAAGGGGTGGGAGCAAAGGACAAAACCAGGGCTCTTTCAGTAAATCACATTAACAGGAAAAGATATAGCCATTATATCACTTTGAAATCCTTTGCTAAACCCTCAGAAAGAATTTAGAAAGTTCCCCATTCTCATAAAACATTTCAGAAAGAAAACAACCACAAACCTTTAAAAATATCTTAAGTGTGCTCCCCAGTTTCTCTGTTAAATACAAAGAGGTTTCTAAGTATCTTAAGGATGCTGCTCCTCAGCAAGGTAGATAAGAGCTTGTCTAGAAGGTATTTGTGGGTGTGTCTTTTGTTTAATGGAGTGAATTTTAAACCAAAACTAAGAAAATCACAAAGAAATTACGCCATGTTGGACCCAAAGGGAAAAAAATGTTTAAAAATAATAGACTGTTGTTCTCCAAAAATTTTAGAGGAAAAAAGTAGGGTGAGAGAACTATGGCAAATATGAGCTGTTTTTAATGAAAGAGAAATTGTGGCTCAAATATTAAAACCAAAAGCCCAGAAGGCAGTGCTAAAGACTCTGAACAAACATGCCCAGGGAACAGAAAAAGGTCCTATTAAAGAAACTGGCAATACACATCTAGCTAGATTTCAGAACAGCTCTGGACCAGTGATTGGTATAAGCCTCTTCTATTTCCCCTTTTACAATAAAGAGATCTAAAGTGGTACTTCTATACCTTTCTCACCATCGAATATTGGATGTATGAAAGGCAATTAACTCACTCTTAGTTTATAGGTCCTAGAATCCAGATGAATCGTACCTAAGAAACCATACTTGAAGAGCCTAATTTGTACTTAGAATTGACTTGGCTTAAAGACATCCATACTCTGACCCAGACTTTTACTATGAGATGAGAATTTTGAGAGGTATTGGGAGGCATGAGTATATTTTGCATGTTAGAATAATATAACTAAGTTCAAGATGGCTGACTAGAAGCAGCTAATGTGTGCTGCTTTCACAAAAAGGAAACAAAGTGGTGAGCGAATACCAGCAATTCAGGCAGATCACCTAAGAGATCCCGTTGTAATTCACCAAGAAAGCAACAGGACTCATGGAGAACAAAGAAGAGTAAAGCTGCACAGCCACCCACCTGGGACCAGGGGAGCTGGAGGAATCTCCCTAATGTAAGGAAAGGGTGAGTGAGTGAGAGCCCCTAGAAGATCCACACTTCCGCCATGGACTTTAGTAATCCTGGGCACAGGACAGACTCTCTCACCCACCATGAGCCTCCAGAGCAACACAGAGAGCCACCTGGAGTCTGTGCAGAGGCACTGCTCAAGCCCATATAGGGTCCCACAGGTCTTGGATCCCTGAGCACTTCAGTGCCAGCTGCCATAGCCCTGTCAACAAGGGAGGAAAGGCTCTTTCACTTACTCCTAGTACAGATGCCACAGACGCAGTGCTGAGGAGTAAATTAACTGCAGATCGCACCCTCACTTCTCACCAGGCAGGACTCACCAGCTTTGGTCCCTAGCACAGCCACCCTGCCGTCAGGGTGGAGAGTCATAGCTCCGCATTTCTCTGGGAGGAAACTCCCAGAGGTATGTGATAGTCCCTCTGCAATTGCTGGTTCCCTCAGGCTACAGAGGGATCAAAGGAGTTGAGTGCTTTCCTGCATTTCCAGCATGCTGCTGCTGCTGCACTGAGAGGCAACCAGAACTTTTACCATGGAAAATTTGCCCGTGCTGCTCCACTCCAAACAGGGTACACCAGCTTGGGCACACAGCATGACTGCACACACCTGACTTAGCATTTCAGCTGTGGCCCAGAGTCCTACTGAAAACCCTACCTCCAGTGGATTATGAACTTTCCTTGGGCTCCCACTGCCCAAGTATTCTGTCTGCCCCTGCCTGAGAGTTCAGCCCATGACCTGAGAACTAGCCAGCCCCTCCCCAGTTACGACCAGAACTTGATCCTTGGGCTAGCCCAACCCCAGATTAGCCCCATTAGGACTCATACATGATGTTCAGTTGGCCATCTAGGACAAGGGAACTGGGAAACTATCTATTGTATTCCAACTCTGCTAGCACCTGACCACTTCCCCAGGGCCTGAGGTTGGGCTAATCCAAGTGGCCTATACCACCACAACAAACACCCACCAGCATGGGTCCAAAGGTGGAGCCCTCACCTTTACATGAAATTGCAGTGCTACCACATCAGAGAACAGATGAGCCATAAAGCTATCATAATATGAAGAAGTTGTACCCCGAAACCACTCCCATGGAGAGTCACAAAACAGGCATTTCCTGAGGCTATCAGCCACATTACGGTTCAGAGACAGACTACAGTGTTCATCTGAACTAGAAGTCATGAGCCCCCGAAATATGGGGGTTATAGAGTAACAGTGCACATTACTGCCTATCTAAGATGAGGAGATGCCACAGCTTCATCATTTCCAGTAGGAAGAGACATCAGCACATTTCTCCAGGAGCCCCTCCCAGCCACCTTCATCAGGGTTGGTGCCTGCAGTCAACATACATCCCTCATGGGGAAGCCAGGGGCTCCAGCTCTGCCCAGCTGTGACCCCCACTGCCATGGCACAGAAAACTCAGGAGACTGGGGACTCCACTGTCCAGCTAGCCCATCACTTGAAACAGAGAGCACTCCAGAGTAAACAAAGATCAGATACATCCACATTTGCCTGTGCCACAGCTGGCTCTTAACCGTAAGTAACATGTAGTGGTCTGTAGGTCAAATGGTACAGCCCAATGTAAAACCCGCTAACAGAAGTACATAGAGCTATAGAAGCAAAACCAGAAGACCCTACTCAACTTACTCTACAGTCACACCATTTGGGGAGGGGAAGACAGGGAAAGAAAAAATATAGACAAAAAGAAAAATATCTTGCCATGTGAAAATAGTTAAAAGATTAAAAGTGGCAGGCTGTCCAGACAAGAATAAATCAGCATTAAGAATTCTGGCATTGTAAAAAAATCTGAATGTTGTCACACCACCAAAGGATCCTAGCACCTTTCTAACAATGAGCCCTAACAAAAATGGAAACTCAGAAATGACATAAAGAATTAAAAGCAAGGATTTTAAAAGCTAGAGTCTCAAGACAAGCTTGAAAATCAACACAAGGAAACTTCTAAAGTAATCCAGGAAATGAAGAAAGGATAAATATCTTAAACAGAATTAATCAGAGCTTCTGGAATTAAAAAAAATCATGTAAGAAATTTCAAAATAAAATGGAAAGCTTTCGATAAAGTAGAAGAAAAAATTTCAGAAATTGAAGACTGCCCTTTTGAGTTAATCCAGTCAGACAAAAATAAAAAAAAATTACGAAATGAATAAAGTCTAAGAAATGTGGGATTATGTAAAGTGGCCTAACTTACAAATTATTGGCATTCCTAAGAGAGGCCAAATGTAAACAACCCAGAAAACATATTTAAGGGGATATTTCAAGAAAATTTCCTTAATCTTACTAAAGAGGTAAACATAAAGATATAAAAAAATCCAGACAACACTTGCAAGATACTACACAAAATGAACATCACCAAGGCATATAGTCACCAGACTATCCAAGACCAATGCAAAAAAAAAAAAAAAAAAAAAAAAATGCTTAAACGCAGCTAGAGAAAAAGTTGTTCACAAAGGGAACCCTATCAGGCTAACAGAAACCTCTCAGCAGAAACCTTACAAGCCAAAAGGGACTGGGCATCTATTTTCAACACTCTTAAAGAGAAGAACATTCAACCAAGATTTTCATATCCTGCCAAAATAAATTTCATAAGTGAAGAAATACAATATTTTTCAGACAAGCAAATGCTAAAGAGATTAATTACCTAATTAATAGACCATCCTCACAAGAGGTCCTTCATGGAGTTCTAAACAAGGAAACAAAAGGATGAAACTTGCTACCACAAAAACACACTTAAGTACATAGTCCACAAACCTATAAAGCAACTACACAGTTGAAATCACAGAGCTACTAACAACTTCATGATAGGATAACAATCTCACAAATCAATATTAACTGTGAATATAAATGGTCTACATGACCCAATTAAAAGGCACAAAGTGGCAACATATCCAACATAGAAGCATGCATATTCATAAAACAAGTACTTGTAGACCTAGGAAAAGACTTAGTCACACAATAATACTGAAAAACTTCAACACCCCACTGACAGAATTAGACAGATCATCAAGGCAGAAAACTGGCAAATAAATTCTGGTATTAAATTCAACACAATCTATTGGATCTAATAGACACTATAGAATATTCTACTAATCAACCACAGAAAATAGAGTTTACTCATCTGCACACAGAACAAATCTAAGACTGACTACATACTTGGCCATAAAGCAAGCATCAAAAAATTCCCCCCAAAATGATAAATCATACTAACCACGCATTAAGGCCACAGGGAAATAAAAATGGGAATCAATACCAAGAAGATATCTCAAAATCACAATTACATGGAAATTAACAACTTGTTCTTGAAAACTTTTGGGGAAACAACAAAATCAAAGCAGACATAAAAAATTCTGCATCGAGAAGATAGAAAGTTCTCAAATTAACAATCTAAGATTGTGCTTTGAGGAACTAGAAAAACAAGAACAAAATAATCCAAAAAATAAGAGAAAAGAAATTACTAAAATCAAAGCAGAACTGAATGAATTTGATATCCCCAAATCCATACAAAGGATCAGCAAACCCAAAACTTGGTGCTTTGAAAGAATAAATAAGATCTGTAGACCACTAATCAGATTACCAAAGAAAGAAGAAGAGAAGATCCAAATAAACACAATCCGAAATGACAAAGATGGCATTACAACTTATCCTACAGAAATATAAAAGATCCTCAGAGACTACTATAAACATATCTATGCACACAAACTGGAAAATTTAGAGGAAATGAATATATTCCTAGAAACACACAACCTCCCAAGATTGAATGAGAAAGAAATTGAAACTCTGAAGAGACTAATAGAGTTCTGAAATTGAATCAGTAATAAAAATCCTACCAACCCCCCCCCCCCCCAAAAAAAAAAAAGCCCTGGACCAAATGGGTTCACAGCAAAATTCTACTAGACGTACAAAGAACTGGTACTTAGTCAACTGAAACTCTTCTAAAAATCCAGGAGAAGGGATTCCCCCCTAACTCATTCTATGAAGTCAGCATCATCCTAATACTAAAATTTGGCAAAGACACAATGAAAAAGGAAAATCACAGGGCAGTATCTCTGATAAATAGATACAAAAATCCTCAACTAAATACTAGGAAACCAAATTCAGCAGTGTATCAAAAAGTTAATTCAATACCATACAGTAGGCTTTATTCCTGGGATGCAGAATAGTTTCAATATACACAAATCAATATATATGATTCAATACATAAACAGAACTAAAAATGAAAACCATATGATCATCTCAACATACGCAGAAAAAACTTTTGATAAAACCCAACAATCTTTCATGACAAAAACTCTCAAAAATGCATTGAAGGAATGCACCTCAAAATAATAAATGCCGTGGATGAGAAATGCACAGCCAACATCAGGGTAAAAGCGGGAAGCATTCCTTTTGTGAACAGGAACAAGACAAGGATATCCACTCTCACTACTCCTATTCCACATAGTACTGGATGTCTAAGCCCAAGCAATCAGGCAAGAGAAAGACATAAAATGCATCCACATAGAAAATGAAGTCAAATTACCTGTCCTTTCTTTCTTTTTTTTTTTTTTTTTTTTTGAGACGGAGTCTCGCTTTGTCGCCCAGGCTGGTGTGCAGTGGCGCGATCTTGGCTCACTTAAAGCTCCGCCTGCGGGTTCACGCCATTCTCCTGCCTCAGCCTCCCGAGTAGCTGGGACTACAGGCGCCCGCCCTCATGCCTGGCTAATTTTTTGTATTTTTAGTAGAGGCGGGGGTTTCACCGTGTTAGCCAGGATGGTCTCGATCTGCTGACCTCGTGATCCGCCTGCCTCGGCCTCCCAAAGTGCTGGGATTAGAGGCGTGAGCCACAGCCCCTGGCCCCAAATTATCTGTCCTTTCTGATGATATGATTCTATACCTAGAAAATTGTGAAGACTCTGCCAAAAGGCTCCTAGAACAGATAAATAACTGCAGTAAAGTTTCATGATACAAAATTAATGTACAAAAATTATTAGCATTTATATACATCAATAATGTTGTAGCTGAGAGCCAAATCAAGAACCCAATCCCGTTTAAAATAGCCACACATACACACACACACAACACACACACACACACACACACACACAGATACCTAACAATACAGCTAAACAAGGAGGTGAAAGATTTCTACAAGGAGAACAACAAAATACTACTGAAAGGAATCACAGATGACACAAACAAATGAAAAAACTTTGCACGTTCAAAGATTAGAAGAATCAATATTGTTATAATGGCCGTTCTACCCAAAGCAATCTACAGATTCAACATTATTCCTATGACATTTTTGAAGTTTTTTTCTAATTCTGTGAAAAATGATGTTGGTAATTTCATAGGAATGGTATTCATATGGAACAAAATTGAGCCTGAATAGCCAAAGCAATCATAAGCAAAAAGAATAAAGCCAGAGTCATAACATTACCCAACTTCAAACTGTACTCAAAGGTTAAAGTAATCAAAACAGCATGGTACTGGTACAAACAAACAAACAAAAAACACATAGAGCAATGTAACTGAATAGAGTACCTAGACATAAAGCCACACACCTACAACCATCTGATTTTTGACAAACTTGACAAAAGTAAGCTGTGGGGGTAGGACTCTGTATTCAATAAATGGTGCTGGGATAACTGGCTAGCCATATACAGAAGAATTAAACTGGACCTCTACATTTCACCATATGTAAAAATTAACTCAAGATGGATTAAAAACTTAAATATAGTATCTCAAACTAGAAAATTCTAGAACTAAACCTAGGAAATACCATTCTTGGCATCAGCCTTAGCAAATAATTTATAACTAAATCCTCAAAATCAATTGCAACAAAAATTAACAAGTAAGCCTAATTATACTAAAGAGCTTCTGCACAGCAAAAAAAAAAAAAAAAAAAAAAAAAAAAAAACCAGAAACAAAACAAAACAAAACGTCAGAGTCAACATACAACCCACGGAATGAAAGAAAATCATCACAAGCTATTCATCTAAGAAAGGATTAATATCCACAATCTGTAAGGAACTTAAACAATTCAATAAGCAAAAAACAAATAGCCTCATTGAAAAGTGGGCAAATGAGATGACATGAACAGGCACTTTTCACAAGAAGACATACAAACACCTAATAAACATGAAAAAAATGATCAACATCACTAATCATCAGAAAGATGCAAATCAAAACCAAAATGAGATACCTTCTCATACCAGTCTGAATGGCTATTATCAAAAAGTCAAAAACCAAGAGATGCTGGCAAGGCTTCAAAGAAAAGGGAATGCTGATACACTATTGGTAGTTATGTAAATTAGTTCAGCCACTGTGGAAAGCAGTTTGGAGATTTCCCAAAGAAGTAAAAACAGAGTTACCATTCGACCTAGCAATCCCATTACTGGGTATATATCCGAAAGAAAATAAACCAGTCTGTGAAAAAGATCATGCATTTCTAGGATTAAGATGGCACAGAATTATTTAATATAAGTTTTAAATGACACAAAAGACCTAATAGGAAATGAAGATTTAAAAAAAAAAAGCAGTTTGAGTCAAGTACTTACATATAAAATTGGGTAAAAAAATAGTTAAGTTGTGAAAGATAATAAGGCAAAGCGCTTGGGCCAGGGTAGTTAACTGGGTAGAGAAGTGAGTAGGAAGGGAGGGGCTAGTTTAACAAGGTTTGTTTGTGCATATTTCTTTTGGCTTAAACTTTGTGTCCTTGATGATAAAACTTTTATAGGCAGTCCATTTTTTCTGTTAGACTTTTTTCTCCTGTTTTTAAGCAACAGAATGAAGGTTAGAGTGAATTTTTTTGTATCTGCTGTTTTTTAAAGTACCTTTAATTCAAAATAGTCAATATGCCAACACAGCATATTTTGGGGTGGCATATTCTTAACACCTTCACAGGTTTGTGATTACTTTGACCAGGAGTACAGCAGAAGTGATTATTGAAACTAGAGAATAAGGTCATGAATCTTCCACCTTGTTCACTAGAATGCTTGCTCTTGGTGACTTGAGCCTCCATAGTAGATGTCTGAGTCCCCTGATGCTCCCATGCAGAGGAGGCATGTGTAGATAGAATGGCAGCAGTCCCAGCTTAGCCCAGCCTTCTAGCCATACCCACCAAGGAGCCATACATATGAATGGAAGTAAATGGAATCTTCTTGGACCCTCCAGAGAAGCCCATACATCAGTTGAATACCATGCAGTATTCTCCATGAACACCAAATGAAGCAGAATAACCTAGCCAAACTTAGCCAAATCCCTCACCCACAAAATCATGACATCATAAAATGGTTATTATTTTTAGCTGCTAAGTCTTGGGGTAGTAACTTCCCCTGCAGAAGTAACCAGAGTATGCTGTTTTAATTATTCTTTTTAATTAATTTGACTATTTATTGATCCTAAATCAGTTTATTCTTTACTTTCTCTAGCATTCATAGAGCAATAAATGGGATAATTTATATTTTCTTAATTACTGGCATTAGAAATCCACTCAAGAAATCATACTGCTTGACTCTCTTGCCCTTTTTAGGGTATGTTTGATGTAAAGCAAAACAAACTACTATGTCAGTGCCTGGGTTGGAGACAAATTCTCTCTCCTCTGCATCTCACTGATTGGTCTGATGGCTTTCTGGTACAAAATCTTGAAAATTAGAGAAGAAGCAACTTCAATGAGAGAAACAGAGAGAGAATCAGAGACCACAGGAGGAGTGAAACAAATTTGGTAATAAATATTGTGTATTTCTGTGAATGACTCTTCCTGAAAACAATGTTTGGTAAGATATATTAAATTCAGTAATATACACTAAATATATGTTTTGAAAACTGAATAAGTGAGTTCCACATTGGAATCAATATAGTATCACACAAAGACAACACAATCAATTTGAACACTGGAGTGATTCTCAAGGATGTCTACAGAATATCATCATTCGGAGAGCTTTAAAAAATACCTACACTTGAGATCAACCTCAAGTGATTTTGTTGAATTAATCTGGGGTGTTAATGGAACATGGTTCTTATTTAAATTTCTTCAAAGTGATTCTATTGGTAGCCAATATGGACAATCACTGATCTAGAGTGCCAGGGCTCTCAAATAATTAAAGTACTTATTGAGAAGTTAGGAGAAATATTTGAAAGGAATTTGTCTTCTCTTTGTCCATACTACTGGGAATTCCAAAGCAAACGCATAAAAATAACTGACATCTACTTTTTGTTCATGGTGATCATCACAGTGGTCCATTAACCACACGGATTCCTATTTCTCTTCCACTATTGCATTTCATTTAGTTTTTGCTGCTGCACTAGGCCTGCCTTCTACCTGTGTAGCCAAAAAAAGCGGAGAGTGGGGAATTTAGTGAATATGTTACTGTTACACATTGGAATAGCTTAGCTGAATAAATTGTCTATATAAATTGAATAGATTGTCTATATAGATTGCAGGTCTATTCTATAAATATTCTTCATTGATACTGAAGCTTCTCTGAGGGATTTCTAGGATCTTATCTTTGTATGTCCACTATTCTGATATAATCAAAATATGTTTCATTATGGTGTACAAGAGAAATATTCATAATTGGCATTATATTTAAATGTATTCAAAAATATACATGCATGCTTTATGACCTAAACCCATTAGGTTATTTGTGAGTTGAATTTCCAAAAGATTTCAGTAATAAAAACTGTATGAAACTACTAAAAATGTGTAGCGCAAAACGGATATTGATTTGCCTATGACTACATATATTATTTTATGTTTCATCGTACTGTGTACCATTTTTTATTTTAATAAAACATTTTTCTGCTCAACTAGAAGGTTTATTAAAACACAGATATTCATAGTTTATATTTTAGAGATTTAATATTCAGTTGAGTATGTTTATTGGTATGTGATTTACCTAAATAATTCTTTCCACATTGGCTCTACTCTAGAGTTAAAAAAAATCGAACAAATGTTTTTATAAAAATGAGCCTGCAAATGTTTCACTGAGTATATAATTGTACGTATCCAGTGATGTTATATACCACAAAAAAGAGAATTACATTTTTCAAACACCATCTTGCTGGAACAAGCCTAAAGAATGAGCAATAATTCCTGTGCAATATAATGTACCAAAATGAAAATAATGAAATGTTCTTTAAAAATACTCTAGGCTGATAAAAAGGAATGAGAGCATGTCCTTTGTAGGGACACGGACAGAGCTGGAAGCCATTATCTTCAGCAAACTAACTCAGGAACAGAAAACCAAACACCACATGTTCTCACTTACAAGTGGGAACTGAACAATGTGAACACATTGACACAGGGAGGGGAACAACACACACAGGAGCCTTTTGGTAGATGGGGTTGGGGGAGGGAGAGCATTAGGAAAAATAGCTAAAGCATGCTGGGCTTAATACCTAGGTGATGGATTGCTGGGTGTAGGAAACCACCATGGCACATGTTTACCTATGTAACAAACCCACACATCCTGCACATGTACTCCAGAACTCAAAATTTAAAAAAAATACTGTAGACTGAAAATCAGATCTTTCTTGGAATTCGGGTTCAAAATTAAGGTGAAAATTACTTAGATGAAAAATTACATATGTATGTCCTTTAAATATCCTATAACATATAATATAGTTTGTATTGTGTACAATAAATTTTATGGAAAAAAATAGTTTAAAAACCATTGACCTAGAGAATAGGTAGGAAAAAAATCACTCTATGTAGATGTATGGATTTTCAAACTATTTTCATTTTGTTCATACTATTAAATTATAATAATTATATATGAGTATATTAAGTACTAGGCACGTTTCTAAGTACATGTATTAGCCAATTTCATCCTCACTAAATACAATTAAATAGACGCTCGAATGACTAAAAAATGCTCTTAATAATATTACCAGATGCCTATTACTGAGTAAGCATTTCTAATATATGCCATTTGCCTGCAGAATTTATTACATTATGTTTTATGTCGTTTCTAAAATCTCTGTGTGTGTGCACAAATGTGCACCTATAAAAAAGGTTGCATTTATGCTGATGAGACTTAAATGGGTCACTTTTGACTTTAAGTCAGTTTCTTAAGTGTATTAAAGAGTTCAGGAATTAAAGTGAGCAAAATGTGCACAGAATGTCCTCTTCATCCCTTCCTCCTTCCACTTCTCTCTCTCATTCCCCCATTTCCTTACATATTATGAATTCACATCCTTATATTGACTTAATGGTTACTTTAAATTATAGTCATTGAAATTATTCATTTTGATGCTAAAATCACACCACATATAACCAGCTCTTTCAAGCTGAATTTAATTGTGTGTCTGTGTGAGTTTACATGATTTTATTGGTCTTTGAGTGTTTCTTGCAAAACAGTACCTACACCAAGGTAAGTCTAGATATAGATACAGATACAGGTACAGGTACGGATACAGATACAGATACAGATACAGATACAGATACAGATACAGATTTAGATAGATATAAGCCTTACATGCATTTTGTGTGCCAAAAGATTATATTCTAGTATCTCTTCAAGGAGTCTTAATTCTATTTAGTGGCTAATGGCATTCTGAAACCAAAACCTGGGCGCTAGGTGTGCTAATTAATTCCAGGGTATCATTGCTTTTAGACTTTTTCGGTGGACAGATATATGATATTTTTAATAAACTTTATTTTTATACCAGTTTTGAATTTACAGAAATATTACAGAGTACTAGTAGTCTCCATAAACTCTACACTCAGTTTCCTTTATAATTAATATCTTTCATCACTATGAATATTTGTTGTAATTAACCACTATTGAGGCTTTAGTCACTAAAATGTGTATCTTAATCATATTTTCTTATATTACACTTGATGTGCCTTTCCTTGTCCCAAGATCTCATCCAAGATACCATATTGCATTTAATTATCATGTCTGTTTAAGTTCCTCTTGGCTATAAGTTTCCCAGACATTCCTTGTATCCAGAATTCAAATGTTTTATAGAAAGTTCTTCAATTAAAATGGTCTCAATTTGAATTAAAAAGTCTGATGTTCTTCCTTATGATTAGACTGGAGTTATGGCTTTTTGGAAAGAAATTAGATGGGTTAAGTATCATTTTGAGAACATCACATCAAGATTATATACAATCATGGTATCACTGTTGTTAACTTGGATCCGTGGCTGAGGTAATGGTTTGTCAGATTTCTTCACTGCCAAGTTATTCTTTTCCCTTCTTTCTATACTGTACTTTGGGGAGAGAAGTCACAATGCAGAGCACACTTAAGGATTGTGGAATTAAATGCAACTTCCTTGAGGGCAGATTATCTATGTAAGTTATTTGGATTTCTTCTGCATGGGAGATTTGTCTTTTCTACTCTATTTGTTTTCTACACAATAATTTAAATTAGTTTGAACTCATGGATATTTACATTCTACTTTTGGTTAAAATATAGTACTTTATTTTTCATATTTATTGTTTGAGAGCTCTTTCAGTTGGCTCTGGGGTGCTTTAACTTCCTCATTATGGTTTTGTTTTGTTTTTTAAACTCCCTTATTTTGTGACACTACAAGATATACCAGGCTTATCTGGTATATTTCCTGTCTTAGTCCTAGAATCAGCCGTTTATCCAAAAAGCCCTAATTGTTTCTGTTGGAGGAGATTACAATTAGAAAGTAAGATCTGGGGAAGTGGTGTCCTCAAAGTTACTGGGGTGTCTTTGCCTTTAGGTGCTCTTCACTGCAGAGATGGAAATATATGTGTGTATACCAACCCATGTATATAAACATATCTGTAAATATTTATGTTTTTAAAATTTTTTCTTTTCAAAATTTTAAGTGTTAGGATTCACACTTTGTACTGTATTTTACAAAGGATTTTGACAAATAATGTCATGTGTCCAAAATAGATTCATAGCCTTAAAAAAAAATCCCTTGTGTAGACAGGGATGCCATCTCTCACCACTCCTATTCAACATAGTGTTGGAAGTTTTGGTCAGGGCAATCAAGCAGGAGAAAGAAAAAAAGGGTATTCAATTAGGAAAAGAGGAAGTCAGATTGTCCCTGTTTGCAGACGACATGATTGTATATTTAGAAAACCCCATCATCTCAGCCCAAAATCTCCTTAAGCTGATAGGCAACTTCAGCAAAGTCTCAGGATACAAAATCAATGTGCAAAAATCACAAGCATTCTTATACATCAATAACAGACAAATAGAGAGCCAAATCATGAGTGAACTCCCATTCACAATAGCTTCAAAGGGAATAAAATACTTAGGAATCCAAATTACAAGGGATGTGAAGGACCTCTTCAAGGAGAACTACAAACCACTGCACAACGAAATAAAAGAGAATACAAACAAATGGAAGAACATTCCATGCTCATGGATAGGAATAATCAATATCGTGAAAATGGCCATACTGCCCAAGGTCATTTATAGATTCAATGCCATCCCCATCAAGCTACCAATGACTTTCTTCACAGAATTGGAAAAAACTACTTTAAAGTTCACATGGAATCAAAATGAGCCTGCATTGCCAAGTCAATCCTAAGCCAAAAGAACAAACCTGGAGGCATCATGCTACCTGACTTCAAACTATATTATAAGGCTACAGTAACCAAAACAGCATGGTACTGGTACCAAAACAGAGATATAGACCAATGGAACAGAACAGAGCCCTCAGAAATAATACCACACATCTACAACCATCTGATCTTTGACAAACCTGACAAAAACAAGCAATGGGGAAAGGATTCCCTATTTAACAAATGGTGCTGGGAAAACTGGCTAGCCATATGTAGAAAGCTGAAACTGGATCCCTTCCTTACACCTTATACAAAAATTAATTCAAGATGGATTAAAGACTCATATATTAGACGTAAAACCATAAAACCTTCGAAGAAAACCTAGACAATACCATTCAGGACATAGGCATGGGCAAGGACTTCATGTCTAAAACACCAAAAGCAATGGCAACAAAAGCCAAAATTGACAAATGGGATCTAATTCAACTAAAGAGCTTCTGCACAGCAAAATAAACTACCATCAGAGTGAACAGGCAACCTACAGAATGGGAGAAAATTTTTGCAATCTACTCATCTGAAAAAGGGCTAATATTCAGAATCTACAAAGAACTCAAACAAATTTACAAGAAAAAAACAAACAATCCCATCAAAACGTGGCCGAAGGAGATGAACAGACATTTCTCAAAAGAAGACATTTATGCAGCCAACAGACACATGAAAAGATGCTCATCATCACTGGCCATCAGAGAAGTGCAAATCAAAACCACAGTGAGATACCATCTCACACCAGTTAGAATGGTGATCATTAAAAAGTCAGGAAACAACAGGTGCTGGAGAGGATGTGGAGAAATAGGAACACTTTTACACTGTTGGTGGGACTGTAAACTAGTTCAACCTTTGTGGAAGACAGTTTGGCGATTCCTCAAGGATCTAGAACTAGAAATACCATTTGACCCAGCCATCCCATTACTGGGTATATACCCAAAGGACTATAAATCATGCTGCTATAAAGACACATGCACACGTATGTTCATTGTGGCACTATTCACAATAGCAAAGACTTGGAACCAACCCAAATGTCCATCAATGATAGACTAGATTAAGAAAATATGACACATATATACCATGGAATACTATGCAGCCATAAAAAATGATGAGTTCATGACCTTTGTAGGGACATGGATGAAGCTAGAAACCATCATTCGCAGCAAACTATCACAAGGACAGAAAATCAAACACTGCATATTCTCACTCATAGGTGGGAATTGAACAATGAGAGCACTTGGACAGAGGAAGGGGGTGGGGGGAAGGAGGAGGGGTAGCATTAGGAGATATACCTAATGTAAATGACGAGTTAATGGGTGCAGCACACCAACATGGCACATGTGTACATATGTAACAAGCCTGCACGTTGTGCACATGTACCCTAGAACTTAAAGTATATGAAAAAAATACCTTGTGTTTCACTCGCTCAACCCTACCTTCCCACCCCCAAAATCCTGGCAACCACCAAGTTTCTTTCTATTAATAATATTATTAGAAGAAGACAACATGACATCTACCCTCTTAATATATTTTTAACTATACAATACATTGTATTGTTATCTATAGGCACAATGTTGTACATCAGATCTCTAGAACTTAATTATGTTATATAACTGAAATTTATATACATTCATTAGCCATTTTCCATTTCCCCCTCTATCCAGCCTCTGACAACCACCATGCTAGTTTTTGTTTCTATTAGTTTGACTATTAAATGGAATCATGCAGTATTTGTCCTTCTGTGACTGGCTTGCCTAGCATATTTCACTTAGCATAATGTCCTCAAGGTTCTTCTATTTTTGCCTTTTACAGAATTTCATTTTGAAATCATACAGTGTGGAGCATTTCAGACTGATTACTTTCTCATATCAATATGCATTTAATATTCAGAGACTATTTTCATGGCTCGATAGCTCATGTTTTATCTCTGAATAATATTTTATTTCATGGATATACCACAGTTTGTTTCTCCATTGACCAGATGAAGGGCATCTAGGTGGCATCCATTTCTGATGATGAATAAAGCTGCTGTAAACATTTGCATGCAGGTTTTCGTGTGGACATAACTTTTCAAGTTGATTCTGTAAATACCAAGAACATGGTAAAAGTATATTTAACTTTGTAAAAATGTGTCAAAGTCTTTCAAAGGGGTTATGCTATTTTCATTCACACCCGCAATGAAAGAGAATTACTGTTGCTCCACACATTCACCAGCAATGGTATTTTCAGTTTTCATTTTTTATAAACCCCTCTGTTTTATTCTCCAAAATAAACCTGTCTTTGACTGTTGAGCCACTTTTAGTGTTTCTTTCCTCTTTTGTTAACTCTTAAAATATCATATTCCTAAATGATTTTTTGAATTGTAATACTAATATTGTAGCTTAAGACTCCTTGATAATTCTTTTTGTCCTTAGAATATGTTCCACAAGGGGTGTATACTCAGAGTCCTCAGTTAAAATTTATTATAAAATACTTCTTGTCTCTTCACAGTTGTGTTTACTATCTCATATATAATTAGGTTCATTTCTAAATTATTTTATTAAATTTTAGGTTTGCTTTTTTTCTTGAGAATTACATTTTATTTTTTGTGTGTAAAATACTGACATGGTTAAAAAATGAAAACCTTATAAAATTGGCATATTTGGAGAAATATTACTTCCACTTATATTTCCTTCCCACTCTTCTGCCTGTCTTTCATATAGTAAATCGTTTTCAATATTTTCTGCCTTAACCATTGTCTGAGAGAATACATATTTTTCTTATTGCCCCTTCTATTTTACACAATTGTGGTAAACTAAAAATACTTCTGTAATTTTCTAACTTCACAATATACCTTAGAAATAAATCTACAGGCCAAATGCTGTAGCTTATGCCTGTAATTCCAGCACTGTGGGAGGCCAAAGTGGGTGGCTCACTTGAACCCAGTGGTTTGAGACCAGCCTGGGCAACATGGCAAAACCCTGTCTCTACAGAAAATAAAATAAAATAAAATAAAAATTATCCAGTCATGGTGGTGCATGCCTGTAGTCCCAGTTACTACTGAGGCTGAGGCAGGAGAATCACTTGAGCCTCGGAGATGGAGGTTGCAATGAGGAGAGATCACACCATCACATCACTGCACTGCAGCCTGCATGACAGGGTAAGACGAAAAGAAAAAGAAAAAGAAAAGAAAAGAAAAAAGAAAAGAAAAGAAAGAAAGGAGAGAGAAGGAGGGGGAGGGGAGGGGAGGAGAGGAGAGAGGAGAGAGGAAAGGAGAGGGGAGAGGGGAGAGGAGAGGAGAGCGGAGGGGAGGGGAGAGGGGAGGGGAGGGGAGAGGAGAGTGGAGAGGGGAGGAGAGAGGAGAGGGGAGGAGAGAGGAGAGGGGAGTGGAGAGGAGGGGAGGGGAGAAGAGAGGAGTGGAGGGGAGGAGAGGAGAGGAGAGGAGAGGAGAGGAGAGGAGAGGAGAGGAGAGGAGAGGCCGGGCATGGTGGCTCACGCCTGTAATCCTGGCACTTTGGGAGGCCGAGACGGGTGGATTACATGAACTCAGGAGTTCAAGACCAGCCTGGACAACACAGTGAAACCCTGCCTCTACTAAGATACAAAAAATTAGCCAGGCATGGCGGCACACACCTGTAGTCCCAGATACTCAGAAGGCTGAGGCAGGAGAATTGCTTGAACCCAGGAGGCGGAGGTTGTAGTGAGCCAAGATCGCATCACTGCACTTCAGCCTGGGCGACAGAGTGAGACTGTCTCCAATCGTTGTTATGAATCATAGTACAACCATACACTTCTGCATTATGTTGTTTTGTGTTCATAGAAGTGAATCAAATTCCTCTGCATAGAGGTAATATTTTGCAAGCCTTCACAGCATATATAAATTCCTGGTTTTCTACAACCCAGACAACAGAGTGTATTGTCAGTCTTTCGGAATTTGTCAATTTGATAAGAGATACTTTGATATCACTAAGTAGTTTTAGGTGTTGATTTTATAGTTGCTGAGTTAAACATAATTCATTTCCATGAGGATTATTTTCCATTTTTCCCCATTCACTGCACTTTGTCCTTTTTTGTTGTTAGTTTATTCTTTTTTTCTCTCTCTCTCTCTACTTTTCAGAGCATGCTATGTGGTGAGGATTTTAAAGCTTTGTCTGTGATATCAATGAAAAACATTTTGTTCCAGGCCCTCTTTTGGCTATTGCCTTTAATGCAATTCAGTTTTTATTTATGTTTATTTTTAGACTGCAGAATGTATTATTGCACTTTTTAAATTACTTCTGAATTTTAAATAAAAGACTCTTTCATGAGCATGTCAAAAGTAGGTGTATTTTCTTATATCAGAGTACAAAAGTGGATATATCAAAAAAGCTTCCTTATCGATTACTACTTAGGTGCTCTTCATCTTTATTCAATATTGTATCCATTAGATCTGAAACAAAAATAGTGTGCTGGCAGTTTATCAAGAAGTGCTCTCAGGATCAATACCTATTGAATAAATGGAAAGAGTCAGAATCATACACAGGAAGTAATTGGGAGGTGATGTAGTCTTCACAAAGGCTTCAGCCAGCAAACCTAAGGGGAGCATTAAACCTGGGATGGCCCTAAAGCGTGGTTTCATGTAACATGGAGAAGGGCAGGCAGTTATCCTTCCGCATTGATTGGTCTGTGGATATAGTCACCAAAAAGGGGGCTTGTCGTTGGGAGAGTCAACTCTTTTTAGCCAAGACAATATAAGAGAAGGAAACAGCTGGAAATTGGCAACTGGTAATACTTCCAGCAGCTGGGGGAAAATTCTTTGAGTCCTGAAGAGAGTTTCTGGGAAGTTTTTATATCTTTCTTCTTTCTACAGTATACTGTAGTCTCTGTTCTTTGAAGGCGTCTGCTGGATTTTTTAGTGCACATCTATCAAAAACTAGATATTTTCATTGTGAATTGTGGTTATTAGCATTATAAAATATCCCACTTTATCTTTAATGTTAATTTGCCTTATTAGATATGACATTTTCAATACTTGTCTGATATATTTTGACCATTTTTAAATTTGTATCCATTTATCATATTTTGGTATGGTGTATTTTTATGTAGAATGTAGAATTGTATGTTGCTTTGTGAGCCATTTTGAAATGTTTTCTTCTTTTGAAAGATGAGTTAACCCAATTTACATTTGTTGATAAAAATCGTGCTTATTTTTAGCTCTTATACTATTTTATGTAAGAAATACTATATGTTATATTTACCATGTAATTTTTACTATGTAACTTGAATCCTTTTACAAAATAATAGAAAAAAATGCTAAATGTATTTTGGTATTTGAAATGTTTACTTTTTCTGTCATAATGGTTACCTTTATAATTATGCTGTTTGATACTTAAATCTACTTTTCCTTACACAGGCTTCCATTGTTTGGTTTGTGATTTTTCTATTTTTTGGTTTTGAATGTTTCTTTGTTTTCTAGTGATGCCAAGGAGTTTAATTTACTTTTTCTTCTCTCTCTCTCTCTCTTTTTGATGTTATAACCACTTTGTCAGAGTCTAAATAATTCATATTTACTGTTCTCATTTTTGGCTTAGTCTTAAAATTACATATATATACATATATAGTATATGTTTACATATATCATATTACATGTATAGTATATATATAAATTTTTAGTATCTTTTTATTGATGTGTCCTCATTCATCTTTTGATTAAATGAATATTTTTCTTTAGTAGGAGGGTCTCCTGGAATAATATGTTCGAGATTCCTTTAGTTGCTTTACTCAATATATTCTGGTATGAGTTTAAATATACCATCTTACTGTTTAATTGTTATGTATTTAAATTGCCTTATGACTTTTACCTTTCTTTACTCAGCTTCTTTTTAATTATTTTAAATATTGCTTCCCCTTATCTTCTTTGCTTTCATTTATGTAACCTTTCACTCTTCTTTTAATGGTTACTCCAATTTCGATTAAATTTGAACTTAAAATAGTGATTTTTACCACTTACCCAATAACCAGGAAACTTAGGAGACTTTAAAACACTCTTTTTTCTGACTTACATGTGATTATTATGCATTGTAATTACCTGTATTTTGGAAACCTCATAGAGCCTTTTATTATTGCCTTATATGGTCAATATTTTATTAAACTTACCACTATATAAAAACTCTTCACTACTCATTGGCTCTTTATATTCAAACTACCTTCCAGGTTATGTTTCCTTATGAATGAAGAATATTCTTTTACCTTACTTTTACAGCAGGTATGAGAATTTTCCCCATTTTTGTTTGCCTGAAAATAACTTTCTTTAGGATTGATATTATGTTCAAAGTTATTTTATTTAAACCTTCTGAATATAATTTTATAATACTCTGGTTTCCATCATTTCCTTTGAGAAGCCAATTCTCAATTTATTGATGTTCCTTTGCAGGTGTCTCCAGAGCACCCCACCCACTGGATCCCTTTCTTTCAGATTTTTGTCTTTTTGTTTCATTTTCAGCAATGTCACGTAACATTCCTGGGTGCAGTTTTTTCATATTCATCCTGTTTGAGGTTGTTAGAGTTCTAGTTTCTGTGACTGAAAGGTATTTTCTCTTTTTGGAAACTTTCAGCCATTATCATCTTTGAATATGGTTTCTGCTTTATTCTCTCTCTCTTCTCCATTTGGAACTCAAAGTACTTGTCAGTTAGACTTTACCACTTTATCAATGGGTCTTTGATGCTCTTTTCCATGTTTTTCTTTGTATATGTAAGTGTATCCATTTTTCTTTGTATGTGTAATTGGGGATTTTTTCTTCAGATCCATTTTTCAAATATACTAAGTTTTTTATACAGTGGTATTTAATCTGCTATTAATGCAACCCAATAGCATTGTAATTTTAATAAATTTGCAACTGTATAATTTCATTTACTTGTTTTAAAAATAGTTAAGAGTTTTATGCCAAAAATCAGTATTTTTTTAATTTTTGAAAATAGGCCGGATGCAGTGGCTCATGACTGTATGAGACCAGCAGTATGAGACCAGCCTGCACAACATGGTGAGACCCTGTCTCTACAAAAAATAATAATAAAAAAAATAGACAGGCATGGTGGCTCACGCCTGTGGTCTCAGTTATTTGGGATGCTGAGGTAGGAAGATCACTTGAGGCTGGGAGGTCAAGCCTGCAGCAAGCCATGTTTGTGCCACTCCACTCCAGCCTAGACTACAGTGTGAGAACCTGCCTCGAAACAAACAAAAATAACTATATAAAAATAGTTATTTTAAAGCCTGTGTCTGCTTTCTTTGTATTTCTTCATCGAACTCATTATATTAAGGCCTTAAAGTGTCAGAGATAATTTATCAGTTTGACTAATTTGGGAGAAAATACAAATTGGACACTTAGAAGAAGCAAATAGAGATGACTCAACAATTTTGCTGAAAAAGAAAGAAATATGGTGGTAGCTGGAGGAGAAAATGAAGTCACATTTCTAAATAATACTTGGGCCAAGGAAAATGTCTCAAGACAAATTGTTTTTAAATATCTGGAATTAAATGAAAATGAAGGTGCAACTGACCAACATTTGTCAGGCACGGTGAAACAGTTCCTAGAAAGAAATTTATAACATTGAAGGTTGTATTAGTTCGTTTTCATGCTGCTGATAAATACATACCTGAGACTGGGAAATTTACAAAAGAAAGAAGTTTAATGGGACTTACAGTTCCTTATGGCTAGGGAGGCATCACAATCATGGCAGCTTCACAATCATGGCCTCACTTAATCACATCTTGAGTGGACGGCGGAAGGCAAAAAGAGAGAACCTGTGCAGGGGAATTCCTCTTTTTACAACCATCAGATCTGGCCAGGTGCGGTGGCTCGCACCTGCAATCCCAGCACTTTGGGAGGCCGAGGCAGGTGGATCACCTGAGGTCAGGAGTTCGAGACCAGCCTGGCCAATATAACAAAACCCTGTCTCTACTAAAAATACAAAAATTAGCTTGGCATGGTGGTGTGGGCCTGTAATCCCAGCTCCTCGGGAGACTGGGAAATTTACAAAAGAAAGAGGTTTAATGGGACTTACAGTTCCACATGACTGGGGAGGCCTCACAATCATGGCAGAAGGCAGGGAGGAGTAAGTCGCATCTTAAGTGGATGACGGCAGGCAAAAAGTGAGAACGTGTGCAGGGAAACCCTTCTTTTTAAAACCATTAGATCTCATGAGGCTTACTTATTATCATGAAAACAGCATGGGAAAGACTTGCCCCCATGATTTAATCACTTCCCATTGGATTCCTCCCATGACATGTGGGGATTGTGGGAGTTACAATTCAACATGAGATTTGGTGGGGGACACAGCCAAACCATATCAAATGTGTATACAAGAAAAAAGGAAAGAGCTAAATCAAAAAACCAAAGCTTCCACATTAGAGAACTAGAAAAATAAGAATTTAAGGTCAGAGAAAACAGGAGAAAAAGAGAAACAGCAGAAAGCAATGAAATCAAAAACAACAGACACAAACAATAGGAATAATAGAAAAAATATTTTAAAAAATTAAAAAGTGGAGAATTTCATAAAAATGGAAGTCACAATCCAGTCTATGATCGGTAAAATTGATAAACTTCTAGCCAGGCTAAGTGAGAAAAAAATGGAAGACACAAATCACCAATATCAGGAAAAAAGGAAGGGTAATTATTATGGCCTCATAGATATTAAAGGATAAAGCAATACTATGGCCAAATCTATGCCCATAAATCTGATAACTTAGGTGAAATGGATAAATATATTAAAAGATACAAACTGTCAGAATTACACAAGGATAAATACTCTAAATCAGCCTATATTTATTTAAACAAATAAACCAATAACTGACAATGCTTCTTGAAAGAAAGCACCAGGCCTAAATGATTTTAACTGCTAAAAATATTTTTCTCATTTTCCAAGATTGTATTGACTTATCAATTAATGACATCACTAGTAAGGTGTTACAACCAATTCAAATAATTCTAAAATATACATTTACATGCTGTCAGGAATGAAATGAATTTACAAAACTTTGGTCTATATCCACAGAACAATATTCAATTATATCTTTACCAGACACAATTTGTATTTTTTTAAAATGTATTTTACTGAGATGAAATATCCCTGTGCCACCAAAGCTAGAGTGCAGTGATGTAGTCATAAATCACTGTAGTCTCAAGCTCCTGGGCTCAAGTGATTCTCCTGCCTCAACTTTCTGAGTAACTGGAACTACAGGCAGGTGTCACCACACATGGCTAATTTACTATTTGTATTTTCATGAACATGAAACATTTCCATTACCACCTGTACTCTACAACTTTTATAGTCTTAAAAATGGTCAAAGGAAGTAAAAGGCAGAGATAACCTGCGGGTATACAAACTGAGACATAATCATTTTTGCCTTTTTCAGTGGCTCTCCCAATTTTTTTCTGACATATGTTAAGAATATGGTGGGGGCTCTTGCAGAAGCTCAAATTGGTTATAAAAAATAGTTTTTTTTCATATATTTTAGATGCAATATATACATATTTCATTTTTCAGTGAATCACGTTCCAAAGCCATTACCACCATCTACATAGCTCTGAATGGTCCTTCATTAATGCACTGCAGAAGTGAAGGTGATGCACCTTCCCAAAACCTGAGAAATTAATGTTCAGGCACCCTCATGTAAGTACTGGCAGGGTTCTCATGCTTATGAAGTGGGAATACCTCCATCCAACCTGAGCCGCAACCTCATTTATACAGGGAGATCCAAAGCCATACTCCGTAGAATCATAGCATCTCAGAGAACTGCCTTTAATGGAATTGCCCTTTCTCCCTGACTCAAACTTAAGATATTGAGGATCAAGTTTAATGGCCATAGCAATGACAGAAAATGATAGACAGATTCAACTTTCTTTGACAGTCTTGAAAGCCTCCTGTTTGTGATAGTATTCTACCCATCCATCTATCCATTCATCCAAACTTTTTTTTTTTTTTTGAGACAGAGTTTCACTCTTGTTGCCCAGGCTGGAGTGCAATGGCGCGATCTCGGCTCACTGCAACATGCGTGACCCAAGTTCAAGCGATTCTCCTGCCTCAGCCCCCCGAGTATCTGGGATTACAAGCATGTGCCACCATGCCCAGCTAATTTTGTATTTTTAGTAGAGACGGGGTTTCTCCATGTTGGTCAGGCTGGTCTCGAACTCCTGACCTCAGGTTATCCACCCGTCTCGGCCTCCCAAAGTGCTGGGATTATAGGCGTGAGCCAGCATGCCTGGCTTCATCCAACCTTTTAATCATTAATACTAGGATAAGCTTAGTATTAAGGCTAAGTCACTGGAATAAGCTTATCACAAATCAGCAGAAGGTTCCTAAATGCTATCACCTGATACCTTTCTAGGGGGTTCTCTCTCCAGGGAAATGTCATGGTGTCATGAAAGCAGCAGGGGGCTGAAGGGAAAGAAACTCAAACTCCTTAGCTCTTTTCCTTGTCGGGCACCTTACTATCATCTGTGAAACATGGGGACTTAAGTTTCTACCACTTGATAGGACTATTGTTATAACTAGGGCTGCAGTTGAAGAAAAATATAAAATCACTAAGTTCAAATTCCTTTAAGCCACAATGTTACCATTTGGCTAGAACTCAGGCCAATTGCTGGTAACATTTACTCTCTCCCTCACACTTAGAATTCTTATTTCCACATCAGTACTTTGTGGAAAAATTCTTATTTCGTTCTTTCTGATTGGTGTACTAGAATAATAGCATCTTCTATCTTATTATAATTAATATAATATTATCATAATCACGTTTAACCTATTTATAGCTCATTAACACAACCACTCAGGGCTACAATGACCTAATCTTTTCTCTACTTTTTCTATATGCTTATCACAAATGATTTCATATATTTCTATAGCTTTTAATAGTTCTTATGATACATCTACCAATCATTTAAGGGAGAAATTACATCAATTCTCCACAATCATTTTTAGAAATTACAAACAGAATGAATACTTCCCAATTCATTCTATGAGGCCAGCATTGCCCTGAACAAAGCCAGATACACATTACAAAAAAGAAAAGCTTCATAGCAGTATCTTAATGAACTTAGATTCAAAAATCCACAAAAATATTACCAAATTGAATCTAAACGTGTATAAAATTTCAAAAACATGTTACTCCATCTAAAGGCCAAATTTTCTCCTGGTCTTAAAAGCAGTTCCTGTTTTTTTCCCCTGCAGGTAAACATATGTTTACCTAAAATAATGCTATGGAATGAAAAACACAATAAAGATGACAAATAAAACAAAAAATAACAAATATTACCTAGTTTGTGAATAAGTTAAAATATCAAATTTTCACTGAGACTCTGTAAACAAATTAAGTAAATTCATGTGCCGCTAAAATAAAAGGCAACTAAATTAATCCTGTACTATTTGGCTCCATAACAATTCAGCAATTTTTAAAAAAATTCATAATATACATTATCACAAAATACGATTCAGGAATATAAAATATAGACAAAAATTGTTAAACTTCTGATTTTAATCGCGTGCTTAAAAATTAGCAACTTTTTTGAAGCAGATACTGAATAAAGGAAGATTTCTTTTTTGTTTGTTTGTTTTGTTTTGTTTTTTTCTTTTGAAACACAGTCTCACTTGTCACCCAGGCTGGAGTGCAGTGGTACAATCTCAGCTCACTGCAACCCCCACCTCCCAGCTTCAAGCAATTCTGTGCCTTAGGCTCTTGACTAGCTGGAATTATAGGCATGTGCCACCACACCCAGCTAATTTTTGTATTTTTAGTAGACATGGGGTTTCACCATGTTGTCCAGGCTGGTCTCAAACTCCTGACCTTAAGTGATCCACATGCCTTGGCCTCCCAAAGTGCTGGGATTACAGGCGTGACCCGCCTGGTCCTAAAGGAAGTTTTCAACACCATTATCTTCACAGAAGATTCGTAGGTGCATTTTGCTATAAGCCCAACTGAAAATTATTAATCATGTATATGGGACTCAGGAGATATAGTTATGTTTGTTTTAGTTTAATCTTATCACTAAGCCAATGAGATAACGTTATACCAAATGCTATGGAAGTATAAACAGCCTAGTGAGAATTTATATATATTTCCTAAAGTCATACAACTAAGTGGAGGGCAGTAATATTAATTTAGGACTAACAACATCAAAAGGAAACCTAGCTCCATTCAAGAAGTTAGATTTGTGAAAGCATGAAGTATCAAGGAATCAACCTATACATTTCCTTCTGATTTCAAGCTGTTTTGATTAGGTATGCTTTCAAATGCAAGCAACAGAGTATTTGGCTTATCTTTACTTAAGCAAATACCATCTTCTTTCTCTTTTCTGTGTCAGTCCCTGTCTCTCTCTCAAGCTCATTCATGTGCACATGCATGTACGGTGAGGCCTCAGGAAGCTTATAATCACGGCAGAAGGTGACAAGGAGACAGTATGTCCTATAGTCGGAATAGGAACAAGAGAATGAACGGGGCTTGACCCCAGACTTTTAAACAACCAGATCTCCCGTAAACTAACTGAGAATGCACTCATCACCAAGGGGATAATACTAAACCATTCATGAAGGATCTGGCCCCATGATCCAATACCTCCCACATCCAACATCGGGAATCACATTTCAACATGAGATTTGGAGGGGGCAAACATCGAAACCATATGAAGGGTGGACATCTTTGCTGGAGCACACCATAAAAAGGTTTCCTTAACTCAGTCCTTTTCTGTAGTGCAACCTAATGTCTGTGCAGGATTCGTCTGGGTTTCACTGTATTGTCTGTGGAAATTGAGGTTTGGGGACCTGGGAGAATTGACTCCACGATGGCACCCTTGTAACCTTGCACATCGCTGCATGCGCTACACAGCCAAGTCTTAACTGTGGCTGATGTAGGTCTTAGACAGAATGCCCCATGATTCTTCTGGAACATGAGATCATGGGAAACTTGTGCATAGAAATTACAATAGAAGTTTTCTACCTGCCTTCCTATTCTCCTAGGAGATTGTCATGAGGTATTTTTTCACAGCCCCCTGGTTTCTGAACATGTATGAGTCTGTTGGCTTCACCTCTTCAGGGTAACAGCTGAAAGCTCTAAGATTGCTTAGCTACAGCATGGCCTCATCTCTTCAGTGACAGACTCCCAACACTCATGTTATATTGCCATGTCATCTGCCCCCTTTTGTGTATGTGCCATTCTGTAAGATAAATTACATGGAAAGCAGGCACCTTTGTTTTTCTTGCTTTTCGCTATCTATCTACATAATAAGCAATGTTAATTTAAAAAGGTCTTGTCCTCTCTTTACTGGCCAGATCTGTCAGCTTTGCCTTGACTAGGAACCAGCACAAGAAAATGATGATACTCTGGCTACTGCTGTTGCTGTGACTAATAACTGTTCTTTGATGCAGAAAAGAACAGTTTGATGTCTCTTCTGCTAGCATTCATGAAACTGTCGCACTCACATTTGTTGGCTTGCAAGTATTGTAAAATGTTAGATCTTTCAGAGTTCCAGAGAATGACATTGGCTTGACTTGTGTTACATATATACCCACACCTGGATGATGACTGGGGAGAAGGTATTGTGTATATACTTCATTTTCGCAAGCAACAGTGTCTACCATTAAAAGCTAAACTCCTAAAATACATAACAGAGAAGATGAGTAAAAAGGCCTAACTTTAATTAGTAACATGATTAAGATACAGAGTAAAATTCATAACTCTTATCACAGTCTCTTTACTCATCTTTTTACCTAACACTTTTTTAAAACAATTAAGGAAACCCTATTTCAATTAGAAAAATAGTTGACTGTTTTCAATGAACAGAGTCTAGAGGGTATCCAGAAATACGTTTCAGAGCATTTAAAAACACTTTGGTTTCTTCTCTGTGCTTAGGAAGTCATTAGATGTTTAAGTCGGGAGCACTTAAACCGTTCTGAGACTTTAAAATACAGATGTTGAAAAAAGTTATTAGTTTAAAAAATGATCCTTTTAGGAGTTGAATGTACTTCAGTGCTAATTATAACTTTTAATGATTGTAAAGTGCCATGGGAGACTTTAATGAAGAAGGCTGTAAGACTCTATTTCCACTGTAAATTTTCCTTTCCCATACACAGTGTAAGGATAAGGGAAATGTGTTTGAAAACCCAAAGGACAGAGCTAATTGTGTAAAGTTCACTAAATGTTAATAATTTCTCAGTGACCCAGGAGTCATGTAAGGGAATTGCAGACACATATTCTGAGAAATCTTCGGCAGTATTAGTTCTCTAGAGTTAAAAAATGGGCTGAGAAAAATTTCAACACTGATAATGCTTGCCTAGCCTATAATAGATATTACTTGAATCAAAAATACTGAGAAAAGACATGATAAGTTGCAATTCTATTAGGAGAACCTCCTCATTATTTCTAATTGACTTACTAAAAACTGTGTGTTTTCCCAACAATATATTTCTAAGTTAAAATTACTCACAAAATCTGAAAAGTCAGAGTCAGTAGCACCATAAGTTACAAGTTACATAATTACTAGTCAAAGTAATGTTCCCTGAAAACATTATTTCTTATACTGGACTCAAAATACTTATCTGAATTGCTTCATACAATGGTTCATTTGTACTCAATCATTTCACAGTTATTTCTCCAATTCTTTGCTCTCTTGTGGTTGCTGCAGTTCAAGAGGCTAAGTTGTGCCATTTCTTTTAGTTGTTGTCAGATGTGAGCATCAGGTTATGGCTACAAGAACAAAGTGTTCTTTTTTCCGGAAATAGGGCAAGGCACTTTTCACGGTAACTTATCTCTTCCATAAAATTAAATGACTTGGCCAAATTAGGTAATTTATCTCCAAAATCGGTCACCTCATGTGAGGCATGTGTATTTCCTGCTTTATTTCACCATTCATTCCTGAGATTAAAGATAGGGGTTTCAATTTGTTAATGATCCTTAGGATTTTCCAAGAAATTTCCTATGGATTCTTTTCTATTTTTAATTTAAATCTATAAAATTATTATGTGGGTACATTGGGAAGGAAAAATACAATTTTTGGATGTGAGGACTAAGCTCTGATTTTTTGTCTTTCCCAAATTCCTATCTAAGAGGTCTGAGGAGTCATGCCGTACAAATTCTCATCAGATGGGTTTTGTTTAACCCTATTGTGACTTACTTTCCAATCTAACTCTGGCATAACAAGGAAGAAAATCAAAATGTTTTACCCCAAAATATATTTCCTTGCCATACCTTGAAATTGCCCTGCAAAGTCTCTTGTGGGAAAAATCCACATTCTGTAGAGAATCCCTTCTCCCCTTTGTTTTCTTTCCTTCCTTCTCAGATCCAGGAGATAATCAACTAAGAATCAGGCACCCTTTTAAGTCCAATAAAAAAACAATTTACAACATGTTCTCTCTAAAGTCAGATAAGAGCTTCCTCTGTACAATAAAGCTTGGTTTCCACAATTCATTATCTTTAGCCTGAACATTCCTTTCTAGCGATTCAAGGTCTTTAGACAAACTCAACCGTCAACCAGAAAATGTTTAAATTTACCTGTAGCCTGGAAGCCCCCACTTTGAGTTGTGCCGCCTTTCTAAACCAAACAATGTATTTCTTAAATGTATGTAATTGATGTCTCATGCCTTCCTAAAATATACAAAACCAAGTTGTACCCCAGCCACCTTGGGCACACATTCTCAGGACCTCCTGAGGGCTGTGTCACAGGCCATGGTCACTCATATTTGGCTCAGAATAAATCTCTTCAAATATCTTACAGAGTTTGACTCTTTTTGTCAACGGGTGTGTTGAGTAGTTTTAATGATAAATGAATCTTTCACATTCAAATATTTAATCTATTAGTGAATGCTAGCAGAAATGGAAATTCAAACTGAACAATGACATGGTCAGCAAAATCTCTAAAATGAATAAGTTTATTACTACCATGGGCCTTTCCCCTTGTTTTTGCCAAAAGTTTACACAACCGTTGTGAAGTTTCTACCTTAAACCAATGAATTAGAAAGCCTAAAGTAGTTACACATTAACTGCTACAATTTAATGAAGACCTAATACACAGGAACTTTTATAAAGGCCCTCCAGCAATATCAGGACTCTAACAAGTGAACTAGATTTATACATCAATGGCTATAAACATGTTGCATATTTCATTCTCTACAATTCCTACACTAAGGGTGAAGTATAAAAAAGATATTTTCTATAGTTGAAACAATCCATTCATAGCATTAATTTGAAAAACATCTAAAATAATATTTTGATAAAGTAATGGTGTAGCCCTTCAAAAACACCTTAGGATAATTACATCCATACCACTGAATATGGGGTCTATTATAGACATGGTTTTTCAAAACAAAAACATCAATTCAATTTAATAAAAACCAATAACTAGGTATAATGATAATTTTATTTTATTTAACATCTGAGGATAAATGGAGAAATAGTAGCTACTGGTTCATGGTAACTGCCTATATCTTATTATTATATTCATGTATGGGGACCCTATACAGAAAAAGCAGGCTAACATAATAAATTGTAAATACATTCAAAAATATATTAATCCAAACAATTATGGTAAGTTCTAATTATTCTGTAGTTACATATTTATTAGTAATGTTTATGCAGATTAAGAAAAAAGTTATCTTTTCATTCTTGTAGAATTCTGACATGGTGGCTATATGCCTTGCTTTAATTGAAACTAAATTTTGGGCGGGGCGCGGTGGCTCACACCTGTAAGCCCAGCACTTTGGGAGGCTGAGGCGGGTGGATCACGAGGTCAGGAGTTCCAGACCAGCCTGGCCAACATGGTGAAACCCTATCTCTACTAAAAATACAAAAATTAGCTGGCTGTGGTGGTGCACACCTGTAATTCCAGCTACTTGGGAGTCTGAGGCAGGATAATTGCTCGAACCTGGGAGGCAGAGGTTGTAGTTAGCCAAGACCACACTACTGTACTCCAGCCTGGGTGACAGCGCAATACTCTGTCTCTAAAAAACAAACAAAACAAAACAAAACAAAACAAAAACCTAAATTTTCTTTTGAAAGTTTTTCAAAGTAAATATGCTAGTAAACCAAACAGATTTTAGGAAATTAAGTGTTGGATAACCATAGAATGCAAGACATAGACCCATGAAATGTTATCTTAGTGATGAAAATTTCTGCACATTCTGAAAATGTCTATTCAGTGCCTACTATATTTGCAGATAATAAACACATTGGATTTCTAGAAAGTGATGGAAAATGCAGTTTTTCTTTTCTACTCTAAGGTTCATGGAGTTAATATGAAGAGCATTCTTCTGGTTTTCCTTCATTTTCACATTTTTATTCCTTTATCTTCTCACCAACTTTAAATAATTTTTTCTCTCTTGTTTGTTGGGTTTGTTGTTTCATGTGTTTGTGTTATTGTTTTTTTTGTTGCTGCTTTTGTTAACTTTATTCCACTTTGATGCCCTACAAACAAAAAAACAATTTTATAGGCTCCATATGAGAATAATGAGGAATATTCTTTCAGTGCTTTAGAGATTTTTAAAGTTTTTCACATTTGTCAGAAAAGAGCATTTACAAGAAAATATTTTTTCTTTATATTTCATGGATTCCAGCATAACTTGGTGCATTAATCTGAAAGACTCCCTTTCATGGGTAGACAGATGAAGAGAGGGATTCAGAGGCCCAGCTTTATCAGATGTCAGATGACTAGAAAAAAATCCTGCTTTCTTTGGACTTAGAATCTAAAAGTTGAAAAAGAGAAAGACTTGCTAACTTGTCCAGTTTTTTTTTTAATGGGCTGGATTAGAAAGGTTAAAAATAAATATGGTATATATTTTAATATTCACTGCCCTTAAATGTATTCTCTCTCATTTTTTATCCCTTTCCTGAGCATATATTAGCTAATTTCTATAATTAGAAAAATCTGTTTACTTAGTAAAAGTGCAGTCCAGTCTAATACAAAGCAGAATATCACATAAAGCCAATGATTTCTCCCCTCCTCATCTTAGTTATTTCCTGTGATTCAGGAATCATGTGCAGCAAAGAGAAGCTTGGCCAATTATCTAACGTTCCTTTTTTATCCCCTCTCCTCTCCCTGTTATTTAAGGGTCACGGTTGGTAGAGGACAGAAGAAAAGGTGCTAAGATCATCTTATTTACTTGGTGCTGTTTTAATGATCTCTTTGTATGATATTTCCCTGGTCATCATGCCTGCTATTATTGTAGACATTCACATGTTTTCTCCACTGCATTTGTGGTTGGTTACATTAGGGACTCTCTGCAATGGCATACTGCATTATTCTCTGACAAGAGACATGATCCTCTCCTACTGATCTTGTGATACCACACTTACTCTCAAAGTATGCTCTTGGTGGTATGCCACACACAACTACTTACTGCTGAAGTTTCTCCACCTAGAAAAACCCTTCTAAATTGAGTCCCTCCACAATGACTCAAGCTATCTACTTCCTAGGAGTCCACTTAGCCCAGAGAAGACCACATATTCTAGTTCTGCTAAAACGATGAAAATGCAATTTATCTAAATGACAATTAATCTCTATTGTATTTTTGCAAGCTGCAACACTTTGTCTTTAGTTTCCAAAATTTTCACTTGGTAATCATGAATCAGAGTCTATTTTCACAATGTCTCAATTTCCAAGGTACACATATCCCTCTTTACCCCAAAAGTCTCTCATTACATGTGGTAGGCTGAAAATGCACCCCCCACAGATATATCTATGCCCTAATTTTCAGACCCTGTAAATGTGCTACTTTATATGACGAAGGGACTTAGCAGATGTGAATAAATTAATAATCTTGAAATGAGTGGATTATATTGGTAGGTCCAATGTTATCACAGGGTCCTTATAAGAAAAAAGCAGAAGGGTCAGTGAAAAAGAAGGAGCTGGAAGCAGAGGTCAGAGTGATGTGGACATGAGCCAAGGAATGTTCCAGTCTCTTTTCTTAGAAAAAGACAAGGAACAGATTCTTCCCTAGAGCATCCTGAAGAAAAGCAGCTCTGAGACACTATGATTTTAGCCCTATATGACTCAATTAAGATTACTCACCTCGAAAACTTAAAATAATAAATGTGTATAGCCTCAAGCAATTATGTTTGTGGCAATGTGTTATGGCAGCAACAGATAATAAATATGCCACACTTCATTGAAGAAACTATATGGAGATAGTTCTATAATTTTTGTAACCCAAAAATTCTGTAACATGACAATAAATTGCCAGGCTTTTCTTACTACTGACAACCTATTTATCTTTTTGGAAGGAGAAGGAATAAGTCAAAGTGTTCTCTATGCTTGAAAAATTATCAATGAACTTCCTGAATTTCTGGTTTCCTTTTAAGAAGTTCTATGGTAAGATAAAGATGAAGTTTCCAATTTCAGTTCATCCCCTGGTAATTTCTGTATAAGTATGCCTAGGAGTTTTCAATAATCTTAGAGTATCTATAAATCATATCTCCAACAAGTTAATGGCACTCATGTTATTTCAGGAAGAGTTTAATAATAAGACAACTGACAAAGGTGTGGACAGAGTGAAGGGGATCATAAAATATAATTTATGATCTTAGGCTCATAAACCAACCAGAACCTGAGGACTCTGACAAACAAGAGGAAGGGGCCTCTATTAGAAACCAGAAAAGAAAGTGAATAGAGAGGCTCTCTTGAGGAAGGCTGTGAATCTCCCATGAAGGCTTTAGTCATTCCGAGGTGAACTATAGAGATGGAGCCAGAGGAATAAATCACCTAACCTCACTCTGTTTCCTCTGAATCTGTTAGTGTCCCTCACTGGCTAAAACGAAACAGAAGCCAGAGGGGGAGATAATCTAGTATGTTTTACATAGGATAGAGAGGAGAATAAAGAAGATGGAGAAGGTTGGGGGAGCAGATGGGAGGCATCCAGCACAGGGTCCTTATGAGCACACTTTTCTAAGCTTCAGGCTTTCATCCAAAATTCTGGAAAGCAGGGGAAACACATTTTGACAATATAACCAATAAATACACACAACGGGATATGTTATAATAGAAATATAAATAAATCCCTAAGGAAACATAGAGGAGGAAAATTTAACTCCATCTGGAGACTCAAGGTAGGTCTTTTAAGAATAGAAAACATTTGTCATTTGCAGTGAATGTTGAGGGTGAGTAGGTACACCTCAAATGAATCATGAGAAAAGCCTCGTTTTATAGAGGAAAGTTTCTATTAGGCTTCATGACTAAAACAGAAAACTGGAGTGTAGAGTTTGACTTTTTATTTAATTTCTGACGTTTCTGTCTCCAAATAAAATTATATTCTCTTTTGTTTTTCCTTTTAGGCTGACTCCATTTTTGAGATTTGAATGCTGGCCCCTTTTCAGCCCCACTCTTCCCCCTTGTCCTCTTGCCCTGCATATGAACAAACAGACAAGAATGCCTGCTTGCCCCTTTCCTCCCTCCCTTGAACTAGGGAGGAAGTTCAAACCATGCAAACTTCGGCCCTCTGAACCTTCACTCTGTACCTCCCCCATTAAAAATTAGAACCAGACACTTGTCACTCTCTTCAATCAAGCCACTTCAGATCAGCTTAGCTGACTACCTGCCTGTCCTTAGAAATCCTCAATACATGAGTAAGAAATTCTTTCACATCTTATTGGTGCATGTATGATGTCATCAGTCTCAACATGCAGTTTAATTTAGGATGAGGTAGAGAATGCTGTCACACTCTGTGGACAGCCACAAAATACACACATTCAGCAAAAACAATAGTTTAGAGAAGAATTGACTTAAAACTTTACCTTTAAAAAGACAAGATGAGTTTTAAGTTAATATGTCTAAATAAAAGAAAATCACTGAAGAATAATTAGGACCTTATTATTCATGTTTAGAGCATACAAGAGAGACTGAAAGACATTTTTTACCACTGAAAATCAAAATTATAATTCCACTTATTAATTCAATGTTCCCAAATATCAAGTGTTTAATCAGGCTTCATATATCCAGGATCTTGCCCTCACACCAAGCTATCCCAACCCACTTGCTCCCTGGCTCTTTCATGTTCTCAATTACGTTCCAGAAATATTGTGTTTCTATCTTGACTTCAACAGTGGTTAATAATTCAAATTCTTTGCTAACAGTGCCCAAATTCCCTCTTATAATTACTCACTGGTTTTATGATTAGGTCGGATTCATTGTAAAAGCAAAGACTGAGCAATCTTGATTACTAAACAATGTGCTGACTGACACACTGGTAAAGAGTCAAGGAGGGGGTTAGGATCTTTATATGTGTGTGTAGATCTCTCTCTAAAACTAAAACAACTCCAGCAATTTCTACAGCTACAGTTAAGGACAATAGTTTTCTTTTTCTGAGTGAGACCACTCCTGGGCCATTTCTTTCCAACACTGATCCCTTTCCTTACCCTTATCTCAGAACATTCCTACTCCTCCTTTCAGTCTATTTTATATTAGCTTGTGTTGACTATACTATTGTTACACTGTTTACACTTTAGTAGTTGGAAAGTTTGGATTTTGCACAAAGGGAAAATGATGCTTTGAACTTCTTGGCCTAGTACCATTGTGAAATGACTGCCTCAGTTACTAAATTGCTTTTCTGACCAATGAAAGTTATTTACTCTTCTTCTCTTTTTCTTCATTTTTCTGTTTACTTGTTTTTAACATAGGAATAATAGCCTTACTTTCTCTCCCTCAGTAGTCTCTTGTTCAGTTTCACTAGTCAATGTTGCTATTGTTTAGATCCTTTAAAGATCCTATAATGTTGGTAATTATTTATTTATTTTATGTTTCACAAATGTACACAATTCATGATTTGTTTTTCACAGAAGATATCTCATGGTATTTTAATTTGTTACCACTAGTCTTCTCACTCTTTCTTGTATTAGATTATGACCCCCAGTTCTCATTAGTGGCAAGCAATGAGGCCTGAAAAATATTAAGAATATGTCTTCACTTTGGGAGGCTGAGGCGGTTGGATCACGAGGTCAGGAGATTAAGACCATCCTGGCTAAGACGGTGAAACCCCGTCTCTACTAAAAATTCAAAAAATTAGCCGGGCGTGGTGGTGGGTGCCTGTAGTCCCAGCTACTCGGGAGGCTGAGGCAGGAGAATGGCGTGAACCCGGAGGTGGAGCTTGCAGTGAGCCGAGATCGCACCACTGCACTCCAGCCTGGGCGACAGACCGAGACTCTGTGTCAAAAAAAAAAAAAAAAGAATATATCATATGCATGTTAGAAAATGAGCATACTACTTAGAGATTACAAAGGAACATCTCACATAAACCCCATTGCCCTGCACGTAGGTCAAAAGTATGAGTAAGAAAAGCAGAACAGTATACTCCATGAAATCCAAAGTGTGGATTACATCTTGAGGATAGTTATCACTACATAAGAAACATACAATATCTGCAGAATATTTATGCAACACATGTTGAAATATAAAAATATTTGTGAATGGTAGCAAATGGCTTTTTATAATTTTTGTTTAATATTATGATTAAATGGTGAATATGAATTGAAACAATCAGGCTACATATTCAGTTTGAATTAGTATAAGGGTAATATAAACCTGACAAATCCTTATTTAAATAGTTCAAATAGCAATTCTCAGGATTTTGGGAACTTACATCTCATCTCTATTTTATAGCAATACTTAATACGTGTTAAAAATCCTATTAGCTTTTCTTGCTTTACAAAACTGAAGTGAATAAAAATATTTCAGAAATTTAATGAGTTCCTTCTATGTACCAAGAAATACCTTAGTAGGCCCTGATATATTATTTAAGAATATAAAATATAAAACACTGAAAGTCCAAACATGAAATTATTTCCCTTTCTGTTTTCTTTGAAATCTTATTTTTCAAGTCACCAGTTTTGCTTTGCTTTCTTATTTTGTTTTCAAACTCATTCATTTGTGCTGATGCAACAATTCTAAAGGTGGCCTTTACAGACAGTGGCTTACATAAAATATCAGGAAGTTTAAAAATTCAGTGGAGCAGAACATAATCCATTAATTGCTTCAGAAAAGCGAAACAACAACAAATTTTAGTGACGGGAATTTTTCTTTGAGAAAGTAATTAGGAATTGTTTTCTTGCTGATGAGCCTGTTCTATTTCACTGGCAGCCTTCTTAATCTGATCAACTTTAGAATAAAAATTGCTATCATGTGATGGAAAAGAAAAAATTATAGTTTCTAAAATTTGAAATTTTTATTACTAAAACATCTATATATATATATATACAAATATGTGAAATTTTATTAATACAGACTATAAACTGGCCTGATGTAGTGCCATTGCTTTTTTTTAAATGCTTTTTATCATGAAATTACCTTGTACTGGGATGAATGCCTCATATACTTGGGCAGTTAAATAGATGGGCTGCTTCTTTTTGACCTTCAGAGAGTCTATATTGAGTTGGGGGCTCATTTCACTGCTTTTAGCATTTACAACTCTGTCTTCCAATGGCAAGTGTGTTTCAAATGTTTTCTAATCAAGCATGCACCTTTACTAAAAGGTCAGCATACTAAAATGCTATATATCAGGGATTAAAATTATGATTCTTCTCTCCCATGCAAGAACATCTAATTAGAAATGCACTACATTCATTCTCTCGGGTCAAAGTTTGCCATGAATATCAAAGCACTCACATACTCAGTTGGCAATACATTCTTTAAAACTTTGTTGACCATAAAATTTCTCTTAATATTTCGTACATTTGTTTACGGACTTTCAAATGCCCTTTCAGATGATTCTTCAGAGGGTCTTTACTGCAAGCTAGGAAAGCAAAACCAGAAGAGCATTATGTTATTTGCTGCTCAACTCAGAAGCTTATTTTTCAAAGAAATATGTCATTCTACTATTCTACTCAGTTCCATAAAATGACAACAAAAACAGCAACAGAAAAAACTGAGCAACACATTGGCTAGAAGCAAAAAAGTACACAGCCTTATCAGGAGGTTGCTCAAAACATAATCCTGGAGAAATCTAAGTAAAATAAACATTTATAAGTCATAGTGACACCAATGCTGCCTACACAGAATGAGAAACTTACTGTACACGCATAGAAAATAATAGATTTATTTATAGTCACTTAAATTACATGAACCTCATTTTTCTCACTTAAGATTATATTTTGAAGGTTATTCTATTAATTACCTATAGATCTGCCACATATTTTAATCATTCATAAAGTGTTTTATTGTATAGCTGTACCACCATTGATTTAGCCTCAATCATACTGATGAACATGTATATTGTCTCTGCCTTTCACTCTTATTTTTAAAAGTGAGAGTAAATGTTCTTTTTGTGGTGTATACACACATATTTGCTTATATGTGCCTATATTTGTGTAAAACAAATTTACAAAAGAAAACTTACTATCTCAAGAGTTATATAATTTTAAAATATTGTCAAATACTGCCAAATTTCTTTCCAATGAGTGTTGAAATATTTTAGGTTTCCATTGATAATTAATCAGTGTCTATTTCCTTTACACTGGCCACTAATGAGTGGCTCTTAACCAAATTATTCTTTTTCAGTACTTTATGATAAAATTATTCACATACATTCTTAATACTGTGAAAGAAAAATAAATCTCAGGACCTCCCAAATCACTAAGCCAAAGGGAAAGGTCAAGCTGAGAACTGCCTCCAGCAAACTTACCTCCCATTCTATTCCTAAATAAGATAGCTACAGAGATTGAAAAAAATTAAAAGGTACATACGTCCCTCACGATTTGCCCACAGGAAAGTCCTTGTGGACAAAGAACAGACAGAATTCAAAGTCATCCCTCTGCTCATGTGAGACAAATGCATATCTGATTGCTTCACTTGCCCTAGTGTTTCTAAGGCATAAGACTAAGGCATAAGTGACTATTCCTTATTCTGGTAAATTGTATATTCAGTAAAAGGCTAATCAGAAACCCAAAACACTGTTACTGTTTGTCTCTTATCTACCCATAACCTGGAAGCTCCCTCCCCACTTTTAGTTGTCCTGTCTTTCCAGATTGAACCAACGTACATCTTACATATACTGATTGATGTCTCATGTCTCCCTAAAATGTATAAAACCAAGTTGTGTCCTGATCACCTTGGGCACATGTCATCAGGACTGCCTGAGGCTGTATCAGGAGCACATTCTTAACCTTGGCATAATAAACTTTCAAAATTGATTGAGACTTGTCTCAGATAATTTTTGGTTTTCATACTGGTGACCACAAACCGACTCTGAATGGAGGTGGCCCTGACCTTTGACGAATCTCTTTTTGATGCTTGGTACCAGCTTGAACTATCTTTATAGTTCAAATTAATAGGACAGTTGGGTGAGGGTAGGAGCTACTCTCCCTTCAGAGAATCCCTGATGTCGTAAATAAAAGCTCGGAATTGCAAAGAGAGCAAACACTCGAACAAAGGATTTCTCAGCAAGGCAAATTTACTTCTGCAGAAGGGTGCTTCTCACAGGTCTGGTCGCCCCGAGAGCACCCCTAACAAAGGACGCAAGGAGTTTTTATCCCTAATGTAGCTTGCCCCTGCTACTGTGCCCTGCCTCCACTGGCTGGAGTTGAACTCCACAATCTAAGCTGCACCCGGTTGGCTAACTTGAAAAGTACAAGAATGCAGTTACACTGGCAGGAAAGACAGTTTCAGCAGGAAGGGCCATTGGGATGGGAGGAGTAATTTACAGAGTAGGTAGCAGATGTGGAATGTGGGCTCTACAGATAACGACTGGCAGGAAAGTTGTTTACCAGGGCAGGGGGACACAGAAAGTAAGAAAGTCTGGCCTTGAAAGCAGGGAACAAAGGACAAGGAAATTTAAACAAGCTAAATCTTTGAAGAAGATGGAGTGTAAATCATTTAGAGCTATGGTATAAAGGGTAAAAGACTTAAAAATTAAAATAACTATAGCTACAATAATTTTTTTTTTGTTAATGGAACCACAATATGCAAACATGTAAATTGTGACATCAAAAATAGAATGTGGAGAGGGAAAGTAAAAGTGGAGAATTTTGTATGCGATTTAAGTTTTTACCAGCTTAAAATAGACTGCTTTAACTATTTCATGTGTGCCTCATGGTAACCACAAAGCAAAAATCTATAGTAGACAGACAAAAGATAAACAGAAAGGAATCAAAGCATATTATTACAGAAAATCATGAAATCACAAAAGAAGACAAGAGAGAAAGAAAAAGAATCTGGAAAACATTTAGCAACAGTCAATAACATAGCAACAGAAAGTCATAACTTATCAATAATTAAGTGGATTAAATTTTTAAATCTGAAGACCTAAGGTGACTGAATGTTTTTCTTTTTATAAGCCTCAACTGTATGCTACATGTAAGATGCTTACTTCAGGGTTAAGGCCACACATAGACTGAAAGTAAAGTGTTGGAAAAGGATACTGTGTGCAAATATTAATGAAAAGAGAGCAGGAGAAGCTATACTTATATTATTCAAAATAGATGGTAAGTCAAAAACTATCATAAAAGACAAAGAAGGTCATTAGATAATTATGAATGGGTGAGTTTATCAAGAGTATACAACAGCTGTAACTATACATACACCTAGCATTAGAATACCATATAAAGCAAATATTAACAAATCTGAAGGAAGAAATGATCAGCAATACAATAACAGTAGAGGACTTCAATACTCCACTTTCAACAATGGATACATCATCCAGACAGAAAATCAATAGGGATACATCAGACTTGAAAAACAATTTAGACCTAATGGACCCAACATACTTATACAGAACATTATATCCAATAGCACCAGAATATACATTTCTCTCAAGCACACATGGAATATTTATCAGGATAGATCATACGTTAGGCTGCAAACCAAGTCTTAACAAATTTAAGAAGATTGAAAACATCTTTGTATCCAAAATGGTATGAAACTAGAAGTCACTAACAGTAGGAAAACTGGAAAATTCACAAATATGTGGAACATATTACTGAACCATCATAGGTCAAAAAAGAATTCAAACGGGTAAAAATCTAAAGAAAGGTGGAAATGTAAACAAAATATACCAAAATGTATGGGATACAGCAAAAGCATCTCTAAAAGATGGTTTCATAGCAGTAACTACTTACATAAACAAATAAGGAAAATCTCAAATTTTAAACCTAATTTTACACATTAATGAACTAGAAAAAAGAGCAAATTAAGCCCAAAGTTAGTTGAGGAAAGGAAATGTCAAAGATCGTAGCATAAATAAATGAAACATAGTCCACAGAAAAAAATAGAAAAGATCATTGATACCAAGGGTCAGTTTTCGAAAAACTTTAGCTAGACAAGACGCCAACAAATTGGATAACCAAGAGAAAACTGATAAATTTCTAAACCAAAAATACGACCCACAAGCTGAATTATAAAGAATTAGAAAATATGAATTGACCACTAACAAGTGAGGAGATTGAATCAGTAACCAGAAATCTTCTATTGATAAAATGTCTAGGACCTCATGGCTTGGGATTGAGTCAGTAACCAAAAATCTTCTATCAAGCAAAAGTCTAGGACCACATGGCTTCTCTGGTGAATTATACCAATTTGATAATTGATAGCAATCTTTCTCGAATTATTCATAAAACTGAAGAGAGGGGACTTTTCCAAACTCTTTTTATGAAGCTACCATTCCCCTGATGTCAAGGCCAGACAAGGACAGTACAAAAAAAATTTACAAGCCAATACCCCAGATGAACATATATGCAAAAATCCTCAAAAAAATAAATAGCAAACTGTTTTAAACAGTAAATTTAAAAGATGATACTTTGATCTAGTGAAATGTATCCATGAGATGCTGAGAGGCCAGGATGATCCAACCTACTAAAATCAGTAAATGTGATATACCACATTTAAAAGATAAAGGAAAAATGTGTAATCACCTCAATATGCGCAGGAAAAAGAGCATTTTAGAAAGTACAATATCCTCTCATGATAAAAAAAGAAAAGGTTAGGAAATAAGGTATAGAAGGAATGTACCTCAACACGGTAAAGTACTTACATGAGAAGCCGATAGCTAACATCATATTAATAGTAAATAGCTAACAGGTTTTCCTTAAAGAACAGAAACAAGACAATTTAGACCTAATGGACCCAGCATACATTTACAGAACATTATATCCAATAGCACCAGAATATACATTTTTCTCAACTGCACATGTAGTGTTGATCAGGATGGATCATATGTTAGGCCGCAAACCAAGTCTTAACAAATTTAAGAAGATTGAAAACGTCTTTATATCCAAAATGGTATGAAACTGGAAGTCACTAACATGGGAAAATTGGGCAACTTGACTACTGTTGCCACTTCTATTCAACACATTACTGGAAATGCTGCTATAGTGATTGGGCAGGAAATACAATAAATAAAAGGCATCCAAATCAAAAAGGGAAAAGTAAAACTTTCTGTTTGCAGATAACATAATCTTATATATAGAAAGGTCTTAAAGAGTCAACCAAAAAATGATATAACTAATTAAAAAATTAGTAAAATTCCAGGATACACAATTTACACACAAAAATCAGTTGTGTTTATTAGATACTAATAATAAACTATTCATAAATTAAATTTAAAAATTACCCCATTTACAACAGTATCAACAAACCTTACCAGTAAATTTAAACACTGAAGTGAAAAATATGTATAATAAAAAGTATAAGATATTGATTAGAAATTGAAGAAAACAAACATAAATGAAAAAAATCCATGTTGATGAATCTGAATTAATATTGTTTAAATGTACCTATTACCCAAAGTGATTTACAAATTCAATGCATTTTCTATAGAAAATGTAAAGGCATATTTCACAGAAATAGAGAAAACAACCCTAAAAAATCACATGGAACAACAAAAGTTCCTGAATACCTTAAGTGACCTTAAGAAAGAAGAACAAAGTTGGAAGTCTCACAGTTCCTGATTTCAAATTATTTTATGAAGCTACAATAATCAATTATGGTACTGGCATAAAAATAGACATGTAGAAAATGTACAGAATAGAAAGTCTGGAAATAAACCTACAAATACTTAGTCAATTAATCTTTGACAAAGACACCAATAATACACAATGGAGAAAGCATAGTATCTTGAATAAATTACATTGGGAAAACTGAATATCCATATTGTCAGAAAGAAGAATGATATTAGACCTTTATCACACACCAAATAAAAAATCAGCTCAAAATGGATTAAAAACTTAAATGTAACACTGAAACTATAAAACTCTTACAAGAAAACATAGGGGAAAAGCTACATGACATTGGTTTGGGCATGACTTTTGAATACGATCCCAAAAGCACAAGAAAAAAAGCAAAAATGAGCAGGTGGAACTACATCAAACTAAAAATTTCTGCACAGCAAAGGAAATAATTAGCAAAGTAAAAAGGCAACCTACAGACTGTGAAAAATATATTTTTAAACCGTGTATGTGATAAGGGTTTAATATCCAAAATATACCAGAAATTCATATAACTATATAGAAAAATAAATAAATAACCTGCTTAACAGTAAGGGATCTGAAGACAGGTTTTTCCGAAGGAGACATATGAGTAGCCAACAGATTTATAAAAAGGTGCTCAACATCACGAATCATTAGAGAAATGTAATCAAAACCACAATGAGGTAATTATTTCACACATCTTACTATTTCTATTATCAAAAAGTAAGAGGTAACGATTGTTGTTGCGAATGTATACAAAAATGAACTCGTACATTTATTCTAAAAGGCCATATAGAAAAACAATATGGGGATTTTTCAAAAAATTAGGAATTAAAATACTGTATGACCCAGCAATTCTTCTTTTGGGTGTATATACAAAGGCAATAAAGTCATTATCACAAAAGAAATAGCTGCACTTCTATGTTCATTGCTGCATTATTTACAATAGCTAAGATATGGAATAATCTAGTATCTGCAAGTGGATGGAGAAAGAAAATGTGATATATATAAATTGAATATTTCTCAGCCTTAAGAAAAGGTAATCCTGTTCTTTGTAACAGCATGAATGAACCTAGAAGACATTATGCTATTAAAACAAGTCAAAAACAGAAAGAGAAATACAGCATAATCTCACAGGTGAAATCTAAAAAAGTTAAATCATAGAAATAGAGTAGAATAATGACTACCTGGGATTGGGGCTGGGGGAATGGGAAGATGTTGGTTAAAGCACACAACATTTTAATTATGAGTAAGTTCTGGAGATCTAATATGATTATATTTAATAATAATGAATTGTACACTTGAAATTTACAAAAAGAGTACATCCTAAGTAGTCTTACCACTCACGTAAAGAACAATTACTATATGAGATAATGGATATGCTAATTACATTGATTATGGTGATCATTTCACAATGTATATGTATACCAAAATATCATGTTGTACACCTTAAATACAATTTTTGTAAATTATACCTTGGTAATTATGGGGTAAACCCATTTAAACAAATTTGACATTATATTTAAATAAATCATTACTATGGTCTTACTGTAGCTTTTCAAAATTCCTCCCAAATTCATATTTTGAAATCTAATTACTGTGATGGTATTAGAAGGTGGGCCTTCGGAAGGTGATTAGGTTATGAGGACAGACCTCTCGTGGTTCTTAGACTTCACAGTCTCCAGAACTGTGAGAAATAAATTTCTGTTGTTTATAAGGTATTCACTTCATGGTATTTTGTTATAACAGCCTGAATGGACTAAAACATACATTTTATCTTGCATTTAATTACGTGTTTTCCTAAAATTAATAAAAGTTTTTTATAAAAAGTTTGTAATGACTGTCTAGATCAATTTGCATATACATATCAAATGTATTTAATTATTAACTTATTTGTAAGACATTTATTACATTTTAATTTTTTTCTTTCTTTTTTTTTTGAGACCGACTCTTGCTCTGTCACCCAGGCTGGAGTGCAGTGGCGTGATTTCAGCTCACTGCAACCTCTGCCTCCCAGATTCGAGCGATTCTCCTGCCTCAGCCTCCTGAGTAGCTGGGATTACAGGTGCCCACCACCATGCCTGGCTATTTTTGTATTTTTAGTAGAGACAGGGTTTCACCATGTTGGCCAGGCTGGTCTTGAACTCCTGACCTGAGGTGATCCCCCTGCCTTGGCCTCCCAAAGTGCTGGGATTACAGGCTTAAGCCACCGAGCCCAGCAATTTTTTTTTTATTTCATAAATAGTGCTAGTATGTGTGCTCAAGTTAAGATATTGTCTAATGCTTCATAAAATTGTATTTATGAGAAATATGGAATTTATATTTTCAGATCTTTTTTAATGCAGATGCAGATCAGGAATATATTATATACAAATTTAAAAAGCTATTATAGCAAAAACAAAAGCAAAAAAGCACTCCTGAATTGTGTGAACTGGAAATGTCTTCAAAGTAATAAGTGAGGGGTTTTTTTTCTGTAATTCCTGACCTCTACCTGTAAGCTTCCCAGGTTGAAAGGGATAAAGTCAGCACTACCTGCACATCAACAACTGTAAAGGATTTAAGCAAAAATGTAGCTTTTAGAATGTATTTTTCAAATAAATTACTTCCCCTCAAATACTAATACAGAGGAGAATAAAACTTGAGCACCAATAGGGAGGAATGACTTATGAAATCATGACATTTGGGGAGTTAGGAAAGAGAGTGAACCTCCATTTAACCTCCTTTCTGGCTCTCACGTGCCTTTAAAAAAATTGCCAAGGCAGTTTCATTTAACCAGCTGATTTTAAATTGCTCCTTGGGGCTAATTTTGTAAAACTTCTTTGATATTTTATGGTTCTACAGTTTCATGAGCACCATAAATGCCAGAAACCTTAGAAATGGCATAGCATTTCAACAGGAACATCTTTTCTTAGAATCAGGGTGAAGCTAAGTTACTCACTTCTGAAATCTATTAACAGTCTCACTCCAGTTTAAATTTCACCAGGCTATCTAACATGGTCATTGGTTTAGTGTAACATTACCGTGAGTACTTTTATTATAGATCTTCATTACTTAAATGTTCCTTCTTTTCTTGAGCAAATAATCTATGACCTACACAGAGTACAGCACTTTCAGGTCTCTGTCTACAAAATTAAAACTTTAGCAATACATCTGTGAGCACAGTGAAGTTACTCTTCAGAAGACACTAATCACACAAGTATTGAGGATTGATAACCCAAGGAGACAGCATTTAATTTTCTTTTGTACCAGGATACCAAGCAATTTAAAAAATTAAAATTTTTTAACTTGCTTATACTGGGGTATAAGAAAGGCCAGTAGTTAAATGTGAACATCAGATAACAGGTAGAATAGAATGGACCTAAGTGGCTGTCTCTAATGTGTTCTGGTATATTTAATATGTTTCACAACTAAAAGCCCTTAGAACAAGACATTAAAAGGGCAAAATTTTTATTCTTATTCTCCAAAAAAAACCAAGATTCTGCTGTTTTCCACATTTTAAAAAACTTCCTTTAATCAAGTTCCTCTTTCTGCATCCTATATTTTTAAAGGAATAATAGCAAGGCAAGTGATCATAATGGATATTATGTTCTTTATTATAAGTGAAATCAATCAAGCTGAGCCCTTAAGGACTTTTTAGTACTTCTGGTTTTGAAAGGCAAAAATTGATCATCTTAAACCTAAATATTGCTACAGAGGACAAGAAAAGAGTCTCCAGATATCCTTGCAATGCTTTTGCCAAATTTAACTTTTAAAACATGATATAGATATCACAAATACATTATTGAAGTTTGCATAAGTGGAAAGCTCTCACAAAAGACTGAAGAGAGAACCATTTTAACCTCAAGAATAAAGCTATTAATATCTGTATCCAATATTCCAAATAAATAATATACAAGATAAAACAGCACTAGTGGAGATAGTAACACATATTTCAGATTAGCTTTCAAGATCTGGATGTTTAAAGAGTAAAAATAATGAACTGGAGTACATTCTATAAATTCCAAAAAAGTTATTTCCACCATTAGTTAATATAAGTACAATAGAGCAATGGGAAGGGGTCCTCTTAAGTTGAGAACACAAAATTATTTGTCCTTAAATACACTGAAGCAATGTGTAGCTTTCCATTTTGCATTAGTGAAGCAGAGAAATAAGGAGTAACACACAAGATAGTGGATATTGTCTAGCCTTTTTCTACTTGTCCAGAAACATATGATTGAAGTGTCATTCTTAGTAAATTGATAAGTATTAGTTAAATATTTTTCAAAAGTGCAAGACAATAAAAAGTGTTTGTGGGTGAGTAATAATAATACCAGCAACCATAATCGCAAACAAAGGCAATAATAATGCCTATATCTATTGAGAGGCAGGCATTAAGTATTAACTATCTCATTTAATCACCTGAGTAACTGTAGAGCAATATTATTGTCATCACATAATGGGTTCATCTTGCCTGCTGCCCAGAAAAAAGCCAATGCACTAAGAACAGCAGATTTGTGCAGCACAGAAAGAGTTTAATTAACACAGGCTAGCCAAGCATTAGACTGAGTTTATTAGGTAAAGCAGCCTCCCTGAGAACTCAGAGGCCAGGGTTTTATGGATAATTTGGTGGTCAAGGGGGCTAGGGAATGGGTGCTGCTGACTGGTTGAGCATGAAGGCATAGGGGTGTGGAAAATGGTCCTCATATCCCGAATTAGCCTCTGGATGGGGACCACAGGGTCAGCTGAGTCATGAGTCACAGGTCTGGGGGGTGTAGTCAGTCAGTCTCCAGAATGCAGAAGCCTAAAAAATACCTCCAAAGACCAATCTCATGTTCTACAATAGTGAAGTATCTATAGGATTAATTGGAGAAGTCACAAATTTTGTGACCTCTGGCCACAAGACTCCCCAACTGTAAGGAATTATAGAAAATCAAGCTAGGGAACAATGGCTAATCATCTTTCAAATATGCCTACATTTTAGCAGAATTCAGGCCCCTCCCATAATCCTAACCTTGTGGCTTTTCATTAGTTTTACAAAGGCAGTTTCAGTCCCTGAACAAGGAGTGGTCAGTTTTAGAGAGGTACTGTTGTCACCCTTGCTTTAAAGTTAAATGATAAAATCAATTCCTCCTATGGTTAGCTTGGTTTAGGCCAAGAATTAGTGAGAACAGCCAGCCTGTGAGGCTAGAAGCAAGATGGAGTCAGCCATGCTAGACTTCTTTGTGGTCATACACTTTGCAAAGGTGGTTTCATTATTAACCACATTGTACAGATAAAATCAATAGGTTGAATAACATGCTTACACTGATAAAGCTGGTAAGTGACTGTAGTCAAGATTAGACCACGAGCCAGTTTTATTGTAACTTCTTTTTAATCTAAGCACACCAAACTGATTTTATTAATGTTAGCATTTACATCAAACACACAATGTATTTTCCTAATTAATTTGATAAGTACACAAACCTGTGAGATAAGCAATAATTATTCTTCTTATTTCAGAAATGATACAAGAGATATTTAATAAGTTTTAACTGATAGACACTGCCACAAAACTGGTGATACCTAAGACAGGTTTTATATTCAGGCTTTCTGATTCCAAATATAATGTTGTTTCAAATATTCCACCATAAAGAATGCTTTAGAAAAATGGTTCTCAACTTTTCTTTAATACACCTATTGTAATGCAAAGGCCTAGGACCACCATGATAGAAATGAAAGATACAAATTGTTTTATAAAATAGAACTATTTTACTTGCTGACATTTTGATAATATATTTACTATTTGTGACAGGATTTTATGATATAAAACTCACAATAGTGTTGGTAATGCTTCTTATTGCTATGACTTTAAGGTGCTGTATATTCTAATATATAGTTCCATACTTAACTATGTAATAATATCATTAAGTATTTCTTATAATAATGTAGAACATTCTCAGTAGTTGAATGCTTTATCTTAGTTATAAGATAAAATAAGTACAAAAATTAGTACAATTATTTATAAGATATAAGTGTTATTATAGCTATAAGATATAATACTTATTACATCTTATAAATAATTGTACTTACTTTTTGTTTCATCTTATAATTTATCATGTTTAGTATTGATATCCCCCTTTCACAAAATTGTTTTAAAACAATTTAAAATTATGCTTTTAACCATCACGATATACTGTCAAAGATTATAAATATGTGTGTGTGCATGCACGTGTGTATGTATGTGTATGAATATGTATATGTATATAGAAATTATGCTTCACTAGAAAAAATTTGGAAAGAGTGATAACTAAAACAAAGAATGTAAACTTCAAAGGAAAAGTGGGTAGCTATTCAAGAGTAGCAACATTAGCCTTGCTGAACAGAAATAAGCAGAAGATGCAATAGAAGATTGTGTAGCATGAAACTCCATTTATTAAATCTACTGATTTACAACTGAGTCTATGCTTATTTGCAGAATATGACTCTTACTATCAGGCTCAAAATCCAGCTTACTTGAATCTTCATTCATTCTCAGGAACCAACCTCTCTTTCCTCCTAGGATCATAATTTCCAGCCAACTGCTAAACATAGCATCAATTTGCTTGATGTGATCATATTTTGTAGCACAATGTATTTAGTCACTACTTTTCTAAAAATATCATTTTATCACATAAACATTTTAACCTAGAGAAATATTTTACACAGTACAGTGTTTCTCCCATGATATAAAGTCAATTAATGGTAAAATATGATTAAATTAGTAGAAATTTGCTTTGCAACTCACTTCGCAACTCACTTCGCAATAGTTGCTATTTAAAAGAAATACCTGAGACTGAAATTTTCTAATTATACATATGTAATATAAAAATACATTTTATATACTGTAAATGCTCATATATGTAAGAAACAAGAAATATGGAGAATACTTATGACAAAACTTGACTAAAAGTCATAAATTTAAGATAAATTTATTTAAAAATCTATTTTTTACCAAATTAATTTATAGATTTGATATAATTTTTCTTACATTTTCAGGCAAACTAGTAGGAAAGTGCTGATAGAGTGGAAGAAATTTTAAAATGTTCATGTTAATCTGATAAAATAGAGTCAAGAATATCTAGATACATTTTAAACAAGAAGAGTTGTGCCCTATTAGTCATCAAAATGTATAAAGTGAGGAAACAGCAGGACCTAGACTGAACTCCTGGTGTTTCAGTAACATTAACAATGTTCCTTCGGCAGGTATGCTAACTTTTGCTTTTGACTCAATAGGCAATAAGCGATTCACAAGTTTATGCTTTATTGTGAGAAATTTACACACACATAATCAAACATTCACAATACAATTATTAAAGGCAATAGTTAGGGTGTAATGAACCACAGCAGAGGCTCAGGAGACCAGTCCACTTAGAGAGGAACTCAAGCAAGTATGGAAGTCTCTCCTGGGTGCTGATCAGTGGTAGGCAAAGCTGCTATTCTGTGGGCAGTCCTTCCCACAGTCAGGAGAAAGCTTTCAGATTTCTCATGGGCCAAGATTCCAAAATCTCCTCCGAAATTCCCTGTCCCTTGTTCTTTTATGATTCTCTGCAGGTGTGCTCACTGTCTCACTGTTATCTCAGTCACTGGGTCTCAACTGGCACTGAGCCACAGCAGGTGTTATCTCATCATCTTAGTCTATTACACATATGCTTATCATGGGGAGTAAGCACACCACATGGCCCCAAGAGAAGCAAGAGAGAGATGGGGGAGATGCCACCCACTTTTCAATGACCAGATCTTGCAAGAAGTCACTCACTATCTTGAGGACAGCACTAAGGAGATAATTTTAAACCACTGATGAGAAATCCACCCTCATGATCAAATCACCTTCCACCAGGCCCCACTTCCAACATTGAGGATACAATTGACCATAAGATTTGGGTGGAGACACAAATCTAAACCATATCAGGCATTAAAAAGTCCTGTAAGCTTTCCAAAAGTAGATATTCTTAAGAGAAAAAGGGAAAGGAGGGAAATATGATATATCCTGATATATAAGTATATACAGCTACGTGTTTATTTATTCTGGATATAAAGATTTTGATCTGGACTCTTCAACCAGGATATTAAAAGTTCAGGCTCACTGTCCTAGATACTGCTGTATCTAGAAAATAATGAATATATAGTAATTGTACATCACTGACAGTGCAGTGACAGCACAATGTCTTTTTATCTGTAAAATGTCAGTCTGTATAAAAACAACATTCTGTTGCCAATACTTTAGCGTTTATCTTCCTTAATGTAAAATTAATATTTCAAAGTAAACTAATTGCACTAGACATTAACTAACAAAAACATCTTGTCTTTTCCAGTGACTTAGAAATAAAAGGGTGTTCAAGAACAATACAGCTATGAGTAAATGCTAATTGGACTGATAGCAATTTATGAAATTTTTACATGAAATGGGTGATTGAATTGACAGAATTATAATATTCTGCTGCAATATTTGCAATAGCATCCTTATGTTCAGCTATTGTAACTGGTGAATGGAGAATACTAGAGGCTTACCTAGCTTCGAATGTTTGGGGAAATAAGGATCCACCTGCTTCCTTAAGACAAGAGAGGACAGTATAGCCACTATAGATGATGGAACTGTTACTGGAACTACTGGAACACCAGGAGTTCTATCTACATCCTGCTGCTCACTACACAGAGTGTCAATCACTGAATTACTAAGTACTGCCAGGGATAAAGGCTTTAATGTGGTGATGCAGTCATGAGAATGAGAGGTAAAAATCTCAAATCTGTCTCCCTGACCAACTAAATTAATGGGTTTTATATAGTAGGGAAGGTGGCAAAACAGGAAATTACGAAGGGGTAAGGAAACAATCATGATGGATGAGAGGTTGGGTTTCTCATTGCCTGGACTCAGTGATCTGGTGAATTTCAGTCCCTTGCCTGAGGGTTGATTCCCTAAGGAAGGCAGTGAAATGAGACAAATTTGAGTTTCAAGTTTCAAGACAGAGGAACAATTTCTATGTTCATTCAAAAATCTGTAAATATTATTTCTGTGGGACAATTGGACTGGTTTCAGAAGTCTCTTGATTCAACTGGAACAAGCTCAAATTAAAAAAGACTTTTATATTGTCTTATTTCTATTTTTTTATTTCTTAAAAAAAGGGATACATGTGCATAATGTGCATGTTTGTTACATAGGTATACGTGTGCCATTGTGATTTGCTGTACCTATTGACCCATTCTCTAGGTTACCTCCCTTCACCCCCAACCCCCCAACAGGCCCTGGTGTGTGTTGTTCCCCTCTCTGTGTTCATGTGTTCTTAATGTTCAACTCCCATTTATGAGTGAGAACATGCAGTGTTTGGTTTTCTGTTCCTGTGTTAGTTTGCTGAGGATGATAGCTTCCAGCTTCATCCACGTCCCAGCAAACGATACCATCTCATTCCTTTTTATGGCTGCATTGTATTTCGTGTTGCATATATGCCACATTTTCTTTATCTAGTCTATCATTGATGGGCATTCGGGTTGGTTCCATGTCTTTGCTGTTGTAAATAGTGCTGCCATAAACATACGTGTGCATGTGTTTATAGTAGAATAATTTTCATTCCTTTGGGTATATACTCAGTAATGAGATTGCTGGGTCAAATGGTATTTCTGGTTCTAGATCCTTGAGGAATCACTATTCTGTCTTCCACAACGGTTGAACTAATTTACATTCCCACCAACAGCGTAAAAGTGTTCCTATTTCCCCACAGCTTTGCCAGCATCTATTGTTTCCTGACTTTTTAATAATTGCCATTCTGACTGGCATGAGAGATATCTAATTGTGGTTTTGCCTTTCTCTGATGATCAGTGATGTTGAGCTTTTTTCGTATGTTTGCTGGCCGCATAAATGTCTTCTTTAGAGAAGTGTCTGTTCATATCCTTTGTCCACTTTTTGATGGGGTTGTTTATTTTATTCTGATAAATATGTTTAAGTTCCTTGTAAATTCTGGATATTAGACCATTGTCAGATGAGTAGATTACAAAAATTTTCTCCCATTCTGTAGGTTGCCTGTTCATTCTGATGCTAGTTTCTTTGTTGTGCAGAAGCTCTTTAGTTTAATTAGATCAAGTTTGTCAAATTTGGCTTTTGTTGTAATTGCTTTTGGCATTTTTGGCATGAAGTTTTGCCCATGCCTATGTCCTGAATGGTACTGCCTAGGTTTTCTTCTGGAGTTTTTATGGTTTGGTGTTTCACATTTAAGTATTTAATCCATTTTGTGTTAATTTTTGTATAAGGTGTAATGAAGGGGTCCAGTTTCTGTTTTCTGCATATGGCTAGCTAGTTTTCCCAGCACCATGTACTGAATAGGAGATCCTATCCCTATTGCTTGTTTTTGTCAAGTTTGTCAAAAATCAGATGGTTGTAGATATTTGGTGTTATTTCTGAGGTCTCTGTTTGCTCTATTGGTCTATATATCCAATTTGGTACCAGCACCATGCTATTTTTGTTACTGTAGCCTTGTAGTGTAGTTAGAAGTCATGCAGCATGATGCCTCCAGCTTTGTTCTTTTTGCTTAGGATTGTGTTGGATATACGGGGTATTCTTTGATTCCATATAAAACGTAAAATAGTTATTCTAATTCTGTGAAGAAGGTCAATGGTAGTTTGATGGGAATAGCATGGAATCTATAAACTACCCTGGGCAGCATGACCATTTTCACGATATTGATTCTTCCTATGCATGAGGATGGAATACTTTTCCATTTGTTTGTGTCCTCTCTTATTTCATTGAACAGTGGTTTGTAGTTCTACTTGAAGAGGTCCTTCACCTCCCTTGTTAGCTGTCTTCCTAGGTATTTTATTCTCTTTGCAGCGATTGTGAATGAGAGTTCATTCATTATTTGGCTCTCTGCTTGCCTATTGTTAGTGTAAAGGAATGCTTGTGATTTTTGCACAGTGATTTTTGTATCCTGAGATTTTGCTGAAGTTGCTTATCAGTTCAAGAAGTTGTTGGGCTGAGATGATGGGGTTTTCTAAATATACAATCATGTCATCTGCAAACAGAGACATTTGACTTCCTCTCTTCCTATTTAAATACCCTTTACTTCTTTCTCCTGCCTGATTGCCCTAGCCAGAATTTTTGATTCTATGTTGATTAGGAGTGGTGAGAGATGACATGCTTGTACCAGTTTTCAAAAGGAATGCTTCCAGCTTTTGACCATTCAATAAAATTTTGGGTGTGGGTTTGTCATAAATAGCTCTTATAATTTTGAGATATGTTCCATCAATACCAAGTTTATTAAGTCATTTTAACTTGAAAAGATGTTGAATTTTATCAAAGGCCTTTTCTGCATCTATTGAGATAATCATGTGTTTTTTAAATTTGGTTCTGTTTATGTGATGGATTAAGTTTATTGATTTGCATATGCTGAACTAGCCTTGCATCCCAGGGATGAAGTAGACTTGATCATGGTGGATAAGCTTTTTGATGTGCTGCTGGATTTGGTTTGCTAGTATTTACTTGAGGATTTTCACATTGATGTTCATCAGTAATATTGGCCTGAAGTTTTCTTTTCTTGTGTCTTTTCCCAGTTTTGGTATTAGGATGATGCTGTCTTTATAAAATGAGTTAGGGAGGAGTCCTTCCTTTTCAATTGTTTGGAATAGTTTCAGAAGGAATGGTACCAGCTCATCATTGTATTTCTGGTAGAATTTAGCTGTGAATCCGTCTGGTCCTGGGCTTTTTCTTGGTTGGTAGGCTATTAATTACTGCCTCAATTTCAGAGTTCGTTATTGGTCTATTCAGAGATTCAATTTCTTACTGGTTTAGTCTTGGTAGGGTGTATGCATCCAGGAATTTATTCATTTCTCCTAGATTTCCTACTTCATTTGTGTAGAGGTGTTTATAGTGTTCTCCGATGATAGTTTGTATTTCTGTGTGGTCAGTGGTGATATCCCCTTTATCATTTTTCATAGAGTCTATTTGATTCTTCTCTCTCTTCTTCTTTATTAGTCTAGCTAGCAGTCTATCTATTTTTGTTAATTTATTCAAAATCTATCTCTTGGATTCATTGATTTTTTGGAGGCTTTTTCGTGTCTCTATCTCCTGTTCTTCTCAGGTCTTAGTTTTTCTTGACTTCTGCTAGCTTTTGTATTAGTTTGCTCTTGTCTCTGTGTTTTAATTATGACGCTAGGGTGTCGATTTGAGATCTTTCGAGCTTTTTGATGTGGGCATTTATTGCTACAAATGTCCCTCTTAACACTCCTTTAGGTGTGTCCCAGATATTCTAATATGCTGTCTCTTTGTTCTCAATTATTTCAAAGAACTTCTTGATTTCTGCCTTAATTTTGTTATTTACCCAGGAGTTATTCAGGAGCAGGTTGTTTAACTTCCATGAAATTGTGTGGTTTTGATTGACTTTCTTAATCCTGATTTCTAATTTGATTGCACTGTGGTCTGACAGACAGTTTGCTATGATTTCAGTACATTTGCATTTGCAGAGACATGTTTTACTTTCAATTATCTGGTCAATTTTGGAATAAGTGCCATGTGGCACTGAGAGGAATATTCTATTGATTTGGGGTACAGAGTTCTGTAGACATCTACTAGGTCCACTTGATCCAGAGCCAAGTTCAAGTCCTGAATATCCTTGCTAATTTTCTGTCTCATTGATCTGTCTAATATTGACAGTGGAGTGTTAAAGTCTCCCACTGTTATTGTTTAGGAGTCTAAGTCTCTTTGTAGGTCTCCAAAAACTTGTTGGATGAATCTGGGTGCTCCTACATTGGGTGCATAAATATTTAGAATAGTTAGCTCTTCTTGTTTAATTGTTCCCTTTACCATTATTTAATGCCTTTTTTTTTTTTGTCTTTTTTGATCTTTGCTGGTTTAAAATCGGTTTTGTCAGAGACTAGGATTACAACCCCTGCTTTCTATTATTATTATTATTATTTTGCTTACCATTTGCTTGGAAATTTTCCTCCATCTCTTTATTTTGAGCCTGTATTTGTGTTTGCATGTAAGATGAGTGTCCTGAATATAGCGCATCAATGGTTCTTGACTCTTTATCAAATTTGCCAGTCTGTGTCTTTTAATTGGGGTATTCTGCCCATTTACACTAGAGGTTAGTATTGTTACATTTGAATTTAATGCTGTTATCATGATGCTATTTGGTTATTTTGAACACTAGTTGATACAGTTTCTTCATAGTGACATTGGTCTTTATATTTTGGTGTGTTTTTGCAGTGGCTGGTATTGGTTTTCTCTTTCCATATTTAGTGCTTCTTTCAGGAGTTCTTGCAGGGTAGACATGGTGGCAATGAAATCCCTCAGCATTTGCTTGTCTGGAAAGGATTTTATTTCTCCTTTGCTTATGAAGCTTAGTGTAGTTGGATATGAAATTCTGGGTTGAAAACATTGTTTTTAAGAATGCTGAATATTGGTCTCCAATCTTTTCTGGCTTGTAGAGTTTCTGCTGAGAGGTCTGCTGACAGTCCAATGGACTTCCCTTTTTATGTGAAATGGCCTTTCTCTCTGGCTGCCCTGAACAATTTTTCCCTCATTTCAACCTTGGAGAATCTGATCATTATGTGTCTTGGGGTTGATCTTCTCATGGAGTATCTTAATGGTGTTCTCTGTATTTCCTGAATTTGCATGTTGGCCTGTCTTGCTAGGCTGGGGATGTTCTCCCGGGTAATATCCTGAAGTGTGTTTTCCAGCTTGTTTCCATTCTCCCTGTCTCCCTCTGGTACTCCAGTCAATCATAGGTTCAGTCTTTTTATGAAGTCCTACATTTCGTGGAAGTTTGTTCATTCCTTTTCATTCTTTTTTCTCTATTCTTGTCTGCAAGTCTTATTTCAGTAAGGTCTTCAGATTCTGATATCTTTACTTCCACTCAGTCAATTCAGCTGTTGATACTTGTGTATGCTTCACGAAGTTCTCGAGCTGTGATTTTCATCTCCATCAGGTCATTTATGTTCCTCTCAAAACTGATTTACTAGTTAGAAATTCCTCTAACCTTTTATCAAGGTTCTTAGTTTCTTGGCATTGGGTTAGAACATGCTCTTTTAGCTCAGTGTAGTTTTTTATTACCCATCTTCTGAAGCCTACTTCTGTCAATTGGTCCATGTGATCCCTTATCCAGTTCTGCACCCTTAATGGAGAGACATTGCTATCATTTGGAGAAGAGGCACTCTGACCTTTTGGGTTTTCAGTATATTTTTGTTGATTCTTTCTCATCTTTATGAGTTTGTCTGGTTTCAGTCTTTGAGGTTGTCAACACTTAGACAGGGTTTTCCTGGGGGCCTTTTTGTTGTTATTGTGTTGTTGTTGTTGTTGTTGTTGTTGATGATGATGCTGTTGTTGTTGCTTTCTGCTTGTTTTTCTTTCAATAGTCAGGTCCCTCTTCTGTAGGGCTGCTGCAGTTTGCTGGGAGTTCACTTCAGGCCCTGTTCATCTGATTCTCTCCAGTCCTGGAGATGTCACTCAAGGAGGCTGGACAGCAGCAAAGATGGATGTCTACTCCTTCTTCTAGGACCTCTGACCTCGAGGACCACCAACCTAATGCCAGTAGGATTGCTCCGGTATAGGCTGTCTGACAACCCCTGTAGGAGGGTCTCACCCAGTTGGGTGGCACAGGGAACAGAACCCGTTTAATGAAACACTTTGTCCCTTAGTTGAGAGGGTGTGTTTCGCTGGGGGCAAACCCACTTGTCTAGACTGCCCAGATTCCTCAGAACTACCAGAAGGAGAGGCTAAATCTGCTGATCCACAGAGACTGCAGCCACCCCTTCCCCTAGGAGCTCAGGCCGAGGGAGATCCGAATTCTGTCTCTGAGCCTCTGGCTGGAGTTATTGGAGACCCTGCAGGAAAGCCCTGCCTACTGAGGAAGGAAGGGTCAGGGCTAGACCTGAAGAGGCACTCCAGCTGCAGACTGCCACAGCTGGTGTGTTGGGCTGTGGGGACAAGTTTTGGGACCAAGCCATCCAGCAGCAGAAAAGCAAAGCCTGGAGCTATAGAAATGTGTGTCACCCTTTCCTCATACAGGGATCTTAGCATAATACAAAAGCTAGCAGAAGACAAGAAAAACTAAGACCTGAGAAGAACAGGAGATAGAGACATGAAAAAGCCTCCAAAAAAGCACTTCCAACTCCCAGTGCTGGCTGCTGCTCCTCCCACAAGGATCTCAAAAGGCTTAGACAGCAGGCAACCGCAGCCAGTGCTGGTTGCCTCTCCCCCTGGGGAGTTGGCTGGGGGTAAGGGGCTCTCCTCTGTATGGCTCTCAGTTGGGCTGCTGCACCACACTGCTCTTCCTTCTCTCCATGGGTCACATCAGACTGTAGTCAATTTTAATGAGAGAACCTGGACGCCTTGGTTGCTGTGAAGGATTCACATGCTTATTATGTTTTTATTCTGTGGGAACTTCTGAATGGTGCTGCTTCTAGTCAGCCATCTTGGCTCCATCCCCAAGCTTCTTCCTTTATGAAGACCTCCTGACAAACCCTCAACCTCACTACCCATCTATGTATTTGGGTTCATGGACAGATGTAGGGAAATTTTCAGATCTGAAAATCTTCCAAATCTTCCAAATAGAATAGTCTCCACTAAAATCTGGACAGACTTCAGACTTTATGCACAATTTAAACAAATATTCAAACAATAATATGGAATTTTCTGATTTTCTTTGATTAAAAAAAGAGAAAATATCTCTTTCTCCCTTGCATGTAGGAAATTACCTATATCAGCTTCTTCTTGCTGCTATAACAAATCACCACAAATTTAGTGGCTTAAAAATGTGAATGTGTTGTTTTATAGTTCTTGTGGTCAGAAGTTCAAAACAAGTCTCACCAGGCTAAGATGTCATCAGGGCTGCATTCCTTTCTGGAGACTCTAGCGGAGAATCAATTTGCTTGTCTTTTCTGGTCTCTGGAGTCTGCCTATATACCTTGGTTCATGGTCCCCCCATCTTAAGTCTTCAAGGTCAGCAACGTTGCATCCTCTAACTCTTCTCCCACAGTCACATACCCTCTGACCAGAACCAGGAAAGGCTCTCAATTTTTAAGCACTAGTGTGATTGTGGCCACCTGGGTAATCCGGGATTATCTCTCATCTTAATTTCCTTAATCTTAAATGCTTCTGCAGAGTCCCTTTTGCCATGTAGAGAACATATTCATAGGTTCCAGGGATTAGGGTGTGGAAATTTTATTTATTTATTTAAATGGGGAATCACTGTTCTATCAAAACTTTTTTTCGTTTCTTAAAAAACTATATTTCTTGAAAATAGTTTTTGCTGCTTATAAATCAGAAACATCCAGGGAACTTCTGCATACTTCATAGATTTTCTTTCACTCTAAAATGTGTACATGGCAAAGAAATAAAGAGTACTTCAAAACATGACCCTAAGAAACCCAGTTATCTGCCATCACTGTTTTTGGAGAAGATAAAAATTATTTTGGTACCATTCTAATCTCAAGCTAGTGTTTCTCAAGGACAGAAAGTACATATAGAACCATAGGTGAATGTGAATCTGGGAAATGTAGTTTCAAAACCTCCAACCCGTGTTAAAAAATAAAAAGAGAGAGAGAGAAAGAATAGAAAAATAGAGAGATAAATACTCATTACTGTAAAAAAAGCATATCCCTAGCAATTGAAATAAATTGAAATCACTAATGTGAAATATAAGTCAAGCCTCAAACTATAAATTTAATAAATGATATTTATTTCAGTTATGTTTGCAATATAAAATGTTTCAGGTGTTAAGTGGTTAACGTGCTGCAAATTTTTAAAATATCAGTATAGACAGTGTGTGTGCGTGTATATATATATATATATACGCACACACACAGTGTGTGTGTGTGTGTGCGTGTGTGTGTGCTTATCAGTTTCTTTTAAATAACTTCTATTTGTGAAGCTTTGTTTTTGAGAACTATACTTCCTTGAGAAATTGTGGCATAAACAATGCTATGAGTTTACCAAACCATTTCATTTTCCTAGACATAGAACTAAGCTGTAGTTTTGAACCACATTGCATCTTGGTGGGCTAATGTCTTTAATTCTCAAGATTAGAAGGTAAGCAAGATGCATTATTTCTTATCTGAATTACATTTAGTAAATGAAAGTGATATTTGCATATTGTTTTTACCTTTCATGACAAGTTACAGACCCATTTGTTCATATAGGGCAGTTTCAAAAGGGAGGAGGGCTGCTTAACCTGAATTTGACTTTAAATGAAAGAACAATAAAAGTTTTTATTCTTAAATCATTACTAGTTGAGAAATTTACCTGATACCACAAGGTAGCTTATTCTTTTCTGATTATAGTAGAAATACTTTCAGATTTTTAAGCAATATATAGTACAGAAATATGTTGATTGGTAACAAATATATCTAACACTTGTCATTTCACACATTCTATATTTTTCTCTTTACTTTCTATTTCGTGCATGACATTGTGCTAAGCACCAATGTACCATATTAGAAACTGACCTCTCAGAAATTACACATTTTTGTAATTACCTAATATAACATTGCCCTGGTGCTGTGGCATTAGGTATTTTACGCATATGATTAGCTAAGACATTTGTCATGGGAACCTCATATAATTTCAAAAGAAATGATTTACTAATTCCTTCAGTATGAATGTTGGAGTGGCAGGATCATAATCCTCATTTTATAGATAGTTCTACCCAAGAACAGAGAGATTAAAATATTGTCTAACGATGATGATTGAAGAGGATCTAAGTCCCCATTTCTGATCCTCACACGCTTTCTATTTGTCAACTTGTATATGTTCTTTCTCTGGTATACATTTGATATCTTGGAAATGAGAGAAAATCGTCTCCCGTGGGAGCAAAATGACATTGATAAACTTGGCAGAGATTTGACTGCCATTTCTGCAATTTGAAAGACTTTTTCTTCCTGACACAGAAAATGAGGTAGCTACAAATGAAAAAAAAAAAAAAAACTTAAAAGGATATTTCTTCAAAGTGAAATAATGTTTTATTTTAAAAATTAGAAGAACCCTAAGAAACATAGGGTCATCAAAATTACTAAGAAGAAAAGAGAATTTTCTTTTTTTACTCTCTTTTTTAAAACAGTAAACAAATGTGAGTTGTCTCTAAAGGTATAATTAACTGAGATGGAAAAAGTAACACTGAACCAAACTAAAAGTAGGTCAGCTCATTTGAGGTTCTTGGCTGCACAAGCTCTGACAGCTGGCTGAATATTTCTATATATAGAGAAGATACACGGGTTCTAGTGATTTATTGGTCTTTCTTTTCCTTATGCATGTTATATAAAAACATAGAAAAGAAAACCTATAGTTTTTCCTTTTTGCTCAGGAAAAACCTACATTGGGGACTTGAGTGTAATTATGAAATGGAGTTAGCTATACCCAACTGCACAAAACACATTGCTAATTACATTCAAACACAGAGGAACTATGATTGATGAAATAAGCTTTTGGTACTTTCTGGCCCTACAGATATTTTATGTAAATTTTACTTCATATTCATATATCAATTAATTCTTATACTTTAAAAATTAAATATATATTTTCTCCTCACTACACACCCATAAACAAACAAGTAAATATTTACATTCTTTCATTTAAAAAATTCTTTTAAAATTTTGCAAGCAATGAAATTCTAGAAAAATCAAAATGCCCCTCTTTCAGACACTAGAAAACCTTACCATACTTGATTCATGAGACTCATTTGTCCCATTTCAAGGACATACAGAACAATTCATCACACGTGGCTCTTTAAGTAACCGATAATCCGCATTGTCTGTTGGGGAAAGCATGCTTAATTGTAACCTCCATTCTGGCAAACCGAATCCTGTACCCAAAATACATTGGAAATCTTTTTGTCTTTGAAGCTTAGCTTATAAATTTTGAGTATTTTTCACTATGCCTGCTATTCTATTCTCAAGTCCTCCTTCTTCCAAGAACCTTTCCAATCCACTTCTATTTTGAAGGGTTTCTCTTCTTTTTCTTATTTCATATCACTCTTTGCAGAGCCAGTTTCATATGAAACTACTACCTCTGCACAATATCATTTCTACCTCAAACCTCTGAAAATGGACTTCTATTCCTACAATCCCAACAATGACATCAATAAACTTATTTCCTAAGTCCAACAAAAAATATGGCCCATATATTCCTTAAACTTAGCCAGAGGTGAGACTGTTATACTGTTTTACATTCATTACTCTTTCTCCTTACAAGGTTTCCAATAAATTGCATTTTGAACCATCCCTCTTTACCTTTGTTCAGAGCTCTTATTCCCCAGCCAATTTATCCAGAAAAGCTGCAAATCGTGATTTTTTTTTTCACATTTCCTAACACTTGCTGAAAGTTGTAAGTGAAAACTATAGGCTGGTGACTATTAAATTTATGTATTTAAATATACACACATACACAAACTTAGTCCTTAACCATCATTACCTTATATACATATCTAGCTCAACATGTTAATACTTGAGTTTACATTTTAAAAGGACCTATAAGAGAAAAATATTTGTTAAAAAAACTAAAATTTTTCATAGTGAAGTTGTTAAGTGTATGAACTTCATGATCAGTCACACCAGATTTAAATTCTAGCTTTGCCACTAATGAGTATAATCCCATAATAACTGCTTCATACTGTCGCAATTTTATGAAAATTAAAGAAGTACATACCAGACAGCATATAGGAAATGCTTAAATATGTTATTGTTGTTAATATAATTTTTAAACAAATTATATCCTGTTTAATTTTCCCTCTAAATGTCTTTGAAATCTATCCCATTTTGTCAGTCTCACTAACATTGCTTTAGTCTAAGTCCTTATAATTTCTTGCTAGTATTGCTGAAATAGACCTCTAATAGGTTCCTAACCTTACCAATTCAGTTCTTCAAATACCATTAAAATAGCATTCTAAAAAAACAAAATTAGTCATAATACTTCTGTATCTAAAATCATTCGTGATTCTGCATATATTTACTAAGTACTTTTAAACTTCTGAGTAAAGTGGTCAATATTTTTTCCTATTTCTCCAGGCTCACCTCTCATCATTATACCTCTTGCATTCTATGCTACAACCATATTCTGTCACTTTTAGTATTCCTGATGGATCATTCTCACTGTCACGTTTAGACCGTTTTACATGAAGCACTTCTATCCTGCCTCAAGTTTATCTTGGTTTGCATAGCACATTATTATCTTACTTCAAAATTCAGACAAGGCCACCACTCAAGCTTTCCCTGACCTTCAGACTAAATTTCTTGTTCCCTTTTCTGTACTTCAGTAGTATTCTGAGCATTTCTCTATTGGAGTGCATAATAATCTGGTGCATCATAGGCAGCAAGGGATGACAGAGCATACAAGTGATATAGAATCCAAGAGTCATCAATTTTAATCTAAGGTCTTTGAGGGTAAGAATTATATTTTAGACTTTCTTATATTCTTTATGGGATGTAAGTCAATAATTATTTATTAATATTTATACATTGCTGTTTTGAAGTCATTTTTTCTTTTTTTCATGAAAAACGAGGTCTAGCAGGTAGCAATAGTGATATGACCTGTGATGATATCATGCTTAGGAAGTGTTCTTGTTGAGGGGTGGAAGAGTCCTATTCCTCCCAAGAGTACTATAGCATTGCCTTCCAGTGTTTGTCTTACTATCATTAATTCTCCTAATCACAAACAGTACCACACTGAACAGGATCAATCAAAAATTGTAGAAAAGTTGCTTGTCTTGGTGAACTAAAGACTTAGGTCAATAAGAATATTCACAAACATAAAGACACATCAATTTTGTTAGATTCTTCAAAAATCTATTTTGATATTCTATCTAATTGACACAAGCCAGTTTTTAATTCTGGCTCTAGCAAGACTTAAGTAGTATTAAAGAAAATAACCAAAATATTCCAAAAAGTCGCAATAAAGTTTACAAGTAGGTTTACTCTTATTAAATTCCTCATCAGAGGTCTCCTAAGCCTTATGTCTACATTCTGGGAAAACAAACAAACAAACCAACAAAAACCAGTTGAAGTACAGCAAGTAAGGAAAGAATCGGGGCAGTTTTTGGCAGTAGCATCACAAAGGATCTGTCTGAATAAGCAAGAAATTGCCCAAAAACTAATTCAAAATTTCAAATGGCCTTTGTTTTTTAAAGGAATTGTCCAAAGGTCAATTGTCCTTAGTATTGTCCAAAGGTCCCAGATATTACATTCATATGGCTCAAAATAGGACACTTTTCATGCCCTCACTACAGAAAATAAAATTTTGAAGGACATTTTAAGAAAATATGTCCCTATATGTATTTAAACTTCCCAGAAGTTTAAGATCTAAAGTGACCACGAAAATTGTCCACTACAGATATTCAAGACATTCTTTAACTCAGTTGTCAGCAAACTATGACCCATAGAACAAATATGGTTCATTACTTGTTTTTATAAATAAATTCTACTAGATTACAGACATGCCCATTTATTTGCATTGTTTGTGGTTGCTTTCACACTATGATCAAAAGATGAGTGCTTGCTACAGAGATCATAGGACCCCCAAAGCCTGAAAAACATTTTCAGTGGAAGTACTATCTGGTATGTAGAAGAAAAAAAATGTGCTGAGCCCTGCTGAAACTCTTCCAATAATTTATATCTGATCAAATTATAAAAAAGTCTTCCCAAACCACAACACTCAGCTACTATTGATGTACAAACATTTTGAAATGGACACACACATATACATTAAATATATATATATATATGCACACACACAAATATGTATATAATATTTTTAAATATAGACACATCTAGCAATTTTTACCATGAAATAACAAATATTCATGTTTCTTTGTACAATACTGAGAAAAGCCACATGAGATATTCAGGAACTGATACCCTTTTGGATAGGTGACATGACAGGGCTGTCTTAGCTTATAAAATTAAGAAACTAATATTTGTTTGGTCAGTGCAAGAAAAGCATTAGATAATTTAGCACATTAATTTTTTAAAATAGATATGGAATAAGTTAATTTAGGAGGCTAGGAAAAGGGAAAATGAGATAGGGGACAATAACAGACCAAGATGGAGTAACAGATCCTGAACCTGAAGAATGACAGTATATTTTAGTTTGCAAAAGCCTTAAAAAAATGGATAAAATATAAGTAGTAATAGATCTCAATAAGGTATATATCAGACAGAAAAGCACTATGATCCTTAAGAGGTAAACTACAAAGGTAAGGTCATCAATTTTTGCAGCTTGCTGCCTGAATAGAGTCTTGTGATTATTGCACAGGATGAACAAACCCAGGCCAAGCTTAGCAGTCTTCATGAGTGCTGGAATGAGGCTGGGCTTTTGTGGAAGATAAGGCAGCTAGTCATACAGTAGAGGACGGAAGGGGAGCGCCACATAGGAGAGAACTCTAGAGAACTTTACAGGTTCTTCTTTGAGTATTCAGCTTAATACTGATCAGCTCATGTGTGTGAGGCAACTACCCAAGGTTGCAGAAAAGAAAACTCCAAGAGGATTAGAGAGGAAACTCTTGGAGCTCACCAAAGGCACCACTAATGGCTATTCTCACTAGCCAAAGTAGAACCTTCATAATTCATTAACATTGGGTAAAATATTCAGAAGGGTATAGCTTGGTAGTAGAGAAAAATTAGAACTAGACTAAAAGCTGCTCTGGTCCCACCTAAAAATGCTTAAAAGCAAAACTCCAAGACATTAGAATATTTTCAAATAACTCCATGGTGTTCCAGAACAAAGCTCAAAAATATTTAGATAAACACAATACCCAAACTCCAAGAAAGTGAAATTCAAAATGCCTGACGACTAAAAAATATTTCAAGGCCTTATAAAAGCTGAAATATCAATTCATAAGAAGAAAACAAAAGATATGTATATTAAGCAGTTATTAAAAATACATTTCCATGTTAAAAATTAGAGAAAAGGTGGTACATGTTAAATATAGGTATGGAAAATACGTATAAGGTCCCAAATCACACTTTTGATCATAGAATTTATAATGTCTGTGATGAAAAGTATTCTAGATGGGGTTAATGCTGGTTAGATATTGCAGAAGAAAATATTAATAAAGACATTGGAATATAAACTATCTAAAATGAAACACAGGAAGAAAAAGACTTAGAAACAAGAGCATCAGAAGTGGAGGAGTTGCACAAATTATTTAAATAAACAACAATAAAAAATTCCCAAATTTTATAAGAAGTATAAATCTATAGACCTCAAAAGCTAAATAAATTGCAAGCAGAAGATAAATGAACAAAACTAAATGAAGGAACATATTAGTCAAATTTCTTGAAATTGGTGATTTAGAGAAAATATTAAAAGAAGTCCAAAGAAACAAAGACACATTTATACAGAGGAGTTATATTAAGAAGCACAACTGATTTCTGATTGGAAGACAGTGGAGCTATGTATTTAAAGCACTGAAAAAATAGGTCAACCTGGAAATCCCTATGAAGCAAGAAGTATCATTCAATAATACTGAGGAAAAAATAATATTTAGACACACAAAAGCTGAAAGCATTCATCTGTGGCCATACCAAACGAAAATAAATTATAAAGGCAGTCTTTACGCAGAAGAAAAATAATACCAAATAAAATACGAGCTAAATAAAGGAATGAAGAACATCACAAATAGTAACTGTGGGGATAAATATAAAGACTTTTTCCACATTATTTAATTTTTTAAAAAAAATAATTATTTAAAGGAAAAAAGGCAATGTACTGCATGGTTTTTCACATAGGTAGAAGTATAATGAATGACTATAATAGCTGAAAGTTAGGAAATACATTGTTTTAAGATTCTTATACTGTACATATAGTGGTATGATATCATATGAAGGTAGACTGTGATAAAATATATGAGATAAGCAATCAACAAAATATAACAATAAAAACAGAGATATAAACTAAGAAGTCAAAATAGGAAATCAAATAAAAACATAAAAATTAGGCATAAAACATAAAAATTCTTTTGTATAAACAGAAGTCAGAAAAAGAAGGAAAAGAAAACAGAATAGATGAGAGATGAAAAACAAAAAGAACACAGACTTAAATCCAATTATTTCAATGATTACATTAAATATAAAGAATTAAAATACCTCATTTGAAAGGCAAATACTTTGATAATGATTATAAATGCAAGACCAATTCCATACTCTTTAACAGAAACCCACATTAAATATAAAATCACAAGTAGATTTAAAATTTAAAATATACAGGAAGGTTTGCCATGGCTAGAATGGCTATATTCATATCAGGGAAAGTAAATTTCAGAGAAAATATTACCTAGAATAAAAAATATTTACATACTGATATAGGGGATAATTTATCAACGAAGCATATATATCCAAAATTAGTATACACATAATAACAGAAATTCAGAATCAATGAAGCAAGATTGATACAACTGCAAAGAGAAATAGACAATTTTCAAAGCACATTAAGATATTTTAAAAACATTTTATCAATCATTAATAGAAAGGAACAAAATCAGTATGGATATAGAAGATTTGAATGATAGGCTCAATCAACTTCATACAATTGATTGATATATATGTGTATATATATACAGATATATATAGTGTATATATATAGATATATATGTGTATATATAGATATATATGTGTATATATATATAGATATATATGTGTATATATAGATATATATGTGTATATATATAGATATATATGGGTATATATAGATATATATGTGTATATATATAGATATATATGTGTATATATAGATATATATGTGTATATATATAGATATATGTGTATATATATAGATATATGTGTATATATAGATATATATGTGTATATATATAGATATATATTACTCAATCCTCAAACCAATAATAGCAAAAAGTGAGTCTCAAATATAGAATGATTAAAATTATATAAATTCTATTTTTCTAATTAATGAAATAAATAATAGAAAAATACCTGGAAAATTTCCAAATATAAGAAAACTAAATAACATAGTTATAAGTAACATATGGGTCAGGGAAAAATTACAATGAAAATTAGTAATTACTTTCAAGAAAAAAACACAATATATCAAAGTCTGTGTAATGTTACTAAGACAATTGTTAGAGGAATATGTGTAAAAGTAAGCCCTATGTTAGAAAGGAGCTAAGGTTTCAAACAATACCCTCGGTTTCTACCTTGAGAAAAAAAATGAAGTAAAAACAAATGAAACAGGATGTAAACAGAAAAAAAGAAAAAGAAAAAAGATAGTCATAGAATGTGAAGAAGGAGAAAACAAAAAAAATAGACAAAATTATACCAAAAACTAATTCTTTCACAAGATAAACTAAATTGATTGTCTAGAAAAGGAGATGAGATATAAGTCACAACATCAGGAATTAGAGAGGTACTATCAGTACAGTATCTACATATTTTACAATTAGAATAATTGAATATTATGCAAACTTTATGCCAAAAAAAAGATACCCTGGATAATTTCCTTGAAAAACACAAAACAACTAAGCTCACTGAAGAAGAAATTGGTATTTCTCAATAATACTGAATACATTGACTTAAAAAACAAACAAAACACGCTCTCAAGAAAAATAACTTCTGGCCTAGATGGCTTCACTGAAGACTTCTATCAAACACTCAAGGGAGAAACACTAATACATTTACTTAACATTTACCTGAATATTAAATATAAGTAAATCTTCCCAACTAATTCTATGAAGTTAGCATTACTCTTATATATGAAACAGAGAAGGACATTATAACAGTAGAAAAATGCAAATGACTATACCACATTAACAGGAGCATATAAGCAAAATTATTAATAAAATATTACCAAATTGAACCAAACAATGCATTATGACTAAATTTTCTTTATCTTGAAAATACAAGATTGAATTTACTTTCCAATACTATTCAATGCATTTCACCATAGTAACTGATGAAAAAAAAAGCATGCAATCAATTCAATTGATGCAAAATGCACTTGGTGAAATTCAACATCCATTTCTGATAAGATCTCAGAACCTGGGACTAGAAAAAGAACCCTATCTACCTCATAACAGTACATTTACAAAAATAGTACAGCTAGCATCGTATTTGATGGTAAACAATTGAAGGCATTCCTTCTGAAATCAAGTATAAGACAAGGATGTCCACATTCATCACTTCTCTTCAACATTGTCTCGGAGGTTGTATTCATTGCAATGGGGCAAATGAAATAAATAAGAGGAATCCAGATTATAAACTAAGAAGCAAAAATGTTATTCATAGATAACAAGATTATCTGTATAGAAAAGGATCCTAAAAAATTCTACTAGAAATAGTAGAGTTTATCAAGTTTACAGAATACAAGATCTATATATAAACATCAATTATTTTTCTATACACTAAAAACAATTAGTAGTTGAAATAAATACAATAACATTTAAAATGGTATCAAAAGTGAAATACTTAGTGACAAACAACAGATAATATACAAGACTCGTGTCTTGAAAGCTACAGAACATTGTTAAGATAAATTAAACGTTTATGGACCAGAAAAAAATCAAAATCCAGTACTGTTATCATGTGAGTTCTCTCTGGATTTGTCTACAGATTCCAGCTTGGTTTTGTATAAATTGACCTGGTGATTCTTAAATTCATATGTATCTATTTGCGTGTGCGTGTGTGTAAGCACCTTGAATTCCGAAATTAACTTTCTATCATAAGAACAAGGGTGTGTAAACACCTTGATTTCCAAAATTAACTTTGTAAAAGAACAAGGTTGGGGAATTTACACTAGTTGATTCATGTCATTATTATAATGCTACCATAATCAAGTTAATTTGGCTTTGGTATCAAGAGGCACCTATATCAATAGAAAGAAATGTCAAGTTCAGAAGTAGACCTCCATCCACTCATGTTAATTAATTTTTGACACGGTATAAAGAAAAGTCACTGGAGAATTTCTTCTTTCAAAAAAGGGCTAGAAAAAAATGGTATATCCATACAGAAAAAAATAATATATACTGAAATCCATACCTTGAGCCAAATTTAAAAAGTGGAAATCAAAATAGACTGCAAGCATAAATTTAAAGACAAAAGTATAAATGTTCTAGAAAAAAAACAGTAGAAAATTTCTGTGACCTTGGATTAGGCAGATATTTCTTAGATAAAAAATTAAAGTATTATTCAAAGAGATAATAAAATAAATAAATTTTATTTTATAAAATTTAAAGTTTTTTTCTGAGAAAGATACTATTACAAGAAAGAAAATATTAGTGCAGACTCAGATAAAATATTTGTAGATCACATATGTGATTAAAGACTTGTGTCCAGATTGTATAAAGAACCCTCAAAACTCAACAAGTAAATAAAATAAATGAGCAAATAAAAATGAGAAAAATTTAAATCCACATTTTATCAGAGAGGAGTATACAGCTATCAAATAATCACATATAAAGATATTTAATACTATTAGCCATTAGAGAAATGCAAATTAGAGGCACAAGTAAATATTCCTAAATATCTATTGAATTGGTAAAAATAAAAATAATGACTATACTGGTTTCTGATGAGGATATAATGCAAATTAATTTCTCATATATTTCTGGTATAAATGTAATATTGTTCAGCCATACTGAAAATGAGTTTGTATTTTCTTACAAAGAATACACTTAACATGTAACCTAGAAATAATTTGCTTGAGATTTCTCTTAGAAAACTAATATGTTAAAATGACAGAAAAAATTCTGTGTTTTAAGTCTGTTCCATAAGAGTTATTTAAATAGGCAAAAACTAGAAAAAATATCAAATGATTAAATGATGGCACAAACAGAATAGATTATTCAACAATAAAAGTTAAAAATCTATAGATACATGCAAGAAGTTGGATGGATTTTAACAGCATTATGTTAAGTAAAGAAAAAAAATTATCCACAAAAGGTTACATACTGTATTTATATAACATTCTTAAAATGACAAAATTTATAGTGTTGGAGAAAATATCAGTATTTGTCAAGAGTTAGGTAGGAGGGGAGAATGTGAGCTTCACGAAGATAACTTGAGCAAGTTTCTCTGTGGTGACAGACCAATACTGCATCCTAATTTTGGTGATGGCTACCTGTGATGTAATTTTATAGCACTGTAAGCTAATTTTTTAAAACAATGAGTGTATTTAAAAATGTGACATCTAATTCATATGCAGTTTTTAAAATAGTATTGTGTCAATATAAATTTCTTGATTTTGATAAATATTACAGTTATGCAAGTTGGTATTATTAGGAGAAGTTGGCTAAGGGGTACTGAGAACTCTCTGAACTATTTTTCAGCTTCTTGTGAATCTAAAATTATTTCAAATTAAGAAGTTAAAAAAAATCAGTTTCCAAATCTTCTATTAATTGGACTGGACAACGATACTTAATATTTGTTTCTCTGTAGTCCTCCATTTATTTATAATATAGTATAAATATTTTTAAATCAGAAGCTCTATTTCTGACTTTTAATTTTTAATATTTTCAAAGCCACTCTTCCAAGTACATAAGCACAATATTTGTAATCACATAAACACACATGCACTCAAAACACACCTAGCAAAAGCCTTGTTTTAGCATATTGGGCTATTTATTTTCTCCCAAAGAAAGAGCTTTAGATTTCCTTGAGGTGGTACTACGTTTTGGTCATTCATGGTTAAATTTGAATATTCCTGACATTTCTACTTTATAAAAGTCTTATTGACTTAAACTCTGAGGCACATAAACATAGAATTATATAACATCTTCTATTTGAAGACTTATTATTCTTTATTTAAAATGACTCACAATAGTTTAGTAGATCCCTTTGCTGGAAGTATGGGTCTAAGATGTATTTTATCGTAATTGATTCTAGAATCAAATGCTAGATTTATATTGATTATTACCATGTAGCCATTCATGATCATTGTGAATCCTATAACATGGTGGTTGCCTTTGTATGGCATTTTATGGTAACCTAGAATAATAAAAAGTGACAGCCTATTTGGCTGGTGTTTTCCCTCCCAATAAAGTGAAAAGTAACAGTTGTCACCACTGTAGCAAAATTAGGTAATACTGCAGAACGAAGGAGTTTGGATTAAACCATGGCTACAGGTCAAAGTCAGAACTTGCTAATAGAATGGTAAATCATGTATTATGTCTAATCAAATTAATTATAACTAAAATGGCATTTAACATACAACTGCTCATTAATTTCTGAAAAATTACAGACATTGATAGCTTTTTGGTGTTGTTTTATGACTGTCTAATGATTCCCAGGTGGTTGAAATGGTGATTATCAAAGTAGGTATTTGCATATGTGTTCAACATGGATAATGCACATTTTTAGATGTGGGATGATAATTTCTTAGTAAAGATTAATAATAGAGTAAAGATTAATAAAATAGGCCAATGCCTAATTCTCAAACAAAAGTATCTTGTAGTTTAGATGTTGATTATAGCATAAATTAAAAACTTTAAAATCCTGATATACTAACCCCTGAGAGATAACAGCATAGCTGATCTCGGGCATAATTGCTTCTGTGTAGGGCTCCCTTAGGCCCTCAAACAAAAATAGGAATCCTGACTCTTTGCTCCCATGCTACTCTTTTAGATCAAGTTAAATTGTTTTGAAACTGCTTAATTGTCTATCTACCATACTTATCTGAGATGCCCTTGAGAAAAGAGATTTTGTGCTGGTTTGTTAAATGTTCACAACGCTTTGCACAATATCTGGGACAGAATGACCACTGGGCAGATAAAAAAGCTTCTCTGTAACAGATAAAAATATCTAGAACCTACCAATGGGCATGGAAAGGGTAAAATAATTCTGAAGGGAGTGAAAAAGGCAACACTAAAATTATCATTCTATAAGTAATTGAGAACAGCTAGAAGGGGTACAATAAGGGCATTTTCTGATTAGTATATGTAGTCAGAGTATTCAAACTGATAATGTAAGTTCACAAAATGCATCGCTTTTAGAAATGATTATGTTTAGAAACACACAAAAAAAATTAAAAAGTGAAAATTGGAAACCTTTATTACTTAAATATAAAGTCAGGAATACCTGTTTGTCTCAGGTGTAAAATGGTATAAGAGAATGTCTTCCACTTTAGTAATGAGAACAAGCCAGATAATCTACAGATTCATAACTTTCTGAGTCCGACAGGCATCTGAGGTCTCTAGATAACCATAATTTACTGAATTCTAAAGGTTGAGGAAGTCCTCTATTGAAGATTGGATTCATAAACTATTACACATTTGCCAAGGTATGGAAAGAAGAGGGGTCCACCATAAAAGATAGTGAAATAAAAAAAGCTGATTAGAAAAAAAAATCTGGAGTGAAATAGCATGATACTTTAGAATCACTGGAAGCCCTGAATACAAAGCAAGTCTGCAATCTCTCATTTTTTTTCCAAGGTCTCCAAGAAGTGCTCATGAGAAACAGTGGGTACATGGCTGGAGACTGCATAAAGTATCTGCCCTCCATGGCACAAGTATGAAGGGCCTGCCTAGATTGGAAAAAGGGCAGAAGAACCAGAAGATTTCTAGAACCATTCTAGATCCTATGTGAGTTCAAGTTATTTGTCTTGTACTAGGCAGAATATTTACTAGTTCACTGGTCCTTCTCTGGCATAAAGCAAAGAGCATATTTTGTGGGAACAGAAGTGGAAAAGAAGCCTGTATTTCTGAATTTTTACTGACAGCAGGCAGATGTAGGCTGCCTCTGTGGGAGGGACAGAAAGTCTGCCAGCACTAGTTTTGGCAATGAATAGGGGAGTAGAAATTATTTGACATTATGGGAAATAAAATAATGAGAAAGTCCTATCCCCAAGGTACAGGGAAAAAGAGCTAATATAAGACATAAAAATAAATAAATAAATAAAAAAGAAATCTTGATTCCCTTGCTTCCACTATAAGACTTGAGGGCAGTGACAAGCAATTGTAATGTGTTCTTAGAGAGGGGCAAGAATGCAGAGTGACCCACTCCTGTGATTCAGGTATACTGAAATCTCAGGAGCAAAAAATTTGAAATAAACCATATGGTGGTCTTGGCTTTATACTAAGTGCAAAGCGGTGGCTGTTCATCACTGTAAGAATTTGAAGCATGTTGTGCACTTAAGCTAACTATAGCAACAAGGATATCCAGACCCAGGTCAACTACAGTCTAGATTGACTCAAACCTCACAGTAATGCCCTTACAAAAAAAAGTAAATTTACTGTCATAAAAATTATTTATGCCCGATTACACTATTCTTTTACATACAATATCTGGTTTTCAATAATAATAATATAACAGACCTCTGGTCTCAGCTTCAACATGTTGAGTTTGGAAATTATCACTCTTGTCCTAACAACAAGAAAGAGCTGAACAGATTGAAAATAAAGGACTCTCCTTTAACCCCTTAGAAAATTTCGTTCAATGGGAAAACCACTGCCCCCAAGTTGGAAGAAACAGGTGAATGCAGAGTTACAAGCAAGATCTGCTTACTGGAGCAGAAGCTGCTGGAGCCAATAACCTGTAGGAACACTGAGGTGGTAATTTTGGCGAGTTGCTGTAGGCAAAGAAAGAATGAAATAGCAAGAGAGAAAATTTTCTGGTAGTTTTTGGAATGAGCAAGTCTGCATATTTGCATGGGTTTTATTTCTAGGAGCCCCATTGAGTTCATATGATGAAAAGCCAAGAAAGATATTCTAATAGCTGTCCTACATCAAGGGAAAAATTAACACTTGTGAAATACCCTCAAGGCCTTCAAACAAAGAACTACTCTTCAGGAGAAAAGATTGCTCCCAAGCCTTATCCCACCAGGGGAAAGGGTATTTCTTTCATTCTAGCTCACATATAACTTCGTGTCTTACCTATGTGGATGAGGAGCTAAAAAACACTTATGAAACAGCCTTGAGACATAGGCCCATGGAAAGACTGAAATGTAATTAAATGATTATAGATTGCATCCCTGCTTTCATACCTTATCACCAAACCAACATGACTCCATTATAACACAGTGAATTAAAAATAAAAGAGCTGCAAAATAGAGTTACTTGAAGAAGATTACATCAGAAAGCTTTGTCAAGAGGAAAGACAAAAAAAAATGAACCTAGAGGAATTTGAACCCTCTTGCACCAACAACTATAGAAAATATTTTTTAAAAAGTCGCCCAAATTTTGGCCATACTTAGATAAAACCTCACTCTATAGACCTATTTAACTTCAGTTTTGACTACTTAGTACATCAGGTCTAGCTTTCAACAACAACAACAACAACAAATTCCAAGCAATTCTAAAAGGCAACTAAAATGCAGTCTGAAGAAACAGGACATTAGAATCATACTCTTATATGCTAGTGATAGTAGAGTTATCATGAATATCATAAATTAAGTGTTAAAGGCTCTAAAATATACAACATGCAAGAATAGGTAGGTTATCTAGTCAAAGAGATGAAAACTCAAAAATAAAATCAAAAGAGAGTACTACAAATTAAAAAAAACCCTACTTAAATGGAAATGAAGAATGTTTGGATATAGGTTAATAGAAACATTTCAAACTGAAATGCAAAGAGAGAAAACAAAAATTAATTATTAACAGAACATCCCAAACCTGAGGTATAATTTAAAAGCTGTAACATATACACAAATGAAATACTAAAAGGAAAAGAGAGACAATAGGGCAGAAGAGATACTGGAAGAAATAGTGGCTAGGGATTTTCCGAAATAAATGAAACACATCACACTACAGATCTAGAAAGCTCAAAAAATACAAAGCAGTGATATGGGCAGGAGACAGGGAAATACTGGGTAGAAGAGGACGGTTCCCTGGCAAAGGCCCCACCCTCAAACCTGGAAACCCCTGGCACTAAATGGAAACAGCCATTCCTGTTTTCATACCCAAAAGTTACCTTTTGGCCTGCCATAACCCCCATCCTGTACATATAAAAACCCCAGACCTCAGGCTCCAGAAGGACACAAGGAGACAAACAGAAGAGCAGAAAAAAATGGCAGAACAGCACAGGAGAGAGAAGAGAAGGAGTCTCTAAACACAGAGAGGAGTTCTGCTGGGAGTGGTTGCAGAAGAGATCCACTGCTGGACAGCCAAACTCCAGGGGAAGATCACTTTCCCAATGTATCCCCCTTCCAGCTTCCCATCCATCCTGCTGACAGCCACCTCCACCACTCAATAAAACCCCCACATTCATCCCTCAAGTACGTGTGTGACATGACTCTTTCAGGATGCTGGAAAAAGACCTGGGTACCAAGAGGGCACTGAGCTGGTTAACACTTAAGCCAACTGCAGACTGCAAAGCTAAAAGAATGCACTGTAACACATGCCCACTTGGGCTTTGAGAGTCACAGGCACCCACCCCTAGACACCACTGTGGGGCCAGAGCCCCAAAGCACTTGCCCCAGCTCCTGCACCTGCCCACCTGTGTGCTCCCCCTCTCATAAGGGGTTTGAGTAGGTGCCACAGACAAACAGGTGAGCCACACCCCTGTTATGTGTTCTGAGAGGGGGCTCAGGAATGCTTTCATTTCGGCAGGATAAGAAAAAGACAAATCTACAACTAAGCATATGTAAAGGAAAATAAAATATCAGGACCTCCAAGCTCTTTATGACAAAGGGAAAATTAAGCCTGGAAGCTGAGACACTACACAGCCATCTTCTTTCCCAATGAATAACTGTTCCTTTACAACTTTGTGAAGTAACATTATACATTAGCCAGACTCTCATGGAAAAGGAAAAGACCTTAGGAATTTCCTCAGGATTATCTCCACAAAATCAATCGTAAGTTAATTATTTGCTGTCTTCAACATTTTCAAAATGTATGTATCCTTCCTTAAACCAAGGAAATGTCAATTGTAACTGTAGATCTGCAATCTTAATATGGCTCCTGAAACTAAAATCTGTTCAATTCCACACTGATAACATCTATTATAGCTCATCTTCTAAGTTTCAGAACAAGGCAAGATGAGATGAATCATTCCTTCATCCACCCTGAGGAGTTTACACAATTGTTTCTTCCTGTACTTACTTTTTCTTCAGATGTTCACCTTATCTTTGTAAAATGTAGATTTGCTATGAACTAACTAAATTCTCACAAGAATGTGACCATTTGCCTCACTGTTATGGAAACTGAATAGATGACTTTAAGAAGAATTTTTAGGGTGGCAAACCTTTCTATATGTTACAGTGGTGGTGCAAACACTACAAGAGAAACTTGCCAAACCTACAAGATTTACAAAGCACAGAGTAAAATTTAATGTATGCAAACTTAAAACAAATATTTAGGATCTTAGGAGATCTCATGATAAAATGTGAAATGCTATAAATTAATCTAATTATGTTACAAATGCATGAAAAAACTTCATGTAAGTGAGTGTGGTACGAAATTTGCTAAGTAACCTTAAAAATGCTTGGAATATGCAAGACTAAACATAAAAGAAACTGCATAAGTATTGTCTTCTAGATGATAAAATTTTCTGGCCCATGATGACATGGGTTAAGGCTATACCACTGCTGAAATTGGAGTTTCAACACCAGCAATGTAAAGAGGCTAGAACTATCTACATAGTAATGGATTAGAACTGAAGATATCAGTATAAACTCATTCCTAGTTTAACATGATGTTTCTATCTAGTTATCCATCTAGACAGCATACACACATGTATTTCCCTTCTCTGCGAGCTGAGATACTCTAGAATCAATAGTACCTCAGAAACAACAAACAATAATACAACAAACAACAATAATATCTTGCTTTGTATTATCATTTTCTGGTACAAGGAAACAGAACTCTTTGGAGAAATGGTTAATTCTAATATTGGTCAAGAAATCTGGAAGGTGAGCCTGGAGAATCTTATAGTGTCAGAAAGTAATAAAGTACTCAACCACCACCATCACCACCACCACCAACAGCAAAACCCAAAAGGATGGAACTAATGATGGGGGAAGCTAAAAGGAAGTCAGGCACCAATTGAAAGAGCTCCAAATGACAAAAGCTGGAATATTTTAAACCACAAAATCACTTTAGTACTATTGGACTTTAACCCGAACATACAATAAATATCTGGCTCCACACTGATACATTTGGATCATTGAACAAATAAATGAGGGGTAAAGACTTATCTCCCTTGCAGAAAATTCCAAACAATTTAAGTAGGTATTCCACCATTAAAGAGGTGAATCCTTCTCTTTAGGTGTGGACTTTAGATGGACAAATCCTTTAGATAGGTGTGGACTGTACACAGAAAATTTCTTTCAGATAGTTTAGGTAATATAAAAATGGGAACAAGGAGTAGTCTTATCATGGAGAAACTTGACAAACACTCCAGCTAGGTGATCAAGATCAACATCAGTTGTAAGTCATATTGGTAGTATCATGTGCTGAAAATGGCCTTTTACTATATCATCCTTCTTGCAAAAACGTATACCTCCAGTCTAATCATAAGAAAAATACAAGACAAATTCTAGTTGAGGGATTTACTTTCTACAAAATGCCCAACTAACATTTCTTAGAACTTTCAAGGTCATCAAAAACAAGAAATTTCTAGGTAACTCTTACAATCTGGAGGAGCCTAAAGAAATATAGCAAATAAATTGAATGTGAACTACTGGGATAGAAAAAGAACATCAGGTAAAAATAATGGAATTATGGATAAAATATAAATTTAATCACAATAACATGTTAATATTTGTACATTAATTTAAACAAATGTGACATAGTAATGTAAGATTTTAATAAGGGAAATTGAGTGTGGAGTATATAAGAATGTTCTGTAGTATCTTTGCAGCTTATCTGTAAATTCAACTCTGTTCTAAAATAAAATTTTCTAAAATAATAAGGTTGAAATACAGATTTTTTCAGATGTATGCAAAGATAATTTCTTGCCAGAAGACATGCACCACATGAGATTTTAACCTAATTTGTGAAGGTTTATTATAGGTATATTTTTAGAATATTTGAAATCAAGAGCAAAAAGAACATTTTTATATAAAAATGTGTTAATGCGTATTAACACATCTTAACAGTTCAAGTTCTTTTATGCTTTTGTATTTTAACTTCTATAAATTGAATTAAAATTTACTTACACACCACTATTACAGTATTATATTATTTTGTATTTGTCTATATATTTACCTTTACGAGAGGTTTATACTCAAATACACTTTTGTGTTGCTTTTCAATATCTTTTCATTTCAGAATCTCATTTTAGAATTTTTAGTAAAATAGGCCTAATGGTGATGAACTCCCTCAACTTTTGTTTAAATCCTAGGTCCTTATCTCTTCTTCATTTTAAAAGGACAATTTTGCCAAATTTGGTATTATTGGTTGACTGGGTTTTTTTTTTTTTTCTGGTATTTTGTTGTTGTTGTTGTTGCTGTTGTTTGGCTGCTTTCTTGTGACACTTTAAATATACACCCCACTTCCTTTTGGCCTCCAAGATTTTTGCTGAGAAATCTGCTGGTAGTCTTAGCATGTTTCTCTTGTATGTGACAAGTCCTTTTAATATTGCTTTCAAAATTCTTTTTCTTTTACTTTTGACAATTTTATTACTAAGTGTCTTTGTGTTTTAGGATACACATAAGCTGACAGTGAGGGATGGATAAAAATATTTCATTCAAACAGTAACCGAAAGAGAGCAGGATGAACATATTTACATCAAACAAAGTAGACTTTAGATACAAAACTCACAAGAGACAAAAAAAGATACTATAATAATAAAATATCACCAGGGAAATATAACAATTATAACAGTACAGATACCAAACATTGGAGTATCTAAATATATGAAGCAAATATTGACAAGACTCAAGTGACAAATAGCAACTAAAATAATAGTAGATTTTAATAACCCACTTTCAATAATAGATAAAATATTCAAATAGAAGATCAATAAGGCAATAGGGGACTTGAACAACACTATAAAGCAAATGGACCTAACAGCATAAACAGAGTATTTCACCCCAATGCTACAGAATACTTGTTTTTCTCAAGCACACATAGGACATTCTCAATGATGGACCACAAGTTAGGTCACCAAAAAGAGAAAAAAAAAAGTCTTAACAAATTTAAGAAGACTAAAATTCTACCTAGTATTTTTTTAAACCAAAAATAACAGAGGACCAAGTGTGGTGGCATGTACCTCTACTCTCAATTACTTGAGAGGCTGAGGCATGAGGATAGCTTGAGTTCAGGAGTTTGAGGCTGCAGTGTGCTATAACTACACCTGTGAATAGGCACTGAACTTCAGTCTGGGCAAAAAAGCGAGCCCCCCATCTCTCAAAATATATGAAAATAAAAAGAAACTAAAAATCAACTGCAAAAGGAAAACTGGACAATTCACAAGTATATGGAAATTAAACCATTTGCTCTTAAACAATGAAACAGTCCAAGAAGAACTGAAGGAAAAATTAGAAAATATATTGTATCAAACTAAAGAGAAAACACAATATAACAAAACTCATGGAATACAGAAAAAAAACTACTAAGGGAGAAATTTATAGCAATAAATGCCTACATTAAATAAAAAAAAACTCAAATAATCAACCTAACACTATACCACTAATAACTAGCAAAAGAGGAACAAACTTAACTCTAAATTAGCAGAAGAGGAAAATAATTTTAAAAAAGAACAGAAATAGAGAAACATAATAAAAGAAAAGGTATATAAAATCATTGAAACTAAGAATTGATTTTTTAAAAGATCAACAAAAGCAAAAAGCTTTTAGTAAAACTAAGAAAAATTTAGAGAAGATTTAAATAAATAAAATCATAAATTAAATAGGAGTCATTGCAACAGACAACAGAAACATTTTTTAAAAAAAGGATTATGAGGCTTGGCGGGGTGGCTCACACCTGTAATCCCAGCACTTTGGGAGGCTGAGCTGGATGGATCACCTGAGGTCAGGAGTTTCAGATCAGCCTGGCCAACATGGAGAAACGCCTCCTTTACTAAAAATACAAAAGTTTGCTGGGTGTAGTGGTGCATGCCTGTAATCTCAGCTATTCAGGAGGCTGAGGCAGGTGAATCACTTGTACCCAGGAGGCAGAGGTTGCAATAAGCCGAGATTGCACCACTGCACTCCAGCCTGGGCAACGAGACATCATCTCAAAAAAAAAAAAAAAAGAAAAGAAAAAAAAAGAAAAGAAAAGATTACGAGAGTACTGTAAGAAATTATACACTAACAAACTGAATAACCTGGAATAAGTCTTATGAATTGAAAAATACAAAACATCACAGACAGAAATTAAAGAAGACACAAATAAATCAAACTACATTCCATGTTCATGGACATCCCATGTCCATGTTCATATTGTTCGTATTGTTAAAATACTACCAAAAACAATCTACAGATGCAATGTTATCTGTATCAAAATTCCATTGTATTTTTTTTATAAAAATAGAAACAAACTTCTAAACTTGATGTAAAACACAATTGACCCTAAATAGTAAAAGTAATCTTTAGAAAGAACAAAGATGAAGGCATCACACTTCAAAACACATCTAATTCATCACACTTCAAAACACATCTAATTCATCATATTTCAAAACACATCTAATCAATTGAAATATGATTTCAAAACATATTTCAAAGGTATAGTAATCAAAACAATATGGTACAAGCATAACAAAAGATTTATAGACCAACAGAAGAAAATAGAGAGGGCAGGAATAAAATAATGCACATAGAATCAACTGATGTTTAACAACAGTGCCAAGAATATACAATGGAGAAAAGAGAATATCTTCATATTTTCAACAGTTGGTGTTGCAATAACTGGATTTCTACACGCAGAAGAATGAGATTGGAAACTTTTTTTTTTTACACCATACACACACACAAAAAAACTCAACATAAATTAAAGACTTAAATGTAAAACCTGAAACTATAAAACTATAGGAAGAAAACTTAGGGAAAAAGTCTACTTGATATTGATCTTGGCTATGATTTCATGAGTATACCAAAAGTACAGACAACAAAAGCAGAAATAGATGAAAGGACTCTATCAAAATAAAAAGCTCTGCACAGCAAAGAAAATGATCAAGATACTGAAAAGACAATATATGGAATGTGAGAAAAAATTTGCAAACCTGACATATGATAAATGGTTAGTATCCAAAATAAATAACATATAAGAAACTCCTATAACTCAGAAAGAAAAAAAGTAAATAGCTTGATTAAAAAATGGGCAAAAGACTTAGACATTTCTCCAAAGAAAACATATAAATGGCTCACAGGTATATGAAAAGTTGCTCACCATTACTAATAATCAGGAAATGCAAATAAAACCACAATATGATATAATCTCATAACTGTTAGGACTGACATTATAAAACAGATGGAAAATAAGTGTTAGTGAAGACTGGAGATATTGGAACTTCTATGCACATATAAGCATTCCTCAAATAATTAAAAATAAAACTACCATATAATCCAACAATCCCATTTCTGGGTATTTATGCAAAATAAATGAAACAGGGATCTCAAAGATATATTTGCACTCCCTTGTTCATTGCATAATTATTCATAATAGGCAAGTTATGGAGAAACAACTTAATGTCCATTGATGGATGAATGAATAGATATAATGTCGCATATGCATATAATAAAAATACTATTTAGCTTTAAAAAAGAAAAGAAATTTTGTCTTATAATAGAAGTTAGGTGAACCTCAGTGACATTCTGCTAAGTGAAATGCTAAGTAGAAGTAAAATGGTAGTCTCCAGAGGGCAGGAAGAGGGTCTGAAAAAGTACTGGGGATGTGCTTTTCAATGGACATAAAGTTTCAGTAATACAAGATGAAAATTTCTAGAGATCTGCTATACAACATTATACTTATAGTTAACAATACTGTACTATACATTTCTAATTTTGCTAAGAGGGTAGATCTTATATATTTAAAAATTCCACAATTTTTAAAATGTAAAATATTAGTGAAAAAAGGTATAACCTCTATTTGTATTAAGCATGAGACAGCTGGTGAGGTCATGTTAATTATAGACAAACTAAAATTACTAAAAATAGTTACAGACATAAAAAGGGTAATTGTATATAATATTAAAAGGATCAGTCCATGAAGAATACTTAATAATACTAAACACAAACATATTTAATAAACATTACTTCAAAACACATCTAATCAATTTCCCCACCCAAAAGAAACCACCTTCTATCCTCTATATTCTTAGTTATGCATGATAGTAAAAATCATATAACTGACACTATAAAGTTATTCTATAATTAAAGATTGTTCCAATATTAAACAATAATCAAATGTAATTTATCACACATTACCATATCCTATTTTAAGTATATAAAATTATAAATTTTGAAAAATGCATATAATCTACACTATCATAACAATAAATTTAACTTATATTAAGCATACCACTCAGTAATCACTGTTCTGAAAATGTTTTTCATATCCAATGTTTTTCAATTATGTGTGTATGTTTATAACTATATTAATAATTCATATTTCTTTATTATTTATTATACATTTAATGTTACAGGCATATGCAATATAAAATGTAAGCAGTCCTTTAGTCTACTTCCTGTTCTGTTCTACAGTTATCATTTGAAAAATACTGAAATTCTCAGACACATTACATCGTTTTAAGTGGTATTGAATTACATGTATTCAGATTAAACATTTGGTTATATAATCTACTTTATATATACACATATAGATTAATGCATAAAGGGATACGTAGATAGATCTATTTGCTCTAGCTGCAGTGAATATATGTAGTTTCTTGAAGAGATACATTGATTTTCTTATTCATGCCTTTTTTATGCTCCTATAGCATGGAAACGTATTTTCTCCTAATTGTTTGGTATAAAACCAAACTAAATTTGCCTTAGTTTTTATTTCTATAATCTAAGGGAATGCACTCCATTCAAGTATATAATAATATTTAATAATTTTTTGTCCCCTTACTTTGTAAATTACTCTACTTTTTTGGAGTCTTTTTTCAGGGACTATTTTATTATTCTTTATATCCTCCAAACCTAGAACTGTTATCAAAATAAACATGTGTTAAATGAATGTTAACTAATATGTAAGAGTAAACTCTGGCCATTTTTTCTTTCTTTCTTTCTTTCTTTTGTTTTTTTTTTTTTTTTTTGAGACGGAGTCTCGCTCTGTTGCCCAGGCTGGAGTGCAGTGGCGCCATCTCTGCTCATTGCAAGCTCCGCCTACCAGGTTCACGCCATTCTCCTACCTCAGCCTCCCGAGTAGCTGGGACTGCAGGTGACCGCCACCACGCCTGGCTAATTGTGTGTGTGTGTGTGTGTGTGTGTGTATTTAGTGGAGACGGGGGTTTCACCATGTTAGCCAGGATGGTCTCGATCTCCTGACCTCGTGATCCACCCGCCTCGGCCTCCCAAAGTGCTGGGATTACAGGCGTCTTGAGCCACCGTGCCTGGCCCATTTTTTTCTTTATATAAATAGGTTTGGCCTCAAATTGGAGACCTTCTAAAATTACGATAAATTTACTATTCTTTGATTTAAAAAATCTGAATAAACTGATTTATATCCTAATTCCACAAATACATTTCTAGAGCACATCTAAAGTTTTAAAGCATAAAAAGGTAACAAAAATGGTAATTGTCATATGACACTAAAGTGAAAAGTTACACACAAAATTTTGGAAATAATGAAAATAATGAGAAACTTACAGGATGGGGAAAGATAAAAAATGACTCTTGGAACTAACACTGACAAATTTTGATAATGGAGGAAGCTTTTTTATGTTTTTGAAGAAAAGTGATTTTATCAAAGTGAAATATGAAAAAAATGTGGACATTAGAGAAATAATTAACTTTTTGCCACTAGTTTTACATACTATATATTCACTTGTATAAAAATTATTATTTGTTTCCAAGAAAGGTTCATTTTACAAAGAGTTTCACAAGATTTTACCCTGTGTACTGAAGCTTAGTTGAGGAATAAACTCTATTAAATAGATTGAGCAGGGTCATTATTATTCTGTGTAGTTGCAATTGGGTGGAAAAGATACCCATTTGTAGTGAGAGAAGCAAGAATTAAACCTGTAAACAGCCTAAATACAGTTAAGCACCAAATGGACAGGAAAAATAATAAATATTTATAACATTATTTCTCTTATTCAGCTGCAGAAATTTAGAATGAATTTACAGTACATGCTTAAGTGATATCAATGAAAGCTAGCTATGGGAAAAGAAGATAAATTTGACATAAGCAAATTTTGGGAAAGTACAGCTTTCCTTCCACCTTGCAGTTCTACAGTTCATTAAGTTTGAATACTGAACAAATTCCAGATTTAAATATAAACATTACTTCTGCATAGTCTTTCTAAATTATATCATATATCACATTTAAAATGCTTTCGATTTAATTGTAATTGGTTTACTTAAACATAGCTGAGCATATGAGGCTGTAAGTTCTTTCTCAATTAGTTGATGAAACTTGTGTTCCCATTTCTCTGTTATCATACAGTTGGATTACAATTAGACAACTTCTTAAACTTACATGTACAGTACATAACTAAAACATGAACAAGATAAATTCTGCTCTAATGATACCAATTTGACTAAATACTTAGGTTTTTTTGTAATTAAAGATTAAGAATATATATAAGTAAGGATGTTAATTTTAGTGGAAAAATAGTCTATAAAATATATGATAAAATGAACAGAATTTTCCTCGGACTCCATGTCTAAGTAAATTTTACATGAGTATTTCTTATTCAAAAATATATTGAGTAAGTTCTCAGGAATACAGTTTGCAGATTTTAGAAAACAGATAATTTGAGCCTTCTTTCAAATTTTTCATTTTCCTAAAGTACTAACTTATGTATCTTTTAAACTAAATCTCACTTAAGAAGCTTTAAAAATTAGAGTAGTTGCTGCCTTTGCAATGTTTCATTTTACCTATGGCAGCTCCAGTAAAAAAAACTATTAACAAGAACTTTGCTGTTTTTAAAATATATATATCATGTTACAAAAATAAGAAATTATATAAAATTTTGGTAAAATTGCAAACAGAAGTAAAGTAATGCATTTCAAAATATAACAATAATAAATACTTCAAATTAGTCATTTTATATGAAAATTAAATGAAAGATGAACTTCAAAATTTTTGTTCCTAATTACAAACTCCAAACTTAAAGAAATATTATTTATAGTATATCTTCATGTTTTTCACTTCTCAAAACTTTGTTAATTCATTGATGTTTTAAAGTAAAATTCTGTTAATTATATATGCAAAAATGCAAAGATAAATATCAAAATTCTGCCATTTAAGAAAATGAACAGAGATTATTTATTTATATGCTTATAGGTATTTGGAAAATAAAAATGTCTCAGGATGGCTGTGCTTAGCTCTAATTTCTGAATTTGCTACTTCCATATGCTAAATTTAATTTCAATTATATTGACATAAATTGTATCGCACATGCCCTAGTTCATCTAGTTCAATACTCTGAGTTACTGTATTACATTTTTCCCATCATAGGAAACTACGCATTAGTGAATCAAAGCATTTCTTGATGAAGTTCTAATTTACTTTTCCCTTTGGTAATTTTACCCTTGGTTGCAAAAGAAAGAACAATCTTAAAATGTTATTTAGAATAATAAGCTGAAGCAATTATGAATTCATTTTATCAAAATTACAATTCTGGAAATGAGTGTGCTGATATCCCATCTTTATCATTTGCATCACTGGTGTCTCAAATACTTTGCTAAATGAATAATTTCCCTACTTACATTAATACCCATAATTTTGCTCTCTGGAATATCAGGTTATTAAGTTTCACCAATTCTCATATGCCTTGTATGCAAATTTAAACTGTAATGTGGAAAACATGTTTACCAGCCTTTGACAAATGTCCACAATTGTATGGACATTGTATTGTAATCATTTGCAATTTGCTGGTAAAGTTTGTATCCAAGGTGAAACACTGTCATAACCTCTTTGAACTTCTTCCCTTGAGTGGCAGAAGACCAGACCTTAGATGTTATAGTGGAGAGTCTGTCAAAAGTAATGCCCACCTTGCTTTATATTCATAGTTAGTTCTGTAACTGAAACATGGAGTGAGACATTTTTACTCATAAAGTGAGACACACCTGTACTTGTAATCCATCAGATATCTTAATTATAAATATCAGGGTAAAATATTAGAATAAAATATAGTTACACTTTCATATAACATGTGATTGGCCAACTGCACCTCTAAATTATAACCTAATAATATTTATTCTATTAAGAAAAAGTATAAGGTTCAAAAAGCAGAATGCAATACAATTTTCACCTTGGGTTTTTTTTGTGTAAAGTGCATAATTGCAGTTTTATGCATAAACTCATAATAGGAATAACCTGGTTTTATAGTGAGGTGGTTAAAAAATTACTCTGCATCCATATAATTAAATATAGTAAACTTATTTTAAAATATATGAGTCCAATATAACTATTTTGATGTGGAAAATAATATTATTATATGACACCATTGATATAAACACGAGATAGTTTTTAAAGGATGAATACAAGAAACTTACACTGAACCTTTGAGGAGAGAACCCTGGAATTAGAGAGGAAATAATTTTTTTCTCTAGAGTTTATACATGGTTATTCTGCTTTGATATGCATGCATAACTTTTGTTTACTAAGAAACTCAGTAAATTTTATCTGAACAGTGTTCATAGCAATTCTTATTTTTATTTTTAAAATTGTCTAAATTTAAAACTCAGTATATGCCATAATTTAAATAGTACATAATTCAAAAACACAATCTCATTTCTGTCTCTATTTGTCAGAAAAAAACTAAAATTTTATACTGTAACACTGTCACTAGCCAAAATGACCAACAGACAAGATCTGATATTTACCTTTCAATTGATATATTATTGTCGAATTTCAATTGATATATTATTGTTAATTTAATTTAAGTTTACTGAAGTTGACTTGTGTTATAAGAAAGTCTGCTTCTGGAAAAAATATTATGATGATGAGTCATTTACTGTAAAACCTCATATATATGTGTGTATTTATATACCTATATATATACACACATATATATTTTACCATATTTTATTTCTCTATATAGAATATATTGTGTTTATTGTATTTTTAAATATAGTATATTTCTATATGTATATATAGAAATAAAAGATATATTTTTCCATATGTATATAAAGAAATAAAATTACGTAAACCTTAGTGGAACTGTAGATTTTTTCCCCTCTTTATAGTTTTCTCTAAGTACATGAAATGAAACGAGACTTTTTTTATACAAAAATTAAACATTAACACTATTATATAAAAAGGAATTTTTGAGCTATTTAAAATGATTTATTGATTTTATTAGGAACATTTAATAAAATGATTTATTGATTTTATTAGGAACATTTAAAACAAGAGAAGAATATTTAAAGCAAAACTTAAAATTTAAAATAGTATTATTTACATTTTAATAATTTTTATAATTTTTAATTGTCCCATAATTTTTGCACATATTTATGGAATACAGCATGCATGGAATACTACTCAACCATAAAAAATAATGAAAATCTCTCATTGGCAGCAACGTGAATGAGCCTGCCGGATATTATGTTAAGTGAAAGAAGCCAGGCAGAGAAAGATAAATACTGCATGTTCTCATGCATATGTGGAAGGAAAACGATGTCATAGAAGTAGAGAAAATAGTGTTTACTAGAGGATGGGAAGGGGAAAAGGGAGGGAGGGATAAAGAGAGATTGGTTAACAGATACAAAATTATAGTTAGATGAAAGGGTGACTGTAGTTAACAATTTATTGTACATTTTCAAATAGCTGGGAGAGATTTTGAATGTTCTCAGCACAAATAAATTATAAATAATTGAGGTGATAAATTTTCTAGTTACCCTGATTTGATCATTACACATTGTACATATGTATGAAAATACCACACTGTACCACATAAAATAAGATTTTTTAATGATGGAATTTTGGTTACCTTGACAAATCCTATGCTCAAAATCCCTCATATCAAAGCAAGTAGACCTGGGCTCCTTGAGATTTTCCAGTGAAACGTCCTTGGTGTAACGGTTTAATTTCAATATAAAGTATTTTTTTCTGATTACTTCTTTAAATCAACAGACTTTGTTTGAAGGGCATTTTATTATCTATCCAGATCAAAGTAAATTGTTAAACTATATCCAAACATAACTCTCTCTCTCTCTCTCTCTCTCTCTCTCTCTTTTTGACGGAGTCTTGCCTGTTGCCCAGGCTGGAGTGCAGTGGCGGGACCTTGGCTCACTGCAACCTCTGCCTCCGGGGTTCAGGTGATTCTCTCACTTCAGTCTCCTAAGTAGCTGGGACTACAGTTGCCCACCATGATGCCCGGCTAATTTTTCTGTATTTTTAGTAGAGACAGGGTTTCACCATGTTGGCCAGGCTGGTCTCAAACTCCTGACCTCAGGTGATCTGCATGCCTCGGCCTTCCAAAGTGCTGGGATTACTGGCATGAGCCATTGCGCCCAGCCGCGAACATAACTTTCAATCGCTGAGCACTGTTACATTGCTTTAGGATGGTCATGGTTATTCCATGGCTGTTTTCACTTATTTTATGTCTGAATAGCCACAGAATAACAGAATAAACTCTATTCTGTAAAAGATTAATGAATACTGAGAAACCTCTAAATGCCATTTGCTTTTGCATATATTCTGAAAGTGCCACAATATATACTCCATGGTAAGTTACAATAACAAATGTCCTTGGGGATTTCCTTCCAGGGTTTAAGAATATTTAAATAAACATTCTGCCTTTGATAACGATGGAAGGCAATAAGCAGTGTTTTCTTATTAATATATGAATTTAAATAAAATAATATTAGTAATTACAGACTATGAGAAAGTAGAGACACAGAAATTTTTACGTCTTTTAAGTAACTTCATTTCTAAGAAAAATAATTTAATCACACAGTAAGTATGCAGCTGCTACTACTGAATGGGATTCAGAAATAATTTGATTAAGATTTTTATGCATATAAAATCCTTAAGAAGCAATAAAGAACATGTATACAACTGATCATAAAATCAATGAAAACAAAATTGAGCTAAGGAAACTGTGGCATACAATCTACTAGTTAAAATGTTACTCTTAGCTCTTAGACTTGATAGTAGTCAAATAGCAACCAGAGACAAGAAACATTATCTCCAATTTCATCCAACCCAAGAGAGAACACATTTGTATTGAATATTGGCATCTAATGTGGTGAGAGAGATTAGGAATATGAGTGTGTGGCAACATTGCTCATTGTTTTTACACAATGCACCAAAATGTTATTTGTTTTTTAAAAGTCCGGACATTTGATAGGTAAAATATGTATAAACTGACTTTCCCTGACATTATTTTGTCTCCTACTTCAGGATAAGTTGAGCGAATAAAAAGAAAATACAATCACTTATAATTCAGTAACAGTATCAGTAATAATAATAATATTTAAAACTAAGTATTTCAATCTCCATATACATCTAGGAGTCAATCTGAGATTCAATCCAGGATCTATTCTAAGTGCTGAGCATAGACTAAACACATTTAATTTTCACAAGCTCCAGGTGATTCTAGGAATTGGCATTTTTTTTATTACTCCCCTCTTTAGACTTTAGTTTATGTTAAAAAAAATTAAAATATGAAGAAACCAAGCTCTAAGGGGTTAAAATGATTTCAAAGATAATCATAAGTTACAATAATAATTTGTATAAAGTCAGCGTTTGCTAGATTCCCGTAGCATAACTATTTGGTTTTTGACTTGGATAATTATATTTCACTGTCATTCATGAAGTCAAATAGCAATGGGGAAGAAGCAGGTAATGGGCCTACAGATAGCTGATGAACGGTATTTTATGTATGTGCATGGGGCATCCAAGAACAAGTGACCACTATGGAGGCAGATGCAAGCCTGGAGGCTCAGAGTGAGATGATGAATAACCTAAGGAATTATAAAGAAATATGTGACAAGTGAAGATATACAACTGGATTCTATTGGTAGAAAGATGAATCTAACAAGATAGCTTAAAAAATAAGTGAGATAACTGAGTGACAGTGGTAGGCAGAGAGAGTGAGTCCAAATAGAGACAAAACATGGAAGAAATATAAACTAAGAAAACCACTTAACTAAATCGAAGGAATATTTTTTCTCAAGATAGCTTGGTAAACAGTAGCAAATGCTGATGAGAGGTCAAAATGAGAAATGTTAAAGATGATTTTTTTTTCTTTTTTCTAGCTTTTCTTTTTTCACTATTGTTTTTAATTGACATATAATAATTGCAGATAATTATGTAGTGTAATATTTTGATATATGCATATAATGTATAATGATCAAATCAGAGTAATTAGCATAACTATCATTTCAAACATTTATTGTTTCTTTCTGTTGGGAACATTCAAAGCCCACTCTTCTAGCTATTTGAGAATATACAATACATTGTTACTTATTGTCACCCTACAGTGCTACAAGGCAAAATAATTAATTCTTTCTATGTAGCTATTTAGTTTTGTACTGATTAACCAAAATTTGGCTATCCATCCCCCCTAACCTTTCCTGATATCCAGTAACCACTATTCTTCTGTATTTTCAGGCAATCAACTAGTTTTGTTTCCACCTATCAGTGAGAACATTGGTATTTATCTCTCTGTGACTGGGTTATTTCACTTAATAATGATTTCCAAGCTCATCCATGTTGCTGCAAATGACAATTTTGTTCTTTTTTATAAATAAATAGTATTTCATTATGTATATATATCATATTTTCTTCTACCATTTATCTACCAGTGAACACTTAGGCTGATTCCATATCTTGCCTATTGTGAAGAGTGCTGCAATAAACATGGGAGCATAGATTTACTTTGACATCTAAATTTATTTCCTTTGAATATATACCAAGAAGTGTAAGATGGTTGTTCTATTTTCAGCTTTATGAGGAATCCCTATACTATTTTTCAGAGTGGTTGTACTAATGTACATTTCTACTAATGGCATATGAGTTTCCCTTTCCCTACATCCTTGTAAAGATTTATTATTTTTTTGTTTTTCTGATAATAGTCATTCTAAAAGGTGTGAGATCATATCTCATTCTGATTATTTTCATACACTGTTGGCCATATGATGTCTTCTTTTGGGAACTGTCTATTCAGCTCATTTGTCCATTTTATAATTTGATTTTTTTTTTGCTGTTGAATTGTGTGTTTCTCGTATATTTTACATATCTAGATATAAATCCCTTGTTAGATGAATACTTGGCAAATATTTTCCACCAATTTGCAGGTTGTCTCTTTACTCTGTTGATTGTTTCCTTTCAGGTGCAAATACTTTTTAGTTTCATATAATCCCATTTGCCTATTTTTGCCTTTTTTGTCTGTGCTTTTGAGGTATTCTCAATAAAATCTTTCCCCAGAACAATGTTCTAAAGCTTTTTTCCTCTGTGTTTTTCTAGTAGTTTTATAATAAAGTTTAAGGTCTTACATTTAAATCTTTATCCAGTTTCAGTTGATTATTGTATGTGGTGAGAGGTAAGAAACTACTTTTATTTTTCTGTTTATAGATATCTAGTTTTCCCAGCACCATAAACTGAAAAAAACTGTTATTTTACCAGTGAATGTTCTTGAAGCCATTGTCTAAAATCAGTTGACTGTAAATACATGAATTTGTTTCTGGGTTATCCATCTGTTTCATTGGTTTATGCATCTGTTTTTATGTGAATACCATACTGTTTGGGTTATTATAGCTTTGTAGTACATTTTGAAGTCTGATAGTGTGATTCCTTTAGCTTTGTTCATTTTGCTCAGTATTCCTTTGGCTATTTCAGGTCTTCTCTGGTTCCATACAGATTTTAGATTTTTTTTTCTATTTCTGTGAAGAATATGTTATGTTGATAAAAATTTAATTGAATCTATAAATTACTTTTGGTGGTATGGTCATTTTCACAACTTCATTTTTTTTCTGCTAGCTTGTTATTGATATAGAGAACTACTACTGATTTTTCTATGTTAATATTGTGTTCTTCAACTTTACTGAAATTGTTTATCAGTTTTGAACGTTTTTATGGTATTTTTAGAGTTTCCTATATATAAAGATACGTTACATACATACAGAGACAATTTGACTGCCTCCCTTCCCATTTGAATGCCTTTATTTATTTCTCCTGCCTTATTGCTCTATCTAGGACTTCCAGTACTATAGTGAATAACAATGGTAAAAGTGGACGTATTTGACTTGTTCCTGTTGTTAAAGAAAAACATCTTTAATTATCCCTGTTGTTGGATATGAGTTTGTCACACATGTCCCTTTTTGTGTTGAGGTATATTCCTTCTAAACCTAACCGGCTGCAAATTTTTATAATGAAGGGATGTTAAAATTTATCATTTTTTTGCATCTGATATTGAGATGCCTGTGATGACTGTGTGGCTATCGCTCTTCATTCTATTGATGTGATAAGTCATGTTTGTTTATTTTTGTGTTTAGAACCACTCTGGTGGCACTGGAATAAATACCACTTGATCATGGTGAATGATTTTTTTCAATGTGTTACTGGATTCTATTTACTAGTATTTCACTGGAAAATTTCACAACTGTGTTCATCACAGTTATTGACCTGAGTAGTTTTTGTTTTCTTTTTTTTTTTTTGTATCCTTTTCTGTCTTGGTAACAGATTAAGTAATACTGTTCTCATAGGATGAGTTTGGAAGAATTCTCTCTTCTTCAATTTTCTGAAAAAGTGTGAGAAGAATTGATATTAGTACTTCTTTAAATGTTAGAAGAATTCAGCACTGAAGCCACCAGGTCCTGGGGTTTTTTAAAGGATATTTTTAATTATAGATTCAATATCATAATTAGGCTATTAGGATTCTGTGTTTCTTCTTGCTTCAGTTTTGGTAGGTTGGCATGTTTCCAGGAATTTATTCATTCCTGCTAGGTTTTCTCTCTCTCTCTCTCTCTCTCTCTCTCTCTCTCTTTTTTTTCACATAGTTGCCCAGAATAGCCTGTAACCATCCTTAGTATCTCTGTAGTACCATTTGTCATTTCTTCTATTTTTTGGTCTCTGATTTTATGTGAATATTTTCTCTTTTTTTTCTTGACTAGTCTAGCTAAAGGTTTTTCAATTTTGTTTATCTTTTAAAAACACCATCTTTCTGTTTTATTGATCTTTGTTTTTTTTATCCTCTAAATTTTATACCTTTCTGCCACGTTTTTTATTATTTCTTTCCTTCTACTACTATTGGGTGTGATTTGTTTTTGCTTTTCTAGCTCCTTGAGATGCACTATTTGATCACTTATTTAAGATATTCTTACTTTTTTGATGTAGGCTTTTATTACTATACGCTTCCATCCTAATACTGTTTTGCTGCATTCCATAGGTTTTCATATGTTGCATTTCTACTTTCATTTAAGAAATTTTCAAAAATTTATTTCTTATTCTTCATTGAACCATTGGTCATTTGAAAGTATGTAGTTTAATTTTAATTTATTTGGCAATTTTGAAAGTTCATCTTCCCATTGACCTCTAGTTTTATTCCATTGTGGTCAGAAAAGACACTTGAGATGATTTCAACTTTTAAACTTTGCTGAGACTTGTTTTGTGGCCCAACATGTGGTCTATCCTAGGAATATTCCATGTGTTCATGAAAAAAAATGTGTATTCTGAAGCTGTTGAATGAAATGTTCTGTAAAATTTCTGTTAGATTCATTTGCTGTAAAATGCACCTTTAATCTAATGTTTCTTTGTTGATTTTTGGTCTAGATGATATGCCCAATCCTGAGAGTTGAATGTTGAAGTTACCAACTATTATTGTATTAGACTCTATGTCTCCCTTTAGTTCTAATAATATTTATATATGTGGGTGCTCTGGTGTTGTGTGCATATACATTTAAAATTGTTATATCCTCTTGCTGAATTGATGTCTTTATCATATATAATAATCCACTTTGTCTCATTTTACAGTTTTTGACTTAAAGTCTGTTTCATCTCATATAAGCAGAGCTACTCATCCTCACTGTTTTTGTTCATATGGAATAACTTTTTCTATCCCTTCACTTTCATTCTTCGTCTTTACAGATGAAGTGAGTTTCTTCTAAACAGCAGTTTGCTGTATCTTTAAAAAATTCTTTCATCCAGTTGATAATTTTTAATTGTGGAATTTAATTCATTTACATTCAATCTTATTATTGATAGGTTAGAACTTATTTCTGCCATATTGTTAATTGTTTTCTGGTGTTTTGTATATCATCTTTTCTTTCTTTACTCTTTTTGTTCATCATTGTGGTTTGGTCAATTTTTGTAGTGATATGGTTTATAATTCTTTTGCATGTTTTTATGATAGTGATTATTACCTTTTCACTTCCAAATGTAGGACTCACTTGAGCATTTCTTGTAAGGCTGGACTAGTGGTGGTGAATTCTCTCAGTTTTTGCTTGTCTGGGAAAGACTTTATTTCTTCCTCATTTCTAATAGATACTTTTGCTGATAATACTAATACTGTTCTTTCTGGCAATTTTTTTTTCTTTTGAATAAATTATTATGTTCTTTCCTGGCCTGTAAGGTTTCTGCTTAGAAATCTGTTGTTATTCTAATGGAGACTTCCTTGTCTGGGGCTTCACATTTTACTCTTACTGCTTTTATAATTTCTCTTTTATTTGACTTGATAATTTGACTATAATGTGCCTTGAAGAGGGCCATTTTGGGTTGAATCTACCTGGGGACTGTTAAGCTTACCATACCTGGTTGTTCATATCCCTCTCATATCTTGAAGAAATTTTCCCTATTATTCTTTTAGATAGCTTTCTATATAATTTCTTGATCTTCTCCTGTAACTTTCACAATCTCAATATTTATTCATTTAATGATGTTTCATATGTCTTGTAGGCTTTCATCACTTTTTTTTTGTATTTCTTTCTTTTTCCCTCTTGGTAATTTCAATTAATGTATCTTCAAGCTTAGAGATTCTTCTGCTTGATCAAGTCTGCTGTTGAAGCTATTGCATTTTTTATTCAATTCACTGAATTCTTCAGATGCAGGATTTCTGTTTGATTCTTTTTGTCTAAAAAAATTCTACCTCTTCATTAAATTTGTCATTACTATTATAAGTTGTTTTCCTGATTTCATTAAATTGCCTACTTATCTGTATTGTCTTGTGTCTCACTGAGATTCCTAGAAATAATTATTTTGAATTATTTTTTCTGCAAATTTGTTGATTTTATTTTTAATGGGGTTTGTTGCTAGAAAGTTGGAGTGATGTCTTTTTTTTTAAGTTTTACTTTGTGTGTGTGTGTCCTTGTGGTGGTGTCTATACCGCTCATGGAAATATCACCTCTTCTAAACTTTCTAGATTAGCTCTTGCAGAGAATGACTTTCACCTACACTTGAGATTTAGTATGTTTGTTGGGATGTGATGACTCTGTTTTCAAATAGGTGCAGTGGTATAGTCTTTCTGTAGTTTCTTTATCTGTGTTAAATATCAGCGATATCCATGTTTACCTCCGTGCCCCAGCCTTTAGAAGCTGGTGAATGCAGTAGTGTTGGTTGTGTAGGTTATAAATGTACTCTATGTCAAGGGATTTGGGGTCTTTCTATTCTCACTTTTTCTACTATGGGAAGACTTAGCCAAGGAAATCCCTCTTGATGTCAGGTCAGGTCTGACATGCCTATAAACAGCTACAGTGGAGCTGGGTTCCAGGTTCAGGTGTCTGAGGCTGCTATTGGATTAGGGTTCTAGGTTCAGAGTCTCGTGAACCTTTTTGACATGTGGGCTTTGGGGTACAGGTTCACTCTGGGTGGCAGAGTGAGTTGTAGGCTGCCCACAAAGCCAGTATCTGTGACTCTGAAGCACCCCTAGCGGCTTCAACTAAGGGTCTAGCTTGTAGCTTTGGTTCTTCCGTTGGAGGCAGGGCACACAGCCCTGGCTCAACTCTGGAGAAGAAGGGGTGCTGTGCTGGTTTGAAAGCAGGGAGCAGGGTATGGTTGCAATTCAGGAAGCTGAGACAATAGGGCTCAGTGGCAACTCTAATATTAGGTTATGAGGCACCCTGTTGTAGTGACTCTAGATCCTGTTATGGTGGGATTTGGCAATACCTCAGACTCTGAGGCCAGGTGCACTGACAGCAAGCACCCTAAAATGGCAAAGCACCATTGTTGTTTGGGCCCTCAGGGAGCCAGGAACAGCACAGAGATGATTCTTACTACCCTGCCGCCCTCTCACCCCCTCCCCCAGTATCCCATTGCAAAAGGAGGTATTATCTCAGCAGCTGAGACTCTAGGGTGCTAGTTCAGCTCCAGTGAAGTCGGTTGTTTGTCTTGTTTGGTGAGGTCTCTTAGCTTAGCCACTGCTCTGTTTCCCTAGGATGTGGGGCACTATTTCTATTCAGCCCTGGGATGTGCAGCTGCTCTGCTGGTTGAGGGCACTGCTTCCCCGAGGAGTGATGTGTCACTTCAGCTTAGGCTTGGGGAATGACTGTTCTGGAAGAACCAGGCACTGTTTCCCTGGTATGCAGGGTGCTGCTTCAACTTAGGCAATGCGGGGGGCATGACTGTTCTGAGCAGCCAAGGTACTGTTTCCCCGGGAGGCAGGATACCACTTCGGCTCCAGCACAGGGAATGTAGAGAAGGGTAGGTGAGGCAGCTCCATCTCTAGTTGGCCACACAGGGAATGATATAAGCAGCTTTTAGCTTGGCTTGAGAATGTCAGGCTGCTGGACTGGGGTGGTTGGGCAGCAGTTTAGCCTCAGAGATGATGAGCATCCATGCCTACTCACCCCCAGGGCAAGACACAGTTCAGCCATACTTCCAATTTCAAGATGGTGTAACACAGTATCTGTGCAGAGGGCAGGTACACACAGAGGGAGGACAGCGTTGGCTCTTTCTTTGTGAGGAGCACAGTTATGTGGATGCTAGGCAGCTTCCTTACCTGGATTTAGTGCCTGTTAGGAACACAGGGGAATCCTGTGTCGAGGTCTGCAGTTGTCTAGGGTATTGACGGAAGATAGTGGAGCCCTTTTGCTTATCTTTTTACTATAGGGAGAAATTTCTCCTGGTTCCCAGCTAATCCCAGTTGCAAGATAGGGTGTTGGAGGACCGGCGTTTTCTTTCATTATGTGGCTATTCTGAGTTTTAGGACTCACCAGGGTTTTTTGTAATTTCTTTGATGTACTCCAGCATTCATCATCAGCCATTTTCATTAAAATGTAGTCGATTATTTATTGTTTTGGCTATCTTTGTGAAGGACACTAGTGCTAGAGATTTCTAGTCAGCCATTTTGCTGACATCACTCAGTACTACATATATCAAACAATGAACATACAGCTGATTTCACTAAAAAATATGTTTTAATCACTATAAATGAAACAGCATTACTCTTTTTCTATTGTCTATTGATGTCTAATAAAAGAGGAATAGGAAGAATTTTCACCAAATTAGAAGACATATTTTGAATGGGCTTACCTAATAATAAACATATAGTTATAGAAAGAAAATTGACTTGAGGGAAATATCAAATAGTTAGCAAGCCATATTTCAGAGTAGGCAACATCAAAATATGAGAGCCAAAGTACCCCAATTAACAAAAGTAATTAGATTGAGGTTTCAAATAAAAATGAAAATAAAAAGGCACAACTGTAGACATAAAATTGCATATTGAGTTACTTTTTCTATAGGCAACTCTATGAGACATGTTCCAGGATGAGTGGCATTAAAACATCTCCAGGTGATTGTTAAAAAATAGTCCTGACTATACGATCATATGAACTTTGTAAACAGATTCTGATCCTATAACGATATGTAAATATATAGCAAACCATAATGTCATGGATTAGCATTGTGCTGGTCATATACTTTTTGCTAAATTATGTCTTGAAGCTATGATCTATTTTTCAAGCATATTTTGCCATGGAAATATATCAAATGGCAAAAGTATTTGATAATTTTTGCAAGTTTAAATAAAAACAAAACACTGGCACTGCTTTTACCAAAGCATCAAATAAATATAATAATTTAACAGTTTGAATTTCTAAGTTTTGCCTTATTTGCAGGGCAAAAGTAAAGCAGATAGATAGCTAAAAAGATTGTTAAATTATTTCTTTACATTGGAATATACAACTAGAATGCAAAAACAAATTTGAAGCAACATTTCAAAATATTGATTGATGAATCAATCCAAGAGAATCCAGTTATAGCATTTATAAACATAATTTGGCTACAGAGTATTTACTTCGGTGTGAATCTATTGCAGGAAATGTAAATCAACATAATGCTTTAGTAATCAGTTATATTTGACACTAAACAATTTGCAAAATGCCAAAATCTACTCTGTAAAATTGGTTATGATAGGTTTAAAGATGCTATATAGAGCTATATATAATAGATTTAGCAAATAAAATAATTTTCTTTTCAAGTAAATGTGTTATAAATTATTTAAACTTCATATATTACAAAGGAGTTCTCTATTTTAAAATTTTTAAACAGAATAAATTTCAATATATGCAGATAAGTTGTTTAAAATGTCAAGGATAAAATAAGGGAAATTAAAAACTAGACTGGAGAATTTTAAAATCTTTAATTTTAACTTTCTTAAATTAATTTTTTCAGTTTCAAGTAGTAGAATTCTCAGACCAATAAATTATATAGAAGCAAATAAAAGGGAAAAAGATCTTTGCATCTTTGCATATGCAAGATATCCGCTATGCAAATTCTCAAATCTAGATTACATTCAACGTAAATCTGTTTTGAGGACATAATTACTCTAGATTTTGATAGTACAGCAAATATTTATTTATCATATCCAAAATGCAAGACAATCCATTTGTAATCTTACCCTCAATGTGGTGACTTTCACTTTGTTAAGAACAGAAAAAAATGTTTTCAACTCTATTTTTTTCTTTAACTCTTATATTCCTTTCCCCTCTCATATCTACAATACCCACATATGATCATTGTAGCCATATTGTTTTCTGGTATTCATATATCTATGTGGCTGAAATTTTTTGTTTTTAACCTTTCTGTGTGAATACACAGTTTTGCATTTTGAAATATTTTATTCGCTAAAATTTTGGTCAAACATCTCTATCTAAGGAGAAGGGATGTAGCAGCCTAAGTCTCATAGGTAAGACATATATAAGTATAGTAAACTATGTAAGGGTTCCACCCATATCCCCTTTCATGTGTATGAGGCCAAATTTCAGATGACAGCATATGCATGATTATTTTCCTGACGTTTCTCTGCCTGCCAAAGTCCACCATGCTTGCCTGAAGGGTAGCCTAAAGAGCTCAAAATTAATGGTCTTTATTTCCCAATGATTGATAGAAGCTGAGGAATAAATATACCAGCTTCTGCATCACTCAGGTAAGGTAACTGTAAGCCACATTTGTACACGTTACTCTGAATTATCCAGTGTGATTAAGCTCTTAGTTGCCCATGAGCTAACTTGCTGTATTGGCTTTTTACCTTGCTGCCTCATCTCTCCACTCCCTTATAGTCATTTATTGGAAAAACCTTTCAGATAAATGAAAGAATCCTCAGCTGAGAATCTGTTTCAGGGGAAATTTAAAGAGATAAACATTATTTCCAGACCAAACTCATTTTCCTCAAGGGTAAGATAAAAAACAATAAATAGAGTCTCAAATAAAAAATATAATTCAGGGCAAAATAAGAATTTATTTAAATAAATTGAAAAAAAAATGCCCAGCAGAGGATCCTCTCTGAAAGGAATTTGAATTACAACATCTAATGGTGAGCAAAATATTGTAAATTTGAGGAAGCAGCTGATGCTGGAGATATACTCCTTTTAATCTGCAGCTACCTGATCCCATTGCAATGTCTGGAAAATTTCATGTAACTTGCTAGATTTCTATATCAAATATCTTCCTTGTATCTCTTTGTTTGGATGCCTTGGGGTTTTCTCCAAAGCTTTAGGCAGTCATTTCCTCACACTCATTGACAAACTGAATGTGCAATAGAGTTAATGCCCGGGGGAATTCTCTCAATTAAAGAGTGTCAGTTTTAAGTGGACAAATGACTCAATCCCATAACCACTGGAGGAATAATGCTAGAGGGCTCCTTAGTGGGTTAACAGCATGACTGGACCCCTGTGGCCACAATGTTAGCTAGCCTATTAATCCTTTCTCTTTTTACATCTGATTTTCCCATTTCCTTACTCATGCTTCCTGGGATTACCACTCAGATAAATTACTGGAGCTCACATCTTTGTTCTGGCTCTAATTTGGAGAAAGCAAAAATTAGAACAATGGACAAACTCTCCCTTGCTCATGCCCTGCTGCCAAAAAAACATTGCTTTAAGGATTGCCTATAAAGAGTGATACTAAAATGTCTAAATAGGGTAGAAATTGGCTAGAAAAATAGTGGAAATCAATAGCATGTGAGTTGGAAATGGAGTAATGAAACTTTACATATTTTTAGGTCCATGTATTTTATTTATTTTAATTTTTATTTTTATGAGTACATAGTAGGTGTATATATTTATGAAGTACATATTTTGATACAGACACACAATGTGAAATAATCACATCAAGGTGAATGAGGTGTCCCTCACCTGAAGCATTCATCATTTATTTGTTATAAATATTCCATTTCTACTTCTTCGGTCCTTCCAAAATATACAAATTATTGCTGACTATAGTCACCTTATTGTGCTATGAAATACTGGATCTTATTCATTCTAACTATATTTTTTACTTATTAATATTAACCATCCCACTTCTCACCCAACCCAGTACTCTTTGCTGCCTCTGATAATGATTATTCTATTCTCTATCTCCACAAGCTCCATTATTTTAGTTTTTAGCTCCCACAAATGAGTGAGAACATGTGAAATTAGTCTTTCTGTGCCTGGCCTACTTCACTTAACATAATGTCCTCTAGTTCTATCCATGTTGTTGCAAATAACAAGATCTCATTCTTTCTTATGGCTGAAGATGAAGAGCACTCAATTGCATATATATGCCATATTTTCTTTACCCATTCATCTGTTGAGGACACTTAGATTTTTCTTCCAAATCTTGGTTACTGTAAGTAGTGCTGCAATACATATGGGAGTGTAGATATCTCTTCAATGTACTGATTTCCTATCTTTTGGCCGTGTAACTAGCAGCAGGATTACTAGATCACATGGTGGCTCTATTTTTAGTTTTTCCAGGAACCTCCATACTGTTCTTCATAGTGGCTGTACTAATTTGCATTGCCACCAACAGTGTATGAGGGTTCCCTTTCCTACGTATCCTCACCGGCTTTCATTATTGCCTGTCAGTTGAATAAAAGGGATTTAACAGGGTGAGATGATATCTCATTGTAGTTTTGACTTACAATTCTTTGACAATCAACGATGTTGAGCACTTTTTTATATATCTGTTTGCTATTTGTATGTGTTCTTTCGATAATTATCTATTCAGATCTCTTACCAATTTTCAAATCAGATTATTAGATTTTTTTTTTCCAATTGAGTTGGTAGAATTCCTTATAAATTCTGATAACAAGTGAATTAATAACATGTGTGATTTCCAAGTAAGTAAGTAGGGTGGCAATATAAAATGAGAGAAAAAAATGAATTTTAAAAATGTAATAAAAGACACACAAAAAAGAAAGAGAAACTTTGTTTTTTTTGGACGGAGTCTCGCTGTCTCCCAGTCTGGAGTGCAGTGGCACGATCTCGGCTCACTGCAAGCTTTGCCTCTCTGGTTCACACCATTCTCCTGCCTCAGCCTCCCGAATAGCTGACTACAGGTGCCCGCCACAAAGCCCAGCTAATTTTTTGTGTTTTTAGTAGAGACGGGGTTTCACTGTGTTAGCCAGTATGGTCTCAATCTCCTGATCTCATGATCTGCCCGACTCAGTCTCCCAAAGTGCTGGGATTACAGGCGTGAGCCACCGAGCCCGGCCAAGAAAGGGAAAATATTTTTATATAGAAAAATATACAAAATAAACACAAGTTAGAAATAAGTCCAAATATTCCAAGAAATATACTAAATATAAAAGGACTTAACTCATGGATTTAAAAGTTACTTATGACATTAAATAATTTTGCTCAGTGCTATTACAAGAGATCAACCTAAACCATAAAAAAAAACAAAACCAGAATGCTTAAAAGGTAAATTATATGCAAAGACATACCAGGCAAAAAGTAATCAATATAAATCTGTTGGTTATACTGTTGTCAGTCAAATAGGCTTTAAGGTGAAGAAACATCCTGAAATTATGATAAAGATGATCACTATATAATAATAAAAGTTTTTATGAAATGGAAAGATACAATTTTAAAATAGTGTGTTACTAATATATAGTCTTTCATACAATGAAAAATGTATTGACAAATCACTATCACCATTAATAGATTAAGTAAAAATTATAAAACATAGAAGGAATTAACAGCAAATAACCAATAATTGTTATATAAATACCTTATGTAGAAATTATTACAGATAACTAAAATTTTTTAAAGAATGTAAAAATAAATCTCATGTTCTTGGATTAAGACACAACATCATAACAATAGGAATTGTTTGCAATACATTCAATTCACTTTCAATAAAAATCTTAAGTTAATTTTTATTTTTGTTTTTATAATTTTATAGATTGTGAGTAGGGTGAACCTACTTGTCTAGATATCGTGACGTATTCAAAGCTATGGGAATTAAAATGTCATGCCATACAAGTATAGAACATGGATAAGAAGAGGCAAAACAGAAACAAACACGTGCATTTATGTAAACCAAGTCAATAAAAAAAGCATATGTAAAACCAGTACTATAAAATTGTTAGAAAGAATGTAAGACATTTTATTTGTTGCTCTGAGGTAGCCCTATGCTTTGAAGAAAATGTAGCAAATTTACCTATATATTTTAAGAAAGTCTTGAAAAAAAATAAAAAAGAAGCAAAACCATAAGCCACATATTGGGGTGATATTTTTTACAATATAATTGGCAAAATATTAATATCCAGAATATAGAATGATCATCAAAAAAGCATTTAAAAATTCCCTCAGAAATAATGCCACATATCTACAACTATCCAATCCTTGACAAACCTGACAAAAACAAGAAATGGGGAAAGGATTCCCTATTTAATAAATGGTGCTGGGAAAATTGGCTAGCCGTATGTAGAAAGCTGAAACTGGATCCTTTCCTTACACCTTATACAAAAATTAATTCAAGATGGATTAAAGACTTACATGTTAGACCTAAAACCATAAAAACCCTAGAAGAAAACATAGGCAATACCATTCAGGACATAGGCATGGGCAAGGACTTCATGTCTAAAACACCAAAAGCAATGGCAACAAAAGCCAAAATTGACAAATGGGATCTAATTAAACTAAACAGCTTCTGCACAGCAAAAGAAACTACCATCAGAGTGAACAGGCAACCTACAGAAAGGGAGAAAGTTTTTGCAATCTACTCATCTGACAAAGGGCTAATATCCAGAATCTACAATGAACTCAAACAAATTTACAAGAAAAAAAAAACAAAAACAACCCCATCAACAAGTGGGCGAAGGATATGAAGAGACACTTCTCAAAAGAAGACATTTATGCAGCCAACAGACACATGAAAACATGCTCATCATCACTGGCCATCAGAGAAATGCAAATCAAAACCACAATGAGACACCATCTCACACCAGTTAGAATGGCGATCATTAAAAATTCAGGAAACAACAGGTGCTGGAGAGGATGTGGAGAAATAGGAACACTTTTACACTGTTGGTGGGACTGTAAACTAGTTTAACCATTGTGGAAGACAGTGTGGCGATTCCTCAGGGATCTAGAACTAGAAATACCATTTGACCCAGCCATCCCATTACTGGGTATATACCCAAAGGATTATAAATCATGCTGCTATAAAGACACATGCACACGTATGTTTATTGCGGCACTATTCACAATAGCAAAGACTTGGAACCAAGCCAAATGTTCAACAATGATAGACTGGATTAAGAAAATATGGCACATATACACCATGGAATACTATGCAGCCATAAAAAAGGATGAGTTTATGTCCTTCGTAGGGACATGGATGAAGCTGGAAACCATCATTCTCAGCAAACTAACGCAAGGACAAAAAACCAAACACCGCAAGTTCTCACTCATAAGTGGAAACTGAACAATGAGAACACATGGACACAGGAAGGGGAACATCACACACCGGGGCCTGTTGTGGGGTGAGGGGAGAGGGGAGGGATAGCATTAGGAGATATACCTAATGTTAAATGACGAGTTAATGGGTGCAGCACACCAACATGGCACATGTGTACCTATGTAACAAACCTGCAAGTTGTGCACATGTACCCTAAAATTTAAAGTACAATAAAAAAATTAAAAATAAAAAAAAAGAAAATGCCAATTTGTTTGTAAAATTGCTAAATTTCAATCAATGAGGATAAAATGAAAAAGAGACATTACCAAGTTTGGTGAGGATATGGACAAATAGATTCTCTGCTTTGTCGTTACCTACTAAAGCTGAATTTATGCATACCTTATTACCAGCTTCCATTCTTGGATATATACGCAATATAAATGAGCACATGCGTTCATCAATACATATGTACAAGAATGGTCATGGAAGCATTATTTATAATGACTAAAACCTGTAAACAACTAAAGTATTCATTAACAAGATAATGGGTGAATAAATTATGGCACATTCATGCAATGAAATAACATAGAGCAATAATAATCTATAAATTTAAACACAAACATCAATTGTCTTACTCTGGTCAATCTGCCATAACAATATATTACAGGCTGTGTTGCATAAACAACAGAAATTTATTTCTCACATTTCTGGGGGCTAGAAAGTCCAAGAGCAAGATTCAGCAGGGTTCTGTTTCTGAAAAAGCATCCCTGCCTGGCTTGCAGATGATGGCCTTCTCATATCCGAAACAGAGAGAGAGAGAGAGCTAGTTAAGTGAGTTCTTGAGCTCTGGTGTCTTTCTGTATATGGACACTAATACTATCAAATTAGGGCCCCCTTTTTATGACCACACTTAACTTTAAGTACCTCCTAAAGAGTCTGCTTCCAAATACAGTTATATTGTAGGATAGGGCTTTAACATATGAACTTCAGGGGCACACAAACATTTGGTCTATAACATGAATGCATCTTAAAAACATAATATTGAACAATAGAAAGGAAACACAAAAGAGTATATACTATATAATTCTATTAACATAAAGTGTAAAGTAAGGCAAGAAAAGTTTCTACCATTAGAAGTTAGGATAGTGGGTATATGAACTATTTCTGCAGCTAGTAATACCCCATGTCCTAATATTGGAGCATATTGCACAGGTTATTTTTTAATAAAAATTCATCAATACCTATATTACAATGTATGCATTTTCTATATGTGATTTCTTTCAATAAAATGTTTATAAAACTTATTTCAGCTGTTTGATGAAATGCATGTACACATTCTAACTCATACTATTTTTAAACAAGGTGCATACAAGACTGTTGCTAAATAAACCCAATACATTTCCTCCTATAAGAAAATCTAGGAAATACCACTCTAGACATCAGCCTTGGCAAAAAAATTATGACTAAGTTCTCAAAAGCAATTGCAACAAAAATAAAAATTGGCAAACAGAACCTAATTAAACCAGAGAACTTCTGCAGAGCAAAAGAAACTATCAAGTAAACAGATACCTACAGAATGGGAAAAAAAATTTGCAACCTACGTATCCAACAAACGTTTAACATCCAGAATCTATAAGGAAATTAAACAGTTCAACAAGCAAAAACCAATAATGCCATTAGTAAGTTGGCAAGGACATGAATAGACAATTCTCAAAATAAGACATACGCATGGCCAACAAACACATGAATAAATGTTCAACGTCACTAATCAGAGAAATGCAAATTAAAACCACAATGAGATACCACCTCATGCCAGTCAGAATGGGTATTACTAAAAAGTCAAAAACTAACAGAATTTGGCAAGTCTGCAGAGAAAAGGGAGTGCTTATACAATGCTAGGTGGGAGTGTAAATTAGTTCAGCCATTGTGGAAAGTAGTTTGGAAATTTCCCAAAGAAGTTAAAACAGTACTCCCATTTGATCTGTTATCCCATTACTGGGTATTTACCCAAAGGAAAATAAATCGTTCTACCAAAAAGGCACATGAACTTGTATGTTCATTGCAGCACTATTCACAATAGCAAAAACATGGAATCAACCTTTGTGCCCCTCACCAGTTGATTGGTAAAGAAAGTGTTGTACATATACACCATAGAATACCACACAGCCATAGAAAGGAATGAAATCATGCCCTTTGCAGCAACGTGGATGCAGCTGGAGGCTATTATCCTAAGTGAATTAATGCAGGAACAGAAAATCAAAAAGCACACATTCTCAGTTGTGACTGGGAGCTAAATATTAGGTACACATGCAGTTAAAGATGGGAACAATAAATACTGGAGACTACCGAAGGGGGAGAGAGGAGGGGAACAAGGGTTGGAAATCATCTATTGGGTACTATTATCACTACCTAGGTGATGGGATCATGCATACCTCAAACCTCAGCATCACACAATATACTTAGGAACAAACTTGTCATGTACTCCCAGAATCTAAAATAAAAGCTGAAATATTTTTAAAATATGTAAAACAATGTAGAAAGCTTGAGAATAAATACATTAAAAATAAAATAGATAAATATCAAAATGAGACTAATGTAGCAAATTTAATATTAGACAGAATAGAATCAAATGCTAGAAGTATAAATAATCATAAATGTAACCATATAAAAACAGCTACCAAGCAAAATAAATGACAAACTAGCTCTTTTATGTTGTCAATGATAGTCTTTGAACATGGCAATCAAGAAGTGGCAAAATCACAATAAGAAACTAGCAAATCTGTAGGCATCATGAAAGATTTTAACATGTTTACACTAGAACATGAGAGAGCCTGTTGACTGAAAAATAAATTGTCACGATATTAAATATTTTAATAAAAAGGTATTTTGCTTTTTTACCAAGCTATTTAATAAAAATATGTCTACAAAAATCTCTGCAAAAAGAATCAGGAGCATCATCTTCAAATGAATGTAGAATATTTACAAAATCTGTCACCTACTATTCCTCAGTGAAAGTCATAAATATAAAGGAAAAGTCTGTAAATTTATTCTGTGAAAGATAGCAAAAGAGAACATGGTTTAAAACCAACAAAAAATGAAATAGAAAACCAATAAATTAGAGTGTGAAAAAAAACAAAGTTCCATCACAAGAGGCTAATGATATTGTACAGATTTTGCTTACTTAGAAAGAGTAGATGTATATGGGCCAGAAAGAATAGAGATGCTTGCAAAGCATCTTTTTAGAAGACACAGCATCCAAATTATGGGCCTCCCACTCTTTAAATTGTAACTCTCTGATTATCGAATAAAATAAAAAATTATATTTAATTAAAATAAGTTATATATATAAATAAAACATAATCTCCTGGTAATTCTTATTAATACTAATTATATATAAGTATATTTTGCTTTAAATCACAAGAACATTATTCAATATTACTTATTTCTTAAAATATTACTAATGTAGTTATGTATAATTAATGGACACTCTCAAATGAACAACATATTATTTAAATGTTCATACCAAAATCACTATCAATAAAAAGTATGTTTACATTATAACCCATTGGCTACCAATTTACCAAGCTTTTATAGATTAGGTATTATTGAATTAATTTCATTATCTTATTAAAGTGGGTTAAATTTTGTAATTATAGGTTCAAGTGACTTGCCATTTCATCCAAATGAATATGTTAAAATTTGCAACCTGGATTAGAAATCGACATCAAAACTCATTGAGAGCCAAGTTATTTCAATGTCAAATATAAAATTTAAAAAGGACAGAAAAAAATATTCTATTGTGTGACAATGAGTTCCTTTTACAAACTCACATATCTTAGCAAGCTCCACTCCTTCCTTCCTCAGATTTCTAACTGTCCAATGTCATCATTAATCGGCTATAGATTTTGGCCATCTAGAAACATAATCCAAGTTTACATCCTTTATGCTGAGAGACTGTATTAATCACTTCATTTTCCTCTAAAGAAAAAATGCTTATATTTCCCCTCAGATTAAAAGGCATCCAGGACACAAAAAGCTCATTATTATATCATCTCTTATTCTAAAATGTGCATTCTGCTAAATAGTAGACTCTAAAATATCTGTGCATGTAAATGAACAATGTGTCTAATTGGTAACATGGAGTGTCTACTGTCCAATAAGATACTTTTTTAAAAAAACTTTCCACACTTATAATGATTGACAACTAGGAAGAACTATTAACTTTTATACTCATTATAAAACCAACACAATTATCTTAATAAAACCTCCAAACCCACTGTAGATTAATAAGAGCACAACCAATTCATTTGACTAACTTCATTAAATTATAAGTTGTACATGTCATTCTTGGCTTGTTAAAGACTCAAAAATAATTATGCAAGTAACTTTTAGCATGCCATTAATAATATCATGCTTGCATGAAACATTAAATATTGATTAAATGCTGCTGAGGCAAAAGGTTGAAAAAAGTAACAGCAAATAAATGCATTTTTATAAATGAAAAATATCCTACATCACATTAAAGAAAGAAACAAGGGAGCTTACGTAGATGTATTAGAAAAGTTGCAGCTTTGAAAAACCTGTAAAAAGAAAATGTTAAACTTCTGTATGAGAGGCTAAGATCTGATAATTATCTTGACAAGTAGACCAATTCTACTACAAATAGATTTATAGATTTAAGTTTTGGTTATCAACAGTCAGAACTTTTTGTATTTTGTTTTACCAAAATCAGTTGAAATATTATTCAAAATATTACATAGTTTACAAAGAGGTAGATATAAAAATTAATAGTATTCAAAATTGTATTATTTCATAGGAAACTTCATCAATAAATTTACAAAGCTTTACTAAAAATATATAGTATCAAAAGTGTCTAAGTTTTATATCTGCGTGGGTGTTGAAGAAATGAGTAATTAAAATGGTAGAATTCTTACTGTAGTACAATTTTTTAAGAGCCAGACACTATGCAATGTTTTTTATACTTCATTAATTTTATCTTACATACTTCTAAAAACTCCCTTAACATACCTACATCTATAATTTTCTCAATGGATATTTGAAATTCTTTATTTTTTTGGTTTTAAGTTTGAGTTTAGCATTTTATCTCAGAAGATAAAATTATTATTTCTATCATATAAATGCACACACACTTTCCTTTAGATATGCCAAGTGGTATACCACATGGCTCTGCTCTGCAAGTTATGGTTTCATTCATAAGTATTTAAAGAGGATGACAGTCATGTGTATATGCGTTGAGGTTTATTTGAAGAATAGAGTTATATTTTCATATTTAGCAGTTGAAAGTATCTAGATGGGGCCTGAATTTTAAAAATAAAGTAGTAAATTTATTAATATGTTATATAGAGACAAGGAGACAACAAAAGAAGTGGCTTAAAGTATCTCTGGGACACAGCTGCATATGGGAGGGAAACAAGAACAAAGGAAAGATATATGAAATAATTTGTCTGTGTAATTTTGGTGCAAATACAAATTAAAGAAACATGGTGGTACACATATGTACATCAATTATTAAATGTGTGTTAGTTTTCTGAGAATGCAATTTTTCTTGTATTAACAATTATATACAAAGAGCAATCACTTGTGAAGAGCTTTTCTTCTATTACTTTAGTTTTCCACAACAGCTACCATGAGTAGTTTGATTTTTTTAATGAGTTTTCATGTTTCCAAATGTTACCCTCTTTTTAATAAAAGGAGTCAGCAGTTTGTTCTTGTCTATGCACTGAAGCTGAAAAGATCATGAGAGATGTTCTTTTTGTTAGCTAAAAAAAATTGATGAGTATTTAATATAAACCAGTGAAGATAGATCAAAGCATTATATAGCACATACCTACCCCATTTATGAGCTCTGCTCTTCCAAAATAAGCAAAACATGTGCAGTAAAGCTGTAAATTCTGCAGAAATAGCATCTAATGTTCTTTTTCTCCCATAGTTTTTGTTCTGACATACCTCCCTTTCACTTCAGTGGCCCACGAATACTCTTTCTGGATGAAGATCCTCCCCATATTTGTATAGTATATTTAATAAAATTATCATTAGTTCACGCTAATTTGAAAGTCCACCTTTTCTATGTTAGGAGTGCATCCCTCTTATACTCAGAATGCAAGCACTGCAAACATTTTTGAAATCTGAGCCAACGAGGACCATCAATATCTTACAATCACTTCTTTTTTTTTCAGTTGGCTATCAACATTGATGTGACCTTTCATCATTGTAGTACAAATCTCACATCATTTTTCAATTTAAAGATAAACATTAAAAAGTTCTTATGCCTAGCTTTATTTCAATGGATTTTTATTTATGAATTTAATCTTGCTCTCTTTCTGTGAGTATTTCTTAAAGCATTGCATATGATTTAGAATAAAACTCAAAATGAAAACAAAATTGTCAGCTCAAGTGTCTCAGTTTCAGGGAAAACTAAGCTCATTATTCCTTGAAGGAAAAGAACATAGGAACAGTTACATCATACTTTTGATGTTGCACATGTTCTTGCTTAATTAAATTAACTTTAGTCGACATAATTATTTCCAACCTCCTCCTCACGTTTGTTCTTTCTTGTAACACCACAGAAACTTACAAAACGTCTTGGATATCACATAACTATCTATGGTCTATTTTTAAAATTTTCTTATCTGTAAGTTACGTTAGTTTGATAAAGTCTAGTGTGTAGACTTTTCTAATTTTAATTTTTCAATTTAACTTTTAATTTTAACTTTTTCTAATTATAAACATTCTTTAGGAATTTAAAAAACTTGTGACTGTAATAATATTTACATCAGTGACATGCCATCATGAGTATCTGGGTTAAGAAATAATATAAGCAATTTTTACAGATCTGTAATGACTTTAAAATTGAAAACATATTTGTCCCTTAATTATGCTCTTTGAGACAACCTGAACTGTTAGAACAGAAATAAAATTTCATTCCAAGAATTTAGAAGAATTGAAGATATTTGGGGATTTATCTTAAGACATATTTAACATTTTCTAAGTGCATCCTACTTAGAGGCAATTACAATGAGTGGGGGCGTAGTGTGTGCTAAGATAAATACTATTTTATAAACAAATTTGTGTTATTTAAGTTTCAACAGAATTATCAAGAAACTTGCGAGCCTAGAGGAAAAATGTATAAAACAATAATTTAAGTGTACTTTTTCAATTGAACAAAGCATTAAAATTATTCTATTTTACCACAATTAATGTTAATTTTGCATTGAAAAATAAGTATGTGTGATGTACTCATTGACATCCCCAATATTGTCCTTAAATAAAATTTAATGCTAATACCTGTCACAAAGATACCTTTATTCTCTTGTAAGACAAAGGCAAATTTGACATACTCATTTTCTTTCTTTCATAGAATCTTTCCCATTATAAATAGTAGCTAGTCCAAGAAATTACCCCCGGATTTCTCAAAAAATTTGTTAATGAAGCGCATATATTTCAAACGGAAAACAATCATTAACTTTATTAATCCATTTATAAACTATGTAAACTTACATGAAGAACACTTTGCTTGAAAATCAGTGGGATGAGGCAGATTAAACCTCTTATTTTGCCTGAAATCACACCATATATTTTGTATTCAAATTACCAAGTCTCCTTAGAAAATAGTGGACCAGTCCTGCCAGGCTGTGCCTCTAGAATGCTGTGATCAACAGAAGGAAGATTGTGCCCAGCCCAGGAGGGGAAAGCAAAATAAAGAGAATATTGAGTGAAGGAGGTGATAAAAAGTGAAAGTGCATCCTTTTTTTAAATCTACTTAGTAAAAACTGATCAAATTTTACAAGAGATCAAACTCCAGTCAGGTTAGACATTCTTCTTTAGCAAGGGTTAATTAACAAGGTAGAGAGTTGCACAAATGTCCTCTTTTGTGGTATAAGACTGGAAGACAGGGAGAATTCATCAATTGTCCTTCCAACTCTGAACACACTTTTTCCAGTATTTCTGTACTACTGGACTACTTGCATAAAAATCTTAGTTGGTATTAGGAAAGCAAAACATATATTCAAAGCTATCTCAAGGGTTCAACTCTCTTCTGCTGCCTCTTTAGCAATCTCCATTGGTCTTTAAGAACATCAATTATTTTTACTAAGAAAAGATGTAAAATTTAGACATCCAAAGGCTTTTCTACTTTTTAATATATGATTTTGACAATGTTTACATTTCTATTAAATTTTCTTTATTTCATGTGTGTGTGCTTGTAAGAGACTCATTTTAATATATGAACATTTTCCAGAAATTATAAAACTCTGATTTTATACTGTGTTACATCTGAAACACAAAAGGAAGTAAAGGCTGGGCGGGGTGGCTCATGCCTGTAATCCCAGCACTTTGGGAGGCAGAGGCGGGCGGATCACGAGGTCAGGAGATCGAGACCATCCTGGCTAACACGGTGAAACCCCGTCTCTACTAAAAATACAAAAAATTAGCCGGGCGTATTGGCGGGCGCCTGTAGTCCCAGCTGCTCAGAAGGCTGAGGCAGGAGAATGGTGTGAGCCCGGGAGGCGGAGCTTGCAGTGAGCCGAGATCCCGCCCCTGCACTCCAGCCTGGGCGACAGAGCGAGACTCCGTCTCAGAGAAAAAAAAAAAAAAAAAGGGAAGTAAGATATAATATCTAACTGCTATTTCAAATCACTTTCCCAACTCTCAAAGCATAGGTAACTCTGAAATATATTAAAATACCGAATAAGAAAAAAAAAAAGATTGAGTTGGAGGGTACTTTGGTTCTAATTACTACATATAACATATATTTATAAAATTTTATAATTTAAAAAGTTTATGATGAATGAGGTTACTAATAAGCGGTTATTTGTATGTATAGATTAGGCAACATTGTGAAACTAGTACTACAGTAGCAACAACATGCAGAATTATGTTTTAAGAACTGTAAAAAACAGATAACATTCTGTTTGCCATAGTCGGCCCTCCCATTGAGATCAGTCTACAGAGAACACAAACCGTAGTCTATATTTGGCTATTCCATTACATGTGAAAATGTTTATTTCAATGCAATGCTTCCAAAGGCATTATTTTTCTCAGAATAACTTGAAGAACAGGAGAATTTCATTAACTATAAATTAATTGCAGCCCCACTGTGAGAATTATGAATAAATTGTTAAAGTGACCTAGCATTATTTCTGATGTATATATTCAGTACTCAACTCTTGTCATTATTAGTACTATTATTACCATGATTCTTTCAGAACTTTGCACAGGGCTTCTATCTCTATTGCTCTACACTATCCCTGATACTAAGATCAGGAAATGTCTGCTGATAAAACTAGCTCGAATGTGCCTTGGAACAAGGAATATAAGGGGAATTACTTAAGATATATTTGTTCATTTAGTGTGTGTACTTAGGGGCTAGATGAATGCTGATTAATTCTTACCAATAAGAAGGTAAGGCAAGTGTGAGAAACCAGGAAAAAAAATTACTCTAGTTGGTTCTATGTTCAAAAGACCTGTTTGCACAGGTGAATGATCATTTTTCCCATACTTAAAGCAATCTAATACTGTAAGGTAATACTGTCATATGCTGTTCTTTCATTTCTTAATAAAAATGAAGCAGATAAAAAAGAGAAACTTAAAAAGAAATTGATCAATATGACCATTAGCAATAGGAATATTCAACATTCCATTTTTTCTTAGACTCTGAATTCCAGTTTGGGATTTGTTTTGTTTGTTTGTTTGTTTGTTTTTCAGCATTTGCATAGGGAGGAAGAGATCTTTTTAAAACCTATGAAAACAGATTTTTTTATTTGGTCTTGTTAGCATGTGTGCAGTCTATGCAAAGATGTTCATTGATTTAGAAATGAAAACAAATGAGTTTTTTATTGATGTTCAATCCTCAATGATCTCATGAGCTTAGAAATTCCATTCAATTGGTTTGCTGCACTTTTCTCTATTTCTAAAATTAGAATATAATCCTTTTTACCTCCAAGACTTGCTGAGCAGATTAAAAGAGACAATGATCGTGAAAAAATTTATAAAATAGATAACATATAGATAAATGAGCTCATGAACATTTTAAAGTATTATTAGGTCTTTGTAATGGTAACTTCAAGCCCATAATTTGTTTTTTCAGGTTTATAGTGTTGGCGAGAAACCAAGATAAATCCTCATGAAACACTAGCAAAAAAAGAGAAATATCTCATGCTCTGAGTTTTAACTTTGCATCAGGCTATCTTTAACTGATCTTACTATTTACAATAAATCCCTCTCTTAACTATCCCTCTAAGCATCTTAAAAAATATGAGAAAATTCACTTCATGTAGGCTTTTCAAGTGTGAGAATTATGCGTTGTAATGAGTTGTAATGTTATGTTTCCTTTCTGATTTTACAAGAGACTTAACACTCCTCTAAAGTTAACAAGATGTCTGACAGTGTGTAGACTGCTGCTGCTTTGTTTAGCATCACTTAATTGGTAGATTTCCTATATTGTTCATCTTTACACAAACACATTCAAGTTAGTATAGTCATTACAGTTCAGACAAAAGGTTTGTAAAGCATGCACAGGAAATAACAAATACAATGATATTGATATTTCATTTTTCCCTCATTGGTTCAGGATTTGGATCTTTTAATAAAACACGTGAAAAAAGTTATAACCCACCTACTCAGAAGAAAGACTATAAGGAGCCACATAGTAAAATGCATAAACTTAATAGATCTTAAAGCCAATCAAATAAGAATAAAAAAACAAAAATCTAAATCAGGAAAGTTTTTGGTTGGTAAGAAGGAAAATACTATGTCTACTGGAAAATTTAGACTTTGAATGTATTGTCTACGTATTCAGTTTTGTATTGAGTTTAGCTATTCTTATCAAGCCCTGATCGTGGTGTGTGGTCTATGTTTGTTGCAAAAATAATTATAAGGGAACTTCAAATAAACATTAGATTTATGTCTGTTTTTCCTGACAGAGAAAAATAAAAACATGGTTGGTATGTGCACCACTTTTACAGGAAGAAAGGGAAAAACAATCTGATTTTTATTTCATATAGATAGATTGAACTGATTGTTAGAGAAGTTGGAATTGTAGACTAGAGTTTTATTGTCATGTATTTGTGGAAATATTAGGCACAAAACCATTGACCAAAGTATTTTTCTATCTTGTTTTGGCCTCCAGGGCGATTGATTAGATTTCCTCTGTAGCTGAACCAACTCGATGGAGAAGAGAATGGTTTGAATATTTTACTTGAATGCATATAGGCATGGTGTGTGTCTCAGTACAATCAAATGGTGTTGAGAAAAAAATTATCAGATTAAGTGACTAGATGATGGAGGGGAATTAGTAATTTTGCACCATTCATCATTTGGTTTATGGTTCCCAGAAGAAAAATAAGTCTTTTAAAGAATGACATTTGTCCTAAAGCAATTCTATCTCCTAATTTAAACTTGTTATTTCTTAACATCATATTAAGTAGTCATTACAAACTCTGATGACTCAGGCACAGCCTAGAAAGATATTTCCACTTCATTAAGTTCCTGTCTGGTGATAAACTAATTTAACCTAACATAATTCACATACTTCCTGGACCTAATTATCCTACCACTGCAATCTGTAGATATAAACACCTGCAGTGTTATAATTAGAAAAAAACATCATCAACTAATTCAATAAGAACAATTTTCCCTTCATTATACAGTAACTGTCTTTGTTAACTAATCATAGTGTGGTTTAAGGTACTTCTAAAAACATTAATACAATTGAATTTTTATGCTCCTATGACTTGAACATGGAATATGAGAGTTATGAGTCTTGTTATTTAGGAATATAAGTTATCTATGTTAGCTAGAGAATAATGGAAGCTCTGGGAAGCGAACACTCTGCATTCTTAATGAGAAACCATTAAAAAGGAACAGGACACATGAATGGGCAGCAAGATGAGATGATCAGGAAAGTATACTTTTATTTTCCTAATGAAAACATAATTTATTTTTTTTTCTTTATCCTGCTATCAATAATTATGGGAGTAGCATGGCCTGGACATTATTTCGTTAAGCTTAGCCAGTGTGTTTGAAGAGGTATTTTCAGAGAACATATATCAAGTAGTCTTTTTAGCACTATAGAAAGGAAGCATTTTCCAATGGACTTATTCTGCTCAGTGTTTGGTTTTTACCCAGATGGGCAATCTTTAGTGGAGTCTGTAGGTTGGAGTCTGATTTGTCTTGCGAGTGAATGTTACCACCTATTTTATAAGAGGCTCTTTGGTATGTTCCCTGGTGAGCAAAGAATGAGCAAGAGAAACTATGTCTTTTTCTCTATACTTGTTGGCATTATATCTTAATATACAATATTTTTTCTTTAGACTTCCTTTAGGGAAGCTGTGGATTGACTCTGACTGAATTCTTTTAAAAATACTGATCATATGTGGCACGCACCTGTAGTCTCAGCTACTTGGGAGGCTGAGGCAGGAGAATTGCTTGCACCTGGGAGGCGGAGGTTGCAGTGAGACGAAATCGCGCCACTGCACTCCAGCTTGGGTGACAGAGCGAGACTCCGTCTCAAAAGAAAAAAATAAATACTGATTATGTTTATTTTGAGCAGAAATAATATTCTGCATAATTGTGAAAATTTGTTCTAGCTCTATTATCAACTATTAGTAAAGTTCTGAGAATGTTACATACAATTCTAGATGCTTTTATTTTTCCCCTCTGAAAAATACGAATTGTTCTTGCAAATAGCTCACTCTTTAAAGATGCTTAAAGAAGAAATCGTAATGAGAGTAAAAATACTGACAGAACATTCTGTCTACTTATTATCTATATCAATCTATCTATGTATCTACCTATCTGTTGTCTATCATGTCATCCAGTCAAAACGTTAATATGCTATTTCTTCAGATTTTATCAATGACTCATGGGATAAGCATTCATATAAATTTAGAAACATTCTGCTATTTTGGCAGTAAGGATGTAATAAAATCTTTATTCTTTCTTTAGCGTCTGCGAATTCTTTCTATTTAACATTCTTCTTATTTAAAATGCTGGATACAACAATCTGCCCTGGATACCACCTGCCACCAACTCTCTCTGCCTGCTGGCTAAAGAATAACTTAGCTGTGTGTAAAATAAATAGTTAGGTGAGACAGAAAAAATTGCAAAATCAACGAACAGGCAAAAGAGTATAATGGCAGGAAAACATTACTGGATACTACAAATATTCAGGATCGGTAATATTTAAATCAAAGCATTTTACCTTATATGCAATACAATTCACGTGTAATATTTCATTTAATATTCACAATAATACTGTGAAAAAGATATGGCTCAGTGATGTATTGGAAACTTACCAGAATTTGATTAGTGGTAAATTATGAAACTGCTTCTTAAATTTAACTCACCTAATTCCAAAATCTATACTTTTCTCCTTGCATCTTGCAGCCTCATATCATATATTTGCAAATTCTTGATAAGACCTTGTATTATGTAAATCAATACTTATCTGCTCACAGACATTTTATTTGCTTATACATGTACATATAGATGAACAAACATAAATATATACACACCTAAACATGTACTCACACAAATTATTCCTTAATTTTCAAAGAGATTCAGATGCAGTTCTTTTATTTGTCATTTGTAATGTTGCATATATTTTTCAATAGAAGAAAGTGAGACAGGTTTTCATGCTAGCTAATAATTTAAATATTCATAGTGCTAAATTATATATTTTAATTAGTTGATAATACAATTTTTTTATTTTTATGCGACATTATAACATAGTTATAGACATCGAAAGTACATTTTAAAATGGTGCAATACAGCATGTGGCAAGTCGTATAATCTGTATATAGATGAAAATTTTAAAATAATGCCATTCAACGAAAAAGTGTTCTGTCTTTACCTATAAAATTGATGATGCTTGGTTTAGATAGAGGATGAGGAGAAGAGTAAAGATAATATCGATACAGAGCTCTGGGAGTAATTCTGCAAAAGAGTTGTAGACTTTAATAAAAATTGGCCTCTTTGAGACTTGCTATAAAGGGCTAATGCTTCCAGCAATATTTTTTAACATATGAAGAGATGTATACTTCTTCCAATCAAAAGACAATATTCTCAACACATTAAGCTAAACTTTTCTCTCATTTTCTCCGCAATACTTATTTTTTGTTTAGTCTCAGTTTCTTACATAGTCCAAGTAGAATCCAGATATTCCAAATCAACTTAAACCAAAATCAAAATCCTGTCTAATCAATCACAAATAAAATTTATATAAGATAGTTAACTACTCTTTAGTTCCCTCATTTTACAGAAGAGATGTAATGCTTCACATAACAATGTACATTTTTCTTAAGTTGAGTGTCAAGGACAAATGAGGGACATTTAGTTTTATTAAAAGAGTTGCAACTCTAAATCAAAGAAAAATTATCAAATTCTATTGTTTGTAGATCAGAAAAATATATTTTTATCCCTCTGATTTTAGTGTGGATTGGCATATACTTGAGAATGTATTCAGTTTATAAGAATAAAATATTTACTATGGACCAGGGAAGTTGAGTAAGGTATTTCTTCATGGTTACATGATAAGTTTATAGCAAGAAGGATAGTGCTGAAGTACTGATATAAGCAGGAAAGATTTTGAAGCAAGACAAACTTGACTTACATTTTAAGCTCAACAATTTATTAGCTATTTTTCATTGGTAAGCTACTAAATATCTCCTAGAATGAGTATCTTCAAATACGTTCTAAATTAATTTAGTACCACTTTATTCCACAGTGTGTTCGAAAGCCCTAAATAATAAGTTGACAACAATAGTATTCTCTACTTAACCTATGCACGACCACACAAACATACATATAATTTAGGCCTTTGCTCATAGCACAAGTATTGTGGTTATTTTTAATAAGATAAAGCATTATTACTCATGAACTTTCCATGAAATTTGACAAAGACTATCATTCTCTGTCATTTATAACAATTTTTCCATGCACATTTTGAAACATCATGAGGAATAACTATTGTTAAACGTGATATTTTGATGGTAAGAAACTTCATCTTTCCTAATAGCCTAATTATACTTGCCAAAAAGTAAAGCCATCTCTCATTTTTATTTTCTTTTTATATAATGTTATTTATAAAAAAGGGAATATGAAAATTCTCAGATGTCATAAATTTAATTAATCTTTAAAATACATACTATTTGTCCTTCCAAAAATACCCTTAAAAAGTTTGGATAAAGAAGCCTGTCCACCCTATCCTTTCTTTTCTCTCTAATTTAAAGTGGCATTCAAGATTTCCAGGCACAAAAAACAAATGTATGGATTATTATGTTCTTTTCTTATTATTTACAAAGTCAGCAAATCTCTGAATTTTTATTAGGTTGGTGCAAAAGTAAGTGTTTTTGCCATTAGTTTTGCATGAACCTAATACTTAAAGAACACCATAAAAAAGCAGCCATCTAATGCTGAAGTATTTTCTATGGTATTCTCAAACAGTAGTGAAAATGTTTATGGTTGGACAACCAACGTAGGACAAATGAATTTACATGGTCATATTTATTTCAATGAAAAACAAATACATTATTTTTACTGAATTGAAATAGAGGAACACTATGTGAAGATTTATTTTTCTTCATTAAATAATATTTATCATTTAACTGCATTGTTTTTCAGAATTATAAATTATATTTTTACCTTGTCATGAAATGTTTCTTATCATGGAAACATGGTCTGTGCCTCACAATTTTTGCAACCGTCTTCTTTACTAAAATACTTTACATTCCATCATATTTGAGGACTTTTAATTCTTTCTGTCTAGTGTGGGTGGAGGCATTGATACAAGTGTGAGGTTTGCTGGGGAATTCCAGTTCCAGTCATGGTGTAGCTGTGTCTCTTGAAATAACTTTTCTGCCAGAAACAACAGTAAAAGCTGAAATGTTTTTAAAGTAAATATTTGGGGGCACCAGGGAACAAAAGAGCAGGCAGAGGGTATATTAACCTTGAAAGAATGGAAGCTTTGGCTCTGAGGCACTATTTAATCAGTTCACCTGAACCTCAAAAGTAGAGCTTATAGCAATTTTGAGAGATACATTGTGACCCAAAAGTAAATATAATTACTATGCGTCAATTACAAATAAAATGAAAGACAGATCAAAGAGAAAACATAAACTGACTGGAATGAGGAAAGACCAAAGATAGGTGCTGGAAATTAGAGAAGTGTGCTCTGTACCGGGTGACACATTGGGGATGCCTTAAAATATGCATATAAGTCAGTTGCTCCCCAAACTCCTAAGCATCATCAGAGGGAGATGGCAATGAGCTCACTTGGAAAGAAGGAGATGGATGGTTAAAATGCTGAGTAGATATTTACACAGGTCCATTGTCCGAAAGAAATAGACTTTAGAACATTAGATGGGGTGGTTCAAAAATAATGTTGTTATACACTCTAAGAATAAGGAGAAAATCTATTATTAACAATTTATATAAACTTATAATTATTAACCTATAATAAAAATATGTAATTAATAAAAATCTATAATTTATAATGAAAATTATCAACAGAAAAAATGTGATTGTCATTTTATTAAACACCAGAAATAAAAATCTCTTAGGAAAAGAATAACATCTTTCAAAGCTAAATATCAGAATTAAATTTCCATGCTCCAAAAGGAACAACAATTAAGACAACTAAAATCCTGAGTAGTTCAAGTTTTAGAAATAACATATAGGATATTTAAAATAACTGTTATAAATGCAGGGGAAACTAAATTACTAAAGATAAAGAATTGTAACAAAGTATTAGAATATAAAAAGAATAAAATTGGTATTGTTGAATTGCAAAACACATCTGAAATTATGATCTTATTGAGCAGGTTTAAAGTTTAGGTATAGAAAAGAACTAGATTAAAGATTCATTGACAGAAATATTAAAATTTAAGCATAATGAGAGATAAGAATAAATAACACAACAAAGACTAAATGTCATGTGAAATATGGCCAAAGTATATAATAAAAATAAGAAGTGTACATAACACATGCCTTCGTAATGTATGCCTAGTCAGTGTGCTAGAAAAAATTTGCAGAATGATACAAAACAATTGTTTAACAAATAATAACAGAGAACTTCCCAAATTTTGTGAAGCATAGAAGATTTGAGAATGTCTACAGGAACTCTTTAGAGAAAATTAAATATACACACACAGACAGAAACAACTATGATCGAACTGTGAAAAGCAATGAAAAATATTAAAATCTTAGGAGTAACCAGGATAAGGGCAAAGACATACTTTCTTCGCAGCATCAACCAAAAACTGATGGTTGAGTCTTCAACAAAAATACAGCAGCCTTAGAAAAGTGAATTGACATTTTAATTGCTAATAACAAATGCAAATAATCTTATATGAAATAAATAAAATTCAAAAATGAAACTGAGTGAAGATGCTAATGTATAAATTCAATTTCTTTAATAAATATTGATGAATAAAATTGCTAAACATCTACCAAAACTGAATTAAGAAAAAAAAAGGTGACATTACTAAAGATATTTCAGACATTAAAAAGATATTAATACCTTTTGGCTATGAATGAATCTGACAACTTACATAAGAAGATATAACCAGGTAAACAGACATCAGAATTAAAGAGAATAAATAGAATGTTGAGACCGTATCAGCTAAAGAAATTATATTTGCATAGATGCGATTTTAAAATTTCTCCTGAATGCTTCCAATATGCTACGGAGGAAACAAATTACCATAATATTTTTCAGAAATAGAAAAATATGAGTGGCCTGAAGATTTACAAATCTTCAATTGTTTTTCTATAAATGTACTTAGGGCACAAGTTCAGAAATAAACTTTAAGTCTAATTACTTATGCTTTCTCACTGATTGAATAGATTATTTATAGGCTCTATGATATATTTTGGATGTTATTATCCAGTATACTTGTTTGCCTTCCCAATTGTATATCTTCTACGGATTTAATGAGTTATGTATTTCTTTGTCCATGTAATTTATTTTATAAGCCTGAAAAAGGCAGGACAAAAGATACAGTCATGGAAATTCCCATTAGAGTTACCCTGAAAAGTTAAGTATAGTCTATTAGTCAGTACCCCCAGTTATATTTATTCAACTGAATCAGATTATGTAAATGTTCTTAATAAACTAATTTTTTCTATTTATTTACCAATTTGCAATGAGCGATCATGCACATCTGTTGAATTTATTTCACCTTTTATTCTTTGTAAGCAATATGTGGTTAGTACAATATGACATCTATTAAGGAAATTCATTCTAGGTTCTAGTGATTACTATTTACCCTTTCTGCCTCACCTTGGTCCTCAAAACCTTTCTCTTTGTCAGTAGGTAAATCTGCCTTTCTCCTAAGACTCAATGCTTTGTTGTTTTTACTAGTTGATCTAAATGTATCTATCCCTACATTATGGTAATAATGATAGAAATTTAACCTAACTGATTCTCCATTTAAATGCAGAAAGTAATAGTTTCTTGACAAATGAGATCTACCTTTTATCAACCTATTGATTCTCATTTCTAGTTAAGTCTTTGTCAGACTTCATGATAAATCTCAATCTAAAGCTGAGCTTTGATAAATTAAACTCTCCACAGGTTATTAAGCTTGTGATCATCACACAGTGCAATTTACCTTTGACAGTTTCTCTCTTGTCCATTTTAGTAAGTCATTTGCCAGACTGTATTCTTAAATAAGTTTCTTAAAAACCTGAACTTCAGTTTTCTTATATGTAAATGACCTCACCATGTTTTTGGGGGGATTTAATGAAATCATAGTATAAATCATAACATAAAATGTGCATGCATTAGAGATTCAATAGACATTAGGTTCTTTACCCCTGCTTGAAAAGTAAAAAAACAAACAAACTATTTTTTCAGAAATAAAAGTATTCCCAGCATACAGTGTATCAACATATAATGTACAATAAAATATACCTCTCAAGATGTTTTTACGCCTACTCCTATTCCTGTTAAGTAATGTAGTAAAACTGGTTTCATGACAGCTTTGGGGAAAATATGTGTGAGTGAAATTGAAGTTGACACATGAAATTCAGATCTATTTGGGAGTGTATTTAGATTGCTGTTTACCTACTTGTTAATAGAGCTCTATGAAGTGACAGGTTAGAAGAGAGAAAAAAAAAAGAGGAAAAAAAGTGTCTGAGAAATCCAAAAAGAAAAGTTGAACAATTTTAGACAAAGCACAATGAAAATCTTCAATATTTTATAATCCAATGGAAAACTCATTATCCAAGATGCTTGAAAGAAAGGAAAATAAGCAGATACCCATCCAGTGGTTTTATGCTTACTAAGAGGCTAAGAATTTGGCTTGCAAGAATAGATGAGATTGGTTTTATGTTATAGAAAAAAAATTACTGAGAGTAAATCTATTAAAACTTACTTAGGGAAAACATAAATAGCCTTTTCAAAATCTTTTTTTGTATTAGCAGGCACAGTTTCTCCATTAAGGCAAAGGTTTTTTTTTTAATTAATCCATCTCACTAAATATAAGTAAAATATTACTTTAAAAATGCAAATAATGGGAGATTTTTAAAAAATAAATTTTACCTTACCTGGAATGGTACTTGTGAGAATTGTTTAAGTGTAAGAAAACTTGCCTATTCATCAGGAAACCTGTGATCTAATACTGGACTCCCCAGCCCCTCCTCCAGGTAGCTGTGTAACAGAGGAAGCCCCATAACTTCCCTGGATCTCAGCTCACTAACTTTTAAAGTTTAGTAATTTTATTAAATTGTCTTTACAGTAATTTGTAAGTAAGTAATTTAGTTTGCCAAAGTGCTTGAACAAACTGCTTAAAAATAGTTTGAACATCAATATCCAGATCCTATTAGTCAGGGTCCTTCAGAGACACAGAACAATAGGACAGACAGAGCAAGAGAGAGACAGTGAGAGAGAGAGAGAGAAGTAATAGATAGATGATAGATAGATAGATAGATAGATAGATAGATAGATAGATAGATAGATAGATAGATAGAGATGATACAGCTATAGATGGATATATGAGAGGAGATTTATTAGGCGAATTACTTCATGCAATTATGAAGGTTGAGAAGTCCCATGATTGGCCATCTGCAAGCTGGAGAGCCAGGGAGGCTGGTAGCATGGCTCAGACAAGGTGTGAAGGCCTCAGAACCAGGAAAGATGATGGCATAACTCTCAGTCCTAGACCAAAGCCAGAGAAACTGGGGAGTGGTTGGTGCAAACTCCAGAGTCCAGAGGTCATAGATGCTGGAATTCTGATATCCAAGGGCAGGAGAAGAAGGGTGTCTCAGCTTCAGAAAAGAGAGTATGAATCACCTTTCTTCTGCCTTTTTGTCTTATCTAGGCCCTAAACTGATTGCACAGTGCCCACCCACATTGGGTGAGAGCATATATTGCTTACCCAGTACACTGATTCAAATGTCAGTCTCTTCTGGAAACACCATCACAGATATATTTGAAAATAATGCTTTACTAGCTATCTGGGTATTCCTTAATTCAGTCAAGTTGAAACATAAAAGTTAACCATCACACAATGTGCTATAATAAAGTGAAGTATAAAAAATCTATCGTATAAAACATATACTTACAAATTGCACAACCTATCTACCTTAAGAACCAGTAGCGATCAAAATATGCATAAAATTTTAGAAGCTATTAGGAAATCATATTTTGTTACATATGTATCAAAGGTGAAGTTAAGCAAAGTACCTCCAAGAATATATTTATTAGCCACTGACTGTTAACATTAAAATACTTATTTTATTAGGGTCAGTATATTGCACCATCTGTTTAGAATACTGTATATATCTTTTTAAGAAGACATTACAGTTGTGAAGTTCATGAGCTCTTGAAGTTAATTTTGATGGTTATACACAGTGCAGGTTAAAGGAGAGATTTTATCTTGCTTATGGAATTAGTTCTGGCTCGTTATATCGTGATAAGTTTCCTCAGGAAAACTAAATAACTGAGATCCAAGATTATGGAAGGGTACAGATGCATAAACTATTTGCTTTCACATGCATCCCCATTAATTTAAAAATATAGGCTTGACACATGAAAACAGATAGATAAAATTTACTGTTATATACCATATAAACATAGTTTTGCTCTTCTAGTTTTAAAACTACTCCATATTTTTTCCGAATTTAAGCATTACAAACTCAAAGAAGTGGTACTTTTTGCCAAACTGATTCTTATGTGTTTATTCCTATGCACAATATTTAGTACCATTCTTATGTACAATATTTAGCAGCTGCATTGATGGCATTCTGAATTACATCATTAGTCTTTCTGTGAATTTGGAATAAGGTCCCACAAGACAGATTCATTCCTGGTTATATTTATTAGACATTCTCATAGAATTTTGTCCAACTGTGGTGACAAGATATCTGCAATAATAACAGTGGCAGCACGTAGTAATATCAATGGGAAGGAATAGGATTCCCCAAATATAGGTGTGCAAGATGGAACACATTTAACTTTTTGGAATAACATTCAATAATCAATTTGACATTTAGTGAACACAAATTATTTCCTGCTCTGAAATATAATTAGTAAATAATTAGTGCAATAGGAAAAATTTTGCAGAAGTGTACAGTATTTTCACAGGTTGCCTGACAATACTACAAATAGTAATTAGCATGCTATAAAATAAAGCATCATATTATTGAATAAAATATCTTTTTAAAAATTCACTACATTATCCAAATTATGTTTTGTCTCTCTATGTCTTTCTGATGAGTTTTTGTAGCAGGAAATTTTCCCTGACCCCTTTGCCAAGGAGAACTGGAGTGTGGGTGCTTGGGCTAGCCGGCCACTTTGACACTGGCTGGGGCAAGTCCACTCACTGGAACCCTTTGCACTCAACCCCTCTCAGGAGGGAGCATGCAGATGAGAGGGTGCAGAAACAGTGTGAGTACTTTCGGGTGACAGCAGGAGCAAAACTCCCTGTTGCCCATGGCAGCAGCTAGGGTCGAGTACCTGAGACCCCTGAAGCTCTAGAGGGCTTGCGTTACAGTGCTTTTTTAAGCTTTGCCTTCTGCAGACTGCTTAAGTGTTAAACAGCTCAGTGGGCCCTCTGCCTTTTCAACTGAGTCAATTGCTGTCTGCCAGTGAGGGCAGAGGGTCAGTGTGACAGCCTTTAGCATCCGCACCCATGGCACCCAAGCTCTTGTTTGGCAACCAGAAAAATTTATTAAGGACATGCATCTTTTAATAACACTTTAAAACTGTGTAATGGGATGTTCAGTTTAATGTATGAATATACTCTCAGAAAACCTTGCAAATTAGAATGTTGGAAAATGGTGTTTCCCTAAGGCTGCTTAGAGCATAAATTTAAATGGAGTATGACCACAGTGCAAATATGTGCCACTGAAAGCTCTCTATATGAACGCATCATTTGAAGATTAATGTTGATAGAGAATTGTTTTATTTAAATAGAAGCTTTTTCATTAGAAAGCAAAGATATAGGCAGCAAACTCTAGGATTGATTTCCCAGAGTGGCAATTGTTTGTTTTTCCTTCAAAGCTATTGTCAGTTGCAATCTGTACAGATTTTTGTGTTAACTTTTAGAGATTATATTAGATGGCATATTTTTGCTGGAAATGTCAAATAACTCTACCGAATATATCATATTTAAGGCAGAATTGGATTTGTTAGCAGTATAAGATATAATCTGAGACTGGTTAAGAAATCTAATCTAGAAATAAAAGAAAAAGAACAGAGAAAGAAAGAAACAAACAGAAATGCCTGAAATGCCTAAAATGAAAATTTCATGGAATGGGATTAACTGCAGTGTAAATAGTTCAGATGAAATGCTTAGTGAAGTCAAAGACATACCCAAAGAAACTATCCAAAAGTAAAAATAGAGAGTAAAAATAGGAAAATAATAAACTAGTAATACTGAAGAATGAGCTATAGGACAACTTCAGGCAGCCTAAATTAAGTGTAAATGAAGTAACTGAAGAAGACAAGGGTAACACAAAAAAAATCTGAAAAAATTATAGGTGAAAAATTTCCAAATATAAAACTTTGAAGCCGTAAATCTAAGAATACCAACAATCTACAAACAAAAGAAATATGAAAAAAACTATACCAAAATCTCACAATAAATTGCTTCCTTAAAAAATAAATAAAAATGTTAAAACAGCAAAGATTGCATTATGACAAAAAAGGATAAGATTTAACAACAGGTTTATGATTACAAACAAAGGAAACAAAGACCAACATCTACAAAGATCTGAAGAAAAAAAAAAGTAGTTAACCTAAAATTCTATACACAATGAAAATATACTCCAAAAAAAAAAAAAAAAAACAGAGAGTAATGGACAAAATGGCATAGATTTCTCCCTCCTTTCTCCTTCCTGCTAAATACAACAAGCCATGAAAATAATGAAAAGGCAACCAAGGAGAGCTCTTAAAGTTGGACAGAAGAAGGCAATTGGTAATGGATCCCAGGACTGGAGAAACTATGTAATAGCAGGAAGTTTTATGAGCCCCCACTCAATAATTATAGAGAGTCTAGGGGCAGGCTTCTAAAAGAAATGCATATCCTGACCACCAATCGAATAGAAGGTGGCCAGGTAGGCTTATTCCTCCCAGGATTAAAGAACAGTGCCAGTAACAGCCTCCAGTGTGTGCAGAAGCATAGGCAAATGGGAGTCCCACTAAGTAGCCAAAGAGAGGGCTTTGTTTCCACTCTGGGCCTAAGGATCTATTCCTTCATGTTGAAACATCAGGCAGTTGGGGGAACTGACAAGGAGAATCACACCAGAACAAATATCTAGACTGGAAAGCCTTTTCCTTTCCATGGGTCTGACACACCTCTCCTTACTTTAGATACATCCAGTGGCCAGGGGACACAAGGAAGGGAAATCTTACCACAATACGCAATCTGACCCAGAATGTTCTCTTCACCCCTCGGGGCTGAAGTACCTTTTTACTCACTGGGAGACATGAAGCAGGAAAGTGGTTCTGGTTTGGCCAGAAAATACTGTCACAACTGCTCAGTCCAGAAAACAGACTTCATCTTCATAGGTCAGAGACCACCTTTCTCCATCTAGAGGCACAAAGAAGCCTGGCTTGGGGAAGCTCCTTTCACCTCCTCTGGCCACAGCACCATTAGGGAACAGTATTTGTTGACACCAAGACCTTTTAAGATAACACTAAAAAAACTTTTAAAAAATGTCATTGAAAGCAGAGCCCAGAAAAATAGACTAAGACCCATGTATTAAACTTACACGGGTTAATTGACTGCAAAAATAAAAGATTTAAATAAGACCCAGAGTCTCTTAACATAATAGATAAAATGTCCAGGACAAAATACAAAATCACATGTTATTCCAAGAAAAAAATCACAACTGGAATGAGAAAAGACAAATAACTGATATCCACATTGAGAAAAATTAAATGGTGGAATAATCTAACAAGGGATTTAAAACTGCCATCCTAAAAAATATTTTAATGAGAAGTTACAGATTCTTTTGAAACAAATTTTAAAAACTGGAAATCTCAGCAAAGACACTGGAGTTATAAAATGGAAATTGTGAAGATGAAAAACACTATACTGTAAGAACCCTCACTAGGTAAGCTCCGTAATGGCATAAAAATGATACAGAATAAAATCAGTGAACTTGAGAACAGATCAATAGAATTTGCCCAACTGGAACATCAGAGAAGATATAGACTTAAAAAATATTAGAGCCTCTAGGACTATTGGATAATGTTTTATAAATTAACATTTGTGTCATCAAAGTCTCAGAAGGAGAGGAAATAGAAAGTGACTAAAATACTGGCTGGAAATTTCCAAAATGTGGTTAAATATATAAACCTACAGATTTAAGAAGCTGAGAAAACCACAATAGGATTAACTCACATAAATCCACAGTAGACACATCAAAATTAAACATGTGAAGATTATAGAAAAGTTTAAAAGTTTGAAAATGGCAAAAGAGGAACAACACATTACCTACATGAGTATGCTAATTCAAATGACAGCTAATTTTCTCATCTGAAAACTTGGAGGAAGTGGCATAATATTTTTGAAGTGTGGATAAAAAAACACAACTGTCCACTACTAATTCTTATCTGTGAGAACTACACGTCAAGAATGAAGTTTGAATAAATGATCAGCCCAGTGAGAATAAGCAAAGCCTATTTATTCAGAGTTTGCTATATAGCAAAGGAGTCAGAAGCTCATTTGGATTTGGCAGAAATTCAAAGCCAAGCAGAGGAGGAAAGCTTTATAGGAGGAAAAAAAGATGGTTTCTGACATCTCTTGAGTGGAGGCAGCTGGGATGGGGAAGGTGGAGGTAGGATAACTAGAGCAGGGCATCCTATTTGGTTAGTTAGGAAGGTATATTTGGATTTCTCCAATTGTTCCTAAGTTAGAAGTGAGGGGAGAAATTAGGAAACCTGTTAGTTGCTGTTAAAGTTTTGACTGTTCAGATTTGTGTGCCACAGAAGTTGTGGTTGGGCTTCCTGCACCATTTGCCGCAGGTTGTAGTTTAGCCTTCCAGACTGATTGTTGCAGACTGTGAGTTAGAGTTCTGTTTCAAGTCTAGCTGTTGTTTGAATACCCAGTGAAGAGAAATACAGATATTTTCAGACGAAGGAAAGTTAAAAGAATGTGTCTCTAGCCTACCTACTGTCAAAGAATGGCTAAAGGAAGTTCTTCGAACAGAATAAAATGATGAAACTTTTGTAGCATTAAGAAAAAAGAAAGGGCCAGGCGCGGTGGTTCATGCCTGTAATCCCAGCACTTTCGGAGGCCAAGGCAGGAGGATCACTTGAGGTCAGGAGTTCGAGACCAATCTGGCCAACACAGTGAAACCTCGTGGCTACCAAAAAAAAAAATACAAAACTTAGCCAGGTATGGTGGCACATGCCTGTAATCCCAGCTACTCAGGAGGCTGAGGCAGGAGAATCGCTTGAACCTGGGAGTCCAAGGTTGCAGTGAGCCGAGATGGTGCCATTGCACTCCATCCTGGGTGACAGAGCGAGACTCTCTAAAAAAAAAAAAAAAAAAAAAAGGAAAGAAAAGAAAAGGAAAAAGAAAGAACAGTGGAAAAAGCATAAATATGAGTAAATAGAATAGACTTTTATTTAATCAGGTTTCTAAGTAAAAAGTAATAAATATGACAACAATAAATACAATTAAATTGAACAGAAAATAATTAAAACTAACAACAATCAATGCTCACCAAAATGATGTTTAATAAGGTAAAGGAACCAAAATGGAAGGTTTTCATACTTCACTAGAAGTGATAAAATGTTAGCAGTCCATTATGATAAAGGATATATGCTTATGTACAGAAAGCCCTCACTTATCATCATTAAACAACATTCTTGGAAATTCCAACTTTAATGGAAATGATGTATAACGAAACCAAATTTTTTTTTCTCATCAATGTTATGGTGAACCAATGTTATTCAAGGACCTGCTGTAGGTTGTTTTTCTCAAAGTTGCAGTTTCCAAGAACCTGTTCGTGACATTTAAGTGAAGATTTATTGTAATCACCATAGCACACGCTAGTAAACATACACAAAGTGATATAAGAAAGCCTACTACGGCTGGAGAGGTTGCCCAATTCATGAGTCATTCCTCAAACTTTAAAAAATTTAATTTGGCTGAAGTTTTTCTTTTATCATGATAAAGAATACATGGAATTTGTTTATATCATTTTATAGCTGCATGTGAATCTACAATTATCTCAAAATAACACGTTTAGTGAAATAAGAGTGTAAACGACAAAGAAAAGAAGGTGAAATGAAGATGTTTTCAGACATTAAAAAAAGCTGAAAGAATTCATTACCAGCAGAATTTCAGTACAAGAAATCTTAAAGGAAGTCCATCAGGTATGAGAACTATGATACCAGATGAAAATTTAAGTTTGCACAAGAATAAGAAGCACAAGAAATGGTAATTATGTGTGTAACTCATGCAGCTTGGAAGCATATTCACATTTTCTCTACTTCTCTTATTTATCTATAATAAAGTTTTACCTATAATGAAGTTCTATTTTTATATTCATGGTGCAGGGATGTATTTTGTAATTTGAAGGGAGGATATATATTAAAATTATGGCTTTACTACTTACTAACCAAATAACTGTAAGCAAGAAATAGTCTTCATATATTATTTTTCAATTTAGAATAAGGCTGTCAATAAACTGTCATTATATTACTATTAGCAATGGAGATGAACTAATATGCATCTAAACAGCTAACACAGTATCAGGTTCATAACTGTTAATCCTTAAATAATGTGTTATTTTCTTTGACCAACACTGTGTATTCCTAATCTTACCCCCTGTGTAATCACGTTATTATTGAGCTTTCAAATATTTAATTCTTAAAACCCTATATTAACTGCAATCCAGCTTTATGGTATTAACGTTTTTAGATTCTCCATCCTACTTCTCATAGTTTTAAGGAGAATTTCTTTCTGAGTTTACAGAATATGTTCATCAACAATAAGTGTATTATTTTCTGGGAGCATCTCATTAGTGTTTTTGTTTGCTTGCTTGTTTCCTTGTCATCACCAATTTAGGTCAACTAATATTGTTGTGTTGAGAAAGTAGACATTCCACTAGGGACTAGGGAAGAAAGGTGTAGAATTTCTTCAAATTTTCAGCATTTAAAAATTTTGTTAAAGCACCAGAAGTAGGAGGATTAGGAGACCAGTGAAATGTATGTCTTCTCCATCTTCATGGACTACAAAGCACTGTTTGCTGCGGCTGCTGGCTGTATCAGCCACAGCACTATAGAATTTTTGAGTTAACTATAAAACATATTACTGAGATTTTAGATTCATAATCCCTCTGGTGACAATTATCTAGGTCAAATTATGGTATCAATAGACCTTAATTGTAGAATTCTATTAAATAATTTCCTGAGCACTTAATATCCAATTATATAAATATTTATTAAACATTGATTTTATGTCACATACCATGTTACTTTTACATAACTTTTATAATATATGTTTTCAGCCCTCAAAGATCCCCAGATCTCAGTCTGTTTGCCTCCTACCTGACTTCTTCTGATAAATATATTTATTTATAAGGCCTCCATTGAATTCAAACAGTTTTTATTAAGCTACTAGAGGATTCAGGTTCCACCCCATAGCAAAAAAATCAAGAAAAAATTAGGTGGTAGAATTAACAGTGAAGGGGAGAAATATAGTTATTAGTATTACACTGTCATTCAGATCTCATAATAATTAAAGTGTAATTTAAAATATACTATTTATAGAAACTGTCACAATAACTTTTTGATCAACTTAGAGTTAATATCAAAACACTGACATCATTTTATTGAAAAGTGAAAAATTGTACCATTTTAAATCTACTTTTAACCTCAGCTAAGCATTGGCAGAAACATCTATTCCTGTATAAAAATTGATGACAATAGACCCATTTTTATGGCATGATTTTTGAAAAAGAGAGTATATTTTCCCGTTACAATGAAAACTTAAGCATTTCATAAGCAGTTATGCAAAGTAGGCTTATAAGAAGAAATGAATAATGTATTTCTCCTGAGTTATATTTCTGTGTTCTAAAAAAGTCTATCTATAAATCAGTTTCTTAACTTAGTAACATCTAGATGGCTTTACCTTAAGAGTTATATGGCTCTTATCCATCTATTTTGAATAAAAATCTGTATCTGTTACCTCTATTACCTACTTTGTAGGCAACACATAATTACTAACAATGTATAAACAAGCACAATATCCATAATGCAGAAAATCACATTCAGTATAGTTAGTTGCTATGATGTCATATTTCTGCAAAAGGCTTTAGTTTATTGACAGCTAACAAAGCCCAAATATGTGGAAAGGAGATGATGTAAGTATAAATAGCAACCAAAATTCTCTTTAAACATATATTATCAATCGGACAATTCATACATGTATAAAGAATTCTATGTAATACATTAACAAATATCCTGTTGGTTATTTTAAGTAATGTGCAAACTCATGTAAGTTGGGTATTAAGTTATGCACAGTCTTCTGATACCAATATCTTAATATTGCTTGAAAATTTTGGCACACGAAATGATTTTAGCTTTCCAATGATGATAATATTGATCAATGCCTGTTCAAAAGGAAAGGTAAAATCATCATCTGATGGTTTTCCTTATCCTTCTCATCTCAAAATTACGATACAATATTTACCGTGTCAAAATTATACAATGCCATAGTAAGTACTGGAATATAAAGTATTATAAATACGAATTTTCCAAGTGTATCAACTAAAGATAATGCAGTCAAATATGTTATTTTAAAATGTTTATTGATATGGTTTGAGTTTGTGTCCCTGCTCAAATCTCATATCGAATTGTAATCCCGAATGTTGGAAGAAGGACCTGTGGGAGGTGATTGCATCATGGGGGTGGATTTGCCTTTTGCTGTTCTCCTAATATCAAGTGAGTTCTCATGAGATCTGGTTGTTTAACAATGTGTATCACCTCCCACTTTGCTCTCTTCCTTCTTCTCCAGCCATGTAAGATGTACCTGCTTCTCCTTTATCTTCTGCCATAATCGTAAGTTTCCTGAAGCCTCCCCAGCCACGTTTCCTGTTCAGCCTGTGGAACCATGGGCAAATTAAACCTCTTTTCTTTATAAACTACCTAGTCTCAGGTAGTTCTTTACAGCAATGTGAGAATGGACGAATATATTTACCTTTCAAGTTTTTATCAGTTATGGAGAATTTAAATCAGTGATGTTGATCTATGCCCTTCCTTGGTTAATTTAAATTTTAAGTCCTGAAAATCCTTAATCTACACAAATTGTTGCTACTTCCTGGCCTTATGATTTAAGATGGTAGGTGAGATGAACGCAAAGGGTGTTTGGTTTCTACACATTGTCTACAAAACAAAGATAGTTAAAAATTTTGATACAAATATCTTGTATAGACCAGAGATTGTTAAAATGAACCAAAAAACAAGACTCGACTGTATGTTGCCTACAGAATACTCATTTAGGGAGAAAACTAAATAACTCTGGGTACAGCAATGACTTTTTAGATACAGCATCGAATATACAACCTATGAAAGGAAGAATTGATAACAAGGACTTTATTAAAATTAAAAATGACTGCTCTGTAAAACACAGTGTCAAAAGAATGGAAAAACAAGTCACAGACTGGGGTAAAATATTTGCAAAAAACACATTGGAGGAAAAAAATCCCTGCTTTCTAAAACATATAAATAACTCTTAAAACTCAACAATAAGAAAATAAATAAGTTTAAATTAAAAAATGGACACAAGACCTGAACTGAAACTGCAACAAAGAAGATATACAGATGGCAAATAAGCATATAAAATGATGTTCCACAGTATATATCATTAAGTAATTATAAATTAAAACAAGTAAAGATACCTATATATACATATTAGAATAGCTAAAATCCAGAAAACTGACACTACCAAATGCTGGGGAGGACATGGAGCAACAGATACTCTTATTTGCTGGTGGAAATACAAAACAGTAGAGCCACTTTGGAAGACCCTTTGGCCATATCTGCCAAATATAAACATACTCTTACCCTATAATACAATGATCACACTCCTTGGCATTTGTCCAAATGAATTGAAAACTTACATTCTCACAAAAATCTGTCTACAGATGTTTATAGCAATTTTATTTATAATTGCCAAAATTTGTCACCAAACAAGATGTCCTTCAATAGGTGAATGGATAAATAAACTGTGGTATATCCAAGCAGTGGAATATTACTCAGCATTAAAAAATGAGCTGTCTAGCCATAAAAAGACAAAGGAAATTTAAATGAATATTACTAAATCAAAGAAGTAAATCTGAAAAAGTTACATACTGTACGATTCCATGTATATGACATTACAGAAAAGACAAAACTGTGAAAACATTAAAAAGTTTAGGGGTTGCCAAGGGTTGTTGGGTGAAGGAGGGATAAATAGGTAGGGTACTGAGGATTTTTAGGATAGTGAAACTGCTTTGTAAAATGTAATAATGATGAATACATGGATATGTTTGCTGAAACCTATAGAATGTACAAATCAAGACTGAACCCTAATGTAAACTATTGGCTCTGGATGATAAGGATGTATGAATGTGAGTTATTTTATTGTAACAAATGTACAACTATGGTTCCAGATGTATTTACTGGGGGAGACTGCATACATGTGGCGAACACTGTACACTCTATTCAATTTTGCTGTGAGCCTGAAATTACTCTAAAAATAAAGTTTATTAACTATCAAAATATAGTTTACATTGTTTTAATGTTTGAGAAAACTAAAACAAAACAAGTAAATCTCTTATGTGAACAATCCACTATGAATTCATAATTGAACCTCATCTAAACGTGATGTTAAGACAGAAAGCAAAAAGTATCAGTGGGTCTTTACCTGCTAGCATTTTCTAAAATGGTAATAAAAAGTATAATGATACTAAAATATAGATAATAATGATTCATATCTTTTCTTTAAAATAAGATTTTTGTATATACATTTTATAATTAGTTAAAGACATTTATCTTGAAATAATATCTCTGTATATTATACTTGGGATTTTCCCTTTATCCTAGGCACGTACACTATAAATTATCCTTTTTTATCATACAGTTACATTTATATCAAATACACATGTAGCTTGTTACACCCATACTTGTAAAAAATTTTGTGTCATGAATGTACGTGTTGCCTAGAACTAAGTGTGTGTACATGCACACACAAATGAGAGCAAGTGAAACTGGTGAAATCTGAATAGGTAGATAGGTTGTGTCAATGTCATTTTGTTTTGTGTGATATTGCATTATGCTTATGCAAGATTTTACCACTAGGGAAAATCAGAGGAGGACTGTAGCAGATATCTTTGTATTATTCCATACGATTGCATGTGAATCTACAATTATCTTAAAATAAAATTTTGAGACATATTTGTATATAAAATAGATTACAATATTTTATATCTTAAAATTTAAAAGTTCAAAAATTCTACATGTAAAATATATATGTTATAATATACACAATATTATGTTTCAATAACAGATATTACAAAAAAACCTCTATATTGTCCAGCAAAATTTTATCCCACCCATCTGAAAATTATATTCACCCTTTTTTCTAAAACAACCTCGCTACTTTAGGTTGTATAGTAAGAATGTATTTATATACCTTAAACTAGAATTATTCACTTGTATTTTTACTAATGGTTGGATGCTAGGCCATCACTGGGTTCCTAGCATGAAAAAAATGTGGCCTTCGCTTATGGGAAAATAATATCTATGTTGACACACCTGGAAATCTTGAATCTCCTAAGCTCTCTCACCCTAAAAAATGTTCTCACGGTACAGAACTATTTCTCCCACAGAAGGTTAAGAAGCAATACTCTTTGACTTGGTGCCATAACATTTACCATTTATTTCTCCAAACTATTTACCAAAGCAGCAGGGTTTTTTTATTTTAAATTTTATTAATACAATATTAAAACCCTGAAATAAATTTACTTTGCCTGTAAAGGCAACATTTTTAACATGGTTTCAAGGTCCTGCATAATCTAGCTTCTTGCTTCTTCTGCAACTATAAACACAAGTCTTCCTTCTCAGTGCTCAGACTCAGAGGGTTAGATCTTGACTACAGTGTCCTGTTTCCTCATTGTGAGAGCCTTTGAACATAATGTCTTTTTATCTACAGACATCCTTCCCCCCACCATGCCCCTTCCCATTGTTCATAACCTTTTATATTTATTCTGGGAAGCCTTTCTACCTAGTGTAGATTAAGTACCCTTTTTATGACCTCCTCATTTAATTACATTTATTCTTCTTTTATTGCCCATAGCACTTTATTTTTGATTACTTGTTTAGTGTATAACATCTTCCACATTGCCACTTTTGTGAGGACAGGGACTATGGTTCTCTGTTGTATCACAGTGCCTTTTTTCTCTTACAAGCTTCTCCCTTTTTGAATTAATTAAAATGCCTTTATCACTTTTTAAACCCTTGTATTGTTGGTCTGTTTGCCATGAATTGGAAAGCATATCATAAGAAGGAAACACGATGTAACAAGCACCTCAGAGAGGTACACAGAAGACACCATGAGGAAAAGTTTGGCAGTCAGCTAGTGGTAGAATTCCTTAGTAATGGGTATGTTTGGCAGCGGAAGAGTTAACTAAATAAAGGTATAGGAACAGTTTGTCATACCTTTATAATATTGACTTTTTGTATTTGTCTATGACCTCCTGTTGATTTCCAGTTGCTTACTGTACTTACAGCCATTTGAGACCATTCCCAAATGTGGCATCTATGTGATAACAAGTGTTTGAAAGTCAACTAATACCACAACTGTCATTATTGTTTGAGTGGAATAGTATAAAAGGCAAGGACTTTTGAATCAGATTAAAATTAGGTTCAATTCCTGGCAACTCACTTGGTATGTATTACATATTGGTTAAACTTCTTAACTTCTCTGAAATTTAGGATGATGTTTTCTACTGACCTTACATGCATAAAAAATGTGTAATGCAAAACAACCAAAATGGAGTAAAAAAGTTATGTATCTGTATATAACATATATATAAATGTATACACATATATACAAATACACATGTATATATGCATATACACTTATACATATATCAGGCTACTATTTTTTCTGCTATCCATTCACTGTGAGACTTGAGAAATAAATTCATTTATTTTTACTGCAAATCATTTTTAATTGCTTATTTTTAGCAGAGTGGTCTGAGGCTGTCACCGTTTACATGTAATTCAACTTTAATTCTGCAAGTATTTGATGTCTAGGATGCGTGAAATCCTTTTCTATAACATTATTCTTACCATCAGAATTGTGTATATGTTAATAAATTAGTCATGCAAGGAATAATTTTATTACTTTATAATGTAAATATTATACTTAATTATTATAATTAAAATTTGTATGAGAAACTGATGTCTAGAGAACATAAATTACAAGAATTTTGTTGGGATTTGCTCACAATCATTTCAATTACCTCTGTTATAGGTTATGGTATGTATATAGCAGTGCTGAAGGAAGTATTTGTTAAATTAATGAAAATTGAATGAGATGGTAAAGCCAATGCTCCGTACCAAGGTTGTCTGATGTTAAAGCCTGAACATAATAAACTTTCTCATTTAGTACATTATCTGTTTTCCATCAAATATCAATCTAAGATGTACTCAGCTCTGCTATTTAGCAGCTTCATTGTATATTAGCAGTGTTATTAAAGTTTACTAAAGAAAGACACTTTCATGTTATCTTTTTAAAAAAATTAACCTTTGGATTTTATTGACTATTGTACTACTTACTACTCTAATACCACTAGCTCTCAGTTTTCTCTTTGATGTTAATATAAAACTTTTGCAATTCTTCTTTTTAACAGTGTAATTGTATTTGGGTAGGTTGATATATATTATTAAATTTTCTTCAAAATAAATTTTAAAAACCATCAAATATATAATAATTATTTTTGTTATTTTTTGTGATAAGGCATATTATAATAATGGATATACATAGAATTTATTTAACAACTTAAAACAAATAGGAAATAGTCAAAGGAAGATGTAGTTATTCCAACCTATGTTGTAAACGTTTTTATAATGTGTGAGAACTACAGTGAGACACTATAAAGCTTTTAACATATTTAATAGAAAAGAAATATTTTATTAATTATACATTGTACAGTTATATAATACTTAAACAGATAATATAAGAATGTCAAAAACTTGCTGGAGAGGTTCTTAAAATAAATATGCATATATACATATAAACATATTTATATACATATGTATATATAAACTTCTTTTATTAGCTTATAGCACGAAATAATGTCATCATTATAGTCTCAGATCAAACTCTGTCAGGTGATCGATGACAAGGTAGTGATTTTCTATAATTTTCTCATAATTATTTTCAAAAAAGTCAGTAGTTAATAAAATGAATTTTCTCATATTTTTTGTTTCTTTTTTAGCTAATCATATAAACTAGTAAGTTATCTCAATAAATAAGGTTTTGATTATTGGCTTTATGCTAACTAGAAATAACTTAAGATTATATTATATACAAAATCAGAGGCTCTGTATAGGAAAAGAAGGCTCTTGTTCCTTTTTCAATTTTATTTCAATTCACACACAAGATGTTCAAATTCTTAGATGGAAAAATCAGAAATTGGAAAGTGAGGAATAGCCAGACAAATTTTTCATTTCTTGTGATATATAAGATGGAAGCTATGCATTTCATACTTTAGATTTGAAGCTTTGGCTATGTCCAAGGCAAGAAGGGAAATGAACCATCTTCTTTCTTAACTAGAAAGTATTGTCATGCTAATTTAAAAAAAAACATTTTTCATCACTCTCATAAAAATTTAACCTTGCATTATAATAATATTTACTGGGAATTAGAATTAACATGGCCGAATACATTACAACAAAGCATTGCAAATAATAGTTACTATAAGAGATTCTATAAACATGAGAGAGAGAAACAAGGCCTGCAAGAACAAGGTTTATTATTCGGCCATACTCTTCTCTCAGTCTAGTAGGCCATGTCCAATTTTCTCAGACTAACATTATGGAGAGACCTTATCTCCATACAAATTTTGAGTTCCTTAGATGAAAGCTGTGAGGCAACAAGAGATGTATTATAAAATTAACTGCATTTGATTTTAGAAATAAAGGAAGGCTTTAGAGTTAGAAGGAAACAGAAAGTCTTTCCATAGTTGTAATTAATTATTTAAGATTCTGAGTTTTTACTTACAAAATCTGTTTGGGTTTGAAGATGATGCTTAATCAAAAATTGCACCCCATTATTTCTAATCCAAATGAAAAATATACATTAGAATTAGCCAAAGATCAGCAATATTACATTAAAGCTAGTTTGGAGAATCTTCTTTCAATCTTTCTTATAGCTCTCCTTAATGCCCCCAGGCAAAGTAGCATTCTATGTGTAGATCAGTTGCAGAATGGTTTCTCTTTAAAAGGAACAGTATACTAACCTGATTCTCATACTTACTTCCCTTCCATGTTCTTGAAGAAACCTCCAAAAACGTGGGGAACACCAATATCTTTCCTTCTAAAGCCCTCATCTCTTCAAGGTTTCTCTTTCCTCATGTATCAAGTTCATAAGTATTCTCACTCCTCCACATCTTCCCTACCCTTTCACATTTGCTGATTTTATTACATGCCATGTCTTCTATCTATCATCTGTTGGCATTTGAGTGATGAGATTATCTTCCTTTCTCTCTGATAATTTCGGAAGAATCTATCCATTTGGCATTTTTCCTGCCCAACTCTCCCACATATTTCTGACTTTATTGATAAAAGCCTACAGACCTATTCTTGATTGGTATCATTCTATCTCAGAGAGGAACAAGGGAAATTAGCAAAAACTGAGAATCCTCTTTAGTTGATAGGAAGAAGAGAAAGCTCAGGTATATTTATAAAGTAATCATTTTATCTCATCACAGGGGCAGTGGTATAAGTTGTATGGGTGCAATAAAAAAGGAAGGTATGTTTGCTAGATTACATGATTCTGAATTAAGATATGAAGAACAAATTGAAGTTAATCAGATAACATGGAATATCAAGTCATTTCAGATAGAAGTAATATTATACACAGTAGGCGAGGTTTGAGAATATAGGTTGCAAATTTGTAGAATTAGTTTTGTATGGCTGAAATTTACTATGTATACACTCACGAAGCAAGGTTAAAGAAATTAGAATAATCTTGACCTTAGTGAATTTTATATAATGTTATTGAGCTCAGAATTTATGTGGAAGGCAATGGAATAAAAGAAAAGACTTTAGGTTTAGAGAGTTACATGTGTGTATCTGCATTTTTAATTGCTCATTCTGACTATAGGATAAGTAAGTGACTATCATAGAATCAACACGTGATGTATACTGGTAGGCTCTTCTTCAAATCAGTCTTCTTTTCTTTCTGAGAACACAACTAAATTATATTTCTCAACTATTTTGTAGTTAGACGGGGTCATAAGCCTAAAATATGGCCGGTAGAATATTAGCTTGTATTGTGTCCAGGTCTTAAGTATAAAAGCTTTCCATATGTTATGACTTACAATTATTTTTCCTTAACCTGGATGGGTGTTGAAAAACAGAGAGTCCCAAGAAGAAAATATTCAGGGTCCCTGAATCACTCTTTGGAAGGTAGACCTACTCTCATCAGGAACACAAATTTTGGAATTTATGTGAATGAAAAATAAACTTCTATCTTACTTCAACCACATGTGATTTTGTTACAGAAGCTAGCCTTATCCTAAAAAGTATCTGTAATTTAAAATTTACTACCAGAAATAGCAAACTACCTAAAATGAAACAAAATCAAGCTAAAATCCAACTCCATTATGTGCTGACATCCTGAAACAAGTAAAAGATTTATCAGTCTTTGAATGGTATTTGTACAGTAGATCCTCAGGTTTTTAAACAACTGGATGTGACTTAGTATGCAATTATAGTTGTCACATAGTAAGACATGAGCTTTTACTGAACTTCTATAGATTAGTTATCATAGATGTTTTAGAGCTGTTTGTAAAGTTAAGGAATCCAGATTGTGTGACAATGTTCACAACTACTCTTGTATGTCTTTCTAAATTTCTTTTTGTTATGTACTTTCTAAATTTCCTTTTAATATGTACGATATCATTAGAGTTTCTTAGTTGCTGGCAACAGAACTGACTGATCAACTGGACAGATGCCACCACCGGATAGAAACCAAAGTAGGAATAGCACCAAGAAAGTTTGGCGAGCACCACACCATTATTGCCTGGTAATACCATCACCAGTGAGAATCAAATATGACCACCCACCGCCTTTCTGCTTTGTACCTTTGCATCACTTGCTTAACAAAGTCCCAGCTGGGCATCCACTTGGTCAAGTCTAAGTAAAGTCCCCATGTTCCAATATCCAGAGATGTAGATAAAAGGTTTCTATTATGACTTCTTTTATTTAATTTTCAAAGGCAGATAGTCAGGAAATTGAGCATTCCTAAAAATCAAGAAGGGAATTTTGATACAGGCAAAGAAAAAATTAGCGAGAGATCGTTGTACTACCAATCCTTCAATATGTTGGATTAGAGACACATCTTCTCAACTATATCTATATTCAGGTAAACAAGAAACTTGGAAATGCCTCTGAATTTCTTTACTTATATCACCATCTATGAAGCCTAGTTTTAATTTTAGTGAGCTATTACTCACTTCACCAGAATTTTCCAGATCCTAAGATTAGAATTATCCTGTCTACCTCACATCAGAAATATCCACATTGGATGGTAATATGATTTGGCTCTGTGTCCCCACCCAAATCTCATCTTGAATTGTAATCATCACATGTCAAGGGAGGGAGGTGATTGGATCATGTTGTCAGTTTCTCCCACGCTGTTCTCATGATAGTGAGTGAGTTCTTACAAAATCTGATGGTTTTATAAGTATTTGACACTTCCTCCTTCACAGGATTCTCTCTTCTGCCGCCTTGCAAAGAAGATGACTGCTTCCCTTTCCACCATGATTGTAAGTTTCCTGACACCTCCCCAGCCAAGTGAAACTGTGAGTCAATTAAACGTCTTTCCTTGATAAATTAACCAGTCTCAGATATTTAATTAATACAGTAAATTGGTACTGAGGTGGTGGGGCACTGCTATAAAGAGGCTTGAAAATGTGGAAGCAACTTTGGAACTGGTAACAGGCAGTGGTTGGAACAGTTTGGAGGGCTTAGAAGAAGGCAGGAAGATTTGGGAAAGTTTGGAGCTTCTTAGAGACTTGTTGAATGGGTTTGACCAAAATGCTAATAGTGGTATGAACAATGAAGTCCAGGCTGAGGTAGTCTCAGATGGAGATGGGGAACTTATTGGGAACTGGAGCAAAGTCATTCTTGCTATGCTTTAGCACAAAGACTGGCAGCATTTTGCCACTGCCTTAGAGATCTGTGGGACTTTGAACATGAGATAGATGATCTGAAACTGGAACTCATATTTACAGGGAAGCAGAGCATAAAAGCTTGGAAAGTTTCCAACCTGATGGTGAGATAGAAGAGAAATACCCATTTTCTGGGGAGACATTTAAGCTGGCTGCTGAAATTTGCATAACTAATGAGGAGTCAAATGTTAATAACCAAGACAATTGGGAAAGTATCTCCAGGACATGCCAGAGATCTTGGTGGCAGCCCCTCCCATCAAAGGCCAATAGGCCTAAGAGGGAAAAATGGTTTTCTTGGCCAGACCCAGGGTCCTGCTGCTCTGTGCAGCCTCAGGACATGGAACCCTGCAACCCAGCCACTCCAGCTTCAGCCATGGCTAAAAGGGGCCAAGGTACAGATTGGGTCATGGCTTCAGAGGTTGCAAGCCTCAAGTCTTGAAGGCTTCCATGTGATGTTAGGCCTGCAAGTGTACAGATGTCAAGAATTTAAATTTGGGAACCTCGACCTAGATTTCTGAGGATGTATGGAAACGCCTGCTTGTCCAGGCAGAAATCTGCTACAAGGGCAGAGTCCTCATCGAGAAGCTCGGCTAGGGCAGTACAGAATGGAAATGTGGGGTCGGAGCCCCCAACAGAGCACACACTGGGGCACTGCCTAGTGGAGCTTTGAGAAGAAGACAATCATCCTCCAGACCCCAGAATGGTAGATCCATGGACAGCTGGCACTGTGTGCCTGGAAAAGCCACAAATACTCAACACCAGCCCAACTTCAGTAAACTTGCCTTGTCTCAGATAAGACTTTGGACTGTGGATTTTTGAGTTAGTGCTTAAATGAGTTAAGACTTTGGGGGACTATGGGAAGGCGTGATTGGTTTTGAAATGTAAAAAGACACAAGATTTGGGAGGGTCCAGTAGCAGAAAGATATGGTTTGGTTCTGTTTCCCCATCCAACTCTCATGTCAAATTTTCATCCCCAGTGTTGGAAGAGGGGCCTGGCGAGAGGTGATTGATCATGAGAGTGGATTTCCTATTGCTGTTCTTGTACTAGTGAGTGAGTTCTCATGAGATCTGATGGTTTTATAAGTGTTTGACAGTTTCTCCTTCACACGCTTCTCTCTTTCTGCCATAATTGTAAGTTTCCTGAGGCCTTTTCAGCCATGTGGAACTGTGAGTCAATTAAACCTCTTTCCTTTATAAATTACCCAGTCTTGGGTAGTACCAAACTGTAATCTCAAAAAATATAATAAAATTGCAAAATAAATTACTGAAAGATAAAATGAAAAAAATGTAAAAACATTAATTGCAATTTCTAACTTACCCAACAACATTGTAATGGGGAAAAGCCAAGTTGCAATGCACTCAGTAGCTTATAAGAGGTCATTGAAGAAGTTAATTTAGAATGGGGAAGCTGAGACATCACCATACCATTTTCTTGATAAAATTCATTACTTCCCAATTACCAATGGCCTACCTTTTTCACATCCAAAGTTAAAAATAAACTCAAGCACAAAATCATGGTCTATTGTGTACTAACATATGTGTATGAAAGACCTCTAACAAATCTGTGAGTAGGGTAGCTTAGTCACTATCTATCATTGTAAATACTAGCGTCATGTAGCAGTTAAAGTTCAAATGTGATTTATCTTTTGACCTCAGGGTCATGTATAATCACTAGGGACATATCCTGGAATCCTAGGATTCAATGGAATTCTTCTAAAGAAATCTTCCTAACAAATGAAATGGAGTTTGCTTACATTTCTGTTGTTTAAATTTGTAAAACTTTTATGGACCTATAAGAGATATCAGGCTATTTTCAAGCAAAAGCTTTCCATCATGGTAGAGATACATTTGATTATTCTTGATGTCATTGACTATGTACTACACATAACTTTGCTTAAACTAGAGCTATCCATATAATTAATAAGCTACACGTTATAGTCTATATCATCACTGTTTTTATAATGTTGGCACTGTATGTCAAGCTAGATACAATTAGTGTTTATTAACTCAAGTGTAGATTTTGAAAAGTTCTTTGATATCTTTCTGTTATTTAAACATAATCATCCTACTTGAATTTCTCAGATTTTTTTCTCTCAATGAGTTTTCCTAGTTTCAATGAAAAATTGTACCAGACAAGTTAAAAGGTAAGGAAGATTTTATTCAAGATTATTATACTAGGAGACAGAGACTGAACTCAACTCTGTTGAGATAAAGAGCAAGAGAGTCTTTAAGCACTGGGTTGAGCTGCCAGAAAAGTACTGGAGGATGGTAGGGGGAGGATATTAAATGTGATTAGACCATCAGTGTTTACTGATTGGTGCTTAACATATTTAGGCTCCTACCCTCAAGAATAGGAGATAGGGCCCCTATATTTATTGATGATGACATGGGATAGTTCCCATGTCTTTGAGGAATGTGTTCCTGGGTAACAAGACCAGCAAGAGGTTTGGAGAAGATACACATCTCAAAGGTGTAGAGAAAGAATTTATATTTGGAAGTTTTCTAAAATAAGTGCTCTAAGAAATGTCAGGGACCCACAGTCAGAAAAAAAACAAAAACAAAATTCTGTCTAAAACTTAGTTAATCCAAGGAAAACATTAAGGCCATCTTACTCATATTTGGCCATATATATTTATCCTTAAAATATTCTGACTTTTTAAAAATAGGAGTGACTGGTATATCCTTGATTTGGTGAATGCCAATGATTGGACGTGAGCCTTTGACATTTAAAATACTTTTTAATTTTATTTTGTAAAATTGGAAGCTGTTCTCTTTTCCAACTTGAAAAGTCTCATAATTTCTGGACTTCTCCTATTACCACCATATTTCTGAAAGTGAGACTTTCATTGACATTTCATTGAGCTATAGATAACTCATCTAAAGCTTGTAATTTCTTTACAGGTTCAATTAGCAATGAATACCTAAAATTAACTTTCTGGTTTTCAAGCTCTTCCCATGGAGGTAGCAGTTTACTGACTTTATTAATGGTCTTCCCTGTTATGACAAGTGACCAAATATTCCTTAACTGTATAACATATATGACTATTCTTTTGTTTTTGCAAGGATATCCTTTTCTGCTCCTTGCCAATCTTTCAGCCAATGCTGTATCTTTTAGGGTGTTTTTGTTATGACAGTGACAATTTCAGTACAAATCAGTAGATAGGCTAGGTTATGCTGAGATAATAATCTTAAAAATTGTATTGGCTTAAAACAAAGTTTACTTTCTTGATAACATTACATGTCTATTTTGGATTTTCTGGAGACTCTGATACACATCTTCTTACTCTGGAAGTAAGCCCTTTGAGCAAGTATGATGTCAAAAGAAAAGATAGTTCTGGTGTTTCTCACACTGGAAATTAAAGTCTCCAGCCTGAAATGACTCATATCACTTCGACTCACAAATCATGAGCTCAAGCATACCTTTAACTCTAGCCAAATGTAAGGGGGCTGATGAAAGAAACTGACTCTATGACTAGGAGGAAGGCAATACTAAAAAATAGCTAACAAAAATATTTATCATTACCAAGATAATAACTTTATTTTTTTCTTTTCTCCTGACACTTTCTGCCAAATGAGTAAAATACAATAAATGTATTTTTTATCAATACCTAACCATCACTAAGTATTGTGAAACAATAAAATAGATTACTTTACTGGTGCCAAAATCAGCACTACACAAAATATAAACTATAGCCATTATACCCTGAATTCAAAAATCTAAATCAGACTATAACAACCCATTACAATAGAAAGTATGCATTAAAGTATTTCTGGGTTAGTTTCTCATGTATGGAATTATCAATCGGTTTTAAATTATGGAGATTTTGTATGGGACATAACGCACAGTGAATGGCTCTGGATGAAATAGAGGACACTCCAGTACAGTGTATTACTATGACTGTTGAATGAGGAGAAATAATGAAACTTATGAATTCCAATGTAAGGTGAAATATACTTTTCAATTAAGGGCGAACATGTTAGGAAGATGGATTTAATAGCCTTTCTTTTGATGTCATTCGTAAAGTCATATCTGAAATATGTGATTCGATATATCACTCATGAGACACAAAGCCAGGGAAGAATGGGCTTCTAAAGTCAGATGCATGTACTGAAACATAATCTTCACCTTGCTACCTCAGGACAAATTTTAGGAGAAATTTCAGAGCTATGACAAGTCATATCTATTACAGTTGACTGCCTGTAATTTCCATAAGATTTTTTTGAGTATGTGTATAACATAAAAAAGTGAAAATTCATTTTCTTTTTAAGAAAATACATAAAGCAACTGTGAATGGGAGTTCACTCATGATTTGGCTCTCTGTTTGACTGTTACTGGTGTATAAGAATGCTTGTGATTTTTGCACATCGATTTTGTATCCTGAGACTTTGCTGAAGTTGCTTATCAGCTTAAGGAGATTTTGGGCTGAGACAATGGGGTTTTCTAGATATACAATCATGTCATCTGCAAACAGGGACAATTTGACTTCCTCTTTTCCTAATTGAATGCCCTTTATTTCCTTCTCCTGCCTGATTGCCCTGGCCAGAACTTCCAACGATATGTTGAATAGGAGTGGTGAGAGAGGGCATCCCTGTCTTGTGCCAGTTTTCAAAGGGAATGCGTCCAGTTTTTGTCCATTCAGTATGATATAGCTCTTATTATTTTGAGATATGTCCCATCAATACCTAATTTATTGAGAGTTTTTAGCATGAAGCGTTGTTGAAATTTGTCAGAGGCCTTTTCTGCATCTATTGAGATAATCACGTGGGTTTTGTCTTTGGTTCTGTTTACATGCTGGATTAAGTTTATTGATTTTTGTATGTTGAACCAGCCTTGCATCCCAGGGATGAAGCCCACATGATCATGGTGGATAAACTTATTGATGTGCTGCTGGATTCGGTTTGCCAGGATTTTATTGAGGATTTTTGTATCAAGGTTCATCAAGGATATTGGTCTAAAATTCTCTTTTTTGGTTGTGTCTCTGCCAGGCTTTGATATCAGAATGATGCTGGCCTCATAAAATGAGTTAGGGAGGATTCCCTCTTTTTCTATTGATTGGAATAGTTTCAGAGGAATGGAACCAGCTCCTCCTTGTACCTCTGGTAGAATTCGGCTGTGAATCCATCTGGTCCTGGACTTTTTTTGGTTGGTAAGCTATTAATTATTGCCTCAATTTCAGAGCCTGTTATTGGTCTATTCAGAGATTCAACTTCTTCCTGGTTTAGTCTTGGGAGGGTGTATGTGTCCAGGAATTTATCTATTTCTTCTAGATTTTCTAGTTTATTTGCATAGAGGTGTTTACAGTATTCTCTGATGGTAGTTTGTATTTCTGTGGGATCGGTGGTGATATCCCCCTTGTCATTTTTTATTGTGTCTGTTTGATTCTTCTCTCTTTTCTTCTTTATTAGTCTTGCTAGCAGTCTATCAATTTTGTGGATCTTTTCAAAAAACCAGCTCCTGGATTCATTGATTTTTTGAAGGGTTTTTGTGTCTCTATTTCCTTCAGTTCTGCTCTCTGATCTTAGTTATTTCTTGCCTTCTGTTAGCTTTTGAATGTGTTTGCTCTTGCTTCTCTAGTTCTTTTAATTGTGATGTTAGGGTGTCAATTTTAGATCTTTCTTGCTTTCTCTTGTGGGCATTTAGTGCTATAAATGTCCCTCTACACACCGTTTTTAATGTGTCCCAGAGATTCTGGTATGTTGTATCTTTGTTCTCGTTGGTTTCAAAGAACATCTTTATTTCTGCCTTCATTTTTTTATGTACCCAGTAGTCACTCAGGTGCAGGTTGTTCAGTTTCCATGTAGTTGAGCGGTTTTGAGTGAGTTTCTGAATCTTGAGTTCTAGTTTGATTGCACTGTGGTCTGAGAGACAGTTTGTTATCATTTCTGTTCTTTTACATTTGCTGAGGAGTGCTTTACTTCCAACTATGTGGTCAGTTTTGGAATAGGTGTGGTGTGGTGCTGAAAAGAATGTATATTCTGTTGATTTGGGCTGGAGAGCTCTGTAGATGTCTATTAGTTCCGCTTGGTGCAGAGCTGAGTTCAATTCCTGGATATCCTTGTTAACTTTCTGTATCGTTGATCTGTCTAATGTTGACAGTGGGGTGTTAAAGTCTCCCATTATTATTGTGTGGGAGTCTAAGTCTCTTTGCAGGTCACTAAGGACTTGCTTTATGAATCTGGGTGTTCCTGTATTGGGTGCATATATATTTAGGATAGTTAGCTCTTCTTGTTGCATTGATCCCTCTACCATTATGTAATGGCCTTCTTTGTCTCTGTTGATCTTTGTTGGTTTAAAGTCTGTTTTATCAGAGACTAGGATTGCAACCCCTGCCTTTTTTTGTTTTCCATTTGCTTGGTAGTAGATCTTCCTCCATCCCTTTATTTTGAGCCTATGTGTGTCTCTGCACGTGAGATGGGTTTCCTGAATACAGCATACTGATGGGTCTTGACTCTTTATCCAATTTGCCAGTCTGTCTTTTAATTGGAGCATTTAGCTCATTTAAATTTAAGGTTAATATTGTTATGTGTGAATTTGATCCTGTCATTATGATGTTAGCTGGTGATTTTGCTCGTTAGTTGATGCAGTTTCTTCCTAGCCTTGATGGTCTTTACAATTTGGCATGTTTTTGCAGTGGCTGGTACCGGTTGTTCCTTTCCACGTTTAGTGCTTCCTTCAGGAGCTCTTTTAGGGCATGCCTGGTGGTGACAAAATCTCTCAGCATTTGCTTGTCTGTAAAGGATTTTATTTCTCCTTCACTTATGAAGCTTAGTTTGGCTGGATATGAAATTCTGGGTTGAAAATTCTTTTCTGAAGAATGTTGAATATTGGCCCCCACTCTCTTCTGGCTTGTAGAGTTTCTGCCGAGAGATCAGCTGTTAGTCTGATGGGCTTCCCTTTGTGGGTAACCCAACCTTTCTCTCTGGCTGCCCTTAACATTTTTTCCTTCATTTCCACTTTGGTGAATCTGACAATTATGTCTCTTGGAGTTGCTGTTCTCGAGGAGGGTTTTTTGGTGTTCTCTGTATTTCCTGAATTTGAATGTTGGTCTGCCTTGCTATATTGGGGAAGTTCTCCTGGATAATATCCTGCACAGTGTTTTCCCACTTGGTTCCAATCTCCCCGTCACCTTCAGGTACACCAGTCAGAAGTAGATTTGGTCTTTTCACACAGTCCTATATTTCTTGGAGGCTTTCTTCGTTTCTTTTTATTCTTTTTTCTCTAAACTTCTCTTCTCGCTTCATTTCACTTACAAGGGATGTAAAGGATCTCTTCAAGGACAACTACAAACCACTGCTCAATGAAATAAAAGAGGATACAAACAAATGGAAGAACATTCCATGCTCATGGGTAGGAAGAATCAATATCGTGAAAATGGCCATACTGCCCAAGGTCATTTATAGATTCAATGCCATCCCCATCAAGCTACAAATGACTTTCTTCACAGAATTGGAAAAAACTACTGTAAAGTTCATGTGGAACCAAAAAAGAGCTCACATTGCCAAGTCACTCCTAAGCCAAAAGAACAAAGCTGGAGGCATCATGCTACCTGACTTCAAACTATACTACAAGGCTACAGTAACCAAAACAGCATGGTACTGGTACCAATACAGAGATATAGACCAATGGAACAGAACAGAGCCCTCAGAAATAATGCCACATATCTACAACCATCTGATCTTTCACAAACCTGACAAAAACAAGAACTGGGTGAAGGACTCCCTATTTAATAAATGGTGCTGGGAAAACTGGCTAGCCATATGTAGAAAGCTGAAACTGGATCACTTCCTTACACCTTATACAAAAATTAATTCAAGATGGAATAAAGACTTACATGTTAGACCTAAAACCATAAAAACCCTAGAAGAAAACCTAGGCATTACCATTCAGGACATAGGCATGGGCAAGGACTTCATGTCTAAAACACCAAAAGTAATAGCAACAAAAGCCAAAATTGACAAATGGGATCTAATTAAACTAAACAGCTTCTGCACAGCAAAAGAAACTACCATCAGAGTGAACAGGCAACCTACAGAATGGGAGAAAATTTTTGCAACCTACTCATCTGACAAAGGGCTAATATCCAGAATCCACAATGAACTCAAACAAATTTACAAGAAAAAACAAACAACCCCATCAACAAGTGGGCGAAGGATATGAACAGACACTTCTCAAAAGAAGACATTTAATTTATGCAGTCAAAAACACATGACAAAATGCTCATCATCACTGGCCATCACAGAAATGCAAATCAAAACCACAATGAGATACCATCTCACACCAGTTAGAATGGGATCATTAAAAAGTCAGGAAACAACAGGTGCTGGAGACGATGTGGAGAAATAGGAACACTTTTACACTGTTGGTGGGACTGTAAACTAGTTCAAACATTGTGGAAGTCAGTGTGGCGATTCCTCAGGGATCTAGAACTAGAAATACCATTTGACCCAGCCATCCCATTACTGGGTATATACCGAAAGGATTATAAATCATGCTGCTATAAAGACACATGCACACGTATGTTTATTGCGGCACTATTCACAATAGCAAAGACTTGGAACCAAGCCAAATGTCCAACAATGATAGACTGGATTAAGAAAATGTGGCAGACATACACCATGGAATAGTATGCAGCCATAAAAAAGGATGAGTTCATGTCCTTTATAGGGACATTGATGAAGCTGGAAACCATTATTCTCAGCAGACTATCGCAAGGACAAAAAACCAAACACCACATGCTCTCACTCATAGGTGGGAACTGAACAATGAGAATACATGGACACAGGAAGGGGAATATCACACATTGGGGACTGTTGTGGGGTCGGGGGAGAGGGGAGGGACAGCATTAGGAGATATACCTAATGCTATATGACGAGTTAATGTCTGCAGCACACCATCATGGCACATGTATACATATGTAACAAACCTGCACGTTGTGCACATGTACCCTAAAACTTAAAGTATAATATTAATAAAATTTAAAAAAAGAAAACACATAAAAAGAATATTGAGTAAAGTATAAATAAAATATTATATAGAATGCTTTCCATCTCTTTATGAAAATTTTACATGTCTCAATAGATGATTAAGTCCTAGTTTAAACATTGTTAGTATTCATTTCAATCAAAGAATATCTCATGCTTGTGAATATTTGGAGTTAATATGAAAAATAAAAATAGAAAAACAAGAAAATATTAAGTTCTAACCTTGTATATAACTGGAAATGCTTTCCCTTTATTCTAATTAGTATGCTATATTTATCCAGCATTTTCTAGTGTAAAATACACTTATACTTCATTTCATTTCACCACCATGAAAGGTCTGTGAGATCCAGAAATGACTTTGCCAATATGAAAGAGACAAAAGCTCCAAAAAATGAAGACTTTTCAAATTTAGGTTTCTTGTGTTACAAAATGAGTCCTATTTTTCTTAATCTAGATTCAGAATTCTTTAAATTATACTACAAGCATTTTGCACTGTTTAGTATATCTACTAATTAGAATTTGAGCCACCAAGTCAATCAAACATTAATCCAGAGACTAAACATTAAGGTCTCAGAAATATAAATGCATTTGATTATATTACTACCAATCTGGTCCCAATGAACCCAGTATTGGTCAACATTATTACATTTTTTAAAATTTTCATTACAATACATGATCATTGATGTGCAAACAGAAATAACAATTTGTATTTTATTGTCTACCACAAGCTTGTCCAACCCATTGCCTGCAGGCTGCATCCAGCCCAGAACAACTTTGAATGTGGCCCAACACAAATTCATAAACTTTCTTAAAACATTATGAGTTTTTGTGAGTTCATTTTAGCTGATGAGCTATAGTTAGTGTTAGTGTATTTTATGTGTGGCCCAAGAAAATTATGTTCCTTCCAATGTGGCCCAGGGAAGTCAAAAGATTGGACACCCCTGGTCTACCACATCATTGTGTACTGCAAACAAACGTAGTCACTAATAAACTTATTGTGTTAAATATTGGGTAATTCCTGTTTAAAATGTTTTATAGTATGCTGAAGTAGAGCAATTTTTGTCAAAAAGTTTTCTATCCTTCTAGGCTGTGCCTTTCTTCAACTTTTAGCTAGAAAGAGCATACTTTTGTTGGTGCTTTTTATGTCTGTAGTAGGGTTTTCTGGGTTGCCAAATTTTCTGGGTTGCCTGTTTCCAACTTTAGGATACATGAGGCAAAAAATGTCCCAGAGAACTCACCACTGTGCTGTTCCTTGGGTTCCATGGTTATCTAGCTTTCTTCCTCTCTTTATCTTTCAGAGCCTTCTTAAGTTTGTTTTAAATATAATATCCAGAGATTTTAGTTGTACTTAGCAAGAGACATAGAAAAAGTATGTAATCTCCATCTTCCCAAAAGTGACAGTCCTTTAGTAGTATTTTAGTTTGTTTCTGCCATAGTGCAAACTTAAAACAACCTTAACTGCAATTACAGTTAATGGTAAAATGGATAAAGTATGCCATATTTCTATTATGAAATACTATACCAAAATGTAAGAGGATAAAATATGACTTCATATGACAACATGTATGACTCAGAGAGACATAATAGTGAGCAAAGCAGCCCAAACTAACTTAGCATATAGTATATAAATCCAGGTATATAAATATCAAAAACAGATAAAATAAATATATGGTAATAGAATTCTGGAAATTTACTAAATTTAGGAAGGCATAAAAATAGAAAAGTAACATGAAGGAAGCTTTTGGTTATCTGAAAATATTCTATGTCTTGAATTATTAGGTTGCTATACAAATGTTGTTTGCCTTGTAAAAATTCATTAAATATACACCTGAAATTCATATGCTTTACCATATGTATTGTAAACTTGCATGGAGTTAATTTAAAATAAAGCATTTCTAAAAATATCTACCATAAAAATCATACTCATTTATGACTTATTGAAATTTTTCCTTAAAGACTTGAAACAAGAGATGGGCACCTGCCATTTCTACTTCTATTGGTCATTATAGCAAAATCCTAGTCAATGTAAAACAAGGGAGGAAATTTAAATATAAAATCAGTAAATGCATCAGTTGTAAGTAGTAATATTTTTAAAACATTGTGATTTTCAAAATTAAACTGTTGTAGAAAATTAATGATTATTTATTATAAAATGTGGTTATAACATTTTATCTATGTATATCTAGATAGTAAATAATTAGAAGATAAACGGATGGATAGATTTGTAGATACAGTGATAGGTGATAGATGGGTAAGTACATAGACTTACCATAAAAATTGGTAAATGCTGCAAAAAATAAAAAAAAAAAACCTCTCCTATCAAACTGAGGACTCTTTGTTAAACATCCACCAGCACAACTTTGGATGACTGTTTGGATAGTTGAATGAATAGGTGTTTGTATGGATAAATGTATAGATAGATAAATAGATAGATAGATAGATAGATAGATAGATAGATAGATAGATAGATAGATGATAGATAGATAGACAGATAGATATAGACAGTTTTTGAAATTCTACAATACGGACACTTCAAAAACTTTCCAGATTTCTTGACATAAATGATGTTGTTTTCCTAAATAAAATAATTTTGTAATGTATTTAAGTATATGTAACTCATTGAATAAAGCTAGCTATTATGTTGTCTAACCAACACTAACTGAAATATATATATATATATTTATGTTTACCTGTATCTATCTGTATCTCTATATCTCTATCTCTATCTCTATCTCTATCTCTATCTCTATCTCTATCTCTATCTCTATCTATACAGAGAGAGACAGAGTCTTGCTCTGTTGCCCAGGCGGAGTGCAATGGTGTGATCTCGGCTCACTGCAACCTCTGCCTCCCGGGTTCAAGGGATTCTCCTGCCTCAACCTCCTGGGTAGCTGGGACTACCAGAACCTGCCACCGTGCCCAGCTAATTTTTGTATTTTTAGTGGAGGCGAGGTTTCACCATGTTGGCCAGGCTGGTTTTAAACTCCTGACCGCAGGTGATCTACCCGCCTCGGCCTCCCAAAGTGCGGGAATTACAAGCGTGAGCCACTGCTCCCGGACAAATATATTATTTTTTATTTAAATACACTCTTGTTTCACTTTCACATTAAGAAGTATTTTTAAGAAACTAAGCTTTTCAGGTTAGTCATCACTTAAGAACACAGGTTTATGAGTTTGAAGATTATATTTTATATACATACATATATAAATATATACCATAGAACCCCTGAATAGCAAAATCTCCCTGCACTCAAGTTTCCCAGTAGGCCCTGCAGAACGCAGGTATACAAAATGTCTGCAGGCCTACATATATGTGGGTTTTGCTTCCTGCAGATATTGTAATTTTTATCTGCATTTGTGTGAAAAAAATCCACATATAAGTGGACCTGAAGAGTTCAAACCTGTGTTGTTCAAGGGTCAGCCGTGTGCGTTTGTGTGTGTGTGTATGTGTGTGTGTGTATAAAATGGAGATATATATATGCACACACACAAATATATATATACATATGTACATATAAAACAGCATAAAGTACATCATTTATAAAACCATTATATAGTCACCATTCTTTTATTTAAGGTAAGTGATATAAAACTTGAACTCACTAAAAACAAGAAAATCAGATAATTTAAATAATTTATATCTAAATATAAAATTACAGTGTGCAAAAACTACAGCTGCAGAATAGTCAGATGACCAAATTTACTTTTTTTATGAAGGCTACCAATCACCTCCAACTCTCCAACAGATTATTTTTATGCCACTGAAAGGAGTCTTAGCTATCTACTCTTAACATCCCGTGAGATGTAGAACATCTACAGGAATAGTATTCTTAGACTCTCACACAGATGAAATAACATTCCCAACTGCACTTACAAATTATTTGATGACTAGAGGATATAGTCAAGTGTGAATGTTACTTTGTGCTTGTACTCTTTCTTCCATGTTCTATCTCTCTTTCTTTTTTCTTTCTTTTTTTTTTTTTTTTTGAGACGGAGTCTCACTCTGTCCTCCAGGCTGGAGTGCAGTAGCGCTATCTCAGCTCACTGCAACCTCCACCTCCTGGGTTCAAGTTATTTTCCTGCCTCAGCCTCCTGAGTAACTGGGACTACAGGCACGTGTCACTACGCCCGGCCAATTCTTTGTATTTTTAGTAGAGACGGGGTTTCACCGTGTTAGCCAGGATGGTCTCAATCTCCTGACCTCCTGATCCACCCGCCTCAGCCCCCCAAAGTGCTGGAATTACAAGAGTGAGCCACTGTGCTAGGTCCATTGTTTATCTTTCTATATCTGGGTTTCCCATTTTCTTAGTTTATATTATAAGTTGAAACCCATGTATTTAAGACTATAAGGTACAATTTAGTCCCTTCTAAGATAAACTTCATTGTACTATCATGGAAACACATCCCAAACGACTTCTCCCAAGGCATGATGTTGGCAGATGCAATGGTGAATATTAGCTATCAACTTGATTGGATTGAAGGATGCCTAGATAGCTGATAAGGTATTGTTTCCGGGTGTGTCTGTGAGGGTGTTGCCAGAGGAGATTAACACTTGAGTCAGTGAACTGGGAAAGAAAGACCCACTTCCAATCTGGGTAGGCACCATTCAATCAGCTGCCAGCTAGGCTAGAACAAAGCAGGTGGAAGAAGGTGGGATAAGCTGGCTTGCTGAGTCTTCTGCTTTTATCACTCTCCTGTGCTGGGTGCTTCCCGCCCTTGAACATCAGACTCCAGGTCCTTCAGCCTTTGCACTCTTGGACTTAACACCAGTGGTTCGCCAGGGACTCTTGGGCCACTGGCCACAAACTAAAGCCTGCGCTGTCAAGCTTCTCTAATTTTGAGGCTTTTGGACTCATTCTGAGCCACTACTGGTTGAGCCACTGCTGGTTTCCTTGCTCCTCAGCTTGCAGACAGCCTATCATGGGATTTCACCTAGTGACCACGTGAGCCAATTCTTCTTAATAAACTCCCTTTGATATACACATATGTCCTATTAGTTCTGTCCCTCTGGAGAACCCTGACTAATACAGCTGGACATGTAGCTAATGTTAATCTTTAAGATGGTCTGATTTGCATTCTGTCAACAAGGCAAGGATAACACTTTGACCACTTTCATTTAACATAGTGTTGGAAGGCCTAGCCAGAGCAATTAGTCAAAAGAAAATAAAAAATAAAAGGCATCCAAATTGGAAAGGAGGAAATCAAATTCTCTGTTTGCAGATTACATGATATTATATATAGAAAACCCTAAAGATGCCACCAAAACCAGTTAGAATTAATAAATAAAGTCAGTAATGTTGCAGGATACAAAATCAACATACAAAAATTAGTAGCATTACTATACACTATTAATGAAGAATTTTAAAAGCACATCAAATAAAAATGCAATTTATAATAGTTGAGGTAGTGGTGCTGCAGATACCTGTGTGAAAATGGTAGAATCTTGGCTGAGACTGGGGCAGACAGACAGTCAGTTGTACTGGTCTCCAGGGCAGAACACAGTTTAGCAGTGGGTTTGGTTTCCCATATGCACTGTGCTGTAGCAGCTTAGTTTGCAGAGATGTGTTTGCTCAAGGTGGGTTCTTACTCTGGGCAATGCAGCTGCATGAACTTTTCAAACTGGATTCAGGGCCTTTGAGGACTACGGCTTTTCTGTAGCAAGAATTGTTGGCATTTGTAAAGGCAAATGGGATTTCCACCTATCTTTTTCCCATAAGAAAATGTTCCTTCCCTGCACCCTCCCCTCCCACTCCAGGCTGATCCCAGCAGGGGAGATTGAGTGAGGCAAAATATCTCACTCCTTTCTCTATGAAACTACCCTGGGCTTCCATGATCCTCAGAGATGTTGCTGCTCCCTCATACTCTCCAGCATGGTTCCTCAATTAAGCCACTTGAAATGTAGCTGTTTATTTATTGTTTTAGTCACTTTTTCGTGGGGAGCAGGGGATGAGCACCAGACAAGTTTAGTTGGTTATCTTAATGATGCCAATTGATTTATTTTTTTATGTGTATCAACCGACAATGAAGAAAACTTTTAATATTATTGCTAATTTAGATAATCTATAGCCATATGCTCAGAAGTTGTATACAAGTTTCAAGGACAAATATTAGTACATTAAACATTACAGAGCAATTAAAAATTTAAATGCTAGATTTTGAAACAATTTTTCTTTAACTCCCTTCCCATTAGGTAAATAAAATGCCATTTCATTTAAGTTACAGATTTTTTTACTATAGAAGTTATCAGTGTCACCAGTAATTTACTAAGAGGATGTACTTTTTCTAGGAATAAAGGACTACACTTATAGTTTCAATCAAATCTTACATTTAATGGCAAGCATTTAAAATTTTCTATTTGTTCTCTAAAAGTGGAATCAGACACTATCTTTTTCAAAAGTGTATTTTTATATTTCTTCTAATAAAGAAAAGCAGGATAAAAAGGCATTGAGAGCAAAGTTGAAATAAATTGTAGGGCAAGAAAATACAGAACTCTTCTTTTGAAGATATTTGCTTGAAAGGGAAACCAAAAAAGCATTAGTATCAAAGATGCCACATTTTAAGTGATTCTCTGGGATATATGAACTTTTGTCACACAGATATTTTTAAAGTACACTGAGAAAAGATATATTAATAATTGAACCTTACATTTCAATTTTAACTTGAAAGTGTCTTACAAAAATGAACTGATAAATCTTGATTAAATCTCTTTTAGATGGGTGAGTATAATTAAATACTATAGGTCAGACATGCATTGGTTATGATTACTGACAATAGTACTGCTATAGTAACATGAACACCACAGGCCCGGCACCAAAATTCTTAACTTGTACAAAATGTTCAGTGGTTCTAATGGACATTCTTTGTGAATCCAGATCCAAATTGTGCCCCATGTGCTCACATCTTTAGAAAATGTTTGAACTCAGTAATGCTTATTCTTGTTAACTGTGTATAGTACAGCACATGTGAGTCACCCACAGCAGCATGAGGTAATCTGGGCTAATATTGCAATTACATTTAGATTGCACCATCTGGGTCAAACAAATTCATTACAAATAAACCTAGTCCCTAATGAGGTGTGGCTTTGTCTAACAAAGAATAAAGATGATGAAAGTCACTTTACTTGTGCTTTTGGTGGTTACTATTCAGTGAGTACCATATTGATTTCTGCACAATTTTATAAAACATTTCTGTGTCATAGCTGTATGACTGCTTAAAATTTCAGTTAGAACCTCACTCAGGAGGCCCTTGGAAATTCTTATGAGAATATATAGAAGCAAATTTCTCCCACTAAATTCAAGTACAAATTCCTGAATTTAGAAAGTTTACAACAACCTTCACAAAAATTGCAGCACTGATTATTAAAAAATATATATCATATATCAAAAATTTTACAGAATGTTTTTATTATTCATTCTCTAATTTATTTATATGCCAAACTGTAAGGAAGGCTATGATTATAATTTGTAGTGTTAAGGTTTTTTTTAATAGTAGTCATTTATTACATCATTAGCAATTATTATGTATTGTATGTAACTGTGCAATACTTTTTAAAACTTTTATGTTAGGTTCAGGGGTACATGTGCAGGTTTATTATATAGGTAAAATACATGTCACTGAGGTTTGGTGCACAGATTATTTTGTCACCCAGGTAATAAGCATAGCACCTGATAGTTTTTTGATACTCACCCTCCTCCCACCTTCTACTTTCAAGTAGGCCATGGTGTCCACATACACTGAATGTTTAGTGAGAACATGCAGTATTTTGTTTTCTGTTCCTTTGTTAGTTCACTTAGGATTACGGCCCCCAGCTCCATCCATATTGTTGCAAAAAAACATATTCTCATTTCTTTTATGATTATGTAGTATTCCATGGTATGTGTGTATATATATATATATATATATATATTCTCTAAAAGTGGAATGTGGAATCTCTAAATGTAATATATGTGTGTGTGTGTATATATATATGTGTGTATATATGTGTGTGTGTGTGTGTATATATATGTGTGTGTATATATATATATGTATATCACATTTTTATCCAGTCTAATGTTGCTGGGCGTTTAGACTAATTCCATGTTTTTGATATTGCAAATAGGGCTACAATGAATATACAAGTCCATCCATCTTTACAGTAGAGCAATTTATATTCCTTTGGGTTATATACCTAATAATAAGATTGCTGGGTCAAATGGTACCTCTGTTTTAACTTCTTTGTGAAATTGCCAAACTGCTTTCCACAATAGCTTATTTAAATTCCCACCAGCAGTGTATGTGTTCTCTTTTCTCTGCAAACTCACCAGCATCTATTATTTTTCAATTTTGTATTAATAGCCATTCTGACTGACCCAGGGCCTTGCCACATTGTGCAGTCGAGACAGTGCTCTGTCTCAGGACACTGCCTTTCATTTGGGGAAGAGTCATGTTCTCTTGAGTGACATTGTGCCCTGCCCCATCATGTGCCCCACCTTAGAGGATACTGCCTTTCACTTGATCTGAATCCTGTCTACTACTGAGGTAGAAAAACTCTTTCAAATTAACTTGTTTCTCCTTATTCCATATATGACGAGTTCTTCCTCATTTTGACACTATCAGGCATGAAATCAACCATGAATTTCTTTCCTCCTATGAAGAGATTAATGCTTTCCGGAATTTAGTTTACTTAGAATTTTTTTGTATCTTTAACTCTTTGATGTCTTTAAAAGTGATGTTTTGCTCAAATGTCTTGTGATAGGGATACAGCAACATTCTGTTCTGATTTTATACTTATTACTCAAGATGAGAATCCCATCATCTCATCTTTCTTCATTATATTCACATAGAAAATATGTCTTCCACATTAAACAAATCCAGCGGGTGCCATTTCCATCATTTGCTATGTAAATGTTATCACCTGGAACTCTACCTCACAAACCACATAGCTATACATAGTGTTCCTACCAGAAAATGACATTTAAGTATTAACAGGTCTCATTGGAGAAAGCCTTAGTCATTGCAGCATAGTGCCTATGAGCTAGGAAAGAATAAAGTGACTTATTTCAATTATCTTAGGCTTCCATAGTCTGGTTGAGAACTTCTCTACTCTGTGTGAATAAATTAAAAAGTACTTTAATCTGATGCATTTTCGTGTGTTTTCTTGGGAGAATTTTTGAAATGGCATCACACTGAGGAATGGGAAGCCTACAGTCCAATGCTTAGCTTGTGCAATGAGTAACACATTCTTAATATCCAAGGAAATCACGGTAGTTGACAGCTTTACTTGGACTTCAACCGATTAAAAAATCAAGGTTGGTTTTAGTACAATTACCAGTTTTTCTCAATTAATATACAGATACAAGCTAAAATAGACATGAATTCTCTTTTAAGGCTTTTAACCTGCTCTTTTAAGGCAGGTAAACAATAAGGTAGTGTACCTGGAAATAAATTACATGGTGGGCTAAAGACGTGAAAAGCAATAATTAGAAATTCTATTAAATATATATCTATACTTTTTAACATTTTATGATTTTAAACATTTACCTTTCAACATTGGATCAGGATATATTATTTGCAGTGTCAAACTTCGCATAGTGATACTATATATAAAGTTAGAAAATAAAACACAAAATTAAAATTACATAATTCTTGCCTTTTGAATTTGGTATCCAATTAATTTATTTTATACTTTTTCTTTTTTAAAAAAATCCCACTTTTCTGAAAGAAAAGCATTTTAAAAACCTGAGCATCACACAAATTTGCTAATTTAGTGATTACTCGTGATATGTGTTTCATGAGTTGTTACTCAGTATTGTTTCCCAGAGAATAAATGAGTCAAAGGTTTGTCACTGCTGCCGCTTCTACTCCACTATTTCCTGTTTAGTCAGAACTATCTAACCCAAAAAGATGTTGAATCCATATATTATCTTATCCTAAGGCCTACAGATTTTGATATTTAGCTATACCTCTTTAAGGCACTGATTTTAAGTAAGACATTTAGCAATTTACTCATCTTCAAATTCTTAGCACTTGCTTACTTGTTTCGTAAGTTATCCTAAGACAGCTACTTTCTGGAACACTGTTTTAAAATTGTAGTCGTCTCTATGGTGTAGAGCTTACAAAGATTTGCAAAACATTTTATATAATATTGAATATTTTAAGCTAATAATAATATCCCTTATAAAAATATCAATCAGATAATAAATATTCTTTCATCTATATACAATAAACAGAAAGAACCATGAGGATGTTGTTTTGTTTTGCTTTGTTTTATATATTGTTTTGTTGTTGCTGTTATTGTTTTTAATTAATGTGAAACATACAAGAGATTTAGTAGTATGAAACTCATTATGGAAGAAAATTGAGATAGTTCTGAAGAAATGGCACACACATTATCACTGATAAAAAGATTATGTTTACTTTAAAGGAAAGGTAGAATGCACAAACCTATTGACAAGCAGAAGAGGTCATTAACAAGGGAATATTTCTGAGAGAATGTAGCATTTGCCACAAATTAAAAATACTTGCTTCATTCATCTCAGTTCTCAGAGTTCTGTCATTGAACTCCATGGAAAATCCTGAAAGTACTTAAGCTTTAGTACTTATCACCATAAAATTCCTTAAAAGACTTTCTGGTGTGGAATTTGCAATAGTCTTTTCCTAATCAATTTCACCCACAGACCTCAATGGACCTTGCCAAACTATAATCTATTTCAGTGACTGGCCAATAAGAAAACCAACATTAGGGCTTACCTAAGCAAAAAATAATAATAATTATTATTCAAATGCTTTCACTTTCTTGATGTAAAAAATAGTTTCAATTTTTTTATTTTAAAATTTTAGGAAGCCAAAATCACAGCATTTATGTTTATATGATTCATACTGCAACCATAAAAATGATAATTACAAATATTATATTACTATTGTATGACAATTTTTTTTTCAGATGGAGTCTCGCTCTGTTCCACAAAATAAATAAATAAATAAATAAATATGTATAAATTTTGATTCCCCCTACATTTAACTACTAATAAATAGCATACTGTTGACTGGAAGCCTTACCAATAAGGTAACAGTCAATTCACCCACATTTTGTATTTATACTACCATATACTGTGATCTAACAATAAAATAAGAGAAAAGAAAATGTTATTAGGAAAATTATAAGAAAGAGAAAATATATTTGCTAGTTATTAAGTGGTAGTGGATTATCATAAAGGTCTTTGTCCTTATTTTTTCCATGTTGAGTAAGCTGAGAAGGCTTGTTGCGTATGTTGGAAGAAGAGGGAGTTGGTCTCAGAGGTGGCAGAAGCAGAAAACCTATGCATAAGTGGACCCACGTTGTTCAAATTCATGTTGTTCTAAGGCCAACTGTGTGTGTGTATGTGTGTGTGTCTGCACACGTGCGTGTGTGTGTACATGTGTATATTAATATATATATATATATACATATATGTATGGAGAGAAGCTTCTAATATAATGGTGATATCAAAAATAAAGTTTATTTTTCATAGTTTGAATAGTTTTATAAATGTAATAAAGTGCCACACACAAAGAACATCACATTAGAGATTAAATATAATTTTTAAAAATTTTAGAAAGTAAAATCCTTGTATTACAAGTGTCAATATCATTGAGAGAAATTTCCCTTAGAACAAGAATGTACATTGGAAATTCCAAACTTTTTTTGAATATTCAATTTATCTTTGAAAGATCATTTTGCAATTATAAAGGACAATATGGAGAGGTGACAGTGTGCTGGCAGCCCTCACAGCCCTCACTCGCTCTCGGCGCCTCCTCGGCCTTGGCACCCACTCTGGCCGCGCTTGAGGAGCCCTTCAGCCCTCCACTGCACTGTGGGAGCCCCTTTCTGGGCTGGCCAAGCCCAGAGCTGGCTCCCTCAGCTTGCAGAGAGGTGTGGAGGGAGAGGCACGGGCGGGAACTGGGGCTGCACGCGGTGCTTGCGGGCCAGTGTGAGTTCTGGGTGGGCGTGGGCTCGGCGGGTCCTGCACTCAGAGCAGCTGGCCAGCCCCACCGGCCCGGGCAGTGAGGGACTTAGTACCTGGGCCAGCAGCTGCTGTGCTCAACTTCTCACCCAGCATTAGCTGCCTCCTCATGGGGCAGGGCTTGGGACCTGCAGCCCACCATGCCTGAGCCTCCCCCCTCCATGGGCTCCTGCACTGCCCAAGCCTCCCCAACGAGCTCTGCCCCCTTCTCCACGCACCCAGTCCCATCGACCACCCAAGGGCTGAGGCATGCAGGCGCACGGCGCAGGACTGGCGGGCAGCTCCACCTGTGGCCCCGGTGTGGGATTCACTGGGTGAAGCCCGCTGGGCTCCTGAGTCTGGTGGAGACTTGGAGAACCTTTATGTCTAGCTAAGGGATTGTGAGTGCACCAATCGACACTCTGTATCTAGCTACTCTGGTGGGGATTTGGAGAACTTTTATGTCTACCTAAGGGATTGTAAATACACCAATCGGCACTCTGGATCTAGCTCAAGGTTTGTCAACACACCAATCAGCACCCTGTGTCTAGCTCAGGGTTTGTTAATGCACCAATCAACACTGTATCTAGGTTATCTAGTGGGGACCTGGAGAACTTTTGTGTCTAGCTCACGGATTGTAAACGCACCAATCAGCACCCTGTCAAAATGGACCAATCAGCTTTCCGTAAAACAGACAAATCAGCTCTCTGTAAAATGGACCAATCAGCAGGATGTGGGTGGGGCCAGAGAAGAGAATAAAAGCAGGCTGCCTGAGCCAGCAGTGGCAACCTGCTCGGGTCCCTTTCCACACTGTGGAAGCTTTGTTCTTTTGCTCTTTGCAATAAATCTTGCTGCTGTTCACTCTTTGGGTCCACCCTGCCTTTATGAGCTGTAACACTCAACATGAAGGTCTGCAGCTTCACTCCGGAAGCCAGCGAGACCACAAACCCACTGGGAGGAACGAACAACTCCAGATATGCCACCTAAAGAGCTGTAACACTCACCGCGAAGGTCTGCAGCTTCACTCCTGAAGCCAGAGAGACCCCGAACCCACCGCGAGGAACAAACAACTCCAGATGCGCTGCCTTAAGAGCTGTAACACTCACCACGGTCTGCAGCTTCACTACTGAGCCAGCAAGACCAAGAACCCGCCAGAAGGAAGAAACTCCGAACACATCCGAACATCAGAAGGAACAAACTACGGACACGCCGCCTTTAAGAACTGTAACACTCACTGTGAGGGTCCGCGGCTTCATTCTTGAAGTCAGTGAGACCAGGAGCCCACCAATTCCGGACACAATATCATCTAGGAAGGCAAAATATATTGAATTAACTCAGGTTGTTCTGGGAGAAGGTACATAATCAGATCGATTTTTTTTTTAAGAAGAAGAAGATCAGGAAAATCAAACCAAATTCTCAAAACAAAACAACAAATCCAAAACTGTCGTATTATCTAATCAAAAGGAGGAAAATATTGCAATACTGGTCTCTTGTTTTAATTTTAAAACAGGCCTTATTCAATAGCCTGAGTTTATACTTTATCTCAATATGCAGTGTATAGATAATAAAAGAATCAGATGATTTATAAGGAATTTTAAACTAATTATTAATGAGAATGGGATGTAGAATGTGCAAGATATGGTGAGGAAAGTAGTCACCAAAGAACCATGATAGAAAGGTTTCTTTTCCAAATTCTATGGATAGACTCTTGATGGAGGACTATGCTTCTGCTTCCAAATACCCATATTTTAGGTAGTGTCAGCAACATAAGCAACAATTCTTTTTCTGTCTTGTGCATAAGAAGAGAAGAAATCAAAACTGAGCCATCACCTGAGCATCCTCCTATATTCTGTTGGAAAGATACAGTAGTCACTTCTTTCATTCGTATATATAAATGCACAGTCGATCCTCATTATTCATGGATATCAAATGTGCTAATTCACCTACTCAATAATATTTATTGGTAACTCTCAAATTAATATTCATGGGCACGTTTGCAATCCGTCATGGGCATGTAGATTGCCAAAAATTTGAGTTCCCTAATATGCATGTTCCAGCTGAGGTTGAATAAAATCCATCTTGTTTCAGTGCTCAAACTCTAAACAGGCATCCTTATCTTGTTTTTCTTTCTTTCCTTTTTTTTTTTTTTTTGGATGTTATTATTGTTTATTCCTTAAATTCAATACACATTGATACAACCTAATGGTCAGGGGTATTGGATACTTTCAATTTTTATATGTTGTTATATTCAGAAGCACCAGAAATATCTTCCAATGTTCAATTTGTTTGATAAATCCCATTTTTTCTTTATGAGGTTACTAATATAATAAGCACAAGTATTCTTTATATTTTATAAACTGCTTTCACATCTATTGTCATATTTGATCAGTTTAGAAACATTGTCAATGAATCAGATGGGTAATATTACCCCCATTTCACAGTTAAAGAATACAAAAATATTTATGTAACTTAGAGCATAGTTAGGTCTTACTGTCCCATATACTAATAGACACAAGATCTTCAGTTTGTGTATTTTTTTTTTTCTAACTTTTAGTTAGGTTTGGGGATGTATGTGAAGTTTTGTTACATAGGTGAACACATGTCACAGGGTTTGTTGCACAGATTGTTTCATCACCCAGGTATTAAGCCTAGTACCCAATAGTTATATTTTCTACTCCTCTCCCTCCTCCCACCTTCCCTGCTCAAGTAGACCCCACTGTCTTGTCGGTTGTTTCTTTGTGTTCATAAGTTCTTATCATTTGGCTCTCACTTATAAGAGATAACATGGAGTATTTGAATTTCTGTTCCTGCATTAGTTTGCCAAGGATAATAGCCTCCAGCTCCATCCATGTTCCCCCCAAAAACATGGTCTTTTTCTTTTTTATAGCTGCATAATATTGCATGGTGTATATGTACCACATTTTCTTTATCCAATCTGTAATTTGTGGTCATTTAGGTTGATTCCATGTCTTTGCTATTGTGAATAGTGCTGGCAATGCACATTCACATGCATGGGTCTTTATAGTAGAATGATTTATATTGCCCTGGGTATATACCTAGTAATGTATTGCTGGGTTGAATTATAGTTCTGCTTTTAGCTCTTAGAGGAATTGTCATACTGATTTCCACAATGGTTGAAATAATTTACACTCCCACCAACAGTGTATAATGTTCCCTTTTCTCTGCAACCTCATCAGCATTTTTATTTTATATTTTTTAACTTTATTTTTAAATTTTTATTGTTTTAATTATTTTTTGACATTTTAATAATAGCCATTCTGACTGATGTGAGATGTTATCTTACTGTGCTTTTGATTTGCATTTCTCTAATTATGACAGAAATGGAGATTTTTTTCATATGCTTGTTGGCTGCATGTATGTCTGTTCATCTGCTTTGCCCACTTTATAATGGGGTTGTTTGGTTTTTCTCTTGTAAATTTTTTTAAGTTTCTTATAGGTGTTGGATATTAGACCTTTGTCAAATGAATAGTTTGCCAATATTTTCCCCCATTCTGTAGATTATCTTTTTACTCTGGAGATAGGTTTTTTTATAGTTTTTTTTTTTCTTTTTTCTTTTCTTTTTTTTTTTTTTTGTTTCTTTGTTTTGTTTTGTTTTTTTGCTGTGTAGAAGCTTTTAAGATTAATTAGATTTTACTTGTTAGTTTTTACTATTGTTGCAATTGCTTTTGGTGTCTTTGTCATTAAATCTGCCAATTCCTATGTCCAGGATGATATTGCCTAGGTTATCTTCCAGGGTTTATATAGGTTTGGGTTTTACATCTATGTCTTTAATCCATCTTAAATTGATTTTTGTATATGGTGTAAGCAAGGGATATAGCTTCAATCTTCTGCACATGGCTAGTCACACGATTATCTCAATAGACACAGAAAAGGCTTTCAATAAAATTCAGTACCCCTTCATGTTAAAAACTCTCAATAAACTAGCTATTGAAGGGACATACCTCAAAATAATAAAAGCCATCTATGACAAACTCACAGGCAACATTATACTGAATAGTCAAAAGCTGGTAGCATTCCCATTGAAAACCAGCACAAGACAAAGATGCCTCTCTCACCATTTATATTCAGCATAGTATTGGAAGTCCTAGCCAGGAAATCAGGCAAGAGAAAAAATAAAGGCATCTGAATAGGAAGAGAGGAAATCAAATGATCTCTTTTTGCAGATGACATGATTTTATATCTAGAAAACCCCATAGTCTCAGCCCAAGAGCTCTTCCAGCTGATAAACAACTATAGCAAAGTTGCAGTATATATAAACAATGTACAAAAATCACCAGCAGGCCGGGCACGGTGACTCACGCCTGTAATCCCAACAATTTGGGAGGCAGAGGCGGGCGGATCACCTGAGGTTGGGAGTTTGAAACCAGCCTGATCAACGTGGAGAAGCTCTATCTCTACTAAAAATACAAAATTAGCCGAGCGTGGTGGCGCATGCCTGGAATCCCAGCTACTCGGGAGGCTGAGGCAGGAGAATCGCTTGAACCTGGGAGACAGGGGTTACAGTGAGCCAAGATCGCACCATTGCACTCCAGCCTGGGCAACAAGAGCAAAACTCCATCTCAAAAAAAAAAAAAAAAGAAAGAAAAAATCACCAGCATTCCTATACATCAACAGCCAAACTGAGACCCAAATGAGAAAAACAATCCCATTTGCAACTGCCACAAAAAGAATAAAATACCTAGGAATATGGCTAACCAAGGAGGGGAAAGATATTTTCAATGAGAACTATAAAACACTCCTCAAAGAAATCAGAGAAGACAAAGACACGGAAAAACTTTCCATGCTCCTGGACAGGAAGAATCAATATCACTAAACGGCTACGTTGGCCAAAGCAACTTACAGATTCAATGCTATTCCTATCACACTACTAACAATATTCTTCACAGAATCAGAAAAAAATATTTTAAAATGCATATGGAACCAAAAAAGACCCCGGATAGCCAAGGCAATCCTTAGCAAAAAGAACAAAGCTAAAGGCATCATGATACCCGACTTGTTACTATACTACAAGGCTATAGTAACCAAAACAGCATGGTACTGGTACAAAAACAGGCGCATAGACCAATGGAACAGAATAGAGAGCACAGAAATAAGGCTGCACATCTACAATTATCTGAACTTTGACAAAGCTGACAGAAACAATGAGGAAAAGACTCAGTTCAATAAATGGTGCTGGGATAGCTGGCATCTTTTTAATGGTCTACTTAGTGGCACCTTTTTCACATTTTTGTGTTTTTTGTTGGTTATTTTACTGTTAAAATGGCCCTCAAGTATAGTGCTGTAGGCTACCTAGTGTTCATAAATGCAAGCAGGCTGTGATGTGCCTTATGGAACAAACATGACTACTATATGAGCTTCTGTATGAGTACTATATGAGTACTATATGAATGGGGTACAATACTGTTGGCCATGAGTTCAACGTCAATAAATCAATAATATATATGAAATAAGATACATTTAAGCATAAACACGTATAAAATAATCTGTTAAGAAAAATGCTGTGACCAGAGCTCACAAGAACCTAGTTATGTATTTTCCCTAGTATTAATGGCTCATTATTTGCTAATTCTGTGTTTATGGCAACTTCATATAATATTATTACTGTGAATAAGAGAATCAACTATATGTGTATGGCATTTTTTGAACTGTATTTTATATATAGTTTCTACAGAGTAAATTGAACTGATCTTAAATATTTAGCTCTGTGACTTTTGACAATTGTATACTATTGGCCCACTATATAAAAACTCTACGTACTACTATAATTACCATAGGAAATCCTCTTGTGTTTCTTTTCAGTTGTTTTCTGCAAGCTAATTCTGTCTCTAAAGAGGACTTTTCAACTTCTTTGACTTTATAAATAAAACCATATATTTTGTGTTCTTCTATATCTGGTTTGTTTTGTTTCAAAACTCATAATATTTTTTATTCATCCATGTTGCTGCATGCATATGTAGTTCAATCTTCTTTTTGTTTTACAAGAGGTATTCCATTATATTAATGTGCCACAATGTCTCTATCCATTGTCCTATTAATGACCATTTGGTTTGTTGAAAATTATTTGGTATATTAATTTGCAATTCTGGATAACTAATGTTGTTGAACTGTTTTCATGAGCATGTTACTCAATCTATATCTAATTTTGTCAAGTACTATCTTAGTCTATTCCTGCTGCTACAATAAAATAATTTAACCTGGGTAATTTATTTAAAAAATAAATTTATTGCTTACAGTTCTGAAGGCTGGGAAATTTAAGATCAAGGTTCTAGCAGATTTGGTGCTGGCTAAGGCCCATTTCTCATAATTGGTGCCTTCTGTGACTCTCATGGAGAGAGTCAAAGAAGGCTAACATGCTCCCTCAGACCTTTACTATAAGAACACTAATCCTATTAATTATGGCTTTGCCTTCATCACATAATAACTTCACAAAAAACCCCACTTAATATCATCACATTGGGGGTTAGATTTTAACATGTGAATTTGGGGGGACACATACATTCAGACCATAGAATTACTTTGCACATTTATTATTTTGTACATTCATTTTATTTTTTTCCTATTGATTCATAAGATTTTTAGTATATTAAATTTAATATATTCAACATATTGAATATGTCCTCTAAGAAACATATATGTATTGTTAACATTTTTGGTTCACATTGTTCCTTGCTAAAGAAAATGTGGTACATAGACACAGTGGAGTACTATTCAGCCATTAAAAAAAATGTGATACTGTCATTTGCAACAACATGGATGGACTGGGGGACGTTATGTTCAGTGAAATAAGCCAGGCACAGGAAGATAAACTTTGCATGTTCTCATTTATTTGTGGAAGCCAAAAAGTAAAACAATTGAACTCATTGAGATATAGAGAGTAGAAAGAAAGTTCCCAGAGGCTGGGAATTTAGTTGGGCAGAAGGGGAATAAAGTGAGGATGGTTAATGGGTACAAAAAATAGTTAGAAAAAAATGAATAAGATCTAGTATTAGATAGCACAACAGGGTGATTGTAGTCAATATAATTTAGTTGTACAATTTAAAATAACTAAAAGAATATAACTGGATTGTTTGTAACACAAATGATAAACGCTTGAGGTAATGGATACGATATTTACCCTGATGTAATTATTACACATTGCACGTCTGTATTCAAAATACCCCATCTAACTCATAAATATTTATATCTACTATCTACACAAAAAATTAAAAATTAAAAAAATTTTTGCATGATGATCTTAACTGAATTTTTCAATAATAAAACATTGTCTGTTTTCATTAAGTTCAATTTAGCAATTTCAATTATGTTTAATTATTTTTGCATCCTGAATAAAAAATCTTCTTATACTGCAAGATTTTGAAGGCAATCTAGACTTACTTCTAGAATTGTTATGTTCTACCTGTTATAATCAGGCTTACAATTCATGTCCAATTAATTTTCATATGTAAAGTGAGTTATATTTTTCATGAAGTTGTTCAGTTTTTCAGCCCCACTTAAAAAAATGTAGAATTGTTTCTTGCTCAGTTAAACTGACCTGCTTTTTTTTAAAGTCTCAATAGATTTTTGGTCTAGTTCTGGAATCTCAATTTGTTCCATTGATTTAATTGCCTATGCCAGAGGTGTCCTGGCTTCCCTGGGCCACACTGGAAGAAGAATTGTCTAGGGTCACACATAAAATACACTAACACTAATGATAGCTGATGTGCTAAAAAAAAAAAAAAAAAATCACAATATATCTCTTAATGTTTTAAGAAAGTTTACAAATTTTTGTTGGGCCACATTCAAAGCTGTCCTGGGCTGCATGCAACCCATGGGCCAAAGGTTGGACAAGCTTGGCCTATGTTAATGCCAGTAACACACTGTGTTAATTACTGTGGATTTATAACTTGAAATCACTGATAATAAGGTTTTATACTTTTTTATTATTTTTCAAGGTTGTTTGTATCTCTTTTGGATTCTGTATGTTCACATAAAAATTTTGGAATTAGCTTGCTAATTTCCTTCCCAAACCATCTAAAGATCTTTCAGGGAATTTTTAAATTCATAGCATTTTTATTCGATTTGTAATCATTTTAATCTCTCTGCTGAGACAACATCTCTTTATATATGCTGTACAGCTTTCCTAGTGGATATTTCAGTAAACTGTTTTATTTTTATTTTTTGTTTTTGTTTGTTTTTTAGATGGAGCTTCGCTTTTGTCGCCCAGACTGAAGTACAATGGTGTGATCTCGGCTCACTGCAACCTCCGCCTCCTGGGTTCAAGCAATCCTCCTGCCTCAGCCTCCCAAGTAGCTGGGATTACAGGCATGTGCCACCATGCTCAGCTAATTTTTGTATTTTTAGTAGAGACAGGGTTTCAACATGTTGGTCAGGCTGGTCTCGAACTCCTGACCTCAAGTGATCTGCCCGATTTGGCTTCCCAAAGTGCTGGGATTACAGGAGTGAGCCACCACACCCAGTCTGTTTTTATAGTTATTTTAAAGGTTTTTTTGAGTAATTCTGATACTAGGTTTTAGGGTTTCCTTCCATTCAATGTTTTCTTTTCTGACTATTGGTCATACATAATCACCCATCTGCAATGGTCTTGTGTATTTTTAGAATTGTACATTAGAAAATGTATTAAAAATAACAGTGGAATCCAAATGTAAACATAACTGTCCTGAGAAATTATTATTCTCCTTATTCTGTCCAGCTACCTATTTGGGAATCTGAGTTAATGAAATCTGTAATTGAGGAAGTTGCACTTAGTTTCAATGCATAATATTTAGTTCAACAACAACTTCAAATATTCAGGGAAACAGAACAGAAGGAATGCCTCCAATATATCTTGTTATCTGGAAAGAGCAAGATGCTAGACCTGTCCTTTTGCTTTACAGTCCCGACACCAGTTTTCTAAACAATGGAAGCTCTCTCTTTTCTTCTTTCTCTCTTACAGTCTAACCATCCAAATTTTGAGCTATTGAGGTTTTACTTTTTTCCCCCAGCTTTCTGCACTTTAGGAAATGTGTCTTCTACTTTGACGGACAGCTGCAATATAATGACTGAAAACCAATGTCCCTCAATACTATATATCTCAGTGTATTCATTTGCTAGGGCTACTATAACAAACTAGTGCAACAGTATACTGAGTGGGTAAAACAACAGAAATTTATTGTCTCATGGTTCTGGATGCTAGAGGTCTAAGATCAATGTGTTGGCAGGGGTTACTTAAACAACAGAAATTCATTGTCTCACAGCTCTGGAGGCTAGAAGTCCAAGATCAACATGTCAGCAGGGGTGGTTCCTCTTGAAGGCTGTGAAGAAGAATGTGTTCCATACCACTTTCCTAGATCTGACAGATTTCTGACAATCTTTGACATTCCTTGGGTTGGTAGACATATCAACCCAATCTCTACCTTCATGTTCATATACTTTGTGTATGTACATCTATGTGTATGCATATGTATCCAAATTTTCCCTTTTTACAAAGACACTAGTCTTATTGAATTGGGGCTCACTCCACTCTAGTATAATCTCATCTTAATTACATCTGCAATTACTGTATTTCTAAATAAGGTTACATTGTGAGGTGCTGGGGTTAGGACTTCAATATATGAATTATCAGAGAGGAGGAGGACACAACGTTCACCATAATATTGAACTTTCTTGTCATGCACTCTTTCTTGGAGGGTTGCTACAAGGTATGCATTAAAAATCTGCAGAGAAGTGGAGGAGTTTCTTTGAGCACTCTTGCTCTATCCTCATCTTTTGGCTGGTAACTACATTTTAAAAAATAGACTTTATTAGTTAGAGTAGTTTTAGGTTCAGAGCAAAATTATGTGAAAAGTACAGATTTTTTCCATACACCTCATGTTCTCATACATGCACAGCCTCTCTCAATATCAACATCCCACACCAAACTGGTACATTTATTACAATCCATAAAACTACAATGCTACAACATTATTAGCCAAGGTTAATAGTTTACATTAGGCTTCACTCTTAATGTTGTACTTTCTGTGGGCCTCAACAGATGTATAATGACATGTAGCTACCACTATGGTATCAAATAAAATACTTTCAGTGCCCTGAAAATTCTGTATACTATGCCTATTCATTCCTCCATCCTCTCAAACTCGCAATAATTGATATCTATTTTTTCCATGAAAACCACTTTTTAATGTAAAAGTTTGAGCATGTATATAAATCAAAAGAGTGATATAATAAACCCACACATACCCAACACCCAGCTTCAATGGTTATCAACGTATAGCTGGTCATGTTTCATTTATACATTTATCTACCTGCTCCTCCCACATTTTTTAAAGCATATCAGTTCAATGTAAGTATTTGTGTTTTTAACACTTAACAAAACTTTAATATCACTACTTTCCAAAATATTAGCAAAAATTATTTATTACAATATCAAATGTCCAATTATTGTGCACATATTTCTGATTGTTCTAAATTTTTCTTTTTCTTTTGTTTTTCCAATTGGTTTGTTCAGCTCTCATCTAAGGGCCGCACATTAATTTTAAGTATGTTTTATATTTAGTCATTAGTTCATTAATATTGCTATTTTTAATTTTTAATTTCATTATAGTGAAATACACATAACATAAAATTTACCTTCTTAATCATTTTTAAATGTGCAGTTTAATGTTGTGCAGCCACCACCACCATCCATCTCCATAATTCTTTTTATCTTGTTACACTCTGTTCTCATTATACATTTGCCATCTCACCTCCCACAAACTCCTGGCAAACATTATTCGACTTCCTCTGTAACTTTGACTACTCTACCTCATATAAGTAGAATCATACAGTATTTGTGTTTGTGTGACTGGCTTGTTTTACTAAGCATAATATCCTCAAATTAGATCCATGTTGCAGCATATGTCAGATTTTTTTTTCCTTTTTAAGGCTAGATAATATTCTACTGTATATACCACATTTATCTTACTCATTCATTTGTTGATGAACATGAATTTCTTCCACATTTTAGCTATTGTGAATAATGCTGCTATGAACATCAGTGTACTAATACCTCTTGGACACAGCTTTCAATTCTTTTCAGTATGTCTTCAGAAATTGAATTGTCTGCAAAATATGATAATTCTATTTTTAATTTTTTAGGGACTGCCATACTGTTTCCTGCAGCAACTGTACCATTTTAAATTCACACCAGCAGTGCACAAGGTGTCCAAATTCTACACCTTCTCACCAATAATTGTTACTTTATGGATTTTTTAAATAGCAGCTATCCTAATGAGTGTAAGGTGGTATCGCATTGTAGCTTCAATTTGTATTTCTTTAATGATTAGTGATGTTGAACATATTTTCATACGCTTATTGGCCATTTGTATAACTCTTTGGAAAAATGTCCATTAAAGTCCTTTGCCCATTTTGCAAGCTCTAGCCAGATGAATTTGGCAAGAAAAAGAAATAAAAGGCATCTACATTGGAAAGAAAGAAGCAACATGATCACTATTTACACGATATGATATAGAACACCTTAAAGACTTTACAAAACTTGACTGTTTGAACTAAAAAGAAATGAATTCAGCAAAGAGAAGGATACCACATCAACAGGCAAAGATTAGTCAATTTCCATAGAGCAACAATGAACAATATGAAAAGAAATTATGAAAACAAGTCTATTTATAAAAGCCTAAAAAATAATAAAATATTTAGAAATTAACCAAGGAGCTCAAAAACCTGTACAATGAAAACAATAAAAATTGCTGAAAGAAACTAAAAAAGACATAAATGGAAACACATCCCATGATCATAAATTGGAAGACTTAATATTATTAAGATGTCCACACTGCCCAAAGCAATCCATCAATTTACTGTAATCCCTATCAAAATCCTCATGATTTTTTTTTGCAGAATTAGAAAAGCCCATCCTAAAATTCATATACAATCTCAAAGAAACCCCACTCCCCAAAACAATCTTTAAAAAGAACAATGTTGGAAGACTCAAATTTCCTCATCTCAAAACTTACTACAAAGCTACAGTAATCACAATATCATGGCATTGGCATAACAACAAACACACAGTCCAAATGGAATAGAATAGACAGCCCAGAAATAACCTTGACACATATGGTCAAACGATTTTGACAAGAGTGCCAAGAATGTTCAATAAGGAAAGGGCAGTCTTTTCAACAAATGGTGCTGGGGAAACCTAGATATCCACAGGCAAATAATAAATTTGGATCTTTATGTAACACCATTGATATACTTTGGATATTTGTCCCCACCCAAATCTCATGTTGAACTATAATCTCCAATGTTAGAGGTGGGCACCTGGTGAGAGGTGTTTGAGTCATTGGAGTGGATCTTTCATGGCTTGGTGGTATCCTTGTGATAATGAGTGACTTCTCACAAGATCTGGTTGTTGTAAAATGTGCCCCCACACCACCACCACTGTCTCTTGCTTCTGTTTTTGTCATATGAAGTGCCTGTTCCTGCTTCACCTTTTGCCATGAGTTGAAATTTCCTGAGGTCTCCTCAGAATCAGATGCTGGCACTATGCTTCCTGTACAACCTGCAGAACTATGATACCATTAAATCTTTTTTCTTTATAAATTACCCAGTCTCAGGTGTTTCTTTATACCAATGTAAGAATGACCTAACACAGAAAATTGTTACTGAGACTGGGGCATTACTACAAAGATACCGTGAAAGCAGGTTTGGAAGTGGGTAACAGTCAGAGGTTGGATGAATTTGGAGGGCTAAGAAGAAAACAACAAGATGAGAGAAATGTTGTATCTTCATAGAGACTGGTTAAATGGTTGTGACCAAAATGTTGATAATTATATGGACAGTGAAATAAAGGCTGACAAGGTCTTTGATGGAAATCAGGAACTTATTGGAAACTGTACCAAAGATTAACCTTGTTTTTCCTTACCAAAGAACTTGGCTGTATTGTGCCCTTGACCTAGGGATCTATGTAAGTTTGAACTTGACCATTAAGATTTAGGGTACCTGGAGAAAGAAAGTTTTATGCAGCAAAGCATTCAGGATGTGACTTGGCTGCTTCTAACAGCATATACGCAGATGCAGCAGCAAAAAAAAAAATGACTTAAAGATGTAACTCATATTTAAAAGAGAAGCACAGTGTATAAGTTTGGAAAATGTGCAGCCTGGCAATAAGATAGAAAAAAAAAAACCTGTTTTCAGTAGAATAATCAAAGCAGGCCGTGGAACAACCACTTGATAGAGATATCTGCATTACAAAAGTGGAGCCAAGTTCTAATATCCAACACAATGGAGAAAAGGCCTGAAAAGCATTTCAGAGACCTTTGCAGCAGCCCTTTCCATAACAGCCCCAGAGGTTTTGGAAGACAGAATAGTTTCATGGGCCAGGCCCAGGGCCTTGCCACACTGTGCAGTCAAGGCACAGTGCTCTGTCTCAGGACACTACCTTTCATTTGGGGAACAGCCACGTTCTGTTGAGTAATATTGTGCCCTGCCCCACCATGTGCCCCACCTTAGAGGATGTCGCCTTTCACTTAATCTGAATCCTGTCTACCACTGAGGTAGAAAAACTCTTTCAAATTAACTTGTTTCTCCTTATTCCATATATGACGAGTTCTTCCTCATTTTGACACTATCAGGCATGAAATCAACCATGAATTTCTTTCCTCCTGTGAAGAGATTAATGCTTTCTGGAATTTAGTTTACTTGGAATTTTTTTTGTATCTTTAACTCTTTGATGTCTTTAAAAATGTTTTGCCCAAATGTCTTGTGATAGGGATACAGCACCATTCTGTTGTGATTTTGTACACATTACTCAAGATGGGAATCCCATCATCTCATCTTTCTTCATTATATTCACATAGAAAATGTGTCTTCCACATTGAACAAATCCAGTGGGTGCCATTTCCATCATTTGTTATGTAAATGTTATCACCTGGAACTCTATCATTCACAAACCACATAGCTATAAATAGTATTCCTACCAGAAAATGACATTTAAGTATTAACAGGTCTCATTGGAGAAAGCCTGAGTCATTTCAGCATAGTGCCTATGAGCTAGGAAAGAATAAAGCGATTTCTTTCAATTATCTTAGGCTTGCATAGTGTGGTTGAGAACTTCTCTACTCTGTGTGAATAAATTAAAAAGTACTTTAATCTGATGCATTTTGGTGTGTTTTCTTGGGAGAATTTTTGAAATGGCATAACACTGAGGAATGGGAAGCCCATAGTCCAATGCTTAGCTTGTGCAATGAGTAACACATTCTTAATATCCAAGGAAATCATGTTAATTGACAGCTCTACTTGGACTTCTATAGCTTAAAAAATCAAGGTTAGTTTCTGTACAATTACCAGTTTTTCTCAGTTAATATGCAGATATAAGGTAAAACAGACATGAAGTCTCTTTTAAGGCTCTTAACAATAATAATAAGGCAGGTAAACAATAAGGTAGTTTACCTGGAAATATATTACATGGTGGGTGGTGGGCTAAAGACATGAAAAGCAATAATTAGAAATTCTATTAAATATATATCTATACTTTTTAACATTTTAAGATTTTAAACATTTACCTTTCAACGTTGGATGAGGATATGTTATTTGCAGTGTCAAACTTTGCATAGTGATACTATATATAAAGTTAGAATAAAATACAATATTAAAATTAAATAATTCTTGCCTTTTCAATTTGGTATCCGATTAATTTCTTTTATACTTTTTCTTTTTTTAAAAAAGTCCCACTTTTCAGAAAGAAAAACATTTTCTTTGTATAGTGTATTATATGGTTTGTCTGTGTCCCTACCCAAATCTCATCTTGAATTGTAGTTCCCATAATCCTAATGTGTTGTGAAAGGGACCCAGTGGGAGGTAACTGAATCATGGGAGTGGTTTCCTCCATGCTGTTCTCATGATAGCGAGTGAGTTCTCATGAAATCTGCTGGTTTTATAAGCATCTGGCATTTCTCCTGCTTGCACACATTCTCTCTCTTGCCACCCTGTGAAGAGGTAACTTCCACTTCCCACTATGATTGTAAGTTTCCTGAGGCCTCCCCAGCCATGTGGAACTGTGAGTCAATTAAATCTCTTTTCATTATAGATTACCCAGTCTCAGGTATTTCTTCATAGCATCATGAGAAAGAACTAACAAAGTCTATATTGCTTTAAAAAATCATTTTAAAAGGGTAAAAATATTATGGTAATATTTGATTTCACACTCTAGAAACAAATTATATTTGTTTTTCTTTTTATACTCTCTTAAAAACAATCAAATCTTCAAATATTTATTCTGAGATCTGATTTAAAGTGTATTATTTGAAAGTCTAAAATAATTATATTGCCTTCAAAAGAACAGTTTATACATCTTAAAAGCTTAAGATTAAAGGTGTTTCCCCACTTCTAAAAATCTACAGGCAGACTCAGAAAATAAAGTTCATGTCATTGATCTGATGTCTGAATACTGTAGGAATAAAACAATATAACTTTCAGAATATATAGCCAATTATTTGAAACTTCCAAAATGAACTGAGCCTTTTGCTGCAGATGATTTGCTAATAATAGTGAAAAAAACACATACTATAATTCTGTAGAGCAGTGAAAAGACTTACAAATTATTTAGAACATACAAAATTTCTGGACCTCAACTCTATTTTTGGTTGTTTTCACATCTTGAAAAAAAAAAAGATTAATTAACATATAACAAAGCACTGTCATATTAGAATTTGACATTAAAAATAACTGATAAATTTGTGGGCTTTTGCATTATATAGCATATTAATTAGTATGTGAAACTCAATGTTCTAATTCAGTCTACAGAACATAAACATCACAATACTTTTCTTATATTGTCTTTACTTTTAAGCATGAATAAAATACATTACCTTTCAAATTTTCTAGGTAACATAAGTTATCAAAAGACATGCCATAACATTACCACAGAGTAATCAGGCTCTAAAGTGTTTTAAACACATTTACAGAAGTTTGCTGTTCATGTTTCTGTGAATGTATGCCTTAATATTGATTTTAATTTACCTTTAGCAAAACACCGAAGGTCTGGTTTTCTGAAGCATTATATTACTTCTATTCATGAGGCTTGTAATTTTACACAGTACAACATGACTTCTTTTCAGTGGTCATAGAGAATAAATTCTTACATTGCCTGTACTTACATTCTAAGTAATCCTTTTGCGCACTATATTCAACTTTAATATACTTTTTAACATGTTTGAGCTTTGATTTTGCAAAGAACAAAATGCAATGAAGAAAAAGTGACTGGAAATGTACTTCTTGTAAAAACAATATGATTGATTCCCAGGCAAGATGGCCAAATAGGAACAGCTCCAGTCTATAGCTCCCAATGAGACCAATGCAGAGGCGGGTGATTTCTGCATTTCCAAATGAGGTACCCAGTTCATCTCATTGGGACAGGTTAGACAGTGGGTGCAAGCCATGCAGTGTGAGCAGAAGCAGGTGGGGCGTCATCTCACCCAGGAAGTGCAAAGGGTCAGGGAACTCCCTACCCAACCAAGGGAAGCCATGAGGGACTATGCCATGAGAGATCGTGCTATGTGGCCAAGGTACTACGCTTTTCCCATGGTCTTTGGAACCCACAACCAGGAGAATCCTTCAGGTGCCTACACCACAAGGGCCCTGAGTTTCAAGCACACAACAGTGCAGCCATTTGGGTAGACACCGAGCTAGCTGCAGGAGTTTTGTTTTGTTTTGTTTTGTTTTGTTTTTGTACCCCAGTGGAGCCTGGAACACCAGCAAGACAAAACTTTTCACTCCCCTGGAAAGGGGACTGAAGCCAGGGAGCTAAGAGGTCTTGCTCAGTGGATCCCACCCCCACAGAGCCCAGCAATCTAAGATCCACTGGCTTGAAATTCTCGCTGCCAACACAGCAGTCTGAAGTTGACTTGGGACGCTCAAGCTTGATGAGGGGAGGTGAGTCCACCATTACTGAGGCATGAGTAGGCAGTTTGCCCCTCACAGTGTAAACACAGCCACCAGAAAGTTCAGACTGAGCTGAGCCCACCACAGCTCCACAAAGTCACTGTAGCCAGACTGCCTCTCTAGATTCCTCCCCTCTGGGCAGGCCATCTCTGAAAGAGAGGCAGAAGTCCCAGTCAGGGGCTTATAGATAAAACTCCCATCTCCCTTGGACAGAGCACCTGGGGGAAGGGGCGGCTGTAGGTGCAGCTTCAGCAGACTTAAAAGTTCCTGCCTGCCGGCTCTGAAGAGAGCGGCAGATCACCCAGCATAGCGCTTGAACTCTGCTAAGGGGCAGACTGCCTCCTCAAGTGGGTCCTTGAACCCCATGCCTCCTGACTGGGAGACACCTCCCAGCAGGGGTGGACAGACACCTCATACAGGAGAGCTCTGGCTGGCATCTGGTGGGTGCCCCTCTGGGATGAAGCTTCCAGGGGAAGGAGCAGGCAGCAATCTTTGCTGTTCTTCAGCCTCCACAGGTGATACCCAAGCAAACAGGGTCTGGAATGGGAACTCAAGCAAACTCCAGCAGACCTGCAGAAGAGGGGCCTGACTATTAGAAGGAAAACTAACAAACAGAAAGCAATATATAAACATCAACAAAATGGACTACCATGCAAATACTCCATCTGAAGGTCACCAACAGCAAAGACCAAAGGTAGATGAATCCATGAAGATGAGAAAAAAACAGGGCAAAAGGGTAAAAATTCCAAAAACCAGAATACCTCTTCTCCTCCAAAGGATTACAACTCCTCACCAGCAAGGGAACAAAACTGGATGGAGAATGAGTTTAAGAAATTGACAGAAGTAAGCTTCAGAAGGTGGGTAATAATAAACTCTTCTGAGCTAAAGGAGCATGTACTAGCCCAATGCAAGGAAGGCAAGAAACTTGATAAAAGGTTAGAGGAATTGCTAACTAGAATAACCACTTTAGAGAAGAACATGAATGACCCGATGGAGCTGAAAAACACAGTATGAGAACTTCACGAAGCATACACAAGTATCAGTAGCCGAATCAATCAAGCAGAACAAAGGATATCAGAGATTGAAGATCAACTTAATGAAATAAAGCATGAAGACAAGATTAGAGAAAAAAGAATAATAAGGAACAAACAAGCCTCCAAGAAATATGGGACTTTGTGAAAAGACCAAGCCTATGTTTGATTGGTGTACCTGAAAGTGACGGGGAGAATGGAACCAAGTTGGAAAACACACTTTAGGATATTGTCCAGGAGCACTTCCCCAACCTAGCAAGACAGGCCAACATTCAAATTTAGGAAATACAGAGAACACCACAAACATACTCCTTGAGAAGAGTAAACCCAAGACACATAATTGTCAGATTTGCCAAGGTTAAAATGAAGGAAAAAATGTTAAGGGCAGCCAGAGAGAAAGGTCAGGTTACCCACAAAAGGAAGCCCATAAGACTAACAGCAGATCTCTCTGCAGATATCTTACAAGCCAGAAGAGAGTAGGTGCCAACATACAACATTCTTAGAAAAGAACTTTCAAACCAGAATTTCATATCCAGCCAAACTAAGCTTCATAAGCGAAGGAGAAATAAAATTCTTTACAGAAAAGCAAATGCTGCAGGATTTTGTCACCACCAGGCCTGCCCTACAAGAGCTCCTGAAGGAAGTACTAAATATGGAAAGGAAAAACCAGCACCAGCCACTGCAAAAACATACCAAATATAAAACCACTGACACTATGAAGAAACTGCAACAACTAATGGGCAAAATAACCAGCTAGCATCATGATGACAGAATCAAACTCACACATAACAATATTAAACTTAAATGTAAATGGGCTAAATGCCCCAATTAAAAAGGCACAGACTCACAAATTGGATAAAGAGTGAAGACCCATCAGGGTGCTGTATTCAGGAGACAGATCTCACATGCAAAGACACACATAGGCTCAAAATAAAGGGATGGGGCGAGATTTACCAAGCAAATGGAAAGCAAAAAAAAGCAGGGGTTGCAATCCTAGTCTCTAAACTGACAAAGATCAAAAAAGACAAAGAAGAGCATTAAATAATGTTAAAGGGATCAATGCAACAAGAAGAGATAACTATTCTAAATTTATATGCACCCAATACGGGAGCACTTAGATTCAAAAAGCAAGTTCTTAGAAACCTACAAAGAAACTCACACTCCTATGCAATAATAGTGGGAGACTTTAACAGATCAATGAGACAGAAAATTAACAAGGATACTCAGGACTTGAACTCAGCTCTGGACCAAGTGGACCTAACAGACATCTACAGAACTCTCTACCCCAAATCAACAGAATATACATTTTTCTCAGCACCACTTGGCACTTATTCTAAAATCAACCACATAATGGAAGTAAAACACTCCTCAGCAAATGCAAAAGAATGGAAATCATAACAAACAGTATCTTAGACCACAGTGCAATCAAATTAGAACTCAGGATTAAGAAATTCACTCAAAACCACACAACTGCATAGAAACTGAACAACCTGCTCCTGAATTACTACTCAGTAAATAATGAAATTAAGGCAGAAATAAATAAGTTATTTGAAACCAATGAGAACAAGGCACAACATACAGAATCTCTGGGACACAGCTAAAGCAGTGTTAAGGGGGAAATTCATTGTACTAAATGCCCACAAGAGAAAGCAAGAAAGATCTGAGATTGACACCCTAACATCACAATTAAAAAGAACTAGAGAAGCAAGAGGAAACAAATTTAAAATGTAGCAGAAGACAAGAAATAACTAAGATCAGAGCAGAATTGAAGGAGACAGAGACAAGAAAAAGCCTTCAAAAATCAATGAATCCAGGAGCTGGTTTTTAAAAAAGATTAACAAAACAGACCACTAGCCGGACTAATAAAGAAGGAAAGAGAGAAGAATCAAATAAACACAATAAAAAATGATAAAGGGGAGATCACCACTGATTCCACAGAAATACAAACTACCATCAGAGTATACTACATACACATCTATGCAAATAAACTAGAAAATCTAGAAGAAATGGATAAATTCCTGGACACTTCCTGGACACATACACCCTCCCAAGTCTAAACCAGGAAGAAGTCGAATCCCTGAATAGACCAGTAATAACTTCTGAAATTGATGCAGAAATTAATAGCCTACCAACCGATAAAAGCCCAGGACCAGACAAATTCACAGCTGAATTCTACCATAGGTACAAAAGGAGCTGGTAGCATTCCTTCTGAAACTATTCCAAATAATAGAAAAAGAGGGACTCCTGTCTACTTAATTTTATGGGACCAGCACCACCCTAATACCAAAACCTGGCAGAGACACAACAAAAAAAGTAAATTTCAAGCCAATATCTCAGATGGAAATCGACATGGAAAATTTCTCAATGAAATACTGGCAAACCAAATCCAGCAGCACACAAAAAGCTTATCCAGCATGATCAAGTTGGCTTCATCCCTTGAATGCAAGACTGGCTCAACATAAGCAAATCAATAAACGTAATCCATCACATAAACAGAACCAATGACAAAAACCACATGATTATTTTAATAGATGCAGAAAAGGCCTTCAATAAAATTCAACACCCTTTAATGCTAAAAACATTCAATAAACTAGGTATTGATGGACCCTTTAATGTTAAAAACATTCAATAAACTAGGTATTGATGGACCAAACCTCAAAATAAAAAGAGCTATTTATAACAAACTTGCAGCCCATATCATACTGAATGGACAAATCAGGACTCATTCCCTTTGAAAACCCACACAAGATAAGGATGTCCTCTCTTCTAACTCCTATTCAAACTAGTGTTGGAAGTTATGGCCAGAGCAATCAGGCAAGAGAAAGAAGTAAAGGGTATTCAAATAGGAAGAGAGGAAATCAAATTTTTTGTTTGCAGATTACATGATTGTATATTTAGAAAACCCCACTGTCTCATCCCAAAAAGTCCTTAAGCTGATAAGCAACTTCAGCAAAGTCTCAGGATAAAAAATCAACGTGCAAAAATCGCAAGCATTCCTATACATCAATAATAGACAAACAGAGAGCCAAATCATGAGCAAACTCCCATTCACAATTGCTACAAAGAGAAAAAATACCTAGGAATACAACTTACAAGTGATGTGAAGGACCTCTTCAAGGAGAACTACACATCACTGCTCAAGGAAATAAGAGAAGACACAAACAAATGGAAAAACATACCATGCTCATGGATGGGAAGAATCAATATCATGGAAACAGTCATACTGCACAAAGTAATTTATAGATTCAGTGATATTCCCATCAAGTTACCATTGATTTTCTTCATAGAATTAGAAAAAACTATTTTATATTTCATATGGAACCAAAAAAGAGCCCGCATAGTAGCCATGACTTCTGTACTACAAGGCTACAGTAACCAAAACAGCATGGTACTGGTACCAAAACAGAGATATAGGCCAATGGAAGAGAACAGAGGCCTCAGAAATAGCACCACATGTCTACAACCATCTGACCTTTGACAAACCTGACAAAAACAAGCATTCCGGAAAGGATTCCCTATTTAATAAATGGTGTTGGGAAAACTGGCTAGCTATATGCAGAAAACTGAAACTGGACCCCTTCGTTACACCTTATACAAAAATTAACTCCAGATGGATTAAAGACTTAAACGTAAGACCTAAAACCAAAAACTCCTAGAAAAAAACCTAGGCAATACCATTCAGGACATAGGCACAAGCAAAGACTTCATGACCAAAACATGAAAAGCAATTGCGATGAAAGCCAAAATTGACAAAGGGGGTCTAATTAAACTAAAGAGCTTCTGCACAGCAAAAGAAACTACCATCAGAGTGAATAGGCAACCTAGAGAATGGGAGAAAATGTTTGCAATCTACTCATCTGACAAAGGGCTAATATCCAGAATCTACAAAGATCTCAAAAAAATTTACAAGAAAAAAACAACCACATCAACAAGTGGGCGAAGGATATGAACAGACACTTCTCAAAAGAAGACATTTATGCAGCCAACAGATACATGAAAAAATGCTCATCATCACAAAATGCCATCAGAGAAATGCAAATCAAAACCACAATGAGATACCATCTCACACCAGTTAGAATGGCGATCATTAAAAAGTCAGGAAACAACAGGTGCTGGAGAGGATGTGGAGAAATAAGAACACTTTTACACTGTTGGTGGGACTGTAAACTAGTTCAACTATTGTGGAAGACAGTGTGGTGATTCCTCAGGGATTTAGAACTAGAAATACCATTTGACCCAGCCACCCCATTACTGGGTATATACCCAAAGGATTATAAATCATGCTGCTATAAAGACACGTGCACGCGTATGTTTATTGCGGCACTATTCACATTAGCAAAGACTTGGAACCAACCCAAATGTCCAACAATGATAGACTGGATTAAGAAAATGTGGCACATATACACCATGGAATACTATGCAGCCATAAAAAAGGATGAGTTCATGTCCTTTGTAGGGACATGGATGAAGCTGGAAACCATCATTCTCAGCAAATTATCTCAAGGACACAAAACCAAACACCACATGTTCTCACTCATAGGTGGGAATTGAACAATGAGAACACTTGGACACAGGAAGGGGAACATCACACTGGGGCCTGTTGTGGGGTGGGGGGAAGGGGAGGGATAGCATTAGGAGATATACCAAATGTAAATGATGAGTTAATGGGTGCAGCACACCAACATGGCACATGTATACATATGTAACAAACCTGCACGTTGTGCACATGTACCCTAGAACTTAAAGTATAATAAAAAAATATTTAAAAGGGAAATATGGCATATTCATACATTGTCATATTTAAAACTGCAATTTTTAAAATTGGTGAGTGCTATTCTAACGTATGAGTACAGTTGAATGAATTTTACCATGAACACTCTTATATTCACTACTTTGATTCTACTATTAACACTTTATTATATTCGATAGATAAACATGTGTATCCATCTATCTATTCCTTTTTTAATCCAATAATCCATCTTAAGTTTCTATGTATCTTGGAGAAATTTGCAGATATCAGTACACTTCACTCTAAATACATTAGCAAGCATAGCAATAATTAGAGTGCAATATTTGTTCATGTTTTTTTCTCTTGCCGTAAAGTCAAAATATTTAAAAAAGTTTGAATATTAAGTATACATTCACTGAGATTTGACAAATGTGGAGAACTGTGTAACTCAGACAGCCAGCCTAGATGTATGAAACCACAGGAGTTATTATTTGGGGGCACCTTTCTGTATAAAAATTGAATTACCCTAAATTAGCATGTCAGAGATATTCTAACTGTCCAATATCATGCAGTTCTGTGAAAGAATTGCACTTTCAGAATACCACTCTGGCTTGTAGGACAAGGCACTCACCAAGTTACAGATCCACAGGGTCTCAAGAAAACCACATTTCATGAGACTGAATTGCCCACCAAGGGTTTAGTCTTCTCTGTTCTGTACACAATATAAATGAAATTATAAAATCTCAACTTTTTTTTTTTCTATAAGTCTTGAGCTTCAGTTAATCAAAAGCAGGTTATCCTGAGTGGGTCTGGACTAACAAGAGAAGCCTCAAAGGAAAGTGAAGAGTGAGAGAGAGGAGCTCTTGGTGGCCTGAAAAAAAAGGCAAAATACCACACTGTGAACTCCCTCTCGGGTCCACACTGTAAGGGGCTGTAAGCAGTCTCTAGAACCTGAGATTAGTCTCTGGCTGAAAGAAAGATAGCCAGGAAAACCAGAAATCTACATTTTATATCTACAAGGAAATGAAATCTACCAAAAATCAGTGAACTAGGAGAGGATCTTGAGCCTCAGATGAGGATTGAAACCACAGCTGACACCTTTATTTCAGTCTGGTGAATTTCTGAGCAGAAGATCCAGCTAACACATACCCAGACATATGACCCATGGAAACGGTGAGATAATATATTTGGGTTTGTTTAAGTCAACGTTCTGAAGTAATATCTTGCACAGAAATAGAAAACTTACACTGAGCAGGTGCCCATTGCTAGCAGAGTGTCTGTGCTCCCAGACCATCTTGGTGGGCAGAATTTAGGTTGATTTCTAAGTATTATTCCATGTTATAAGGAACCAGAGCCCCTTGCACAATTAGCTGATTCAGAGGTTGAGGTGGGGAAACAGAAGATAAGGTTAGAACATATTTTTTTTTCAAAGAGAAAGACTGTATTAAAAGGCGATTGGTGCACATCAGAATCACACAGAAACAAGCTTGAAAGGCAAGGCTCCACAGGACAAATCTGAGATAACCCACTTCAAAATAGATACTGTGACTAATGTTTTTACGTTCATTAAATAAAGTGAAATATAATTAGTCCATAGCTGATATAAGTAAATAAATCAATAAATTGGAAGATTAATGAGGGATAAGATGTATACATATTTTCAAATACTTCTTTCCCAAAATACATTATTTACAGAGAGTGAAAGAGTAGCTATGCAGTGGAAAATCCTGACAGACAGTACCTTAAGTAATCATGGTAAATGCCACCTGTATTGGTGCAAATTAAACTCATGGGCCACCTTATAGGACGCAATGAGAAGACCACAGTATTACTTCTCTGATATGATATCCCACTCAAAGATTTATAACTAATCTGAATCTGATAATGAAGAAACATTAACAAACAAACAGAAATAAACCAAAAGAATGCCATTCTATAATAATTGGCCTGTAATCTTCAAAAAATGTCAAAGTCATGAAAGTCAAGGAAAGTCAGAGAAACATGTCCCAATGGAAGTAGATTAAGGAGGTATGACACCTGAATCCAATGAGGATTATTTCCTGAATATTTTACTAGAAATAACATTTTGGAACTACTGGAAAAACTGGAAAGGAATTACATAATTATATGCACAAAATGTAATATGTATTACTTATATATACATGAGTAGAGTGTAACTCCTGATGTCTTTTTTTCTATGACCCTATTGTGTTTATGTAAGAAGATGTCGTTTTGGAAAAAAACGTAAGGTAACACGTTTAGGTGTGGCAGTCCATCAGGTTAGCAAATTGTTCAGAATAGATTTTGAAGCAGAAAGCTTTTAAAATTCTACTTGCAATTTTATTGTAAGTTTGAGATTATTTAAATGATTAAAATTGTTATATTTTTTAAAAAATACAATAAAGAGGCAAACCACAGCCCAATAACATATATTTAGGATAAATATGTGTGAGAGATCTCATATCCAGAATATGTAAAGAATTCTTACAAATAAAAAGATGACAATTTTTAAAATTTTTTAAAGGTAAGGACAGACACGACATGAAGGAAAATATTTAAAATGTCAAATAACCACATGAAAAGATGCTCAGCATCATTTATCATAAAAAAATTTAATGAGCTACCAGTAAACACTGACTACACACTCATGAATATGATTTTTTAAATGTCTAAGAATTCTAAGTATTATTGGTGTGGGTGTGATGGAAAAAAAATTATCATTCATTGCTCATTTTCTCTTTGGAAAATAGTTTTACAATATCTTGTAAAGTTAAATTACTTTTGCTGTGCAACCCTCTGATTCCATTCCCAGATATTTACCCAATAAAAATAAAAACCTATGTCTACTCAAGAATACATACAGAAATATTCATAACAGTTTTATTCATATTAACTGCAAAGTGGAGAGAGTACAAATGTCCATCAACAGGTGAATGAGTAAACATATCATGATGTATTGACAGGATGGAATGAATCATCAACAAAGTAAGTGCATTATTCAGTGAAATATTTTGTTGAATTTTCAAAACATAGTGCTAGGTGTAACAAACCAGAAGCAAAAGAACTCATATGGTATGTTTCCATTTATATAAAATGTTACAAAAAAAAAGTGAAAACAAAGCAACAGTGGCAGAAAACTGGTCAGTGGTCGTTGGGGCTGGCAGAGAATTTGATTGACTACATTGTGACACAATGGAACTTTTTTGACTTATGGACATGGTCTATTAATTGACAGAGGTGGTGGCTACATGAGTGTAAACAATTGCCAAAATCTGTCAAATTGCACAGAGAATTGTGCGTAATGTCATGTAATTTGCGTGGCAGTGAAGTAGACATAAAAATGAAAATAAATTGCTAAATATTATGATATAGACTTGAAGTTTCATAAGATTATGCAGAGTCAGTCATGAAATCTCACATATTAAAAAATTGTAGCTTTTGTTTTGTTTTGTCTGTTTCTTGACAAGGAACTGAAAAGATGTCTCAAGTTTAATTTTGCAGTTGTGAATTCCTTGCTGGATGCACAATACTCATCATCATTCACAGACATCATTCTGGGGCTTAATCTTATTCATCAAATGTGATCATCTTTCCATTACTTGACGTTAGTTTAAAGCTACAGAGGAAACCTTTATGGAAAGTGGATAGATTTCCCTGTTAATGCAATGATGCAGCTGATACTCATGGAGAATGTAATAAAGAAAGCAGATTACCTTTTTTTTTTTTTCATTAGTGCTTTGCTGCTTTCTCACAATCTGGTCAGAGCTCTTGCTAGTAATGAAAAACCTTTCACAACAAAATTTACAGTAGGAGTATTTACATTTCCAGATAGCTAGCCTAAGAGCATTTAGATGAAATTAATTTCCATCAGTGTGCATGCTGAAGCATTTATCCCTCTTAAATGAAAGTGAAAACCTATCAAGGTCTATTGAAATTTTGCCTTTTTTAGAAAAGCCAACATAGAAAAGGTAATGAATAATATTAGGAATGAAAACTATATAGCAAAGGATTTGTCAAAACTCAGGGAAGGAGAGATAGAGATGTATTCATTCTATTTTTTATTATTTTATTTGATATCTCATTTAAGTCCTATAGAATAATGATATAGAAATGGTATTAGATATTTATGAAATTTTTGACTTACATTTATTTTATTACTGTGTTTTCACTTAACAAATCTAAAGTCAGTTTCAAAAAACATTATGACCAGCTATAGTATCTTTAAAAGTACGTTTTATTGTACCATATTTCTTTTTTATATATAGCAACTGATACTTGTATTATTGTTTCTCCTTCCTAAGCCCTCAAAGCAATTTCTCTCATTTCCTTTTTTTTTTTAAAGGATGATTCTCTCTTGGTGGCTCAAAGTGAGATAGCTAGAAGCTGCTTACACAGCCAGCAGTTACCTTCGGTCTGCTTGGTTGAACAGCAGAGATTGAAATTGTAAGTAGCTATTTTCTATTTCCCTTTTTGTACTTTTCCCATAACTGCTGTTTTACCAGAGTGGAATCATTGCTTTCCCTCTCATGACACACATCTCCCCTGACATTACACATGATAACCGTATGTCTGATAGCATAACAAAGAAAGTAGCAATAAGACTTAGTTCCAAAAGTTAACCAAATATTGAGATCCATAGGATGCAAAGCACAAGTTTAAAAGAAAAGTCAACAATCACTACAATCAACTAGAAAAAATAATTTCTGATTTCCTGGCTTGCAAATTTCAGATCCTCCACATCAGGTACTCATTACTTAGAGTGTCATCTGTTTCTGGGTGGGGAAGGGAATGGATGGAAGAGGGAAAAATATCAGGTTGGATAACCTGATGGCACAACTAGTGACAAAACCACTACAAACAAGAGATTTAATTGATATTGAAGATTTTCTTTAAATACCACAGTATTTTGCAAACAAAATATATGACACCACAGTTATTTCACAGGATAAATATCCTAATTTCTCTTACATACTGTACATCAAGAACTTGATTAAAAATAATTATACATTTAATTAGTGCAGATGTACATGCAACCCATGTGACATGGATATAAAGTAAGCATAGAGAAAACACTACTGGAAGCACATCTAGATGCCAATTCAGGAAGATTTGGTTGTATATTTACTTTTAAATAGAAAAATCCATTTTCAACTGAGACCTAAAATAAATGGAACACAGCTCTTTTCTTCAGTGAATACCAAGAAGAATGCAAAGTGGGTAAAACATTGATCATAAAGTGTACAAGATGCTTAGTTTATCAATACTATTTGTATCCAGTAAAGAGAGTAAATCAAATAAGAAAACATTCCCAGGCAATGACTTAGCATAGGATATTGTGTGGAACATAACCAATAGAATAAACTTACAAAGTGCATTTAAACCTTTTAATTTAAATACATAGGCAGAGGTTGCCAGAAAACAACACTTCAAAAGAGACTTGATGGAGGTACAGTAGAACTTGAATAGCACTGAAATAGGAGAAATACAAGCTAAACAAGAGCAATGACTGCTCTCTTCCCTAAATATCTAGGGAAGATATCGTTCGATTATTTTATAAATTTCAACAAGATGCTTATTCCAGAAATGCTCTTAAATATATGTTTCTCTCCTGGCACAGTGGCTCACACCTGTAATCCCAGCACTTTGGGAGCCCAAGATGGGTGGATCACATGAGGTCAAGAGTTCAAGGCGAGCCTGACCATGGTGAAACACTATCTCTACTAAAAATACAAAACTTAGCCAGGTGAGGTGGTGTGTACCTGTAGTCCCATCTACCTGGGAGACTGAGGCAGGAGAATTGCCTGAACCCAGTAGGCAGAGGTTGCAGTGAGCCAAGATCACGTCACTGCACTCCAGCCGGGGTGACAAAGCGAGACTCTGTCTCAAAAAAAAAAAAAAAAAAAAAAAAATATATATATATATATATGATATTTCTAATAGTAATTTTTTGAGCCAGATACTGTGCTATGTCTTCCAAATAAAATCATATACAAGACAGAAAAAATTGTTTCTTTTAAGGAGCTTACCTTTGTGTTGGGGGTTTCACTACTAATAATCATAAACAAATGACCAAGACAAACTTATAGTTTCCCACATGTTGATTACATCTTAGGTAGGCTTCTTCTTGCCATTAAGGCCATGACTTCCCTTTTCTTAGAGCATTTACTTGGAAAACATATGCAGTTGACCCTTAAACAACACGAGTTTGAACTGGGTCCACTTATATGTGAATTTTCATTCACTTCTGCCACCCCTGAGACAGTAAGACCAAGCCCTCATCTTCCTCCACCTCTTCAGCCTACTTAACATGAAGACCATGAGAATGAAGAACCTTATGATGATCCACTTCCACTTAATGAATAGTAAATATATTTTGTCTTCAATATGATTTTCTTGTAACATTATTTCTCTAGCTTATTGTAAGGATAAAGAATATACTATACATAACATAAAAAATATGTGTTTATGGACTGTTTATGTTATTGGTAAGGCTTCCACTCTACAGTAGGCTATTAGTAGTTTTGGGAGAGTGAAAAGATATACTCACACTGCACAGGGGTCCCTACCCTTAAACCCCACATTGTTCAAGGGTCTCCTGTAATTGTAATCCTTTCTCTGTCCCTGTGAGATGTAAATCTTTTTTTAAAGCCATTTGCCAGCTTTACCACTGTCATTCTCAAGGAACCTCTTTCCCTTTGAAATGTAATCACCAAGGAGAATAGTGTCCCATCTCCCAGTTTCTGGGAAGGTATGAACCTAACTTCAGTGGGCACCTTGCCCCATGTTGTAAAACTATCTTCTGTCATTAAAACACTAGAAGCCTTACTTTACTTTTGGGTAAAGCCAATTAGCAAACACTGATGGCCTGAGATCTCTTTATTATTACAGAAAACCACCAGAAGCCACTGTACAGATATGGGACACATTATTTACCCTGGTGGTTGGAAGGAGCTAACCCTGCTGACAACCTTGATTTCAGATTTCTAGACTCCAGAACAGTGAGACAAAAAAATTATGTTGCATAAGCCATACATTTTGTGGTGCTTTGTCACAACACCAGAGTAAACTTACACAATAATACAAACACCCCCAACAGAAACTTTGTGAAGACTAAATGAGAGTGTAATGAAATAGTCAGCATATATACACAATAACTTTTCTTAGTATCTTTATCTTTAAAGTTTCAAACAATGTGTTAGGTTTGATTAAGTTGGAATTCATTGAAGCCTGTTTAATGAAAACTAAGTCTTTAGATATATATAAAAATGGAATGATCATCCATGTTTAAAAATATAAGAACCTGAGCAAAACATGTTAATATCTTGTTACTCAATTCTGAGTTTTTCATGGATTCTCTATTTGCAGAATAATTTATTTCTCCAATTCTGATAATTTCAGCTACATATTAAAAATAAGAATATTATTTATGTGTTAAAATATTTATCTCCACTATGTGTTTAAAAGTGTAAATATTTGCATTAATGATGGCAGGTCAGATAATCAAAATACTGAGCATTAAAAAGATACATATTTATAGTTTGAAAGGTGATATATTAACACAGAAGAATGAATTTCAGGATGAAGTTTATATAGTTCTAATGGTATCGAACCAAGGTATTTATCTCTATCTTTTCCTATGTTCTTCATACTACATTATTACAGTTAGAATGTTTTCTATTTGGGATCATATAACAAGACTTAAAAATCAATTATAGAAAAAAATAAATCCTTAGTTGCTAGAATGATAAGTTATGGATAATATTTGAGTTGACCGAAGAAGAATGCCACAAAATTAGTAAGTCGCCATTAAATATAAAAACATTAAAATAGTCTTGGAAAAACAAGAATAAAAAAATAAGAAAAGAGAATGCAGAGATTTTACTTATTTTCTGGAGGAAAACAAAAAATAGCCTCAGGTAGATTAGATTTTGAAAAAGTTATCTGAACCTCTATGGAAAAGGAATTCATTCTTTGACACCAAAGTGAAAAGACAAGAACTATATAGTTTTAATATTGTGTTTTTTTCTAACTTTATATATAGTATTACTATGAAAAGTTTGACACTGCAAATAATATACCCTAAACCAACTTTGAAAGGTGAGTCACAATTTCATTAGTTAGTAGTCCTTAGTTACTCCTACCCCTTACTCTATAGTTCTTACCTGATGGCAAGGATAGAAAATAAATAAAAATCATTCTGACCTTTGGAGTTCAGAAAAGGAGAAAAAATGTAGATACAGAAAAGCTTTAGAATACATGCTAATTTCAATTAATCAAACTTTTAGTGAGTAATATGTTAAAATATACATTGTAAAAGAGTGGCTCCCAATAAACATAGAATGAAGCTAAATGGAAGTATAATTACATTTTCCTTTGCAAATGGGAAGAAACCTGCAATTTTTTTTAATTTTTTTGTTTTTCTAATTTTGCAAAGGAGATTTTTTTTTTATTTATTATACTTTAAGTTCTGGGATACATGTGCTTAATGTACAGGTTTGTTACATAGGTATACATGTGACATGGTGGTTTGCTGCACACATTAACCCATCATCTACATTAGGTATTTCTCCTAATGCTATCCCTCCCCTTGGCCCCCACCCCTGACAGGCCCCAGTGTGTGATGTTCCCTTCCCTGTGCCCATATGGTCTCATTCGTTGTCCAACTCCCACTTATGCTTGAGAACAAGTGGTGTTTGGTTTTCTGTTCCTGTGTTAGTTTGCTGAGAATGATGGTTTCCAGCTTCATCTATGTCCCTGCAAAGGACATGATCTCTTATTTTTTTTTTTTTTTTCTGAGAAGGAGTCTCTCTCTGTCACCCAGGCTGGAGTGCAGTGGCGCGATCTCAGCTCACTACAAGCTTCGCCTCCCAGGTTCATGGCATTCTCCTGCCTCAGCCTCCTGAGTAGCTGGGACTACAGGTGCCCACCACCACGCCTGGCTAATTTTTTGTATCTTTATTTATTTATTTTATTTTTTTTTTTTGAAATGGAGTCTCGCTCTGTCCCCAGGCTGGAGTGCAGTGGTGCAATCTCGACTCACTGCAAGCTCCACCTCCCGGGTTCATGCCATTCTCCTGCCCCAGCCTCCTGAGTAGCTGGGACTACAGGCAACTGCCACCAAGCCCAGCTAATTTTTTTTTTTGTATTTTTAGTAGAGATGGGGTTTAACCATGTTAGCCAGGATGGTCTCGATCTCCTGACCTTGTGATCCACCCACCTTGGCCTCAAACTCATCCTTTTTTATGGCTGCATAGTATTCCATGGTGTATATGTGCCACATTTTCTTTATCCAGTCTAACATTGATGGGTATTTTGATTGGTTACAAAACTTTGCTATTGTGAACAGTGCTTCAATAAACATATGTGTGCATGTGTCTGTATAGTAGAATGATTTATAATCCTTTGGGCATATACCCAGTAATGAGAGTGCTGGGTCTAATAGTATTTCTAGTTCTAGATCCTTGAGGAATTGCCACACTGTCTTCCACAATCTTTGAACTAATTTACACTCCCACCAACAAAGAAAAAGCATTCCTATTTCTCCACATCCTGTCCACCATCTGTTGTTTCCTGACTTTTTAGTGATCGCCATTCTAAATGGTGTGAGATGGTATCTCATTGTGGTTTTGATATGCATTTCTCTAATAACTAGTGATGATGAGCTTTTTTTTCATGTTTGTTGGCTGCATAAATGTCTTCTTTTGAAAAGTGACTGTTCACATCCTTCGCCCATTTTGATGGGGTTGTTTGTATTTTTCTTGTAAATTTGACTAAGTTCCTTGTAGATTCTGGATATTAGCCCTTTGTCAGGTGACTAGATTGCAAAAATTTTCTCCTATTCTGTAGGTTGCCTGTTTACACTGATGATAGTTTCTTTTGCTATACAGAAGCTCTTTAGTTTAATTAGATCAACAAATTCAATTAAAAAACCCCAAAATCATACCAACTACACTCTCAAACCACAGCACAATAAAAATAGAACTCAATACCAAGAAGATCTCTAAAAACCACAATTTACATGGAAATTAAACAATCTGCTTCTGAATGAATATTGGGTAAAGAATGCAACTAATGCAGAAATCAAGAAATTCTTTGACACTAATGAGAAAATAAAAAAAAAAATACAACAGAATCTTTGAGACACAGCTAAAGCAGTCTAAGAGAAAAGTTCATAGTACTAAATTTCCACATCCAAAAGTTAGAAAAATCTCAAATTATCAACCCAACATCACATCTAGAGGAACTAGAAAAACAAAAGCAAACCAACCCCAAAGCTAGCAGCATAAAATAATCAAAATCACATTGAAATTGAGATTTCAGTATCAAAAAATCAGAGTGAAAACTGATTGAAATTGAGAAGACTAAAAAAAGTACAGAAGATCAATAAAACCAAAAGTTGGTTCTTACAAAGAATAACTAAGATTGATAGACCAGTAGCTATACTAATAAAGAAGAAAAGAGAAATGATCCAAATAAACACGATCAGAAATGACAAAGGGGGCATTACCACTGATTCCACAAGAAAAAAAAAAAATCAGAGACTAGTATGAACACCTGTATGCACACAAACTAGAAAACCTACAGGAAATGGATAAATTCCTGGAAACATACAAGCTCCATAACCCAGGAATAAATTGAAACCCTGAGAAGACCAATAACAAGTTCTGAAATTGAATCAGTAATAAAAACAAAACGTCTGGACGTGGTGGCTCACACCTGTAACCCCAGCACTGTGGGAGGCCAAGGTGGGCAGATTACGAGATCAGGAGTTTGAGACCAGCCTGGCCAATATGGAGAAACCCCCTCTCTACTAAAAATACAAAAATTCACTGGGCACAGTGGCTGGTACCTGTAATCCCAGCTACTCGGGAGGCTGAGGCAGGAGTATTGCTTGAACCGGGGGGTTGGGGTTGCAGTGAGCCTAGATCGTACCACTGCACTCTAGCCTGGGTGACAGAGCAAGACTCCATCAAAATAAATAAATAAATAAATAAACTGTGGGGAAAATAAAGAGAGATCAGACTGTTACCGTTCTATGTAGAAGGAAGTAGACATAAGAGACTCCATTTTGTTCTGTACTAAGAAAAATTATTTTGCCTTGAGATGCTGTTAATCCGTAACCTTACCCCCAACCCTGTGCTCGCAGAGACATGTGCTGTGTCAACTCAAGGTTAAATGGATTTAGGGCTATGCAGGATGTGCTTTGTTAAACAAATGCTTGAAGGCAGCATGCTTATTAAAAGTCATCACCACTCCCTACTCTCAAGTACTCAGAGACACAAAACACGGTGGAAGGCCGCAGGGACCTCGGTCCTGGAAAGCCAGGTATTGTCCAAGCTTTCTCCCCATGTGAAAGTCTAAAATATGGCCTCCTGGGAAGGGAAAGACCTGACCGTCCCCCAGCCCGACACCGGTAAAGGGTCTGTGCTGAAGAGGATTAGTAAAAGAGGAAGGCCTCTTTGCAGTTGAGATAAGAGGAAGGCATCTGTCTCCTGCTCGTCCCTGGGCAATGGAATATCTCCAGGTAAAACCCGAATGTATATTCCATCTGCTGAGATAGGAGAAAACCACCTTAGGGCTGGAGGTGAGACATGCTGGGGGCAATACTGCTCTTTAAGGCATTGAGATGTTTATGTATATGCACATAAAAAGCACAGCACTTTTTTCTTTACCTTGTTTATGATGCAGAGACATTTGTTCACATGTTTTCCTGCTGAACCTCTCTCCACTATTACCCTATTGTCCTGCCACAGCCCCCTCTCTGAGAAACACCCGATAATGATCAATAAATACTGAGGGAACTCAGAGACTGGTGCCAGCGCGGGTCCTCCATATGCTGAGCGCTGGTCCCCTGGGCCCGCTTTTCTTTTTCTATACTTTGTCTCTGTGACTCTTTCTTTTCTCAAGTCTCTCGTTCCACCTGACGAGAAACACCCACAGGTGTGGAGGGGCAGGCCACCCCTTCATAAATTAAAAAAAGAAAAAAAAAAAAAAAGAAAGCCTTGGAACAGATGGATTCACAGCTGTATTCTACCAAACAGAATTCTACCAGTATGAAGAGCTTGTACCAATCCCATTGAAACTTTTCCCAGAAATTGAGGAGAGACTCTTCCCTAAATCATTTTATGAGGCCAGCTTCATTTTGATACTGAAATCTGGCAGAGACATAACATAAAGAAGACTTCAGGCCAATATTCTTGCTGAATATAGATACAAAAATACTTCAACAAAATACTAGCAAACCAAATCCAGCAGCACGTCAGGCAAGAGAAAAAAATAAACAGCATCCAAATAGGAAGCCAAACTATCTCTCTTTGCAGATGATATGATTCTATACCAGGAAAACCTTATAGTCTCTGCCCAAAGCCTCCTACATCTGATTAATAACTTTAGCAAGGTTTCAGGATATAAAATCAATGTAAAAAAATCAGTAGCATTTCTATATATCGATAATGTCCAAGCTGAGAGCCACATTAAAATCCAATCCGATTCAGAATAGCCACAGAAATAATAAAATACTTGGAAATACAGCTAGATAAGAAGGTGATAGATCTTTACAATGAGAATTACAAAATATTGCTGAAAGAAATTAGAGATAACACCAAAACATGGAAATACATTCCATGCCCATGGATAGGAAGAATCAATATTGTTAAAATGGTCATACTACCCAAAGTATTTTATAGATTCAGTGTTATTCCTATAATATCATACTTCCAAGAACATTTTTCACAGAATCAGCAAAAACTATTTTACAATTTATATGGGGGACATTAAGATGGTGGACAGGAAGCAGGACTAGCTTGTAGCTCCCACTCAGACAGACAGAGAAGTGTGTGGAGACACATATCATGAACTTTTGCTTCAAGAACTACCACAGCAACATACCAGGCAAGCTGAGAGAATCCAGAGACCCTTTGAAGAAAGTGAATCACCACTGCATGCTCCCTGAGATGCCAGAAAACTGAGTCTGCTTGCTTTCTCATCAGGGAGGCTGGTGGTGTGGGGACAAGTTCTTAGCTCTTGTCACTGGCTGACTGGAAATAGACTCAGTGCTGCTGGGGGAACATGGTGGGGGTGGGACTGGCCTTCAGGACAGAGGGCTGCATGGAAGCAGGGTGAGGTCTGTGATTGCCCACTTTCCCCCATTTCCTTGGTGACCTGTATGAGTCAGCCAAGGGAGCCATAATCTCCCTGGAAACATAAATCCATTGGCCTGAGAACCACACCCCCACCCCGCACAGCAGCCCCAGCAAGCCTTGCCTAAGGAGAGTTTAACCTTAGACACACCTAATCCTAATCCCTGTCCCCACTTAGTGGTCTTTCTCTACCTGCCCTGATTGCCAAAGAGAAAGGACACAATCTTTTGGGAGCTCTATGGCTCTGAGAAAACTGAATACTTAACCGTGTGACCCTAGGGTAAGTTTACTTCCTCAGTAAGGTAACACAGTTCATGCACTCTTGAAAGTGCCACCTCCTGGTTGGAGGCCAACCAACACAAAACAAGGACACTAAACAAAAAGACAACCAAGGACCCTCACAGAGTCCCCTTCAATTCCCTGAGGTGCACATATCCATGACTGAAAGACCTGAAGACAGATCACACCATGGGACTTTTTGCAGACACTCTCCAGTAGGCCCGGAGCCTGGTAGCTCTTCTAGGTGGACAGACCCAGAAGAGCAAAAACAATCACTGTAGTTAGGCTCTCAGGAAGCCCCATTCTTAGGGGAAATGGGAGAACATCACACCACCCCATGGGACAAAAGAACCTGAATGGCAGCCCTTGAATCCCAGATCTTCCCTCTGACATGGACTACCAAAAGGAGAAGATACCAGAAAAACAATTCTGGCAGTATGACAAAACAAGGTTTTTTTTAACTCTCCCAAAAGATTACACCATCTCACCAGGAATGGATCCAAACCAAGATAAAATCTCTGAATTGCAAGAAAAAGAATTCAGAAGGTCGATTATTAAGCTAATCAAGGAGGCACCAGAGAAAGGTGAACTCCAACTTAAAAGAATCAAAAACATGATACAGGATATAAAAGAAAAATTATTCAGTGAAATAGATGGCATAAACAGAAAACAATCACAAATTCTAGAAATCAAGGACACATGTGAAGAAATGCAAAATGCATTTCTCAGCAACAGAATCGAATAAGCAGAAGAAAGAACTTCAGTGCATGAAGAGAATGCTTTTGAATTAAACCAATCCATCAAAGACCAAGAAAAAAGAATTTTAAAAAATGAGCAAAGCCTCCAAGAAGTTTGGGACTATGTTAAGCTTACGAACCTAGAATAATTGGTATTCCCAAGAAAGCATACAAATCTCAAAGTCTGGAAAAATATGTTTGAGAGAATAATAGAGGAAAACTTCCCAGGCCTTTCTAGAGATCTAGACACCCAAATATAAGAAGCGCGAAGAACACCTGCAAAATTCACTGGAAAAGATCATTATCTAGGTACATAGTCATCAGGTTATCCAAAGTCAAGACTGAGGAAAGAATCTTAAGAACTGTGAGGCAAAGGCATCAGGTAAGCTAACAAGGAAAACCTATCAGTAACAGCAAATTTCTCAGCAGAAACCCTACAAACTAGAAGGGATTGGAGTACTGTTTTTAGCCTCCTTAAGCAAAACAGTTATCAGCCAAGAATTTTGTATCCAAGGAAACTAAGCTTCATAAATGAAGAAAAGATAGCCTTTTCCAGACACACAAATGCTGAGAGAATTTGCCACTACCAAGTGAGCACTAGAAAAACTGCTAAAAGGTGCTCCAAATCTTGAACCAAATCCTTGAAATGACCAAAATATAACTTCCTTAAAGCATAAGTATCATAGGAGCTGTATAACGGTAACAAAAACACAATGAAAAAAGGCATTCAGGCAACAAATAGCATAATGAATTGAATAATACCTGACATCGCAATACTAATGTTGAATGTAAATGACCTAAATGCTCTAGTTAAAAGTTACAGAATGGCAGAATGGATAAGAAATCAACAACCACGTATCTGCTGTCTTCAGGAGACTCACCTGACACATAAGGACTCACATAAACTTAAGATAAATGGGTGGAAAAATATAGTCTATGCACATGGGCACCAAAAACACACAGGAACAGCTGTTTTTATAACAGACAAAACAAACTTTGAAGCAACAGCAGTTACAAAAGATGAAGATGGACACTATACAATGATAAAAGGACACACCAACAGGAAAATATAATAATCCTAAATATATACTCACCTAACACTGGAGCTTTCAAATTTATAAAACAATTACTACTATACCTAAGAAATGAGACAGACTTCACGACAATGACAGTGGGGGACTTTAATACTCCCCTGACAGCACTAGACAGGGCATCAAGACAGACAGTCAACAAAGAAACAACATACTTAAACGTTGTACAACAAATGGACTCAACAGATATTTACAGAACATTCTACCCAACAAATGCAGAATATACATTCTATTCACCTACACATGGAGCATTCTCCAAGATAGAGCATATAATACAAAACAAGTCTCAGTAAATTAAAAAAAAAATTGAAATAATATCAAGTACTCTCTCAGACCACAGTGGAATAAAATTGGAAATCAACTCCAAAAGGAATCCTCAAAACCATGCAAATACATGAAAATTAAATAACCTGCTCCTGAATGATCATTGGGTCAACAATAAAATAAAGATGGAAATTAAAAAATTATTTGAACAGAATGATAACAGTAACAAAACCTATGAAAACCTCTGGGATACAGCAAAAGTGGTGTTAAGAGGAAAGTTCACAGCACTAAATGCCTACCTCGAAAAGGCTGAAAGAGCACAAATAAACAATCTAAGCTCAAACATCATGGAACTGGACAAACAAGAACAATCCAAACCCAAACTCAGCCGAAGAAAAGACATAACTAAGATCAGAGGAACTAAATGAAATTGAAACAAAAAGCAACACAAAAGATAAATCCAACAAAAAGCTGGCTCTTTAAAAAGATAAATAAAATTGATAGACCATTAGTGAGATTAGCCAATAAGAGAAAGATCAAAATAAACTCAATTAGAAATGAATTGGGAGATATTGCTACTGATAACACAAAAATACAAAAGAGTATTCAAGGCTACTATGAATAAACTGGAAAACCTAGAGAAGATAGGTAAATTCCTGGAAATGTATAGCCCTCCTAGATTAAACCAGGAAGATATAGAAACTCTTAACAGACGAACAACAAGCGGCAAGATTGAAATGGTAATTATAAAACTGCCAACAAAAAAAGTTCTAAATCGGACCAATTCACAGCCAAGTTCTATCAGACATTCAAAGAATTGGTACCAATCCTATTCATTGCACAGGATAGAAAAAGAGGGAATCCTCCCTCCATCATTCTATAAAGCCAGTATCACCATCATTCTATAAAGCCAGTACCAAAACCAGGGAATGACATGACAAACAAACAAAAAAAAGAAAAGAAAAGAAAAGAAAGAAAACTACAACCAATATCCTTGATGAAAATAAATGCACAGATCCTTGACAAAATACTAGCAAACTGAATCCAACAGCATATCAAAACAATAATCAACCATGATCAAATGGGTTTCAAACCAGGGATTCAGAGATTAATATCCACAAGTCAATAAGTGTGATACACCACATAAACAGAATTTAAAACAAAATACACATAATAATCTCAAAAGATGAAGAAAAAACATTTGTGAAAATCTAGCATTGCTTTATGATTAAAACCTTCAACAAAATCAGCATAAAAGGGACATACCTTAAGGTAATAAAAACCATCGATGACAAACCCAGAGCCAACATTATACTGAATGGGGAAAAGTTGAAAGCATTCCCCCTGACAACTGGAACAAGACAAAGATGCTTCTATTCAACACAGTGCTGGAAGACCTAGCCAGAGCAATCAGATGAGAGAAAGAAATCAAGGGCATCCAAATTGGTAAAGAGGAAGTCAAACTTTTGCTCTTTGCTCATAATATGATCATATACCTAGAAAACCCTAAAGACTCATCCAAAAAGCTCCGACAACTGGGAAATAAATTCAGCAAAGTTTTAGGATACAAAATTAACGCACACAATTCAGTAGCTCTGTTATATACCAACAATGAGTAAGTTGACAGTTAAATCAAAAACTTAACCCCTTTCACAATAGCTGAAAAAAATACAATAAAATACTTAAGAATATACCTAACCAAATACATGAAAGATCTCTACAAGGAAAACTATAAAACACCGCTGAAATAAATCATGGATGACATAAACAAATAGAAACACATCCCATGCTCGTGGATGGGTAGAATCAATATTGTGAAAATGACCATATACTGCCAAAAACAATCTATAAATTTAGTGCAATTCCCATCATCATCATTCTTTACAAAGCTAGAAAGAAACATCCTAAAATTCACATGGAACCCCCACCCCCACCCCCCAAAAAAAGAGCCTGCATAGCCAAAGCAAGACTAAGCAAAAAGAAGAAATCTGGAGGCATCACATAACCTGACTTCACACTATACTGCAAGGCTATATTCACCAAAACAGCATGGTACTGGCATAAAAATAGGCACATTAAACAATGGTACAGAATAGAGAATGAAGAAATAAAGCCAAATACAGCCAACTGATCTTTGACAAAGCAAACAAAAACATAAAGTGGGGAAAGCACACCCTGTTCAACATATGGTGCTAGGATAATTGGCAAGCCACAGGCAGGAGAATGAAACTGGATCCTCATCTCTTACCTTATACAAAAATAATCTCAACATGAATCAAATACTTAAATCTAAGAGTGCTAGGAAAATCCTCTTGTGTTGTTCTTGCTCGTGCAAATATATGCTAGAACTGTTCATTTTTTTGCTCTGTAGTTGCTGAGAAAGGCGGCTAGAAGCAGTCTGTGGATCTCATTTGCCTTCATATGAATGGATTTGGGGCTGGAACAATTCCTTACTTGGAGTTAAAGTGCCCTTATAGCTGGTGTTGGGCTTCTTGGTTTGTGAGAGAATATTGTTCCCTTTTCTGGAATTAATAAGTAGTTCTGTACTCTGCTTAAGTACATTTGTCTATGGCCTTTAGGCACACTCCCAACTTTCTGTATTTCAGACTCCATGACACAGGGGGAAATGTCTTTCTACTGCAGAAAAAGTGAGGTCCATGTAGTCACACTGACCACCTTTGCTGAGATCTGCTGGCCATGGGGGACTGATGCATTCCAAGGGACTGGATCTTGTGCACACTCTCTCTTCTTGCTGTCAGTTAGTGGTGTACCACTGGAACCTGGTGTACATGTTGTTTATTATCAGTGACCTCAAATCATGCACTGGTCCCCTCACTAGATGGTACTTAAACCTTCAACCTTGGCTATGCTCATGATATATACTATCCTGCAGCACAAAGCAAATACCTAGAGCACAGTAGAAAAGTACTTATCATTATAAATTACAATTATTCTCATAATTTGCCAATGAAATTAATCAGTTTGTTTCAAGTCTAGATTAGTTAATTTTCTGAAGTTATCTTTTCTCTTACAAAAAAGTTACCTGTCAATATTTTGTCATTTCCTTTTAACATTTTAACCTGAAAATGCTTCTATTTATAATTAAAGTAGTTCATAGCTATTGTATTTAGTGTTATGTCCATACAACAAAATCAACACCGATTAACTTCTGCTGCTGTGGTGAATGGGAAGGCAACTACAGCTTCTTTTGGGTATGGGAGGCACAATCAGTCTGGGAGTCAAGGGACACATGAATTCTGTTGATGCCAAGAAATTGCCTGCTCATTCTTTTTAACACTGTCCTTGGCAAGGAAAACTAAAGATTATTGCTTAAATACATCAAGGCTACAATGTTGTTAGTATCATGTTAACAGCATAGATTTTGGAACTAGATTGATGAATTAAAATAGTGGTTTTACAACTTCCTAATCATTTGACCTTAGTTTCCTCAGCTATAGAAAGAGAAAAATATTGGTATTCACCACAGAAGGTTATAGCAATTAAATCAATTAATATATAAAAAGTAGCTAAAGAATTCCTGGCACAGAGTAAGTGCTATGTGTATGCTTGTTATTTATTGATTACTTGAATAATTAATGGCTATCTGACCGTATGCTTCAAACAGAACACATGCTATTAAGAATCTTTCCAACACTAAAATGGGATTATATATAATATGCAGCTAAAATTTTTCTCCATTGCAATATATTTATGTAAAAAAATATTATTTGGGATTTTTCTTTCCCTTTTAATTCATACATCTAAAATAATCAAATTATTTTTTAATGCAAGTGGGAACAATGAACACGTGTTTTAGTAGCAATTTAGGACTACTCTTTTAAAATATGTAACACATTAATTGAAATATAATCCACATACCATACAATTAACACATTTAGAATAGAATTTAATGGTTTATAATATATTCATAGACTGGTGTAGGCATCTCTGAAATCTGTGCTTAAAATATTTTTATCACGCCCAAAAGAAATCTGAAGATATTAGGTCACTTTCCATTTTCTTCCTTCAATACCCAGTCAACCCAAGATATCCACTACCGTAGTTTCTGTTTATCCCCAATCAACTCAAGACATCCACTAATGCAGTTTCTGATTTTAAAGATTAACATATTTTATATAAAAACAATTATACAACATTTACTTTTTTGTGACTGGCTTCTTGCACTTAGCTTAAAGTTTTCAAGATTCTTTCTTACCGTAGCTTGACTCAGAACTTTTTAAATTCATTTTTATTGCTGAATAATATTCCAATGTATTAGTGTATCAAATTTTATTTACCAATTCAGTTTATGGAAACTTGGATTGTGTCTGGTTTTTGATTATGAATAAAGATACTATTAATATTTGTGAACAATTTTTGTTTAGACACAGGATTTTGTGTATTTTGAGAGTAATTGTAGAACTGCTGGCTCAAAGTATAATTCTATGTTTAGCATTTTGAGGAACTGCCCAGATGTTTTGCAAAGTAGCTACCCCATTTTACATTCTCATCCACAGAGTAAGTGGGTTCAAATTTTTTCACATCCCCACCAACACTTACTATTATCTATCTTTTTTATAATAACCATCCTAGTGTGGAATTCAATGGCATCTCATTTTGGTTTTGATTTTCGTTTCTCAATGACTAATAATATTGAACATCTTTTCATATGTTATTAGCCATTTGTATATATTTTTTGGAGACAGTCTATTAAGATTATCTGCTCGGTTTTGTGCTCTTTTTATTATTGACTTTTCAATGTTTGATGTATTTGTGATAAAAGTTTGTTATCAGATATATAATTTGCAAATATTTCTCCCATTCTGTACATTGCTATTTTAGTTTCTTGGTGGTATTAATTGAAGTACGGAAGTTTTTAAACTTGGATAAATTAAATTAATATATTTTTCTTTTGCTGTTTGTACCATTGGTTTACATCCAGGAAGGCTTTGCCCAACACAAGGTTACAAAAATTTACTACTATAGTTTCTTCTGAGAATTTTATAGTTTCTTGTGCTCTTGTGCTAATGTCTATGAAGTAAATTTTGTATATGGTATGCAGAAGTAGTCCAACTTCATCCTTTCTAGGTGGATAGCCAGGCAGGCCAGCAACATTGGTTGAAGAGACTAGGCTTTCTTCATTACCTTGTCTTGGCACCCTTTTTAGAAAATCAACTGATTGTAAATGGAAAGGTTTATTTCTGGACTCTAAATTAGTTCCATCTTTATGTCTATTCTTATGCCAGTACTGCACAGTCTTAATTACTGTAACCTTGAACTAAGTTTTGAAATTGAGAAGTGTGAGATCTCCAAATAAATTCTTCTTTTCCAGGATTGTTTTGGCTATTCTATGCCCCTTGCATTTCCATATAAATTTCAGAAGTAGCTTATCAGTGTTTCTGAAGAGGCCAGTGCAATTTTGATATGGATTGTATTCAGTCTGTAGATCAATCTGAAGAGTAATGCTATATTAACAACTTTAAGTATTCCATGAATATGTTATGTCTTTTCATTTATGTTTCCTTCTTATTTTTTTCAACCATGTATTGTAGTTTTTAGAGTATTATTTCAGATCTTGTTTAAATTTATTCTGAAGTATTTTATTCTTTATTTACAATGGCATCAAGAAGAGTAAAATATTGATATTGATTTTGTATCTGCAACCTTGTTGAAATTGATTATTAGCTCTAGTTCGAATGACTTGCTTGTGTGTGAGTGTATGTATATTTTTTAGGATTTTCAATATACAAGATCATGGCCATCTACAAATAGAGATAATTTTACTTCTCTTTTCTATATGGATTCCTTTTACTTCTCTTTCTTCTCAAGTTTCCCTAGTTAGCTCCACCACTACTTTGTTTAATTTGAGTGGCAACGTGCTACTTTGTCTTATTCCTGATCTTAAAAGGGGAAACATTCAATTTTTAACCATAAGATGTTAGCTGTGTTTTTTTTCAATCAATGACATTTTTCAAGTTGAGAAAGTTGTCTTCTATTTCTAATTTGTTGAGTGTTTTTATGTTGGATTTTGCCAAGTGGTGCTCATTTTTCTGTCTACTCTTCTTTTTAATCTACAAGTTCACTACTACAAATTTTCCTCTCAGCACAACTTTAGTTCCCATGTCTTTTAGTGTAGTTGCCTTAATTTTCACTCATTGCAAATTTTCTATTTTTTTGTGATTTTTTCTTTACTTTCTCATATTTATTCTACCTGTATCTACCTTGGATTTTCTTTAACAGCTCTTCTAAGTGGACACTCTCTGCCTTTGTCAGAACTTGAAGGAGTCTGTTCTCTCCTTTCTACCTAGATTTCACTCACAGTATACTCATTTATAGGAGTATGTTTCCTAAATCTGTTTTGATGACTTTTATATGTTCTTCTTGGAGCACAGTCTGTTGTCGCAAGGAAATCATGGTATTCTAAAGCATGATTCAGTAATTTGCTGGTAGAGGTTTACTCCCTTACTTTGAGAATTGTTCAGCATTTGCAATAGTTTAAAAAAGGGCTTTGTATCCTTTATATGCATATATAAGTATATATGGATTATTATTGCATTTTTGCTCATGTATTTTATTTTCCTGCTTTTTATCTTTTCACCTCCTCACCATTAATCTGTTCACCTTATGCAAAGTTGACTATTACAGTCACTGTGCTAATTTGACTGGGAAAAATGGTTCCTCTCTTTTGTATAATATGGCTATTTTATTGCATTCCACAGAATATCCTAAGTTATTTGTTGAAGTTATTATTTCTACATCATTGTCTTTAGAAACACTATTTTTTCAAATACCTGAAACCACTTTCTATATTAATGTGCTCCTGCACCTTACTTTCAAACACCCCGGAATTAAAACTCACAGTTTATGGTGAGATAGTTTACCTTTCCTTTTATTCCTTTAATGGTATGTACTGTCTCAGTCTCTTGGAGCTGCTATAACAAAATACTGTAGGCTAGGTGGCTTATAAAAAGCACTGTATTGCTCATAGGTCTGGAGGCTGGGAAGTCCAAGATTAAGGCACCAGCAGATTCGGTTTTTAATAAGGGTCTGCTCCTCATAGATGGCACATTCTGTGATCTGACATTGCAGAAGAGCAAAAGGGGCCAACATGCTCTCTTGGACCTCTTTTATAAGGGCACTAATCTCATTCATGAGGGCTCTACCTCCATGATCTAATCACCTCTCAAAGGCCTCACCTCCTATTAGTATCATCTTGTGAGTTAAGATTTTGGGCATGGTGGCAGGCGTCTGTAGTCCCAGCTACTCGGGAGGCTGAAGCAGTAGAATCGCTTGAAACTCTGAGGCAGCAGAGGTTGCAGTGAGCCCAGATTGTGCCACTGCACTGCAGCCTGGGTGACAGAGCAAGACTCTGTCTCAAAAAAAAAAAAAAAAAAAAAAAAAAAAAAAGAACAAAAAACATTTTGAACGTATAAATTTTAAGGGAACACTAACAAGATCATAACACGTACTGAAATTTAAAAATATACCAGTGCTTATATAGAAGATACAATTTACAAATTCACCAGCTATGGTGTTTTCCTTTGTAGGTTTATTTTAAGCCTCTCCCTTTTTCCTCACCCTACCCTCACATACACTTACAATTTTATATAACTCTTGCCATTTTTTCCTAGTCATCTGGGTTTTGTTACAAAGAAAATTGCTGTTTTCCATGTAACACATAATGAATAGCGGCTCACTATAATAAAAGACAAACATATTATTATTTGTTTTTATATATTGTTACTTATTTTCACATATATAGTTATCTTCCCTTATCCCTCTATTTACATCTTTCCAGTGATGCCAAACAAAGAGACAGCAGCAGTATCTAATATGTGGTTTTGCTTGCTATCTAAAATCCAGCCAATAGTAAAATGTATTATTTACATTTGCTTATAAGAGTGGAGAAAAAAATTATATCATATTTGTAAAATCTCTGTTGTTTAAGTACCCAGAGGCCATTTGAGTTTAACTCCCAGAGGACGTTGAAGTTAACTCCTATACTACAATATTGATCTAGTAACTAGATTAATTATCTAGATTTGTGACACACAAACATAACTCCCCCCTCCACACACAAATAGACAGAGAGGGAGAGAGATAGAAAGAGAGACAGAGAGAGAGGGCAGGGCAGGGGAGGGGAAGAGAGGATAGATACTGAGTTGCTACCCGTTGTTTTAGGTTTCAGTATTTAAATACAAGAAAACAAGAAGAACCAATGTGCTAGATTGGAAGAAAGCAATCAATGTGTTCCAGAGAGAATACAGGAAATACTGCTTGAAACAAAATGTCTCAGTGACCAAGCAGAAATTGGAACAGAGATTCATATTTTATAGAGATATTCTTGTGTCTGTAATGATTGTAAGTGAACCCTCAAAACATGACTTATTGTGTATTTTTAAGCATCTTTTCTAACCATCTCTGTTTACATTTTAGTACTTATTGGACTAATAATATTACAATATTGATACAACAATATTGTCTGTGCTTTCCTGGACCAAATAGTGGCCTTAATAAATGATGTCAATACTTGAGCCTTGTTTGGTAGTACAGACATTAGTATATCTAGGCTATGATGCCTGCTTTGTTTTCAGTTTAATCAGGAAGTGGCCTTATTGATAAAGGCTAAAAACAATGAGTTTCCTTTATTTGAAGTCACCCTGTGCATGTGTGGTCAGTGGAAAAGTCTAACTCTAAAGGAATGATTTCATTTAATTTGAATGGGGCATTCTGCTGCAATTCTAGTGGAACAACTGTAAATTTTGATTACTTTTTTTGACTTATGATAGATGATTCATAATTTTTTACATAGGACCAAATGATTTGGTCAAAATATTACTAATTATGTTTTCTGATATACTGAGTACTAACCCTTACCCGCACCCAATTCCCCACCCCGATTATACTGGCCTTTAAGTCAAAGAAACTTACTTTTCACTGGAAGGAATAATGGAATAACACAATTAATATATACAGAAGATTCAATTTTCTATTTGTAGATTATTTGATTTGCAGCCCAACATCAGAAATCATGACATTTTTATCATTGGCGATACAGTACTTTAATTTGTGTCAATATTATCAATTTGTCTTTACTAATATCATTTTGCTATACTCACATGGGACAAAAGTGAAAAAAAAATAACATTAATCACTTATTTTGTAAGTTTCATATTCTGTGAATATTGTGTGTTCATTTGGACACAAAATCACGGATTTCATCTTGTCATTATAAAATTTTAAACATTTAACAAGGATTATTTTCATTCTTCGAATTCTGCAGCTTTTGTTGAAATTGACTGATGGACTGACAGTCTACAGTATTTGTTACAAGCTTTGTGACATATTTTGTTTGATATTAGAGAATTACTTTTATATTTTGAAATTATTTCCTTCCACACCAAAAAGAAGATGGTGTTCATAATCTCTATGGCCTCTTTTACCATAACCACTGTTTATGTAAAATACATTTGCTATGCATTTTTCAGCTGCTAATCAAGTTCTAAAAAGCTTTGAATAATTTATACAATGATTTTTTCCAGCTTTTTCTCCCATATGAATAAGTTTTCCTCTTTAAAGTCCCACATATTTGTGAGAATGTGAGGGAAACAATCATTTGAATGTTTCCACAAGGTCTGCTACTTCCTTTGATCATTTCAGAAATGCTCTTAGAAATAAATCCATTAAATTTCAGAAATAGAAATTTAAAAGTGGGAAATAAAGTTAGGAGTGTGCAATTAGTTAACAATATGAAATCCTCCGGGCAATAGGTCTATAACAATGTTTGAGTTCCCTTTCTGAGGGATTTTTTTTTATTTTTTTTATTTTTTTTTTTAGTATCTGACACATGTACACACATAGACAGAAGATAAAATAGTTATAATAACATAGCAATAGGACTCTGGACTCATGCCTTGAAAATGTGCATAGCCTCTGTACTGAAATATTCTTATTAGATTGGGGATTTACTTAAGGCTTTGAAAAGTACATTTCCTGGCAATATCTAAAAATACATAAGATGCATTTCTCATATTTCTCTTGAATTTATGAAAATGTCCTTATATTTTCTACTCTCTGCAGAAATCTGGTTTAAAATATGGTTAGAATTCAACAACTAAACTAAAGTTGCATCTGGTTATATGCTTTTCTTCTTTATTATTACGTGTTGTCATATGGATCACAAGTTTGATGGATTTTGAACAACATACCCTCTTATGGCTTAGAACCAATTGTCTCCTCAAAAAACAGGAAACATAGAACCACGTGACTGGGAACATCATTTTCGCTTTTAGGTAGAGGGTATTAGTATGAATATATTAGTTAAAAGACCTGTTACATCCCCCAAGTGTGCGACTTACTAACTCTGTAACCTGGAGGAAGTTACTTAACTTTTCTGTCTATAATATGGAGATAACAACAGGGTTCAACTCGGAAGATTGTGGTGAACATTACACGGCATCATCAAAGCTGTTAGAGCATTGTCTGACACATAGCAAGCACTATGTACATATTTGCTATTATAATTAAGCGATAACCAAGGTGGTTCCAAGGGTCTAAACAGGAAAATCGTAGTCTATTAGGTACCATAGGTGATATAGGGCATAAATGTAGAGGCACGTTTGAAAGAGTAGAGATCACCTAAACATTTTAGTGAGCTGGAAAACAAAGAGTCAAGACTTGTTAAGACGTTTTCTCTTAAAAAGGCATTTAGTGCTCAAGCAATCTTTTGGTAACTAGCTTAACGGAACCTGGGGGTGACAGCAGGCTCCTTTAGGGAGAAATTTGTCAGTATAAACCATAATGCCCATGAGCCCTCTAACTTATCTTTGCTTATCAAGCTCTCCCATTCCCTGCCCAGCAGTTCTGAAATGTCCCATTCTTTTCCAGCCCTTTAACCAACACGCTCAACTTCGCTTTTTTAGTATGAGTTCTACACCACTTCATACTTCACTGAAAAAAGTAAGATGATGATATTGAAACTTTACAGCAGCTATATAAAGTAACACAAAATCATGTTACTCTGTTCTCTTACCTATCCTTACTCCTTCCTGACCACTGTCAACATAACTTTTATACATCCTCTCCACAGTCAGCTCATCTGGGCCATGCTCCACAATATGCTGTCATCTTCTTTGTATGAGAAGATGTTCCCATTGGACTAGATCTTAATTTTACAACTAGCTACAAATATAAAATCATCACCCATACTGTATTTTTTAGATAACATTAATAGCTTTATATTCATAAAACAATTGTGATGATACTAGAACATTCCTATATATAGCCTATACCCAGTTTCCTCTACAATTAACATCTTCCATTAGGATGATATACTTGTCACTATTAATGGACTAAAATTAATACTTTATTTTTAACTAAAGTCCGTATTTTAATCAGATGAATGTACCAGAATATAAGTAAACATGTCTCTATTGCTGAGAATGCAGGTTGTTTCTAATTTGTACATTTTATGAAAATAATTTATGAAGGGATTGGAAAATAGGAAACTTTAAATTCAGTCATGCTGTTTTAACATTTTAGTTTCAAAGCTATAGATTAATCTTTATCACAACACGTTTGATATTACTGCTTTCAGAACTTCATTCTGACCATCTCCCACTTTGTGGAGAGCAGCATGCCTACTTGGCTAACAAGGAAGGCCTACATGTCATAGATTTATTCCATCATTATTTTGTTTCAATGGAAAGTTACAATTCTTTAACTGCTTGGCTGATTGTTGTCCAGATGTCTTTTTTTACCCTGTCATATCATCTTCTATTAACATGGTCTTTAGCATTATTTCTCCTTCAGTTTAAGTCTTATTTTAAATTCTGTAGCACAAAATAAACTCAAGCTGTGCTCATGAAGTCTGTCCATACAACCAGATCCTTCCATTACAAAACAGGACATTTTGGTTGAGCCATAGGTTCATGCCATTTAATGTGGAGAATTTGCACCCTAAGAGATAACTGTTCCCTTTCTGCTTTCGTCCTCATGTGTTCAAAACATCATGCAAATTGGTAGAAGACTGTAATATTTGGGAGTATGAACTTGTGCCTGTTTTTTGAATTTTGTTGAACACCACTCCCCCTTTTCTCCTTCTTCTACTTTTTATTCCTCTTCCTCTTTTTCTTCACTTCCTTCTCTTTCTTCTTTTCTCACTATCTAGTTTGGGCTAATTAGATTTGTTTGATATTAAAGAGTAAAGGAGAAAAATATTCCCTACCATCGATTTTTAAAAAATTTTATGTTACTTAAAAATCAGTCTCTAGAAGGTAATTTTTAGAATTTTATTATTAAACAGAACATTATATTGTGTATAAGCAATATTAGAAGAAATACTCTTTCTGTGGTTGTGAAAATTAAGTTCTTTTTTATTAATTTTAAAACATTAATATCAATTTTGTAATTAAATGTGTACTGTATTTGTCCTGTTCTTTTTTTTTTTTTTTAACTTTTTTAATCTAGATACACTTTCCAGGGAAATTATGTGATCCAAGCAGGGGTCTGCAAACTACGGCCTGCAAACTAAATCCTGCCCTTGGCCCTGTTTTTATACATACCCAAGCTAAGACCAATGTTTAAATTTTCTAAAAGTTACTTAAAAAGATATGTGGCAGAGATTTTCTGTTGCTAGCAAAATCTAAATATTGACTATGCAGCTCTTTAAAAAAAGTTTGTAAGTGTACCAACCATCTCTAGGATAAATGTAACATTTTCTTTCCACGTATTTTGACAGCATATTTCCTTGCCTGTCTCTTAAAAACGCCACACAACTATCAACAAGTAAACTTGACAATATGTGACTAATTGCAAAACAGCAAACGCTGTAAATTGAGTTTAGCATGTCAAGATTTTAAAGAATATAAACTACTTTCTGGTTTACTTGTGTAACTACTTACTTTTTATGTTTTTGTTTCCTTCTAAAATGGGGCCATGGATTAAGCTAATTATAACCTGTAATTTTTAATTAAAATTTTATTTGAAAAAAGTTAAATATACAGGAAACTTCAAAAATAAAAAAGAACAATGTACCAATTATTATATTTTGTAACTTAATACATTCTCATATTAAGTATATTTTAAATAAAAGTTTAATTTTATCCAGCTTCCTGGGTCATGTTCAGCTCATCAAGCACTGGCACCGCTAACATACCTTTACACTGTGGCCTCTGTTTGTTCCTTTTTAACATTTTGTACCCACTTAAATATCTAACTATATTTTGATATCTGGTATGCTTATGTGTGGTTAAATTTATTAAAATGGTATCATACTGTAAGGGTTTCTACAAAAATACAGTATAAACATTTTTGAAAATGTCACTTTCTGCAAAATGACTCACTAAAATAGCCATAAGAAAACCAGAATGTGGTAGACTATTCATAACCTATACAACTTTGTAACCAGCAGAATAAAACAATGAAATGACAACAACAAAAATTCTCAAAACTATAACAGTAATTTAAAAGGCATTAAATTTCCTTTACATAAAAATACTCCAGAAAACTCAGAACATACTTTAAAATGATAAAGATAATTTGACAGAAGGAACTACAAGGAAGGATTCAGTATGCTAAATTATGTAGACAATAGTAAACACACAAATATTATTAAGCATTATGTATCAATGACTCCCTAGACAAAACAAGTGAGTTAAAATACAAAAATATATAGCACAAGTGTTCTCAAAACGATTGTTCTCAAAATTCCCTACACTCTAAAGTTACTGAGTGTTCCGAAGAGCTTTTATTTATGCAGAATAATTAACCATTTAACTATAATAATCTAAATTTCTATTTTAAAAAGTGATAGTAAAACTATTATATAAACATAAAATTTTATGAGAAATAGTAATATTTTTCGAACACAAAGTAAGAACAGTTACAGTGTCTTACATTTTTATAAATCTTTGTAATGTTGTGTTTAATAAAAAACCCATTGATCTTTATACCTGTTTCTGTTTTCAATCTGTCACAAAATTACACACCACATAGCCTCTGAAAAACTCTTCTGTATTTTCTGAGAACATGAGAATAAAAAAAGTAAATAATATCTTAATGTGATTAATTAAGAGAATAATTTTAACCTATGGACTTGCAAGAAGGCTCTTGAGAACCCCAAGGGTTTCCCATGACCCATTTCAGAGAACCACTGGTGAATTCACATCATGTTCAGTGCTGTGTACCTCTGTATCTTGTATATGCAGATACTATTACTTGCTGGTGGAAAATATTAGGCTGACAAAAAATATGCATAAACTAATACTGCTTTCCTGTTGTAATGACATCATTCTCATGCTTACTAATTGGATATAAGCTAATTCCCATTACAGAATCACCGTTGTAATAAAATAGACTGCATGTTTAACCATTTTGCGTGTTTATACATTTTTTAAAATTAACAGAAAGACTTACTGCACTTAAAATTCTGAAACTTGCTGTTTTCACTCAATATCATGCTTTGAGATTTATTCAGGCTCATACATAAACTTAACTTATTATTTATGTGCTACAAAGCATTCTCTCACATGATTATACCATATTTTATCTTCAGAAGTAATAGGTTTTTTACAAATATTTACTTTTATTAACAATCCAGAGTTTCAAAATCATTCTCAGTTCCCTTTGTAAAAATGTAGCTGAAATGAGAATGATTTTGAAACTCTGGATTGTTGATAAAAGTCAGTACTTCTCAGTTCTCCTTGTAAAAATGAAGGTTCACACCTATAATCCTAGCACTTTGGGAGGCCAAGGCGGGCGGGTCATGAGGTCAGGAGTTCAAGACCAGCCCGGCCAACACGGTACATGGTGAAATCCCGTCTCTACTAAAAATACAAAAATTAGCTGGGCATGGCCATGCGTCCGCAATCCCAGCTACTTGGGAAGCTGAGGCAGGAGAATCACTTGAACCCAGGAGGCAGAGGTTGCAGTGAGCCGAGATCGCAACACTGCATTCCAGCCTGGGCAACAGAGCAAGTCTCTGTCTCAAAAAAAGAAAACAAAAATGTACGTGCATACCTGGCAGTGATATTGCTAGGTAATTACTAATAAAAAAATTTATATATTTATATATTTCTGAGTACTGAAAAATTATTTTTAAGTAATAATTGACACCCTCACTATATACACGTGTGTGTGTGTGTGTGTGTGTAAGTGTTTTTAAGACTTGCTCAGCAGGATGCAACTATGTTAGACTTTAGTATTTGGTAATATAAGGACAGAGTCGTGTCTTAAGTTTTACTTTACCCATAAATAATTGAAATTGACTGACTCTTTTGTTATAGATTTAATATTGTTCCTCTTCAGTGAATTATCTGCTCATTGCTTTTGTTTAATTTGTATATGATTGGTTGTTTATTCTTGAGTTTGTGGATTAATGTGCTAGATAACAAGTTTATCGTATTATTGTTTTCATATCAATACACTTTGTTGCTTGAATTTAACAATGACAAATAATTTTTTTAATTTCGATGTCAAAAGTAGCAATATATATATCCCCTATTATTTGTATTTGACATAAATAAACATAAATAAAAAGGATATCCTTTTCCCACTAGAAAAATCCCACCTATCTATTTTAACAGGCCTCAGTTCTCTTTTAAACTCCCAGGCATTTAGTCTATGTGACTATGCATAACCCAGAATTTGTTTCTGACACACCTTATGGTCCATGATCATAACTGAGTTATTATTAAATCTAAAGCCTTACAGAATGGTGTTGTTGACAACCTTTCTGTATGTTCTGATCTTGGAAATTTGGCTTAGGAATAAAGAAGTATTTACACTGTAGGTAGCATGTAGATATCTTCAAGGGACTGAGGATGATAAAAAATAGAAAGAACTAGCTATAGCCTTATTTTCACCTTCAATTTCTGACATAAATCTATCAATGTTTAATATGGCCCCATTTATTTGCTCAGTTTGAACAGGATACAAATTTTACAGATTCTTTTATTTATAAGGCAGACATAATTGAGGAAGATTAATTGAAAATAAATTTGTTATTTCTATTTAAAGTATTATATGTCCATTATAAATGTTAAATAAGAGGAAAGAAAACTCACTTATTTTATAGTAATTATTAGCATATAGAAGTATTTTTAAATCTTTTTTTAAGGATCAATTGTTTTCTAAAAGCATATATTCAAATTTGTATCCTACCATTTTCTACTTAGCATTGTAGAATAAGAATTTAATATTATCTTAATTTCTCTGTATAAATATAATTCTAATTACATCTTAATTGTGCTGTTACCAAAATGAATTACAATGTGGTTGAACTGAAAGACTCTAGAAACAGACATTGTAAAGATTCTTTAATAACAAAGGATACAGAGCCTAGGTATTTGGTTACATAATGCAGGTGCTGAAACAGCATATTCCCAGATAAGCAGCAGCTTCCAACTTCACACAAGGTGCCCATAGAAACCTGAAACTATGACTGACGCTAGTCAAAGTGAAGATTCTTCAAGGCATGACATGTTCTCTTTAATATTTCAATGGGGCTCCCTGACTGGTCCAGATATGCAACGCTGCTTGCTCATAAGGAGCAAATATCTAATGCTGAAAAATCCTGGTACCCCCATGAATGTTCAGTGTGAGATATGGTGATGTTAAAGATTATTTCCAAGGATTTTCCTTCTACAGGCCCATGTCTGAGGTGCCTGAGGCCACCTCTGCGATAATACTATGATAAGTGGATGTAATACTGCATACGTAACGATTCCTCTATTATTTGCTATTTAGGCTATTTTCAATTTTCTCTGCTATAGGTAGTAAAGCAGGAAACAATTTGGGCTAAAGCCATTTTCTCTATTTTGGAAATGTCCTTAGTTTAATGAGGGAGCAGGTTCTTGACTCTGAATTGACTGTGGATAAGTATTTTCCAGAATAATAACTTTAATTAATAATGATGTTTTTGGTTAGAAAATCCAGACATTGGGTCTTTACATGATCTTTTTTAGTGTCTCCATATCTGATTTCATACATTTTCATTTTGTTGAAAGCAGATGCTTTGTTGCATTTCCAACCAGGAAGGAGAGGAGTGTTATACCATGGTCCAAAGAAATCTTTAGTTAGAACAATTTTTCTAGGATAACCAGTGATTTCTGGTTATGACTCTGACTAATTACCTCATGTATCATAAGTTAAATGACTAAATTCACTTTGGAGGCAAGTTTTCTTTTTTGCTTGGGTCGTAACGGGGAACATTTTATTAGACTGGCTGAGGCCTAGGGAAATCCGTCCTATAAAACTATGTGTCTAGTTAAACATATATGTTACTTATGTAGTTATTCTTTGACTAGCAGCTTACTATATGCATAAAATGTTTACAGGTACACATTTTATTCTAACATAGTAACATCTTTACAAATATTCTAACACTCACTTTGCCCTAGATTCTTGTATTTTAAAATAGTCTCTCTTCTGACTATAATATTTAAAACAAATAAATTGAGCTAAATAAGATAAATTGAACTAAATATAATTGTCAATCATAAATATATATATTTTTCACAAGATCAGTTAGGATATAGAAATTAGTTACTCGTTACTTTAATACATGATACCTGTTAATTATGAGTTTTTCTCTACATCACACATCATGTCTGAACAACTCAGTCTGGGAAGATGTTATCTCAGTTAGCCAGGGGCCACCACAGGCACCACTCTCTTCATGGACTTTGAATTCTGTCTTCACATTTCTAATAAAATTGCTTTATGTTTATGCATAAATATTACTTCCCTATCCCTTCTCAATAAAAATTGTCAAATGACATGTTTAGATAATTCAAAGCAAAATTTAAAACTAAATCCAGTTATGTGATTATGTTTATAAATACTATTTACAATTATATTTAATTTTTTTAATTTCTTAAAAAATTTACATGAAATTTAGAAATTCATAACTCTATAATTGTATTCAATTTCCACATTTGTTAATTATGGGCTATAGAGTAAAATTTGGAATATACATTATTGCTAATTGAAAAATTGAAGGTATTAATGTTTATTTGTTGAATAGCCTCCAGCATTGAACATAAAATCTGGTAGATATAGCAAAACAAAACAAAACAAAAAAAAAAGGAAGAACATGGAATTGCATTGCTGTTGAATCTATGATTTAGTATCATTTGAAACATATATAAATGACTTCTTAGTACTTGATACTATCACCCCAACCTCAGTATATAAATGAAAGTTAAATTAATTAAGCAATTCATTCTGCTTATGGATGTTCTGTTTCTTCTACGTGTTTAGCAACAACAGTTGCACATATGCCAGACAAGTCTGGGTGTCAAAAAAGTCAAAATTCATATCTTTCCACTTGCTCAAGTATTTCTGCAAATAAATTAACTCCATCTGTTCTCCAGGCTCACAGATAAGCTAAGTGTTTATAATGGAGTTTGAATATATATCCCAGTAATAAAAGATTGTCCTGAGCAAACTTTAAGAGCAAATGAACATCAATTTAATGATCATTTTAGTGCTAATTGCTATTGTACTTTCAGAACCTGAATTCATCTCAAGGGTAATGTTTTCCTCCTATTACAGTCATTTATTTCTCAACTAGCAGCTTTTAATCTCGACATATCCATTTTTTATCATGTCATCTAAAGAAGTACATTTTAAGAAAGCACATTGTATGTCACTTTTCTGCCTTAAGGAGAACAGATGTTATTATTAAAACACAACTGTTTTTCACCCATTTCTACTTGCTGCTTTAAAGGTTCACATTTACACACACTGTTGACCAGCCTCATTCTGTAATTTGAAGGAGACCAACGTGGATGTAATCATAAGCGAAGTGGAGAAATTCACTGTTAGCTGACACAGAGAAATTTCTACCCTCAGCATTAGCTAGGTAATATACTGGCAGTGGAGGGCAATGGATGTGGAGCGAAGTGAAAGCAATCAGCTGGCTTTCATTCAGTGAGATGGAAGAGCCTGTCAAAGACACCAACAACTAATCAGCTGCCGACACTGATTGATGCTTTTGCCTGCATTCAAATCTATCATAGTGACCAAGTAATGTCTATCGTTTACCCAGTGGATGGATAAACTGGAGCTGATATATGGTTTCTAAGCAAATAGATCATTAATTCTGCCTAATATGTGGGGGCTAAAGCTTAAATCTTCTCCCAAATTGCAACCTTTCCCTTAAGAGAGAGAGGAAAAAAAAAGCAAGTTATGGTTGACTAGGCAATAATGACATTTTTTGCAAGTAACAAATTTGCTGTGTTAGATTTTACTTTAGCAAGCACTTTGCAATTGTCAGCTGGTATTAAACCTATTAGGAAATTTATTAACATGTTAATTAAAATGGCTGAAGAAGATAAGAATTGATGGACTAAAAGAGGCAGCGGATTTTCTGTTACATTACTTCCTGGAATAGAAATTATTTCTCCATGTGATTTTATGCTGTTTTTCTTTTTCATTGATTATTTTTAAAATTTGTACACATTGAGTTATTATTACTTGGCTTCTAATTGCATTTTATTATTACTTGGCTTCTAATTAATTCCAGGGCATGCCAAAGAATGACTTCATCATGACTTATAAATCCAACACTCTTTGCCAATCAATGTCAAAGAAAGATGGTTTGAAACATGTATTGTCAAGTGATAATTTGAGGTATAATTTTTTAAAAGACCAAGGCCTTTATTAAATTATAAATGACTAACTAGGACAGGAAAAATGAGGTTCACTTTCAAGAATGCCATGGAACAACTTAGACTAGTTTGTTAATCATCAAATTTTGGGAGGCAAGGTGCAATGGCTCATTTCTGTAATCCCAGAACTTTGGGAAGGCAAGGCAGGAAGATCGCTTGAGCTCAGGAGTTTGAGACCAACCTGGGCAACATAGTGAGACCTCATCTCTACAAAAAAATAAAAAATCTACCGAGGTATGGTGATGCACACCTGTAGTCCCAGCTACTTGGGAGACTGAAGCAGGGGGATCACAGGAGCCCAGGAGGTTGAGACTGCAGCAAGCCAAGATTGTGTGACTGCAAGACCCTGCCTGAAGGAAAATAAAATAAAATAAAATAAAATAAAATAAAATAAAATAAAATAAAATAAAATAAATTTGGAGGGTTATTCTGTGTTAATAAAATAATTTATTGCAAAACATTGAGAATTCTCTGTAGAATGAATAATTTTAAATGATGAAAGAAAAACTGAAGTGAATTTATATTGTGTTAATAAACAGAATATCTGAAATTACTTTGGGTCATTAATCTCTGATTAAATTACATATTAGATAATTTATATTTTAAAATTTCATGTGTTAGATTTTTATAAATAATTTACATAAAGCAAATCTAACAGATACATTTTTACTAGACTTAGTTCAGATAAGATAAACTGGTTTTACCAAAAATTTGCAAAGTACTTAAATAGGATTACCAAAGAAACTTACATAAAAGTGAGGAGCTCTATGTCTTTAATAAACATAAAGGAATACAAAATAAAGCTGGTTGTGGGCAATAATCTTAATACACAATGGATTACATTTCTCTACTTGGCTATGCCCTTTACATTGTATTCAAGCTATCCAAAATGGAATTACTAAAATTATCTGAATGCTCAAGACACTACATCACCCTATTATATAAATGGTTATTAGAGAGTCAAAAAATATTCAATTCTGTAAAAATGGCAGGATGAGATAACTTTACTAAAAGCAATAATCCACACTACTCAATAGCAAATCTCGGAGCTTTATTAAAAGGGAAGAACAAAGGCAAACTTCCATATCCAAATATTAAGAATTGTGTCTGGAAGATGGGAATGTGCAATGTTTTCCTCTTTTCTATTTTCTATATTCTTCAAACTTCATATGAATATTTGTTTGGTTTAATAATAGAGAAAATAATGTGCTAGAGAGAGACTCTCATACACACACACAAAGGGAGAAATAATTTTATAAGTTAAATCTCTTGTCATTTTTCTTTACATTTTACCTTAAAGGTATTATTTTGTTATGACATATTAAGATTATATATATATATATATATATATATATATATATATATATAACATGTTTGAAACAGTGTCTGAAACATTTCACGTGCACAATAAATGATAGGTTAATAAAACAATAATAGTGACAATTTATTTACTATTATAAAGTAACATGTTATTCCTCATAATGTCTCTATAAAACATTCTAGGCAGGAGTCATTATTTTTGTGTTCCAAAATAAGAAAACAAGAGCTCATATAGTTATGTGTTGCTCAAAGTGACACTTCAGTTAATATCAAGAATTGATGAGAGTTAACTGCAGTTTATGGCAGGCTTGTTTCTAGCATCCTGTAGCTATGGCTTTGCTAAGCCACTGAGAACCTTTCTGGCACAAAGTGGGGACAGTTACCAGTAAGGACCAGGGAATATGAGTTTACATATCTTCTCAAGAAGCAATGTTGGCAATACACTTTGTCTTGGCTATCGATCCTTAGGTACCACTCACTGCTCATACTGCCGCCTCCTCCTGTCACTCCCATTCCCTAATTATTACTTCAGTAGTTCTTCCCCAGTCCATTTTCTCCTCTCTCTGCACAGTCACTGGGACCTATTACTAAATGTCTTCCTTATAAAACACTCTGGACTCAGGCAGGGACTTCATGGCAATGGCTGGGAAATAGTTGTACATTAGAAGTAATATCTACAAAGTCAAGCCTAGTGCAATTCCTGAGCATTCACTGTTTCCTTTTCCCAGAGAAAAAGTAAGATCTGTAAATTTAACTGCCTGGCTACTCAATCAGATTCAGCTTTTTCTTTAAATTTCTTTTCCCTGTTTGTACAAGATCCTCTGCTTCTCTCATATTTACCTCCCATTTTCTGGCATAGTGCTAAGAGCATGTCATATATTTAATACATTTTACATAAATACATGCATATTTGAATAAGTATGATGAATTGTGCAACTAAAACATGTTAGTCTCAATTTCGGTTCATCACAAAAAGCAACAAAACTGAAAGAGGAAGGAATGGTGAGATGAATGTGGTCCTTGACTTATTCTGGCTCTAAAGAGCCTTAACAAAGGTTGTTAACCTTTATTCCTGCCCAGTAAAATTATCTTTGCCAAATGATTATTTTAGAAGCCAAGTGGCAGGTGTATTGCTGCTAGCTCACTGATCCTGCAGGAAAACCCACTATCCCACAGCTGGCTTTGAGACTTGTACCATAGATTAAATTGCTTGGTTAGAGGGGAAAATCAACTGCTATTTTTAAAAAAACTTCACAAAATGCTCGCAATCTACAATCTAATCAAAATCTAAAAGCCCCTTGTAGATTAGTTTTATTGGCTTGTTTTATACTGCAGGACTGATGACAGTTCTCACAGAACCTGAACTGCCTCATTTCTTCCTACCACAGCACTGGTTTTTCGGATAGTCACTAGGAAGAAATGAGTCCTTGAGAAATTGTTCATCTTTGGGATATTTTGTCCTTTTTGTTGATTTTTTTAATGCAGCCAATTTATTGTTTTTTCCGTATGCACCATTCTATTTCTGTTTCTTTGGCCATCTACTCCAATTTACTTATGTTGGTGGGTAGGAATAGCAAATAACCTATCATCAAAGATAATTGCCCCACCATTTCATAATCACTTAAGAAGGGCATCAAGCATTCATTCGATGAACACTTATGGAACATCTACTTGCCAGTAAAGAGGGAGTTAAAGAGAATTGGAAAAAAAAATCACTCCTAGACTGCCAAAATAGAAAGATTCCGTCCTCTATTTTTATCGCAAATATATATATATAAATATTTTATATAATATATTATATATAATATATTACATATAAATTATAGCATATATTATACATTAACTATATCTATATTATATAGATAGAAGCATTATATATAATGGCTACAATTCCAAATGTAGAATTTGATACTTAATTTTAACTCACAAAACAGAAACTACCTCCTCAAACTCCTACACACAGACTCTCAAAAGTGTGCATGCTATGGCAGCCAGATTATTTATATTCACTTTCTATATATCCCTCCATATTTTTATAGTAAGTGGATTATATTCCTAGTACATAACATTTTAGAAGTGAGGTTGTTTCCTTTTGTGTTAGTGGAAATGTTTTTTTTATAACCTTCAAGCCATTTTAAAACAACTCCTTTTTAAGTCAGGGCAGTATTCAGAGTGTTGGCACATCCATTACTGACCGGAGCCAGATTTAATTTAGATACTTTTAAAGTTGAGAGAATGGGAACTTTCTACTTCTGCATTTCAGCATCAGCACTTCATATCCAACTGATTGAATTATAAACGACTGAAGGAAGTACAAGCATTGAGAACATCAATTTGAAATGTAAATATCTTTCTTTGAAATGCCTTCTTCTCCTGACAGACACAAACTTCAAACAAAGCTTTATGCATGTACTGCAGTGGGAGGATATTTTAAATACTACCAAGTCATGACTGTTACTAGTTTAATTGCAGTTTCCAAATCACACAATTCTGAAGGTGACCAAGGGAAAACAACTGATACATGTGAGGAGAAAAACTACAGGGTAATGGTTTCCATACAATGGCCAAAAAATAAAAGAACTTGTTCTGGTCTAATAGTTTTCTGCAAATATAGAATATTGTGAGGTTCTAGGTTCTATTAAGAACTTTTCATTGCTTCTTATTATGTATTTAACACTTGAATCCTTTAGCAGAAAACCTAAATAAATAAATTCTTCTAGTTCCCGTGATATAAGAACAAAAGCTGTGTCAAAATAGTGAATTAAAGTGAGTAGGACTATCCCAAATATTACCTTAATTTTTTACTAACTTAGAAATTCTTGAAACAGAGGCAAATTTTGTTTTGATGTTGTCCCTCATTGTAGGTTTACCTCACACATTTCCTCTCTGTTAATCCTGGGTACCCAACATACTGATAATGATGTTTCTATTAACAAGGCAAAATGAATGACATTAGACTACTGTCATTGATTGACAGCCTAGCAGATCTTGCTATAACTCTTTTCCCCTTCATCTTTGGGACAATCAATTGAATTCTACATTATTCTACCCATTTTATAGCTTAAAAAATTAGGGTTGAGGGAAATTAAAAAAAGTTCCCATAGCCAAATAAGACTAAATAGCTTATCAATTAACTCTAAATTTTTCTGCCTCTGGAATCTGTTTTTTAACAAAAATATGCTTATTTATGCATTTATTCAGCTAACTTTTAATTAATGATTAATACCTGGATTGGCCTGTGCTATGCGTGATCAATTCGATAGTGAGCAAAATAGGCCCCAAGGAGCCTTAAAGCCAGATTGAATTCATTATCTTCCCCATCAGCATTTTTATTTTCACAAGATTTCTTAAGCTACAATTCTAATCCAATATATTGCATCTGAAGAACAAAATTTTAGACTCTGTGGGATGTAACAGAAATGTTTGTGAATATTTTGATTATTGTTTGTTTGTTGGGTATAAATTCAAATTCAGAGGTCATTATTTATTCTGTCCATTGACCAAAATCATTCTTGCTGAATTGGTTCAACAATGCAGAGAGAATAAATCAACTTCTTGTAATCTAAGAGATGTGGTTTTTGTACTATTATACCAGAGGCCCTCCAACTACAATACTGAACAGGTTGTGATAATCTTTCAAAAAGCTTATTTAATAGAGTTATGTTTCTTCATCTTTTAGCCAAATATATATACATATTTGGCTAAAAGATGAAGAAACATAACTCTATTAAATATATTTATTTTTAATATATATATTCTTTATATATTTGTATAAATTTGTATATATACAAAAATATATATTTGTATATATGTATATACACAAAATTATATATTTGTATATATGTATATACACAAAATTATATATTTGTATATATGTATATACACAAAAATATATATTTGTATATATGTATATACACAAAAATATATATTTGTATATATGTATATATACAAATATATATATATACAAATATATGTTTGTATGTATATATATACAATGTATGTATATATATACAAATATATATATACATATATATATATACACACAAATATATATATATATATATATATATACACACAAATTTTGGGAGGCCGGACTTGGCCTCCCAAAGTGATGGGATTACAGGCATGATCCATGGCACCTGACCCCAATTAATATATTTACACTTTCTAAAGCTTTAGTAAAACCTATAAAGGCTTAGAGGTCAATTCTAAGTTTTAGAAATCTCATAAATAAAAACATATTCATATTTTGCTTGGTGTTGCATTATGTTCTATTTAATGACCAATGACATAAAAATGGCCATTTTTGTAAGCCTATTTGTTATAAATTATTCACCTAAATATCTTAATAGTAAATATAAACAGCAATGTCATGATCTATGGCTTTTCATATTTGGATACGTATATGAAAATCTCACCAAAAAGGTATTTTATGGATTCAGAAATTTGTAAGTATGTTTTCTTGAGTACCTTAGGTATAGGTACTTTTGATATTACCATTTGCACAAACACAATATGCATTTCAGGTAGTGTAGTGTGGATGATTCATGAAGATGACTCAATATTTCATGTCATATGTAATCCCAGAAATTATGTTTCTTCAGGAGAAAAAAATTAGAGATGAATAAATCAATGAATGAATGAGCATTACTCAAAAACACACACACAGAATAATCACTCTCTATGTATTCAAGTCGAAATACATGTATAAATCTCTTTAATTACTTTATAATAGCTCAGGTTATTCTGACTGTTAAAAAATTTACATACATCTACTATGAAGTTTAATTAATCATTTTACTTTTTTTTTACCACAGCCAGATTTTAGTTAACTACTGTCATTCAATATATAGATAATTTACATGTGTACTACATATTATATATAGACATTTAGAACAAATGAAACTCAGAATAATCAAAGCATAATCTTTTATTTTTTAAATAAACAATCTGTTTTCTTATCATAATAATATTGTAAGCAATTCTGAATATGTAAACACACCTAAGGATGTGACAGGTTATTAAGCCTCTGATACTGTTTTGAGAAAAATGTTTTCATTCTTGGTAGCAAGTGATGTCTGTGTGTAGAAACAGAATTTCCCCTCAAAAGTGTTAGCAAATATTAGCGCAGTTCCTATTATGTAGCTACACTTAGCCTCATTAAGAGGGCCCTCGAAAATAACAGGCTCTGGGCAAAAGTAGAGGGGAGACTGCGTCCTCCTTATTTATTTATTTGTGACAAAACATGTCTCCACACTCTCAGTTATATTTCAGTGAACTGGTCGGGTATTTTAACCACCACTCAGTAAATCATTCTTACATTAAAAGAAGTAACATATATATAGAATATATAGAAACATATTAGAAATATATATATATATTCTAACTTGTAAAGAAACAACTTAAAAATAAATTTGAAAAACAATGTTGTATATTATCAAAGTCAAAATAAAATATAGAGACAAGCCTCTACATTTGATGTTTTATTTAGGAAGAAATAATTTAAATTCAGGGCATACACACAGACCAGATGGTCTTCAATATGTCCCTAAAACAAAGAGAAGGTTGGGGCTTTAATAGAAAGAAAGATGTTACATATTGTTTTAAATGAAAGCTTATTGGCACTAGAGAAGCTTTGGGGAACAAACAAGCTCTGATTGGTGAGTGATGATGGTAGATAAAACCAGTCTCAGAGTCATGGCAGGTTGTTTCAGCAGCTACTAGGTAAAACTGGTCTTAGAGTTACGGCAGACTGTTTCAGCAGCTGGGCTTGTGAAGCATTTAATTATTGGAACAGGTGCTATCTGCCCTGACTACTTTTTCCCCTGACCCCTGGACTCTGATTTAGTTGGGTATGACATAAATGATCCCATATGTATAATCAATTTTCAAAGTACTTTGAAGCATTAGAAAAAAAAAGGTTAAACTGGACTGATAATATGGGTGAGGGAGTCTTTAAGAGAGGGCAAATAAAAGCATGTTTAAGATTTTACAATATATAATGTGTTTATGTTATGAAGGTAAAATGACACTGCAATAAAATGCTTCTGTTGTATTCATTTTAATAAATATGTTCTTTTTTAAAAATCTCATTTAGGTATCTGTTCATGAATGTACTAGAGTAATTTACTTCAGAGAACAGTTTTAGCATGCTGCACCTTCTCACTTTAAAAATTAATCAAGGGACATGACTGAATAATAGTTGTTTAATATCTATCATCTGTGCATTTAAAACACGGAATATGGTATTTAAACCGTTTTCTTTTCCTGATTTTTATTAGTCTTACTAATAAAGTATATGTCATGTACAGTCATATTCCATTAATAGAACACAACTCAGAGACTATTTTTTCCTTCTTTCCTTTCTTCTTTCTGTCCTCCCATCTTTTCTTTTCTTTCAATGTGTGTGTGTATATATATGTATATACACATATATATACACATACATATATATACATATATACGTATATACACACGTGTGTATATACGTATATATGTATATGTATGTGTATATATATACACATACACACGTGTGTGTATATATATACACATACACACGTGTGTGTGTGTATGTATATATATACATACACACTTGTTTTTTCTTTTTTGAGATGGGATCTCACTCTGTCGACTAGGCTGGAGTGCAATGACGCTATCTTAGGTCACTGCAACCTCAGCTTCCTGGGCTCAAGAGATCCTCCCACCTCAACCTCCCCAGTAGCTGGGACTACAGATGCACACAATGCCCAGCTAATTTTTGTATTTTTAGTAGAGATTAGTTTTGTTATGTCACCCAGCCTGGTCCATTTTTTCTTTTATCCTTTCTTCTTTCCTTTCATTGTTCCATTTCTTCCCCTGACCCCACCAGGTTCCATTCTCTGCCTGTTTCGCTTTTATTTTATACTCACAACTCACTGCAATTTCCCCCCAATTCTCTCACACTTCTCCATAGGAAGCCATTATAATATATTTAATAAGCATCTTTTTTTTTTAGATGGGGACAAAGGTGAGTTCCTGCATTATGCATATGGTTGTTTGGTGTACATATACTTATGCATATAATATTACATTGTTCATCATTCTTTATGACTTTTTACTAAACATTATGTCTTTAAAATCATCCATATTGTTATGATTAGTTTTTATATGTTGCTCCTGTTGCTGCAATGCATTTTCTTTTGATCATTCCCAACAGTTTACCTGTTTATTCTCCTAGGAGAAAACAATAAGGCAGCCTCCAATTTTGTGCCACTGTGAATTCCACTGCAATAAACATTCTCATATATGTTCCCTTGTGAATCTGTGTGATAATTTCTCTGGGATATAGACACAGAAGTGAAATTGATAGGCCACAGAGTATGTGCCTCCTTAATTGGATCCTGGAATGCCAAATAGTTCTCTAGAGTAGCTGCTTTAGTTTATTCTACTACCGGGGTATATAAAAGGCCTCATGTTCCCATATCTACCTCAGTGCACAGATTTTATTTTTCTCGTGTACTAGTTCTAAAATATCTAATTTCCATTTTCATTTAATTCATCCAATTACCAATGATTTTGAACATTTAGTCAAATATGTAGTAACTTTGGGGGTTTTGAATTGCCAGTTTATGATTTACACTTTTACATTGGAGTTGTATTATATTGTACTCTTGTTAACCAAAAGTTATTTCTGTATACTGAATGTTAAACCCTTTCTCTTTCTTTTTATCTGTTATCTCGTGGGTCAGAAATCTTGTATTTTGATAAACTAAAGTTAGTAATTTTTGGCCATGCAGTCTAAGATACCTCATGGTTGAGGCTTTAAAAGAGAAATCCTTTGCCAATTAATAATGTATGTTCCATTTGCTTCTATGCATTTTATAGTTAATCCTAAATATTTATGTTTTAATCACTTAGAATCTGTGTTGCTTCTAGCATAGGTGGAGATTTAGGGTTTTTTTTTCTCCATATAGTATGCCACTTTCCTAACATCTAAAAACAAAAATCTAACTTTCCGTCATTGATTGTTATCATATTTATTTAGCTTCCTAAGTTTATTTGTATATTTGGTGAGCGATTATTTGATAATGTGGCTTTGAGGTGTGTCTTAAAGCAGGCCAGAGCAAGTATAACTTCTTTATTCTTTTTTTTTTTTTTAAGGTCAACTTAGCTTTTCCTTTAAAATATATTCTTGACGATATGAATTCATTGAATTATGAGACAATTTGAAGAGAATAAATCTCTTTTAAGATAAATCATTGTATCCAAAAGCAAGGAATGTCTTTTACTTTATTCAAATACTCCGTGTGTGTGTGTGTGTGTGTGTATAATGAATATGCAGAGTATATCTAGCTATTTCTCCATACTTTGAGTATTAAACATGTTAATTTTTAATAGAGATTTGGGGGGCTTTCATTAATTTAAAATTAAGTTAAAGTTAATTATTGTAGACTTTAAAGCTTTTCCATCTTTTAATTATATTATTCATACTATATTTACTGAAGTTGCTGATATAATTGAATTTAATTCTATCATCTCATTGTTTGTGGTTTTGTTTGTTCATTTGTTCTTTTTTCTTTTATTTCTCCTCTCCTGCTATCTTCTTAATTAACATAGCTTTTATTCTGTTTTGCCCTCTATTAATATTTAGTTATATATTCTTACATGATTGCTTTGGTGTTTAACCTAAGGATTATATCCTATATCCTCTTTCACTATATTGTCCACCACCAATCCTCTCTCTTGAAAAGGACAGGATTTCACAGCAGTTTATCTCATTCATCTCTAACTTTTTACAATTATGATTTTATATTTTACTTCTGGATGTGTTATAAATTAGTAATAATAATTGTTATTTTTGTTGTAAACAGTCAATGTAATTTTGTATTTACCACCATATTTATCCTTCTTCATTGTTTTTTCTTTCTTCAGATTGATGTTTTCTTCTGTGATTACTTTCCTTCACCTTCAAAAACACTAGTAATTATTATTATTATTATTATTATTATTATTATTATTTTGTGTGTGAGACAGAGTCTCTCTCTGTCACCCAGGCTAGAGTGCAGTGGTGTGATCTCAGCTCCCTGCAACCTCCACCTCCTGGGTTCAAGCAATTATACTGCCTCAGCCTCCCAAGTATCTGAGATTACAGGCAGGCACCACCACGCCTGGCTAATTTTTGTATTTTTAGTAGAGATGGGGTTTCAGCCTGGGTTGGCCAGGTTGGTGTCAAACTTCTGGCCTCAAGCAATCCACCCGCCTCAGCCTCCCAGAGTGCTGGGATTAAAGGTGTAAGCCACCACACCCAGCAACACTGGTAATTCTTCTACTGAGTGTTTGCAGGAACAAATTGCCTTAAAACATTTTCTGATTGTGTTTGTTTCCTAAAAATAGGTTTTTAGGGTATAGAATACACACTGATGTTTTTTTTTTTCCTTTTAGCATTTTAAAATATGTTACTCCAGATTTTTTTTTTTTTTTTTTTTTTTTTAGAAAACTGGCAATTGGTCTTGTGTTTTCTTTTCCAAAACTGTCTTTTTTTTCTTTGTTTGTTTCTCTGCTTTTGTGATTTTCTCTTTCTGTCTCTCCTGTGCTTTTATCTGATGATGATGTGCTTAGGTGTGTGGACTTTAAAAAAAAATTTGTATTTACTCAGTTTGTGATTCACTAAGTTTCTTGAATCTGTGAGCTGACATATTTTGTAATATTAGAAATTTCTCAGTTATTATGGGTTCACATAATATCCTCTCATCTTTCCCATACTCTTTCTTGTCCTCCTGGGATCCAGTTCCACACACTGGACTTAATTGGGGCTTGATATTTATGCCTTTGTTTTTCTGATCTACTCTTTGTTTCACTTGTAATATATTCTGTTGACTGGCCTTTGAGTTCAATAGTCCTGTGTACTACTGTGACAAAACTTGTACATTCATTCAGTAAATTTTTACTCTCCAATTTTTTAAGTTCAAAAGTGATCATTTCATTCTTTCTTACAGATTCCAATTTCTGTTGAAATTTACCATTATTTCACCTATTTTGTTGATGGTTTTATTTCCTTTATTGCATTAACAGTTATTTTAAATCCTTGTCAGCCATATAAAATATATGTCAAATAATTTTCTTATTTTTTCTTAATTTTCTATTTTATTTTTAAAATAGAATATGTTCAATATGTTTGAAAATATGTTCAATATGTTTAAAACATTTAAACTAGAATATGTTTTAAAATAAAATATGTTCAAGTATATGCAATAATGCTTGATTTTTAAACTGGTTATTTTTCTTTCACTTAATATCTTTAAGTGGTCCAGATAATATCTACCAGAAAATATTATTTTTTTTCTCTGTTAGGCAGAGATAGGTAAGAACTAAGGCCCTCAAGGATTGAGCTGGTTTGGGCTTGGTTGAAGTTTTAATCTATCCATCCCTGTCTTATTAATGTTTATTTCTGGTCTCTTAATTGAGAGTCTGGTGTTCTGTTTATTTTCAACCAAAAAGACTGTGAAATATTTCATTCTGTGTGTTGAAAAATTTAACACAAGCTCTTTAAGTTTCTGGCTTTCAAAGATTCAAGGTTTGGTAAATAAATTGGCAGGAGGGATATCAATTGTATGTTTAAGGAAGCTCTTTCCTTTCATCAGTACATTGTCTCCTAAGTATTATAGAATTTTGGCAAATTTGGGTTTAACTTTTAAAAGTCTTCAATCTAGTTTCCCATACACCCATATATATCTCCCATTCTAAGCAAATACCTGATGAGGAAGTTGGGACTCAGAAAGCAATACCCCCAGATAAAGGCCTCAGAAGCAAAAGTTTTTCTCCAACCTTCTCCTGCCCTTCTGTCTCTCAGTCCTATTCTGCCAGATTCTAGCAACAGAAATTAGAATCCCTGTTTCCCAATGCAGGTCACAGAAATCAGAAGTCCTTTTCCCCAAAGCCAGCCATAAAACCAAAAAAATATGACTCCAAATTTCCTCCACCTTTCTGTGTAAAAGCTGGACATAAAGAAATGATCTGACCTACCTTGTTTGACTATAGGCCATAGGACTCTCATTCCAGAGAGTGTCCTGCCCCATACCCAAAGGGAAGGAAGGCATGCTCAGGAAGGCTAAGAAGACGCTAGACAGGTAGGCCTTGTTGGGTTTCCCCATTCAGTCTATTAGCACTAGATTATAAACATTAGTCCAGTCATATTTCTATAAGGATGTTCTTACTTTCTTGAACCTAAGCTATCTTTGAGTTTTCATTTTGAAGGCTCCCTTGCACACATTAATAATAAATTTGTATGCATTTTCTTCTATTAATCTGCCTCTCTTCAGTGATTTTCAGCAAATCTCAGAGAGTGAAAGGAAAGTTCTCCCTTGGCTCCTACAAGGAGAAACAAATGCGTCTGTGGCCACTCAAATTTCCAAAACTTTCAGGCAAATTCCATGCAACTACCAAAATTCTTGCTGACTTTTATTTCTTCAGAGAGTCTCTGTGAATGTGCAAGCCAAATCCTCTGTCTACACCTAGAATCAACAACTTCCTAAAGGCAGAAAACTACCAATAATTATTTGCCCATCTCAGAACAACTCCTGCCTTTCTGAAATTCTAATTATCTTGTTTTCAGTGCTCCCATTGATCTCTGATGATTTTAAAGCTATGATCTTTGTAACTTATCTTTACTTCTTGGAGAGGGACCAAAAGGCTGCTATATTATCCTATATTCTACCTAGAACCTGAAATCTATAAACTAACATTTAAAAGCATATGTTATACATCTAAATTCTCTTATTTGTCTTTTATTGTGTATTTTATTTGCATAGTCTGTTTCTTTTTTTCTAGTAAATCAGCATTTCCAAATTCTATGTTTTTAAGTCCTTAAGAAGTACATTTTAACATAAATTCTACTTTCTACTTTTGTATTTTGTCCTAATTTAATAGAATTCTGCAACATTTTATTGATTCTTTTGGCTTGCTCTTTTTGCTCTGTTTCCATGTTCTCAGTTCACTCTGCTTTTTCAGCATTTTTCTTTCCTTAGAAATGCATTTGAATCAGTACACTTCCCTAGATCTACTGTTTTAGCTATGGCCTAACAAACGTTAATTTTTGTCCGTTACCTGAGTATATAGTTCAGCACCAAATGGCATAACCTATGCAGGATCATTAAAATGTCCCCTAAAACAATGTTTTCTTAAATGTTCCACAGAATTTAACACTCATGAGAAAAATTAACAAAATGTTTTTCAAGTTTGAAAAACACTGTATTTGTGGAGATTCTCAATGAGTATTAGCATTTTAATTGTGTTTGGAAATTTGGCAATTAAAAGCAATTAGTTTGATTAATTAACCTAAGATTTACAACCATTTCTGCTCAAAGATTCTTCTTTACAGGTTATGTTTGTTAGAAATTCATAAAACTAGAATTCTATGGTATTTATAAAGATATCATATTTCCACTCCTGAGTAGTGTTATTCAAAAACTTTAGCCAAATAATTTATTACTAGCTTCAGAACCACCACGTTTCCATTAATGTGGCTTTTAATCATTCAGCAAGAAGATTTAGGGAAGCAGTACAGCTTAGCAAATATGATTCTGTACAATAGATTCAAGCAGTTTTTGTTACTCCTAACAATTAATATATCTGTGACCTTGGGGAAGTTACTTAAATTCTGCACCTCTCTTAATTTTCTCATCTTAAAATAGGGTGAAGAAATAAAATATAATAAATAGAGTTTCTATAAAGATTTAATAAGTTTTTAGATTTTATTTATTTTTCCTTTAGTTTTCTAAGAAACTTCCATAATGCTTTTTGTAATAGCGCTCGCTACTAATTTCTATGCCCACCAATAGTTTATGATTATTACACTGGTATTTATTATTTGTTTATCTTTTTGATAATACCACTTCTAATTGGGCTGAAGTGATACCTCATTGTGGTTTTGATTTGCATTTTCCTGATAATTAGAGATACTGACCATTTCTACACATACTTGGTAATTTGTATGTCCTCCTTTGAGAAATGTCTATTCAGATCATTTGCCTATTTTAAAAACAGATTATTCCTTCTGCTGTTGAGTTGAGTTCCTTGTATATTCTGAACATTAATCTCTTATCAAATCGATATTTTTCAAATATTTTTTCCTATTCTGCAGGTTGTCTCTTCAATCTGTAGATTGTTTCCTTCGTTGTGCAGAAACCTTTTAGTTTGATACAACTGATTAATCTATTTTGGCTTTTTTGCCTGTACTTTTGAGGTCTTATCCAAATTTGGTCATTACACATCGCATAAATATAGCAAAATATCACACAACACCCTATAAAAATGTACAATTATTTTGCATCAAAAGTAATAATTTTTAAAACTCAACATTTCTGTGGTGTTCCAACTTAAACTAATCTTAAAGTCATCATTAAAAAAAATCTGAGAAATCTTGAATAAAGAATATTCTAAAAACAAACAAACAAACAAAAAACGGGCCTGTTAAAATATTAAGGCCATAAAAGTCCAAGGAAGCCTGCAAAGCTGTTCCAGATTGAAGGAGATAGGATAACTAAATGCAACCTGTGATTCTGGATTAGAACATTTCCTATAAAGAACATTATTGTGGGCATTTAGTGCTATAAATGTCCCTCTACACACTGCGTTGAATGTGTCCCAGAGATTCTGGTATGTTGTGTCCTTGTTCTCATTGGTTTCAAAGAACATCTTTATTTCTGCCTTCATTTCATTATGTACCCAGTAGTCATTCAGGAGCAGGTTGTTCAGTTTCCATGTAGTTGAGCGGTTTTGAGTGAGTTTCTTAATCCTGAGTTCTAGTTTAATTGCACTGTGGTCTGAGAGACAGTTTGTTATAATTTCTGATCTTTTACATTTGCTGAGGACACCTTTACTTCCAACTATGCGGTCAATTTTGGAATAGGTGTGGTGCGGTGTGGTGATCTCAGGTGATCCACCTGCCTCTACCTCCCACTGCAACTGGCCAGAACTTTTATTACCTGAGCCATATGAGACCTAAGTTTCTGACAGGATGCGTCATCACCTCCAAATACTTAGTCTGTATTTCAAAAAAAAAAAAAAAAAGGAAATTTTCCAACATAACACAATACAGAGAATCAGAACATTAACTGGATCACTATCTAATTTTCAGGCCCCATTCTATTTTTGCCAGTTATACCAAGAGTGTTCACCTGATGGATTCACAGCCTAATTCTACTAGAGGTACCAGGAGGAATTGGTACCATTCCTTCTGAAACTATTCCAATCAAGAGAAAAAGAGGGAATCTTCCCTAACTCATTTTATGAGGCCAGCATCATCCTGATACCAAAGCCGGGCAGAGACACAATAAAAAAAGAGAATTTTAGACCAATATCCTTGATGAAGATTGATGCAAAAATCCTCAATAAAATACTGGCAAACCGAATCCAGCAGCACATCAAAAAGCTTATCCACATGATCAAGTGGGCTTCATCCCTGGGATGCAAGGCTGGTTCAATATACACAAATCAATAAATGTAATCCAGCATATAAACAGAACCAAAGACAAAAACCACATGATTATCTCAAAAGATGCACAAAAGGCCTTCGACAAAATTCAACAACTCTTCATGCTAAAAACTGTCAATAAATTAGGTATTGATGGGACGTATCTCACAATATTAAGAGCTATCTATGACAAACCCACAGCCAATATCATACTGAATGGGAAAAAACTGGAAGCATTCCCTTTGAAAACTGGCACAAGACAGGGATGCCCTCTCTCACCACTCCTATTCAACATAGTGTTGGAAGTTCTGGCCAGGGCAATCAGGCAGGAGAAGGAAATAAAGGGTATTCAATTAGGAAAAGAGAAAGTCAAATTGTCCCTGTTTGCAGACGACATGATTGTATATCTAGAAAACCCCATTGTCTCAGCCCAAAATCTCCTTAAGCTGATAAGCAACTTCAGCAAAGTCTCAGGATACAAAATCAATGTACAAAAATCACAAGCATTCTTATACACCACTAACAGAGAAACTAAGAGCCAAATCACGAGTGAACTCCCATTCACAATTGCTTCAAAGAGAATAAAATATCTAGGAATCCAACTTACAAGGGATGTGAAGGACCTCTTCAAGGAGAACTACAAACCACTGCTCAATGAAATAAAATTGGATACAAACAAATGGAAGAACACTCCATGCTCATGGATAGGAAGAATCAATATCATGAAAATGGCCATACTGCCCAAGGTAATTTATAGATTCAATGCCATCCCCATAAAGCTACCAATGACTTTCTTCACAGAATTGGAAAAAACTACTTTAAAGTTCATATGGAACCAAAAAAGAGCCCACATCGCCAAGTCAATCCTAAGCCAAAAGAACAAAGCTGGAGGCATCACGCTACCTGACTTCAAACTATACTACAAGGCTACAGTAACCAAAACAGCATGGTACTGGTACCAAAACAGAGATATAGATCAATGGAACAGAACAGAGCCCTCAGAAATAATGCCACTATCTACAACTATCTGAACTTTGACAAACCTGACAAAAACAAGAAATGGGGAAAGGATTCCCTATTTAATAAATGGTGCTGGGAAAACTGGCTAGCCACATGTAGAAAGCTGAAACTGGATCCCATCCTTACACCTTATACAAAAATTAATTCAAGATGGATTGAAGACTTAAATGTTAGACCTAAAACCATAAAAACCCTAGAAGAAAACCTAGGCAATACCATTCAGGACATAGGCATGGACAAGGACTTCATGTCTAAAACACCAAAAGCAATGGCAACAAAAGACAAAATTGACAAATGGAATCTAAGTAAACTAAAGAGCTTCTGCACAGCAAAAGAAACTACCATCAGAGTGAACAAGCAACCTACAAAATGGGAGAAAATTTTCGCAACCTACTCATCTGACAAAGGGCTAATATCCAGAATCTACAATGAACTCAAACAAATTTACAAGAAAAAAACAAACAACCCCATCCAAAAGTGGGCAAAGGACATGAACAGACACTTCTCAAAAGAAGACATTGATGCAGCCAAAAAACACATGAAAAAATGCTCACCATCACTGGCCATCAGAGAAATGCAAATCAAAACCACAATGAGATACCATCTCACACCAGTTAGAATGGCAATCATTAAAAAGTCAGGAAACAACAGGTGCTGGAGAGGATGTGAAGAAATAGGAACACTTTTACACTGTTGGTGGGACTGTAAACTAGTTCAACCATTGTGGAAGTCAGTGTGGCGATTCCTCAGGGATCTGGAACTAGAAATACCATTTGACCCAGCCATCCATTACTGGGTATATACCCGAAGGACTATAAATCATGCTGCTATAAAGACACATGCACACGTATGTTTATCGTGGCACTATTCACCAAAGCAAAGACTTGGAACCAACCCAGATGTCCAACAATGATAGACTGGATTAAGAAAATGTGGCACATATACACCATGGAATACTATGCAGCCATAAAAAATGATGAGTTCATGTCCTTTGTAGGGACATGGATGAAATTGGAAATCATCATTCTCAGTTATCTATCGCAAGAACAAAAAAACAAACACTGCATATTCTCATTCATAGGTGGGAACTGAACGATGAGAACACGTGGACACAGGAAGGGATACATCACATCACACTCTGGGGACTGTTGTGGGGTGGGGGGAGGAGGGAGGGATAGCTTTAGGAGATATACCTAATGCTAAATGACGAGTTAATGGGTGCAGCACACCAGCATGGCACATGTATACATATGTAACTAACCTGCACATTGTGCACATGTACCCTAAAACTTAAAGTATAACAAAATAAAATAAAATAAAATAAAATAAAATAAAATAAAAGAACACTATTGGTATAACTGGCAAAAATGGAATGGGGCCTGAAAATTAGATAGTGATCCAGTTAATGTTCTGATTTTCTGTATTGTGTTATGTTGGAAAATTTCCTTGTTTTTTTGAAATACAGACTAAGTATTTGGAGGTAATGAGGCATCCTGTCAGAAACTTAGTTCTCAAATGGCTCAGGAAATAAAAGTTCTGGCCAGTTGCAGTGGGAGGTAGAGGCAGGTGGATCACCTGAGATCAGGAGGTCAAGACCAGCCTCGCCAACCTGGTGAAACCCTGTCTCTACTAAAAGTACAAAAATTAGCCGGGCATGGTGGCAGGCGCCTGTAATCCCAACTACTCGGGAAGCTGAGGCAGGAGGATCGCTTGAACTGTACTTCAAAGATTTCATACATTAATATTTTTTAAAAATATTATGATAATACATTAAAATATTCTAGAATAGTACTGGACACACAATAGATGCTCAATAAATATCTATTGAATCCCATCTCAAATAGAGGATTTTACATAGACACAAATATAATTAAGACAAGATATTAATTATAGAAAACTACGTTACACAACTTTATGTCTGTTTTCAATCCTTCACATTTCCTCCAATTAAAATTGCCCCAATTTCTTCCATTTTATTTCCCCAATTAAAAAAAAAAAAGATTCTTCAACTAAACACTCAATAAATGACTAAAGCCAACCATAGTAAGATTACATACATCATTATATATTTGGTATAATTTAGTATAATTCAAATACATATATAAATATTTATATAGTTTTATATATCAATTTCACGTGTATTATATATAAGTATGCATTTTATATAAATGTATGTACACAAATAGTACATATTTATACAGAGTTCACACTATATAGGTGTGTGTGTTTTATATATATATATATACACTATAAAAAGAAACAATGAAAATCATAAACTTTGGAAATAAATTTTTGTAAGTTCAACATGAATACAAGTATTTTTATTGTTTATTTAATGATTTAAATCTACACAGCTTTGTTGTTTTGATTACTTTTGGGGCATGAAGATATTAATTGATTCACTCAATCTTGATTTTATGCTGTAATTTGATAAATTTCTATTGACTTCAATTTGTTGAGCATTAAATTTAATATAGGTAGCTTATTTTGTGTGTGTTTTTCTAAGTTTATATGACATCATTTGAGCTATTCATGAGAAAAGAGTAACTAGGACCAACTAACAGACTAATTACAAGATATTTTTGAGAGGTCATTTATTTTATGTCTTATTATTTTTATTATGTCTTATTATTTTTTAACCATTTAAACGGGAGAATAAGTACAGTAAAATAAATGTTTATATCTATTAATTGTATCATTTCTTCTTCGTTTCTATAGTAATTTAACTAGTAAATACAAATGTCATCAGTCCCAAACTACTTCAAGTTTTCTGGAATTGGTACTATTTTCAACATAACAATTTATTTCAATCAGTCATTCTGATATGATCATTTATCATTTACAGTTCTTTAATAACTGTGCTAGGAGAGGCAACTGTGAAGACAAAAATATGTTAGGTGGTTAGACAAACTATCTGCACACTGGATATTTGTCAGATATTATATAAATACCTTTCAATTATTTTCATGTAATTAAAGGTGCTGTTAGTATGGCTTGTTCAGATGTAAATAAAATTCAGGTCAATTTGATTTTCTCATAAATCTTCTTAGGAAAAAAATAATCATTTATATCTTCAGTGGAGTAAGACGGGTGAGATTTTGCTTTTCAATGTACCCTTTCCAGCACTACTGCTTGAACGTCTAGAACTTTTGCCTTGCTTTCTTAACTCAAATTCACTCAAAAAAGCTAACTACTCCTTTCTATGTTTAGTCCATTATATCATCACATACAAAATAACATAAATGAGGCAATATTCAGTGAATGTTAGTTAAGAACAGCATTATTAGAATATGATATGTGATACTACGAGAGATATAAAATAAAGTATGCATTTAGTAAAGGATGAAATTATGTACAAATTATGAGCACAGTAATCGAGAAAAAAGGCTTCCCTGGAATTAAATGTTGGAAAAATTAGTCATTTTATTTAAAGTAATTGTGGAAGGCCTTCTGTAAATGCTGAAATCTGTGAAGGCTAGCAATGACTGGTGGATAGTAACTCATGAATAGAATGATGGGGTAAATAATATAATTATATATTCTTTAGAAGGGAAAGAGCTAGCCAGGAGAGATTAAAATATAAAGAATACTACGTAGTTTAAGTTTATCTGAAAAAAGAAATTTACAGCAAAAGAATCAGCAAGAAATATACTGAAAAGTCAGGTAAGTAAAAAGTTCACAAATAACTCACATTCATGGTCATCGTTATCATTATTATTGGTACAATTTTTCAGAGCTTACTGTGGTTCAGGGAAAGTGCTAAGCCTTGAAGTGTATCCTATGTAGTCAGTGTTATTACCCTTTCCATTTTTACAATTAAGAAAATTGAAATTCATAAATATTAAATGTTTTCCCAAAAGTCATATAACTAGGACACACTGAGGTTGGAATCTAAGGCTTTTATTTACAACAGTTAATGCTCTCTAGCACATGACAGGGAGGTGTCATAAGCAATCCACCGCTGGATATGGGACTGAACAAAAATACATTTTGTGACCCTTACCACCTGTATGAACTGATCTTAGACACTATATCATTATCCTACATCATTTTGGGAAAGCATCAGAAGACATAATCCACCTCCTTTCTGAGATGAGGAAACTCAGTTCTTTCAAGGTCAACTCTGAGGTCATATCACTAAATCTAAGATCATACAACTCAGTAATGTCATTTTTTTCTGTAAGAAGCCTTTTTGTAGCTCCACAGAAATGTACTTACTGGGTTCTCTCATATTTCTTTGATTTCATGGTTATCCTAATATTGATTTCAACCAGTTAGAATGTGTTAACTTATACTTTTTGCTAAACTCAATACTCATTCCAAGATTTGGTGTCCTCTCTAAGATTTTTTGCTTATTTGTTTTTAACTCCTCATGGTGGTACTGAAATTTGAATGATATGAATTAATGCTGTCTGTTCTATCAAAACTTATTCTGGGTTTCAAGATCCATGTTATATAGTTAAAGGAAAACATTGGAGCATATGTTAAAGATCAGACATTTTGTAGTTAAGTGTCTTTAATCCTACTGCTGCCATTTTCCAGTGCTGGGATCTTGAGTAGTTGTTTTAAAAAAAGCTAGCAGGCCTTTAATTTCTTCTTCTCTATGATGGAGACTGTTGAGTTTTAGTGATAATATTTTTAAAGCCTCCAAGGCAATGCCAGGTCATATGGGTACACAGAAAGAGTAGCAGTTAATAGTAAGAACTAGATTCCTACATCAAATGTGTAATGAATTAAAATTTTGTTGTGTTATTAGAAAGCAAACAAGATTTTAATACTCACATACATACAAATTTAGTGCCATGGGTCATAATTAATTAATGTGAAAACAAAGGTTTATGTTTTTCATTTGATATACACCTAACTGTAAATTTTGACTTCATATCAATCCTATGCTATTGAATTAATGTTAAAAACTGGATGCTAGAATTATTAGACTCAATTTTCTTTATGTATCCCTAGAGAAAAAAAGATGTAATTTCTCTTGCAGAAATTTTCATTGGTTTTACGAAGCACAAAGGCTTTAGAGTTACATTAGATGTGCAAATTCCAGCTCTGGTCAACAAATTCATGTGTAACTGAGCAATTTATTTACTTTATCTCAACCTTTTTTCTTCTTGAGAAAAATGTGGAAATTCTAGCCTCCATTGCATAGGCCTTCTTTGAAACAGAGTAGATACTCCATAAATGTTAGCTATCATCATCAATGTCATTTCAGCATCTCCATCCTCATCATCATAAGTAACATCATTATCAATACTGCGAACATGGATTTTTTACCGTTTCATAATAATATATGAATGAATAATAATTGACCAGATAATATTGTTAAATGATGCCTTATTGAATAATATATGGAAGTTTTAGAACAATGCAATCGCTTTTTAAAAAGTGTACTTATTTTTATCATTTATTTAGCAGTTTCCACTGAAAAAACAAGTAGCTCAGTTAAATCCTAAACCTTCAAAACTGCAATGTTGCCATCCCCAGCAGAATTCATGCAACAATGGGCACATTCACGTATTCCTTTTCTTACAAGTAGACATTGAATTATGTAAGGTTTCTATTGGCTTAATTAACTTTCTGTAATAGTTTACCGAAGCTGTACAATAGATTTTGTCTCCCAAGTCCCCAAACTAATATTACATACAGGTCATGATTTAAATTTTTTTTTTTTTTACATTATTCCCAGCCAGTTAAAAGACTGTGAATTGAATTGAGTGGATTGTTTAGGATCATGAAGTTTCTAAAAACCCACGTAGATTATTTCCTCATCAATGTGCTAGCATTGACTGTATTCTGATTTCAGAACTTGCTGACTGTGAATATATCCAGGGGTTTTCATATTATCATCATAAAATGAGGAAATAAACAATGACAACTATGATTTAAGAGCCCATATTATCTCCTTGCATGCAACCAGAAATTCAGCTAGCTTTAATTGACTACTATATGTAGTAGCAATGTGTAAAAAGTGGAACACTATATTTTTTGTGCTTTAAATTTGACCTTAGCATTTTCAGTCATTTTTGAACTCAGGGTTTAATTCCTCAATATAGAAGTAAATGAATATTTTAATGTAGCTGGCAACTTTTTTATATTGTCTAGTTTAACATTTTGACAATGCATTGCATCGTTAGTTTTTGACTGCTAGTTAGTTCACATATATTCATATTTATAAATAAAATGTATCAGAGTTGCTCTGAAAATTCAAAGCATAATATACAGTCTGTAAGAAAAGGAGAAACAAATCCTTTCAACAGTAAATGAGTGATATCTAGCAAGTATGCTCTTTTTTATTAAATCAATTTTAAATCTAGGGAAATAAAAATCAAATGCCTGGACAGTATGATTTCTCTGTGTCTATTTTGAGCTTTATATATTTACTGTAAAACGTAACCAAATAGAGTTTCTTGAGCTCCCTGCTCTAAGGACCTCAAAGGGACCTTCTATTATTAAATACCTGGATCAGCTTCTTTGCCCCTGGTTGACATTTGTGTTCCTCTTTCTATCTTATTCCATGCCCATGGGATTTGCTGTGCTTCCTTTTTTCTCTATTACTGTTCTTTCCTCTTTATTACTGTCACCTTCAATTTTATACATTGGAGTGCCTCCCCACCAGGACCCACTGTGATGCAGGAAGCTTTCTCTCTACTACCCTCCTCAGCTGCTACTTTCTGCCAATGAGGCAAGGTTAACTAGAATGTCACGCTTTTACACTACCCCCAGTGCTATCATGATCACATTATCTCTCTTCCTTTTCCAAATTACAATCACATGAAATATCTAAATCCCAGAGACAGGGTTCGGTATCACATCCTGGTAGGTCAGATCTTATCCTATATATTTTAAACAAACAAACAAAAATAGCAATAACATTAAAAAGTTCATCAAAATATACAGGTTTATACAGTTCACAAAGGTTTGTGAACTCTAGCATCAAATTGCAACAGCCCTGGTGCATGTTATTCTACTGGGCCTGTGTCCAGATAGCTCTACTCTGCCACATGCTGTTATAGAAAGCACCTCAGGTATTTCTTACCCTGATACTTCACTACAGCATCCCACCTTACGGGAGTTAGAATCTTTATCTTGGGTATTAAACTAGAAATCAAGACCATTTTTTGTAAGAGGTGTCGTCTCACTGTATTGCCCCCGCTGGCTGGCCTCTGACTCCTGGGCTCCAGAAATCCTGCCTCACCCTCCCGAGTAGCTTGAACAAGAAGCCATATTTTTAAACCTTAAAACACAAATAATTGAACCACTAGTTTCCCTAAATCATAGGTATAGTACTTCACTTCTAAAGGTGGCTGTCTTAAAATCTGAAATGCCCTTTCTGAAGATAGGCATCTTTAATTTCTATAATGGCTCCCAAATGAAGTTTTTTTTTAGTGTCCCTAAGGTGAAGGAGGCAGGGGACACAAGTTCTTGTTTATTTTTCAGTAAACCATTCTATTTATGTATAATGCAGGGACTTTTCATTTTAAGGATTTTAATTTTTAACACAATGAGAATAGATACAAAATTAGTTTTAATAAAACTATTTCAAAATAGAAGTAATTTTGCAAATATCTACAAATCATAGCTTCAGGTATATCGTTATTAAGAAATAGCTTACGCCTGGCACAGTGGCTTAGGCCTTTAACTCCAGCACTTTGGGAAGCCGAGGCAGGCAGATGGCTTGAGCTCAGGGATTTGAGACCAGCCTAGGCAACGTAATCAAGCCCCATCTCCAGAAAAAATACAAAAATTAGTTGGGCATATTGGTGCACACCTGTTGTCCCAGCTACTCCGTAGGCTAAGTTGAGAGGATTGCTTGAGTCCAGGAGGTTGGAGTTGCAGTGAGCCGAGATACCGCCACTGCACTACTACCTGGGCAACAGAATGAGGCTCTGTCAAGAAGAAAGGAAGGAAGGAAGGAAGGAAGGAAGGAAGGAAGGAAGGAAGGAAGGAAGGAAGGAAGGAAGGAAGGGAAAAGAGAGAAAGAGAGGGGGGGAGGGAGGGGGATGGAAGGAAGCAAGGAAGGAAGGAAGGGAAAGAAAAGAGAGAGAAAGAGAGAGGGGGGAGGGAGGGGGAAGGAGAGAAGGAAGGAAGGAAAGAAAAGAAAAGAGAGAGAGAAAGAGAGAAGGGGGGAGGGAGGGAAGGAAGGAAGGAAAGAAAAAGAGGGAAAGAAAGATGGGGAAGGAGGGAGGGAGGGAATGAAGGAAGGAAGGAAGGAAGGAAGGAAGGAAGGAAGGAAGGAAACTTTGTCACCAAAGCAAGTTGATTAAATATCTTCTGTACTCTCCTCCCTAATCCATAAAATTGACATTACTTAACTCAAAATATTTGGTATCAATTACTATATTTTATTAATTCTAAGGCACATAGTTTAATTTCTTCATAGTTTAACATCTATGAAATCAAGATGCCTTTTATAATCAATGCATAAGAAAGGCCTTGTGTAATAATTTATTTGGCAAAAAAAACAAACATCTTGTTAAATTGATAAAATTTGATAAATGAAATAATGTATAAAGTAGAAGGCTTTATGCATAGAAATTAAGGCTGTGCTTTGAAATAAGACTTTCTAGAACAAATTCCACCTCTTCTCTAACTGTACACACGACCTTGAAAAAATGTAACCATTTTTGGCCTATTTTTAACCTTCAAAATGACTGTGATATTAACAATCATGGTCCCTCTTCACTGAATATCTCATTCCCTTATTGTTAGTGAAAATGGTGTGATGTTTCAAACTTTCTGACATGTAGCCAGTGCTCAAGAAAATTTAGCTAGCTTTAGTGAAATGATTTAAAACTCTTTTAAATTTCAAGCATCTGATTTTTTTCCTGTAACTAAAATTATCTAGTACTTCACAGCCCTTGAAAGTATAAAACTTTCTTCAAGAAGTTTTTCCTTCTTGACACACAGGCCAGTGAAGTGATCAAAACAAAGCATGAGTTTTATAGTACTGTTCTTTCAGTCACTCTCAATGAACAGATTTCAGAATTTTTATTGTGTTCTGAATGGTGAAATGTATTTAAGAAATACATGTTCCTAATATATGTGACAGAACAGATTTCTATTAGAAATGGTAGAACAGTAGACCGCGGTAGAATGGATTTTGAAAAAAATAATTTCTAAACAGATTTTTATCCGTCTGGTAGAATGTGTTTCAGAAAATCCCTTTTCTAAATAAGTTGTCTTTTTAAAAAGTTATTATTATTATTATTATTATTATACTTTAAGTGTTAGGGTACATGTGCACAATGTGCAGGTTGGTTACATATGTATACATGTGCCATGCTGGTGTGCTGCACCCATGAACTCGTCATTTAGCATTAGGTATATCTCCTAATGCTATCCCTCCCCTCTCCCCCCACCCCACAACAGTCCCCAGAGTGTGATGTTCCCCTTCCTGTGTCCATGTGTTCTCATTGTTCAATTCCCACCTATGAGTGAGAATATGTGGTGTTTGTTTTTTTGTTCTTGCGATAGTTTACTGAGAATGATGATTTCCAATTTCATCCATGTCCCTAAAAAAGAACATGAACTCATTGACAAACCTGAGAAAAACAAGCAATGGGGAAAGGATTCCCTATTTAATAAATGGTGCTGGGAAAACTGGCTAGCCATATGTAGAAAGCTGAAACTGGATCCCTTCCTTACACCTTATACAAAAATTAATTCAAGATGGATTGAAGACTTAAACGTTAGACCTAAAACCATAAAACCCTAGAAGAAAACCTAGGCAATACCATTCAGGACATAGGCATGGGCAAGGACTTCATGTCTAAAACACCAAAAGCAACGACAACAAAAGCCAAAATTGACAAATGGGATCTAAGTAAACTAAAGAACTTCTGCACAGCAAAAGAAACTACCATCAGAGTGAACAGGCGACCTACAAAATGGGAGAAAATTTTCACAACCTACTCATCCGACAAAGGGCTAATATCCAGAATCTACAATGAACTCAAACAAATTTACAAGAAAAAAACAAACAACCCCATCAAAAAGTAGGCGAAGGACATGAACAGACACTTCTCAAAAGAAGACATTGATGCAGCCAAAAAACACATGAAAAAATGCTCACCATCACTGGCCATCAGAGAAATGCAAATTAAAAAGTTACATGAAATGGAGGCCCTAGGCTTTGGCCTCTAGAACTTGCTGCTTTTCCTTTCTCTTTTCTCTTCAACCTGTCTTCACCTCATTTCCTAATCACAATCTCAACTAGTGGCTTAGCCTCATAATTCAGTGGGAGTAGGAAACCTATCTGAGGGAATTTACTCTTTTTCCCCTTACCAAATCAAAACAGCCTGCATCAGTGGCCTTTTAACTTTACTCCTATCTCTGACATTTATTTATTTCTTCACATCTGTATCTTCAATCTCTCTGTCTCTAAAGGGTCATTTTTACTCACAGAAAAACCTATTCTAAAATCTACTTTTATATAGAAAAATAAATAAAATCATAAAAGAAATCAAAGACACATCAACAAAGCAACTCTACTTGACTTCGTATTTGCTTCCATTTACCCTATTCCTTTGTGTGTCCTAAAGGAAATTATCAGCCTTGTCTCGAAATTCTCACCTTTCATTCATCCCTTGAAATAAATTATTAGGCGTAGTCAAGTTACAAAAGTACACTTACTTTTTGAAATATAATGTGAAAGTATACTTATTTTTTGAAATACAATGTGACACCAAATGTCTTTCACATTACGGCTAATATTCTGTTAGCCATAATTCATCCACATGTCCACATAAAGGTGACTTGTAAATATTGTCTAGCTCTTTGTCAAAAAGAAAGAGAAATTGTTTTCATAACAAAATACCCACTCTTTGCCACACTAGCCTATTAAATGTTCATATATGAGAAAAATGAAATCATTCAAACTATGAAAGAGCAATGTTGCAGAATTAAACTGAGCCATGAGCTAAAATATTCAAGATTAAGAGACCTGTGTTTCCATATATTAGTACAATAAGAAACAATAATATGTGGTTCATCGTTCAGTATGATATTCAAGATGTGTTTTTAAGTGGAGGTCGGATGATATATAGTCTGGGAGGAGAACCAATAAATAAAAGGGTACCAAGTTCAACATCAAGCCTATGAAACTACGGGATTTAAAATGAAAAATTTAGTACTGGAAGGGTGTGTGCTAGAGAGGACACAGTGTTTTCCAAGAAGTGGTTATTGCTAGAACATGAATGGGAACAAAATATCAGAAAAAGGTTGAGAGTATGGGGAATTTCCTGATGATTGATTGTAAATCCTAGAAAAGAGATTGACAGGATGCCAGGATTTGAAAAATGTTAAGTTAAAAGTATTAGAATACAGTATGTATAGAGGCAAATGGGATTAGATTTCATGGGCATATGGTAGGGGTTATGGGAGTGGTAGTCTAATGAGGTATAACCTGAGACAACTGGGCTTCTGTGTGGAATATTTTAAGTGGGAATCCTTAATGCCCCTAAGGCAGGTCATGTTTATGAGGCAATGGAGGGGTCGATATCTTGACAGATCATGCAGTATTTAGGTCTCCCTCTCGACTCCTGCTGATGGAAGTCTCTAGGCTAAAAGATGGGTGGCCCAACTAAAAAGCAGAGACCACCTTCTGACTCCTACTAGTGAAAACTTCAAGTGCATTTCTTCCCATTTATTACTTTAGTTAATTTTATGAAAAGTTCCTAATATTGAATCATCCATGCATTTCTAGAGAAAGAACTAATTGATGAGATTATATTATTACTTTCATATTTTGCTATTTTCTACTTGAAAATATTTTACTTAGAATACCTCATCTATACTGAAAAATGTTTATATGTTTAAATAGCTTGTCTATTTTCATACAGCCTTTATCAGATCTTCATAAAGGGATAGCCATCTAGTTTATTTGGTCAGTTATTCAACAAGAGGTCTTAACCAGGCTGAGCTGGCTGAAAGAAACAGAATTTTAAAAATTATTTTATTTTTTAAAGTTCTGGGTACATGTGCAAGATGTGCAAGTTTGTTACATAGGTAAACATGTGCCATGCTGGTTTGCTGCACCTATTAACCCCACACCTACGTATTAAGCCCAGCATTCGTTAGCTCTTTTCCCTACCGCTCTCCCTGACCCGATCTTCCCCCAATAGGCCCCAGTGTGTGCTACTCCCCTCCCTGTGTCTATCTGTCCTCAATGTTCAGCTCGCACTTACAAGTGAGAACATGCAATGTTTGGTTTTCTGTTTCTGCATTAATTTGCTGAGGATAATGGCTCCCAGCTTCATCCATGTTCCTGCAAAGGACATGATCTTTTTCCTTTTTATGGTTGCATAGTATTCCATGGTATAAGTGGTATATGTACCACATATGTATGTACCATATATGTGATATATGTACCACATTTTCTTTATCCAGTCTATCATTGATGGGCATTTTGGTTGATTCCTCGTCTTTGCTATTGTAAATAGTGCTTCAATAAACATATATGTGAATGTATCTTTATAGTAGAATGTTTTATATTCCTTTGGGTATACACTCAGCAATGGGATTGCTGGGTCAAATGGTATTTCCGGTTCTAAATCTTTGAGAAATAGCCACATTGTCTTCTACAATGGTTGAACTAATTTACATTCCTACCAATAGTGTAGAAAGCATTCCTATTTCTCTGCAACCTCACCAGCATCTGTTGTTTTTTGACTTTTTAATAATTGTCATTCTTACTGGCATGAGATGGTATTTTATTGTGGTGTTAATTTGCATTTCTCTAATGATCAGTGATGTTGAGCTTTTTTTCATACATTTTTTGGCTGCATGTATGCTTTTTTTTTGAGAAGTGTCTGTTCATATCCTTTGCACACTTTTTAATGGGGCTGTTTGTGGTTTTCTTGTTAATTTGACTAAGTTCCTTGTAGATTCTGGATATTAGACTTTTGTCAGATGGATAGATTGTAAAAATTTTCTCCCATTCTGTAGGCTGTCTATTCGCTCTGATGATAGTTTCTTTTCCTGTGCAGAAGCTCTTTAGTTTAATTAGATCTCATTTGTCAATTTTAGCTTTTGTTGCAATTGCTTTTGGTGATTTCATCATAAAATCTTTGTCTATGCCTATTTCCTGAATGGTATTGCCTAGATTTTCTTCTAGGGTTTATATAGTTTTGGGTTTTACATTTAAGCCTTTAATCCATTTGAGTTAATTTTTGTATAATGTGTAAGGAAGGGGTTCAGTTTCAATTTTCTGCATATATGTCTAGCCAGTTGTCCCAGCACCGTTTATTAAATAGGGAATCCTTTCCCCATTGCTTGTTTTTGACATTTGTCAAAGATCAGATAGTTGTAGATGCGTGGCCTTATTTCTGGGTTCTCTCTTTTGTTCCATTGGTCTATGTGTCTCTTTTCATATGGCATCATGCTGTTCTGGTTACTGTAGCCTTGCAGTATAGTTTGAAATTGAGTAGCATGATGCCTCCAGCTTTGTTCTTTTTGCTTGGAATTGTCCTGACTATACAAGCTCTTTCTTGGTTTCACATGAATTTTATAATAGTTTTTTTCTAACTCTGTGAAGAATGTCAATGGTAGTTTAATGGGAATAGCATTGAAAATATAAATTTCTTTGGACAGTATGGCCATTTTCACAATATTAATTATTCCTATCCATGTGCATGGAATGTTTTTCTGTCTGCTTGTGTCCTCTCATTTCCTTCAGCAGTGGTTTGTAGTTCTCCTTGAAGAGGTCCTTCACTTCCCTCGTTAGCTGTATTTTTAGGTATTTTATTGTCTTTGTAGCAATTGTGAATGGGAGTTCATTCATGATTTGGCTCCCTGCTTAGACAAGGTGTATAGGAACACTTGTGATTTCTGCATATTGATTTTGTAGAGACATTGCTGACATTGCTTAAGAAGTTTTTGGGCTGAGTCAATGGGGTTTTCTAGATATTGGATCATGTCATCTGCAAAGACAATTTGACTTCCTCTCTTCCTATTTCAATACGCTGTATTTATTTCTCTTGACTGATTGCCCTGGCCAGAATTTCCAATACTAATTTGAATAGGGGTGGTGAGAGAGGGCATCCTTGTCTAGTGCCAGTTTTCAAGGGGAATGCTTCCAGCTTTTGCCTATTCAGTATGATATTGGCTGCAGGATTGTCATAAATGGCTTTCATTATTTTGAGGTATGTTTCAACAAAACATAATTTTCTGAGATTTTTTTTTAATTTTATTTTTTGAGATGCAGTCTCACTCTCTCGCCCAGGCTGGAGTGCAGTGGTGTGATCTTAGCTCACTGCAACCTCTGCCTCCCGGGTTCAAGCGATTCTCTTGCCTCAGCCTCCTGAGTAGCTAGGATTACAGGCATGTGCCACCATGCCCAGCTAATTTTTGTATTTTTAGTTGAGACTGGGTTTCACCATGTTGGTCAGGCTGGTCTCAAACTCCTGACCTTGTGATCCACCCAACTCAGCCTCCCAAAGTGCTGGGATTACAGGCATGAGCCACCGCACTCAGCCTCTGAGATGTTTTTAACATGAAGGATGCTGAATTTTATCTAAGGCCTTTCCTGCAGCTATTGATGCAGAATCAATGATCGACTCTTATGCCCTCATTGCTCTGACACCACTTTTATGGTCACTAACAACTTTTTTTCTTGCCATATCCTGTCATTTCTTCTTCCTGGCATCTTTCTAAACCTTAAAGGGTAGTCGATAGTTGTGAACTGCGTCCTTCTGGAACATTCTGTGCAGTTTTCTTCTACCTCTTTAGCTGCATATTCTTAGTCTCTATTGCTAAATGCCACCCCCTTTTATTTAAAATTAGAGTATTCCAGTCTTGCCAGTCTGCTTTCTTTGCTTTATTTATACTATTACAGTATATGATAATATCATTTTGTGATTTTAAATATCTCTTATATTATACCTTTAACTTTATATCATCATTAAAAACCCTACAACTGAATTTCAAACATGTATATTAAACTGCCTATATTACACTGTTTCAAAAATTATTCATAAGATTTGAATGTATACAAAATGGGACTTTGAGTCCCATCCTATCACACTCCACAAACCTGTTCTTCCTAAGCCATTTTAATTCAGTAGGTAGCCTCTGTTTTAACAAGTTGTAAAAATAATTGCTTTTCTCATAAACTGCAGCTGGTTTCATCAACAAATTCTACAAAATATTTAGAATTTTTTTTTCTTATCTAAACCTCACCTACCACTACCCAATACTACATTTATATCACTTCACTTCATACATCAATTTCTGCAATAACTTGTAATGGCTTCCCTCCCATTTTTTCATCTCTATAACCCATTCTTCATTTACCAAGAATAGTAGATCAAAATCACAAATGAGAGTATGCCAGTCCGTAGCTTACAATAACCCATTCTTCATTCTCTAAGAAGAGTAGTAGATCAAAATCATAAATGAGATTATGCCAGTCCCTAACTTACAAATGTGTCACTTACTATAACCATAAATTCACATATCTACCATCATCTTACATAGCCTTCCTCTTACACAACATACCAGATCACTTGGGCATCATTTTCTTTGCTCAAAAAGGCCATTATCTTTTGTAAAATGGCCCTTTCTTTTATGCTCATCCCTAGGCCATTTTTAAAATTATTTAGATACCAGTTTACAACCTTTCTTCTCAAGAAGTACTTTCCATGTCAGTTCATCTTTATTAGACTACCGTATGTATTTTTTTACTTCATTTATTAAAAATTTTAATTAGTTGGGTGCTATGCATGTATTTTTCTGTGTTTTCTTGCATTTCTCTCTAAAATGTGAATTCAAGGACTTCGTTTATCTTTTTTACTGCAGCATCTCCACTGCCTAACATAATGGGTGGACTATATGTGTATATGATTGTAGAAAACGATTAAATTATGCTCAATTTCCTTCACAGGAAGATTTCTAACTAAAATTCAGATAAACCTTAATAGTACATAAACTACTCTTTTATGTCACTGGAGGCAGGGGGCGGGAAACAGAACAAGAATCTAAATCTGGTTGTAATTTCAGGAGGTAGAATTGGTCATGAGACTTGTTTAAGTTGGTTCTTGTTTTCAGTAGGTAGTGTAGAAAAGTAGAAATTGTAAAAAGCCTCCTGGGAATAGGTAAACACAGGGATCCATGACATAGTTCAGAGAACCTATCTATCCAACGGGGCCAAGAAAAGGGGGAAAAATGGGTCCGAGGCAAAGAGGCAAACCAATCCACACAAGAAAGATTTGAAGCATTTGAGAAGAGTGAAAATAAAGTGAAAAAGTAAGTTTCTCTGAGGAACAAATGCACAGCATCAATTCCATTTTTAGGAAGGGATTACAGCTTGGCCCTTGAAACTGGATCAAAATTAAGGATCTAGGTTTTACTGGGCACTCTGAACCATAGGTAGAAAAATTATTTCTATTATGTTTCTTAATAGTATAATTTAATGCCTTCAAAGGCAAGAACAAGTGGCCTATTCCCAGCCTGCCTGTTTAACCTATTTCCTATTATGTCATGCATCATTCCTGACTATGACTTCTGTGACTACCCAGTGTTAAATGTGTGATATATTTCAAGTAACATGCTTGTATATGAAAGTAAATATATATATATATATATATATATATATATATATATATATATATATATATATATATATTCCAGGACAAAAGAAGGCACTGGGAAAGCTGATCAGAGTAGAGGTTTAGTGAAAAATTAAGGTCAAATTTTATGATGAAGTCAATCATTCTTGAAAAGTATTCTTTAAGTTCAAAGGATATTAATGAGAGTGTGGTGATGAATGAGGTGCCTTTAAACTCCCAGGAGAGAGAAGTTTGTATAAGCTAAAGAGAATGGAAAGAGATATGTGGAAATAAGGAGCAATGCAGAAAAAGGCAAAATGACACTGTAGTCAAAGAATCTACCTTGCCAGATAATGCAATCTTTCCTTGAAGCTGTGAGTTTGGTAATAGGTTTGTTAAATACCCCCACAAGTCTAGTGGTTTGAGATATCCGTTGGTCCCTTAGACAAATCAAGCATATTTCCAAAGCCCAAATATTACATTTGGTAACATAACACTGAATCAATGTTTAATTTGTCCCTCAGATTACATGTTTGTCACTGATATGGTTTGGCTCTGTGTCCCCACCCAAATCTCATCTTGAATTTTAACCCCCATGTGTTGGGGAAGGGGCCTGGTGGGAGATGATTCAGTCATGGGGGCAAGACTTCTCCCTTGCTGTTCTCATGATAGCATTCTCACGAGGATCTGATGGTTTGAAAATGTGTGGCACTTTCTCTCTCTCTCTCTCTTTCTCTCCTGCCACCATGTAAGATGTGCCTTGCTTTCCCTTCACCTTTGGCCATGAATGTAAATTTCTTGAGGCCTCCCCAGCCACATGGAACTGTGAGTCAATTAAACCTCTTTTCTTTATAAATTACCCAGTCTCAGGTAGTTTTTGATAGCAGTGTGAAAACACTAATACAGCGGCCAAGCAGAAACAGATTATCATGCTGTTCATCACAGCTTTAAATTCCATTGTACCTTAGAATTATCTGCTCTTTTTAAAACTTTGCAGCATATTTGTTTTTCTTGTTTATTTATCTTTTTGTTCAGAACTATAGTATTTTTAGACTAGCAAATTCAACCTTCCTAGAAAATATATTTTATTTCATTACCAAACAGATTATATCAATCAAAGCAGATTTATAGAATAAATAAAAAGAATCAACAAAGAAAAATGGAAAAGGTAGTATCTATGAACTTCCCTACATATTGATATATTTACTATTATTATATCCTAAAGATAAAACAGCATTTTATTTTAAAATCTTACTTCCATGTAATATATATTAAATAAAGACATTATATCAATATTTTAAAAAATCAAGATTATTTCTTTTGCATGCCAATAATTAAGTTATGAACACAAAATTTTGGTATCAATAAAATAACACAAAATATTTTACATCATGATCACTGTCATTATTTAGCACCGTGAGCTAAATGTTTTACTGGCTGCAGAGTAGGATCTCCTCAAACTTTCTATATAGACCTGGGATTATAGAAGCCAAAGATTTTATATGGGATGATTTACAAAGCACAAAGCTGATACATATAGACTTAGAGGAGAAGTTGCTGAAACTGATTATGAGAAATAGAAGTGAAATCAAAGGCGATCAAAGATCAGGTGCTGGAAGGGTGACATACACACAAAATTGTCAGTTCAGTTACGTGATTGCAAAATGTTCTATGACTGGCCCCTGTGGCTTCCACTGCTCTTAAATGAGTAAAAGTAAGGACCCTGTGTCGTCATATTATGGAGTTCCTGACATAGTTTTTAATCTATCAGTGTACTCTGACAAAGTCATTCAAAAGATTACAAATAATTATAATTTTTATTTCATACTTTATTATAATACTGTATAAATTCTTCTCCAATTTTCTTTGCTTCTCCAAGTGTTTAGTACATTGTAGGTACCAAAATAGAGGTGTTTTTCTTTTTAATGCTATTTTAACCTAGTACTGAGGCACGATTAAAGGCTGGTTAATTTTCTTTCTTGATCTGTTGATTAAATCAACTCTCTAACATTACATTCAGTCAGGTCTGTAACACTTCAGGTCAGTGTGTACAAGCCTTAATTGCCCCAGGGCCAGTCACCAGATAACTAAATACAGCCCTTACATCCCCCAGAATTCATTCAAACTAGCCAATTCACAAGAAGCCTGAAAAATTTAACTTCACCCCACTTGTCATACATAGACTGCCCCCTACTACTGTAACTTTCTGACACCCTGTCCGCAAATCCAACTTTCCATGTGATCCTGCTTAGCAGCCCTCTGTCTTGGAGCTGTCAGTAACAAAAAGTCTGCCTTTTATCAATTCAAGTGTCACTATTGTATCCCACCATCAAAAGAATTTTTAAATCTTACAAAATAGGTACATAATGTGTGTTTCTGGAAATAATTTATAATTGAGCACCTACCCGTGGTCATTAATTCATAAATCTAGTATAACTCAATTCTTGTGTGTGCAGTCTCCTTAGTTTAGTAAGGTCCAAGTTTTGTCCCACAACCAAGATGAATAAGGCATGAGAAAACTGGGGAATGAGTAAGGCAGAGTAGGATTTATTAAGTGAAAGAAAGCTCTCAGCAGTGAGAGAGGAACCAGAGAGGGTTGCCAAAAATGGGGTTGAGTTCTGGGTCTTTCATGTGGCAGAAACAAGAACGTCTTCTGTGGGTTTTACCTTATTGGGAAGGGTAAAGCTTCCCCCTGGGGTCGTCGCATCTGCACATGCCTGGTGTTGGCCATAGTGACTCCATCTTGGTTGTTACCCATTAGTGCCTAAGCGAAATCCATGGGGTGGGGGGTGAGTCTAAAACCACAATAATACTAATGGCATCATAATGAGTTCAAGGTCATTTTAGAATGTCCTCAGTCTTTGTCTGCACCTGCACTTGCAGCTGGAAAGTCCCTTTATGAGCAAGAATCTTGCTCATAAAGCACATTTCCTCCTGCTAGCTACATAACAAAGGCAGTGGTGGTGTGGTCCCACAGGCAATGTTCCTCTTCTGAGACCCCTCCTATCTATCTGCCTAACCAGCCTCTACCTGCCTCCTCTCTCATTCCAGTGGTGACCCTAATTGCCATTAGAGGGAGAGGGTAGATGACCGCTCAGGCTTCTTCAAGCTGTGAGAGGGCATTGTTACTGTGGCAGTAAGGGATCCTCCAGAGGATGGTCTAATGGGCCTGAGAGGAAGGGTTCTTTCACACAGGGTTCCATCTGCATCATGATCTGGAGTTTGATGGCCTCTATGCAAGAAGAAACAAATTTGGCTAAAAGATGTAACACACATGGTCCAAAAACCAGGTAAAGTGTAATTATTAATAGGGGGCTGGCTAGGGGAAGGAGCCATGAACCCCAACTCCACATTTTTTTTTTTTACCAAAAGTTCCATGACTCAGAAAGCTGTAGTCATCTCCTAGAGGCTCAATCGGCTAGTTTTTGGGCAATATCCCTCAATATTCCTGACTGATTGACATAAAACTGCATTTTTCCTCTAGAAAAAGACATACGCTGCCCTTTTCAGCTGTTAGAAGATCTAGATTTCTTCTCTTTTGTAAAGTGACCACTGCCAAGGAGTCTATTTAATTTTGTATGGTAATGATACTATGGGAAAAGTCATCCAAGCTCTCCACAAGATAAACTCTGCTGTAAAATTAAACTGATTCCCAGTATGCATAGCCCCAGTATACACAGACCATGGTTAACCACATGGGACCCAAAAATATCTGTTATTTTGTTTTATAGAATGGGAAACTCAGGGGGTGGATACCTATGCTATTAAAACTGTTTGTTATAGAAACAAATTAAAACATTTACTTAATTATTACAAAAGAAGTGAGTTCAGTTGCTTGGAAGGAAGCAATGAAACTGTACAATATAAAATGGTTACTATAGTCTACAGTAACTATGTAATAAAGTTACCAAAGGAAGCCTGTAAGTAATTACTTATCTCTTGGCTGTTTAAAAAACAGGTATTTTAGGTCTTCCACAGGTTTGCTATTGTAGTAGCTGATGGGAGCCTCAGGTTGCAGGTCTCGGGCCTCAGGTATTACAGGCTTGACCCTGGAAAGATATAACTAACCATCTTATTTCCTGACCTGATTTAAGGCTGTTTGCTAGTTCCTGGCCTGATTTCAGGCTGTTGGCTAGGCGAGCCTCGTGTTCTAAACCTCCAGATCAGCATCAGTCTCCACCAGAGCAAGGCAGAGGGTTTGTCCAGGAACCATGGAACCCATATGAACTAGAGAATTCCTGTCTAGCAGAGGATTTGGACTTTTATGTATGATTAATAAGGCATGAATTAAACAAGAGGCTTTCCTATTTACAGCTGAGGGGGAAAATATCGAGTAAAACACTTTCCTAAGATGTCCTTCATGATCATGCTAAGGAACGAGGGGAGGCCGGATTGAATAGGAGAACAGAAATGGCTACTCCAGTATCCAGAAGGATAGTTCACCTGCTTTCAACCTCCAGATTCTACTAATAATTGCTGTTTTACTATAAACTGCATGAAACAGTTTATCTTTACTATAAACAAAATAGAAATACAAAATAATATGTCTACCCAAACAGTTTTGAGTTGTTTCCATTGCAATGGTGGCAATAAATTGTCCTATATGTAATAGTGTATTTGAGGAGTACACATAAGCTGTCTTGGTTAAAAAATTAAATTAAGTGCTCTATTCCCTGCCAGCTGGCATCTGTTCCTAAGAAAACATGTTTTAATGTTCTATTGTCTATACACAATCATTTTTAATGCACCCTGAAGTCCACTTTTATAACAAGCTTCATTCCATAGCTTGTTCCATTGGAACTATAAGCAGTGGAAGAAATAAAAGAGAATTCGTTATTTGGAAACAGAATGAAGAAAACAAAATCTATTTTGCTTGTAAATTGTGCTCCGTTTGGCTGAGGTAGATATTTATGAATGCTATATTGGGTTTAGGTGTGATGTCTAGGAACAGAGCAGTGTAGAAACATATATTAAAAGAGAAATGTGTTTTCCCTTTTTAGTTATGCTCCAGTTATTCTAAATTTAATCTTTTGAACACTTGCCCTGACCTTAGGTATGACACCAACTGTTTTAAGACACTTAAAAATATGTAAGTACACCCATCTGTGTGTTATATGTATGATATTCTGAAACAAGTACAAATATCCAAGATTTCATGACAGTAAACTGCTATTACACTCTATGTGGTAAACAGATATTAATATAGCTTCCTTTATTTCTCATTCATAAGTATTGCAAGTGTTAAATGTTGATAAGATCATTATATACATCCTCCATCAGGATTTATTTTCTTTAGTGATTTGCTAATGTGTTTTAAACATGAATGAAGCTGATTTTTAAAATTATTTCACGGCGAGATGATATCAACATCTAATTGACCTTGATGCTGTAAAGTTTTGATTACAGATTCTTTTGAAAATGTCCTTATTTCCTTATTTCCTTCCTTCCTTCCTTCCTTCCCCTCTCTCTCTCAATCTCTCTCGTGCCCTTCCTTCCTTCCTTCCTCTCTCTCTCTCTCACACACACAGACACACACACACACACACACACACACACACACACACACACCAGATTTCTAAGCAAGCATAACTTTTAGGACACGGTCAAATAAAACTATAGTTTGGATTTCAACTGCTGCCCCTTTAACAATTATTTAGTAGACTTCTTTCCCTGACCCTAGATGAAAGTTCTTGTAGTTTCAGTGATTTTTTTTTTTTTTGTTCACAGTTAGGTTGTTTAAAAGCCCTATAATATTTTAAGTCTTAAAATACTGTCTCAGATAGAAAATTAAAAGTGTTCAGACCAATATAATATACATTTTCTTTTTAAAATTCAAAGATACAGTTTTTTCCCATCTGTTTTCAGAGATCTGTAGTCAGGAAGAAAGACATCTTACAGCATGCTAGAGATCGCTATTGACTTTTTCTTTGACACCATATCTCTTTCTCCACACCTATTAAGAATCAGAATGTGATAAGAATTTAATCTCATCAAAATCATTCTAATTTTGCTAGCACTATTGGAACTCGGCTTTACCATCGTTAGGCTTGACATGCAACTAAACTAACTCATTCTTTTAATAAGTATTTTGCAATTTCTTCTGTTTCTTTTTTTGTTTGTTTGTTTTTGAGAATTAACCCCCATTATTAGAAATTTTTACTGGTAATGTATTTGATGATATTGGTGAATTGCTCCTTCTGCTGTTTCCTGACTTCCTTTGCTTAATGCAGGAGGCCAGAGATACTATTACTTCCCTCTTTTGAGCCTGTTTCCTTCCTATAGGTGGGCCTATACTACAGGACCAAAGAGAGCAATTACAAGTGAGCTAGCTATCCTCACTCTTGACCACATATAATTCACAATATATGTGAATATGTGAATATATTCATAATATAGCTTTGTCCCCCAAATAGTCTTCAGTAGATCTGTGTACATCTGGCTCACCTATATTATAATTTTTGAATTTTTTAGTTTGAAGACACAAATCCACTCTTCCCCACTCTGCACCCCCCACCCCCAACACCTCCATTGGTTCTAAGTTTCAAACTCCAGGCTGAGATTTAAAAAAAGGTAACTCTCCCTGCTCTCTTGATACTTACTTGCTATTTATTCTCTAAGGTATTCACACTCTTGACTTTATATTCCCTCCAGGGTGTTAACTTTGGAATCAACTAGCTTCTTTTCAGTAACCTATTTTGAAACATCTTCATGATGAACCTGTGAAATATAATGCCTATTATCTTTTTCCATAAGCTAGAACTGAGATAAGAAGAGTTCACTCTTAATCTTGAGATAAGGTAAAGGATAGTAATAGTTTTACATATTATGATGCATTAATGTAAAAATCATTTTCAGAGTTTTTATGTTACTTAGCCTAGCAAACCTATATCAAGCTTAGTTGTCTGTTAAAGCATTTAGCAAAATAGAAAATGTGTGCTCCAAATAATTGCCAGAGTGTAATCCAAAAATCACATCTGATTAGTATTTGCAAAATAGTTGAAAAGATTCATATTAATAGACTTTGACCTAGAGAATATGCAGTCTAACATTTCCTCTACATCAGTTTTTCTTGAATTCCCTACAACGTTTCCTCAGGCTCTAATCTGCACAGATCTACCAGTAAAAAAAAAAAAATCTATCAATATTTACTTTGTATAGATTTTATTTTTATAATAATCTAATATATATAATATTTTAAATCTCTTAGAATTATTAAAAATAAAATTAGGCTTTAGCACATTCTATCAACTTACTGTGAGAAACATTGTAAGAATTGTTTATAGGAAACGGTTATTAGCTTCATAACTTTGTTGCTACTACAGTTTATTTCATAGTAGTTTTTTATGAGGAATACAATCACTGAACTATTTCTTTTGAGTTTTAAAAGGTAATTGTTATACTTATATTGAGTAATCTGTATTGTTTGTTTTGAATCATGAACATCATTGATAATGTAACTTCTTAGACTTCCTTGTTTGGATTGTCTTTTGAAATGTTCAGAATCTAATTTTGAGAATTGGAGGTCACACATAGCATGTAGACAAGATATCAAAACAATTGTTTTCCACCTTTATATTACTTAATATTATTTTCAAAAGTATATTTCAATTTTATATTACTTTCTACCACTGTGTTACATATATTTCATATTTTTCTATAAAAACTTTTTGGAATATGATAGAATATATATTTTTAAAAGCATTATGCTTATTATTCACAATCAAAGTGTAAGATGAGAAATTACTAAGCCTATTTTATTTAAGATAAATTCATGAAACCCTAACCATTTAAAGCCATGTTTTCCCCTGAGATATAGCCAACAGATAAATATATATATATATATATGTGTATGTCTGTGTATATGTATATGTGTGTGTATATATGTGTGTATATATACACACACATATACATATATATGTATATATGTATATGTGTGTATATATGTATATATATACATATATACACACACATATACATATACACACATATATATGTATATACACAGACACACACATACACACATACACACACACAGTCTATGTAAGTTCATTTGGGTCATTTGAGACTGTTACCATTACCTCTAGTAATTTGATAAAGGAATGGGAGCTAAATAACCACAAAACACTCTATAGATTTCATGGAGTTCAGGAAACTTTAAGTTGTAAGACACCAAAATCATGCACAATAGGAGACTTCCATTTGGAAAATTATAGCAGATCTTTGGCTACCAAACCATATTTGAATCCCCTTCTTATGCTTAGGATATTTCATGAAGAATATACAGCAGATAATTCATTCTGTTAAGGAGATTAGCAGATATATCCACTTCCTAAGGTAGCTGTGTAAGAGCATCATCCAGTGTTCAGATCGTGCAGACTCCTGAAGTGCTGATATCCTATGCTAAACGAGACCTCTGCAGGTAATTTGGACATTGTTTCTGTCTTCATTGCCCTACACCGGATCATCTGCTCTCTTTTGTATATTCTGTGAGTTGCCCAATAGTTTTTAAAAATTAAAATAATTGAAGTATATAGTGTTGCTCATAAATAAGAATTCTGATTGATATAGCTGGTACATAACTATCCTGAGCCTCTCTTTTATAGACTTGAGAATACGACACGGAGACAGAAGAAAAACAGAATCAGAAGCAAAGCTGGATAATGAATGGAAATAGAAGTGGACAGAAGTGGAGAAAGATGAGATAGATCACCAGAGAAAAGAGCAGAGGATACAGACTTCTGAGGTATAACCAAGACAACCAGATCACATGAGCTTCTGTAACTTTCCACAACTGCTTTTGTTGTATCTTCTTATCCAAGGATTCATCTACTGTTTCATTACTTTATTGGAACTTTGTGTTCCCCCCAAATGAATGTGTTTGCTTCCTCAGATTCAAGCATATCGCCTTACGATGTTCCCCCTTACCAGAGTATAAGCTGTTACTAAGTTTTATAAGAGCAGAGACCAAGGCTGTATCTGTTTTATTCTGCACCATGTATTCAGTTTGGCACAGAACCTGGCTCATAGTTGGCTGAAATACATGACAATGAATGAAGGAGTGAAATTAAAATAACAGACATAGTAAATTACATTTACACAAAGAAATATTTTGATAAATTATCAGTCCAATCTCATTTTGACTCCATGCAGACACACACACACACACACACACACACACACACACACACCTATTTTTCCCTTTATTTTAAAAAATTCTAAATGAGAGAAGTGATTCTGATAGTCGACTAGGGAACAAAAGACACATTTACTTATTCAGATTCGTGAACTTCTCTGAGTAAGAAGATGATATTTTTCCTTTTTCTCTCTAAAAATAAATGTCTTTCTAAAAAATACAAACATTATCATGATAACCAATACCACCTGGTATTATTTATTATTCCAGTTTTCTGTCTCCCGCTGCATTAGATCTCTGTTCTGATGCAATATTTTTGAATATCTTCCTATAGAGCTTTCCGTATGCTACCTTCAATAAACATCTTCTTTCCGCAGGAGGTTTTCTTTGGTTAATAACACTCTGTAAGTACTTAATGTGACATTATGATTTGTTGCAAGGGTAGGCTGAACAGTGCTTGACCTCATATAGTTCTATAGATCACTATTGATTTAAAGTGGCAGACCAAATTCTCCACATTAGCCTGCACCACATTTTTAATACATCAATAAAACAGAATTACTCCAAAGGAAACAATTTTGTTAGTGCTCTAAAGCAGTAAACAGAATACAAATCTCAGGGTACTTTCAAAAGTTATTGATAAATATATCTAAGAAACAAATTGTGTATCAGAGAAAATCACTGTCTCACACAATATTTTGTAGGGAAAACATAAAGCATTGACTCTCCTATCAGGGAACTATTTTAAAAAGTTGAATATGTCCAAAATTACTAGAAATAACAGTTTGTTTTTAGTTAAAAATATACTTATTTTTAGTCCCCCTTTAAACAAAAGTGGATGCCCTTTGCGGCGTATTGCAGTTTATTTAAACCCAATTAAACCAAAAACATCTCTGCATTACTTCAAATGAGGAAATTACCAAGATAGGTGCCCAACACATTGCTGGATTTTCTAAATCATGGTTCACTTTTAAATTAAATTCTCAGAATAAGAGTTCAAAATGGCAATTGCGAACATTTCCTTTCCAAATTTCTAATAATATTCCTTCTTCTGCCTAATACACTTCTTTCAATCTTAATCCTTGTAATCCATCTATGCAACAAATTTAAGTGAATAACACATTTTAACTACAGAATAAAAATTACAGATTCTAACTAAATATTGTTTAGTTAAATCTCCAATCTCATTTGTAGTTTATATTTGCAAATACTAAAATATTAAGTAGGACTTGATCATCATTTCCTTTTGTTCTCTTTTTTTGGGGACCCCATAACTTCTACAACTTATGGAATTGATTCTATTCTCTTTTTAGCTTTTTAAAACTGATACATGAGTTGCACCTGTTATGCTGTACATGTGTGATTTTGATACAAGCAAATAATGTCTAATGATCAAATCGATCAAATCAAAATAATTGTGATATTCATCACCTTAAAAAAGTATTATTTGTGTTGGGAAAAGTCCAAATCTTCTCTTCTGTCTATTTTGAAATACACAATATGTTATTATTAACTATAGTAGTTCTACTGTACTATTGAACATTGGAACTCATTACTTCTACTAATTGTATTTTTGTACTTATTAAACAATCCCATTTTATCCCCACCTCTCCCTACCTTTCCCAGCCTCTGACAACCAACATTTTATTGTCTGCTTTCATGATAATCAACTTTTTTAGCTTCCACATATGAGTGAGAATATGTAATGTATGTCTTTTTGTGCCTGGCTTATTTCACTTAACACAATGTGCTCCAGTTCCACCCATCTTGCTGCAAATGAAAAAACTTCACTTTTTATGGCTGAATATTATTCCAGTGTATGCGTATATACCCATTTTCTTTATCCATTTATAATGTGATGAACACTTAAGTTAATTCTCTGTCTTGGCTATTGTGAATCGTGTTACGATAAACATGGGAGTGTGGACACCTTTTCAATATACTAATTTTCTTTTAATTTTTTGAATATATACCCAGCAGTGGAATTGCTGGGTCACACAGTAGTTCTATTTTTAGTTTTTTGAGGGACCTCTATTGTTCTCCACAGTGGCTTTACTAATTTACATGAATTATATTATTTGTTGTTATTGTTGTTGCCTTGTGTTTTCAGGTTTGGTAATGTGTTCTTCTACGCATTTTTTCTTGAATTTTATTAGTGCCACTTCATTCGAGGTCAATATTTACCTTCACAATTTTCATTTGTAATAATATTATTTTATTATTTCCCAGAGGTGCAAGAATCATTGCTGTTGGAAGCGAAGTTCCTCTTTGTTGAAGTTAATACCTTGAAAATGACTATCTCAAGAACTTAGCTGGCATCCCTCCAGATGTTCTATCAGATGTACCTAACCATGCTGCTCTCACAAAAGTCATGATGTGACAAAGTGATGAGGCAACGGTTTACTCAGTTTCTCTAAAAGGAATAACCCTTCTCCATCCGTACTGCATCCAATAATTCTATAAACCTGAATTAATTTTCTATTGGTCAATCAATCTTTCCATTGAGATGGATAAATGTGTCAGAGTTTACTACAACTACCTGTTTTCATATCCGAATTTACCATGACTATAAGCTCCTCAAGTCTAGGAGTCTTTTATTTCCTTTAATTTGCAGTACCAAGCAAACGTTCCACAGAGGTCATCTGAAATAAAGGCTTAGTGCATAATTAATTTCTAAAGCACAAGTGTGACATTTATCATAATACTCTAGATATACTCGGAGTTATCTATTCAAAAGCATGTTTTCTATGAGAAGTATGCTAAGAAAGAAATAAGCATATGAGGGGTTTAGTAATATGTAAGGTAAAATAATGAAGGCCAAATGATTGAGAAAATACAAATTTTAATAACTTAGTACTTTATAATAATAAATTTTATCAATTAGTATACACTTCATTGTTCTCTGTTCCTAGATTCTAATAACAGGCATACCTGGGGATATTGCAGGTTCAGTTTCAAACACCATAATGAAGTAAATATCACCATAAAGCAAATTGTACAATTTTTTTGTTTCCAAGTGTGTATAAAAGTCATGTTTATACTATACTGAAGTCTATTAAGTGCACAGTAGCAATATGTCTAAGAAAACAATGTACATACTTTAATATAAAAATACTTCACTGCTAGAAAATGTTAAAAATCATCTGAGCCTTAAGCAAGTTGCAATTTGTCTGCTGGTGGAGGCTCTTGACTTAATGTTGACGGCTACTGGCCAATGAGGGTGGTGATTGCTGAAGGTTGGAGTGGCTGTGGCAATTTCTTAAAATAGGGTAAAAACGAAGTCTGCCACAATGATTGTCTCATCCTTTCACAAAAGCTTTTGTTGTAGCATGCAACACTGATTGATACCATTTTGCCCACTATAAAATTTCAAAATTAGTCAATCCTCTCAAATCCTACCACTGCTTTATCAACTAAGTATACATAGTATTATAAATCTTTTGTTGTCATTTCAACAATGTTCATAGCATTTTCACCAGAAGTAGATTTCATCTCAAGAAATCATTTCCTTTGCTCATTCATAAGAAGTATCTCTTCATTAGTTCAAGTTTTATCATGAGATTGCCATACTCAGTCACATCTTCAGGCTTCAATTTTAATTGTAGTTCTGTTGATATTGCTGTCACATCTCAGTAACTTACTCCACTGAAGTCTTGAATCCCTCAAAGTCATCCATGAAGGCTGGAATCAACTTTTTCTAAATTTCTGTTAACGTTCATATTTTTACCACTTGCAATAAATCACTAATGATCTCAATGGCGTCTAGAAACTTCTTTCCAGAAGGTTTTCAATTTACTTTTCCCAGTTCTATTGGAGGAATCAATATATATGGCAGGGAACACATTACACAATGCATTACTTAAAGAATAAGACTTAAGGGTCAAAATCACTCCTTGATCCATGAACTGCAGAATGAATGTTGTGTTAGCAGGCATGAAAATGAAATTAATCTCCTTACACATTTCTATCAGATCTACTGGGTGAGCCATTGCATTGTCAATGAGCAGTAATACGTTGAAAGGAAAAGCTTTTTCTAAATAGTAGTTCTCAACAGTGGGTTTAAAATACTCAGTAAACCATGATATAAACAGATATATTGTCATCCAGGCTTTGTTGTTCCATTTATAGAGAAAAGGCAGAGTAGACTTAGCATAATTCTTAAGGGCCCTAGAATTTTCAGAATGGTAAATAAGCATTGGCTTCAACTTAAAGTCACCAGCTGCATTAGCTCCTAATTAAAGACTCGGCCTTCCCTTTGAAGTTTTGAAGCCAGATATCGCCTTCTCTGTAGCTATGAAAGTCTAGCTGACATATTTTCTTCAATATAAGCCTGTATTTGCCCTTAAATCAAAACCTCATAATTGATCATTTATGCAGCATAATTTAAGTAAATAACTTGAGCAATCTCAAATAGTCAGCATGTTAGAGCACAAAAATGGCCACACACTCTTTCACACAGTCATTACAATTCTCTAATATCTCTTTGCTATTCCTTTCAACAAGAAGTAAAGTCAAATTCTCTGCTAGTTGAATCTAGGCTTTACCAGTTGGCTTACTTTATTCAATGGGACATTAGTAATTGTGATGTAATTATAGACGTAAAAAGTGCTTGTGCATTCGCACTTACATTCTCTCTGCTATTTCAAATCTTGACATTGTGTATAGAAAATACTAGTATAGTCTTTTGGATCTAAAGAGATAACATGGAGCAGATGCGAGCCCTCCCTTCTGAATCCCACTAGACCAAGCAGGCTGTCTGCAGCTAGATAGGTGAGTGAGGCTATCCTGAATCACCCAACCACACAAAATTTAGGAAAGAGAATTGCTTATTTAAGTCACAGGATTTTAAGAAATGAAAATGTTTGTTGCTTTAAGAAAACTAGAGTTGTGCTTTTAAGCCACTTTTCTCAGCAAATTAATTCTGTAAGTATACAACCAGGGATTAAGGGTAATAGTCACTCTATCAACTGGCCTTGTTTAATTACTACATTGGAAGATTCTGTAAGCATTTTCCAATAGCATTTGGTTCTACACTGAATATTAAAATTTATTATAAAATTTATTACAAAAGAGAAATAAAACTTCATAGAGAATACTGTTACTAATTTAAGCTCTGTGAAGATGTGTTTACTCTCTTTTTTAGAGTTAGGCCTTGAGTTTTTAAATGACTTAAAAAAAAAAAAAACAATAAAGCCTAGCAGATGTTTATTTTTCTCAGTCACCAAGGCTTTTATTTTTGTTTTAAATACTGTTATTTAAATGTATTGGTTCTAAATATTATCATTTAAATATTATTCCAATTATATGGAAATTTAAAATAAAAACAGGAATGGTAAAGTCACTTACTGAATCTTTGCTACACAGTAATTAAGCACTGTGATAACTGATTTATATATTCTAGCTAATTTAATTGTTACAAGAGTTATTATCTCCAATTCATCCGTGAAAAAATGCCTATTAATTTAATGAAAGTCAGGTTGTCATTGAGTGGCATAGCTAGGGTTTGAACTGTGTCTGCTTATTCCAAATCCTGTGCCTTTAACTGTTACGAGTTCTTGCTCCTTGTAAGCATAAGCCCAAATTTAAATCCTTGGTGCTTATTATACACTGCTATTAAATGTATTCTGAAAAAAATAAACATGCCTTTACTTCTTTCTGAAGACTCATTAAAAAATCATTATTTTTTCTTTTGGTCAGAAATGTTTTAATGACTATGCCACAGAAACACAGCATCACATGTAGCCTCAGACTTGTCCATAATGAGTCAAATGTCCTCAGCATCAAAAATAACAGAGTGAGAAGGCAAATTCATGGCTAACATAAAGTCCCCAAACGAGGAGATAGCATTTACCATCTCTGTCCCCATTTTCTTCCTATTTTGGCATTTCTTGTTTAGCTTATTATTTTAACCAGTACTACTTAGGTTCACAACTTAATATATTTGTAGTATTTAACATGGATGAACTGTGTTAGTCTTACATTATTTTCATAGCTATTGGGAAATGAACTAGAAAACAATAAAACCAATAGATGGCTTAGAAACTTGCCTGAGGTTACCCAAAAGGAAACATTAGAGCTAAAACTAATCTCCTGTGACAAAATTAATGTTCTTCCTACTTTTTTCAGAAATTTTGTGAAGACTTGTCAAGTTTTGTTAATGTTGGGATGGCTTATGGAGTCAACAGAATATGTTTCGAAGCTTAACTTTGCTCTCTATTAGCTGTGTGATATTAAATTCTTGAATCTCTGTTCTTTCTTTTGAGCCCCTTTTTCCTACTAATAAATGTGCTGCCACAACAGGCATTGTTGCTAATGGGACTGGGCACCTCTTCATCCTCAGGGCCTGTACCATCACTGATGGTCTGTGGTCATTTTTTTCTGGAAAAAAGGAATATAGACTCCCCGTGTTCTGAAGTGAGAAACAAAAGATTGTATCCTCCCTTGTGGGTTACATTCTTTTGGGTAGTTTTCAAAGCAGCATTGTTTATGTATCAATATTTAACAGATTTTCTTTTAACATGATGCTTCCTTCATATTTTATCTATAACCCAATAAATTTCCTAGGAGAAAACTCAACTAAAAGAAGATTGCTCAAATAAGCTTAGACCAGTTATCTTGGACTCAGAAAAGAAAAATTTCTGGGAAAAGCATGACCCTTTTTATTTTGCATACCACCTGCCCAGTCTCTCCTGGAATTGGGTCTGAGTTTAAGCAATACAATGACAGCTCAGGACTGAATATCAGAAATACCCTCTGCAGTATATATATTTTATGCTACTTTTTATTTTTTAAATAATATAGTTTATATTAGGGAAATAAATACTGAGATTTTTAGTGAAAATGTAAATGAATCCACACACATGCACACTATAAAAGGGATTATTTTAAGTCATGAATTTTAAAAAGAACTTACTCAGAGAGATGAGAACAGATTTATAACCAGCTGGTGCCAGGCTATATTTGGCATATGGAACCTACATTTAGTTATCCTCTCCAAAGTCCATGAATACCATTCTAACAACACTATTCAGCATGTAGGACAAATGGTTGGGGAATTCCTTTTAGCAATCTCCAAGTGATGGGAACAAGGTCAAATGTCACCGCAATGTGCTGTAGTTCTCAAGGTTTGAGTCCCTAACTACGTTCTCTGAGGCAGCCAGAGCTGTCAGTGCTGCCGGGAAGCCAGCAGTAATTTGAAAGATGTTAAGGGCGGCAGGTCGTTGTTTTGCATTTTTGTGTGCTAGCATAGACTTATGGTTCTGTTAAACAAAAATATGTGGAAGATGCTAAGTTCTGAGAACCAGACCACTAGGACAGAACAAGGTGCCTGTCTTCCCCTCACAAACAGGCACCAACACACTCTGTGTGCCTTTGTTCTTAAAGAGACCTCTGTGTTCATTGCCGAACAGATACAGAGTTTCTCTGTGTTGGGATTTTTATCAAATCATCTCAGGTCCCATCAGTATCCCCTACCTTATAAACGCTTATTATAAAGAAAACAGATTTTCTTCTACACTCTGATTGGTAATGCCCGAGATTCTTTTACTAACTTCTCTGAAAAATTCTTACCACACCCAGCTTTGCTGTCTGCCTGCCTTTCAGAAATGTTCACCTTTCTGAACCCTTAGTACACAAATGACTGGACTAGGGATAGACCTCTGGTTCAATCGGATCAAATAAGATTGCCTCCTCAGAAATTTAGATTTTCAACCTATAAAATTCAGTTTGTTTCTAACTATTAAAACCTAGGAATTAATTTAAATACTAGGCTGAAATGGCTGTATTTCTCCTTTATTCAAGTTCAGCAAAGAATGGGCTGGAGTTGGCTCCAGTTCTTCTTAAGAACTTGTACTTACTTTGCTTCTGTATGACAATCCTCTTGTAGTTTTCAAACACATTCTCTTATTATACTTACCTCAGCTTGGGTGGATTCTGTTCCTTATAACTAAATACTTGCTGAGGAACAACTGGGGAGAGAATTGTTTATTTAGCTAAGGTGAACTTTTGGAATCCCCATATTCAGAATGGCCAGTGGAAACAGGCTTTCTCCTATCACATAGACTCTGCTGTTCATTCTTTCATAGCAGTTTTATGGTACTGAAAATGTGAAGACAGATATGCATGGTGCTCCTAGTATCTCCTTAGGAATTGTAATCTCATGGAAAGAGATTGCTTCGAAACTTTGCTTCATCTTCACCTTTTATATGTGAACTCGATTTCATTCATGCTTCATCATTTTTTGGAAAGATGTATCTTTTAAGAATGCATTTGAATCCAAATAATATCTTTTCATCATTACTGATTTTTAAAATTTCTATGAATCTTGGTATACAGGATTCAATGTCAACTGGGATTTTTATATAAAAAACCTAATATAAACAAAAATTGTTTCATTTTTTATTTCACTTCCAGTAGTAACTCTTTTGGAGATACTTAGCCTAATTTTGTTTAATATACTCTAACATTGTGTATTGTAGCTATATAAAAAGAGAACCGTAGATATTAAAGAGATCATTGGTGCCCAGAAATGTTAGGAAATTACACACACACACACACACACACACACGCACACACAGACACACACACACACACACATTTTCTCACAGAGATTTTATTTATTTTGAGACGGAGTCTCACTCTGTCACCCAGGCTAGAGTGCAACGGCACTAACTGGGCTCACTGCAACCTCCGCTTCCCGAGTTCAAGCGATTCTCCTACTTCCATATGGATCTGGCTTTTCAGATTTATCTAACCTTATGAAACCATGTGCCTATTACTTGAATTCCCTCTCATTCTCAGCCGTATAACCAGGTTTTTCTTCCCAACTATCTACACAGCTTAGTCCAAAAAAGATTCATATTCTACCTATTATAGATTATTTGAAATTTAAAAAAACTTCTTTAGAAAAATGCATGTGAAATCATATTACTAACTACTTCAGTTAGGCAAAGCCAACATATCTCTGAAAGCATCTTGTGTCAATAAAGTTGGGCCTATCTTCTTACAAAGAAAAGTGCAGTTATTATTTGTTATTAGGAATTAGAAACTTTACAGGAGAAAAAAATGCAAGTGCTAAAAGTCACTTACAAATGTTCTTAAGAGGAAGAAAAAATAGTGCTCGTGCATAATTAAAAAGTTGATGACGTATTTCCAAATATCCTAGTATCTTTTATTATTTTACAGTCTTTTTTTTTTTAAGAAGAAAAGAACACCATGGCAACCAGTTTTGACTGGTTATAAAAGGATAAGTCAACTGGTTTCTTATCATTTTGCTATAAGATTCACAATTTTCTCTTAACCTCACTTTTCAATATCTTCTGATATTCTGTAACCAACCATCTAGAGTGTTTGCATGGTCAGAGGAAAAAGATAATATATAATATGTCTTTCTAAAGCTTAAACATTTACAAAAATAGGCTGGGCATGGTGGGTTACACCTGTAATATCAGCACTTTGGGAGGCTGAGGTGGGCAGATCACGAGGTCAGGAGTTCGAGACCAGCCTGACCAACATGGTGAAACCCCGTCTCTACTAAAAATACAAAAATTAGCTGGGAGTGGTGGCAAGTGCCTGTAATCCCAGCTACTCAGGAGGTGGAAGTAGGAGAATCGCTTGAACTCAGGAAGCGGAGGTTGCAGTGAGCCCAGTTAGTGCCGTTGCACTCTAGCCTGGGTGACAGAGTGAGACTCCGTCTCAAAATAAATAAAATCTCTGTGAGAAAAAGATGTGTGTGTGTGTGTGTGTGTGTGTGTGTCTGTGTGTGCATGTGTGTGTGTGTGTGTAATTTCCTAACATTTCTGGGCACCAATGATCTCTTTAATATCTACGGTTCTCTTTTTATATAGCTACAATACACAATGTTAGAGTATATTAAACAAAATTAGGCTAAGTATGTCCAAAAGAGTTACTACTGGAAGTGAAATAAAAAATGAAACAATTTTTGTTTATATAAGTAACTTGAGAGTAATCAAGATAAATGGAAGGTACTAAGAAACTGGATGATGGCTGATGCCAATTCATGAAGTAGAGTAAATCAATTTGCCTTCATAGTATTGTAGACAAATTGGATTTCCCTAGGCAATCCAGGTGAAAGAAAATGAAGTTTAAGGAATACAGACAAAATATTTAATATTAGTGAAAAAGAGAGTGTGTGCATAAATCATGGCTGGAAGATGATATCACTTCAGTGAGGTATATTGAGAGAATTTTTAAGATGCAAGAAGTTCTAAAAGCCTCTTGTAAAACCATTTTTACAATATTATTTAATGGATTAAATCATAGCTCCCATCACTATCTCTTGAGTAAAAATACCTATGTTAATTACACATTCATAAGACTGTTTTGTCTTATATTAGGAGTTGCTAACTTACAAGAAATAATAAAAATCTGAGTTCCTTATTTGAGAAATGAGTTACAATTAGAAGTAATTTATAAGGAAGTAGAAAGTGGATTAAGACATGAAATTATGTGTATGTCTGCTTTCCAGGAATTAAAAGGCATTTTTCAGTCATAAGACTTTGACATGGATTTGGACATGTTCTATTGGAGATGATAAGATGGATGATAGGATCAGGAACATTTCTATCATCCATCTCCCAACTCTGTATATTACAAATAAAATTTCATATAATAACCACAAGTGAGCACAGATCTTGGTTTGGAAATCTGAGGTATATTTTCCCCAGGAATAAACATACTTGGGCTTGTGTTGAGGATACAGCTACCACTTCTCATTAGGACTGTGGAAACATGTGGAAAAGACTTATATCAAAGTAAGTTTTAACATATGTGAACACTGGCTTAAGACAATGCTTCAGTGTAGGAAAAGAAAGATTCTTCTGACTATAGTACACAACCAATTTTAGATTGTCCTATGACATGTAGACATACACTTGAGATATAGGGAGAGAAGATGGCATTGATATGTGAGTAAAAGCCACTTTATAAATTAAATTATATGTGAGATAGCAGAGTGCAATACCAGAAGTATAGTAAGTGAATGAAGTCCTCTGTTCTGAAGAAAAACCTATGAGACTTTAAAAAATCAAGCAGAAACAGCTATGCTTTGGCACTGAATCATTAATGCCTCTAAATACGGCATGATAATTCCAAGAAGCCACCTTTTACAAGTTTCATATCGGCTTCTGAGAGATAATAGAAACTATGACCTAGGTCTTGATAAACTTAGAGATGGTACTTCAGCCTTCTTATAGCCAACATCAAATAGGAATCCAGATCAAAGCACAACAAACATGATTCATGACAAGTAGTAGCAGAAATAATAGCCTTCGTGCAGACGAGAATTTGCTTAGGGATGTCTCGATCTGCTTTTGGAAAAGCTCCAGGAATGGAGAAGGCACTACAATCAGGTTGCCACTGGAGTAGAAAAGGATTTAAGACACCAGAATAAAATTACCTTCCTTTTTTTTTTGAGATGGAGTCTCGCTCTGTTTCCCAGGCTGGAGTGCAGTGGCGTGATCTTGGCTCACTGCAACCTCCACCTCCCAGACTCAAGCGATTCTTCTACCTCAGCCTCCTGAGTAGCTGGGATTACAGGCGCCTGCCAACACACCGAGCTAATTTTTGTATTTTGCATTTTTACAAATATGGTTTCACCATATTGGCCGAAGGATAAAATTATCTTCTAATCCTATAGGAATATTGGAATCTGGGTTTTTTTTGTTTTGTTTTCCTTTTATTCTTATTATTATTGAGCTCATGCTGTCTACAATTGTAAATAAGAAGAAATATTTTAAGTGCTTTTAGAATATTGGTGAATTGTAGTTTCTCAACAGAAGGATTATCGTTTAACCAATATTTTTTTCTTTCCTGGAAAACACTTAACATCTCTAAGATATTAAAATTAACCATGAATAAGAAAGTATGTGTAGCAAAGGTACAGATATATCCTGTAAAGGAAAACCAATATCTTGTTATTTTTATTGGTACTGATAGATGAACGACTTTGTTTTTAAAGGTTGAATAGATATAATAGGTGAGGGCTGCCTCTGGGCTCATCTAGCAACTGGAACCTAACATCCTAGCATTACAGATATGCCTTGAAGAACACAGCTGTGTATGTATTTGTATGGTGTTGTTAGCTACTTAATATAACATATATACTATAGTTGTCATGCAACATGTGAACCAAAAGCTTTTCATGGTACAGAACTATAGTACTTAACTGGAACACTCAGATTTACAAGCCAAATATTAATAGAACTAAAGAGAGAGATAGATTCCAATACAATAATAATTAGGAAATTCAACCCCCAACTTTTAGTGTTAGACAGATCATCTTGCCAGAAAATCAACAAAGAAACATCCAATTTAAACTACACTATAGACCAAATTGACTTAACAGATATTTACACCTGCAGAATACTCATTCTTTTCATCAGTGCATGGACATCATTCAGAATTTACTCTATGTTAGGCCACAAAAAATTCTCAACAAAATGTACAAAAAACTGAAATCATATCAAGTATCTTTCCTAACTTCAATGAAGTAAAACTAAAAATCAACCACCAAAGGAATTTTTGAAACTGCACAAATACATGGAAATCAAACAACATGTTCCTAAATGACCAATGAGTCAATAAGGAAATTAATGAAAAAAATTAAAATTTTCTTAAAACAAATTAAAATAGAAACCCAGCATTCCAAAACCTATGTAATACAGCAAAAGTAGTATTAAGAGAAAACTATATAGCAATAAATGCCTACCTCACAAAAAGTTATTGGGAGGCTGAGGCAGGAGTATCACCTGAGTCCAGGAGTTTGGGAAAAACCTGGGCAACATAGCAAGACTCCATCTCTAAAAAAGAAAAATTAAAAAATTAAAATAAATTAGCCAGTTTTGGTGGAATCTAGCTGTAGTCCTTGCTATGTAGCACAAGAATCACTTGAGCCCGACAGCTGAAATGAACCATGATTGTGTTATGGTACTCCAGCCTGGTATTTAGAGTATAACCCCGTCTCTAAAAAATAGTTTAAAGGTTTTAAATAAACAACTAAACAATGCACCTTAAGGAGCTAGAAAAGCAAGACAAAAATCCTATAAATAGTAGAATAAATAATAAAAATCAGAGCAGAAATATAATTAAGACTACAAATCAAAAAGATCAAGGAAAATGAAAGAGTTTTTCTTTATAAAGATAAACAGAATTGACAAACCATCAGATAGACTAAGAGGAAAAAAAGAGAAAAGACTCATATAAATAAATTCAGAAGCAGAAAAGGAGATATTCCAAAAGATACTACATACATAAAGGATAATTAGGGACTATTATGAACAACTATATACCAACAAATTGGAAACAAGAGAAAATGGGTAAATTCCTGGAAACATACAGCTTACATATATTGAACCAAGAAGAAACAGAAAACGGGAGCATACCAATAACAAGTAATAAAATTGAGTCAATAAAATGTCTCCAAACAGAGAAAAATCCAGGACTAGATGGCTTCACTGCTCATTTCCACAAAGCTTTTAAAGAAGAAATAATACCAATTCTTCTCAAGCTATTCCAAAATACGAAGAAGAAATTATTTCAATATCATTTTACAAGATTAGCTTTACCCTAATACCAAAAGCAGACAAAGATACAACACAAAAAGAAAGGTACAGAGCAGTACCTTTGCTGATAAGCATAGATACAAAAATTATCAATAAAATACTAGCAAACAGAATCCAACAGTACACCAACAAGACTATACACCATAACCAAGTGGGACTTATTCCAGGAATACAAGTATGGCTCAACACATGTAAATCAATAAACACAATACATCATACCAACAGAATAAAGGACAAGAACCAGATGATCATCTCAACAGACATATAAAAAGCCCTTGATAAAATACAATAACCCTTTATGCTAAAAATGCTCAACAAGTTAGGTATAGAAGGAAGGTATCTCATCACATTAAAGATGATATATGACAAACCCATAGCTAACACCATTCCAAATGTGGAAAAGCTGACAATTTTTTCTCTTAGAGCTGAAACAAGAAAAGGATGCTCATTCTCAACACTCTTACTTAAAATAACATTGGAAGCCCTAGACAGAGCAATAAGGCAAGAGAAAAAAAGAAAGGACATTCAGACTGGCAAGAAGGAAGTCAAATTGCCCGTTTGCGAACAGTAATATCTTTTATACAGAAAAACCTAAAGACTCCCCAAAAAAAACTCTTAAAACTAACAAACTCATAAATTTGCAGGATATAAAATCAGCAGAGAAAAATTGTGTTTTTATATACCAACAATGAACTAGTTGAAGAAGAAATAAAAAGTAATTCCATTTAAAATAGCTACCCACAAAATCCAAGAAATTTAATGAAGGTGGTAAAACACTGCTGCAAGTGAAACTATGTAATACTTACAAAAAAATTAAACAGGACAAAAAAATGGAAAGACATCCAATAATGAATTGGAAGAATTAATATTGTTAAATAGCCACACTACCTACAGTGATCTTCAGATTCAATGCAATTCCTGTCAAAATATCAACGACATTCCTCACAAAAAGACAAAAAAATTCCTAAATGTGTATTGATCCACAAAAGATCCTGAATAGCCAGGGAAATTTTGTGTAAAAGGATGAAGCTAAAGGCATCACATTACCAGACATCAAAATATGCTATGAAGCTACAGTAAACAAAACAGTATGATACTGACATAAAAACAAATACATAAACCAATGGAAAAGAGTAGAAAACCTATAAATAAGCCCATGTGTTGGCAGCCAATTGATTTTCTACAAAGTCACCAATAACATTCATTGAGGAAAGGATAGTACCTTCAATAAATGGTACTGGGAAAACTGAATATCTATATATGGAAAAAGAATTAGGCTCCTATCTCTCACCATAGACACAAATAAATTCAAAATTGGTAAAGATGTAAATGTAAGACCTAAAACTATAAAACTAATAAAAGAAAACCCAGGGGAAACACTTTGGACACTGGCCTTTTCAAAGATTTTACAAATAAGACCTCAAAACACAGGCAACATAAGCAAAATTAGACAAATGGGAAATTTTAAACTAAAATGTCTCTGTACAACAAAGCAAATAATCAACGGAATAAGGAGAAATCCTTTAGAATAGGATAAATTATTTCTAAACTATTCATTGGACAAGGGATTGATATAAAAATATATAAGGAACTCAACTCAACAACAACGAAAATAAAATAAATAATCCAAATTTAAAAAACAAGCAAATAAACTAGAGACATATCTCAAAAGACAACATACAAATGGCCAACGAGTATATTTGAAAATGCTCAAAAGCACTAATCTTCAGGGTAATGCAAATCAGAACCACAATGAGATATCATGTTACTCCAGTTAGAATGGCTATTATCAAAAAGAACAATATAATAAATGCTGGTGAGGATATGGAGAAAAAGGAATTTTGATAAATTGTTGGTAGGTATGTAAACGAGTACAGGCATTATGAAAAACAGCATGGAGCTTTCTCAAGAAAACTAAAAATAGAATTAACATATCTTCCAGTAATGCTGTTGCTTTGTGGGTATATAGCCAAAGGAATGGTACCAATATGTCAAAGAGATATGTTCACTCCTGTTTATCGCAGCACCATTCACAGTCTCTGAGATATTTAATCAACCTAAAAGCCTATCAACAGATGAATGGATAAGGTAATATGATATATATGCACAATGAAATACTTCTCAGCTATAAAAAAAGAATAAAAATTTGTCATTTGCAGCAGCATGAATGAGCCTGGAGGGCATTACATTAAGTGAAATAAGCCAGGCACAGGAAAATAAATACTGTATGTTCTCATTCATATGTGGAAGCTAAAAATGTTGATCTCATAAAAGTAGAAAGTAGAGGCCAGGCGCGGTGGCTCACGCCTGTAATCCCAGCGCTTTGGAAGGCTGAGGCAGGTGGATCATCTGAGGTCAGGAGTTAAGAGACCAGTCTGGCCAACATGGTGAATCCTCATCTCTACTAAAAAATACAACAATTAGCTAGGCGTGGTGGCGGGCACCTGTAATCCCAGCTAGTCAGGAGGCTGAGGCAGGAGAATCCTTTGAACCCAAGAGGCGGAGGTTGCAGTGAGCCGAGTTCGCGCCATTGCACTCCAGCGTGGGTGACAGAGTGAGACTCCGATGCAAATAAAAAGTAGAAAGTAGAATAGAGATTATCAGAGACTGAGAAAGGTAGAGGGAAGGAGGGATATAAAGAGGTTTGTTAACTGATACAAAACTGCAGCTAAATAGAAGGAATAATTTCTAACGTTCTATAGCACTGTAGCATGATCATAGTTAATAATTTACTGCATATTTTCAAATAACTGGAAGAAAGAATTTGGAACGTTTCCAATACAAGAAAATGAAAATTTTTTGCAGTGGTAGTGTCGCTAATCACCCTGATTTGATTATTACCCATTGTACACATGTATTAAAACATCACAGTACTCCACAGATATTTCTAATTATTAATGTCAGTTAATAAAAATTAAAAATCTATATAAAGAATTAGCTTCTACAGTTTATATTCCTCCGTGTTATTTTCTTTCTCTATGTCTTACATATATGTATAAGTGAATCCACACTCTGTTTCCTCATATGTTATGACAGCGAAACTATTAATATAAAATTAATTCCCCACCACTGTTCATGAGAACAAATCTACTGTCTTGCACTTACGCTAGCAATTTTATTTTTTATATCATTGTTTTTCTTTCTAATGAGTCATTTCAATTAATGTGTAAGTAATTGTATTTTGTCTACTGTCTTCATGAAAATCAAAACATAAAAAAACTACTTTTGTTCCCATAATTTTCTTGTCTTATTTATTTTTTTTCTTTTTGGAATATAAAAGATAACTTACAAAGGAATTTGGAAAACAAGCTTTTAGATAAAATTTGCAGATTTGTAAACATTCTTTGAGCTTAACTAATAAAAACTTCTAACACATAGTTTTTGATCACAGCCCTCTTCTAATATTTTGGTTTCATTATAGGAATGTATTGAATATCAGAGCTATTTTTATTCCATATGGTATGGTTCGGATCTATATCGTGCCCAAATCTCATGTTGAAATGTAATCCCTAATAGAGCTTCCAGCCTAATGGTCCCACTTCTGCCTGACATCTGCAGTCAGGTGCAACCCTGTGTTCCCCCAAGAAACACTCAGAGAGGAAATTAGGGCTGAACCAGCAAGGATAAGCCCTGTTTGTCAACTGTGGTCCTTGCCAAAGGGAACCTCATGGAGCAGAATACCCAATAAAAGATATGTGGGCACAGAGACAGTAATCGACAGGGGTGCTTCCAAGTCCTAAGGGTGGAATATTAATAGAAACCAGTCTACTAAACCCACCTTACACCACAATCAAACCCTCAAGGAAATCGGAAAGACAGCAACTTCTAAGACTGAAGGAATATCAGCCCACATAGATGAGAAAATACCAGTATAAGAACTCTAGCAACTCAGAAAGCCAAAATGTCTTCTTATCTCCAAATGATCACACTAGTTCACCAGCAATGGTTCTTAACCAGGCTGAAATAGCTGAAGTGTCAGACATAGAATTCAGAATAGGTACTGATTGGATAGTAATGAAATCCTATGATGAATAGGAATATAATTATCAACATTCAAGAGGAAGTTGAAAACCAATTGAAGGAATCTAAAAAATACAAAAAAAAAAAAAAAAAGATACAAGAGACAAAGGACGAAATGGCCATTTTAAGAAAGAACCAAACTGAACTGATGAACTGATCATGGTGAAAAACTCACTTCAAGAATATCATAATACAGTCGCAAGTTTTAACAGCAGAATTGACCATGCTGAACAAATAATTTCAGAGCTTAAAGACCAGTTCCCCAACATAACACAGCCAGATAAAAACAAAGAAAAACCAATAAAGAAGTATGAACAAAACCTTTGAGAAACATGGGACTATGCAAACAAACCAAATCTATGACACATTGGCGTCCCTGAAAGAGGAGATAAAACAAGCAACTTGGAAAACGTATTTGAAGATTTCATTCATGAGAATTTCCCCAACCTCACTAGAGAGGCCAACATTCAAATCCAGGAAATGCAGAGAAAACCTGCAAGACACTATGTAAGGTGACCTTCCCCAAGACACATAGTCATGAGTTTCTCCAAGTCCAAAATGAAAGAAAAAATATTAAATGTAGCTAGATAGAAGGGAAAGGTCACCTACAAAGGGAAACCCATCAGGTTAACAGCAGACCTTTTTCAGCAGAAACACTGTAAGACAGAAGAGATTGGGGGCCTCTATTCAGCATTCTTAAAAAAAAATTCCAACCAAGAATTTAATATCCAGCCAAACTAAGCTTAATAAGCAAAAGAAAAATAAGATACTTTTCAGAGAAGCAAATCCTAAGGGAATTCATTACCACCAGACCTGCCTTACAAGAGGTCCTCAAGGGAACGCTAAATATGGAAAGGAAAGACTGTTACTGGCCACCAGAAAAATACACTTAAGTACATAGATCATTGATGCTGTAAAGCAACTATACAACCAGATATTCATAATAACTAAAAACAGAAGTACCATTTAATCCACCAATGCCATTACTCGGTATACACCCAAAGGAATACAAATCATTCCACCATAAACACAGACGCATGCCTATGTTCATCGCAGCACTACTCACAAAACTAAAGTCATGAACTCAATCTAAATGCCCATCAATGATAGACTGGATAGAAAAAAAAACATGGTGTGTATACACTATTGAATATTATGCAGCCACAAAAAAGTATAATATCATGTTATTTGCAGCAACATGGATGGAACTGAAGGGCACAATTCTAAGCAAACTAGTGCAGGAACATAAAACCAAATACTGGCTGAGCGCAGTGGCTCATGCTCGTAATCCCAGCACTTTGGGAGGCCAAAGCGGATGGATCAAAAGGTCAGGAGTTCGAGACCAGCCTGCCCAATATGGTGAAACCCTATCTCTACTAAAAATACAAAAGTTAGCCGGGCTTGGGGCGGGTGCCTGTAGTTCCAGCTACTCAGGAGGCTAAGGCAGTAGAATCGCTTGAACCCAGGAGGAGGAGGTTGCAGTGAGCCGAGATTGCGCCACTGCACTCCAGCCTGGGCGACAGAGCAAGAATCTGTCTCAAAATAAATAAATACATAAAATAAATAAAACCAAATACCACATGTTCTCACTTATAAGTGGTAGCTAAACATTGAGTGCATGTGAACACAAAGGAGGGAACAAATACACCTGGGTCTACTTGAAGGAGAAGAGTGGGAGGAGGCAGAGGATCAAAAAACTACCTGTCAGGTACTATGCTTATTACCTGGGTGACTAAGTAATCTGTACACCAAACCCCCATGACATGCAATTTACCTATATAACAAACTTCCACATGTGCTTCTCAACCTAAATGATTAAAACAATATTTTGCCCTAAAGTTATATTGTCATCATGTATAGGTGCACTTGTCTTGATTTATTTTGCTATTACAAATTTATTGAAAGCAGGAGAAAAAAAATTCACAGGGACAAAGGGAATAACTTTATTACTTTAGAAAATGTTGTGGGCTCCTATACATGTGTATGTTCTTCCTTTGATATTCATAGCAAATTAATGGGTTGAAAGAAGAAAGACATTTTGTTCTCCCCTTATCTAACTCTTTTCTGAGTCAACAATCAGTAATATAACTGAAAAAAAACTAGTGTGTTTATTTTCTGATGTTCTATTAATAAAGATTTTTGTAGTTCTCTGAATTCATTTTCAGCCAGATACATTTTACATTCTTTCAATGAGATTAGTATATAGGAGTATGTTGTATTGTGCTGAAACATCAGCATTTTCTTGCCTGATTTTATGGGTAGGAATATCTAATGGGCTTTAAGATCAAGGGGAAATGTTTATGTTTGAGCTTCTCTCTGATAGTTTTTAAAATTAACTTGTAATTCTGTATTGTTTGCATGGCAGTAATAGAGACTAGATAGATCCCAAAATAATACACTGTGACAGATAAGAAATTAGTGAACAAAAAACACTTGACTCATATAGACTCAGTTATTAGCACCTATAAGAATAAAATCAGTAACAGTTTAAGTGAAAAATAAACATTACTCTTTACTTATGGCTTTGGCATTCTTAACAAAGCTGTGGCTTTATTATTACTGTATAACTACTGAGATAGCACCTAACACTAAAGTAGTAAAAACATAAATATAGCATTTTTAATATTGTCATTAAGAAAATTTTTAAAAATGAATATATTTAAATAACTTTTATTTTCATGACTCTTAGAAAACTTTTAAAATATTATAACTCCTAAGAAATAAATATGCTGTGATATAGATATATAGTACAGATTATTATAAGATCTATACTTAAAATAAAATGTACTCTCCCGTTAAATCATATAAACCCCAAACTGAAATATTGTGCTTTCAAAAAAATGTACGTATTTTCTAATCATAGAATTTAAATTGTATGATGTCTTGAAAAGAAAAAGTTTGTGTATATGTATATGTGTAGTGATTTCAAGCATATTAGAAAATATAGCAAAACTTTATGTTCCAAAATATGCCAAATATGCCAAAATATGTCTGGTTGGTGAAACTATGTATGGTTTTAATATTTTACTGTTTCATTTGTGATCATTTTTATGGCTAGTTTTCACAAGCCTGAAACAAAAATTTATATTTCTGTTCAGTTACCTATTTGAACTATAAAACCAAAGCTCACAGATGTGACATTGAAAACGTCTTACCGTAGCAAATCCCTAAAATACTAAAAATCATTTAAACTTTATAACTACATTTATGTCTAATTTTCTCAGTAGTAATGTATAATTATTTTGGCTTATCAGATAAATTGTTATCACATTATAAAAAGAAGCAAAAGTAAATAAATATGAGTTAGGCCCAATCATAATTCCTGGACTTAATTTTTTTTTTTCATTTTGGATGTTTTCTAATTATTCAAAATTATATCGAAAACAAAATATAGCCCAATTTAAGTGGGGATTTTCTTATGTTATACAATAAAAGAAAGGAAAAACTAGTAATGTGGTTTTTTATAACGAAATATAATTATCAGCTGTTTGGAAAAGATTTACAAATAAAAAATATTATTATTTAATGAAAACTAAAATACTGATACCACCTAAAACTTCTCTCAATCAAAAACTGTTTCAGGGCATCATGAATGAAAAGTGAAATCTGGATTGAATATACCTGAGGCAATTTTCTACTCTGACAAGTAAAATCTGTGCAGTTTGCCAAAATTACTTCGTTCTTTTTGATACATTTATCCGAAATTATAAAATATGTGTAAGATACTGTATTTACTTTGTAGGGATGCTTTAACAAATTAGCACAAAGTGGATGGCTTAAGGCAACAGAAATTTACTCTCTCACAGTTCTGGAGGCCACATGTCCAAAATGAAGGTGTTGGCAGGGCCACGCTCTTTCTAAAAGTGTTATGGGATAATCAGTTTAATGCCCTTCTCTTAGCTTTTGGTGTCCTGGCAAAATTCAGAGTTCCTTGGCCTGTACTCATTGCATTTCCATCGCTGCCTCCATCATCACACGGTGCTCCCATGTGTGTCTGTCTCTATGTATTATATTTTTTATAAGAGTCCACCCTACTCCCAAATGACCTCATCATAACTCATGTCTTAACTACAGCTGCAATAACCCTATTTCCAAATAAGATAAAATTTATAGGTATTAGGGGTTAGGACTTCAATATATATTGTTTTGGGGAGGGGAGATGACACAATTCAACTACCAAAATACCCATCAAAAAGCTGTTTAAAAAATTAAAGTAAAATAGAATACTTAAACAGATTGGCAAAGAGCCTATACATGGTGGGCACTCAATGTTAATCTCACTTTCCCACTTCTTCCTCTGTGTAGCATGTGAATAAGTGTGAAAATGCAATATAATCAATATAATGTTCTTTAACTTACTCATGTCACACTGCTTCTAAATTCTTTCAGAAAAAAATATGAAAATGTTTGAAATAGAGAGCTAAATGTTGCCTAGTGCACACTTCCTTTTCCTTCCTTATGTGATTTTATAGAAGTCCACATTTTTTATTGTCTTTGAGCTATTTAGCAACTCTTCAAATTGTAGAAAACTGCTGGTTATATAAATGATTGTCTATACCAAGGCAAGTCAAAATTTTAGGTGAGGATGCAAACCATCTTACTCATAATAAGCTATTTTCTATTAATATTTTTTATTTTTTTCTATATGTATGTCTGCTATTATGATTCCCATCTGAGGTGATTTTTATCTTCTTGTTGGTTTTTCCATTAATTTATGGGTCAGATAAAATAACTTTGTCTGTGTTCATTTTGGATCTCACATACAGCACCTTAAGTTTATGGTTCCCCATGCATTGGCTCCTAATGGCACTTATGTCTGGGAGGAGAAGGGATTAGGCATACAGAACTCTTCCTCCACCACAGAACATAGTAGTAGTTTTGTATGAGTGCACAAGCACTTCCAGGGGCTTTATTCCCCAATATCAGGACAAAGAAAGACATAATACGGGCCCATTTCCAGCAGCTATCCACCAGTATCACAGGGTGCGGTCTGAATGAGAGTGCTGGCATTTGCCACAGATTCTTTTCACAGCTTAGTCCAGAGACAGTGGGAGATAAACTCCCTCTCAGTTTCATCCTGAGGATAAAATACACTGGAACACTCAGTTAACACCTCAGCCCTTCCAGCTGCATCCATATCTGTCTCAGGGTACTGATAGAACTTGATACATCCTAAACTTCTGGGGAGACACCAGAAATGGAAACGTAGTTCGGGCAAACACAACATTTAAAAGGCACCGTAAAATACCAGGAATATTCCACCCAATAGCAAAAGAATACACATTCTTCTCAAATACAATAGGCATTCTTCAAAATATATTTTATGTTAGGACATAAAATAAGCCTTAAAAATTAAAATGATTGAAATAATATCAAATATCTTTCCTAACCACAATGGTATGAAACAAGAACTGAATAACAGAATAAATCATAGAAAATTTATGAATATGTAGAAATTAAACAATATACTCTTGAACAATAATTACATCAAAGAAGAAATTAAAGTAAAATTTAAAAATATCTTGAGACAATAAAAATGGAAAAACAACATACCAAAACTTATGGGATGCAGTAAAAGTAGTTCTAAGAGGGAATTTTATGGCATTAAATATCTACATATAAAAAAAGGAAAGATCTTAAATAAACAGCCTAATATTACATCTCAAGGAACTAGAAAAAAACAAAAACTAAGCCAAAAGTCAGCAGAAGGAAGAAAATAAAAACAATCAGAACAGAAATAAATAAAACAGACTATAAAAACAATAGAAATGTAACTAAGAGTTGTTTTTTAGAAAAGCTTACACAAAATTGACAAATTTTTAGTAGACTAACTTAAAAGAGAGAGAGAGAGTGAGGACTCTAATAAATAAAATCAGAAATATAGGAAGATACATTACTACTGATACCACAAAAGTACAAGGGATTACAAAAGAATACTGTGAACGATTATGTGTCCAAAAATTGAGTAACTTTGAGAAAATGGATAAATTTAGAGACTCACATAACATACTAAGACTGAATCATAATTAAATAAAACATCTGAGCAGATAATACTGAGTAAGGAGATAAAATTAAAAATGAAGTCTCCCATCAATATACTCTGGTCCTTGTAAAGCCAGGACCAGATGGCTTCAGAGTTGAATTTTCCAAACATTGAAAAAGCTAACATCAATCCTTTCAAACTCTTCCAAAAAATAGAAGAAAAGGGATTATTACTTCCAAACTCATTTTATGAAGCCAGCATCATCCTGATACTGAAGCCAGACAAAGGCACTACAAGAAATAAAAACTACAAGCCATATCCTTGATGAACATACTTGCAAAAATCCTTAATAAAATACTACCAATGCATATTTAACAGTAAATTAAAAGGGTCATTCACCATAATTAAGTGGGATTTATTCCTGGGATAAAGGTATGTTTCAATATATGCAAATCAATAAATGTAATTCACCATATTAACAGAATAAAGGCCGAAAAACATATAATCATCTTAATAACTGCATAAAAAGCTTTCGACAACATTTATCCTCCTTTTACAATAAAAACACTCAACAAATTAAGCATTGATAAAACGTTTCTCAACAAAATAAAAACACATATGGCAAGCCTGCAGCTAACATCATACTCAAAATGAAAGTTGAAGCCTGTTCATTTTAAGATTAGGAGAAAGACAAGAATGCACACTCTCACCACTTTGATTCAATGTAGTGCCGGAAGTCTTAGCCTGAGTAATTAGGTAAGAAAAAGAAAAGGCATCAAAATAGACAAAAACAAACAAACAAAGAAAGTATTTCTTCTTACTCACAATGTAATCTTAAATGCAAAAAACCCTAAAGACTCCACCAAAAAACTATTGGTCCGATAAACACCTTCAGTGATTAAGCTCAGTAAAGTTGCAGGAAACAAAAATCAACATAAATTCAGGACATAGGCATGGGCAAGGACTTCATGTCTAAAACACCAAAAGCAATGGCAACAAAAGACAAAATTGACAAATGGGATCTAAGTAAACTAAAGAGCTTCTGCACAGCAAAAGAAACTATCATCAGAGTGATCAGGCAACCTACAAAATGGGAGAAAATTTTTGCAACCTACTTGTCTGACAAAGGGCTAATATCCAGAATCTACAATGAACTCAAACAAATTTACAAGAAAAAAACAAACAACCCCATCAAAAAATGGGCAAAGGACATGAACAGACACTTCTCAAAAGAAGACATTTATGCAGCCAAAAAACACATGAAAAAATGTTCATCATCACTGGCCATCAGAGAAATGCAAATCAAAACCACAATGAGTTACCATCTCACACCAGTTAGAATGGCAATCATTACAAAGTCAGGAAACAACAGGTGCTGGAGAGGATGTGGAGAAATAGGAACACTTTTACACTGTTGGTGGGACTTTAAACTAGTTCAACCATTGTGGAAGTCAGTGTGGCGATTCCTCAGGGATCTAGAACTAGAAATACCATTTGACCCAGCCATCCCATTACTGGGTATATACCCAAAGGACTATAAATCATGCTGCTATAAAGACACATGCACATGTATGTTTATTGCGGCATTATTCACAATAGCAAAGACTTGGAACCAACCCAAATGTCCAACAATGATAGACTGGATTAAGAAAATGTGGCACACATACACCATGGAATACTATGCAGCCATAAAAAATGATGGGTTCATGTCCTTTGTAGGGACATGGATGAAATTGGAAATCATCATTCTCAGTAAACTATCGCAAGAACAAAAAACCAAACACCGCATATTCTCACTCATAGGTGGGAATTGAACAATGAGATCACATGGACACAGGAAGGGGAACATCACACTCTGGGGACTGTTGTGGGGTGGGGGGAGGGGGGAGGGATAGCATTGGGAGATATACCTAATGCTAGATGACGAGTTAGTGGATGCAGCGCACCAGCATGGCACATGTATACATATGTAACTAACCTGCACAATGTGCACATGTACCCTAAAACTTAAAGTATAATAAAAAAAAAATCAGTGTTGGCCAGGTGCAGTGGCTCATGCCTGTAATCTCAGCACTTTGGGAGGCCAAGGTGGGAGAATCACTTGAAGGAGTTGGAGACCATCCTAGCTAAAATGGTGAAACCCCGTCTCTACTAAAAATGCAAAAATTAGCGGGATGTGGTGGTACCTACATGTAATCCCAGCTACTTAGGAGGGTGAGGCAGGAGAATCTCTTCAACCTGGGAGGCAGAGGTTGCAGTGAGCTGAGATCACACCACTGCACTCCAGCCTAGGTGACAGAGCAAGGCTCTGTCTCAAAAAAAAAAAAAAAAAAAAAAATCAGTATTATATCTAACAGTAAAGTATCTGAAAAAGAAATTAAGAAATTAAGAAAATAATAACATTTATAGTCGTGTCAAAAAATAAAACACCTAGGAGTAATTTAATCAAAGAAATGAAAGAGCTGTACACCAAAAACTATTATAAAACATTGATGAAAGAAATTTTAGATGACACAAATAAAGAGAAAGATTTCTCATATTAGTGGAGTGGAAGAACTAATGTTTAAATGTCCTTAGTTCTCACAGTGATCTACATATTTAGCATAATTTCTATCAAAATTCCAATGTCATTTATTATAGAAATAGGAAACTTAAACTATTCTGAAATCCAGATGGAACCACAAAGACCGTGAATAGCCAAGGCAATCTTGAATAAAAAGAACAAAACTGAAGGCACCACACTACCTAATTTCAAAATATAATGCAAAGCTGTAATAATCAAAACAAATGACACTGGCATAAAAATAGACACATCAACCAATAATATGGGATAGAGAGCCCAGAAACACATCCACGCATTTATATTAAGTTGATTTTTTACAAAGGTACGAAGAACACACAATAGGAAAAACATAGTCTCTTCAATAAGTGCTGCTTGCAAAACTGGATATCCCCCTGCAAAAATATGAGGTTGGACCCTTATCTTATGCCTTACACAAAAATCAACTCAAAATAGATTAAAGAAGTAAGTGTAAGACCTGACAATGTAAAACCACTAGAAGAAAACATGAGAGTAAATTCCACAGCACCAGTATTGGCAATACTTTCTTGGATATGACTCTAAAAGCACCAGCAAGAAAAGCAAACATAGGCAAATGTAATGAAATCAAACTTACAATCTCCTGTTGCCACAAAGAAAAAATTCATAGAGTGAAGAGAGAACCTAGAGATTGGGAGAAAATATTTCTAAATCACATATCTGCTAAGAGGCTAATAGTCAATATATATAACAAACTCAAACTACTCAATAATAAGAAAACAAATAACCATACTAAAAATGAGCAAAGGATGTGAATAGATATTTCTCAGAAAAAAACTACATACAAATGGCCAACAGGTGTATGAAAAAGTACTCAACATCACTCATCATCGGAGAAATGCAAATAAAAACCACAATAAGATATCATATAGGCTAATATGGCTAGTATTAAAAAGACAAAGACAACAAGTATTAGCCAGAACATGGAGAAAAGGAAATCCTTATACTTTCTTTGTGGGAATGTAAATTAATGCAGCCATTGTGGAAAGCAATATGGAGATTCCTCAAAAAATTAAAAATAGAACTGCCGTATGATCCAGTAATCCCACTGCTATGTATACATTCAAATAAAATAAAATAAATATATCAAAGGGATGTCTGCACTCTCATGTTTATTGCAGAATTACTCACAATAGCCAAGATATAAAATTAACTTATATATTCAACAATCGGTAGTGAATGGACAAGGAAAATCTGGTATATTTGTACAATGGAATACTAGTCTTTAAAAATAAAAGAAAATCTTGTCATTGGTGATAACACGAATGATGCTGAATGACACTATGTTAAGTGACATAAGCCAGATACATAAAGAAAAATACTTCATGATATCACTTTTATGTGGAATCTAAAAAAGACAAACTTAAAGAACAGAGGGCAGAATAGTGGTTATCAGGAGCTCAGGGGTTGTGGTGTCAGGAAGAAGTCTGTATAAGGGTACACACTTTCAGTTAGAAATAAGTTTATGAGCTCTATTGTATAATGTGATGACTATGGTTAATAAGAAGGTATTCTACACTTAAAATTTCTGATGGTAGATTTTTGGTGTTTATCTACCAAAATTCTGTAAGATAATCCATATCTTATTTAGCTTGATTTAGCCCTTCCATAACATATAAATATGTCACGTTATACACCATAAATATATATAGCTTTTACTTTTCAATTTAAAAAATACAATGAAAGTGATTTTTAAAAGCCTAAATATATGAGGAAGTATATCACATTAGTGGATTACAAGACTCAATATCATTAAAATAGCTACCCTTTTGATATTATTTAATATTATTCTACAGATTCAATACACTTGTGGATGGGGAAAGGGGTGATGTTAATCAAATGGTACATTTGAATTAGACAAAAGGAGTAAATTCTAATGATATATTGTGTAGCATGATGACAAAAAGAGTAGATTTAAATGTTCTCACCACAAAGCAATGAATTTTTCTGTGGTAATGGTATGTTAGCCTGATGCAAGCATTCCACAATTTATTCATGTATCATAACATCACATTGTACATACATATATATAATTATTATTTGTCAATTTAAAAGATAAATTTTTTAAAAAGAAAATATGTATGCTAGTGTTGTCAGTAATGCAGATAACTTATTTGAAATATATGATTAAACATACCAGTTTTTTATTGTAGATGATGAAAATAAGTTAGAACATATGTTGTAAATGTGAAATACCTGCAACCAGCTGGAGCTGTTTGAAAATATAATTTCTTTATTTAATAGAATTGACTCAAAGTGGAGAAAGACTGGTGGATCTAATCTCTCCAGAAGCTGTATTTCGAATTCCTTAATAGCCTGAAGTTTGCCTCAGACTAGAAGCCTCAGAGAAGGAGGAGACTGTTAGGAAATATTATTTTAGTTTCTGTTGTTTCATGATTCCTCAAGTCATTTTAAATAAACATTTATTGAGCACTCACTACTTGCCAGTTACTCTGTTAGGTAGGTTGCCGGGAATATCTCAATTAATATTCAATATATTCACTGTATCCTTATGAGGTAGGTGATATTGTTATATCTATTTTATAAATTAGAAAAATGAGACTCAGAAACAGAAAGTCCAAGGAGACTCAAATTAATTACTTGCCTATAGCTTATAAGGCTTAAGCCAGGATTCAAATCAGGTTTCTTTGTGACCCTGGTTCCTATTTTCTTAACTACCCTAAAGTTTAGCACAGCACATGATATTTTATAAAAATAATGAAGATATCTCAGACTCTTTATTAATTCCAAGATCGAACTGGTTTTCAACATAATTACTCAACTCCTTAGAGCTTTTATCTATTATAGATGTGGTTGATGTTTTCTGTTCATTTCACAATAAATATAGGCAAAGGATTCTGTTTGCTCCTGAGAAACTACTATGAAATATTCCAGATAAATCTTTCCAGATTTTATAGGGACTATGGAAATGTTATTTTTTGATATATTAGATTCATTTTATTTTATCGTCCATGCTGCTGCTGTGTGGTTTTTAAGTACAAATCAGCGAGTTCATACCAAAAATGGCCATCACAGACTAAAGTGAACATCTACTGGAATAGTTCTGCTCCATATACCTAAAACCAGCATGTTACCTTCTGCTGTGTAATTAAATCTAAGCCTACATTTTTGCCTAACGTTTGTTCCTTCCTTGGAATCAGACATTTTTGCCAGATACTTTGATAGTGCTATCTTTTTAAGGAGGTTTTGTGATTAAGAAGACCATCATATTTCCTAACCACACATATGGTACAGTAAGGTGAGTAAATATTTATGAGTGAGGAAGTCTTGGAGCTTTATGCATTTAGATACACTTTTATTGCATTAAGGAGGTGATTAGAAGGGCAAGATATTTACATAAATTAAAGAAAACACTATAACAAGCACCAATATGACACACCCTCCAATTCTATAAAATTTTCTTTTGTTAAGAACATTTTAATTCTGAAAATAAGAACTCTGAATACATTATACTTTAGCATCAACTAAAGTATGCTCACTGAGAATATTTTTTAATGATTGCCATACAATATATTGCCTTAACATTTTTTTAGGTATTAAGAAAGGAAAAATCAAATAGTTAAAATATATCAAGAATAATTTTATCTCATTCAGATCTCCTAATTTTGTGAAACTTGCATTTTACACAACTTTTATTTACTCAAAGAAACGTGATCTACAAAGTCATCTCGTTTGAACTGGCGTGCTTACAATGTTGGTCTCCCAAATATGCTAAGATTACTTCCTTGAAAAGAGAACTTGGTCATTACTGTGAGAACATTGTCGTCTCTGGAGTAAAGTAAGGAAGAAACTTTTCCATATAGATCAGTATCTAATTTATTTGGATATTAGGCAATAGTCTGGTTTAACTTACTTTATCTGAAAAAGGTGAGAGGAATAGTTATATACCATTTTTTAAGAAAAATATATTCAATCATTTAACCTTTTAGTTTTTCAAAGTGTAGGCATAAAAAAACTAGAAAACTACATGGAAAGCATGTCTCAATTGCTTATTTCAATGATAATTGATTTTCAGTTTATAGCAATGCTAATAATTATTTTCTCTTAGATACCATTAAATGGATTTGCCATTAATTATATTAAATATATATGAGTATTTAAATGTTATTCATTACATTTTAATAGTACCTCCCTTTTCTAAAAATACATTTATTTCTTAGAGCAGGTTTAGGTTCACAGAAAAGTTGAGTGGAAAGAACAGAGCTCAATTTACCCTGTCCATATACATGCATATCAACATGCCCACCTGTCAACATTCCTCATGAGAGTGGTACATTAGTTAGAATCCATGATCATACATTGACACATCACTATCACCTAAAGTCCTTAAGTCCTCTGTTTTTACATTAGGATTCATTCTTGGTGTTGTCCATTCCTTGGGTCAGATCAAATGTATATTGACATGTATCCCCTAGTAAAGTTTACAGAACAGTTTCACCACCCTAAAAATTTTATCTTCTCTGCCTATTTATTCCTCCTTCACCTTAATCCTTTGTAAGCACTGATCTTTCTGCTCTCTCCATAGTGTCGCCTTTTCCAGAAAGTCATATAAGGAATCATACAGTGTTAAACTTTTCAGATTAGTTGCTTTCACTTAATAATATGCATTTCAGTTTTCTCTGTGTCTTTTCATGACTTGAAAGCTCATTTCTTTAGAGTGTTGAATAATATTTCATGCAAATGATGTAACAATTTATTTATCAATTCACCTACTAAAGGACACCTTGGTTATGGTTACTCCCAATTTTGGCAATTTTGACGTTTTCTTCTTCGGACAGAGTCTGGCTCTGTCGCCCAGGCTAGAATGCAGTGGTGAAATCTCAGCTCACTGCAACCTCTGCCTCCAAGGTTCAAGTGATTCTCCTGCTTCAGCCTCCTGAGTAGATGAGACAACAGGTGTGTGCCATCACACCTGGCTAATTTTTGAATTTTTAGTAGAGACAAGGTTTCACCATGTTGGCCAGGCCGGTCTTGAACTCCTGACCTCAAGTTATCCACCCACTTTGGCCTCCCAAAATGTTGGGATTACAGGCGTGAGCCACCACACCTGACCAAGTTTTGGTAATTATCCATAAAGTTATTATAAACATCTATGTGCTGGTTTTTATGTGCACATAACTTTTCAACTGATTTGTGTAAATACCAGGAGAACAACTGCTGGGTTGATAAGATGTTCTTTAGTTTAGTAACTAACTGCCAAAGTATATTCCAAAATTATTTTATATTCTTAACAGCAGTGAATGAGAGTTCATGTTGCTCCACATCCTTGCCGGCTTTGGGTATTATTCGGGATTTTGCTCAAACAGGTGTGTAGGGGTATTTGATTCTAATAGGTATGTAATGGTATCTGTTTCTAATAGATGTGTGGTGTTAACAAATTCTCTTCTTAAGTATTAAAAAAATGCATAATAGATGTACATATTTTGGGAGTATATGTGATAATTTAATACATTCATATAATTTATAAAGAATCAGTATAATTCATATATCCATCATCTTAAATATTTGTCTTCTTTTCTTTCGTTTTTTTTTTTTTTTTTTCTTTTGAGACAGAGTCTCGCTCTGCCACTCAGGCTGGAATGCAATGGCGCGATCTCAACTCACTGCAACCTCTGCCTCCAGGGTGTAAGTGATCTCGTGCATCAGCCTCCCAGCTGGGATTACATATGTGTGCCACCACACCCAGCTAATTTTTGTATTTTTAGTAGAGATGGGGTTTTACCATGTTGGTGCAGGCTGGTCTCAAACTCCTGACTTCAGGTAATCCGCCTGCCTTGGCCTCCCAAAGTGCTGGGATTACAGGCATGAGACACCATGCCTGGCCTTCTTCTAACTGGAAATATACAACAGATTATTGTAAATTATAGTCACCTTGCTGATCTGTCTAACGCTAGGTCAGACTGTTATCTTAATTTGATATTCCCTAATGTCATATGATGTAATCACCTCTTCATATGCATATTGGCCAGGCATATGTCTTCTCTGAGATATCTATTTCGATTTTTTTGCCCATTTTTTAAATTGGGTTTGTTATTTCCTTATTGCGGAGCTTGAAAAATTCTTTGTATATTTTAGATGAAAATCTTTTATTATATTTATCTTTTGAAAATATTTTCTTCCATTCTGTGGCCGGTGTATCCACCCTCTTGACATTTGTTTGTGCAGAGTAGAAGTTCTTAATTTCAATGAAGTATAGCCTGTCAATTATTACCTTCACAGATTGTGACTTTGGTGTTGTATCAAAAAAGCCATCATCAAACTCAAGGTCATCTAGAGGGTCTCTTATGTTAGCTTCTTGGAGTTTATAGTTTCACATTTTACATTTAGGATTATGAAACATGCTGAGTTTTCATGTTTTTTGGTGTTTGATGAAAGGCCTATATCCAGATTTTTTTTGTATGCGGTTATCCAATTGTTACAGACCATTTATTAAAAACAGTGACCATATTTTTTCATATTAAAGCCTGTGGTCTTTTTAAAACTAACTTATTTTTATTGACAGAATATTGTGCATATTTATGCAGTACAATATTATATTTTGATCTATATATACAATGTAGAAACATTCAGTAAAAATATTTTATATATCTGTCACTTTATCTACTTATTTTTGTGTGTATGGTGATTGGCCTTCGTCAAAAATCAGTTGAGAGGAGGGAGCCAAGATGGTCAACTAGACACAGCCAGGAAGAGCGTCTCCCTCCAAGACAGATCAGATCATCAAATAGACAAGCATGCTCTGAACAGATCTTCAGAAAGAGGCATTTAGAGTGGAAGGAGGAAGGCTACAGACCCCAGGCAGAAAAGCAAGGAAGCTCGGAATACTGCATGGGGTTTTCAAGCACCAGGCCTCATTTCTGGCCCCAAGTAGCTTCTGGGGAAAAAGTGAGTGAAATAGGTGTGAAGTGGCCGACACTCACCACAGAATTACACAATCCTAACTGCAGGAGACCCCATGGCCCCCATGGACATTAGAACTTTGGAGGGGGATCTGCCTAGAGAGTTGACAGAGGCAGAATTCCAGTCTGTATGGAGCCCAGAGGGTTTGGCACAGGAATGGCTGCAATAGAACATGACCATGGGTGCCCATTCTTCAAGACTTGCTATGATTCTCTAGGTAGCTTTAGCCTTTGTTGGCTGCTAGACTTGAACAGAGCTAGACTATTTTGCCTGTGAAATGGGACCAGACTGATATGAGCACCCCTTGGCCTTCCAGCCTATCCCAGGGTTCCTGTCTTGCTGCACCCACTTGCAGTGTAGCCTCAGGTGACAAGGCAAGGTACATGCCAGTGGCCAATGCCATAGCTCTTTCACTAGGAGACCCCACATAACAGTTAGACAGCTTCTACAGGTAGGCGCCTACTGACAAGAACCACTTACAACCCTCTCCTGCTGCCATTCACTCACTCGCAGCCTCCACACTCTGCTTTGCTGGCCTGCGCAGGATCCACTGTCACCTTGCACTACTGGCACATGGGCACACGCAGGAACCAATGCCACCTACTTCCTTCCTGAAGTGATTTTGCTGTCACCTTTCATTAGAGTGTTGTTGCCAATGGACTGGGAACACCTCTGACCCTTTAGCACAGCAGACGCTTAACCTTGAGGGGCCAGAGAAAAATGCTGTGGGCCTGGTTCTAGCCTCTCAGGGTTAGAGCATGAAGCTCAGGAGTGCTGAGTTCAGCTTTGGCACCTTAAAATCATCCAGAAACAAAGCCATTTGACTAAACTTGACTTATACCACAGTCAAACCCAGAAAGGCATGAAATAATATAAAATCAAAACGCCCCATTCAAAGAATAGCAACTTCAAAGATTAAAGTAACATCAGCTGACACAGATGAGAAAGTAGCAGAGCAACTGAGAATTTACTCCTTTATTTTTATTTAATGCCTTTTTATCTCTTATAATCTTTTTTCTCTAAAGTCTGCTATGTCTGAAATTAATACACTTAGTTCAGCTTTCATTTTGATTGTATTAGCATGGTATATCTTTCTTCATATACTTACCTTTTAGATATACGTATCTTTATATTAAAAGTGAATTTTTTACACACAACGTACAGTTGAATCTTGTTTTTTGATCTGAAAATTTGTATTTTTTAATTGGTGTATCTAGGCTACTTACATTTAAAATGATTGTTGATAATATCTGCTTTTAAAAACCAAATATAAATTGACTTACCAATGGCTATTATCAAGATCCCCCTGTTGTGTGCTTGGCCATGAAAATTCAAGACAATCAACTAGTTTGTAATAACAACCAAGTCTAACAAATAGCAGATTGAACAGTTATTGAGGAAGCTTGATGACTTTGGCTAAGTAACACTATGCTCAGGCACAGAACAAAGAGGGCCTCATCCATCATCCAACTGATCTATGACCCTGAGACTAGGCACACCCCACAGCACAACCAAAGCAAACAAATGACAAGGCAAAATCTAACTTCCTATATATCTAATGGTGTTCTTCTTGAAATTCTAGATTCATTTCAAAAAGAGAAGTTAAAAATTTTTTTTAATGACAATAAGAGAAACATCACACTAACATTAATTTCTTTCTATAGACGTATATGTAAATTTATGTAAATAACATGTTGACAGACACATGATATTAATTTGCATATAAGATTGTGTTATAAGTGGCTCTGGTGTTTGCTCGAAACTTATTTCACGACTGTCATTTCAATTTCTGAAATTCTAACTAAGGGGTTCTAGATGTTTTTAAATTTTTCTGCAGACCCAAAAATGTCATTGAGTTTTACTTAAGTATCCTACTATTTATTATTGCTTTTGTTTTGTGAATATTGTTCCAAGAAAATTTGAATATGTAAATTTGATTATATTAAAAATATACATAATAATGACATAACCACAAAGCTAAAAGAAAAATTAAATAAAGTATATTTTGTCTTATCCATCAATATTATATTTTGTTGCATAAATATTGATTGCTATCTATTTATATACATCAAAAGTAAAAATTAACACCACACTATTGGAATATAATTAAGTAGCATATTGAAAGAATAATATATTGCCACCAACTGTAGTTTACGCAAATAATTTGAAGATGAATATAGTCTATTAATATTATTTGCTAGATACATTTACATTACTAGAAAATATGCAATGAGCTTCATTACTCAACTATTTCTCATCAAACATTCTACACACATGGTTTCTGAAATGCCATTTTCTTTTGGTTTACTTTGCACATCAAGCAATTATTTATTAGTCTTTTTTAAGATTAATCTTCCCTCATTTAGACTTCAAAAGCTAGAATTCCTCAATGTTGCATCCTAGTCTTTATTTTCTATTCATTCTATACTGTATTGTATATTTAGAGTGTCACATTTATACCATTTTGTTTCTTATGATAAAATCAAAATTAACCAACTGCTAGCCTTCTCCCTAAAACTGCTGCATGGTTTCCATAATTATTTCACAAATCAATATTGACTTCTTAAAAAAATTCAATCTCACAAAGATTAAAATTTAAATCACAATTTTCTCTCCATGGTTCTTTCTCAAGTGTTTCTTTACTTAGGGAATGACGTCATCAACCTTCTCATTCACCAGTGCCCAAACTTAGAAATGATCCTTGTCTTTTTCTTCTGTTAAGTCCTTCACTGAGTTTAATTTATTTTATTTCTTGAATTCATTCAGGTTTGTACCTCCACTAACCTCCATTCAATTCACAAAACCTTTATATTTTTACTTTCAATATAACACAAGTTGATCCAGTAGACAACTTCCCCACTTGCCCTGAGCTCCACACACCTCCTCTGACATTCCTCTTTATGATCTTATCCTAATGACCTCTCTCAGCCTCATCTTGCATCATGCTTCTTGTGGCTTTCAATCTTCCAGACATACAGGCTTTCTTTTCATTCCACACGTTTCATGCTTTCTCTGGTTAGGAAGCTATGTACCTGTTGGGATGTCTACCTGAACTACTGTGATTCATTCTCTATATTAAGTAATAAATTTCCAGAAATCCTATAGTCAGAAAACAACTGCCATATTTCTTTCCTTAGGATAACTTTACTGAATAACCATCTCCATTTCTAACTCCAACCATAATGTCAGGTTCTCCTGCGTATTCATAAGAATATCTTTATATTCAGGGACACTTATCAAAGTTTTAATTTTATATTTGTTTCTAAGCTTATATGTTAAATATTTTCTCCAATTGAAATTTAATCTCCATAGGGCTTCTGGAAGCCTCATTTGTTTCAACTCATGGTTGTAGTCTTACTGACAGCACAATGTCTTGCATACACCAAAAATATTTGATGAATGCATACATGTTGAAAAAGCATCTCATCTTCAACATTTATTACTCAATTTAAAATGTATTAAAATATAGAAATAGATATTCTTAACATGTTTCATAAATATTGTATCTAAAAATGTTACTAAAGAGTTGTTATTAAGATGATTTACATGAAAACCAGGAATATAAGAAGGTCCAGATCATCTTTACTATTTAGCACTGTTTCATTAGTGCTAGACTGTATATTTAGAAAAAAAAATAATATGTATAAAAAATAAAAATAATGAATAAACCATAATATTAAAAAGTACTATTACACCAGCGCCAGACTCTGCATTGCCAAAAGAAAATGAAATGATATATGCAATTATTAAAAAAATGAAAAATATATTAATTATATTATTTGCAAATAACATGACTTTATGTCTTAAATATCTAACAGAATAAAGTTAAAATCATTTGACATAAGAATATTCCCTATGTTTTATGAAAAATATTAATTTGTGAAGAAGGATCAATAGTTCTATTCCACAATAGCTGTAAATGCAATTGGAACAATTTATCACATCAGAAATACAAATATATAAAAAGATTAAGATTAAGCTTAAAAAAAGGCAGAAAATATAAGTGACCTCTAAAAGTCTATTAAATGACAGAATAAAAGTTTTAAATTAATAAAAAATAATTTGTTCTTAGAACATTTTCTTTTGAAACATTATTTTTTGAAAAATAAATGAATTGAAGGTATTTAAATTGAGCAACAGGAAAACAGCTCAATCAGATCTAAAAATATATTGTAGTATTATTAACTAAAAAGTGTGATATTGGTTCAGAAATTGACAGATGAAACAATGCATATAATGGAAAGCCCCATAAAAACCTGGAATTAGTAAGCAAACTATATTTAGAATATTTAATTCTGCATAAGAGAAAAATCTCTAATATACAAATAAATTAGATAAAATATAAATAGTTTACAAGGGAAAAGAAAAATATTAATTAGCACAGATTCAAGAGAAAAGTGAAGCAGTATGAAAAGTGACAAACCTACAAAGAGATATTCAGCCTTAATAGGAATCATGCAAGTGCAAATAAAACTAACTGTATACAGTTTTTATTAACATATCATAGTTGAAAAATTAAAACAAAATGAATAATATTTGTGTGGACTGAAATGTGGGAAAAGAGCAGTCTCCTGGTAGTGTGAATGGAAACTCCCTTTTAGGCATGCAGCTTCAAAAATGTGTATAAAATTTAAAATATGTATATTCCTAAACAGATATTTTATTTCTAGAAATTCATTTGAGAAGATAATTGGACAAGGGCATGAAAATGCATTTGCAAAAATAGATTATCACGGGATTATTTAAGAGAGTAAAAATAAAGTGAAAGAAATAGAGACTAATAAAATCTAGTATTAAGTTATATAATAGATTGGATTATATAATGGATTGGCATTAAGGCATACAATGAATTAGATTATATAATGGATTGACAATAGCAAATATTATATTGCTATGCATTTCTTAAAGATGATGAAATCTAGTAAGACATATTAATTAGCATATGGTGATGTGCTTTTTTAAGAAAAAAGGCAGGTTACATAGTTTATTAGCATGTGTAATTAATATATGAAATAGATACGAATAAAACACAGTCAAACTTTTATTTGTTTTAGTGAATTATGTGACTTTTGCTAAATTTAAAATTTGTAAATTCATGGTTTTGGTAATTCAACTTTCGTAAGCCATGTTGCCTATGAATGAAGTTCTCATTCAGAGATGTTGATCTGTGTTGCGAGTGTGTCTTGGTGAATTAGGCACTCATTCTCCAAGCAAATTAAAGCAAGCACGAGACTATATGGCTGCTCATTTAGAAATGAATGTCATATAAATTAAGACCACAAATATTGAAAACTAAGTCTGTACTTCCTCATCTGAGTCCTGGAACCACTAGGGTAGGTAAACTCAATTGTAGGCTTTGATGTACAAGGCAGTCACTTTGCACATGGCCACTTGTGGGAAGTGCTCTACCACAAGTAGCAGCAGGTTTACCTATTTAACAATGGTAACTGTGCCTCAAGAGCAAATACTGATGGGCTAGAGAATTTGTTCGTGGTGTTATGTCTGGATGGTATTATTTTGCATATTTTAAATTATTCTTTATAATTTGCATTTTTGAATTTTGTAAAAAATATTTCTGTGTTAGCACATTAAAAGTATTTTCATGGTAATATATCTTTTAATGAGGTGGACATTCAACATAACTTCTGAAAATGGAGAAATATAGCCACTCTTAGTGAGGTTCAGAACCCTGAATATCACTGGGTTTGATACATTTCCATATATGAAGATGTGCATAAGATATGACAAAACTTCTTGAATGATAAAAGAAATTATTCACTGTCTTAAAATAACCTGTGAGACAGTCTAAAGAGAAATTTGCAGTAAGGCATATTAACTTTAGAGCATGTTCCACAGGGAGATCAAATAACTGTGAAAGCATACTGACAGATACAGTCCTTTTATCTCAAAATGTTGTGTTTAACTCAGGTGCTAACAAAACCCATATTCCTGGGATAAGAATTCCTCTTTGGAATTATTCCAGTTTTAAATAAATATTCATTAACAAATTTAGTTAGTATAGATTTGTTTTGTATAGATTTGATGAAATAAGTAACAACTAATTTGTTTCTGTCAATGTTTATAAGCACTTGTGATAGCCAATGTTAATTTAAGGTATTGTTGTGTGTACTCTTCCCAGGAACTTCACTGCCGTCGTTTGTAAGTGGAAATAAAAAAATTATGAATATGACCACTGAATTTAGGTATTTAGAAGAGAACCGTTATCTCCCCAAATTAGAATTTTAACATGTGTTCTTTACAAAATTGCATGTATTTTATATTTTATCCTGTCTCAAAAAATGATGTTCCCTAGACTTAAATTTTATACTTCTTCCTATGGGAACTTGATATTATATTTATTAATACTTTCTTTAATTCCTACTTCTATTAACTTATGTTACATTTTAAACAATTATAAATGAAGAAATGAAAAAACAAAAACCCTCTATTGTTGACAACCATGATTTCCTAACTAAGACTTCACTGGAAGGTCTTTATTGTGAAGCTGCCTTTCCCCATCATTCATTGTTACACTTCATCCCAATAATTAAAATGTTCCTTTGCCTACCAGTCTAAACAAACAACTTCCTCTAATTATTTTTTCTTGATAATTCTACATTATGTGATACACTTTGTTTCTTCTCTTAAAATCTCCTGTATTGTTTCTGGTAGTACTATCAAAGCAGTGCCATGGAGTGGGTGAGATTGCTGTTTCTGTACAAATTATTTAAGTTTAAATGCATTAATTAAATTTACATCATATTTTTAAAAATATCTACAAAGTTGAGATATATTTCTCATATACGTTTCTGTCACGATCAAATAATAAAATTGTTGTTAAAACGAAGAAAACCACAACCATGGTAAAATTGTCAGTGTTGGTGGAGAAGATAATGATACTGAAAATAGCCAGAAACTGTCAGATGGCCTGCATTTTTGGTCACGGGAGAACATTTTCTATGTGACCTGTATAAGAGACCTACAGGACCTTGTCATCAGTGAGGTCAGAGCACTCACTGATGCTGAAATTTGGGGGACTCCCCAGGCTGCCCTCATCATCCTTGCAATATGACTGGCAGGGTAGCCGGTGTGAAGGCATGGGAGGCTCACCCTGGGTGTAAAGGCATGGGGTAGACTCACCCTGGGTGTTTGCACCCACGTGCCTGCTGCTTCAGGGTCTCTGGGACACTGCCTGTGGTCTGAACCGCTTGGGTGGTCCATGGAACGTTTTGCTCACAATGTTTATAAGAAGTAATACAAAATAGGATCATTCTCTCACAAGGGAGGGCAGGGAGAACTGGGAGAACAAGAGGTCACTGGCACCTTCCAGGTGGAAAGCAGGTGGACAACTCCACAGAGGGTCTGTCTGTTGGAACCCAGAGGTGGCAGACTGGTTATGTAAAGGAGAAACAAAAAGGACATGCAGTCTCTTCCACGAAACTGGGACAGATCACATGACTGTCTCATAAGCCCAGCACAGCACACCAGGGCCTCTCTTGACCAGAGGCTTCCGTAGAATCCTGCCAAAATGGAGGCTCGCACCTGCCAGTTGGCTCTATTGCTAAAAGTCATAATAGTGGAACTTATCTTATATCTAATCTTTTTTAGGTCTTCTGAATCACATTTTACAAAAACAGCATGGCAATTTTGATTCAAAATTCAGATGCTTTATTTTTTCCTGTAATTTTCCTGCACACACACGCGCGCGCACACACACACACACACACACACACAGCCATCAAACTAATACTTCATATCCACGGTAAGCTTATGTTTAATTTTGGGGCTGGAAGTACTAATGAGGAAGCAACTGTTCCCACCCTCTGGCGAGACCACCATTCTGGAACCTGATGACAAATGCATGACAGATGCTGAATACCCTCCTGTCTTGATTGCTTAAAAAACTGCTTTTCACTATCAGCATGTTTTCATATCTGGTTTTCAGAACATGAATGTATTCACAATTCAACATTTTAATTTATTCATTTAAAGCATTAAAACTGTTTCTCAGAATACGCATGGTCGAGAAGGGCATACTATTAAAACAAAAATCATCCACTCCATTCCCTTGTCCTACCCATAGTCCCAGAGGCCACCACCTTTCAGCATTTCTGCATTTTGTTCTTCTGGTGGCTAGCACCCTCATTCTACATGGCGTCCTTACATCTCTATGTTGATATTCAACTGAGGCTCTATTGACTGCTTGCCATGAAACACAAGGCTTTAGCTGACTGACACTATATCATCAGCTAAATTTTCACAGTTACATTGTTATTTTTAGTTTTCTGTTGTTTGCCTCTCTAACTTGCAATCTCTTATCTATCCATTTCTTGGTCTATTGTTTTCAGATAATAGATTAGTTTCTCTCAGCCATACCTTAAATTTTATACTGTCAGAGTTGATCATTTTTATATACTGTCTTATAAACATAAGGCTTTCATGCTTTGTTCACCAGTTGATTCTAAAAATCTAAAAAACCAATAAACACTGTGTACATTAAAAAAATAAGTAAATAGAAAATAAAATGTATGAAAATCCTTGGGCAGAGATCAAAACTGAATAAATGTTTTCTATACTTTTATTTATGCTGGTATTTCTCATATTACTCTATAGCCCTTTCTTTGTCTCCCTGGATTACTTGTCTCCTTCCTGCTGTCCCTGCTTTAAATAAATCTTATGAGGTTTATTTCCTTACTTATTTTTTCAATGTACCTTTTTATTCTACAAGCTTAAACATTAACCAATGTATTATGTCTGTATTTCTATCTTTGGTATGCAAGCAACAATCCAGACCTAAACTTTTATTGTCTTCAAAACAATTCCACTTTTGAAGGACTATTTTTCAAAGAGATTCTCTGGCTATATGTACATACATGTCCCTTGTCATTTAGAAATGCTGGCAAAACGCAGCTGAATTTGACCACCACTTGGCTAAACTTGAAGTCACCTATTCTAATATATAAGAAAGCGGTGCTCAAATTTAATTACATGTATAATTGAAACATAGTTACTTTTAATGTATATTTATATATAATGTATATTATTGCCCATTACATTGGTAGGAAAGTAGAAATTAACTGGAGAAGTAGAAATAATATGGTGCTGTGATCATCAGCTGAAGTGTGGAAAGCAGTTTTGGCTAATTTTCATCATCTAATGAGAGCCAATACTTGACTTATAATTATATAATTAAAAGTGGTTTTATATTTTAGATTTAGGTTAGATTAAGTTAAATCTACTTTAAAGGATTAGAGCACTTCTAATCTTTGGTTATGTTTTATTACCATGTTTCATTGAGTACAAGATCTTTACACTGTTTAAGTAAAAATAAGTTGTGAAGATTGAAAATATAGGCTATTAATAAAAATAATAAATTTATTTATTTAATTAATTACTTATTATTAATTTTAATGGGCTTGTGACATTGACAGGATACAGCTCAAGGAGTTAATATTATAAATTGCGCGGTTCTCATTCAGTGAAATTTTCTTTAGGCAAACCTGTACTTGAGCTAGCCAATGTGGAAAGGACATGTATCTTGAAAAAATAGGAGGAAAAAAAGCCACGTATACTACATGTATTCCATTTTTAAACTAAGAAAGTAAAATATTTTCAGTAACTATTTTTCTACGTCTTCTCAGTTATTATGTAGAGAACACTGATTCAAACGCATGAATATATCAAATAAAATATTCTTTAAAAATACTTTAAAATTCACAGCACATTTTATAAATGTTTACTAAATTTATGCACATAGCACAGTGTAAACTTTTTTTGACTGTAGTAATGATGCCTTAAGACTACCAATATATGACATATGAAAATTCACTTTATTTCCTACTTTGGCATAATAACCTCTTCATAAATGATATATAGAGTATTAGTCAACATTTAGGAATATGACAACGCATTTTCCTAGAGAATGGAGCACTCTTAGCTTTAGCAATATCATAAGGAAGATGCAGGAATATATGATCACATCAAAATCAGTAGAGAGTTATCATAAATGGTAAGAGAATTGGACATGCTATATAGTCTCTTTCATGTAAGACTGATCAAGATTTGAGATATTAAAACATCTTTCTCTATGTTATATATATAATATACATATACACACATATAACATATATATGCATACACACAGCATAGAAAAATATGTGTGTGTGTGTATATATATACATTTATATATTATGTTGAGAAAGAGACAGATAAAGAGGATAATTGGATTTTATTTTTTTGAGACGGAGTCTTGCAGTGTCGCCCAGGCTGGAGTGCAGTGGCGTGATCTCGGCTCACTGCAAGCTCCGCCTCCTGGGGGTCACGTCAGAGGAGAATTAGATTTTCTACAGCTACACTGATGAAAGACTGCTGCTAATACAATCCCCCAAGTGGGAATACAGTTTATACAATTTATTTTTTTTCCCTAGAGTACAGGCTGTGGTGGTGCAATATATGGACATCCATAGCCTGGGAGATTGGTACTATCATGTAATTAATCACACGGAATTTATAAGAAACAAGGTGCTGGGTAGTTGGAGAATAAGGGTACTTCGTCATTTTGTGAGAAATGAAAATGTCTCTTTTCTAGCATCAAGCCAGCCCTAATGCTGAGGAAAGTACCACTAAGCCTTTATCAACTGCATTCTTTCAAGTTAATGTAGTGAGATAAGCAAATTCAGTTCAGTTTGTAGTTATTTTATCCATGTTGCCAAAAACCTATACTGGCAAATACATGAACAGTATGACATTATTTGAAAACATCTTATATGTTTTAAGTTAAAACATCTTAAGTACCATCAAAAGAACAACAATCATATAAATAAAAAGCTAAATATTACCCCAAATAATTGATTTGACACTTTATAATCCCTAAGACTGCTAGACTACTCCTTTAGCCTGAAACAAATGAAATGTTAAGAAATATCAAGGTTAACAAACTTCAGCTACGAAACCTACTTCTGACTCTTGAGCATGTCTTGTAACCTATCTGAGCTTTTAATGCCTTGTTCAAAAATTGAATACATTAACATAATCTCTAATTGCACTTACTAAAATATACCATACAGACCAGGTGCGGTGGCTTATGCCTGTAATCCCATCACTTCGGGAGTCCACGGTGGGCGGATCACGAGATCAGGAGATCGAGACCATCCTGACTAACACGGTGAAATCCCGTCTCTACTAAAAAAATACAAAAAAAAAAAATTAGTCGAGCATGGTGGTACGTGCCTGTAGTCCCACCTACTCAGGAGACTGAGGCAAGAGAATTGCTTGAACTCAGAAGGCGGAGGTTGCAGTGAGCTGAGATCAGGCTACTGCACTCCAGCCTGGGAGACAAAACGAAACTCTGTCTCAATCTCATACGAAAAACAATCTGTAAACTAAATATACAGAATACAAAAGGTATGAATATTCATGTTCCCAACAACCATATTGTGTTAGTCCATTTTGCATTGCTATAAACTAATACCTGAGACTGGGTAATTTATGAAGAAAAGAGATTTTTTTGACTCATGGTTCTGCAGGCTGTACAAGCATGGTACCAGCATCTGCTCAGCTTCTGGTGAGACCTCAGAGGCTTTTATTCCTGGCAGAAGGTGAAGCAAGAGCAGGCGTGCCACATGGAGAGAGAGGGAGCAAGAGAGATGCCAGGCTCTTTTAAACAACCAGTTCTCATGCTAAGGGAAGGAGAATTCACTCATTATACCAAGCCATTCACAAGGGTTCCGTCCCAATTACCAAGCACCTCTCAACAGAGGTGTTTGGGGACTACATTTCAACATGAAATCTGGAGGGGACAAACAGTCAAACTATGTGACACGTTAAGAAAATATTGCTTATACTTTGAAAGTCCCATTTTGCCCTTGTGCATTGCATTTATCTTCATTAGGCATGAGATCACTATTATTTCTGTTAATTGTATATCTTTTTTATTTTGTATTTTGTCTTTATAAAAATAGAATTCTACTGTATACATTTTCCAATTTTTAACCAGGTCGTAGTTCATTTATTATTATTTTGTATGATTTTTATCATAAAAATCATTATTTAACACTTCTGTTAATGTATATTGAGGTTATTACTAGTCTCAGACTATTATAAACAATATTCCTGTAAATGTCCAAGTATATAGTCAGGCGGAAGAATTTGTTCATTTTCACATTTGCCTCAGAATTTTTAGGTACACTCTTATTATAACTTCCTTTATCAAAACTTCCATTCTTTATTTTTTCAATCTATGTTTCATTTTTGCTGGTTACAATACTTCCCGATTATATACTGGAAAATGTATTTCTGATGGCGTAATTTCTTGCTTATACTCTCATTCATAAGTTCCGTATATGTTGAGACACTTAGTCTTTAGTATTACTTTCAACTGCTTTTCAAGTGTATCCCAGTGAAAAACTTTTGCGTGTATCTATTTTTACCACGCCTCTGGTATGACACTAGCAGCCAGAACAATTTTATACTAAATGTTAAGCTTTTCAAGAATTAAGTGATAATTTTATACAAACAATTTCAGAAAATCCAGAAAATTGAACAGTTTTTAACCTATATTCTAATATTAGAAAAATCATAATATAAAATCCGAAAGAAATTTGGTATAGGGACAGGAAACAAAACTCAATTTTCCCCTAAATATAGATTTAACCAACAGTAACAAAATATGAGCAAATATAATCTGGCGTTTATAATAAAGAGAATATATTATGACACAGTATTTATCACAAGAAAGCAAGCTGTGTTTAACATTGGAAAATTAATGTAATTAATATGGCTTGGCTCTGTGTCCCCACTCAAATCTCACCTTGAACTGTAATCCCCAGGTGTTGCAGGAGGGACCTGGTGGGAGGTGATGGGATTACGGGGGCAGTTTCCCTATGCTGTTCTTATGATAGTGAGTGAGTTCTCACGAGATCTGATGGTTTTATAAGTGATGGGTTTCCCTGCCCTCTCTCTTGCCTGCTGCTATATAAGAGGTGCCTGCTTCCCCTTCCTTCATGATTCTAAGTTTCCTGAAGCCTCTCCAGTCATGTGGTACAGTGAGTCAATTAAACCTCTTTATTTTATAAATTATCCCATCTCAGGTATTTCTTTATAGCAGTATAAAAGCAAAGTAATACAGATAATTCATCATATAAATAAAATAAAATAGAAAAATATGCAAGATATATAAACAGATTTTTACAAAGCATACCAAAAAAAATTCAAACCCCTTAATGATAACATTTAGCCAACACAAATAGAAGGAAGCATTCTTAGCTTGATGAAAAGAATCTTAGTAAAATCTATATAGCTCCATCAAACTTAATGGTGAGACATTGAGTGTTTTACAAGACAGGGGACAAGACAAAAATCATCACTTCTGTTTAACATTATACCGGGAAGCCTAGGCAGTTCAAAAAGGCAAGTGACAATAAACAAAATAAACATGTGAAAGGAAGAGGTAAAATCGCCATCATTCATAAATGACATGACTATAGATATAGATAACTCTGTAGAATCAACAACAATCGAAAATAAACAAATTTATCAATATCAAGACATACGAGAAAAACATACAATACACAAAGTCAAGATATAAAAGAACAGGATGTAATATCTATGTTAGTAACAAACAATAGAAATAAGAAAAGACTATCATTTATAGTAGCCTCAAAAATTATCAAATGATTAGCAATAAATGTTCCAAATTTTAGTCAAACTCCCTCTCTTAAAATTTACAAAATGTTAATGACAAAATTTTGAAAATCCTAAATGTGTGAAGATATATATTATGTTTATTGATTGAAGAATTCGATATTGTTAAGACATCCACCTGGTGTTTCATAGATCGGCATGGTGACTACAGTTAACATTAATCAATTTCACATGCAAAAATAGCTAGAAGAAAAAAACTCAAATATTCCTAACATTAAAAATGATAAATATTTAATGTGATGGATATCCCAATTACCCTGTTTCATTATATGAATGCATCATAATATCACATGTACCCCCAAAATATTTACATCTGTTATATGTTAACAAAAATACAAAATACAAAAGAGATGAAATTTTAAAAAAGATATTCATCTTTCTAATATTGATTTATAGATTCAACATACTTACTATAATGGCTAATTTTAGGTGTCAACCTGAATGGACTGAAGGGTGCCTAAATGGCTGATGAAGTATTGTTTCTGGGTGTGTTCATGAGGTGGTTTTAGAGAAGATTAACATCAGTCAGTGGACTGAGAGAGGAAGACCCACTTTCACTGTGGATGAGAAACATCCAATGAGCTGGGGGCCGGGCTGAGAAATACAGGTAAAAGAAGGGAATATGACTCTCGTCTGTCCCCATTCCAAAGCAGGACACCTTTTTATCTCCTGTCCTTGGATATCAGACTCTAGGTTTTTTAGCATTCGGACTTCAGGACTCGCACCAGTGGCCTTCTGAGGACTCTCAGCCTTTTGGCTTCAGATTGGGGGCTATACTATTGGCTTCCCTGGTTCTGAGGCTCCAGACAAGCCACATTACCACCTTCTCTGGTTCTTCATCTTGCAGACAGCCTATCATGGGACTTCTCCACTTCTGTGATCATGTGAATCAATTCCCATAAAAAAATCCTCTCACATATCCTATGGGTTCTGTTATTCCAAAGAAACTTAGAGATCTCTAACATAGTCTACCCAATTTTTTTTGAAGAAATTAACAAGTTCATTATAAATTTGATAAGAAACACAAAGGACCTAGAATAGGCCGTACAATTATGTGGCCAAAAATGAAATTAGAGGGCTAAAATATTTCATTTCAAGTCTTACTATAAAGTTTCATTAAGGCAGTGTAATATCATATAAAAATAGAAAAGCAAACTAGTAGAATGGCATAGATTGGCCAAAAGTAGATCTCTACATAAACACTGAATTGATTTTCAACTAAGTAACTAAGATTTTCTAAGTAACTAAGAAAAGAACCCATAAAGTTTTATTAGATGAAAGCTAAAATTTAAAAGCCCATACTCTACTTATATGAGTCCAAGAAGAATGCAAATTAACTTAATGGGGCAGTAACTAGAAATTGGTTGTTGGGTAACAGCAAAATTGACTGAAAAAAGGCATATTTTATATTGTGGTACACAGGTATAGAAAAATTTCATAATTCATATAACTGATCACTTAAGATCTTAGAATTTTACCCTATATTCAATGAAAATTAATTAGAAAACAGGCTCAAAATGGCAGAAATATAAAGAAGTAAAGTACAATAACATTGTTCTGAAACTGTCTTTTGGAAATCGCTAGAGATAAAAGGTGAGAAATAGGAAAAGACTGATGATTTGGCTTGCAAATTCTCCAATCCTGTAAGTTTGGGAAGTAATTGAAGGTACGTAAAAAATTGACCTGATCAGTTTTGCCTTTTAAAAAGATCACTTGGGCATCTGACATAGTAGGAACAAAATGCTACCAGACAAACAATAACGCTGTCAGTTGGCTACTTGGATAGGAAATAATGAGGATCTTGACTTGAGAAGCAGCAGTGGCAATGTAAAACAAAGGGAGATATTTAGAAATCAGGAAATGAAAGTTGCATGTGGTGAGTTAGGAAGCTGTCAAAGCTGCCTCTTGGATTTCTGGATATAGAAGCCATTTCTTCAACAGGATATGAAACGTAAGAGCAAGGGCTTTTTTGGAGAAGCTAACAATCTGTTCAATTTAAGTATGTTGAAATCGGTGTGCCTGTGGATCATGTAAGTGAACAAGTTTAGCAAAGAAGGATTAGGTGAGTTTTGATCTAGAATAGAAGTCTCTACTTGGACAGTTTTAAGTCCATAGGTGGTATGCCAAAGCATGGATTTTTAATGAATATTGTCAATGGATTCCCACCAAGACCACTAGGGACACACCTGTTGTTGAATAGTTGAGTGTTTTACTCACTGGGGCAAAGGAGAACATACCCCATGTGGAGCTACCTCAATACTTGGGTGGTAAAAAAGATTTTAGTCTTGTTAGGTGAATTTGGGAAGCGTTAATAATAGCAGGGCTTTGCTCTAGATGGGATGCTGTTACAAAGTATAGTTAAAACTATGGTTCAGTATCTTTAAAAATATTATTTATAAGGAGTGGAAATGAGAGTGAAGCTAAAGCTATAATTAATAAAGGAGCAGGTGGTCACTCATTTTAGCCATGATAGGGATATCTTTGGTACATTGTGGCCTGGAAAGTCTTTTAGTTTTCTCTGTATTCAGACATCATTATGAGTGGTCTTACTTTTATCTTGATTCTTTATGGTCAGATTGGCCTTGTCTGATGTTGATGTTTTGTTCTGTTACTGAATTGTTTCTGCTCATCAAGGGAACACCAAGACCTAGCTGTTGTTAGACAGCTGAAGTACAGAAAAAGAACACATATAAATGTGCTTCATAATATTTAGTGAAGTTTAATCAGCTGCATAGTCAAGTACCAGGCTAGCATATAGCAATAGCAGGACCTGAATGTTAGTAACAAGTCAACTCCAGGAACCAATTTATCTTTCTCAGTATGTGTCATAACTGGGGAGATTGTAGTTGAGGATTGAAGGAGTGCTAAACCAGAATTTTTAGAAATACTAGCATTTAAGAAATTTTAAGAGAAGATACAATTTAAAAGACTTGTGGAAAATACCATGAAGTTTTAAAGGAGGAGAGGCTGAAATCAAGGATATGAAATATTTCAAGAAGGAGAATGTGACCAGGAGCATATACACCAGTTAATGACTGAAAAGTCTGTATAATATTTAACAAGTATTAGCTATCTTTTTAACATTCATTTCAGTTGCATGGAAGGTGTATGTGTTTTTGAGGGAGAGGGTGCTTGAAAACACTGAGGCATGCATAACCACATTTTAATAATTAGTTCACAATAGGCATGATATAGCCATAGAATTATTCATGAAGCTATAATCCTTATAATGTTTTATTAAACAATAAATATTTATTAAGAATTTTAACATGCTATGTGAAAATGGCCAAATTAATAACTGAGATTTAACCAGGCACAATCTGTACTTTTCTCGAAGCTAGATTTCTGCCTATATGTGTTAAAAAATAAATGTGGAAGACCAGAGAGAGGATCCAAATTATTAAAAAATTAAATCAGTGGTAAATAATTTAGTGAGATCTTATCAAATGGTAAAGCACGTGAGCTAGGTTTGCCATATTTCATCTACCTTAATTAGGTGATAAAGTCCAAAGTAGTTAAAAATAATATATCTTGAAGTGAAAAGATTCAGGCTGTGTAAGGATTCTGGTTTTTAGACATTGCATTTTAATTCTGTATTGGCTCAGAGATTATAGCAGGGATCAAACTGTTAATTATGATTACAGGGAAATCCCTGCAGCTCTGGATCCCATTGACTGATCAAAAATCTCATTTCTGGGCAACCCACACACACTGAGAAACTCACACTAAAACTCTCTGGTCTGTAATTCTAACCCCAAATTAACCTGATGTATAATACATAAGGATTTAACAGCCTGAAAAAGCATACAAGTAAATAAAGAATGGTAACTTTTTTTTTTTTTTTTTTTTGGGATGGAGTCTGTGTCATCCATGCTGGAGTGCAGTGGTGTGATCTTGGCTCACTACAACCTCAAACTCCCGGATTTAAGTGATTCTCCTGCCTCAGCCTCCTGACTGGCTGGGACTATAGGCACGGACCACCACGCCTGGCTAATTTTTAGTATTTTTAGGGGAGACAGTGTTTCACCATGTTGGCCAAGCTGGTCTTGAACTCCTGACCACAAAGGATCCGCCCGCCTTGGCCTCCCAAAGTGTTGGGATTACAGGTTTGAGCCACCACACCTAGCCTAGAATAATAGCTTTAATCAAATCTACATCTTTAATATATTTTTTATAAGTTGAGTAATTTTAACTATTTGGTATTTAAAATATACTATTTAAGATAATCTGACAATAAATGGTGACATATATTTTTATTCCAATGTAAAATACTAATTAAATACTTTATTTTAAGCAAGTGTTTTTAAGACAAAACAAAATTTAGCAAACTTTGCAAACAATTAGTGTTTGGAAAAACTTATAAATAACTACATTTATAAATTTAACTTGTGGAATTTTTAATAAGTCTGTATAGCAGTTTGGGAAGGATATGTTTGTTAGATTGCTAAAAATAAAATACACATATGCATTTTATAATATTTAGGGAAACAATTATATTCATTTCTAAAATACTTAAGGAACATTTGTTGTTAGACAGCTGAAGTACGGAAAAAGAACATGTATAAATGTACTTTATAATATTTAGTGAAGTTTAACTACATAGTCCTCTTAAGTATGATTGTTAAACTTTACTAAACTTATAAATAATGAAATATTTAAAGTAAATTTAGATGCTTAAAGATTTACTTTTTAAAATGGTATATTTTGTAAAAACCAAAAGAAATGAATATTTCACACTGATAAGTTCCATTTATTTCCCTTAACAAAGAGTAGATATATTTAATTATGTGTTTATTAAATTGAAGGTGCCAATCAATATAAGATTTCTGGTAAATAAAATCATTTGAACAGTGAATTTTTTTTGAAACTTGACTGTATATATATATATATATTTCTACTGGCATATGTTTGTGGATCATGTCCTATGTCCTATGCCTGGACTTTTTTTTTCTTTGAGAGATGGTACACATTACAAATGATCTTCAATTCAAATGAAAATAGAATGCCAGTAAGTCTGTAGATATAAATTAAAATTAACTTATGTATTAACATAAGATGTTCTGAGAGTAAAAAGTATATACAGAGTCTGTTTTCCAGGAAAAAAACATAAAGAAACGAGTTTGTTACAATAGGTTTGTTATAAGCAGTTTCTCTGACTTAAAATTACGAGCTGTATGGCAGGGCTTTAGGATATGGTTTGGAGAGAAGATATGTGAAAAAAGTGAAATGTATGGAAGACTTTTTTAAGCACAAATATGATTCAAGAGATATAATTTATGCAGTGTAAATCACAGCACGAGGGAGTTACTAGCATTTAATTAGAATAATAATCATATTTTGCATATTTAAATATAATAATTAGTTCATATGACTAGGTTATATTAAAATATATTTAAATAAAATTAAAATAAATTGTCCAATGATACTGAGTGCTAAACTGAAGTATTTGTTTTTTATTGTCTGTTAACTGAAATAAGTAATTTCAATTGAATTGGGACTCTTGTTGTGTGGCCAATAAGCTCTGCTGAAATGTTTGGTACAGATAAATGGGATTCTAGATGTTGAACTGTCTTAATTTGAGCTGCTACTAAGCATTATCTGTATAGACATTTCTCCAAAGAAGACATATAAATGGCCAATAAGCATATGAAATATGCTCAACATAACTAATCATTAGAAACCTAATCATTAGTTCAAAAAATTAAAAATTGAACTATCAGTTGATCCAGTAGTTCCAATGGTGGGTATACATCCATAAGAATTAAAATCAGGATATTGGAGAGATATTGGCACTCCCATGTTCATTGAAGCATTATTCACCATAGCCAATAGGTAGAAACAATCCAAATGTCCAATGACGGTTGAATGGATAAATAAAATGCAGTGTATGCTACAAGGGAATGATATTCCAGCTTTTAAAAAGATGAGAATCATGCTATAAAAGGCAATATGAATGAACCTGGAAAACATTAAGCTAAGTGAACTAAGTCAGTAACAGAAGGACAAATACTGCATGATTTCCTTTTTACAAGGCATTTAAAGCAGTCAAACTGATATAAGAGTAGAATTCTGGTTGCCAGGAGCTAGAAAACAGAAGAAATGGGGAGTTGCTCCTCAACTGGCATAATGTTTCAGTTAACAAGATAAATAAGTGCTAGAGATTCTCAGTACAGCATTGTGTCTATATTTAACAATATTGTGTGGTGCACTAAAAGTTTGTTGAGGATAGCTCCCACTTAACTGTTTTTACCACACACACACACACACACACACACGAAAACAATCTTTTTAGACACACATGTATACTTCTGCTCCCCAGTAAAAGGAAGTAAAAGAAAAAAGAATGGGTGCATCTGCAATGCAAAGAGAACAGAGAAAGTGTCAACAAAGTTTGGAAGATGGTAAAGTGATGGACAAATGGTAACCAAGTTATGAAAGCAGATGAAGCTGGATTGTATTTAATGAAACGAGGGAAATCATAATTTTGTTTGAGGAACTCCAGAGCCTCAGGAACTACAGGCCTTGGTTGTTTCTGAAAGAAACAGTACAATGTGAGACTGTAAACAGAAGGATTGTTAAAACACATATAGGTACACTTGGAAAACCCTCTGCAGCGGTGCTATCAGGGTTATTGCCCCAGCAGAAGACTGGAGAATTACTGTCTGTAAATATGGAAGCTGAAAAGATCTGAACGAAGAGAAACAAGATTGAGCTGAGAGCAGACATGAGGATCTGAAGACAAACCAATTGAGGTAAATAAAACCTATGCATATTGACTGGTAATATATCCATCTGTCTTTCCAAATCATATCCCACAATTCTGATGAATATACTTACAATTGCTAAGCAGGGTATTGGGCTAAAACATAATGCAATAATTAATCACTAAGACACAATTTCAGAAAAAAACATATAAAATATCAAAATTCCTGTGTTCAAATAGAAATGTTCATAATAGTGTATGCCCATTACACACACACACACACACACACACACACACACACACACGTATACCCTAATTTGGGTGAAATGCTCAAAATACAAAAGTAGATGGACCTAAATAAAGCTGACATAATCATACTAAAATGGGTTTCATGGCTTTCAAATATGCACGATCTGGAAATCATAGTTTATTTCCACTTAAACCTAAAATGTCATTAAATGAAGAAATATAAGAAATGCTGTGAGTGTTTAAAAATGTCATGACTACTTAAGAGTTGCAAGGAAGCAATACTGCTGAAATGGTAATGAAAAGTAGGTCAAATACAGGAAACCAAAAAGGAAAACATGCTATGTAATAGGAATCCCTATAATTCATTTAATTTATAATTTATGGACAGGCTCATCATGCATGAAAGACTGTACTATTCAGTTCAGAAATGACTGTAAGATGATCTTGCTTGAGGTTGACTTACAGACCTCTCAGAATTATTAATCATACTATTGGCAACTCAATTTTAAACTAGGATTTAAAGTGAAGCCCCTTGGAAGAAGCAATAGTGATGTAGACTTCATTTTTAATGTTAAGGTTATTTGCTTTGCTTTCTCTTATAACTTCTGATAGTCATAGGTTATGTGTAAATGAAATAACATTATTAAGCCAAAAGAATTTCCAAACTGAATGTATACAAGTGACAATGTATAAACATAAAATTAATAGTTTTCAGAAATATTTTATTTTGCTGTGCTTATCAGTTCAAGTGCAATTTAAGTGTTATCCACTTTAGTTCTCATTCCTGGAACAAAAGAATTTTTCATTTGATGAAAGGCATTCACAAACAATCATAGGGCAAATGTATCCCATCATTAGAATTCCCTTTATTATTTTCTACAGATTATACTAAGGACATTCACATGATTTTCACTCTGGAATTTTAAAGACACCTCAGTTTGCCACTAAAATGAAAAAATACTTCAGTGCAAGTGAACTCATGTGTGTATAACACACAAACACACACACATTGTATTTTATTCATTTGTAAAACTTAAGGCTAAAGGTATGTCTAAAATATTATCTCACAAAACATAATATGAAATCTATCAAGCTAAATATTATGTATAAATACCAAAAAATTTTTTATTTAAAATGCAATTTAGTAGACTTTAGGTTATTTCTGACTCTTTCTAGCTCAGAAAAACTCTTTATTAGATATGGTACCTTCCTTTAAATGCCTCTTTTTCTGCACACCTTCATGAATCATATTGTGTTCACCTGGTGATTATTAATTACTGCTATCAAGCAAGCCTCTTTTCAGTTATTACTGCATATATGTATATAAAATAATTTGACCCTCCAAATGAAATTCTATCAACTCTGAGCCAGGTTAATTTTATTTCTAAAACACCAACATGCTAAATAAATTTATTCAATAATATGGTACAATCCTTTGGAAAACAGCTACTAGTTTCTTATACAGTTAAACATACACTTCCTTGTGACAATAAAAAAATTATATTAAAACTTTTAAACCAGCCTTTTTAATATAAATGCAAAAGCTCATTCTAAAATACAGTGTAAATGCCAATTACTTAGGAAATCTAAAGCAATTTTTAAAATAAAAAAATGAATGAATTAGACTATATAAATAATGCAAGACCATTATTATTATTTGTAAAAGGAGAGATATATAAAATCAATAGATATACCCATAGACCTTCAATTTTATTGAAGACCAATAAGTGACACAATGACTTCAATAAAAATGCCAGATTAATGCAATGAAGGACACATGTCTCACACCATATATAAACATTGATCTCACATGAATCTTAAGACTTGATACAAAATTTATAATTGTAACACTTGTAGAAGAAAACAATGAAAACTCTATCTTACATGTGGACAAAATATTTCTCAAATAGTACACAGTCACACAAACAATTTTAAGTAAATATTGATAATCAATTAGCTTTTTGAAGCACTGGTATAAAAATAAAAAAAAATTGTCCACAAAATCAGAGAAATGTTTTTAATCTATGTATATATTGACAACCATTATTATATACAAAACATAACAAACTCTTAAACTTAATAACACCAAAAACAGTAAAAATAGACAAATTGCTAAACTATTTATATAAATACATAAAAAGATGTTAAATAGGAAGTAGAGCAATTGGACCTCTGTTACATTTCTAGAAGAGAGTTAAAATGGGACAAGCACTTTAGATAAAACTGGTATTTTCTTACCAAGTTCAGTATGCTCCATTCATAGGAGGTTGGTCTTTACCAAGAGATGTAAAAGCATAAGGCCACAGAGAGAATTAGCAAGAATGTCCATAGTAGCTTTACATCCAATAGCCAAAAAGTATAAATAACTCAAATGCCCCTCAAAAAGGGAATAAACAAATGTGTTATACCCATGCAATAGAGTGCTACTCAGCATTAAATTTCTACAAAATGAAATTGAATTACTGAAACAGAAAGCACATTGTTGATTATTTGAAGCTAAACATGTAGAAAGTGACTGAGTACAATAGTGCAAAAGGAGTATTTGTGTATTATGGAAATGTTCTGTATGTTGATTTTATTGTGGTTTCATGGGTGCATATATTTATTAATACTCACAAAAATGGTGCACAATGATGTTAAAACAGATTATAAGAGATATCATGTAGTACAGCTTTGTAAATTCTTTTTTTCTATGTAAACAAGACTTTTAAAAAATTATACTCTAAGTTCTGGGATACATGTGCATAAAGTGCAGGTTTGTTACATAGGTATACATATGCCATGGTGATTTGCTGCACCCATCAACGTGTCATTTAGGTTTTAAGCCCCACATGCATTAGGGATTTATCCTAATGCTTTCCCTCCCCTTTCCCCCCACCCCCCTACAGGCCCCGGTGTGTGATGTTCCCCCATGTCCATATATTCTCATTGTTCAACTCCCATTTATGAGTGAGAACATGTAGTGTTTGGTTTTCTGTTCCTGTGATAGTTTGCTGAGAATGATGGATTCCAGCTTCATCCATGTCCCCACAAAGGACATGAACTCATTCTTTTTTATGGCTGCATAGTATTCCATGGTGTATATGTGCCACATTTTCTTTAACCAGTCCATCATTGATGGGCAATTGGGTTGGCTCCAAGTCTTTTCTACTGGAAATAGTGCTGCAATAAACATATGTGTGCATATGTCTTTATAGTAAAATGACTTATAACCCTTTGAGTATATACCCAGTAATGGGATTGCTGGGTCAAATGGTATTTCTGGTTCTAGATCCTTGAGGAATAGCCACACTGTCTTACACAAGGGTTGAAACAATTTACACTCCCACCAACAGTGTAAAAGTGTTATTTCTCCACATCCCCGCCAGCATCTGTTGTTTCCTGACTTTTTAGTGATCGCCATTCTAACTGGTGTGAGACGGTGTTTCATTGTGGTTTTGATTTGCATTTCTCTAATAACCAGTGATGATGAGGTTTTTTTCATGTTTGTTGGATGTACAAATGTCTCCTTTTGAGAAGTGTCTTTCATATCCTTTGCTCACTTTTTGATGGGGTTTATTTCTTGTGAATTTGTTTATGTTCCTTGGAGATTCTGGTTATTAGACCTTTGTAAAATAGACAGATTGCAAATTTTTTTCCCATTCTGCTGGTTGCCTTTTCACTTTGATGATTTTTTTTTTTTTTTTTTTTTTTTTGCTGTGCAGAAGCTCTTTAGTTTAATTAGATCTCATATGTAAATTTTGGCTTTTGTTGCCATTGCTTTTGGTGTTTCAGTCATGAAGTCTTTGCCATGCTTATGTCCTGAATGGTATAGGTTAGGTTTTCTTCTAGGGTTTTCATGATTTTACGTCTTTTGTTTAAGTCTTTAATTCATCTTGAGTTAATTTTTGTACAAGGTGTAAGGAGGAGGTCCAGGTTCCGTTTTCTGCATACGGCTAGCCATTTTTTCCCAGCACTGTTTATTAAATAGGGAATCCTTTCCCCATTGCTTGTTTTAGTCAGGTTTGTCAAAGATCAGATTGTTGTAGATATGTGGTGGTATTTCTGAGGCCTCTGTTCTGTTCCAGTGGTCTATATATTGGTTTTGGTACCAGTACCATGCTGTTTTGGTTACTGTAGCCTTATAGTATAGTTTGAAGTTAGGTAGCATGATGCCTCCAGCTTTGTTCTTTTTACTTAGGATTGCTTTGGCTCTATGGGCTCTTTTTTGGTTCCATATGAAATTTAAAGTAGTTTTGTCTAATTCTGTGGAGAAAGTCAATGGTAGTTTGATGGGAATAGCACTGAATCTATAAATTGCTTTGGGCAATATGGCCATTTTCACGATATTGATTCTTCCTATCCATGAGCATGGAATGTTTTTCAATTTGTTTGTGTCCGCTCCTATTTCCTTCAGCAGTGGTTTGTAGTTTTGCTTGAAGAGTTTCTTCACATCCCTTGTAAGTTGTATTCGTAGGTATTTTATTCTCTTTGTATATTGCGAATGGGAGTTCCCTCATGATTTGGCCCTCTGTTTGTCTGTTATTGGTGTATAAGAATGCTTGTGATTTTTGCACATCAATTTTGTATCCTGAGACTTTCCTGAAGTTGCTTATCAGTTTAAGGAGTTTTTGGGCTGAGACAGTGGAGTTTTCTAAATATGCAATCATGTCATCTGCAAAAAAAGACAATTTGACTTCCTCGCTTCCTATTTGAATACCCTTTATTTCTTTCTCTTGCCTGATTGTGCTGGGCAGAACTTCCAATATTATGTTAAATAGGAGTAGTGAGAGAGCATCCTTGTCTTGTGCTGGTTTTCAAGAGAATGCTTCCAGCTTTTGCCTATTCAGTATGATATTGGCTATGGATTTCTCACAAATATATCTTATTATTGTGAGATATGTTCCATCAATATCTAGTTTATTGAGTGTTTTTACCAAAAAGAGGTGTTGAATTTTATTGCATCTATTGAGATAATCATGTGGTTTTTGTCATTGGTTCTGTTTACGTGATGGATTACATTAATTGATTTGTGTATGTTGAACCAGTCTTGCATCCCAGGGATGAAGCCGAGTTGATCGTGGTATATAAGCTTTTTGATGTGCTGCTGGATTTAGTTTGCCTGTATTTTATTGAGGAATTTTTTTTTTTTTTTGCATTGCTATTCATCATGAATACTGGCCTGAAATTTTCTTTTTTTGTTGTGTTTCTGCTAGGTTTTGTTATCAGGATGATGCTGGCCTCACAAAATGAGTTAGGCATAAGTCTCTCTTTTTTATTGTTTGGAATATTTTCAGAAGGAATGGCACCAGCTCATCTTCGTACCTCTGGTAGAAGTCGGCTGTGAATCCATCTGGTCCTTTTTTTTGGTTGGTAGGCTATAATTACTGCCTCTATTTCAGAACTTGTTATTGGTCTATTCAGTGATTCAACTTCTTTCTGGTTTAGTCTTGGGAGGGTGTATGTGCCCAGGAATTTATCAATTTCTTCTAGATTTTCTCTTTCTTTCTCTCTTTCTTTCTTTCTCTCTCCCTCTCTCTTTCTTTTTTTTTTTTTTTTTTTTTTTGATGGAGTTTCACTTCACTCATTTTGCCCAGGCTGGAGTGCAATGGTGTGATCTCGACTCACTGCAACCTCTGACTCCCGGGTTCAAGCGATTCTTCTGCCTCAGCCTCCCAAGTAGCTGGGATTACAGGTGCCTGCCACCACACCCGGCTAATTTTTGTAATTTTTTTAGTAGAGATGAAGTTTCACCATGTTGGCCAGGATGGTCTTGATCTCTTGACTTTGTGATCTGCCCACCTCGGCCTCCCTACATGCTGGGATTACAGGTGTGAGCCACAGCGCCCGGCCAATTTCTTCTAGATTTTCTAGTTTATTTATGTAGAGGTGTTGATAGCATTCTCTGATGGCAGTTTGTATTTCTGTGGGGTTAGTGGTGATATCCCCTTTATCATTTTTTATTGTGTCTATCTGATTCTTCTCTCTTTTCTTCTTTATTATTCTGGCTAGCAGTCTATCTGTTTTGTTAATCTTTTCAAAAAACCAGCTCCTGGAATCACTGATTTTTTGAAGGGCTTTTTGTGTCTCTATCTCCTTCAGTTCTGCTATGATCTTAGTTATTTCTTGTTTTGAATGTGTTTGCTCTCGCTTCTCTAGTTCTTTTAATTGTGATGTTAGCACGTTGATTTTAGGTATTTCCCAATTTCTGATGTGGGTATTTAGTGCTATGAATTTCCCTCTGAACACTGCTTTAGCTGTGTTCTGGTACATTGTGTCTTTGTTCTCAATGGTTTCAAAGAACTTATTTATTTCTGCCTTAATTTTCTTATTTACCCAGTAGTCATTCAGGAGCAGGTTGTTCAGTTTCCATGTAGTTGTGCGGTTTTGAGTGAGACTCTTAATCCTGAGTTGTAATTTCATTGCACTGTGGTCTGAGAGACTTTGTTATGATTTCTGTTCTTTTGCACGTGCTGAGGAGTATTTACTTCCAATTATGTGGTCGATTTTAGAATAAGGGCTATGTGATGCTGAGAATAATGTATAATCTGTTGAACTGGGGTGGAGAGTTCTGTAGATGTCTATTTATTAGCTCTGCTTGGTCCAGAGCTGATTTCAAGTCCTGAATATCCTTGTTAACTTCTCTCTCGTTGATCGGTCTAATACCGAAAGTGGAGTTTTAAAGTCTCCCACTATTATTGTGTGGGAGTCTAAGTCTCTTTGTAGGTCTCTAATAACTTGCTTTATGAATCTGGGTGTTCCTGTATGTGATGCATTTATATTTAGGATAGTTAGCTCTTCTTCTTGCCTTTATCCTTTTACCATTATGTAATGGCTTTGTTTGTCTTTTTCTATTTTTGTTGGTTTAAAATCTGCTTTATCAGAGACTAGGATAACAACCTCAGCTTTTGTTTTTGCTTTCCATTTGCTTGAGTCTATGTGTGTCTTTGAACATCAGATGGCTCTCCTGAATACAGCACACTGATGGGTCTTGACTCTTTATCCAATTTGCCAGTCTGTGTCTTTTATTTGGTGCATTTAGCCCATTTACATTTAAGGTTAATATTGTTATGTGTGAGGCCGGGCGCAGTGGCTCATGCCTGTAATCCCAGCACTTTAGGAGGCCGAGGCGGGCAGATCACGAGGTCAGGAGATTGAGACCACGGTGAAACCCCGTCTCTACTAAAAAATACAAAAAAATTAGCCAGGCACGGTGGCGGGTGCCTGTAGTCCCAGCTACTTGGGAGGCTGAAGCAGGAGAATGGCGTGAACCCAGGAGGCGGAGCTTGCAGTGAGCCCAGCCAAGATCGTGCCACTGCACTCCAGCCTGGGCGACAGAGCTAGACTCCATCTCAAAAAAAAAAATATTGTTATGTGTGAATTTGATCCTGTCATCATGATGCTAGCTGGTTATTTGGCACAGTAGTTGATGCAATTTCTTCATAGTGCCATTGGTCTTTATATTTTGGCATGTTTTCGCAGTGGCTGGTACCAGTTCTTCCTTTCGATAATTAGTGCTTCTTTTACGAGCTTTTGTAGTGCTTCTTTTACGAGCTTTTCTAAGGCAGGCCTGGGGGTGACAAAAATCTCTTAGCATTTGCTTGTCTGTAAAGGATTTTACTCCTCCTTCGCTTATGAAGCCTCGTATGGCTGGATATGAAATTTGGGTTGAAAATTCTTTTCTTTAAGAATGTTGAATACTGGCCCCCACTCTGGCTTGTAGCATTTCTACAGAGAGATCCACTGTTAGTCTGATGGGCTTTCCTTTGTAGGTAACCTGACCTTTCTCTCTGGCTGCCCATAACATCTTTTCCATCGTTTCAATCTTGGTGAATCTGATGATTATGTGTCTTGGGTTTGCTCTTCTCGAGGAGTATTCTTGTGATGTTTTCTGTATTTCCTGAATTTGAATGTTGCCCTGTCTTGCTAGGTTGGGGAAGTTCTGGATAATATCCTGAAGTGTGTTTTCCAAGTTGGTTCCATTCTCCCCATCACTTTCAGGTACACCAATCAATCATAGGTTTGTTCTTTTCACATAGTTCTATATTTCTTGAAGGCTTTGTTTGTTCCTTTTCATTCTTTTTTCTCTAATCTTGTCTTCACACTTTGTTTCATAAAGTTGATCTTCAATGTCTGATATCCTTTCTCTGCTTGATCAGGTTAGCTATTAATACTTGTGTGTGCATCACAAAGTTCTCCTGCTGTGTTTTGCAGCTCCATCAGGTCATTTCTCTTCTTCTCTAAACTGGTTATTCTAGTTAGCAGTTCCTGTAACCTTTTATCATAAAGGCTCTTAGTTTCCTTGCACTGGGTTTGAACTTGCTCCTTTAGCTCAGAGGAGTTTGTTATTATCCACCTTCTGAAGCCTCCTTCTGTCAATTCATCAAACTTGTTCTCCATCCAGTTTTATCCCTGCTAGAGAGGCGTTGCAATCATTTGGAGGAGAAGAGGCCTTCTGGTTTTCAGAATTGTCAGCATTTTTGCGCTTGTTTTTCCTCATCTTTGTGGATTTCTCTACCTTTGATCTTTGATGCTGATGACCTTTGGATAGGGTTTTTGCATGGGCATCCTTTTTATTGACGTTGATGTTATTGTTTTCTGTTTGTTAGTTTTCCTTCTAACAGTCAGGCTCCTGTTCCGCAGGTCTGCAAGAGTTTGCTAGAGGTCCACTCCAGACCCTGTTTGCCTGGCTATTACCAGCAGAGGTTGCAGAACAGCAAAAGTTGCTGCCTGCTCCTTCCTCTGGAAGTTTCATCACAGAGGGACACCTGCCAGATGCCAGCTGGAACTCTCCTGTATGAGGTGTCTATCGACACCTGCTGGGAGGTGTCTCCCAGTCAGGAGGCACAGGGGTTAGGGACCCACTTGAGTAGGCAGTCTGTCCCTTAGCAGAGCTCGAGAGCTGTGTTGGGACATCCGCTGCTCTCTTCAGAGCCAACAGGCAGGAACATTTAAGTTTGCTGAAGCTGCGCCTACAGCTGCCCCTTCGCCTAGGTGCTCTGTCCAGGGAGATGGTTTTATCTATAAGCCCCTGACTGCGGCTGCTGCCTCTCTTTCAGAGATGCCCTGCTTAGTGAGGGGGACTCTAGAGAGGCAGTTTGGCCACAGTCATTGCAGTGCTTTGGTGGGTTCCTCCCTGTCTGAATTTCCCAGCAGCTTCTTTAATACTGTGAGGGGAAAACCACCTACTTAAGCTTCAGTAATGGTGGACGTCCCTCCCCCCACCAAGCTCAAGCATCCCAGGTTGACTTCAGAATGCTGTGCTGGCAGTGAGAAGTTCAAGTCAGTGGTTCTTGGCTTGCTCAGCTCTGTGGGGGTGGTATCCACAGAACTAGACCACTTGGCTCCTTGGCTTCAGCCCCCTTTCCAGGGTAGTGAATGGTTCTGTCTCACTGGGGTTCCAGGTGCCACTGGAGTATGGAAAAAAAAGACAAAACACTCCTGCAGCTAGCTCTGTGTCTGCCCAACAGCCGCCCAGTTTTGTGCTTGAAAACCAGGGCCTTGGTGGTATAAGCACACGAAGGAATTTCCTGGTATTCAGGTTGCAAAAACTGTGGGAAATGCGTAGTATCTCGGCTGGATAACACAGTCCCTCACAGCTTCCCTTGGCTGGGGGAGAGAGGTCCCTGGACGCTTGCAGTCCCCCGCTGAGGGGACACCCCACCCTGCTTCTGCTCGCCCTCCATGGGCTGCATGCACTATCTAACCACTCCTAATGAGATAAACCAGGTACCTTAATTGGAAATGTACAAAATACCTGCCTTCTCCATTGGTCTCACTGGGAGCTGCAGACCAGAGCTGTTGCTATTTGGCCATCTTGCCTTGGTCTCTGTAAATAAGACTTTTAATAGTGCCATTGTATTTAAATTGAACCACTGCATGAGATTTTACTTTTTTTTAATTTTTAATTTTGGGGGCAAATAGTAAGTTTATATATTTATGGGTACATGAAATGTTTTGAAATAGGCATGCAATACATAATAATCACATCATGAAAAACAGAGTGTCCATTCCTTCAAGTATTTATCCTTTGTGTCACAAACAACCTAATTATACTCTTTTAGTTATTTTAAAATATACAATTAAATTCTTGACTATAGTCACCCTGTTGTGCTAGCAAATACTAGGTCTTATTTATTTTTTCTAATTATTGTTTTTGTAGCCATTAACTCTCTCCACCTCCATCCTTCTGCTCTCTATTTTCATGAGTTTGATTGCTTTTATTTTTATATTTCTCAAATAATTGAGACCATGTGATGTTTGTCTCTCTGTGCCTGGTTTATTTCACATTTCACTTAGCATAATGACCTCCAGTTCCATTCATGTTGTTGCAAATGACAGGATCACATTATTGTTATTATTATTTTGGCTGAATAGTACTTCACTGTGTATAAGTACCACATTTTCTTTATCCATTCATCTGTTGATGGACACTTAGGTTGCTTCCACATCTTGGCTATTGTGAACAGTGCTGCAAAAACATGAGAGTGCACATCTATCTTAGATACACTGATTTTCTTTTGGGGGGTATATACCTAGCAGTGGAATTGCTGGAGCATATGGTAGCTCTAATTTTACTGTTTTGAGGAACCTCCAAACTCTTCTTCATAGTGACTGTACTATTTTACACTCCCACCAACAGTGTACAAGGGTTCCCTTTTCTCTACATACTTGCCAGCATTTATCAACTATCTTTTGGAGATAAGCCATTTTAACTGGGGTGAAATGTTATCTTATTGTAGTTTTGATTTGCATTTCTAAGATGACCGACGATGTTGAGCACTTTTTCATATGCCTGTTTGACATTTAAATGTCTTTCCTTGAGAAATATCTATTCAAATATTTTGTCCATTTTCTAATCAGATTATTGATTTTTTTTTCCTTTAGAGCTGTTTGAGCTGCTTTTATATCCTGGTTATTAATTATTTGTCAGATGGGTAGTTTGCAATGTTTTCTCGATTCTGTGGGTTGTCTGTTCACTTGGTTGACTTTGTGTATTCTTAACCTTTGAACTCTTTTTTATATTCCTATTAGGTATAAATATTACAATATTTTATTTGCATAATGATTCAGTGCTAGCTAAGAAATGTAAGTGTAGATGGATATATTCATTGTTTATAGCATATGTCACAATTTTAATTCTCTTATTTTAACAATATTAATTTATAACATGTATCAATAAGTAATTACAAGTTGAAACTTGTTTATCATCAGTCTCGCATTTTAGTGCTTGGTAACATAAAATTTATAAACTGAATAGTTACTATGAACATTTTATATAGTAGTTTTGAAGACTTCATTCAGGATCAGAGTCAAGGCTATGAAAATTATGCATATGGGTGAAGATACAGAGACAAAGTTTGAACTCTTACAAAATTCATTATATTTTGGCATTTAGTACTAGTGGCCTGTCTCAGGAGGCAGATTCCTCAAGATAACACTGGGACACTGTTACCTGCATGATCCTGTTTTACCTATTTCTCTTGGTTCAAATCTCTATTTAGTGTGAGAATAAGATGTGTTCAAGAAACCAATGAATGGTGTTTCTTGGTGCTCATAAAGCATATTGCCCTCACACATGTGACTCCTTATACACATTTAAAAAACAAAATCCATTCTTCTCAAAAGTTGGCGTTTCATAGCTTAAATTGAGAGATTTTTGAGGGTAAAAAATGCACTTTCATTTCTATACTTTTATTTCCCAGCACAGTGCCCATATAGAGTAGATATTTGATATGTTTACTGAATATATGTTTGGATACATGAGACTTCTTAATTTCAGTTAAACAGAACCTTCTAATAATTATGCTCTGGCTTTGGAGACACAAAGTAATTTGGATAATGAGGAAATATAAGCTTTAGATAATTTTACAAAATTAATTAAACACAACAAAGTGGTGAATACTTTTCCTAATACATATTGTTATGTAGCCTGAGATAATTTATGCTAATCATAATAAATCTATCCTTTATCTCTCCCAAGGTTACAAAGGTTGCAAAGACATATTCTAATTTACCTCAGTTGTCATTCTCCAACCTTTATTTTGTTCATTTTTTAGGTATTAAATATAATCTGGATAATTAGGGAACAGTATATTCTGATGTTTTTTTTTCCTTTTTGTTGTGAGAAGACAAGGAAAAAGAAATAGGGAATTTATTGGATTTTTACTGAATGTTTCAATCTATCACACAATGTGCTGGGATAGAATAAATAGTATGACATTGTGCTTTTTATTTCTTCATAGGCTGAAGCAAGAGTTTACACCCTAGCAGAAAATGACAATATAATAGATTTTGAATGATAACTTTGCTGGAAGTTGGATATTGCATCTAATGAATTATCTTTTTATAATTGTTTTAAGTTAGCTATTCTATAAATGAAAATTAGAATTTTACTATGTTGCTTGTTCAGATCATTTGCTACAGTTGTGTATAAGAATTAATAAAAGCTGGCCGAGCGCGGTGGCTCACACCTGTAATCCCAGCACTTCGGGAGGCTGAGGTAGGCGGTTCATGAGGTCAGGAGTTGGAGACCAGCCTTACCAACATGGTGAGACCCCGTCTCAACTAAAAATACAAAAATTAGCTGGGTGTGGTGGCGCGCACCTGCAATCCCAGCTACTCAGGAGGCTGAGGCAGAAGAATCACTTGAACCCGGGAGGCGGAGGTTGCAGTGAGCCAAGATTGCGCCACTGCACTCCAGCCTCAGCAATAGCAGAGCGAGACTCTGTCAAAAACAAACAAACAAACAAAAATTAATAAAAGCTAAAAAGGATAAAATTTCAACAAGTTTTATTTAAGAGCAACTAATTTGTTAACAATATTGTTTTTCCACATCCTTTTCAATTATTCTGTTTTCTTTTTGTCAAGGAAATTTTGCTAGAAGTATGAGGAATATAAGAATAAATTCTTAGTATGTTGTTTCATTTCAATATTAAAAATATCAAATATATATAAACTGCATTACCAGATATCATAATTATACTAGCCAGGATGGAATTATACTTGTGTATTTAAACAACGCTGCTTCAAACTATAGGTTTTTAAAGTGAGCATCAGCAACTACCTCTTACATTTTTTCTTTTAACAGTATGTCAAATGGCATAGCCTAATTTGGAAACACATCTTTTAAAATACTTGAGAAATTAGGATTTTTAAAAATAAATAATAATCTTAAGCACTTAAGCCTTTTTTTTTCTATCCGTATAATTATGTATAGAAAACAAAATACTATAGTTAATACTGTGCTTTGAGAACTATCTTCAAGTGCCAAATAAGACTTGGAAGATTCAGTCATTGGACCCAATGCTACTTCTGCTTAACTTTTTCGCAAGATAGCGAAGCATTAAGCCCAAGTAAGAGAATCTACTACAAAATATGTATTATTTTCAAGTAAATCTGCTATTAATTGCATGTTGGCTCTAACGTCAGTTCTCCTCATTACAATAGAAAATAAACTCTTTATTAATTCATCATATGTGTAAGATATTCAAAATTCAAATTGAAATGATGCTACAGAAAACTTAAAAAACTTTTATATATATTATTTCAATAAATTCTAGCTACATAATTATTAAATAAATTAGGGTTGCATTTTATTTATGTTCAAAATAAAACAATGTATCCCAGTTGGGGAATTTAATAAATATACTGATAAATCTGTTTTGATGTAAAATTTTGGCTTATTCTGAATTAGAGTGGAGGTAGCATTATCTATGTGGCAATATATAAGCAATAAGTATCTTCAGAGTTTCAAGCAGGAGGAGAGCATTTCAAGTGCTTATTTAAGCATTTTTAGGAGAACAGGAAGTCAGCTTCCTCCTATGTGAGTTTCATGACTTCCTTAGCTTCAGAATTATTGACATTACGTTTTCTTGTTTTTGCTGTTGTTGTTCTGGACTACTACACTATTCGAAATATAGTCTAATATCTTTGGTCTCCTTTTAATTTCTTAAGAGGGATCCTTTCACCTCTTTTCCTCAAGTATGAATTTCTAGCCATATTACAAAGAATGATAATATGCCTTATGCACATTTCTGGACACCACGAAGGTGGTTCCAATTCTCAAAAGCAACACTATCTGCAATTTTTAAAAACAATATTTTAAAAAGTTTGAAGGTAAAAAAATTTCAATTTGGAATTTTATTCACCTTTTAACTGTAATCATTGAAGTGTTAACTTTTTTTTCAGATTTTAACATGCTTTAGAAATTGTTTTTAGCTTTTGTATGCTCAAAGAGTCATCACAGATTTCTGTGTATTTTGAATGAAATATTCTCCATTAATTACCTACAAATTTAAAATTCTTTAAAATTTTACCCTCTGGCATATCATCCTTTGTTAATATGGTTATTGAATCAATATTCAAACATCCACTTTTAAGGATTCTACAGCTAATATGCCTACCTGAATTTTCATGGTGCTTATTATTGTAATTTAGTTTAGATAAAATGATTTCTAAATTACATTTCATAATGAAAATGATTATTCACAAAGGACATAAAATGTAACATACATTTATTTTTCATTTTAATCTTACTTAAAAATCCAAGTAGCATTACTAAATTTTGCAGATGAAAACTTGTGGCTTAATAAGGTCACATAGTAATTCATTCAGAGTCCCTTGCCCCAGTTTAATATCCTCCACTGTTATTTTAAAACTCACTCAACACGTAAAACCTTGATTTTCATCTTAAATGACCTGCAAGTTTTATCATTGCTTTTTCTTACAAGAGCATTTTTAAGCATCTTGAAACCCAGGTGATTTCTGGATAGTTATTATACCAAAAGTTACCCAACTTTATATGTGGCGGCATTATTTCAAAGCAATTATATTTCTTCACAAAAGCTAAGCTCATTCTTTCTTAGAAAAGCTTATTTTTCTAGTGCTGAATGCTGACTGATTCTTAGACCACTCATTCGCATTTTACCCATGAGATGATACAGATTACAGTTTTAGTTGAAGTAGTCAGAGGTATGAAACTGTTTCCTTTTTCTAAATTGATAAAGGATTTAAGTTTCTTATGGTGGGGCACAAAACAACTAAATAAATAAAAAGTTTCAGAAGATACACCTGATATCTAAAGAAAGTTTTCATTGTGTCTTCTACTATTTTGATTTATATTTACCTTGGACAGTATAATAATTGAATAAAAACACTACCTCACTTATATAAGATGCACTATTATTATTACAACAGGATCTGATAAAATAATACAGTAACTTCTGGTTTATTTAGGTGCCAACTGCTTATTTTATGGATTATCTGTGTCATTTTTCTCTAATGTAGTATGTATACCAGTCATTGTTAATTCTGTTCCTTTTGTAACATGCATTTATTTTTCCTTTAATTCTTACTTAAAAATCTAAGCACTATTGCTAGTTTTTACAGACAAAAAATTGTGGCTTAATAAGGTCACATAGTAATTCATAGAACGAGTTCTATGTATCACTGGATGAATTAAAAAAAGAAATAAGTAAATATTAAAGCACATAATATTGAAAAACATATGGCAGAAAATGGAATGAAGTGAGAGGTCCATGAAAAAAAAATACATATACAGTCTGTGAAAAACAAAAAATTTGATGCTCTGGTCATAATTATTCAAAACTACTGCTTTGTACAAGCCTTCTTTTTTTATAGCTTCAAATGTCCCTTCCTGAGACCACAGCCACTGACAACTACTTCATGAGCCATCATCTATCTATTAGATGATGCTAATATATACCCATGCTTTGTCTATTCCTCAACAAATAAGTTAAACCTCTCTTTCAAAGTGTGCTTAAAATCGATCTCATTCTCTAAGGTTTGAAACATCTTTCGAGTTTTAAATTTCTTATTGTAAAGTGCCTTATTTTTGTAATTCATATTATTTTCTCCTGGATGACACATGAAGGCTAGTGACTGTCATTTTTGTCTTTCCCACAAATAGCTCCCACAATTTTTTCTTTTTTTTTATTAGAAGACTGACTGAAAGATTTTGATAATAATTCTCGTGTGTGTGTGTGTGTGTGTGTGTGTGTGTGTGTGTGTGTGTTTTGTTTGCTTTTCTTTTGAGACAGAGTCTCGCTCTGTCACCCAGGCTGGAGTGCAGTGGTGCAATCTTGGCTCACTGCAACCTCCTCCTCCCTGGTCAAGTGATTATCCTGCCTCAGCTTCCTGAGTAGTTGGGATTACAGGTGCATGCCACCACACCCGGCTACTTTTTGTAATTTTAGTAGAGTCCGGGTTTCACCATGTTGGTCAGGCTGGTCTCGAACTCCTGACTTCATGATCCACCCGTCTCGGCCTCCCAAAGTGCTGGGATTACAGGCATGAGCCACTGTGCCTGGCCGATAATAATTCTTAACATATTTTTGGGTTCTAATGGCCAATTTCAGTTTATCTTTTCTCTTTCTACTTCAGATGTTAAATACATATTATAACTTCTCTAATTTACCACACCTTTCCAAAAATTAGCTTGCAATTTCTGCTAACTTTCAACAGCAGGTACTTAAGAAGATACAAGTAAACAACTCCTAGTACCAGTAATGCAATTATTGACAAAGGCAGGGTACATAACAAGCAGTGCAGATGCTTCAAAAATTATATAACCAAAATGCATACTTTTTCTAATCCTACATAACAAAACACCACACATTCAACAACTGAAAACAAACCAAATTTAGTATCTCAAAGTTTCCATGGGTCAGGAGTTTAGGTACAGGTTAACTGGGTTTTCTAACCAGATACTAATATCAAGAGCTGCAGCTGTGGCTGCAATCTTCACCTCAGTTTTGCGATCCTCTTCCAGGCTCACAAATTGTTGGCAGAATTTATTTCCTTGCTGTATGGCTGAAGCCCAGATTTTTTTCTTGGCTGTTGACCAGGGAAGACTCTCTACTCTTAGAGGCCACCTGCAGCTCCTTACCACATGGCCCTCATGGGAAGTTCTCAACATGACTGTTGACTTTCTTTAAGGCCAGCAGCAGAGTATTCGAGGTTGCTTAATCTCTCTATTAGGGGTTCACTACATTAAGTTAGACTCAAAGTCTGCGATTAGAGACCTTAACTGCATATTTCAAAAATATTGTCATATATGGTAACATAAAATTGGGAGTGATATTCCATCATATTCACAGAGCCCACCCATACTCACACAGAAGGAATTACATTGGTTAGTATTCTGGGGGGCAGAAATCTTGAGGGACATCTAAGAATTCTACCTGCCATACAGGGCTCAAATGAATTCAGGGTCAACATCCTGACATTAGTCCTGAATATTATTACTAGCTTAATAGTGTGATTATTGTCATTTATTGTAGTCCCTGATTATTGTAATCTCATTGACTAATTATTTTGGTTTCTCTTGACTGTGGAGTTTTCCAAGGCTTACACCTGTCAATTCTAAAACTGCAACACACCCTGTCAGACACGGATGTTTGTCACTCTAGTCCCAGTTTCTCACTCCACGAGAAGTACTGACCATCGCCATCACCTAGAGTGCACTGGAAACAGAAGTAGAGCTTTGAGAAGCTATTCTGTCTCTGGTTTATCATTTGTATATCACTTTTGATATTCCAAACAGTGGAGAATGTGGCAGGCTCATAAGTGTCAAGCAAATGGCTAAGTGGATGAGGTTCTTCTACCCTGCCAGAGAGCCATGTAAGTGGAACTCACACACATACCAATTATTTCAGCTTTATGCATTATCAAACACAGTAATAATTCCTACTGTTTCTCAAAAGGAATGAGAAAATAGTCCTTGTAGTGTCTATGTGTTTAATTTCTTTTGTCTCTGAAACCCAATTTGGTCTTTTTGACGCAGTCCTAAAATGTAATTATTATATTCATGTGAATAAACAGTTATAAAACTTTGAGTAAAGTCTTTTCTTGATATTGTGAAAAAAATTAGTAATGAAAGCACCTTTATAACTGTAATTCCATTTACTTTAGTATTTGTTTATAGTTACCCACATGGCATTGCTACCCAAAAATGTCAAAATTGAGGAAAACAAAAATGTCACTGGATTGGATGGTGGAAATTAAGATTAATTACTGTGGCCGCTATCAACTAATTTGCCCAACTAAACTGATAAGTGAATTTCCCTTTCCAATTTCTCACATAAAAATTATTAGAAGAAAAACGATCAATACATTCTAGAGCTCAAAGTCAAGGAAGAAAAATCCTCAATGAAAGACATAAAAGAGGAAACTCAAAATCAGAATTTTGAAGGAACTAAAAACCAAAATTTAAACAAGATATAATTCATAATAACTAGGGTTTGAGGTTTGATGCTCCAGAGAAGTGGCTATCCTATTCTTTGGTCTTAGGAAACACTTACACACTAAATATTGATAGAGATCCAAAAGGGCAGTTTTGTTACTATTACCTTAAAATGATAGATTAATATTTACTCTATTAGAAATTAAGATAGAGAATTTAAAAATTACTTCTGAAATCACTTAAATAGTAGTAATAAATGTGTACTATGCTGACATAAATTTTTATGAATAGTAACAATATTTCACAAAATAATAATAATATGATTAGATGAGTTATATTGCTTCAGAGAATTTTCAAATTTATTTCATTTCTAGATTAATAGATGATAGCCAGAGTCCCATATCATTTTTGGTATTAAATCTGTTTTGATATCACATGTCATGAAGAAAAATTTTTTAGAAACTCACAAGAGAATGAATGAATATAGTTTCGATCTCACAGATCTTTTACAAGGGTCTAATGTCCCCCAGAAATCCCCACACCACATCACACTGTCAGAACTTGTACATCAGAAGTATTGAGTGGGGGGTTTGGATTCTAATACCTGTAAATAAAAGCAACAACTGAAATAACTGTAAATAGTTGAGAGTCTTGAATGACTGACCCATAAGTGAAAATATCTGTTAAGTGTCAAATAAAGAAAGTGTAAAGGAAGTCTGTGGCCAAAGTGGAATCTTGACTAGAACCAGAGCCTCCCATGAGGACTTAGGAATGAGTAATACACCATACTTGGGTATAAGAATATAATTAGTATAATGTGGTTCATAGGAACACAGATTCAGAAATTAACTTCAAAATAAGTTCAGAACTAGGAAAACTCTTATGGTCTCAGAAGTGAGAAACACTAATCTGCTTTAAAGAAATAGTCCCACAACCCAACACATGCCATATTACTAAATAATACAACCCCACTGAGCAGGGCTTAACCTTTGAATAACAATGTATTTAAGAAAACAAGCTTCATGAAGTGCAGTCACCATGCACTCAGACACACACATAAACACACACACACTCATATGAAGGGAGAACTGGACACTACAGCCCTTATATAAAGACTAATTTTTCAGAATGAGTAAGCATCAAAAAAATACAGATTAAATTTAATATGTTTAAAAGTCACGTTTAAAATGTCCAACACAATAAAGCGATAAAAATCAAGAAAAATAAGAACATCTCACATATTCTTTAAAAAAGCCAAGTGACTTATATTAAAATATAACTAATGAAATTAAAACACATATAGCCATACTTCTATTAAATATTTGGAAAAGTATTAGATACAGCTGTAGAAATAACTGAAAGATGAATATAAATATAAGTCTAAAGAAAGCAATTAGAACGCAGTACGTGTAGAAAAAGGCATGGAAAAGACACAGACAACATAAAAGAGATGAAGATGTAAGAACTACCAGAGTATATCCACTAAGAATTCCAACAGGAGAGTATTGGAGAAAAATAATGTCAGTAAGTGTTAAGATTGAGGAAGAACATGAGAGTTCAGATTAAAGGACATTAGTTCCATGAAGGATAAACCAACAACATCAATCTTCACTGAGTTATATTAAAGTTAAATTATAAATGAAAGAAAGAAAAATATTAAAGGATAAAAGGGAAGGACCCAACTGAGACTAGTCTCCTCATCAATAACAAAAGGTGTCTGAAGACAATGAATCTTTTCAAAATATAAAGTGGTTGGTAGTTAATCCAAAATTCTATTCAGTTAGACTACTGTGAAAGAAACATTGAGAGAGCTTATGATTATAATCTTTGAAAGAACTGTTGACATACATACTTTCCCAAGAAGAACTTAACGCAGAAGAAAATATTGGCATGGAAGGAGCAATGTTTACATAAAAATGGTTTAATAATTTTTGGAAAATTCAAATGAATATTAGATATACAAAGGGTAATTTTATCATATTAAGAAAAATGGATAATGAAAGTTTGCATATAGAGTTTATTTTCTAAAGCATAAGAAAGTTTTTACATTGAAAAATTAGTAACATCATTCCACATATTATTAGACAAGCAAGAAAATATGATCTCCACAAATAGAGTGAAAATGTACCATTTTCTATTTTACTGACATTTAGTACCTAGTGCCAAGTAGAGTTCTAATCATTTCAAAAACCATTTACAAATTTATTGATCTGTGAGGTGGGTAGTATAATTATTTCCATTGTACAGATGAGGTACTTGAGATACAGAGCAGTTAGTAACATGCCAACAGTTACAAGTCTAGTAGGGACAAGAGTTGAACCCTGGCAATATGGTTCCATAATTTGCATGGTTAACAACTTTGTTATATTGCTTCCTACTTATAATTTATACTACTTTTAATATAATCCAACTTGGAATATAGGACCAAAGAAAAATGAACTTCAAACAAGACAAATGATCTCATCAAAACTCTAAAGAAAATTAATATTCAAAAGCAAAATTTAGGAAGTATTTCTATAAAATTTGGAAAAAGTACATGGTTTCTCAAAGCATACGTATTAAATGCATTATAGGAGGCCCTAACTAATTTAATAAGGCAAGAAGAAAGAGATTGCCATGCCTATATGAAGGCAGGGACATTTTCTTTATTGTTGGTGATAAAGGTATCTTAATAGAAAATCCCAGCCTTGCCCCAAAAATGCATAATTTCATGGCATTGAAAAATATTCTGCTACTAAATACACAACCCCCTTGCAAAAATCAATAGCATTACTAACTTTAGCAAATATATATTATTGATAATGATAAAATATATTAAGAAATATGTATTCAAAGTATGCACTTTTATGAATAAGCTTTTAAAATATTACCAGAATATATATCAACATATATAATATGTATACAATATTTATGAATGGAAAGATATCCATTCTTTCCAAATTTACTCATAAATGTATTCCAATTAAAATTGTTAAAGGATGTTCTATGGTATTAATCAAAGATAACTCAAAAACCTATATAGCAGAATAAAGTTAAAGCGTACATGAGCCAGTATTAAACAGGAAAATAAGGGCAGGAATTGGGGAGTTTCTACTAAAAATAAATCTTATTATAAAGCTACAAGAATTTAAATATTTTGATCTCCATGCACAGAGATAATATTGGAATAAATAACTTGGAACTGACATAGCCACACGTTGGGCTCTGGTGTATGATCAATGTGGTGCTAGAATTTAGTGGAGAAAGCATCAGCAATTGGTTTCAACTGGAAAACAAAATCAATTCATTATCTCACTTTATACACTCTTTCTCATTACATATAAAAAAGTTAGATTAAATTCATAAAAATCTCAAATGAAAATATGGATGAATTTGATTATACTACCAAAATAACTATAATTAATAGCACTATAAACAAAATTAAAAGACAAAATACATATTGAGAGGACTTTCAATCAGCAAGAGGCATAATTAAAAAATGAACCATTTTACACAGTTTAGGTTGACAAAAATGAAAAAATTCTAAAACTTTCATCAACCAGTGTATAGCTCCAGGGAATGAAAATTAGCACAATCACCTTGGAGAACAATTTGGCAATGTTCGTTAAAAACTGAAAATGGAGGTTTGTATGCTTAGAGAGACATGTGAAGGGATGAGAACTTAAGCATTTTTAAGTTTCAAAAAAGGAAACAGAAAGCAACAAAATACTTTGTTTACTAGGAAAATTTTCACAAAAAGTGAAAAAAGGCGATTTTCAAAATCTTATAGCATTTATGTAAACATTAAAACCATACAATGGCATTTGTTTATAATATCAATAATGAATATGATCTGTTCCCTTCTGTCAAGGTTTTCATTGATTATTAGCAGAGACAGACTTGCAAGTCAGTAATTTTAACACACAGATTCAAGTGCAATGAGAAAGAAAGAATTATCAGGTTTGTTTCCTTTCCTTTCCCACAAAAGAGAAATCTGCTTGTACGTACTCATTCTGCAACAATCCCCTTCCCACAGACCCCTTAAGCAGGCGAATACACAAAAGTCTTGTGCTAGAGCATTTCTTCCAAATCCTGTGAGTGGGAATGACTGGGAGTAAGGGTCTGGGGAAGACCACAGGTGGGAATTAGTATACGATAAAGAAGAAAAGTTAAGTTAGTGTGATAATGCTGAATAGAAGAAAATTTACAGGCGGTTTGACTATAAAATGGTAACTGTTTAAGTTAAGAAGAAAAAATACAATACAATCTCATAACTGATTCATAAGATTAGTAATAAAGAAAATAATAATAATATAAACAAGAGTATAACCAATGAATCATGAGGGACGTCTGCAAGAAAAGCATTGTAGAAAAATTAGCAAAAGTTTCCAATATTATAAGGGGAAAGAGACCATTCTTAAAAAAAAAAGAAAAAAAAGATAGATATGTTCAAAGGTAAGGATTGACAAACAGAAGCCAACTATAGTATAGCCACACAGCTTACTAACTATATTGACCTGACTTTATCTGTCTTCATTAATATGACTTTACTAATCCAAGGCCTTCATCAAGATAAATTTAATATAATATACCTAGAAACATTTTGTAGGAAAATATAAACTTCAGTATCCTTATTCTGTTTCAGGAACTTGTTAGAAAACACACACACACACACACACACACACACACACACACATTTAAATTGATGTCAGACTTTCGACTTTTCAATGGATAGAATCAAATGATTGTTTAACTCCATGATGCTTCCAAACCTCCTCACAATTCTTGTCTTGCCTACATCCTTGTCCACCAGTCCTAATCTATTATGTCATAATAGTTACCTACTTCTAGTCAAGCCCTCACATTGAAAGACTTCCCTTAAGTCATACTGCAAAGACTTATATATCCAGACTGTTATTTTCCTATGAGACACTGCTAAGAATCTGTCAAGTTAATCTCCCTTACTATGGTAGGAACAAAAACAGCTTTGGTGTTTTTGTTTATCATCAAGTTGTCTTTATGGTACTTTCAAGAATCAGTTATTTGACAGGAGGCAGCAAACAGCATGAGGTGCTAGGCACAGCAGTAGTCTCGATAGGGCTGAAGTACAATAGTTTGAAAAGGGGTATCAAGAGATTAATCCATAGCAATACGCGAGGATTCAATTCTAAACGGTTCTATGTGTAATTCTTAAGAGCCTGGGTCTAAATCAAAACGCATGCATACAAGGAGGATGTCTTAGCTAACTTTTTAAGTTCTCTTAGAAATGTCATTTTGAAAGCTAAGAAAAATATAGTCCATTAGAAACATTAACTTAAAACTTTAAATACCAGAAATAATACTGTAAGTGATTTTTTTTTTTACATGGAGTCTTGCTCTGTTGCCCAGGCTCTCGGCTCACTGCAACCTCTGCCTCCCGGGTTCAAGGAATTCTCCTACCTTGCCTCCTGAGTAGCTGGGATTACAGGCACATGCCACCATTCCTGGCTAATTTTTGTATTTTTAGTAGAGACGAGGTTTCACCATGTTGGTCAGGCTGCTCTTGAACTCCTGACCTCGTAATCCGCCTGCCTCAGCCTCCCAAAGTGCTGCGATTACAGGCGCGAGCCACCGGTGCAGGGCCTAAGTGATTTCAATCACACTTAGTCTAAGTGGATTTACTTAAAGTTTCTATGATAAAGAATGTATGATATGGTAAATAAACATCATCATTTAATTTTGGTTTGCAGGAAATGTTAGTATTGTAGATTTTTCCTCATATAACAATAGCTGGAAAAAGTTATAATGCATTCATAATATGTTTTTCACGTATTTTAAACAATAATGCATCACATATTTTGGAATATTTACTTCAGTAAATACTTTAGTCTCTTTGACCTCAATGGTTAGCTTCTAGAACAAATACTTTAATGAGATGCCCCAAACACTTAGCTCTTGAAGAAACTCTGTGACTATCACAGGGAGCCTAGAAAATACAATTTTCGACTAGGCATGCTGGCTCATGCTGGCAATCCAGACATTATGGGAGGCTGAGGCAGGCAGATCACTCGAGCCTGGGAATTCGGGACCAGCCTGGGTAACATGGTGAAACTCCGTCTCTACAAAAAATATACACACACAAAAATTAGCCAGATATGGCAGTGCAACTGCAGTCCCAGCTACCCAGGAGGCTGAGGTGAGAAGATGGCTTGAGCCTGAGAGGTTGCAGCGAGCTGTGACTGTGCTACTACACTCCTGCCTGGGCAACAGAGTGAGACGCTGTCTCAAAAATAAATAAAAAAAAATATATAATTTTCATAAAGTTATGTTTAGTGTTAAAATTCAGAAAAAACTGTGCAATATTTTGAATATTCATTTGGTACACTTTCAAGATATGTTTAAAACATAAAGAAAATATAATGGCTATAAGCAAGAATCACAGGCTATAAGCAAGAATCACAAGAAAATATTTAAATCTAAATATACTACATTTTTGGCCTGTTATAACAAAACACTATACATCTGATTTATAGTATTATTATAGTTATAGTATTATAGCTTATTTTAAAAAGGAAGAAGTTTACTTCTCACAGTTCTAGAGTCAGGAAAGGTTAAGATCAAGGCAAATTCTTGTCTTGTAAGGACCTGCTTACTGGTTCACAGATCGAGCTTCTAGCTGAGTCTTCACATGATGCAAGAGGAGAAGGCACTTCTCTGGGGCTTCTTTTAAAAGAGCAATAATCATTTATGAGAGCTCTACCGCATTACCTAATCATCTCCCAAAGACTCTACCTCCTAATGCTATCATGTTGGTGATTAGATTTCAACATATAAATTTGTGAGGAGAGGGACACAAATATTCAGACAATAGCAGATATGAAGGACTCAGAAGACAAGTTTAACATCAGATTAGACACTGATTAAAACTGAAATCTAAGCTTGAGAATAAATCAGGAGATACTCAAATTGACAGAGAGGCCAGGAGTAATAATGGAGCAAATCTCTCAGTTAGCCAATGTGATAGCCCCTGGCTCTGCTTTCATAAAGTTGTGTCTTTGATCACGTATTAATATATTGGCTTTGTTACACAGGATTAATACATCTATGACCCTGGAATTCTAGACTTGGGTTTTGAGGTAGGCTGAATAATTCTCCCCAAACTGCCCATATCCTAATTCCAGAAGCCTGTGAATATGTGACCTTACATTCAAAGAAACTTTGCAGATGTGATTAAGTTAAGAACCCTATGATAAGAAGATTATCCTGTATTATCTAGGTAGGCTCAATATAATCACAGTAGCACTTACAAGAAAAAGCCAGGAAGTCAGACAAGACAGATAATGCTGTGCTGCCGACTTTGAAGATGGAGGAAGGGTCCTTGAGCCACAGGATGTAGGCAGTATCTAGCAGCCGGAAAGGCACATAAAGGTTCTCCCTAGAGTATCCAGAAGAAATGCAGCCCTGAAGACCCATTTTAGACCCTTCCTGTCAGAACTTAAGAGAATATATTTGTGATTTTAAATAGATAAATTTATAGTCATTTTATAGCAGCAATTAGAAATTAATATAGAACTGTCTGCAGTACAGTTAATTGGTAAGATTTAGGAATTATGTCTTTTTAGTGTAGTTGTTATTTCAAAAGTGTATCATGAGAAGGTGATTGTGTGAATGTTGAGTATGAATGATGTAAAATATAGTTTTTGTACTCAGCATTCATTTCCACCCTCTTCTCCCTTGGATTTCTTGATTTTCCAAAAAAAAAAAAAAAATGACTTTCACAAGGTGTCTTTCAGTGGTGGGAGCTCCCTAGAGAGACCAACTATTCAAGTTTGCCTGTGACTGTCTCTGTTTCAGCACTGAAAATGTTATATATGGGAAATCTTTCAATCCCAGGTAAGCCTGTAATTCCACATTATGTCGTTCCTGAACCTTAGGTACTTTTGCCTCTGTGGATCATATTTTCTTAACCAGGAGTACATGAGCACAAAGGGACACTTGAATAGAGTTTAGGGATTCATAAACTTGAATGAGAATATGTTACATTTTCATTCTCACTAAGGTCTAATTGAAATGTACTGTTGCTTTCAATTATGAGTATAGGCAACAAATATTAGCAATATCATGGCTTGTCACTAACAGAATTTACAGGTATTTTGTATCATATTTACAACTGTAAATATTTTGAACTATCCTTTATGTTTATCATTCTAAAAAGTATGACAGTTTTTAGACAGAGAGCAAGGTATGATACATAATCATTTAATAAAGACACAGGTATTACTATATCACAATTTCTAATACTTTGGTATCTATTCCAATAAAATATATATTGTATTCTTAAGCTTTTTTGTTTAAAACATTGTTTTGAGAAGGGATCAGCTTCACCAGACTGCCAAACAAGTTCTTGGAATAAAAAGGTTAAAAAACACTCTTCTAGATGGAATTACACTACTAAAAATGGAGAAGGCAAGAACCATCTATTTGCATAACTGATGTTTCTGCCAGATCCAGAACTGATGGAATTTATATCTCCTAACACAGATTACTTCTCTAGATGAAATTGGAAGAAATATGTTAGAATGACAGGTGTATAGTACTGTACAAGGAGAGAAATTAATGATGGATACATGTCCAACGTTCTGAATGGTGAACAGACATATAGAACAGAAAGATCCCAAAACTTTTTTTTAGGGAGAACAATGAAGGTATAAGGACTCATTTAAGTGTAGGGGTTCCAGGAAAGTAGGCATGACAATATACAATCATTTGTAAAGACAATGTGTACAATTTTAAATCCATGAATGTTTTTATTCAGATGTCCTAATATGAATAAGCGGTGTCTCACTTAGGAGAAATAAAAAGTTGTGAAATTGATTAAACTTAAGACTAAGTAAGTTAAAACCTGATTAAAGAAACTACACAATTAACACGCTGAAGAATGGGAGTTCCCAAGATGAAACATTCCCAGGTCTCTTGGTTCTAGAAGTTTTCAAGTCCAAGTACCCAGTCTATACTACAGAAAATGGCAGAAAACCAGGGTGCATAGAACTTAATTATTGATATCTGTTTACAATGTAGCATGGCTGTACAAACTTTTTGTGAAAAAGAAAGCGTGGACGGTTGTCCATTCATAGGGAGCATGAAAGAAAATCCAGTTCCTGGAAGCAAAGCATTGGCTGGATTTGTAATGACTATTTTATTTCAATAGGTATAAGATATTCGATCATTAAGTGTGATCAGACTTCTGCCTGATGGAATAGCAAGGCTAGCAATTGGTAGAAATCAGATAAAACACATGGATTGTGTAATGTCAGTTAAGGCTTCTTGGAAGCCAGATTAAATTTTAGATAAAATATAAAACTATGGATCCTAAATTCAGGATACTTAGAATGTGGCTCAATTCTTTCTTTGGAGCTCCCAGGTTTCCCATCAAAATGTAAATAGTATCTTACATCTTCACATGCAGTAAAAATATTGTAAACTTTATAGCCAGTACATCAGTACATCGTGTCTGTAGCCTTCAATGCTCCAGTTTTGTGTCTATGAAAGCTAAATGATGCTTGGAATATTATAATAGAGCTTAAGTAAGGTCTTAACCCTAGTTGCCTCCATCTCAGCCATAAGCCTAGAGATGCTAGCAAACTGTGAACTTGAGCAAAGATTTATACTCTTAGATCTGATTTATTTTTTTGTCATTTTGTACTGCGGTAGACAAGTCAGTTCCAATAGCACTCTCACAGAATGGTAGACAGTGACCACAGACAGCTCTGCCCATTACTGTCCGGTCTCAGAATGAATCCTCCATATGTTGATAATGGAGGACATCAGTGTTATACCGAATTTTAGAGTGGCTATGCCTTTTTAATGTCCATATTACAGGAAAGAAATAATGAATTTAAGGAGATACGCTTTCTGGAATAAAACAATTAAAGTAAAAGGGGAACAAAGTCGTGTTTGGGGCAATTTTCTGTGGCATAATGAGATTTGAACTCCCTTTCAAAGAAAAGGCAGGAGATACGAAAGACATTGGCAGAACCAAGTGCGGTTGGCCCTGCGAATCTGTGCATTTTGCATTCAGATTCAGTCAACCGTGGACTCAAAATATTCAGAAAAATAATGTCTGTACTGAATATGTACAGACTTTTCTTATATTATTCCATAAGCAATACAGTATAACAACTATTTACATAGAATTTATATTGTGTTAAGTATTGTAAGTAATCTGGAAGTGATTTTAAGTATACAGGAGGATGTGCATACGTTATGTGCAAATACTACATCATTTTATAATGCGGACTTGAGCATCCACAAATTTTGGTATACATGGAGGTCCTGGAACTAATGCCCTATGGATACCAATGGATAACTGTAATTGGGCTACTGCCCATGTAAATAGATATAAAAAGTTGATGGTTATAGCATTGAGGAATTCTTGTGCAAAATTTTGCCATAATACTGCAAGGTAATCTATCCTTAAGCATAACTTGTTGAGACAATTACTGGGACTCTGGTGAGGAGCATTGACTATCCTGGAATAAATTAAGAGGGACAGTAGCTGGAGTATACTTTCAATCTTAGCAGAAAGGGCAGCAGTTATATATGGCATGATCTTCCCATGGCAGGTCATCTGAGCGCACGTTAGGCACAAAAAAACTGAGCCAGGATAGCTAAAGCTTCAGCTTTTATTATACCTGCTAATATTCTGTTGGTCAAACTCTATAAAGATTAGTACTGAATGTACTCTACCATAGTAGGAGGAAAACATCTTGGAGGACAATTTGAAAACATATAAAAATGGTGCAAATTCACATTTCTTACTGTACAGCTGGATATGTACCCTATCAGATATATAATGATTATCTCTGAGAAATCAAGATAAACAAAAGGAACAGTGTATACAAATGCTTTTATTATATTCGATTTTTATTTCTAGTTGGGGTGGGGACAAAGTAGGTTTGAAATAAGGCAAACGTTAAAATGGGATGATTTCTGGTGGTGGTCTCATAGTACTTGCATTACATGTATACATTAATAATGAGAACCTTATTTTAATCATTGTACTTTACTAACTACCAGGGCTACTCTGAATTTATAATAAGATGAGAAATTAATTGCTCTGAAAATTTTCTTTAAGACTTCTCTAAAATTTAGCATTATTATTGTTGAATTACATGCATTTCTCTAGTAGGCTGTAAATCACAAGCTGAAAGAGGCTTTATCTCAATTTTTTAATATTCATAATAAGGTCTGCAACTAATTTAATATACAAATTTAAGAAACAATTATAGAGTAAATAAAAAATATGCTAAATGTCGGGATTTTCCTATGACCACATAGTAATTGTCAGAGCAAGGATTACAGCCAAGGCATCTGAGATCCAGAGTTCATGATCTTAATTTAATGCAATCCTGTTTTTGTTATGTGAGTGAGTAGATAGCTGTTTTTCACTATTTTTACTAAATTACAAGAACCCTCATTGTTAAATTATTCTATTTAAATCTTTGTAGACATCTTAATGGTTAGGGATCAGTAAAACATAAATCACATCAGATATTTTAAATAACTTAAAATAGAACAAAAAACCAAACACCGCATATTCTCACTCATAGGTGGGAATTGAACAATGAGAACACATGGACACAGGAAGGGGAACATCACACTCTGGGGACTGTTGTGGGGTGGGGGGAGGGGGAGGGATAGCATTGGGAGATAAACCTAATGCTAGATGACGAGTTAGTGGGTGCAGCGCACCAGCATGGCACATGTATACATATGTAACTAACCTGCACATTGTGCACATGTACCCTAAAACTTAAAGTATAATTTAAAAAAAAGAAAAAAAAAGAAAAAATATGTATTAGATAATTGCAAGAAAAAAAATAACTGAGATATCACTGTGGTAGGAAATTCCTAAAGCAAGCGTGATGGCTGTGAGAATAGTGTGAAGAATTTGAGTTTCGAAAATATAAAAGTTTCAAGGGACCCTGAAATGTTGAGATTTATAATCAGAACTATAACAGAGAAGTGGTTTTTGCAGAAAGAAAAATAATGCTTATGAAAATAACATCACTAATACTTTATGATATTGTCATTATTCTCACCTAATAGCAACTAGGAACCAGAATGTAAATGAGTACATAAAGCTAAGTATTTCAAACTTAATGTCTATGCTTTTTCTTCATCTCCATTGCAACACACTAACCTTCTAGGCTGGATCCACGTTTAAATCAGTATTCAAACATTGATCTGATAAGGCAATATAAAGATCACTGCTATTGTTATTAAGAATTGAATTTTAATCAAGTGTTATGACAATCCACTAAAGAAATATTTTGTGGTATAGGTTGCTAGTGGTGGAGTCTCAGATATTTTCTTCTCTCAATCTTAGTAAATACTTACATATAAATAATTTATAAATAAAGAATATCCCATCACTACTATTTCATCTTATTTTGTCTTTAGTTTTAATATATTTTATTAATATAATTTTAATTGGCAGCCAGGAGAGTGGCTCAGGCCTGTAATTGTAGTACTTTGGGAGGCAGAGGCAGGCAGATTCCTTGAGCTCAGAAGTTTGAGACCAGCCTGGGCAACATGGTGAAACTCTGTTTCTACAAAAAATACAAAAATTAGCCAGACATGGTCTCTACTAAAAATGCAAAATTTAGCTGGGCATGGTTGCGTGCACCTGTAGGCCCAGCTACTCTGGAGGCTGAGGCAGGAGAATTGTTGGAACCTGGGAGGCGGAGGTTGCAGTGAGATGAGATTGCGCCAATGCACTCCATCCTGGCGACAGAGTGAGACTCCATCTCAAAAACAAAAACAAAAATAAAAATTAACTGGACATGGTGGCGCACGTTTGTGGAGGCAGAGGTTGCAGTGACCACTACACTCCAGCCTGGGTAACACAGTGAAACTCTGTCTCAAAAAAATAAAATAAAATAAAAAATAATTAAAAAATATGATTTTAATTGACAATTCATAATTGCATACATTTATGGGGTACAATGTGATGTTTTGGTATATGTATAAAATGTGGAATATTTAAACAAAATTAATTAATATATTTATCACTCCTCTTGCCTTGTATGATGCAACATTTGAAATGTACAACCTTACTTATTTTGAAATATATAACACATTACTATTGATTATAGTTACCCTGCTGTACAATAAATCTCAAAACAATCCCCTTCTAAATCTGAAATTTTACTCTTTGATAAATAACTGCCCTTTTCTTTCCCCCTGCCCTCCATACCTAGTCACTGGTAAACATCATTCTACTCTCTTCTTGAATGAATTCAACTTTTTTAGATTCTACTCATAATTGAGACATGAAGTATTTATCTTTCTGTGCCTGGCTTATTTCACTTAGCATAATGCCCTCGGGGTTCATCCGTGTTGTCAAAAATGACAGTATTTCCTTCTTTTCTAAGGCTGAATAGTCTTTGTTGTGTATATACCACATTTTCTTTATGTATTCATTCATTGATGGACACTTAAGCTGTTTATATATCTTGGATATTGATAAAAAATATACTGAAATGAACATGAGAGTACAGATATCCATTTGATATTCATTCCTGTGAATATATACCCAGAAGTGGGGTTACTGGATCATATGGTAGTTTTATTTATTTATTTATTTATTTATTATTTTGAGGAACCTCCATACTGTTTTCAATCATATCTGTAGTAGTTTACATTCCCAACAACAATGTACAAGAGTTCACTTTCCTCCACATTTTTGCCAACAATTTTCTTTTCTTTCGATAAAAGCTATTCTAACAGGTGTGGGGTGATATCTCAGTGTGGTTTCAATTTGCATTTCCCTAATGATTACTGGATGTCGAGTATTTTTTCAAGTTCCTGTTGGCTATTTCTTTGTTTTCTTTTGAGAAAAGTTTGTTCAGGTCCTTTGCCCATTTGTTAATCAGTTTGTTTTCTTGCTATTGAGTTGTTTGCAAGCCTTTCTATTTGGGATATTAATCCATTATCTGATGTATGGTTTGCAAATATTTTCTTCCATTCTGTGAACTGTCTTCACTTTGTTAACTGTTCCTTTGCTGTGGATAAGCTTTTCAGTTTGAGGCCATCTTGTTTGTCTATTTTTGCTTTAGTTGCTTGTGCCTTTGAGGTCATATCCAGAAAATCATTGTCCAGAGCCCAGACCAATATCATGAAGCTTTTACTCTAGTGGTTTTAAGTTTCAGGTTTTAAATTTAAGTCTTTAATCTCTTTTGAATTGACTTTTGTATATGATGTCAGATAAAGATCCAATTTATTCTGCATGTGAATAGCCAGTATTCCCAACACCATTTATGAAAAAGACTGTCCTTTCCCCATTGTGTTCTTGGCACCTTTGTCAAAAAGCAATTGACTATAAATGCATGGATTTATAACATTGTAGTTACAAATATATCTTAAATATGTCCAAGGTTACTTTCGGGACTGCTCTGTCTAGCAGATCAAATTGGGTAGACTAACACATCAGCCCTCGTTCACTTACTTTTGAGGCAGAGGAAGACTGTTTATTTTCAACTTGGTTATATTTCTTTCCTTCTTTGTATTTTTCAAGAGAAGTGACTGTTGACTTCCTTTTAGAATTTTCAATACATTGAAGAGACAAATTTTCTCAAGGCTACAAATCATGGGAATTTCAATCTATAGTCCCATCTTTCATTTTTCCCTTTCCTTTATACTATCAGCTCTTTACATTTTATTTCAACTAACAGTTTAAATTAAAATGAAAAGGACACCTCAATTTGTTGCCTAATTTCCAGAAGAGAACCCCCACTCTTTCTGAATATGAAGTGTAAGTTATAGAGTAAGATAATAAATAAGCCAACAGTTGGTGTCATATGTGATTAATTTTAGAAATAACTGCTTCTAATCAAAGGGTTATATTGTACCTTGAGTGGTTTCCTGCTGTTTTCTCTTTCAACTTATTGGACATCTTATTTAATGACTAACAAATTGTCAGAACCATAAAGGGCAAAATATGCAAGAAATTTCTTGTAACTTTAAGCAAAACTATGCCAGAGGGCTTTATTTTTAATGTGTGTCATACAGTTAAAATACAATTATTATAAATTTTACTGGAAATACAGTAGAAATAAAATGGAAAATATTTCTTGAAATTTTTAAATATAAAATAAAGGTAATTTTTAAAGCCTATAATTAGCAATGATTAATATTTTGTCTTATGTCTTTGGATAGTTTTTGGAAGTTTCATTCTATTTAATAACTATTTCCCTCTTCTCCACCTCAAAGCAGCTCCTACTATAATTTTGGTGTACATTTTTAACATTTTAAATTCTTAACATTTTAAATCATAATATGCAGTTATATTTGGCATATTCAAAAAGTTTTGCAACAATCATCTTACCTAATTCCAGAATATTTTTATTGTCCCCAAAAGAAGCTCCATAACCATTAGCAGACATACCCTTCTCCTTCTACCTTCTGATAAACATTAATCTATTTTTTTTGACCCTAGATTTGCCTATTGTGAATGGGCATTTTGTATAAATAAATCAAGCTGCATATGGCTTTGAGTCTGACTTCTTTCACTTGCTTTAATATTTTCAAAGTTTATCTGTGCTGTAGCACGTATCAGTACTTCATCCTTATGGCTAGACAATATTCTATTTTATGGACATGCCATTTTGTGTGTTTATTTATTCATTTGTGGACATAAGAATTGTTTCCAGTTTCTGGCTATTATGAAAAATACTGCTATGAATATTCATATGGAAGTTTTTTTTGCGTAATTATATCTTTTTAGGTTTCCTGTGCATACACTTAGGAGTGGAATTGCTGGGTCATAAGATAATACTTTTTGAAGAACTGCCTGTTTTCCAAAGCAGTTACTCCATTTTACTATCCCACTAGCAATGTGTAAAAAGCAATATTTGATGTCTATTTGACCATGTAGGATCATTGAGAACCAAGTACTTTTTATTTGAGGCAAAGAGGTGACCTAGGCGCACAAAAGTTTCTCTGAAAAATTCCCACCTACACACATATAGAAGTTTCATGTTTGCTACTTTCCTAGGGAATAAAATTTTTTAAAAAGGACTCAGTGCTACACTTCTGTATATTTTTAATAAGGCTAAGAGATTGGAGTAGTGCCTCCTGTCCTCTAGTCTGAAACTCAGAAAAGTTAACTTCTTGTATAAATGAAAACTCAGAATTCCTTCCTCTAGGGCTGACCAATAGCCAGTCCTTCCAATATTCGTATCACCAACCAATGTGCAAAACCCATTACTGTTTAATTCTCATGGATGAACAAGGATCCTAGAACTTTCTTATATCTGATTTCCCTCCTGTGAGATACTGCTCTGAGATTCCTCTTTTCTGATGAAGACTGCCTTTAGATATGTATGTTTTTATGAAATATAGACCAGGAACATCACTGAAAAGAGAGTTTAACTCTGGGACTGCTCAAGGTTAAATAAGCAGAGTCTTATCTTTTAATATTTCACCCTTTTTCCCCTTCTTGATTCTGTGTTGATGCTAAAAGACAGGAATAACTTACAGTCTGGGATATAATTCTTTATCTTCTGTCACTAGGAAAGCTATCATTCATTTTTCATGAAAAAATATTGCTTTCTACATTGAATTAACTGAAACCCAATCTCATGTTATTATTTATTTTATAGTGGATAGAAATATTTTCTATTTTCCATCGTTGAAAAAACTCAAATAAAGAAGGTTTTTCTACAAGTGATCCTCAATTGATATTTAAGTCAGTAATCCTTTGTTGAAGAAGGGCTCACAATCTCAGATTACAAGCAGCAATATGCCTCATCAGGCATATTGGATTCTGTTTCTTCAGGTCATGGATGAATCTTTAGGATACAACCAGAGCCTTTTAGAAACTTAGTACTTCTCTGTAGATAAGCCATAAAAACAGGACTAGATTGTCCTAGGGACAGCTAAGATGGGGAGAAAACTGATGAGCATGACAGGAGGGACTTTTTTCTCCTGCAGGTACCCTACCTCTTAATAATCTATTATACGGCCACTGAATCTCTGTGTTTGAAATTTTACCCTGCATCTTTCTACCACACCCAGGTGAATCTGTGAACTTTGAATAAAAGCTTTAGTCCTTACTCTAACCCTTGCCTATGCTTCATGTTTCCTCAGAGCATGGATTGAAAAACTGTGACCAATCTACCAAATTCAGCCTGATGTTTTTGTATAACCCACATAGTAAAAACAGACTTTTACAGATTGACATCTACAACGGATTAGGTCCATTGACTTTGTCCCACTGAGTTTATTTTTTTGATAGCTTTAGGGGTACACATGGTTTACTCCCCTTTGCAATTCTCTGACTTTGGTTTCTCAAGCTGTCACCATCTCACCCAGCCCCTAGAAGGGTGCTCTTCCACGTGAAAACAATTTTAGCAAGCTCTGATACAGCCAAAAACTGAGAAGATAACTGAGTTTCCACGACTTTCACAAAGATTTTACAAAATATAAAAAGAGAAAAGGAATAAAAAAGAAAAACGGAATTTTTCATTTTCATGTCACGAACACACAACATGAAAAATATTTAAAAATCACAAGTATGACATGATTTCAAACCATTGCTCTCTCACATACCAGCTTTATGAATAATTAAGAGTAAGTCATTTTTCCTCTTCATTCTTCTGTGTTTTTAAATCTGGAACATGGAGATTTAAATCCCCAGTGATTACAATATATGTAATAAAACCTTGGTCCCTAATAGGTACTCTATAAATGGTGGCTATGATTAAGGATGGCAATGGAATCAAGAAGAGCTTTACTGGACCTGACATTTTTTTATTTGGATATAGCTAAATTCTAGTTTTTGATGGCCTGCACCACTTTGTAGTAATATCTAGAAAATCCTAATTTTTCTGGGTGCAACTGGCACAGGTCTTGGCCCAAAAATCCATGGATAATTCTTCTATAAGCCTGTAAATCAGTTCTTCCTAGCAAGGAAGAATGCTTCATTCATTTTTGCATATTAAGAATATTGTAATACCCTTGATGTAGTGTGTCAGGAGCTTCCCAAGACCACCCTCAGGTTCTTTGACTTGCTACAATGGCTCACAGAACTTGGAAAAGAAAAGCTGTCAATCTCACAGGTATGCTTTAGTATAGCAAATGTGTACAGATTAAAATAAAAGAACAAGGTTCATAGAGTGGAGTCTGGGAAAAACTAGGCACGAGGTTGTGTTCTCCAAGTGGAGTCTCAAGCACAGTGCTTAATTCTCCCAAGAATGATGTGAGGCAAAATTTACAAAAGTATTTCCAACTAAGGAAGATCATCTGAGCCTTGGGTCCAGGATTTTTAGGGGAGGGTCAATTATACAATCATGGGAGAGTCAAATGACTATTCAGTCTTCAGTTCTCCACTCTGCAGAGGTCAAACTGATACAGTGTGGACCAGGGCCTCAGGTGGACAAAAACAGATATTGGCTGTAAATCCCATTATTTAGTAAACACTGTCTGGCATCAGCCAAAGTCTCAGGTATGCAAAGCCTTTAATGGTTAGTTTTATGTGTCAATTTGACTAGAATGCCCAGATACATGATAAAACATTCTTTCTGGGTATGTTTTTTGGGGTGTTTTCAAAAGAGATTAGCATTTTACTTTTTAAATTAAGTAAAGAAGATGATCCTCACCAATGTGAGGGGCATCATCCAATATGGTGAGGACAGGAATAGAGCAAAAACGTGAAAGAAGGGCAAATTCTCTCTGCCTTCCTGTGCTTGCACTTAAACATCCATCTTCTCCTGCACTTGGACATTAGATCCTCTGGTTCTGAGGCCTGTAGGCTTGGACTAGAACTATTTAGGTTGGTGCAAAAGTAATTACACTCTTTGCCATTAATACCATCTTTCCTGAGCCTCCAGCTTGCAGAAGGCAGATGTTGGGATTCCCAGCCTCCATTATCATATGAGCCAATTCCTCATAATAAATCTTTTTCTAAGATAAATGCTGTATGTTCTCATTTATACATGGAAGCTTAAAATTTGATCTCATAAAGGTAGAGGGTAGAATAGTCATTACTAGAGGCAGGGAAGGGTATTTGGGAATAGAGACAGTCAAAGGTTGATTAACAGATGCAAAAGTACAGTGATACAAGAAGAATAAATTGTAGTGTTCTATATAGCACTATAGGGTAACTATAATTACAAATAATTCATTATACATTTTAAATAAATAGAAAAGTGGAATTTCAATGTTCTCAACACAAAAAAAAAGATCAATGTTTGAGGTGATGGATATGCTAAGTATCCTGATTAGATCATTATACATTATATACATGTATCAAAATATTACCCCATACACAAGTAAAATTATTATGTGTCAATTCTAAATAATAATAAAGGTGAAGAAAGCTCTTTCTGTATATATACATATATTCTATTTGTTTTGTTTCTCTAAAGAGCCCTCACTAATATGAAGACATTCTTTACCAGACTGAAATTGTCCAAGGCTCAAAGTTAATATTCTAGGAGCCAAAGACTTGTCATTTCTTTGAAACATGCAGGGTTTGAGCACCCTAAGTCTGCTAAGCACCCTAACTTTTTATTAAACAGGCACCCTCAAAGTCTTACATAAAAAATGAGCTTTAAAAGACTCATCTGCCTCTCATTTAAACTCAAACCTGCCTTGCCATCTTTCTTTTTCATCATATAGCAGAAATAGCACCTTACCCCATGGAGCTGACACTTCACTGCGTTTCAGCCTCTTCATGCACATCACATCTTCCAGATAATCCCTTTGCTTCAGAATTTTCTTATATTTTGAACCCCAGTGTTCAGTAAGAAGATTTCACTTAGCTTTATATTTCTCTTCAACTCTTATCTACATGAGAATAAATATGTTCCATATTTGCTTTATCATATATTATGTTGACTTTGGTATTTATTCTTCATTTACTTTTCGAAAACCAATATAGTTGTCATTTTCTACTAGTTGAACAAGATCATTGCCAGTTTATTTCAGAATACAAACAAATATGTGGGAGCAAATATCTCACGACTCTGTGCTCCATGCACCATGCTAAATATTTATTGAGAAATCTATGGCTGAATGGAGATTTTCAAATTGTTGGTAGGACTGTTCAATACATTTCTGTTACATTAGTTTAGTTTGCAGTGTTAAAGTCTTCTACTTTCTTGTTGATCTGCTATTTAGTTTTTCTATCCATTACTGAAATTGTGGTATTGAAGTTTCCAAATATTATTGTTGAATTGTCTGTTTCCTCTTCAATTACGTCAGCCTTTCCTTCATGTATCTTGGGGCTCTGCTATTTGTTTGCATATATATTTAAAATTGTTGTATTTTATAATACATCGACTTTGTCATAATGCAATGTCCACCTTTGTCTCTAGTAACATTTTTTCCATATAGTCTATTTAGTCTAATATGTGTAAAGCCACTTTTTCCAAGGTATATCTTTTCCTATCCTTTTATTTTCAAATTATTAGGTCTTTGAATCCAAAGCAGGTTTCCTGTAGACTATACAATCAGGCCATGGAGTTTGATTAATCCTGCTTATCACTGTCTTTTAGTTACAGCATTTATTCCATTAACATTTAGTGTTATCACTAATAGATTTGTGTCTGATTTTTATTATGTGTTTTCTATACGCCTTAGTCTTCTGTGTTCCCCTATTCATATATTATTGTGACATTTTTATATTAAACAGCTTCTGCAATACCATTTTAATTTACTTGTTTTTAATAGATTTTTTAAATCTATTTTTAGCTATTTCCCTGGGGAATACAATTAACATGTTACTTTCTAATAATCTGTATTTAATTAATACCAACTTAATTTTAATAATATACAATAACTTTTCTCCTATTTAACTTAATTCTCTCCTACTTTATGCTGTTATTGCCATGAAAATCTATATTTATTCACTGTGTACTCAACAAAGATTATAAGCATTCATTGTCCTTTAAACCTAAAAAGTATTTAAATTGTCATTTAAATACTATAGTTGATTTTTAGAAAGCTACAAACAAAAATACATTTGTATAGTCTTTTGTATTTACTTCTGTGGTTACAGTTACTGATTCTCTTTGTACAGATTTGATTTATTTCTAGTGTGCTTTCATATCACCCTTGGGGACTCTCTTTTATATTTCTTGTAATCAATGAAGTTACTGACATACCCTCTCAATTTTTGATTACCTGGGAATGCCTTAATTTCTTCTTAATTTTTGAACAATATCTAGATTCCATATCTGGATATAGAATTTTTTCTTGAAGGTCCTTTACTTTCAGAACTTTGAATATATGACACTACTGTCTTCTGGCTTTCATAATTTTTGCAGAGATGTCAGCTGTTAAGCTTATTGAGAGAATCTTGTTAATGCAATAAGTTGCTTCTTCTGTTTTTATTATTTTCTCCATCTTTGTAATTCAACAGTTTAGTTATAATATATCTAGGAGTGAATGTCTTTGTGTCTTATTTAGAGTTCAGTGAGCTTTTGGATTGTGTTGTTTAGCGTTTTCATTAAATTAGGGAAGCTTATGGGCATTCATTCTTTAGATATTTCTCTTCCCCTTTCTCTCTCTCTCTCTCGCTTTCTTTCTCTCCTTTTTAGGAATTCTCATTATGTAAATGTTGGTATATCTCTAAAAATCTTTTTATTCTTCTTTACTCTTTCTTCTTTTAGTTCCTGAAACACAAAATAAATCTCACTTGTTTTGTCTTCAATTTTGCTAATTCTTCTTTTCTGCCTGCCTAGGTCTTCTATGATTCCTTCGGTAAATTTTTTAGTTCAATTATTGTGTTTTTGAACTCAAGAATTTCTACTTATTGTCTGTGTCTTATAATTTCTGCATCTTCATTGATATACTTTATTTGATGAGGCTTCATTATTATAATTTCTTTTAGTTCTTTAACATATTTTCCTATAGTTCTTTGGAAATATTTTAAAAAGCTGATTTAAACTCTTTGTATAGTTAGTCCAATGTCTGTGCCTTCTCAGTCATTTAATTGCTTGCTTTTTCTTGTGTATGGGTCATGTTTTCTTGTTGTTTTGCACGTATTATTTTGTTGTCAACTGGACATTTAATTAATATAATGTGGCAACTCAGGAAATCAGATTCCCTCCACAGGATTTGTTTTTGTTAGTGTTTATTTTTATTGTTGTTGATGGCAGACTGTCTAGTGAATTTTCTAATTAATGTTTTAAATCTTCTGTCATGCATGACCACTAAAGTCTGTACTTTTATGTGTTAGTAGTCTAACAGTGGTATTACATACATTTTCTTAAACACTTGGAACCAATAACTCTGACAAGCTTTTCTGAGAAGTTATGTATGCATGCATGTATATTGGAGCACATCTTGAACTCTCAGGAAGGGGGATGATACCACTGTCCTAGCCTTCACTTTTTATTAGGACAGATCTTCGAGTTCAGAGATTAAGGTCTTCTCATATCTTTGTAGAGATGCAGGCAGTTCTGGGCATACACAGAGCTCTAAACTATATGCGTGATTTTCTAGATTTCAAGAAATATTGCAGCACTTTTTAAAGCCTGTATGTATATATCATTTACTAGCTTTTGAAAAAATAGGTTTTTGGTTACAACATTATTTTTCCATCTGTCATCCACCACCTCAGGTAGCCACAAATACAGCTAAACAACGGACTCTAATTGCTTATAGCAAATGCTCCTCTGAGAAAAGTTTTTACACACTGAGTGATCACTGGATTAGCTCCAATAAAGACAGCTTTGAATGTGGCATCTTATACAGAACTGCCAACATGAATAATTAATCACAGTTCTCTGGAAATGTGACTTTAAAGAAGCTCTAACCTTATTTTTCTCCTTTCAGCAGCTCCAGAAATATGTTGAGTCTTTTTTTTTAACCTAATTATGGTCTGTTGATTTTTTTTTTTTTTTTTTTTTTTTGAGACGGAGTCTCGCTCTGTCACCCAGGCTGGAGTGCAGTGGCGGGATCTCGGCTCACTGCAAGCTCCGCCTCCCGGGTTCACGCCATTCTCCTGCCTCAGCCTCCCAAGTAGCTGGGACTACAGGCGCCCGCCACTACGCCCGGCTAATTTTTTGTATTTTTAGTAGAGACGGGGTTTCACCGTTTTAGCCGGGATGGTCTCGATCTCCTGACCTCGTGATCCGCCCGCCTCGGCCTCCCAAAGTGCTGGGATGGTCTGCTGATTTTTAAGTCTACCTTGGAGCTGAAGTAGGAAGGATGAAATAGGGAATGTTAAAATGGCACAAAGCTTACTGTTTACCAAGATTCAGCCATTTCACTTGAATAAATGCTTTGCAGATTGTTGATTATTTTGTTAACTTCCAGGATTGTGAAAAAGTTGATTCTGACATGTTTTTTTATCAGTTTTGTTGTTGCTTTTATGATGGAGAAAATTTATACAATTTCCTATTCTGCCATTCTCTCTGGTATCACTCATCCAGTTTATTAATTAAAAGATAAAAGTCATAATTGTACTAATAAACACCATCAATTATACCAAATTGGCATCTGTAGAATAATTTATCCAAAAATAGCAAAATACATATTTTTCTCAAGCTCTCATGTGATATTTACCAATATAGAAAATATCTGGAGAAACAGAACATATCTTAACAAATTCAAGGTAATTGACATCATATTTTGTCTTCTCAGACCGCAATGAAATTAAAATTAGTAATCAAATAGAAAGTAGAAAACCTCAATAAATGAAGATTAAACAACACACTTCTAAATAGCATATAGAGTCTTAAAATAAATTAAAATATATTTCAAACTAAATGACAAAAATAACAAAACATTAAAATATTTTAGGATACAGACAAAGCTGTGCATGGGGGAAATGTATAGCATTAAATGCATATGTGAGAAAGAAGAGATATCAAAAATTAATATCTGAAGGTTCCTCCTTAGATGACTAGAAAAAGATCAATAAATTAAATGCAAACTAGGCAGAAAAAATAATGAAAATTAAAGCAGAAATCAGTAAAATTAATAACAAACTAATAAAGCAGATCAGCAAAACAAAAAGCTGTTTCTTTAAAAAGAACAATACAATTGATAAATCTCTAGAAAACATAACAAAAAGAAGAGACAAAAATATATTACTAATTTCAGAATTTAAACTGGGGCAATCACTACTGATCCTATAGACATTTAAAGCATAATAAAGGGATACTAATAACACTTCTGTGCTCACAAGTTTGATAAACGTAGATGAATTGAACAAATTTCTTAAAAGACGCAATGTCTCCAAAACTCACACTAGGAGAAATATAAAATCTGATTAGAACTATATTAATAAACTCCCAAATCAAAATTTAACAGGATGTGCCCACATGTAATTTTATGAAGCATGTAAGGAAGAAATTATACCAATTCTCTATAATCTCTTCCAGAATATAGAAGCAGAGGGAATACATTTTAATTAATTCTGTAAAGCCAACATTACCCTCATACCAAAACCAATGACATTAAAATAAATAAAAACTACAGAACTACAGACCAGTACCTCTCACGAACATAGATGCCAGTCCTGGAAGACATTAGCAAATTAATGTGACAATGTTTAAAAAAGTATTATACATCACAGTCAAGTGGGATGTATACCACATGTGTAAGGGTGGTTAAACATTGAAAAATCTATTAGTGTAATCCATTATATCAACAGGGCTAAAGAAGAAAATTACATGATTATATAAATAAATGCAGAACAAAATTTGACAAAATCCAATACCCATTAATGATACCCATTATTTCCCTCTCAACAGAACAGGAAATAATGGGAAATGACTCAACTTGATGAAAAACATCTAAAAAAAATTGTCTTAATGGTGAAACTAGATGGTATCCTACTAAGATCAGGAGCAGGGCAAAAAGTTCCATTCTCACCAATCTAGTATATTGCAATGGAAGTTTTAGCTAGTGCAAAAAGATTAGAAAGGGAATTAAAAGTTATACAGATTGGGAAAAATAAAATATTACTTTTTCTTTACACAAGAAAAACCTCTTGAAACTAAAAGTGACTATAGCAAAGCCACGGGATGCAAGCTTAACACACAAAAGTTGGTTGCTTTAGTATTGTGTCACCAATGAATAATTAAAATTTAAAATAAAAAAACCATTTATATTAGCAACCCCCAAAAAATTATCATGTATAAATCTAACAAAATACATAGAGAACACTACAAAACTTTGATTTTAAATTTTTTAAATATTCAAATAAATGATGAGATATTCTATGTACATGGATAGGAAGACTTGATATTAAGATACTAGTTCTTACCAACTGATCCTATAGATTCAATAGAATTCCAATCAAAAATCACTGCTAGTTATTTTGTGGCTATCTACAAACTGATCGTAAGGTTTATATATAAAGGCAAAAACACACACACTGGCTTTGTCAGTGACTTTGTAAAATCAACACCAAAAGTACAAAATTATAAGTTGAAAAAAAATAAAGATCGCAAATAAGCATATGAAATGATGCTCAAAATCATGTCTTTAGAGAAATGGAATTTAAAGAAACAATGTGAGCCAGTACACATCTATCAGAATGGCCAAAATCGAAAACACTGACATCACCCAATGTGAAGCAAAAGGAACCCTTATTCTTTGCTAGTGGAAATGCAAAATGGTACAGCAACGTTAGAATAGTTTGACAATTTCTTATAAAATTAAACATACTCTTACCACATGATCCAGCAATCATTCTCCTTAGAATTTACCCAAATAAACTGAAAACTGTTCACACAAAAACCTTCACATGAATGTTTATAGTAGCTTTATTCATGACTGCCAGAGTTAGAAATAATCAAGATGTCCTTCAATCAGTGAATTAATAAACAAGCTGTGAACATCCACGTGATGAAATATTGTGATAAAAAGAGATGAGCTATCAATCCACCAAAGGACACAGAAGAATCTTAAATGCGTATTTCTAAGTGCAAGAAGCCAACTACATGACATTGTGGAAAAGGCAAAATTCTGGAAACGGTAAAAATAGTAGTGGTTGCCGGGGTTCAGCAAGAGTGACAGAGAAATAAATAGGTGGGACAAAATTAAGCATGATACTATAATGGTGAAACCATGATATAATACATTGACCAAAACCCCTATGATGTCAAATACAAAGAATAAACTCTAATGTAAACTATGGCCTTTGGTTAATATTAATCTATCAATATCTACTCATCAATTATAACAAATGTACTACACTAATGTAAAATGTTAATGGTAAGGGAAAATGAAGTTGGGGGAGAGAAGGTATACAGAAACTCACTGTACTTTTCACTCAGTTTTATTTTTCTGTAAACCTGACTGCTCTGAAAAATAACTTAATTTCTAAAAAACAGCATTTTTGTTTGCCGCTATCTGTAAATGTCAATGCTCTTCTGCATGAAATGTTGCACTATATATTCTTTGAGAATCTTTTTTTTGTTTGTTTTTCTGGTCATAGACCTTGCTTCTTCATCTCCACTTGATCAGGAGCAGTGGCATACTTCTATTTTAATGGTTTCAATTTGATATACTAGAGAAGATTTAACAGTATTGTTCAGTTTTTGTAAATAACTTTTTTTTAGTCTATATCTTTTATAGAGATCATGGTCTCCTCTGGCGACACTCCACCCCCATATACTCTCTTGTCTTTCTATTTTTATTGGATGGACTTTAAACTGAAAGTGAATCCTTCTTTTTGTGCAGCACCAATACTCTTGGTTATACCATTACACATCCCCTGGCAACAACCTAGCATCTCAGAATGCTCCTTTGGTTATTTACTACATGATGGAATAAATATATACATATATCAAAAACATACCAGATAGGAGAAAATAAATTTGTAGGTTTAATTTTCATTGCTTATTTCAAAGCTCTAATCAAGAGATGCTTATTATAACAATTAATTGTTTTACCCTAAAATAACTAAGAAAAATGTCCTTAGCCAAGATAAATTTTGTCACTTTGTTCATGATATAATTTGCTTGGGATAAAATAGCCCAAGCCTGAATTCATAATATAATAGAATCAGCATAATCATAAAGTAAAAAATAAATTACCATTATATGAGAATGTTTTATAAAAAGTAAGTCATTTCTGTTTTTATTTATACTGCAATCCATACTTTAAAATTCATTAACTTTCTCACATGTGGCTACTAATAGCCACTGTTTTAACAACTAAAAGGTAACTAGGTCTAGGCAATATATTTACCAAAATGTACTGGGGCAAATTATCCTATTTTCTATTATTTCTATGGGAATATTTAGATGTACCATTCATTCCATTCATAGGGTGTGTGTAGTGTATTATTATGTCCATAATTTATATATGTGTCAGCCCTCATATGGTTTGCAACTCTGTTTTAATCACTTCCAAGGTAAGGTTTTTTTGTTTACCACTGTTTAGAAATTAATCACTGTCACTGCATTGTTAAGAGAAAAAAATAATAAGACATTGACAAAGTGGCTACAATTTGTGCAGACTGTATAAAAATTAGATTACGCATAACCAGACCAAAAGCTTAAATACATTACTTCAGTAACCCTTTTTCTGATTCCTACATGAAAAGTGGTGTTCAAGAAAAAATAGATGTCTCTTGCAAATACAAAATAAGAAAAATGCTTCCACAGTTATGTTTTAAAGGGAACTCTTTCTATGTATAATAGACACACTCCACTGCCTATTTCAAGAAAAACGGGTAAGGCAATATCTCAAGTTTCCATAGTGTGACTTGCTATTATTAATATAGTGAAGGGTACATCTCTTCTAATTAACTTGGTAGAGTGTGTTAAGAATCCAGACAGATGAAACATTTCTTTGCACTCAAGGAAAACAAATGAGTGCGAGCAAATTAGTTTTAAAAGGATGGCATTTAAAAATAGAAACACCTAGCAGATTTACTTAGGTGCCATTCACTGTAATAGCTTCTTATAATAGCTTTTTAAATGCTAATTTGGTACCAGGCACTGTACTCATCTAATTTTCGTAACAATTCAATGAGGTAAGTTGTTATTTTCTTTCATTTTATTGATGAATGGTTTGAGAGTCAGAGACAGTAAGTCACTTGTCCAGGGTCACACAGCCAGAAAATACAGGAGGTGTGAAATGAATTCAGAAATAAAATTTTAAATCTTTGAAGAGTTGCTCTACATTGTCAGTCACTGGAAAAATCTGTTTGGGTTGTAATACTTTACCATTGGCATTCATTCATTCTTGTTTTCATTTAGCAAGCATTTACTGAGCAAAGCTACGTGCCAAGCAATAAACTAGGAATGAGCTAGGAATGGGAAGATAGAAAACAAAGAGTTTACACTCTTGAAAGGAGGATGCATATTTCAGTCAAAAATTACAATCCATTTAAAAATTTTCTTTTGAAATTAATCTGATGTTTAATTGACAAATCATACTGTATACATTTATGGGGTCGAATGTGATGTATTTTGATATATGTACACAATGTGGAATGTTTAACTCCATTTAATCAACATATCCATGACCGTAACTTATTTATTTTATTTATTTATTTTTGAGACAGGGTCTCAGTCTGTCACCCAGGCTGGAATGCAGTGGCATGATCACGGATCACTGCAGCCTTAAGTTCCCATCGTCAAGCGATCCTCCCATATCAGCCTCCTGAGTAGCTGGGACTACAGGCACATGACACCATGCCAGGCTATGGTTTTTTTTTTTTTTAATTTCCTGTAGAGAAGAGCTCACTATATTGCCCAGGCTGGTCTGGAACTCCTGGACTTAAGTGATCTTCCCAGCTTGGTGTCCCAAAGTGCTGGGATTACAGGTGTGAGCCACCACAACTGTCATTACCTGTCATTTGTATGATGAAACATTTGAAATGTACTCAGTTATTCTGAAATATACAATACACTATTATTGACTATATTCACTCTGTTGTGTAATAGATCTCAAAACGTATTTCTCTCTGAATCTAAAACTTTATAATTTTTGACAACTCCCTATTCCATCCTCCTTTGCAATGTACACTTCTGAAAATTATCATTCTCCAATCTATTTTTATAAGTTCAACTGTTTTAGTCTACCTATAAGTGAGATCATGCAGTAGTTGTCTTTCTATTCCTGGTTCGCTTCACTGAGCATAATGTCCTCTAGGTTAATCCATGTTGTTCAAAATGACAGAATTTCCTACTTTCTTAAGGCTGAATATCATCCCCCCCTTTTTTTATATATAGCACATTTTATTTATTGAATAATGTACACTTAGGATGATTCCATATCTTGGCTACTATGAATAAAGCCACAGTGAACATGGGAGTGCAGATTATCTTTTTAACATATTAGTATTAATTCCTTTGGATATGTGCCCAAAGTGGAATTTCTGGATCATGTAGTAGCTCTATTTTTATTGTTTTGAGAAAATTACGTGCCATTTTCCATAATGGCTGTACTACTTTATATTTTCACTAACAAGTTAAAGAGTACCCTTTCCTCCACATCGTTCATCTTTTTCATAAAATCCATGTTAACAGGTGTAAGATTTTACTCATTCTGGTTTTCTCAGTTCTGTAGTACTACAGCACTTGAGGTAGACCTCAAGGGGATGTATGAGTCTTATCTTGTGTTTTGGGGTATTTTCAGAGTTATTCTTTCCGTGGATAGTTGCTAATTGCATTTCTGTAAGTGAGACCGGACAGCGACAACAGCTAACTTGCCATCTTACTGACATCTCCACAATAAATTTTTTAACAATAAATTGGTTAGCGAAAAGAAAGGATGCAAATTATCATAGTATAGCTAAAAGTCTACAGCGTAGTGGAAAGTTTCGGGATTCTGGCACAAGCTGAACCTTTTGGAAATAGTTGGGCTGGAGGTGGGTAAGGTTAGCCCATATCACTTGAGCATGGAGCAAAGTGTGACTGCTGACCAAGCTTTGGGTATGGTGTGAGAAACAAAGGGACATCCAATTCACTGTGCACTATGATACAGAAAGCAAGAATGAAGTCCAGAGCAAATGGCCAGAAAAAGAAAACAGGAAAGACAGAACAAGGCTGGGTCCAAGCTTAGAAATATGTATACTGAAAAGAAAAGAGGAAGTGACTGCAAAAGTTGTTGTGAGAAGGTAATGATGAATGACTCCAAACCAGTCTGACCGTTATCCATTGATATTTTCATATTATGTCTTCCTGTCCTTTGCAAATGACCATGTTTCTTTAGAGTAATCCTATCTTTTTATACCACCCTCAATACACTACTCATTTCTATCTTCTCTTAAACCATCTCCATTTCTCCCTCAAATTTACAGACCACTTTGATAAATAATGTAATCTCACATTTTAAAAGTTTTAAAAAAAGAAAACCTAAGTAATATACTTTATTAGCCTAAAATCTATCTTGCAAACCTATCTAAAAATAAAGCAAGCCTGGGCAACAGGGTGAAACCCCATCTCTACAAAAGATTTTTTTTAATTGGCCAAGCTAATTTTAGTAGCTGGGACTATAATACATGCCACCTTTAGTCCCAGCTACTCTGGAGGTAGGAGGATCACTTGAGCCCACGAGGTTGAGGCTGCACTTAGTACTGATTGTGTCACTGCACTCCAGCCTGGGTGACAGAGCAAGAACTTATCTCAAAAAATAAATAAACCAATAAGTAAATAAATAAAGAGAATGTTTAACAAAGAATACAAAATTATGCTTATCACTGAGGAAGGGTAAGGCAGACGAGAAATTGACTACATTCTTGACTGTGACCTGAGCAGGACAAGAAGGTACTTTCAAACTAATGGAAATATTGTATTTCTTGATCTGAGTTGTATTGTGTTTAAGTTCATTTCATTATAATCTTTTAAAATTATCATATATCCTAATAATTATTTTTATATGTCTTTTATAACAATTATTACAAACATTAGAAAGAATTAGCTCCCCAAAGGAAAATAAGCAAATATATTATATATATAAATATATATAAAATATATATAAATATACATATAATATATTAAAAATATATAAATATATATAAAAAATATATATATATATGGAAAGAAAGTGTGAAATAACAGTATTTAGTTGGAGGAAATTACCAGTAAATTTGTGTACGGATGGAGGAAATAATAAAAGGAGCCAGGTGGCCAGGTGAGACCAGAAAGTGAATGGTCTTCAGAGTCCAGAAAATTGCTCATGTTCCCAAAAGCTATAGGTAGATACAGCAACATGTTAAAAAATGTTAACCAGATAATTTATCAGTTAATGACAACAAATAATATTGTGTATATCCAGAAGACACTATTTTAAACATGTAATAAATATTTACTGAGTATTTGCTAGGCATATGATCTAGGTACTAGTGAATAAAGACAAAGAAAACACAATTCTTGCCTTCATGGAAATTGGATTTTCATGTCAGGAGACAGGTAATAAATCTATAAATATATTAACAATGCTATTTTGTTATGATGAAAAGTGGTACCGAAAATTATAAAGCAGAGAGCATCTCTTCAGAGTAACAAGGAGATTAAGAAATTAAACAGGACAGTTAACAAAGTTCTCCCAAAGAAGATCAAAGAGTAGGTGATAAGGGAGCTGCACCAATCTCAGAGCAAGTAGAGGTAAAGGGAGCAGCAAATCCAACCCACTTCTCTCAGCAGAAAGTATGCTTGTGGGGTGTGAAGAACATGGAGATCAGTTTCACTGGACTTGAGTGACTGACAGGGACAGTGAGAAGAGGTGAGGTGGAGGGGAGGCAAAGACCATAAAAGGACTTGTTGACTTTTTTACTGACCCTGGCTTATACTTAGAGGGATGGCAGCTGTTAGTGTTGGGCAGAGATGTGACTTGTTCTAACTTAAGTTTAACACTGCTATGTTAGGAAAACAGGTGAAGTTAGGCTCCTGTCATAATCCAGGTGAAAGATAATGTTGGCTTGACCCATGACAATTGCAGTGGAAGCAATGAGAGTTCTGGATAAATTTTAAACCCTAAAGAAGTTATTGTCTTATTAAGTGAGTACAGTAAGAGAAAGGAATTGAAGCCAATTTTAAAGCTTTGGGGTTTTGTTTGTTCTGCTAAAGAATAGGAATAATTAATTTCTCACTAATTTAGATGAAAATGATTTTGGAAACAGCAAATATGGGAAAAAGTTCATGAGCTCAATATTTGGTACACTGCATATGTGATGCCTATATGACATGCAAAAAGACATATTGAGTATATAGTTAGAAATGTAAGTTAAAAAGGCAGAGAAGAGCTTCTGAAATAAAGGTATAATTTTGAGAAACATCAATACACATACTACTTAAAGCCTACTTGCTGAATGAAATCATGAATAGAATGAAATAGATTTAAAAGGAGGGCAGGGAAAAGTCAAAGGAATTGCCAAATGAGGGAAATTAGAAACAACCAGCAAAGGAGTCTGAAAAGTTGGCCAATGATCGAAGCAGTTATGATAGGGGCAATGTAGTATCCTGGAAGCCAAGTGTAGAATACATTTTAAGGAAGAAAGGATGCTCAAAATGTCAAATTTTGCTGATCATGGGAGATGAGGCCAAAGCCCTTTTCCTTTTCTCCCATTGAAGCTTCCCTCACAAAATAGAGGTTTGCTCACCATCGTCTTATTTGGAACAATATAAAACCAAAATGTGAGTACCTTGTTTTCATTTAATCTTCAAATTCCATCCTCTGTTTTACCTAATTAAAATACTTTCTAAATAATTATAACGGTAACAGTAAATACTTATTGAACAGATATTTTATACACTGTAATGTGTTAAGCGCATTATAAATATCATCCTAGCAATTTTCATCTTTTGGAGAAGGCGTGAACATCACTTTTTTCCTTTCATCAGAGTAGGAAATTGAATTTAACAGGAGTTAAATTAATTACTTAAAATTATACAACTGTAAAAGATAAATTTCTCGGTAGTTTATTGCTTACTACTCCATTTTGTACACTACATTTGTTTTTTTCCCTCTTACTCCAAAAATACATGTTGTCTTTTAACTGTGACTTCTAAAATGAACATATCCAGTTTAGACTAAACCTTGCCTAAATGTTTCTTCATTGATTTTACTTTACCTATTATGGAAATTATATACTTCATAAAATCATTTTAAAATTATATTTCCCCCAAATATAATGTGGGTTCTGGGGGGCAGAACTGTGTCTATCTTTTCATCTTTGCATCTTAGTACTTAATATAGTGACCAGAACACAGTAAATTAACAGTAAATATATTTTAAAAGATTGAAACCTGAACATCAAAACCAGATCTATCTTCAAAGACTTATCAATGTTACTATAAATATCCTTCCTCAATTCATAAACCTGATCACTGTTAGGAGGTCACATCCAGTGGATTTAGCTATAATTAAATTTCTGCTGTTAAGTTTCCAGGTTTTTACACAGCTTAAGTCATTTAATTTTTACAAGAAATCTGTTGTAATATGCAATTTATGCAAAAGTGAAACCAGACTTTCCCGACATGGAAAAAGCTAAATAATACATTTCAGGAAAAGAACTGGTAGATTATTAAGTAATTTGAATGGTCCATTTATTTTCTCTACTTATTCTCAATAAGATGACAATAATTATCAAGTACCCTGAAAATTCATTGAAAGATAATTAGCAATTGTTCTATTGCACATCATCCTGGATTTATATCTCTGATGATTAGTGAAGTTAATATGGGACATCCTGACCAAACAAGATATCACAGACCTCTTACCTTTTTCCTCCGGCCTGCTAAGCAAAACTATAAACTTGGTAAGGACACAAGAGATAATGAAACTGAAAGATATGATCCTTTGCAGGCAGAGGTGGTGGGGTTATCTGACAAAGATTAAAATGTTAAGGGCAGCCACAGAGAAAGGTCGGGTTACTCATAAAGGGAAGCCCATCAGACTAACAGCTGATCTCTCGGCAGAAACTCTACAAGCCAGAAGACAGTGGGGGCCAATATTCAACACTCATAAAGAAAAGAATTTTGAACCCAGAATTTCATATCCAGCCAAACTAAGCTTCATAAGTGAAAGAGAAATAAAATACTTTACAAACAAGCAAATGCTGAGAGATTTTGTCATTACCAGGCCTGCCCTAAAAGAGCTCCTGCAGGAAGCATTAAACATGGAAAGGAACAACCGGTACCAGCCACTACAAAAACCTGCCAAGTTGTAAAGACCATCGAAGCTAGGAAGAAACTGAATCAACTAACGAGCAAAATAACCAGCTAACATCATAATGACAGGATCAAATTCACACATAACAATATTAACCTTAAATGTAAATGGGCTAAATGTTCCAATTAAAAGACACAGACTGGCAAATTGGATAAAGAGTCAAGACCCATCAGTGGGCTGTATTCAGGAAATCCATCTCACGTGCAGAGACACACATAGGCTCAAAATAAAGGGATGGAGGAAGATCTATCAAGCAAATGGAAAACAAAAAAAGGCAGGGGTTGCAATCCTAGTCTCTGATAAAACAGACTTTAAACCAAAAAATATCAACAGAGACAAAGAAGGCCATTACATAATGGTAAAGGGATCAATGCAACAAGAAGAGCTAACTATCCTAAATATATATGCACCCACTACAGGAGCACCCAGATTCATAAAGCAAGTCCTTAGAGACCTACAAAGAGACTTAGACTCCCACACAATAATAATGGCAGGCTTTAACACCCCACTGTCAACATTAGACAGATCAATGAGACAGAAAAGTTAACAAGGATACCCAGGAACTGAACTCAGCTCTGCACCAAGTGGACCTAACAGACATCTACAGAACTCTCCACCCCAAATCAACAGAATATACAATCTTTTCAGCACCACACCACACCTATTCCAAAACTGACCATATAGTTGGAAGTAAAGCACTCCGCAGCAAATGTAAAAGAACAGAAATTATAACAAACTGTCTCTCAGACCACAGTGCAATCAAACTAGAACTCAGGATTCAGAAACTCACTCAAAAGTGCTCAACTACATGGAAACTGAACAACCTGCTCCTGAATGACTACTGGGTACATAATGAAATGAAGGCAGAAATAAAGATGTTCTTTGAAACCAAGGAGAACAAAGACACAACATACCAGAATCTCTGGGACACATTCAAAGCAGTGTGTAGAGGGAAATTTATACCACTAAATTCCCACAACAGAAAGCAGGAAAGATCTAAAATTGACACCCTAACATCACAATTGAAAGAACCAGAGAAGTAAGAGCAAACACATTCAAAAGCTTGCAGAAGGCAAGAAATAACTAAGATCAGAGCAGAACTGAAGGAAACAGAGACACAAAAACCCTTCAAAAAATCCATGAATACAGGAGCTGCTTTTTTGAAAAGATCAACAAAATTGATAGACCACTAGCAAGACTAATAAAAAAGAAAAGAGAGAAGAATCAAATAGATGCAATAAAAAATGATAAAGGGGATATCACCACCGATCCCACAGAAATACAAACTACCATCAGAGAATACTATAAACACCTCTATGCAAATAAACTAGAAAATCTAGAAGAAATGGATAAACTCCTCGACACATACACCCTCCCAAGACTAAACCAGGAAGAAGTTGAATCCCTGAATAGACCAATAACAGGCTCTGAAATTCAGGCAATACTTAATAGCTTACCAATCAAAAAAAGTCCAGGACCAGATGGATTCACAGCCGAATTCTACCAGAGGTACAAGGAGGAGCTGGTACCATTCCTTCTGAAACTATTCCAATCAATAGAAAAAGAGGGAACCCACCCTAACTCATTTTATGAGGCCAGCATCATCCTGATACCAAAAGCCTGGTGGAGACACAACAAAAAAAGAGAATTGTAGACCAATATCCCTGATGAACATCAATGCAAAAATCCACAATAAAATACTGGCAAACCGAATCGACCAGCACATCAAAAAGCTTATCCACCATGATCAAGTGGGCTTCATCCCTGGGATGCAAGGCTGGTTCAACATATACAAATCAGTAAACGTAATTCAGCACATAAAGAGAACCAACAACAAAAACCACATGATTATCTCAATAGATGCAGAAAAGGCCTTTGACAAAATTCAACAGTCCTTCATGCTAAAAACTCTCATTAAATTAGGTATTGATGGGACGTATCTCAAAATAGTAAGAGCTATCTATGACAAACCTACAGCCAATATCATACTGAATGGGCAAAAACTGGAAGCATTCCTTTGAAAACTGGCACAAGACAGGGATGCCCTCTCTCACCACTCCTATTCAACATAGTGTGGGAAGTTCTGGCCAGGGTAATCAGGCAGGAGAAGGAAATAAAGGGTATTCAATTAGGAAAAGAGGAAGTCAAATTGCCCCTGTTTGCAGATGACGTGATTGTGTATCTAGAAAACCCCATTGTCTCAGCCCAAAATCTCCTTAAGCTGATAGGCAACTTCAGCAAAGTCTCAGGATACAAAATCAATGTGCAAAAATCACAGCATTCTTATACACCAATAACAAACAGAGAGCCAAATCATGAGTGAACTCCCATTCACAATTGCTACAAAGAGAATAAAATACCTAGGAATCCAACTTACATGGGATGTGAAGGACCTCTTCAAGGAGAACTACAAACCACTGCTCAATGAAATAAAAGAGGATACAAACAAATGGAAGAACATTCCATGCTCATGGGTAAGAAGAATCAATATCATGAAAATGGCCATACTGCCCAAGGTAATTTACAGATTCAATGCCATCCCCATCAAGCTACCAATGACTTTCTTCACAGAACTGGAAAAAACTACTTTAAAGTTCATATGGAACCAAAAAAGAGCTTGCATTGCCAAGTCAATCCTAAGACAAAAGAACAAAGCTGGAGGCATCACACTACCTGACTTCAAACCACTACAAGCCTACAGTAACCAAAACAGCATAGTACTGGTACCAAAACAGAGATACGGACCAATGGAACAGAACAGAGATCTCATAAATAATGCCACATATCTATAACCATCTGATCTTTGACAAACCTGACAAAAACAAGAAATGGGGAAAGGATTCCCTATTTAATAAATGGTGCTGGGAAAACTGGCTAGCCATATTTAGAAAGCTGAAACTGGATCCCTTCCTTACATCTTATACAAAAATTAATTCAAGATGGAGTAAAGACTTAAATGTTAGACCTAAAACCATAAAAACTCTAGAAGAAAACCTAGGCAATACCATTCAGGACATAGGCATGGGCAAGGACTTCATGTCTAAAACACCAAAAGCAATGGCAACAAAAGCCAACATTGACAAATGGGATCTAATTAAACTAAAGAGCTTCTGCACAGCAAAAGAAACCACCATCAGAGTGAACAGGCAACCTACAGAATGGGAGAAAATTTTTGCAATCTACTCATCTGACAAAGGGCTAATACCCAGAATCTACAATAAACTCAAACAAATTTACAAGAAAAAAAGAAACAACCCCATCAAAAAGTGGGCGAAGCAGATGAACAGACACTTCTCAAAAGAAGACATTTATGTAGCCAAAAGACACATGAAAAAATGTTCATCATCACTGGCCATCAGAGAAATGCAAATCAAAACCACAATGAGATACCATCTCACACCAACTAGAATAGCGATCATTAAAAGTCAGGAAACAATAGGTGCTGGAGAGGATGTGGAGAAATAGGAACACTTTTACACTGTTGGTGGGACTGTAAACTAGTTCAAACATTGTGGAAGTCAGTGTGGCAATTCCTCAAGGATCTAGAACTAGAAATACCATTTGACCCAGCCATCCCATTACTGGGTACATACCCAAAGGATTATAAATCATGCTGCTATAAAGACACATGCACATGTATGTTTATTGTGGCACACTATTCACAATAGCAAAGACTTGGAACCAACCCAAATGTCCAACAATGATAGACTGGATTAAGAAAATGTGGCACATATACACCATGGAATACTATGCAGCCATAAAAAAGGATGAGTTCATGTCCTTTGTAGGGACATGGATGAAGCTGGAAACCATCACTCTCAGCAAACTATGGGAAGGACAAAAAACCAAACACCGCATGTTCTCACTCATAGGTGGGAATTGAACAATGAGAACACATGGACACAGGAAGGGGAACATCACACACCAGGGAGTGTTGTGGGGTGGGGGCAGGGGGGAAGGATAGCATTAGGAGATATACCTAATGTTAAATGACAAGTTAATCAGTGCAGCACACCAACATGGCACCTGTATACATATGTTACAAACCTGCACATTGTGCCCATGTACCCTAAAACTTAAAGTATAATTTAAAAAAAAAAAAATCAGCTCTCATTAAAAATGCTTCAACAATCAAATACGTATTATCTTCAAAAAAATGTAAAAAGAAAATCTTAGCAAAATAAGAAACATACAAATCAAAGTTACAGAATTACAAAATACAATGACAACATTAAAAAATACTCATAGGATGGGCTAGAGTGCAAACAGAAGATAGAATCAGTGAACTTAAAGAAAGAACAGTAGAATACATTCAGTCTGAAACATAGAGAAAATAGACTGAAAAGATAAAATGATCAAAGCCTCAGAGACCTGTGGAACAATGCAAAACATCCAGCATTTATACTATCAGAGTCTTAGAAGGAGAGGAAAAGTGTGTTTTTGAAAGAGTATTTGAATACATGATGGCTGGAAACTTCCCAAAATTAGGAAAAGACACAAACCTACAGATATAAGTGACTATTTCTTGAACCCAAATATGATAATCAGAAAGAAATCCAAAGAAATTCACTCCAATACGCATCATAAACAACTTTTGAAAATAAACGCTTTTAAAATATTGAAAGCAGCCAGAGAGAAATGATGTCTTAATTATAATGGGTATATCAATTTGAATAACAATAGATTTATTCTTGTTATTAAAACAGTCCATGATGCTATGGAAGCCAGAAGGAAATATAGCTAGAAAACAAATGTTAGTAATGAAATCTACAGCTTGTAAAGCTATCCTTCAGAAATGAAGGGGAATAACATTTTGTCAGCTTAAGAAAAGACAATCTGGATTCCTGCCACATGGATTTTGACAATAAGTTTATAATTTATAACTCAAATAAATAAATAAATATCATAGTTGATTATGTTTTTAAATATCTGCAAACTTTTCCTTTCTTTTCATATTATTTTAAGAATGGAAAGTTAAATTTTTTTTCTTTAATTCATTTTTATTTATTTTTGATTGGCTCAATTTATATTTATGTATCTCTGCTTTATTTTGTGTAACTGTAAATACATAGTTATGTACATAAAATTATTTAAGAATAAATCAAAATATAAAATAAAGAGGGAATTTCTTATAATAGATGTTGATTTACATACAAATTAATAATGCTTTTTAGAGAAACAATCAGTTCAAGTAAATTGTAAATACATGCCTTGCATTTGTAATGTTCATTAGAACTTATAGATATTTTCTTAATTACTGATGAATCCTCAAAACACCTCTATGTGGAAGGCCCAACATCACCAGAGGAAGCAGGTAGCTTCATAGTAAGAGTTAGAGCTCTACTTTAGCCATGTAAGCCTGTTTTAAATACTGGTTCTAATTTCTACTAGCCTAAGTAATTCTGGACAATGAATTTAACTTCTGTTTTGTAATTTCCTCGCTTGCAAATGAGAAATAAATATTTATTCTTATTGTCAATAAGAATATGACATGAGATAATTCATATAAACTTGTGCTTAACCTTGTGCCTGGCATATTTCAGATATTTAAAATGGTTTCAAGAAGCATAAACAAAAGAGGAGCCCTGGTTAAGGAAGCTTAGCTAATTTGCCCAATCATCAGAATAGAGAATGATATAAGTGGTACCAAGGTAAAGTTACCAGAGTTTCCTTTATTATTATTTAGATCATTTTTCCATGCTGAGAAAAATGGGAATTGTTGATTTTCAAACAAATAACAATTTCATGAAAGCCCCTTTAAAAGCAGGTACAGAGCAACTAAGCCCATTTATAGCATTCTGTAATCACAGTAACCTTGCAGAGTTCCTGAGAGAGACAGGAGAGGCTTAGCAAATACTAGATAAATTCATGAGTGAATAAATAAATTCAGTACTTTTTTGATGAGTATATGCAGTACTGCTTCTTCTCTTTTCAGAATCTTATAGCAAAAACAAATTGTGTATTATGAATTACTTGAAATTATGTATGCTAAAATGCAACACCTAAATTCACAATAAAATTAAAGTACAATTCCCTAACATAGTCCATTTTTATATCACATTTAATCATAAGTGCCAATAAATTCACTGCCTTTTATGCTCTTTGAAATAACTTATTAATTTCTGTACAATATCTTTTCTTCTTCCAAAAAGATTCAGAGTTTATGCAACAATATATATTTTTTTCCTTCAAACTGAACTCATGAAGTGCAGCATTTAAATTTGTAGTGCATGCATCATTTTTCATGTTCACTTTAGGATTACATTTCTCCACATGGTACCTTAAGAAATATTGCCAATTCTGCTTCAAGGGTATAGGGTAGATACTGGGAGATTAGAATTCCGCGTGAGTGGTTGAAAAATAGGTAAACATGTAAAGATTTCCAGCTGGTGTTATATTAGGGTGCTTCTGAAACATAAAAAGACTAAGTCATGGCCAATGTGTAAAAATCATAAAACACTTACTTCCTGGATGGTGTGAGGAGTTAATCCTAGAAGGTTGAAAAGATTCAGATACAAGAGAGATGTAGCATAGTGTATTGGTTGAAGAAAATCAAAGATAATTCAGCATAAGAGTATAATTTTAGATAATATATAGAAGACCAGAGAGAATCACAAACTCTGTTTCTCCATTTGTATCAATAATACTGAGCCCAGTGAGTAGAACATGGAACAGTTTAGTAAAAGTTCAGGAACATGTCATGAATTAACCCTTCCTATTGTTTTAGATTTTTCTCCTTCAGTTATTTTTTTTTTTTTGACTAGTTTGGAATGATAATTTAGTTCCCTGATGCAGACTCAGCATATGTGTAAGGGATACAAAATCTCCCCATCCCCTTCTCTTGCAAGACGAGCAAAATAGCAATGCAAAATATCTGACAGAATAATCATTAAGTGACCTCCTCTCTTCTAGAGCCATGCAGGAAGCAGAACAGGCCTCATCCAACCCAATCTATTCTTACGACGATGTGTTCTTCCCTTTTCTGTTATTGTTTTGTGCCATGTTTCTAACGATAGTGGAAAGGACACAGAAATTTGTCAGTTATATAAGCATTTTATTTAAAAATGATTATTTTAATGTTTGGAATACAATTAATTTTTCTTGGCAAAGTGACATAGGTATTTTTAATCACTTTTATCTTTATAATGGTATTATATTTTTCCTATATTTATTATCACAAACAATAAAAATTTGGCAAAAATAAAGCACCGGAATATTTGTGAGAATTCACTGGAGTTGGGGTGACTAATTAATCCAAGATAGGATAAAAATTTAATAAGACATATAGAGTTGGACTTTTCAAGATACATAAAAAAGACTAGGAAGCAGGAAGAATACCCTTATAAAACCACCATTATGTTAATAAAGATGGTTCAAGACAGAACAACTTTGGAGTGATTACGGAGTAAGCTGAATTTAAGCTAGTCATTGAAGGACGAGCAAAATAAGATGATGCTGGATCTCAGAATCTAAATTCTCTCAGACCTTTTTTTTTTTTTTTTTACTCACTATATAGCTCAGGCTGGAGGTGCAATGTCTGTTCACAAGCATGACCATAGTGGACTACAGCCTCAAACTCCTGGCCTCAAGTGATCCTCCTGTCTTAGCCTACCAAGTTGCTGGAACTACAGGTGCATCACTATACCCAGCATTTGAAAGCTTTTTAAGTCAATACAATGGTATAATTTATTGCAAAGGAAAAATAAAAAGAATCCATAAGATAAACATGTATATAGGTGGATATGGATATACTAATAGACAAAGATGTAGTGATAGATGTTTTATTCTCATTTAGGTAGTACAGACCAACAACATATAAGTAGTTATCTCCACAGACATATGGAGGAGAAAGTATCAAGAAAAGTTTACTCAGAAAAGATAAAGATTCCATCATAAATTTGAGTTCCTCTATAGTCGTGAATCTACAAAACTTAAGATACAAATAGCTTGCGTGTAACTTAAAGTTTTGTTGAAAACACACTCAAACATTGAACAAAATGCCTCCCTTAAATTACAAGATCATTCTTTCTCTTGGGTATGAAAAGATGTTTCAGGGAGAAAAACAAAAGATTTTTTTTCTTTTTTTCTGGAAAAACTAACTTATAAAATAAAGTATTAAGAAGATGAAACCAAGTTTTTTTTCTGATAGGATTTTCAGGGGCATTAGAAGAATATGCATTGTAAATACTCCCAAATGGGACAGTGTGTGTTTGATAACCTGCATCATTTTAGTTTAGTTTATTTTTTTTCACTCAGTCACTCCTAGGAAATTATATTCATTGGAATTCAGTTTGGGTAATAGTTTTCTACTCTACTATGAAAAGAATATATTAGGTATAATTGAAATAGACATTCCTGGCCCTAAAATTACAGTGTGCTGAGGAAAGGATCAATGACTTTTTCTGAAAACTACCAAACTATGCAAGGTGCTCACATAAACATGAGAGTTCTACTGGTTAGTAAAACCATGTATCATATTGAGACAGGATATAAGGAGCATGACAATAGAAAAACTCAGAGCTTTAGCAGTGACATTAGCTAGGTACAGCACGCCTGAGTTGTGATGTTGCAGTGACTTTGAAAGCCGCGTATAACAGGAGATAATATGTTTCCTTAAAACAAATATTTGTTAATAAAAACCTCATGATTCAAATAAAATGGAAGCACGACCTAATGTTTAAGATAGCCATGTATGGTTTACAAAAACACTAAGGTAAATTTTCATACTGGGCTGCTACTACTGATCACAGTGTGTACTATAGTCCTGATAAGTTCAGACAAAAGGAGAAAAATGTCTTAACAGTTTAGGAATAGTTTTAGACAGAACTAATATAGAATAGCCATTTGCTCTGAACATATAGATTGTTTTACATATGGTATAAATGCAACAATTAAAAATTTAAATATAAAGGAAAAAAAATTATGCCAGTGGTTTCAGGAAAGAGACATAAATCTACAAGCTTATAATATGAAAATACGCCAAACACTAGGGATATAAACAATACAAAGAAATTTCAGGCCAGTATTTTATCATCCCATGCCCAAACTGGGAAGCTGAAGCTTAGAGGCCTAACCAGCTGAGTCTAAAAGTCTTCATAGTAGTGAATGCGGATTAGGAAAAAGTTTACTATTGGCACAGAGATAGAACAGAAATAATTATCTCTGCTTAATATTTTGAGAAGAAAAAAAGTTTTACTGTGTGGGTATAGACTAGAGTAAAATTTGTCAGCACTTGTGTTATGTGGGGGTCTTCCAAAAACATCCTTGAACTAATAGAATTCTACAGACAATTAGAAAAAAGAAAATACAAAAGTCCTCACTCTTTAGCAAAACTTGCAGGGGAAATAAGAGTTCTTTCCTCACTACTACCCACACATGGACGCACACACACTATTTCTACTGATCTGACAATGAAATCCACCAATTATGCTACAAAATAATCATCACTGGAAAAGAATAAAATATAATTAATAATAAAATAATACAAAAATGTAAATAGAATAATTTGAAAAAAGATTATAAAAATTATATTTAAAATAAAATAAATAGAAGTTAAAATGAAGGAACAAAAATATGCAAAAGTAATCTATGTGCTGGATTGCAAAGTTGGCCAGAATTTATCCCCTGCCAGTACGTGTGTCTATAATATGACTATAAATCTCATCAAGAAATGGAGCCTATCTCCCTACTTCATTGGATTGTATCATTCTATTGATTCATTTTGGCCTACAGAATGTGGCGGAAATGATGTGCCAGTCCTGCCCAAGACCTCAGGAGGTTTTGTATGTTTCTGTTCTTGATCTTGAGACCATGATACTGACATGTGGAAAGTTGTGGACTAGTTGGCTAGATAATGAGAAACCACATGGGGCAGAGATAAACCATTCAACATATTAGCCAGGCAGCCATACCATCATTTGATTTTATATGCCCAGAAGAGAGCAGAAAAACTCTTATCTGAGTCCTATCCAAATTTGCAACTGATAGAATTGTGAGATATATACATGGATATTGTTTTAAGTCATTAATTTTGGGGTAGTTTGTTTTACTCTCTATATATATATTTGTTGTTTTACTGTATATATATAATCTACTGTATATATATGTATACAGTAAAACATACATATATATATGTTACTATATATATAGTAAAACAAACAACCCCAAAATTAATGGCTTAAAACAATATCCGTGTGTGTGTGTATATATATATTTTGTTTTACTATATATATATATATATATATATATATATGTATATATATGCATCATTGAAATGCAAAAAAAGGTAGAAGTTACTAAAAAAAAGATTATAAATCTAACCTTGGAAAGAAGATACACATAGGTCAGGGAATGAAGATACTTTCGGCTTTAGAGGCTGAGGCCCAGCCAGTTCAAAGAATAGACCTTAATCAATAAGCTAATACTTTTGTTTTAAAAACAGTCAAGGTCCAGATTCTTTGTTCCAGAGCAGGCTTTTTCAGAACTGAAAAGAAATCCACCAGTATACGTGGCTTACAAAACTAACTGAACGAGTGCAAAGATAGAGCAGGGTATAAGGGATCAGCTCTCTAGAGGTGAGGCCAAGACACACAGATGGTTTCAAGGCTGGTGCACGTGGCTGCTGCTGGTTGGTCAGATGTCATACACAGAGACTGGCACCCTCTAAACAAGTGTCCCTGAGGGCCATGTACAAGAAAAGTGCTCAAGTATACAAGTTACACTTCTGAATTTGTCCTCCTTCAAATAAAAGTATTTTGAAGAAAAGTACTCTGATAAGGGTGAAGAACTTTGTGGAGTCTACTTTTATAAATTGGGTTATAGGTTAAGTAAAAGATGCTAGGGTAAGCTAAAGTTTTCTGTCACACATTGGAAATGATAGCATGTCAAAAAGATAGTTGGTTATTTACAGGAGAAAAACAAATTGAATAACAGAATATATTTGTAAATCTAAAACTATGGAGACCAGAAATAACGGCCATTACTATTTAAAAGTTCTGAAAGATAATAAATGTCAATTCTCCATTCTATATCCAGTGAAAATATCCTTTAAAAAGTGAAGGAGAAATAAAACATTCTCAAGCAAATGAAAATTAAGATAATTTGTCATGGGCATATTTGCCCTCATAAAATGCCTAAATTTTTCCCAATTAGGAAAAAAAATTAGAGGAAGGCAAGGACAGAGAAAAAAATAACAATAAATAGATAAAATTAAGGAAAATATAAAATAAAATAGACTATCCTCACCCATAAGATTTTTAAATAATATTTGATGATTAGAAGAAAAAAATACTACAGAATTTGATGTGTTTATGGAAATCACACGGAAAATATGGAGAGGAAAAAAGGACCTAAATGGAAGTCAAATGTTGTTTATACTTTGATTAAAATTGTAAAATATGTATGCCAGTAGACTGTGATAAGTTGTTATGTACATGTTTTAATATTAATAGCAACCATAGAAAAACCCATACAAAGTGGTATTCACATACTACTGTAAAGAAGTCAATATAGAATCATAAAAATAAACTCGCAAATAATCTACAGAAAGACAAGAACAGAGAAATAGAAGAATAAGAAACAAAAACAAACAGAAAACAAACAGTACAATGGTAGACTTAAATACCAACATTAAATATATATAAATATATATTAAATGTAAATGATCTAAATACTCCAATTTGAAGACAGAGATTTTCAGACTAAAATAAGACTCAAATTTATTCAAATAACATTTCATGTCCTTAGAAAAACAGAAATTGTAAAATCTCCCTATTTCTGTATAAATACTTTTTAAGAAATATGAACTTATTTTAAAATTTACATGAAGTTTTCCATGAAAATTAAGTCAAACATAACAATGAAGAGAAAAGAAGTGAGCTTTGTCCTACCAAATAAAAAGATACTCCAATTCACAGTAACAAAATAGTGTGATATTGTCCAAGTTCATACAATGAATTTGATCAATGACAAAGAGAGATCAGAGACAGATTCCTTTATGTACGATAACTTAAAATACTGGATATAATGAACAATGTTTGTGACACTTGACAGTGTCAGAGAAGCCATATAAATTTGAGATGTGGATAATATTTAGTAAAAAACAGAAGTCTTATAAATCAAGAAAAAAAAAGTAAAAGGAAAACCAGAAATCCCTATTTAAAAACATAGAAATAGCATTTAACTGACAATTTACAATAAAGGAAAGAAGTTATTATAACTAATTGTTCAATCTTACTGCCAATTAGACAAAAGCAAAACAAAAAAAAAATCTCAATGTGATAACAATTGAAATGTTAGATTATTGGGAGAAATGTCAGGAATGTGGGGATGTGAGAATTCGAATGCACTGTTGGTGAGAGTGTAGACTGGTACAGGTGTTGTGAAGAGCAATCTGACACTGCTTGATCAAACTAAGGACACAAAGAATATGACTCAATGATATTGCTACTCTGCTGCAGGCATCACTTGTTACACAAACTATTCTTCTCTATATTTCTTTTTATTTTCTTGATCCCATACAGACTTGTACATTGTTGGTTTGACAGTAAACACTTTAAATTAGTATGTCATAGTGAATCTTGTAATAACGCTCTTGCAGTCTAGTTCCTTATTGAGCTATTGTATACCACTTTAAGTCATTCAATGAGATTATAAAAGTATCTTATTTTCAAAGACAGCTCCTTAACAAATCATCTGTAATTGAGGATTATTTCTGTAGAAAACCAACCTTACTATATTACACTAATTTTTACCTGTCACAATTCTGGAAAGATAATCTTCTCATTTTGTCCCACATAATATTCACTGTTACTCGTTCTCTATACATTGATTATAATCTTTGAGCATTTTGAAAATAGTAAAGTACTACCCAAAAATATAGTAAAACTTTAAATCCCTTCCTAAATGTACAATAAAGTTGTGTTTCTGTCCAAGAATAAAACTTCAAGTGAACTACTTAAAATGCCTTTTCCTTTTACATGGAGAGAAGCAAATAGCCTCAATTGAGCTCATTTGCTGAAAGTGTTCTTAAGACATTCCATTTACATTTTTGCTCTATCTAGGTTAAGTACTCAATGACTGTTTTTCATTTGTCAATGTTTTACGTTTCCAAGAATATATTTTAAAAGCAGAATATTTATTTAAATTTTTTGGGAAAGTAAACAGCTGTCCTTTAATCTGAGAAATTTGACTATTTAAAAAATAATATTCACATAATTTTATACAGGAAGACTGATGGAAGGGAAATGAATTTTCCTTCTGATTGGTGGCAATGGAGAGACTACCATCTTTGCACTATGTCTAAGATGACAATTCGCTGATCTTCTCTAACATTCTAGTAGGCAGCCTTCCTCCTAATTTATCAAGTGTCAGACATGACAACAGCAAACAATTACGGAGGTATGATTTGTATCATATGGAGTTATATTTATTGCTTTATTAAATTAGCTTCATCTAAATATGCAATCAATTCTAATTTTTATTTAAAGCTACATTCATTTAAACCTGTCTTATACCTGTATCTGGGTATGTGAGTCTGTCAAAATTGAGTGTTTTGCTCTTACAGGACAACCACATTAAAAATGACGACAGAAACATTTTAGCTGACTACAAAGATATTTACTCTTGGTATATAGACCAGTCATTTGACTTGTGAAATTGGTTTCAAAAGGCTTGCAGCAAAATGGTTTTGACAAGATGTCACACTGTGAAATGTGGGTGACAAAATGATCTAGTGAATAGTTGAAAAAAAGATGATGTAAATTAATTTCCAAATAACAACTTGATTCTGCTGATAGAGGGAAAAGAACATTGATTGTAACAGAACCGTCAAGGATAGTTCTGAAGCTTTATGAATACAGAAATAACCAGTGGAAGAAAATTTAAATTTCAGTTTTCCTAGACAGAGTAGTTGAAGTAATGAGGAGGAAAGCTTTAGAAAAAGACAGACAGAAATGTTCATTCAGATTATGACCAGAGTTTGAGTTCTCTTATGAACCTTTCAATCTCCTCAGAGGTGAAAAACAAGGTGAAACCCCTTGAGACTGTCAGCCTGGCTTCCCTCAGGTGTGATTTCAGGAGTGTTCAACTTTGTAACTATTCATTACATTGTACATGTATGAAGTGAGATTTTTTAAAAATACATGCTACATTTCACGTTTTAAAAATCCACTTATCTTCAGCTTGCCCTAAGGTGCCAGTCCAGCAGTGAGGCTTCCATCAAGTTTTTCTGCATTTTACATAACTCCAGAATTTTAAACACTATAGAAATTAAAAATTTCATCTCACCATTGGTTTCAAAAGAAACAGAAACAAGGACTGTGTTAATTAAGTGCTTTATTTGCATGCCTAATCTTAATATCTTCTTGAAGGCCTGATTTTTATTGACTAATATTTCCCTGGTTTTAGAAATAATATTAAGTGTGAAATACGATTATTGCCTTGAGATTATTTCATAGAAGAGGAAGGGAATATTAAGGAAAGCTTTTTGGAATACCCTGCTCAAAACAGCTGCTGTTTATAGAACTCTTTTTGGAAATGTTTCAAAAACATAGGGTCAATTGACACCCTATATTTTTCACTTCTGTAGAGGCAGCCCATATTATAGTGTAAAAATTACTTTTTAAAAAAGGAAGCACTTACTAGGTGCAAATCACTGGTCTAGATGCCTTAGGGAAGATGTGTAAAACAGCGATCTCCTAATTTGGAAATGTAGGTTAGCACAGGGGCTAAGACCATAGATATTAAAATCAAGCAGACATTGGTTTACAATCCTTACCAAAGATATCCAAATAAGTGATGATGGGAAAATTATCTGCCTCCTCTTATAACAGCCTAATAATAAGGATATCCTCATAAGGGTCAAATGGCCTTCTAAGCCTTGACCAAGAGGGCCTTGAAGTTTCTCTCAGTTTGACTAAACTTGACAAGCTTCTTCCTAACTCTAGATCCCTGACTTTTCTTTTCTTAGATAATTTACTTAAGAAAAACTTGTAATTGTACTTTTTTTCTATTCCTTTGAAATACCAATTTTTAAAAAAGTTCTCCTGCCAGTTTTCCAACCCAGGACTGTTTTTCTTAAGGACCTGGGAGCCATCCCTTTGAAATACAAACATCAAAGAAGATGGCATTCCTATCTCCCAGGTTGGAGACCGACTTAGATGGACTTCTTGCTCCAAGTTGTAAAATTACATACTCTTATGATGAGAGAAGAAAGTTTAACTTCCTTCTGGGTAAAACTAATTGGCAAACACAGATGGCCTAATTCTCCCTCTCATCCTAGTTCTTAAAAATTCTCCCAAGGTTTGTTTCAATGAAGTTAAAGTTCAGACTGCATTCCAGTCTCTATTCTGATGGGACACAGACAACAATACCTCAGAATAAAAGCCGCAGAAGCAGCCTCAGAAGTAAAAGCTTTTTACTGACCTTCTCCTGCCCTCCTATCACTCAGTCCTATTTTCTCCCAAGGCTGGTCATAGAAACTAGAATCCCTCTTCCTACAGTGGGTCATAGAAACCAGAAGCCCCTTTTCCCAATGCCAGCCATAAAATCTAAAAATATTACTCTAATTTTTTCTCCACCTTTCTGTGTAAAAGCTGGCCATAAAGAAATTATCTGACTTATCTTGTTTGACTGTAGGCCGTAAGATCCCCATTTCAATTGCCCCAAACCCAAAAGGAGAAGAATGCATGCTCAGAAAGGCACAGAAGAATCTAGACAGGCAGGGATTGCTGAATTTTCCCACTCAGTCTATTAACATTAGATCATACCCTGTTTGTCCTATCATATTTCTACACAGCTGTCTATACTTTGTTAAACCTAGGCACAAAAATGGACAATTTCCTGTATATCTTTGAGTCTTCATTCTGAAGGCTCCTATGTATACACGTTAAATAAATTTGTATGCCTTTTCTTCTATTAATCAATCTGCTCATGTCAGTGATTTTCAGTGAATTTCCAGGGAGCCAAGGGATGTGGTCTCCACATTCCCCTATTGCAATAGCCCTAAATAATATCTTACTTGCCTGTTCAACTTTGTCAGATGTAGTTTTTGATTTGATAATGTTTTAGATGTAAAATCTTATTTAGGGGCTCAAAGCAATTCTGTCAGATGTGTCCTACGTATGGTTTATTATTCCTTTTTTTTTTTTTTTCTTTTGAGACGAAGTCTCACTCTGTTGTCCAGGCTGGAGTGCAGTGACACAATCTCAACTCACTGCAACCTCCACCTCCCGGGTTCAAGGGTTCAAGCGATTCTCCTGCCTCAGCCTTCTGTGTAGCTTGGACTGCAGGTGTGCACCACCATGCTCAGCTAATTTTTGTATTTTTAATAGAGACAGGTTTTCACCATGTTCGTCAGGTTGATCTGGAACTTCTGATCTCAGGTGATACGCCCTCCTCGGCCTCCAAAGCTGGGATTACAGGCGCGAGCCACTGCTCCCAACCTATTCCTAATATTTTTATTAATTTAAAAGTTGTCACAAAACTTGTTATTAGAACTCAGATTCTAATCCAGACAGTGAAACTCTAGAGTATATGCCTCCGATTATATTACCAGAAAGGGGTTCTGATCTAGACCCCAAGAGCAGGTTCTTGTATCTCACAAAAGAAAGAATTTGAGGTGAATCCATAGAGTAAAGTGAAAGCAAGTTTATTAAGAAAGTAAAAAAATAAAGAATGGCTACTCCATAGGCAGAGTAGACCAAAGGGCTGCTGGTTGGCTATTTTTATGGTTATTTCTTGATTACTTGCTAAACAAGGGGTGGATTATTACACACTAACAAGGGGCACTTCCTATAACTGAGGGTTCCTCCCCCTTTTAGACCATATAGGGTAACTTCTCGACATGCTATGGCATTTGTAAACTGTCATGGCACTGGTAGGAGTGTCTTTTTGCATGCTAATGCAATATAATTAGCATATAATCAGTAGTGATGATGGCCAGAAGGCATTTTCCTAACCATCTTCGTTTTGGTGGGATTTGTCCGGCTTTTTTACCACAAACTGTTTCATCAGCAATATCTTTGTAACCCGTATTTTGTGCCAACCTCCTATCTCATCCCCTGACTAAGAAGGCCTAACCACCTGGGAATGCAGCCCGGTAGGTCTCAGCCTCATTTTCCCAAGCCCCTATTCAAGATGGAATAGCTGTGGTTCTAATGCCTCTGACAAATACATCATACTGCCATTCTAACTTCATTTTCTTTATCTGAAAAATAGGTATAATAATATGTTTATAACCAGGGTTTTGTAAGAAGTAAATGAAACACTGTCAAGTGCTGGTCAACAGAATGACCTCTTTAGCTATCATTATTACTATTTTTAAATTAATATTAAATAATTAATAATACTAAAATATATTGCTAATATATTTTAATGATGGTAAATTATAAAACCTGTTTGTAAACAATGTATTCAAGAGGTTCCTTTCTAGAAAGAATCACTCAATACTTACCCCAAACTAAGTCAAGGCCAGGAGTTACATGATTTTTTTTAATGCCAGTAAATTTTAAAGAGTATTAAAAAATTACACTTCATTTTCAGTAAGAACGGATCCTCCACATCATCCCACTCTTTTTATAAAAATGAGCATTGAATAATCAACTAGTAAGCTTCAAGGCTGAGAATAATTTCCTATTGTCTCACGCATTCCTTAAGAAAAAAAAATATCTTTTAGAGAGTCTAAATACAGACTCTCTAAATACTCTGTAGGCAACAACACAGATGCATCTCTGAAGAAATTATTTACCCACTGTAACAAATAAATCTTTTTCATAGACAAAACATGTACTACATGAATTGTCAAGCCATGCCTATAAACAATAATCTGCTCTATAAGAGAGCAGCACATTGACTCTCTCCTCAAACTGCTCTATATCTTTCTGTTTGAGTAATTCATCACCAAAATCGCTTTTGTGTGTACATATGTGTAAGTGAGTGTGTGTATGTGTGTTGGGTGGGGTAGGAAAAGCAGGCTATAGTAACCAGAAGAAATAAATAACATTTTTCCTGCTAAGTGGGATGATACACTTGGCAGGAAAATCAAAGGACTGATTATTAAAAGGGACAAGATAAGCAATTTTGATAACAAGAAGCTGTTTAAATGTTTAATGCTTTTCATTGCTATGAATGGTAGCTCAGCCTCTACTTGGAGTAGTCTGGGGGCAGGGTGCCCCAGATTTGCTGCCTTCGTCCTAAATTTGCAGAGCTCTTTTGTGCTGGGGACAGTAAGCTGACAGGAATACACACATACACACACACACACACACACACACACACACACAATTTCTATCCAAAAAAGGCCAAGCATGTTATCAGGGATACACACACACACACACATACACACACACACACACACACACACACACACAATTTCTATCCAAAAAAGGCCAAGCATGTTATCCATGGTCATGAGGAAGTGGTTCACCATTGTGAAATAAAAATGTAGCTGGTGATTTCACAAACTAGCACCCTGAGAGAATAAAGTCCCATACTAAACTGAGGTCTGTGTTCTGCCTTTGCAAAACTTCACTATTTTTGCTAGAGATGTGCATCCTAAATTTAACAATGCCTTCTCTTGTGGAGTTTTGAAACTGAGTGATTCTTTTCTATAATAGTTTTAAAGGATTAATTTTTTCACCTAATACAGAAGTTGTTTCTGACAATGTTGAATTTTACTTGGGTCCTGGCAAACAGTAATATTAAGTACTGCTCCCCCCAACCCCCAAACTTTTGTGTTCTAGAAGTAGCTTAGTGCAGGGAACCTTTCCCTTTTCTCCATATGACTGACATAAGATTCATAAATGGCCTCCTTGTTTACTTATGACAAAGCCAGACACAGGCCATTCAAATTTCCCGTTCTTTGCTTCATAAAGATTACCTGAACTGCTTGTCCCCACTTACCAAAGAGAAAAAAGGCTTGTGTATTAACTTGTTTTCACACTGCTATAAAGAACTGTTTAAGACTGAGTATTTTATAATGAAAAAGGAGTTTAATCAACTCACAGTTCTGCATGGCTGGGGAGGCCTCAGTAAACTTACAATCATGGCAGACCGGGAGGTAAATAAACCTTACATGGCAGCAGGTGAGAGCACGTGTGAGAGTGCAGGAAATACTACCATTTATAAAATCATCAGATCTCACACAAACTCACTCACTAATAAGAGAACAGCTTGGGGGAAACTACCCACATGATCCAATCACCTCCCAGTGGGTCCTTCCCTCAACACATGGGGATTACGGGAATTATAATTCAAGATGAGATTTCGGTGGGGACACAAAGCCTAACCATATCAGCTTGTTAAAGGATTGACTAAGTTAGACTTCTTCCCTCCCTTGAACTCTTGAATTTTGACCCACCCTCAGCCTGAGACAGCATACCCCTCCTGGGTCTCTCCTGAGAATCTGCTGACCTGAAGGAAAGACATTCCTGATCAACTATCCAATCATGTCACTGTCTCTTCTCACCCTCCCACACTCCATTCCTTCTACCTTTGTTTACCCCTTCCTAAATAATAAAAGCCCCTTTTTGCCTAACCTTTAAGGTGTTCGTAGATCTATTGCAATAGTCTCTTTCTATCCGTTAAAATTCACCCTTTGTCCTTATGACAATAATTCTTTCTAATAAAGTCTCTCTTCACCTAAGAGCAGATTTGTTATTTGACACTTTGCATATGTAATTATTTTATTGAAATTTAAAATCATAGAATGCCAGAGCTTAAAGGAACCTTCAAACTAATGTAGTCTGGGTTCTTCATATTTTAAGATGCATAAGAATTACTAAGGAAAATGTCAGAATTGAATTCCAGATCAGCCTGACTCCTGCAAGGGAACATGCTGCAACAGAACTAGGACATAGATAATACAAATGTTTTAGATTAGTTATTAAGTGGACACAGACTGGGAGATACTGGATCTAAAATACCTACCTTTTGCAGATGAGAAATGGAGATTACATCATCTAACCTAAGAACATGGAGCTGATCAGTGAGCCAGACTTGAAATATGACACTTTGATTTTCAAGCCATTATGTGTCCCATTACACAATACTGTTTCTGTAATGTAAAAGTCATAGCACCATTATTTTTCTGATGGAAGCGTAATAAAAGGTCTATATGACAGGCATTTTCTTGAAGTGTATGAAACAATAGAGAGCCCTCTGGAAATGATGGTACATCGGCATTAATTATTCAGTGCTAATTAGTAGCATCACACATTGACTACTGTAGTGGATTATCCTCAAACTGATTATTGAAAATATTATTAAGCCTTGATTTACATTCCTGGAAAACATTAAGATATGAGCTGTCTTATCTCTACTGAGAAAAATATATTATCTTTGCACTAATAATTACTGCTTTATTCAACTAGTTTTAAAACAATCTAATATTTGAAATAATAGAGAAAGCAAAGCTGCTTTAAAATTTTAAAAAATCCACTTTAAAATAAAAACAAGGTTCTGTCCTTTCTTTATTAAGGAACGTAAGTGGGAACATAAGTCGTAAATCCCTAGGGTCCAATTAAATGCACGTAATAACATTAAAAGACAGACGGCACTCCAGTAGCATAAAATAATGAATAAAGTTTCCATTTTAAGACACTGGATTTTTTTAAGTGAAAAATCTTTCTCCTTTTTTTTTGTATTTGCTTGATTTTACTTCTTTCTTTCCCATTTATCTTTGCTACTTTTTAAAAGATCAGATGTAATATACTGGTGCTCTCAGCTTTCCAAACAAGATATAGTAATTTGTAAAGAAATGGTTTCGCAAATTGGCACTGGACATTCATTTTGCAGTTGCTGTAGCTGTTCACAAAGGACAAAGGAGTGACACAAGAACAGTGAGTGAACAAACAGATAGCATTTCAGAGAATAAATCTTTTATCTGGGAATCAAATCTCATTGTTCCTATTCTAATGCTTATGTATAAATAAAACAGGGATAAAATTGTACATATTGGAAATCTCCTACCTAAGGGCATTTTGCAACATGTGTGTGAATAAAAAGCGACCTCTAAGAGCTGACCATAGGAAGGTCCAGGTCTTTACTAGAAGTCAGCCTACTTGGTAATTTACCGAGCATATGAAAGAACTTTTATGAAATTATATATGGCTGAAATTTAAGCCTATTACGGTATCACATTCCTGTAAATTCTGAGTATGTTGCTTCTCTTTCATGTATTACTCTTGAGTGTGCATTTTCCCTTATGTTATTTTTGAAATAATGTCCCATGTTTTCAACTTATTCTTGTATACTTGTGGACAAATATGTATCTATAGTAAAATAGTAATCAAATGTCAAGTTTAAATTAGTTATTTGCTATCTAATTTTGGAAGTTATCTATCAAGGATGTTTCTTGGCAGGGTTATCAGCATAAAAACACGTAGGAAGAAATTTGAATAGTATTGAGGGAAAACTATTGCTTCCAAGCCTTTAATCTACCATTCAGATGCACATAGCATGAAGCTAAAGAAAGACCAGGAAAGAAGCAAGTAGGGAAAATGAGAAACATTTTCAGAAACAATTTCAAATACATGTATGGGGAGAATTTCTAGGCAGTTCACTAATTCTTGAAACAAGAGAATACACTCATTCTAAGATTATACTATGTATAACCATAGTCATTTAAGAGATGGACTGTAATATTTAGGGACTGTTACATACATATTACAGTATTAATAGTGATCTCATTTTCATATTATGTTCTTTATATGTAATTTAAGGCTATTGCTGATATTTTCATATTAATGACACTTCACTGTAGATATAATTTTGCAACACCATTTAAATGCTCGATAAGGTGGGGTTATAATCAATCAGCTTATTCAGGGGAGAGTTTCAAAGCTCTCATGATACCCCATATTCTTGCTTTTCCTTTTTTGAAAAGAAATCTTGGAAAAAAACTCGAAGGTCATGGATTGTATTTTTAAAAAAATCAAGGTTTTATTTCCAGCTCTGCCATGTAACGCTTGTGAGAACCTGGACACATCCTCTTCTCACTTGGAGCTACGGTTCCTTCATCTACAAGATCAGAATTCATCATTCTATGGAGAATTGAGCATGATAGCCTATGTGAGTGCTTAGAGATATGTGTTGAGATTTTTGCCAGGAAAAGCCTGTTGTCTGGTGTTCAGTGCTATTGTAGGTAATGGTTCCCTTTAACTATCTCCAAAATTGTGGCAACTTACTCCATGAAAATAAATTTGACACTACCTTTTTAAAATCTACAACCAAAATTGTGATTTATGTTCCTATACGTGAAATATGTTTCCCCTATTTTGTACTGTTTGGGCATCTCTTGTCAACCACTTTCCTTCTACTTAGATTTTTAAATAATCAATTCAGGGAAATAGCAGGGCTGAAATTTCAGCAGATGGTTCAGCTCTAAAATTTCATTTGAGTCTCAGATTTTTAGATTCCTTGGCAGAATAAAAAGTATAGCTGCTTTCTCCAAATTTAGACAGAATAATCTGAATAAAGAGGGATACGACTGGAGTAATTATAAGAGGGAATTATTAAAATACTTTATGTATTAATATTTGATAATCAGAATTTGCAAGAAAAATCAATAAACTAATGAAATGTAAAACATTAGAAAACCTATAAATTGCTTGACTTACTAAAAAGGCAGATGCTAATGTATAAAGCTTTTCCTGAATTGTCATATGATAGTCTGTAACCAATACCTAGGTAGGAGGATAAATATATATATATATATATATATATATATATATATATATGCTTCTGTGTGTGTGTGTGTGTGTGTGTGTGTGTGTGTGTATTTCCATGGGAAAATCAGTTTTGTATGGCTTCAAATACCTACAGGGTATTAACATACTTCACTATCATTACTTCAACCACTCTATCCTCAAGTTCCAGTGAGGAAAAAACTGTGCCAAATAAGAGGAAAGCTATGTGATTGAGAAGGTGTCAGACAGAGAGCAGTCCAAGAGATCATGTTAGCTGTTAGCCATGAGGGTACCTTCCAGAAAGATTAGAAACCATCAGCTATAGGGTTGCTTCTTTCCCCTAGCAATATGGCTATATTAATATCATAATTGTTTAGATGATACGTTGAAAATAAAATCTACCATATATCTGTCATTTACAAGAGTTTTATATATATATATATATATAAGATATTTATAAGAGGTCAAAGCGTTTTGTATGAGAATTCTAGCCTCTATAAACATATCAAGAATAGTTTATTATTTGAAAAAAGACGTTTGCAAAGAGTTTAAGGGAATGAGTGATCAGAATGTCTGTGTTTATGAGCAACATATCAGTGCCTTCCTTGTAGTGGTTTAATTATTTTATTTTGAATCCAACCTTAGGGAATATCTGGGTTGAGATTTAGAAAATTATGAATTTCTTGGCCACTTATTTTTTCTGTATATTTTCTTTCTTCTCTTTTCTAAGATGCATGATTTCTTAGGCTTTTGTTAGATCATGTCTGGACTATTGCAATTCCCCAAAATATTGTTTTATTTTTCTTTTACAGCATACTGAGATCTGCGAAAAAAGTGGACTTCATATAAATGACTGAGGCTGAGTTGTTTTTATGAGTATTTTTATGAGTTTGCACTCATAAAAATTAATTAAGCAATATCATCTGTGAGGTAATCTCATGTTTTAGTATACATATGTACGGACCTTTTCATTATACAGTTACAATGTAATTTTGTCATTCCTAGAAATGAGAGAGTTGTACACTAATCTTTATTAATAAAAATCATGCTTATTCAATGGAGAATAACTTGATTATCTGTCTTTTAGTAATTTCATGTGGTTGATTTATCCGCATTACTCTGAGTATACATTGTATATCTGTATGCATGTGTATGCAAATGCCTAATTGAGTGGCATATAGTGAGTGGTGCATAGTGACATTTGTTTAGTAATTTTATATTATAATAAACAAGAAGGGCAATAAACATTATTTCTTTCACAATCTCTTAGAGCTTGTTAGTTAATTCTGTACTTCTGCAGATTTAATGCTGTCGACATGGGAGGTATGTATTAATAGAATAACAATTGGCAAACACAACTGAGAAAAAAATCATAAAATTTTTGGCTAGTTGGCTTTGAAATATATATTTCCTTGAATACCCAAGATATGTTCCTGTATTAATCCCATATATAGGTGACTCAATTTTATTTACATGAAGTCTAATATCCTTCCTAGCTAATCATCTTTTCCACCTCCACCATATATTCAGAAAACCATGATACAAAACAAAAATATACTTTTGTTTGTTTGTTTCCTATGAAAAGAAAAATCTGAGATAATGGATGTCAAATTCCCACAGTGAAGAAATTATCACATAACTGTAGATCTCAGGAAAAGAATTTCCCCTTCCCCCATATATACTACACACACTGTGTCCAAAATGAAAGACAGAACCAATAACTAGATATTGTTATTGTCAGGGAAAACAGGTTGATGGCCTACAGGTCAGAATTTTAAAATGAGTCATGATGTGGGTCTTATTAAATATTGGGCTAATGTCTGTCGTAAGATTAAAATGTTTAAAAACTCTTTTTCTTTGGAAAGACCCGCAATGTTTATGAGTTTCAAAAAAAAAAAATCTGTGTTTTTTAAACAACAACAAAGAAACGTAACACTTCTTATTGACATAGCTGAAAAATCTGAAATGATTTTTTCAAACCAGATTAAAACAATAATTGAAAAATTTTAGTTAATGGTCAGGGTAACTATCTGCTGAAATAATTGATAATATTAATTAAAATGAGGTTATGCAGAAATTATAAAACATGCATTTATTGCAGTTATGAAAAGCTATAAAGAAACAGACTGGTATTTTTATTTATTCACAATAAATCATAATTTTTGACACAATTAAGGCCAGCTCATTATTAGATAACACTGTCATGCCAGCTTTAGCACAACTTAATGCAATCAAATGTGATAAAACTTGATTTAATTTTGAAATTTCCAGAATTAAATATTGCACTTGTAGCCACTTATTGGCTTACTCAATGACTGAAGATGTGAAATTCTGCTACATGAAAATGCATTCATATGCATAAGCTTAAGAGTAGCATTCTTCTACTGAATAATTTAAAATCACGTATTTTTGATCCTAAGAAAAGCAATGGAAAGCCACACAAGTTACATTTTGCATTGTCGTGGATCACACGAAAATTCGTAAGTAGTGTACAGAAAAATATTTTATTGTTTGAAAATATTTACTGAAGACCTATCAGGTGTCAAGTATCATATTAAGAAATTAACATAGAGTAAATGGTAAGGTCACTTATCTACAGAGAAAAAAAATGGAAATGTTGAATGAAAAGCATTGCCACAGGGATGGGTGACAAAGAAATGGAAAAGCAATTTAGGAAAAAAGAGATGTGCACCACAGAAGTATGCAACATCAAGATGTGATTGTGCTATAGTTAGCATTTAAATGTGAATAGGATTCAGAGAAGATTAAAAAAGGAGATGATGACAAGAAATGAGGCTGGAAAGAGATTAGGAACAGACTGTTAGGACTTTGAATTCTCCTTAAGTGCTTAACATTTATCCTGTAGCCAATTGGTATGTAGCACAGACTTTAACTATGAAAGCAAAATGCACATATTAAATAAGAAAGAGTTTATGGACTTGGTATTTCACTAGTTACAGGGTAGATAAGGAAGAGGAAAAATACAAAGATAATTCTTAGATGTCTGACTTGGTAGACTAATTATATGGTGACACTATTAAACCAAGCAGGAATTATCAGAGAATATTTATATCAGTAGGTAAGGAAAAGAATAAATTTGATTCATTATTTGGTAAATTTGAGATAACTGTTGTAAATACAGTCAGTGTGTCCTAAGAAAAAATGCAATAGATAGATTGAAAGTTATTAATACATATATCCTAATTGGCAGTGAGATATTACATGGGAAAAAGCAATTTGAAAGCATAACATCTACAAGGTGATTAGATTAGAAAACCCATAGTGCATCATGTTAATCTTTATATTATTTTATGAGTTTTAATCTGACCATGTATTTTGAGCTTAAATAACTCAGTATGATAACTATGCTGTTCACTGGTTTATAGGATGATATTAACTTCTCCAATATTATTTTAATGCTTACTCTGAGGCAGGCAATGTGTTGGGCATTGGAAGTGACACAAAATTAAATTAAAAAGGACCTTGTGCTTAAAATTCTAATGGATGATCTTCTCCATTGTTCTATCTATGCTGTAGATGGAAAACCAAAATGGCACTCTAATTGCAAAGAGAATAATTGCCACAAAACATGTAAATACAGGGGCCATAGAAATTTAGAGAGATAGTCAGACTACTACGAGTAGAGGGAACAAAGAAGGATATCACTAGTCCAGTGGCATTTGAGCTGTTGGTTCAAGGTTAGGTAGGATTTGAATAAATTCATATTTTAAAAAATACAGTATATGTGGAGGAACATCATGAGCAAAGACACAAAGCATTGATAGGCAAGGAAGGCTTACAGTAAAGGGGATGTTTAATCAATGTAGTGAGATGAAAGAGTAACATGGAAAAATAATATTGAAAATACAACTAGGGACTAGATTATAGAGAAATAAAGGCTAAGATAATAATATTAGATAGTATATTTGAGTAATCATACACAATCATGAAAAAAATTCTCAGGTATAGAACATGCTTCACAAAATAGAACATGGAACAAAAGAAGAAAGAAGGGAACACTAATTAGAAGTCTATTGTCATAGATCAAGTATCAGGTAGTGAGTTTTGAGGGAAAACAATGGAAGTGAAAAGAAAAGATCAGAATCCTGAATTACTTACAAGGAATATTGGAATAATTATCAACTCATTTGAAAATGCATAAATAAAATTTAAATTTTGAAACTTGTTCCTTAGAATGTTGTGGTGCTTTCATTAATAGGAAAACCACTAAAGGTAATATTAAAATATTCTATAACTGCTATAATATGAATACTGATCAAGAATGAGCACTGGGTGTGGGCTATACTGTTAGGTACCAGCTCTGCACATAACACAGAGGAAACAGGACATTTGAAAGGGAACAAGATGTAGTAATAGTATAGGACTCTTTGAGTTTGAGGTACTAGTGAGATATCTATTTGGAGATATCCTATAGTCACATGTAAATGGAGAATGTTAGTTCATAATATTTTGTGTTTTTTGTTTGTTTGTTTTTGTTTTTTGTTTTTTTGAGATGGAGTCTCGCTCTGTCTCCCAGACTGGAGTGCAGTGGCACAATCTCAGCTCACTGCAAGCTCCGCCTCCCAGGTTCATGCCATTCTCCTGCCTCAGCCTCCCAAGTAGCTGGGACTACAGGCACCCACCACCATGCCTGGCTAATTTTTTACATTTTTAGTAGAGACAGGGTCTCACCATGTTAGCCAGGATGGTCTCGATCTCCTGACCTGATCCACCCACCTCAGCCTCCCAAAGTGATGGGATTACAGGCGTGAGCCACTGCACCTAGCCAATCTTATGCATTTCATTTGGACCATATGTGGGAAAATTCTGTTTAGTCTTAGAAAGTGACAGTTTAAGTTACAAAACACCTTCAAGCAATGACCACTGTCAGTAAAACATGCTGCAAGTCTGTTCTGTTCATACTGCTCATATACACTGAGTAAGATGACATTCACTAATGGTTTTTTGTTTGTTTGTTTGATTGATTTGGTGTGGGGATAAAATATACTGTGTCCTTGCTCCATCAAAGAACTTACGGTGTATGGATGAAGTATTTCTGGTTATATACTTTCATTAAATAAACAAACATAACACCATGAAGCATAGTGGGAAAAGCACAAAACTTTATTCATATGCCTTTTATGCAACTTTTTAGGTGCAAAAACTTAGGTAAGATATTTAATGCTTAACTTCTTTGTGTCACTTATTCTTCCTATACAAGGTATGAAGAGTAACACCTTAGGGTTTGATATGGTTTGGCTCCGTGTCCCCACCCAAATTTCATCTAAAATTGTAATCCCCATGTGTCAAGGGAGGAATCTGCTTTCCCCGCATGTGGAGGAAGGGAGGTGATTGGATCATGGGGGTGGTTTCTCCCATGCTGTTCTCGCAATAGTGAGGGAGTTCTCACAAGATCTGTTGATTTTAAAAGTTTGGCACTTCCTCTCTCACTCTCTCTCTCCTGCCACCTTGTGAAGAAGGTGTCTGCTTCCCTTTCCGCTGTGACTGCAAGTTTCCTGAGGCTTCCCCAGCCATGCAGAACTATGAGTCAATTAAACCTCCTTTCTTTATAAAGTACCCAGTCTTGGGCAGTTCATCATAGCAGTGTGAAAATGAACTAATACAGAGTTTATAGTTAAGGTTTAAATGGGTAAATGAATATAATGTGCATAACTTAAGGAAGTTGTGCAGCAGATTCTTTACAATATCCAATATTTATCGTGGCATGCAAAAAAAGCTGAAGAAATTCCCACCATTTCGTAGTGAATTCTTAAGAATGGGCATATTTAAAATACATTTTATACGACACAATCAATATTCATTTTGACATCTTTCAGAGTTGGGAGTGCAACTCAAAGGAAAAGGAAGTATTTTACCTGAAGAAGAGGCTGAAACTGAGATGCTATCTGTAGTTGGCAGGTTGGCATGATTGTCATTTGGGAAAAAATGCAATATATATTAAACTAATGTAGACCAAAAAATCAACAGATGTCTCAAAATCACCAATATAAAACTCACAAGAGTACAATATCTAAATTTTAGACTTTATTAAAAAAACAGTCAAGAATGACTTATAGTTTGGGTGCAGTGGCTCATGCCTGTAATTCCAGAACTTTGGGAGGCCGATGTGGGCGGATCACTTCAGGTCAGAAGTTCGAGACTAACTTGGCCAATATGCTGAACCCTGTCTCTATAAAAATACCAAAATTAGCCAGGCATGGTGGTGGGCACCTGTAATCCCACCTACTTCTGAGGCTGAGGTATGAGAATCACTTGAACCTGGGAGGTGGAGGTTGCAGTGAGACTCCACCTAAAAAAAAAGGAATGACATATATCCCAGAATATCTAAATTCATGATAAGCAATATTCTTTCTGATGTGGTAATGTAAATGTTCTTTAAGCATTTAAGTTGCTTTTTTATAGAAGGGCCCTAAGAAGCATTCTTCCTTTTGCAGATAATTGCATATTGTGCTGACTTCTGTGGAAGTAGCCTGACAGAATTAATGCACCTCTTAAGGCAATAATCTCAGTGTGAAAGGACAAGTGAAAATAATGCTGACATACTGGGCTTAAAGAGTAATAAACATCACTGTTTTATTGCCATCAAACCAATAAAGATGTGAATAACTCCTTGTCAATTTGAATGTCTTTAATGGGCAAAAAAAATCCCCTTTTTTGAACATTTGTGATTCAAGCCATTTTTTTTTGCACTCATAAACTAATGTCATTGAAACACATTTATAGCAGAGAGTCTCTAGTGTGAAATATACTGAATTCTAGGCCTAATGAAAGACCTGCAGAACTTATATACCTGTTATTGCTTCAGTCAAATCTATTCTAACCATTCATTCATTAATTTCTCACTTTTGTGACATATCTGATTATTTTAAAATCCTCTGAGGGCTGCAGCTTTTCAATACTTAATTTACTAAATTTATATCCAATCTCTTTGTAAAGGACATTTCCATGCTTTTGATAAAGATTTTAAAGGAAACCATAACCAGTGAGAGTATATCAGAGAAAGATTCAAGAAACTACATGGAAGAATATGTTTCTAACCTTTTTGTAAAGAAAAATCAGTAAAATATACACTTGTATAATAGATTTGAAAGACAAATTATGATAGCCTGTCTCTTGAGACTTGGAAGATCTTTAAATGCGCTACAATGTTTTAGAAATACATACCTAGATGTGGCCTTAAGTCTAAAGGCTTCATGTGATTGAGGGCATGGAGGCAGGGAGAGGGGAAGAAAAATCTGTGGACTGGTTGGGAAGACTACTAATTATACTGGCATTTTGTGATTATTTATTTTTCCTGATGACAAATATGCTATTTTTTCCTGATGCAGAACAAACAAAATAATGACTTTTGTCATGGAAGTTATGTAGGTGATTTGATCCATTTTTGGCAATTCTAATATATTTCCAACAAATACATGTGTCTCCTGTGTACAAGCATGTACCTACTGGCTGTCTTGGACACAATGACTTGTTTAAGATCATAGAAGTAGATAACAAGAAAACCAGGAGGACACTAGGTCTCCAAATTCCCAAGGTACTGCTCTTTCTTTCAACCATGGTCTTCTGAAAATACAGCCTAACTCAAGAGCTTGTGAAAAAAAGCATTATTTACTTTGTAATACTCAAATATGATCATTGAATTCTGGTCATTTTTATGACAAATTATTCCAAATTTCATTCTAAATTATTATTATATGATGTAAAGCATCATATAGTAATAGTGAAATGTTTAAAATATTAAAAGATGGAATACCAAATACTTTTAAATGTATTTTATCTGTATTCTGAGATTCCACCACAAATATCTTCTTTTTCACACATTCTTCATGATCTGAGAGTAACAATATCAGAACTCTATAATAATCATCTATTCACTGAAAACAACCTCTTCTGAAGTAACATTGTGTTCAATGAACCCAATTCTAAGTATAATTTCATGTTTTATACTAGCTAAAATTGACTTAGATTTCTTGGTTAATAAGTTTGCTTCAATTTTCCCCAGTATATGAATTATTGTATATTTTTAACAAACTAACTTATTATATACTTTTATTTAAGAAAAATAAATACAAATACTATATTATTAAAATTAATTTTTGCTATTTACTGAATGTAACATTTTAAGATTATTCATTGTCAGAATAAACAAACACAAGGTTTCTGAGAAACATAAAGTGAAAAATAGTTTAATTTTCTTCCATAGTAGGATTATATAAAAGGATTATAGGCCGGGCACAGTGGCTCACGCCTGTAATTCCAGCACTTTGGGAGCCCGAGGTGGGCGGATCATGAGGTCATGAGATCGAGACCATCCTGGCTAACACAGTGAAAACCCATCTCTACTCAAAATACAAAAAAATTAGCCGGGCATGGTGGTGGGCACGTGTAGTCCCAGCTACTCGGGAGGCTGAGGCAGGAGAATGGCGTGAAACCGGGAGGCAGAGCTTGCAATGATCCGAGATCACGCCACTGTGCTCCAGCCTGGGTGACAGAGCAAGACTCTGTCTCAAAAAAACAAAAAAAGGATTATAAACAAATAACTATGTATAAGTATGCCAATAAGAAAAGTGTTTTTGCACTCAAGTATAAAAAAATGCACATAGAAATAACAGCACCATTGTGGATACATATGAAGACATAGTATGAATAAAATATACTTTGTAATAATGTAGAGAGAACATTAGACAGAGTAGTCAGAAATCTGGGCCCTCCCTCTAGGAATTTATATTATTTGAGCCTTAGTTTTTAAAGGAGCAGAAAAGAATAGAGATTATATTACGTCTCTTCTCATTCTAACATTTTGTGGTAGGGTGTGTGTACATACTCATATGTGTGTCCATTGTAGAAATACATTTTATTCCCAAAAATGAACTACATCATTCATGATAAATAAGATCAATATGAGTTCAACATAGTGGAAAAAAAAACTATAGCAGAAAATGAAATGTGGTCAATTTAACCAGGAGAATTTATCAATAGCAATATTCATAATTAATAGGCACTACATGTTTATTACAACCTGTCTTCTTTAGAAACAATGGTTAAAAAATAATCATAAACATTAAATATTAAAAAGAAACCCTCGTTTTGATATTATCATGCTTTTATCAGAGAAGTAGTGAACTTCCACTTAATTTCCTTATTTCTATACCAGTATATTTGTTTTACATGAGCGTAGGAATTTTTTACTTCCAAACACAAAGAGAAAAATGAAATTTGCCACATATATTCTTACCTCTTGCTATGAGAGTGGAATAAGAATTATTCCTTCAAAATAATTAATCGATTCCCCTTGGTATCAGTGAATTGTTATTTTGTTCATAAAAATTGTCAGTTAATTATTAAAAGAGAGCATAAACTTAAAAAAGAAACACAAATACAAAAATAACATTTCTTCTGGTAAATTACTGCTTTGGATAACATTGCCACCATTAATTATTATAGCATGTTGGAAAGTGGTGTAAAGTTTTTCTCATCATTCTTTCTTTTTCTTCTGCTTATTTTAAATTAGTACTGAATGCACATAGTATAAAAATGCAAGTGTGAGTGTAAAAATGTAGACAAAGATCAGTAAGAGTCACTCTTTCTTTTTCCCTCAATATTGTATTCCAAATAAAGCATAGCCCTTTCACCTGAGCAAGAGGAACAATGGGTGGGGACCCAGCAATTTAGAGAACATGCAAATTGCAAACATTCACAAAATCATGTTCAGTAAAGAAAACATGAAAAGTTCGGAGCCTACAGATCCAGCATTTAATGCTGTCACTATATGATCTATATCCCTAAACATAAACTTTTTCTACTGCGTATGTTTAGGGATATAGATGATGTTCTTTTTCTTATGTTCTTTCCCATGTTCCTTTTCTTATGTACTCAAAGTAAAAGGGAGTTTGATCCAAACACCAGGCTGGAGTGCAATGGTGCAATCTAGGCTCACTGCAACCTCCGCCTCCTGGGTTGAAGTGATTCTTATGCCTCAGCCTCCTGAGTAGCTACGATTGCAGGCACATGCAACCACACCCAGCTAATTTTTGTATTTTTAGTAGGACATGGTTTCACCATGCTGGTCAGGCTGCTCTCGAACTCCTGATTTCAGGCAATCCACCCATCTCAGCCTCCCAAAGTGCTGGAATTACAAGCATGAGCCACCACACACATCCTGTTTGTCACTTCTTATTCACCAGTTTTTTCAAAGAATATTTTCTATCTCCAAGCCTACATATATAATCCTTAACTCTCACATAGCATCCAAAATTTCCTCCTTTATGATTCTTTCAATTTTTTAAAATTAGATATGTATTTTTAGTTATTCTATTGGTTAATTGTAATTCTATAAATTTATTTAAATTTATATTTCTTTAGGTATCAGACATAGGTCACACCTTTTTCTTTATGCAAGACTAGTAAATGCATGCTTCTGTACCAGACCCTACCTTCTTTATCTCACCATTTAACGTTTACTTGTTATATCATATTTATAATGTCAAGGTATGGAACAATTAAGCTTTATAAGAGCAAATGAGCCATTTGTTGTTGGTGCTTAAAGTGACTCTGAAAGCATAAAATAAATAAATTTTGCTCATAAGATTGTTATTATGTTAATATAATTGTTGACTGCCTGTTAAACTCTCAACTTTTTTCATGCAAAACTTCCATGAGCTGTTATAAAATCAGGAAAATCATTTATTTTATTACATTATTATTATTATTATTATTGATAAAGCGTCTCTGTTAACCAAGCTAAAGAACAGTGGCATATTCTCCTCTCACTGCAACTTCCGCCTCCGGGACTCAAGAGATCCCAAGAAATCCTCCCACCTCAGCCTCTCAAGTAGACTACAGGTGCACATCACCATGCCTAGCTAATTTTTGTATTTTTTATAGAGACAGGGTTTCTCCAGGTTGCCCAAGCTAGTCTTGAACTCCTGGGTTTAAGCCATCCACCTGCCTTGGCCTCCCAAAGTGATAGAATTATAGGTGTGAGCCACCACGCCTGGCCAGAAAATTATTTGAATAGACTAGACCACTTCCACTACTGACCAATTTACCCAGGGTAGGAGGAGAGTAATTTTTCATTCCATTTTTACCAGACAGTGATTTCTTTAAGAAGCAAGATGTATCAAATAAAGCAAGATGTAACGAATGAAGCATATAGATCATTTTTTTTTATTCTATGTGCTTGGCAGACTTGCTGTATCTGAGAAATTTTCAAACATGTTGGCTTAAATGTACAGTTTTACATAACACCAAAATTTCTTTCTCTATTCCCTCTCTAACCCACTTTGTCTCCTGCTCAATCCTTTCTAAGGAGCTCTTACTAAGTCTTCAATATTACACAGAATTGTAAATAACACTTAATGTAACTTTTTAGAAAACTATCTCATAATAAGGGGAATTTTCAGATTCCTTTACATTATATTTTGCTGGTTGTTGACCTAGTCACCTTTAATTTTTTTTTCATTCCTGAATAATTGGTTCTGCTTCTTTTTAGAAATTGTTTTCTCTTGAGTTACATTCAATTTTTGTTCAAATGCTTTTAAAACACTATAAAATCTAACTAAAATGTGATATAGAGATTATGTTATTAATCTCAAAATAAAATATCATAGTATGAATAGATCTTAGGGTAGAAAATAAAATCCTTGCCACTAAATCATTGTTACTGTAAGGGAAAATTTTGTCACTCTAAAATCAAAGGGCAAATAGATACAGCTCTCCTAAAACACAGAGAGGGTAAATAGCTTGTTTTGGGACACACAACCTGAAAATTTTTTTTTCAGAATCTGGCTGTTCTATGCTTTCCCTAGCATTTATTTCTACCGATGAAATGATGAAATCTGATACATGTTGAATTTATGTTTCTCTTTAGGGACATGGGTCTTTCCTTCTGAAAACATTTAGGATTGTAGCTCCACTTTTATTGTAAGGAAATTCCACAAGAATGCTTCTAGATGAGGACATTTTCCATTCTTCTTCACTCTTAGGAGGCACTAATCTTGTTCCAAGATGGCTGACTATAAGCAACTAGTGTGTCCTGCTCTCATGGAGAGGAGACAGAGCTGCGAGTAAACACCAGCTTTTTAACTATATCATCCACGAGGGCACGTCGGGATTCATCACAGAAGCAACGTGACCCATGGAGAAGAGAGAGGGATGAGGCAGGACAGCCGCCCACTGTGGATTGGTGCAGAGCCAAGGGAAGTGCCCCACGTCATGGAAAGGGTGAGTGGGCTACAGCACCAGGAACCCACATTTCTGACACAGACCTTTGCAATCCTGGGCACAGGAGATTCTCCTTAACACCCCCAACCCCACCCCAGGGCCTGTAGACTGACATGATAGAGAGCTGTGTATAGTCTGGGCAGAGCTGCTGTTCAGGACCACATGGAGCCTTGGACCCTGGAGCACCCAGGCACCAGCTGCATAGCTTCACCAAAAGGGAGGACAGGCTCTCTCCCGTGCTCCCAGGATAGAGGCCACACCCATGGTACTGAGTGGGTGAACTGCAGGCCTTGCTTCCATTACAGATCACCAGGTAAAGCCCACTGGCATGGGACCCCAGCACAGCCACTCCATCCCCATCTGAGCATTCGGGCTGCTCACAGCTCTGCAGTTCTCTTGGATAGAACTCCCAGAAGTAAACAATAGGCCTGCAGCTTTTGCCACTGCCACAGCTCCTGCCTCTATTATCTTCAAGCTGGGGAAGGAGCAAAGAGCCCAACAACTAACATGCGCCTCCAGCACACCACAGCTGCCACACAGAAAAAAGTGGCCAGACTGCTTTCCACATGGGTCCCTCCCCTGCTACTCCTCCTTGGGCAGGGGCTCCTGACCTGGGCCCTGAGGACAGCTGCCCTACCCCTAGCTGATCACTTCAGTTGATGTGGCTCTGTGTTTGTCTGGGGAGGGAATCCCAGAGATGGCCCACAGGCTCTCTGCCATTGCCACTGTGGCAGTACCCTCCAGACACCACAACTGCCTTATAAAGAGGAGCCCAGTCTCTCTTCCCTGTGATCCCTGATCTCATTCTTCACCAGGTAGGGCCCAAGCTTAGACCCACAGTGCAGCCACTCCCAACCCCCAGCTAAACATTTCTATTAGCAGCAGCTCTGAGTCTCTCTGGGTAGTGTTCCCAGAGGCAACTGACAGTCCATCTGTCACAGCCACCAGGCTGGGGATAGAACAAAGACCTGAGTGCTTTACTTACACCTCTGGCACATCACAGCTGCCCTACAGAGAATTGGCTAGGCTATCTTCACTCCAATACCAACAATACTTTGCTAATATGCCCCCCTGTGAAACCAAGGACAAGAATTCAGTCACAAATAAAGACCCTGCACAAAGCCTTGGCTCTCTGAAAACATCCAGAAACACCAACAACTAACTATACTAAAATTACACCACAGTTAAAGAAGCATCAGCCAACACCGATGAGAAAGAACAAGCACAAGAACTCTGACAACTCTAAAGGATAAAGTGTTTTCTTACCTCCAAATGACTGTACTAGCTCCCCATACATGATTCTTAACCAGAATGAAATGACTGAAATGACAGACAGAATACAGAATCTGGGCCGGACGCAGTGGCTCACACCTGTAATCCAAGCACTTTAGGAGGCCAAGGCAAGCAGGTTACGAGGTCAGGAGTTTGAGACCAGCCTGACCAACGTGGTGAAACCCTGTCTCTAATAAAAATACAAAAATTAGCCAAGTGTAGTGGTGTGCAACTGTAATCCCAGCTACTCAGGAGGCTGAGGCAGGAGAATCGCTTGAACCCGGGAGGCAGAGGTTGCAGTGAGCCAAGACCGCACCATTACACTCCAGCCTGGGCAACAGAGCGAAACTCCATCTCAAAAGAAAAGAAAACAAAACAAAACAAAAAACAAACAATTATCAATGCCACTTAACTCTTCTCTGATTATTCCCATCTCTGCATCTTTTTTCTTTTCTCTACACTTTAGAAATTTATTTTAAATTTACATCCCAGGCAATATTTTGATTCAATTATTGGAAAATCTGATTTTTAATTTCCAAGGAATCTTTTGTATTTCCTTGGAAAAATATTCAATATCTTAGAGACCAGATATCAGTTTTGAGTAGGGTTTTCTATTATAATTTCTCTATGTGCACAGAAGTGAAAGAACTAACCTGGACCTCACATCCACTTATGCATATATATATTACAAACGATTTAAACTTGTTATTAAACCACAACCTACTTCTGCTGTCTATAGTATCCGATTTAAGCTCTTGTCATTTTCAGGCATTTGTCAATAAGAAAATACTTTCTTTTGAGGTTGCCTTTTTCTTTGGTGCATATTTTAGCTTCAGTATTCTCTATTTTGGATTATCCCCTTTTCTTTTCTATTTCCCCTACCATGTTCTTAAGAAATATATCTGATGGTGCCCAAGAACCCCACTTCCTTTTGGTAATAAGTTATCTATCTATCTACATATATGTGTGTGTGTGTGTGTGTGTGTGTGTGTATATACATAAACATATATAATTTATACATAATTAACATCATTTCAGTATATTACAGAAGAGAAAAAATTTAAATGCACAGTCCCCACTTTAAGTGTTAAATGATGCCCTGATAATTTTTTGTCATAAAGCTGTATTTTTAAATTAATTTTAAGGTTACAAGACTTCATGGTCTCTAGTTATAGAAAATGTTTGATTCATGAATATTATTAATTTATCCTCAGTTTTAATACTATCTCCCTGATCTCTTATTTCTGGGAGATCTAGCAAATATAAAACAGATGTTTTTATCACCTTTTGTGAAATATCTCCCCATTCTAACATATTCCTACCATAAGCATTAGAAAGTATGTCTTCTCTACTTGTTTTCTGTGATAAGTCCACTGGCCTAGAGTTTTCTGTTTTATTTTTTGCATCTTCATTTATGGTAAGTAATACATGCTACCTTAAGCAGTCTTTTAACAACTTCCATATCTCCTTCTTTTTTATCATTAATATCCTTGTTATTACAATATTATTATACACCTCCAGGCCGCTCAAGAACAATCAGAGTTCTTATTCATCTTGAAACTCCAGTACTTGAAGCCAGTTACATGTTCATATCTTTTTGTTAGATGTAAGTTTTTCTGTTGCAAGAAATTTTCATTTTGTTTCAAGATTACAGATAGGTGCTAAAGTGTGTGCTACATTTAACAATGAGCTCTCTCCTCAAGATTTTAAAAATTTATTTTCTCAAACACTGACAAGCATGTCCTTCAGATTATAGAAGGTGAAAAGTGGGTCATCATGAATAAATAATTTATCTAGTCGGCTTATCGAAAGAAAAGATGATATAAAATTGATATTGAATGTTTCAAAATGTTTTCAGTAGATTGTTTTAAAGCACAGGACTGTAAATGTCTAAAAAAGGGAGAATGAGAAATCACTAGAGTTGCTTAATGTATTTATCAACATTTTAAAAATCCCTTCAATCCTCCAGAGATTCCCAAGATGTATTGTTATTTCCTGCCTGAGTTTCTTACTCTCCATATAATTCTTGTACCATGCTTCTCTTCTGTCCTTCTTTCCACAGATAGAGTTGGAAGTACCTCAGATTGTGAATCTCATCTTTGAGGGAACATCTAATTTTTTAAAATTCCTTGAAAAATTGCTAGGGTTAATTCATTTTGACTAAACATTATCAACTACTGTTCAATATGCTAGCAACAGGAAGAACTTCTCCTAATGTGAAAATAATTTGTGTATGGATTTTTTTACTCTTCCTTTCTGGGGAAGGTGCTAAAAATTGATTAGTATCTCTTCTTAAAGTTAAAATGTTTTGAACAAGAACTTGGCCTCTTAGCAAAGGTAAGTTAAGATTCCCTTGGAGTTAAGGAAGTGAAAATAAAGTTAAATGTTTTCTTTATGCCACCGAGTTAGAACTTCTTAAAAACTTTATGTAACAACTTACATTGATTTTCTGCAGGGAGATTATCTTTTAAGGGATTCCATAGTGAAATAACAAGCTGCATGATTATTGTCTGCATCACTGGATTTTCTTAAAAATAAACAACATCAAAATGAACATTCCAGCAGTTGAAAACTAGTAAACAGCAATGTCACATAAATTCAATTCACTAACATTTTTATGGAGACACTACTCCCCATTCAAGAACATTTACTAATAAATTAATCTCTATTCTACTGAGTGAGGCAGACATGCTGTTGGATAAAGAGAATGGGGGTTTATAGCAAAACTTATTCATACATTTATGAGAAATGACTACTAATAATTTAATGTGGAGGACAATAATTTGAATTGTTTCACTTAAAAATTTTGAAAATGCTTCCAATTAGATTTCACTGATTCTAGTAAAAAGGTAGAGATTCTTTCAAAAGATCAAAATGATTGAAAAGTCTTTACGCCACCTCCCTACACCGCCCCCCGCCACACACACACCACATATTTACTTACATTAGCATACCAGAGAGCTGTGCTATGGGCATAAGGAAATTATTGGGATTCTGACTGTGACACCTAGAAAATACACAGGATTTTATGCATTTAGAAAATGATAAAATAGTTGAAGTATCTGTGTCTCTGATTACAAAATTACGATGTAATTATACACAGTTGGCCCCTGAACAACACAGGGATGAGGAGCAATGAACTCCCTGCACGGTAGAACATCCATATATAACTTTTGACTCCCAAACTTAACTACTACTAACCTACTGTTGACCAGCCTTACTAGTAATATAAACAGTTATTAACGCATATTGTATGTTATATATATTATACACTGTATTCTTAAAATGAAGTAAGCTAGATAAAAAAATGTAATTAAGAAAATTATAAGGAAAAGGAAATAGATTTACTAGTCATTAAGTTGAAGTGGAAAATCATAAAGATCTTTCTTCTTGTAGTCTTCACGTTCAGTATGCTGAAGAGAGGGGAGCAAGACAGGGGATTGGTCTTGCTGTCTCAAGGGTGGCAGACATGGAGGAGGTAGAAGGGGAGACGGAAGAGGCAGGCACACTGACTGTTGAAAAAAATCCACATATAAGTAGACCTGCACAGTTCAAACCTGTGTTGTTCAAGGGTTAGATGTACTTTAACAAAAGTTATTCAATATACACTACAGAAAATTATATCAGATGTATTTAGATAGCAGTCTCTTTATTTTAAAATATTAAAATGATGATTTAGCTGTACCACAGTCATATCTATTACATATATCATATCTTATGTTTCCCTTGCTACAACCTCCTAAAAAAAAGGTTAGAGTGAGGGGACAGAACAGATCCTGATAATAATGTGTTTTATTGTATTGTGATTGAAAGTTCAGCTTTAAAATGGATATAATATGTATCTCTGTCTTACAGCTTTTTTAAAGACTGGATGCAAAAAATTAGGGAAAGCCACATCAAATGGCCAGAATAATTACTTATTACTTCTTATTATCATTAGTATCATTTTTCTCTATATTTTCCACCACTGTATTTTTATTAGTAAAACCATGTGATGCCTCCTCTAGCTCCTCATATTCTTATTTCAGTGAAATAAGGAAATGTAGCTCACATATTTCCTTGACCTGTCATTGCAGAGATATTTAATATTATAAATGTCCTTCTTTCTTTCTCTCCCTCCTTCCTTCTTTTTTCTTTCCCTCAGTCTTCCTTTTTTTCTTCATTTTTTGGACTATTCTTGGAAATGACCCAAAATCAAACTGCACATCCTCTTTCATTCCTAGGCATTGTTGCTGGCGTGGTTTGGTTTGCTTTGTTGTTTTATTTTGTTTTTGTTTTATTTTTGTGGCCCTGGTCACTGAAAGACTTAGACAAGAGAGTTACCTCTAACCAATCTAAATGTTCCTGTGACTTCTCTAAAAGGGTGATTGTGTCATTCTACAGCAATGAGGCCACCCAATTACCCTCTAGCCCTGAGATACTATTAAGCATCTTCTTTCTCACCCCAGGAAAATGACTGCACGTCTCATTCTCCTATGGAAAGAAATGATCTGGTTTCCATTTGGCCCCTAGTTCTCCCAACCCTGGAATCTTCCTTCCTCCACAGATAGCCTGCAATTTATATTGAGATATATTTCCTGAAGTGGAGGCACATCTACCATCTGCAGTCCCTTCTTTCCCAAGTGCCATATAATGTGTAATACATTTTAAAACATTGAGCTGAGATCTATTTTTGCAGCTACCCTAATATACCCACCAAGTTTTATTTTATTTTTTTGATTTATTTACAGACATGGTCTCTATCACCCAGGCTGGAGTGCAATGAATGGCATGTTCAGAGCTAACTGCAGCCTCAAACTTGTGGGCTCAAGTGATCCTCCCACTTCAGCCTTCCAAGTAGCTGGGACTACTGGTGTCTGTCACGACACTCAGCTAATATTTTTTTATGATTTTTAGAGACAGGATCTCATGATGTTGCTCAGGCTACTCTCAAACATCTGGCCTCAAGTGATCCTCCCACCTCAACCTTCCAAAATGCTGGGATTACAACTGTGAGTCACCGTGCCCAGCCTCCACCAAGTTTTAGAGCTACCACCTATATAACTTCGCCAATTTTGGCAACCAATGACTTTATCATTAAATGTAGTCTTTAATGATAAAGTACTATCAGTCCATTCTCTTCAAAAGTAAATTATTGTTATACTTTTTTATAACTTTTAAGTTCAGGGATACACGTGCAGGTTTGCTACATAGGTAAACATGTGTCATGGTTTTGTTTTTTTTTTTTTACAGATTATTTAATCACCCTGATATTAAGCCTAGTACCCATTAGCTATTTTTCCTGATCTTCTCCCTCCTCACACCCTTTGCCCTCCAATAGGCGTCCCAGTGTGTGTTGTTCCCTTCTATGTGTCCATGTATTCTGATCATTTTGCTCTCATTTATCAGTGAGAACATGTGGTATTTGGTTTTCTGTTCCTGTGTTAGCTTGATACAGATAATGGCCACCAACTCCATCCATATTCCCACAAAAGACAAGACATACTATTGTTCTTTTTAATGGCTGCATAGTATTCTATGGTGTATATATACCATATCTTCTTTATCCAGTCTATCATTGATGGACATTTAGGATGATTCCATGTCTTTGCTATTGCAAATAGTGCTTCAATGAACATATGCATACATGTTGTCTTTATAATAGCATAATTTATGTTTCTTTGGGTATATACCCAGTAATGACATTGCTGGGTCGAATGGTATTTCTACCTTTAGGTCTGCAAGAAATCATCACGCTGTGTTCTACAATGGCTAAACTAATTTGTGCTCCCACTAACAGTGTGTAAGCGTTCCTTCTTCTCCACAACCTTGCCAGCATTTGTTACTTTTTGACTTTTTGAGAATTACCATTCTGACTGGTGTGAGATGGTATCTCATACTGTGAGATGGTATCTCATTGTGGTTTTGATTTGCATCTCTTTAATTATTAGCGATGTTGATTTTTTTATAGGCTTGTTGGCCACATGTATGTACACTTTTGGAAAGTGTCTATTCATGTCTTTTGCCCACACTTTGATGGGGTTGTTCATTTTTTTCTTGTAAATTTGTTTAAGTTCCTTATAGATTCTGGATATTAGACTTTATTGGCTGCATAGTTTGCAAGAATTTTTTTCCCATTCCGTATGGCCTGTTCACTCTGTTTATAGTTTATTTTGCTGAGCAGAAGTTCTTTAATTTAATTAGATTCCATTTGTCAATATTTGCTTTTGTTGCAATTGCTTTTGGTGTCTTCGTCATAAAATCTTTGCCCGTGCCTACGTTCTGAATGGCATTTCCTAGGTTGTCTTCCAGTTTGGGGATTTACATTTAAGTCTTTAATCCATATATGGCATAAGGAAGGGGTCCAGTTTCAGTCTTCAGCATGTTACTAGCCAGTCATCCCAGCACCACTTATTCAACAGGGAATCCTTTCCCTATTGCTTATTTTTGTTAGGTTTGTTAGGCTTACCAAAGATCAGATAGTTGTAGGCAGGTGTGCAGTCTTATTTCTGGATTTTCTATTCTGTTCCATTGATCTATGTGTCTGTTTTTCTACAAGTGCCATGCTGTTTTGATTACTGCAGTCCTGTAATAAAGTTTGATGTCAGGTAGCATGATGCCTCCAGGTTTGTTCTTTTTGGTTAGAATTGCGTTGGCTACTCAGGCTCTTTTTTGGTTCCACATGAATTTTAAAATAGTTTTTTCTAGTTCTGTGAAGAATCTCAATATTAGTTTAAATAGCTATATAACTGAATCCATAAATTGCTTTAGGCAATATGGCCATTTTTATGATATTGATTCATCCTATCTATGAGCATGTGCGGGTTTTCTAGATATAGAATCGTCATCTGCAAACGTATGTATTTCTGTGTGTTTGTATAGTTTCCAGAGTTCCTCTTTTTATTAATTCTAGTTTTATTCAATTGTGGTCAGAGAAGATACCTGATATAATTTAATTTTTTAAAGGCTTATTTTATAGCCTAACAAATGGTTTATCTTTGAGAATGTATATTCTGTAGCCATTGAATAAAATGTTCTGCAAATATCTATTAGATCTATTTGTGCATAGTGATAAGCATGATGTTTCTTTGTTGATTTTCTGACTGGATTATCTTTCTAATCTTAAAAGTGGCATGTTGAAATCTGCAGCTTTTATTATATTGTTATCATTATTTCTCTTTAGCTCTAGTAATATTTGCTTCAGATATCTCTGTGCTCCAGTGTTGGGTTCATGTATATTTACAATTGTTATATTATCTTGCTGAACATTAATAGGAATCATGACAAAAACTACAAATCAAGAAAAAATTCTACCATAATTTTTTTCCTAAATTTCTATTTCTAGTTAAAGTCAAATGGAAATGGGCTAAATGCCCCAATTAGAAGACATAGAGGGAGAAGCTGGATAAAGAACCAAGACACACTGGTATACCAAACCTAGAAAATACAGCAAAAGCAGTACCTAGAGGAAAGTTTATAACAATGAATGCCTACATCAAAAAAGTAGAAAAACTAGAAACACCCGAATGATGTATTTTAAAGAACTAGAAAAACAAGAGCCAACCAAACCCAAAATTAGTAGAAAAAATAATAATAAAGATCAGAGCACAAATAAATGAAATTAAAGATTAATAAAGTGAAAAGCTGTTTTATTGAAAAGGTAAACAAAAATGACAAGTCTTTAGCAAGGCTACTTTAGTAAAAAAGAAAGAAGACCCAAATAAATAAAATCAGTGATGAAAAATGGGAATTACAAGCGATACAACAAAAACCCAAAGGATCATTAGAGACTACTACGAACATCTATATGCCAATAAATTGAAAAACTCCAAAGAAACGGATAAAGTCTTAGACACATAAAATCTACCAAGATTGAACCATGAAGAAATCCAAAACCTGAATAGACTAATAACAAATAACAAGATAAAAGCCATAATAAAAAGTATTCAAGTAAAGAAAATCCCAGGAACCAATGCTTCACTGCGATCTCGGCTCACTGCAACCTCCACCTCCCGGGTTCACGCCATTCACCTGCCTCAGCCTCCCCAGTAGCTGGGACTACAGGCACCTGCCACCACGCCCAGCTAATTTTTTGTACTTTTAATAGAGATGGGGTTTCACCGTGTTAGCCAGGATGGTCTTGATCTCCTGACCTTGTGATCCGCCCGCCTCGGCCTCTCAAAGTGCTGGGATTACAGGCGTAAGCCACCACGCCCGGCTTCCAGTAGTAATTTTTAAATAATTTATCTTAGTGTTATTTCTGAAACTTGACTAGTGTCTACTGAAAAAAAAAAAAAAACCTAAAAGGAACAAACCAATGTTTCTTTTCCTTGGGGCTTAGACAATCAAGTCGGTCTAGAACAAAAGGGATCAAATGAATATACTTTAAGTGACAGAGGATTGAAGCTCAATGATAAAATCAATGTTAATTTTCAGATGACTTTATGTATAAACTCTAATACCATAATGAAGAGAAAATACTTGTTCTTGCAGCCTTTGTATTGACAATTGCCTCTCCAGTGCTGCAGTACATTTTTAGGGGCCAGCGGGCTGCCAATTAATGCGATCATGCTTTTGCCTTGGGCTCCACTATTTTCAGTGCCATTCCATCACACATTTTTCTAGCACTCTTGGTCAGAATCTCTTATTTGACAGATTTTCTGTTAGTGAAGAATGGAGAGCTCTCAGCTAGCATGGGGAGAACAAAGTGGTCTTTCCTAACTTCTTTAAAATCACCAAACCCAGAATTTTTCTAGGTCAAATTAGTCATTTAATAGGCTATCTTTTAAACTATTACAGACCTTATATTTATAGAAAATTTTAAGAATGCATTGGTATTTTTTAATATTCATAGTAAACTCACAGGAGTGGAGAATGCAGGTATTATACTCAGCGTTTCTGCAGAGAAGGAAATAGAAGTGCCACAAAGTTAATTTGCAGAAAACCACATAATTGTTAAGTGGCAGTGTTAAAACTTGAACCCTAGGTCTTTTTCTTGACTCAATACCATATTTTTTCATAATAGCTTTTTAGTAACTCACGCATCCTCTAGTCTCCCTCCAACTTGCAAATACTTGATTCATTGGCCCTTTCTCTGATGACTTCTAACATACTTGCATATCAATAGTTTACCAGATATAATTTCAAATTCATGATTTGACTTGTACTAATATTTACTCATTTTTTTCTTAGATTATTTGAATTCTTAACCAGACATCCTGAATTGGCTGTTATTGCATATATTCTTTGCCTGGCCCTCGCGTTTTAAAATTAAAAATTGTTAATTTTCTATATACTTCTAAAAATGCAAATCTATATTCATTGAATAATTAAAATTATAACCAAGGCAAAAATTCTTGATTAAATAAGCAATTAGTCCTGAGAATAGAAACTAAAACCAGGATAGTTTCTCTTTTATTTATCAGAGAGCATAAAGTTTTTCATTACTATAGAAAATTCATTAATCTGGATTAGTTTCCCTTAGTCAAAGGTCCAAATTATACAACTATTTTAACAAGACACATTTTCAATACTCTCTGTTATGTACTGTAATTGGAATTAGCCTAAGAAAGCACTCATGTTCTGAACCTTACTAGCTTCAATGAATAGATAAGAATGAGTTGAAATTAGCACGTCAATTGCTTGTATGTAAATGATTTCTAGAGTGCTTGGACACCTGAAAGCATCCCTTATGTTCTTTTAGCAATTTCAGTATATTAAAAGCAAGTATTAATTTTCCTACCATTTAATTACATATAAGTCAAAGCTCAGGCGATTTTATTATAGTATAGCAAATACCCTAACTAAATTACTCTGAAGTGTGAATTGGTGAAATTCAAATTAACGAAAGTGCACAATCACAATCAAAGATAAATATCAGCCTCGCTTTACATCCTCTCCAAATTTATAGCATCAAGATTTAGGTCTTCATGGATTAAATATACTTTTGCAGACACTACAGAAATAATAATAATCATAAATTATACTGCTTTGACAATTGTACTCCTGTAATGGTGAAAGAATAATAACATGATTTCCAGAGAAGCTTATAAAATGCAGAAAGACATTTCTAACAATATGATTGTAACAAGGATTATGTAATTTTGTATAGTGGCCCAGTTATAGGCTTAGAATTCAAGTGAGCTAATTTTAGGTCCTAAGTTATCCTCTGAGCAATTCACTGAATCTTTTTGAAACTAGTGCCTTCATCTAGAAAATATTAATGTTAATATAAGGAAGACCAAGGCAATTTTAACGACTGTATTTGGAAGTTGAGGACTAGCTAAAACTACTAAGCGAAACATATTGCAAGGGTAAATCATCATACACACATGATTCTAATCAGGCTTATACACCTATTGAGTTATAAAATCATTTAAAATGAACCCAACCCCACAGTGCAATAGGCTGGATATGAAAGATGGAAGCTCCAGATTCCTAGGGTATTTCTTTTACATAGGAAGCTGAGTGATCTGGAGTCATCAAATATGGTCTATGAACTTCAGTTTCCTCAACTATAAAATGAGGACCTAATAAAAATTAAATAAAAATTAAACTCTTCTCTTCTCTAAGAAAGGTAAAATCTTTTTTAACCATGCTTCTCACTGCAGTGTTATTCCATCCTCTCCCCTTACCTTTGTAACCTTGACCTGAACTAAGTTTATGCTTCCTTGAACCTGACCTGACACAGAACAGGCGACAGCAATAAACAGTCCCATGGTTTCCACAGACAGTTCTTAAGTCAGTTAGCCAAAATGAATAATAGAATTCACTATTACAAGGTAGAAAGCCAATTATTAAAATATTTTAGCCTGCATAGAAATGTAGAGATTACCAACAATTTTAAAAAAAACACTAATTCACATCATTTAAAATCCAAAAGGTTTAAAATGGTAAAGAAAGCCTATAAAAATTATTTAATACTGTTAAGCAAACAAATTTTTACATTAAGAAATTTCAAGAGGAAGAAAATATGCAGAATGGCATAAGAAGCTTATTTAATGAAATAATTACAGAAAACTTTTCAAGTCTTAGGAGGCATAGAGACATCCAGATCTTTGAAGCTTAAAGGTCCCCAAACACGTTGAAATCAAAAATGATCTTAATGAGGCACATTATAATACACTGTCGAAAGTCAATTACAGAGAATTTTAAAAACAGCAAGAAAAAAGCATCAAGTTACAAATACGGAAATCCCCATAAGACTATCAGCAGATTTCTCAGCAGAAACCCTGCATGCCAGAGGAAAATGAGATAACATATTCAAAGTGCTGAAAGAAAATAAAAGCTAACTATCAGTCTAAAATACTATACCCAGAAAAGCTGTTCTTCAAAAATGAATGTGAAGTAAAGTCTGTCTCACACAAGCAAAAGTTTAGGTAATACATTGCCAACAGACCCTACCCTGCAAAAAATGCTTAAAGAAGTTTTTCAAGTAGAAACAAAGAATGCTAATGATTAACATGAAAACACATGTAAACATAAAATTTGCTGGTAAATATATAGTCAAACTTAAAATATCCCAAGACTGTTATGGTGCTCTGTAAATAATATATTTCTCTATTATAAAGTTTAAAAGTCAAAATAGTCAAGAATAATAGTAGTTACAATAAGTTGTTAAGAAATACATAATTTAAATAGATGTAAATTGTGACATCAAAAATGTAAATTATTGGTGGGTAGGGTAAAAGTACAGACATTTTTAATGTGACTGAAGTTGTTAGCAGTCTATAGTCTATTACAACTATAAGATGTTTTATGTAATCTTCACGGTAAACACAAAGCCAAACTGTAGTAGATATACAAATTATAAAGAAAAAGAAATACAAAAAATCATGCTAAAGAAAATCACCAAATCAAAGATATACAATAAAAGAGGAAAGAATAGATGAGCTACAAAATAAACCAAAATAAACACAACTAACAAAATGTAGCAATTTCTTGCCTATAAATAATTACTTTGATTGAAAATACATTAAATTCTCCAATCAAAAAAGAGAGTAGATAAAGATTAAAAAGAAAATAAGATCCAGCTATGCTGCTTAGAAGAGATCCACTTTAAACACACACATAAACTGAAAGTTAAAAAGCAAAGGAAGGTATTTCATTCAAATGGTAACCAAAAGAGAGCAGAAGTGTCTATACTTATACGAAAAGTCAAATAGACTTCAAGTTAGAAACTGTCAAAAGTGACACAGAAGAGTATTATTTTATGATAAAGGGCACAATTCAATGAGAAGTCATATCAATTGTAAATATATATTGCACCCAACACTGAAGCACCTGAGTATATAAAGCAAATATTAATGAACATGAAGAGAAAAATAGATAGCAATACAATTAGAGAACTTCATATACCACTTTCAATAATAGATAAACCAGACAGAAAATGGATAAGGAAGAAGTGGAACAGAACTGAATGTTAAGCCAAATGGACCTAACAGATATATTTACATCTGTATATCTGTATCTATCTATCAAGACAGATGCTGTCTATTCAACAGCAGCAGAATATGCATTCTTCTCTAGTACAGAAGGAACATTATATATAATAGAATACACACACATATGTTTATATATAAACATATATCTCTGTATGTATATGTGCATATATATATATACACATATATATATATAGACAGATGCTGTCAATCCAACAGCAGCAGAATGCACACTCTTCTCTAGTGCATACAAAACATTCTCCAGGATACGCCACACAATAAGTCTTAATAAATTTTTTAAATTAAAAGCATATCGAATTTTATTTCCAACCAAAATGTTATAAAAGTAGAACTTAAAAACAGAAGGATGCTCCGAAACTATTCAAATACACAGAAGTTAAATAATATGCTCTTAGGCAATGACTGAGTTAGCGAACACATTGAAAGGGAAATTTAAAAAAACAGAAACAAATTAAAATGGAAGCATAACATATCAAAATCTATGGGATACAACAAAGACACTACTCAGAGGGAAATTTATAGCAATAAACCCCTGTCTCAATAAAGAGAAAATATTTCATATAAACAACATAATACTATACTTCAAGGAACCAGATAAGTGAAAACAAATTAAATCTGAAATTATACGAAAATAAATAGTAAAAGCCAATAGAAGTAAACAAAATAGAGACTATAAAATTACAAAAGATTGATAAAAGTTTTTTTTAAAAAAAGATAAAACTGATAAAACTTTAATCAGTCAAATAAGATAAAAGAAAGAAGGCTCAAATGAATAGAATTAGAAACAAAAAACAGACATGATAACTGATAACAGAAATACAACAGATCATAAAGATACAATCAACTGTATGTCAATAAATTAGAAAACTTAGAATACATTTTTTTTTGAAATGTACAACCAATGCATATTGAATCATGGAAAAACAGAAAATCTGAACAGAGCAAGTTTTAGTTAGTTTTGCATTGTTATAAAGAAAAACCTGAGGCTGGGTAATTTGTAAAGAGAAGTTTATTTGGCTCGCAGTTCTGCAAATTGTACAAGATGCATGGCAACAGTGTCTGCTTCTGGTGTGGGCCTCTGGAAGCTTTTACTCATGGGAAGACAGGTAGCAAGTGAGAGAAAGAAAGAGGTGTCAGACTCTTTTAAACATCTGATCTCATGGGAGCTAATAGAGTGAGACTGACTCATTACAATTAAAGGGCACCAATCCATCCTTGAGGAATCTTCCCCATGTAAAAAAAAGCATTCTACCAGGCCCCACTTCCAACATTAGGAATCACATATCAACATGAGATTTCGAGGAGAAAAATAACCAAATTATATCAGACCAATAATGAGTAATGAGATGGAATCAATAATAAAAAGTATCCTATGAAAAAAAAGCCCAGGACCTGATTACTTCACTGCTAAATGTTACCAAACACTTAATTTCTTTCAAAATATTCCAAAAAATTTAGGAAGAAGGAAATTTTTCAAATTCATTCTATTATGCAAGCATTATCCTCACACCAAAACTAGAAAAAGACACACAATAAAATAAAACTATATGTCACTATCACTAATAAAAATAGGTTAAATAATCCTCAACAAAATACTAGCAAACAAATTCAACACACATTTAAAATCTCATTCGCTATGCTCTAGTGGGATTTATCCCAGGGATGCAAGTATAGTGCAATATACACAAATCAATAAATGTAATCCATGCATTAATAAAACCTTATGATTATGTCAATAGGTGCAGAAAACACAATTGATAAAAATTCCTTTATGGTAGAACTCTAAACAAATTAGACATAGAAAGTACATACCTCAACAGAATAAATCCCATATATGACAAACCCACAACTAACCTCATACTATAACAGAAAAAAGTTGAAATATTATTTGGTGAGATCTGGAAAAAAAAATTAAAAATGTGCACTATCATCGCTTCTATTCAATCTAGTACTGGAAGTCTTAGCTAGATCATTTAACAAAGACAAATAAATAAAAGGCTTTCAAATATGAAATGAGAAAGTCAAATTGTCCTTATTTGCAGAGCATATTATTATATGTAGAAAACCCTAAAGACTCTACCAAAAACTGTAAGAACTAACAGTAAATTCAGTAAAGTTACAGAATACACAATCAACACACACAAATCAGAAGCATATCTACACGCAAATAATAAACTATGATAAAAAAATCAAGAAAACAATTACATTTACAATAGCTAAAAATATTTAAGATATCAAAGAATAAATTTAACCAATGAGGTGAAAGATCTCTACACTGAAAACTATAAAATGCAAAAGAAAGAAATAGAAAAAACCACAAATAAACGGAAAGATATCCTGTGTTCATGAATTGGAATAATTAATATTGTTAAAATGTCCATACTATCCAAAGCAATCTACATATTCAGTGTAATCTCTACAAAAATCTCAATGATATTATTCTCAGAAATAGAAAACTAAAAAACGGTCCTAAAGTTGTTGGGAATCACAAAAGACCATAAACAGTTGAAGCCATATTGAGCAAAAATAATACAAAACAAAGCTGGAGCCATAATGCCATCTCAATTAAAAATATATTAAAAAGCTATACTAATGAAAACATCATGGTACTGGCATAAAAACAGACACAAAGACCAATGGAAAAGAATAAAGATTCCAGAAATAAATACAAATATATACAGCCAATAGACTTTTGGCAAAGGGAACAAAAATGCAGATTGAGGAAATACAGTTTTTTCAATAAGTGGTGCTGGGAAAATTGGTATCCACATGCAGAAGAATCAAATTAGATTCTATCTCTTGCCCAGTTAAAAAAAATCAACTCAAAATAAATTAAATACTTAAATATAAAACCCAACACTATGAAAATACCAGAAGAAAACAGGGAAAAACACTTCATGACATTGGTCCCTGCAAAAATTATTTTGAAAAGACTTCAAAAGCACAAAGAACAAAAGCAAAAATAGACAAATGGGGTTATATGAAACTTATAAGCTCTGAATACAAAAGGAAACAATCAACAGAGGGAAGAGGCCACTTACAGAATAGAAGAAAATATTTGCAGACTTTACATCAGAAATAGGGTTAATATGCAGGCTATATGATAAAATAAAAACTCATTAGCAAAAAAAATCAAAAAGTTTGATTAAAAATAGGGCAAATGATCTAAATGGACATTTGCAACTGAAGATATACAAGTGGCAAACAGTTATATTAAAAAATGCTCAGCCTCTAATCATCAGAAAAACTTATATCAAAACCACAATGAGATACACATAATTATAGTTAGAATGGCTATTACCAAAGAGAAAAAAAGATAACATGTGATGAGGATTTGGACAAAAATGAAATATAACTTGGGTACTTACTGTTGGTGAAAATGTAAATTAGTATGGCGATTACTGAAAACAGTATGAAGATTCCTCAAAAAATTAAAAATAGAATTACCATATAATTCAACAGTCTCACTATTCTTTATATATATATATATATATATATATATAATGAAATTGATGTATCATAGAGCTTATCTGCCCTTCTATTTCTATTGCAATATTATTCATCATAGCCAAGATACTGAGTCAACCTAAGTCCATCAATGGGTGAATGGATAAATTAAGTTATAAAATAAATCCTGTCATAAGTGACAACATGGAGGAACCCAGAGGACAACATGTTAAGTAAAATAAGTCAACCACATGAACTCGCTCATATGTGGAATCTAAAAAAAAATGTTTTATTAAAATAGAAATTAGAAAAGTGGTTACTTAGAGGCTGGGAATGGTGGGGGTGGAGGTTAGAGGTTGGTCAATGTGTTCAAATTTACTCTTACATAGAAGGAATAAGTTCGGGTGCACAGTAGAATAACTGTATTTAACAATAATTTAGTATATTTATCAAAATACATAGAAGAGAGCATTCTGAATATTCTCACAACAAAAATAATGTGTTTGAGGTGATGGATTTGTTAATTACACTGACTTGATCATTATAAAATTTATACATATATCAAAACAACATAGTGTATCTCATAAATATATACCCATATTACATTTCGATTAAACATAAAATTTTCATTAATAAATAAAAGCAGAAATAGAAAGTGTCAAGTGACATACAAGAAAATCTCTTTAAAACTATCAGCAGATTTCATAGTGGAAACCATGAAGGCCAGGAGAAAATAAGATGATATATTCAAGGTGCTGATAAAAAGTACAAAAAAACTCCCAGTCAAAAATTCTAACTTTACCCAGCAAATCTGCCTTTCACAACTGAAAAAAAAAATATTTTCCAGCAAGCAAAAGCTGTGAAAATTTATCACCACAAGTTTCGCCTTATAAGAAATGCTAAAGGGAGTGCTTCAATGGAAAATGAAAAGATAATAATTATTGTCAAGAAAACATTAAAAAAGGTGAAAAATTCACTGGCAGAGGTAAACTTATAATCAAATTTGGAATACTTCATTACTGTAAGGGTGGTGTGTAAATCTTTCAAATATCTAGTGTAAGGTCAAAAGTCAAAATGGTCATAAATAACTACAGCTACAGTAAGTTCAAAAGAAATATTCAACACTCATAAAGAAAAGAATTTTCAACCCAGAATTTCATATCCAGCCAAACTAAACTTCATAAGTGAAGGAGAAATAAAATACTTTACAGACAAGCAAATGCTGAGAGATTCTGTCACCACCAGGCCTGCCCTAAAAGAGGTCCTGAAGGAAGCACTAAACATGGAAAGGAACAACCGGTACCAGCCACTACAAAATCATGCCAAATTGTAAAGACCATCGAGGCTAGGAAGAAACTGCATCAACTAATGAGCAAAATAACCAGCTAACATCATAATGACAGGATCAAATTCACACATAACATATAACTTCAAATGTAAATGGACTAAATGCTCCAATTAAAAGACACAGACTGGCAAATTGGATAAAGAGTCAAGACCCATCAGTATGCTGTATTCAGGAAACCCATCTCACGTGCAGAGACACACACAGGCTCAAAATAAAAGGATGGAGGAAGATCTACCAAGCAAATGGAAAACAAAAAAAGGCAGGGGTTGCAATCCTAGTCTGATAAAACAGACTTTAGACCAACAAAGATCAAAAGAGACAAAGAAGGCCATTACATAATGGTAAAGGGATCAATGCAACAAGAAGAGCTAACTATCCTAAATATATATGCACCCACTACAGGAGCACCCAGATTCATAAAGAAAGTCCCGAGTGACCTACAAAGAGACTCAGACTCCCACACAATAATAATGGGAGACTTTAACACCCCACTGTCAACATTGAGCAGATAAAAGAGACAGAAAGTTAAAAAGGATACCCAGGAATTGAACTCAGCTCTGCACCAAGCGGACCTAATGGACGTCTACAGAACTCTCCACCCCAAATCAATAGAATATACATTTTTTTCAGCACCACACCACACCTATTCCAAAATTGACCACATAGTTGGAAGTAAAGCTCTCCTCAGCAAATGTAAAAGAAAAGAAATTGTAACAAACTTGTCTCTCACACCACAGTGCAACCAAACTAGAACTCAGGATTAAGAAACTCACTCAAAACCGCTCAACTACATGGAAACTGAACAACCTGCTCCTGAATGACTACTGGGTACATAACAAAATGAAGGCAGAAATAAAGATGATCTTAGAAACCAACGAGAACAAAGACACAACATACCAGAATCTCTGGGACACATTCAAAGCAGTGTTTGGGGAAATTTATAATACTAAATGCTCACAAGAGAAAGTAGGAAAGATCCAAAATTGACACCCTAACATCACAATTAAAAGAACTAGAAAAGCAAGAGCAAACACATTCAAAAGCTAGCAGAAGGCAAGAAATAACTAAAATCAGAGCAGAACTGAAGGTAATAGAGACACAAAATACCCTTCAAAAATCAGTGAATCCAGGAGCTGGTTTTTTGAAAGGATCAACAAAATTGATAGACCGCTAACAAGACTAATAAAGAAGAAAAGAGAGAAGAATAAAAAAAACGCAATAAAAAATGATAAAGGGGATATCACCACCGATACCACAGAAATACAAACTACCATCAGAGAATACTACAAACACCTCTACGCAAATAAACTAGAAAATCTAGAAGAAATGGATAAATTCCTCGACACATACACCCTCCCAAGACTAAACCAGGAAGAAGTTGAATCCCTGAATAGACCAATAACAGGCTCTGAAATTCAGGCAATACTTAATAGCTTACCAATCAAAAAAAGTCCAGGACCAGATGGATTCACAGCCGAATTCTACCAGAGGTACAAGGAGGAGCTGGTACCATTCCTTCTGAAACTATTCCAATCAATAGAAAAAGAGGGAACCCACCCTAACTCATTTTATGAGGCCAGCATGATCCTGATACCAAAGCCTGGTGGAAACACAACAAAAAAAGAGAATTGTAGACCAATATCCCTGATGAACATCAATGCAAAAATCCTCAATAAAATACTGGCAAACCGAATCCACCAGTACATCAAAAAGCTTATCCACCATGATCAAGTGGGCTTCATCCCTGGGATGCAAGGCTGGTTCAACATATACAAATCAGTAAACGTAATTCAGCACATAAAGAGAACCAACAACAAAAACCACATGATTATCTCAATAGATGCAGAAAAGGCCTTTGACAAAATTCAACAGTCCTTCATGCTAAAAACTCTCATTAAATTACGTATTGATGGGACGTATCTCAAAATAGTAAGAGCTATCTATGACAAACCTACAGCCAATATCATACTGAATGGGCAAAAACTGGAAGCATTCCCTTTGAAAACTGGCACAAGACAGGGATGCCCTCTCTCACCACTCCTATTCAACATAGTGTGGGAAGTTCTGTCCAGGGAAATCAGGCAGGAGAAGGAAATAAAGGGTATTCAATTGGGAAAAGAGGAAGTCAAATTGTCCCTGTTTGCAGATGACATGATTGTATATCTACAAAACCCCACTGTCTCAGCCCAAATTCTCCTTAAGCTGATAAGCAACTTCAGCAAAGTCTCAGGATACAAAATCAATGTACAAAAATCACAAGCATTTTACACATCAATAACAGACAAACAGAGAGCCAAATCATGAGTCAATTCCCATTCACAATTGCTTCAAAGAGAATAAAATACCTAGGAATCCAACTCACAAGGGATGTGAAGGACCTCTTCAAGGAGAACTACAAACCACTGCTCAAGGAAATAAAAGACGATACAAACAAACGGAAGAACATTCCACGCTCATGGGTAGGAAGAATCAATATCATGAAAATGGCCATACTGCCCAAGGTCATTTATAGATTCAATGCCATACCCATCAAGCTACCAATGACTTTCTTCACAGAATTGGAAAAAACTGCTTTAAAGTTCATATGGAACCAAAAAAGAGCCTGCATTGCCAAGTCAATCCTAAGCCAAAAGAACAAAGCTGGAGGCATCACGCTACCTGACTTCAAACTATACTACAAGCCTACAGTAACCAAAACAGCATGGTACTGGTACCAAAACAGAGATATAGATCAATGGAACAGAACAGAGCCCTCAGAAATAACGTCGCATATCTACAACTATCTGATCTTTGACAAACCTGAGAAAAACAAGCAATGGGGAAAGGATCCCTATTTAATGAATGGTGCTGGGAAAACTGGCTAGACGTATGTAGAAAGCTGAAACTAGATCCCTTCCTTACACCTTATACAAAAATTAATTCAAGATGGATTAAAGACGTAAACGTTAGACATAAAACCATAAAAACCTTAGAAGAAAACCTAGGCATTACCATTCAGGACATAGGCATGGGCAAGGACTTCATGTCTAAAACACCAAAAGCAATAGCAACAAAAGCCAAAATTGACAAATGGGATCTAATTCAACTAAAGAGCTTCTGCACAGCAAAAGAAACTACCATCAGAGTGAACAGGCAACCTACAAAATGGGAGAAAATTTTCGCAACCTACTTAACTGACAAAGGGCTAATATCCAGAATCTACAATGAACTCAAACAAATTTACAAGAAAAAAACAAACAACCCCATCAAAAAGTGGGCAAAGGAAATGAACAGACACTTCTCAAAAGAAGACATTTATGCAGCCAAAAAACACATGAAAAATGCTCACCATCACTGCACATCAGAGAAATGCAAATCAAAACTACAATGAGATACCATCTCACACCAGTTAGATGGCAATCATTAAAAAGTCAGGAAACAACAGGTGCTGGAGAGGATGTGGAGAAACAGGAACACTTTTACACTGTTGGTGGGACTGTAAACTAGTTCAACCATTGTGGAAATCAGTGTAGCGGTTCCTCTGGGATCTAGAACTAGAAATACCATTTGACCCAGCTATCCCATTACTGGGTATATACCCAAAGGACTATACATCATGCTGTTATAAAGACACAGGCACACATATGTTTATTGTGGCACTATTCACAACAGCAAAAACTTGGAACCAACCCAAATGTCCAACAATGATAGACTGGATTAAGAAAATGTGGCACATATACACCATGGAATACTATGCAGCCATAAAAAAATGATGAGTTCATGTCCTTTGTAGGGACATGGATGAAATTGGAAATCATCATTCTCAGTAAACTATCACAAGAACAAAAAACCAAACACCGCATATTCTCACTCATAGGTGGGAATTGAACAATGAGAACACGTGGACACAGGAAGGGGAACATCACACTCAGGGGACTGTTGTAGGGTGGCAGGAAGGGGGAGGGATAGCATTAGGAGATACACCTAATGCTAAACGATGAGTTAATGGGTGCAGCACACCAGCATGGCACATGTATACATATGTAACTAACCTGCACATTGTGCACATGTACCCTAAAACTTAAAGTATAATAAAAAAAGAATAAAATATAGATAATATAATGAACTATTAAAAAGTAAAATAAAAACCCTAAAATTTGAAAAAAAAAAAAAAAAAGGAATACACAATTCAAACAGTTGTGAATTCTGACAGACAACAAAAATAAAAATTGTGAAGGACTGGGTAAAAGTCTAAAGTATTTGCATGTGATCAAAGTTAATTTGTTATCAGCTTAAAATAATCTTTTATAACTGTATTTTATGTAAGTCTTATGTTAGCCCCAAAGCAAGTAGAACTACAGCAAATGCACAAATAAGAAAGAGAAAGAAAGCAAAGCTTAGCACTACAGAAAATCACTAAATTACATAGGTATACAACATAGAGGAATAAAGAAAAAGTAAAAACAATCAGAGACAATTATCAAAATGGCAGGAATAATTCCTTACCTATCAATAATCCTTTTTAATGCAAATGGATTAAACTTTCCAATCAAAAGACACAGAGTAGTTGAATGGATTTAAAGAAAATATGATTGTACTGTATGCTGCCTACAACAGAACCATCTTAGTTTAAGGACACACATAGGCTGAAAGTAAAGGGATGGAGGAGAATATTCCATGCAAATAGTAACCAAAAAAAGAAGGGATGACTATAATTATAGCAGATATAATAGAATTCAAATTTTAAACTATTACTAAATCAAAGAAGTTCATTATTTAATGACAAATGTGTCCATTCATCAAGAGGACATATCAAGAGTAAATATTTACACACCCAACATCAGAGCACCGAAATATATCAAGTAAATATTAGTAAATATAAAGGAAGAAACAGATAGCAATACAATAATAATAGGGAACTTAAATGCTCCACTTTTAGCAATGGATAGAATAACAAGACATAAAATTAACAAGAAAATATTCGATTTAATTGCACTTTAGACCAAATGGACCAGACATATATAAAACTGTCCATCTAACAACAGCAGAATATATATTCTCCTCTAGCATACATGAAAATTTTCCATGTTAGACCTTATGTTAGGCCACAAAACAAGTATTAACAAATTCAAGAAATCTGAAATGAAATCTAGCATTTTTTTAACTAAAATTGTGTGAAACTAGAAGTCAGTAGCAGGAGAAATTTTGGAAAATTACCACATATATGAAAATTAAACTACATGCTCTTGCGCAACCAATGGATCAAAGAAAACATCAAAATGGCAAATAAATGTAAATTGAGACAAATAACAATGGAAACACAACATACCAAAATCTATAGGATATAACAAAAGCAGTTCTAAGAGTGCAGTTTTCAGCAATAAATGACTACCTTAAAAAGAAGAAATATTTCAAAGAAAAAGCTTAACATTATGCTTCTAGAAAAGTTAGAAAAGAGAAAGAAAAACTAAACCCAAAGTTAGCAGAAGAAAGGAAACATTAAAAATTAGAACAAATATCAAATAAAGACAGAAAATGACATAGAAATATCAATAAAACTGAGTTGTTTATTTTAAAAAATAAAATTGAAAAACTTCTCACTAGAATATCTAAGATAAAATGAGGGAAGACTTAAATAAATTAAAATGAATGTGAGATATTACAACAGATGCCTTCAAAATTAAAAAAAAATCATAAGGTACTATTATGAATTAATTGCCAAGAATTGGATAACCTAGAGGAAATAAGTAAATCCCTAGAAAAATATAACCTACCAATATTGAATAGAAATAGAAACTATAAACAGAACAATAACAAATAAAGTGATTTAAAAAGTAATTAAAAACCTTCCAAAAAAGAAAAGCCTAGGACTGATGGCTTTATGAATGAATTCTACCAAACATTCAAAGAAGAATTATTACCAATCTTAAACCCTTCCACATGAGCTAGAGGAAATATTCCCAAACACATTTTAGAAGACCATATCACCTTGATACCTAAGCAAAAGATACTGTAAGAAAAAAAACAAAAAAGCAAAAACAAAAACTATAGGCCTAATCTCTGATAAATATTGATGCAAAAATTGTCAATAAAATATTAGCAAACCAAACTCAACAACATGTTAAAAAGATTATATGTTATGACCAAGTGGCATTTATCCCTAGCATTCAAGTCTGGTTTATCATATGCAAATCAATCAATGTGCTGTATTAACAGAATGAAAGATTAAAACCACATGATTATCTAAATTGACACACAAAAAAGCATTTGACTAAGTTCAGCTCCTTTCTTGGCAAAAATTCTGAACAGTTTACGAACAGAAGGAAAGATCCCCCACATAATAAAAGCCATTTATGAAAAACCAACAGGTAATATAATAATCAACAGAAAACCTGAAAGCTTTTCCACTGAATCAGTAGAAGGCAGGAATGCCCACTCTTGCCACTTCTAGTAAATACAGTACTGAAAAGTACTAGCATCAGACAAAATAAATAAATAAAAGACATCCAAATAGGAAATTGTAAAGTAAAATTATCCCTGTTTGCAGATCATGTAGTCCTATATGCAGGAAACCCCCATAATCCACAAGAAATTATTTGAATTAATAAATAAATTCACTACAATTGCAGAATACAAAATCAACATATAAAAATCAGTCATATTTATATGCACAGATAACAACTAGTTAAAATAGGAAATCAAGAAAATGATTGATGATAGCGTCCAAAAAAAAGGAATAAATGTAAACAAACAGGTAAAAACATTGGCATGCTGAAAATAATAAATTATTAATAAAAGAAATTAAAGTCACAAATAAATGGAAAGATAGCTCATGTTCATAAATCAGAATAATTAATATTGGTAAAATAACCAAATTACCCTAAGCAATATACAGACTAAATGCAATTCTTCTCCAAATTCTAATGGCATTCTTAATAGAAAAATGAAAATAATTCCAAATTGTATGGAACCATAAAAAGCCAAATAGCTAAATAGCCAAAGCAATACTGAGAAATAAAAACAAAGTTGGAAGCATCACACTTCCTGATTTAATATTAATATTACAAGCCTATAATAATAAAAACAGTTTTTTGGCATAAAAATGGAAACAGGTGAATGGAATAGAGAATCCTTCAATAAATCCAAACATAAATGATCCACTAGTGTTTAGCAAAGACATTAAGGGGATACAATAAGAAATGGATAGTCTCTTCAATAAGTGGTAGTGATAAAACTGGATTTCCACATACAAAAGAATAAAATTTGACCTTTATTTTATCTTTATAGGACCAACACAAGTATCAACTCAAAATGGTTAAAAGACCTAAATGTAAAAGTTGAAATGCTAAAACATCTAAACGAGAACAGGTGAAAAGCTTCTCGACATTGTCTTTGGCAAGGTTTTGTGGATGTTACACCAAAAGCTCAAGAAACAAAAGTAGAATAAATAAATAAATAGGACTACGTCAAATGTTAAACACTTTGTACTGCCAAGGAAACAACCAACAAAATGAAAAGGCAACCTACTGGCTGGTAAAAAATATTTGCAAAGCACATATTTGATAAGTAATAGATATCCAAAATGTATGAAGATGTCTTACAACTCAATAGCAGAAAAGCAAATAACCTGATTTAAAAATGGGAGAATTACCTGAACAGACATTTCTGAAAAGAAGACATAAAAATGGCCAACAGATATATAAAAAGGTACCCAACTTCACTAATCATCAGGAAAATACAGGTTAAAACTACTAGGGGATAACACCTGACATAGATTATTATGGCTATTCTCAAAAAGACAAGTGTTAAATGTTGGTGGGTGTGTGAAGGAGAGTAAATCCTAGTATACTGTTTATTGAAATGTAGATGAGTAGAGTCTTTACAGAAAACGTATGGAGATTTCTAAAGAAATTAAAAATAGAACTACTGTATAACACTACAATCCTTTTTCTTAGTTTAAACCCAAAGATGAACTCACCATCTCATAAAAATACCTGCACTCCCATCTAATTGCAGCATTATACACAATAGCCAATACATAGAAACAACTTGTGTCCATTAATGAACCAATGGGTAAAAAAAAAGTGTGTATAAATACTATAATATATACCACATATATACACAGGCACACCACATTACCCCAGCATATGCCACATATATATACCACACTACCACATATATAGATACATCACATATATATACATTATATATCTCATATATATACATTACCACATATATAGTACATATACATTATATACCATATATAACTTATAAATACCACATAACCACATATATATATACATTTATACACATTATATACAACATATATATACCTCATATATATACCCTATTATATACCACATATAATATACATCACCACAGATACATACCACATATATATACTACATACATATATAAACATTACATACCATACACACACACACACACACACATGTGTGTATATATATTATTTAAAATACTTTTCTTCTAAGTTCAAATTCTTGGTCCTCTCAGGGACAATTCCTACTGCTTGGGTTTTTTTCTGCATACATACAGGATAATACTTTCCTGTTTCTTTGCATCTCTAATAATTTTTGTTGTATACCAGACATTTAAAATATTACAGTGTGTCAACTCTGGATATTAGATACTCCTCCTTTCTAGGGTTTGTTGTTGCTCTGTTGTTGCAGCTAGTTGTCATGACTGATTTTTGTTTGTTTAGTGACTTTCCTGAACTAATGCCCTAAAATACGTTTTCTTTGATGTATGTGGCTAGTTGTGTTTTTGATTGGTTAGCTTAGTGGTCAGCTAATGTTTGGATGTTATTTTCTCTACACTTTGTTGAAGGTCTTTGTATGAGGAACACACTCGACATTCTTCCAATTTATAACTCTGCCTTAGCATTCACTTCTCAATTGCACAATGTCTCATGGTCGGACACAGTGGAACAATTATGATATTCTTATACATTTTCTGGGCTTTTGCACAGCCCTACACGTTTGGTTGGCCTTTTAAATTTCCAGGAATATGTTGCAGATTTTTCAAAGACATTTATTAATATCCATTTCCTCAGGTTTTTTTTCCATGCTTTCAATCAGCAGCTAGTCTCTTGTTTGCTCCAATTAGTATCGCAACCTCAGGCAGTAGTGATGCTAAATAATTGTTGCTGACTTTTTGACAAATATGCAAATATCTTTTTCCACTGAAAAATTTCAGGTCTAGGTAAAATAAATTCAAGCTCTGTGAATGAAGGTTGTTCAGAAGGCCTTCAGACATGTAAAAGAGTAACAATTATTTGAGAATGAGGCATTTTGCACCGCTCCAAATTGATTCTCTTCTTTTTTCCCAGTGCCTGCAAAGCTGCTGGTTTTTGAGGGTGCTGATTTTTTTTTATTTTTTATGTTTTTGGAGACAGAATCTCACTCTTGTCGCCCAGGCTGGAGTGCAATGGCACTATCTCAGCTCACAACAACTTCCCCCTCCCAAGTTCAAGCAATTCTCCTGCCTCAGCCTCCTGAGTAGCTGTGCTTACAGGCGTCTGCCACCACACCCACCTAATTTTTGTATTTTTTTTGGTAGAGACAGGGTTTTACCATGTTGGCCAGGCTGGTTTGGAACTCCTGACCTCAGGTGATCTGCCCGCCTTGGTCTCCCAAAGTGATGGGATTACAGGCGTGAGCCACAGCGCCCAGCTGAGGATGCTGATTTTTAAATCTACTCAAGGACTGTAAAAAAAAAAAAAACGTGATGGGAATAGGACAAGATAAAATGTCACGAAGCTCACTATTCTTGTTGAGATTTACCTGTTTCACTGAACAAACACTCCTTTACAAATCTGGTTGATTTCCAGAGTTTGGAAGTTATTTTTGGCAATTTTTGCTAGTGTTCTTGTTACTTTTAGGAATGAGGATCAGAATTTTGGAGAATTTAGTCTAAAATTCTGGAAGTGCTTTCCCCATCCATTATGATTTTATGACTAGAATTTTTAAAACTTACATATTTTAATACTTATCCACTTGCTTGTTAGGTAAATGATGTGAAAGGTAGAAAGAGACATTTGTTATTTGGTTTTTCTATTAAATTATGTTGTTATTTTAGAATGACATACAATCACTCAAAAATAAACTTGCTGAATCTTAAATAATGCTGAATTTCATATAAAAAGTTCGTTTTTAAAGGGATGTAAAGTTGTTAACAGGGAACAACTTTGTTCCCTATCTTTGTTCTCCATCTCCCATGATTTTACTATCAATACCTAATGCTTCATCATGATTAAGATACATGCTATTTTATTATTTTTTTAAATTTATTTTTATTTATTTTTTTGAGATAGAGGCACACTCTGTCGTCCAGGCTGGAATGCAGTGACGTGAACTTGGCTCACTGCAACCTCCAACTCCCAGGTTCAAGTAATTCTCCAGCATGAGCCTCTTGAGTAGCTGGGACCATAGGCATGCGTCACCATGCCTGGCTAATTCTTGTATTTTTAGTAAAAATGGGGTTTCACCATGTTGGCCATGCTGGTTTGAACTCCTGTCTTCAAGTGATCTGCCCACCTCGTCCTCCCAAAATGCTGAGATTACCAGGCATGAGACACCACACTCAGGCAATACATGCTATTTAAATCTTTCTACCTACCTAGGCATCTCTATTGAAATATATTTATGCTTATATGTAATGTACTATACACATATATATGTAACATATATACACATATGTAATATAGTGCAGATATACACATATATGTATATACTATATAGTATATTGTGCATATGGTATATACATATATAAGTCTATACAGGTATATTGCATATACACCTATATACATATATACTATATGCACTATATACTACATATATACACATAGGCCTATATATACACACAATATATGAAGATGTATGTGTTTAAAAAATAGCATATCTCCTAATCACAATAATGTATTACATATTTATTGAAAATTTTAAATGTGTGTACACTTTTTAAATTAACATTACTAAATTGCAAGTTGTGTGTGTGTGTGTGTGTGTGTGCATAAGCTGAGTGTGTATGACTGGATGTGGCTGGATATCATCTTGTTATTTTTGCTGAGTTTTTTCATAATGCCTTGTATTTAACAGGCACTCAATATTATTTCTGAATGAAATAGATTTGCCAGCATCATCTAATATCTGAGACCTGCTATATAAATAATATTTTCCATAAATGAATAATTAATGCTCTTCTATATATTTACCTTTGGTATTTAATGTTGGAAGAGTGTACTCCCATTTCTGCAACACATTTCCTTCCAAAAACCTAGCAATTGTGTCCCTGATTCTGCACTGAAGATTTCTATAAATATATGTCTTCACAGAAGTGTTATCAATGTCATCAATTGCCAATTGTCTTTAAGGTATAACTATGAGAACACTAAGTATGTATATATAAGACGAACACAAATTCATTTCTAGAATAATTTATCTGGTCCTTGGTTCCTAAATACATTTGTTCTGACCATCTGTGCATTATTTTCTATTTTGTTTATTCAGTAATTATTCACGTGCTTTATCTCTAAGTTTAAATTTGCATGTCTTACTTTTTAACTCGCTCTACTTTTTTTATTTTTATTTTGCATTATATTCATGTTAGGCATCTACCCAGCCATACCAAGGTTCTTCCTGTACACTGATAATTAATAATCCTTATGGGTTTAGCACTTGCTATTCTATGACAGTCTTAATATAGACACCAGGTTTTAATCAGGTTTTTGTTTTAACCACTACCTAATTATTTCTTTTTCAACCATCTTCAACCCCATTGTGAACCCTTGGGTGACAGACCCAGCTAAGAATGGCCTTCATATCATCAGGACAAATTTACTAGACACACGAGTATAAAAATGTTCAGATAACTCTACGCCACAAATGTTCACGTCATCCTCAACTAATTCAATTCTCTTAACTGCAGTCTAAAACATGTATAGAAGGGTCCAGGCATTCCATTTTGCCCTGTCTGAATTCCTAAGCCACAGAATCTCTGTGCATAATAAACTGGTTGTTATTTTATTTCACTATCTTTGGGTTGTTTTGCATCAATAGGACTGGAATATCTGCTCTCATCCCAAGCCTTCCCAACTGCCACACATGCTACTCAATGAAGTTCTAGCAAATAGAGTCTGACAATTAGACTATGAGTCTTCCAAGAAGTTCTGAGAACACTGCTTCTTAGGTATTTGCTGTGTGACATATATTTACTTTCTCTCTCTCTGATCTTTTTCTTTTAGTCTTTAGAATCACAGTTACAGGAAATAAATCAAAGCATATTCTTAGACTCTTGACTTTCTCATTGAGACACTATATAACGTACTGTGGAAAAGCCAGAAAGCGTCTAAGGAAAGATTAGAGCTTGAGATATCACTGCTGTCTCATTACATCACGGTTTTCACTAAAGCCAGGGCACCAACCACTTTGAAAACTTATTGTCAATCATTTGAAATGGCTGGCCTATGAAAAAGTCATAAAGATTCTGAAAAAACATTGGTTTTAAATTGAACTTGTCATCCAGATCAATTTGTGGCAGTAAAATGTATATTAAAGAAGACTGCCTCCCCACAATCATTTCTGGGCCTGTCATTAAATGTTGTTGTACATATGCTTTATGTCCCTCTGTTAGTTTGACTGCAGTTTGGTTCACTCCATTAATGGAGATCTACTGCAATAAGTGATGAAAAATCCAAGCTGAATCTGTAGAATCTGGTTCTGAGACATCATCATGAGGAATTTATAAGTCTGCACAATGTAAATAAAAATGGAACCTATTTGACCACAGAATTAGGTGGTGAAAACAAGAAGATTAACAGCAACAATATGTGATCTTGACACAAGTTAAGGCTTCGTACTGTACTAATTGAGAGAGCAAGCCTGTTAATAACAGTAACAATTTCAATCCTCTTTCTGTTTGTCTTCTTCTGCTTACTTGAACAAAATCATACCATATACTATATTTTTGGAATATGCACAAAGCACAAGGCTTCTTTTGTCTGCATAGATAACTTACATACAGACAACGTGTTATGTACAATGAATGATTCCTTGAGAGTATTTATTTAGTAATACATAGTATATTTGACTCAAAAAATTCCATAATACATTTTGGCACTTTTTAATATGCTAATTATTCAATTAGGTAGACCATTTTCTTTTGCTTTCTCAATGCAGGGAAAAACTCTTATGCTTTTTAAAAAATGTTTATTCCAGATTGTATCTGCTTATATTTCAGACTGTATCTGTTTGCAACCTGTAATATTTCACAGATTAATTTCATATCTTGCTACCACTTGTCCCTGAGCTTGTAAATTAAAGGCTTCATTCATATTTTGATGACATTTTGACAACAAATTAATTTTTGTAAATGTGGGGGGAATTTCTATATATTATGATGCTAACCATTTACTCATTACTCTGACAAACATCATGTCCAGAAAATCTGTGAGCTTGTTTGTTGATTTCTCTATTGAGTGGTATATTACAAAAATAAAATTGCAATTTGTAATATTAATAAAAGTTAAAAGTGTTATATTAATTTGGTTTAATTTATGAAAAAATTATAAATTTTATTAACTTTTTTATCCTTTGGAAAAACTACTATCAATGTTTCTATAAAATAGTAACAAACTTTTCTCAATGCTAATTTCTAAAGATATATTTTAAACATTCAGCCATATTTTTCTCCTTTAAGTCATATGTAGTTGAAGAAACAAATCACCCACAATAGATATTAACATCTGATCTTTGAGAAAATATTAAATTACGAGCATCTATTCTATGCAGGGCATGCTAAGAAATGTGTAAATGCAAAACAAAAAAGAAACCAAATAACATCTTAGTAAATGAGATACCTTATAAATAAAAATGTTAGAAGTATAAGGAAAAGAGATATGAATTCATCTTTTCAGAATAAAAATGAAGGATAGCATCTTACAAACCATTTTCCCCTAAGAATTGTACTAAAAATATTACCTAAAAGGTCGGGAAACTTCTATGTCTTTATAATTGTTAAGTAATTAAAAAGAAAAAATAATGAATTAATTTTTGAAGAACTTTCACATATATATATACACACACATATATATGACAATTAGTGTTATCAAAGATGTGAAGAAATTGGTATCCACTTTTAAGGAGAATGAAGAATGGTGCAGCTACTATTAAAAACAGTATGGAAGTTCCTCCAATAATTTAAAATAGAACTACCATATGATCCAACAATCCCACTCTTCTGGGTATACTCCAAAGGATTTGAAATCAAAATATTAAAGAGATATTTGAACCCCCATGTTTATTACAGCATTATCCACAATAGCCAAGATACGAAAACAATCTAAATGTCTGAAAGATATATAGTTAAAGAAAATGTAGTATACACATACAATGCAATATTATTTAGTCTTTAAAAAGAAGGAAGAAATATTCCCATAGGTGACAACATGAATGAACTTGTAGAACATTAAGTGAAATAAGCCAGTAACAGAGGGAAAAATAGTACATAATATCACTAAAATGAGATATTTAAAGTAGTCAACCTCTTGGAAACAGAAAGTATAACAATGTTTGCTAGGGACTGTTGAGGAGAGAAAATGGGCAGTTGCTGTTCAACAGAGTAAATTTAGTTATGAAGATTAACAAATTCTATAAATGCTGCTGTACAACATCATCCCTATAATTAACAATACTATACTGTGCACTTAAAATTTTGTTAAAAGGATAGAACTCATGTTAAGTATTGTTACCATTAATTTAATGTTAATCTATACAAGCATATGCTGCATCTAGAATTAGGCAATTTTTCATAAAAATATTTATTTTCTCAAACAAAAGGTTTTTTGCAAATGGATTGTAAATATGATTGATTAAATTTTTTAAGAATGCTTAAAATAAACTTTTAAACATAGTTAATAATATATTGGGGTAATATAAAAGTCCACACATTCTGATAGCTAATTTAATGAATCAATTTAGAAAAGCGCCTTATTGCAAATCATAAAGTATTGCAAGTGGATGTACTCAAAATTAGTCAGGTTTTATTTTCCAATTAGTTGGCTACTTGCTATGAAAATTCTCAAATACATTCAGTTAAACTGATAGAAATTATTTCAAAAAATGTGTGGGTCAGACACATTGTCAGGCACCAGGAATCCTGGGATGAAAAGAAAAGCAGTCCGTTTCAGGAACTTACTATGTATTAAGGTGCAGAAATAGAAAAAAGGAATAAATTATAGAACAATGTCAGAAGCTTAATGATCAAAGAATGTATTTGGTACAGAGATCACAGGACGAAGGAGCTCTGAAATTTATTTGCAGAGGTCAAGGATGGCTTCTCTAGAGAAATCTTTTTGATTTATTTTTGAGGAATAATTGCTTCATCTCATGAACATGGAAGAAATATTTATTCCAATTAGAATGAACATTGAAGAATAAATGCTAGAACAGAAATTCGACTTTAATTTATTGTACCACCATATCAATAAGTGAAGCACAAGTTATTGGAAAACACACACACACACACACACACACACACACTGTTCTGCTACTCCATATCCTATGAATTAAATAGGGAAGCATTAATCCATAAGATTCACCTTGCTGTTAAGAAAATCAAATAGCTTAATAAATTTTATCCATCTGTTCTTGTCATTGCATTTTTAACTCCAGCGCTCTATAATATGACAACCATTTAAATAGTTTAAAAATTAGGATAGAAAAAACTTATCATTAATAACTGGTGTATGTTTTTAGGGTAAAAGTAAATAATTTTGCTGGGATACCTGGCACCAGCTGAAATTGAATGAGGTCAGTGAGCATGTTCAATATCACATTCTACCTTTCCTCTTCTGTCATTCCAACCCACCTTATTTTCTGAGTTTATTTGTGCTTAGTTAATCAAATTTTTAAGAAACTTACCAAATCTTGCTTATTTTTGAAAACGTTTAACAATTATTTCTAACCCGTCAAAATAAGAGGAGCAGAGATTCCTTTGTATGACACTTTTAACTTTATAGCCTCAATTACTCATTTCAGGTTCAGTTGTTACTATTTCTCTACATGTGCTTAACAAGAGGATCAAGCCAGATGACTCGCTGTTATTTAATTTATGTATTGGGGACATATTTTATATTAAATTGTTTGTGTTGTTTCCCAACATAATTTTTCAGGTCTTTACTCTTTGTTTCCTGCCCCACTATTTTCACATAAGGAACAGTAAAGGCTTTCTACATACATTGTCTTCAATAAAAGTTTGTTATTATAGACACATGTGAACAAAAAAAAAGTCTAGTTCCACTTTGAATTTTTGTTAAACTTTCAGTTTTAAGGACCTAAAGACCATTAGTCTGGGAGAAAAAATAAAGATTTGGGGATCAGAAGAGCCTGGGAATCTACAGCCAAAGTTTACACGATTAGCGGTAAATTTTCAGTGAAAGAGAGGAAAATCCAGATTCCTCTCTCCCTACAAGGACAAATAAGAAATCCTGGGGCTAAGAAGTGGGGGGAATGAAGAATACATGACCCATGATGCAGGAGGAGGGGTTAACTAGGATTAGAGAATTGTGTCTGGAGGGACTAGTTGACCACAGTATGGCTCCAAGAAGAATAAGCACTGTGTTTTCTTGTCATTAAGCAACCGAAATGCAAATAAAGTTTTCACTAGTTGACATTAAAAGTAGGAAGATATCTTCCTGTGCATACTGTAATATTATCTGTCTTTTTTACTCTCAAATAGGGATAATACCTCAGCTACAGTAGTCCAAATATTGGCAGTCAATAGCCCACCAAGAGTTGCATAAATAAATTTATTTTGTGTGACGTAAAATGTCTGGACATCTCCCCTTTTAACAATACAGGTGAGGCCCTGACCGCACAGGAGGACTGTCAGTGTGAAAGGAAAGGGAGAGCTCTTCCCACTCCTTTCCTTAGTCTTCTATCTGCTTGTGAACCTAACTAGACCCAGTGTTGCCCCAACACTCCTCCTACTTCCCCAAAGGTATTAAAGACCATCTCCACTTTTTGTGAATTCCATTTTGTGCTTATACCCATGCTACCCTTTTGCTTGGATTACCATACCTTTACCTCTTGCTGCTACATTCTATTCATAAGGAAACCAATTAATATAGGTACAGGCTATCTGAAATGTCTAATTGTTAGCAGGCTTTATTCTAGAAGCTGCAGTTTTAAGTAGTATAATCTTTCAATGTTCATCTCTATCTCCCTTTTGAAAAATAATTCCTTTAAAAATTCAACCATACATAACTCTTTCTTCATTGAAATTTCCCCGCCTTTTAGTTTATAATATGCCTATAAAATAGCAGTTAAGAATTTTATATGTGATAAGTCTACAACCGGCCAAGACACCAATACCTGAACTGATCATACCAAAAAAATGATTTGTTTTTTCCCCTAATAAGTGGTTTTGTTCTCTTTATAACACCAAATCAAAGATAATGACTTTTTAATAGTATCTTTCATGTGTCACCCCTCATATCTACCCACACTTTTCAAGGTGTTCTTCAAGAGTTCTTGATCCTGTCAACATTCTCAAACAAGGAAGCATTCTCCTTCTATCCTTCTGATAATTATCAGCACTGAGGTTTAAATTATTTTTCCATACCCAATTTTGTTGTATTTCCTAAACCACTTTTGCTGTTTCAGAATTCATCTGTATTTTTCTCATCAGTGTTCCTACAAACCAGGAGTGAGTTTTAACTCTACAGATGGCCAAATTCTGCCCATGGCCTATAGTTTATGGTCCAATATCTAATAGTGGTTTTTAGATTTAAAAATGTTGTACAAAAAAAAAAGACTATGCAACAGACACTGTATCTGGCTCAAAGACCCCAAATATTAACTTTAACAATTGTTGTTAATTAACCATTTTGGAGAAAACATGTGCTAACCTTGGCTATAGGGTTGACACCATTAACCCAAACTATGTAGGCAACAAGTCTAGGATTTCTGATTAGTTCCCCTTGATGATATGTACCACATGAGAATTATTTGAAGCCCTGGGCGGTCCCAACCTATAGTATATTAATCTCTATAATTCAAGAACCCTTAACATTCTCTTGGTTTCATTTCAGTCCAACGGAACCTTTTCTAAGGTCAAGATGCAAAGGTAAAGCCTGATATGAATATGTATATTGATATATTATATGTATTATTTATGAATATAATATCAATATACTGACTGTAATTGAGATACAGTTCAGATAAAGTCAGCTGCTTTCTTGAAACTTTATACCTTTTATCTAAGAACATCATTGTTAAAAGTTAATATCTACTGAAGTTCTTTTTGTTATACATAACAACACATAAAAATATATAAATTTAAAATATTTATACTCCTTTTAAAATATGTGCTTGCATCATGAATTAGATCAAGGGTTAGCTCATTAACTACTAATGGGTAAATATACTTCATACATTGAAACTGTATAATGATTTGTACATATACTTATTTTAAAATGTCAGATCCACGTAAAGAGAACAATTTTGATTTCAATTTCTTCATATTCTGAAACCAGCCCCTCTTTTGAATCAAAAGATGAGGTATTTTTTACTCAGGAATGGCACAGAGATTTTTAATAAAATTGCACCGAAAAGAGTTTTAAAATACATTTTTAAAAGAAGTTGTTTCCTTAAAAGAGTGGGTGACTATTTCTATTCTCTGACAGTAGGGAGGTTCCAGTATTTAAAAGGTTACATTATACCTCTGCTAGGAGAATAAAATAAACAAACAGTCAATTCCCTGAGAACAAAAGCAACAGGAAGGCAGCTGCATTCATTTAAACGCGAAAATTTACAGAAAGCATTTATCTCAAGATGAACGACAAGGTGCTGTTGTAAGAGTGTACATTATCCAACCAGCCACTGGCCTATCCAAATGAAGCAAAACAAGGATGAAAAAGGAGTCAGAAAAATTTTCTTTACATTTGGCATGCAAGAAATAATGAGCTTGCTTCTCTGTTGTTACCAGAAGATGACTGGCAAGGTATCATCAACAATGCAAAAATTAAACATTTTTACTTATACTCTCCTCCCATATTCATCGGTGTAGCAACTGGAATTGCTGAACGATGACCCACCTGCCTCCTCCAAATACATACAGATATTTATCATTCAAGCAATGGTTTATTTCCCTAGTGAGGATGCACTAAGCACTATCTGAGCCAAGTTTTTAAGGAAGCAGATGTCCCCTCATTAACAGCTCCCTTTCATTTCCTCTGTTCACTGCAACCTGTACTTATCACTCTACAGGAAACTGGAATCCTCCACCACAGAATTGTAAGGGTCATTAATTTGATCATTACCACTATGACTACCTATGATATCGGTAATTCTTTTTCTTACTCTATTCTTTATCTAACACACCACGTTACCTACATAGTGTTATCTTGTTGCTTTCACTGAGGAGCTTGAAGCTACCAATTTTTATCACCACTAATAAAATCAGAAATAAGTGACCTCAACCAAACTAATTTCATTCAATCAATAGCCTCAATTCAACTTGTAAAACATACTGACTAGTGCATATACTAGTAGACTACTCTTTATTTCATCTGAACTTGTTGCTTTCTGACCAAAAGTTTATAGAGTTTGAGCTCAAACTAGTTTAACATAATACTTTACTTACATAGCATTAATAAACTGTATGTATATCAGTATAATATGCATATAAAAAGATTTATAAAAACTATGGAATGGTTTGGATATGGTAGATATTGTGAGAAAAAAAAAACTCCACCAAACTAATAAATACATGTAAGAACAAATATTTCTTCAGCAACTCCTTAACATTATTTTAAAAAGGGAAAGCCATTTATGGACTTGATTAAGAAATAACTGTACACATTACTAAGTACAGAATTGGTTTCCATATTACCTCAAAAAACAAAACCTCAAAAAGCATTATACGCATCCCAAGATACATGCAAAGGTCAAAGAAAGTCAGCATGGATACCCGTACAATAGTCTAGGAATATTTTTTAACAGGAATTTTAACTTTCAATATATTTGAAGAAAATAGAATTATACTTTCAAATCCAGATTGTTGAAAACTTAGAGAATGCAGTTTTGGCCATTGATTTATCATCTTTAATCCAGCCTGTGAAATAAGTGGATCTGAGTGATAAATGCAGAATTCTTTGAGTTACAGTTTGGAAAAAAAATAGGCACAGGAATTGTCAAAAGTTAGTAACCTCAAGTGTACAGCCTACAATGTAGCATTCACAAATAATAAAATTCTTAGTTCAATTCACTAAATCTTGAAGAAATTACAGCTTGAATTTTTGAAACCACCACCAAAATCTCCTACAGGAAAATCATGAATAAAATGTTTTCAGTGATAGAAAATTAATTTAAAGTTTCACAAAATAAAGAAGATGACATACACTGAATGATGATAATCTGTTAGAAAAATTATATATCATATAACATCACAATAGCCCTTTCATAAAGCAGATACAGCTACATATGGAAAGGATAAAATAGGCATGTAAAAATATTCATGGCCAAGCACGGTGGCTCATGCCTGTAATCCCAGCACTTTGGGAGGCCAAGGCAGACGGATTAGGAGGTCAAGAGATCGAGCCCATACTGGCCAACATTGTGAAACCCCGTCTCTACTAAAAATACAAAAATTAGCTGGGCATGTTGGCGTGTGTAGTCCCAGCTAATCAGGAGGTTGAGACAGAAGAATCGCTTGAACCTGGGAGGCGGTGGTTGCAGTGAGCTGAGATCCCGCCACTGCACTCCAGACTGGGGACTGAGTGAGACTCTGTCTCCAAAAAAAAAAAAACATTCATGCATTACTCAAACGTTCCCATGGTGTAGTTTTCTATATTACAGTTTGCTTAATAGGTAATGATAATCTGATCAAACAAGTGGAAATACTATGCAACAAAAACATTATTTCTTAATCTAATCAAATTATGCTTTTATAAGTAGCATCACAGATTTTTTCAAATTAGCACTAACCACATATGCCAAAATAATTTATATGACAACATTAACATTCTAAGAGACAGAATGCTAATGAAATGATCAAAAATGCATTTTTCTGGAAGCCACTATTCTTGCTGCTTTTCTTTTCTGATAGTTTTGAGTCATCTTTTCTGGTACTTCTTCCTAAATTCTAAAAAAAAATTTATCTAGTTTTTCCACCCACAGTAATTCCATATAACCATTCATAGCTTCAGTGGTGAATTCATCACAACTGGTTCCTTTTATAATCTCTTCAGACTTGTTTATCCAAAAACTTGCTTGAAACCATCATTTACATCAATGATTGAAATTTAAAATTATACATGTGCAAATTAAAATTTAGTTTCCTCTCCCCACAAATTGACTTTTTCTTTTATGCTTCTTGTCTAATTACCATTAACTTGAGTGTAAAACTTTGAAATCACAACAGACTACTCCATTGGGCTACGTTTTATCCTTCCAATAAATAAATGTTCATCATTCTTTCAAATGACAAGTCTTGCTTTTCATTTTACTTCTTTAGTTTAATCTTTCATTACTTGACTTTAAAGTATAGTAGTAAATTCCTAGATTACTGTCTATTAAAAAATAAATGTGTGCACACATTTTTGTTCATAATTCTTACATGAGTACCTACTAAATGTTCCATAAATTGCATTTTTATATATTATTTGAAGCCTCTAACAATTCACCTATATAACAACTTTTCAGTAACATTTTCTATTCTCCAAATAATTCTTACTTTCTACTTCAAAAATATTTGCAAGCTCATATTGTGGTTATTGTTACTATCACTTTTACTTACTAGTATTTCTTTTTGCAAAAACTTATCTATTATTATTTAAAATCCAGACAAGATTCATCTCTACAACACAGTAATCACAGATCTTTTCATTGATAATGTGGCACCTCCTTCAGGGTTGGAACTTTGTATAAATTTGGGACACTTTAATTTTGGAAATAACATAAAATTATTTATCTCTAAAAGCAGTAAAGCAGAAAAAATTGGGGTATCATCTGTTGAGATAAAAAAATGTGGCGTGACTGTACATGCGTAAAGTTGGAAACTCCAACATGGAAACAATTCGGTATTGTACAATTATGTCTCTATCTTGTTTTATCTATCAATAAATGGCTTTACCTCTGAAAAAGATGTTAAGCAGTATTGCTTAGGAAAATCCTTGCATTTTCTGAGGTAACTAAACTACATATTCAAGATAGACTCTTACAAGTCAAAAATATATGAAAGTGACATAACAATAAGAAATAAATATGCAAATGATAATGGAGAAATGGAAGAAATATTAAAATAAAAAAACATTAAAATTTAATATTAAAAATATTAAAATGCTTTTTTAATCTAAAAAATTTAAAAATGTGAAAACAAGGTGGTACAAATATAAATCATTTAATAAAATGGTAGAATTTCATCTCTATATGTTAATAGTTACAGTAAATATGAATGAATGAAATCCTTCCGTTAAAAGCTTGTGATTGTTAGACTGGTTAAAAAGTAAAATTACATCCCTCTTGAAAGTGACATACTTTAAATATATGTGTGCATAAAGGGTAAAAATACGAAGAATAAAAATTTACTGTAAAAAAGGAAGGATAAAATACCACCAGATATTTCATAATGATAAAAAACTAATTTATATACTAAATATATAAATGAATCCTAAGATATTAATCCTAAAATGTTATTGTACATTGAATAACAAGACTTAAACATATAAACCAAGAGTTTACCAAGTTATAAACACAGATCCACACGTTAATACAATTCTCCCATTAATTGATAAAGCAATTAAACAATTGCTAGTGTATAGATGATATTAAAAAAAAGTAAAGTTTATTTAATTGATATTAATTAGTTGACACTCAGGAAGTGCAAATTACACATTCTCTTGAAGTGCACAGGGCCTGTTTACCAAAATAAAATAATATGCTTTTCCATAATGCAATTACCAATAAATTTCAAGTTAAAATCTTAAAATCCTACATGGCATAGTGTACTTGACATATAAATCAATAAGCAAATGTAAAATAAAATTCTTAACTATTTTAAAATAGCAAAACAGCCTTCTAAATAGCCCAAATGCAAGTTATCAAAATAGGATTTAGAAAAAAGTAACTAAATGATAATAAAGATATTATAATTAAATCCTGTGCTGGGATTTCCTCTTTACAGAATGATGAAGTAATAGAGGCTAGATTTACCTTCATCTGCCTGATGAAACAACCAAATAAATACATATACATTCATTGCTGGATGGTCAATTTATTGCATATTATTTTTATATTGCATATAAAATATTTTCATATTGGATATAAAAATAATATACAATAAATTGACCATTTAGCTATGAAGGGTAGTTACTCTTGAGCAACAGGAAACAAATGAAATGAGCTCCATAATTACTCCAGTTTATTTTCTTAAGGTCAATACATGGGAAGGGGAAATCTTGGCAAAGGTGAGTGGACACTCTGAGTTGAAATGTAGGGAGACGAAGCATCTAGAGTTCACAGTGCAGCATATTACAGAAGAGAGGCATGCCCAGAAAGAATATGCATAACTCTGTAGAGGGTCTCTATGTATTTTTCAGCTGCATACTGATTAGTTCATGCATGTGAAGAGATTATTTCGAGCTGACAAAGAACTATGCAAAAATATTTGAGGTAACAGTGCTCAATGTTCACACAAATCACTGTTGAAAAGATGTATCTCTCAATAAACATTAAAAACATTATTTGTGATCAGATCTTGTGTCATAGGTTGTATATATCTTTACTTGGTGTCGAATCTATAATTTTATAGCCCAGGGCATGAAAGGCAGTAAACATTTCCTGTTACCTCTCACTGGTTATTCCTCTTAATAAATCAAATCTCTAAAGAAGGTTTCAGAAGACTCAAATAATAACCACAGTAGGAAAGAGAGTTAATTAGTCTTTCATAAATATATAACAATTTGATTTCCTGCTCCAGGCATGTAAATAAGGTCCACATTCCCAATTATAAATTTAATGAGACTAAAGACTATAATACTATACATGAGATTTCAGCTTCCAGATAAGACAGAGTGATGGTGATTAGGTTTACCTTCTGGACAAAATGAAGACAGTGTGGCGATTCCTCAAGGATCAGGAACTAGAAATACCATTTGTCCCAGCCATCCCATTACTGGGTATACACCCAAAGGAATATAAATCATGCTGCTATAAAGACACATGCACATGTATGTTTATTGTGGCACTATTCACAATAGCAAAGACTTGGAACCAACCCAAATGTCCATCAATGATAGACTGGATTAAGAAAATGTGGCACATATACACCATGGAATACTACGCAGCCATAAAAAATGATGAGTTCATGTCCTTGGTAGGGACATGGATGAAGCTGGAAACCATCATTCTCAGCAAACTATGGCAAGGACAAAAAACGAAACACCGCATGTTCTCACTCATAGGTGGGAATTGAACAATGAGAACACTTAGACACAGGAAGGGGAACATCACACACTGGGGCCTGTTGTGGGGTGGGGAGGGGGGGAGGGATAGCATTAGGAGATATACCTAATGTAAATGACGAGTTGTTGGGTGTAGCACACCAACATGGCACATGTATACATATGTAACAAACTTGCACGCTGTGCACAGGTACCCTAGAACTTAAAGTATAATAATAAAAAAAAAGAAAAACAGACAAAATATTTAAAACACTGATTTTTTCCAGTTACAGATTTCCAGCAGTGAAAAACAGTGATTGCTAAGAAATAAGAAACAAACAAAATCAATGTGAGCCATATTTTAACTAAGGACACTGCCTGAAAAGAGTAGCCAGGCATCAATGCAGGCTGCGGAATCCAGGGAGATCCAAGAGAGCTCCTTGAGTTAAGAATACAGTGCTGAGATGTAAGAAGACCAAGGTGGATAGACTTGGCAGAAATGAGTAAGAGAGAGCTACACTGAGAGAGAACTCCACAGATCTGCAATGAGACCCCTCAAACATTAAGCACAGTATTAACAGTACATACGTGAGGCCTGAAAAAAGAAAACTCCCAAATAATATAGAGTACAATGAACAGCATCCATACAGGGATACTGACTGTTCCCATAGCCATACTGGAAAACTTCAAGATTCAAAGGACATTTGGTAGAATATTCAAGAAAGTCTTCTAGTAATGAAGAATAATTAGCCCCAGACAGAGCTTTGCTGTCTTCGTTGACTAACGTATCATAATAGTAAAATCTAAAATGATCAGCCTATTTAAAAGTAAGCTGTATCCAATAATTAAAATCAATAACATTTGTAATAATACAAAAACATTCATTCATCAAAAATGTAAAATTCACGTCTGCAAACCAAAAAATCTGATCATTTAAGAAAAGGAATAGGAACATCCAACCCATGCTGAGATAAATCAATTAAATCAATTAAAACTGAACTAGATATTACATAAATATTAGAATTACATCAAAAGTTATTAGCAAAAGTTATTCTAACTTTCAAAAAATTAAGTAGAAACTTACAATACATTTTAAAAGAATAATTTAACTTATAAAAATAAAAACTACCATATGTTAAGACAAAAAAGTTACTGGATGGGGTCAGAAACACATTAGGCATTTCAGAAGAAGAAAATTTGAAGTTATAATAATAGAACCTACTCAAAATGAAGCAGAAAGACGACAGAGAATGAACAGTGTATTAGTTAATGGTGAGACAAGATTAAGGGCCCTACTACACTTAAAGTAATCCATGTCCTAGAAAAGAGAGAAGAGTAGAAACTTGAAGCTAACGATATCTATTTGAAAGAAAAAAATGACCAAGAATATTCAAAATTTGATGAAAACTACAACTCCATACAACAAAGAACCCCAACAAAAATTCCAACCAAAGAATCAAAACAAAGAAACAAAAATACTAGGGTTCATATCATAACTGCTCAAAACCAGTGATAAAGAGAACAATTTTTAAAGAATCAACAGAAGAAAAATTTATATGCAGAAGGAAGTAATGGATGATCGGTTATTACTTGTTAGAACAACACAAGAAAGGTGACAATGGAATAGCATCTGCAAAGTACTGAAAAGAAAAATATAACATCCAACCTAGAATGCTATCCCCAAAGTGCGTTTTTTTTAAGGAGTAAATAAAGAGTTTTGAGGCATACAAGGGACAAACCAATCACTTGCTAACACACACTACAATAAATGTTAAAGAAAGTTCTTCAGGCAGAAAAGCAAAATAACATACAGAAATGTGATCTACACAAAGGAATAAAGGACATTGGAAATAATCATCACACAACTAAATTTATAAGATTTTGGCTAATTATTTAGAGCTGTTTAAAATATAAATATATGTGTAAATGAATTAACATTGTAGTGCGGGATTTATAATATGTAAAAGTGAAATGTATGGCAACAATGAAAGAAAAGATGGGGAAGATAAATGAAAATATAATACTATAAGGGTCTTACATTACGTGTGAACTGATAAGATACCACTTAAAGATAGCAATAATTTACAGTAATATTCCTATAAATCCTACTATGCTAGTTATATAACTATAAATCCTAAAATAACTATTAAAGTGATGGAACAAACAGCTACAAATCTAACAAATAATAAGGTGGGGTTATTAAAATGAAAAAATCTCAGAAAGAAAAAGAAGGAGAAAAAAGTAAATTTAGGAATTAAACAGCAAGATTATAGACCTAAACCTAACCATGTCTATAATCATATTAAATACACATGTTTAAACACCAAGTTAAAAGGCAGAAATTGGCACATTGGATTAAAAAGAAGGAAGCAAGACTAACCCATATTTTGCCAACAAAAACACACTTAAAATATAAAGATAAAAATAAGTTTTAATAAAAGACTAGAAAAAAATTTCCATTGTAGCACTAATCAAAAGCAAGCTGAAGTGGGTATAAAAGAGAAAATTATCGATGAAAACATTGGTTGTATGAAAATAATTTTTAATAGTGAGGGATACCTAGTAATAATCAGCAAAAATGAGTGAATATAAAAAATCAACTAACGGCTGAAAGAGGAGAACTCATTGTAAATACTACAGATATTAAGAACACAATGAAAATATAATATTAATAACCAGTTTGCAATAAATTTTAAAATTTGAATACAATATACAAATTTATTTTTAAAGTTAGCTAGCAAAACTGAGATGAGAAGACATTTAAAAATATAGTTTTATATTCACTAAGAAATTTCACCCATAATTTAAATTCTTCCCACAAATTCCAGTTCAAGATGTCTTCATGGCTGAGGTTTTCTCAGATATTTAAGAAAGAAATAACATTAACATTGCAAAATTAAAAAGCAGAATTTCTTTCTCACATTTTATAATTCCAGCATTACCTTGATGAAAAAAATCTTAAAAATTTACAAGAGATAAGAACCAGAAACTAGTATCTTTCACAACAACAAAGGGAATACAATAATTCTTACCAAATATTAGTAAAATGCCAGCAGAAATACATAAAAGGGATACATCAATATAAATATGATTAATTCATGGAATGAAAGTGTGATTTAATATTTGAATATAATCAGTGTAATTCCCCCCCTTAACCAGCAAAAGAATAAAATGTCATCTAATTTTTTCAATAGGTGAAGTAAATGCATTTTAAATAAATAAAAAAAATAGTTTATAAAATATCTCAGTCAGAAATAGAAGGTATATTCTTCAATGTACAATGAAAATTACTAACATGGTGAAACGTGGTACGTGTTCTTTCAAGATCTGGAACAAAACAATAATGTCTACCATAACTATATGTATTCAACATTGTACTGAAGGAACTAGTCAATCAAGGAAAAAAAAATGTACTAATATTGGAATAGAAGAAATACAACTGTCATTACTTCTAGTAGCATAATTTTAATCCCAGATAATTTTTAATACATACATATAAATTACTAGACTTAATAAATGGATTTTATAAAATCACATGATGAAGGGTCAAACAAATCTGAGGTAGAAAGGCCAAGAACAAAGCTGGAGTCCTTACAGTAACAGATATCAAGTTTTTATTATAAGACTATATGAAATTGGGACCTACCACGAAGCTACATTTTAATATACAACTACAAATAAAATGAAAACTATTTCTGTGATAGAAAAATGGATCAACGAAATCTAATAATGATTTTAAAAGCATAATCATAAACAATCACCCAATGTATGTCGAAGTAGCAATGGCAATGCAGTGAGAAATGATGGCTTTGTCAAGGATTTTCAATAATACCCTCATGCTCAGAGATTCAGTAGAAAATTTAGTGTGTAATTGTAATCATTGCTAAGGTTTATTAAACAATTGGAAAGTTGGGCTTGGTGGCTCACGCCTGTAATCCCAGCACTTTGGGAGGCTGAGGCGGGTGTATTGCTTGAGCTCAAGAGTTTGAGACAAGCCTGGGCTATATGGTGATACTCTGTCTCTACAAAAAAACAGCCAAACGTGGTGGCACACACCTGTGGTCCCACCTACCTGGGAAGCTGAGATGGGAGAATCACTTCAATCCGGCAGGTGAAGGTTGCAATGAGCCAAGATCGTGCCACTGCACTCCAGCCTATATGACAGAGCCAGACCCTGTCTCAATACGAAAACAAAAACAAAAATTTATACCAATAGAGGGTATGAATCAATGGGATTCCTCCCATGTAACAAGAATGAAAGTTTAAATATGTCACATGATTTACAAAAACAATTTCTGTTAATTCATAGATTTAAATAGAAAAGCTAAAAAAAGTTCTTAAAATGAGGTTATCCTTCTGATTTGGTAATAGGCAGAAATGTATTACACGAAACACACAAAAAAACTAACTATGATAAGAAATATTTATACATGTAACTTTCTTAACAATAAATACATAAAATTAAAGGCACAATTGCAAGTTTGAAAGTCAAACCACAGACGAGAGAAGACATTGAACACGGGTCTTATAACCAACATATATAAACTTCCTACAAAACAATAATATAAGGACAATTACTTCATAAAGCAAGTCCTTAGAGAACTACAAAAAGACTTAAGACTCCCACACAGTAATAATGGGAGATCTTAATACCCCACTGTCAACATTAGACAGATCAACGAGACAGAAAGTTAACAAGCATATGCAGGAACTGAACTCAGCTCTGCACCAAGTGGACCTAATAGACAACTACAGAACTCTCCACCCCAAACCAACAGAATATACATTCTTCTCAGCACATCACACTTATTCCAAAATGGACCACATAGTTGGAAGTAAAGCACTCCTCAGCAAATGTAAAAGAACAGAAATTATAACAAACTGTCTCTCAGACCACAGTGCAATCAAACTAGAACTCAGGACTAAGAAACTCACTCAAAACAGCTCAACTACATGGAAATTTAACAACCTGCTCCTGAATGACTACTGGGTACATAACGAAATGAAGGCAGAAATAAAGATGTTCTTTGAAACCAATGAGAACAAAGACACAACATACCAGAATCTCTGGGACACATATAAAGCAGTGTGTAGAGGGAAATTTATAGCACTAAATGCCCACAAGAGAAAGAAGGAAAGATCTAAAATTGACACCCTAACATCAGAATTGAAAGAACTAGAGAAGCAAGAGGAAACAAATTCAAAAGCTAGCAGAAGGCAAGAAATAACTAAGATCAGAGCAGAACTGAAGGAGATAGAAGCACAAAAAACCTTTCAAAAAATCAATGAATCCAGGAGCTGGTTTTTCAAAACATCAACAAAATTGATAGACCGCTAGCAAGACTAATAAAGAAGAAAAGAGAGAAGAATCAAATAGATGCAATAAAAATGATAAAGGGAATATCACCACTGATCCCACAGAAATACAAAATACCATCAGAGAATATTATAAACACCTCTATGCAAATAAACTAGAAAACCTAGAAGAAATGGATAAATTCCTGGACATATACACCCTCCCAAGACTAAATCAAGAAGTTGAATCCCTGAATAGACCCGTAACAGGTTCTGAAATTGAGGCAATAATTAAGAGGCTACCAACCAAAAAAAGTCCAGGACCAGACAAATTCTACCAGATGTACAAAGAGGAGCTGGTACCATTCCTTCTGAAACTATTCGAATCAATAGAAAAAGAGGTAATCCTCCATAATTCATTTTATGAGGCCAACATTATCCAGATTCCAAAGCCTGGCAGAGACACAACTAAAAAAGATAATTTTAGACCAATATCCCTGATGAACACTGATGCAAAATTCCTTCATAAAATACTGGCAAACTGAATCCAGCAGCACATCAAAAAGCTTATCTACCACGATCAATTTGGCTTCATCCCTGGGACGCAAGGCTTGTTCAAAAGACACAAATCAATAAATGTAATCCATCATATAAAGAGAACCAAAGTCAAAAACCACATGGTTCTCTCAATAGATGCCAAAAAGGCCTTTGAAAAAATTCAACTGCCCTTCATGCTAAAAACACTCAACAAATTAGGTACTGATGGGACGTATCTCAAAATAATAAGAGCTATTTATGACAAACCCATAGCCAATATCATACTGAATGGGAAAAAACTGGAAGCATTCCCTTTGAAAACTGGCACAAGACAGGGATGCCCTCTCTCACCACTCCTATTCAACATAGTGTTGGAAGTTCTGGCAGGGGCAATCAGGCAAGAGAAAGAAATAAAGGGTATTCAACTGGAAAAACAGGAAGTCAAATTCTCCCTGTTTTCAGATGTCATGATTGTTTATTTAGAAAACCCCATTATCTCAGCCCCAAATCTCCTTAAGCTGATAAGCAACTTCAGCAAAGTCTCAGGATACAAAATTGATGTGCAAAAATCACAAGCATTCCTATACACCAATAACAGACAAACAGAGAGCCAAATCATGAGTGAACTCCCATTCACAATTGCTTCAAAGAGAATAAAATATCTAGGAATCCAAGTTAGAAGGCATGTGAAGGACTTCTTCAGGGAGAACTACTAACCACTGCTCAACGAAATAAAAGAGGACACAAGCAAATGGAAGAACATTCCATGCTCATGGATACGAACAATCAATATAGTGAAAATGGCCATATTGACCAAGGTCATTTATAGATTCAATGCCATCCCCATCAAGCTACCAATGACTTTCTTCACAGAATTGGAAAAAAACTACTTTAAAGTTCATATGGAACCAAAAAAGAGCCCGCATTTCCAAGACAATCCTAAGCCAAAAGAACAAAGCTGGAGGCATTATGCTACCTGACTTCAAACTATACTACAAGACTACAGTTACCAAAACAGCATAGTACTGGTACCAACACAGAGATATAGACCAATGGAACAGAATAGAGCCCTCAGAAATGATACCACACATCTACAGCCATCTGATTTTGACAAACCTGACAAAAACAAGAAATGGGGAAAGGATTCCCTATTTAATAAATGGTGCTGGGAAAACTGGCTAGCCATAAGTAGGAAGCTGAAACTGGATCCCTTCATTACACCTTATACAAAAATTAATTCAAGATGGATTAAAGACTTAAATATTAGACCTAAAACCATAAAGACTCTAGAAGAAAACCTAGGCAGTACCATTCAGGACATAGGCATGGGCAAGGACATCATATCTAAAACACCAAAAGCAATGGCAACAAAAGCCAAAATTGACAAATGGGATCTAATTAAACTAAAGAACTTCTGCACAGCAAAAGAAACTACCATCAGAGTGAACAGGCAACCGAAAAAATGGGAGAAAATTTTTACAATCTACCCATCTGACAAAGGGCTAATATCCAGAATCTACAAAGAACTTTAACAAATTTATGAGAAAAAAATCAAACAACCCCATCAAAAAGTGCACAAAGAATATGAACAGACACTTCTCAAAAGAAGACATTTATGCAGCCAAAAGACACATGAAAAAATGCTCATCATCACTGGCCATCAGAGAAATGCAAATCAAAACCATAATGAGATACCATCTCACACCAGTTAGAATGGTGATCATTAAAAAGTCAGGAAACAACAGGTGCTGAAGAGGATGTGGAGAAATAGGAACACTTTTACACTGTTGATGGAACTGTTAACTAGTTCAACCATTGTGGAAGACAGGGTGGCGGTTCCTCAAGGATCTAGAAATAGAAATACCATTTGACCCAGTCGTCCCATTACTGGGCATACACCCAAAGGATTATAAATCATGCTGCTATGATACATGCACACATATGTTTGTTGTGGCACTATTCAAAATAGCAAAGACTTGGAATCAGACTTGGAATCAACCCAAGTGTCCATCAATGATAGACTGGATTAAGAACATGTGGCACATATACACCATGGAATACTATGCAGCCATTAAAAAAAAGATGAGTTCTTGGGAGGGTGCATGTGTCCAGGAATTTATTCATTTCTTCTAGATTTTCTAGTTTATTTGCATAGAGGTGTTTATAGTATTCTCTGATGGTAGTTTGTATTTCTGTGGGACTGGTGGTGATATCCCCTTTAACATTTTTTATTGCATTTATTTGATTCTTCTCTCTTTTCTTCTTTATTAGTCTTGTTAGCGGTCTATCAATTTTGCTGATCTTTTCAAAAAACCAACTCCTGGATTCATTGATTTTTTGAAGGGTTTTTGGTGTCTCTATCTCCTTCAGCTCTGCTCTGATCTTAGTTATTTCTTGTCTTCTGGTAGCTTTTGAATGTGTTTCCTCTTGCTTCTCTAGTTCTTTTAATTGTGATGTGGGCAACAATTAATAGCTTACCAACAAAAAAAAATTCCAGGACCAGATGGGATTCACAGCCAAATTCTACCAGAGGTACAAGAAGGAGCTGGTACCATTCCTTCTGAAACTATTCCAATCAATAGAAAAAGAGGGAATGCTCACTAACTCATTTTATGAGGCCAGCATCATCCTGATACCAAAGCCTGGCAGAGACACAACAAAAAAAGAGAATTATAGACCAATATCCCTGATGCACATCGATGCAAAAATCCTAAATAAAATACTAGCAAACCGAATCCACCAGCACATCAAAAAGCTTATCCACCATGATCAAGCGGGCTTCATCCCTGGGATGCAAGGATGGTTCAACATACACAAATCAATAAATGTAATCCAGCTTATAAACAGAAACAATTAAAAAAACCACATGACTATTTCAAAAGATGCAAAAAAGCCTTTGACAAAATTCAACAGCCCTTCATGCTAAAAACTCGCAATAAATTTGGTATTGATGGGATGTATCTCAAAATAATAAGAGCTATTTATGACAAACCCATAGCCAATATCATACTGAATGGGCAAAAATTGGAAGCATTCCCTTTGAAAACTGGCACAAGACAGGGATGTCCTCTCTCACCACGCCTATTCAACACAGTGTTGGAAGTTCTGGCCAGGGCAATCAGGCAGGAGAAAGAAATAAAGGGTATTCAACTGGAAAAAGAGGAAGTCAAATTCTCCCTGTTTTCAGATGTCATGATTGTTTATTTAGAAAACCCCATTATCTCAGCCCCAAATCTCCTTAAGCTGATAAGCAACTTCAGCAAAGTCTCAGGATACAAAATTGATGTGCAAAAATCACAAGCATTCCTATACACAAATAACAGACAAACAGAGACTCAAATTATGAGTGAATTCCCATTCACAATTGCTTCAAAGATAATAAAGTACCTAGGAATCCAACTTACAAGGGATGTGAAGGACCTCTTCAAGGAGAACTACAGACCACTGCTCAACGAAATAAAAGAGGACACAAACAAATGGAAGAACATTCCATGCTCATGGATAGGAAGAATCAATATCGTGAAAATGGCCATACTGCCCAAGGTCATTTATAGATTCAATGCCATCCCCATCAAGCTACCAATGACTTTCTTCACAGAATTGGAAAAAAACTGCTTTAAAGTTCATATGGAACCAAAAAAGAGCTTCCATTGCCAAGTCAATCCTAAGTCAAAAGAACAAAGCTGGAGGCATCACGCTACCTGACTTCAAACTATACTACAAGGCTGCAGTAACCAAGCATCATAGTACTGGTACCAAAACAGAGATATAGATCAATGGAACAGAACAGAGCCCTCAGAAATAATACCACACATCTACAACCATCTGATCTTTGACAAACCTGACAAAAACAAGAAATGGGGAAAGGATGCCCTATTTAACAAATGGTGCTAGGAAAACTGGCTAGCAACATGCAGAAAGCTGAAACTGGATCCCTTCCTTATACCTTATACAAAAATTAATTCAAGATGGATTAAAGACTTAAATGTTAGACTTAATACCATAAAAACCCTAGAAGAAAACCTAGGCAATACCATTGAGGCCATAGGCATGGGCAAGTACTTCACGTCTAAAACACCAAAAGCAATGGCAACAAATGCCAAAATTGACAAATGGGATCTAATTAAACTAAAGAGCTTCTGCACAGCAAAAGAAACTACCATCAGAGTGAACAGGTAACCTACAGAATGGGAGAAAATTTTTGAAATCTACTCATCTGACAAAGGGCTAATATCCAGAATCTACAAACAACTCAAACAAATTTACAAGAAAAAAACAAACAACCCATCAAAAAGTGGGCACAGGATATGAACAGACACTTCTCAAAAGAAGACATTTATGCAGCCAACAGACACATGAAAAAATGCTCATCATCACTGGCCATCAGGGAAATGCAAATCAAAACCACAATGAGATATCATCTCACACCAGTTAGAATGGTGATCATTAAAAAGTCAGGAAACAACAGGTGCTGGAGAGGATGTGGAGAAATAGGAACACTTTTACACTGTTGGTGGGACTTTAAACTAGTTCAAACATTGTGGAAGTCAGTGTGGCAATTCCTCAGGGATCTAGAACTAGAAATACCATTTGCCCCAGCCATCCCATTACTGGGTATATACCCAAAGGAATATAAATCATGCTGCTATAAAGACATATGCACATGTATGTTTATTGCAGCACTACTCACAATAGCAAAGACTTGGAACCAACCCAAATGTGCAACAATGATAGACTGGATTAAGAAAATGTGGCACATATACACCATGGAATACTATGCAGCCATAAAAAATGATGAGTTCTTGTCCTTTATAGGGACATGGATGAAGCTGGAAACCATCATTCTCAGCAAACTATGGCAAGGACAAAAAACCAAACACCACATGTTCTCACTCATAGGTGGGAATTGAACAATAAGAACACTTGGACACAGGAAGGGGAACATCACACACTGGGGCCTGTCATGGGGTGGGGGGAGGGGGGAGGGACAGCATTAGGAGATATACCTAATGTAAATGATGAGTTAACGGGTGCAGCACACCAACATGGCACATGTATACATATGTAACAAACCTGCACGTTGTGCAAATGTACCCTAGAACTTAAAGAATAATTATTTTAAGAAAAGGACAAAAAACTTTTACAGACACTTCACAAAAGAGGATGATCAAATGACCAAAATTCTAAAGTAAAGGTATTTTAAATAATTATTCACAGAGATATGCAAATTAAAATTACAATGAATTACCACAATAAACCTACCAAAATAGCTAAAATTTTTTTTAATGGAATGATGTAACCAATACTCTCCATCACTGTTGATGAGAATGTAAATGAGTACAAACACTTGAGGAAATTGCTTAATAGTATGTGGCAGAACTGCATATATGTACATTCTAAAAATTCTACTCTTAGGTATTTATTCAATGTGAGTAAATATGTAGACTAAAAAGACATGCTACAATGTCTGTGGCTGTTACAATGCAGTCTGTATTAGTTAGTATTGGGGCTGTAACAAACCACTCCAAAACTTAGTACCCTCACTTATGGCCTTGTCTGAGCTCACTCAACATCAACAGTTTAATTGTACATCAGGTGGACAGCTCAGTTTCCAGACTCGGCTGTCTGGCATATAAGTGTTCACATACTCTTGGCTAGTTTAGGATGGCCTCAGCCATTTTCCATATACTTTTCACATTTATCAACCATCCAAGCTAGGTATGTTCTTGTGACATGTTAGAGGGTAGAGATCCACGAAAGATGAAATGCACAGGTACTTTTTCAGTTTTCTTAAGTGTATTACACTTGCTACTCTCCAATTGGCCAGAGCAGGTCTCTCTACCAAGAATATCTGTATTGGAGGGACAGTATGAAAGAACATGAATACAGACAGGTGTGAAAAACTAGGGTCATTACAGCAATTAATATAGCAAATTACGCAACTAGAAATCATCCAATTTCTGCCACTGCAAAAATGTGTAAACTATGGTATACTCCAAAGGAGAAAATATTACACAGAATTGAAAAAGAGGTCTGACTACTGTTACAGTCCAAAAACATGGAATACTTAGATGAATATCATAGATTGAATGCTGACTCAAAATATAACTTGCTGAATTATTCCAAGTTGAAAACAGAAAAAAAAAACTGACAGATGGCAACTGAAATAAAAATTATGCTTATTTTTCTGGAAGAATAGACAGGGAGGGGAACATATTGTAAGTTACAGATTGATCTCAGCGGTGATGAGTGTCTTCCTTTGCAAATACATATCAGCTGTGTAGTTAAGATTTGTGAACTTTACTGAATGAACATAAACTAATATAATCTGCCAATAAGATTTTTTTTGCCATTTCCTGAAAGTTTAACATAACCACATGGCTATTTTGAATGTTAATACTTATATGATAAATAGTGGAGAAAAATTACTACTGGTGAATTTTGGTTTATTTAATTTTCTATGTTATGTTATTTTTTTCAATTTATCAGGCATTCTCTAAGTTTTATCTAAGGATAGTCAGACTTGAAAACTCTACTCTCAAAACCATCATTATGCATTAATTTCTATCATTTTTGTTAGACAAGTCATTTGTAATAACAAAGCACCAAATATGTTGATCAAATTATGTTCAATGCAATCAAACATTTGGCACAGACTATAAGGTATCACTCATTCTACTTCAAAATCAAAATGACACTTTATTTAATGAAAGAGCACTGAAAGAAAAGTTTCTCTCTTTTTTTTTTTTTTTTTTTTTTTTTTTGAGACAGAGTCTTGCACTGTCACCCGGGCTGGAGTGCAGTGGCATGATCTCAGTTTGCTGCCACCTCTGCCTCCTGGATTCAAATGATTCTCCTGCCTCAGCCTCCCTAGTAGCTGGGATTACAGGGGCCTGCCACCACGCCCAGCTAATTTTTTGTATCTTTAGTAGAGTTGGGGTTTCACCATGTTGGCCAGGCTGTTCTCGAACTCCTGATCTCGTGATTCACTCGCCTTGGCCTCCCAAAGTGCTGGGATTACAGGCTTGAGCCACTGTGCCCCGGATGTTTTTCTCGTTTTTTAGGTAGAAACAAAGGGACACAGTATTTGGAGCTAGAGAAGGTTAAATTACTGACTGAAATCCATGAACTGGAAAACTGCCCAAAAAAAATAATTAACCAAATTTGTGTATTCTGTATGACAAATTTGCAAGCTGAGTTTTCAGGTAATAACGACAGTAGATAGTAATACGTTTTCCTGAGCTTTCTGTTTGGCTAGATGGTGGGTTTCATTTTTATTTGGGCATATTTTGTTAAAAAAATTTGGCAAAGACACTTATTCAGTGAATTTGCACATGAAACTAAATAAGGCAGTGGGTAGGGGCAGTGGAGGTGTTGCTTAGCAACAGTTTTTTCTTTAGTCAATACTTTATGACTATAAGAAAAATTCTGTAAATTCTATCATTTAAAAAATCCTCATGAGACCTTCTTTTTGTGAATAATTTGACTTTTACTTGCTCTTCTCCCACACAAAAGAGCTAACTCTAACTGATACAAGCTGTGATTCCTTATAAATAGCAATGGAATTTAAGAAACCAGTTTCAATAGGTTATTTGAAATAATTGCTATAATGTGAAAATTTATCAGTAATCATAGTCTCTTTATCTCTAATAGTTGAACTGATATTTTAATAAGTAACCCATGCCTCCTCATATAGTGCCAAAATAGCATTAATGATATCCTGATATTGTGCATTCCAGGATTTCATATTTCTCTCTCCTAACCCGTCACATACACACAAACACACAGAGCCAACAACACATTCATACATGTATATTTGCTACACATTAATACATACCTTAATGTTCCCATGCTATTATATCTATATATCTTATACAACACATATATATCTTATCATATGATAATAGACAGGTATATTTTTTATACAAAGCAGTAAAAGAGTTGTCATTTTACTGGTATTAAACTGTAGCTTTTTTTTTTTTTTTGACATGGAGTTTTGCTCTTGTTGCCCAAGCTGGAGTGCAATGGCATGATCTCGGCTCACTGCTACCTCCACCTCCCAGGTTCAAGTGATTCTCCTGTCTCAGCCTCCTGAGTAGCTAGGATTACAGGCACATGCCACCATGCCTGGCTAATTTTCGTATTTTTATTAGACATAGGGTTTCATCATATTGGTCAGGCTGGTCTCGAACTCCTGACGTCAGGTGATCCACCTGCCTCGTCCTCCAAAAGTGCTGGGATTACAGATGTGAGCCACTGTGCTCGGCCTCAGTAGCGTTAATCAAACCTCAACAGCACAGGAAACTCAAATGTTAATGTATATTATAACTGAAACAGCATTTATGAACTTTTGTGATTATTCCAAATCCACTACGTCTAATATTTGTAGTTGTTAACTCTAGTATTTGTTAATCAATATTATTTTTAATTGAGAACTTATAGTTGTATATATTTATGGGGTACAATGTGATATTTTGATATATGTATACAATATGGAATGAAATTCAAGCTAATTAACATATTCACGACCTCACCCATCTTTTTGTGGTAATATATATAAAATTTATTATCAGCAATTTTGAAATGTACAATATATTATGACAAAATACAATCACCCTGCTCGCAAAGGTTGTCAAAAATTTATTCTTCCTGCCTAACTGAAACATTTTTCCCTTTGATGAACATCGCCTCATTTGTTCCCTTCTCTTGGCTTTGGTAAATGCCATTTCACTCTCTACTTCTATGAGTTCAACTTTTTAAATTATACATATGGATTAGTCCAATTTCACAATGCTAAGAAGAACTATGTGAGACTGGGTAATTTATAAAGAAAAGAGATTTAATTGACTCATAGTTCCATATGGCTAGGGAAGCCTCAGGATACTTAGTCATGGTAGAAGGTGAAGGGGAAACAACCACCTTCTTCACATGGTGACAGGAGAGAGGGTGCAAGGAGGAAAGTGTCACATCATAAAACCACCAGCTCTTGTGAGAGCTCACTCACTATCAAAAGAACAGCATGGGGGAAACTGCCCCCATGATCCAGTCACCTCCCAACAGGTCCCTCCCTCACAATGTGGGAATTACAATTCAAGATGAGATTTGGGTGCAGAGCCAAACCATATAATTCCACCCCACCCTCTCCCAAATCTAATGTTCTTTTCACATTTCAAAATAAGTTATGTCATCGAGACCAGACTGGCCAACATGGTGAAATCCTGTCTCTATTAAAAATACAAAAATTAGCCGGGCACAGTGGCAGGCATCTGTAATCCCAGCTACTTGGGAGGCTGAGGAAGGAGAATCACTTGAACCTGGGAGGCTGAGGTTGCAGTGAGCCGAGATCACACCGCTGCATTCCAGCCTGGGTGACAGGGCGAGACTCTGTCTCCCCCCAAAAAAAAGAAAAAGAAAAAGTAAAATCAATTATGTCCTCCCAACCATCCCCCAAAGTCTTAACTCATTTCAGCATTAACTCAAAAGTTCATGTCCATACTTCCCAAGGTAATTTATAGATTCAATGCCATCCCCATCAAGCTACCAATGACTTTCTTCACAGAATTGGAAAAAAACTACTTTAAAGTTCATATGGAACCAAAAAAGAGCCTGCATTGCCAAGTCAATCCTAAGCCAAAAGAACAAAGCTGGAGGCATCATGCTACCTGACTTCAAACTATACTACAAGGCTACAATAACCAAAACAGCATGGTACTGGTACCAAAAAAGAGATATAGATCAATGGAACAGAACACAGCCCTCAGAAATAATGCCACATATCTACAACTATCTGATCTGTGACAAACCTGACAAAAACAAGCAATGGGGAAAGGATTCCCTATTTAATAAATGGTGCTGGGAAAACTGGCTAGCCATATGTAGAAAGCTGAAACTGGATTCCTTCCTTACACCTTATACAAAAATTAATTCAAGATGGATTGAAGACTTAAATGTTAGACCTAAAACCATAAAAACCCTAGAAGAAAACCTAGGCAATACCATTCAGGACATAGGCATGGGCAAGGACTTCATGTCTAAAACACCAAAAGCAATGGCAACAAAAGCCAAAATTGACAAATGGGATCTAATTCAACTAAAGAGCTTCTGCACAGCAAAAGAAACTACCATCAGAGTGAACAGGCAACCTACAAAATGGGAGAAAATTTTCGCAACCTACTCATCTGACAAAGGGCTAATATCCAGAATCTACATTGAACTCAAACAAATTTACAAGAAAAAAACAAACAACCCCATCAAAAAGTGGGCAAAGGAAATGAACAGACACTTCTCAAAAGAAGACATTTATGCAGCCAAAAAACACATGAAAAATGCTCATCATCACTGCACATCAGAGAAATGCAAATCAAAACCACAATGAGATACCATCTCACACCAGTTAGAATGGCGATCATTAAAAAGTCAGGAAACAACAGGTGCTGGAGAGGATGTGGAGAAATAGGAACACTTTTACACTGTTGGTGGGACTTTAAACTAGTTCAAACATTGTGGAAGTCAGTGTGGCAATTCCTCAGGGATCTAGAACTAGAAATACCATTTGACCCAGCCATCCCATTACTGGGTATATACCTAAAGGATTATAAATCATGCTGCTATAAAGACACATGCACACGTATGTTTATTGCGGCACTATTCACAATAGCAAAGACTTGGAACCAACCCAAATGTCCAACAATGATAGACTGGATTAAGAAAATGTGGCACATATACACCATGGAATACTATGCAGCCATAAAAAATGATGAGATCATGTGCTTTGTAGGGACATGGATGAAATTGGAAACCATCATTCTCAGTAAACTATTGCAAGGACAAAAAACCAAACACGGCATGTTCTCACTCATAGGTGGGAATTGAACAATGAGAACACATGGACACAGGAAGGGGAACATCACACTTTGGGGACTGTTGTGGGGTGGGGAGAGGGGGGAGGGATAGCATTAGGAGAAATACCTAATGCTAAATGATGAGTTAATGGGTGCAGCATACCAGCATGGCACATGTATACATATGTAACTAACCTGCACATTGTGCACATGTACCCTAAAACTTAAAGTATAATAATAATAAAATAAAATAAAATAAAAAAGTTCATGTCCAAAGTCTCATCTGAACAAGGCAAGTCCCTTCCACCTATGAGCCTGTAAAACCAAAATCAAGTTAGTTACTTCCAAAATACAATGGGGGTAAGGGCAATGGGTAAATGTGTCCATTCGAAATGGGAAAAATTGTCCTAAACAAAGGGGTCAGGGACCACACGCAACTCTGAAAGCTGACAGGGCAACCATTAAATCTTAAAGCTTCAAAATGATCTCTTTTGACTCCATGTCTCACATGCAGAGCACACTGATGCAAGGGGTGGATTCCCAAGACTTTGGGCAGCTCCTTCATGGGCTGGCATTGAGTATCTGTGGTTTTTCCAGGTGCACAGTGCAAGCTGTCAGTGGATCTATCATGCTAGAGCAGGAGGATGGTAGCCCAGTTCTCATAGCTGCACTAGGCAGTACCCCAGTAGGAACTTTGTGTGGGGACTCCAATCCCACATTTTCCCTGTGTTACCTGATAGATATTCTCCATGAGTGCTCCACCCCTGCAGCAGACTTCTGCCTGGATATCCAGGCATTTCCATACACCTCTGAAATCTAGACAGAGGCTTTCAAAGCTCAACTCTTGTCTTCTTTACACCTGCAGGACCAACACCACATGGAAGCCACCAAGTCTTGGGGCTTGTACCCTCTGAAGTAATGGCTTGAGCTGTACCTTGGCCCCTTTTAGCCGTGGGTGCAGCTGCAGCAGCTGGGATGCAGGGTACCATGTCCCAAGGCTGCACAGAATGGCAGGGCCCTTGGCCTGGCCCACAAAACTATATTTGCCTCCCAAGCCTCCGGGCCTGTGATGAGAGGGGCTACTGTCAAGAACTCCGAAATGCCCTGGAAACATTTTCCCTATTGTCTTGGATATTTACATTTGGCTCCTCATTACTTATGCACATTTCTGCAGGTAGCTTGAATTTCTTCCCAGAAAATGGGTTTTTCTTTTCTACTGCATGGTCACGCTGCAAATTTTCCAAACTTTTATGCTCTGCTTCCCTTTTAAACATAAGTTCCAATTTCAGGTCATCTTTTTGTGAATGCATATGACTATATATTTTCAGAAAAAGCCAGGTTACATCTTGAATGTTTTGCTGCTTAAAAGTTTCTTCTGCCAGATACCTTAAATCATCTCTCTCAAGTTCAAAGTTCCATACATCCCTATGGCAGGGGAAAAATGCTGTCACTCTCTTTGCTAAAGCAAATCAAGAGTGACCTTTGCTCTAGTTCCCAATAAGTTCCTCAACCCCATCCAAGACCATCCCAACCTGGAGTTCATTGTCTATATCACTATCAGCATTTTGGTCAAATACATTCAACAAGTCTCTAGGGAGTTTCCAATTTTTCCTCATCTGTCTTCTTCTGAGACTTTCAAACCTTTCCAACTTCTGCCCATTACCCATTTCCAAAGTCACTTCCACATTTTTAGGTATCTTTAAAGCAATACACAACTTCTGATACCATTTTTTTTTTTGGTATTAGTTTGTTTTCACATTGCTATAAAAAACAACTTGAGACTGGATAATTTACGAAAAAAAAAAAAAAAGGTTTACTTGACTCACATTCTGCATGGCTGGGGAGGCTTCCGGACACTTACAATCATGGCAGAAGGTGAGGGGAAACAAGGCCATTCTTCACATGGTAGCAGGAGAGAGAGAGTGTGTGACGGAAGAAATGCCACACTTCAAAACCACCAGGTCTCATGAAAACTCATTATCACCAGCACAGCATGGGGGTAACCGCCCCCACGATCCAATCATCTCCCACCATGTCCCTCCTTCAACACATGGGGATTACAATTTGAGAAGAGATTTGCTTGTGGAACAGAGACAAACCATATTAGAACATATGAGATCATGCAATATTTATCTGCCTTTGCTTGGCTTCTTTCACTTAGCATGGTGTCCTCCAGGTTCATCCATGTTGCAGCAAATGACATAATTTTCTTCCTTTTAGGGCTAAATAGTATTTCCTTATGTATTTATATCACATTTTATTTCATCATTCATCAGCTGATGGCCACTTAGTCTGATCCCATGCCTTGGATATTGTGAATAGTGCTGCGACATACATGGGAATACAGATATAAGAGCTGGGCTGTTAAAGCCTATGTTACCTTGCTTTGAATGATGGCTTTACCACTTAAATGTGTGATTTTCAAGCAATTTATTTACTTTTTTGGTCTTATGTTTCTCACCAATAAAATGAAAATTACTGTAACTCTTAAAACATTTGTATAAAGTTAGAACATATTTATGAGGAGTCCATCAAATGTTTACTCATTTGTTTATCTTCTGGTGTTATTCTTTTCTCCATAGAACTTATAACTACACCCCATGCATTGGTTCACACATTTTAAAAGTCTCTTCCTCCTCTCTAAGCAAATTCCGTGACAGGTACTCCATTTTATTGACTCCTATATCTAATGAAGGGCACCCAAACCTATTAATTATGTTAACTAACTACTTAATCATCTTGTTAATCTACCATTAATCTGATACCTGCTAAATGTCAACTATATGTGAATGGGGTAATTTAAATATTTTTTATTTTATTTTCTAATCATGGAAGCTTTTAAACTTCCAGGGTTAAGACTGTTTCCAAACTCAGATAAACTTGTATATTACCTGAAACTTCTTAATTAATGAACCAAGGATTTAAAATTTTAATATCATATGTCTGAATATGGGGCTATTATTATTAATGACAACTGTTGGATTCTGCAATGTACCACATAGGTTCCTCTTCAATGAAGGACCTGTGACACCAACTATTAAATAATACTGATAGCAGAAAACCTTAATCTCTGAAGGATCTTCAAAGATTGCCTCAGCCTGGCTCAAGGTAGTGCTGTCTCCCAGGCTGGCTCACCTCTAACAACTACTAAATGGAAGTATAAAGTACTGACTATAACGAGTTCAATACCAGCCTGGCCAATATGGTGAAATCTCGTCTCTCCTAAAAATACAAAAAGAAAAAAAAAATTAGCCAGCCATGGTGGTGGGCACCTGTAGTCCCAGCTACTTGGGAGGCTGAGGCAGGAGAATCACTTCAATCCAGGAGGCGGAGATTGCAGTGAGCTGAGGTCGCACCACTGTACTCCAGCTTGGCAACAGAGCGAGACCTCATCTCAAATAAAAAATACTGACTATAATGAACCAAATACAGGACAAACCCTTAACAGCCATTTTGACTGGATTAGTAAAGGTGCTGTTGAGCTTGTAGCATAGTTCAGCTTCTGCCTAGTTTTCTTCTTTCTTTTCCCTTCCATAGATATTGATCTCAAATGCCCTTACTAGTAAGCAACTTGTATGTCCAACTCTACTTGAGAGTCACCTTCTTGCAGATCATAGACTACAACACTTGTTTGATAAAGCACTAAGATCATGTTGTGGACCTTGATCACTTAGCTTTTGGTTATCATTGAGGAGTAGGGGAGCACATATAGCACCCACTGTAAAGTAGCAAACCAATTGTTAACACTATCAGTGGTGTTGATTTAAGATAACCTAGAGAAAAAAATGGCACTGGTAATTAACTGTGCTGTTAATTATATGTTTGAGAGACCATTTATTGCAATTGTTTTGTTCACTTGTGACAATAAACACAAGAGAAGAAACTCTTGTCAATGGGAGTCATGATGAGTAGGTTTGGGATTCCATGAGCCAGAGACCAGATAAATCACCATGATTAGCAGGGGTGCTAGAGGAGATTGAAAATATAAAATACACAATAGTAGTGAGAAACAATGAGAATCATTTGCATCCTCACACCAGCTGCTGCATTTGGGGAGTATAGAGTACTCCTTGAATCTTCCTTTTTAAATTTCCTCAAAAGTAGAGGTTCAACTCTAATTCTGGAAAAGCTGTTCCCAGGATGTGCAGGAAGAAGTCAAGCAGAATGCTGCAAAAGATAGACTATAGCAGTTACTATTATGGGCTCCCCAGTTTTCCAGTTTTCCATTCAGTGAAGGACTTACTACCCTTCTGCCAAGAATGCTGTCAGAAGACAAACCTCTCTTCAGGGATTGCCTCAGCTATTAGAGAGCTGCCTGGCCTATGACTGTGTATTTTGTTTTTTTGCAGAAGCCCATACTTAATAATTGGTTGATGTTGAAACAGAAGTTTTGGGCCATCCAATCCAATTTTAGGATGACCCTGAAGAGCTACTGGGCTATTCAAGCTACTGAACTTCTCACCAAGTTAGTTGAGACTTTTGTTGGGTCTGCATAATAGCTTGACTTTTCTTCCTCCTTCCTGCTTCTTTCCCATTTCCTTGCCAGTTATTGATCCCAAGCGTACTTCTTAACCAACTTAATCTCCATCTCAGAGACTAATTCTCAGGGCTCCTAAAATATGGCAGTATTCCAGACTAGAAAGTCCTTCTAGTTGTGGTAGTGAACGCTGACTAATCTTAAAATCTGTGATTATACAGTTTTTATTGTTTCTTTATTTCTTACTGTAATATTTGTTTATGACAGCACCTTAGGATTCCTATGGACAGCCAAGCGTCAGAAGGCTGCTTAACCAGTACATGTTCAGAAATCCTTCTGATTGTACCATCATTTGATTGTATTAGCTTCATTTTGATCTGAAAGCTCACAAAATTGCTATTTCCTCAGCTGACATTATGTGATTACATTGTGTCTGTGTATCTCACAGACTATTTTAGCATGCAACTTCTGTTTGAGAAAAACTAGTCATTTTCTCCCCCCTCTCCATTTTAGAAATGAAGAAACTGAGGCCAAGGGAAAGAAAGATGCCTACCATGTTACAACCATGCTTCTGTATTTCAGTTTTCATCTCATACCTGAGTTTTCATTCCATGTTGTTTTCTTATAAGCATTACACATTAAAAGATTTTTATGCTTTTTCTGTCCTCTATGTGTCCTATATGTACTGTCCAATAGATTCTGTGTTGTTCAAATCTGTCATCTTCGTTCACTATAAATATGTCACTATAAAAATAATGCAACCAGCCAGGTGCTGTGGCTCATGCTTGCAATCCCAGCACTTTTGAGGCCGAGGCGGGCAGATCACCTGAGGTAAGGAGTTCGAGACCATCCTGGCCAACATTGTGAAACCCCATCTCTACTAAAAATACAAAAATTAGCTGGCTGTGGTGGTGCATGTTGGTAATCCCAGCTACTCAGGAGGCTGAGGCAGGAGAATCTCTTGAACTCAGGAGGCGGAGGTTGCAGTGAGCCAAGATTGTACCATTGCACTCCAGCTTGTCCAGCCTGGGCAACAAGAGTGAATGAAACTCCATCTCAAAATAATAATAATAATAATGCAACCTGATACTAGGTAATCCTGATTGTGTAAGTAACCCAGTAAATAGTACCTGTCTTGTTTTGGAAAAGGTTTGTAATAATTTTTTATGTTGTAAAATGGGAAAATATTTTCCTTATGATATGCATTGATGTGTACAACTCAAAATTAGTAAAATGGAGAGTATTAGATAAATTAGAACAGAATAGATAGGGTGAAATTAGAAGTTACTCATTAAGGTTCTGTCTAAGCATGAACATATTGCTAAAGCTGATTAAACAAAAATCAGAAGATTAAATATATAGTTTGATGTTGGTGGAGGTACTAACCACCACTATCTTCCTATAATTATATTGGAAATTATTACTATAACCTGTTATTTTTCTCCACCAATTCACTCTCTATCTGCATAAAAATCTAAAGTTTCCCTTTATTTCCTTTGGCCAGAAATAGGACTATCTTAATTATACTAAGATGAAATGACAGATGAAATTTATTTTAAATAAAAATGTAACTTTTAATGGTTATTATACACAAATACATAAAACTTTTAAAATTACTGCTGTTTCATCCTCTGATTTTTCAAATTGGCAATCTATGGTTCTATTTTCAATTATGCAATACCCAGAGGCTTTGCTTCAATGTTCATATAATTGCTGATTGAATAGGATCATCTTCAACCAACATTAAGAATGTTTAATGGATATATTTACTTTTAAAAGGAAAGATATTAATATAAATAGTGAAATGCTATACACAAGTTATAAAAGATCACCTTGCTTAAAAGTCGACCAGTGGTTCCAGCTGTACACATTAAATAAAATTTAATAATACATGCTGGATTTCTAGTTAAGGTATATGTATTTTGTAACAATGTTATTACACATTTAATAGACTACAGTGTAAACATAACTTTTATATGCACTGGAAAAAAATCATGTGAATCACTTTATTGCAATATTTGCATTACTACTGCAGTTGTCTGGAACTAAACCCATAATATATCTAGGGTAAGCATGTATAGACAATAGAATACTATTTATCCTTTAAAAAGAAAAAAAATCTTGTTATTTGTGACAGCATAGATGAACCTGAATGACATAATCCTAAATGAAGCAAGCCAGGCACGGAAAGGCAATTACTGCATGATCTCACTTTTTTAGATACAGAATCTAGAAAGTTGAATTCATAGATGTACAGAGTAGAATAGTGGTTACCAGGAGGTGGGCAGGAGAATTGGGGAGATGTTGGTCAAAGGATAGAAAGTTTCGGTTAGATAGGAGGAATAAGTTCAAAAACTATTGTACAATACGGTGATTATAATTAATAATGTATTTTTTAAGAGGAACAATATTGTCTTCATTTTCCAAGAGAGCTCACATATCAGTTTTGGAGGCAAAAGGCAAGAAAAACATTCTGTAAAAATTGAAGTGATTTCAAATTTATTTAATTATTAATGTTTCCTTCTATTTACACCAAGTTCGGCTTATCTAATGCGTTGGGTGGTACAAGAGTTAATGGAAATAGGCAGTAGGTGGAAGGATGGAAATGCAAAAAGTGTAACACTGTAACTATGCCAACTGTCTTGCCAAAAGTAATTGTTCAAGTTTAACATCCATCCCCACTTTGAGTTTTATTTCAGTACACGTAGCTATTTTATGCATGAGGATAGTAATTTCTCTTTCACTAAAATAATAGCACCTGATCCATGCATTGATACCTTCCATAATCATAGCTTCAAAGAAAATTAAAGAGCAGAGATAATTATTTTAGTAATCTAGAATTACAGTTAATAATGTATTGCATTTTTGAAAATTTCTAGGAGTGTAAACTTTAAGTGTTCTCAACAAAAAAAAATGATAAGTATATGGAGAAATGCAAATTTTAATTTGCTTGATTTAGCCATTCCACAAGGTATACATATTTCAAAACAACATGCACATGATGAATAATAGTATTCTTCAATTAAAACAAACTTATTTTGAAAATGAGCAAAAAGATGTATAGATTTGTAAGTATTAAACTGAATGTATACAAGACATGATTAAACTGAATGTATACTAGACATGTACATACTATTGAAATATGTTGATACACTAAGAGGTACAATTTAGTAATGTTTAATATATTTAAAATTTTTTAAGAAGGGTAGATGTAGAAAATGAGGCACGCACTTGGCTAGAAGTTGGCAGAGCTCTCTAACCCCAAAGCCCATGCTTTTAAACCACCAGAACATACAGCCTTTGAAAAGTAATTTCAGAATACCTGTCATTTCAGAGCAATTGTGCATGACAAAGGAAAATAAATCAATATTGAATTTTTAGCTGGAAAGAGAGTCCCAAATTAATTGTAATTAGCTGAGAAAGTAATTTTCATTTGTAGTTCCTAAGTAAAATAGTTAGAAACGAAATAAGAAATGATTATAAGAGATAGGGCGACCAACAAGATTAGATCAAGCCTCCCTGAAATTTCTGTGGAAAATGTAACGATTAATAATTCAATTTAGTACCTAAATACAGCAAGCAAATCCTTTTGCAGAGAAAATACAGAAAATAATTGAATGTGGCAGATATTTATAAAAAAATACCAAATTTTTTAGTACACATAAAAAAGTTAATTAAAATTTTTACTTCTAGGTAATTTATTATACATATTCTTTTCAAAAACACTACTTGGACTTCTTTACTTTGACTTATTTTATCATTCTCAACCTTTTTGGAGCATCTTAGCCGCACATTTCTCATAACAAACACTTGGTAATGTTTGTTTTTTATATTGATATTATTGTAAGTTAAAAAAAAAAGAAGAAATCCAAGACTTGTCCCTGAAGCCCAAAGGCTGAGTAGTTTATAGACTCTGTCACTGCACTGTCCTGATTTCTCTCCCAGCTCTGCCCATAAATGCTGCACTAACTTGGAACTTTCTTAGTCTTACTTTCCTTGTGTAAAATGGTGAGAAAAAATTCTATCTTATAGGATTATTATAAAGATTAAATTAGTTGATGCATGTAAAACTCTTTGAAGAGAACACAGTACATACAAAACAATTTTTTTTGCAAGTGACTTTAGACAGTAATTTACTTATTTATTTTTTTCTATGTGACCAATCAGGATTTTTTTGTGTATTTAAAGTTTAAAACAGGTGAACTGTGAACTTGGAGGTATAGCATTGTTTGACAAGTATACTTGTTAGTCCACACATGAAATATTACTGACTTTTTTTTGTAGTGGATAAAGGTTTATTACAGTACTAAATTTAAAAATCACAACATATTTACTTTTCCCTCAAGAGAGGCTAGGCACAGTGCCTCATGCCGGTAATCCCAGAACTTTGGGAGGCCGAGGCAAGAGGATGGCTTGATCCCAGGAGTTTGAGATCAGCCTGGGTGACAGTGAGACCCGTCTTTACAAAAATAAATAAATAAATGATAAGAAAATTAGCTTTAGTGACAGATAACTACATCACCTTCTCTACTGGGTCCAAACACTATTTGACCCTACCATGAATATTTTTTACATCATCAGCAGACTACAAAAACTTGTTCTTGGTTTTCAGTGTTAAGAATTAACATATAGACATTTTACGGAAGATTTAATTCTCATTAGCGAACAGTGTGCTATAAACTCTGCCAATGCCAGGGCATGTTGAGAGGCATATGAAGCATAGGTAAAGAGGAAGACAAAGGGAGGGGGCAGGGGTGCCAAGTCCCTCACCTTACCCGGGAGAAAAGAGATAATTAGTGTGGGGTGGGGTTCGGGCCCAGGGTAGGGTGGCAAGAGAGTTTTTTAGTGGGTAGGACATTGCGGGTGGAAAGTGAGGTGAATGAGGGCTGGGAGGCCGCAGGGGACGCTGAATGGAAAAAGCAGGTTAAAGCAGGGGGTGCTGAGCAGAAGGGGCAGAGCAGAGCAGAGGGTGCTGGGCGGAAGGGTCGGGGCAGGGCGAGGGCAGGGCGCCACCTCGTGGCTGGGGTGCCTGCGCAAACCAGCTGCCTCACCAGCCCTGGAGCTCGCACCACGTGGCCTCACCTCACGTGTGCTGTCCCCCTGGCCACGTCTGTCTTTGTCTCACCTGACGTGCTGTGCCTCTCCTGCCAGGGCTCTGTCCTGTCTGCCGCCACTACCGCCGCATGGCCCTGCTCGGCCTGCAGCCCGCTCGCCGCTTCGCTCCCTCAGAGACCCCGCGCCAGCGGTCCGTATTGGCCACGGTGAGTTGAGGCCCGCCCCTCATGGCTGCGCGGCGAGTGCGGGCGGGAAGCGCATGGCCAAAGTGGGGCGCCCCTACGGGTCGGGAAAAGGGAGAACATGGCGTGCGGGCCTCAGGTGGGAGGCGGCTCCTGTGGCTTTGGCGCCGTCGTTGGAGGTTCCTGGGAGAGGGTGGCCGTTAGGACGCCGTCGTCTGGCACAGGGGCGGAAAGCCGGGGACCCTGAGAAGCGCGAGGGGATTGGGCCTCCTACGTTGTTACCCTTTACCAGCACCTGGGTCGCAGGGGAGCTGTGGTTTTGTGGAGGAATGGTTTACCATCTTCAGACGTCCTTGGCACTGCCAATATTTAGCATTTTCGATAAAATGGTGGAAATCCTGGGCCGGTCGAAGTCCCAGGGTGCGAAGGTTGGAACCGGAAAACAGAAGAAAAATGATTTCTTAAAAAATAATATCTTTAAAATAATATTTAGCTTTTTATAATTAATTTTAAAACTAAATAAAGGAAATATAATGTTTCATGGTAAAAGTTATATCTTTTAACAGTAGCCTAAATTGTACCTCTTGTGGTCAGTTCTGTTTTATTGGAATTCACTTTCCTGTACAAATCTTGATAAATATGTTTTTCTTTTTGCCCAACTAATATGTATACATGTAGCAATGTACTGTGTGAGTTCTGATATACAAGGATGTTTCATACATTATTTGGGTAGGATATGGTCACTTATAAGACGTGTATGATTTAATGGGGTAGGCATTATGAGGAGAGAAATTTCTAACATGGTCTTATAGGTACAACACAAAAGGCCTTATAGGTACTGGGAGTGTATGGAGGTGTAAACAGTGGGACAGTTGTTGCCAGAGCAAGTCTGCAGTCATGGCAGTTGTGGAGTTGGAATAGCGAAAGGTGGTGAGCTTAGAGAAGGACATATGGAATTGTTCGGTAAAGATAGATAAATTTGAGTCCAAATTGCTACTATTCACACAAATTCTAAGGTGTTTTCTGTCCTCATGAATTAGTACTAGGCAGGAGGATAAAAGCAATAAGGAGATCAAAGCGTAAACAAATTGAACTCATATTATCAAAGATTACCATATAGAAATCTGTGTGGAGATGATACTTGAATTGTGATCAGGGTTATTTTGCCTGAGTTTTTTATAATGCAAAATGGGAGCAGCGGAGGAGAAACAGCATCAGAGTCTTTGGAATAGTACAAGAATTCTCGTTTGTTGCATAAATCTCATGATATCCTTTGTTTTGGGGAATACAGCAAGTGGAGAGACTCATAACCGTTTTTAAAGTCAGATTAACTGTGTCTAAATATTGAAAAGAAAAATAGCTTCTAAATAGAAATGTTGGAAGAAGTTATGAAAAATCTGGAAGGCTACAAATTAGAATGTTTAAATGTTTTCTCTAGTAAATTTTTCTGAAGAGGCTACAGAGGATTAAAAAGTATTTATAAAGAAGAAAGAGAGATAGAGGGAAAGAGGAAGGAAGGAAAGAAAAGAAGAAAGAAGGAAAGTGAATGAGAGGAAAAGACGGAAGGAGGGAGGGAGGAAGGAGGGAAGAAAGGAAGGAAGGAAATAAATTATTGTAAAGGAAGATTACACTTATGGACAATATTCTCTTTAAAATTCTTTGAAAGATGTGGCACAAATAAATATTGAAATTCTCTTATCTTGTCAGAAAATATCGGAGTACAAATTTCTGAAAAATTAGGGCACTTGTTTTTCTGGATTTTATTTTTGTTTTATTGTTTTCTTTGTAGGACCATTTCAAAATATGTCAAATATATTTGAGGGGGAGGATTAAGCTCTGTTTTTTGGTTGTTGTTTGTTTATTTGTTTTTTGCCCAAATTCCTGTCTAAGTGGTCTGGGTAGTCATGCCCTACAAACCATAAATTCTCATCAGATGGGTTTTATTTAACTCTATGTATCATGATTTACTTTCCAACCTGACTCTGGCATACTATTACAAGGAAGAAAATAAAAATATTTTACCCCAAAACATGTTTCTTTGCCATATCTTGAAATGGCCCTGAAAAGCAGTCCCTTGTGGGGGAAAATTCGCATCTGTAAAGAATCTCTATTAAATAGGTAAATCTTTTTCTTCTAGGCCTTCCCAATACTAAAGAGATTAACTAAAATCTAGCACCTGTTAAAGATCTGAGTAGAAAACATTTGTCATCAATTGTCTCTAAGAGCAACCACTGTAAGAGTTCAGAATAACCTTGGTCTCCACAATCTTTTATCTTAACCTGAAATTACCTTTCTATGGATCAGATGAATTTAGATAAACTCAACCAACTGTCAACCAGAAAATGTTTAAATTTACCTATAGCCTGGAAGTCCCCCGGCTTTGAGTTTTCCCACCTTTCAGGACCAAACCAATGTATTTCTTAAATGTATTTGATTAATGTCTCATGCCTTCCTAAAATGTATGAAACCAAGCTGCACCCAGACCACCTTGGGCACAGGTTCTTAGGACACACTCCTGAGCGCTGTGTCATGGGACATGATCACTCATATTTGGCTCAGAATAAGTATCTTCAAATATTTTACAGAATGTGACTCTTTTTGTCGACATGGGTAAAATACTTCAGTTTCTTTCAGGGCCTGCTATCTGTCATGTTGGTATCTTATTGCTACAAAGAGTCTGTTTTGTCAGTTCAGTCTTAAAGTCTCTGTTTTAATGTTAATGTTGGTGAGTTGTGCCTAAATTCCAAAAGAGGAGGGTATAATGAGGCATGTCCAACCCCTCCTTTCCATCATAGCCTGAGCTAGTTTTTCAGGTTAACTTTGGAATGCACTGGGCTAAGAGGAGGGGTCCATTCAGGTGGTTGGGAGGGCTTAGAATTTTATGTTTGGTTTACATTCTAAATTTTCCTTTATTACTTATTTTCATCTCAAACTATACCATAATGTCAATTAATTTATTTTCAGTCAAACTGCATAATGGCATTTCAGTCAGTGACATACCACATATATGATGGTAGCCCCATAAGATTATAATGGAGCTGAAAAATTCCTATGGCCTAGTTGCATCGTAGCTGTCATAAAGTCATAGCACAATGCATTATTCATGTGTTTGTTGTGATGCTGAAGTAAATAGACCTATTGTGCTGCCAGTTGTATAAAAGTATAACACATACAATTATGTATCATATATAATACTTGATAGCAAATGGCTATGTTACTGGTTTATGCTTCTATGACATGATACTTTTTATCATTACTTTAAAGTAATATTATATTACTTTAAATATATTACTTATATTAAAAACAGTTAATTATAAAATAGCACCAGGCAGATCCTTCAGGAGGTATTCCAGAAGAAGGTACTGTTATAATAGGAGATGAGAGCTTCGTTCCTTATACTGTCTCTGAAGACCTTCTAGGAGGTGGAAGGCATTTATACTGATGATCCTTACCTTGTTTAGGCATGTCCTAAGGTGTGTGTTTGTGTCTTAGTTTTTAAAAAAATTTAAAATGTTTAAATATGAATTAAACAACATCTCATAAAAAGAACTTCAAGAATGAGAAGCCCAGGCCTAATTAAACAATCAAGAATGTCATCAGGAAACAGGCTGTATTTATTAATATCTATCCCACAGTGTCAACAGGTTTCTTCATGCTTTAGGATTCATGAGTACAGCATAGTTTCCACATGTCTAACTTCATGTTCACATTATAGGCCAGAACAAGGAGAAGAAAGACAGGAGTGTTCCATGTGATAGCAAGCAATATTTCCCAAGAAATTCCACCATATTTTGACTTCTGTTTCATTTTTCCAAAAGGTGTCATGTACATACGTCCAGCAGCATAACAAACTTGGCAATTGAATTTCTAGTGTTCCAATCTCCATAGTCGAGGAATCATGTGAGAAATTACTGGGACTGAATAATAAATAAACTAACCTCTAACACCTAGTATAGTTCACCTCTTTGATTATTCATCATCCATTCACACTATCTTCCCTTTATTAATATTAGTATGTAGAATTCACTCACCCCCATTCCCTCACCATCTTTCTATGTATTTTAAATTTTTCCACTAGGTCTCCAACAAACTCAGATATGTTTCTAACATGTACAATAATGCTATAGTAATGGGGGAAAAGAAACATAACTGACTTTGAAATGCAAGAGTAAAAAGAAATTCTATTTGAAAAGAGAAAAACAGGCCAAAGTGATTCTATCATCACAATTTTTGTATCCCGATGGTAAGGAATTACAGAGCTCATGATTGTGCAATTTGGCCACCATAGGGTACAATGCTGAAGAGCAATACCCATATGATTTTCAGGTCAAGTCTGCATGAAAAGCTGCACTTTCTACTCATTATTTCTCAGTTACCTTTCCAGATTCATAAACTATTCACCAAAACTTTTAAGCATAATTGTATTAATCCTTTCTCTTCCCAAGTTGGGAATCTTTTGCCTATTGGTTAAAATTATCAGGGAAATAAAGATCAAAGTAGCCCATACCTTACTGATACAGCTGTCTGGAGCATGGATTTTGAGTTTCCAGCCAGGTGAGACTAGTAAGATTGCACCTTTGAAATAAACATTGTTAGTCACCAAGTTACTGGCAATTTTGGATAAATTACTTGGCTCTCCCATGCGGACAGAGTGTTTACTACATGCAGACAGGCGAAGAAAGACAGAAAAAGAGAGACAGAAAGAGAGAAAGAATAAATTAATGTGATAATGCGATGTGCTTCTAGGGAACATGATAAAAAATACTACTAGTTATGTATGTTAATATTCCATCACTACTTTTGTTTTTGTTGTTGTAAACATTTCATTAATGTGTCTTTTGGTTTTTATCCATTTATTTCTGTCTTCCAGCGTCCAGTGTTGATTATGTAAATTTTACTCTGTAGGCCAGCAGCCAGAGATTTAGAAAGAGCTGATGTTTCAGTTCAAGTTTAAAGACAGGAAAGAAATATGTCTCAATTCAAACGCAATCACTTAGGGGAAATTCCCTCTTCTTCAGATGAGGGTCATCCTTTTGCTCTAGTCATGCTGTCAATTGATTGAATGAGGCCCACCTGCACTAGAAAGGGTAACCTGCTTTCCTCAGTCTATTTAAATGTTATACAAATTCAAAACTCCCTCACAGAAACATCCAGAATAATGCTTGACCAAATATCTGGGCATACCATGCCCCCCCCCCCCACGTCAAGTTAACACACAAAATTACTATTATAGATAGAAAATAGGTGAATTCAGATGACTGTAAAACACAACAAGAGTAAATCATAACCCAACACATGTTCACAGGAAGGCTGCTTAGAAGCTAGACACAGTCTGGGTGACAGACTTAGGACTTAGAATTACATACAAAGGTAACAATAGAGGTACTTCATACCATGTTTTTTGTTTTGTTTTGTTTTGTTTTGTAGACAGCAGTGGCTTTTGCTAGAGGATAAAGCTAAAAAAAAAAAAAAAAAAAGTTAAACCCCAAACCAGAAATCTCAAATTTTAAAGACACCCTGCATATCTTGTTCTAGACCCTATCATGAGACAGAGATAATACTATGCATTTATCTCAATATTTCAATATGCTTTTCAGCATACAGGAAGTTTGCATTTTGTAGCCAAGCAGGAGACATGTCACCAGAGCTACCAGATGAAATGTTGCTGATAGCAGTGTTTTCTAATTTTAGTTCTGGCCTCTAAAACTTCTCCTATGAGTCTCAAAATCTGTCTTTGTCCTTCTCAGCTATAGATGTAGAAGATCCAGTAGATAAAAGCTCCAGTAAATGGCAGAACCACTTGTAGGCCTATGTCCTCAAATAGGCCTAGAACAGAGAGCACTTACCACCCTAACTTTAATTAAGAGCATATTTATTTTGTTAAATTAAAGCATTTTTTGTTCTATTTGATGCAATAGGTGGAATTAATTACCCTGATCAGTGCAGTATAGAGGGTGGTAGCAAAAATAAGGAAAGGTTATGAATATCATTGGATTAGCAGTTGAATGGCCAGGGAATTTTACCAGAGACAGGAATGTAATGCAGTGGAAATACATTTGATATTTTCCTTTTGAAATATTAAAGGCATGCCATGTACCTGTCAAATAATTGGCAGATCTAGCTAGGAGAACTGGTAGCACAGAATCAAAATGTGAGCTACTGGCTACTATAAACTGCATTTTGCAAAATAATACAAGATAGAGATGTGTTCAGGAGAGAATTGACCAGTTGCAAGGGAATAGATGAAGCCCAGAAGTTACCACCTTGAGAGAATAGGGAAACTAACTTCTTTTATACCTTAAAGAGTAGGTAGAGGGTAGATTGAGAAATTCTTCAAGCAAAAAGGTACATTGAGAACCAGTAATTGAAATGGTAATTATGGGTTGGTTCAAAAGTAATTGTAATTTTTGCATTGTTGAAATTTGCCATTTGGTATTGGAATACATTCTTAAATAAATGCGGTTATGTTATAAATCATTTTAATGTGCATTTCTCCTTTAGTTTTTGTTGTTGTTGTTGTTGTTGCTGTTGTTGTTAGTGACATTACTTGCTGTTTATTTTATATTTATTTTAGACTATGCAAATGACGTTAGACAAAAAGCAAATTCGAGCGATTTTCTTATTTGCGTTCAAAACGGGCAGTAAAGCAGCTTGGACAACTCACGACATTAACAATGCCCTTGGCCCAGAAACTGCTAACGAATGTGCAGTGCAGTGGTGGTTCAAAAAGTTTTGCAAAGGTGACAAGAGCCTTGAAGATAAGGAGCACAGTGGCTGGCCATTAACAATGACCAACTGAGAGCAATTATCAAAGCTGATTCTCTTACAACTACATGAGAAGGGGCTGAAGAACTCAACGTCGAACATTCTGTGGTCATTTGGCATTTGAAGCAAATTGGAAAGGTGAAGAAGCTTGATAAGTGAGTGCCTCATGAGCTGAGCGAAAATGAAAAAAAAATAGGTGTTTTGAAGTGTCATCTTATTCTATGCAACAATGAACCATTTCTTGATCGGATTGTGACATGTGACAAAAAGTGAACTTTATACAACAGTCAGCGATGACTAGCTCAGTCGGTGGACTGAGAAGAAGCTCCAAAGCACTTTCCAAAGCTAAACTTGCACCAAAAAAAGTCATGGTCACTGTTTGGTGGTCTGCTGCCAGTCTGATCCACTACAGCTTTCCGAATCCCGGCTAAACCATTACATTTGAGAAGCACAGTCAGCAAATTGATGAGATGCACCAAAAACTGCAATGCCTGCAGCTGGCATTGGTCAACAGAAAGGGCCTAATTCTTCTCCATACCAGTGCTCAACCACACCTTGCACAACCAACACTTCAAAAGGTGAATGAATTGGGCTACAAAGTTTTGCTTCATTCGACATATTCACCTGACCTCTCTCCAACTGACTACCACTTTTTTAAGCATCTCGACAACTTTTTGCAGGGAAAATGCTTCCACAACGAGCAGAATGCAGAAAATGCTTTCCAAGAGTGCGTCAAATCCTGAAGCATGGATTTTTATGCTACAGGAATAAGGAAACCTATTTCTAATTGGCAAAGATGTGTTGATTGTAATGGTTCCTATTTTGATTAATAAAAATGTGTTTGAGCCTAGTTATAATTATTTAAAATTCATGATCTAAAACTTCAATTACTTTTCCACCATCCTAATATCAGCCATTTTTTAAAAAAGCCTGAGACCCTCAAGAAAGCCACCATTAAGTTAAAAAATAGGGGAAGGGAGGAGAGGGGAAAGAGAAGGAGAGAGGAGAAAAGAGATCAAAGCAAAGAGTAAAAGGAATTTGAAGACTGTATTAAGAAAGACCTAATAACTACCAAGTTGCACTAGGTGGTAGTAAATAGATTGGAAGCCTAGTAAATTGCTTTTAAAATAATTATGTTGTCAATAAAAACTAACACTCCAGCCTAAAGAGTTCAAGTCCTCAACTTCTATAATTATGAGTCACTGAATTTCTTATTCTCTCAATATGCATTGGAAATATTCATAATGTCTGATGCTGAGAGAATTTTACATTGCCGTGGACCATTTAGTTGTGTCTTACATTCTTTTCTTTTCACATGAGTTTTTAAAAACTTAAATAGTATGTAATATACGTGAGGGGCATGCGAGGAGGTAACATTTCTCTTTGGTCTGTAGGTTACAAGACCCAGAGGAATTATATCTGAATCACAAACTACATGGGAAGGATTCCAGGACACATGGAGATCCTGTATTTTGGTAGGACAGAGTAACTCAATGAGACTTTGTCTTAGTCTTGCTTGGGAAAGTGTGAAGTAGCCAGGTAGCCAGGACACAGATATACAGACATGATATGTGATGACTGAATCGATTTTCTATGCCTAGAAAATAGCTAAATTATAGTTCCCTCATTTTTCCCTCAGTTCTCATTTTTTCTTGCTTCTTAATAGAGTCATATAGTTGATTTTTAACCTTAATAGTGAGCTAAATGATAAACATGATATGTCTCTTCAAGCCCCACCAACCTCACTTATATCTCTCTCTCACATTTCTGTTGACTGAAAGACAACAGTGCCCTTTTTTTTTAATCAAAATGTTTAATATGATGGAACCTAGGTTCCTCAGTCATCCCTTGGAAAGGAGAAACTGAACTGCTTTGGGCTGTAGCAGGAGCAAGAAATCCAGCGAGATTTTAAAATTGTTCATTAGACTACTTAGTTTACAGTGATAAAAAGTAAATCTAAAACAGATAACACTGGCATAGGATTCTTACAAAAGGCAACTCATTAAAACATAAAGCAGGCTTCATTGCTGAAAATCCATCTATACACTGCCAAATCCATCTATACTCTCCCATAGATGGGAGAAAACCCATCTATGATTAACATGGAAGTTAGAATACATGACTACTACAGTTGTATTTCTAAGGAAATAATTTGGAAAACAGAATTTTAGTAATGTGTGCTGTTTTTTATTGATCACATTTGACAATGTTAAATCCGAAATGTACAAGCTCCAGAGAGAATTGGTGAGTTCTGCAAGTAGAAATGAAGCAAATGAAAAGGGTCCAGAAGTTTTCAATGTCCAAAAATTGAATGAGACAAATGTTTCTAGATCCCTGTAAAAGACAAGATGGAAAAGGCTCTCAGCTATATAGCCCTCATAATATTTTTCAGCTGATCAAAATGATTCCACTTTTTGGCACAAAACAGATCAAATATATGGCTTTTCCACCCTTTATTCCACCTGGCTTCAGACAATAGATACTGTTCTAGCTTGCCATTAAATTGAGAGAGAAGTAAGGGAACGAGAGGTCAAAGAAATAGCATAATTTTGCCGAATATCTAATAAAGATCTTCAGATGGAGTTGATGTCACAGGGAAGCGAAACAGATGAATATAAAAGATAGTGAAGCAATTGATTTCTAGAGAAACCACAAGCCCAGACTAAAAAGCATTTGATTATCCAGCAAGACTTAAAATATACTTTAGGCAAGTAGAAAGTTATGAAAACCATGCATTCTTTAAGGAGCACCCACCTAAACACCTTCAAATATGACAAAGGAGGACATTAGTCAAGCAGAACGTCACAGAGAGTAGTATGGTTGTTGAAGCTAATATTTTATATTGGAAGGGAAAGGGTATATAATTGTTAATTCGTACTTAATTTCCACACCATACAAAATGCATCCAAAACTGATCAAAAGAACTTTACACATCAGTTGAGAATCTATCATCTATTTTCTCTGTTTTATATATGTGTATATCCTCACCAACATTTATACCTTTACAACTTTGTTTTTTCAGCCATAAATAAGGGAAAATAAGTGTGTGTAAATACAGTGCTTTAATGATGATGATGTAATTTTGTCAGTGTTTGATACATAATTGACTATTAAATCTGAGAACTAGAAACTTCACCCAATGCCATCTCATAAAGAAAATGTATTCATTAAAATGTTAATTAAATTTTGTTAATTAGTAATTAACTATTTTTGGGATAAAATTTAGCTACCTTAGAGATGCATTGGCAATATTGAAAATACTAATTAATAAAGTTATTAAGAAAAATACCAGGCATTCACTTGAATAATCTGGAAATATATTGAAAATATCTCTCATGTCTACTGAGACCTTGTTTGTTCCCACTGGTCAGGCATAGAGAAAATTAACTCCTGTTCCAAATTAATGTCACCATTATTAATACACATGGTAAAACCCAATAGCCTATATGGAAACAAATTTAAATTCTTGTCCACCTGTTCCATTGTTTGTGCTTGTATTCAAGATGTCCTTCCTATCTTCAGTAAACCTAATGTTATTCCTCTTTCATTCAGTTTCTTTCATATTTATTATATTAAACTTCCTCCATATATTCCTATTTCAGTTTCCTATAAAGCCTCAACTAAAAGCATGATGAGTAGTGCCAATGATGCATTCTTGTTTCAAAACATTTCACCTTGGCAAGTTTTGCAATTGCTACATAAAAGTAATAAGAGGCAAAACAGAGGGAGCAAAAATAGCTCCAAAACTGCAAAGAATATTTTATTTCATGAGGGAATTAACTTGCTTGCCCTCCCCTTCTCGGTGTTGAGTGGATCAAAATGGGTATCTTTAGTTACACTGACACAATTTGAATCAAATTGGATTGAATGTCTGCAGATAAGAATTCCATATTTTAAATCAATCTTGTTCCTCAATGCAAATATTTCCTTTACGTTAAAAGAAACATTTCTCTTCTTTCCATTTACATTCTTATTTTTTCTTATTTCATTTAAAAATGTATATCTAAAGATAGAAGATCCACTTTAATAAAAGTATATGTGTACACACACACACACACACACGTATTTATCCACATTTTATATATACATATATATGTGTTAGTTTACACATATATAAAATATCTCATAATCTTGCTTATTCACCCATAATTGAAGTTAAAGTCTCTCCCCTTTTTTTTTTTTTTTATTGAGATGCAGTCTCGCTCTGTTACCCAGGCTGGAGTGCAGTAGCACGATCTCGGCTCACACCAACCTCCGCTTCCTGGGTTCAAACGATTCTCATGCCTCAGCCTCCCGAGTAGCTGGGATTACAGGCACCCACCACCATGGCTGGCTAATTTTTGTATTTTTAGTAAAGACAGGGTTTCACCATGTTGGCCAGGCTGGTCTAGAACTCCTGACCTCAGGTGATCCACCCACCTTGGCCTCCCAAAGTGCTAGAATTACAGGTGTGAGCTACCGCGCCAGGCCTAAAGTGTCATTGTTAATCGTTAAAACTGGCAGCATTTTCAGTCATAATATGCCTCAGTCCCCCTTTTTTCTTATCTATAAGAGATTATGTGATTTCCCATCAAATCAACTTTAGTCTTAATACTCCTTGAGTTGAACAGCATCTCTCCAATTACACCTTGCAATATCTACTTGTCAAGGTATGGATAGTAAGAATATTTTCTAATATATGAAAATAATTTCAATGTTGTTCTTTAAATGTGTATGAAAGCATACGTCTGCATTGAAATCACAATGACAATGTCATTATGAAACCTAGGTTTAATTAATAACAATCTGTGAGAATATAGCTCTACACTTACATTTCTGCAGCATGAGCTACTTGAGTGAAAAGAGCCATGTGTAAAATCGCTAAGTACGTTATAATGCTGATTGTGGGAAATGTATATTACATTGATGAAAAATTGCATTAAAGGTATTATCATCATTTGAAAGCACCAACGATTAATTCTACATTTAATAGGCATTTTTTTCATGGAATAAGGTAATCCAAAATTGAAAATCTTTAGCAACGTTGTGTTAATTTATAGGCAAGTTCAATCATAACTTATAATGATAAGAAATTCAAATGTTAAGAAATTTTTAAAAATTCAATATAAGAAGTTTAACACATTTAAGAATGGCTCATATGAAAAGGGTATATTTTAGTTATTCTGAAATAAAGCACCCTGCCCTTCAATCCACATACAATTTAAAAAATAAAAGTATGCAAATGGATGGCAATATATCTATCTTGAGAAAGGTAAAGTTTTAAAATATCATCAAGCTGAGATATTATAAAATGAGTTCTACTGCAACAATATTTTAGGATAATACCAGAGATGTCAGTTAAGCAATTTGCAAGTCGTATATTTCCCTGCTGTGTTTGCAAGATTACCTTGTGAATCATCAGGATCCATAACTTTAAAGGCTTTTGATTTACATTCACCTGAAATGCAAGGCCAAAAAGGACTTTGCAGATAAGACAAACAACATGATCTAGTATCTACAATACCAATAAAAAATAAATAAATAGCTCTCTTCTTCCAAAAGGCTGAAGCTGACACTCACTTCTCTTTCACAACCAGTAATTCTTGACAAATATATAGACTCTTTATATAGATTACATTGGAACAGCATTTTTACTGAAGCTTATTCATGTATTTTATATCCAAAGTGATGTCGGACGCTAAAGGTAGGATGAAAAGCCTTCTTTATGACATTTTCCAGACTTTTAATAATCTTCTATTCCTGTAGTTTTGGCCTCATTCTATTTTCTTTTGCAACTCCAATCAAATATAATTTTATTTTCTTTATATTCAAACATATTTTTACTGGTATTATTGCATTACTTTTATCTTCACCTCTTGTACTTTTACCAAGCAGGTCTACTTTCTGTTGATAAAAATAGATAACTAATATTTACCCTGTACTTTATATTTGCCGGGAACTTTTCTAAGTGATTTTAGATGTTTAGATGTATCAATTCATTAATCCTAAGTCTAGAAGATTATTATTATTATTATTATTATTATTACAAATGAGAAAAGTTACTGAGGGGTTAAGCAACCTCTTAAGGTCATTTGCTTTACATTAATGAAGCTGAAATCCAAACCTATTCAGTGTGGCTGCTTTTGTGTGTCTACCTTTCTTACCTGTTCTTTCATTTTCTCCCAGAATGTTCTAAGCTCAACTATGAATGTGGCCTCCAACAGCCATGGTTGCACTTTATAAGATCAAACTCTCAAGTCAAAGTTGAATAAACCTGTGCACAAAACGATTTTCTGTACTGGTTAAAGGAAGCCTGTGTGCGTGTGTAGGCATTCACGATGTATATGAAAAACCATGGAGAGCTGGTCTAAACAAAGAAAGTAAGGCTGATACAAAAGCAGAAGCAGAGATAAGATGGTAAGAAGAGCAAAGTATAGTACCTATATTTTTACTGGTTCTGGAAACACTGCTGCCTCCATCTAATCTCACTCCCTCTCTTCCTCCAACTCACACACAATTTAACTTGAAGCAGCCATATTTGTACTACAGTAAAGTTTCAAATTGCAATTTGGGTTAATCCAGTTAATCTGTGTATGGCTATAAAACATAATTGTAACCCTACAATTGGGGGTACAGTAATTGTACCCCTACAACTGGGGCTTCAGTAATCTACCATGATGACTAAGAAGTACTAAAAGAAAGTTTAAAAATGGAGAAATAAAGACTAAAAAATATGCAAATAGAGAAAAAAATGTAAGATCCAGAAAACATTGATGGCTCTCTCATTTTTCTTATGCTCCTTTCTGGGTCACTAGCACCTTGTTATATTTGGGTTCTGTGGACACAGTTGTAGTCTAAAAGTATTGCGAATCCCTGTTTGTATTGCAATAGATAGATAGATAGATAGATAGATAGATAGATAGATAGATAGATAGAGATACGTGAATCTGATTATATCCAACAAACATATTAAATAATATACTATTTTTTCACCTGCCGATAATAAAAAGTGTGTTTTCTCAATGGATATTGTGGGAGTATAATAAATAAAGAAGTAAAATGCCTAGCAAAAAGTAAACATTTATAATATATCTGTTTCTGCAAATCTAGTTCTTTTCACTCTATTTCTTTCCTTCCCAATTTTATTTATTATTGAGAACTGTTATAACACTGTTGTCTATACCACTGTTTTTAACATTTTGATTTTTTCTTTTATTTTATAAATTGAAATAATTTGACATAAAATAGTTGCAAAAATAACACAAAAACTTTCTGTATGCCCTTCACCCAAATTCTCCAAATGTTTACATCAAACATAGTTACAGGGTAGTACAATTAGCAAAACCAGGAAAGTAATTTTGCTATGTATCATAGTATTAATTAATCTATAGGCCCTATTCAGTTTTTACTAATTATCCCACCAATGCCTTTTTTGTTATGTAAGTCCAATTCAGGATCCCAGCTCCTATTTAATTGTCATGTTTTTCCAATCTTCAATACAAGAGAGCTGTTCTTTTTTTTTAAATGACTGCTGTATTGAAATACTACTGGTCAATTATTTTATAGAATTTATTCCAGTTTGTATTTGCCTTATATTTTTGTAATTAAACTGAAGTTGTAAATTTTTGGTAATTTTACTACAGAAGTAATTTAATGCCTTCCCAGTATATCATATCAGAAGTTATATGACATCTATTTGTCCCAATATTGTGTAATGTTAACCTAGATAACTTTGTTCAGGTAGGTTCTGCCAGGTCACGTCACTGTAAAGTAATTACTTTTGTTTTTGCATTCAGTAAATACTTTGTGTGAAAATAGTTTAAGGCTCTGAAAATATCATATCTAATCAAACTTTCTCAATAATTTTAATTAATATTAGCATCTTCTATGCTTCTTGCCCATGGAAGTTATTACTGCAGTGATTGACGAAGATAATTTTCTATTTTCTCTATTTTTCTACATTTTTAATTGGAATTCTACTGTAATAAAAAGTGATCTCTTCTACCCAATGTACTCATTTACTCAATTGTTAATTATATTGTTATGAAATAATGTATTTATTTTATTGTCTAGTTAATTCTTCATTATTGTTGTTGCTAAAACTTTTCTATATTTAGCCAATGGGAGATCTTTCAAGTTGAATTCTGCATCTTTTAGATCAGCCAACATCATTTTTTGAATATGGAATGCCTTACTTTCTGACACTACACGTGTTCCAGGTGTGTCTTATGCTTTCTTGCTCTAGCTCTGGCATCAACATTTTTTTAAGAGCTCTATTTCATTTCATTGCAAGAATGATATTTTTGTTTGTTTGTTTCATTTGCTTTTGAGGTCTTAGTGATAAATTCTTTGCCTACGCCAAAGTTCAGAAGAGTTTTTTCTAGGTTATCTTCCATAATTTTTATGGTTTCAGGTCTTAGTCTTTGATCCATCTAGAGTTGAGTTTTGTATAAGATAAGATAGAAAAATTCAGTTTCGTTCTTCTGCATATGGCTATCTAGTTTCCTCAGTACCATTTATTAAATGGAATTTCCTTTCCCCAGTTTATGTTTTTGTATGCTTTGTCGAAGATCAGTTAGTTGTAACTATTTGGCTTTATTTCTGTGTTCTCTATTCTGTTTCGTTGGTTTATGTGTCTACTTCTTTGCGAGTACCATGCTGTTTTGGTTACTATAGCTTGCAGTATAACTTGAAGTCAGATAATGAGATGCCTGCACATTTGTTCTTTTGGCTTTGGATTGCTTTGGCTATTCAGGCTCTTTTTTTGGCTCCATATGAATTTTAGGATTGCTTTTTCTAATTCTGTGAAAAATTATGTTGATATTTTGATAGGAATTGCATTGAATCTGTGGATGGCTCTTAGTAGCGTTGTCATTTTCACGATACTGATTCTTTCAACCCATGAGCCTGGAATGTGTTTCCATTTGTGTGTGTTAACTATGATTTCTTTCAGCAGTGTTTTGTAGTTCTCCTTGTAGAGATCTTTCACCTTCCTGGTTAAGTATATTCTAAGGCATTTTCTTTTATGTTTTTGACACTATTGTGAAGGGGATTGAGTTCTTGATTTGATTCTCAGCTTGGTTATTGTTGGTGTGTAGCAGTGCTACTGATTTGTGTGCATTGATTTTGTAACCTGAGACTAACTGCATTTGTTTTCAAATCTAGGATTGTTTTGGAAGAGCCTAGGGCTTTCAAACTATACAATCATATCATATACAATCATATCATGGATGAACAGCAATAGTTTGACTTTTTCTTTTCCAATTTTCATACCCTTTATTTCTTTCTGGAAGAATGATATTTAGGGCAACATCTAGGTACTAAGTGTATTTATTGTTCCTGGGTTGCATATAAATACATACAAACACACACACACACACACACACACACACACTGTAGGGGGTGCAAAATTTTACCTTTCCTCTTTTAGGGTCTCTGGCTGGGCCTGATAATTAATTTGACATAAGACATATTAATAGGAAAAAAGCATACAAAGTTTTTTTACACACATGGGAGCCCTCATAGGAAAATGAAGACACAAGTGGCAAAACCTAAGTGCTTGTATACTAGCTTGAAAAACGGGGCAGCATTGAGAAAGTAACTAAAATAGAGAGAGAAAAAGAAAATAAGATGATAAGAGTTATTTTAACAAGATCTATTTTTACAGAATTTGTTCAGCTTCGACCTCTCATCTCTGGTGATAAGAACAATTCTTTCTTCCAGGTATAAGGGAGGAAGCTTTCACTTGGGAGTTTTCAGGAAGAAAAGGAGAGGCATGAGCATCTCTTCTGCACATACTGTATTTCAAGTGCCTATAGACAAAATAATCCTTATGCCAAAGTGGCATGTTTTGGGGGCATATTCGCCCATCCTTCAACACACACATGCACAATCTGCACCTATTTCTGTTTATCTCCATTTGTGTGTGTGTGTGTGTGTGTGTGTGTGTGTAGGTTGAAAACCATTAGTTTATACTGGTATTTCAGATTTCAGCCTAACACCAGAGGGTTTATTGTATCCTTCCTCAATTTCGTATTCACAACCCCATTCTCAGACTGATTCATCTGGCTCTCAAAATCCATGATATAGTTCCCTATTTTCTTATACCCTTCTGAAAAACAAATTTACTAAATGGAGTCCAATATTTATGTACAATATTGTTCATCTTTAGCCTTAAATTATGTCAAAATATAGTGTTTGCCAAAATCACTTAGGTTAGGTTCTTTTCTTTTGCATACCCTTTATCATTGTTACATTATTCATTTGTAACACATGTAAGTACATTTATTACTAATTGGATTAATTTTGGGTTTCCTACATATCTAAGATAATTTTTATTTATTTATTTATTTATTTATTTATTTATCTATTTTTATTTATTTTTGAGACGGAGTCTCGCTCTGTTGCCCAGGCTGGAGTACAGTGGTGCAATCTCGGCTCCCTGCAAGCTCTGCCTCCCGGGTTCATGCCGTTCTCCTGCCTCAGCCTCCCGAGTAGCTGGGACTACAGGCGCCCGCCACCAAGCCTGGCTAATTTTTTGTATTTTTAGTAGAAACGGGGTTTCACCATGTTAGCCAGGATGGTCTCAATCTCCTGACCTCGTGATCCGCCTGCCTTGGCCTCCCAAAGTGCTGGGATTACAGGCGTGAGCCACCGCGCCAGGCCTAGATTTTTATAACTATGTACTCTATTCCATTTTCTTTTCCTTTTAATATGTAGAGATTTTATAACAATTGTGTCAAAATGGAAGGAGGATCGCTATTCATGAATGATATAGAATGGTTGAGACACTGCTCTTTTCTATGTTAATCTCCAAGGCCATGCTTCTCATTCCAAAACCCAAAAATGTAATGTATCACAGGAGAAAAAAAATACATTCTAGGTTGTATACACTAAAGGCCCCCCTCAGTCTTAAATTCTGCACTCTGGGAGACATGCAGGATTTAGCATAATTTGTGATAAATCACAATTTTACTCTCTGCAACTTCAGGTAGTAAGGTGGTTCTACTTTTTAGAGACTCTGGTCTGGGAGCTGTTGCCCCCACTGCTGGTATCAAGCAATATAGATTATTGTGTCTATAATATTAGCTTCTGTAGATTTGACTCCCCTCTCTCATCCTGGAGCAGGGCAGTTATTTTTTGGGGGGCTTTGGGACATTGTCAATTGCCTTATCATGTAAGGACCATTTCTTCACCTTGATTTACTGAGTTTGCTCTTTTTAAAATATGTTAAGTACCCCCACACTAGTCAGTTGTTTTAGCTTTTAAATCCATTAGACAAATATTTTCAGTAACCATTTACACACCTGCAGTCATTGCATTAACTTAGAAAGTATTTCACAGAAATTCATAAGCTGTACCCATATATACCTTATATACTGTCTTCAAAATAGCTTGTTTATCATAGTCTGGACAACTAAAATAATGTTAGTAAGTAAGCACATGTGAAAATATTATAACATTTTTCTCCCCAGGTAAACATGACTTAAAGGGGATTTTCTTTTATCACTCAGTAATAATATATCTAAATCATACCTCTAACAGGAAAGTATAGCCATGAGTGTCAGGGTATTTTTTCTTTTTTCTTTCTCTTTTTTTGGTGAAAAGACTGATCTGTTGTGTGTATGTGTGTGTGTATGTGTGTGTATTCTACATATTATTTTGCGTGACTCCTAAAAATGGCCCTAGTTATTCTAAGTTGGCAAACACGGAAATAACCACTTTTCTGTAAAATCACTGAGCCAAAACATTAGTTTTCTTTCAATATTTTGTGGGCTTGATTTACATTATTGGGTATTGATCCCTGCCTGTCTCTGGGCAGAGAGTAATTTTCTTGTTTCTAATATACCTTAATAGTGAGTATAGACCATGGATCATCTTGACACGTTTCTCTTGCTTTAGAAAGTGCAAGACTTGGCCGGGCACGGTGGCTCACACCTGTAATCCCAGTACTTTGGGAGGCTGAGGTGGGTGGATCACGAGGTCAGGAGATCGAGACCATCCTGGCTAACATGGTGAAACCCCGTCTCTACTAAAAATACAAAAAAAAAAAAAATTTAGCCGGGCGTGGTGGTAGGCGCCTGTATTCCCAGCTACTCGGGAGGCTGAGCAGGAGAATGGCGTGAACCCGGGAGGCAGAGGTTGCAATAAGCCGAGATCACACCACTGCACTCCAGCCCGGGCGACAGAGTGAGACTCCATCTCAAAAAAAGAAAATAAAAAAGAAAATAAAAAGGAAAAAAAAAGGTAGAAAAAGACAGTGCATGACTCTGGAGAAGCCAATGAGTCAATAGGAAGGGGAACTGTGCCTCTTTCTCTCATATTTGAACTTGCCATGCGAGCAGATATCCTGAACTACATTTATCATTAGAAAGACCTTTTTTTTTTTTTTTTTTTTTTTACTCTGATAACACTGACCTGACCAAAACTCTAGCAACTGATCTCTTGTGAGAGAGCCTATGAGATTTTATGTCTGAAAATTCATTACCCCAAATCACTGAAGGTCAGCACTGACTCTTCTTTTCCTTTTTCTTTAAAAAAAAAGAAAAAAGAAGTTGAAATTTTAAATGTTTAGAGGCTTAACTATAACTACTGTTAATGAAGCTTAAGGCCAAAGCAGAGACAGAAATCAAAGACAAAGTGACATCATGTCACTAAATTAGGCTGAATTCACCCTTATCTGAATTTTTTCATTTTTTCTTTTTTACACTGTAAGAACCACATGCATATAAACTAAGAATAGCAGTGTATCTGGAACCTTTTACTCTGGAAAAATGTACATAGACCTGAATAAAAAACATTTTAAAGTCTCAGTGTAGGGCTCGTGCTGATGTTCTTATGGAAGATTTCTTAACATCTATTTACCCTTCCTCAAGCTTACATCACAAAAAGAATGTACTTTTATAGAGGTGCACATCATTCTTAAACTTGAATGGAAATGATCTCTTTAAAGTCTGTCTTGCGCACTTGCTCTATCCTGGACCTCACCTCTCTTCCCACTGGAATAATGCCTGCATTTAGCAACATCTGTTACAAATAGTCACCATTTTACACCAGTGTTATCCATTATATGAAGCCCTGTTTGATAAAATAAATAAATCTATCCAAGGAAGAGATTTATTGTACACTAGATGATGAATTTGGTGTTCTCTAAACTCTCAAGAGTTCTGTTTTCTAGCTATTTGGCTCATCTTTTTGAAATCAAACAGGGAACATAATCTACTAGCCTTTCTCTCAACAACTTTTTCTCTTGATTCAGTACAAGTCTTCAGCATTCAACCTCATCTGTCAAATTGGGTAAGCACAGGTTATAAAAAAGAAGTGTGGATATTGCTTTTTATTTTTATAAGTATGCCAAAATTTACACAAGGAAATTGGAGGAATAAAGATCCACTCAGAATTCAAAACTAAATCTAATCATTTAAATGTAGATAAGAAAAAATCCTGTATCATTAAAGAATAGGAAAAATGAATTTACTTTTAAAATAAATTATGATATCTATTCACTTATAAATTTTTATTGCATCATAGCAATTTGGATATATTTGCAGAACTGAGATAAAATTCTACTATGTTTCATAATTGAAATATATGAAGAGAATGGTTTCTTTGAAAATGATTTATGGAATTCCAACAATAATGTATACATAGAAGAACGTTATTAGGCAATATAGATACAGATGTTTAGACATAATCTATGCTCTAAAAAAACTTGTAATCTAAGTGCAGTAGTAAAATTTACATTAGTATAATCAAAGATCTAATAATTTCTTATGTAAGGGACTGTACAACAACTTTTTAAAAAATGTATCCTGTTAAAATGCAAAACTAAAAACAAATAAGCAAGACATAAATACACAAATGCATACATAAAAATATAAATAAAAATAAATGAATAATTAGGAATACATATTAGGAGTAGAGGTCATACTTGATATTTAGTTAGTTGACGTGGAAGTTAATTTCTACATTCAGTTTTATTGTCAGCTATCTTCATTTTAAAATAATTTTCCTTACTTTAAATTATGTGTCTTGAATTTTATATACTAAAATTATTTACTTAAAATCTTTTCTTTACTAAAACTGAATACAAAAACACATACATTATTAAAATATTAACATAGGTTTAACTCCTTGTTCCAATTTAAAGTACTGTCATTTATTAACAAAATTATACTGAACATTGTTTAAATATATCTTTGTGAATGAGGGTTATAACATTGGCATTAACAATATTAATATGTTTTTGTCTAATGACATCTTCAAAGAGCTCTGACACCTTTAAAATTTTTTGACTCTGGGATAAATTACATAATAACGATCCATTTTTACTACAGATATTCTGTATTCTTTTCTTTTGGTTTGTGAGTGTGTATGCGTGTGTGTGTGGGTGTGTGTGTTTATAATTATCCAGTGGCCTTCTAAGGATGAAGCTGTTTTGCAAATATGAGAACAAAACGAAAGTGCTTTTGAAAAACTATTGCAGCTTAGAGGCCTTTCAAATAAGCTTGCTACTTTTTGGTTCTTAGATAGATATATAGCAGATAATTCATTTTTCCATAAATATGAAGTATGTTAATATAAGACTAGCCATTAAAGGATTACAGAACTATTTAAATCATGAGGGAGAGAAGCAATAGTTAGGTTTCAAAATCAGAAAACCTAGTGAAAAGCAGTTATAATCACAATTATCTTTGAAATTCTCTCAATAATTCATCAAAGTGGAGACACATTCTTTCTCTTAACAGCTCTAACTATAGCCATTTTTTTCATTAATATTGAAATCATTTTTTAGTTAAGCACCAGATGAAATAACTTGTGGCAATGAAAAAATAAGTAACTTTTTATGTTAGAATAATGCTCAGTGTGGAAAAAATGCTTAAACTATTAAAAACCAATAAGATACAATGTTGACTATAATAGCTTGAATAATTTAAAATATATCATTATGCAGAAAACTTCTTTTTGTTTTAATTTTTATTTTGTCAAGTGCACAAGTACATACAGTTCAATCGTAATAATTTTCGTGCATGTGCTATGTGTGTGTGTGATCAGTTGCAATTATTAAATGACATCTTTCTTCTTTTATTTTACTCTTCATCGTATAGAAGTCTCTAGTAAGTCTTATTTCACAGTGCTCCAAGCATTTGTTACTAATGTGAAATCACTGGTGGGTGTTCTCTCAACAAAATAAAAAGCACCCAACAAAAAGAAAGCACTAAAAGCCTACTTTATCTAGCCAAGGGACCAGAAAGGCAGCCTAGACAAAAAAAGCTCTAGATAATAACTAGATAGTTGAAGCCAAACAACACACACAAACACACATACACACACACACAGAAACAGATGTTCACACATACATACATAAAAACTAGGGACACACTCCACTCTCCAGAACAGCAAAATCTGAACCAAGACCTAGGGTTTCCTGCCTTGCTAGGCAATAATGAGTTCCTCTTACCACTTTCCATGGAGTGGTGTCAGAGGAGACCTAGAGGAGAGTCAGGACTCTCACCTTTGCTGAGCAGTAAAGAGGTAAAACATCCCCTCCTCCATCTCTACATGAGTGGAGAACATGTGGGGAAAGTAAAATAGTCACTGCTACTCTTCAAAGCCAGGGAGTTATCAATTGAGGACTTGAGGGGAGTGAGAACTACAACATCTTCCAAACAGTGATGAGAAGAAACTCCCTTGGGTATCATTGGAAGCCAGTTGGGAAGCCTGAAATTCTACTTCAACCAAACAATAGTGAGACAGTGGTCATTCACTGCCAAAGCAATGTCAGCACATGCCAGCTAAAACCCTCATAACAAAACTATACAAATATATTATAAGAATGGAAAATGACTGGCAAAATATTAGCAAATCAAATCCAACAATGTACAAGGAGAATTATACAACATGACCAAGTTAGATTTATTCCAGGAATACAAGGCTGATTCAACATTTGGAAATGAATTAATGTGATTCATCACATCAACAGGCTAAAGAAGAAAAACCATACTGTCATATCAGTAGATTCAGAAAAAATTAGACAAAGTCATTACTCATTCATAACAAAAACTCTCAGCAAACTAGGAATAGAGAAAAAGTTTAACTCGAGAGAGAACATCTCCAAGTAAGCCACCGTTAACAACAAACTTGCTGGTGAGAAAATAGATACTTTGGAACTAGTATCAGGAATAGGACAAGAATGTCTCCTCTCACAACTTCAACATAATGTTGGAAATGTTAGGTAATGTAATAAAACAAGAAAATGAAATAGAAGATAAACATTTGGAAGGGAAATAAAACAATCTGTGTTCACAGATGACATGATGGTCTACACAGGAAATTCCACAGTATCAATTAAAAAAAACTGTAATAAGCAATGATAGAAAGATTGCAGGACACAAGATTAATGTACAAAAGTTAATTATTTTCTATATGATTACTGAATCAACAATTGCAGTTTAAAATCAAAAACAAAATACCATTTAATATAGCACCTAAAATATAGTACCTAAGTACAAATACAATAAAATATGTGCAAGATATATTTTTAGAAAATGACAGAACTCTGAATAAAGAAATAAAACAACTTATAAATAAATGTAGAGATATTCTTTACCCATGTATTGGAATACTCGATAGTCTAAAAGAGACAGATCTTCTCAAATTGATCTGTAGATTCAATGAAATCTCAATAACAATCTTTGCGTGCTGTTTTGTAGATATCTATAATTCTCAAGTTTATATGGAAAGGCAAAACTCAGAGTAGCCAACACAAAGTTAAAGTGTACACAAAAAGCAGAGAAATCATACAACCTAACTATATGTATTCTTATAAAGTTGCAGTAATTAAGACAGAATGGCATTGGCAAGAAAATGGACATGAAGTTAAATAGAAAATAATGAAGATCCTAGAGATACACCTATACACAAGTCAACTGTTATTTGACAAAAGAGCAGAGGCAATTTAGTGGGGGAAAATACTCTTTAACAAATGGTTATGAAAGAATTGAACTGTTAAATGTGAAAGATTTTAAAAGTGAATGTAGACCCATGCCTTTCAAACAATTGACTCAAAGTTGACCATAGGCCTAAATGGAAAACAAAACTATAGGACTAGAAGAAAATATAAAGGAATATCTTTATGACCTTGGATTTGGCAATGAGTTTTAGATACAAAACCAAAAGCATCATTCATAAAATAAGAGAAAAAGGAAACGCAAATTGAAGTTTAGGAAATGAAATGCTTTTGTGACGTAAAATACACTGTTAAGGCAATGAAAAGAGAAGCTGCAGACCGAGAGAAAATATATGTTAAAGACTTTTCTTATAAAGAATGTGTATCCAAAATATGCGAAGAAAAATTAAAACTCAACTGTAAGAAAACAAAATGTCTAATTTAAAATGCATAAAAATCCAAAGAAACACATCCCCAAAAAGGACATAAAACTAAAAATATATCAATAGATTCTCAACATTATTTGTCGCTAGAAAATTGCAAAATCAAATAAAACAATATTACTACACACCTATTAGGATGGGTAAACTTAAAATGTTGCCAATACCCACTTCCGGAAAGAATGCGAAGTAGAAAGAACTCTCATTCATTGTTGGAGCTAATTAAAATGACACAGACATTTTAGGAGAATGTCTGACAGTTTGTTGCATAATTAAGCAGATTCTGACCATACAGTGCATTAAACATACTACTAGGTATTTACCCAACTGTTTGAATCCGTATGTCCAAAAAAGATTATGGTGCAAGTATTTCAGCAACTTTTGCATAATCATTAAGAACTGAAAGCAACCAAAATGTCCTTTAATAGGTGAATGAATAAACAAACTGCATTAACTAATACAACTAAATATTATTCTGTGAGTTTTAAAAAAGAACTATAAAAACATACCAAGAAAGCTTAAGTGCATGTCGAAGTGAAATAAGTCTAAAAATGCTACATACTGTATGATTCTAATTTTATGACGTTCTGGAAAAGGCAAAACTGTAAAAACAGTTTATATTTATTATTTTGGCTTTTAGTTCTATTTTTCATAAACCTTTTGAAGCCCCTTTGTATTTTGGATTGATTAAAACCCATTGATCTTGAATGAGTGAACCTTAATGTTTGCAAATTTAAAATAATAATTATAATAATTGAGGAGACCAGATAATCTAAGGAAGAAATGCAAACAAAAGAGTCTAATTGTCCTACAAATGTATAAATCAACCTCTCTTTGGGAGTTTGGAAGGAAATGGAGACATGAGTAACTTTGGAAATGTGTAGAGTTTGTATAATTAAGGCAAAAGAAAGTACACATCAACACTGAAAACTAGTTATTAAGATTGTTTCCCAACTGAGTTAACAATTATGATGTGGTACACATCTACCACATTAGTTTCTGTTTTGTTATATGTCTCATTTCTTATTCTTTTGTTTCTCTTTTACTATTTCTAGGTTAGCATCATCGTTACTTTAAAAATTATTTACATTAGATATTTTTATTTAATTTCTTAGTATTTAGGGATTACAAGAGACAACTTATTTTATCAGAATCGACTTCAGTTTTAATCTAACTTAATTTTAGTAAAATGTGTGACTGTTACTCCTATATAGCTCTGTTTTCTCACTGCCTTTTTTGTACTATTTGTACATAATTTATATATGTAACAAATTCAACAATGTAGTATACAATTTTTTTACTTTATGCAGTTTGTCTTTTCTATATTATTTGTTTTTTCATTCCTCCATTACTGTGTTCTTTTGTGTTAAATATTTTATAATGCACAATTTTAATTCCCTTATTATTTATTTTTCTATATATTTTGAGTTTTATTATAAATGGCTGCCCTGGGGAGTAACATTAATATCTTAATTTATGACATTATAGTTTAGAATAACACCAACTTAATTTCAACAGTATACAAAACCTTTGATCCTATGTACTAAGTTTTACCTTTCCTTCATATTATTATTGTTACAAATTATGTCCTTACACATTGTGTTTTTCTCAACAAACATTTATTAGTATTGCTTTATGCAGTTGCCTTTTTATAAAAAGGAATTTCAAAGAAAAATACATTTATACTGTTTTTTAAAGATAGTATTATTGAGATATTGTTCACATACCATATAATTAATCCATGTAAAGTGATGAATTTAATGGTTTCAATATATTCACAGACATGTGAAGCTATCATCCCAATTAATTGTGGAACATTATTTCCACACACACAAAATAACCTTTCCAAAAAAAAAAAAAAACTTTAGCTAGCACCACTCTTCTCCTCTAAGCTCCCCTCCCAGCTCCCAGCTCTAGAGAACCTCTGATTTATTGTACTTTCTATTGTAATAGATTTTTGTTTTTGTTCTGGACGTATTATAAGAATACAGTCATATAATATATATATGGTCTTTAATTACCGGCTTTTTTCTCTTAGCCTAATGTTTTCAATATTCATCCATATTGTTGAACGTATAATTCCTTTTTAATGGCCAAATAATATTCTCTTGTATGGATGTATGACATTTTCTTTATCAGTTCATCAGTTAGTGATTGTTTCCAGTTTTTACCTCTTGTGAATAATGCTGCTATAAACATTAATGTACAAAGTAATGGCATATATTTTATTTCTCTTTGTATATGAACAGGAGTGGAACTACTAGATCATATGGTAACTCTATGCTTAATTAATTTCAGGACTTGCAAACTGTTTTTGAATGTAACTACATTATCTCTACATTATCTACACATCTATCAATAGTTTATAAGAGTTTTCTTTTTTCCATCATTGCCAATACTTGCCTTCTGACTTTAGCTTTTGACTTTTAGCTTCTGACTTTAGGACAGACTATAGCTGTCCTAGTGGGGAAGAAAGTGGCATCTCATTGTCATATTGATTTATGTTTCTATAACAACTAATAGTAATTAGACATCATGTCATGTGTTCATTGGACACCTGTATGTCTTCCTTAGAAAAAATATTCACATCCTTTGCCCATTTTTAAATATGCAGATCCTTTGCCCATAGATTGTGTGTGTGTGTGTGTGTGTTTGTGTTTATCACAAAGATGTCAGTGTTCTTTACATATTTTGGCTTCAAATTTGTTATCAAATGCATGGTTTGCAAATATTTTCTCCCATTCTGTGAAAGAAATCTTTATGTGTTTTCTTTTTCTTTTTCTTTTTTTTTTTTTTTTTTTGAGGCAGAGTCTCGCTCTGTCACCCAGGCTGGAGTGCAGTGGTGTGATCTGGGCTCACTGCAAGCTCCGCCTCGCAGGCTCATGCCATTCTCCTGCCTCAGCCTCCCGAGTAGCTGGGACTAAAGGCGCCGGACACCACGCCCGGCTAATGTTTTTTTTTGTATTTTCAGTAGAGACAGGGTTTCACCATGTTAGCCAGGATGGTCTCGATCTCCTGACCTCGTGCTCCACCCGACTCAGCCTCCCAAAGTGCTGGGATTACAGGTATGAGCCACTGCGCGCGGCCTATGTGTTTTCATTTACTTGATGTCCTTTGAAGCACAACATATTATATTTTGATAAAATACAATTTATTTATTCTTCTACTGTGTGTGCTTTTGGTGTCATAACTAAAAATTCTTTCTCAAATCCAAGATCACAAATATTCATTCCTATGTTTTCTTCTATTAGTTTTATAATCCTAGCTCTTACATTTAGCTTTTTAATCAATTTTGAATTAATTTATTATTTATATGGGATAAGAATCCAACTTCATCCTTTTGCCTATGGTTATCCAGTTGCTCCAGCATGATTTCTTGAAATGACAATGCTTTCTCTTATTGAATAATCTCAATGTGCTGGTTGAAAATCAGTTGATTACAGATGTATGAGTCAATCTGGACTCTAAATTCTATTCCATTGATCTATGTTGTCTATTTGTGTACCAGAACCATGTTGTAATTGAAATTCCTCAAGAGCAAGTGTTGCAGTTGGAAACTGTGAGCTTTCCTGCTTTGTGCTTCTTTTTTTTTTTTTTTTTCAAGATTGTTTGACCATTCTAGGTTCCTGGCAATCTCATGTGAATTATTTTTATAAATGTTTTTTTATTTCTGTACGTTTTTGGGGACCAGGTGGTATTTGGTTACATGAGTAATTTATTTAGTGGTAATTTGTGAGATTTTGGTGCACCCATCACCTGAGCAGTATACACTGAACCCAATTTGTAGTCTGAACTTTCACACTTGTCTCACCCTTTCCCCCAAGTTCCCAAAGTCCATTGTATCATTCTTATGCCTTTGCATCCTTATAGCTTAGCTCCCACTTATGAATGAGAACATATGAAGTTTGGTTTTCCATTCATGAGTTACTTCACTTAGAATAATAGCCTTTAATCCCATACAGGTTGCTGCCAGTGCCATGAATTCATTTTTCCTCTGGGTAGATACCCATAGCTGGATCAAATGCTAGTTCTACTTTTAGTACTTTAAGGAATCTCCACACTGTTTTCCATAGTGGTTGTACTAGTTTACATTCCCACCAGTAGTGTGGAAGCGTTTCCTTTTCACCCATCCACACCAACATCTAGTATTTTTTGATTGTTTGATTATCATTAGTAATGTTGATCTTTTTTTCATATGTTTGTTGGCCATTTGTATATCTTCTTTACAGAATTATCTGTTCATGTCCTTAGCCCACTTTTTAATGGGATTTTTGTTTTTGCTTGCTAATTTGTTTACGTTTCTTGTAGATTCTGGATATTAGTCCTTTGTCAATTGTATAGATTGTGAAGATTTGTTTCTACCCTGTGGGTCGTATGTTTACTCTGCTGACTATTCGTTTTGCTGTGCAGAAGCTCTTTAGTTTAATTAAGTCCCATCTTTCCATCTTTGTTTATTTTTTGCATTTGCTTTTGAGTTCATGGTCATGAAGTCTTTACCTAAGCCAATGTCTAGAAGGGTTTTTCCAATGTTATGTTCTAGAATTTTTATAGTTTCAGGTCTTAGATTTCAGTCCTTATTCCATCTTGAGTTGATTTTTGTATAAGGTGAGAGATAAGTCCAATTTCATTCTCCTACATGTGGCTTGCCAATTATCCCAGAACCATTTGTTGAATAGAGTGTCCTTTCCCCACTTTATGAATTCTTGAATCAACTCATTAATTTCTACATACATACAAGTCAGGGGATTTGATAGGAATTATGTCAAGTCTGTAGATCAGTTTGGGAAATATTGCCATCATAATAAAGATAAGTCTTTCAATCCATAAATAAGATTTTTCTTCAATTATTTAGGTTTTGAAATGTATTTAAAGAATATTTTGTAATTTTGGAGTACAAATTTTGAAATTTTAAAAACTTCTTTCTAAATATTTTAATCTTTGACACTATTATAATAAAATTGTTTCCCAAATTTCATTTCCTAATGGTTCACTTCAAGAATACAGTGATATGATTGATTTTGTATATTTATCTTGTATCCAATAATCTTACTAACCATGTTTACTAGTCCTAATAACTACAGATAATTTTTGTATCCACATTTATAAGAGCTAGTTGTCAGTAGTTTTCTTTCCTTGTGATGTATTTTTCTGGTTTGGTATTAGGATAATACTGGCCTCATTAATGAAGTAGAATATTTTCTATTCTTATATTTTTTGGAAGAGTGTGAAAAATTTATATTAATTCTTCTAAAATATTTGGTGGAATCAAGTGGCAAAACCATCTCGATGTTGACTTTTCTAAGTAGTTTTTGACTACCAATTTGATCTCTACATTTGTTATAAATTTGATTGTCCACTTTTTATGCCTGTTTCAATAGTTAGTATGTTTCTAAGAATTTGTTTCCACTAGGTTATTAAATTTTTGGTGTGCAATTATTCATAGTATAATTAGGTCTACAATAATTTTCATTTCACTGATGTAAATTGTAATGTCACCTCTTTCATTTCTGATTCTAATTACTTATATCCTCTCTATTTTTATTTTGGTTAGTCTAGGTAAATACGCTCCCAAAACTAATATTTTGAAAAAGGATAAATAAAATGAACAAAATTTTTAAAAAAGTTTTGTCCATTTTGAGGAAATGTTCAAAGAAGTAGCTTTGGGTTTTGTTGTTATTCCCTGTTGGATTTTTATCTTCTATTTTATTAATTTTTGATGTATCTTTATTATGTACTGCCCTGTGCTTGCTTTAGGTTTGGTATACTCTTTTTTCAGTGTTTTAACATATAATGGCAGGCAATTGATTTTATATCTTTCATTTTCCTTATATAGGTTGAGTGTTCTGTAGATGTCCTTCAGGTCTATTTGGTTTATATTGTCAGTCTTCTATTTCCTTCTTGATTTTCTTTGTAGTTGTTCTGTCCATTTTTGAAAATGGGGCATAGGAGTCCCATAAAATGTTATTTTTTATGTCTAGTAATACTTTTGGTTTTAAAATCTATTATTCCTGATAGTTGTATAGCTTCTCTAGTATTTTTTTGTAATTGCTGATTGCATGACATATTTGTTTCTATTCTTTAGCTTTCAATCTATACTTACCTTTGAATCTAAAACTTGTCTCATGCAAAAAGCACAATGTTCAATCATTTTTATTCAGTCTGATAATCTCTGACTTTCAATTCGATTTTTAGTCCACTTACATTTAATTTTACTATAAACATAGACGATTTTTCTACCCTTTTATTTTGTTTTACATATCTCATGTCTTTTTGTTGCTGTATTCCCCTTTTACTGCTTTCTTTTGCATTGAGTATTTTATAATGTACTATTTTAATTTATTTAATATAGTTAATGCTTTTTATACTATTGTTTGATTTTTTCAACACTTTCTTTAGGATTTATCATATTCATTAACTTAGAATCAGCTTCAGTTTTTTTTTAATTTTACTATTATTATACTTCAAGTTTTAGGGTACATGTGCACAATGTGCAGATTAGTTACATATGCATACATGTGCCATGCTGGTGTGCTGCACCCACTATCTGATCTTTGACAAACCTGAGAAAAACAAGCAATGGGGAAAGGATTCCCTATTTAATAAATGGTGCTGGGAAAACTGGCTAGCCATATGTAGAAAGCTGAAACTGGATCCCTTCCTTACACCTTATACAAAAATTAATTCAAGATGGATTAAAGACTTAAACGTTAGACATAAAACCATAAAAACCTTAGAAGAAAACCTAGGCATTACCATTCAGGACATAGGCATGGGCAAGGACTTCATGTCTAAAACACCAAAAGCAATGGCAACAAAAGCCAAAATTGACTAATGGGATATAATTAAACTAAAGAGCTTCTGCACAGCAAAAGAAACTACCATGAGAGTGAACAGGCGACCTACAAAATGGGAGAAAATTTTCGCAACCTACTTATCTGACAAAGGGCTAATATCCAGAATCTACAATGAACTCAGACAAATTTACAAGAAAAAAACAAACAACCCCATCAAAAAGTGGGCGAAGGACATGAACAGACACTTCTCAAAAGAAGACATTTATGCAGTCAGCTTCAGTTTTATACTGGTTTAATTCCAATTATATGCAGAAATGTTACTTCTGTGTTGCTGTATTTCCTTTTCCTCCTTTTATGGTATTATTATTACCCATATTACATCCATTAACATCAAAAACCCAAAAATATATTGCAATAATTCTTACTTTACAATTGGTAGTTATTTACTTAGTCAAATACTCACTTGCTCACATCCACCTCCTCTGTGCTCATGTTGGCTAATATGCTACACATGTGTCACATTTCTTTATGTTAAAGACCCACAATATATTACATATGTAATTCTTATACAATTTCTCTTTAAACCAGTTAAGAAAAGAAAGAAGAAAAATTAAAACTGTCTTTTAGAGTTATGTATTTGCCTTTACTGGTGCATCTTCCTTTTATTTAGATTCAGAATACTGTCAGGATGCCTTGCTTTCAGCCTGAAAAAACTTTCTTGAATATTTCCTGTAAGGTGACCTGCTATCAAAAATACTTTCAGTTTTTCCTTATTTGGGAAACTTCCTATTTTGCCTTAATTTTTGAAAGATAGCTTTGCTGGATACAGGTTGTCTTGAGTGATAGGCTTTTTTTGGTTTGTTTTGGTTGCTCAATGAGAACACTGAATGCGTTATTCTGCTACTTTCTGGCATCCATGGTTTCTACATAAAAGTCAGCTATTAATTTTATCGGATTTCTATAAAAGAAATGATTACTTTTTCTCTTGCTGCTTTCAATATTTTTTCCTTATGTTTGACTTTCAGCATTTTGACTGTGTGGTCTGTTTTTTTTTAAAAAAAATCTCTTTGTGTTTATTCCATTTGAGTTTATTGAGCTCCTGAAAATGCAGGCTATTGTTTTCTAATAATTTTGGGACATTTTTAGTTACTATTTCTTCAAATATATCGCCTTTCTTTTTCTCCCATTCTCTGGCATTCTGTTTCACATATGTTGATACACTTTCTTAGGATCTTGGCTCTTTCTCAAGTTCTTTTTTCTTTGGGTTATTTGGCTTGCAGAATACCCATCTATCTTCATTCTCACTAATTCATTATTCCACTAGTTAAAATCCACTGATGAACCCCTCTAGTGCATTTTTTAAATATTTTACTTACTGTATTTTCAACTCAGAATTTTTACTTGCTTTTTTAAAAATATTTTTTCTCTATTCGAATGCTCTATTTGAGATGACATTGTCATCATATAGCCTGCTTTAATCATGTTTTATTATAATTCTGTGAATGTATTAAATGTCTATTATGATTTTTTTCCGATAAAAATGGCATTTGTTCACTCTTACAGGCAATTTCTGTTGTCTGAGTTTTTTCTAGGGTGTAGGTCATACTGTCATGTTTCTTTGTATACCTCAAATTTTGGTTTTGTTGAAAACTGGACATTACATATAACATATTATAGCAACTCTGGGTACTTCTTTTTTTCCTTCCCCACCTCTGCACCTAGTTATTGTTATCTTCTTGAATTGTTTAGTGACTGCTTGAATGATTTTTCTGAATGTCTATTTCTTTTCTCATAGTATTAACCTCTGAGGTTCTCCTTGGGGAGGTACAGCTTTGGGTATGCTAAAATCTTCACAATTTATACATCTGACAAAGGACTAATATCCAGAATCTACAAGAAACTCAAACAAATTAACAAGTAAAAGCAAAAACATCCCATTAAAAACTAGGCTAAGGACATGAATAGACAGTTCTCAAAAGAAGATATACAAATAACCAACTAACATATGAAAAAATGCTCAACATCACTAATGATTAGGGAAATGGAAATCAAAACCACAATGCAATACCACTTTACTCCTGCAATAATGACCATAATCAAAAAATTAAAAAATAATATATGTTGGCATGGATGTGGTGAAAAGAGAACACTTGTACACTGCTGGTGGGAATGTAAACTAGTACAACCTCTGTGGAAAACAGTGTGGAGATTCCTTAAAGAACTAAAAGTAAAACTACCATTTGATCCAGAAATCCCACTACTGGGTAACTACCCAAAGGAAAAGAAGTAATTATACCAAAAAGATACTTACACACGCATGTTTGTAGAAGCACAGTTCGCAATTGTAAGACTATAGAACCAGCCCAAATGCCCATCAATCAATGAGTAGATAAATTGTGGTATATATATGATAAAATTCTACTCAGCCATAAAAAAAAGAATGAATTAATGGCATCCACAGCAACCTGCATGAAACTACATACTATTATTCTGAGGGAAATTGCTCGGAAGTGGAAAGCAAAACATCCTGTGTTCTCACTCATAAATGGCAGCTAAGCTATGTGTATGCAAAGGCATAAAAATGATACAATGGACCTTGGGGACTCAGGGAAAGAGTGGGAGAGGGGTAAGGGATTAAAGACTACAAATTGGATTCAGTGTATACTGCTCAGGTGATAGGTGCACCAAAATCTCACAAATCACCACCAAAGAACTTACTCATGTAATCAAATACCACCTATTTCTCCAAAACTTATGGAAGTTAAAAAAAAAAAAGCATCCATGGGATAGTGGTACCGTAGGGCTCTTTATTTCTCTGATCACGCTCAACTGTTAAATCCCACGAATTGTCAAAGGATTGCTCAATTATTTGTAATAATATCATGGGGTGATAAACTGCTCTAAATTTAACCCTATAAAATCCTAGCTCCTTTTAAGGAATAGTTTCTGTGGTCAGTGTTTGATTTTTGTCTTGACCTTAGAAGCGCTTTTCTCAAATGCGTTTTTCCTGGGTCCTTTTCTGCAAACTAAGTGGACTATAGTTTTATCTGTATCTTGAATCTCCACGTTTTCTTTCACCACAACTTCCACTGTTCTTGAGAGCACACCTAGGACCCAACTTCTCCAAACGTTGCTGGAAATAAAGTTAGTTCCTTTGTAAACGGATGAAGAGTTTTTGGTTTTATGGCCTGTGCTCCTCCCAGGTAAAATATTCGAGCTAGGAATATGTATCTAAGGGTGGAGACAATAGTCAGGTTCTCTCTAAGACTCTGCTCTAGGGTCTACATACTTGGTTGGGGGTGGGGAGGGAACAGCCCAGAGCCCTCTCAACTTGCCTCTCCATTTATGGAACCACCACCTGACAAGCTGTGTTAAGGGTGATTAGGACCTCAGTCTTCTCAGAACATCATGCCCAATGTAAAGTCTCCTTTCCACAAGTGAGGGTTGGGTAACAAAAGGGACCCTAATCTCTCAACCACTCTTAAGTTGAGCAATAGGTAATTGGGGTAGAGTGAGCAGTGCTGACATCCTGCTTCTCCTGATGACAAAGCTCTCCAATTGGACATTGGAAGGAGCCTTGTCTTCCTGGCTACAGCGATCTGGAGTAAAGTGCATCTTTCTGTGCATAAAGGACAAAGAGAAAAAAGTAGTCTTATTAAATGTTTATGTATTTTCTAGAATATATATTTTTTATTTGATACTGCACTCAGGACCATTGCCAAAGGCCTTGAGCACACACACACACGCATGCACACACGTAGTTTCACCAGTCTCAGTGGAGAGTGGGTGGAGAGTAGGTCAGTGGTACTTTTCACACTTTGATGCCTGAAGCTGATCTCTTTTAAATTTACCTATAGAGTTACCCTTAACAGTGTTATTTTTTTTTCTCATGTGTATTCAGATTACTCTCTATTATTCTTGAATTTTGTCCTAAACCACTTTCTTTAGAATTTCTTGCAGGGTAGTTCTGCTATTGGCAAATAGGCTCAATTTTTGTTTATCTGGAAAGTCTTAATAAATACTTCATTTTTGAAGGATGACTTTGCTAGATTTGGAACTTTTCTTTACTTTTTTTTTTCTTTTAGCACTTTGATTAATTCATATCAGTGCCTTCTGACTTTCATGAGGCCTAAGGAGAAATCAGTTAATTTTATTGAAGATCACCTGAATATGTTATTATTTCTCTCTTGCTGTTTTGAAGATTCTCTTTTTGCATTTGGCATTCAAATATATGATATTGATGTGAATGCCTATGGATCTCTTTTATTTTGTTGAACATGTAATTCAATGGGTTTCTTGGTAAATTAATGGTGATTAATATTTTTTCACCAAAGGAGATTTTTTTTGGCCATTATGTTTTCAAACATTTCTTCTGTTTCGTTTTCTTTCCTCTCCTTCTGAGATTCATATCATGAGAATTTTAGTATACTTGATAGTTTTCCACAGGCCTCTGAGGCTTTGGTTTTCTTTTTTTTTTTTTTCTTTCTGTTCTTCAGGCTGAATAATCTCAATGAACCTATGTTCAGGTTCACTGATTTTTTCTTCTGCCTGCTTAAATCTGCTGCTGAGCCCCTTGTAGTAAATTTTGTATTTAACTATTGCACTTTAAATTCCAGAACTTCTAGTTGGTTCTCTTTTATAACTTGTATCTTTTTATTAATACTCTGTATTTGATGAAATATTATTTACATACTTTCTTTTCTTACACAGTGTTTCCTTTGCCTCTTTGAACATGTTTAAAATAGATGATTTAATGCACTGGCTTTCTCAGGAACAGTTTGTTTATTTTTCCTTTTTATGGGCCATACTTTCTTGTTTCCTTGAACAGTTATATTTTTGCTTTGAAACTAGATATTTTAAACAATAATACAGTGTGGCTACTCTGAAATTTAGATTCTTTCATTTCTCTACAGTTTTTTGATTTTGCTGCTTATTATAGTCATTGTTTATTTGTTGGTGACTTTTTCAAATTTATTATTTAAGTTTTCTTTGCCATATAAGCCTATTGAATTATTTTCTTGGTTAGTTTAACAATTAGCTAATAAGACACAGATTTCCATAAATGCCTGGAACCAACACATGTTCAGGTATTTGCTAAAGGGTTCTGTGGACGTATTTAGGCTTCATTTTAATACTCAGCCAGGAAACATAAAGTTTCTTTCAATTTCTGCATAAGCAGAGACTTAAGATGAGTATAAGGTTAGAGCTTAGGGCTCCTCCTGTCTTTTCTATGCATGCACACAACCCTACACGTGCATATTGTCTTCCAGATTCCCTGGAATAAATAAAAGCTGTTGAAAGTCCATATAGGTGTCTCATTCCTTAGCCATATTTTAAAGATTTTTAGTTAAACTATTATTTTTTCAAACTGTTATCCATTGCTTCATGCAGGTGCAATGTTAAAATACTTTCTTGGAAATGTTTTAATAAACTTAACCTCCCCATTCCATCATCTCTCTTCTCCCTTTTAGCACTGGGTTGACTCTGAACCAGGTCAAATAAAGATAAGCCTCTATACTAGGGTCTTCTAGGAAAACAACAGAGAAGTCAAATAATGATGGTTTTGAGGATGAGTCTTGTAAAGAGCTCCAGCTCCACTCTGTTTCCTCCAGTATCAGTAATATGGATGTCATTTTCAAAGCTACTACTGAGCTGGGGAGTGGGGGCTGAAGCTAAGTAAACTGAAACATAACAAAGCTTACTTTTCTTACCAAAGGTCCCCTATTTTTCTTGAATAAACACTCACCCACTTGCTTCAAGGCTTTAGTTAATTTTCGGATTTCTGAAAAGTTGATTCAACAACTTTAGACATTTTTCTTGTTGCTTTTATGAAAAAGAATATATTTCGAAGGCCTCTACACTATTATTTTTATTTATGTCATAATATATAGCATTCTTAAAATAGAAGCAATGAAGAACAGAGTTGTGTTTACCAGAGTTAAGGAGAGGGTGGGTATAAGAGGGTAGTTGATACAGCTATAAAAACTGAAACACAAGAGATCTTTGTGGTGATGGAAATGTTCTATATCTTGACAGTACAAATGTCAGTATGCAGTGATTGTTAATATACTGTTAGGGACTGAATGTTTGTATTCTCTCAGAATTTATATGTTAAAACCCTAAACTCAATTTGATGGTATTAGGAGATAGGACCTTTGAGAGATAATTGGATCATGAAGGTGAAGCTCTTATGAACGGGATTAGTACCCTTTATAAGAGGCAAGAAACCTAGCTAGCTGTCTTTCCACCAGGTGACATTACAATAAGAAGTTGGCAGCCTGCAGCCTGGAGAAGGCCCTTATCAGAACCCAGCCATACTGGCACGTTGATCTTGGGCTTCCATCCTCTAGAACTGTGAGATATAAACTTATGTTGTTCATAAGCCATCCAGTATGGACCTGTCAGTATTGCTTTTTACAACTGCCTCTAAATCTAGAAATAACTCAAAATTTTAAAGGCAAAGAATTTATACTACCATGAGTTCAAAAAATATAAGTTTTTTCTTTTATTTTACCAGGTTGTCACTCATATGTGTAGTTAAGGTTAATTCTAATGAGGTATTATACACGCGCGCACACACACACACATACACACACACAAACTTCGTATCCATGTAAATTAAAAAGTAGTCATTTATAGTGTTTTATGTTTCTTTTAGAAAAAGAAAAAATAACAACTTCTACTGTTTATTATAGTTGTTAACTAATTATATATGAATGTATGTATCTATATATTAACTTTGGTTTCCACTAAATAAGTCATGGAAAATGATATTAAATAACTAAATTAATGAGGGCAAGCATAACAAATAATTTCTGTAATAAAAGCTTTACTAGGTCTCAAATAGCTTTCAGGTGGAATAATTGTTTTATTTCTATGAGAATGTTGAAGGCTTGTCTTAAAAAATATACGTTTGCTTAACTGTAACAAGGATGAGCAAAGCAAAAATGCACTTAATACAGTTACATAAATATGATGTAATTTATTTCTTTTAGCCTCAGTTTCCACTTTGGTATAATGTTTACAGGACAAATGAGGGTACTAATCAATGAGAAGTGAAATTGAAATAGGTCAAATATGGATTACTAGGGGATAGTATTAGAAAAATATCCCAGGCTTTAACATCGCTTAGTAGAAAATATTTTTTTCTATTGTACCTACTTTCCAATAGTTTAAAAGTATCATTTTATTTTGTTATGCTCTCCTTCAAACAAAGCATATTTTCATTGTATGAAATGCTTTCTAGTCACACAAACAACCTTGTGAAATACTTCTGAAATAAAGCAATCAGTTTTTGATCTGACAAATAATATATTTGAGTGAAATGGCATTGCACTGACTTCAGTGGTTTAGAACATTGAATGGTTGATAAGAGCACAAAATAAGGAAAAACAGAACAGAACTTATACTTCTATTGTAACAAAGCAATTAAAGATAGACAAGGAGAGAAGTTTACTCTAGTATACATAGAGATATTTGGGTAATATTTCCATAGACACAGATAAATATGCACTATTGGATAAAGTCCAAAACTATTTATTTCGGGATTCTCCCATTTTAATTGTTGGATTAATATTTGTAAATCATTTGTGATGCTTGGAACAATAAAATATTCTGAGTAACACAAACAAATACATATGTTTAGTCTTTAATAATTTCCAATTACAGTGGAAATGTCTGTGTGTGTGTGTGTGTTTACAATAACACACAATTATTGTACACCTCTGGATTAGCACCATAATCCATAATAGCACTGGCATTTCTATGAGGTCCTACGTGTCTGTAATTTAATACCATTAAACACCACAACTTTTGAATGTAGCCCATTACATCATTGTGTACTCAGCGAAAAGGAGTATAGCAAATGGCTTCTGATCTGAAGGAGTTTATGGAAATGGCTTTAGTAAACTGAAAAAAAAAAGAATGCATTGTAGCTTATGATAACCATATACAAGATACTATAAACAGTGCAAGATTAAAAATTTAGTAGATGACGAAGACAGTAGGATGTGCAGAAGCTCAGAAGAGGAAATGATAACAACATATAGAAAGAGAAAAACTTCACAGAGGAGGGAGAATTTTAGTAGATTTAATACCAAGTCATCTAGTGTGAAGTACAATTGTGAGCCTTGCATCCAAATTTAAATATTTCAATCTCTAATCTATATTCTTTTTAAATTTTTGACTTCCTGTTTCTTCTGAAAAGAAACCTGTTTATTTGTAAAGTTGAATCTTTCAGCAAAATAACTTCTCAATCCTTTGAATCTTTTCTTCCTCAGTTATCTTCTCTCTAATTAAACATAACGTTGATTGATACTGAAAAATTCAGATATTTTATGTCCATTTCCTATCAATTATAATTTAAAATCAGTTAAGGAAGTAGGAATATATAACTTAAAATTTTAACAAGGGGCTTATGATAAACTTTGCCCCAATGCACTTTTACATGTCTAAAGCAAGCTTTTATATTTACCACAATGTTTTATGTGTATGTCTATACTTTTTGTAAAATAGTGTTTTTCAACTGGTGTGTTATGATGCTGGAATGTCAAGATCAATTCAGAGCTATGTTACAAATTAATAAATAATAATGGCAACACTAAAATCCAATAATTTGCTTTTGCAAATAATTGCCTCATTACTCGTTTGAACCATCATATACTCTCTTGAATAGAAGATGAGAGGATGAAGTTGTAACTGTCTAGGAGAGAAGTTATGCTCAACACAGGAAATGGTCATTACAGCGTTTTCTACAGGATGCTGCTCTCAGTAATAGATATTGTGTTAGGAGACATGAAACTGGCTCTTTGAAAGAAGTGTCAGTAAAGGAAGAGCTGAATAAAAGCTCCTAAGACCAAATTTAACTTGAAAATCCAAATAAACATAGAACTTTAGTATATTCTTCCTAAATTGCATTTTTAAAATTGTTATATTGAGTCATTTCTTAAAAATTAAATAGATTTGGAAAATATCAATTGTTTTGGAAAATTATTTTGAAATGGAAATTGCTTATGCATAATAGTATAAATATATAAATATACCAAAATTACAGTGCTCAAGTATATACTTTTAAAATGAATAGTATTCTTATACCAAAGAGTATATGAGTATATGAGTTTATATTTATGCCAAGCATTTCAGAATAGAGCAAAATTATTTCTATTAACTATGCAGCCTGAAAAATTTTCCCACAATAATGTTTCATCAATGTATTTGTTTAATTTAGCCAGTAAGATATCTTATCTGCTTGTACTATACGTGAGTAAAAGTTTAATAAAATGATTGTTTCTCTAAAGTGGCTATTTTTGTTGTTCTAAGCGACTGGCAGGTATTTAATTAATAGTATAATGAAAATATTTTCTCTAGAAAGCTTAACGTGAAACCTTCAACTAGATGATTACATGAGAGAAGGCCTTAAAAAGAATAAACCTGAAAAATTTGTCAGCTGGACAAGAGAAATAATCTGTCATCAGCTAATTTTTTTTAGATTTTTTAATTTTTATTTTTAAGTATCATTGGGGAGATTGAAGCTAGTATCAGAGTTTATGCAGAACTTCCTTTGACAGTATCCATTAGATTATTACACAGGACTCAGTTTACCATGTGTTTTACGTCCTACAAAAGAATCGTGAATTAGAGTTCTCTTTTACCTTATTTCACTAGATACTGTACTTTCAAACCTGGATACTAATGACTGTCCTCCAATGACACATTGCTTTCCAATATCTGATGAATGGAGACATTCATCAGTAGCTACTTAAATGACAAGTAGATATCTTGACAGCACAAACAAATACAGTAATGTTATCTGAAAGCGGACCGATTCAGGGCTTTCCTCACCAGTGATAATTAGATGTTCCAGCTCAGTGATGTGTAACATTGTTCAGTTCCCAGGTGCATTTCTCCCAGAAAACATACCCAGATGGGTATCTACTATGTGTCTAAAACCTTTGTACTTATTTACACTGGTGTAAAGGAAGTAAATGCTTCTCTAAATAAGGGAAGATAGACAGTATCTTAAATCCATGAAAGAAGTATAGTGCTTTCCTTCCATATGTTTTATTCAATAGCACATTTCCTATTAATAGCTGTTTATCTATTTCTGTTTAGACCTGAAAATATCTCACAATCATGTTTTGGAAGTTGTATCTCTTTTTTTCTTTTGGAACTGTAATCTCTCCAACCAAGTACTTTTTCCATGAGGTAGACCCCCACATAGAAACAGACACATGCACACACACACAGACACACACACACACACACACACACACACTGACAATTTGCATACCCAACCAACAGAAAGTATATGATTATGTCAGTTATTAAAGTGTAAAAGAGAGAAAATACATATATATTATATATTAATGTATATACATATGTATATACATATATATATAGTGTGTGTGTGCCAACATGGCACATGTATACATATGTAACAAACCTGCACATTGTGCACATGTACCCTAAAACTTAAAGTATAATAATAAAAAAATTTTTAAAAAAGTTTTAACTAATTTCAAAACATTAAAATATATATATATATAGAGAGAGAGAGAGAGAGAGTGTGTGTGTGTGTGTGTGTGTGTGTGTAGAATAATTAAATATTTTATTAAAAACACTGCATCTTCAACCCAACATTTATATTTCTGGGAATTTTTCCCAGAGTAATGAAGATATATATTCACAGAAAAACATGTACACAGATATTTATAGCAGCTTTATTCACAACAGACAAAAATTGGAAACATCCCTATGTCCTTCCATAGGTAAAGGTTAAACAAATCATAGTGGATCTATACAGTGAAGTAGTATTTAGCAATAAAAAAGAACAAATTATTGATATAACAACTGATGACTCTCCAAAAAATTATGGTGAGTTAAAAAAAGCCAAGCTCAAAAGATTACATTCTGTATGCTTCAATTTATATAATATTCTTTAAATTACAAAATTATAGAAATAGAGAACAAAGTAGTGATTTCCAGAGGTTAAGGAGATAGTGAGAGCAAGAGGGCCCTGGATGCTGCTATAAAAGGGTGATAAGGTAAATCCTTGTAGTGATGGAAATGTTCTGTATCTTGATTGTATCAGTATTAATATCCTGGTTTTGTTATTACACTATGGTTTTCCGAGATGGGAAAAAATGATAACTTGATCCCTCTATATTATTGATCTCTATATTATTTCTTTCAACTGCATGTAAATCTATAGTTATCTCCACATGAAAAATAGTTTTTAAAATGATATAGCTTAACTACGTAGATAAAGTAATCAAAGAAATACATTTCTTAGCATTTCTTACCATTACATTGACTGAGATTGGCTTTTTCTCTAAAACATGCGTTTAAAAGGCAGCTGTGAGTTTATATGTCTTCTGTAACCTGTTAGTGTTACTATTTTTGAAGGTGTTTGGTAAGTATAAGCAATTCGACATAGAAACCAAATATAAGATGTTGATGGTGAGATGGATATTAGACAAGGCTTGTGACACCGGGTGGATAAAAGGTGGAAGTAATCTTGGAAACAAAGATTGTAAGAAAATAAACGTTGAGTATGTATCTCTGATTTTATTTTACTTATATTAAGGTCACATGTTCAGATTCTGAAGTAAAAGAAAGACAATATTTTGTATATCATATTTTTATTTTTTCATTCATAACAAGGAAATAATAATAATAATAAAGTAATTACCAGATTGTATTTCCCTTAATTTTAAATGAGATAATATCTGCAATGCTCCTAGCACCATCAATATTATAGAGTCTTAACTGAAGTGTTAGGATAGATTCAGAGGCAGCAAGAGATACTTTTTATTTGTTGCTTATGTCTATGTATAAACTTGCAAAATTATTTCATGTATTGGTTAAAACTTTATGCTTTTCCCATGGGTCCCAAGTTGTCTATGCTATCTGGAGTGACTTTATTTGCCTCAACACAATGGTGAACTTTCACTGATCGAATACCTAACTCAAACATTTCATTCTTCCAAAATATTTCCTTTCAAATTTCTCTGTACTCTCCACAGCTATATAATTCTGTGTTTCCTCCATTTCATCACTAAGGTTTCTTATATATGTTGTTAGTCAAACACAAATTAATGTGGATTGAATTGTTTGTATATGTTTAAGTTATATGTTCAGTTATAATTTATAATGCAAATTGAAACAGTTCTGAGAGTAAAAGGTGCTGCTATTAGTAATAATGTCAGGCTAACTGATATAAACCCAGATACTAACTTGGAACCTACATTCAAACCCGCTAATAAATAACAATCATGTGGAATCTGTGGATCATATATAATATATATACTTATATATAAAGTGTCTGGCAATTTGCTTCACATGTAATCAATGTTTAGTAATGTTCATGGCACCCGTATGTACAAATGAAACCTTAAGTAAAAGACCCAATACATATATACTCAGGCCAGTGACCTCTGGTGACTCCTGTGGCGCTAGTTAATAAGTTTCTGTCTATCAGTAATTTGCTTTACTATCCTGGGAATGGTGTGCTGCACTCCACATTTTTGTTTTGCCATCTTGTTCCTTTTTAGGTTCTGCTGGTAATGGACCCTTGAGAGAGACTGAAAAGGTTGAGGTGGGAGAAAGGCCTTGCTTTCTGTTTGTCTCTTATTCTTTTATCAACCTTGCTTCTTCACCATAGAAACAGCAGTAACTTCCAATAGCAGCAGTCGAATCTAGTTTGCAGGTTTTCTAAATGTTAGAACATCATTTTTTCCTCTTCAGAGACATCAGCACCTTGGGCTGAGACTCTTCTCTTCAGACTTCTAGGCTCAGCCGGTCAGGACCAACCTCCTCAGAGATCTGAATTTCAGTTGGCAGGGCTCTTTCTTAAAGCTCCTAAAGTATTATAATCCAAGCCATTTATTGCATTCCCTCAGCCTTAGAACTATCAGGTGTTTCCTGCAAATATTACCTCCACATTATCTCAGAATTCTCTTTGTGCATTTCCAGTTACCTATTTAACACTGTCATATCTACTTAGCAATTCTTTACATTAAGTCATTTTCCTAAATAATTGACATACAGACACTTTCTGTAGGATTAATATCACTATATATTTCCAAAGAATGGGTTTTTCTCCCTAAGGGCTCATGTTCTCACTCCATTCATTACTAATTAGCTGTCGGCTACCAAACGCATAAAAGCAGTAATCAGGCCTAAGAAGGAAATGAGACATTGTCATTGCTTCTGACTCAGTTAGTCTTTTTTAGCTTCATATCTGAATACTCTAACAGAAAATAATATTCTTACCTCCAACCATTTCTGACTGTAAAATCTCATGTTTTTACCTTCAGTGTGTAGGTAGCTTCTTTATAAACCATTCCTTTCTGATTTATTTCCTCTTTGAGTTTTATCATAAACAAATGCGTAATCTCATGAAAGAAGTTCCCACTGGCAGAACTTTAGCTTCCTTATTCATAGCCATATTCCTAATATACAGTATTTATTTTCTATTGTATAACTCTTCAATGTAACAATTGCAATGGTGATTTAATTCCCTAAACTATACAAAACTATAAGACATTAAATGCCCAGCATATTAGTGTTAATTTCCAGACACCTATTTTAATTGGTGTGGTGGATTACTGCATACAGCTCTTTTACTGGACATATCACAAATAATTATCTATGTTCACATGAATCTTCATAATGCCCATTTATTATATATGGCTAAAAATATTCCTCTAAGTTGATGTGTAAATATTTATGTAGTTAAACCTCTGATTTCGGACACTTAGTTTGATTTCAGATTTTTTCTACACCGTACCACACTGCAATGGATATGTTTGTGTGTCTGTGTGTGTGTGTAAACTTTTTCTTTTGGAATAGACTTTTAATATAAATTCCAAAAGAAAAAGTTTACACACATACACAAATATCTAGTTTTGGATATATTGAGTCAGAGAGAATGAAGTCATGTGTTTATACTAAAGCCAGACAGAATCTTCTTTTCTGATGGGTTACCTCTAGGCTCATCTGTGACAGGGGAAATCATGGCAGTCTTTCCTTATATAGTCATAAAATTCTGCATCAAAATTGGTACTAAAAAAATTGGTACTATATATTTCACGGCATACTTATTTGATAATACTGGGTGTTTCAGGTATTCAGTGGGAGAGGAAAGGGACAAGTCATACTGAGACATTCAATAGTCTAGCAAATTACTAACTTATTTTTGACCCTCAATCTGCAAGTGAGAGAAGGTTGATAAATGGAGAGACATTTAAATGTCCTTAAAAACACATCAGACTTTGGCTTGATAGTTCATTGAGGCAGGGAACATTATTGACAGGATGATGTTATCATCATTAGTCTATTCACTAGTTTTTCTGGTCCTTCACTGTTCACTGGTGGTTTGTTCCTTTTCATCCCCTTGAAGTTAGATAGAGACTTGATCTTATTTTCACCAGTGAAATATAAGCAGAGGTGATAGGCTCAATCACTTAGGTCAGAACAGAGGAGGATGTGCAAATGAGATCTAGATTGGAGTGAGTTTATTTTATTTATTTATTTTTTATTTTTATACTTTAAGTTGTAGAGTACATGTGCACAATGTGCAGGTTTGTTACATATGTATGCATGTGCCATGTTGGTGTGCTGTGCTCATTAACTCATCATTTACATTAGGTATATCTCCTAATGCTATCCCTCCCCCCTCCCCCCACCCCACAACAGGCCGCATTGTGTGATGTTCCCCACCCTGTGTCGAAGTGTTCTCATTCTTCAATTCCCACCTATGAGTGAGAACATGCGGTGTTTGGTTTTTTGTCCTTGTGATAGTTTGCTGAGAATGATGGTTTCCAGCTTCATCCATGTCCCTACAAAGGACATGAACTCATCATTTTTTATGGCTGCATAGTATTCCGTGGTGTATATGTGCCACATTTTCTTAATCCAGTCTATCACTGATGGACATTTGGGTTGGTTCCAAGTCTTTGCTATTGTGAATAGTGCCACAATGAACATACGTGTAAATGTGTCTTTATAGCAACATGATTTATAATCCTTTGGGTATATACCCAGTAATGGGATGGCTGGGTCAAATGGTATTTCTAGTTCTAGATCCCTGAGGAATCGCCACACTGTCTTCCACAATGGTTGAACCAGTTTATAGTCCCCCAACAGTGTAAAAGTGTTCCTATTTCTCCACATCCTCTCCAGTACCTGTTGTTTCCTGACTTTTTAATGATTGCCATTCAATGAGATGATATATCATTGTGGTTTTTGATTTGCATTTCTCTGATGGCCAGTGATGTTGAGCATTTTTTCACGTGTCTGTTGGCTGCATAAATGTCTTCTTTTGAGAAGTGTCTGTTCATATCCTTTGCCCACTCTTTGATGGGGTTGTTTGATTTTTTTTTGTAAATTTGTTGGAGTTCTTTGTAGATTCTGGATATTAGCCCTTTGTCAGATGGGTAGATTGTAAAAATTTTCTCCCATTCTGTAGGTTGCCTGTTCACTCTGATGGTGGTTTCTTTTGCTGTGCAGCAGCTCTTTAGTTTAATTAGATCTCATTTGTCAATTTTGGCTTGTGTTGCCATTGCTTTTTGTGTTTCAGTCATGAAGTCCTTGCCCATGCCTGTGGCCTGAATGGTATTGCCTAGATTTTCTTCTAGAGTTTTTATGGTTTTAGGTCTAACATTTCAGTCTTTAATCCATCTTGAATTAATTTTTGTATAAGGTGTAAAGAAGGGATCCAGCTTCAGCTTTCTACATATGGCTAGCCAGTTTTCCCATCACCATTTATTAAATAGGAAATCCTTTCCCCATTTCTTGTTTTTGTCAGATTTGTCAAAGATCAGACAATTGTAGATGTGTGGTATTATTTCTGAGGGCTCTGTTCTGTTCCATTGGTCTATATCTCTGTTTTGGTACCGGTACTATGCTGTTTTGGTTACTGTAGTCTTGTAGTATAGTTTGAAGTCAGATAGCGTGATGCCTCCAGCTTTGTTCTTTTGGCTTAGGATTGTCTTGGCAATGCGAGCTCTTTTTTGGTTCCATATGAACTTTAAAGTAGTTTTTTTTTCCAATTCTGTGAAGAAAGTCGTTGGTAGCTTGATGGGAATGGCATTGAATCTATAAATTACCTTGGGCAGTATGGCCATTTTCACAGTATTGATTCTTCCTATCCATGAGCATGGAATGTTCTTCCATTTGTTTGTGTCCTCTTTTATTTAATTGAGCAGTGGTTTGTAGTTCTCCTTGAAGAGGTTTTTCACATCCTTTGTAAGTTGGATTCCTAGATACTTTATTCTCTTTTAAGCAATTGTGAATGGGAGTTCACTCATGATTTGACTCTGTCTCTGTTATTGGTGTATAGGAATGCTTGTGATTTTTGCACATTGATTTTGTATCCTGAGACTTTGCTGAAGTTGCTTATCAGCTTATGGAGATTTTGGGCTGAGATGATGGGGTTTTCTAAATATACAATCATGTCATCTGCAAACAGGTACTATTTGACTTCCTCTTTTCCTAATTGAATACCCTTTATTTATTTCTCCTGCCTGATTTCCCTGACCAGAACTTCCAACACTATGTTGAATAGGAGTGGTGAGAGAGGGCATCCCTGTCTTGTGCCAGTTTTCAAAGGGAATGCTTCCAGTTTTTGCCCATTCAGTATGATATTGGCTGTGGGTTTGTCATAAATAGCTCTTACTATTTTGAGATACATCCCGTCAATACCTAATTTATTGACAGTTTTTAGGATGAAGGGCTGCAGAAACTTCTGCAGACTTATACGTCCCTGTCTGACAGCTTTGAAGAGAGTAGTGGTTCTCCCAGCACAGAGTTTGAGATCTGCGAATGGACAGACTGCCTCGTCAAGTGGGTCCCTGGAGTAAGTTTAAAAATGAGTAGAAGTTGAGAACATGGACTTATGTCTCTTTGTTGAGAAGTTGGAATATAAAGGATTGGAGCTACTTAAGATAGATGAAGAAAATAATGTAATAGTTGAAAAAAGTTGTAAGATTAATGGAGGATTTAGATATTTTGTTTCAAGTTTTATAGTCAAGATAAGGTAACATCTCTATGCCTAAATGTCGATGAGACAACAATGTATAAGTAATAACTTTCAGAACACTTTCAAGGCAATTTCAGGATGTTCTATTTAAGAAAATCACACAAGTAACTGTTGGAATTGATAGAAAAAGAGGAAGAAGAATCTTCAGTCACACTTCAGTGGAGATGTTTTTGGCTATGTTATAATTATTAGTTAAATTTTAAGGCAGATGAAAAACAGAGGCATGAAAATGAAAAAGAAACAATGACAGATTAAATCATGTATGTGAAATAGAAGAGAATAGAACAAACATAATGTGAAGTAATTTAATATAACATAATAATAGCAATTGATAAGTAAATGTAGAAATGAGCCAGAGTGAAAATTTGACTGTGATTCCAAAATTTCCAGGTAAAAACTTTTCCTGTACAGCAGCTCTTCTGGGAGGGTGGAACAAAATAGAAATGATTAATTTTTTGTTTTTTTGGAAATCAGATAATGAGTTCAGCTCTGCATATGTGGAGACTCTACTACCTATGAGATTATTTGATAAAAATTTGGGGCTCAAATCATAAATTATATTTTAATTTGCCCATGTTTATTCCCTTGGCTTTATTTTAAAACACAATGCTTTTATTGTGCTGAGTTGATTGATCTAGTAGCCTGTCACAAGGCCAGTTTTTCCAGAGCTTATTACCTGGCTAATGCCTTTCACCAGCCCTTTTTCTCTCTATCAGCATGTGTTGAGCAATGAAGCACAAAAATTGCATATGGTCCCCTAATTTTAATGCACAAATATATACTGCTTTACTATTGCATTTATTATCCTTCTTTGCCTGAAAGCTTATTTGATTGAAATTTTTGGCTTTAATTGAGAAGGTTGAAATAAACCAGTTTTTTACTTTGAATAATGATTTTTTTATTACTTGCTCTTCTTGAATAATAAGAACTATAAACCTAACCAGGCAAAAGTAAAAGTCATTTTGGGGATTCTGAACAATACATTAGGATATTTTTTCTTTAAATTATAACTCAACTGTGGTAAAGAAAAACAAAGAAAACCAAAGGAAAATTTAGATTGTGATAATAACACATTTTTAAGTAAATACTTCAGATTTGAGATTTCTTCATTTATTCCATCAAGGAACTAAAATGCTACCCTATTACACAAGGTATTTAAACCAATTATATAAGAGTAATTGTATAAACTACCATACCTAATATGATGGCAACAGCACTAAGCAGGTGAATAATGAGTGTTATCTAAATGAATGCATTTCATTTGTCTCTGTTCATCTACTAATAAAAACAATAATATTTTAAACATCAAATTCAAGAATCATTTTTTAATTTTTAAATATTTAGTTTTATAAGAAATGAGGAAAATATATATGAATTATATTATTTCCTATTTATTTGTAATATATTGCCTATAATAATGATGTTCTCATAGATCCCAATGCTTGAATGTATTTCAAAAATGAAATTACCATCCAATGATTAAATAAAGATATAGAAAGTAGGCCAAAAGAATGGTATATTATATTTGGAACTTTCTTTATAAATTGTGTTTTTAACAATGACTTACTTGATTTTTGCAAACCTAAGACAATCCATTCTTGACATCCATCAAATGCTGTAGGAGAACATTCAAGATGTTTCCCAGTTTGTCTCTATAATTGTTTGTATGTCATACCCCTGTATGCTATTTACAGCTACTACTCATTTTCTGAAAGTGCCATCTTTTCTCATGAATATAAATTTGGTGATTTGGTTTACCACTTCCTGGATTGCCTTCTTTTGTATTTTGAGCTCTTATCTCTTCCTCCTTTCCTAACTCATCTTTCTACTGCTCTCCTTTATTCATTTACTCTTTCTCCTCTTTATCTTTCTCCTCACCCTTCTTCATCCCTGCAGTTATTAATTTTTTGAATATCTAATTAGTTTCTTTACAGATTACCTCATTATAAATTATTCTGCACTTCTATGTGAAAATCTAAGGTTATGTTTTTATTTTTCATATGCTGCCAATAACTGTATGCCTTATGTTATGATTACTTGTATACATATATGAGCCCATTGCCTAAGATAATGAAGATTAGGTAGGGATTGTTCACTTTTGTCTTTCTTAGTAACAAGCCCCAAAATATTTATATGATTAGTTATTGATCAATGTCAGAATGCACCGAATATGCACGGTAGTTATAGTCAAGGCAGATCAACTGAATTATATGTTAGTACTTTTTCAATGAGATAAATTAAATAGAACCTTTCAATGTGTAAAGAAAGAAACTAAATGGGAGAATGAAAATTTTAACTAAAATTGTGTTTCTAGTGGATGGATTCCAGTTAACATTAAAAGCTTGAAAAATTAAGATAAATCACTTTTTAAAAATAGAGTTCAGAAGAGACCAAAGGAAATAACGTAATTTCCATTTGGATCAAAAAGAAGCAGTGAAATTATTAGTAAAGATTGCAGGGAAAAAATAACACTGGAAGGAAGTTCATAGTGGAACATGACAAGGGAGGTGCCTAGTAGTTAGGTTGACAAATGAATATATGAAAACTACAGGTAAAGAGGTAAAGATGAAATAAGATCACAGGCACAAATAAGATGGAAAGCCCAAAATATATAATACATTATTTTTAGTGTAATATACATTGATAGAAATTGAAATGAGAAGGAGTGGAACAAGATGGTGGAATAGAGGTTCCCACCAATAGTCTCCCTTTCTGAAGAAACACCAAATTTAACAACTATCTACAAACAAAAATCAAATTCATAATAACCAAAAATCAGATGAGCCTTCAAAGTACCTGGTTTTAATTTTGTATCACTGAAAGAGGCACTGAAACAGATAACGAGGATAGTTTTGAATTACTGATTCCACCTTGCTCCCATTTCCCAATGGCAACCACATGGCACAGAGAAATGGGGGAGCTTGGGGGAGGAAGAGCACAGCAATTGTGATATGTTGCAATGAACTCAGTGCTGCCTGGTCACAGTGGAAAGCAAAATTGGATTAAACTCAGCTGATACTCTCCCACAGAGGGAGCATTTAGACCAGCCCTAGCCAGAGGGGAATCACCCATCCCAGTGGTTAGAACTTGAGTTCTGGCAAACCTCACCACCATGGGCGAAAGTGCTATGGGGCCCTAAATAAACTTGAAGTGCAGTCTAAACCATAAGGACTGCAAGTCCTAGTGCTAGGCTAGGCTCAAAGCCAGCAGTCTTGGGGGATACATGACCTACCGAGACACAAGGCAAGTCAGCTAGGGGAGTGCTGTGCCACCATTCTCCTATCCCCAGGAAGCACATCTTACAGCTCCCAAAGAGATCCCTTTCTTCCACTTGAAGAGAGGAGAGGAAAGATTAAAGAGGGCATTTGTCTTGCATCTTGGATACCAGTTCAGCCACATTAGAATATGGCACTAGTCAGAGTCATGAGGCCCCATTCCAGGACCTAGCTCCTGAGAAACATTTCTAGACACAACCTAGGCCAGAAGAGAAGCTGTTGCTTTGAACGGAAAGACTCAGTCCTGGTAGAACCCATCACCTGCTGACTAAAGAGCCCCTGGGCCCTGAATAGCCAGCAGTGATAACCAGGTAGTATGCCAGGGACCTTGGGTAAGACTCTAAGAAGTGCTAGCTTCAAATGAGATGCAGCATATTCTCTGCTATGGTGGCTGTGGCTTGAGAAATGCAAAGGGAAAATTAAAGGGAACTTTATATTGCATCTTAGATACTAGCTTGACCACAGTAGCATAGAGCACCATGGGGGCTCTTGGGGGCCTGATTCCAGGCCTGGACTCCTGGATGGCATTAATGGACCTGCCCTGGGCAAGAGGAGAGCACACTGCCCTGAAGAGTGAGTCCCAGGCCTGACAAAATTCACCACAAGCTAACCAAAGAGGCCTTAGGCCTGAAGTAAATATTGGTGGTAGCCTGGCAGTACTCCTGTGGGCCTCTGGTCATGGTGGTAGCCAGAGTGAGGCTCCTCTTCCACGGAAAGGAGTGGGAAGAGAGGAAATAATTGCTTCTTGAAGTCTGAGGACAAGTTCAAACATGTTAATAGTATAATAGAAAACTATATTGTTATTATATTAATAACTATTATATTAATAGTATAATAGAAAAATAGAAAGTAGATGTACTAATTTTTTTACTCCAGTCCCTAACTCCTGATGGCATCTCTGAATCTACCCAGGGCCTGGGGGAACTTACTATCCTGAAGGGAAGGACACAAGCCTGGCTTGTTTCACCATCTGCCTATAGTAGAGCCCGAGGGCCTTGAGTGAACATAGGCAATAGCAAGGTAGTGGTAACCCTGGACCTTGGGCAAGACCCAGTATTGTGCTGGCTTCAGGTCTGACCCATCACAGTCCCAGCGGTGGTGGCTACAGAGGTGCTTGTGTCACACCACCCACAGTCACAGGCAGCTCAGCACACAGAGAGAGACTCCATTTGTTTGAGAGAAAGTAAGGGAAAAGAACAAGAGTCTCTGCTTAGTAATCCATAGGATTATCTGAGATCTTATCCAAGGTGGTACCTCTACAAGTCTGCAAGAACCACAGCATTACTTAGGCTCAAGTGCCCCCTAATGCAGGTAGAGCTTAGGTCACAACACTCAAGTCCTTTCAAATACCTGGAAAGCCTTCCCAAGAAGGATAGGTACAAACAAGCCCAGAATGTGTAGACTACAATAAACACCTAAGTCTTCAGACTCCAGACACTGACAAACATCAGAAAACATCAAGACCATCCAGGAAAACATGTTCTAACTAAATGAACTAAAAAAGGCACTAGGGACCAGTCTTGGAGAAGCAAAGACATGAGACCTTTCAGACAGAGAATTCAAAACAATTTTGTTTAGAAAACTCAAAGAAATTCAAGATAATACAGAAAAGAAATTCAGAATTCTATTGCATAAATTTAACAAAAAATTGAAATAATTAAAAAGAATCAAGCAGAAATTCTAGAGTTGAAAAATGCAATTGACATGTTAAAGAATGCATCAGAATCAATAGCAAAATTAATCAAGCAGAAGCAAGAATTTGTGAGCTTGAAGACAGGGTACTTGAAAATATGCAGCCAACAGCAACAAAAAATAATAATAAAAAAGAATAAAGTACACCTACATGATCTAGAAAATAGCCTGCAAAAAGCAATTATACAAGTTACTGGCCTTCAAGAAGAGGCAGAGAGAAAGATAGGGTAGAAAATTTATTCAAAAAGATAGTAGATTACTTCTCAAACCTAGAGAAAGATGTCAATAGCAAATACAGAAAGTTTATAGACCACCCAGAAGATTTAACCCAAATAATACTATCTCAAGGCACTTAAACTCCCTAAGATCAAGGATAAAGAAAGAATCCAAAAAGCAGCAAGAGAAAAGAAAGAAATAATACACAATAGAGCTCTAATACATTTGGCAGCAGACATTTCAGTGGAAATCTTATAGGCCAGGAGAGAGTGCCATGACATATTAAAGGGCTGATACCAAAACCAGACAAAGACCTATCAAAAAAAAATCTATAGGCCAATATTACTGATGAATATTGATGCAAAAATCTTCAAAAAATATTAAAAATTGATTTCAACAACACATTGAAAAGATCATTTATCATGACCAATTGTGGTTTATTCCAGGAATGCAAGATGGTTCAACATATGCAAATCAATCAATCAGTGTGACACATCATATTAGTAGAATAAAGGACAAAAACCATATGATCATTTCAATTGATGCTGAAAAAGTATTTGATAAAATTCAACATCCCTTCATGATACAAACCCTCAAACAACTTGATATGGAAGGAACATACCTCAACAAAATAAAAACCATATATGACCAACTCACAGCTAGCATCATACTGAATGGGGAAAAACTACAAATCTTTTCTCTAAGATCTGGAACAAGACAAGGATGCCCACTTTTAACACTGTTATTCAAAATATTGTTGGAAATCCTAGGTAGAGCAGTCAGACGAGAGAAAGAAATAAAGGATACCCAAATTGGAAAGGAAGAAGTAAAATTATGATTTTTTTGCAGAATATATTGTCTTATATTTTGAGAAACCTGAAGACTCCACATAAAAAAAAACTGTTAGAACTGATAAATTCAGTGAAGTCAGAGTATACAAAATTAAACTTACAACAGGAGTAGCATTTCTATATTCTGACAGTGAACAATTGGAAAAAGAAATCAAGCAAGTAATTCCATTTATAATAGCTACAGAATAATAAAATACTTAGAAATTAAGTGAATCAAATAAGTGAAAGATCTGTACAATGAAAACTATAAAACATTGATGCAAGAAATTAGAAAGCAAAAAAATGATATTTTTAATGTCTATACTACCAAAAGCCATCTACAGTTTCATTATAATTCCTATCAACATAACAAATACATTCTTTGCAGACATACAAAAAAATCCTAAGATTTTTATGCAATTAGAAAACACTCAGAATAGCTAAAGTTGTCCTAAGCAATAAGAACAAAACTGAAGGATTCATATTACCTGACTTCAAATTATACTACAGAGCTATAATAATCAAAACAACCTTGTACTGGCATAAAAGCAGATACACAGAAAAATGGAACAGAATAGAGTTCCCAGAAATAAATCCATACATCTAGGGTGAACTCATTTTTTACAAAGATGCCAAGAATGTACATCTATACTCTGGCTTTAAAATGGACAAGAGACCTTCAGAGACATTTCTCAAAAGGAGACATACATATGGCAAACAGGTATATGAAAAGGTGCAACAACATGGATGGAAGTGGAGGCCATTATCCTAAGTGAAATAAGCCAAGCATAGAAAGACCAGCTTCACATGTTCTCACTTATTTGTGGAATCTAAATATTAAAACAATTGATTTCACAGAGATAGAGAGTAGAAGGATGGTTACCAGAAGCTGGCAAGGGTAATGGGGGCATGGGGGAAGGCTGTGGGTAGAAGTGGGGATGTTTAATGGGTGCAAAATATAGTTAGAAAGAAAGAATAAGATGTAGTTAGTATTACCTAGCACAACAGGATGACTATAGTAAAAAACAATTTAATTGTACATTTTAAAATATTTTTAATGAATTGTATCTAATACATAGGATAAATACTTGAGGTGATGGATACCCTATTTACCCTGATGTGATTATTATTCATTGCATGCCTGTATGAAAATATCTCATGAAACCATAAATATATACCCTAGTATCTACCCATGGAAATAAAAAATTAAAAAATAATAATAATTAAAAAACAGTAAAGCAGACATTATAGGGAAGTTTTCAAAAAAAGAAACTAAAATAAGGTAAAATAACAAGGGCTCAATCTTCTGTTTTTGTTCATTTATTCACACTGCTGCCTAACATAAAAGAAATATACGAACATAAATGGGAAGAAATTCCATCCAGAACTCTATCATATTTACCTTTTTTAAATCTTGGTTAAAACATTAAAAATGTGTGAATAGAAGACTACCAATCCCTAATTATCATCTGACATATCATTCATGTAATGCTTTGTATTTATTTGCTGTTGACTCTGTTTTCCTCAATTCAAGCCATGTTTTCATCCTGTATGAGCTCAGTATACATGTGGATGACTCTGATATTCTGCCTGTTGGTTTGTTTATCTTCTTAGTTAAAAAAAAAAAAAAAATGCTGGGCGCGGTGGCTCACACCTGTAATCCCAGCACTTTGGGAGGCCGAGGTGGGCAGATCACAAGGTCAAGATATTGAGACCGTCCTGGCCAACATGGATGGTGAAACCCCATCTCTACTAAAAATACAAAAATTAGCCGGGCATGGTGGCGCACACCTGTGGTTCCAGCTGCTCGGGAGGCTGAGGCCAGAGACTCGCTTGAACCCAGGAAGTGGAGGTTGCAGTGAGCCGAGATCACGCCACTGCACTCCATCCTGGGCCTGGTGGCAGAGCAAGACTCTGTCTCAAAAAAAAAATAAAATAAAATAAAGGAAGAAAGAAGGAAAGAAGGAAGGAAAGAAGGGAGAAGGGAGGGAAGGAAGGAAGGAAGGAAGGAAAGAAGGAAGGAAGGGAGAAAGGAAGGAAGGAGGAAGGAAGGAAGGAAGGAAGGAAAGAAAGAAAGAAAGAAAGAAAGAAAGAAAGAAAGAAAGAAAGAAAGAAACGAACAAACAGACAAAGAAACAAAGAAACAAAGAAAGAAACAAAGAAAGAAAAGAAAGAAAACCTTTATCAAGTTAAAAAAGATGTTTGGATTTTCAAATAAGCATTGCTGGAATCCTCAACAATGACTTCTCTTTACATGTGTTCATTTAAAATGGATCACATGGCCACATCTAACAACAATAAAACCATGAGATGAGCATTTTTAAATAGGTACATTTTCATGTTGAAAAAAATCAAGAATCTTGTAGTAGAGCAGATAATGTAATTCGATAGGCAACTAACAGAGTCTGCCACACCATGTATTTTTCCATCTCTAAAAATTTATACTAATAGCCTTTTTTTCTTAGACATACTCTACTCTCTAAGTCTTCCCTTTGCATTTTAAATACTGTCACACGTGTGCCTTTTGTAAAAAATAAATCCTATCTTCAAGTGCTCAAGTGCTTATTATTCTGAAGCTACATCTGTTGCCTCCAGTTGCAGCCAACACTCCTGAAAGGGTTGTTGAACCTGAGTCTCCATTTCTTTGGCTCTCATTTATTCACAAGCCCAATTCAATCAGGTTTAATACTCACTGTAATGCCATAGCATCACTGTATCACTGAGTTTATGGGTGATATCTATGACAGTTCATGAATCTTCTTTCTTAAGAGCTTTTACCTCTTGATCCTGCAGAGCACTGTCTTCTTAAAGTATCTCTACCTTTGCTTCCTTAACTAAACCCTTCTGTGAATTTTCAACCCACATCTCAAGTTTTTGTATCTCTTTTTTGCAAACTGTTACTCATCCACACAGCCCTTACACTTTTCAGTTATTCAAGACCACATTTTGTTGTATTTCTAACTATAATATCGTCCTAGGCTATCTAATTTATTAACCCATTCAATCCACAAACATTTACTTAACCACCTATTCTGGACCAAGCAGTCATTCACATGCCAGGGATGGAACAAAGCCTGCAAAATCCATGATTCATGAAGTTTGTATTTTAATGTGGGAAATGGTTAATACACAAGGAAAACAAATGAGATATATAGTATGTTGAAAGGCGACAAGCACCAAGAGTAAAAATGACACAGGGACATGGAATAGGCATTATCATGGAGGAAAGATTAAATTTTAGAGACGGTAAAGGAAAAGTCTCGCATAGAAGGTGATTTTGGAGGAATTTGAAAGAGATTAGAGAGTGGGATTGTGTGACTATATAGGAGAAAATTATTCAGGAGGAAGAAAGGCAGAAGGCATATTAAATAAACCACGTACACAGTTTCCATGGTAGTCCACAAAGAGGTACTAGTTTCCTGAATGAAGAAATGAATCATTATGATTACTATTCTTCATAAGAAAAGAAATATATCAAATCAAATAATTTATAATCAGTGAAAAAATTTCATTTAGGTTATTATTAGCCATGCTGTTATTCATAATAATTATTCACATTTTATATTATAAATTAAACCTAAAATATTGTTTTTTTATCACTCTTCTAGATACTGAAATTAAAAGAAGAAAACTAGGAGGACTATAATAAGTTATAGGGTGGGTTTCAAATAGTTAATTCTAGTCATACACATATATTCTAAAAACTTAGAACAGGTCATTTTGAATTCCTCCTATAGCATAACCACTGTGTTCTCTCTGCCCTCCTTGTAAGTACACTTTGATGACAACACAAATAACCCTGGCATTAAAACCAAAAGAATTTAAGAAGATATATATGCAAGAATGATATTACTGATCCCACAGATACTCTGCACTTAGATAATTTTAATCTCAACTTTCCATGATGCTGCTGGTTTCAACCAAGAGTGAGGTTGGAATATGTTGGCCCAGGTACATTCTTCTCCATGAAGCTTAAACAATGGTTTATTTTGTCACACCTATTTGCTAAATTTCAGAATATTAGTTGTGACCTGGTTCATAAGCCAATGTCATAAGTTATTTTCATAGGAGCCTCCTGTTTCTATAAAAGCTAAAAAACTTAATGAATCAATGCAATCTAAATTTATGTTACCCTACCAGCTGGAATTAAGTCTGGCCTTTCCCTTCCATTGATATATCTCTGTGTTTGATTGTTGCCCCGCAATGGGCTAGGCAGTGGCAAGGGAATAGAGAGTCCTTATACACTGATGATACACTGAGATCAAAGCTAAGATGTTCTCTTCACCTGACATGTAATGTTATTATTTTAGTTTGAAGTTAAATATATTATCTTGTTTAAATACAGGCTGCTTGTGGTTTTGCCTGTGGTTTAAAAAAAAAACAATATAAGATAAAGATGGATTAAATATATAAAACTCAGAAGTCTGGCAAGAGTTAGAAAAGAAGGTCTATACTTTATATAAAAAGCATTTATTGGTGTCAAGAAGTCTATCAAGCTAGATATAGATATGTACTCACTGTCTGCCTCCTCATACATATTATCCAGACTAAGAAAGCCACCAAATCTCCATGGCAGCTCACCTTCAGCCTCCTGCCCTGCACATCCATGCACGATTTTTAATCCAGTCTTACACTGGGCTGAGGAACTAATTCTCATCTCCACTGAGATATTTTCAACATCAACAATATTTGTTCTAACACTCAGGTGGACTTTTTAAAATTTGTGTTAGTTCTGACATTCTGGACACATATTCCTGCATTTCAGGCATACTTTCCTATACAATTCCTTCTTATTATTCAAAAGATAATTTAGGTAGTCTATATTTACTATGGTTCTGTTGCTTCTATTCATTGATCCTAGTAACATATGGTCTCAGTTCTTTCCATTCTTTTTCATATGACATTTCCAAGTCCTCTTTCCATAATGATAATGCCAATATCTTTTTCTGTCAATTACTTTGCATGATAGATGTTACTATTTAGCAACTACTAAAGTGCCATCAACACCTTCATATAACACACATGGCACATTGTAGATTATAAGAAATATTGCTTAATTGAGAATTGTCACTGTTTTTCAAAACACTAAGTTACAGAAATAATAGGTTTGGAATCTGAAATTCAAATCAAATCTTTCTTGCTCCAAAGTTACTTGTATTTCTACTATATTTCTAACTTTATGCTTTTTATCCTCTATTTTCAATTCCCTTCACTCTGTTGATTTCCTGAAGTTGTTTTAACAAATTACCACGCACTTGGGAGCTTAAAATAAAAGAAATTTAATCTCTCACAGTTTTGAAGGCCAGAAGTCTGAAATCATTATCAGTGGGCATAAATCGGAGGGTTGGCAGGGCTGCACTCACTTTAGAAGCTCTAGGGGAAAATCTGTTCTTTGTCATCTCCGCTTTGGGGGGCAGCCAGCATTCTCTGAATTTAATTGTTTAATTCCAATATCTACATCTGTAGTAGCACTGCTTTATCATCTTCTGTCTGTGTCAACTCTGTCTTTACCTCCCTCTTTTAAGGATATAAGTAATTGCATTTAGGGTCTGCCTTGATCATTCAGAATAATACTGCCATTTAAAGATATTTAACTGGATTACATATTTTTGCCATATAACATCCACAGATTTCAGGGATTAAGACTGGCCTACCATACTCTCCACCCTTCTTAACCCTATACTTTTCCCACCTCATAGTATCATGCCATTCCCAAATCCCTTCAACTCCACAGGGAGATAGAAGCTACTTTTCATTAACCCTGTGGTTCAGCACTATCCCATACAGTTTCAACTACCTATAGCTTTGTAAACAGTCCCTTTATTAAACCTTTCTTGAATTATCCATATTTGTGTATATCATCTGTGTCCTACTGGGATCTTTAAAATATCCAAGACATAAAGTACAATTTGGTACATCAGAAAGATGATGGAATAAAAAGAATTGAATCTTCCCCCCCCACCATGAACACACTGATTCAAAACAAAGCACAAAATAATTTCCTTTGTGTGAAATACAGAAACTAAATGGGAGACTCCTATATTCCCAGACAAGCATGAAACTAGCCAGAAACCAGTAGAAGTATTCCAACTGTGTCTCACCATAAGCTGTACTTCTGACATGATGCCCAGTGATGAAAAGGAAATACCCATCTCACCCATATGGAAGTAGGAAAAGGACTTGATTATATATTCAAGACTGATATTTCTGGGGCCTGACCATGGTGCTGGTTTCTGTCTTACCTACCCCTAAGAGCTAATGGGACCCAGCATACTCTAGCCACCTAGGGGCCACTAAGATTAAAAACCCACTTTGAACTAGCAAGCTAACACATGCCACAGTGGAATACCCTAGCTCAGTGCAGAGTGATTAGGGGAAAAAGAAAGAGCTCCCAGCTTTTCATCAGGGAGGGAAGAAAAGTAGTAGAGAGTACGTCCAATGTTCTTACATTTTTAGAGGCGTCCAAAGCAATAGATTCTGTTCCTCCTGTCTCAGAACTTTGATAAGACCTAGCATATTTTATAAAACTAGAGGCCACCAACCACAAAGATAGCAATTTGAACTACCACAAAGATTTGAGAGGTCCTCAGAATCTCTCACCAGACTTATTAGCAAGGGTCTTCTCTTGTATAAGACCAGTCCACAAAGACTGAAAGAGGTGGCCGTTTTGTCTAATATGCAGACACCAGTTCAAAGAGTTAGGGGAAATGAAGACACAGGGAAATATGTTGCAAACAAATGAGTAAAATAAATCTCAAGAAAAACATGATAATGAAATAGAGATATGATTTAGTGACTGATAATTCAAATGACAATTATGGAGTTGATGAGTGAGGTTAGGTGAGTAATTTATGAACTAAGTGAGAATTCTAATAAACTGATTGAAAATATATTTTAAATGACCAAAAGGGAATCATGGAGCTGAAGAGTATTATAATTTAAGTAAAAAATGTACAATAGGGGTTCTATAAGAGACTAGGTGAAGCAGAAAAAAGGATTAGCAAGCTAGAAGACATGTCATTGGAAATTATTCAATTGGAGAAACAAAAAAAATAATAAAATAGAGTCAAGAGAGCTTAAGAAGTTCCTGACACCATAAAGCAGATTAACTTATGCAATATGGGAGAAAAGAATAAGACTAAAGAGAAAGAGACAGAAAGCTTATTTAAAGAAATAGTGACCCAATCTTCCCAAATCTGAGGAAGGACATTTACGTCCATGTTCAAAAAGGCCAACAGACTTGAAGAAGAGATAAATCCAAAAATCATTCACACTGAGATACATAGTAATCACATTGTAAAAAGTGAAAGACAAAGAGAGAACTTTCAAAGTGGACAGAGAAAAGTGACATTTAAGGTACAAGAAAACCTCTATAAAACTATCATTGAATTTCTCAGCAAAAACATTGCAAGACAGAAGAGAGTGAGGTGACATATTTGAAGTTCTGCAAGAAATAAAACTGTCAACTAAGAATACTCTACTTGGAAAAACTGTCATTCAAAACTGAAAGAGAGAAAAGAAACATCCCTAGACCAGCAAAAACTGAGGGAAATTTAACCATGATAACTGTCTTACAAGAAATTCTAAAGGGAATTTTGAACATTGGAATGAAATAATATGAAAGAGAAATGCAGAAGCACAAAAAATTATAAAACTCACTATTAAAAGTAAATATATATACAAATACAGAATACTGTAGTAGTGTAATAATGTTAGGTAAATCATTTTCAATTAAAGTATAAAAGTTAAAAAGCAAACATTAAAAGTAACCATAAGTATAAAATATGCATATTGACAGTCTAAAGATATGTAAATTATGACATCAATAACATAAAGTATGTGAGTGAATAAAAGTATAAGTTTTTATATGGATTGAAGTCAAGTTCTTATCAGCTTAAAATAGACTATTATAAGTTGATTTACCTAAGTCCAATGACAACTATGAATAAAATATCTATAGAAGACAAACTCAAAAATAGTGAGAAAAGAATCAAAGGCATATTATTATAAAAAGTAAAAACACAATGAAGACAGCAAGAGAGGAAAAGAGAAACAAAACAGAAAATAATTTGCAAGACAGTAATTCTTTTTCTATCAACTGTTACTTCAGATATAAATGATTAAATTTCTCAATAAGAAACTACTGAGTAACTGAATTGATTAAAAATAACCAAGATTCAATTACATGCTGTCCAAAAGGAATTCCATTTAGATTTAAGGGCACAGAAAGGCTAAAAATGAAGGCAAGAAAAAAGATATCCCATGCACGCAATATATAAAAACAAGCAGAATCATCTATACTTTTATGAGAAGACACAAATTTTAAGTGAAAAACTGTCATAAGAGAAAAAATTATGCAATAATGAAAGGTCAGTTTTCCAGGAAAATATATATATATATTTGTTATAGCTAGCAGGCTAACGCATGCTACAGTGGCATACACTAGCACAGTGCAGAGTGCTTAGGGGAAAAAGAAACAGCTCCTAGCTTTTTATCAGGGAGGGAAGAAAAGTAGTAGGCAGTACGTCCAATGCTCTTGCATTTTTAAAGGCGTCCAAAGCAATAGATTCTGTTCCTCCTGTCTCAGAACTTTGATAAGACCTAGTATATTTTATATCTATCTATATATTTTTTTAATATATATTATTTATATATATATACTCCAAATCAAAGCACCTAAATATATAAGCAAACATTGACAGAATTGAAGAGGGTAATAGATAGCAATATAATAATAGTAAAAGACTTCGATACCCCCACTTTCAATAATGGATAGCCCATTCAGCCATTTAGACAGATCAGCAATATGGAAACAATGGACTGGAACAGCCATAAAGACCAAGTAGACCTAACAGACATATACACAACACTCCACCCAACAGTAACAAAATATATATTCTTCTCAAGTACACACTGATAATTCTCCAGAATAGTAAACATGTTCGGTCATAAAACAAGTTTTAACAAATTTAAGAAGAATAAAATCATACTAAGTATACTTTCCAACCATAGTGAAATTAAACCAGAAACCAATAACAGAAGGAGAACTGAAAAAATCATAAATATGTGAAACATAAACAACAGACTATGTATGAGTCAAATAAGAAATCAATAGACAAATTTAAACTATCTTGAAACAAATGAAAATGAAAATACAATATGTCATACCGTATGGAATGCAACAAAATAGTACTAAGAAGGATATTAATAGTGATAAATGATGACATTAAGAAAAAAAAGATTTCAAATAAAAAACCTAACTTTATACATTAAATAACTGGAAAAAGCTGAACAAACTAAGACCAAAGATAACAGATGGAAAGAAATATAAAGATTAGAACAGAAACAAAAGGATTAGAAAACAGAAAGGCAATAGAGAAAAATCAACAAAACTGGATTTCTTGAAAAGATAAAATTGACAAACCATTAGCTAATAAAAAGAAGCAACATGACTCAAATAGAAAAAAAAATCAAAATGAGAGAAAGACGTTACAACTGATAGTAGAGATACAAAATAAATATTCAAGACCACTATGAACAATTTTACACCAACTAATTAGATAACCTAGAAAAAAAGGATTAATTTTTAGTAATATACAACCTACCAAGACTAGGTCCAAAAGAAAGAGAAAATCTGGGCAGTCCTATAACTGGTAAGGAGATTGAATCAGTAATTTAAAACTTCTCAAAAAAGGAAAGCCCAGGACCATATGGCTTCATGAGTGAATTCGATCAAACATTTAAAGAAAAATTAATGTCAATTCTTCTCAAACTATTCCAAAAAATAAAGTGAAAATAATTTTATGAGGCCAAAATTACCCTGAAACATCCCTGATAAACACAGATGCAAATGTCCCCAAGAAAACATTAGTAAATTGAATTTAACAACACACTATAAGGATCATACACCATAATCATGCCAGATTTACCCATGACATTCAAGAGTGTTTTAACATGCACAAATCAATAAATGTGATCCACCACATTAACAAATGAAGTATAAAACCATGATCATCTCAATAGATGCAGAAAATGCCTTTGAAAAAATTCAACATCATTTCATGATTAAACAAAACAAACTCTCTAAAAACTAGGAATAGAAAGAAATTACTTTAAAATAATAAAGGCCATATATGTAAAGTTCACATCTAACATTATATTCAATAGTGAAAGACTAAAACGCGTTTTCTCTAACATCAGGAACAAGACAGTTATCCCTCTTCTATTCCCCATAGTGCTGGAAATTTTAACCAGACCAATTGGTAAAGAAAAAATAATAATAAAAGGCATCCAAATCAGAGAGAAAGAAGTAATATCATCTCTTTTTACAACTGATATAATCTTGTATGTAGAAACTCTAAAGATTCCACAATAAAACTGTTAGAACTAATAAACAATTTCAGTAAAATTACGATGCAAAATCAAAATACAAAATCAATATACAAAAAAAAGAAAAAAAATTGTGCAAAGTCAACTTGCAACATTTCTATATAGTAAGTACAAACTATCTGAAGAGAAAATTAAGAAAAATTATCATTTACAGTACAATCAAAAATAAGTACTTATAAATAAACTTAACTAAGGATGAGAAAGGCATGTAAACGGAAAACCACAAAACATTGAATAATAAAATTTAAGCAAAACACAAATGAATAGATACTTTGTGTTCATGGATTGTAAGACTACATTGTTAAAATGGACGTACTACCAAAGTTATTTACAGATGCAATACAATTTATATGCATTGAATCAGTAATCCTAATAATATTTTTTACAGAAATAGAAAAAAAATTAAATTTATATGAAAACACAAAAGATCCAAAATAGCCAAAACAGTCTTGAGAAAGAACAAAGATTGAGGAATTACACTTTCTGATTTCAGAATATATTAGAAAGCTATCATAATTAAAAGAGTGTATGATACTAGCAGAAAGACAAACATATAAAACGAATGAACAGAGACTCAAGAAATTAACCCAATCAAATACAATCAACTGATCTTCAACAAAGATGCAAAGAATAGAGAAAGGCTACTTTGTTTCTTCAACAAATGGTGCTGGGAAAACTGGTTATCCACATACAAAACGTAGTTGGACTCTTAAACATAAATCAACTCAAAATGGATTAAAGACTTAAATGTGATACCTGAAGTGTGAAACTCCTAGGAGAAAATAGGGGGAAAGCTTCATGACATTGGTCTTGGCAATTAGTTCTTAGACAAGACACCAAAAACAAGCAACAAAACCAAAAATAGAAAGTGTAACTACATCAATTTAGAAAGTTTCTGCATAACAAAGAAAACAATCAACAGAGTGAAAAGATAACCGAAAATGGGAGAAAACATTTGCAAACCATACGTTTGAAAGAAGGTTAATTTTCAAAATGTATGAAAAACTTCAACTGAACAGAGACAAAAGCAAATGACCCCATTAAAAATGGGCAAAGGATTTGAATAGACATTTCATCAGCAAATACATACAGATGGCTCAACATCACTAATCTTTAGGGAAATTCAGATTTCCTTTAACTATCATTGATTCTATTTATTTTGTAATATATATATATATATAGACACACACACACACACACACACATATGTGTCTGTGATTAAATTTTCAATGTGCTGCTGCACCTGGTCCTTATTCCACAATTTATTTTTATCATCTCTTTTTCCACAAACCTTTCTAGATTTCCCTCACTGTTGGTCAGTTCTTCAGCTAGTTTGGTGTGCTTGCCTGATTGAGTGATTCAGACTTTTATCCCAGAGGGGTCTGAGATTTTGTTTTTCTTGATCTTTGTCAGATAGTCCTTCCATCAAGGACACATTTGAGAGTTATCACTGAGCTTGAAAACACCAAGATGTTTCTCAGGGGAAATTGAGTTCAAAACATACTTATAGCTACTTTACTGTAACACTCGGCATCAGCTCCTCATTATAATACGGGCTTTGCTCATGCTAGTAGTATAACTCATTTCTCCTCTTACATATATACCAGCTTACAATACTCAAAGTGGCCAGGAAAAAAAGTCATTACTTTAGGTTTAGTATAATCTTTACTGTATCCCTTGGAGGAAACTATCTGCGTGGGTAATGGTATCTATTATCCATTAGAATTTAGGAGCACTAAGGATGGGAAGCATTTATTTGAGAGTCAGTATGTGGGAGAGGAAGATTATGTTTCCTGTGTCTTTTGCACCGCAATATTTTTACTCGATATTTTCTATTTTTGATCCAACATTAAGTTTAATGAATTAATTCTGTTTGATAATGTAGCTATTTTTATAATAGGTTTCAAGTAATTTACTTAAAATTTTTGCATCACTATTGATAGTAAATTAGCCTCTATTTTATCTGTATGTTTTCTTTTTTTTTTTTTTTTTTTTTTGCTGGTACTATATTGAACTCTCCATACACAATCATACATGGTGCAGCAAAAATCAGTTAAGGCTGACACATTAAGGCAGAGCACAAGAATTATCAGTCAGTCTTGGCAAGAAAGAATTGATGCTGTTAAAGCCGTGAATGGTCTCCATTCCTTCTACAATAGAATGTGCCCATTTAACAAGCCGTAAGCTGGCCAGAACAGAGACTGGATGCTGTCCATTGAATGTTTCATTCTGTCTACCTGGTTTCTGAGTGTCTCTTCTGTAGTGAATGTTCACTGATGGGTATTAAAATAAAATAGAGCTCATCATGTTTGTTTCTGTTTTTCAGACCGTTTTTTACTTTGAGAAAAAGCTGTTGGCCATTGCCCAATAGTTTCTGTAATGTTTTTCTTAGAGTGTTTTACCCACCATACAAGGAAAGAAACAATTATAATTCTCAAAACTGTCCACTCAGAAAATTTCTTGTCCCTATTTCTTATGAACTTTATCACTAAGTAGGGATATAGTACAGTGGTTCTCTACTTTCAGCTCACACCATACATTGAGGTGATCCATCCACGAAATGTACCCGAATTTTATTTCTTCTCTATTATTTGGAAATAGAAAACACCTTATAAGTCCATAGCTTTGTTGGGGCAAAGTCATTGTACCAATACAAGGAGCTACTATGAGATTCCATTTCCTAGGGTTTCATTTACCTGTAGTCAGCTACAGTCCAAAAATGTTAAGTGAAAATTTCCAGAAGTAAACCATTCATAAGTTTTAAATAGTGGACCCTTATGAGTAGTGGGAAGAAATCTCATGACTTCCTGCTTTGCCCTGACTGAGTCATGAATCACCCCTTTGTTCAACTACCACCCTGTTAGTCAGTAGGCATCTCCATTATCACATAGACCATATGACACTTCTTGTCATAAAGTAACCCTTATTTAACTTAATAATGACCCTCAAGGCACAAGAGTAGTGATGCTGGCAATTTGAATATACCAAAGAGAAGCTGTAAAGTGCTTCCTTTAAGTCAGAATGTGAAAGTTTCTGAACTTAAAAAATGAAAAAGTATTGTATGATGAGCTTCCTAAGATCTGTGATAAGAACAAATCTTCTTTCTATGAAATTGTGAAGAAGGGTAAAGAAATTTATGCTGATTTTGCTTTTGCACCTCAAACTGCAAAAGTTGCTGCCACAGCACATAAGTGCTTAGTTAAGATGAAAACAATTTGTGTGTGGAAGACATGAACTGAAATATGCTTTGATTGACAGCATTCAGGTTCAGCACTACCGAAGATTTCAGGCATCCACTGGGAGTGTTGAAATATGCCCACCATGGATAAAGGGACACTACTGCATTCTTTTCTGTGCCTCCTGGAACCACTTGTTAGTGCCACAGGATCCTTAGGGTGTCACCTTCCCAGCTGGAAGCCCCTTTAGCTGGTAATGCCTTTGTCAAGTTTTGTTCAGGCCTGTGGGCTCATTCCACACAGTCGGCCTGGCAGGCTGCACTTAGCTCATGCTACTGGCCCAGATGCCACATCTGTTCAAGGCTGAGCCAAGCACGGAGTGGTGAGGGGTGCATGAGCCAGAGAGTATGGGGTCTGGCCAAGATGCACAACCAGACATGCTGGCTCTGTGCAAGCCTGTAGCTGGATCAGATGCACTGCAAGCAGCTTCTGCTGTAGGCACCCTTTTCTGGACAAGGGGAATGCAGTGGTACCCAGAAGCTTGGAGATGTCAGAAACCACTGAGCTCCAAAGAGGATGTCATAGCCCTGGCTTGGGGAGCCCCTAGATCTGGGCTTCCAGAAGAGCCACAGCTGTTCTCTCCTTCTTGTCGCCTGCAACATGGCAAGCAGGGGATGGGAGGGTGTGTTTCAGCCCTGTTTGTGTTACAGATCTTTCAGTCCCACCATTTGGCAGGTCCCAAGTTCTTGTCCCAAATCCAGGAAGAATGAGGTATTTGGACAACTGGAGGGTGAACAAAGTAAAGAGGTGCTTTATTGAGCAACAGTATAGCACTCAGGAGATCCAAAGTGGGTAGCTCCTTTGTGTACACAGGTCATCCCAGCGTCTACAGCCTTCAGTGGAGAAGAAACCCAGAGCGGGCTGCTCCTATCCACAGATGGGTCATCTCGATGTCTGCAGTCTTCAGCAGAGAGGAAATCCAGAGTGGATAGCTCCTATCCACAGGCAGTTTGTCAGGGATATCTTTGTGAGTCTGGCTGAGTTGGGATTTTTATGGGCTTCAAAAGGGAGAAAGTACATGCTGATTGGTCAGTGGGCAGCCATAGTGGGGCTTGGAAAAATCACCATAAGTTCTCACTCCCAACCACAGACTAACCAGAACTGACAGCTTAGCCCCCATGCTTCAGGCCATCCCTGGCTTGAAGGTGGGGCTTCACTTGGAATCTGCCCCTTTCCACACAGGAGGCTTTCTGCCTCCTGCTGCCATCCACATGGCATTCATCGCGCCCAGGCTGCTCCTGCCGAGCGGCAACTTCAGGCCTGCACCAAGCTACCCTCATCACTCCCTTGGCCTCCCTCCCATTCTTGTTGATGCCCAAAGTCTGGATGGGGCAAAGGCAGCAGAGGGCTGGCATGTCAGTGCCACCATGAATGTGTGCACACTCAGCCAGGTTGTGACAGTGCCCAGGCTCAGCTACAACTTTGCTCCAAAATCGGAATGGGCACTGGGAGCTGGGAGAATCCAGGCAGCAAGAGCAGGCACTTCTGAGCCTGCTGGGGTAGGTGGGATTACCAAGCTACCGAGAGTGCATGGATGCCTGGGTCTACAGCCATGGCTTGGCAGCTGCAGCTGTGCCTACGTGGGTGGGGCTCCTGTGCTGCCAGCTCCATGGAGCGTGCAGCCCCAGCCATGCCTCCCTCACTGGAGCCTATGCCTTTGCACTGGCCACTCTGGACAGGCTGCCACTGCCATCAGTACTGATCCTGAATATTTATGTTTCATCATACAATAAGTATATCTTCTGTACCAGTCAAACCCTATTATTTGTGGCAGTATTGTTTAGGTAGTTCATGACGGACAGAGTTAACCATAGAGTCATTTAAAGTCTCTAGAGGCACCTTACCAATACGATGAGTTTTTTAATCATTTAGAGTTCACTTTCCACCCTTCAGCATGCATGCATCATAATCAAGAATACTTGCAATATTAAAATTATGTCATCAATATAATGTACCAGGATGATGTTCTATCCATAAAGACTATGAAGGTTTCTAAGGACCATATTATGACAGGAGGTCAACAGAGCTAACATAACTCTGCAGCAAGACTATTAATGTGTATCGCTATACCTCTCACATAAAATGGACTTTGATCATTTTAATTGATGAGAATTGAAAACAATGCATGCCAAGAGCCAGAGGCTGTGCAATTCTACTCCAGTAAAGATATCATACTTGCCAAAGCCGCTGCAACTGGAAATACCACTTGACTAAGTGGTATTTCATTTAGGTCACATTTTATATAGGGGGGGCACTGATGGCAAACGTGAAATAAAAGGGATATAGTGGGACCCACAAACCTCTGCATCATTTAATGTCACATGTTACATTGAAAATTTTAACAGTTTCTCACAGGTGGGAGGTACAACTTATGATTAACTAACTTGGTGTGGGGAGAGGAGAAATACTTTGGGGGAGCTTCACCTCAGCCTTTTCTAACATCTTAGGTCAGAAAAACACTGTGAGGATTCTGCTACCATCTAAGTGCATTCATCCTACTTATGGATCATAGTACCAAGTAAATAGCACAAATTGGTCTGTGGAACTATTGGATCCAATGTGAGATGTTTGTGCCAAAATTGTGTGTACTACCTGGCCTTCATAGGCCCCCTATAACCAAGAAGCCAGAATAGCACTTTAGGATATCTGGTATCAGTGCCATTTCAAATTCTGCATATAACAGAATTCAAAATGTCTCAATATTCTGCTTTTTTCTAATATACCATTGATGTCCTTTGTTGAAAGACTGGGAGGCATTGCAGTGTTCTTCCTCAAGGAACCTAGTCTGCACCTGAGTCAGTGTGTTTTGGATCTGATAACAAGATCAGATCTAACAAGTGGATGAGTGATTATAACTTTTCCATTGTGGTGTATTTTCATCAGATCTATTTTTAATGTTTTTAATCACACAAATTAAGTGACATCCTAAATTACAGTCTACTTCATCCTCAGTTCTATTATTTCTTTTCTTTATTTTCCTAATTAACCCATGCATTTCCAATCAAAATGTAAGATTGAACTCTATTTTATCTCTTCAATTCTCTTACACATTCTAGCGCAAAATTTTTCCTCATATGATCTTTTTTCTTACTTGTAAAAAGATTGAGTTAAAGGTCCCAAATAAACACACAACAGACTCATTATTGGCATCTTTTACCTGCTTCCAACTTTTTGCAGTTTTATCTTGCCTTATTATCCTTAAAGATAAGGCTCATGCTATTGCCCCCTAATGATATTCAAATAAAACATTCAACATAAAGCATTCAACTAAAAATGCACCCCATCCTAATCTTTCAAGATACTAAGCAATTTTTTATGGGATGCTAGCAAGCAGCTGCAGTCTCAGTTCCATTCGCAAATGCTTTCGAATCTTCTATATAATCTTCTATATAAAATTTCATTTGGAAGAGCAAATAAACATAAAACATGTCCATGTTGTACTCTTGTAGATAACATGTAGAATAATCCAATTCAGAAGTGGGGAAATTTAGATATAATTATTTTTTCATAAGTATACCCGAATGATTAATCATTATAAATACATAATTATGATAAATCAGTTATAATGACAAATAGGTAACTTAAAACACTTAATTCTTAAGGTAAATTTATCATTTAGTAAAATACATGTGGTATAAATGTTTGAGTCATTCTTTTTACCTATCAGGGTCGCATTTGTTCAATTCCTTTGCTGCATTTTAATAGTGCTTCTTTTATTTTCTATTTAGTAAGTTCTTTTTACATCCTCACTTGTGATTAATAAGAAATTAAAATATAAAACCTGGCTAAAATAAAATATTTGTAGATTCTAGGCTAGAAGTATATTCTATATGAACATGCCCGCTTAAGTTTTTAATGTATATGTAGAGAAAAATGATCCATTTATTTAACTTTACCTACTGAAAATGGAAGCAGTTGCTGGAGGTCTTTAGCTACATGAAAAGGTATCAAAGTTCACATGTTAAGTGTAATCAGTGTGTATAATCACTGATCATTTCCTCCAAGCTGACAAGACATACACATCACCTCTAGTCACTGAAAAAAATTAATTGTTCACTTCAGTTCATATTGTATCAAGGCTAAAATATAAAATTTTTGATAGTGATTTCCTTTCAATTGTTGAAGGAAACTGTGGGATGTCTTCTCCATTATCCTCTGGCCTTTGGCAATAGTTGTCTGTTTTACTTTCTTTTATATTTAAGGCAAAAATCTAACAGACAGCAAAGTGTGGCAGAGCTGAGTATTTTTTTAATATGCTTTTTAGAAGTATGCAATGTGCAAGCCATCAGCAGTAATACGTTAACATAGTTAATCTTAAGTATCAAGCTGCAACCTACTTTTCTCTAATACACTTATAACCATATGGTTGTTTCTGTTTTTGGTGTCAATTTGGTTGGGTGGGCAATACTTAGGCACAACATGAGACGTTTTCATTGATTCCTAAAAGGTCTTTATTCACACTTGAGCTAAAGCAGCTGGTGAAGGGCTAGAGAGCACTCGAGTCACCCAAATCTCTGGATATTGCTTTCTGCTGCACCATCTGTGCCCTGTTAAATATTCTTGATTTTTGCCAAGTTTGGGCCAATTTATATGTTAAATCAGTTACTGAAATCAGAATCCAAGAAGCTTCAGGGAGGGAAAAAATGATACTAAACTGCAAAACTCTTATACATTAATCATTAGTATTAGAATGTGAAGTTCAAGTACTGCCATTCAAAAGATCATTGTGAGAAATCAGGGTCCCTGGATTTGGGGAGAGCAGTGAATGGGAATTATATTTCAAAAGATTCACCCTGGAGACATGTACCCCATCCTAATATTTCAAGATACTAAGTGAATTTTTTATGCGATGCTAGGGAGCAGCTGCAGATTCAATTCTGTTCACCAATTCTTTTTAATCTGCTATGCACCATTGCCTAGTAAGACCTAATATAGTGGCTAATTACTTTGGTAGCCTAACAATTTTACTGTCTTGTACATGACAATCGCTTCAAGTAACACAAATTAGTCAGTGTGTAGCTGCACACTTTAAGAGTCATAATATTCTAAACTACCACATGGAATAAGGGCTCAAATTAGGAAGGCTACTGTATGCTTTTGAGATATTGATTTTCAACAGTAAACAAGATCATCTTGTTATTACTTAATTAAGAGGCAGTATTAGGATATAAGGGCCAAATTATAACACATTTTTAGATATGTGATCATATGATTTAATTAGATAAGAGTTTTACTGGAACCAGTATCCAAGAACAGAAAACACTAATATCTGCTTCTGGGAATGTTATAGAATGAATAGAGGAAAAAAGAAAGATGAATGGTTATAAAATAACAACAGAAGAAAAGCATGTAGACAGTTTTCCCTCAAATATTTAGTAAATCCACCTAACGTGCAAGAATATTTAATCTAATTGAAAATGTGTTTAGTACAATGATCCACAAATTCTAAGTTAACTAAGATTGATTTTAGTTAATATTTGCCAATTAAATTATCTTCTATGTGCACAGTACTCTGCTAAATACATTGATTCTTTTATTTATACTTTAAGTTCTAGGGTACATGTGCACAAGGTGCAGGTTTGTTACATATGTATACATGTGCCATGTTGGTGTGCTGCACCCATTAACTTGTCATTTACATTAGGTATATCTCCTAATGCTATCCCTCCCCCATCCCTCGACCCCACAACAGGCCCCAGTGTGTGATGTTCCCCTTCCTGTGTCCAAGTGTTCTCATTGTTCAGTTCCCACCTATGAGTGAGAACATGTGGTGTTTGGTTTTTTGTCCCTCTGATAGTTTGCTCAGAATGATGATTTCCAGCTTCATCCATGTCCCTACAAAACGACATGAACTCATCCTTTCTTATGGCTGCATAGTATTCCATGGTGTATATGTGCCACATTTTCTTAATCCAGTCTATCATTGATGATGCACATTTGGGTTGGTTCCAAGTCTTTGCTATTGTGAATAGTGCCACAATAAACATACGTGTGCATGTGTCTTTATAGCAGCATGATTTATAATCCTTTGGGTGTATACCCAGTAATGGGATGGCTGGGTCAAATGGTATTTCTAGTTCTAGATCCCTGAGGAATCACCACACTGACTTCCACAATGGTTGAACTAGTTTACAGTCCCACCAACAGTGTAAAAGTGTTCCTATTTCTCCACATCCTCTCCAACACCTGTTGTTTCCTGACTTTTTAATGATCACCATTCTAACTGGTGTGAGATGGTATCTCATTGTGGTTTTGATTTGCATTTCTGTGATGGCCAGTGATGATGAGCATTTTTTCATGTGTCTGTTGGCTGCATAAATGTCTTCTTTTGAGAAATGTCTGTTCATATCCTTCGCCCACTTGTTGATGGGGTTGTTTGTTTTTTTCTTCTAAAGTTGTTTAAGTTCTTTGTAGATTCTGGATATTAGCCCTTTGTCAGATGAGTAGATTGCGAAAATTTTCTCCCATTCTGTAGGTTGCCTGTTCACTCTGATGGTAGTTTCTTTTGCTGTGCAGAAGCTCTTTAGTTTAATTAGATCCCATTTGTCAATTTTGGCTTTTGTTGCCATTGCTTTTGGTGTTTTAGACATGAAGTCCTTGCCCATGCCTATGTCCTGAATGGTATTGCCTAGGTTTTCTTCTAGAGTTTTTATGGTTTTAGGTCTAACATTTAAGTCTTTAATCCATCTTGAATTAATTTTTGTATAAGGTGTAAGGAAGGAATCCAGTTTCAGCTTTCTATGTATGGCTAGCCAGTTTTCCCAGCACCATTTATTAAATAGGGAATCCTTTCCCCATTTCTTGTTTTTGTCAGATTTGTCAAAGATCAGATGGTTGTAGATGTGTGGTATTATTTCTGAGGGCTCTGTTGTGTTCCATTGGTCTATATCTCTGTTTGGGTACCAGTACCATGCTGTTTTGGTTACTGTAGTGTTGTAGTATAGTTTGAAGTCAGATAGCATGATGGCTCCAGCTTTGTTCTTTTGGCTTAGGATTGACTTGACAATGTGGGCTCTTTTTTGGTTCCATATGAACTTTAAAGTAGTTTTTTCCAAAATGTGAAGAAAGTCGTTGGTAGCTTGATGGGGATGGCATTGAATCTATAAATTACCTTAGGGCAGTATGGCCATTTTCACGATATTGATTCTTCCTACCCATGAGCATGAAATGTTCTTCCATTTGTTTGTGTCCTCTTTTATTTCGTTGAGCAGTGGTTTGTAGTTCTCCTTGAAGAGGTCCTTCACATCCCTTGTAAGCTGGATTCCTAGATACTTTATTCTCTTTGAAGCAATTGTGAATGGGAGTTCACTCATGATTTGGCTCTCTATTTGTCTGTTATTAGTGTATAAGAATGCTTGTGATTTAAATACATTGATTGTTATCTCACCCAACATATACAAAACAAGATACACAGGAGGTATTCAGAAAACCTTTACTGATGTGAAAACCACATCAAATTCACTTACTGCTGAAACTTTCTGCTCAATCATATCCAAATATTTTAGTCATGGATTCAATAATTGTCTCACAACATTTAACTGTGACTACAACCTGTGACATAAAATATTATGAAGGACTGAGAGCATGTCTTTTTTTCTTTACATTGTATTGAAATGAATTAATTGTAACATGTTCTGTAAAGAGATGGTATTCAGTACATCGCCCACATGAAAACAAAGGTAAAAACAGTGGCTTACTGCCAAAATATCAAAGCAAATTGGCAAAATGTACATTTTGAATTATTGGAAGATCTGCCAAATTTTCAATACTTACATCTAAAACACCAATATACCCTTTCTATAGGATTAAACATCTAATTTTCTGTTTTTGTTGTTGTATTTCCCACAAGTAAAGCTAGGAATCACTTTGTCTCTAATGAGATGTTCAGGAATATCTTCCAAGTTTCAAAGCAGTCTAGGGAACATGTTATGCTAAGTAAAATCTGCCCAAAAGACTGGATTTTTTTAATTCCAGAAAAACTAAACATATGTACTTTCTTAGAGGAAGTAAATTTAACTTCACAAAATTCCAAATGATCTAAAATTTACTTAGTTCCTACAGTAAATAGTGTTAAAATTGGGAACTTTTAACTGAGTGTATGTAACATCTCCAGGTTAGAATACTAAACTAAAATGTAAAATAAAAATAAATAAATAAGAAAATGTAACATTCCATACATGAGTTTTATTTAAATGTGCAGCTTTCTTAATTTACTTTTTAACTGGCTAAGAAGAAGAGTAGCCAAGAGGAAGAATAAAGTAACTTTTAAAGTAATGATTCATGTGAAATTACCCCAATTGCCTTCTTTCTTAGTCCACTTGGGATGCTCTAACAAAATACATTAGACCAGGTAAAGTATAAACAACAAAATTTATTGCTCACAACTCTGGAGGCGGAGTAGTCCAGGATCAAAGTAACAGAAGATTTGGTGTCTTGTGAGGACTCATTCCTCATAGATGGAGACTTCTAAGTGTCCTCACATGGCAGAAGGGGTGAACACCCTCCCTGAAAACTCTTTTATAAAGGTACTAATCACTTTCATGACAGAGGAGCTCTCATGACCTAATCACCTCCCAAAATACTATCATTTTGGAAGTTAGGTTTCAACACAGAATTTTGGAGAAACACAAACATTCATAGCATACCATCTTTTATAAGATAAACACAGCAAATAGACACCATCCCTTCAAGCAGAGGAGCAAATACATAAAGAATGACTATAACACTTCATCAGTGAGGATCTGTCATCTAAACCCAGGTAGACATATCCAGGCTCTTAGTGGAGTGTTATGTTTATTTTCTATAATATAGCATGGTATCATTAAAAATTGTATTAAGAATTCACAAAATATCATCTATAACAATTGTATCAAAATTTCAACTATTAAAAATTTACACTATTTGACATTATTCTATTGGGACAGTTTTAATATTTACTATAAATAACTTTTAGCTTGGTCTTCTATCACTAATTCCATTTGGTAGACACTAAGCTTAATATGGAAATAAAATCAATGACATTAACTGGCCATAAATATCTTATTTCTATATATGAATTATAACAATTCAGATAGTTAACACAAAATTTATTCCATTTTAACTAGCTATAATTTACAAAACCTAGCCATTGAAATTCATACTAGTAAAGAAAACATGTTAGATAAATTGTGAATGTATATGTGTGCGTACGTGTGTGTATTTATACAACTGATTCCAAATAAGATATTCATTTGAATATGTGAACTAAAAAAAATTAACTTTCATAGAAAAGCCCAATTTATTTTCCCATTTTATTATTTTATTTATTTATTTTTTCTTTTGAGACGGAGTTTCACCGTTGTTGCCCAGGCTGGAGTGCAATGGCAGGATCTCGGCTCACCACAACCCCCACCCGCCAGATTCAAGCAATTTTGCTGCCTCAGCCTCCTGAGTAGCTGGGATTACAGGCATGTGCCACTACTCCCAGCTAATTTTGTATTTTTAGTAGAGACATGGTTTCTCCACGTTGGTCAGGCTGTTCTTGAACTCCTGACTGCAGGTGATCCATCTGCCTTGGCCTCCCAAAGTGCTGGGATTACAGGTGTGAACCACCATGCGCGGCCTATTATTTTAAATTATTAGTCCCTTCTATCCTTTCTCCATTTCCTCTTGGCTACCTTTTTTCTCTTCTATGCTTATTTATTTCTTCTAACTTCCTGTACTTTCTCTCCAAAGGCTAAGTTATATTACTTAAAATATAGAACAAGGAACAATCCTCCAAATAGACTGCATTAAAAAAAGACTCAAAATGATCTAAAATCTATACCATTATAATAGTTTAATATGATTTCTATGGAACTTTCTACTAGTATACCAATGTTTATCATAACACTTTTCTGATTTATACATCTCATCATTTTGAATATTATTTTAATGCTTTGACTGTCATTATATTAAACCTAAAGAATTAATTTTCAATGATTTTAAAAAGCCTAATCATTGCTAATATTTTAAATGCCTCTTTTCTAAAAACATGAATAAATGTTGAGATTTAATTAAATAAAACTCACCAATAGAATGGTTTATAATTCTTCGCGTGTATTGTTAAGAAATATAGACTCTTCTGAAAATATTACTAAACTAAGGCTTAGGGTTTCTTTCTTCTGTTATTACAAGAAGATGTGGGGAATTCATTAAGAAAATTAAATTAACTTTGTATTCCAATGTTTGAGACATAATGCTTCTTTTTATGTTGAAGTAATTTTAAAAAGAAAGAAAACATTTTAAAAATATTGGAGATATTAAATTCTCAAAATCAATTAGAGATAATAAAATCAAGTGGAGCTTTTTATAGGTATGTGACCATGGTCACATTGACACCAAAGTGCATTTTGATAGAAGCTGAATTCATCAATGCCATATTTTTAATGCTAATGTGCTACATAGTATAAAGGACCATTTTCTAAAGAGATCAAATTGATGCTCCTATTCACAACACTAATAGTAGAAGAAAATGGGCACATCTACCTGGTAATTTCCACATAGGTTATAGATATGAATTAGCTGGAGAATATAATGGATTTGTTCAGTGATGACTTTTTACGTTAATAAGAAAAAGAAACTAATAGCTCAAAATAAAATTTTAGGCCACTTCAAAACCACCAATCTTTCTTAAAATGTCCAACTTAGAGAATAACAATAAAGTGTTGACTGTCTATTCTTAAGTTATGTTTCAGTAAGTAGTTTGCATCTTGATTTAAATATCTGAACATGAGAGTTCAGAAATGTAGACTGCTATTTACTTTTCCATAGTAACAAATTTATAACTAATATCTAAAATACGGTATACCTAATAGTAATAAAAAGTTGTTCAAAAAATATAAATTTTAAAAAATTTCTTAGAAGTAAAGACTATGCTTCCTGCATATAATGGGAGAAATTTTATGTGAATTAACTATTATTCAGTCTAAATCAATACAAGCTTACCATTTTCCATATAGAAAATGTTCTTTTTTGTTACTATTTAATTTCCGAGTAGAAAAAATTAGCCTGAAGAAATATAGACAAGGTTATTATCTCTAGGGTATTCCAAAATAGTCAGTGTTCTCATTTAACACAACCAAGATATAAAATACAGTCAGCCCTCCATATCTGCAGGCTCTACATTTGCAGATTCAACCAACTGCACATCAGAAGTATTAAATAAAACAATAAATATAACAATGCAACAATAAAAATACTACAAATAAAAGAATCACAGTATAATAATTATTTATATATCATTTACATTTTATTAGGTATTATAAGTAATCAAGATGATTTAAAGTATATGGGAGGATGTGCACAAGCTATAGGCAAATAAAAGGCCATTTTATATAAGGAACTGAACTTAATCATCTAAAGATTTCAGTATTCCTAGGGGTGATGGTCCTGGAGCCAATCCCCTGCTCAAACTGAGGGGGTGACTGTATTTCTAGTCACACTCAATCTTCTGAATACCATCAAGATTACAATTAAAATGACAGTCTCATGGCTCCATTCCTAAAAGAAGTTTAAATATCTAAGCAGTATTAAATGAACAAACAAGCAAACAAAATTACTTTTCCCACATATAAGTATACATAATCCTTTAAAATGTCATTTTAATTTTTCTAAGGAGTCATAATGTCTTTGTAAATAAGTAAATATGTAATAAAAAGAAAGTAAGATTATTTTAGGATGCACGAAAGAAATCTATGTTCTACTAGATGGAGTACCATAAAGAAAGATGGTGGGATAAACCTGAGTCAGAAGTCTCTCTACTGGATAATTAGAATGATAAGGATAACATTAACTCAGTTAGATAAAACCAAATAGAAGCAGGTTTTCTTGAAAGATAATGAGTATGATTAATATAAGAAAATACAAATTTTGACTCCCAGTGCAGGATCAGTATCAGAGACACAAATTTAAGATAAAGAAGGTAGATTGGAAGGTCATCAACATAGGTGCCAAATGTTCATAAATGAAAACCTAAAAATATAGCCTCAAAAATTAATGAAAATATGATTTATATTGTGGAGAAAGTGAATTAAAAGTTGATATATGGAGGTTTAATATAGCTTCAAGTAATGACTTATTTATACAGTCAGATTTTGATGGAAATTTCCAACAAAGTGGTTATGGAACACCAGGACACTAGACAGTATGGACAGATGCAAAATATATCTCCAAGACTGCATGTAAAATCCATTCTTGACAAATTCAGGCTTGTCTACTAAGTTATGTTGGAGAGTCCTGTAGCAGATAAATTTAATTTGTTGTTGTCTTTAGAAAGTTGTCTTTAAAACAATAATATATTTTTTTCTTTCATTTCATCTACCAGACTTTTAATACAATGCAATTATTTTACGGCATGCTAATGATGTCAGGTACTGTATATAAGATCAGAGTTTGATGTTGATAAGTGACCTGCTTATTTGCAGAATGTAGATGTATTTGCATCAATCTGTGCTGCATCTGAAGCATTTCTGGCCCCCACTGCATTTTCTCTCCTAGGCTTTGGAAACCTAGACCTCAGTTAGGTGGTGAGAAAAAAGTCTTTTTCACATGTGATCCACTATGCCTAACAGTGTGTAACAAAACCTCAGTGAACATGCCTTAATAGACAATGAAAGTATAGTAACTAAAGCTGTCTCAGAAAAAGAGAAATAAGCTATAATAATATGTTTAATATGTTTGTGTGTGTTTGCAGAAGAGTAAGTTGGACAGAGACAGAGATTGGTTCGAAGGAGCAGTGTTGGCAGGCAATTAGCATTGTCATTAGATGAATATTTACTGTACTGTTACTGAAGACAAACCAGATATTTTTCTTGTGCTGTCACAGCATAGTAAAAATACAGCAAAGAAACAACAGGCATAATAAAACCAGCAGATACTGAAACTGACTACTTGAAATTACTAAAGATTAAAGGGGAAAAATAGCTCTGAATGTAAACAAAAAGACCTAGCAAATTTATAAATGTTTTTCATTTTAAAAAACATAGAGCCCCTTTTTGAATTGTGGGTCAGAGGCTCAATTAAAGCAATATTAAAACATGTTTTAAGAGAGGCCAAGGACTCTTAGCACAAGAAAGCAAAATTACTAAAAACCACAAAAATCAGCACAAAAGCTGGGTCTTCTCCAAGAAACTTTGGCATGACAAAGTACTTGAATTTAGAAACTGCATCTACTCTGCTAGAATACCAACCAATTAGACTTAACATTTTCTTGAATATACATGATAGTTTTAGGAAAGCAAAACTGTGATGCATTTATTTCATCAAGATAATTGTGAATTTTTTCTAGAAAATCTGATTAACATCAATGAAGATTTCATTTTGAGGTTTTCTAAGATATATGATACTGTGAGTTGTAAGCGTGACACTCGGTCAGTTCTTGCTCCTGAATAAGCTATTTTCCAAATAAAAATCTGATAGTAACTTTTGTTCCGATATATTTTCACTTCAATGTACTAGAAAGTAACTTTTTCTTCAAGTTGGATCTAAAATCCCCATTTAATTGCTTTGAGAAAAATGACTTTTAAAACAAACTAACATGTAAGATATGACCAGCCAAATGGTCAGAAGTGAGAGTTATGTCACTTCCATTCAACTAGGCTATTTATTGAGCACTTTCTATGTGTCAGGCACATAGTGAATAGAATAACAATAGTGAATAAGACTCTATTTATTGTATGGACTTGAACTTTAATTCCAAAGAACTGTTTATAGAGTAAGACACCTGCTTTTTTGGTACCTGGAAGGAAAGTTTACATATTTTCATTTTTTTATCTTATTCAGATTAAATATGATGAAATAACACTAATTGAAGTGTATATTATTTATATTGTGTATTTTTTTCTTATAAAAATTTCCAAAAATATAGAACAGGTTAAAATAATAAAATGATCACCTAGATTTATCAATTAATATTTTCAAATTTGCTCTATTTATCTATTATCTATCCATTTTTCTATCTATATATTTTTCTATGCATCTATCTTCACCTTTTTTGTTTTACTGAACCATTTGCAAGAAAGTTGCAGAGGCCATGACACTTCAACCATAAATGTTTCACCTTAGATCTACTAACAGGGTCTCTCTTTATATCATCATCATATTATTCTCACACTAAAGAAAATTTACAATAATTTTCAAATATTAAATAATACATAGTGTATACTCAAATTTTGTTAATTATTCTGAAAATACCTCTTATAGTTACTTTTATTAAATCATCATTCACCCAAGTCACACATTATATTTGGTTCTTACATCTTACACCTCTTTAGATTCTTAACATAAATTTTTAGATGTTCTTTAAAAAGAACTACGATGAACTATAATTCTACAAAAAGCAATATATAATCTTGATTATTTTCTTTTTGATTCTTTAATCTTTTATTTATTAAGGATTTGTATGAATCATATGTTTTCATTTAATTGCGTCATGAGGATCAATATGGACATGTATCTATATATTTAGTGTATAACAATCAATTACAGTTACATTCTTTGTAATGTTTAAGTGCTTAATTGCCAAATGTGGCTAGGGAGTATCTTTAATTTACCTTCTATGTCTTCTTTTTTTTAATTTAGTTTTATTTTTAAGTGCCACATAATAATTACACGTATTTATGGAGTACAGTGTGATGTTTCAATATACGTAAACAATGTGTAATGACCAGATGAGGGTAATTAGCATGTCTCTTATCTCAAATATTTATCATTTCTTTGTGGTAAGAACACACAAAGAATTCATCTTCTAGCTGTTTTTGAAAAATGCAATACATTACTGTTAACTGTATTTACCGTAGTGTTCAATAGGTAATTGTAACTCATTCCTTCTATCTAACTGTAAGATAATACCCATTGACCAACTTCTCTCCATCTCCCCATCCCTGCTTCCTTCCCAGTGTCTTTTGACATGCTTCAAATTAGTCTTGGAAAGCTATTTTGCCTTTGGTAAGACACAATATACCATATTTTTTGTGTACTTTTCCAGCCTTACAAATAGAAATACCTGCTTCTCTAACAGACTCTCTTCCTGTTACTGAGGAATTATACTTAGAAACCAAGGTTGGGAATCTAGGGATGATCACTGCTAATGAATGGTCTTTCAGTATACAGAGCTAAGGAATGAAATTTTAAAATTAATTTGTGTAGACATGCCAAATTTAAATTTAAGATTATATTTTTCTTATATTATTTTGTACTTCTAAGTTTAAAATATTAATTTAAAAAATATTTAAAATATTTACAAATTTTAAATATTTTTCTTAACATTGGTATAGATTTTATGTATCTGCTTACAGTATAATAAAAATGACACAGTTTCAAAATTATTAGTAACATTACTCTAATACTATAAGGTTATAGTAACATATTATAGTAATATAATATAGTATGTTACTATAATGTACTATATGCTATATTACATTATAGTATTTTGCTATATCATAATATATATTCTAATAATACATGATACTATAATATAGTAATATTACTACTATATACACACTATATATTACTATTTAATGGGTAATATATAATCCATGTTATAATATATATTATAGTAATATTATTATTATATTACTATATTACCATAATATAGAATAATATTAAAGTATACTTACTAGTCATACATATGAGGAAAGTTTATTATTTTGTGTTTTTTCTTTTGGATTATATTGCATTAATGATTTACATCAGAGTGCTATATTAAAAAATAATGTGTAGAGTGTTAGGATTTTATTGTCTTCCTTTATAAGTGTTGAAACTCATTTAGGTAAATGATTAAGTAGTTTTCAGGTCACCTTGGTGCATTCAAGTCTTGTTTGAAGGTTTTATTAGGGCAGGTCTAGAGTAGACTTTACCAGTACTAATTGAGGTAATTGGTACCAATAACTATAGCAGTAGTTAGTAATTAGTACATCTAACCTGAGAGCCCTACTAGTAAGGCATAACCCTCTGGGTTCTCTATTAAATGTTCCATATTTTTCCTACTAGGGCTGGTTAAAACTCAAATGTTTCTCATCATTGTAGGAGGTCTTGTAATTGTTAAGCTTACATCATGTTTTCTGTTTGATTGTTGTTCGGTGGTGGTGGTGGTTTTGGCGGTGGTGATGGTAGTGTGTGTACACACACTCTTCAAATTGTTTAAGTTACAGTTTGTAAAGCTTCACTCACATTCACAGCTTAATATTCAGCCTGAAATACATAAAACCTCTATGCAGATTTGTTTCCTTTTCTGTGTAGCTTCCTTCTCTCTAGTTTTCAGCTCTATTTTCACTGTCTTGATCCTTCCAAATTTTTATTTCCCTCTTCTCAACCAAAGGAAACCAAAGACAAATTTGTGTTTCTTAAACTACTCTCTCTATGCCAAGGTCCAGATAGTGCTGTGGGCAGAAAAGCAGGCCAATGCTAGGTTTTGTCTTATTTGAATATTTCTATCAGAGAACAAAGTCCTCTTTGCTTATTGTCTGTTATCAAAAAAACTGTTATTTTCATCTTTTGTATAGTGTTTTTAATGTTTACCTCGAGATGGTGAGTCTAATATTAGACATTGCCTCATAGATAAAAAATGGAAATTTTTCATATGCATTTTTCATACGCATGATAGATACGGCTGGTCTGGCTCAGTCAGGGACATATCTTGGCATTTTTACTAGGATTGTGCTAAATATATAAGCTTATTTCGGTAGAATTGTCATCTTTGCAATGTTAAATTCTCTTATCTCAAAACAAATATCTGTTCCTTTTTCCAAATAGACTTTTGTGTCTTTTATTAATGTTTTAAATATCTCTTCACATTTGTTTTTAAAACTTTTAAAATGTGTTTCTATTTTATAGTTTTTTCTTGCTATAATAAGTTTTGCTTTATTATATTTTCTAAGTGGTTATTTCTTGAGAATATGAGCCACTTATTGTATATTTCTTCCCTGCTACATCTTCAATTCATTTATGTTTATTAATTATTCATGACTATTCCAGTTATCCAAACAAATCATTCATAAAGATAAAAACTTTATTACTTCTTTGGAATTTTTTTGTCTCCAGTTTTTTATTTCCTGTCTAATTGCATTGTCTGATATTTTGAATAAAATGTTAAATAGCAAAGGGCTATTCTGTGAACAACACTGCCCTTTTTCTATCCTTACTGGGAATACTTCAAAGTTATTCCCATTAGGAAGAAATGTAAGTCCATAATGAGATATATGTGCTTTGCAATGGTAAGAGTCTATGTATTAATATAAAATGTGTGTTTTCATCAGAAATGTTTATTAAAATTTTATGAAACTCTTTTCAGCATCTATGAAAATAATCACATTTTTCTTTAGGTCTGTTAATGTGGTAACATTAATATTTTAATTATCTATTCCCTCAACTGTAAAATACCATTATTTGTATAACCAGGTCTTTTAAAAAATAGCTTTTGGGGAGCAAAATACAAATAAATATAAATATTATTTATATAAATATTTTTAAAATATCATAGAATCAATAAACTATGATACTTTGTGTTTAACAAATAAGATCTATCAAACTGAACCTCATTTGTAAGTCATATTGAACCAACTCTGAATAAAACAGCAGATCAATTTTCATTTGTACTTAACAGATATGGAACAAAAAGCATCATATATCACTGAGAAGCTATATGCCTTCATTTGATCATTGTTCTACACTATAGACCTCATTCTCAGTTTACAAATTTATATTTACTAGAAACCTAAAATGAGGCTAAAGTTATCATAGGATAACAGAAACTGAATATTAGGATCTGGCTATATTTACAAAACTGTTACACACATTTGGCATTTAATTCAGCAAGCCCGATTATAAAAAATGTCACAAAATAAAATATTATAGGTATGCTAAAATATATGGATAATACTATTTATTGTAACTTGATTTTTCAAGTAACACTGGAATTAATATGTTCATCTAGGACTGCTCATGCAAATTATAGTGTGTCTATACAGTAATATACTATTAAACTGTTAAGAAAGTGAAAAATTGGTATGTATTGACATGTAAGAATCTCAAAGATATAGTAAAAAATGAAAGGAATTAAAAATATGTGCAATATATAAAATATAATTCTATTTTAAAACTGGCATATATACGCAAAGAATTTCTGAGAGAGCATGAGCAAAATATTTTACCCTGGAAAGAGAAACAAGGCAACAAGAAAGAAGTCTTTATTTTTGGAATATTTTTAAATGTGCACATACTGCTTTTATAATAAGCAGTTTAAGTTTAAAAGTGCAAAAGTATATTGTTAAGTGTATCCAAATTAAAAAAAAAATATTGTATAGAACAGCCATGACTAATTATTTTTTACTCATATTAAAATTTGATTGATGTTTGTCTTTAACAATTAGATAGTTAGATTCAAGCAAAACTTTTCAAGTTATATAAGCTTTAAGTTATAGCACCAATAGTCATTTTATTTATTTTTTTCTTTCTTGGTTCTTATTACTCAGATTCAGAGAATTACTAATTAAATATATTGGGCAGTTTGGGAATGTACCATGCAAAGGTGAATCTATTTTTTTCTATCAATCTTGTTTCTATATGAAATTTATTGTTCTGGGAAGCTAAGTAGAGGAACTTCGGAGCCTAATGTTTAGCTCTTCTACACATTACAGGTATCTAGTAATCAGAGGTCTCATTGAAATCCCATAATCAGAACATGTTAGATTGTGTATCTGAATATGCAGACCTCTCCACCACATTCGAGAATTATTACCTACCAAAGAGCCAATTTAGGCTATGAGGAGACTATCTAAAATTCAGAGGCAGTATATACATATCTAAAAACTGCTAAATCCCAAAATAACTGTATCATAGAAATGTGAAATAAAGTTAATTTTTAAAAATGTCCTCTGGCAGTAGACTTTGATTAGCTACTCTGGCCCTCAAACTTTTAAAGATGGCAATCTCTTCCTCTTTCCTGCCTTTGAAGTGCAAAAGATTCTAACCAAGTAGTATACATTTTAACTGTAAAAGAAAGTTGATTTCTTAAATGTCTTTTAGGGTCCAGTTATTGGACACTGTTGGAGTCACTTTTAAATAATTTTTATATTTAATAGGTAAAGTAGGTTAGACAAGAACATGTTTTAAAGATTAAACCATGAGGTGATCTGTTGGGGAGAGAGCTTCCGTGTGATGTAAGGATATCCCAAGCCTAGATAAAGTCAAGTTTCCTTATGTGGGTTGCATTAGAGGAAAAAACATTTGGTTGAATATCTAAACTGTAATATACTTTAGGCCTTAAATAATATATTTGAGCACTACAGTGTATTAAAGCAAAAAATAAAATTTTAGTTTGGCAAGGCACCTCAGAAGTCAGAGTGCTTTTCTTCTAAGCATCATTTATCCTTGGAGCATGATCGAACAAATGCGAATCTACTTTAACATTAATATTTTCAGTGAGAACTTCACAAGATTGGCATAATAATTAGAAATTATCTTTAAGCTAAATTCTGCTTCCTTGTATCTCTACCTAATGGTTTTTGGTTTGCCCCCTAAACAACATGGAAAGAAGTCTTACAATTTAATGATATAACTCATTAAATAATTAAATATTTCTACTGTATCTCTATTTTCTATTAATTATTAATCACCCCCTGTTCCTTCAATCATTCCCTTGAACATAGTATTCAAACCTTTGAATGCTTAACTGTAGACCTTTCTTTTAAACCTCCTTTCCTCTATTTTTCAAAATCCTCACCATTCTTAAGAATCAAAAGATGGTGTATGCTATTTCTTGCTCTGTTGTAAAAACCACATTAAACACCCATCTTCTGTCTATTTCAGTATCCTAGAAATATCAGAACATCAGAAATTCTGCATCTAATTTAAAATATATGCTTCAGATGAAGTTTTCTTCACTTTCAAATGAATATTCTAGAACAGTTGTTTTCATTTTCGTTCTGACCCATGAGCATTTCCCAGACACTTTCAGAAGATTTGTAATAGCAAAATAATTGAAAAATAATACTAAGGTGTTATTTCCTTTTACTGCATTAACATTTTGCAACAATAGTACAAAAGAAATTTCTGTTGCCATTTCATGAGTTTTGGAAGCAGCACCAAACAATACTAGTAGTTATTTTCTGTCATTACCATGATTAAAAGGAAGAATAAAGATAAGTAGGTTTAACTTAAGATTATCCTTGATGGTACAGTAAAAATTAGTAATTTTATTAATTCTTAATTATTATGTGATGAAATGGAAAATACCTGTAACTCGGAATTTATGAAAATTAATAGATATGATCATTTCCAATATGTGACCATATTGTCATCTTGTGGTATTTCACTAGCACTCAATTATGAGATACAGGACACAGGAAAGTGAACAGTTTTATGTTGTGGATTACCCATATGGATACTGAAGTCACTGAGGTGGTGACCAATGTAGAAATAGAGAAGACAAAGTGAAGTAGAAGGCAAAATATTATTCAGTGATTGAAACGTGTGTTATAGATACCTAAGCGATTGGCCAATGATAAATTAGAAGGAGGGGTAATGTTTTCATTTTAGTTGGTTAGATGACATGAAGTTCAAAGAAGCTGACATTTTGAAGGAGTAGCTAAGAGAATTGATTTGCATTTTAGAGTGGAATATAGAAAAAAATACCTACACTACCTCCTGGTGCCTAGTTATAAGGAATGAAATAAAGAAAAAGTCTCCTGCTAGAGAAGCCTACAGAGACAATTGTTTCATCAATAAAGAGAACACCAGTTCTCACCAAGACTGAAAAGATGAAGGAAACATCAAGCAAAGGTCTTGAGTTTGGAGAAGATTTGTTTAAATCACATGTCTAAAGTACAGAAGACCCAGTGAAAGAGTTTGAGGGGAGGAAAGGTGCAAGGAATTAAGTTTTTAAGGTGAGTGGACTAATATGGTGATGATTGTACTCTGAGTATGGTGATTACTGGGCTGAGACAAATGGGGATATGAAGGGTGATGATTTAAATTATGATACATTTCTTGTTTTAAAAGCGATCCCATTACTGGGTATATGCCCAAAGGAGTATAAATCATTCTACTATAAAGATACATGCACACGTATGTTTATTGCAGCACTATTCACAATAACAAACACTTGGAACAAATCCAAATGCCTATCAATGATAGACTGGATAAAGAAAATGTGGCATATATACACCATAGAATACTATGCAGCCATAAAAAAGGATGAGTTCATGTCCTTTGCAGAGACATGGATGAAGCTGGAAACCATCATTCTCAGGAAACTAACACAGGAATAGAAAACCAAATATCACGTGTCCTCAGTCATAAGTGGGAGTTGAACAGTGAGAACACATGGACACAGGGAGGGGAACATCACACATGGGGGCCTGTCAGGAGGGGGAGGACTAGCGGAGGCATAGCATTAGGAGAAATACCTAACGTAGATGACAGGTTGATGGGTACAGCAAACCACCATGGCACGTGTATACCTATGTAACAAACCCGCACGTTCTGCACATGTATCCCACAGCTTAAATTATAATAAAAAAAAAATAAAGACTTATTCTAAAAAAAAGGAAAGTCTAGTGGGTCCTGAAAAATGTCCTAATAACTTGCAGCTAAATATTAGAACAAATGATTCCTTTTAATTAACATGATCTAATTGGAAATAGAGCCAGAAAAGAAAATGTGGCTAAAAATGTGTAATGATTTGCTTCCTCCTTTTCTAACATTTTACCAAACTGCATAAGAAGGAAACTCTTACAGCTTTTTTAAGTAATCTTTAATCCTTTCTGTGAGATAATTCAAGATAGATTGTTTTCTTTTTTAGAATCTTTACTTACCTTGGTAAGTTAAACATTTCATATGACTGACATATCTGACAGACATTATATCACTGAGAGGTACTTTTCCAGGAAAGTTATTGTGAATTTTTATTATGCCAGTTATTATTTGATGATACAGTGCCTGCTTTTTCTTTAAGCTAGAAGTGAGCTTTTAAAAAAATTCTTTTCCCACAAAGGTAATGTGCATCACTGACAATTTCCATTCCGCACATTGAATATAAGAAATTTATGCTTCTTAAGTCAGAAGCGTTAACCCTGTGGAGTTCATGTTTCATTTTATCACTATTTGTCAACAACTGGAGGTCATTTTTATGCTGAAAAATGACACATTTTTAAAAATAAATATGAATTATAAAGATATTATTTTTATTTTAATAATAAATCTGAATATTACTTGCTATTTTTAAAAGATTTGTATTTTGAATAATTATTTCCCATTTTAGCATGCATATTTCTTGAAATACAGTTGATATGTCCCAATTGCAATTTTAATAAGTTTTGTTTAAGGCAAAATTAAAAATAAAGAGCCAGAGCTGGTTTGTTTAATTCGCTCTGGTTAACCTTAGAGACATTACTCATTTAGCCACAAAATACAGAATATTAAAAATATATGAAGAATAAAAAATGCAGTTTTAAGCTAAACTTTCCTTATTGTATAAAACATATATTTACCTGTTCAATGATTTAGCATGTTTGTACATTTTATGAATTTGTTCTGCCTATTATATTTTGTAAAACTTGATCTTAGGGCATTTGTACCAGCTATTTTCATTCCTTGGAACACATTTTCTCCTATTCATCATCTAAGTCCTATTCACTGTTAAGTTCTCAGTTTTTCATTTTAATAACAGCCTCTCCTTGAACCTAGTCCATATTAGGCCACCTGTTATTCCCTCATAGCTCACACATTTATTCTTGTAGCATGATTACTTCTTAATACTTACCTCTATTACTTTTGTGTAGGCTGCATAATGGTAGAGGCTGTGCAGTGATATATTTGAATTTGTGTATATATACATATATGTGTGTGTATATATATATGTGTGTGTGTGTTTTATGGTTTTTCTTATACTAAAGTTGAGTACTTTGTAATTTAATATATCCTAGCCTAATCCAATAATTATGTCCTGAGAATATTTTATTTCTCTTTCATCATTTACATAGTTTTTTATTCATTCTCTTGATAACTTATACCGACTGCCTACTATGTGCTGGGATGGTGCTGCATAACAGAAATTCAGTTATTGATATTAACTCAACACTTGAAAGGTACTCAGATTCAAATGTGAAGAGACAGTAGAAAACAAAACTTGTAAATAGTATACTAATCATTCTGTTAGAAGTAAGCAAAAAAGGGAAGAATCTATATGAGTTTCTATATTTCAAGTTAGGCTTTTCACAGGAAATGATGTATTACATTTTAAGTAGTAATTGCCTAATTTGAGAGAGACTCCAGAGCACAGAGAAAGTGATGGTGTGACTAAAATATTTCCAATGGAAAATCTGAATTGGACAGTAGTTGGGCATGCCTTTAAGGGCTTTCACTTCACCTGTTCCCTCTATCTGAAGCTCTCACCTCTTAAATGGACAAATGGTTGACTTCTTTACAGTCTTGAAGTTTTTATGTGAATTTTACTGCAGTAAGTCTTTTTGGTCAACCTATTTAAAATAGTAGTTTTGTAGATCTCTCAATGCTCCTTGCCCTGCTCTGGTAGTAACAATTAAAAAAAATTCTGCTCATTTAGGCATTTTATGAAGAAGTCATCATATATCTATCACTTGCTTTTATTCTATGACATTGTGTCACTAATTTTCTTATAGTCTATTACATGCGGTACACTCATTGTTACTGATAAATATAACTGTACTCTGTAAATGATACATTTTTTTCATTCCCCTGTCAATGACCATTTACATTGTTTGTGCTATTAACAAAGATGCTATTTATCCTCCTGTTTATATCTCCAGATCTACATGGGCCAGTGTAATTTTTTTCAGATTTTAGAAGGAAAACCTTTTAATCATAGGATAGGAGAAAATTCTGCCTTTAAAGATGATGCTAAATTTTAAAACCAAGTGTTTATAACTATTTTACACTCAGAGTAATATGTAAAATGTTTGTTTCTGTTCTTGGTGTTCTTTTTAAGTCATTTTTCAGCCTAGACTAAGAAAATAATCTGGGAACATATTCGTTCCAGATATATACCTCTGACATATTGTTCTAGCATATTGAGTTTCTGATGAGTTTTTTGTTTGTTTGTTTGTTTTGAGACGAAGTTTTTGCTCTTGTTGCCCAGGCTGGAGCACAATGGTGCTATCTCAACTCACTGCAACATCCGCCTCCCGAGTTCAAGCAATTCTCCTGCCTCAGCCTCCCGAGTAGCTGGGATTACAGGTGACTGCCACCACACCCAGCTAATTTTTGTATACTTAGTAGAGATGGGGTTTCACCATGTGGACCAGGCTGGTCTTGAACTTCTGACCTCAGGTGATCCCCCACCTGGGCCTCCCAAAGTGCTGGGATTATAGGCGTGAGCCACCATGCCCGGCCTGTGATGAGTTTTAACCTGCATATGTGTCAGATGTGTTTGAACATTTGTCAAATGGTCATTTCTCAAATAGTATGATGTGATTAAAAATATACAGCAAACTTTGAGACTCTGAACATTATATATATGAGAACTGCAACACAGACAAGTATTAACAGATAGATGATCAGAGTTGATAGTTCACTTCTACACCAGATCACACTGTGCTAAAAAAAAAAAAAAAAAAAAAAAAAAAAAGCTGGAGTATAGTTCTTATTTCCAAGATGAAAATTCCTCAGAACTAAATATAGGAGTATTAGACAGTGAGGGAAATAAGTAAGTACATGAAAATTAAACCTGGGTTTTGTTCCATTGGATTTAGGAAGAAGCTAAATACTTCACACAGCAATCTTCTAAATCAGAAACATCTTAGGTGGATACTGCTTCTTCATGAAAATCATTTTATTCTTAAGTTTGAAGTCTCAGGGTAGAACAGTTTTCAGTAATCTATGAATTCATGGAAATTATACATCTAATAATTATTGCCTTGCAATTTTATTGCTGTGCTTATTCTTGATAATACCTGGTAACATCCATTACTAGGGATCAAGGGCTACCTTTCTCTGAATCTTCTAGAAGACAGTCTCTGGATTTTAGGTAATACAAGGATGACTTAGAAGGATGTTGAAGAAAGTGGGCCACTATCAATTGATAATAACAGCATGTGAATTTCATAAGCCCCACATATTATTTTGTCATGTCTGCTTGCAATAAGGTCTTTAGTGTTAAAGATGGTATTCTTACATAAATGATTTGGCTTGTTAGTAATTTGTAAGGGAAAGAAAAAAAATAAACAGAAGTGGTTGAGTGTATTTTTCATAAAGCCCTCAATAGTATATTTTAGACATGAAAGTTTGAGGGTTTTATATTTTTAGTTTATAATTCCATTTGTTATTTCTATTTTTTTTTCTGAAGAGTTCTATAGTACACTGAAGATTGAGTAACTGTCAAGGCATTTTAAAGATCTTAAATGACAATCCCAGTAAAATGGGCACGTGATCCCTGGAGAAATAGGTTGAGATTCTCCAGGACATATCTGTGAATTTTCTAAATTCCCTTCTGTTATTGTTTTCTTGTTTTATACCATCATGGTAAAAAGAGATACTTGATGTCATTTCAATCATATTAAATTTATTAGGATTTTTTGTCCTAACAAATGATCTATTCTGGAAAATGTTTTGTGTGCACTTGAGAAGAATGTGAATTTTGCTGTTGTCGGGTAGAAAAATCTGTATGTGTCAGTTAGGTCACTTTTCTATATAGTGTTGTTCAAGTCCATCATTTCTTTATTGAATGTCTGTTTGGATGATCTGTCCATTTTGAAAAGTAGGGTACTGAAGTCCCATATTATTATTATATTGCAGTTTATCTCTCCTTTAAGATCTATTAATATTTGCTTTATCTATTTAGGTGTTTGAATGTTGGGCGCATATATATTTATAGTGGTTATATTCTCTTGATGAATTGACTCCTGTATCATTGTATAATGATCTCTTTTGTCTCTGTTTACAGTTTTTTACTTAAAGTCTATTTTATCTGATAAGTATAGCTATTCTTGCTGTCTTTTGATTTACTTTCACATGGAATATATTTTTATGTTCCTTCAGTTTCAGACTGCGTGTGTCCTTAAAGGTAATTTGTGCAAAAGCTCTTTAGTTTAATTAGATCCCATTTGTCGATATTGGCTTATACAATATATACAAAATGTATATATTGTATAACTTGTGTTATCAAGATCATTCTCATAATGTTCTGAATTAGGCTATGATATTTCTAAAGATTGTAAACTAGTATTATTTTATGAAGGGATTGCAATAACACATAGGACATGATTAAATTTGTATTAGTCAGTTACCAACTCTCCTACATTCCCCTCAAAAAACAACCTCAAAGCCTCAGTAATTTATATAGTCAGATATTATTTTTCTTGCTCCCTGGGTATTTTGATTAAGGCACTACGGTACTCAGCAGGGAAAATCTGGGTTTGGTTTACAGCAGCTATTGATCTGTGGCTATGTAGAGTATGTTTTCCTTATATCAAACCATAGAAGTGCCAGAAAAGTGTGTAGAAATATGATATATCTCAAAGCCTCAGTTAGAAACTGGCTTAATGTTAATTCTACTCAAATTCTATTACCAAGTGCAAATCCCATGATCAAACCCACACAACCAGAGAGGGACAAAGGCAGTAATTCCATTTTAATGGGACGTACAAAGGGCATGGATATATATTATTCTAATAATAGAAGGATGCAAAGAACTGGGAACACTGTTGCAAGCTGACATACAATAAATTTTTATCAATAGCAAATGAAGAAAAATGTGCTATTTAATTGCTTAAAAAATTATACCGACCCATTCTTCTAAATATTATTATTTGTGAAATTTTAATAATTATTGCAGAAATTTAAGTTTCTACTGCATTTTAAAGTATTCCATGTTCTTCTTAAATACAATGCGAATGACTGCTTTCATGTGAGTTCCAAGTGCATTTTTTCTTTTTCAGCCATCTATGGGTATTTGTTGTTTGTGTAACAAACCACTCTAAAATGTATTGGAGCCAAACAACACAAATGTATTATTTTTCATAATTCTGTGGGTTGAATACATGGTTCTTCTGCTTCATATTAGTTAACAGTGATAATGCATGTGTTTGCACTCAACTGTGAGCTGAGCCAGCACACTTCAGTTTTCTTCTATGGGGCATCTCTCCGTGGTGTGGCTCATTCTTCAGGGCCTTTCCATGAGTCTTCTGTTTTCAGCAAGTTACCTGGACTTCCTTGCAATATAATGACCAGTATTCAAGAGAGAGTGCACAAACTAGTAAAGAGGAAAGCTGCAAGACCTTAAGAACTTAGGCCAGAACTGGCACAACATCCTTTCTATTGCATTCCAATAAACAAAAGAAGTAGCAAAACTAGCCCGGATTCAGAGAGAAATGATCTGCTCTTGGAGGGACAGAAGGCATAATTGGCAGCTTTATTCATGCTTATCTATCACCACAGCATAAATTTGTCAAGATCTATTATTCACTTTTATTGCCTTATGTACTTTTATTGCTTATGCAAAGAAAAATTCCACAGCCAATAACATTTAACTGCTCAAAGAATAGTTTTTTTAATAATGAATATTAAGTTTAAAAAAATTAATACTGATATTTAAATTTTATTTTTGACAATTTGAAAATTATCTACATTTTTTAAATTCTATCAAAAACAAGATGTTACAAAGAACAAGATATAAAATTATATACTGAATACTGTACAATTCTATTTATATGATTTCATTACATATTGTTATATAAAAGTCAAATTAATAAATATAGATGTCATATTAGTGATTACTTCTGTAGAGGGAGATATAGCCTGGAAAGTGCAGAAGTGAAACTCTCCAAGTTCTGGAAATATTCCATATTTTTTATCTGATTTGTAGTTATACACATGTAAACATACTGTAAAAAAAATCAAGTCGTTCTTAGTATCAGTGCATGTTTTATATGTCATACTATATATGTTATATTCAATGACACAATAACAAGAATAATAATGTGTTCTTATTGCTAAATCACAGATCTTTTTTCACTATTTTTTTTGTTTCTGTCAAATTTAGTAAGGGATGAATTTTGTAGCCTTAGAGTATACTGATTGTTTTACATTAAGATCAAATAAAAGCTAGATATTTTAGGAATTTCTAAATATTTAACCTAAAGTTTTATTAGAAAATATCTTAAAATTTATTTTACACTTAAAATGTTTTTCTAAAAGGTGTGTTTTTTGTGGGCTGCATACATTGAAATAATCTTTAAATATTTTAGATCATAGCATTCTCTCAGCTCTATCTTAAGAAATTCTTATTTAATTGGTCTAGGTTGTAACCTGAGCATCTATATTTTTATAGGCCACCACTCTATCCTAGATGATTACAGTACCAGACAGAATTAAAACCACTGGTTTATTTGAACAGTGGAATCTTAAAGATCAGGACAATATATTTCTATTATTTGTATCCCTAGTACTTTACACAGAATACATTATTAGGTATAATAGCCGCAAGTTAGGAAAGTAGCATAAATACAGCATGTTGATACAGTTCTTTAACTTAAGTTAAAAATTAAAAACATAAGTAAGCAAAACAATCTTTAGCTTTTCTCTTTAAGTTACCTTATTTATATGTTATGATTTCAACAGTTTCATTACTTTTTTGGAATAAAATCTTGTTCTTCTATCATAATCTTCCCATATCTTCCTATTGTATCAATTATTTGAAACTATTACCCATTGTTAGTTTTTGATGATGCACCTGTTTACATTCACTAAATGAAATCAGATTTATTTATTTGCTGATTATATCTGAACAAATTTAAAGTTAGTGATATTTTTAAGTAGAAGCAGAAATTTCAACTGGTAGCTTATTCCACATGACAGCTGTGAACTAAAGTTTTTATAGAACTGCTAGATCTCTGGTGAGATAGGTAGTCTTAGTTAATGCCAAATGATGTTCACACCAGGCAGGAGACTTCTTGCAGCGCAGGAGGAAGCAGCACATTTAATTTGTTATCACTGAAGGAAATGCAATACTGGGACTGAATGATGTTGAAGACAAGAAGGACCTATCTGGCAGACTGTCAGTTTAGTCTCATGTACATTTAGTTAACTATACAGTTGTAGTTAAATAAATATCTAAATACAAGCTACATTTTGTATTGGATTGATTGCTCTTAGTTTTGCTTTCTTGCATGTTTTAAAAGTCAAGGTCAATTTGTACAGCTTCAGGGGAAATGTTAATCAGTCACAATTCATCATTACTTACAATTTTTCTAAATCTTCCTTGATTAGAAGTTTTAAATTTTTACTTGTAAGTTTTAAAGCTTACAAGTGTTAAATTTTCTATTTAATCATTACTTCTTTTTCCCAGTAAAGCATATATAGGCATATGTAATAAAAGGGATACATATATGTATATATATGTATATACACACACACTATATATATATATATATATACATATATATATATGCACATATATATATGTATATATATATACACAGTCATACTCTACATGACAATGTTTGGGTCAAAAACAGATCATGAATAAGACAGTGGTCCCATAAAATTAAAATACTGCATTTTTACTTTACCTCTTCTATGTTTAGACAGGTTTAGAACACAGATATTTACCATTGTATTACAATTGCCTAAAGAAGCCAATACAGTAACGTGCTGTACAGGTTTGTAGTCAAGGAGCAATAGGCTATACCTTATAGCCTAGGCGTGTAGTAGGCTATACCATCTAGGTTTGTAGAGGTACATCCTACTATATTTACACAACAACACATTTTTTAGAAAGTTTCCCCATCATTAAGTGATGCATGACTGTATATATATATATGAGTTTGTGTGTATGTAATTTCTAAATATATAACCAAATTTTAAATTTATCTTAACATTTTTTCTAATATATCCATACAATTATGAATGATACTTATAGAAGCCTACTAAAAAAAATTGAAATTTTATAAAGATCTCCTTACGGTTCTAAACTTTAAAAAAAAGTCTTTAGCTGCTTTGATGTTTGCATACAGATTTTTAACTACTATGTTTTCTTCATAAATTATATACTTTATCATGACCCAATGTCCTTTTATCCTGTCCAATGATTTTTACCTTAAAGGGCATATTTTCTTTTATTTTAATTACATTTTAGTGTACATTACATTTCTCAGGTATTGTTCCTTGGAATAACACCTGTAGAAGGAGGGTGAGGCAAAACAATTGCGTAGAGGGAGTAGTCTACCTGCAACACAGACCCAGAAGGGCCAACCTACCCTATCAGGAGCTCTGAAGCTGAAATGGCCCATCAGGGTTATTGTGTGTTCACAACTGACTAGACACTTATGTCTCCACCTTGAATAGTAATTACATGTAAAGAATATCTACCTGAAGTGACCCCAGAAGTTGCTGTCAACTAAAGGCCATTTCTGTACAACACTGCCAGCTTTGGGGGAACTTAGAAATAGTTTTTCCTTGAAGAAGGACCAGGATGTTATATTACCTGTCCAACAAAAATTTTAATTTTTGCGACAAATATCAGCATCATTTTCTCTTATGTCCTTTCTTTGCTGAAGAGCCTAATTTTCATATATTATTATTTCTGTGCAGCCTCAGGAACATTCCTTAATATATCTGGTAGTGCAGGTCTGCTAGTGAAGCATTTCTTAGATTTCTTTTACCAGAAACGTCTTTATTTATCTTTCATTCTAGAAGAATATTTCTGTGGAATATAAAATTCTTGGTTATGATGTTGGTTTATATAATTACTTTTGTATCTTTTAGCACTTTAAAGCTATTGTTTCATAGTCTTATGGCCTCTATAGTCTCTGATAAGGAGCAAGTGGTCAGCCAAGTTGCAGTCGCCTCTTATGTAATATATTGGTATTTTTTCATTTTTTTTTTTGCCTTCAAGATTTTCTCTTTATCTTTGGATCTCATCAATTGGACTATGATGTGCCTAGGTGTGGTTTTCTTCATATATGTGTTGCTTGGAGTTCACTGGCCTTATTGAAGCCACAAGTTTATATCTTTAAATAAATGGAGAAAATATGGAGATTATTTCTTCAAATGCTTTTTCTGCCCTATTCTCTTACTCTTCTTCTTCTGAGACTCCAATTACATGCATATTATAGTTTCTGATATTATCCCACAGTGAGACTGTTTATTTATTTTTCCAGTTTTTTTACTGTTCTTGAAATAGGATGAGTTCGATTAATGTATATCCAGGTTAACTGATGCTTTTCTCTGCCTTCCCCATTCTGTTCTTTAGCATATCCATGAACTATTTATTTCAGATATTGCATTATTCAATTTAAATGTTTCCATTTAAAGTTTCTAAGTTTTTTTCATAATTAATATATCTGGAAAGTATTTTCTATCTTCTTTCACTGTGAGTATGTTTTATTACACATTTTTGAGCATATTTATAATCGCCACCTTAAAATATTGTTTAATTCCAATGTCTGTGTTATCTCAGATGGCCTTTTCTTTTGAGAATAATTCACATTTTCCTTGTGTTCCATATATGAAGTCATTTTGGATTGTAATATGGATTCTGTAAAAGTTATGTTGCAGAGACTGTACTCTTTTATATGCCTCTGAAGAGTATCGGCTTAATGTTATAACAAACAGTTAATTTTGTTGCATTCAAACTGCACTTCGCTAACTGGAATTTAAAAGCAGTTGTTTGAAGAATTTTGTAGTGAGAAATCCACAGGTGGGAAGAGGCTAGCAGATCTCTTCTTCTCTTGACTTGGCATACTGTGACAGGCTTACTGTGGAACCCCTTATAAGGCTGTTTGCTTTCTACCCTCCTTGTACTTTTAGAGACAGGTAAGGCACAGCTTATGCATATAGCTTATTTTTGCTTTGGAGAATCAGAATGTCTTCTACCTCACTGTCAATGAGTACATAGGAACTAATTTATACAGTAATTTCAGTAGTCATAGAGCTCTAAAAATCAACCTCTCCTCAACACTAAACTCTAATGCTGTTCTCCTGACATGTTCATAGGTAACGAAAGAGAAAGCTCTGTTTTGTCTTCCAGTTCTATCTGCCGGAATTCCAAAGAGTGCTCCACTTCATTATATAATGCTGCTACATAGGTCTCAGAAATCTTTTGGTTTTGAAGAGGGAAAAATTTGAAATTAAATATAGATAAAACTGAACCATATTCAGATCAATATGATCTTAGAACCTATAGATTTTTGCCTGTATTATCTAAACTGAGACTGAATAGCATACATATTTTGTTCAGTGGGTATTAATGGTTCCATGATTCTAATTTTGCTCATTTTTCTGGCACGTATTGGCTACCTGCCCTACTTTTGCAGTTGACCAATTTTGCTTATAAAGACCAGGCTGTAATGTGGCCTTGGTCCCATCATACCATACCTAACCCCGCTGTATCTGATATTAGGTTCCTAAATAAATAAAAATAAAACTTTACTATTTACTCACTAACTCTAAAAATGCCTTCTCTTCTAGTTTACTATACCCACACAGAGAAAAACCATAGATATTTTATAATATAGTTTAGATGCTAAGTGGCAATACTTTGAAGTGTGAAAATCAGTGACAATTATTCAAAAAGTTTTTTTACTAATGGCCATTATTCAGGGAGATAGTTCTGTGGCTTTGCATATCTTTCAATGTATTGCTACTCAAAATGTGGTCCAATGATCAGAGCCACTCTGAAAACTTTTAACTGCTGCTCTGTGACAAAATGAGTGCAGAAATTGAGAGTATGAGTTTATTGATTTTTATGGAAATTTGTTGGACTTACTTCTTATCTGTGGAACGCAATAATTTAAATGACTTTGTATTTTTAAATCTTTGTTTCTACATTTTACTGTCTAGTAATTCCTTTTTACTGTATTTCATGAAGATTTTTTCTGTGATATGTTGAATCAACAAAATTAGTGATGTCTGTAATAAAAATTGTTTCATAAGCATTTCCTTGGCAACTGAGGACATAGATATAAGTTTAAGTACATTGGTAGACACATGCCTGCACTTGTTGCAGAATAACTAAAATACTTCAGTCAATGAAAGGACTTGAGACAGTATAATTAAAGAGGATCATTGTATTTTCAAAGTGAAAGATGCCTGAAAGCAAGAAAACCACGCAAATCTTAGTGTTTAGGTGGGAGATGAGAGTCTGGTTCAAAATTAGAGTAGAATAGAAAGAGTGGAAATAAGACTGAAGAGATTCTGTTAATTAAAAAATATCTGTAGCTCTAGACCCATGTTCTTATAATACATGATTATGCCATTAAACAAATTAAATAACACAAAGGGATTTCCAGTAGGATATAATAAAACTTAGTAACTGTTTTGGAAGCACACACCTTTAATGAAATAAAATGAGTGCATACTACATGTATCTATATGCAAGGGCCTATAATATTAATACCATGATTCTTTAAAATTCTTAAAATATACAACTTTACTCATTATTAAAACTTTTCTAAGGGGAAAAATATTTGAGCACATGTTTTATGAGAAACTTCTGCCTTACATATCATTTTAAGGGCAAAAATAGTAACTGAATAAAAAAATTAAGTCTGAGAGAACAAAAATCTGATAGAGAAATGGTTATTTACATTTAGATGATTTTATTACTAGATGACATAGATATATTTTGATATATAAAGAAGATGTTCATGAAAAAATACTTAGATGTGATGAAAATTATAGCAATATATACATACCTGGAATTATACATACAAATTTTGGAGGTCATTGTTTACATAGGGTGTTATATTTCTGACTTTTAGATAGCCTTAAATATTAAATTAGATTTTTATGGAATTATGCCAAGTTCAATGAAATTGATATTCTGTATTTCTGGGAGGGAGTATGTGTTTAATACCATTTTTATGCACATTGAGCACATCAACTAATTTCATTAATACTGTAAGCCTAGACTGGATGACATATGCCATCAATTTCTAATGTACTTAGAGTCAATTCCCAACAGTGTGGGGGAAAAACACCCGCAACTTTGGTAATTCATTTATACGTATTTATTCTGTGGACCATATTGAATGCTACCTTTTAAACCCATCCATATAAGGTTCAAATATATTTGGATGCCTAGGTAACTTCTGTCACTTTTATTTTATTATTTTACAAGCCATCTGATTTAGCCAGTTGGTCTGTTTTTTCTCTCCTAAATAAGTAGTGTTGATCCACATTTCTGCAACTTTTCTCAATCATATTTTCTAAATCAGGACCCATCTAAGATTCAGGCTTCTTCATGAATATTTCACTGTCTGCCCAAATCTTTCATTAAGTGTATTGTTTCAAACATTTATTTGATAATATCTATCTTATTGACTTCTCTCTTTTTTATTCTCATTAAATGCAATGCACAGTATTACACTTTTGAAGTGCTATATTGTTTTGAGATTCTATGCATAGTAATGAACATGTATAGATTTGGATGAAGTCCAGCATATACCTGTTGAAGTTCTTGCCAGATCTCTTGAGTGTTAAGAGAATCCTGAAGCTAATTTTTATGCAAAGGGCAAGTTCCATTATTTCCTGTCACTTGCCCTGAAATCAGTACACAGACTTAGATGATTTGAAGCTGAAAAATGACAAAATTGTTACTAGAAATCTGAAACATTGGGATGTGACGTTCTGGGTAAATGCTGTTTAAACAGCCATGAATAGCTTTGGAGGAGTTCTCTTTGTTCACTGCTACTGTTACCACTAAGGACGTATTTATATCTAAGAAAGGTGGATGCAGGCCCACTGGTACACCTCCTGCTTCTACTCATTTAATTACATTGGGTTTTCTTTTTAAATTAATCTTATTCTCTCAGCTTTGTATTGCCACTGTCTTCCACATTTAGGCTTCTAAGCCTACAGGATCCTACTTTATATTCATACTCTCAAGTGGAGTTTCCTGAATATTTGTGAGCTTTTGACCTCCACCTAATTGTTTCAGAAAATTAGCGGCCCCAAGTCCGTTTGTTACTCTGTAGCCAAGGTCACCAATCCAAATATCTTACTCATGTTTGTTTTTCTTTGAGACACTTGTTATATTTTATTGCCCAAAGTTCTGTCAGTATCATATCCATTCATTTGAAATGTTGTAAGACCAAATTCCAAAAGAGGATCGGTAAATGGCTTTTCTCCCAGGACGCTTCCTACTGTTATGCTAGTTTACCAATATGGAGCACAGCATGGAAAAGAGTTTTGGGAGAGACAGCCTTGGAAAAAGTATATAAAACAATCTCTGACACCTTTCTTCCCTATAAAACAAGGTATGTCTACTTGTCTTCAATTTGCATGACTTATAGGAGCCCATAATTAGTTATTCTCCAAAGAAGCTGAGTATTTACACTTCTAAATATAAAATGTAGTTAAAAGTTGATGGCTGATGGAAAGAGACCCTATATTAGTCCATTCTCACACTGCTATAAAGAAATACCTGAAACTGGGTAATTGATGAAGGGAAGAGTTTTAATTTGATCACAGTCCTGAAGGCTATGCAGGCTTCTGCTTCTGGAAAGGCCTCAGGAAACTTAACAATCATGATGGAAGGCAAAAGGGAAGCAGTCACATCTTACATGCCTGGAGCAGAAGGAAGTGGAAGGGGTGAGAGGTGACACACACTTTTAAAGAACCAGATCTTGCAATCACTCACTCACTATCACAAGAACAGCACCAAAGGGGAAATTTTCCCCCATGATCCAATCACCTCCCACTAGGCCCCCCACCTCCAACATAAGGGATTACAATTTGACATGATATTTGAGCAGGAACACAGAGGCAAATCCTATCAGACCCTTATTAATGGAAGCCCTAGATATTTGTGTCAGGGAACAAGGTAAAATATGAGTATGAAGAACCTATTTGGATAAGATTATACTGTTTAATACATAATGAATATTTACATTTTAGGCCATATACTGATGAAATCTACTTGTACTAGCATAGTTTCTGACATATTAGCCTTTAAATTATTGGCCTCTAGCCAACAGCAAACAATATATTTGCTTTGATCTATATTATATCTGAACCATTTGTCTAGTTTGCTCTCTAGAGAAAAGGAAGTTAACACCAATAAGATCTATTATGTAAACAAACTCATACAAAATTTTTAAGAAATTACTGAGTATAATCTATCTTTATATAGTGACCCAACCCACAGGATAGGAACAATGAAACAAACCTAAAATCACTGAAGGAATAAAAAGGTAAAATATTTGAACTTTCACATTCTCTTATAGTTGCTAATACAATAAAGTTAGATAAAGAAACCTTACCTCAGGAGCAAGTAACAACGCCCTTTGTTTTCAGCAGAATGTAAAATGTTGCTGCTTATGCCAGATTTGAATAAAACAGATAATCTTCCCCAAATTGCACTTGGGTCAAGCTTTGAATCAAACTTATTTCCTTCCTTCTTTCCTTCCTTCCTTCCTTCTTTCCTTCATTCTTTCTTTCCTTTTCCTTTATTTTTTCTTTTTAAACAGCAGCTATCTCACAATTTTGATATTAACTCATTTCTATGGTCACTGTCTATAATATGATATGTATGGTTTATTTTATGTATCTTGGCTTGAAACCTTTCTACTATGGCATTTGTCCTTTCATTTTCTCTGATTTGCCATAAACAGATAATTATGCCTCCAGCCTTAAGTGAGATTTTTGTAAGATGTCTTACAACCATGATCTGATTCCAATTATTTAAGATACTTATCTTCTTCATAGTTGAATCTCTTGCAGCAGTAGCTGATATAGTTCTTCCAGTGAAAGATAAGACTTTCAGGACTTCCTCCTTAGTACCTGTGCACCAGCAACCTTTCCAAGACCATATGGTGCATATGGCCAACTTATTTCATCTGATACCTTTGCAAATTCACTTCAAATTTAATATCAAATTATTCATTGTCAACTTGCTGTGAAAAGTAATCTGCCTTCTTTTTAGTAACAACTGGTGTATAGCTGTAGACAAGTGATTACTAGATGGACCAAAAAATTAATACTTTTGCTTGTTCTACAGGAAACAATATATTAATATTTTCTAAATTATCATATGAGGAAGCTATTACAATACAAATCTTTACCTTTTAGGCAGTAACATTCATTATCACAAATTTAAATCATAGGGCTTTGTATCAATAGCAAATATCTAAGATTTTTAACGAGAATATATAAAATAGCACTTGATAAAACCATGGCAAACACTTGTTTATGAAGCATTAGAATAATGGGAAATATTTGAATAAACAATCATAAGGTAAAATTAATCATGTTCTTCTTTCATTCAGATTTTGTTAATCAAATAATCTTTATACGTAATACTACAAATACGTTCATCTTTTAATCATGTACATGTATCTTTAATAGATTATTAATAAAACAATAGATATTTATCTAGGGTTATATTCCTAACCATTTTCCCTCCCCTCCTACATACCTAAACATTTAACACAAATTTAAAATTTAATAAATATTGAATAAACACCTAGTATGTTCAAAGAATTGTGCTAGATCTGGAAATACAATTAGATAATAAAATTTTTCATCTTCAAGAAACTCACAGTATAATGAAGAACACAGATGGGTAAATTAGTGATGGCAATCCAATCCAATATGCTTAGTGTCATAACAGAGATATTAAGAATAAGTTGTGAATTTAAAGCAAAATACCCATTATTTCTAAAAGAATGAGAAAGGACCTGACAAAAGCAGAAATTTAAGCTACTTCTTTTTCATTGAATCAAAATATCCTAACTTCCAAGAACATTAAATGGGGAGGAAAAGGTGCAAACAAATGTGTAAACCAATGACAATGTCTGGCACATAGGATAGCTCGTGTTGAAAAAACAATGTTGGGAAATGTCAAAGAAAAGAAAGATTGAGGTGTTGTGTGAATGATCTTTCATCTCACTGTAAAGGGTTGATTTATCTGTAAAAACAGCAATTCAGTGAAAGTCCCTAAAAAAGAACATAATACAACAAAATGGTGCTTTTAACAAGAAAACTTTGATAGTTCTTTAGGAGAGAGTGAAAAAACAGAAGAAACACTTATCAAGAGGACAAAGAAAGACACTGGGGCAATAGAGAGGGGTGCTTGTTTGTTTTTTAATTCTCTTTGGTAGAAGAGCACTTAGTACTCTTTATATATGGAAAGTACATCTTAGAATATGTGAACTGTAAGATAGTGAGTCATTCAAATTTATATATTTCAATAGACATATTCTGTTTGACAAAGATAAACCCTTTTAAAGGTTGTGTCATCATAAACAGCTTTATCCTACAACTCTCAGCCAACATACAACTCAGTAGTATAGGGTATCTCTGGTTTCAAGTGATAATTTAAAGAAGAGTCTTTCAGTCTTGACAACATGTATTAAAGCTTTTCTGGAACACTTAAAAAAATAATAAAACTACCTTAATGTGCCAAACTTTGCAGCAGCAGTTTTTATACTTTTTAATAGTGAAATTAGACCCCAAAAGTTTATACTGCCATTGTTCTAGGTTGGATTGTTTCAGTATTTCATTTGTAATATATGAATATGGACTCTGTCTTACTCCCTCTCCTTATGTTGTCTCCAATATGCAAAGATAACACTACCGGCCTCAAGCTAATAACTATATAATATTACTTTAGCTTCATTCATTGTAACTACTGGCCATTACCTAAACTACTATTACATAATAAAGTAACTTAGTCTTCTGTCATTATTAGAAAAAAAAAAAGATATCCAAATGGGAGAAAGTAAACCCACTGAAATTTCACTCAATTTTCACTCCTGGATGCTTTCACAGGCTGGTGTTGAGTGTCTGCAGCTTTTCCAGGTACATGGTGCAAGCTGTTGGTGGATCTGCCATTCTGGGATAGGAAAGATGGTGGCCCCCTTCTCACATCTTCATTAGGCAATGCCCTGCTGTGGACTCTGTGTGGATTCTTCAACTCCACATTTCCCTTCCACATTGCCCTAACAGAGGTTCTCCATGAGGGCTCCACATGGACTAGGGAGGCCTCACAATCATGGCAGAGGGTAAAGGAGAAGTAACACATGTCTTACATGGTGGCAGGCAAGAGAATGAGTTCAGCAGGTGAAACTCCCCTTTATGAAGCCATCAAATATTGTGAGACTGATACACTACTACTAGAATAGCAATGGAAAGACCCACCCAATGATTCAGTTACCTCCCACCTGGTAACTGACAGGTGGAAATTATGGGAGCTACAATTCAAGATGAGATTTGGGTGGGGAAACAGCCAAACTATATCATTCCACTCCTGGCCTCTCCGAAACCTCAAGTCCTCACATTTCAAAACCAATCATGCCTTCCCAATAGTCCCCCAAAGATTTCAGCATTAACTCAAAAGTTCACAGTCTAAAGTTTCATCTGAAACAAGGCAAGTCCCTTTTGCCTATGAGCCTGTAAAATCAAAAGCAAGTTAGTTACTTCCTAGATACAATGGGGGTACAGGTATTGGGTAAATAGACCCATTCAAAATGGGAGAAATTGGCCAAAACACAGGGACTGCAGGCCCCATACAAGTCCAAAATCCAATAGTGCAGTCATTAAACCTTAAAGTTACCAAATGATCGCCTTTGATTCCATGTCTTACATCTAAGTCATGCTGATGGAAGAGGTGGGCTCCCATGGCCTTGGGCAGCTCTGCCTCTGTGGCTTTGCAGGGTACAGCAACCCCCCTGGATGCTTTCAAAGGCTGGTGTTGAGTGTCTGCAGCTTTTCCAGGTGCATGGTGCAAGCTGTTGGTGGATCTGCCATTCTGGGGTAGGAAAGATGGTAGCCCCCTTCTCACATCTTCACTAGGCAATGCCCTGCTGCAGACTCTGTGTGGGTTCTTCAACTCCACATTTCCCTTCCACATTGCCCTAAGAGAGGTTCTCCATGAGGGCTCTGCCTCTGTAGCAAACTTCTACCTGGAGATCCAGGCAATTCCATACATCCTCTGAAATCTAGGCAGAGGTTCCCAAACCTCAATTCCTGACTTCTGTGCACCCACAGGCTCAACACCATGTGGAAACTGCCAAGGCTTGGGGCTTGCACCCTCTGAAGCCTTGGCCTCAGCTGTACTGTGGTCCCTTTTAGCCACAGCTGGAGCAGCTGGGACACAGAGCGCAAAGTCCCTAGGCTGCACACAGCAGAGGGTACCTGGGCCAGGCCCACAAAACCATTTTTTCCTCACAGGCCTCTGGGTCTGTGATGGGAGGGGCTTCCATGAAGGTCTCTGACATACCTTGCAGACATTTTCCTCATTGTCTTGGTGATTAACATTTGGCCCATCATTACTTATGCAAATTTTTGCACTGGCTTAAATTTCTCCCTAGAAAATGAGATTTTCTTTTATATTCACATTATCAGGCTACAACTTTTCCAAATAGTTTTGCTCTGCTTCCTCTTGAATGCTTTGCTGCTTAAAAATTTCTTCCATCAGGTACCATAAGTCATCTCTCTCAAGTTCAAACTCCCACAGATCTCTAGGTCATGGGAAAAATGCCAACAGTCTCTTTGCATAGCAAGAATGACTTTACTCCAGTTCCCAACAAGTTCCTCATCTCCATCTGAGACCACTTCAGCCTGGACTTTTTTGTTCATATCACTGTCAGCATTTTGGTCAAAGCTATTCCACAAGCCTCTAGGAAGTTCCAAACTTTCCCACATTTTTCTGTCTTCTTCTGAGCTCTCCGAACTCTTCCCAACTCTGCCTGTTACCCAGTTCCAAAGTCACTTCCACATTTTGGGGTATCTTTACAGCAATGCCCCACTACCTCAGTACCAATTTAATGTATTAGTCTGTTCTCATGCTGCTAATGAAGGCATTCCTGAGACTGGGTGATTTACAAAGAAAAAGAGGTTTAGTGGACTCATGTTCCCCATGGCTGTGGAGGCTTCACAATCATGGCAGAGGGTGAAGGGGAAGCAAGGCAGGTCTTACATGGCAGCAGGCAAGAGAATGTATTCAGGGAACTCCCCTCTATAAAACCATCAGACTTGTAAGACTTATTCACTACTGTAAGAACAGCATGGGAAAGATTTGACCACATGATTCAATTACCTCCCACCTGGTCCCTCCTACGACAGGTGAGAATTATGGTAGCTATAACTTAAAATGAGATTTGAGTGGGGACACAGCCAAACCATATCACCGTAGTAACAGAAACTTTTAATAGATAACAGTGCCTTAGGCTTTGGTATATGGTTTTGTTTATTTTTATTCATTTATTTTATTATATCCCCATGCCTTAGTCATTATTTCTGCATACACATATTTTTTTAAATCAAAACCCATTTAGTGCTGTAGCAACAGTGTTGTTGCATCAATATGGGTACAATTCAAGAGTTGTTCCTCAACATAAACCTAGAGTCATAATTTATTTATTTATTTATTTATTTTGAGATGGAGTCTCGCTCTGTCACCCAGGTTGGAGTGCAGTGGCGCGATCTCCACCCCCCAGGTTCATGCCATTCTCCTGCCTCAGCCTCCTGAGTAGCTGGGACTACAGGCACCCACCACCATGCCTGGCTAATTTTTTTGTATTTTTAGTAGAGACAGGGTTTCACCATGTTTGCCAGGATGGTCTTGATGTCCTGACCTCGTGATCTGCCCACCTCAGCCTCCCAAAGTGCTGGGATTACAGGCATGAGCCACTGCACCCAGCCAGTTTATTTTTCTTATAGAGGTACTATGCAAGTTGAATCACTTTACTTCTGTTTTTACCAATCATATAAATCCATGTGCAAGCCTCAAGTTGCTTATGTACAGTTGACAGTGACTTTGATTCTTACCATTACTGTGTCTTGAGATACAAATTTGATTACCCCATTAGAAATAATGGATGATTGCTTTTTAAAGTCATCATTAACAAGGCAGCAAATTATCAATGTCAAAAAGAGTTTTTCCTATGTTCTCTTCTAGAAGTTTTAAAGTTTCATGTCTTTAAGTTTTTGTTACAGTTTGAGTTCATTTTTGTGTATGATGTAAGGTAATTCTGGTCCAATTTCATTATTTTGCGTGTGGATAGTCTGTTTTTCCAACAATATTTGTCGAAGAGACTATTCACTCCTCAATGTGTATTCTCGGCACCCTTGTATAAGATCAGTTGTCTGTATTTGTGTAGGTTTATTTCTGGGCCCTCTATTCTGTTCCATGATGTATAGGTCTGTATTTTTTATAGTACCATCGTGTTTTAATTACTGTAGCTTTATCACATATATATTTTGAAATCAGAATCAGTTTTGTTCTGCTTTCTCAAAATTACTTTTGCTCTTCTGGGTCTTTTGTGGTTCCATATGAATTTTAGATATTTTTAAAATTTTCTATACAAAATGTAGCATATTTGGAATTTTTATGTTAATAATATTAAATCTATAGATCACATAGTGTAGTATGAACATTTTAATAATATTAAAGTCTTCCATGCCATGACTATGGATATCTTTGCATTTAAGTGAGTCTCTTTTAATTTATTTCATCAGTGTTTTGCTGTTTTCAGTGTATAAGTCTTTTTTGAATATGACACTAAAAGCACAGACAACAAAAGCAAAAATAGATAAGTGGAACTGCAATGAATTAAAAAGCTCCACTTAATATAGGAAGCAATCAAAATAATAAAATGGTAACCGATGGACTGGGAGAAAATATTTCAGAATTATGTATTCAATATGGAGTTAATTTTCAAAATATGTAAGGAACTCTTACAACTAAATAGCAAATAATAATAATGATAATTCAATTTTAAAATGGGCAAAGGGCTTAAGTAGATATTTTTCAAAACAATATATACAAATAGCCAGCATGCATATGAAAAAAATCAACATTATTATCAGAGAAACACAAATCAAAACTAAAATGAGATATCATCTCACACCAGTTAGTTCAACTATCAGTTTAAATGAGGTAGCACATGTTGAAAACAATGTGAAAAAATTGGAGCTCTTCTACACTGTTGAGTGGGAATGTAAAATGTTGCAGCAGCTATGGAAGACAATAAGGAATTTTCTAAAAAATTAAAAATAGAACTACCATATGATCCAGCAATCCCACTTCTGGATACATATTCAAAATAATTGAAATAGACAAGATAGCTGCACTCTTATGTTATTTGCAACATTATTCACAATAGTCATGATATGGAAACAACTCAAGTATCCATCAGTAGATGAACATATAAAGAAAATGTGGCATAAATACAATGGTATATTATTCAGTCTTTAAAAAGAAGGAAATCGTGTCATCCACAACAAGGTGATGAATGCAGAGAAGGTTATACTAAGTGGAATAAGCCAGTCATCAAATGGCAAATGCGGTGTAATTCCAATAATAAGAGACATCTATTACAGTCAAAGTAATAGAAGCAGAAAATACAATAGTGGTTGCTAGAGGTGGGAGGATGGGGTAAATGGGGAGTTATTTTTCAATGTGTATAAATTTCAGTTGTGCTAGATAAATACATTTCAGAAATATGCTGTACAACATTGTGCTGTAGTTAAAAATACAGTGTTGTGCCCTTCAAACATTTTTAAGATGATTGATCGCTCATGTTGTGTTCTTACCACAGACAAACAAACAAGCAAGCAAAAGTAAAAAACACAAACAAAAACAACAAAAAACAAAGAGACACAAGAAGATATTGGGAGGTGGCAGACATATGAATTACCTTGATTGCGGTAGTAGTATCATGGATGTTTGCATATGTCCTAGTTCATCAAATTATATACATTAAATATGTGCAATTATTTATCTGTCAATTATATTTGAATAATATTTGAATATATTGAATAATATTTTTTTAAAAAGGAGACTAAAAAGCAATTATAAAGGCTATATAATTGTATTGGGCCGAATGCAGTGGCTTATGCCTGTAATCCCAGCACATTGGTAGGCTGAGACAGAAGGATTAAGTCCAGGAGTTTGAAACCAGCCTGGGCAACATGATGATACCCCATTTCTATTAAAGAAAAAAAGAAGAAATATAAGGACAGTAACATCAATAGTGACCCATTATGCTCAAAAATAAAAAAATTTAAACCAATGACAAGTTAAATATAAATACAAAACACAAAACACATTTGTACAGCTAACTCACAATTTATAATTTAGTTTTCACTAGCTATTCATCACATTAAGGATGTGATAAAAGTTATTGTTTTAGTTTGATTTGTGTTTAGCTTGTAACTGTTTCTAATATCTATCTATCTATCTATATCTATATCTATCTCTCTATATATATATAATCATTTTCTCTTACTGTCCTAGGGTGATATACCCAAGAATCACCTGCATTATCCGTTAGATATTACGAAAACTGAGGCACTTAATAATAAGCTCTTCTGAGAAGCTGCAGTTCAACCTCCATGTGTAATGTGCATACTCTTGAGATAATATCTTGAATGTTATTGATTCATATATTTATATATTGATACACTTATATATTCATATAGAGATGACAGGATAGATTTCATTAATAGCTATCTTTATCTGAAGTGCTTATTTTTGCCTTTTTGTGAACTATTTATATCAGGAAATTTTATATGGATAAATGCAGCATGTGATTATTAATTATAATAAGAATAGTTACCATTTAAACTGGACCAAAAACTGTGCTAAGTGCTTTTGATATATTATTTCATTTGATTCTAAAAGGAAGACTAGAAGCTATCATTAAATTCACATTTTTTAAATAAATGAGTTAGAGACTTCTGCCATGGTTGAATAGTTGAACTACAAAACTAGAGTGCTTCATTACCACACTCTATTAGCATCCTTGGAAAAGGTAACCTTGGGAGTCAGGGACCAAAAATAAGACTTGCTTGGCATGTGGAGCAGTTCTGCTCTAGAGGATGAAAGGAAGTGAAGGTATTCCCGGTGCATGGTACTAAAAACACTAGTTTGTATAGTGGTTGAATATATGATTATGTCATGTTTCTGAGGTGTATGAACTAAAGCCAGAGATTTATCCCCGTTAATATTTATCAGTAGTGTGTACCTTTGTATTATTAGATAGCATTTCTTCATTTACATGCACATTTTGTTTATCCTTTCCCCATTTGAAACCACTGAAACGCTTCAACGTTTTCTTTAAATAAAACTGTGATAAGCATTTGCATAAGGGTTTTTGTAAAAACAAAGTTTGTTATTTCACTTGGCAAATACCTAGGTGAGAGATTACAGGTTCACGTGGCAAGTGTATGTTTAAATTTATAAGACACTGAAAAACTATTTTTCAAAGTGATATTCTATTTTGCACTCTCACTGGATAATATGAGAGTCCCATTGCTCAGCAGCCTTATCAGAAATTGTTAATTTTAAAAATTATTCCTTTTAATAGTTTATAGTGGTACTTCATTGTACTTTTAATTTGCATCTCTCTTTTTATGAATTGTTTCCTATTCTAAAAATGGAATTTTTTTTCCAATTACTGTGTTTTGGAAGTAAACTATATATACTAATTATAAATATTTTATCAGATGTGAGACTGGCACACATTGTCGCGTAATTTGTGAATTCTTTTTATTCTCTTAACAATATTTTTTGGAAAACCGAAGCTCTTGTGCTCTTGTGTCATATCCGTAGAAGTCACAAAACTTCTTTTATGGATTTCCATTTAGAAGTCACAAAGATTTTCTCATGTGTTTCTTTTTAGAAGTTGTATAGTTCATAAAATTATAAAAGGTCAACTTTGAGCATAGTGACAAAAGACTGTTTATCAGAAATGAAGCTAGACTGCATTATTTTAAGATGATATTTCCTCAAATTCTAGCCATGTGATCCCTCTTAGTTATCTACTGCTACATTTTTTAAAATTACTCAAAATTTAGTGGCTTAAAGCAATTATTAGTTTATACTTTCTCCGTGTCAGGAATCTCTACATGTTTTAGCTGGTTTAGCTCAGCTTTTCTTTCAATATTTTGGTCAGGTTCTTGTTTGCCCAAACTGTTACCGTTGTCTCAAACAGATGCAATAATAAATGAGTGGCATAAATGATTGGCTCTGATTGTTTCTGATAAGGGTTTTAGGCAAAGGCTGTTCATATTGAGTAAGCTCTGAGTCAGGTCAAACCCATGCCTGGGCTTTTTTCCATAAAGCTGCAAGACAGGTCAAATAATGAATATTTTTGGGTTTGGTAACTTTTGGGGGAGATTGAAACACATTATTCCCCTCTGGTTCCTGCTACTTTTCTAGTTTTTATGGCTACAATGATGGTGAAGCTGTTCGTTTTTGAAACCGCCTTTGCAAAAAGTACAGCGGTGGGAAAATTACAGCTATGGGGGAGATCTGACCTAGCATTACTCGTTGTGTCTTTAGCCTTCAACCTGCTTTAATTATTCTTGGGCTTAGGCTGGGCTAGCTGTGGGAGCATTTAGTTTATAGTTTAAATGATAATGGCCCTTCCCCGAAGCTCAACCCCCATTTATAAAGTTAATGGGAGACCATTAGACTAGAAGGAGGAGAGAAGCCTGAGTTCTGCTATGATGTAGACATAAACAGTTGCCAGCCATTATTCTGGAGGTCAAAATATATGCAAATTTCCGAATTACTTCTGCAGATACATCACTATTGTAGAACTTAAGATTGGCCTTTTGAGATATCTTTTCATTTTTTGCATGTCTGACACCCATGGATCCATATAGACCCACCAAACCATGGCTCTTGTGCCCCACCCCGAAGTGACTCAGCACAAGAGAACAGCTTCCACTTCCTATGATTTCCTCTCCAACATAACTAATCAGCAGCAAGCACCCATTGGCTAGTCACATCCACCCATTCCCCCAAACAACCTTTGAAAAGCCCCTATCCTGTTAGCCTACAATAAGATGGATTTGAGTACTAACTCTGTCTCCTGTGTAGCTTGACCGGCCTCATGTCAATTAAACTGTTTCTTTACGGCAATGCTGTGGTCATTGTGCAGTGGGCATGAAGAACCCATCTGGTGATTACATTATTGGGGGATGAAATAGGGAAAATTTAAATGCCATGAATCTCACCATTCTTACCAAAATTCAGCCATTTTTCTTAGATATATATTTCTCTTAAACATTAATTTTGGCAATTTTGCCAGTTTCCTGTGTTTTTACAGAACAGCAGGTTTTTGAAGGTTTTTACTCTACCATTGCTGAAATCATCCTCAGTATTTCTCCTAAATGTTGGGTAAAATTTGCAGAAATCTTCTGAACCAATAGAACATTTTTTCTCCTGAATATTTTTCTCACAAATTTAATTTTCTTAATCTAAGACTATTTCTTATCCAGGACTTGATTCATGACTATTCATGTTATCTGTTTCCTCTTGAGTGTACCGTTTAAAAAAAGTGTACCGTTTAAAAAGTGTACCATTTAAAAAAAATTCTTTGCAATTTTCCCCTATTAGTATTTAAATACTTTCATGGTATGTAGCAATGTTCCCCCTTTCTTTCCTGATATTTGCAATTTGTGTGTACACTATGACTCACTTCTTTTTCCTGGTCAATCTAACTTGATAATTTTCTTTTAATAGATTTTTATAAATAATCATACATTTTCACTATTTTCTCTATTGTTTTTCTGTTCTCAATCCCATTGATTTTGTTTTTATGTTTAACTTCCTTTGATTTTTGCAGGGGAAGGAGAGCAATTAGTTGTAATTAGTTTTTTATTTTGTTTGTTTGTAGTTCCTAGTATGAAAGCTTAAAACACTCATGCCTTAAAACTCCAGAAAGCACTGCTTTAACTACTTGCCTCAAACTTCAATATCTGTAGTATTCATTTTTATTCAATTCACCGTATTTTCCAAAATTTGGAGGCTTCTATTTTGGCCCAATACATTGTATAAAAGGTGTTGTTTTATTTACAGATATGTGGGAAATTTCTGATATCTTTAAATTATCAAATACATTAAACAATTGTAATAACTTTAATATGTTAAAAATTTAAGTAGATGAAGACAAACTCCATTAAAAAATGACATCTAAATTTAGAGATAAAAGCTAAATAGGCACATTGGATGAGATTAAAGGCACAGTAGATATTACAAAGGAAAAAAGCTAGTAAACTCAATAATAGCAATAGGAACTTTCCAAAATAAAACACACAAACAATAATATACCTGAGCTATGTGACCTCAGGTGGCTACATATAAGTGTTAGTGAAGTCCCAAGAAAAGAATAGAGAGATGTGATTAAAGAGCAAATATTTGACAAAATAATGGCTAGAAAATTTTGGAATTGATTAATCATTTTCTTCTGTTATATGTTCTTCTTAAAATTTTAAATATATTGAATGCAGTTATAATAACAATTTAACATTATTGGTAATTCCAATAAATGCTTTAATTGGATTTTGATGGATTAATATTTCTTTCTTAACAGGTCATATTTCTCTGCTTCTTTGCACGCCTGATAATTTTTAACTTGATATCTACATTGTGAATTTCACCTTGGTGAGTGATGAATATGTTTATACTCTTATAAATTGTTTTTGACATTTGTTTTGAATCACACAGGCTATGTAGAAACAGTGTGATCATTTCAGTTTTTGTTGTTAACAACTGTTAGGCATTATTAAAGCAGTATTTAGTCTATCGTTAGGTATTCTACATTTCTGAGGCAAAACCATTCTGATTACTGTATCTTATCTAATGACCCAGTTGTCCTGAGTTTTTCAATCTGTTTGATGGGAAGAGGTACTACTCCTGGCTCTGAGTGAGTGCCAGGCATTATTCTCTTGTATGACTTCGGGTGTTTCTCTTCCTATTCTCAAGTAATTTTCTTACATGCATGTGCTCATAATCATTTTGCTAAATATTCTAGGTGGAGTCTACAGATCTCTGTAGTTCTTTCTCTGTGCAGCTCTTTGCTCTATGATATTCTGTTCTACAAACTCTAGCCACTTTTATCTTCCCATATTCTTAGCTCCATCTCCTCAAATCAAACAGTTGTCTGGGCTCTGCCTAAGTTTCCTCTCCCTCTCCCTACACTGTAGGCTAGAAGCTCACCCAAGGTAATCCAGAGCCCAGCTGTTTTATTTTGTTTTTTTGTTTGTTTGTTTGTTTGTTTGTTTGTTTTTCCTATCTTTTAGGGATTATTGCCCCCCTTTGCCTCTGTTTTGTCTTTTCTTCATTGTTTCCTTCTTTCCCTCCCCTCCAGGCCTCCAGCACAAGACAGGGTTTTCCCTGTCTCCCCACTCCTCTGTTGCCAATCCTGCTTGCATGTGCTTAATGAGAAAAAGAGGAAAAAAGACTGAAAGCAGTTTTGAATTCTCCATGTCTGGTGCTACAACCGGTTCTGTAATCCCCTCAAACCAGGCCTTTGGCCATTTGCTAAAATTTGTAACAAAATTATGGTTTACAAGAGGTCTGGTCTCTCTCTTAGAAAAGCAATTGTGTAACTGGGTTTTCTTACTGCCTGCTGCACAAAAAAAAGTCAGTTCAGGAAACTGCAGTAAAGAGAGTTTAATTGATAAAAGGCCACCCATGCCATGCCAGAGATGGAGTTATTACTCAAATCAAGTATCATCAAGGGCTCATAAGTTAGGAGTTTTTCAAAGGTAGTTTGCGGGAAGTAGTAGTGTGGCAACAGTGGGTGCTTGCTGTTGACCAATTGGGCTGGAGATAAAATCATAGGCAGTGGAAGCTGTTCTCTTGTGCTGAGTCACTTTGGGGTGGGTACAGGAGCCATGGGCTGGTGGGTCCATGTGGAGCCATGGGTGTCAGAAGTGCAAAAAACCTGAAAATGATTCGGAAGGGGGGAATGGCATGGTCCCTGGCTAGGGCTCCACCCCCGGCCCTGTGCTCACGGACCTAGGTGAGGACAGGCATTTTTGTTTTCCTGCCCAAATGTTGCATTTCTGTCCTGGCCTGCCATGCCCCCATCCTGTGCATATGAAAACCTCAGGACCCTAACAGGTAGGCACACAGGTGGCTGGACATCGAGAGGAGCACATCAGTGGAGGAACACACGGGTTGCTGGACATGGAGAGGAATGCACCAACAGGCACCGGCAGCGGGGAGGCCACTGACCGGCAGAACAACGCAGAGTTTGGCTGGGGCAATTGGAGGAGAGCCTGGAACACTGAGTGGCCCAACTCCAGGGGAAAACCAGTCTCCCTTCTGGCTTCCTCATCTACTGAGAGCTACTTCTACTCAATAAAACCTTGCACTCATTCTCCAAGCCCACGTGTGATCCGATTCTTCCAGTACACCAAGGCGAGAACCCCAGGATACAGAAAGCCCCCTGTCCTTGTGATAAGTCAGGGGTCTAATTGAGCTGACTAACACAAGCCGCCTATGGACAGCTAAACGAAAACAGCACTCTGTAACACATGCCCACGGGGGCTTCAGCTGTAAACATTCACCCGCTAAACACTGCAGTGGGGTCAGAGCCCCACAGCCTGCCCATCTGTATGCTCCCCTAGAGGTTTGAGCAGCAGGGCACTGAAGAAGCGAGTCACACCCCCATTGCACAGCCTGCTAGGGGGACAAGGGAACTTTTCCCATTTCAGAAAGATATCTCAAAAGGCCAACCTTAGGTTCTATAACAGTGATGTTATCTGCAGAAGTAATTGGGGAAGTTGCATGTCTTGTGACCTTCAAAATAAATGGCTGGCAATCTTTTATGTCTATACTTTGAAGAATTCAGGCTTCTCTCTTCTCCCTAGCCTGGTGGTCTCTCAGTAGCTTTACAAAGGCAGTTGAGTTTGGGTGAAGGGCTATTAACATTCAAAGGATAAACTAAATGTCTACTAAAGTTAGCTATGCCTAGGAGTAATTAAGACAGCTTGAAGGCTAAAAGCAGGAGAGGTTTTGGCTAGATCAGATCTCCCCAAATGCCATCATTTTCTTACTGATATAATTTTTGCAAATGCAGTTTCAATTGCTTGCGCCACATTCTTTCATGTGGGTGCCTGGATCTGTGAATATTTCAACTTAGTTGATTGCTGTGAGACTTCAACTATGAAAAATTCAAGAAAAATTGTGATTTTGCATTTGTGTAGTAAGTTTGCAGGAAGGATACCATCCAGTTTTCTTCATCTTATCTAAAGCTTATGCTAAAGTTATTTTTAGCATTTTTTTTTTGTGGGAATGAAGGTTAAGAATGGTGTTAAAAAACAAGAAATAATTGTAAAAGCGCCTAACATGCTTACCTTTTGTCTTTAGTATTTGAATTACTTTGCAAAGGCTGCCATAACAAAATACTGAAGCAGGATATTTCCCTGACCCTCTTCGCAGGCAGGAACTGGAGTGCATGGGCACTGACATGGGTGAACTCCACTCACTTGCTGCTCCACCCATTGTGGGAGGGGGAGCACAGGTGAGTGGGTGCAGGAGCCAGGGCGAGCACTTTTGGGTGCTGGCAAGAGTAAATTCCGTACCGGTCCTGTGGCAATGTCTAGGGCAGGATGGCCATGATCCCTGAAGCCCCAGAGGAAGTGTTGCAGTGCCGTTTTAGCTTTGCCATCTGCAGATGGCTTAAGTGTTAATAGCTCAGTGAAGAGTCAGTGTGACAGCATTTGAATCCACACTTGTGGCACATGAGTACCTGTCCGGCGACCAGGAGGAACAATGTCGCATGAATGAATTGAAGATAGTAAATGTGGAGGATTTTATTGCCAGTGATAGTGGCTGTCAGTGGGAAGGGGAACTGAAAAGGGATGGAGCAGGAAGATAATCTTGTAGGGATGACTGCACTCCTCTCCAAAGCTATGCTGTCAAGCTGTCCCTCTGAAGTCAAGCCACTTCTCTCTCACATCTAACCCTAGCCTCTGATGTTCAGCTGCCTCTCCTCTCTCTGCTGGTTAAGCCTGAGGTTTCTAATGGGCACAGGATCGGAGGCAGGGTGGGCATGGGTGGTTTTAGAAAAGGCAGTAGTCAAGCGGGAAAACAGGGATGTAAGTTCTCACTTTGGTCCTCACCAAGGACCTGTCCTCTTCTGCCCAGAATTTCTTGCCTCCTCTTCCTATCAATGCTATAGACTGGGTAGCTTAAACAATATAAATTTATATTCTCACAGTCCTGGAAGCTTGAGTTTCAAGATGAAGTTGTTGGCAAATGTGGTTTCTTCTGAGGCCTCTCTCCTTGGTTTGCTGCCTTCTCAATCTGTGACCTCCTCACATGGTCTTCCTTTGGTTTGTGTCTGTGCCCTACTCTTCTTTACTTTCTTTGCTTTTTTTAGACGGAGTTTTGCTCTCATGGCCCAGGCTGAAGTGCAATGGCGTGACCTCAGCTCACTGCAACATCTGCCTCCCAGGTTCAAGGGATTTGCCTGCCTCAGCCTCCAAGCAGCTGGGATTATAGGCACCTGCCACCACGCCTGGCCAATTTTTTGTATTTTTAGTAGAGATAAGGTTTCACCATTTTGGTCAAGCTGGTCTCAAACTCCTGACCTCAGGTGATACACCCGCCTGGGACTCCCAACTCTTCTTTTCTTATAAGGACCACAGTCATAATTGGATTAGGACCCACTTATCTGAACTTATTTTACCTCAATTACATCTAAAGGACCTATCCCCAAATATAGTCACATTCTAAGGTTAAGACTTCAACATATGAATTTTATGGGGACCCAATTCAGGCTTAAAACATGAGTTTAATGTGACTCTAATCCCAGCTACTTGGGAGGCTGGGGCTGAAGGATCACTTAAGGTGGTATTCGAAGTCAGCCTGGGAAACAGAGGGAGACCCCATCTCAAAATTAAAAAAAAAAAAGATCAGTTTTGCAACTAAGCCCTAATTTTTGTTTCTTATTATAAACTAAAAATAAAATTCTAATGCTCCCCAACCATCTAAATGGACTTCCTCCTCAGCCAGGGTGCTTTAACTGGAAAGACTGGTTCAGGCCATGATGGGAAGTAGGGGTCGGACATGCTTCATTCTACCTCTCAGGCATTAACATCAACACAGATCTTAAGTCTGATAAGAAACATTTACAATCTATTCTTTCTGAAGCCTAAAACCTGAAGGCTTCATCTGCATAAAACTTTGGTTTCCACAACCTCTTATGGCAACCCAGGCATTTCCTTTCTATTGATCCCAGGTCTTTAGATAAACTCAACCAATTGTCCACCAAAAAATTTTTAAATCTATCTGTAACCTGGAAGCCACCCCACGCCACCCCACCCGACCCCCAAACACCCCTCCCCATCCTTTTCAAGTTGTCTCACCTTTCTGGACCTTACCAATGTATTTCTTAAATGTATTCTATTGAAGTCTCAAGTCTTCCTAAAACATATAAAAGCAAGCTGCACCACAATCACCTTGGGCACATGTTCTGAGGATCTCATGAGGGCTGTGTCACGGGCCACAGTCACTCATATTTGACACAGAATAAATCTCTTCAAATATTTTACAGGGTTTGACTCTTTCTGCCAACAGTCTATTTATGTAAACCTCTTTTTAAATGTTTTAATTTAAAAGAAAGAAGGCTATTTTTGGATGTTTGAAGAGTTAATTCTCATATACAAACACAAAACCAGAAGAATACCAACCAAATAAAGCTAAATTTGAAATAAATATTAGGGTCGTAAGCCTATTATACAATTAGCTACAGCTACTACTACAATGTGTATACGTAAACACTTCTGAGCTAAACTAAACAATATTTTAACTCCATAAATCTAGCTGTTGCCTTTACATTATGAGGTGAGATCCCTTAAGATTAGAAAAATTTTTATCCATTTTCAAGGTGATAAATTGTCCCTAGTATCCCTTAAGATCAGAATTTTTTAGCCATATTTAAGATGATAAATGTTTCTAGTCAGGATTTTTAACTATGGAGAATGTATATGTTATAAAAATAATTTCTGTAGACCAGCAGAATCATATAAATTAGAACTATAAAAACCCAAAGCCTCAGAGGTAATTTAGATCTGCCACTGATAGTTTCTTTCTTATATTACTGTCAACAGCATTTGCTCCAATTTAAAATGTAATAAAGATGTTTCCCACAAAGTAACTTAAAATGTTTGTTGATATGCAACACGATTATCTCAAAGTATTTTATTACTTATCTTATTTGTCTTTTATCTGTATCAGTTGTTAGTTTATATGATGTATATGTATATATACACACACACACACGCGATAGTTTCACTTAGTTTTCTCAATTCTGTGATGCATAAATGTGTAGGCTCTTTTTTTCTCTGAATCATCAGAGGTATAAGGGATTGGAAAACATTCCCATATACTATTCCAATCCTTAATGCCAAAATGAAATTCACCACAGTTTAAAGCTTCTTCATGCTGGTATTAAATCAGTCTTCCAGCACTGTATTTGAAATTTATGTCAATCTTGTATGCTCTCCCCTTCATAGATTTTTGGTATTCTTTCAAGACTTAGCCAATGACAGCTACTTAAATTTTACACCCAAAGCAAAAATTTCAGGAAATTTCCCCAGTCCTTTAATTTCTTAAACTCAGATACTCTGTTATTCATAGCACCACTATTAATAATGAAGGAAAAACAAAAGGGAAATTGTATGTCAAAAATATCAAATTCCAAAAGATCCCTTTCTCTCTGTAAAAGTAAACTTAAACATTATCTTTGTGTCTCCTGCACAGTTAATTTGTTTCTGTTCTACCAACCATTGAAGTCAAAGGACTCAATCACTTGTAACTTTTTCCAACAGGTAACAAATATTTTGTTTCCCTGGCAATAATAGTTCAAGATCATGCACACGAATAAACAAAGTAGAAATCATTTGTATTGTCTTGTAATAGCTGATATTTGCATGCATGTATAAAGTACTGATTGCAATTGTATCGAAATACCGTACTACACATAATATTGTGACTAAGTGTTAAGGAGCAAAAATGATGACAAATCCTCAAAATTGCTTACACAAAATGTGAACATCAGAAGCCTTATATTTTCCCCCAAAATACAGAGGTTTGTGCTTGTTGATTCTGATATGAAGTGATCTTCTAGGAAGTCAAGTATACATATTCCTATATTTATCTGGAAGTCAGCAAAATGTGTTTAATGTAGTAAACAAAATAAATATTAGAATATATATTAATATCTACTTAAAAGAGATTACAACTATCTATAACTACAGCTTTCACAAGCAAACAATAGAGGAAAAGTAAAGATCACAGATATGGCAATAACATACAAAAATAACAGAAAGCAACTCTATTTCAAGAAAATTCCTTTGGAATAAAAACATAGCAAAACCTAAGCAGCCATCTTTTTTATGGGATAGGTCTACAGGTTTGCTGACAGACAATGAAAGTTCCTTACTCTGTAATTATCTTGCCCTCAAAAGTAATTAGGTAAGCAATGACCCAGATATAATTGTTTCCCTTTGTTTTTCTTCATATGACTCTAATATGTGTTCCTGTCCTCTAGGGGCATTCTCACTGGCTCACTGGTTTTGGAGACAACACACACACCCCTGAAATATTTAAATAACAACAGAAAGGAATTTATGGATCTGAGCCTGTATTAAAGGTTTGAAGAAAATCACTTCTGAATTCAGTGTGTTTGTGATAAGAATGGCAAATTATGGCTGTTTGTGGTGATCAATATTAGGTGTCAACTTGATTGGATTGAAGTATGCCTACATAGGTGGTATAGTAGGTTTCTTGGTGTGTTTGTGAGGGTGTTGCCAGAGGAGGTTAAGTTTGAGTCAGTGAACTCAAAGAGGAATACCTACCCTCAATGTGGGTGGGCACCATCCGACTGGCTGCCAGAGTGGCTAGAACAAAGTAGGCAGAAGAAGTGACATAAGGTGACTTGAGTCTTCTGGCTTTCATCTTCCCTCTGTACTGGATGCTTCCATTCATTCCTCCTGCCCTTGGACATCAGACTCCAGTTTCTTCAGCCTTTGGACTCTTGGACTTACAGCAGTGATTTGCTGGGGGCTTTCTGGCCTTTGACCACAGACTGAAGGCTGCACTGTTAGCTTCTCTGCTTTTGAGGCTTTGGGACTCTGACTGAGTCACTACTGGTTTATTTCTCCCTCAGCTTGCAGACAGACTATCATTGGACTTTGCTTTGTGATCATGTGAGCCAATTATCCTTTATAAACTCCCTTTCGTATATACATACATCCTATTAGTTCTGTCTCTGAAGCACCCTAACTAATACACTGTTAAAACTGCAGTTAAGGCCTCTGCATTCCTTAAACTTTCTGCATTTACTCAGGAGTTCAGAATTACTCCTGTAATTGGTGGAAATGGAAATGGAAACCAAGTCTACAGGAGAAAGTTCTGACAGGGAGCTCTGGATTTGAGGATGGGAAACCATTGCCAGAGAAAGACCATGTGGCCAGGACCCCAGCTCAATACCAATCATCTGTGTGGCCCTGGACAAGGAACTTAATCTCTCTGGATCTCAGAATTTCCTTGTGTAAACTGGAAGATTTAATTAAACTAGCATTCATCTTGTTATATTTACAGGTCCTTAGGAGCCATTGAGGTGTCAGATGAAGGACACAAATGCTGGCCTCATGTCCCCTGACATCACTAACACCAATAAAAAAAAATTCCATTCTGATTTGTTGTGTGTATTGGGGATGAAAATATAATTATGTTTGAAAATGTTATATTATAAATAGATCAAGAACCATTGGCTTAGCTTTTTCCTCCTAGCTATGACGTTTTATTGAAATGTCACTGAAGAAACTCATTGATTATGGCAATATTGTGTTCTTCACATCACTAGAATATTGGGGAGACAAACTAACTGCAGATCCACATTGACAGCATGTGCTTTCACTAATAAAGCCCAAGTCACCCTCATCCATGTCCTCAAACAGCACTCACAACCATAAGAGAGCTGACCCTGAGGAGGTAAATCAGTGCAGATGAAACATTTATTGAGAGGAAAAACATGTGCTGAGTCTACAGGTGTGTGCCACGATGCCCAGCTAATTATTTTAATTTTTTGTAGAGGCAGGGTTTCGCCATGTTGTTCAGGCTAGTCTCAAACACCTGGACTCAAGCGATCCACCCACCTCGGCTTCCCAAAAGTGTTGGAATTACAGGCATGAGCCACTGCACCCAGCCTCATCTCTTCTTCTGATACTGCCTCTGGAGTGTAAAACTGACTGCTGTTGACCCTCTTTTTATCACTGATGTCAACACAATCATTTGCAAATCAGCTAATATTTTCTCAATGAGATGCTCAAGAATACCTTCTCAATAGGTTAAACATGTTTTAAGCCATAAATTAGTGTAGACTTGCACTATGTTCAAATTTCTATTTTATTAATTAGTTATTTTATTATTTGGCACAAAATTGCTTGATGCTAGGTAAGATGATTATACAATCACCTGTACCTGGAATAAGATGAAATTTCTTCTCTGCAATACTGAGTGAATGAATGTCACTTTAAATTTCTCAAGTATCAGAAAGGTTTCTTGTTAACATGCTATGGTAGAAACAGAATGGACTGTGTAGCTGACAAGTTCTGGCTTCATACTCTAATTTTTATTTTGCTAACTGGGTACTTTGGCAAGTTACTTAATGATGACCTACAGGGTCCTTATCTGTAAAATGGTGATTTCATATTGTTTTACAAGATGGGGCAAGCACTCATTCCCTAGTAAGATGCTGGTAATATAGCAGGAATTAACAAATTAAAATTCTTCCCATTTCTTCTCCTGTCAGCTCATTTGTTAATTTTGAGTTCAAGAGGTTGCTTTTGTGCCTCCAATTTTCTCCAATATGTTTGGCCAAGGTGCACTCAAGTGATTGTATAGCCCAGCAGCCTACATGGGCTCTGTTCAAATTTCTGTGGTTGGCACAAAAAGTGCACCTTTGTGGAACTCTTACTACACTGACTTTTAATAGCTCTCAAGTAAATATAGAGCTTTATCATATATGGTTTTTACTCTATGTTTGAAAATGTTTTAGAGGTTTCTGTTGTTGTTGTTGTCGTTGTTTTTATGTCATTTTGCTTTTATTGGACTGGATACTACTTCTAATTGTCTGTAGTAGTCTTCTTCGTAGGCTGCTACTTCACACTTCCCTAACCCCACTGTAAGCCCCTCTACTATATTAGGCACGCCTGAAACCTGGCCTCAGGTTTTCTAAGTGAGCTTAACATTGTCTATCCATTCATTCTTTCAACAAGTATTTGTATAGTACTTCCTACCTGCCAGAGACAGTTCTAGGCACTGGAAAATAATGCTGAAGAAGGAAGAGAAAACCGTTTTTATCAAAGTGGAGATGCTAAGACTAAACAAGTAATTACATAATGCAATAAGGGATCATATGCAGATAAGGATTGCTACAGGGGCCAGAGGTTATTAGGAAAAGGCTCCTTGAGAATGTGACACTTTAACTGAATCCTGAAGAATGAGAAAGAACTCAGCAAAGACCTAGAAGATTGTTCAGTAGGATGAGTATAAAGTTTTAAGATGCTTTGTAGCTATGTCATTAGCTTCATGGGTAACCCTACTGCCTTTTAAATATTCAGTCTATTTGTCTATGATATTTACATTTTTCTTACAAAAGAATATATGAGCAAGGCTGTCAGTTTTAATTTTGAGGAATATATTTTGTGTGGTTCAATGCTAAATATTTTATCTAAATATAGATTTATTTTTGTATATTCTTAATACCATGTTTTGGAAAGCCATTAATGAATTGATAACAGCTTATTTGTTGTGGGTCTGTTGTCTTTTGCTTTAAAGAAATCCTTATATACTGAAATAAAAAATCTATATTAATTGGAAATTAATTTTTCCAAGAAAAATATCAATTTTTGTTTATTTCTCTGCAGTCATAAATACAATCATTTTTCAGAATTATTGTTACAACTTTTCAACAGTATATCCATCCATATGGTATTAGAAAAAACTTAAATATAATAAAAGTCTAATGGTTTATAGTTTGTTGATAAGATTGATTTTTTTCTGATGTCAAGACATCTAAACTAAAGTAGGCTTTCCTGGAACTGAAAAGTATGTTTCTGAGCCTATGTTTTATCTTCACTATTGGCAGGACATTTAGATATTTATTAATTTAATGAATGCTGACATGTTTAGTAATTGAGTAGTATGCAAGCAACACAATCCAAGATAGTTTAAGCTTCCTTAGATTTGTGCATAACTTGAATGAAGAAGGTCGCATGTTTTCTCCCAGCACTTCTAGAAAGGATCACAGACCTGCTGATCTTTTTGATTTTAGTATGGTGAGACCTGTGTCAGACTTCTGATCTACAGAACTGTTAGATAATATATTCATGCTGTCTTAAGCTACTAAATTTGTAGTATTTTCTTATGGCAGCAATAAAAAATAACTGATTCAATTATGATAAAAATTGCTTTCACTTCACCGTCCCCTGGGGTGTGTCTCTTGAATCTCCAGGAATCCAATAGTTCATACAGTAAGAAGTGTTGTCCTACATCTATAAATATCACCTCACAGTGGAATTACTTGAAGTACTTGATTATTTCTTATGCCCCTGCCAAGTTTTCTAGTTTGGTCTTTTTGACAGTGACATCTTTCTATGTAACAATAGCGCAATTTTATTATTTAAATCTATTAAATTATTTCCATTTTTGTCACTTCAGATAAAAATAAAGCCATATAGACAAAAGTGTTTCAAATGGAAAAACTTGCTCTCCCATTGGACTCTATAAGAAAGCTAAGGAAATTTATATCAATTTATCCTCTTATTAGATAGGCCTGGAAAACCCATTGGGGTTTGAATACCCCGTTTGGGGTATAGGTTGGTTTGAAAAACCCAAATGGACCACCATTCCTGAAAACTTTCAAGAGTTTCAAACCACCCATGATTCCCATCAGAAACTAAGGGAAGAGAATAACTGCTAGGAACCATTCCTCAAATTTATCTAGTCAAAGATGCTTGGTCATGTATTTAAAATGGTAAATAACAGAGGGATGAAACTTTCACCATCAATTAGAGACAACATGAAAAGAGTATTCAGGGCTGAAACTGCCTTAACAAGATTCTGCTGTGGTCACAAGTTTTGCAAATGGCCTCAGGTCAATGCTCTTAAATAATCTTAACTAGCAAAATGCAAACATGTCTAAGTACCAAACATTAGCCTAATTGTATCAAGACAGTATTTTCCAAAAAAATTTAAAAGCACACTATCCAAACTTGTAACATTATAATTGAAACAGTTAGAAAAAAAAACATAAGAAATTTAATCTATGGCAACCCCAAAATATCAGGCTTTCATTAATTAGGACACTTGCCAAAATTTTAATGAAAATATTTGCCAGGACAACAAGAGGAGGGTGGCAGCCTGAGCCTCCTCCTCATCATAAAATTATTAACTCTGCTCTGGGGAGGTAAATAACCAATGCCCTCAACTATCACTAAACTCACAAGGGGGAAAAATATCTATTCATTGAAGGGCACTCCAACATGTTTCTCATTACCAGGGCAGCACAATTTACCCTTAACACTGCTTCGTTTTATTTCCCCTACTTTCTTGGAATCATCATATTTAACTAGTTGTGAGTTTTTATAATTCGCCTCATGATTTACCTCTGTTTCAAACTCTTAATATTTCTATGGGATCTTTTAAAGTTCTACATAAATTCCTTCTCAGCTCTACTACCCCGGTACATTTGTTAGGATTCAGTCTTATCATGAATTTGGGTATAAATTTTTTTGTGCCCTGGAAGAACTCCTTCTGCAGGTCCCCAGCTACTTCCTTTCATGTCTATATCCTCTAACAGCTTTGTCCATCCTCCCTAAGTTCCTTTGCCCCCTTCAATCTAACACCTATTTAATGATTTAAATGAACTGTTAGACAGAATTTCTTCTCCTTTACCAATACTGGATGCATTTGAGCTGCAGAAATGCTTAAGGTAGAAATAAATTCTCTCATACCCTGCCGCAGGATTTCCCAAGATCATTTAAATCCAGCAGGACTCGAGGAACTCTGCCTGATAATCCATGTTATTTGACCAAAAATTTCTTGTCTTTATTTCTAGTCATGTAGTACTCAAAATTTTTGGCCGTTATGTTTCTAGTCACATAATAATCACAATTTTTGGCCATTAAGATCTGAGATATATCGATAAAATTGTCAAATCTAGATTTTTTCCCTTAGTTCTTAATACTATCCTGTCTGCTATCACTTCCAATACCCAATTTTTCATGGCCATTGATTTGCGTTCTGCCATTTTTAGTATCCCCTTTTATAAGAAATCCCAAAACTTGTTTGCCTGCACCTGGGAAAACCAACAGTGTACCTGGACTGCTATACCCTAAGGATCTGCTGAGACACCAACATATTTTTCATTTTTCGGACACCCTAAATGTCAATTTGGAAAACATAAAATTCCCAGGAGACTACCTTAATCCAATATGTAAATGGTCTCCTTCTATGTTCTGACAGTTATGACAACTGCCTTTTAAACCCTGAATACCTCCTTAAGGCATTAGCAAGAAAGGGGCACAAGAGGGCTAGAGATGAAATTCAAATATGCTCACAATATATTTAATAGCTGAGTCATAATATTTCAGCCACAGATAAAACTATCTCTAGATGAGGCTCTACTCTTCAGCATTTTTCTCTCCCTGAAACCAAACAACTGAGAGAATTTTGGGGTCTTGTGGGATATGGTAAAATGTGGATTCTTAATTTCTCTGTGAATGCCTCACCTTCACCTTCTATGCCTTAACTAGAGAATCATCTGCAGATCTGGTACTCTGGGAACACTTATCCAAAGATGCTTTCCATGACCTTAGGGGATTTCTACTTTCACTTTCTACACTTGGACTTTACAATCACTCCTTGCTTTTGTCCTTATTTGTGCATTACAAGAGGGTCATAGCCCTAGAGTGTTATGCCAGAGGCATAATGGGCACCAGAAACCTCTGGGATGATACAGTTTGGCTTTAGACCCAGTAGCTAAGGCATATACGCTTGCCTTCAAGCTATATGGTTGCGACCACCAAATATTTCTAAGCTATCTCTGATTTAATATTAGATCATCTACATGACATATGTGGTTTTTCATCTATGCAGACCCTCTTCCTTAATAAAAACACACAACATTTTCCTAAGTCCCAACTTATCCTTTGTGATTTTGCTATTCTCACCCCCTCATATCGCAACACATTTCTGTCAAAACCTTAACCTTGCCACCTTGCTTCCTTTGCCCACTGATGAGACACCCCATGATTGTATTGTTAACAGTAGATAATTATCTTGTCCTAGGCTAGATTTATCAGAAAACACCCTTGTCCAAGTTGACCTCACTATTTATGTTGATGGTTCCTATCTCCAGGATTGTTCCTATCTCCAGAGGGGAGATAGGATCTTCTAGGTTCAATATGCTGTCACTGATCAACATAAACCTCTAGAACATCAAGTTTTGCCAAGTGACTGAGTTAATCTCTCTTACTGGAGTTGGCAAAAGAGTGAAAATAAGGGAGGTTAGCATATATACTAATAAGTGTTATGTTTTGGGTGCAATTCATAATTTGAGGATGTTATGGAAACAGAGAGAATTAATGACAGCAATTGGTACTCCAGTAAAAATATTTGCCACAAATAGCAGAACTTCTAGAGGCACTGTTGTATCCCCAGAACACTGCTATAATTAAAACTTAGGGACATAGTACAGAAAAAGCTCAGATGGGGCACAGGGAAATAAATTAGCTAAAAAAATACAATAAATTAACAGCCCCTTCCCCAACCATCCAAGAAATCCAAGCGATTTCCAAGCTATGCAACTACGCCCCAGGGTCTCACTCCATGGCCCTGGAACACTGATGGGACTATGCATTCTTCCTTGAAGAAGATAACTTCTTTAGCATGACTTCTAAGTAAATCGTAAAAAGATATTCACGTGGACCAAATAATGAGTTCAGACTCTGAAAGACTGGAAAGGAAAAAGTCAGATGTATAATCTCCACATGAACTTTATAAACCTCAAGACAGCTGCTTGGTACTCCCAAGTCTATCTCTCAAGCCATCGTGTGTGATTTAGAAAACATGACTCATCCAGGAGAGAACAAAACACAAAATATATTAAACAAATGTAGTTTGGACACTTTAGTTTTTATGTGAACCAAGGAATTATTACTTTCCTCATCTACCCTGGAAAAAATGTAAAGGTGAGGCAAGGCAGGGAAACAGCACACCCAGGATCCTTCCTTGGCTGACAAATGCTAAAAGCACAATGCTACCAATATGTACTCAAGCTAATCTGTGTATTTTCTAGATGATTGGAGACTTTCCCCTGACTAAATGCTTCAGCAACATCAGTTGCCAAAGATTCCCTAGAACAAATCTTCCCTACTTGGGGTACCTTCTCTACCATCTCTAGTGACAGAGATGTAATCACATTTCATTGGGAAAATCATACAGAACATCGAAAAGTAACATACATTAATCTAAGACTTCACTGCCTTTACTGTCTTTACCATGCTCAGCCGTCTATCTGACATCACTGCCATAACTAAGAAGGTTTGCACGGTAGAAGAAAAAAAATTCATGGCATCACTGCCATCACACTGACAACACTGAGAAAAGACAGTGGGCCCTGAGACTTTTGCTGATGGATCCCTGAAGGTCTTCAAAGCTTGGCTTATAGACTGACCAAATTCTAATCTTTGTCATTCTGTTTATCTTAATAGATTTCCCTCTCATTAAAAGTCTCATAGGTTGCACTGTACAGAAATTAGCAATTGTCACCAAGTCCTAACAGATAGGTCAGCTGATTAAAAAAGAACAAAAGGCAACAACACAAGAAATTGACTTAATGTTCAGAGGAAAGAAAATTGCCTCTTTTGTTTGTCCATTTGTTTGTTTGTTTTTGTTGTTATTTTTGAACAAGAGGAGGGAATGACAAAGATTCTCTCCTTGACCAAACTTTAGTCAGGTCCCTCTGAGATATTTTTCAAGTAGGCTCCATTTTGGGGGATGTTGTTATAAATCCAGTTTTCACAAGAATCCTGCTGATTTTGTTATTCAATATCCCACCCTCAATATCTGATCACCCTTGAAATCGAATAGGATCCCAGTCCCACCCTAGGCATCTGATTACCCACACTTGCCTTCAGCAAGAATCCTGTCAAGTTGCTTTGGCACTAAATATTTTTTGAGTCTTTACAAATAGACATAATTGTGTGAATACCATATAAAAGTACTATGCAAGATCAGAAGAAACTGTATAGATAAATAAGAATATTATCCCTTGAAGGCACTTGTATACACTTAAATCCAATACCATTCAGAGATAATTCTTAGATATAGCTAGGAGTATAATATTTGCACATTTTTTCATATCAAGCACATACAATTAACATCCAGTCATATCAATAAGTTCTTCATATCCTAATGATTTTTATGTTTTGCTATAGGAAATTTATGATACAATAAAGCCCTAAGTAAAATATATAATTCAAATAATGGTTCCTTGATAATTTAAGTTCTGATTCTCATCTGTGTTCCACAATGTGATCATTGTTATGTCAGTTGAAGTTCTTCCCTTAAATTTGACCTATAAAAGAACAGGGCAAACATTGTTTGCCTTTTATCTGGGTTCTAAATTTTTTATTTTTTTATTTACATTTTTAAAATTAATGTTATTACAGAAAATTAGATATAACCATGAGGCATTCTGAGTTAATAAAAAAAATGTAATGTGATCATACTTAAAAGAATTAAAAGTATTGTAACTCAGATTCACCTTCAAAAACTCATGTTCTGGGTGGCTGGCAAGACAGCCGAATACAAACAGCTCTGTTCAGCAGCTCCCAGTGAGATCAACACAGAAGGCAGGTGATTTCTGCATTTCCAACTGAGGTGCCCAGCTCATCTCATTGGGACTGGCTAGTCCATTTTGGGGGATGTTGTTATAAATCCAATTTTCACAAGAATCCTGCTGAATTTGTTTAGTCAATAACCTACCCTCAATATCTGATCACCCTTGAAATTGAATAGAATCAGCCCACAGAGGGCGAGCCAAAACAGCGTGGGGGCATTGCCTCACCCAGGAAATGCAAGGGGTTGGGAAATCCCCTCCCCTAGACAAGAGAGACTGCGCCGTGAGGAACGGTGCATTCCATCCCAGATACTACACTTTTCCCACGGTCTTCCCAACCCACAGGCCAGTGGACTCCCTTAGGTGCCTACACCACCAGAGTCCTGGGTTTCAACACAAAACTGGGCGGCTATTTGGGCAGCCACCGAGCTAGCTGCGGGAGTCATTTTTCGTACCCCAGTGGTGCCTGGAATGCCAGCAAGACAGAACTGTACACTCCCATGGAAAGGGGGCTGAAGCAGGGAGCCAAGTGGTCTAGTTCAGCAGAATCCCTCTGTCCCTCCACCTGCCACGGAGCCCAGGAAGCTAAGATCCACTGGCTTGAAATTCTCACTGTAAGCACAGCAGTCTGAAGCTGACCTGGGATGCTCGAGCTTGGTGGGGCGAGCGGCATCCACCATTACTGAGGCTTGAGTAGGCAGTTTTGCCCTCACAGTGTGAAGAAAGCCACCAGGAAGTTCAAACAGGGCAGAGCCCACTGCAGCTCAACAAAGCCTCTGTAACCAGACTGCCTGCTAGATTCCTTCTCTCTGCGCAGAGCATCTCTGAAAGAAAGGCAGCAGCCCCAGTCAGGGGCTTATAGATAAAACTCCTATCTCCCCAAGACAGAGCACATGGGGGAAGGGGTGGCTGTGGGCACAGCTTCAACAGACTTAAACGTTCCTGCTTCCCCGCTCTGAAGAGAGCAGCAGATCTCCCAGCACAGCACTTGAGCCCTGCTAAGGGACAGACTGACTCCTCAAGTGCGTCCCTGACCCCTGTGCCTCCTGACTGGGAGACACCTCCCAGCAGGAGTCAACAGACATCTCATACAGGAGAGCTCTGGCTGGCATTTGGCAGGTGCCCCTCTGGGACAAAGATTCTAGAGGAAAGAACAGGCAGCGATCTTTGCTGTTCTGCAGCCTCCACTGGTGATACCCAGGCAAACAGGGTCTGGAGTGGACCTCCAGCAAACTCCAGCAGACATGTAGCAGAGGGGCCTGACTCTCAGAATGAAAACTAACAAAAAGAAAGGAATAGCATCACCGTCAACGAAAAGGATGCCCACAAAAAAAACTTTATCCAAAGGTCATCAACATCAAAGACCAAAGGCAGATAAATCCATGAAGATGAGGAAAAAACAGGGCAAAAAGGATAAAAATTGCAAAAACCAGAATGCCTCTTCTCCTCCAAAGGCTCACAACTCCTTGCCAGCAAGGGAACAAAACTGGATGGAGTATGAGTTTGACAAATTGACAGAAGTAGGCTTCAGAAGGTGGGTAATAGCACACTACTCTGAGCTAAAGGAGCATGTTCTAACCCAATGCAAAGAAGTTAAGAAACTTGAAAAAAGGTTAGACTAATTGCTAACTAGAATAAGCAGTTTAGAGAAGAACATAAATGACCTGAAGGAGGTGAAAAACACAGCACAAGAACTTCGTGAAGCACATACAAGTATCGATAGCAGAATCAGTCAAGTGGAACAATGATATCAGAGATTGAAGATTAACTTAATGAAATGAAGTGTGAAGACAAGATTAGAGAAAAAAGAATAAAAAGGAATGAACAAGGCCTTCAAGAAATATGGGACTATGTGAAAAGACCAAGCCCATGTTTGATTGGTGTACCTGAAAGTGGTGGGGAGAATGCAACCAAGTTGGAAAACACTCAAGAACTTCCCCACCCTAGGGTCAACATTCAGATTCAGGAAATACAGATAATACCACAAAGATACTCCTCGAGAATAGCAACCCCAAGACACATAACTGTCAGATTCACCAAGGTTGAAAAAGAAAAAACATGTTACCGGCAGCCAGGGAGAAAAGTCAAATTACCCACAAAGGGAAGCCCATCAGACTAACAGCGGATCTCTCTGCAGAAACCCTACCAGCCAGAAGAGTGGGGGCCAATATTCAACATTCCTAAAGAAAACAATTTTTGACCCAGAATTCATATCCAGCCAAACTAAGCTTCATAAGTGAAGGAGAAATTAAATCCTTTACAGACAAGCAAATGCTAAGAGATTTTCTCACCACCAGGCCTGCCTCACAAGAGCTCCTGAAGGAAGCACTAAATATGGAAAGGAAAAATTGGTACCAGCCACTGCAAAAACATACCAAATTGTAAAGACCATCAACACTATGAAGAAACTGAATCAACTAACAGGCAAAATAACCAGCTAGCATCATAATGACAGGATCAAATTCACACATAACAATATTGACCATAAATATAAACAGGCTAAAACCCACAATTAAAAGACACAGACTGGCAAATTGGATAAAGATTCAAGACCCATCACTGTGTTGTATTCAAGAGACTCATCTCACATGCAAAGACACATATAGGCTCAAAATACAGGGATGGATAAATATTTACCAAGCATATGGAAAGCAAAAAAAGAAAAAAAAAAGCAAGGGTTGTAATCCTAGTTTCTGATAAAACAGACTTTAAACCAACAAAGATGAAAAAAGACAAAGACGGGCATTACATAATGGTAAAGGAGCAATACAAGAAGAGCTAACTATCCTAAATATATATGTACCCAATACAGGAGAACACAAATTCATAAGGCAAATTCTTGGAGACCTATAAAGAGACTTAGACTCCTACGCAATAATCATGGGAGACTTTAACACCCCACTGTCAATATTAGACAGATCAAGGAGACAAAATATTAACAAGGATATTCAGGACTGGAACTCAACTCTGGACCAAGTGGACCTAATAGACATCTACAGAACTGTCCACTGGAAGTCAACAGAATATACATTCTTCTCAGCACCACATCGCACTTATTCTAAAATTGACCACATAATTGGAAGTAAAACACTACTCAGCAAATGCAAAAGAATGGAAATGATAACAAAGAGTCTCTCAGACCACAGTGTAATCACATTAGAACTCAGAATTAAGAAACTCACTCAAAACTGCACAAATACATGGAAACTGAACAACTTGCTCCCGAATGACTACTGGGTAAATAACAAATTAAGGCAGAAATAAATAAGTTATTTGAAACCGTGAGAACAAAGACACAACATACCAGAACCTCTGGGACACAAATAAAGCAGTGTATAGAGGGAAATTTATAGCACTAAGTGCCCACAGGAGAAAGCAGGAAAGATCTAAAATTGATACCCTAACATCACAATGAAAAGAACTAAAGAAGCAAGAACAAACAAATTCGAAAACTAGCAGAAGCTAAGAAATAACTAAGATCAGAGCAGAACTAAAGGAGATAGAGACACAAAAAAAGTTCAAAAAAATCAAAGAATTGAAAAGATTAACAAAATAGATAGACTGTTAGCCAGACTAATAGAGAAGAAAAAAGAGAATAATGAAACAGACCTAATAAAAAATGATAAAGGGGAGATCACCACTGATCCCACAGAAATACAAACTACCATCAGAGGATAGTAGAAACATCTCTACTCAAATAAACTAGAAAATCTGGAAGAAATGGATACATTCCTGGACACATACACCCTCCCAAGACTAAACAAGGAAGAAGTCGAATCCCTGAATAGACCAATAACAATTTCTGAAACTGAAGCATTAATAGCCTACCAACCAAAAAAAAAAACAAAAAAAAACAAAAACAAAAACAAAAAAAACACCCCAGGACCAGAGGGATTCACAGCCAAATTCTACCAGAAGTACAAAGAGGATCTGGTACCATTCCTTCTGGAACTATTCTAAACAATAGAAAAAGAGGGACTCCTCCCTAACTCATATTATGAGGCCAGCATCATTCTGGTAACAAAACCTGGCAGAGACACACAACAACAAAAAAGAACATTTCAGGTCAATATCCTTGATGAACACTGATGCAAAAATCCTCAATATAATACTGGCAAACTGAAACCAGCAGCACATCAAAAAGTTTATCCACCACAATCAAGTTGGCTTCATCCCTGGGATGCAAGGCCGATTCAACATACACAGATCAATAAACGTAATCCATCACATAAACAGAACCAATGACAAAAACCACATGATTATCTCAATAGATGCAGAAAAAGCCTTCAATAAAATTCAACACCCTTCATGCTAACAACTCTCAATAAACTAGGTATTGATGGAATGTATCTCAAAACAATAAGCTATTTATGACATACCCACAGCCAATATCATACTGAATGAGCAAAAGCTGGAAGCATTCTCTTTGAAAACCAGCACAAGACAAAGATGCCCTCTCTCACCACTCCTATTCAAATAGTATTGGAAGTTCTGGCCAGGGCAATCAGGCAAGAGAAAGAAATAAAGGGTATTCAAATAGGAAGAGAGGAAGTCAAATTGACTCTGTTTGCAGATGACATGATTGTATATTTAGAAAACTCCATTGTCTCAGCCCAAAATCTCCTTAAGCTGATAAGCAACTTCAGAAAAGTCTCAGAATACAAAATCAATGTGCAAAAATCACAAGCATTCCTATACACCAATAATAGACAAATAGAGAGTCAAATCATGAGTGAACTCCCAATCACAATTGCTACAAAAATAAAATACCTAGGAATACAACTTACAAGGGACATGAAGGACCTCTTCAAGGAGAACTACAAACCACTGCTCAAGGAAATAAGAGAGGGCACAAACAAATGGAAAAACATTCCATGCTCATGGATAGGAAGAATCAGTATCATGAAAATGGCCATACTGCCCAAAGTAATTTATAGATTCAATGCTATTCCCATCAAGCTACCATTGACTTTCTTCACAGCACTAGAAAAAACTACTTTAAATTTCATATGTAATAAAAAAAGAGCCCGCGTAGCCAAGACAATCCTAAGCAATAAGAACAAAGCTGGAGGCATCATGCTACCTGACTTCAAACTATACTACGTGGCTGCAGTAACCAAAACAGCATGGTACTGGTACCAACACAGATATATAGACCAATGGAACAGAACAGAGGCCTCAGAAATAATGCCTACGTAACATCTGCAACCATCTGATCTTTGACAAACCTGACAAAAACAAGCAATGGGGAAAGGATTCCCTAATTTAATAAATGGTGTTGGGAAAACTGGCTAGTCATATGCAGAAAACAGAAACTGGAACACTTTCTTACATCTTATACAAAAATTAACTCAAGATGGTTAAAAGACTTAAACATAAGACGTAAAACCATAAAAACCCTAGAAAAAAACCTACGCAATACCATTCAGGACATAGGTATGGACAATGACTTCATGACTAAAACACCAAAAGCAACTGCAACCAAAGCCAAAATTGACAAAGGAGATCTAATTAAACTAAAGAGCTTCTGCGCAGCAAAAGAAACTATCATCAGAGTGAACAGGAAACCTACAGAATGGGAGAAAATTTTTGCAATCTATCCATCTGACAAAAGGCTAATATCCAGAATCTACAAGGAACTTAAACACATTTACAAGAAAAAGATAAACAACCCCATCAAACAGTAGGCAAAGGATATGAACAGACACTTCTCAAAACAAGACATTTATGCGTCTAACAAACATGAAAAATAGCTCATCATCAGTGATCATTACAGAAATGCAATTCAAGACCACAACGAGATACCATCTCAGGCCAGTTCGAATGGTGATCATTAGAGAGTCAGGAAACAACCGATGCTGGAGAGGATGTGCAGAAATAGGAACACTTTTACACTGTTGGTGGGAGTGAAAATTAGTTCAACCATTGTAGAAGACAGTGTGGTGATTCCTCAAAGATCTAGAATCAGAAATACCATTTGATCCAGCAGTCTCATTACTGTGTATACTCAAAGGAGTATAAATTATTCTATAAAGACACATGGACATGTATGTTTATTGCAGTAGTATTCAGAATAGCAAAGACTTGGAACCAATCCAAATGCCCATCAATGATAGACTGGATAAAGAAAATGTGGCACATATTCACCATGGAATACTATGCAGCCATAAAAAAGGATTAGTTCATGTTCTTTGCAGGGACATGCATGAAGCTGGAAACCATCATTGTCAGCAAACTAACACAGGAACAGAAACCCAAACAACACATGTTCTCACTCATAAGTGGGAGTTGAACAATGATAACACATGGACCCAGGGAGAGGAACATCACACACAGGGGCCTGTCAGAGAGTAGGGGGCTGGTAGAGGGATAGCATTAGGAGAAATACCTAATGTAGATGATGGGTTGATGGGTGCAGCAAACCACTATGGCACATGTATACCTATGTAACAAACCTGCACTTTCTGCACATGTACCCCAGAACTTAAAGTATAATTTTAAAAACCTCATGTTCTACTTTAAGTAGTTCATTTTTCTTTCATTATTAAAGGGAATTTGTATTAGAAGTTTAATACTGACATAAGGAAAACATTTGAAAGGAAGTACAACTTGACTTACTTTTCTCTAAATAAAACAAAAATTAATTATTTCAATTGTTTCAAAGTGGTTCTTATTATAACTATTTGAAAAATTGATAAAGAAAATCAAATTACCAAAGTTTGTGATGAAAATAATTAACAGCAATATTACAGTGGCAGTATTATGATAGCTTCTTTGCAAGACACATTTTCAAATTCAAGTCAACTATTTTTTGATAATTTAAAGATAATTTTTACTAGTGCAAATTTAGCTCTTCATCAGAAAAAGTAATTCTTTAGTAAATAAATGTTTCCTTTTAACTGAGCATTGAACATTTATTGATGTTTCATTGAGATCCTTCTTTTAGAAAACGTTTTCTAAGTTTTCTAAGAGATGTTCGAAGGTCACTTGTTAAGAGCAATTCAGTGATTTAGGTTAAATATGATTTTTAGAAGTAGCTGCTCTTGAATTCATTGTCCCATACTCTAATACATGGATTTTGAAAAGGAGCAGTTAAATGGCTATAATTTCCACTGAATTGTTTACAGTGCAAATACTAAGATGGCGAGTCTTTAATGGAATTTATTTTGGGGATATTCAATTCTAAAATTTGGTGAGTTTCTCCTCTTGCCTTTTCCCCCTCTTTCTCTCTCTCTCTCAAGCTCACAAACATTCTACTTCTCAGTTACTTTTTTGGTGACAGGTATCATCTTGTGTAACATTCACTATTGTCTCTTTGAGATTGCTAGAAATTATTTTCAAAAAATAATTAACAATTATCAAATAGATGCAATGCATTATAACTAAGGATCTAGTGGAAAGCATTTAGTGAAAAGACACAAATAACTCTACCCCATTCAGACATGAATAGACACATTAAAATATTGTTTATGGAAATTTTATTTTTATTAATTTACCTCTTACTGGAAAATAATTATTTTGTATAGCCACTAAAGGAGTTACAATACAGAATTTCTATTTTTTGTCCATTGTTAATATTGTTTATGAATATTTTAGTTCACTCCAGGGTTTAATATTAGTAAACAACTGTATACACATGAAAAATAAATCACAGTATATGTGGTGATAGGTCTTCATTCTCACTAATGGCATGACAAAATTGAACTATTAAATTTACACATATATATATTTATGACTTTATTGGAAACAACTGTACTCGTTATTCTAAAAGTTTCTGATAGAAGGGGAAATCAAGATGGTATCAGATAATTAAAGAAAATTGGCTGTTCATTTCAAATAAGCATGAATAATTATTGAATTTTGATGCTGAGCTGTATCACTGGGTAAAGAAAGACATCATAATTTTAACCGATATTCTTATTTTATTTTATTATATTTATTATTATTCTTTTTGAGACCGAGTCTCACTCTGTTGCCCAGGCTGAAGTTTAGTGATGAGATCCCAGCTCACTGCAACCTCCACCTCCAGGGTTCAAGCGATTCTAGTGCCTCAGCCTCCCAAGTAACTGGGATTACAGGCATGCACTACCACACCAGGAAAATTTTTGTATTTTTAGTAGAGATAGGGTTTCACCATGTTGGCCAGGCTGGCCTCAAACTCCTGTCCTCAGGAGATCCATCTGCCTCAAACTCACAAAGTGCTGGGATCACAGGCATGAGCCACTGTGCCTGGCCCCTGTGTTCTAATTTTAGTTGCCAAAATAAAGTACTGATTTATTTTATTTTGTCAGTAAAACTAAAACGAAAAACAATCTGTCAAAATGAAAATATTGAATTAAGACCAATTACTCAGCAAGATGCTGTTGTCAGTAATTGTTAACCATGTAGTTAGAATATGTGCAGACCTCTATGTCTATATCATGTAAATAATACAGTATTGGAGCTAAAATGCAGTTTCTGGAGGCAAAATGGTGAGGATTGAAATGTAATGCTATGTGTCTCCATTTGTCTTCACACAAGTTTAATTCTCAGGTTTCTCACTTGCCTAAATAGGAATAATAATATTTATTAAATATTTGCTTTAATGATTAAATGCAATATTATATGTAAATGACTCATCAGACTTGCTGTCACATAATAAACTCCATAATAAGTATCAGCTATATAGTACATGATTGGCATGTACTTGTAAAATCTTTTGCCAAATTATCATTTCTATTCACGTGTCTTAAATTTCACAATCATAATAGAAGTTTATTAATTGCAAGGAACACCACAGGACAGATAGGCACTGCTTGACTTACATATTGTAAAGCTTTCCTAACATAGCTTGTGATCCTTTGCTAAAGTATAAATCTTGCAGGGAAGAGTAATTTCTTGAACTGATTTTCACAAAGTGATTAGTTGCTAATGAGGACAACCATCTTTCCAGAGAGGGGCACATTTGCACAGTAGTTAAGAACATGAAACCTGAAGGTAAATTGTGGTTCTAATAATTACTAGTAATCATAGGCAAATTATTTTATTTTCCCTTACTTCAGTTACCTCTTTGTAAAATGCAAATAAACATTTTTTTTTCCTTATTTTACTTTAAGTTCTGGGATACAGGTGCAGAAAGTGCAGGTTTGTTACACAGGTATACATGTGACATGGTGGTTTGCTACACCTATCAAACCATCATCTAGGTCTTAAGTCCTACATGCATTAGGTATTTGTCCTCATGCTCTCTCACTCCTTGCCCCCCAACCCCAGACAGGCCCCAGTGTTGTCTATGTGTTCTCATTGTTCAACTCCCACTTATGAGTGAGGACATGCAGTCTTTGGTTTTCTGTTCCTGTTAGTTTGCTGAGAATGATGGCTTCCAGCTTCATCCATGTCCCTGCAAAGGACATGAACTCATTCTTTTTTATGGCTACATAGTGTTCCATGGTGTATATGTGCCACAATTTCTTTATTCAGTCTATCATTGATGGGCATTTAGGTTGGTTCCAAGTCTTTGCTATTGTAAATAGTACTGCAATAAACACACGTGTGTGTGTGTCTTTATAGTAGAATGATTTATAATCTTCTGGGTATATACCCAGAATGAGATTGCTGGATCAAATGGTATTTCTGGTTCTAGATCCTTGAGGAATTGCCACACTGTCTTCCACAATGGTTGAACTAATTTACACTCCCACCAACAGTGTGAAAGTGTTCCTATTTCTCCACAGCCTCACCAGCATCTGTTGTTTCCTGACTTTCCAATAATTGCCATTTGAACTGGCGTGAGATGGTATCCCATTGTGGTTTTTATTTGCATTTTTCTAGTGACCAGTGATGATGAGCTTTTTTTCATATGTTTGTTGGCCTCATAAATGTCTTGTTTTGACAAGTGTCTGTTCATATCCTTTGCCCACTTTTTGGTGGGGTTGTTTGTTTGTTTGTTTGTTTTCCTTGTAAATGTGTTTAAGTTCCTTGTAGATTCTGGATATTAGACCTTTGTAAGATAAATAGATTGCAAAAATTTTCTCCCATTCTGTAGGTTTCCTGTTCCTTCTGATGATAGTTTCTTTTGCTGTGCAGAAGCTCTGTAGTTTAATTAGATCTCCTTTGTCAATTTTTGCTTTTGTTGCAATTGTTTCTGGTGATTTAATTAAAAAATCTTCGTCCATGCCTATTTCCTGAATGGTATTGCCCAGATTTTCTTCTAGGGTTTATATAATTTTGAATTTTACATTTAAGTCTTTTATGCAACTTGAGTTAATTTTTGTATAAGGTATAAGGAAGGGGTCCAGTTTCTGTTTTCTGCATATGGCTAGCCAGTTTTCCCAGCATCTTTATTAAATAGGGAATCCTTTCCCCATTGCTTGTTTTTGTCAGGTTTGTCAAAGATCATATGGTTATAAATGTGTGGTTTTATTTCTGAGGCCTCTGTTCTGTTCCATTGGTCTATATATCTGTTTTGGTACCAGTACCATGCTGTTTTGGTTACTGAAGCCTTACAGTATAGTTTGCAGTCAGGTAGCATGATGCCTCCAGCTTTGCTCTTTTTGCTAAGGTTTGTCAGGATACAAAATCAGTGTGCAAAAATAACAAGCATTGGCCAGGCATGGTGGCTTGCACCTGTAATCCCAGCACTTTGGGAGGCCAGAGTGGGTGGATCACCTGAGGTCAGGAGTTTGAGACCAGCCTGACCAACATGTTGAAACCCTGTCTCTACTAAAAATACAAATTAGTCAGGCATGGTGGTGCACACCTGTAATGCCAGCTACTTGGGAGGCTGAGGCAGGAGAATCGCTTGAACCCAGGAGGCAGAGGTTGCAGTGAGCTGAGATCACACCATGGCACTCCAGCTTGGGCAACAAGGTCAAGACACCATCTCAAAAAATAAATAAATAATTAAATAAAACAAGCATTAATATACACCAATAATAGACAAGCAGAGAGTCAAATCATGAGTGATCTCCTATTCCCAATTGATACAAAGATAATAAAATACCTACGAATACAACATACAAGGGACGTGAAGGACCTCTTCAAGAACTACAAACCACTGCTCAAGGAAATAAGAGAGAACACAAACAAATGGAAAAACATTTCATGCTCATGGATGGGAAGAATCAATATTGTGAAAATGGCCATACTGCCCATAGTAATATAGATTCAATGCTATTCCCATCAAGAAAGTCCCATTGACTTTCTTCACAGAATTAGGAAAAAACCACATTAAATTTCATATGGAACCAAAAAAGAGCCCATCTAGCCAAGACCAAGACAATCCAGATAAACATTTTACCTACTTCATAGGGTTGTTGTTAGTGGTAAATAAGTTTTTATTTCTAAAACACTAAGAAGAGTGTCTGAGGTATAAGAACTAAACAAGAGCCTAATATAATTGTCATATCATTATTATTCCAAGAGCAATATAAGGTAACATGTAGGGAGCCATGGAGGAGTCCACTTGCAGAGAATTGCAGTGCAGGGGCAAATCATCTCACTTGTTGAAACTTGAACAAGGTGGTCTCATATTTCTAGCTATACCAGTCACCTAGTAGAAATATATGTAAGTCATCTTTGGAAGAAAATAGTAATATCCCTATCCTCATAAAACATCCACAGTTAATTTTGTAAATACATGATGTGGCACAAAATAAAGAACAAACATGGTTGTGAAAAGAAATGAAAACATCAAATCAACAGAGGCAAAAGGTTGTAGAGACATACAAAGGTAAAAATTACTCTTGCTAATAATAGAAAGACTTCAAACATGTCCAAGCATGTAAATAAAAAAGCTGAAAACTTCCACAAGAAACTAAATATTATATAATTCAAAACACAATGTACAAATAAAAAAATCAATAGGTGAATTTAGCAGGAGATTAGGCAGCACTAAAGAAAGAATTAGTATACTTGAAGATAAATTGCATTGTAAGTTCAGAATAAAGCATAGAGAGACAATGTATTATATATGTATATAATATATATATATATATATATATATATATCAAAGAGACAAGAATGGAAGAGGCACAAAGTAAATAATGAAACCGGTTAACATATTTAATTGGAATCTCAAAATATCTGACATGTAAATAATAGTAATTAAAGCTAATTATATCTTCAAGTTATTATTAGTAAATGAGCTCCAAGCCATAATTCTGTAAGGTAATTTATCCCACTTTAAGATAAACTACACTTGAAATAAAACCCTGAAATTCTCAGAAAATTAAAAAAAAACAGCAATTCATAACTGCAAGAAGTACTATGAGGTATTATTGGGTGTTTGTCCCCCAGGAAAAAAAATGCCAGATGGATAACTGAGATGGAGAACAAGTAAGATTTCAAAGTGAGTGTACAATTTTACAGTGAAACAGAAAAAGTTCAAGACTTCTATTTGCTCCACATGATCTAGAAAGTTTGTTGTTTTAATTTTTTATTTTAGTCATTTTATGTAGCTGTATCTAATTTTTATATGTATTTTTATTTATCTGCTGACTAAGGATGCTAAAAACTTTTTCATGCATATATTGAATTTTTCTATATTTTCTTTGGAGAAGTATCCATTTGATACTTTTGCACATTTTTATTGGTTTATTTGCCTGTTTATTACTAGGGTCCTTGTTTTTATTTTTTTAAACATACACTTGGCTACTACAATTTCTTCTCAGTCATATAGAGGACTTAGACATATTTTCTACTAGTTATATTATTGGTCATGTTTTTGGATGAGCATGAGTTTTTCCTTTTATAAATTATAGTTTATCAATGCTATATCTTATGCTTCATACATTCTGTGTCCTCTAAAAAATCTTGGCCTAACTTAAAATTGTGAAAAGACAGTCCTGTTTTCTTCTATTATTTTACTAATTTTGATTTGAAGTGTAGGCCTATGATCCACCTCAAATTGATTTTTGTGTGAGTTGTTAGATATGAGCCAAGAGCAAGTTGCTGCTGCTGCTGCTTCATTTTCTTTCCCTTCCCTTTCCTCTTCCTCTTCCTCTACATCTTCTTCCCCTGCTCCTGCCTCTCCACTTCTCCTTCATCTTCTTCTCCTTCCCTCCTTCTCCTCCTCCTTCTACTTTCTTCTTCTTCTTCTTCTCCTTCTTCCTCTTTTCCTTCTTCTTTCTTCTGCTTCTTCTGCTTCTGCTTCTGCTTTTGCTTCTGCTTCTCCTCCTCCTCCTCCTTCTCCTCTTCCTTCTCCTTCTTTCTAATCTAGCACTAAAATTTATTTTAAAAACTGATTAAAATTTTTTGTCTATTTGATTGCTTTGCTACAATTGTCAAAAATTATTTATCCATATACAGGTTAGTATCTAAAGTCTATTCATTTACATTGAGCTATTTACCAATTATGTTGCCAATACTACACTGTCTGTCTTAATTACTATAGTGTGTTTTATGTCAAGCAGGGTTAGTTCTCAAACTTTATTTTTTTCTTTTGCAAGATTACTTAGGTAATTCATGGTCCTTTGCCCTTTCAAATAAATTTTAACATTTGTACATTTTTATAAAAAACAATGATAAGATTCTACTGACTTTATTTGTTAATTTGAAAAAACTTACCCATTAGAACTATTGAATTATCTAGTCCATCAATATGGTGTCATGAGATCCTTGGGGTGTCACTTTGCCAGCTGGAAACCTCTGTGGCTGGCAGTGCCTTCTGTCTGAGTATTGGTCACTCATACTGGACTCATTCCACTCACCTGGCCCAGCAGGCTGCACTCAGAAGTGCTACCAGCCCAGATCCCACACCTGCCAGGAGCGAACCAAGTGCAGAGAGGCAAGGTTTGTATGGGCAAGTGAGCATGCTGTCCAGCCACTGTGCACAGCTAGGCACACCACCTGCTGTGGATGGGGTAGGCAGCTCCAGGTGCCAGTATATGTGCCAGATCCTTGCAAGGCTGTGGCTGGACTAGATGTACTGCATGCAACTTCCATTGTGGGCGCCTGTGTTTCAACCAGGGGAATGCAGTGGCACCTAGAAGCTTGGGGACACCAGGAACCGCAGAGCCCCAAAGAGGGTGTCATAGCCCTGGATCGGGGAGCCCCTAGGTCTGGGCTTCCTGAAGGGCCACAGTTCTTCTGTCCTTCTCATTGCCCACAACATGGTCATCATGGTAAGTGGGGGGTGGGGGATGTTTCAGCTTTGCTTGCGATACAGCTCTTTGCCTGTGATACAGGACCACCATTCGGCAGGTCCTGAGTTCTTGCCCTGTATCAAGGAAGAATGAGGTATGTGGACGACTGGAGGGTGATCAAGGCGGAGAGGCGCTTCTTTGAGACACAGAGGAGCTCCCAAGAGGCACGAAGTGGGTAGCTACTTTCCACAGTCAGGTTGTCCCAGTGAGCATCCAGCCCTCCGCTGAGAGGAGACCACCAGGGGGTAGCTTCTTTCTGCAGGCAGATTGTCCCCACGAGTCAAGGAGACCTGAAATTAGTAGCTTCTTCCTGAAGCTGGTAGTCCCAAAGTCTGTGTGTCTGGCTGAGCCCAGGTTTTTACGGGCTCAGAAGGGAGGAAGTACGTTCTGATTAGTCCACGGGGGCCATGGGTGCGCCTGGAGAAAGCACCATATGTTCTCACTCTGGGCCACAGACTCCACCCAGAACTGGCAGGCTGGTTCCCAGGCTTCGTGTCTTCCCTGGCTTGAAGGTGCGGTTTCACTGGCGACCTGACCCTTTGTGCACAAGAGTCTGTCTGCCTCCTGCCACCATCACCAAGTCGTCCATAGCACCCAGGCTGTTTGTGCCAACGGGCACCTGCAGGCCCATCCCGCACCACCCTCAGCCCCACTTCAACCTCCCTCCAATGCTTGTTTGTCCCCAAAGTCCGGAAGGGGTCAAGGTGGCAGGGGGCTGGTAAGTCAATACCCCCCTGAGCATGCGCACACCTGGCTGGTTCACAACAGCAAGTGAGCTCAGCCACAGCTTTGCTCTGCCCTGGAGTGGGCGCTGGGAGCTAGGAGAGGCCAGGCAGCAGTAGCAAGCACTTCCAAATCTGCAGCGAAAGGGGAATTCCTGGGCCCCTGAGAGTGCAGGGATGCCCAGTTCCAGTTGCCCTGGCAGCTGCAGCTGTGCACAGAACCTTGGGGCTCCTGCCCCAGTTATTAAGTAGGGGGTGGAGCTTTCATCTTTTCCTGGCTTCTGCCGCCCTGCAGAGCGTACAGCCACAATCACACCTCCCTGCTGCAGCCAGCATCTTTGCAGCTGCCACTCCAGATAGGCTGCTACCGCCAGCAGTGATGCATCTCCCCACTTATTCAACTTTTGTTTAATTTTTCTTTGTAATGTTTTGTTGCTTTTAGGTTAGAAATCTTGAACATTTTATGTGGCATACACTGCTAAGGATTTGATATTTTGTAATTCTATTGAAAGGGATTCTTATAGATTTTTAAATATTTTGTTGATGTTATATATGAAATTAATTTTAATGACTTTATACCCTGCAACATTTCTAAATTTAATATTAACTTTACTAGTTGTTTGAAGATCCTTTATGATTTTCTGCATACAAAATTATGGCGCTATAAATAAAGATAGTTTTGCCTTTTCCTTTCTAAAGTATGTGACTATTATTACTTTTCTTTTTTTTTTTTTTCTTCAACTTCTAAGTTCAGGGATACATGTGCAGGATGCGCAGGTTTGTTACATAAGTAAACATACGACATGGTGGTTTGCTGCATAGGTCATCCCATCATTTAGGTATTAAGCTCAGCATGCATTAGCTACTTTTCCTGATCCTGTCCCTCCCCTAACCCCTCCTCTGCAGGCCCCAGTGTGTGTAGTTTGCCACCAAGTACCCATGTGTTCTCATCATTCAGCTCCCACTTACAAGTGAGAAGACGTTGTGTTTGGTTTTCTGTTCCTGGGTAACTTTGCTGAGGATAATGGCTTCCAGCTCCATCCATGTTCCTGCAAAGGACATGATCTCATTCTTTTTTATGGCTGCATAGTATTCCATGGTGTATAGGTACCACATTTTCTTTATCCAGTCTATAATTGATGGGCATTTGTGTTGATTATGTGTCTTCACTGTTGTGAATAGTGTTATTTACTTTTCATTCCCGATTGTACTGAAACTTCCAGTACATTAATAACTAGAAATGGAAAAATGGGCATATTTATTTTATTCCCAATGTGTGGTGAAAAGCACTCAACATTGTATTATTAGATATGATATTAGATGTATAGTTTTCATAGATGCACTTTATCAGTTTGAGAAAGTTTCCTTCCATTCCTAAGTTGCTGAGGTTCTTTTGAAGTCATAAACAGGAATTGCATTTGTTAAAATGATTTTTAAAATATCTCTTGAAATAAATACAGCATGGTATTTTGCTCACTCAGCTAATTCACTGAAATATATGTATTCATTTTCACATGCTAACACACCTTGCATTACTGTGATAAATTCAACGTAATCACAATATATTCTCTTTGATATTATATTTATATATTTTATTTGATGTTCCTGCACTTGATTAACATATTGCAATAGGTTCTTGCATCTATGTTCAGAAGGGATAATTATCTGTAATTCTCTTCCTATATAATGTTTTTGTCCTTTTTTTTTTTTTTTGGTGCCAAGAGGTATACTAGTCTCATAAAATAAGGTGGCAATTATTCATGCATTCTCTATTTCCTGAAATAGTTTTTGTGTGAATTATGTATTTTTTTTCTTATAAGTTTGACATAATTCAGCAGTAAAGCCATCAGAACCTGGACACTTCTTACTGGGAAGTTGCATAGTTACAAATCGAATTCATACAGTGGGTTCGGGCCATTTATGTGTTTTTAATAGACTTTATTTTAGAATAGCTATATATAGAGAAAGATAAAAAGAAATGGAGTAGATAGTACAGAGGGTTCCTAAATACTCTGGAACATGGTTTCCCATCTTATTACCCTCTTACCTTAGTATGGCACATTTGCTAAAATTAATGAACCAATATTGATACATTATTTTTAGCTTAAGTCTATACTTTATCCAGATTTCCTTAGTTTTTACCTAATGTCCTTTTTTTCCCCAAGATCTTATCTACAATATTACACTTCATTAGTTATATTTCCTTTGGTACCCCATGGCTGTAACAATTTCACAGATTTCCTTGTCTTTGATGACCTTGACAATTTTGAAACATGTTGGGCAGTTGTATTGTAGAATAACTCATTATTGAATTGTATCTGATTTTTTTTCTCATGAATAAACTGGTATTATGTATTTGGGGGAGGAAGATTATAGAAGTAAAACGCCATTTTATTACATTATATTAAAGTCACATGCTATCAACATAATTTATCATTGATACTGACTTTGATTACTTGGCTTGAGATAGTACTTTTCAGATTTCTCCATTGTAAAAGCTCCCTTTTTTTCCACTTTCTATAATGTAGTCTTTTGAAGGAAATCACCATGAACAACCTGCATTTAAGAAGCAGTGAATTATGATTACTCTTCTTGAGTATAGTACATCTGCATGAATTATTTAAAATCCTCCATGGAATATTTGTTTATTATCCTACATTTTTAAATCAATCTTATCATTTTTATATCAGTGTGGATTCATAGTTATTTATTTTATGCATTGGGTTATAATCCAACACTACTTAATTTATGTTGTTGCTCAAATTGTTTTTTATTTGTGAGAAGAAAAACCAAAATATTTGATGGCTTTGTATTGCAAAATTATTAAGGGCTAACCTTTAAACACTTTGTTGGAAAAGAAAAAAAATAGTAAATGTGGCTCTAAATGAGACAGAGAACACCTTGTGCAAATGATTTACTCTAATAAGTAATACAACACCAGGCATCAAGAGGTTAAGTTTAATCAGTAATGCCTTCTCGTATAATAATCAGAATTTGGCTAAGCATTTTTTTTTTTTTAAGATGTAGTTTTGGTCTTGTCGCCCAGGCTGGAGTGCAATGGTGTGATCTCAGCTCACTGCCACCTCCACCTCCTGGGTTCAAGTGATTCTCCTGCCTCAGCCTCCTGAGTAGCTGGGATTACAGGTGGCCACCACCATGCCCAGCTAACTTTTTTTGTATTTTTAGTAGAGACGTTGTTTCGCCATGTTGGCCAGGCTGGCCTCGAACTCCTGACCTCAGGTAATCTACCCGCTTCAGCCTCCCAAAGTGCTGGCATTACAGGTGTGAGCTACCACGCTCGGCCTAAGCACATTTTTTAAAGTGAATATATACTAGGTAGAAAATACACTTGAAAATAGAAGGAGGAAAGCAATTGCCTCTACTCTGCCAAAATCATCTTCCAACATAAAAAATCAACTTAAAAGACTGATTTAAGATAATGCCTGACCCTTTGAACTAAGAATTACATCAATGTAGGCTTTTTTGGATGGCTGAAATAAACACCAATATGGAAAAGAATAGTACTCTTAATCTGAACTGTTTTACACATTTCTAAAACAAAAAGTTTATTCATTTTGTTTATTCATTAATTATTGGTACAATAATAAAACATGAGGCATAATAGGGGCATGTTTGGCTTTTAACCCAAAAGCATTCTTGACTTGTTGATTATGGACTCAATACAGATAAATTTTATGAAGTTGGATGTAAAAGTCTACAATGCTTAAACGTTCAGGAGTCAATAAAAAACTGACTTAATGTTAAAATATTCTTAGATATTCAATACGACATGGAGTTTTAATGTACACTGTTAAAATAAAAATTTTATTAGCTTAAATGTTTTCTCAATTATCTCTCAGGAGTGATGATAAATCACCCCTATGTACAGTGAGAAGTTAATACAGAAAACAGAAAAATTTTAGAGACTTTCCAAATAACATCATTATATTTAGTAACTAAGGGAAGTAATGTTAATGATTTGGGTTTTGTTTATGTTTTTAATAGTATCAAAGCACAGATTCTAACCACAATCTTGAATTTGAAGAACCACCTACACTATGCCACAATCTTTAAATAATTTCTTAACTACATGAAAGATTATTTCAGATATGACACCAAGAAACAGCTTAATTAGAGTAATTTTTTTGACTTAGAGATTTCCAAACCTAGATGGATTTTCCTTTATCTTTGAGGGAAAAAGTCATTACAAATAGTTACATAAATTCATTCATTTTATAGATTTTATAGATTATATTAATGCCCAAAAATTTTTAGTGAATTCTCCACAGCTTTCAGAGCAGCACAACCAAAGTGAAAGCTCAAGAAGCTTTCCTTACACTTTCTCTTTGCTATTTAAATATAAAATAGACATTTTAAACAATTGGGGTATTTACACATTTTTAAAATTTGATTGTAATAATAGAAACATTTTAAAGTTATCACAAGTATTCAAAGTCAATTGTATCTGAAAATTATCCAAACTGTTCTTCAGTTATCACAGACTTAGAATCATCAGCCATGTGTGTGTATAAACATATGTATAGAAATATATTAATCATTTGGTGATATATAAATATACATATTAGCCTGAAGGTATTATTTCATAAAATTGTGCATATTTCTTTCTAATACAGTATGATTTTTAATAATAAAAATATTAATTTCTTCAAAGCTACATTAAAACAAGATTTTCAATGATATTTATAAAAGTTTATTAATTCTCTTTTATAATTTAGAGGGAAGTTACTCAATGTACATCAAGAAAATGTTAAGTGGAATCACTAAGTCTTGTGTAACAGAACTTATTACCAATTCTGGATCTATACCACTTCAGGATATAATAAAAAGGAAAAAAATCTGGAATTTAGATTCCACAGACTTTGTTAATTCTCTGTTAATAACACACCATTAATTCTCTATTAATGACACAATATCCTTAGCATCATGCACTTATAAACATTACCTAATAACACTCTTACATAACTTAATTTTAGATGAATGCCTAAAGATTTTTTGAAGAATGTAGGTAGATGCTAATTATTATTATACCTAGAAACTTTCATATACTCAAAGGACATAAGAATCTTTAAAAAATATTAAAAAGTCATGACTAATAGAATTGTATTTCTCAAAATTATATAGGGAAATGATATCAGTCATTTCTATTAATGCATTTCTGTCTTTCTCTTTTAATCACATTTTCTTTTGTATGTATCTATTCTCTTTCACTTCTTGAAAGGAAAAATGTACAACAGTGCATTCTGACAGATCTAATCCTTTAATCAAATTTTCTAAAAGCTTGGGTAATGTTTAGAATTTTATATTTTTATCTGATTTTAGAGAGGTGCTTTACATTAGTTGTCTAGAGAGTTCTGAATCTCTCTTTAATAATTCAAAAGTAATGCTGAAACATCAAGGCAGAAGAACAAACATTTGTCATCCAACCAGATAAAGTTGAAGAGATCTTTCCACATCATTTATAGGAATTAATAGGCATGCATTGTAATAGTTAAGTTGAAAATGTATGACATTTATTTTTCTAGCAATGGAAATTTTGGGTGTGGAAAATATCAGTTTCCTAAATGATAGGTTATTTTAATAAAAGCTTATAATACTTTGATATCCCAAAGAGATAAATACAAAACCACCATTAATAAATTGTTTGTATTATGGTAAAATGAATACTGATTTCCTTTTTATTATCTTCCCATTGAAACCAGACATGACTAAGAAATAATTTTACTACCAATTTGGTTTGGCCTGGTCATATATTTTGAGTTTCCTTGGGAAGTATACAAAACATTTATTCATTTTTACTTCCAAATCAATAATACTTTTCTAGATCTTGAAACTGACCTTGCTTAATCGAGGTTATGACCATCAACCCAACACTTAAACACAACTATCAGTATCTCAGGTGTAAGAAAGCAGAAAAAAAGGTGAATTTCTCAGGATACCTTGCAACTAGCATACTGATTCAACAATGAAAATCATTTTGACATATTGAGATATTGACATTTTGAGATATTAGCATATATGGCATCTTTTTGCTGCTCTTGCTGATAATGAGTAAAGTAATAGAGATGTATATGTAGCTAGATTCTACAGTCCAGTGTTCAAACAACAGAGCATCATACTGGTTAAAAACAAGTAAATAAAAAGATATCCTGAATTCATAGATTAAAATAATTATTATTGTTAAAATGTCCATATTACCCAAAGCAATCTACAGATTCAATAAAACCATTATCAAAATTCCAATCCCATTATTCAGATAAATAGAAAAAAAAATCTCCAAATTCCTATAGAACAACAAAATACCTCAAAGAGCCATAGCAATCTTAAGAAAGTAGAACAAAGCTGAAGTCATTGGAGTCCCTGATTTGAAGCTATTTTACAAAGCTACAGTAATCAAAACAGTATGGTCTTGATATAAAAACGAACACATAGGCCAATGGAACAGAATAGAAATCAGCAAGAATACACAATGGGGGAAGGATAGTTTCTTTAATAAATTTTGTTGAGGAAACTGAATATCCACATGCAAAAGAATGGAATCAGACCCCTGTCTTCACCATATACGGACAATAACTCCAAATGGTTTAAAGGCTTACATGTGAGAACTGAAACTGTAAAACTCATAGAAGAAAACATAAGAGAAAAGCTCCTTGACAAGAGTCTTTGCAATGATTTTTTAAAATATAACCCCAAATCACTGGCAACATAAGCAAAAATAAACAAATGAGACTATATCAATTCAAAAGATTTCTGCACAGCAAAGGAAACAAATAACAAAATAAAAAGACAGCCTATGGAATGAGAGAAACTATCGCAAATCATAGGTCTGAGGGGCTAATATCCAAAATGTATAAGGTACTCACAACTCAGTAACAAATAAAGAAATAAACTGATTTAAAAATAGACAAAGGACCTAAATAGACATTTTTCAGTGAAGACATATGAATGGCCAACAAGTCTATGAAAAAGTACTTAATATAATCATGAGAGAAATGCAAATCAAAGCCTCAGTAAATTATCCCTTCACTTCCATTAGGATGGCTATTATCAAAATATGATGAATGTTAGCGAGAGTGTAAAGGAAAGGGAACCCTTGTACACTGTTAATGGAAATGTAAATTGGTACAACCATTATGGAAAACAGCATGGAGACTACTCAAAAAAATAAAAATAGAACTACCATATAATCCAGCAATCTCGCTTCTGGATATATATTTAAAGGAAATGAAATCAGTATGTCAGAGAGATATTTGCACCCTCATGTTTATTGCAGCATTATTCTCAATAACCAAGATATGGAAACAACCTAAATGTTAATCCATGGATGAATGTATGAAGATAATATAGTGCGTACGTACTCACAAACACACACACAAAAACACACACACACATATGAATATTATTCACACATAAAAAGAAGGAAATCCTACCATTTGCAACAAAATAGATGAGCCTAGAGGACATTATACTAAGGGAAACAAGCCAAATATGGAAAGACAGGTACTTTATCATCTCACTTACACATGGAATGAAAACCAAAGAAGTTGACCCATAGAAGCAGAGAGTAAAATGATGGTTGCCAGGGATTTTGGAGTAGGGAAAATGAAGAGCAGAGATCTTGGTCAAAGGGTACAAATGTTCAGTTAAGAGATGAATAAGTTCTAGAGATTTAATGTATAGCATAGTTAATATATTTAATAATACTGTATTGTTCATTTGGAATTTGATAAAAGAACAGATTTTTAAGTGCTTTTACCCCACTCTCACACACATAAAATAACTGTAAGTGGTGATAAATTTGTAATTACTTCGATTGTGGCAATCTTTACAAAATGTATACATACATCAAATCATTTTATTGTACACCTTGAATACATGCAATTTTTATTTTTAAATTATATATTTTAAATACAAAATGATGTTTGTTATTTTTATTTTTATTAGCCACCCCTTTTTTGTGTGTGAAATATAACTGGAGGAATTCTTGCTATAGAAAAAGCAAGAGTAACTTTCTTATCTCTCAATGGTAGTTAGTGTTAGTTCTTGAAATCTACTGTCAAGTTTTAGCTGCACTTACTTCCAATCCTCTGGTTGTTCCAAAAAAGTTTAAGCACACAATTCCATCTATTAATCTACTTTTCAATTAAAATATTTATTCTAAACTCTGACAAAGTATACTGTTAATAAACCTTGATAGTATAAATGTGTCATTATATGACTATGTCTAAAGTAACAACCTCCTCCCTGTTTGTAGTAAAAGAACAGCAAACACACCTTCATCTTATTGAATGATTAGAAAAATTAATGAAACAACAGTTGTATAATCTTCAAATTATAATTAGGAAATTAACTCATATATAAATTGTGAATGTGATAATTTTTAATTTTTGAGTCTCGTTTGATGTTAAAAAAAACTGAAATGTCCAAAGGATGTGTCGAACCCCTTTCTCCTTTGCCCATGTATGCCTCAGGAGTCAGAAAGAATAAGTAACAAATATTTAAGCCTCATTTGAGGTTCAGATGGCCATGTGACTCTGCTTGTATCAATGAGGCTTACAGACAAATTAGCATGTCTACTAACAAAATTATGCAAAATGAATTTCTAATTTTAAAAAGTTATAAAACATAAAAACAGATAACTATGCAAAGGTAAATAATCAAGATGATGTTGTTTTCTAAAAGACAAATAAAAAAATCTGAAGTTTTATTTATACAAGTAGGAATATTTCAAGTTGAGGTGCCATTTTGTAGGAGATTCTTAAATGACTGACTTCAGTGCTTTCCCTGTTGAGGCACTTGTGATAGCTTTAATACCTGTATTTGGCAGCATTAACTGAAGGGGAACTTTTACATCAAATCTATAAATATAATAAAGGATTACTTTGGAAAAACTAAACTCACTAACAGAATATAAATATTTTGCCTGTAACATTTGATGTAGTAGAATTATATCTATTTTCACATACAATCTATTTACTCATTTAGCATACTATTTATATTGTTACAAAGTAGATAATTTTGTTTTTAATGCTATTTCTTAGGACTCAACTACATTTCAGCCATTCAGTGTGAACATAAGTCATAGTCCACATGGAATTATTCTAAACAAATCACTTTCTTTTTTTTTTTTTTTTTTTTTTTGAGATAGGTTTTCACTCAGTCACACATGGTGGAGTGCAATGGCGCAGTCAGGGCTCACTGCAGCCTTTATCTCCCAGTCCCAAGTGATCCTCCCACCTTAGCCTCCCAAGTAGCTGGGACTACAGGCACACACCACCATGCCTAGCTAATTTTTGTAGAGATGGGGTTTCATCATGTTGTCTTGACTGGTCTGCAGCTGGTAGGCTCAAGCAATCCACCCACCTAGGCCTCCCAAAGAATTGGGATGACAGGCATGAGTTCAATGTTGTTATACTAATTGCACTGATAACTCAGTTACTCACTCTTTCATTCCTCAATATTTTCTTCCTAGAATATCGATTTATTTTATTTTATTTTTTACTGCTTTCATTTTATTTTTGCTATTCCCTTATTACTGCTACTACTACTAATAATAATAACAGTAACACTTAACCAAAGTTTATTGCCCATTGCTTTGCTCTGGACCTATTCCTGCATTGGGAGACTTTTTTTTTTTTTTTTTTTTTGAGATGGAGTCCTGCTCTGTCGCCCAGGCTGGAGTGCAGTGGTGCGATCTCGGGTCACTGCAAGCTCCGCCTCCCGAGTTCACGCCATTCTCCTGCCTCAGCCTCCCGAGTAGCTGGGACTACAGGCGCCCGCCGCCATGCCCGGCTAATTTTTTTGTATTTTTAGTAGAGACGGGGTTTCACCGTGTTAGCTAGGATGGTCTCGATCTCCTGACGTCGAGATCAGCCCGCTTCAGCCTCCCAAAATACTGGGATTACAGGCGTGAGCCACTGCGCCCGGCCAAGAAACATTTTTATAAACTTTGTATTACTTTTTAGGTGGGACTAATTTTATCTTGTTGGATAAATCCTATACGATGGTAGATCAAACATGCTTTTTGTTCATTGTTTTCTTTCAACCAAAATCTTTTTTCTCCCACCCTCTGCCATTTCATTGACTAAAGATAATGAACACCTATTATTGACAAAATAGCACCTTTCATAAATATGTACAGAAGTTACAATCCTATGCCCTGAACTTCCCGTTGAAATGTCTCAAATTTTTAAAAATATTTCTTCTTTCTTTAAAATAAAATTTAAATGTTGTTTAAAAGCAGTAGGATACAAGGTATAAAAGATTGCAAAGATACTGAGGTAAGGATAACAATTCCAGCCTATATAGTTAAGTGAGTGGCCTTGAGCAAGTCATTTTACATATATAAGTCCCAGTTGTCTCATCCCTAAATAGGGATCATAATAAACACCTTTATGGAATGGGTTGAGTAAGGTAGCAAATGTACATGAAGCAAAAGACTGGGATTGAGTAGCCACATAGGGTCTCTGTGTATGAAAATTATATATTGTTGTACATCAAGTATCGATTACACACACATACAAAAGTCCATTTATTTATTTTGGTCTCTTTGTTAGTTTTGTTTGCTGATGATGTTGATGATAATTTGTGAAAAATTCAACAATGATTGATAATAATAATGGTATAACTAAACTGTAGTTCTAAATGACAATTCTAATTGAAGAAATACTTTTACCATTTATTTAGGTAAAAAGCTAATAGATAAGAAAGCAGTTTTCTTATATATCACTTTAGAATGTGTTAGTGTCTATTAGAAGGGATTGAGGAAAATGAAGCTGGCTCTGTTTCTAAGTATACAACTATCTATTAGTAAGTTTTAGAAGTAAATTCTCAATATTATTCATAGGTTAGATAGCCTTGGAATCAACATGGTGCCAATGTTGAGGTGAAGATACTGAAAATATCTAAATTTTTAATTGAAAGTGTATAGGTAAACATGTGATGCTACTTTGCCCTTCAAAGTACCATATTATAAATTAAAACAAACAAACAAAGTAAGTCTGCCTTGAAACCAGAACATATAGGCAGTCTTTTCATGAACTATTTGGTTTTCTAAAAAGGATACTAAAAATGACTGCTAGAGCAGAGAAGTTTTTTTCATATGCCTTTTCCTGTCATGGTAATTAATGTGGTCATAAAATATCCATATATTCATGAGGGTACTTTAAAATTTTCGGGCCCTAATTTAGTATAGAAAAAAATAAAATAAAACAAACAAATGGAACAAAAATTATCATGGAAAAACTATAGTTACATATGTATTGAGATCATAATTTTTATACTGTTAAGTGAACACTCTATAAGACCTTTAAACAGAAAGCAGATTTAACTATAAGAAATTTCTTTACTGCCAGACAAGAATGTTACTATTTAATGTTGAATCCTTTTAAAGAGGGTTCCTGATACAAACCTAGAAATACAGGCAAAGGTTGTTTTCACTGTTATTAAATTTTCACTTGCTTCCTTGCTTATAATTTTGTTTGTTCGATCCAGAGCACTAACTCATTACCTCTGAAATCCCTTACACTGCCCTGTACTATCTTGAGAATAGAGGCAAAAAGTGAGGCTTGAGGGCTAATGGAATGCCAACAAATTGTGCCACATTGGCACACAGGGCATTGACCATACTCCTCTGATCTGCTGTTAATCAACACAGCCACCAAAAACTAAAAAGAATGAGCAGGTTCACCATTTTCATTTCTTAAAGACAAAATGGAAAAAGCAACATATGTTCCTGTTCACACTAAAACAAAATTCCTATTTTGGTTATTAATACTGAAAATACTCAGAGTGAGTTAAACCATTAATTATAGTGACAGCATTTATTCTCCCAGTGGCTCATATATGATTAGCCATAACATATGTTGCACTGCTTTAAAAAATCAAAACAAAGGAAGGATCAGTGGAAGAAAAATTAAAATTGTTCTGTAGATTTGAAAAAAAACACACGTGTATTATCTTCATTTGTCTCTTTTACTCCAGACTCTTACCTATTTTGTAATTTGAGAATGCTGAAAAGGTTTGAAAACAGCTTCAATTGCATCTGCTTCAAAACAGAACTCATGTTTTACCTAGTACAATTTTGACATATGCATGCCAAAATTTTTAGCAAAAAATTCAGGAAAAAATAAAGATATTGTGTTCAGGAATTAGTTCAAATCTCAAAGACAGCACATTCATCAAAAAATAATAATTTAAAGAGGAATATTTTGTTTAGGGATGAAGTTTTGTTTCTGTTTTTGAGGGATAATGTTCACTTTGCATTTTTTAAAATACCAACACTCAGTGCATTTAATATGTAATGTAATATATGAATAAATCAGTGTATAGATAATTATTCATATGGAAATTGAGTAGATATGAAAGCAATTTGCAGAATCTTAACCTATAAGAAGTTTACATCAATACCCTGGGCTTCTCCAATTATTATTTTGCTGAATGTCCTTATGAGTTTTGTAAATTGTAAACCAAAGCAGGTCTCAATTGAAAATGACTCCTCATTTTGTGAGACAATTTTATAAAAGGACATTTACAAAGTGAGGAACTATGACAAAATTTAGGAGTGAAGAAATCTTTTGTGTATTTTTATAGGAATTTTGTTGCTCTAAACATATATCCTGCATTACTAATGAGCGAACAATGAGGTTACAGACCTAGTTTGGCAGATTTTAAGTTGCTTCCTTCTGACTCTGCTAATTACATCTGGTGAGTACTGGAACAAAAACTGCTGGGCTAGAAGGCATTGCTGTCAAACAGCCAATCAGGTGTACACAGAGCCAATGGGAGTTCCCTCCCCACCGTCTAGAGCCCTGAGGTGGTTCCAAGCATCTGGTGCCCTACCAGAGCCATGTGTCACATGGCTCAACATACAGAGATTCCCTGCAGTAAGCAGGGCTTCCCTGCAGCTTTCTTGTTTCTGTGCAAAACACCTCTTTCTTATTGAGAAAATGCCACTAAATGTCTGTGACTGCAAAGCTATTGAGAATTGAAGAAGGAGAGAAAACTGCCCTTACTTCCTAGTACCCTGAACTTTGAGCAATGTTAATGGGAGTTATGTGAGCATAAAAGAAATGCAAGGGCAGCAGGATTGCACCCTCAGTGGTTTCCAAAGAGCAGCCCGAGCTGCAAGACACATTACAAGTTCGTTGAGTAGTGTCAGAGGCTATTTCAGGGCTGAATACATTTACCATGTGGCTGTTTCACTTACACCAGCTGTCTCCAAAGTTGCTCTACTACTGTGAACTGAAGATTATTTTTGCTATCAAAAATAATTCTCTTTCACTCAGAAATGAGTCTTGTAATGTGATAGGCTTTTTTTTTCTGGATTTTTGTGCTGTGATGAAAAGAGTATATTTTCTGCTAGTTTTCTTTTTCTTCAAAGACAGAAATGCAGTATGATGCAATAGACTATGTAAGAACTAAAACCAGACGGCCTGCCATTAGTCACGTGTATGTTCTCAGAAAATCACTTGTCTTTTCTGAATCTATTTCCTCACCTTTATACATGAAGTGATATCATGTAACTTTACAAAATAATTTTAAGAGAGATTTGAAACATAAATAAAAGTATTTGTAATTGATAAAATGTTATCTATTGTCATTGTTATAATCATCATCAGTAGCTTAGTCATTTGTTTTTTCAGGTATTTTATAAGAGCACTTCCAAACTAATAACAGCAATAGCAAAGGCAAATTTAGACATTATTTTGTTTTAAGTGTCATTTATATTTATCTGATATTTCCTAAGGAAGTGACTCATAAATTTTGGTTTCTTCCAGGTTTTTGGTTATTTCTTAGCTATTAACATGGAAGAGATTCTTGTAATACCAGACTATATAACTAAATAAACACAAGAATTAAAAAGAAAAAAGGGAAATCAGTATTCTCCTTTATTAATCTCAGTTTACTAGGATAAGAACACATACTTAGCAAATTTTCAAAGTTTCTGGGATTTTACTGCATGGCTCTGATAATTACAAGCATTCCTCTTGCATAAGTACATAGATGAAATGGCCAGAGAATGGATTGTCTTAATCTATCCAGATTTTATCCTCCTGTTGACCACTCTGTTTGACCTCTGCAGTGCAGTGCCTCATTCAACATTCAACAACGGTGCCAAGTAGTCACTCTCCTGATATTGTGGCCACTGTACTAATTGAGGAAGGCTCACAACCTTGTCAACTGATCCAAGTTAAGTCTCTTTTAGTCATGTGGATTTCAAACTCTATCTCATATATCCTAGCTTTTTCTCTTTCTACTTACTGCTAGAAAACCCAAGTATATGCTCTATTGTTAGAAGTCGTTATTCTCAGTAACACAAATTTTTCTCTGAAAATCTTTTCTAAAAACTGCCTCAAATAAAATCCCTCCCTGAGAATCAATACAATGATATTTGTGTCTGTATGGTGGAAAAAACCAGCAAGCATAGATAAAGATACTAATGTAGAAGTAGACATAGATGTGAGACACAGACATAGATGTACAAGTAGACATAGACATACACATAAACAGAGATATAGATATTCCATACTTGTACTATTTGTCTGTTAGATGACTTGCTTCTTTCTCTCTATTCTTTATCATTTTTGGAGAATTCCTGTCATATATGAATATTTCATATATTAAGCTGGTTAGGCAGATCCAAATGCTCAGGTTACTACCCACTCTTCTACTGTTTAGTGTTGTGAATTTGAGGAAGCTACTTGAATTCTCTAAGCCTCAGTTCTCTAATCCTTTAAGTAGAGATCATTTTAAATGATAAATTGAGATAAATAATATTCAAGTGGTACATGGGACAATCATTCAGATGGTAATTTTAGCAGTTGTAGTTGTTACTTTCCTAGTGTTAAGATAATGCCTCTAATGCAGCAGCTGGGGTCAGAGAGACAGCTGCCTCATTGACATTTTGCTATTTTACTGCTTAGTGCTCATGTGTTCCTGCACATGAGTCTATATCTTCACAGGATGATACCATAAGAAAATCAAACACTTTTTATCCATGCTAGTGTTTATAATCCTCAAGTTCTAAACTCTATATTGTATCATCTTTATTATAGAGTTTGTGGATGAAATAATATCAGTTAAGAGTTTTTGAAAAACTTGATTTTGTTAGTAAGTTCTAGATTTGCATTGTTCATTGCTTTGCTTTGATAAATAGAAAATGGCAAATGCCTTTAATTAAGTAAGTAATTAAAATTAAGCAAAAATTGGAGCATAAGAAATACTAATTTTCTTTAGCAACCTCTAGGTTCTTCTTGGATTTCTATCTGCAGAAGTGCAAAATGTAGTAAACAATAATATGACACAGCAAAGGGCATGGATATCTGATTTTTCATTCAAATATATTTTCACAGGTTTTCTTCTCCTTCTCCTCCTCCTCCTCCTTCTTTTTTCTGCTATCATAAAACAAATATTAAGCACAGCCCCTAAATAATCTTTGGCAGTGTATGTCTTGGCAATTTTGATGTAATTATGTTTCATCATTTTCTACTTTCCTGATAAGTAGTAATACATGAATAGCAGAAATGAGGTTCCTACTTTTCAGGGATAGGCAAATGACAACTGAGTAGAAGTAATCGTGTATTATCTTTAGAGATGTGACATATTTGTGTTACTTTTTTGTTTAAATGGATAAAACTGTCACTTGCCTTCTTTCTTCTCAGGAAAGCTTCAAATACAAGCATATCACAGTTGGCATGACCTTTAACTATTAACTCCATATCTATATCTACATCTATGTTTGTTGTTTATTTTTTTCAGCATATGCACATAAATATCATATTGAAGTATGGAGTTAGAATAAAAGTTAAAGTTGACACTAACTGAGATATGCTCAAAAAATTTGTCTCTAAATGAAGTTTTAGTATGTTTTTCATATCTGATATAGCAATTATATGTTAATACTGCTTGTTGCTATTTAGGTTTTCCAGGAGCAGAGGCTGAGATGAAATTTGGCGTGCAGGATATTTATTAGAGATAAACATGTCTAGCCTGCAACTATATTGCAGGGTAATCCTGCAAGAGTTCTGGAGCTTTATAGTTCATCAGAGTGTTATATGTTGGACTGAAATGTCCAAACCTTCATTTCTCTGTATTTATATAACCACCATAATCAGTCATAAAATGGGCTACTCCAGGAAATGAGCACCCGCGGGCAAATTGGCTTTCTAGAGCTGAAGTAAAGGCTGATGTTGTTAACAATTTGAGGATATATGCTGTTAGAGCGGTAATTCCTCCCTCAAAGAGGGGTCTTACTACTAATATCAATGTCCAATACAGTCCACCCTTTTAGCTTGGGTCTACTTCTTTATATCCATTCAGGGTGCAGCTTCTCTAGGATTCCAGTGGACCTCTATGTGGGGGAAACAAGGAAATAGTAAGTCAGTTGAATAACCTACAGCCCTAGTCATTGCAGCATTTCACTGGTCTCAGAATCACAACCAATAATTATTGCCTTAATCAATTGCCATCAATTCTAGATTTTCTTTATCCTCAGCTATCACCTCTGCTAGTCTTAGTGACATTACTAGTGGTAGAAATCAGATTTTTATCCCTGAGGGGCTTGAGTCTCTGATTGCCATGCCTTTCTCAAGTACTTACCCATTTTGTGCTATAATTATTGGTCAAGAGAACGTAGTACATCAATTGAATGTACATATACTTTTCTCTGTCCTCATTGAGTAACAGTAGTCTTACAACCTGGTGATTATTATCAGTTACCACTGCCAAAGTGATGGTTCCTTTGTTTGACTTTTTGTCCTTAGAAAAGGAACTTGCAGTGCTCAGGGGGCCACCTTAATTTTTAAGTCCAATGTGAATTTTGCTGAATTTCCTAGCAGAAGTATGTCAAATGTGCAGACCCGGACCCATAGCACTGCAGAGACAGAATTATAGGGATCCATATATTTTTTAATACACAGCAACATATGAGGATTTTGAGTCAGTGTATATACTACATCCAAAAGATGGTGCCTCTAATTTGTATGGTATCATCTCAAAGCTGACACTTCAACTGCAAATTCAGGAGATCATACTCATAAGCTATCAGGCCAATACAAATGGGTTGTATGGTATTTCATGCAACCAGTAGGTCCCATGTAACTTGACTCACTCTCATACCTCTTTTGCTTGTTCACTTTAAGTTACCTATAGCCAACTATGGACTGTAAATAATAAATGGAAAATTCCAGAAATAAATAATTCATAAGTTTTAAATTGTGCACTGTTCTGAGTAACATAATGAAATTTTGCACCATCCCTTCTTGGATCATCTCTTTGTCCAGCTTATTCAAACAATATATGCTCCCTGCACTATTCCTATGCAATGGAATTGCATAGAATTCCATTCCAGTGGATTAGCCATAAGCTCTCAGACCATGGTGCTGGCTGAGGCCCAGAAGTTGTGGAAACCCAAGCCTTCTGTCATTTCCTACCAGAACAAATATTTGGCCCTACCAGGATCAAAGGGTTCAACTGTATAAGTCTCCATGAAATGGACAGTTGGTCTCCTTGTGGAATAATGCCATATTGGGCATTAAATATTAGTCTCTGTTGCTGCGAGATGGGTTATTCAGTATCAGATGTATTTAAATGACCGTCAGTAAGTTGGAGCTCATGTTACTGGTCCCATAAGTAGCCTCCATCTCTCTCAGTGTGTCCACTCAGCTTATGTTGCTAATGTGCCAATACTTGAAGGGCTAATGACTGAGGCTCCCTGAAACCAATTAGCATATTATATCTTTGTTGAATGCTTTATGCTGTGCATTGATAAAAAGATCATCACACTTTGTGTCCACTCCCTTGTCTGCCCTATGCACATAGTGTGGACAGATTCCAAACTTTCTTTTCCCAGAGTTATGAAAAGTCACACAGGCCACTTGCCACTGCCCATGACATCATATATATTTTAACCTCAGGCCACCTTTCTTTTTTTGCAAACTAGGTTGGCAGATGGAGAGCATAAAGCAGTTCATTTGAAGAATTTTATTTCACCATTGATTTTAAAGGCCATTCCTGAGTAAGGCTATGGTGAAATTGCCATCCATTGTTGGCACATCCTTCAAGAAAGCTTCAGATTTTACCTCCTCCATCACTGGTCAAATAGTCCTTCCTATGCCAGAGGTGGGAGCTGAGAGAGGAGTACTAGTGCAACAGTGGTGGATAACATGTGGATCTGGCCTACATGCTTATGCAACTTGCTTGTGAGCTCTGGTTCTATTCATATCTGATTCCAGAGGTATGACTTTCATATTGTGCTGAGTTGCTGCTGAATATGCCTGAAAAATCATAAAAATTTACACACCTGACAATATCTTCTTGGGATCTTGGGACTCTTTCAGTGGAGTGGTCTCTTGCTATCTCATGACTAGGCACTGTATTAGGCCATTCTCATTCTTTTATAAAGGACTGCCTGAGATTGGGTAATTTATAAAGGAAAGAGGTTTTACTGTCTCACAGCTCTGCATGTCTGCATGTAGGTTTCTCAGGAAAGCTACAATCATGGCAGGAGGGGAAGTAAACACGTAACTTCTTCACATAATGACAGGAAAGAGAAGTGTTGAGCCAAAGAGGGAAAAGCCGCTTATAAAACCATCAGATCTTGAGAGAACTCACTCACTGTCATGAGAATAGCAGCATGGCAGTAACCACTCCCATGATTTAATTACTTCCCGCTGGGTCCCCCCCATGACACATGGGGTTATGGGAACTATAATTCAAGATGAGATTTTGGTGGGAACACAGAGAAACCATATCATTCCAATCCTGGCCCCACCCAAATCTCATGTCATCACATTTCAAAAGAAAATTTTTCCTTCCCAACGGTCCCCCAAAGTCTTAACTAATTCCAGCATTAACCCAAAAGTCCAAGTCTAGGATCTCATCTCAAACAAGGCAAGTCCCTTCTGCCTATGAGCCTGTAAAATCAAAAGCAAGTTAATTACTTCCTAGCTACAATGGGGATACAGGCATTGGGCAAATACACATGCTCCAAATGGGAGAAATTGGTCAAAATGAAAGTGCTGCAGGCCCCACACAAGTCCACAATCCAGCAGGGCAGTCAAATCTTAAAACTCTAAAATGATTTCCCTTGACTCCCTGTCTCACATCCAGGTCATGCTGATGCAAGAGGTGGTTCCCATGGTTTTAGGTAGCTCCACCCCTGTGGCTTTGCAGGGTACAGCCTCCTTCCCAGCTGCCTTCATGGACTGGCATTGAGTGTCTGTGGCTTTTCCAGGTGCATAGTGCAAGCTCTAGCTAGATCTACCATTTTGGGGTCTGAAGGATGGTGGCCCTTTTCTCACAGCTCCACTAGTCAGTGCCCAACTGTGAACTCTGTGTTGGGGCTTCAACTCCACATTTCCCTTATGCACTGCCCTTGCAGAGGTTCTCCATGAGGGCTCTGCCCCTGCAGCAAACTTCTGCCTGGACAGTTCCATACATCCTCTGAAATTTAGGCAGAGGTTCCCAAACTTCAATTCTTGACTTCTCTGTACCCGCATGCTCAGCACCACATGGACACTGCCAAGGCTTGGGGCTTGCACTCTCTGAAGCCACAGCCCAAAGTGTACCTAGGCCCCTTCTAGCCACTGGCTGGATGCAGGCCACCAAGTCTCAAGACTGCACAAGGAAGCAAGGCCCTGGGTCTGGCCCATGCAACCATTTTTCCCTGCTAGGCCTCTGGGCCTGTTGTGGGAGGTGCTGCCATGAAGACCTGTGACATGGCCTGGAAACATTTTTTACATTGTCTTGGCAATTAACATTTGGCTTCTCATTATTCATGCAGATTTCTACAACTGGCTTAAATTTCGCCACAGAAAATGGGTTTTTCTTTTCTATAACATCATCAGGCTGCAAATTTTCTAAACTTTTATGCCCTGTATCCCTTTTAAACACAAGTTCAAATTCCAAACTATATCTTTGTGAATACATAAAACTGAATGCTTTTAACAGCACCCAAGTCACATCTTGAATGCTTTGCTGCTTAGAAATGTCTTCTGTCAGATGCACTAAATCATGTCTCTCATGTACAAAGTTCCACAGATCTCTGGGGCAGGGGCAAAATGCCACCACTCTCTTTGCTAAAACATGGCAAGTCATCTTTATTTCAGTTCCCAACAAGTTCCTCATCTCCATCTGAGACCGCCTCAGCCTGGATTTCAGAGTCCATATAACTATCAGCATTTTGTTCAAAGCCATTCAACAAGTCTCCAGGAATGTCCAAACATTCCCCAATTTTCCTGTCTTCTTCTGAGCCCTCCAACTGTTCCAACCCCTGCCTGTTACCCAGGTCCAAAGTTGCTTCCACATTGTTTAATATCTTTACAGCAGTGCCCCAATACCCAGTACCAATTTACTGCATTAGTCCATTCTCACACTGCTATAAAGGAGTACCCAAGACCTAGTAAATTATAAAGGAAAGAAGTTTAATTAACTCAAAGTTCCACATGGCTGGGGCGGCCTCAGGAAACTCACAATTATGGCAGAAGGGAAAGCAAACATGTCCTTTTTCACATAATTGTAGAAAAGAGAAGTGCCAAGCAAAAGGGGAAAAAGCCCCTTATAAAACCATCAGATCTCATCAGAACTCACTCACTATAATGAGAACAGCAGCATGAGGGTAATCTCCCCCATGATTCAATTATCTCCCACCAGGTCCTTCCCACAACAAGTGGGGATTATGGGAACTATATTCAATATGAGATTTGGGTGCGGACACAGCTAAACCATATCAGGCAACTATGTCTCCAGCAGAGCATGCTAGAAATTGTTTCTCAAAAGGCCTATAATACTTTGTTGCAGGTAGCATGGCCTTACTCTAAAACCCCAGAAGCCTTTGTTGTGATTATTTCACAAGCACTTTCCATGAGTTCCACAAGATATTTAATCCTGGCAGTACTGCTACCTCTAATATCACAGGGTCTATGAGAACATATATGGATATGCTGCAGAGCTCTTTCCTATTTTGGGCCCACTTCACACTAGTAGAGTTTTGTGTCACATAGTGTACTACCCTGGACAGTATTACCCAGTGTAGAAGTTTCTGCTCTCAAACCTGAAGAGGCCTAACAGTTAATACATTTTCTTAATCACGACTGGAGCTACAACCTGCCATTGTTTGTCCTTTACTTTGGGATGGATGTTCTAGCATGCTAATGATCACTAAATTCCTAAAAAATGTACGGATGTTGAAGGCTCCTGAATCTTTGTGGGATCTATCATTTATTGCAATGCATGTATCTTAGCAAAACCTACAGTGAACTAGCCACTTGTTTGCTCATCTGACCCAATTAGTCTGTTGAATGAAATGAAGATTACCACTTCTGCATATTTTAGATCCTTGAGAACAGAGCTATTTTTTTTCATTCCCTTGGAGTATAATATTACTTTTAAATTATTACTTTTAAATTATTACTTTGGCTGAAATAAGGGGTAGTGCCAATGGATGCTGCTATAAGCTTAATGTTTTGGCCTTCCCATCCTCAAATTCCTGTGTTACAATTCTAGCTTGCAAATATGACGGTATTAGGAAGAAAGGCCTTTGGGATGTAATTAGGTCATGAAGATGAAGCCCTCTTAAGGGAATTGATGCCCTTACTAGAAGAAAAGAGGGAGACAGACATAATGATGCATCAAGTCAACATGTATCAACGTCAATGTTTTAACTAACATTCTTCAATAAGTTTGGATATTCCTTCATTCACCAGCGTACATTCATCTAAATAAATAACTATAGGAAACTTTGGGGACACATTTGTAGAATTATTACTATTGAAGTCTTTTCCCCGGTATTGCAGAATTCTTCCTCCAGGAGACCCAGCAAAATCTTCAGTCAATAGGTTCTAGGTATGAAAACTGGCAAGATTTGGGGGACTTTTGTTTTTGCTTTTGGGGGATTAACTTCCCTAGCTACCTCATATTTCATCCCTGATTTTGTTTTGATAGTGTCCTTATTGGCTGCCCATTTACTTTTTCCCCTAGGGGCATTAAGTTTATTATCCCATCTCTATAACTTTCCATAGAGAAAATTATAGTCCTTATCTGCAATTTAAACATGCTGCTAATATTAAATTTCAGTCCATCTATCTTCTGACAGGTAAACATTGCATTTTGCCATTATTGTTTTGGGATCCTATTATCCCCATTCTTGTCAGCTAATCTAATTCTGTAATGGTTACTTCCACTGAGGAATGAGAGTCACCATTGACTTCTGAGTTATGATTAACACCCTTCTCACCAGCATGTTTCTTGGGGTTTCAATAAATCATGCATTATCTAGGCCATATCATGGATGTAATGCTGTGATGTATCTCCCACTGTGTCTTTTAGTCCTTTGCTAACCCATCAACCATGGAACTTCTGGCATTTTCGCTGCACATAAATGGTCTAGACTTTTGTCCATATTTCTAAGAGAATTTGGGGAGTCCTTAGCAGGCAGTTAAATCCTACAACTTAAGATAGTGATTTTAATCAATAATCTCTCCCTTATGCTGATTTATTTGCCCCATCTCCCTCGATCAAACTTCCTCAGAACCCAATCTGTACATACTCCTCCACTCTATGCTGGTACATGCTAATTAGGACCTACACCTTCATTGGGGTACAGGCTCGTTCTTTCTTTATCAGTCTCAGCATGTTCTCAACAGGGCTATGATAAACTTAATCATAGTATTAGGTCTAGTAGCCAGAAGCAGAGGTGGCGGCAGATCCTAAGGAGATATGTGTTTTCTTACGGGGGAGAGCCTTCCTTATTGTCTTCAATAAGTTAGAGTGATAGTGCTTGATAAACAGGATCAAAGTGTTCAGGTAATTCAAAATGTTGTGAGGAATCCCCTAAATATATCTTTATTAAATAACACAGTCCCTATTTGTCATAACTAAGGCCCTGATATGCTATAATTGTCCTAGCATTGGTTAGGCATTCACCTTTCTCCAGCGTTTGCTCTCTCTTTTAAATCCTTATCCTCATCCTCAGCTTTCAAAGCCTCTTTCTATTCTACCAAGGATATCTTTTGACTTTCAAAATTGACATTTACCTGTCTACCAATAACCAGAAGCATTTTTTTTCTTTTGTATCAATGGTGTTTAGCCATCCAATTCCATTGCCCTTATCATTATAATTTCCTTGTAATTCTGATATTCCTAATAATTAGAACCAGCTAGTACAGGCCTTCTACCTATACAACATCACAATTTACCACGGGTAAAGATTTTCACAATTAGAATTTATGCCAAGGGCTTTCTAAGTTCAATCAACTAGTAGTGATAAGGTCCTCATTTCCAACCAGGAACAAGTGAAGTTATCCACCTTGCAAACTCTATCTCGCTGCCTGCTTTCTGAGACCACTCCTGGTATCAACTGTTGTAGCTGTGCTATCCAAATACAAAGGATAAGATGTAGTTTCATGGGCAGACTAGTAATTAGAGCTAAAAATCTGTGTAAAGAAAGAGATGGAAGCAGTATGGAGTAGCAGGAAAAAATCCTTCAGCTCTGCAGGCCTAACAAGCTTCAGTGATCACCATGAAGGAAGATTCATGGTCCATCAGGATATTCCTCCCTAGATCAATTTGCCAGGACTTTATAACAACCGCTTCATGAGTCATTGGATGTAGATCACACTAGGAAAGATATGTCCTTAGGAAGCTCTCTGTGGTAAAGGTGCATCCTGAAGGAAACAGCCAGAGGCTGTTTGATGACATCTGGGCAACAATTCTTATATGAAGGCAAATCTCTGTATCTACTACATTGAACACAAATCATTCAACAAATATATATCAAATGTGTACTACATATCATATACTGTACCAGATACTGGGGCTACATAAAAAGAGGAAGAAAACTGGGATAGGCCCCACCTCCAAAGAGCTTAAAAGTTAAAGTGGAAGATTGATAGTTAAACCAGTAGTTATAGCAGCACCTAAAAGATCAATGAAAAATAGGTACTTGGTAATGTGGCAGTATCTAGAAGGGGAATCCCATTCAGACTGTAAAGAACAGAGAAAGTTTTCTGGAAATGGATATTTCAAATAAATGTTGATGTAGATACTATTATATTAATAATGTGGATAAGAATTGAGTAATCAAAAGAATCCATAATCATATAGAAGTAGAAAAGAATCTGGTCTATTTGAGAAAATATTTCAGCATAATTGTAGCATAACATACCAATGGGAAAAGCAGAAGAGGTAAAACAGAAAAGGTAGTCAGGGTTTGGATAATAAAGAAATATATATGGTGTGTAGAAGAGTATAGCCTGTAGGCAATAGAAAGACACAGAAAAGTTTTATTCTGGGCAGTGAAATGATCAAAATCATACGTTAGGATATTTACTCTGGAAGTAATGTGTATAATGAATTGGAATAAAGTGAGCCAAGTACTAAGTTACTCTAGTAAGACAAGTGAGAGAAAATGGAGACTTAAATTAAAGCAATAACTATTTTTACTATGAAGTCAAATTGTGCTAAACAGTTCTTTAAGATTAAATTGTATATAATATGAGATCTATGCATATCCCAAAGATACTAATGCATCAGGTAAGTTTGCTACAGATGATAACCACAGGTAGCTGGTAGTATTGTGAAGTGTGGTGAATGAAGATGGGGAGATGAAAGGAGTTGGTTTTGCTCAGGTGACTAGTGTCAGGTCTGTCACCCGTATAGAATATAACTACTGAGTTGTTTCGTAAATATTTTCCATAGCTAAAAGACTCCATGGGGAAACTGCTTTCTTCTCAGTGTCTATTCAGGTCAAGAGGATTTTTGTATACTCTGCCATCCACAGTACTTTAAAATTCTTTCAAAAGATTACTTTCTTATTTTTTAAAAAATCTTCTCATCATTTCACATACTGTCGGCAGAAAGTAAGATGGTTCCTTTTTTTTTTTTTTTTAGCAGTTTTCAAGTTCACCTAAAAAACACTGATTTTCACAAATAAGAGATGCCCATTCTGTTCACTGCTTGTGAACTCATATGCTCTCTTACCTTTGCCTGAGTCATCCCCAGTCTATAAGTGTGTCATATTCATTTTAAGTTTGTGCTAGGGCCCAAAAGCCTTTTCAGAGGTCACTGGATGAAAGGGCCCTTCAGAGAAATGTTTGAAAGGATCTATATACTGCATTTTAAGCAAATATTTGACTGAAAATACTCCTTTATCTAAGTACAGCAAGGCTAGGGATGTCCAACCTTTTCCAGTTTATTGCCACCAATTTCAAATATCTATCTTCAATATTCCGTATTTTAGTTTTCTTACCAATGAGTGCATTAATCATGAGATATCTTTAGTCAGAAATCATATATATTTATTTAAGTGTATGTAATATATTTGAATTTTATCTGCATGCTCTAAGTCTTTTTACTCTGAACATAAAACAACAATACATTCTTTAATTTACTTTGCAATTAGGTATGGCATCATTACTATAGACAAATCAGTGAGAGTAATATGTGCCAATTCTTGACTGGACATTTTAGGAGAGGGAGTATGTCTCCTTCATGTTCTCTTTCTGCTTCTACCAGCTAGGTTCAGAATATACCCAGCCTCTGAAGATGGCAGAGGCTCAAGATAGAAGGAGGCTCTCCATGATAGTTTGGAGGTGAGCTGCCCTGCTGACCTGAATGCCCATCTAGACATGTTACATGAGCAATAAATAAAATTCTAGAGCTCTAATCCACTGAATCTTTGAAGGCTATTTTATTTTTTTAATTGATAATAATAAGAATAAATATTATTTATATTATTATAATATAAAGGAGTTTTGCTCTTGTTGCCCAGGCTGGAGTGCAATGGCACAATCTTGGCTCACTACAACCTCGACCTCCCTGCAACCTTTGCCTCCCAGGTTCAAGCAATACTCTTGCCTCAGCCTCCCGAGTAGCTAGGATTACAGGCACCCACCACCATGCCAGGCTAATTTTTTCTTTCGTGTATTTTTAGTAGAGACACGGATTTCACCATGTTGGCCAGGTTGGTCTTGAACTCCTGACCTCAGGTGATCCACCCACCTCAGCCTCCCAAAGTGCTGGGATTACAGGCATAAGCCACCACACCTGGCCCTTTATTTTTTTAAATGAGCTGATCAAAACAATGTTCAAACCCACTTTTGGCTAAAGCATAGTTCTGTAATGTATCACTACCATCTTGCCTCTTCAAACTTCAGTGGTCCAAAAGTAAAGTTCAAACTTGCCAGCCCAGTCCGCAAAGTCCTATAGAAATGTCTCAGCCTAACTTTCCTACATCATTTTCACCACTACTCCCTCTTGATACTAAATTATTTTCTTCTTCCTGTAAGTGTCAGAGTTCTACAGGCTTCCTTCCTCTTGGCATAGTGGGTTCCCTCTGCGTGAAATGTCTTCCTTTCTACTTGCTCAGTGAATTTCCACTTCTTCTCCTGTCAAGACTCTACTCTAATGGGAGTGGCTTATTCACATCTCAATGCAGCATTAGTTGCTCTTCCCCCAGTACTACCATGCTCTGCATCTGCATAATTACTAGGACATTGAGACCTTTTTTTTTTTTATGTAAGCACTCGCTTATGTATCTATTTCTTATTCTGTACAATGTATTGCTCAAAAGAAACCATTCCACATTCATCTCTATTGCCAAAGTATATTGAAAAGATAAATTAGCAATGCCTATTTAAAAAAAAGAATGACCTATAAATTAATCACTTAAATTATCTTTAATGTAAATGTTTAATTTGATTGAGCTGCACCTTTCTGTAGTTAAACTTCACCTTTTTAAGCCATTTATAGCCTATTTAGAATCTCCTTAGAGAGTAGCGAATAAATTTTCATTCTGCAATTTTCACCTACTCAACTTGTGAAATATGATTTCACTCTTACCACTAAAAAAATCTTTACTGGAAAATACCTCTAAGGTGTACTAATACAAATGTAACTGACGTGTCTTTCTCCTCAATGACCCTAAACCCTCCAGCTACTTAAAGCTATTCAGTACTTTAAGATTTAATTAAAACTGGTTTGTCCTTTATCTTTCATATCGTGGAAAACACAGGAGTCCTCTCAATATCGCCAGGGGATACTCTGGGCAATGGATACAAAACAATAATTATTTTAAGAAGTTTTGTCCCAAAGTCCATGAGATTATAAATATTCACTTTCTTTTTTCTTAAGAAATATTTTATCTCTTTTTGTGTTATGACAGCCTGTTGAAGACCACTATGACCCCTTTTCTCCTCAAGTATGACTCAAATAAAAAGGAACTTTGAGTATTTCAGAATAAGAAGGATATGGCATTGCTTCACCAAACTTTAATCTTAAAATGAGACACTCTGACACTCTGTTTTTAAAAGTTTCCTCATCATTTCTGCTTCTAGCATTAAAACTTGCTTCCTTTTCTATACAGGCTCCAGTCTCCCAACATGTTCTTGGGCCATACTCTTTTTCCCCTTCTTTTTACATCTGTTTGGATACTTGCTACTACATTCCAAAATTCCACAAAATATGATTAAAAACTGAATGATGCATCCTTTGCCTTTGTAGCTCCCATCCATCATATTAGCATGAAGTGTGGTATTGATGCAGGATTTTTGTCAGACCCTTCACCAGACTCACAGCAGATGCTTCTCATCCACTCAGCCCACTGTGCTCAACTGCTTGTGGGAGGAAGCATGTGAGCAAGCAAGTGTGGGATCCAGCCAGCCTCTCAGTGCTGACACAGGAGAAAGAAAGCTCTGTGTGGGGCCTGTAGCCAGACCAGGTGCATAGCCTTGAGGGGAATGTGGTGGTGCCCAGGTGAGGGTGCCCATGACCCTGAAGCCCCAGAGTGGGTGTTACAGTGCTTATTTAGTGTCACAGTCCAATGGACAGTGGCATGTTAGCAGCTCAGTTGGCCTCTTGCCTTGTCACATAGGGTGGCTGTCATCCACCAGTTAGAGAAAAGGGCTAGTTTGACAGCCTTTCTTGGGTACGTGCACTTGGTGGTTCCCGAGCTCTTGTCTAGTGTCCAAGAATAATGAGGTCACATGGATGATTGAAGGATGGTGAAGGCAGAGAATTTTACTGAGCCATGAAAATGGCTGTCAGCAGAGAGGGGAGCTGGAGAGAGGATGGGAAAGGCAGGTCATCTTCCCCAAAGTTATGCTGTCTCTTCCCCGAAGTCAGGCCATCTCCTCCTCCACCACCTGAGTCTGAGGTCTATATAGGCACAGGATGGGGAGTGCATTCTGATTGGTTTGTTAGTATGCAAAAAAGGTTAAAGCAAAGACACCACTCAAAAGTCGGCACAACAGTGTAGAAATCCAATTAGGAAATGGTAGGTATATGTAAAATAGAGTGAAGCAGGGGGTAAAAATCAGAGGGATGCATGCCAAAAAGGAAGACAACTTCTCAGTCTGGTCCAAGGATTTAATTTGTAGCTTGGCTTACAGGCTTCAAACTGTCTTCAGCTTGGAGGTGGGGTTTTACAGGCTACTTGCCCCTATCTGGCTAGGGATTTGGCTGCCTCTGATCGCTATCAGTATTTAATGAAGCTGTTCAACTCCTTACAAAATGGCTAAGAACTCATAGCTCTCTCAATTCTAAAGATTAGTGGTTCAGTCAACTTCTGAAGACAGCAGTAGAAGAAACTGGAGTACGTTCAGTTTATGCTGCCACTGTTTTTCCTTGAAGTCACTTCGGTTTACTATTTATGCTTAACCCTATGCAGTCAGAAGATACTTTCTCTCTACAGATGATATCAGATGGTCAGAACCCAAATCCATGCAGAAACTCATTGAAAACCCATGCTTAGGTTATAAGACTATGTCACTTTTATTCCCATTCAGATTTCTCCATTGTTCTTCAAAGCAATTATGGTGTCAGTGGGTTTAGGTCTCTGGAGGCTTTGAGATCTGTATGGAACAGGCAAACCAGATTCAGCCGTATTCTACATTGTCAGCCATAGATGTGGTTCTCAGTGATTAAATGCCGTCTTTACTTGAATCAATATTATTTAAGAACTTAATTACTTTGCTTTATCACTTGACATTTTTCATCTTTATGTTGAAGTCTTTCATAATGAATTTCCTTTGTTTTGTTTTTCCTCCTAAATTTTCTAGCTTTCTTACACAAATTACCCATATCTCCTCCCAACTGACAAGACTGGATATTATTGATTTGTGATCCTACATTCTGAGTATTCTGAATAAGTAACCAGTCTAATAGTGCCAAGAGTTGAGGAGAGAAATCCGTTGCTTCAACAACCACTTGTAACCCAAGGTAATTCAAATAATTCAGGAGACTGGTTCATTTAATCCCAAAGTTGGCTTCACTCAGTACTGCTAAAAATAAGCAATTCAATCCGTGGAAGGTTATTTCCTCTGGTCACAAATTTCACACAGTAAATTTCATTTTATTCACAAATCAAACGCTGTTTTGCAGATGCACCTCTTAAATACCATCTCTGTTCTTCTCTAATTCTTATGTAGCCATTCTGTCAAAACTGCATGTTCTTCCCATTACATTCCAATATCTTCAAAGAACCATTGATACAGATGTTTTCTTGGACTAAATCATGGTAATCTAATTCTAATCATTCAAGTACATTCTACATATCTCCAAAATTTCTTAGACACTGGTGATTTTCCACTGGGGTTACCAGAATTTTTTATTCATTCTAGGTCTCCAGAATATTTATTCCTGCACATTTAACAAATAACACAGTATGTGTAGCATCTCTAATATTTAAGGTTGTGGAAAGCTCATCCTATCTCTAGGTGAGGAAGAACAGTATGATTCCCAGAGATGATGGCTGTTGAAGAAAACAACCCAATAAAATTTGTGGTCTTTGAGCAAGAAAGAAGCCAACCTATTGTGACTTTACAGGGAGAAAGCAAGAGAGTGTAGCACCCTAACCACTCTGTCCTGTAGCTAGCTTTCCAGTCTCCTGGCGATGACTGCACCCGGTAAACCAACCAAAAGTTAAAAATGTGGGTCAATCTCCTGGGCTCAGAGCAGAGTGGGCATGCAAGATGAGTACATCTTCATTAGGAGTCCCAGAAAGAGTACTGGTGATGATTTCACTGCATTTTTCATTACTGAAGAATGCCGGATATATTTTCCACACAATCAAGGTTTGTTCTTCCATCTTAGTCTCCAGTCATGCACTCTGCATCCTTAGGATGTCTTCTCCATGACATTGGTTTCCTGCTATAGGAGAGTTTTTTTAAAACTCCTGTAATATTTCATTTTTGGATATAGTAAAAAAGCCATGGCATACACAGCTTCATTCTACAGGACCAAAAATGAAAGTCTCTACTTTACTTTCTCCCCTTGTCATCTCCTGTAATCTGTGTACGCTGATTCTGCTCCTTTCTCCTTATATTTCTAGGTCTCTGATATAGTTCCTTAGAAGAGTATCCATTATTAACTAAACTTCTCTATCTACATAACCAGGATAGCTCTTTTCTCAATCTTTCTCACATTTCCAGAGTACTACTTTTAAAGAATATGCATATATATCACTTTACCTCTCAGTGGGACATCATTTGATCTAGTCTTAGGAACTTTAGATATTCTCTCAAGGAAAGGGCTCTGTATCTTCTATGGCCAAATCATAAATCTTAGTATTCTCCTTAAAGTAATACTCACCCCACCCCCCATCAAGAACTGGAGTTTCTGTTCTTAGAGCTGCTTTACAGTAACACAGAAAATCAGTGCTGTTTGGTAAGTATATTAGTCTGTTCTCACATTGCTATAAAAACCTACCTGAGACTGGGTAATTTATAAAGAAGAAAAGTTTAATTGACTCACAGTTCTACAGGCTATAAAGGAAGCATGGCTGGGGAGGCCTCCAGAAACTTATTATGACAGAAGGATGAAGGGGAAGCAAGAACATATTCACATCATGGCAGAAGAGAGAGAGTAAAGAGAGAAGTGCTATACACTTTTAAACAATCAGATTTCATGAGACATCACTCAATCTCATGAGAACAGCAAAGAGAAAATCTGTATCCGTGATCCATCACCTCTCACCAAGCCCCAGCTCCAATACTCGGGATCACAATTCAACATTAGGTGGGATCACAGAGCCAATCTATATCATTACACTTCTAGCCCTTCCCAAACCCCATGTCCTTCTCACATTTCAAAACATGATTATGCCTTCCAAAAATGTCTCCCAAAGTCTTAACTCATATCACCATTCAAAAGTCGAAGTCAAAAGTCTCATGGAAACTCCCTTCCGCCTCTGAGCCTGTGAAATCAAAAACAAGGTAGTTGCTTCCAAGATACAATGGAGGTACACGCATTAGGTAAATGCCCCAACCCCAGATGGGAGAAGTCAGCCAAAACAAAGGGGCTACAGGTCTTATGCAAGTCTGAAACCTAGCAGGGCAGTCATTAAATCTTAAAGCTCCAAACTCCAAAATAATGTCCTTTAATTCATGTCTCACATTCAGGGCACGCTGATGCAAGGGATGGGCTCCCAAGGCTTTGGGCAGCTGCACTCCTATGGCTCTACAGGGTACAGCACCCCCATGGCCACTTTCCCATGCTGGCATTGAGTGCCTGCAGCTTTTCCAGGCGTATGGTGCAAGCTGTCGGTGGATCTCCCATTCTGGGGTCTGGAGGACAGTGGCCCTCCTCTCACAGCACCATTAGGCAGTGCCCCAGTGGGAACTCTGTGTGGGGGACCCAACCCCACATTTCCCCTTTGCACTGCCCTAGTAGAGGTTCTCCATTTGGATTCCACTCCTGCAGAAGAATTCTGCCTAAACATCCAGGCATTTCCGTACATCCTCTGAAATCTAGGCAGAGTCTCCCAAACCTCAATTCCTGACTTCTGTGCACCCACAGAAGCAACACCATGTGGAAGCTGCCATGGCTTGGGGCTTGCACCCTCTGAAACAATGGTCCAAAATGTACCGTGGCCCCTTTTAGCCGTGGCTGGAGCTGGAGTGGCTGGGAAGCAAGGTACCATGTCCCAAGGCTCCAAAAAGCAGTGGGACCCTGGGCCTGGCCCATGAAATTATTTTTTCTCCTTAGGCTTCTAGGCTTCTGCTAGGAGGGGCTACCATGAAGGTCACTGACTTGCCCTGGAGGCATTATCCACTGTTAACATTCAGGTCCCCTTATGCAAATTTCTGTAGCTGGCTTGAGTATCTCCCTGGAAAACAAGTTTTTCTTTTCTACCACATGGTGAGGCTGCAAATATTCCAAACTTTCATGTTTCGCTTCCCTTTCAAATATAAGTTCCAGTTTAAGATAATCTCTTTGGTTACACATATGAGCATACACAATTAGAAGCAGCCATTTTGCATCTTTAATACTTTGTTGCTTAGAAATTTTTTCCTCCAGGCTGGGCACGGTTGCTCACGCCTCTAATATCGACAATTTGGAAGGCCAAGGCAGGTGGATCACCTGAGGTCAGGAATTCGAGGCCAGCCTGACCAACATGGAGAAACCCTGTCTCTACTAAAAGTACAAAATTAGCTGGGCGTGGTGGCACATGCCTGTAATCCCAGCTACTTGGGAGTCTGAGGCAGGAGAATCACTTGAACCTGGGAGGTGCAGGTTGTGGTGAGCCAAGATCACGCCATTTCTCTCTCTCTGGCCTGGGCAACAAGAATGAAACTCCGTCTCAAAAAAAAAAAAAAAAAAAAAAGAAAAGAAAGAAATTTCTTCCTGCAGATACCTTAAGTTATCTCTCCCAAGTTCAAAGCTTCACAGATCTCTAGAGAATAGGCACCATGCCTCCAGTCTCTCTACTAAGAGTGACCTTTGTTCCAGTTCCCAATAAGTTCCACATCTCCATCTGAGACCACCACAGCCTGACTTCGCTGTCCATATCACTAACGGCACTTTGATCACAACCATTCAACAAGTCTCTAGGAGGGTCCAAACTTTCCCTTATCTTCCTGTCTTCTTTTGAGCCCTCCAACTGTTCTAACCTCTGCCTGTTATCCAGTTCCAAAGCTGCTTCCACATTTTCAGATATCATTATAGCAATGCCTCACTTCTCTGGTACCAATTTTCTGTATTAGTCCATCCTCATATTACTTTAAAGAACTACCTGAGACTGTGTAATTAATAAAGAAAGGAGGTTGAATTGATTCACAGTTCCGCAGGCTGTACAGGAGGCATGACTGGGGAGGCCTTAGTAACCTGATAATCATGGTGGAAGGCAAAGGGGAAGCAAGCATATCTTCACATGGTGGCAGAGAGAGAGAGAGAGAGAGAAAGAGAAAGAAAAGTGCTACACACTTAAAAACAACCAGATCTCATGAGAACTCACTCATTGTCATGACAACAGCAAGGGAGAAATCCACTCCCAAGATGTAATTACCTCCCACAAGGTCCCTCCACCAACACTCAAAATCATAATTCAACATGAGATTTGAGTTGGGACATAGAGTCATACCATATTAGTAAGATTAAAGCTTTCCCCAAAATGTCTTTATTAGGAGTGGTTCTGGGAAATATTTTCTGAAAATTAGCCTTATGAGCCTTATCAGCATTCCTCTCCCTGTTGTGAAACTTTTGTTCTGTGACTTTCTGGAGCAAAACCACAAACAGAAGTACAGAGAATATGAATAAAAAAGAAGTGTACTTTTAGGTTGTACAAATCACATTTGGAGTGACTTTTCAAGATTTTCGTCATTTTACATTGTACATGCTCATTAAGAACTACCTCAATTCATGTCAATTGATTCCAGTGTAATAGTCTCTGTTGATTTGAAGAACACCAGTGGACAATTATTCTGATCTTAGAATATTTACAAATTATTATTTAATGAGGGAAGACACATATGTATATATAAAGTGGCTAATGTACTTTTTACACATATATACACATATGTATATTTAAAGTGGCTATATAGTGTATAATATACACATATGTATATATATATATATATATATATATATATATATATATATATATATATATATATATATCTGGCTCTGGCTTGAATTCATTGTTCTCTCATAAGGATTTTACCAGAATAAGATACACACCAATTTCCCCTAACATCACAGAAGAAAAGTGTTCTGTTTACAGGGTATAGCAATCAGATATTTTACCAAATATTTTGTCACTTCTACAAACGGGTCTCTTATCTCTCAGCCTGATGATTTAGGATACTCACTATAAAGTTCCTTACCTAACCAATCAAATAAATAACATTGTAGGTTCTGTTACTTGCAACAGTCACTTCTGGTATCAAAATATCTATCAGGATTTTATATCCTGCAAATAACATTAAGTCCTGCAATAGTGGCTTCAAGCAATAGTTAAATAGCTATTTTAGATAGTAAGTTATCTAAGAGTATACTGGATATTTAAAATAAATAATAAATAATATGTTTTCATAATATTGATTTAATATTTATATTAAAACATTAAGTATATTTATTTACTATTTATATTAAAATAAATAATGTATAATTATTTATTTTATATAGTAAGTTATCTAGGGTTATGCTGGATATTTCAAATATTTGGATAGTCCACATCTTACCAGAAAATAACAGTCATTTCATCTTCTGGTCACTCACTTCTAGCATGTAGATCTTCCTCTTGATGTTTGCCATACTAGAATCACAAAAGGGAAGCAATGCCTTTTGCAACTTTTCTCTTATTTATCAGAGAAAGGAGAAAACTGAGTGAAACCAAAAGAGCAGAGTAATAAAGAAAGAATAGTTAGAAAAAGACAACTTTTATTCGTAACAACTTCTGCCTGTACAGCAAAGGCCAAAAATCACCCAAATTAGACCCAACAATAAAGGCAAATGAGTAGAAAGTACTGTAAGTTTGTGAATGGGGATTTTTCTAGCTGGCACTTGTATAGCATTTACCTAAGGAAAGAAATTTCAAATTTTATAATTTTATGAAAGAGATGAATTTCAAAGACATTTCAAAAGTAAAGCAAAGAAATTATAAGATGTGTAAGGTGATTTTTAATACCACATTCCTAAATCACTTAATTATTTTAAAAATGAAAAAGTAAAATTTGTATACGTTCTGACAATTCAATGACACTTGTATCTGAGTTTGTAAGAATCATAGGGTATCAACAAAATGCTTAGAGCCCAGTCCTGTGCACATCACCAAGAAACAGGTTAAGATTTCAGAAAATTACAAAACAAATTCAGTCTATGGGAGAGGATGACAAATTATGAAAAGTTGGAGATGTTTTCAGAGAAACAAATGTCTAATTCAGAAGACAAATACCTAAATATTTGAATTACAACTGTTAGTATGCTGAGAAATCAATTTAGTGAATTTTAACTGGGATAACCAAATAATTTATTATACAACATGAAACATTTTACAGAGAAACATAAATGGTACAAATAATTATGTGGAATTAACAAAGATAAGCCAGGATTTTCCTGGAGACACTCATTATTGTCAGTCTAGTCATAACCAATATTTTTAAATGATATAAAAATCATTAGAATGGAATAGAATAGAAAAGAAAAATGTTAGAGTGTACCACTCATAGTAAAGATGCTGTTTTATAATTTTATTATTTTTGGTATCTATTGAATATACCTTACTGTGGAGTCACAAGCAAAATCTTTGAAAGCCCCTGGGGCCAGAGTACAGCCACAAGAGCTTGCAAGAGATTCAGAGGAAGAAATGTAATTTAAAACTTCTTAAAGACCCAGCCTTTGGGGCTATTATTTCTCTCAAATAAAGGAAAATTATTGGCTATGGTTGAATTCTTAAGTAGTTTAGAGTAGACTATTAACAATGTTAGAAATTGGAGGACCTCATCAGCCAGGTTTTTGAGCATCTTCTGAAGGTTGGAGAAGAGATTACTGTGAATTTAATGAATCTAAGCAGCATCAATACGGATTCTCAGCCAAGTCCATACTCTCTTGAGAAGCAGAATCAGGGACATTCAGAATAGATGTGGGCAGGGTAAATTTGAGTGTCATTTACTGAACCATCAAAAGTAACTTACCTTTTTTTAGCTACTATAGGTATCGAAGAAAAATATGGAAGAAAGTGATTGCTTACCCACTATGACTAAGAGAAGCAAGACAAATAAGTGACAATTTTAGTTACATTGACTTCATACCTGCTAGATAAGGTAGAAGAGGGCTTACCATAAATTTAAAACTCTTTGCTGCTGGAGTGGCTGAGACTTAATTTAACCCAACACTCTTTTCTCTGAAGTCAAATCTAAACACTTGAAGTTTTATATAGAACCAAAGTCTGTGTGTGGGTGTTATCCATCTCTCATCATCTCATTTCCATGCCTGCAAGTGTTGAGCAATACTGGTTGGCATGTCCTGGTTTCAGGCATTGATCAAGCAAAGCCACTTGGTATGTGATGTCTCCAGTAGACACCTATGCATGATGTTTGAGGACAATGAAATAATTCAACTCTGTCTTCTACTGCTCTGGGTCATTAAAATCTCCATGCCTAGATACTCTCCAAAGAGCTGGGAAAAAAATAAAAAACACAGGAACTTTAGGATATATTCGTACAGATCTACATTCTAGCAATTCTAAAACAGGTTTAGAGAAGAGAGAATTGTTTCAGAATTGCTACGTTCTAGCAATTCTCTCTCTTCTCGAAACCTAAATTTGAGGAACAGGAAGTGGAATGAAATCTCTCCCCCTTTAAAACATCAACTCTTTTGACTAAATAAATGAGCCCTGTGATGTTTCACTTTAGAGACTGAAATCATGAAAATGACTTTGGTTCTTCTTTGTACTCTGTGATATCATTCTGTTGAGGGGATGAAAACAGCAATACAAAAAAAGGGAAAATGGCTAAGAAGAAAAATAGGAGGTATTTATTTATATTTCAGAATTTTTTGTGTATATTTAAAATATGTATATTTGTAAAATTATATATCACATGCTATATATTTTATTCTAACTTCTGGCTTCAAGCATTCCTCCCACCTTGACCTTCCAAAGTGCTAAGATTACAAGCGTGAGCCACACACACAGTCTACTGTATATTTTTTAAGTAGATTTATAAAATAGGATCATCTATAATATGTTGTATATATTGAGAACTAGGTATTTGTAAAGTAAGATTATAATGTGTATCTTGCAGTTTTTAAATTAACAACATTTATCATTTTCTGTAAGAAGTGTAGAAATAACTAATTGATTAAATGTGGTACTCATTTGAGAAATATAAAATATTTATTTAAAGCTTGATTTTTCTCAATAAAAATAATTCTCAATAAATACATATCAAAACAATAAATGCATGTATGATGAACTTTTGGTTGGTTTTCTGTATTAATTTCATAAGCTCTGCTACTGTGGAAATTTCATTCTAACCTTTATTTTTTCAATATTACTTCAAAATAATTTTTCTAAAGTTGGGGTTAGAAATTTTATTTTTATTTCCATTTTCCCACCACTTTATGATGAAAAGAAGTCTGAATTGCTATGAATTGCTCAGTAGATCACTGCTGGATATCTAATTGTAAAATCCTACTTTGTTCCTGTTTTAATTATTCCAAACAAAGTCCACTAAAATATTTCATGTCAGTTACTGTTTGATATGTTGGTGATATAGAATTTTAAAAATTACATTGTATTCATAATTCTAAAAATTCAGAATTGTTTATGGAAGGTTTATCAAGAAATAGTTACATTGTAGCACAATATATGTCAACAGAGGATTTGAAAAGTTCGCAGTCTCGAGGCTGCTTTCTCTCATCAAAATGCTGTAGCTGAACTGCAGCTATTTTTGGTGTTCTGCTATTTGATACTTACTCCTATCACAGAATTCTTTAGCTATGTGAGAAGGGTCATGTAGTCTTCTGGTCCAGGTTTTAATTTTATGCATAGGTTCTTACTCCTGTATTTCATTTTCTTTCTAGAAGGCTTGCGGCTGCACCCAAGCTGCCAGACTAGGTGTCCTATTCCCAAAACTTGAATTTTATAATGTAAGCTTCCCTGTGCCATGTTCATCTCCAGTTGTATCGTATGGTATGTCCTGTCATTGAAACTTTTTTCTTGCTAGTGAGGGGCATGGGGGTGCAGATGACCTAGGATGGGCAGGGTCTATAGGAAAAAAATGACAAAAGATATGTAATATAATTTACCTTAACTCCTCTTTTCCTGTATTGTGTTATCAAGGGGGTGTAGAAGATAATAGGACAAAGTTATGTCAACAGCTTAGAAGTGCAAGTGAAGTGGGTGACTACCTTAACAGCAGGAATTTATTATCTTATATTCGTCTCTGATAGGAACATGTCATTTCCCATAAAAAGAGTATTTAGGATGATTCCCATCTCAGTAGAATACTGTGTAAAATGCTGTAGTGCAAACAAGGAAGAGATGGCTATCTTGTGGTGTCAGGGAAGATTTTGCAGAACTGAATCCTAAAGAAATAGCAGCAATCCATCATTTTTAAGGTTAAAAAGGATTGTACAAGTAGAGATAACATGTACACGAATACATGGAATTACGGTAGGGCATAGAGTTGTCTCATTTTGAATAGAAGCCATGGGAAGAGGTTGCAAGAGAAGAGAAGAAAGGTGGTAGGAAATCAATTCAAGTAATAGACTGGCTGCAGATTATGAATTACACTGTGTCTAATGCTAAATTTTTAGGACTAAACTATTGACATAGTGGTGAGCACTCAGTAATTGTTAAGTTTATTCTTTCTAATTTCAGTGAAAACAGCACGGAAAGATGATGTTATAAAAAATGATATATTTGAGGTCTTCCGTGATTGCATCTAATTTAATCCTTAGCAATGTTTGTAGAATAATTACTATTTTAGCTTAGTATGCAGTGGTTCTCAGAGCTGACAGAATTTGTTTCAAAATAAGCTTTCAGGGCTCATCCTCAGAGAGAATTATGCCAAGAGTTTTATCAGTGTGCTTCATTTTTTGTTTATCATCTATGAGACTCCATGGAAAGTCTCAGGGATATAGGATATTAAGAGCTTACATCATTATCAGTAAGACTTTCCTTTACATTTCTAGAGCCTATTCAGTATGTATCTCCCTTCAGGACACAAAAGAAATAACCCTGCTATTTCCCTGCTGGGTGACCTACAGTAGAAATTTTTTGTAAGTTTTTAATTTGCAGCAAGTATTTGATGAATGGAATAGAGTCAGAGGTGTGATCAGACAATGGGTTTTACTAGAGCTCCATTTAGTTTACCTAAGTTTTATTATATATCCTAATGCCTTAGAGTAGTTTCAGTTCCATGATATTAACTCCTGTACCTCCTGTTAACAAGATATTTTATACTGAATTATCTACAGAATCAAATCATGAACTGTATTGCTAAAAGATAGAAGAGTTTTCATGAGATCCAAATGGCAGTCGTTTTCCAGTTTGCAAATTGAGTCCTAAAGATTGCAATAATTATGTCATTTCTATCCATATAAGTATCTATGCCACAGCCATACCTAAATACTTCACAATGTGGAATTGGACAAGAATGCATTAACAAAAGTCTGCCTACAACAGCAGTCACACTTCTACCTTCCCTGCAGTGATGACATTCCTGAAAATAGCCTGTCAAAAAGAAGACAAAGAGTTGGGAAAACTTTATGGCAAATTTAACTGAGAAATAACTGTTTTCTACATCAAGAGAATTGCCTGATAAATGTTTTGCAGAATTTAAAAGTCATTCCAAAATTAGTTTCAAAGAACTGGCTGCAAATGACAGTCCCCAAATGTGTTTTTCCCTTCTTTTTCTTTTTCTCCCTGTCATTGCCGACTCAGAGCATTAAGAAAATCTAACGCTGAAAGGACTACTCCTGTGAGATGTGAAAATAATTATATGTTCTGCCTGAACTGATAGGCAGAGAAACATTCCATCTTAGATTCTGCAAAGCATGTCAATTTCAAGTTTGCGTGTTTTCTGTTTCTACTACCTACCAGTTGGAGAGGCAGTGATTGGAAAACAAAAGCATTATCTTTACAGCAAGGAAACTTGAAAATTGGATAGATGGCATTCTTCTCCACTTTTCATGTATTTTACATGAAAAGTGAAGTTATTTCTCACTGTAGGTTTTTAAGGTGGATAATAGAAACAGTTTTGCAAATCTGAGCTTCGATAATTTTACTATAACAAGTTGTATTGTATTAACAGAATGTTAATAATACATATTTATGGACTCAATGTGAGTCAGAAAAATTGGCTCAAGAGTTGAATTGCATGAAATTAACCTAGTTTCTCATTGACTTCAATTTTAAATGCCAAGTTGATTTCCCGTTGAAAAGAAATACCCCATAGAGCAAATTAGAAACATCTCAAAATGACCCAGCTTTTATAGATAGTTTGATGCTGTAATACCCATAGTAATTTTGCAAAATTTCCATTACTTTCCAATATTTCAGTATCCCATTCTCTGCGGCTGACAGTTTTAAGCCTGACTCTGGCTTTTTACCATGTCTGATAAACCAAAGGAATTTTTTCTTTTCAACCCAAATTCAGCTATTCCTCCCCTACTTTTTTCCTTTTAAAGTCTTATACAGGTTAAGTATGACTTAAATATACAAATAGCATCAGTTACCAAAAAAAAAGATAGTTTTCCTTTTGGCATGGGATGAGAACAAACTGATAAATTTGAGTTTCTTAATGATACTTTTCTGATTATTGCAAGAATACATCTATTGTATAGAAAAATAGGTATATTCAGGAAGGCATTAAAACAATTCCTCTCTTAATGCCTCTACCCATAGATATGTACTGACTAACATTTTTGCACATTTTCCCATAGTCTTTCAGAAAAAAATAATGTGCAGGTTGTGCAGTTTCTCGCTGGATAAAATACATATTTTTATTTTTGCCTTTTCCCACACTAGTGATTTTTGAGCTTTTTTCATGTTATTAACTAGATACAAATATATGAATGTCTATTATTGAATCCTATAAAAGCCACATAATCAATTTTACATTTTTCAAGTGTTTAAATATTTTGGTGTTTTTCAAATTATTAGCATAATGTGACATAGATGGCTCTTATTTCTCATTAATAGTAGAATCAAATGAACAAATAACAAAAAATATAAGCTTCCTAAGTCTCTATGTCAAATAATGTGGGAACTACAACATACTTCTCAAGATATAGGTTTGTTCTTGGGTCTTACATTGACATGTTTTCTCATGTCATGTCATTTCTTTTTCCGTCTATTCTCTGAATTTCATTGATCCCTTGCCCTCAGTAACCAATCTTTTACTTTCCACATATTTCCCCAAACCTGAAGAAAGCAATCTCATTCTCCAGAGCATTAGCAGCACAATATTATTCTATGTTGGTGATTTCTGTTCAGAGAGTAGAGACAGAGATGAGGATTACATAATGGCAGATAAAATTGTTTAAAACTAAATGTTATGTATTGTTGCAAAAAATTTTCTCAAGAACTCCCACAACAGGGACTTTCTCACTTGTCAACAGTCTTCCCCAGGCTCCCTGGCATCCCAGGATCCCCCCATGGGACCAGATATATAGTATCTCTCTCTCCATCTCTTGATTTTCACCCCTTTGTTTTTCCAACCTTCCCTTTCATCTTTTTTTCTTTTTCTCATGGGTACTCTTGACACTCAAAACCTCACATTTTATTACACAGAACGATTTAGTACTGCCTATATGTTATTTGCACCCAGGAGTCCCATCTTTCTCCACCAAAAAGTCCATCAAAATCTATTAAAGAATTGTATTTTGTGCTGTTTTATTGAAATAACTACTTATTCTACCATACAGATTAATTATGTTACTATTAAGAAGGCAGAAATAGCCAGTGTCAGCTATTTAAGAACATATTTTTACAACCTAGGTAAAGCAAAATAATTTTATCAACACATAAAAATGACAAAAATCTTCAATTACTTCTTTAAGAGAGATTAGTATAAGGGAAATTATTGTATCAACATAAAGATTCTTTGCATCAAGAAATTTTGTCAGAAATATAACAATTTATATTTTTACCACTAATAAATAGTTGACTAATTATAGTGTTATCAATAAAAATAGTTACCACTATGATGTGTTTAAAAAGAAATGATTCATGAATTTACATTTCTATGCCGCTTCTACAGAGCCTGAAATTATGTGTTTAGTGTCTTCTTGTGAATTTCTTGCCTGTGCCTAATACTTGCATATCCAATGAGAATGGCATTACCACTCAGAACATTATTTCAATTACTCTGAATTTGATTGGACATATTTTTAATGGAATGTTGGATTGGAAAGTGTTGATTGGACATATTCCTAGTGGAATGTTGGATTGGAAAGTGATGACAACGTAGCTTGTGAATAAACTGACCAATTAGTAGTATTGCTGTACTGGCTAGAAGTAATTTCTCCATTTTCCTTTATCTTTGTCTTTCTTCCTGAGAATGCAAATAGGAGAAAATCAATGTGTTTTCCTCCTACCAATTCTGTGCATGGACAGTGCGGTTAAATCAGAAACTCCTGCCAGGGAAGCAAAGTCTGAGTTAACAGGAGTAATACAGGGAGCAAAAGGCAAATGTGGCAAATAGGGGAAGACAGATAAATGAATAATAATGACACAGGGAAGTATATCATCATTCTGTTTCCAAAGAGCATTTGAATTCAAGAGAGTAACACTCCACTCTTTCTCTCAAATGGAGTGTCAACAATCGGGAATCATTCAGATTTTCTGACCCTCAAGGAAGTAAATTGGATTATAGTTAACACACAAATTTTACCAGAGCATTTTTTATCTGGATGTTTTGGAGAAAAGAGAAACAATCATAAACAGCATCCCTTGATGAGTTGATTGCATAATACTAACTTGCAACTTCAAATTATGGTATGCTGGTTATGTTTGCCATATTAGTTCTTTTATACCCTTGAGAAAAATCTCAGTTTTTATCTATACAGGATATGCTACTGAGCGGCAGCCAGCAACTGATACATTGAGTGCTTTCAAGCATATAAAGTTCTTTTGAGGCAATATCTTGGGTGCAAAGGCTACATGACACCCGTATCTGCAGAAGTCACTGTTGCTCTTTTGACTACAGCAGATAATATTGTGAATGGAATGTTCTATAAGCAGGCATTCACAGGATCAGAATCATGTCCAAGCATGGTATGGTTAGAAAATACCATTGCTGGCGACTTTCCCCTGGAACCTTAGAAAGGCCATTTATGGTAAGCCTCATGCCTGCTCATATGGAGCTGCATCCAAGAGTTGAATGTGCTCAGCTGACACTGCCCCTGGGAGATAAGAAGATTTCTGTGTAAACACAGTGTAGTCAAATTGCACCCACATCATATTAAATATATTCAGTGGCAATCACATTTGTGGTAACTTAACCTACATTGACCCCTGACTGGGGGCAATGAGACCACTAAGGCTTGAATGCAGAATGGACTTCAAGGGGATGAATTCCCTGAAGTGATCCATACCTGCAGAACCTTGTATCCTGTGACAATGCATGTCTTCAGTACACAGATAAAGCATTTTATAAAGGTTATCTATTACCATCTAGGCAGAAATAATTTCTCCTACTTCGTCTTTTATCCAGGGTATCTCATGCTCATGCTCAACTTTTATGCATATTGTTTCATTAAACACACACATACAATTATGTGCAAAAAACTTTTCTAAGTACTTTGCAAATATTATCACATTTAATCCTCATAGAAACCCTAAGAAATAGACACTCATCATCCCATTTTACAACTGAGGAAACTAAGGCACAAAGAAGCTAAAGACTGTTTTAGCTTTTCCAGCCAGTGAGTGGCTAATCTAGCTTCAAACCCAGAATATCATCTGCCTCCAGAATTTGTTTTCAATCTCTTTCTTTACATCAATTGTTTCTCATTTTGTCTTCCCTCGATCTTCCATCCCCATTTAGCTTCTCACATAGTACTCATAGCTAAATTCATATCTCCCTTCTTTTAGCTTTCCACTTTGGACATGCATGACTCTGTATCTATTTTTCTGAAGTAAAAGGTCACTTCACTTCAGGATATTTTCATAGCTACTTATCTAATCCTCCAGCCAAAAGGGTGGTTTGGTGTGACAAAACACACAAACCAGAGGATTAAAAAATCAACATTGATATATAGGGTGATGCAGAGGTTGTCCTTGAATATTCAGATATTTTTATAAGGGTGGAAGTTGTGTATTCTTGCCAGGGCACCTAGTCCAAGTGCTATAACCAGACCATTATTTTACCTGGTAACCATGACAGTCTGTTCATGTTTGCAAATATTGCCCAGAAGTATGGATAGTGATCATATTTTAAACACAGAACTTTTCTGAGAGTTGAAAATACACTAAAATTAAGGATAGATCTGAAAGTTTGGACAGGGCTTTCTTTACTTGGTTAAACTTCACTCCCCGACCATCTCTTAAATGTCATCAAAATGGGGCTGGGCGCGGTGGCTCACTCCTGTAATCCCAGCACTTTGGGAGGCCAAAGCGGGTGGATCACCTGAGGTCAGGAGTTTGAGACCAGCCTGGCCAACATGGTGAAACCCCGTCTTTAATAAAAATACAAAAATTAGCTGAGCATGGTGGCAGGAGCCTGCAATCCCAGCCACTTGGGAGGCTGAGGCAGGAGAATCGCTTGAACCTGGGAGACAGAGGTTGCAGTGAGCCAAGATCACGCAGTTGCACTCCAGCCTGGGCAACAGAGCAAGACTATGTCTCAAAAAAAAAAAAAAAAGTCATCAAAGTGGCAATAACTTTTTTCCAAGGCTAATAATTGATTTTATGGCTAGAAGATGTACATAGGAAAATAGTACTTTTCTTTCACAGAATCAACCTACAACTAACACCAGTTACAGCTATGTGATAAGTTAAACAGTTTTTTTACTCTTTGAGTCTACCAACCACACTTTCAATTAGTGTGTAAAAGACCTGGACATCTCTATTTACTTCCTATCACTTCAGTACCTAAAAAAAAGTATTAGTTTTGTAGTAGGGAAATATATTTGCTACAATACCTCTTGTGATAACTTCTTTGTAAGAATTCTCTATGCTTATCCACTCAAAACACTTGTCTCACTGTCAGAAAAACTGCTGTTTATTAACCAAAGTTTTAAATTCTCTATGCTGCTACCAGCTGGTTCTGACAATCACCCAGTAATCTAAAGACTTAAAGAACCTCTGATAAAATTTCAAGGATACTGCTTCATATATTTATCAGCAATGCAAGAAAGATTATAGCTAATGTCAAGAACAACAGAAAGACATAGTCACTGATGTGGTTTGGCTGTATCTCCACCCATATCTCATCTTGAATTGTAATAATCTCCAAGTGTCAAGGGTGGGGCCACGTGGAGATAATTGAATCATGAGGGCAGTTTCCCCCATACTGTTCTCGTGGTAGTGAATAAGTTCCATGAGATCTGATGGTTTTATAAATGGGAGTTTCCCTGCAAAAGCTCTCTTGCCTGCTGCCATGTAAGACGTCCCTTTGCTCTGCCTTCGTCTTCTGCTATGATTGTGAGGCCTCCCCAGCCATGTGGAATGGAGAGTTTTTTAAACCTGTTTCCTTTATCAATTACCCAGTCTTGGGCATGTCTTTATCAGCAGCATGTGAAAAGACTGATACAGTAAATTGGTACTGGTAGAGTGGGGTGCTGCTGTAAAGATACCCAAGAATGTGGAAGTGATTTTGGAACTGGGTAAGAGGCAGAGGTTGAAACAGTTTGGAAAGCTCAGAAAAGGACAGGAAGATAAGGGAAAGTTAGGAACTTCCTAGAGACTTGTTGAATGTCTTTTACCAAAATGCGTATAGTGATATGGACAATGAAGTCCAGGCTGAGGTGGTCTCAGATGGACATGAGAAACTTGTTGGGAACTGGAGCAAAGGTGACACTTGCTATGTTTTAACAAAGAGACTGGTGGCATGTTGCCTCTGCCCTAGAGATCTGTGGGACTTTGAACTTGAGATGATTTTGAGCATCTGGTGGAAAAAAGTTCTAAGCAGCGAAGTATTCAAAAGGTCTTTGGTACTGTTAAAAGCATTCAGTTTTATGTATTCAAAAATACATGATTTGAAATTAAAACATGTTTAAAAGGGAAGCAGCGCCTAAAAGTTCAGAAAATTTGCAGCCTGACATTGTGATAGAAAAGAAAAACCCATCTTCTGAGGAGAAATTCAAGCCAGCTGCAGAAATTTGCACAAGTAACCAGGAGCCAAATGTTAATTGCCAAGAGAATGGGAAAAATGTCTCCAGGGCATGTCTCAGAGGTCTTTACGGCAGCCCTCCCATCACAAGCCAGGAAGCCTAGGAGAGAAAAATCGTTTCCAGGGCTGGGCCCAGGGCCTTGCTGCTTTGTGCAGTCTCAGGAGTTGGTGTCCTGTGTCCTAGCTGTGGCTAATAGTAGCCAACAGAGAGTTCAGGCCTTAGCTTCAGAGGGTGTAAGCCCCAAGCCTTGGAGGCTTACATGTGATGTTGGGCCTGTGGGTGCACAGGAGTCAACAATTGAGGTTTGGGAGCCTTCACCTAGATTTCAGAGGATGTGTGAAAATGCCTGCATGTCCAGGCAGAGGTGTGCTTCAGAGGCAGAGCCCTCATGGAGAACCTACCTGTGAGGGCAGTGCAGAAGATAAATGTGGGTTTGAAGCCCCCATGCAGAGTCTCCACTGGGGCACTGCCTAGTGGAGCTGTGAAAAAAAGGCCACCATCCTCCAGACCCCAGAATGATAGATTCACTGACAGCTTGCACCGTGTGCTTAGAAAAACTGCAGACATTCAACACCAGCCCACAAAAGCAGCCAAAAGTGGGGCTGTACCCTACAAAGCCACAGGGGTGGAGCTGCCCAAGACCATGGGAACCCACCTCTTGCATCAGCATTAGCTGGATGTGACACATGAAGGCAAAGATCATTTTGGAGTTTTAGGATTTGACTCCCCTGCTGGATTTCAGACTTGCATGGGGCATTTAGCCCCTTCATTTTGGTCAATTTCTACCATTTGGAATGGCTGTATTTACTGAATGCCTGTGTCCCCATTATATATAGGAAGTAACTAACTTGCTTTTCATTTTACAGGCTCGTAGGCAGAAGGGACTTGCCTTGCCTCAGATGAGACTTTGGGTTGTGGACTTTTGAGTTAATGCTGAAGTGAATTAAGACTTTGGGGGAATACTGGGGAGGCATGATTGGTTTTGAAATGTGAGGACATGAGATTTGGGAGGAGTGAGGGGCAGAATGATATGGTTTGGTTATGTCCCCACCCAAATCTCACCTTGAATTTTAATTATCTCCATGTGTCAAGAGCAAGGCCAGGTGGAGAAAATTGAATCATGAGGGCAGTTTCCCCCATACTGTTCTTGTGGTACAGAATAAGTTTCATGAGATCTGATTGTTTTATATATGGGAGTTCCCCTACACAAACTCTCTTGCCTGCCACCAGGTAAGATGTCCCTTTGTTCTTCCTTTGTCTTCCACCATGATTGTGAGGGTTCCCCAGCCACATGGAACTGAGAGTTCATTAAACCTCTTTCCTTTATAAATTACCCAGTCTTGGGTTTGTCTCTATCAGCAGTGTGAGAACAAACTAATACAGTTACTTTCCGTAAATTATCTGCCAATGCTGAGAAATTAGGGAATTAAGGCCTGACCTCCTTCAAGGTAATGGCATAGTCAACCCAATGATTTTTTTTTTCCTCCTAGCAAGTTGGTTCAACCCACGGCCCATGGACCACATGCAGCCCAGCAGGGTTTTGAATGCAACCCATCACAAATTTGTAAACTTTCTTAAAACGTGTTACGAGGTTTTTTTTGTGTGATTTTGGTTTTTTTCTTTTTAGCTCATCAATTATTGTAATTGTTAGTGTATTTTATGTGTGGCCCAAGACAATTCTTTTTCTTCCAATGTGGCCCAGGAAATCCCAAAAAATTAGACACCCAAAAAATTAATCCCCAAAAATTAGAGATTTACTCTATATCTCCACTTCCTATAACTCCAAGCCCACCTTTCTCTATGTGCATTTTTTCTAACCGCATATTTTTGTCATATCCATTCTATGTTGAAACCCCTTACCACCTGTAACTTACCCAGTGACTAAGAACACATATCTTACATGTGCTGTAGAACTTCCATGTTCCTCCTGTGATGATATCATTCCAAAGTACCTGAGAGGAATATGAATCAGGAGAGCAACCATTAGACTATATATATCACTTTAGGAAAGTAACAGAGCACACCAGAGCCTTGGGACAGGGATACATAAACCTAAGTCCCAGCATAGTAATCATCTGGAGACAGAATCTATTCTGTCCTGGCTCTTAAAAGGAAGCATATATGAAACAAAACTGGTGTGTTAGATGATTTTGTTGTCTTTAGAGATCAAATAGTCTATTACCTATTCAAAACTACTCTCTCTTTTTCTTGCCTTCCCTGGTCCATCAGGATATCTCTTGAATATAGTATTAACTCTCAACTGAAAAATTAACAAATAAACATGTTGATACTTCCTCTTTGGTTCCATGAACTGAAATTTTGAATAAGAGGCTCTTTGTCAGAAGAAGGAGATTAAAAAGGTTTAGCTGGCACTACAGGATGAGCTTAGGAAGACAGGAATTAATGGGAGGACTGACTCTATCCTAGCAAGGTTATGATTGCCAGGCTGTGATTCAAGGCAAATATCCAGGCACTCATCTAAAGAAATACAACAGGCAGATCAGTGTTGTTATTATTAAAAACCAACAGAAGCAACTTTAATTGTCAACGAGCCATTTTAAGGGGAAGACTAGGTATACATGCATAAAATAAAATGAAACTTGTCTACCATTATTATTTTTCTTTCTCGTAGAAAGGCCATGCAGTCAGTACAGAGGCAAAGAACAGAATAGACATTATTATGTATAATGATATCATAGTGGTCTATTTTACTTTCATTTTCTCTGTCTTCTTTAATCTTATCACAGTGAATTTAGAGAGTTAATGCTCTCATGTCAAAACTGAAAAAAAAATTCTGGCAAAAATAAACTGTTTCACAACTTTATTGGATCTTGAACTCAGGTTTTCTGACTACTAGGAAACTGTGTATTTCCCCAGTGGAAAATTTGCTTCAATTCTGAGTGCATTGAAAGTAGGGTTACAACATAGTTTCCTGTTCACCACCCACAAATATTACATAGCATCTTGCTTTTATATATTTAATTCATCCTAGCTGCCTTAATTTAAGTTAGGGCAGAGAAGAATTTGATTAAAACAGGTGCATTCAGTCTTAGAAGCATTACTCACCATTGTTTATTAATGTGCCAAAAAGTATTTTGAAAAGTCTTACAATATCTAAAGCTACTCATAAAATATATATAGATACATTTATTTTGAGTGTAACAGAACTAGGTTTGGCTGTACATTCATCTAAATTTAGAATTTGAAAGAATAATTTCCTCGATATTATAAATAACTGAGCATTTATAACCTACTATAACATTGAGTTGTACCAACATTATAATGTATTATAAATATAATAAGTATTTATAAGTAGTGTAATGTACTATAAACATTATGCATTATAAATATTAGCTTGTCTACACTTAGACATATTGAAGTTTGTATTTTTTAAAATTCATAATACCAGGGACTCATGTCCCATATCATACAGAGAAATGTGATTTCAGTATACTTATTTGTTTCTTCTTCAGCATCCAAATATCTACTTTCTATTCATTTCTTATGCAAACAAATGAAATAATTAAAGTTTCCCTGGTGCCCTTTTTCTGGGCTTTTATACCATTATCTAAATTCATTTCATGTGTATTACTTTACTTGAGCTTTTAGAATCAAATGTCTGTTTTATTGCTTTCTTTTTTTGTCATCGTTCCATCACAGTCTCAAACATACTTACCACTCATAATATTTTAGCTTTTTTCTTAAAATAAGAAATGTTTTTAAAACATATCTTCGGCCGGGTGCGGTGGCTCACACCTGTAATCCCAGCACTTTGGGAGGCCGAGGTGGGCAGACCACTAGGTCAAGAGATCGAGACCATCCTGGCCAACGTGGTGAAACCCCATCTCCACTAAAAATACAAAAATTAGCTGGGTGTGGTGGCACGTGCCTCTATTCCCAGCTACTCAGGAGGCTGAGGCAGGAGAATCGCTTGAACCTGGGAGGCAGAGGTGGCAGTGAGCTGAGATCATGCCACTGCACTCCAGCCTGGCAACAGAGTGAAACTCCGCCTCAAAAAGAAAAAAAAAAAAGAAAACATATCTTCTAGGTTTACTTGTTATTTTTATCTTATTGCCAAAAGTTTACAATATTTTTCTTTATTTTCCCTGACTTCACTTATGATTCTTCTAACACCTTTAGAAATACCTACCTCCTTCTCTTGCTAGTGATAAATATTGTAAATGGAGATGAAACCTGTTTTACTATACTCTAAAAATCATCTTAGAGAGTTCTGATCAGAGGAGAGAACAAAGTAAACACTATTATAATCCCCTTTTGATCACTGGGAGGCAAAATATTTGAGGAAAATTGAGTCATTGAATTGGTCTTTCCCCTGCATTTCATCTAAAGCTTAAAGGAAACCTGATGTGATTGCAGTATTAATTCAGACCTATAGGCCCCAGGACCTCATTATCTGAGAAAAACAGAGGCTTTTCAAATATGATGTACAAGACAGATTTTTTTTCTTCTAAAAAATAATAAAACCTAAAACTAAAATAAAAAGGAAAGGCTTTGAAATATTTCCCTAAAGAAAAATTAAAAGTAGATACTGTTATGGAGAAGTTCAAAGTTTCTTTATTACTTTTCGTTGTTACCTTTAGAAAGAGAAGATTTTTCAAGGGCACACCCCATAAGACTCTAATGAAGATATAAGCCATTCACAAAGGATATAAATCCCTGCTGATTGGAATCAGTGTGAAGAACGAGAGTCTGAATCTGCAAATTCACTTTTCCAAGAAAAATTATGTTAAATTTTAAAACAGTAATCACGTTTGTAAAAGGACTTTTCAGAATGCGACTTGAAGAAAAAAAGATGTATTAGGCAGTAAAACAAGTTTAAGGAATTATAGCATTATCCTTACTCTTAAACGATGATATTTTAACACCTCAACAATAAAACTTATAGATAAAAGATCCTTGGCAGATAAATTTCTTCAATCACAAATCTTAGTAGTTTCAAACCACATTTCTAATCAAGTCTTATTAATTTCTTCCCCAAAACAGGCTTCGTTTCTCTCAAAGTCACCTTTTAATCCCCTGTCCTTCATATTGGAAATTGTCTTCTTTCTATCTTATGTTTTTCCTTCAGTCTTTTTATACCACTATGCAAAATTCTGGACAATTTTATCTTGAGCAAACATCTCTCATTTATTCTTTTCTTTCCTACATGATCTGCCACTACTTGAACCATGTCTTTCATCATCCCAGCTGTGAGTTCTGAGGGTGGACTACTATCTCATCCACTTTTGGATGGCTTCCACAAGCCATTCCTAATATTATTTCCAGCCAAGTCCTCTGAAGACATTGGTTTTCAGGTGGTACTCCCTAACCATGAGTTTTAATCACTGGTTGTTTCTGGTACACTACATCAAGTACGTATTTTCTTTTCTTTCTTTGGAGATTTTCTGAAGCCTCATGTATGCTATGTGTCAGGAACCGTGCTAAGGAAGGGGGAACAAGACACAGCCCCTGCAATTTTTGATTTTACACTCTATTAGAGAAGACAGCCACTGAACAAGTAATTACAAGGACACTGAATTTTAGAAAAGAAAACTGCAGCAAGTCATGTGACCATTTAAAGGGGGCCTTATTTACCTTATTTTGCTTTACGTACTATTCCTCTCCTTGTATTTTTTCCTCCTATGAGCATTCCTTTGAAGTTAGGCATACTAAACTACTTAACATTTAGTAAACACATTTACTTAACATTTACTAGACATATACTTGTGTCATATTCCCCATTCTTGATCCTCCGCTGTACAAGATTCTTAAAAATCTAAGGAAGGTGGTGTCTCAAGTATAATACCCACTTTTGTGGTTTCTGTGTATCCTCTACATACTTCTATTATGATACTTATCACATTACATTTTAATATTGGTTATATGTGTCTCAGGTTGTTATAATAGTATCTTGAGGGCAAGAATCATGTTTTAGAAACGTTTACACCATTCAAGCATCTGGAATGATGCTTGTCAATTTACCAATCACTTAATAAAGGGTGTATTGGCTTGCACATCATTGCTTTTATAGGTCAGTTGTTTTCTTTTCTTTTCCAAATAGAGTGCCAAGCAATTAATTAAAAACAATGACTACAATTCATGCTTTCCATATTTCCCCCCTAATGAACCTGCCACATGTTCATGCATACCCTATTCTTCACCCATACACTGAAGTCCTTTTACTTTGCCAAGCCCTCTGAAGTCCCATGGCCTTGTTTATACCATTTACTTCATGTATTATTTTGTGCTTCTCAAACTGGTGTGCATATTCCTGCAATTTGGAAGTACAAAATGGAGTGTAGTTATTTAATGAAGTGGCAGGATAAACATAAAGTTACATCTTAGAATATCAATTTATGCCCAATATTTGAATAAAAAAGAATAATTTAGCATGTAAATAATTTTAAATATTTATAAACAACTTCAGATGCATAATATAATACACACAAAGTGTGAATCATTTTCAAAGTGAAAAATGAAATTTTCATAAAATTTCAAACTTGCAGGGAGCTATCTGAGCTAAACTTTGACATTGTTCTATGATTGGGGTACTTTGGAGGAAGATTGTAAAGAGCTTTGAAATTTAGTGGAATAAGTAAGGGCTTTGAAAGTACCCAGATTTTGTTATGATCAAGGATCTATTTCTCACTAATTATAAGATAATTTACCTTTCTGAATTTTAGTTCCTTTATTTATAAAATGATAATAGCTGGGCGTGGTGGCATGCACCTGTAATCCCAGCAACTCGGGAGTCTAAGGCACAAGAATCACTTGAACCTGAGAGGCAGAGGTTGCAGTGAGCCGAGACAGCACCACTGCACTCCAGCCTGGACAAGAGAGTGAGTGAGACTCTGTCTCAAAAATAAATAAATAAATAAAATAAATAAAAATAGAATGATGATAATAATGAATTAATAATTCAGCAGGTTACTCTGAGCATTAAATATGATGATGAGTGTAAAGTGCCTAGCACATAGTAGACAAAGTATAACTGAATCTCAAGAAATAATTTATAGGGAATGTCTAAGCAATGATGACTATCCTGTCATCAATATTAATATTGTGTTTATTTCTAAACTAGAACTTTTATAGCTATAGGTTTTCTTTGGGCATTACATTGAGAAAATATAAAAAACCATATGTAATAAGAAAGTATATTATACAATAGTTCACATTTAGATGCAAGGTCAAACTCAGTTTTATTTTAACTGAAAGAACTACCATCTGCTTGGTGTACACAGTCTCTTAGCAAAGGATTAGAGGTTTCAGGTCAATGCTTAAGGGACACAAATGTCCATAATAGGATAAATAGAAGGCTACCACCAGATTTAGCACTCTTGTCAAATACTCTAGCGGAAAGGCCAAGGTTCAAGTGTCACAGAACAAACCTCCTCTCACATTAAGTGCCTGTCTCTTAAGCAAGGCTCTCGAGAGCATTTCAGTTCCTCAGAAAGGAGTAGTACAAATCTTTCTACACTTACCATGAGAAAAAAGAGAAATGTCAGGTGATCAAACTAATAAATGAACTGAATAGAATTTAAAAAATAAGGCAAAAAGAGGCTGTCATGCCTAAACATTTCTGAAAACAATTAATAATCAACATGTTCTAATCAACTCACATGGGGGGAAAAATGCTGGCAACGATGCCCAAATAATTTATTACAATACATATGTAAATATTTTCCTTAGTGTGAAGAATGTTTTCAGTGTTTCCATAAACTTTTTTAAAAAGAACCATAAAAATTTAAATTGATTAGTTGTTTCTTAAATTGTTTCTCTTGCCTTTTTTTGTGTGTGTGAAATTGACATAATTCCAAACAGGTAATTTTACCTTCATTTGAAACGGTAATTAATTCTCCGAGAACTTAGAGAAACCATTGTCTTTACTGCTTGATAACTGGAATCATAAGAAAATTACCTGAAACACAGCAATATGATATAAAATAAAATTGTTCTTTCAGTGGGTTTATTTCTTGAACATGCATTTTAAATGGGGACTTCATTGAATATAATAATGACATCCACTGGTAACGTGGAGTAAATTGATTTCCCTCAGTCACTTAACCAACTGAACTATAATTACAAGTGCAGTCCATTAACTGCAAGGGTTTAAATTCTTTCTTCTGTATATATTCAACAAGGTATGTGTTTGAAATTGTCATACTAAACAACTGTTAAAGAAAATCATTGCTAGGAATAAAAATTCTTCATTCATTGGGGGTATATTCTGAACCAGGTTTTATGAAATAGAAAAGAACATTACTGGATAGAATACCTGAAAAGAATATTCCTTTTTAATCTCAATGCAGCCAGAAGCATGTTTATTCTTTCCAGGATAAACAGATGTTTTGGCGTATTTGTTTGCTTTAAAAATGGCACAAATATATTTCAAAGAAGAGCTTTGTGACATTACGATTCACAAAACAGCCCCATAGCTATGATCTGGGTATTTAAATAATACAAGAATTTTCATCAGAAGTATCTGCCTTTATCAAAGCTAGATATATTGGTGGGTTTTCCTAATTTTTTATTTCTTTACTGTCTACATTCCAAATGGAATGGTTATTTTGTCCTCAAATTCTGATGTTTTTTATTTCTTTTAATTAAGGTCAAAATAACAATTGCATTCTTTACTCATCAAATTCTTTACTTTTCTCCTTTTGAAAGCATTCACATGCAATTTTATTCATTTAATGAATGCATTGCATTTAGCACAATGAGCCTTCAAAACCATGCCAAGATAATTGTAGTACCCACTTTCTGAAACTTGGTCCTTAGTCACTTTCTAAATCTGTATTATGATAACAGTTACCATATTAACTTTTTAATTATATAATCTGTGAAATATTTACATAAATATATAATTTATCTCCTTTTATTGTATACATGATTGCTGCTGTATTTTTACTTCAGGTTTATGGGTAAATGTAACTGATAACATGAAGTTCCAAGTTACACTTATAATTCTTCAATTATTTCTTGAAACCAAGATATGCCCTTTGTTAGTAAAAGATACAAAAGACTTGAGTGTTGCTTACTCTTCTTGTGGACATCCTATAACTGAAATACTGTGATGTAAAGTTGGGACTTATTGATACATTTTATGTTATAAGAAGGAAATAACAAAGGGAAGAAAAAATACTTAATGCAGATATTCAAACATATTTATAAAAAATAGGAAAGTAATACTGATAGCAATTATATTCCTAATTTCTTTAACTGGTCACCTGTTGTTTTTCATAAAAATCTTAATCTACTACCCGTTCTATATTTTCTTTGCCCTCACCAAGCACCTCAGTGGGTCATGGCCCTTTGCCTGGTAGGATCACTCAAACTTTGAATTTCGAAGGGTCTGAATCATTAGCAGTCCTGCTTAAATTGGGTTGTAGTTCTTCATTGACTTCAATCACAGGACATGGTAGTACTGAGATACTCTAAGGAATGTCCTATATTTCAGACATAATCTTCCTTATCTCCTTTGTATAGTAGCATGCTAATTCCCTTTGGTAATCAGAATCCACCATCCCAGCCAGTAGAGTAACTCTTTTCTGTGCCAATTAATTGAAGGGCATGAAAAGCTCCAAGTGACCATGTGGCAGTCTTAACTTACAGGTTAATTAAATTATTATGTCTCATAGAGGAAGCATTCCTTCCTTTGGAATGCTAGATGGTCTAAACCATCCAGACCAATAAGGTATGTGGTAATGAGGAATGGAGGTAAAAATTTCGCTAGTGGATCACTAGAAATAATAGTAAGTGATGCCACTTTCATTTTCACTGTGAAGCAGGTTCACTGTGCATTGGTTACAAACTTGTTTGGGTCTGCTGAGACAGAATAAAATCATAAGCAACAGGTTACTTGAAGCAGATGTATTACTCACAGATAGGCAGCAAAGTACAGCAGAAACCTAGAATTCATTGTGAACAGGTGACTCAAGGCTCAGGAAAGCTGCTCGGGGCAGATAGAGTCCTGACTATGCATGTCTTATTTGCACCTCAGCTGAGAGACCAAGGAAAGCAGCCCACTGTAGGGTTTATACCTCAGGGCAACCTGATGCACTAGGCAAAAGCTTTGAAGGACATCTTTTTATGAGGGCTGCAACAGAGCCCATGTTGTTTCTGTCAGCCAACCCTTATCTCAGGGTGTTGCATTCCCAGCACATTCCACCGTTATTCTTGATAAAGATAAGATAGAAAAGAGATAGAACTGAGTCAGTCCAAGGATACCCAGATAACTGTACTGCATTCACCCCTTGACTCCTGGACCAGAGAATCCTGGTAATGAGAGAAACAAAACCATGTATTGGACACAAATTTAGAGCATATACACACATCTGGAGTATACTGCTTGAGCCTTGCAAGGTATTAGCATTGCACAATTTTATCAAGCTAGCTGTTTCAGGATAAGAAGAAACATGATAATACAAGTGAATTCCTTGGACATAGACCTATTGTCATATTTCACAGCAAGTAGAATCAGCATTGTTTTGCAAGGTAATTATTTCAGAGAAGGTTACTACAGGCAAAATAGTGTTACCCTTTCTGAGAGAAGTAGAAGAGCTACTTCTACTAGTAAAAATAAGACTGAATAGAATTTAAAGGTTCAGTGTCGTCAGTTTCATTGACATTTTCCCACGTGTGTCCATTCCAGTTATCAGGATCCCATTCCTTACCAATTAATGAATTTCTTTAATAAAACACACTGTCACAGGATTCTTAGGATGTCACTTTTCAGGCTGGAAAGGTCTGTGGCTGGTTGCACCTTTGCCAAAGTTTTGCTTGGGCCTACTGGGCTCATTCCACCCACTCAGCCTGGCAGGCTGCACTCAGCTTATGCTACTGACTTGGATCCCATGCATACCAGTGGAGAGCCAGGCATGGAACGGTGAAGTGAGGGGTGTGTAAGTGAGCAAGCGTGTAGCCAGGCATGCTGGCTGTGCAGGGTGGGCAGCTACAAGCGCCAACAGGGGGTCCCAGCTTCCTGCGAGGCTGAGGCCAGACCAGGCACCTCTCAAGCACCTTCCACAGCTGGCACTGGTGAACACAGTGATGCTCAGAAATTTGAAGACACCAGGAACTGCAGAGCCCCAAAGAGGGTGTCACAGTCCTGGTTTGGGGAGCTCCTAGGTCTGAGCTCCCCAAAGGGCCTCAGATCTTCTTTCCATCTCTCTTCTATCTTTTCTTGTTGCCTGTAACATGGTGAGCAAGGTGCATGTTTCAGCCCTGTTTGTGTTACAGCTCTTTCAGCCCCATCATTTGGCAGGTACTGAGTTCTTTTCCCACATCCAGGAAGAATGAGGTATGTGAACAAGTGGAGAGTAAGCAAGGCAAAGAGATGCTTTATTGAGTGACAGAACAGCTCAGAGGAGATCCACAGTGGGTAGCTGCTTTTTGCAGGCAGGTCATCCCATCCCCTAGCTGAGTCTGGGGTTTTTATGGGCTTCAGAGGGGAGGAAGTACATGTTGATTGGTCCATGGGTGTCCATCTGTAGGCCCAGAGAAAGCACCATAAATTCTCATTCTGGTCCACAGAATTGGCAGCACAGCCCCAGGCCTTAGGCTGTACTCGGCCTGAAGGTGGGGTTTTACTGGGAACCAACTCCTTCTGCCCAGGTGCCTGTCTGCCTCCTGCAGCCATTATACTGCCATCCACGGTGCCCAGAGTACCCAGGCTGTTCATGCCAAGAGGCAACTGCAGGCCTGCACCACACCATTCTTAGCCTCTGCTTGACCTCCCTTCTTGCTCATCAGTGCCCAAAGTCCAGACGGGACTGAGGTGGCAGGGAGCTTATGTGTCAGTGTTGCTCCAAGCATTTGCATACCGGCCAGCTTGTGACAGCACCCAGGCTCAGCCATAACTTTTCTCTGAAACCAGAGCAAGTGCCGGAAGCAGGAAGAGGCCAGGCAGTGGGAATAGGCACTTCTGATCCTGTGGTGGCAGGAGGGTCCCTGAGAGTGCCCAGGTCTGCAGCTGTGGCTAGGCAACTGCAGCTGCGCCCAGGCCACTGCAGCTGCACCCAGGAGGGCAGGGCTCCCAACCCTCCACCATGGAAGGGGGTGAGGCTTTCACCTGTTTCTGGCTTGCATCAGCTCCATGGAGTGTGCAGTCCCAGCCATGCCTCCCCCACTGCAGCCGGCTTCATGGCAGTGACTCCATACTGGCCACTGCTTCTATCAACACCCTATAATGTTGGGAATTCAATTTATGCTGTAATTCAGCCACTATTAGGATGAGACTGGGGTCTGGTTTTCAGAAATCTTCGTACTATGGCTATAGAAGGTAAGGATTTCTTTCAGGCCACACATATAAACTTTCAGGTCATTTATTTAGCACTTGAGATGTGAATTTCAAGCCCTAAATTTACCCTTTTCTTCCCCAACATTCCCCAGTGCAGTTAGTTTGACTAAGGAGTATAATGAGTTTGATTGGCTACTCTTAACTGACAAAGTTAGGATTTTGTAGTTTATACTTGACAAAGTCATGGTTTTGTAGTTTATACAGTTTTTTGTCAATGTTAGGATAAAAGCAATCTTCTTTGCAGCTTTCTACATCATAAGTGGGTAAAGAAGTCTATGTATATAGTCTCTTAATAAAGGCCTTTTTATAATACCTGTAAAAGTGTGTGCTCTGGTCTTGTCACTCAGTTTGTGATCATAAATACATTTCCATAATCTTCACACTCTTTCTGAAGAAATTAAAAATTTAATATGGTTGTAAATCACTCAGTTCAAATTTATTTATAAGTACCAATTATACTAGACAAAATGTGTAAGAGAATTATTAACATGGTGCAACAACATGAGAAAACTTATGCAGTAATTAGAACATAGTTGTCTTAGATCAATTTAATTCCTCCCTGGTTATTACAAATATTCAGTTTAATTATTTTTATGTTAGTGATTTTCATACTATATAGCTGCTGTAAAATAAGTATATAAAAATATTCATTATAAATATTTTGACCCAGGTTTATGCATAGCATAGGCTGCATAGCATGAATTTAATCTCAGTTGGTCTAGATTGATGACCTGCTTATCTGCAAGCCTTCCTGGAGTATAATGATAATCCTTGAATAATTTTATGGAATATATTATTTAAAGAGAAATAATTTTCTATAACCTTACTCAGCACATAGTTAGAGACCTGGAGAAAAAGTTAATCTCCTGTGATTCAGCAGTGGAAGGATAAAGAGATACTTCACCTTAAGATTGGTGTGAATCATTACATAACTTCCTTTAATATAAACTTACACACAGGTTGTTCACCTATATATTTCATAAAGGTAAGTTCATCTTTTATACATTACTTTGTAATTGGACTTTTTATTTAAATTCTTTCATTGCTATTCTCCCATATTTACAAACAAGGGACTATTTCATTTTTAATAGATAAATAACATTCCATATTAAATAAAGACTTAAGTATCTGATCCCAATAAACATTGTGCAAAAATTACCATCTCTTTAAAAATGTCACTTTGTATCTATTTGTAAATTTTTTTTTTAGATTTCAATAGCTTTAGAGGTACAAGTGGTTTTTGGTTACATGGTTAAATGGTATAGTGGTGAATTTGGGGCTAAAACCCCACTAAAAGTGTACCCATCACCCAAATAGTGTACATTTTGCCCAATAGCTAATTTTTGATTCCCTACCTTCCCCACTTCTGATCCTCCAATGTCCATTATACCACTTAGTATCTTTGCCTTTGTGGTATTTGATTTTTTATTCCTGAGTTACTTCACTTAGAATAATGGCCTCTGGTTTCATCGAAGCTGCTGCAAGAGACATTATTTCATTCTTTGTTATTGGTTGAGTGGTATTCCATGGGAGATTATACATATGAAAATGTGATCTCTATCACGTATTCTTTATCCATTCTTCAGTTGATGGGCACTTAGGTTGACTCCATATCTTGCAGTTGTGAATTTTACTGCAATAAACATGAGTGCAGGTGTCTTTTGATATAATTAATGACTTATTTTCCTTTGATTAGATACCTAGTAGAAAGATTTCTGGATCCAATAGTAGATCTACTTTTATTTATTTGAGAAATCTCCATGCTGTTTTCCATAGAGGTCGTACTAATTTACATTCGCACCAACAGTGTATAAATGTTGTGTTTTAGGAAAGAACGTTCAACATCACCAGTCATCAGGGAAATGCAAATGAAAACCACAGTGTAAATTTCAATTACATGCAATGAAAAGGCACAATCAGTAAATTATCTAATATTCGTGATGTGAATTGTTTGATTATGGAAAATTAACATAGTATAGTTCTATTCAGTAATCTAACTTAAAAAAATAAATTAATGTATTACAGCAAAAAGAAATCACATGGTAGTGTAAAGTAGATAAAACTTGAAATATGATTATGAAGGATCACTATTAGGGTTTGGGTGAATAGTATAAGTTTGTTATTTACAGATTTATGTTCCATGGTATTTTGAAATTCACAATATGGTAATACTATAGCATAAGATTTATTATTTGCATGATTTGTGTCTTTGGAGATTAAATATGTCCATATTTTAAATGGGCAACAACCCATACTGTAAAATGCATACTAGGTGGTCATTAAATAATGAAAAGATTAGATTTTAACCATATTGTTAGAATGGAGGTCCAAAATAATAAGGTTGAGTTATAAGATGAGAATTATATTCTTATACATACTTCTTAAATTATGCAAATTTTAAAGACTATTCTAATACTTTCATCTTAAGGATTTACAATGTGATCATTTATTTTCTTTATTTTGGAAATAATAGTTATGCGGCATTGATTTTATATTATCTATAACATATGATAAAAATTAGCATATAAAATATGTATTCAATATTTTAATATGATTCAAAATGTCTATGTCTGTTTTACAGCAACTTCAGATTTTTAAAGGCTGTTAAGAGTGTGGTAAAGTTTCTTATTACTATTGTGTCTTTATCCATTGTGTTAACCCAGCTCTGGAATAGTCAGAGGTCTAGTAGAGGAATTACAAGAGCTGCAATGGCCACCAGTCTCATGGTTTCTTCATGGCTAGTCTTATAATTTCTCAGTCTTATCTTTGTGTTTTTGTCATTTTTACTCCCATTTGAAAATGATTTTCACTGAACATCTGTTTTCAGTCTATGCCACTGTCCCACAAAAGTTAATGTCTGATATAGACCTAATGTTGTTGTTCATGAGATTTAGTTATATGAAATATACCATTTGGCTCTCTGTACTATTTTTTTCTTAAAATATATTTTGCCTGAAAATAATTTTGCCGTCTTTATTCTCTTTTTCTAAATCTCCCTGCTGTATTAATCCCCATCAATTATATCTAAACTTTCTGGTTTGGTTAAGTCTTGATTTTGTTAAGTCTCTTGGGTAAGCAGCCTTTACTTAAATTTCTTTAAAAATGTTTTACTATGTAAATAAGACACATTAATTTTAGATAAATGGAATATGCAAAAAAGGAATCTCTATAATTATCTCACACCAGAGAGTAACACTGTTTATATATGCCATATTCTTTCAGATGTCTTATGTATATATCCTTATTGCTCATTATGTCAAAAGTAAAATCATTTTAGCACTGCTCTGACATTAATGAGAATGCCTGTAATATTTCACTAGTAAATAAATACAAAGCATTATAGTCAATTATTAGGGTTTGTGTTTTTTGTTATAATGTTATATTCTTAATTTTATCAATACATTTTGATGTCAATGTCAGTGATTTGTTTCTGATTATATTTTATACTTTTGAAATATAAGTGCAATGGATTTAATTAATACACTGCCTACTGCTAAATATATTTTATGCTTTTGGATTAAAATCTACATGTTTAATTAGATATAATTATTTGACATCACTATATCAACTTGGTAAAATGTATTTGGGACTTATGCATGTGTGTTGTTCATTACTGAGATTGGTCTTTCTTTTTTTTTTTTTTTTTTTGAGATGGAGTCTCACTCTGTCACCCAGGCTGGAGTGCAGTGGTGCGTTCTCGGCTCACTGCAAGCTCCGCCTCCCGGGTTCATGCCATTCTCCTGCCTCAGCCTCCTGATTAGCTGGGACTACAGGTGCCCGCCACCACACCCAGCTAATTTTTTGTATTTTTTTAGTAGAGAAGGGGTTTCACCCTGTTAGCCAGGATGGTCTCGATCTCCTGAACTCATGATCCACCTGCCTCGGCCTCCCAAAGTGCTGGGATTACATGCGTGAGCCACCGCGCCAGGCCGGTCTTTCTTTAATTAATGTGGTATTTATTTCTAGGCTTTATATCAGAAAGGTTTTGTTGTTATTTGTTAATTTTTTTCCTCCGTAAAAATGTTTTGAGATTATTTCATCTTCAACTTAAATGTAGTAGAGTTTAAATAGCTTAATTTGTAAATATATATAAATTAAGAATATTAATTCTTACAGATATACATTCTTATATATATTTATTTATCTCTTTCTACATATACATACACATATGTAGATATGTATATGTAACCATATACATACACATATGTAGATATGTATATGTAACCATATACATACACATATGTAGATATGTATATGTAACCATATACATACACATATGTAGATATGTATATGTAACCATATACATACACATATGTAGATATGTATATGTAACCATATACATACACATATGTAGATATGTATATGTAACCATATACATACACATATGTAGATATGTATATGTAACCATATACATACACATATGTAGATATGTATATGTAACCATATACATATGTAGAGAGAGAGATAGAAAGAAATATATATATTCTGAGGAAAGTATGGCCTGAGGAGCCCCAGTATCTCTGAGAACTTTTCAGGAGTACACAAAGTTCTTCCTTTCCAATGACATTATCTAGGCAAGGCCAAATTTTTTTTTTTTTTGGTATATTAAAACAAAGTAAAATAAGAGAATAATAGGTTGAATACAGAGGAAAATATGAGGAACCCAACTGCTTCTATTCGAATACAGATGAAAGAAATTTTGAAAAATGTAAAAGCATACCAAAATTCATACTATGATTTTTCTCCTTTGGAAAATATAAACGTTTTTCCATGGGAAAAAGTGCTATCTTAACATTTAATAAATTATTTAATGTTTTTTAAAATAAAATAATAAATACATAACCTCTGAAATACAGTTTTATCATGTGACAACTGTTGATAAATAAAACTCACATAAATAACAGTCTGTTGGAATTGTCAAAACTGTGTTTAGCATATGCAGGGTTCTTTGGATCTAAATGTTTGATCATCATTTTGCTAGCTCATTAGCTACGTCAACATTTTTTTTTGTATTGTGAAATCTTTCTTTTGTATGGAAGAATACATATCCTAGACTGCCTTGGATTTAGAGTTTCATATGTGGTACAAGTTGCACCAATAAGAAGAATATAAAAGGAATTTTGAACATAGAAATAAAGCAACATGAGAAGGAGACCAATCATTTGATGGCTGACAATTCCGCTAGCTAGTATGGTCCAAAAGACCTTAGATTTTCTTGTTGCTGCTATATCAGAGATGCTTTGGTAAAACCTCCTAGCTTCTTAAGGGTGTGGGAAAAATGCAGAATACCCATTTCATAGTTCAGATCATGGTGAAAGAGTGACAATATTAGAGCCAATACTGCATAGTAGTTCATTAAACACTATCTTGATATACAAAGGCAGAAAATTCTGGGATATCCAGTGTGGCTCTGAGAGTTCTCTTAAAAGCTCAGCCAAGCTTCCATTTTTTAGTTTTTCAACAAATCTATATTTTTATAAATCAACTAAAATTTTTTTAATACATTGCAATTTATTTTTCACTGCAAATAGCTGGCATAAATTCTGTTTTCTACAGTTGAATCCCTCAGATACTATTTGTCCTCCCTGAAATATGTTATGTCTTACACTTAAACCAGTTGAGCCATCAGCATATTTTGACAAATAAATATGGCTAATGTCTTAATTAATGTATAGCTATCTTTATGTTTTGCACCTCCTGACGAATTTAGATAAATGTATATTTCTAAAAATTTGCCATACATTAGGGCATTTTGGAGTCTGTTAAGAATATTAGTGGTGCTAATTCTGAGTAACTGTGATAAAATCATATGTTGTTAATGTTGCCTCTTGTTTTGCTCTCGTTTAATTGTTTTTGAGATATACCTGAAAATTTTCTATTATATTAGTCAGTTCTAAGGTTTTGGCTACTTTCAAATGTATTCATTTTGCTTTAACTTTATTGGATACTTTTGCTTTGATTATATTATTGTGCCAGATTCAATATTTTAGTGGTTAATTCATGAAATTTTATGAGCTCTTTTGAAATGAATGTAATGATTATATTAGTTATATATTTACAAGTGTGTATTTAAATATGTGTGTATATATATGTGTGTGTATGGGTGTTTTTCACTTTATTCCTTTGTCAATGACTGAAAACATTATGCAGACAACTCATTATTATTTTCTGGCTGTCAATTTATTTTAATTGTTTCTATTGTATACATTTTACATATCATTTTAGTGCATACATATTCACAAAAGATATAGCTTTGCTGTTAATTTAATTTACCAATATAAATATTTTTCTCTTACGTTTTCTTCTTTTCTGTATTTCTGTGTCTCTGTTTATGTGTATATATTGTGTGTATATGAGCAATATATAATGTATATTCTTATTTGAGTCCATAGGAAAAAATGAAATAATTTAAAATCACTAAGTAGGCCTGTCGTAATATGTGTAAAATTGAAAAATAATTCCAATTTGTAACAATTTATCAAACCTTAACATCTTTATTTTATTAAAGGCTTTATTCCCATATATATGCTTTATGCCCTGTGTTTTATTGTTTATTAGAATCAAGAAAGGCTTACTACTTTGTTTTTACAATCTTCATGATTTAAAAAAAAATTTTTTTTTTTTTGAGATGGAGTTTCACTCTTATTGCCCAGGCTGGAGTACAATGGTGCAATCTCGGCTCACCACAACCTCCGCCTCCCGGGTTCAAGCAATTCTCCTGCCTCAGCCTCCCGAGTAGCTGGGATTGCAGACATGCACCACCATGCCGGGCTAATTTTGTATTTTTAGTAGAGACAGTGTTTCTCCATGTTGGTCAGGCTAGTCTCGAACTCCCGACCTCAGGTGATCCGCCCACCTTGGCCTCCCAAAGTGCTGGGATTACAGGCGTGAGCCACAGCACCTGGCTAAAAAAAAAATTTAATAATCTTCATTAGTATAATTGTCAGCATTAAAAAAATAGTATATTTTATGTCTTGCTGTTAAAAAGAATGATTATATACTGTTTATCTACTTGTACCAGTCCTGATTGCCTGAGTAAATTCTCTAATGTTTATATATAGTTTAGATTTTAAACAATATTTTAATATTTTAATAGTGTGTACTTTTTTCTTTAAAATAATATTTTTTAAAATATTAAAACATGTACAATAATAATTTTATTATTTTACCAGGCTTGCTGAGAGTCACCACATGCATTTTATTTTGCTCTTTTTAAGTTCTAATTTATCTGTGTACTTATAATAATCAGTTTTATCCATCCTTAGAGTAAAAAAGTCGATATCATTAATGGTGATGAAAGATGACTTAATGATACACTTTCATAAACATGACTATTTTTCTGAAAGCTGTGCTTTATTCCTTCATAGAAGTAGTTGCGGCATCTTATCTATAGTACTTTATTTTCTTTAACAGGCTCAAAAATATTGCCCACTTTAAAATTAAAGTATCTTTCCATTGCATATCAGATTTTTGCTCATTCTTCCAGTTAAAGGGATCTGCTTATAGGGTTTGAATTTATTCTTATTTATTCTATTGCATCTACAATTTTAAATGCAATTATTTAGAAATTTTACTCACTGTTTTTGCTCAAATATTGAAATGCAGTTTACTTTTGATATTAATATTACACCTTCACATTTCTCAAAATAATTAACTCCAATGTCTTTTGAATATCTTTCATATATATATAAAATATATATGTCATCCATAGGTAATAATATGAAACAAATGAATAAAATACAACTATGAAATTCTTGTTTTCATTTTTTCATGTAAGAAGCCTGGAAGTCATCACTCCCATCCTTACAATAAGAAAAGAGATGAACCAACTGAAAATTAACTACTCTTCTTAGATCCATCAGTATATGAGGTCAACAGTAAATTGCTGCTCCTTAAGATGGAAAGATGGGTGACCCAAAGAATCAAAACTTGCTGGAGCAGGAGCCTAGGAGCAATATTCTCCTCTGAAACCAGTACCAGAGTAGAAAAGCTTAAAATGTAGTTTATACATTTCTAGAGGCTCAGTATGAACAAGCTTGAGAGTTAAGACTCCCGAGAGGCACAGTCTTAGAGAGGGAGCATATTTTCATGAATTTTATCTCCAGTAGCCCCACAAAGATTTTATGGTGTCATTCAGAGGAAAATCCTCTAGTGCTCCTTACTGAGTTGGAGGGAAATAAACTGACTACCAGGGAAGCAATTTTACCTGAACCTAATTTACCTTGGCTTTTAGCAGAAGTTAATTAACCTGGTTAAAGAGAAATACTCAACCCTAGCCACCTCCAGCATTCACACGGGGGAAGGGAAGTATCAAATTCCAATATTCTTCTGCTTTTCTACCTAGCCTCAAAGGAGGAGGAGGGAGTAGAAACAGAGAAGTAATTATGAAGGTCAAAACCCAGCGGCACAGACTCACCAAAAGACTGAGGCATAATGAAAGGAATATAGAACACTTTCTCTTTCCCAACATCTTACCACAACATAAATTGGGTTCCTGTATCATAACAGGAATATCGTAACAGGAGAATACAATTGTAAGAAATATATTTATCATACCTTACTTAAGAATAAATCTCTAGGGAAATCCAAAGCCAATAGGGGAGACAAAAACAGGAAAAATGAAGCTTCAGACACTTAAAGTTATAGCAAACAATAAACATAGGCTAACTCCTTGTGAAATAACCATAAAACGTCATAGTAAAGTTCTATTTACTGTCATTCTTCTTACTCAGTGTATCATGTCTAGCTTTCAATAAAAATTGAGAAGACATACAAACAAACAAATAAACAAAAACCTCAACATACTTTGAAGAGACTTAAGCATAAGAACCAGACTCAGATATGGGAGAGGTTGTGGAATCATATTAGGAGTTATTGATAATTGTAATTAATATGCTAAATGTGCTAATATAAAAATTGGACAACCAAAAGAACAGTCAGGTTACATAAACACAGAGAAAAAAATTCTGAGAAAGAATCAAAAGGAAATGGTAGAAATCAAAAACACTAGAATGGAAATTTAAAAATGCCTTTGATGTGCTCATCCGCCGACTTGACGTGACTGAGGAATGAATCAGTGAACTTAGAGAAATATCAATAGAAACTTACAAAAGTAAAATGCAAAGAGGAAAAAAAGTGAAAAAGACACATCAGGATATCCAAGGACAGAGGACAGTTACAAAATATGTAACATACACATAATGGAAATACAAGAATTCAAAGAAAGAAAGGAAGAATCAGAAAATATATTTGAAATACCAAAGACTGAGATTTTCCAAAATTAATGACAAAACAAAACCAAGCAAACAAAACACAGATCTAGAAATCTCAGAGAGTACTAAGCATGATAAACATCATGTTATTCCAGGCATACAAGGCTGGTTTAACATTGGAAAATCAATTAATATAATCTGGTTCATCAATTTAAAAAATCACATGAACATTTCAATAAATGAAGAAAAATCATTTGATAAAAATAATATTCACTCATGATAAAAGCTCTTAGCAAACCAGAAATAGAGAGGAACTTCCTCAAATTAGAAAAATCTACACAAAAACAGACAGATAACATATTTATGATAAAAAACTCTTTTCCTCTAAGATCAAGAACGGAGCAATTATGTCATGTTCTTGCCACTGATTTTCAACATCACACTGGAAGTCCTATCTAAAGCAAAAAGACAAGGAAGTAAAAAGTGTACAAATTGGGAAAGAAGAAATAAAATAGTTGTTGTACATAGGTGACAGGATTGTTTATGTATAAAATACAAAAGAATCTTCAACAACAACAACAATAAAAACCTCTTGAGACTACTAAACAATTATGGCAAGTTTTCAAGTTATAAATATTATAAAAAAATCAATTCCTTTTCCATATATCACCAATAGACAATTGGAATATGAAATTAAAAAACACAATACCATTTACATTAGGACTCTCACAATGAAATATTTAGGTATAAACCTAATAAAATATGTTATGAGATCTATATGAGGGTGACTATAAAACTCTGAAGAAAGAAATTAAATAAGATCTAAATAAAAATGAGGAGATAACCTGTCTTGAAGGATAGAAGATTCAATATTGTTAAAATGTCTGTTTTTCCTAACTTGATCTATATAAATTCCTTGCATTCTTAACCAAAATCCCAGTAAGTTATATGGTAGATATCAGCAAACTGATTTTGAAGTTTACAATAGAAGTCAAAAGACTCAGCTAGTAAAAATGCCTTTGAAGGAGAAAAACAAAATCAGAGGACTCATACTGCTCAATTGTGATACTTACCACAAAGTTATAGTAATAGATACTGTGGTATTGATGAAAGGATAGACAAACAGAATAGAAAACTTGTAAAACAACCCCACACAAACATAGTCAGATACTCTTTAACAAAGAGCAATGACAATTCAAATGTTAAAGGATAGAGTTTTTAACAAATGGTGCTAAAATAACCAGACATCCACATACCAAAAGAAAATCTAGAAAAACATCATATGTTTTTTGCAAAAAGAACATAAAATTAACAATAGAACTAAATGTTAAATTTAAAACTGTAAAAGACCTAGAAGATATTATGGCATAGGAGAAGATCTAGATAACCTTGGTTTTGGTAACAACCTTTTAGATGCAATGCAAAAAGCATGATCCATAAAAAATATTGATGTTGGACTTTATTAAAATTAAAATTTTCTGCCCTGCAAAAGACACTGTTAAGAGAATGAAAGACAAGCCACTGACCAGAAGAAAATAGAAAGTATTGTAAAATGCATATCTGGTAAAAGACTGAAATGAAAAATACACAGAAAACTCTTAAAACTCATCAATAAAAAGCAAACCAATTAAGAAATGGTTAAAAATGAGACACTTCATAAAAAATGTACGATGGTAAATAAGCATATGAAAATATATTTATCTGCATATGTCATTAGTGAATTAAAAATTAAAACAACAGTAACAGACCACTACACACCTACCAGAAAGGCCAAAATCCAAAACATTGACACCAAACACTGAAGAGGATGGACCAATAAGAACTCATATTAATTGATGATGGGAATGCAAAATGGTACAGCAACTTTGGAAGAAAGTTTGGCAGTTTCTTACAAAACTAAACATACCTGTACTGGCAAACTCATTCCTTCTTATTTATCCAAATGAATTGAAAATATGTCCAAACAAAAACAATATACAATCGTATACAGCAGCTTTATTCATAATGACTAAAACTTGGAAGCAACCAAGCTGTCTCTAATGAGGTAAATGGATAAATAAACTGTGGTGTAATCATACAACGGAATATTATTTAGAGCTGGAAAAATATTAGTATGTGGAGAAATCTTAAAAGCCTATTGATAAGTGAAAAAAGCCAATCAGAAAAGGCTATATATGGTTTAAAATATGACATTCTGAAAAAGGCAAAACCATGGAGACAGTACCCAGGACTTACAGCGGAGTGGTGATGAGAGGAAAAATCGGATGAAAAAAGAAATGAATAATTATTTTGTGTAATGCTGTAATGGTGAACACATACCATTACATATCTGTCAAAACCCATAGAACATACAAAACCAAGAGTGAGCCCTAATGAGCACTATGAACTTTGGTGGATAATGTGTTAATGTTGGTTCACTGGTTATGACAAATGTACCATAATGATACAGCATGTTGGTGTTGGGGAAGACTGCATGTTGCAGATGTTTGGTGAGAGTATAGGGGAGGGTTTGTGAACTCCATGTACTTTCTTTTCTGTTTTGCTGTGAACCTAAAACTGCTCTAAAGATTAAAGTCTGTTAGTTAAAAAATACAATTATATCATGTTTTATATTAACTTTCACACATTAGCAATTGTGTGGAATTGCAGTTTTTCTTCAAAGAAAATTAGTATTTTAAAATTTTGAAATTGCTTTCTCAATTGCCCTCCAGAAAATATATATAAACCAATGTAGAAAACAGTTAATTAGCTTTCTGAAGTCTTGGTTACATTGAATATTATCATTATTATTTGATTCTTGCAAAGTAGATAGGCGAATACATTGTTGTTTTATTTTAGTATATACACTGTTTGAGTCTTGCTCTGTTGCCCAGGCTAGAGTGCAGTGGGGCAATCTTGGCTCACTGTAAACTCCGCCTCCCAGATTCAAGTGATTCTCCTGTCTCAGCCTCCTGAGTAGCTGGGATTATAGGTGCCCACCACCACGCCAGGCTAATTTTTGTATTTTTAGTAGAGATGGTTTCACCATGTTGGCCAGGCTGGTCTCAAACTCCTGACCTCAGTTGTTCCACCTGCCTCGGCCTCCCAGAGTCCTGGGATTACAGGAGTGAGCCATCAGCACTGGCCTATTTTAATATTTTTATTAAAACTTTATTTTTCTATTTCCTCTTACATTTGTTTTTTGAGAAATATTGTTCATTCATTTTCTACTCCACTTATTTATTATATATTAATATTTTTTCATAAAATTGAACTCTGTGCATGTAGAATATTAACATTTTTGTTTTTGTGGAATGGTTTTCATAATGTTTTCTTTTATTTATTTAGCAAAATTCATAAGATTGATGATTTTATCCACAACTTTTATGCATATGCAATTGATCCATGTGTATGTTCATTCATTCAAAAATATTTTTTCAGTGTCTATTGTATTATAGGTACTGCAAATATATAAGTAAAAAAGAAAAGGTGCAAAATAATCCACCCTCGTGGATTTTACCTTCTAAATTAGGGAGGCAAATATTATGTGACACAAATAAAATACATGGTATTTTGAAATGCTATCTAATAAAGGGTTGAGGGAATCAGCAAACATGGTGTAGACTAGAATTCACAGGCTAAGGGTTAGCAGTGAAATAAAAAATAGATTTCTAAAGACTCTCGTGCTATAGAAAGGTATGCAGGGGCCAGGCTTGCAATTATGCAGTTTGGATTGTTTCCAAAAGAGTGATTGCTCTTCATTACTGTTCCACATTTTGTAAGGACTCTAGGAGACAGGTAGAATCCAAACATGTGGCTTCTGGATTTTATAATCATTAAGATGCTTTGCCAGAGAGGTCAAACAACCTTCGGCTGAAATAATCAGATGCCCATGGGAGTTGCATGTCTGTATTGATAACCTAGAGACCTTCATGGAATTGAGGCTAGAAATAACGGAGTGGGAGTGGTATGAGGGAACTTTATAGTCCCTTTAGTCTCTGCCATGTGTTGTTAGGCAACCAGAGAGAACTGCTGCAGCCATTCAGTGGAAAGTAGGAAAAGGAGATAGAATATATCTGAAGGCTGCAAAAGGTTGCTATTTTGAAAAGGGTGCTCAGGGAAGCTTCATTTAAATGTCAAAGTTTAAAAATTTAAAGTAGGTGAAGGAGTAAGTCATGTGATTATTTGGTAAAGAGAATTCCCAGATGATAGAACAGCACGTGTTAATACAAGGACCTCAGTCTTATAAAATTTAAGGACTTTGGTATTTAATCAGAATATGCAGAAAAGCTGTAGGGGGATATGATATAGAAGTAATATTCTGAATTACATTTTTAAAAGAGAATTCTAGCTGTTTGGTTAATGAGGATTGTCTGTTGGGGAATAAAAGAGCAAGATCACTTGGAATATTACTTCAGTAACAATGGTGTGTTATTCTGGATCTTGTGGGAAGCAAGCAGATTCCAAGACAGGATTCCATGTACAAGAGATCTATTGAGGGAAATGTCTGGGAGGGAAAATGGAGATGGGACTAGAGGAGGCTGGGAGAGCCAAAAGACCTAGGTTAAGGTCTGACTATTCTGAAAAAGGAAGGAATGGAAGAAGGAAGGAAGGAAGGAAGGAGAGAAGGAAGAAAGGAAGGAAGGAAGGGAGGGAGGGAAGAAAGGTCAGTCTTCGATTTTGGTACATATCTAAGGAAGTTTGGCAAGGCTGACAGAATTCTAGAGTCAAGAACATCTTGTCACGTGGATCCCACATCTCTGAGGAATGCATGTGACTTAGATCTTTGCCGTGCTCAGTCATTGGTGGGGAGCAGCCCATGGAAAGTTTGGCTTCAGCACAAAGCAGCTTTGGATTCCAAAGTGCTGAAGATGGATCTGTTAATACAGCAAGCCTCTTGAAGCAGGAATTCTTTCAATTTTAATTTTCAATTTTTATGAGCATATAATTTTTGTATGTAATTATGGTATATATGTCATATTTTAATACAGTTATAAAATGTGTAATGAAGAACATTATGTTAAGTGAAATAAGCCAGGCACAGAAGGATATATTTTGGATGTTCTCACTCATATATGAAGTAAGAATTTGAGGCGGCATATTTTTCTGGCCACAACATCAGAGGAGCAATGATAGCTTAGACAAGAGTACTACCAGTAGGGGTGGTAAGGAAGAAGTAGCAATATGTTTGGAAGATAGAGTAAATAATATTTGATCAAGGATGGCTGTATGATGGGAGAGAAGAAAAAAAGATCTATAAGAATTTGTTAAAAACTAGCTAAATTAGACTGTAGAAAAATGATTTCTGTAATTCTGATATTTAAATTAAGACCAATTTATTACCTTTCTTTTTCATGTATTTTTTTCATAACTCTCTAGAACTTTCTAATTTTTATGCCGTGCAAAATGCTTTTGGGAGGCCCTGTCACTCATACAAAACATGCTGTCTTTTTCTCAAATCTCAAGTTAGCTTGTTTGCAATATGCATATCCCAATACAAGTAAGTTTTTTTCATTTAAAAATCTATGAAGTTCTCTAGTTGAGGGTTTTTGTTTGTTTGCTTGGTTTAACCAGTAGCTACTAAGTTTCTCTAAATTTTTATCTGCTAGAGGCAAAGTTGTTACTCTAATTATCTTTGTACCTTTGGAACCTAGGAAATACCTTGGAGAGGCAACTAAATAAATGTTTCAGACTTGTATTAAATTTAGGATATTTTTCAGGGCTTACAAAAGTAGAATAGGAAGTTAAAAAATAAATTTTTGCAAATAACTTGTATAATTAAAAATTATATTTATAAAAATAAATTTAAATATTTGTTATAGAATCAATATATATCATTATTACATATACTAGACAGGCACACCTATGCACACACATCTGAAGTGCAATCTTGCCAACCCATTGGAATGTTGAGGGTATTTTATTTTCTCTGAAAGTTACAGGTGAAACACTATCAAAATAACTTTTTCTTTGGAGTATTTTTTCTGGTAAAAAATTAAGTACTTTTTTTTTTTTTTTGAGATGGAGTGTTGCCCTGTCACCCAGGCTAGAATGTAGTGGCACAATCTCAGCTGACTGCAACCTCTGCCTCTCGGTTCAAGCAATCCTCCCGTCTCAGCTTCCTGAGTAGCTGGGATACAGGCGCACGACAACATGCCTCGCTAATTTTCCTTTCCTCTGCTCCTTCCTTGACAAAAGTGCTAGCTTTACCTGAGTGGCTTTCGGAGCTTGATAAAAACTCTCTTTTTTCAGGAGATTTTTGGAAGCCAAAGAAATTTTTATTTGCTCTTGCTTCATCATCTGTTTTGAGGTGGTGAGTCTGTAGTCCCAGCCACTCTGAAGGCTGTGGTGAGAGGATCATTTGAGCCTGAGAGTTCGAGGCTGCAGTGAGCTATGGTTGGGCCACAGCACTACAGCTTGGGTGAGAGAATGAGACAGTGTCTCAAACATAAATAAAATGAAATCCAAAAGTATATTTAGAAAAAAATAAGTAAATAATGATAGAAAGAAAAATGTGACTTAATATGCAGTAATTAAATATCCCTATGCAAATTAAGATTTCTCTATTCCTGCTCACTTTTGGTGTCTATTTGCATGGAATATTTTTTCCACCCCTTAACCTTAAGTTTATGTGAGTTCTTATGTGTTAGGTGAGTCTTCTGAAGAGAGCACAAACTTGGTTGTTGAATTTTTATCCATTCTGTCATTCTGTATCTTTTAAGTGGAGCATTTAAGCCATTTACATCCAACATTAGTAATTACATTTATTAGGGATAAAGTGTAGGCATAAAAAGTTAGCGGCTAGAATAGAGAAACAAAAACAGAAAGAGTTTTAGTTCCTTAGGAAACCACTAAATAAGTTGACTGAAATCAGAAAATGCCTTCTTAGACTGTTAGGTGAGAAAAATAAAGCCTTGATCATTTCAGCCTCTATAACTCAATTTTCTGTTACGTTCTACTAAACACATTCTTTGCTGAGACAGTACCTCCTATATAACATATCCAATAAACTTCAATAAATAATCTCCACTTCTTATTTTTATTAAAAATGTCTCACCATTAAAAGCACTAAATCTTCTACAGCATGTTAGCATCTTACAGCACATTACAGCCTGTTTTGTGTGTTTATGGAGCTTCTAGACCATTTTCCCTTCCTTCTACTTAGAACATCCTGGCCTTAAATTCATCTTCAACCACTTCACCCACTGTTTTTACTTCCTTAGACATTCTTCCAACCTTTACCTGAATATTTTATCTCCTGGATCACTGTCACACTCTCTAACATTGCTGCTTTGGTTTTCTCTCCCAGGTACAAAATATAAAGTTTTTCTATGGATAATCTAATGAGTCAAGCTTAAGTCTTGGGAATATGAGGCACACGAAAAAGAAAGGTTTATGTAAGAATCTCAAAATCGAGAAGTATCTCAAAGTCTGAATATCAAAAAGTCAGAAACATAGTCCCAAATTTACACTTCTTGCAGAATTACAACTGTCCATTTCAACCTCCTGGAGAGAAATTTAGAAATTTAGAATTTTAGAAATTTAGAAATTTAGAATTTTTTTTCCTAGAAAATGAAGTGCTTTCAAGGAAAGGATCTGCATTTTTCTAAGTAGTTCCCACAAATAAAATGTATGTTTGCCATTTCATTCACTCAAAAGTGAAGGCAGCTAAGCTCAGAGGTCCAACTATAGTCATAGACATTCTAATAAATAGCAATATAGTCCCTTTCTCTTAAGTGTGAAAAGAAAACCAGAGACTACCAGCCCTATGGAGAAAATTTGCAATGTATATGAAATACCATAATTTAAAAAAAAAGGGCAAAAGGGAGAAAACATGCTCCCTTAGCCCTGGAATAAACAATGATCTCTCCAAGTGAGCTTTTGTGGGACACTTCAGTTAAAGAGATTCTTTAAGTTATGAATGATTTCAATGTTATATTTCAGAGGACTACATAACTCACATATTCTCTAGGAAGTTCTGATTCATAAATTACTGTGTGTAGGTTAGTATAAGTAATTCTTTTTGCCATGAACATTATACTAAGGACACTTAAGAGACAAAGTATCCAGCAATTAAATATCACTTGACTACTGCTTGGATAGCTAACAAAAAGACAAAAGATAACCAGTGTTGGTGAGGATGTGGAAAAAAGTGCACTCTTTTACACTGTTCATGGAAATGTAAGTTAGTCCAGCCATTATGGAAAAAAGTATGGAGACTTTTCAAAAAAATTAAAAATAGAAATACCATGTGATCCAGCAATCTCACTTCTGCGTATATATCCAAAAGGAATGAATATCCAAAGATATCTGCACTCCCATATTTATTGCAGCGTATTCACAGTAGCTGAGCTATGAAATCAAATTGTGTCCATCTATAGATGAATAAATCAACAAAATGAATAAATATAAATAATATGTGTAGATATTATTCACTCTTTCAAAAGAAGAAACTCATTTAGATAAAGGTATTAGACCAAGTCATCTGTCTCCTTTCCCACAGAGGTTTCCACCTGGTAAAGTGAACCTATGGATGGCAGAATAGCTTCTTTATATCCTCTATCTCATCTCCAAATCAGTGGAATGAATTATATTAAAAAGACGGACACTTATATGTACTGTTAAGTATTTGGAGCAAATGGAACTCACATATGATTGTTAGTGGGTGTTATAAAATATCTTTGAAAAGCCATTGTTAGTTACTTGTAAAGTCAATTACACATCTACCCAATTATAAGGTATTTGCACTCTTAGAAATATAAATGAATTTTAAAAGAAGGATAAGTTAATATACACATTCATAAAACACTTGTGCAAAGGTGTGTATAGCAGCTTTATCCAAATAGCCAAATAGTAAAAACCACAATATGTAACAGAATGAATAAACAAATTGTGGCATATTTATGCTACAATACCATACAACAATAAAAAAAGGAGGTATTGATACATACAACAACATGGACAAATCTCAAAATAAGATGTTGAATTAAGAATCCAGAAGCAAAGATAATACATTTTATATTGTCATCTATATTAAATGCTGGTATAGGTAAAACTAATCTATAATCATAGAAATAAGATCAGTCATTGCCTTGGGCAGAGGTAGTTGTAGATATTGACATGGTAGAATTGATCAAAAGAAAGCACTTTGAGATGGTTAAAATAACATATTTTTTGTGTAGTTATTATGCAGTTATACATAGTTTTCAAAACCCATGTATAAATACTTAAGATTTATATTATTTTATGTTTATTTTTATTATTTATTATAGATTTTTATTGATGTATATATATTTTATTATACATACACATATTTTATGATTATTGTACATAAATTAAAATGTTGATAAGAAAGAAACTCAAAGGTTCTTAAAATATCTACAAATATGTAGCAAAAATACATTTTTATGGAAGAATAGGTAAAAAGGGACACAAACAAAAGAAAAAGAATGAGACTGAAATCATATTTCTAACAGCTTTCCTGAATGCTAAAAAAAAAGTTTTCTTTACAATTCTGAAGAAATTATTTTTAATCTAGAGTTCTGTATCTAGTTACATTTTCAAGCAAGTATGAGAACAGTATTAAGACATTCGGACGTTAAAGGACTCAAAAAGTTACCTTCCTTTGCACCCTTTTTCCAAAAAGAAGTGGAAGTTGAGTTTCCTTGAAGAAGGATTCTGGAAAGAAAGATCACTTCCAGGACACAGGGAATTCAACATTGTCTCCTCATTCACTGAACTCCAGACCCACTAGCCTTCTTATGCTGTCTTATAAGACATTTGTTAGGCATACTCTACCTCAGAATGCTCACACTTCCTGATTACCCTTCAGGAAATTATTATCTCCTAGATATCTGCACGGCTTGCCTCCACAACTCATCCAGGTTTTAGTTAATTATCACCTAATGCTAGAGGCATTTATGGACCATTTTCTATTATGTAGCCACTCTACCCCTCCTCATTTACTCTCTAACCTCTTATCTTGTAGTTAGCCTTCATAGGATTCATCTCCATCTGTTTTATTTTGTTCTTATGCTGCTAATAAAGACATACTGAGACTGGGTAATTTATAAAGAAAAGAAGGTTTAATGGATTCACAGTTCCACATAGCTGGGGAAGCCTCATAATCACGGCAGAAGATGAAGGAAGAACAAAGGGATGTCTTAAATGGTGACAGGCAAGAAAGCTTGTGCAGGGGAACTCCCATTTATAAAACCATCAGATCTCTTGAGATATATTCACTACCAGGAAAATAGTATGGGGGAAACCACCCCATGATTCAATTATCTCCACTTAGCTCTGCCCTTGACACGTGGGGATTATTAAAATTCAAGGTATGGTTTGGGTGGGGACACAGCTAAATCGTATCATTTCAGCCCTGGCCCCTCCCAAATTTCATGTCCTCACATTTCAAAACCAGTCATGCCTTCCCAACAGTCCTCCAAAATCTAAACTCATTTCATCATTAACTTAAAAGTCCACAGTCCAATGTCTCATCTGAGACAAGGCAAGTACCTTCTGCCTATGAGCCTGTAAAATCAAAGCAAGTCAGTTACTTCCTAAATACAATGGAGGTACAGGCAATGGATAAATACACATGTTTCAAATGGGAGAAATTGGCCAAAATGAAGTGGCTACAGTCCCCATGAAACTCTGAAATCCAGCAGGGCAGTCAAATCTTAAAGCTCTAAAATTATCTTCTTTGACTCTGTGTCTCACATCCAGGTCATGCTGACCCCTGTGGCTTTGCACAGTGCAGCACCCCTCCTGGCTGCTGTCATGGGCTGGCACTGAGTGTCTGTAGCCTTTCCAGATGCACAGTGCAAACTGTCCAGGTATCTAACATTCTGGGATCTGGAGGACAGTGGCGCTCTTCTCACAACTCCACTAGGCAGTGCCCCAGTGGGGACACTGTGTAGGGGCTCCCAACCCACATTTTCCTTCCTCACTGTCCTAGCAGGGGTTCTGCATGAGGCCTCTGCCCCTGCAGCAAACGTCTGCATGGACCATCCAGGCATTTCCATACATCGTCTGGAATCTAGGGAGAGGTTCTCAAACCTTGGTTCTTGATTTCTGTGCATCTGCAGGCTAAACACCACTTGGAAGCCACCAAGGCTTGGGACTTGCACCATCTGAGGCTAAGGCCTGAGCTCTACATTGGGCCCTTTTAGCCACAGCTGGATCATAGGGCACCAAGTCTCAAGACTGCACAAAACAGCAAAACAGCAAAGCTCTGGGACTGGCCCACAAAACCATTTTTTTCCTTTTAGGCCTCTGGGCCTGTGATGGGAGGGGCTGCCTTGAAGACCTTTGACATACCCTGGAGACATTTTCCCCATTGTCTTGGTGACTAACATTTGTCTCCTCATGACTTATGCAAATTTCTGTGACTAGCTTGAATTTCTCTGTAGAAAATGGGTTTTTCTATTCTGTCACATCATCAAGCTACAAATTTTTGAATTTTTATGCTCTTGCTTCCCTTTTAAAGCGTAAGTTCCAATTCCAATCCAAATCTTTGTGATACGTAAAACTGAGTGCTTTTAACAGCACCCAAGTCACCTCTTCAATGCTTTGCTCCTTAGAAATTTCTTCCACCACATTCCATAAATCATCTCTCTCAAGTTCAAAGTTCCACAAATCTTTAGGGCAAGGGCAAAATGCCACCAGTGTCTTTGCTAAAATATAAGAGGAGTCACCTTTATTCTAGTTCCCAAAAAGTTTTTAATCTCCATCTGAGATTACCTCAACCTGGACTTTACTGTCCATATCACTATTAAAGCATTTTGTTCAAAGCCATCTAACAAGTCTCTAAGAAGTTCCACACTCTCCCACATCTTCCTTTTTCCGAGCCCTCCAAACTGTTCCAATCTCTGCCTGTTACCCAGTTCTAAAGTCACTTCCACATTTTTGGGTACCTTTACAACAGTGCCCCACTACCTGGTACCAATTTACTGTGTTATTCTGTTCTCACCGTCCTAATAAAGACATACCTAAGACTGGGTAATTTCTAAAGAAAGAAAGGTTTAATGGACTCACAGTTCCACCTGGCTTGGGAGGCCTCACAATCATGGCAGAAGAAGAAGGAAGAGCATAGGAACGTCTTACATACTGGTGGGCAAGAGATCTTGTGCAGGGGAACTCCCATTTATAAAACCATCAGATCTTGTGATACTTATTCACTACCAGGAGAACAGTATGGGGGAAACTGGCCCCATGATTCAATTATCTCCACCTGGCCCCACCCTTGACATATGTTGATTATTACAATTCAAGATGAGATTTGGATGGGGGACACAGCCGAACCATACCACCCTCTGATTTAAAATGTAAAATATTAATGTATATTTAAATTGTGTTGCATCAAATATGTGTATATTACATATATCATATAAACATGCATTTACAAATAATTTATTATGTTTAATATAAAGATTGTTTGCTTACTATCTACTTATTCACAAGAATGCAAGCTTTATGTTAACTGAAATTTTCTCAGTAATTAGAACATTACCTAATATATAGAATAATATGTATTTGTTGAATGAATAGTTAGCTTTTATTTCAATCATGTTTTTAAATACCCTACTAGTTACCTACTTTTATTCTCCTTTTCCTTGTGTGAATAAATCTTATTAATTTTACTATTATTTGTAGAGAATCTTGAGAAGAGAAAGACAGAGATACATGTTTAATCTTTAAACTCTTTTCAGGAGTCACTTTAAAACACTCTTCTGTGGTCAGACAAAATTTCCCAAAGGAAGTGCTAAGCTGTGACCTGATTAATATACAGATAGCAACTTGTTAAAAAAAAAAGAAGTGACAAAGTGTGAGTAAAACAACGTTGTCCATGCTGCTAGAATTTGATAGTGAGATTATTATTTTTCAAAGTGCTATCCCAATGTATTTAAAATCTGATCTGAGAAATGAAACTAGCCAGACTGCTGGGAAGATGTCCAGTTTTTGGTGTGCTAAGCACTGATGGTCATTTATTCACACTTTCATTTTACTTGACTAAGAATATTGATTTAATTTAAACTGGATGAACTTGTATGTGTTATACTTCAGTGTGCTTCACTGAGCTATAAAGTCAACAGTCCACTAAAATGGTATAAATGCAATTTACTTTAAATAAGCAAAAGAAAAAGAACTATTTTCTGTCTCCTGCTTTTCCCAAGATAAAGTGACCTGTATTATATCACACTTTCATGTCTGATGCTTACCTTTTGTTTTAAGGCCATTTGTGATTATTGTATTTGTTTGACGGTTCCCAAGTAACTAAAGTTATATGATTACATCAAGAAATTATATCAATTTTTGTAGGAATCACAGATAACCATGACATTTTTTATGTCACCCACTTTGATATATGATTTTGGAATATATTTTGCTTCACATCTTAAGAAGCAAACACCTGATACATATTTTTTACCACTTCATTTATTAGTTAATAAGCATTTATTATTGCCAAGCCACCTAACCTCTCCACTATTTACTTTCCTCTTTTGTAAATTAAGAGTGATGATCTCATTAAGTGATTTTAAATTGTACACCTGGGCACTCTTCAGGTTCAACATTATCTTCAGGAAAACTATTTTCTTAGGGTGTCAGAGGGATTAAGGGGAGAAAATGATAAGGTAGGATTTTAAATCCCTTCAGTTTCCCTTTTTGTCATTATGGAGTGCCTGAAAAATACCTCTCCAAACACAGTTTCCCATTTGTGTTTATCTATTGGATTTGCACAGAAGAGTTATTTTGATGTTTTACCAGCAAAGATAACTTTAGTTGTCTTAACTTTACCTTTAATTTGGAGACCCTCAAACTAGCAAAAATTGTTGATCCTTTATTGCTTCTGATGTTCATAAACACAAAATGCCACCTATTAATTGTTTTATTGTGGTGGAAATATTTAATAGGGTGTCTACACTTTTAACAAAATCTGAAGTGTACAGTACAGTCTTTATAACTACACTTGGCCCTTGAACAACATGGTTTGAACTGCCTAGGTCCACTTATACACAGATTTTCTTCCACCTCTATCACCCCTGAGATAGCAGGGCCAACCCCTATACTTCCTCCTCCTCCTCAGCCTACTCAACATGAAGATAATGAAGATGAACATCTTAATGATGATCCACTTTTGCTTAATTAATAGTAAATACATTTTCTCTTCCTCATGATTTTTTAAATACAATTTTCTTTTCTCTAGCTTACTTTATTGTAAGAATGTTGTATGTAATACATATACAAAATATGTATATGTTTATATTATCAGTAAGGTTTCCAGTCAAAGTAGGCTATCAGTAGTTAATCTTTGGGAAAGTCAAAAGTTATATGTGGATTTTTGGCTGAGAGAAGAGATTAGCAACCCTAAATCCCATTTTATTCAAGAACCTACTGTACAGGAAAGATACTACAAAAATTTCTAAAACATGTCTAACTTGCATAACTAAAACGTTTTACTTATTGAACAACTCTGTGTTCTCTCTTATGCCTTTTCACCCTGCTTCTCCAGTCCCTGGTAACCACCATTCTGCTTTTTGCTTCTATGAATTTGGCTAATTTAGATACCTCACGTAAGTGAAATCATATAGCATTTATCCTTCACTTAGGATAAGAACCACACATTTCATCCATGTTGTGGCATATTGTAGGACTTCTTTTTTTGTTAAAGATGAATAATATTTTATTTTATGTATAAACCCTATTTTCTTTATCCATTTATTCATTGATAGACACTTAGGTTGATTCCATATTGTGGCTATTGTGAGTGATGCTGCAAAGAATATTGGGATGCAGGTATCTCTTTGACATACTGATTTCATTTCCTTTGAATGTATACCCAGAAGTGGAAGTTGCCAGATCATCAGTATTTCTATTTTTAATTTTTTGAGAAAGTTCTATGCTATTTTTAATAATGGCTTCATGAATTTATATACCCCTGTACAGCATGCAAGGGTTCCTTCCCATTTTTCTACATCCTCACCAACACATATCTTTTGTTCTTTTGATAATGGCTTTTGATAAAAGCCATTCCAACAGGTTTAAGATGCTATCTCATTGGGGATTTAATTTGCATTTCTCCACTAATTAGTGACATTAAGCAATTTTTTTTTTCATATACTTGTTGGCCATTTGTATATTTTCTTTTCTTTTTTTTTTTGAGACGGAGTCTCACTCTGTCGCCCAGGCTGGAGTGCACTGGTGCAATCTTGGCTCACTGCAAGTTCCACCTCCCAGGTTCATGTCATTCTCCTGCCTCAGCCTCCTGAGTAGCTGGGACTACAGGCGCCCGCCACCACGCCCGGCTAATTTTTTGTATTTTTAGTAGAGACGGGGTTTCATCATGTTAGCCAGGATGGTCTCGATCTCCTGACCTCGTGATCCGCCAGCTTCGGCCTCCCAAAGTGCTGGGATTACAGGCGTGAGCCACCGCGCCCAGCCTAGTATATCTTCTGAGAAATGTACATTTAAGTACTATGCCCATTTTTTGATTGGTTTAATTGGCTTTCTTATTATTGAGATTTTTAACTTCCTGATATATTTTGAATATTATCTTCTTATAATATGTATTACTCTGTTCTCACACTGCTATGAAGAAATAGGCATTGAGTGTCTGCAGCCTTTCCAGATGCACAGTGCAAACTGTCCATGAATCTAACATTTTGGGGTCTGGATGAATGAATCTAGGTAATTTATAAAGAAAAGAGGTGTAATTGGCATATGATTCCCCAGGCTATACAAAAAGCATGCAGCTGGCATCTGCTCAACTTCTTGGGAAATCTCAGGAAACTTACAATCATGGTGAAAGGTGAATGGGAAGTAGGCACATATTACATGGCTGGAGCAGGAAGAAGAGAGGGCGAAGGAGGTGCCACATATTTTTAAACAACCAGATCTCATGAGAACTCACTCACTATCACAATACAGTACCAAAAGGGAACTCTGCTCCTACCAATCACCTCCCACCAGGCCCCACCTCCAACATTGGGGGTTACAGCTCAACATGAGATTTGGGTGGGGACAAAGATTCAAATTATATAATTCTGCCCTGATCCCCCCCAAATCTCATGTCCTCCTCACGTTGCAAAATACAATCTTGCCTTCTCAACAGTCCCCTAAAGTCTTAACTCATTCAAACATCAACTCAAAAGTCCAAAGTCTCATCTGAGACAAGGCCAAATCCCTTTTGCCTATGAGTTTTTTTTAAAAAAATTAGTTATTTCCAAAATACAATGGGGGTACAGGGGGTACAGGCATTGGGTAAATACTCCTGTTCCAAAAGGGAGAAATTGGCCAAAAAAAGGGGGCTACAGGCTCTACACAAATCCAAAACCTAGCAGGGCAGTTATTAATTCTTAAAGCTCCAAAATAACCTCCTTTGACTCTATGTTTCACATGCAGGGCACACTGATGCAAGGATTGGTCTCCCAAGGTTTTGAGCAACTCTTCCCCTGTGGCTTTGCAGGGTTCAGATCCCACAGCTGTTCTCATGGGCTAGTGTTGAGTGCTTGTGGCTTTTTCAGGTGCAGGGTGAAAGCTGCTGGTGGATCTCCCATCTGAGGGTCTGGAGAATAGCAGCCCTCTTCTCACAGCTCCACTAGGCAATGCCCCAGTGGGGACTCTGTGTGGGGGCTCCAACCACACACTTCCCTTTCACACTGCCCTAGTAGAGGTTCTCCATAAAGGCTCCACCCCCGCAGCAGTTTTCTGCCTGGAAATCGAGGCTTTCCCATACATCCTCTGAGATCTAGGCAGAGGCTCCCAAGCCTCAACTCTTGCATTCAGTGCACTTGCAGGCTTAACATCACTTGAAAACCACCAAGGTTATGGATTGGCACTTCTGAAGCAGTGGCCCAAGCTGTACCTGAGCCCTTTTGAGCCACAGCTGGAACTGGGGTGGTTGAAATGCAGTAAGCAGTGTCCCGAGGCTGCTCAGGGCAGCAGGGCCCTGGGCCTGGTCCATGAAACCTTTTAGTCCTCCTGGACAACTAGCTGGACCTGTGATGGGAGGAGCTGTGACAAAGGTCTCTGAAATGCCTTCAAGTCTTTTTCTCTGTTTTCTGGGCTATGGGTATTTGCCTTTTTGTTTTTCAGTTGTGCAAATTTCTGCAGCCTGCTTGAATTCCTCCTGTGAAAATGGGCTTTTCTTTTCTATCACATGACCAGACTGCAAATTTTCCAAAATTTCTGCTCCGCTTCTGCTTTAAAAATAAGTTTCAGTTTCACATCATTTCTTTATTCATGCATATACACTTGGCTTTTAGAAACAGTCAGGTGACTTCCTGAATGCTTTTCTGCTTAGAAATTTCTTCTACCAGATATCCTAAATCACGTATCTCCAGTTCAAAGTTCCACAGATCTCTAGGACAGGGGCACAGTCAACCAAGCTCTTTGCAAATGTGTAACAAAAGTGACCTTTGCTCCAGTGTCCAATAAGTTCCTTATCTCCATCTGAGACCTCATCAGCCTGTTCATCTCTGTCCATATAACTCTCAGTATTTGGTCACAACCGTTCAATGAGGAAGTTCCAAACTTTCCCTCGTTTTCCTGTTTTATTCTGAGCTCTCCACACTCTTCTAAACTGTTCATTACTCAGTTACAAAGTCACTTTCAAATTTTCAGGTATCTTTATAGAAATGCCCCACTCCTCAGTACCAATTTTATGTATTAGTCCATTGTCACACTGCTATAAAGAAATACCTGAGGCCAGGCATGGTGGCTCACACCTGTAATCCCAGCACTTTGGGGGCAGAGGCAGGGAAATAATTTGAAGTCAGGAGTTCAAGATCAGCCTGGCCAACATGGTGAAACCCCATCTTTACTAAAAATACAAAAATCAACCTGGCATGGTGGTGCACACCTGTAATCCCAGCTACTCAGGAGGCTGAGGTGTGAGAATTTCTTGAACCTGGGAGGCAGAGGTTGCAGTGAGCTGAGATTGTGCCACTGCACTCCAGCCTGGGTGACAGAGCTAGAATCCATTTCAAAAAACAAAAAAAGAAAGAAAGACTTGAGACTCAGTAATTTATATATATATATATATAATGTTTATTTGGCTCAGGATTCTGAAGATTGTACAGGAAGCATGATGCTGACATCTCCTCAGCTTCTGGGGAACTTACAATCCTGTGGAAGGCAAAGGGGGAGGCAGGCATGTCTTATATGGCATGAGCAGGAGGAAGGAGGGGGAAGGTGCCACACACTTCTAAACAACCAGATCTCATGAGAACTCACTTACCATTGTAGTACAGTACCAAGGGGGAAATCTGCCCCCATGATCCAATCCCCTCCCACCAGGCCCCACCTCCAACATTGGGAAATGCAATTCACTGTGAGATTTGGGTGGGGACATAGATCCAAAACATATCATCATATGTATGCCTTGCAAATATGTTCTCCTATTCTGAAGGTTATCTTTTCATTCTGTTGATTGTTTTCTTTGCTGGGCAGAAGCTGTTTAGTTTTGTGCAATTATATTTGTCTATTTAAGCTTTTTTGTATATGCTTTTGGAGTTATAGCAAAAGAAATGGTCAGGACCAATGTCAAGAACTTCTTTCCTATGATTTTTTTTCTAGTAGTTTTACAATTTCAGGTCTTACATTTAAGTGTTTACTTCATTTTGAGTTTACTTTCTATGGGTTGTGATAAGGGTCTAATTTCATTCTACATGTGAAAATACATTTTTCCAAGCATCAATTATTGACGAGATTATCCTTTCTCCATTGTGTTCTTGGAAACTTTTTCAAAATCATTTTACCTTGGACATTTGAATTTATTCTTGAGCTCTTAATTTTCATCCACTGGTCTTTGTGTGTGTGTATTGGTGCCATGCTGTTTTGATTACCATAGGTTTGTAGTAAATTTTGAGGTAAGGTAGTTTAAGGCCTTCAGCTTTGTTCTGTTTTCTCAAAATTGCTTTGGGTGTTATGGGTTTTTTTGTGGCTCTGAACAAATATTTGAATTTTTTATTTATTTCTGTGAAAAAATGTTATTACAGTTTTGATCAGAATTTTATTTAATTTTTTTGCCACTTTAAGTAGTATAGATATTTTAACATTATGATTTTTTCTCATCCATAAATATAGGAGATTTCTTATATCTTCAGTTATTTTCACCAAAGTTTTACAGTTTTCAAAGTACAAGACTTACACCATCATGGTTAAATTTATTTGTATTTTATATTTTGACACTATTACAAATGAGATTGCTCTTATAATTTCTTTTACAGTAGTTTGTTGTTGATGTATAGAAATGCTACTTATTTCTATATGTTGATTTTATCTCCTGCAACATAAATAAATTTATGTCTTAATTTGAATAGTTATTTGGTGGTGTCTTTTGGTTTCTCTATATGCAAAATCATGCCGTCTACAAATAGAGACCATTTTATTTCTTCCTTTCTGATTTAGATGCTTTTCATTTCTTTTCTTGCCTAGTTGCTATGGCTAGGACTTTCACTAGTATGCTATACAGATGTGGAGAGTAAGCATCCTTTACCTGTTCCTTATCTTAGAAGAAAAGCTTTCAACACTTTACAATAGTGTATGATGTTTGCTGTGGGCTAGTAGTGTATCATATTTATTGTGTTGAAGTAAATCCTTCTATACCTACTTTGATGAGAAATTTTTATAATGAAATGATGTTGAATTTCATCAAATGCTTTTCATGCATCTATTGAGATGATTTTTATCTTTCAGTCTGTTAATGTGATGAATTACATTATTGATTAGTCTATGTTAAACCATACTTGTATCCCAGAGATACATCCTAGTTGCTCTTAACGAGTGACACTTTCAATGTACTGTTGAATTCAGTTGGCTAATATTTGGTTAAGGATTTTTGCTTCTATGTTCATCAGGGATAGTGGTTCATAATCTTATTTTTTTATAGTGTCTTTTTCTGGCTAATACAGGCTTCACAAAATAAGTTTTAAAGTATTTTTAAACCATTTTATCCTTTGTAAGTTTTGGAAGAGTTTGAGAAAAATTGGTATTAGTTCTAATTTAAATGTTTGATTGAATCTACCAGTGAACCCATCAATTTATGCTGTTCTTTGATGGAAGCCTCTTTATTACTGAATTAATTTATTACTCATTGTTGGTCTGTTCAGATTTTATATTACTTCATGGTCCAGTATTGGTAAGTTTTGTTTCTGTGAATGTTTTTGTTTCTTCTATGTTATCAAATTTGTTGGCATATAATTGATCATTGTAGTTTTTTATGATCCCTTGTGATATCAGTAACAATGTCTCCTCCTTTATTTTTTACATTAATTATTTTAAACATTTTTATTTTTTCTTAGTTATTTTAGCTAAAGATTTTTCTATTTTTTATCTTTTAAGAAACCAATTCTTCATTTCAATGATCTTTTCTATTGTTTTTATAGTCTCTATTTCATTTATTTCTGTTTTGACCTTTATTATTTCCTTTCTTCTACAAGCTTTGGGCTTAGTTTGTTCTTCCTTTCCTAGTTCCTTTTTCAATTTAGTTATTGGATTTTTCAACTCTATGATTCCTGTGTGTATTCTTTTCAGGAACTTTTATATTGTTCATACATTGTTCTTTTGTCCTTGATCTACTGCTAGATCTTATTCATTCTAACTATATTTTTGTACTTACTAACCATGCCCACACCCCCTCACTACCAGTCCCAGCCTCTAGTAACTATCATTCTACTCTCCATCTCAATGAGTTTACTTGCTTTAAGTTTTAGTTTTCCAAAATGTGTGGAAAGATAAAAAGTGTGTCTTTCTGTCCCTGGCTTATTTCATTTAACATAATGCCTTTCAATTCCATCCATGTTTGTTGCAAGTGACAGGATTTCATTCTTTTTATGGCTTAATACTACTCCATTTCGTATATATACCACAATTACTTTATCTGTTTTTCTGTTGATGGACACTTATGTTGCTTCCAAATCTTGGCTATTGTGAATAGTACTACAAAAAATACGAGAGTGCAGATATCTCTTCAATATACTGATTTCCCAACTTTGGGGAACATACTTTGGAGTGGAATCACTGGATTGTACAGTACCTCTATTTTTATTATTTTGAAGAACCTCCATAGTGTTTTCCATAGTGGTGTACTAAATCACATTCCTACCAAGAGTGTAGTAGTTTTCCCTTTTCTCCACATCCTCACCACCATTTGTTATGACCACACTTTTGGATATAAGCCATCTTTACTGGAGTAGGATAATGACTCATTGTAGTTTTGATTTTCATTTATCTGATGATCAATGATATTGAGCACCTTTTCATATACCTGTTTGTCATTTTTATGCTAAAATAGTGGCAGGGTTGGAGAGAATTGAATCCAATTTTGAAATAATGCTACCGTGGGTAAAACGCTATCATATAGCATTGCATGCTACAGAGAGATCTTTCATGAAAGGAAGAGTTGATTGATGTGGCAAATTTTATTTTTGTCATATTTTAAGAAACTTCCACAACCATTCCATTCTTCAGCAATCACCACTCTAATCAGTCAGCAGCCATCAACACTGAGGCAAGACCCTTTACCAGCAAAAAGGGTAGGACTTGTTGAAGTCTCAGGGAGTTATTTGCATTTTTAGCTATGAAGTATTTTTAAATTAAGATATGTGCATTGTTTTTTCAGATATAATGCTACTGCACATTTAATGGATTATAGCATAGTGTAAACATAACTTTTTTATGCACTGGGAAACCATAGAATTCATGTGATTGACTTTTATTGCATTATTGCTTTATTGCACTTATCCAGAACTGAACCCACAATACTTCAGAAGTATGCCTGTGCATATAATCATGCAAAATCTTCTATTATTTGTTCCATTTTACAATTTTGTTTTGCCTCTTTTTAAAAAAACTGCTAGCACAACTGTGGTTTATGACCACGTGTTTAATTCTAAATTTATTTTATTTACATAAATTTACAGTACAGTATTAAGCAAATTATGCCTCACATTTTCCCTATATAGTATTAATATTCTTATAATTGATGCCATCTTTATTTGTATGTTGCATAATAAATTCTCCCACACAAGTAAGGCAATTTATACTGTTTTATCTATGCTTAATTAATGTTATTAAATTTGGTTTTTAAATTTTGTATCATTTATATTTAGTCAAAATTATGACAACATAACTGTGCAATTTTTTAGTCTTTATTTGTATATATTGCATTCATTTTTTCACTGCTTTTCCCCCAACCCCTTCAGTGAGGTTGATTCATGCAGTTTTAATATAGCTAGAATCTCTTGTCACGGGTCACGGTTTGAATTCTTTCCTGTGAACCCCTTAACTCCTAAAGGATTTTAAAAATTTGCATTCATTAGGGTTAACTCTGTGTCATAAAGTTCTATGGGTTTTGAAAAATGAATAATGCTATATATCCACAATATAGTATCATGGAGAATCATTTTCACCACTCTAAAATCCTCTGTGCTCAACCTGTCATTGCATACATATCCCTTGTGTTTCACACCTTATTCCAAACCTCTAGCAACTACTGATACTGTAGCTAACTCTATATCTGAAGTGTCAAATAATTATAATCACACTGTATGTAGCCTTCTCAGACTAGTATTTTTCACTTGGCTATATGCATTTAAATTTTCTCCATGTCTTTTCATGACTTGATAGTTCATTTCTTTTTATTGCTATGTAATATTCCATCACGTGGATTTGCTACAATGTGTTAATACATTTACATATGTATAAACCTTCTGGTTGTTTGGGAAATTGTGACTTTAGCAGCTATAAACACTTACATGCAGGTTTTTGTGGAGACATAGCTTTTTAACTAACTTGGTTACACAACAAGGAACTATTACTGTGTAGTATTACTTTTATTTGCAATTCTCCCATTATAAATGATATTGAGCATTTTTTCACATTTGTCTTTTTTGCTGAGCTATCTTTATTTTTACTTGAGTTTTTTTTTTGCTTTCTTATTGAGTTGGAAAAGTTCTTTGTATATTTTCGATATAATTTCTTAATTAGATATATTTTACAAATATTCTCTCCCAGTCTGTGGCTTGTTTTGTAACTCTCTTGACAGTGTCTTTCAGAAAGTATATTTTAATTTTAGTGACATGAAACTTGTCAATGTTTTTATTTCATGGGTTGTACTTTTCTTATTGTATTAAAGAACTCATATGTAAGCTTTCAACTTTCCAAATAGAAATTGACATTCTTATGTTTATTCCTTAATGTCTTGATTCATAAACTCTTATTAGAAAATCTTGTTTTTTAAAAGAGCTTAAATGTTTTTGTTTTTCAATCTTATGTAAGCCAATATTATTGATATGGACCGGAGAAAGGGAAATACTGGGTAGAAGAAGGTGGTTCCCCGGCAAAGGCCCCACCCTCACGCCTGGATACCTGCAGCCCTAAACGAAAACAAGCATTCCAGTTTTCATGCCCAAAAGTTGCCTTTTGACCTGCTACGTCCCCTATTCTGTACCCATATAAACCCCAAATCCCAGGCTAAAGAGCAGACCAGCAGAGGAGGAAACAAGACAAGCAGATGAACGGGCAAAATGACGTGGCAGAGAAAGAGAGAAGAGGAGGAACAGATTGATCGCTGAGAGGAGTTCAGCTGCAGTACAGCCCAACTTCAGGGGAAGAACATCTTCCCCCTCTCTCTCCCATTCTTGCTCCCCATCCATTCTGCTGAGAGCCCTGCCACCACTCAATAAAACCTTGCATTCATTCTTTAGGCCCGTGTGAGACCTGATTCTTCCGGGACGCTGGGCAATAGCTCAGGATACAGAAAGATGTCACACTGGCCCTCTGCCCTTGGGAAAACACAGAGGGTCCATTGAGCTGGTTAACACTTAAAGCTATCTGCGTACGGCAAGGCTTATAGAGCATTGTAACATTGGGGTTGCAGGCACCCAGCCCTACACACTACCAACGACCAGAGTCCAAAGCAGTTGCCCCAGCCTCTGCAACTGCCCATCTACGTGCTCCCCCTCCTACAAGGGGTTTGAGCAGCAGCTGTGACCAAATAGGTGACACACCTCTGTTGTACTTCCTGTAAGGGGGGTCAGGGAATTCTCCCATTTCATAACTATTGACTGAATTATGTTCCCCTCAAAATTCATATGTTGAAGCACTAAGCCCTATTACCTTAGAATATAAGTTCTAAGGAGACAGGGCTTTTACAAAGATAATTAAGTTAAAATGAGGCCATTAGGATGGGCTGTGATCAAATCTGACTGGTGTCCTGACTAGGAGGAGATTAGAACATGCAAAGAAAGACACCAGCGATGCTCATGCACAGAGAAGAGGCCATGAGTGAGGAAAGACTAAGACGGTGGTCATCTGCAAGCCAAGGAGAGGTGGCTCACGAGAAACCCAGCTTACCAACACCTTGATCTTGGGATTCTAGGTTCCAAAATTACGAGAAAATAAATTTTGGTTGTTTAAGACACCCAGTCAGTGGTAAAATACAAAACGATTTTGTTTGAAAATCTTATATGAATATTATTTTAATAAAAATGTGGTTGAATTTTCATCTTTTTCTTTTTCACCAGTTTTCTTTTAGATCCACAATTTCAGTTTTTGATACTCCCGTGCTCTAAAATAAGTCTTTACTTTTTTGTTTTTGTTTTCATTAGGAAGAATCCTACATATATATTTCTTTTTGACTAGATATCTGAGAATGCTTTTTTATTAGTTTTATTAACAGCTTTATCTCACCGTGAACAGTCATCTCTCAGTATCCATATCCATGCAGGATTGTTTCCAGGAACTCTTGCTGATACCAAAATCTGTAGATGCTGAAATCCCTGATATAAAATGGGGTATAATTTCCATAAAACTTATGTACATCCTTTAAATCATACTTTAAATCTTCTCCAGATTACTTATAATACCTAATACAATGTAAATGCTATGATAATATTTGTTATACTGTATTTTTTAGAAAATAAAGACAAGAGGGAAAGTCTGTACATGTTCAGTACAAACACAAATGTGTTTCCAAATATTTTTGATTCATAGTCGGTGAAATCCACAGACACAGAACTCAAGGGAACCAATGGTCAACTTCATCATGTTTCAGTGTCAAAACATTTCTCAAAAAATATAATTATACAAGAGAATTCCTTTTATTCTTTTGTAGTTTTGTAGATTCCAACCAAATCAACACCATACCAGGAGATTTAATGTGCAGATTGTCTATTTGTTCATCCTTGTTTGTTTGACAGCAATGAAGCAATATTTTCTTGCTGAGAACAGACTAAATATATTATAAAACTTGGTATCGCCTCTTGATTTAAGTCTATTTGCAGAACTGTCTTAACGTTCTTTGAATATTAGTTTTTCCCATGATATTCAGGATATATTCATAGCTTTTCTGACTTTTATGAGTCTGCTTATTCTTTAAGCTAATTAATTGTTTTATTACCCTCCATTAGTTAATAATCCAGGAGGAATTCTTACCCAAAAGCTTCGGACAAGATCTATAGATCTACTTTCCATAGAGAAAAAAACTAACTTATTAAGCAGGCTGTCTGGAGCATAAGACAACCACTGAAGCAGGCAATTTGTTTCTTTCTGTCTCTCTAATTCTGAATGGAACGAGATTACCATTGAATGAACCCTTCAACTTTACTTGATTTTCAGATTTGTGTCCTAGTACATTTCTTGTGCAAATTTTATATAACCATACTTTCAAAAACAAAAGAATTCCAATTCATCTGTTTTCAATTAGTTTCTACCTGCCCTTGTTCTGTGTGTGTGTGTGTGTGTATGTATGTGTGTGTGTGTGTGTGTGTGTGTGTGTGTATTTGATCATGCATGAACATATGCATGTCAGGACCGGTATTTTTGAGAGAGAGTAGGAATAGTCTATGGAGTCCATTGTGTCTCTGCTTACACTAAAACATTGTTCACATTTTCATCTGTTTTTCTTATCACTGCATTTTTGAACACTGCGGATAGAGTACACATATGGTGAAGAGAACCAAGAAGTTACAAAATAGGTGAAAATAATTACTGAAATCAGATATAGTAAGTGAATGAGAGTCAAGGAAAAAGAATAAATATATAGTTTGATTAGATTGGGTTATCCACTGAACATTCCTTATAGGGTTTTCTAGGCTAAAATTTCTGTGGACTAACAAAAAATGGCCGATAAATAACTGGCAAATACAAAAAAAGTATATTGTACAAAAGAACATGAAATAATATCATTAAGGATGTTTTATAAAAGTAATAAATTGCTTTTGAAAATGGTTTTATGAATTTTTTTTTTTTTTTGAGACAGAGTCTTGCTCTGTCACTCAGGCTGACTGCAATGGCCCAATCTCGACTCACTGCAACCTCAGCCTCCCAGGTTTAAGTGATCCTCCTGCATCAGCCTTCCAAGTAGCTGGGACTACAGGCGTGCACACCACGCCCAGCTCATTTTTGTATTTTTAGTAGAGACAGAGTTTCACCATGATGGCCAGGCTGGTCCCAAACTCCTGACCTTGTGATCTGCCAACCTCGGCCTCCCAGAGTACTGGGAATACAGGCATGAGCCACTGCACCTGGCCTGTTTTATGAACTTTTATGCAACACAGACACAGAGTTTTCTTAAAAGAAGGCAAGGTTAGACATTGCTAGTTCCACTTTTTTGGTATGTAAATAATTCTTTTACCTTTAATTTCTTATTCTGATTCTGTTTGATTTATGTAGAATCTCAACATTTTAATAAAATCTTTTGTTAACTTCATCAATAGTCACTCAAAAACAGTCATTCAATTTTTATCTAAACCATACACAGTTGAAAGAGGAAAACAATTTTGTTGAAAGTAGCTTTTGATTTAAAACTCTAAGAATAACAACCTGAATTTAGTAGAATTTTCAATTTCAAAGTGACAATGTACAGCCAACTCTCTCCCAAAAGGTTTAATCCTTCTCCCTCTCTCTTTTTCATCTGCAATAAATAAATAATTGAAATCCATCCGATACTACATATGAAAACTTCAGTTTCTGGAAAAATCAAGGTTTTTCCCTGGATGATTCTAAGAAATACATATGGCTAGTATTGGATATAAAGTTTCTTTCTAGAGACAGTTCTTGGGGGTAGACAGTGTGTGTGTGTGTTGATAGGATTGAAATTTAAATCGGATTACTCATTCCACTAGCATCCTGAATAAGTAAAAGCAAGTCAAAGGGCTGTGTTTTAATATTTTGGAAGTGGATAGAAGAGTTCAAAAGTGAGTAGGTTGGGGTTTCAAATTTTTAAAATATTTCACCTACTTTCAAACCTAGCAAAAGAAAGAGGAGATGGGAACAAGATAGAATTGTCATAAAGAATCCTAAGGAGGAAATGATGACTATGTGAGGACACAGACTTTAAACTATTCTTAATATTCTTTCTGGTCACCAGTCAACTCGGTTTTTCTATCAGTATTCTGATCATTGCCCCTGGGGCTAAATAATTTGGAGGATATCCTATAATTCTGCCATTTCTCAACCACCATCATTAGAGTTGTTTAGAAAATACACCAGAACTCTGACTGAATGCATCACCTGTTTCTCTTTCATAAATATCACTAAAGTTTGATCAGATTCCTGACCTACAGATAAACAAACAAATGAAAACAATATGAACACAAATGAGCTCAAACAACAATGAAAACAGTAACAATAACAAAACAAAACTACAAAGTTGGAGGTAGGGGAAGGAATGATGGAAAAAAACTCAGACAACATTTTTTTAATAGTCATTTGCTTGATTTCTGGAAAAGTATGAAGAATAAAATACATTAACAAGTGTTGACATATAATCTCAACTGTGCAGTAACATAAAAGAAGGAAAAATTGTCAGTTCAACCCAACAGCTCTCCTGGACTCGAGCTCCTGCTGTAACTTTTATAAATCCTATTAAAGGGCAAAAAGGCTTAATGGTAAAAACATTACTATAAATTCAGAAACATCTTTCTGATGAAAGTAACTTAATATTCATTATAGACAAAATTGGGAAATATAAAATACCAAAGTGTATGAAGTGGGAATGACAATAAAATGTAATACTACCATACAGAGATAAGCACTGCTAATATTTAATTTTATGTCCTTCCAGTGTCTCTAATTCTATTCATATTCTATTTACTAATTGAGTGCTGAACATGTACCATAGACAATTATACATTCTCTGCATGTATAAACTCATTAATTCTGTTCCAGAAACTTTTGAAATATAAATAATTTTTCTCATTTTCATAAATAAACTAAGACAAAATATTTAGAGAATGGCAGAACTTTTTTAGACAGCTGTGGTACACATCCAATATTAAAAGTAGAGATAAAATTTTAAAATAAAACAGTAGTAAAAGAGTAAAAAAAATAGAAAACAACCTAGTGTAGATTAGCAGTTCTGACTTATGCTCCTGTTTAATCAAACTTGGTATATGGCCCCTAAGTTTAATTCAACCACAAATTTTTCTGTCATCCTACCACCTCCTTCTTCTCCTCCTCCTCTTCCTCCTCCTCCTCCTCCTTCTTCTTCTTCCTTTTCTTCTTCTTCTTCCTCTTCCTCTTCTTTTTCTTTTTTAATCTGTAGAGTTTTCAACATGTAGCGCAGGCTGGTCTAAAACTCCTGGGCTCAAGGGATCCGTACACCTTAGCCGCCCAAAGTGCTGGGATTACAGGCGTGAGTCACCATGCCCGACCAGTATTCTACTTTTCATCAGTACTATTCTCCATGGAATTCCTTAGCACCATGAGTGCTGTGATTTTGCCTTGTATTTGCTCTTTCTTTGTCTCTCTTGCCCTGCCCTCCTCATGCATTCTTCAGCAACCTCTTCCACCAACATGCACATACATAAAAACAGAAACATGCATACGCACACATTCATTCCCTTATAAATTTACACCTTCGCCTAAAGTCTCTATTCATCCTTGCTGGCTATGTTTTGCACTTCAAAGGAGGTAGCTCTTCTCTCTCTCTCTCTCTCTGTGTTTGTGTGTGTGTGTAAAATAAATTATATACATACAAGTATTGTATAATTCTTTGTAATTATTTTCATGTAATTGTTTCCAAATCTATTTTGTGATCTTCTTCGGGGCAAAGATATAATTTTGGCACATCAGTGATACTCCATTTATAATTTATAAATAAACAGCTTTTTTGATCATTTGCTTTTGTTTTCTCAATTCAGTAAATACAGGCCAACAATTCAAAATTATCAGTAGTTCAGGAATTATATCAATGTTCTCTTCAAAAGAGAAATGTTAAGGAAAACAACAAATAAAATTTCATTAATTAGTAATTATTGGGAGGCTCATATTTTTTGCCCAGATGTCTAGGCTATGAAAAGGCCTTTGTATGTAATTCCTAATCTTTTTTTTTTTTTTTTTTGAGACAGAGTCTCACTCTGTTAACCACACTGGAGTACAGTGGCACAATCTCAGCTCACTGCAACCTCAGCCTCCAGGATTCAAGTGATTCTCTTGCCTCGGCCTCCCGAGTAGCTGGGATTACAGGTGCCCCCCACAATGCCTGACTAATTTTTGTATTTTTGGTAGAGACAGGATTTGTCCATGTTGGCCAGGCCAGTCTCGCTCTCCTGACCTCAAGTGATCCGCCTGCCTCAGCCTCCCAATGTGCTGGGATTACAGGTGTGAGCCACTGCACCCAGCTGGCCCTACTCAATTTTTATAATACTGGTCAATTTCCTATTCTTTTTATTATAATATACTGCTATTATTAGTTATACAATGGATTTTTGCCATGTTATTAGTATCTATGTGTGTGTAAATGCATATAATCCCTTTCAAACTAGTGTACTCAAACTAATTGTAAAGGGAAATTTTCTCTTTTTTTAACTTTCAATCCACTGTGAAGCTAGCTAGAATTTTTCAATCAAATTGTAAGTCCTTTGAAGTCACTCAGATACTTGGATTTATTAACATATTATTAATATAAAACAAGTAATGCCTACTATAGGCCAATGGATGTGGTCATGTGCAACCAAGAAAATGCAGAATAATACAGTAGATACCACTTCATGTGATTCAGACAAGGCTTAAAGACTTTTTAAAACCAGACTGGTTTACAGAACTAATAAATTTTGGGTTTAAACTCCAGTGACTTTTTCCTTTTTATATAAAATAATATTAAATTTAAATTTACATTATCTCTGTTTATTTTCCTTTCCCAAGTTGGCTGATGTCACAGTGCATTTTCTTTTTAATAACAGCTTAGATTAAGTAAATCTTTATTGTATTTTACAGAAAAGTCATATTGCTATTAATAATGTTTTTGATATTATGGAAATATATTTGAGGTTGTAAAAAGTTAATATGTCAGTGCTTGAGGTGTAGACAAATATATTTGCAACTTACATAAGAGGTATAAAAATCATCTTGTAAGGCAAAGATGTTATTTTTGAATTGTTCCTAAGAAACGTTTGCTTAGTTCATTTATTAAAATGATCCCTCAAGTTATTAATGATATTTAATATGAATAAATAAGATTTTATGTCATTGTATTTGCTTAGAGTATCATTAAGATTTTTTTTAATCTACAGTAGTGGAAATTTAGTGAGCACTTTGTTATTGTTAGATTTTGTTTTGAGTCTGGTTGTAAATCAGTAATTGAATTGTGCAGAGTTTAACAGTTTAAACAGTCATTAAAAGTAAATGAAACATTGGAAAAACATTAAGAGATTCTACTACATTTTTAAATATGAAATATATATAAATACATATGTAAAATGTATATACAAATATAATATGTATATAAGTATATAAAATATTTGTATATATTTAAATATGAAATATGTATATATAATCCTTTTAGAAAAAAATTATGTTGAGTAGCCTTAAGATGTTTAAGAAATTGAAGGGGCAGTTAACTATAATAGACTTATTTAAATAAAAGCAATTTTTAATTTGATATTATTTTTTAAAATACAAAATTGCAAATAAATTGAAATTGATGGTAGTAAAATTGAAAATTTAACCTAAAACAAACCTCTTGCCAGTGTCCCTTGCAAAGGGACGATTACAAAGTTGTTTGTTACAAGGTTTTGCTTTGCTTTTGTTTTCTTTTTTTAACTCTAAAAGCTAGAAAACAATCTAAATATCTATCAATGATAATTTTCAAACAAAAGAGTATCATGTAGGGATTTAAAAGAATGAAGTAGATCTTTATATATCAATGTGGATAGATATGCAAAACAAGTTTGGTGAAGAGAAGATGCAGATTAATTCAAACAGAATAATGCAATTTGTAACAAAAATCAAAACACATTATGCAATCTTATACATTGCTTATGAAATGCATATCTAGTCATCCACATATAAGTTGTATATTGAAGAGATATGCATATAATTTTTTCATAGTATTTTCCAAATCCAAAGTCAATTTCTTAAAACATTTCTACCAAATAAAGTTGAGTTTGGGTTTGGATTTGGGTTCTGTTGTGGAGTAAAAAACATTTTGTTGAAATTCATACACAAAATAATTGAAATCTAAAAATAATACCAGGTCACAATGCATAAATTACTGAAAGGGGAAAAATGACTTTAGGGGTAACTCATCTTCAAGAAAGAGTCTGTAGTTAGACTGCTCACTGTGAACCTTTTCACACTTTGGATGCACTTCATAATCCAAAATAAGATGTCACCAGAAATGCTAATATTTGCCTTGGGCAATATGCTTGAGCAAGAGAAAATCTGATGCCCGTGCTGAACTTGTGAAACACTGGAAAAACATATTTTGTATTATAACAAATAAACTAGACACACTATAAAAATTCCAATATTTGTGAAATGGTCCTTCAGGACAGAATCTCATTCTTTATGTTCCTGAGACAAGAAGCTTGGCTCTCATGAAGCATAAGCAATCTGCCTCTCAAACCGTGAGAGGATAGAGCTTATTTAAGATCTGCCAACAGCATATTGCTTGGACTATATTAGTTTTTGCCCTTCAGGGATGTGTTTCAACTCAAAGTAATATTTATTCCAAATACTACACTAAATATCTTTGCAGCCTTCAAATTGATTTTGAGAGGAATCCCTGTCTTAGACCCATCAGAATAACTTTTAGGTTAAAGGGAGCCTTGGGAATCAGGACAGACCAAGGTACTCCATGAAACAACATGACTTCAGAGGAAAACGGTTCAAATAACGAATTGACTGCAATAAGGACAGTGAAAGAATTGCCTAAGACTCACAAGAGAAAACTGAGCCTGTGATAATGAAACTACTTTGTCTGCTACTATAAAATTGTTCAGTGCAATCCTCAGATCTCACTGCCCTTATTGCCCATAACAGGGTCAAAGAATGCCTGCTATAAAGAGTAAGTAATTTCTCAATTATGTTTTTATCAAACTTTGACACATATATGAAAGAACCTATAGAAAATATGAACACAGATTTTTTCAGTAAAGACACTTTAAGCCTTTACAAAATCTATATGATTGGACTTTTCCAATTAAAATATAATAACTGCATGTTTGGGTCATGCTCTTAATTAGAACTCTAGCTACATAAATCCCAGCTGAGCTGCTTTTGTTTCCAAATTGAGCTTTGAATAAAAAGATGTATTTGACTTCATTAGAGTAATCTCTAGACAGGAACACTACTCCAACTCTTCTAATAAATAAATTAGTAATAACAATAACATTTGAAAAAAAATTATAATGGGTGTCCATCTTGCTATTTTGTAGGTGTACAAGTTTGTAAGAAAAGAACCAACATATTAATTTTAAAATAAATTTCTATTTTTTTCCAAAAGGATAGTTTTATTAATGGCCTAATATAAGTAAAGTGCTTTCCATACAAAAAGCAGTAAGTTTCAAAATGTCATTGTTGAGAAAGAAGAGAATTGCTAACTTTCTAAAGATACATTAATGATGGCAGACAATCAGGGTCTCATTTACTTTGCTGAGAAAAGGTTAATTGGAGAAAGATGCTCTAATGATCAAAACCAATAATGAATTTAACAATATGTGCACTGATTTCCTTCTCAGCCATTGGAACACTCATTATATGGAACCCCAGTAGTTTCTCCAGTTACTTTACCTGACTGGATTTCCAAGACTTTCAGTCTGTTGAACTCACAACTTTATTGAACTTGTATTGTAGTCTTTAAATTTCTGTTAACAGTTTGTTTGGCCATTTCTTTTATCCAAATCAAGAATAGGACATGACTCATCCATCGTCAACTTTTATTTGAAACTCTCTTTTTTTAAAAATAAGACTTTGAATCTCATGCTCTATTTTACTGCTCTAAGTGTAATGCTTGTAGAAAAAAGCTTCCTATTTTAATGGCGTGTTTGTTTAATTTTCCTTTCAGGAATTTATCTCAACAAGCACTTTGCTCAGGAATTTCTGAATTCCCTCCATTTGGCGGCACTTTTATTTTTTCTGAAGCAACGATGAATTATTGGTATTATCAAATGTAGTTTTAATATACATTTCTCCATCTTTAAGATTTCTCTTCCAAAATATCCAAGGCTTTTAAAAATTCAATCACATTATTTTTCACCTCTGACTTCCAGGTTCATTTTTTTATTTAAACATAAAATGTTTCATGTTCATGTTCTTATTTAAATCTATTTGTGTATATATATGTGTGTGTACATGTACACACACACATACATTATACACATACACACACACTAATGAAGAAATTATTTATATAGCTATAGAATATCATAAGATTACTCTTTTTGTGAGAATCAGTAAGACTCAGAAAGATACCTTCTTGTTCATTTGTCTTAAATACATTCTAGTATCCTGATTGGAACACATTGACTAAGTATTATGTATTTATTTGCTTTTAGTAGAAGTTATTTGTTTAAAAATAACCTGGATACCACTTTAATTCTCATTTTAATTGTATTGTTCTTCAAATCCCATCCCAATTCTGGATTATGACAAACTATAATAATCCAAAATTAAGAGAATTCTTGTTAAGCAAAGTAAATAGGCCTGCAGTCGCCTCATTTGGAGGAAAAAACTGTTTGTTGTTTTAGTTTTGTTAATAAATGATCAAAAGAGTACTTTCTGAAACTAATGCTGTGTATTTTATTCCCTTCATAATGGACTATGTGATTTAGTTGACATACAAAAAGTTAAACATACAATTTAGATTTTCTTACACCACAGTAAAAATCAGTCCTGCTGCTCTCTTATCCCTGTAGAGGCCACTATTCAACATAAATTTAACATGTTTTAAATTTCAATTTGAGTAGGATGTCAAGTGAGTTGCTATCTTATATGCCATAAAATGCACATTTAATTTACGTGTAGACAAAAATGATGATATTTCTGAAACGTAGTAAATATGTGATGTCTTTGTGTGGACTTAAAGTATTAGAGGTGTTCCGACTATGTATGATTTTTAATATCATTCATTTTCTTTTGACTATGTATGCAGTCATAATCAGCATTTCAATTACTGTCCTGGTGATAACATCATGCAAGTCTGTTCATTTTATCTTGTAAACTATGAGTACAACCAATTGTGACATTTGGGTGAGCTTCACTGATTTTCACTTTGATCTTCTATTTTCAAACCCAGTGAAATATTAAGGAAAAGCACCAAGCACAGAGCTAAAATAATTTTGCCTAAAGATTTTGCCTCAGTCCAGTCAGAGTTCTAGAACAGTTCCACATTACCCCCTGTTTGAGGAAGAAAGAAGGAGAGAAAGAATATATGTCATTCATTATTTGAAAAACATTGTCTTAAATGGATGGAATATCAAACACATATTTTAAAAGGCCAGGAATGTATCATAGCTAATAGCAACTCCATTTTTTTCTTATTTTATGTGTAGTTTGCATTCAAATATCAATGAAGCATTCCTGAAAAATGTACGGGACAATAACTTTTAGGCAATCATATCAGTGTGGCTTTTATAATAATGAGGAAACCAGAGTAATTCAATCAAAGCATCTTGTTATTTTTTCATGGCAATTAGAGATACATCATATATTTTGAATTTCTCTGCCTAGCACAATACCTGGGAAATGGATGCATTCTACAAATGTTAGTTTCTATGAGTCAATAAATTCTCTGCCATAGAAGAAGATATTAAAAGCAGATTTCTTTTAAATGCACTCTCATTGTGGAAGTGTTGGAGGTCTCTGAGCACAAATCTCCTCTTTAGAACACACACTGCTCCTTTACTATAAGTGGCTCTGCATTAATGACACATTTATTTCTCTTTTTGGTTAGGATACATAACCAGGATTACTAATAAATCTTTCATTAGCTTACCCTCATTCCAGTTTTGGCATGTTTGCTCTTGCAGATCCCTGTACTGACAGTAATAACTCTAATTGTGGTGAATGATTCTGATATTTGTTTGTCACTTGTTTTGTCATTTGTTTTTCATATGTTTTGTTCACTTTTTACAAAGCACATTCATGTGTAATTTTGAAAATCATTTTTAGGTATACACAGCAAATGTTAACATTCACATTGTAAAATAATTCAAACTTAAATAACATTACAATTCCACTCGGCTGCTTCCACAATTCAAGATACTTCTAAAAGGATAATCCTTTTATCAATTTTGAGTGAATATTTGTATGCATTTACATACATAATGAACATCTATAAAGGTAGTTGTCATTATATATTGCTTATTTTTTAAAGACCTATTATTGATTATCTAAACAGTGTTAGCTTATAGCTATATTTTGGCTTTTCGGGTTCATGAATGCTCATATATATGTATGCATATATATGTATATTTACTTATATATTTATAACAATTATTCTGCCTTGGAGATACCGAATTCATATTCTCTTAAACAGATGTATAATACTCTTTAGTACACATTAACAGTTGTCCTTTTCAGTCTTTCAATTGGATAATCTCACCCTTCTTTGGTAGCCACAGGAAGCAAGAGAGTGTCTTGAAGACAAGAAGATTCTGCCATGATCAGCCACAGCTATGCTAGGTTAATTTGAAAGCTATGCTAGGGAGTGAATTTCCTGGCCTCCTAGACTAAATAAAATTTCTCACATCAGGAAATAGAATTGGTGGAAAAAAAAATTCTGCTAATACTTTCTTTATTCTGACTGGCAAATAGATCAGTGGGAGAAATGACAGGACTCCCATGTTTTAATTTTTTGAAATATAGCCTTGGAATTATTTGTTTAAAAGAAACTCCAGATCCTTTATACTTAGTTTCCTCCATTTAACCTAACTAGGATTTCAGTCAAAATCCCTTGCAATGATTTGAAAAATCTTCAGTGTGGCCTTATAGTGTTACCTGATTCAAGCACAAACTAGTTTTGTAAATTTGCTATTTTGTATTACATAATATGGAAAGCAGTTGTTTCCTCAGCTATGTGTTTGATAGCTGCATAGCCTGTCATTCGTGATAAAAGTACTACTAATTATTTGCCTTCCATGGGTATGAAAACAATATTCTTCTTCTATCCAAATTATATATAGAACTAGGTGTTTATATACAAACATATCAGTGGGTAATAAACTGACCCATTTTTTCATTGCTCTTGGATTTTCTGCCACAGCTTTGTTAAGGCATATCTGACATACAATGAACTGCACATATGTAAAGAGTTATAACTTGGTAAGTTTTGATGAAGGAATATACCTGTGAAAACCTTGCCACAATCAAGATAGTGAACATGTGAAAAGTGAGCACAAATTCCCAGGGCAAGGTATACAATTTGCAGTAACCAGTGCATAGCAAAAATGTGGGATCCCTGCGGGGTGCAGGGAAGTCAATCTCCTCTTTCTACGGGTTCATAGTCCCTTAGTCCCATCTCTGTGGTCCGGACACCTCCAAGGAATGCGACCTCTATCCTGCAACATGCTCTATTCCTGGATCTGGATAGCTAAGAGCTCCCCTGTGGATCGCCTGTCAAATGTGCTGAGGTGGTGCCAACCAAAAGCAGAGTGGTCTTCTCTTTACCCTTCCCTAAGACGCCTCTGGGCCACACCGGCCCTCCCTCTCCCCTCTCTGCCCACGCACGCAGGCTCCCACAGGGGCAGAGGGATGCAGCTGCACTGCATACACCTCCCCGCCCAAGCAACCTGGTCTCCACTCCTGATTAAAGGTGGCAATGGTCCTGGGGTAGGGTCCCAAGGTGCCAGAGTTCGTGAGAGGGCAGCCAAGAACCTGTCCTCGTCGCAGTAGAGGGTGGTATCAGGAGGCCCCGTGTGAGCCAAGGCTCCAAACTCCTACCACATGTTCAGTTGTCACACATGTTCCGTTTTGTGATTCCATTTATAAAACAAAAACTCAAAGATAAAATAAGAATTTCAAGAGGGTTACAGCATCGCATTAAACCCCAAGCACAGGGCAGGTCTGAGCACGGGTTCTGTGCATCCATAATGGTTGTCGTTCCATGAGGCCAACTCTGCATTTCCCTTTGTAATCCCTTCTTATCGCTTGTCGGCCTTTTGGCTAAGATCAAGTGTAATCCCTTCTTCCTCCCTTCTCCCAGCAATTGCCTGTTTCTCTATCGACAGTGAATTGCATTTTCTAGAATTTCATATGCATTGATTTTATAGGACATATTCTTTTAGGTCTGGCTTCTTCCACTCAGCATAATTATTTTGAGTTTCATCCATGATGTTGTACTTATCGTTTATTCTTTATTACTGCTGAGCAGTGTTCTATTGGATTTATATACCTGACCTGTTGATGAGCATTCATTGTTTGTTTTCCAACTTATTAGCTATTACTAGAAAAGCTGCAATGACTATGGGTATGCAAGTCTTTTTAACAACATATATATATATATATATATAATTTTTTTTTCTTTTAAGGATACCTAGAAGAATGACTGGATCATATGTGATAAATTTGCCAAAATTTTTAAAAAATTGCCAAACTGAATTTCTTTTTTTTTTAATTTTCTTTTTTGTTTATTATTATACTTTAAGTTTTAGGGTACATGTGCACAATGTGCAGGTTAGTTACATATGTATACATGTGCCATGCTGGTGCACTGCACCCACTAACTCCTCATCTAGCATTAGATATATCTCCCAAATTGAATTTCAATGTGATTGTATCATTTTATATTCCTACCAGGAGTGTATAAGAATTCTAGTTCCTACATTTCCTCCATGGTGATTTAATATGGCCAAACTTTTAAATCTTAACCATTATAATAAATGGGTAGGCATATATTATTTTTTAAATTTGCATTTCCCTAAACACTAATGATGTTCAGCTTGTTTACAAATCTGTGCTATTGATATATTCATCTTGTGTCTGTTTTATTTTCTCATCCTCATATTTATTAGGTAGATTGTTTTATTATTGCATTTTGAGAATTCATTATACATTATGGACACAATTCCATTTTCTCCACTCTATGGTTTGTGTTTTCCTTCTTTTAAGAGTGTATTATGGAGAGCAGACATTTTACATTTTGATGAAATTTAATTAATCTTTTTTCTTCTTTTATAAATTGTGTTTTTGATGTTCAAACTAAGCTACTTTTTTAAACCAATAGCTGTAAAGATTTTCTTTTAGAATTTTTACTGGTTTAGGCTTTACATTTAAGTAAATTACTGATTCATTTTTAGTTAATTATTATATAATATGTGAGATAGGAATCAATAGTGTATTATTTATACGTATCTCCAACTTTCCTAATACCATTTATTAAAAATATCCTTTCTCCTCTGAATTCTCTTTGCATTTTGATGTAAAATCAGTTTACATATACATGATTTGGTCTATTTCTGGCCTATTAGGTTCTATTGATTTGCTAGTGTGTTTTTATGACACTACCACATTATCTTGATTGTTGTAGTCTTATATCATACGGTGTTAGTCTTCCAATGTTCTTCTTTTTCAGTGTTTTAACCATTGTATGTCTTTTGCATTTCCATGTGAATTTTAGAATCAGCTTGTCAATTATATTAAAAAAAGCTGGTAAAAATTATATTAGATTTTGTTGAAGCTATATATCAATTTGAGATATATATCAGTATATCAAGATATCAATTCTACATCTTAACAATGCGAAGACTTTAAACACATGAACAAGGTTTTTTATTTAATGTTTCATTTCTCTCAGGAGTCTTTATGGTTTTCAGTGTGTATCTTTGGTTGTATTGGATTCGTGGATCTTTTGTTGGATCAATCCCTTTGAAGGTGTATTTTATACTATTTTAAATTGTATAGGTGTTTTTGTTTGAATTTCTGATTGTTAGTGTACAAAAACTCAGTAGATTGTACTGTATTTATTTTAGAACCTGCAATATCTAAACTGTTTATTTTAGAAGCTGCTTCTGTTTATTTACTTTGATTTGTTTTTTGTAATCTCCACAGAATTTTTTTGAAAAAAAGAATAAATTCATATGAGAATTAAATTTTAGTTTTTCATCTCTAAACTGGATGCCCCTTATTATTATTATTATTATTGGCTAATTGCATGATTAGAACTTCCAGTTCAATACTGAATAGAAGTGGTGAGACCTCACATCTCCATTGTTGTCCTGATATGTGGAAGAAAGTATTCAGTGTTTCACCATTAAATATAATATTTTTTGTCAGGATTTCATAGATGCCCTTGATCAGTTTGAGATATTTTCTGTTTCTACTTTGCTTAAAGTTTCTATCAGAAATGAAATTTGTATTTTTCCAAATGCTTTCTATGTGTCTATAAGAGATGATCAATAGTTTCTTCTTTAATCTGTTAATGGAGTGAATTACATTGATTGATGCTTATATATTAAAACAGTCTTAAATTGGTGACTTAACTGTCCATGGTCATTTTTCATTATCCTTTTAACATATTGTTGAATATGATTTGCTAATATTTTGTTTAGAATTCTTATATCTGTATTCACAAAGAATATGTATCTGTACTTTTCTTTTTATACTTTTGCTTTATTTTGCTACCTATTTTCTAGCCTCAAAGAATAAGCTGAAAATTAATTCCTCCTCTTCATTTTTGGGAAAAGTTAATAAATAATTAATATTTTTAATGTACTATAAAATTCCCTGTGACTGTATCTAAGTTTAGAGGTTATTTTGTTACAATATTTTATATCACCAATTTAGGTTTTTTAATTGTAAGTAGCTATTTAGGTTATCTACTTTTTGAATGAGCTTTGGTAGTATGCATCTTTCAGGATATTTGTCCACTTCTCATAAATTGCTGAGATTATTGACAATGAGTTGTTCATAATGTTACCATGTCTGTCTTTTAATATACATACATAATCTGTGGTGGTGTCACCTCTCTTCTTACTGCTATTAGTAAGGTGTGATCTTCTCTCTTTTTTCTTAATCTGTTAGATTAGAAATGTATCATTTTTATTGATCTTTTCAAAGGGATGCCTTTTGTTTCATTGATTTTCTTTATTGTTTTATGCATTCTAATCATTGATTTGCACCCACATTATTATTATTTATTTTATTTATTTTGAACTTTATTTTCTCTTAGTTTTCTAATTTTATTAGGGAATTTGCTGATGTTATTAATTTGAGACCTTTCCTTTTCTAATGTAGGTGTTTCATACTATACATTTACCCAATGTTCCTTTTTTAATTTTTGTATTTTTTGTAGAGACAGGATTTCACCATGTTGCCCAGGCTGGTCTCCAATTCCTGGGCTCAAGTAATCCGTTTGCCTTGGCCTCCCAAAGTGCTGGGATGATAGGCCACCTCCCTGACCTCAATGCTTCTTGAATGGCTTTATGCAAATTTTGAAATGATGTGTCTTTGCAATAAGGGTAAAATACTCTCCAATTTGATTCTTTTTTTAAGGTATAATTTTTTTTAGAAGTCTATTAGTTATGTTTCAAGCATTTGAACATTTTTTTCTGGTATTGATTACTACTTAAATTCCATACTGGTCTGAGAACATACTTTGTATGAGCTGAATTATTTTGAATGTATTTAGACTTGTCTTGTTGTCCAGAGTAAGCCTATCTTATTAAATGTTTCATGTGCACTTAAAAAGAATGTTTATTCTGCTGTTGTTGGATAGAGCGTTCTGTAAATGTCATCTCTGATTATAACTCTGAAATTTCTATTTTTCCTAACTTCTATAAGTATTTTTTTAGGTATTTTTAAACTTTGTTATAAAGTGCATAATTGTTTATGATTGTTATACTGTCTTGATAAGTAAACTCCTTTATCATTATAAAATGCCTTTCCTTATTCCTGGTAATATGCTTTACTCGGAAAACGACCTTATCTGATAGCAATAGACACACTCCAAGTTACCTTTTGTTAGTGCTACTTGACATATCTTTCTGCATAATTTAATTTTAACATCTGTGAGTCTTTATGTTTGAAACATATTTAAGTAGCAGGTAGCTGTTTATTGTTTGTTATTTAATTGACAATCTCTGCTTTTTAATTGTATCATTTGTACCAGTTACATTTACTATGATTATTGATATGCTTAGAATTAATCTATAATCATGATATTTGTTTTTTATTTTTCTTTACTTCTTTCTCCTTTACCTTCTTATTTTGCATTCCTTTAGATTAATTGAGTAATTATAATAGAACTTTATCTTCTTTATTGGCCTATTAGTGATAACTATTTTTTGTTACAATAGTGACTAGTCTAAAATTTATAACAACTACTTTGAAATTTTCCTAGTCCCCTCTCAGAAGTGATACCACTTCGCATATAGCACAATAACCATACAAGTATATACTTCCTTTTTCCCCTCTTGCCCTTTATATATAATTGGTATACATTTTATTTATCATCTGTTACTTCATATGTCACATTACATTTTTATCATTTTTATTTAAACAGTTATCTTCCAGAGATATTTAAGTAACAAGAAAAACACTCTCTTGTATTTTGCCTTATAGACACTAATTCCAGCATTTTTTCGTTCCTTCATGTTGATTCATATTTCTCCCTGCTATCATTTTCCTTTATGAAGGACTTCTTTAAACATTTGTTGGGTCTTCTGGAGATAAATTACTTTGAGTTTCGGAAAAAGTTTAGTTTGTCTCCAATTTGGAAAGATATTTGCTTTGGGCATAAAATTTTGGGTTGATATTTGTCTATTTATTTTAAATTTAGGGTATATGTGCAGGTTTGCTATTTAAGTAAATTGTGTGTCATAGGGGTTTTGTGTACAGATTATTTCATCACGGAGGTAATAAGCATAGTACTTGATAGGTAGTTTTCGATCTTCACTCTCCACCCACCCTTCACTTTCAAGTAGGCTCCAGTGTCTGTTGTTCCTTTCTTTGTGTTCATATATACTCAGTGTTCAGCTCCCACTTACTAGTGAGAACACGCAGCATTTGGTTTGCTTTTCTTGTGTTTGTTTGCTTAGGATAATGGCCTCCAGCTCCAACCATGCTGCAGCAAAGATGATATTTAGTTTTCAAAAATATTTTAGAAATCTTATTCCGTTATCTTTTTGCTTGCATTCTTGCTTCTGAGAGCAAGGAAACCAGTGCAAGTCCTAAAACCTCAAAAGTAAGGAAGCCAACAGTGCAGCCTTCAGTCTGCATTGGTGTAAGTGCAAGACCACTGGTGTAAGACCAAGAGTCAAAAAGCTGAAGAACTTGGAATCTGATGTTTGAGGGCAGGAAGCATCCAGCACAAGAGAAAGATGAAGGCCAGAAGACTCAGCAAGTCTACTCTTTCCACCCTCTTCTGCCTTCTTTATTCTAGCCATGCTGGCAACTGATTAGATGGTACCCACCCAGATTGAGGGTGGGTCTGCCTCTCCCAGTCCACTAACTCAACTGTTAATCTCCTTTTGCAACAACCTCACAGACACACTCAGGAACAATAGTTTGCATCCTTCAATCCAATAAAATCGACAGTCAATCATCACAGCATAATTGTAAAAATTTTTAATAAGATGCTAGCAAACCAAATTCAGCAGTGCATTAAGAGTCATTTACATGATTAAATGGGATTTATCACAGGAATGTAAGGATGCTTACACATACACAAGCTGGTAAATGTGATGCACCACATTTACAGAATGGAGGAACAAAAATCATATGATCATCTCAATAAATACACACATGCACAAAGAATTTGATAAAATTCAACATTCTTTCATCATGAAAACTCTCAGCAAATTACTTATAGAATAAACATACCTCAACATATTAAAGGCCATATAGTACAAACCTACAAGTAACATCATACTCAATGGTGAAAAAAGTTAAAAGCTTTTCCTCTAAGATCAGGAACAACACAAGGATTCCCACTTCTATTCAACATAGTAATAGAAGTACTTGTCAGAGTGATTAGGTTAAAAAAGAAATAAAGGCATTCAGGCCAGGCATGGTGGCTCACGCCTGTAATCCCAGCACTTTGGGAGGCCAAGGTGGTAGATCACCTGAGGTCAGGAGTTGGAGACCAGCCTAGCCGATACAGTGAAACCCTGTCTCTACTAAAAATACAAAAATTAGCCAGGTGTGGTGGCATGCACCTGTAATCTCATCTATGCAGGAGGGTGAAGCAGGAGAATCACTTGAACCCGGGAGGAGGAGGTTACAGTGAGCTGAGGTCATGCCTCTGCACTCCAGCCGGGGTGACAGAGTGAGACTCCGTCTCAAAAACAGAAAACAAAAACAAAAAGAGGGATTAAGGCATTCAAATCAGAAAGGAAGAAGTTAAATGTGTATGGGTCGGGGCAGGGATGGTGGTATATTTCTGACATTAAAAAAGAAGGAAGTCCATTTGCAACAACATGGATGAAACTGAGGACCTTTTACTAAGTGAAATAAGTCAGACAAAGAAAGAGAAATACTGTATGATCTCACTTACGTTATATGTGAACTCTAAAAAAAATTAAACTCATAGATACAGAAAGCAGAATGGTAGTTGCCAACAAATGTCTTTTCTCCATATATGTGTTAAACTCCAGCTTAACTTCAGGCTTGAGAGCCAACCCTATTCTATGTGATTGCAAATAAGAAAATACACTGAATTGTTAAAATGAACCTTCCCCAAATGCACTATTATAGAGTTATTTTGATTTTGTGCCTGACCTAAATGGGTTATTAAACAAATATTCATAAGTCAAAATGGGTGAATATTATCATTAGGAAAGATTCTGGCACCATAACATGTTCAATATAAATAAGTGCAATGTTGAATTCACATATAACATAAGTGAGATATCTAGAAATATTAAACATTTGAAAGATATATTGCACAGCCTCCTGACTTGTTAAATTATGATCCCACAGAACAGAATATGATGACCTCCACAGGAAAATTGATGCACTGATGTCTACTTAACACAAATATATTTATAAAGAGTAAATAATGTGATAACCAGTAATACCATTTTATTAATTTGTTATTACACAGAGTAGAAATATTGTACTGCTTTTTTTCAATTTTTAATCTACCTGTTAACATGTCTGAAAATCAGATATGTCTGAAAATCAATGGCAGGTCGTGAATTAATTGGTAATATTTTCCTTAAAAATATAAAGAATAGAAGCTTATCTTAAAATGATGAATTCTGTTATTTTAAAAAATATTTATTTGCAAAATTTATTCAGTTTCCAAAGAATTGTAAAATACACACACAAATTTTCAGAAAATGAAGTTTATGCAATAGCCATATAGTGATTTGCATCCACTGTTACAACACATGCTCAGACTGTGGTCTAATCCACATAAATTTTTATTTGGAAACACACACATTTTATTCAGTAAAGAGCAATTACTTTATGGCAGGCAGTCTCTAGTATCTCTGCTGCAGAGTATGTATTTTATATTACATTTTTACTCACATAAATACAGTCTACCATGGACGATAAGCAGATAATTCATTTTCTATACCAGGACACTAAGAATAAAAAAGTCTTTATAAACATTAAGGTGGCTTAATACATGTGATATGAACAAGTTATATCACAGGCAAACTAAGATGTATGGTCACTCTCTAGGGTTTTAATTTAGAAATAGAAAATTATTTATCCAGAGGACATAGCATACGTCCCCCAAATTAGGCAATTTCATCATTGTGTGAATATTATAGAGTGTGCTTAAACAAAGCTAGATGGAAAATTCTACTATGCACCTAGGCTATATAGTATAGCCTATTGCTCCTAAGCTACAAACCTGTTTAGCATGTTACTGAACTGAATATTGTAGGCAATTGTAACACTATGGTAAGTGTTTGTACATCTAAACAAGACTAAACATGGAAAAGGTACACTAAAAATATGATATACAAGATTAAAAATGCTACACTTGTATAGGGTACTTAGCATGAATGAAGCTTACGGGACTAAAGCTCTGAGTGAGTGGTGAGTGAATGTGAGGACCTGGGATATTACTGTACACTAACTACTGTAGGCTTTACAAACACTGTAAGCTTAGACTTCACTGAAGTTATTTTATAATTTTCTTTCTTTAATAATAAATTAACCTTAGCTTACTGTAACATTTTTAGGTTTATAAATTTTAAAGTTTTAAAACTTTTGACTCTTTTACAGTAACACCTTAAAAAGCACGGTTCTATGGCTATAGAAAAATATTTTCTTTTTTGTATTCCTTTTCTATATACTTTTCATCAAGTAATCATTAGGCAACAGATATTTTTCAGCTCCATTGTAATTTTATGAAACCACCATAGTATATGTGGTCAATTCTTGACCAAATTATGGTTGTATGTTACATGACTGTATCTGAAAAAGCAACTGACAAGCTATATAGACTTGATATTTGTTAGATATTTTTCTTGCAAAAGAGCAAAATTAGACTACCACTTCAGTAAATCAATTTGTAGCACTTATTTCTAAAGATTTCTAATTTTTTATATGTTTACCCTTTGTCATTCTCAGACCAAGTACATGTTTTCACACAGCCATCTTTCTTTTCCTGGAATCTTTCAGAATTACAGTTATGATGTCCTTTTATATTCCCCAAGCTGATTTAATGTTGTGAAATACTGTCAGAGATAAATTATGCATGCTAGGAGAGAAAAGATTAACATAAAATGTGGCAAATATAGAAAATATAAACTAATACAAACACATATATTCATAACAATATCAAATGAATCTTCATAATTAAGAAAAGTATAGACAGGTACAAAAAATATGACTTCATTTGTTTCTCTACCAAATAGAATCTATGTGTTTTTTTCTGTGACCCAAGATACCAAATTTTGCATTTAAATTTCACATTTTAATTTACAACTTTTATTCTGGTTATCACAGTGGAATACTGTTATTGTTTACATGAATGTTCTTTACAGTAAACTGTGAGCTTCTGTAGAGGAGCTATGTCTTATTCATGCCCGGCCTAGCAGAATGATAGATATTTTAGCCTAAAGAAGTCAATCAGATAAGTTCAGTGATTCAAACTTATATTGCAGGCACAGATGGGAGTGTCTAAATTAATAGTAAATGAAGAAAAAATGTTTAAAATGTTATTTTTAAAAATATTTTTGTGTATTGAGAAAAATTCTGATTCATAATTACATATATGATCTGAAATTTAGGACAAATTAAATATTAATAAATGATTATTAATCAAATTTTGTTTCTAAAAGTATTATTTGGTGGTGTGATATAGTATATCTTGCTTCATCTTTGGCTTCCATAATGTGTTCTCAAAATTGGTATTTAGGAAAAATATTCAGGAGTGTTACCATTCTTCAATGATCCTAGGTCTTTTGATCTTCAAGACATCCTCTTTGGAAGTATTAAACATTGTTTGAAAATTAACTTGACCGTTATCCATTTTAATTATCAAAAAATCTCCTTTGTCAAGTTCTTGTAGATTATTTGAGCAGTTCTCCAGCAATTTCATCAACTTCATAAAATCTTGCATCTTTTCAAGATCTGTAATTTTCATTGGATCTTATTTTCTATTATATTTGCACTATAATGTCAATGTTCTATACACCTGAGATTCAGTATAAGACTGACTTATCCATGTGCAATGAATTCTTTTGTTTTCTTTTTTTGGGACAAGGGAGTAACTAGGTCTATAGCCTGAACTACGGGTGTGTGTCAGCAACCCTAGCCAATTTTTTTTTTTTTTCAGTTTTTATAGATACCCGGTCTTGCTATCTTTCCCAAGCTGTTCTTGATCTCCTGGCTTCAAGTGATCCTTGACCTCCCAAAGTGCTGGGAGGATAGACATGAGCCACTGTGCCTGACCCAAGTGGAATAAACTCTAATGTTAAGTGGTGAGTACCTAGTTGGCGGCTGATCTTTAGCAGTTAATTTATTAGTAAATATTTACCTAATAAAATAATTTTTCTTCTTAAAATATCTTGCAGTTCTAGAAACTTGGTTAATGCATGGTTAGATAATGAGAATGACTCTGTATTTGGGAGTTCTTGCTTTTATTTAATACCAGCAAAATTAATTTTTTTGTGTATGGCTCAGAATATTTTCCTAAGCAATGTAGCACACTTTGTGTTGTGTGTTTATGTATGCATATATATTTAGTAATATCATGTGTATATACTTAGGTCCTGTCCAATTGCCAAAATCTGTTAAATAGCTAACCAGGCTCTTAAATGTCACCTTTATAAAATGGTAATGTATATATCCTGTGAAATATGATCCTTAGGTAGAATTCTAGCTTTAATGAATTCCAACATTAATCCCATATGACTCATCTGTCAGGAAGTGTAAAAATCAAAACTGCTCCTTTTGTTGCCTTTCACTCACTATGAAAACAGAGCAAAGAACAGTCCCTTTGGCACATTCATCAAAACTGTGATCAGGCTGATTAAAATGCAGATATACTGGAGCTTGTCTTTTATCTGTATTCCAACAGTGATATCTGATTTATTTGAATCTCATTAACACTCTATTTCCATGCCTTCTTTACTATTGTTTGCTGCTGTTACCAGCATCTAATTAAACAAGCACAACTGGGAATTTTGCACACACATTTACTCTATATGTTTCTCTGATATTATTTGAAACCTGTCTTCCTCCCAGTAATGTACTCCTCAGGCGTAGGATGAGGGCAGAATGGTAATTTGGTGTTGTTCTGCACCGTATTACATTTGTGTGAGGAATCACAGGATCTTATAAATTTTTAAATTGAACAATACCCTCAATTTGGAATTTGCTTTCATTTCTTTTAAAGAACTTGCCACTTTGGTATAAAGGCTTTTGATATCTTAATGGCAAAGCCTGCATTTCACAGAATATTTATTTATTATTGGTCTGATTTCTGAGGTGATAAAATGGTGTATTTCATTTTTATTGCACACGTTTTCACTATTCTGTTTTCTGTATAGTTTTTCCCATTCTAGTAATTCAGACTCTGGGAAAATCAGATTTTCTAGGTGTCATCTTTTAAAGCCCCATTTGCTTTACATTGCTTGAAGTTTCTCAGTTACTCTACTACATCGTGTTTTCTAGTCATTTCTCTTTTACTCTTTCTGAAAATAGTCAATTATTTCCCTCATCCTTGCATACAAAAAGATGGAAAGTAGCAAAGAAAAATAGAAATGAATAAAAGAATATGAGATTATTTTAAATCACAATCAACTTCATTCCATGTTAATTTTTATCCTAAAGAATTTCAAATGCAAATCTTTGAGAATTAACGTAATGTCCTCTGTATTAGCTTCATGCTGTATAGTACTTGACACAGTGCCATGAACAGCAGGGAATATATTGTTTATTTTTGTGATTGTATCCTACTACCCATCTTAAGAAAAATAATTAAATTCAGGCTTCACAATTGTGAAAGCAATTCAAATATATTCATGTTTCAATTACCGTGATGGTGTAAATCCAGATTACACCATCTGATGCTTCTAGAGGGAACAATATGAACAAAAAGAGAACATTTACATTACATATATTTTGAAAGGTTAAAAAGGGGCAATGTAATTACTATGCTTCCTAACAGAAAGTTAACCATATATAACACACACCAACTGTTAGTAGCCATTACCCTACTTTATGTTATCTGAGTGAACTTCGATATTTAAATAATTCTCCTCACACATTTTACTTAGAGATGTCATGTGTCTCTATAACTGATATTGGCCACTTACAAAAACTTTAATTAATCATATTCTGAAGATGAAAACCTAACATCTGGTGGTGAGAGTGTAGAGAATGGATATTCTAATATATTATTTGTGGGGCCAACATTTTGGGGGAAAGATTTTAGGATGAATTATGCTTGCTGTATTCAGAATAACAATACTTCTATGAATCTAGCTAGAGAAATAGTAGCTTGAGTACATAAATACATATTAATCTATATACACACCTGTGAACAACTTATTAAAACATATATTGTAATAGAAAAATACTGATAGCAATCTAAATAACCATGATAAATGACTATTCCACTATTTGCAGAGGAATAGAATCAAATACTAAGCAGCATTTCCAGAAAAAATAGAGGTAGAACTATATGTGCTGAACATGGAATCTGTCCATAATATTTTTGTGAATGAAAAAAAGTTATTTAAATATTATGGCTTACATGATTTTATTATGGAAAATTGCATGGGCAAGTATATGTATTTATAAAATAAAATGTACTTCTGTGAGCCGGGCAAGGCTACCTGTGGGATGAGTGTAGAATGAGAATCTTGAGCAATAAAGATAGGAATTTTCTTTTCCTAATTTGTGTAAATTAGGAAAAATTGTATAATTAAGAAGAAAAATGGAAGATTTTAGATAATTTACAGCCCTTTCCAAAAAGATTATTTTGTTCTAACTTACAATTAATAATACTTTCCAATCAGGCTTTCTTGGGGACAGTTAGTGGTACAAAACTTTCAGCCTTGCATGTGAATGTCATTGTTATTGGTGGTCAATGACAAGGCAAACACATCTTAGTCTCTTCCCTTGGAATTCTGATTCAACTGAGAATAAAGCTTGCTTCAATACAATGTATTACTATTATTATCTCTTTCCTTTCTATAACAGTCAGTAAAGTCTAGGCTATGAAGAAAACATTTTTTCCTGAGGTCATTCAAGGAATATTTTTTCCATACTGTTGGGCTGCTCTTTCCAAGGTAATTGTGTCTTCTATATAGTCAGAACTGGGTGACTGCATATCCGCATGAAGGAGAGAAAGCCCAAAGAGACATTTCCTATAGATAGAAGAGGCCCTCTAGTGAGTGCATATTTTGTTTCTACTCTCATTTACTTAGTGATAACTTGGTCACATGGCCACACCTAGACAAAAGAAGTGTGTATGTGTGTGTGTCTGTAGGTGTCTGTGTGTGTGTGTTCGTATCCTGGCCTATATACTGCCCATAGACAATCATTTAATGTGTTTTACGTGTATGCTTATATTTGAAGGTATTAAAAATGTGCATTATTTGTGTCAAAATGTCTTTTAATGTGTTAGAGTGAAGAACAGTGCATTTGAATTAAGTGCCAGCTGCCCCAGCATGAAAAAGTACATGTCTTCTGTCCCTTAGAAAAATGATATTATAAATATTAATAAATAATGAATTTTCTTCCACCTTTGTGGGCCATATCAAATGAAATTTTACAAAATACACCAATGTTCTATCTCATACTCTAATATGTTTAGTTTCTTCAAAGTTTGGATAATGTTGTCGAATTAATTAGAACCTTCAATCAAAATATCAGTTACACAAATCTTCTCACAAGAGCCACAATAGTGGCTCTCAGCCAGACATGCTTTGCATTATGTTACTATAATATATCATACAATTATAAAATTACTCATGTCTTGGAAGACAAAAAATAAAATTAAGGCTCTGGTCACTTTCTTTTAACTTTGAAAAGCACCATCCCAGGCTTATGAATATGTATATATTTTCAGATTTTTGTAACTTATATATCTGTGCCAGGAAGTGATAGAGTCTAAAGTTTATGGATACTAATATTTCTTCAACAAAACAAGCATTATTTTCTACAAGATTAATGTAATTCTTTTTTATTTCTGCCTAGTATTTTAGCATTTCACTTTCTTTAATGTCATGTATGTAATTACTTTTAAAAAGGGCTATCTAATTTAGGTCATTTCCCAGTGATGCATCAGTGAGCATAAATTGCTATTCAATTGTGTCAGCTTTCATCTCTGAGTCAATGACCCACAGAACTACCATATTACAAATGTAAAACGATTCTGTTAACACATAGTGATTTTCTAGTTTCCTTAATCATTAAAAAGAGAGAGAGAGAGCATTTAATGTATTTCCTTCGTTCTACTCAGCTAACCCATCAAACTAAGCTGTCTGTTTTCAGGGCCAAATTTCTTGTCACTCTCTACAATGTCTACTGTGCATTCACATCTCAATTATTTATCACTAAGCTTCTATCCTGATACATATCCCAAACTACTCTTTCAGAGATCACTCTTTAGTTAACAAACACTTTGACCCTTTTTCATTCTCAATCTTAGGATACAGTCATTTTTTAAGATAATGTAGGTAGGTGGTTACATCGCATTCATACAGCCTGAGATTCAAAATATAGCTTTGTTAATTTCTGAATAGTTGCCCTTAGGAAACTCTGAGACTTATTACTTTGTGCAACTAATGCTTCTATTTTAAAGAGATGTTCTGAACTCTAAATGAGATAAGGTACTTAAAGTACTTAGTAAAGGGTCTAGTGCATATTAATGACAGCTATTAATACTAGACATGACATCTCTTTTTAATATTTCTGAACCCTCATTTTCTGTGAAATATATGACACCAGTTCTCACTCCACCTCCCAGATTACTCCTTTTTAGTCTCTTTGGTCATCATTCCTTCCTCCCATTTCTTATTTTTGCATATTTCTCAAAGATTTTTTTTGTTCACTGGCACTCCTGGTTCATCTTATCCTCTTTCTGGGAACAAAAACTTACTTCTCAATTCTACTAATTTAAATTCTGAAATATAATTCTCTAGACATATGTATTCTCTTAGCGTCACCTCTAAAATGTCATATTATCTTCAAGATATTTCTAAATATCTTTCTGGTAACTCGACCTCAGTATATTCCATTTGAATTCACTCTTGCTTCCTAAACCTCTTCTAACTATCCTCAGATTTCAGTGTTACTTTTATACTCACAGTCATTCAAACTTTTGGATCTGTTGCACCGTCCTCCCACAGGTAATCATTTGCCTAACAGCAGGAATATTGCATTTAGTCCAACCCCATGTACATCCTTCTGTTTCCACTCTGCCTTGCTAACGCTGAGGCCCTTAATAACTTTCAGCCTCTTATACATCTTTTTGCATTGATGCCAGATCAAACTTCTCAACTCACAGCACAAAGATTCAGGGGTTTCCCAATCATTAATTAATGCATAAGTTCAGCCATTGTTCAGTCTTACCTATCTTATCATCAGTAACTGGCTTTCAATATTGATAACTGTGGGAGGCACAGGCAAGAGGATTGTTTGAGCCCAGAAGTTCAAGACCAGCTGGGGCACCATGGCAAGACTCCATTCCTACAAAAGACATAAATAAATAAATAAATAAATAAATAAATAAATAAATAAATAAAATAAATTAGCTGGGCCTGGTGAAATGCACCCATAGGGCCAGCTACTCAGGAGGCTGAGGTGGGAGGATTGCTTGAGCCCAGGGGTTTGAGACTGCAGTAAGCTATGGTCGTGCCACTGCACTCTAGCTTATGCAATAGAACTAGAACTCGTCTCAAAAAATATATATATTGATAACTGGAAATAGGTTAAATGAAAAAACATAAAATTATTTCAGATGAAAAGGAGAAGGATGACTTGGTTAGAAAATCATCTTATGTGAAGATCTTGGCAATGCTTTACCTAGATAGAAAAGGTCATAAGTGGTATACCAACAACTGTATATAAAATACAGACTGTAAGAAAGCATACAGTTAGTGAAAGTGTACTATCCAGATATAATACTAAGAAAACCATAGAAATTACAGAAGAATGATTTGTGAAATGAAGTAAAACTTTTAAAATAATCAAAGATATTGTCACCCTCCAAAGTTATGACATTTTCTTCCCTGAAAGTAATCAATTAGAATAAATACGAACAAGGTCAATAAAATACTTGTCTGGCAAGTTTGTGCCATTTTTCTTTGGTTAAGAAATCACACCAATTTTATTCATATTAGTAGGAGCTAAGAATCCTATGCTGGCCATGCTTCAATTTTAAATATCAATTAAGGTTACTAATAGTCATTTTGACTTTTGAAAGAGTTGGCTGAAGGAAATAAAGGCAATTATAAGTAGCTCTGCATGATGTGGTCCATATATCTATTTTTTGGCCACTGTTTTGTTTTGAATGTTGTTCATAAATAGTGCAGATGGAAAGAGGATCAGATTATGGGAACTGATAGATCTAGTTATAAATATGTTTATTTCACCCTAATTACATGAGTTGAATATTCTTCATGAATATTCATAATAAAAAATATTAAAGACGGAGCATTGAAAATGAAAAGAACAAAATTAGGATTTCACCTTTCAAAGTCCCTGATTAAAGTGTAAATTCATCAGGAGGCTTATACCTTAAACTGTGTCAGCTAACACCTTAGGCTTTAGCTATCATCTTAATTATCAGCTAACACTTTCATAGGGACTGGTAGACATGTGCAGCCTGCCCTTGGGAGCACAGGAAAGAAAAGGTGAGATGTTAGGAGAGACAAACGAGGCTGAGTCTGGAGACATGCCAAAGACTGAGAAACCTACTGCATCATTTTCTCGGAGCCAGCTTGAGCTCTATAATACCTTGCTCTCTTAAGAATTATTCCTCAGATAGCAGAAGTAAGTACAGCAGGAAAGCATTTTGTTTTGTCACCCCAACCTATTTTTGTCACCTTCTTTACTTCTGTTCACCCGTAGAGGGAACTGGTGTTTGGTAAGACAGTGACAGATAATTATTCATAGTTTGTTATGAAGGAAGGGCCCTATTAGGAGAAAAGCCTGGTTGATACTCCATTGTAAGGAATTTAAAATACTTTGGAATGGTGTTTATGATAGTGGCAGGAGATAGACAAATCCTAGGCGGACAGGGGTGAGCGACCAATGAAATAACACCTTCAAGCCAAAGAGAGTTTAAAGCCTAGCTGCAAGTCCCAGGTAAATCCAAGGACTAGATTGAGAACCTCTCTTCCCATTTGGTGCATTTTCCTCTCATTGATCCCCACCCTTCACCTATTTTACATATACTTACCCTTCTCTAATTGATTTTTTACACTGTTATGCTTACCTTTGAGTGGTGCCTTTAACTATTTTTTGCATACTCACAAGCCAATCATCATGCACTCCCCTATTCTGAGCCCATAAAAGCCCCGGACCCAGCCACACTGGAAGAGAAACCACCCGACTTTGGGTGAGGGACCAACCCCACATCCCTTCTCCACTAAGAGCTATTCCATTACTCAGTAAAATTCATCTCCACCTCCCTCACTCTTTGGTTGTCAGCGTATCCTCATTCTTCTTAGATGGGGGACGAGAATTCAGGACCCACCAAACGTGGGTACTCAGACAGCTATAACATTTTGGTCATCTGTTCTTTGCCAGAGGAGGGCAGCCACTCTACACCATGGGAAGCAATGGCAGGGCTGAGCCAGCCTTGGAGCTATGGTCCAGAGCAGGGCAAGAGGCCGACTGTGCTGTTAACATGCCACTGTCTGTCAGGCTGTGGATGGCAGGACTAAAAGAGCTAATTAGCATGTTGCAACACCCCTCCAGTCTCTTCGGGGTCATGTGCACCCCTGCCTGGGTGCCACCACATTCCTTTTGGGGAAACATGCCTGGTCCAGCAGCAAGTCCTGCATGGAATCCATCACTGTGCTGGCATTTTGAACAGCTGACTGGACCCTGCACTTGCTCTTTCACACCCCACCACCTACCAGGGGCTGAGCACACAGTTGCAGTAGCTGTAGGAGCCAGGGGCTGGAGCACAAGCCGGACATGGCCTGGTGGGCCGGGTAGACAGGGCACCTCCTGCTGCAAGCCTGGCAAAGGGGCCGAGAAAAATCCTGCATCATTTATATTACCATAAAGAAATCTCTGAATACTCTTCAGGCTCAAGTCAGGAAAGAAACAGCACCATGAAAGTAAAGACATTATAGCCAACTACCAGAATACAGTAAGAACTGGTAGGAGAGGAAATCAGAACACAGGACAAAAGAGATTTCTATTTAAATGACAATAGAACAAAAGGAGCAAGTTGAGGAAGAAGGGACTGTCTGATATTCATCCCAGTGGAGCTACACATGGACTTAATGTGGGGAAATTTTTAAAATATACCTACTTCTGTCTTCCCAAAACTGCCTTTGTACTTGTCTAAAAGTAAAGTAACTATTTTTGGCAAATAAATGTGACCTGTCAACCAGAAGGAAGAAAGCGTGGCAGCACTATTATAGAGCATTTATTTGAGCCAAGGTTGGCAAATGCAGCCTGGGAAATGTTTCATGTTGCTTTGGGAGCGCTCCGTCAGGCCTTTCTTACAGGCATGTTTTTAAAGGAAAAAAGGGGACAACGAATGGGCTGATGCAAAGTTGTTTGACAGGAATTCTAACTGGGCACAGAAATAACATCGGTCAGTGATTGGCTGCACATTGTTGAACCATGGAGTACAAGCTTATGGTGTCTGGTGTATGGCATTTTATGGCTACTTAGTGTCAGTTAGTCTAGAAGCCAAAAAGCAAGTGGCTTCAAGAGGTGATTATTGAGCTCAAGAGGGGAGTGTGATGTGGACTGCTGCATTTCAATGTCTCTCTGAGCCTGATGACTAAAGAGAGCTGGTCTTCCTCATATAAAAGTTTTTTTTCTCTCAATCCCATTATGCAGATGCTGTGGCTGTAGGATATAACTGTAGTGTCATATATACAAGCTTTCATCTGAGTTATTTTAATCTGTCATATTTATTTTTGGCATCTCATCTTTATATTAAGGTATAATTTAAAGTTAAATGTGCAGATCTGGGTTTTGAGAAATATATGCACTCATGAAACTCACCTCCAGAACATTCTGTAATCATTCTTCTCATTTAATCCCAAGAAGCAATCACTGTGTCAGAGGTGTATGAACCAGAGTGACTCCATCTTGAATAGGGGCTGGGTAAAATAAGGCTGAGACCTGCTAGGCTGTATTCCCAGGAGGTTAAGGCATCTTTAGTCACAGGATGCTATAAGGGGTCAGCACAAGATTCAGGTCACAAAGACCTTGCTGATAAAACAGCATGTGGTAAAGAATCTGGCCAAATCCCACCCAAGCCAAGATGGTGATGAAAATGACATCTGGTCACCCTCACTGCTCATTATACACTAATTATAATGCATTAGCATGCTAAGGGACACTCCCACCAGCACCATGACAGTTTACACCAGCACCATGACAGTTTACAAATGCCATGGCAATGTCAGGAAGTTACCCTATATGGTCTAAAAAGGGGAGTAACCCTCAGTTCCAGGAATTGCCCACCCCTTTCCTAGAAAACTCATGAATAATTCATACATTGTTTCCCATATAATCAACAAGTAATAAATATAAGCAACTGAGCAGCCCATGCTGCTGCTGTGTCTAAGGAGTAGCCACATTTTTTTGTTTTAACTTCTCTAATAAACTTTCTTTCACTTTTCCCTGTGGATCCACCTCGAATTCTTTCTTGCACGAGATCTAAGAGCCCTCTCATGGGGTCTGGATCATGACTCCTTTCCAGTAATAACTCTTCTGATTTTCTTCAACATCTATTAGTTTTGCTGGTTTCACAAATTTATATAAATAGAATTATACTGTATGTACACATTTGTGCCTGGCTTCTTTCTCTCAGGAGAGTTAAAAAATTATTAGAGTTTCATAGTTGTGTTGCATCAGTAGTGGGTTTTTTGTTTGTTTGTTCGTTGGATGTTTTTGTTTTCAGTTGCCGAGCAGTATTCTATTCTATGGATAAACCACAATTTGTTTATCTATTATCTTTTTCAAGGGCATTTGGGTTATTTTCAGTTTTATTCTATTATCAATAAAACTTTTGAGAACATTTACATGCAAGTTTTTTTCTTGGACATTTCTTCTCTTGGCTATAAATACGAAAAGTGTAGAATTTCTGAGTCACAGTGGAGGAATTTATTTGGTTTTATGAAAACAAAATGTGTACTGATTTCCAAAGTGTTTGTTATTTTACCATTCACCAGCAAAGGATGAGAGTTTCGGTTATCCCAGATTCTCACTGACAAGGGACATTATCAGTCTTCTTAAATTTAGCACTCCATTGGGTATGATTGCCTCCCATTGGAACTATATTTGTTTGAAATAATTTCTTTTTTTCAATGCATAGCATAAGTTCTGGTTTCTACTCTTATGAACACTTAGTGTTCATGCATTGTCATAAGTGATTCAGTTTTGAATTATTAATGATTTTAGAAGTTACAAACATTTTATTAGACGCATTCTTGTTACTGGTGCATAGGAGCTAAACATTTTAAAATGTTTAAAAATTGGTGATGGGTGATTAGAGTGGAAGGTGATAGACAAAACAACACTGAAAGAGTAAGATCTGGAAAGGTAAAGATCACAAATCCAATTTGTAACATGATTGTTTTTAAGGACATTCGGGACAACCTAGGAAAATATAAAGTAGAAAATTGGCAATATGAATGTGGAGATTATATAAATAAGTTTGTAATTCCCCTTGTTTATCTTGTTCTTAAATAGTTGGCATCAATTATATAAAATGATATTTCATACTATTTATTATAGAATTAGGCTGTGAATATTTATCTATTACTTTGAAATTATGTATTTTTGTAGGAAAATAATATGTTAATGATGTTGAAGATAGAAATTTTCACAATTATATTTGGGATTTTTCCCTTCATACTTGCTGTTTATTGGGAATACCATATTATTTGAAATAGCAAATGCCGAAGGTAATGCAGAATTTCTGAACTCCACCTATGACTTCTAATTATTAAGATATACCTAATGCCTTTAGGGTTTTGATCATTTTATAATACTCAAAATTAAGAAGTAGATAGCTTTTCATTCAGAATTTTGGATTCCTGAGAGAGAAAGCCTGGAATTAAATCTTGTCTTTTTCACTAGGAATGTAAACATAGATAATATTATTATATATCGTTTCTCTATTTCCCTAACTACTTCAAAGCATTGCTATGAAAACTAAATGAGTTAATAATTTTAACATGCGACTGGGCGCAGTTGCTCACACCTGTAATTCCAGCACTTTGGGAGGCCAAGGCAGGTGGATCACCTGAGGAGAGGAGTTCGAGACCAGCCTGGCCAACATGGTGAAACCCCGTCTCTACTAAAAATACAAAAATTAGCAGGTTTTCGTGGTGCCTGCCTGTAATCCCAGCTACTCAGGAGGCTGAGGCGGGAGAGTCGCTTGTACCCGGGTGGTGGGAGGTTGCAGCGAGCCAAGATCACGCCACTGCACTCCAGCCTGGGCAACAGAGCGAGACTCCATCTCAAAATAAATAAATAAGTAAAAATAATTTTAAAGTGCTTAAAACAGTGTTTCACAGAAGCCAATAAATGTGTCTAGTAAATGTGATAACAATAATTTTGAACTTCACCATTTACTGTACTTTTGGTAAAAAGCAAGAGTTGTTCTAAGATATTGCAGTCATTTTTATGATTTCCAAAAAATATTATTATCATGTCAGAAACTACTATAATTTACTGTATTCTTTTTGAATCTCACCCTTTATCAGACTAAAATAGTTAATAAAAATAATAATAAAGCTAGCATTTAATGACCACTTTCTATGTGCTTAGCACATTTTAAGTCTCTTAACTATCCTATGAGATGACATCCATTAGCCCCATTTTCGATGTGAAGAAGCTGAAACATGGAAAGACAAATTACCGTGCCAAAGTCATATAGTGATAATGTCAAAAGCAAGTCTAAGTTGTATGACTCTGAATCTTAAACCATGTACACTGACTCTCCAACTGCCATTTTCAAACAACTGATATTCAAATTCTAACAGTAGCTTGTAAATAATATTGGTAAAGTAAAAAAAAAGAAGTAGAGCTTAGAAGTTTTATTTTACTCACAAGTCATTATGTACTCCCAAGTTCAAAGAACCAGTTACTTTACAGACAAAAACCCCAAATAAAAGACAGGGAGAGTTGGAAATGATTTTCCCAATTCTTTGACCCATTTTATTAACATAAATCATGATAAGTAGTAGATGTTCAAAAAATTATTAAATGTATGAGTAAATAAAAATTGTAAAACCCTCATGGAACTTTTCCCCATACCTTTATAGAACCTGGTCTCAATTAAGATATAGTATAAATGTATAACAAATGTTTTTGAATCACAAAGTTTTTACCAGTATGTATAGATTCAACAATAAAATAAAGTTGAGATTATTAGGAAATTATTCAACCAGTCTGGGTTCGATTTTCCATCTTTACAATAATAACTGCAGTGAAAATTTACATTTCACTTTTTCTACTTTACCTTTTGTAAAACAGGATTATTGTCCTGTGTGAACTCCTTCTCCCACCTCCAAAAAGAATGATGAGAATATTGACCAAGCACTTAGAAAATGCTACTAGTTACATTTAATTAACAGTAACAATGAGAAAAGATTTCTCATATTATGGAAATTATAGTTATTGAGAAATCTGTAAAATTTTAAAGATACTTCATAATTAATGTTGATTTAGCTAAAGAATAATGAATATTCATAGTACATTGGAATTTTATAGTATTCATTCTTTACAAGCAATATATTATTAACTAAAAACATAAAAGATGAAACTATATACGATATAACCAATGTGCTTTTAATATAATTTGAAAAGATTAATTACATTATTATAAATTAAAAGTTAAATAATTTATTTTTTACTTCTGGGTTTTTCTTTTAAATGAATATGCAAGGATGTCCAAAACAAATTGTTTGATTATTTATCATAATCGAAAGAACATTTTGTTTTTTCCTGCTGATCTACAGTTCTCTTCCTAATACAAAGTTTCAAGGTAAGCCAGCATTAGTGTAGACCTATAGGGTAAAATGCTTAATGTTGTCTTTAAAATGTATTTTCTTGAGATTATATTATATATATATAGATAGATAGATAGATTATATATTGTATCTATAGATACATAGATTATATATTCTATCTATCTATCTATCATCTATCTATCTATCTATCTATCTATCTATCTATCTATCTATCTTATGGTGCCCACTAAAAGATACAGATGAATATCTATGCAAATAAAATCTAGTAGACTTTTTGTTTTTTTTTACCAATAGCAACACCAAGATCTAGCTGGATGGTCAATCATAATCACCTAATTCAAATACAGTCTATTCATTTTATCCACAGTTCCTCTTTCCATGGTTTCAGTTACCCATGGTCAACTGTGGTCTGAAAATAGGTAAGTACAGTACCACATTTACATAACTTTTATTACAGCATATTATTATAATTGCTCCATTTTATTATTAGTTATTTTTTTAATCTCTTACTGTCTTTAATTTAAAACTAAATTTTAACAACGGTATGTATGTATTTAAAAAATAATATATTTAGGCTTCGGTACTATCCACAGTTTGGCATCCACTGGAGTTCTTGGGACAAATCCCTCTTAGATAAGGAGAGACTACTGTATATGACTGTGGTAAAAACTTAAAATGTCTCCTCTAGATTTCTCACTAGAATCCAGAGGACTGGGAGTATCATGAGAGATCATCTTCTGATTATGCCAGGTAACATGGCAAAATGAACTTTTTGCAGATGATTTTAAAGTCACTAATCAGTTAACTTTGACTTAATCAAAAGAAAGATTATTTGGGTAAACCTAATCTATTCACATAAACCTTTTAACAGCAGTGATACTGCTGAAGTGGAGGTCGAAGAGATTAGAAGCAAAGGAAAGACTCAACCTGTCCTCCTTAGTTTGAATATGGAGGTGAGTGGCCTGTAGAGGCAGAGAGATCCTGACTGACCTCCAGCAAGGAAATGGGGTTTTAGTCCTCCAAATGCCAACAACCGAATTCTACAAAAACCCAGTGAAACTGGAAACAGATTTGTTTTCTGAGCCTCCATGTAAAAGCCCAGCAGATGACACTGACTATGGTGTTTTGAGAACCTAAGCATAGGACAGACTATAAATTTGTGTTGTTATGTAGCTAAGCTTGTGTTAATTTGTTACTCAGGAAAAGAAAACTAAGCAGATTACTCACTAATAGATAGATGTTTATCAAAAATATATTTACAATGTAATACCTGCTTTCTACCTTTTGTCCTAATTAATCCCATGAAAGATAGATGATAAAGTACTAATGACTTTGAAAATTATTATGTAAATTAACATTACAATCTCTCAATCTTGCTTTTTAAGGTCAGTAAGAGCACATACTGCATCTACCATTATTGTTTACTGCTCATATGCCTGATATATATCCTGATATATCTCCTAGTCGCTCAATAATTCATGAAACTTACACAAGTATTTTAAATCAATTTTTGCAATCCAATCATTTAATACTACAAGAAACAGTTTATCAAGTGCCCACATCAAATTCCTACAGGAAGTCAACAATGCATAAGAATCTGATATTATCCTCAAGTAACCTACAGCCCCATAATGCGATTCATTATTTACTAAGTAGACCTTCACAGATGAAACTATAGGATGTTTCTAATCTTTATACTTTCAGAAAGTACAAGATTTATCTTTGCATACCATACAAATATACCTGTTGTAATTGCCCAGTCCTAGAATTATAGAGCCCAAGTTTTCATGCATTTTAATTTTGACGGATCTTGCCAAATTACACTCGAAAATAATTGCCAGGTATGTAAAAATGGTTTCTGATCTTATCATTATTTATTACTTCACAGTGAGATTGAATATTTCATGTTGATTTCCCTTTACAGTTTCCTTAGAACTGCCTGGGCAATATCGTGTCCATTTTTCCATTTTCTCTTGTCTCTTTAAAAATGATTTTTAAAAACACTTGGAAAGTCAAAGAAATTCTTTGCCTACTTATATGTTGTTTATATTTCTTAACTTTGTTGAATGTTTGCTGTATAGATATTTTCAAATTTTTTGTAAATACATTTGCACTTTTTAACAAAGGCTTTAGTTTTGTATTTTATACACTCCTGAGTTTTTTCTTAACTCAAGGATTCAAATTGAACCTGAAAACTGCTGAGGGTGGAGAGAGAAACTCCCTATGTGTTGGAAAATCACTACCTAGAGCTATATTAATGTTGAATACATACAAAATCTGGAAAACCTTGGGGCATTTATCTAATGCAAAATACATCTCCAAATTTTCTTGACCACATTTTTTATGTCTTAGTTTTTAAATTTTAATTTTTCAGAAACATATTTTAATTTCAATTATAACTAGTAGTGATTCTATGAATGATCACTTTGTACACAGGAAAAGTAATTATAATATTCAATAATCAGCAATTTGTACCCTATCAATACAAATAGTGAAAAATTCAGTCATCTGTCTACCAATGAAATGATAAGGTGAAGGAAATGCTGGTAACTTAATCCTCCTATATGTATGTCAATGAGGGAGTGCAAGAAGGCAGGTATGTTTTAGCTGAAGTATAAAAAATGAGCACACAAGGAAGAGAAGAAGGGGAGGTTCACAGGTGTTAGAGTTTCCATTTTCCAGGATAATCTTTGTAGTTTGCTAGGAGAAATTTAGGGATTCAAAGTATTGTGAAGCTCCATTGTTTTCTTTTTTATTTCTATCTGCAAATAGCGTTTGATATGTTTAAGATGGACGTTTACTACTAGTGAGCTCTAATAAATGGGAATTTTTGTTTTTGTTTTTGTTTTGTTTTTTAACTGCTCACTAACCATAATATCTATTTCTAGTGGAAATGAATATCTTGAAGAATATATGATACATTTGCAAGTAAAGTCAACAGGAAGAGAAAAATGAGGGGAGTTTTTAAAAGGGGAAACACCAAAATCCTTTCAATAAAGGATTTTTTTCATACAGAGTATAATTTTCCTGAAAGCAATCTGTTCCCAAGGTTTTCTTTCTTTACTAAATCTAGGAGCAGCACAAATAGGTCCTTCTGTGCTACTGGATGATGAAATCAGAGCTCTCAAGGTCACTGATGTTTCAGGACTAATGGGAGTCATTGAAACTAGAAATCTTGAGGAGTATGAGGTCAGTCCTTGTCCTGAGCTATCCTGGCCTGTGTAAAAGGAATTCAAGGATAAAATGAGTAATTCTAGTGGTGTTTGTGAGATCAGAAAGATAATAGTGGCCCATCTACCGACAGCCTGACTGGAAGTCTAAGCTGCTCTTAGAAAAAGTGGCCAAAGTAAATCAATATTATATAAAGCAGATGCAGGGTAAATTAGCAAGAATGGCACATATAGGAGACTAAACTCAGCATAAAATAACATGCTATAATTGCCAGCGTGAAGCAAAGAGTGCGGTAGCAATACCAGCCTCAGTATGAGGCATAAAATTATTCTAAAGTTACTAGACAATTATGTTACAATTATTAATAACAGCTTAATATTTGGAAATGTTAAGCAATTATCCCCTGATTTCTTCTTTACCTGTTGACTTTTCTCCCAAATATGTCAGTTATTCTCCAAGATATTCATTGCCACTAGAAAGAGGGATTATGGTAAGCGAGCAGTTAAAACAATAACAACAACAAGAAAGAAAAACCTTGAATTTCCAAAGTTTAGTTCACAATATTACTCAGTACAAAAGAAAAAAAATACCTGAAACCTCTAAAACAGACCAACCACTCTTGCAACAAGATAGAATCACAGTGGGATAATTAGACAAGAAGGATGCAAGGAATTATTAGGTGTTGGCATCTGAGAGAAATTAGATTATACCTGGCTTTACTGAGCTCCTCTAAAGCTAGCATAGCAAAGAAGCAGTTGAATATTGCTTGTGCCATGTAGGTTGCTCCAGAAGATGTAGTGTGAAATGAGATTAAAAGCAGCCTTTTAGAAAGGAAAGAGATGCTACAATAACGTCCATAGGGACCAAAACTGGAATGTCAGAGAAGGTGAGCAGTGGAAACCAACATGGACTGATGATGATCACATATAAGTGTGTTTACACATGCATTTATAAGAACCCCTCCCCTTGCCCTCACTCCACACACCAACAACTTGTTTCCAATTTGGAGCAACAGAGATGTGCTGAATTGCCATGTTGGCTAAGTCAATGTTTCTGCCACCTAAAATAATAGGGTTCAAAACAAATGTAGATAAATTACATAAAAAATTAAATTTTAAAAAATATTATATTTTCTGCATCCTTAATACACATTTTTTTGAGACAGGGTCTCACTCTTTTGCCCAGGCTAGAGTGCAGTGCCATGATCTCAGCTCACTGCAATCTCTGCCTCCCAGGTTCACTCGATTCTCTGCCTCAGCCTCCTGATAGCTGGGATTACAGGTACACACCTCCATGCTCCATTAATCTTTTATTTTCTTATTTTTTTCCTGTTTTTTGTAGAGATGGGGTTTTGCCATGTTGCCCAGGCTGGTCTCAAACTCCTGGGATCAAGCAATGCCCCTGCCTCAGACTCTCAAAGTGCTGGGATTATAGGCATGAGTCACCATACCTGGGCCCCAATATGCAATCTTAATAAAAAAATTTTTAAACTGTGTAAATCTAAAGTGAGTTAGAGAATCCCTTGAGTCAAATAGAAAAAAATAGTTGTGAGACAATAAAACATGTAATGCAGGATAAAAAAAAAAAAAGAGACAGTAGAAACAGGACTGAGACCCTCATTCACCTGCTAGTGGCTAGAAATTGTGTTGGTCACATTATGATGATGGATTAATGATCAAAGAAAGATGTACATTATTATCTTCACAGTAATTAGTTTTACATGAAACTAATTAGTTATATCTACACCTGTTATTGACCTGACAATTCCTCAAGTAGTTCACCAATGGTCTTGCTAGGTCTTCTAAAAGAATTTTGTTCAGTTTATTCATTTTTTATTCAAAAATCATTTACTGAGAATCAAATACTGTGTGAGGTACTGAATAAGATAAAAAAGAGAATTGGCTTCTTCTCTCATGAGACTTAGAGTCCAAATTGGAGATACATGGTAAGCAAGTACTTGCTTGAGTCAGTTTTACCTGTCAGCCATGATAAGTGCTAATAAATAATACAAAGTAAACAAGCAGGCATATAAGAAGAGGATCTGCCAGTCCTGGAGGTGGGAGGGAAATTAGTGGTGATGGTGAGTGAAGTATCCCTTAGGATAATGATGTTTAAACTGAAATCTTAAAAATAGAGTCATTAACCAGATGGGTGAGATAGAAAAAGGGAGAAAATATTTAAGACAGAGAGATCGGTGTATATTTAATTTCTGAATTTAAATGTTCATTATTAATATTAAAGCCACTATACAGTAGTCCCCTCGTATTGGCAGGAGATATTTTCCAAGACACCCAGTGGATGCCTGAGATTGAGGGTAGTGTGGAACACTGTACACACTATTTTTTTTCTATACATACCTACCTATGATAAAGTTTAATGTATAAATGAGTCACAGTAAGAGATTAACAATAACTAATAATATAATAATTGTACTATAATAAAGGTTATGTAAATGCGGTCTTTTTTTTTCTCTCTCTCTGTTAAACTATCTTACACCATACTTGCATATTTTCAGACTGTGGTTAACCACAGGAACTGAAACTGTGAAAAGCAAAACCATTGTACCTACTAAATTAAGAGGACTGTAATCAGTGTAACTCTAGGGAGATCCTGATATCCTTACTTAAAAGTTTTACCTAAAACCAAATAACTAATAGTTATAAATAGTAGTGTACTTTAAACTAGGTTTAGGGCCTATAAGGGGTCCTTATTACAATGTATGTAATCCCTGAAATATATTTACATATCTACAAAAATATTTAAGACCAATAAAGATGAGAGAAAACCTGAATGTGAGATTAATTAGATCCAGAAGGCCAGATTTTGCCTAACAACAGGAAAATGTAGAGACACCTAAACTTAATAAGATTAATTTTTTTTAAATCATGCAATTTTAACTCACATCATTTAATGTTAACTCACATATTTATAGCACATGCCCTCTTGTAGCTATAGAGAAGCAATGAGTTTAGAACCTAGGTTGCAAAGGCATATAGCTAAAACTGAAAGCTGCAGGATGGCCTACATTGTTAATAGCACTCACATAATGAATTATAAAGCTGATCTCCAAATGTCTTGGAGCTGAATACTTTGCAGCAATATTTCTAGCTGAGAAGCTAATAGGAAAAATTCAAAAAAAAAAAAAAAGCTTGTGACTTGATGTACTGGGATATATTACGTCAGCTTTCAGTTCTCACATTTGTTTTCTGTCTGGCAAATTTTCATTTATCCATCAACTATTACCTTTGATGCTACCTTATAAAAAACAAATAATCCAGTGGTTCCCAACAGATCTAATACTACTTCTCCTTGGTTCTACTGCTCTGTATAAATGTTTAGATTGAAGTCCTTAACTTCTAGAATCAAAAATGTTTTAATATATTTTAATTGCCTCATTTTTTGCAAACATCTCAAGATCAGGAATATGCATTTTATTTGTTTCCATAAATACCCAAAACTAAGTAATATATGCATAATTTATATTTTGTGAATAATTGGCTAACTACTCAAATACTTTTTTGATTATAAAATTAGCCTACAATTTTAGAGGTAGTTTAAAAAACAAGCGTGGTTTAGGCATTCTCTGACCTTTGGAGGAATCCTCATTTTTATGTATGGATATTTTTGAGGGGAAGATACAGGTACTTACTACCATAGCTGAAATGTAGAAGATAGGGTGTGATATCACAATTCAGGACTGCCCAATTAGATCCATCAATTGGTGAGATTGGCCTTCCAAAAAATAACTCAGACTCATGACAGCATCTAGGGTATGAGGCTATTTTTGTGGTGTGGCTTCTTTGTGTCTATAAAACATGCTACTGGGATTTTGAGTGAAATTGCGTTATATTTATATAATTTAGGAAAAACTTTCAGCAATAATAAATTGTATTTTGTATCCATAAATGTAACATATATGTAATTATTTTATGTATTATTAAGGATTGCCCAAATTTTTATATTGTTTTTCAATAAAAATCTTGTACTTCATTTGTTAAATTATTAAAAATATAATTTGTTGGCCAAGCACAGTGTTTCACACCTCTAATCTCAGCACTGTGCACTTTGACAGGCCAAGGTAGGAGGATCGCTTGAGCCCAGGAATTTGAGACCAACCCAGGCAACATAGTGAGACCCCCATCTCTACAAAAATAAAACAATTAGCTGGGCATGGCAGCCCAAGACTGTAGTTCCAACTACTCAGGAGGCTGAGGTGGGAGGATCACTTGAACCTGGGTAGTTGAGGCTTCAGTGAGCTGTGATTGCACCACTACACTCCAACCTGGGCAACAGAGCAAGATGCTGTCTTCAAAAATATATGCATACATATAATTTGTTAATACATTTATCTTTTTAATTTTTCTTTTTTTGTCATCAAGTACAAGTGTTAATTTTTGTGTTTTCATCTTATAACCATCAAAATTCATAATTTTCTTCTGAGAATCACTTGAAGAGATTCCCTTACAAGGTATCTATCAAAACTAGAAAATTAGCATTGAACAAAACCATTATCTAATTTGTAAACTGTACTCAGGTTTTGCCAGTTGGTCAAGTAATTTCTTTTATAGTAATAGAAAATCTGATCATGAATTGCATTCAGTTTTTTGGCATGTCTCTTTAGACACGTTTAGTACAGAAATGTTCCTAAATTTTTCCTATAAATTTTTTGAATTTGCCATTTTTGAACAGGACAAACTACACATTTTATAAGACTTCCTTCAGTTTGGTTTGTCTGATATTTCCTCATGAGTAAATACCAGTTGTACATTTTTGGCAGGAATACCAAAGAAGGGATGCTGAGTTTGCCTCAGTGTATCACATCAGGAGCTACACTCTGTTGATTACTCTCATTATTGACAATGTTTAACCTTAATCATTTGGTCTAGGTAATGAGTGCCAGGTTTCCTCACTGTGGTTACATCACTATTTCACACTTTGTAAATAGTAAATATCTTGTGGGCAGACACTTTTAAGACGTATGTATTTTGTTACTCTCCAAATATTTACTCACCAATTTTACTATTCATTAATATTCTTGACTGAATCAATTATTATTGTTGCCAAATTATGCTTTCCTCTTTCCATCATTTTTTCTCCTTGATTAGTTGGCAATGTACTGGAAGAAATCAGTTTCCCCTCCTTCCTTTCTTTGTTTCACTCATTCATTTACTTTTTTGCATTACTATGGATTTATTGATTCTTATTTTATTCAATTGTTTATTTTTTTTTTTAGTTTTACATGTTTTTTCCTGCTCAGATTTTCCCAGATTTGTCCAATAGGTCAAATTTTCCCAGACTTGACATCTTCAAGCTAACTTGTTTCTTTTTGATATGCGTTGCCATTCTTCCAGCAGCTCACCTCTTTGGAACAAGAAAATGCCCCAGGCTAATGTTATGCTTTTTTTTTTTTTTTTTTTGCCTCAGGTGGGTAATAAGCCATTTATCTAAGGAACCCTGGCTCCTCTAGGGAGAACAGTATTCAATAAGTAAAATGTGAGTGCTAATTGGGTTCACTCTTACTGAGGTTCATTGCATCCAGACCCTCTCAAGGAACAGAATTAGGAAGTAAAATGTATACTCACATTCACATGTCCATAGATGTGTGCATGCCCAGACATATAGGAACACTCAGGGCCAACAAGTTTACATTGTTTAGGGATTTGTAAATTGACAGCTTATACCTAGTCAAACTTGTAGACAGCCTATTCTGACTAAATAACAAATGGAGCATTAAAAAAATATTAAAGCTATCTACCTGAGCTCTACTAAAATAAAGATTATGCAATACTTGGTGGTTCATAACCTGGAAATAAAGCTTGTCTTATGAAACTAATAAAGGATCCTCAGTAGCTGTAAGTGGAAGTCTCTATGTACCCCAAAGCTTGCCTGTGATTGATTTTCTTTTCTTGCTGTACCATATCCTTTACCTCTGCGAAAGTCCTGCATATTTATGCTCTGTGGAGTCTTGTGATTCCTTTCAACTATCCAATATGTGTAATCTTTGCAATGTATATTAACCTAAATAAATCTATATTCGGTTCTATATCATACTATCTAAAAATACACAGACGAATCATCAGGTTATACTGATAACTCCAATCCCAATCTAGCAAAACCCCAAAGGTGTTGCTATCCTTTGTCCTTTCCCTACTCTAACAGTCAGCAACCATTATCCAAAAAACATTTACTTATTTGCTCAAATTTTGAATGTACAAAAAGTATTTTCAGAAAAATGTACTAATTAGAGCTTCTTATCTGAGTTCTTTGTTGTCTTTTTCATAAAGATATGTAATTCTAATACTGTGTTCAAAAGTTACTTGAGTTAATGTTGTTTTTAATCCTATAAAAATGTGGTTTTGTTATTCATTTGATATCTAGGTTTGTTCGTTTTGAGTCTGTATTAAATTTGGGGGATTTTCTTTCCATCCTTGCTGATAGTATTTATTTATTTATCTATATATCTTTGTATTCATTTATTTGTGAGAATATGAAAACTTAAAATTGTTTGAAAATGCAGGACTGTGTAAAAAGATATATTCAAAGAAGTATTATCTTCCCTGATTCCCCAGATCCTTTCCATCCCACTTCTACCTATACCCTAAAGGTAACCAGTTTCATTAATCTCTATGTTACCTATTGTGGGAGTTTCTTTGGTTCAAAATTGCAGATATATATAGGCATGTTCTTATTTCTCCTTTTTTCTTACACAAAAAGTAGGAAGCAATATATTAGGGGTAAGCAAACGTTTTCTGTAAAAAGCCAGATAAGAAGCAATTTAGGCTCATTAGGCTAAGAAGCAAATCAGTGGTATGTAGATGCTTATGTAACAAGAGAGAAAGAAATGCAAAAATTGTAATTGATAAAATTATAAATACATATATAATTTTATTATATATTAAACTTGCATACAATTTTTTTGCAATACATGTCTGCTAAGTAGAAGAATGGTATTGTTTGGACAGATGTTTTTCAATTAAGGTTCCAAGTTAGCGTTTCTATTAAATAAATTGCAAAACTTCATGTGTTACTTCTGATCTGTAATCGCATTTTACATAGGTCATCTTTGAACATGCCTTTGCTCATAGATAAATTCTGCTATCAATCTATGAGCATATGGTTTTAATTGAGAATATTTTCCATTTAGAGGACATTTACAGACATATTAAACTCTTCTATTGTTATGTACGTCATTTAGCATACCATCACATTGCAGATCAATCACTTCCAAATGAATATTAGTAGAAGCTCCTCAATTACACAGTTAAGTGGATTGAGAAATATGGAAATTGTATTTGCACTTGCATTGATGTCTGAAAAATGTTGCTGGAATGTAATTTAAACTTTGAAAACATATTTGCTGAATTTTTTGTGGGAGTGGAGATTTTGCATCTTGTTTTAACTTTGACAGCATGAAAAGTGTATTAAGGACTTAGACATTATTTGTAATTCAAACAGCAGTAATCTCTGTCAAAATAACACTGTCACAATATAAGTTTCATACATGAACACTGTTTTACCTTGTGATTTTAGATTAAATTCACTAAGAAATGTTATCAACATGTGGCAAAGCTAATTTCCAAAAATATTCAGTGTTCAATAATAGTAGTTGAGAATGAATCTCCATAGGTAGAAAAATATCAATCTTAGCCTTAAGTTCAAAAGCTTAAAACAAAAGTTTATAAGGTAAGACATGAAACTGCTGTGATGTAGGGCTACTCAGTACATTAAGTCTATTATGACAAAAACTTACATAGCTAATCATGGTTGAGTTCACAATTCTTAATGACATTGTCCCTTGACTCTACTAATTTAACAACATATGCTATGTTAAATATTTTCCTCTTCCAAATACCTGCTGATACATAATACAATGAACACCATAGGATTTAAACACCTTAAAATTTCACAATCTTTGTAAATTTGTCCAGTTAAGCCTTTCTTCTGCCCCACATATATTTTTACTATCATGAATTTTAACACTTCTTAGCAGATTCCTCTTCAGGTTATACTAAATCAGTATTTTCTCAACTTTTCCTAAAACATTTTGCCCTGTAATTGTTCTACATACACTATTAACAGAGGCTGACTCTCTAATTGTTTAATCACTTCATCTTTTAATCATTTATTGAGTCTGAATAAATGGGCAGTATCACTTTCTATTCTTTAAAACTCAATGCAAACAACTAGAAAAGCAATTGCTTTGCTTTTTGATTGACTATTGGCATTGCTCCAAGTGTTATAAACCCTTTAAAGAACTATTCTTACTAAGAGTCTTATATTCTTACACAAATTTATTTCTTTGGACATATTTCTTAGGATGCTGTAATCACACAGTAGTTCACTAACTTCCTATTAATAAATACTTTTTATTGTATGGCTAGCAAATGAGCCACTTGAAACCTTATTTTCATTATGGCTTCTCTTTTAATTTTAATTTTCATAAAAATTATGTTGTAATAAAATATTCTATTATAAATACCTCATTTCTTACCATTGCTTTCCTGCAAATTGAAAATATTATGATGAGTGCTAACAACTCAAAAACAAACAATTCAATTGACAAATGGGCAAATAAGTTGAATAGATATTCTCAAAAAAAGATATAAACATATTTAATGACCAATAAGCATATTTAATGATTCAACATCATTAACCATTAATGAAATGTAAATCAAAACTACAATGAGATACTACTTCACACTGTCTAGGATGGCTTTTGTTTTTTTAATAAAATGAAACATAAATGATGGCAAGGATATAAAGAAATTGGAATATTTGAAATGTTTGTGGTGAGAATATAAAATAATGTATCACTTTGTAAACGATTTGGCAGTTTCTTAAAATGTTTAACATAATTTTACTGTATAATGCAACAATTCTACTATGAGGTATTTATTTGAGAGAAATGAAAACCTATATTTACACAAAGACTTGCACATGATATTCTTAGAAGCATATTCACAATAGCAAAAACTGGCTTAGGTTTGACATTAATTCCTTGAAATCAAAATGTCACAGTGTTTTATTAGTCATAATGAGGCTTACACATCTCAGTCTATATCAGAAGCCTTACACCAGTATGCCTCACAATGAATCAAATGTGATTATAGACTCATCCTGTGGTTACTTATCTGGTCCTCTCAATGTGTTGTGGGAATAATTAGTTATATCTAGAAGATGAGAAGATTCCTAATTGGTTTCTCGATCTATGGAATCAGGGCTACTATAAAACATAGGGCAAGTGAAAACCCTTCAAACTACTGACTTTTGCCAGGAAAGTAAGACAAGAGCAATATCACATCTCTAGGATAATTGCAGAGATTAAAGAGGGTTACAGGAGATGATGATTCTTACCATATCCCTATGAGAATTATATTTTGCCCAGTGCAAATAGCACATGGATAATAATGATTAGTTATTGGAAATGTAGACACATTCATATGCCAATCTCAGCTGTGTTTCCAGATGAAGTATTCTTATTCTAACAAATTAATGCAATATCTGATACTTAATACACAAATATATGCAGTTATTGACCTAAATTATGCTTTAATTCCTATTTATATCAGAATAATAATCAGAAGCAGTTTGGTTTAATAGTGACAGAAGGCAGTCAAATGCCTAGTCAGATAGGGGCAGGTCCCCAGTGAAACCTCACCTTCAAGCCAAAGACAATTTAAAGCCTGAAAGCCAAGCTACAAGTCAAATCCACTGATCAGACCGAGAACCTCTCTTCCTGTTTGGCACACTTTCCTGTGATTGACCCTCATACTTCACCTATTTTACATGTACCTACTCTTCCCTAATTGTTTTTTTTTTTTTTTACTGTTCTGCCCACCTTTGAGTGGTGTCTTTGTTTTAGCTTTTTTGCATACCCACAAACCAATCAGCACACACTCCCCCATTCTGAGCCCATAAAAGCCCAGACCCAGCCACACTGGGAGAGAAATCACCCAATGTGTCTGGTGGGGATGGAGGGGACCATCCTCATGTCCCTTCTCTGCTGAGAGCTGTTTCACCGCTCAATAAAATTATTCTCCACTCTCCTCACCATTCCATTGTTAGAGTAGTCTCATTCTTCTTGGACACAGGACAAGAACCTGGGACGTGCCAAAGAGCTGGGGTGAAAGGAGCTGTAAGCTGTAACCCTCTCATCCTTTGCTGGCACCAGGCAGGGGTGGAGCTGGGCTAGCCCTGGAGCCATGGGTCAGAGCAGTGTGATGGGAACAAATAAGCAGAGGCCTGGCCAGCCACAGAAGTGGAATTCTGGCTAGCAAAAGCAGGGCCAAGAAAAATCCCATTTCATTTCTACATGGCAAGAGCAGCACAATACCTCCATTGTCTTAATTAAGGGTTAAGGTAACTCTTCTCTTTGTTATAATGTTATGTGGGGTATCTTTGATCATCTTAATATCTCAAAAAGTACAAAGTTGAATATTACAATAATCATATTTCACTAATTTTCCTGGTGAACTGAAAGTAGTAAGCAATCTAGATACCTTGGTAAAAATGTAGATATAACTTGGTAAATGATTGCATGTCACAGAGAGGAAGATATATCCTGAAAAGTTCCTGGCTTCCCATATTAGCAGAAGTTCTAGGAATCCAGTGGTTTTGGGCATATTGGAGTATTTTTCTAAACAGAATATTCTGAGCTTTACTACATGATGCAAAAAGGCCAAATGTTTGTGGTTATGCCTCTGATATTTGAAGGCAATATGTACCATATGCAGGCATATTGTTCAGATTCACTTATTATGTATCCTAGAAGTCTGTCTATTTTCAGTAATATCTGAGGCAAAACAAAAGCAAACAAAAGGCTCTATAGTAGGTAGAATAGCTCTTTTCCCATTTGGGCAACATGGCAAAGCAGTTGTTCTTTTCCCATTTGGGCAACGTGGCAAAGCACACGCAGTGATCTCGGTAGCATTGTTGTCAAATATAAATGCCAGAGAAAGCCTTTGCCACACTCCAATAGAGAAGTCCAAAATTTTGCAACTGTAATTTTTTGAGAAAGATCATGCTAATTTATTATGACTTTCTAACCTAGAAAATTTACCTATTGGGTACTATACTCACTATCAGGGTGACAAGAGTCACATTCCAGACCTCAGTATCACACAATATTCCTATGTAGCACATCTACACATATACCCCCGTATCTAAAATAGAAGTAGTTTTTTAAAAAAAGTAGTTTCTGCCCAATACTGGGCACTAGCAGACACTAAATATACAATCACAGGACATCACGGTACCTATCAGGAGCTATATGTTATCTGATCAAATAAATCACAAAATTAGACATTGATAGCAGTTTTTTTTTTTTTCATGTAACAGAATGGAATAAGTGAGACCAGGTCTAATAAGGTCCAGAAGGTGAAGCGAAGCACATAAGCAGTTGGCTGAAGCTTCCTAGTCATTTCTCCTACTTCACTCCCTTTCTTTCAAGCTACATTTATGGCTTCATGAGGAATTTACTCTAACAAGAAAATGGAGAAGAGAGAAAGGCAAATGCAAAATGAGAAAGCAGTGATTAAGAAATTAATATCTGACAACATTGAATTAAAAGTGAAATAATTAAAACAAAAAGACACATAATAGTGACAAAAATATAATCCATAGCAAAGATCTAAATATCATGAGTCATTTAGATAGCCTCAAAAATTCACTAAGCATAGCAAAAGAAGTCTAAAATATTTTTTGCAGGTATGAAAATGAACCACAAAACAGAAGAAATAAAATAGAATCAAAGCTTCAGAAGTTGACATGTTATTTCAAAAAATTGTCACCTATTGAATGTAAAAATAATAACTAATTTGTTTTGTCTTCAGGAAGATAGCATAATTAAAACTCTAACAATAATATGAGAAATTGGGAGATATTTACTGAGTAATTAAAGCAAGCTATGTTTGGAAGATGTGACATGAAAACAACCTTAGTGTCAATTCATAGACAAATGAATGAAGAAATAAAGAGACTGCGGAATATATATTTACACATATATATAATGATATATTATCCAGCGTTAAAAAAGAAGATCCTGCCGTTTGCCACAATATGAATAAACCTGGAGGACACGATGCTAAGTGAAATTAGCCAGACACGAAAAGAAAAATATTACATAATCTCAGTTTTCTAAAAAAGTACGATATACTGAGATAGAGAATGAAACAATGGTTATTAGATTAGTTTCCTTATTAGATTAGATTCTCACGAGGAGTGTGCAACCTAGATCCCTCACATGCATAGTTCACAATAGGGTTCATGCTCCTATGAGAGTCTAATGCCTTCACTGATCTGACAGGAGGCGGAGCTCAGGCAGTAATTTGAGTGATAGGGAGCAGCTGTAAATACAGATGAAACTTCCTGGCTTACTCGCCGCTCACCTCCTGCTGTGCAGCCTAGTTCATAACAGGCCTTAGACTGGTACTGGTCCAGGTTTTGGACTCCTGCCATAACATCATAGTGTATACCGTAAGTATACATAGTAAAATTCATTTAAAAAATAAATGTTGAAAGATGAAACATTTTTGAACAAAAAATTAAATCTATGCAAATATATGAATGTATGTGTGGTACCCAGTATGTGTGGTAAGTAGGTAATGCCTCCCTTTCTTCCCCTAACTTTGTAGGAACCTTTGAATATGTTCCTGCAATTAAGGCAAAAGGGACTTTGCAGATGTAATTAAATTAAGGATCTTAAAGTGAGAGATATTTCTGAATTATCTGGTTGACCTAATGAAATTCCAAGGGTCTTTATAAGAAAGAAGGAATCAGAAAGGTAAGAGAAGGAGATGTGACACTGGAAACCGGGGGTCAGAGAGAAAGACAGAGATGTAATGATACTGTGCTATGGCTTTGAAGATGGAAGAAGGATTTGAATAGAGATTCTTCCTTATAGCCTCCAGAAGAAATTCAACTCCATGAAAACCTTAGACCTATTCAGACTTCTGACCTTCAGACCTATAAGATAATAAATTTATGTTGTTTTAGACCACTAAAGTTTATGGTAATTTGTTATAGCAGCAATAAGAAACTGAGGCATTTTAACTCCCCACCCATTAAATATGGGCTAGGCATTGTGATTTACTTCCAAAGAGTACAGTAAGGAATTATGGGGGTGGGGGTGGAGGGCGTGGGAATAACTTCGCAGTGAAGAAATCAGACAAACATTCCCTCTGCTTGTGACCAAGCTTAACAAGATCAATAACAATAAGTCATGTTGATAGCATGCACCCTTAGTATGATATAATAATAACAGCATGTAGCCTCTGTGGTTTCTTCTCCAGAGCCTGTATTTCCAATCTAATTATGAAAACAATTATGAGACAAGCCCAAATTTTAGGAAATTATACAAAGTATTAACCAGTGTCCCTCAAAAATCTTAAGGTCATCAAAAGCCAGAAATGTCAGAGAAACTGTCCCAGCAAAGAGGAGACTAAAGATAATTGACAAAACAATGTGGTGTGGTATCCTAAATTTGATCCTGTAACAGGAAAATAACATTAGATAAAAACTTAGAAAAACTCCTCATAAAGTATGGGCTTTACTTAATAATGTATCAGTATTAGTTCATTAGTTGTGACAAATATTTCATATTAATGTTAGATAATAACTATAGTGAAAACTTGGGTGTATATGAACTCTGTGTCATGTTATCTCTGCAACTTTTATAAAAATCTAAACTATTTCAAAATAAAATGTTTATATACATACATGGCATATGAGGTAAATACCCAAGATAAAACAAGGAAGAAATTTTGTCAGTCATGTGTCATACAAAAACTAGCTAAATACCATTAATGTAAAAATAATTATGTCAGATATGGAAAATATAAAGGTAAGTAATTAATAGGTATGAAATAGAGTAGCATACACACACACACACACACACACACACACACACACAATCACCTAAATGTTTATATAATTGTAGGCAGCATGAACTATAAAAATGAGTATAATGCTGACAAATTAAAATGAGAAAATAACAAAACCCTAAATCAGTTAGATACTTCCATAGTAATACTTCATAAAATCCAACAATGGAACTACAGTGGCATATAACAAGAATCTGTTCCTCTCACAGGTGTGGGTTGGCTGGAGATCAGCTAATTCAGGGTGAATTTGTAACCAGACCAAGGTTTGGTTGCAGAAGCCAAACATAAGAGATGAGGTTTGTTAAGAGGAAAAGCAGTTTTAATCCGAGAGCCAGCAAACTGAGAAGATGGCCAACTAGTGTTCTAAAGTGCCATTTTAAATTCTGAAATTTATCATAGTGTTTATAAAGAGAAACTTGGTATGGGAGACATGCTGGAGATGTGTGGAGTACAGGGGTTATGTTATGTGTCTTGTTCCTATGGCTCTCTTGGGTAATCCCACATCCAGAGATCTGGTTGATGTTATCCATGATGGTGAACTAATTGTTTACAGCAGCCCCTAAGCAGGAGGATTCTGGTTTGTTTCATGACTATCCTCTTGGATTTCTTAAGCAAGATCATAATTAGATAAGCATGCATTGCCATAAAGAAAGAAGTGTCTAAAGGAAGGAATGAAGAGGTGAAAGTGGAAGGAAGAAAAAGTAAGTGGATGATTAGAGTATATTTTTAAAAACTGTGGTAACCCATTACAGATTCAGTTTGGCAGCTCTGTTTGAAGCTGCAATTACAGCTCAGCTTGCATTATACAGATAATCAAGTCTAGTAGTGTTCTCCACAAGTGATCATTCTAGTAACAGCAGCTACCTGGGAGAAGCACTGTTCTTCAAAAGGAGAATAATTAAGGGGCAAGCCTCAGTGTACAAACCTATTACAAGCTCCTACTTATACAATGTCTGCTAACATCACATGGTTTAAAGCAAGTCAAGTAGGTAAAGTGTCACAAAAAAATTTTACTTTGTAGGTCTACAGGAAGACCTACAAAGTTACAAACTCATGGAAATGAAAAGGGCAAATAATGGTTAGGCAATCATTCAATTTTCCATAACTTCCAATATAGCCATAGATGAGCTTACCTCTCTCTGAAATGCATAGTAATAGATTAACTTACCTCTCTCTGATGAAAACATAGCAAAGACAAGGAAGTTTTGAATACTGCAGTTATCAAACTGGACTTAATGGAACCTATAAAACATAACATCAGACAAATTTTGAACTTTGAGGCGGTATTTTTATAACTCGGCCATTTATGGAGACATATAGAAATCAGCAAGTGTTAAATAATCAGAGTTCACAGGCTATTTTTACAAAGCTGTTAAACTGTACAACAACAATAAACAGAAAATTTGAAACCCCCAAGAAAACAGCTTCAATAAACTCAAAGCGGATTTTCAGAAAGTGTTAAGTCACTAGCAAAACATGTAATGTAAAAAGAGAAAAGTACAAAAATATTAAGGAGAAAAAGCAATAGTTTTAGAGAATATTGATATTTTATCTTTTTTAATTATAAGGAGATTCATTTTTGCCTAATTACAACAATCTAATCATGTTATAATGGTTATATAGAAAGCAATGAGATACAAAATACATTTCAGTGATTTTAAGATACACTTTTCCCCCAAATTTTAATATCTCTGAAATCGAGTTGCATCCCACAACAGGTAGCATGTCAGAATTTAATTGACAGTGTTTCTTTCTTTCTTTTTATTTTTTTTTTTTAGTGTTTATTGATCATTCTTGGGTGTTTCTCGGAGAGGGGGATGTGGCAGCGTCATAGGATAATAGTGGAGAGAAGGTCAGCAGATAAACATGTGAACAAAGGTCTCTGGTTTTATAAGATTAAAATAAATTACATTATTTTAATAAATTTCAAAAACAAAGCAAAACATTTTTGTAGACAAAATTAAAAATGTATTCAAGAGGATATAGAAAATATGAATAAGTAAAAAAACACTAATAAAAACAAATCAATGTCCTCATATGCAATTGAGGACAATGCAGATAAAAACTTATATGATAACATGAAGATGAAAGAAGATAATTCATAAAAACTCTTATTATACTATTGGCACAAAGTATGTGCTTTAACAAAATAAATCATTATTGCTTATTGCCACATGGGAGTAGGCCTGGACATTTGCACTCACAAATTCTTATTTTTTTTCCACACAGGTTCCTTCTTTCTTGGTCAAACATGGTAGGCAGAAGTCCTTTAAGTCTCAGCCCTTTTGGTCTTAGGTTCCATGCAATCTACCAGTGTCCATGGGCTTCACCATTCTTTTTTTTTTTTTTTTTTTTTTTAGTAACTAAATCAAAATGATATATCTTGTTCCCTTTTGCATTTGTCCCTATACATATTTAATCTCCTCCTAAAAATAAGTGGCAAACATGATTCTTCTGTACAATTCAGGGATTCATCAGTTCTGGGACCATAACCTCCAATACTATCAATGTTACACACTGATTTCTCACAGCAGAAGCACATTGCTATTGGCAAATACATAGCCAGAGCTATTGGGCTGGAGTTAAACAAAGTGCTTATCATGGAGTTAGGAGGTAAAGGGAGTGTATCTGTCTGAAGGCTTCCTACAGTACATTTTTTTTTCAGCGGGGGGAAAAAGAACATTATGCAGTTGTTTGGTAAAAAGAGCTACCACCACATTACACTGTCTGGAGAAAGTTAAAACATAATGCTACTTAAGAAACAGTCCAGAAAGCATGAAATAATCATACTCATATGTACAACACACTCCTTAATGTTTATAAAACATAATCATATTTAAAAATAATTATTTTATCTTCAATATAATTATATTCATATTACATGTTATATATTGTATATAACTATAAATATATTTGTATTATATAAGAATAATTCAGACTATTTGAGTCTCTTAAGTATATGGTTACTGTATGTTTGCTCTCCTGACCCCAAGCCTTAACAGTGATTTAATGTAGACTAGAAACAAGGACTGTTTTCCAAAAAGGACATAAACAATGATAATCTGGGAAGGTGATGAATCACACAAATTTGGTTTCACTCCTTCAAAAATATGCTTAATAAAAGGAATCAAACACTATCTTCTTGAAAAATTACTCTCCATTGGATAATTAACTATGAGTTGACAGTTCTAGCATCCAGGGTTATTTGTCATTTACTGATTTATTATCAATTTTTCTTGCTGGTACAATCACTTCAAAAAGCAAAACCTCAATTTAATCATATTTAAAGTCCCAAAGGTACCATAGTCATATTATAGTTTATCTTAGCATGCCCAATTTTCACACCAATTATTAAGAGCTACATCTTCAATTCAACATGAAAAATGTCCATGAGCCATACCAGTTTTTAGTTGTCTTTACCTTATCTAGACATAAGACCCACCCATGTGGTTTTAGAATTACATTATGTGAATGACCATGTTAATGAAGCAAGAAGTCGATTCTATCCATTTTAAAGCTTTAACTGGTAGAGTTTGTTCAAGGCATTTACAATGTTCTTTGCTGTTTGAGCAAAGCTAAGCTATAGAACATGTTACTAATAAAACACATTAAGTAGAAATAAACTCTTTAAGAAAGAAGTTTAAATGCAGCTAAACTATAGTGAAGGAAAAAACTCTTAAAATTACCCTCAACATTTCTGTAAAAGATTTTAAATTTGTGAATACAAATACAGTGGCAGGCATGTCTGTTTCATGTTATTCTATGATCATTATTATTGTATTCTTGCTAAGTATATCTAAGAGTTGCTCATAGCAAATCTGTTTTTTTAGTATAATATAAAGGTGTCATTTTTGATCCTGGGAGATGTGATACAAAAGCTTTGCCAACATTTGAGTCAAATAGTACGAAATTCATGTGATCACACTTTCACACGGAAAAGAAAGGCAGTTCAAAATCTTGACACCAAGATGAAACATGAAAAATCAACTCAGGATATGTTGATGTGTAGTAAAAATTTATTGCATTATAATTTGCAATTGGAAGACAGATATCCTTAGAGTAGTAGATGTACTAGACAGTTCTGACAATATTTATGATCAGTTTCTTTAGAAATGTAACATGTTATTTTAATTAGATCACCAGTTTGTTCTATGATGAACCAACACACAGATTGGTATCATCCTCATATTTCTCTACATTGTAACATCTGCAAAATATGGAAACATGAAAGACAATTTATGAAATTCTAGTGATAGGAACATAGAAGTGACTGTGTCCAAGCACATGAGTGTATGAGATTTCATGGCAAAGCTTTCTACAAAGAAGTATGCTTTATGAAACCAACAATGCCTGAATAATAGCAAGTCTGTTTATTGATCTTTGGGAAATACAGGTTAAAAAGAATGTGTTTTTTTAACATTTGTAAAATGAAGAAAGAAAGTCTTAATTTACACTGTTGATAATAATGCACCTAGCATCCCTATGTTAGTAACAACATCTGAACTTCTAAAAAACAATGTATTTCTATCAGAAATCCTTTATAATATTGAGTGATAAATGTGTAATTTTTCTTTCACATTTGACAAAGCCAAATGTCTAATCTTTCAGTGACTTAGTAGATATTATACTTCAGAAAAGAGATAACTTTATTATTGTAAAGATATTTTGCAGAGAGATAGGCAAGAAAATATATATGAAAGCAACTATTTGTCTACAAACAACAGATGTCAGACACTTCTAACTTATTACCTGAATCAGAAATATCCAGGCTTAAGAATAGTATTTACACCACACTTTGCGTTTGCTTATACAACTAAAATATTTCAGTGGAACGTAGTTAGCTATCTGATCATAATTAGAGTCAGAATTTTTTGTATACACAGACTCAGGAGCTACAGGTATGCCCTGTTTTTCCATGGCATATGTTTGTGGTTGAAATGGACAATGAGAACACATGGACACAGGGAGGGGAATATCACACACTGGGGCCTGTCAGGAGGTGGGGGGCTAGGGGAGGGATAACATTAGGAGAAATATCTAATGTAGGAGACGGGTTGATGCGTGCAGCAAACCACCATGGCACGTGTATACCTATGTAACAAAACTGCACGTTCTGCACATGTAACCCAGAACTTAAAGTACAATAATAAAAAAAGGAAATGAAAATGTGGAGTTATTAGATCTCAACATAGCAAGCTAGCAGCTAGATATCTGACAAGAAAATATTTAAATGTTCCATTGCAGTTCAGCTGCTGTCCTAAGTGGCTTTGGACAATGCACCAGTGAATGCTGCAATAACATGAGATGTTAGATGTAATGCTGCAGCATATTACAGCGAGGCTAAGTTATTCCAATAAAATTTTAGAGAATGAGACAGAGGATATTACAGGCACTGGAGATAGTTTTCATATAGAACCCTACAACTGGTTCTTACTGGTTATCCAGGTAAACTCATAACAAAATTAGTTCATACCAACTTGATGTTTTTCATGCTCTTTGACTAAGGAGGACTAATTTAAATTTCTACTAAAATTTGAATTATGATTCTTTTATTTCCATTTCAATTCATTTAGTTTTATGCATTTCAATATTTTCTTTTCATGTGCCAAGAAATATTTTGTATTCATAATTTTGTTGAATGAGTAAAAAAATGTTGAGTGATCAAATGATAAGAGTGTGAGTATCATTATTCATTACATCTTCAAGGCTCTAGGCTGTAAAGTCCATGAAGAATTTGCCATAAATAGTGAAACATCTAGCTGTCAAGGAACATCAGTGTGAGATATTCTGCAATCTGGTTATGTGTTAAAATTGACATTTTTTATCTTAATTGACATGATTGCTTCATTGCTATGTAGAAACAGATGTATTTTCTCAAGGTATACTGTTCAGGAATTTGATTTTTCCCTATCTACTTAAATAATATTTGCTTCAAATTCCTTAAATACTAACTCTCTACTTTTGTAAGGCTCTTAGCATTTTAACTCATGTTTATTTATGTATATAACATCTTCCTTTCAAAATTGAAAGCATTTCACATATAGCATCTGTATCTGTTTTATTATTGTAAACTCAACACTGCCTTACAGCACCTTGAAGAAGGAAAGAGAAGAGGGAGAAATATTTTCTTATACATTTGTCAGTCCATGAAATTGTCTCTACATTTAGTCTCATTGTAATAAGGAACAACTACCTGACATCAAGAGATACACAATACTATTGCCATTATACACAGAGTAATTCATAGTTACACAAATAACAAAGTCATTATTTTCTAATAAAAGTATGTTTTACTTTGTCCTTTATATTTGGCCTACCCTTGTTATCTTTAAAAGATATTTTTTGGAAAAAATACTGTCAATTCATTTGAAAAGTAATAGTAACCATGGTTAGTTTAGTATAGAAAACTCTATCAAAAATGTGTGTATTTTCTTTTAAATAAATGGTATTATTTCTAAGAACAGATACTGGGATGAAGTGAAGTTTACTTCTTTTATTCATTTTCTTATATGTTTTAAATGAACTTCTAATAGAGAATCTGTACTGTTGTGCTAAATTTTATTTTAAGGAGAAAAGAAAGTAATTATGCTTCTACATGTTTTAACAAATGAAGCAGGTTATTTTATCCTTGTGTCTTAAGCTGCAATAGTTGAGCCACTATAGTATAATGAATACTTTTCTTCCAGGCTATTTAAAAGATCTTCTCAGTGTATAGAAAAGGAATTACAAATGCAGACAAGTTCCTGGAATATTCTATTTAGAGAGACGATAGCACCTGTTTCTTTCCCCTTTTCTCTGTAGTCACAATAACAAAAGCATGGTTAAAAGAAATGAAGACTGCATTATGAGAAATGTATCTAGCAGGACAAAACATGAAAAAGTTGGTTTTACATGTGATATGAATGAGGTCTAGAAGAATAGATGCAAACCAATCTGAGCTTTATAAAAAATAATGAATGTTTCCGCAAAAAATGCAAAAGAAATCAGATTCTGAAGCCACAAATTTTTATTGCCAGGAGGACTGCTTTTCAGAAGAAGCCTGCATCTGTTGTAAACAGACCAGACGGATATACCCAGAAATAGAAAGCTTCAAAGAAAGAGTGTGATTCACATGTCTTGCTTTAATAGAAGTATCAAGCTTTCTTTTGAAGTAGATCGGTCTTCGAAGCAGGTGTCCTAAAGGTGCCATCAGACTACTGAAAGTCAGCCAGTGTTTGAAAGCTTGCCAGTTTGAAGGCCATTAATTGACAAGCTGTGAAAGTCCAGCATCACAGGAAAGGAAATTACACAAAGGGGTGAGACTTGATTTCTCGCACCTCACCCAGAGAAACAGTAGAGGGAGCTGCCAATCTTTCAAGACTGAAGTGTATGCAGTGTGCAATTTTAACGATCATCCTCTAACTGATAATTTCACTAGGCAAAAATCACTATAATGTCTTTAATTGCCTTATGGCTTTTGATTTATATTATTTTCTCAAACTATCAACGCAGAATTATTTTGTAGAAAAAAAAGGCAACAAAATAGTTTCTTCTTGTGGATGATTCCTAGTTTCCGAATTTGTGTGGTGGCCAAAATATGACACTGTGCCTTTCTGGTAAGAGCAAAAGGCAGAGTTAAGTTCATCTGAATCACAGGTATTGCAGGGCTATTCCAATTCCTTCTTGTCTGTAAGGATTATATTTTAGGTGTAAATATAGTTAAATTTCTCCTCCATTTTTGAGAATGAGCCTCAGAAGTGCAGCAGTATTTGAAACAGGGCCCACTGAACGATTGTGAAGATTTTGTTACAGATTTTTTTAAACACAGCAATATGATTATTACACAGTACCAGAAATATTTATTCAGTGTCAACTGCAACTTGAGATGAGGTGCATATCATCTCTCTCTTCACTTGACTGCTAATTGCCCTAGGCAATCCTTCTGGAAATACAACAGAATGGTAAACTACAAAACAGCAGAAAACCTGGCAATGGTAAATGGTGAGAAAGCCTCCTAAGAATGCAAAATTGGTTATTAGAAAATTCATCTGTCTCCCACAGAGCAATTTAATGTGGTGCCTTGACATTAAGGATGTTCTCATTGTATTTGCTGAGTGAGAGGCTGTCTTGGTAGATTATGACCTTATTGCTCTGACTTCTATGCTATAAACAGTTTTAAAAGTAACAGGAAAATGGTAATTCCTCATTCCCACTACTAGCATTTTTCTTTTCTTTTCTTTTTTCAAAATTATGACCCATTTCTCTTCTCTGCTGCATCAAAGTAGGACCAGGAATAGTAAAGACATGGGATTATTTATGTTTATATTCATATTTGTATAAAAGAAAATATTGAATAATCCCTTTTAAAATGTCAGAATCTGAAAAGTTCTATGTGGAATGTTTTAAATAACAGGTACACCTGCCAGCCTTGCACACAAGGTGTACACTTTTGCAATATATGGGGTAACGGTGCCATATTGTTTGAAGACATATTTCTAACTTGAAAATATCAAGATAATCTATTTGAACTGCTATTTTATTTTTAGAATGAATATAAGCAACCACAAACTGAAATATTTTCAAATCATAATTTAAGATTGTTTTTTCAAGCAAACATTATCGGTGATATCTTTTGGGTCACAGAGCATTCTGAAGTCATAGTTATTCTGGTTTTAAATATACTTGAATGATTTCTTTGCAAATAGTATCTATTTAAGTTTATATTTTGAAATGAATTTGAATTTCTTTAAAGAAGAGTTGCAAAGATAGTACAGGTGCTATTCATATACCCTTCACCCAGTTTCTCCTAATTTTAACAGTTACATAATCATGGTATATTTATCAAACCTAAGATATTAACAATGGTGCAATACAATTAGCTAAACCACAGACTTTATTCATACTTCCCTAGTGTTTCTACTAATGTCCTTTTTTCCTCCCAAGATACAATGTAGGACATCACTTTCCTATAGTGGTCATATCACCTGTCTCCTCAACCTCTCAACAGTTTCAAAGTCTTTCTTTCTCTTTCATGACTGACATTTTGAAGAATACTGCTAAGTTCCTTTGCTGAATATGAGTGTGTCTGTTTTTTTTATGAATAGAATAAGGTTATGAATTTTAGGGAGGTATACTCCAGAGATTATGTGCCTTTCTTATCATATCATATCAGAGAATACTGGGAAAATGATTCATCAATGATAATGTTTACCTTAATCATTGAGTAAGGTAATATCTGTTACGTTTCTCTACTGTAAACTTACTATTTGTTTCTATTTTCATTGTCTGTTAGAAGTGAGTCTCTAAAGTCAGCTATACTCAATGGGATGATTAGATTGAAGTATTTCTTCGTGCAGTTTCTTCATGATTTTTGTGCTTTGGATTCTTTGAGTTTCTTGGATCCAGAAAAATTCAGTTGTCATTTCTTTAAGTATTTCTCCCTACTCTTTCACTCCAGTTTGGAGACTTCAGTTACAAGGATGCATAAAGTTGTTCCGTGGTTCACTAATGTTTTGTGTACATATAGTTTTTATTACATATTATAGGAGTTATATAATATACAGAAATATATATTTATGTTATATATAAAGATGTATATTTTTAACTTTATTTTGTCTTAGCTGATATTTCTATAATTTTGCATTTACTAATATTTTATTTTGTAATGTCTAATCTCTTATCAACTCATCCAGTTTTTTTTCCTCAGTCGTTGTGATTTTCATCCTTAGATGTTTGAATATATGTATTCTCAAGTTATAATAACTCTTTCTAAATATCCTTGTTGGCTAAGTCTAGTAACTGTGTCAGTTGTGAATCTGTGTCAACTGATTGATTTTTCTTGCAACAATGGGTCATACAATCTTGCTTCTCTGCAAACCTAGCACTGTTTGATTGGATGCCCAACATTGTGTTTTTTACCTTGTTGAGTGTGGGATGATTTTGTATTTCTGGACTTATCTTTGAACACTTTTGTTCTAGAACACTTTTATCCAATAAGGTTTTGCTTAACATATTTTTCAGACAGGACAATAGTTATTGTTTAGTCTGGAGCTAACTGTTCTCTTTTAAATATTCTTCCCAATAGCCTGTGAATTATAGGTTTTCCAGAATGTTTGGTAGAAAGAAGCAAACAGGAATAAAAATTTTAAAATAATAATAAATATATTTTTAGAAATTCTGTGTCAGTAATCAGGTACCATTTCCTCTTATTTTGTGTGATTTTCTTCTTGGCCATAGATACTTTTGTCACCACATGCATGTGCTTATTAATATTTTTATGAATATTCTAGGGACATCCTTTGTTTATCTCCTGAGTTCTGTCTCTGCAGCCCTCCTTTCTTCTACCCTGATCTATAAACTCTAGCTACTTTCTCTTTCATTGTCTCTTAGATGTCTAACCCTTTTTCAGTTTATCTGCTTCACTTGCCCAAGCTCCCTTTCATTGCATTGTGGCTTGAAAAATCTCTCAGGGAATGAAATTGTTGCAGTTATAGGTTTCAGCTCATATATGTTGCATCTGTCAGGGTCATTATGTTTTGTTTAATAATTCCCAGCTTTTAAAAACTAATTATGTTTTTATTATTCTCTATTTGTTTCAAGTAGATAGATACATCCAGTTCTCTTATTCCAATATGGTCAAAGGTAGGATTTCTTAAGCTTTTCTTGATTCCACATTAGATTCTCCTCTGAATGCATTTTAAACCTGTTATTAACTCTTTCTTCTTGTCCCAAAGTTGAACATGTCTCTATAACCTCTCTCTTGAGTTCCAAGTTCACTTTATCAGCTGCTGATCTATGCTGCCTTGTGAACATCAAAAACAGTTTGTCATAATATATATACATATCTGAAAAAATCCTATAAATCTAGCTTAAAATATTGAAATCATATAAAGTCTATTGTCTGAGCATAATTGAATTAAACTAGAAATCAGTAAATAATGACATCTAGAAAATCACAAATTATTTGGAAAAAATACAACAGATCTTTGAATAATACATTGGTCAAATAATGCATTGGTCAAAATTTCTAACTTAATTTAGAAGTTAGAAAATATTTTGAGCTGGACACAATGAAAGCACATCGTATAAAAATTTGTGGTATGTTACCAAGGCAGTGCTAGGAAGAAACTCTATACCATTTGTGTAAGTCAGTACTAGATGCTACAGTAAAAAAACCATAGCTTGGGTTACTTAACAGAAATTTATTTGTCATAATGGTAGAGGCTGGGAAGTCAAGAGATCAGGGTAGCAGTGTGGTGGAGTTTGGATGAGAATCATCTTTCTGCTTGTCAAATAGCCATCTTCTTGTTGTATCTTCATATAGCAAAGAGTAGAGAGAGAAAACTTCAGCTCTCTAGTGTTTATTTATCTAAACACATTAAACTTGTCATGAGGGCCCAACCTTCATGACCTAATTATTTCCCAGGGGCTGCATATCCAAATACCATTAAATTGGGGTTTACAGTTTCAATAAATGAATTCTGGGGGAGACACATTCAGCCCATAGCAGCATTACATTATTATATTAGAAAAAAAGAAATGTCTTAAATCAAGAATCTAATCTTCTATCTTAAGACAATAAAAAATATGGAAAATTAAAACAAAATTAATAAGGAAAAAAGTATCAAGATAAAAAATATAAATGAAATTGAACAAAAGAAAAACAACAGAGAAAACCAGCTAAAGAAAAATCTGGTTTACAGTAAAAGAATCAATAAAATTGACAGCTTTTTCCCAAATGACCAAGAACAAATATATATAGAGAGAGAGAAAAGAAGAGAACAGAAAGTACCAAGGTAATGAAAGAAAAATATCACTGCTGGCCCAATATAAATAAAAAATAAAATAATGGCATTTCTCAAGTAAATCTCTGTCCATAAATATGACAACTTATGATTGAACACATTGTTTGAAAGATGCTATTTATCAAAATTTATAAATAATTAAGCACACCAATAATATATCCACAAAAGAAATTAAATTTGCAATTAAAACATTGCAATAACAACAAAAAATCTTCAGGCCTAGGTAGATTCACAGAAAAATTTTGGAAAGTATGTACAGAAGAAATAATATTCATTTACATAATCTCACAAAATAGAGGAGGAAGGGAGCTTTCTGAAACTTTTTATAAGACCAATACAATCCACACAATAAAACTAGAGAACATATTATAGGAAAACGAAGATTTAGACCAATATTTCTAATTAATATAGAAACAATTTTTAAAGAAAATATTAGCAACCCCAAAGAAGGAACATATGAAAATATTACTGCGTCATTACCAAATGGTATTTATCCTGGGAAAGCAAGGATAAATACAATTGAAATGATTTAACATTCAAAAATCTAAAGACTCTAAGAATAAAAATTGCATGTGCCTCTGAACAGATGCAGAAACAGTATTCAACAAAATTTAACATCCATTCCTGATGAAAAACTTAATATACTAATACTTGAAAGATTATTCCTAAACCTTATAAATGCTATCTATACAAAACTTACAGAAAATACTATATATAATGGTAAATACTGAATGTTTTCCCCCTAAAATCAGAAATAAGGAAAGGATTTTTCTGATTATAACTCTTATTCAGAATTATACTGGAAGTCATGGCTAGTCCAATTTGACATAGAGCAGAAATAAAAGACATTCTGCTTTGGAAGGAAGATATAAAATTTTCAATATACATAGACTAAGCAATTGTACACACAGTAAATCCGAAGGAATCAAAAAATATCTTAAAACAAATAAGTCAGTTTATAATGTGTAAATTTTCAGTATACATAGACTAAGCAATTGTACACATAGTAAATCCAAAGAAATAAAAAAAATCTTAAAACAAATAAGTCAGTTTATAAATGTAGGAGGATAAAAGTTCAGTATAATAAAATAAATAGCATTTATATATACTAGCAACGACTAGTTGAACTTTTTTTTCAATTTATAAAGACAGTACTACTTAAAATGGTACAAAAAAAACTTGAAATATGTAGATTTTAAGCTAAGAAAATACATGCAAGATACTGCTCAAAACTAACAAATACTAATGAAGAAAATCAAAATGTTCCTAAATAAATGAATTTATGCCATATGTTGGAATTAGAAGATATATTATATTTAAAATATCAACTCTCTGAATATTTATAATATAGATTCAGTATAATCCAATCAAAATACACGAGGGTTTTATTTTGGTAGATACTGACAAGTTCATTTAAAAAATTGTATTAAAAAAGCAAAAGAAATATAATAGCTATAAAAATTTCAGAGAGAGAGGGGGTGGAGCAAGATACCCAAATAGAACTCTTTAGGAATTACCCTCCTGCCCCAGAACACTAAATTTAACAACTATACACACAAGAAAGCACCTTCATAAGAACCAAAAATCAGGTGAGTAATTATAGTACCTGGTTTTAGCATCATATCAAGGAAGGAGACACTGAAGAGAGTAAGGAAACACAGTCTTGAATTGCTGACACCACTTTTCTCTCTGGCAGCCACCACATGGCATGAAGAGAGAATCTGAATACTTGGGGAATGAAAAGAAAAATCACTGTGTGACTTTGCATTGGAATTCAGTGTTGCACTGTCACAGTAAAAAGCAGCATAGAGCAGAATTCATCCAGTGCCCAAGGAGGGAACATTTACACCAGGCCTACACAGAGAGGAATCGTCCTTCCCAGTGGGCAGAACTTGAATTCCAGCTAGCTTCACCACTGTGGGCTAAAGTGCTCTGTGATTCTAAATAATCTTAAAAGGCAGTCTAGGCCACAAGGACTGCAATTCCTGGACAAGTCCTGGTGCTGTCCTTGGCTCAGAGCCAGTGGACTTGGGGAGCACATGACCTAGTAAGACAACAGCTGAGATGTCCAAGGAAGTGCTGTGCCACCCCTCCCCCAGTTCTGGACAGTGAAACTCACAACTCCAGGAGAGACACTTTCCCTCTACTAGAAGAAAGGAGAGGGAATTGTAAAAAGGACTTTGTCTTGGAACGTGGATAAAAGCTCATCCACAGTAAAATGAAGCACCAAGAAGAGTCTTAAAGCCTCTATTCTAGGCCTTAGCTCCTGAATAATATTTCTAGACTCATGCTGGGCCAGAAAGGAACCCGATGACATGAAGGGAAAGATTCAGTTCTGGCAGGATTCATCACTTGCTGACAGAAGAGCTATTGGGCCTTGAATAAACATCAGTTAACAGCCAGGTAGTAGTTGCCATGGGCCTTGTGTGAGACTCAGTACTGTGCGGGCTTTAGGTTTGACCCAGCACATTCTCAGCTGTGGTGGCCACAGGGTGAAACTCCTTCTTTTTGAAGAAAGAAGAGAGAAGAATATAAAGGACTTTGTCTTGCAACTTGGGTGCCAACTTAGACACAGGAAAATAAAACACTGAGCAGGCTCCTAAAGTCCCTAATTCCAGACCTTAACTTCTGAATAGAATTTCCAGACATAGCTTAGGCCAGAAGGGAACCCATTGCCATGAACGCAGAGACCAGCCCTCACAGGATTCACCACCTGCTGATTCAAGAGTCCTTGGGCCCTGAATAAACATCAGTGGTAGCCAGGTAGTAGTTGCCACTGGCAGGCCTGGGGAGTTTCTAAACTACTGCTACTCCCTGGCTGCCACTGGGAGTTAGCAACTACTACAACTACTCCCTGGCTACCACTGAGAGTTGGCAACTACTACCTGGATAACACTGGAGTTCTCCATTGGGAGGAACTCCTTCTGTTTGAGGAAAAGAAAGAAAAGAGTTAAAAAAAAAAAAAGTATTTGTCTTACAATTTGGGTACCAGCTCAGTCATAGTAAAGTAAAGCACCAAGTATATTCCTAAAGTTCCCAATTCCAGGACACAGTTCCCAGACAACATTTCTAAATACACCCTGGGCCAAAAGAGAACCTGCTTGCCCTGAATAGAGAGATACAGCTCTGGCAGGATGCATCACCTGCTGCCAAAGAGCTCTTGGGCCTGGACATTGGTGGCACCCAGGTATTAGCTGCTATGGGCCTTGTGAGAGACTTAATACCATGTTGGCTTCAGTTGTGATCCAGCACTGTCCCAGTGGTGGTGGCAATGGGAGTGCCTGTATCACCTTTCCCCAACAGCAGGCAGTTCAGCATGGAGAGACAGACTCTGTTTGTTTGAGGGAAAGTAAGGGAAAAGAAAAAAAGACTCTGCCTGGTAATCCAGGGAATTCTCCTGAATCTTACTCAGGAGCACCAAAGTGCTGCTTCTGCAAGAGTTACAGCATTACTGGGTTTGGGGTACCCTGTATGCAGATATGGCTGTAGTGACCAAAGACTTAGACCACAACACTCAATTCCTTTTGAATACTTGGAAAGCCTTCTTAAGGAGGATAAATGCAAATAAGTCCAAACTGCAAGAATGAGAATAAATGCTTAATTTTTTAATGCCCAGATATTGAAAGACATCCAAAAGCACGAAGACCATTCAGGAAATTACAGCATCACAAAACAAACTAAGTAAGACACCAGTACCCAATTCTGGAGTGACAGAGATATGTGACCTTTCAGAGGGAGAATAAAAAATAGCTGTTTCTGAGAAAGCTAAATGAAATTTGAGGTAAAACAGGGACAAAATTTAATAATCCTATCAAATAAATTTAACAGATTTTTAAATGATTTTTTAAGAAATAGAGCAGAAATTCTGGAGCTAAAACACTCAATTCATGTATTGAATAATGCATCAGAGTCTCTCAGCAGCACAACGATACTTTCAAGCAGAAGAAAAAAATAATAAGCTTGAAAAGAGGCTATCCGAAAATACATGGGCAGAAGAATCTAGAGAACAAATAATTTAAAAAAATAAACAACACCTACAGGATCTAGAAAACAGCTTCATAAAAGCAAATTTAAGAGTTGGGGGGTACACACGCAGATTTGTTAGCTGAGTATGTTGCATAATGCTGAGGTTTGGAGTACAACTGATCCTGTCAAGCAGATACTGAGCATAAGAGCCAATAGTTTTTCAACACTTGCCCCGCTCTATTCCTCCCTGCTCTGGTAATCCCCACTATCTGTATTTGCCAGGTTTATGCCCATGAGTCCCCAGTGTTTAGCTCACTTTTATTTATTTTGTTTCTTATTTTTATTTATTTATTTATTTTTTTGAGATGGAGTCTTGCTGTGTCACCCAGGCTGGAGTGCAATGGTGCAATCTCAGCTCACTACAACCTCCGCCTCCCGGGTTCAAGTGATTCTCCTACCTCAGCCTCCTGAGCAGCTGGGATTAAAGGCGCCTGCCACCAAACCAGGCTAATTTTGTACTTTTAGTAGAGACAGGGTTTCACCATGTTGGCCAGGCTGGTCTTGACCTCCAGACCTAAGATGATCCACTTGCCTCGGCCTCCCAAAGCGCTGGGATTACAGGTGTGAGCCACTGTGCCTGGCATATCTCTCATTTATAAATGGGAATATGCAGTTTTGGTTTTCTGTTCCTGCATTAGTTTTCTTAGAATGTCCTTCAGCTGCATCCATGTTGCTGCAAAGGACATGATATGATAATTTTTACATGGCTGTGTAGTATTCCATGGTATATTTCATGGTATATATGTACCATTTATTTTATCCATCCACCACTGATGGGCACCTAGGTTGATTCCATATCTTTGCTCTTGTGAATAGTACTGTAAAGAACAAACAAGTGCATGTGTCTTTTTGGTAGAACTATTTATTTTCATTTGGATATATACCCAGTTATGAGATTGCTGGGTCAAATGGTAGCTCTGCTATAAATTCTTTGAAAAATCTTTAAACTCCTTTCCACAGTAGTTGAACTAATTTACATGCTCATCAACAGGGCCTAAGCCTTCTGTTTTCTCCACAGCCATGCCAGGATCTGTTGTCTTTTGACTTTCTGCAAATACCCATGCTGATTGGTCTAAGATGATATCTCATTGTAGTTTTGACTTACATTTCTCTGAAAATTAATGATGCCAAGTATTTAAAAAGATACATAAAATCAACAGACTTACAACCAGACTAAAAATAAAAGAGAAAATAAACAGAATATGAAGTAAAAAAATATTACAGCAGACACCAAAGAAATTAAAAGCAACATTAGAGAGTACTGTAAACAACTATATGCCAATAAATTGGAAATACTAGAAGAAACAGATGAGTTTCTAGACATATAAAGCGTACCAGTATTGAATCATGAAGAAATCCAAAACATGGATAGGCCAATAACAAATAATAAGATTGAAACAGTACTAAAGAGTCTCCCAGGAAAGAAAAGTGAACCCAATGGCTTCACTGCTGAATCTTACCAAACATCTAAAGAACCAATACTGATTCTACTCAAATTATTCCAAAAAATACAGAAGGAGGAAATATTTCACTCATTCTTTGAGGCCAGTTTTACCTTAATACAAAAACCAGACAGACATGTCAAAAAAAGGAATCTACAGGTCAAAATGTCTGATGAACATTGATGCAAAAATTCTCAACAAAATTCTAGCAAACCAAATTCAACAACACATTACAAAGATAATTCATCGTGACCAAGTGTGATTTATCTCAGGGATGCAAGGATGGCTCAACATATGTAAATCAGTGAATGTGATACATTTTATCAACAGAATGAAGGACAAACCTCATATGTCATTTCAATTGAGGCTGTAATAGCATTTGATAAAATTCAACAGCATTTATTCATGATAAAAATCATCAAAAAACCGGATATAGAAGGAACATACCTCTACACAATAAAAGCCATATATGACAGACTCACTGGTAGTATTATACTGAATAAATAAACTCTTAAAGCCTTTTCTCTAGAGTCTGGACTATGACAAGGATTCTCACTTCCATCATGATTAAACATACTACTGGAATTCCTAGCTAGAGAAATCAGATAAGAGAAAAAAAAGGCATATGAATTGGAAAGAAAAAAAGTCAAATTATTCTTGCTTGCAGATGATACTTTTGCAGAATGTTTGCTTCTTAGTTAAGCTAAAAACGGGTTCTTGTCACATGACCAGGAAGGATTAGGAATGAGGAAACATTGAAGGGTGAGTGGAGCAAAATTTATTGAGAAAAAAAGAAAACCTCTCAGCAAAGCGAGAAGGGTTCCTGCCAATGGGCTCCCACTCCACGAATTCCAGACCACAACACGTGAGCTGAAGAGGCCAGGCTCTTCCCCACGCACAAGGCATGAAATTTCCATGGTTTTACCCCATTTTGCCAGTGTGCAGGAGGGTTGGAGATTTTCCAAGCACCCTCCCCCTTATCTGCCTCCTGCATTTATCATCCCTCCACCTAAAAAAGTACATCTAACTGCCATTAGAATAAAAATAAGGATAAGGGCAAAGACTGATCTTAACTGCTTCCTGCCAATAGTGGCTGCTGTTTTGGGAAAAAGGCAGTCAGATCTCCCTCAGTGGCCTATCCAAATGTCCATGGCAAAAGGGGCCCTCATCTGAGGCCCTGTTGCATGATCATTTGGAGTTCAAAAGCCTGAATGCAAGGAGAGACAAACTGGGTTATTTGAAGACATGTATAAAAATGAAATGAGTGGAGGAGGAGTAAAGACAGCCCAAAAATCCCAAGGACTTTCACCAGTTTTCACAGGGAGAAGGAGGCCAAAAGCCTAACTGGCAAAGAAAAAAAAAAAAAAAACAGAGCAAAAAAATAAAACAAACAAACAAAAACTTTAACCCTTTTGTTGGCATGTTGGGCTTCTGGGTTTTCTTTCCCTGAGCCCAATCCTAAGCCAACCGAGAAATTAACTTTTTCCAGTTTGGAGGGGAGTGTCCCACAGTACAGAGACACAATAGCATATCAGTGAGGAAAGGACAGAGGAGGAAGAAGGAGAAAGGAGGCATTTTTTTCAAAGGAGTCTGAGGGGTTCAGGATGCATTTGAAAGAAGTACAAACTGAATATGAATGGCTACTAATCTAGAAAAAGGGAAGTAATGCTTTCCAGGTTTCCTTATTTTTCTAGCAAATACCTGGGGTATGTATGGAGAGAAAGTGAGGCATTCCTCTTTCTTTCTTTCATTCTTATATACTCGAGTCTAAGCGACAATAATAGGGTGCAGCCCATGGGTGTTAAAGTGGCTTTCACCCATGTTAACAGAAGGGCCATACTCAGATATGCCAACATATCCCCTAACTCCCCTGCAGTCAGTAGCCTTTGAATTCCCTAGACCTCATTTATGCCATGGATATTAGCATGACCTTTATCCATGAAATGGGAAGCTTGGCTTAATGAGCAAAAATTAGTCATGCTCACCTGCACTATGCCTTTTAACTTCCATTATCATCTGCCTATGGATCCCTCTGATCCAGTTCTCTTTCCTAGGGCTTCCACCTGAAACTTGGAATTGAGTTTGGGACCAAAAACATGTCTCAGGGAGGGGGTTGCATGGACTCTTTATTATAAGCTGAATGCTAAGATGAAGCTGGGGAATTCAGTTCTCCTCCAACAAGGGAGAGAAAAGGATGTCCTGTGACATGTGCAGATGACTGGTGACTATAATTATGCTTGCTAAGATTTGGGTGCATGGGGCTTGGCTTTGACTAGCTCCCTTGGTCTTACTTTCCTAAAAAGGAAACCTCCAGGTGATGGGCATCCTATTTAGACCCATCACTAGACAGGATTTGCAGATAATTGCTCAGAACTAGAATATTGATCTCAATTTTTACATTACCCATCATTTTTTATTCCTTATAAGCTGCTGTTGGAGATCACTGGATGGTTCACAGGGATAAGCAGAGTTAGTTTAAACTGTAGGCAAGAACTTAAAAACAACCAATGAGTCTAGAATTTAATGACAAATGTATAAGATTTGTAGCATAATTTCTCTCTCTCCAGTCTTCATTTCTGTTAAAAACAAATCATCATAGTATTGAGTTATTGGAAAAATAGACTTTAGTCTTACACTTCGCCTGATTATTTGCATAAATTGCAGGACAAATAATTATCTCTACATGGGCCTTTTAGATTGGCTTTGATGGAAGTCTGTTCCACAAAGAATCTCAGATAAGACCTTTTAAAGCTGAGCCCAGTTATGGGTTTGTACCCTCAAATACCTGTGAGTTGGCTAAAGTTCTCTCTTCTTGAGGTCCAAAGACCATAAGGTTCCTGGGCCTGTTTGAAAGTGACATTATTTACTCACTACAAGTTAAGAACCCTGTACAGGGACTGTGTAGACAAGGTATGAGGCCAGTCTTCCCAAGGGGTTTTTATTGGCTCTGCAAGTCAAGCTTGTCTTCTTAAAGGGAAGCATAACCTTCTAATCAAAACTTTAGTAAAATAATCTATTTCTCCAATTGCATCCTGTTGCCATAAGTTAATAGCACTCACAACTAGTTTCCAAATTCCAGAGAAGCCCAGCAGAGAGAGAGAGACAACTATGCTCCAAATGTTGTTCATGGGAGTATACTCACTCAAATATTAAAGGCCATAAATAGCTCAAAATAAGTTTCCTTGACTCTGGAAAACAAAACAAGGATCAGCAATGTTCTAAGCAAAAGTGAAAAGATTGCTTCAGTTTTCTATTTGTTCAGTCCATTCAGATAACTCTTATTTATTTATTTATTTATTTATTTATTTTATTTTGAGACAGAGTTTTGCTCTTGTTGCCCAGGCTGGAGTGCAATGGTGCGATCTCGGCTCACCACAACCTCCGCCTCCTGGGTTCCAGCGACTCTCCTGCCTCAGCCTCCCAAGTAGCTGGGATTACAAGCATGGGCCACCACACCTGGCTAATTTTTTTTATAGTTTTAGTAGAGATGGAGTTTCTCCATGTTGGTCAGGCTAGTCTCGAACTCCTGATCTCAGGTAATCCTCCCACCTCAGCCTCCCAAAGTGCTGGGATTACAGGTGTGAGTCACCGCGCCCAGCCCAACTCTTGTTTTGCTTGATGTTCATAAACATTTCAGCTCTTCATGAGTCCTGTACATTTTCCCTTTATTCCAATGTTACAATGTCCAAAGTTATCAGAAACCTGCATTTGAGAGCACCTGTCAAAGTTCTATACCTGATTATAAAACATCTTTTGAAGAAGATGTAGACAAGACAATTGTATGTGAATAACAAAATATTCAGGGTAGTTACACTCAAAAATATGATTGACAAAGATATTTGGTTATCTCTGTGGTTTATAATAACTTAACATAATAACCTTAATTATGATTGGAAACATAAACTCAGGCATTAGAATTACAGAAATTCCATACAATTTTGGAGCATATATTAATATTATTTCCTAAAATATAACCTGAAGAAGATTAAACATCACTTTGGCAATATCATGTATGTCAAATAATCAATATGTCAAATAATCCTGTTTACATTTTTTATGGATGCTCCAGGGGCCCTCTGTAGCATCCAAACATCAGGCATAAAGAAAAACAATTTTGAAACTGAAGTTTGATTTTGGGAAGCCTGTTAAATGTCCGAGATTTAAAACACTGTATATTATAAGATAGAATTCCAGATTACCATAAGTTATTTATTTTGCCAAAATGATGACTCAGAAATTTTTAAAAAACATAAATCTTTTTACCTTTACACATTTTGCTAAAGAGAAAATTACTGTCTTAAGAGTACCTTGTTGTTGGTGGCTCACGCCTGTAATCCCAGCACTTTGGGAGGCTGATGACAGCGGATCACGAGGTCAGGAGATCCAGACCATCCTGGCTAACACGGTGAAACCCCGTCTCTACTAAAGATACAAAAAATTAGCTGTGCATGGTGGCTGGCACCTGTAGTCCCAGCTACTCGGAAGGCTGAGGCAGGAGAATGGCGTGAACCCGGGAGGCGGAGCTTGCAGTGAGCCGTGATGGCGCCACTGCACTCCAGCTTGGGCAACAGAGCGAGACTCCACCTCAAAAAAAAAAAAAACAAAAGAGTACCTTGTGTTTTTATTTCAGTGCTCACTTTACAGAAAAACCATATTATACCTTTTTGAATTTAGTCAGAATATTAACACATGGAATTTCCTTTGCTAGATTAACTTTTACAATCCTTCCACAACTTGTTTGAACTTTTAGCTTTATCCTATCTATTTCAAAATGATTTTTAACCCTATGCAACAATTTACATTTCTATGCCTACTTATAATCTTTAATTAAAAACACATTTTAATGTTCTTACATACCTCACATGTAAATCTATTTTTAGTAGTCCCAATTACATGTTATGTGGTAACTCCTAGCAATTTTTAACTTTAATGTCAAACTTGGTAAGTTGTTTAAATTATGTGCGCATTGCAGCCAAGGTTTGACTCATAATTAAGGGTGCATAATTAAGGGTGCTGTTAATTCCATATGTCCCAAGCCTTTCCAATTGTGAAGCAGGCAAGTCAAACATTTCTCAAAAACATAAAAAGCAATTTATAACCTTATAACATTTTGCAAACCTATTATCTGACATGCATAATTTAGTTTACCTATTTACATTTTGACAACATCTGCATTTCACCAATAATATTTAAGGCTGTTTTTATTTCTCAAATATTAAAGTCACAGGAGCTAAAAGGTACCACAGCTTTTGTCTCTGTTTTAAAAAATATTTGATCCAATCACTTATCTTCCTTTAGGCTAGTTAATTAGAGCTCCTTTTTTTATAGACATCATCACACAACACACATATAACTACACAGGCAAGAGAAGACCCAGTAGCTATATGATTTTTCATGGGCCAATCTCCTAATTGGATTATTGGCCTCCATGAGGAACCCTTTAAGAGGCAGGCCGAGGAAAACATGTAGTTTCTAGGGCCTAATAAACAGGCATAACTGTGAGACAAAAACAGATTTTGAAATGGATCTATCCAATTTTAATTCCTGGGATTCCATGAAGAAAACAGATTTCTTCCCAAAACGGGACCAGTGGCACCTTCTCTATTTATTCCAAAGAGTCCCATGACCACAGAAGTTATCTTAGAGCCTCTCATGTGTGCATTAAGAGTGTCAAGTCAAAATGGAGAAAAATAATTAAGTCAACTGAGAAAAAAAACTTTTCCAGCAAAACAAGATCCAAGAAGAGAAAAAACATAAAGGCCTTTTAAATATACCTGTAACTTGGATATCCACTTTTAATTAAGATGTGTGCTCTTTAAGGAAATCCTTTTAAATTCCTTGTTATCCAACTTTAGCTGCAATATTTCTGGTTTTCAAACATGACTAAAGGCTCAGAGAAAGGAAAAACCAAGGCAGTTTTTGGAGGAGAAGATAAACAACAAATGGCAAAAGGTCATGCAGATATCAAACCAGAAAGGACTAATTTCTTAAGCCAGAAGTGAACCCTAGCTGCCACTGTAAAATGACAAAGGCTAAACCAAAGCATTGCCAGGTGGTTACAGGTCTTATTCTTATATAAACGGATTGTTTCAACAGAGTGATAAACTTAATCGCTGCCTGACTGAGCTGGACCCTTTAGCTGAGGGAGAGGAAGACTCTGTGGATGCATGGCTTGAAATGCTGGCCAGTCTGCCATGCAGCGCCTTTGGGCCATGTGCCCCAGCCTTGCCTAAAAGGGGTTGGGGGTGAGGAGCCATTTGCTTGTCTGTCCCAAAAGAAAAGAAAAAGGCTGACATTCTTGACCCCTGGACTGACAGGGAGGGGAGCAGTGAGGCACAATTTCCTTTACCCTCAGAAGTCTGAGGACAAAAAGTCTTAGACGCGAAAGGGAAAAAGCTTTTTTGGTTTGCATCTTACTCACTCTTTCTCATACCCCTGCATAAGCCACCAAAATGTTGCAGAATATTTGCTCCTTAGTTCAGCTAAAACTCGATTCTTGTCATACAACCAGGAAGGATTAGGAATGGGAACACATTGAAGGGTGAGTAGAGTGGAATTTATTAGGAAAAAAGAAAACAAATAAAAAACTCTCAGGAAAGTGAAAGGGGTTATTGCCAATGGGCTCCCACCTCACAGATTGAATTCCAGGCCACTACACCCAAGCTGAAGAGACCAGGCCCATCCCCACTGCACAAGGCACAAAATTCTTCTGGCTCCACCCAATTTTTCCAGTGTGCAGGTGAGTTGAAGATTCTCTGGGGAACTCTCCCTCTTATCTGCCTTCTGCATCTATCAATACAATCTTATATTGGAAAAACCTAAAGACTCCACCACAAAAACTAAAACTTGGAACTAATAAACAAATTCAGTCAGTTGTAGGAGACAAAATCAACATAGAAAAATCAGTAACATTTTTACATGTCAGCAGTGAACAATGTGAAAACAAAATTTAAAAAATCACATTTACAATAACCATAAGTGAAATAAAATAGGAATAAACTTAACCAAAGAAGTGAGAGATAGCTATAATGACAACTAAAAAACATTGATGTAAGAGATTGAAGAGGACATTAAAAAACGAAAAGATGTTCCTTGTTCATAAACTAAAAGAATCAATATTTTTTAAATGTCCCTACTACTCAAAGCAATCTACAGATTTAATGCAATCCCTATCAAAATACCAACGACATTCTTTACACAAATAGAAAAAAATTCTAAAATTTATATGTAACCATAAATAACAAGAATAGCCAAAGCCATCCTGAGAAAAAACAACAAAAGTAGAGGAATCACATTACCTGACTTCAATTTACACTACAGCGCTATCGTGACAAAAACACTATGGTATGGATATGGTTTGACTGTATCTCCATCCAAACCTCAATTTGAATTGTATCTCCCAGAATTCCTACATGTTGTGGGAGGCATCCAGGGGGAGGTAATGGAATCATGGGGGCCAGTCTTTCCTGTGCTATTCTTGTTATAGTGAATAAGTCTCATGAGATCTGATGGGTTTATCAAGGGTTTCCACCTTTGCTTCCTTCTCATTTTCTCTTGCCACCACCACGTAAGAAGTGCCTTTGCCTCCCACCATGGTTCTGAGGTCTACCCAGCCACGTGGAACTCTAAGTCCAATTAAACCTATTTTTCTTCCCAGTCTTGGATATGTCTTTATCAGCAATGTGGAAACAGAGTAATACAGTAAATTGGTACCAGAAGAGTGGGGCATTGCTGAAAAGATACCCGAAAATGTGGAAGCAGCTTTGCAACTGGATAACAGGCAGATGTTGGAACACTTGAGAGAGCTCCGAAGAAGACAGGAAAATGTGGGAAAGTTTGGAACCTCCTAGAGACTTGTTGAATGGCTTCAACAAAATTGCTGATAGTGATGTGAACAATAAGGTCGAGGCTGAGGTGATCTCAGATGGAGATAAGAACTTGTTGGGAACTAGAGCAAATGTGACTCTTGTTATGTTTTGGCAAAGAGACTAGATAGCGGCATTTTGCTTCTGCCCTAGAGATTAATGAAACTTTGAACTTGAAAGAAATGATTTAGGGTATCTGGCAGAAGAAATTTCTAAGCAGCAAAGCATTGAAAAGGTAGTTTGGGTACTATTAAAGGCATTCAGTTTTAAAAGGGAAACAGAGCATAAAGTTCAGAAAATTTGCAGCCTGACTATGAGATAGAAAAGAAAAACTCATTTTCTGGGGAGAAATTCAAGCCAGCTGCAGAAATTGGCATAAGTAACAAGGAGCCTAATATTAATTCCCAAGACCATGGGGAAAATGTCCCCAGGCCATGTCAGACACCTTCATGGCAGCCCCTCAAATCACAGGCCCAGGAGGAAAAAATGGTTTTGTGGGTGGGGCACATGGTCCCTATGCTGAGCGCAGTCTAGGGACTTGGTGCCCTGTGTCCCAGCTGCTCCAGCTGTGGCTGAAAGGGGTCAACATAGAGTTTGGGCTGTGGCTTCAGAGGGTGGAAGTCCCAAGTCTTGGGAGCTTCCACATGGTGTTAAGCTTGCAGGTGCACAGAAGTCAAGAATTGAGGTTTGGGAACCTCCATCTAGATTTCAGAAGATGTATGGAAATGCCTGGGTGCCTTGGCAAATGTTTGCTGCAGGGATGGGGCCCTCATGGAGAACCTCTGCTAGGGTGAAGAAAGGAAATGTGGGATCAGAGTTCCTATACAGAGCCCCTACTGGTGCATTGCCTAATAGAGCTGTGAGAAGAGGGCCACCATCCTCCAAACCCCAGAATGGTAGACCCACCAACAGCTTGGACCATGCACTTGGAAAAGCCACAGACACTCAACACCAGCCTGTGAAAGCAGCCAGGAGGGAGGGTTTACCCTGCTAAGCCACAGGGGCAGAGCTGCCCAAGACCATGGGAAACCACCTCTTGGAACAGTGTGACCTGGATATGAGACCTAGAGTCAAAGGAGATCACTTTGAAGCTTTAAAATTTGACTGCCCCACTAGATTTCAGACTTGCATGGGCCCTGTAACCCCTTTGTCATGGCCAATTTATCCGATTTGGAATGGCCGTATTTACCCAATACCTGTACCCCTTTTGTATCTAGGAAGTAACTAGCTTGTTTTTGATTTTACAGGCTCATAGGTGGAAGGTGCTTGCCTTGTCTCAGATAAGACTTTGGAATGTGGACTTTTGGGTTAATGCTGAATGAGTTAAGACTTTGGGGGGCTGTTGGGAAGGCATGATTGGTTTTGAAATGTGAGGACATGAGATTCAGAGGTGCCAAGGACAGAATGATATTGTTTGCCTGTCTCCCCACCCAAATTTCATCTCCCAGAATTCCCATGTGCTGTGAAAGGGACCCTACCTTAGGATAGGTCCTAATCCAGCCTTACTGGTAACCATATAAGAAGAGACTGAGGTGCATAGAGAGACACCAAGGGCACAGCCACAAAGAGAAAACACCATGTGAGGACACAATAAGCAAGCGACTATTTGAAAGCCAAGGAGAGAGGTCTCAGAAGCCAAACTTGAGGACACCTTGATCTTGGACTTATAGCCTCTAGAACTGTGAGAAAATAAATTTCTGTTGTTGATGCCATCCAAGCTGGGGTTTTTTTGTTTTTTTTTTTTCTTTTTTTTCTTTTTTTTTTTTTAATGACACTGTGTTGCATTCGGTGGTCTCAAGTATCTTAGTTAACTAGTCCTGGTTGTGAGACAAGAACCCATACCTAGCTTCAAGGAGCAAAAATCCTGCATCACATTCTTCTTTCTTTTACTGTACATCAGGCTTGTCCAACCAAGGGCCCATATGCCACATGTGGCCCAGGAGAGCTTTGAATGTGGCCCAACACAAATTCATAAGCTTTCTTAAACCATTATGAGATGTTCTGTGATTTTCCATTTTTGCTCATCAGCTATTAGGGTTAGTATATTTTACATGTGTCCCAAGACAATTTTTCTTCTTCCAATGTGGCCCAGGGAAGCAAAAAAAAAAAAAATGTGTACTTTAAAATTTATTTTTATTTATTCATTTTTTTTGAGACAGAGTTTCACTCTGTCGCCCAGGCTGGAGTGCAGTGGCACAATCTCGGCTCACTGCAACCTCTGTCCCCTTGGTTGAAGCGATTCTCCTACCTCAGCCTCCTGAGTAGCTGGGATTACAGGCACCTGCCACCTTACCTGGCTAATTTTTGTATTTTTCATAGAGACGGGGTTTCACCATGTTGGCCAGGCTGGTGTTCAACTCCTGACCTCGTGATCCACCTGCCTCGGCCTCCCAAAGTGCTGGGATTACAGGCATAAGCCACCACGCCTGGCCTAAAATTTATTTTCTTAGTGGCTATCTTGACAGGCACAATCAACATGTTAAACGTATAAATAAAATCACATTTGAATAATACAAATTTCATTTTAATAGCATACAAGTACTCTTTTCCTTCACATCTCTGTCCCTCCAGTTTTATATTGTTATTGTCACAGAGTACATATTTTTCCAGTGAGTGGACATTACCATAGACTTATAATGATTGTTTAGGATATTTTCCTTTTAAATTGTATAAAAAAAGAGGATTCACAAGCCAACATATGATAATATTGGCTTTATATTTACTTATATAATTAACTTTACCTGTGTTCTTTGTTTCTTCACGTCTTTTATTTATTGTCTAACATGTTTCATTTTATACTGAACACCTTCCTTTAGAATTTGTTTAAGAGACTCCTTTAGCTTGTTTATCTGGAATGTCTTAATTTCCCTTTTATTCTTGAAGAATCATATGGCCAGATATTGAATTATTTGTTGACAGTTTTTTGCTCTTTTCCAGTGCTGAAACAGTCCATCCCACAGGCTTCTATTCTCAGAGATTATGATAAAATATCAGTTGTTAACTTTATGGAGCATACTTTGTACCTGATGAGTCATTTCTTTTTGCCGTGTGGTCTCTAGCTCTTCGTTTTAGGGTTTTGGTAATTTGATGGTAATGTAAATCTCTGAATTTATCCTGTTTGGCATTTACTGAGCTTCTTATAAGGATATTCATGGTTTTTATCAGATTTGGAAAATTTTTGGTTATTACTTCCTAAAATATTTTTTCCCTTTCTCTCTGTCTTCTCTGGGACTCTTCTAATGCATATATTGGTATGCTTGACGGTGTCCCACAGTTCCCGTAGACACTGTTTATTTTTCTACATTTTTTTCATTTCTGCCACAATGCTCTCACTCCTTAGAGATTGCCATTGTTATTTTTTGAGGACTTTACTCATACACTGATATAGTGACTTTTTCAAAATATTTTCGCAAAGTTTGAATTTCTTGTATGTGGTCACTGAAATTTTTGTTCTATTATCTCAGTAGTCAGCCTGTGATATGAAGTAGATTTTCTTAAATATCTGGATTTCGAAACAAGGTATATTTGCCATTTTAAATCTTAGGATAGATGCCTCTTGGGAATTCAATGCGGCCTAAGGGGTTTCAAACAAAGGCAAGTAGGCAAGTGTCTCCATTGTTTCCCCTAAGGGACACCAGACTGACCAAAATTTACAATTCTAAATTATTGGAAGTAAAGAAGGTTACTTGTCCACCCTTACACCAGATGACATAGTAGGATAACTATCCCATGTTTGCTAGGAGGATAAAGAATAGGGGGAAATACCTGATTCAAGCAAGCTGCTCCCTTATGAAAGTTTAACAGCCTCTGCTTTCTTTCATGAGGGACTCCCCACTTGCTGTGTCTAATTAGATTCCGGAGTTCTCAAGTAGTTTATTATGATAGTCTTCTTTTTTTTTTTTTTTTCCTGTTAAATGGTTATTTTGGTGGCAGGACCAAGTCCTGGAAATTCCTACTCTGTCATTTTCTGTGACACTCAGTTAGAAATAACCTAACTGAGGTTATTTCTAAACAGTCATTTTGCAGGACTACCTGTGGTCACACTTTTAGATGATATGTAAATTAGTGGAGAGGAGTAGAATTTGAAGCCTAAAGACTTGTGCTTGATTCTCATCAGTATCAGGAAAAATTGTATTTCCCTGGAAAATTTTCTGAATTATTAGAAACCTTTTCTCATTCAAAATATAGGGGGAAGTCAAGATGGCTAACCAGGCACAGCCAGGTGGATCATTTCTTACCAAAAGGATGAGACTTCAGGAAGACTGGCACATTCTGAGCAGATCTTTGTGGGGAAGGCATTGAGAGTGGACAGAGGTAAGACACAGTCACTGTACGGAAAGGGGAGGAAGCTGGGAATCCTGGCTGGGGCTGTTGACCACCATAACCCACTCTTGGACTGCTCAGATGAGGAGTGGCCTGCGCTCAGCATGGACCCCCAGAATCCTAGCTGCAGGAGAATCCACAATCCCCATGGACACTTCAGCTAGCACAGACAGATGCTTAGAGAGTTGGCATAGGTAGGACTCCCGTATGTGTGAAGCCCAGAGAGTTTGGTGTAGGAATTGCTGAAGTGGAGCACGGCCAAGAATGCCCATATCCCCAGGCTTACCAGGCTCGTCTAGGTGGCTTTAGCCTTTGAATGACTGCCGGGCATCAACAGAACAGGGTGGTCTTGCCCATGGGACAAAGAAAGTTTGATCTGACCTCTTCTGGGGCTCCAGCCTGGCCATATCTGCTTGCAGCACAGCCTCAGATGCCCAGCCACCTTTTTTTTTTTTGACGGAGTTTTGTTCTGTTGCCAGGCTGGAGTGCAGTGGCGCGATCTCGGCTCACTGCAACTTCCGCCTCCCAGGTTCAAGCAATTCTCCTGCCTCAGCCTCTGAGTAGCTGGGACTACAGGCATGCGCGACCACGTCCAGCTAATGTTTGTATTTTTAGTAGGGACGGGGTTTCACCATGTTGGCCAGGATGGTCTCATCTCTTGACCTTGTGATCTGCCCGCCTCGGCCTCCCAAAGTGCTGAGAATTACGGAAGGTAGCCACCGCGCCCGGCTCCCAACCACCATTCTTTCCGGGATTCTCATCATAGCAATTTTGCTGGCTGACTTCACCTTAGCATTGGAAAGCTCAAGCAGACTGGTGCCTGCCAACATGACCAACCCACCCAGAGCCTCCCCTCACCACAGCTTTCCCCTGCTGTTTTGCTGGTTTACACTTCCGCATGGCCCTCACTCACCACTTTTCTGTGTCAGGGTGTTGGCAGATATTGCATCTCCTCTAATGATATGCATGTATGCACATAACCCACCACTGCCAGCACAATTGCACCTGACTGCCCTGCCCACACCCACCAGCATTCCACTCCTGCTCAGGAACAGGCAGCCCACCGTGCTGCTGTTGCTGCTGCTAGCATGAGTGCATGCACAAACACTGGAACCCCTGCCCTGCTGCACTGCAGCCACTGCCAGTGTAAACACAAGCAAAGATACCACCACCCTGCCATTGCCCTGCCCCTGACAATGCACAGGCACTCTGCTGTGCTGCTGCCACCAGCACAAATGCATTCCTGGATGTCACTGCCCCACTCCCACTGTTGTCCCGCCCCAACCAACATGTGTGTACCCTGTCAAACCTCTACAACTGCTGGCACATGTGAGTGATCATGGTTCCCGCTGCTGCCATCTCTATGAAGTGCTTTTAACAGCACCCCTCCCCCTGTCCCGTGAGAGTGTTGGGGCTAGTGGACTGGTCACACCTTGGCCCCTCTAGCAAAAGATATTTCTAACCTTTAGGGAGCAGAGAACATGCTCAGCCCAGGAGTGCTAAAGTGAGCCTTGGCCCCTTGAAATTTTCCAGAATTGAAGCCAGTCAACTGAACCTACCTTATACCACAATAAAATTCCCCAAGGGCATCAAAGACAATAAAAGCAAAAACTCCATCTACAGGACAGCAACTGCAAAGATTAAAGGAACATCAGCCCATACAGATGAGAAAGAATCAGAGCAAGCACTCCAGCAACTTGAAAAGTCAGAGCGTCTCTTACTTCTAGTCAAAAACATTAATGCTCCAGCAATGTTTCTTAAGCAGGCTGAAATGGCTGAAATGACAGATACAGAATTCAGCATATAGATAAAAATGAAAATCATCAAGATTCAGTAGAAAGTCAAATCCCAATCCTTAGAAAGGAATTCAAAGAATACAATAAAACCATACAGGAGCTGAAAAACAAAATAGTCACTTTAAGACAGAATAAAACTGATCTGATAGACCTGAAAAATATACTGCAAGAACTTCAGAATATAAGTGCAAGTATTAATAGTAGAATAGAACAACTAAGAAAAGAACTTCAGAGCTCAATGATTGGTTCTCAAAATTAACTCAGTCAGACAAAAATAAATAGAAAAGAATACAAGAGAATTAATGAAACCTCTGAGAAATATTGAATTATGTAAAGAGACTAAATTTACAACTCATTCATGTTCCTGAAAGAGAGGGAGAGAAAGCAAGCAACTTGTAAAAACATATTTGAGGATATTATACACAAATATTTTCCAACCTTTCCAGAGAGGCCAACATTCAAATTCAGGAAATGCAGAGGACCTCTTCAAGATACTGTACAAGATGACCATCCCCAAGACACATAGTCATTCAATGTCAGCATGAAAGAAAAAATGTTAAATGAAGCTAGAGAGAAGGGATGGGTCATCTGCCAAGGGAACCCAATCAGGCTAACAGCAGAACATTCAACCAAAACCATGCAAGCCAGAAGAGACTGGGGGCCTATATTTAGCATGCTTAAAGTAAAGAAACTCTAACCAAGAATTTCAGATCGAGCCAAACTAAGCTTTGTAAGCAAGGGAGAAATAAGATTATCTTCAGAAAAGCAAATGCTAAGGGAATTTGTTACTATCAGACCTGCCTTACAGAAGGTCCTTAGGAAGTGTTAAATATGGAAGTGAAAGACCATTACTAACTACCACAAAAATATAGTTAAGTACATAGACTATTAATACTATAAACCAACTACACAATAAAGTCTATGTAATAAATGCTATCAACTTGATGAAAGGATCAAAGCTGCACATATCAAAATGAAATTTAAATTTATATAGGCTAAAAACCCACTTAAAAGGCATAGAGTAGTAATTTGGTTGTAGAAGCAAGACCAAACTTTATGTTGTCTTCAAAAGCTCCAACTCACATGCAATGACACACATAGGCTAAAAATAAAGGGAAGGAGAAATATCTACAAAGTTAACAAAAAATCAAAGAAATGCAGGGATTGCTATTCCTATTTCAGATGAAACAGACTTTAAACCAACAACAATAAAAAAAAGACAAATAAGGACATTACGTAATGGTTAAGGATTCAATTTAACAAGAAGCCTTAACTATCTTAAATATATATTCATACGACACAGTAGCACCCAGATTTATAAAACAAATTCTTAGAGACCTACACAGAGATTTGATAACCACACAATAATATAATAATAGTGGTAGACTTCAACACCCCACTGAAAGTATTAGACAGATCATTGAGGCAGAAAACTAACAAAGATATTTAGGACCTGAACCCAACACTAAACCAAATGAACATAACATAGACATCTAAGGAACTCTCTACCAAAAAATATACAAAAAATGAAAAAAGGAAAAAGAAGAATATACATTCTTTTCATTTGCACATGGCATATACTCTAAAATCAGCCACACAATTGGCCATAAAATAATTCTCAGGAAATTTTAAAAAACTGAAATCATATCAACCACATTCTCAGACCACAGCACACACACACACAAAAGAAATCAATACTGAGAAGATTGCTTAAAACCATACAGTTACGTAAAAATTAAACAACCTGCTCCTGAAAGACTTCTGAACAAATGATGAAATTAAGGTAAGAATCAAGACATTCTTTGAAACTAATGAGAACAATGATACATCATAGCAGAATCTTTTTGATACAGCTAAAGCAGTATTGAGAGGAATGTTTACAATGCTAAACACCCACATGAAAAAGTTAGAATGATCTCAAATTAACAATCTAACATCACACCTAGAGGAACTAGAACAATAAGAGCAAACCAAACACAAAGCTAGCAGAAGACAAGAAGTAACCAAAATCAGAGCTAAAATAAATGAAATTGAGATGCAAAATATTACAAAACATCAACAAAACCATAAGTTATTTCTTTAAAAGAATAAATAAGACTAATAAGCCACTACCTAGACTGATAAAAAAATAAAGAGAGAAGATCTAAGTAAATACAATAAGAAATGACAAAGATGACATTATGACCAGCGCCATAGAAATACAAAAAGCATTAGAGATTATTACAAATACGTCTATGCATACAAACTTGAAAATCTACAAGAAATGGGTAAATTCCTAGAAACATACAACCTCTTAATACTGAATTAGGAAGAATTTGAAACCCTGAACAGAACAATGAGTTTTGAAATTGAATCAATAACAAAAAGTCTACCAGGCAGAAAAAGCCCAGGGGTCAGATGGATTTACAGCTGAATTCTACCAGACATATAAAGAAGAACTAGTACTATTCCTACTGAAACTGTTCCAAAAATTTGAAGAGAAGAGATTCCTCCCTAACTCATTACATGAGGCCAGCATTATTCTGGTACCAAAACCTCGCAGAGACCCACCAAAAAAGGAACTTGAGGCCAATACACTTGATGAACATAGATGCAAAAATTCTCAATAAAATACTAGAACATTGAATCTGGCAACACATCAAAAACCTAATCCACCATGATCAACTAGGTTTTGTCATTGGGATGCAAGATTGGTTCAACATACACAACTCAACAAATGTGTTTCATTGCATAAACATAACTAAAAACAAAATCCACACAATCTCTCAATAGATGCAGAAAAGTCTTTTGATAAAATCCAGTATCTCTTCATGTTAAAAGACACAATAAACTAGGTATTGAAGGAACGTACCTCAAAATAATAAGAGCCATCTATAACAGACCCACAGCCAACATCCTACTGAACAAGCAAAAGTTGGCTGCATTCCCCTTGAGAATCAGACCAAGAAAAGGATGTCCACTCTCACCACTCCTATCCAACCCAGTACTGCAAATCCTAGCCAGAGCAATCAGGCAAGAGAAAGAAATAAAAGGTATCCAAATATTAATAAAAACAGAGAAGATCAAACTCTCTCTGTTTGCAGATGATCTGATTCTATACATAGAAAACCCTATAGTCTCTGCCCCAAAGCTTCTTGATCTAAAACACAACTTCAGCAAGTTTCAGGATAAAAATGAATACACACAAAATTCAGTAGCATTTTTATCCAACAACAGTGTTCAAGCTGAGTGCCAAATCAAGAATGCAATCCCATTCACAATAGCCACACATAAAAAATAAAATACCTAGGAAGACAGCTAACCAGGGAGGTGAAAGATCTCTGCAATGAGAATTACAAAACACTTTTCAAAGAAATCAGAGATGATGGCACAAACAAATGAAAAAACTTATTTGATGCTCATGGATGGAAATAGTCAATATTGTTAGCACTGTCATACTGCCCAAAGCAATGTACAGATTTAATTTGCTCTTTCTATTAAACTATCAATAACATTCTTCACATAATTAGAAAAAAAACTACTCTAAAGGTTATATGGAACCATAAAGAGCCTGAATAGCCAAAGCAATCATAAGCAAAAATAACAAAGCTGGAGGCATCACATTACCTGACTTCAAATTATGCTACAAAGCTACAGTAACTAAAACACCATGGTAACAGCACAAAGACAAACACATAGACCAATGGAACAGGTTAGAGAACCCAGAAGTAAAGCTGTACACCCACAGCTATCTGATTTTCAACAAAATTGAAAAAAGCAAGCACTGGGGAAATAACTTCTATTCAATATATGGTGCCAAGATAACTGGCTAGCCATATGCAGAAAACTGAAACTATACCCCTTCCTTACACTATATATAAAAATCAACTCAAGATGGATTAAAACTTAAATTTGAAACCTACAACTATAAAATCCCTTGAAGACAAATTAGGAAATACCATTCTGGAGTAGGACCTGGCAAAGATTTCATGATGAAGATACCAAAAGCAACTGCAACAGAAATACAAAAAAAAAAAATGACAAGTGGGACCTAATTAAATTAAGGAGCTTCTGCACAGCAAAATAAACTATCAACAGAGTAAACAGACAAGCCACAGAATGGGAGAAAAATATTTGCAAATTATGCATCTGTTAATTTATTTAAGTTTATAGATTCTGGATTCAGGGAAAAAACAAACAATCCTGTTAAAAAGTGGGGATAAACAAGATGCTTTTCAAGAGAAGACATACATGCAGCCAACAAGCACATGAAAAAAATTCCCAACATAACTAACGTTTAGAGAAATGCAAGTCAAAACCACAATGAGTTACCATCTCACACCAATCAGAATGGCTATTATTAAAATGTAAAAAAATAAGATGCTGGCAAGGTTGTGGAGAAAAGGGAATGCTTATACACTTCTGGTGGGAATATAAATTAGTTCAGCCACTGTAGAAAACACTTCAGAGATTTCTCAAAGAATTTAAAACATAACTACCAATTCACCCAGCAATTCCATTATTGGGTATATGCCAAAGGAATATAAATCATTCTACTACAAAGGCACATGCATGTGTATGTTCATCACAGCACTATTTGCAATAGCAATCTAAATGCCCATCAACAACAGACTGGATAAAGAAAATATGGCACATATACCCCATGTAATACATGCAGCTGTAAAAAAGAGTGAGATCACGTCCGTTGCAGCTACATGGATGGAGCTGGAGGTCATTATCCTAAGCAAACTAATGCAGAAACAGAAAACCAAATATCACGCCTTCTCATTTATAAGTAGGAGCTAAACAATGAATAGACATAGAGACAAAGAAGGGAACAATAAGCACCAGAGCCTGCTTGAGGGTAGAGAGTGGGAGGAGGATAAGGATTGGAAAACTACCTATTGGGTACTACGCTCTTGGAAAGTCTGCATCTTTGTTCCTGATCTTACTTAAAAAACTCAAGATAAATTTAAAATATACATTAAATATTATTAAAAATATAAAACAAAAATAAAGTTTTTTTTCTCCCTGGATCTTTTTAAGGGGCAGAATCTTTCTCATAGCAGTGTTTGTATAATTCATCATTTATTTTCACTCAAACTACTATCACGCACAGATATTTTAGTGAATTCCCCCTCTATCTATCTTTTAATCTGTTATTCTCTACTTTAGTCTTCCTCTTTCTACTTCTCACAATGATTACAGCAATACCCTTTTTCAGCAAATGGCTTTCAAAAGGATTACAGTTTTTCTTTTGTCCTACAAATTGTGGATGAGATAAAAATATAAAGTATTACGTATTAAGTATTAAGTACTAACATTATGGAAATATTCTTGGGAATATGGAGATTATGTAACTGCCTCAAGAGGTAATCAATTATGTCAATTCATAGCACCTCTTTTCACTTATTATAGTGGTCAAATATCTGTGAAGCAAAAGAAAGTAAATTAAAAGAAAAGGTAATGGGAGGAAAGCATAAAGTATTAAGGGTAAATACTCCTTTGAGCCTAATGCTAAGCACCATCAGGCAACATTTTTAAAATGACCCTAAGGTTTTAAAAATCAGATGTCTCGTCTTTTGACAATGAGGCAGCTAACACATCATTTTTTCTTGTTTTATTCGGTTTTTAACTCTGAAAGGGTTGTAGTTATGGCACATATTTTATGAAATAAAACATTATGTGTTATGTTTTAGCAGAAATACAATAACTTCCCTATTATTTGTATATGATTTCACCTATATTACATATTATGTTTGAATTATTCAGACCACCACTAAACTGTGGTCCTAACTAATTTTGTCCACTGAATGAATTGCTTACGAAAATGAGTCAATGGGGACCATATTGAGGAAAACTACTGCTAGCAGCCTAGAAATACTCGATCAAGTATTTAAATTTTGCATTTAGATTCTCATGTTGCATGTGCTTCAAAAAACTTTGTTGTATTAACAAATATTTAGGGGCAATGTTTATAGACACAAACACATTCCCTTTTTCTTTCTTTCTCTTTCTTTTCTTTCTTTTTTCTTTCTCTCTCTTTCTCCCTTTCTTGTTCTTCCTTTCTTTCTTCTTTCTTTCTTTCTTTTCTTTCTTTCTCCTCCCTTCCTTCCTTCCTTTGCTCCTTCCTTTTTTTCTTTCTTTCTCCCTCCTTCCTTCCCTCCCTCCATTCCCTCCCTTCCTTCCTTCTTTCCTTCCTTCCTTCCTCTCTACCTCATATAGCTCCTCTCATATAATAAGTACAAAATAAACATTTAATAATTACAAATAAATTATATAATTAGATCTTAAGTTATACAATTTACTCCTCTTCCCATCATAGTAATATGGTAACTACAGCAGATAAAAAATAAATAATTGAATATATTTAGAGTTGTATCACATAAAGATCTGCACTTTTCTTTGTCTCTTTGTCTTTTTTCTTATAGTTTATATCCCATCCAAGGCTCCTCTGTCAAGGAAGAGTACATATTCTCCAAATATTGGGCATCTCTTCACTTGTAAATAGTCAGGCAGAGGAAGAACAACAATTAATATGCATTTAATGACTTAGAAACATAATACCCTTAAATGCTGATCAGGGATTCTCCATTGTTTCATACTAAGGCGTTATAATGAGGGTCTTGCAAAGAAAAACATCAAGTTGAATTCTGAGTGTCTTAAGCAGAAGTGCTTGAGTGCCTTTTATTTCTTTTTTTTTTTTTGACTATATTTTGGTGTGTCTTTTTTTATTATTATTATACTTTAAGTTTTAGGGTACATGTGCACAACGTGCAGGTTTGTTACATACGTATACATGTGCCATGTTGGTGTGCTGCACCCAGTAACTCGTCATTTAGCATTAGGTATATCTCCTAATGCTATCCCTCCCTCCTCCCCCCACCCCACAACAGTCTCTGGTGTGTGATGTTCCCCTTCCTGTGTCCATGTGTTCTCATTGTTCAATTCCCACCTATGAGTGAGAACATGCGGTGTTTGGTTTTTTGTCCTTGTGATAGTTTACTGAGAATGATGGTTTCCAGCTTCATCCATGTCCCTACAAAGGACATGAACTCATCCTTTTTTATGGCTGCATAGTATTTCATGGTGTATATGTGCCACATTTTCTTAATCCAGTCTATCATTGTTGGACGTTTGGGTTGGTTCCAAGTCTTTACTATTCTGAATAGTGCCACAATAAACATATGTGTGCATGTGTCTTTATAGCAGCATGATTTATAATCCTTTGGGTGTATACCCAGTAATGGGATGGCTGGGTCAAATAGTATTTCTAGTTCTAGATCCCTGAGGAATCGCCACACCAACTTCCACAATGGTTGAACTAGTTTACAGTTCCACCAACAGTGTAAAAGTGTTCCTATTTCTCCACATCCTCTCCAGCACCTGTTGTTTCCTGACTTTTTAATGATCGCCATTCTAACTGGTGTGAGATGGTATCTCATTGTGGTTTTGATTTGCATTTCTCTGATGGCCAGTGATGATGAACATTTTTTCACGTGTTTTTTGGCTGCATAAATGTCTTCTTTTGAGAAGTGTCTGTTCATATCCTTTGCCCATTTTTTGATGGGGTTGTTTGTTTTTTTCTTGTAAATTTGTTTGAGTTCATTGTAGATTCTGGATATTAGCCCTTTATCAGATGAGTAGATTGCAAAAATTTTCTCCCATTCTGTAGGTTGCCTGTTCACTCTGATGGTGGTTTCTTTTGCTGTGCAGAAGCTCTTTAGTTTAATTAGATCCCATTTGTCAATTTTAGCTTTTGTTGCCGTTGCTTTTGGTGTTTTAGACATGAAGTCCTTGCCCATGCCTACGTCCTGAATGGTATTGCCTAGGTTTTCTTCTAGGGTTTTTATGGTTTTAGGTCTAACGTTTAAGTCTTTAATCCATCTTGAATTAATTTTTGTATAAGGTGTAAGGAAGGGATCCAGTTTCAGCTTTCTATATATGGCTAGCCAGTTTTCCCAGCACCATTTATTAAATAGGGAATCCTTTCCCCATTTCTTGTTTTTGTCAGCTTTGTCAAAGATCAAATAGTTGTAGATATGCGGCATTATTTCTGCAGGCTCTGTTCTGTTCCATTGGTCTATATCCCTGTTTTTTTTTTTTTTTTTTACCAGTACCATGCTGTTTTGGTTACTGTAGCCTTGTAGTATAGTTTGAAGTCAGGTAGCGTGATGCCTCCAGCTTTGTTCTTTTGGCTGAGGATTGACTTGGCAATGCGGGCTCTTTTTTGGCTCCATATGAACTTTAAAGTAGTTTTTTCCAATTCTGTGAAGAAAGTCATTGGTAGCTTGATGGGGATGGCATTGAATCTATAAATTACCTTGGGCAGTATGGCCGTTTTCACGATATTGATTCTTCCTATCCGTGAGCATGGAATGTTCTTCCATTTGTTTGTATCCTCTTTTATTTCATTGAGCAGTCGTTTGTAGTTCTCCTTGAAGAGGTCCTTCACATCCCTTGTAAGTTGGATTCCTAAGTATTTTATTCTCTTTGAAGCAATTGCGAATGGGAGTTCACTCATGATTTGGGTCTCTGTTTGTCTGTTATTGGTGTATAAGAATGCTTGTGATTTTTGCACATTGATTTTGTATCCTGAGACTTTGCTGAAGTTGCTTATCAGCTTAAGGAGATTTTGGGCTGAGACGATGGGGTTTTCTAAATATACAATCATGTCATCTGCAAACAGGGACAATTTGACTTCCTCTTTTCCTAATTGAATACCCTTTATTTCCTTCTCCTGCCTGATTTCCCTGGCCAGAACTTCCAACACTATGTCGAATAGGAGTGGTGAGAGAGGGCATCCCTGTCTTGTGCCAGTTTTCAAAGGGAATGCTTCCAGTTTTTGCCCATTCAGTATGATATTGGCTGTGGGTTTGTGATAGATAGCTCTTATTATTTTGAGATACATCCCATCAATACCTAATTTATTGAGTTTTTAGCATGAAGCATTGTTGAATTTTGTCAAAGCCCTTTCCTGGATCTACTGAGATAATCATGTGGTTTTTGTCTTTGGTTCTGTTTATATGCTGGATTACGTTTATTGATTTTTGTATGTTGAACTAGCCTTGCATCCCAGGGATGAAGCCCACTTGATCATGGTGGATAAGCTTTTTGATTTGCTGCTGGATTCAGTTTGCCAGTATTTTATTGAGGATTTTTGCATCAATGTTCATCAAGGATATTGGTCTAAAATTCTCTTTTTTTGTTGTGTCTCTGCCCAGCTTTGGTATCAGGATGATGCTGGCCTCATAAAATGAGTTAGGGAGGATTCCCTCTTTTCCTATTGATTGGAATAGTTTCAGAAGGAATGGTACCAGCTCCTCCTTGTACCTCTGGTAGCATTTGACTGTGAATCCATCTGGTCTTGGACTTTTTTTGGTTGGTAAGCTATTAATTATTGCCTCAATTTCAGAGCCTGTTTTTGGTCTATTCAGAGATTCAACTTCTTCCTGGTTTGGTCTTGGGAGAGTGTATGTGTCAAGGAATTTATCCATTTCTTCTAGATTTTCTAGTTTATTTGTGTAGAGGTGTTTATAGTATTCTCTGATGGTAGTTTGTATTTCTGTGGGATCGCTGGTGATATCCCCTTTATCATTTTTTATTGCATCTATTTGATTCTTCTCTCTTTTCTTCTTTATTAGTCTTGCTCGCAGTCTATCAATTTTGTTGATCTTTTCAAAAAACCAGCTGCTAGATTCATTAATTTTTTGAAGGGTTTTTTGTGTCTCTGTTTCCTTCAGTTCTGCTCTGATCTTAGTTATTTCTTGCCTTCTGGTAGCTTTTGAATGTGTTTGCTCTTGCTTCTCTAGTTCTTTTAATTGTGATGTTAGGGTGTCAATTTTAGATCTTTCATGCTTTCTCTTGTGGGCATTTAGTGCTATAAATTTCCCTCTACAAATCTCTCAAGTCTACTGGGTAGATTTGGTGCCATATCACCAGGACCGTGTTGCCAGAATTTCAAACAATACCTTGACTTATGTATAATTTACTCCTATGTACTATATCATGCATTTTTATCAAACGTTGTTATGACTCAAAAAGAGCCCGAATTTATTTGTTACTACTATAATATCTCATACTTATTTTCTTATCTTCCTATTTTTTCCATGTTTCTTTCTTCTTTTTTAGATGTTTTTGTGGGCTTAATGTTGGGTAGCTATAAGGCATAATAATAAGCAAAATGGGCTATTTGGTCTTATAGATAGGAATTAGAGTCCTGACTCAACCTGGCATTACTCTGAATTTTCTAGATTGAGAAAATAGGTGCATCGGGATACCTATTTTTTTAGATTGAGTTAATTATTAATATACAAGTTTTGGGAGTATAATGATAAGTTTAATCTTCCGTTTGCTGGGTACATAGTAACTCCTGTGAAAAATCAGAGTGGAAAAGTTGAAAAGGCAGTTGGATATATAGGTTTTTTAGAAGTGAAATATGGGCTGTAATTATACATTTGGAAGTTATTGAAAAGTCAAGATCACAGTAGGAAAGAACATGAAGCAAGAAATTACAGCCCAGGCAGAGCAACAGTGGACTTACTCAGGGAAGTATCTACATAAAGAAAGTGTTTCCAGAAGAAAGACTGGCATAGTGGGTAGTTGTATTTATTGACATTACAGTATATGTGAGAAACTGTTGTCTACCCAATAATATTTTGCAATTCTTCATTATGATGATGTAGAAAATAAAAATATGCAATTTAAAAAGTGTATTCTTAACGCTGTCTTACAGATAGGGCTGGATAATTACATTTAAGCCAAAGTCCTTGGGTGGGGTTCACTCAGCAGGCAATTGCCATGGTGCCCTTCTTTCTTCCTTCCTGCCTGGAATATAAATGTAATAACTGAAGCAGACTATCTTATAGTAATGATGTAACCTTGAGCATGGAAATTACTAAATAAGATGTACAGAGCAGAACATAGGAGTCTGAAATTCTAGTAATGTCTTTGAACTTCCACGACAAACCTGGTCTGCCTTTCTAATACAATTCACATATGACAGAAAAATAAAACAATTGAAAAATACTAGGGCTACCATGAATCTGGGTCTCTGTTACCAGAAGCTGAACACAGGTCATATCTCATTCAAGGTAATTAGTACAGTTTGTAAGGCCTGTTTCTTACTAACTGTACCAATTAACCTAACCCACCCAGTGACTTCTCTTCAGGGAAAAGACTGAAGAGAAGTCACCAGGAAGGTTAGAAACATTAATTTATTCAGCCACTGCTAAATGCATAATATGGAATTATATTAGTCATTGACAATATAGTGGCAGAAAGGCACACTTGGTCTTGTCACTTTTGGGGTTATAGCCTAGTCACTGGCCATAATTCATTATTCTTTCAGCTAAAAAGGCTGTTCCCAGAATCCTAAACCAGGATCATTTCATAAATTAAGAGCACGTAAGTCTGCTATGTATTTTAGAGTTTGCATTATTCTTCCTTGAAGGTTTTTGTTTTTCTATTTGTTGTTGTTGTTTGTTTGCTTCAATTCCAATTGTCTCTCTTCTTTTTGTATTCACTGATTGGTAAATATATATTACAAGAATAGATTTTTCTCCATGTCCCCTTACTTGTCAAGCTAGAATAACTTGTGTATATCTGAAGTCACAATTGACTTCTACATGTCATTTTAACACTATTTTTTATGGTCATGCTGTCTAATCTTTCTCCAGCATATGACACTGTTGACTACTCTTTGAAGCACTTTTCTTTTTTGGCATTGCAATGCTGTTCTACTTGGGGATTATTTTACCCACTTGGAGTGCTCAATATTTATAGATTAATCTTGCTTATGTTAGTGTCCCTCAATTTGCAACCCAAGATCTTTGCTCTCTGCACTGCATTTATTCTTCCTGATAAATGATATCAGTGTGTATGGCTTCAACTACTACCTTTGTCGTAATGAATTTAAAAATCAGTACCTCCAAACCAAACCATGATTTTCAGATTCTTTTATTACTTCATATGGCTTATTGTTACTGTTACCTCAAGCTAGTTGGCCTATGAATACCTCAAAAGTAATAAAAAATTCCTATCTATATCCGCATATCAAGCTATCTCATATTTTTCTATAGCTTTTTCTTATTTTCCCTTTCCTTTCATAAGTATGTACATTTCATTTTTTCTGATCAATTTCTTACCAAAGTAATTGACACTACCAACTGCAACTTTTTCAAGATAGACATATCAAAATTATCTATGAGTCAGTCTTCTCTACATAAATGCTTAGCATCCAGTAGGTTACCAATATATTACAGTCTGCTTACAAATGTATCTGAAATCTGTTCTCTATTCTCCAAAATAATTTCCATTATCTTTACCCTTCAACTCTCAAATATTTAAAGTAGAATTTAATGAGTGCCTCTGCTTCTATCTCTCTATCTATAGATTTCCATAAATAGATATATCAAGTCTTTTTTTCTCCAAATGGATTGTGTGCAATCACATATTTTAAAGGTATTTTCTGCATCAAAATGATTTTTAATATATCTCTCCCTCTTATTAGAAGAATCTTATCTGCTTTTTTCTGAACTTTAAGCTCTGTACTCATCTAGATAGCCTTGAACTGAGAGAGAGAAATTCCTCCTAGTTTGAAAAACAGTTAAACTAAGAAATGTTCTAGAAAAATACAGCATCTGCTTTTCTGGAATCAGGGGCAGCTTTCTTCATGTTCATGGCTTAAGGCTAATGAAAGTGCCTTAGGGGAGGTGAACAGTTTCCACCACTAGCTCTGTTTTATGATGGCAGGGACAATGTATTTAACTCTAATTTCTGGTATTTAGTGATGTATGCACAAATAATGCTCCATAATTGTTAAACAAATACATTGTAATGACACCCCATGTTTTTATCTCATTCCCAGGAGAAGGTGTATTTGGAGAAATCATAGGGGCAGATGTGTTACATTGCCATGCTTTCAACTGACTCTCAATAAGGATCTATTCATATTTATTAGATGAGCATTATCAGAATAGAAATAAACATAATTTTTACCAATAAGAGGAATTATCTTCTGCCATTTTGTTCAGAATAAAGCACATTTTAAAAGTATTCATTACTAAAGTAAATGTTTATTATCTGTTGTGCTGATATTAACTAAAGATACTTGTGAAATATATAGAATAGAACTAAAGTTTAGTCTTTGAGATATTTTTGTCAAGTGAGTTTTAACCAATAAAAAAGCTAGAGTTTATTTGTCCCATCATTCTTACTTTTTTGAACATCAATTTAAAATGTGTATTCATTCAGTGACCTATAGAGACACACTCTTTGGAATTATTAGTAAAATCATGGAACTATGAGTACATACAAATGAAAGAGAAAGGAAAGGAAGAACAGGCTATTATTTACCAATTTCTACACTGCATTGAAAACTAGCTTCTCTGATAAACCTGTAAAGCAACAACAATCAAGACAAAGAAGATGATTTATGCAGCTGTTTCAGCAGTGCTTCAATCACATTTATTCCTCATTTTACAACAACTCACATAAGGATAACATTGAAATTCACATGTTGAACTGCCAGTTTTTACATAGGTTTTCACATAATGAATAATATGAAGACCTTTCTGAAAATGTAACTTTTTTCTGACAAATCATATAGGAGAAAATATAATTTCAAAAACTTTACATGGTAGTTAAAATAGTAATATAAAACTGCCTTAATTCATTTACTCTGCTTCTTAATTTAACAATTTATCACACATTTTCATCTTAAAAACTAAATATAATCAAGAACATTTTCTAATTATTAGAGTAAACAGCATTGCATTTTACACACTGAATTTAATGTGTACTATTGGATATTTCTGAATTTTATTTCTTTTTAAATTTTTTATTTATTCGTCTTATTTTTTGTGACAGGGTCTCTCTGTGTCACCCAGGCTGCAGTGCAGTGGCGCAGTCTTGGCTTACTGCAACCTTGACTTCCCAGGCTCTAGTGATCTTCCCAGGCTCTAGTGATCCTCCCACTTCAGCCTCCTGAGTAGCTAGGACGACAGACACATGCTACCATGTCCGGCTAATGTTTTTATTTTTGGTAGAAATGGACTTCCCAGGCTCTAGTGATCTTCCCAGGCTCTAGTGATCCTCCCACTTCAGCCTCCCGAGTAGCTAGGACGACAGACACATGCTACCATGTCCGGCTAATGTTTTTATTTTTGGTAGAAATTGGGTCTCGCTGTATTGGTCAGACAGGTCTCAAACTCTTGAGTTAAGCGATCTGCCTGCCTCAGCCTCCCAAAGGGCTGGGATTATAGGTGTGAGCCACTGTGCCTAGCCTCTGAATTTTAAATGTACTATTTTGTGGTTAAATTTTTAACACACATCAGACATATTAAAGTAGTTATCTTTTGAAAAAGAACATTTCCTGTTAGTAAAATGAATATTAGTAAATTAGAAAGTAAATTACATTTTTACTAGAGTTACATTTGATAGGAAAGCTTAAAGTGAGTTTAGATCAATGTTCAAGCTAATAGTTGTCTAGAGTTTTGTAATGCCTTTTAGAAGCTATCCTACCTCTTTACTTCAGAAGCTGCAGTAGGCTTGGCAAAAAATTAATATTGTGTAATTAGTGCTATTGAACTGATCATTTATATAACGTGTTTTAAAACTTGTGCTTAAATGCCCTCTCTCAAACTCTATTTAACCATAGACCTTGCAGGGTTAATATCCATCCCTTTCCCCTGACACGCAATCTAGTCTCTATTGGCTCTGATGCTAGGCAAGCACTTTTAGTTTGCACAGATGGTAATTACTAGGATTCATTGTAGAGGTTTTGTGAATTGAAAAATCTAGACAGGAAAGAAAATAGTTGCAATTGCCTGAAGGTCAGGCTTGTGGGAAAGGAGGAATGTAAAATCTAAAACAGCTCTAGTGATATACTCTATTTGCCAGTCCAGCAGTAAACACACTTTGTTCCCCATTTTAATGGGAAATGTTGATGATTTAGCTATTCTGAGATTTTCTATGATGTCTGCCATCAACTTCAAATTTCTGCTCACACAGGAGTTCTGGATTCTGTCCTGTCTATGGGTGACATTTATCCTCTGCTCCCACTACCAATTACTGACTCGCTCTCATTTCTTGTTCAAACTACTCCTAAACAATGTTTCGTTCATTTAGTTTTTCATTAACCAGTTTCAAGAGATTTAAATAGGTAGTACTTCCATTCCAGGTTACATTAAAATCCTCTGGGCATGTTACAGAGAACTGCTAATGACTAAAGAACCAAATCTTGTTCCAGTCATCTGTGACCAAATAAGATATAGTATTCAATTTTTTTCAAAAGAGGTTGTGGGGTAGCAGCTTCCATTTGGTGTGCACATTCATTCAGTCTCCTTAGTTGTACCTATTTTTTGGAGTACCCTGAGAAAAATGACTGTGAAAAATACTCCAAACCCAAAGACAGCCATTATAATAGATTGCTTCTGGGGGCAGTTTCTACCCTGTCTGACCTGACCTCTGAAGTGAGACACAGCTATCTCTCACCATCTCACACTGTTTATAGCATTTACATTACAAAGAAAAAAGCATATTTATCCAGTAATAGGTTGGCATTAAAAACCAATTATAGACTTATATAAGTCATATTTAAAAATGTAAATCCTCTTATATAAAAACTGCATCATTCTGCAATGCAACTAGTAAAATAAGATTTTAATTCTTTAAAATGAAGAAGAATTTTAAGGCAAAACATCTTTTAAAAGATACCTATATACTACATTAAAGGGAAGATACTAAGCTTATAAAAAGGAAATCTTGAAATTTACAGTGAAATGTGAAATTTATGTTGGCAAACCAAAAGTGGGAATCAAATTCTAGTCATAATCTAAATTATAACCATAGATTTATATTTATTTATATGTCAGGGAGAATATTGGTCAGCATTATGAGAGCTAAGGTGTATGGTAAACATTTCAGAAAATAAAACTAAATGAGTAAAAAATGTAATAGTGAGCCCTTAAGTGCTACAGCAGATATTCCTAAATCAGTCTTACCGTAAACAGGGTATCTGTTGGGGAGGAGAGGAGAAATTTTCAGTTTTGTGATGGCTGCATCTTAAACTACCTTTTATTGCTTCTTTTTCTCTCTTTTGGAAAATCAAGCAAAGTGGCCCTTCAGGCAGTATAGTCTAGAAGTTATGGGCTTGAACTTTGGCATTGGAAAAATTTGTATTTTCATTCCAAAGCTGTCTTATATTAACTTTGTTAAATAACTTCATTGAATCTAACCTTTCTTATCTGTATGATCAAAATAATGTTATTCAACCATTGGGTGCAATTATATAGTAAAATAAAATGCTAAATATAAGACATCAGCTGTAATCCCAACACTTTGGGAGGCCAAGGCAAGCACACTGCTTCAGCCCAGGAGTTTGAGACCAGCCTAGGCAACATGGCAAAATTCCGTCTCTACAAAAAATACAAAAATTAGCTGGATGTGGAGATGCATTCCTGTAGTCCCAGCTACTTAGGAGGCTGAGGCAGGAGGGTGGCTGGAGTCTGGGAGGTTGAGACTGTAGGAGCCATATGAGCCATGTTCACACCTCTGCACTCCAGCCTGGGTGACGAAAGTAGACCCTATCTCAAACAAAACAAAACAAAACAAAAAAGTAAAGCTGAGTGTATGACACATCATACATGGACAAGAATGGATAACTATTCCCATGGTATCTTAAATATAATACTACACTGGAAATCAGAATTGCCATTTGTAATGTTACTAGACTACAAGAGATAGAGTACATTTCCCCTTCCCAATGAATCTAGGTTGGTCTCGTGGTTTGACTGCTTTGAGTAATATAGCAGATGTGATATGTGCAATGTCTAAGAGGTATTGCAGCTTCTTCTTACCAATCTTGATATTCTGAAATTGAAATGTAAAGAAACTCAGACTAGATTCTATGAAGATGAGAGACCTTATGGCAAGAGAATTCCAGCCTACAGGTAGCACAATTAATAAGTTTGAAGGTGAGGTCATTTTGGATCACCCAGAATTGGGAGTGAGCACAAGTGAGATCAGCAGAATGACTGAACTGAGCCCAGTCCAAATGATTAACCAATGGAATCAATAGCAAATAAAAGGTCATTGTTTTAAGGCCCTGTGTTTTAGGGTGGTTTGTTATGCAGCAAACAGCGACTAGAAGTTTTGTCTGTGTGTGTGTGTGTGTGTTGTTTGTGTGTGTGTGTGTGTGTGTGTGTAATGCAAACCCATAAGCATGTACATAAGTGGCTTCTTCCTACACATCTACACATCAGTTGAATTTTTTGGAAAAAAGCAAGAAATTACTAATTTACCACTCAAACTCAAAATATTTTTTAATATAATTATCTTGATGGAGACATGTTTTCCTAATAGTGAAAGTTTTAACTGTATTTGTATTTCCAATGGTGTACACTTAGAGCATAATAAAATGAGGTGTGTCTTAGCATCACATGCTGTTGCTATATTTGAAATAAATTCATTTGAACTTCATACGTAAAGAATATATTGAAAAATCCCATAATACAGGCATCCATACTGAATGCCTGCCTTTTTTTCTTTTTCAACATATGAAAGTTGAAACCATTGACCAAAGTGATGTATTATTTCTGGAGACATTTACCAAATGGATGAATAAATAAATTATTCAAAATATAAGCATAAAAAGTATATTTAATGTTGTTGTTATGTAAGTAAATATTTTATTTTTCCAAAGGAAATTGTAAGATATTCTGTATAGCCAAATAGATGTATTAAAGAAAATCAACAAAAATAAAATTATCTTTACCAAACATATTTTAGTTGGAGGTCACTACTATAACAAAACTCAGAATACAAGTCAATGCCAGTGGCAGAATGAGGTTGAATGTATGAAGCCAAAACAAAACAGAAGAGATTAGATAGGGATATATATATATATTTTGTTCCAGAGCTTGATTATTTTTTCTCTTTTTGTAGTTCTGATCTTAATAAGATCTGTGTTGCCTTCAGCTGAGGGTAAAAACAGAGACATTGCAATGTAAGTTATCAGCATTCAACTTGGAAAAATCAGAAACTCTATTAGGGTGCTGTTAATTTAGCAAATATATGGGGAGCTCAGTCACTAATAGAAAAGTGAGAAATTTACCTGAGATCTTTCAAAGAGTTTACTGGAAAAACCCATTCTTCAGATAAACACATATATTATCCAATTTATCTGCCACTATTGTCATCTTATATTAATTTTTTGAGTCAACTAGGTATAAAATAGAGACTGGTATCAAGAATTAAATACTTAAGACAATGAATCCTTCATTATCTAATAACTATTAGACCTATTTGTAAGAAGTATTCTTCCTAGACTGCAAGCCTCTACATCCATTCTCCTACAACAGGAAGGTGACACAACTATTTTTTGGGATTTCATAATATTAAATATTAAATTATATTAATATTTGTAAACATGATAATTATTATAATGATATGAATAAAACTGTTGTGATTACTTCTAATACTAACTACTAGCAAGAGTTTTCATTATTGATCATAATCTTGAAAGTTAACCTAACAAGCAGTTCTTAGTCTTGTCCACATTATATAGAAGGAACTGAATCTTAGCAAGTTTAAATGGCTTCCTATTTCACTACATTGGTGCTAGCTCTGATTTTGGAACCTGATATTTTGATTTTAAATCACTAATGTTTAAATGTTTTATTAAACTAAAAGCTCAATATTTTCTGAATTGTTTGGCTCTTCAAGAACATTACTGAAACGTGCCTACAAAAGAAATGCAACTCTATTATACAAATAAAGTAATTGGAAAGAAGGAATCTGACCATATAATGAGTGAGGTTCAATAGAACATAGAATTCAAATTATTTACATGCAATTGAAATAACAAACTTTTACAAAGTAAAAGGGCAAAGGTAGTCATTGAAAAAGGATACAATTAGGCATTGTGAAATTGTTCCCCATGTCAGGTAACCAAAAGCAAACATCCTATGACAAAATTCTGAGCCATTGTGATGTAGAATTTCTGATTATCACAAAGTACTCTTTATGGTGAATCCAAAGGAATAACTGTGGGGAAGGGGTCAATCCCACTGTTTTCATAGTAATCCATTTTAACTATGCTTTAGACCAAAGAAGATGGAGAGATGAGAGATGATGATGAGGGCTTAACCAATTTTCTACTCGGATCATCACATGTCTTTTTAAAGCCAGATACTAGGCATGCTTAATTTAATTAGCCTCATGCAAGTTAGCATTAACTTGGGAATTAAAAACATATCATTCATTAATGTTTTATTCCCTTATTTAACATATTTATTGAGCATCTATGCATGACAGACACTGTTCTATAACAAATGATACAAACTGGATTGACAGAAGAGAAGGTGGAGAGCTAAAAAAAATTTACAAAGTAGAATTAAACTGGGTTCATTCCAAAAGAGTGCTGCAGAATATAACAGAAGTAATATATTAAAGACAGAACTCTGCATTTTGAAGAAGCTTTGGAAGTTGAGGCTTGAACTTGGCCTTTAAGAACAAGTAAAGTTTGGGCAAGTAGAAGGAAAAAGAAAGCTACTTTACACTAAAGGATTCATGTTCAAGGCAGCATGAGTTAGGGATGAGAATTTTTGTTTGTTTATTTTTGTTTGTTTTCTTATTTTTAATTTTTGAGATGGAGTCTTATTCTGTGCCCAGGCTGAAGTGCAGTGGTGTGATATCAGCTCACTGTAACCTCCACCTCCTGGGTTCAAGCAATTCTTCTGCCTCAGCCTCCTGAGTCAATGGGGTTACAGGTGCACACCATCACACCCGGTTATTTATTTATTTATTTATTTATTTATTTATTTATTTTTGTATTTTTAGTAGAGATAGGGTTTCACCATGTTGGCCAGGCTGATTTCAAACTCCTGGCCTCAAGTGGTCTGCCCGCCTCAACCTCCCAAATTTCTGGGATTACAGGCATAAGCCATCGCACCTGGCCTGTTTTATTTTATTATCTTTTTGATATTGAAGCCGTCTAGGATCAATGAAGCAGTCTCATTGTCTGAGGTGTTATTTGTGCTCTTTGTCTCATGAGCAAGAAAATTAAGAAGCATGGACACCAAGGGTGAGGTTAGAGTGAAAGTTTTATAAGCAAAAGAACAAAACTCTCTGCAGTGGAGAGGAGGCCCCAGAAGGTTTCCGTTTTTACAGTCGAATGCAAAGGTTTTTATAAGAAATTTTTCCTATCTGTGTAACTGCCCTTATCTGTGCAGCTTCAGGCACGTCTCAGCATGCCTCCCTCTCATGGAAGTTCCCAGGAAGCCCACCATGTACGTGTCTGTACGTGTCTGTAGAAGAGGAGGAAATTTTTTTCCGGGAGCCGGCTGATTACACAAAGAACAAAGGTATTTCTATGTTTGGTTTTGCTCCCTTATCTGTGCAGCTGCAGCTTGATTTTTCAGGCTGTTTCTATGTTTAAAAGAATTCTACCAAGAACCTGTCTTAACTGTCTGTCAACTGTTTTGTTCCCCGCCTCCACCCTCCGCCATTCCCCATTTCCCAGGAATGAAAACCCTAAGTGCGAGTAGGGACATTGTGCATTGATCGTTCAGACTACTTCATGCTGGAGAGGGCATCATATGGGGGACAGCAGCTGGGATTTCTCCTGTGATCAATCTAAGGGTCCTCTTAAGAAGAGCACATCCATGCGTGGTTCTATTTGTATCACTATTTGGAGCATGATAGGCTCTAGGCAAAAAGAAACAATTTAGGTTATAAGAGAACATGTGTTAAAACAAGACTGGGGTTAATGACGTTTTAAAAATTCCGAGGCTGCTGACACAGTTGGATAACTGATGATTGTAGTTATGTCTGTTAAGATTTGGGTGCATGGGCTTGGCTTTGGTTATCTCCATTGGTTTTATTTTCCCCCCAAAAAACGTCTGGGTTATGGGTATCATATTTACTCCTATTACCTGGCACGATTTGCAAGATAATTAACCAGTACTAGAATATTGATCCAGTTTTATTGTTGTCGTTGTTGTTTTCACTACACATCCTTTTTTGTTTCTTCTGAGCAGCAGGAGGAAATCACTAGTTGATTCAAAGGAATAAGCAGGAATAGTCTAAAATGTAGGAAAAAAACTTAAAAATAACTAATGAGAACAGAATTTAATAACATGTTTTGAAATATAATTTTTCCCTCTTTAGTCCTCATTTTTGTTAAAAACAAATTATAAGACTGAGTTGTTTGCAAAATAAAGTTCAGCAAAAATAATTATTTTTCATATGATTTTCAAATTGTCTTTGAAGGAACTCTGTTCCACAAGGAATCTTATAACAGACCTTTTTAAAGTCGAGCCCAGCCATGAGTTTGTACCCTCAAACACCTATGAGTTGGGTAAATTCCTCTCTTCTTGAGGTCCTAAAAACATGAGGATCCTGGGCCTGTTAGAAAGTGACATTTTTTACTCAACACAGGTCAGGGACACTGTACAGGGACTGGGTAGATGAGGTACGAGGCCAGAAACACAGAAACATATCCATACATCTACAATGAACTAATTTTCAACAAAGGTACCACAAACATACATTTGGGAAATAGTAGTCTCTTCAAAAAATGGTGCTGGAAAAACTGGACATCCATATATATATGAATGAAACTATACCCCTAATCAAAACTCTAATCAAAATATATTAAAGACTTAAATCTAAGACTTCAAACTATGAAACTACTAAAAGAAATCATTGGAGAAACTCTCTAAGACATTTATTTGGACAAATGTTTTTTGAGTAATACCTTAAAAACACAGACAGCGAAAGCAATAATAGACAAATGGGATCACCCTAAGTTGAAAAAGCTCCTGCACAGCAAAGGAAACAATCAACAAAGTGAAGAGTCAACCAACAGAATGTAAAAAATATTTGAAAACTACTCATCTTAAAAGGGATTAATAACCGGAATATATAGGAAGCTCAGACAGCTCAATACAAAAATAACTAATAATCTAACCTAAGAAATGAGCATTTCTCTATAGACATGTCTCAAAAGAAGATATGCATAGGGTAAACAGATATATGAAAGTATGCTCAACATTATTGATTATCAAAGAAATGCAAATCAAAACTACAATGAGGTATCACTATAATTGCCCCATGGGTTCACCTTGCCTGCTGCCTAGACAGAACCAGTTTATCGGGACAGGGGAATTGCAATGGAGAAAGAGTAATTCACAGAGCCAGCTGTGTAGCAGACTGGAGTTTTACTATTACTCAAATCAGTCTTCTGGAGCATTTGGGGATTGAAGTTTTTAAAAGATAATTTGGTGGGTAGGGGCTTGGGAAGCGAGGAATGCTGATTGGTCAGGTTGGAGATGGAATCATAGCAGGGCCAGAGTGAGCTTTTCTTGCCGTCTTCTGTTCCTGGGTGGAATTGCAGAACTGGTTTGAGCCAGATTATGGGTCTAGGTGGAGTCAGCTGATGCACCGAGTGCAGTGTTTGCAAAATATCTTAAGCATTGATTCTAGGTTTTACAATAATGATATTATCCCCAGGAGCAGTTTGGGGAGCTTCAGACTCTTGCATCCAGAGGCTACATAACCCCTTTACCATAATTTCTACTCTTGTAGCTAATTTGTTAGTCCTACAAAGGCAGACTGGTCCCAAGGCAGAAGGTCTTTTCTGGAAAGGGTTATTAATCAATATTGTTTCAGAGTCAAACCATAAACTAAATTTCTTCCCAAGGTTAGTTTGGTCTATGCCCAGGAATAAACAAGGACACCTTAAAGATTAGAAGCAAGATGGAGTCAGTTAAGTCTGATTATGTTCACTGTCGTAATTTCCTCACTTATAATTTTTGCAAAGGCGTTTCATTACCTCATCCAGTTAAAATGGCTTTTATTCAAAGACAAGCAACAACAAATGCTGCTGATGATGTGGAGAAAAGGGAACCCTTATACACTGTTGGTGGGAATGTGAATCAGTACAATCACCATGGAGAGTAGCATGGATGCTCATTGAAAAACTGAAAATAGAACTACCATATATTTCAGCAATCCTATTGCTAGGTATATACTCAAAAGATGAAAAATCGATATATCAATGGGATATTTACACTCTCATGTTTTTTGGTAGCACTATTCAAAATATTCAAGATTTGAAAACAACCTAAGTGTCCATCAACAGATTAATGGATAAAAATAATGTGATATATATACACAGTGCTGTACTATTCAGCCATGAAAACAAACAAGATGCTGTCATCCACAACAATGTGGATGGAACTAGAGGACATTGTTTTAAGTAAAATCAAGATACATTTCATATGTTCTTACTCATTTGTGGGAGCTAAAAATTAAAACAATTTAACTCATGGAGATATAGAATGACAGTTACTAAAGGCTAGGAAGAGTAGTGGGTGTTGGAAGAAGGGATAGGTAATGGGTATAAAAATATAGTTAGATAAAGTGAATGAGATCTAGTATTTGATAGCATAAAAGGGTTAACACAGTGAACAATAATTTATAGTACAACATTTTAAAAAATAAGATTATAATTGGAATGTTCATTACATAAATAAATGATAAAAGCTTGAGGTACTGGATATCCCATTTAACAGGATATGGCCATTACACATTGTATGCCTGCATAAAAATATCTCATGTATCGCATAAATATATATACCTATTATGTACCCCCAAAAATTAAAAATTAGGAAAACAAAAAAAATTAGGAAATACAAGTGTATTAGGAAATACAAGGACTTGCAATATCTGATTTCAAGACTCAATACTAATCTAGAGCAATCAACAGAGTTTGATATTAGAGAAAAGACTGATACTTGGATAAGTAGAACAGAATAGAGACTATAGAATTATACTAATACTTAAATGGTTAATTAAATTTTGGCTATTCTATAAAGTAATTATAGTCTTAAAAAGAAATTTTCCTGGAATAATTGAACACACCTGTAAATAAATTAAACTTAAGTCATATCTTTTACATAAAAGTTAACATGAAATGAATAATCTAAATAAAGAAGTTAAAACTAACTTATAGAAAAAAAGTTAAAGAAATATTTTTATGATATTGTACCAGGAAATATTTATTATATACTACACCAAAAGCATAATGGAGTATCTTAGAAAATAATAATTTTTATAAAATAATATATTAATAAATTTGACTTCATGAAATTTAAATTCTCCTGCTCTGTGAAAGGCACTATAAAGATCATGGAAGCAAATACTGGAGAAAATGTTTCCAAATTATTATTATAACCAAGGACTTTAATCCAGAAAAAGAAGAAAAAGAATAAATATGTATATTTTCTTTTTGGTTTACGTGTGTGTGTGTGTGTGTGTGTGTATATAAAAATTCTTAAAACTCAATAATAGCAAAATAGCAAGTTCATTATAAAAGGGCAAGAAATTGAACAGATACTTTACTAAAGTAAATATATATGGCTACTAAGCACATGTAAACATGTTTAACATAATTAGTCATCAGAACAATGTTACTTATGACTACAGTGAAAACTTCAAATGCTGGTAAGGATTCAAAGTAACTGGTATTCTTATATGATGCTACAACCACTTTGGAAAACGTATTAAGAATGTCTTAGATATTCAAACATTCATGTTTATGTTATGACCAAGTAATCCACTCTTGGGTGTTTAGATAAATGAAAACTTATGCAACCACAAATATCTATATGTAAATATTTATACTGGCTTTATTTTTTAATAACCAATAATCAGAATGTAAATGTTGTTTAGCTGGTAAATGAGTGTGCAATCAATGATATGTTCATTATACAATGAATGCTGCTTAGCAGTAAAAAAATACTACTAATAGATGCAACATGTGGATTAATCTCAAATGTATTATGTGAAGTAAAGAAAGCAGGATTCAAAAGGCAGCGTTCCATTTATATGACATTTTGTAAAAGGCAAATTTTTATGAAAAGAAATAGATGAGTCATTCCCAAAGTTGGTTGTGTATGTGGAAAAGTGGGAAGAGCTGACTGTATAAAGTGGCTTCAAGACTAAATTTCTTTGATGTGGTGTAGGTTTTCTTTTTTTCATCTTGAGTATGTGGTGATTAGACAATTGTAGGTGTTTATAAAAACTCGCAGAAATATACACTGATATAAGCTACTTTTACTTTCTCTAAATAAAAATTAAATTTAAAAAGTGCATTGAAGAACATGACAGAAAATGTATTTCAGACTTAGGTTTTGAGCTTAAATAGTTTACAATGGGATTTGCAGCTTCTCATGTATATAGTCTTATTACTAGTTCTACTTTATAAAGAAAAATATGTAAAATAGGTTTGATGATGTAAATTGTATGCTCTATTGAGACAGGAGAAAGAAAACAACAGAAGTTAAGACAGGTCCTTCACGTGGGGTTAGAAGGAGGTCCTGGGGAAACTGAAGGCATCTGTCTGAGGTCACACCTCAGTGTTACCTGAAGGCCCCTGGACTAATTCGGGTCTCCAACAGCCATCAGGTGTCAGCACCAGGATTTCCAGACTTTCCTATCACATTCTCTGTTTTTCTTTTTTGTGGCTATCATGTCTCTTATCCCTTCTTTATGCTATGTTGGGGGAGTTTTTGCAGCCTGTGGAGATAATCTTTTTGGGATCATTTAGAAAGTTTCTTAGTAACCAGGAATGTAACTCAAATAATTGCTGCTTCTATGATTTTCTTGAGATAGGGGTATTTAAAAGTTTTAGCCTAAACTTTCACCTAGTAAGGGCTTTTTTTAATCTCCCAGTGATAGTCATTCATGGCACTGAATAGAAGAGTATTTGATCCCAAGTAAATATCCTACTGTCCATTTGGGTTGTGTTTTCCTCCATGTAAGAGTACAGCACTGCCAAATGAATTAAAACTGTTCCTCTATGAGACAAATCATTTCTTTCCTGCTAAAAGGCTTACTGTGAGGACAGCCCACCAAGCCCCACACCTCTTTTTTTAACCTCTGCCTGAAAATAATTTGGAGTCAGAGTTTTTACCTAACATTTTAGTCCCTCCCACACTTTCTAGTGAAATGAGATTTTTCTCTGTGGGTGGTCCTATTGGTCCTTTGCCCCAAACCTCTATTTCCTCAACTCCATTCCCTCTGGTCAGACCCCATGCCCTATTTGTAAACAGAAAAACTCCACTTTCAACAGTCAGGAGGAAGCTTCCCTTGAGAGGCAAATTCTAGCCCAGTACTGTCCCCATTGGAAGGAGGATAGACGTTTAATCCTTATGTACTTTTGAGACACCTCCTCTGCATCCAGCTACATTGGCATTTAAACAAAAGGGGGATTTTATGCTTAGAAGTCAATTCATCTCATTCTCTGGGAATTCAGTGCTTCACTAGGGTCATAGTAAGAGAAGCCAGGGATAGAGTCAGGACACTTTCTTCATTAAATTGGATTTTCTTCACCAAATCCAATTGCTGAACAATTTCTCTTGGGCCTCTTGGCTAACCTGGAAGTCTTTTGGGTCGAGTAGATCTGAGAGACCCAGAGACAAGTGGAGCGCTAGGGCATTGCCCAGGTAAGCATGACTACTACTGCTAACTAGCTCTTCTAGATCCATGGGTGAAGGTGATGCTTGCATCCGTGGACAGCACTTATGACAGTTGCTGGAACTCAGAGGAGACCAGAGGAAAAAGGAGAAAGGGTAAACCTTTCTATGTTTTCCTCCACCCTGGGTAACTCTGAAAGGATAAAAGAGACTAAGGGGTGCTTTTTCTCTCATCCTTTTCCAGATGGGTAACAACATATTTTTGAATTTGCATTCTCTTCAAGTGCAGGCTGGATCTCCATTAATCCTCAGACCCTGAAGTTTTCTTTGAGCAAACCCCATCTTCACTCACATATAGTGGACTTCCAGGATTTAACACAAGTATTTAAACTGTCCTGGAAGGATGTTATGTTACTCTTAAATCAAACCCTAACTGCTGCTGAGAAACAGGCATCCCTGCAAACAATGGAGAGCATTGGAGATGAACTTTGTGTCTCATACAAAGTGCCAGCGAAGGGAAAGAGCTTTGAACTTTGTGTCTTATACAAAGTGCCAGGGAAGGGAAAGAGCCTTATCCAACTGGGAGAGTAGCTGTGTCCTTGGAGGACCCTAAATGTGACCATGATGATAGCATTGGAGAATGGAGAAAACTCTTTTAAATGTATACATTGGAAGGCTTGCAAAAGACTGGAGCCAAGCCTATTAACTACTCCAAGATTTCCATGATAGATCAAAAACTAGATAAAAATCCCTCAGCCTTTTCAGAAAGTCTGAGAGAAGCCTTAGTGAAACAAACTGCCTTGTCTTCCAATTCATCTGAATGACATCTAATCTTAAAGGACAAGTTTATTACTCAGGCAGCCCCTGATATCAGAAGAAAGTTGCAAAGAGAGGCCCTGTTCTTTTGGACATGCTTATTCCTCCTCTCTGATTTTTCTCACCCTCATGTTGAAGCTTTGCAGTATGTAGATAACATTCTCCTGTGTACCCCAACTGAGGAAGACTCAGGAAGGCACTGAGGCTTTCCTCAATTTCTTAGCTGAAAGGAGATGTGGGGTTTCAAAATCTAAGGCTCAGCTCTGCCAGACTTCAGTAAAGTATCTAGGTCTAGCCTTATCAGAAGAGACCAGATCACTAGGTGAGAAAAATATTAGGCCTATTTCCTCCTTTTCCCTTACCAAAAACCTTAAACAGCTGAAGGGATTCTTAGGCATTACTAGACTTTGCAGACTATAAGTACCTGGGTAGTGTGAGATAGATCACCCTTTATATCAACTCATAAAATAAACTCAAGCAGCTAAACTCACAATTTGACTTGGGAACCTGAGGCTTAAAAAACCTTTAACCAGTTAAAATAAGCCTTGCTTAAGTCACCAGGCCTTACTCTTCCCATAGAGAAGGCATTCAGTCACTATCTGTCAAGAAGGAAGGAAATGGCTCTGGGAATTTTAACTCAAGCACTAGGTCAAGCTCAACAGCTAGTAGGTTACCTAAGCATGGAGCTTGATTTGGTTGTTAAAGGATCACCAGCCTGCTTCCCAACAGTTGCAGCAGTGGCTTTGCTGGTGCCACTGGCCACCAAGTAACCATGGGAAATAATTTAACTTTATATACCCCACAAAATGTGGCAGGACTGTTGTCCTCTAAGTGAAGTCTCTGGCTAACAGATAATCACCTTCTCAAATATCAGTCTCTGCCATTAGAGGGATCTGAAGTCCAGTTAAAAACCTGTCATTGCTTAAACCCAGCCACTCTCCTCCCAAGGAAAGTGAAGTCTCAAGTTATAAAAATCAGAAATGAAAAATGACTTTACAGATGTAATGTCATTTACTACTGACTTTACAGATGTAAAAAATTATAAAAGAATACTATGAACAACTGTATACCAACAGATTGGATAACCTAGATAAAATAAACAAATTTCTAGAAACACATAAATTACCAAACTAACTCAAGAAAAAGTAGAAAATCTCAAAAGAACTATAACAAGTAAGGGAGTTGAATCAGTAGTAAAAAATAGTCAAACTCATAGAAGTTGAGGGTAGAATGATGTTACCAGAGAGTAGGGGATGAGCAGATAGGGATATGTTGGTTGAAGGCACAAAGTTTCAGTTAGACAGGAGGAATAAGCATTTGAGATCTATTGCACAACATGGTTAATATGGTCAATAATAATGTTTAGCTAATAATAATAAATTTCAAAATTGCTAAAAGCCTGTATTTTAAATGTTCATATGACAAAAAGTAAGTATGTGAGGTGATGAATATGTTTGATTTAATCATTCCATAATATGTATATATGTTAAAACATCACATTTTACCTTATAAATATTTACCATTATTGTTTGTCAATGGAAAAAAAACTGTAAATATTAGGTCACAAAGTTTTGAACCTGGGCTTGTTGGACTCCAAAGCCAGTGGTAATATTTATACTATTTTGCTTCCCAACTAGTTCTGCAATTGTAACCCTCAAGAGAAGAGGAGGAAGAGACAAGTATTTGGTGCTCTAAAACAAAACAAAACAAAACAAAAAACTTCCAACATAGACAAACTCAGGATCAGATAGCTTCACCAGTAAGTCATATCAAACATTTAAAGAATTAACACCACTCTTCTCAAACTCTTTCAAAAGAAATGGAAAGTGAAAAAATGCTTTTGAAATCATTGTATGAGGCCAGCTACAAAGACACGACGAGAAAACAAGATAATAGACCAATAGATTTTCTGAATATAGATGAATGAATGTGGGAAAATATCTCACGTCCATGGATTAGAAGACTTAATACTGTTAAAATGATGCTTCCACTCAAAACAATATAGTGTCAATGCAATCCCTATCAAAATCTCAATGGTCTTTTTTTAGAAATGTAAAAACCCATTATGAAATTTATATGCTATTTCAATGAATCCTGAATAAGCAAAACAGCATTAGGGAAAAATGTTGGAGAATTCACATTTTTTCTTTTAAAATGTACTATAAATCTATAGTAATCAAACAGTATGGCTCTGGCATAAGGATAGAAATATAGGTTAATGAAATTGAATTGAGAACCCAATAATAAACTCTTACATAAGCAGTCAATTGAATAACCCAGACATGGTGGCTCACACTTGCAATCCCAGCACTTTGGGAGGCCATGGTAGGAGCATCACTTGAACCCAGAAGTTTAAGACCAGCCTGGTCAACGTGGTGAGACCCTATCTCTACAAAAAATTTAAAATTTGCCAGGCATCGTGGTGCATGCCTGTAGTCCCAGTTACTCAGGAGGCTAAGGCAGGAGGATCACCTGAGCCTGGGAGGTCAAGACTGCAGTGAGCCATGGATTGTGCCACTGTACTCCAGCCTGGATAACAGAGCGAGACTCTATCGCTACAATTTAAATTAAAAAAAATTAAAGATCAGTTGAATTTCGCAAGGGTACCAAGATAATTTAATGGAAAAAGAAAAGTTTCTGCAACAAGTAGTACTAGAAAAACTGAATATGCACATGCAAAATATGAAGTTGAGACCATTATACCATATTCAAAAATTAATTCAAATTGATTCAAATAGAGTCATTTCCCCTTATCTGTAGAAGCTATGTTTCACGACCTCACCCAATGGTTGAAACTGTGGACAGTATCAAACCCTGTAACTGTATATATAATGTGTGTGTGTGTGTGTGTGTGTATATATATGTGTGTGTGTGTATATATACTTATATATATGTTTAATACATAAGTTAGGAAGAAATTAACAACAATAAATAATAATAAAATAGTACAATTGTAACAATACACTGTAATAAAAGTTATGTGAATGTGGTCTGTCTCTCTCTCAAAATGTTTTATTGTACTATATTCATGCATAATATTTTCAGACCACAGTTGACTAGGGGTAACGGAAACCACAGAACATAAAACTGCAAATAAGAGAATGATGACAGCTACTATATTTAAGAGCTAATAATATACAATTCTTAGAAGAAAACAGGAGCAGATGTTTACAACCTTGGGTTTTACACTATTTTTTTATTAAATATGACCCCAATAGCACAGGCAACAACAAAAATATAATAGATAAATGGAACTTTATAAAAATTGAATAGTTGGAAATAATGTTCCCAAGTCATATATACAGTGTAAATTGACATAAATTTCATGTATACGGAATCCTTTATACCAACGCTTAGCAAAGAGGTCCTTGCTGTCCTTTAACCATGTACAAGATAGCAAATTTTATCTGGTTTTCATGTTCAGGTTTTAAATTTCAAAAATATGTACATTTCCTTTAGGAACATTTTAAATTAGACAATCAATTTAGTCGTCCTTACCCTCAGATTACATATCCAGACATAATCAAAACTTTTTCCTTTAATGTTAATTTGGGATCAAAGGAGAACAAAGTATACCAACCTATTCCTGTTGCAATCTCTGCCTTCCTATCATTTAAGGTATTTGTGTAAATCCTTGGAAGATTTTAACTACATATAACAACAAAAGATTTAAACCCTGTTTTATATGCAATGCTTGAAAATAATGTTATTTAGTCCATGACTAACAAGCTGAGAAGAGACACAGGATATATAAAAATGAACATTTTAATACTGCTTTTGGCAGTGTCAACTGCTGCTTTACTTCTACATTACCAAATGAAAGATTAACAGGGATTAGGAAATGAGCACATTGGTTCTCAGGATATGGTGAATAATAAGGGGATGCTCTCAGAACAACATAAAATAATCTCTAAATTAATTTCATGCTTGACAAATGAAAGTTTGAGGGAGATCCATAGCTATTAAGCAAAATTCTTATAAATTAGAAACACAATCTGCAGAGGGATTACAAGTCATTTAGAAAGGCTGCTTGGCAATTGTGAATATATGTGGCACACAATGCATTGGCATCAATTTGGAAAATAGATTCCTTACTTGGCAACCAGGCCTCCCATTGTCAAGCATGCCTGATATTATACATCCCCAGTCATGAGTAGGGCTATTCAAAGAGGTTAAAACATGAAAATAACTTCCAAATCATCATTTGGCATGTACATTGCATATAAATTGAAATGATATGCATGGCCAAATTAGTATTTTCTGTCTAATTATTTTGGTACTAAAACAATATGCTTAATGTGAACATGTTGGCAATATATAAATGATTAAGCTGTAAATGAATCCTGATTTCAGATGTTTTGACTAAAGGAGGCTTAAATCACACTCATGCTGTTCTGAGAGCTACTAAAAATTTCCATAGGATGCTTAATTTGCAAATCACTAGGTCATTTTAATATTGCATAGCGAGGTGATACTCAGCCTCACTGCTGTACTAATAATGTCATGGATGTCCGGTCAGAAAAACAGATAAAAAGGGAAAAGGGGGCATTCAAAGAAACAAACCCAACACACACGTTCCACTCATTATTACAGGAAATAAGTTCTATAAATTCTGGCCATTTAGTCCCTGTAGCTCACAATTAGTCTTATTTTCATTAATGGGTTCATCAACATTAGCTACTTTTGTTTCACATCATACTGTTATGTAAAATTATGTGCTGTGTCCTACTTTAATTACGATAATTTGATTATGAGCTCCAACACCAATAAAGAGGTATGAGTCCTTCGATTAATTAAATTATTTGTCTTTGACTCAAGTTAGATAGCTTTCATTGTCAATAAGAGATGGAAAAACTAACCACTGCATAAAACTGTCTGGAACTAATGGTTCATATGGTTCTATGGATGGTTCTCTTCTTCCTTTATTCTTTTTTTTTTTTTTTTTTTTGAGACAGAGTCCAGCTTTGTCGCCCAGGACAGAGTGCAGTGGCGCAATCTGAGCTCACTGCAACTTCCGCCTCCTGGGTTCAGGCTATTCTCCTGCCTCAGCCTCCTGAGTAGCTGTGATTACAGGTGCCTGCTACCATGTCTGGCTAATTTTTGTATTTTTAGTAGAGACAGGGTTTCACCATGTTGGCCAGGCTGGTCTCGAACTCCTGACCTCAAGTGATCAGCCCTCCTCAGCCTCCCGAAGTGCCGGGATTACAGGAGTGAGCCACTGCTCCTAGTCTCTTCTCCCTTTATTTTTGAATCCTTATTTTCTTAGTAGGACTGTGGCAGTTCAAGTCCTTTTATATACTAAAATATGCCTGTATCAGGCACATTGCTTAATAGCTTCAAATATCATGATTTCATATACCTAGGTTCTAAATTGGAAGATAAGTAATAGAAATAAAAGTTTTGTTTCCTTGTTTTCTTTCCCCTGCCTTATATGTGTCAGTCTTTTTACTTTTCTGCAGGAAATCTTGCTAAAAAAAGACTTAAAGTGAGGGACATGCAGATAACTCTAACCAATTCCTATTGGTTAGTTAGTGATTCAATGAAATCCAGCATGCCATTGATCACATGGGTGTATAAATATCTCACCAATATTTCACATAACTAAAACATTACATGGAAAAGACTTGAATTCTTCAAATTTAGAGCATGTCTTACAAATTGTTTTATTCCTATCACTTGGCATAGTGCTGCCATATAATATAAACTATAAACATAAACATACATACATGGAAGCCATATGTGTGTATGTGTGTGTATTCACTCCAACTTTGCCCTTATTCTTCAGTGTTATGTTGGCTAATTTAGGCTTTTTACCATTCTATATAAACTGTAGAGCCAATTTGTCAATACCTACAAAATAGTTTGCTGGATCTTTGGGAAAAACAAGTTACATTTTTCTTCTTTTTAAAATTGTGATAAACACGTGTCATTAAACTTACTATCGTAACCATTTTAACTGTAGAGTACAGTGATATTGAGTACATTTATATTGTCATGCATTCATCACCACTGTCCACTTCCAGAACACTTTTCATCTTGCAAAACTGAAACTTTACATCCATTAAATAACAACTCCTCCTTCCATCTTCCTCCATGCTCTTGGTAACCATAATTTTACTTTCTACTGACTCTATAATTTTGTATTCTCTATCTACCTCAAAGAAGTGGAATCATACAGTATTGTCTTTGTGGGATTGGCTTATTTCTTTCAGCAAAATGTATTCAAGATTCATTTATGATGTAAAATATAACATAATCTCCTTCCTTTTTAAGGATGAAAAACATTCCATTGTATGTATATGCCACATTTTGCTTATCAATTCATCTGATGACGGATACTTGGGTTGCTTCTATGTTTTAGCTTTTTCAAATAATGTTTCTATGAATCCAGGTCTACAAATATCCCTTGAAGTCCCCGCTTTTTTATTTTTGTTTTAATTATTCCATTTTTTAAAGTTCTTGGGTACATGCGCAGGATATGCAGGTTTGTTACATAGGTAAACATGTGTCATGGCAGTTTGCTGAACCTAACAACCCATCATCAAGGTATAAAGCCCAGCATGAATTAACTCTCTTTCCTAGTGCTCTCCCCACCCCCACCCTCCCCACAACAGGCCCCAGTATTGTTCCCCTCCCAGTTTCCATGTGTTCTCATTGTTGATCTCCCACTTATAAGTGAGAATATGCAGTATTTGTTTTTTTGTTCCTGTGTTAGTTTGCTCAGGATAATGGCTTCCAGCTTTATCCATTTCCCTACAAAGGACATGATCTCATTCCTTTTTATGGCTCCATGGTATTCCATGGTGTATATGCACCATATTTTCTTTATCTAATCTATCACTATGGGCATTTGGGTTGATTCCATGTCTTTGCTATTGTGAATAGTGCTGCAATGAACATATGAGTGCTTGTGTCTTTATAATAGAATGATTTATATTCCTTTGTTAATATACCCAGTAATGGGATTGCTGGATCAAATGGTATTTCCAGTTCTAAATTTTTAAAAAATCGCCACACTGTCTTCTGCAGTGGTTGAACTAATTTACATTCCCGCCAACTGTGTAAATGCATTTCTATTTCTCCACAACCTTGCCAGCATCTGCTGTTTCTTTTTTTTTTTTTTTTTTTTGATAATCACCCTTCAGACTGGCATGAGATGGTATCTCATTGTGGTTTTGATTTGTATTTCTCTAATAATCAATGATGTTGAACTTTTTTTACATGTTTGTTGGCTGCATGTATGCCTTTTTTTGAGAAGTGTCTGTTCATATCCATTGCCCATTTTTAATGTGGTTGATTCTCTAATGACTGGTTATGCTGAACATCTTTTCATATTCTTCTTCATCATGTATATGTCTTCTTTGGAGACATCTCTAAATCCTTTACATGTTTGAGGCATTCTTTACATATTCTGGATATCAGTCCCTTTTTAAATACGTAATTTGCAAATACATTCTTCATTCTTTAGGTTGCCTTTTTACTCTACTGATAGTATCTTTTGATGAATTAATTTAACATTTTTCATAAATTCCACTCTGTCTAGTTTTTTTTTGTTACCTATGGCATTGGTGTTTTATCCAATAGAGTATGCCAAATCTGCTCTCATGAAGCTTTTTTCCAATGTTTTATAGTTTTAAACCTTGTCTTTAGGTAACAGATCCATTTTTAGTTGAATTTTGTTTATGGTGTTATACACAGAACTAATATTATTATCTTGCATGTGAACATTCAATTTTCCAGGTAGCATTTATTGAAGAGACTGACTTTATTTCACTAAGTGATCTTGGGACATTGTGAAAGTCATTTGATCATATATGCCAAGGTTTATTTCTGGACTCTATTCCATTTGCCTACCTGTCTATCTTTGTAGGAGTTCGGTCAGGGTGGTGGGATAAGATGTAAGAAAAATTATAGGAAAGACGCAAACCTTCTTGGAAGGCTGGAAGGTTTTGCAAAAGCTTTGGGAAAGGGTTATGGCTGAAGGCAGCCTAATCCTCTTACCTTGAGCTAATAGCAAAAAGCAAATAACAAGGGAACATAGGGGAGTTTATCTAAATAGCTTGTTTACTCATGTTGTCATAAGACCAAACTTTGATCATCTGCGTGCAGGACTGCTCTCTCTGGGGGGTGGGGCAACCATGTTAATTGCCCACAGATGTGTTGACTCAAAGCCTTTGTCATTAAATCTTTACTAATAAATTCCCACAGCACCAGCTCGTCAAGGCTGTGGCTGCTACAACTCTTTCTGTGAGCAGCCCAGTCCCCTAGCCCACTCTTTCATTGGATACCTGTGTCTGAGTGCATTTTTTCAGCCATCACTTGGTCAGGGTCTGTGGATTGGACCTGGCAGGTGGTTCCCTGCGTGAGGAACACTGCAACAGATCATGACACAACCCTTGAAAACAAAGGTGAAAAGACTGTGCGGTTAGTGAGTCAATAAGTCATTGGTGCCTGCTTGGGATTTCCAGTTCGAGGGAATTGTTCAGGCTAGGGTTTTATCTTGTGATAACAGATATCAGCACAACAGAAGCAGTATATAAAAGTATTGAAACAGATGCTTAAAGCTAGCAGAGCCTCGGTTTCACAGGCTCAATTAAGGAACCTAATACAAACTGTTGTTTTTCATAACCCATGGTTCCCAGCAGAAGGCACCATGGACCTAGAGCTCTGGGAACAAGTGGGGAGAAATCATAAACAATGTCATATGCAAGGGCAACGGGTCCCAGTAATATCTCTAATGTTACAGGCTTACTTAGGGCAGCTCTGGCCCTGTTATACACAGAAGAGCCTAAAAAGGAGAGGGAGGAGGACCCATCACTTACCTTACCGCCTCCTTATCCCTCATCCCTGCTATCACCAGGCCAAAATAACAAAGAGGAAACGGAGGTTTTGCCTGAGCCCTCTCCTCCAATCAATTGGAAAAAAGACAAGGTATACACTACAGCTATGGGACCCTGTCTTAGGCAAGCGGCATTAGAAGGGCAGCTCTTAGCCTGCCTGGTAATGCAAGATCAACAAGGCAAACAGATTTAAAAAAGGCATTTGAGAAAACGGAGCCACTAGCCCATTTACAAAAGGGTTAACTGAGGTCACTCTGCAGACCTCTTTCTAATAATGGCCATTGTTATTCCTCCCCGACCCTTGATATAGCTCTCTCAAAATCCTATTTGAGTAGAACAGTAGCCTGTAAAGGGAGAGAAATTGCAAAGACCTCATGAGTTAGTTGTGGAGCAATTAAAAGCCTGCGATATAGAACCCTTGGAATTCACCCATTTTCATCATTCCCAAAAAGTCTGGTAAATGGAGACTTTTGCATAACTTATGTGCTATCAGTGCTAATTTGCAACCTATGTGGCCCCTTCAGGAGGGGCTCCCCTCCCCTGCGATAATTCCTCGAGATTGGCCTATAATCTTTATTGACTTAAAAGACTGCTTTTATACTATTCCCCTAGCAGAACAGAACAGAGAAAAATTTGCGTCTACAATACCAGCTATCAATAATGAAAGGCCAGCTTGCCGATTTCATTGGAAAGTGCTTCCCCAAGGAATGCTGAACAGTCGTACCATGTGTCAGTATTACATAAATCAGACTTTGCTCCCCAGTAGAAAAGAATTTCCTAATTGCAAGATTATTTCATTTTATGGATGATATTTTACTAACAGCCCCAACAGAGCCAGTACTTTTAAGGTTATATGCCTCTGTCATAAGGAATACATAGTTAAGAGGTTTAATCATAGCACCTGAAAAAGTACAAATGTCCTCTCCTTGGAAATATCTTGGGTACATACCAACTTCTTGGTCAGTAAGACCTCAAAAGGTTAAATTAAGTACTAGCAACTTACATACCTTAAATGATTATCAGAAATTGCTAGACAATATTAACTAGCTTCATCCCACCTTAGGCATAACTACTGATAATTTACAGAACCTGTTTTCTATCTTAAAAGGCAATGCTTCACTAGACTCTCCCAGATATTTAACTCCCGCAGCACAAAGGAAAATTGAAGAGATAGAGCAAACTATTCCTCAGAGGCAACTAGATTGCATAGATCCATGGTATTCAGTTCAGTTGTTTCTTTTTCCCACTAAACACTCCCCTAAAGGGTTAATAGGACAGATGACCCTAGGTCTGCACTTCCTAGAATGGTTTTTTGCTCACATGCTAGGACTAAAACACTCTCTCCCTATATCCAGTTAGTCAATAAAGTCATCTATTCAGACTGCAGATGATGCAATCAGTTGCTAGGTTGTGACCCTGATATTATCAGAATTCCTTTAAGTAAAAAGCAACTCGAAGCAGTATTGCCCTTATCTATGGAACTGCAAATAGCACTCTCCAGTTACACAGGCCATATAGAGAATGCCCTTTCTGCTGACAAACTCCTTCAGTCCTTATCTCATACTTCTGTGGTTTTTGCCTACTAAAATAGTTCAATCCCCCATACCAAACACTTTAAAACTGTTTACTGATGGCTCTGGTAAATGTGGAATATTGGCTGTTTGGTGGAGACTGCATAATTCCCTCACTCGTTTTGGATTTACTAGCACTCAGAGAGTTGAAGGTGGAGCCTTAATATTGGCCTTGGAAATATTTTCCACTCAGCCTATCAATCTTATTAGTGACTCTGCTTACTCTGTTTATTTATTGCAGAACCTTGAGACAGCCCTGATTAAGTCCACTCTGGAGCCCACCCTGTGTGTACTTTTTCTCTGACTTCAGCAATTGCTACATCAATGTACACATCCCATTTTTATTACACACATTTGGGCCCACAGCTCAGTGCCTGGCCCATTGGCTTATGACAATGATCAAGCAGACCTACAGGTTATGACATCACTGCTTGACCAAGCCACTCAATTGCATCAATTTTTTCACCAAAACTGGAGAAACTTATTTAAACAATTTCAAGTTACCCAAAGGCTAGTTAACAAATTATCCTACAATGCCCAGATTGCCACCTCACAGGCACGTCCTTTCCTTCAACAGGTGTTAACCCTAGAGGACTAGAGCCTAATCAGTTACGGTAAATGGATGTTACACACATCCTTGAATTTGGAAAACTTAGACATGTACATGTATCCATTCATGCCAATTCTCATTTAATTAGCACTCATGCTCTCCTTGGAGAGTCCACTTGATATGTCATTAAATATCTTCCTTTAACTTTTGCATTTGTGGGGCGGCCCACAAAAATTAAAACTGATAATGGTTTGGCTTATGCCAGCTCACAATTTCAACAACATTGTCACACGTGGAATATCCAACATTCCACAGGCATCCCGTATAACCCCAAAGGGCGGGCAGGCCATAGTAGAACATACCCACTCCACCCTTAAAAATATGCTCAAAACACAAAAAAGGGGAATATGAGTAAGGACCCTGCAACACTATTGGCACAAGCCTCATTTACCTTAATTTTTAAAATTTAGATGATAAATTTCAATCAGCTGTATAAAAGCACTTTGCTAAAACCTCTCAAGACATAAAACCCACAGTTTTATGGAAAGATGTAAACAGTAATGTATGGTGTGGTCCAAATGAACTGTTAACATGGGGAAGAGGATAGGCTTGTGTTCACAACCCCTCAGGTCCTCTTTGGATTCCAGCACAATGCGGCAAAACATACCATGCTGTGGCTAGAACCCAACCCAGTACCAGAAATGAAGAAAATGACCCTACAGGACCAGCAGCCCTGGACAATGCGGCTTCCTCGGATGACACAATCCACGGACGTTATCTGGGGGATGCTGAAGAGGACAACTCAGGAGGCTGAGCAAATCCTGCTCCGGACACAGACACCATTCACTCCAGATAATTTGTTCCTTGCTATCCTCTCTGTTTTGCATTGCAACTCATGTAGGGTATTAATCCTTTTTATGCTCTTGCTTTGTCTGCAACCTGTCCCTGCTATACTCCATTGGGTTCTTATCTTATATCCACCTTTCTTTCACCCTGCCACCTGGGCAGACACCACCTTCCCAGCCTCTAATAACATAACTGGTTGGCTGGGAGGGATAGATTTACCCTCTGTGGGGTCCCTCGTTAATGGCACACATTGGACTAAGGTGCCAGGTAACACTACGTATCACTCCACTATCCTCCCACTGTGTGTAAGTTATAAAACTTTTAACCATTACTGTATACCTGCCCAAACACAATTATGGCTACATCATGGCAAAGGAAATGCCTTAACAGTCTTAGTTGCAGGTAGCCTCAAACCGGACAATGCCATCAATGTCACTTTCCCAAACATTCCTCCCTGTGCTAAAGAACAAAGCTGGGAAAGTAATGGATTCCACTTTAGCTGGGAGGTCTGTCAGAGGAGACAGGCCTGTAGCCTCCACTTAGGCAATTATAACATCTTAGACTGGAGCCCCCAAGCCATTTGCAGGGTGATCATACTGATGTCCATGTCTATCGTGGCATCAATGACAGTTTTGTAGCCAGGTCCCATTCCCCTATAATTTGGGCCAATGGGGGATGGGATATCCCAGACCCCAACTAGAGTCCATGCCACCGCAAGACACTTTATGGTGCCTGGGACATCTTAGCATCCCCCTTAACATGTGGCATGGGGCATATCATAATTCCAGTCACAATTATACTATGACCTTTTTTCATAATCACACTAATGAGTGTCTGATTTGCACTACCCATCCATATTTTTTCCTTATGGGAACCAATATTTCTATTACACCCCAAAACTCCACGTTTGTGACCAGAGTGCAGGGACAGGCTTGGTTTGCCTCTTGTATCTCTAATTATAATATATCTAACTTAAATATTACTAATGTCGTGGTATTGAAGACACAATCTGAGGCTTTCCTACCAGTCAATTTAACAGGCGATTGGCAAGGTTCCTCTGCCCTTGCCACATTAGAACGTGCCCTGTCCCAGGTCAGATAAAAAAGATTCATAGTTACACTTATAGCCTTTATAGTCTCAACCATAGCCATCCTAGCAACTGCTAGTATTGTTGTAGCATCTATTACTAAATCAGTACAAACATCTACTTTTGTAGACAATTTGGCCAGAAATGTGTCTAATTAACTTCTCTTACAGCAGGGTATAGATCAAAAGATTATTGCACGTCTGTAAGCCCTCGAGGCTACCTTGAAATATGTGGGGGAGCGACAAGATGCACTGGCATTCCAACAGCAATTAAACTGCGAGTGGGAGCATAAACATATCTGTGTCACTTCTTTACCATGGAATCAATCAATATATAGTTGGAATGAGGTGAAACAACACCTCTGGGGAACCTTTCATGACAATTTAACAGCAGATGTAAAGCAACTTAAAACTACAATTATAGAATCCCTAAATGCCATAGATCTATACACCCAACAAACAGCCTTATGGAAGGGTATGCCAGATCATCTCTCCTGGATAGACCCCCCACTCCTGGGGGCCACCCCTTGATTGGAAAAGAATGTTACTAATTATACTCATGTTTGTCTTATGTTATTTACTAATTCTAGGATGCAAAGCAGGAATACAAGCAATGAGCGCCATGCCTGAAAAACCTGTTGCTGTACACATCTATACTCTTCAATCAACAAAACATGATGCTAAAAATAGAAAAGAGGGAGATGTAGGAGTTCAGTCAGTGTGTTGGGAAAAGTTGTAAGAAAAATTATAGGAAGACGCAAACATTCTTGGAAGGCAGGAAGGTTTTGCTAAAGCTTTGGGAAAGGGTTATGGCTGAAGGCAGCCTAATCCTCTTACCTGAGCTAATAGCAAAAAGCAAATAACAAGGGAATGTCAGGGAGTTTATCTAAATAGCTTTTTTACTCATGTTGTCCTAAGACCAAACTTTGATAGTCCATGCACAGGATTGCTCTCTCCGTGTGCAGTGGGGAGGTAGACTATGTTAATTTTACCCACAAGTGTGTTGACTCAAGGCTTTGTCATTAAATCTGTACTAAATAAATTCCTGCAGTGCCAGTTTGTCAAGGCCGTGGCTGCTACAACTCTTTCTGTTATCAGCCCAGTTCCCTAGTCTGCTCTTTCACTTGGATACTGTGTCTCAGTACATTTTTTCATCCATCGCTCAGTCAGGGTCTGTGGGTCAGACCTGGCATATCTTTATGCCAGCACCACACTCTTGATTATGATAGGTTTATAGTGAGTTCTGAATTAGGAATGTATGAGTTCTACAACTTTGTTCCCGTTTTTCGGAATTGTTTTGACTGTTCACAGTGCCTGAATATTCTATATTAATTTTAAGGTGGAATTTTCTATTTCTGCAAAATATAACATTGAGAGTTTGATAGGGATTGTATTTAATCTACAGATTGCTTTGAGTAGTATTGCCAACTTAACAATATTAGGTCTTCCAATTTATGAAAAGAGAGTGTATTTCTATTTATATATGTCTTTGTGAATTTCTTTCAGCAACATTGTGTAGTTTTCATTGTAGCCTTTCACATGGTTAGTTAATTCCTAAATATGTTATTGCTTGAGAGGTTATTGTAAATAAAATTGTTTTGTTAATTTTATTTTTGAACTGTTCATTATTAGTGTATAGAAATGCAACTGATTTATGTGTGTTGACTTTGTATGCTGCTATTTTGCTGAATTCATTTATTAATTCTACAAGGTTTTTTTTCCTCTTTTGTGGAATCTCTACATATATTTCTTTGTGGATTAATCATATGTAAGATCATATCATCTGTAAACAGAGATCATTTTACTTCTTCCTTTCAAATTTTAATGGCATTTGCTTCCTTTTTCTTTTCTAAAGGCTCTTGCTAGAATTTCCAGTACTCTATTGAATACAGGTGGTGAAAGTGGGCATCCTCACTTTATCCCTGATTTTAGAGGAGAAGCTTTTATTTTTTCACCATTGTTTATGAAGTTAACCATAGCACTTTTACTTGTGGCTTTTATTAAGCTAAGGTAGTTTCTTCCATTCCTCCTTTACTGAGTATTTTATCATTAAATTATATTGAATTTTGTCAAATGCTTTTTCTGAATCAGTTGCAATAATAATGTTTTCCCCCATTCATCCTGTTAACATGGTGTATATTCATTAATTTTTGTAGGTTGAACCATTCTTGCATTAGAAGAATAAATCCCTCTCGGTCATTATATATAACACTTTTGATATTGAATTTGGTTTACTGGCATTTTTTGAAGATTTTTGCATCAACATTTATGAGGTATTTTTCTGCAGATTTCTTTACTTGTGTCTTTGTCTGGCTTTGTTATCAGAATAACATTGGCCTTAGAAAATTAATTAAGGAGTGTTTTCTTCTATTTAATTTCTGAAAATTTTAAGGATTTGTATTCATTTTTATCCAAATAATTGGCAGAATTCACCAGTGAAGCAATCAGGTCCAGGGATTTTCTTTGTTGGGAGATTCTTGTTTTCTGATTCAGTGGTTTTACTAGCTCCAGGTCTAGTCAGATTTTATATTTATTCACAGGTTATTTCACTTAGATTTTGTGTTTCTAGAAGTTGTTCATTTTATTTAGATTGTTTAATTTCTTCAAGTGCACCTGCTTATTGTGCTATCCTATAGTTATTTTCACTTCTGTAGAATTGGTAGTAATGTCCTCACTTTCATTTCTGATTTTAGAAACTTGGTCCATCTTGCTAAATATTTGACAGTTTTTTAGAACTTTTCAAAGAACCAAATTTGGGTTTCAACAACCTTTTCTATTACTTTTCTATTTTATTTATCTCTACTCTAATCTGTATTATTTTTTTCTTCCACTGGCTTTGAGTTTAGTTTAGTTTGTTCTTCATTTTCTAGTTTCTTAATTTGTAAAATTAGATTGTTAACTTAGGATCTTTCTTATTTTATAACATAAGCATTTAAGCTCACATTTTTTTCCTTAGCACTGCTTTCCTTGCATCATATAAATTTTGCTATATTGTGTCTTCATTTTCAATCATATCTAAGTGTTTTCTAATTTCCTTTGTGGCTATTTTCTTTGATCTATAGACTGTTTAAAAAGTGTATTGTTTAATTTCTATAAATTTATATTTTTAAAGTTTTTTTTCTTCTGTTACTGATTTCTAATTTCATCTATGTGATCACAGAAGATACTCTGTATGACATTTATCTTTTAAATCTAGTGATACTTAAAATCTATTGAGACTTAGTATGTGGCTTAAAATGTGGTCTATCCTGGAAAATGCCCCATGTGCATTTGAGAAAAATGTGTATTCTTTTACTGTTAGGTAGAGTGTTTTGTATATGTCTGCTAGATCTAGTTGGTTTATTGTGCCATTCAAGTTCTTCTATTTTCATGCTTATCTTCTTCTGGTTATTCTATTCATTTGTGAGAGTGGTGTATTGAGTTTGCCAACTGTTATTGTAGAACTATCTCTCTCTCTTAAATTCCTTTCATTTAGGCTAGATATGTTTTGATATTCTGTTATTAAGTGTGTAAATATTTATAACACTTATATGTTATATATATTATATTTCTTACTGTATTGAACCATTTAATAATATATAATGATCTTCTTTGTGTTTTGTAAGGTTTTTTGATTCAATATCTATTTTTTCTAATATAGTATAGATACCCCTGCTTTCTTTTAATATAATTTTCATGAAATGCGATTTTCTATTACTTCACTTTTAAGTTATTCATGTATTTGAGTTGATATGGTTTGGCTGTGTCTCCAACTAAATCTCACCTTGAATTGTGGCTCCCATATTTTCCACGTGGGAAAGGACCTGGTGGGAGATAATTGAATTATGGGCTGGGTCTTTCCCATGCTATTCTTGTGATAGGTAATAAGTCTCACAAGACCTGATGGTTTTATAAAGGGAAATTTCCCTCCACAAGTTCTCTTCTCTTGTCTGCCACCATGTGAGATGTGCCTTTTACCTTCCATCATGATTGTGAGGCCTACCCAGCCACATGGAACTGTGTGTCCATTAAACCTCTTTCTTTTGTAAATTGCCCAGTCTTGGGTATGTTTTTATCTGCAGTGTTAAGCTGACAAATACATGAATCTAAAGTTTGTCTCTAATAGAGAGCATATTGTTGGATCATGGATATTACCCATTCTGCCAATTTTTCTCTTTGGATTGGAAAGTTTTGTACATTTACATATAGGTAATTACTAATAATGCAATACATTTTTCTGTAATTTTATAGATTTTTCCATGTGTCTTATAGTTTTCTGTCCCTCATTTCCTCCTTTTCTCTTTACTTTGGGTGATTAGTTGATTTTAGTCTCTTAAATTATGTAGAAGACAAAAAGTTAGGTTACACATAACCTAGTTTGCTAATATTATCTTTGTTACAGTAATACTGGCTTTATAATTGATTACTCATGTATTTACAATTACTGAGATCTTTATTTCTTCACATGGCTGGCCTTGAACTTCTGTCTGGTGTCATTCCAACCTGCAGGACTTCTAGCATTTCTTACAGGATGGGTCTAATGGTAACAAACTCCTAGAGCTTTTGTTTATCTCGAAATGTCTTAATTTCTCTGTCTCTTTTGAAAAAGAGTTTTACCAGATATAAGATACCTGGTTAACACGTTTTATTTTTCCTTTTTGCACTTTGAATATACAGTTGACCCATGAAGAACATGGGTTCAACTGCACAAGTCTGCTTAATACGCAAATTTTTATCAACCAAACATGGGTTGAAAAATACAGTATTCTCATGATGCAACTCCTGCATATATGAAGGGCCATATTTTTTATATGCAGATTTTGCAGGAACAACAGTGAGACTTTAGTATGTTTGAATTTTGGTAGATGTGAGGATTCCAGAACAAATCCCCTGCATATATGGAGGGATGACTTTATTAGCACACTGCCTCTCACCTTTTAAATTTCCAGTAAGTGATCTGTTGATAATCTTATGGGAATTTTTTGTAAATTTTTTTCTGTCTTGGTGTTTTAAAACTACTTTCTTTGTCTTTGGCTTTGGACAGTTTGATTATAATGTGTCTCAGTTTGGGTCTTTTAGAGGTCATCCTAGTTAGAGTTCCTTGAGCTTCTTGGTGTTTATATTCATGTCTTTCATTAAACTTGGGAAGTGTTTGTGTCTATTATTTATTCAAATATTATCTTTCCCCTTCTCTTTCTCTTCTTTTTTTTGGTACTCTCACAATGTGTATGTTGATATGATTGAGAGTGTTCCACGATCTTTTCAGTTCTGTTTATTTTTCTTTAGTCCTTTCCCTTTCCGTTGCTCAGATTCATTGCTTTTCATTGTCTTATGTTCAGGTTATTAATTCTTACTTCTGCCTGCTTAAATTGGCCTTTGAATCCCTTTAAGAAATGTTTTCTTATCAGTTAATGCACTCTTAAGCTTCAGAACTGATTTATGTTGTTTTCTGGGGTTTCCCATATCTTTTTGTATTTCCATTGATCTCATGCATTGTTTGCTTGACTTCTCAATGTTTTTCTTTAGTTTTTAAGCCTTTGTAAGACAGTTGCTTTATACACCTTGGCTAGTAGATCTGCCATCAGAAGTTTTTTTTGATTTTTTTAAATTATACTTTAAGTTTTAGGGTACATGTGCACAATGTGCAGGTTTGTTACATATGTATACATGTGCCATATTGGTGTGCTGCACCCAGTAACTCGTCATTTAACATTAGGTATATCTCCTAATGCTATCCCTGCCCCCTCCCCCCATCCCACAACAGGCCCCTGTGTGTGATGTTCCCCTTCCTGTGTCCATGTGTTCTCATTGTTCAATTCCCACTTATGAGTGAGAACATGCAGTGTTTGGTTTTTTGTCCTTGTGATAGTTTGCTGAGGATGATGGTTTCCAGCTTCATCCATGTCCCTACAAAGGACATGAACTCATCCTTTTTTATGGCTGCATAGTATTCCATGGTGTATATGTGCCACATTTTCTTAATCCAGTCTATCATTGTTGGACATTTGGGTTGGTTCCAAGTCTTTGCTATTCTGAATAGTGCCGCAATAAACATATGTGTGCATGTGTCTTTATAGGAGCATGATTTATAATCCTTTGGGTGTATACCCAGTAATGGGATGGCTGGGTCAAATAGTATTTCTAGTTCTAGATTCCTGAGGAATCACCACACCGACTTCCACAATGGTTGAAGTAGTTTACAGTCCCACCAACAGTGTAAAAGTGTTCCTATTTCTCCACATCCTCTCCAGCACCTGTTGTTTCCTGACTTTTTAATGATTGCCATTCTAACTGGTGTGAGATGGCATCTCATTGTGGTTTTGATTTCCATTTCTCTGATGGCCAGTGATGATGAGCATTTTTTCATGTGTCTTTTGGCTGCATAAATGTCTTCTTTTCAGAAGTGTCTGTTCATATCCTTCACCCACTTTTTGATGGGGTTGTTTGTTTTTTTCTTGTGAATTTGTTTGAGTTCATTGTAGATTCTGGATATTAGCCTTTTGTCAGATGAGTAGATTGCAAAATTTTTTTCCCATTCTGTAGGTTGCCTGTTCACTCTGATGGTGGTTTCTTTTGCTGTGCAGAAGCTCTTTAGTTTAATTAGATCCCATTTGTCAATTTTAGCTTTTGTTGCCGTTGCTTTTGGTGTTTTAGACATGAAGTCCTTGCCCATGCCTACGTCCTGAATGGTATTGCCTAGGTTTTCTTCTAGGGTTTTTATGGTTTTAGGTCTAACATTTAAGTCTTTAATCCATCTTGAATTAATTTTTGTATAAGGTGTAAGGAAGGGATCCAGTTTCAGCTTTCTATATATGGCTAGCCAGTTTTCCCAGCACCATTTATTAAATAGGGAATCCTTTCCCCATTGCTTGTTTTTGTCAGCTTTGTCAAAGATCAAATAGTTGTAGATATACGGCATTATTTCTGCAGGCTCTGTTCTGTTCCATTGGTCTATATCCCTGTTTTTTTTTTTTTTTACCAGTACCATGCTGTTTTGGTTACTGTAGCCTCGTAGTATAGTTTGAAGTCAGGTAGCGTGATGCCTCCAGCTTTGTTCTTTTGGCTGAGGATTGACTTGGCAATGCGGGCTCTTTTTTGGCTCCATATGAACTTTAAAGTAGTTTTTTCCAATTCTGTGAAGAAAGTCATTGGTAGCTTGATGGGGATGGCATTGAATCTATAAATGACCTTTGGTAGTATGGCCATTTTCACAATATTGATTCTTCCTACCCATGAGCATGGAATGTTCTTCCATTTGTTTGTATCTTCTTTTATTTCATTGAGCAGTGGTTTGTAGTTCTCCTTGAAGAGGTCCGTCACGTCCCTTGTAAGTTGGATTCCTAGGTATTTTATTATCTTTGAAGCAACTGTGAATGGGAGTTCACTCATGATTTGGCTCTCTGTTTGTCTGTTATTGGTGTATAAGAATGCTTGTGATTTTTGCACATTGATTTTGTATCCTGAGACTTTGCTGAAATTGCCTATTAGCTTAAGGAGATTTTGGGCTGAGACGATGGGGTTTTCTAGATATACAATCATGTCATCTGCAAACAGGGACAATTTGACTTCCTCTTTTCCTAATTGAATGCCCTTTATTTCCTTCTCCTGCCTGATTTCCCTGTCCAGAACTTCCAACACTATGTTGAACAGGCATGGTGAGAGAGGGCATCCCTGTCTTGTGCCAGTTTTCAAAGAGAATGCTTCCAGTTTTTGCCCATTCAGTATGATATTGGCTGTGGGTTTGTCATAGATGGCTCTTATTATTTTGAAATACGTCCTATTAATACTTAATTTATTGAGAGTTTATAGCATGAAGAGTTGTTGAATTTTGTCCAAGTCCTTTTCTGCTTCTATTGAGATAATCATGTGGTTTTTGTCGTTGGTTCTGTTTATATGCTGGATTACATTTTTTGATTTTTGTATGTTGAACCAGCCTTGCATTCCAGACATCAGAATTTTTTCTTAGTTTCTGTTGGCTTATTTTTTCTTTTGAATGGGCCATACTTTCTTTGTGTTTTTATTTTCTTGAAACTATACATTCAAATAAAAAGATGTAACATTGAAAATCAGATTCTCCCCTTCATTGGGGTTTGCCATCTTTCTTGTTTTTTGTTTTTTTGTTTTTTAATTACAGACTGCCTCTATGCCAAGGTTCAGCCTGAGTTACACCTTTAAAGTCTTCTTAGGTCTTTTCTGAGTCTGTGACTTCTCTCTGGCATGCACAGTGACTTTCCTATCCCCCTTCCCTTGTATGTATGATTGCTGTTAAATATTATAGTCTTCGATATCTAGTTCCCAAATGAGGAAGAAGGAAAACATAAAAATGGGAAGAAAAGGTGCCAGCCATTTAAATCCTTGGGAAATAACTTTAACCAGATGGAAAAGGGTTTAGAACAATGGAGTAAAGTGCAACAACAATTACTGTCAACTCTTTTTCTGCGCTTCTGTGATCAGAAGAAGCAATTAGTGATCAGAGAATAAATCTGTAATATTTGAAGACAGTCTTTTTAGCCCATCTTACCTCTCACAAGCTGTGTACAAACTTTTCCAGAAACACATGCGTAGCTGCCTACCACAGGGCTGAGGGATAGCAGATGGGTAGCTGCTACTGTGCTAACAGCTAAAGTTGAACAAAATCAACCACAGTTTATCAGCCAAGTTGCTAAGAACTAGGAAATTTTCAGGGGTTGTCTGTGTGGACTTCTAAAGATAATGTAAATGTTGAGATTTTAGATATGTATGTTAATAGAACTTACAATACTCTAAAGAGTCATATGGATTAAGGCAAACTTAGCATCTCAGTCTTTAAAAAAAAGAAAAAAGGTAAGAAAAAATATAAAAATAACAACATGGGAAATGTGTTTTAATAATAAAATTAAATAAATTTTTTGATGTAAAAATATTAGATTGCTGATATTCTTATGAGCTATACTAAAAATTAAGACATGGGTAGGGATTTTAGGCTTTTATTATACATTTTCTCTAAAATAATCAAATTTACTTTTATTGTTAGCAAAAACAGTAAGTGTAAAGGAGATAAAAATTAGTGCTTAATAAGTATAGAATTTTAGTTTTGCAAGATAAAAGAGTTCTAGAAGATTCACAGCAATGTGAATATACTTAGCACTGCTCAAATGTACACATAAAAATGCTTGACCATAAATTTAACCTTATGCCTTTTTTACCACAATTAAAAAATATATATAAACAATGGAAAGTGTAGCGTGAAATTTGTGCCCAAACTCTGCATGGCAGATTGATTTTGAGCCCTTTTTCAGAAATATTTTTACACTAGATATTATGTGAGTTATTTCCTGAAAGATGTTTGAGGCTTTGGGAAAAATAAACCTATAAAGTCATGTGAATTATAAGGAGCAGTGGCGCTCATGGGACTGGGCAGAGTGGAGGGGAAGCATGTGTGAAGGGAGTGTATTTTTTTCTTCACTTTTTTTTTTATATTAAGATCAAACTGACATATGGTGAAATGCAGTTTCCACAAATGCATTTATCTATGTAACCATCACTCTAGTCAAGATATTGAAAATTTCCAACCCAACCCAAAGTTCTCTCCTGCCCCTTTTCACTCAGATCCCACCTTCCAAAGCTAACTATCGTACTAACAATTCCTGTTACCATAGAAATAATTTAGTAAAGATTTCTAAAAGGATTAGTTGTTTAAGGTCATAGTGGCTTAGATCTCACACATATTAGGGAATGCTGCAGAATTAAGGGTATCGTAGCTGAAGTTCATAGCAACTTAAACTATTGATAAAAATGACACATGTAACTAGAAGTTCTTTCTATTTATTTTCTTTATTATATTTTTATTGATAAATATGCACTTGAAAATATTAGCTGATTTTTTGCTCTTGGAAAATATAGTGTTTTTCACAAAATACCCCAATAAAAAGTGGGCAAAGGATATCAACAGACGCTTCTCAAAAGAAAACATGTATGTGGCCAACAAGAACTTACTTTACTTGAAGCTTAAAAGGAAAAAAAGCTCAACCTCACTGATCATTAGATAAATTCAAATCAAAACTACAATGAGATACCATCTCATGCCAGTCAGAATGGCTATCATTATTAATAAAAAGTCAAAAAAACCCAGATGCTAGTGAGGTTGTGGAGAAAAAGGAACTCATTTATACCATTGGTGGGAGTGTAAATTAGTTCAACTATTTTGGAAGACAGTGTTATGATTTCTGAAAGACCAAGAAGCAGAAATACCATTTGATCCAGCAATCACATTACTGGGTATAAACCCAAAAGAATATAAATTATTTTATTATAAAGACACATGCACACGTATGTTTATTGCAGCAGTATTCACAATAGCAAAGACATGGAATCGACCTCAATGTCCATCAAGAATAGACTGGATAAAGAAAATGTGGTACATATACATGATGAAATACTATGTGGCCATTAAAATGAATGAGATCATGTCCTTTTGAGGGACATGGATGGAGTTGGAATTCATTATCTTCAGCAAACTAACACAGGAACAGAAAACCAAACACCACATGTTCTCACCTGTAAGTGGAAGCTGAATGATGAGAACATATGGACGCATGGGGGAGAACAACATACACTGGAGCTTGTCAGAGTGGGGTCATGGTGGGAGGGAGAGCATAAAGAGGAATAGCGAATGGATACTGGGCTTAATACTTAGGTAATGGGATGATCTGTGCAGCAAACCACCATGGCATATGTTTACCTATGTAATAAAACTGCACATCCTGTACATGTACTCCTGAACTTAAATAAAAGTTAAAGAAAATAATAATAATAATAATAATAGCAAAAAAGGAAAACATGATGTTTTTCATTATTTGAATAGGGTGGTTTTATTTAAATTACTCATAACATAATAGGGAAAATGTTTTCATGGTATTTTATTTGCACCATGGGTTTATTTGCATTTTACTTTATAATTTGTCTTGCTTGAAATTAGATTATTGCCTCGTTAAACAGCAGGATTATATTATTATTGCTTAATTTGAGAATCAAGTGGTCTCTAATTTTTGCCTTATGTATATAAATGGTGTATTAAAATAGAAATCAAATATTACCTATAGCCATTTTGGCTTCAGAAATTCCTCTGACTTCAAATAATAAAACACTTTTTGTTTAAAAATAATTTTAAAATAGCCTGTTTAATTTTTTTAAAAATGACTAATTTATAAAATGTCACAAATAATTACAATGACATCTAACGTAATAAAATATCAAATTATATGTTACAAATGGATGCAACAATAGCAACTGTTTCATCAAACCTAGGAAATTCAAGACATTAGTACCATTTAAATAGAAAAATAAAGAAAAAATAAAGAGAAAAAGCATAATTTTATTCCCAAATAATTCACTATTTCTAATCAATTTGGTCAAGGAATCAGTGCCCCTAATTTTCACAAGTATTTAAGTAACTCTTTTGAATATTCTTAAGGTAAAAGTAAAAGTTCTTGCTACAAATGTATTTTCCTTTGGCTTTAACATACACACATGAACACACACAGATATACATACTCATGACCATGCATATGTGCTAGAACTTAAAATACTGTTAGTAACCCATCCATAAGTATATATGCTTTTAAAGGATATTTGCAGTAGCCCCCTGATATCCTCATAAAACTTCAGATTATGTTAGTTTATTCTATGTTTAGGATCTTTCACAGATTTATTTTCTTACGATAAAAGGCTATTTTAAATGTTCAACAAACATAGTCACTGTTTTCCACAATAATTACTTTGTATCTCCTCTCTGGCAGTTATATTTTGTTAAGAATAAAGTGTTTGCATAATAACTATGATTTATATATTTGAATTTTTCACATACCTGCTTCCATATATAATTTTAGAAAATACAAAATTCATTTATACCAAAAAATACTTTGATAAAATACCAGTGAAAATCACAAAGCCACAGAAAATGTATAAGTTAAAATGTAAGTCAGAGGCAGAAAACTGACAAATTCTGGACTTAAATTTGATACTTGAACAATTAAACCTAATACCTACAGAATACTCCATTCATCAACCACAGAATATACATTCTTTTTATCTGTATGTAAAACATACTTCAAGATCAACTACATGCTCAGACATGAAGCAAGTCTCAATAAATACAAAGATTTAAATTATAGCAGCCCCACTCTCAGACAAAACTTAAACTAGAAATTTATATCAAGAAGATCTCTTAAAACTCATCAATTACATAGAAATTAAACAACTTGCTCCTGAAAGACTTTTGGGTAAACAATGAAATAAAGTCAGAAATTTAAAAATTATTTGAAAAAAATGAAAATGAAGACAGAAGATACGAAAATTTCTGGGAATCAGCAAAGTAGTGTTAGAGGAAAGTTTAAAATGTTGCTAAATGCCTACCTCAGAATGTTACAATGATCTCAAATTAACAATCTAATACCACAACTAGAGGAACTAGAAAAACAAGAAAAAACTAACCCCAAAGCCAGCAGAAAAAAAAAATAACTAAAATCAGAGCTGAATGGAATGAATTGAGACCCCAAAATCCATATAAAGAATCAACAAAACCAAAAGTTGGTTATTTGAAAAGATAAACAAGATCAACGGAACACTAGCTAGATTAACAAAGAAAAAGAGAGAAGATCCAAAAAATCACAATAAGAAATGACAAAGTTGACATTACAACCAATCCCATTAAATATAAAAGATCCTCAGAGACTGTTATGAACATTTCTATGCTAAGAACTAGAAAATACACAGGAAATAGATAAATTCCTGGAAACATACAATCTCCCGAGATTGAATCAGGAAGAAATTGAAACCCTGAACAGACCAATATCATGTTCTGATATTGAATTAGTAATATAAAATCTACCAACAAAAAAGCCCAGGACCAGATGGATTCACAGCCAAATTCTAACAGACATACGAAGATGAGCTGGTACAATTTCTACTGAAATTATTACAAAAAATCAAGAAGGAAGGACTCTTCCCTAACTCTATCTATAAATTCAGCATTACCCTGATACTAAAATCTAGTAAAGACACTGGTGAAAAATAAAAAAATTCTGGTGAAAAATGAAAACTACGGGTCAATATTTCTGATGAAAATAGATACAAAAATTATCAACACAATACTAGTAAACCAAATCCAACAGCATATCAAAATGTTTGTCATGATAAGGTAAGCTTTATTCATGGAATGCAAAGTTGGTTCAACATACACAAATCTCGGTTGAGTTCAAGATGGCTGAATAGAACAAGCTAGTGGGTGCCACAGTCATAAAGAGGAAATAAAATGGCAAGAGAATACTGACTCTTCAAGTGTATTGTTTAAGGAACCACATTAGATTTTATCAAGGGAGAAAGAAGACACATGGAGAACATAGAATAGCAAATCTAGTCAGCTGTCTGCATGGGCCTGGTGCAGAGCCAGAAGAACCTCTCTAACGTGAAGGAAGGGTGAGAGAGTAAGAGCCCTGTGGAATCTACACTTCCCACAAAGACCTGTGCAATCCTCAGAATGGGAGAGAACCACCTCTGACCCCCACAACCCCCAAGAGGCCTCTAGACTGATAGTGAGAGCCACTGGGAGTTTTTGCAGAAGTATTACTCAGGGCCCCCAGGGAGCCCCACAGTTTCTATTACCCTGAAGCAGCCTTGCACTAGCTGCCAAGGCACCAATAGAGGCCATAGTTGTGGTGTTGGGGAAGCAGTCAGACTACTCCACTCCTCCTTGCCAGACAAGGCTCAGCTTCTACTTCCAGAGCAGTGGCTCCAGCCTCTACTTCCAGAGCAGTGGCTCCAGCCTCTGAACTCTGCCAGCAATCACAACTCTGTCCTTGGGAAACACCCAGGCAGCAGACTGGTCAACTCCACCTAATCTTGCTGCTGCTAGCTGGGTGGGACCCATAGACTTTGGCTTCCAGAACAGCAGCCTCACCCCTTCCTGAATTCTGCTGGGGGACACAGCTCTGTGTTCCCCTGGGAAACATCCAGATGTTGGACCATGCTTGATGCTGCTTAACAGTTCAGACTTGCTGTCTTGGACTTCAGGGCACTGGCCCTGGCCCCACCTGGACTCTGCTGAGGGACACAGCTCTATGTTCCCCTGGGAAACACTTGGATGACAGACCATACAACTCTACCTACCTTCACTGCTCCTAGCCAGGAGACACTCATTGGCTTGGGCATCCAGTGGAGCAGCCCTATCCCTGCCTAAACTCTGTGGGTTGGCAAAGTTCTGTATTCTCCCAGGAAACACCAGGAGAGCAGTTAGTGCCGCTCCACTCACCCTCACTACTCCTAGCTAGGCAAGGCTCACTGGCTTGGGCAGCACCCAAGCAAGAGAGGAGCTCCAACTCCCAGAACACTGAGAAGAGTGAGACATCCAAGTTCGTTGGCACTCATGCTGAAGGGCTGGTCTGGGAAAGGTGTGCCCTGTCTGCCAGCTGCAGTTTCTGTCTGAGAGGGTCCTATGGCCCAGAGCACCTAACAAAGGAAATGCAGCCACAGCACCAGTGATTGGAGGGGGCTTCCCCTAGGTCGTGGAGTAGACCTGGTGAGGGGGATCATCTCTCTCCCTCCCATTACAGAATACTACTGTGAATATTCTGAAATTCTCAGCCAAGAGTTGCATGCCTGAGAATGAGCCTATCTGCTGGCCATCACTCTTAAGCACCATCTACTAGACTGCAGCCCAAATTACATTACAACAAATATTCTGCCAGTATACAGTGCCTATATTCAACATCCTCAAAGGAAAGAAATTCCAAACAAGAAGTCCTTAAGGGAATATTAAATATGGACACAAAGAACTGATACCTGCTACCCCAGAAGCATCCTTAAGCACATAGTACAGAAAAAATATAAAGAGACTGCACAATCAAGTCTATAAAACAACCAGCTAACAAGATGGTGACTGGTTCAAAATCTTGCACATTAATACTAACTTTGAATGTAAATGGTCTAAACCAGTGGTCCCCATTCTTTTTGGTACCAGTGAGAGGTGAAGCCAGCTGGACTTTCTGGGTTGAGTGAGGACTTGGAGAACATTTCTGTCTGGCTAGAGGATTGTAAACGCACCAATCAGCACTCTGTGTCTAGCTAAAGGATTGTAAATGCACCAATCAGCACTCTGTAAAAACACACCAATCAACACTCTGTGTCTGGATAAAGAATTGTAAATGCACCAATCAGCACTCTGTAAAATGGACCAATCAGCAGGATATGGGCGGGGACAAATAAAGGAATAAAAGCTGGCCACCCCAGCCAGCAGCAGCAACCCTCTCAGGTCCCCTTCCACACTGTGGAAGCTTTGTTCTTCCACTCTTCACAATAAATATTGCTGCTGCTCACTCTTTGGGTCTGCACTACCTTTATGAGCTGTAACACTCACCGCGAGGGTCTGCGGCTTCATTCCTGAAGTCAGCGAGACCACGAACCCACTGGGAGGAACAAACAACTCTGGACGTGCCACCTTTAAAAACTGTAACACTCACTGCGAAGGTCTGTGGCTTCACTCCTGAAGTCAGTGAGACCATGAATCCACCAGAAGGAAGAAACTCTGGACACATCTGAACATCTGAAGGAACAAACTCCACACATACCATCTTTAAGAGCTGTAACACTCACCATGAAGGTCCGCGGCTTCATTCTTGAAGTCAGCGAGACCAAGAACCCACTGGAATGAATAAATTCCAGACACACCAGCAAGCAGTTTCATGGAAGATAGTTGTTCCACAGATGGTAGGATGGAGGGGTGGTTTCTGGATAAAACTGTTCTGCATCAGATTATCAGTTACTTTCTCATAAGGAGTGTGCAACCTAGATCCCTCACATGCACAGTTCACAATAGGGTTTGTACTCCAGTGAGAATCTAATGCCTCCACTTATCTGACAGGAGGCAGAGCTCAGGCAGTAATGCTCACTTACCTGCCACTCACCTTCTGCTGTGTGGCCTGGTTCCTAATAGGCCACAGATTGATACATGTCCACAGCCTGGGCATTGGGGACCCCTGGTCTAAATGCCCAATTTAAAGGCATAGAGTGAAAAGCTTGATAAAAAGTCAAGAAACAATTGTCTGTTGTCTTCAAGAGACACAGCTCATATGTAATGGCAGCCACAGGCTCAAAGTAAAGGGATGGAAAAAGATCTACCATGCAAATGGAGAACAAAAAAAAAAAAAATAGAAGGAGTCATGAATCTTATATCAGATAAAAACAGATTTAGACCAAAAACAATCAGAAAGAACGAAGAAGACCATTACATAATGATAAAGTGTTCATTACAACAAGAAGACTTAACTATTCTAAATATATACTCAGCCAACATTGGAGCACCCAGATTCATAAAACAAGTTCTTAGAGAGCCACAAAAAGACTTGGATAGCCACACAATAATAGTGGGAGACTTCAATCCTCACTGACACTGTTGGAAAGATCATCAAGGCAGAAAACTTACAAAGAAATTCTGGACTTAAATCCAACACTTGACCAACTGGATCTAATAAAGATTTACAGAATAATCCATCCAACAACTACAGAATATACATTCCTCTCATCCACATATGGAATATATTCTAAGATCAACCATGTGCTCATTCATAAAGCAAGTCTAAGTTAAAAAAAAATAAGAGTCATTCCAAACACGCTCTTAGACCACAGTGGAAATAAACACAAATCATTATTAAGATCTCTTGAACTACACACACACACACGAAAATGGAAATTGAACAACTTGCTTCTGAATAACTCTTGAGTGAGCAATGAAATTAAGGCAGAAATATAAAATTATTTGAAATTAATGAATATAGGAACACAACTTACCAAAATATCTGGTATGCAGTTAAAGGAGTGTTAAGAGGAAAGTTTATAGTGCTGAACACCTATATCAAGAACTTAGAAAAATTACAAATAACAATGTAACATTGCACCTAGAGGAACTAGAAAAAGATAAAAACAGCCCCAAATCTAGCAGAAGAAAATTGATAACTAAAATCAGAGTAAAACTGAATGAATTTAGGACACACAAGTCCAAACAAAAGATCAATAAAACCAAAAGTGTTCTTAAAGAGAATAAGAATGATTAATAGACTGCTAGCTAGATTTAAAAAGAGAACAAAAAAAAGAATAACCAAATAAGTGTAATTAGAACTGACAAAGATAATACAACCAATCCCAGAAAAACATAGAAGATTCCAATAAGCTATTATGAAATTAACACTTCTTTGCAAATAGAGAATCTAGAGAAAATGAGTAAGTACCTGGGAACACAACACCTTCCAAGATTAATTCAGGAAGACCGCGAAAATCTGAATAGACCAATAACAAACTCTGAAACTGAATCAGTAATACAAAGCCTACCAACAACCAAGAAAAAAAAAAAAAGCCCTGCACTAGATGGATTCACAGACAAATTGAACCAGATTTACAAAGAAGAACCAGTCCTACTGAGACTAGTCCAAGAAATTGAGAGTAGGTGTTCCTTCTTAAATCATTCCACAAAGCCGGCGTCACCCTGATACCAAAATCTGGCAGAGACATGATCCAAAAAGGAAACTTCAGGCCAATATCCCTGATGAACATAGATGTAAAAATCCTCAGTAAAATATTCACTTGCAACGTGAATCAGTAGCATAATAAAGAGTTAATTCACCATGACCAAGTGGGCTTCATTTCTCAGATTCAAGATTGGTTCAGCACATGCAAATCAATGTGATCTACTGCATAAACAGAATTAAAAGCAAAAACCATATGACCATCTCAATAGATGCAGAAAAAGCTTTCATTAAAATCCATTATCCCTTCATGATAAAAGTTCTCAACAGACTAGACATTGAATGAACATATCTGAAAATAATAATAGCCATATATGACAAGCCCACAGCCAACATCATACTGCATGGGCAAAAGCTGGAAGCATTCCCCTAGAGGACTAGAACAGAAAAAGTATGTCGACTCTTTCCTCTCCAGTTCAATATAGTACTGGAATTTCTAGTCAGAGAAATCAGGAAAAAGAAAGAAATGATAGGTATTCAAATAGGAAAATAAGAATTCAAACTTTCTTTCTTTGCTGACAGTAGAATTATCTGCTTAGAAACCCCTAATGACTCCAACGAAAGTCTACTAGAACTGATTAACTATTTTAGAAAGGTTTCAGAATACAAAATCAATGTACAAAAACTAGTAGCATTTCTATACACCAATAATGTCCAGGATGAGAGTCTAATCAAGAACACAATCCCATTTACAATAGGTATTAAATCAATGAAATACCTAGGGATACAGTTAACTAAGAAAGTGATAGATTTCTAGAAGGAAAACTACAATATAGCTGAAAGAAATCACACACAACACAAGTAAATGGAAAAACATTCCATTCTCATGAATTGGAAGAATCAATATTGTTGAAATGTTCTACAGCCCAAAGCAATGTACAGAATCAAAGTTATTCCTGTCATACTACCAACATCATTCATAACAGATATTTTAAAAATTCCAAAATTTATATGCCTGCATAGCAAAAGTAATCTTAAGCAAAAATAATAAGCTGGAGGCATCACATTACTTGACTTCAAACTATAATATAAGGCTACAGTAACCAAAACAGTAAAGTAATTTTTAAAGACAGACATATAGAACAATAAAACAGAATAGAAAACTAGTAAATAAAGCCACACAACTACAACCATCTTATCTTCAACAAGACCAACAAAAACAAGCAATGGGGAAAGGATTCCCTATACAACAAATGGTGCTGGAATAACTGCCTAGCCAGACACAGAAGAATGAAACTAGACTTTTACTTTTTACCATGGACAGAAATGAACTTAAGACAGATTAAAGATTTACATGTAAGATCTCAAACTATAAAAATTCTAGAAGAAACTCTAGGAAATACTTTTCTTAACATTGGCCTTGGCAAAGAATTTTTGACCACATCCCTAAAAGCAATTGCAAAAAGAAAAATTGACAAGTGAAAGCCATTTAAACTAAAGAGCTTCTGCACAGCAAAAGAAAATTCTAATAAAGTAAACAGACAACCTACAGAAAGAGAGAAAATATTTGCAAACTCTATATCCAGCAAAGGTCTAACATCCAGAATCTATAAGGAACTTAAACAATTGAACAAGCTAAAAACAACCCTGCTAAAAAGGAGCAAAAGACATAAACAGACATTCCTCAAAAGAAGACATATAAGCAGCCAAGAAACATATGAAAAAAATGTTCTACATTACTAATTATCAGAGAAATGCAAATCCAGAACATGATGAGATACCATCTCACACCAGTAAGAATAGCTATTACTAAAATTTAACAAATATCAGATGCTGGTGAGGCTGTGGAGAAAAGGGAACCTTTATTTTGGTGGAAATGTAAAGTAGTTCAGCCACCTTTGAAATTTCTTAAATAACTTAAAATTACAGTTTGGCCCAGCAATCTTATTAATGGATATATATCAAAAAAATTAATTGCTCTACCAAAGAGACACATGCATGCAGTTTCATGTTGATCCCAGCGCCATTCACAATAGCAAAAACATAGAATTAACCTAGGTGTCCATCAACAATGGAGGGGATAAAGAAAATTTGGTACACCATGCATCACTATACAGCCACAAAAAGAGTGAAATTATGTCCTTTGCAGTAACATGGGTGCAGCTGGAGGCCATTATCCTAACTTAATTAACACAGGAACAGAAAAACAAATTGTGAGGACTAACAATAGTGATGTCGTTTCACAACCTTGATGATTGTCTTCTCAGGAACAAAGCAAACATCAATCCCACCCATAGCCTCAACAGAGCATAAGCGCCCTAACTGCATCAGAACTTAGCAGCCCTAAGTGCATCCATCCCCAGCTGGAAACTCTCCAACAGTCCCAACCAACCAGCACTTCCCCAACCCCTCCCCTATAGAAACTTTATGATAAAAACCTCAGCTTGTAAGTCAGACTACTGACTGGGACCCCTTGCAGGCTTATTCCTGTGAATAAACCTTTTTGGCCATTGAGATGATGCCTCCTGTCTCTCACTCTTTTCCTTTATGTTTTCATATAATTTGGTGCCAAAACCCGGGACATGGTCTGGGTTTCATAGCAGAGAGAGTTTCTCTCACAATCTCCTGCTCCTAGCCCCATCTGACAGAGCAGTAGCATTGCCATCTTGGACAAGCACCTCCATTTTAAAGTTCTCCTTGATCAAAAACCACCTAAATCCAAAGGGCATCAGCCTAATGGCTAAGGTCAGCATGACCATAAACCACAAATGACATCTCCACCAGAAACATTCCAACCCTAAGATAAACCCCTCCCTGACCAGAGACATGCCAGCCCCACAATAAACTTCTCCACACAAAACATTCCAAGCCTGTGATAAGTTCTCTTGCCCTGAAACCTTAAACACTCTTAATCTGTAAGAGAGAGTGCTCCTGGCTGAAATCAGCCAGAAGCCCTCTCAGGTTTATTCGCCAAAATAAATCTGTCTTTGACTGCTGAACTGCTTTTTGTGTTTCTTTAACTCTTACATTTTGGTGCCAAAAGCCGGGATGGGTGTTGGGGGTAGAGGCTCTCTTGCAATCCAGGAAGCAGTAGGCAGTGGCAACTCATCACGCTGGATCCTGAGAGTCTCTGGCCACCCACCCAGTCTTGTCTCTCACTTCACTTTTTGAGTGATTTGTGTGAGGAGGACAACTAACCTGAAGGGGACTGCAAGGCTCAGGGGCTACTCCCCAGTGGGTGCTCAAAACCCTTAGGTCTCAGGAATCCACCTCCGACTGCTTGCAATGGGTATTTCACTCTCTCCGCTCCTCCTCCTCCATCTTCTTTTCTCTCTCTCTCTCTGTCTTCCTTGTGCAACTCCAGTCCAAGAAGTCCTTTGCCAATTCGAATAGGAACATCCAACATTGGACACTAATCCAGCTGACTGGTGAGATATGCCCTCCTCTGGCTTTCTTGCAGAACCCAGCAAAGTCAGGTCTACTATCCCGGTCCTCAGATGACCAGTGGGACTAAGATGGAAGACATCTTGGGGACACTCAGTTTCTTCTCAGCTTGAACATCCTCTTTATAAAGAGGATTTCGGGTCTCTGTCTTTTGTCTGGGGATGCCTAGAACAAAAACAGACACCCTCAGCCTCTTCTCACCAGTCCACATGAGTGCCAAACAATCCTACATTCCTACATCCTCTCCACTGGGCTGTCTCCTTCACAACCTCACCAAACTCAGCTTATGGGAAGCATAAAGCCAAAGCATTTGGGTTTTTTATTGCAACACAGCCTGGCCCCAATACAAATTAGACAATGACAGCCGATGGCCCAAAAATGGTACCTTTGACTTTCAAATTCTCAGGAAGTGTGACAACTTTATAACCAGGAATGGCAAATGACAAGAGATTCTCTATATTCAGGTTTTCTTCTAACTTAGACCCCAACCCTCCCTGTGTCAAGCCTGCACCCCTCATGAAATCCTTCTTAATTAAAACCTTCCCTGGGTCTTTCCTCCCTCTGAAACTCCTTCCTCTGAAACCCTTTTTGACCCTGCAGATAAAACCTCTCTGTATTCTCATCCCCCTGCATCTGCTCCTTACCCTTCCAAACCCTCCAGCCCAGTGGCTCCTTTTGCCCCCAATTCTTCAGCCCCAAACCCCACTCCTCCTCCTTCTCCACTTGTTAATCTGTTCAAAAACTGCTCCAACCAGTCAAACCACTTCTGCCATTCTCCCTCTCCATTAAGTGGCTGGTACTGAAGGCATTGCTTGTGTTCATGTCCCTTTCTCCATGTCTGATTTGTCGCATATGGGATCTTTCTCTGAAAATCCTTCTCATTGTTGCAGGGAATTCCTGCAATAACTCAATTCTGTAGTTTTAAGTGGAATAATATTTATATAATTCTAATCTCCACCCTCACCCCTGATTAAAAAAAAGTGCTCAGCTTAATTAAAATGGATATATAAGCTATGAGTATATTCAAAAGGCCTTTATGTTTTTCTCTTCATAAATCTTGTTTTCCCTCAGTCAACTGAATTACTTTCCTCCATTCTGTCTTGCCACTCTTGGTGCATGTATGAAACACCCTAAAATGACTTCTGGTGGCTTAGGACTCCTTGGGAAAACAGAAAAGTTGCCACAAATCCCATATTGGGGAAAATATCTGTTTTCCTTATGGAACCCCTGGAATTAGAGGTGAATAAGTACCTCTTAAAATCTGTTTTTGTCTTCCAGCTATGCTTGTTTATTAGGCCTTGGAAGTTGTTTACCTAGCCCTGTTCTTAAAGGGCCTCACCTGAAGGCCAATAATCCAACTGGGAAATTAGAAAATAAAAAATCGTATAACTACTGGATCTTCTTCTTGTTGTCTGTGTGGCTATGTATGTGTTACATGTGCAATGTCTTTTAAAAAGCTCTATTAAATTGGCCAAAGAAAAATAAGCACTTGAATCAAATATTTTTAAGGGAAAAGTAAAAGCTGTGGGACCTTTCAGTTCACGTGACTTTAGTCTTTAAAATTTACTGTTACAGTAAGATTAGAAATGTCTTAAGACTTGCCAGTATACATTTTTGTTTGTATTTATTTATCAAGAAATTTCATACTTATCTCTGTCAAATACTGTAAGGTGTCAAAATTTGGCATAGCAGCTATGAAACTATAACCCAGCCCAAACAGAATAATCTTCGCTTGTGTAATGTTTTAATAAATGAAACATTAATATTGGTTTAATAAAGATAGCTACATCTTGAACTATTTAGTGAAATACCCTAACTTTTAATCTTGTGGCCTTAGGCAGTCTAGTCCACAGGCATGAAGGAAGTTTGTTTTGGGAAAGGACTGTTTATCATCTTTGATATTAAAGAAAATATAATTTATATAGAAATAATTTTACATGGTAAATTCTTGTCTTAAAGTAGAGCAACTGGTTGTTTAAAGAGAGGAATGTTTACAACAAGTCAGAAAGTTGAGGCATGTCAGAGATTGTCTGTGAAAGTCATGAAAAATTTTATAAAGGGAATTTATACAATTTAAAAGTGATTAGGCTCCTGAATGCTTTATAAAATGCCACTTTAACTCTTAGCTGTACAATTTGCCTGCTTTGCAGCTAGGTAACACCTAGGAAACATGGAGTTAATATTGGAATAAGTCAAACCTTATCTGCACTTCTGTCTAGGTCCTAGGCTTTACACCTAGTAGATAATTAAAATCCCAAACATACCAACCACAGTAAAGGTTGCTAAAAGTTAACAGTTTAATATCTATTTAGGACTATTGAATAAACAGTTTATATATATTCTTGGTAAAAAGATTATAAGGAGGCATGAGAATGTGGATTTTTACCTAGATTAAAAGGTTAAAGAACTGTTTTTAAGTTAAATAAAATAAAAATGAAGGTTTAAGCAAGTTTGGGAAGCTTCATTGTAAAGGAAATTCTGTGGGTAAACATATTAGCTAAAATTGAAGGGGTGTTATCCAATTTTTCTGTAAATTGCCCATTAAAATAAAAGCACAACAGGTTTCTCTTAAAGCACTAACCTGCTCTTTAACAAAAATTATAAAGAGTTAAAAAGGGTCTATAAAAATCTTACCTTATGGTCAAACACTAAAATTTGGTAAATGTGTCAACAAGGTTTTATTAAAAATTTAGTTGAACATTAATAGCACACTCATATAAAGGTAAAATTTGGCTTATTTGGTATAAAGTCATATAGAAAGCCTTGTCAAATATAAAATGGTGTTTGGCTTTCTTTGGGCTATATTTGCATAAATAGGTTAATGGTATGTGTTCCAGAGTTATGGGAGACTCCTGTAATCCTGATATAGCTTAGTGTACATTATCAGTAATAATTATAATTGTTATGTTAAAATTATTGTGTGCCACAAAGGTAACATATATCCTTGTCAATTGTGACTTTAACTATGGCTACCCTAAAACTTTTTGTCATCCAGAAACAATTGTTGTCTTGTTTTGGTCCTCTTTAGAAGGTAGTTTTATAATCAGCTATAAAGCTCTAACAGGTACTCTTTAATGCAGATTTCTGTTAACTTTGGAGATTGTTGACATCAGAATAGAGGAAAAACATTCAGGACTCTTGAAGAGCTAAAATCTTCATTAATATTATGTGGGACAGGAATTAACTGCATGGGCTGAACTGATAGGAGACTGGAGTGATCCTTTTGACATTTTGCTTAAAATATTGCTGATCCTTTGTTTTGCTTTTCAAAGTCAAAGAAACTTTTCTTTTGAGCTATTGACAGCTTTTAACAATTTAGTATACTCCCATAAACAAAATTTGAAGCATACTTGTTTCTCTCTACCTGATTTTCTCCAGAGTTTAGAAACTATGAGTATTCTTAAGTTATGGCAATATAGTTATTTGAATAAGTGCAATAATAATCTGTGTTCTTTTGTAACAGTACACAATTGGAAAAACTGGTTATCTTACCAACGCTTTGACCGGAATGGTGTGCTCTCCTTTAAGGAATCAAACCTGACTTACAGAGAGATTAAAGCACTTGGAAAGCTGGCCTCATATTTTGTGCAAACAGTCCGTGTACAGTGTTTCTGATCTGTGGCAAGTAAAGAATGTCACTTTCTAAGAGGGCAGACACCCCAAGTTATCTTGGAACCTCAAGAGGAAACTCGTAGGTATTTAATAGTACAATTCCATGGCTGGGCTCAGCTTTAAAAAGTCTTATCTCAGATTCCTTCTGAGGAACAAAGTTCCATCGATGCCAATTTAAAAGGCCTACATAACAAATAATTATTTTTGCTGCACTATATGAAAATAATTAAGCCAAGTATAATAAAGCAAACCAGACCTACCATGATTTGTCTTTTAATAAAAATGGGAAACTGGAGAGAGAAAATTATGTTTCAAAAACTGTAGCACACCTGTTGTTAAATTCTAGTCTTGCCTAATGTTTTTCAATTTTTATTATTTTCTACAGTTTAAATTAAATTCTAATTCTTCTGGCTATACTTTTCCAAAATAAGCTTTGCTTTCTTAAAGCCCTATGAACTGAAAACTAGATGTTTCAGCAAGTGCTGCCTCCAAGCCCCCCAACCATCACGGGAGGAAATCTCTTCACGGACAACTAATAACTGAGGGTGTCCAGAGTCCTTTGCCCCCACATCTAGTGAGTCTACGGAACCCAGGGTAATTGAGACGGTACCTGTTACACGTATCAACTCCTGGATACATTACACTGGAGTCAAAGCCTGGAAAGCTGAGGAAGCAACCCCTGACAGCCCAAAGGAACATCCTAAATATCAATATAATGAAGCTGAAAATCATAAAAAATAAGTAACTAAGAGAGAAATACTCATCTTACTCAGTCTCACCCCTACCTCACCAAATACGTTTTGTCATTTGTACCTCTCCTTTTAAGCTAAATATTAAAACTTTTTAATGGAGATTATTTACTAAGCCAACCTTGTGGGAATTGCTTTACTCACTCTACTATTTGCAGTAGGACTATGTACTGTAGCACCCTCAGGGTGGAATATTGGACAGAGAATCTCAATTACTGTAGTATTTTGCTTAATTATTATCTTCATAGCAAGAATAATGGTTACTAACAGAAAATAACACATGGGCCTTTCCAAACATGTGTATCTGCCTCTCATCGGGTAAGGAATATTGTTTCTATCTCAACCAATCAGGCCTAGTTAGAGACACTGCTGAAAGACTTGAAAGGGCTATGAAGCTAAGGGAATACCAAAACAATGAAATAGATTATTTGTTTGGGAACAAAATCATAGCGTGGGTCATCCCATTCCTGGGCCCTCTCCTAATAATATGCCTAGGGCTAATGTTCTTACCCTTCCTAATTAACCTTTCTCAAAGATTATTAACTGTCAGAATCATGGCCATTTCACAGACAACTACCCCAAAACATCTACAGAAGGCATTACTCTTACAGTCAATCTGAGACCAGAAAACTCTCCATCGCCTCGTCAGCAGGAAGTAGCCAGAAAGAACACACTGCCCCTCATCCTTTTTATAACTATAAGGTCTGCATTGACAGAGCAGGAACATTGCCATCTTGGACAAGCATCGCTATTTTAAAGTTCCCCTTGATCAAAAGCCACCTAAATCCAAAGGGCTTCAGCCTAATGGCTAAGGTCAGCATGATCATAAACCACAATGACATCTCTGACCAGAAATATTCCAACCCTAAGGTAAACCCCTCCCCAACCAGAGACATGCCAGCCCCGAGATAACCTCCCTTCTGGACGGAGAGATGTCAGCTCCAAGATAACCTCCCCTCTGACCAGAGACGTTCCAATCCCCAATAGGCTTCTCCACACAGAAACATTCCAAGCCTGTAATAAGTTCTCTCTTCCTGAACCCTAAAATACCCTTAGTCTGTAAGAGAGAGTGCTCCTGACTGAAATCAGCCAGAATCCCCTCTCAGGTTTATTCTACAAAATAAACCTGTCTTTGATTGTTGAGCCACTTTTTGTATTTCTTTCTTCTTTCTTTAACTATTACACTGTCTACCACCTTTCTTCCCATTTCATGAGTGACCAGGCACTAAACATAAAGATGGCAACAGTAGAAACTGAGGACTTCTAGAGAGGAGAGAGAGAAAGGAGGGTATGGGTTGAAAAACTATTAATATTATGCTTACTCCCTGGATGATGGGATCATTCATTCCCCAGCCTCAGCATTATGCAATATAACCAGGTAACCAACCTGCACATGCACTCTCTAAATCTAAAATAAAAGTTGAAATTTTTTTTAAAGTTTTTTTAAAGATAATGTTTTCCTCAATACTTACATAATAGAAAATAAGTTTAAAAATAAGAACAACAAATAATAAAAATACAAGCAAAGACTTCAAATGGTATAAACTTCAAAAAATGGTAGCTAAAGGCAAAATTAGAAAATCCAGGTATATATTGAGACAGGCTCCTGATATCAACCTGTGAAAGAAAAATATCTTGGCCCCTTCAAGTTGGAAACTGCTCAGGGCAAATCTGCCTCCCATTCTGTTCAAAGTTATCCTTCTACTCACTGAGATAGATACATAGCTGATTACCTCCTTTGGAAGGGCTAATCAGAAACTCAAAAGAATGTAATCATTTGTGTCTTACCTATCTGTGGCCTGGAAAGCCCCTCCCTGCTTCAAGTTTTCCTGCCTTTGCTTCAAGTTGTCCCACCTTTCCAGACCAAACAAATGTGCATCTTACATATACCGATTGATGTCTTATGTCTCCCTAAAATATATAAAACTAAGCTCTGCCTTGACCACCTTGGGCACATGTTGTTAGGACTTCCTGAAACTGTGTCACGGATGTGTGTCCTCAACCTTGGCAAAATAAACTTTCTTTTTTTTTTATTATTATTATTATACTTTAAGTTTTAGGGTACATGTGCACAATGTGCAGGTTAGTTACATATGTATACATGTGCCATGCTGGTGTGCTGCACCCATTAATTCGTCATTTAGCATTAGGTATATCTCCTAATGCTATCCCTCCCCCTTCCCCCCACCCCATAACACTCCCCAGAATTAACTGAGACTTGCCTCAAAGTTTCAGGGTTTACAAACTGTATCTCACAGAAACTACATTAAGAGATAGAAGACCTGATAATTGTCACCATACCTTCAAAAATACAGAAAAATATGAATCCACGAGAAATCCTTGTATTTTCTCTGAATTGCCAGGCAATAGTAGAATGGCTGACTGGGAGAGACATTTAAAACTGAAGACTGTTGCTCTCAAATGGATATGAAGATTTCTTCTGTATTAAATTGGAGAGAATATCAACAATCCAGTAAATACATGCTACTAATAGTCCCATTGGACAGCTACTCTGGTAATAAATTGAATAAAGTCTCATATAAACTAATAAGACAATCTCAAAACATAGAACTAACTAGGAATATGCCTAGAGTCATATGAACCCTCCTGAAACCTCTTTACAGTTTAACTACAGGCTACATAAAAGTGGAAAGAACATGATATATGTAGACTTCAAACTTCATGTGGCCCAGCAATAAAAATAAACCAATCTAACATAGAATTAGAAAAAGTCTAGGTATTATCTATATAGTATTACTCAAAGTGTAGTCCATGAAATATCTGTCACTGGCCCACTGTGAGAAAGGTACAAAAATTCAGAGGAAGTATTTAGAAACTTTGGTAGAAATTTGACATTATTGAGGTATCCAAAGTCTTTGTTAGCAGACTCATGCCATTTAGTAAGATATAGACCAGTTCAACTGATGTCAAATATGAATAGTTTATCACTTGGGGCATGGTCTGTTAGCAAGTTATGCACAGAAGTACCAGGTATTAGCTCACAATGGATTACAAACAAAAAGTAAAAAAGATATACTAACATAGCTAGCTTGATAAGCATTGGCCTTCCTAGACCTAATGAGGTTAGAGTATTTATAATAAAAAAATACTTTAAATGGCTTCACTATTATAGAACTCTACTCTAAAAAAGAGTAATATTATATCAATGGAGATACGGAGTACCAAACATTGGGCAGGATATGCAATGGGGGGAAATAAGTAGTAGAAAGAACGTATTCCACGTATTAAAATATATATGTTCATGTATTTAATATAAATAAATTAAAAGCCAAATAATAAAAATACCAAATGACAGTAAATGATAAATTATAGAGCTAAATAAATGAAAATCAAACTAGCATTTTTACACAATAATTTGTGAGCCACAAGGAAAAGATTGATAAGACCGAAAATTAACTTGCTAATAGGAAAGACTAGATACAAGAGAAAAGCGCAAACATAGCTAAGAAATTAGAGAGCAATTAAAGGAGTAGAAGACAGATTATCGAATAAAAACAATAACTTCTGTTCTGAAAGTAGAAAATTCAACAGAAGGAGAAATAGTTTATTCAAATATTTAATAGAGAAAAGGTTCTTTGTCATAAGAGAACAGCCGATTTTGTAGATAGAAGGAAAAACCACTGAAAACAATTGATTACAGGGCAATAAAAGCAAAGATCTTAAGCCTGATTGTATCATTAAAATTTATAGGACAAGAAATAATTTTTCAAGCATGCAGACAGAAGATAACTGACTGATAGTTTGCTTTGCTCAGGCAACATTTAATTTAAGATGAAAAAACATTATTTCATATCTCAGGAAAATTTTGCTCCAAGATTATACTGGGATAAAATCTTCTATCAGAATAAAAGTGATTGAAATGTCCAGAAAAATATTCTTGAGGTTCTCATGGTGACTGGGAAAAAAAATTGATTATACAATCCAGCCAATTAAAAAGGATCAAGTTAAATAACTCAATAAGACTACATCATATTACAGAGATAGAGAGTAAACATTCAATCTAGTTAGATAGAGAACCATGATCGAACAATTTCGGGGACATTACAATATGAATATTTTAATTAAAATTTAATCACATACTAAAATTAACTATTATATAAAATAAGAAAATTATATAATTTAAAATTGAGGAGTATAAGAATGTGATAAAATGCTAATCTCTTTATATTTTATATCATTAAGATGTTAAAGTTCACATATGCACTTATAATTATTTGTCCAATTTAAAACTTTTTATGACCTTAATACACAGTTTCTCAACCTTAGCACTACTAACATTTTGGACCAGGTAATTCCTTGGTGAACTGTCCTGTTCACTGTAGGAAGTTTAGCAGGATCTCTGGCCTCTACCCACTGGACTATAGAAGTGTCTCCCGTCCCATTCCTGGTGTGACAACTAAAAAGTCTCTAGATGTTTTCAAATTTATCCTGGGAGTCAAATGTCCCCTCCCCTAAGAACCACTACCTTGGTGGTATTATTTAAGAAGCTTTTCTTGTGACTAAAAAAATATTGTCTGAAAACACAGCAATTCTTTTAATTCACTTTTGAAAACATTTAAATACAGTTAGAAGTAATATTTTTTCTATTGATTTGTTATATTTTCTTTTGCTCTCCTTGTCCAATTTAGTATTAATAATTAACAAAATTGTTAGTAGGAAGAGAATTGCATTCAGAATCTTGACTATTATGTTTTCTGAAACTAAATTTATTAATATTTTTTGATGACAAAGAAAGAAAAAAATATGATTATGCTTAATTACCTAAATCTCACTAAAGGAATAAAAAGGATATTTACAATTTCCTCACTAATTTTTAAGTAGTTGATTATGTATTGCATAGTTAAGATTAAAATTCATGTAAGATGAGATATTAACAGTTCCTATCTTACTAGTTGGTTCAGGTAACAAATACAGATTTAATAATTTTACCTTAGAATGGTCAACCTGCATTTGTCTGAGGTTTACTGATTTAGTTTCAAAATATTTGTCAGTGATTACCATTCGTAGGTAATTTAGCTGCTACTGCTTTTATACTGTGGACTAGTTGCCTGATTGACTACAGGTTCTATGAGGTCAGGAATTGTTCTGATTTTGCTCACTACCCTTACCAAAGGGCCAATACCACTCCTAGTACATAATAAATGCTTAATAAATATGTAAATGTGGAAGCAATCATCCAACTAAGCTTGAATATTTTATTTTTAACTCTGATTATCCATTCAATTTCAAGTTCTCTATTTACAGCAATGCATTGCTAATAAATTTCTCACAATTTGGGGAAATGTTAAGCATCAAATTGTTGAGAACAGTCTTGATTAGGTGATTTCCTTTAGTTTTCTGTTCTAAAGAAGCACACATGTGCTTAAGCTTCACTATTCTAATTTCAAGTACTGGGAATTCATCCAAATATAAAATGCATATTAAGCTGAACCTATAGAAGGATAAAGAAATCTTTCTATTAAAATTTTATGAGACATTTTTGACACTTTCTCTCTGTTTCCCTCCTTCCTCCTCTGTCTTACTCTCTGTAACACATGGAATGGTGTTAACATGTGGGAAACACACTGTCTCTGCAAAGTTGAAATCCATATTTAATTAGCCCAGTTTCAAATAAACATTGTTTTCATTTGTAATGTGAGGTTGCAAACTCTTTGAAGGATGAGACTCAGCAACAGTATAGGATAGAGTCCCTCTTGTGAGTTTTGGGCCAGGTTCACAATATTCTTTTAATATGGTTTTGCTTTTAGAATCATTTCAGGCATTATAGTTGATCATGTTTATGAGTACTCAGGGACTTCTAAGTATGCAAATTATTTAGCTGACACATATACAGACTAATGAAATTTTACTAAATATACAGCTATCATTATAAGGAACTACTTTGTAATATTTTGGTATGCATATCCACAACATATATTTTATGCTTTCTATTAATTATATTTTATTAATTATAAGAAGCTTAACTGTTTTATAAAGTAACTTTTTAAAAGCAAGGCTTTCCTTCCCACTGTTTTGTGTAATAAACCAAAATGTTTCTTTTATAGTCATTATTTCTACTTCTATAATTACAATTTTATTCATATATTTATTAACATTTTTCTTGTTACTTACCAACTATAAAGTACTTTCTTGCTCCAAAAAATCTGATTATGTTTACTACGTTTGTTTTTTAAATTTTTATTTATTCATTTATTTATTTATTTTATTTTTTTATTATTATTATACTTTAAGTTTTAGGGTACATGTGCACAATGTGCAGGGTAGTTTCATATGTATACATGTGCCATGCTGGTGTGCTGCACCCATTAACTCATCATTTAGCATTAGGTATATCTCCTAATGTTATCCCTGCCCCCTCCCCCCACCCCACAACAGTCCCCAGAGTGTGATGTTCCTCTTCCTGGGTCCATGTGTTCTCATTGTTCAATTCCCATCTATGAGTGAGAGCATGCGGTGTTTGGTTTTTTGTCCTTGCGATAGTTTACTGAGAATGATGATTTCCAATTTCATCCATGTCCCTACAAAGGACATGAACTCATCATTTTTTATGGCTGCATAGTATTCCATGGTGTATATGTGCCACATTTTCTTAATCCAGTCTATCATTGTTGGACATTTGGGTTGGTTCCAAGTCTTTGCTATTGTGAATAGTGCCGCGATAAACATACGTGTGCATGTGTCTTTATATATTTATTTTTTTTTTGAGATGAAGTCTCACTTTGTTGCCCAGGCTGGAGTGCAATGGCGGCGCAATATTGGCTCCCTGCAACCTCCACCTCCAGGATTCAAGCAATTCTCCTGCTTCAGCCTACCAAGTATCTGAGATTACAGGTGCCCACCACCATGCTCAGCTAATTTTTGTATTTTCAGTAGAGGGGAGGTTTCACCATATTGTTCAGGCTGTTCTCAAACTCCTGACCTCAAGTGATCCACCTGCCTCGGCCTCCCAAAGTTCTGGGATTACAAGTATGAGCCACCATGCCCGGTGATTTTCTACATTTGTATAAATATATATAAAATAATGTAAAAGAGAGTAGCATGCAACTTTAAACTATTTTTATAATAAAATAATGCTTTTCTACTGCAGGTGGAAATTCAGATGCAATGATTGGTTGGATGAAAGATTAGAAAAACATCCTCATTCTAATTAGAGGATGAAGGAAGTGTTCAGCTCAATTCTTGGTTACTTTTTATGTTCATTGACTTGCCTCAGGGTAGAACCCAAGAAACATTCAAGATGGCGTTAGCAAAGATTCTGTAATCTTTAAGTGATGTATTCCATTGAAAACCTTTTATTAATTTGTTTTAGATGTTTCAAGAACTTCTATTGAAATCTAGTGATATTAATGCTAGAATAAAACTTATTACCCAATACAAGTATCGCATTGCCATATCTTGTGATCTCTTATCATAGTCAATGAGTTTACTTTGTTCCCTTCGCTACATTGGATTATTCAAATCCGTACCTCTTAATGCCATTAACATTAAAATTTTTGTGAAACGTGAAACAATTAATACAAAATAACCTCACTTTTGAGACTGGTAGTATAGTTCAATTACATTTCCTCTCTTGTAGAAATTTTTCTATTTCCTAGAGTTAAAAATTATTTAACTGCTTTTTTCATTTAAGTTTTTTATACATCTAGTTCTCTATTATTCAAAAGTATAAACAGAACTGCGGCATATTTATAAATAATGTTTCCAAATGGAAAGTTTTCCAAATTTGCTCTCAATTATATTTTTAGTTTTCTCTTGAAGAGATTTCATCTTTGTCCTCTGCTAAAATCTAGATGTATTGTTCTTTAGGCAAAGTGTACAGCTGTTAACCAGGAACTTCCCATCACTCTTCTCCTCAATTGAAGTTCCTGGTTCCTAAATCTTATGTTGTCCTCTTTCTTGTTTGCTGAAGCATTTATTATAGTTAATTCTAAGAACATGAGACTGAAAAGTAAATTGGTCTAGTCGTAAAAGCCCGAAAATATCTTTACTGCCTCTGTACAATTGATGGCTAGTTTAACTTTGTATATAATGCAACGAAAGTATATTCTAGGACAACTCGTTTCAGCATTTTGGGCCCTTTGTTTCAATTTATTCTTATTATCCAGTACTATTGAGATTCCAAATAATGTGTACATGATCTCCAAATATCAGTGACTCATTTCTTCAAGAATTATCCTCAAATAGTTTACCTGCATGTTAAAATTGAGACTCATGAAATTGTAAAGAGGAGACAGCGGATATGACTTAACATTCAGTATAGAATTTTGGTATTATCTTTGTTTTCTTTTTTTACCTCTTTCCCACCCTACTCTGCCTAATAACCTTAGTTTTCTATCTTTAACTTCAACAGGGACAGACATTGATTATCCTTTGGTAATCTCTTCTACAGGTGGAAGAAATTAGGTACAGGCTACGAAAAATAAAGGAATGGAGTCTGTCTTTTGGCAATTAGTTGATAAAGTTGAGTTAATGCATAAAAATCAGTTTTGAGGTTTTTTTCCACATAATTTTGTCTAAAAAACAAAATTTAGTGTAATGCTTTATTGCAATTTAGAATAATACTTTATCAAAAATGAATTTACGGTATAATGTTGAGATTTCATAGTGTTCCGGCACCATTTTGAGAAATGTCATCTCAACCTACATAGAAATGAATGTAATTTAAAAACAAGGGATACGTTTTATGTTGATGGAAAAAATCTATATATCCCACAATATAGAAATGGTTAGTTAAAACTTGGCATCTTCTTTAGATGGAAATGAATGTTTTCGAGTTAAGGAAATACATTATCTTTCTTTTTGTTGGTCCTTGTTTGTATGTCTACTGGATAATTACGTAACAATATGTAAAACAAACTGAAAAGAAAGATGCCTCGCTGCTTACCTCTTTTTCCATATTTTCATCCTCTTTTGGACCCCTTGATTAAAATTTATTCACATTGTTAATTCAAAATTTCTCTTTTCAGAAAAAGAAAAAGAGTAAAAGAGACGTAAACTCACAAGAGAATAAAATGTATCTTTATAGGCACAAAAAGTGAATCTTGACAATCAACTTTATTTTTGAAATTGATTTGCAGTATTTATTTAATGTATAGGTACTTTGTGGTCTTAGAACACTTTGGTTAAAGTCTCAATCCTGTCACTTTTCAGCTGTGTGACTCTAAATTTCAAATTTATTTATTTTTAATATGAAAACATCAGTACTTTTCCTGCCTACCTCACAAAATCTAATTTAAATAAATAAATAAATAAACTGGAAAATGCAAGAAACTGTATAAATTAAAGATCTCAGTATGTATGATATTTTTCCCTTTTGGATTATATTCCAGAATAAAAATCTCCAAAACTTTTTAAAATTATGAATGAAATAAATCCAAAAAACACTAAGAATTGAAATATTTACCATGTATAACAGTTGCTCTTTGACAGTGTTGTCTCTATTGTGACATATGCTTTGCATAAATAATTTCTCAAAGCTTTAAGGGGTTTAGCTTTATTATACTTCTTGTGACAGTTTGTATACAAAAGAGAAGAAACAAAGCATTACACTAAATATTGTATATTTTAAAACTGAAAATATTCTAATGATATTTAGCTGTATAGCATAGCAAAAATCCTGAAGAAATATTTCAAACCAGAAGGGATAATGAACACAGGTAGCATTTTTTTTTAACAGAGTCTTTTTTAACTTTCCCTAGATAGCAAATATATGTCTCAGCAATTTGTGTTTATCCACTAGAGACAGGTATGAAGGAGACCATAAAGATGATAGAATTTTACTTTTTTACTTTAGAAATGAAGACACTAAGCTAAGGAGATAAGTGATTTTTCCATTATCACTCCGTGGGTTACTGGAGTAATTTGGATTACATAGCAGAGGGGCCAAGAAGCCAAGCCCCTTCAGGGCACCCCATAGTGCTAAGTCTGCTCCTCCTCGGTTGTGTCATGGAAGCTATGCTTGTCGATATTTAGAAGTGAGATTTTGGCTCAAAATGATAAAAGAACATACAAATCTATTTTTAAATAAATTTCAGCCTCCATAAAAAACTCAGAAAAGCAGCTAGCCACTTAAAATAAAATTTGCAAAATCCTTTGCCACATATTGGAGGCTCTTTTAGACAATACAGATAGTTATTCACAAAAAACGTTGTTCCATCATAACATCATTATTGTTAATGCCAGCTCAATTCTAGCATAAGAAATTAGAAATTCCTAGTGGCAGGTGAGTTAGCCATTTTTACAAGGCACAACAATTCGTGGTCCTTGGAAGTCAAAGATGGAGCCATTGTTTCAATGTTCTTCTATTAAATGCCTTTGCTTTTATCCTTCGAATAGCCAAGTAAGTGTCACACTGTGGAGGGTGTGGAGCAGCAAAGGACTTCACAGAGTATTGTCCAGTGTTCTGTGTCTTTGCATCCTTTACAATGTCACTTTTCTCTGTATAGCACCTGACAAACTCTTAGGAGAGTGAAAAGGAGTTAGTCCTTTATTTCTTATGTTCGCTATTTCCTATTTTATCTTTTTCCTATGCTCTTTCTTTTGGTAAATTTTGGGAAATTATTCGGCTGTGATGAGGCAGTGATTTGCATATTAAATTCATTACTAGTGATTAAACCTTCATTTGGAAATAGCATCAAGAAAAATCACTGCCAGGTCATACTGGCTAGATCTCTACAATAGGCATTTGCTATTTCTCTCTGTTTCTCAAGCATGCTGAGGGATAGAAAATAACAATAACCACAAAATGGAATTTTATTAAACGTACACTATCACACAGTGTATAGTTAGATATTGTATATGCCTAGTTCTAATTTTAACAAACATATTGGTGAAGAACCAAATGTGTAACTGGGTCCCATTATTGACATCCTTGTTTAGATAAGGACGCTGAAACACAAGATTGCATGTGATAAAGAGAGCAGAGGTAGGATTCGTTTTCGTCTTCTATACTTCAAAGCCTGCACTTTCCCACTAAAACATTCACAGAAACAAAATTATTGAGTCAGCCTTTATCGAATCTCTGTTAAACACCTACTGTTTATTTTTAAATGTTTAGGGAGAAAATTCAATTTACCAAGCATGTATTGCGAATCTGCAATGTCACCAGTCTCCTGCACATTGGGCAATGAAATCCATCACTGAATATTTTTCAGGAAGATTTTTACTTTTGGCAATACTATGAGGCAAATCCTTTATCACCTAATCTAAATCTAGCTTTTTATGTGTGCAAACAGAAAAATATGTACATTCATATTTGTTTCTTCATACCAGACAGAATATATGCTTGTGTTGATCATTTGTAATTAGAGGTTATTATGCTGTTATGTAGAGTAAATAACGTGACCTTTCATATAAATTGATTTCCCAGATTTCTTACCTACAATATAAATGGTTTAAATTAATGTCTTCTTTCCATAAAGATTTAATTTGTAATATTAGTTAAGCCCTAATGAGAATTCTACTTTTGTCTTATTTCCATGTTCTAATTTGCTACAGAAATTAAATCAATCATAATTCATTTTTCACAAATTAGTAATACCTATACTTTCTTCATTTACTTATTCACAACCAAATTCCTTTTTTTAAGTCAATAAATTGCCTAGTAAGTAAACTAAGCCAGCCGATTTATGATGTTTGTTTTCCTATACTCTCCATTCATAGAAGTTGTGGGAAAATAGTGCATCTTTTCCCCTATTCTATTCTTAGTTGTTTTTCTGACTTTCTATGACGCTCTATAGAACTGGTCAGACAATCTTGAGGGCAGTCAGGCATAAACATTAATGCAGTAATTTGTGGATCGACAGTTGTTTTTCTGACTTTCTATGAGGCTATAGAACTGGTTAGATAATCCAGAGGGTGGTCAGGCATAGACGTTTATGCAGTAATTTGTGGACTGAAAGTGTGGGAAGGAAGGTTTTGCTGGCAAATATAATCACTTTTTCCAAGGATGATCAATAAATGCACCTTTGTTTTCCATCTACATTTAGTAGCAAATGATGAATGAAAAGAATAACAAGACATAGATATCAGAATGTTATTTTTATAACTGATGTGGCTACATGTTTACGAAGGGGCTTGCTTATTTCTTGCCTTTGGCTTGAATTAGAATTATTCCACAAAATAGCAGGTTAATCCCATAAGCTCTGGCCTGCAAAGCTAAGCTTACTACTTACTCACCAGAAAGTAATGTCTCACAGATGAAAGTATGATGGGAAGGATTGGGGGTTAGAACTAAGCCAGACATTCCCAATTCCCACTACCAAGTTCACCAATAGGATAAGGTGAGAAATATGTTGGCTGGAGTATTATCAGATAAACACTTCTCCTCACACTGCATTATAAGATACATAAGATTTGGTTTTCTTCATTGCTGTATTCAGACCTATTGCAGTGTCTGATACAGAACAGATGCTAAATATTTGCTGAATGTAAATACAATGAAGAAAGTATTCATAAGAGTATTCACTTTCAGGTCAGATTTAAGTGTTTAATGCCTTTTGATTTGATTTTTGTATGTGATGAGAGATAGGGATCTAAATTCCTTCTTCTGCATATGGATATCCAGTTTTCCCAGCACCATTTATTGAAGAGACTGTTCTTTCCCTAATGTATGTTGTTGGCACATTTGTCAAAAATAAGTTCACTAGAGGTATATAGATTTAGTTCTGAATATTCTGATCCTTTGGTCCGCATGTTTTTATGCCAGTACTATGCTGTTTTAGTTACCACAGCTCTGTAGTAAAATTTGAAGTCAGTTAATGTGATTTTTCCAATTTTGTTCTTTTTGCTCAGGATGGCTTTGGCTATTCTGGGTCTTTTGTAGATCCATATAAATTTTAGGACTAATTTTCTATTTCTTTGACGAATGTGAAACTATGAAACTACTAAAAAATAACACTAGGAAAACTCTCTAGGATATGAAACTAGGCAAAGTTTTCTTGAGTAATACCCCACAAGCACAGGCAACCAAACTGAAAATGGACAAATGGGATTACATCAATGTAAAAGCTTCTGCACAGCAAAAGAAACAATCAACAAACTGAAGAGAAAATCCATAGAATGGGAAAAAAATATTTGCAACCTACTTGTCTAACAAGGAATTGGTAACCAGAATATGTAAGGAGCTCAAACAACTCTACAGGAAAAAAAAAACCCTAATAATTCAATTTAAAAATAGGCAAGGATCTGAAAAGATATTTCTCAAAAGAAGACATTCAAAGGGCAAACAGGTATATAAAAAGGTGCTCAACATCACTGATCATCAGAGCAGTGCAAATAGAAACTACAATGAAATATTAATATAATTCCACCCCAATTAAAATAGGTTTTATCCAAATGACAGCCAATAATGAATGCTAGTGAGGATATGGAGAAAAAGGAAGCTTCATACACTGTTGATGGGAATGTAAGTTAGTAGAGCTACTATGAATAATAGTATGAAAGCTCCTCAAAATACTAAAAATAGAACTACCAGATAATCCAGCAATCTCACTGCCAAGCATATATACAAAAGAAAATAAATCAATATATCAAAGGGATATCTGAACTCCCATGCTTATTGCAGCACTATTGACAATAGTCAAGGTTTGAAAGCCACCTAAGTGTTCATTAACAGATGGATAGGCAAAGAAATTGTGGTATCTATACATGATGGAGTACTATTCGGACATAAAAAATGAAGTCCCATCATTTGCAATAACTGGATGGAACTGGAAAACATTATGTTAAATGAAATAACCAGATACAGAAAGACAAACTTATGTTCTCCCTCATTTGTGGGAACTAAAAATTAAAACAATTGAACTTACAGAGATAGAAAATAGAATGATGGTTACCAAGGTCTGGGAAGGGTAGTGGGGAGGAAGGGGAAAATAAAGATGGTTAATGTTTTGTATTTGTATTGCATTTGTTAATATTAACTATGCTTTGTATGCAGTTAGATATAATAAATAAGATCTATGATTTGGTAGCACAACAGGGTAACAACAATTTGTTGTACATTTTTGAGTAACTGAGGGAGTAAAATTGGAATGTTCATAACACAAAGAAATGATGAATTCTTTTTTTTCACTATTACAGAGGTATTTATTGAAAATAAAGTTTTATGTTTTGTATTTTTTAAATGAGATTTATTTTAGTTCCACTGCACAAATAAAATTGGAAGAGTCTGCTTTCAAAATCCATCAGTTTGGATATCTTTTACGGCAACAAATTGTTGCCCCGATCTCTGAATATTTTTTTTATTATACTTTAAGTTCCAGGGTACATGTGCACAACATGCAGGTTTGTTATATATGTATACATATGCCATGTTGATGGGCTGCACCCATTAATTCATCATTTACATTAGGTATGTCTCCTAATGCTATCCCTCCCCCCTCCCCCGACCCCATGACAGGCCCCGGTGTGTGATGTTACCCTTCCTGTGTCCAAGTATTCTCATTGTTCAGTTCCCACCTATGAGTGAGAACATGCGATGTTTGCAGATGACGTGATTGTATATTTAGAAAACCCCATCATCTCAGCCCAAAATCTCCTTAAGCTGATAAACAACTTCAGCAAAGTCTCAGGATACAAAATCAATGTGCAAAAATCACAAGCATTCTTATACACAAATAACAGACAAACAAAGAGCCAAATCATGAGTGAACTCCCATTCACAATTGCTTCAGAGAGAATAAAATACCTAGGAATCCAACTTACAAGAGATGTGAAGGACCTCTTCAAGGAGAACTACAAACCACTGCTCAACAAAATAAAAGAGGACACAAACAAATGGAAGAACATTCCATGCTCATGGATAGGAAGAATCAATATCGTGAAAATGGCCATACTGCCCAAGGTAATTTATAGATTCAATGCCATCCCCATCAAGCTACCAATGACTTTCTTCAGAGAATTTGAAAAAACTACTTTGAAGTCCATATGGAACCAAAAAAGAGCCCACATTGCCAAGGCAATCCTAAGCCAAAAGAACAAAGCTGGAGGCATCACGCTACCTGACTTCAAACTATACTACAAGGCTACAGTAACCAAAACAGCATGGTACTGGTAAAAAAAAAAAACAGAGATATAGACCAATGGAACAGAACAGAGCCCTCAGAAATAATACCACACATCTACAACCATTTGATCTTTGACAAACCTGACAAAAACAAGCAATGGAGAAAGGATTCCCTATTTAATAAATGGTGCTGGGAAAACTGGCTAGCCATATGTAGAAAGCTGAAACTGGATCCCTTCCTTACACCTTATACAAAAATTAATTCAAGATGGATTAAAGACTTAAATGTTAGACCTAAAACCATAAAAGCCCTAGAAGAAAACCTAGGCAATACCATTCGGGACATAGGCATGAGCAAGGACTTCATGTCTAAAACACTAAAAGCAATGGCAACAGAAGCCAAAAGTGACAAATGGGATCTAATTAAACTAAAGAGCTTCTGCACAGCAAAAGAAACTACCATCAGAGTGAACAGGCAACCTACAGAATGGGAGAAAATTTTTGCAATCTACTCATCTGACAAAGGGCTAATATCCAGAATCTACAAAGAACTCAAATGAATTTACAAGAAAAAAACAAACAACCCCATCAAAAAGTGGGTGAAGGATATGAACAGACACTTATCAAAAGAAGACATTTATGCAGCCAAAAGACACATGAAAAAAATGCTCATCATCACTGGCCATCAGAGAAATGCAAATCAAAATCACAATGAGATACCATCTCACACCAGTTGGAACGGCGATCATTAAAAAGTCAGGAAACAACAGGTGCTGGAGAGGATGTGGAGAAATAGGAACACTTTTACACTGTTGGTGGGACTGTAAACTGGTTCAACCATTGTGGAAAACAGTGTAGCGATTCCACAGGGATCTAGAACTAGAAATACCATTTGACCCAGCCATCCCATTACTGGGTATATACCCAAAGGATTATAAATCATGCTGCTATAAAGACACATGCACACGTATGTTCATTGAGGCACTATTCACAATAGCAAAGACTTGGAACCAACCCAAATGTTCATCAATGATAGACAGGATTAACAAAATGTGGCACATATACACCATGGAATACTATGCAGCCATAAAAAAGGATGAGTTCATGTCCTTTTTAGGGACAAGGATGAAGCTGAAAACCATCATTTTCAGCAAACTATCACAAGGAAATGATGAATTCATGAGGTGATGAATACCTGATACATTTATCCTGATGTGATTATTATACATTGTATGTCTGTATCAAAATATCTCTTGTATCCTATAAATAGATACACACCTACAGTGTGCCCATAGAAATATAAATTTAAAAAATTTTGAAAGAAGTATTTACTTTTATGAAGTCATCACATATTAAAATAGAACTGATGGTGTATATCAGAGACTTTATTATAATTCAACATTTTATTTAAATAATTAAATACTGCTCCTTTTAAAAATTCTAGAAGAATGCAATGATTTTATTACTTCATAGGAAATGTTAATAAAAATTAAGAAATTATTTTTAATAGAAATAATATACACCTCCATTATAAGCTAGTCAAAGTACAGTAATATATATTAGAAAAAAGTAAAGCCTCTTAATAAATGGTATATTCTACCTTACAATGCATATTGTTATGATACTATTTTATTTTACTTAACAATGTTTTGAATGTTTTCTATGTATGTACATATCTCTGACTCAGTATTTTTTTATTTTTATTTATTTATTTATTTTTGAGACGGCGTCCCACTATGTCCCCTAGGCTGGAGTGCAGTGGCGCAATCTTGGCTCATGGCAACCTCCAACTCCTGGGTTCAAGCAATTCTTTTGCCTCAGTCTCCTCAGCAGCTGGGATTACAGGCAACCGCTATCACGCCTGGCTAATTTTTTTTGTATTTTTAGTAGAGACAGGGTTTCGCCATGTTGGCCAGGCTGGTCTTGAACTCCTGACCTCAGATGATCCACCTGCCTTGGCCTCCCAAAGTGCTGGGAGTACAGGTGTGAGCCACCGCACCCGCCCTGCCTCAGTATTTTTAATGGATATGTGGAAATGTAACACATATTACTTAACCTTATGGATTCATTTAAAGTTTTTTTCTAATTATTTTGTTATTATAAGCAATAATACAATTAGTAATCATGTGCATGTCATTTATAAGCCTATGAAAACATTTCTCAAGAACAGATAACCAGAAGCCAAACTGCTCTGTCAGTTTTGGGCATTTTTCCTCAAAAGAATATCAAGTTACTCTATGATTTTGTTCTCCATCTTCACAATTATGGCCAATCTGATGAGTGAAAAATATTTTATCAATAATTTATTTGATGCATTTATCATGTCATGTTTATTATATATAAATGTATTTATTGCTAATTTGTAGCTCCTAGTCCATAAATTGACAAAATAGTCACGGGTATGTGATATGGCTTGGCTATGTCCCCACCCAAATCACGAATTGAACTGTAGCTCCCATAATTCCCACATGTCATGGGAGGGACCTGGTGGGAGGTAATTGAATCATGGGGGTGGGTTTTTCCCATGCTGTTCTCATAATAGTGAATACGTCTCTTGAGATCTGATTCTTTTATAAAGGGGAGTTCCCCTGCACATTATCTCTTAGCCTGCCACCATGTAAGACATGACTTTACTCCTCCTTCACCTTCTGCCATGATGGTGGGGCCTCCTCAGCCATGTGACTACGAGTCAATTAAACCTCTTTCCTTTATAAATTACCCAGTCTCGGGCATGTCTTTATTAGCAGTGAGAGAAGAGACTGATATTCTGTGCTCCAGTAAAGAATACTTTAATGTGATTCTCTTCTCTTAATAAATTTCCTTCAGCCCCCTATTTCCCTTGGTTCATTCTCTGCAGTTCCTCAATAAGGTGGGGAAATGCAGTCGCCAGTTTTGCTTGGCTGTTAGGGTCCTATACTGCTTTCACTAGGAGCCTTTCATTAGGCTGAAAGTTCATTTTATCTTAGAGTATTCTTCATGATTTGGATCATTCATGTTCTTGGCTTCATCAACAGGATTAGATGAAGAACAAATTGGCTGAATTCTTAAAAATGAAGTTTCTTAATAAATTACCCGATAATTTTTTCCGTAATTTCATATATGCTTGTTCTAGATTCAATTTCCCTGAACCAATTAGAGAACATATATATGTGTGTGCTCTTGGTTGTGATTTACTTCGATTTTGTTGATATGTTTCCATCAAATTATACTTTCTAGAGATTTCTCACAGATCGTAGTTTGCAATGATGCTTCTCGTTTCCATATGAATATCATCGCATATGTTTTCTATGACTTTAAGAGATTTGGAACTGGGAGCAGAGATTCTACTCAACCTATCATTTCTATACAATTTCCAAAATGAAATCTCTAATAAGAATAAATAATATAGATAGATATAGATACAAATTAGATGTTGATACCATTATGTTTTGATAAAATTGGATGTTTGATTTAATTTGAGATTACGGGAAAAAGGAATGCTCTCATAATTCTTATGGTGTAATCCTGGCTCCTGTGGCCACACATCAGAAGAGACAGGCAAGCAATATGAAGATACTATGACCAGAGTCAGGAAACAGAGTTTGCAAACATAAATTATAAATCAAATGTCAGAAACATGGAAGTTTCAAATTGTGCATGTTGATTTTTCAGTCTACCTGAATCTGGGCAACTATATATTAATAGAATGTGCTTCAGGATAAGAAGAAATCAAAATTTCTTTAAGGATAGTTAATGGTTTCCTGAGTAATACTTGCTTAGAAACTTTTGGAAACACAACCAAAAGTTAATTTACAACAATAATAATAATAATTTTTAGAAATAATACTTTTTGGAAAGCAATAATAGCAAAAAAAAAAACCCCACAAACAATAACAGTATTTTTAAGTGATTGTTATTAGCCATGTATTTTTGTTTATTATTATCTGATATTACTTTTGACAAGAAAATAATCATATTAGTTCATCCTTTAAACGAGAAAAAATAAACAAGCTTAAAGAAACTATAAAAGTACATCACCAGGCGAACAGATTCCAAACTTAATGCCTCATGAGGAAGATAAGACACACAATTTACAGAGATTATAAACATCTAGAGATACTGCTTTCAACTTTACTAAAACGTATTCAATGTGTTTACTGCCGAGTTGGTGTATTGGAGTATTTTTACACCATCGACACATTGGCCTGTGTTACCATTTTCTTATAGATATCATGTAACACTAACTTTGGAGAATTGACAACAAATAAAACAAAATAAGCAAAAGAAAAAAAATGAAACTATGACTATTTATGGAAAGTTGTCCCGGTTATAAATTTAACTCTTGTTGGTGATACAGATGGAGATGATGTAAGGATTTTTAAAATGTAATAGTTTACCTAATAAAACTATTTATTAAACAGAAGGGGATATCAAGCTGAAAATTGTATTGATTTCTTTTAAGAACAAATGTTCTATAGGGAACAAAAAGAAACTAAGACATGTGTAATAAATTCAAATATTTGCAGGTATGTATAACTGACAATGCTAATTTTGATATTCCAGTTCTTATAATTTACTTTTGAAACCTGAATATTAAAACCCATATAATATTTCTCATTCAAACTTTAATATTTTATATCTTTGACCTTTAGAATCCAGCTGTAATTATATTATAATTTTAGCATATGTGGCTGCCCAGCACTAAAATCTATTAGTGAAATTCATAGTTAGGATTCAACTTACATTTGGTCATTTAGTTTTAAGCATGATCAGCAGTGGCAAAAGTTTTCAAGCCAATTTATAATACTGAACTTCAACTATCTAACTCATGAAAACTACTGAATATTATTGTACTTGTAAAATTATAATCTTTTGTTGATATGAACATAGAGTTATTTAGTATTTTCTGAGATTTTCTTAGATCATTTGATAGCAGTTGAAGTTGTTAAATTATAACATTAACAATAATTGTACCTACTAATTTACCAATGTAGAATATTTCAATTTTTGAAATACAAATTTAACAGTATGGTTTCATGCACTTCTGACACATACCAGGATTCAGACTGATGCTATGTGAATAGATACTGAAAAGTAATCAATACAACTGGGGAAAAGTACCTTAAATAGTCAATGAAATTATTTTTCAAAAAGAATAAAAATACTGAAGTTCTCAACTCAAACCATCTATAAATTTCCAGGATTTCTAGAATCAAAGTTATTGCTTACATGGTAGTTAATGAAATATAAACACATTAAGCTCATATGGAGAAAATATTAATACTATTAAACAGATAGAAAGAACTATTAAGTAGACTTATATGTGCCTTTATCTCATGTATCAACAAACTATTTGTAAAAAGGCATTTTATGCATCACACACTAACTCCAACTAATGAGGGCACTGATTAAACACTAAAATTTTAATGTTTTCAGAATGTATTACCAAGGCTTTTTCCACTAGAAACTCTTCTAATCCAAATACTTTGGATAAGAATGAGCATGATTTTAATTATCTTATTGGCCAACAGAAAATCTACAAAAAGCTAAACAGAAAAATAGAGCTGGGGACAAAAGGAGATTCTTGAAACTAAACCACATGACTTAACTCTAAATTACATAGAAACTTGATTTTTGAGTCAAATGAATGTGGCTTTACTTCAAATTGATGGCGTGTATATCTAAAAATGTTTATGCTCTATGAAATCCTTAAACATTCATGTTATTTTTGTATTTTTCTCATATTTCATATATTTTCAAATTGAGTTTTCTAAATCTCAGTTTGGGAATTGAGTCCTGTTTTGCTATGCCATTTTCTGAGAAGAAAATATTTCTCAACTCTTGATCATTTTATCTTACTCTTCCTTATAAAATGGGCATGCAGTTATAAGAAAGCATTTACAAATATACAGAATTAGTAAAACCAAGGAAAATAAGCACCAGAAGTGCTAATCGTTGTATATGTCTTTGACCAACACTAGATTTTCAATACACTTTTAAGGGTTTAAGCACTTTTAGTCAGAATGTTACATTACATACTGTCTTAATTCAAAAAGTCATTTTATTTACCTAAAATGTAATTAGTGAGTTATTTAATAACTGCTATGTAATTAGAATATATATTTTCATTGTTTGTCATAGAAGCTATATTTTGTCTCTTCAAATTAATAATTTTGGGAGATTAGTCTCAAAATGGGGCTAACAGGTAAGGATAAGTCTCAAAATAATAGAGCCTAAGTAAGATATTTGGAGGAACTATTTATTTATAAGCAATTACAAATAGGTAAAACAGTGTTTAAAGTTGTAAAGTTTTAAGTTGTATAACTATGCAGGTAAGTTGTGAAATCATATCCTACACAGTCTTACGTTTGTCAATAGATACATTCCCAGTGCCAACAACAGCAGCAAGTACTTGGCAGGTGCGCCATAAATCATGGTTAAATGAAATAATTTATATATTTTAAACATATTTTTACTTGAATGACTTAATAAATTTAAGACGTATCACATTTGAGAAGAATAATATCAACACATTAATGTATTTTTATGGTCATATGGAATAAAATCTATTCTAGCTAGTTGTAACATTAAAGTGTATCCTATTGGGTACTAAATGGCTTACAAAATCAATGGCAGGAATGAAGAAACTGACTTTATGTTAGTCGTTCAGGAAATACTGCAGGACTGAGTCACAAAAAAAAGCTATGTTGCTGTGTTCAACTAACCATTTCATAAAATTACCATAATCAGCTAATAGTCATGATTAGGAAGCCACCACAGCAAACCAGACATGACCGCAATGATACTTCCCAGCCGAAAATGACAGAAGTATGCCCTCCCCCTCTCCTGCCATGCAAATATGTAAAAAATAACCAAATGAAAATATTTCAGTTTTGCATGAGAACTTAGGAAATGTCATTTTCTGCTTCTGCCAGATGATGCTTTGGGATTTGGAAAGATAATGTCAGAATTTCTATATATATTATATTTATTATTTTATAATGGCTATTTGTGCATAACTTATAATTCATATTATAGTTATAAATTACTGTGCTTTCATAATATATAATAGATATAAAGAAGTAACATTTATTGGGGTGCAAACTCAAAAAATTTCAGCAGTAGACATTCAAGATCAATAATTTGTATACTACCTAAAGATGAGAGAGAAAAATCGCAACTTAATGATAGATCACTTTGTTCCCATTGGGTAATTCACATAAATTGAACACTTAAAACATTGTCATACATACGTACTTCCTCCAGGATGTAAATTCCTGAATGTAGGAAGTGTGTTTTATTCAACTAATTCTTCCTATGCTACCTAGTATGTACTCAATGTATGTTTGCAAATGAAGGAATGAGTGAAGAATATGTTTGAAGAACTATCATGCAGAAGAAAAATAAGATTGTTTTGCTGTGATCCAATGTGCAGTAGTAGAAAGAGTACTTGTCAATTATAGGACAAGCATATAAATGGGAATTTTTAGTTATTAGCACTGTCAAAAGAGATAGATTGCCTTCTATGGGCAGCATTTAAGCAGAGAATAAGTTGCCATCTCTCAGGGATGTTGCAAAAAAGATTCTAATTGGGAAGCTAAACTAGGTGAACTAGTTAGACTAAAATCGCCATAATCTTTCTAATTTTATGATTACAAAATTATATTCAGAAAAAGCCCAAGTATAGAATAGATAGATTTTTAAAATATCAAATCTTTTTACCCTGGCTAAAAGTAGACCAATAAAGCTGTTGAAGTAAATTCAATAATTTTAGATAAAATTAATTTAGACTCAGGACTAAAAATACAAAATACACTAGGTATCAAGAAATAAGATAAAGTTGAAATACATGCTAGCTCTAGATTATAAAATGCCCTTGGGTACACATTGTTAGATTCTATTTTCACAATGCAATCTTTAAAAAATCAAGAAATGTATCACTACTTTACTTAAATCTCAAAATATCACATTCAAGATATGTCTCTCTGCATCATGTAAACCTTGGAGTTTATCCCATCTAAGAAAATATCAGACACATGAAGAATGTGACTCATGTCTTCCTTTCAAATTATATGTGGAAAGTTTATGGAAAGATTATATCTGTCTCAAGCTCTGAGACATTTTAAATTAGTAATTGTCATACTTTACACCTATGCAAATGACAAGTTCCTGACATGGTACATAATCCATTTGTCTTTTCTCAAAAAGACAGATAATAACTCAGAGTACCTTATCCAAGAATCCTTCATGACAGCAGCAGACCCAGCAAATATACCTGTCTTCCTTATCTATCATTAGCTCAGTTTGAGTTCATAGTAGACCAATCTACACTTGACAGAGCTAGCCTGGCATTTCAATAGCTTGATTTTCAAGCAGGACACATAGTCCAGTTTGTTTACCTTTCATTTGATGATCACTTTAATTGGAAAATATAATTGTTATTTTTAGATAATATTGAGACAATTACAGAAACTGAAAAAGTCTTTAACCTTTATTTTTCTAGATAAAATAATGGAACATTGTTAATTATATTATATATATTAATATGTATATTCACAAGCATAGTAAGGTACAAAAACAGTAGACATGATAACTTTTATTCCATCTCTCATTTGGTCAGTTTGATGATTGAATAGATTACTCCCATATCAACTACCTGTAATGCTAAAGGTGGAGACAAAAGATCTCTGCTCTCTCCCTCTTATTCTCTTAAATTTGTATCAAATAAACCCACCTTTTGAGATTTTTTTCCAACTCATTTTGAAGCTGAAAAGTGTCTTTTTTTCAATAGTCAAAAATCCCTCCCTTTTAATAAATGTCATTTCTAACTGAAATTAGAAAACGTATTCAAAATCGTGTGGTAGATAAAACTTAAGAATTTATTTCTCTTCTCTTCTTTGCAGGATTGTTGCATAGGCCATAGAAGCACTGCTTCTGGAATACAGGGTGAGGAGACATGTGGTCTAGAGAAAGGATAGTCCACTATGGTGACAGGAGGCCCCAGGAAGCATATTTACTGTAGGTTCCTGGAGGCAAAAGTCTTGAGATATTTAATCAAAATTGTTGTGAAGTGGAATCAAAAATCCTAATTATAAATAGATGGAGTGATAGAATCAGCCCAAAACAAGTGTGAGAATATATTGAAAAAGCAATTTGGGACTTATGTTGTAAACAAAATATGTTTGCAAATCTCTCCCCTATTCCATGGCATTCAGTAGTACTTTTTAGAGTGAGTTACTACAAGACCAAGAATGGCCTTTTAAAGTATTTAATTTTGAACCATCTAAAGTACTTAACTTATGCTATTAGGGATCCCAATTTTACATATTTACAGTCTATTGCCATCTTAAGCTATTAAGAAAGATCCTCATTTCATTGTATTTTATAAAACATTTTTACATTAAGTGACTTTATATAATGTCAAATAAATAACACCGCAGTTATGTCTACCTCACCTTTCCCTCACTGAAGTCTGTTCTGTTCAACACATTTGTCTTAAGCACCTACTATATTCCTTTGATTTTTATTCATTATGTATGTATTTATTTATTATGCATTATTTATTTGAAAGTCTTAATACTTTTATTTGAAAGTATTGTAGTAACCCACCTATTCCGATGTTGTCAGTGAATGACTACCAGAGAGGCCCACAGTAGTGTATTTCCTATGATCCAGAGCTAAAATAACCTGAGCACCTGCCTTGTGTCAAAAATTAGTTTATACGAATCTCATTTAGTTTTAGTTATAATTTTACGAGTCTAGCATTGTTTTCTATAACCTTCAATTCCCCTAGTAAAAGTCAGATTCTTTGAAATATGCTTTAAAATGCAAATAATTTTTTTCTGAAATCCAAGAGAAATCTTAGTAAAAACCAGTCCATCTAATTTAATCATAGATTATTGCCCGATTCAAAGAAGAGCATTCCAAAGTGGAACTCTAATCTTTACAATCATCCTCCAAAATAATTAAAAGAGTCCAAGCGCAACCAACTCTAAAATGCCCTATATTTTCCTATTCTTTACTATCTTAAAATTTAAGGGGCTTTTGAGTCTTGTTCCTTGGAAAACCCGTCTTCCTATATTTATTTAGCCTTCTAACACCACCACCTGTGTCTCAATCACCAGTCCCTCTATAGTCCACCTGTATGATCTTAATTCTAAAGCTACTGGGAACTAGTAGCCTGAACAGAATAAGAAACACAATTCCATACCACTGATCAACTGGATCACTTCGAAACAAATCCTCCCCCAGATAAGCTTTTAAGACTACTTTTGACCTATATCTAAGCAGAAAAGATATCTAAGACTGAGAATTTCTACTGAAGAAATTAACAGTATTTAAATTTTTACACGATTATATTTTATCTCTCTTACACTTAATTACTGAAAGGCAGCCTATGTTGATAAGTAATTGTATTAGTCTTCTAGGATAGTCATAACAGAATACCACAGGTTGGGCAGCTTCAAGAGCATACGTTAATTTTCTCACAGTTCTGGAGCCTGGACATTCAAGATCAAGGTTTTTTGGTAGAACTGGTTTCTGGTGAGGTCATTCTTCCTGCTTACAGACAGTCGCCTTCTAGCTGTGTTCTCACAAGGTTTCTTCTCTGTGACCGCTAGGTGCACTCCTGGAGTCTCTGTTTTTTATAAGGACACCAGATACATTGGATTAGGGACCCAAGTTTATGACCTTAATTAATATCTTATACACCTAACTCCAAATACAGAGACATTGGGCATTAGACTTATGAGTTTGGGGAAAACACAATTTAGTCCAGCATAGAAAAATACTCCTGAAATATTGCCATTTGAATATATTTGCATTAAATTATACTATTATTCCCACATTTTTCTTTATCTGTTTCATATGTACCTGTACATTGATATGCAAAAGATTTTCACATGTATAACACAAAAAATGAGAAAAAATATGTAACTTTTTTTTTATTTTGGAATATACGGTTGACAAATAAAGATTGTATATTTATAAGTTATACAAAGTGACAATCTGATATATGTGTACATTGTGTAATGAAATGAGTTTTTAAAAGGGAGCCCATGATAATTTATAAGATTGTCATTTTTCACTAGCATCTATAAAGAAATAATACTTTTTTGACCATTGTTACTGAATGAAAGAATGGGCAATGTCCTTGAAACAGCTGATGATTAAGCAGTGTCCCTCAGCATAATCATAGGACAGAGATGGAAGCACAGTTTAATAAAAGCTATTAATTGGTACTTCATAGGAAGTATCCTTGGATTAAACCATTCAGAGCCAAGACAGTAAGTATAGTTACTTGTATGTGCCAAGAAGCCTGTATAAATGTGTAAAATTGGAGAGCATAAGGCCACAGAGAGAAGTGTGTTCTGTATACAACTTTAGATGGGAAATATACACTTCCCATCTAAAGCCATTGATATGTATCCAATGTTTGAAAGCGTTGTGTCAGGGAAGCTACAATACGTAAGAGAACAAATTTAGTCTGTGAACCCCTAGTTTCTATTCTCTCCTACAGTGTTCAAAGAATGGAGAAGTGTTTTTCTGTTTAGAAATCTCTTTACATTTGTTATGGTTTGGGGCTTTGGATAAAATGTGGACAGTTTGCAAAATGTAATATAAGCTAAATTTTCTATCTGGTACATGAAATAAAAGTTTGCTTTGTTGTTATTTCACAATGAATTCTTAAAATTAAAAATCAAGGTGTTATTAATTTGTTATGCTGTCATAAGAAAGTACCACAAACTGGGAGTATTAAACAACAGAAATTTATTGCCTTGCATTTCGGGAGAGATCTGAGATCAAGATGTCAGCAGGGTTGGTTCCTTCTGAGGGCCATGAGGAAGAATCTGTTCCATGCCTCACTCCCAGCTTCTGTTAGTTTGCTGGAATCTTTGGCATTCCTTGGCTTCTGCTGCATCACCCTGATCTCTGTCTTCATCTTCACATGGTGTGCTTCTGGTGTGTGTATCCATAACCAAATTTTGTTTGTATATAAGAACAATCATCATATTGGATTAGTGTCCCACTCTACTCCAGTATGACCTCATCTTAACTATTTACATCTGCAACGATCCTATTTCCAAGTAAGATCGTGCTCTTAGTTCTTAGATACAGGCGTTAGGACTTCAACATATTAATTTGAGGGATGGGAAGCCCAGTTCCACCCATAACTCAAGGATATTATCAGCTAAGGTTTTTGACTCAAAGAATAACACTTCAATTTCCAAAGTGAGCTCTGTCCTTTAGACAAGGTCAAGCATTTCATTCAACAATTATATAATATACATGAATTAATGAATAAATAAATAAAGATCTATGTTCCGTTCCTTGTGTAATTAAGAGAGTTCTCAAATTTCTACAAGAGAGAACATGCAGAGGCTCATTAAATGCTATTGAAAATCTCACCATACCCATTGTAATTATGGATAGATATCAAGGAACAGATGTCTGTTTTGGAAGGGAGGGTATCAGGGCTGAGGGTGGATATTACTGCTGCATATTGGGAGATGATCCCTGGAATGGGAGTAAAGTAGAGCAGATTTTTCATTGCAGAGAGAATTAAGGTGAGAGCTGGAGGTAGAAGCTCTTTAGCTGTAGGGACATAAGACATAGGAAAATGGATTACTAGTTAACAGGGATTCATAGGGTTTTAAAGCAGATCTCCTGGAAGTGATGGGATAACCAATGCCAGATGTGGCCTAGAAAAGGAGTCATCGACTCTAGAGTCAATCAAGTGAATGAGTGAAGCCAGGACTATTCCAGAGGTTATAAACTCACTGATTAGTGGTAAAGGGCTGGACCAAGAGGAAGCACTTCCTCTTAGATGAAGTTTTTAAGACTAAATTCCCTTTTGAACTAAGAGGTTAATCCTCACGTACACAGCTCCTCACTTGGTACCATCCTGGCTAAAACAAACAAAAAGATGAGGTTTTCATAGCCTTTACCTTCATGTGGAAGCCTGAGGATTCTCAGTTCCAAGCAAGTGTGTCCCAGATTCAGGCCTCTCTATGTAAATCTCAGGTCTGGACTAACCAGAACCTCATCTTTTTCAAACTTTACCCACGATGGGTAGTGGTCATCTCTTACTCCCACCCTGGCCAGCTCCCCAATATAAGGACCAGTTAAGGACTTTCTGTTGGAGTCTCTCAGATCAAGAATAGCTAATCTGCAAATTGGTGGCCAAAGAAAAGGAACCATCTGGGTTGATCCTGAGAGAACTCATGGGACAGGGAGTGGCTCACATGTTCCTGGATTCATCAATGGTCTTTAGCAGCCCTGGCCTGGCTGCCCTATCCATGTGTTATATAGATCTTGGGTTCTCCATGTTGGCATGCCTCAGAATCAGGTGAGGTAGTTAAAATACCAGCTTCAGATATTTGGCTTTAGGACATCCAGATCCAGCCTAGAAGTGGAAATATTATTTTGATACTGGTGAATATAATAGGATTCTTATTTGGTTATTGGACAGTTTAGTTTGGTTAATGGACATTATCTTTCAATGCTCCACACATTTAATTATATTTACCTCATTACACAATGAATACATAGAGAAAGTATTGTTGTTCAAAAGATCAGGAGAGCTGGGCACAGTGGCACATGCCTGTAGTTCCAGCTCCTCAAGAGGCTGAGGCAGGAGGATTGCTTGATGCCAGCAGTTTGAAGCTGTAGTGTGCTACAATCGTGCCAGTAAATAGCAACTTCACTCTAGCCTAGGCAACATAGTGAGACCCTGTCTCTAAATACATACATACATACATACATACATACATACATACATACATACCTAAAATTAAAATACAATAGCAATTAGAAATTCAGCTTTGACCTTGCTCAAACCTAGGACCCTTCACTTGAGTTGACTATATTTATTGGTTGATGTGGCTTTCTAAGACACTTTTAAATGCATTTATCCATACTCTTAAGAACATTTGAAGCATTATTTTTTTTATTTTGTTGAGCTGTGTCTTTTGATATATATGGATACTATACATATTTCTGAAATTGTACATGATTTTACTCTTAATGACAGATTAGTTAGATTATACTCAATTCAAAAAGAAAAGCAATGAAATATTCTAAAGAATAGTACTCAGAGTACTCATATACCTTGTTTTTTAATCAAAATTGCTATTCATGAAAGTTATTCCCAAAAGTAATTGAAAATGATAGTGATAGTTTGTGCCAATTTTTCTGCTGAACAATTGGACAAATGCAAACACTGATGTCCAGATGCTACAATTCTTACAATCCTGGATGCTTTGGGAGAGTTTGCATTTTATTAGGCTGATGATGAGATAAACTGTCATCCACTGTATATTATTACACAGCACATTATTAATATTATTACTTTACTATTAATAGTACCATCGCCATTTTTCCATTAAATATCATATAGATTAATGCTCATTTATAAGATCTTGCATCTGAAAGCAAAGTTTTTGAAGCAAAGGATGATATATTAGAGGGAGAAATTAAGTAAATCATTACATTCCAATTTAGAAAGAGACTATTGAGATGTCGAAAGTGATTGCATTCAAACTATTTGTGTCAGTAATTTTGTCACATTTTTATATTATTATTTCAATATATCATAGAATAATATAGCTATATGATTATGTAGTGATTTTATTTTTCATATATGGCTGGCATCTGCTTAGTAGCCAGAAATCTTGTTGAGAGAGGAATCTTGTTTAATATTTTTCTAATACACTCAAAGGGGATTTCCAAGCACTGTACTTGGTCCATTATAGATGTAGAAAATGTAGCAATTCTTGTATGAACTGCCTTGTATTTGCAAACTACTTAACACTCAGTCCTCAGTGGGTCTGTTTGAATACTTCTTTTTACGTCACTTAAAAATCCCTCACACCAGAGAAAAATAACATCTAATTCACAGACTAACCTGTTTACATTTAGCATTTCTCAATGTGCAAAGTACTTTCAGATGCTGTGTCATTGTTTAATACTCCATATGTTCTGTGTAACTTAAACCCTGTCTGTTTTGATGGCAATATACCACCCTAGCCTCACCCTAATCTGTGCCAGCCTTTCTCTTCTCCCTACAGTGCTACATCCAACCTTTTTCACAGGCATTCTGCCTATGTTCAGAATACTTAAAGTAGGCCATTTTATGTGGCGATAAAGCTAGTACCCATGCTCAGGATGGAGTGGATCTTTACTTTTCAGTTTCCAGCCAACTTCTTTTATTATCTATATCTAACCTCTCTAAGTCTTCAAATTTCCAAACTGTAAAATTTGGAAATAACAAATATTTAGTTTGAGAGAGTAGAATTAGTCTTTTTCTGAGAAATTTGATAATAAGGTGATCTTGCATTTTAAATAAAAATAGGATAATTTACTCCAGAAAAGTCTTAGGGTGGTTTTCTTTCTTGGGGTGTTTTTGTATCTCTGGGTTTATATTTAGCATCAGATAAGGTTTGAACCTTATTGTAAATCACTTTCCAGGTTAAGGAACCTGTGACTTAGGACATTCAATGGATTTGCCCAAGTTAGCATACAAATAATGTTTCAGCTTTACCTTGTTTCCCATAAATGTCAAGCATAGCTTTCTCCATCCCAGCACTGTGATATATAAGTCACCCTTTCAAAGATTAATAACCTTTGCCAAGATTGGAGTTGATTTATGCTCTGGCTCTGTTGGCAACAGAGGCCTCCCTACCCCAGCCCTCATCAGCTACATTGATTGGGCACCAGAGCTTCCCCCAGCCTGCTGCTTAAGCAGATGCTAATGGGCAAATGAGCAACAGCAGGGGGGAAGGCTGCGGTGATCTTCATTCATTCGCAACTGTTCAAGCAGCAGGCTGAGGGAATCTGCAGATGCTGAGAAAGACACTAGGATGAACATTGACCTCAAAGGTACTTTTGAACAAAACTTGAATTTTTCTACCAGGTCAAGTTGCTGTGTTTTCCAAAACTTATATATACTGTGATATACAATGGTAAGTAATGGGTTTATATTCTTCTTAAAGTCCCTGCTTTCTTATATTGATGTCAATGTGTGTATCAAAATCAATCAAGGTCAGATTTTTTGGTTCTAAGCCACTGTCTTGTGAATTGCCTAGTCATAATAATCACAGCGGGCCTTACAAACTGCAGATTCTAATTCAATGGGTCAGGAATAAGAATTGGAGAAGCTGTATTTTTAGTAAGTGTCATGGTATATTTTATGAGGTATAAGGATACAACACATTTTCTAAGCAGTGTACTTCAAAATGTTGCCCACTACCTCCTTTGTCACAATTACTCAAATAATTATTAATAATACAATAAACTCACATCTCCCTAGCCCTACTGAATGAGAATATTTTGGGTCGAATCCAGGAATTTATTTTTAAGTGAGGAGTGTTAGACTCAAGTTTCAGAAAGGCAGGTGAATAAAAAGTTAAAATCTGGTCAAAGGGTGAATTCCAAATTATTTGAAAGTACTAAGAATTTCTCCTTTGAAGACTTGGGTTCATTTTAGAAGCAATTTCTCTATTCTTTCCTCCTAAAGGATCAAAGGCAGATTTATAACACCATCCATTAAATTACCAACTTGCCTTCTGAACATTGAATGCCTATAGAATTGTCTTTGTCCCCACCTAACTTGATGTCTACTTTTTTTTTGAGATGTCTAAAATGCAGTTTTATGTCTAAATGTCTAAAATGTCTAAATGAGTTTTCTCAGTAAAGATTCTCTGTGGTCACTTCTGCAGTCAAAATTTCATATTTTGAGAGATGGTTCTTGTTGGATTATTTTACTGCTATATGCAATTGTCCTTGATCTTTGAGATGATAGGTGGCCAATTAAAATTGTGATCAGGTATGCTTGCATTTATTGCTAGATCACTCTATTATATTTCTTAGAGCTGGCCTAACAAGTTACCACAAACTTGTGACTTACACAACAGAAATTTATTCTCCCACAATTCCATAGGCCAGAAATCTGAAATCAAGGTGTCAGCAGGACTGGTTCCTTAGGGAGGCTCTGGGGGAGAATCTGTTCGATTACTTATTCCTAGTGTGTCCGGAATTGGTGGACTCTTGGTCTCACTTACTTCAAGAATGAAGCCGCAGACCCTCGCGGTGAGTGTTACAGGTCTTAAGGTGGCACGTCTGGAGTCTGTCCCTTCTGATATTCATATGTGTTCGGAGTTTATTCCTTCTGGTGGGTTCGTGGTCTCGCTGGGCTCAGGAGTGAAGATGCAGACCTTCACAGTGAGTGTTACAGCTCTTAAGGCAGCATGTCTGGAGTTGTTCATTCCTCCCGGTGGCCTTGTGGTCTCGCTGGGCTCAGGAGTGAAGCTGCAGATCTTCGCGGTGAGTGTTACAACTCATAAAAGCAGCGTGGACCCAAAGAGTGAGCACTAGCAAGATTTATTGCAAAGAGCGAAAGAACAAAGCTTCCACAGTGTGGAAGGGGACCCAAGCAGGTTGCCAATGCTGGCTGGGGCAGTCTGCTTTTATTCTCTAATCTGGCCCCACCCACATCCTGCTGATTGGTAGAGCCGAGTGGCCTGTTTTGTCAGGGCCCTGATTGGTGCGTTTACAATCCCTGAGCTAGATACAAAGGTTCTCCACGTCCCCATCAGATTAGTTAGATACAGAGTTTCGACACACAGGTTCTCCAAGGCCCCACCAGAGCAGCTAGATACAGAGTGTCAATTGGTGCATTCACAAACCTTGAGCTAAACACAGGGTGCTGATTGGTGTGTTTACAAACCTTCAGCTAGATACAGACTGCCGATTGGTGTATTTACAATCCCTGAGCTAGATACAGAGTGCCAATTGGTTTCTTTACAATCCCTGAGCTAGACATAAAGGTTCTCCAAGGCCCCACCAGAGCAGCTAGATACAGAGTGCCGATTGGTGCACTCACAAACCTTGAGCTAAACACAGGGTGCTGATTGGTGTATTTACAATCCCTGAGCTAGACATAAAGACTCTCCACGTCCCCACCAGACTCAGGAGCCCAGCTGGCTTCACCTAGTGGATCCTGCACTGGGGCTGCAGGTGGAGCTGCCTGCCAGTCCCCCGCCGTGCTCTCGCATTCCTCAGCCCTTGGGTGGTCGATGGGACTGGGCACCATGCAGCAGGGGGTGGTGCTCGTCGGGGAGGCTGGGGCCACACAGGAGCCCATGGAGTGGGTGGGAGGCTCAGGCATGGCGGGCTGCAGGTCCCGAGCCCTGCCCTGCGGGAACGCAGCTAAGGCTAGGTGAGAAATCGAGCGCAGGGCCGGTGGGCCAGCACTTCTGGGGGACCCAGTACACCCTCTGCAGCCACTGGCCCTGGTGCTAAGTCCCTCATTGCCCGGGGCCAGCTGCTCCAAGTGCCAGGCCGCCAAGCCCACGCGCACCTGGAACTCCAGCTGGCCCGCAAGTGCCGCATGCAGCCCTGGTTCCCGCTCACGCCTCTCCCTCCACACCTCCCTGCAAGCTGAGGGAGTGGGCTCCAGCCTTGGCCAGCCCAGAAAGGGGCTCCCACAGTGCAGCGGAGGGCCGAAGGGCTCCTCAAGTGCCGCCAAAGTGGGAGCCCAGACAGAGGAGGCGCCGAGAGTGAGCGAGAGCTGTGAGGACTGCTAGCACGCTGTCACCTCTCACTAGCTTCTAGGGGCTGTGGCAATGTTTGGAGTTCCTTGCCTTGTAGACATATCACTCCAATATGTACCTCTGTCTTCACATGGTTTTCCTCTTGCATTTCAGATATCCCTCTTCTTTCTCTTATAAAGACATCAGTCATCGGATTTAGAGTCCACCCTAAATCCAGGATGACCTCATCCCAACATCCAAGTAAGAGTATTTCCACAGGTAGGGGGGATTAGGGTTCAGATATATCTTTTGGAGAGACAGTGTTCAACCCACTAAAATTACTGAACTGTAAATATATGTATCTAAGGAATAATATGTATGTATTATTTAATATAGGTGTACAACAATGTTAATTATATATATTACACATATTTTTCAAGTCTTCTTTTTAAGGTAAAGGTAAAACAAAATATTATATTGATTTTATGTTTTTTTGAAAGAGTTAAAATGTTCCTCTAATCTTAAGGATATTAACTACCTCACATCCATATGTGATACGTGCATGAATTACAAATTCAGCTGGAGTTTTTAAATTAAAATAAATTTAGCATGTGCATTTTTCTGTTAGATATATCTAATTATCAAACTCAGTCACCCATTACACTACATTTTGTTACTATCTAGATATATTTATTTGCTGTTAGCCTTTTAGAAGTGAATATAACTTGAATTTATTTTTATGTGAACTTAGAGGGAAATGTTTTAAGCTGTTTTTTCAAACGTGAGTTCAAATCCATATCAAGCTTTACTATTCAAAATACTATTAACACCATAAAGAATCAAGATGTGTAAGTTGAAATGGGTGTACAACAACATATTTTGGTTTTTGTTTTAATTTTTTTAATCATAATTCTCCAGTGAGCAGAAAATGTCAACACAACAGTTACTATCTACTTGTAGTCTCATTCTCCTTTTTCTTCCCCACCCCCATCTCTCACTCAATATTAGAACCCTTTTGTATCACCCATTTTTAAATTCCCAGTTGGTTCAGTTGCTGAAGGGAGAAATTAGGGGTCTGCAGCACACTCCTTGGCAAGCACTGAGAGTATAGTTTTCTCATTTTAAATTCGCAAATTATAGTCCTTCTGGCCCCAGGAGGCTTGGGCTGCTTTACCTTGCTGTTGTAATGAGAATATACTGACACATTTTCATTATTAGATCAAAGGAGAAGGACATTACAGGAAGTAACTTGCAAATGAAATATCAAAATTGGCTGGAGTATACACTTTCATTCTAATCAAATACCATTCTCTTTTTCCAGAATCAATAGAGGAAACCAAAGAAAGGAGACACGTGGTCTGAAATTAATACAGCTGGTGAAGTCAGACTTAAAGCAGGTTCATTTATTTACAGTTGACTTGAATAACTGAAACATGGATTTTATAATTAGAATGTCTTGGAAAAAGCAACCTAATTTACAGGTGGACACAAAAAGGTAACGTGGGCTTTACTAGTTTTAGTATTGAGTTGTATTATACCCTTGATTTGGTAATTCAAGATGAAATGGGTGAAACAAATTATTTTAAATGATCATTTTCTTCCAAAAAATTGCAGCATCTATTTCAATTACAAATTCATTGAATCTAAGTAATCATCTTTTAAAATATTTCTGTACTTTAGTAAGCCTTATTTAAAGTGAACTAAATTATCATTCATTCCTATTGGCATCTGTTCATTATTGTCACCAGCTATAACAAATGAACAAAAATTTTTGTTAGAGAGAGATGAGATGTGTTTCTTATACTGTACAGTGTTAATAAGAACATGTTAGTTGTCTTAAATATATACGCCAAATTGCCAGTGCCTTTAGGGGACATTCTCTTAAAAACTTCTATATTGTAGCAAATTGTGAAGTCTATAATTTGCATGAGGTAGTATTTTTTTTACCAATGTAAAAAACCTATATGATCTTAAATGTGAATGCTTTGATTTATATAAAAGTCATGTGTGGCATATGTGTAAGATATGCTTACCCATTTACTTTATTGACAGTACATTTTATGGGCACATATAATGAAATATGTATTACATAAGCTACTATATGAGCATAATTATTATGAATTTATAGATGTGGATAATAAAGTTGGTAAAAATGGGCATGCTTATGGTTGTAATTCTTCCATTGCTTAACTCAAATGATGCTAAAATTTTTCTCCTAAGCACTTTTTTCTCTTGAATTTGACCTAGAGTCACCAGCCTTCCCAATTCAAAGTCAGTCAACAGAAAATTATAATCAGTAGTACAGGCACTCTGCCATATGTATGGCCTTGCCAAGATGTTGCTATAGTCACCAGATTTGTGTCAAATGGTAAACAAAATTGAAGGCTGGCAACTATAGCTTATTTCTGTGTATTAGCAGGTTTATTTTCAGAGTTATAGAAGTCCTCATGTAAAAGCTCTCAAGTTATTATAATTTCAGGGACAAATATTAAGGTAAGCAGCAACGTCAATATTATAAAATCAATTTTTCCTATGAAGTTCTTTTTCAGTGGGGAGATGAAACAGTAGTCAGAAACAATGTCTACAACTTGACCTGTGTATTTCCAGGCATTTGAGCAAGGCTTGGAATTGCATCCATAGTAGTTAATCTAGGCTTTGAGATTGAATCAAGACCCTATGCTTCCTGTTTATGCTTCCTGTTTATGCTTCCTGTTCACGCTTCCTGTTTAGCCTTGAAAGGATAGCAGTACAACTGGTATGTGAATTATAAGCAATAAATATAAAATAAATTTAGAGGCACTCTCAAGAAAATATTGAGCAGATATTTGAGAAGCGAAAATAAAGTTCATAGTCTCTGTACATATTGTTGAAGGAAAAAAATAAATCTAAATTTGTGAAAAATGTAGCCACTGGAAGATCCAGTAAGATTTTAGTTTGATTGTCTCTTCTGAAATTCTGCTTCTCATAAAAAATTATTTTAGATTACTATGGCCGCAAAATAATATGGCAGACATTGGTGTGTGAAATACTTTATTAGAGAACATTTATGCTATAGGTAATTACTAAAAGCAGTGAATGATAATAGCTACTTAGCTACACTGGAATAATTTACTTTTAATATAATCTTCATTAAAGTAATATTAAAGAGGCTATTTTCATTGTGAAATAAAGAGATTTCGCCATATGACTTATTTTATTCTTAATTGTAATCACATGGCTCTTGTCAGATGCAACATAAAATGTGCACCCAAGTGTTTGACTATATTCTTAAAACAAAAGTATTAATAACTGAGCAATTCATTTATTTTTCTTCCCATTTGGAGTAGAAATTAGGATTATTTAATAATTATGCATCTGATACCTCTTTATAACACCTAAGAATTAAATTATCCTCTGCTTCATTTGGGACCATTATAAATTTACATTAGTTCCTTAAAGATGCTTCACCAGGATTCACTTAATTTCACGTGGCAGAACCTTGACCAGTTTATTTCAGGAGATTGTAAAACAAAGAGTTCATGTAAACTGCATAAATGTCTCCTGACTCACAGGTAACCTGTCTATCATTGAATACTGTAGATCATGACACATTTATTTGTTTAAAATGTCAGCCTTGCATTTGCTTGGGTGGCTGGCCTGGTACAGTTTGAGAGTCACTTAACTAATGCTGAGCCATTTGTTATTGTTTTATTTTTGTTTTTGTTTGAGCCATCTGGGAATTTAGATTAAATCTAGCTACTATTAGAGAACCTAAGGGAAATTTTTAGATTTATGTGCTTTTTTTCTGAATGAATGGATTTTACAGAAATTTACCTCTCCAAGATTTGGAATTACAAGATAATTTAGTTAGACTTGAGCTTTTAAAAAAGTCCAAAAATAAATCAAAACCCTCTAAAATCCACAAAGTTTCTCTAGATGACTCCTATCCTGTGCTAGCTCTTCAGACTTACCCTGATTATCACCTCATATTTCAAAACATATTTGAAAAAGAAGAACAACTTTGAAAGACTGTCATTATCTGGTTTCATGGCTTACTGTAAAGCAAAGCTATGACAGTCAAGACTATACACAAAACAAGACATTTCATTACTATTATGAGAGGTATTTTGTTACTATAATTTGGTATTAATGTAAAGATAGACAATAGATCAAACAATAAACTGGATTTAATCAAAATGAAAAATTTCTGCTTATCAAAAACACTGATAAAAAATGACAAGTGAAGCCACAGATAGGGAGAAAATATTTTCAGATCGTACATCTTATATTGGATTTATATCCAAAACTTATAGACAACCCTCAAAATCAATAAGAAAATAATCCAATAAATAAGTGGGAAATTGATTTGAACAGACACTTTACCAAAAAGATACAGGAATTTTTAAAAGCATATAAAAAGATTTTCAAAATCATTAGTTATTAGGGAAACAGAAATTAATGCCACAATAAATTAGTACTACTCACATTCGACTGGATAAAATTAAAGAAACGAACCATATGAAGTGTTGGCAAGGATGAGGAATGACTGGAAGTCTCAAACATTTCAAGGAGAAATGTCAAATAAACAATCATTTCAGAAATATGTTTTATAGTTATAAAAATTAGCATACATCTATCATATTATTTAGCAATATTATTTCCAGATATTTATACCTGACCAATGAAAGCACACATACTTACAAACACTTGTTACATGAATGTTCATAGCAATTGCTTCTCACTAAGCAATTCTCTCAGTAACACCCAATATCTGAAAACAACCAATATATCCATTAACAGGTGAATTTATAATTATCTGTTGTATATTTTTGTAATGAAATGAATTGTTGGTATCTACATCAATATGAATGAAATGAGTCTTAAAAGAATTATGCTATATAAAATAAGTCATAAAAAACAGCACGTACTTTCAGATTTCATTTACATAGGTTATTGAAAATACAAAAGGATACATAGTAATAGAAAACAAGTTATCTGAAGTGTGGAAGGAGATATAGAGGGAAGAAGTAAGAAGAGGCATGAGGAAATTTTAGGGGGGATGGACATGTTCATTTTCTTGACTTTGTTACTGATTTCATAGGTTTATTCCTATTATAAATCTTATTAAATTGTACACTTTAAATATGTCCAGTGTATTTGTAGGTTAATTACAAGGAAAGCTGTTAGAAAGTGATTGGATTTTTCTTTGATGAAGAAAGGCAATAGAATTTGTTAGAAGGGAGTCAGATAAACCTGGGGTTAATGTGAGCTCCAGCATTTATTAGCCATACAGTCATGAAAAATTACAGCCTTTGTTTCCTCACCTATTAAATGGGAAAATATTACTGTCTGAAAGTTCTAGCTTAGAATTTACCTGTGATAATGTATGTAAATGCTTTACATAACACCTAGCATATTATTTGGTCCTCAATAGATATTAATGTCCTTTCCCATTGTCTTTACCATCTCTAAAGTTTATGTTGTACCACCAGTACAAAGCACTGGAAAAATGCTAACTTATGAATTGTACAAATCACAATTTTTTCCCTAGAAATGTCATAAACCACAAACTAGACGGCACTATGCATGTACATAACAAGCATCACTTAGGCAAGTTTGAAAAATCATCACTCATTAAAAAACCATACCCTAAAGGAAAAAGAAGTGTCAGAAATAGCTCCCAAATAAGAAACACCTACATGACCAGATGAAAAGACAAGGTCTAAAACAGGTAACAGACCCTGTCATGAACAGGAAGAATTAGGTTATGACTAGAGACAGTAATAGGCCTTCTCTATAACCTGATGGTTGGAAAAATTGAAGCACTCTAAAACTGTGAATATGTGACCAAAAGCACTGAAATGAAAAATGGCTTAGTCAGTGATTTTGGCAAAGTTATGACAGAACTAGATCAACTGAAAATTCAGTCTGGTTCATTATGTAAGGGTAGATCATTAAAATATCAGGGGGAAAAACGATCAAACTTCTTGACATTGAAACTGTGACCTAATTAAACAGATTGTGTAAAAACAAGGCCATCATTTATAAAATATGTACTAATATCTTTAGAACGAACCAGTGTCCTTAGTCAGAAAATTCAAGTTAATAGATTATAAAAGTAGTTTTACTATACAACATTTTAAAACATATAGCAACAATTCTATTCAGATCATGTGAGGAAGAATATCTTAGCCATGTTTGATTAGTTAAAAATAAGTTTCTGCATAATTTTATGTTATAAAGTTTCTCTTCAAAAAGAACAAATTAAACATGGAAAATATAATCATTTTCCCAGACCTATCTAGGTGATCACCATTTATAAGAATCTTATAATAAATCATGTCTTACAATGCTAAGAACTCTTTTATGAAGAATGTAATAACCTCTTAATTGCCTTCTGTGTTAATTTAATTTTCCATTTAACTTCTTACATTCATATAGCATTCTGCAAATTACATACTCCTTTTACCTCCATTACCTTATTTAATAAAAAGGTAAAATGTATAAATATATAAATAACTCTTAAAAGTCAACAACAAAAAAGTCTGGTTTAAAACTGGGCCAAAGACCTTAACAGACACCTCACCAAAGAATATATACAAGAGACTAGATAGCCATATGCAGAAGAATGAAATAGACCGCCACCCTTCATCCTATGCAAAAATCAGCTTAAGCTCCATCAAAGACTTAAATGTAAGACCTCAAACTTTAAAACGACTAAAAGAAAACACAGGGGAAATGCTTCAGAATATTGGGAATTTGGGGAAAAGGTTTTGTTTTAAAACCCTTAAAAGAACAGGTAACAACAGCAAAAATAAACAAATGAGATTGTATCAAATCAGAAATCTGCACAGCAGAGAAAATAATCAATAGAGTGAAAAGGCAACCTACAGAATGAAAAAAAGAATTATTTGCAAACTTCTCATCCAATGGGATTAATATGCAGAATATACAAGGAGCTTAAACATCTCAGCAGCAAAAACACAATGTGATTAAAAAATGGGCAAATGATTTGAACAGATATCCCTCAAAAGATATAGAATTTTCCATCAAATGTATTTTAAAAATATTCAACAACATAAATCATTAGAGAAATGCAAATCAAAACCACAATGAGGTATCATTTTGAGGTAAGACACCTATAGAACTTGCTTCTAGAACCAGATGAAAAAATAGCCAGGACTAGCAAGTGGCTTCAAAAACAACCTCTAGTTGCCCTCCCTGCACTCAGCATAAGACACTTACACCAGCACTATGACAGTTTACAAATTCCATGGCAAAACACGAAAGTTGCTGGCCCTTTCTATAGCAACACCCAGAAGTTACCACCCATTTTCTAGAGATTTCTGAATAACCCCCCAATAATTTGCATGTAATTAAAAGTGATTATAAATTCTCACTTTTAGTCAACAACCAACATGCTACTATAGTCACAGCCCATATGCTACTAGTGTTGCTGCACTGCCTATGGGTGAGTGCTGCTCTGCAACGGGCTGTCACTGATCTGTAACACTGCCACTTCAATAAAGCTCCTTTCTTCCACTGCCAGCTTGTTCTTAAATTATTTCCTGAGCAAAGCCAAGAACGTGCCCTGCATTATAGCGCCCAACGTGGGACAAGAGAAGTCAGTGCTTGGAGAGGCAGCTAGATGGCAAGAAGCAGAGAGGAACTGATGGTGAAAGAGATGGCAGTGAAGAAGTGAGATGGTGAGAGGTGGTGAAGCAGCAGGGCAATTGGTGATCAAACTGCAGAGCTGCAACATTAAGTCTGTAACACTAAAGAGCTGCTAACACCACAGAGCTGTAACAGTAGCCAAAGATTCTTTTCAGAGCCATCATCTTTCTGGACAGGTGGAGGCAGTGAAGCTGAGTGGATGGGCGAGCAACTGCAGAGCTGCTGCCTCATGTGGGACCCACCACTCCAAATGTCAGGTCACAAATCCGAACACCACTTCATCTGTGGCAGCCAAGTCCACCCAAGCCAGGGTAACCTGGGGTGACTTCACCCAGCTCACTCCATGCTGGAGTTCAGTTGGGACCATTTTGGCTCCTGTACATGGATGAGCATCCTCTCTGGCCCCTTTTAATATTGGGTGAACCAGGAAGTAAGACCTCTGGCTAGGTGGTCAATTCAAAGTTCCCTGTCATTTTGGTGTCATGAAAAAAGCTTGCCTGGCCGCCTATGTTCTTGTCACCCTTTCTCTTAGTCCTTTCCTCTGTATTGTCCTATTTTTTTTCTGCCAGTCATTTATTTTCCACACTGAAATGAATGCTTCGTTTATAGTTGTTTTTGTTTTTTGCTTTGGCTTCCTGCTAACTGTACTTGGGCAATTATTTAAGTCAGGACACTTGGTTGTGACAGGTCCCCAATTGTGTTGATTCACGACCACCATAGTCATGTTGTTCTGTGATTCCAATTTGGCCTTTGGAGGTCACAGTTGGCCACCCCCTAGATGCTCAGGGGTTTTTAGCGTTGACATTCCCTCTAGGATTGTGGGTGATAGCCCCACCCATGGGGGAATCTTGGTCTCTTGGTGTCATTTTTTTCTGCCCTGAAGTTGGAAATTATCATTTTCTGTAAGAGCCAGTTGTGGACCCCTCTCTATGTGCTGTCTTCCTTTCTGTCCAATAAACTGCCTTGCTCAAGCCCATCTTGGACTGTTGGATGAAGAGAATGGGGATTCTTGGCCCCCTGACCTGTTGGATAACTACCCACAGTTGCAGACAAGTGGATGCTTGAATACTTTCTTCGATGTCTCTCTTACTGGGTGGATTCTCTGTTGGCTTGGGGCCTGTAAGGTCTCCTTTCAGCAACACTATTTACCCTTACCCTTCCTCCTTTCTACAATGACCTTGTTTTTTTAATCCCTCTTTGTTCAAACTAAAATGTTTACTTCAATCTCTTTGGAATTCAGACCCTAAGCATTCTACTGCCCACCACTCATATCTCATAATCCACATTTGTAAAGCTTTACTACCTCTACCTACACCTTCTCTGCAGTATGTGGGAATTTGAAAGGAAAAGTAACTAAGCTTTCACTAGACTTAGGGCAAACTGAAAAAAAAAATTTCTGTAAGAATCCTTACTGGAAAGTGAACATGACAGTATCCCAGAGGACTGGCCACTAGGATGTCATTTAGGCAACTGGAGCAAATTCAAGTTAGATAATATAGAGGAAAAAAAATCATTTTCTATTGCAACACCATTTAGGTCCAATACAAATTGGGGAACCAAAAGATTTCACCTAAACATGGTTCTTTACCTTATAATGCTATTTAACAACTAGACTTATTCTGTAAAAAAGAGGGAACGAAAATGAGGAGAAGTTTCTTATGTGCAGCTTTTATAGCCTCTACCAGGATCTGAACCTAAGAGAATGCTGTAGAATGTGTCTAGTCCATGTCACTTTCAGGGACCAAAAGACAGCACTAGATATCTTAGATGACCCCCTTTTAGCTGCACCCGCTAGGAGTTTCATGCCCCCCTTTGGAGCCTCTGCATTTCCTGAATTCTGAGGGAAGTCCTGCCAGTTCTCCAGTGCAGGATTTCTTTCCAAGGTCATTAGGCACCCGTCTCCCTTATCCAACTAAGCCTAGTCTATACCTTTGCAGCCTACAGAAATAAGCCTAACCAATACCACCAAGAGTGGGGCCCCACATCAGCTCCCAAAATTAAATCTGTCCCCATTGTGGGAAGCAGACAGAGATGGGGGAACAATCAGAGTATATCTCATTTTTTTAATGTACAATTTAGCTTTATGCGAGAAGAAATTTAGCCAGTTTTCAGAGGATCCAGGGAAGTTTATAGAGGAATTTGTTGACCATGTCCTTTGATTTAACTTGGCATGACTTGCAAATATTATTATCTACTTGCTGTACCATAGAGGAGAAAGAAAAGATTTTAGATATTGTCCATGAATATGCAGTTGGAGTGCTGCTTGTTACCAAGGCCATTTATTGTGTAGGGGGAGGTGCAGTTTCAGATCTGGACCCTCAGTGAAACTACCAGAGAGGTTCCCAGGACCTTGAACTCAGAAACCACATGCCAACTTCTTTAATAGAAGGTATTAAAAAGTGCATGGTTAAGCCAGTTAATTATAGCAAGATTAGAGAAGTAATTCGGGGAGAAGATGAAAATCCCACTCTATTTCAGGGTCACCCGGATGAGGCCCTCGGAAAATATACTAATGCAGACCCTGACTCCCTGTAAGGCCAAGCTCTCCTGGGCATGCATTTTATTATTCAATCTGCTCCTGATATTAGGAGGGAGCTACAAAAAGCAGCAGTGGGACCCCAGACTCACCAGTTAACTGTAGTTTCTTTGACCAGACACCAGGCTGCCTCTGTTAATTCCGTTTGCTCTCCCAATTAACCTAATCCAGTGTGAGTGGAAACAAAACTCTATAGTAAATGTTTCAAAAATTATAGCAGCAGGAAATCATCTTAATGGTTGCTGGATTTGTCATCAATATCCCCAGGATAGAGTTCCCTCTTCCGGCACATCTGGAAAATCTCACAGCCATCTCTATGGATCTCTCAATTAGCCACAGTGATCCCTTAGTATCCAGACCTTTACTTGTTAGGTATTCTCCCCCGTTTTTCATCCATTGTTGTGCTAATGACACAAAAGTAGAAGTTTCCTTACAATGCTCTAATCAAACCCTAGTAGCCAAGTTCCCAAGGCCACAGTGAGGTAAATGAAATCCCACTTGTAAGTGAGGAAACCATACATAGTGATTGATCTGGGAAGGTAGGAGTACTGCCCACTTCTGGAAAACAAGAGCCTTTCAACCACCCCCATTGGAACAAGAAAAAAGTATCTCTATAGACCCAACTTGGCAGCAAATAATAGACATTACACCCCCATAAGGCCTCAATTTGTGTGCCAACTGGGGTTATCTCTGTCATGAATGGGAAGAAGTCCCATCCTGTAACCACTCCCAACTTCCTAGGGAGCCACCTATTCTTTTAGGAGTAGCTTTCCCTTGTATATCAAAAACTTGGAACAGGAGTGAATGCACGTTGACCACCATTGCCACTCAGGGGATCACTGTCTACAACCCCATAAAACCCAGAAATACTAGAAATAAATGAGCAGTAAGATTAGTTCTGGTGACAATCAGCAAGGCAATAGGACTAGTGGCCCCATGTTTATTGTAACACCGTTCACCATACCAAGATGTGGAAACAGCCAAGGTGCTGAACAGCAGATGAATGGAAAAAGAAAATGTGATTATATATATATACACAGACACACACAATGGGATGCTATTCACTATAAAAAAGAATCAAGTCTTGCCATTTCAGCAACCTGGAAAGAACAGGAAGACATGTTAGGTATAATAAGCTAGAAACAAAAAGTTAAACACTGTATATTCTCACTCATATGTGGAAGCTCAAAAATCTCAATATCATTCAAAGTAGAACAGAGGCTATTAGATCCATTGAAGGAAAGAATAGACAGGGAGAGATTTGCTAAATAATACAAAATTACAGCTAGATAGTAAGAATAAGTTCGAGTGTTAGTTAACACTGTAGGATGACTATAGTTAACAGCAATAGATATATTATTTAACATAGCTACTGGGAGGATATTGAATGTTCCAAGCACAAAGAAATGATAAATGTTTGAGATGATAGCTATGCTAATTACCCTATCTGATCACTGTACATTATATGTATAGAAACATCAATGTGTACTCCATGAATATGTACAATTATTTGTCTATTTTAAACATCTCAAAAATACAGGAATCGACATTTTTAAAAAAAGAATATATACAGGTGGCAAATAAGCATATGAAAAGTTGCTTCACCTCACATATCCTTAGGGAACTGTAAATTAAAATAGCAATGAGACATCACTACACACCCATTAGGATGCCCTGAATCCAGAAAACTGAAAAGATCAAATGCTGATGAGAATGGGGAGCAACTGCAACTCTCATTTATTGCTGGTGGAAATGAAAAATGTTACCGACGCTTTGGAAGACAGTTTAGTAGTTTTGTATAAAATAAAAAATATTCGGCGGGGCGTGGTGGCTCACGCCTGTAATCCCAGCACTTTGGGAGGCCGAGGCGGGTGGATCACGAGGTCAGGAGATCCACACCATCCTGGTTAACACGGTGAAATCCCGTCTCTACTTAAAAAAATACAAAAAATTTGCTGGGCGTGGTGGCGGGCGCCTGTAGTCCCAGCTACTGGGGAGGCTGAGGCAGGAGAATGGCGTGAACTCGGGAGGCGGAGCTTGCAGTGAGCCGAGATCCCACCACTGCACTCCAGCCTGGGAGACAGAGCAAGACTCCATCTCAAAAATATAAAAAATAAATAAAAATAAAAATAAAATAAAATAAAACATATTCTTACCATATGATCCAACAATATCACTCATTGGTATTTGCCCAAATGAACTTAAGAATTATGTACGTGAAAAAATCAAAATGCAGATGTGTTCAACAGCTTTATTGATAATTGACAAAACTTGGAAGCAACCAAGATGTCCTTTAGTAGCTGAATGAGTAAGTAAACTGCAATACAACTAGGTATTGGAATATTGTTCCAGGCTAAAAAGAAATGAGCTATAAAGCTATGAAAAAGCATAGAGGAAACTTAATTGCACTTTATTATATGAAAGAAGCCAATCTTAAAAGGCTGAATACCGTATGATTCCAGTTATATGACGTCTGGAAAAGGCAAAACTATGCAGATAGTAAAAAGAGCACGGTTGAGTTTTAGGGCAGTGAAACTACTCTGTATGACACTATAATAGTGGATAGATATTATTATATATTTGTCTAAATCCATAGAATGTACAACACCAAGAGTGAACCTCATTGGAAACTATGGACTTTGGGTGATAATGATGTGTCAATGTAGGTTTATAAATTGTGGCAAATGTACCACTCTGACTGGGGATGTTGACAATGGTGTAGCTTACACATGTCTGGGGGCAGGGGTAACATGAGAAACTCTGTACCTTTTGATCAGTGTTGCTCAAACTTTCTAAAAATGAAGTCTATTTGAAACAAGAATTAATTTTAAAATTTATACTTTTGAGATAGTCAATATAAATAGCTCCCCAAATTAACTTGACTATTAATAAAAATAACCCAAGAGAAATAAGAAAAATAACTATTTTAATGTTTGAAAAACCACATGAAGCAGGCTTCCGTAATACAGACCACAAATCAAAGATGTATATAAAGAGAAAAATATATGTATGTATGTATGCTTACAAGCATTTTCACATATATAACTATGTACTCAGTAGGTGAGGGGGAAAGGTAATAAAAAATGTAAAGGAACAAAGATTAAAAGCTGATTGTCTGAAGGTATATTTCAGTAGCCAGTAGGAATATTGTTTTTTTTCTGAGTATGGAAGACCAGTATCAGTAGGTTGTTATTGATATAAGAAAATGTTCTAGGGTCATATTTTTCTTGGTGGTCTAGCATAATTTCTCTACCTAAAAGGAAGAGGAAATTCCTAGGTACAATATTAACTCTTTAATGCTTAAAAGGAACCTTATTCTCCCTGCATTGGCAAAATGAAAGGTGTGCTTTTCAGAAACTCTGTGAAATAACTCTTGTAGGATTTTACACTGTAGTCAATGGCAGAAGGACATACACTTACTGTAGTCTGGCCAGTATCACATATTTGCATTATGCATTCCTCCCTTGAGGTTAGTTAACACCAACATTCTTAGAACATACTCTGGATAAGGAAATCCAGAGAATATGGCCAAGTTATTTTATTTTTCTTAAGCAAATCTAACTGAATAAAACAGTATTAATCCCATCATTTCACCTCACTAATACCACATACTAAACACGTACATTAAGTGATTCCCAATAGCATAATTTATAATGCCGAGTAGAGTGGAAAAAGGGGCCTTCAAACCCAATAGTCAGTGAAACCAAACCCCATTCCCAGCCCCATAACCAAAGGTGTGAATCAGTAAAACGAAGGGCTTAAGAGTAACTTAAATATTCAACATAAAAAAAGGTGATTCAGAGGCTTCCATATACACTCATATATAGCCATATTAATACTTCACAAAAATTGCAAGTCAGTCCAGAGAGGGGTCCTTTCTATCTGAAAGATACTATATTTTATCCAACTATCCTTTCTGTACCTTCAGAAAAAAAAAATAATGAGAAATGTTTAACTCTTCTGTCATAGTTTGTTTTCCTTTCACAGTGAAAAATATTGTGAGGTAAAGGGGTATATACATTTATTTTACATTTAATTCATTTGAAAATAGCATGTTAATAACTTGCACTGAAATATTTTCAATAACAAGAATTTGTCATGAAGAGCTGAGTCATTCAGGATATAATGAAAGAACCATTACAAGAATATAAAGACTTACATACTTTATATATTCAATAAACAATTCTTGTTTGAAGCTGTTATTAATTCCCCATATCCAATTGTAGCACATATTATATCTGAAAATATCACTTTAATTTACATGTTTACTTATTCACTGTCTTCTTACTTCCATTAGATTTGATGGTACAAGAAAGCAAAAGTCTTTTCTTTGACAATCGCTTTATTCAAAGTGCTTGGTGTAGTGACTAACACATACTGAATGGCTGAAAGAATCCTTATGACTTATGTATGCCTGAATGCAACATGAAGAGTGGATATAGATCTGTTGGCCCTTTAATGTGGTTACATTATTTAGGTTTTAATTGTTTCCTTCTTTATATTTTGTATTTTGGAGGATTATACAGATCAAGGGAAATGAAATTACTATGCGCCTTAGAGAGAAGTGATTGAGTAAATTCTAAATTGGTAAACATTCCCCAAGACTGATTTAATGCAGTTAACTACCCTGTAGGTAGCTTTTAATGGCTTCCATTCTTCGTAATTATTAAATTCATCTTGTTGCTGTTTACATGTTCCTGTCTGGCCACTTTAACTTATGATTTTAGCTCCCTATTTTAGGAGTTTATGTGTGTGTAAATGTGTGCATATATGTGTTTGTGTATGTCCCAGCATTTATAAGTGGAGTATGAACCCAATGTAAAAAACACTTTCAAACTTAACATGAAAATTTTTAATATGCATCAAATTAATTTAAGCTAAGATTTTTCTTCTTAATTAGCTGTTTTATTATGATAGTATGTTATATATTCTTTTGTTTAAATAACTTATAGTGGTTTACTAGAATGTGAGAACTGAACTCTGGTTCTTAAGAAATATAGAAAATTAGGCATTTATATAAACAGCTTTTGTTAAATGTAAAAGAACACATAATTTAAATGGTTTAAATGTGTATGCCCTGCATATAAAGATTATTGTGTTGCTAGTCTGTTTAAATAAGAACATAAGCTCATCTAATGGGAATAATATAAGAGTTTCCATATTTAGTTTATTTTAGTTATCTAAATGCTTTTGGACACATTATGGATATAATAATCTCTAGTATGCTATTTTATGAAGTGAAGCTAATTTTAGTCATCACAGCAGAAAAGCACAGTCTCTACTGCAAATACTTTCTTCATTTAGCAATTTGAGTTGTGACAAGACTTTGCTAATCTGATTTAGAAACTCTTCTCATAAATTTCTAAATTGAGATGGCTTTGAAATTAACTGTGCAGTAGAGAAGGTGAACTATTTTGGAAAGTCATCCTGATCATATGAAGGCATTAGTTTTTACCTTATATATTCAAAACTGCTGTTGCTCTGTTGCTTTTCAGAAGATATTTCCCCAATGGGTAGAAAACAAAAATTCACTGATTCTAATTTTTTAAATTTTGTGTGTGTGTGTGTGTGTGTGTATATATATATATGTGTGTGTGTGTGTGTGTGTGTGTGTGTATGTTATATATATACGCATAAAATTTTAAAAATATATATGTGTAGATTACATGTATCTATGTATATATATAATTAAGAATGCCACATGAGCTTTATATATATAATTTACATTGTTATATATAATTATGTAATTACATTATAATTGTGTAAATTACATGTATATTATATACATGTAAATAATGTATATATGTAGATTATATATACTCATATATATATAAAGCTTATGTAGCCTTCTTAGTTAAAAGCAAAGGTGAGAGAGACGGACCATAAAATGTTGTTTGCTATTACATACGTCAGTGCATTTAAGGGTTATCAAGCCAATAATAATGCAGAAAGTGAGAAAAAAAATGAACAAAGAAAATTTACTCAAAGAGTATGTTTCAGAGTGGAAAGTGTGGAAAATGGTGTCAAGCTCTAGCTAATTCCTGAATAAATAGCATTTTTCTGAATCACAGGTTTTGTGATTGCAAATTCTCCATCATCAGGGATAACCCCATAAATTAGGCATAGGGAAATGTAAGGATAAGACTTGGAAGGAATTCATGAGGGGCCATGTAAAGATCTAGACATCCTACAAGTGATTACGGAAGAGAAAAGCAAGTCAAACTTTGAACTTTGTGATGGTTTACTGAAATAAGAAGCTAGTACACAGATTACAAGGGTACGCAAAGGCTTTTCTACCTTTGGGTAGAAAAGGGGAAATAAGAGTAAATTCTGGGAAGAGCATGTTTGTAAAATAGTTCCCGTATCTCTCAATTTTCTTCCATCAAAATACACAAAACAACTTCAGTGAAAAAACAAATACACATTGATAGAACTTCCATTTCCAGCTAAGACAAAGTAATAGAACCTGGAACAATCCTCAGCTGGAAACATGAACTAAACATAGTAAAACAATAATTTTAAGGATTTTAACAATAGGCAATGGAGGGCAGTGATAACTAAGAGAAGGGAAACAAAGAAAGTGAGTGAAACAGTTGTCCCAACTTACTGCCTAGGGAGTGTCTGGTTGTGGAGAACAAACCTGGGTGTCTAGAGAAACCAAGGTAGCTACAGTTTACTAGGCAGAATGTTGAAAAAAAAAAAAAGAGAAGTTATAGAAAAAGAAAATTCCAGAGATCTACAGAATGTGCATCTTATGATAATTAGATGAGTACCGATTAGCAAATGTACATGAGGAAACTAACTGAGACAGTAAATGAATCTACAAAAAAGGGCAGAGAGATCAATTGCTGGGAGCTCACACAGGCCTGGGGATTTATGCCACCAGCCAGGGTAGAACATCTCTTAACACGTGGAACATTGGTATAAGTCTTCAGACTCTTATACCTTATTTAGTGAAAAAAAAAATTCCCCTAGACTACAAGTTACCCTGGCCACCCAACAAAGCCAAAAAACAAGACTCAAAAGGAAAAAACTGTTTCCAAGTAACTTAACTATGTACCAGAACAAAACTCAAGAATATGAATAGAAATAATTTTTTATTATTTAAACAAATAAGGTGAAATATACGATGAGTAGCTCTAGTCAAAAACTACCAGTAATGCAAAGAAGCAGAAAAATGTGATTTATAATGAAAGTAAGATTTAATCCAGGGAAACATTGTAAAATGACACACCTGATTGAATTAGCAGACAAGGAGATTAAAAGGTTATTATAACTCTGTTATTTCTCCTGTGTCTGGGAAAGTACAGGGAAGACAAAACATGCTAAATAGAAATGGGATAATTTTAGAAAGACTCAAATCAAATTTCTAGAGTTGAAAATACAATTCATGTGATGAAACATTAACAGGATATTAAACATTGGAGAAGAAGAGATAAGTGAACTTGAAGTCACAGCCAAAGAAAGTATTCACAATGAAACACATAGAGAAAAACAAAGAAGAAACTGAAGAAAATGAGAGAACCATCAGTGAGCTGTGTGAAACTTTAAGCAGATTAATAATATATGTAATCGAAGACCCTACAGGAGAAGGGAGAATGTGGGATAGTGCACAATAAGTATGGAGAAATAATAGTTGAATTTTTAAAATAAATTTGACAGTAATTATTAACTGCCAAACCCACAAACTCAATAAACATCAACACAATAAGCATGAAAAAGAATATACCAAGCTACCTTATAATTAAATTACTAAAATGAGTCATAAAGAAAAAAAAATCTTAAAAGCTGCCAGAAAATAAAAAGACATAATGTATAGTGGGGGGGGAAAATAACAACAGCAGGCTTATTTTTAAAGACCATGCAAGGTGTGTCTTGAGAAATCTGTTGAACTAGAATATCATAATTCCTGAAAATATCTTTCAAAAGCAAAGACAAAATAAAAACGTTTTTCACACACACATAGCTAAAAGCCAACATAGAAGATAAAATGGGTTCATAAATAAATATTCAAAAGAGTGAGAAAAAGAGGAAAATCAATCAGACTTTAAAAACTAAGGATTTGTTATAATATAATATCAATAATTATGCTAAATGTAAAAGGTCAAAACACTGCACATAAAAGGTAGAAATTGTGAGCACAATCCACAAGACAATAACGTATATAAATTGGGATTTATCTGAACTAAGATCTTCTGCTCCTTGAGAGTAACTGTAAGAGAATGAAAATATAGGCCACACACTGGGAGAAAATGATCAGAAACCATATATCCAAAAGTAAATTTGTATTCAGATTGTAACAACTCTCAAGGCTCAATAAGAAAACAAGCAAATTAACTTAAAAATGTACCAAATATTTAAACACACTTTACCAAAGAAGATCCATAAATGGCAATAAAACATGAAAAGCATGAAACATGAAAAAGTATAAGAAAAGATGCTTAGCATCATTGTAATTAGGGAGATACAAATTGAAATCACAGAGGTATTATATATTCTGCAATGTCTAAAATTAAAAGGACTAATTTTACTAAGTGTTGCTAAGGATACGGATGAACTGAAACTTGTGTATTGCTAGTGGGACCTCTTCCTGGGTTGCAGTAAATATTTCACTGTTTCTCTTAAGTTCTTCTCAGCAGAAGCTGGTATAGCATAGGTATTGAACCTGCAAATAGTTTATACCCACAGCTCACACTCTGGCTTTGCTTGAATACCTTTTCACTTAGTTTTGCTTTAGAACTTGTCCATGCTATCTTTGGGATGGCAGGGAAAGGGCAGTGAGGCAGTAGTACATTTTGCCACATCACAAACTTACCTTCAGCAAATACAAGTGTCTGTTATTCTGATGTCACATCCATAAAATTGAAACTAATACTATATAATCAAATGTGCAGATTAAATACAAATAATGTATGTAAAATAAGAATAATACGTAGAATTTCTCTGATAGTTTAAGTGTCTTTCCTAAAAGGAAAATTGACCTTGACTTTGCGGTTAAAATCAATAGACCCATTCAGAAAACACTTTACAAAGTTTGTTGCCTGAAATAATAGTTTAAAAGACCAACTGCTATGAGGAGTGATTTATCAAATAAAATTAGGAAACCTGCTTTCTGTATACGGTTCAGAGAATCACTATGCACAGAAATATTTTCAGAGTTGTGGTGTTCCCTAAGTAAGTAAATCTATTCTATTTTGTCAAAGCTAGAATTTACCCTCAATTTTTTGACCTTTAAACTTACTTTTCACATAACATCTTTTAATATTGCTACAAATAGAGAACAATTATTGTTAAATGCACCTTTGAAGTTTAGTTTGAGACAAGAGATATTATAAGAAAAAAAGAAAAAAGGGACAGAAATATGCAGGAAAATTTTCTGAATAATTTATATAGCTTTAATCTAAAATACTCTGTCACTTTGCAAACATATCTTTACAATTTTGGACCTAAGTATCAATTCTAAATTAACACTGACTTGATCAGCTTGAACTAAATCTGTGTTTGCAACTATCTAGTGTTATATGGTTCTGTGCCCTGTATGACTTTGAGCTTAAAGATTTTAAAAGCCATTGTAGAGAAAGTGAATAACAAAAATGCAGTATTTATATTTATCTAAAAATTAGTTTGAGGAAAAAAATAAAGTCACATCAATCTCCCAGGTAATGATGTAAACAAAAATAAACCAATAAAAAGGTTTTATTGAATGTAACAAAAATAACATGATTTAGTAACTGCACTATAAAACCTGAGGCAAAGTCACCTACGGCTTTCCTCTTCCCTATTGAAAAGAATCCTAGAGGTAAGAGTATGATCCTTAGAGTTTATATTCTAATTTTGTCACTTATTAGTTGTTTAACTCTGTTAATCTATTCTAGCCTGAAATTTCTCTTGCACAAGATCCTGATAATATCAGTCTTCCAGGGTCAATACAGTGTCTGACACAGCATAGGCTTTAAAAAATGACAGTTGCTTTCTTTCCTTGAGATGTTTAGAATTTCAGCATTATACTGGTTACAAATTTTCAATCAAGTCATGAAATATCAAATTATATCAATATATGTTGAAGGCCAATATATAAAAACCATAACATTTCTCTGATGACCTTTAGCTAAGCAAAATAAATTGTAAAGGAAAATTTTTTAACGTCTATAAAATTTAAAACAGTAATGTTTAGACAGCTGACAAAAAAGATAGCTGTTTCAAAAAATATAATTTGTTTTAAAATGTAAGAAGATAGAGATGCTTCCAAAATGTAATGGGATTACTAGAGGTATCTATGTATTCAATGTATTTTTATTGTATATTTATTATTCTATGTATTTTTGTTGTTTAAAAAGCAATGGAAAAATTTAAATTCAATAACTGAATTTTTTAAAAATAAAAAATCTTGAGTAGACTAAACTTACATGTAGAGGCAGAATTACCATCTGCTGTAGAAAAATAATTAATTTATAGGTTGAGATACACAAGAGATAAGTTCTTATGAAATGATATATTCTTAGTTTGAAAACCCTAGCACAGTATAGTTCATCTTCCTAAATAACTATTTACCCAATGACTATAGTGAATTCTTCCTTTTGCCTCAAAACTAGGTAGAATTTTTGAAACTGCTTTCCAATCACTTGAAATGAAGGTAAATTTTTTGTTATATTTTCATATTTAGAACCAGGCACTCTATAACTACCCAGAGATAGCAGGTTATTTATGAAAATTATTATCATTAAGCTAACGTAGACATAACAGTTTAGAGATGGGCTCTTAAATCAGACCTCCAAATACCACCCCACAGGTCACTAGTCACTTTGCCTTATTTTCAGTATTTTAATGTTCTTTTTTTACTTCAGTTTGGAGAATGTATATTGCCTTTTCTTTAAGTTCATTGACTTCCTCTTCTATAGTGTTTAAATTATTAATAATTAATTACTGTTAATCCCATCCCTGCATTTATCATTTTAGATTTTGTATTTTCCAGATTTTGCATTTATACTAGGTTCATTCTCATGTTTTCCATCTGTCTATTGGGATCCTAATTGTTTTCCCATTATGTTTTTTATATTTTTCCTTTAGATAATTGAACACATTTTTAGTGTTTCATAGCTGCTTTGAATTCCTTATCCTCTAAATCTAATGTCCTTGTCATCTCTGCCTCTGCTTCTATTGATTGCTTATTACTTTGGTTATCAGTCACCTTTTCCTGCTGATCCCCATGTTTGGTAACATTTTTTTTGTATACTAGGCACTGTGAATATTATTTTTAATGTTTTGATGTGTTTTTGTTGATTTTTTCCAGTGTTCATTTTTTCTTGATGGCAGTCAGTTTCCTGAAGGATCAGCTTTATCCTGTCAGGGCTTGTTTTTAGGTTGGATTATGGTAGTTCTAGAGTAGTCCCATTCCTAAAGTGTAGCTTTTTTTCTTGGAGGGGAGGATGCAGGGAGGTCTTGATTAAATGCCTGATATATTCTTTGTCAAAGTCTGTTGACTTTAGCTACTCTTTCATTTCTCCCTATACCATGTGAACGCTAGACTCCATTGTCAGCTCACAAACCTCTCTCCTTCTCCAGCACCTGATTTCGTCCAGGTCTCATGGCTCTGAGCACACATACAAATGTGGTTGAAGACTAAAGAGGATCCCTATATAGATTTTTAGAGTGTTTTCTTTATTCAGTTCTCTCCTGTCTGTTACCTTAAAAACATTACAAGGCTGCTACCTCAGGAGCCCGAAACTGTCATTTCATTCTCCTCTGCCCAGTGAAATTACAGTTGTTTATAAAGTGTCCTAAGGCAAAAACAAACAAAAGAGAGAGAGACTATGGATCTCTTCCGCTGTTTTTCCCATCTCTCAAGAATCACAGCCTTGTGTTAGCTATAGTCTAATACCTGAAAATTAGTTCTTCACATAGTTTATGCAATTTTTAATTGTTTATGGATATGCAGTTAAGTCAAATACTCATTTTGGCTCATATCAAAGTCCATTAAAGCTCCTGAAACACTGCCAATTTGATTTTATTTTTGTACAAGACAAAAATGAGAAAGAATTTCTCAATGCTGAAATAAAACCATGTGTCCCAAAAAGGGCTTTAACTGATGCTCCATCATTAAGAAGCTGAAGAGAACACAGTGTCCTACACTGAAACTTGCTCCCTAGGCAAAGGTAATAAATGCTTTCTCCATGTGTTTTCTTTAGTTAGATCCACTTGAGCAAAGGTATCAGTGACCTGGGCAATAGAATCTACAGAAAGACATATAGATTATAGAGAGCTGTGTATTTAATCTAAAATTTCTAAGGAGTAAACAATACAATTCTGGATTTATTTTAACCTTATAATGTTAGTACCCATTAATATTTTTTATGATTGACTTACTTTATTACATATATGCATCTGTCTTCTGAGCCATCCCTAAATTCGTGGCAAGCATTTGCATTATTTATTCATCTATATATCTCTAATACCTAACCTTTGGCTGGGTATACCAAATGCTTTTTAAGTGAAATAATGATTAAATTTAAATTTACTTTGTTTCAAAAGAGGTGGGGGTTTTTTGGTATTTGATGTAAGTGTATACATTGAATGCTAATAATGTGCTTGTCACGTTTCTAAATTCTTAATTTAATTTATATTTAAAACTTATAATAATATTATTAGAAGGGCACAGAAACATAGAACAGTAAATGACTTGCCCAAGATCATATGACTAGTGAACAGTGAAAATGAGATTCAAACTTGGGCACCAGGCTTTTAAAAAGTATTGACACGCTACTTCTCAAGCAAGAAAACTGGCTATATTCATCACATAATTCCCATGATAAAAGTCACAAAAATATTACTTCTTATGTGTTGGATGCTAAAATCCTAAGGAGATTTTAATGGGGGTAAAAAAAAGAACATTAAAATCTGTTATTCATTAGCTTGGCAAACAACCTAACAGAAGCAGAGGCTGATGTGCATTCAGAGACTGCATTATGATTTAAATCTGCTTACTAAAGTAGAAAATATTTCTCTAGGTAAAAGAGTTAGTTTTGCAAAACCCAACAATTTGAGATGAGTTGAAAGAGGTGGCAGGTATAAGGCAGAGGACAATATATAACTTTAGAGTTTATACTGCCTTATCATGTACTAAGCAGGTCCATAAGAAGTTTTGAAGTTTTCAATACATGATTGATAAATGAATGGGTGCATTTTTCTTCACAATTAGTTTATTTTTACTCAAAACATTTGAATCGTTCCATATTTCTGTTGCAATATCTACTTAGAATGTCTTTCAATGACATCAATAAGTGTCCTACCTGACATTGGACCCAGGGTGGAAACCCAGAAGCCTATGGTATATAGTTTCAAAAATTCAATTGAAGAATTTTACAAACAAACTTCCATCATACTTGTCAGATTTATAGAACCTAATCTAGTAAGGGAGAATATTGTAGCTAAATGGCTTAGAGGGAAAGTGTCTTTTTTTAATTGGCACTGGACAATTTATCAGTCTCTAATGTCATGGGCACTCCGTTAGGCTGTGAGAAAGTAACTGGTGGCATAACATTCAATTGAAAATCTCTGTGGGTGATAGTTCATGCCATCATTACATCAATTTAATGAATGAGGTCCAATAGCGTCCTCCTCTTCCTAGAAGGAGCACATCCATCATGGAACAAAAGATTCTCTAATGCCAATACTCATTGTCATGTTTTTCTCTTAGCCTGTATGAGAACAAAAAGTTTTCAGAGTCTAAATAGAAGAATACCAGACATCCTTATCCCATGGAAAATAATTGCCTGAATTGCTAACGACATTTCAGTTCATTACTTTTGCCATATCGAGAAGATAATCTGCGAGGATATAATCTTACTTAGGCTAACTGAAGACTGTTTTATGTCTTGTTCCTGAAATAGATGGGCAATCTCCTGATAGGTGTGAAAAACTACATATATATAAAGTCTTCACAAGTGTCATTGCTATGCCTCTCAACATAGCATCTGAATTTGGCCAAAAAAATCTTAAAATATATTACCCAACCACAATCAGCAAATATATTTCCTACTACTTTTAGAAACTTCTGAATTTAGTTCTCCAGCTTCTAAGGGGGAAAAAACCAAAAGAATGGGGGTAGAGCTTCCTTTCTTTCTTTTTAATTATGTTTTTTTCTCTCCTTTTTTTACTTTCTCATTCCTCTCTTCCTTCACTGATATTTTTATTCTTCATCTACTTCACAGTACATAAGAAAACCTCTCAGATATTATAGGCTTTGATTGCAGTGTGAATGGCTGACTTGAAACTGACATCAACTACTTCTTGGGGAAGACAGCTCAACACAAAAAGGATGTTTGTAAGTATGCCTTATTTTAGAGAAGAAAGAAATAAATGACTCTTATTCCTGACAGGGTGTAATATATGTGTTATTATTATCTTGATCTGCTCCAGATGAATTATTTCAACTACTTCACTCCATATCACATATTTTACATTAACAATTTGAACTCACCACACTATCTGTCTTTATCAATATCTGTCTATACAGATGTAGAGTTGACATGGAAATATTCACAATCAACTTAATCTCTATCATACCTATTATTAGAGTAAATATTTCATTGTTCGTTACTTTTTCTTTTGTTTTCACCTTCAAATATTTTATCATTGTTATTGTCATCTTGGTTCAAATTTTAGTAATTTAAATTTAATGTGGCAGTGACCTAAGCATTAAAAATGTTGATTCACATTCAAAATTTTTGCATTCTATATGATTTTCATTGTTAGATAGTAACTATTTAATACTAGAAAAAAGATTTGAAAGTATGTTTTTAATCTAACAGAAATGGTTCTACCTAGGAAGACTCAAGGTTATTTTGTTTTTGTATTACATTTTATTATTTTTTTACTTTTACTGCCAGTAAGCTCTTCTGTCAAGAATCAGAATTTAATGAAAAATAAACACCACCAGTGGAGTCTTGCCCGAAAAGTTGATGTAACAACTTCTTAGAATTGATGTGAGCTACTGTTATTGAAGCCAAGATGATTTCTTTTTCCTTTTTCTCTTTTTTTCCCTCTTTCAGCATCCACAAAGAATATACATAGTCAAATATTAAAAGTAGAAATGTAAGGTTCTGATAAAGTAAGTTAAAAGGGAAAGTTATAGGTTTTGGATGAACTCTGTTTATAATAAACTCAGCATTGATTTTCAATTAATATTGCTTCTAAATGTTATATTTGGTAAATAACACTATTTTATGACTTTAGTTGAAAGTATCTTGCATTCCTGTGTAATACCTTCAGACATTTAGAATTACAAAAGATATATTTTCAGCTTTTTTAGTACTTAAAGTCTAAAATACATCATCCTGAATGCACATTCAAACATATCGTATTTGTCTTACACAGTTTCAAATATTTTTAATAATGTTCCCTGCCTGAAGGATTGATTAAGCTTCACATTTTTTTCTACATTATACATTAGCACTTGTCACATTTAGGGAGGAAAAAAATTAAATAGACTAAAGCAAAGGCTGGCAAACTATAGCCTGCCTGCAGTCATCTATTTTAGTAAATAAAGTTTCGTTGGGACACAGCCAGCCACTCATTTGTGTATTATCTATGGCTAATTTTGTGCTACAGAAGCAGAGTTTAGTGGTTTCTACAGAGTTTATACATTCTTCAAGGCCTCAAATAGTCAAGAGAAGTTTGCTGACTCTTGGAATAAAACACATCAAGATTAAGACATTTGCCAACAAATCTGCACTAGATAAAGAGTGATATGCATTAAAAAAAAGAAAAAATTAGAACATTTTAATGGTGTTCAAAATATTTTCTAATTCTTTTAGAGTCAAAATTATTTATGAAGACTATCAACAAAAAGAAAATTGTTTTTCACCCAAATGTAAGCCAAAACCACACCTCTTACTAAAAGATGGCTATTTACAAACATAAAATATTCTCTCAATATATTGCACATGTATACATTTATATATATTTATAATTACAATAACATATCAATATTATACTGAATAATTAATATTATTACATATAATTAAAATATAAATTAAATATATTAATATAGTAATATATTAATAAACATATGTGTATATATATTTAACCATGTGCTTTGAATCTGAGCTATTGTAATAAGTGGATTATCAGTAACCACAAGTGAATCTTAAAGTATAGGTAAACAACCAACCCACGGTGTGTATAGCACCTATAAGACACACATACTTTTAAATTGGCTAATATTTACATATTTGTATAATGTACATATAAACTCAGGCCATATGGAATTCCTATCCTCAAAAGATAATCAAAAATAACTTTGGTTTGATAAACCTTATAAATTCTCAATTTCAATTAATTGATTTAAAAGTCTATGAGTCATATACAAATGATTGTTTGCTATTTTCTTTGTTCTTAGAATGTTCTTTCTCATTTGGGCATTCAAGAATCAGCTCATTTATCTCTCCTATTGTAAAACCTGGCCTAGTGTCCACAGGGAGAGGTTCCTTATTACTGTTTTCTGGAAGCAAAGATAAGTTTATTATTTCATTGTAGCATCTATCATGGTGTTAACATTATTTGTTGCACATTTGACTCTTTGAGTAACAAATGTTAGGCTTAAGGTCATGAACCATTTTGTAACTTATAATAATAAACTTAGCATTGGTTTTTAATTAATATTTCTTCCAAATTTTATAGTTTCTCCATCACATCACATAAAACCTTTATGAGAGGACAAGATATTCCTATGTAATGCCAGAATGCTTGCCCATAAACATCAACTCAATAATTATGTAAAAACAGAGTAGATGAGTTCTTTCAGATAGTTCATATCTCCTTTCAAAGTTATTGTTTAATTATCTTATCAATAGAGTGATTACATCAAGGTTGCAATGATCACTTTAGTCTACATCTCAGTTATACTTGCTGAGCAATTTATTCACCCACTGAAAACTGTTCCACACCCTTGGGTTCTTCTTTCTCTTATTTAATATGACTCTATGACAAACAACATTAATTCTGATCTGAAACAGAGGTCAAGTTCCCTCATGGCAGAGTGGATCCCTGAGTTATCAACATTAATTAAAATTCCAAAGAGCATCTTGAAGGAACTCTAATTCTGTAATTTTCATAATATTGGGGAAAATGAAGAATGCCTAAATGTCTCCTCACTGTCAGGGACAAGGGATAGAATTACATAATAGAAGGTCAATACTCCGATACTCAGCAAATATTCATATGTATGCACTTAAAAGTTGAGCACCTAAACAAGTGAGACAAAAACTGATAGAATTGCAAGGAGAAATGGAAAAACTGCTATTAGAGTTGGAGACTTTAATACTCTTCTATCAGTAATTGTCAGTAACTATCATATCCGGAACAGATCCTAACTATATCAGTAAGCATCATAGACCAATTGAGGTACTCCCCAGACCTCCATAAACATGTTTTACTAGGGGTCTGAAGGAACTCCCCAAAGTTTCATGATTTAGCAGGAGACAAGATAAGGGTAATCACTGCTAGCAGCTGGACCCATCTAGATTAGGTAAATTTACTGAGGTTCCAGAAAAAGTTCTTCAGGTCTCAGGCCTTAGATATAGATTAGAAGTTAATCATTTATGTCTTTAGATGAATCCACACTTACACATAGATGTATAGCTTAGAACATATATAAGCTCTGGTAAACTTTGCAAATTTGAGTTGGCCTGGCAATATTTTCCCTGCCTTCTCCCTGTACCCGGTTACAGAAACAAACTCTCCTCTTTCCCAGTTCATCTGCATCTTGTTATTGGGCTGCGAGAATAAGCAGCTCAACCCCTGGTTTAGTCTGGGGATGCTTTGATGTCAAAAGGTAAAGCAGAGAGTATAAAAACCCTCACTAAGCATCCTCCATAGAATGGCCAGAACCACTTAGTGGTTGGTGGTCTCTTATCATGAAGAAATGCTCCTCAGTTGTTGTGAATGACTAAAGGGAGGGGCCACAGTCAGGCTCTTGGCTGAAGTCAGCACCGAAGTCTTTTGAAAGGAATAGTTTCTGTTTAGCTCTTTAGGAAGAAGCCTAATGGTGGTTAGTGAGGGAGGGGCTATAACAAGGCATGTCATACCTCTGATCCCATCATGGCCAGGAACTCAGCTTCCAGGGTGTCCCTGGGGTCCTGTTGACCAAACGGGAATCTGTTCAGTTGCTTGGGGGTCTTGGAATTTATTTCTTAATTATAACTTATGACCTCAGAATATCTGGCTTCTATGAAGTAATACACATGTTGGTAGGACCTGGGGTTAAATGCATAAAAGAGGCAGAATGATATTCCCTTGAGAATGGTATCAACAATCCAACAAGATTCACCTGGTCTACTTTTATTGCCAGGAAGAGCCCAAAAGATTGCAAATGACCTTTTGAAAATCATTCCCAAAGTGTTTCAGCTTCATGGCTACCAAAAATCTAGAATGACCTTTAGGCTTGCTCCAGGGCAGCTCTCCAATAAGTGACCCCGGAAACAGCAGTTTCCAAAAATTGGTTGCTGTTTGTGGAAATAACCAGGACATCGAGAAAGGGATTTCCCCCAAAGATTTGAAGACAACATCTAAAAAAGAGGCTGTTCACCCTCTGATAATAATGTCCATATTAATTATTAAGACTAATAGGCCTCCCAGGGGAAGTTATCACAAGTTTTTACAAATTATTTTTTGCCCTATTCCTTAAAGGGCTCTTTTCTGAAGATGGTAATACAATTATGAAACAGGCAAAGGTGAAAGACTACCTACCAAACTAAATGTTCCTCAAAATGCAACTTTCTAAGGAAAACAATTCTGTATGTAAAGTATACAAGGAAAGTAAGATGTGTTTTTGACGAGAAAATTATAAAAAGATATCAGGCTATCTTCTTCTTTAAAAAAAAAAAAGCAATTTCATCTAATTTGAAGGTTATTTAAATGTTGTTTCAAAAATACAGATTATGAAGGTAACAGAAACAAGGCAGAAAGGAACCAGTAAGTAGAAGAGATGTAAAAATTTAAAAATTAAAAGTATGAGGCTGTATTTTTGGTAATAAAAAATAAAAAAGAGCAATTTTTAAATTTTATTTTGTTTTATTTTTGCATGAGATAGAACTTTGTGTGGTCAAAATGATAAGGGGAAAAGGAAAGTAAATTTTTATCCTAAGCTGGAATGCCAATATTTAAAAAAAAACAGGAAGTAAAAGACAAAACTGAATGTTTATGAAAAATATATCACCTGAAAAAAATTTATGCATGATCAAGAAGACTAAAATTTAAAGAGAAATATTTGTTAAGTTTTTCTAAAAATTGAACATTAATTTCATAAATACACTGATGTAAGTAAGGTTAGAGTTTGGACGCCTGTGTTGGAACAACAAGGTTTTTTGAGAGCCTTCATCTGCTCTTAAATATAAAATTGTGCAGGATTTTCTTTACTTTTTAGGTAACTGGCCTACAAAACAGAGATTCTATGCTTCATCAAGATAATTTCTTGAGTTTTTTGCTTTTGAAACCTTTTGGCACTTCAGTTTTATTTCATTGTGACCTGTGAGTCTATTTTGATCAGGTGTTTTAAATCTTTCATTCCTGACAGATTTCTCAAAATCAAAATTAAGTCTTTTGTACGTGAAACTAACCTTTGAACATCGAAGATAAGTTCCTGGAAGTCCAGGAAAGAAATATTAGCCTTATTTAATATGATAAATTTTATGGGAAGCATTGTCAAGTAAAACATGTTTAATCTTCTGTGAATTATGTTTGTATTAATATGTTATTAACATATGTTCCAAAATTTTGTAAGATTCCTAAAAATCTATTATGTCTTAGTATACATTATCAGTAATAATAATGGCTATTATGTAAAATTGTTGGAGGCCACCAAAAATAAACAAATTTCTTTGTCAGTTGAATCATTATTATGAACTTGTCAGCTCTTGTGACAGATCAGGGACTCCCTCTTAGAGACCTGCAAGTCCCCAAGCATAGGAATGAATAAAACTCTTCAGTTCCTTCAAGGGAAATTCCAGGTACCTAGCTATCCCTGAGAAGTAAATTAACAACTCGATAAAGAAGAAGGTAATAGTAGTGTAAAACAATAGCCAAGGAAGTTAGAGTTAGGAGATGTTTGGTTCTCTGTAGAGGCAAAGATAACATCCAAAAATATGTCCCTGAATAGATTCAGAAATCCAGACCCCTCCTGAAAGGATCTGCTGGCACAAAGATCTCAGATGAGGGGCATGTGAAGGCTGAATTCTGACCACCATTCTTTGTCCTAAATTTCTTCCTGAGGGACCCCGGGGGAGTCACATCCACAAGCCAGAGGCAATATTGTTTTCTGCTGATTCTAAATTTTTAAATAAACGTTCCCTTTCTTAACCAATTGCTAATCAGAAAATCTTTGAATCTGCTTATGACCTGTAAGCCATCACTTCAAGGTATCCACCCATTTTTAGCCAAAGCCAAGTGTAAACTCCACGTATTGACATAATTTTGTCTGTAACTTCTGCTTTCACAAAATTTACCCCTGTCTTTAAAACCCTTACCTGTAAATCAGGGAGGTCAGGATTTGAGCATTAGCTTCCTGGTCCTCCTTGCTTGCTGCTCTGCAAATAAATGCCTTCCTTTCTACCTCTGCAAAACCTTGGTGTGGATGTGCACCAGGTGAGTGGACCTCAGCTTAGTTCTATAACAATATTTAAGCATGGTCATTTTAGGTCTTGTTCTCCAGTTAGTTGCTTTATTTTGATGCCTTTCTGAAGCCTTCTGGCAAGAAATTTATAAGCCTAAAGTGTTATGTCTTCAGGGAGGTTCATGGAAAGAATAAAATAACTCTGACAAGGACAGGTTTCTAATAACTTTGAGTTTATAACATTGGACTAAATTTCCAAAACTCATATGAAACTGATGTGTTTGTAAAACTGCTAACCAAGATGAGAGCAAGAATTACTTACTTGAGACTGAATGAACAAGTGAAAAATAATTATGAGGTTCTTCACAACTTTATTTGAAACATTTCTTTATTTCACCACTTTATTTGAAACATTTCAAACTTTACTTGAAACATTTGAAACTTTATTTCAAACTTTACTTGAGACATTGCTGGTTTTCTCAATGTTTTGATTTCCAGATTTAAGAAAACATTATTTTTCCTTTAAGCTATATATAGTTTACAAAAATTTGGTAAAGCATACATTTCTAAACAAAAATAGGAACATTTGCTTTTCCTCTCTCTCTGATCCCTCCAGAATTTGAGTATTTTTACTTTTTATAGCAATATAGTTATATGCATAAATTCAATAATAATCTGTTCTCTTTAACAGGATACATTTGGGAACAGTGGTTATATTACCAAGGCTTTGACTGGAATGTCACATTTGAAAATGTTCATAGAATGTCTGGTTTCAATGTTTCTCAGCTTTATACTGGGTAATTAAAAAGTTGTGACTTTTTAGAAGGCCTAGGAACCTCAAGATATTAAATAGAGCAGGCAAAGTTTAATGTCTGCCTTGCTTTGCCTTCCTAGCATTAAGAGATATTTTCAAAAGTCTGATCTGGGATTCCTTGACAAAATTTCCAGCAGAGCAAATTTAAAAGAAGTGTATATGTTTATACTTACTACATTTATAAAAATATCAGTCAAATTGGTCTTACTATAACTATTTTTGATAGAAATGGGAGTTACTGTAGAGAGAAAAATTTAATTTCAAAAGAAAACTATAGTGTGGCTATTATTAAATTGTAGCCCTGTTCATTGTTTTTGACTTTTTATTGTCTGCCTACAGACTGGACCAGATTCTGAATTCTATTTTTTTTTCTAATATCTGGCTACAGCTGTCCAGCTAAAAACAAGAACTGCTCTGTTCTTGAAGCCCTATAAGCCGAAGCTGAACAACTCAATATAAATTTCAAGGGACAAGTCTCAGTTCTGATGTGTGAGCTACATAGAGTTTACCAGAACACCCCATGCCACAACTAGAGACATTCAAACTGCAAACTAGGACAAGAAGTTGCCAACTTCATACTGTGAAAAGCTATTTCCAAGATTCTCAGAATAAAACTCCCTACCATAATAAGATTCTTACCCCTCTTTCTTTTTCCTTACTTGTGCCTACCTCTTTTGCTTGGCAGGATAGTACTGTAGTTAAGTTTTTACAAAAGCTTCAGAGGATAACTTGCACTGCCTGCATTAAGTTGACCCAGTCTTGGGATGCTAGATTACCTACTAATTAAAGAGGGAGGAATCTGTGCAGTTGATGATACTTCCTGATGCACATAGATAAATACGTTGGTTTTTAGATCCAATTACTTGGTTAAAATGGATCGGGTCTTTGCCTGGCTATTAGATTTTAGTTGGTTTGATCATGGGGATCCTGGCTAAGTAGTGTACTCCAAACTCTTTGTATTATCATCTTGATAGTCAGAATAGTAGTCTTGCTGGTGCGCTGTGTTCTCTCAAAACATTTTAAATATTTCCATATGGCCATCTGTCAGATGGTCTTTCTCCAGCTAAAACAACAAAAACTCAAAGAAATGTATGATAATGATGATGATGTCATAATGGTTAAATGTCATTCTGAGACTAGAAACCTGAAATGATGCTGAGAGTAGCACTGATACCCAAGGTTTTGGTGACAATCTCACTTAGGCGACAGCCTAACCAAAGTGGGGAATTGTTAAGTAAAAATCATGGGAAGTCATTGTTTTTCACTAAGCCCCAACAGACCACACTAAAAATCAAAATAGAGTAACCCATGCTAAAGTTCCACATCACCAAACCTAAACTAAATTGTCATCAGACCTTCTCAGAATTCAGAAGAGAGAGATCAGTTATTTCCCAAATAAGCCAGTTTAAATTTTCAGTGAGCATGAACTCTCTACATTAATCCATACACAAATAAAAGTAGGCTGAGGTAACATGATGTTAATTAGTCAGCTATTTTTTTTTTCTCCCTGGCCCTGCCTTAGAAGGAAAAGTAACTTTGAAAAGTAACTAACAGATTGATGATTCTTTGCTTCTGTTTAATTCAGCCCATTATTTTCTATTAAACCAAAAATTCTTATGCTCAACTCACTGGAACACATATTCTATTTTATGGAATTAAGTATTGTCTGATTCTAGAATTGCTAATAAAGCCAAGTTTAAATTAAATTTGTTGTAATTATGTCTTTTGATACAAACTGCCACATTGGAGATCAAATTTCAACATCTAAATCACAGAATTCCATGCTTGGCTCTCAAAACTCATGTCTAATTTGTAACAGCCCAACAGGTTCATCTTGCCTGCTGCCCAGAAAAGCCAATGCACTGAGAACAGCAGGTATTGCATCAAAGAAAGGGTTTAATTATTGAAGGTCCAGCCAAGCAGCAGGATGGGAGACATTTCTGAAACCTGCTGCCCCAAAAGCATTTGACTAAGATTTTCTAAGATAACTTAGTGGCCAGGAGCTAGGGAATGAGTGCTACTGATTGGTTGGGGATGAAATCACAGGAGTATTCAAACTGTTTTCATGTTCTGGATCAATTTCTGGGTAGGAGTCAGTTCCTTGGTATGAGTCATGGGTCTGGGTGGAGTCAGTTGGTCACCAGAATGCAAAAGTCTAAAAAAAAGTCTCAAAGGATAATCTTAGGTTTTGACAATAGTGATGTTATCTACAGGAGCAATTGGGGAAGATACAAATTTTGTGACTTCTGGAACAATGGCTAGCTATTGTTTAACCATGCCTCTATCTCATCAGAATACAGGCCCCTCCTATAATCCTAAACTCATGCCCCTTCATTAGTCTTATAAAGGGAATTTCCATCCCCAAACAAGGAGTGGGTTAGTTTTGAAAAAAGAACTGTCTTAAGTTAACAAAAGTGGTTAGCTTGTGAGGTTAGAAGCAAGACAGAGTTAGTTAGGTTAGATTTCTCTCACTGCTACAATTTTTGCAAAGGTAGTTTCATTTTCATATGCAAAATACAATCATTACATCCCAATATTCCCCAAATCTTAACTCATTTTAACGTCAACTCAAAAGCCCAAACTCCAAAGTATCTTCTGAAACTCAAGGCAAATTCCTTCCAGCCTGTAAAAAAAAAAAAAAGAAAAGAAAAAGAAAAAAGAAAGGAGGGTTGGGAGTTAAATAGGCCAAAAGAATGGAATTAAAGGCCGTACACAAGTTTGAAACACAGCAGAGCATACATGAAATCTTAGGGCTCCAGCATAATCTTTCCCTCCATGCGTCCTGGGCACAGTGACGGTTTTGGGTCACCAAAGACTGGGGTGGACCTGCCTAAATGGCTTTGCTGGGTGCAATACACATAGCTGCTGTCATGGATTGCAACTGAATGTCTGTAGCTTTTCTGGACTGAGGTTGCATGCTGCCAATGGCTTTACATTTCTGGGGTCCCAGTGGCAGCCTCATACCATTAGGCATTGCTCCAGTGTGAGCTCTTTGTGGCAGTTCTGACCCAAACTTCACTCTGCATTGTTATAGCAGTGAATCTCTACAGTGATTTTGTCCCTGGGACAAGTTTTCCAATGGGCTCCCAAGCTTTCCAATACATCCTCTGAAATCTACATGGAGGCCTTGATGCTGTTATTTCTCTTGCATTCTGCCAGCTTACAAAATTAGCACCACATTGACATGGATGCCACTAAGGTTTACCCATTGGGCCCTCCAGAAAAGTGGCCCAAGCCACATCTGGGGCTGTTTGAGCCATGGATGCTGTAGCCAGAGTAGCTGCGATACATGGAGCAGGGTAACTAAGGTGATGCAGAAAACTGGTGTCCCAAGCCTATTCCCTGAAACCACTCTGTACCTCTAGGTCTCCTGGCCTGTGATGAGAAGGACAGCCTTGAGGATCTGTGAAATGTCCTTGAGGCCTTTTTTCTCATTGTTCTATTAACACCTGGCTCCCTTTTAGCCATGCTAATCTTTTTTTTAAAAGACTCTCTCAGCTGCACTCTTTAATTTCTTTCCTGAAAACAGCTTGTTCTTCTTCCCTACCACATGGCCAGGCCACAAATTTTTCAGGTTTTCCCACCCTGCTCTTTTTTTTTTCCCCAGCAGTTCACTGTAGGCAGTTAGAAGTAACCATGCAGTAGCCTGAATACTTTACTGTTTAGAAATGTCTTCTGCTTGATACCCTAGGTTATCACTCTTAAGTTTGGCCCTCCACAAAGTTCTAGGGTATGAACACAATGCAGCCAATTTCTTTGCTATGGCATAATACAAATCACCTTTTGTTTAATTTCCAATACCTTGTTCCTCCTTCCCATATGAGAGCTCATCATATGGCATTTACTGTCTATATTTCTATCAGCATTTTGTTCATGAACACTTAACCAATCTCTAAGAAGTTTCAAACTTTTCCTGGTCTTTTTGTATTCTTCTCAGCCCTCGCCAGAATCACCATTAATGTTCCATTTACTGCTATACAATGTTTCTCTTGCCTGCAAATTTAAACTCTTCCAACCTCTGCTCATTACCCAGTTCCAAAGCCACTTTAACCATATCAGAGAATTTTATAGTACCAATTTTCTGTCTTAGTTAGTTTTGTGTTACTATAACAGAATACCAGAAGTAATTTATAAAGAAGATGAGCTTATTTGGCTCACAATCCTTGTGGCTAAAAAGTTCAAGATTGTGCAGCTGCATCTAGTGAGGGCTTCAGGCTGCTTTGACTCATGCTGGAAAGCAAAAGGTGGTTGTGTGTAGAGATTCCATGATGAGAGAGGAAGCAAGAGAAGAAACCATTGAAGCCAGATGCATTTTAACAACCTGTACTTTCAGTAACTAATCTATTCCCACAAGAGGATATCAATCTTCTAATACAGGATCCTCCTTCACGACCCAAATACCTCCCAACACTGCCAACTTGGAAATCAAATGTTAATGTCAGTTTTGGTAGAGACAAATTACATTCAAACCATAACAATAGGAAATTAAAACAGTTTTCTACTTATATAAAGTTTTAGTGGTATGGATAGGAGATCAAACTAGATACAACATTCCCTTAAGACAAAGCCTGATCCAGAGTGAAACCATAACTCTCTCCAATTCTAGGAAAGCTGAGAGAGGTGAGGAAGCTGCAGAAGAAAAATTGAAAGCTAGCAGAGGTTGGTTCATGAGGTTTAAGGAAAGACACCATCTCTATAACATAGAAGCACAAGGTAAAACAGCTAATGTAGAAGCTGCAGCAACCTATCCAGAAGATCCAGCTAAGATAATTGATAAAGGTGGCTACACTAAACAACAGATTTTTAGTGTAAATGAAATGGGCTCATACTTTAGTGGAAGATGCTATCTAAGACTTTCATAGCTAGAGAGGGGAAGTTAATACCTGGCTCCAGAGCTTCAAAAAACAGGCTGACTCTCTTGTTAGGTGTTATTACAACTGCTAATTTTAATGAAGCCAATGTTTATTCATTTTTCTGAAAATTCTAGGGTCCTTATGAATTATGTGAAATCTACTTTATCTGTGCTTCATAAATGATACAACAAATCCCGGATGACAGCACATCTGTTTACTGCATAGTTTACTGAATACTTTAAGACCACTCTTGAGACCTACTACTGAGAAAAAAATTCCTTTCATAATAGTACTGCTTGCTCATTGACAATGCACCTGCTGGTACATCATAGCTTTCACCCAAGAGCTCTGATGCAAATGTACAAAGATATTAAGGTCATTCTTGTGCCTGTGAACACAATATCCATTCTGCATTCCATGGATCAAGGAGTAATTTTGACTTTCAAGTAATATTATTTAATAAATACATTTGGTAAGGAGTTAGCTGTCATAGATGGTAATTCCTTGGATAGATCTGAGCAGTCAGTTGAAAATCTGGAAATGATTCACCAATTCAGATGCTAATAAAAGTGTTCATGATTCATGGGAGGAGGTAAAAATATCAACATTAACAGGAGTCTGAAAGAAACTGATTCCAGGCCTCATGGATGACTAAAGTGTAGTGTAAGTATAACTTTTACATTTACTGGGAAATGAATAAATTTGTATGACTCACTTTATTGCAATATTTGCTTTATTGCAGGTGATCTGGAACTGAATCTTCAATATCTCCAAGGTATGAGTGTACTGTGATGGTGGATACATGATATAATGCATTTGGCACAGCTCATAGGGCTGTAAAGTGCTAAGAGTAAACCCCAACGTAAACTATGAACTTTAGTTAATACTCATGTATCAATAATGGTTCATCAATTGTGAAAGCTTTACCACACCAATGCAAGATCTCAGTAATTGGTGAAAAGGAGGATAAGGAATGAGGGAGTGTATGAGTTCTCTGTACTTTTTGCTCTGTCTTTCTGTAATCATAATACCTCTCTAAATATAAAGTCTATTAAGAAATAGAAAAATAATATTCATCTTTGTGCAACATAGACATGATTTATCTTAAATTTTATGATGTATAAACTTGAAAGTAAAATAATTTAAAAGGATAATATAGGACAGTGTACAAATGAATTAAAATATTTATTTTATGAAGTACTATACTCCAATAAAAATAAATTAGCTACAACTATCCACATCAATTTATGACTGTAAAGAATATAATGTTGAACAAATATGAAGTCATTTAAAAATTATGATTCTAGTTATACAAAGATAAAAAGAAACTTAGATAGGTTAGAGATAAATACCAATATTTTAAACCCACAAGAAAATGAATAAGATAGTATTGAGGGTAGTGACTCATGTTGAGGATTAGTGGGAAGGAAAAGTTTAGAGAGGGCCTCATACCAAAGTTTCTGGTAATATTCTATTACACAATATTTTGTTTCATGATTAGTGAGAATGTAAATAATTTCTTATTATCATAACCACATGTATTTTGCATATTAATTTTTCATACACTAAATAGAGAATTAGGGAGGAGGGGACAAAATAGCTGACTAGACATGACCAGGAAGCACTGCTCCCAATGAGAGAGACCAAACTACTGAGTACACCAACATAATTTGGGCAGATCTTTGGAAAGAAAATGCTGAGAGTGAATAGAGAAGGATGATGAAGCTGAGCTTGAAGAGGGAGGAAGTAGGAAACCTTGCACAGGGAACCCAAACACTAACTTCTGGTCCCAAACTGGCTCCTGGGAAAGGGGTGAGTGAATGAATTCAGGGAAGGCTCACTCTCCTACAAGCCTCAGGATCCTAGCTACAGAGGACCCTGCATTCCCCATAGACATGTGAGCTGGCAGGGTGAAGTGCCTGAGCAGTAAGCAGACACAGGCCTCCAGAGGGCATGGAGCCTAGAAGCTCTTGTGCAATTAACAGCTCCTGCAAAGGAGTGGCCATATATGCTCATCCCTCAGGGGTCTCCCCCACCTCCTGCCGTAGGAAGCTCTGGCCCCAGGGGACCACTGAGTAGGGAGAGAGCAGGGCTAGCTTCCCCACAGGACTGGGGCCCATCTGTTTTGCAAGCCCTCCTGCCAGCCATCCCTCTGAGGGCCCATGCCTAGACAGCTTTCAGGAGCAGGTGCATGGCACAGTTTCTGCAGCCCAGCATGAGTGCATTGCTCCACCTGAGTACTTCCCTAGTGATCTGGGACCACACCTGGTCCTCCCGTACAGCTAGAGCATGACCCTGAGCCATGGGATGTCCCATTGCCCCTAGGATTGTGGCATACAGCTCAGGAGTATTGAGCTGAGATCTGTGGCCACCACTCAGGCAGGAGATAAGCCCTTATTCTCAGGGTATTGAGAGAGGTGAGACATGGGTTTCTGGAACTAGAGCTAAAGCAGAGCCTGCTTCTCTCTAGAGGCCCTGCAGAAAGGGTGTGGCCTATTTGTCTTCTGCAGCCTATTCCTGAGGGAGCCCCTTGGCCCAGAACATCTAACAAAGAAACGCAGGTATGACACCAGTGTTTGGAGAGGGCTCCTCCGAGGTCAAAGGGCCTGCCTGGTGAGAGGATAATCTTTCTTCATCCCCAATCACTGAGAGTGCCTGTGAATGCAAGAAACTGCAAAAGGGCTACACAGCCCAGCTATGGCCTATTACTCTTAAGGGCTGTCTACTGAATCACAGCCAAAACTACAACACCAAACATTTCCTGCTAGTATATATGAATAAATCTGTGAAACTAAACGCAAGAATCACTCACACATAAAGATCTTGTACAGAGCCCAGGCCCTCCAAAAGCATCCAGAAATGAAGCCAGCTGAATATAATCAAGTTACACCACAGTTAAAGGAACACCAACCCTCCCAGATGAGAAAGAATCAGTGCAAGAACTCTGGCAATTTAAAAGGCCAGTGTTCCATTACATCCAAGTGTGTCAGCTAGCTCCCCAGTAATGGTTCTTAACTAGTCTGAAATGACAGACATAGAATTCAAAATCTGGATGGCAAGGAAGCTCACTGAGATTCAGGAAAAAGATGAAATCCAATACAGGGAATCCAAGTATCTACTAAAATGATCCAAGAGTTGAAAGATGAAAGCCATTTTAGGAAAGAACCAAAGTGAATTTCTACAGCTAAAAAATTTACAATAATTTCATAATATGATCAGAATTATTAACAGCAGAATAGACTGAGCTGAGGAAAGAATCTCAGAGCTTGAAGACCAGTTCTTTGAATCAACTCAGTCAGACAGAGTTTTTTTTTTTTGGAAAAAGAATTTAAACAATGAAATAAACCTCCAAGAAATATGGGATTATGGAAAGAGATGAAGATAAGAAAAAGAAATTATAACCAAGAATTCTATAATATACCCTGCCAAACTAAGCTTTATACATGAAGGAGAAATAAAACCTGTCACAGACAAGCAAATGCTGAGGGAATTCATTTCAACTAGACCAGACTTAAAAAGGGTCCTTAAAGTAGTGCTAAACATGAAATCATGAGAACCACACCTGCTACCACAAAACACATTTAAACACTATAGGCACTATGAAACAACTACACAATCAAGCCTACATAATAATAAGCTAATAACATGATGACAATACCAAAATTTCACATATTAATATGAACCCGGAATGTATAGAGACTAAACAACCTACTTAAAGACATAGAGTGGCAATGTGGATAAAAAGACAAGACCCAACCATCTGCTCTCTTTATGAGACCCATCTCATATGTAATGACACCCACAGGCTCAAACTTAAGGAATGGAGAAACAATCTGTCATGCAAATGGAAAATGAAACAGAGCAGGAGTAGCTGTTCTTATATCAGATAAAACAGAAACAGACCTTAAACCCATAAAAATTAAGAAGGACAAAAAAGGGCATTAGGTAATGATAAAGGATATAATCCACCAAGAAGGTTTAACTATTGTAAATGTATACACACTCAACACTGAAGCACCCAGGTTCATAAAACAAGTTATTCTTGGCCTACAAGAAGACTTAGATGACCACAGAATTATAGTGGGAGACTTCAACAGCCCACTGACAGCATTAGATCACTGAGACAGAAAACTAACAAATTGCCTCTGAACTTCATACTTGACCAATTGGAACTAACAAACATCTACAGAACACTCCACCCAAAAACTACAGAATATGCATTCTTCTCATCTGCACACTGATCATAATATAAGATTGACCATATGCTTGGTCATACAGCATGTCTCAATAAGTTCAGAAAAATTAAAATTATACCAAGCACACTCCCAGACCTCAGTGAAAAAAATAGAAATTAGTATCAAGAATATGTCTCAAACCTGCATGAATACATGGAAATTATATAACTTGCTCTTGAATAACTCCTGGGTTAACATGAAAATTAAAGCAGAAATTTTAAAATTATTTGCTAGTAATGAACGTAATAACGTAACTTACCAAAACCTTTGGCATGAAGCTAAAGCAGTGTCAAGAGAAAAGTTTATAATGCTAAACATCTTCATTCAGAAATTAGAAAGATTTCATATTAATGATCTAACTTTCTAATTAAAGGAACTAGAAAATAAACAACAAGCCAATCCCAAAGCTAGCAGAAGAAAAGAAATAACTAAAATCGAGAGGAACTGAATTAAATTGTGATGCAAATATCCATATAAAAGATCAATAAAACCAAGGGTTTTTTCTTCAAAAACATAAATGAGATCAAATGACCACTAGCTAGATTAATTTAAAAAAGAGAAGATCTAAATAATTAGAATCCAAAATGACAAAGATAATGTTACAACTGGCCCCACAGATATACAAAAGATTCTCAGAGAATACTGTGAACAAATCTATTCAAAAAATTAGAAATTTAGAGGAAATTTCTGGAAACACACAATATTGAATTAGGATTCAGGAAGTTTGAATCAGGAAGAGATTGAAATCCACAATAGACCAACAGCGCTCTGAAATTAAATCAGTAATAAAAAACCTACCACCACTACCAACAACAACAACAACAGCAACAAAAACAAAGGCCTTGACTAGATAGATTCACAGCTGAATTCTACCAGATGTACAAAAAAGAACTGGTACCAATCCTACTAAAATGATTTCCACCAAAAGGAAGAAAGGCTCCTCCCTAACTTATTCCGTGAAGGCAGTATCAGCATAATATCAAAATATGGCAGAGACACAATGATAAAAGAAAATTTCCGGCCAATATCTCTGATGACCATAGATGCAAGAACCCTCAACAGAACACTAGCAAACCGAATTCAACAGCACATTGAAAAATTCATACATCACAATCAAATGGGCTTTATTCCTGGGATGCAAGGCTGGTTCAACATACACAAATCAATGCGTGTGATTCACCACATAAACAGAATTAAAAGCAAAAACAATGTGATCATCTCAATAGACTCAGAAAAATCTTTCCATAGAATCCAGCATACCTTCATAATAAAAACCCGCAATAGACTAGGCATTGGAGGAACACACCTCACCATATTAAGAGCAATTCTTAGACAAACCCACGACCAATAACATACAGAATGGCAAAACCTGGAAGCATTGCCCTATGAACTGGAAGAAGACAGTGTAACCCAATCTCCCCACTCCTATTCAATGTAGTACTGGAAGTCCTAGTCACAGCAATCAGGCAAGAGAAATAAATGGCATCCAAATAGAGAAAAAAAAAAGGAATCCAAGTACTTTTCTTCGTTAATAATATGATTCTACACATAGAAAACCCTAAAGACTGTCAAAATGCTACTAGAACTGATAAATGATTTTAGTAAAGCTTCAGGATTCAAAATCAATGTACAAAAATAAGTAGCATTTTAATACACCAATATCATCCAGGCTGAGAGTCAAATCAAGAACAACTTAAGAATTCAAGTAAAATCAAGAACAATTTCATTTAAAACAGCCACAAAAAATGAAATACCTAGGAATACAGCTAACCTAGAAGGTGAACAATCTCTATAAGGAGAACTATAAAATCCTGCTGAAAGAAATTAGAGACAACATAATTAAATGGAAAACATTTGATGATCATGGATTGGAAAAAAAGATACCATTAAAATGGTCACATTGCCCAAAGCAATTTACAGAATCAATGCTAGTCCTATCAAGCTACCAATGTCATTCTTCAGAGAAAGATGTTGTTTAATTTCCATATATTTGCATTAGAAATAACTATCCTAAAATCCATATAGTATCAAAGAAAGAGCCTAAGCAAAAAGAACAAAGCTGAAAGCATTACATTACCTGACTTCAAACTATACTATAAGGCTACAGTACCCAAAATAGCATGGTGCTGGTACAATAACAGACATACAAACCAATGAAACTAAATAGAAAACTCAGAAATAAAGCTGCAAACCTACAGCTATCTGATCTTTGACAAAGCCAACAAAACAAGCAATGGAAAAAGGACTCCCTATTCAATAAATGATGCTGAGATAACAGGTTAGCCATAAGCAGAAGAATGAAATTGGAATCTTTCCTTTCCCCATACACAAACATCAACTCAAGATGAATTAAATATTTAGTGTAAGACCCCAAAGTATAATAATCCTAGAAGAAAACGTAGGAAATACTTTTCTTGATATTGACCTTGCCAAAGAAGTTGTGACTAAGTTCTCAAAAGCAATTGCAATAAAACAAAAAATTGACAAGTAGAACCTAATTAACCTAAAGAGCTTCTCCACAACAAAAGAAATCATCAACAAAATAGACAACTTACAGAATGGGAGAAAATGTTTACAAACTATGCATCTCACAAAGATCTAATATCCAGAATGTAAAAACATGTATTAAAAGACAAATAAGTCCATTAAAAAATGGTCAAAGGACATGTGCAGAGACTTCTCAGAAAAAGACATACAAATAGCCAACAAAAATATGAAAAAAATCCTCATCATCGCTAATTATTAGAGAAATGCAAATCAAAACCACAATAAGATACCATCTCACAGAAGTCAGAGTGGCTATTACTAAAAAGTAAAAACAAACAAACAAACAAAAACAACAGATGCTCGTGAGGCTGCAGAGAAAAGGAAACCTTATACCTTACTGGTGGTACTACATTAACTGATTTTTGGATACTGAACTAATGTTGCACTTATGAGATAAATGCCACTTATAGTATATAATTTTTTTATATGTTACTGGATTTGGTTTGCTCGTATTTTTTTCAGATTTCTCTATTAATTATATATTGGTTATGTTGGTCTGTAGTTACTTTTCTGGTAAGGTTTTTGTCTGCTTTTATTATCAGGGTAATATTGTACTCAGAAAATGATTAAGGAACTGCTCCCTTTTTCCATTTTTTTTGGAAGAGCTTGTGAATAATAATTATTAATATTTTATATGTTCATTAGAATTCACCAAAAAGCCATCTGAGCCGGGCCTTTGGTTGTGGGAAGTTTCCAAATTACTAAGTCAATCTCTTTATTTGTTATATTTTTATTCAGATTTTCTGTTTCTTCTTAAGTCACTTTCAGTAGTTTGTGTTTTTCTATGATTTTGTCTCTTTTACCTAAGTTATCTAATTTATTGCCATACATTTGTTCATAATATTCCCTTATAACCTTTTTTGTTCTTTTCCAGTCAGTAACAATGACCCAACTTTACTACAGGTTTTAGTGATTTGAATCTTCTCTGTTTTTTCTTGGTTCATCTAGCTAAAAGTGTGGGTGGCTATATGCAAACTCTATTCTGTCCACTCAGTTTTTCTGTAAGCATACAAGTACTTAAATATTTTAACCTAACACGGCTTTACATATATACATATTAATATATAATATAAAAATATATAAAATATATATAATATATAATAATATATAACATATAATATTCATATTATTATGAGAAAAACCAGTGGATGCAAACACCTAGATTATATATACACAGAGTAGGTGTATTACACAAGAAGATAATAGAATTGCTAATAAGCACATGAAAAGATGTTTACTTATTAGGGAAATTCAAGTCAATATCACAATGAGTTACCACTAAACAAACACGTTTATATTAAAAATTATTGACAATATTCAACATTGGTGATGGTATGGAGAAACTAGTATTCTCGTGTATTGTTGGTAGGGATGTAAAATGATTCAGATATTTTGGACAAGAATTTACTAATTTTTAGAAGGTGAAACAGTACTTTGACTACTAGTTATCTAACCATGAGAAATAAAAACATTTGTCACCACAAATACTTGTAATGAATGTCCTCTCAACATTATTACAAAAGCCAGTACCAGGAACAATCCATATAACCTTCACCCGGAGAATGCAAAAAATACAATCTACATTCATACGTTATATTACTTCTCAACAATAAAATGAACAAACTAGTGATATATGCAACAACATGATTGAACTTCAAATATATTGGGCTCAATTAAAGTCCTACAGAAAAAAACTACATACTTGATAAAGTAAAGTTGTAATCACAGATTACAGATTAATTGTTTCCTTGGGCTGTCTATTGGAGAGAAAATTTGCTCCAAAGGGCATGAGGAAAATGAGAAAGAGAATAGTAGCTGTGTATCAAAAGTGGGTTGTTTGAATGATAATACAACAGCAAAAACTTAATACCTACTTAAAAATAGATAAATTTTGTGATATACATAGTACATATGTAAATTATTCCTCAATTATGAGATATAACAACAAGAACAACAAAAAAATGGAAAAGAGAAGATACAGAAATATTCATATTATTTTGACAGATGCCAGTGGATGCAAACATCTAGAAAATGAGTTGGGGGCAAGGTCAATGTAATTCAAAAATATGCCTAACGTAGTAATAGACAAATAAAATTTAACTGTACCTAATATAAAATCAGAACATTACCATGAAATCAATACATTACTTAAAATATTAAAGCACGCAAAAATCACAATCCCTTGATTCTTGGCTAGTCTGCAAATGTTGCTTTGTCTGTAACTATTCTAAGAACACGCTCAGAAAATCATTCCTAGAAATATGTCTGTTGCTAGCATTTAGCAGTTTAACCTAAGGATTTCTCAAAATAACCTATAGAACAATTTGTGGCAGCTGTATTTTTCTAGTTTTAAGTTTTTACCAATATATATGTTTGAAGCAAAGAATGTTGATACTCAGTAAATCACATCTTTATGTGTTTAAACTGTGTATAAACTGTGTCTCTCTGTGTGTATGTGCTTTCAGCTCTAGTTAATTCATTCATTACTGCATTACACTGAAAGAGCTCTAAAATTTTATTTCTAAAAGTGACATCAGTTAGCATATAACTACCTACCTATTTTTGTAGATGAGAAACCTTATCTAGAGATTGAAAATGACTTATCCAAAGGCAAGTTTAGTCAAGAATAGAATCTAGGTTTCTTGGCATTATTAAATAACTACTATATCATTTTTTTCTGTCAGATTACTATCAGTTGGCTATGGCTACAATAAAATGTGGAATGAGTTCAGCAATATCTGTATTTTCTACTCATAATTGAAGTAAAAGTGATACTGAGTTTTACTCTCATAATTGTTGCAAACTGAACAGTTAACTAAAAGTTTGGGAAAGTTTTAATTTCATTTAGACCTATATGGCTTAGCTAGAAGAAGGGGAAGTATGATACTCACTGGATGATTGGCATGGAATTCTTGTTAATTTCTCAATAGGAAAATTGTGAGATGAATACTGTTAATATATGTTAAAGAACCTAGGCTCTTTTTTCTAGAACATTACAATCTAAAATAAAACAGCAATAGAAAAAATATAAACAGCATTAAAAATGGCAAAAAAGATCATTATTACTAAAAGTTAACATTTATATTGTTCTTACTATATTTTATACATAATCCAAAATTATTTTCTCAGGTAATCTTCAAAATAGGACTTAGGAGTTACGCTACTATCCACATAAATATTATCCATGTAGCTAATCACTCATAGACAATATAAATTACTAAAAGACATTAAAGAATCTGGCTGGCCGGGCACGGTGGCTCACGCCTGTAATCCCAGCACTTTGGGAGGCCGAGGTGGGCAGATCACTAGGTCAGGAGATCGAGATCATCCAGGCTAACATGGTGAAACCCCGTCTCTACTAAAAATACAAAAAAAAAAAAAAAAAATTAGCCGGGTGTGGTGGTGGGCTCCTGTAGTCCCAGCTACTCGGGAGGCTGAGGCGGGAAAATGGCGTGAACCCGAGAGGCGGAGCTTGCAGTGAGCGGAGATCGCGCCATGGCACTCCAGCCTGGGCGACAGAGTGAGACTCCGTCTCAAAAAAAAAAAAAAAAAAGAATCTAGCTAAGATCCCTTAGCTGGTATGGAAGAGAAAACATAATAGGATGGGGTCAGAATATAAAATATAAGGTTATATCATGAGGTGAAAGATGGCTGAGTTAGAAAGCCTGGGTTTAAATTCCAATCCGCTGATTAATCTTGGCCTTAAAGCAGTTCGCTCTCTGGGAATCAGACACCAGCTGTAAAATGAGCCTCTCTTTGCCTCTTAGGATTATTAAGAGGCATACATGAAATCATATATGATACTCTTTATATATAAAAATCACTATATAAAGCACTTTTCAAGCATGCAGTAGTGTAATGATGCACTTGATTTAAGGGGTTCATTGAGGAAAGCCCCTAAAGTGAAAAGCAAAAATAGAAGCAAACCTTTCCAAATGCCTGCTAGATTCTGGGAGCTCATGAAAAACAAGACTCCATATTTCACTCTTTAAAATAAAATCTCTGCAACTCCGATGAAGGGAAGGATCATAGATTAGGTAGTTATAGAACATTCTTACATTAGTCAAATCTGCAACCATTTGCACACCAACTTTCTAATTTTTGTTGTGTCTGCCAAGCACATACACTTACAACATTCATTTTCTTATTATTTTTAAAATAAGCCTTTCGTTTTGGTTTGGTTTTTTGTTTGTTTGTTTGTTTGTTTGTTTGGACAGGGTCTTGCTCTGTCACCCAGGTTAGACCAGGCTGGAGTGCAGTGGCGCCATCTAGGCTCACTACAAGCTCCTTCTCCCCGGTCCAAGCGACTCTGCTGTCTCAGCCTCCCGAGTACTGGGATTACAGGCACGGGCCACCACTCTTGGTTAATTTTTTGTGTTTTAATAGAGACGGGGTTTCATTGTGTTGCCCTGGCTGGTCTTAAACTCCTGAGCTCAGGCAATCTGCCTGCCTCAGCCTCCCAAAGTGCTAGGATTACAGGTGTGAGCTCGAGCCCAGCCTAAAATAAGTTTCTTTAATTAGAATGTTAATGAAAGAAATTCATTTGAACCATAACCACAGGTTAATAAACAGATCATTGCAGGTAACTTTAAAGCCTCTTGTCTACCCTTTTCTGAAAATATCCTCTTAGTCACCAAAGGTAATTATTATAAGATCATCATTGCATAAACATGCCCTCGCTTTTCTTATAATTTTAAACTCTATATTCCTATATAAGTATACCTAAACAATGTATTATCCACCTTTGGCTGCCTTTAAATAATACACAATGCACATTTGTGTGATATATGTCAACATAATATTTTAAGTTTCTTTCTTGTATAGAGTTAATATATTTTCACTATTGAATGATATCCCAATTCATGTGTATATTACAATTATTTATCTAACCATTTGGTTGATACCTTTTGTTCACATCAGTCTTTATTTCAAACACTCTTGATCATTTTTGTTTGTATAATTCAAGCAATATCTTTGTTGATTACTCATCTATATTTTCCTCCAGAAACACCTTGACCTACTAACAGTTTCACAAATGTCTTCAGGCTGGGGCCATTTTGTTGCCATTAGGGATTTGCTGTTTCCTACAGTAATCATGTTCACTTCACCTCATATGCTTAAGTGCTGCCATTTGGCCTCCGCGTTTCCAGACGCCTACCATTTCCATTAACAAAACAGCACAATTCCATGGAATCCTCTTCGTCTGCTAACCATTGCCTACAAGGACTGCAACCACCACAGTTATCAGTGGTCCCCCAATGAGCAAATTTTTTTTTGAACTGATGAATGGTGTGTCTTCTAATAACCTGCCCTTATGTAACTAATCTATTCGAGCATGTCTAACTTTTTAGCTTTTTGATCCCTTTTCAATACCTTAGAATTCTGGCTCCTAGCACTTTTATAATAAGCTGTCACTTTATGTTTCAAGGAGCTAGGCTAGCAGCATATTGGGGCTAATTCCAGATGTCTGTATAGTATGTTAACTCCTAAGTCAAGGGAAAGTATCCCCATAAATAAACTCTTCCTTATCCAGATTAATAATCTGTATTTTCCCCGGTTCAACACCTTCAAGATACATTCCCAGGAATGTTTTCCCAGTTTCTCTTGGTATACATCAGCAATGGCCTACAGCTTTTTTTTTTTTTTTTTTCCTGCAAAGTGACGTGAGCCATGTTGAGACTTGATCTACTTTATTGATTCAGAAATCATAAAAATAGATCAGGGCAAATCAGGAGTAAGGAAAATATTTCTTGATTTCCAGGAGGAAGCGTCATTTTGTGGTCATGGTGCGGTTTAATAATTTCAAGTTTTTTCAACCGACACTTGAGAAGCTGTATTTTCTCTTCTCAGTTTATACAGTTTGATAAATGTCCACAAGGTCAACATTCATGTTATTTAAATCTTCTATTTCCTTAAATATTTTTTGTCTTGTCAATCTCTTTCGTACTTAGAATAGCGTATTAATGTCTCTTATTACTAGATGTTTCTGGTTATGCCTCTATATATCATAAAATTCCTGCTTCAAAAAAATGGTTACTATGTGAATTGGTACATAGATATTCGTAAGTGTTATACCTTTCTTGTGACTGTGGCTTTTAGCATTAGAATATACCCTTCTTTTTCACAATTGTCCTTTATAGCTTGAATTATATGTATAATATCAGTATCACTACCTCTTATTTATTGTTTTTATTTGCATGGTAAACTGTTACTCATGTCTTTATTTTTAGCTCTTCATAATAACACTGCTTTCAGGTTTTTACTTGTGGACAGCATGAATTTTGCTTTGCCTGCCAAACTAAAATTTAGTTTTAACGAAAAGAAGACAGAGTTAAGTCCCTTTATATTTATTGATAAGGTGAAATGATTGATGCCAACTCTGTAATAATATGTTATAATTATGTCATGTTTATTTACTATGTTTCTTTCTTTGTCATGTGTATTTTTTATACTTTTAGGTTTATAGGACATTAAAATTCAATATTAATTTATTAAAAATAAAAATATTATTTTATTTTTCTTTAAGTTCTTCTGGGTACATAGCACACCTGTATATTTATGGGGTACATGAGATGTTTTGATACATGCATGCAATTTGAAATAAGCACATCATGGAGAATGAGTTATCCATCCCTTCAAACATTTATACTTTGAGTTACAAATATTCAATTATAATCTATAAGTTATTTTAAAATGTACAATTATTGATATAGTTTATTTTCCTTATGATTTTTTAATAACATTTTTCTTTTCTCTTGCTTATTTTATTCTAAGAATACAGTACATAAACATATGACACAAAAAATATATCTTAATTTGTTGTGTTATCAGGCTTCCAGTCACCAAGTAGCCTATTAGTGTTAGGTTTGAGGGAGTCAAAATTTATATGGAAATTTTCAGCTGCGTAGGAGGTCAGCAGCCCTAAACCCTGTGTTGTTCAAGGGCCAAGTGTATATTCAGTTTGGAGTTTTATCTTACAGTTCTCTTTTGCTTAATTGTTATATTGGGGAGGGCTGATTTAATGTGTCTTTTTTCTTTGTTTTCTTTGTTAATATATCAGTATAAGTTTGCTTTTCCTGACGATTTGTATATTGGAATGGATTGCAATCTCTCTAACTTCATGGTATCCTCCTGTCATATAGCAGAATCCAGATACAGTAACTTACTGAATATATATATACTGAGCATGTATATATTCTCTATATATATATCTTATATTTTTTGAAATTTTTTTATCCCTCCTTGTCTTGAAAGATACCAATTTTCCCTTCCTTTCTCCCTCACCACTCCTTCACTATCTTTATTCCTCTGCTAAGGCTGCAAAAACAAAATTTTTGCAATGTAGATTCATTTTCTCCCAGTCTGAAGGTCAGAAACCCAAGATAAAGGTGTCAGAAGGCTTCATTTCTCCTGGAGCTCTCTCTTTGCTTTACAGATGGCTGCCTTCTTGCTGTGTCCTCCCATGGCCTTTTCTCTTCTGCACACATCCCTGGTGTCTCTTCATCTTCTTATGAGGACTATTGGATTAGAACCTCCACCTTTATGACCTCATTTAACCTTAATTACCTCCTTAAAAGGCCTATCTTTTAACGCAATCACACTGAAAGTTAGGGTTTCAACATATGCATTTTGGGGGAACACAGTGTAACCCATAACACCAGCCTATTTCTGAAGTATACCTTATCCTTCTAGTTGGCACTTTTATTAAAAATCTATGTGTTTGAAAGTTTGCCACATCAAAATTCATATACTTTCTTATTATGAGAATTATTGAAGTATAATTAACATGCATTAAATGGCACATCACAATCAACATAAGGAACTTATCCACACAACAAAAAATCTTTCTTTTTTCGTAATCTTTCTTTCACATTCCTCTCTGCCATCCCCATCCTGATCCTCAGGCAACTATAGATCTGTTTTCTGTAACTGTATATTAAGTTGCTTTTTAAACTATGTTAAGTCAATTATATTATGCAGTATGTATCTTTTTGTCTGATTTTTTCACTAAGCATTGTAATATTGAGATTTATTCTTTTTTTGCTCATATCAATAGTCTTTTCCTTTTAATTGCTGCATTATATTCTATTATATATATATATCACAATTTGTTGCTATGAATATTTGTGTTCTAGTTGATGTATGTCTATAGGTTTTCATTTATCTTATCTATAAATTCAGGAGTATCATTACTGTGTTATATAATTGAGTCATGTTTAAATATCCGTAAATACTGCTGACAAGTTTTCATGTTGCCTCTTCATTTTTCTCTATTTTCTCTTGATAAAGTCTCTATTTCCTTCAAATTACATTCCTCTATAATCTGTCTCTCCTATTGAAAGTTATCCTCAGTGATTGTAGAATAGTTGTTAATATTTAGAAATGAGCCTGAAAATCTCATTAAAAGCTTTATGCATGTAAGTTTGGCTAGTAAGCTGTAGGTGTGTTTTTAGGGGATTTCCAATGTTAGCATATAATGTCTTTTCTCTTGAGCAAATTAGATTCTTCAGAGAAGAATCCTTTAACTTTCCACTTGCCTTCCAGCAATTCATGGTTTTTGAGAAAATATGCCTGGTCATCAAAATGCTTAATATGTAAACTTCTACTTAAGCTTCCACATTAAACTGGATCTAATCTCCTTATAGTTTCCCAAATCTTATGTCAGAATCAAAGAAAGAGCAAGTCAGCTGTTTGTACAAAGTGGAAGACGAGATCGTTAGGGAGTGTATTTCTTCTTAAAATGATGTAGCACAACCCTTCTGATTTCATTGTCATCTTACCCCTGCATCACTCAGGACATATCTGTGTCACCAATTACTGAGTCCCTTGAGATTTCTGCTGAGTAAACTGGGTGGCTTCCCACCATCAAATAGTTGTCTCACAATTCACCTTTCTCATATCTGCTTTCTAATCCTTGCTTGTTTTTTCCTGTAGTCTCTTTTCTCATTCTCTTTGCCTTGTCTTTTTATGTTTTAATAATAATACTTAAATATTATTTTAAAATATTCATGTATTTCATACATGGGATGTGTTTTAAAATATGAATTTGTACCATTATCTTACTGAATGTCAAAATTGTTCCCTTTTGTCTTTTCCTCTCTTATGCCAAGGGCTCTGTCAACATTACTTCTCTGGGCAAAACAATAACAGTACTGCAGGATTAATTCTGAGTAGATCAAAGCATGTTTAGACACATACCTTTATTCCATCTGTACTGCTATATGTGACATTGAGTAAGGCACTTAAAATGGAGAAAACTAAGTCTGTTATTCACCTATGCAAGCAGGTGGATAATATATACCATTCAATGTTGTACTGAAAATAAAATCAGATAATGTGCACTCTAGTAATGTGTGTACACTGATGCACCAGCGAATGGGATAACCAAAGCTGATATGTTTAATTCTATCTTGATTAGAGATTGAAGTTTATTCTTTGAGCCATAATTCCCACAAAAAGCTATCCGAAATCTGACTCTTCTTTTTCTGACTTCCAGCAGGTAGAGCATGGTTAAATAATGAGCTATTCCCAGGTGGCACATCAGCAAGGGTTGCACACTCAAGATGAGTTTGATGCTGATTTCCATTATATTCCACAGACCTCAACACAGGTGGCCGTTCTTCCTCTTCCTAAGTCAGAAAATTTGTTCCCACCATACCAACTTCTCTAGGTCCATTTACCTTTTTTTTTTTTTTTTTTTTTTACTACTCTAGTCTAACATAATTTCAAAGAATGAAAAAAATACTGGTAAAATGTATGTATTAAATTATTTATCCTGATATTTAGCTATTTATTTGAGTCTTTGTATATTTTTTATTTAAAGAAGCGGTACTTTTAAAATAATAATAGATAAGATAGAAAAGAATATGTTCAAAAAGGAAAAGCCTAATAGTTGTAACATGATGACACTATATTTACAAATTAATTGCCCAACAGAATGTCTGGTGTATAGGATGCACTCTAGAAATAGCTGCCTTTTCCTTCAAGTTCCTATTGCACAATAATTGTAATTATTATGATAATTATATTGTTAGCTACTATGTATTGAGGGGCTTGTAATTCATTGCCTTAATCTTCAGAGCCATCCTGTGTATGCTGTCTTTTTTTTTCTATTTTTCTGAATCTAAAGAAGGTTATTAAATCCCTTAAGTTTATACATGCTTTCTTCAACTGGTAGCTTCAGATCCAACTGATTTTAAGATTCAGGTAATCACTACACCAGGACTTCTTGTTCTGGAGCCCTAATTTATTTCACTTGTCACATTGATATATTTGACCACCATATACCTCTGTGGCCATTGAGATCACAGAACTGCCTATATCATAGAAGGAATAGAAAACCTGTGATGTGGTTGATGAATAATATATGAATCAGGGGTGTCCAATCTTTGGCTTCCCCGGGCCACACATAAAATACACTACCACTAACAATAGCTGATGGGAAAAAAATATATCACAATATAATCTCATAATGTTTTAAAAAAGTTCACAAATTTGTGTTGGGCCACATTCAAAGCCATCTTGAGACACATGTGACCTGCAGGCCGTGGTTGGACAAGCTTGATATAAATGATGAACCCTCAAAATGTTTTAAAGTATTCACTGTGCTGGGTGGCGACTTATGCCTGTAATTTTAGCACTTTGGGAGGCTAAAGAGGATTTCTTGAGCCCAGGAATTCAAGACCATCCTGAGCAACATGGTGAGACCCCAACTCTACAAAAACATTTAAAACATTAGCTGGGCATGGTGTCACAAGCCTGTAAACCCAACTACTTGGGAGGCTGAGGTGGGAGGATAGCTTGAGCCAAGGAGGTTGAAGCTGCAGTGAGCCATAATTGTACCACAACTGAACTCCAGCCTGGGCAACAGAGCGAGACCCTGTCTCAAAAAACAAAAACAAAACAAAACAACAACAACAACAAAAAAAACAGGTTTTAAAATGTCTACTGTTATTATCACATCTGTTCAAATGAATACTGGATATTGTGAAAAAGAGGCAGACACTGGTTTTTAGCATATATATGTTTGTGTGTGTGTGTGTGTGTATTAACTTTGGGAAAGTAGGTGGAAGACTTGACACTGGGCAGGTAACTTCTGATCTGGAGATGACCCAGGGAAATGTCAAGACATAAAATAGGGTACTGAGGATCATAGGCCCAAGCTGAGTCTTTGCCAGAGGATTGCTTGCAGGAATCAGATAACAAAGCTGGCAATGAGAAGCCCAAGGGTGTGGAGGGCATCTCTGAGGACCGGCTTCATCATTTTGCCTAAGGTCGGTTCCTATTTGAGAGTGAAATACGAAGCTGATAGAACAATTATTTTGATGGCTTCATGTTTTTAACCACTTTAATTTTAATAAAATAGTAATAGGTTTGCCTATATCATATTGGCTTACTAATGTTAGAATAATTTGTATAATGAAAATTTATATAATTTTGAAATTCTGTAAATTCTTGAGGCAGGGGCTTGAAGCCTGAATAGTACTTTTTATAAAGCAGCTAAAGAGTGATTAAATCTAACCTCCAGTGAAAGTCCTTGTTTTGTTACCTTGTTCTACAATTTCTCAAGACAAACACAACTATTTTGGAAATATTGACACCAGATGTAATAAGATTGAATAAGAGGTTTACCAAATTGTTAAATATGAGCCAGATGGCAAAGCTTTGAAGCTAAAATAACTCGTGTGTGTGTGTACATATGTGTGCATGTATGAATGTGTGTCTACATGTGTATTACTTGCAAGTGGACACAAGAATAAAAGGAAGTTGTGAATATTTTAGGTTGCATTTGGTAGTTTCCTTATAAAAACTTAGTGTTTTTAGGGTCTGCGTTACCTGCTGATGACCACATATAGATAGAAATAAACAAATATCAGAGAAGTCAGAAAAGACAGAGGTGTAAGAGAAAATGACCTCAATTGAAAGGGAAGTATACAGTGCAGAATAGGGCACTGATGAATCACTTGGCACTAACTTAAGCAAGGGAAATGAGAGATCACTTTCCAAAATGAGCCTAGATCTTAGTGTACAGGCAACTCTTTGTTGTTAAGAATAGCATCCAAATTTCCTTGAACGAGATCTAAATATTGAGAAGCACATTGCATGTATGTTACAAACAGATCAAGGCATCTACTCGGCTTCTTTTCACTTCACCCTACACTATCAGTACACCAATGTTAGAAATTCCCATTCAGCTGCTACATATTTAGTGTGGCAAGATAAGAGTTTTGCTGAAACAAAATCTTCATCTTATTTCATAATAGTTGAAAGTGTAATTTAGTCACTTACACCATAGTATGAATGAGGGCTTTTCCAATTTTTTTCTTATGATAAAATACATGTAACATCTTAACCATTTGTAAATATACAATTCAGTGGCATTAAATGTATTCATAATGTCATGCCGCCATCACCATCATCCACCTCCGTAACTGCTTTCATCTGATAAAACAGAAACTCTGTACTCATTAAACAATAATTCCCTGTTGCCCATCCCTATTACCTATTCTATTTTGAAGTGAGTTTTACACGAATGTAAGTGAAGAGGAACAAGATATCATTAGGCTTCTGGGCTTCTAAGAAGGTTGAAGGGTGATAATAGGAAAGAAAGGAAACTTACCATTTTGAGTGATTGTCTGGAATTGTTTTAGGTGTTGAATTTTCCCACCAGTTTTGTGAGGTGCTTATAACAAGTTTACAGACCATAAAATGAGGCTATCAAAATCTAAAGTTTATGTTTTTACTAGTGGATCATAAAAGAGTGCAGCAAAGTACCAAAACAGTACAGAATAAAGAGGCTAGAACATGGAAAGTCATATTTTACTTATTTTAAAAAATTGCATAGGAAAGGGCCACTACTCACCAGAGCTTACATTTGTGTGTTATAAGCCACATCCCTACTTATTATTCAGTGTATAATACAATGAATTACTTGTTGCCATTCTATTCATGTCTTTTTTGCAAGTGTTTCAAAATAAAATAGTGCTTTGTAGTAATAGTTCTGAGTTGTCAGAGAGAAACTGGGCTTCCTTATAATGTAGACCTTGGCTTCTACTCTAAGATTACCCAGGTTTAAATAAGGTAAATTACTTAAGCAACCTGTAAAACTCCTCAGGCATTCTTTTTGCAAATTTCTATATTCCACTTGGAAGTTCAAAGCAATTTATTATTTACAAGATATATTTTTTAGTATTACTTTCTTAAAATCTTGCCTGCTCTTAGTATAAGTTTAAACAAACATATATTAATGTATAAATGACTAATAATACCAGTAATATAATGATTATGTCTTTCGTAATATGTTCTATTGTTAAAGGAAAAGTTCATATTGTGTGTATCCAGAACTTCAGTTTTCCACTCAGTACCAACTCAAATCAGATCTTAAATGTTAACTTACAGTTTACTCCTAAGTGCAGTGAAAGTGTGGCATGAGGCAGTGTCAAGCCAGGCACAGAAATTCAAATCCTGCATAATCTTACTTATATGTAGAATTTTAAAAAGTGGACCTTATACAAGTAGAGAGTAGAAGGGTGTTTACCAAAGGCTGAGGGGGCAGGGCAGGGTAAGGTATGGCTAAAGGGAAAGAGGAGATGTTGTTCAAAAGATACCATGTTTTAGTTAAACACGGGAAATTAGTTCTGATGATCTAATGCACAGCACAGGGACTATAGCTAATAATAATGTGTATTTCAAAATTGCTAAAAGAATAAATTTTAAATGTTCTCATTATAAAAAAATGACAAATACATGAAGTGATAGATATGTCTATTAACATAATTTGACCATTCCACAATGTATGCATGTATCAAAACTTCATATTGTACCCCATAAATATATACAACTACTTTTTGCCAATTGTAAAAAATAAAAATTTTTTAAAAATCTAGGGCACCTCTGGATCTATAGACCCTTCTTTTACTTATTTGGTTCGATTCAAACATTTCCTTAAGGAAAACTGAATCATAGCCAAGAGAAGCACTCTTCCCATTTTTTATTCATGGAATCATTCCATTAACCCAATACACTATTGGAATTGTTTTTTGTTACAAGATTGTCCTCTTGGATGCTAAGCTCTTTGAAGGCAGAAATTGCATCTTACTTTTCTTTGTTCCCGCAATGCATAGTACTTGACCTGTTCAGTACATGTGTTCCTTGAAATCAAATGTTAAATTGATTAGGGGTCATATAGGAACCTGATATAATTTTAATGCATTTGACATTAAAGGAAATAATGCTTCAGATACCAAAATTACTAATTTTATATTTGTTTCAGTTGAATTTTGTTGCTTTCTTTGAAGTTTTCTGTAAAGAGGTTCACAATGTCTTATAAATTACAAATAAGTACATGAACCATGAGGAAGAATCTTATGTTTTAAACAGAACACTTATTTATTTTAAAATAATAAAACATTTTGAACTTTTTTGTAGTAATTGTCTATTATGTTGAGTCTTCTATATTATTATTCATCAGTGCTTGCGCTTATATTCTCTAGTCAGAAATATTGAATGCACAGATTTTATATTAATTATATTAAATTAAAAAATGTATTTACTATTTAGTTTTTAATGTAACAACAATACTGTGTGCATTTTTACAATTTTTCTTATCCTAAAAATATCATGAGTTCCCCTGGTACTAATAATTTTGCCAATGACTCAAAAAATTGCCACAGGATTATTGTTGTAGCTCCAAGAAAACATGATGCAAAACAGGTAAATAATACTCAATTACAGTTTTCTTAAACAGAGAGTACTAGGACTTGTTAAGGCAGAGTGTGTTGTTAAATATTGTTTCCTGTGGAAGGACCACTATATGGGAATAGTTAGTGAAATTGTTCCACAACCTAGCCTGGCAGCACAACTGAAATGTTATGTATCAATGAGAAGAATTAGCGCTTTAAATGCAATTTTGTACTGGTTATTGTTTACCTGTGTGCACAAATTTTGGCACTCAAATCATAAAGCCAAAACTCCTCTTGACACTAAAATATAAACAGCTTTTTTTTTTCTCAGTGTCTAGTTCAGATTTTCTCTCTAGCTACCTTGAAAGAGACATTAACTAGAGATTTTATATGCAACAACAAAACACTTATTTAAAAAGCTGACTTCACATTATATAATTCTCTGTGTATCATTGACTAAAGAGATACCTTTTGCCTAAAATTACATGATAAAACAATATGTAGGCTTAATTAAAATGTGATTTTTTGGTACCAATTTTTTTATATGTTTGGATATCTTTAGCATATATGTTGCTATATTTCTCTCTGTATTCACTTTGTTTTACCCAGTTCTCTATCTACCAGATTATTTATTCACAGTAACGAAGGCACATTACTGACTTGATCTGTCTGCGGTATCTTAAAATTTGTTTTTGTTACTATCAACAAATTAATACAATTCAATGTCAAATTGATACAATTCAACAAATTAACATCATTTTCCAATAAGACTGTCCTCATCTTTCAGATGTGGTTTTCTGATTGTAGAAAAGTGGGGTGAGGTTACAGCGAGTCTGCTGGAAATTGTATACAAGAAGTAACAGATCATATATCTAGTAGGGAGCAACTCTCAATGATTTAATATTCATAGTCACAGCAATGATAATTATTGAGGAGCTGTAGTACAAATTAGTGTGCTTGGGCTGTCGTAGCAAAATACCACAGACGGTTTGGCCTAAACAACAGAAATTAATTTCCTCACATTCTGGAAGCTAGATGTCCAAAATCAAGTTACTGTTAGGGCTGCTGTGTGACAAGAGCTTTCTTCCTGGCTTGTAGATGGCCACCTTCTGTCTATGCCCTCCCACAGCCTTTGCTCTGTACATGTGTGACAGAAAAAGAGATCTCTGGTGTCTCTTACTTCTGATGTCTCTTACTTTTCTTAATTAATTCCTTAAGGGCCTAATCTCCAAATACAGTTCCAGTGGGGCTTAGGGCTTCAGCATATGAATTTTGGGGGAGCACAGTTCTGTCAATAATACATCTCTAACCCAGCTATGTTGGATTATAACCAATTGGTTATGCTCATTATCATAGGCTAACATGTGTGAACATCACTTCTCATTGAGGGAAAAAAGAAGGGGAACCTTGCTCATTGTTGAAAACTCCTTGCAAAAGAGAAAGTGTATCTTTTGTCGATCTCAACATTAATCATGTTAAATGAAGTACTAGACCCACAACAGGCACTTATAAAATGCTTATTTAATAAATAACACTAATGAGCTAATTTTGTGGTCCACATTGATTCACACTGGTCCAAATCAGACTAATTAGTTCTTTTTATACGACGATACACTAATTGCAGCATTTTTAAGTTTTTGATAATCTTGCTTTGTAACACCGCTCTTTACCTCCATTTGTATTAGTCAATTTTGCTCAGATTTTTGCAGACACTGTGGAAGCGGTTCTTCATTCAGTCTCTTGACAAAATGCAATGTGTTGAAAGGCTTTCAAGTTTCTTTTGGTTTTGGCGAAATGAGGACAACCTCCTGGTTAATTACTGGCTAAAAGTGTTTATGACAAAGAGTTGTTCTTTGAATTGTTTCTCAAAATGTCCCTTACAGTGCTAGGAGTCTAAACACACGCACTAACAGACACACACATACACACATGCACACACCTACACCCTTGCGTGCCCACACACACACATACATGCAATTGACTTTTCTGGAGTTTTGTTGTTATGCATTTCAGACTTAAACTTCAAAACAATGACTTTGCAATTATATTTTATATATTTATCTGGCATCATTTCATGTTACAAAGAAGTCAAAAATAGAGTTGGAATAGCATTAGAGTTTATATTGCTCTAATGTTCAAGAATAAAACATTGGGTTAATAATTTTGCCATCTTTTTAAGGCTAAAATGTTTATTTTTACTTGTGATTATTATAATGCAATTCAGTTTGAAAAATGATATAAAAAACATTTGTTCTTTCTAATAAATGTTTCTTTTGCCCTACGTATTTAAGCCATTGTGTGGTTTTGAGGAAAAAATAAATATAAGTATTGATAATTGGTATTTTGTCAAGATTTCTTTCAAGAACACCACATGATCCATATTAATAATATCCTCTCTAAAGTAAAATTGTTCATTAGTTCTAAACATTTGAATTTGTAAACATGTATCTGGCTCAAGTTTGGCTGCTGGATGCTCAGTGGCAAAAATCAGAAGCAAGGTGTAGTGAAAGGAAAGCAACTTTATTCAAATGCCAGCAGTTGGGGAATGGCCAGCCTCATGCCTTTATCAGATCATACCAACTTTTTGGGCTGGGCGAAGGGGTTTAAGGAGAAAGGTGTGGCAAACATGTGAAGTGGTGCAGGAGGGTACAGGTCTGCATGTCTTGCTCCAATGGTTATCTTGAGTAATTGCCTGTCTGGAGGTACCATCTGCATCATCCTTTCTTCCGCCCAGTAGTGGTGGGCTAACTGTCCCTAACACCACCTACGTGGGAGCATTCCATAGCTGGGTAATTCTGTCTGGTTTGTTTCAAAATTGGCCCTTGGAATTTCTAAGCAAGCACATAATTAGATAAGAAAGCACTGTTTACAGAAGTGCCTGGTGGGAAAGGGAGAAGCAGAGTTTTAAAGTGTTTCAAGGCTGAAAGCAAGAGCAAGAGAGGAAAAAGCAAGTTTTAAAACACATTTTGAGGTTGGCATAATTCCAAAGCTATCAATTCATTAGATTCTTCTCTTGACATCCCGTATCACAATACATGAGAAAAGGTTCTGCTGTAAAATAACATTTATTATTATTAACATGTTATTCAAAGCATGTTCTAGGTGTGCTGCCTCTCTAATGGAAAGAGTCTTGTTTAGAAAAAAAAAAGGTTTTAGTTTACATAAACCTAAGTCTAGATTTACTTCTGAGCAACGCTGATCATTGCTTTTAACCTTACTTTCATGTTGTGGTGATATTAAAAAAAACTTTGCAAATTGGACTAATTTTCATCTTCCCCAACATTACCCCAGAAATGCAAAGTGTCAAAACTGTGAGGAGGCTCAAGATATGCATTATTATTGTGTAGTCTGGGCTATGTAATATGTAGAAACTGGGCATCCAAAATAGTCAAATAATAAAATCCCTTCTGGGAAACATAAAGTGCAGTCTATTTTAAGAGCAAATAAATAATAAAATTTTAAAATATTAATAAAATCACCACACTGACATCTCAGAGACAAAACATATATACTTAAAAGGAAAATAAGTCTTTCCCTGTATTCTAAAACATATACATCTAACATATATTTCAACACAATTTGTTCATTCATTGAATTGACAAACATTGATGGTTGATTCTATTCCAAAATTAGAGAACTGTAAAAAGAATCATTTTTGAAAAAAATAAATCATAAATAATAATTTATGTAACAAAGAATAATGAGATGCTTTGCAATGTCTGTCTATGCTTTATTTGTATTCTCCACCCGAGGGATATTTGTTCAATCTTGTATGTATTGCATAATTTTGTGAAATGTTTCTATAGCTACATTTTTCAATAAAAGTAGCCCCCTGTGCACATATGTATATTGAGTACTTGAAGTATGAATAGTTGTAGCTGAGGGGAAAAATTAATTTAATTTAATTGTAAGTAGTTTAAATTGAAGCAGGGAGAAATATTTCTCATTAAACAAAATGTTATTGTTTTAATGGGACTGTGTTTCATTTTAACCAATGAATCACATTTTAGGATTTGTTTGGAATATGTAGGTCCTTTCAAAAGTACATGTGAACATACCATTGATCTAGTTAGTATCGACTGTATGATTCAGTTCATATTTTTTTTTCTTCACAGGTATAACCTTGTAATGTATTTATTTAGATATTCTAGGTAGACGACATGAGTTGCAGTGACATCTATGTAAATTGTAATTGGTGACTAAAATAAAATATGTATTATTTTCATTATAATATGCTAAAATGATTTTTCCAGTTTAAAAATGAGAAAAATAAAATGTAAAAACTGAAACAAAGACATGATACTAATGAAAAATTAAGCGGAGTTGCAGAAGCCAGTACAATCATTAGAAGAGTACAAAGAAGACACTGGAGGAAGGTACACATTTTAGGATAAATATAAATGCAATTTGCTACAGGAAAGCAAAATTTTAAAAACCCCGATCTTTGTGAAAATTGTATTAATGCTAGTAAAGTAGAAAATAGTAATGGACATCTTCAACAATTATATAATGAATATAAGAAATGTTCTCTCAACAGTCAAAAGAAAAATCAAAGAGATTTGTTTCCTAAAATCAGAGTTTAATGTCTAACAAAACAATTTTCAATGATTTTAAATTCAACTGAGCTGATAATTTTGGCAAGGTATCAGATGGCTTAGTTTCTTGCTCAAAACGAAAACCATTATTACACAGAAAGATGTTAAAACAAAATAATTACTTTAGTCATATATTTTTTTAGAAAATTATGAGAAAAAAAACATTTGAGGGGACAAAATATCCAAACCATGTCAATTATGGATAGAGTTGCTAAACATTTATTATATACATCCAGATGCTATGAATCATTGTCAGTTTATGGAACTGTTGACAGAATTGAAGACGATGAATTTAATGATCTTTAATGATTCTTTGCTAATAATCACTGTGTGTATCATGGAAAAGTTTTTCAGAGATTTACTGTAGTGTTAATTTTAATTCTAGGTTTTCTTGAAACAAAGGCAATGCAATATCAAAGCCAAAAATGGCTATGTGATATATGTTTCCTCTTCAATATCACACTGCATATGAATGAGACAATTTGAATCTCCAAGAAAGTAAAGCTTATTTGTGTCTTAGCTAAAAAGGTAAAATAACATATGTTGAAATGGAAACTTTTTGTCATAGAAATCAATAATACTAATTGTCACATTTTTCTATGAATATGAATTTTTAGTCATAACTGATAACATAATTCAAATTACAAAACATACAAGAAAACTTTGAAGAATCCTTTTTCGATATTGATAAATTTAGAGTTGTTTTTCAACATATGCAATAATCCTTTGAATTCTGTGGTAAGCAAAACGAGAGTTAGTGAATTTACTTAACTTGGACAGAAGTAGTCTTGAAAGTAATGTGTTTTTGCTTCAAAGATAAATCAATTATTCTAAAAAACATGAAGCCATTTTGTCAACATGAATGTAAATATAAAAGAAAATAATTTTTTAACTTTTTTTTTTTTTGAGACAGAGTTTCACTCTTGTTGCCCAGGCTGGAGTGCAATGGCACGATCTCGGCTCACTGCAACCTCACCTCCTGGGTTCAAGTGATTCTCCTGCCTCAGCCTCCTGAGTAGCTGGGATTACAGGCATGCACCACCAAGCCCAGCTAATTTTGTAGTTTTAGTAGACAGGGGGTTTCTCCATGTTGGTTAGGCTGGTCTCGAACTCCCAACCTCAGGTGATCTGCAAGCCTCGGCCTCCCAAAGTTCTGGGATTACAGGCGTGAGCCACCACCGCACCCAGCCTAAGAAAATAATTTTTTGACTCAGTTAAGTTACTGAGTTATTGGAAAGCCCTTTAGTAGTATGTTTGGAACAACTTGATTATGTGAAGACACTTTTCAACTGTAAATTTTATGAGATCTTGTGTTAGTCCATTCTCACATTGCTTTAAAGAACTACCTGAGACTGGGTAATTTATGAAGAAAAGTTGTTTAATTGGCTCAAAGTTCTACAGGCTGTGCAGAAAGGATGGCAGGGGAGGCCTCAGGAAACTTACAGTCATGGTGGAAGATGAAAAAGAAGGAGGCACATTCTACGTGGCTGGAGCAGGAGGAAGAGGGAGCAAAGGGGGAGGTGCTACACACTTTTACACAAACAGATCTTGTGAGAACTCACTCACTATCATGAGAACAGCAAGGGTTGGAAGTCCACTCCCATGATTCAATCACCTCCCACCTGGCCCCTCCTCCAATATTGGGGATTACAATTCGACATCATATTTGGATGGAGACACAGAGCCCAACTATATCAGATCTAAATTCAGATCAAGAATATCCAATAAAAATTTAGTATCTGAATTGTGATTTGCTGCAATTATAAAATAATAGTATATTTTAAAGAATTAATATAAAAAGCATGCAAAGCAAAGCATCTCATAAATTATTTTTAGATTGGTTACATTTTAAAATACTAACATTTTATATATAAAATAAAACATATTATTACATTTCATTTTACCTGTTTTTTTTTAATTTCATAATAGAGATGCTAGAAAATTTAATAGTAAGAGGTAATTTACTTTATATTTCTACAGCATGGTTTTATGGTTATCGTATTCTCAAAGTAATCATAACTGCTAAGTCTTGAGAACCACTGCTATGGAAAAGAATACCAAAATCATAGCAGGATTAGTTTACACATATATAATCATTATTAATTGTAGTCTACCCGCTATGCTTGATCCAGTGATGCTTTCAACAGCATGTAAAAATGTTTATATGTAGAAAGATGATTTGATGCAGACAACAGTAAAAGCATAGTGATACTCAAAGATCAAAGTCAACGCTTAAATTTAACATTTAGGACCAATTTCAACCTGAACACATTTCAGAGTCCAGATGTTGTCTGATCCAACAGCTAATATCCTTTGGAAAATAAGCAACTGATTTCAGCACTTGAGGCTGCCAAGAGGTATGACACTTCATCTGCAAAAAGACAGCAGCTACAGTCTCTCCAGCCTCTCACTTTGTCAGTATATTTTATATTGTCAAAAGAAAACACTCAAGCAAAATAAAATATCCTTTTTGAAAACTAGAATATCAAAATCACCAAATTGTGGTTGCTCACATCATCTTCAAAATACTATTACTATAGCCTCTAGTTTTAATCTGGCCAAGAAAATGGAGCAAATGTCAGACATTTTTTTGTTTTTGTTTTTGTTTTTTTAGTAAATGTAACTTTTGGAAAGATTGCATATATAAAGCCTTCCTTAATTGTTTCTAAGAATCCTTCAATTACTTTTTCCCAGTCTCACATAGACAAACAGTTCTGTTATCACATAAACTCGAGGGGGTAAAATCTCAAATTTAAACGTAAGCAAGGCATGAAAAACAATATTAGGAAGATGAAAATTACTTCCCGAAACACTAAAATTAATGATAATAATAACACATATTAAGTTACCATATATTGCTATTTTATCAAAAGTATCTTATGCCTGGTCCTCCATTTGTTTTACCTTTGGCAGAGGTACTGTCCCTTTAACTTCAGCATGCAAATATATTAAATCAGTAAATGTAGTAGACCAGTCTGTAAAAACATTGCCAACACACAGGATCTGAGATGTAGATTTAACATGTTATAATTAAACCTAAATCTATCCAAGTGCAAGCAATGCAGAAAACTAGACTGGGAAGATAAAACAACCAAAAAACAAATGGCAATTCAGGAAATTGACAATCTTTGGCCATTACTAGAAGAATGTGGAGATGCTTAAAAGCTAATCCTAGAAACACATCATATCCTCCATATTTGGAACACCAATTTTTAGGACTTAAAATGCAACAATCTGTGTAATATATATTAAGGTTGACTAGTTTAATCTCTTGCATGATTTAGCATATGATTTAGAAAAGCAGTCTCCTCAGACCATCATTATCATACAGTATCAGAAAAAAAAGTTGAATAAATAATACTTTATGAAAGCAAATATGTGATGATAAAATATTACGGATACCACACTATAAGAATTTCACAATTATAAAAGATGTTATGAGTAAGATTTTTGCTATTTATTATTGTTATTTACTAAAGAACCATAAATCACCCTTTGTTCTTTTCACTGGTTGGCCTCCCATTTGTCATCTTAAAATGCTCACCACATGCTTTCTTAGGCTGGATGTTTTCTCTAAGAAAGGAAAAGCAACACTAAAAAAAAAAAAAAAAAAAAAAATTAGACCAAAAAATTCACTTTTCCAGTAGCAGCTTAGAAATGATAATTCATCAATTAGTGCTGCTGCTGTATAATTTGTTAATGGATTAGGATGTTAATATCTATAATATATTAATAGTTGTGAAAATGCTTACTTTTCTGTTTTTCTGAGTTATACAACATAATTTGAAACTAGAAAGCCTTTCTATAGCAATTTAATTTTCAAATTAAACTTAAGTCCGATGGACCACCCACTGCAGGAGATGAAGGCATAAACTTAGGGAAAAAAAAAGATAATTATATCTCTCATTTTGGATGACTGCATGGAGAAAAATGTTAATATAACAAATACTCCATATGCCAATACTAAAGACAATTTTTGCCTTTAACTGACTTACAACAGAGGAGTCTTGGCAATTAATTATGTAAAATGATGTCAGCAAGTGACACATCTAAATGTGGAGGGATGTGCTCTCTTCCTTTTTAACAGCAAATAATGCAGTGTGGAGTCTCTGAGAAAGGGTAAATTTCTCAGACAAATAATATCCTTCAGTTTTTGTTGCTCCACTTTACCTGGCTGTATTAGTAATGATATTGATAATTTGTTATTGATGCTGTTGCAAATTCATTTGCATCTGAGAACTGCTAATGACAAATCTCTTATAACTAGAAAACTATGCATTTGCTCATACGAGAATTGTTTACAATTTAGAGCATGTTAAAAACAGCATGTCTCTGAACCAGTACTGACTTTAGAAAATTGTAAAATGTTTGGAGTGATTATAGGAAGACAGGGCTTTGAATTCCAATTCTATTACCATCTTAGCTACCTTTGGAAAAGTTTTTTCACCGTCTGAAACCTGGTTACTTTTGTCTATATGCGTTGTCACAGGGATTAAATAAGATAATATATATAAGGGCTCAACACACTGCCTGATGCATATTTAAAAATCAACGAAAGATAGCTATTGTTTTATTGACAAAATAGGAAAAGTGCTTAGTAGTACGTGAACACTCACTAAATAAATCATTCAACATCTTCATGATTTAATAAAAATAATCTGATAGTGTTGAAATCAGCTTCATAAATAAAATGTTAATGACTAACATGTGCAAAATAAATATTGATCATGTTTTTAGAAAAGTTTGCCTAGTGCTGTGCTTTCAAATCAAGAAAACTATAATTGATGCTGTCTTCTTATTACTATAAAAAGTCAGACTACTTTTGAGTAACTGTTCAAAAATTTCTACCCCAACATCATGTGTATTATACATCATAGCTTGACATGAAGTCTAAACTAATTGTAAAACAAATGCTTTATTTTAGTACTTCAAGAATAAATTTTATTTTCATCTCAACACAACAAATATACCACCTATTAAAGATATAAAACTCTAGTATGTCAATCAAGTTAATTGGAAACATCACATATCTTTATGAACTTCACATATGCAATGCAAGAATATGTTAAAAGATTGCATTAGTTTTCCACGAAATTAACCAGTCTTTCCAATTTCATTATAATTCAATGTCTTTTGTTCATTAAAATTACGTCTTTTGCTTACATCCAACTTCTCCATGTTTTCTATTATCATTCACAGCACCCACCAAATTACCCACACTTAACAGATCTAAATGAAATTATTATCTATTAAAGGTAGTCCTGAACTAATTACCCTCACTTTTCTGTTTATTCCTAATAACACTTTTTGATTAGCCTCATAAGGGCAGAGTGTTCCAACATTATATAGCTGTAATGTGATATTATTAACTTTTTTCAATATCTCCTTATTTATGATACGAACATAAGTACGTAGGTAGAAAATAAAATAGGACTCAGGAAACCTATTATTTTTACAATGTAATATTCTGTTGGTGTTCTATTTGGTTACACAAGAACAAAATTGTTTTTCTCTATTATTTGTGTTTGTGTTTGGGTCTATGTGTTCATTATTTCGTTCAGAACACATGAATTAGAGACTCAGATTATCTTTAACAATGGGTTTATTATAAAGCAGCACATCAGTAAAAAAATGAAAATCACAGGAACCAAAGATGGGCAGAGACTCAGGCCTCACCAACATGGGAACATAGTTTATGGCTTTGAAGATGGTTCAGGATCCAAGGCAGTTTGGGTGGAGCCACTATCTGTGGGGGTTTCCTAATCAGAACAGAAATCCTTGAGTTTCTATTTAGTGTGCTATATTAACATGATTTAACAATTATCTCTGTTTTTCTTTGAATCCCCTTGTGCTCCGTCACTACTACTAACTGAATGACGCTCCAGGCATGTTTTGGCTTGACTGAGTCAAGTGCCAACCTGGCCCTGAGGATATAACCAGTTTCACTTGGTAGGAAATAGGTAATCTCTAATAGTGAACAGGATTATTTTCTGAGAAGGAATTAGCGAATATAGCTGTTCCCCTCAGAAAAGGAAAGAGGAGAATGTAGGCATTATGATTGACCTATCTAAATCTACCTTATTGCATTTTAGACAAAGAAGATAAGGAAATAATTATGTAGTTAAATGTCTTCTCAGTGTTCACCTGGCTAATGGCTACTTTTAGAGTAGAAAATTATATTTATTAATAATCATCATGGATACAAAACAGAGCAGGAATAGGAACCAAAATAAATAAATGAATGAATAAATTTACTGGGTAGTCTCAGTTTCCAGGAATAGCCTAGAAATAGAAGATAATATATGAGAACAGTGAACACATCAGCAAACTAACCAATCAGACAGTAGTAAATTGGCATTCAGAAAAGGAACAAAGAAGTTACAGACTGAGTAGGTCTTCATGTTGGTAAAAGGCAGCACGTCAGGAATTTCTGAAGCAACCAGAAAAGTTTGTTTGCAGGAAGAATCACCCAGTAGCTATGTCTGAAGCATCACCCAGTAGCTATGTCTGAAGTTTGCTTGCAGGAAACATCACCCAGTACCAATGTCTGAAGCAGTCAAAATTAATTTTGATACTAGATGAAGCTTTTAATGGAGATCAAATGCTTCTTTGTTGCTTATAAGCCAACTATGACAAAAAGTAAGCTATCACAGGGATCTGGCATTACCATACAACAAGGCAGAAGAAAAAGAATCCATAGCTCTTCAACTCTGTTGTTTGAGAATAGGCTGGTTATAAAGAGCAAAGTGGTATATAACCCAGAAAAATTTGGAGGGTTAGAGGTGTCTGTGCAACTTAAACTAATATTTAAAACTGTCTGGCAACAAGTAACCTTGATGAGCCACTTCAAATACTTGAGTCTGCCGTGAATAAAGAGCAGTAGAAGAGAAAATGCATGTGATATAGCCTAACTTAAAACTGGCAACCTACGGCCTGTGAGTTAAACCCAGTTCTTTTCTGTTTTTGTCAATATAGTTTATTGGAACACAGCCACACTCATTTATTTACGTATTTTCTATGACTGTTTTTGCACAATCATGGCAAAGTTGAGTAAAACTACAGTGACAACATGGCTCACAAAGCATAAAACATTTACTATGTGTCCTTTAACAGAAAATGTTTACTAGGCCAATGCTAACCTACCAACCAGTAAAAATGCTTTTAAATACAAATGCATTTTCTATACTTGGGAAAATGGAGATAAATATTCTACCTGGTGATGGTATTTGATAGTACTAACCCTTAATATAAATTATTGTATTTACCACGTAAGAGCAAAATAAATGTCTGGAGAAAATGCGAAGGAGACAGGAGAGGAAGTAATATGAGGGAAATAAAAGGGAAGGTAGGAAGAAGAGTGGAGGGAATGGGGCATACTTAGGAGCAGGGATGAGCAGTGGCATCAGAATCTGGAGATGCATAGTCCTTAGCTCCATTTGCTTCTGATGGCCAGCTTTGGTTTTTATCTTTGGTTTCTGTAAGACAGACTATTACCATCTCAGCAAATTCCCCTTTAAAAAAAAACACTTGAAGTCAGATTTTGCTTATGTGCAACTGAAAAATTCACAATCAATTCCGGAAGAACAGCATAGCTGATGACTCGAAGTGGAAGCAATACACCTAGCAATAGACTTTAAACAATTTGGTGACATTGTCCACATTCTGGTTGCCAGATAAAGCAGCATGAGAATTCCCAAGAAGGGCTTAAAGAACACTCAATACTGCTGTTGAAAATAAGCCCCTTTAAAAATGAAGCTATGAAGTATGATTTCACAGAAGACCACCACTTCTCTTTATAGGAAGAAATATTACATATTTACATTAGACTGTTAGACCTACAATTCACTATGCAAGTTTATGCTATTTATCTGTCTTGGGGATTTTTATTAAAATCGAAGGAGATTATCAGTAAGAGCTTCAATAATATACACTGTTATGTTTGCTATCAAATTTCTGTTTCTGCTAGGAATTACTATGTCTGAATTTAGTAGATTAAAAATAAAATTTACTTAATACCACGTTAAATGTGTAGGTTAATTTTATTACGTATACTTTACCACATATTTATGACATTAGTTTGTTAATATACTTGGCAATTCAAAATCTGCAATCAAAACGTTACCTTTTATCCTAAAGTGTTACCACTACACACTAGAAAGTCATAAAACTAGTTTAATGAAAGTTAAACTGCCTCCTTGAGTTTATTCCATTTTATATAAAACATACTAACAGGTATTTAGCTGGGTCAATATAATAGTTTCTGTGGGAACAAATTAAAACTCAAGTCAAAAAAAAATTGGCTTTGCTGTGTCTTTAAATTCAACTCAAATGAGCAAGATATGAGTATTCACTATATGCCAAAGCATGTGCAATGTCACCGAAAAATACCAAGAAGAAATAAGACAGACTTGCGCTAAAACAGCACATTGGAGAAGAATCGGTCTAAAAATAACCTAAATCATTTAATTTAAGAACATAATCTTAAATAAATTAAGGTAAGAAAAGTATTGTAGGAATGAAAAGCAAACTATGATACTTTCATTCAACTGAAACCTGAACATCCTAGAAACTGTGTCCATTTCCCCTTCATCCTTTGCTTTCCCATTAATAGTCATTGTAGTAATAAGTGATCATATAAAAATTTTTATATTATTCAAGCACTCCAGATACTTCAGTGAAACAAGTATTTCTCCAACCTTTGGAAAAAATGAATATCTAAAGGCTAAAAATCTATATACTTCCTTATATCTCAAAAGAGTTTAAGGTAATAGATGCATCAGGGGAATATCTTTTAAGAAAAAACTGCAAAGAGCAATGAATGTTGAGACAACCATCTTCTATGAACTTGAAAATATATATATCAAATGCCCACCATTATGATAAATTATTTTCTTATTTGAACCACAGTCTTTGTTATACAAAAAAAAATGAGTAATTTTCCTTGACCTTCACTTAAATATTTTGTTACTTGACTTTAATTATTTTGTTCTCTTTAATACTGAGTGTGGCAGGCAGAATAATACACCCTTGTCCCAAAGATACCCTTGATCTGATCTCTGGAACCTGTGAATATATTACCCTACATGGAAAAAGGAACTTAAGATTAAAAACCTTGAAAATGGGAGATTATCCTGAATTATTCAGGTGGGCCAAATGCAATCAAATAAATCCTTAACAGTAGAAGAGGGAGACAGAAGAGTGGGTCAGAGCCATGAGCCATGAGAAGAATTCAACCCACTGTTGCTGGCTTTGGAAATAGAGGAGGGGGACCATAAGCCAAAAAAAAAATGCATATACTATGTAGAAACTGGGTATAATAATCAGCTGACAACCATCAAGAAAACTGGGGCTTCAGTTCCACAACCACAAAGAAATGATTTTTTTTTCCTACAGTCTCCAATAAGAAACATATTCTTACTGACTCCTTGATTTTATCCTGGTGAAACCAGTGACCTGTATCATCCTTCTGACCTAGAGAACTATAAGATAATAAATTTATGGTGTTTCATGTCACTGAAGTGGTAATTTGTTACAGCAACAATAGGAAATTTATATATCTAGTCACTGATTCATGAATACTTTTTTCCCATCTCAAACCAAATACCTCCTGATCAGGCTCTCCAACGAACTCTGACAAACAAATCAAATCCTAAGTCAAATGTTTTAAAATAGTTCTGTTAACACTTAAGTAAAGTGAGCTGAAGGGAAGTTTCAATACACAGGCTATTTTGATAACAGATTTAGTTACTTCTGAAGCCCTGCCTACATACAGTAGTATATGTTAGGTGGTAGGTAAACATTCTTGATTCCTTAATGACTTGTTTTTGATTCCTCATAATGACTGATTATTGAACTAATAAAAATTCTTGAGGCCCATTCTAAGGTGCTCAGAGAACATAGCTGGCAGTCCCTATGAACTAAAGCCTTGAGCAGTCTTGAGCTATAGTCTGGAACACAGGGTAGCGGTGAGATGAGATGCCATTCTGCCCTCTATACAAAGCTGGTAGAAAATTCAGATTTATTCATTGATAAGTACTCCCTACAACACTGCCAACACTGATCGATTGCTCTTGATTTATAATGTGAATTTCAGCTTCTGACTTTCACTATGGTTATTCCTCTCTACGCTAAGCCCCAAATATAGGACTTTTCTGCCTTTACTGCATTTAAGATTATTCCCATTTTTTCTAACCATCAAAGAGTGCCTGAAATTTTCTCCTAAGATCAGGAACAAGGGAAGATACCCCCTTTACACTTCTATTCAACACTATACTGGAATTCCTAGTTAATGCATTAAAACGAGAAAATAAAAGGCATGCAGGTTGGAAAGTAAGAAATAACACTCTCTTTGTTTGCTGATATGGTTTGCCTATGTCCCCACCCAATTCTCATCTTGAACTGTAGCTTCCATAATTCTCATGTATTGTAAGAGGGACCCAGTGGGAGGTAATTGAGTCATGGAAGCAGGTCTTTTCCATGCTGTTCTCGTGATAGTGAATAAATCTCACAAGATCTGATGGTTTTATAAATGAGAGTTCTCCTGCACAAGCTCTCTTGCTTGCCACCAAGTAAGATGTGACTTTACTTCTCATTCGCCTTCTGCCATGATTGTGAAGCCTCCCCAGCCATGTGGAATTGAATCCATTAAAACTCTTTCCTTTATGAATTACCCAGTCTTGGGTATCTCTTTATTAGTAGCATGAGAACAGACTAATACAGTAAATTGGTACCAGGTAGTGGTGCACTGCTATAAAGATACCAAAAATGTGGAAGCAACTTTGGAACTGGGTAACAGGCAGAGATTGGAACAATCTGGAGGGCTCAGAAGAATACAGGAAAATGTGGGAAAGTTTGGAACTTCCTAGAGACTTGGAGGGCTCAGAAGACAGGAAGATGTGAGATAGTTTGGAACTTCCTAGAGACTTATTTAATGGCTTTGACCAAAATGCTGATAGTGACATGGACAATAAGGTCCAGGCTGTGGTGGTCTCAGATGGAAATGAGGAACTTGCTGGGAACTGGAACAAAGGTGACTCATGTTATGCTTTAGCAAGGAGACTGGCAGCATTTTGCCCCTGCCATAGAGGTCTGTGGAATTTTGAATTTGAAAGAGATTATTTAGGGCATCTGGTAGAAGAAATTTGTAAGTGACAAAGTGTTCAAGGGGAAGCAGAGCATAAAAGTTTGGGAAATTTGCAGCCTGAAGATGCAATAGAAAAGAAAACTCATTTTCTGGGGAGAAATTCAAGCCTGCTGCAGAAATTTGCACAAATAACAAAAGGCCAAATGTTAATCATCAAGACAATGGGGAAAATATCTCCAAGGAATGTCAGAGATCTTTGCTGCAGCCCCTCTCCCTAGAGGAGTAGGAGGAAAAAATGGTTTTGTGGACCAGACCCAGGCCCCCCCTTCTGTGTGTAGCCTAGTGTCTTGGTGCCCTGCATCCCTGTCATCCCAGCCATGGCTAAAAGGGGCTAAGGTACAATTCAGGTCATGGCTTTGGAGGGTGCAAATCCCAAACCTTGGCAGCTTCCACATGGTGTTGAGCCTGTAGGTACACAGAAGTTAAGAATTGAGGTTTGGGAACCTTTGCCTAGATTTCAAAGGATGTATGGAAACGCCTGGATGTCCAGGAAAGTTTGCTGCATGGGCAGAGCCCTCATGGAGAACCTCTGCTGGGACAGTGAGGAAGGGAGATGTGGGGTTGGAGCCCTCACACAGAGTCCCACCTGGGATACTACCTAGTGGAGCTGTGAGAAGAGGGCCAGTGGCCTCCAGAACCCAGAATGGTAGATCCACCAACAGCATGCACTCTGCACCTAGAAAAGCCACAGACACTCAGTGCCAGCCCATAAAGGCAGCTGGGAGAGGGGCTGTACCTGCAAAGCCATGGAGCTGCCCAAAACCATGGGAACCCACCTCTTGCATCAGTGTGACCTGGATGTGAGACATGGAGTTAAAGCAGATCACTTTGGATCACTTTTTAAAATTTGACTGCCCCACTGGATTTCAGACTTGCATGAGGCTTGTAACCCCTTCGTTTTGGCCAATTTCTTACATTTGGGATGGCTATATTTACCCAAAGCCTGTACCCCAGGAAGTAGCTAACTTGCTTTCGATTGTACAAAAACTTGGAAGGAAGTTGCTTTCTCTCAGATGAGACTTTGGACTGTGGACTTTTGAGTTAATGCTGAAATGAATTAAGACTTTGGGTGACTGTTGGGAAGGTATGATTTATTTTTAATTGTGAGGACGAGACTTGGGAGGGGCCAGGGTTGGAATGATATGGTTTGGCTGTGCCCCTACCAAAAACTCATTTTGAATTGTAGCTCCCATAATTTCCACATGTCGTGAGAGGGACTGAGTGGTAGGTAATTGAATCAATTGAATCATGGGCTGAGTCTTTCCCATGCTGTTCTTGTTATAGTGAATAAATCTCATGAGATCTGATGTTTTTATAAATGATAGTTCCCCTGCACAAGCTCTCTTGCCTGCTGCCGTGTAAGACATGACTTTGCTCCTCATTCACCCTCCGGCATGATTGTGAGGTCTCCCCATCCATGTCAAACTGTGCGTTCATTAAACCTCTTTCTTTTCCTTTCTATTTATTTTACTTTAAGTTCTGGGATACATGTGCAGAACATGCAGGGTTGTTACATAGGTATACATGTGCCATGGTGGTTTGCTGCACCTATCAACCCATCATCTAGGTTTTAAGCCCCCCATGCATTAGGTATTTGTCCTAGTGCTCTCCCTCACCTTGCCCCCAACCCCCTGACAGGACCCAGTGTGTGATGTTCCCCTCCATGCATTCTCATTGTTCAACTTCCACTTATGAGTGAGAACATGTGGTGTTTGATTTTCTGTTCCTGTGTTAGTTTGCTGAAACTGATGATTTCCGGCCTCATCCATGTCCCTGCAAAGAACATAAACTCAATCTTTCTTATGGCTGCATAGTATTTCATAAACCTCTTTTCTTTATAAATTACCCACTCTGTGGTATGGCTTTCTTAGCAGTGTGAGAACAGATTAAAATATTTCCATATCATAATATTGCCTATTTAGAACCAACCCAAATATCCATCAATGATAGACTGGATTAAGAAAATGTGACACATGTACACCACGGAATATTACGTAGCCATAAAAAAGGATGAGTTCATGTCTTTGTAGGGACATGGAAGAAGCTGGAAACCATCATTCTGAGCAAACGATCATAAGGACAGAAAACCAAACACCACATGTTCTCACTTGTAGGTGGGAATTGAACAATGAGAACACTTGGACATGGGGCAGGGAACATCACACACCAGGGCCTGTAGTGGGGTGGGGGGTTAGGGGAGGGATAGCATTAGGAGAAATACCTAATGTAAATGATGAGTTAATGGATGCAGCAAACCAACATGGCACATGTATACATATGTAACAAACCTGTACGTTGTGAACGTGTACACTAGAACTTAAAATATAATCAAGAAAAAAAAAAGAAAATCTCAAAGAATCATTATCATTAACAACAACAAAAATTTCTGGAATAAGTGCTTATATTAAGGTTGCAGGGTACAAAGTTAATATACAAAAGTCAAATAGTTTTTTACACATCACCGATAAGAAAAGAAATTTGAAATTAAGACCATGACACTATTTACATGAGCACCAAAAAAAAATTGAAATACCTACATATGTCTGACAAATTATGTAAAACATCTATATCAGGAAAATGACAAAACAGTGATAAAAAAATCAAAAAAGTCCTAAATAAATGGAGAGGTATTCCATATTCATGGATAGAAATTTTCAGTATAGTTAATATAATCAAATTTTCCCAACTTGATCAATATATTCAATAAAATTCTAATAAAAATTCTAAAAAGTTGTTTTTAAACATAAATTTATTCAAGTTTATGTGAAAAGACAAAAGATACAGAATAAGCAACTTAAATTTGAAGAACAAGGACAAAGATGGAGCACTGACACCACCTGACTTCAAGACTTACTATAAAGCTACAGAAATCAAAATAGTGTGATATTGGTGAAAGAAAAGGAGGCTAGATCAATGAAATATAATAGAGGCCAGTAAGAGATCCACAGCAATATATCCCACTGATCTTTGACAAAGGAGCAAAAGCAATCCAGTGAAGAAATTATAGTGTTTTCAACAAATGGTACTGGAGCAACTGGACATCTACATGCAAAAAGAAATGTATGTAGTCACAACCTTTTACTTTTCACAAAAATTTAGTCAGTATGAATCATAGACATAAATGTAAAGTTCAAAGCTATAAAACTTATAAAATAAAATGTAGGAAAAAAATCTAAGTGACTTTGGGTTTGGCAATGAGATTTAAGATATAACAACAAAAAGCATAATACCTAAAATTTAACAGTTTGCCAAACATCCATTCTTGTGAAGTTGGCATTTTGGAAGAACTCTTTGCCAGAAAATGAGTTGATTTGAGTTTTATGCTCCTACTTAAATTTTCCACTGTTTTCATAAGGTGTTAGTTTCTTGAATACTTTTAAAAATGCCAATAGCTGGGGTAAATCAAATAAATTTAATTTTTGTTTTTGGGAAAGTGTAGATTGTTAGTGTGATGATAGAGATTTTTATTTTTTGCATCTTAAAATTTTTGTGTGATTTTTCATCTTTTTGTGTGTGTTTCCCATTTTTAGATTAGTGTTTAATCTGAGGGAACAAATTAAAATAGCCAGACAATCATGGGATGAAGATTTCAGTTGTTGGTGTTTTATAATAATCACTCCCTCAGTGGTAGTATAGAAAAATATGTAAATTTGCTGTGTTTCAAGACTTTGAACTACTTCAAGAGGAAGAATAAAATGCAGCAATGTTTTCAGCGCTTTCAGAGCTCTCAGAATGAGGATTTTTTTGTAAATAGGTTGTAACAGAATTCAAATATCCAGGATTATAGTAATATTACAATAGGATCCTTAGGTTGATACTTCGTTTTATCTGGGGTAAGTTTATATTTTGTGTGGTGCTTACTTTTTTTTGATGGGGAGGGATGAAGTTGGAGAGTCAATATGCTAAATTCTGTCATGTTTTGCAGTAATGAATCAGTTTAAGTAACAAGGCTGACCCTGTTTTCAGTAGCATGACAGTTAGGGCATAGGTGGGGTGTGAGAGATGAAAGTTTGCTCTGTTTATCTCTTTTTGTTTTGAAGTTTGTTTACCTGTACCATTTTTATTTTACATTTTCAGCAGGCATTTTTCATTAATGAAGGTTATTGCTAGTGGCTTTGATTCCAAGATACTGGCATCTTGGGGTCAAAGCAGAGGTGGGCTATGGGGTGATTCTTGGCTACTTAACCACGTGGTGCCTCCACCTTTCTGAAGATATTTTGCTCTCTTCTTAGTTTTACAGGCCATTGCTGATTCTGTATTTAATTGATGTTAAAAAAATACAGACCAGTGTTGTTCTTGGCTCTTATTTGATAAGGTTTTCTGAATTTTATATAGTCTCTTATTAGATGCCATTCTTTTACCCAGAACAAGTGTTTCACTGTCTTCTGAACAGGCTGTACTCCTGCAGCTTGGTGTCTCAGATCATTTTGTTTTCTCCAACATTGAAGATCCCTCCCCACATATACTGATATATACTCATGTTCCTGGTCTGGCCTGGATGCCACTTGTTCCCTGAAGCCTCCTAGTCCCTTCACTGTATCCCCAGGGCAAAGGACTTCTATCTCTTCTACTGCCCTTGCTTGGTTCTTCCTTGTGGGTTCACAGTTTGTATGTCTCTCTGCTCCTCACTAATAGGGTTGGGCTCTGTGTACCCACCCAAATATTATGTCAAATTGTAATCCCTAGTGTTGAAGGTGGGTACTGGTGGGATGTGATTGGATCTCGAAGGTGGTTTCCAGTGGTTTAGTATCATCCCCATAGTGCTGTCTCCTGATAGAGTTACCATGAGATCTGGCTGTCTAAAAGTGTGTAGCACTGGGCTGGTTGTGGTGGCTTACTCCTGAAATCCCACCACTTTGGGAGGCCGAGGTGGGTGGATCATGAGGTCAGGAGTTCGGGACCAGCCTGACCAACATGGTGAAACCCTGTCTCTACTAAAAATACAAAAATTAGCTGGGTGTGGTAGCACGTGCCTATAATCCCAGTTACTTAGGAGGCTGAGGCAGGAGAATCGCTTGAACCCGGGAGGCAGAGGCTGCAGTGAGCCGAGATCGAGCCATTGCACTCCAGCCTGGGGTGACAGAGCGAGACTCCATCTCAAAAATAAATAAATAAATAAATAAGTAAATAAATAAATAAAGTGTATAGCACTTCCCCCTGCACTCTCTTCCTTATGTTACCATGTAAAGATGTGCTTCCTTCCCTTTGCCTTTTGCCAAGATAGTAAGTTTTCTGAGGCCTCCCCAGCCATGCTCCTGTACAGCCTGTGGAACCATGAGTCACTTAAACCTCTTTTATTTATAAAATATCCAGTCTCAGTTCTTTGTAGTAATGTGAGAATAAACCAATACATACACCAAAGAAAATTAGACATTATTCTCCTCAATTATACAAAGATCATATGTTATTTATCTTCTACACATGATACTTACTACTCAATCTTGTTTGTGTGTGTGGTATCTGGCACATGGATGTGTGCTTACCAGCCAGAGGCCAACGAATCCCCTCAGTTAGAATGTATAGATTAAACAAAGCTTTTTAAAGCTCACATTATATGACCTTACATTATCTGACCTCAAGGTTGTTACCTGGGTCATCTCACATTAATTAGAAACTCTCATTAGCAGCTTTAGATTTCTTGGTTAAAAACCTAAATAAACTGATTAAGTTTTAGGCATTCTTTCAAAGGGGTTCTTGGTGAAAAGAATGGGAATTATTCTATTTTGTGCTTAGCGAAAATATTTTTAATTAATGTATATACAAATTATTGACCTTTATTAAATGCAAAAGTTTTTTGTCAAATAAATAGCAGTTTTTCAGTCTTGAGAAAAGTAATAAAATGAAAATGATGTGTTGAATTTTATTAAAATTATAAACTTCTGCTCTGTGAAAGAAACTTTTAGGCGATTTAAGAGAAAAGATACAGGCAAAATAGTTGCAAGACATATGTATGATAATTTATTTGCAAAATATACAAAGAACTCTTCACACTTCACAGTTTAAAAAAAATTTAATAGAATTTTAAAATTTGAACATATACCTCACCAAAAGATATACAGATGGCAAAAAAATGGCATGAAAAAAATGCTCAACATTTATGTCATTATGGAATTCCAAATAAAAACAACCATGAGAAACCACTATCCACCTATTAGAATGGCTAATATTCAAAATACTGACAATTCTAAATAGTGGACAGCAAGCAGAACAACAAGAATTTCCATTCATTGCTGGCAGAATGCAATATGCTACAATCAATTTGAAAGACAGTCTGGCATTTTCTTCCAAAGTTAAATTGAGTGTTATTCACTCCAGCATTCATGTTCCTTGGTATTTAACCAGATGAATTCAAAACTTATGTCCACACAAAAATCTTCACATAAACGTTTATAGAAATATATTCACAACTGCCAAAACCTGGAGACAACCGAGATATTCTGCAATAGGTTAATAAGTATGTTGGCAGCGGGGAATTTGATCCGTCTGCAGCAAACTTGATTCTTGCCTCCTCAGAGGAAGCAATTTGGCCAAGGGGTCATAAGGCAGAGTGAGAGACTGAGGCAAGTTTTAAAGCAGGAGTCAAATTTATTAAGTTTTAGAGCAGGAATGAAAGGCAGGAAAGTATACTTGGAAGAGGGCTAAGCCCGTGACTTGAGAGATCCAAGTGCTTTGTCCTACCCTTGACTTAGGGTTTTCATACCTTGGCGTGGTTCTAAAGTTGACGTTTCTTCTCCCTTGATTTTTCCCTAGGTCAAGCTGTCTGCCTGCGCAGTGGCCTGCCAGCATTTAAGAGGGGCCACATGCACAGTGTGTTTACTGCAGTTATGTGCATGCTCATTTGAGGTGTTTTTCCCTTACCAGTCAAGGGTTCCTAGAGAAAGGTCATATACCAGTTAAATTCTGCCATTTTGCCTTTCAGTGCACATGCTTGAAACCACTTACCCAACTCCTGTGATCTTATCAGGAACCTGCTAGTGTTTTCTGTCTTTTGGGAGACTGCCTTTCCTTGGAGTCAGCTGCAACCAATGATTTTAGAGACACAGTTTAACAACTGCCTGACCATCACCTGATGGTTGCCTGACATTTCTGGAGGAAGCACTCTTCTGCCCTGCTCATATCTGCCTAACTACCTACTCTAACAGATAAATGAACTGTGTTGTGTTTCTTTTGGTAAGAAGCTTTCTTGGTTAGATAAGGACATTCCAGAGAGAGTCCCTCTCTGAGTTTGAGTGGAGTAAGAAGAGAAATAAGACAAGTTTAGAAGGACTTTGATTCTGAGGCTTATTTTTTGAGGACTTTCAATCTTCAAAATCACTCAGCATGACCGAGTATTATACTTTGGAAATCATTTTTTCTACCCCAACATTCTCCTGTCTGAAACTTTCATAGAAGTTTCACAAATTAAAAGCTGAGTTGTGTCTGTGGAGAGTATAATCAAGTTAATACATGAGTGGCAAAGGATTTCTGGGAATAGGCCATTACAATGGAAAATTTGTATTTATTATAAGAGATTATGTTGTAGACAGTCTCTCAATAACAAAGATTAATGTTTGGAACAGTCTATAAACCAGTTTCCTTAGAGTATGGAGGGCAATCATTTGAGGTGTCTTGATGTTAGACTAAAGGCATCTTCAGTTAAAGTTGAAGTAGACAGTGGCAATCTTGACAGACTTTTCGGGTCTGTAAGTTTGTATGTCAGAAGATGGTTTTTACATGAACTTCAGCTTGCAGAGTCTCAGGAAAAAGGCTTCATTAAGTCCAAATAAGAAAAATGAAAAAAAAAAATGGAAACATTAGTTTGGAGCTTGTAGCCAGGAAAGAATTCAGGTTTCAGTCCAATTATTGTAGGAAAATCATAAAATCTCACAAAACAATGGACAGGGCTAGAGTCTAATAGCAAGTGTGCTTAGTTATCTTCTGAAATATATTTTTTTCCTTTCCAGCCAACCATTTTTTTTTACCAAAGATAAATCATAGCAGAACTAATTTATTGGCAAAATAAGTTTTAGTCTTATTATACTTGGGCCTGATTATTTGTATAAAGTTCAGCAAGCATAGTGATTGGCCATATAGGATATTTTTAAGTTGACTTTGCTAAATTTTTTCATAAATTTCAGATTCGACTTTAAAAACCTCCTAAGACAAGGAAACCAAGCCAGAATTTACCATCAGACTGTGCTTGTAGTACTTGTACAAATTGGGTGAGTTCCTGTCTTTTCAAAGTTCCCTAAATATTTTGAGGTTCCTCGGGCTCTCAGAAAGTGATGTTTGTTAAATTAAGTTTAGCCTACAGCTGCCTCCTTATATATTTTAAGTTGGCCTAAAAGTTTCTCTGTGCACAGAGGACTATGGTCAAACTGGACATGTAAAGAGGCTGTAACCTACTCTTGTACCAATAACTGAATTTTTGGCAAATCAAAGGTGGTCAACTGCTGAAATCAGGTTCAAATAAGGCAAACACCAATCTGGCTATTTCTGTACCTCATTTCCATTTTATGTGTGTCATTTCCCCTTTTGTATCCATAAATCTTCTTCTACAATGTGGCTATGTTGGAGTCTCTCTGAACCTACTTGGGCTTATGAGGCTTCTTGATCTGTGAATTGCTTTTTTGCTCAATTAAAGTCTGTTAAATTTAATTTGTCTAAGGGTTTTCTTTAAACACATATTTTACTTATTTCTAGTTCAGAAACCTTGTAAGAGAACCATGTAGACAAGGTACCAGGCCAGTCTTTTTCTAAGTCTATTGCCTTTATAAAATCTGTCTCAATATCTCAAAGCAGTCTAGTAACATTTGAAAGTATGACATTGCAGTGAAAGCCTTGGTAAAATAACTGATATTTCCAATGTGTTCTGTTACTAAACAAAAGAGATTCCTATTGAACTTATGCAAATAACTATATGACCATAAAATAGAGAAATGTTTATGAATAGTTTTCAAATTCTGAATAAATCAGGTAGGCAGAAACAAAAATGTTTCAATTTTGCTCATAAATATATATTTTAGCCACTTTTTGTGAGTTATAAGTAGCTCAAAAGAAAAAGTTTTCTTAACTCTGGAAAACAAAACATAAAAACAATCAGCAATGTTTCAAACAGAAAGTCATAAAAAGTCATTTCAGATGAGAAAGAAAAGTGAAGAGCCGAGTGAGGAATGCGACGTATGCAAAATTTATCAGGGCCAAGAAGACATGAGCATGAGACTTCAGTCACACCCTGAACACACATGCCTGGGGGTAATTGTTTCAAGGTATTATTTTCCATTTTCTGTAGTTTCAGACTAGCTAATAAATTACTAATTTTTTAACAGAAATTATTTTCAATTTTTTAAATTTTTTGTGGGAACATATTAAATGCATATATTTACGGGGTACATGAGATGTTTTGATACAAGCATGCAATGTGAAAAAAGCACATCATGGAGAGTGGGTTATCCATCCCCTCAAGCTTTTATCCTTTGAATTGCACTCTAACTGCACTCTTTTAAGTTATTTTAAAATGTACAACCTATTATTGATGATAACCACCCTACTGTGCTATCAAATAGTAGATCTTATTCATTCTTTCTATATTTTTTGTATCTATTAAATATCCCCACCTCCTTCCCAATCCCTAACTATCCTTCCCAGACTCTGGTAACCATCCTTCTACTCTCTATGTTCATGAATTCAATTGTTTTGATTTTTAGATCCCACAGTTAAGTAAGAACATGCAATGTTTGTCTTTCTGTGTCTGGCTTACTTCACTTAACATAATGATCTTTAGTTCCTTCCATGTTGTTGCAAATGACTGGATCTCATTCTTTATTGTGGCTGAATAATATTCCATTGCGTGTATGTGCCACATTTTTTTTATCCAATAATCTGTTGATGGACACTTAGATTGCTTCCAAATCTTAGCTATTGTAAACAGTGCTGCAACAAATACAAGAGTGCAAATATCTCTTCAGTATACCGATTTTCTTTCTTTTGGATATGTAAACAGAAGTGGGATCGCTAGATTATATGGTAGCTCTATTTTTAGTTTTTTGAGGAACTGCCAAACTGTGGTCTATAGTGGTTGTACTATGGTTCACCACCATAGTACATGCGTACCAAAGTTCGCTTTTCTCCACATCCTTAGCATATGCTATTGCCTGTCTTTTGGATATAAGCCCTTTAACTGGTGTGAGATAAAATCTTATTGTAGTTGTGATTTGCATTTCTCTTATGATTAACGATGTCGAGCACATTTTCGTAGGTCTGTTTGTCATTTGTATATCTTCTTTTTAGAAATGTTTATTGAAATATTTTGCCCATCTTTTGATCAGATTTAGATTATTTTCTTGTAGAGTTATTTGAGTTCCTTATATATTCATTGGAGATATTGGTCTGCAGTGGTTTTTTGGCTTATTCTGGCCTTGTAAAATAAGTTTGGAAGTATTCCCTCTTGCTTTATTTTTTGGAATATTTTGAGTAGGATAGACATTAATTCTATTTACCCTATCTCTACTAAAAAGTAGCCAGGCGAGGTGGTGCATGCCTGTAGTCATAGCTTCTCAGGAAGCTGAGGCAGGAGAATTGCTTGAACACAGAAGGTGGAAGTTGCAGTGAGCTGCGATAGTGCTACTGTACTCCAGTCTGGGTGGCAGAATGAGACTCCTTCTCAAAATAAATGAATATTTGGTAGAATTCAGCAATGAAGCCGTCAGGTCCTGGGCTTTTCTTTACTGGGAGACTTTTTATTATGGCTTTGATCTCCTTACTTGTTATTGGTCAGTTCAGGTTTTGGATTTCTCCCTGGTTCAATCCTGGTAGGTTGCAGGTATCTAGGAATTTGTCCATTTCTTCTACATTTTCCAATTTTTTGGCATATAGTTGTTCAGAGTAGCTTTGAATGATCCTTTGAATTTCTGCAGTATCAGTTGTAATGCCTCCTTTTTCATTTCTGTTTGTATTTATTTAGATCTTCTCTTTTTTTTTTCTTAGTCTGGCTACAGGATTGTCAGTTTTGTTTAAGTTTTTTAAAAATTAACTTTTTTGGCTGGGCATGGTGGCGCACACCTGTAATTCCAGCACTTTGGCAGGCCAAGGAGGATGGATCACCTGAGGTCAGGAGTTCGAGACCAGCCTGGCCAACATGGTGAAACCCTGTCTCTAAGAAAATACAAAAATTAGGTGGACATGGTGGCAGGTGTCTATAATCCCCACTACTTGGGAGGCTGAGGTGGGAGAATCTCTTGAATCTGGGAGGCAGAGGTTTTGGTGAGTCGAGATTGCACCATTGCACTCCAGCCTGGGTGATAGAGCAAAACTAAGTCTCAAAAAAAAAAAAAAAATTAAATTGTATTGATCTTTAGTTGTTTTTATTTCAATTTCATTTATTTTTGCTTTGATCTTTATTATTCATTTTTTTCTACCAATTTTAGGTTTGTTTTATCTTGTTTTTCTCTCATTCTTTAAGATGCATCATTAGCTTGTTCATTCGATGTTTTTCCTCTTTTTTGATGTAGGCACTTAGATAAACTTCCCTCTTAGTACTGCTTTTGCTGTATCCTACAGATTTTGGTATGTTGTGTTTCCATTATCATTTGTTTCAAGAAATTCTTTAATTTTCTTGTTAATTTCTTCATTTACTCTAGTCATTCAAGAGCAGATTGTTTAATTTCTATGTACTTGTGTTGTTTCCAAAGTTTCTCTTGTTATTAATTTCTAGTTTTATTCCACTGGGTCAGAGAAGATGCTTGAAATAATTGAAAAACTACTTCGATTTTTAAAAAATGTTTTAAGACTTGTTTTATAACCTCACGTAGGGTCTATTGTTGAGAATGATCCATGTGCTAAAGAAAAGAATGTGTATTCTGCAGCTCTTAGGTGAAATGTTTTGCATTATTTTTAGATCAATTTCGTCTATATTGCAGATTAAGTCTGATGTTTCTTTGTCTATTTTCTGTCAGAAAGATCTGTCCAATGCTGATAGTGGAGTGTTAAGTCTCCAGCTATTAATGGTTGGGAGCCCATCACTCTCTTTAGCTCTAATACTATTTATATATATACATATCTGGGTGCTCTAGTGTTAGGTGCATACATATTTAAAATTGTTATATCCTCTTGCTGATTGACCCCTTTATTGTTAAATAGTGACCTTCCTTGTCTCCTCTTATAGTTTTTGTCTTGAAATCTATTTTGTTTAAAATAAGTATAGCAACTCCTGCACTTTTTTGCTTTTCATTGGCATGGAATATCTTTTTCCATCCTTTTATTTTTAGTTTCTGTGTGTCTTTATAGGTTAAGTGTTTTTCTTGTAAGCAACAGATCAATGAGACTTGTTTTTGCATCCATTCAGCCAGTCTATGTCTTTTGATTGGAGAGTTTAGTCTATTTACATTTAATGTTTTTATTGATAAGTCAGGACTTTCTCTTTCCATTTTGTTATTTGTTTTCTGGTTGTTTTATAGTACTTCCTTCCTTCTTTCCTTCCTTCCTTCCTTCCTTCCTTCCTTCCTTCCTTCCTTCCTTCCTTCCCTCCCTCCCTCCCTTCCTGTTTTCCTCTAGTGAAGTTGGTTTTCTCTGGGTGATATGATTTAGTTTCTTGCTTTTTATTTTTTCTGTATTTATTGCATGTTTTTTTGGCTTGAGGTTACTTTGAGGCTTGCAAATTTTATCTTATAGCACATTATTATTTATTTAACTTTTGTTTTAAGTTAAATGGTACATGTATAGGTTTGTTGCATTGTGTCATGGGGGTTTGTTGTGCAGATTATTTTATCATCCAGGTATTAAGCCTATTACCCTTTATTTATTTTTCCTGATTCTCTATCTCCTCCCAGCCTCCACCCTCAGATAGGCCCCAGTGTGTGTTGTTCCCCACTATAACACATTATTTTAACCTAATAACACTATTTGCATAAACAAACAAGCAAAAAGAAAACTAATAAAAACTTTATGCTTTAACTCTGTCCCCCCTCTTTTTCTTTTGTTTCTATTTATATCTTACTGTATTGACTATTTCTTGAAAAGCTGTTACAGATATTTTTTTAATTGGTTCATAATTTATTCTTTGTACTTATATAAGAGTAGTTTACAAACCACAGTTACAGTCTTATAATATTCTGTATTTTTCTATGTACTTACTATTACTGGTGAGTTTTGTACCTTCAGGTAATTATTTATTGCTCATTAATGTTCTTTTCTCTCTAATTGAAGTACTCTCCTTAGCATTTATCATAGGATGGGTCTGGTGTTAATGAAATCCCTCAGATTTTGCTTGTCTGGGAAAGTCCTTATTCCATCTTCATGTTTAAAGAATATTTTCACCAGATACACTATTCCAGGGTAAATTTTTTTTCCTTCAGCACTTTAAATATGTCTTGCCGCTCTCTCCTTGCCTATAAGATTTCCCTTGAAAAGTCTGCTGCAAGACATATTGGACTCCATTGTTGTTATTTGTTTCTTTCCTCTTGCTGCTTTTAGTATCATGTCTTTATCTTTGACCTTTGGGAGCGTGATTATTAAATGCCTTGAGGTAGTCTTCTTTGGGTTAACCCTGCTTGGTGTTCTACAGCCTTCTTGTTCTTCGATATTGATATCTTTTTCTAGGTTTGGGAAGTTCTCTGTTATTATTCCTTTGAATAAACTTTCTACCCCTATCTTTTTCTCTACCTCCTCTTGAAATCCAATAACTTTTAGATTTGACCTTTTGAAGCTATATAATAGATCTTGTAGGCATACTTCTTTTTATTATTCTTTTTTCGTCTCCTCTGACTTTGTATTTTCAAATAGCTTGTTTTGAGCTCACTAATTATTATTTCTGCTTTGTCAGTTCTGCTATTAAAGAACTAATGCATTCTTCCGTATGCCAATTGTATTTCTCAACTCCAGAATTTCTGCCTAATTCTTTTTAAATTATTCCAATCCCTTAGTTAAATTTCTCTGATAAAATTCCAAATTTCTTCTCAGTGTTATCTTGAATTTCTTTGATTTTCTTCAATACAGCTATTTTTAATTCTCTATATAAAAGGTCATATATCTCTGTTTCTCCAGGATTCATCCCTGGAACCTGGTTTAGTTTATTTAGTGAAGTCATGTTGTCCTGGATGGTGTTGATGCTAGATGTTCTTTGGTGTCTGAACATTGATGAGTTAGGTATTTATTGTAGTCTTCACTGACTGGGCTTATTTGTAGTTTTCCTTCTTGGAAAAGCTTTCCAGATATTTGGAAGGACTTGGGTGTTGTCATGTAAACTATATCTTCTTTATGGGGCACCCCACGCCCATGGTTCTTGAAGACTTATAGAGACACCACATTGATGGTCTTGGGCAAAATCCAGGAGAGTTCTTATCAGGATTACCAGGGAGACTCTTGCTCTCTTTCCTTACTTTCTCCCAAACATACAGAGACTCTCTCTCTGTTCTGAGCCAGCTGATGCTGGGGGTGGAGTGACACAAGCACCTCTATGGCCACCACTACTATGACTACACTGGGTCAGACCCGAAGCCATCACAGTGCTGTTTTGCCTAAGGCCTGCTGTAAAAACTCCCTGGCGACTATCTGTGTTCTCTCAAGGTCCTTGGACTCTACAATCAGCAAGTGGCAAAGCCATCCAGGCTTGTATCCTTTTCTTTAGAGTGGTGATGTCCCCCAGGCCCTGGGTGGGTCCATATGTGCTGTACAGGAGTCATGAACTAGAGTCAAAAACCTCAGAACTTTACCTGGTGTTCTATTGTATTGTGACTGGGCTGGCACTCAAACCATAAGACAAAGTCCTTCCCACTCTTCCTTTCCCTTTCCAAAGGTAGAGGAGTCGCACCCCATAACCACCACCACCCCAGGCCATGAGGAGTACTGCCAGACTACTGCCAATGTTCCCTTATGGCCCAAGGTCTCTTAAGTCAGCTTGTTGTGAATGCTGCCTGTCTGGGAATCACCCTTTAAGGCAGTTGGCTTCCCTCTGACCTGGGATAGGTCCAAAAATGCTGTCCAAAAGCCAAGTCTTAGAATTGGGGACCCCAGGAGCATGGTTGTTGCTTTATCTTCATGTGGCTGGCCTGGTACTTCAGGTACGAAGTCCCTTTTACTTTTCCCTCTACTTTTCTGAAGCAAGAGTTTTGCCCTGTAGCCACCACAGCTGGTAATGTGCTAAGTCTCACCTGAAGCCAGCAAGTCTCAGAGGATCACCTGAGGCCCTTGATGTTGTACTTGGGTATTACTGCTACTTATTCAGAGCCCAAAGGCTCATCAGTTAGCAGGTAATAAGTGCTGCCAAGATTGAGTCCTCTCCTTCAAGGCAGTGGGTTGCCTTCTGGTCCAGAGTGTGTCTAGAAATATCCTCTAGGAGAAAGGGCCTAGAATGGGGGCCTCACGGCTCTGACCAATTCCCTATCCTGCTGTGAATGAGCTTGTATCCTGGATACAACACAAAGACTTCCTCACTGTTCTCTCTCATCCTGTCAAGCAGAAGAATGGGTTCTCTTTTGGAGCCGTGAGCTGTGCAGCCTGGAGTTAGGGGAGAGGTGATGTCAACACTCCCTTGGCTGGCCCAACTGGTGTTTCAGTATGTTGCAGGCACTCACGTCCACCATCTGAAGGCCTAATCCAGCCCTGGGACTCATCTAAAAGGCGCAGTCATTATGGGCTAGACTGCCTTTCAAGTTTACTTGGAGACAGAGTGCTATAGCCCTCAGTGCTGTGGTTTGCAGGCACTCAGGTTCAGACCGCTGGCATTGGCGATTCCCCTCTGGCTAGGTCTGGTTTAAATGCTCCCTTTGTGGATGGGTGTCAGCTGAGTTTGGTCCGGGTTTCCTTTCTGCTTTAATAGTACAACACTGAGTTCAGTGCCTCAGAATTGTTGTATTCTCCCTCTCCTAGCATGCAGGTTGCAGATATGCTCTCTGCGCTATGCCACGGCTGCTGGTGGTTGGGAAGGGTTGGAGTCGGCAATTCAGTACTGTTTTGTTTTAATCTCTTAAGTGTCTCTTTCAGTGATAGGAAGTTAAAACCAGGTACTATGAGTGCTTACCAGATTTTGGTTCTTAAGAAGATGTTTTTTTCTATGTAGAGAGTTGTTAACTTGGTGTCCTTATTGGAGGGATGATTGGTGGAACATTCTACTTTGCCATCTTGCTCCACCTCCTCTCAAAAGTCTACCTAAAGTGTTGACACAAGTTGCACACACAGTATGACCCTCACTCATTATCATCATGTTCTTGAAATGTGTGATACAAAGAACAATGTGTAGCCAATCCATAGTTTATATTATTTTAATCAAACAATGTAAATTCTTGGTAAAACACTTAACTGCTCCCAACTTCCTTTTTTTTATTTCCTTTAAAAATTTGCTTGTAACTGCTACTAATCTGAGCATATATTTAGGACAACTTGAATCTATGACTTTCAGGCTGCAGTCCTCAACCTTGGCCCCAGTAAAACTCTATTTATATCAACTTTGCTTCAGTTTCTTCCTTTAGCTCAACACGGTCTTCCTTCAGTTAAGGCCCATGTCATTAACACTTGTTTTGTTTAATGTTGGACAGTTTTGAGTACAATTATTTTTCCCTTGGAGTTTTTGAAATTCTTACCCACCCAATCTAATTTTATGTTCTTAAAGTCATAAGCAGAGATTTATATTTCAGAGCACCTGTCAGAGTCTTTTTATTCTTTCCATAAACCTCCTTGAAGAAGCAACACTTTAGAATTTGCAAAGAGCTTTTAGGAAATAAGCATTAGAATAAAGCAAATTAGTGAATATACGAAGACATAGCAAATTTTCAGAAATCTCATACAATTTTGGAAACCCATATAATAGCATATTCAAGCAAATATAACTCAATTTTAAACATTTCTAATTTTACAATGCTTCTTGTAAGCATTGTAAATAAGGCATAGCAACAAATAAGCCTAATATGTCTCTCTCGGGCTTCCAGGGGACCATTTTGGAAGGTCCAAAAGTTAGTTTGAGGTCAAAAGACTTAACTTTACAATTTTAATTATGAAAAGGTTGTCAAATATAAAAGATTTAAGGCACTTGAGCAAATTAGAATCACAGCTTACTGTAAAATAATAGTCATTCACTTAGCCAAAGTAATAATTTAAAGATTTCAAAGTTGCTGGCTGGGCTCCGTGGCTCATGCCTATAATCCCAGCACTTTGGCAGGCTGAGGCAGTCAAATCACTTGAGGTCAGGAGTTCAAGATCAGCCTGGCCAACATGGTGAAACCCCGTGTCTACTAAAAATACAAAAAAGTAGCTGGGTGTGGTGGTGCATGTCTGTAATCCCAGCTACTCAGGAGGATGAGGCATGAGAATCACTTGAACCCGAGAGGAAGAGGTTGCAGTGAGTCAAGATGGCGCCACTGCACTCCAGCCTGGGTGACAGAGGAAGACTCTGTCTCAAATAATAATAATAATAATCAAAATGCAAAAATGTTTGCTCTTTAATAGGGAAGCGACTCAGTTAAAAAAAAAATGAATAAAGACAGCATGAAAAAAAATCTATCTCTTTCTCACCCTTTCTCCCCACACCTTTTCAATTTTTTGGCAGTTTACTCAAAAGGCAAACAAAAGTCTTTTGGTGTCTCTTATTAATACCATATGAAAATCTTGCTCAAAGGAGAAAAACAAACTATACTCTTAATTTAGTGTACTATTAATATCAAGCCTAATTTTAATAAGACCTTAAAATCACATCGATCCAATCTCAATCAGCTTTGATCAGACAAGATAAGATTTCCGTAAACATTTGTAGTCTTTATAATTTTTCCTATCCTCTTTTTTCCTCTAGCTTTCTGTATCCATTCAGTTTTATCTGTCATTTTTTGTTTTATTTCTTCAATTTAAAACAACCTCGGCCAGGTGTGGTGGTTCATGCCTGTAATCCCAACACTTTGGGGGGCTAAGGCAGGAGGAGTGTTTGAGCCCAGGAGTTTGGGGCCAGCCTGAGCAACATAGTTTGACCCCATCTAGGTAAAAATAAATGAATCAATGAATAAATAAAAAAACTTTTAAATAAGCTTTCAACTAAGCAAAATTACTTTTTCTTTAACAAAAACCATGTTCTCGTGCCTTTCTTACAACTTTCCATATAAAAAATGTATCCTACTTTCCTCATACACAATCGTATTTACATGTCACTTTTAATTAAATATATTAATTGAAATGTTAACTCTTAGCAACCCTAATCTACATTGAAAAGCTAGGAATTAAGCAATTTTAATTGTTATGTATCAGGAGCTTAGCCTAGGACAGAGAACAGAGCTGTAGAGAGAATTCCTGAAGGATCCAACACTTCCCAACACGGCCAGGAGGCACACCTGGGCCAGGGAATATGGGATCATATTGGGCTTGGTTCTGCTCTCTAGCTGGTGGGCCAGTTACTGTGGATACATGTATCCCTGGGCTCATCATGACCACTAATCTAGACACCAGAAATAAAAGTCTAAAATCCAAAGACATAAGCTCACAAACAGTTAAGCAAGTATCAAAAATATTGCAGAAACAACAGGTTATGACCTTGAAACATCTATGAGAGATAGTACAAATTGATCTGACCAGTAGACCCAGGAAAAAATGTCTAAAGTAAATTCTGAAGATGTTTCTATTTTACTTTCTTAGCAATTTTAAAACTGGTTTTATTTATAAATGGTTGATAAAGTCACATGAACTTGAAAAACATTTAGGCTTATTTGTTTATCAGCACTCATTTATTTATAAACCAATTTGATATCATGTAGACAATATATAAACAGACATGTAGACAAGTACCATAAAAAATGGAAAGGAGCATAAAGACTTTATAGCTTTAATTTAAATTTTTAAATCTTAAGTCACTAGTTTAAAAGAACGGTTAGATTTAGTTGTGTCCCTGTAAATGGAACAAGATAAATTTATCTGTCCCACATGCCAAAACCCTCACCAAGTTTTAGAGAAAACAGTGTAGCAAATTTACATTTCAAAGCACAGAAAGAGAATTTAAGCTTTTTAAAGGAGTTTGAGCGTGTTCGTTAGAGGAAGATTAAAAACGGATGCCAAGGTAACACAAAATGATAGGAATTTACCGTAGAATTGTATAAGGACACCAGTTTTATTTAGATAGGTAGCTTTTACTTTAATCTCTGTTTTCCAGTTGAGACACTGAGCTCAGGATGGAGACAACAACTAAGGCCAAAAAGAAACATTTTCAGTTTCCAGAGCCTAACACTCATTTGAAAAACAGGCATACTGGAAGGTAGAACACCTAGATCAATAAAAACGGATCTCATTTTTATACTAAATCTGGAGCCATCAAAAGAAGGAAACATCACAGGACTGGGCTGTGTGATGCTTCCACAGTACACCTTGCTTCAAGGATATTTCTGTAATGCTGCTTGGTGACCAAACACCAATCAGCTCACTCTTTGTTAAGCCCATTCCCCATGGGAGTTATATCCTTCAGTGTTGAGGTTTTCCACAGCCTCTGAGTGTTCAAACTGCATCTGTCTTATCTAATCACATAAAGAGTATCCCCTTGCAGTAATAACCACTCACTGCCACTGCTGCCAGTCATCTCCAAAACTGCAGCCTTCGCCAGGGAATTTCCAGTCATTGAAAACACAAAGGCCAGGTGTTCTCTCACAGTACAGTGTAATCCCTGGTACCCAAAAAGGCCAAATGATCAGGAAACTCGGTATAAAAGTGAAGAGCTTTACACTTAAAAGGAACCTGCCCATGACTTTTGGGATTCTATGGAGAAGACAGAAAACTCCCCAGAAAGGGTGTGCAGTGCCTTTTTCTTAGTCCTCAAGGGATCTCGCAGTTTCTAGAAATCTGCTAGATTTATTTGTTTTATCAAAGATGGCAAAAAAAAAAAAAAAAAGCAAAAGTAGAAGGAAATGGGAGAGTCAGTCTTAGATAAGGCATTTTGGTGCGATTATAAGCTGTCCAAAATGTAAATAACGTTTTACATTTTTCTCAGCAAAAATTATGCCAAGTAAAGAAGCAGACAGAGGGACCAAACATAACTGCAAAGGGTATTCAGTCAACTGAAAAACCTTTTCCAAAACAGGGTCTAAAAGAGAGAAAGTCCGCCTGCCTCGGTCTCCCAAAGTGCTGGGATTACAGACGTGAGCCACTGCGTCCAGCCCCATAGAGCTCTTAAAAAAAAAAATATTCAGATATTGTATCAGATTTCAGCCAGGACAAACAGACATTATTCCCAGCTTTTGATTGGCCACTATCTTTTTCATTAATTTCTTGTTAAAATTTTATACCTAAATTTTTGTAGCAATGCTGCCTGAGCCAAATATTTCACTTTCTCTTTGGAAACAAAAAGGCTCTAAATAATTAGTAAAATAACCTGATACATTCGAAAACATTATTTCTCATAGTAGATGTTTGGGCCACCCTGAAAGGCATTAACGAGTGTTTGATCATTAGAAGCAGACAAGCCCTTTTGATTTTACTCTACTTGCACTGTAAATAATTATATTGTCAAGCCTCTGAGCCCAAGCTAAGCCATCATATCTCCTGTGACCTGCATGTATACATCCAGATGGCCTGAAGCAACTGAAGATCCACAAAAGAAGTGAAAATAGCCTTGACTGATGACATTCCACCATTGTGATTTGTTCCTGCCCTACCTTAACTGATACATATATTCTCCCCCACCCTTAAGAAGGTACTTTGTAATATTCTTCCCCTCCCCTGCCTCCCCCCTACGCCCTTAAGAAGGTACTTTGTACACCTATCCTAAACCTATGAGAACTAATGATAATCCCACCACCCTTTGCTGACTCCTTTTTCGGACTCAGCCCGCCTGCACCCAGGTGAAATAAACAGCCTTGTTGCTCACACAAAGCCTGTTTGGTGGTCTCTTCACACGGACACGTGAGACATTTGGTGCCGACGACCCGGGTCAGCGGGACTCCTTCGGGAGACCTGTCCCCTGTCCTCACCCTCACTCCGTGAAGAGATCCACCTATGACCTCGGGTCCTCAGACCAACCAGCCCAAGCCTGTCTGGTGGTCTCTTCACACAGATACGTGAGACATATATATTGTGCATACCTCCTATAGCTCCCTCCACAGTTCTTTCCCCCTTCCTTCAATTGTTTTATATATCATGCAATCTATGTGCATTTTCTATGCTTCTTCAACTGTAAATACTGTGAACCCTAAAATACCTATCACCTCTAAAAATTAGCTCTTATGTACAAGGATCTCATAGTGATAATTATATTAGTAATTTCCAACAAAGACTATTTAATAGTTAATGAATATGTAAGGGATATGAGACACATGCAAAAACAATTCCTTTTTTTCTTCCTTTTTGATACTAGATCTAACTCCTGTTGCCCAGACTGGAGTGCAGTGGTGCAATTATGGCTCACTGCAGCCTTGATCTCCCAGGCTTAGGTGATCATCCCACCTCAGCCTCCCAGGTAGCTGGGATTCCAGACACATGCTCCCATGCTAGGCGATTTTTTTGGTATGTTTTTGTGGAGATGGGGTTTTGCCATGTTGCCCGGGCTGGTCTCAAACTCCTGGGCTCAAATATTCTGCCAATCTCAACCTCCCAAAGCTCTGGGATTATAGGCATGAGCTACCATGCCTGGCTAAAAATAATTCTAATATTTATGAAAATGCTACAAGTATCAAAATTTGCTAAAGTAAATGCTATGAGGGCTCAGAAGAAGGAGAGCTCAATTTGAACAGAGATTGGGGTGAAATTTGACTTACGCCTTTAAAAGGAGGATGATTTTTGATGTTGAGGAATGGAAGAGGTCCACTGTTGTTAAAGCTATTTGCCTATGCTAAAGTGTAGAAAAGAAAAAGGAAATGGCATAATTTTAGACTACTACAAGTGATTTTGATAAGATTTTAAGAAATAGGAGACAAAATATCAAATTGAAATAGGAGTTTTGGCCTAGAACAGAGTCTAGCCAACAGTTTTGTAAAGGACCAAAGAAATAAATATTTAGATTTAGAGGGTTACGCAGTCTGTCCCACAGCTACATAACTCTGCCATTATAGTATGGGGTGGAAAGAGGGTGATCCTTCGTATCATAAATTTCACCACCTATACCTCTATAACAAAAGACAAGTTAACAAGAGAAAAACATACAAATTTATTAACATGCATAAGTGATAGGGGCAGGAGGTAGACCAAGGCCTAGCCAGATAGGGAAAGGTTCCCGGAGAATCTCCATCCCGCCCTACAAGTGTTTACACCAGAAGTTTGGTGCAGATACGGGAACTTGCACAGGGGGCTTGCCTGGGCATGCCCGCAGAGAACTGAAGGCCCTCATGCAATGGAGGAACCGGGTGGAGCCACCAGGAATTCACACCTTATGCAGGGGAGGGGCCTGGCCTCTTCAGCTTGTGTGTGGTGGCCCTGGTATTCAATTTGGGAGATGGAAACCTGCTTGCAGGGCCCCACTCTTTGCCGAGAGCTTTATTTTCTCTTAATAAATTCCGCCTTCAGCCGCGCGCAGTGGCTCACGCGTGTAATCCCAGGACTTTGGGAGGCCGAGGTGGGCGGATCACAAGGTCAGGAGATTGAGAACATCTTGGGCAACATGGTGATACCCTGCTTCTACCACGAATACAAAAATTAGCCAGGCATGATGGCACGTGCCTATAGTCCCAGCTGCTCGGGAGGCTGAGGCAGGAGAATCGCTTGAACCCGTGAGGCAGAGATTGCAGTAAGCCCAGATCGTGCCACTGCACTCCAGCCTGGATGACGAGAGCGAAACTCCTTCTCAAATAAATAAATAAATAAATTCCACCTTCCTCACCCTTTAATGTGTCTGAGTGCCCAATTCTTCCTGGTTGTGAGACCAGAACCTGGATCGACTGAGCTAAGGAGCAAAAATCCTGCATCATAAGCACAGGGGCCATACAAATAATGAATAAAACTCATAGAAGGGTCAGATAGTTGAAGCTTAAGTACTTTTCACTGGGCAGAGGAATTTGTTGGTGCTGAAAATGAATGAGCTTGAAGACTAGAAAGTGGTTTTTAAATGATTCACTTTGGAGGCTGAATGGGACTCTAGGACAAACAGTAACTTGTGGACAAGGTATAGGGGGATGAGATGCAGGACTGCATTGTGAACGAAGCTTGTCTTATTATGCAGGTACAGTACCCCAGGTTACCTCTTGAAGCTGCCCTCAGGAAAATAGATGAAAAGTCTGGGCATAGTGGTGACTCCCAATCCCCTCTCTTCTCCAGTGGTTAAACTTTCCTGGTTATTTCATGCGATTCCTAGGTAAGAGGTGTTAAGATAATTGCATTTCTTTTTGGAAAGAAGCTTTCTTGATAATATAAAAGAATTCCAGAAAGAGTTCTTCCTGGTGCTCAGGAAAAAAAAAAAAAAGATGGATCAGTGAGGCTAGGGCGGATGGGTGGGAGACAGTCAGAGAGAGACCTTAGTTCTGAGGCTTAGTTCTGAGGCTTTTCAATGTTCTTTAATTCAAAGCATTTAGCATGACAAAGTGCCATATTTTGGGATATCATTTTCTGTGCCCCATCAATAGTAGTGAAGCAGTCATAGATTAACATAACCTAATGAATGGAGATTCATTTCAATAAAGATTTATTTATTTATTTGGCCCATGTGGCATACTTTCCTGACTCTTGGCATAGACCATACGAGGGAGTTGCATGCCATTGTAGGAAAAAAAATGTAATTTTTTTTTCTCACCCATTACAAGGTTCCTGACTGAGGCACCTGTGAGAAGAGACTAACATGACAAAGCATACAAATTTATTATATAATTTTTATACGAGATGGGAAACTACATGAGGAAATGAAGACCCCAAGAAATAGGGACATCTGTGTATTTTTGTGCTTAGATTGAAGAGTGAACAGCCATGCAGAAGTATGATTGGACAAAGGGGATACAATCTAATGGTAATAAACTGGGGGAATTTAGGAAGGCGGATTTGTTCAGATTATCTTCTGTGTCCCTGTATCTGCAGAGATAAGGACTTTCCTTTCCTCAGTGTATAGAGAGGGCACCATTCAAATGAAACATTTATGACCTACTTTAGAGAAAGGGCAGATAATTCTTTATGGCTTGCTTAGGGGAGAAGAGTAGGAGAAAGTCAGAGAGACCTTCTTGTTTCTGCTGCTGTCTCAAATGCCAATGTGCCATTTTTGAAGATAGCATGTGCTGAACCCCATTGTCATTCTAAAAATGTTGATGTATTTCAAGAAGACATGCACGGAATCTGGAAATCTGGATGGCGTTGTGGATCGTACTTTGGTAGTAGCACATGGTTGAAAATAAGGGATATAAGAAAGATATTTTATTTTCTAAAGCCATGTAAATGATAAAAAGTATAATTTTTTAAGATTATATCTATGTATAGATGATCCCCAACTTATGATTGTTTATGTTTTTTTTTTTACTTGAGGATTATGCAAAAGCAATACACAGTCAGGAGAAACTGTACTTCAAGTGCCCATACAACCATTCTGATATTCACTTTCAGTACAGTATTCAATAGATTACATGTGATATTGACTGCTTTATTATAAAATAGGCTTTGTATTGAATGCGTTTTTTTCCAACTGTAGGCTAATGAAAGCTAGGCTAAGCTATAATGTTCTGTAGGTTAGGTGTATCCAGTGCATTTTGACTTACGTTATTTTACATTTAAGAAGAGTTTATCAGGATGTAATCCCAAAGGAAATCGAGGAGCATCAATAGTTGCAAAATAGTTAACTAATAAAAATCGGTCAAAAGCCTTGTTTAACTTTTTACATTAGTTTGAAGCTAGTTGATTTTTATTTCTAGTTATATCATCTAGAATTACTTAGTTGAATTTTCAAATGAAATATCAAAACAATTCCTAGATATTTTGCAGTAATTTATAAAATAAAGGGAAATTTTAATCTCATGGCAGTGATGTTTACTCTCTGCTCTTCATGCCACTGTTATTTAAAAAGTCAAATTCACTGTATTATACACAATCATGGTTTTTCCCTTAAGACAATATATTAGTTGTTATAGCCATGCACATAGTTCCCTGCAGTTTTAAATACAGTGTTTTAATTATTGATTTCAGGTATACATATTGGAAATTGGACTCCAGTTTTAAAAACAAGTTTTAGATAGGTGCACGTAGGCATTTTTGCTATAATATGTTTCAAATAGCTGTGGTCAGTCTTGTAGATTTTAGATGTTTTAGGAAGTAAAGACAGTTTTAATATAAATTCATAAACCAGTGGTTAAAATAAGTGAGAATGTCTAATATTTTTGAAAGTCTGACATGCCAATCAGCCACTGTGTGACAAATTCTTAGGAAGAAACCTATGTATGGAAGTTCTTTTTAACTTGACTGTGTAGGAGGTAAGAAAGTGAGAAGCATTAAGTTGTACCTTTTTAGAGTAGAAAATGGAAATGTCTCTTTTCTAACATGTACTATGTACCAATGTAGTGGAATACTTCGTTTGTTCATATATATAGGAAAACTGAGAGTGATCAAATAAATGCACATATTTCTTTCCATTATCAAACATGAATTAAATAATCTTTTTGACTTATTTAATTATAGAATAGTAGAACAAGGAGTCTGTTGCTTTAACATGGAAACTGAATTTCAGTGAAGTTAAATGACTTAATGAATATAGCAGGTAAGAAAGGTCTGAATTATCTTGACTCTAAGTCAACTGCTCTATTTGAGGGAAGTAATTTTTCTCCATCATACAAAGAGCATTTAGCAGATATATCCAATGGAAACAGTGTCCTTCCTTTCTGTTTTAAATATTGTCTGTATAATATTTTTAAAAATTTGGATAGAGGGCTATTAACCCTCACACATGCTTTATATAGTAATAATATCAAGGCTCTCTTTTTTGCTCAGCAGTAATCTGATTCTCTAGCTGTGATAAACTGCTCTGCCTTTGGCCTTCTAGTTTAGCCATTTAGGAATTGGATTATTGTCTCATAAAACAGAGGGGCAATGATATCATTGCTTAATTATAATCATTATTAAAAGTTCTGAATCATGCCATTATCAGGAAAAGGGCAAGCGATGGTACTTGAATGAATGACTCACAAAGAACATTTCCATTTATTTTGTGTCAGAAAAAACTAAAGCACATTTGGAGTTTACATGCAAAGTGGGAGACAATAGCATGCACTGGCTAAGAGCTTAGAATTTTGAAGCAGACAGAATCCTTTGAATTCCTACTACAACATTTACTCATTGTGTAACTACGGAGTCTTCATTGGTAAAAATATTAACAAAACTTTGTGTCTACTAATATTCTGTAGTTTCTATATGAATGAAATAATATCACGTGTTTCGTGTTTAACATAGTGCCTGACATGTTAGCACTCAATAAATGGCAACAATGTAAAATAATACAATAAGAATGATATTGATCTTAGTTATTTCAAAATGTCTTTAAATCCACTGCAATATTAAAGATCAATGTATCTTTAATATTATCTTTAATGTATCAGGCTGTTCTTTTACACAAAAACATGCAACACTTTTGGTTTGGTGTTATCTATGTAATACTCTAAATTTCAAATCAACATACTTATATCTTATTTCCAAAGTACTGAGCTAGTTTCCAGAGATTATAATTAATTCATTCATTCAGTGAATATTCAGGAAATGTTTATTTTGTGCTAATCCCAATCATAGGAGAAATAAAACACAGTTTCTTACCTCCAGTAAGTCTAGTAAGTGAGGGTGAGATGAACAAAACAGGTCTCAAATATTACTGGTATTAAATTACAGAAAGGCACATCAGTGATTTTTAGTAAGACAAATCAAATGACTTAAGTGATAAATAGAGTTTAACAGGAGCTATTGCTGGGACTGAAATCCTGGAGAAATTCTACCTGAAGGAATCTGAGATGATGGGCTCTCAGCTAGACCTTTCAAATTTGGAAGAATTTTAACAGATAAAGAATGAATGAAGAGTATTTCAGACTGATAAAAATGAGTAAATATAAAGAGTTATAAAACTTTGTAAGTTTATTTATAAAGTGATCTTATATAAATTTATGGCAGACAGAAATTAGAAGTGTTACATTAAATAGGAGATATAAATTACATATAGAGGAAAGCTAGAGTGAAAAGGAGTCTGAAATAGATAGCAAAATGAGGGAAAATTGGAAATTTTCTGTTCTCAAGTGTGAAAAATATGCATACTGAGGGGAACCTTATAGGAGTGAGAAATTAATTGCATCAGTGTCATATGAAATAGTCATGTCAAGATATGTCTGTGTTCCAGGTTCATGTCACAGTAGGAAGGGTAATGCAGCATCATTAATTGAAATAAGGAAGAAAAAACGTGGTATTTATGAGATAAGATAACATCCTTGTTTCAGAAATGTTGACGTTCTGATACCAACATGATACCCAAAAAGGCATAAACAACAAATACAGTATAAAGACATATTTTATGCCACTCATGTTATATAGGAAACTAAATGATATCAGATGTCGTGAATGTTGAGACAAACAGAAAGAAGGCACAAACTGCAAAATATTTTCTTGGTGATAGAGGAGCAGAGAGGAACTAGGAAGTTAGAGAAATAAAGAACAAGAATAGTATAAAGCCTCAAAGACAAAAAATAAAAAGTCCAAGAATAGAAAACAGTTAACATTATCAAATGTCACATTAACTTCAAGCAAGGTGAGAAATGGGAAAATATTTGGCAATTAGGGAGTCATTAGTGACTTTCAGAATAGAAATACCAGCTAAATGATAAGGTAAAAATCTATTTCAAGGACTAATGATTGAGTGAGGAGTAAGGCAGAAGACTCAGTAATGATAGACTCTTATTTTCAGAAATATGGTAGTTCAAGGTAGTAGAAATGTAATTCTAGTCTAAATATAGAGGAAATCTCCAGCCGGTAGGAAACTACAATAGCATAATAATATAGGATATATATACATAAATATATATTTATATATATATATACACACACACACACAATAATAATGTAAGAACAAGCAATAAAAATTTATATAATCAGTTCTAGGAGAAGAAATAATTCAATCATGAATTATTCTACAGGAATTCACTGAGTACCTATTATGTTTCCAGGACTGTGCTAGATACTGAATGTACAAATCTATACTGAGTACATATACCAGGTAAGACAGAAACAAAAGAAATAATTATAGTATAATATGATGTGTTATTTTGAAGACACATATACAAGTTATAAATATGTATAGGAAACTGTCTCTAAGTCTGCCTGTTGTAAAGAGGGGAGTGAACGAGAAAGGATTCCAGATGAGGCTGCAGTTGAGCTAAATCTTAAAGAATAAATAAAGAGATATTCATGACTTAGAGGCAAGAGTAGAGGTAATCTAAATAGAGAGAGGAGCTTCTGCAATGGCTGGGAGTTACAATGGAGTATAGCTATTTGAGAAGTCCCAAGTCTCCCAATATTAGGATAGAGTTTGGTAAATTAAGCAGGGTCTACAAAGTATTTTGAAATTATTTCACAGACTAAGCCCCATCATTGAAAGATTATAATTAGAGAGATTCTACAATGTTTTGCATATTTAGAAAGATCAGTGAGTCTGTGCAGGAAGTTGTATTGAGAGTGGATAATAACAAAAACAGAAAAAAACAGTGAGATAACTGTTGAAAAAATTATATTAACAGTAACGAGGGCTTGAATTAAGATGGCATTAGAAGGGAAAAGGTAAGTCTGAGAAATATTTATGATGAATTTCATGTTGGGAGGTGAGAGAATTAACAGTTTGATGCTGAATTGTTTGTTGTAGTTTTTTTCTCCTCCTTGTGTGACTTGATTAAATAATGTTTACATTAACTTAGATTAGTAGCGATAATTCTGGGAAAATATATTGATTTGGACTTGCTGAATTTTTGTAGACCATAAAGCATCCAGGTAAACAAGTCTTACAGTGAGTTGGAAATATGTGTTGCATACATAAAATAAATTTAGTTTAGGAATGCATTGTGGGAATCATCAACATATGGGTATACATGGGAGAGAGTGAAAAACGAAATGGGTTGGACAACAGCAATAAATGATTCTAATAAGGTCTAATGCAAGATGTAGGAAAAGAGTGCATTTGAGCAGCATATTGTGTTGAATTTATCCTGCCCAATATACTGTATTTTCTCTGTGAAGCAGAAAGAAAGATAATCAAGGGTAAAATGAGAATTCAAGATGTCACATGAAGATTTGCTATAGTTGTTGTTGGAAAAAGTACAATAGCACAAGCCAGAGACAAATAAAAGAAGTGAAAGACTACAAAGGAAGTAGCATTTTATCTTGTGGCCATTTAGGTAATTTTATGCCCTTGATTCCTACAAGACAAGAACAAAAGGAGATATAATATTACAGAGTGGGTAAGAGGGACATTTTAAAGTTTATCCCATATACTCCAGACCTTTTAATTGAAATGACACACAGGGTTATTTTGTAAAATAGTATTAGTGATAGTCCGTAAGTTTATAATGAGTTGAAAGAGATTTTTAAGAACCACTAGGAGAAATTGCTCAGGTAGAACTTAAAGACACATAAGTAAAATTTACTAAGATAAAGCAAAAGATTTGTTGCTCTTTAAGTTTTTTCTTTACTCATAATTTTTAAAAGTTGCACACTTTGGTTAAAAATCTTAACTAACATCAAAATTATATGTGAGACTACTAAAATGTGGGATATAAAAGATGGCACTGTGAAGGAAACAATGCTTCTGCATATCACCACTGGAGCCCCTGCTATTTGTCTGTATGAGAAAGACCAGCTGCATTTCCTTGCTAACTCAGCATATCAAGTTGTGAGTCCTCATTACCTTTAAACAGCCAATTAAAAGAATATCTAAGAATATACTTAAAAAGGAAAACCATCTGTTCTTACAAAAGAAGCAGAAATACATGTCTAGCAAAGTTATAATTTGGGCTTTGAGTTCTAGAAAATATTGGTTAATAGATTTATAGCATTTGATTTTACATCTTACAAATAATCACATAGCACCACTAGGAGGCTAGGTCTATGACCTGGTCAGGGAATACTTTACACAATACCGTATGATCACTCACTGTGGTCTCAACAGTTGCAGCACTTTTATATTTAATTTTCTTTTTTGCAGTCAATCAAAATTTATTTCAAAATGGCTTACTTCTTCATTTTACCAAGCATCTATCTATATCTATCAACCAAGCTAGCTATCCTTCCATCTAACCATTAATCCATCTATCCATTTACAATGTATCTTCTGTCATCAAATAGCTATCAATTTATGCAATTCTTATTAAACTCTAGACACTAAATATAACCATTTCTTCTGAATCCAAATATTCATCTAGGTTTGACTGGGAATGGTGAATTTAACATCTGTTTATAAGCAATTTTATGACGTTTATAACTAAAAACCATTTTTAGGGACTAGGGAAAATACTTTGATGGTGAATGATTCTGCATATTGAAAATAGTTGCTCTAAAAATCAATAGACACCAATTCTAACCCGACATGTTTTTATTTTTAAGTTTTTAAAAATTTTATATAGCCTGGATTTTAGAGACTGGGTCTTGTTATGTTGCTCAGGATGGAGTGCAGTAGATATTCACAGGCATGATTATAGTGCACTGTAGTCCGGAACTACTGACCTCAGGGATCTTTCTGCCTCAGCTTCCTGAGTTGCTGGTGCTTCAGGTGCACACCATCATGCCTGGCTTGTGCTTTTATATCTCGTTTGTGCCTCTGTGTGTGTGTGTGTGTATACATACATGTGTACATATGTCTGTAAGTTATTTTGTCTCTGTTTAAACTAATGTAAGCATGTATAAGTAAATACATATAAAATCAAAGCAATTCAGTTTTTATTTTCCAATGGAAAACAGAATTCTAGATTTGTTGTTGTAAATTTCTTCACAATAAAAAGTAATACATCTCAATAATACTATGTAAGGCTTCTAAACACTTCTCTTTGACCATAACATCCAAGATTACACTGTTCATCCATCTCATGTAGACAATATTATAATAGTGCATATTGGCCTGGTGTGGTGGCTCATGCCTGTAATCCCAGCACTTTGGGAGGCCGAGGCGGGCAGATCACGAGGTCAGGAGATCGAGACCATCCTGGCTATCACCATGAAACCCTGTCTCTACTAAAAATACAGAAAATTAGCCGGGCGTGGTGGCGGGCGCCTGTAGTCCCAGCTACTCGGGAGGCTGAGGCAGAAGCCTGGCATAAATCCGGGAGGCGAAGCTTGCAGTGAGCCGAGATCGTACCACTGCACTCCAGTCTGGGCGACAGAGCAAGACTCCGTCTCAAAAAAAAAAAAAAAAAAAAAAAAAAAGTAGTGCATTTTTTTTTTAGATGAGAATTTTTAAACTCTAGCATTTATATAATTATATTACTGGACACAACAATATGTGTTTCCTTTGATTGCCACACAATTATCTTTTGTTTTACTTGTAGCTTGTATTTCATTATTTTACATATACCACATACATATTACAGCCCTGTTCTAGACACTAGTGATGCACATTTGGCTGGGCGCAGTGGCTCACGCCTGTAATCCCAGCGCTTTGGGAGGCCAAGGTGGGCAAATCACTTGAAGTCAGTAGCTTGAGACCAGCCTGGCCAACATGGGGAAACTCTGTCTCTACTAAAAATACAAAAATTAGCCGGGCATGGTGGCACGCACCTGTAATCCCGGCTACTCGGGAGGCTGAGGCAGGAGAATCACTTGAACCCAGTATGCAGTGAGCCGAGATTGTGAGTGAGTGAGATTCCATCTCAGAAAAAAATAAATAAATAAACTTCATGGAGCACACATACCTAAAGGAGCACAGACATCAATTTAGATAGCATAGCAGAGACAATACTGTGTTTTCACCAAATATGTGATCTCCCTACTGGCATACATAAAGGCTACATTTGCCTACATCCTTTGTAGTTATGTTGGGGTCATGTGATGAAGTTCTGGCCAAAGTTATGTTGGCCAAATTAATGCCTATCATGTACAAGCACATCCTTGAAAACCATGCTTGATACTTGACATTCTATTATCTTGTCCACATAGATTTTGAAAGTCTTACGATGAAGATGCCAGATGTATCAGATGGAAGCATACTGGATTCCCGAGTCTCCAGTTGGAAGAAAGCTTTCTGACACACACTGTAATATCAGTAAAAATAAGCAACAATCATATTAAGTCACTGAGATCAGGAGGTGCTTGCTAAAACAGTTAGTTAATACTAACAGCAGTAATGCAAACAGTGTGGTTTTAAGAGGAAGACATCAAGTTTCTTTTTTTTAATGCAGTAAATTCCAAAGTCAGAAGCTGAAGTCAGAACTAGTAAGGTATATACATAAAAGAAAAAGGAGTACAGTGAGTGTCCATGACCTTTTCAGGTAGCTAACCTTGAACAACATGTATTTCATCTTTATATTTACATGATTTTCATTTAGTGAGAAATAAGATGTTGCATCTGCTCACAAATAGATAGCCTCCTGGGGAGTATACTTCTCCCATGAGTGTGTACTCTGAGAATACAAAAGTTATAATAGAAAGTGAATGGAATGGATGTCAGCAGATTCCTTTATATGTTCCAGCAAAATATTCTACGTGTAAAGAAAGAAGTAATAGAAAATATGAATCAAGTTTCATAAGAGTACTTTTTTCCACACAAAGCATAAATTTTACCCTGCAGTATGCAGTTATAAAATCTGTATTTTAACAGGAAGGAAATAAACCAATGTATATAATATAGTGTTATTTATGTACATTGTGGCATGTAAGGATCACAAAAACCTTACGCTATATTATTCCCACTGAGGAGAAACAATTGGTCACAGAGGTTAAATAATTTACTCAAGATTACATAATTTGTAAGAAAGAGTTAAAATCAAGTTAGTCTGAATTTCAAACTCAGTTTCAAATTATCGCTTTTCTCTGTTAGTGTCAAGCAATATTTTAAATTCACTAACTGGTGAGAACATTTTACTTTACATGTGGATTAAACCACTGCCTATATTTTGTCCATGATTTTTTTTGAATTTAGGTAGTAAGATTTTAGATGCAAGAGATAAGTTCCCTTTAAATAGTTTTTCTAATTATGAAAGACATTAGTAGATGCTAAGCTTTATCTTTAATTAGAGAGCGGACTAGTCAGAATACTGATGGTCGCGTAAATCATTAATATTTGATTCTGAGAACTGGTGCAAGAATTTCAAGTTTGACATAAAATTTTAGTTGCTTACTGATTGCATGACTATTTTAAAATGAACGATTTTATTTGCCAATTACATATTTACCACATATATCCTGCATTGTTTTTTGTCCTATAATAAAATCTTCCCTGTTATTTACTAGCTTCTAATATCTAGGAGCTGCATATCTAGTTTCTTTTTCTTTGGAAATACCTGATGCCCAGGGATACTTGAAGCCAATTCTCTTTTCCCCAGTAATGGGGGACAGCAAAAACCTGGAAAAACAAAGCCCCAGATGTTCACTCTAAATGATTCATACTTCTCTTCTACGATACTTTAGCCAGAGTAGGGAAAAAGTAGAATAAGTGGACTCATTGGTGTGTTGTTTCTTTTTACTACAAGTACATTGAGTAAATAGCTAAATGTTTGTAGGAGGAGGAAGAGGAAGTAGAAACAAAACACCTAGAGTATCCTCCAACAAAATAAGTCCCTGATGAATGGTTGGCTGATCACGTTTTTCTCCTATCTTTCAAAAAAAGGAGATCCCTAGAAAACATATTTTCACAAACAAAGCTATTCTTTTTTCTTCCTGGATATAATATTTTTCTTACTGATGTTAAATATAAAGCTTCAATTGTATTTTATACTGTCAAATTAAATATTATGGTGTATTAGTATATTTGCAGAGCCCAGCAGAAAAGCACTGCTCTTCTTTACATATGTATCTCCTTGTCAAAAGAAAATATTTATAGAATGACAAGGCTGAAGGTGACAGTAAATTTGACAGTTTTTCCTGTGGAATTGACAAATAATGAAGCTTCATCATTGATGCTTAGTAAACAGGAGAAGAAAGCTTTCCTGTTACGAGAATTATCTTTAAAATTTCTCTTTGACTAGGCATAGAGCAGTGCATCATAGGACAGCAATGTTAGGTCACATCATCCTGCTCAGAAACCTTGAATGACTTCAGAGTAAAGTGCTAGCTTTTTAGCATACCATTCATATTCCTTTAAGACCTAGACTTCTTTTTCTCCACACTCAGCCCTAACTTCTTTATCCATTGCTTGTTCCTACAGTGATAATGGGAATAGCTGCCAATCTGTAAACCCAAAGCATAGTTGAATAACACTGTGCCAAACCTTAATCTAAAATGCACACTCTCAGCTCCATTTCTTAGCTCAAATCTGGATTAGACTAAGTAAGATTATTGTGGAAAAATAATTTTCTTACCTAATAAGAGAATGACTATGACCAGCTGCACTTTCCTCATTTTAACTAGCAGAATCTGAAAATTGACAGCACAAGAATATTTCAGTCCTGTATAAAATCAAGGCTCTATAATATATATAAAACTCATATTTCAAAAGTAGCTACTTATCACTAGATTTCTCTTATAACATTGAAGTTATTCTTTCAAAAATATGATTTCCAAATATGCATTCTTGGAAATTAAAATTCAATGTATTCTTAATTTCATGAATTTCTATTTTTTGAAATTAAAGTTCTAATAATGTTTATGATTTTCTTCCCTCAATCATTTGTAGTTGTTTGATATGAAACTCTCATATAATAGGTGTTCAAGTATTTTGGTTCAATTATTCCCCCAGATGACATCATCAGCGCTAACTAGCTGAAAAAAATTATTTCTCAGTCATGGTAAGCTTAAGTACAAAATATTATAAGAAAAAAATTTGTTTCCAATGAAGAAATAAAAAACTTCTGGAAGAAAATTGTGTGTGTGTGTGTGTATGTGTGTGTGTTTTAGTCTGCCTGTGTGTGTGTGTTTTACTTAAAGGAACTTTTTACAAGCCTCATATTTGAGGAGTTCTTTGTGCAACTTAATGACTCACAGGTAACTCCAAGGAATTAGATGCTATTATATCTTTTGTGTGAATAAGATTTATAGTGCTTGAGTATAGTTGTAGTTAATTATGATATATGTAGATTTGTAGATTATCTCTGGCTTTTTTTCTTAAAAGAGATAATATTAGTTTCTATTTTTAAATTAACCTATATTTCTGAACGAAGTTTCTAGGCTTTTGCAACTATACATTTCATAGAGTTTAGAAACTTTTTGACATAAAACTTTTTGACATTGCCTTAGAAACAAAGCATATAAGAGAAAATTATTAGTTTTCCATACAAAAGTGAGAGCCTTTTTAACATTAAGGTGTTGATTTCATCTGTTTCCCAGAAGATGAATTGGATGGCTCACTTCTGAACAATGGGTAACTTTAGCTCATAAACTGCAAGAAACATTGAACTACCTATTTTTCTTTACATTGCCGTCTTGGAAATGTTGATCAAAATCTGCACTTTATACATTGAGTAAGGAGTTATCACTCTGTTGTAAAGAGTTCATGTGTTATATCACAGATGGTCACAGAACCATCATCATTTGGGACTAAGGTAAGGTGTCATGGAACACCCAAAAATTTAATTGGACCTTGAAGAAATGATGGGCTGTAAGAAATAAAGATAAAACAAAAAGTGTTTCAAGCAGAAAAAAATGGTAACGAACAATGTGTTAGATTTCTTAAAACTCTCTTTGTGAACTATTTTTTTCATCAAGTACTAAGTAAAGGGCAGATTCTCACATTATTTTTGACTTGAACAATTTGGGGTCATAGTTACTTATACACTGGTGTGATTTGGCTGTGTTCCCACCCAAATCTCATTTTGAACTGTAGTTCTCATAATTCCTACTTGTCATAGGAGGGTCCCGATGGGAGGTAATTGAATCATTGGGGCTGTCACCTCCATGCTGTTCTTGTGATAGTAAGTTCTCATGAGATCTGATGGTTTTATAAGGGGCTTTCCCCCACTTCACTCTGCACTTTTCCTTGCTGCCGCCATGTGAAGAAGGGCATGTTTGCTTCCACCTCTGTCATGATTGTAAGTTTCCTGAGGCCTCCCCAGCCCTGTGGAACTGAGTCAATTAAACTTCTTTCCTTTATAAATGACCCAGTCTAGGGTATGTTTTTATTATCAGCATGAGAATGGACTAATACATACACAAAGTAGTGTTTTAAGAAGATAATCAGGAAACGATGTTCAAAATAATTTCAAAATTTAAAAGCAAGCTGAGAGTCGGACTACTTTTTAAATAATTAAATAATCTAAACATAAAACCATGATGATATAATGATGACATACAAAGTGACAGCAGAAACAGAGATCAACACAGTGATTCAAGTTGCAATTTAAAGAATTGGAAGAACTTGGTGACTCATTCACTGTGGGCTGCAAGTTTTAGCCTAAATGCCTAGGCAAATTGTTATTTTAACAGAAGACAGAAGGTTAAAGTGAAAAATATATGGACAAGACAGCTTGTTAGAAAATAAATTTTTAACAAATAGTGAAAAGGTTGTCAGAAGATTAAAGCTGTAGATGTTTCCAAAAATGATAACAAAAAAGACTTGATAATATTGGTGAACACATAACAAAAGCTTTATAAGACTCATTACCTTATATGGCCTTAAGTATTTATCTAGCTCTTTAATTTTTGCATTTAAGGTTAGGTACATGCCTCCCAATTTCAGGCCCTGTTTATATGTGTATAGGATATAGAAATTGAATTAAATTAAAAGATAATTTAAAATACTGTAATTTTGCTTAAATATCTCACTTTTCCCTTATATATTACTTTTTCTCAAAATATCTTAAGTATTGTCCTTTCTAATTTCTCTCCCTTTAAAACATTGTGTTCTGGAGCAAATTTTCAGAACTTTCCAGACTGAAGAGCTTGCAGTTCATATTAAGGGAAATATTTGTAATCTCCTGGGTTACTAAACAACCTTCTTGCACTCATAATTCTTAGAAGACATGTGTTCCTTCCACTTATCAATTTTTGATGCCATGAGTTCTTTAGGTAAATAGGGCTTTTTGAAGAAAATTTGGCAAATATAAAAATATACAAAGAAGATAAAATTTTCATCATCGCCACAACCGTGCTTGGAAATATTTTCGAATTTTTTAAATTTGTGTGAATGTAGTTGTGTTTGTATATGTGCAAACTGGAGTTTTGCAGTGTAGATTATTTTGTGTACTCATATTTTCAATTAATCTTGTAAATTTGTGATATTTAAGCTAATAATCCTTGAAGACATGATTTATAACTGTGGCTTAAATAGCCATGTTACTCAGTTTCCCTCCTCCATTTGTATTTCTTTTCTAAGGCTGCTTCTATAGCATCTATTGAGAAGACACCGGATGAAGTCACCTAGAAACCCTGGTGGCTATTGATTTGAACTGAAAGTAGATAATAACCAAAACTGCAAAAGTGGGCCAATTTCCTTCCTTCCTTCCTTCCTTCCTTCCTTCCTTCCTTCCTTCCTTCTTTCCTTCCTTCCTTCCTTCCTCCTTCCCTCCCTCCTCCCTTCCTTTTTTTTTTTTTCTCTTTTGAAACAGTCTCACTCTTTCACCCAGGCTGGAGTGCAGTGGCATGACTACAGCTCATTGTTATCTCTAATTCCTGGGCTTAATGAATCCTCCCTTCTCAGCCTCCCCAGTAGCTGGGACTACAGGCACATGCCAGCACACCCACCTAATTTTTTAAAAACATTTTGTACAGACGATCTCTCACTATTTTGCCTAGGCTACAACTTGCTTCTTTATAGCATGCATAAAAATAAATGTAAAAAAAAAGATAAAATTGTTCTACATTGAGAAAAAATGAATAAACTAGAGAGAAAAAATGAATAAATAAGTTCTGGATGAAAGAGAGAGGCGAGGAGACAGAGATTAAATAGAGAGAGAGAATCACTGAGAGAGTCAATGTAAACTTATTGTTTCCTGTGATATTTCCAAATCCTGTTTCTCATTTTTCCTGTTACCTTGAAGTATCTAAGACACCTTGTTAGGGTTGACAGATTTAGCAAATGTAAGTACAGGGCATCCAGTTACATTTGAAATTTAGATAAACAATCAATCGAGTGTTTAGCATAAATATAGCATAATAGTGCAAGATTTGGGACAAGTTATGGTAGAAAATTATTTGTTGTTTATTTGAAATAACTATGGGTCATCCTGCATTTTGACAACTCTTCCCCTGGTATCCTTCCTAAAAGACAATTCTTATTTTAGCTAGAGGTCCCTTAAGAGGTTCTCTTTAAGGAGACAAACTGTCGGTGCAACTGCAGCACACGTTTCACTGTATGTTTACACCTGGTTTCTTGAACTACAATATTTCACAATCATTATAAACTTCTGATTCTTCCACTGGCTAATTTCTGCAATCGCCTTGGTTCCAAGATAATAACCACCTCACAATTTTTTCTTCCTTACATAATGGCCTCTAAAAAAAAAAACCAAACTTCCATCTATTTCTTGTCATTTTCTATAGGTCATAATTCTGTGGTCTTCTAGTCCTTCTTTTGAAAAATATTTCTCAACAATATACGTGATACTTGTTATAACTTAACATGAAGAGAAATAAACAGGATGTTAAAAACTTGAAGGTAAATGTTTTATTTTAAGAAACATATTTTTTTTCTTTACTATTTTCTTCTCAGCACCTGCTTGACTTCTCACAGTTCTCAGTATGTTAAGAATGTGGGCATTTTTTACTGCACAGGTGGTATTTGCTTTAATGTTGAAATAAAAAATAAAAGACTTTGCTACATTTCTTTAGGTTTTTCTTATAATGTGTTCATATGCCCTGACTCTTTAACTATTCACATTCATGAAATCAAGATGCAAAATTTTTAATCTATGCTTGGAATTCTGTATAAATTTAGGGAAAGGCATGCCACCAAGTGGTTTCACTGGTAGGTGACTGGTGAAATCGAGCCCTGAACCTCGCTTTGGATGAAAGACATGCACTTTCTGTGTTTCTTTTAACTATATGAAAGCAAGCGGCTCTCAACAAAGATTGTAGATTGTGCATATGGCACCTAAATAGAAAGCATGCTACAGTCTTGAGTGTTTTGAAATGTTCTCTGGTAATACATGACATACATAACATGGATGTGAAACTATTACATTTTAGACTGGATAATTAACTATACTATCAGTAACCTCTTTTTGGGAATATCCATTTCAGGTGAGTCTTTCTTTAAAAACATCCTGGGGTATATAATTGTCTTAAATTGTGAGTGTTTAGGTGCCAAGGGTAGATTATTTTTTCTACTCTTTACTGCACTGTCTTTTCAATCTAAATACATCCAGAAATGAAGAGGAAAAAAAAAGTTTCAGTTTTTCAGTTTTTTAGCATACTTTCCTAACTTCCCTTCAAATGGGTAAAGAGCAATACAGTTACAGAGAAATTAGAATGTACTAAACAGAAATTGTTCATATCTTTAACCTTGAGAATGAAAAGTAAATGTGCTCTTTTGCTCCCTCTAAACAAACATGCAATACTTATATTCATATATATGTACATACACATCTGTTATATATTTATATATTTATCCAAGAAGTGCATTTGACCACTATTCTAGCTCAGAGAAAGATCCTGAGTTGGTGACATTCATTTTCATATATGTTCAGGTGTTTGGCAATTTGTGTTTTATACAACCATTCCACTAGATGTCCAGGACTCCACCTTTTATCTCAAGCTATCAACATGGGCAAAAGTAGGATGGGGGCTGATATGGTTTGAATGTGTTGTCCTCTCCAAATCTTATGTTGACATGTAATCCCCAATGTTGGAGGTGGGGCCTACTGAGAGGTATTGGATCATACGTGCAGATCCCTGGCTTAGTGCCACTCCCAGGCTAATGAGTAAGTATTTTCTCTGAATTTAAGTGAGATCTGGTTGTTTGAAGAGCCTATCTTATCCTTTCTCTCTCTTGTTCCTCCTCCCACCATGTGATACACTGGCTACACTTTAACTTCCGCCACTATTGAAATCTCCCTGAGGCCTCACCAGAAGCTGAGCAGATGTTGGCGCCTTGCCTGTACAGCCTGCAGAACCATGAGCCAAATTAAGCTTCTTTTCTTTATAAATTACACAGTCTCAGGTGACTATCTAAAGGAATGCCAGAATAGACAGACATGGTAGCTATATTAGTTACCTATAGATACTGTAATAGGTTACATATAAAGTAGGCGATTATATATATATATGATATTGGAAAGGTAATATCCTGAGATAAAAGCCACAAACTCAATGGCTTGAAACAATAGAACTTTATTTTCTTAAGTTCTGTAGGTCAGAAGTCCAAAAAAGTGTCCACAAGGCCACATTTCCTCTGAAGGCTCTAAAGGAGAATGTGTTCCTTGCTTTTTCCATCTTCTGAGGGATGCTGGCATTCCTGGGCCCATGGTTATATCCCTTCAATCCCTGCCTTCATCCTCACAATGCCTTCTGCTCTGTGTGTCTGTGTTGTCTCTCTCTATCTTTCTCTTTGACTTGTCATGTTATTTAGGGCCCACCAGAATAATCCAGGATTATTCTCTCACTTAAGAGTTTTAACTAATTACATTGGCAAAGACTCTTTTCCACAATAAGGGTATCACAAGTTTGAGGGATTGGAAGGTGGGTATAGCTTTGGGAACTTTTTTTTAGCCTACAACAGGGCCTAGTTAGACCTAAAGCTACCAATAAGCATCACTCTAACAAGGCAATAACATCATGTGACTTTTTGGCTGTTACCAAGAGGATCTTCATGAGGCCACCTAGAAAGAAAACTAATGGTTCTTTGACACACACACCATATGACCATTCAGGTGAGGGCTTAATGGTTTCTGGATTCCAGTTGATGTGTTGTGCAGGAACTGGGTACTGGTGATAGAATCCACAAGAGGATAACCTGTGAATCTATGGCTACTGACTCAACTCCAGTCCACTTAAAAAAAAAACTATTTGTGTCCCCCATCAACTTCTTCCTCATGATATCTCCACTTTCACTTTCTGACTTTGAGAATCTTTAAGTTGTCTTGAGAGTTAGGGGTTAGGCTTGTCTTTAGAGTTAGGGCTTAGGTCCTAATTTTTGCTCCTCGTCATCATATGTTCCTCAAACATTTATGGACCCAACTCCTGTGAGTGAGAAGTAAATCCCCCCAACCCATATTAATATATAATATTTTATAGAAATATATTCATTTCACTATATAAACAAACCCAGAGAACAGCAAACAGGTTGAATGAAAGTTATTAGTAACACAATGATTATTGCTAAACAAAGAAAAAAATAAACATATTTTGTATAAAAATCAACATGATTACTTCATGAAAATAAATCTTCCAAAGAGAACTATAATATTTTATAAGATTATAATTTGACAGTTTTGATGAAAATTTACTAGTTAAATTTACTAGTTAATTTACTAGAAAATTTACTAGTTAATTTACTAGAAAATTTACTAGTTAATTTACTGGAAAATTTACTAGTTAAAATAATCTGTGAGATTTGACAATTTTGAAATGTTCCAGAATTAAATTATTTAAAATTTTAAAAGATCAATGGCGATAGATAATATATGAGAATATGGAATATGTACAGACTCAGGAAAACTATGAAATGTTCTTTTATAACTAAAACCATATTAATTCAATTTATATTAAAAAACTTTACTAAAGCCTCTAGCTTATTATGATTAGGCATGGTTATAACAGAAAAAAAAGACAAATTATGCCACATTTTGCAACACCTTTCTAAGTTCATCATGGGCTAATTTTCTGGCTCTAATTTATATTAAAAATAAGTTATATTTGTTGTATTTGAATATGGCAGCTGTGTTTTTCTTTTCTATATGTCATCCAAATAGATATTATTTAATTATAAAAAATTTATTTAACAGGACCTTTTCTTCAATGTAATCAGGTATGTTCAGTACACACTATGCCTGCTCAAAATAATTTCACAGCCTATACAGAGTAGGGAGATAATTAAAACACAAATAAACATCTCTGTCACCCAGGCTGGAGTGCAGTGGCGTGATCTCGGCTCACTGCAAGATCTGCCTCCCAGGTTCACGCCATTCTCCTGCCTCAGCCTCCTGAGTAGCTGGGACTACAGGCGCCCTCCACCATGCCCGGCTAATTTTTTTTACTTTTAGTAGAGATGGAGTTTCACCGTGTTAGCCAAGATGGTCTCGATCTCCTGACCTCGTGATCTGCCCACCTCGGCCTCCCAAAGTGCTGGGATTACAGGGGTGAGCCACCACGCCCGGCCACAAATAAACATCTTGATTTTGTCTAAGGAAGTAAGAGGAATTTATCATAAGTATACAGATGTTGCCAGGCATGGTGGCTCATGCCTGTAATCCCAGCACTTTGGGAGACTGATGCCGGCATATCACTTAAGGTTAGGAGTTTGAGACCAGCCTGGCCAACATGGTGAAACTCTGTCTCTACTCAAAATACAAAAATTAGCCAGGCTTGGTGGTGGATGCCTGTAATCCCAGCTACTCAGGAGGCTGAGGCAGGAGAATCGCTTGAACCTGGGAGGCGGTGGTTGCAGTGAGCTGAGATTGTGCCAGTGCAGTCCAGCCTGGGTGACAAGAGCAAGACTCTGTCTCAAAAATAAATAAATAAATAAATGTATCTTGAAGAAACTGTGAGATATAATTTATTCCTATATCCAAGCTGCCCTTGCCTCCTCCACCTCTCCCTCCCTTTTTTATGACCCCATTTGGCATAGCATGGGATCCTATTACCAGCAGTAATTGTTCTATTTTTTTTATGTGCCTTACTTTCTTCATTCTCATAAACCCATTGGCAAAAACAGGTTTCATCTTTTAGTATAGATACCCAAAGGTGGAAAATGGTTCTATATCCATATGCTAATCATCAGGGAGGACCTCGGCACACTTGGTTGAGCGTCCCATCTTTGAACAGATTGAGTGTGGTTGTATGGGCAGAGCGGCATTGCTCAGAGATAATAGCTCCACAATGATCACGTGGATCGAGTGGGAGAGAAGCTATACTGAACAGAAGATTGCTAGCAGACATTTTTTTATGTTTCCACCATTCTGCTCATCAGCACTAGTCCGTTAGTCTTGAACATATTTAAGTCTTGGCTTTCTTTTCAGATATGTCACATCCACTCCTTCCTTCTAAGGAGTTTTGCCTTTGGATGAGAAAACTATATAGGAAGAAAGGAGAAAAATTACTCTATTTTACATTTATTATTCAAATTAGCCCCAATATATTATAATATATTATTTTCTCTCCTTACTATATACTTTAGCTGAGTTGCTTATTTTCTTCTGCTGCACCAATGCAATAGCCTTTGGACAGGGATGCCTCCTTCTGATTGAAACCTTTTTAAACACAGATACCATTACCATCTCAGATAAAATGTGGATATTTCAAGACCTCAGTCTTAAATATTTCACAGATTCTCATGTCTTATTCTAACTGTTGAGAAATTTTCAGTTAACAATAAAGGAAAGGAATCTTTGTGAAAATATGCAAAAGCAAAATAAATCATGTAGTTTAGTAAACAGGAAGTTATGATTAGAAAGATTGTAAAAGGGTGGTTTGTATGTGGGAAATTCTTTATCAGCAATTTCTCATGGCATTCATTACTGATAATTTGTATTATTATTTAATTTATATGTATGCCCCATCTGTTCTACCAGACAGCACCTCAAGGGCAGAATCCACACAATTGACATTGAACCATTTCGAAATTTAACATCAGGATTTGCACTAAATGGTTTTTGTTTGTTTGTTTTTGTTTTTAAAGAAAGTAAAGAAATAAAAGAATGGCTACTTCATGGGAAGACCAGACAGGATTTGCACTAAATAGGTTTATAACATATGGTAAAAGAAAAAAATAAAGAAGGTAAAAGAGCAAAAAAGAGAAACAAAAAGTAAAGAAAAAAGGATAAAAATGGTGGAAAAAGAAAATAGTAGAGGTAAGCATTTAAAGGTATATGGAAGGGAATAGCTGAATAAATATTTATTTTGATACCACATTGGTATAACAACGCTGAGGGAGACAGTATGTTAAGATACAAGTTATAAACTATATGTAAATGAAGAAAGGTATTAAGTGTGCAAGAATTAGTCATAAACTTTTATTTATTTATTTTACTTTAAGTTCCAGGATACATGTGCAGCACGTACAGGTTTGTTACATAGGTAAATGTGTGCCACAGTGGTTTGCTGCACCTATAAACCCATCACCTAAGTACTAAGCCCCAAGTGCATTAGCTAATTATCCTGATGCTCTCCTTCCCCCTGCACCCCTACAGGCCCCAGTGTGTGTTGTTCTCTTCCCTGTGTCCATGTGTTCTCATTGTTTAGCTCCCATTTATGAGTGAGAACATGTGGTGTTTGGTTCTCTCTTCCTGCGTTAGTTTGCTGAGGATAAGGACTTCCAGCTCCAACCATGTCCCTGCAAAGGACATAATCTCAAGCCATAAACTTTTAATTAGAACATTAAGGTTGTTATCCATGGGATCAATAATTCACATATTCTAGTCTAATACTATCCACAAAGTTAGAGGCTTTGAAAAACTTTCCTGGGAAAATATACAACAGTTAATATAGAAACCAGAGAAAAGAAGGAAGCCTTTTTTCCTTTATATTTTCTCCATTTGAAGGTAGAAGTGAAGCTCATTGTCATCAAGTTTATTAATAAGAAGTTAGCCACAGGATTTTAGGGTCTCTTATGTGATGACAATAGAGATGTTTATAATTTTGCCAGAGGATCTTCCCATTTACACTTTATGATAGAGTGTGATATTACTTGAGACTTCATGGTCAAATGTAAGTTATAAGCATACTGTTAACATAACTGGTTAACATATGAAATATGTGTACATAAATTTTTATCAAGCAATCAGCAAATCATTCAAATATTTTCTTAACTTTCTATTTTCTATGTGGTTGCCACTCTATGAGGCAGTGTGGAAAGACAAAAGACATATGTGACATAGCTCATTCCCCTACAAAAGTTAGTGTCTATTTGGGAATGACATGGTAAATACTAAGACTACACATATGTAAAGGCAATATCCTATGATTAGGAGGGAAATTGAAAGAATAATCAGAGGTACAAGAGAGCTAGAAAAGTTGCCCTAGTAAAGGGAGATTCATCAAAAAGTAGAATATGGGAAGCAAGATGGCCAAATACAACTCTCTAGGTATCATCCCCCTGCAAGAACACCAAACTGAACAACGATTCACGCAAGAAAGCAGCTTCATAAGAACCAAACAATTAGGTGAATGATCATAGTACCTGCTTTTAACATAGTAACAAAGAAAGGCACATTGAAGAGAGTAGGAAAGTTAACCTGGCACTGCTTAAACCACCCCTCCCCCAGTCTCAGGAAGCCCTGTATGGAGAGAATCTGTGTGCTTCAAGAGCAAAGTACTGTGGAACTTTGCATTGTAATTCAGGGCTGCCCTTTCACAGCAGAACACAACACAAGACAGAATTCTGCCAGTGCCCACAGAATGAGCATTTAGACCAGCCATGGGCCAGAGGGGAATCTTCTGCCTAAGCAGGAGGAACTCAAGCCTTGGATGACTTCACCACCAGCTAAGTAAAGTGGTCTGGGGCCCTGAATGCATTTGAATGGAAGTTAAGCTACAAGGACTCCAGTCCTTGGGAAAGTCCTGGGGCCACACTGGTCTTGGAGGCAATGGGACTTGAGTGCAGTCCAGTTCAACACCAGCTATAGGGGATATTGAGTGCCTGCATAACCCCTCCCCCAACTCTAGCAGGGCCACTCTATGAGAGACTCCTTTCACTTGGGGAAAGGATAGGGAAGAATACAGAGGACTTTGTCTTGCAACTTGGTACCAGCTCAGCTGCAGTAAAATAAAGCACCAAGTAGATTCCTAAAGCCCCTAATTCCAGGCCTTAGCCCCTGGCCGATGTTTCTAGACCCACCATGGACCAGAAGAGATTCATCCCTGAGATGGAAGGATAGTTCAACATATCCAAATCAATAAATGTGATACTGGCATCAACAGAATGAAGGACACACTATATGAACATTTCAATAGACGCCGAACAATAGTCAATAAAATTCAACCTTCCTTCATGATAAAAACTCTCAACAAACAGGGTATAGAAGGAACATACCTCAACATGATAAAAGCCATATATGAGAAACACACAGCTAGCATCACACTGAATAGGAAAAGACTAGAAGACTTTCTTCTAAGATCTGGAACAAGACAAGGATGGCCATTTTCACCACTGTTATCCAACAGGTACTGGTAGTCCTAGCCAGAGCAATTAGACATGAGAAAGAAATAAAGGCATCCAAATTGGAAAGAAACAAGTCAGATTATTCTTGTCTGCAAATGATATAATCTTATATTTAGAAAAACCTAAAGACTTCACCAAAAACATTAGGACTGATAAATTCAATAAAGTTGTAGGACATAGTATCAACATAGAAAATTCAGTAGTATTTCTACATGACAATGGTGAGCAATCTGAAAAAGAAACCAAGAAAATATTCCCATTTGCAATAGCTACAAATAAAATAAAATACATAAAAATAAACATGACCAAAGATGTGGAAGATAAAAATAATAAAAACTATAAAACATGAATTAAAAACTTTGAAGAAGGCAAAAAAAAAAAAAAATAGAAAAAGTTTCCAGGCTTATGGATTGAAAGAATCAATGTTGTTAAAATATCCCTAGTATGTAAAGCAATCTACCGATTCAATGCAATATCTTTCAAAATACCAATGACATTTTCATGGAAATAGAAAAAAAAATTATATCATTTTATGGAACCATCAAAGACCCAGAATAACCAAAGTCATTCTGAGCAAAAAGAGCGAAGCTGGGGGCACCACATTACCTGACTCAAAATTATACTTCAGTGCTATATCAACCCAAACAGCATGATACCAACATGAAAACAGACACATATGCCAATGGAACATAATAGAGAACCCAGAAATAAATCCATACATTTATGGTCAACTCATTTTTGACAAAGCTTCTAGGAACATACATTGGTGAAAGAACAGTTTCTTTAGTGAATGGTGCAGGAAAATGTGGATGTCCATATGCAGAAGAATGAAACTAGACCTTGCTATATACAAAAGTCAAGTTAAAATGAATTAATGACCTAAACCTAGGACATGAAACTACTAGAAGAAAGCATTGGTGTGACACTCAAGGACATTGGTCTGGGTAAAAGTTTCTTGAGTAAGACCTCAAAAGCACAAGCAATGAAAAAAAAAATGGACAAAAAGGATCACATCAAGCAAAGAAAACAATCAGTAAAGTGAAGAGACAGCCCACAGAGTGAGAGATAATATTTGCAAATTACCCATCTAATAGGATTAATAATCAGAATGTATAAGGAGCTCAAACTGCTCAATATGAAAACATAATAATAATCTAGTTTAAAAATGGGCAAAATACCTGAAGAGACATTTTTCGAAGGAAGACGTAAAAATGGCCAACATGGAAAAATGCTCAACATCACTCATTTGCATTTGCATTTCTCTCATGAGAATGCAAAACTACAATGAGATATCATCTCACCCCAGTTAAAATGGCTTTTATCAAAAAGACAGGCAGTAACAGATGCTGGCAAGAATGTGAACTCTTGCAGACTGTTCATGACAATGTAAATTAGTACAACCACTATAAAGAATACTGTAGACGTCCCTAAAAAAAACTAAAAATAGAACTACCACATGATCTAGCAATCTCACTGTGGGGTATATACCCCTCAAAAAAGAAATCAGTATATCGAAGATATATCCACACTCCCTTGTTTACTGTGGCACCATTCACAATAGCCAAGATATGAAATTAACCTAAGCAGTGTCCATCAATGTTTAAATAGATAAAGAAAATGTGGTACAAATACACAATGGAATATTATTCATCCGTAATAAAGAATGAAATTCTGTCTTCTGAAACAATGTGGATGGACCTGGAGGACAGTTAGGTTAAGTGAAATAAGTCAAGCACAGAAAGACAAATATTACATGTTCTTACTCATATGTGGGAGCAAAAAAATATTGAACTCGTAGAGATAGAAACTAGAATGATGGATATCAGAAGCTGGGAAGAGAATAAAGAAGAGGTGGTTAATGGGTACAAAATACAGTTACATAGAATAAGATCTAGTGTTCAGTAGCATAACAGGGTGACTAAAGTTAACAATACTTTACTGTATATTTCAACATAACTAGAAAATTGGAAATGGAATGCTCATAACACAAAGGAATGATAAATTGGGTGGTTTCCCAATCACCTTGACTTGATCATTACACACTATATACATATCAAAATGTCATATGTACCTGATAAATATGTACAACTATTATGTGTCCCCAATAGCATGTTGTCGACCCTAAACAACAACAACAACAACAACAAAACCCAGTACAATATAAACAAGGTCTTGAAACAATATGTAGGGTTTGGGCAAATCATTTGGGCTTTGACAAAATTTCATGATTCCACAGCAATTGAAACAACTAAAGAAATTTATTTATTTTTTATCTTTGTATGAGAGGGTTGGGGGGTTAGGGTGGTGACAGTGTAATCATTGTATGTAATTTTATGTTTGTCTTTTTTTTGTAACCTGTAAAGAAAATGTGATAATGATGATTATTTCATAATCAAATTGATGTTTTCTTTTTTGCTTCATATTAAACCATTCTCTGCAGAATATGCAGAGGCTGCCATCATGTCTTACCATGTTTATGTATTTAATTCTAATTTAAAACAGCAGTTGCAAAACTCATCAGATGCTGGGAGGTCAAACAAAATCAACCTTCTCAGAATTATTTCATAATCTGAAGATACTATAAAAAATAACATGAGCTTTTGGGAGGTAGGATATTAGCGACTTACTTAAAGGCATTTCTGTCTACTATCCAGGATCTACACTTACATTAAACATACAACATAATGTGGATGTAAGTATCCCCTTTCCTTGTGGTTTCAGTTCATTTTACCTGCCTGGGTATATCAATGTAATTGGTTATAGCAATAAATTTTGTGTTACAAAACATATTAGATAATAATTAGATAATGAGTCTAAAAGACTTTTTTTTCTTTTAAACATGCAGTCTATTTATTGATTCAAAATCTCATAATCTTATCCATTCAATTTCTTGTTTGATGGGTCTCACTTTTTTCCTAAAGGAGACATTAGGACAATCATCATAAAGACTGTCTCTTATTGTGAAATATCATATGTCTGTAATGGACATTAGCTTAACTAGACTGGAAGTTGTTCTCCCTCCCTCAAGAGTTGTGTTTATACCTTCTTCAAGACGTGATATACTCAGTAGCCAATCTACATTAGTGGGAGATGCTATTTATCAGGATTCTTGCTCTGTCTGGTGAAACTACAAAAGAAGTAAAAATACTGTTTGAAATATTGATGGGAAATTTGAATGGAAAATTCGATGGGAATGAAAATTCCGTCATCACCATGTCTTTCCATAATTTAACAGTGTTTCACATATTGAAAGTCAAAAACATATTTAGCAGCGCCTGTGAATAGTTGAGGCACAGATGCCTAGCACCTGTTGGCTACAGGTCTCTGCGTGGCAAAGTAGGTCAGGAACACAGAGGCTTCACACTCAAAATGCATAAGTTCAGGGATTTACAACACTATTTAACTTTTTTAAAACTTGGATATTTAATGAAACTAAAGAAAAAAACTTGGCTGGGCGCGTTGGCTCACGCCTGTAATGCCAGCACTTTGGGAGGCCGAGGCAGGTGGATCACGAGGTCAGGAGACCGAGACCATCCTGGCTGACACGGTGAAACCCTGTCTCTACTGAAAATACAAAAATTAGCCAGGAGTGGTGACGGGCGCCTGTAGTCCCAGCTACTCGGGAGGCTGAGGCAGGAGAACGGCGGGACCCCGGGAGGCGGAACTTGCAGTGAGCTGAGATTGTGCCACTGCACTCCAGCCTGGGCGACAGAATGAGACTCTGTCTCAAAAAAAAAAAAAAAAAAAAAAGAAAAGAAAAAAACTATAATGGATGAATAAAAATAGAAAACAAAATTCGAAAACAAAGTCGACTCATTGTTTTACCAATAAACACAAAGATAATAAGCAAAGATGCATATTACTGAATCCTAAACACACCGGTAATAAAAAACTAGGAGATGACTAATATAAAGAAGTGGAATAAAAGTTGTTTGGCAAAACAATAAACATCAAAATTAAATATATATGTATATAATATAAAAAATAAATCCTCTTATATATAGGAAAACCTTAAAGGCATTTATATTAAGGACAGTACATCTCTCTTCTTATGTACCCACCAACTAGGGAAAGAGGGCCAAATGTGTCTTTATATTGCTCAAAAACATATTATAAATTTGCATATGGATATGTAGATTTTCCCATAATTAAGTTACAGTGTGGATATTCATTAACTATGTCAATAAAATAGTTATGCTTTCATTTGTATTGGAAACTATATAATTGTCTGCATGTAGGTTTAAATTATTGCAATTGTATTTGACCCATCTCTAGTCAAAGTGTTTGAAAACACCATAGGTGACCACTTCCAATGAAATAAATATTGAAACTAGAAATCACTGGCATGCAGACACCCACATCACTTAAAGAACAAAAACAATTCAGCTATGAAATCACATAGATTACAACAAAAACGTTTGGGCAGGGTGATGACAGTCACACATTGTGTGAAATCAAGCCATTCATTTTTCATGGGAGCTGACAGATGAGACTACAAGGCAGGCAGCTAACAGAAGCAGCCACTACTGTAAAATGTTTAATAAATGCCAGAATGAACAGTTGGAGATGCAGCCACCTCTCCAAATTAGTCAAAATTACAACCATATCCTAGTATAGTCTGAGATAAACAGAAGGAATTAGTCCACTCTGAAGCTCTTGTCCTTCCCTCCAATAACAGGGAACAGAAAGATATGGTTTGGCATACGTACTACTAATTTTCATCTCCAACAGACAGTTCAATACCACGAGGAGTCAAAAGCAGAGTTAACCTGATTCCTTAAAAGTAGCACTGCTTTTCAAATAAGCAGCAGTATAAATACTGTTAGATGTTTGCTAATACACCATAACCTTCTTATGTGAAAACTATTATTAAGAAAATACTCGTGCCTTACCAAGTTTGAAAATTTTGTTTCTCTTTTTTAATCTTCAATATGCAAGACTTTGATTGGGCAGTTGTGTGTTGTTCGTTAGGTAAGCGACAGAAGAAGGCTATTATACTCATTCTTTAAAAAGAATTCTTTACTGAGTTATTATTAATTTAACGTTTCTCCAATCCCTGGGTTCTTCTCTTCTATACAGAAATAATATGAATTTTTGGCTTAAATATTGGAGTGATTTTGTTTCAATAAGATAGTTAAATCATTTTGAACAAATGTAAGAGGCTTAAAATTGCTAAATTGTTTGTTGATTTTGTTGCTGTTTTTAATCATCAGACATTAGTGCATATATGGTCTCCCTAAGGCCAAAGTTGGATTATTTTTGTGCCACATTGTAAGAGCTGAGTTTGCATCTTTTACTAAATCTACTATTTTGAGAAAATAAATAAAGCAAAACCTATAATATAAAGAAGACATTTGTTTCTGGTGGTGATTCAGAGTATTTGTTTGGAGTATAAAAATAAAATAAGAGGCATGTATTCTAATGACTAAATAGCAAAGTGAGATTCCATGGAAAAATATTAATCTACGTACATCCATAAATCAAGAAAACTACACAGGTGATCTTGCCACTATTGTGCCAATTTAAATATATCTAGCAACCAAAAGAATGCTGTAGAAATCTGTCCAGATTTTCACATGACTCTAATCATTAAATAAGCTCTGCTTCAGTCTGGTTGTTTGGTATGCAAAGTCCTAGCCTTAGGATACTGAAACAGTGTATTTTTTTAATGGATAATATTATATGAATTACTGTTTTTTTCAATAATGAAAATAATTTTTAAAGAAAGATTAACTTTTATTCTTTAACTATTTTTCAGTAAATACAGAAACAAGTTGTATATTGATGCCTGGCATTTGATGAAACACATGACTATTTTCTGGGACTCCAAAGATATTTAGGAGACTGTTACACGGGATATAATGCTGATAAGGATTATAGAGTTGGAAGGGTTAACATATGTATTCTCAGGGCAACTGCGAAAGGAGCAGCATTTAGAACTGTCATTTAAATTTAGTGTGAGATAATGGATGTAAAAGTATTTTGTAAACAGTTAATACTTGTAGAGAGTATTGTTATTTTCCAATAACATTGTAGGCCTCTCTTTTTTGTTCAGCTGTTTTATATTTTGAAGACAGCTTATATTTTGTTCCAATCTCACACAGTAGGTCATGATTAAAACTCACATAATTATGATCAGTCATCTCCTTTGTTGATGATCTGTCAGATACCCAGACTGAAGTCTAAAGGTTAGTTCATGAATGGGCATATGACCCAGCTGGGGTCATGGACAGCCAAGGGGAAGCATACTGGAGATTATGGATGAAAGTCCTTACTGTTAAAAGAAAGTTAGGAAGAATAAATTGGTCTTAATTTGCTAGATATGCAAATGAAAGGCTTAGGAAAGCTAGAGCCATTTTTCTACGAACATGAATGATTAAGAGGTACCCCAGAGGGCCCAGAGTAGTGACCCATGCCTGTAATCCCAGCACTTTGGGAGGCTGAGGCAGGCAGACCACATGAGGTCAGGAGTTTGACACCAGCCTGGCCAACATGATGAAACCCCTACTCTACTGGCAATACAAAAATTACCCAGGCTGGTGGCATGTGCCTATAGTCCCAGCTACTCTAGATGCTGAGGCACGAGAATCACTCGAACTCAGGAGGCGGAGGTTGCAATGAGCCAAAACCATGCCACTACACTCCAGCCTGGGCAAAAGAGTGAGACTTCATCTAAAACACACACACAAACACAAAACCACAAAACAAAACAAAAAAACAGAGATACCCCAGAGGAGGGAGATACCCAAACAATTAGAGAAATGAGACCACACTGGCTGAATTAAATCCAAATAAAGCCTCTTATACATCTGAATTCCAATTGTATGAGCTAATCAAGTTTCTTATTTTTAAGTCATTTTAAGTTTTCTGTAACTATTGACAAAAGCAGTCTAAGTAATCAATGCAATCCTATAAAAATGTAGTGAATAAAATGCCTGAATAATATAGCCTACCACTGTAATTTTAAAATAACACTGGCCTAACAAGTTTGAAATGGCCTAAAAGTATGATGACATATGGATAAACCATCAATGATTGTAATAGAAAGTCCATCTCAAATGGTTTTATCTTAGCTGAAAAATAATGTAGTCAGATATTATAAAGGGATGATATAAAATACAGTAAGTCATTGTCACTTCAAAACTACATATGTAAATTCTAATCCTATATTTTAAATGATGTGTTAAAAGCCCCCTTTTCACCTTTAATAAATATGGTAACAAAACTATAAATATGTATATGAACATAATTATTTTCAAACTGATTTCAACATTTAAAAATAAGGCAAACCCCTCCAAAAAGCACACAAAAAAACTGACTTCAAGTTTATCTTGAATTAATACAGAATATAAATTCACTTATTAATTTCCCCTTGCAAATTTTTATGGTTATATCGTTATCTAGTAGAGAGCATGAAAATATAATTTGTAAGGTGCAATCTGAAAAATAAAGAAAATGGCAAAAAATTGCTTTAGAAATTGTATTTCTGAGATGAATATAGGTAATGAGCAGTATTTTCATTCTAAAGAAAAATTGCAAAACATAACTGAAAAATTACTATCATTATTAGAAACATACTTGGCTAAAACATGTAATTTTATTGGCATTTATAAAACATCTGTCATCCTCATAAAATACAATAAAATATGCTTAAACTAAATTTATCTTAATTATTCATTTATGATTTTCTATGATATGAATTTAAAAATAATAATAATATAACATTTTACAAATAGTGCCTACATACATTTAATCTTAAAAGTGCCCTGGAAATTTATAGAATGAGGAAGAGAAACTCAGAGGGTTCTGTGACTTCTACAACAATGTATAATTACTAAATAGTTAAGATTCTACTGAGGCTTCTAACATAATTTCTTAAGCTATGGTCCTTCAAACATTTAGAAAAAAAGAAATATTTGCACTTACATGATAACCTATTTAGAATGTTTTCTTTTACCAATTTTTTATAGATATAGCATATTTATAAAGTAATAATAAGTAATTAAGAATTGCATATTTTTTGAAGTCCCATGGTCACATTTGCATAAAATTTATTTCATAGATATTTAAGTGTATACTTATCTTGCACATCCTGTGGGAATATAGTTTATCCCATTATTGTTAAAACTTTTTTCTATATGAGATTTTGATGAATATTGTATTTCATTCACGATTATCTAATTTATGATTATGTTGATATATTTTACATATGAAACCATTCAAAATCAATATATGTTTTGACTTCAACCAACAGCACACCATTTTTTAAATTACTGTGTAATCAACTCAATATGTACAACCAAGATGTCTGTGTCTATTGATCATAAAATTACAGTAAAGGAGAAAGGATATTTTTTATGACGTATCTCCCTACTATTAATATCTACAGTACCAATAACCATGCAATGGATATAGTAGTGAAGGAAATGTTTTTTGTCTTCAAATAATGTTTTCACCAGTAGACACTTATGATTAACTGGGCACAAAAAGGAAGGTGTGGTCAGATTTGTATGAGGGAGAGATTAATAATAGTATCTGAGTGTCAAAAGTTAATTAGACATTTTCTAAGCTGGCTAGAATGAGAAAGGAATTTTAATCAGAGGGAGCAACATAAATGACAATACAGATACTTACACATCCAATTAATCATGTCTATTAAGCACCCACTCAGGCTTACTCTGCTGCTTGGATAATGGAAAAGTTACATAAAGCATTGTCAAAGTATTAGTGTTCCCTAAATCAACACAAAAATAATGTTTTTTTTTAAATTTTCCTACTGAAATTTTCTTAGGGTGACAATGAATATCAATAGTAAACTCAAGAAGAACAGATAGTAATGTGCTTTCAATTTTTTAAAAAGATTCTAAGTCATACTATAAAGGTATGTATAATTACTAAATACTTAATAAGTTCTAATCATTACCACTATAGCGTTTTGCCCTTCTGTTTCCATTTTTACCCAAATAAAAGAGACAATATTAAAAAAAAATGTTGGCTAGCATATTCTGGATTGCCTGTGCATACCACCTACATTCCACCAAAAATTGCCAGTCTCTATGCACTGTGTAGACATGGCAACTAAGTTATTTTGGGTAAGTCATTTGTTTTATTTGCAACACATGAGCCTTCATTTTCATGGAATAGAGAAAACCCAAATAATACTAAAGTGCTCTATAGAATATACTGGAGTCAATTTTAAAGACAATTACTTTTATTTAATACATTTGAGCTTTCAAAATTATGTTTACTTTTTAAGCATATTTCTGAAATTTTATATTCTCAGAATACATTTCTCTCTGTATATGCAGAATTGTAGAATTTCCAAAGAAGTATTACAATTTAAGAGATAATTTAAGGCAGCATACTAAGAAGGCTCATCTTTAGTAATGGAACAAGAAAGAAAACTCAGATGAATTTAAAACTTCAACTACGACTTTACAAAGACCCCAAAAAAGTGAGCTTAATCAATGCAAGGATAAGCATTCATTCCAATTGCTCTAGAGATGTTTTATAAAACAAATAACTTTTTGTTTGAATTTTTTTCACATTTCAAATTCTGCATACAACTAGAAAATACATATTCTTTTTTTGTATCTGGCCATAAAAATTATGGGATTCAAATTGTTTTTAATATTCAATATTTTATATTTATTTGTCTCTCATAATCGAGATTTCCACAGGAAAATATGGATCTTCTTGCCTTATACTCAAGAATTATGGGGACATTAATTGCCAGATGTTATATTCTTTTGTCCTGCAGTAGGCACGGCTCTGTCTCGAATGTCACTGGATATGGGTTGATTGGATAGCATGCAGACCCACCTAGGAAACCTCAAGATTCCATTTAGTCTTTCCTCTATAAAGCAAGAGCTGTGTGATATTTAAAAGAATATCACTTGCCTATCTAAGCCTCAACAGTTGCAACTGAAAAGACAGAATAATAAGAGTATAATTTCTTAGAGTCTGGGATTCAAAGTAACATTAGATGTCAGAAGCAAGGCTAATTTGATTTTGGATGTCTTTACTTGAACCAGAAATTCTTTACTAAAACTCAAGAAATGATAGTCTATAATTATCTGATATAGAAACTTTGAAATTTTATATAGTAGAACTTACAGATAGCACAATGCCAGAAGTTCATGCTTTGATACAAGTGTTCGGCTAGAAATACATACCAATGACAGGTAATTTTAAATATGGCTAAAGCAAAAAAGACCTAATTGAGCAAAGAAGAGAAAAAGAGGACCAACAACTAAACAAACAAAGAACGAATTGAATTTTGCTACTTATAGATACGCTGGGCTCCTTGTGAAGGAGAGGCAATAGTGGCTGGGATATTGACATTCTAGAGGCAACAGAAACTAAAGATGCTCCATAGGAGGTGCAAGAGTAAAGTTCAAAGCTTGAAATCTGAGTTTAGGGTGGAGCTGGCCCATGCTCTACAATGGAGAATAAATAAAATTCCCAGTCCAATCATAGGCTTGGTTATCATTTACAGAAAGTTCTATGTATCAGGAGGCAATAAGACATGGAAAGAAGCAGGCTTGCCTCGAGAGTATGAACTCATCTCCCCATTCAGTAGTTAACTATATCTGTAATATCAAAAGAAGACAAGAACCCAAAGCAACATTACAAAATGGGGTTGTACATTGGGGACCCTGGGTGATAAGTTGCCAAAAAAAAAAAAAAAGCTACATAAGAAATACTGAAAGAAAGAATAAGACAGAGAGAAAGAAAACTATAAACAAACACAAAGAATGGGCCAGCCAATTGACCTTGTATAAAATTTTTCAAAAATATGTAAAAATTCTGATGCTAAAACAGGTAATAGTAAACATATTTTTTAAAACACCATTTAAAAGACATCAAAAATATTCTATACAAAGTAGTACATTTAAAATATTCACAACCTTTCACTAATATTTATAAAATATTGCTGAAAGATTTTAAGAAGATCTTAATGAATGAACACAGACTCAATGTTCTTAAAGACTCAATATTATTAAGATGTCAATTCTTCCCAAATTGATTTATAGGCTCAATAAAATACCTATCAAAATTCCAACAAGCTCTTGTTATAGAAGTACAAAAGCTGAATCTAAAATTTATAACTAAAGTAGTCAAAGTGAAGTGGCATCACTGTCTGGGATAAATACATGAAATTTCTTGTCTCACAGCCACGTAAAACTAGGAGAAGAACACAAAGAGTGAGGTTCAGAGAGGAAGTTTAAAGGGCAAAAGAAAGAGAAAATCTCATGCCGGGCATGACATGCCTGTAATCCCAGCACTTTGGGAGACTGAGGCAGGGGGATCACTTGAGATCAGGAGTTTGAGACCAGCCTGGCCAATACAAAAATCAGCAGGGTGTGGTGGCACGCACCTGTAAACTCAGCTACTCGGGAGGCTGAGGCAGGAGAATTGCTTGAACCTGGGAGGTGGAGGTTGCGGTGAGCCAAGATCTTGCCACTGAAACCCAGCCTGGGTGACAAGAGCAAGAATGTCTAAAAAAAATAAATAAATAAATAAATAGAAAAGAAAAAGAAAGAGAAAATCTTTCTCTGCTGCAGAGAGGGGTGCTGGAGAAACGGGTTGCTGGTTCCCTGGTGGAATGCAAAGGGTTTTATATATGGGCTTGAGGAAGTGGTGTCTGATTTACATAGGGCACAAAAGATTGGTCAGACCAAGTGTGTCATTTGCATAAGGCGCAAAAAACTTGTTAGGACTAGGTGTACATTTGCATAGTGCACGGGAACGGGGCTGCCCCCACCCTAATCTTTTATCACGCAGACGTGTTCGCTTCCTGACCTGCGCCATGTTGCCTGTTTCTTTACTGTACATGTGCTGACGAAGAAAAGGGAAGATGGAGCCTCCATGTTGAACATGCCTGGCCCTCAGGTAACCCTTTTCTGTTGAAACAACTGCTGGCATTCACCTGTGCAAGCTTCCAGCTTGCTTATCGGTGTTTGCAGCTCGATATTTCAGGCTGCTCTTTGTTAGAAAATAAATGATTTGGGGGCTGCTTTTTGTTAAAAGGGAAATTCTGCCGAGGACTCTGTTCTCCTTACTATCTGCCTAAATAATTTCTTTCTAGCTCCTGTATCAAAAGCATTTTTTAATATTGTAAATTTGGAATATTATATTACCTGATTTTAAGACTGCTTTAAAGCTAGAGTAAATTAAATGTGTGAGATGAACATAAGAACAAACATATGGATAAGTGAAACAAAACGGAGTTCAGAAATAAACCCACACGTATATAGAAAATTAATATTGGATCTAGGGGCGAAGTAATTAAATTTAGGAAGTTTTTTTTCATTTAATGATACCAGAACAAGTGACTATTCCTGTGCACAAAAATAAACCTTGCTTCTTTCCTCATATATATCAAAATTAATTGAATGCCAAAATTGGAACCAACCTAAATGTCATCAACTGGTGAATGGATGACCAAATTGTGGTTACATTTTACAATGGAGCACTGATCAGCAATACAAAGAAACAAATAACTGATAGACAACTGATAGGAAAAAATCCATCCTGCTAAGTGAAAGAAGGAAGACACAAATGGCTACCCTGTGTATAATTTCATTTAGATAAATTATAGAATACATAAAATTATAGCAACAGAAAACAAATCAGCTGTTGCTAGAGGCTCAGGGTAAGGGTTGGCAATTGATTGAAAAGAGTACAAGGGGAAATATTTTAGTTAGTGAAAGGAATTCCACATCATTGAGATAATGGTTACTTGACATTTATCAAATTCATCAAATTTTATATTTAAAATTGGTCAAATTTCATATGTAAATTATGTACCTAAATAAATTGACTTACAAAAAAATAGATCTTTTCAACTTAATATAGGGAAAACTGTTGTCAGCTTACACTCTTATAACATGCAATTTACCTGTCATGCATGGGAAAATAATAACATTTTGGTATTTACATAAAAATTAGTATTTAACACCAAAAATCAGTTCATCAAAGTGAACATTATTGGGGCACAGAGAAAAATAACCCAAAATTGGTGCTTTGGCATGCTAAGCACTTTTAAATTAAAGGCAATTAGAAGGCCTAGAAGCTACCTGAGAATCAAGGACTTGCTAGCTTTCTCTTTTTTCTTTCTCCCAAGTTCAGGGAGTGTCTGTCTCTGGAAGTTATCTGTCTGAGAAAAACTTCTTTCAAAAAAATGCAATTGCCTTAAGACCTTCTCCCTAGAATTCTTATCAAATTATCAGAAAAGATTAACCACCAGAGAAGAGGAAATACTAAACTTTGCCACCATGCTAAGATAGCCTTTCCAGCTATTCTTTGAGACAGCTCTAGAGGTTACCTGGGATACTTTACTTGCATAATAAGGTAACTTTTGTTCATGGCTAAGTTCCACCCCTCACCTTCCCACCACCTTCTCCTGCCAGAGCTCAGAGGAACTTTGTCCCTGGCTATTGCCTGTTGTTTGGGCTCACATATCTCTCCTGAAAATCACTTAACTACCCCTCATAATACTTACATTCCCTATCTTCCTCTCTCCTGTGAGGAGTGTGCTCTTTAAACCTCAACCATCTGACTCTTCCTGGAGTCTCATATTTGGAAAACCCCTTTATCTATGTGCAGATTAATCGATTTACATGCCTTTTCTCCTGTTAATCTGTCCATTATAAGTATATTTTGACAGGATGACTCAATCATCAACCCTTCAGAGAAAAGGTTTAAACTTTACTACAACATTGAAAGATAAATATATGAGAGGACAGAAATAATCAGTTACAAGCAACATTGTTAATCAATGAAAAATAATAAATTTAACTGTACATATTTCAAAAATAATTATTTTGAATTAAAATAAGAAAATCTAAAATTCTGAACAATAATAAGATGAAGGATGAAGAAAGTTTAATAAGCAGCTAGAGTAAGTTCTTACTAAGTTCAGGCAGTGGATTAAAATATTAATAACTAAAATGCAAGAAAAAATAGCATTAAATAGTTTTGCATGATAAAGCTTTAATACCAATTTCTAAAAATTATATTTCAAACTAAAATAGAATAATATGAAAAAAATTAGCAATTCAAGGCCGAAACGGAGGGAAAAACAGAAAAGGATGGTAAATAGCACAAAATGAGATTAAACTAATATTAATTATATCAGTAATTACAATAAATGAAAGAATATTAAATTACCTATTTAAAAAAACAAAGGTGTTAAGTTCGGCTGAAAAATATAGCAAAGCACATGTAAAACCTACAGAAAAATGAAAACAAAAGGATAAGCCATTTTATAGGCAGCAATCAATAATCCAAAATTACTCACATATAAAAACTAATAAGTAAAAAGAGAATATTACAAAATGACAAAAGGAATAATCTACTATAAACTTCTATGCTTCTAAAAATGTATCTTCAAAATATATACAAACCACATGTAAAATTTTTGAAGGCAAACATTGAACAATTTACAGTTGTTAGGGACATACAATCTTGATGAAGGATTAGTAAGAATTAGTACAATTTGAAAATCCAGTTTTATACATGTATAACTTATTTATATAGATACATACATACATATATATTTATTGTTTCAAAAATTTCAACAATTTTTATTGAAAGTAATTGAAACTCAAAGACAACTCATAATAGTTTAAGAAAACAATGCAGTGCACACTGCAATTCGATTCAAAATGAGAGGAGGGAAGTGCCCTGGAAGCCATTCACCTCCTTTACTTGAAGTGGAAGAGTTGTCTTATTAAAAAATAACAAAACAACAAAAAGCCTATAACCTACATAGCATAGTGACCTCATCTTTTCAACTCTATCTCTAAAGTAAATAGGCTAGCAATATTTTTTACAAAGAGGAGGCCTTGCCTCTGAAATGTCCTTACCAGGACATCACTCGCTAAGGGCAGAACCTAGGATCTATGAAGCTATACAACTGTTTGAAGTATAAAATACAGAGGTTTCATAATTTAAATGATCTAGCTATATGAGAAACTGCACGACCCTCACATTAAGATCATTTATTCTAGGCCAGAAAAGCATGTCTGACTGGGAAAGACAGACACAAGTAACAACCCAGTCCTGGACCTCTCTCTTTGAGCCTTTTGTTTGCCTGTATCCTTAAAATTACTTAGAAGAGTGATACTGGGTTAGATGTCTGGCTTGTGTGCATCTGATTTGATAGTCTAATTCTGTGTGTTTGCTCAATGATAAAGGGAAATATATTTTTATATTATAATCACTTATTGAAAAATTTAAAATACATTTCTTAATAACTCACAGATTAAAGAAGAAATCAGAGTAGAAAATATAACATCTTTTTGAATAAAACAATGATGAATGTGTCATTTGTAAAAAATGTCAGGGTGTAGCTAAAATAATAAATATAATTTTAGGTTTTCAGTGAATTTATGTGTAATAATGAAGTTTCAAATATGTGATACACTTATGTTAAATAAAGGAATAGGCGATAAACAAAGAAATATATTGAAGAAAAATATGTGTATAAATGGACAAATAGAAAACTAACAGTCAAGCAAATAGACAGTAAAAAATCCGCTTACTTAAAAAGAAATAGACATTTATCAGTCTAAATGGTATTAATTCTTCAAAATTCCATATAAAAGGTAACTTTACCTGATTTATCATACATTAAAACCATACAATTAAAAGGGAGAAATAGAAACATTGTTAAAAGATTGAAGAAGAGTTAAATATGAGAAAATGCTATGAACAAATTCTTGCTTAAAAATTTAAAATGGAGGAAAACTGGCACTTTTATGTAAAAATATTCATTATCAAATTTACTTGGGAAAAACATAGGATCATTTTTAAGATCACAATTTTTAAAATTTAATTTTTTTTGAGGTCCCTATATCCCTGCAAATCGCACTGGATATGTATTATTCTATGATCATATTCTATCAAGTCTCCAACTTGCAGTTAGTTCCTGTGTTATCCAACACATTTTAGAGAATTCAAATTAAACATAAAAAGGAAATGTTACCAAACTCATTTTATGAGGATACAATGAAAGAAGTGAGAACAGAAGTGAGAGCAGAAAATAACATTAAAAAATCAATATGAATATAGACATTAAGCACTAAGTAAAATATTACGAAGCTGAATTCTTCAGTGTATTAAAAATGCATCATAGTCAAGTAAAATTTATATAATGAGTGCCTTTTGGGGAGATATTAGACAATAGTTAATAACATTGCAGACCTGCCTATGGAATTCCAGTTCTTACTCTTCAGCTATTCCACCTGAAGTATTTTTCTCTAAAAGCACATTTACACATAAATATGTATAATGAAACATACTAGATGACTCATTGTCATATGGTTTGTAAGATACTCTGAATATTGAGGGGAAACCTACATGCTATTTAATAGGGAATAAAGAAATAAACATTTGTATGATGGAAAAAAGTGAAAATAATTGACTAGAGCTGTTTACAGCAACATTGTTATATATAAAATTAAATTAAAAATTAATATTTCAGAGAGTTACATAAATTATGACAAATTCATGTAAAGTTTAAAAACATTCTGAACAATTCTATTATTATATTTGGACATATATGTATGCAGTGAAAATAAAAAAGCAGGCATGGAAATGATAAACTCAAAATTTAGGATGGTATTTACCTCTATGCAACAATAGGAATATATAGAAGCTTTTAAATTGTTATTCTTAATATATTTACTTAAAAAATATATATACTGACATAAATATCCTGGAATGTTTATGTCTGAGAAAGCTAATCATGGTACATGAATGTTATCATTTTATGTATATTTTTAAACAATTTAAAATAAAAAACAATGTTAAAAAATAAAATTGGCCAGGCACGGTGGCTCACGCCTGTAAACCCAACACTTTGGGAGGCTGAGGTGGGTGGATCACCTGAAATTAGGAGTTTGAGACCAGCCTGGCCAACATAGTGAACCCCGTTTCTACTAAAAATACAAAAAGTAGCCAAGTGTGATGGTGTGCACCTGTAATCCCAGCTGCTTGGGAGGCAGAGTCAGGAAAATCGCTTGAACCCAGGAGGCAGAAGCTGCAGTGAGCCGAGATGGTGCCACTGTACTTCAGCCTGGGCAACAGAGAAAGACTCTGTCTCAAAAATAAATACATAAACATAAAAAATGAAATAAAATTATATTCAATCATGTATTTCTGTAAACATCAAAAATGTTTAAATCTGAGTTCTAAAAGCATAATGGTTTGTTTACATTGTCATACAAATCTGGAATTAGATAAGAAGAAACCAGTTTGAAAAGATTATTAAAATAAGGTGAAGGGAACTCTTGATGGCAATGGGAGAAAGTTCCTACCATAAGATCTGTAAAAGTCTTCAAGGTCAGGCAGAAAAAGGCTCTTCTTTTAATAGGGAGGAGCAGACAAGGCTAGAAAAAAATGCAGTATGGGCGAGTGGAAAGAGGTGAGTGGTATGATGGGACCACAGGGAATGTGTGTTTCCCTGAGTTAAGCAGCTTCTCAGAAGGGTCCCTTAGAGAATAAATGTGTTTCTGGATCAAAATGAGGATGAGTCAAAGTTCAGGGGCCTAAGGAAAGGAGAGAAGTTTCACTAAAGTCAGATAAGCCAGGTATTTAGTCCAGATTTCTTTGTGGGTAAAAACAGCAAAGCTATTCATCATTCAGGTAAAGAATGAGAATTTGGAGGATATGTCTGGCCTTGTCATAGGGAACAAAGGTGTCATCTGCAAATCATTTGAAGAAGGGTGATTCTTTGCAGTAGCCTTGTCAGGAATACACAGGTTGGGGATTTCTTTAACCATCACTCTTTAGAAACCACAGGTCTCAGGTTAAGTTTAACATTATCAAAATTCGAAAGTAAGTAAACGGTACTCTGTGTATATGGTGTCTCCAAAACCTATTTGGCAAGTTTTTTTAGGTCTAGTCTTTTAAGTAAAACTAGTACATTTCCTTATCTAACATTAGAAACTGGGTTATATTGGAAAGAGACTTGGAGTGGTCAGTGGAAGATCTAAGTCACAGCTCTCAAACTCATAGCCAAATCAGGCCAGCAGCATTATTAAGAATGACTGCCTCAGTTTATGTTGCTTGCCTGCTTGGATAGTCTATATTTTTTGTTTGTTTGCTAATAGATTTCAGTGCATTTCAGTTGGCATGCACTCTTCACTTCCTAAAGACAAGCCACAGCCCCATTGCTTTCGCTGTTTGTCTCACAGGTTTATATTTCCTTTCTGACCACTGAAGAATTTGAGCTTGCCACCCCTAGTCTAAATCATAATCCAGCTATTCCAGAAGCCCATGTCATATGGTTTTCTTGAATGTTACTATTTTCATATAATTACTTTAAGACTAGACTAGATTAAATTGAAAGTACCTTCTGAGCTCTAAAATGTTGCACTATTAGTAGATATTTTAGTAAGGACATTTCTCACAAGCAAGATATTTAATTATAATATGACATAAATAAAAACATTGAAGACATAATAACCAGTTAATTTATTTACTTAAAATAGTTGTTTTTCTAAATAAAATATTTTTAAAAGACCAAACCAAAACTGTATACAGAAGATACATTTGAACCTATTTATCTCTCAGTAAATAAAAATGTTAAAAACATTCATAAGAAAATGTGATCTTTAGCTTAAGCATAAGCATATTTCTGTGTAATTCTGCAGAACAGCAGAACAAAAGTGATTAAATTTGAAACACTATTACATTTCTAAAGAATAAAGTTTAAAGCCATTACAGAATGCAATTGCAGCAAAAGTGTGAATATCTAGATAGACATTTACACTTTGTCTCAGACTAACACAAAACATTTTAAGATACTTTTGTTCATATGTTAAAAAAATGAATACAAGTGAAAATGAATGTATATAAAATAGTGTGTTTAATTATCAGAGTCCTAAGATATTTGTTTTGATTAAAACACACATTTATATCTGCATTTTATCATTGGTTTTAACTTGATTCTTTTACTATTGAAAAGTAATTTTCATAATAAAATATTAAAGCAATAACTACAAATCAATGTTATCTAACAAAATTAAGCATTGAACAAGAACTATTTTTGTTTTCACAAATTAAAATATGTCATAAATATCTCATCTTTTTGCTTTTTTTTTTTACAAAGTTGACAAAACCTGATTTGGGTCGGAATCTGTAAGGTATAGAATGGGGGCCAACTGCTGATAAGAGAGACAGAGGGAATGTTATAGCTAATTAACATTGTTTCATGCAGAACATCTGTTCTGCCCATTCTCCTGGCAATTTTTTTGTCTATTCCCAGAATGTATGATAACATTGATCTCTAGTTTAAAGCCACACACTACTAGAAACATCAGTTTCTGTATGATTTTGAATTAATAACCCTACTTTATTTGTCTAACAGTGTAAAATAAGATAATAGATGTGACAACACCAAGGGGGATGGTGTTAAACCATGAGAAACCACCCCCATGATCTAATTACCTCCCACTAGGCCCTGCCTCCAACATTGGAGAATACAATTTGATGTGAGTTTTGAGCTGGGACACAGAACCACACCATATTAACCTTTATGGCATATTGAGTATTTTGAAGAAAATGCATGTTAAAAATGGCAGGTGCAAAAATAATGCTCTCTGATAGCTTTCAATTTTTGTTCTTGTTTTAAACTTCCACATGATACTAAAAGATCCTATTATTGTTTATTTTTTTATACATGAAAGTTAAGGCTAAGAAAAATTACTAATGTCACACTCTCATTAAAACAAACAATGCACAACTCCAGGAAATGTGGTGAAAGAGTTTGGAATATATCACCCCAAAATATATCTCTGTAGATGTATCTTTATAGTATTGTCCCTTAACCTAAGATATCTCTTAATCTAAACCAGTGTAAAAATAATTGCATTGGTTTAGTGTAGTAGTCCATTTTCACACTGCTGATAAAGACATACCTGAGGCTGAGAAGAAAAATAGGTTTAATTGGACTTACAGTTCCACATGGCTGGGAAGGCCCCCAGAATCATAGTGGGAGGCAAAAGGCACTTCTTACATGGAAGTGGCAAGAGAAAATGAGGAAGATGCAAAAGTGGAAACCCCTGATAAAACCATCAGATCTCGTGAGACTTATTCACTACCACAACAACAGTATGGGGGAAACCACGCTCATGATTCAAATTATCTCCCACCAGGTCCCCCCGACAATACGTGGGAATTATGGTAATACAATTCAAGATGAGATTTGGGTGGGGACACAGAGCCAAACCATATGATTCTGCCCCTGGCCCCTCCAAATCTCATGTCCTCACATTTCAAAACCAATCATGCATTCTCAACAGTCCCCTAAAGTCTTAACTCATTTCAGCATTCACCAAAAAGTTCACAGTCCAAAGTCTCATCTAAAACAAGGCAAGTCCCTTCCACCTATGATCCTGTAAAATCAAAAGCAAGCTACTTACTTTCTAGATACAATGGAGGTACAGGTATTGGGTAAATACCTGTACCAAATGGGAGCTGTTCCAAATGGGAGAAATTGGCCAAAACAAAGGAGTGACAGGGTCCATGCAAGTCTGAAATCCGGCGGGGCAGTCAAATTCTAAAACTCCAGAATGATCTCCTTTGTCTCCACCTCTTGCATCCAGGTCACACTGATGCAAGAGGTACGTTCCCATAGTCTTTGGCAGCTCCGCCCCTGTGGCTTTGCAAGGTATAGCCCCCATTCCTGGCTGCTTTCCCAGGCTGGCATTGAGTGTCTGCTGCTTTTCCAGGTGCATGGTGCAAGCTGTTGGTGGATCTACCATTCAGGAGTCTGGAGGATGGTGGCCTTCTTCTCAGAGCTCCACTAGACGGTGCCCCAGTAAGCACTCTGTAGGGGGGCTCTGACTCCACATTTCCCTTCAGCACTGCCCTAGCAGAGGTTCTCCATGAGGGCTCTGCCCCTGCAACAAACTTGTCTTGGCATCCAGGCGTTTCACCAGGCATCTTCTGAAATCTAGGTGGAGGATCCCAAACCTCAGTTCTTGACTTCTGTGCACCTGAAGGCTCAACACCACATGGAAGCTGCCAAGGTTTGGGGCTTACACCCTCTGAAACAATGGGCCACGCTGTACCTTGGCCCCTTTTAGCAATGGCTGGAGCAGCTGAGATGCAGGGCACTAAGTCCCTAGGCTGCAAACAGCATGGGAACCCTGGTCCTGGCACAGGAAACCATTTTTTCCTTCTGGGTTTCCTGATCTGTGATGGGAGAGGCTGCCATGAAGACCTATGACATGCCCTGGAGACATTTATCCATCCTCTTGGGGATTAACATTGGCTCCTTTTTACTTATGCAAATTTCTGCAATCAGCTTGAATTTCTCCTCAAAAAATGTGTTTCTCTTTTCTAATGCATTATCAAGCTGCAGATTTTCTGAATTTTTATGCTCTGTTTCCCTTTTAAAATGGAATGCTTTTAACAGCACCCAAGTCACCTTTTTATGAATGCTCCGCTGCTTAGAAATTTCTTTTGCCAGATACCCTAAATCATCTCTCTCAAGTTGAAAGTTCCACACATTTTTAGGACAGGGGCAAAATGCCGCCAGACTCTTTGCTAAAGCATAACAAGAGTCACCTTTGTTCCAGTTCTCAACAAGTTCCTAATCTCCATCTGAGACCACCTCAGCCTAGACTTGTTCATATCATTATCAACATTTTTGTCAAAGGCATTCAACAACTCTCCAGGAGGTTCCAAACTTTCCCACATTTTTTTTCTGTCTTCTGAGCCCTCCACACTGCTCCAACCTTGGCCTGATACCCAGGTCCAAAGTCGTTTCCACATTTCTGGGTATCTTTTTTGGCAACAAGCAACTCCTGGTACTAATTTACCGTATTAGTCCTTTTTCACACCGCTGATAAAGACATACCCAAGGCTGGGAAGGGAAAGAGATTTAATGAGACTTACAGTTCCACGTGGCTAGGGAAGCCTCAGAATCATGTCGGGATGGGAAAGGCACTTTTTACATGGCAGCAGCGAGAGAAAAATGAGGAAGATGCAAAAGCAGAAACCCCTTATCCTATCAGATCTCGTGAGTCTTATTCACTACCATGAGAACAGTATGGGGGAAACCGCCCCGATGATTCAAATTATCTCTTACATGTGGGAATTGTGGGAGTATAATTCAAGATGAGATTTGGGTGGGGACACAGAACCAAACCATATTATTTAGGTTATCTATTTACCCAAATAGACAGTAAAATAAGGTACTGTCTGAGCTTTGGTTCCTCGTCATTTTAGTCTTTCCAGATCATCAAAAATAGATAGGTTTGTTTAAATAATAAATGGAATGTATTTCATACAGTGCCTGCCAATATACCATAATAAGAACAGCTATGTCCACTATAACCTTTAGAATAACTAGAATGGGCCAAATACTTTGCTTGATTAGATGAGAGAGAGAGAGAAAGAGAGGGAAGAGAGAGAGAGATCACGGCTAACATTTACATTAACACAGAAGGTAAGTATTATATTCATAACCATTTTAAAGTTGAATAAGCACAGAGAATTTAAGTAACTGAACAAAGGACACATAGCCAGTAGGATATGTCTTTCTAGTCCTGTATCCCTGCTCAAAGCCTGTTCTCATTTTACTATGCCAGTGTAGTAGAGGCATATTTTTAGCTTTATTATTTTAAGGTTTTGTGCTGGCCTTGAGAATTAAATTGACATAAGACAGATTAACAAGGAACATGCATGCACATTTGTTTAACATGAGTTTTACATGACACAAGAGCTTTCATAAAGAAATGAAGATCCCCTAAACAAATGAAGACCCAAAGAAGCAGTTAGCGTTGAATGCTTATGTAATGGTTTTGACAAAGAGTGGTCAATTGTGAAAATGTGAAAAGGCAAAGGGATTTAGGTTAAGAGAGTTAATTGGGTGGAAAAGTGACTAGAAAGGTAAGGGTAAGTTTAACAAAGTTTGTGTTTACAGATGTCCCTTAGTCTCAACTTTTTGCCCTTGATGATAAGAATGATGTTTTCCTTGTGGTATAGAGAGGGCATTTTTTATGTGAGAATTTTATCTCCTGCTTTTAAGAGGAAAGAACATCAGCATTATTTTTGCACCTGCCATTTTTAAAGTGCATTTACTTCAAAATAGTCATATGCCATAGAGATTGATATGGCTTGGCTCCATGTCCCGGCGCAAATCTCATGCCAAATTGTAATCCCCAATGTTGGAGGTGGGGCCTGGTGGGAGGTAATTGGATCATGGGGGCAGTTCTCATGGCTTAACACCATCCCCTTTGGTGTTGTCACTCATGATAGTGAGTGAATTCTCAAGAGACCTGGTTGTTGAAAAGTGTGTAGCACCTTCCCGCTCCGTGTTTCTGCTGCTCTGGCCATGTGAAGTGCCTGGCTCTCCCTTTGCCTTTTGCCATGATTGGAAACTTCCTGAGGACTTCCCAGAATCAGGAGCCAGTATGCTTTCTGTATAGTCTGCAGAACCGTGAGCCAGTTAAACCTCTTTTCTTCATAAATTACCCAGTCTCATGTATTTTTTTATAGTAGTACAAGAACAGGCTAATACAGAGGTATATTTCGGAGTGACATATACTGAACTCTTTCACTACATTTCCCAGAGTTGTACAATACGTGTTTGTTTAATAAGAGTGACATTAGTTATTTTTCTTAGCCTTAAATTTCACGTGTAAAAAAGTAAGCATAATAATAAAGTCTTCATAGTGTTATGTGGAAGTTTAAAACAAGAAAAATAATTGAGAGATATCTGAAATTTGTCCTGACACACAGTAGGCCTTATTAAATATACTTTATCAACTGGGAACCAATGGCAGCTGTTAAACATAAAGCTTACATTTGCACAAGTTAGATTATTTTTTAACTAAATACCTCTGTTACCTCCATTCCAGCCAAAATAATTTATATTTCAATATTTTACCTGTTCCTTGATCATATTGCTTTAATACAAGATCTAATAATGCTCTAAACTGTTATATGTTTTCCCACAAATTGGATGTAGTCCCTTAAAATTTTCTGTAGTTCAATTTAATATAATTTATTTCTTTCCTAAGACAGTTTTACAGATCACTCCACAGTCCAGACTATTTTAAATATTGTCATAGGATGTTCTACAAGACAAGAATATTGCTATTTTCACACAATGCTTAGATGCAAAGGATTTTTAGGTAGCATTTTCCATGTACGTGAGCCAATCCATATCGTTTTAAAAATATTTATTCAAATATGCAACTCTAAATCATTACCAATCCGGGCTTTAATTTTTACAAATTTTATATTTATATAAAATATATTATTTTGGAATTTGCTCTGTCCTGATATTCTATTAGTTGAGCTGTGAGTTTACGGCCATTATATTCAACAATGGATTTTTTTAACCACTCAGAATAGGAGAGATGTTTCTATAATGGGTTTCTTTCCTGCTATAGGTTTCTAAGAATAGAAGATACAAATTTCTACCTGCGCACTAAAAAAATCTAATAATGCTATATATTAGTGATGAATAAATACCCAAACTCTCATCTTCAGGGCAACTTCTTCTCTTACCTAACTATATAAGACCCAAAATGCCACTGGCCACTGCATGCAAACAAAGATGCAAATAGGGTTTTCATAAATTTTCCCTTGACCCAGTGTCACCGCCAAATGCATATTCTAAGTATGAGTCTAGTCACCATGTTAACATAAACTATTGCTTATGAGCTCCTTTTAGCTAAATAAGAGAGAGAGACAGGCTCTCATTTTACCTCAGTTAATGGGAGTTAATTAGAAGGATTCCTGGGAATTTAGTTTAAATAGGAAAAAAGACTCAATAGCTACACAGAAAAGGCCTGAAGGAAGACAGAACACTGAAATATCACAAAGAACTTGTTCGTAGTGCATCTGAGTTGAGCAGTGGTACTGGAGGTTCTGTGGTGGTAATAAATAAAAGGTTAGATTAGAGATTTTTCAAAGGTGTAATTAACATTTAATAAGATAAACCAATAAAGCCATTGTCTTTCCTGCAAATTCCTGCATAGGGGCCTTCATTGCCTAAACATTTTAAGTACGCATGTCTCAGTACTTCTGGTGTTTTTCATCAGGTTTAACTATTATGTCAATATATTGCAATTAAAAATGGGTAAACAGACTTCTGCTTTTAAATTTGAAAGTATAACTCCTCCATGACTCACATGCCATTATAAATAACTAGAAAATAATGCACAAGATTTGCAACAATTGTTTTAAGACATTGTACGGTAGTCAAGACAGGACTGTGATTTCAGCAAGAAAAAAAAGAATGAGGTAAATCCTACAACTATTCCAGTGTTTTTCCAGGAGGAGATTTTCTCACTATGGAGGAAGAAAGGGAAAACTCCAAACACAAAAAGCCTACAGTCTTAGTGAATTGAGGAGGAAAAAAAAATATCAGAGGGTTCTGCTAGAGGCCACTACATAAAGAGGACTCTGAGGGTAAAGGCTATACAGAAGTAAGCATAACTCAGAGATAAGAAAGAGGTGAATCTTAAAAAATCATTGGAGGCTGATGGATCAGGTCATATCTGAAAACTCATCCTAGACTTTTCATTTATGCAAAAGCACTTATGATGTCTGTTTCTGACTCTTGTAACTAGAAAGACTGATCTAATAAGGATATACCATCTTTTTCATTCTAAACTCAACTTTCCCTACTACTTTATAATTTTAAGATGTAAAGTAATGATAAATTGGTATTTTATAACAATATAATTTTAAGATGTAAAGTAATGATAAATTGGTATTTTATAACAATAATAAAAATCAGAAAGTGCTTAATAGATGAGTACTTGGATGGACGATTGGTAGTTAGTTAAGTTGGTGTTTTTATGGTTTCACATAGTTTAGACACTAGCAATATAGTCAATTCCCTGAAATTTGCATTATGCTTTTCAAAGAAAATTAATTTAAAGGCAGTTCTGTTCATTTTTACCATGTTAAAGAAAAGAATGCAATGGGTAAGACCTTATCTCTGACAATATACATTCAAATATATCAGAAAAAAATGCAGGTAAAACTCACAGAAGAAATATATCTGATTTTTTAATGTTAGAACAATCATGATAAAGGTAATGAAAGACTTAAATATTAAATTTGACAGTAAAACTAAACAAGAAGAAAAATGTTCTTTTAAAATTCTCACAGAAGACTTTGTCATAAATTTCACAACATGTATCACAAATGTCCTACCATGCTCCTGTAAAATGATTAAATCTAGTTGTTTTTCTCAAGCAAACTCATTCAGATTTTAGCTAAAGACATTTTTCTTCACAATTCTAGAGTTTGAATTTAATTTTCAAATTACTACTAAATGTCATAGCTCTGATTACCCATATTAAAATTAGCAGCGTTTAGCATGGCTCTCATATCAGAGTATAAATGAATGAAAACAATAGACTAAATTTATCGTTAAAATGTAATATGGTCTTGATTTGTTTCATATGGACTGGCGAATAAACAGAAAAGTAGAACTTTTTTTTAAACTTATTAAGTTTCAATACTTAGCAGTGATACAGGGACTTACCAGGTGTCCCAGCCTGTCTTTAAAATATTTAATATGGCTTTCTGGTACACTATTTATACAGACTTTGTACGGTAACTGGTCTATTTAAAAACTTGTTCAGATTCAGTCTTTACTTTAAACGTATCGTATCCATAAAGCATATGACTTATGGGAAATGATCTGTGCGGTATGGTACCCTGGAGTTGATCCTGAGCAGAAAAAGTGGAAAAAGTGAGGAAATCCAAATAAAATCTGTAGTTTAGCTTATTGTTTCAATGTTACCATTTAATTTTTGATGGATGCTTTATAGTTATATAAAAGAAACATATCATAAATGTAATATGTTAACTTTAGAAGATGTTATGTTATATAACATGTTAACTTTAGAAAATGTTATGCAATATGTTAACTTTAGAAGATGGACAAATATATTATTGTTAGGTTGTTAAGAAAGATGGATGAATGGTATAAAGAAACTATGTTTTATTGTTAAACTTTTCTGTAAATCTAAAATCACTCCCCCAAAATGTGTATTTTATAAAATAAATTACACTTGGGCCTCATATATTTTATTCACTTTCCTATCTCTTGGAGATACCTTCTTAAATTCTGAGACAGAAAAAATCACTTGGCAGCCACTCAGTTTGATGGCTATTTTACTTTATTAATAGCCATAAAATACAGCTTAACTTGGTCTCTGACTCTGCCGGTGAAGGATGAGATGTGGTTTTCCCTTTAGAGGATCATCTCACAGAGTGCTCTGTGCTCTTGCATATGGTGCTTCCTATTCCTGGAATATTCTGCTTTCCTACTAAATTCATGCTCTTTCTTCAAGACTGCTTCAGTATCTTCTCTTCTGCATATTTTTCTCTAACATTCCCTACTCTTTAGAAAAATGACATACACTTAAATGTATTAAAAAATTTATACTTTACAGATTTATATAATCTCTCATTGTAGTTCTGAAATAGTGTTTATCACAATTAACTGTGGAACTTCTTTTCCCAGCATCAAACTCTCATTTCATTTAGGATAACACCTTAGAATCTGAGTCTTTAGTAGGAATTCTCCCTTCAGAGAAACTATACTTTGAGATATACTGTCTTATGTAACAGTAACACAGTTCATATATGATTCTGTTCCAAGCATGATAATTTATTGAAAAGTGTACTCACAAAATTGAATTAGTTAAATAATTAAAAATAGGTTAAAAAAGGCAAAAGCAAGTTATATTTAAATTCTCAAGACTTAGCTTGAAAAACGTATTCATGAAACTTAAGCAAAGACAGCCAGGCTCCAAGGTTGCACTTTACTCATAGAACCTTCCTGGTACCCCACTTACGTTTGGTTTTCATTGAAAGTGTTTTCAAATGAACGCAAAATTTGTAGTTTTCCCTTATTGAAGACTTTAATGTTTTTTTTTAAAAGAGCAAAACATGTGATTGATGTGTTAAAATTGCCTAAGCTGAGAGAGTTTATCAAAGCAATTGGTGTTTGCAAATGGCCCTGACAATTCTAACAATTAGAAGGTGCTCTACAGCAATAATCTCCAAGCACATGTTTGTACCTACCATAAATGAATTTCAAGAATTTTCTCCCTTATACATTTTGAGATGAAATTTAACATTTTTCACCATAAATTCTAATATAATTGAAAGGGTATAATTTATTGTGTATTCTATGTATTGGTATTTTAAAATAAATAATCATATCACCCATTTTGTTTTATCCAATGGAAACTAAATATTTTGCAATACACTGCCCAATATCAACTCTTTAAATACTGCCGTAAAAAAGCTTTTATTTAATACCTATTCTCTTATAAATATGTTTTTGTTATACTCTGACCGCTGAATTTCACTTTACTGTAATTTTTTTATGCTGACAAGTTTTTTTAATCACTTACCATAGTCATTCTTCAACAAAATTATGTACATAATATGTAATTATTTACAAAATATATTTCCTGTGATTGTACATAAAATGAGAAAATACTGTAGAATTTGAAGAAACAGTTGTATAATCTGATGTAAGATTTTTAAAGTGGATATTTTTATTATGGCTTCTGTTTTGTGAACAGATGGAAATGAAGTACAATGGAAAAATGAAGAATAGTTAGGATGATATTGAGTAATAAGGCAAGAGATTTTGAGGATCAGATTATTATGGCAACTGTAATCAAGGTGAAAATTGATACCTCCCTGATTATATTTTGAAAGTAGACGCACAGAATTTACTAATAGCGGTTGAGAGAGAAAAAGAGAGAGAGAGAAGGAAATGCAGAGATATCAGTAATTTCTTTTTAAGACAGAAAGGAACTAGAAGAATGTAATTATCATGTACTACTTGGGGAGCTACATTTGGGACATATTAAGATGACACTTATCCATCCAAGTGACAATGTGGTAGAGGAAATTTGATTTGTGTCTGAAATTCAGAATAGATTTCTAGGCTAGAGACATGAAGTTGGAAGTCTACAGCATAAAGATTGTGCTTAAAGCTATGCAACTTGCTTAGGTTCCTGGAAAGTGAGTAAAGAAGAGGGTTAAGATGAAAAGAAACCGTTAAGAAGACTAAAACAGAGTTGAACCTGTCATGAATACAAAATGTAGCCAATGCTTCCAGAAGGAAGTAATTGGCTGCTTAAAATACTCTTGATGTTAGCTACAGGCAGTATGCTCTATAGTAGACATTCGGAACTTATTTTTTTTTTTAAATTTGCTAAGGGGGTACATCTTATGTTAAGTGTTTGGGTTGGGGGAGGAAATCTGGTAGATGATGACTATATGTATGGCCTTGATGGTAGTAATGATTTCATAGGTATATACTCATCCCCGAGGTATTGGTTTGTATACAAAAATAGGTACAGTTTTTACATGTCAGTCACACCACAATTAAGTGGTTTTAAAAAATACTGGTGATGAATGAAGTAAGGTAGGGGATAAGAATTAACCATTGGATTTAACATTGTGTAGCTTAGGGCTGACTGACAAGAGAAGTGTGATGGTGGAGGAACAGTAAAAGCCCATTTGGAATAGTATTAAGAGAATATGTAAGAGAATGTTCATGTGCTGATGATAATGATCCAGTAGAGACATGGCAAAAAAATGATAATTCAGAAGAAGTTGAGAGGGGATGTTATTGAAGCAACAGCTCTTATTGGGTGAGAGGACTTACTGTACAAGTGGAAGGTTGTCCTCAGCTAGAAACAGTCTACTCCTATTAAGAGGAGTGAAAGCAGTTGAGAAACATAGATGTTGAAAGGTAGATAGGTATATGGGACTGGTGGCTAAAATCTAGTCATCTGAAATGACTTCTGGATTTTCATTACAGAATTAAGATATCAAATCTTTGGCTGGGAAGGCATTTTTAATGTGTTTATATTACATTATGAACATAATGGGGGTGGGAGTTTACAAAGAAAACGTTTTAACTGGAAGCACATCTGTATTTTGTAACTGTGATTAAAAGGCATTATCCTTTTATGTCATCTATTATATTAGTAGGGGAGATGCTATTTATAAAAAAGAAAAAAATAAAATCCATGGGCAGATTAAAAGGCATAGTGAAAAACAAAATTAATTTCAATGATCTCTATAATAATTCAGAAGTAAAAATATGTTTACAAGTGTACACACTATCAATCAAGCTCTTGTGATTAAACTTATAGTAATTCTTTTTATTTTTTTGTTTTTGAGATGGAGTCTTGTCCTATCGCCCAGGCTGGAGTTCAATGGTGTGATCTCGGCTCACTGCAACCTCCGCCTCCCGGGTTCAAGGAATTCTCCTTCCTCAGCCTCCCGAGTACCTGGAATTACAGGTGCACACCACCACGCCCAGCTAATTTTTTGTAGATTTAGTAGAGACAGTGTTTTACCATGTTGGCCAGGCTGGTCTCAAACTCCTGACCTCGTGATCCGCCTGCCTCAGCCTCCCAAAGTGCTAGGATTACAGGCGTGAGTCACTGTGCCAGGCCAGTAATTCTTTTTAAATCATGCTTGTTTGCTACATAACTTGTCAGAAATTGGTTAACTCAACCTAAGGAGTACGCTACCCTTATTACTATCCCCCTAAAAAGAAAATCTGACAAAAGTGAGATTTTTTTTCTGAAGTTGTGAATTATTTTATGTACTTCAAGGCTTGATAATTTATCCATAAGTGTATCATCATAAGGTAAGAACTTGTTTAAAAGTCTATTTTTTAAATTATTAGTTGAAAACCATTAAAATTCACATGCTTTAGAGATTATTCTTAAAAATGGTAGAAACCTCTACCATAATTGAATTATACGGTAATTTTAAAACACTGTATTATGCACTTCCAAAAATATGTCCTGTGGTATACATATTATCAGCTTCATTTCATAGATGAGAAAAGAGTCTCAAAATATGTAGTTTCCCCCAAAACATAAAGACAAGTCTTTGAAAAAGACCGTACTGCAATTACAAATTCTGAGACTCCAGTGTTCTTTCTAAACAGTTCTGTGCTCCCAGTCAAGAGGTTTTTGTCAGAATTAGCTTACACTTTCATGCATCCTTCCCTCATGGCATCCCAGTAAAGGCTTCCAGGTTTTGTAGTTCTACTAGCTGACCACAAGAGACTTTTAAGGAAGATTAAGAAGTTTTACTCCGTAGCTAGAATACATTTGGCTCTCTCATCTTTCTGTCTTATTGATTCCCTCCAAGTCACTGCATCATTGAGTGCCCTGGAAAAGTATTTTGCTGCCATTCTTTCACCACTTATTTTTTTGATACTGTGGATGATAGCAGTGGAGGGAAGAATTTCTGACAATGTATTTTGATATCTTCCTGTTATCACATAAGCACTGGGAAACTATCATCACACAAAACCCCAATTGGCCTAGTTTCCCATTTCTTAGGTCATATTCTATTTCTACACAACTTTGAAAGTAAAATGTTAAATGCAATGCATCATTTACTTCAATTTAATGTACTGTTTATGATTTTGTGTTTGCTCCATATTATATATGCCCTATTTTCCTTAAATATGAAAAGGCAAAAAAATGCACACAATTTAACTATTTTTAAAGTGCATTTTTATGAAGGATTAAAAAAAATCCTATTTGGAAAAGCTAAGAAGTAAAAACCACAGCATTTGGCTCCTTTTCAATGTAAGTAAATATATAAACAGCCTGTTGAAATGCAGATCTTCTAGCTCACAGATGATTTTTCTTTTCTTAGAAGCTTAGTTAGAATCGTCATTGATCTCCTTCATAAGACAGGTTCCCATTGGAGTTGGACTGGCATGTTCATTTTTACTTTATTGATATTTAAGTCTTTGAAAACATAAAAATATACTTCTAAAATATGTTCTTTAAAATTTAATAAGAAAAATCTGAGTAGGTTTAGATGTGGGTATTTTAGTCCATGACAGCTTTTAAAAAATAATTTTGAAAACAAATTAGGGTGTAACTGCAGTTAATTCTTTTAGATCAATTAGTGTAAAAATATGTACGTCATAAACCTTTCACCTAAAGCATCTTCTTTATTCTGTACAATGTATAGCAACATCACAGGTATTTTAATGATCAAACAAATAAATTTATTTAACAAATCAAGTGAAGGTGACTCTAAAGAAACACATTAGAAAGCATTACAAGTTTTCACATTATGTTTAGAGGTGGCACAAATGAATGACCCGCATTTGCACTAGGAAAGGAACTTATAATTTAATAGGCCAAAAATTCTTGTAGTATTAGAAATCATCTGTTGTTTTTATATTAAATAAACCCTAAAAATAATATGAAGTACACCGACATAATCATAGGTTATATATCAGCAGGCTAATAAGTTGAAGAAATGTCTTTTCTTTATATACCCATGCTAGAAGGAATATTGCAGAAACACACTAAGAAAAAATGTAATCCTGGCGAAGGAGATTACCCAAAAGCAGAGATTTAGGAATAGCAAAAATGAAGTTTTCTCTGCAAGTAATGTAATTTATTCCATTATTTATTCACTATCTACTGATCTACTGAACACCCAAAATGTGATAGACATTATGCCTTTTTTCACTGTACACCTTTAAAAAAATCAACCCTTCAAATTACTTATTAAAAATTTTAATTCAATGTAATTTATTGAAAACTGCATAACTCTAAGGAGGGTGGGAAAAATTCACCTTAAAAATTAGGGATATTGTATTATTTGGACATACTAGGTAGGGTCTATGAGATTTGCATGACCTGAGATGATATTTGGCATCAGAAAAAAATGCATGGCTCTAAAAATAAAATTAATATTTAATAATGAACACCAATAAATGTTTAATTAGATGATTATTAAACAGTATTATAGTAACTAGCCAACAAGAATTCAACTTATTTAGTTCAGAAATAAAACTAAAATCACAAGGATAAAATTGGTAAATTATTTTTAAAAGCAAACATTATTTTAAAAGACCATTTTAACATGTAATGTAAGGACTTCAGAAATAAATACCCAGAGCCTACTTAAAATTTAAAATGGTAAATATATTCTTACCAATTATGTTTTAACAGAATGTTAGATATCATGTACTTTGTTAACCAAAACAGACTATATTTCATATGATGATTAGAGGAAGAAGGCAAATATACATGGAGCAGAGATCAACATATAATATGAGTATTTCTACGATGAATGGTAGTTAGAAAAATAATAAAAATTTACAAACCAGTGACTTACCAAACTAAGAAACATATCTGAAGAGGGTGGACGGCTGGTTGGTAAAGAGATAGTTTTTAAACACACTTTAGACTACCTCATTCATCGCTTATTTTACCATAATGTGACACTTCCCAAGTAGACATCAATGACTATGGAAGTAAAAGCAACACAAGTTGAATGAGGAACGTAAGAGGAAAACCTGAAAGTGTTTTTACTAAGACTGTACACCTAAGTAATCAATAAGAGGAATTTATCAAAGCTCTCTCTTGTCCAACATAAACTAGAATCACAATGTTTTATTAGCCATAGTTTTAACCTTGTCTTCTGTTGTAGAAAAATGTGTCTTAGAATTTAAAAGAGAATCTAAAAGCTCAGTAGAAGGGAGAGCTGTACCCATAGTATGCCAACATAGCAGGGAGATACTATTTTAATGGCTCTGGGTTCATTTAGTGACCTCTGCTTAGCAGAGTTAGAGGAAATGTCCTATAGCCACTAAAGGTATTCCCACACAAACAGCAGCAAATCAACAAGCTATCTTGATTAATTACTGTGTATCGATTAAGAGGATCAGAGCAACTGGGAATACAGAAACCTGAAATTCCGCAACATTTCTGGATTTCCATGTAATTGACATATTACTAATTGGGTTGAGACAAACAAAAAATATTGGCAAGAGTAATTGAAATATCTTCTTTTTTAATGAAATGCTATCATATAGTAGACAAGAATCTGTGGCAGGTGGAGATCAATAGGAAACATGAAAATGAACTCCAGGAGTTTTACTTATACATCTATTTTTAAAAAATTAGAAGTTGACCAAAATTAACATAGTCTATTTTTATTGTGATGTGCTATTATTCCTTGTTGATATTGAGGAGAGATGCAAGCATGTGTCTGAAATGTACGTAATTAATTTCCTTTGAAAAATTGCAAGAAAAGCAAAAAAAAAGAGCAGAAGACATATACCTTTAATCTTAGTCACCATGGTAGCCTGAACATCCTTTTGGGATAGATATGACAAGAAAAAGCCTATAGCTTAAGAATAAGAGTTATGGCTTTGGATCCATTTCAAGGGGTGGCTTAAATTACCTATCTACTCTTCCAGTCATCATAAATCATACATCTGGTGTGGCGTTGCTGAATGTATGATTTTAGGGATGCTTCATATGACTTTTAGGAGAGAGCCAGGATTGGAAAAAGATAAAATAAACAAAATAATATAAATTCCTCATTAGGCAATTCTGCAACTGTGTTTTAGGGTTTTTTGTTTGCTTTTGTTATTTTTGTCACTTCTTTATGGGATTACTGGACTAAAATTAACTTCAATTGTGAAGTCCATATGCAGTCAGCTCTCTGTTCTTGTTTGCAGAAATTATTAAGAGGAAGTCAATTTTTCTGGTGACTTAAAAGTTACTCAGATGATTCATTCATTTGTTAAAATATTTATTATCTGCTATTGCATTGGGCACTCGGTTGAGATTAGAGATACTAGTGGTTAAGGAAGGCCACATCTCTTCCTTTATACAGCTTATAGTCTAGCGATAAAAGACTAGAATGGCCAAAATGCAGAACACGGAAAACACCAAATGCTGGAGAGGATGTGGAGCAATAGGAAGGGTCATTCATTACTAGTGTGAGTGTAAAAATTGTACAACCATTGTGGAAGTGTGGAAGATAGAAAATGAGGCTAAGTACACAATGTAAGTGGGATCAAGAAAAATATTTCTAAACTAATATACAAAAGAGAATTAAGATTTAGCCAAAGAAAAAGGGAAGGAGAATGCATTTCAGGTGATGAAAATTAAATGCTTAATGTTCCAGAGATAAGAGAACATGACACATTTAAGGAGCTTAGTTTAATTCGTATGTCTAAGCTTATAGTTTAAGAAGTGAATAATGTAGGAGCAGTAAACACCTGGGAGGAGTAAAACAATTGTGGATATCTATTATTTTCTCTGCATCTATTTGGAATCAACAATAGATATTCATAATTTTATTTTATTAACATAACGTTAATTTTCCTTGGGTAATTACCAGTTAGCATTTTCAGTGCATGCTATTGTATTGGACTTTCTTCTTTTTCTGTAACTCCAAAGATAAGAATGTGACTAAATCTGGCCAATGAAAATCAATTCCAGGTTGTTGATTTTTGTGTGCAGGGAGTGTGAGTGTGTGTGTGTGTGTGTGTGTGTGTGTGTGTTTGCATCCTTTGAGATTATAGTTTCGTTTTTTCTGCGGGCTATTTCTGGAAGGATTGAATTTAGCCTGGAAATACTAGGGGACATATTGTCGCAACAAAGAAAAGCTCACCTGAAAATAGAGCAGACCCATTGGCCAAAGGTGGACGGCGAAAGACTGAGACATCATGACACTGTTTGTGCCCGTATACCTGGTCATAGAAGTCTAAAATTGCTCTCATATGTTGAGAGCCAAAATCTTTACGTTTTCCTTTTATTTGTTTATATGTTTATTTATGCTTTGCCAAAGCCATTTTACATTTGTCACTTTTATGTAAAATAGTTTGGAGTAATAAATATGTAAATGAATATTATTTATATAATAATCTCCCTTGTTTTGATGGGAATATAGACATGGGCTTTTTATGAATAAATATTGTACACCCTTTTCTTTGTGTTTAGCATAAGAAAAAAATTAGGTGGATTTTAGTGACCCAGACCAATTGTTAATATAAAAAATAATAGCTGAATATTTGCTACCTGTTGTTCAGTTGTAGAATTTCATCTGACTGACTTCAATTTTAGGCCACTCTCAGAGAGTTCACATCATAATTGATATAAGACCTATAGCCAAAGTAGGGAATTTTCTCCCCATCTCCTACCTTTTGATTCTACATCAGTGGTCCCCAACATTTTTGGCACTAGCAACCGTTTCATGGAAGACAATTTTTCCATGGAGGGGATGTGGAGGGGGATAGTTTTGGGATGAAACTGTTTCACCTCAGCTCATCAAGCATTATTAGATTCTCATAAGGAGCACACAACCTGGATCCCTCGCATGCCCAGTTCATAATAGGGTTTGCGCTCCTATGAGAATCTAAGGCCCTTTCTGATCTGACAGGAGGGGGAGCTCAGGCGGTAATGCTCCCTCACCAGCCACTCACTTCCTGCTGTGAATCCGGTTCCTGTGATGCCAGTCTGTGGCCCAAGGTTTGGGGACGACCCCTGTTCTACATGAAAGTGTTATCTCCTCCAGCCTGGTGACAGAGCGAGACTCCATATCAAAAATAAATAAATAAATAAATAAAAATAAAAAAATAAAGTGGTACCTCTTTCTGCAAGAGCAAGGTTAATATACGTCATACAAGTTATATAAAGAGTCTTGTATTGAAATGAGTATACCAGCACCATGACTGAATTGACATCATTGGTATTTTCACTTTCTTAGTAGATTAGGACATGGGACAGTCCTATGTCTCTTACTTGTGTTTTAGCAGGGAAACAGGAACCTGAAAATTGAGAAGTTAAAATGTTTTAAAAGGCTTTAACTTTCATGTTGACATGTTTGAGCTTAATCTGCAAGCTACTTAGCAGGTTTGAGATAATCATAGACAGTAGTATGGTAATAAGAGTGAAGATGAAACAAGTATTTGGTAGAAATGAAAAATACAATTAAAGAAAATAGTATATTTGGTTTAGGTCTGTGAATTCTTGTGATAGCCTTAAATGAGATCCATGTAATGTTCTTCTACAACTTGAAGCCATGTAATTCAGTCCCAGTCTTTGGGAGGAAGAAGGCACAGGGTGATTAGACTCAAATTGATGATAGAAGCTCATCTCCTCATGAATCAAATCTAAGATACAAACTATTCTCTCAATTTGAAGTCTTTAAAACATCTCATGTTATTAGGATGAGGAATGTTGAACTGGAGTGTGGGAATTAATTTAGATCTAATTTTTAATATTCTCTTTTCTTTTCTAATTTATGGTACAGTCAGGATTTAAATACAGTAAACATGAACCAAGTGAGTAGAATGCTTGCTGATGCAATCTCTGGGGAGACTATAAGATGGCCTAGATTTACAAAACAATGACAACAAATATAACCTAGGCATCATTGTTAAATAATCTGTAACCTCAGTGAAAAATCTTTGTGTTTTGTTTACCCATTAAAAAAAACACAGAAAACACTGCTATGAGAACATAGAGAACAACAAATTTCTTTATTGTTTGTGTTACCAGAAAGGGGTCCTGATCCAGACTCTAAGAGAGGGTTCTAGGATCTTGTGCAAGAAAGAATTTGCAGAGGGCGGGGGAGTCCACAGAGGAAAGTGAAATCAAGTTTATGTGAGAAATAAAGAAACAAAAGAATGGCTATGTACAGGCAGAATAGCCCTAAGGATTGCTGGTTGGCTGTTTTTATGGTTACTTGTTAGTCATATGCTAAATAAGTGGTGGATTATTCATGAGTTTTGCAGGAAGGGGGTGGAGAGTTCATGGAACCCGGAGCTTCTTCCCTATTTAGTCCATATAGGGTAATATCCCGACATTGCCAAAAGTATCTGTAAACTGCAGTGGCGCTGATGGGAGTGTCTTTTAGCATGCTAATGCATTATAGTTAGCATATAAAGAACAGTGAGGACTTCCACTCGAGTCCGTGTGAAGAGACCACCAAACAGGCTTTGTGTGAGCAACAAGGCTGTTTATTTCACCTGGGTGCAGGTGGGCCGAGTCCGAAAAAAGAGTCAGCAAAGGGAGATAAGGGTGGGGCCGTTTTATAAGATTTGGGTAGGTAAAGGAAAATTACAGTCAAAGAGGGGTTGTTCTCTGGTGGGCAGGAGTGGGAGTCACAAGGTGCTCAGTAGGGGAGCTTTTGAGCCAGGATGAGCCAGGAGAAGGAATTTCACAAGACAACGTCATCAATTAAGGCAGGAACAGGGCATTTTCACTTCTTTTGTGGTGGAATGTCACCAGTTAAGGCAGAAACGGGCCATCTGGATGTGTACGTGCAGGTCACAGGGGATATGATGACTTAGCTTAGGCTCAGAGGCCTGACAAGGACAACCAGAGGTTACTTTCTTCGCCATCTTGATTTTGGCTGGCTTCTTTATCACATCCTGTTTTATCAGCACGGTCTTTGCGACCTGTATCTTGTGCCAACCTCCTATCTCATACTGTGGCTAAGAATGCCTAACTTCCTGGGAATGCAACCCAGCAGATCTTAGCCTCGTTTTATCCAGCCCCTATTCAAAATGGAGTTACTGTCATTCAAACGCCTGTGACATTTGCTATAAAAATCTTCTTTAGAACCTGAAATCCCTAAAATGTTAAGGTTTTTTTTTTTTTTTTTTGTTTTGTTTTCTGAAATAAACTTCCATAGTTTTGCAGATTTTCAAAGGGGTCTCTGACCTGAAAATCATTGAAAACAAGTTCTACAGAGATTATTTTTCAGGTGTGAACGTTTCATGATTGTATCCAAGTCTGTTATGTGCCTTGGAATAATGTGAAATTGAATTGGGATATGTAAAACAAAACAGCTCTCCAGGTAGTCATTATAACTTGGGTCAAGCTCCGCTTTGACTGTTTGCTTTATTTGTTTTGTTGAAGACACTCGTTAGAGGACCAAAGGGATTTGTCACTTCTTTGTTAAGCTGCATTTTTCTTGGTGTTCCTTGTGGATAAAATGTTTCTCTTTGGGATTTTTCTTTCTTCTTTTTTTGGAGTCAAATGAGCTTTGACATGAAGCATAAGAAATGTAAAAATGAACACAGAGAGGGTGCTACTTCTTATATGTTCTATTTTCACCCTGCATGACCAAGCTGAACTGTATCTGGCAAGAGCCCCAATATAGCATATTATTTATTTCTTCTGAGATTCAACAATTTCCCCTCAAGGCTGGCAGATGACACATACCTTGTCTTCAATGATATCCTTATGCCCACTCACTTAGGTGTGGCTTGCTTAATGTACCAGGAAAACTATTATAAAATCATCTGACTTTTATGGGCTTCTTGAAATTCAAAGGCATACTGTTTGATTTATATTCACCTTGTAATATGTAAGAAGTAATGAGTCCACCATTACCTAAGCTCATAGAAAAATTCCCACTTGTTTTTCATTTTATCACAAGTGAAGGCATTATTTTCACACTTTAGTTCTCACACTTCAACTCCTCTCTCCTTTTCTTTTCTAGAGGCTTTTAAGGGCCTTGGACTTTCTAGCTGGTAAGTTGTTGTTAGGCAATGGTTACCAGGGGTACCAATACTCCAGAAGAGCTCCGTGTTTTGCGATTTGTCCTTTCTAGTCTGTTTTTTGTCTGACTAAATGGAATGTGTTTAATTCCGTACTCACTACTGTGGTTTGAAAGTGTCCACTTCGAGAATCAGGTGTAATAGACCAATGGAACAGGTTAGAGAAACCAGAAATAAATTTTCATACCTACAACATCTGATCTTCAACAAAGTTGATGAAAGCAAACAATGGGGAAGAACTCTCTATTCAATAAATGGTTCTGGGATAACTGGCTAGCCATATGCAGAGAATTGAAACTGGACCCCTTTTTTATACTGTATTCAAAAATCAACTCAAAATGGATTAAAGACTTAAACGTAAGACCTATCACTATAAAAACTCTAGCAAAATACCTTGGAAATACCATTCTGGACCTAGGCCTTGGCAAACATTTCATGATAAAATCTCCAAAAGCAATTGCAATGGAAACAGAAATAGAAAAGTGGGACCTAACTAAAGAGCTTTTAAACAGCAAAAGAAAATTTCAACAGATTAAACAGACAGCCTACATAAAGGAAGAAAATATTTGCAACCGTGCATCTGACAAAGGTTTAATATCCAGAATCCATAAGGGATTTAAACAAATCAAGCAAAACAAACAAAAAACAAAACAAAAAATCCCCCACCAAAACAAAAAGCAAACCATTAAAAAATGGGCAAAAGGCATCAACAGATACTTCTCAAAAGACATACATGCAGCCATCAAGCACGTGAAAAAATGCTCAACAAAACATCATTAGAGAAATGCAAATCAAAACCATAATGAGATATCATCTCATACCAGTCAAAATGGCTATTATTGAAAAGTCAAAAAATAACAGATGCTGGTGACATTGCAGAGAAAAAGGATGCTTATACACTGCTGGTGGGAATGTAAATTAGTTCAGCCACTGTGGAAAGCAGTTTGGAGATTTCTCAAAGAACTTAAAACAGAACTACCATTCAACCCAATGATTCCATTACTGGTTATATAACCAAAGCAATAGAAATTTTTCTACCAAAAAGACACATGTACCTGTATGTTCATAAACGTACTATTAACAATAGCAAAGACATGGAATAAACCTAGCCCATCAATGGTGGACTGAATAAATAAAATGTAGTACATATACACCCATGACATACTATGCAGCCATGAAACAACAACAACAACAAAAAACTGTAATCATGTCCTTTGCAGCAACATAGATGCAGCTGGAGGCCATTACCCTAAGTGAATTAATGCAGGAACAGAAAACCAAATACTGCATGTTCTTGCTTACAAGTGGGAGCTAAACATTAAGTACACATGGGCAAAAAGAAACCATAGACACAGAGGCCTACTTGAGGGGAGAGGTTAGGAGGAGGGTGAAGGTTGAAAAACTACCTATCAGGTGCTGTGCTCACTATCTGTGTGATGAAATCATTTGTACAACAAATCCCAGCAACATGCAATTTACTCAAATGGTAAACCTGCATAGGTACCCCATGAACATAAAATAAAACTGGAGAAAAGAAAAAATAAATAAAATGATTTCTGGTGAGAAAAAAAAAATTAAGTATGGCCAACATGATTGTGTTAACAGGTGAGGCCTTTAAATGGTGATTAGACCATGAAGGCTCTTCTTTGTCAACGAGGTTAAGGACAGCATTTGGCTAGCTTGCCCTTTTGCTATGTGAGGATACGAGAAGAAGGTTCTCATCAGACACCCAAAGTTGGGGCAACTTGATCTTGGACTTCTCAGCCTTGGAGCTGTGAGAAACAGATTTCTGTTCTTTATAAATTATTCAGTCTTAGATATTCTGTTTTAGCAGCACAAATAGACTAAGTAACTCACTTGGAAGATTGTGCTTTGATCCATATGTTCCTCTCCCATTGTAGGTTCCCCTCTCATGACTTTCTTCTCTTTCTTCAGCTTCATGTAATCTAATGTATATTAATGAAAAATGCAGATCTGGAAACATGCATCAGAATGGCCCACTACCACCAAAAAGTAAAAATAAAAAGACGTAGTTATTTCTTGTTAAGCAAGAGCTTGATATGACCTCAAAGCCCAGTTCTCCAAACAAGGATGTGATTTTGCATAGATTTTGGGAAAGCTTCATGTTCACAGATTTTTTTAGTGTTTAGGGGTTGCCTGATTTTCAGGCACGGGCATGTGGTCACTAGACAGAGGCTACTGATGATTGGATAACTTTCAGAAGCATGGAAAAGTCACTAATTGGCTGATTTTGAAATGCTTCAGGCACTAACGTGAAGCTGTCACTGATTAATTGGGAAAGTTTAAAGTCAATTTAAGTGTTTACTGGATGATGGCTAGGTTGTTATGAAAAAAAAATCAGTCTTTCCTTTTCTTAAAATTTGAGAATAGGAAATTTTTATTCCATTTTTGGCAGAAATTAATTTTTATGATATTTTTCATGTTAATTATCAGTTTGTGAACTCTAGATTGATAAAAGCACATCACTAAGACAGTAAACAAATAATCCTTTTTCCTTCAATTTTATCTGGGCCATTATAGCTACTAAAAAGCAAAACACAATTTCTACAAAACTTGGAGAAAAAATTATTTGACCCAAGATTTCTTTAATGAAGTAACCATTCCAGTGTAAATGTAAAAGATGTATCTTCTCAAATATGTAAATTTCTTTTGTTGAATTTACTGTGATTGTAGCTTCAATAAAAATGAATCACAATAAGGAAGCAAATATGTGGAAAATTATTAAAAAGGATAATGATGATGGCTAAATTAATTCAAATTAAATTAACTCAAATGCAGAATTAGCTTTAAACTACTATGTGTACAATGGTTAGGAAAAAAGTGATTGTTAATTTATTTGAATCAAAACACTAGGTGTAAACATAAGAAATAAAATTATTAAATTAAAAAACTCAAGACTATATCAACAACATTACAAAATAAGTATAATTACTGGTGTTTAGAAATGGTGAAAGTTTCAGGAGGGAAAAAGGTTGGATAAACATGCTAATGCATTTATATTTAACAGAAGTAATCTTAAATGCCATTATTACTTTAGATCAATACATTAAAAAATAAAAATTCAGGCCAGGCACAGTGGCTCACACCTGTAATCCCAGCACTTTGGGAGGCCGAGGAGGGCAGATCATGAGGTCAGGAGATCGAGACCATCATGGCCAACATGGTGAAACCCTGTCTCTACTGAAAATACAAAAATTAGCCAGGCACAGTGGCACGTGCCTGTAATCCCAGCTACTCATGCTGAGGCAGGAGAATCACTTGAACCCAGGAGGTGGAGATGGTAGTGACCCGAGATCGGGCCACTGCACTCCAGCCTAGCGACAGCTAGACTCCGTCTCAAAAAATAAATAAATAAAAATAAAAATAAGAATTCCAACACATTATTTAACACTATAAACACATTTTAAAACAGATTATATAAATCCAGTCAACTCACATGTAGATGAGAAAACACATGAAAATCATAGTCGAAAATACAACAATAGGACAGCAAAAATAAATAAAAATAAGACAAAGAACAAAGACAGCTCTGTGTCAAAAAGGAAACCTAAATTAAGTTCTGTCTACAAGAGACATTTATATAATAACACAGTTTAAAAATTATGATAACTTAAATTTTAAAAAATTATGCAAATCCAAACAAAAAGAAACCAGGATATCACAATGTTCAAATTGATCAAAGTTGAATTGAAAAAAAAAAAACAATTCTGGCAAAAATTAATATGTCACCCAATTTTTACAATTAAGAAAAAAATGTAACTGAAAATTGTTTGTGTCTAATACATCCAACTGAATACATAATTTTGAAGTATCAGTAAATACACAAAATTAATAAATTAAGATACTTATAATGAAATATTAAATAGCCTAATACTAAGAAATATTCTCACAAAATATGTGAACAATGGAATTCGAGGCACAAGCAATGACATCACTAAATGCTGGTAAGATTGAAGAAATTAAGAGAAATTAGATGATTCACACTTTACTGGTAAGAATATAAATTGATACCACCACTCTGAACATTTCTTAATAAGCTATATAAAAAACTCTCATATAATTCAGCAATTGGACTTTAGAGCATTTATCCCAAAGAAATGCTGACATCTTCACACAAAACTGTGTATGCAAATGTTTATAGAAGCTTTATTTGTGATAGGCAAAAACTGGAAAAAACCCACGTGTTCTTCAACTGCAAATGGTTAAACAAACTGCGGTCCAGTCATACCACGGAATACAATTCAAAGTATAAAGTAAAAGCAATGACTATTGATATAGACAGCAACCTGAAATAAGTGCCAGAGAACTTTGCTGAGAAGAAAAGAACAATGTCAAAGCTCTTCTCAAAAGGTTACATACTTTGTGGTTTCATTTACATAACATGCTTAAAATGACAAAATAATAGAACTGAATCACAGATTAGTGTCTGTCAGGGCTTAAGGAGCAAGTAGGGGTGAGTGGCTATAAAAGAACAACATGATAAAAAAAATTCTGTGTCTTGACTGTATCAATGTCAACACCTAATTTTGATATCATACTAGTTTTGCAAGATACTACCATTAGAAAACTGGGAAAAGGAAACACAGTCTCTCTGTATCATTTCTTATAACTTCATATGAATCTGCAATAAATGAAAATAAAATATCTAACTAAGAAAAATGAAGGCAAAATAAAGACATCCCTGCATTGTTGGAAAAAGAGATTTCGTTTCTATCAAAACTGCTTTACAAGACATATTGTAGGAACTTTTTTTCAGGAAGAAAACATGTGATACCCGAAAGTAATTTGAATCCACATGAAAAAAATAAAAACAGTGGTAAAGGTAATTAGTAAGTCATTTACAAAGACATTATAATTGCATATTTCTTTTCCTTTCTTCTCAACTGATTAAAAAGCAATTGTTAAAACAATGTGTATGTAATTATATAACAGCACAAAGTAGGTGGATGGGAACAAAGCTTCATTAGAGTAAGGAAATGACACACAATGGTTAACTGAAATACATAGGAATATATGGAGAGAATCAGAGAGGGTAATAAAAAGGTTAGTATAACCATATCTGCAATATATACCTGCTATTTTTCTCTCAGCTTCTTTGAAAGACATAAAATTACAGAAGACAATAATTTAGCATTATATCATTGGGTTTGTAACATAGATTGAATATATGTAACAAATAGAGCACAAAAAAAGGGAAGAAATCAATTTATACAGAAGTCACATTTCTATGCTCATTGGAATTAATATAGTATAAATTTGAAATGTGTCCTGATAAGATAAACATTTTATGTTCTAAGGCAATTGACAGACTGGATTAAAAACACAAGGTACACCTATATTTTCTCTACTGGAGACGCACTTTAGGTTTAAAGACAAATATTTTGAGAGCAAAAGGATGGAAAAAATACTCATGCAAATGCAACCATTTCAAAGTTGGAGCAGCTATGCTGAAATAACACAAAATGGAGAGTAAAACAACAACAAAGTGTTACTAAAAGTGAAGAAGGAGATTTTAGGATAATATAAGGGTCAATCTACTAGAAATGTGTAACAATTGTAAAAATGCATGAACCTAAAAAGAGGACTCCCAAAATACATGATGCAAAACTGCTAGAATGCAGGGAAAAATAGACAATTCAACAATAATAGTTGTAGCCTTTAATACCCTGTTTTCAATAGTGCATAAAACATTTAAAAAGAAGATCAACAAGATATAGGAGACTTAGCAACATTAACAGATCTCTATATAGCTAATTGCACTCAAAAGCAAGACAGTACACATTTTTCTCAAGAGCACTTGGAGCATTTTCTAGAAGAGACCTTATGCTAGTTCACAAAATAAGACTCAACATATTTTAAATGATTGAAATCAGACAAAAATCTGTTCTCCAAACACAGTGGAATTAAATCAGAAATCAATAACAGAAGGAACAGTGAGAAATTCAACACACATCTAAATAACCAATGGATCAAAAAAAAAAAGAAAAGAAAATTAGAAAATACTGTGAGATGAATAAAAGTGAACATGGAACATACAAAACCCATAAGATACAAATAGAACAGAAATTAGAGGGACATTTATAGAATTAAACACTCAACACTTATATTACAAAAGAATAAAGATCTCAAATCAGCAAACTTACCTTTTACCTTAAACTTGAGAAAGAAGGTGAAACTAAAACCAGAGCAAGAAGAAAGAAAGAGCTTTAAATATAGGGTAGACTCAAGTGAAATGGAAATTAGAAAAACAATGGAGAGAGAGAGAGAGAGAAAGAAAAACAATGGAGAAAATAAACAAAACCACAAGTTCTCTGAAATGATAAACAAAATTGATAATGCTTTAATCATACTAATATAAAGGAGAAAAGACTCAAATCACTAAAGTTAGGCATGAAAGAGAGGACATTGCTACTATTATTACAGAAATAAAAAGAATTTTAAGGGAGTAATATGAACAATTATACTTCAACAAACTAGATAGCTTAGATAAAATGGACGAAATCCCAGACTAACATAAACTACCAAAACTGAGTCAAGAAAATGCCACAAATCTGACTAGACCTAAGAGGAGTAAGGAGATTGAATTTATAAGAAACTTTCCATAGAGAAAAGCCAGATTCCTTTGGCATCACTGCTGAATTCCACCAAACATTTAGAAAAGAATGAATACCAATTAGTTACACCCTTTCGTAAGAAATAGAAGAGGAGAAAATACTTACCAACTCATCTAATGAGGCTAGGGTTGCCATCATACTATCACTAGACAAATACATCATAAGAAAGAAAAACTACGTGTCTAGTGACTCTAGACACAAATGTCTTCAAGAAAATGCTAGAAACCATATATAGCATCACATAAAAAGGATCATCATATACAATGACTAAGTAGATTTTATCCCAAGAATGAAAAGTTTGTTGTACATTTGAAATCAAACAATGTAAGTCACCATATTAGTAGAGCAAAGGAGGAAAAACACATAATCATATCAGTAAATACAGAATAAGTATTTGAAAGAAATCCAGCACCCTCCCACTATAAAAACACTCAGCCGTGCAGAAGATCTTTAGCTTAATTAGATCCCATTTGTCAAGTTTGGCTTTTGTTGCCATTGCTTTTGGTGTTTTAAACATGAAGTCCTTGCACATGCCTATGTCCTGAATGGTATTGCCTAGGTTTTCTTCCAGGTTTTTCATGGTTTTAGGTCTAACATGTAAGTCTTTAATCCATCTTGAATTAATTTTTGTATAAGGTGTAAGGAAGGGATCCAGTTTCAGCTTTCTACATATGGCTAGCCAGTTTTCCCAGCACTGTTTATTAAATAGGGAATCCTTTCCCCATTTCTTCTTTTTGTCAGATTTGTCAAAGATCAGATAGTTGTAGATATGTGGCATTATTTCTGAGGGCTCTGTTCTGTTCCATTGGTCTATATGTCTGTTTTGGTACCAGTACCATGTTGTTTTGGTTACTGTAGCCTTGTAGTATAGTTTGAAGTCAGGTAACGTGATGCCTCCAGCTTTGTTCTTTCAGCTGAGGATTGACTTGGCAATGCAAGCTCTTTTTTGGTTCCATATGAACTTTAAAGTAGTTTTTTCCAATTCTGTGAAGAAAGTCATTGGTAGCTTGATGGGGATGGCATTGAATCTATAAATGACCTTTGGTAGTATGGCCATTTTCACAATATTGATTCTTCTTACCCATGAGCATGGAATGTTCTTCCATTTGTTTGTATCCTCTTTTATTTCATTGAGCAGTGGTTTGTAGTTCTCCTTGAAGAGGTCCTTCACGTCCCTTGTAAGTTGGATTCCTAAGTATTTTATTCTGTTTGAAGCAATTGTGAATGGGAGTTCACTCATGATTTGGCTCTCTGTTTGTCTGTTATTGGTGTATAAGAATGCTTGTGATTTTTGCACGTTGATTTTGTATCCTGAGACTTTGCTGAATTTGCCTATCAGCTTAAGGAGATTTGGGGCTGAGACGATGGGGTTTTCTAGATATACAATCATGTCATCTACAAACAGGGACAATTTGACTTCCTCTTTTCCTAATTGAATGCCCTTTATTTCCTTCTCCTGCCTGATTTCCCTGGCCAGAACTTCCAACACTATGTTGAATAGGAGTGGTGAGAGAGGGCATCCCTGTCTTGTGCCAGTTTTCAAAGGGAATGCTTCCAGTTTTTGTCCATTCAGTATGATATTGGCTGTGGGTTTGTCATAGATAGCTCTTATTATTTTGAGATACATCCCGTCAATACCTAATTTATTGAGAGTTTTTAGCATGAAGCATTGTTGAATTTTGTCAAAGGCCTTTTCTGCATCTATTGAGATAATCATGTGGTTTTTGTGATTGTTTCTGTTTATATGCTGGATTACATTTATTGATTTGCATATGTTGAACCAGCCTTGCATCCCAGGCATCCCAGTAGCTATCAAGCTTTGGGCCTTATATATTTGGGCATGTATATGCCAAAATATCAACAGTGGTTTTTCCCAGGAAGTGGATGTATAATGTTCATTTTGGTTCGATTGGCTTCTGTAATGCTTGGGTTGTTTTCAGTGAATATGTCCTTTAAAATAATATAGAAGATATTACTAGTAACAAAATAAAATGAACCTACTTTTTAATCCAGAAAGTCCATTTCTAAGAAAATATTTTCCTATGGTAGGAATCAGAGATGCATGCAAATTTTATAAGAAAGAGTACTCATTCCATCATGTTTCAGAAAGTAAGAAATTAGGTTTAGCCTAACAATCCAAAAGTTGGAGTAGAAATGAGATGGTAATACAGTTTTTATATTTGTCTCCATTCAAATATCATGTTGAAATGTAATCCCCAATCTTGGAGGTGGGGCCTGGTGGGAGGTGTTTGGATCCTGGGGGCAGAGCCCTATTAATGGCTTGGGACAATACCCTTGGTCATAAGTAAGCTCTTGCTCTGAGTTCACATGAGATCTGGTTCTTTAAAAGTGTGTGACACTTCCTCATCACCCCCAGTTCTCTTGCTCCTGTTTTAGTCATGTGAAGTACTTGTTCCACATTCAGCTTCTGCCATGTGTTAATGCTTCCTGAGGCTTCCCCAGAAGCAGATGTTGGCACTATGCATCCTGTGAACCCTGCAGGACGATGAGCCCATTAAACCTCTATCATTTATAAATTACCCTATCTCAGGTGTTTATCTATAGCAATGCAAGAATAGCCTAATGCAGAAAATTGGTACTGATTGGTGGGGCATTGCTATAAAGATACCTGACTATGTGGAAACGACTTTGGAACTGGGTAACACACAGAGTTTGAAAGCATTTGGAGGGCTGAAAAGAAGATAGGAAGATGAGGGAAAGTTCAGAACTTCTTAGAGACTGGTCAAATAGTTGTGACAAAAATGCTGGTAGTGATACAGATAATGGAGTCAAGGATGACATGGTCTCAGATGAAAATGAGGAACTTACTGAGGACTGGATCAGAGGTCACATGTTATACCTTAGCAAATAACTTTTTCATGCCCTAGAGATCTGTGGAACTTTGAACCTCATAGTAATGATTTCAGGTATTTGCTAGAACAAATTTCTAAGCATCAAAACATTCACAATGTGGCCTAGCTACTTCTAACAACCTATACTCATATGCGGGAACAAGGGAATGACTTAAAGTTGTAACTTCTATTTAAAAGGTAAGCAGAGAATAAACGTTGGAAAAATGTGCAGCCTGGCCATGTGGCAGAGAAAGTAAAAGCCTTTTCAGGAGAGGAATTCGAGTAGGCTGTGGAACAACCATTTGCTAGAGAAATTTACATAACTAATAGGGAGCCCAGTGCTGAAAGTCAGGACAATGGGGAACAGGCCGTGAAAGCATTTCGTAGACCATCATGGCAGCCCCTCCATCACAGGCCTTGAGACCTATAAGGGAAGAATGGTTTCAGGGGCCTGACCAAAGGCCCCACTGCCCTGCTCAATCTCAACACACTGCTCCCCACATCCAGGCCACTCCAGCTCCAGCCTTGGCTCAGAGGACCCCAAATATAGCTCAGGCCACTGCTTCAGAGAGTGCAAGCCATAAACTTTGGTGGCTTCCATGTAGCATTAAGCCTGTGGGCACACAGAGTGGAAGAGTGAAGGAGACTTGGCACCCTCCCCCTATATTTCAGAGGATGTATGGAAAACCTGGGTACCCAGGCAGAAGCCTGCTGCATGGGCAGAGCCCCCACAGAGAACTACTGGGGCAATGCCAAGGGAGACCATGGGGGGTGGAACCCCCACTCAGAGTCCCCAGTCAGGTACCACCTAATGGAACTGTGAGAAGGGGGAAACTGCCCTCCAGACCTGCGAATGGTAGATTCACTGGTAGCTTGGACCCTGTGCCTGGAAAAGCCACAGGCACTCAACAACTTGTGGGAGCAGCCACAGAGGCTGAACCTTGCAAAGCCACAGGGGTGGAGCTGCCCAAGGCTTTGGGAGTCCACCCCTTCTAACAGTGTGCCCTGAATGTGAGACATGGAGTCAGAGGAGGTTATTTCAGAGCTTTAACACTTAACGACTGCCCCCGCCTCCTTTCTTTTGGCTGATTTCTTTCTTTTGAAACAGAAATGCTCACCCAATGCCTATGCCCTCATTGTATCTGGGGAGTAAATAATCTGTTTTCGATTTTACAGGCTCATAGGTTGAAGGGACTTGCCTTGTCTCAAATAAGACTTTGGACTTTGGACTTTTCAGTTAATGTTGAAAGGAGTTAAGATTTTGGGAGACTATTGGGAAGTTATAATTGTATTTTGCATTGTGAGAAGGACAGGAGATTTGGGTGGGAGCAAGGGCGGAGGGCAAAATGATGTGGTTTGGATATTTGTCTCTACCCAAATCTCATGTTGAAAGGTAATCCCTGTTTTGGAGGTAGGGCCTGGTGGCTAAGTATTTGGATCATGGGGGCAGATCACAGGGGCCATCACCTTGGTGATAAGTGAGCTCTTGCTCTGAGTTCACCTGACATCTGATCATTTAAAGTGTGTGGCAACTCCCCCCGACTCTTGCTCCTGCTTTGCCATGTGAGCTCCTGTTTTGCTCCTGCTCTGACTTCCACCATGAGAAACAGCTTCCTGAGGCATCTCCAGAAGCAGATGCTGGCACTATGCTTGCTATATAGCTGGCAGGACTGTGAGCCAAATAAACCTCTTTAAAAACAAATTACCCAGTCTCAGGCATTTATTTATAGCAAGGCAAGAGTGGCCTAATACAGATGATGTGGGTAGAGCCATACCATGCAGTGCTATCAGGCATTGGAATGTCTGTACACCAAAAACACTTTATGACATAGGAAAGACAGTGTGTCAGTTAAATGTACACAATATAGACATCTAAAAATTATAACTGCATACATATAGTGATCCTATTTTTATATATTTTTAAAACAAGTAACTGATTCCAAAATTCTTAGTGTATTTTTGCAATTACTCATGACATTTATTATTGCTATCTTTCTACATTTTGTGCAATGTCAACAATAAATTTGTATTACTTTTATCACACAAAACACATAGAATGTGGCTGGAATATAGGAGATGCTAAATAAATAGTGTTTAAATATAAATACAATTAGTCAAAATGTTCACAATGGGATAATATGAGTGCGTATGGTTAGGTGTTGCCGTTGTGTAATGGGAAATAGAGAAAAGACTTGAAATGTCAGCAATAGAGAGTTAAGCTACTGTATATTTATGTATTAGATTATACTATATGGAATTGCTACTTTTACAGCTCAAAATGGTCAAATATTGGAGTTTTTATGTATTTCAAGCTACTTATTGGGAAGATACTTCAATAGGTAAATTGTGGGAATAAATACCCCTATGGAACGCATATGGGAATAAAATATCATTTCTGCCCCAAAGCAGTAACAGTTAAATCTTCAGTCTTGTGAAAGTAAAACAATTTTACTAGGGCATATTTTCAATGTTAATGATTTTAAAAAAATTTAGCTTGGACTCAGAATTCATTTTTCTATAGTAGCAGCTGTATATGAGGTTATAATATCTATAGTGTAGCCCACAAAAGCCTATTTAACCCACAGTGCAGCTGAAATACAGTAGTAATTTATCCACATAAAATCATGTTCATAATAATGTTGCTTTAGGGAGTCAAATGCAGAGTTTATTTCTAATGGAAACATTAGAAAACATGGCTCTCTTGGGACTAGAGCCCATGTTCCTTTTGTTTTTCATTTTAGTGTGGGTAAAACTGCTTTAAGAACGTTTGTGGTGCCACAAAAGCATGTTTTGCTTCAAGCATTCATGGACTGGTCTGGCAATGCACGGCTTTGCTCCTTCTGTGTCTGTTGTCCTGGGAAGACGAGAAGAAGTAGGCCAGGCATCTGAGGACTTGGACTGCATCCTGTTTTAGCCCGATTTCCTCAGTGCCATTGGTCAAGTCACTAAATGTTCTGGGACCAAATTTCCATATTCGATGGAATCTATATATTTTTTCACAATGTATTCAAAGTGGTTGTTAGTAAATATAAAGAAATTGGTTAAATGTTATTATATAATGTAAGTTTTGCTGTGGTTTTTTTATAAGAAAAGAATTCACAATATTAGGCTAATAATTTAACTTTGTGGATACAAAGTACAACTGAACGCTACTAATAAGAGAAACAAAAAATACTCCCTAAATGTGTTTTGTTTTAGATTGGGTTTTATGTGTGCTTGACTTCTCTCTTGGGTTTTATGTGTGCTTGACCTCTCTCTCTCTCTCTGTGTGTGTGTGTGTGTGTGTGTGTACATACAACTGCGTGTATAAAATTGTTTTCTCTTGAAGAAAATGATACGTAGGACAAAGAAGGGCAGAATAACCTTGGGGAAATACATACACATGAATGTAAATAAACCCCACGCTGAGTAATATAATGTTACATACTATAAATAAGAAATATTATTCCTCTAGTGGAACATCAGAATAATGACTGTAATTGTCAGGTGCTGTTCAATATAGTATGTTATTAAATCAATATAGGAATAATTTTTTAACTTAGGAAAATTTTTAACTTAGGACATTATAGAAATAAAGGAAAACGAAACAAAAAAAGACAAATCGATAGTGGCAGAACATACCCAATAACATGCTTTATGCAGCTAACTATACAGGTTATTTAGTCATAAACAAAGTATACCCTCATTAACATAGCATTATGCTTTTGATATAACACTTATGCTTTTGATATAGCACAGTTCTAGTATTTAATTTCTGGTTCCTGTTTCATTCTTTATAGGTGTAAACTGTGAGCCAGATGTAGCTAAGGAAAATAAATCTGTTCTCCTCTGTTTTCATTCATTTTTGCTATTCCTTTTCTATGTGCCCTAAATGGCGTTTTAATCCACGTGGTTCCTATCTGGAATGACTGTTTTCTTGTTATCAAGAGATAGTATAGGATATTAGTTAAGAGCCTGACTCTAACCCTAGACTCTGTGGGTTTAAATGCCAGCCCTGCCATTCCTACCTACCTGACCTAGAGCAAGAGGCTTCATTTCTCAGAGGCTCAGATTCTTCTGTACAATTGGAAATGAAATAGGATAGATAAAAGAATTAGATGAGTTCATGCATTTTGGACAGTTCTTGAGACATTGTGATCTTTGAATAGATGTCAGCTACTACTATTATTTCTATCTTTTCCCAAGTGTTCTTTAAATGTTGCCTGTGTATTCTGTGCCACTGGTCTTGGGGCAGGCATAATAATAATGTTAATAATAAAATAACAGAAAGCAAAGTTTATTTAGTGCTTACTATGTGTTGTGCATTGTGCCAAGTACTTTAAATAATATCCACTGATCTCCACAATACTTGACCAAAGCAATTTAAGCAACTTACTAAAGCAGTTTAAGTAATTTGCAAAGATCATATTGCCAAGAAAGGGGTGCTAGAATTTGATTAGATCCATGCATAATACTTATTCCAAAAGACACCTAAGGAATGCCCTTTGGATGTCCACTCTCACCTATGCTACATTCCAAATAAGCCTGACCACAAACTGGAGAATCCGTTATGACTTTTCCTTACCCTGCTCACTGGAATGTAAGGTCCTATTAAGCAGTTTCTGTTTCGCTGCTTAATATTTAGATAACAAGTAATTCATTTAGGCAACTTTACAGCTCTGGATTTTGTCCAAATGCACAAACATTCTTTAAAACATTCCAACAAATGGCAGGAAGAATTATATGACAGAATAGAAAATTTAAAATGGCTGTGAATTACTACACTTTAAGGACATCATCTGAAATTAAAATTAGAAAACTACTTCATTTAAGGAAGAAAACTCTTTGCCCTAAATTAAATATTGCAACTTTGTTTTTGAAAAGTTTTATTTGGCCTTCAAAAGACGTGTGTGTGTGTGTGTGTGTGTGTGTGTGCGCGCGCGTGTGTGTGTTTGTGTGTTTATACATACTTTATATTTCCTTTATTTGAATAACTTTATGCAAGATGTATACTGTCCCATTCGAAGACTTTACTTCTCCCTTCTTTTTTTCATTTGCCATGCACCAATATGCACCTAGACTAATTGACACCTCTGTGTTACCTCATTGATATTTTTAAGCCTTCCAGTCATAACCCTTGCATTTAACTAAGTAACTGGTATGAGTGTGGAAATGAATATTTCCCACATTCTTGTGAAAGAATTTTAATTTAGGAGTACATGATTATTTGCTTATACATCCCCAAGCCCTGTAAGTCCCAAGCAGAATATGAGTCAGATATTTGGAATATTGAGTTTTTTCAGCTTCCAAGAGTGTGCCCTTGATTCCTTTAGATATGATGAGAAATATGAGACATGGTGATAAGACAGAGATTCTGTAAGGCCATCCCACTTTCTATCTGCATCAACAATTTCAAGGGATTTCATGTCACGTGCCCTACTCAAGGATACATACATTTGTGTGAGTGTGTGTCTTAAAGTATGCACATGTGACTGAAAAAATTAGATACAGATTTATTTGCGCTGTTTTCTAAGTGTGAAATTTTCAGATGTATTTCCTATTTGCTCTTTTGATTATTTAAAATAATGCTGTTATAGAAACATTAAGATTAGACAAAACAGATGAAATAAATTAATATTTAATGAGGAGGGCAGAAGGATATTCACTAGGAGCCAACATTTGTGTAGTAACATGAAGCTTTCCATTAAAGTCTGTTGCATCATCCTATTGGGAGTAGTTCTAGAGAAAATATCTCTGAAGGTGATGAGTGAGAGGAGAAGGTGCCAACCCAAAACAGAGAATTCTATAGTGCCTACTAAGATGATGACAAATCACATAAGAGAAAAAAGTATTTTAAGGTGCATGACTGTCAGCTCCCTGGCTATCAGAGCTTTTCATTTTGCCTTAATCACTGTTCCCATTTTATTTGAACAGAATGTGAATCCTTCACTTACTAGTGGTTTGATTTTTCTTTCATTCGTTCATTATATATTAAAAATATTTATTGCCTACTGTATTCTAGGCACAAAAGAGGGAGATATAAATATACAGACCCAATCTCTGGTAGACAATGTCAGTATCTGATCCATGTTGTTCAGGTATTATGGACATTATTACTATGTACTCTATGTGACTTCCCCTTGCCAGTCTGCACTTGTGATGAAGATCGATTGTGCACAAACTGCAGATAGCCCTGCTAAACTCCCCAAGCAGATTGAAAATGATGAGAAATTAATATCTCTTGGATTTTACATTTAACTTGGGTTTTGCCTTTACCAATGAGTCTTAGGAGTTGGGATATAAATACCCAAGTTCTCTTTCCCTGTTGGTGAAATAATATTGAGGCATGTGTATGGTGACATTTATCAGAAACTCCTCAGGGTTTAGGCTTCAGTTGGCCACTGTGGAAAATATCTTAATAGTCCACCTTTTATTAGGTCTAACCCTTTCCTCTATTGCATCCCTCTCTTTTTTGTTTATTCATATAAAGTGCACTCCACAAATAAAGTTCTATCACTAGAATCCTATCAGATCAGCTCTTGGAAGAACCAAACCATGGCACAATACCTGCAATCATGTAAATTACACTGTAGTACAGTGTATTTCAAAATAAGATCCTATACCAACTGCATCAGAAGTCAACTATAAAACTTGATGGCAGACGAGCCAAAATCTCTGGCAGAAGAGCTTGGTAATTTGGACTTTTAACCTGCTCCCCAGTTGATTTCTGCGCTACCTCACATTTGAGAATCATTGGCCTAATAGCTGTCATTGCATTTTGTAAGTTTCTGTCTTTGATTCGAAAAGGTATCGAGTTGTAATGATTTAATAAAATTGTTTGTCAAATATTTTATGTTTCAAGAATTAAAATATGTACAAATAAGGTTAAACACTTCAAGAAAATAACTATTTTGGTTATAGTCTTTAAAATAACAAAGTGTATTTGAAATTCATGAGAATCTTTAAATGTCAAATACATTATTAAAGTAGGAAGGAAGGCTAAGTCACCATTTGTATATAGTGAGAGTAGAGCCATACTCAATAAATAATATAAAATAATAATTGTACTTTGGTGAGAATATTCGTGTTTTGGCTGAGGATATTTTTTGCATTTACTTATTTCTTCATTCATCCTTAAAATCATTCAATAAACATGTACTGAGTAAGACAAACAGATATTAAATTAAAATACAGAGGCAAAGAAATTAAGGAGAAAGATATGGCTCCTACCCTGAAGCCTAGTCTCTCTGTATTAAATCTAAGACATTCCTACTGAAACATAAACGTGAAAGAAATTCAAAAGTGAGGTATCACCCTAAATTTCACATGGAAGAAGAATCTATAATTAATGATTAATGTTTATTATATCCTATTCTTAAAAAACATGGTCATAACTTTCTCTATGCCTTTGTTATTCTCCAAGAACTGTAGTGAGTGAGAGGAATATATTTACTTCTTGTGCAGGAGATGTGGCATAGTATGGAGGAAGATGTGAATTCTTTTCACTTTTTATGTACTTAAAAAATTCTCCAAATTAATTTACTGCTGTAGCATTTTTAAAAATTTAACCCATAGCATGGGTAAGTTTTCAAATGCTGTTATTTTCAGTGATTTCAAAATACATGTTTCCAATTAGTAATATTGGAAAGCTTATTTTTCTTTTAGGAGGACAGAGCATCAACCATATCTAACTTTTCAAGAAATCAGGTCTGGGTACATGTAAGTCAAATATTCTATCAAAATATAGAAGCCATATATTCTTTCTAAGTTTAGAGATAACAATGAACCCCCACTTATACTTATCTCCTGTAATATTGAAAGTTTGGAATCTCAAATTTCAGTTTTCAAAAATATTTAAAAATTTGTTGGTATTCGATGGCACTATCTTAAGCAAAACAGATTAGCAATGATGTTTTGTATAATACGACTATACATTTAAAAACTCATTTTCATAAACTCAAATGCTTGCTTGAAATACTGTCATAATCATCTCTTTGTGCAAAATTTGAAAATTTTTCCTTCTAAATCATATGCTTATGTAAGTTTCCTATTAACAATTCATTCTTCTCAAAGTCCCCCTCCTGCCAGCCCAGATATCTTGACTTGTGTTCTAACAGTTCAAAAAATTTGATGATTATTTTTCTCTCTTGTTCTCCTCTCACCTTTAAAATTTTTCCTGCTACCTTTGAGTTTATTGCCTTTTTCTTGAAAATATGCTTATTTTAGAATCATTTTCTATCCCCTGATTGTTTTGTATAAGCAATAACATATATTGATACTTAAAATGATGGCATATTCTACCACGTAAGAAAGAAAATGACACAGACAATGTCAAAACAACCACCTGCCATTGAAATTGTAGATGGAGAAGAATATTGCTGGTCTTAACATTTTCTACATTGTAAGCTTTTCATCTCAACACATTGTTGGTGAAGTGTGAAAAATGGTTTAATTGGTGAAGTTTATCCTCCACCTCTGTTATATACAATTCACGTTACACATTACACACACATACTATATAAAATCTACTGAAGGAAGAAAGAATTTTCTGTACTTTTGGAACTTTGCAAGTGAAGTATTTCATGTAAACAGATAATTAATGGGTAAACAGAAGTATTCTATAACTCACCTTTGTTTGTGAACAAGGCTGTCCTTCAAATTGAAGTACATTTGTGGAATGAGAGGAGAGTGGTCATAAAATTAGGAGTCAAGTAATTTCTTCATGATCTTTATTTTCTTACATCTTGGGCCTACATGGATGCAATAAGGCCTCGCTAGCCAGATCCTTTACATACATACTACTTTCCACTTTCAAATGATTATTCTGAGAACTTCTGAGAAACATCTGCTTCCTGCTGAAATCACACTAAAATATCAGAAAAGAGATAAAAGTTTATACACCATAAAATCAAAAATGGAATAGGAGAAACAGCGATATATTTTAGAAAACTGAAAACAGGCTGGGTGCAGTGGCTCATGCCTGTAATCCCAGCACTTTGGGAGGCCGAGGTGGGAGGATCACCTGAGGTCAGGAGTTCAAGACCAGCCTGACCAACATGGTGAAACCCCATCTCTCCTAAAAAAACAAAAATTAGCTGGATGTGGTGGCAGGCACCTGTAATCCCAGCTACTCTGGAAGCTGAGGCAGGAGAATCACTTCAACCTGGGAGGCAGAGTTTGAAGTGAGCCGAGATCATGCCACTGCACTCCAGCCTGGGCAACAGAGTGAGACTGTCTCTAAAAAAAAAAAAAAAGAAAGAAAGAAAGAAAAAAGAAAGAAAACCAAAAATAAATGAACACATGATAACTGATTAGAACTAGAAGAAAGTGCATTCTAATGCAACCATGCGTAGAACCCAGCAAAAACACATTTGAATCACAGAACTGCATAAATTGGAGGCACTTCTGATAGTTGGGTGTATGTTGGGCTGATAAAAAGGAGGATTGTTTGGAAATCTGTGTAAGGAATAATCATCTGCTTTAAACTGAAGGTCAGTTGTCTAAAGAGGTTAAGTCAGACATTGCTTTAGACTTGGGGACCCAAGCATAGCTGAGGATGAAAATACTATGTGGAAAGGTGGGCATCTGTGGAAATCTATATAGAGAGTAGTAAAACCACCTCCTCCACTCAGCTGTGAGAACATTGGCTACTGGGTTTGCAGTCTTCAGGCAGCATGATAAATAATTCCTCTCTAGAGAAAGTGAGAGAGTTTGACAGTTGAATTTCCCCAAGAAAAAGCTCAGCAAGATTATCAAACAGAGAACATCTGCAGTTAATATATATATAAAAGACAAAAAGATACTGTTTATAAATATAGAAAAAGGGATTAAGAAAAAGAAAAAATATTTGAAATTTAAAATATATTAGAAAAAATTAAAAACTCAATAGTAAAGTGTTGGAAAATAAAGTTACAAAACTTCTCAGAACAGAAATGGAAAAAAACATGTGAAGAGATGACAAAACCAGATGACCCACACACAATACATAAACAATAGGAATTTCAGAAGAAATAATAATAAAAAGAGAAACAATATGTCAGTGACACTGGAAGCTAGAATTCTGCATCAAATATAATTACTTATCACATGTGATGGTAGAATAATGCTGTTGGGTGTTTGCATACTGTAGGGCTAAAACACAAACTTTAGAGTCAGATTTCAGGGGTTTTAATTCTGGAACAGCAAGCTTCTACATATGTTGGGGCTTAAATTTCAATTTCTTAAGTTTTTATTTTTCCCAGGAAATCAATAATTAATTCTCTTACTGGGTTGTTTTGAGGATTAAATAAGTAAACACACATAAAATGCAAAGAGTAGAGTATGGCATCTAAGAAGTTCTCAGAAAGTTGTTGTCACAATTATTTTTTTAACAGGCACACAAATCCTCAAGAAATTTACTTTTCTTCAAATAATTTCCAATGTGCTACTATAAGATATAGCCCATTAAAATTAAAGCCATAAATTAAGAGTAAAGAAGAAATGAAAACAAAAAAGGGGGGAGGGGTTCAATGCAGGAAGGAGTTGATAGGAATTGCTAGGATGAAGTTAAATGTCAATCCCAAAGTGACAAGACATAAGCTATCCCACAGAATTCGAGAATAAACTTCAGATTAGAGAAGAAAAGGAGAGGGCCTCAAGAAGTATTTATCGAAGAACAAAATTAAACCAATGAATTACATAATGTATGGACATAATGAAACTATAATTATAGTTCTGGAGAAGAGGTATGAGATGAATTAATGGGAAGTAATATTTAATCCCCTATAAGAAAATAAGGAAACAAAATAATTGTTAAGTGCCTTTACAACAAAAAATATATAAAAATAGAAAACAGAGAAGAGTGAGGCAAAACAAGATGGCTGAACAGAATACTCCAGCAATCTTCCCCCAAACAGGAACACCAGATTGAACAACTATCCACACAAAGAAGCACCTTCGTAAGAACCAAAAATCAGGCAAGCAATCACAGTACCTGGTTTTAACATCATATTAAGGAAAGAGGCTAAAAAAGAGACAATCTTAAATCACCTACACTACCCCTCTCCACCTCCCAGCAGCAGCCACGTGATGCGGAGAGAAAATCTGTGTGCTTGCAGGAGGGAGAGCACAGTGATTGTGGAATATTGCATTGGAACTCAGTGCTGCCCTGTCACAGCAGAAAGCAAGAAGGGGCAGGACTCAGTCAGCGCCCATGGAGGGATTATTTAGGCCAGCCCCAGCAGTAGGAATTTGAGTTCCAGCAAGCCACATCACTACAGGCTAAAGGGCTCTGGGGTTCTAAATGAACTTGGATGGCAGTTTCAGCCACAAAGAATAGCATTCCTGGGCAAGTCCTGGTGCTGTGCTGAACTTGGAGCCAGTAAATTTGGGGTGCATGCAATCTAGTGAGACATCAACTGAGGTGGCTAAAAGAGTGCTTACATCACCCCTTCTCCAACCCAAGACAGTACAGCTTGCAGATCCAGGAGAGACTCCTTCCTTCCACATGAGGAGAGGAGAGAGAAGAGTAAATAGGAATTGTCTTGTGAATGGAATACTAGCTTAGCCACAGAAGAAATCACCAGGCAGAGTTCTGAGGCCCCCTTTCCAGGCCCTAGCTCCTGGATGACATCTCTAGACACACCCTGAGCCAGAAGAGAACCTGCTGCCTTGAAGGGAAGGAAGGATACATTCCTGACAGGATTCATCACCTGCTGAGTAAAGAGCCCTTGGGTCATGAATAACTAGCAGCGATAGCCAGGCAGTATTACCATGGGCCTTGGGCGAGACTCAGAGCCATGCTGGCTTCAGGTGTGACTCAGCACATTTCCATCTGTGGTGGCTATGGGGAGAGACTCCTGCTTGAGGAAAGGAGAGGGAAGAGTAAAGGGGACTTTTTCTTGCAGCTTGGGAGCCAGCTCAGCCACAAGTGGGATTCTGCTGTCCCTGATTCCAGACCTTGGCTCCTGCATGGTATTTCTGGACCTGCCCTAGGCCAGAAGGGAGCCCACTGCCCTGAAGCAAGAGACGCAGGCCTGTCAGTATTCACCACAAGTGAACTGAAGAACCCTTGGGCCATGATTGAACATCAGCACTAGCCAGGCAGTATTTGCTGCAGGCCTGTGGCAGTGATGGCCACAGAGAGAGTCTTCTCTACTTGAGGAAAGGGGAGGAAAAGTTGGAAAAATCTTGCAGCTTGGGTGCCACATTAGCTAGAGCACCAAGTAGATTCCTAGGTTCCCAACTCCAGGACCTGACTACTGCGCACCATTTCTAGACCTACCCAGGGACTGGGATAACTCACCTCTCTGAATGGAAGAGGAGAAGCCTGACCAGATTTGCCACCTACTGATTGTGGAGCCCTTGGACATTGAGAAAACATAGGTGGTAAATAGGTAGTGGTCACTGCAGGCCCTGGGTGAGACTCAGTACTGTGCTGGCTTTGGGTCAGACTCAGTGCAGTCCCAGTGGTGATGCTCACAGGGGTGCTATTGTCACCCCTCAGGCAGCTCAGCACAGTAATAAAGATTCCATTTGGGAGAAAGTAAGGGAAGAGAACAAGGATCTCTGACTGGTAATCCAGAGAATTATCCCAAATCTGACCCAAGAGCACCACGGTGCTACCTCTATGAGCCTCCAAGAACTAGTGTATTACTGGGCTTGGGATGCCCTCTAATGCAGATACAGTGCAGTGACAAAAGACTTAGATCACAGCAACCAAGTACCTTTGAATATTTGGAAAGCCTTCCCAATAGAAACAGGTACAAAGAAGCCCAGACTGTGAAGACTACAAGAAATATCTAGCTCTTCAGTTCCAAGACACTGAAAAATATCCATAAGTATCAAGACAATCAAGGAAAATGTGACCTCACCAAATGAACTACCTAAGGCACTAGTGACCAATCCCAGAGAGGCAGAAATATGTAACCTTGCAGAGAGTAGATTAAAAATATCTCTATGGAAGAGCTCAGTGAAAGTCAAGATAAGACAGAGAAGGAATTCAGAATCCTATTACAGAAATTTAACAGAGATTGAAATACTTTTTGAAATCAAGAAGAAACTCTGGAGCTGAGAAATGCAACTGCATACATAAAAATGCATTAGAGTCTCTTAACAGTAAAAGTGATCAGGTGTAAGAAAGAATTAAGGAGTTTGAAGACAGGCTATTTAAAAACACATAGTCAAAGGAGAGAAAAGAAAAAAGAATACAAAAGAATGAACCAGATCTACAAGATCCAGAAAATAGCCTCCAAGGGGTAAATCTAAGAGTTATTGACCTTAAAGAGAAGGTAGGCCAGGCAGGGTGGCTCATGCCTGTAATCCTAGCACTTTGGGAAGCTGAGGTAGGTGGATTACCTGAGATCAGGAGTTCAAGACCAGCCTGATCAACATGAGGAAACCCCATCTCTACTAAAAATACAAAAATATTAGCTGGCCATGGTGACAAATGTCTGTAATCCCAGCTACTCAGGAGGCTGAGGCAGGAGAGTTGCTTGAACCTGGGAGGAGGAGGTGGAAGTGAGCCAAAATCACGCCATTGCACTCTAGCCAGGGCAACAAGAGCAAAACTCCATCAAAAAAAAAAAAAAAAAAAAAAAAAGAAAAGAAAAAAGAAGGTAGAGAGAGTGATTGGGGTAGAAAGTTTATTCAAAGGGATAATAACAGAGAACTTCTCAAACCTGGAGAAATATATCAATATCCAAGCACACGAAAGTTATAGAACATCAAGTGGATTTCACCCAAAGAAGACCACCTTGAGACATTCAATAATCAAATTTCCAAAGGTCAAGGATAAAGAAATGATCCTAAAAGCAGCAAAATAAAAGAAACAAGTAACATACAAAGATCTTCAATATGTCTGGCAGCAGACTTCCCAGTGGAAAGCTTACAGGCCAGTAGAGAATGGCATGACATACACATAGCGTTGGAAAAAAATTATCCTAGAATAGTATATCTGTTGGGAACAGGCCCCCAAATCTGGCCATAAACTGGCCCCAAAACTGGCCATAAACAAAATCTCTGCAGCACTGTGATATGTTCATGATGGCCATGATGCCCATGCTGGAAGGTTGTGGGTTTACCAGAATGAGGGCAAGGAATAACTGGCCCACCCAGGGCAGAAAACTGCTTAAAGGCATTCCTGAACCACAAACAATAGCATGAGTGATCTGCACCTTAAGGACATATTCCTGCTGCAGGTAACTAGCCAAACCCATCCCTTTGTTTTGGCCCATCCCTTTATTTCCCATAAGGAATACTTTTATTTAATCTATAATCTATAAAAACAATGCTTATCACTGGCTTGCTGTCGATAAATATGTGGGTAAATCTCTGTTCAAGGCTCTCAGCTCTGAAGGCTGTGAGACCACTGATTTCCCATTCCACATGCAATATTTCTGTGTGTGTATCTTTAATTCCTCTAGTGTCACTGGGTTGGGGTCTCCACGACAGAGCTGGTCTCAGCAATATCCAATAAAAATATCCTTTAAACATGAAGGAACAATAAAGACTTTCCCAGGCAAAGAAAAACTGAGGGATTTTATAACATCAGACCTATTTTACAAAAAATGCTCAAGGGAGTTCTTCAATCTGAAATAAAATGATGTTTATGAGCAATAATAATTCATCTCATCTGAAGATATTGCACAAAATTCACCTGTAATAGTGAGCACACAGAAAAACACAGAATATCATAACACTGTAATTCTGGTGCATAAACTACTCATACCTTGAGTAGAAAGACTAATAGATGAAACTATCAAAAGTAAGAAATACAACAAATTTTCAAGACATAGTATAGTAAGACATATAATAAGACAACCACAAAAAATTATAAAGCAGGGAGATGAAGTTGCAGTGTAGAGTTTTTATTAGTTTTCACTTTGCCTGTTTGTTTATGCATTCAATGTTAAGTTGCCATTAATTTAAAAAATAGGTTATTGAGGTCAAGGAAGTGCAGGTGTGGCTGGAGAAGCTGTGGCTGCGCTGGGATCAGCACGGCGCAGGCCAGGCAGTGAGCAGCCTGGATCTTCTTAAAGTGCTCCTGGCCAATCTCTTTGAAAGGATCTGGTTTTTGTTTTGTGCTTTCTTTCTCCATCAATTCCTGATGCTTCTTCTCAATTTTTTTATTCCTGTTTATAATGTATTCCCGGATGAATTCCATTGTCTTGTTGGGCAGCTTGGTGCTTATAAACTGCAGCGTCTCTTTGTGAAATTCGCTTTGCAGATGCTTCTGGATCTCTTCGTCTTCAAATCTACAGAAATTGCACACAGAAGAGGCCAACTGAATCCTTCCGGCTGCTCAGTACTGCATCCTGTCTCTCCTCCTTTATTTTTCCCTCCTCTTTTTCACTTCCTCATCCTCGTCGTCCTTCTCTCTGCCTACCAGAGTCACAGAATTCATCCTCACCTTTGAATTCTTCATCTTCTGAGTGGAAGTCACCAGCTTTGTTATCATTTTCTGAGAAATCTACTTCACTGTCAACCCAGGCTAGTTTGGCATCTGGCTCCTTACAATTCTGGAACTGCTTCTGTTTCCTTCCCATGCCATCTAGCCCAAACGGGTCAAACCCTCTCCTTCTGGGTGGATCCTGATCCTGCTTCTGGCCCTGCGAGTGACCACATCCTTAAGGCCAGCGCTGTCATAGCCACCCGCCTCCTGCATGCCCATCAAGCCTTAGTCAGGAACCACGGACGGGGAGAAGAGCCAAGGAGGCCATTGGCTGGGGAGAGGGCCTTTCCAGACCCCATCCACTCACGTAGTTCAGCTCTTTCTAGGGCGTAGATAGAGGATCAGGGGAGGCTGAGGGTGGCTAGAAGGGGTCGTTGCACATGAAGGTGCCGGGATTGCTCTGGTCCTGGAAATGGCCCTGGCCTCGCCCGGCATGAAGCCATTGAGGGAGCCCTACTCCAGGGCCAGGTCTCAACATTCACTGTACTGCCCCCGAAAGCTGCCATTGCGGTGGAACCCCAGGTCGAAGTCATAGTCGTAGCTGTAGCTGGGGCAGTAGGGGCTGTGCTCTGGCAGGCAGGCCATGGAGTCACAGGACTCCAAGGTCTGCAAGTGGAAGGAGCTCTCCTGGTCCTGCATGCCCTCCCCACCGTGGCCGCTCCCCCCACTGCCTTCTTCCTTGGACATCATGTCCAAAAGCTGGTTGATCTTGGCAGTGAGGGAGTTGCAATTGTAGGTGCCCCGCTCTGGGCCATAAGAGGCCATGTGCATGGAAGTGGCCCTGGCCACCAGGCCACCTTTGCTTGCCTTGGTGGCCTCCTATGAGACTGGGCCAGCTGCTGAACAGTTCAAGAAAACCAGTCTCCATGTGGCTAAGAGTTTCTTGAACAACAGACAGATACCTCAGGTGTGAGGCCCCTTACACCAGTGAAACTGGTGATACAGAAATGGGAGGAGATGGCAATTTAGGAGGTGAGGATACAGAAGAGACACCTGAGGAGGTGGCGGCAGACATCTTGGCCCAGGAGATTACAACAGCAGTGAGGGCTGTAGATGGGAAAGGAGCACTGCTCTGGAGAGCAAGGCGATTGTGAAGGCCCCGTGGATACAGCCGACAACAGTAGTGATCCTCAAGCTGAACAGCTGCTGGAAGAGCAGATGCTCTGTGTAACAGCATCTGAGTAGGGGGCCGCGAGGCCAGAAGTGAGGCTGTGGAGGCTGGAAGTGGGGCTGAGACAAAGGCAGCAGAGGCAGAAAGTGGTGGAACCATGGCTGCTTCTGCTGCAGCTGCCATGGAAGTCGAAGTGAAACAAGCTGATGTGTAATCCGAAGATGCTGTTCGCACAGAATTGATGCTCATTTCCCTGTTCGAAGGGATGTGATGTATGACGGATGCCTTGCCCTTTCTCCTTTGACTTGTAAGCAGTACTAGGGTATGTGTTACCTTAAAATGCTCTAAACTAATATTGTTGAAGAGACCCAGCCATTTCTTCCTGAATTGTGCACCTCATGTCTTGTCTTTTGTGCAGTCATGTAGCTTCCCGCCTGGTTTTGAAAGCTGCAGAAGTTGTACATTCGCCCTAGCGGCTGTGGCATCTCTTGACTCTGTGGTTGGAAAATAAAGTTGGATAATTAGAAATAAAATAAAATAAATAATTATAGGTTAAAAATGTGATGTGCAATCTCATGGTAACCTCAAATTTAAAAACATATAACAGATATATACAAAAAAAAGAAAGAAATTAAGACAACCAAAGAAAATCACTTTCACTAAAAGGAGGACAGGAAGGAAGGAAGGAAAAGAAGACCACAAAACAATCTGAAAACAAATAAACAAACAGGCAGGAGTAAGTCCTTACTTATCAATAATAATTTGAATGTAAATGAACTAAACTCTTCCCATCAAAAGACATAGAGTGGCTGAATACATAAAAAACAAAAGTCCCAACAATCTGTTGCCTACCAGAAATATACTTCACCTAGAAAGACACATTTGATTGAAAATAAAAGGATGGTAAAAGATATTCCATGCCAAGGGAAATTAAAAAAAAAAAAAAGCAGGAGTAGCTATTCTTATACCAGACAAAATGGATTTCAAGACAAAAACTATAAGACGACACAAAGAAGGTCATTATATAATGAACAAGGGTCAATTCAGCAAGAGGATATAACAATTGTAAACATACATGTATCCAATACTGGAGCACCCAGATATAGAAAGCAAATGTTGTTAGAGCTAAAGCGAGAGATAGACCTCAGTACAATAAGAGCTGGAGATTTCAACATCCTACTTTCAGCATTAGAGAGTTTATCCAGAGAGAAAATTAACAAAAAATATCAGACATAATCTGCACTATAGACCAAATGGATCTAATAGATACAGAACATTTTACCCAACAGCTACAGAATACACATTCTTCTCCTCAACACATGCATCATTCTCAGGGATAGACCATATATAAGGCCACAAAACAAGTCTTAAAATATTCAAAAAATTAAAATTATATCAAGTATCTTCTCTGAACACAGAGAAGATACTTATTCTGGAATAAAACTGGAAATCAATACCAAGATGAATATTGAAACTATACATAGACAATAAATTAAATCATATGATCCTGAATGACCAGTGAGTTGATATAAAAAAATTAAGAAAAAAGTTGAAAAATTTCTCTAAAAAAAAAAAAAAAAAGATGATGGCATACCAAAACCTGTTGGATACAGCATAAGGAGTACTAAGAGGAAAGTTTATAGCAATAAGCACCTAAATCTAAAAGGTAGAAACACTTCAAATAAGAAACCTAATGATACATCATAAAAACCAGAAAGCAGGACAGGCATGGTGGCTCGTGCCTGTAATCCCAGCACTTTGGGAGGCTGAAGTGGGTGGATTACCTAAAGTCAGGAGTTTGAGACCGGGCTGACCAACATAGTGAAACCTTGTCTCTACTAAAAATACAAAAATTATCTGGGCATGGTGGTGTGTGCCTGTAGTCCAAGCTACTCGGGAGGCTGAGACAGGAGAATTGCTTGAACCCAGGAGGCAGAGGTTGCAGTGAGCCAAGATCACACCACTGCACTCTAGCTTGGGTGACAGAGCAAGACTCCATCTCAAAATAATAATAATAATAATAATAAAATAAAATGAAATTAAAAATTTTAAAAATATGTATAAAAAAAGCGCAAGAGTGAACCAAATCCAAAATAAGTGTAGGAAAAGAAATAAAGATTAAAGCAGAGAGAAATAAAATTAAAATAAAAAAATACAAAAGATCAATGAAACAAAAAGTTGGTCTTTTGAAATGACAAACAAAATTGCCAAATGTCTAACCTAAGAAAAAAAGAGAGAAGACCTAAATAAATAAAATCAGAGGTGAAAATTGAGACATTCCAACTGATACTGCAGAAAGTGAAAAGATCATTAGTGGCTACTATGAGCAACTCTACACAAGAAATTGGAAAACCTAAAAGAAATAGATAAATTCCTACACACATTCAACCTACCAAGATTGACTCACAAAGAAATCCAAAACCTGAACAGACCAATAACATGTAATGAGATCAAAGTCATAATAAAAAGTCTCCCAGCAAAGAAAAGCCTTGGACCCAGCAGCCTCACTGCTGAATTTTATCAAACACTTAAAGGAGAATTAATATCAATCCTAATCAAACTATTCTGAAAAATAGAGGAGGAGGGAATACTTCCAAACTCATTCTATGAGGCCAGAATTACCCTGATACCAAGACAAAGACACATCAAAAAAGAAAACCACAGGCCAAAATTCCTAATGAACATTGAGCAAAAATCTTCAACAAATACTAGCAAACCAAATTCAAGAACACATTAAAAATATCGTTCATCATGACTAAGTGGATTTACCCAGGGATGCAAGGATGGTTCAATATACACAAGTCAATGTGATGCATCATATCAACAGAAAGAAAGACAAAAATATATGAGCTTTTCAACTGGTGCAGAAAAAGCATTTGATAATACTCAACATTTCTTCATGATAAAAACCCTTAAAAAGCTGGGTATAGAACGAACATACCTTAACACAACAAAAGCCATATATGACAGACTCATATGTAGTATTATACCGAATGGAGAAAACCTGAAAGCTCTTCCTCTAAGACATGGAACACAAGATTGCCCATTTTCACGACTGTTATTCAACAGGGTACTGGAAATCCTGGCTAGAGAAATCAGACAAGAGAAAGAAATAAAGGGAATCCAAATGGAAAAGAGATAATTCAAATTATTTTTGTGTGTAGATATAATCTTATATTTGGGAAAACCTAAGACTCGACCAAAAAACTGTTTGATCTGATAAGCAAATTCAGTAATGTTGCAGGATACAAAATCAACATATTTAGGAATAAACAACCAAATAAGTAAAAAATCTCTATAATAAAAACTATAAAACATTAATGCAAGAAATTTAAAAGGGCACAAAAAGAGTAAAGATATTCCATATTCATGGATTAGAAGAATCAATATTGTTAAAATATCCATACTATGTAAAGAGATCTATAGATTCAATGCAATCCATATCAAAATCCAGTAACATTCTTCACAGAAGTAGAAAAAATAGCCCTAAAGTAGATATGGAAGCACAAAAGACTCAATAGTCAAAGCCATCCTGAGCCAAAAGAACAAAACTAGGAATCATATTACCTGATTTTATACTACAGAGATATTGTAACCAAGACAGCATGGTATAAAAACAAACACATAGATCAGAGAAGCAGGACAGGGAACTCAGATATAAATCCATACATATACAGGAACTTATTTAGACAAAGATACAAGAACATGCATAGGACAAAAGATAGTCTCTTCAATGGGTGGTGCTGTGAAAACTGAGTATCCATATCCAGAAGAGTAAAACTAGGCAGCTATCTTTTGCCTTGTTTGAAAATCTAATCAAAATGAATTAAAGACTTAAATCTAACATCTCAAAGTATAAAACTACTTAAAGAAAACATTGGCAAAACCCTTCAGGACATATACACAATAAAATACCATTTAGCTATAAAAAAGAGTGAGATAATGTCATTTGCAACAACATGGATAGAACTGGAGGTCATTATGTGAAGTGAAATAAGCTTGCACAGAAAGACAAACTTCACATGCTCTCATTTATTGTGGGAATTAAACCTTAAAACAATTGTACTCATGGAGATAGAGAGTACAATCATGGTAACCAGAGGCTGTGAATGGTAGTGAGAGGTGAGGGAATGAGGAATGTTTAATGAGTACAAAAGTATAATTAGATAGAATGAATAAGATCTACTATTTAATAGCACAGCAGAGTGAGTATAGTCAACAATAATATATTGTACATTTTAAAATAACTGAGTATAATTGGATTGTTTGTAACACAGAGAAAGTATAAATGTTTGAAGTGATGGATATTCTATTTACACTGATGTGATTATTACCCATTGTATGCCTGTATCAAAATATCTCGTGTCACATAAATATATACACATACTGTGTACCCACAAAAATTAAAAATAAAAATATTTGAAAGAAAATAATAGTATTATAATACCCATATACATATATATATATACAATCATTTGGATAATGAATACAATGTATGCAATAATAAGCACATGGACAATAAATACCAATTCAGTAAAAATATTTTACCAATTTTATTGTGAGCACTGTGTTTGTATACATTTGGCATGCTGGAAGTGATGTGGTTGGTTGTAAGAAAGGAAATTCCCATTTTTCTCATAGCAGGAGTTCAGTGAATGATATCTGAAACTGAAAAATTAAGATATGGAGTAAAAATATCTTATTAATAAATTTTGTGAAAATTTTAGAAGCAATAGCTAAAATAGTTGAATACATTGGTAATAGGTACCAAAATTATGGAGGACTTTCAGTAATAAGACAAATAAGTTCCGGTGATGTACAGCTTGGTGACTATACTGTATATTACAGTACAGTACATTACCATACTGTTTACTTGAAATTTGGTAAAAGAGTAGATCTTACGTGTTTTCATCACACACACACACACACACACACACACACACAGACATACACACACCACACAATGGTAACTGTAGTAAAGGATGTGTTAGTTGGATTATGGTTACCATTTCACAATGTGTGTGTGTGTACATATATACGTATAATCACATTGTACATCTTGAATGTATACATATTTTATTTGTTAAAAATACCTTAATATAGCTAGAAAAAAATTTTAATGTAACTCTAGACAGGTCTCAATATAAAAAGAGGAAGGGGACTAGAGATGGGTTTCGAGCAGTGATACTGCTATATTTGAAAATAAGCCTTGTTGAGCTATTGGATATTTTAAACTATGAGCTTATAAAACTTGTAAATTAAAACTACAGGACCACCACAACCCATATGGAAAATTCATGTCAATTAGAAACGGACAGTTCCTCTGGTCAGGCACAAATTGTTATGGAGCTGGGTGACTGCAATTTGGGCTAGATTTTAGTCTCTATCTACAAACTCAGTCCCAGACCCTTGATCAATGGAAAATCTGCATGATAATACATGGCAGCCCTCCACCTAAACAGTGGAATACTATTCAGCTGTTGGAATAAATTTGGACTTGCTGTGTAAAGATGTTCACTATACAATAAACATTGGCGATAAAGGATTACAAAAGAGCATTTCTAAAGCATCTCATTTTGGTCAAAACAAAGTTGTAAAAACTCATTTATTTTAAGTTGCGTTAATATTATTATGCACTCTATTTTTCTATTTATATATATAAATTTCACATTTTTATAGTGATTTATCTCTAAGTAATACAATTAATAATTTTTGAACCACTGTTTCTCATTTTTTAGAATATTTGTGTATTTTATGGTATATATACCTATATACCATAAATAATGAATAAATAATGAAAAATTTAAATACATCAATACTGAAAAGGGAATTTTTGCTACCAAAATTATGCTATTTACCATTAATCCTTGCTAGGAATCTGTCAAACAAATGAAACAAATTTAGGACAGGGGGAAATGGAAAAATCTTTTTAAAAAATGGTCTATCGTTCCTGTGAAAAAAAAAATCTTAAATTTGTTAACGATGCATTATTTCTCATTCTAAATGAGAGAATACATATGCAATTGCCCCCTTAAGGCCAACTGGCAGCCAGAAGTTACAGTATACTGTTAATCATACTTCTTCCAACAGAACTGTGGGAATCACTCAAACCAGAGAATCAGAGATGTCTTTGTGAGGGCATACTCATCTGTATGGCATTTGCTATGATTTAAACGTAGCCCCCTCCAAAATTTAGATATTGCCAAAGTGATAGTATTGAGAGGTGTGGCCTGTAAGAAGTGATTAGGCCTATAAGGGCTGCTCCCTTGTTAATGGGATTAAGCCCGTTGAAAAGAGACTTCACACAATTTTAGGCTAGCTTGCCCTTTTGTTTTCTGCTATATGAGAACTCAGAAAAGAGGTCCTCACCAGATAAATTGCCAGTGTCTTGATCTTGAACTTCCCAGTCTCCAGAACTGTGAGAAATAAAGTTCTGTTCTTTATAAATTATCCAGTCTTAGGTATTTTGCTGTAGCAGCAAGAATTGACTAAGCCAGCATTTTTAAGTGTTGAGCAGGTGACTGATAAAAGAAGGAATAAGAATGAGCAATGATAAGGTGGGTTAAGTTATGTCTTTTTAAAATGCAGCCTATAAAATTTCATTAAAGAAAATAGGCCAGTATAATGTATAAGACAGTTTATCACAGGAAAATGGTGTCCAACATAAAATGATGCATTACACCAGGATTAAAGTGCAAGAGATACATAGGGCCTTTATTCCTCTGGCCACAGAGAGATGCGAATAGTTAATATACACCAAACTTTTTTTTTAAGAAAAATTATCATGACTAGATCTATGCTAGGAAGAATTAATTCTTCTGCAAGAATGTAGAATGCAATTTAGCAAAAGGGATGTGGGTCAGAAGAGGGGGTTAAGAAATTTAGGAAGATATTTCATGAAAGAGTCTAGCTATTAATAAATGGCCTTGATGTATTAGTGATTGTAAGAATCTCATAAAAATTTTCCTGCAACATTATTCAGCAATATTAAATTTGATTAGTGCAAAAAGGGACGAAGATACTTATACAGAATGAGGTTACAATTAAACTGTAATCAAACATTATTTCAAGAAGAAGTGGAACAATCAATGAGAACCAGACATGTAATGACCTGGAGAAAATTTGCTTTGTTACCTTATCCATGCCCTCATCAAGGGGGAGATTTAATCAATCTCAAACATTGAGAACCCATGGCAAATTTTAGACTACCATATGAAAATACTTTTCTCAGTAATGTCTTCCCATTTAATAATTCTCCCATGTAAGGAAAAGTTTCGTTACACTTGACCTAATTTCACTATCCTGCGGAGAAATAGCATTGACCCCCTTCTTATTCCCCTATAGAGAACCTGATAGCTGGCTTCCTTTCTTTAAAATAAGACTATTTTTACACTTGGCAACTATTATCCAATCTACCCTCAACCCCCTTTGATTCAGTTTCAGTAATCCGAGTTACTCTAACCTATCCTCAAAGGCCCAATTTCCCAGCACTTTAATTATCTTTCTAGCTCCCAACTGAGCACACTTCAATGTGACCACATCCCCATTTTGCTCCTGAGCTCAGTATTGAAGATGTTATTCTAATAAGGGCCTGACCAGCGTTGAGTATAATGAGATCCTTGTTTTTCAATTATAGTGTTTCTTAGTATAATATGTGCTTGTGCTGTATATTTTTCACTCACATTGTGATGTTTCTAATTTATAATTGACTTGTGATATTCTATGAGCTATAGTTATTTTTCTATTGTAATTATAAATAATTTTATGTATCAATAACTCAGATTTTATAATTTCTCAGGACTACTACTTTTATATGCTTATATATCTTAAATTTATTTTCTCTCTCAAATTTATAATTCACATAGTGGTAATAATGAGATGTAAAGGATATAATCATTTCAATAATAATTTTAAAAATCCCAACTTCTACTCCAAATTCTGACTTTAATTAACTACTTGACTCTGGAAAGGACACGACATCTTTGGTCTTCAGTATTCACTCTGTAAAATAAGATTGCTGGAAGCAGGAAATCTAAGATTTCCATATCTCTAAAATCCCATGATTTTAAAAAAAATGCTTCCCATATCTAGGAAAAATGTTAAATGAATATTTACTGAGCATCTACTTTCTATGTTTCATATACTGTACTAAACACTGGTATAAAACAGTGAACAAAACATAAGAAACTAATTTCCCTCATGGAGTTGTGTTCTATTTGGGTAAATAAATAATACATATTAAGAGGTGCTAACAAGAAAAATAAAGAGAATTAGAAAGTAATGGAGTGGTGGGTTTTCAAATAGAGTAAGAAGGGGAGGTTAAACTTAGAAAATGATATGAGAGAGACAACCCAAAGAAAGCCAAATGGTTATCAGGAGGAAGAACACTCTAGGCAGAATGAATAACAAGTGCGAAAGTCTTGAGGTAAGAGTGTGACTGGCATGCTTAAACAGCTAAGAGGTGAGTGTGCCTGGAGCACAGAGATTGAAAAAAATAATTTTAGTAAATGAGATCAGAAATGTAATGGGGCATAAGAGAGAGGCTGCTTAATGCCTTGTAAATCATTGTAAAGACTTATCCTTTACTCTAAAGCAGATAGGGAACACTGGAATATTTTGAGGATGGAGCTGATGTGATCTAATGGTACCATTATGGATGCTCTGTTAAAACACACCAAAATTATGCAAGAACAATGATCAATTAGGAGACAGTAATTGAAATGACAGATCATGCTAGGTGGCTGTTGCCTGGTAGCTCAGACCACAGTAGTAACAATAGAAGGGTGAGAAGTGATTTAATTTTAAATATGTTTTAGAGTTACAGCAGCCAGAGTGCACTGATGGATCAGATGCAGGAAGTAAAACTATGAAAAATATGAATAATTATTAAAAGTAATATGAATGTGTAACATCAGTGTGGACATGCTCTTGTAAAACACTTCAGGTACATACAGGATTTGCATATCTTACTAGTTCTTGAATGTTTCATACCTTGTAAGTTACTAAAGAGAAAAAGATGACAAAAATAATCCATTAATATAGTATTTTTGCTCTTAATAAGTAAGATGAAATAATCTGACGGTAGATTCAGATAAGCCTACCTGTGTATCTTGTTTTCTGGTAGTATATCTATATCTCTACAGGTAGAAATAAAGATACATTTACCCTCATTTCAAAACACAATCTTGCATAGGTAATGGATTGCTGAAATTAGAATTTGATTTTCATCATTCTACTTTCCAACTACCAATGAAAAGTGCTTCTGCTACTCAGAGTTTCTATCTCTAAAACAAGTTCTTTTCCTCCTTTGACTTTAGAAAGATGCAAAATTGATCAATGGGTAAAAGCTCCCTAGGGGAAAGCTGATGTTAAAAGTCACAGCTACTCCTGTATTGAATTTTTAATCAGTTGTTAGATTATTTGAGGGATTTTTCTCAGAATCTTCAGATAATTTCATTCATAGATTTAGGAGTTCACCATCTATAGGCAAGCCTTTCAAATATTACTTGCTTTTTAAAAATATGATATTTAATTCCCATCACTAAGAAAGAAAATATGAGGCTATCAATACTTTCAGACACAGGAAATCCAAGAAGTATACTTTTAAAATAGAAGATAAAAACTGGCCTACAGTAATAATCATAGCACTTAAAGTCTGTTCAATTTTTTATTATTGCTTTTACTTTACACCTGCTGTGTTCATACTGTGCAGTTCTGAGAATGCATTAGCTGCAAGCACTAGAACTTCCAGCAGTTTAGTTAACAACATATTCCAGTCACCAGGAGTCAACAAGGCTCAACAGTGTTAACAAAACATGGTTACTGAGCAAGGTGAGGGGATGCAACATAAATTTCAAGTGAATTTTTGAGAATTCACAGACATCTTTTTATCTTCATTCTTGTTAGAATCCTTCTGCTAGAGGGACCTTGGCCAGAGTTTAAAGAAGGGCTTCTTTTTTATTGTATTGTGCTTTTATAATGAATAATTAGAATTTTAAACTTGAAAATATTTAGGATGCTGTGTTTTAGTTGGGTACACAAGCACAACACACAAACACACACACACATTCACAAACACTCCACCAGCTTTCCTAGCACCATTCCCGTTATTGCTGTAGTTTTGCCTTACAGATTCATTTTGAGATAATATGTAAAGTTTGCATTTCTTTTTGTAGTTTTGTTAGTAAGACCCACTAAGAATAATTCAAGAGAGTAGCAAAGTATTTTTTCCCTTTTCTTCTGTGTGTTTTTGAATTTTTGTCTATGGTGCTCTTCTTAGACCACAATATTTGACAATCACCAGTGGATAGGGAGTGTTCTGCATGGTATAAAAACAATTCTCCCCCCATAACTTGTTGTGATAAATGTGATTACCACTTTATTCATTCTTTGGGTTAATTGCCATAAGCATATTTGGAAGGCATATATTATGTGGGGTGATAAATAATATGAAAATGTAACAGGCATTAACAATTCATCTGGAATTATTTTAATCATTTTCATTAGCAGGTTTCTAGGAATCAAACATAGGGCAAATTCAATATTCTGTATTTAATCCATCATTTGTTCATTACTTTTTTCTGTTTATTAAATTGTATTCAGTATCTCCTAGATGTCTTTAACTGCAGAGCTCTTTTCAATATACCTATCACTATTTTCAGAAAATAGTGTTCCTTTGATGGATGACATCTCTGAATTTAGTCTTTGAATTAGTGGCAAAGCTATTATTTCACTATTGGGTTTAGCCATTTTTTTTACACCAGCTATTACCATATGCTGGTCTTCTTGGTTACATGTGTATATATACATAATTTTTTTTTTCTTTTTTGAGACAGGGTCTCACTCTGTTGCCAGGCTGGAGTACAGTGGTGTGATCTCGGCTCACTGCAACCTCCACCTCCAGGGTTTAAGCAATTCTCCCACCTCAGGCTCCCAAGTAGCTGAGACTACAGGCACACGCCACCATGCCATGCTAATTTTTTGTATTTTTGGGTAGAGACAGGGTTTCACCATATTGGCCAGGCTTGTCTCGAACTCCTGACCTCAAGTGATCTACTCACCTTGGTCTCCCAAAGTGCTGGGATTACAGGTGTCAGCCACCACATGTTTATATTTTTTATTTATTCTCTTATTATATAGTTATTGAATGTCCTCTGCTGGGTGCTGGGAATATAATAGTGAGTGAATATAGACATTATACTTGCATTCATGGTGATTAAAGTTTAGTTGGGAATGCAAAGAAAATCTTGATCCTAAAATTTTTTTTTAAGAGACACCATCTGAGAAACAAGGTATGAGTAAACAATCAGAGGAAAATTGGAAACTGACTACTTAAGAGAAAGGAACAGGGAGATGAAAGCAAGGACAAAGGTAGGGATATATAAAGTCATCAGCATTGATAGACATGATGACCGATTTTTAACATCACTTTTCAACAATTAGCCAACTTTGATGTCTCTCAACTGTGACTAGTTGTTAAAATTTAACACAAATAATTTTGACTGATGGAATTACATAAACCAGCTCAGCTGTTTAAAAGACTTTCATAGGCACTTGAACGCATTCACTCTCACAGCAAAGTGCTGACACTTAACTTGGAGTGCTCATTTTACTTGTTGCTTCTGTATCAGAGATAAAGAAGCTTCCTTATCTCTTTCCTTACCATTTTGAATGCCAGCCCTGCTGTCTTCACCACTTCCTGCTACTTAGCAGCTCTCCGGAGAATGAAGCTCGATTCAAGAAAAGGGTACTCTCATTGGGAAGATGGCACAGTCTAAGTTTAGCGGACACATAAACAAATGGAGTAGAGTTGTGTGCTGGTGAAAGAACTGAACCAGCTTTCTATTCTGTTGGCATCCTTAATACAAGACTTTCAAGAACAAAATATATTTTTAATTAGGTTATAATTTCGTAGGTGATACAGTTTGGAAATATCTCCTCTTTTGGAATATAGACTGTTCATGACTGAAGGTTGTAGGTATCAAATCTTCATGGTATTTAGATCCTATTGACTACATTTAAAGCAATTATATAGAAGTTATATTTTGTAAAGTCTGTATTTATAATATGCTGAAAATTATACCCTTCACAATTAAACTTACAGGGAATCATTTTAATTATCAAACAATATCCTTGAAACTTTTCTCCAAAATTCTTTTGGAGATGTGCAAGCAACAGATGCTTAGTACCACCAGAAAAACAAAAATGATAGAAGACCCTCAACAAGTGTTGTCTGAAGTATGTCCCCATTAGTGACAGTGTCCATTGGAGGAGCCCTAATTCCAGTTTCTAAGAAAGCAGTTTTCCCTTTTTTCTTTTTATTCGGGACTATATCACAGATTTTCAAAACATTCATTTTGTGCTTAAGTTAATCATAATAACATCATGTTGCTTTCATCAAAGATTTCTAAAACATACACACACGCGCACACACACACACGTTGTCATCTCCATTCTACTCTTTTTTAAAAAAAGTAGACACTAAACATACACACACTTTACATCTCCATTCACTCTTTTAAAGGTGAAAATCAACTTTATCATTACCCAACCTTTTTACTCTGAATAAACACCATTAAAATAAGTTTGATAAATGTTTATACACATAACTTACATGTATATTACAATTTATATATAAATGTTTACATACATTAAATTTTCAATGATACTCAATATTTTGTAGCTTCATGCTCTTACTAGTTCTTGAGTGCTACCACAAACAACAAAAAATAACACAATAAAAAGTTCTACATTTGAACTGATGGAAACTTGCTAATGGCACCTACACTAAGAATCTCGATGAGATTAAAACAATGTTGTGTCTAAAATAAGATTTGTTTAAAAATAAAAAATAAAATAATTCTGTGCTTTAAAGTTTTACATGAGGTATTAACTGATTTATTTAAGACGAATAGTGTTGACTCAGTGTTGCACAGAACATAATTAATTTATATAATTATGAAAATATCACCACTCTTAAAAGTGGTGATATACAAGATTTACTTGTATATACAAGTAAATGATATACAACATTTACTTGTTGTCAATTTTAAATATTGATGGCATAACCATAAAATAAATACTTGAATGTCTATTACAAATATCTTGTTTTCCCAGACAAGTCATTATAATATTGGCCTTAGCAGTACAGTTTTAGGCAGAAACAAATGAAATTTTGTCTGAAATGTAAAATAACTTTGAAATAGCTTTGCCATAAGTAGTCAAATATATAATTTTTTTGAAAGTTCGGTATTGTATTTTACTAAAGGTATCAGAATTTGAGAAACAAAACAGTATTTATAGTATTCAAGCATTATTTTCCCTTCCATTAATTCTGATATTTTTTTCTGGATTTGTGAAAAATGAGAATCTTTGATGAATAATGAATTTTGAAATTATATAATTGTATTTATTTTCTTTCCAACATTTTGCAAGCATAAACAATGTAAGCATTTGTAAGCTTGCTCTGCTTTATAAAATTCTCTTCTGTTTTGCAGCTGTGGCTAGAAATGAAGATAATTTTAATTCCTCTCTACCCCTACGAGACAAAATTTCCATGCCACGTACACTTGATATTTCATCATAGTGAATGAGATTATTGTGCTATTGTCTTTCTTCCACTTATGTACTCTAAAATACTTCTTAATATCTAAGTAAATGAGACTTCTTGAATGTGTCGGCATATATTTAATAAAAAATGCAAAAATGAATTATGAATCCTAACTTGTTCTTTGCATTCTCAGTATATGACAAAATCCTCTTTGAAAAATTATTATTAACAGACTGTATCATTTTACTCAGGGCGCTGTCTATAACAAAAGCTTTACTATTATGAAATACTTACATATCCTGAAAATATATATTCAGAGATTTAATGTGTCTTTCAATGGTATGTTTCTGGAAAAGAAATCATCAAATTTATATTCCTAAAATTATTAAACTTTCCCCGAAATTAGGACCTCTGTCATAGCATTATTGTGATTTTAATTATAATTTTTATTTTCTTATTCTATACAGGTCACTTTACTTAGGGAAAAGAAAAGTGGCCCAAAATATAGTCATCTTCTAGATTTCAGTGAACATCATTCATTCGTCTAGAAGCATACGGCAGTAGAATGAGCCAAGTTTCTATTAAACAAATTCTACTTTGTTTTCATTGAATTAAGTAGTTCAATGTGTCAAGTTTCCAGAAACTGCTTACCTCCTGGTTGCACTGATCTGTGTTAGCGATTTTCTAGGTTGAACATCATCCTCTCTGATTGATCAGTCATTTCTTAGTCATTTCCTGAGGCTCTAGCTAAGAGCGTGTGACAATACATGGTCATTTTTTCTGTCTATAATGTCCATACTGCTAACCACATCTAACACTGCCGAAGATGAGACAAACAACTTTGTATTTTCTGTATTACTATATGAATACGCATGTGTATGAGTTCAGGTGTGTGTGTGTGTGTGTGCTTTTTAAGATGGAGTCTCGCTCTGTCTCCAGACTGGAGTGCAGTGGCACGATCTCGGCTCACTGCAACCTCTGTCTCCCAGGTTCAACTGATTCTCCTGCCTCAGCCTCTCAAGTAGCTGGGACTACAGGCACACGCCACCATGCCCGGCTAATTTTTGTATTTTTAGTAGAAACGGGGTTTCACCATGTTAGCCAGGATGGTGGCGATCTCTTGACCTTGTGATCCACCTGCCTCGGCCTTCCAAAGTGCTGGGATTACAGTCATGAACCACCACACCTGGTGAGTTCAGATGTGTTTCTATGTGTGTGTGCAGGGTTAAATGGCTGTGGAATGTTTTTAGAATAATTGTGGCTGTAGACTAGTTGGTTTATGGGAATTGAAAAGCAAATGACTCCTACAAAAAAGATGAGCTTATAATGATTTTTAAAGGCAAGAGAATGGAAACATATGACCACATTCTAAGTCTCAATTCCATGGTATGTATTGTATATATGTGTACGTATGTATGTATGTGTATACTCCCTGAGGAGTACTACTATGAAAAAGTTATTAAGAGCTTGATTTTTGCAATGAGGCAACTGCATCTCAGAACAATTTAATAATTCTCTAAAGTGCTCAGCTTTTAAATGAAAGTCTTCAGAGGTGAACAAAGTCAGATTTCAGAGCCTTTATTCTTTTTAAAAAACTGCAGGCTAAAGAGATGGTATTACAATACCCATTTTCAAAATATGCAGAAATCAGAACTACCCAATTGGCTATTACATTTTTTGCCTGCAACATCTATACAGCAAGCAAAAACATCTTTTCTAAGGATGATTCTTAGGCTATAGCTAATGTATACTTTCTAAAAGTCTAAACATGAGAGAACATTGTATTAAGCGGTTTAGTTTTGGAGACATAGATAATGAGCACGGGACAGACTGGGGAAAGATTGTCATTGTTGATTTTTCAAAATGAACATGGAGAGTGCCTTGCCAGCAGTTTGCCCATAGCTCACAGCAGAAAGCAGATAGAGTCTCATAAGGTCAAACCCCGAAAGCAATGTGAAACATAGATGGGAAAAGTCTAATGGCCAATGTTAAAGCATCTCCTTTTTCTACTGTATGTGATTTTGTGATATATTTATTAATATTTTCCAGATTGACTCCATTACACAGCATTCTTACAAATAAAATTCACCTTTGTATTTTGCTTTTTTGAATTAACAAAACCAATTCAAATATTATGATAAAGTTCTCCAATTTCCCCCCAACCAATTGTGAATTTCAGTGGAATTACTCTGTAGCTGTCTAGTAATGTTAATATAGACCACTTTTTTTCTCCTTTCCTGTTTAGTATATCAGGTTATTAAATTCAGTTTAATGGTAGTTTCAAGGACATTTAATTTTCCCTAATATCATGGAAAAAATATCACTCTTATTCTAAATTACTTTTACTCTTTATTTGTTGACCATTCCAACTTAATTGCTTAGAGTTAAAATAAACATTTTGAATGGAAGAGAAGACTCAGCTGCTCCCTATTAACTATTTTAAATACAAATAATTACAGGAAAACTTTATAATACATTTATTTGTCTGAAAGTCTTAGTTACATGTGGAGTTTTATAGTTGTGGGTTTTTGGTTTTATAGTTTTAAAAATATATATTGTTGGCTAGGTGGTGTTTTGCATTGTTAAATAAAATATGGGTATTATAATGAAGTGATATTCAGGATCCTCTCTACACACACACACACACACACACACACACACACAATCTTGCCTCTACAGTGCAAAACAAAATAAAATATTTATTATTTAGCCTATGATTTTCCAAAATGGCTTAATGGATTCTATACAATATTTTTTTTTTGGGGAAATTAAAATATAGTAGGTGTCCTAAAAATGATAGTGGGAAATGCTAAATTAAGTTAAATGAGTTTCCTTATTGAAGGATTGTTAGAAGTATGTAATATACTCTGTGTGTGTGTGTGTTTTCTACCTCTTACTGTGATCTGGCATATCATTTCACTAATCAATGTTTATAGATTGATCTATGATCTATATCAGGCAATTCATATAATGCATCTGTATTAATGTGTTTTCATACTGCTGATAAAGACATATCCGAGACTGGGAAGAAAAAGAAATTTAACTGGACTTACAGTTCCATATGGTGGGAGAGGAAAGGCACTTCTTGCAGGATGATGGCAAGAGAAAATGAGCAAGAAGCAAAAGCAGAAACCCCTGATAAACCCATCAGATACTGTGAGACTTATTCACTATCATGAGATCAACATGGGAAAGACAGGCCCCCATGATTCAGTTACCTTCCCCTGGGTCCCTTCCACAATACAACACATGGCAATTCTAGGAGATACAATTCAAGTTGAGATTTGGGTGGGGACACAGAGCCAAACCATATGATTCCACCCCTGCCCTCTCCAAATCTCAAATCATCACATTTCAAAACCAATCATGCCTTTCCAACAGTCCCCCAAAGTCTTAACTCATTTCAGCATTAACCCATAAGTTCACAGTCCAGTGTCTCATCTGAGATAAGGCAAATTCCTTCCATCTATGGGCGTGTAAAATCAAAAGCAAGTTAGTTACCTCCTAGATACAATGGGGGTACAGGTATTGGGTAAATACAGCCATTCCAAATGGGAGAAATTGGCCAAAACAAAGGAGTTACAGGGCCCATGCAAGTGTGAAGTCCAGTGGGGCAGTCAAATTTTAAAGCTCCCAAATTATCTCCTTTGACTCCAGGTCTCACATCCAGATCACGCTGATTCAAGAGGTGGATTCCCATGTTCTTCGGCTGCTCCACCCCTGTGACTTTGCAAGGTACAGCCTCCCTTCCAGCTGCTTTCACGAGCTGGTATTGAGTGTCTGTGGCTTTTCCAGGCTCACAGTGCAAGCTGTTGGTGGATTTAGCATTCTGGGGCTTGCTGGACGATGGCCCTCTTCTTACAGCTCCACTAGACAGTGCCCCAGTAGGGACTCTGTGTAGGGGCTCCACCCCCCCGCCCCCCCCCCGTTTCCCTTCCACACTGCCCTAGCAGAGGTTCTTCATCAGGGCCCTGTTCCTGCAGCAAACTTTTGCCTGGGCATCCAGACATTTCCATACATCTTCTGAAATCTAGGCAGTGGTTCCCAAACCTCAATTCTTGACTTCTGTGAAGTTGCAGGCTCAATATCACATGGAAGCTGCCAAGGCTTGGGGCTTCCAGCCACTGAAGCCACAGCCCAAGCTGTATGTTGGCCCCTTTCAGCCATGGCTGGAGCAGCTGGTGCACAGGGCACCAAGTCCCTAGGTTGCACACAGCACAGGGAACCTGGGCCCAGACAAGGAAACCACTTTTTCTTCCTGGGCCTCTGGGCCTGTGATGGGAGGGGCTGCTGTGAATATCTCTGACATGGCCTGGAGACATTTTCCCCACGGTCTTTGGGATTAACACTAGGCTCCTTGCTGCTTATGCAAATTTCTTCAGGTGGCTTGCATTTCTCCCCAGAAAATGGGTTTTTCTTTTCTATTGCAAGTCAGGCTGAAAATTTTCCAAACTTTTATGCTCTGTTTCTCTTATAAAACTGAATCTCTTTAACAGCACCCAAGTCACTTCTTGAATGCTTTGCTGCTTAGAAATGTCTTTTGTCATTTACCCTAAATCACCTCTTTCAAGTTCAAGGTTCCACAAATCTCTACGGCAGGGACAAAATGCTGCCAGTCTCTTTGCGAAAACATAATAAGAGTCACCTTTTCTCCAGTTCCCAACAAGTTCCTCATCTTCATCTGAGACCACCTCATCCTGGACCTTATTGTCCATATCACTGTCAGCATTTTGGGCAAAGCCATTCAACAAGTCTCTAGGAAGTTCCAAACTTTCCCACATTTTCCTGTCTTCTTCTGAGCCCTACAAATTTTTCCAACCTCTGCCTGTTACCCAGTTCCAAAGTTGCTTCCATATTTTTGGGTATCTTTTCAGCAATGCCCCACTCTACTACTACCAATTTACTGTATTAGTCCATTTTCACACTGCTGATAAAGACATACCTGAGACTGGGAAGCAAAATAGTTTTAATTGGACTTACAGTTTCACATGGCAGGAGGTGAAAGGCATTTTGTACATGGCGGTGGTAAGAGAAAATGAGCAAGAAGCAAAATCGAAAACCCCTGATAAACTCATCAGGTCTGGTGAGACTTACTATCACAAGAATAGCACAGGAAAGACTGGCCCCCATGATTCAATTACCTCCCCCTGGTAACCTCCCACCACACATGGGAATTCTGAGAGATACAATTCAAGTTGAGATTTGGGTGGGGACACAGCCAAACCATATAAGCATCTTATAAAATGAATTAATTGGCTTTGATTTTGGGTATTGCAACTTAAATAACTGCTCTTTTGAACTTAAAATGCATTTATTCATTTATCCAATCATTCTACATAATTTGCCTACCTACAAACTTTCTGCTTTTATAGATACTGGAACAAATAAAGGTGAATAAGACACCACCTCTGCTAAAAGGCACACATAGCTTTGATAATTCATTGTATATATGACTAGAAAAAGGTGACGCTAGAGTACATTCAAATGAGGGAATGTTTCATACCAAAGGCTGCATTTAAGTTGTCTCTTAATGAATTAGTAGTAGTCTATTAAATTCAGAATATGCTGAGGAAAAATCTTGAGGCATAGAAAATGCCATGAACAAAGAGAGAGAGGAAAAAAATGTTTATAACTCTGGTCTATTTCAGAAAACTTGTGGTGGAAGAATGGTTTTCGCATTTGTCGTTGCAGCAGTGGGTTAAAAGTTGCAAGATATCTGTTTTTTTCTTCAAAATCAACTGGCAAACAGCAGAAGACGTTTTATCTTTCATGCATGAATGCAGCAAGGGGTGCTTAGAAGCGAAGCATCCTGCTAGTTCCTCTTCCTGAGAATCATCAGCTGCCAGGTTCTCCAGCACTGTGTTCCCAGGTTGTTGTTTTTTCCTCCGATATGGCACTGACGGGAACTAATTCCTTCCTGCCAGTACAATGCAGTTTCTTAAGGGAAAACATTTCGTCTTTTTCAAGTGAAAGTAGAAAAAGAAAGTCTGGAAATGAACATGAGAGGAAACATCGTAGCGCTTCCCTGGTAGTTTGCCTTGCACAGGACTGTAGATGGAAACTAGAGGCAAACAAAAAGGGCAATTTGAGAGGGGTGATTGGGGTTTTCTTTACAATTTTCTGGTCATTCACTTGCTTCTTTGGGACTTTAGGGATACTTAACAAGCACAACAAGTAACCCACTTTCAATATAAGTAACTTGCACTCACTTTCAGAATATCTTCGGATCGCCTGAAGCCCATCCATACATGGGGTCCCACGGAGATCATGTTAAAAACCCCAAGAGTAGAGGAAGAAAAGGCAAAGAGAAGAGGAATGAGAGATTACAAGGGGAAAAAAGCAGTAGAAAGCAAGAGAAAAGAAATATGTAGTTGAGGGAAAGGATGCAAAGGAAGAAAGAAAAAGATGGAGAAGAGAAAACAGAAAAATAAAGTAAATATAAAAACAGCATTATCAAGGGTAAAACAATTCTAGAAATAGTAGGATTAATTTTTGGAAGTGCCTTATTTAAAGTGTGACTATACATATTCCAGTACCACATGGAGTAACACAGATTATCCAATACAATTTGATAATACTTAGAAGAGTATTATGGCTCAAAATAGCAGCATAAAATTGAAAATGCAAAATTTCTGAAAGAATTACTTTAGTCTCAACAATACTTAAAGATTTTTAATTAGAGGAGGAATGGGTATTCTGAAGGAAATACAATTATAGGAGGCTTTTTAAGCCTTGAAGTCCAGCTTTTAAGTGATTTAGAAAAAAACCCTACTTTTATGCAGACTGGTAGATTTAAAATTTCTTTTTAAAATGAATATATATTTTAATTAAATCATGGTTACAATTTTCAAAATTAAATGATATTAAAGGTAATTTTGGTGGCTACCACAGTAGAAATTGATTACTTCTAGGGAGGAGAATTAGAAAGCCCTTTATTATTTAAGTAATAATTCAAATACTATCTAAAATTACTCCTTGAAAGCATGCAGTATATTATGTGGAAATATGGGGACATAGTAATGCTCATTCGCTCCCCTGATAAGTTTGCCTAATTCCTAAATCTCAAGACTTCTCCTTTACCAGTCTACTTTCGTTTTTTTTCCCCTTCATAAATGAAGATTGAAGTTTATAGCCATGTAAGAGCTAATTCCTTATTTTTGTGGAATAGAATTTACAGTAGTTTTGTTGGTTCTATAAATGGTTGGTAAAAACATAGAAGTTATATGATGTCAGTCCTCAAAATATCTGTATCTTGTGTCACACAGTTTCAATCCAAAATGGTTGACTTCTATATCTGGTACACATTTCACCCTAGGATCTCTCTTTACCATTATAATGTTGATTCTCTGTAATTCTCTTCTGTGTTCAATCTATTTATTTTCCATATTCCAAATCTTCCTTTGTCCTAGTTTCTCATTTGACAGCAAGTATTCTCCAAAGGCCTCTTTGGTACAGGTAATAGGATATAAATATTTTAAGCTCTTGCATATCTAAGAGTGTCTTTATTCTAGTCTAAATTTGATTGATCATTTGGATGGATTTAGAATTCTATGTTAAAATAATTTTCCTTAAGGAATTTTTAATCAGGTCCATTTTTTCCTCGGCTGTAGGATTCAAGAATTTGAATTCAAAGAGAGATGGGATTCGCATCTCTATTTCTTCACTTCCTTCTGCACATGCCCTGAACTTCACTTGCAGATTTGATAATGTCCTTCTCCTCGGCATGCTTCCACTGCTGCCTCTTCAACATTTCTTCTCTTACTTCTGCCAAGATAGAGCTTATGTTTTATATGGGGAAAAAAACAGATTTTTTTTTCAGAATTTTATAGCTATTAGCCCACTGTCTTTCTGCTTTCAGTATTCTATTCAAAACGCCCAAAGCCATTTTGAGGCCTAAAACATTTCATTTCCCTAGAATTTTGCTGAAAGCCAGTGATCTGACGTTTTACTGTGATGTGGACTATGGTGAACCTAATTTTTTCCATTGTTTTATAAACTTACTGTGTGACTTCAACATGAAAATTCATGTCTTTCAATTATAAAATATTTTCAATTTTTCTGCATTTCTTCAAATGTTCCTGTGATTTTTCTCATTTGTTCAGTGAATATGTTAACGCACATTGATGTATTTTCGCATTTTTTAAAATTATACTTTAAGTTTTAGGGTACATGTGCACAACATGCAGGTTTGTTACATATGTATACATATGCGATGTTGGTGGGCTGCACCCGTTAACTCTTCATTTAACATTAGGTATATCTCCTAATGCTATCCCTGCCCCCTCCCCTCACCTCACAACAGGCCCCGGTGTGTGATGTTCCCCTTCCTGTGTCCATGTGTTCCCATTGTTCAATTCCCACCTATGAGTGAGAACATGCGGTGTTTGGTTTTTTGTCCTTGCGATAGTTTGCTGAGAATGATGGTTTCCAGCTTCATCCATGTCCTTACAAAGGATGAACTCATCCTTTTTTATGGCTGCATAATATTCCATGGTGTATATGTGCCACATTTTCTTAATCCAGTCTATCATTGTTGGACATTTGGGTTGGTTCCAAGTCTTTGCTATTGTAAATAGTGCTGCAATAAACATACATGTGCATGTGTCTTTATAGCAGCATGATTTATAATCCTTTGGGTATATACCCAGTAATGGGATGGCTGGGTCAAATGATATTTCTAGTTCTAGATCCCTGAGGAATAGCCACACTGACTTCCACAATGGTTGAACTAGTTTACAGTCCCACCAACAGTGTAAAAGCGTTCCTATTTCTCCACATCCTCTCCAGCACCTGTTTTTTCCTGACTTTTTAATGATTGCCATTCTAACTGGTGTGAGATGATATCTCATTGTGGTTTTGATTTCCATTTCTCTGATTGCCAGTGATGATGAGCATTTTTTCATATGTCTTTTAGCTGCATAAATGTCTTCTTTTGAGAAGTGTCTGTTCATATCCTTCGCTCACTTTTTGATGGGGTTGTTTCGGCTACAGAAATCCCTATTTGTTCATGATGTATTATCCCTTTTGTATAATATTGCAACCAGTTTGCTAATTTTTTTAATTTTTTTTCTTTACAGAGGTAATCACTTTGTTTGCTGATATTTTGTTAAAGATTTTTGCATCAATATTCATGAGAAGTATTGTTCCACACATTTCCTGTTTCATAATGTCCTTGTCATGTTTCAGTGTTAAGGTTATTCTTGGCTGCTAAAGTGAGTTGTAGAGTTATTCATCTTCCTTTACTCACTAAAATACATTTAATAACATGATACATATAATAACATAGATGGATCTCAAAATCAGTAGGCAGCAGGAACAGTCAGTTAAAAATAAAAACAAAAAGTACTTACTACTTCAATTAATATAATTCTAAGTCACAAAAATATTAAAAGTAGGTCAATGTTTTCCATGAATGAGAGTGAAGGACGAAGCATATTACAAAGGGTATAAGAAAATTGCTAAAGGTGATGGAAATATTTCTTATCTTGCTTATGGCAATAATTTTCAAGTACATACACATGTCAAAACTGATGAAATGTATACTTTAAATATTGCACTTCAACAATACGTGAAATTGTGTTTGCTTTTATTCTGAATTCCTAAATTTCAAATGACATTCTTTCATCTTTATTTGGATTTTTATCAATGAACAACTCATTTAAAAAAGGACTTCAACGAATGTCCATAAGAACTTTGTTGCACTGTTGTAAAATCATAACTTTCTTTGAAGGAACTCCATTCCACAGACTCTCTGGGGCAGTGGTTGACTAAAAGTGAGAAAAACAAATTCAAATAAATTAAATAAAACTTCTATACTTTACTCTTCTATTTAGTTGTATCTTCAGAGATCTTTGTCTAGTGGGCATTGTCTGCAAGTACCTTGGAAGAATGGAGTACATGTGTATTGTGTATAACACCTATTTTTCTGAACTTCAAAACTGCCTCTCTTCAAATAATTATCTGATACTTTAGATCTCTACAATGAAAAGCAACCTAATGCCAATGAATCTAAATAGCTTTCCACCCTCATTAACAGCAATAGTACTAAAACTCCATTTTGCCAATGAATAGATGACATACTAATCAAGATATTCAGGAGACATCAAAAACAGCTCAGGGACATTGTGCAAATATGCGTTGAAATCAGAGAACATTTCCTCTTCCACTTAAGCACTTTTTTCCCTAGGCCAGAGGCTATAATGTGCAAGATTAATTTTATGCTGCTGTATGGAACATGAAATATATATTTTTTTCAGAAGATAAAATGCGGGGAAGGTTCACTTCCCAGATTTTGTTAAATGCATGCTATGATTTACAGAGATTGAAAAAAACTCAGATATTAACGTTTTTAGATTATTTATTTCTCAGTAAAATATCATAGTCTTAGAATGTAGAAGTCAGTGGGATGTTAGTTCCAAGATATTTCAATTAAAATATGTAAATATGTGTTATTTTAAATACACGTATTTTAATTGAACTTGTACAATACTTAATTTGTATATAAAATATATCTCCTAAAAACTTAAAGATATACTAGATAATGCTATGACGGAGTTGAATGTTAATAGCCAGGACAAAGAGGAAAATATCTCCTGGGCATTTCAGAAATCTTCATGACAGTGCCTCCCATCAAAGGCTCAGAGACCCAGGAGGAAAAAGTGATTACGTGTGCTGGGCCCAGAGCCCTGCTACTCTGTACAGCCTTGGGACATTGATGCCTTGCGTCTCAGCCACTCTACCTCCAGCCATGGCCAAATGGGGCCAACACACAACTCAGGCCATTGCTTCAGAAGCTTGCTAGCCCCAAGCTTTGGCAGCTCCATGTGTTGTTGGACCTGCAAGTGGACAGAAGACGAGTTGAGGTTTGGGAACCTCTGCCTAGATTTCAGGGGAGGTATGTAAACACCTGGATGTTCAGAGAGGAGCCTGCTGCAGGGGTGGAGCCCTCATGGAGAATCTTTGCTAAGGAAATGCAGAGGGAAAATGTAGAGTTGGAGCCCCCATACAGAGTCCCCACACAGACACTGCCTAGTGGAGCTGTGAGAGGAGAGACACTGTATTCCAGATCCCAGAATGGTAGATCCACTGACGGTTTGCACCCATGCACTTTTAAAAGCCACAGGCACTCAACACTAGCCTGTGAGAGCAGCCTCAGGAGCTGTACCCTGCAGAGCCACAGGGAGAGAGCTGCCCAAAACCTTGGGAGCCCACCTCTTGCATCAGTGTGCCCTGAATATGAGACCTGTAGTAAAAGGAGATTATTTTCGAGCTTTCAGGTTGAATGACTGCCTTATCAGATTTTGGACTTGCATTGGCCTGTAGCTAATTTCTCCCATTTGGAATGGAAACATTTGTCCAATGCCTGTACCTTCATTGTATCTTGGAAGTGACTAACTTGCTTTTGATTTTTACAGGCTCATAGGTGGAAGGGACTTGCCTTGACTCAGATAAGACTTTGGACTTGGACTTTTGGTTTTATGCTGGAATGCGTTAATACTTGGGGGACTGTTGGGAAGGCATGGTTCTGTTTTGAAACGTGAGAAGGACATGAGATTTGAGAGAGCCCAGGGGTGGAATGATATTGTTTGGTTCTATGTCCCTACCCATATCTTATCTTGAATTGTAATTCCATTACAAGGGAGGGACCTAGTGGGAGGTGATTGGATCATTAAGAGCAGCTTCCCCCATGATGTTCTTGGGTTAGTGAGTGAGTTCTCACAAGATGTGATCATTTTAAAGGGTTTGGCAGTTCCTCCCCTTACTCTGTCTCTCTCTTTCTGCCACCATGTATGACATGCCTAGCTTCTCCTTTGCCTTTCACCATGATTGTAAGTGTCCTGAGGCCTCCCCAGCAATGCTGAACTGTGAGTTAATTAAACCTCTTTTCTTTATAAATTACCCAATCTCAGGTAGTTTTTTACAGCAGTATGAAAATGGACTAATACATACAGTGAACACATTTTTGACAACAGTGCTAAGAACATAATTTGGGGAAAGGACAATCTCTTCAATAAATGGTGCTGGCAAAATTGGGTATTCATATGCAAAAGAATACAACTAGACACTTATTTCTCAAAATATACAAAAATCAAATTGAAACTAATTGAAGACTAAAATCTAAGACCTCAAACTATGAAACTACTAAAAAAAAAAACTTCAGGGAAACTCTTTAGGATATTGAACTAAACAAAGATTACTTGAGAATACCCTAAAAGTACAGAAATCAAAACAAAAATGGACAAATGGGTTCATATCACTTTAATAAGCTTCTTTACAGCAAAGTCAACAATCAACAAAGTGAAGAGACTACCTACAAAATGGCTAAAATATTTGCAATCTACTCATCCAAAAACTAGAATGTATAAGAAGTTCAAACAACTCCACAGGAAAAAAAATAATCTTATTAAAAAATAGATAAAAGACCCAAATAGACATTTCTCAAAAGAAGACATACAAATGGCTATCAGGTATCCGAGAACCTACTCAAAATAATTGACCATCAGAGAAATGCAAATCAAACCTACAATGAGATATTATCTCATTCCATTTAAAATGGCTTTTATCTAAAAGTTAAAAATATGGATATGGAGAAAAGGGAACCCTAGTACATTGTTGGTGCAAATGTAAATTAGTAAAACCACTATGGAAAACAGTTGGGAAGTACCTCAAAATATAAAAATAGAGCTACCACATGATCTAGCAATCCTACTCGTAGGTATATACCCCAAAGAAAGGAAACTGATATATCAAAGAGATATCTGCACTCCCATGTTTATTGCGGCACTATTCTCGATAACCAAGATTTGAAAGCAACCCGAGCATCCATCAACAGGTGAATGGACAAAGAAAATGTGGTACATAGACACAATAGACTATTATTCAGCCATTAAAAAAATGAGATTCTGTTATTTGCAACAACGTGGATGAAACTGGAGGTAACCATATTATGTGAAATAAACCCGGCACAGAAAGACAAAATTCACATGTTCTCACTTATTTGTAGGAGCTAAAAATTGAAATTATTGAACTTATGGAGACAGAGACTAGAATGTTCATTACTAGATGCTGATAAGGGTAGTTGAGGGTGTGGAAGGCAAATGGGGATGGTTATTGGGTGCAAAAACTACATAGAGAGAATGAATAAGAGCTTTTATTTGCTAACACAACAAAAGGAGTACAGTCAACACAAATTTAATTGTACATTTTAAAGTAACTAAAAGTATAATTGGATTGTTTGTAATACAAAGTACAAATGCTTGAGGTGATGGATGCCCCATTTACCCTGATGTAATTATTACACATTGCATACCTGTATTAAAATAATTCATGTAACCCATAAATACATACATCTACTATGTACCCATACAAATTAAAAATATAAACAAGAAAAATAAAGCATCTCACATTGCACTTGGTAATAATATCTTCATCAACTAGTAAAAGTTATTAGTAACTTAAATCTAAAACATTTTAACATATTTAAGAAGATTGTATAAACATCTCCAGATCTACTAGATAACTTAGTCTAAGTTATTGGCTCTAGATAACTTGGACAAAGCTAGGCTACCAAGAAACTAAAGCATTGCATGCTACCAGTTAACTTAGCATATCTATGCAAAGTTTTCTCTGTGGACTCAGCATTTATAATGGCTGTGTTATCCTATGGTTTTCTTTAAATCCTGTGGTCTTTGTGAATCTTAACTTAAAAATTAATTTATTCAAGAGATACCAAATGATGTTTTACAATTTGCTAGGCCCATGCAAGTAAGTATGACTATATTTTTGTACGGACTTCTAGAAGCCATTGAAACAAATCAGTGGCCCATGGATACAGTAAAGACACACAGAAATTCTTCTCTGTCTGATGCTGAGACTGAAGTCAGAAGCCAGGTAGTCTGTACTGAAAGATAATCACAAAGAAGAGGAAAGCTGGAGCAAGTAGAAATCATGAGAAATAATCTTAAACTTTCATCACTCATCACCCACGTTGGGGGCTTCCTATTTCCAAGCCTTCAAATTTGCTATTATGGATGACCTGTGAAATTGCACTCTCATCTGGTCTGGCATATAAAGACACTAAAAGAGTAGATTCTGAAGAACACACAGAAACAATCAATCTGATTGTTTTACAAACAAAACAAAAAAAAAGAAACAAAAAAAAGTCCCACAAACAGAAAATAACAACTTTGTCTTAATATCGTATTTAATGATGAAAATATTAAAGTTCTGAAAAACTGGCTAGCGTTTCTATTCAACATTCTTTTGAAATATCTAGCCTGTCCAAGAGGTCAAGAAAAATAAATAAAATGCCTTTTGGAAAGAAAAAAATTAATTTGTTTTTACTTGCTGCAGATGGCATGATTGTGTTCAGGTAAGACTGTCTTGAATTTACAAATAATTCCTCCTGAGAATTAATTAATTAATTATCAATTATTAATTAATTATTAATTAATAAATTGATGCTTTTAAAAGATTTAATTATTTTAATATTTAATTATTAAGAAATAATTTAATGATTATTAATTAATTAATACTCAGGGGGAATTATTTTAGACTCAAGAGGGTCTTATCCAATTTAGTAAGGTTGCCAGATACAAAGTCAATATATAAATCAATTTATGCTAGTAAAGATAAATAAAAAAATTTTACAACCCTTCATGCGAAAAACTCTCAATAAATTAGGTATTGATGGGACGTATCTCAAAATAATAAGAGCTATCTATGACAATATCATACTGAATGGACAAAAACTGGAAGCATTCCCTTTGAAAACTGGCACAAGACAGGGATGCCCTCTCTCACCACTCCTATTCAACATAGTGTTGGAGTTTCTGCCCAGGGCAATCAGGCAGGAGAAGGGAATAAAGGGCATTCAATTAGGAAAAGAGGAAGTCAAATTGTCCCTGTTTGCAGATGACATGATTGTATATCTAGAAAACCCCATCATCCCCTCAGCCCAAAATCTCCTTAAGCTAATAAGCAACTTCAGCAAAGTCTCAGGATACAAAATCAATGTGCAAAAATCACAAGCTTTCTTATACACCAATAACAGACAAACAGAGAGCCAGATCATGAGTGAACTCCCATTCACAATTGCTTCAAAGAGAATAAAATACCTAGGAATACAACTTACAAGGGATGTGAAGGAATTATTCAAGGAGAACTACAAACCACTGCTCAAGGAAATAAAAGAGGATACAAACAAATGGAAGAACATTCCATGCTCATGGGTAGGAAGAATCAATATTGTGAAAATGGCCATACTGCCCAAGGTAATTCATAGATTCAATGCCATCCCCATCAAGCTACCAATGACTTTCTTCACAGAATTGGAAAAAACTACTTTAAAGTTCATATGGAACCAAAAAAGAGCCTGCATTGCCAAGTCAATCCTAAGCCAAAAGAACAAAGCTGGAGGCAACACGCTACCTGACTTCAAACTATACTACCAGGCTACAGTAACCAAAACAGCGTAGTACTGGTACCAAAACAGAGATATAGACCAATGGAACAGAACAGAGCCCTCAGAAATAATGCTGCATATCTACAACTATCTGATCTTTGACAAACCTGACAAAAAGAAGAAATGGGGAAAGGATTCCCTATTTAATAAATGGTGCTGGGAAAACTAGCTAGCCATATGTAGAAAGCTGAAACTGGATCCCTTCCTTACACCTTATAAAAAATTAATTCAAGATGGATTAAAGACTTACATGTTAGATATTAAAACCATAAAAACCCTAGAAGAAAACGTAGGCAATACCATTCAGGACATAGGCATGGGCAAGGACTTCATGTCTGAAACGCCAAAAGCAATGGTAACAAAAGCCAAAATTGACAAATGGGATCTAATTAAACTAAAGAGCTTCTGTACAGCAAAAGAAACCACCATCAGAATGAACAGGCAACCTACAGAAAGGGAGAAAATTTTTGCAACCTACTCATCTGACAAAGGGCTAATATCCAGAATCTACAATGAACTCAAACAAATTTACAAGAAAAAAACAAACAACCCCATCAAAAAGTGGGCAAAGGATATGAACAGACACTTCTCAAAAGAAGACATTTATGCAGCCAAAGAACACATGAAAAAGTGCTAATCATCACTGGCCATCAGAGAAATGCAAATCAAAACCACAATGAGATACCATCTCCCACCAGTTAGAATGGCAATCATTAAAAAGTCAGGAAACAACAGGTGTGGAGAGGATGTGGAGAAATAGGAACGCTTTTACACTGTTGGTGGGACTGTAAACTAGTTCAACCATTGTGGAAGTCAGTGTGGCGATTCCTCAAGGATGTAGAACTAGAAATACCATTTGACCCAGCCATCCCATTACTGGGTATATACCCAAAGGATTATAAATCCTGCTGCTATAAAGACACATGCACATGTATGTTTATTGCGGCACTATTTACAATAGCAAAGACTTGGAACCAACTGAAATGTCCAACAATGATAGACTGGATTAAGAAAATGTGGCAAACATACACCATGGAATCTATGCAGCCATGAAAAAGGATGAGTTCATGTCCTTTGTAGGGACATGGATAAACCTGTAAACCATCATTCTCAGCAAACTATTGCAAGGACAAAAAACCAAACACCGCATGTTCTCACTCATAGGTGGGAAGTGAACAATGAGAACACATGGACACAGGAAGGGGAACATCACACACTGGGGACTGTTGTGGGGTGGCAGGGAGGGGGAAGGGATAGCATTATGAGATATACCGAATGCTAAATGACCAGTTAATGGGTGCAGCACACCAACATGGCACATGCGTACATATGTAACAAACCTGCACGTTGTGCACGTGTACTCTAAAACCTACAGTATAATAATAAAAAAATTTTTAAATATTTACAGTATCATGAAAATATGAAACACTTATAATTAGGAATAAATTTAACATAACAAGTACATAACTTTTATACACACACTCATTATTAAAAGAAATTAAAGAAAACTAAATGCATGAAGAAATATACCATGTGTGGGTAGAAAGACTCAATATCTTTCAGATATCAGTTGTATCTAAATTGATGTATAGATTCAATGTAATCAAAATCAAATTTCTAGTAGGCTTTAATCTGTCTCTCAAATTTGTATATGATATGGTATGGCTGTGTCCTCACCCAAATCTCACCTTGAATTGAAGCTCCCATAATTCCCATGTGTTATGGGAGGGACTCAGTGGGAGGTAATTGAATCATGAGGGCAGGTCTTTCCTATGGTGTTCTCATGATAGTGAATAGGTTTCATGAGATCTGTTGGTTTTATAAAGGGGCCTTCCCCTGCACACACTCTCTTTGCCTGCCACCATGTAAGACATGACTTTGCACCTCATTCATCCTCTGCCATATTTGTGAGGCTGCCTCAACCATGTAGAACTGTGAGTCAATTAAATATCTGTCCTTTATAATTACCCAGTCTCAGGTATGTCTTCATTAGCAGCATGAGAACATACTAATACAGTATGAAAATGAAAAGACTTACCAAAGCTAAAACAATTTTGGAAATTAAGGACAAATTTAGAGGACATACATCTTTGATGTAAAGATCAAAAGCAACAGTAATAATGACAGTGTAATATTGGAATAAGGATGGATAAATGCATAAGCAGAATTGAGTAGAGAATCTATAAATATTTTGCCATTGATTATGTTAATAATACACCAAGTAAATTCAAGAGGAAAAGACATTGTAAGAAAGGAGACTTTTACCTTTAATGAGAAGACTTGTAGCAAGTTATTTAAAAAGCTTCTATGAATCGAAAATGGAGAAAAATAATTCAGTTAATAAAAATACTTACTGTTTTTTACTGTGAATCTGCAAGTTTTCTCTCTTTTCTCAGTTATATTAATGAATATATTTTAATTTTGGATGTGATTATTTTATGGCTAGTTATATTAAAAAGCTTCCAAACTTTTCTCGAATGATGCCATTCATCACCAAACCTCTCTTTTGTAGATTTGTAAAAGGCAATAATCACAGTTTGTTATATAGCATGATAATCTCAGGTTTCAGAAAACTGTACAATGTGCACCTTATGACCCTGTTTCCTAGACACAGAGGCTGTCAGATAAATGTGTGAGCCAGATAAACAATGGACGATAGCAGAATGAGACTCAAATTATTACCATATTATAAGCTAATTCGGTTTCTGATAATCCGTTCAGAGTTCTGGTAAACCTGGATAGAAAGATTAATAAAGGCCTTTAAATCTTGCTTAAACCCAAATTGCCTTCTAAATAGCTATATGATAGAGGATGCTAAAGTAATGACAAGCAATACAGGTCTGAAAACGTTCTACATTTCTGACTTTATAAAAAAGGAGGAAATGTAGGAAAGGGAGTTAATTATCAACACATAAAACATTTTATGCACAGAACACTAGTCTGCTCACTTATAATAGTGGCCAAATTAAGATAACAAAATTTAGCAGATTTCAATGATGTGAGGGACCAAGGTGAGGTTTATGAGGTAGTTGACAGAGAACAGAGAATTAAAATTACATCATTAACCATATAGTGAAACATTTTCATTGAGGATCATCATTTCTCTTTTCTTCCTAGTACAGCTCAATGATACACATTTATATTTGGAGTAGAGGGAAATTGAATAATAATAGGAGCTTTTTAAAAAAATAGTCAAACTGGCTGGACACGGTGGCTCACACCTTTAATCCCAGCACTTTGGGAGACCAATGTGGGTGGATCACCTGAGGTCAGGAGTTCGAAATCAGCCTGGCCAACACGGTGAAACCCAGTCTCTACTAAAAACACAAAAATTAGCTGGACGTGGTGGCAGGCGCCTGTAATCCCAGCTATTTAGGAAGCTGAGGCAGGAGAATCGCTTGAACCTGGGAGGCTGAGGTTGCCCATTGCACTCCAGCCTGGGCAACAGGAGCAAAACTCCGTCTCAAAAAAAAAAAAAAAAAAATTCAAACTTCCTTTGAAACATTTCTGGAAATGAGTATAAATACACTAAATCTTCTTAGAATAATTCAATAGCACTCTTGCCACTATTGGGCCAAATATTAAAAGATTAATGTTGTTTTTCAATTTGTGGTTGGAAACACCACTCAGGCTCTTATACTATTTTCAGGATCGTAGAGGAATGTACAGTAGTGTCAAGTGTAAAGAGTATGAAAGGAGAATAACTTCACACAATGTACATTGGGAACATAGCAGAAAGGAGTTTTTAAAAAAATACTTCCAAATACAAGTTTAAGTCTATTTTCTTTCCTATAGAGTAATAAATTCATGCTGATTCTCATATAAAAATATTCACAATAAAATCTCTCTTGTAATGCTGTGTTAAGGAATAATTTATTGCTTAATCAAACATTGATTGATAGCGTATATACATCAGTCACCAATGTTCACATTAAAAATAGACTATAATATGGTAGCAATAACTGCACACTAAGCACCAAGCACACTTCAAAATTGCATATGAAATTCAATTTGAAGTTCAATGTACATAGTGAATTAATTTGTTTTTTAAAAATTTTGTATTTGATTTATTTCAATAGGTTTTTGGAGAACAGGTGGTGTTTACTTACAAGAATAAGAAGTTCTTCCATTCTGTAGGTAGCCTGTTCACTCTGATGGTAGTTTCTTTTGCTGTGCAGAAGCTCTTTAGTTTAATTAGATCCCATTTGTCAATTTTGGCTTTTGTTGCCATTGCTTTTGGTGTTTTAGACATGAAGTCCTTGCCCATGCCTATGTCCTGAATGGTATTGCCTAGGTTTTCTTCTAGGGTTTTTATGGTTTTAGGTCTAACATTTAAGTCTTTAATCCATCTTGAATTCAAACCTGCACGTTGTGCACATGTACCCTAAAACTTAAAGTGTAATAAAAAAATAATAAAAAAAAGAAGTTCTTTAGTGGTGATTTCTGAGATTCTGGTGCACCCATCACCTAAGCAGTATACACTGTACCCAGTGTGTAGTCTTATATCCTTCACTACCCCCCACCTTTTCCCCCCAGGCCTCAGAGTCCAATGTATCATTCTTATGCCTTTGCATCCTCATAGCTTAGCTCTCACATATGAGTGAGAACATACGATGTTTTATTTTCCATTCCTAAGTTCACTTAGAATTATGGTTTCCAATTCCATCCAGGTTGCTGCAAAGGCCATTATTTTGTACCGCATTTTATTTATCCATTCATTGATTGATGGGCATTTGGGCTAGTTCCATATATTTGCAATGGCGAATTGTGCTGTTATAAACATGCATGTGCAAGTATCTTTTTTGTATAATGACTTCTTTTCCTCTGGACAGATACCTAGTAATGGGATTGCTAGATCAAATGATAGATCTACTTTTAGTTATTTATTATTGTCTGTCTTGGGGAATGTTCTATGTGCTGAAGAATAGAATGTATATTCTGCAGTTGTTGGATAGAATGTTCTGTAAATATTTGCCAAGTCCATTTGTTGTAGGTTATAGTTAAAGTCCATTATTTCTTTGTTGACTTTCTGTCTTGATGACCTTTCTAGTGTTTTCAGTGATATATTGAATTCCCCACTATTACTGTGTTGCCATCTATCTAATTTCTTAGGTCTAGTAGTAATTGTTTTATAAATTGGGGAGCTTCAGTGTTAGGTGCATATATACTTAGAACTGTGAAATTTTCCTGTTGGACTAGTCCTTTTTCATTATATAATGTCCCTGTTTGTCTTTTTCAACTGCTGTTGCTCTGAAGTTTGTTTGGTCTGGTATAAAAATAGCTACTTTTGCTCGCTTTGGTGTCCATTTGCATGTAATATGTTTTTCCACTCCTTTACCTTAAGTTTATGTGAGTCCTTGTGTGTTAGGTGAATCTCCTGAAGACAGCAGAAACTTGGTTGGTGAATTCTTATCCATTCTGTCATTCTGTATCTTTTAAGTGGAGCACTTAGGCCATTTATATTCAATGTTAGTATTGAGATGTGAGGTAATATTCTATTCATCATGCTATTTGTTGCCTAAATGCCTTTTTAAATTTATTATGTTATTGCTATATAGGTCCCGTGATATTTGTGCTTTAAGAAGATTCTATTTTGGTGTAATTTGAGGATTTATTTCAAGATTTAGAGCTCCTTTTAGTAGTTCTTGTAGTACTGGACTCGTAGTGGCGAATTCTCTCAGCATTTGTTTGTCTGGAAAAGACTATCTTTCCTTCATTTATGAAGCTTAGTTTCCCTGGATACAAAATTCTTGGCTGATAACTGTTTTGTTTAAGGAGGCTAAAAACAGGACTCCAATCCCTTCTAGATTTCATGGTTTCTTTTTTTTTTTTTTTTTTTTTTTGAGATGGAGTCTCACTCTGTCGCCCAGGCTGGAGCGCAGTGGCACGATCTTAGCTCACTGAAATCTCGCCTCCTGGGTTCACGCCATTCTCCTGCCTCAGCCTTCCAAATAGCTGGGACTACAGGCGCCCACCACCGTGCCTGGCTAATGTTTTGTATTTTTAGTAGAGACGGGGTTTCACCATGTGTTAGCCAGGATGGTCTAGATCTCCTGACCTCCTGATCCGCCCGCCTTGGCCTCCCAAAGTGCTGGGATTACAGGCGTGAGCCACTGCGCCCCGCAGTTTCAGGGTTTCTAAAGCTGAGAAATCTGATGTTACTGATAAGTTTTTCTTTTTAGGTTACCTGATGCTTTTGCCTCACAGCTCTTAGGATTCTTTCCTTTGTCTTGACTTTAGATATCCTGATGACTATGTGCCTAGGCAATAATCTTTCTGTGGTGAAATTCCCAGATGTTCTTTGAGCTTCTTGTATTTGGATGTCTACATCTCTAACAAGGTCTGGGAAGTTTTCCTTGATTACTCCCTCAAATATGTTTTCCAAACTTTTAGATTTCTCTTCTTCCTCAGGAACACCAATTATTCTTGGGTTTGAATGTTTAACATAGTCGCAAACTTCTTAAAGGCTTTGTTAATTTTTTAAAAATTCTTTTTAATTGTAGTCCCAGCTACTCGGGAGGCTGAGGCAGGATAATGGTATGAACCCGGCAGGCAGAGGTTGCAGTGAACAGAGATCCTGTGCCACTGCACTCCAGCCTGGGCGACAGAGCAAGACTCCATCTCAAAAAAAAAAAAAAATTCTTTTTAATTTGTCTTTGACAAATTGAGTTAATTCAAAAGCCTAGCCTTTGAGTTCTGAAGTTGTTTCTTCTGTTTCTTCAATTGTATTGCTGAGACTTTCCACTGCATTTTGCATTATTCTAAGTATCTCCTTGATTTCCAGAAGATGTGATTATGTTTTATTTATGCTATCTATTTCACTAAATAATTTTCCTTTCAGATCCTGTATCATGTTTTTATGTCTTTAGGTTGGACTTCACCTTTTTCTGGTGCCTCCTGGATTAGCTTAATAATTAACCTTCTGAACTCCTTTTCTGGCACTTCAGGGATTTCATCTTGGTTTAGATCCATTGATGGTTAGCTGGTATGATCTTTTGGGGATGTTGAAGAAACTTGTTTAGTCATATCACCAGAATTGTTTTTCTAGTTCCTTCTCATTTGGGGAGACTATGTCAGAGGAAAGATCAGGGATTCAAGGGCTGCTCTTCAGAATCTATTGTCCCATGGGGTGCTCCCTTGATGTGGTATTATCCCCTTCCCCTAGGAATGTGGCTTCTTGAGAGCTGAACTGTAGTGATTGTTTTTGCTCTTCTGGATCTAGACACCCAACAGAGCTACTGAGCTCTGGGTTGGTACTGGGGAGTATCTGCAAAGGGTCCTGTGATATGTGATCCTATCCTGTGCTATGATCCATCTTCAGGTCTTCCAACCAGGGTTACCAGTACCTACTCCAGTGGAGATAGCAGGGGTGTGAAGTAGACTCTATGAGAGTCCTTGGTTGTGTTTTTATTTAGTGCAGTGGTTTTGTATTGGTTGACCTCCAGCCAGGAGGTGCCACTTACAAGAGCACATCAGCTATGGTCCTATAGGGAGGATGCAAACTTGCCCTACAGACAATCCTTGTGGGTTAAATATTCAGGTTTCTCAGGCAGTGGGCAGGGCCGTAGCCCTACCAAGAGATTATGATCTTTGTCTTTGACTACCAGGGAGGATAGAGAAAGACCACCAGGTTGGGACAGGGATAGGTGTTTCTGAGCTCAGCCTCTCCGTGAGTGGGGCTTACTGCAGCTGCTGTGGTGATGGGGGATGGTTCCCAGTCCAACAGAGTTATATTCCAAGGGGGATTATGGCTGCCTGTGCTGAGTCATACAGGTTGCCAGGGAAGTGGGGAAAAGCCGGTAGTCACAGGCCTCACCCCGCTCCTATGCAGCCCACAGTCCTAAAAGCTGGTCTCACTCCCACCATGCAGCCACAACAGCTCCAAGTCTATTCCCAGGCAGCTGGTGACCAGCGCTGAGAACTTGCCGGAGGCCATGAGCCTCCCTGTTGAGAAGGCAAGCCAACTCACAGTTTTTCCTCATCCCAGGGAGCCTGCAGAGGCAATCCAATTCCTTCAAAGGGTTTGTGGATTCTCTCAGCTTTCCTGGTAAGTTCCTGCATTAGTTCTTGGAGCAAACGTTCATGATGTGAGTCTCCACATGCTGCTCTGTCCATCCAAGTGGTAACTGCAAGCTAATCCTGCCTCTTATCCATCATCTTAATCATAGTGAATTACTTTGAATTTTTAATGTATTTAGTCTTCCCTGAAAAAAAATCTGCATGGTTCTAGGGAAATATTCTTTATTAATATATTTTATTTAGATAATAAGAAAGCACTAGCAAATATATATTGAGTGTTCATGATGAGCAATGTACTGACTTATAAAAATGAGGTTACGGTCTTCTCAGTTTCATATTATTAACAAGCAGAATATAATTTTAATATTGAAAAGATCATAGAAGTCACATAAACCAATATGCTTCCGTGTCAAAATAATTTCTTTACAACATTTTGAAGAGATAGTCATGGTTTTTTTTTTTGCCTCCATTGGTGGGATTCATTTACTCTTGCATGCTCACATAATGTGATAGAACAAGTTAAAATATGCATAATATTTATTGTATAATCAATGATGACAACAGCATGAATAGCACAGCTAGAATATTACCCAACTGAACTGGGAAAAACAATAAGCTACTTATTGCATGTTGCAGACATCTGAGAAGTGTTTAAAAATATAAACTTTAACCCAAATCATTAAGTGATTATATTATAATGTTTCAACAGTTTGAAAAGTAAATAATACATAGTATAATCATTCAGAGGGGGTTATAATAATTAGTGGCTTAGATACAATGAGAGACTAGAATTGCACTTTGAGTAGAGAAGAAGGATGTAAAGCATTACCCAAAATACATGCCAATAAGAATGTACATGATAGGTTGTGGCAAGTGGACCAAATTATTAATTCGTGGAAGCAAAGTCAGAGTTGTAAATTAGATTATTGAAGGTGTTGGGTATTGCATAAAATATTTAGCTCTCTTTTCTAAGTCAATTTCTCCAAATCCTATTAATCAGATTTTAATGATAGACAAAGAAACTTGTAACCAAAGAAATCTGTTAGAATATGAAATCTTAATGAAGACTGTATCCATGAACTCAGACATTTGGTGCCAAATTTTGTACTTAAGTTTGTATGTACTTTCTCTGTGTAGAAAGAATGTAATAGAAATGACTGATTAAGTTATACTGTAGTAAAATATGAACCCCAAACTCCAGTGATTGTAGACAAAACAGTTAATTTTTCACTAGGCTATCATCCTGTATGGGTAAGTGGGAGCCTCTGCTGCAAAGTCACACAAACTAACAGATGCTGTGTAGTCTCATATTTATTTGCATCATCTATAACACAAGAGCTAGTCTGTGACCATTTTGAAAATGGAAGAGACTGAAGTATCAAAATCCATCTTTCTTTACCTAAAACTAGATGTGACACACGACTTATCCTCACATTTTTATTTATATAAATTAAGCATATGGTTTTGTTCATGTGTGCTGGCAAGTAAACTCTTCCCTATGTTCAGGTGCAAAGGAAGAACCAAACTGGGTGACTGCTAGTAATATCTTACAATTTGTAAATCCATTCTTAAAAGTTTATGGCAAAGTTTATGACTAAAGAATAGTTAGGACTATTTGCAGAAATACAATGTAGTAGTTTAGGCATAAGTGATGAGGATATGTGATGACAGAAGGGATAGAGAAATATGGAGGAACAAAGGGAAGAAAGAATAGAAAAAACAAAGTAGTTTTTTATTTCCAAGTGTTTGCTTCAATTTTACCCAGAAAGTTGGGAAATCATTAGGAGTACTGTCGACATTCATAGTAGAGATTGGTTGCTGTGGGTAAGCGGGGATATAAATGGTTGATACTAGTTTGGGGAATTTGATTAAATTAGTGCAGTACAGTTGTTTGTGCTGGGTAGCAGTTGGACACTGACCGAAATAAAAAATAAGAAATTAGGAATAAAGTGTCAGGTTTGGAAATAACTTACATTATAATTGGACTTACTACAGTGAATAACCAAAGATGTATACCCATGTGTAAGAGGTAAGAGGTGCATATGGAGCCAGGCAACAACATATTGAAAGACTTCAGAGGTCAAAATGAAAAATAAGATATTATGACATAGAGCAAAAGATCAGCCTTCCATTGCAAAAGTGTTGAGGTGGTCAACAGTGAAGGATAATGACAAAAATCTGAAGAAGAATAAATGGATAGTGTATATTTATGAGTATTGCTACTAAATATTACATACATTTTTTTGATTAACATATTTGCTCTTAATTAGGATGTTTCCACAGAAAGGTAATTTTTATTTTCTTTAAGGTTTTGAACCTGTGAGAGATTGTGGTCAGAATAGGCAGGGAATAAAAATCCAGTGAATGGTGAGAAAATTGAGGTTAAAAAAAAGTCATAAATTTCCAATGCATGGTAAAAGACCATCTCAAAATGATAAAGTTGTGGTTCTCTGTTTGGTTACTTGTTATTGTTGTTGTTTCCAAGAAGATGATCTAAGACTTTAGATAACTTTGATAAAACAGAAAGTTGTTAAGTAATTAAAGATGTGCGATAATGGGAAGTGATTATATGAAGAATATTAAAATATAAGAAAAGGAATGTATTAGCACATTTTCATACTGTTATAAAGAACTGCCCGAGACTGGATAATTTATAAAGGAAAGAGGTTTAATTGACTTACAGTTCAGCATGGCTGGGGAGAACTAAGCAAACTTAGAATCATGTCAGAAGGTGAAGGGGAAGCAAGGCACCTTCTTCACAAGGCAGCAGGAAAGAGAAATGCCAAGCGAAAAGGAAAGAGCCCCTTATAAAACCATCAGATAGATATCTTGAGAATTCACTCACTATCATGAGAACAGAATGGGGGAAACTGCACCCATGACCAAATTACTTCTGCCTGGTCCCACCCTTGACATGTGAGGATTATTGGAATTACAATTTGAAGTGAGATTTGGGTGGGGAAACAGAGTCAAACCATATCGAGGAGTCTTTGAAAGAGGAAGGAATTCTTTCTCTGAAAGAAAAAAAAAAAAGGAAGTGGAAACAATAATAAATAAAGCAATTTTAAATTCAAGAACTACAAAGGACTGAAGGACAGGGTATTTAGAATTGTTTTTACCTGTGCAAATATTGCATCTATCTTTAAACTCTGTCAGTTTATTCAATCATTTTAGAAAATCAGTTCAGTTTGGGAGAAACCTGTCTTTTCTGTAACATTAGTTTTGTTGACTACATTTATAGATTCTGTTATTTCCAGAAGTTGTGTTCTTGTTACTTATACATAAATTAAGAAGATATGTATATATATATATATACACATATAATACTATTAATTTATTCCTTTTGAGTCTCTCTAAGTTCTTCATGGAAACAATGAACAGAGCCTCATGAGAAAGTACCCATGTAGAAGACAGGTAGAAGGTCAATTTCTCTAGTAACATACCTGCAGAATATATTATTTTCAATTTTAATGTAGCATTACTCAATATTTTACTTATTTTTCCCACAGAAAATCCTGTGTTCAAGTTCTTTGAATTCTTTGAAATAGTTTTCTTGGCACAAATGACTTAGTGACATAATCATCATTTTCACTGGGATGGAGAAGGATGATTTTCTCTCTTAGATCAAATGACATATAACAAATGAAACATTCAATGCATGTAACAGAACCTACTCCCAACATGCACATACATTGTATAAAGCTGTCTGAGGCCGGGCGCGGCTGGCCTGTAATCCCAGCAATTTGGGAGGCCGAGACGGGCGGATCACGAGGTCAGGAGATGGAGATCATCCTGGCTAACACGGTGAAACTTCGTCTCTACTAAAAACACACACAAAATTAGCTGGGCGTAGTGGCGGGCGCCTGTAGTCTCAGCTACTCGGGAGGCTGAGGCAGGAGAATGGCGTGAACCCGGGAGGCGGAGCTTGCAGTGAGCCGAGATCCCGCCACTGCACTCCAGCCTAGGCGACAGAGCGAGACTCCGTCTCAAAAAAAAAAAAAAAAAAAAAAAAAAAAGCTGTCTGATTGAATATTTAAGAAGCTTACAGAAATGAAAAGAAAAAAATTTTGCCTACATCTAATTTTTTTTAATACTATAAAGTGTGGAACTTGACATTTCAGTAATAATTGTGAAAACATAGGGAGAGAGTTTGAACATAGCTGCAAAATGGAGAGAATCCATTGATATCACTTACTGAGGATTTTGTTGATTTATTTATTCATTTGACAAATAATTATTGACTCCCTATTTTGTCCAGCTATAAAGCTAGGCTATTGGTCTTGGGGTAATGAACTAAATAATTTAGTGTTTAAGTGCTAAAATAAAGATGCCTAATACTTTTCATGAAAATTTTATAAAGCAGCACTACCTAGCCATGAAAAAATAGGCTAAGTTATAGAAAGAAAAAGATGTCACTTGAGCAGACTTGATCAAAAGTTACCTTGGTGGAGGGACTATTTGACAAGCTAATGACAGGAGTGAAAATGAAAAGAGAAAGGCATTCCAGGAGACAGGAGAGTTTAACAAAGACATGGAGGGGTGTGTGAATGTGCTGCATTTGGGAAACAGTGGGAGAGGTAAAGATAGCTGAAAATAAGAGTATATAGTAGATATCCTAGGAAATTAGGCTGAAAGGCTATCCAGAAGCTATATTATAAAGTTCACATGTAGCATGCTGAGTTTAAAAGGTAGCAAAAGGAGAAATAGTTTTCTGGAAGAAAGATCTAAGAATTGGTCATAAAAGATGTATCTAGGTAATTAAGCACAGAATAAACCCACCATAATGTTTACAGAGTGTCTATATCATCAACACTTGTCAAATAAACTAGTATTAGCCAATTACAAATCCATCTATGAAATAAAACTCTCTATACAACTCACTGTTAATTTATGACATATTTGCTTTTCATAATACTTGTAAATAACACTGAGGCAGAACCTGTTCCTACAAAATCATGTCTTTCAATATTCATATCAGAGGACTTTCAATATTATACAATCTGCTCATTGGTTTATCTTAATAAAAGATTAATTTCAAGGAAATTTTAAACAATACCCCCATTCAATTTCAAAGTTTATGGACTACCTGAGAGCCATATGCTCATAAATGTCTTCTCTGCCATCAAGACTTATACAGAATCTATTTTTCTCACTCTCCATTCTCTGCTTCCACATCTTCCTTCTAACCCACTCCACTTCAGGAAGTCCCCAGAAACCCTCCCTGTGCATCATCCCACTTTGTTTGTTTGGTTGTATATTTTGTTTTATTGTTTTTTTTCCCTCACTACCTATCTCTCTCAGGTAGTGAGAAAGCCCTTCAAGACAAGGTGAACTGAGACTAAGGAATAAAAGTCACGTGAGAATAAGTGTAACTATTTCCATCATATTATAGGTGAAAATGGCCCCTGTGGTTAACATTGTAATATAATTATCATTTATAAATTGCTTCAATAGATATCTTTATTCAAAATTATAATAAAATCAGTTAAAACCAACATTTGAAAACTTAAAGTTGTTTTTTTTTTAAGTTTGAATTTGGCAATATTTTATTCACTTGACTACGTTTTCTCCCTAAAACCTTTGTCAGCCTGCAAACTCTTCACATAGGTTGTCTAAGGTAAGAATTCCATAAATTATTAGTTAAGTGAGAATTTTCAGACGTCAAGAATAAATTGGGGAATAGAATGCTAAACTATTATTCTAGTCATACCTGGAAAAACAGCCATTCGAACCCATGAGATGGAAAAGTTTGTGTATATGCAGGGCCTTCTACTTGGTTGCTTACCGATGTTTTCAGTAACAACATTGAATGTTGTTTTTAGTTCTGGGTCTAAGAAGTGGCAGTTATTGAATCATTCAACATTTCAAATTGCTTACACATGGTTAAGTGGAAAAGGCATCCACACATGGACACTTGTGTAGTTGTTTATCTTGAATATTTCAAACATGCAAACTGAGAAATTTCAATAGCAATCTCACACCATTTCTTAAAAAGAGCTTAGTTGTTCAAAACCGCCCTTCTTAAGGAGAATAGACATCCCCATTATAGAATGCACACACTATTTCACGTTTATTTCGTGAAAGTCAAATATTACAATTGCAGGCATAGTAAAGAGATATAGTCGGTTTGGTTTTAGACCACCGTAAGAAAGCAAATATCACAATAAAGTCAATCACACACACTTCTTCATTTTCAAGTGCATATAGAAGTTGTGTTTAAATTCTACTATAGTTTATTTAGTGTGCAATAGAATTATGTGTAAAAAAGGTGCATACCTTAATTTAAAATGGTTTATTGATTAAAAAAAATGGTAACAATCATTTGAGCCTTCACAACTTTTAGTGTTTTTGTTGGGGTACAGTCATGTCTCTCTGTGTTGCTATTAGTTCCCATATAACGGGGGTGCCTCACCCCCCTGCGTTATGGATCATAATAGCCAGGGTGGGGGAGAGAGGGGTGCTATAACCCCAAAAAGGAGGGGGTACCTCAGCCCCCTGCGATGTAGATCGTAATAGCCAGGGGGGACAGGGGGTGGCCATCACTCCCTATATCGTGGGGGGTGCCTCACCCCCCTGCAATGTGGATCCTAAGAGCCAGGCGGGGAGAGGGGCTGGCTCTTACTCCCCATATCGCGGGGGGGGCCTCACCCCCTTCGATCTGTGTCCTTTATTAGCATTCTCTTTTTTCCTGCTATTAGGAACAATTTCATAGGGTGTGTGTACCACAACCTGCGGTATGAAAACTAATATCATCCTCTGCACCTCCGCATATTAGCAACCGTATCACACAATGGGTGTTCACTTTTTGCGGGATTTGGGGTCATGTCCTCCTGGGTTTCCCTGAATAGTCGGGGAAATATCACAGGGCGGGTGTCCACCCACTGCTCTATTGGGAGGAACATCCTACTTTAGCTACTGGAAATCAGGAGCAATATCACAGATGGGGTGTAAAGCCACTGTCATATTTGAAGTAATATCATTCTCTCCCCCACTAGTTGTGATGCCCAATATCACAGGCGGGTGCATATCTTCTGCAGTATTGGGAGTAATATCATCATCTCTTCCTGTAGATGATAGGAACAATGTCAGAGAGGGGGTGTACACCCCGTCTATTTTTGGAAGCAATGTTATTCACTCTTCTAGATTTTACGATTCATATCATAGGAGGGGTGTACACCCCTTGTTATATTCGGAGTCATATGATCCTCTTTCAACCTGTATATTAAGACCAATATCCCACGGGGCTGTACATCTCTTCGATATTGGTAGTAATATCATCTTCTCCTTTCCTGGATATAAGAAACAATATCACAGGTGGGGTGTACACCCCTTGCAATATTGGGAGTAATATCACCACTCCCCATGTGGTTATTAAGGACAAAATCACAGGATGGTGTACAGTTCCTACGTTATTGGGAGAAATATCACCCAGTCACCCCCTGGATATCAGAAGCCATATCACAGAAGAGTTGTACACCCCCTTCGATATTGTCAGCAATATCATCGTCTTCCCACCTGGATATTAGGAACAATACCCCAGGGGGGTTGGGGGTGTACACCCACTGCGAGATCCAGAGTAATATCAGCATCTTTCCCGCTGGATATTAGGAACTATATCACAGGTGTGTGTGCACCTTCTGCGATATGGGGAGTAATACCAGCCTCTCCCATCATGGATATTAAGAGCAATATTACCAAGGAGGTGTACACCCCGGCGATATTGAGAGTAATATCATGCTCTCCCCTTCGGGATATTAGGAACAATGTCGCAGGAGGTGTGTACAACCCCTATCATCCTCTCCCCCTGAATATAAGAAACAACATCACAGGAGGATGTACACCGCCTGCGATATTGGGAGTAATATCATTTTCTACCCCTCGGGATATTCGGAACAATATCACAGTGGGTGTGTACAGCCCCTGCGATATTGCCACTAGTATCATCCTCTCCCTCCCAGGATATAAGGAACAATGTCACAAGGGGGTGCACACCCCCTATGATATTGGGGGTAATATCTTCCTCTCCCCCGCTGGCTATTAGGAACAATGTCACAGAAGGGGTGTCCACCCCCTGCTATATTGGGAGTGAGATCATCCTCTCCGTCCCTGGATATTAGGAACAATATCCCTAGGGAGTGTACACCTCCTGCAATAGTGAGACTAAGATCATCCTCTTGCCCCCTGGATATTAGGATCAATATCACAGGGGTGGTGTACACCCCCTGCGAAATTGGAAGAAATATCATCCTCTCCACCTTTGGATGTTAGGGACAGTATCAAGGGGGAAGTCTACGCCCCCTGCGATATTGGGATTCATATCATCCGCTCCCACCCAGGATATTAGGAAGAAGATGACCGAACGGATGTAAACTCATGGCGATAATTTCGATAATGTCACCCTCTATGCCCTGGCTATGAGGAGTAACATCATAGAGGGGTGCACACTTTCTGCGATATTGGGAGTAACATCCTCTCCCCCACGGAGATCGGGAACAGTTATATTAATTATTAATTATTAATAATTAATAGCAATATCACTATTAATAATAAAATAATCATGTCAGTAATTAACGTTAATTAAATCAGTCATAAGTGATGTTGGTTATTAAACAATAATTAAGATTAAGATTAATAACTAATATTGAAAAATGACGTTAAAGCAATAATTAATTTTAATCATGCATAATCATATTTAAAATAATAATTAATGATTAATAACGTTATACTATTAATTAATATTACCATTGATAATTATTATTAAGAGTGATGTTTAATAATTAATAATATTATTACTCCTAATATCGCAGGTGGTGTAAACCTACCTGTGATATTGTTCCCAATATCCAGGGATGGAGAGCATGTTACTAGTTTTAATATCGCAGTAGGTGTCCACTCACCCTGTGACACTGATCCTAATATCCAGGGGGTAGAGTATGACATGACTCCCAACATAGCAATGAATGTACAGCCACCCGGTGATATTGCTCCTAATATTCACGGAAGAAGCGTATGATATTACTCCCAATATCGCAGGGAGTGTACACCTCTTCTGTGATATTGTTCCTAGTATCCCGAGGGGGAGAGGATGATAATAATTCCAGTATCGCAGGCTGTGTTCACCCACCGTGTGATATTCTTATTAATATCCTGAAAGGGAGAGGATGATATTACTCCCCATAATAGATATATATTTCTCCCCATAATAGAGCAGGAGGTGTACACCCACCCTGTGATATTGTTCCTAATATTCAGAGGCCGAGAGGTTGATATTACTCCCAATATCGCCGGAAGTGTACACCCCCATGTGATACTGTTCCTGATATTCAGAAGGGGAGAAGATGATATCACTCCCTATATTGCAGGAGGTGAACACCCACTCTGTGATAGCTTTCCTAATATGCAGTGGGAGAGAGGGTAATATTTTTTCCAATATTGCAGAAATTGTACCCCCCTCCACCCCCGTCAAATTGTTCTTAATATTCCAAGCCGGAGAAGACGATTTTACTCCCAATATAGCAGAAACTGTACACCCCCTAGTGATATTGTTCCCATGATCCAGTAGGGAAGGGGATGATATTACTTTCAATATCGCATGGGGTCTACACGCTCCCAGTGATACTGTTCCTAATTTCAACGTGGGAGAGGATGATATTACTCCCATCATCGCAGGGTTTATAAATGCTCCTTTGATATTGTTCCTAATATCAAGGGCGTGGGGTGAGAGGATCATATTCCTCCCTATATTGCAGAGGGTGTACACCCGTCTTTGATATTGTTCGAAATTTCTACAGGGGGAGATGATATTACTCACAAAATCGTAATCACGCTGTGTGTCCACCGTGGATCCTAATATCCAGGTAGGGATATTACTCCCCATATCGCGGGGGTGTCCACCCACCCGTCATATTGTTTCTTATATCCAGGGAGGAGAGCATGATATTGCTACCAATATCGAAGAAGTGTACACGCCTCTTGTGATATGGTTCCTAAAATCCACGTTGGGAGAGGATGATATTACTCTCAATATCACAGAGGTTGTACACTCTGCCTGTGATATTTTTCCTACTATCCAGAATAAGAGAGAACGATATTACTCACAATAGTGCAGGGGGTGTAGCCCCCCTGCATGTGATATTGTTCTCAATAGCTAAAGGAAGGGAAGATAATATTATTCTTTGCCCTGCAGGGGATGTACACCCACCTGTGATATTGTTCCTAATATCCAGGGTGGGAGAGCATGATATTGCTCTCAGTATCTCCGTGGGTGTACACCCACTTTGTGATATTGCTCTTAATATCCAGGGGATAGAGTATGACCTGACTCCCAATATAACAGTGGGTGTACATCTGCCCGGGGATATTGCTCCTAGTATTCAGAGGAGGCGAAAATGATATTACTCCCAATATCGCAGAGAGTGTACAACCCTTCTGTGATATTGTTCCTAATATCCGGGGGAGGAGAGGATGACATTACTTTCAATATTGCCGGCTGTGTACACCCACCCTGTAATATTGTCCCTAAAATCCAGGAAGGGAGAGGACGGTATTACTTTCCATATAGTACAGGTGTACCCCCACGCTGGGATTTTGTCCTAATATTAAGCGGGGTAGAGCAAAATATTACTCCCAAGATGGCAGGGGGTGTACATCCCCCCTGAGATATTGTTCTTGCCATTCAAAACTGGAGAGGATGACATTACTCCAGATATCGAAGAAAGTGTAAACCCCCGTGTGACATTGTTTCTAATATCCAGAAAGGGAGAAGAGGATATTAATTCCCATATCGCAGGAGGTGTACACTCACTCTGCTATTTTCCCAAATATGCAGGGGGGAAAGAGGATAATAGTATTCCCAATATCGCAGGGGTTGTACACTCCCGTGTGAGATGGTCCTTAATAATACTCGAAGGCAGAGGGGATGATATTACTACATATATCGCAGAAAGTGTACACCCTCCAGGGATATTGTTCCCATGATCCTGGAGGGAAGAGGATGATATTGCTTTAAATATCACAGAAGGTGTACACGCCCTCAGTGATATTGTTTCTAATTTCAACGTGGGAGAGGAGGATATGACACCCAATATCGCAGGGAGTAGAAACACTCCTGTGATACTGTTCTTAATATTCAGAGAGGAAGAGGATGTTATTACTCCCAATACAGATGGGTGTACACCCGTCTGTGAAATAGTTCACAATTTCCAGAGGGGGAGATGATATTACTCACAATATAGTAAACAGACTGTGAATCCACCATGGATCATAATAGCCGGGGGGGAGAGGGGGTGCTATTACTCCCCCTATTGCAGGGGGTGCCTCAGGCCCCTGCAATGTGGATCGTAATAGCCGGCAGGGAGAGGAGTGTGCTATTAGTCCTCATATCGGAGGGGGTGCCTCACACCCCTGCGATGTGGATCATAATAGCCAGGAGGGGAGAGAGGGGTGACTCATCTCGGCCCTGGTTGCTGACGATTGGGTTGACTGTGGAGGTAGCTTAAATAAGAAAGCAATGAAGATTGCCACATTGATATACTCTTTCTTTCAGAAATAATTATCGGTATGATGTGATACTCTTTGATAACATTATACCCACAGTAGAACATCTTTCAAAATTGGCATAAATCGTCTCAAACCTTGCTACTGTTTTACCTACTAAGTTTATGCAATGCTCTAAATCCTTTGCCGTCATTTCAACAATGTTCACAGCATCTTCATCAGGAGTAGGTTTTGTCTCCAGAAACTATTGTTTTTGATCATTCATAAAAAGCAACTTCTCTTCCATTCAAGTCTTTATCATAAGATTGATGTAAGTCAGTCACATCTTCTAATTCTAGTTCTTTTGCTATTCCAATTCTAATTCTAGTTCTCTTGCTATTCCAAAACATCTGCAGTGGCTTTCTCCATTGAAGTCTGGAACCCCTGACAGTCATCTATGAGAGGTGAAATCAACTTGCTCCAAACTCCTACTAATGTTAATATTTAGACCTCCTCCCATGAATTGCCAATGTTCTTAAATGACATCTAGAACGAATAATCCTTTCCAGAAAGTTTTCAATGAACTTTGCCCAGATCCATCAGATAAATCACTATCTATGACTGCTATAGCCCTACAAAATTTATTTCTTAAATCACAAGACCTGAAAGCCAAAAATCATCACAAGTCCACTCCTTGTCAATTTGAACCCATACACATCTCCTGAAATCATACATAATCTTCAAATAAAGACAATAATAAGGTCATAATTACACCTAACATAATACAGCTATCCTTCGTACAAGCAGAAGCACACCAATCCTCAAACCAAATGCTATTACATAAAGTTAACAACACTTAAATGCCAGCATAAAGTCAATAAACCTTATGTCACGTGATAGAGGAAAAAGAAAGAAAATAAAATAATTTTTTTTTTTTTTTTAGTACAAGTGTATACATGCACAAACATGTTCTTAAAAAAATTAAGGAGGAAATATTCAGGACAATTACCGTTCTCGTTTCTACAACCAGTCACATGGTAGTAGTTAGCACTCATGACTAGCTTCTTCTACTACCCATTCTGTATTCCCTTTGCCTTCAGCAAGCACCTCAGCAGGTCATGGTTTTTTACCTGATGGAGTAACCCAAATCTTCATTCCTGAAGGGTCTGGACCATCTGTAGTCCTGCCTGAATTGGGTTGCTGTGGTTTCCCATTGACCTTAATCACAGGGCATGATAATACCAAGAGATGCCATAAGGGATCTCCTGTATTCCATGCATACTCTTCCTTACCTCCATTGTGGAGTAGTAAACCGATTTCATCTTGATTGTCTGGGTCAATCCCCCCAGCCAACACTGTAACTTCCTTGTTACCCTGTTGACTTAAAGGTAGGAGGAGCCCGAAGTGGCCAGGTTGCTATCTACTTTGTTTAATGGAATCATTGTTGTGTCTCCTGGTGGCAGCATTCCTCCTTCTGGAACTAAGACCTCTAGGCCAGCAGAATGTAATGTCATGGGAACAGGAAGCAAAAATTTTGCTAGTGGGTCACTAGAGGTGATGGTGAGTAGTTCCGTTTCCACTTCTACCCCTTGATTCCTGGACTCATGAATCCTGGCTTTGAGAGAAACAGTACCATATATTGGATCCTCATTTAGAGCATACACAGCCTTCTGCTGAACTTTGCCCTAGCCCTGCAAAGTATTTTCAACTAGTTTGCCTTATAATTGTGACTTTGAAAGGCCATTTCATCATTCTATCAATCCAGCTACTTCAGGACGATGGGGAACATGGTAAAACCAGTGAATTTCATGATAATGATCCCACTGCCGCACTTTTTTTTTTTTTTTTTTTGAGATGGAATCTCGCTCTGTCGCCCAGGCTGGACTGCAGTGGCACTATCTCTGCTCTCTATAAGCTCTGCCTCCCGGTTTCACACCATTCTCCCACCTCAGCCTCCCAAGTAGCTGGGACTACAGGTGCCCGCCACCCCACCCAGCTAATTTTTTGTATTTTTAGTAGAGACGGGGTTTCACTGTGTTAGCCAGGATGGTCTCCATCTACTGACCTTGTGATCCGCCCGCCTTGGCCTCCCAAAGTGCTGGGATTCCAGGCGTGAGCCACCGCGCCTGGCCCTGCCGCACTTTTTCAGCCATAAAGTGAGTGCCTTGGTCAGAGGCAATGCTATGTGGAATACCATGATGGTAGATAAGGCATTCCGTGAGTCCAGGGATGGTAGTCTTGGCAGAAACATTGTGTGCAGGATAGGCAACCCATATCCAGACTGTCTATTCCAGTTAGGACAAACTGCTGTCCTATCCATAATGGAAGAATTCCAATATAATCAACCTGACACCATGTTGCTGGCTGATCACCCTGAGGAATGGTGCTATATTAAGGGCTCAATGTTGGTCTCTGCTGCTGGCAAATTGGGCACCATAGCCAGGGCAGCCTTGGTGAGTGAAAGTCCATGTTGCTGAGCCCATCCCTGCCACCATGGCAACTTTGTTCATGTGCCCATTGGGCAATGACAGGGGTGCCTGGGGAATGAGGCTGAGTAGTGTTCACAGAACAAGCCATCCTACCCACTTGATTATTAAAATCCTCCTCTGCGGAGGACACCTTTTGGTGGGCACTCACATGGGATACAAATATCTTCACAGTTTTCGACCACTCAGAGAGTTCCATCCACATACCTCTTCCTCAAATTTCTTTGTCACCAATTTTCCAGTCATGCTTCTTCCAAGTCCTTGACCATCCAGCCAAACCATTGACAACAGCCCATGAATCAGTATATAATCACAACATCTGCCCATTTCTCCTTCTAAGCAAAGTGCACTATCAGATGCACTGATCAAAACTCTGCTGACTGGAAAGATTTCCCTTTGCCACTGTCCTTCAGGGATGTCCTAGAAAGGGACTATAGAGTGGCAGCTGTCCACTTTTGGGTGGTGCCTGCATATTGTGCAACGCTGTCTATAAACCAGGGCCTAGTCTTCTCTTCCTCTGTCAACTTATCATAGAAAGCTCCCCATAAGGCCATCAGTGCAGTCTGGGGGAGAGAAGGCAGGACAGCAGGAGTGGGGACCATGGGCATTTGAACCACTTCTTCATGTAACTTACTTGTGCTCTCAGGAACTGCTCAATCCTGATCAGGTATATACCACTTCCATTTGATGATGGAATGCTGCTGTGTATGCCCCACTTCATGGCTAGATGGGTCAGAAAACACCCAGTTCATGATAGGCAGTTCAGGGTCACATGGTTACTTGATGACTCATAGTCAAACATTCAGTTTCTACCAAAGCCCATTAATCTGTTCTCATCCTGCTAATAAAGACATATCCAAGACTGGGTAATTTATAAAGGAAAAAGGTTTAATTGACTCACAGTTCCATATAGCTGGGAAGGCCTCACAATAATGAAAGAAGGAAAATGAGGAGCAAAGTCTTGTCTTACATGGCAGCAGGCAAGAGAGTGTGTGTAAGGGAACTCCCATTTATAAAACCCTCAGGTCTCATGAGACATATTCACTACCATGAGAACAGTATGGGAGAAACCACCTCTATGATTCAATTATCTCCACCTGTCCCCGCCCTTGACACATGGGGATTATTACAATTCAAGGTGAGATATGAGTGGGGACACAGCCAAACCATATCACTGTATTTGTGTGTTTCCACTCATAATAACTTCAAATCCATCTCACATTCCTTGAGGACTCCTACCATTCACCACATATGCCCATTACCTAATCATGAACCTAACTGGTCTTCTACATATAGGCTGCACTCTGAAATCTTTGATATGCTGATTTTTCTCCCTAGAATTATTTGTGAAAGCTTTTGGAAAAAAGAAAGCATTATCACGCTTCATTACATATTATTCATATATACTAAATAATTTATTCTTTCATTCTTTAAATAATCTTCAAGTTTTATGCTATCTTGTTGTTTCAAATTTGACTCTAATGTTGCTAATTTATTACTGATATGCAAATATTTGGTAAGACAATGTACAATTAATTTTACTGTCTTAACCATAATGAAAGTTAAGTTTCAATCTCTGTTTATTTATCAAATACGCATTTCAACAACTTCTCTGTGTCTTAATGGAGGATTAGTCAGGAAACAAAGATCTTAATACTTTTGTTTTTGGTCACAGATTGATTTCTTCTGAAAAAATATATTCCTGAAATTAAAACTGAGAAATCCTGATTGAAAGAGAGTGGGCTTTCTTGTCTACTCAATATAATGGGAATATTAGCCTTTCAATAATGTCTGTGGTAAATCAGAGATTTTAAATGAAGCCTTTCTGTATGACTACCAATCATTTAAATCAGATCATGGTAAGTAACTTAAGAGTTTGGGGGATGTTTTCAATATTATTGATGATTTAATTTTCTATAATATTCAGCAAGGATAACATAAAATTGAAGAATGCATAGAAGTATTCAATCCCTAATTTCTTCTGTATGTTTATCGACTTTCAAAATGGAGGCCTACTCATTCCTGGAGGATGCTGATATAAATGATGGTGAAGCTGCTGATGGCAAGGAGGTAAAAGATACCTCAGAAGAAATGAGGTCTAACCTTGTAGTTCCTAGCATTTTGATTTTAGGTCATTTTGTATTGTTTTGTATATGTTTTGCCAAAGCCAGAACAAGATACTTTATATAGTCTCAGTGAAAGCAGCAACAACTCATATTTAATAAGCATTTAATATGAACAGGAGGTGGTGTTGAGTGCTCTACAGACATTATCTCATGTATTGTCTCATAAGTAAAGAGTGCTTTTATTCTCATGTTTTTGACAAGAAAGTTGGCTGGCAGAGAGGTTAAGTAACCCACTCAAGTCAATAAGCTGATTACTGACCTGAGCCAAGATTTGGACCTAAACATTGTGCAATACATTATCTCATTTAATCTTGACAATCACCTCTGATCTTTGTACTCTGAAATGTAAACTGAAGTTTCAAAATGCTAAATAACCATAAATTTTTTTTCCATTAAAAAGGGTTTGAGCTTTACTTTAAGAAACAGAAAGAACTTGCAGTTGCCATATACTATGTTGTGAAGTCTATTAAAAAAAAGAAAAAAATAGATAAATTTACTCACCCTAGCTTTAGAAAAATGCGTTCATTGTAACTCACTTCATCAGACTTTCTGGGTCTTAATCTTGTGAGATGTGGAGACAATTCAAATCAATATAATTTATCAAAGTTAGAGTGTGTTTGAGGTCAGGAAGAGAGAAACCCCACAGCTATATAATATAATAATATAAGATTATATAATAATATAATAATACAATAAAAGAATAATCAAGTAATTTTTTTATTTTAAAAATGGACATTTAGGAAGCTGCAGATAGAGTTGTGCTTTCTCTGGGAAATCATTTTTATATATTTTAAGATGGAAAATGTTGATAATCTCAAGGTTCATGCACAATTTGAATACTGAATTCCTACCTCGACAAGAAATTTTTCATAAATTTCTGTAGTCAAAGAAGCAGACTACATTTTGCAGACTTTTAAATGTTCTGAAAGAGAACACAGCTTGTCATAGTCATTCATCTTAGTAAATATATTTTATTATATGCTCAGTGAAAGATGAGTCCCATTCTTCTCACTCCTATTCTTTACATTTTTAATCAGACTCCATAGCTCAAGGGGAAACTATTTATTTTTCTTTTTCTTCTTTAGGGTGATCAAAGACATTAAAAAATTATAAAATATAGAGACTTATTCCAGTGTGTTTGCTTTCAAGTTTCAATTGATGCAGTATTCATTTTTAGTATGCTATGGTGTCTTAATTGCTGGTATTTATCATGGGTTAATTTACTTATGTATAATTGTTTTTTCCTCACTTTTATCCTGTCCAAAGATAGTGCGCCAAAAAAATCCATCAAGAATCAGGAAATTTATTGAATCCGAATGGGGATACGCTTTGGCAATTGCTGTTAAAAAAAAAAAAAAAAAGCAGAATTCATGGATGTCAATGATGTTACCATTTACATAAAGATAATTTTTGTTGTGCTGTGTTTTAGTATCAAAGTAGAGAAAAGTATACCATATCAGTATCTCTCCAACTATTAGTTCAAAACTGGTACACTGAAAGATGTTACAGTTTAACTTTTAACTAGATTTAAAAATAAATTAGAAAAATTTGAACTTAAGACCCTTTCCTTTCCAAATAACATAGTTTTAACGACTATTTAACTTTTAATTAAAGGTTCAAGCAATTTATTCCCAATAAGTATTGTGACTATTAATCATAACTTGTAATAGCTTTTAAATTAACAGGTCTTTCATTTAACAAATCTTTGTGCAGCAGGGTAAAAAATAATTACATTTTATTTCTCTTAAATGTAATGTGTTGGTAATTAAAAATTCTAATTTTCTATGTGAAATAAATACTTTGATTTAAATTTAAAGGGAAATTAGCAAAGACTGCATTTTGTAATTTAAACTGAAGTCAAAGGATATACCTATTCATTTGTTAATTTTCCCTTAAACCTTCTTATCATTCTTTCTTTTTTGAAGATAATAGAATTTCCCTAGCAAAAATACCCTTCAGGGTATGTTCAAGACTTGTAAAACTCTGAAGTAAAGTAAATTAAGGTTGAAAAGTGCAAATAACGCTCCCCCCAAAAGTATAGATGTGGACGGGGCAGAGTATGTTTCCATACAATGACCTGGAAGCACCCTCTACACACTTCAGAAGATAATGTATTGATCAAAGTGCCTAAACATATTTTGAAATAGGAAAACTACATGGGTTACAGGCTGTTATCATATCCTATCACTAGAAAAGGTATTAAAGTTTCTAAGCATAGCTGATCATTGAGTTGCTAATCAGAAGTTCAGTATATCAGACCAACGCGATATGAACAAAATTTTCCTAAAATGTCAACTTATTAAGCTCACTAAAAGAACAAAGACAATTTCTTTCCTCAAAGACTAAAAGCAATATTATAAATAAAGGCATAAAATTAACCTTGTCGGTCTTAACTATTTCTTATAATTATAATTCAAGTCATATATAAAGTTTTAAGTGTATCTGATATGAAAAATGCCAAAATTAAAACACATGCATTCTGAAATTTAATAAACAGATGATATGACTAATTGCTTTAGATGGCAATGAAATAGTATGCAGAATTTTTGATTAAAACATTTAAAGTGATCAAATTAATTCTCTAGGTTCTTTAAAAATTTTTAGTCAAATTAGAATACATTTTTAAAGTAGCAAAAAAAGTTCTACATATCATTCTTGAAAAGTTATTCAAAATTTTTGTTTCATTTTTAAATCGGTACAAATGGCAAATTTGTTTCATTTCTGTAGATTCAGAATCAGTCATAAATATGAGTCATAATGCTTTTTCTTAACTTTTGGGAGAAACCATTTAAGTAAAAAAATAGACTCAGAGTAAAAATATAATTCTTGTCAACATTTGGCTTATGGACTCACCCTCTGTCTTCTCAACATTTCTGCCTTTATTGGCAATAAAAGAAGAAAGTTTAAATATAAAAGCATGAAATACTATAGATCGGCCTATTTTTGAGGATTCTAATATAACTGCTTCAACTGTTTAAAACATGCATTTCTCTTAATGTTTCTTGCAACAAGGCCACCCTACTGTATCAACTTATTCAGATAATTCATTAAATCCAGTGGGTAATAAAATTAGTTAGATCAGGCTTTTACCATAAAAAAAGAAAGAACTTGTTGCCTAAGTTTACCTTTAATATCTTACGTTTTTTTTAGCATAATGGCAATAGAATATAAGATTAAATTTGAAAACACTTGGATATAAAAGAGAAAAACATATGTTTTAAAATATATAATTATTATTCTAGATATAATTGAGGAATTATGATATAAGTGACTTAGAGATAAATATCAGAAAAATAAGTTAAAAACTTTAGGTAGGTTATAGGTACAACAGATTCCTAGCCTGGTATATGATGTTCCATTAGAGTATAAATTAAAGATTTAGGACAATAAAATATGATTTCCTTCTACTTTCTTTGTTTTCTGTTTAGCCTTGTAAAATCTACACAAATTTACCTTCTGAAGTTACTTGCATCTGAATATTTTATATTAATAGATATATCACTAATCAGTTTTAACAGATGACTGTTTGCATGTGGAAGAAGGAATGGGAAATACATCCATGATGAGAGATTAAAGATATCTAAAAATTCTTTGCTTCTTCTCTTATTTGGGTAGCAAATGGGAGTCCAATTCCCCTCTTCTGGAATCTGGGATGCATTTAGTGACTTGTTAGATTATTAGAATGTAGTGCAGACTACGTAATAGGAACTTCTGCAGCTTCAACCCGGGCTCATGGAACAATCTCGCTTTGAGCCAATATGGACCAAAAAAAAAAAAGGCAAGCAAACTCTGAGACCTTAGTATATAGGCCAGAGGACTGTTTCAGATCTACTACCAAGCCCATGAAGCTTTCCTCTTTTATAATATCAGAGCTTTTTTCACCTTGGCCTTTCATTTGATTCTTATAGTTTGTATTTCTCTGTTAAAATTTCCCATCTATGTATGCATGTTACTTATGTTTTTCATTAGATCCTTTAAAATATTAATACAGATATTTTAATATCATTATTGGAGAGTGGGTTATGGGTAATCTCTGAGTCAGATCTTTTTGATTGTGTTGTTTCTGGACAATGTGTTGGGGATTTTTTCCCCTTATGTTGTTACATACATTAAAATAGTATATGTTATCATTTTAAAAATTAAATACTGGATGTTATGTGTAAAACTGTAAATGCTGAGGCAAATAGTATTTACATCTTGAAATGAACATGCCTATTCTCTCAGGACATTAAAGTATGAGTTGGGATAGTCAAGGCAAGGAATGAGGTTTAAGTTTTGTTTTTACTTCGGCTATGGTTAATGTCAGTGACCCAGTCTTCAAATTCCTCCAGTGGTGGCCTGCTGTTTTATGCTTAAGGTGGGGACTTTAGTCTTAGAGGTTTTTTCTCAGTGTTAGTTCTTCATCAACAACTTTTAGCATTTTCTCCCCATCCTCCATCTCTCACCCTGTGCTTCTGCCTTTTCTTATCCTTAGACTTCTCTGTTAGGCTCATGTTGGGTCAGGAATGTTCTTTGTTCTGGTCCAGCCTCACTCTTAAACAGGCTCTTTGAATCTGAGACAAAATTGTGTGAACTTTCTCAGTATTTTTGCCCTTTTCTATGGCAGTCAAACTTTGCTTATGTTCGTAGCTGGTCTTAGGAGCTTCCTTTCCTTCCCTCAGTGGAATGAGTCCTGTGCTTGGTAGCAACAGAGTATCTTGGGCCCAAGATGGTTTTCTACCTCCCTTCAGTAATAGAGGGGTTTATTAGTTTTTTTCTACCCTTCCTCTAGCCACAAATGCCTTTTCCTATACCTTGAGAGCATCTATGCTGTCTCTGTATTTGTAGCTTAAGTCTTCTGCTTCCTATAAGAGAAGGGTCCAGAGAAATGAGCGTTATTATGCGCCTGTGACCCCACAATCACTGATCATGTACTAAATTTCGTCATTACTGATAGAGCTTTTTTTCAGTCTTCTCTCCTTCTTCCAATCTCTCTCTTTCTCTCTCTCTCTTCTGTTCTTTTCTTTTTTTGTTGTTTGTTTGCTTGCTTGTTTGTTTGGTTTTTGTAAGCACCCAGTGAAGGTATGTAGGAAAAAGCTAAAAGAGTATCATTTTCACTTAGGTCTGTGGCCCCAAACTGTTCAAAAATGACATGCTATCCTCTATTTGGCCTTTGGCCATTCATTAAAATTTACCTGATTTATTTATATTCACTTAAATGGTGGCCTGTGCCTCTTCCTCCAATGTGCTACCACAGGAGATACAATCTGTGTGCCCTGACTCTCCTTATACTTTTGTCTGCTTGGAATTCATGTTCCTTGGTTGCCTCATGCCTTCAGTTTTCCGATGGGTTCAAAGAAAGTTATAATCTGACTTTTTCTCATTGTTACTGTAAAAGCAACATTATTTAAAGCTTTTTACATCTTAAGTACAAATGGAAGTCCAGCTGATTTGTTATTATAGATGTATGTATAAAATAATTCTGAAACTTTTTATGAAGTATAATAGGATTGAGCAAATATCTAAATGTATGATGTTGCTGGAGCCAGAGTTCTTACTGTGAAGCAAGAGAGAAAGCAAGAAATAACTGTCTAGAAACAGAATCAGGGCTCATTGCTCAACAGTTTTCTAGATGGATATAAATTAGCAGAGAAGAAATATTTTGACAGTCCTTCTAATGCCTGAAATTTATCCCCTTCACAATGCTATAGAATTCTTTTTTTTTTTTATACTTTAAGTTTGAGGGTACATGTGCACAACGTGCAGTTTAGTTACATATGTACACATGTGCCATGTTGATGTGCTGCACCCAGTAACTCGTCATTTAACATTAGGTATATCTCCAAATGCTATCCCGCCCCGCCCCCTTCCCCCCACCCCATAACAGGCCGCAGTGTGTGATGTTCCCCTTCCTGCATCCATGTGTTCTCATTGTTCAATTCCCTTCTATGAGTGAGAACATGCGGTGTTTGGTTTTTTGTCCTTGTGATAGTTTGCTGAGAATGATGGTTTCCAGCTTCATCCATGTCCCTACAAAGGACATGAGCTCATCATTTTTTATGGCTGCATAGTATTCCATGGTGTATATGTGCCACATTTTCTTAATCCAGTCTATCATTGTTGGACATTTGGGTTGGTTTCAAGTCTTTGCTTTTGTGAATAGTGCTGCAATACACATACATGTGCATGTGTCTTTATAGCAGCATGATTTATAATCCTTTGGGTATATACCCAGTAATGGGATGGCTGGGTCAAATGGTATTTCTAGTTCTAGATCTCTGAGGAATCGCCACACTGACTTCCACAATGGTTGAACTAGTTTACAGTCCCACCAACAGTGTAAAAGTCTTCCTATTTCTCCACATCCTCTCTAGCACCTGTTGTTTCCTGACTTTTTAATGATTGCCATTCTAACTGGTGTGAGATGGTATCTCATTGTGGTTTTGATTTGCATTTCTCTGATGGCCAGTGATGATGAGCACTTTTTCATATGTCTTTTGGCTGCATAAATGTCTTCTTTTGAGAAGTGTCTGTTCATATCCTTTGCCCACTTGTTGATGGGGTTGTTTGTTTTTCTCTTGTAAATTTGTTGGAGTTCATTGTAGATTCTGGATATTAGTCCTTTGTCAGATGAGTAGATTGCAAAATTTTTCTCCCATTCTGTAGGTTGTCTGTTCACTCTGTTGGTAGTTTCTTTTGCTGTGCAGAAGCTCTTTAGTTTAATTAGATCCCATTTGTCAATTTTGGCTTTTGTTGCCATTGCTTTTGGTGTTTTAGGCATGAAGTCCTTGCCCATGCCTATGTCCTGAATGGTATTGCCTAGGTTTTCTTCTAGGGTTTTTAGGGTTTTAGGTCTAACATGTAAGTCTTTAATCCATCTTGAATTAATTTTTTATAAGGTGTAAGGAAGGGATCCAGTTTCAGCTTTCTACATATGGCTAGCCAGTTTTCCCAGCACCATTTATTAAATAGGGAATCCTTTCTCCATTTCTTGTTTTTGTCAGGTTTGTCAAAGATCAGATAGTTGTAGATATGCGGCATTATTTCTGAGGGCTCTGTTCTGTTCCATTGGTCTATATCTCTGTTTTGGTACCAGTACTATGCTGTTTTGGTTACTGTAGGCTGGTAGTATAGTTTGAAGTCAGGTAGCGTGTTGCCTCCAGCTTTGTTCTTTTGGCTTAGGATTGACTTGGCAATGCGGGCTCTTCTTTGGTTCCATATGAACTTTAGAGTAGCTTTTTCCAGTTCTTTGAAGAAAGTCATTGGTAGCTTGATGGGGACGGCATTGAATCTGTAAATTACCTTGGGCAGTATGGCCATTTTCATGATATTGATTCTTCCTACCCATGAGCATGGAATGTTCTTCCATTTGTTTGTATCCTCTTTTATTTCCTTGAGCAGTGGTTTGTAGTTCTCCTTGAAGAGTTCCTTCACGTCCCTTGTAAGTTGGATTCCTAGGTATTTTATTCTCTTTGAAGCATCTGTGAATGGGAGTTCACTCATGATTTGGCTCTCTGTTTGCCTGTTATTGGTGTATAAGAATGCTTCTGATTTTTGCACATTGATTTTGTATCCTGAGACTTTGCTGAAGTTGCCTATCAGCTTAAGGAGATTTTGGGCTGAGACTATGGGGTTTTCTAGATATACAATCATGTCATCTGCAAACAGGGACAATTTGACTTCCTCTTTTCCTAATTGAATACCCTTTATTCCCTTCTCCTGCTTGATTGCCCTGGCCAGAACTTCCAGCACTATGTTGAATAGGAGTGGTGAGAGAGGGCATCCCTGTCTTGTGCCAGTTTTCAAAGGGAATGCTTCCAGTTTTTGCCCATTCAGTATGATATTGGCTGTGGGTTTGTCATAGATAACTCTTATTATTTTGAGATACGTCCCATCAATACCTAATTTATTGAGAGTTTTCAGCATGAAGGGCTGTTGAATTTTGTCAAAGGCCATTTCTGCATCTATTGAGATAATCATGTGGTTTTTGTCATTGGTTCTGTTTATATGTTGGATTATGTTTATTGATTTGTGTATGTTGAACCAACCTTGCAACCCAAGGATGAAGCCCACTGATCATGGTGGATAAGCTTTTTGATGTGCTGCTGGATTCGGTTTGCCAGTATTTTATTGAGGATTTTTGCATCGATGTTCGTCAGGGATATTGGTCTAAAATTCTCTTTTTTGTTGTTGGGTCTCCACAGGCTTTGGTATCAGGATGATGCTGGCCTCATAAAATGAGTTAGGGAGGATTCCCTCTTTTTCTATTGATTGGAATAGTTTCAGAAGGAATGGTACCAGCTCCTCCTTGTACCTCTGGTAGAATTCGGCTGTGAATCCATCTGGTCCTGGACCTTTTCTGGTTGGTAAGCTATTATTTATTGTCTCAATTTCAGAGCCTGTTATTGGTCTATTCAGAGATTCAACTTCTTCCTGGTTTAGTCTTGGGAGGGTGTATGTGTCCAGAAATTTATCCATTTCTTCTAGATTTTCTAGTTTATTTGCATAGAGGTGTTTATAGTATTCTCTGATGGTAGTTTATATTTCTGAGGGATCGGTGGTGATATCCCCTTTATCATTTTTTATTGCGTCTATTTGATTCTTCTCTCTTTTATTCTTTGTTAGTCTTACTAGCGGTCTATCAATTTTGTTGATCTTTTCAAAAAACCAGCTCCTGGATTCATTGATTTTTTGAAGGGTTTTTTGTGTCTCTATTTCCTTCAGTTCTGCTCTGATCTTAGTTATTTCTTGCCTTCTGCTAGCTTTTGAATGTGTTTGCTCTTGCTTCTCTAGTTCTTTTAATTGTGATGTTAGGGTGTCAATTTTGGATCTTTCCTGCTTTCTCTTGTGGGCATTTAGTGCTATAAATTTCCCTCTACACACTGCTTTGAATGTGTCCCAGAGATTCTTGTATGTTGTGTCTTTGTTCTCATTGGTTTCAAAGAACATCTTTATTTCTGCCTTCATTTCGTTATGTATCCAGTAGTCATTCAGGAGCAGGTTGTTCAGTTTCCATGTAGTTGAGCCATTTTGAGTGAGTTTCTTAATCCTGTGTTCTAGTTTGATTGCACTGTGCTCTGAGAGACAATTTGTTATAATTTCTGTTCTTTTAAATTTGCTGAGGAGTGCTTTACTTCCAACTATGTGGTCAATTTTGGAATAAGTGCGGTGCGGTGCTGAGAAGAATGTATATTCTGTTGATTTGGGGTGGAGAGTTCTGTAGATGTCTATTAGTTCCCCTTGGTGCGGAGCTGAGTTCAATTCCTGGATATCCTTGTTAACTTTCTGTCTCGTTGATCTGTCTAATGTTGACAGTGGGGTGTTAAAGTCTCCCATTATTATTGTGTGGGAGTCTAAGTCTCTTTGTAGGTTTCTAAGGACTTGCTTTATGAATCTGGGTGCTCCTGTATTGGGTGCATATATATTTAGGATAGTTAGCTCTTCTTGTTGAATTGATCCCTTTAGCATTATGTAATAGCCTTCTTTGTCTCTTTTGATCTTTGTTGGTTTAAAGTCTGTTTTATCAGAGACTAGGATTGCAACCCCTGCCTTTTTTTGTTTTCCATTTGCTTGCTATAGAATTCTATAATATTTAACAATAAGACTTGCTGAAAGTAAAAATACTATTATAATATTTATAACCAAATAAGCCACTCTTCTTACCAGTTTGTAAATGTGTCCTTGAACACCAAAAGTAAATGATATAACTTATCAAGGCAAATAATTATAAGATAAAAATATTTTATAGAATAAAGAGTAAATTACTTTTCTTGTGTTTGCTATGCTGAGTATTGTAAATGGATATTCACTTGTATAACCATTTCTATTGATAAAACAAACAGCACGTTCATTTATATATATATTATTTTTGGTAAAATACCTCTCTTCTTTAGGTTTGCTATGAAGAAAGCCATCATTCTACCATCAAAATACATTTATGAAGATGAAGTGAGATTGGCAAAGAGAAAACTGAATGTCCCTGAATAAAACCTCTGTATCTGGATAATTACGTTTCTGTGAATCATTTTTGAGAAGTTTGTACATTTCAAGATTTCATTTTGGAACTGAAATGAAAATGAAAGAATCTGTTCTTATAAGATTTGCAGAAATTCTTCTGACTGAAATGGTCTAGATGGCTGATACAAGTACATGAACTTTTTCACTTTTTCATAAAGCCTCTTCTGCCTCCGTTACTTTGCCAGCCATCTACCTTGCAGCTGTTATGTCTGACTTCATTCTTGATTTCTCCCACCTGATTTCTTTCTTTCTTTCTTTTTTTTAAGTCCACTTTATTTCTCTTGCTAATCACACTCCTCTCCTTTCTCCTGGAGGTAATCATGATCTGACTTTTATGTTAATCATTCTCACTTTTTCTTTTCTTTCTTCTTCTTTTTTTTTTCAGTTATACTTTGAGTTCTGGGATACATGTGCAAAACGTGCTGGTTTGTTACATAGGTATACATGTGCCATGGTGGTTTGCTGCACCCATCAACCCGTCATCTACATTAGGTATTTCTTCTAATGCTATCCCTCCCCTACCCCACAACCCCTGCTTTCTTATTACAAACTTTTGTGTCTGACTTCACCAAAGTATGAGCTTTTTACTCATTTCTCAACGTATTGCAAACATGGAGGCCAAAACCCTCTTTTGATTAACGTAACCTCTTTTCAAGATTTCCAATATTCGAGCTTCCTCCTCTCTAACCTGATCAAACTCTATTTACATCTTCTTTCCTAGTTGATCTGATTACAGTAGAGACTTAATTTTTAAAAATTATGTCTGAGTAAAACTAGTGTTATCTATCAGTAGGCATTATAATACAAAAGTGCTGGGAAGCACTTTAAATAATGCCGAAGGGAGGAAGGGAAGTGCTGGGTAGAGGAGAGTGTGGTCCCTGGCTAAGGCTCCACCCCCACAGACCTAAGTGAAGACAGACACTCCTGCCTTCCCACTCAAATGTTACATTTCCCAAGACCACCCTGGCTCACCACACCCCCATCCTGGGCCTATAAAAACCCGAGATCCTAGCAGGCAGGCACAGAGGTGGCCAGACATCCAGAGGAGCACATCCGCAGAAGAAAAAGCAAGGGGATGTGGAGAGGAGCATGTCAGCAGTCACCTGCTCACCAGCGAGCCATCGACCAGCAGAACAACGCGAAGTTGGGCCGGGGCAGTGGAGGAGAGCCCGAGCCGCCAGCGGCCCGACTCCAGGTGAAAACCATTTCCCTTCTGGCTCCCCGCTCTGCTGAGAGCTATTTGCACTCAATAAAACCTTGCACTCATTCTCCCATCCCACATATGATCCGATTCTTCCTGTACACCAGAGCGAAAGCCCTGGGATACAGAAGTACCTCTGTGCTTGTGATAAGGAAAGGGCTGTAATTGAGCTGGTTAACACAAGCCGCCTATAGATGGCAAACTAAGAGAGCGCCCCGTAACACGCGCCCACTGGGGCTTCAGCTCTAAATATTCACACCTAGACACTGCCATGGGGTCGGAGCCCCACAGCCTGCCCTTCTGTATGCTCCCCTAGAGGTTTGAGCAGTGGGGCACTGAAGAAGCGAGCTCCCATCGCACGTCCTGCGAGAGGGACAAGGGAAACTTTCCCGTTTCAATTATTGTATATCACTCACTTCTTTTGCTCATTTCTATTTTTGAAATAATTTTCCATGTATCTGGCAGAGTTTTGTGAGGACGTTAGTTTACTGAAAACTATTTTGTGTAATATATTGTTGACTTGGGAAAGTTTGTTTATCGGGCTTATTTCTGGGAGCAGATCAAAATTTTAGTGGAATGTCGTGTATATGCTCTTTGAGCACTGGGAAAGAATGTGTGTTCAGCTGTTATTGAGTAGAGTGTTCTAAAAATATGAATTAGCTCAAGTTGGTTGACAGTTTTATTCAGGTCATCTACATTCTTATTGGCCTAATACTCATTTGTTCTGTCAAATACTGAGGAAAGGTATTGCAGTTGCCAACCATAAATTTATCAATTTGCCTTTCCAAATCCATTTTTGTCACGTGTGTTTTGAAATTCTATTGTTAGATACACTTACGTTTAGAATTACTATATCTTTTTGAAAAACTATCCCTTTTATCAGTATGTAATGACTCTCTTTATCCCTGATCATATTTTTTTTCTGAAATTTATTTTTTCTGATACTAATATAACTATATCTGTTCTCGGAGTTAGTGTTTGTATGGTATATTCCTTTTACAGCCTTTAGTTTTTAGCCTATGTTTTTATATTTGGAGTGAGTTTTGTTAAAAAAAAAAAGCTTATGTTTTTATCAGTTTATATGGTATTCAGCAGCTTGTGTTCCAAGTAAATAGTTTGTTTCTATTCAGGTATCTGTCCCATTCTGAATTTGAGGTTAGTTGTTTGCCATGTGACTCCAGTTTTTTGATGGATTCAAGGAATATTATTAAACGTGCTTTGACCCACTTTTTTCTGGTTATGAAGGTATAAGTTATGATACATATATATACAATTTATGTGGCTTTTTATTTTTTGTAGGTATTTCAGTACAGTGTTAATTACGGTGATACTAAACATCTTTATATTCTTTTCTCATTTCAAGGAGTAAGCTTTAAATATTTCTTCATAAGCTGGAAAGCCTTTTCCTATTTATTTTCTAGAAGAGTTTGTGTAAATTGGTGTTAGTTATCCCTTCCTTAAATAATTAGTGGAACTCAATGATACAGTTTTCTGTGTCTAGATTTTTTTTAGTGTGTGTAAATATTTATTATTAAGTGTATAATTAAGTTAATAAATACAAAACTATTTTCATTGTAGTTCTTTTGAATGGATTTTGTGGTGTTTTCTAGAAAGACTGTCATTTCATTTAAAATTCATTTCATTTGAAAATAATTTTTCATAATATCCTACAACTTTCTGATTAATACCTAAAAAATGTATAATGGTGATACTTTTTTCTTTTTTTCTTTCCTGATATTAATTTCTGCCTTTCTCTTTCTTATCATATTTGCCACTGGTTTATTAATTTCATTCTTTTTTTAAAAAACAACTTTGGGCTTTGTTGATACTTATTTTACATTTGTATTATAGTTTATTGTTATTTTTATACTTATTTCCATAGTTTTGTGGGAAACAGGTGGTATTTGGTTACATGAGTACAATTTAGTATGTTTTGCTATTTTCTTTGTTATTTAATATTTTCTAATACCTTTAGTTTTTGAGATCAATACACTCCTCAATATATTAGTTTTCAGCCATTCATTTTCACAAATTTGTTTATGGATGTAAATTTTCCTCTAAACACTTGATTTGTAGCATTGTATAGGTATTGATATAACATTTTTTCATTATCTTTCAATTAATATATTGTCTAATTCTAATTGTTATTGATTCTTTAGACCATGGATTATTTATAAATGTGTTGTTAACTTTCCTAATAATTACGGATTTCTTGTTATTTTCTTACCCATTTCTATGTGCTTTCAGGAGTAGAGACAGACAATTATCTGTAAGCTTTTTATTCTTTGAAATTTGATGAGATTAGATTTAGGTTCTAGAACCTATATATGTTCTAGGATTATTTGGAGATATGTTTCACATGAATATGAAAAGAAATTGCTATGCACAGTGTTTTATAAATGGCAATTCAATAAAAACTTTTACTTTTTAAAAAAATCTTCTATATCCTTACTGAATTCTTAATATATTTTCTCTAAGTTACTGAGAAAAATGTGTTAAATCTCATTTGCTGTTGTTGATTTTTCTATTTCTCCTCATCCTATAAAGTGTTGCTTTTTATATTTAGCAGTATGTTTACAGGGCTATAGTACAATTGCTATTTATACTCAGTGAAATGTTTTTTTTATCTCTATGAAATATATCTCATAATGTCTTATAATAAATTTGTCTTAACATTTAATTTGCTTGATATTGAGATATTTTAATAAGATTTTTTGATATTTTATGTGTAGTATGACTTGTTCACACTTCTACTTTTTAATTTTCTCCATTCTTACTTTTTTAAGATGTCTGTTTTAAAAACATAACCAACATTCTTTGTTTTAATGTAAGTTGATAAAAGCCAAGTGTGGTGGCTCACACCTGTAATCCCAGCACTTTGGGAGGCTGATTTGGGCAGATCACCTGGGGTCAGGAGTTTGAGATCAGCCCGGCCAACATGGTGAAACCCCACCTCTACTAAAAATACAAAAATTAGCCAGGTGTGATGGCAGGTGCCTCTAATCCCAGCTACTCAGGAGGCTGAGGCAGGAGAATCACTTGATCCCATAAGGCAGAGGGTGCAGTGAGCCGGGATGGCACCACTGCACTCCAGTCTGGGTAACAGAGTGAGATTCTGTCTCAAATAATAATAATAATAATAATCTCTCTATCTATATATGCTAATAAAAATCTTCCCTAAACTGGAATATTTGAAAATTTATATTTGATATATTTACTAACTTATTTTAGTTAAAATCCATAATCTACTTGTCTTGCCTATTCTATGTCCTTTTTCTCTCTCCATAAGTGATTTTTCAAAAAGAATCATTCTTGGTTTTCTTATTAGAGGTGTGTGTGTGTCTGTTTATATATGTATGTATATGTGTGTGTGTGTGTGTGTGTGTGTGTGTGTATACAGTTCCATGCTTATTGGTTACCCAACAGACTATAAGTTTCATTTCTTTTTTATTTGACACCGACATAAAATATGACCTTTACCAATTTTGGGATGACATAAGAAGCTTAGAACGCTATTTCTTTTATCTCCTTTCACATGTTGTATCACTGTTTTCATATATTTTTACTCTACTCATATTTTAAACTTGACAAGATGTTACTGCTATTCAATACAGCAAATTCTCATTTATGTTTCCTAATATATTGATATTTTAATAGCTTTTAATTCTTTTGTATATATCCTAGATTACAATTAGTTCCCCAGGAGACCTCAATAAGCATCTCTTTCTTCAGGTTCATATCTGATTAACATATAATCTATTACTTTTTTTACTACATTTTAATTTTGAAGGATACATTTTATTAGTTTTAGAATTCTAGCCTGATCGTTATTTTCTTTCAGGACTTGGATGATGTTATTTTATTACCTCCAGAATCCCATCATTTTTGCTGTGAATTCAGCTGTCAGAATAACCTTTGCTCATTTGAAGGTAATGTGTCTTTTGCTCCCCACTTGATGACTTTATGGTTTTCTTTTGTCACTGGTTTTACTTTTACTCTGATGGTTCTGGCAGTGACTTTCTTTGTATTTATCTTACCTTGAGTTTGAAGAGCCCCTTAAATTTGGGTTCTTCTACTTTCTTCAGATCTAGAAAATTTTTGGCCTTTAGATCTTCTAAAAATGTTTCTGCTTTGTATTTTTTTCTCCCCTCTGTGTCTCCAGTTACACTTATGAAAGACTTTCACCATTTTTATATACATATTAGGCTCTTGTAAGTACATTACAACCTTTATTCTCTACATTTGAATATTTTTCTTCTGGATATTTTCTCCTGATTCAGTGATCCCCTCTTCTTTTATGTCTAATCTGTGGGTAAGTCTTCTAGTGTATCTACATTAAATGAAAATATCCTTCATGTCATCTGTATAAGTCTGTTCTCACATTGCTATAAATAGCTGAGACTGGGTGATTTAGGAAGAAAAGAGATTTAATTGACTCACAGTTCCACAAGCTGTAAGGAAGCACGGCTGGGAGGCCTCAGTAAACTTATAATCATGGTGGAAGGCAAAGGGGAAGCAAGCATGTCTTGCGCCATGGGAGGAGAGAGAGGAGAAAATGCCACACACTTTTAAACCATCAGTCCTCATGAGAACTCACTCACTATCATGAGAACAGCAAGGGAGAAATCTACCCCTATGATCCAATCACCTCCCACCAGTCCACTCCTCCCATCTGACATGAGATTTGGATGGGGACACAAATCCAAACCATATCATCATCTTTTTTTTTTCTTTTTCTCTGATAAGTACAATTTTTAGATCACTTCTTAGTTAGATTCCATGTGTTTGCTTGTTTACTTTTCTCACTTTTTATTACTTTGATTTTATCTTCTGTCATCCCAGTACTTAAAAATATATATATTATTGGTCATTTTAAATGAAAAGAAACTGAGACTATAAATACAGTTCTCTTTCTCTTGAAAAATATTGTTATATCACGTTGTTAGATGTAGTCAGTTGTGCAGATTAATTTATTTCATTTTGGGATTAAGTTTGGTCCCAGCTATACTCCATACTTGATATTTTGTTATGACTAGTTTATTTCCAATCCACTCTTACTCTTATTTGTAGCACTGCAGGATCGTGTGTGTGTGTGTGTGTGTGTTGTTTGTGCTATCTATCAAGACTTCCAGTACATACTCGGCTCTCATGTACATTTTTTTTTTCCACTCGGCACTAGAAAATTCCTGAAAGCTCTCCTCTGCTTCCTAGCCTATTAGCCATCACTCTCTTGGTGTTAAGCTTGTTGTTTCAGTACCACTTAGAAACCAATAAATGTCTGGACTTTAAAAAGTGCCTTCAAATCCTGGGCTCATTTCAAAGTGCTTTGTTTCACTTTAACATATTAGTTTTCACTGAGTTGGTGGCCCAGAAACTCGAATTTTGTTTTCCTGACCCACAGCATTGTGGAAAGTTAATATCTGCTTATCAGCTATTGCCACCACTTTCTCCTTGGATTTTATCCCTCGGAAATTATCCCTTTCAAAATGATGAGAGCCTTGTGGGGGAAAATATTGAATAATTAAAATCTGTTTCAAAATTCTTTTCTTTTCTTTGTGATTTTTGCTCTTCAAGCCCCGGATGTTTTGGTGTACCTCTGATGTCTTCAAGGAGATACTTTTTGTATTTTTCAGTTATTCTCAATGATGAGCTGATATGGAAAAAGTATGCCATTATTCTACCAGTTCTTTTACTATTTTTATTCATTGATTTTATGTACTGAATTCCATGTCCCCAGCTTCACTTTTACAACTAAATTTCATATATACATTGCAGAAAGTCTTCTACTTATTTTACCTTATTTTTATATTTAGAATCTCCAGTACATAAACAGGGAAAACACATCTCAGAATGATTAATTGTCTTGACCCTTAAGTCAAATTAAGGGAATAATTTGGGGGGAGGGAATCTATTTACACTAATCCAAAATTACCTTTTCTTTGTGTTTCCCTGGCTGTATCCCCTATCTATTTGGGAAAACTTTATTCATTCTCTAATACTAAAGAGTAACATTTTTGTACTATATTTTGCTCAAAAGTACAGTGAATTTTGCCGGGCGCGGTGGCTCACGCCTGTAATCCCAGCACTTTGGGAGGCCAAGGCAGGCGGATCATGAGGTCAGGAGACCGAGGGCATCCCGGCTAATACGGTGAAACCCCATGTCTACTAAAAAATACAAAAAATTAGCCGGACGTGGTCGCGGGCGCCTGTGGTCCCAGCTACCCGGGAGGCTGAGGCAGGAGAATGGCGTGAACCCGGGAGGCGGAGCTTGCAGTGAGCCAAGATCATGCCACTGCACTCCAGCCTGGGCGACAGAGAGAAACTCCATCTCAAAAAAAAAAAGAAAAAAGAAAAGAAAAAAAGTATAGTGAATTTTGTTCATGCTGCTGTGCAATGTCAGAGGAAGCAGAAATGAAGAACTAGGCAATTTTTCCTGCTTTCTTTTAGTTAGGAAGTATGCTTATTTGTGAACTTTGTCAAAGGATAGGGACAAAAGAAAGGGCATGGTGCTGTTTTTGTTATTTGTGTCATTGTGACTAGAGGGTATGGTACTGTAATAACAGAAAGTGAAAGTGCCTTTCCAGTTGATAAGAGAAAGGGGGAGAAAAGTAGCACTAACATTACAATTCTCTCAAGGGATTTTATCAAACATGGAAGATATTTTAGGTTCATGCTTCTGTAATATCTTACCTTCATTTTTATTTCACCTCAGACCTCATCCATTTGGGCAGATTCAATTCCAGAAGGAGTAGCCAAGAATGAATCTTCAGAGGCTGAAATGCAAAAAAATCCCATGGCACCAGAAAGGTTCTATGCTGTTCCTATGGTCACCTCTTTTTAAGTGATCCACTTATTACTGGTTAAATTTTAGTTCTCAGGATGCCAATGTGATATTTAGCAGAGCATTTTACCTTTAAGGATACAAAAATTCTAGACACAATTATGAATGACCTTGAAATGGTAAGCCAGCACACTCTGCAGAATCAACAGCCAGAAAGGATTCAGTAGTGAGTCCAATAAGGTGAAAAGGAACTTTGTGAAGAAAGGGAGCTTTGAAGAAGAGATGGTGATAGTGAAGAGTGGGAGGATGAGCAAGTAGATTAAACAGAAGTCATACTGATGTGGCTGTGCCAGACTGTTCACGCTGCTTTTGAAGCTGAAATTTGATTCCCACAAAAATGACAGATGTTGCAGTTTTGGCCAATTAAGGGACAAAAAACTCTAATAATTGTATGCTCTGCTGGCTATATAACAGGCATTTGAACACTAGTTGGGTAGTCAATGACAATCAAACGTGAACATGCAGCTTATTGCTAGGTAAAAAAAAGAAGTAAAGAAAGGCATCAATACCAAAAAAAAATACATTCATAAGTAAGAACTGACAGATGAAATGCAAGTTACAGAAAACATTTTACTATACAAAAGTCAGAGAGAAACACTTGCATGTCATGTGTAATGCATGTAATTTTATGTTCATTTTCAATTGGGTGAACTGTTATCTAAATGTTAATTCCAACATTGCATCTGAAAAGTAAAATTTTTAAGAAGATAATCATTAAATCAATAACAAATTTTACAACATATTATTTCATTTAGTAGATTCTCTCCCCTTACTTTTTGTCTCTCTCTCACACACACACACCACAAACACACACACATGTACACATATAAGCACACATGTACATGTTAGAGAATGTTAATTAATTACTAGGGCTTTTCCAAGATCAACAGTATAGGGAATATGAAAACATGGGTCTCTATATCTGTTTTACCTTCTTTATTTCCTAATTCCTACATTGATTCTACAGAGAAACCCTCATTTAAGTTTTATTTGATGGGTTGTGGGCAATATATCCTCTTGACACTGCTATTACTTAGCTTTCAAGTAACAATACATTGCATTAAAAATGAGGAATGGCAGGATTACTTAAAACAATTAGTTCTAGAAATTTTGGAATTTTTGATTCAACAAGGATTCTACAGTTTGTCTACTCCAAGCTTCTTTTTTATGGAAAAGTTAAACCAAGACAAAAGTTTTTGTGACTTGCCCAAGTTCCCATGACATCATAGATGTGGAACAGGGAATAATGACATTTACACATTTATACTAGAAATTATATACAGTTTATAGCTGTGCTCAGAGATTTATATAAATACGACATAACTTGCTTTGTCATTCTCTCTAAACTTATAACTGAAACCCAATTAAAATGAGTTTGAGGGCCTGGCATGGTGGCTCATGCCTGTAATCTCAGCACTTTGGGAGGCCACAGCAGGCAAATCACTTGAGGTCAGGAGTTCGAGACCAGCCTGGCCGACATGGTGAAACCCTGTCTCTACCAAAAAATTACAACTATTATCTGGGTGTGGGGTGTGGTAGTGCATTCCTGTAATCCCAGCTACTTGGGAGGCTGAGGCAGGAGAATCGCTTGAACCTGAGAGGCGAAGGTTGTAGTGAGCCAAGATCCTGCCGCTGCACTCCAGCCTGGGCAACAGAGTGAGACTTCATTTCAATAAATAAATAAATAACATAAAAATTAGTTTGAGAGATACAGAGAGAGAGAGAGACAGAGTGTATGTGTGTGTGTGTGTGTGTGTGTGTGTTTGTGTTGGTATATTTGTACTCATCAAGCTAATCGTAAAATAAAATATTGGCCGGGCACGGTGGCTCACCCTTGTAATCTCAGAACTCTGGGAGGCTGAGGCAGGAGGATTGCTTGAGCCCAGGAGTTCGAGACCAGCCTGGGCAACACGGCAAAACCCCGTCTCTACAAAAAATAGAAAAATTAGCTGGGCATGGTGACATATGCCTATCGTCCCAGCTACTTGGGGGCCTGAGGCAGGAAGGTTGCTCGAGCACAGGCAGTCAAGGCTGCGGTGAGCAAAGATTGCACTCCTGCACTCCAGCCTGGTTTGACAGAGTGACACCCTGTCTCTCCTGCCTCACTTCAAAAAGAAATATGTTTTTTCTAAAAGATTGACACAGTTCATTTTTCATCTGTGTAATTGATTATGATCCCCTTTGGTGATTGCCATTCGAACCAATAAATTCTATTTCGATGTTGACAGCAAAGTTTCAGCAACACAAGGAGACTGTCGGTCATTTCTTTCTAGGACTTATGTTGAATTCGAGTACATATATATGAGTCTCTTTGTATACTGAATATAGATCTCCACAGATCCCATAATATTGAACCCTTGTAAATCATACCTCTGTAGATTATGAAAATATTGTTTATGCATGTACTGTAGAAGGATCCTCAAATCATGTATTGCACAAGAGAGAGTGATCACCATAATGAATGACTATCTCAAAATGTAGGCTATTCTTATGTATACATAATCTAAAATGGAATTGAAAGAATTTAAGCAGCATGGGACTGAATTCAAGGTCAAACGAAAAATTTACTTATGGGACTTATATTAGGAAATCAACAGCATTTTATAAACAATGACTATTTGGTTTGGGATTATCTAAATTGTTTTATGTATACCTTGGATTTTCTAAGTAATTAATCGTCTTCAAAATAAAATCAAACATCTTGCTTAGGGTATTTCTTAATTTTTTATAAATTAACTAGCTATCTACCTTCCTCTTATTCATAAAATTAAAAAATATAATTGAAACAGATTTCAATTCAATATAGAATTAGATAATTAAAGTAAATTTTAAAATAAATTTTTAAAAAGACCTGTGAGAGAGGGAATATTTTGACTACCTAGACTAATCCTACTGTAATCAAAGGCAAATTTATTTCTGAATATCCAGAAACCAAGTGAAAAGGAAAATATGATGTATTCTTTTATCGCTGCCTTGTTCATACATTTATCAAGTATTAATTGATGTGCTAGGCATTGCATTAGGCAAAATTTACAGAAGTATTAAATTGTGGAATATTTCTTCAAAATGAAACAAGTAGTAAATTGGAGGCTTTTAACCAGTTATTTTTGAATGATAGAGGAATAACAGACTTTCAAATACATCTTTTTATTTTACTACATGCTCAACATAGAAATGTTCAAAGTGAACGAAGAAAAATGTAAAAAAAAATAAACAAACCCTGTTTTGATACTCTACCAGCATTTATTTGGAAATGAGTATATGAGCAATCCTCCACATTTTAAATATTAAATCTACATATACATCTGTAATAACATATTGAAATATTGCAAAATAATATTTTGTAAATAGCTCATAATTCAGACAACAGCCAGGTTCCTCTGGTTGCTTTCTTTTTTGCTGTTTTCTCTTAATATAAACAGTAGTAAACACTTTTGTAGTTGTATCCCTTATTGTACCAGTGATAATCAGTCTGTAAAATAATTTTCTACAGCCCAATGGGACACATTTCTTAGTATTCATGTCCTTGTGTCATCTCATCCACTTGAATTTTTGCAGGCTCTGTAATTCACTGGTAACAAACAGAATAAGGCAGAAATTAATTTTGCTGTTGTGTGTTTTGTGTCTAGTCAGAAGAAATTCTGCAGGTTCCACTTTGATCTCCTGGAGCTTGAGCTACCTTGCAAGCAGTCCACAATCCCAAATCCACCATGATGTGAGAAAATCAAGCCATACAAAGATGCACTAAAATATGAGATGCCAGATAGAGGAAGAGAGGAAAGAAGGGAAGAAGAGATAGGTCAAAGAAAATCAAGGATTCACACATGTTAGTGAGATACCATGTTGAAATTAGAATCTCCAGCTCAGCAATCCCCACTAACATCATGTAGATAAAAGATAAAATGTCTAGATGAGCTATTCCAGAATTCTTAATCCACAAATAACAAAAAAGTGAAATAATTTTGGCCAAGATGTAGTCATGTGCTTGGAAAAAATTTAGTTATATGTATATATTTTTTATATATATTATATTTTATATATATATAAAACAATGATTTTGAAGTCATTGTATGTTAGAAAATGATACCTGAGAAAGAGGAAACAAACAAGAAGAGTCTTATAATTACTCTAACTTAGATCCTAGAAAGATTTTCAGGATATGACATAGAGAGAAACCCGATGGAGTCCAGTAGCCTCCTTGAACTGAGAAGATGAATCTGGGAGTCTAAGGAGATCATAAGAGCTGCGTTTTGCTGGGCAAAATCCAGAGTAGAGAGCTACACACAGGGAGAACACTGGAAATCTGCAAGAGATTCCCCTAGAATCATCTGCTGATTAAGGATCAACATGTACATGTGAGAAAATTATCTGCAGCTAGAGAGAGGACCACATGAATGATTAGAAGGAGTAATATCTAGAGTTCACACAGGAACAAATGTAGTTCAAGTATCTACCCCCCAGTGTAGAAAAATTCATAATTCACAAAATATTGGATAGAATATTCAGAAACATTTTGCCTCTGTAGGGAAGAAAAGATAGCTGTAGAATAAAACCTGATGAGATATCTCCTAATTTTCATTAATAGTAAGATTAAAAAATGTCAAAATGTTTTGAAAGTAACCATATCCTAGAACAAGGCTCAAGAATATAGAATTACAAAAAAAATCTAGCTCCCAACAAGGTAAAATACACAATGTTTGACATCCAATGAAAAATTACCAGACATGCAATAAAGCAGGAAAGCATAATCTATAATGAAAAAAAAAATCAATCCATTGAGACAGATCCAGAAATGACACATCATAACACATGATAAAATGATTGAAATTGAAATTATAAGGATGAAAACCACAGTGTTTGAGTTGAAAAACAACTTGGAAGTCAATAACAGCATATTAAGTCAATGCATAATAAAAAAGAAAAAGATGAGTGAGTTTTATGACATAGCCATTAAAACTATCCAAAATTCAACACGAACAGAAAAAAAGACAAAAATGAATATATCATCAGTATGCTCGGAGCTAACTTTAAGCAGCTTAATGTAAATATAATTGGATTCTCCAAAGAGGGGATGGAGGAAGACAGAAAAAACGTTTGAAGAAACAACTTTTCAAACCTTTTTCAAATGTGATGAAAACTATAAATCCACTGATTCAAAACTCAACAAAACGCATACTCCAAAAATACAAAGAAAAGTACATCAAGTCCAAACAAAACAAAATGCTTGCATGTTGCCACTAAATTTTGATGTGATTATGCAGCCACAGAAAAATCAAATGACATCCTTGATTTTTTAAAATAATAAATTTCTAAAAATATTGTTTAAGATGCAAATATATGTGAAATGTTTAAGTTTTAGCTATAGCCAAATTGTCCTTTAAGAAATTTGTTACAATTTACCCTCCTCCTAAATGTGGAAAAATGCGCTAGTTTCATTATTCTGTTATCCACCTTATTTCATCTTGAGAGCCATTATAATTCGTGTTTAAGAGGTCAGTCTCTGTGTTAAATTGATCAGATTCAACTTATAACTTCTATGTCCTTGGAAGTGTTAAGTAGCCTTAATTCCTGTTTCTTATTCATAAAATAAGTTTATTAATCTATCTATTTACTTGAATTAGTGACCTGACATTTCAACTGTGAAATACCTGGCACACAGAAAGCACTAAGTAATACTAGGTGTTATAAAACTTGTAATTTGTAATCTATTGCTGACCCTCCTTCCATTCTCTTTGCTATTCCTATTTTATTCTTTGTTTACTTAATTATTATTTTATATACAATATAATCATGAAAAGAAGGGAAATGTGTGTGCTAAGGCCAGTTCTTATCGGGGTCAGATTCATGGGCATATGACCAAAGCAGTTGCTCTGAGTCCCACTGTCAGAACATTCTTGTACTTGGGGTTTAAAACTCTGAGGTCATAATGTGGAAATCTGCAATAACATGACATTTGAATTTTGTAAGTTTCTAAGTGTTTTATTTGTGAAGACCAACTGGACAATGAAACATGCACTAGGAGCCTAGAGCCATAGCCCGTGACTGGGATGCCTCCCACCATGTCTCAGTTCCTTAAGCGATGTCTTAGTTCCCTCTTTTCTGCCCTGCTTTCTGGCACCCAGCCTGTCCAGCCCCTCCCGCCATGCTCCCACCCAGTCTGTTACTGCCCTCCACTCCTGCTGGTGGCTGGAACAGTCTTGGGAAGTGTCAGGGTGTGGTATGTACACAGCGTCATTTCATGACAGGGCTAGTTGTGGCTCTACTTTTTCTATTTAAGACAAATTTCAGAATAGAAGAATCAACTGTAGATATCTTATTAACTGAACATTTTATTTGTTCTTTACCTTGCACAGCACTGAACAGCAAATAGAAGACACTCTGATGAGAAGAAAACTACGAAAGAAGAGTGAAAGCTTCATATGTTGGTATCTTTAATAGTACTTTTTCTCCAGATAATCCTGGATAATCTCACTGTCTTAAGGTCTATAACCTTAATTCCACTGGTAAAGTTCTTTTTGCCATGTAATTTAACCTGTCTACAGGCAAGACATCGGGGGGCAAAGATCACAGAAGCCAAAATTCTGTCTGCCAGGAGCATTATACCCTAATCCAGTGAAAATATTTTTACAGGAACCCAAACAAATGAACTCCTACAGGAAAGTAAACCAAATCCTGGTGATCAAATTTATGTAAAGATGGGACATAAAATAGAGGAGAGAATGAATAATGACTTTATTTTTCAGATTATTTTATTAAACAGCATTTATCTTAGCAAAGTTTTTAGCAAAACAAAAAGTTAAGCCTAAACTTACCTGCAAAAATCTGGACTCCAGATTTTCTCAGAGAGAGCCATATGTTTTGTGTAGCAGATGTCCAAGTGAAAAGGTGAATTAGAAAATGTTGGCCTGTATTCACACATAAAGATTATCAACAAGACATAATGCAGAAGTGGAAAGCCAATTATCTTTGTCTACATTTTAAATGTTGTCGAATGCCTTAACACATATTCAGACAATTTTAGGGATATTTGAAAACATTTTTTCATTGAGTAAGCTAAGAATTCAGCATTCTGCTACTATCCTCACAAGTGTCATTGCTTTTTTGAACTAATTTAAAATTTTTGAAATTGTCATGAATGTCTGTCTAGCTTTTACCAAAGTAGTAACCTAATTAAATTTTGGTAAGATTATTAATCGTGGAGGATGGTCCAGCTTCTTGGCGTTTTGAACAAAGAATTAGACAAAACACACAAACAAAGCAAGGAAGGAATGAAGGGATTTATTGAAAATGAAAGTACACTCCACAGTGTGGGAGTGGGCCTGAGCATAGAGGCTCAAAAGGCCTTGTGACAGAATTTCTGGGAGTTTAAATATCCACTAGAGTCCATTGGTTACTTGGGGTACACCCTACGTAAAAGGAGAGGATGAAGTAAAGTTATACAGTCATTTACAGCTTATGCCCTATGGAGAGAACATTTCTTGTTATAGTTGAAGTGTGAATTTGCTTTATGTTCCCTGCCTCCAGACCCTATTTTCCTGCCTCATCTCCCCCCTGAGAGATGTAATCCCCAAAAATCTTTATGGGAGGCAGAGGGACCCATGGTCTTTTCCTGCCTCAAGGTCAATTTAACAAAATACTTTCAGATTTCTGAATGTTGTTCCATTCTCCTAGAAAACTACATGCCTTAATAGAATCTTAATATTTTCTTGTTTTTTATTACTCATGTAGTTATAAAAGTATTACAAACTACTACTGTAGTTATAAAACTACTCATGTAGTTATAAAAGTATTACCTACCAGTTGTATAAAAATTTAAGATATAAAATGTTTTTAAAAATTATATACATCTATATATATAGATATGTTTATATATCTATATATATCGATATGTTTTTAAAAATTATGTACATTTGTATGTATAGATATCTGTGTGTGTATTCATCCACTGAAAGACAACTGTCGTTAATATTTTCTCCTTATCTTTTTTGTATATATATTTTGCAGAGATAATTTCAAATTGTTAAAAGCTAACATTACAATACAAACCAATGTTATTTGTTCTTTTAACATTTTAAAAGACAACATTCTACCTTAGAGCATTATCTGCTTATTTCTTTCTCCTAATTTAAACTTTCTACAAATATTATATTTTATGATAATATTCTTTGTGATAATATTCATAATCTATGCACAAGAAAGTTAAGCAAAAGAAAGATAAAAACCTTTTTTTTTTAAATCCTCACATCCAACCAATAGCCAAATCCCCTGGCAAGGCAAGCTGGATTACATTATATGGTAGATAGTAAGTTGTCTCAGTTTTGAATTCATGCAATCATGCCTTAATAGTACTTCATTTCCTAAAAAATGTAGTGCCAGTTAGCCATGTACTTTTGTTCTGTCAACTCCCAGTTCTGATGTGTTTGCTCCCAGGGGTGTTCCTTCTTCAACTGCCTTATCTAATTCTGTTCAACAACCCCAGGTCAGTAATCATCACCATTCTATCCTCAAGGACTCTTTATTAAGTATCCCTTCTAGTTCCGTCTGACAGGTATCCTTTCATTTTTACACACTTACCCCTTTAAGACTAAGCCAGAGAACAACACATTTCAAATACTTGTGTGCTAATAACTAATTTTATTCTTTCCTAAGGCAACAGCCTTCATGTAATCTAGTCTTCTATCACTTTGCTTACATGATGCTACTATTTCCTGATATACAATTTCATTGCTTGTTATTTTGTCCTGACTGGATTGCCTGCTCAGGTGCTCGTTACCTAGAAGGGTTATATTTTTATTTCTTCTGCGCCTGCTTTAACATGTCTTATCTCATCCCACCTACAATTGTTTTTCTCCTTAGTGTTTAAATTTTGCTCATCTTCTTCAGATCTGTCATTTCCTCAAGCAATCTCTGTTGACCTCAACAACACCGGCCCAGTTGTAATTTCACCTTTATTTGTGTGATTATTTGATCCATGGCCCTTTCTTCTCACTTGACTGTTTTCTTCAGGAGGGTACAATTTCCTTCTGCCTTGGCTTACGTTGTTTCTCTGCTACATGTCCTATAATCAGGATTCAGAAATGTTGATTGAATTAAGAAGTTAGTGAATACAAATCATGCCAAGCTAATACAGCTGAGAGTTGTTTTTGATGAGTAATGTGTATATTTTTCTAAATAGCATTCTATCTCTTGCACAATTTATTAGGACAAAGAACACGATCAACCACTATGCATACCTTCTATGTGCAGCCACTAACTGTGCTGGGCATTTTATAGATGAATTGTTCTAGTATTTTTCACATAGAAAAAAACTGATAATATAACTAAAGGGCTTTTCCAAGATCATAAATTTACTAAGTAGTAGATTTCAACCAAATTGTATCTAGAACCAGAGTTGATACTCTTTGCATGTACTACAGCATGCCCTAAATAGAGCAAAATATGTTTAATAAAGTGCATACCGAAGTATACTTATCAAAAGAGAAAAGTAACCCTTGTTTGGACTTCTGAGTGGCCCCATTTTGCTCTCTGATTTGTATAAAGGAGTTAAAACTTAAACGTTTTTATAATTACATTTCACAGAACAAAAAAATCAGCCTTCAAATCCCACAGGTGAGCAGTTCGCAGAATGCTGGGACCCAGTGGTAAAGTGACCTGAGTTCTAAAAGTTTGGAGGGTGGGACTCATGACCCTTCATTCCACCACTTCAAATTGAGGAGCTACAGTGTTTTGTAATTTCACATTTTATGTAACATGGTATTTGAAAAAAAAATTTCATATTCTACCATCAAATAAACAAAACCCACAGCAGTTTGATAAGTTGGAAAACCAATAAAATAGAGAATAGATGTTGAGTTCTGGAATAATTCCTTTTGAGATAATCCAGCTACAGCTGAAATCAAACCGAAAAAATGAACTCCATCAATGATAAGAAAAGAGAGGGTCCCCTTCTCTAAAGAAAGACATTCAAACTGAACAGAAGGCTTCTCAGGCTGCAGAAGAAATGACTCCCAGAAAAGCCTCATCAAAAGGATTCATTATTCCCATGGGAACTCTATATTTAAGATTTCCTTGGCTCAAGAAGCAGCAACAGAGAGAAGTTGGAAGGCTGGTACTTTCAATTAGAAGCCGTGTAATCTAGGGCAATTTACTTTCTTTCTCTGCATCCAGACTGTCTTAAATATAAAACTGAAAAATCAACTCACAGGATTTAGTAAAGATTAAAATATTTAATGTACATAGAAAATGTGATACATTGTTATTGATAAACACTTAATGCAAATTAGGCAATTCATTAAGAACATTCACAAAAAAAATTTTTTTAAGCATTTAGTCTCAAAGGAGCCACTTTGTTAGATGTGATGGGAGTTGCAAAGAAACCTGAGACATGGTCAGGCCCTCCAGGTTTGTACAATATATTTGGAGAGAGAATTCAGAGAGCAGACTGGAGACTTAGAGACAGAAAGAGAAATATATACAGACTGAAATATTTAATCAATGACCACAGCATTATCCATCAGGAAAAAGATTACTCCTGCTGTTAATGAGAGAAAAACAACTTGACTAATATCTCAAAATGTGACAGAGTATTGTTGTGCCCACAAATTTGTTTTATTTTATTTTTAGGCTGAGGGGAAATGGAACAGCTCTGTTTGTTTTCACTATTAACTCTGTATGTACAGATTGTTTCTATTTTTCCATCATAAGTACCTTACATTTTATTTCTAAATTTATAGATTTTAAGATGCTTCTTTTATAAAATTTTTCTTACTGTAGTCTCACAAGGATCCTAGGAAATAGCAGGCAACTACGATTTATATTAGGAAGGAAAAATACAGAGTGATTGTCACTGGGGAAGGCCACACAGTGTAGGGTTAGAACAGTTCCAGATTTTCAGAATTTAACCTCATGTTCATTAGTGGAATTTGTGGTATTGTTCCTTCTTCTGGGTTGTTCATCATTGCCCCAGGTTTACAATTATAAACCCTCCAACTTTGTTATGAAATGCTTAATTAATTTCACAACCTTTACTTGCCCTTGCAGCAAAGTGATGCCCCCTCCCACAATGACAACATTGCTTAATTCACCACAGGTAATGTATAACTGAGAAACTTCGGTGTACTGCTACACATAATGGCATTTCAAGCAGGTTGTTTGACACCTTGTAGTTGTTTAACTGTCCACATGTACTGTCCATTATAATTAAGGCTCAAAGTTTAACTGACACTAAGAAACCACTTAATGGCAAAACTGAAACTGACTTGCAGTCCCTGGAAACCCTTTTATGTCCTGGAAAACTTTTTATGCTAATCTCCACTTTGCCATGTTTTGGATAGTCAGGTTCTCAGATGAAGTCTTATCTCTAATTGCTTTCCCATGGGGTGAAGGGAATGATACTTGAAACATCTTTGGATGCTTTAGATTGTGCAGAGGGCCTTGTGTATAGTAGTATGGGAGCCAGAGGTGACTGAGAATATATTATAAATTGGGATGGAAAGGCTAGAATGATCTGAAAGTGATGCACTTGAATATTTAAGTTGCTATAGCCAGACAATACAAAAAAGGACAAAGTTCATTGGTCAGTGCATTATTTCATCATTGATTTTCCCTGCCACTTCCTTTCAGCTCATTGATTTCCATTGCTGATTGGGTCATGTTCATCTTCTGCAAGGATGTCACTTCATTTCCCTTTTGCTCATTTTTTTCTGCCTACTCTGCACTCCTCTACATGTGTGTGTCACTCCTACTAATCTCAATTGTCTGCAGTCAACAGAGTGAAATACTTTATGCACAATGGGCTGTGAGATTCATGGTGGGTGGTGCAGGCCGACACTGCATAAAACTTAAACAGAACATACTCACAGACTTCATTGTACCTTGCAAACATTTTGGAGTTGTTTCCTCTATATCAGACTTAAAGGCATGCAACGTTTGTGGTCCCCAGTGGTCATAAAGCAATACCCCCTAAGCCTAGCAAAAAGGAATAATGCCCTCATCTCGCTGAATACAGATGTCACAAAATAAGCACCTCCTCAAGGTCACAATACTCTTTATTTCATGCCACACTATCTAGAGCCCTTTCATTCAGCAGCTATACAAGATCTTATTTCTATTGAGAAATGTTCAACAGGTGAAAGAAATAGCTGTCTTTTCAAGTAAGGGAGCAGTTTGTATCATTTGTTTCAACGATTTGGATTTCATTCACTAGGGAACCCATTTCAAAATCAGTCAAATATGTTTATCAAAGCATCAGAAGGGTACGAGTTTGTCAATTATGTCTGTACATAGAAGGCATACATATCTTAATTTAAGGTGTACTTTAATCATAGCTCCAATCCTTAGGAAAATAAAACCAATTGGATATCTGTACAGCTTTACATCATGCAAATTCTAAATGCATTAGTGACAAGGCAAGCTGTATTCACTCCTAGCTTAAAATAATAAACATATCCACAAAGAAAACAACAAAACATTTCAGATCACAGAGCTACTGCTTTTAATGAGATTTTTTTTTCCAAGTTTGTTTAACACTGAAGATTATGCCTTTGAATTTTTTATACCACTTGAAGATGTGATTTACTTCATGTTTAGTAATTGGCCATGTGGGTTTCGGTTCTAAAATTTATTATTCAACATTTAATAAGACTAACAGTATTAAATACTAATCAACTTTTAATAAGAATTACAAATGCTATCTCCTTGTTCAAGACAAGAAAAGCAATCACCGTAATCAATCAGGTAGTCTAATCAATTTTCAAAATGAAATTAACCGTGCATCATGTTGGGGGAGAAAAAAAAAAACGTTGAAGAACAGTATTCTATGTCTTTGCTACAAAGAAGATAAGCTCAATTTTAGAAAATGGTAATAGGATATTTAGTTTCTGCGTGATATAATTACTCTGATGAGTTTTTAAAGGGTTACTGAGATTTATTCTTACAAGTCATTGCACTGACTTGAAGGGAGATTACAAAGAGTCAATAGATACGCATTATGAGATGTGATATCATTTCTGCAATTTTTCTCCACATTAGTCCATATATAAATTATATCAGAAACTGAATTTTAATTGCCCCAGTATTTATCCACTTCCTAATACGGTATAAACCATACAATGGTTTGACATACAGGAATATTTTATTAATATTAAGTACAAGGATTCTTGTATTTAGAAATAATAAGAAAACTGTTTAAATTGCTGCCCCATTAAGCATTTTTTTCATATAATTTTTAGGTAAGTTTTCTCAAATAATGACATGTTATATAAAGGGAAGTAATCCAACTTACTCATCTAATACGGGATACAGGAATATTCTGTGCCAAGCTACTTGCTGGGTGCAAGGAACACAAATAAGAAACAAATTGATGGTGCTTGCAGAACTAAAGACCCATGGAGTAAACGGTCACGTAAACAATGAGAAACAAGTTGCTAAGTGCAATGGCTTTGCAGGGAATTGTACATACCTGACTGGTTAAAAAGAATACGTTTCTGTAAATATTTCACAGAGAGGTTAGTCTAAATTGTTAATAAAATACTGCTACTAAATTGTTAATAAAATAGAAGTCACTAATAAAAGTGACTTCTATTGAATAATTATTAAGTGCTAGCTGCACTCTAAACTTTAGATACACTGTCTCCTTTCATTCTCTCATGAAATGAGGGGGCTATTATATTTATTTTAAAGATGAGGAAATTTGAGATTCAGAATGTTTGAGTAACCTGGGCAAAGTCACACAGTTACTAATTTGTGAACATAGTACAGTAAACCATGCATTTGACCCTGAAATTTCCTACATGCATCTCCTGGATGCTTAACTGCCTTGCTGAGACAAACTAAAATTGAAAGTTCAAAAGCCCCCATTTAATTTGGCCTTCAATATGAATCACAAGCCCATGTAAAATACCCTAAGACACTGTTTACAATTATTTGCAAATTATTAAACTAACATCTAACAGTGTGATGCATATATTAAATGATCTAATTTATTGTAAAAAATACAAAGATATTTGGATTTACCATTTACGTTAATGTTGCTAACTCTATCTGCATAACAAATTTGCTTTGCTGAAGCTATTAACTTCATATAGACATCTATAAAAAAGGAGATTTTAAAAAGAGAGCAAGCATACTTGACAGCAAATGCAATATTATTATCTATTAAGAGTACACACTTGATATGACAATACTTGAATAAGAACAAATAATAATCAGTATCACGTGACACGAAGATACCTTTTCAAAATAGCATCTGGCCTTGTTACTGAATACACTCCTCAAAATCACTGAGGCATGCAAACCTAAAACCATCCAAACTCCGTTAAAATTATTTTGAAATGTTTTCTGATGCTATCATTTTTTACACAAAGAATTATTTTTCAATGATACTATTTTTCAGAATATATAGCCATATCCGTAAAGAACAATTACAGGTAAAGTATTGGTATGGAGAGGAGGAAGAATTAATATTTGTACATATCACCTGAACCAATCTCCGAGTCAACCTTGACATCATTATGTCCATTTATTCAGATATGGAACGTTAGATGGCAGAGGTTAATGAATAGGCCAGAGTCTTGTTATACAGCCAGTTGTCAGGGGAGCGAGGATCTATACGTAAAATGTATGACTCTGAACTCCATACATTATTTTTCACAATATATTGCTTCTTAAGCTTATTTTTTTGTAAATTAACTAGATCACTTGGGGTTGTTTACAACACAAAATTAAGCATTAAAATTTACATAATATAATTCAGACTCCAGAGGTCTTATATCTCAACAAATATATGACACACACATATTTTTCAAATTGTTCTCCTTCATTGTCTATAATCTTAAAATTTCTGCTTCTCAATATCAGGCACCAAACTTACCAAATAAATTGAAAATGCCTAGCAGGGATGTTCCTGGCCTAAGTGTGTGCCTAACATCCACAGTGGAGGTATCTGTAGCCTTGGTGGACAGCTCCATACACAGCGGGAATCATTCCATCTTAGATGACTAGTCTGTCTCTCTCTGTCTCTCTCTCTCTCTCTCTCTCTCTCACCTGCTTTATTGCTGTTAACATTAACACATATTCAGATCTCCCCTGCCCTTATCATTTTCCATCTATCTTTACACATGTAGCCTTTTCACAAATATATATAAGCCCCGATCTGTACATGCTACTCCAAGTAATGAGTCAAGAGCGTTGTACTACACGAACGAAGCCCTCATCCTCATTATGTTTACATTTTCATAATGTAACTTTGCGCATAAAAGTCCCTGAAGCAATACAAGTTTAGGCTGCAAGAAAGACAACAATCAAGAAAGCCTTTGAAAATTTGACCCAATAAACTATGTTAATGACAATACTGCTAATCGAGCTGGGAGACTAAAGGGCAAGATCAGTTTGGCATTGGTGGGGTTATATACATAATTCTGCAGTGGCCTTGTTAGGTTAGAAATACCTATTATACGCAAGTAGAAATGTCAAAATGGAACTGTAATATATAAATTTCATGCTCAGGGGAAAGACCTGACCCTGAGATATAAACTGAGGAATTGTCTGCCTATAGATGGAATGCAAAGCCATGAGACAGGTGTGATAACAAAGGGACAGAAGATAAATAACAAAAATATATGGATTAAGGACAATGGTAGGGATATTTGAATCTTTAGACAAAGGTTAGAAACAAAGGAGGAGTAACCATAAATGGAGGCTCAGAACTGTGGGATATGAATACAGTTAGGGAGAGTAATGTGCTACAAACCGAGTACAGAAAGTGCCTGAAAAAAGTAGCCATAGGCAATCATGCCCTATGCAACTAAGAAGTTTAAATAAGTACCAGTATCAATATTGGATTTGATATGAAGTGTTAGCGACCCTGACACAGATAGTATCAGTGAAGTGATGGGGACAAGTCTCACTGAATAAAGCAAAAAGGGGCAATATAATAAAAAAGGAAAAAAATCAATGACAGGGAAAAATAATGTAAAATATATTTCAGACCCATAAAAGATTGGCCAACATCAAAAGCAGATAGAAGAGGCAAATAAAGAAACTTTAGATAGAGTATTTAAAAAGGAAAACAGACAAAAGATATTTTAAATAAAATAGTCATAAAATAGCATGGGTGTGGAACATAGAATCTCTCATGCACTAGTGTTTACAATGTAAAGTAGTAGTCATTTTGGAGAGAAATCTAGCAGTACTTATAATTCCTACATGTGCTGCCAAAGCAAGCAGAGTACTTATAATTCATTTGCATGTGTTTGTGTGCCGATAGATGTACTTTAGTAAGTTGGTTAACTGATTCGTTGGTTAGTTAGTTGTAAAGACTTTTCCCTGAGTAAACCTCCAGAGTAGAGCAGAATAATTCTCATGCAGGTTCAAAAACGAAGGCATATGAAGTTCCAGTTCTCAGCATTGTTTTTGTATATGAGGACATCTCTGGATCTAGATGTGCATCATTGGGGAACACGGATAACATGTAACAGAAAAAAGAAACACTGGAATTCCACGTAACAATTTCAATTAAAGCTTGGATATGTAACAGCAATGTGGATAAATGTTAATGATGTACATAGATAGAAAATTTGAGAAACACAATGTGGTCTATAAAACATACTGCATATATGGGCTAAAACTGCAGCACAATTAATGACTCAAAGTTTTATGTAAATACATTCAAATTAAATTTTAATCACAAATGGTTGCTAAAGAGGTGCTGGTGAAAGGTGATGAGGAAGAAGCAGAAGAAATATGAGAAAGGACCTTTGTAAGGATCCATGTTGATGGTGTGTCACAAATTGGGGAATAGGATTAACACAACCTGCATTTGCATTCCAAAAACAGGTAAAATGGGAGTTTGGACAAGCAGATATAGAAGAAATAATAACTCTTTTAAAACATTTTGTAATAAAGAGGAAAAAGAAATGATGAGGTAGATAAAGGCAGTTGGAGGTCAAAAGAGATTTTTTCAGGCAGAAGATTTGTTTGCATATTTGAATACAGAAGAACATTAAAGGGATGGAGGAGAGAGTACAATAGAGAGGAAGAAATGTTCATGAAAGGATTGAGGGAGCTTTGGTCAACAGTAATATTTGATAAAACAAGATTCAGTTTAAAACTGGAGGGGTTGGCATAAGATAGGGATAAGGACATTTCTCCATGGCAACAAGAAGAAAAGAGAAGATTGTGAGTACTGATGCAGATAGGAAATAGACAAAGAATTGGGAGGATAAAATAGCTGTCTTCTGTTTGCTTCTATTTTCTTAATAAAAAAGAATCAGTCCATCAGTTGAGAATAACAAGTGGAAAATGAAGGCTGCAGGACTACAAGATGAAGAGATGTGAAATTGAAGAGAAAATGTGAGAGCATGAGAAATAAAATTTCCAAGGGAAATTTGGTAGGATTGTTCTTTTTTAATTTTTATTTTAAAAAACATTTCTGTAGGCACTTTTTGCTGTTTTAGTATAGATTAGAGATAAGTAGAGGCTGAGTTGCACTAGACCTGGGTTTTTCCAGATGAACATGTAGACATATTCAGTACTTGTATTACTGTGTCTCTTAGTAGAAGTAAACATATTTGACCACAGACTTCTTTTCTGAAATCTGTTCCCTTGGCTTTGAGCACACAACATTCATTTTCAGTTTTCCTTCCAGGCTCCTGCTACTCTATCCAAATATTCAGTGTTGGAATTCCTCATTATTTAATCTAAGATATTCTTCTCACTGTTAACATTTTCTGCAGTCTATATACACTCCCCAAATATCAGGTACCATCCATCTATGCATAATGTTCCCTAGTTTGACACCTCTAACCCAGATTATTTTTTTTGAGTCCCAAATCTCAAACCCAATTTTCTACCCTACCTCTGCATTTGGATGTATATTAGGATCCTGAAACTCAACATGACCAAGATGAATCCATCTTTTCACCAAAAATGGGCTCTCTCTCAAGCATTTTTGTCTCATTAAATGTTCCTACCATCTGTCCAGAGAAAAAATTAGAAACTTGGGACTCATCTTTAATTCCTACCTCTTTCTAAATTCCACATTTAATCAATCAAGTCTTATCTATTCTTCCTTCTAAGTATTTATCTAGTAGTTTTCATTTCTCCTGAATATTAGAATAGTATAGAGAGGTTAACAAAATACATACTTCTCTGAGTCCCATCTCCAGAGATCCTGATTCAATTAGGCTGGTGTAAATCCCAGACACGGAATTAATAATAATAATTTTAAAACTCTAAGAAATGTTGATGTTATTGAAAATCACTGCTTTGACTCACTCATTTCTTTCTATCCTATCTTTCCAAATCTTAATGCAAACTAATACAAAGGTTAACAGTATTGTAAACAGTAAATCTCATATAATTAGGTCATTGCAATAACATCTTAAGAAGTCTCATTGTTCCTACTCTCACTTCTTTTCTCTACATCGCAGCAGGAAGGCTTTCTTTCTTTTGTAATGCATATCTAAGTATGTAATGCCTGTGCTTAATGCCCTTTAGTTACCTCCTGCTACACATAGGTTAATGACTTCAACTTTATACACGGTTTGAAACAACAGGTATACTTTATTTTCTTCCTGTCTTGTGCAAGGATTTGTGCATGTCAGTCCTTCAATCTGGATTGCTGGTGTCCCCTCTTCAGGTTTCTTTGCCTTACTAACTGCCTAGACAAAGTTGTCTCTCCTGTTTTATATATCCATTCTACACTCTCTCCTTGTCCTGCACATTGCACAGCACTCATCACACAGAGTCTACTTGTCTTGTGGATAGTGGTATTAGCAAACAGTTATTGAGTGCTTATAATGTGCTAAGCACAATGCTGAGTGCTTCAAAAACACAATCTCCTGTTAATACAAAAGAATGCTATAAAAGACGTACTGTAAATATTTCCATTTTAAAGATGAATAAACTGAGGTCCAAAAAGATTAACCATTTTCTGCAAGATTTTATGGTGAGTAAATTGTAGGTTATAACTTAAACTCAGGACATTTTATTTCAGAGCACACCCTCATCAGCCCTAAACTGAAGTGCCCAATGATGCATATTTTAAACTAACTTTTTTTTAATCAAAAGCTTTATTGCGATATAATTGATATGCAAAAGAATGGCACCTATTTAATGTATACAATTAGATGAAATTAGAATTTCATTCCCTCATGAAACCATCACTAAAATTAAGATGATAAACATATCCATCACCTCCTCCAAAAGTTTCCATCTCTTCGTTTTCATTTTTGTTTTTGTTTTGTAGTAAGAAAACTTAACATAAGATCTACCCTCTTAAATTTTTTAGGTCCACAATACACTATTGTTAACTATAGGCACTATGTTGTACAGCAGATGTCCAGAATGTATTAATGTTGCATAACTGAAACTTTATATTCATTGAACAATTCCTATTTCTCTCTTTACCCAGACTCTGGCAACCACCATTTTACTTTTTGCTTCCATGAGTTTGACTATTTTAGGTATCTCATATATATGGCATCATGCAATATTTGTACTTCTCTGATTGGCTTCTTTTACTTTTGTAATATCCTCCAGGTTCAACCATAACGTCACAGAAAGCAGGATTTTCTTCTTTTATAAGGCTAAATAATATTCCATTGTATGTATATACCACATTTCTTTTTTTTTTTTTTTTTTTTTGGTCACCCAGGCTGGAGTGCAATGGCAAGATCTCGGCTCACCGCAAACTTCGCCTCCCAGGTTTAAGCGATTCTCCTGCCTCAGCCTCCCTAGTAGCTGGGATTACAGGTGACTGCCTCCACACCTGGCTAATTTTTTGTATGTTTAGTAGAAATGGGGTTTCGCCATGTTTGGCAGGCTCATCTCAAACTCCTGACCTCAGGTGATCCACCTGCCACGGCCATACCACATTTCTCTATCCATTTATCCATTGGCGGGCATTAGGTTTTTTGTACATATTGGCTATTACAAATAATGCTGCAATGACCATGGGAGTACAGATAACTCTTCAGGATCCTGATTTTAATTATTTTTTATATGTACCCAGAAGTAGGGTTGTTGGGTCGTATGGTAGTCCCATTTTTAATTTTTTGAGGAATCTCTATAATGTTTTCTGGAATGGTTGCCTCATTTTGCATTCCCACCAAAAGTGTACAACGGTTCCAGTTTTGCCACATCCTTGTAAACACTTATCTTTTATTTGTTTTTTTTTTGATAATAGCCATCTTAACAGGTGTATGGTCATATCTCATTATAGTTTTTATATGCATTTATCTGAAGATTAGTGACATTCAGCACTTTTTTATATAGCTTGTTAGCCATTTGTATGTCTTCTTCAAAGAAATTTCTATTCAAGTCCTTTGCCCATTTCTTTAAATTGGTTTATTTGTTTTTGTTTTGTTTTGTTTCTGTTATTGAGTTGTAGGAGTTCCTTATAGTTTCGGAAATTAATTCCTTGTCCAGATATATGGTTTGCAAATAGTTTCTCTTATCCCATAAGTTGACTTTTTATTCTCTGATTTTCTTAGCTGTGCAGAAGTTTTTTTAGTTTAATGTGTTTCCACTTGTCCATTTTGCTTTTACTACGTGTGCTTTTGGGGTCATAGCCAAGAAATCATTGCCAAACAAAACACCATAAAATCATTGATGTGATTTTTGGAATTTTGTTAAATACTGTTTTTCATAGAAATTTTATATGTTAATCAGTAAAGTTAAAAGTAAAAGTCTAATGATCCTAGTTTATCATCAATAATTAACAAAATTACTTGCATTACATATCACTGGGCCATAGAACACATTGCATACTAAACCAAATTAGTATCAGCCATAATCCTAAATAAATGCATGTGTACTGTTGTCTTTCAGTACAATTATACTGTTTACAATAATTACTAAGATAAAAATGCTGAATATCATAAATGTATTGTTGTCTTTACTTTCTCTTATGAAGCAATGCCAGCTTCAAAGCACAATCAGCAATTGAGCAGTAATGGGTCTGCCCAAGAAAGCCCAGAGTTATAATGCAGATGTTAAGTGTGCACTGTTACCAGATTGAGTTAAAGCAAAACCTTCTAGATATCTGACTATGTGAGCACCACCACCTACCAAAAATATCCATACATTTTATTATTTGGGAAGTATGCTAAGTGCCTTGGATACTTTGCCTCATTTCATACAATAACATTAAGGTAAGTACCATTATAATAATCCATATCTTACAGTTACAGATAGCAAGTAAATACTGAATAACTTATTCAAAATCACAGAGCTAGCAACTAGCAGAGCTAGAGCCAAAATCCAGAGCTCCTGACTTAAAACGTCATGCTTATGTTGACCATGTCGTACATACTTCTGTAGAACATATGAGCTCTGGTTGGTCTGGTGAACAGATGGGAAAAGACAGTCTTTATTGAAGATATTGGGAGTGTGTGGAATTTATAAATACCTGAAGGTGAATGGTGACAGAGTGAAAATTTTTCAGCATAAAGATTAAGAATATAGAAGTTGGCTAGAAATTGGTTTCCTGCAGAGCTTAAAGGTAGATCTAAATTCAACTGACATTTTCATATGCTATCTTATAGAGTTATGTTTTATGTATATTTCTATCTCTGCAAGAAATAACTGCCCTAATTAAGGTCAGGGGTCATTTGTTTCCCTTTGCATCCTACTATGTAGCTACTCGATTTACACTCTTGCTACAGGAGGTCAGAGAAATTAGTTCATGCCATGCCCTAGATGTAGAAGCTATGAGAAAAAATGAATGTCAGATATGCATGCTTTGCTAGAATCAGAATCACGGAAGAATTCAATGAGCAATGGTGTAGGCAGCTTTTATATATAGAAAATCCATTCCTATGCTTTTAATTAAAACTTAACTGGACAGCGGTGTACCGATTCTGATGCTTTTTTATCATGAGTTCTAGGAAATATAGTCTTAAATATCTTCATTGATTTTTTAAGAGTCCTGGTTTTCCTTAGTTTGCTTGCACCTGCACCTCATATAATGAATTTTGTTTTCATAGGTGAATTTGCCATTGTTCCCTCCCTCCATACAATTAAGCACAGAAGTTGATAAGTAAGGATTAATGAGGTATTTTTAAAGTAGCTTTATATGTTTTGTGGAATAAATAGTTTGAGAAACGATGTTCGGAACAAATAGACAAATACAACACTGTTGTGATTCTATTGAAATTTTCAAAGTTCATTTCATCAACTCATCTAAATATGCCTTCATTTTAGTCACTTTCCATTATCCTGAATTTTGAAAGGATGAATATTATGATTCTTGATTAGTATATGTTGAGGAAGGCATATATGTTTAATAATAATAAAGGCATGTTACTATGGAAGCCTTGTTACCCTTTGTTTCCTGAAGTGTCTCTGCTTTTCCAAATACACCTCAAAGTACCATTTCAACATTCAGAGGACTGTTCTTACAATGTAATGATTAACACCTACTCATTGTTCTGTCGTCACTTTCAAAATGGAAACCAACTCACTTGAGATTGATAAGTATGTGAGCAGAGATCATGATTAAGTTTCAGCCACATAAAGCAGCATGCTGCATTGGTATAAATACCTTTGAATATATTCTTATGAAAAATCATATCTAAGAAACTTCTAGAACATAATAGAAAAAAGACTTCATATGGTAATGGATTCATTTGCCTTGTAACTACTATTTTAATATTCTACACTTTCTTTACATGTCAGTGCTATTTCTTTTGATGAGTGCTACAACTTTTGGTCAGCTAGCTTGTTCACATTTTCACAGAATTAATTTGTTACTGGTTTATACTTCCCTCCAGCAGGAAATGTACCTGTTATTATAATATCATGAAAACTGTACAACCAGTATCTAATTAACTTGAAGAAAATTTTAGGCAGCACTTTTTTGAGCCACATTTTTCATAGGCAGGGCTATCAAACGTTTTAATATTTGTTCTCAACGCATTCAGAACATGGGCAAAATAATCACCCACTTTGATTTATAGGAATTTGCTTTCACAACAGGAACTTCATCCAAGACATTGGTTTCCAAATGCATTTCCAATTCTTATTTAGTAGGAGGAACAGAAGACCCCATACCTTATCAGCCATAAATTACTCTCCTGTTAAACTTACTGCTAAACAAGGAGCTATAGTCCTATTAAAATCCAATTAAACATGCATCGCATTTGATAGATATAATTAGAACAAGTGTAGAGAGTAAATGGCTCCAAGCACTGTAGCTGAAAGAGCTCTAAGATCAGTGTTAAAAGGGAAAATAATAGACCATATGTTGGGGATTTTATTTCTGCAATGATGCCTTCTTTATTGTCGTGATTTTATTTATTACCTTTTAGCTACTTGTTTATTTATTACCTTTTAGCTACTTGTTTAGCTACTAGTTTCTCTAACTTACTGGTAAAGGATTGTTTTGCTTTCACATTTGCTTCCACTAATAAGGATATTGTGTCTCCTTTCATGGGGTAAATTAGACATTTTGGTAATAAAATAGTGGATTTTGCAATAATACCCTAAAAATTGTAGCACTTAAAATATTTTTAAATCATTTTTTCAGGTTTTTAATATGCATTCCTCATTGCATCTTACAACTTATGTATGAATCTTTCTAATTGTCTTTCTCACAAGGATGTAATTATTAGGAATTGCCAACCTAGACCTAGACACTGCAAGATGTCATTGGCATCCTTATATCCTCATCCATTCTCCCACAGTAGCTGTAACAATATCTTTGCTGAATCCCTCTCAGTAGTTCTTAAAAATAATGTGTGCTCTTTGTACCCTGCTTTTGCTAATCAAAATATAGGAGTATTTTTGGACTTTCATGTGACTATTCAAAAAAATCTCCCTTTATATCAGGGTTAAAATGAACTATTCTAAGCAGAGCTGTGTCCAATGCACAATATATTTTGGTAAAGGATGACAAGTACTGTAAATGTAACCAGGTAGAACATAAATAGAATATTAAACATAGGTTTACTTGCACTGACTTGATAATGTTAAAATTGAATATTCAGATAATGAATATTATACTGTGAAACATCAGGGACAAATCAAGGAGGACGATGCTTAAATGTTTCCATGTGTCCCTTCTCATTTGTTAAGTGTCAGCTGATTTTTACCTATTAGGTTTTATAACACCAAAACATTGTTTCTTAAATTTTCTGCTAATTGCTGTCACCACTTCAAGGCCAGTTATAGTTAAGTCTTGGAACAATTAACAGCTCATATCTGTTCATGGACACATCGCTTAGAAAAAAAAAAATGAACCGAAAGAAACAGAATTTGAGAGTCTGGAATTTAGGACGGGTGCATCATGTTTCTCGCTTTTTAAATCTTTTCTGTTTCTCTATGATTGGCTTCCTTCTCCCTTACTGGATGGATTATTCTCTAGGCAAAAAGAGTCACTGGCAGCTCTCAAGTCATTCCAGCATAGCTAACCCAAAGGAGGAAAAAATGTTTTCCTATCAGCTTCACAGGGACAGGAATCAGATTATCCCTATTTGGCTCAAGTTACACAATCACCCTGACTATGCTTAGCTCAAACCATGTCCTATGCCCACTCGTGGTCGAGAAGGAGGATTCCATTACTAGAAGTTGGGTTGTGGGCAGGAATAAATGTGCTAAGTAGACAGGAAGAGTAGTAATATCAGGTCTATATAAGAATCTGCTGCCAGCTAGTCTTTGAGACTGCCCTGCCTTCACAGACTCTCCCTATGGGCATGGTTCCTGCATGGCCACAGGCTGATAGTCAGCTTCTTAAAAACTTGTAGTGCATAGTTGACAGACCCTTCCTGATTCCTCAAGTGAGAGAGAAAGTGAAAAGAAGTTAATCTGTTTTATTGGGATTTCTGGCTTTCTCATGGGATTTTTGTCTTTTTCTATTCTTTTTTCTCATTGCTCTCCATAGAGCACATTTTGCTATACTGTTATATCCTATAATTTCCTCTGTCTGTCTTCCTCTGCAACATAGTCCTATAATAAACCTGGACTGTTTACAAATGTACAGTTATTTGCATGGCTTCACGATGCAAAATATATAAAAAGTGAAAATGTATTTATCTGAAATAATTCAGGTGAAGATATATTCATACTAGGCTTTCTTAACATTATTATTCTCCAAAATCTCATATACATACAGTGTCTTTTAAGTCTTTGGATTCCATCAAAGTTCCCTTGAGGGGGCATGTCAAAATATTGGGAGCTTTAGAAATGTAAATACACAATGTGAAATTCTAAGAACTATCAAATAATTTATATTTTATAAAATTACTTAATAGAATAACTAAGTAGACTCACATACTTAAAAGCAGTAATTCATTTTGATCTAACTTGCTTTTAATAAATACTTTATTCAAAAATACCTTTAAGACTATGTTGACCCTGTAGCTGATCCATTATTAACTCTGCATAGAATTATTATATTATAAAGATATTTGTACTATAAAATTTGGGTACTTTATGATGATCTGTTTTATAGCATCAGAAATATGAAAGAATAAAGTTATCAGAAATAAACTTACCTGTTAAAAGCAAATTTGCATTCATTTATCAAATTATTTTGGAATTATATATTAAGAATTGGCAAATGCTGATGGATTTTGGATTTAAAGAAAAGTATGAAATTTATTTACATTTTATTCTGCAGTTTTATTCATTTATTTACATTTATCAGATGTGACCCTTTTTAAAAAAAACACATATCATTTCTAAAGTTGCATGGAAAATTTTAAATCACGGAGCAGCACAATGTTTAAAAAGCTAAATAATGAGAACACATGGACACAAAGAGGGGAACAAAAGAAACAGGGGCCAACAGGAGGGTGGAGGATAGAAGGAGGGAAAGGACCGGGAAAAATAACTAATAGGTATTAGGTTTTACTACCTCAGTGATGAAATAATCTGTACAACAAACCCTGAAGACATGATTTTACTTATATAAACAGGTGTTTATAGTTGTCCATTCTGATTTGTTAGGGCCCATGCTACTTATGTTTTTATTGTTATTTTTATTTATTTTCGAGACAGAGTGTCACTGTGTTGCCCAGGAGGGAGTGCAGTGGCATAATCTGGGATCACTGGAACCTCCACCTCCTGGGTTCAAGTGCTCTCCTGCCTCAGCCTCCCCAGTAGCTGGGATTACAGGCACGCGCCACTATGCGTGGCTAATTTTTGTACTTTTAGTAGAGACGGGGTTTCACCACGTTGGCAAGGCTGGTCTTGAACTCCTGACCTCAAATGATCCACCCCCCTGGGCGTCCCAAACTGCTGGGTTTAGGAGCGTGAGCTACTGCGCCTGGCCAGCACCCAGGCTATTTAGATTTTGGCCTCCTTCCAATCAACCAGGGTGAATTTTTAAAAATATAAACAACATGGCACGCTTTCACTGCTAAAATTTTTCCAATGGCTTTCCAGGTCACTTGGAATAAACTCTAGACCCATTGCTATATCTTATAAGACCTTCAGGATCCATCCACAACATGCTAAACATGATTCTGATTCATAACCTTTTGCTTTTATTTTTCCTTTTGCCAGGATTGCTTTTCTCCCAGCTGTTTATATGGCTTTCTGCCACACCTAATAGATGTCTTTGCTCACATTCCACTTTCTCCATGAGGTTTTTCTTATTCATCTTTTCTCAGATAGTAGCCTCCCCATAATCATTCTCTATTCTCTTTCCCAGATTCCTTCTTTTTCACTTTCTTTGCCAATACTTGACATTATACGCTTATTTATGCATTTGGTTACTGTTTGTCTTTCTTACTAAAATGCAAACTCAATCAGGTCAGGGACTTTATGTTTGTTTACATCTTAATCCTTAGTGCTCAGAGCATGCCCAGAATATGGTGGGTTTTCAATAAATATCCATTACAATGATGAATATTTAAATCTGTATGTTCAAAAAGATAGTTAACCCATCTAAGTTTCAGTTTTCTCATTAGCAAAATTGGTATAATTATGGCAACATCTACTCCACTAAGATTTAATTATGATCAAATAATACAACGAATATGAAAGTACTTGAAAATTGCAAAGAATAATTGTGGTTTTCTGAGAAAATAAAAATCTTTTGAAGGCAAATCTTTACTAACTACACTGGGTTTTCTACTTTTTCTTATTATTATAATCTGAGAAGATTTTCTTTCTCAGTATCAAGAAGTGGTAGAATATTATAATTTAATTAATGATAGATCATAAGTACAGCACTGATAATTCATATATATTCTCATGAAAGCTACATCATCAATCACAGAAAGGAAAATTAATAAAGTAATCATAGACACCTTTACAAGGCTTTAAATAACCGTAAAGTTAGAAACTTTGCAGTATAGCCTAGTAGAACCAGCAAAATAAACTTTAATAAGAAAGTATTTTTCATTAATTTTTCAACTAGCCCCATCATGTAACTATTACTTCTGAAAACTGTGGTACCTATAGTTCTCTATAAATAGGAGGTTTATGCCAAAAGAATAAAAATTAAAATTAAAATGTCAGTCTATAGTGTAACTGCTAAGTTTCATCATCATTGTAAGTCTAACCCTTATGAAATTATTCATTTTGTGAATCAATTCCTCTAATAAACAATGAACTATTTATTAATAAAACATATAATAGCTATTCTGGCATAGAAACTTTAAAGTTGTTTCTTAAAGTGTTTTAAATACTATATCTCAGGGAATAAATAAATAAAAAAATGATAGAGATCTAGCCATCTTGGGGATAAAGGCTCCACCTACCTCTTATGTAGGAGTTAAGCCAATTTGCTGGCTTAAATAACTTAAACTCAATGTAACTTCTTGGCAGAGCACATATTTCCTAAATTAATGTATCTTCATATTTGTCTTCTATTTAAATTCATATTTGGGTCCAAAAAGTAAAGCTTTTAAAATAACTCATATATTTCTAGTTCCCTATATAATAGAAATGTAAAAAAGAAGATAATCTTTTCAAAGATATAAGAAAATTATTTTCTAGCCAAAAACTCATTTATGTTATTTACTTTCATGTAAAATAGCTATTATTCAAAATACTTAGATATAACATCACATAATTTGTGGCACTATAAAACCCAACAGACTTTTTCCTGGAACAATAAACATTAATTATTTTAAATTTAAGTACATCGAATGTTGCAATGACAATAAAAGATGAATTACAATTATGTGTCTGATATTGGCAATTACTTAGAATGACAACTAATGTAATACTAATAAAAATTTTTCTTTATCAATTTAAAGCTGTGTCCAGAATTGGTGGGTTTTTGGTCTCGCTGACTTCAAGAATGAAGCCGCAGACCCTCGCAGTGATTTTACAGTTCTTAAAGATGGTGTGTCCGGAGTTCGTTCCTTCTGATGTTCCGAGGTGTCCGGAGTTTTTTCCTTCTGGTAGGTTCGTGGTCTCGCAGACCTTCGCAGTCAGTGTTAACAGCTCTTAAAGGCAGCGCATCCAGAGTTGTTTGTTCCCCCCGCTGAGTTCGTGGTCTTTTGCTGGCTTCAGGAGTGAAGCTGCAGACCTTCATGGTGAGTGTTACAAATCTTAAAGGTGGCACAGACCCAAAGAGTGAGGAACAGCAAGATTTCATGCATGAAGAGGGAAAGAACAAAGTTTCCACACAGTGGAAGGAGACCTGAGCACGTTATTGCTGCTGGGTTGGGTGTCCTGCTTGTATTCCCTTATCTGGCTCCACCCACATTCTGCTGATTGGTCCATTTTACAAAGAGCCGATTGGTCCATTTTACGGAGAGCTGATTGGTCCGTTTTGACAGAGTGCTGATTGGTGCGTTTACAAACGTTTAGAATGGCACAAAAGTTCTCCAAGTCCACACCCAATGAGCTAGACACAGAGTGCTGATTGGTGCATATATAAACCTTTGGCTAGACAGAAAAGTTCTCCAAGTCCCTACCCAATTAGCTAGACACAGAGCTCTGATTAGTGCATTTACAAACCTTTAGCTAGACAGAGAGTGCTGATTGGTGCATTTTTACAGAGTGTTGATTGGTGTGTTTACAAACCTTTAGCTAGACACAGAGTGCTGATTGGTGCATTTACAATCTTTTAGCTAGACAGAAAAGTTCTCCAAGTCCTGACCCCACCCAGAAGCCCAGCCAGCTTCACCTCTCACTAGCACTGGGCAGGGGTCTTGCCGAGGCACTCCAGCAGCCCAGAGGGAGCTTGTCCCAGACAATCAAGAGGAAAAGAGGGGAAGCGAGAAAGAGATGCAGACCTGCTATGGTGGCCAACGATCCCGCGAAGAGGGAAGGGCAGTCCACTCACGGGATTCAGCCTCCGATCAAGCCCAGCAGGCGCTGGCCAGCCGCGCCAGTTGCAGGGCTTGCCGAGCTGGCGCTCACCTGGAACCGGTGCCAGCCCGCGAGTGCCGTGCCTGCGCCTCTCTCTTCACACTTCCCCAAGAGCAGAGGGAGCGGGCTCTGGCCTTGGCCAGCCCCAGAGAGGGGCCCTCATAGCGTAGGGCGGGCTGAAGGGCTCCTGGAGCGCAGCCAGAGCAGAGGCCGAGGCCGAGGAGGCGCCAAGAGCAAGCGAGGGCTGCTAGCACGTTGTCACCTCTCAAACCCATCAATATGGTAATTGATATAATTTCAAAATATGGCTATGTATTGAATGTATTTTCAATGATTTGATTTACACTTTCAGCTATGATTTCCCCCTATTAGGAAGAATGTCAACCCTTTAAAAAAGAGAAAATGAAAATATATTTATATAATTTCAAAAGAGAATTACCAAATTTGAGTTTATTTCCTTTCTTTAAGCAGCACTCCAATGACACCATGAGAGGGAAAAATATCCATTTTCAAACCTACTGAGAAGTCGTTTCAGTGGCCATGCTCAAGTGTTTCACACTAGATCTTAGATTACAAACTTCTCTGCACAAATAGTGTAATAACAGCATAATTATATATGTAAGGAAAAATTGAAAATAAGTATTAATACTTACATTTTAATATGCTTATAGTTAAGCATGATGGTTTTAGGGACAGGTAAAGAAAAGATACATTATAAGCATATACTGGTGCTCACGGCTCTCAGAGCCAATGAGTTACTTGTTTTATAACCTTAAACTAATAAACTTCAGCAATTTATTGTCTATTTCTTCTTACACAGGGCCTCAGATGGAATTTTGTTATATCTAATTTTCCTCATTAATTGACAATATTATAGGAAAGTCCCACGACTTTTGGCAGCAAATGGTAAAGATGCAAAACTGTGGGTTATTGGTCTGGAATATGAGCATTCTAAGTCTGTGATATGTCAGATGAAATGCAGGCTGTTTTAAAATTGTAAAATGGATGGCATTTTGGGGTAAAGTGGAAAATATATCTGTTATAAAGGGTCTGACTCCAGTTTTTATGTTTGTCTGCTAAAAACCTACCCTTTTCACTTCCCCTTATACCCCACATCTGGCAAAACTGATACAAACTTACAGCTGCTCTCTCAGTTGGCACCGCAGAGAAGTTTAAACCATGTGCAAAAATGGCCACACCCCTAATCACAATGGAAAACCCCAGGCCAATCTCTTTTCCTTGCTCTCTCCAGTCATTTTCAGACCTACTTGGAATCATCCTGCTCTCCCCCAGAAAATCTCATTATGTAATAAAATGCTTCATACCCTTTTGATGTATGTGTGCTATCACCAGGCTTGCCATCCAAACCAAATTGTGGATAAGGATCCATCTTACTCCTTCATGTCACGTGCGTCTGTGTGAAGAGACCGCCAAACAGGCTTTGTGTGAGCAATAAAGCTTTTTAATCACCTGGGTGCAGGCGGGCTAAGTCTGAAAAGAGAGTCAGCAAAGAGAGTTTAGGGGTGGGGCAGTTTTACAGGATTTGGGTAAGCAGTGGAAAATTGCAGTCAAAGGGGGTTGTTCTCTTGCAGGCAGGGGCAGGGGTCACAAGGTGCTCATTTGGGGAGCTTCTGGGCCAGGAGAAGGAATTTCACAAGGTAATGCCATCAGTTAAGGCAGGAACCGGCCATTTTCACTTCTTTTGTCATTCTTCAGTTGCTTCAGGCCATCTGGATGCAGGCTTAGGCTCAGAGGCCTGACACTTCAGAGTGGCTTTAGAATTCTCTCTTGTCTTTGTGGAAGGGTTTCTTTATCTGGATGTTCTCTTTCTTGCTTGCTTTAGGTGACTAATTCTAAACACCCAGGATTTCTCTCAGTGGTGCATCTTACACAGATACACCCCAAGACTGATCTCAATCAACAGTCACATATGTGACTCCAGTTTTGTTGTTTGTTTTGTTTTGTTTTTTGAGACAGGGTCTCACTGTCTCACCCAGACTGGAGTGTAGTGGCACGATTTCAGCTAACTGCAACCTCTGCCTCCCAGGTTCAAGCAATTCTCCTGCCTCGGCCTCCTGAGTAGCTGGCATTACAGGTGCGCACCACTACTGCCTGGCTAATTTTTGTATTTTTAATAGACAACGGGTTTCACTATATTGGCCAGGCTGGTCTCGAACTCCTGACCTCAAATGATCCACCCACCTCGGCCTCCTAAAGTGCTGGGATTACAGGCATGAGCCACCGTGCCTGGCTGTGACTCCATTTTAATGACAGTAGATATGCTCTGGTGCAGAATTTAAAGTTTCTTAATCATTTGTGAATATGTAGATACACAAGATATGTTTATCTTAAAACATAAGTATTTATGTATTAAAGTACACAATTTTTAAGTCTGACCACTTATGTATAGCTCCACCAACAATTTCAGAACTACTTTCTGTGTAGATTACTCAGTGCTTTCCTTGTGTCTCCTAAAGGCAGTCATTTCCACCAGGATTTGAAATGTCTCATAGGATACTCAAGGTGGAAATATATGCACTTTGAAATTAGAAAAAAATTGAAAAAAATAGCTAATAGAAAAGAATTGGTAAATGTTGGTGGCTCATGCATGTAATCCCAGCACTTTAGGAGGCCAAGGTGGGTGGATCATTTGAAGTCAGGAGTTCGAGACCAGCCTGGCCAACATGGTGAAACCCGGTGTCTACTAAAAATACAAAAATTAGCCAGGCAGTAGTGGTGTGCGCCTGTAATCCCAGCTACTCAGGAGGCTGAGGCAGGAAAATAGCTTGAACCTGGGAGGCAGAGGTTGCAGTTAGCCGAATTTCAGAGACACAAGTATTTGGGCATGTCATCTTTTTGAGTTTGTTCACATAATCAATGACCTATCTATGCAACCAATGTATAGAACATTCCTTCCCAAAAATCACTGGCAAATTTATAACAAAGCAGTGTTTTCTCTCAAAGAAAATGTTAAAAAGTCATGAAATAATAATTAATACAGTTAATTATAGAAGTATTTAATTAAGACTTCTTCTTTTGATTTTAAGTTACTCTAGTGAAGAAAGCAGGTAGCATGCCAGTAATAGAGAGTGTATAAATTGTAATTGTTAATGATGATTCTGATGCACTTGTTCTTATGGAAAGCTAGGACAGCATTGAACATGGCCTTTGAAGATGTGCAGACCCGAACTACAATCTTTATTGACTAGGTGTGACACAGCAAACAAGCTACTATTCCTCTCTTATTTTTCTCACCTGTAAAATGGAATAAAAACATTGAATTCCCATGGCCGTTAAAAGGATTACTGTACTTGACACAGAGCCCATAATAATAGCTATTGTTTCTATATTCACCCATATTTTACTCAGTGGAAATCACTTATATGTATTTTTGTCTCCATTACTACATTGAAAGCTCCTTGTGGATAAGCGTTATGTATTTCATCACTATATTCCTAGCAAAAATCATTCCAAGAATATCTTGGGCCATCCATAAATGTAAGAGGCCTTAATTATTTATAATGTTGGTGATGTCAAACCAACCATACTCTTACTTTTTTGACTACATGCAGTATTTTTGCTGCAATTTTCCTACAATTGTGTATCAGATTTACTAGGAAGCTTTTTTTTACTTCACATTCTGTTATCTATCTCATTACTGTAAAATATGTACAACAGTGACTGTAGTAATTTCTTTGTGGTATAAATAACCAATAGAAAAAAAAATGAGTCTTGTTTTACATAACAATGGACCATCAACTAAAAAGTCAGATGGTCAAGATACTCTCTAAAGTACTGTAAGTCAAATACAAATTAACAATTTAAACATTAACATTTACATTGTAAATTACATTATTAGGCCAATTCATTTTATACATGAAAAACTTTAATGTAAAGTTTATGAATGTTGCCTACATAGCAGTATTTTTGGAACAATGTTACTTAAAGCCAGTTTTTGAAGAGTAATTTGGGTAATAGTTCCAATAAAATTATAGAAAACATTGGCTTTCCAAGATCATCAGCCCTCATTTTAATCCAAGGTAAATTATTTAAACATTTTAAAGTGGTGCTTGATAAAATGGCTCCAACAGATTAAAAAGTTAAAATATCATAAATATTTATTGAGTACCAATTTCACGCCATAGACTAAGTATAAGGTATAGTCTTGGCCCTGAAAAAACGCACAAACACATACATAATTGGCTACAATGTTAGAAATGGATTAATAGAACTGTGTGTTAAGTACTCCAGCATGTGAAAACAGAGGTTCAGAACATTAATCCTGCCATTTGAAAGGAAGATCCAAAGAAGTCATGTTAAGGGGTTTATGCTTGAAATTAATCTTGAAAGATAAATAGAGGTTTGAAAGTAAGAACATTTTAGAAATAAAAGAGTATATGCAGCTTTTGGCAATATAAGAAAGAATGTTTTGCTTGGGGAGAATGACAAGTAGTGCATTACGCCTGGAGCATAAAAAAGTGTCAGAGGAGAGAGGTGTGAGATGAGAACAGAAAAGTAGACTGGGATCTCATCATGAAGCACCTTTGTGTTTCAAGCTAGAAAGCTTGAATCTTAAACTATAAATTGAACTATAAACTATAAATTGAAACCATAGTATTGAGAATTTTAAGAATAGGATGAATAAAATCAAATTCACATTTTAGGATATTCTCTGGTTACCGTATGGAGAACGGGTTGCAGTATGGGAAATTGGTAGGCAGAGAGTAATAAAGTGAAGCAATAGTGTAGGGAAAAGATGAGATCTGAAACTATGGTAGTAGCAGTTGGGTTGGAGATGAGAAAACAGATATGAAAGACATTTAGAACCAGCATTTGTAAGATTTGGTGATAGGCTATGAAAGATAAAAGCTGGTGAAGAAGAGCAGAGATTATCTTGTTTATAGTTTAGGCTAGATGGTACATGTAACATTCTTTACCGCTATTATGTTATAGTATCTATGGTCCTCCTTCAAGAACATGGAGGCTGTCATTTGTGGGAAGGTGTGGCCACATGACTTACTTTAGCTAATGACGTTCAGGAATTGACATGTCAACTTCCAAGTGGAAGCTTTAGAAACCAGAGTTGATTGTCCACACTCTCTCTTTCCCTTTGCCACACAATGCCTAATAATGTAATAGTGGCTGCTCCCACAGTCTGGGTACTTGAATACAAACTATACAAAGCAAAATCCCCAGCCATAGCACCCAAGCCATGCTATCTTTTGAATAACATACTTATGTCTGGAATGTTTTATCACTTAAGGAAACTTCAATTAGATTTTCATTTTTTATGTTTCATAAAAAAAGTAAAGTGCTCTACTCTATACAAAATTTTAATTCCTTCACCTTTCCCCTCATTCACAAATCAGTTTTATAGTTCTTACTCTCTTATTAAACCACTGAATTTTTGTTTGTTTTGAGATTTTTTTTGTTATTATTGTTTTCTACTATAACCTTACCTTGATAATACTAAAGTGATGATGGAATAAAATTTAATTAAAAATAGCAGAATTTGTGGGATAGATGATGAGGTTAGGAATAGACTTGAGAGATTAAATGTAGCTGATTACATTGGCAGTTGTCAGATTTATGGAGTTAGTTTCTCAAAATTGAAGTGTATGTAGGTGGTATAAGTGGGTGTTAACCGAAGTCATGGAAGTAGATATAATTTTACTACTTTTCATTATGAAAAAATAAAGAGTAGTGGAAAAGACTGTTGAGGGCAGAACATTGAAATGCACCAACACTTACTGTGAATTTAGACTTTACCTTGAAGGAAATCTTTTGTCATCAAAGGCTTTAAATAGAAAAATGACACGATCAGAGCTCCGTGATTGAAAAGCCGCTCTGTAGCTGAGATAATTGACTAAGAATAAGAATAAACTGGTCATTAATAAATCTCTACATTCTTTGGTTTAAGTACATATTTATCCAGAAATTGTATCTTTGAATATACATGTTGCTCTTGAACATGTTCTCCTTTGGCTACTCTAAAATTATGCCATAAGCAAATAGTCAGTGTTTGCTACTAAAGTAGTACACTGTAGTTCCTACTATACATCTGATATAGTTCTTGGTTTCATGACTCCTGAACAGACCCAGAGGAGATGCATGTTTTTGAAGAGAAAACAACTCTAAGAGCTGCATGTCATTGAAACTAGCATGGGCGTTCTACAGAATACCTCAGAATACATCATCTTATCCTCAGCAATAGCATAGCGCTAAACACGTAAAGGACACAAAGGAGAATAAGTTGCAATTGCTGACCTCAAAATAATTAGAATCAAGAGAGAGGCTGGGACAAAATTGCTGTGAAGATACTTCGTTTTTTAAAAAAATACCTTATTCAAGACTGGTAGGTAATGCCAAAAGGCCACATGGTGCTATCTTTTGAATAACATACTTATGTCTGGAATGTTTTATCACTTGAGGAAACTTCAATTAGATTTCCATTTTTCATGTTTCATAAAAAAAGTAAAGTGTTCTATTCTATACAAAATTTTAATTCCTTCACCTTTCCCCTCATTCACAAATCAGTTTTATAGTTCTTACTCTCTTATTAAACTATGTCTAGATGCTAAATTCCAGTAAGAATATATTATCTGCAATGTTTCACTACTTAGGAGTGAAAAATACTAGCAATGGCCAAAGATTCTATTTTGCATTACCCACATAATACAGTAAATTATTTGAGTCTAGGTCAAAAAATACTTTTCATACTTGAGTCATCCAGTTAATAATGAAAAGATTAAGCATATATTTTGAAAGTCAAAAATAATACTATATCAATTGGCCTATCACAGCCTGCTGACTCATGGAAGAGTTAGAGGAAATAGACTGTCTGTTATTTGGATGCATAGACACAACAGGCAACAAAAAGAAAGGCCAGATAATATCTCACAAATGGCATAGGAAGGATTTTAACACTAGGGAAGTCTGGTTCTTTAAAATAAATGGGTGATTGCAGAAAGCTCCAGATAGACTGTTGACCTTGTCTGAGTAAATACGGAAGGGGAAAAAAAGAAAAAAAGAAATACAAACTATATAGAATGACCTCAAGTTGAATAAAACAGGAAATCCTCTTATCTGAAATTGCCCTGTAATTTCTATTTGAGTGGAGCAAAAGAAAGATATCTATTTCATACTTTATTTTTTCTTTCCAATTTATAACAACCAAATTCCATTTTAAATTAATGCAGCTATAGTAATATTTTTTCCTATTATACCCCGGTACACTGTACGGCTGCCTGTTCTATCTTGTGAACAGGTTATGGGTCTGTCACATAAAGTGTTATTTTTACTATAGTTTCTTCTTCTATGTAGTTATAATATAGTTTTTAGAATAACCTACAAATAGTAGCAGTTTTCTGCCAATGAGAACTCTGTGATTATCATCAATTTTATTCTAATTTTTTTTTTGAATCTAGTATTTGGCCTGCATATGTATTTGAATCAGAATATAAAACAGATACATTATGAAAAATAGAAAGAAATTGAAATAAATATAATGAGTCAACATATATTAATGCAATATATTGTATTACTACATAGCAACTACTTTTTTCAGTTAAACCCTAAATTAAAAAAAATTAAATATATTACAGCTGTGTCTTTTGCAAGTGGTGTGGCTAATTTTTCTCTAAGCTTCATTATCTGATAAGTCCTAATAATAACAAAATTACATATGTAGAAATAATTTATCATCATCAAGCAAGACATTTTGATTGTAACCCAAGAAGTATACTGTCATGAACTAGATGCTAAGAAGCAGATATTTTTATTTAAGACTATTGTTATATCAACAAATACATTAAACTTCTTATTGTCTAACCTGGAAATTCTTAAAGGCTGATTGATTTTCAATGACAATGTTAAACATATGTCTCTGAAAGGAATTTCTTAAATATAAGAGAATAAAACAATAAAATTTGCTAATCATAAATTAGTATTTTTATTTCAAAAAGCCTGAAAATATAAATGTAAGATACAGCATAACTATCTAATGACAAAGATGTTTAAAAATTCAAGATCTGTTCTATTGATATGGTTTGGCTCTGTCCCCACCCAAATCTCACCTTGAATTGTAAGAATCCTCATGTGTCAAGCGGGGGGCCAGGTGGAGATAACTGAATAATGGGGGCAGTTTCCCCCATACTAGTCTTATGACAGTGAATAAGGCCCATGACAGCTGATGGTTTTATTTTTTACTTTTTATTATACTTTAAGTTCTAGGGTACACGTGCACAACGTGCAGGTTTGTTACATAGGTATACATCTGCCATGTTGGCTTGCTGCACCCATTAACTCATCATTGACATTAGGTTTTTGTCCTAATATGCTATCCCTCCCCCAGCCCCCACCCCCTGACAGGTCTTGGTGCGTGATGTTCCCTGCCCTGTGTCCAAGTGTTCTCATTGTTCATTTCCCACCTATGAGTGAGAACATACGGTGTTTGATTTTCTGTCCTTGTGATAGTTCGCTGAGAATGATGGTTTCCAGCTTTATCCATGTCCCTCAAAGCACATGAACTCATCCTTTTTTATGGCTGCATAGTGTTCCATGGTGTATATGTGCCACAATTTCTTAATCCAGTCTCTCATTGATGAACATTTTGGTTGGTTCCAAGTCTTTGCTATTGTGAATAGTGCCACAATAAACATACATGTGCATGTGTCTTTATAGTAGAATGATTTACAATCCTTTGGGTGTATACCCAGTAATGGGATTGCTGGTTCTAGATCCTTGAGGAATTGCCACACTGCCTTCCACAATGGTTGACCTAATTTACACTCCCATCAACAGTGTAAAAGCGTTCCTATTTCTCCACATCCTCTCCAGCATCTGTTGTTTCCTGACTTTTTAATGATGGCCATTCTAACTGGTGTGAGATGGTATCTCATTGTGGTTTTGATTTGCATTTCTCTGATGACCAGTGATGATGAACATTTTTTCATGTGTCTGTTGGCTGCATAAATGTCTTCTTTTGAGAAGTGTCTGTTCATAACCTTTGCCCGCTCTTTGATGATGTTTGTTTTTTTTTCTTGTAAATTTGTTTAAGTTCTTTGTAGATTCTGGATATTAGCCCTTTGTCATATGGGTAGATTGCAAAAATTGTCTCCCATTCTGTAGGTTGCCTGTTCACTCTGATGGTAGTTTCTTTTGCCATGCAGAAGCTCTTTAGTTTAATTAGATCCCATTTGTCTATTTTGGCTTTTGTTTCCATTGCTTTTGGTGTTTTAGTCATGAAGTCATTGCTCACGCCTATGTCCTGAATGGTATTGCCTAGGTTTTCTTCTAGGGTTTTTATGGTTTTAGGTCTAACATTTAAGTCTTTAATCCATCTTGAATTAATTTTTGTATAAGGTGTAAGGAAGGGATCCAGTTTCAGCTTTGTATAAATGGCTAGCCGGTTTTCCCAGCACCATTTATTAAATAGGGAATCCTTTTCCCATTTCTTGTTTTTAGTCAGGTTTGTCAAATATCAGATGGTTGTAGATGTGTGGTGTTATTTCTGAGGCCTCTATTCTGTTCCATTGGTCTATATATCTGTTTTGGTACCAGTACCATGCTGTTTTTGTTATTGTAGCCTTGTACTATAGTTTGAAATCAGGTAGCATGATGCCTCCAGCTTTGTTCTTTTTGCTTAGAATTGTCTTGGCAATGTGGGCTCTTTTTGGTTCCATATGAACTTTAAAGTAGTTTTTTCCAGTTCTGTGAAGAAAGTCATTGGTAGCTTGATGGGGGTGGCATTGAATCTATAAATTACCTTGGGCAGTATGGCCATTTTCACAATATTGATTCTTCCTATCTAATAGCATGGAATGTTCTTCCATTTGTTTGTGTCCTCTTTTATTTCGTTGAGCAGTGGTTTGTAGTTCTCCTTGAAGACGTCCTCCACATCCCTTGTAAATTGGATTCTTAGGTATTTTATTCTCTTTGTAGCAGTTGTGAATAGGAGTTCACTCATGACTTGGCTTTCTGTTTGTCCGTTACTGGTGTATAGGAATGCTTGTGATTTTTGCACATTGATTTTGTATCCTGAGACTTTGCTGAAGTTGCTTATCAGCTTGAGGAGATTTTGGGCTGAGACGATGGGGTTTTCTAAATATACTATCATGTCATCTGCAAACAGGGACAATTTGACTTCCTCTTTTCTTAATTGAATACCCTTTATTTCTTTGTCTTGCCTGACTGCCCTGGCCAGAACTTCCAGAACCAATGACAAAAAACACATGATTATCCCAATAGATGCAGAAAAGGCCTTTGACAAAATTCAACAGCCCTTCACTCTAAAAACTCTCAATTAACTACGTATTGATGGAACATATCTCAAAATAATAAGAGCTCTTTATGACAAGCCCACAGCCAATATCATACTGAATGGGCAAAAACTGGAAGCATTCCCTTTGAAAACTGGCACAAGGATGCCCTCTCTCACCACTCCTGATCTGATGGTTTTATAAATGGGAATTCTGCAGCACAAGCTGTCTTTTGCCTGCCATGATGTAAGATGTGCCTTTGCTCCTCCTTTGTCTTCCACCATGATGGTGAGGTCTCCCCAATCATGTGGAATTGTGAGTGCATTAAACCTCTTTTTCTTTATAAATCACCTAGTCTTGGGTATCTATTTATTAGCAGCATGAGAACAGACTGATTGGTACTGGTAGAGTGGGATGCTGCAGTAAAGATACCTGAAAATGTGGAAGCAACTTTGCAACTGGGTAACAGGCAGAGGTTGGAACAGTTAGGAGGACTCAGAAGAAGACAAGAAGATGTGGAAAAGTTTGGGACTTCCTGGAGACTTGTTGAATGGTCTTTGACCAAAATGATGATAGTGATATGGGCAATACAATCAATGCTGAGATGGTCTCAGATGGAGATGAGTAACTTGTTGGGACCTGGAGCAAAGATGCCTCTTGCTATATTTTAGCAAAGAGACTGGTGGCATTTTGCCCCTGCCCTACAGATTTGTGAAACTTTGAACTTGAGAGAGATGATTTAGGGCATCTGCCAGAAGAAATTTTTAAGTAGCAAAGTGTTCAAGAGGTGACTAGGGTGCTATTAAAAGCATTTCATGTATTCACAAAGATATGGTTTTGAATTGGAACTTATGTTAAAAAGGAAAGCAGAGCATAGAAGTTTGAAAAATTTGCAGCCTGATGATGTGATAGAAAAGAAAAACCCATTGTCTGTGGAAAAATTCAAGCAGGCTGCAGAAATTTGCATAAGTAACAAGGATCCAAATGTTAATCCCCAAGACAGTGGGGAAAATGTCTCCAGGGCATGTCAGAGATCTTCATGCCAACCCCTTCCATTATAGGCCCAGACGCCCAGGAGGAAAAAATGGTTTTGTGGATCAGTCCCAGGGATCAGTAGGTCAGGCCCTGCTCTGTGCAACCTAGGAACTTGGTGTCCTGCGTCCCAGCCTCTCCAGCCATAGCTAAAAAGGGACCAAGGTACAGCTCCTGCCATGGCTTCAGGGGTGTAAGCCCCAAGCCTTTGCAGCTTCCATGTGATATCGAGACTTCTGGTGCACTGAAGTCAAGAATTGAGGTTTGGGAACCTCTGCCTAGATTTCAGAGGCTTTATGGAAATCCCTGGATATCTAAGCAGAAGTTTGCTGCAGGGGTGGGACCCTCATGGAGAACTTCTGCTAGGGCAGTGAAGAAGGAAAATGTGGGGTTGGAGCCCACACACAGAGTCCCCAATGAGGCACTGCCTAGTGGAGCTGTGAGAAGAGGGCCATTCTCCTCCAGACCCCAGAACGGTAGATCCACCAACAGCTTATACTGTGCACCTAAAAAAGCTGCAGACAATCAGTGCCAGCTCATGAAAGCAACCAGAAGAGGGGGGCTGTACCCTGCAAAGACACAGGGGCAGAGCTGCCTGTGGCCATGGGAGCTCACCTCTGGCATCAGTGTAACCTGGATTTGTGACACAGAGTGAAAAGAGATCATTTTGGAGCTTTAAGATTTGGCTGCCCCACTTGATTTTAGACTTGCATGGGGTCTGTAGCCCCTTTGTTTTGGCCAATTTCTCCTATTTGAAAAGAGTGTATTTACCCAATGACTGGATTCCCATTCTATCTAGGAAGTAACTAACTTGCTTTTTATTGTACAAGCTCATAGGTGGAAGGGACTTGCCTTGTCTCAGATGAAACTTTGGACTGTGGACTTCTGAGTTAATGCTGAAATGAGTTAAGACTTTGGGGCACTGTTGGGAAGGCATGATTGGTTTTGAAATGTGAGAACATGAGATTTGGGAGGGGCCAGGGACACAATTATATGATATGGCTGTGTCTCCACCCAAATCTCACCTTGAATTGTAATAATGCCAACATGTCGAGGGCAGGGCCAGGTGAAGGTAATTGAATGATGGGGTAGTTTCCCCCATACTGTTCTTATGGTAGTGAATAAGGCTCATGAGATCTGATGGTTTTATAAGTGGGAGTTCCCCTGCACAAACTCTCTCTTGCCTGTCATCCTGCAAAACTTGCCTTTGCTCCTCCTTTGCCTTCTGTCATGATTGTGAGGCCTCCCCAGCCATGTGGAACTGTGAGTCCATTAAACCTCTTTTTCTTTATAAATTACCCAGTCTCAGGTATGTCTTTATTGGCAGTATGAGAACAGACTAATACACCTATTTACTTAATTAATTTTCAATTACATTACTTACAGAAATATTCAACATTATTTTAGCCAACTCAATGCTTTGAAAATCCTATAATGAACTTACATTTTAAGACTGTTCTGTTCACCTTTGTCTTGAAAAGCATTTTATTTTCAACTCTAACTCAAAATTATTAGAAGAAAGGCCAGTAATTTTCCAATGCCTCTATTTATTATACTGCCACCTGTGTTTCTGTTTGCTCTTTTCAGATCTCTGAGACTTCCTAATACTAACCAAACATGCACAGATATATATGAGCTTCCAGTTATTCAAACACTTTTGAATTCCTGTTTCTTCTGTAAACCTTAACAAAAATCCTTCAGCAAATGCTTTTGACACTCTTCTAAACATGATGTGTTTCTCTTTCAGCATGATCATCAGATTTCGAATCACTGGTTTAAATCTCTATTTTCACTGTAGGCTGAAAGAGGACAGAGACCACATCTCTGTTATTAACAGATATGTCTGCAATACCTAGATCATGCCTATCTCATAGTAGATGCACACTAAGTTAAACAAGTGGTGATGATAACTCATACAGTTAGAGTTTACCAAACGTGGAATTGACTAGTAAATTTGGGATTATATAATTTTGTGAATTTCACTCTCCACTCAGTAATTACCATTTTTCATTAGATTGCTAATGCAAAAAGCAAAAATATAAAATGAATTCTCTCTAATCCAAATATTTCTTCTTTACAGAATGACTGACTGAAATTCTAATTTTTTTACAATGAAAAACTTAATGAGGGCTGACAAAAACAGTGCAAAGAGAAAAATGAGTCTCCTTGGATATTTCCATTCTCTGCCCAATGTTTGGTTTCCTTTCTCAATTTTTGCATTTTCAATCAACTTTGAAAATTTTTCTGACAATACTGACTTAGTCATTGTGTCTACATTTTGTGATGCATTACATGAAGTAGAAAATGGAGATGCTGTTAACAATTTCGTAAGACTTACACTGCAAATTTGCTTTTTTGTAGTTTAAATTTGTAGTGCATCTATATGAATGAGTTGTATCTAAACTTCTAAAACTAGATTAATTGCAATTTCTTCTTAGGAAATAGAGGATACAAACTAAGTTAATAATATTTTCTCATTTTCTCCATGAAATTAAAACTTTGTGATTTGCAAATATTGAGATTTTTATTTTAAAAAATCAAGGTAAGAGAGAAGTCAAAGGATTATTTTTTCTCTCTTTGTAGTTGAATAGTCTGCAAAGACTTCTCATAATGATGAATTTTTTTTTTTTAGGTGTAGAGAAAATTCTCATTTGTCAACCATGCTGTTTTGAATTGTTCTTCAGAGCAATTAATGAAATCTATAGTAATCTGAGGAATAACTACAAAAATGTAAATCCTAATATCATATATAGGAATAACATGGCAAAATCACTCACAAATTCCCTGTTCTTAGACTGAAGAAAAGTGGTAGAGCAGAAAAACAGAAATGTCTGCCCTGAAATAGAGCAGAGGCAGATGAAGACACAACCCTCATTGATATTTCACTGTAACCTATTCAGTAGATTGATTTTAAATCTTTGTCAGAAACATGAGAAAACAAATTAAGAAAAAATAACCAGTTAAAAGTCTGTCCTATAAAAAACATATTTCTTTTTTTTCTTTCTTTCTTTTTTTTTTTCTTTCTCTTTTTTCTTGAGACAGGGTCTCACTGTGTCACCCAGGTTGGAGTGCAGTGGTGTGAATCTCGGCTCACTACAGCCTGCCTCCCAAGTAGCTGGGACTAAAGGCATGCACCATCAGTCCTGGCTAATGTTTGTATTTTTTGTAGAGATGGGGTTTTGCCATGTTGACCAGGCTGGTCTGAAACTCCAGAGCTCAAGCGATCTGCCTGCCTCATCCTAAAAACCATATTTCTATTGTTCTGTAATTTTGATTCTTTACAGCCATAAGTATATTCTTTAATAGTATAGTCATTGAGAGGTAACAGTTCTAGGGTCATTAATGAATTCAAGAAATATTCAAAATGTTTGCTCAATGTATTCTGGGACTTAAGAGCTACTTCTAGAACCTATTCATGTTTGACTAATTGGCAACCACATAATGCCATCTTATAACTGTTTTGATCTTACTTTCAATGTTAGCCTAATTTAGGTATGAGACTGGGAAAAAGCTGATGTAGTTTGGTATAAATGTTACAGGAAAGGGGTCTGGATCCAAACCCCAAGAGAGGTGTCTGGATCTTGCACAAGAAAGAATTGAGGACGCGTCCACAGTGTAAAGCAAAAGCAAGTTTATTAAGAAAGTAAAGTGGTGAAAGAACAGCTACTCCACAGACAGAGTAGGGCATTCCTGAAAGTAAAAGGAATGCGTCCATTGTAGGTACAGTACTTGTATATATATAATTTAAAAAAATCACAGGAGATGTGCTTTGCTACAAGGGCTTGTGATAAAGGATTGATTTTCATAATTACTACATTTTGCAAGAATCAATATTATTATCTTTAAAGAAAAATTAGGAATGCCTTTGTTCTCAAGATATTGGGATATCTGGACACTCCCAAGTCCAGGTATGTTTAGTAAACATTATCAATCTGTTCCCTTAGCCGTAAACATCTAAGAGGTTAAGAATACCTAACTTTCTGGGAATGCAGCCTAGCAAGTCGCAGCCTCAATTTCCTAGCCCTCACTCAAGATGGAGTCACTCTTGTTGGAACACTTCTTACAGAAGGAGCTCTGAACTGGACATTTGGAGCCCTGGACTTGTTCTTGTCTACCATTAACTGGCCACATTTATAAATTTATTTTTGGCACTTTTTTTGTTAAATACTTATAGAGGAATAAGACAGATGTTCCCTAATTTCTTGTCAGCACCCACATTTTCTATGGAGCTTTGATGTTTCCTTAAGCATGTGAAAATGCCCACAGTCTATCTAATTCTGTGGGCCAACTTACTTGCTTCTTAGGAAAATCCAGAGCAAGAAGTGGATTCCACGGAGACATTATTTAGGACATTTCCCTAATGTACTACCCTGGACTTCTAGAGTAGTTTTAAACACTGTTTTATTTCCCAGAAGTGAATGAGAGGAAGAACACATGTGCTTTTTAGATCATGAGTACACGTTTTGCTTGTGAGTTACAGGCTTAATTCTTATCTTGATTTCTGCACCACACTGCTGGATACATAGTAGGCACTCAGTAAATATTCATGAATTGAACTTCTCAATTTTCCAGTTAACCAAATATTTAGTAATTAGCGTCTATGTAAGGAAGCCCTGGAATGACTGAGGTTACTTAAGTGTTGTAATACTGATTATCAGGAACTTGGTGGGTGTTCAGTAGTTCTATTGTAATGATGGATGATGCCTATTTTTATGCAAGACTTGGCTTTCTGTAGCTATTTGTCATTGCGTTTGATAATACTTCTTTTGCATAAAATATTTTAGGGCTTCCAGACCAAGGTCCTTATTTTTGTAAGATTATTGAGATGTTCCAAGATGCTTATCACACCGTTTACAATTCCAAAATCTGGATAACCTAACAAGAATACCATGTACAATTGCGGTAAACATGCCAAAAAGTAATATAAAAGCAAATATCAATAATTTCCTCAAATAAGACATCACTTTTCTTTCTAATTTACCACACAGCAATGGATTTTAGACATTGCATTCCCAGCATAAGAAGTTAATAGCAGCTAGAAGTTGTAGATAGCTGAAGACATGATTGATAGTCTGTAGAAAAATTGAATGTGAATATTTAGAGCTCTTACATAAAAATATATCAAGGTAATTTTTAAAATGTAATGATTTAATGCCAATAGTTATGCAATAATTTTGTGTACTAACAATTACAGACATGCTATATGCTATATCTTACATTTATTCAAATACCTCTTTAGACCTAGAATCTATTAGTTAGAGCTTTGGCCTTTGCTTTCTAAAACATTTACAACTATTCTTCTTACTGATTCTCTCAAGTACTTTCTCCTTAAATTTCCCAAGCTGTGTAGCTTGTTAGGAACACTGAATATGAAGCAAACAATGATAAAAATATCAGCTAAAGAGCTAAATACAGACATTCATTCAAGAGATTAGTGTGACCACTTAGAGAGCTGACTTTATTTATTCACTTGTTTATTTACTTTTTGTAAACATTAGTTTATATTCTATGCATGATAGAAACTTAATGCACATAAACAGGATGTTGTTAGTTAATAACTAAATAGATCAACCCCACACTAAAACTTTGATTATTAACCTGTATTTAACTATAATAATGGGTTCTTCACGCATCAGGACCTCTTAATATATGAAAATCTTCTTGTTGAGCCAAGCTAAATTATGTACTACTTCTTACGTTTTTCCAAGAGCAAATGTCTATGATGAGAGAATGTTCACCACGGAGCCAATGGAGGGTACTAACCTCTGGACTTCATACAAAGCAGTTAAACATTATAGTATATAAAAGTCTTTCTCAGCTGTTATCTGAGGAAACAGAAATCATAGTTACATATGTACTATTGATTGAGTTCCTAAAATGTGTCAAATCAATATATACAACACTTCTCACACACACACACACACACACACACACACATTTTCTTAAGCCATTACTGAAACTCTGCAAACTCAAAGAAAAGCTGCTTGTTATTGAAAAGATGGCAACCCTGTGCCCTGATCCAGGAGGTAGAAAGTAAAGGAGAACATAAGGGATTCCTGTCACCTTTCTCAGTAGTGGGACTCTTCCAGTTCATGAAATAAAGTATTACTAGACCACCAGAGCTTTGTTGTTGTTTATTCCCCTCAATTTAGTTGCATTGATTAATATTTCATGGAATGTTTTTTTGCACTCTGATTATAGGCTATCTTTGGATTTTTTTGTTTTCAGAACCACGTGTTTGTCATTCAGCCATTTCTTTCTTTAAAAAACATTATAGTTGTGGTGTTTGGTTTTTTGTCCTTGCGATAGTTTGCTGAGAATGATGGTTTCCAGTTTCATCCATGTCCCTACAAAGGACATGAACTCATCATTTTTTATGGCTGCATAGTATTCCATGGTGTATATGTGCCACATTTTCTTAATCCACTCTATCATTGTTGGACATCTGGGTTGGTTCCAAGTCTTTGCTATTGTGAATAGTGCCACAATAAACATACGTGTGCATGTGTCTTAAAGTATAATAATAATAAAATTAAAATAAAATAAAATAAATTATAGTTGCAAGGAGGATGAGTCTCTATCAATATCTGCCGGACAAGTGCTATTTCAATGTAGGTAGGCATCCTTTAGCTATTTTTTCCAGCTTTTTCAAAATTGTGGTAAAATACACATAATAGAAAATTTATCATCTTAGCCATTTTTAAGTAGATAATTTAGTGGTATTAACTACATTCATAATGTTATGGAACTGTCACTACTGTCCATTCTTTAACTTTTACTACCCTTATATAAAAGCAGTTAGAATTTATGTGAATTAAGATTTCCTTCTGGGGGGAAAAGGTTTTAAAATGCACTCTGTGTTAGTAAGCAAATCACTTCACTGTAGTGTAGTCAAGATACAACTCAAATCAATGCCATTTTATTGATTGATTTGATGTAGCTATGCAATAACAGAAGTCAAAGGAGGAAATGTTGTCTATTAAAAAAATACACCTAGTTTTGATTGTTTTCCCAGAAACTAATACCAGTTCCAAAGTTTTTTCAATAATATATTTTCCTTTAAAAGGGGGGAGGTTTGTATACTTTTTTTTTTTTTTTTTTTTTTGAGACAGGGTCTCCCTCTGTCATACAGGCTGGAGTACAGTGTCACAATCCACTTAGACCTCTCAGGCTCAAGAGATCCTCCCTCAACTCACCCACTCAGTAGATGGGAATACAGGCACACACGACCATGTCCAGCTAATATATTTTTTTCTTTTTTTGTAGAGACAAGGTCTTACTATGTTGCTCACGCTGGTCTCCAACTCTTGGGTTCAAGTGATACCCCTGCCTTGGCCACCCAAATTGCTGGGATTATAGGTGTGAGCCACTGCACCTGGCCTGTATACTTGAAATATTTTTATCCAACTCAGTATGATTACATAAAAGGAAATACCAGATAATTGAATAGTAAATGCATTTACAATGATCTAGAAGATGGGGAAAAGCCTTCCAGAAACAATATATTCTTCCTAACATCTAATCACTTGTTATATGTGATATAATTGCATATTTTAAAAGTCACCCTGCTTCTGAATAAAATTATGTTGAATACTATAAACATGTGACTACTGAGGGTTCTTATACACTACTTTTGTTCTAGCTGGTGACTACTAAATATTCAGAGATAATGAAACACATCATACTTTTATTCAATATCAATTCAAATAATGTATTACTGTAAAACAAAAATATCAGTTCATGGTGCTATATGAAGCTTTCACATTCCTTTGGCATTGCTAAAAATTTACAGATCTACTTCCTTTTATAGGGGTTTTCAAAATAAAACAAAAGTATTCTTATTTGCTTTCTATGAGATTCCTGTGTCAGTTAGGGTTAAAAACACATCTTACAGGACAAAAATAATCAATTTACTTATCTTTTACCTATTCATGTTTAAACATTGTTAATTAGATAAGTACTTTATCAGTAAATATATGGGAATATCTGTATGTGCAATTGAGGAAAGAGAGGAAAAAGGGGCAGTGAAATTTTGTCTCTTCCAAAATTCTCACATAAAATTAGAGCATCTAGATGGCAAAAATAACAATATATGTAAAGTATTTCGAACTTAAATAGGTGGCAAGGAATACCACAAACCCAAAATACACTGCCATCAAGATCTGTATCTGGTAGGCACCTGTAAGGGAGAAAGTAGAGAGAAGCAATGGAGTTTCTGATGAACTCACATTTGCCAGCAGGTATTCACTAGATGGTGTAAGGAATGCCTGCCCCTGAGAATGGCAGTTGAAGCTAGAAGAAACATTTCCCACTTGACTGGCAGGATAGTAAAAGTAGTGGGTGGTAAAGCCCTAAAGGACTTCTGTGAACTCTTCAAACTGATCTCCACAGCCTCCTTTCAGGAGAGGATCCCACAGGAATGGAACTGCAGGGCGCAGTGGCTGACACCTGTAATCCCAGTACTTTTGGTGGCCGAGGCGGGTGGATCACGAGGTCAGGGGATCAAGACCATCCTGGCTAAAATGGTGAAACCCTGTCTCTACTAAAAATACAAAAAATTAGCCGGGCACGGTGGCAGGTGTCTGTAGTCCCAGCTACTCAGGAGGCTGAGGCAGGAGAATGGAATGGTGTGAACCCGGGAGGCGGAGCTTGCAGTGAGCTGAGATCATGCCACAGCACTCCAGCCTGGGTGACAGAACGAGACTCTGTCTCAAAAAAAAAAAAAAAAAGAAAAAAGCACAAGTACTAATAAGAGATGAATAAAAGAGAAAGCCCAGATACAATATTGTTCCAGATAAAAATAGAAGATGAAAAAAGGAAATGCTCAGGAATCTTAGCAAGATGCCATGTTTTTAATACTATATTTGAAACAAGAGAGCAAGGAGATACATGAAATTAACTAAGATTTTGGAACCAAGTGTCCTTCTAAAAGTTCAAGCATGGAACTTTTCGCTTGCGTCCCTGTGAAGAGACCACTAAACAGGCTTTGTGTGAGCAACAAGGCTGTTTATTGCACCTGGGTGCAGGTGGGCTGAGTCCGAAAAGATCACACGCGTCCGTGCGAAGAGACCACTAAACAGGCTTTGTGTGAGCAACAAGGCTGTTTATTTCACCTGGGTGCAGGCGGGCTGAGTCTGAAAAGAGAGTCAGCAAAGGGAGATAGAGATGGGGCCGTTTCATAAGATTTGGGTAGGTGAAGGAAAAAGAGGGGTTGTTCTCTGGCGGGCAGGGGTGGGGGTGGGGTCACAAGGTGCTCAGCGGGGGAGCTTATGAGCCAGGAGAAGGAATTTCACAAGGTAATGTCATCAGTTAAGGCAGGAACAGACCATTTTCACTTCTTTTGTTGTGGTATGTCACCAGTTAAGGCAGGAACCAGCCACCTGGATGTGTATGTGCAGGTCACGGGATATGATGGCTTAGCTTGGGCTCAAAGGCCTGACATTCCTGTCTTCTTATATTAATAAGAAAAATAAAACAAAATAGTGGTAAAGTGTTGGGGAGACAAAAATTTTTGGAGGTGGTATGGAGAGATAATGGGCGATGTTTCTCGGGGCTGCTTCGGGCGGGATTAGGGTTGGCATGGGAACCTAGAGTGGGAGAGATTAAGCTGAAGGAAGATTTTGTGGTAAGGGGTGATACTGTGGGGTTGTGAGAAGAAACATTTGTCATGTAGAATTATTGGTGATGGCCTGGATATGGTTTTGTGTGAATTGAAAAACTAAATGGAATAAAAGAAGGAGAAAAACAGGTATTAAAGGACTAAGAATTGGGAGGACCTAGGACATCTAATTAGAGAGTGCCCAAGGAGGTTCAGCATAGCCTTGCCAGCAAAGATTATTTATGTACTTTAAGAGTTAAGAGTGGCAGTTTGGGGATAGCACTAGGAGATATCAGCTGTGATGGCTTGGAGAAACAGTGTAAACCAGCAGTGTAAACAAGAGCAGGGCATTTATGAATAGTTGAGAACGGTGAATAGGAGTATGATTAGACAGAAGATAGTAGGGATGACAAGTTTTTTGGGGTGCAGTCCAAGTTGGTCTGGTGTCTGGAATGAGACTGGGGCCTAATAAAAAGGAGCGTCTATACAGGAGCTTAAATGGGCTGTACCCTGTAGCATTCCGAGGACAGGCCCGAATTCTGAGAAGGGCAAGTGGTAAAAGTATTGTACAGTCCTTTTTAAGGTGGTGGCTGAGCTTGGTGAGGTGTGTTTTTAAAAGACTATTAGTCTGTTCTACCTTTCCTGAAGATTGAGGACGGTAAGGGATATAAGATTTCACTGAATACCGAGACCCTGAAAAACTGCTTGGGTGATTTAACTAATAAAGGCCGGTCCGTTATCGGACTGTATAGAGGTGGGAAGGCCAAACCGAGGAATTATGTCTGACAGAAGGGAAGAAATGACTGCGGTGGCCTTCTTAGACCCTGTGGGAAAGGCATCTACCCATCCAGCGAACGTGTCTACCTAAACCAAGAGGTATTTTAGTTTCCTGTGAGGCATGTGAGTAAAGTCAATTTGCCAGTCCTGGGCAGGGGCAAATCCCCAGGCTTGATGTGTAGGGAAGAGATGGGGCCTGAGCAATTCCTGAGTAATAGAATGGAACACTGAGAAGTGATTTCCTTGAGGATAGATTTCCACGATGGAAAGGAAATGAGAGGTTGTAAGAGGCAGGCTAGTGGCTTGTAACCTACATGGAAGAAGTTATGAAATGACGACAGAATAGAATGGGCCTGTGAGGCTGGAAGGAGAGATTTTCCTTGGTCTAAGAACCATTTGCCTTGTGTGGGAAGACATTGATAGGTGGAAGTTTCAGCCAGGGAGTAGGTGGGAGTGGCCAGATGAGGAGGAGAAAAACTGAAAGTGAGGGATGTAAACTGGAACGCTAGCTGCTTTTTTAGCTATCTTATCAGCATAAGCATTGTCCTGAGGGATGGAATCTGATGCCTTTTGATGGCCTTTGCAGTGAATGACTCCAGCTTCCTTTGAAAGTACAGAGGCTTTGAGAAGCATTTTTATTAAAGAGGCATTAATGATGGAGGACCCTTGTGTAGTGAGGAAATCTCTTTCAGCCCATATAACAGCATGGTGGTGCAAGATACGGAAGGCATATTTAGAGTCAGTACAAATATTGATGCATAGTCCTTTTGCAAGAGTGAGGGCTCGAGTTAAGGCAATGAGTTCAGCTTGCTGAGAGGTAGTGGAGGCGGGCAGAAAGTATATGCATCAGGTGTGAGGAAGAAAATAGATTTCGGAAGTTATGAGAACTGTAGAGAGTGAGTTGAGCATAGTTTGTGATTTTGAGGGCCTCTAAAAGTATTAAGGCAGTGGCAGCCACTGCACGCAGACATGAGGGCTAGGCTAAAACAGTAAGGTCAAGTTGTTTGGACAGAAAGGCTACAGGGTGCTGTCCCTGCTCTTGTGTATGAATTCTGACCACACTAATCATGCTTAGGAAGGAAAGGAGCTGTTATTTTGTAGAAGGGATTGGGGTTTGGGAGGTTAGCCGGACACGATCAGCAGGGAGAGCAGGTGTGTTTTCATGAGAATTATGTCAAGATAGGTAACAGATGAGGAAGAAATTTGGGCTTGACTGAAGTAATGGGGACTGTCTGTGAAGCCTTGAGGCAGTACAGCCCAGGTAATTTGCTGAGCCTGATGGGTGTCAGGGTCAGTCTAAGTGAAAGCGAAGAGAGGCTGGGGTGAAGAGTGCAAAGGAATAGTAAAGAAAGCATGTTTGAGATCCAGAATAGAATAATAGGTTTGTGGAGGAAGGTATTTAGGATAGGAGAGTATATGGGTTTGGCACCACGGGGTGGATAGCCAAAACAATTTGGTTGATAAGGCGCAGATCCTGAACTCACCTGTAAGACTTGTCCAGTTTTTGGGCAGATAAAATGGGGGAATTTTAAGGAGAGTTCATAGGCTTTAAAAGGACATGCTGTAACAGGTGAGTGATAACAGGCTTTAATCCCTTTAAAGCATGCTGCGGGATGGGATATTGACATTGAGCAGGGTAAGGGTGATTAGGTTTTAATGGGATGGTAAGGGGTGCATGATCGGTCACTAAGGAGGGAGTAGAGGGAGGTATCCCATACTTGAGGGTTAAGTTGGGGAGATATGAGGGGAGAATGTGAAGGAGGCTTTGAACTGGGGGAAAAGGCGGCAATGAGGTGTGGCTGTAGCCCAGGAATAGTCAGGGAAGCAGATAATTTAGTTAAAATATCTCGGCCTAATAAGGGAACTGGGCAGGTGGGGATAACTAAAAAGGAGTGCTTAAAAGAGTAGTGTCTAAGTTGGCCCCAGAGTTGGGGAGTTTTAGGAGGTTTAGAAGCCTGGCTGTCAATACCTACAACAGTTATGGAGGCAAGGGAAACAGGCCCTTGAAAAGAAGGTAATGTGGAGTGGGTAGCCTCTGTATTGATTAAGAAGGGGACGGACTTACCCTCCACTGTGAGAGTTACTGAAGATCGGCATCCATGATGGTGTAGGGGGCTTCCGAGGCGATCGGCAGCATCAGTCTTCAGCCACTAAGCAGAGAAGATGTGGGAAGGAGTCAGTCAGAGAGCCTTGGGCCACATTTCCAGGCGTTCTGGGAGTGGCTGCCAGGTGAGTTGAACAGTCCAATTTTCAGTGGGGTCCTGCAGAGATGGGACATGGCTTAGGAGGAATCCCAGGCTGCAGGCATTCCTTGGCCCAGTGGCCAGATTTCTGGCACTTACAGCAAGCTCCTGGGGGAGGTGGGCCTGGAAGAATCCCTGGCCACTGCAGTTTAGGCATTTGGAAGTTCTTGTGTGCTGGAGATGTGGCTGGGGTTTGTCTCACGGTGGAGGCAAGGAATTGCAACTCAGAAATACATTGCTACTTGGCCGCCTGTACTCTATTATTGTATACCTTGAAGGCGAGGTTAATCAAGTCTTGTTGTGGGGTTTGAGGGTCCGAATTTAATTTTTGGAGCTTATTTAATGTTGGGAGCAGATTGGGTAATAAAATAAAATGCATATTGAGAATAAGCCGGCCTTCTGACCTTTCAGAGTCTAGGGCTGTAAAGTGTCTCAGGGTTGCTGCCAAACGAGCCATGAACTGGACCGGGTTTTTATATTTGATGAATGAGCCTAAATGCTAACTGATTTGGGAGACGTAGGATAAAGAAAAAGGAGCATTAACCTTGACTATGCCTTTAGCTCCAGCCACCTTTTTAAGAAGAAATTGCTGGGCAGGTGGGGGAGGGCTAGTCATGGAATGAAACTGTAAGCCAGACCAGGTGTGAGGAGGGGAGGTGATAAAAGGATTATCGGGTAGAGGAGCAGAGGCTGAGAAAGAATTGGGATCTAGCTCGGCCTGGCAAGGAGCAGCCTGGGAGAGGTCAGATGGGTCTGTAGAAAAGAAAGATTGGAAAGAGGAAAGACTCAGCGACGCTTGGAGTTGGGACTGAGGGGACAGGCAGGAGGGAAAGAAGGAAGATTTGGGATGAGTTGCATTGGGAACAGAGACTAGGGAGGGACCGATGTGTAAAAGAATGCCTGGATGCCAGGCATCTCAGACCATTTGCCCATTTTATGACAAGAATTATTTAGATCTTGTAGGATGGAAAAATCGAAAGTGCCATTTTCTGGCTATTTGGAACCACTGTTGAGTTTGTACTGGGGTCAAGTGGCATTTTCAGAAGAAAATAAGACATTTAGGTTTTAGGTCAGGTGTGAGTTGAAGAGGTTTTAAGCCTTTGAGAACACAAGCTAAGGGAGAAGGAGGAATAGAGGGTGGAAGGTTGCCTATAGTGAAGGAGGCAAGTCCAGAGAAAAGAGAGGGTAGAGACACAGAGAGAAGGGGTGGGGGGTGCTTGCCCCCAGGAAAGTGGAGAAGGGGTAGAGACATGGAGAGAAGGGGTTGGGGGATTCTTGCCCCCAAGAAAAGCAGTACTTGCCGCTAAGGGTGAAGGACCAAGGCAGCCATCCCCATGTGGTCAGACACCTCTGAAACATGGGTGAATAATCAGGCAGGCATCCCCACAATGATTAAACACCAAGGGAAGGCTGCCTTCCCGAGTCCGTGACTGGTGCCAGAGTTTTGGGTTCACGGATAAAATGCGTCTCCTGAGTTGTCTCTACCAGAAAAGGAAAGGAACTGAAATTAAGAGAAGGGAGAGATTGAAAGATGGCGCCAAGATTGAAAGGAGAAAGAGGTTGAGGGATAGTGAAAGAGGTTAGAGAAGAGAGTAAAGAGAGGCTGCTTACCGGATTTAAAATTGGTGAGATGTTCCTTGGGCTGGTCGGTCTGAGGACCCGAGGTCATAGGTGGATCTTTCTTATGGAGCAAAGAACAGGAGGACAGGGGATTGATCTCCCAAGGGAAGTCCCCCGATCTGAGTCACAGCACCAAATTTCACGCGCGTCTATGTGAAGAGACCACTAAACAGGCTTTGTGTGAACAACAAGGCTGTTTATTTCACCTGGGTGCAGGCGGGCTGAGTCCGAAAAGAGTCAGCTAAGGGAGATAGGGGTTGTTTTATAAGATTTGGGTAGGTAAAGGAAAAAGAGGAGTTGTTCTCTGCGGGGCAGGGTTGGGGGTCACAAGGTGCTCAGTGGGGGAGCTTTTGAGCCAGGATGAGCCAGGAGAAGGAATTTCACAAGGTAATGTCATCAGTTAAGGCAGGAACAGGCCATTTTCACTTCTTTTGTGGTAGAATGTCATCAGTTAAGGCAAGAACCAGCCATCTGGATGTGTACATGCAGGTCGCAGGGGATATGATGGCTTAGCTTGGGCTCAGAGGCCTGGCAGAACTCCCCTATTAGGAGACACTTTCAAATCTTTGATATATGATTTGTGGTTTCAGATCAGTTTCTTCTCTCCCTCTCTTCTCTGGAGTGATGATTTTGGACTAATCCTTCAATATATGCACCCTCTTTCATTTGGTTATCTTGTGCGATGATTGTATAGCTTTCGGATAATCATAACACGTGCCCACATCTATAACCAGGTCACAGGACTCCATATTGGACTGTGGTCAACTCTTTTCTTTGTCTTAAATGAGTTTGCATATTTTGCGTAACTTTGAACACTTGAATGTTATATATTAAAACATAAACCCTATTATCTGAGCTTACTGAAGCCTGGCTTTATTTGAAGAAGGGAGTCTTCTTTGTAATGGTGATCTCAAACTGGCAATAAAATAGTTAACATTTATTAAGGATTTACTACATACTAGGCACTGTCCTGAGTATATTGCATATGCTATCTCTTTTAAAATTCATGATTTTATTATCCAGGCACTACTGCTGTCCACTTTATTAGAGAGAAAACTGAGGGACAGAGGAGTTAAGTAATTTGCCACAGTTACCAAGTGGACAAGTTAAATAAGGGAGAAATTTAAAAGTATAAATTTTTCTTTTGTACCAATTCTAATGAATGCCCAACTCTATCTGCAATGGAATTTAGTTTTGGCCAGTGACTGCACTGATCTTTTATCTTAGTATTCCAATATAGAGATGGATGGTCTAGGTGTTTACACTTAGCAGAACTGAACCTGTGGAATTGTATGATCTTTTCACTTCACTTTGTGTATTGTCAAAGCCAAGTAGCACTGGGTAAGTATCTACCAATAAGGCAGAGATCAATTCCTTAATATGTGGATGTTTTCTGTATTTTAATTTCCTGGAACAAATAAATATTTTAAAAGTAGCTTATCTCTATGTCTTTTGAATAGAAGTGGGTCACCTTATGAATATATTAGTTCTCTGTTGCCCTGTTTACTTACTTCTAAGAACACCATCCCTGCTCCATCCATCCACAGTATTTGGGCTGGCTATTTATTTTCCATCCTTCCTTAGATTAGTTATCATCCTCACTATGAAGTCCCGACCCTACTCATGTCTACAAATGAAGATCCTTTTTTTGTGCTTCCAAGTGATTACTTTCTATTCTACATTAGATTGTAAGCTATGAGTTTGTTGTAAATTTAGGAAAAATCTGAGGGACTTTGAAATGTAATGAATGTGCTGACCAACTTCGCCATTCATTGTCTCTACCTTTGCTTGTTGTTAACCATTTTACAGCTTCATAAATAGAAAAAAAAATTGTAGAATGCTGATATAATACAAAAATTCCTGCCCATGGAAAGACAAATTGTGTCTTAAAAACATAAATTTTCCGGTAAAATGCAGTTGATCATCACCTTGTGAATATTGACTAGGTTTTCTATTCATTTATAAATTCATTTCAGCACTGGTTCTCTCACTAAAAATATGTGGCATTTTGAAATCTATTTTGATCCAATTGTAATATTACTGGTTTCTTCAGTAATTAATAAATTAAATAAGATATTTTATGAAGTAATTTATATCTGTGTGAAAGTCATTATATTACCTATTTTTAAAAATCTTAATAAGAAAGTTGCATCTCGTTCTCTGTACTATCTCATTTTCAGAAATTCTGGCAAATTTCTGGCACAGAAAAGTACCACATAAGTATTAAATGAACTGATTAATTATTTTCAAGCGTTATATTTGGGATGTAGTGCTGTTGACCTGTGTTACAGACAGAGATTATAGCACAGGTTTAAACAGAAACCTAGACCCAAGTCAAGATGCATTCACATAAAAAATACCCATATTCTTGATTACTAAAGGAATCTCAGAGATTTGGTTGGTTTTAGATTTGATTCCCAAGGCTAAATCATTTTTGGCAGACATTGACTAAGAAGGAGGATCTAGACATCTCAAGATGTTAGTTTGTTGAAAGTTAATCTTCCCAGTACAATGTATTTTCCATAAGTTTCCAAGAAATCAGACCTATGGCTGAAGACAAATTGCAGTGATTTTATAAGCTCTCCAAAATTCACTATCAAAAGTGTTAATATTGGTTTCTGCACCTACAATCTCCAAGAGCACATTAGTAGAAGAAACTGCTGTTTATTAATCCCCTTTCCTTGAGGCCTTACTTTTACTTCTCCAAGATTCTATTCTCATTACAGTTTTTTGATACCTCACTTTCTTCTTCTTCATGGTTATATTCTTCCTATGGCTATATAGTAGCCATATAAATAATAAAATTTACATAATAGCAGCATATACATAATACAATTTATATTCCATTGACCTATATTTGAAAAAAAAAGATCACTTTCTTAAATCTATTTAGATACTGATTTTCTGACCTGAAATTCCTTTTTATACTTTATTTAAGTAAATAGCATAAGTTGCCTATTTCCTAGAAAATCCTGTTGGCAAACAAATACTGTAAGATAAAAGCTGCCAGAACACTGAAAATAATTTGCATTCATTGACTTGGTAGAGGTGACGGACAAAGGCTCATTTTTAAAATGGAGCACAATTCAAAATTATGGACTAGACAAATCAATAATTCTTTATACATGTCAGATGAAGTAATTATCTTGGTTAGCTAATTGCCTTTAGGGAAAATATCTCACTAAACCAAAGCCTTTAGAAATACAAATGAAAAATACATTTTTATTTCTCCCTAAGTGTGAAACCAAAGTTTGAATATCTTAATTTGTATTTTCAATGACACATTTCTTCTTCAAATTGAATTTTTTCATTGTTTTCTGAAAGGTTTTTGTAAGCTTCTGCACTTAGAACAGAGATGAATTCTCCAAAGAAAGAATAGCCCCACTGAACTTTGCAAGGCTATGCAAGTCTTTCTAAATGGACACTTGTATGCATTTTGAAGAGTTGATTTATAAAAGCCAGAGACACTGACTACTTCTTGAAAATTCTTGAAAAAACAAAATGTATATGAACAGGGTGTGTTATCTTATCTTTAAGAATTTGTTCATGTGATACGCTCAAATATAAGATTTGCTTTTCAATACGTATCCAACTTGCAAAATATTTAAGTATCAAGGGTGAGGCCAAAGAATGCATTTTATGAAAAAACTTTTGCAAATGATCCTTTACCCTAGTATAGAGATGATTAAAACTATTTATACCACCCTCCCATATGGTATCACATCACCAATTGAACTATGGGAGTGTGTGTTTTATCAGTGAATCCAAACTAGAATAATGGCAGATGTAATGGTTTTAGATTTCCTAAACTATTAATTTGCTTCCCAAAACTCCTCTTCTAAATGGCCGTTGATGGGAAATGTCACACAATCCGATGGACAATGGGAAACTGAATTCATTAAATTATTTTACTGAATACTAAGAAATAATTCACTTGATTTCAGGAAACTCTTGACTGATTTAAAGGACAGAATTGAGTAATTTTGTTCACTCTGTTTATATGCACACGTCACCAATTTAATACAATCAAAAATTTTTTTTTTCTAGCCCAGGGCTTCCTTTACATCTGAGTGGCCCCTGGCACTCACCGATTGACAAGTATTTCACAGTCACAGTTTACCTTTTAAAAAACCCAGGTCTTATCACTGATTTCTATATTCATTTTTCTTTTGTTGGGCTTACATTTGAAGTGCCCTGGGAGTGCCTGATATCTTATCTCTTCTTTCCTTGGACTGTCTGCAATTCAGTTAAAAAACACTCATTCTCTTTCAACCTCCTCCTTTTTAAAAAAAAAAAAAAGAAAGAAAGAAAACTTCTCCCTCCCAGACTGAACTACATCAATGCCTTATTTCCTGGCACTTTTAGCAAGGGATGAGATGTATGGGTAACATAAAGGAAGAAGCTGCCTGGAGTAGAGGCTGCCTGTTTTTTCTATTTCTCTTAGAATTCCTTTCAATCTTGGTCATGTAGTGAAGGATTTTCAGACAAGTAATTTTTGTATGTGTGACTGACATGTAAGTAGTTAATGCAGTAGACTTGGTATAGAGACTTGGCAGAAGGCCCAAAGTTCAGAATATTAATATTTTCCTATTGGTTTTGGGATAGAAAAGCAGTGGGACCTTCTTCAAGTAGCCAGGCTATCATTTCAGCTGTTACTAAGGATTCATTTTTTTTTTTCTTATTTCTTCACAGTCTTGAGAATCAGCAACAATGTTTCTATAATAAGCCTTCTCAGTGGCTTAGAGCCAACAATTATCTAAATGTAGGTAGCATCTTAGCCATCAATCAGTTAGATATTTTTTCAATCTGCATTCTGGGGTGCCCTTATTTTCATTTCATTGAGAATATTCTTAGGTATTTTCAGGAAATAAGAGAGATGCTGAACACTGAGATCTTAAGATAGAGTATGTCACTCCTCTACAAGAGTAACTCCAATTTTTCTGATATTGGAATTCTACCTCAAATTTTATGCAATATCAATTTTAATAATTAGAAATTCCTATTCTACATTTCTTTCTTTCTTTCTTTCTTTTTTTTTTTTTGAGATGGAGTCTTGCTCTGTCGCCCAGGCTGGAGTGCAGTGGCGCGATCTCGGCTCACTGCAAGCTCTGCCTCCCGGGTTCACGCCACTCTCCTGCCTCAGCCTCCCGAGTAGCTGGAACTACAGGTGCCTGCCACCACGACCGGCTAATTTTTTGTATTTTTAGTAGAGACAGGGTTTCACCGTGTTAGCCAGGACAGTCTCAATCTCCTGACCTCATGATCCGCCCACCTTGGCCTCCCGAAGTGCTGGGATTACAGGCTTGAACTACCGCCCCCGGCCTTCTACATGTTTCTTAGCTTCCATTGTTCAAGCATAATAACAAATATTGTTTCCCTGAGTTTATCACTGTCTACAATTATAGGACATCAGAATCTAATTAATTGGGTGGGCACAGTGGCTCAGGCCTGTAATCCCAGCACTTTGGGAGGCCAAGGTGGGCAGATCACCTGAGGTTGGGAGTTCGAGACAAGCCTGACCAACATGGAGAAACCTAAAAATACAAAGGTCTGTACTAAAATACAAAACTAGCCGGGCATGGTGGAGCATGCCTGTAATCCTGGCTACTCGGGAGGCTGAGGCAGGAGAATCACTGCAACCTGGGAGGCAGAGGTTGTGGTGAGCCGAGATCATGACATTGCACTCCAGCCTGGGCAGCTAGAGCAAAAAATCCGTCTCAAAAAAAAAAAAAAAAAAAAAAAAAAGAATCTAATTAATTCATTCCATATTTGTCTCAAACTTATGGAAAGACCCTACTCCTCTTCAAACCTGTTTCTGAGGGGTAACACAGTGGAACTCGGAACACCAAAACTTCCATCTCTGGTATAAGAGACTGCAAAGGAATCACACATTGTGGCACATGGGATGGAAACTACTCTGCTGTGTCTGTATCTTAGAGCTGCTGGGACCTGCAAAGAAAGCTGAGACCTCTGAGGTCTTAATGCAAAATAAAACATACCATACTTTCCACTTATGTGGGAAAAGGATTCCACTTCCTTAACTGTGCTAATCCATGAATCCCTAGACTGTGCTTTGATGTTCAGAGATTTTAGCAAAAGAACTATATCTATGCTTTCTACCCACTCCCTCTTCTCAGATCTAAGCACACATTGGTGAAGATTGAGCTACAAATAATGTGATAATTAACAGTGGGCTGTTCAATTGCTTTCTTTCCCTTTCTCCCGTATCAGATCCTTGGGCATTGTTTTTAGGCCTCTGTGCCCGAATTCTACCTTTCCTTTCAATAAGCTATTTCCCAGGAAATTCCACAGTTCCTCATATAAATAGTTCATAGCTAGATCTGGCTTTCAGATCCTTCACTGGGACTCCTATTTGCATGAATCTTAGGGCAAGCAAAGCTCAGGTTCTAGCTGACACAGGGAATTGAGATTTAGATGTGAGAATGACTTGCCCAAAATCCCAGTCAGTGGCAGGACAAAAATACCCACAATTTACTGATTCCAAATTAAATGTGGCACGCAACTTCTCAGAAAATCCTAGCAATCCTAGAATCAGCCATTGCTCCAATGAGCCCTGATTCCTTTCTTTGGAGAATGCTATTTGTAACTGACATATGGGCCCATGGTATGTACATTGTTACTGGGGTATCATTTCTTTTAGGCTCTTGCGCCTGATGGAGCAAAGAAATATATGTTTGTATACTAACTCCTACATGAAAACACACTTATGGAAGTAAAAACACTTCTATGAGTAATTATCTGTAACTTTATTAAGCAGAACATGAATTCTTACTAGTTGTTACTTTTGAAATTTCTCCCACCTACAAATTTTTATTCCTTTAACATTTGCAAAGATCTCTTTCCTTTCATCCAGGCTTTATTCTGTGTTTCAGAATTGTCTAATTTTGATGAGATTGGCTTATCTATGTGATAATATACTGGAAGGCCCCAAAGAGCCACCACCGGATTCTGGTAGCAGCTAATTAAAGCCCTGGAGAAAATGAGGTAACTCAGATACCTAAAATTGATAGAGGCGAGGAGGACCATCTGATGAGCAGTCCCAACATTCAAGACACAAACTCAGAACTAATTGTGACCGTAGTCATTGAAGTCATCAGAACATGATTGTTCATAGCCTATTAATCTTAATTCTCTCAGTAAGTTGAATTTCTTCAGTCCTCCATGCCTTTGCATATCTTTTCTCTATCTAGAATTCCCTACACAAGCTATTCCAGCTGGTAAATTTCTTTCACCATTCTGTACTACCTCCCCGCTGTCCCCAGTCACAGTTAAATGTAACTGCTCCAGTGAAGTTTTTCTCAATGAACAATTTATTCCCATTTTCATAATAGGTGTCTTTCTTGTAGTGTTTATCTTATTGTACTCTAATTATGTACATAAATGTCTTTTCCCTGCCATAAGTTGTAAACTTCCTGAAGTCATTCACCTCCAAGTCTAAAACAATGTTTACCATAGAGTAGACATTCTAAAAATCCTTGAGTTGAATGATTGAACTGATTTATTAATTAGTGAGTAGAATATGTATTTATTTTATAGGTGTTAAAAGGGAAAGTACATATATGGATGAATTTGAAAGTGAAACTCAGGTCAAAATTTTATGAAGGTTGTTAACTCTAGAAAGTTTCTAGTCCCAAATTATCTATTCCATTTACCTGTCATGGGATCTGAAATTCACCATTAAATTTCTTTCATTAGGTTTAATATATTTTTGTTTAAGGTAACATTCTTAGCAAAAACATATTCAGACAGAGTTAGCCTGGTAATTGATAGTTAACTTATTGTCAGTCCTTCATACCCTGGTGTGTGTGAAATGATCAGAGCTCCTGATAGCTTTGGTACTGAACACTGACTACACAGATAGAAGTAGAGGTTAGTTGATTCTTAGGAGCATTGATGTTAATATTAGACTGGTGAAAACTGTTTTGCCCCTTATAGTTTGTGTGATGGTTAATATTGAGTGTCAACTTGATTGGATTGAAGGATGCAAAATATTGTTCCTGTGTGTGTCTGTGAGGGTGTTGCCAAAGGAGATTAACATTTGAATCGGTGAACTGGGAGAGGCAGATCCACCCTCAGTCTGGGTGGGCACCTTCTAATCAGCTGCTAGAGTGGCTAGAATAAAGCAGGCAGAAGAAATGGAAAGGAGCAGACTTGGTGAGTCTTCCAGCCTTCATCTTTATCCTGTGTTGGATGCTTCCTGCCCTCAAACATCAGACTCCAAGTTCTTCAGCTTTTGGACTCTTGGATTTACACCTGTGGTTTGCCAGGGGCTCTCGGCCTTGGGCCACAGACTGAAAGCTGCACTGCCAGCTTCCCTACTTCTGAGGTTTTTGGGACTTGGACTGGCTTCCTTGCTCCTCGGCTTGCAGATGGCCTATTGTGGGAATTTACCTTGTGATCATGTAATTCAATACTCTTTAATAAACTCCCCTTCATATATACATCTATTCTATTAGTTCTGTCTCTCTAAAGAACCCTGACTAATATAGTTTGAGACTTACTAGTGAATTATTAATCTCCCCAAATTTCAATCTTCTCATTTGTAAAAAGTTTCTAGGATCCATATCATCGAAAGATAGGAAGATTAAATGAAATAGCTAACTCACTACTGCATACACAGTAAATACTCAATAAATATCAAATGCTACTATTATTTTCATATTCTCCAGGTATGGAGGTTTTGGCAAGGGTTGGCAGAGAAAAATTCTTTTGCTTTACAAGGGATTTCCCAAATTGGAAAACCCTGAGTGGGATATCAAAGGGATTTTTAGAATTCTCTAGCAACCCAAGGCATCCATTACAGAGTTAGAAGCAGGAGGAAGCAGATTAAAGAAAAAAAGAATAATTAGATTGAATGCTATCATGTGGTAGAGTATTTCCATGATGGATGGAATATTTTCTCCACTGCAAAATATTGTGGAGAGTTTCCTGGCAAGGAGAAACTGAAAGTTGACCAATGATTCATTCCTTCAACATTCACAGATAGCACATTATGGTTCAGGCACTAATCTAAGCCCTGGGGATACAGCAGTAAACAAAAGAGAATAAAAGCCTCTGCAGATATTAAAATCGTAGTGGAAGAGCTGGTCTTTCCAGAGGTGAGAAATAGGGTTCCGCTAAACTACAATGATTTCTCCTATCACAATGAGTAAAAGTGAGTTACAATTTTACTATTCTGAAATATAACAAGATAACCTCTAAAATGTGAATATATATATTATGCACTTCACATATGCAAGGGACTATGCTAAACCCTCTAATAGATAACTTAGCTCTTACAACAAATTTATGTCGATGTCATTATTATCACAATTCTTCCAGTGAGTAAACTGAACCACAGAGAAAGTAGTTAATTTTTCTGAGGTCACACACATATTAAATGATACAGTCAGTATTCAGGTCCAGAAAGTCTGATTCTAGAGCTCATAACCACTGCCTTATGTAGTCATGTTTAAGGCAAGTAAGAATGTCCTTTACCAGCTTGTCCTTTATCACTGTCACCATTTTTCTCTAAGACTCCACAGAGAATACTCGATTGGCACATTTCCAATACTCTTTCTCCCTGTGTAGTCATTTCCTTCCAAATCCATATGACATGAGTCAGACAGGAAAGAAATTTCAACCAAAATGGGTCACTTTTTTGCAGCTTAGGTCACATATGATTTTTTTTTTAATTTTTGAATACACAAAAATCAATATTAGGTCTGGGAGCTATGTTATATCTTCGTAAATATTTAAAAATATATTTACATTTGAATAATCTAAAATGTGCCTTTAAATATAAATGTTCCTTTTAATGAACTCCATACAAGGCCTAGACTGCAAAGAACACCTCAAATTTAATATTTTGTACAAATAGCATTGGTAAGATAATGTTATTAGGCTACTGTAAAGGTAGTTGGCAATAAAAGTGTTCTGTAAAAAAGGGGTAAGAAATTGGGGAAAATGGTTCAAGAAATATCAAGAAAATATAAAAGCAAAATTGCTAAAATACATGAATTCTTGATTTTTTAAATGTATTGCCAATTTCAGGAAAGAAAAGAGTACTAATTTGAAGGTTTTTATACAAGATCTAAAATCCATCTTTTAAAATATCTATATCACTCATTCGATGTTGATAGAATCACTGAGGTGTAAACTGGATGGGAGTGTATTTATAATAACAAGGATACTCTCTAAAAGCCAGTAACTAACATTACTATGCTTCATGGAAATACTCAACTCCGATGATTTGAACCAAAATGATCAGCTTTGATTTTGTCATTTCTATTGGTTTATGATCCAGATGTATTCTTCATGTTGTTTATACATAACCTTCAGCTGGGACTAAAATTCATGACAATAAATGAGTTTTTAATGTTTATCTGTTTATACATAATTTGAATTTAATCACAATTCATCTCTACAGCTTTAATTTCACCAGGTTACTTCACACAGTTCTTTTTGTAGCCTACCTAAAACTTTGTAGTATTTTTACTTAATCATTTAAAATATTTTAAGATCTTCTATTACAATTTTGAATGTCATGTGTAGGATATAGAATTAAGTGATAGTTTCAAGCTTCATATAAATGCAGGAAATAGTTGTGAGAAATTATAGAGCCATTTATAGAAATTTAGTACAACAGAAGCCTCATTTAATATTTTTATTGCTATTTCACATTTATAATTACTTTACAGTACAAAAGTGATTTTAAATCTTCCTTATGCTAGTCTTCTTTGCAGTATCATGATTTACCCAAGTACTCCTATTTTCAGTTTTAACTTCTTAAGTATAGAAAAATGGCTAACTTTTAGAATCCCTTAAACCCAAAGGGGCAGTGTGTCATAACTAAATACTAGGATAGGTAATCTCAGCAGAAGATAAATCATATTCTACCTCTGTTACTCATTGTATTTTAACCCTTTAAAACATAGATTATTCATCTGTAAAACTGAGGTCAATTATACCTGCTTCACAGGGTGGTTGCCAGGAAGTAAGGCAATACAAATTAACAGGTGGCTTGATCTAGAGTAGGTTGCTTTCTATGCCTGCAGTCTTTGGCTTATAGTAAGTTATTCTTCCCTTCTTCAAAGAGTATCATCTTTATTTCTTAAACAAATTTATAATTAAATAAATATTTGTATTGAAAATTTATATTATTTAACAAGAGCTTTGCCATATTCATGGAATAGCACAGCCATATAAGTTTGGGGCTCAGAGAATTTTAAGTCAAGTTATAAGAAGTCAAATGTGGGGTTTCAGCCCAGCTGTGTTTGTGTATATATATCACACATATGAACATCTCTGTCTGCGTAGATCTTAATTGGGAGAGGGATGTGATTCACTTTGTCAGTTTCAGTTTCAAGGTGTTTTTCACATCTTGAAGTGTTAGATTTCTTTAAAAGTTGTAAGTAGCCTTTGGAAGTTTGAAAAGAGAAAGAGAGAGAGAACTAAAAATCAGGGTTAAGATATTTTAAAATAAAATTATTATTTACCATGTCATGTCAACAATCATGTGGAAGAGGGGCCAGGATATTGAAATCTGAGTTTGAAATGATGACAGTATTTTAGAGGTATGATCTAGAAATAATATTAATTTTTACTATGAAAAAATATTGATATGATTTGACTGTGTGTCCCAACCCAAATGTCTTCTCAAATTGTCATTCCCACATATTGAGAGAGGGATGTGTAATCCCCAGATGTTGAGGGAGTGAGGTGATTGGATCATGTGGACAGTTTCCCCCATTCTGTTCTCATGATAGTGAATGAGTTATGAGATCTGATGGTTTTATAAAAGTTTGAGAGCTCCTCCTTCACATGCTTTTTTTCATGCTGATTTGTGAAGAAGGTATCTGCCTCCCCTTCTGTATGATTTTAAGTTTCCTGAGGCCTCTCTAGCCATGTGGAACTATGAGTCAATTAAACTTCCCTTCTTTATAAATTATCCAGTCTCAGGTATTTTTTATAGCAATGTAAAAATGGACTAATGCAGTAAATTGATACTGGGAGTGGGGCACTGCTATAATGATACCCAAAAATGTGAAAGCAACTTTGGAACTGGGTAACAGGCAGAGGTTGGAACAGTTTGGAGGCCTCAGAAGAAGACAGGAAACTGTGGGAAAGTTTGGGACTTTCTAGAGACTTGTTTAATGGTTTTGACCAAAATGCTGATAGTGATATGGAAAATGAAGTCCAGGCTGAGGTAGTCTCAGGTGGAGATGAGGAACTTATTGGGAACTGGAGCAAAAGTAACTCTTGCTATGCTTAAGCCAAGAGACTGGTGGCATTTTGTCCCTGCCCTAGAGATCTGTGAAACTTCGAACTTCAGAGAGGTGATTTAGGGTATGTGGCAGAAGAAATTTGTAAGCAGCAAAGTGTTCAAGAGCAAGCAAAGCATACAAGTTTGAAAAATTTGCAGTCTGACCATTAGGTAGAAAAGAAAAACCCATTTTCTGGGGAGAAAGTCAATTCAGTTGCAGAAATCTGCATAACTAACAAGAAGTCAAATGTTTATAGCCAAGACAATAGGGAAAATGTTTCCAGGGCATAACAGAAACCTTCACAATAGCCCCTCCTATTACAGGCCTCGAGTCCTAGGAGGGAAAAATGGTTCCCTGGATCTGGCCCAGGCCCCCCTCCTGCTGTAGGCAGCCTAGGAAGTTTGTGCCCTGTGTCCCAGCCATGGCTAAAAGGGTCCAGTGTAGTGCTCAGGTCATTGCTTTAGAGGGTGCAAACCCCAAGCCCTGGTGACTTACATGTGGTGTTGGGCCTGCGTGTGCACAGAAGTCAAGAATTGAGGTTTAGGAACCTCCACCTAGATTTCAGAGGTTGTATGGAAATGCCTGGATGTCCAGGCAGAAGTTTGCTGCAGGGGCAGACCCTCATGAAGAACCTCTGCTGGGGCAGTGCAGAAAGGAAATGTGAGGTTGGAGCCCCCACACAGGTTCCCCACTGGTCACTGACTAGTGGAACTATGAGAAGAGGGTCACCATCCTTCAGCCCCCAGAATGGTAGATCCACTGACAGCTTGCACCATGTGCCTAGAAAAGCCACAGGCACTCAATGCAAGCCCATGAAAGAGCTGCCCAAGACTGTTGGAGCCCACCCCTTGCATCAGCATGCCCTGAATGTGAGACATGGAGTCAAAGGAGATCATTTTGGAGCTTTAAGATTTAATGAATGTCCTGCTAGATTTTGGACTTGCATGGGGCATGTAGCTGTTTTGTTTTGGCCAGTGTCTCCCATTTGGAACAGGAGCATTTAACCAATGCCTGTACCTTCATTTTATCTAAGAAGTAACTAACTTGCTTTTGATTTTACAGGCTCATTGGCAGAAGGGACTTGCCTTGTCTCAGATGAGATTTTGGACTGTGGACTTTTGGGTTAATGCTGGAACGAGATAAGACTATCTGTGGGACTGTTGGGAAGGCATAATTGGTTTTGAAATGTGAAAAAACGTGAGATTTGGGAGGGGCCAGGAGTGGAATGATATAGTTTGGCTCTGTGTCCCCACCGGAATCTCATCTCAAATTTTAATTCTCATGTGTCAAGGGAGTGACCTGTAATCCCCACATGTTGAGAGAGGGAGGTGATTGGTTCAGGGGGTGGTTACCCTCATGTGTTCTCAGGATAGTTTATGAGTTCTCAGGAGATATGATGGTTTTATAAGTGTGTGATAGTTCCTCCTTAACATGCTCTCTTTCCTGCTGACTTGTGAAGAAGGTACCTGCTTTCCCTTCCACCATGACTGTAAGTTTCCTGAGGTCTTCCAAGCCATGCAGAACTGTGAGTCAATTAAGCCTCTTTCCTTTATAAATTATCCAGTCGCTGGTACTTCTTCATAGCAGTGTGAAATGGACTAATACAAATATGAATGGCAATACTGTTTAATTAACAACTAAAATTGACTTGTTTTATGTAGAAGTACTCTTATCTAAGAGGCAAAGTGGACAAAAAGTTGGCATGAGGCAGCAACACAATGCTGAACTTTTCCCTTAAATACCCCCTTTAGTGAATGTAATAGAAATAGATTTTAAGAATGGAAGCACAAACAATCTCTCAGTATCTTTAACCAAACTTGAATTAAATCAATGTAAAGAGATGGAAATGGCCATCATGATCATTGTTTTGTTTATTTATGGCTTGTTTGCTCTTCTTTGCTTTATTAATGTAACTATTTTCTTGAAGTAAAAATACTACATGGGAAATTTCATTAAGTCTACAGGCATATAAAGCTATCTTTAATAGAAATAAATAAAAACAAAAGTAATAGTGGCAGCTTATATTCATTGATTGCTTTCAATGTCAGTATTATATGTTTCATTGAATTATTACTCCACATTTTACCAATTTATTCATTTATCAGATTTAAAAAAACAGACGAAGTGGGGAAGTAAATTACTCATGGTCACACAGAACATGCACAGGTTGATCTCTCTCCACTTGTGTTGAGAATGTAAGCATGTTTATGTTGCAGCTACAAAGGAATGTCATTAACGCAAGTGATTTTTAAATTGTGACGCAATTACCTAGGTGATGTTACTTGATCCATTGAAAGAGCAACAGCTTCTTTTCCTCTTGAAATCATTTAAGTTTTGCTCTTAAAGCCAGGTTTCTTTTTTTTTTTTTTTTTTTTTGAGATGGAGTCTCGCTCTGTCGCCCAGGCTGGAGTGCAGTGGCGCGATCTCGGCTCACTGCAAGCTCCGCCTCCCGGGTTCACGCCATTCTCCTGCCTCAGCCTCCAGAGTAGCTGGGACTACGGGCGCCCACCACCACACCCGGCTAATTTTTTTTGCATTTTTAGTAGAGACGGGGTTTCACCGTGTTAGCCAGGATGGTCTCCATCTCCTGACCTCGTGATCCACCCGCCTGGGCCTCCCAAAGTGCTGGGATTACAGGCGTGAGACACCACGCCCGGCCAAAGCCAGGTTTCTTCATTGGGCTTCAGGAATTTGGGGTTGTCCTTAAAGTCATATGTAAAATCGTGTGTGTGCAAGTGTGAGCATGTGTTTGGGTGTCTATGTGGATATGTTATGTGGTTGTGTATGTGTATGGGTGCATTTTTCTAGGTAGAGAAGGACCAATAGCTATTGTCTGATTTTCAAAAACTCCCATGATACAAAATAAGTTTAGAAGCCATTGTTTATAGGGAGCAATGTTTTAGATCAGTAGTTTGAATGCCTTTCTGCACATTATAACACCTTGAAAGATTTGTAAAAATATTAATTATAGGCTCCACCAATTTATCTAATTGGTATTAGGTGTGGCTCAGGCATTGCCCTGGCTTAAGCTCTTTAAGCCATCCTAATCCTAATGCAGAATTAGGGTGGAGAACTACTTTTTAAAATTGGATCATATGTATCCTTTCAATATTGTAACAATAGCACACTCATCCTTTTATTTTTATAAGAGAGGATAACTTAATTTTAGTTTTCAGATAGCTTTTTTTTTTTTTTTTACACAACAGCTTTTCTGTCTTAAAATATATTTAACTATAGTTCTTTAGTGTGCTTTTTATTTGTCTACAGCTATTGAGGAGTTCTTGGGGCTTAACTGTATCATTGTTTTCCATATAAATAAGTTTAGGAAAGAGACATTAGCATTGTGATTTTAAGGAATAAAACCTTCAGGGACAAAATATAAGCTACTTAAAGTAATTAGCATAATAATACATTACATGATCAGGCTGACAAAAGAATAACATTTTGCTCATTAATTCAGATTCTCAGAAGAGATTGGCATATGTCCTGTTCTCTGAAGTATTAAGCATTTTCAGTAGAGAAAGCCATACTTGAAATCATCCTTAAAATTGATATGCTATCTGAAGATCACTCATTAATATGATGCCACTAGGACCAGTTAAAGGTCCTTTCACATAGAATACAAGACAAAAAAAAGTAAGTTTTTGTGTGTGTGTGTTTGTGTGTGTGAGAGAGAGAGAGAGAGATTTTCATACTTTAATTAAAATAACAGCACTTATTATTTTATAACAATACAAAAATAACAGTTACTACTTCAGGATTCTTTTATACAGTGTCTTTGGAAATAAAGTCTCTCAATTTCATCTAAGGGATATCTGTTTTTCTTTGATACCATTTTAAGAAAACCAATGAAAGAGCTACTTTTCAGAATTGGAGATGAAGCTGATACTCCATTAAAATAGTGATGGATGGTTAGAAAAAGCTAATAAAAATAATAATAGTAACATATTAAAATTTTATATTAAACCCTCTCTGCAGCCCTACTATTTATAGTGTATGTATTTTAACATTTAAATTTAAGACTATAAGTGCAGGTTTGATATATAGGTAAACTTGTGTCATGGGGGTTTGTTGTACAGATGATTTTTTCACCCAGCTATTAAGCCTAGCACCCATTAGTTATTTTTCTTGATCTTCTCCCTCCTCACAACCTCTGCTTTCTGTTAGGCCCCACTATTTGTTGTTCCGCTCTATATGTCCATGTGTTCTCATCATTTGGCTCCAACTTATGAGAACATGTGGTGTTTGGTTTGCTGTTTCTGCGTTAGTTTTCTAAGGATAATGGCCTCCAACTCCATCCATATCCCTGCAAAGGACATAATCTCGTTCTTTTTTATGGCTTCATAGTATTCCATGGTGTACATGTACCACATTTTCTTTATCTAGTCTACCATTGATGGGCATTTAGGTTGATTCCATGTCTTTGCTATCGTGAACAGTGCTGCACTGAACATACATGTGCATATATCTTTATAATAGAATAATTTTTATTCCTTTGGGTATTTACCCAGTAATGGGATTTCTCGGCCAATTGGTATTTCTGTTTTTTGGTCTTTGCGGAATCACCACACTGTCTCCCACAATGGTTGAACTAATTTACACTCCCGTCAACGTGTAAGTGTTCCTTTTTCTCCACTACCTCGTGAGCATCTGTTATTTTCTGACTTTTTAATAATAGCCATTCTGACTGGTGTGAGATGATATGCCATTGTGGTTGTGATTTACATTTCTCTAATCATCAGTGATGTTAAGCTTTTTTTCATTTGCTTATTGGCCACATGTTTGTTTTCTTTTGAAAAGTGTCTTTTTAAGTTTTTTGCTGACTTTTTAATGGGGCTTAAACAGCCTTATTTTTAATGTGAGGAAACTGGGGCTTAAGGGATTTATTTATTCAAGTTCACACAGCTAATAGAAGTGGGATAAACATCTAGTGCCTCCTGACTCCAGAGACAAAATATTCTTAACCCCTATTTTTTCTATGTTTGTGCCCCTTGTTTATACTTCTTCTCTGGACAGCCCACTTGAATTTGTGAGCTGATTATCATGATGAGCAGAACGGGGACACTATTTCTCAAAGCTACTAACATGGGCCTCAGCCTTAAGGACTAAATACAAGAGTATGTTGGGGTATAAAAGGCAATGACTCTGGAAGCCCCAAATCAGCTCTGAAAAGTTCTAAAGAAATACACTACCTTTGCTTATGCAAATGTCTCTTACCATATTTTAACATATAATGTTTTTGTTTGTTTTTCCATTCTAGAGAGCTACTTTTCTAATATTATACCAAATAGAGGGTGAGTAATGTGGTTCTAAGTTTTATTATAGCTTTTAAGTTCTATGATTGTAACTAAACTTAGGAGACACATAGGATACCTATGCTTCTTTCTTATATTGCCCATTTTATTTGCGTGGAGAGAGGCAGGTGAAACCACCCACTGAAGCCAGTGTTAACTGTGATACTGCTAATAGAGCAGACTCCATCTGATAAAATAATACACTAACTCTGTGTGTGTGTGTGTGTGTTACATATGTTCTTAGACCCACTACTTTCCAACAGAGTCATGTCCTAAATAATGATTATTCCAAGATGTAGATTGATCCTGAATATAAGTAGCAATAATTCATCCCTACCATTTTTTCTCTAGCCTCAGTTTAATATTCCAGACCTATCTGTATTTTCACTATGCCAATTATAATTTCCAAACTCTGACTTCTCTTACATACTCTGCAGGGAATCATTAAGTTTTTAGAAAAAGCCTGTTGACTGGTATTTACTCTAAGTGAATAAAAGTATTAATATTTTGCACAGATATAAGAAAGCATGAAAATCAGTCAGTGATGTGAACTAATGTGCTGACTTCACAATATTCTTTGACATCTATTCTAAGAACTGGGCCTTATATCAATGTCCATAGAAAAAAAGAATAGATCAGATGAAACGATACAAATCTGGGTGAGTTGGAGAAACAACTAAAAAATGAGTTGTATTCAAAAAACATATTTGGTTTTAAATATTTATACCAAACTTCAAAACGCTCTTTTCTCTCTGTCTTTTGGAGGAGGTAGGTTCCCTACATTTCTCCCTGTCTTCACCCCACCCGAGTCTCCCTGTGCTTAACTAAGACTTGTACGTGCACTTCTCATGAATTATGATGAGTACAGTTAGATTTCTTAAGCTACCTTATAGAGGACCCATAAAAGTATTTCCCAATAATAACCAGAAAATGACATGGTTTTCTTCCAGATGTGCAACAACCATGATCGCACATCTTTGAGTACAGAAGCATTTACTTTCTGATCATAATTCCATTCTTACAGGCCAGTCTCACCAATTGTTTTCCAAGTGGTGAGAATGACATTACTGGAAACATTTTTGTGTCTCATATTTGTTTCCCATATTTAAACGGGGCAACAAAACCGTGCATTTCTTTGTCCTATCTGGAAGATAATTTTTATACTCATTTATATATGTATTTATTTATCTAATAAGTGCTATTTGATATTAGATTGTCCATCTCTTTTTCATATTCCTTATATGTCTGACTTTAAAGCCTGTTTTAGGTCAAATGTTTGTCTATTTTTAGTATATTCATTTTCTTGAACATACTAACATTTATAGTCTTATCTCTCATCATTTCATTCTCTAAAATAATTTCATTTGACTATCATGTTTCAAATATGCACAATTCTCATTATCTTGGTGCAATTTTAAATGTCTTTCAAGGCATTTTTCCTCTTCCATCATTGGTTTTTAATGATCTTGACTCTAGACACAATTTAGAATCTAGTAAAATTATATATACTTATGCTTTAACCATATGTGTGTATGTGTGTGTGTATATACATATGAAACTATGTGTATATATGTATATGTGTGTAGTATATATATGTATATGTGTGTAGCAATAAATGCTTATGTAAAGGTGACTCTTTCATATCTCATTTGATAATAATTGACATATGGCACATAGTTGAACTTTATACACCAGTAGTGACTATGAATAATAAAATATGTATTCCTTTATAGAATATAGATGTCATTTTTTGTGAATATAAATAACACAGCATGTAGTTGAACTTTATACACCAGTAGTGTCTATGAATAATAAAGAATGTATTCCTTTATAAAATGTAGATATTTTTGTGAATATAAACAATATTTTAATCAGCTTCTTTTCAGTATGCCATGATAATTATAATAATTAACTTTAAAAAATAATTTTAGTCTTACCAGATTTTCATAATTTGGCAATGGGAGTAAGCAAGTGTAATCCAAGAATAGTTAACATCTATAAGGTCAAATATTTGTAGCATCAAGTTAAATAGCAATATTGATCCCCATGTAGATAATTCTTGCTGTTGCTATTCACCAATTTAATGCTGACACATTGTTCCATCTTTCACTAATTCATGGGCCCAGTGACATTTTGATTCATGCTCCTAGTCTTCAAATTTAAACACACTGTGATAAAAACTGTCTGAATTGAAACATAAATTAGTGGAGAATTAATTAGTTTGGCAAAGGTATTAAACCACACTCTAGTACCATGTCATTTTCAAAACTCGTATCCAACAGGTAGTTTTAAACTGAAATTTACTCCTAATAAAAGATTTTGGTATGACCATCAGTAATTCAATTACCAGGAACTCAAATGTGCAATTTAATATTCCAACAATAAATGAATTGAATCTTAATAGAAGACCTAAAATCTTATTATAAAACACTGTGTACATTTCTTTCCAGGCATATACTTCTCAGTAACTTGACTTTGCCTACCACATCCTTTTCCTTTCTTTCCTCAGGCTTCTATCTCTCTTTGTACATATAAACAGCCTGATAGCTTTTATTCTGGAGATACCCATTTTGGAAGATTTTGTAAAAGTTTAGCTACTCTCGCCAATGTGATTTTTACCCCTAACAGCAAACAGCTTGATGCTGTGTCTCGGAATACTTTTCTCATTCTATAAAATGTCAAATCATTAGGTGAAATATTTAGAAATATGGTACACAAAAATGTTTCCAGGAGTGTCATTCTCACAACCTGTAAAATAATTGACTGAACTATAAGAACGGAATTATGATCAGAAACTAAACCCTAGTATACTCAAAACCTATGCAGTTCTCAATTTTAGTTGATGACCACCTGATTTTAAATACACATTCACTAAAGGATAAACAGGATTCAATCGGTGTTTTTATATTTTGAGTATCAAATTTGAATGTCAACTTTCCACCTGTTAGATGCTCAGATTACATATTATTGTACTTTAATAAAAGTTAGGCCATTGTATCTTCCTCCTTCAACTTTTCTAGATACCAATGATAAAGAAACCCTTGAGTGCAAGTATCACTGGTGATTGCCAATGTGACAATAATTATTTTCAAAGTTACTGTTTTGCCTCTGTTAGAGCTACCTCTGCTTGAGCTACCTCAGATCAGTGAAGATATGTTCTTTGTTTCTTTTGTTTTAAATACAATTTCTACTTTAGGTTATGGCATTTCTAGCCTCATTTCAAAATAATAAAAACTTACACATAAAGAGTTAAAGATTGCAACTTAACCACAATCCTAAAGGAGTTGGGGCCATTACTAATAATTGAAGTATGTCACCATTCTCTACCTTCCTAAACTACAAATTCATTTTTTATTTAAAACACATATTTGTAACATAAAAACAAAGGAATACTACAATTGGCACTAAGATTCCCACACTCAAACAATCCACTACAGTTTATTTAATCTACAATGAGATTCAATTATTGCACCATAACTAGCCTATTTTTGGTGTCAAGGAGAAGAAGTGGGTTGCATAATTCAGGAAGGAGAAGAAAGATACACCCATGTTCTCCCCATCCATATCTGATGCAGAAGAGGCCTAAGAAAACTTTCAGTACTTTTCTCTCTTCCTTTCCTACATTCTTTATCTATTTATCTTAGTTTCTACTACTATTTTCACTGCTTTTCTTTACTAATACTGTTTGCAAATCATTTGTCTCATCATAATCAAAACTTCCATAACTCAACTAATTATTGACTTATTGAAATTCCCATATACCATTGATTATTAAATTTACTCATATCATATGAGGACAGTATCTAATTTCTCATGCCAGCCAACTGAATTTTCATTTCAAAAAACTATATTTTTTGTATAAGGGTTAAAATAGAAACTCAGATATTATAGAAAGATATATATATTTGGGCAGAGATCTCAAAAGATGGGACAGGCCTTGTCTGAAATTCAAACATCAGAATAAGCCTCCATATGTGCTCTTTCTGCTTTTCATATTTTCCCCCTTACTCTATCTCAGAATTTACAAATTCTTTTAATAGTTGTGTGTTTTCATAACAGGCGCAATGGCTACAGCAGTGTGGTGTTCCCTAGAGAAGGGTTAGGTGTAGGTGCTCTCACATTTCGATTATTTGTAACTTGTGAGTTTCTGATCAGAGACACAATGATTTAAATCTCTTTGGACTAAGAAAAACTCTTAGTTTTTGGTCTTAGTCCAAATGCTCTTTTTGGTCCTTGCTTTTGACATTCCTCTTTAGTCTGAAAACTAAATTAGAGTCCATGAGTTATTCCAATTTTCCCTAGCAACCTTCTGTTTTTACCTCGATTTGCTATGTTGATCTATTCTCATTTTTTTCTTTGTTTTTCTCTGAAAAAAATAGAATCTTCTTACAATCCATCTTTTAATCCTTCATCCTTTACTTTTTACCCCAGTCAGCATGCTATATTTGCCCTTTATCTGGGTAGATTAAACCTTGAGCTGAACACGTCAGATATTTCTTTTCTAGACAGAAATGTGTGGCTTTACTCTGAGTATTTTCTCTTTAAAAGTTCCTCTCTAGCTAAGAGCAACTTCTCTTTCAACCTCAGGCCTTGTTTCTGACCATCTCTCTTGCATTAATCATAGGCCATGGTGTATTACTAGCTGCCTATTTTTTGGCATCTGCATACAGTGTGGCTTCCAGTTATTTATTCCATCTCTGACTTTCTTCTTGGATTTACTAGTGATGCTTATGATGACATGATATTAAGTTTATTATTCAGATATACTCCTTTAGTTAGTTTAATGTTGGAAAATGTTGGTCTGCATACTTACTTGCTTTGTCAAAAGTGGCTTTAAAACAGTATTTCAACCAACAGAACCTGAAATTTCTGACTCCCAACCACTTGTCTCTCTATGTATCTGTCTGTCTTTATTGTTTTTCAACTGAATTGAGGTATGTTTTTGTGTTTCTTAAATAAATACCTTGGGTCATCTGTCAGGTGGAAGTTTAATGTTTTAAGAAACTTGCAGATTTCTTGGTTTTCCAACGTGGTACTATTTGACATGCATATCAGCAGTTTATAAGAGTTCAAATTGTTCCATATGGTTATCAATACCAACTATTGTTAGCTTTTTAATTTTAACCATTCTTAACCATTCTCATGGGAGTGTAGTAGTATATTGCTGTGGTTTTACTTTGGATTTTCCTAATGAGACACATGCATTTCATGCACTTATAACTTACAACTTCTTTTGAAAAATATCTGCTGAGATCTACCTATTTTTTTGAAGCATTTATCTTCTTATGATTAAGTTGTAAGAGTTCTTTATACATTCTAGAGGGATATAAGCACTTTGTCAGCTCTATGTGTTATTCATAATATCTCCCAGGTTATGACTTGTCTCTTCCTAACAGGGTCTTTGAAGATCATTTAAAAATTTTTCATAATATTCAATTTATTATTTTTTTCTTTAGTGGCTTATGGTTTTATACCCTATTTATATCATCTTTGCTGACACCAAAGTCACATGGATTTTCTTTGTTTTCTTCTAAAAGTACTATACTTTCATTTTTACTTTTAGACTCATAATTCACTTTGTGTTCTCTTTCATGTATGATGTGAGGGAAGGAAAGATGCTTTTTTTTTGCTTTTCCTTGTGGATTTCTAATTTTCACAGCACCATTTGTGAAAGGTCTTTCTGTTCCCAGTTGATTGCCTTGACACCTTTGTTTTAAAAAAAATTACTCAACCAAATAGGTGCGGGTTTATTTCCGAACTCTATTTTTCCCATTAATCTATGAAGATGATTCTTGTGCAAGGACTATATTACTGGATAAAAACAGATGGAAAATGAGTTTTCACATAATATAAGTGTTACAGTTTTCTTTTTGTTCTTGTTATTGCTTTGGTTATTCTATGTTGTTAACTTTCCACATAGATATTAGAATCAGCTTGTCAATATCTAATATATATATATACACTAGTAGTATTTTGATTGAGAATAGGGTACATTTGAAGGTTAATTTGAGAAAAATTGCCAACTTAACAGTATTGAGTCTTCCTACGCATCAGCAGAGACTATTTCTTCATTATTGTGTCTGTTGTATTTACATTTTCTCAACTATCTTTTATAGTTTTCAGTTAAAAGTCCTTTAACATTTGTTACATTCATTCCTAAGTAGATTTTTAATAATATTTTAAGTGGAATTTTTTATTTTAATTTACTTCCAATCTTTTATTGTGAATGTACGTGTGTATACATATACATGCACACAGTTAATACTTGCACGTAACCTTGTTCCTATAGCCCTATTATATTCAATTGTTATTCCTATGATTTTCATATGTTAAGCCTTGCATTTCTGGGATGAACCATATCTAACATTGAATTAATATGCTAATATGTTTTACAAATATTTATGTTTATGTGCATGAGGACTATTTGTACCTAACTTTATTTATAGTTTTAATGTCTGCAGGTTTTGGTATAATATTTATGATGGCCTCCTAAAACAAGTTGGGGAAACTAATTTCTTGTCTATATTCTGAAAGATTTTGCATATTTTTTTTATATTTATTTATCTGAAATGTCTTTAGCATGCCTTTATTTCTGAATCATATTTTGCTAGATATGGAAATCTGATTTGATAGTTTATTTACTTTTTTCTTTCAGTTCTTTAAAGATACTGGACTTCTATCTTATTGCCTTCATACATTTTTCTGAGAAGTCCCTGTCACTCAATTTTTTTCTAAAACAATTGTAATATGTTGTTTTTCTCTAGCTGCTTTCAAGATTTACTCTTTATCTTTGTCTTTAGTGCATTGATTATGATGTGTGCATAGTTTTGTTCATGCTAAACCCATGTGGGGTTCACCGAATATCTTAAAACTGTTCATTTGTGTTTCTCCAAATTAGTTATTTTCATTATCTCTTCAAATATTTTTTTCTATCATTTGTTCCTTCTCTCTTTTGGAACTCTACACATATTTTAGATCTATTTCCACACAATAGGGATCCTGACTCCCTGATTATTTTTTTCCTATTATTTTTTCTCTGTTCTTAAAATTCAATAAATTCTATTTGTTATCTCCAAGGCCACTGACTCTTTTCTCTGCTATTGAGCCCATTCCAGAAATTTTTTATTTCAGGTAATGTATCTTCATAGTTCTAAAGTTTCCATCTGATTGATTTAAAATCTTTTATATTTCTCTTTTGAGATTTCACATCTTTCCATTCATCATAATGCTACTTCTTTTAATTCATTGAACATAGTAACACCACCTGTTAATGTCCTTGAACTATGATATCTGAGTCATCTCAGCATTGATCTCTGATGCTTTTCTTTCGTAAATGGGTCAAATTTCCACATTTCCCTATATTTCTTATACTCACATAATTTTAAATATTATTTTGGACACTGTGAATGTTATTTTGTGGAGGCTGTGGATTTTATTATATTCCTTCAGAAAAGTCTTAAATTTTTTGTTTGTTTCAACAGGTAGTGATGTAGTTAGACTCAAAATGCAAAACCTTTCCCATCTACAGTGGGGGGAAGACCCTTTCTCCGTTAAATTTTTGCACCTTGTCTAAGGTGTTTATTGTTCAAGCATTAGCCAGCTACTTGGTCAGAGTTAACACACAGGAACTGGGGTTCCTTTGCTGCGACACTCTTTGTTCAGGATTGCTCCCTCACTTCCTGGTGACTATGGCCCTTCAGCCGTTCTTTTATAGTTTTACAAGACAGAAAGATTGCAGGTTTTCTTATGGAGCTTCAGCTGCCCTGGGCTGGGTAGTGATCATGGCCTATCCTCAAACTAAACCTGCAAAATAAGAACCATCCTCCTCTGATCCCATTTTCCATATTTTGACTCCCCTTCAAATCCTGCCTGCACATTTCACCCTACAAAACCTTCAAGTAATTATTTTTGTATTTTGTGCACATTTTGTAGTGGTTAATTGCTGGAGGGTTGGTGTTAGCAGCATGGTCCTTATATTGGAAGCTAAATACTAATTTTTACTTTTGTATTTATTTGAATAATATATCCCTGCTCTTATATAAGCTATATCAAAGAAAATATGTCTATTTTTGTTTGCAATGCTATTGCCAAATTCTAAAAAAGGCAATCATATGTAAGAGGAACATTCTAAATATTTATACGATCAGAAATTAATTTAAAAAAAACCTTTTGCTTGTGCAGTATAGTAGAAAAGCAATAGAGGTAGATTCAAAACAGGAAGACTTTAGTGCTAGAGTTGTTAAAGAACTTAGAGAATGTAAAAATATTAATTTATTTTTTTGTTTTCTCATGCTTAAAAAGGCATCTTTGATTATACCTTTTATTAGTTCTTCCTTATTCTTAGGTTTGTGTATACATTTTATGGAGAATCCTCAAGCTAAGGTGGCACTTTCTCTAACATTTTGATTTTGCTTCTATGATAGCAGTTATCACATTATATTAAAATATTTTATTTATCTTTTTTTCTCTTATTTTTTAGCACAATGAGGGCAGGGACAGTGTCTCATTTTCACCTTTATTATGTGAGCACCAGGTACAGAGATTGCCTCAAGCACATTTCACAAAGGATACATGATTGAATGACCAAGCAAATTTTTGGTGATTTTTCTTTTGAGTACGACATCAGGTAGTGCTGATAAAACTACTCAAGATGATAAATATGGCATTTTTGGCAGTTATATTTCCTGTGACCGTATAGATTAGACACAAATATTACTCCAGAGACTTGCAGCTTTGCATAGTTACTATATCATGACTGTCAACCTCCCAAAAGACATACTGACCTTCCTTAATCAGTGCATCATTTGGAATATGTGGTAATAGAGCTTCTTGACAACTTTTAAGCGTAAAAACTGTAGTCTGCATGTAAAAGATTCCCTTGTGCAAGCAGGCCTTGATTTCCATCTTCTTCCTGCTTGTATTTAAGTGTTCTTTGCTGACTCTGCACATCTTCTTTAACATGTAAGAATGCAATCATTAGCAGTTTCTGGATTACTGTCCTGAGGATTTATCATGATCTTCATAGCCTGCTGAGTTAAAAACTTTCCCAGAGGACCAGAAGCACATTATGACACCAGCTTCCATTTTTAGCATATGTCCCAGGTTAAATTTAATATAATGATGGCTGCTTTAAAACAAACATTTCTTCCATTTAAGAATATGCTTCTTTTAATCAAAACATATTTTTTCCAATGAGAGTAAAAAATAAAATGGCAACCACGCAAAAAAGACAAAAGAAAATTGGCATGACTATCAAATAGACAATTATCTCTTCATATATTTGATTAGATCATCAGGTTAACTTTACTTGGTGAAGGTGTTGGTATTATAGGGAAGCAATTTTCTGTAATTCAGGTTTTTTTTCTGCAAAAGTTCAAAATCTGAGCATGTATGGTCTCACAAGTGGGAGCTAAGCCATGCATACACACAGTTGTACAGAGTGGTATAATGGACATTGGAGACTCAGAAGGGATGAACAAGGGAGGGGAGTGAGGGGTAAAAAAGAAAAAATCACCTATTGGGTGCAATGAACACTATCTGGGTGATAGGTACACTACAAGTCCAGACTTCACCATTATACAATTTACCCATGTAACCAAAAGCCATTTGTACCCCTAAAACTATTGAAATAAAAAAATCTTTAAAACCTTCTGAGCATGTAAACAGATTACTTATTTTTCTTCTCCTCCCCACTCAATTATTTATTTTTCGAGACTCAAAATGTCATATCTAGCCTCATACTATTAACATACATCAGCCATTTTGAACACTGGTTCTACAGTATATAAATACACATCAGCCATTTTAACATTTGTATATACTCTTCATTAATAGATGTCATAATGTATGGTTACAAATAAGAAAATAGTCATATTATATGAGAACTGAGTTCTAGGGAAATTATCTCTGGAATTTTTTGTTGTTTGTTGTCTCCTGTCAGATTATTGTTATCTTATTACACTTATGGACTTATGTGCCAAAATGTCTCAAATATAAGTGGAAATGATCATGTCAGTCTTGATTTAAATTATTGAAACTATTAGGATTTTGAGAGCAAAGGAGGCACAATGAATATTGAAAGTTAAACAGACAAAACAAGTACAGTAGCCTACCTGGTCTTCTTGCTTTTTTTTAATTTTATTATTATTATACTTTAAGTTTTAGGGTACATGTGCACAACGTGCAGGTTTGTTACATATGTATACATGTGCCATGTTGGTGTGCTGCACCCATTAACTCATCATTTATCATTAGGTATATCTCCTAATGCTATCCCATTCCCTTCCCCCGACCCCACAACAGTCCCCGGTGTGTGATGTTCCCCTTCCTGTATCCATCTGTTCCCATTGTTCAATTCCCACCTATGAGTGAGAACATGTGGTGTTTGGTTTTTTGTCCTTGCGATAGTTTGCTGAGAATGATGGTTTCCAGCTTCATCCATGTCCCTACAAAGGACACAAACTCATCCTTTTTTATGGCTGCATAGTATTCCATGGTGTTTATGTGCCACATTTTCTTAATCCAGTCTATGCATCATTTCCTGTCAGCTATTCTCCATCTATCAGGGTTTTTAAAAATGTGAATCAAGTCATACTACTTCCTTGCTCAATCCTCCAGCAGATTCTCATGGGCAATCACATTTAGAATACAATCTAAAGCATCTTTCAAACCCTAGCAGCCCCACATGACATGGACTCTCACTATTTCTCCAAGCTGGTGACCTAATCTCCACTGCAGCTCATTGTCTGCTTCAGCCACTTGTTACCCTGCTGTTCATGAAGCCAAACATCCTTCTTTCTCAGGGATGTATTTGCTACCCCCATTGCCTAGGACACTTTTCACCCAGGTATTCATTTGGCTCTCCTATATTTCCTTCATGCCCTAGAAAGCTGTCTTTTGCAACTCATCCAAAGTATCTCCCAACCGTCATATCTCAGTCTCTTTATCCTGTTTTGTTTTTCTGTTTAACATTTATCACACTTTTCATATACTTACTTATTGCCTCTCTTTTAATAGAATATATCCTTAATAAGGGCAAAGGCTTCACTGCTTTACTGTACCCTGTATCTTTCTCATTTTTAGCTGCTTTGTTTACTAAAGCCCATTTCCCAGTAGATTTCTAAAAAGAGGATCTTAAGAGATAATTATTTGAAGCTTTGCATATATGAAAATGTCGTCAATCTATCATCCACCTACACATAATAATGAAGGCACTGTTTTATAAAATCTAGTGTGCTGCTAAGAAACGATACCATTTTTTCCCTCTTTTTTGTCACTGTAACTTTTTTCCTTCTTCATTTCTGGACACTAAGCTCTTCTTTGTTCCTGTTTTCCTGAAACTGCTGGGAAATGTACCTTAGTGTGGGCCTCTTCCCTTTCATTATACAAGAAATTTGATGGATTCTTTCATAATGGAGACTGGAATTCTTGGGTTTTGGAGACCTTTCTTCTACTACTGTTTTGCTAACTTTCTCTTCCCTCTTTTTCTGTTTTTGGAAATCCTGTTAAAAAGATGTTGGAGATTTTTGATTTATACTCCAAATTGCTAATTGTAGCAGTATTTCTCAATTCTTAGTTTTGACTTTTTTTACTGTTGAAGAGATGTCCTTAAATGTTTCTGCTGACCATTCTGGTGAGGGAAGGAATAGTATATAAGTAATTATCTTTGTAATTTCCAAGAGCTTGTTTGTCCTCCGATTTTTTATAGCATACATGTTTTATGCTTATATTCAGCATTGCTCTCATCCTGAAAATAAATTAGTTTTCTTTAGTCTTTGTTTCCTAGGCATTCTTTTCTTCTATTTGTTTATTTTATCTCCTTTTTCACTGGCGGAGGTTTTCCCTAGGTTGCTGTGGACCCCTAGCTGCCCTTTCCTATTTAAGTGTGAGTTGATTCATTGACAGAACTGGCCACCTGGTGGTGATTTAATGTCAATGTTGCATTTTCAGTGGAACACTTATAACTATGATATCAAAAATCTTTTTCCTAGGCTTATTTATAGTGACAAGATAGTTTGCTTAATTTTGGTGGAGGTGCACATTTACAGTTGGAGTAGGTTATGTGTACTTGTCTCCTGACTTTCTGGGAACCAGGGAAGGAAAGACAGCTGAGTCCAGCATATTTATAATGCAGTGTTTACTCTAATCCTTACTTCTCCTATTTTCTACAATATTTGGTATCTCCAAGTCTATGCTGTTTTCTAGCAGGGCATAAGCATATGAGGATGTGAGCCATAGAGTTCCAAGTGCTTTTTAAACAGATTTTCAACCAATCTCCTTTTAAGCTCACTGCATTTACCTTGTTTCTCAGAGTGTCTCCAAATGATGAAATGTTCTGGGATTCTGTAGGATGGATTTCACTTATCATCAATATGTCACTCTTCACAAGCCTAGGTGGTGACTTTATTAACAGGACTTAATCAGTTGTCACTCATATTTGGGTTGGTTTCCCAAAAGCAAATGAGGATTTTTTTGAAAGTGGTTTATTAGGAAGGATTCCCAGGAAAAAACAATAGGCAGTTGAGGCAGTGGGATGGGAAGGGAAAGAGTTGAAGCAAGGATCTTGTGCCAACCCAAATCCCCAGATAATTATTTAGGTTAAATCTACATGGATGTTCTGGAGATCCAGTGTTGGTCCAATTATGAGACTAGGAAACTGGTGTATTCATACTGTCTTATCTGTCAGTCATTGTGAAAGGGCCACCTGCTGCTGTTTGGCATATACTGATACACAGAGTAGGTCCTAGCATCTAAGAAACAGTTCTCTGACAGTGATGCTCTTGGCTACAGAGCATGAAGGAGCAAACACAGCCTGTGTGCATGACTTGGTAAGGGGATCAGAGGGAACATGAGCAGACTACTAATAGCAACTAGGATAATACTTCTCTATCTACATTCTTACTTCTAAATATTTGTTAAACTTATTCTTTTCTTCTTTTCTTTTAGCGACATTGAGTCTTTACATTTTGTTTTGCCTTGCTTTTATCTCTGATGTCAATCCGACACAATTAACTAGGATTTGCTAGGAGAAGCCCTGAAATTATTTTATTAGTATTCTCTACTTTTCAGGAAATAAAATATGATGCAAGGGAAAATAATATGGATCATTTTAAGAATAAAGAGTTAAAATTATTGATTGCTATATATATAATATAGATCATCTAAGTTAAAATATACAGCTATTGTAATTTTTGTCTTAGATCAGTCAAGTTGGTCAAAAGTAATGTGAGGAGAAAGCCAAGATGTAAAAGACAAAAGAAAGCAAAATAATTTAAATTAACAGAATTGGAAATAAATTAATGCTTTTCAAAGATTTGTGAAGTTGGACATGAAATAATTTTAATAAAAAGTCAGTTACAATTTGATAACAATAGTATAACCTATATATGTAATTGAAATCAGTAATGTCATCACTTACTAACTAAAATAATTGATATAGAAAGACTTGAAGATTTCTTTATATATTTACAAATACTCTTAATGTTTCTTTTCATCTAGTTTTTTGAAAATTTGTAGAGGAAAGTTAAAAAAACTGACTTTTTTCAGTAAGAGCTCAACTTTATTCCCATTGAATGTAATGAATTACATAATTTCCTTTTCTAAGGGAGTGGCAACTTCTATGAACGTCTTCAAATTTTTGCCCCTAAGTAATTAATGATTACAGCTGGAAGTTTAAATGTCTAAACAAGATAAACAAGTGGAAGTGGGCCTGTTTTTGCTCTTGTCAGTTGCTAGACATTCACAGATAAAATATATCTACACATATCTACACATAAAATATATCTACAAATATCTACACATATAGGTATAAATATATTTATATATTTGGGTCCAATTTGAGGTTCCACATATTTGGGGAAGTTCAGTAACAAAATTGATAATGTAACAAGCCTTTAAATATCATATATTTTCCTTATCTACCTAATCAAAATTTGCTTATCTGATGGGTCTACCTCATACTACATGTCTCCATAAATCTTTGACTATCAGTGTTGTCTTGACAATTGCCTAAAGTATTTAGAAACGTGCTGTGCATATCATTCAAAACCTGTAAATACTTATGGTATGGCAATTAAAGAAACAGTAATGTTTAAAATACAAAAAGTTAAAATGAATGCTTGGGATTAGAAAGATATCAAGTAGTTCTGTAATTTTTATTTATATCTAAAAACATGAGATAGGAAATATTAACTCAACAAAAACCAGCACAGTAAATAAGTATTCACTATCTTTCGACGTTTTCCCAAAGCAAAACAGTAGAAGAAAATGAAACTATATTTGTTTGATCTGAATCTGCTGTGGGCTTCTAGCATTTTAGGGAAGTTGCTGCCCCCTAAAATCAAAAGCGTACAAAAAAAGAGTAAAAAACAAAAATCTGAAAAAGAAAATTTAAAACCACAGGGTGGGCATTGTTTTCTTTTCTTTTCTTTTTCTTTTTCCTTTTTTTTTTTTTTTTTTTTTTGAGACATGCTCTTTTTTCTCTCATCCAGCCTGGAGTGCAGTGGCAAGATCACAACCCACTGCAGCCTTGACCTCCAAAGGAGAGCAGGTGATCCTCTCACCTCAGCTTCTTGGTAGCTGGGCCTTCAGGCATGCACCACGATGAATGGCTAATTAACTCCTAAACGTCTTAGAAATACTACCATAATATATTTCCAAAACACATATATCCATGGAAATTTTAAAATTGTTTAGTACACAAAATTAAAGTATGTAGGTAAATTGAATTGTTTTTTTTTTTTTTTTCTGAAAGATACATTACCAGGAATCTTCCTAATCAACCAGATTTTCCCTGAGAACCTGAAATAACTCAGTGGAGAAGATGTCTGATCCATGCCTTAATGATGATGATATTTTGTTTCTTTGCAAATAAAAATACTATCATTTATATAGTAGTTACTATGAGACAGCTACTAACAGTTAAACAATTTGTCCAAGATCACCAATACAGGAATTGGTCAAACTAGATGAATCAAACTGTCTGGCTCCTGTGTCCATGCTCTTATCTGTTTTGAATTACTACTGCTTAATGAAAAGCTGTGGCAACAAAACGTATGAAAAAATATTTATCAGAAATATTTTATGACTTCAGTTATCAATAGGGTTTCTTCTCTATGGCAGCATAATTTTTTTCCAGATGGAAAGATAAACATGAGGATAAGCAAGGAAATCAAGACAAGTAGCTAGGAGCCTCTTGGAGGCTACAGGCAGAGAAGTAAGCTGCCAGTGTGGTCTTCTGGAGTCGAAATTTAAAATGAACTAACAGGAAGGACTGGGGAAATATGAGGTAACAGATGGATAGTTTTAAAATCTTCAACATGTTTTGGGAGGAGGTAACTCTATAAGAAGAAAAAGACAAAAGAAGGCAGAATAATTTTTTTATTTTATTTTATTTTATTATTATTATACTTTATGTTTTAGGGTACATGTGCACAATGTGTAGGTTAGTTACATATGTATACATGTGCCATGCTGGTGTGCTGCACCCATTAACTCGTCATTTAGCATTAGGTATATCTCCTAATGCTATCCCTCCCCACTCCTCCCACCCCACAACAGTCCCCAGAGTGTGATGTTCCCCTTCCTGTGTCCATGTGTTCTCATTGTTCAATTCCCACCTATGAGTGAGAATAGGTGGTGTTTGGTTTTTTATTCTTGCAATAGTTTACTGAGAATGATGATTTCCAATTTCATCCATGTCCCTACAAAGGACATGAACTCATCGTTTTTTATGGCTGCATAGTATTCCATGGTGTATATGTGCCACATTTTCTTAATCCAGTCTATCATTGTTGGACATTTGGGTTGGTTCCAAGTCTTTGCTATTGTGAATAGTGCCGCAATAAACATACGTGTTCACGTGTCTTTATAGCAGCATGATTTATAGTCCTTTGGGTATATACCCAGTAATGGGATGGCTGGGTCAAATGGTATTTCTAGTTCTAGGTCCCTGAGGAATCGCCACACTGACTTCCACAATGGTTGAACTAGTTTACAGTCCCACCAACAGTGTAAAAGTGTTCCTATTTCTCCACATCCTCTCCAGCACCTGTTGTTTCCTGACTTTTTAATGATTGCCATTCTAACTGGTGTGAGATGGTATCTCATTGTGGTTTTGATTTGCATTTCTCTGATGGCCAGTGATGGTGAGCATTTTTTCATGTGTTTTTTGGCTGCATAAATGTCTTCTTAGTGCAATCAAACTAGAACTCAGGATTAAGAAACTCACTCAAAACCACTCAACTACATGGAAACTGAACAACCTTCTCCTGAATGACTACTGGGTACATAACGAAATGAAGGCAGAAATAAAGATGTTCTTTGAAACCAACGAGAACAAAGACACAACATACCAGAATCTCTGGGACACATTCAAAGCAGTGTGTAGAGGGAAATTTATAGCACTAAATGCCCACAAGAGAAAGCAGGAAAGATCCAAAATTGACACCCTAACATCACAATTAAAAGAACTAGAAAAACAAGAGCAAACACATTCAAAAGCTAGCAGAAGGCAAGAAATAACTAAAATCAGAGCAGAACTGAAGGAAATAGAGACACAAAATACCCTTCAAAAAATTAATGAATCCAGGAGCTGGTTTTTTGAAAGGATCAACAAAATTGATAGACCACTAGCAAGACTAATAAAGAAGAAAAGAGAGAAGAATCAAATAGACGCAATAAAAAATGATAAAGGGGATATCACCACCGATCGCACAGAAATACAAACTACCATCAGAGAATACTACAAACACCTCTATGCACATAAACTAGAAAATCTAGAAGAAATGGATAAATTCCTCGACATATACACCCTCCCAAGACTAAACCAGGAAGAAGTTGAATCTCTGAATAGACCAATAACAAGCTCTGAAATTGTGGCAATAATAGCTTACCAACCAAAAAGAGACCAGGACCAGATGGATTCACAGCCGAATTCTCCCAGAGGTACAAGGAGGAACTGGTACCATTCCTTCTGAAACTATTCCAATCAATAGAAAAAGAGGGAATCCTCCCTAACTCATTTTATGAGGCCAGCATCATCCTGATACCAAAGCCGGGCAGAGACACAACCAAAAAAGAGAATTTTAGACCAATATCCTTGATGAACATTGATGCAAAAATCCTCAATAAAATACTGGCAAACCGAATCCAGCAGCACATCAAAAAGCTTATCCACCATGATCAAGTGGGCTTCATCCCTGGGATGCAAGGCTGGTTCAATATACACAAATCAATAAATGTAATCCAGTATATAAACAGAACCAAAGACAAAAAACACATAATTATCTCAATGGATGCAGAAAAGGCCTTTGACAAAATTCAACAACCCTTCATGCTAAAACCTCTCAATAAATTAGGTATTGATGGGACGTATCTCAAAATAATAAGAGCTATCTATCACAAACCCACAGCCAATATCATACTGAATGGGCAAAAACTGGAAGCATTCCCTCTGAAAACTGGCACAAGACAGGGATACCCTCTCTCACCACTCCTATTCAACATAGTGTTGGAAGTTCTGACCAGGGAAATCAGGCAGGAGAAGGGAATAAAGGGTATTCAATTAGGAAAAGAGGAAGTCAAATTGTCCCTGTTTGCAGATGACATGATTTTATATCTAGAAAACCCCATTGTCTCAGCCCAAAATCTTCTTAAGCGGATAAGCAACTTCAGCAAAGTCTCAGGATACAAAATTAATGTGCAAAAATCACAAGCATTCTTATAAACAAATAACAGACAAACAGAGAGCCAAATCATGAGTGAACTCCCATTCACAATTGCTTCAAAGAGAATAAAATATCTAGGAATCCAACTTACAAAGGACGTGAAGGACCTCTTCAACGAGAACTACAAACCACTGCTCAATGAAATAAAAGAGGATATAAAAAAATGGAAGAACATTCCATGCTCATGGGTAGGAAGAATCAATATCGTGAAAATGGCCATACTGCCCAAGGTAATTTACAGATTCAATGCCATCCCCATCAAGCTACCAATGACTTTCTTCACGGAATTGGAGAAAACTACTTTAAAGTTCATATGGAACCAAAAAAGAGCCTGCATCGCCAAGTCAATCCTAAGCCAAAAGAACAACGCTGGAGGCATCATGCTACCTGACTTCAAACTATACTACAAGGCTACAGTAACCAAAACAGCATGGTACTGGTACCAAAACAGAGATATAGATCAATGGAACAGAACAGAGCCCTCAGAAATAAGGCCACATATCTACAACTATCTGATCTTTGACAAACCTGACAAAAACAAGCAATGGGGAAAGGATTCCCTATTTAATAAATGGTGCTGGGAAAACTGGCTAGCCATAGGTAGAAAGCTGAAACTGGATCCCTTCCTTACAACTTATACAAAAATTAATTCAAGATAGATTAAAGACTTAAATGTTAGACCTAAAACCATAAAAAGCCTAGAAGAAAACCTAGGCAATACCATTCAGGACATAGGCATGGGCAAGGACTTCATGTCTAAAACACCAAAAGCAATGGCAACAAAAGCCAAAATTGTCAAATGGGATCTAATTAAACTAAAGAGCTTCTGCACAGCAAAAGAAACTACCATCAGAGTGAACAGGCAGCCTACAAAATGGGAGAAAATTTTTGCAACCTACTCATCTGACAAAGGGCTAATATCCAGAATCTACAATGAACTCAAACAAATTTACAAGAAAAAAACAAACAACCCCATCAAAAAGTGGGCAAAGGACATGAACAGACACTTCTCAAAAGAAGGCAGAATAATTTGAATTAACAATAAGAAATGCATCAAGAATACTTTTCAAAAATTATGAATCTAGCATGGCTTTTCACAAGTAAGCTGCTATGTAGTTTTATGAGGCTCTGGTTTATCCTGTGCTCCCTATAGCCTTTTTGCCAGGGAGTGTCATGTTCTCACATGGAATTCAGCCAGGTTTTTGGGATTGTTTCTGATAAGAATATGCTGAAAGGAGCAAGAAGTTTCACTTTGCAGGAATCTCCTTAGACTGAAATGTTCAGTAGCTCAACACCATTGCCCAACAAAGTAGCTAACTGAGGCTATGGTTATGATTTCAGGTATCATATCCGAGGTCTGCTCATTAGAAATAAAAGAGGAATGGACACCATTCAAGTAAGTGAGTTATTTGATGGATCACTTATGGGAATAATCTTTGTAAATCTAAGCTTTAGAAAAGTCTTTATGGTGAAAATACAAGTATCCAAAAATGATTTTCTGTCTTTTATTTTCTCTGGAAATCAAAGCATGTAGGGAGTATTCTTTACACAAATATTCATTTTTTTTCTGTTTTTGCTATATCATATTTATTGTAAATTAAAGCAATGATTGCCTAACATTATCATCCCAAAGTGGTAATGCTTAACCTTATTATAATGTTCTTTTTATAGCCCTGAAGGCATATTCAAGTATTCAGTGTAAAAGATGAACAGAGGATCAAGATAGCAAAGGACTAGAAAAAACATAAATGTATTGTTGTTTCAGCTTAAATAGAAAAAAATCATGTTGCAAAGAATAGTCATTCATTCCTTGACAAAAAGAATCTAAATGAATATGTTTCCTTCTTTTCTAAAATGAATCACTAGTTTATGAATTACCTAATCCCTTAATCCAGATTGAAATCCTTTAATCCTGCTAAGAATATCCCAAAATGGGAGTTAAGAAAGGCATTTCAAATGAATTCATAATTGTACCAATAAAAGTATACACTTTGTTTGGGGCAATCCTGTCCTCAGTTGCTTTATAGACCTTTATCTGTTCCAGATAAACAGATAAACAAACAAGAAATAAGCAGCCTCAGAATTAACAGATAGCAATTGAAACAGCTAAGAAGGCATATTTCTTTTGTTTGCTACAATATCAAATGTATACTCAAAGTACTATATATGTATTATTTTTATTCATTGGTGTATTTAGGGCTTCAACAGTGTATGTTTTGGGAAAAATTATTACAACTACTGAAAATAACACTAATAATGATGATTAAGAATAAGAAATAGGACTGACAATTTGGAATGATTCCCAGAAGCTATTGACTAGAAAATATCTTGCTGGACAATAGAATTAACTCTATACATAATAACTGGTTGGAAAAGTGCTTCATAAGTTCTGTGAATTTCATCACTTATAATTTTTTATTGTTTTTGGTTTTATCTTTGACCAATAGGGATCAAGAAATACACAGTTTTCTGCTTGGTTGGGAAACTAAAATTATATGTTTTTATATGAGAGTAGAGGAAAATGCATTATTAAATGTTGGTTACATAGAGGAGCTTCATAAATATCTGTCGAGTGATTATTTCGTCCTGAGCACAATAAATCACAGGGCTGGTTAAGTCCGTCCTATGATTCTTTGTAACATTGCTTTTTACTGTTGTTTTTGTATTTTTGCAGTCATCCTAGAAAGAGTATTCACTTTCATGATAACTAAATATATTATGGTATTCGGGATCAGATAATAAAACAAAATAAAAATTATTAAATGAAAATATAGTGTGAAATTTAGTGAATAGTAATGCATTAATATTTGTTAATTTGACAAATGTAACATGCTAATATGTGATATTAATATAGAGAATACTGGATGTGATATATAAAGACATTTTCTGTACTATCTTTACAATGTTTTTCTAAATGTGATCTATCCTAATATTAAAAGTATATTTTTAAAATAAAAGGTAAATTTTTTTAGCTATACCAAAACTGGAAAAAAATTATCAAAAGATGATAAAGGAAATAAGATGTTTAAAAATTAAGAAATATTAAAATGTTTTATGCAGAAGAAAACTGGATGCTGGAGGCATCATGCTACCTGACTTCAAACTATACTACAAGGCTACAGTAATCAAAACAGCATGGTACTGGTATCAAAACAGAGATATAGACCAATGGAACAGAACAGAGCCCTCAGAAATAATACCATACCTCTACAACCATCTGATCTTTGAAAAACCTGACAAAAACAAGAAATGAGGAAAGGATTCCCTATTTAATAAATGGTGCTGGGAAAACTGGCTAGCCATAGGTAGAAAGCTGAAACTGGATCCCTTCCTTACACCTTATACAAAAATTAATTCAAGACGGATTAAAGACTTAAATGTTAGACCTAAAACCATAAAAACCCTAGAAGGAAACCTAGGCAATACCATTCAGGACATAGGCATGCGCAAGGACTGATGTCTAAAACACCAACAGCAATGGCAACAAAAGCCAAAATTGACAAATGGGATCTAATTAAACTAAAGAGCTTCTGCACAGCAAAAGAAACTACCAACAGAGTGAACAGACAACCTACAGAATGGGAGAAATTTCTCCAATCTACTCATCTGACAAAGGGCTAATATCCAGAATCTACAATGAACTCAAACAAATTTACAAGAAAAAAACAAACAACCCCATCAACAAGTGGTCGAAGGATATGAACAGACACTTCTCAAAAGAAGACCGTTATGCAGCCAAAAAACACATGAAAAAATGCTCACCATCACTGGCCATCAGAGAAATGCAAATCAAAACCACAATGAGATACCATCTCACACCAGTTAGAATGGCAATCATTAAAAAGTCAGAAAACAACAGGTGCTGGAGAGGATGTGGAGAAATAGGAACACTTTTACACTGTTGGTGGGACTGTAAACTAGTTCAACCATTGTGGAAGTCAGTGTGGCTATTCCTCAGGGATCTAGAACTAGAAATACCATTTGACCCAGCCATCCCATTACTGGGTATATACCCAAAGGACTATAAATCATGCTGCTATAAAGACACATGCACACATATGTTTATTGCGGAATTATTCACAATAGCAAAGACTTGGAACCAACCCAAATGTCCAACAATGATAGACTGGATTAAGAAAATGTGGCACATATACACCATGGAACACTATGCAGCCATAAAAAATGATGAGTTCATGTCCTTTGTAGGGACATGGATGAAATTGGAAATCATCATTCTCAGCAAACTATCGCAAGGACAAAAAACCAAACACCGCATATTCTCACTCATAGGTGGGAATTGAACAATGAGAACACATGGACACAGGAAGGGGAACATCACACTCTGGGGACTGTTGTGGGGTGAGGGGAGGGAGAGCATTGGGAGATATACCTAATGCTAGATGACAAGTTAGTGGGTGCAGCGCACCAGCATGGCACGTGTACATATGTAACTAACCTGCACATTGTGCACATGTACCCTAAAACTTAATGTATAATAATAATAATAATAATAATAATAATAATAATAAAATAAAATAAAATAAAAGGTAAATTTTTTTAGCTATACCAAAACTGGAAAAAAATTATCAAAAGATGATAAAGGAAATAAGATGTTTAAAAATTAAGAACTATTAAAATGTTTTATGCAGAAGAAAACTGTTGCCATGTGGAAACCAGAACTCAAGCAATAGAATAAAGAGCAAAAGAATGGCAAATATGTGGCAAATATAAAATGTATTCTTTTAATCTCTTTAAAATATAATGTGTTGAGCAAAAATAATAAAAATGTTTGTGAGGTTAAATCTTATAACCAAAATGTATGGTAGCAGCAGCAAAAAACTGAGAGGCAAAATAGAAGGATGCTCATGGATGGTTCTTATACTATATATGAAGTGGTGTAATATCATTTAAAGATTGACTGTGATCAGTTGAGGATGTATAATATAAAACTTAACTAACCATTAAATGAACTGGAAGAAAAGAATAGAGCAAATAAGCAAGTTTATAAAATGGAATGATAGAAAATACTCATTTATTCTATAGAAAACAGAAAATAGGGAAAAACAGGGACAGAGGGGCATTTGGATAATAGAAAACAGTAATGTGGTAGATTTAAATCCAACCATGTCAATAACCACATTAAATTCAAATGGTACATAATCCAGTTGAAAGGAAGAGATTATCAGATTAGAAAAATCTATACCTGATCATGTGCTGAATATAAGAAGCCCAACTAAATTTAAAGATATAAAGTGAAAAGGTGGAAAAATATCTACCATGCCAAAAGTAATCAAAACTAAAGGAGTTATATTAATATCAAATGAACTATATTGCAGAGAAAAATATTCTAACATGGATAAAGACTGTCACTTCATAAGTTTACCAAAAGGACAGAAAAACCCTGACTATTTATAAACTCAGTAACAAGACTCACAGATTTACAAAGCAAAAACTCAGAGGACTGTAAAAATAAATAGATAAATTCACAATTATAATTGGATACATCAACACTCTTCTCTCAATAAGTGATAGAAAATTTTGACACAAAATCAGTAATAACATAGAAGGCTTAAACAGTCTATCAACTAATTTAACCTGCTTGGTATTGGTAAAATATGCCACTCAACAATGTAGAATGACCATTCATTCTCCTCAAGGCCACATGAAACTGTTACCAGGATAGACCATATTCTGAGCAACAAAATTATGCTCAGTAGATTTAAAAGGATTCAAACTATTTAAAGTATGCTTTCTGCAAGATAATTAAATTTAAAATGAATAACAAGATATTTTTAAAATTTCCAAATATAAGAAATGAAGCATCTCTAACCAACCCATGATCAAAGACAAAAAGCAAATTAGAAAGTGTTTTAAGCAGAATGAACATAAATGCAGTTATCAAATTTATGGAATATAGCTACAATGGGGCTTAGAGGGATACTTATAGCACTAAATGTCTGTATTAGAAAAGTAGAAAGGTCTCAAACTAATGACCTAATATTCCATTTAATAAAGCAAATAAAAAGAGGAACTGTAACCCAAAATATGTAGAATAAGATAAAGATAAAAGCACAAGTAATAATATAGAAAACAATGTGTAAAATCAAATAGGCTGAGCATGATGGCTCATGCATTTAACACTAGCATTTGGGAGGCTGAGGTGAGAGGACTGCGGGAGGCTAGGAGTTTGAGATGAGCCTGGGCAACATTGTGAGACTCTGTCATCACTGTATATATATGCCAGTCATCATGGTGTGTGCCTATATTCCCACCTACTCAGGATGCTGAGGCAGGAGGATCGCGTGCCCAGGAGATGGAGGAGGCAGTGAGCTATGATTGTGCAACTGCACTCAAGCCTTTGTGACAGATCAAGATCCTGTCTCTGAAAAAAATAAATAAATCATAAAATAAATCAAATAAAAAACAGTTATTTGTAAAAACTGATACGTTGAATCTACTTCTAGCCAAATTAACCATGCAAAAAAGGGAGATGACAAAACTACCACTATCAAAATTGAGAGAGAGAATATCCCTATAAATCAGATAAAATAATAAGTGAGAAATCTGAATAACCTGTGGCAGTTTAAAAATATTTCTATAATTCTTTATAAGTCCCCCTTTGAAAAGTAGAGCTTTATTGTGCTCTTCTCAGTGAGGGCTTGATTTGGTGATTTGTTTCTAATGAATAATGTAAGGTAGAAATGATTATGTACCAGCTTAGAAGCTACATAATGAAAGACATAGTGGCTTCCTTCTCTCTCTTGAATCACTTGCTCTGGGAGTTTTCATATTGTGAGGATACTTAAGCACATAAGCAGCTTATGTACAGAACCATGTGGTAAGGAAATAAGGCTTCCTGCCAAGAGTCATCAAGGAACCCAGGTCTTCTTCCAACAGCCGTGTGAGTGATTTGTCTTTGAACTGGATACTCTGACATTCAATTCTTTTGAGGACTGCAACCACGTGAGAGACCTTGAGCCAAAAACATCCAGCTAATCTGCTCCCGAATTCCCAACCAGGAGAGTTTGAGACAATAAATGCTGGTCATTTTAAGCATTACATATTGTGGCAATGTGTTACATAAAATAGTTAAGTATAAAAACTTTATGTCGACCAATTTGACAATTTAGATTAAATGGACAAATCCTATGAAAGATGCAAAATAATGGCATTCAGTGAGGAGTAACCTGAATAAGTAGCCTGAAGAGCTTTAAATAGATTTCAAAAATTAAATTTGTAATTTAAAATTTTTCCAAAAATAAAATGCCAGGCACAGAAGTTTTCTCTGGTCATTTCTACCAAAAATTAAGGAAGAAAGAATAGCAATTCTAAGAAAACGCTTATAGAAAATTGAAGAAAAGGAAACTTCCTCATTTATTCAATGAAGCCATCATTTTCTTACACCAAAACCAGAAGAAAACATTGGAAGGAAAAATTATCTGTTTAATTTTCACCAGCCCTTATAGAGATGCAAATTTTCTTTCTCAATTTTAGTGTATTTAGTGCGTATCAAATATGCTAAACAATATATAAAAAGAATATATATCTGTGTGTTCAAACTTGTGATAATACTTTATGGAAAAGTGAGTTTACTCTGTGAATGCAAGATTAGTTCTACATTTGAAAATAAATTAATTCACCTTTTCAAAAGAATAAACAAGAAAACCTATATGAGCACCCCAATGAATACGGAAAAAATATTCACCAAATTCAGTATTGATTTATGATTAAACACTGTAAACTAGGAATAGAAAATAACTTTTCTCTATGACAGGGCATATACCATAAACCTACAACTAATGTCATACTGAATGGTGAAAGACTGAATGCTCTTCTTGTAAGAAAGATTAAGAAAATAGTGGCCGGGCATAGATAATCCCAACACTTTGGGAGGCCGAGGTGGGCAGATCATGAGGTCAGGAGTTCGAGACCAGCCTGGCTAACGTGATGAAACTCCGTCCCTACTAAAAATACAAAAATTAGCTGGGTGCACGCCTGTAATCCCAGCTACTCAGGAGGCTGAGGCAGCAGAATTGCTTGAACCGGGCGACGGAGTTTGCAGTGAGCTGAGATCTCGGCACTCCACTCCAGCCTGGGCGACAGAGCGAGAATCCATCTCGGGGGGAGGAAAGAAAAAAGAAAATGGATGCCCATTCTCGCTACTCTTATTCAGTGTTCTCCTGAAGGTCCAATCCAGGGCAATAAAGCAAGAAATAGAAAACAATTGCATACAGATTGAGAAAGAAGAAATAAAACTGTCTCTGTTTGCCTTAACATGATGGTCTGTGAAAGGCAATTCAAAGAATCTACAACAAATACTATGATAAGTAATACCTGAGCTTAGAAAGATTAAAGGATATAAACTCAAAATACAAGAATCAATTGTATGCTTGTATACTAGCAATAAAAAATCAGAAAGTAATTTTTAAATTAACATTTACATAGGGTCAAAATTATGAGATACAAAGTATGTGCAAGGTCTGAAGACACAAAGCTACCAAATTATGTTAAATAAAATTAAGAACAAAATAAGAGATCTATCATGTTTACGGATAAGAAGAGTCATTGTTGTTAAGACATCACTTTTTCCCAAAGTGATAAACTCAACAAAATGTCATTAAGTCCCAACAGGACTTTTTGTAGTTAATATTGTAGTCAATATTGAAATTTATATGGAAAGATAAATAATTAGAAGCCAAAATGATTTTTCTACAGAAAAATTAAGTTGGAGGACTCTCACTACTGGATTTTAAGATTTACTAAAAAGCTGGAGCAATCAAAAGTGTGGTATTGATAAAAGGTAGAAAGTAGGAAAATGGAACAGAATGAACAGTCCAGAAATGGAGCCACTTACAGTCAATTGATTTTTAACAAATGTGGAAAAGCAATTAATGAAGAGAAGATACTCTTTTAAATAAATAGTGCTGATACCATTGAATATATGCATACACAGCACACAAAACAAAACAAACAAAAACCTTGATATAGTCCTCACACTCACAAGCATACATGTATAACTCAAAATAAATTGTAGACATGTACATGCAAAATATGGAACTATAAAACTGTTAAAAGTGAACAGGTAAAAATCTTTGTGACTTGGGATAAGATATCAGTTTCTTAAATGCAACAGTAAGTGGACACACAATAAAAAACAATAATAAATTGTAATTTATCAAAATTAAGAACTTCTGCTTATTAAAGGTCACTTTTAAGTGACTGAAAAGAAAACAGTGAGGGAAAATAAAAGCCACAGTTGGGGAGAATATTTGCAAATCACCTCTCTAACAAAGGACTTGTATAAAGAACTCTCAAAATTCAATACTCCGTATATAACAAGGCTTCCCTTTGGTAAAACTTTGTCACATTTTCATTACTTTTCTATTCTCACCCATAACCTTCTTGAGGTCCTAGGCTTTTTTTCAAGAGTCTCCTCAAAGCATTTTCAGCTTTAACTTATTGCCTAGTCTCAATGTCAATGTCACTGGTGTTAGGTGTTTTTATGTCTACTCTCCACTTTTAGGTGCCAAAATCTGTATTATTTGTCTATTTTTGCATAAAAATCTAACTCAAAACTTAGTGGCTTAAAGCAACAGTAATCGTCCTTCACTTACATGACTTACATGACTTAGTGATGCTGAAAGTCCACTCAGCTTGGTTGTGATCCTCTCCATGTGGACCTCTATACCTGCTGCTGGGGCTTCCTCACACCATGGAGACTTCTGCTAAAAGTGACAGTCCTAGCAGAGCAAAGAAAAAGTGCATGACCTTTTGATCACCTAGTTTATAGGACAGTATTCATAATGGGAAATGTTATTACATTTTTGGAAAATACACTCTGCCACATCCAGTATACCTGATAGTAACTACAGTATTTATGTAAATTGGCAACAATTCTGAGCCTTGGTTTTCTTATCTTTAAAAGTAGATAATAACAATATAATCTCAATTATAGATTTGTTGCAAACTAAGAGTGAGGTAATGTATGTGAAGTATGTAACTCAGTTGCTAATACATGCTGTTAAATATCTAATACTTGGTGGTTGTTATCACCATCACCTTTGATGTTATTACCACTACATTTGTTCCTTCTTGGTACTCCTCACTAGTTGGTCTTCTTATACTTAAATTTGAAATGCAAATTTCCAGAAATGCTCTGCTGTCTATTATATCTTTTAAATTGTATAACTTTGGGAAATCTTATTCAATTTTCTATTTTCAGTTATCACTTAAATGCAATAAACTTCCAAATATATATCTTAGGTCAAAGTCGCCCTCTTAAAATTTAGAACTATACTTTTACAGGCATGTGTTGCTTAAGGATGAGAATACATTCTGAGAAATGCATTGTTAGGTGATTTGATTCTTGTGTAAACATCATGGAGTACACTTACATAAACTTAGATCATATAGCCTATTTATTATACACCTAGGCTATATGATATAGCTATTGCTCCTAGGCTATAAACCTGTACAGTATGTTATTGTACTGGATACTATAGGCAATAATAACTCAATAGTAAGTATTTGTGTATCTAAACATATAAATAGTACAGTAAAAATATGGTATTAAAGATTAAAAATGGTACATTTGCATAGGGTACTTACCGTGAATGAAGCTTGAAGAACTAACTGAAAGTTGCTCTGAGTGAGTCAGGAAATGAGTGGTGGTAAATCTGAAGGCCCAGGACACAGTATACTTCTGTAGGCTTTATAAACTCTGTATACTTATGGTGCGATAACTTTATTTTAAAATACCTTTTTCTTGACCAGGCATGGTAGCTCACTCCTGTAATCCCAGCACTTTGGGAGGCTGAGGCGGGCGGATCATGAGGCCAGGAGATCGAGACCATCGTGGTTAACACCGTGAAACCCCGTCTCTACTAAAAATACAAAAAGCGGGGTGTGGTGGTGGGCGCCTGTAGTCCTAGCTACTCGGGAGGCTGAGGCAGGAGAATGGCATGAACCTGGGAGGCGGAGCTTGCAGTGAGCCTAGATCACACCACTGCACTCCAGCCCGGGTGACAGAGAAAAACTCCATCTCAAAAAAAAAAACAAAAACCACTTTTTTCTTCAATAATAAATTTGCCTTAGCTTATTGTAACTTTTTTGCTTTATAAACTTCATTTTTTAAACTTTTTGAGTCTTTTGAAATCATACTTAGCTTAAAATACAAACACATTGTATAGTTGTAGAAAATTTTTTTATATCCTTATTCTATAAGCTTTTTCTATTTTTAAATTTTTGATTTTTTTTTTTTATGTTTTAAACATTTTTGTTAAAAACTATGACACAAACACACACGTTAGCCTAAGCCTACAAAGGGTCAGGATCATCAGTATCACTGTCTTCCACGTCCACATCTTGTCCCACTAGAAGCTCTTCAGGTGCAAAACCATGCATGGAGCTCTCACCTTCTATTATAATAATGCCTTCTGCTGGAATGTCTCCTGAAGGACCTGCCTGACGTTGTTTTACAGTCAACTTTTTAAAAAAATAAACAGATGGAATACAGTCCAAAATCACAATAAAAAGTATAGTATGGTAAAGACGTAAGCCAGAAACATAGTCATTTACCAACGTTATCAAGTATTGTCTACTGTGTATAACTATATGCACTATATTTTTATATGACTGGAAGCACAGTACATGTTTTTACACTAGCATCACCACAAACACATGAGTATATGACTGCAATGACTATGACATTATTAGGCAATAGGAATTTTTCAGCGCCGTTATAAATCTTATGGGACCACCATCTTTTATATGTGGTCCATCATTGACCAGAACATCATTATGTGGCACATGACTGTAACCCGCATTTTAAGACATTGCCAAGTGTCTTTCCCAAAACACATCTCAAATTTTACACATTAATGAACTCATAATTGCCCCTTGCTCCCAAGCATCTTCTTAGGCCTTATTTCCTTTATTAATCAAAGGGCACTAGCACCCACTGTCAGTTTGCCTCAGTCAGAAACTTGTTTGTACATAAAAACATTATCACCAAGATCAATCGACTTTTCTTTCTAATGTCCACCCCACTGACATCCTATTCTCTATTATTATTTCCACTGTTTTAACTTTTGACACTCACCATTTTTTCTTAGAGTAAAGCAGTAGATGCTTAACTAGTCTCTGTCTCCAGTTGGACTCTGCTCTGGTCTTCCTACACATACTGAGCTAGAGATCTCTTCAAACACAATCTTCATCACAAAATTTCCTTTTTAAAAAAAGGATTTCAATTGCTTCAAATGATTTCAGAATAATATTCAATTAGTTTAGCTTTATCTACACTGTGTCTCTCTTATACCTCATCTTATTCTACTCTATCCCTCAATCTATGCTCAAGCCATAGCCACAATGACTTGAATATTCTGCACTTGCATTATGCTATTTAACACCAGCATGCTTGTTAATATTATGTGGAATATACTCTTTCCAAACCCAAAGTACAATATGTGTTCAAATAGCTTCAATTCATTCTTAATTACCATATTTTTATCTGCTCATAGACATTTCCCTTGATCCTTAACCTTTAAGCCCTGTCTAATGTAACCCCAATACAAATGCTTTTACCTTGTGATTCAGTAATTCTCCGATAGAAATTTATCATAACATGGGTTATAATAAAACATCACTTTTAATTTGCTTTATTAATTCTAGAATCTATTTGTTGCCAGTTGAGGATCAAAACTATGTTTAAGTTGTCCTTGTAATTTTTTTTTTTTGAGACGGAGTCTCACTCTGTCACCCAGGCTGGAGTGACAGTGGTGTGATTTCTGCTCACTGCAAGCTCCACCTCCCAGGTTCATGCCATTCTCCTGCCTCAGCCTCCCGGCTAGCTAGGACTACAGGTGCCCACCACCACACCCGGCTAATTTTTTCTATTTTTTTTTTTTTAGTAGAGATGTGGTTTCACCACGTTAGCCAGGATGGTCTTGATCTCCTGACCTCGTGATTTGCCCACCTCAGCCTCCCGAAGTGCTGGGATTACAGGCGTGAGCCACCGTGCCCCACCCAAGTTGTCCTTGTAATTTTCATGGCTAGGTCAATCCTGGAACTTCAAAGTTTTTAAATAGATGTGTGCTAGAAAAAATAATCAAATGGTTAAAAAAAAAAAGTTTTTTAGAGTGAAACAATATTACGTCCGGAATTAGTGGGTTCTTAGTCTCACTGACTTCAAGAATGAAGCCGCGGACCCTCGCAGTGAGTGTTACAGTTCTTAAAGGCGGAATGTTTGGAGTTTGTTCTTTCCTCCCATCTGGAGCTGTTCATTCCTCCCAGTGGGTTCGCTGTCTCACTGGCTCAGGAGTGAAACTGCAGATCTTCACAGTGAGTGTTACAGCTCATAAAGGCCGTGTGGACCCAAAGAGTGAGCAGCAGCAAGATTTGTTGCAAAGAGCGAAAAAACAAAGCTTCCAGAGTGTGGAAGGGGACCTGAGTGGGTTGCCACTGCTGGCTCAGGCAGCCTGCTTTTATTCCTTTATCTGGCCCCACCCACATCCTGCTGATTGGTCCATTTTACAGAGAGCTGATTGGTCTGTTTTACAGAGAGCTGATTGGTCCGTTTTGACAGGGTGCTGATTGGTGTGTTTACAATCCCTGAGCTAGACACAAAAGTTCTCCAAGTCCCCACCGGATTAGCTAGATACAGAGTGCTGATTGGTGCATTTACAAACCTTGAGCTAGACACAGGGTGCTGATTGGTGTGTTTACAAACCTTGAGCTACACACAGAGTGCTGATTGGTGTATTTACAATCCCTTAGCTAGACATAAAGGTTCTCTAAGTCCCCACTAGACTCAGGAGCATAGCTGGCTTCACCCAGGGATCCTGCACGGGGGCCGCAGGTGGAACTGACTTCCAGTCCAACACCATGCATCCATACTCCCCAGCCCTTGGGTGGTCAATGGGACCAGGCGCCATGGAGCAGGGGGCAGTGCTGTTTGTGGAGGCTTGAGCTGTGCAGGAGCCCATGGTGGGAGGGGGTAGGCTCAGGCATGGTGGGCTGCAGGTCCCAAGTCCTGCCCCGTGGGGAGGCAGCTGAGGCCCCATGAGAATTTGAGTGCAACACCAGCAGGCCGGCACTGCTGGGGGACCCAGCGCACCCTCTGCAGCTGCTGGCCTGGGTGCTAAGTCCCTTACTGCCTGGGGCCGGTGGTGCTGGCCAGCCGCTCCGAGTGTGGAGGCCGCCGAGCCCACGCCCACTGAAAACTCACGCTGGGCGCGCAGCCCCAGTTCCCACCCGCATCACTCCCCCAACACCTTCCTGCAAGCTGAGGGAGCCGGCTCCGGCCTTGGCCAGCCCAGAAAGGGGCTCCCACAGTGCAGCAGTGGGCTTAAGGGCTCCTCAAGCATGGCCAGAGTGGGCGCAGAGGCCGAGGAGGAGCTGAGAGCAAGCAAGCGCTGCGAGGGCTGCCAGCACACTGTCACCTCTCAATATGATATATATAGGATCACATTTTACTTTCAATTGAAAGGTTCATGCACACAGACATTTATCCTAATAATTTATCAGAAATGAAACAAACAAATGAAATGTAAGTGTAGTGATATATTTCATTGTTAGTGTATTTTTTCCGAGTTTGTAATCCCAACGTGTCACTCTCTGAAGAGCTTAGCTCTATGTTGAAAGCTTTTTCAAGGACCAGGAAATGTCATTCACCCCAGTGTTTACAAATGTATATTTTCCTTAATTCATCCCTCTTGCCTTATTTAAATTAGAATTTTCGTTGAAATTTCATATATGAATATATTTATACAAAAATTCAGAAATCTCCAGTTCATTAATTTCCTCTACATTTTGACTCTTCCTTAGAGAATTTATTTAAGAACTTTGTTGGAAAGATAATCATGAAGAAAAGTAGTGCACTGACAGTTTAAATGAGAGAAATAAAAACCTTTGTTTCACAATAGTGGAAAGTAGTCCTTCAGGCAAGATGCCCTGAAGTAGGAGTATGGGAAATGAGTAGAGGAGACAACAGCATAACCTGCAGGGTCTGAAACATGGTTCAGGCTGCAATTATTGAGTTTTTTAATAACTACAGTTACTGATATGAACATATTCACTAGATCTAAGGATTCCTACTCCAAAGCAAAAGCGACATGAATACACACAAACAGACCCACTAAACTGCCCTAGCTATGACAAACCAGCAATTCACACATTTTATACTTTCTTTTGAAATTAATAGTATAAATATTGTTGTTCCCCAAATACTTTGCCCAGAGATAAATATATGAGAAATTTAGAATAGCTGGATATTTCCTTATTACTTTAGAAGGCATAGAGCTGTCAGTTTCCAATAAAAAGAAGTCATAGTATTTTAATTTTTACATCTTTTTGGCACCATGCTAATCCATTTTAATATAAGAAGTATTTTCTCTTTATTACTTTGAAAAGATGTTATGTTATAATGTAGGTTGCAGAAAACAAATGCAAATTATCACAGAACAAAATTTCAACAAGTTGAATTTTAAAGATCTGGTTAGCTTTTATTAAGGATTTATGAACAGGGCAGCACTCTGTTTATGAAACAGAAAGGCATTCCATTGGGACAAAACAGTTTTTTCTAAGGTAGCTTGAGTTGGATCAAGGAAATAACAGAGTGAAAAAAGCAGATTTGTTAACGTCGGGTTACTTCAGGTTACTTTATTTGCATGGGTTAACGCGGAGGGGACTTTATTTTACTGAGTCAGGTTGACTGGCCCCCTTTTGTTTGGTTGCTGTGAATCTCCTGTATTTGTTGTTGTTGTTGTTATTTGTTTCTTTGCTTGTTTGTTTTCCAGAAAACTGATCTGGCTATATATATTATAGCCTTGGCTATAATCTCTGTCCTGATTTTTGGAAGGTCAGATCTTACAAGTCAACAGCTTATGCTTAGGTTTGGTGATGTGAAACCTTCGCATTAGTGACTCCACTTTGGTTTGGTATGTTGGGGTCTAGTGCAGGAGCTCAGTCCAGAAAAAAAGCCTCCCATAGATTTTATTTAACAAAGGCAAAGCCTTATAGACTACCAGTTTACAAGGGAGGGTAATTCCAGAGAGCAGAAGGTAAAAAATAATGAGGCAGGGAAGGAGAAAAGTCACTTTAAGGATCAATTACTAGAGTTAAGTGAGACTGCTTGCTCAGTTTTGCATAATTATCTTCTGAAAGTCCATAGACATGACTTTTTATCAGGGTAGACTCGAGCTGAGGGAGGAACTCAAACAGAGTTAATCACAGTAGCCAAGGGCTGGGATATAGAAAGTTACCAGAGGTTCCAGAGACAGGAGACCAGTGAGGCTGAGGTGGTCTGATGTGCAACATAAAAGGTGTCTGATACCAAGTATCTAAGTTTTATCCAGACTCTTGTTTCTGGAACTGCTGCACTAAATGTCAATACTGTGCCTCTTCTTTCTAATTATTGTTTTCATTATTATTTACATACTCCATGACTGTTTGCAAGATTACATTGTGACATGGCTAATATGATTATTTTGCCCTCTGTGTGCACAATACAATGGACATCAAGATTGCTGCTGATTATAGGAAGAGCTTAAGTGATAAGAAATTCTGTACTGCAATTCAGTTACTATGTTCAGGGATTGGATTTTCTCATTTATAAATCTTGGGAAAAGTGGAGAAATTGTCCATTGTTTTCATTTCTTATTCATTCCATCAGTGAGTGAACATTGATGAGGGGTATCCTGCTACTTTGGGTAACAGGGAGTCTTCAGTTTATAAAAGATCTCTAAACTACAGGGCAAAGCATACTAATTTGTTCTTAACATAAAAGAGAGGAATGCATCAGATTCATTTCATCCTTGGGAGGATTACGTGGAATCTGAGAGTTGGAAGTTCATATAAAAGAAGGCACTTATTCTTCTTTTAATAACCAAATGTCAGGATATTTTTGCTTTCAAAACTGGAGATGAAATGAACTTCGCACACAATCTGATCCATTTATTATGTGCTCAGTGTAAACTGAAATGTAGATCATTAAAAGTACAAGAAATCCCTTATGTACAATACACAAGAAGGATAGATAATTTGGTTCCTGGGGTCTTGTCTCTGGAGCTATGTAAGCATAATATTTCCTTGAAAATACCATCCCTGTTTTATCTCTCCTGGTGGTATATCCTCTACTCCACCTTCATACGCATTATCTCTAGCTGTCTCTTTTACAGTCTACAAATTATTTTGTCAGTCTTTCTCTTGAGCTCAGCTGAATTTTAAGATCAATGAACTTACTTGCCAATTTGACAGGGCTATCAGTTGTTGTAGCAATTAATTAAGCCTTACAAATTATTTTAACCCATGACTACGAGTCACTACACTGCATAATTTCCATTCAATCACAGAGTCAAATTTCTCTGAAGTTAATGCTGTATTCCACAAGGGAGACAATTTCAACCAGTCTGTCCAGTTGCTAATTTTCTGAGCATTTCCTTAGGCATAACTTTGAAAAATATTAAATCTGCAACATAGGATCTTACTTTTCTGAAAGCATTTGAAAATGTTCTTCTCTCTTTCAAAGCCTAATTTGGAATCAAGCAAAAAAATGTTTACCAGGAAGCATTTTCTGTCCTTGAGGTATTCATCATGAATTTGGGGGAGATAAACCAACTGGAGGACAGGATATAGGAGAAAAGCATACACAATGTGCACATATGCAAACATACCCACATTTTTATTTATCTGGTTCATTGACTTTGATGAAAATTATAGCCAAGAAAGAGAAACTGGTAATGTGAACAACTTTTTGGCTGATCTTCACACATAAATATCACTCACCATGACAAGCTGACTTGGAAACTAACAATCTATCCACCTGTAAAAATATATTTAGATTTGCTTGGTGCTAGGAACCATTCTTCACAAGGAAGGCTTTAGCAGACACCTCGCCTTCGTGATTGTATGGCAAAATAGCAGAATTGGAGTTTCCTGAATCATGATTTGTGCCTGGATTTTTAGTTTAAGCTGCAAAATGCATGCAATGTATCAATGTATGATATGTCTTTGAAATAGCTATTTTGAAATGACATGTTTCCTTTTCTAAGCACATAACTCTATGTGTTCATTCTCAGCAGGAGAGCTACCTCCCCATTCTTGTATTCATCTGAAAGAGTGAGTTGTTATAAGAAAGAGAAAAAAATATATATTATGTTATAAGGAAAAATCATCTTCCTTGTAGAAATGGAGACTAATATTCCAGAGGCTGGAGCTTGTAAAAAAGAATCCACTTAATAATTATCTAATAGATTCCTGTCACTGTACTAGCTGCTTTATAGACACATCCTCTACTCTTGCAACAACTTTGAAATGAAGCTAATAATATCTTTGTATGTGTGCGTGATCACATGAGAAAGCTGAGGCTCAGAAAAGTTACACAATCGTGTGACCTCTTACAATTGATAAGTGGAATAATCCTTCCACCAGCTTTGACCCTTCCAAACCATTTGTCACACTTAATCTGGTTATATCACATCCTCACCTAAAATCCTTTTATTTCCTATTGCCTAAATCATGAAGTCCAAAGCAAGATTTTTCTTTACCTGCATCTCCAGCATCATCTGTCAACTCCATGCACTTTGCACTGAGTTACATCAATAGTTAATTACCTGTGGTTCCCAGAGAAAAACTCTGATGCTTGTTTATGGCAAGATTCAGCATATCCCTCACCTCTTGCCTGAGAGATCTGGTGCTTGTTTCCCTGAACCACGCCATCCAATCCAGCCTACTTATATTATTCCTGATTAATTTCTCATATCATCACAATTCAGATCAGGATTTATTTACTTTTTGAGACTTTCTAAGGCCCTAGCTTTGTTTCCATTTTATTATTATTATTATTGTTTGCTTAGCCACCTGTGCTTACATTTTATCTTATGGTTGCATTATTGTCTATTGATGTATCTGCCCCACATGCTAGACCTTGGTTGTTTGAAAGAGAACCGAGTTATAGCTCTAGTTATCGCTCTATAGCTTTAGAACTAGCAAATTACCTGGTACTTCATAGAAATTAAGTAAAATTGCATGAAACAAATGAATAAATTGGACCAACCTACACTAGGTGTCAAAGTAAAGACAGCCATGAATATTGGGTTTAGAAGATAGTTTTTGCCTGGGCGTGGTGGCTCACGCCTGTAATCCCAGCACTTTGGGAAGCTGAGGTGGGTGGATCACCTGAGGTGAGGAGTTCGAGACCAGGCTGGCCAACATGGTGAAATCCGTCTCTACTAAAAATACCAAAAATTAACTGGGCATAGTGGCGGGCGCCTGTAATCCCAGCAACTCAGGAGGCTGAGACAGGAGAATCACTTGAACCCAGAAGGAAGCAGTTGCAGTGAACCAAGGTTGTGCTATTGCACTCCAGCCTGGGCAACAAGAGCAAAACTCCATCTCAAGAAAAAAAAAAAGAAAGATAGTTTTCCATCTGTGAGGAATAATAATCAAATAAGGATATCCCTGCAAATAAATGATTGAAAAAATAATTAAAATCTTGTTGATTTTAGAAGAAACTTCAAAGAAGAGAAGATTTATCAGATTAAGTATCTGTTATACAACATTCACCGTGTTTTAGAATTATGGCAATATTAATCAAATTGTTTTGATTTTTATTAATTATTTTTTATACTTATGTCTTAGCAAACCAATAATGATTTCATAAAGTATATAACTAGAACATTTCTGGGGTTGCTGAGGTCTATCTTATATGTTTGGTAAACTTACAAGAAAGGCAAACACTCTCACAGAGAGAAATTTGTTTTGAGGAGAATGGGCTACAGTCAGTGATTTTGAGAACAGTGCAGCATATGCTTCTCAAAGTGTTCTCCAACCCTCCCCACAGAACACAGATCCTGGGGCAAGGGTATGGCAATCATAAACTTGGTTTAAAAGTCATTTTGGTCCTGCCATTCCGGCTGCCACCATCATGGTGCGGAAGCTTAAATTCCATGTGCAGAACCTGCTGAAGCAGGTGGACTTCCTGAATTGGGAGGTCACTGATCACAACCTGCATGAGCTGTGCATACAGTGGCATTACCAGTTGAAGCAGTGGGAGGACAACAGGTGCTACAATCAGCTGAGCCATACCGTGTGTAAGAGAGCATGGCATGCCTGTAAGACCTGCCTGAGCGTGACCCATTCTGCATGTGTGTTTCAGCTGCACTGCTAGACAAGCTGTATGCTCTCAGCCTGGTGCCTACACGTGGCTCAGTCAAGCTCTGTCACTTAATTATGGCCTCATTCTTCTGCCACCACCACCTGTCTACTATGCTACTCAAGCTGCACATCATGAAGCACCTTCAGGCTGCTGTGGCCTTTGTGGAGCAAGGCCATATGTGCATGGGCCCTGACATGGTTACCCACCCTACCTTCCTTGTCATGTGCAGAATGGAGGACTTTGTAACATGGGTCAACTCATCTAGGATCAAGCAGAATGTGCTGGAGTACAACCAGGAGCACAATAACTTTGATCTGGAAGTCTACTGGATCTCCCACTCTCTCCAATACTCTCTTTTACAAATGGAAAAACTGAGGTCTGGTGCTGGAGATTCTATGAAGGTGCTCTCCCCAAGAGATTTAGCCAATCACAGGTTCTTAACAACTTGATTCCTCAATGGTAGGCCCTGCACAGGGCTACAGGGGTTCTGTCCTTATTTTCCTTGAAACTTTCTTAGAACTTTGACTATTATTATTAAATCACTGTGCTTTGGGGAACAGTGGGAAGCAGTTTGGTGTTGCACTGGGGAATTGCTGCCTTCTTGTGTTAGAAACTCTGTAGTATAAAGCAAAAACTCCACACCCCCACTCTCTGTTTTCATTTACCATTTTGTAGCTGGACTGGTTCAAATTGTTTAACTCAAATTTTGCTCCTTTTCATGTTAAGCAGTGTACAGATGATGGAGGATTTGGGCTCAAGATTTCATAAAATGAGTGACTACCAGACCTTCCTTACAAGAGATCTAGAAAGGTGCACTAAATATAGAAAGGAAAGACCTCTACGAGCTAATACAAAAACACACTTAAACACAAAGCCCAGTGTCACTGTAACGCAACCACACAAACAAGCCAGCATAATAACCAACTAGAAATACAATGACAGGATCGAATCCACTAATATCAATACTAACATTGAATGTAATTGTGGTAAATGTCCTACTGAAAAGGACCAGGGTGGCAAACTGTATGAAAAAGCAAGACCCAATGGTATGCTGTCATCAAGAGATCCATCTCACATGTAATAACAAAATAAAGGGATGAAGGTAAATGTACCAAGCAAATAGAAAACATAAAGAAGCAGGGATTCCAGTACTAATTTCAGACAAAACAGATTTCAAACCAACAAAGATCACAAAAGATCAAGATGGCATTACATAATGGTAAACAGTTCAGTTCAACAAGAACATCTAACTATCCTAAATATATATGCACCTAACACAGAAGCACCCATATTTATATAGCAAGCACTTGGAGACCTTCAAAGAGACATAGGATCTCACACAATAATAGTGGAAGACTTCAAAACTCTACTTACAGCATTAGGCAGGTCTTCAAGGCAGAAAATTAACAAAGATATTCTGGACCTGAACTCAACATTGGACCAAATGGATTTGATAGATCTCTACAGAATTCTTCAATCCAAAAAGCCAGATTATACATTCTCTTTGTTGCATGGCACATACTCTAAAATCGACCACATAATTGAACATAAATCAATCTTCAGCAAACACAAAGGAACCAGAATCATAACAAACACACTTTTGAATCTCAGTCCGATAAAAATAGAAGTCACAACTAAGAAAGTCACTCAAGGCCGGGCGCGGTGGCCCACGCCTGTAATCCCAGCACTTTGGGAGGCCGAGGCGGGTGGATCACGAGGTCAGGAGATCGAGACCATCCTGGCTAACACGGTGAAACCCCGTCTCTACTAAAAATACAAAAAATTAGCCGGGCGTGGTAGCGGGCGCCTGTAGTCCCAGCTACTCGGGAGGCTGAGGCAGGAGAATGGCGTGAACCCGGGAGGCGGAGCTTGCAGTGAGCCGAGATCGCGCCACTGCACTCCAGCCTGGGCGACAGAGCGAGACTCCGTCTCAAAAAAAAAAAAAAAAAAAAAAAAAAAAAAAAAAAAAAAAAGAAAGTCACTCAAAACCATGCAATTACATGGAAATTAAACAACGTGCTTCTGAATAAAATTTAAGCTGAAATCAAGAAGATATTTGAAAATAATGAGAACAGAGATACAACATACCAGAATCTCTAGAACACAGCAAAGGCAGTATTAAGAGAGGAATTCACAGCCCTAAATGCCCACATCAAAAAATTAGAAAGATCTCAAATTAACCTAACATTACAACTGAAAGAATAAGATAAGCAAGAGCAAATCAAAGATAGCAGAAGACCAGAAATAACTAACATCAGAACTGAACTGAAGGAAATTGAGACAGGGAAACCTATTCAAATGATCAATGAATCCAGGAGCTGTTTTTTTTTTTGAAAAAATTAATAAGATATATAGGCCACTAGCTAGACTAATAAAGAAAAAAAGAGAAAAGCTCCAAATGAACACAATTACAAATGATGAAGGAAATGTTACCACTGACCCCACAGAAATACGAGCAACCATTAGAATCTACTATGAACACCTCTATACATGTAAACTAAAAAGTCTAGAAGAGAGGATAAATTTCTGGACACATATACCCTCCCCAGACTGAACCAGAAAGAAATCGATTCCCTGAACAGACCAATAACAAGCTCTGAAATTAAATGAGTAATAAATAGCCTACCAACCAAAAAAAAAAAAAAAAAAAAAAGCCGAAGTCCTGATGGATTCACAGAAGAATTCTACCAGATGTACAAAGAAGAGCTGGTACCATTCCTACAGAAACTATTCATAAAAGTTGATAAGGAAAGAATCCTCCCCAAATCCTTCTGTGAAGCCAGCATCATTCTGATACCAAAACCTGGCAGAGACACACACATACACACAAAGAAAACTTCAGGCCAATATCCTTGATGAACATTGATGCAAAAATCCTCAACAAAATACTTGCAAACCAAATCCAGCAACACATCAAAAAGCTTATCCACCATGAGCAAGTAGGCTTTATCCCCAGGATGCAAGGTTGGTTTAACACATGTAGATAAATAAATGCGATTCACCACATAAACAGAACTAAAGACGAAAACCACATAATTATCTCAATAGACACAGAAGGATCTTTTGATAAAATTTCACACCCCTTCAGTTAAAAACTCTCAACTAGGTATTGAAGGAACATACCTCAAAATAATAAGTCGTATTTATGACAAACCCACAGCCAACGTTATACTCAGTGAGCAAAGGCTGGACTTGTTCCTCTTGAAAAATGGCACAAGACTATTATGTCTTTTCTCACCACTCATATTCAACATAATATTGGAAGTCCTGGCCAGAACATTAAGGCAAGAGAAAGAAAGAAAGTGCATCCAGATAAGAAGAAAGAAAGTAAATCTATCTCTATTTGCAGACAACATAATTCTGTATCTAGAAAACCCCATAGTCTTGTTCCTAAAGCTTCTTCAGCTGAGAAACAACTTCAGCAAGGTTTCAGGATACAAAATCAATCTACAAAAATCTCTAGCATTCTTATAACCCAACAGCCAATCCAAGAGCCAAATAAGAAAGGCAGTCCCATTCACAGTGGCCACAAAAGGATAAAATACATAGAAATAGAGGTAACCAGGGAGGTGAACTATTTCTACAGTGAGAATTACAAAACGTTACTTAAAGAAATCAGAGAAGACCAAAAAAAAAAAAAAAAAATGAAAACCATCCCATGCTCATGGATAGGCAGCATTAATATCACTAAAATGACCATACTTCCCCAAGCAATTTACAGGCTCAATGCTATTCCTATAAAACTACCAATGACATTCTTCACAGAACTAGAAAAAAACTATTACAACTCAAAAAAGTGCCCAAATAGCCAAAGCAATCCTCAGCAAAAAGAGCAAAGCTGAAGGCATCACCTTATTTGACTTTGAACTATAGTACAGGGTGACAGTAACCAAAACAACATGGTACTAGTACAAAAACATGCACATAAACCAATGGAACAGAATAGAGATACCAGAAATAACGCTATACACCTATGACCATCTGATATTTGATAAAGCTGGCAAAAACAAGCAGTGGGGGAAAGACTCCTTATTCAGTAAGTGGTGCTGGCATAGCTGGTTAGCAATATGCAGAAGACTAAAGCTGGACCCTTTCCTTACACTGTATACAAAAATCAACTCAAGATTGATTAAAAATTTAAATGTAAAACCCCAAACTATAAACACCCTGGAAGACAACCTAGGCAATACCATCCTGGACATAGGAACGGGCAAATATTTCATGACAAAGCCCACAAAAGCAATCACAACAAAAACAAACATTGACAGGTGGGATATAATTAACTTTAGAGCTTCTGCACAGCAAAAGGAACTATCAACAGAGTAAGCAAACAACATGAAGAATGGGAGAAAATATTTGCAAACTATGCATCTGACAAAGGCCTAATATCCAGTATCATTCTACCATAAAGACACATGCACAGGAATGTTTATTATAGCACTATTCACAATAATGAAGACATAGAATCAATCTAAATGCTCAACTATGAGAGACTGGATAAAGAAAATGTGGTATATATATACCATGGAACCCAATGTGGTCATAAAAAGGAATGAGATCATGTTATTTTTTGTGGGAACATGGATGAAGCTAGAGGCCATTATCCATAGCAAACTAATGCACGAACAGAAAACCAAATACCGTATGTTGTCACTTATAAGTAGTGGGAGCTAAATGATGAGAACTTATGAACACAAAGAAGGAAACTGGAGTCTACCTGGGAGTGGAGGGTGGGAGGAGGGAGAGGAGCAGAAAAGATAACTATTGGGTACTGAGCTTAATTCCTGGGTGAGGAAATAATCTGTACAACAACCCCCCATGACATAAGTTTACCTGTGTAACAAACCTTCACATGTACCCCCAAACCTAAAATAAAAGTTTTAAAAACAGTCATTTCCACTATGATCTCTGTGGAACCTGGAAAGCTAGGCCACGCGCAGTGGCTCATGCCTGTAATCCCAGCACTTTGGGAAGCTTAGGTGGGTGGATTGCCTTACGTCCGGAGTTTGAGACCGGTCTGACCAACGTGGCGAAACCACATCTCTACTAAAAATACAAAAATTAGCCAGGTGTGGTGGCGCATGCCTGTAGTCCCAGCTACTCTGGAGGCTGAGGCAGGAGAATTGCTTCAACCCAGGAGGTGGAGGTTCCAGTGAACCGAGATCGTGTCATTTCACTCCACAGTGAAACTCCATCTCAAAAAAAGAAAAAAAGAAAAGAAAACTGAGCCAGATGATTTATTATTTTTACATTAATATTTTGGCTCACTTTTCATCCCATCTCTGTTCTAAGAGAAACGTTATCTAAGGCTGAAATCCATTGTGAATAAGAACTTGGGGAGAAATATGTCTTTTAAGTCTCTGAAAAATTAGAATTTTTAAAGTAATAAGCATTACTTAGGAAAGCATTGTTTTCATTTACATAACAACCAAATTGAGAGTAAGTTTCAGCTATTCAAAATAAAATGCATTAGGTATATTTAAAATAATATTTTAGATATAGTGATATATTTTTAATAGGACAATTTTGAGTTAGTGGTCTTAATCGATGTTTATTGTGTTATTGATGATGTTTTTCAAGGAAGCTTCCATATCAAGTCATATTATAGATTCAATTGAAATTGAAAGATTCTTACTTGAAATCCCCCAATACACACACACACACACACACACACACACACACACACACACACACACACATATTTTTCTTTAGGCAGAACTATTGTTCAGCCAATATTTTGTAATATCTAGACTATATAATATATATACATATATATACACACACATATATATACACACACATATATATACACACACATATATATATATACATATATATATATGTATATATATATTTTGGATATAGAGTTTTGCTCTTGTTGCCCAGGCTGGAGTACAGTGGCACAATCTCAGCTCACTGCAACCTCCATATCCTGGGTTCAAGCGATTTTCCTGCCTCAGCTTCCCAAGTGGCTGGGATTACAGGCGTCCACCACGACACCCGACTAATTTTTGTATTTTTAGTAGAGATGGGGTTTCACCATGTTGGGCAGGCTTGTTCTCGAACTCCTGACCTCAGGTGATCTGCCTGCCTCGGCCTCCCAATGTGCTGGGATTACAGGCATGATCCACCGCCCCCGGCCTTAATCTAGACTATATTTAAAGATATCCCTTTCTTATCTGTTCTACAATCTCTTTTTTGAAAACTCATTTCAGTTTTTAACAACCATTGCCAATGAGGAAAATCTTCCTTATGCTTCACTTAAATTATGCTGTCCTCTAAAGCCATTGACAATTTCATGAGTCCTTCTCAGAAGGAGAACTGATGGAAAGCTAACCACTAAATAATCCCCCACTCACATTCTGGTGCTTTATTTTCCTTCACACATAACTTAGTCATATGAAGTTCTCACAACCATTTGAACTCAGACATTTAAAAAATGCAGTTAGAAGTCAAAAGATGAAAAAAATGAGGTCCTTGAAAGTGGGTTGGAGGAACAGAGAGATATTTTTATGTCAGATCTCGTTATTCAGGAGCTAAAAATAAAAGCTCAGTCTCTATAGATTTGTTATAATTTGTTCATTATGTTGTAGATCTCTTGGATCAAAACCCCCATACCTATCATTATAGAAACCTTAAATTGTTTGGTATGTTTCTTGTTTCTATGGGTTTTGTGAATTCCAGGGTTTTTTTTAATGTTATGTTCATTTTAATGAGCATAATATCAATTTGTGCCTAACATTTTGATCTGTTATTTTAATTTGGCAAAATAATCATTTTTAGCACACAAATACCCACATATAGTATGTTGGGTATTTCATAGAGAAGATGACTACTTATACTATTTGTAATTTACTTTCTGCTACCTAAAAGTCAACAGTGATTTTTAATGGCTATTTCTCTTTATAGAAACTAGCTTTTAAGAGTTTAGTTTATCATGAAAAAATAGGTTATGTTTCTGTGCAAATTCTTTGGAAGTTACTATGATAATAAATAGGAGAATAAACTTTAAAACTTCATTTAGGATTAATACTAATATGGTTTTAATAACACAGTCAGTAAATAAAGCATTCAGAAAAAAATCTAATGCTACTACTGCCATCTGATTCACCCATATATCCAACTAAAAATATAAAAGCAAACTACACTTATGTCACAATTTGAGTTCACTGAGAAACACTGTTGGGAAAACTTCAGTGTGTAAGATGTTTATTAGAAATGGAAAAGGCTTAGAATCACCATGCTTGCCTAAGAAAAAAAGGCTTGATCAGCCTGATAGAAACTTTGGAGTTATCCCATCACAGATCTTCTGTGCTGGCTGCACTGAAATAGTTGGACCTATTTGTTGTCTCTTAATCACTTATTGGATGTATGCTCTCTTGGAAAGAGCATGACTTTGGGTGTGGTGAGTCTCCGCCTAAGGTAACCCCAAAAGAATATGACAACTGAAAGGTATTTATTGACAACTCTTCTAGAAACTCAGATAGTAAGTCTTTCTTTGAAAGAAAATCTGGGTGGTGCATATTCAAGACCATTTACATAGTTATGTGCCAGATACTATTCTGAGTTCTTTAGATATAATAACTCATTTAAAATCACAACCATATGAGAAAATTACTCTTATGATACCCATTTTGCAGATAAAGTAACTAAGGATCATAGAATTTAAGTGATTTGCCCAAGGTCACGTAACTAGTAAGTTGTAAAGCTGGTGAATTCAAGCAGTCCGATTTCAGAGTCCACTACTTATCACTATGTATGCTCCATTGCTATTCAGAGCCACTAACTCAAAGGTTAACAAGAGAGAACACATGGACACAGGAAGGGGAACATCACACACCAGGGACTGTTGTGGGGTGGGGGGAGGGGGGAGGGATAGCATTAGGAGATATACCTAATGCTAAATGACGACTTAATGGGTGCAGCACACCAACATGGCACATGTATACATATGTAACTAACCTGCACGTTGTGCACATGTACCCTAAAACTTAAAGTATAATTAAAAAAAAAAAGAATCTCTTAATTGCCAAAATCCGAGTGTTAAATTTATTCTTCATACTCTTTAGGTTTCTGGATTACCTTGCATGGTTTAATTTGTTTTACATCTTGAAAGTCTCTCCTAATTTAATTCATATGTCATTAAGCTGGTTTCCCACCTACTTTTCTGAGATTTTTTCTGGTGGTTCCTTATCTCTCTGAACTTTAGATCTTGATGTCCTTTTAGTATCCATTTCTGTTTTCTTATCTGTTCACACTACATGCTGCATTTTGAGTGTATTTCATTCACTCTTATGCTGCCATAAATTCTTATTAAATCATAAAATGCTCAGGCATCAGGTCGTGTTAGGAATAAACGTCATGGGACAAGAGAATATAGAGCCAGAATTGTTCCATGCAAGAACTCATTAAAAAAAATCTTCCACCCCTGGTCTCTGGGAAGAGTCAGGAGGTAATATCCAAAAGGCAACTGATGCCAGGAATTAGGGCAAAATATGATCTAGGAATTGTGGAAACAGCAACAGGAATAGTAGCATCTAAGGAAGAAGTTGGATGTGAATTGAGTGATGCCAGAATCCAGGTTGAGGACTAAAAGGTGACACTATAGGAATTATTTAAAACAAAATCCCTTACCCTAAAATCACCCAGCCTTTAAGATATCATACTGACCTTCAGGAGTCAAAAACTAGAAACAAAATCTAAATGTAAAAGAAAGAGATTAGTAGGAACAGTTTGAATTCCCAGATAATAATGATATTTTTTAAAAGTTAGTATAACTTCCAAAGATTTAATATTAGTTTGTTCTTTCAATGGGAACACATGTTCATTTGTATTTGAAAGAAAGATTGGGAGATTTCTTCAATAACTTATATTCTTGTCCTGTTGATTTATGAAAGGAAAACTCAGCTATGCTCTTAAGCCTCTTTAGCGATTTTTTAATATATTCGGGATCATATGTGTAAAAAATAGAGTATTTCTCATGAACACAAATGAAAAATCCCCAACAAAATACAGTAGTCCCCCTTATCTGTAGTTTCACTTTCTGTATCTTTGATTACTTACAGTTGACAGTGGTCTGAAAATATTAAATGGAAAACTTCAGAGATAAACAATTCATCAGTCTTAAATTGCACGCTGTTTTGAGCAGCGTGATGAACTCCTGTATTGTTCCGTTCCACTCTGCCTAGGATGTGAATTATCCCTCTCTTCAGTGTATCCACCCTGTATATGCTACTTGCCTGTGGGCCACTTACTAGCCATCTCTGTCATCAGATCAACTGTCACAGAATTGTATTACTTGCGTTCAAGTAACTCTCATTTTACTTAATAATGATCCCAAAGCACAAAAGTAATGATGCTGGCATATTGTTATAATTGTTCTGTTTTATTATTCATTATCATTATTAATCTTAGTGTACTTAATTTATAAATTAAAATTTATCACAGGTAAGTACATAGGAAAATACATAGTATGCACAGGGTTTGATACTATCAGCAATTTTAAGCATCCACTGGGAGTCATGGGACATATTCCCCTGAGAATATGAGGGGACTACTGTATTAGCAAATCAAATCCAACAATATACTAAAAGAATTCTGTTCCATAACCAAGTTAGATTTATCCCAGATATGCAAGCCTGGGTCAACATTCAAAAATCAATGTAATTTATAGGGTTTGGCTCTGTGTCCGCACCCACGTCTCATCTCAAATTTTAATCCCCATGTGTAAAAGGAGGGACCTGTAATCCCCACATGTCTAGGGAGGGAGATGATTGGATCATGGGGGCAGTTCCACCATGCTGTTCTCCTGGTAGTGAGTTCTCACGAGATCTGATTGTTCTATTAGTGGCAGTTTCTCCTGCTCTTCGCTCTCCTGCCACCTTGTGAAGAAGGTGTCTGCTTCCCTTCCACCATGATTGTAAGTTCCCTGAGGCATCCTCAGCCATATGGAACTGAGAGTCAATTAAACCTCTTTCCTTTACAAATTACTCAGTCTCAGGGAAGTTCTTTATAGCAGTGTGAAAACAATCTGATACAGTAAATTGGTACCACAGAGAGTACAGCACTGCTATAAAGATACCTGAAAATGTGAAAGCGACTTTGGAACTGGGTAACAGGCAGATACTGGAACAGTTTGGAGGGCTCAGAAGAAGATAGGAACATGTGGGAAAGTTTCAAATTTCCTGAAGACTTGTTGAATGGTGTTAATAAAAATGCTGAGAGTGATATGGGCAATGAAGTACAGGCTGAGATATTCTTAGGTGGAGATGAGGAACACATTGGGAACTGGAGCAAATGTCACTTTTGTTATGCTTAACAAAGAGACTAGCAGCAATTTACCCCTGCTCTAGAGACTTGTGGAACTCTGAACTTGAGAGAGATGATCTGAAATTAGAACTTATGTTTAAAAGGGAAGCAGAGCATTAAAGTTTGGAAAATTTGCAATTTGACAATGTAACAGAAAAGAAAAACCCATTTTCTGGGGAGAAATTCAAGCCTGCTCAAAAATTTTATAGGTAACCGGGAGCTGAATGTTAATAACCAAGACAATGGGGAAAATGTCTCCAGGGCACGTCAGGGAATTTCACTGCAACACTTTCCATCACAGGCCCAGAGGCTAGGAGAATAATATGGTTTCTTGGGCTGGTCCCAGAGCCCCGCTGCTGCTCTGTGAAGCCCCAGGACTAGGCACCCTGTGTCCCAGCTGTGGCTAAAAGGGGCCAATGTACAGCTCAGGCCATTGCTACAGAGGGTGCAAGCCCCAAGCCTTGGCATTTTCCATGTGGAGTTGGGCCTGTGGGTGCACAGAAGTAAAGAATTGAGGTTAGGGAACCTCCACATAGATTTCAGTGGGTGTATGGAAATGCCTGGATGTCCAGGCAGAAATCTGCTGCAGGGGCAGAGCCCTCATAAAGAACCTTTGCTGGGGCAGTGAGGAAAGGAAATGTGGGGTTGGAACCTATAGAGAGTCCCCACTGGGGCACTGTTTAGTGGAGCTGTGAGAAGAGGGCCACCATCCTCTAGACCCCAAAGTAGTAGATCTACTGACAGCTTGCACTGTGCACCTAAAAAAGCTGCATTCAGTGCCAGGCCATGAGGGAGCTGGCCAAGGTGGTGGGAGTCCACCCCTTGCATCAGCATGCCCTGAATGTGAAACATGGAGTCAAAGGAGATCATTTTGGAGCATTAAGATTTAATGACCGCCCCACTGAATTTTGAACTTTCATGGGGCCTGTAGCTGCTTTTTTGGGCCAATTTCTCCCATTTGGAAGGGAGCATTTAGCCAATTCCTGTACCCCCATTGTATCTAGGAAGTAACTAACTTACTTTTGATTACTTTGTCCCAAATGAGTATTTAGACTATGGACTTTTGACTTAATGCTGAAATGAGTTAAGACTTTGGGGGACTGTTGGGAAGGCATTATTTGTTTTGAAATGTGAAAGGACATGATATTTGGGGAGTGATATGATTTGGCTCTGTGTCCTCTCCCAAATCTCATCTTAATTTTTAATTCCCACCTGGTGAGGGAGGGAGGTGATAGGATTATGGGGGCGATTCCCCCATGCTGTTCTCTTGATAGTGAGTGAGTTCTCACAAGATCCAGTGATTTTGTAAGTGGTGGTTTCCCCTGCTCTTTGCTCTCCTGCCACCTTGTGAAAAATGTGCCTGCTTCCCCTTCTGCCATAACTATGTTTCCTGAGGCCTCCCCAGCCATGCAGAACTGTGAGTCAATTAAAACTCTTTGCTTTATAAATTACTCACCCTCAGGGAAGTTCTTTATACCATTGTGAGAGTGGACTAATACAGTATTCCAACAAATTAACACAAAAAAATATTTGTTTGTGTGTGTGTGTGTATGTGTGTTATAAATGCAATGATGGATTACATTAATTGATGTTTTGTTGCTGCTATTGATTTCTAATTTTGTTTCACTGTAGTAAAAAAAGACATGGGGTATGATTTTTATCTTCTTTAAATTAGTTAAGATCCATTTTGTACCCAAGCATGGTGATTCATGCCTGTAATCCCAGCACTTTGGGAGGATGAGGTAGGCAGATCACTTGAGCTCAAGAGTTTGATACCAGCCTGGACAACATGCAGAAACACTGCCTCTACAAAAATTACAAAAATTAGCTGGGCATGATGGTACACACTTGTACTCCCAGCTACTCAGGGAGTTGAGGCAAGAGGATGGCTTGACCCCACAAGGGACCGGTTGCAGTGGGCTGAGATCATGCCACTGCACTTCAACCTGGGTAACAGAGCAAGACTCTGTTTCAGAAAAATTATTTTATGATCTAATATATAATCTATCCTGGAGAAGTTTCATGTGTGCTTGAGAAGAATGTGTATTCTTCTGTTGTTGAGTGAAAAGTTTAGTAGCTGTCTAAGTCCATTTGGTCTTAATGGATCATCTTGAAAATTGCAGATTACATGATCATATTTGGAATTTCGGAAAAAAGCATTTGACAATACTCAAAATTATTACAACATAAAAACCCTCAGTTAAACTAGGAATATATATAAACTTCTTGAATTCAATAAAGAATACCTACAAATCCCTACAGCTAATATTATACTTAATAGTGAGAAACTCAAAGTTTTCCCAGTAACGTTAGGAAGAAAGCAATGGTTCCCCCCTCATGACTCCTTTTCAGTGCCATACTGGAATGAAATAAGATAAGGAAAGGAAAAAAAGTGATGAGGATTGAGAAGGAAGAAATAAAACTGCTTTTGTTTACAAATGACATGATTGTAAACAATCTGAAAGAATCAACAAAAAAACTGGAACTATAAGCAGTTATTAGTTTATTAGTTATTAGGTTTCAGGATAAGTTCACTACACAAAAGTCAGTTGCTTTTCTATATATCAGCAATGAAAAAGTAAAATCTGAAATTTAAAACAAGATACCATTTACATTTGCACTCCCCAAAATGAAATGTTTAGGTACGAATCTAAGAAAATATGTACAAGATCTAAGTGATGGTTGATTTTTGGTACCCACTTGACTGAATTAAGGGATACTCAGTTGGCTGGTAAAGCAATATTTATCCTCAGTTCTTCCATAGGCACTGAACCCATTCCATGGCCCCTGAGAGGAAACTCATGTGGTTTTGCTTTTCATTAGAGTGATTGAGCCTCCTCAGGTGCATCTCTGAAAAAATTTCTGAAAAAGATTAGCATGTGTTGGTAGACTGAATGGGGGAGATCTTCCATCAGTGTGGGCAGACAAAATCCAATCATCTGGTGTCCAGATGAAACAAAAATGTGAAGAAAGGGCTACTTCTTACTCTATCTCTGACAAAGCCAGGACAATCTTCTACTACCCTTGGACATCAGGACTCCAGCTTTTCTGAACTTTGGACTCTGGGACCTGCATCAGTTACTCACTAGGTTTTCTGACCTTTGTCTTCAGAATGAGAGTTACACCATCATCTTTCTTAGTTCTGAGGCCTTCAAACTTAACTGTGTTGCCCTACCAGCTCTTCTGGTTCTCCAGCTAGTGGACAACCTATCATGGGACTTCTTAGCTTCCATAATTCACTGAGCCTATTCTCCTAATAGCTATTTTCTGGTATTTCTTTCCATATATATAATATTTCTTGGTTATGTGTGTATGTATATGTATGTACACGCATATATATATATATACATGTGTATGTGTATATGTATATGTATACATACACACGTAATCAAAATATATATATATACACACACATACAGACATTATGTATCTGTGTGTGCGTGTCTGTGTGTGTGTGTCTATATAATCAATTCTGTTTCTCTGGAGAGTTCTAAAAAATAATATATGACAAAAACTCAGAAATTCTTAATTTTTTTTACTTTATCCTTAAATTCATTTTTTAAGATAATTACAACTTTTATTTTAGATTCAGTGGGTATATGTACAGGTTTGTTGCATGGTATATTGCATGATGCTGAGGTTTGAGGTATGATTGATCTCATTACCCAGGTAGTGAGCATAGTACCCAAGAGTTAGTTTTTCAGTTCTTACCCTCCTCCGTCTCTCCCCCATCTAGTAGTATCTAGTGTCTGTTTTTCCCAACTTTATGTCCATGTATACCTGATTTTAGCTCCCACTTATAATTGAGAACATGCAGTATTTGGTTTTGTGTTCCTGCATTAATTCACTTAGGATTATGGCCTCCAGCTGCATCTATGTTGCTGTAAAGAACACGATTTAACTCTTTTTATTACTGTATAGTATTCCATGATGTATACGTACCACATTTTATTTTTTTTCTTTTGTTTTTGAGACAAGGCCTTGCACTGTTGCCCAGGCAGAAGTGTAGTGGCACAATCATGGCTAAATGCAGCCTCAACCTCCCAGACTGAAGTAATATTCCCATGTCAGCCTCCTGAGAAGCTACTCCTGAGTAGCTAGGACCACAGATGCATGCCAACACACCTGGCTTGTTTAAAAAAAATTGTAGAGACAGGATGTCACTATGTTGCCCTAGCTGGTCTTGAACCCTAAGATAAATCAATCCTCCCTTCTCAGCCTCCCAAAATGCTGAGATTATAGGTATGAGCCACTGTATCCAGCCTGTACCACATTTTCTTTATCCAGTCCACCACTGATGGGCACGTAGGTTGATTCCATGTCTTTAATATTGTGAATAGTGCTGCAATGAACATAGGAGTGCATGTGCCTTTTTGGTAGAATGATTTATTTTCCTTTGGATATAGACCCAATAATGGGATGGCTGGGTCAAGTAATAGTTCTGTTTTAAGTTCTTTGAGAAATCTCTAAGTTGCTTGCTGCCATGGCTGAACAAATTTACATTCCCACCAACAGTGTATAAGTGTTTCTTTTCTCCACAGCCTTGCCAGCATCTGCTATATATATATATATATATATATATATATATATATATATATATATATATAACTTTTTAATAATAGGCATTCTGAATGGTATGAGATGATATCTCATTGTGGTTTTAATTTGCATTTCTCTATTAGTGATGTTGAGCATTTTTCACATGTTTTTTGACTACTTGTACATCTTCTTTTGAGAAGTGTCTGTTCATGTCTTTTGCCCAATTTTTAACGAGGCTATTTGTTTTTTGCTTTTCACATTGCTTAAATTTCTAAGGGTCTACTATTCAGACTGTATATTTTACCCTTGTCAGATACACAGTTTCTGAATATTTTCTCTCAAAACTATGAAATTCTGATGAATGAAATCAAAGAACTAAGTAAATGGAGAAATGTCCCATGTTCATGAAGAGAAAGACTCTATATTGTCAAAAGGTCAGTTATTCTCAATTAAATCTATATATTTAAAGCAATCCTAAGTAAGCAGAAGACATAGGGAACTATAATAATAGTAGGAGACTTCAATAGCCCACTTTCAATAATGTATGGAATATCCAGACAGAAAATCAACAAAGACACAGCAAGCTTGAACAACAATATGGATCAAATGGACTTACACAGATGCAGAATTTTTCACCCAACAATAGAAGAATACACAGTCTTCCAAAATGCATATGAAACTTCTCCAGGATAGATCACATTTTAGGACACAAAATGAGTCTTCACCAATTTAAAGACCAAAATCATAACAAGTATCTTTTATGACCACAGTGAAACAAAATTAGAAATCAATAAGAGCATTTTTACAGATCAGTCAGAATACTTTAAATCCTCTTTGAATTCTTCTTTGATTCAGCGATTGACTGTTTGGGTGTGTTATTTAGTTTCCATATATTTGTAAACGTTGCCATATGCTTGCTTTTATAATTTGACAAATTGGTTTTTCAAATTTTGGATGACCGTCTTAATACAGCAAATGCAGGGTGCCAATTTTCAGATTGCTGAAGTATTAATGTGAACAAAAGTTTTAATACCATATAAAATATTTAGAGAGATATTCCTTTGCTTTCTCTGACATCATATTTCTCATAAATGTACTCATTAAACTTGGAAAACAGGTTTACAGAGTATCACTAAGACACAGAAATAATAACTGTAATATAAGCAAAAATTCTGAAATGTGCAGTGATTATACTTTCTAAGGGAAAGTGCCCAAACCTGAGCTATCCATTTCATTAGGGAAATGTAATATGTGCATTGCTTTAAAAATTAGGCATGAAGTTTGAGTGTGATGAATGAGAAGTGAGTGTTTTCACAAGAATGAAAGGAGAGTGGATGCTGGAGGGTAACAGTAATATCCACTGTAGTGAATTGTTTGTATTAGGCATATGAAATGGAAATATGTGATATTACAAAATAAAGTAATAATCTTAATCCAATATCATTGCTAATGATGTTACCCTAAAGAGTAACGTTATAGTTTGTATTTAGAGTGCACTGAAATTTGCTTCTATGTTGTCTCAATAAACAAAATATGAATTTACTTCTACCTATAATATGTCAGGAAAAGACACTGATAAGAAATATTTTTCTAGGCTAACAGATAATTTAACTCTTAAAACTATACCAAGTGTCCTGAATCACCTGGAAAACTCACAGGTGCCTCAAACAGGAGAAATGTTTCTCAATCCATGATTTATTTTTGTTTCCCTCATTATTTTGGGTTGCCATGGTAGCATTTCCTGTGTTGTCAAAATTTCAATTCCATGGAAGTGGTGAGTTGTCACTTTGAAAGTGGAAATACATTGTTATAGCTATTCATTGTTCTCATGTATAATACCATAGTCTGACACAAGTTAATATGTTCAATCTTTCATTTATTTTTTTTTAACAAATGTTTAGTGGTCCTTTTTGCTAAGCATCTTACTAGATGTTGACCACGTAAAGATCAATTAGACCATGTGAGTGGCATGAATACAGATATGTTGTAGATAGCAGAGGTTGTGTTTGGGAAACTGTGTCAGATGTGCTAAGAGTAACAGGAGATGATGTTGGGACCAAATATTGAAGGATCTAAGTCATGCTAAAGACTTTAGAATGTATCTGTTAGGATGAAGGCTTGATTGAGGTTTTTGAGTAATGGAATAACATGACCAGATCTGTGTTTACAAAGGTACTTTCTCGGGATTTATTAGAGAGGAAGAAAGCTGGGAAAAGAAATTGAAAACCCATTATGTGCCAGGACCTGAGGATATAAATATTAATAAGGCTTGATCTCAGCCTTTAAGGAATTTGAAGTTGTGAGGAAAACACACTTTTATAAATGCACATTTAACAATGCCTTTGCTAAAGGAATAAAAATGAAAGGGAGAGTGACTAAATGCCTGATTTTGTGTGTGTGTGTGTGTGCGTGTGTGTGTGTGTGTCAGCAGTCCTAGCGGGTACAGGAGATTGATGGAGATGGAGGATGGTCAGAGCAGATACCCAAAAGTAACACTTGAATTGGAGCTTAAAGGTCAGAGAATAGAATCATAAGGGAACAAGGATTTGAATTAAGATCTTTCTCAGCAGAGGTAATAGCATATCTAAAAACAACTAGGTATGAGAAAGAATAGAGACTTGGAAATATCAGATAGGCTTCAGAAAAAAACAGTAGAAAATATCAGATAGGCTTGTAGAAATATCAGATAGGCTTGTAGAAAAAAAAGTGGGAGATTGTTGTTTTTAAAAACAGCCAACAGGGACTGGAACAGAAAAATGTTGCTATCCTAGTGAGTTTTTTAACTAGGAAATAAGAGACCTCTGTAGGATTTCGTACAGAAAAATAGGCATTTTAGAATGATCTCTTTGCTAACAGAAGTGGCCAAAAATTGAAGCCAAAATACAGTAAGGAAACGAGATGATGAAAACTATAACTAGATGTATGAAGCAAAAAAGAGAGAAAGAATATATAAATTCTGAAGATATTTACAGGGTAGAAATTACGGTATTTGGTGACCTCTCAGATGTGAGGTTTTAGGTGAGACAGAGGATTTCTTATGTGGGCAAAATGCAGAAATTAGCAGTCATTTGTAATGAAAGCAAGCAACTGAAAGGGAAGCAGAGGGGTGGTGACAATTATTTATTAATTTAGACATACTGAATTTGAAGTGCCAATATAATATAGCCAGGAGGCACAAGATATTAAAATTATGAAGCACAGCAAGAAATTGGGTTTGATATATACATCTAGGATTAATGTCTAAGTCCCTGACTTAGTCCAGGCTATAGCCTTGTCCCTTATCCTAGCTAGCTTCATTGAAGATTCATACAGACTGGTCTTAAGGACAAAGCTTGGCCAATGAAAGAAGGCCTGGACATACATAAGGATTCCACTCCCCACTGGCAACACCTGATTGGGATTTGGGTATGATTTAGGGTCTACTTGACATGTGCCCTAAGGCCTGGGATCATTGAAGCAGTTTTTGCTTCCCTGGGTCTTCCGCCTTGATCATCACACTCAGTATTTTTGCCAAGTCCTTTTCATAGCTAATGTAGTTGATAAATTTCTGGTGGAAGCACTAGTGATGATAATATATGCAATACTATATTTAAAGGTAATCTAAATCTAGCTTTCTAGCTTAAAATCTACTGCTACTTGAAATATTCTAAATTCAGAATTATCTCATTATATTCCATTTCACATATCCTAGGTTGCATAATACTGTATTACATACTTATTGAATGCAGAGCAAATTGTACTAAATTCTAGGAAAATCATGGTGTACACAAAAATGTAGATATGAAAACAAAATAAGACAATTAATATAAAAGGTACTTAGATATATTTGTAATTTATTAATTTCAGAGTGGAAATAGTTATCCTTTCAATAGTTCCCTTTAAAGTCACCTTCTTTGCATGACAAAGTTTATTTTTTAAAATAGTGTTTTTATTTGTTTTATGAAACTTAAATGTGTTATTTTATTTATTAGATTAATATATAGGATCAGTTTGGTGCTATGAACTTTTAGTATTATTTAAAAGACTAAGAAATTTTGAATAAAAAATAAAATCTGCTGTGAGATATTTCCCAAAGAGATCTAAATGTAAGAGGGGCCAGGGTGATCCCAGAAGCCCAAGTGAAAATCTATATCCACAAATTTCTGTCTCTGAGGAGGAAAAAAAAGGAAGTCTATTAATCTGTTGGCTTCCTTCTATAGAAAATAACTAGCTTTTGGTATTTAAGAGTGCCATGTAACATTTGTATGTTCATTCTAAATTGATATAACTATAATTGTGGGTAGTTATACAGATTTATAACAGACTGGATTGAACAGTCTTAGGAGTGGTTAAAATCTATACAGTGGGCACCCACCTACAGTGTATAGATATTTTAGATAGAATTCTTGTAAGTGACTGGATTTAAATAACTTTTACATCTTCTTTTAAGTCCAGGGTTTTAATTTTATATAATGCTATGAATGATTGTCCTCATTGCTATATTGACTTGACACTATATGAAACAAACTTTCTGAGTCAGAACACCCAAAAATTATGGTGAGGAATATTGTGAGTAGAGAAAAAGATAGAGGCAGTATAATGTAGAAAATATCAATAATTTAACATAGAAGTGTAATACGAGTTGATCTTTAGAAACTGAGAGGAGTAAACTTCCAGAAGCCATATTTCTTTAAAGATCGAGGATCAATTTACTCTTCAAACAGCAAGCACAATTAGAAACACGTTGATACTATGTCTTATAAAGGGTAAAAAAAAAAGAAAAAAACGACTTACTGAATTAGTCCTTTCTCACACTGCTGTGAAGAAATACCAAGACTAGTAATTTATAAAGGAAAGAGGTTTGATTGACACACAGTTTCACATGGTGGGGGAGGCCCCAGGAAACTTGCCATGATTGGCAGAAGGCACCTCTTCACAGGGAAGCAGAAGAGAAAATAAGTGCTCAGTGAAGGAGGAAGCCCCTTATAAAACCATCAGATCTCATGGAAACTAACTCACTATCAGAAGGACAGGATGGGGGAAAGCGCCCCCATGATTCAGTTATCTCCAACTGGTCCCTCCCATGACATGTGGGAATTATGGGAACTATAATTCAAGATGAGATTTGGGTGGGGACACAACCAAACCATATTACTTACCTAGTCATTTTTTAGGACATAAGCCATAGAACCAGTCTCTGGAATTCATTCTCTTAGCCTTTTAGGTATATTTTGGTGTGGGGTGTGGGGGCAGTGGGAGAAGTTACCATGTATATTTGTTGTAGAAAACATGTTACTTAGAAGAAAAAGTTCTTGCAAGAATAAATTCCCAAAGACATTTTTCATCTGGGATGTTTATAAACAATGTACTCCACCATGCTCTTTATTACAGCTTTGTGCTAAATGACAAACTCATTTCCAAATAGCTATTTCTTATAACATCCTTTAGCAAAAGCTGAGGATATAACCTCAGAAAGGACCTCAGAGAGAGAAGGTGATATTGCATGGACTAGTCACTTGTGATCTAAGTACACCTAACTAAATCTAAGAGAAGAATTTAGAGTTGAATTGCTGATCCCTTTGACTATCTTCTCTAAATAACACAGTCTCAGGCAGACTTTTTATACAACATGACAGTCCATTCAAGAATATACTCTGTGAATGTTTCAAGTTTTGTGTTCTGTGTTGTTAAAGGAAGACTAATACATACCCCTTATAAAACAGAAATTGGAAATGGAGCGGGACACGGTGGCTCACGCCTGTAATCTCAGCACTTTGGGACGCCCAGGCAGAGGGATCATTTGTGCCCAGATTTTCAAGACCAGCCTGGCAACATGGCAAAACTCCATCTCCACCAAAAAAATACAAAAAATAGCCAGACATGGTGGTGCACCTGTAGTCCCAGCTACTTGGGAGGCTGAGATGGGACGATCATTTGAGCCTAGGAGGTAGAGACTACAGTGAAGTTGAGATTACACCACTGCACTCCAGCCTGGGTGATGGGGCAAGAGCCTGTCTGAGAAAAAAAAAAAAAAAAAAGAAAAAAGAAAGAACAAAAAAATTGGAAATGCAGCCAAAGTTGTACTATGTGACTACTAATATATTTTGGGTAAATATATATTACCTGTTTCAAATATATATTGCCTGTTTCTAATAAAAATAAATAAAAGGCTATATACCAAAATTCATTTTATTGTGATAGCAGAAATGTAAATAATGTAGTCACTATAGAAGAGATAAAGTGGTAAATAATTTAACACAAGATTTTAACAAATGTATCTTGCTGGGCATTTGAATTTGTCATAATTATATTTAGCTCATTTCTCCTAGAAACAGTTGCCAATAGTTACTCCTCTTAACCTAGCCTGATTTAATCTAGATACACTTACCCTGTTCTTCCACCTGCTTCTCAAATGGTTTGTGTTCTAGCTGGCTCTGGCTCCTTCATTTCCTGAAAGTTCACCTGCTCTTTGACACCTTAAGATATGGGAACCAAGCCGTTAACTTAATTACTCCACTTTATCAATCTCAAAGTGAGTTTCCTCAAGCCTGGAACAGTGTTGACTTCTGGTGAGGTCTGACTGCAGCTGGAATTAGTCTTAAAAGCAAGATCATGACTACTACATACCTTCTAGTTCCTAACTATTCTAGTGGCTATATATTCACTCAGCATTAAATGAAGTTTAATAAATATTCACCAAACACATTTACAACCTCCACTTTATAAGGATTAAAACAAAGCAAAAAAAATATTATCAGTGATGGACTGGAAAGTTTGCCTTCTTCTCTTGCTTGCCTTGAGCTCTGGCATTTTGACTTTTCTCTCTTATCCAACTCTCTTCTTTTAGCTTCTCAAGACAGAAAGGAAAATCCTTATAAAGCAGAAAAAGGCAATTCTGAAAGATTTACTTTTCTAATCCAAAACATTTTTAAGGAAGATATATTTGGAATGTTGCTTTTTAATAGTTTTAATGAGTTGATCAAAGGCAGTTTTGTTTTGTTTTTTTTTTTGTGTGGTTTTTTTTTTTTTTTTTTGGTGGCGGTTGTTTCATTTTTGTTTTCCCACACAATGTAATCACAGTATGTTTCAAAGAGCTATTTTTATTTTGAATTTCCTTTTCTAGAACTGGAGAAAGTAGAATAATAACCTCATACTACAACCATCTTCAGCTGACACCTTTTATAAGAGTTTACCATACGTTCTTATTTTGTTGGGAGGGACTTTCTGAAGAAAGTGGTTATTCCACTTCACAATTACCTTCTTCGATTTATCACAGAAAAATTGCTTTTATTCAGTAGGTATTATTTGAAAGGCTGGTCTTTGCCCCATTTTCTTCCACTGAACTCTCCATAATGATTACAGAATGTGAGTTGGTTCTCTTTTTCTATCAATATTTTATCATTTAGTACCTGTGAAAACAATTCCCACTTTACCAAGCACACTCAGGGTGTGATGTGTTTTGAACTAAAGTACTTCTAAATATCAAGCAAATAGCATACAAGGACACACAGTTAATCAAATACTGCTGTTCACTGCATAACACAGAGTGTAAGATACAAACTAACATTTCTAACATTTATACAAATAGGCATAAAAACAGATAATAACTGTTTCTAAAATGTATCATATTTCTATTGTTCCTCTGTAAGATTTTTCCCCTCTCATTCTAAATATACAGCTTGGCAACTTGGATCACACAGGAATTGTTCTGAACTTGAGACTGTATTGTGTAATATTGGTATACTGTTAGAAACAAAATTAATATATTTCATACATATTGCCCTTTATGGTTAAGAACACTTTTGATTTGTTATCACGTTTGATTTTCTAACAACTCAACCTAGAAAGAGCTTTCAAACTACATCTCCTATTCTAGGGCATATCAGAAATAGGGATGAGGGTAAGTTGGGAGCAGAGCAGGAGTTAGGAAAGAGGGGAGGTATGAGGGTTGGGTTCTGCATGTAGGTATTTTTAGTAAGATCCCCTAGTGATTCTGTTGGACATTCTAAACTGGTAATAAATCGATGTCCCACATGGTAGTTCTCAAAATATGGTCCTCCCATCAGCCTCACCTTACTAGATGAGATCTGTTGAAAATTCAGACCCCGAAATTCTACCCAGATGTAATACATCAGAAAGCCTGGGGCTGTGCTGGCTTTAATCTAACTCCCCAGGAGCCTGTGATGCATGCTGAGCTTTGAAAGTCACTGGTCTACGGCCCTAGTTATCACAAATTTCACAGGGATCAGAGGACCTGTATTAGTGTTTGGGCTTCTTTCAGGCCTAACAAACCAGTATCTCATAAAAGAGAGAGAAATCTTTGCAACTGAACATTTTGAAGATTCTACAGATGATTCTAAAGCATAGTAAAATTTAAAAACCATTGATGTAGTTGAATATATAAAGCTTATTTTTCTTTTTTTCTCTCTCTCTTTCTCTCTTTCTTTCTTTCCTCTTGTTTCTTTCTTTCTTTTTTTTTTTGTTTTGTTTTTTGACACGGCCTTATTGTGTCACACAGGCTGGAGTGCAGTAGCACAATCACAACTCACTCCTGCCTCGAACCTCCTGGGCTCAAGCAATCCTCTAACCTTGGACTCCTAAGTAGCTGGAACCACAGGCACATGCCACCATGCTCAGCTAATTTTTTAATTTTTTGTAGAGATGAGGTCTTCCCATGTTGTCCAGGCCGGTCTCAGATTCCTAGGCTCAAGTGATCCTCATACCTTGGCCTCCCAAAGTGCTGGGATTACAGGCATGAGCCATTAGGCAGGCCTATAAACTTATTTTCAATGAACTAAAATTTCTGAATTTTCTGGCTCTTGCCCCATTCAGTCTTCTCTCCTGATATTTCTGCCATCCTTCCTCTTATCCCTACATTTTAAAAGTCAGCTATGATATCCTTAATTCCACAGAATTCCCTAATATGCATGAGATCTAAGCCACTATGACTTCAAACAACTAGTCCTTTTAGAAATCTTTACTGAATTATTCCTATGATAGTAGGAATTATTAGTACAACAGTTAGCTTTGGAAGGCAGGAACTGAGTGAAAAGAGGCAGGAGGGAACTTTGTGTTGGGTTGGATATTTTCCATATCTTGACTACAGTGATGGTGACAGTTAAATGCATTTGTGGAAACTGCTTTTCACCATATGTCAGTTTTATCTTAATATTAAAAAAAAGTGAAGAAAGAAAAAAAATTCACTCCCTTCACACATGCTTTCCCTCCACTCTGCCCAGGCCCATGAGTGCCACTGCTCCTCATTATTCCCATGACTTTATAGCTTTGTTTTTTTCCAAAGCCTCAAACATCTTTCAGGAAATAACTTATATAATATTTAGTGATAAAAATATTTCTGTGAAAGGGCTCAAAAATCAATCTGCCATGCAGAGCTTGGGCACAAATTTCACACTATACTCTCCATTGTTTATTTGTTTTTTTAAAATGTGGTAAAAATGCATAACATTAAATTTACAGTCAAGCATTTTTATGTGTATATTTGAGTAGTGCCTTAGCACTACTCAATGTATATTCACATTGTTGTGAATCTTCTAGAACTCTTTCATCTTTCAAAACTAAAATTCTGTATTTATTAAGCACTAACTCTCCTTCTGCTATCTCTCCATCCTTGGCAACCATCATTGTACTTTCTCTTTCTCTGATTTTGACTCTTAAATACTTCATATGAGTAGGATCTTAAAGTATTTGTCATTTTCTGGCTGTCATAGTTTACTTATCATTATGTCCTCTAGTTTTATCCATGTAGCATGTAATAGAATGTTCTTCTTTTATAAGCCTGTATAATATTTCAATATATGTATTTACTACATCTTTTATACTTTCATCTGTCTACGGATATTTAGATTCAATCACCATTGTTTTAACAACCTGCACAAAACTTCTTTATACTTCTTCCAGAAAATTCATCTCTATTCCAATTTCCCTGCCAGAAACTCACCAGTTGCAAAATAGCCATATTCTAAATTTCCTCTGGGTTTCATCTGAGCGTATTCTCTTTCTTTATGCATTCTGCTGCTTAAATGTTGACACACAAAAGCCACTAATAATAGGTGCTTTTGATTCCCATATTCAAGGTCAAATAGTTTAAAAAGACACATGAGTTCAGAACAAAAGGTTTTATAACACTTATTTCAGTATATTTGTTCTCATGCCACTTAATTTTAAGCTTTCCACTGGCAAGTAACTCCCCCATACTCATTGCCTTTAATCAATTAAATGTCTTATTTTTCACAATATTTATTTCCAAATATTAGCAACATAAACATCAAAATTTGTATTGTCCATTTTGCCCATCTAAAATCCATTCTTCACATTTTAGCCAGAGTGTTCTGTCTAAAGTTCTAATATGACTATATTTCTCCTTTGCTCAAAAGTATTTAATAGCTCTTTGTCCAAAATCTAAAACCTACATATCATTTAAAAGGACACCTATGATGTGGTCTTCCTTTAACTATTACTGACTTGTGTCTCGGGAGTTACTGCATTATTGTGTACTCGATTGTATGTGGGACTCCTCCCTCTCACCATGCCCTTTTATGCTGTTGATCCCTTGCTCTGTCTTGGCTCCCTGTAGAATTCCTTCTCCCACTCATACTGTTAGCTAAACTCTATGCATTGAAATTTAAGCTTTCCTTATCAGCTTTGTCTCCCTTTGTCTGAAAAACATAATCATCAAGTATGAGTTAATTGCATTTAAAGTGAATACTGGTCCTCCTTAACAATCAGCCTTAACACCCTGATTATTCCTTGATCCGTAACTAGGCTCAAATACCAGCAGGCCACAGGGAAATAAACAGGTACCCACCACAACAGGATGAGTACATACCAAAATGTGAAATGAGACAAGATGCTATACACAACAAAATATTTTTATAATTATTATCCATTTAACACCTGTAGAGACTTTGGAGTATATATTGTAAATGGATTGTAAAGCAATTATACCAGGGAGAAAGGAAAATGCTGATGGATTGAGCTAAATTCTTGATATGGAAAGATGGCCCAGAGATTCTGAATTTAGCACATATTACCATGAGCAGCTAAGCCAGCAGTATCTCTATTGCTTAATTGATTGGTTGACTAAAATGTAGGCCCATGGTGGCTTATATTAAAGGAAGTTGAAATGCTGGAACTTCTTTGGTAAACTGTAAATAAAGGAATCAAATGGCTCACAAAGATAGGAAGCAGGAAATGGATTTAACATGTTCACCTTACTATGCACATTTACCACAACTTCTGTTCTCTTCTTGATACCATCACCAGCGCCGCTGCCTTAGAATTTTTTTTTTTCTACTGGTCTATAAATTCTTCAAAGGGTTACAATTATTCAGCAACTTTATTTCCAATGCCTAGTAACTGCCTGGCAAATTATTTTATTTAATTTAAATGAAGGACTGTAGTTTTATTTTATTGTTATATTGACCCATATTATTTAATATTTTGTTAAATATTAGTATATTATTGATGACAAACATATAGTACTATTTAATTATATTAATGATATATGTCAGTTTTTATTCTTCAATTTACTTTTAAATTCATTATTTGGAATTTATATCTTTTTCATTAATAGTAACAGCTGTATATATTACATTATATTAGTATACTTCATTGATTTTCATTTATCTTTTTCCATTTAAATTGTTTCCAGTTTTCCCTACAATAAAAAATACTTCTACTTTGGTAAGTCAAGACAGGAGGATTGATTGAGGGCAGGAGTTTTAGATTAGCCCTGGCAACATAGTGAGACCCTGTCTCTACAAAAAATGTAAAAATTAGCCAGGCATATAGTGTGTGACTATAGTCCCAGCTACTTGGGAGGCAGAGGTAGGAGGATTGTTTGAAGTTGGGAGTTCAAGGCTGCAGTGAGCTATAATCACCCCACTGCATTCCAGCCTGGGCAACAGAGTGAGACCCTGACTCAAAAAATGAACAAAAGAACTTCCAAGTGACATCAACAACATAGTGAAACAAGAATCCCTGGACTCTCTTTCCCCCTAGGGACACACAAGTATAACGGCAATATGCAGATCAATTGTTTTCGTGAGAAATCTGGGAACTAGTGGAAAAGCTCCTGTACCATGGGTGAGTGCAAAGCCAGTCGCGTTTAAATTAGCAACACCCTCTCACCGTAATCCCCACCCTGGCACAGCACTGTACATGCAGTCGTGAGGAAATCCTCAGATTCTCCCTGAGGATGCAGAGAGTTGGACAGCATATCCACACCTCAGTTTTTCTTGGTATTGCCCAAGAGAGTGGCTTTTATCTTACTGTCTTGGAGTGCTGATGGGACCTAACGTAACAAAGGCAGTGGTTTTAACTAGCATACAGATATTCAACAAAGGCCCTCTCTCTGGCTCAACATGGAGGTGAGTGAAGCAAAAAATAACTTTCAGCCCCCAGCTACTCCTTGGGTAGGAAAAGCCTTAGACAGCGCACCCAATGTCTCAAATTTCTGGGTGTTATCTGAGGGACTGGCTTTTATGTCTCCTTTCTTAAAGCATTGAGAGGGTCCAGCATAGCCTAGACCTTTGGGGGGCAAGCCGGTAGGTTGAACCAGCATGTGGGCTTTCACCACAGCTCTTCCCCATGGCTCAACATGGGGTAAGTGGTGAAATGCTCCAGCTTCCAGCCTCTGCCTGAGAGGAAAAGAGTTGAACCATGTGCAGAAGTTCCAAATTTTCTGGGAGAAAGCCTAAAGGAGTAAACAGGGAACTATACCCACAATACAGACAGAAGATAAATCTCCAGGAATTAACCCTCAGGAAGCAGAGATATAAGTTACCAGAGAGATAATTCAAAATAATTGTCATAAATAGGCTTAATGAACTCGGGAGAACAATTCATGACAAAGTAAGACTTTCAACAATGAATAAATTTTTTTAAAAAAATTTCAGTGAAAGAGTTCAACAGCAAGCAGACTAATGCAGCAGAAATTATCAGTCAACTTAAGGATAGATTATGTGAAAATATCCTGTCAGAGGAGGAAGAAAAAGCAATGAAAAAGAGCAAAGAAAGCTTATGACAGGACTTATAAGATGCCATTAAGTTGGACAATATATGTATTATAGAAGTCTAAAAAGAAGAAGAACGATAAAGGAGCAGAAAGATTATTCAAAGGAATAATAACTGAAAATTTACTAAATCTGGGCAAGGAAATTCACATTCAGATACAGAAAACCCAAATGACCTCAAGTGAGAAGAATCTAAAGAAATTCACACTGAGACACATTATAATCATATTTTCAGATGTCAAAGACAAAGAGAATTTTGAAAGCTGCAAGAGAAAAGTGATTTGTCATATACAAGGTAATATTAAAAAGACTAAAAGTGGATTTTTTCACCACAAATTCTGCAGTTCAAAGTGAATGAGATGATATATTCAGAATGCTGAAAAAAAGAAAAAAAAACTTGTCAAGTGTGAATACTATACTTGGCAAAATTGTCCTTCAAAAAGGAAAGATAGATAAAGACTTTCACATACAAACAGAAGCTGAAGTCCTTCATCACTACTAGATCTGCCTTACAAGAAATGCTAAAGAGAATTCTTCAACTTGAACCAAAGAGAAATGGTGATACAATAGTTTAAGAAAGTATAAAGCTCATTGGTAAAGCTAACTATGTAGACAAAACCAGAACGTGTATTATTGGAATGGTGATCATTAAATAACTTTTAATTCAAGTACAAATGTTAAAATATAAAAGTATTTAAAATAACTGTAACTAAAAGTATGAAACAAATGCACAATATACATAGATGTAAAATGTGGCATCAATACGTAAAGTGTGTGTGAGGGTAAAATATAGAATTTTTGTTTGTGATGGAAGTTAAGTTGTTATCAACTTTAAAAAGACTGTTATAATTAAAGATAATTTATGTAAGCCCCGTGGTAACCACAAAAATAACGTACCATTGAAATTACATAAAATAGAAAGAGAAAAAAATCAATGCATGTCAACAACAAAATTAACAAAACACAGAATAAACCAGGAAGAGAGAAAAAGGAACAAAAGAACTATAAGACAAACAACTTTGTTTTGAAAAGGGGAGTAGAAAATTGTTCCATATCAATATAGTCAAGCATCACTTAATGGCAAGGATATGTTCTGTGAAATCTTTGGGCAATTTCATCATTGTGCAAACACCATAGAGTGTATTTACACAAACCTAGATGGTACAAACTACTATGCATGTAGGCCATATGGTATAGCCTATTGCGCCTAGGTTAGAAAACTGTACAGCATGTTACTGTACTGAATACTGTAGGTGATCGTAAGACAATGGTCAGTATATATGTATCTAAAGATGTCTAAACAAGGCAAAGGCATAGTAAAAATATGGTAAAAAATATTTAAAAGAAGATGTACACCTGTGTAGGGCACACACCATAGATGAAGATTACAGGACTGGAGTTGTTCTAATTGAGTCAGTGAGTGAATGATAAGTGAATGTGAAGGTATAAGATATTACTGTATGCTACTGTATACTTTATAAACACTGCACACTTAGGCTAAACTAAATTTATTTAAAAATGTTTTTCTTTCTTCAATAAGAAATTAACTTCAGCTTACTGTAACATTTTAACTTCATATACTTCTAAATTTTTATTAACTTTTTGACTCTTGTAATAATGCTTAGGTTAAAACAGACACGTTGTACAGTTGTACAAAAATACATTCTTTTTTATATCCTTATTCTATAAGCATTTTTCTATTTAAAATTGTTTTTATTTATTTTTACTTTTTAAACTTTCTTGTTAAAACTATGACACAAACACACACATTATCCGAGGCCTATATTGGGTCAGGATCATCAATATTACTGTCTTCTATCTTCACACTTTGTCCCACTGGAAGGTCTTCAGGGGCAGTAATACACATGGAACTGTCATGTCCTTTGGTAACAGTGCCTTTATCTGGAAGACCTGCTGAAGGACCTGCCTGAGGCCATGATGCAGTTAACTTTATTTTTTAAATAGAAGGAGTGCACTCTAAAATAATAATAAAAAGTATAGTATAGTAAATACGTAAGCCATAGTTGTGGGAATTTATCATCATTATCAGGTATTATGTATTGTATACATAATTGTTTGTGGTAGACTTTTATATGACTTGCAGTGCAGTTGGTTTATTTATACAAACATCACCACTAACACATGAATAACATGTCGTCCTGTGATGCTATGACAGCTACAACATCACTAAGTGGTAGAAATATTTTATCACCATTATAATCTATTATAATCTTGAATATGTGGTCCATCATTGACCAAAAGGTCATTATGCGATACGTGGGTGCATAACTGTATTTACTTCAAATGTAAATAGTTTAAACTCCCAAATCAAAAGACATGAAATGGCTGAATGGATTTTTTTTAAATAAAAATATAAGATCCAACTGTGCTAACCACAAGTGTCTCACTTTAGATTTAAGAACTTCTGAAAGTGAAGGGATAGGAAAATGTATCCCATGGAGATAGTAACCAAGAGGGAGCAGAGGTGGCTATATTTATGTCAATTAAAATAGACATTATGTCAAAAACAGTCACAAGAGACAAAGAAGAACATTATGTAATGATACAAATGACTATTCACCAGGAAAATAGAACAATTATAAATATACATGCATCCAAAATTAGACACTTATATTTGAAAGGGAACATTGACAGAATTGAAAAAAAGAAATGGGCAGAATACATTAATAATAGAATACTTTAATACCCCACTTTTATAATGGATAGAACAACCAACAGAAAATCAACAAAGAAACAGCAGACTTGAACAATACTGTAGGCTAAATGGACTAACCAGATGTATTTAAATTCTCACCCAATAGCAGAAGAATATACATTATTCTCAAACACACATGGAATATTCTTCAACTAGACCATCAGTCATGTTAGGTTACAGATCAATTCTTAATAAACATAAGATTAAAATTATATCCAGTATCTTTTCCAACCACTATGGAATGAAACTAGAAATCAATAGCTGAAAGAAAACTACAAAATTCACAAATATTTGCAACCAAACAACACACTATTAAACAACTAATGGTTCAAAAGAGAAATTAAGAGGGAAATTAAAAATGTATTGAGACAGGCCAGGCACAGTGGCTCATGCCTGTAAACCCAGCACTTTGGGAGGCCGAGGCGGGTGGATCACCTGAGATCAGGAGTTTGAGACCAGCCTGGCCAACATGTCGAAGCCCCGTTTCTACTAAAAATACAAAAATTAGCCAGGGGTGGTGGTGCACATCTGTAATCCCAGCTACTTGGGAGGCTGGGGTAGGAGAATCCCTTGAACCTGGAAGGTGGAAGTTGCAGTGAGCCAAGATCATGCCACTGCACTCCAGCCTGGGCAACAGAGCTAGACTCTGTCTAAAATAAATAAATAAATAAATAAACCCCAAAAAACATATATACACACGCACATTGAGACAAACAGAAATGAAAATATAACATACGAAAACATGTAGAATGTAGCAAAAGCAGTACCAAGAGGAAAGTTTACAGTGATAAACACTCACATTTAAAAAGAATAAATGTCTCAAAATTAAAAATCTAACTTTACATCTCAAAGATCTAGAAAAAGGAGAATAAACTCTGCTCAAAGTTACCCAAAAAGAGGAAATAATACTGATTACTGATTAGAACAGAAATTTAAAAATAGAGGATAGAAAAGCAAAAACAATCATAAGAGTTGATTTTCTGAAAACATAAAATTGACAAAATTTTAGCTAAACTAAGAAAATAAGAGAGAAGACTCATAGACTTAAATAAATAAAATCAGAAATCAAAGAGAAGACATTACAACTAATGCCACAGAAATAAAATTAAATGTACCTGGCATGCAGCTGTTGATCTGGCAAATGCCTTTTTCTACATACTTGTCCATAAGGCCCATCAGAAGCAATTTGCCTTCAGCTGGCAAGGCCAGAAATATACCTTTACTATCCTACCTCAGGGATATACCACTCTGGACTTATTGGTGAGACCTTTTCATGTCAGGCAGTGGGAAATAAATCAGACTCTTTTACCTAAGTGAAATTTCTAGGATCCAGTGGTGTGGGGCTTGTCAAAATATTTCTTCTAAGGTAAAGGATATAAGTTGTTGAATTTGGTCCCTCCTACAACCAAGAAAGGGGATCTATGTATTAGTCTAGCAGGTCTATGTATTAGTCCGTTTTTATGCTGCTGATAAAGACATGACTGAGACTGGACAATTTACAAAAGAAAGAGGTTTAATTGGATCTACAGTTCCACATAGCTGGGGAAGGCTCACAGTCTTGGTGGAAAGCAAAGAGGAGCAAGTCCTGTCTTATATGGATCGCAGCAGGCAAAGACAGAATGAGAAAGACAGAAAAGCAGAAACACTGATAAAGCCATCAGATCTCGTGAGACTTATTCACTAGTATGAGAACAATAGGTGGGAAACCACCCCCATGATCCAAATATCTCCCACCAGGTCCCTCCAATAACACGTGGGAATTATGGGAGTACAATTCAAGATGAGATTTGGGTAGGGATGCAGAGCCAAACCAAATCAGTCTATTTGAATTTTATTTTGCAGGCAGTACATTCCTCATTTGGGTGGGGTGCTCTGGCCTATTTATTGAGTGATCCAAAAGGCTGTTAATTCATATCCTTCTGTGATTCTTCAAGGATCTAGAACCAGAAATACCATTTGACCCAGCAATCCTATTATTGGGTATATACCCAAAGGATTATAAATCATTCCACTACAAAGACACATGCACACATATGTTTATTGTGGCACTGTTCACCATAGCAAAGACTTGGAACCAACCCAAATGCCCGTCATTGATAGACTGGATAAAGAAAATGTGGCACATCTATACCATGGTATACTAGGCAGCCATAAAAAAGGACGAGTTCATGTCCTTTGCGGGGACATGGATGAAACTGGAAACCATCATTCTCGGCAAACTAACACAATAACAGAAAACCAAACACCACATATTCTCACTCATAAGTGTGAGTTGAACAATGAGAACACATGGACACAGGGAGGTGAACATCACACACTGGGGCCTGTCAGGTGGTGGGGGACTAGGGGAGGGATAGCATTAGGAGAAATTCCTAATGTAGATGATGGGTTGATGAGTGCAGGAAACCACCATGAAATGTGTATACCTATGTAACAAACCTGCACGTTCTGCACATGTATCCCAGAACTTAAAGTATAATAAACATATTAAAAAAAAAAAAAAACAGACTGTTAGTCCCAGAACAGAAGAAGGCTCTGCAACAGGTCCAGGCTACTCTGCCACTTGGGCCTTATGACCCAGCAGATCCAATGGTACTTGTGGTGCCCAAACAGCAGATATGGATACTGTTTGGAGCCTTTGGTAGGGCCCTGTAAATGAATCACAACAAAGGCCTTTAGGGTTTTGGAGCAAGGTCCTACCATCTTCTGCAGATAACTAGTCTTTTGAGAGACAGATCATGGCCTACCACTGCCCTTGATAGAAACTGAACATTTGACTATCAAGTTATCATGCATTTGCACCAAGTTATCAGGCAATCTGAACTTCGTAGTATGAACTGTGTGCTTTCTGACCCATCTAGCCATAAAGTTGGATGTGCATAGTAGCATTCCAGTATCAAATGGAAGTGGTATATACATGATCAGTCTTGAGCAAGTCCTGAAGGCGCAAGTAAGTTACATAAGGAAGTGGCCCAAATGCCCAGGTTCCCCACTCATGCCGCCCTGCCTTCTCTCTCCAAGCCTGCACCAATGACCTCATAGGGAGTTCCATATGAGGAACTTGAAGTTTACAGGAAGAGAATACTAGGCCCTAGTTTACAGGTGGTTCTGCCTGACGCAGGCACCACCTGAAACTGGACAGCTGCAGCACTACCGGACCTTTCTGGGACATCCATGAAGGAAGGTGGTGAAGGCAAATCTTTCCAGTGAGCAGAACTTTGAACAATGCACCTGGTTGTGCACTTTACTTGGAGAAAGAAATGGCCAGATGTGTGATTATATACTGATTCATGGGCTGTACCCAATTGTTTGGCTGGGTGACCAGAATCTTGAAAGGAGCATAACTGGATAATTGGCAACAAATAAATCTGGGGAAGAGGTATGTAAATGGACCACTCTGAGTGGTAAAAAAAAAGTGAAGCTCTTTGTGTCTCATGTTAATGCTCACAAAAGTGTGACCTCAGCAGAGGGGCATTCTAATAATCAAGTGGATAGGATGACCTGTTCTGTAATTTGAACTCCACATAGCCCCTTTACTCAGCCATTAATAAAGTGGGCTCATTAATAAAGTGGTCATGGTAGAAAGAATGGAGGCTATGCATGAGCTTAGCAACATGGACTGCAAATCACCAAGTCTGACCTGGCTACCACCACTGCTGAGTGCCCAGTCTAACAGCAGAGAGAAACACTGAGTCCTCAATATGTCACCATTTCTCAGGGTGATCAGCCAGCTAGCTGATGGCAGATCGATTACTTTGGATGATTTCCCTCATGGAATGGGTAGCAGTTTGTCTGTACTGGAATAGACACTTTGGATATGAGTTTGCTTTTCCTGAATGCAATGCTTCTGCCAAGACTGCCACACGTGAACTCACAGAATGCCTCATCCACCTCCATGGTACTTCACACAGCATTGCTTCTCACCAAGGAATTTACTTCACAAAGAGGTGTAGCAAAGGCTTTTGCTCATTGCATTCGCTGGCCTTACCATGTTGCCCATCATCCTGAAGCAGCTGCATTAAGGGAAAAGTGCAATGGCCTTTTGAAATCACGATTACAGTGCCAACTAGGGGATAATTCTTTGCAGGACTGCAGCAAAGTTCTCCAGAAGGGTATATATGCCATGAATCAGCATCCAATATATGGTACTATTTCTCTCATAGCCAGGATTAATGGGTCAAGGAATCAAGAGATAGAAGTGTAAGTGGTACCACTCATCATCCAAAGTGACCCACTGGCAAAATTTTTGCTTCCTGTTCCCACAACATTATGGCTGGCCTAGAGGACTTAGTTCCAGAGGGAAAAATGCTATCACTAGGAGACACAACAATGATTCCATTGAACTGGAAGTTAAGACTGCCACCTTGCCACTTGGGTCTCCACCTGCCACTAAGTCAACAGGCTAAGAAGGGAGTTTTGGTGTTGGCTGTTGACCTGGATTATCAAGATAAAATCAGACTACTACTCCACAGTGGAGGTAAGGAAGAGTATATCTGGAATATAGGAGATCCCACAAGGCATCTCTTAGAACTGCACTGTCTAGCAATTAAGGTCAATGGGAAACTACAACAACCAGTCTAGGCAGGATTAAAAATGGCCCGGACCCTTCAGAAATGAAAGTATGGGTCACTTCACCAAGTAATAAACCACAACCACCTGAGGTGCTTCCTGAAGGCAAAGATAATACAGGATGAGTAATAGAAGAAGGTAGCTGTCGATACCAGTGATGACCAGATGACCAGTAACAGAAATGAGGACTGTAATTTCCATAATTATTTCCTCCTTATTTTGCTAAAAATATGATTGTGCATACATACACCTGTATTATGCAATTGTCTTTGTTTTATTTCCTTTCTCATTCCTTTATCATTTAACATAAGATGTATTGACTTCATATCAGCATTTAAGTGTTGTTAATTTTATGTAAGATTTCTTATGTTAAAGATTAGTGGATTTTCAGTTGTACAAATGGTAGTTTTATTATGTTAGGTGAAATTACAAAATTGTTATTGCCTTTATTTGGAGAGCAAGTATAATTTAAGGAGGTGGTCATAGATTCCAAGTTTACAAGCAGTGAAGTTGTGTTGGTTAATGATAAGTGTCAAGTTGACTGGATTGGGGGATGGCTAGATGGCTACTAAAGTATTGTTTCTGGGAGTGTCTGTGAGGCTGTTTCCAGAAATTGATATTTGAGTCAGTGGCCTGGGAGAGGAAGACCCACCCTCAGTGTGGATGGACAAAATCCGGTTTACTGCCAGTACATTTGAAACAAAGCAGGAAGAAGAAGAGGGAATAAAGTTACTTGCTGACTTTTCTGTCTCTCTCTCTCTTCCCATCCCAGACACTTGCTTCATCTCCTCATGCCCTTGAACTTCAGACTCCAGGTTCTTCAGCCTTTGGACTCTGGGATTTGCACTCATGGCTTCTCAGGGGCTCTTGGGCCTTCTGCCTCAAACTGAAAGCTGCACTGTCAGCTTCCCTGGTTTTGAAGCTTTGGGAGTTGGACTAAGCCACACTACTAGCTTCTCTCTTTCCCCAGCTTGTAGATGGCCTATCATGGGACTTTTCTTTGTAATTGCATGAGCCAGTTCTCCTTAATTGACTCCCTTTTATATATACATATGTTCTATTGGTTCTGTTCTTCTGAAGAACCCTAATATAGAATTGAAAGACTTGCACACTGTAAAGTACAAAACATTGATGACAGAAACTAAAGAAGATAGAAACAAATGGAAACACATCCCATGTTCATTGATTGGAAAATAAAATATTGACAAAATGTTCATACTATTCAATGGCAATTTATAAATTGAATGCAATCCTCATCACAATCCCAATGGAATTTTTAACAGAAATTAAAAACACAATTCTAAAGTTTATCTGGAATCACAAAGGACCCAAAGTAGCCAAAACACTATTGAAAAAGAACCAAGCTAGGGAGGCATCACACTTCCTGATTTCTAAGACCTGCTATATGGCAGAACTGAAAGAATAGTAACACAGACTGAAAGAACAGTAACACAAACAGCACTGAAACATGCCCCTACTTGCCACAATGCTGGAAACGAGAATAAGAGAAGAGCTACAATTACTAAAACAGTATTGCACTGGCATCAAAACAGGCATATAGACTAATGGAAGCAAATAGAGTGTGCAGAAATAAATCCATGAGTATATGGACAACTGTCCTTTGATAAAATGCCAAGAATACATGTCGGGAAGTGATTAGACTTTTCAACAACAATGTTGGAAAAACCAGATAGTCATATGAAAAAAATGAAATTGGATTTTGATCTTATACTATGCACAAATATGAACTCAAAATGGACTAAAGACTTGAATGTATGATCTAAAACTACAAAACTCCTGGAAGAAATTATAGAGAAAATTCTTCATTACATTATTCTTGGCAATAATTTCATAAGTAGGGCACAAAAGGACAGGTAACAAAAGTGAAAATACACCAGTGGGGCTACATCAAACTTAAAAAGCTTCTTCACAGCAAAGGAAACCATCAACAAAATGAAAAGCCAACCTATAGATTGGGAGAACAATTTTAGAAATCAAATATCTGGCTGGGGGCTAATTTCCAAAATGTCTGAGAAACTCAAACAACTCAACAAAACAACAACAACAACAAAAAACTAATAACTCTATTAAAATGGGTTGAGAACTGAAATAGACATTTTCCCCCAAAAAGAACATACTTATGGGTGATAAGTGTCCAAAAAGATACTCAATGTCACTAATGATTAGAGAAATAAAAGTTAAAATCACAATATCACATCACATATTGTAGGATAGCTATTATTTAAAAAAACAAACAAACGAGTGTTGGCAAGAATGTGCAGACATTGGAAACTTTTACATTGTTAGCAAAAATGCAAAATGACACAGCTGCTGTGGAGAACAGTATAGAGGTTCTTCAGAAAACTAAAAATAATACTGCCACATTTTGCAGCTTCCTATTTCTGGGTATTTAACCAAAAGAATTGAAATCAGGGTTTAAGGATATATTGGCATTCTTATGTTGATGGCAGCACTATTGACAATAGCCAAGATGTGAAAACAACCTAAATGACCAATGATTAATGAGTGCATAAAGAAAATGTGGTATATACATCCAGTAGAATATTATTCAGCTTTAAAAAGAGAAAATACTGCAATATGCAACAGTGTAAATGAACCTGGAAGACATTATACTAGGGGAAATCAGCCAGTAACAGTACAAATACTGTATGATTTTACTTATGTGAGGTACCTAAAATAGTCAAAATCATTGAATCTGGAAGAAGAGGGAAACAGAGAGTTGCCAATCAAAGTATATAAAGTTTCAGTTATGCTAGATAATTTTTAGATACCTGCTGTACAACATGGTTGCTGTAATTGACAATACCTTATTGTACACTCAAAAATCTGTTAAAAGGGCAGATCTCATGTAAAGTGCCCTCATCATAAGAAAATAAAAACAAAGAGAAAGAGAGAGAAAAAATACTTCCATGGTTCCTGGTCATCCTTGTACACGTTTTCTGGCATATGTGAACAGAAGTTTCTTTATGGTTGTTGCTTTCAGTTACGATTGGAATTTAAGAATTTTAGTGTACAGTAAATTATTTTACTAATTCCCACCAGGATTTTATAAATTTATTACCAATATAAAGTGGCATAATATTGTGGTTTCTTTGGTTTTCATAACATTCTTTTTCATATCATTTAATCACTGATAACTAAAATTGCTGAGTATTTTTTCCTATGCTGTTGGCTACTCAAGTTTCCTCTTTTGTGTCATGCTTTTGTCATGAGACCCTTAGGGTGTCACTTTTCCAGTTGGAATCCTCTGTGGCCAGCGGAACCTCTGCCTGAGTTTTTGCTTGGGCCTATTGGGCTCATTATGCCCACTTGGTCAGGCAGGCTATGCTTGGCTCACACTACCATCCAGTATCCCATGCCTGCCAAGGGTGAGCCAGGTGTGGAGTGGAGCAAGTGTGGGGTCTGGCCACTCCACACAGCTAGGCATGCCAGCTGTTGCTGTCAGTGGGAGGGGGCAGCTCCAGGCACCAGCACAGGTTCTGGCTCCATGTGAAGCTGCAGCTGGATCAGATGTACCATAAGCAGCTTCCAGTGCAGGCACCCATGTCCGAATGAGGGGAATGCAGTGGCACTTGGAAACTAGGATATGCAGAGCCCCAAAGAAAGTCTCACAGCCCTGGCTTGGGGAGCCCCTACTTCTGGGCTCCCCAAAGGACTGTAGCTCTTCTCTTATTCTCGTTTCCTGCAGTGTGGCAAGTGGGGGCATGTTTCAGTGCTGTTTGTGTTACTGTTCTTTCAGTTCTGCCATACAGCAGGTCCCAAGTTCTTGTTCCAAGTCCAGGAAGAATGAGGTGTGCAGGCAACTGGAGGGTGAGCAAGGCAGAGAGGAGCTTTATTGAGTGACAGAACAACTCATACCCAGAGCGGGTAGCTCCTTTCCACAAGCAGGTTGTCCTGACAACTCAGGGAAACCCAAAGTTGGTAGCTCCTTCCTGCAACTGGTAGTTCCAGCATCTGTCTAAGCCTAGCTGAGACTAGGGATTTTATGGGCTCAGAAGGGAGGACATACTGCTGATTGGTCCATCAGTGGCCATGGGCAGGCCCAGAAACATCACCATAACTTCTCATTCTGGGCCACGGCCTCCATGCAGAACTGGCAGCCTGGCCCCCAGGCTTCAGACCATTCCTAGCTTGAAGGTGGGATTTCACCTGAAACCCACCCCTTTTTGTCCAGGATTCTGTCTGCCCCTTGCTACCATCAACATGCTGTCTATGGTGCGCAGGCAGTTTGTGCTGAGGGGTGCCTACAGGCCCGCACCAAGCCAACCTCAGACCCCCTTTAGCCTCCCTCCCATGCTCATAGGCACCCAAAATCCAGGGGGAGCTGACGCGTCAGGGGCTGGCACGTCAACACCACCCCGAATGCATGCACACCTGGCCTGGTCACGATGGCACCTGGACTCAGCCACAACCTTGTTCTGCCCTGGAGTGGGTGCTGGGAGAGGGAGAGCCAGGGAGCAGGAGCAGACACTTTCAAGCTTGTGGGGCAAGGGGCTTCCCAGGCCCCTGAGAGCACTGGTATACTGGGATCTGGAGCCACAGCTGGGTGGCAGTGGCTGAGCCTGGGAGCATGGGCGCCTGCCCCACCAACTCAGTAAGGGGGCGGGGCTCTTGCTTGTTCATGGCTCTCTGACCAAGAACATCCCTGGGGAGAATGCAGCCCTGGTCGTCCCTCTCCTGCTGCAGCTCGTATCCTTGAAGCAGCTGCTCCAGATGGGCCATCGCTGCCGTCACTTTCATATGTTTTGCCCATTTCATTTACCTTTTCTTTATCAAACTGTAAATTTTGTGAATTCTGTATGTTAAACATTTGTCAATTATCTGTGTTGCAACATTAGCTCCCAATCTTGGCTGGTCTTTAACATCATCTATGACATCCCATGTTCTGTAAAAATTAATTTTAATGAATCAAATCTATTATCATGCTTTTTATTTACCTGAAGTCAAAACAACCTCTCATATTTCTCTCCAATTTATGTCTTTTTTATATCCAGAAGTTGCCCTTTAGTAGACTCTACAATAGAGATCTATTGTCATTTTGTAATACTGAGATTTGATTATCCAAATGCCATTTCTTAAATAGTTTAGTATTACCCATTAATTTGTAATGTTGCCCATGAAATACAGTAAGTTTCTTTATAGGCTTTGTCTCACTTCTGCCTCTCCACCCTATCAACAGTTTTATGGGTGTATATTTCAAATCACACTATAGTTTTATGCTTCATGTTGATGTGTTATGTAATCCCCTTATGTCTTACTATTTGTATTTCTTTATTAAGTTTTTAATTTCCATATGAGTTTTAGAATATTTGCTTAGTGCCTCAAAGATCATTTTGGGTTATTAATTAAATTTGCAATAAATTTATTGAATAATTTGAGGAAAGCTGACATCATTAGAAAATTGAATCTTCTCCTTGTGATAGTTTGCTGAGAATGGTGGTTTCCAGCTTCATTCATGTCCCTACAAAGGACATGAACTCATCATTTTTTATGGCTCCATAGTATTCCATGGTGTATATATGCCACATTTTCTTAATCCAGTCTATCATTGTTGGACATTTGGGTTGGTTCCAAGTCTTTGCTATTGTGAATAGTGCCACAATAAACATACGTGTGCATGCGTCTTTATAGCAGCATGATTTATACTCCTTTGGTTATATACCCAGTAATGGGATGGCTGGGTCAAATGGTATTTCTAGTTCTAGATCCTTGAGGAATCACCACACTGACTTCTACAATGGTTGAACTAGTTTACAGTCCTACCAACAGTGTAAAATTGTTCCTGTTTCTCCACATCCTCTCCAATACCTGCTGTTTCCTGGCTTTTTAATGATTGCCATTCTAACTGGTGTGAGATGGTATCTCACTGTGGTTTTGATTTGCATTTCTCTGATGGCCAGTGATGATAAGCATCTTTTCATGTGTCTTTTGGCTGCATAAATAAAAACCAAACACCTCATGTTCTCACTCATAGGTGGGAATTGAACAATGAGAACACTTGGACACAGGAAGGGGAACATCACACCCCGGGGCCTGTTGTGGGGTGGGGGAAGCGGGGAGGGATAGCATTAGGAGATATACCTAATGTAAATGACGAGTTAATGGGTGCAGCACACCAACATGGCACATGTATACATATGTAACAAACCTGCATATTGTGCACATGTACCCTAAAATTTAAAGTATAATAATAAAAAAAAATTGAATCTTCTCTTTCATCAATGTGCATCAATATTCCATTTATTCAGGCTTATTTTTAAGTTACTCATATTTTTTAAATAATATTTTATAATGACTTTATAATGCTTCTATGCATATTTATTAAATGTAGTTCATATAGGTTTCTATGTTATTAGAAATAGCATTTTTTTTTGGTGTCTTCCATTTTCTAATTGGTCATTCATGAAGAACACCAATGGTTTTAATTTTATACACTGACAAATATACAACCTTAATGAATTAACTAATTCATTCTCACAGTTTATGAAATCCCTTGGATTTGTCATGCAAATAACTATAGTGTTTGCAAATGAGAGATAAAATATGTGTTTTTCTTCATAATTTATCTACCTATTCCTATTTATAATTGATGTTGCACCTAGAACTTCAAGTAAAATATTAAATAAATAGAGGTTATGATAGTTACCTTTGTCCTTAAAGGAAATATTTCTAAAATATCAACCCAGACTATATTTTCTGTGAGATTTTGTCATGTATCTTTACCACATTAAATAAGTTATCTTCTGTTTTTAATTTACTAAGCAGATTTTCATTGTGAATGTGTATTACATTCTATTACATAATTTTTCTGCATCTGTTAGGATGATTATTTGGACTTTCATTTTATTAGTGTGTTGAGATATATTGATACATTTTACTAAAATGTTGAAATTTTCCTGAAGTTCTATGATATTGTATACCTGGTCAGTAGATACTACCTTTTTAATACATAGCCAAATTAAATTTGTCAATGTTTTCTTTAGAATTTTTTATCTGCATTCACAAATAAAATTAATATAGAATTTTCTATTCTTATTCTTTCTTGTTTGAAAAGTTGTATCAGCTCTACAAAATAAATGTTGTAACTATACCTTTTACTTCTTTGAAATATTTTATGCAATATGAGGATTATTTGTTAGTTAAAAGTTTGCAAATTTTTTTCATGTAAAACTACTTCGGCCTTGTAGCATGTATTGGTGATTCTATAAACAACATTTCCTCAGCTCACTTGAGCTGTAGCTGGGTTTGACAGTATTCAAGCTTATTCTATTTTTTTCCTGTTTCCAAGATCATAGATGTTTTCTTATCTCATATACAGGCCCAGAGAAGAGCATGGGGATAGTTATCTTTCAACCAGTGAAGTAGAAACTGGAGGCTTAAATGTTTCAGCCTCCTTATCTACATCCATAGAGTTTATTCAGAGATGTACTTTACAGGGTAACATAGAAGACCCCGAGTAGGATTTAGATCCAGTTGTCCATAGGAGTAATATCTTAGTATTATATTTTATATTTGTCTTCCCTTTTCCCTGTCACTCTCCTACTTCCCTCATCTCTGCTTCCAGAGATCACCTTCCAGATAAACTACCATTTATAAATTATTGTCTAATGCCTTGTTTTTAGGATCTGCCAACTAGTGTATGCAGTTGTGGAAGAGGTGTTAGAAGGCAACCCTCAGGATGGGATTTAGAACTAGATCACGCACTGATCAAATAGCCACAAAACCCCATTACTAGCAGTACATGGGTACTACTAACTCCCGGGATGCCGTAAAGCAACGATTAATAATCTGTCCCATTATTTTGGATTAGAAGATGTGAAAGAATAGAAGAAATGGACTTGTGTGAAGCTCTGCAGCATTTGAAGGCAATGGGAAGGTGATAATATAAAGAATGTCAGGCCGGGCGCGGTGGCTCACGCTTGTAATCCCAGCACTTTGGGAGGCCGAGGCGGGTGGATCACGAGGTCAGGAGATCGAGACCACGGTGAAACCCCGTCTCTACTAAAAATAAAAAATAAAAAAAAAATTAGCCGGGCGTGGTGGCGGGCGCCTGTAGTCCCAGCTACTCGGAGAGGCTGAGGCAGGAGAATGGCGTGAACCCGGAAGGCAGAGCTTGCAGTGAGCCGAGGCTGCGCCACTGCACTCCAGCCTGGGTGACAGAGCGAGACTCCGTCTCAAAAAAAAAAAAAATGTCAGTGGTCCAGATTTGCTAATGGCTGTTAAAATGGGTAAAAACCTTCTTTAAAACAAGTTAGCCATTCCCATATTATGTGCATGCTGTAAAAATGTGAAGGACTGCAGGAGTGCAGGACAGTGTTTTAAAGAGATCTTCGTCTTCTGCAGCTACAGTGAAGACTGTGTTGATAATCAAGCCAAGAATTTAATTTGAAAGGTGGCAAAATTACAAAGGAGGCTGAATGTATTGCCTTGATAGCATTCCTATTTCAGAAAATCACGACTTGATAGGGAAGAATGTAAACCCTGAAAACAGGGATGGGATCATTTGGGTGCATATGCCTGAAAACAGATTCTGCAGAACAGTACTTGGATTACTAGTGGAAGTAACCTACTCTTCCTACAGCGGGAATATCTCTGCCTGGGGACTACGCACAAAATTCACATATGGAGATTTCTTTAGGAGATAATGCTTTTTCTCCAAAATGTCCCCTCCTGACTTCTCACATTGCCTCTAGATAACAAGCAGTATTAGCTTTCTGTATAGCCTGAATGGGACACACATAAAAAAAAGAGATGTAGCAGCTAGTTAATAAGTAATAGCAGAAACAGTGAAATATGGGTAAGTTTGGATTTTGAGAATATTGAAATGGAGGATGTGGGTAGAATATGAGCCTGGATAGGGAAGAATTATTAACATGAGATAAATCTCATGTTATGCCTTAGAATTTAATGCCCTGCCAAATAAATCGGGAGCCAATTCTAAAACTTTGCTTGAGTTGCTCTTTAAAGTTTGAACATGATGACAGAGTACAGTAAATAAATAGACATGTCGAATTGTACTTACGGTGTATTGAAGAATGGGTCAAAAGGCACACAAATATAAACATATTTATCATGTATGACCAGATAATCTGCCAGATTATGTCCTGCAAAGAGACAAGAAAGCCTTCTCTTCACTAAGGAAGATATTTCTGGGGGCATCAGCATTCTTGAGAAGCTCCGCAGTGACTGTTCTCAGAGTCCAGGGTTGACAAAAGATTTTTGCATGGAACTAGGACCCTTAGATCAATGGAGACTATAAAATTCTGGCCTCTTGGAGGTTAGGTGGCAGCAATTATCAATCAGCCTCAAGGTGTATTTAATTACCATTATAGACAGCAACAGTAGATAGGTAACTGTTGGGCATGTGACCTGCCAGAACCTACGAAGTTGAGCAGAGAGCATGATGTTCTTAGGGAAAGATTGGATGTGCAATCAGCAATGACATGTTTTGACCTGCATGACGAGAAAAAAGAAAAAATCAAGGGCTTGTGGACAAAGGCTTATATCTGTTGCCACAGTAACAAAGCAGCAGCCCTTAACCTGTTCTAAGCCTGTGAGTTTCAGAATTCATTGATTATGTATGCTAATATGTCTTTTAAAAGTCTTGAACTGTCGCTAAAAATATATAAAATAACTATTCCTTGAAATCTTTCCCAAAGGGACCTGTAGTCATTTATGAGAATTAAAAAAATCAGTGAAATGAAAGTACTGACATAATTTGAAAGTTGTTAGAATCATGGTCTAAACTATTACTTATGTCATGGGCTTTAAAATATCATTATGACTAGTTTATTAGGGTAGGGTATTATGGAATACAGGATATAGATGGATTCCTGACTGACATCCATCTTACAGTGAGTCAAAAGCATCTATGGACACACCTTACAGTATTTTTTCTGATCCCCAAATGCATAATTGGAATGGTTATAGATAAATGGTAACTGAACCCTCATGTTTGGTTCTCTGACCTATGAAAGAATATCCATTATTGTAGGAAGTGTAAAATGAAAGTCCTTGAACCAACTTCCCCAACTCGTCACCCACCTACACAAACACATCCTAGTCAGGAGACTTTGTCAGAAGCAATATCACATTTTTGGTAAAATTGTAGAGATAAGGGTTAAATTCAAAGTCTTCAAGATTGCAGAAATAATAGGATACTTCATATTTCTCTTCAATTGGTTCGTATAGTTTCTGCAAAAACAAATTGGATTATGGTAGAGGTCCATGCACTGTTGTAAACATAACCAGGTTATAGCACCAATTCCCATTGCTGTGTATTATATCATGTATCTATTGGAAAATTTCAAAATATCCTTTTACATTTATTATGTGGTCATTGATTTGAATTTTTTTTCAGTCACCAGGAATGAAGTGAATAAAAAGCCATTGTCCTTTTAGAAAATATAATAGTATATATTCATGGTTTCCAGAGCTATATTAACTCTCCTCCTTATCAAAATATGACATGCAATGAGCATGATTGATTTTTTTTTATGCTTTAAGTTCTAGGGTACATGTGCACAACGTGCAGGTTTGTTACATATGTATACATGTGCCATGTTGGTGTGCTGCACCCATTAACTCGTCATTTACATTAGGTATATCTCCTAATGCTATCCCTCCCCCTCCCCCCACCCCACGACGGGCCCTGGTGTGTGATGTTCCCCTTCCTGTGTCCAAATGTTCTCATTCTTCAATTCCCACCTATGAGTGAGAACATGCGGTGTTTGGTTTTCTGTCCTTGAGATAGTTTGCTGAGAATGATGGTTTCTAGCTTCTATTTTTCCAAGTCCCTACAAAGGACATGAACTCATCCTTTTTTATGGCTGCATAGTATTCCATGGTGTATATGTGCCACATTTTCTTAATCCAATCTATCACCGTTGGACATTTGGGTTGGTTCCAAGTCTTTGCTATTGTGAATAGTGCTGCACTAAATGTACGTGTGCCTGTGTCTTTATAGCAGCATGATTTATAATCCTTTGGGTGTATACCCAGTAATGGGATGGCTGGGTCAAATGATATTTCTGGTTCTAGATCCTTGAGGAATCGCCACACTGTCTTCCACAAAGGTTGAACTAGTTTACAGTCCCACCAACAGTGTAAAAGTGTTCCTATTTCTCCACATCCTCTCCAGCACCTGTTGTTTCCTGACTTTTTAATGATCACCATTCTAACTGGCGTGAGATGATATCTCATTGTGGTTTTGATTTGCATTTCTCTGGTGGCCAGTCATGATGACCGTTTTTTCATGTGTCTGTTGGCTGCATAAATGTTTTCTTTTGAGAAGTGTCTGTTCACATCCTTTGCCCACTTGATGGGGTTGTTTGTTTTTTTCTTGTAAATTTGTTTGAGTTCATTGTAGATTCTGGATATTAGCCCTTTGTCAGATGAGTAGATTGGAGAAATTTTCTCCCATTCTGTAGGTTGTCTTTTCACTCTGTTGGTAGTTTCTTTTGCTGTGCAGAAGCTCTTTAGTTTAATTAGATCCCATTTGTCAATTTTGGCTTTTGTTGCCATTGCTGTTGGTGTTTTAGACATCAGTGCTTGCCCATGCCTATGTCCTGAATGGTATTGCCTAGGTTTTCTTCTACGGTTTTTATGGTTTTAGGTCTAACATTTAAGCCTTTAATCCATCTTGAATTAATTTTTGTATAAGGTGTAAGGAAGGGATCCAGTTTCAGCTTTCTCCATATGGCTAGCCAGTTTTCCCAGCACCATTTATTAAATAGGGAATCCTTTCCTCATTTCTTGTTTTTGTCAGGTTTGTCAAAGATCAGATGGTTGTAGAAGTGTGGTATTATTTCTGAGGGCTCTGTTCTGTTCCATTGGTCTATATCTCTGTTTTGATACCAGTACCATGCTGTTTTGGTTACTGTAGCCTTGTAGTATAGTTTGAAGTCAGGTAGCGTGATGCCTCCAGCTTTGTTCTTTTGGCTTAGGATTGACTTGGCAATGCGGGCTCTTTTTTGGTTCCATATGAACTTTAAAGTAGTTTTTTCCAGTTCTTTGAAGAAAGTCATTGGTAGCTTGATGGGGATGGCATTGAATCTATAAATTACCTTGGGCAGTATGGCCATTTTCATGATATTGATTCTTCCTACCCATGAGCATGGAATGTTCTTCCACTGGTTTCTGTCCTCTTTTATTTCGTTGAGCAGTGGTTTGTAGTTCTCCTTGAAGAGTTCCTTCACATCCCTTATAAGTTGGATTCCTAGGTATTTTATTCTCTTTGAAGCAATTGTGAATGGGAGTTCACTCATGATTTGGCTCTCTGTCTGTTATTGGTGTATAAGAATGCTTGTGATTTTTGCACATTAATTTTGTATCCTGAGACTTTGCTGAAGTTGCTTATCAGCTTAAGGAGATTTTGGGCTGAGACTATGGGGTTTTCTAGATATACAATCATGTCATCTGCGAACAGGGACAATTTGACTTCCTCATTTCCTAATTGAATACCCTTTATTTATTTCTCCTGCCTGATTGCCCTGGCCAGAACTTCCAACACTATGTTGAATAGGAGTGGTGAGAGAGGGCATCCCTGTCTTGTGCCAGTTTTCAAAGGGAATGCTTCCAGTTTTTGCCCATTCAGTATGATATTGGCTGTGGGTTTGTCATAAATAGCTCTTATTATTTTGAGATACATCCCATCAATACCTAATTTATTGAGAGTTTTTAGCATGAAGTATTGTTGAATTTTGTCAAAGGCCTTTTCTGCATCTATTGAGATAATCATGTGGTGTTTGTCTTTGTTTCTGTTTATATGCTGGATTACATTTATTGGTTTGTATATGTTGAACCAGTCTTGTATCCCAGAGATGAAGCCCACTTGATCATGGTGGATAAGCTTTTTGATGTGCTGCTAGATTTGGTTTGCCAGTATTTTATTGAGGATTTTTGTATCGATGTTCATCAGGGATATTGGTCTAAAATTCTCTTTTTTTGTTTTGTCTCTGCCAGGCTTTGGTATCAGGATGATGCTGGCCTCATAAAATGAGTTAGGGAGGATTCCCTCTTTTTCTATTGACTGGAATAGTTTCAGAAGGAATGGTACCAGCTCCTCCTTGTACCTCTGGGAGAATTCGGCTGTGAATCCATCTGGTCCTGGACTTTTTTGGTTGGTAGGCTATTAATTATTGCCTCAATTTCAGAGCCTGTTATTGGTCTATTCAGGGATTCAACTTCTTCCTGGTTTAGTCTTGGGAGGGTGTATGTGTCGAGGAATTTATCCATTTCTTCTAGATTTTCTAGTTTATTTGCATGGAGGTCTATATAGTATTCTCTGATGGTAGTTTGTATTTCTGTGGGATTGGTGGTGATATCCTCTTTATCATTTTTTATTGCATCTATTTGATTCTTCTCTCTTTTCTTCTTTATTAGTCTTGCTAGTGGTCTATCAATTTTGTTGATCTCTTCAAAAAACCAGCTCCTGGATTCATTGATTTTTTTGAAGGGTTTTTTTCTGTCTCCATCTCCTTCAGTTCTCCTCTGATCTTCATTATTTCTTGCTTTCTGCTAGCTTTTGATGTGTTTGCCCTTGCTAGTCTAGTTTTTTTAATTGTGATGTTAGGGTGTCAATTTTAGATCTTTCCTTCTTTCTCTTGCGGACATTTAGTGCTGTAAATTTCCCTCTACACACTGCTTTGAATGTGTCCCAAAGATTCTGGTATTTTGTGTCTTTGTTCCTATTGGTTTCAAAGAACATCTTTATTTCTGCCTTCATTTTATTATGTACCCAGTAGTCATTTAGGAGCAGGTTGTTCAGTTTCCACGTAGTTGAGCGGTTTTGAGAGAGTTTCTTAATCCTGAGTTCTAGTTTGATTGTACTGTGGTCTGAGAGACAGTTCTTTATAATTTGTGTTCTTTTACATTTGCTGAGGAGTGCTTTACTTCCAACTATGTGGTCAATTTTGGAATAAGTTCGATGTGGTGCTGAGAAGAATGTATATTCTGTTGATTTGGGGTGGAGAGTTCTGTAGATGTCTATTAGGTCCACTTGGTGCAGAGCTGAGTTAAATTCCTGGATATCCTTTTTAACTTTCTGTCTCATTGATCTGTCTAATGTTGACAGTGGGGTGTTAAAATCTCCCATTATTATTGTGTGGGAGTCTAAGTCTCTTTGTAGGTCTCTAAGGACTTGCTTTATGAATCTGGGTGCTCTTGTATTGGGTGCATATATATTTAAGATAGTTAGCTCTTCTTGTTGAATTGATCCCTTTAGCATTATGTAATGGCCTTCCTTGTCTCTTTTGATCTTTGTTGGTTTAAAGTCTGTTTTTATCAGAGACTAGGATTGCAACCCCTGCCTTTTTTTGTTTTCCATTTGCTTGGTAGATCTTCCTCCATCCCTTTATTCTGAGCCTATGTGTGTCTCTGCATGTGAGATGGGTTTCCTGAATACAGCACACTGATGGGTCTTGACTCTTTATCTAACTTGCCAGTCTGTGTCTTTTTACTGGAGCATTTAGCCCATTTACATTTAAGGTTAATATTGTTATGTGTGAATTTGATCCTGTCATTATGATGTTAGCTGGTTATTTTGCTCATCAGTTGATGCAGTTTCTTCCTAGCCTCGATGGTCTTTGCAATTTGGCATGTTTTTGCAGTGTCCGGTACCGGTTGTTCCTTTCCATGTTTAGTGCTTCCTTCAGGAGCTCTTGTAGGGCAGGCCTGGTGGTGACAAAATCTCTCTCAGCATTTACTTGTCTATAAAGGATTTTATTTCTCCTTCACTATGAAGTTTAGTTTGCCTGGATATGAAATTCTGTGTTGAAAATTCTTCTCTTTATGTATGTTGAATATTGGCCCCCACTCTCTTCTGGCTTGTAGAGTTTCTGCTGAGAGATCCGCTGTTAGTCTGATGGGCTTCCCTTTGAGGGTAACCCGACCTTTCTTTCTGGCTGCCCTGTACATTTTTTCCTTCATGTCAATTTGGTGAATCTGACAATTATGTGTCTTGGAGTTGCCCTTCTCAAGGAGTATCCTTGTTGTGTTCTCTGTATTTCCTGAATCTGAATGTTGGCCTGCCTTGCTAGATTGGGGAAGTTCTCCTGGACAATATCCTGCAGAGTGTTTTCCAAGTTGGTTCAATTCTCCCCGTCACTTTCAGGTACACCAATCAGACGTAGATTTGGTCTTTTCACATAGTCTCATATTTCTTGGAGGCTTTGTTCATTTCTTTTTACTCTTTTTACTCTAAACTTCTCTTCTCACTTCACTTCATTCATTTGATCTTCAATCACTCATACCCTTTCTTCCAGCTGATCTAATTGGCTACTGAAGCTTGTGCATTTGTCATGTAGTTCTCGTCCCATGGTTTTCAGCTCCATTAGGTCATTTAAGGCCTTCTCTACATTGGTTATTCTAGTTAGCAATTCGTCTAATCTTTTTTTAAAGTTTTTAGCTTCTTTGCAATGGGTTCGAACTTCCTCCTTTATCTCGGAGAAGTTTGATCGTCTGAAGCCTTCTTCTCTCAACTCGTCAAAGTCATTCTCCATCCAGCTTTGTTCCATTGCTGGCAAGGAGCTGCATTCCTTTGAAAGTGGGGAGGCGCTGTGATTTTTAGAATTTTCAGCTTTTCTGCTCTGTTTTTTCCCCATCTTTGTGTTTTTATGTACCTTTGGTCTTTGATGATGGTGACATACAGATGGGGTTTTTGTGTGGATTTCCTTTCTGTTTGTCAGTTTTCCTTCTAACAGTCAGGACCCTCAGCTGCAGGTCTGTTGGAGTTTGCTGGAGGTCCACTCCAGACCCTGTTTGCCTGGGTATCAGCAGCAGAGGCTGCAGAACAGCGAATATTACTGAACAGCAAATGTTGCTGCCTGATCGTTCCTCTGGAAGCTTCGTCTCAGAGCAGTACCCGGCCATGTGGTGTGGTGTGTCAGTCTGCCCCTACTTGGGGGTGCCTCCCAGTTAGGCTACTCAGGGGTCAGGGACCCACTTGAGGAGGCAGTCTGTCTGTTCTCAGATCTCAAACTCCATGCTGGGAGAACCACTACTCTCTTCAAAGCTGTCAAACAGGGACATGTAAGTCTGTGAGGTTTGCTGCCTTTTGTTCGGCTATACCCTGTCCCCAAAGATGGAGTCTACAGAGGCAGGCAGGCCTCCTTGAGCTGCAGTGGGCTCCACTCAGAGCTTCTTGGCCTCTTTGTTTAACTACTCAAGCCTCAGCAATGGTGGGCGCCCCTCCCCCAGCCTCACTGCTGCCTTGCAGTTCGATCTCAGACTGCTGTGCTAGCAATGAGCAAGGCTCCCTGGGCATGGGACCCTCTGAGCCAGGCACGTGATATAATCTCCTGGTGTGCTGTTTGCTAATACCATTGGAAAAGCCCAGTATTAGGGTGGGAGTGACCCAATTTTCCAGGTGCTGTGTGTCACAGCTTCCCTTGGCTAGGAAAGGGAATTCCCTGACCCCTTGCGCTTCTTGGGTGAGACAATGCCTTGCCCTGCTTCAGCTCATTCTCGGTGGGCTGCACCCACTGTCCTGCACCCACTGTCCAACAAGCCCCAGTGAGATGAACCCAGTACCTCAGTTGGAAATGCAGAAATCACCTGTCTTCTGCGTTGCTCACACTGGGAGCTGTAGCCTGGAGCTGTTCCTATTTGGCCATCTTGGAACTGCCCATCTAGCAGCATGATGGTTTTGACGTCTGCAGAAGATTATGTTGGTGCAGTATATTGATGTCATAATTCTAATAAGACCTATGAAAAGTAGGTGGCAAGTAAACCTAATACTCATGTAAGACACATACTGCCCGAGTTTAAGAAAAAAATCCTACAGATTTTTAGGGCCCTGGTAAATTGGTGAAGTTTATAGTGTCCCAGTGGTCTTGCACTTACCCTTTAAGGTAAAGATCAAGTTATTGTACCTTGTACATCTTATCATTAAAGAGGGATACAGTGCTTAGCATATCTATTTTAATTTTAAAGGCAGAGTTTGGCACCAAGGATGTCCCTACAGTTTAGGGGACCCTGAAAATATTTAAAGGACCTTGTCTATACAAACAAAATGATTTAAAAACACATTATTAAATCCATTAGCCTACATGAAGCATACTAACTTATATATAAAGACTTAGAATTATGAGTAAAAGGTGAGATATGCACATATTTATTTGGTGTTCCAACATTGAACCTGAAAACACTTTGCAGGGCCAAGTTATCATCTCTTTCCTTTGATATCAAGAGATCATGTGTCCATGTGCTTTATAATCAAATATGCTATTTCTAGCTAAGTACATATATCCCACCATAAGAAAATGGTAGCAAAGTTGTTAATGTTCACAATCCATGACTCTTTAGAATCCATCTCTATTAAAACAACATGGATGTTTTATCACAAAGATAATTTTAATTTATCATGACTAAAAGTCTGAATTTTAAACAGATTCTTGGAATAGTGGTTCGTACCCATCAGCTGGTTCAGCTTTAGTACCTGTCTTATCTCCAGTAGCTTTTCCAGAACTACTACCTTCACCATGATGCTCCATGAATTTTCTCAATCCAAACTAGGTCATCTTCAGTACTCTAACTCTGAAGTTCCCTAAATCCTTTTACTTAATGATGGCTACATCATTACTCATGACTTTGCATCATTCCTTGTAACATGGGTGAATAGCGGGTTCCAATGACTCTTTCAAAAGTTGTTTCTATGCTTTTCTCACGGCCACAAATGCGAATATTTCCCAGACAATGCAGGAAAATGTGAAAGACAATGCATTCATTAATCATATGAATTCGCTGCTCTGAACATTATAGAATAAAGTTAAACCAAAACATTTTTCAACTTTGTCATTTCTTGAGTTCATTCTTTGGGTCCTGATGATGACTGCATTGCTAGAATGTGATCACTTCCAACCTTGACTGTACCTGCCTTCCATAAACTGCAATCAGCATAGGCAAGGAGCCCACAGGCAAAATGAGAAGAGTGGTAAAATTCAAGCAAAAAATACCCATCCCTCATCCAGCATGGCTTGAGACCAACCTAGGAGATCATGATGTCATCACCTTGGCCTAAGGCAAAAAAGAACTGCAAAAATAAATAAATAAATAAATAAAAGAAACCTATGTTGTATGAAGCAAAGGTCTCAGAAGTTTTAGAGGAGGGAGGTGTTTGTGAAGGGGGATAGGTGATGCCCTGTTACTAGAATTACAGAGATGCCACAGGACAAATTATGCTTGCTGTCACCTCTACTACTCTAAAATACAAGTGTGGAGGTAGCACTACATCTGGAACACAGAGATCTGAGAACCAACCCAACAGCCCACACAACAGCTCAATCTCAAAGGTTGGCAGTCCCATGTTGGTATCTCATACCTCTGAATATGTTCTGAGCTTAAAACGAGAATGTGACCAAAGGAGACTGGATCAGCAATATTATGGAAGTTCAGTTTTACACATTTCTACAAAAGTAACACTTCTTGCTTGGCCATCGTCATAGAAATAGGACCTAACCCACAGGGCCCGGGGACAACCTCATAAGCTGAAGTGCCAGGGCTCCTTAAGACATTGGGTCAATGCCACATGTAGGGGTTGGGAGTGGTTAAGAGATAGAAAACAACCCAATGATAAGAGATGGTAATTAGGGCCCATGCAGATTTCTGACTGGGCTTCCTAGATGGCTAGTCTCAAGCATCAAAGGGCACTAATGATCAGTACACCTAGGTTTAGCCTGGGGCACCCCAACTACTTGGCACTGCTGGCCACAAGCTCAGATCTTAAAAGGATTTTTTGAAAACTTTGAAGGAGTCTCTCTGAAGTGCAGAGTCCATTGAGGCCTGAGTCTTAGAACAGGAGCCTCAGTTGCCCAGGTATAAGCACTGAGCTATATCATGTATTTCAGAATAAAGATCCAACTGTCATTAACTCCCAGTTAGTGATATTATCTTACAAATGACATCTATTGGAATATAACAAAATAGACTATCTTGTCAGTATATGTAATTCAAAGGTTTATATGTATTAATTCTATAAAAATTTAGTGAACTCTTGTTAAGTGAATGACCCCATTTATGCCATGAGTAAATAAAAATGCTTACATAGAACTTATATCCCAAGAGTGGAGACAGATACTAAACAAATTGTATATAATTCTGCATACATGTACATATACATAAACATACACACACACATACACACATATATACATACATACATATATATATGAAACTACCCATAAAACACATAAAAGTGAAGAAGCTTGGTAAGGGTATTTAGATATCAGGTGTGATGGAGGCTAATAATTTAGGCAAGATGGTTAAGAACTGTCTAAGAAGATGATATTTCAACAGAAATTGCAGTGGGATAGGGGAGATAGCAATGTGAATATCTGTGAGAAAGAAGCACATATCAAGCGTGAGTTGGGTTGGGTAAGGGTTATGAGGGCCATTTTGATGGGTTTGAAAAACAGCTACGAAGATTGCATAAAAGAAGCACAATGAGCTGAAACAGTAGGAAAGCATGAGACTGGAGTAGTGACAAAATGATGAAGGGTCTTGGGGAAATTGTGAAGATTCTGTGTCTGTGTTAATTTTGATGGACCATCATTAGAAGGTTTTGAGCTGGTGAGTACTATGACCTGATTCGCGTTTTTTACTTGATTGCTTTCATTGTTCTGTGAAGAATAGCATGTTGATGTTAAACATGGAAGCAAGATTAGAGGTTGTTGTAGTAGCTTTATGTGGTGGGGTTGTCCGAGTACATCAGAACTAAACATCCTCAGAGCATTGCACAAGTAAGTTGTTTATAATTATTTGATTTGTTTTATATCCATATAATAATTACATCAATATGTCTCAAAAGCTATTAAATACAATCTTTAAATTTCCATGCTTCATTCAGATGACGAAAAAAGAATTTCTAAAAGGAATAATTGAAAGCAATCTATTGTTCATAACATCAGAAAGAATAAATCTTGTACTTCAGAAATATTTGACTCTACTGACAAGGTCATTTCCATCCTAGGGTAAATATATTTTACAGTATAGGTTTTCAAATTTGTGAAGCACCCATTAGCCATATTTCAAAGTATACTGTAATGAAGAAGCTCTGACAAGAAACATTCCAAAATAAAACCAAAATATAAAATTTCATGTGATATGTAGTTTTTCCTTAAATATTTCCAAGGAAAATACCTAACATGTAGGAAATTAGCCAGTCTAAAATAGAACATACAGATACTGAATAATCAGTCTCTACTGCAGATGATATATATCACTGTATCATGCCAGCACTTAATCACTTTTATGGAATTACAATTTGGTTCTCACTATGATTTACTTAGTGTGGGTTGATTTATGCCATTGAGAATTTGTTTAGTTAATGAAACATTTTAATTTATGACAGAAGGAAGCATAAAATTGCTTTGAATATCTTGATTCCATTACTATCGACTGCCGGTCAAAATTTTAAATGATATGAAAAGTGACAGATAAAAGCATTTTTATTTCAACTCTCCCTATTACTTGTAGAGTACAGATTTGAAACTAAAACACAAGGAATTAGTAGCTTTAACACTTGCTTCTCCCAACTCTTGACTAGATACTGCAGCTCTCACTGACATATGGTACTGTCTGTGAAGTCTTTTCAGTGAAGCCTCACAGGGAAAGAGTGAGATGTTTCATAACGTAGTGTAATCAGTATGCTATTGGCACCCAGCACTGGGTCTCCTTTCATCTGGCCCAGATGGTACAGATCCTTGACTCTTACAGTGTCTGCCTGAAAGAAGAAAAGATTTGAAAGCAAATTGGCTCATGGTCTAGCCTGGTGATTTCAGGATAATGTACATGGGTCAAAAAAAAAAAAAACCAGGAGCAAGTAAAGCTTAGTTTTCTCCGTTAGTGGAGGCTCATTTAACCCTTGACATCAAGTTATGTCGATTTTTATTTAATGCCTGACTTAAACTTATCTGTTTCTATACAGGAACTGTTCATTTATGCCCTTAAGTGTTTCCTTCATGCTGTGTGACTTTTCTTAAAAGAATTGAATAGGATAAGCGTTTCACAGAATCAGAGACTTTTGGGTTTCATGTAAGTTCACATGTACTTTTAAGTGTCTGGGCTAGGTATTAGATGCCTTCTTGCCATAAGGATGTGTGCACTGAGTGAATGACCTCTGTGGCTAGTGTCAACTGGATTCTCTTGCATTCTATTTTCCTGTTGGATTTGACAAATGGAAGGTACCAGCAGAAGACTGAGGTTGGGTAGTAGAAGTGACATCAAAGAGATGTCAAAATATTTATTTCCCCAGCATCCTACCTACCAGGCCACAGGAGGTTGCAATGGCTGTATTCTTCATCTAACATCCTAGTTCCTGTTTTGCGGCCCTTCCCACAGAGGAAGTGACTGAGCTCTCTGAGTTTTGGCAATCACTCACTCCCCTTATATCTTCAACTTTAGGGTGGTAATAGTTCCCGTTGTTCCTAGTCCCAGGATGCTCCACTGTCTTCTTTTAGCTTCCCTTCATCATACCATGCTTTACGAAAAATTCATTCATTAAGCTGTTTTCTATATCCCTATTTAAGTGTGCCATCTGTTTCCTGCCATGTCTGGATGTTACAGCCATCTAGTCTAACGACTTGTTGAATGCTTAAATCCCCATTGTAACACCTCTTCTAAATGGTCAACTTGACCATATGCTTAAATGAGTATTGTAATAGATAATTCATTATGTCATAAGACAGCCTATTCTCTCTTCAGCCAACCTCTAACTAAATTTAATTTTTTATTTATGGCAAAATAGCAGCGACTCTTTGCTCAACTGCAGAGAAAGCATTTTCATGTTTCTGCATGGTTAGATTTCTCTGAACATAAAAAACTGGCATCTCAGCTAAAGAACAAGATTTTGAACTTAACAGACTATTGAATAAATAGAAACCTCTGGAAATATGTAGAGGTTCCTCATCTCCAAAAACCATAAGTTTATACTTTAAAATTTAATAAAACCAGAGGTCAGTCATCTATATTCTAAAGAGTCATAAATTAGGTATTTATTTTTCTTTAGAAATAATATTTGTTTACATTAGGGAGATTAGTTTTCTCTTCCACTCTAATGAATAGGGGAGAGTAGGTCTATAGCCGTTTTCATATAAACTCCAGACTCATAATGTTGTGGTTCCTTTTCTATGGTAGATACTCATTCATAAACACATGGCTAGCCATCTGGTTCTCATTACATTACCCTAAAGAAGAGAATGGAGTATGGGGAGCCAATACAGTTATTGTTGTAAGTAACAATAATAGTCTGCCTCAAGTTCAGAAACCTTACATTTGTCTTCATGACAAAATAAATAAATATATTTATTAAAAATCCTATATTCCATCACTGTTTCTTTTATCTTTGGATGGAGTCTATAAACTTGCAGAAGAGAACCCCTTTTTAGAACACAGTAGTTTTAGGTTTTGATCTTGGTATCCTAAGTCTTCTTTTGTCTACTCTTCAAATGTCATGGATTTAACCCTACTCAACTTCTTGGTTGTTCTCTTACAGAAACTATAGGTATATCCAGCATTTAATTAAATAATATATTTAGTCTCACTAATGCAATATGTATTCCTTTTACTTTTCTAGGTAACATAAAAAAGAATCAGTTTTAAAAATAAGTAGAGAAGAACAAGGTAACAAGGACAATTACAGTATTTCTATAATGTATCATCATGGGGGAGAATCAACCATAATCATTCTCATTCTTTGGGCAACTAAACTCAAAATTTATATGCCGTGAGGACAACAATATCTATTTGAACTTGATTGGATTATGTTATCATCTTTGGGGAAAATAAGATCAATTACCTTGATTGACATTTCACCCAAATCACTTTTAAAGGGAAACAAGAATTCTATATATAAAAGGAGAATATTGGCCAGGCACAGTGGCTCACACCTGTAATCCCAGCACTTTGGGATGCCAAGGTGGGTGGGTCACGAGGTCAGAAGTTCAAGACTGGTCTGGCCAACATAGTGAAACCCTGTCTCTACTAAAAATACAAAAAATTAGCCAGGTGGTGGTGTGCACCTGTAATCCCAGCTACTTGGGAGGCTGAGGCAGAAAAATTGCGTGAACCTGGGAGGCAGAGGTTGCAGTGAGCCAAGATCGCACCATTGCACTCCAACCCGGGTGACAGTGAGAGACTCCGTCTCAAAAAAAATAAATAAATAAAATAAAAGACAATATTATCGGAAAAAAATATGGATACTAATTTGTCAAGAAGAGATGTTGATAAAGGTTTTAGCAGGTGAAGGAAGGAGTGTGAGCGAAGGTGCAAAGGCAAGGATAGAGAAGATGTCTTTGGGAATGAGATAATAGTTTGGTGAAAGAGAAGAATAAAGGAAGATTATGAAACAGAGAAAGGTAGATTAAAGTGGGATGCATTTTGTCAATGATTTTTGCTATTCTCTCTTTGTCTGTTTGTTTTGTTTTGTATTTTTTGACAGGAGTAGACCAAATTGAATAATATATCAAGAGGGCTGAAAAAAATCAAATTGATATATGCACACTTAATTTTCTTTCAGATAGGTCATTAATGATGTAAAGAAATGTAAATGATTTTTGCTTGTCGATTTTGTAGACTGCAACTTTACCATATTTATTTATTAGTTTTAATGAGTTTTTGTGTGTATGTAGGAGGAGTCTTTAGAGTTTTCTACTTATAGGATCAGGCTATCTGTAAATAAGAAAAATTTTACTTCTTCCTCTCCTATCTGGATGCCCTTTATTTCTTTCCTTGCCTGATTGTTCTTACTAGTACTTCTAGTACTATGTTGAATGGAAATTGTGAGATTGGCCATCCTTGCCTTGTACCTGATCTTAGGGGAAAAGTTTTTAGTTTTTCCCCATTAGTTGTGATGTTAGTTGTACACTTTTTATAAATGGTCTTTGCTATATTGAGGAAATTTCCTTCTATACCTAAATTGCTGAGAGTTTTTTTCAAGAAAGGTCATTGACGTTTGTCAAATTATTTTCATGTATTTATTGAGATGATTAAGTGGTTTTAATCTTACATTCTGTTAATAGGATGTATCACATTGATTGATTGGCATATATTAAAACAACCTTGCATCTTAGGGATGAATTCAACTTGACATAATGTTTAATCTTTTTGATAAACATCTGCTTAATTCAGTTTGCTGCTTTTTATTGAAAATTTTTGCAACTGTAGTCATCAAAGGTATTGACATACAATTTTCTTATCTTGTGGTGTTTTGTCTGGATTTGGTATCAGGAATGAATATCATAGAATTCAGGTATCAGGCCATTATAGAATGAAATTGGAAGTATTCCCTCTACTTCTGTTGTTTGAAAATATATAGTCTCTTCAAGACATGGTGTTAAAAAACTGGATATTCATGTACAAAAGAATAAAATTGGGCCTTTATCTTTTTTTTCTTTTTAAAGTCTAATATGACTTTTTTTTTTTACTATACTTTAAGCTCTAGGGTACATGTGCACAACGTGCAGGTTTGTTACACATGTATACATGCGCCATGTTGGTATGCTGCACCCATTAACTTGTCATTTACATTAGGTATATCTCCTAATGCTATCCCTCCCCTCTCCCCCAGTCCCAGGACAGGCCCCGGTGTGTGATGTTCCTCTTCCTGTGTCCAAGTGTTCTCATTGTTCAATTCCCACCTATGCGTGAGAATATGCAGTGTTTGGTTTTTTTGTCCTTGCGATAGATTGCTGAGAATGATGGTTTGCAGCTTCATCCACGTCCCTACAAAGGACATGAACTCATCCTTTTTCATGGCTGCATAGTATTCCATGGTGTATATGTGCCACATTTTCTTAATCCAGCCTATCATTGATGGACATTTGGGTTGGTTCCAAGTCTTTGCTATCGTGAACAGTGCCGCACTAAACATACGTGTGCATGTATCTTTATAGCAGCATGATTTATAATCCTTTGGGTATATACCCAGTAATGGGATGGGTGGGTTAAATGGTATTTCTAGTTCTAGATCCTTGAGGAATTGCCACAATGTCTTCCACAATGGTTGAACTAGTTTACAGTCCCACCAACAGTGTAAAAGTGTTCCTATTTCTCCACATCCTCTCCAGCACCTGTTGTTTCCTGACTTTTTAATGATCGCCATTCTAACTGGTGTGAGATGCTATCTCATTGTGGTTTTGATTTGCATTTCTCTGATGGCCAGTGGTGATGACCATTTTTCATGTGTCTGTTGGCTGCATAAATGTCTTCTTTTGAGAAGTGTCTGTTCATATCTGGGCCTTTATCTTACACTATACACAAAGTTAGACTAAAAATGGATTAAAGACCTAAACATAACACATGAAACTATAAAATTCCTTGAGGAAAACACAGGGAAAAAGCTCCTTGATGTTGGCTTTGGCAATGATTGTTTTTGATATCACACCAAAAGACCAGGCCACAAAAACAGAAAAGGAAGTGGGACTACATCAAACTAAAAAGCTTCTGCACAGCAAAGGAAACAGCCAAGAAAATGAAAAGGGTGTCTGTGGATTGGGAGAAAATACGTTTGAACCATATATCTGATAGAAGGTTAATATCCAAAATATATAAGAAATTCACATAACTCAATAGTGAAATAAATAAATAACCCAATTTAAAAATGCACCAAGGAGCTGAATAAACATTTCTCCGAAGAAGTCATAGAAATGACCAACAAGTATATGAAAAGGGCTCAACATCAATAATCACCAAGAAAAAGCAAATCAAAACCTTGGGAACAAATTCCCTTGGACCTGTTAGGGTACTTATTGTCAAAATGAGAAGAGATAACAAGTGATGACAGGGATGTGGAGAAAAAAAGATCCCTTGTGCATTACTCATGGCAATGTAAATTATTTCAGACACTATGAAAAACAGTATGGAAGTTCCTCAAAACATTAAAAACAGAGCTAACATTTTACCCAATATCCCTTTCACTGGATATCTCACCAAAGATATTCTCATTTTTATTGCAGCATTATTCACAGTAGCCAAGATATGGAAACAACCTAAGTATCTGTTGATGGGTGAATGGATAAAGAAATTGTGGTTTATAAATATGATGAAATATTATTAGTCCTCAAAAAGGATGAAGATACTGCAATATGCAATGACAATATCAAAAAGTTGAGTACACAAAAATAGAAAAAACAGTAGTTACCAGAGTAGGGGGCAGGGAGATGGAGAGATACAGATAAAAAGAGTATAGAGTTGCAGTTCTTTAGGATGAATAAGTCTAGAGCTCTAATGTACAGAATAGAACTATAGTTAATACTATTGTCTACTAGAAATATGTTAAGAAAGAAGATTTTAGGTGCTGTTACCACTATACACACACACACACACACACACACACACACACATACATATATGGCTATGTGAGATGATGGCTATGTTAACATGCTTGACTGTAGTAACCTTTCTCTCTATATACATATGTATATCAGTATATCATATTGTACACCTTAGTATATACAATAAAATTTTAGAAAGATACCTATGTCTACTGAAAACATAGTTCTAATAATGGTAGAAAAATAAATATGTTTTCAGACTGAAAACCCCTAGAAATTTTGTTTTTAGCATAGTTTTAATAAAACAAATACTGAAAGCAGAGTGAAAATGAACTCAGAAGAAAACACATAAATTCAGAAAGAAATGGAGTTTAATGGAAAGAGTAAATATGTAAATAATGTAAAATAAGAAATGACAATACAAAACAGTAACAGTAATAACCTGTGGAAACTAAAATATAAGTCAAAGTTTGTATTTGACAACAATCGTGCAAAAGCAGGAGGAGAATGAGTAGAAGTAAATGGTTCTAAGGAACTAGTGTATTGAGCAAGTGGAACATAATAATTTGTATCAGAACGTAATAAATTGAGGATGCATACTGCAATCCCTAATGTTAACATACAAAAACACTTTTGATGTAACTAATCTAATTGAACTATATGGAACAATAAAATACATTGATTAATATGTAAAAAGAAATGGAAGAAAAATGAAACTCCAAACTGTGGGTCAAATAGCAAACAAACAGTTTGATGGTAGATATAAACCAACACACCATTGTTAATTCAGTTAAAAATAAAATAGTTCAATTAAAAGGAAAAAAAGTGTCAATTTTCCACTTACCTGAAACATACCTTAAATATAAAGCATATAAAGATGGAAAATAAAAGGGTGAAAAAAGATACTCTGCAAATATTAACAACAAGAACACAGAAAAATAAACCAAACAGTTGAAACTATGGTAACATTAAAGAAAACTCCAAGTAAAGAAGTATTATTAAAGATAAAAGAAAATATTTGAAATGGCAAAGAGATCATTCTATTGGAAATATTTAACAGTTCTAAATCTGCCTGTATCCAATAATATCACTTCAAAATAAATAAAGCAAAAATGAAAAAATTAAAAGGAGGACAAGACAAATTCACAATCAGAGAGACAGATGTTAAACACTACTTCCAGGGAAAGCTGGAAAAAATGAAATTGTATAATTTCTAACAGTACAATTTTATATTTACTAAACTAGAACTAATTATATTAAATAATGTTTTATCAACAAATAACAATATATTAATTTTTTTGAGGTGTTCATGGAACATTCATCAAACTGATAATAGTATGGGTCATAAAACAAACCTAACAAATATAAAATTATTCAGTTTACTTTATTAATCACAGAAATCAGCCCATTTTTCACAGTAGAAATTACAAAAGAAGTAAGTAATGTTTTGGACTGGATAATCATAATCTCTTATGGCAAAATTTGTAGAATATATCTAAAGCAGTGCTTAGAGGAAAATTTTTAGTTTTAAATACACTTATTAGAAATGAAACTTAAGATTAAAGATAACAAATAGAAAATCAAACCTAAGAAACTAAAAGAAGGAAATAAAGGTAGAGAATAAATAAAAAAAAAAACACAGAAAACAAAAGGGCAATGAAACAAAACAAAGCCAAGTGTTGTCAAAAGAAACCACAGATTATGAATACAAAAAAGAAAAATGTGACATCACTAATGATACCACAGACATTAAAATCTCAATAGAAAGATATTATGAATAACTTTATCCCATTAAAGCTGAAAATTTAGAGAAAGACAAATTTTTTGAAAAACACAACCTACTTAAACTGAAAAAGAAATCCTAAGTAGTTATGTTTATTAAATAAATTGAGTTCATTATTATAAAACTTCCCCATAAAAACTCCAATGCCAGCTAATTATATCACTGAATTTCCCCTCAAATGTTTTTTTTTAAAGTACCACCAATCTGTATATCCTTATCAGAGAATATATTCTTATCCGAGAATCTATATATTCTTATCCGAGAATCTATATATTCTTATCAGAGAATCTATATATTCTTTTCAAAGAAAAGGGAACACTGGAGAACTCATTTCATGAGGTTAACATATCTTAAGTCACAAAACCTCACAAGAATATTACAGACAAAATAAACGTAGAAGTGATTTCCAAACGTAGGTGCAAATGCCTAACAAAATAATGGTAAATTACTCCGGAAATATAAGAAGTGATAACACATTAAACCAAGTGGAATTTAGTCCAGGATTGGTTGAACATTCAGTAATCATTTTCTTTTCTTTTCCTTTTTTTTTTTGTTTATGTTTTCATTTTTGTTTTTGTTTTTGTTTGAGACTGAGTCTGGCTCTGTCACCCAGGCTAGAATTCAGTGCTGCAATCTCAGCTCACTGCAACCTCCGCCTCCTGGGTTCAAGTGATTCTCGTGCCCCAGCCTCCCCAGTAGCTGGGATTACAGGTGCCTGTCACCATACCGGGGTACCTTTTGTATTTTTAGTAGAGGTGGGGTTTCATTGCGTTGGCCAGGCTGGTCTCGAACTCTTGACCTCTAGTGATCTGCCTGCCTTGGCCTCCCAAAGTGCTGGGATTACAGGCGTGAGTCACCATGCCCGGTCTCAGGAATCGTCTTCTCAAATGATGGAGTGATGAATGGATAGAGGGATAGTTATGTGATGAAGCAATTATAGGATCATCTTAATTATAAAATGTAGGTGGTAGGAATATGGGTGTTCCTTGTAAAATTCTTTTGACTTATTTGTATGATTGAATTTTCTTTTATAAAAATGTTTGAAAAATATAAAATTATAAGCAAGTCAACCATTGAAATTCATCACTATAAACAGGAACAGAAAAAGAATGAAACGTGAATATTTCAATAGATACAGAAAAATTACTTGACAAAAATGAATATCATCTATTCATGATTAAGAACTCATAGGAGAATAAAAGGCAATGTCTTTGATATGATAAAGGATATTGACCAAAGAAAAAAACTACATCAAACATCATATATTGATGAGTTAAAATATTTCCCTTGGATATTGAAAATAATAGAGATAAAGAGAAATAAACCTATGTGCAGTATAACACCTCTTTTACAAATTGAACCAAGGTCCTGGACAGTGGCATAAAAAATATGAATTTGAAAGGAAGAAATAAAATTGTCACTTTTTTTGGTAGACAATGTGATTGTATATATAGAAAACTCAAAGGAATTTACAAGAAAAACTATTAGAATTATAATAATAACTGACATGAGGTAATAGAATATACTTGTATTTCTATGTAACAGCCAAAAAGTTAGAAAAAAAGTTGACGTATTTTTATTTCAATAGAATTTTAAAACTTTTTAAACGAATAAGATTTCTACAATTTATAGCACTAAGCAATATTGGTAGATATTTTTTAAAGACCTAATTAAACTGAGGGATGTTAATGATTTAGACTACTTAGCGTTTTAAATGTGTCAATTCTGCCCAATTAATCCATCGATTCAATTAAATCCCTATCAAAGTCACTGCAGATATCTTGTTTCTGTGTGTGTGTGTGTGTATTTGTGAGTATATGAAAATTGATGAGCTGCTTCTAAAATCCGTATGAAAATTTAAAAGGGCAGGAATACCAAAGGCAATCTGGGAGAACAACAACATCTGAGTACTTACATTATCAGATAAAGAGATTTATTTTAATAATATGATAATTATTCAGTGTAGTGGCGATACAACGAGAGAAAAAAATAGACCAATGGAGCAGAAGAGAGTCCATAAATAAACTAACATATAGTCATTTGGTGATTGTAGTTGTCATATATTTGCTTAACAAATTTTTGCAAAATGTGGCAGCTTATAAAGCATACATTTATCATCTCACACAGTTTCTTTAAGTCGGAAATTCTGGAGCAGCTTAGCTGGGTGGTTCTGGCTTAGGGTCTCTCTTGAGGTTGCAGTCAAGCTGACAGCTTCAGGGCTGCAGTACACACTTCCAACCTCACTCAGGTCTTATTCGGTAGGAGGCTTCAGCTCTTTATCACATGGGTCTCTCATAAGCCTTCATAGTAGCTGGTTTCCTCCAGCAAATGCCGTAAGAGAAAGAGAACAAATGAGAGGGTGCCCAAAATGGAAAGCACAGTCTTTCATAGCTTAATATGAGAAAAGACATACTATTATTTCTGCTAAACCTTATTTGTCCCTCCGACTCAGTCTGACACAATTTAGGAGGGCATTATACAAGAATGTGAATATTGAAGGAGGGGGTTGTGGAGAGCCATCTTGGAGGCTGCCTGCCACAGTGATATTCTTAACACTGTAGGGCAGTAAGGAAAGAATGTTCTTTTTCAAAAATAGTCTGAGCCAATTGGATGTTTTTGTGGAATATTTTTTTAATTTGCCCTGCATGTGGCATTCAAAGAAAAAAAAACCTTGATCATATATCACAAAATACACCAAAAAAAAATGTCAGAGATTTACATGTAAATGGCATGATAATAAAGCTTTAGGAATGAAATGCTAGCAAATATCTTCATGATTGTGGTAGGAAAAAAAAAATTTTAAACAAGATGCAAATATTATGAAGCATAAATGAAAAGTAAAATGAGTTAGGGAGGAGTCCCTCTTTTTCTATTGTTTGGAATAGTTTCAGAAGGAATAGTACTGGGTATATACCCAAAGGATTATAAATCATTCTACTATAAAGACCCATGCACACATATGTTTATTGTGGCACTGTTCACAATAGCAAAGACTTGGAATCAACCCAAATGCACATCAATGATAGACTGGATAAAGAAAATGTGGCACATATACACCATGGAATACTATGCAGCCATAAAAAAAGGACGAGTTGATGTCCTTTGCAGGGACATGGATAAAGCTGGAAACCATCATTCTCAGCAAACTAACACAGTAACAGAAAACCAAGCACTGCATATTCTCACTCATAAGTGGGAGTTGAACAATGAGAACACATGGACACAGGGAGGGAAACATCACACACTGGGCCCTGTCGGGGGGTGGGGGACTAGGGGAGGGAAAGCATTAGGAGAAATTCCTAGTGTAGATGATGGGTTGATGGGTGCAGCAAAGCACCATGGCACATGTATACCTCTCTTACAAACCTGCACGTTCTGCACATGTATCCCAGAACATGAAGTATAATAGAAAATACAAATAAAAATAAAAAGAGAAATAAAAAATAGTAAATGAAAAGTAAAAAGTCTCTGTTCCTTAAAAGACACTATTGGCCGGGCGCCGTGGCTCACGCCTGTAATCCCAGCACTTTGGGAGGCCGAGGCGGGTGGATCATGAGGTCAGGAGATCGAGACCATCCTGGCTAACAAGGTGAAACCCCGTCTCTACTAAAAATACAAAAAATTAGCCGGGCGCGGTGGCGGGCGCCTGTAGTCCCAGCTACTCGGGAGGCTGAGGCAGGAGAATGGCGTGAACCCGGGAAGCGGAGCTTGCAGTGAGCCGAGATTGCGCCACTGCAGTCTGCAGTCTGGCCTGGGCGACAGAGCGAGACTCCGTCTCAAAAAAAAAAAAAAAAAAAAAAAAAAGACACTATTAAGAGAATTAGGTGAAAAAACCACATGGTAGAAAAAAATAATATATCAAACAAACAACTCATATCCACACTTTAAAAAGAACTGCAAATCATTAAGAAAAAGGAAGACAATTCAATAGGAAAAAAAACAGCAAAATACTGAACAGTCTTCACACAAGAGTTATTCAAATGGTCAATCAACATGAAATGTGTTCGACTTCATTAAATCATCATGGAAATGCAAATTAAAATCACACCAAGACATTACTACCCACAACTAAAATGGCTTTTAAAAAAAAGACAAATTTAAAATGTAAAAAAGGCATTTAAAATTTAAATCTTCCGTTAGAAAAATGCACTCAAATAGCTGAAATTAAAAATACATGTCTAAATGTTGGTCAGAATGTGGATCAACAGGAATTCATATACTGCTTATAGGAGAGTAAAATGTTGCAACCACTTTGAAAAACTGTTCTGCAGTTACCCACTGAAGTTGACCTTATGCTAACCTTATGACCCAGCAAAAGGCACACTTAAAAATGAAGCAGCAGAAATGCATCAACATGATCGTCAAAAGATATACATGAATGTCCTTAGCAGTTTTATTCTTTTTTTGCTGTTTTTGTTTTTGAGATAGGTTCTCACTCTGTCGCCCAGGATGGAGTGCAGTGGTGCAACCACCGGGACCACAGCTCACTGCAACCTCCGCCTCCTGGATTCAAGGGACCCTACTTCCTCAGCCTCCCAAGTAGCTGGGACCACAGACGCAGGCCACCATGCCTGGCTCATTTTTTGTATTTTTGATAGAGATGGGGTTTCACCATATTGTCCAGGCTAGTCTTGATTAGCAGCAGCATTCTCCCTCCCCCTCCCCCTCCCTCTCTCCCTCTCCTTCTTTTTTGAGATGGCGTCTTGCTCTGTCGCCAGGCTGGAGTGCAGTGGCACAATCTGAGCTCAATGCAACCTCTGCCTCCTGGGTTCAAGTGATTCTCCTGCTTCAGCCTCCCGAGCAGCTTTATTCTTAATAACCAAAAGTTAAAACAACCCAAATGCCCATCGCCATAGAATGGCTAAAAACATTGTGGTATATTCTCATATGGGTTTTATAGAACAATGAACATAAATCAAGTTACTCACAACAACACATTCAGTAATGAAGTTAGACAAAAAAAGACTACATGCTGTATAATTCTGCTTATTACGAAATGCTCAGAAACAGGCAAAATTATTCTGATATTTAATGTCAACACAGTGATTATCTTTGGTAGGGGTAGTGAAAGGAGCAAGACATGTTGGGAGCTTCTGGGGTGCTGGAAAATACCTATTTATTTCTCTGGGTGCTGGTTACATGGGTCTCTCCCTTTTTAAAAATTCATCACGTTGAACACATACTCAAATTTCTGCATATGTTATAATTCAATAAAAATGTTGTTAGTTTATAAATATATCGAAATGGAAACAACAACAGACTGCCCTTTGGATGTGTCTGACAGTGAAATCAAGGGAAGAGATTGATGGCAATTTAACCATGAGAGAGAAAGGATATTTAGGAGAATGGGACTGGAGCAGGCACACAGACATTTTGTAAAAGATCATAGAGAAATAAAAGCTAATGATGCAAGAGAGGATAGAGCTGAAAACAAGATCTCCTGAAAGAGAGTAAGAAGGAGTATAGCAGAGATACATATGTTAAAGCTAAAAAATGGGATGAGTGAAAACAGACAGAAAATTTTAAATGGACATACAATTAATTCAGGAATTTTCAGGCATTTTTGCTATGATAAATCCATAAAGGTGGATGAATCCATAAAGCGGTATATATATTGTGTATGTACAATATATACAGAAAGTGAGAGAAAACAGGGCGTTTGGATTTTTGAGGAAAGAGACAGAAATTGGAAAGAGCGTTGAGGAGTTGTAATGGGAATTAAATATTAAAACATTAAACTACTGTCAAGAGACAGTGAAAATGAAAATTGTTAGATTTCCATGATAATGCAAATACTACTTTTATCACAATATCACAATATACATATAATAAGTGGTATATAATGAAATTTACTGTTTATAGGTGAAAATAATTTACAAATGCATATATTTCTTTTGTTACCTCTAATCATTTCAGTTAGGCTCAGCTGTTTTTACAGGCAACATCTACTACCGTATAAGAAAATTAATTGTATTTCTCTCATTTAAAGTTCCTTGGTATTTTCACTAGCCATAATGATATGAAGTCTTACTTCAATTCCTTTAGACCAGCAAATGGTCACTTTTCTTAAAAACAAAAATTGTACAGTTTAATTAATGAGGTTACAACTCTAATACTTCATTCCTGGTTATCACTGTAGCTTCAAAAATGTATCCTTGGCCAGGTGTGGTGGCTCATGCCTATAATCCCAGCACTCTGGAGGCCAAGATGGGCAGATCACTCTAGGCCAGGAGTTCGAGACCAGACTGGCCAACACAGTGAAACCCCGTCTCTACCAAAAAAATACAAAAATTAGCTGGGCATGGTGGCATGTGCCTGTAATCCCAGCTACTCAGGAGGCTGAGAATCGCTTGAATGCCAGAGGCGGAGGTTGCAGTGAGATGAGACTCTATCACTGCAATCCAGCCTGGTCAACAGAGTGAGACTCTGACTCATAAAAAACAACAAAAAAAGTATCCTTTACACATTGATTATATATAAGAATTACATTTGTTTTTATTTCAAAACTTCTTGTAAAAATTATTGGATACAGGAGAGTTTACTACCCCCCCCACACACCCTCTAGAATGATATGTTCTGTACTTTGAATAATAATTATTGTGTAGCACTTTGTTTTATACAGTAAGTATAATTTTTTAACTTGAATAAAATTATTGATATTTATCTTTTTAGTCAATACATTTTTATTTCTTTCCAAGAAGTCCAATATTTGCTTATTATCATTAAGCTCAAATTTTAACCTTCTTTGATTATTTTATTGGATATGTCGTGATCTCATTTATATCTACACTAATGATGATTCTCATCTACTTGAAAAATGCGGTAAAAATTTACAATGTGTCCTGAATTTACTCTGAGATATAGGTATCAATATACCTCAGGTTTGTAAGAGGTGATTTGATGAAATCAATATTATCAGTAAAATAATTTAAATTTTTGAGAAAATTGCATACGTAATTTACTTTTTATAATTTTACTTTATAAGTCACTAACCGGAAATGGGGAGAATTTCACAAGCTTTATGAAAACAAAACTCTTTGTTTCAGTTATATTTAGAGATAAAATAAAATGTATCTCCTTTTTGTCATTTATTTAGATAAACAGCTTAATAACTTACAAATAATTTTGTTTAAAAAAAGAAAGAAAAAATTAAGCTGCAATGGTTTCTCAATGTATAAAAGCAAAATAAGAAACCGTAAAAGAAAATAGTAATAGATACTACTATTTTAATACCAGATAAAATCTTTGTAAAATTCCATAGGACTGACAATTAAAAAATTAGAAAGAGTATTTTCAACACCTATTTCAAATAAAAATATCAAAAGCCTCACTATGTAAAAAATATCAAAAGCCTCAATATGTAAAAGGTTTTACAATTAGAAGATCAAAATAAAGTTCCATTAGCCTTTCTGTTCCATTTAAAACATTTAACAGGAAGTAATTTTCCCCCCTCTTAGGAGCTTCCAATCTCCAAATATACCCGAAGAAATCTAGTATTTCCTCACACTGGCCCATGAATCAGTCTACCACTAGCTCATTTCTTGCCATTTATCAGAAGTACAGGAACTCTCTGGAATCTGATACAAGTAAATCTAAATCTACTTACTCTCCCTCTCTGAACTCAATTGCCTACGGAAAGTCTTCCTGGTGATAACATTCACCTTTCTACCACTCTACTGAGACCAGAATTCAACTAGGCAAGAAGAGGCCAGAAGTTTACAACCCCTCCAATCATTTGAAAACGGCAATATTGGGAGCTTCACCCTTTCCTGGGCAGGCCAGGCAATTCGGCCACTTACTGCAAAAACTACCCTCCCCTGCAAATCCTACCTCTACTAAAAGTACTCCGTGTAGAAGACTGGATTCGAGGCTAAACTGGGGAGTCTCTCCCTTCCCACAAATTAATATTATGGCATTCCTGACCCAATGTTAACTATTTCTCAGGATGCCTGACAGTTAAAAAAAATATATAACAATCAGAATTCTAAGAATGAGGAAGAAAAAATTTGACTTTGAAATATGTCTCAAGGCCTGGGGTATTCTGGTTTATCAATGAGCATATTATTGTGTGTGTGTTTGTGTGTGTGTGTGTGTGTGTCTGTGTCTGTGTGTGTGTGTGTGAAAATACTACAAACAAATGTCATCAGTTATTGTTGGAATAGTTATATAAGGGGTACTTTCCATTTAATTTCTCACCTTTTATATAATTACTAAAGTATGTACAATGAACATATGTTCCTATTTAAATAAGAAGAAAAAAGTATTACTTTTTAAAGTATCTGTCCCATTGCATTCCTTGTTAACATTAAAAGCAGGAAAATACATGAAAATTCTTTTTGCTATATTTCATTAAGAAGAAATCCAATTCCACTTTTTCCTCAAAGTGGAAAAGATTTCCTCAAAACATTATTTTGTTTTGTTTTTGAATTTTCATACCATTAGTGACACTGATATTTGGGCAGACCAAATAACTAATTTGATGTTCTTCTTTATAACCAGGAAGGTACTCCATAAGCAATATTTTGCATTCATTCATTCAACAAACAGTTATTGAACCTGCTATGTTTTAGGCACTAGGAGTACATAGTAATTAAAATATAAGCCATATCACCTAGGAGCTCAAAAATTTGTAGTAGAAACAAACAGATAAAACATTGGATATAACAATACCCAACAGTTGTATAAATATGAGTGTCATAGTATTACCAAAGTAAAGCACAAGCAGAGAAAAGGATCTAATGTTAAATTAATTCATATCAACATTTCAGTGATGAGATTTGGTTATTTTATATCTCTCTCACAGAATTTCAAGAACATAAGAATACAACTGTTACTACATGAATAATCAAGCTGAATGTTTGTTGACTCATCAGTATAATCTAAATGTATACTTGATTGTTAAAGCAAAAAATGTACTGAAAATATGTACTTTGATTAAATAAATTGTCTGATTTTCAACAAATCGGTAATTCAAAGAACTATGCTATTAGTTGAAAGTTTAAAAATAATTTTCTTAACTTCTAGCCATCCTTCTGCTCTGCAATAAATTTCATCACAATTAAAAACCTGCAAGGAGCAGAAAATTGCTTACTTGTAATCTGAGGCTAAATTCTGTAAGACCAACTCTTCTTATGCTACTTCAATTGGACTCTTCACTAATATTGAACTATGGCAACCCACAAACGGAATAGAAGCCCTTCTTTGAATTTCATTGTTCAGATGGAAATTAGAGACCTCATGAACCTTGATGTTATATTCTAGGTATTAACTTTGAGAAGAAATCTAAAAACCTAAGGGGTTCCTTTTTTTTTTTTTTTTTTTTTTTTTTGAGACGGAGTCTCGCTCTGTCGCCCAGGCTGGAGTGCAGTGGCGCGATCTCGGCTCACTGCAAGCTCCGCCTCCCGGGTTCACGCCATTCTCCTGCCTCAGCCTCCCGAGTAGCTGGGACCACAGGCGCCCGCCACCACGCCCGGCTAATGTTTTGTATTTTTAGTAGAGACGGGGTTTCACCGTGTTAGCCAGGATGGTCTCGATCTCCTGACCTGGTGATCCGCCCGCCTCGGCCTCCCAAAGTTAAGGGGTTACATTTTAACTTCTGAAGTATACATAGGTGTATATGTATAACACTGCAAATATTTCCAAAGAGATTTAAACACAACAACCTGTCACTTCATCTGCACAGGAAACTTATGACTTTACTGGGTAGATATTATGTTATTTATTTATTTATTTATTTATTTAACTTTTATTTTAAATATGGGGGTATATGTACAGATTTCTTTCATGGGTATATTGCACCCAGGTAGTGAGCATAGTACTCAATAGTTTTTCAACCCATGCCTCCCTCTCTCCTCTCTCTTGTAGTCTGCAGTGTCAGTTGTTCCCATGTTTATGTCCATGTGTGTTCAGTATTTAGCTCACACTTAATAAGTGAGAACATGTGGTCTTTTGTTTTCTGTTCCTGAAAAATTTGCTTATGATTATGGCCTCCAGCTGCATTCATGTTACTGCAAAGGACATGATTTTGTTCTTTTTTATGGCTGTGTACTATTTCATGCTACATATGTATCACATTTTCTTTATCCAATCCATCATTGGCGGGCACCTAAGTTGATTCCATGTCTTTGCTATCGTGACTAGCTCAGTGATGAATATAACTAGTGCATGTGTCTTTTTGGTATAATAATCTTTTTCTTCAGGCATATACCCAGTAATGTAATTGCTGGGTCAAATGGTCACTCTGTTTTAACTTCTTTGAGAAATACCTAAACTGCTTTCTATAGTGGCTGAACTAATTTACATTCCCACTAAGACTGTATAAGTGTCCCCTTTTCTCCACAGCCTCACTGGCATCCACAGCCTCACTGGCATCAAAAGACACATGCACTAGTTATATTCATCACTGAGCTATTCACAATAGCAAAGACATGGAATCAGCTTAGGTGCCCGCTAATGATGGATTGGATAAAGAAAATGTGATACATATGTAGCATGAAATAGTACACAGCCATAAAAAAGAACAAAATCATGTCCTTTGCAGCAATGTGAATGCAGTTGGAGGCCATAATCGTGAGCAATTACTCACTGTCATCTATTGGTTTTTTGACTTTTAGATAGAAGCCATTCTGACCTGTGTGCAATAGCATTTCATGGTTGTTTTAATTTGCATTTCTCTGACAATTAGTGATGTTGAGCATTTTTTCATGTTTGTTGGCTGCTTGTATTCTTCTTTTGAGAAATCTATTCATGTCCTTTGCCCATTTTAATGGGTTATTTGTGGGGTTTTTTTATTGTTAATTTGTTTAAGTTCCTTACAGATTCTGATTACTATACCTTTGTGAGATGCACAGTTTGCAATTATTTTCTCCCATTCTGTAGGTTGTTTATTTACTTTGTTGATCTGTTGATAGTTTCTTTTGTTGTGCAGAGGCTCCTTAGTTTAATTAGATCTCACTTATTGCTTTTTGTTTTTGTTGCAATTGTTTTTGGGGACTTAGTCAAAAATTATTTGCCAAGGCTGATGAATAGAAGGGCATTTCCTAGGTTTCCGTCTAGGATTTTTGTAGTTTGATGTCTTACATTAAATCTTTAAACCATCTTGAGTTAATTTTTATATGTGGTGAAAGATTTATTCCGCATATGGCTAGCCAGTTATTCCAGCACCATTTAGAGCATAGGAAATCCTTTCCCCGTTCCTTTTTGTTGTCCCTGTTGAAGATCAGCTGCTTGCAGGTTTGTGGCTTTATTTCTGAGTTTTCGATTCTGTTCCAGTCTATGTGTCTGTTTTTCTACAAATACCATGTTGTTTGGGTTACTGTAGCCTCATAACGTAGTTTGAAGTCAGTGTGATGCCTCCAGTTTTGTTCTTCAAATCAATATAGAGAGAATGATTTCCTCTTCTTTATATAGCTAGTATATAGTAAAATTAGGGGGAAACTATGGTCTGCAAATCCTGTTATTTTTTTTTCTATGCAATACCTAGTCTTTACTGAAATGCTGCACTTCAAAAAATGGAGTACACAATAAATTGTCCTTGTTATATAAATTAAGAAAAAACTAAATGAATGATTTCTTTTCTCTTTAGAAAATATAAATTTAAATCGAATACTACCATTTGAAATTTGTCTTTTATTTCAGAGAATGACACATAAGTTAGATAAAGAAAGCAACACTGGCACAGTAGCATTTGGGGAGCCCTGTATCAGCCAGGAGTCTTGGTTACAAGATAGAGCATGTAACCAGTACAACAGGATTTGAACCGGGGGCTCAAATGATACCACTAGAGCCCTGTATCTCCCTCTCTCTTCCCCCATCTCCCTTAAGTTGCATGGTTTCACTTTCTGTAGGTTTATTGCACTTTTATATAAACAAGCACTTGTTGAGAGCAAGAGAGTTCCTGTTGTTCTAGACCAGAAACTGCAAGTTCAATTCCTGCAAGATAAGCGCAAGTCTCTCAGAAATTCCAACAAATATTTCCTTCATTCCATTAGCTGTCAATGCACTTTCAGTCCATCCCTAATTCAATCACACAATGATGATCTAGCTGGTCAGCTTAAATTAAAAGCTATACTCTGGAATTAGAGGTGGAAGCGATTTTATCTAAGCCTAAAGAATGTGAGTGAAGTGTTTATTTTCACAAAGAATATTGGATCATCTTATTCTGAAATGGAAGGGTAGTAGGTGTCATTATATATCAATTAGTTTCTTTTGTTTGCAAGTAATAGAAACAAATTTGATCTAAATTAAAATGGGCTAATTTTCACAAGGAAATAAAGCTCTCCTATTGAATTCAGCAAGAGAAATGGAACGAGAATTCACAAACAATTTGTGTCTCTCCTGCGTGACATTTTATTCACATCTAAACTCTTCATTCCTTATTTTTTACAGCCCTGATTTATCTCATATGTTATTGATGGACAATTGAAGGCAGAGTCGCAACTCTTGAGAATTTCTATCGCTATTTGAATCTCAATTAGAAGTCCTTGTTACCAAATAAAATTTCTTGATTGTGAGAATTCAATTGGCTAAACCTGTGTCAAATGGCCACACTTCATCCAATTAACTGTAGCCAGTGATGAGTGTGGGTAGAACAAATATGGCTTCCATTGCTTTGATACAGAGGATATATAAAGCATTATTATGAGCTTCGCAGATACTCCAGAAATTGACCACCTCACATGATGCACCCCTGACGAAAGGTAACCTTAAAGCTTTCCTTAAAGGAGTTGATCCTATTGAGGTTTAAGCTACGGTGGAGATAACATTTAAAAACTAGTAATAGTTGCATATGATTTGCTGCAAGGAAAGTAGATGTTAAAATATAAAGAGGAGAAAACTGTCACAGCAGTGGATGCCTGAGGGGGTGGAAGAGGGATCTTAGAGGATAGAAAAGAAAGAGGTTAAATAAGAAAGTTGCAATTTCTAAAAATAGTTACTTCACAAATTTGCCAAGAGCTAACTCCTCTTACATTGTGCTATCTATAAGCCAAATAGCTTATATTATAAATCAAGGAAGGTTAAAAGTATAATTATCTTCATACTATCCTGAAGAAAAATGTGTAAGAAAAAAACACATGGAAGATTAATGAAAACATCTGCCTTCAGTCCCCTAACATTTAAATCAAAGAATCGGGCTTATAAGTGGTACAACCCATCCCAGCTGCAGGATGATTTACAGGTGCAGAGGTAATCTACTAAGGCAATGTGGCAGTCCACCAGAAGGGGATTTATAAATTAAAATCAATATGTGAATTTCATTCTGAAGCTTATGATAGTTAGTGCTGATTGCAGGGCTCTGGTGAATGGCCTCTAAACACGTTTTTGTTCATAGATCACCACATTTTCTACAAGCCAGAATTTGGAGATAATATGTGCCTGGGAATTCTAGAGGGCAAAGTTGTTTTGTGAAAGACTGCCGAACCTTGGAATATTTTGTAAAGTGTGCACACTCAAACTTGATAATATAGAGATGCAAATCTGAGGGAAGAGGATTATTTTTTGTTGTTTTTTTTTTTTAATTTGCTTTTTCGTTTTCATTTGTTTTAAGGTGAAGCAGAGTTGAATAAGTAGTTAGATGGATTTAAAAATATCAGCCACGAAATTGGCATTTTAATATGTACGTTTAATTGTATTCTCATGAAAAGCAACATTGCAGAATAGTGACTTGAATATCCTCTGGTGCTGGACTTCTAGGTTTCAATACGGGATTCCAATGGTATAGCTTTGGCAACTTACTTAGCCTCCTCCCTTCAGCTCAGTGTCTGTCTGTAAAATGCCTGTGATTTGGCTATACAACCCCTTCTCATCCTACTCTCATTTTCCATACAAAATCAACTTACATTTTAAATATATTTTCATTAATGTTTATGGCTTTCAAACATTAAAAATTATATTTTTATATTATAGAATTAAATAAGCAGGAGGCCATTAGCCTGAGGCTGTATCCATACTTCGAGTTTCTGTATAATAAATTGCAGTCTTAACTTAGTACTTAGATAAATGGAAACCTAACTTAGGGGAATAACAAACAGCTGAGTTCAGCTAATCACAGGCCGCCAACTCATCACACTATACCCAAAAAAGACAGTTGCCTAGCTGTAGCCAATCAGGTGATTTCTCTACTTTGCATCTGCCTTTGGTCTACGAAAGCACGCCACTCACACCGTCTAGTGCAGCCCTCAACTTCTCCTTGTACTTATACCACCGGACTCAGGAATTATTTGTTCAGGATAAATATGTCAAGTTTAATTAGTTTAAAGTTTTTCTTTTAACAATTCAAATGGGATCATGATATATCTTGCTGTTTTTCACTTAATGTATTTTCTCAGTCCTTCCACATTGGTACACTAGAACACACTCTTTTAAAAAATGGATGCATATTAATCTATTGTGTAGATGAGCCACACTTTTTAAACCTCAGAATGGGAGTTTATTTTTCTTACAATATTTTACTGCTTAAAAAAAGTGCAGGAGAAGAAACAGTAACTATCTTGGTACTTACACCATTTTGCAATTAGGTAACTATATATGCATAGTGGTTTTTTAAATGTGATATGGCTGGGTCTAGAGCTAGGAGTTTCAATATGAGAAATCTCACCTTCTAATTTAAATTTTAACATTTTGGGAGGCCCAGGCAGGAGGATTGCTTGAGGCCAGGAGTGTGAGACCAGCCTAGTCAACATAGTGAGACTCCATCTCCACATAACATTAATTAAAAAATTAGCCAGGTGTTGTGGCATGCAACTGTAGTCCCAGCTCAGGAGTCTGAGGTGGGAGGATCACTTCAACTCTGAAGTTCAAAGCTGCAGTAAGGTGTAAGTGCACCACTGCAGTCCAGTCTGGGTGACCAAGCTAGACCCTGTCCCCAAAAAAAGTTACCTCGTCTTTGAAGCAATTGTGAATGGGAGTTCTCTCATGATTTGGCTCTCTGTTTGTCTGTTTTTGGTGTATAAGAATGCTTGTGATTTTTGCACATTGATTTTGTATCCTGAGACTTTGCTGAAGTTGCTTATCAGCTTAAGGAGATTTTGGGCTGAGACAATGATGGGGTTTTCTAGATATACAATCATGTCATCTGCAAACAGGGACAATTTGACTTCCTCTTTTCCTAATTGAATGTCCTTTATTCCCTTCTCCTGCCTGATTGTCCTGGCCAGAACTTCCAACACTATGTTGAATAGGAGTGGTGAGAGAGGGCATCCCTGTCTTGTGCCAGTTTTCAAAGGGAATGCTTCCAGTTTTTGCCCATTCAGTATGATATTGGCTGTGGGTTTGTCACAGATAGCTCTTATTATTTTGAGATATGTCCCATCAATACCTAATTTATTGAGAGTTTTTAGCATGAAAGGTTGTTGAATTTTGTCAAAGGCTTTTTCTGCATCTATTGAGATAATCATGTGGTTTTTGTCTTTGGTTCTGTTTATATGCTGGATTATGTTTATTGATTTTCATATGTTGAACCAGTCTTGTATCCCAGAGATGAAGCCCACTTGATCATGGTGGATAAGCTTTTTGATGTGTTGCTGGATTCGGTTTGCCAGTATTTTACTGAGGATTTTTGCATCAATGTTCATCAAGGATATTGGTCTAAAATTCTCTTTTTTTGTTGTGTCTCTGCCAGGCTTTGGTATCAGGATGATGCTGGCCTCATAAAATGAGGTAGGGAGGATTCCCTCTTTTTCTATTGATTGGAATAGTCTCAGAAGGAATGGTACCAGCTCCTCCTTGTACCTCTGGTAGAATTTGGCTGTGAATCCATCTGGTCCTGGACTTTTTTTGGTTGGTAGGCTATTAATTATTGCGTCAATTTCAGAGCCTGTTATTGGTCTATTCAGAGATTCAACTTCTTCCTGGTTTTGTCTTGGGAAAGTGTATGTGTTGAGAAATTTATCCATTTCTTCTAGATTTTCTAGTTTATTTGCGTAGAGGTGTTTATAGTATTCTCTGATGGTAGTTTGTATTTCTGTGGGATCGGTGGTGATATCCCCTTTATCATTTTTTATTGCATCGATTTGATTCTTCTCTCTTTTCTTCTTTATTAGTCTTACTAGCGGTCTATCCATTTTGTTGATCTTTTCAAAAAACCAGCTCCTGGAGAGGATGTGGAGAAATAGGAACACTTTTACGCTGTTGGTGGGACTGTAAACTAGTTCAACCATTGTGGAAGTCGGTGTGGCGATTCCTCAGGGATCTAGAACTAGAAATAACATTTGACCCAGCCATCCCATTACTGGGTATATACCCAAAGGATTATAAATCATGCTGCTATAAAGGCACATGCACACATATGTTTATTGCGGCGCTATTCACAATAGCAAAGACTTGGAACCCACCCAAATGTCCAACAATGATAGACTGGATTAAGAAAATGTGGCACATATACACCATGGAATACTATGCGGCCATAAAAAAGGATGAGTTCATGTCCTTTGTAGGGACATGGATGAAGCTGGAAACCATCATTCTCAGCAAACTATCACAAGGACAAAAAACCAAACACCGCATGTTCTCACTCATAGGTGGGAATTGAACAATGAGAACACATGGACACAAGAAGGGGAACATCACACACTGGGGACTGTTGTTGGGTGGGGGGAGGGGGGAGGGATAGCATTAGGAGATATAGCTAATGCTGAATGACAAGTTAATGGGTGCAGCACACCAACATGACACATGTATACATATATAACAAACCTGCACATTGTACACATGTACCCTAAAACTTAAAGTATAATAATTAAAAAAAGCTTCCTTTCAAAAAAAAATTTACCTCCTATATTCTATAGACTGAGCAATAAAACAATCCTATATATTTGAATTGCATATAATGTAAAAACATCCAAGATTTGGCAAAGCTGTCTTTAGAATAAAATACTGCTTTGGTGATTTAGACAGAGCTTTTCTCTCATTCCCCCGGTTTTTAGCTATGTTCTCATAACCAATGAATTATAGATAAGTGAGGAGTTGTTGCCTAGCACAATACTAAATGAATACTTCACACATTTCAAATATTTCTTTTAGCTCATTGACTAATTCAGCCTAGCATCTTTTGAGGGGAAACAATAAATGATTGTAGGAAAATATATTAAGCTCTGTTACGGAAGAACTTGGCCAGCACAGCTAATATTTGTTTATAATTGAATTTTGCATTCCTCATGTAAAATGTTTTCAGAGGACACACTACAAAAAAAGTCAATATGTTATGTGAGAGGGTTCACAATATCTAACATGAAAACTCTTACTCCTGAAAAAGAAATCTTTTAGCTTTCTGTAAATAAATAGTCTGTAAGCGTCTCTCTCTCTCTCTCTCTCTCTCTCTCTCTCTCTCTCTCTCTCACTCTCTCTTTGGTCTATAAATTCACTGACACTTTTTATAAGGCTTCATTCTGTCAAGGTGTCCCTTTGCCATTCCACACACTTTTGCCCATCTCTAAATCTTTATTTAATTTTTTCTCTAGTGGTGTCCTTTATCTACTAAGATAACTAACTCCTTTTATCTCCAGGCCTCTCAGATGAAGGGCTTAAGAAAAACTGGAGTGGAGCGGGGAGGGCAGGCAGGACAGTAAAGTCCTATTCTTTGGAGGACTTTATTTTATTCTGCTCCTTATGCATGTGAGGAAGAAAAAAATAAGATTCTGCAACATCTTGCTGCCCTTCTTTTTCTTCCCTTCCTCCACTAGCTGTGTTTTTATGTACTTCCTAGAGTAAAGGAAAACAATACACAGTAGAACAATTCTTTTGTTTCACAACTAATCTCCAGTTCAAGTGTTTCAGATTACCACTAAATAGATATCTGACTCATTTCAGAAATTGTTTCTGAGTGCATATTGAGGTCTTAATGACATAATTGAATGGTGGTTTGCTTTTGTCTTTCTTAAGGTCATTCTCCTTAGCTACTCAAGAAAGCTTCTTTATCTTGCCTACACATGAAAGTTAGAGAAATACCAACTTTTACTTCATCAAACTTAGTCCATGTATTGATTATTATCTACTTTATGGCAGAGACTATTTCAGTTGTCTCTATTTAAACTTTATCTACATTTTATATTTCAGTGAAATGATGACTTTGCCAGGAACTTAAAAATCAAGCTTTTATGACTTGCTGGCAGTGTGACATCCTGATAATTAATCCTTCTGAGTTTCATTTATTGCATCTGTATTTACAAGGAGATATTCTAATTTTCTTTACATCAGTAGTGTTATAGATTAAACAGCTTGGGCTATTTAAAACCCATTCATATCACTCTTGCCTGACATTTGTATATTTCAACATCCATATCTATGATGAAGGAGAATAATTGTACTTTCCTCCTAGAGTTGTTACGAGGATAACATAACATTAAAACACTGCCTGACACACAGTAGGCATTCAATAAATGTTACCTACTGGTATCATTGTCATGTTATTCAATTAGTTCAGAGGTTTCTTGCAGGTTTCCAAAAAAACCCACAAAATTTATATTTCTCATTATCTTATGTTTAAAAGCATATCAGCATATCAGTGTAGAACAAACCTTTTCATTAGAAAACACTGACTTATTATTTCAACAGTTGATCTTCTTTTATTTTTATAATTTACTTTCTGAGATACATGCGCAGAACTTGCAGGTTTGTTACATATGTATACAAGTGCCATGGTGGTTTGCTGCACCCATCAACCTGTCATCTACATTAGGTGTTTCTCCTAATGCTATCCCTCCCCTAGCCCCCACCCCTGACAGGCCCTGGTGTGTGATATTCCCCTCCCTGTGACCATGTGTTCTTATTGTTCAACTCTCACTTATGAGTGGGAACATGCAGTGTTTGGTTTTCTGTTCTAGTGTTAGTTTGCTGAGAATGATGGTTTCCAGCCTCATCCATGTCCCTGCAAAGGACTTGAACTCATTCTTTTTTATGGCTGCATAGTATTCCATGGTGTATATGTGCCACATTTTCTTTATCCAGTCTATCACTGATGGGCATTTGGGTTGGTTCCAAGTCTTTGCTATTGTGAACAGTGCCAGAATAAACGTAGATCTGCATGTGTCTTTATAGTATAGTGATTTATAATCCTTTGGGTATATAAGAGTTGATCTTTAAATAAGAGGCTTAAGGCAATACAATGGACTGTATCCTTGTATAAATTTTCTATGGTTTTTGAAAGAAATGAGCACACCTTTTAGCGATTAAAAAAAGACAAATGATTTGATAGCTTAACAGGGTGACTATAGTCAACAATAATTTATTGTACTTTAAAAATAACATCTTAAAAAGTATAATTGGAACATCCATAACACAAAGGATGATAAATGCTTGATGTAATTTATCCTAATGTAGTTATTACACATTGAATGCCTGTATCAAAATAACTCATGTACCCACAAATATACCCATACAAATTAAAAGTTAGAAAAATAAATTTGGGTGCCAAATACAACACACACACACACACACCACACACACACACACACACAAGTTAGAAAAATAATAAACTGGAGTGCCAAAATACAACACACACACACACACACACACACACACACACACAAATGTATTCTCATACATTTCTATAGGTCAAAAGTCCAATACGTTTCTCACTGGCCTAATATCAAAGTGTTGGCAGGGTAGTGTTCCTTCTGACAGCTCTAAGGAAAAATCTATTTCCTTGCTTATTCAGGTCATTCACCAAATTCATGTACTTGCTGGTTATCAGCCAGGTTTATTCAGAGTTTCTAGAGCCTGCCAGAATTCTTGGCTAATGTGGTCCTCTTTCTCCACCTCTGAAGACAGCAACAGCAGGTCAAGTCCCTCTCATGCCAGTCTTGCCTCTTCTTCTACCACATCTCTCTGAGATAATCTTCTGCTTCTTTCTTCTACTTTTAAGAATTTACAGGATTAGATTTTGTCCATGTCATAATCCAGGATAATCTCTCATCTCTAGTTCCATAGCTTTAGTCATATCTGCAATTTTCTTTTGCTTTGAAGGTAACATATTTACAGATTCCAGGGATTAGGGTGTGGACTTCTTGCAAGGGGCTGGGGCATGATTCTGCCTGTCACAGTCCTTTTTCTCTTGCGTTGTTTTATTTGCTTCTTCCAGTGTCCATGCCTGATGCTATCTCTATCATTTGTTCTCAATTCCAACTGTGCTCTAGATTCACCTGGAGAGGTATCTAAAAAATACCAATGCCTAAACTCAACCAATTGCCCTAAACTCAGACCAATTATATCAGAAGTCTTGGGGGTGAAGATATTTGCTCTCCTTTGGATCAAATATCATGATATATTAGTTATATTCCTGTTACAGCTTTTCTAATAAAATCTAAAATTATACAGCTCACGTATAAATTTGTCTGATTTGAGTGGTATACATTGGGGACACTAAAGCCTTGTTACCCATCATGTGTTTTGGAATCAGCAACATCAGCATCAAATGAGAGCTTGTTAAAAATTTAGATCTTGGGCCCCATATGAGAACTGAATTCTGATTCAAGAGGTCTCAGGTTGAGATACTGCATTTCATTCAACTCCTCAGTTATGACAATTCTGCTCATTTATGGACAACACATTGAATAGCCAGGCTCCAGAGGGTTATAATTATATATATTACCAATGTGAATTTGCTCTGTCTTGAGTAGGTATCATTTGCTACATTTTATAGAAAAAAAAGCTGAAGCTTCATGTATTAGATTTTGTATTTCTTTGTTTGTTGTTTTGAGGCAGAGTCTCGCTCTGTCACCCAGGCTAGAGTGCAGTGGCACAATCTCGGCTCTCTGCAACCTCTGCCCCCCAGGTTCAATTGATTCCCCTGCCTCAGCATCTGGAGAGCAACCGTGGTTACAGGCATGAGCTACCATGCCTGGCTGATTTTTTGTATTTATTTAGTAGAGACAGGGTGTCACCACAGTGGCCAGGCTGGTCTCGAACTCCTGACATCAGGTAATCCACCCACCTCAGCCTCCCAAAGTGCTGGGATTACAGGCATGAACCACCACACCCAGGCAAATTTCTTGTTTTATGCTATGTAGTGGCAAAACCAGCATTCCAACCTTGACCAGTCCATCTTTCTTTCTCTATCTCATGGACCCTAGCTGAATTGAATGGTGGACATGTTTATCAGCCAGTATTTATCAATCACCAATTGTCTCATTCCGACTTTGAGAGAAAACTCAAGATGTGGTATCTGTAACCTGAGAATTGGCTGTTGCTATTAAACACATCTGTAAGGTTAAATTACCAGTTACGGTATTGAAAAAGCTAACATTACCTAGAAAAACTAAAGAGACTAGTTTATTTTTTTTCTCCTCTAAATGTAGTTCTTTTTTTTTCAGCCACTTTAAGAAAAATGTCAGGAATAATGAAATGATGAATAAATTCAGTTTTTAATTCTTAGCATTTTATATTCTTTCTCTTTGTTTGATCTGAAGTGTTACTGAGAGCAATGAGAAACGTGATTTCTTTTTTTTTATAACCCCATCTGGAGACATCCAGCTGAGATTACAATTTTCTAAGGCTAGAGGTAGATATTATCAATTACCAGCTGCTTCTTAGCTAGATAATTTGAGTAGCTTTTAATGTCTTTAAATGCCAAATGATTGAAGATTAGTACTAATTATATGTAACATATTAAGATACGGTAGATCTCTAATGTTAATAGTGACTAGCAGATTTTTTGAATTAGACCAATATTTAGCACCTCATTGAATAAATGTTTCATGTCTTACCAGTAAGTTAAAAATTTGACTTCCACATTATATAAATCTCTTCGTGAAATTGACAAATGAATGAGGGAGCTAAAATATTCACTTATTATTCTTATTAAAAGACTGCAGATTTTCTATTGTGAAACCAAACTAAAAATTAAAACAGCTATTATTTGTGAAATATTGGTGTTTAAAATTTATAAATTTAGGAGTTCAGGAATGGCTTTCAAATTTAATTAGAAAGGTAAAAGAGAGCATTTTAGATTTTGGAAACTGCCAGGCCAAAGTCAGAACTAATAACGAGACTTTCTGCAAACTCAGCATGTTTTAGCTAGGGTGGATGGGTCAAATGAGCTGGGCTATGTTGGATCCTATAACCCTGGCTGGGTGCCTAACGTGAACCAGCATTGTCCTGTGCACTTTATATAGATAATCTCATTTAATTGTCACAATATACTTTCAGATCAGTTTTGTTTCAAAAGAATGAGAACTGAAGCTCATAAAAGGATTAAAACAGCTCATTTGGTGACCTTAGGAAAAAAGCCCTGGATGTATAAAGGCAAAGTCCATTTATTTTTATTAAACCATAGTACTTTCCTAAAAGATGAGGAGAAGCTATGCTTTAAAAGTTGATTCCAGTAAATTTCAAACACTGTTTAAGATATAATATTTATTTTTCTATTAAAATACTTTTATTTACTGCCTATGTCAGGCATTGTGCTAAAATTGTTGGAGGAAGAGGGGCTAGCAGTAAATCCTAGAACTAGTTTTTGAACTGAAGCCATTTGTCCCTAGAGTCCTAGCTTTTAACCACTGTACTATACTGCCTGCAAACTGGCACTAGAGATAGTAAAAATGTCCTCACTGACTTAATACCCCTTATGTTTTGCAGACAAAAAAAAGAGAGAGAGAGAGAGAATATGTGAGAACTTGGCATTGGAGATTGGAGTCTAGGTCACTATATCCCAATTTAAAGAAGTATTCTAAACTTTTCTGAAGAGTAGGGGCTGTCATATTTGCCTCAATAAGAATAGGCTCAATAATTTGCAAGGGTAGATGGTAATGTGTTCCAATAATATTTCCCAGTAGAAAAAGCCAGAAGAGAAGAGCGTATTAAGAATAACCCACAAGAAAAAGCAGTTTACAAAAATCTAGGGCATGATTTCTTGATTAGCCTCCTGAGATTTTTAGAATGCTACATGGCTGTCTAAAATAAGTTGGACTATTAGAGGCCAGTCAGAACAATGAGAGTTTTTTTTCTTACAATTTGGTTATCAATTAGTTTTTTTTTTTTTTTTTACTATTATAGCATCTACAGGAAGTCAAGGAGTGCAGTGGGGCGATCTCTACTCACCGCAAGCTCCGCCTCCCAGGTTCACGCCATTTTCCTTCCTCAGCCTCCTGAGTAGCTGAGACTACCGGCGCCCACCGCCACGCCCGGCTAATTTTTTTGTATTTTTAGTAGAGACGGGGTTTCACCGTGTTAGCCAGGATGGTATTGATCTCCTGACCTCATGATTCGCCTGCATCGGACTCCCAAAGTGCTGGGATTCCTTTACTTTTTAAATTATGAATTTCCTTTTGTTATTATACTTTAAGTATTGGGGAACATGTGCAGAACGTGCAGGTTTGTTACATAGGTATATACGTGCCATGGTGGTTTGCTGCACCCATCAACCCGTCATCTACATTAGGAATTTCTCCTAATGCTATCCCTCCCCTAGCCCCTCACCCGCCGGCAAGCCTCAGTTTGTGATGTTCCCCTCCCTGTCTCCATGTGTTCTCATTGTTCAACTCCCACTTAAGAGTGAGAACATGCGATGTTTGATTTTCTGTTCTTGTGTTAGTTTTCTGTGAATGATGTTCCCAATGTCATTCATGTCCCTGCAAAGGACATGAAGTCATCCTATTTTATGGCTGCATAGTATTCCATGGTGCATATGTGCCATATTTTCTTTATCCAGTCTATCATTGATGGGCATTTGGGTTGGTTCCAAGACTTTGCTATTGTGAACAGTGCTGCAATAAACATATGTGTGCATGTGTCTTTATTGTAGAATGATTTATAATCTTTTGAGTATATACCTGGTAATGGGATCGCTGGGTCAAATGGTATTTCTAGTTCTAGATCTTTGAGGAATTGCCACTCTGTCTTCCACAATGGTTGAACTGATTTACACTCCTATCAACAGTGGAAAAGCATTCCTATTTCTCCACATCCTCTCCAGCACCTGTTGTTTCCTGACTTTTTAATGATCACCATTCTAACTGCCATGAGGTGGTATCTCATTGTGGTTTTGCTTTGCATTTCTCTAATGACCAGTGATGATGAGCTTTTTTTCAATGTTCGTTGGCTGCATAAATGTCTTCTTTTGAGAAGTGTCTGTTCATATCCTTTGCTGACTTTTTCAAGGAATGTGAAGGACCTCTTCAAGGAGAACTACAAACCACTGCTCAAGGAAATAACAGAGGACACAAATAAATGGAAAAACATTCTATGCTCATGGATAGGAAGAATCAATATCGTCAAAATGGCCATACTGCCCAAAGTAATTTATAGATTCAATGCTATCCCGATCAAGCTACCATTGACTTTCTTCACAGAACTGGAAAAAACGACTTTAAATTTCATGTGGAACCAAAAAAGAACCTGCACAGCCAAGATAATCGTAAGCAAAAGAACAAAGCTAGAGGCATCACACTACCTGACTTCAGACTATACTACAAGGCTACAGTAACAAAAACAGAATGGTACTCTTACCAAACCAGACATATAGACCAATGGAACAGAACAGAGGCCTCAGAAATAATGCCACACATCTACAACCATTTGATCTTTGACAACCCTGATCAAAACAAGCAATAGTGAAAGAATTTCCTGTTTAATAAATGGTGTTGGGAAAACTGGATAGCCATATGCAGAAAGCTGAAACTGGATCCCTTCCTTACATCTTATACAAAAATCAACTCAAGATGGATTAAAGACTTAAATGTAAGACTTAAAACCATAAAAACCCTAGAAGAAAACCTAGACAATACCATTCAGGACATGTTCCATTCAGGACATAGGCATGGGCAAAGACTTCATGACTAAAACACCAAAGAAATGGCAACAAAAGCCAAAATAGACAAATGGGATCTGATTAAACTAAAGAGCTTCTGCACAGAAAAAAAAACTATCATCAGAGTGAACAGGTAACCTACAGAATGGGAGAAAATGTTTGCACTCTATCCATCTGACAAAGGGCTAGTATCCAGAATCTACAAAGAACTTAAACACATTTACAAGATAAATTATGAATTTCTAATATAAATATAGATATAGATTTTTTTTTGAGACAGTGTCTCACTCTGTCACCCAGTCTGAAGTGCAGTGGCGCAATCTCAGCTCACTCCACCTCTCAGGTTCAAGCGATTCTCCTGCCTTAGCCTCCTGAGTAGCTGGGACTACAGCTGCATACTGCCACACCTGGCTAATATGTATATTTTAATAAGCAATTAAAATCTATACAGCACATCTTATCTTTGCCTTTAATCATATAAAAATGTTTATATAGTTATAGAAATGTTTTGGTCCAAGAAATATACCTAGTACTTAAGGTAGCTAATATTCAAATTTCACATGTTTGGTCTAGATGAACAGCATAGAAACTGCAGGTCTAAAACTGTATCTCCCTAAGAAATATATATGCAAAGATTAAATAATTCTTTAACCTAAAATTCCTTTCTCTTGATCTATGTATGGGTTACAGGTAAACAGGAAATTTAAGCCAATATATTAAAGAACATAATAATTGAAAGAAATGAAATTCCTTTTTTCATGTATACACTGCTAAATCAAAAAGAAAAGCAATAATAATATTTGATTGGCTGCTGATGGAACACAAATCCTGTCCTTTTCTGTAAACATTGTACCTGTACACTTTTTACCTTTGGAAACATTGGTTTTATTCCTATCTATTCTGCAGAGTCATTCTGTAGACAGTAGAGAGCAATTGAATTTTCTGGTGAATGACCAAAGTCAATCTCTGTTTTGCCTGTTAACAAATTAGTTAACAAATTAACAAACCACCATTCTTCCCCACTGTAGAAACTGTACACAGCTCAACTTTCCACAGGAATGGATTTCCCAAAGTTTCTAGGTTCTAGCATGTTAGTTTTCCCCCAAGGCCTTCCTAAATTATCCAGCATATAACCTCAGACTGCTTAGTGCCTGAATCCAAAATGTTTATTCTCCCACATGAGACCACATTCATTCTTGACCCAAACAAAAGGGAGAACAGGGAGGTGAGGTCCCTCTAAAGAAACACAGCCCCACAATTTCCAATAGGCAGGATATTTGTGGTCAGTTAACTCTCCTACCTATAATTTCCAGTCTATATCAAACATTTCTCTTCATATTTGCTCAAGACTTTTGCTCAACAATGATGGCAGTTAGGACTCAGAGTTCAGACTCTTTTAGATCATTTATGCAAAATTTAAATGAAAACTTAGAAGTGTACATTTAGATTCTATCAATTTTTTTTGGTTGTTATTTTGTTTGTTTTTGTACACTAGAACCAGGAATGTTCCAATGTGCAATACTTGGCCTAAGGAAAGATACAAAAAGATATTATACATTTATAGTATGTATAAATATTTAAAATTTTAAAATATGGCCAAAAACTTTTCAATAAAATATATTCTCTATTGCTACTTAGATAGATATACCTTTATGATGACATGGAAAGCCAGTCCCAATTGATAATTTTTCTCACTCATTTGATTCAAGGTAGCTAAGTGGCAATGGGATGAGGATGCACTCCTGTCTTTATGCTGACCTTTTCTCCCTAAATCTGACTTAATCTCATACTGCAGAAGATTGGTTACTCTGGGAAGGATGTTGACTAATTTAAGGAAGCTCTCTTAAACTAAAGCAGACCCCAAAGGCAATGACAGCTAGATGCTTTTTCTGAACCACATTTTCTATAGCTAGTTAGTAAGTTATTCCTTGAAGGGAAATTTAAGGCTATGCGTCTTCATATCTACCACAGTGGCCAAGCCCAAAATATGTTTCTCCTTCTGATAAGACCACACATATTCTGGCTGCATTCTTAAGGGAAACAATGAGCAAGGAACCATTTCTGGAATCCTGACACATGGTGTGGACAGCTGTACTATAGCCAAAGTACATTGCTCTGAAGTCTGCCAAGTAAGAGAAAACTCATATAATCTTTAATTATATGAGTTAAAACCTAAATCAAGTGATGCTACTGGTGTTCCTCTCAAGTTTTTTGCTTAATCGTTACACCCAACATGGGGCACACATTGTTTCAGTGTACGGAAGGAAGGTTCAACTGCAGTATCTGGAGGTGGGGCACTTTCATCCACGGGAACAAGGGTGGTTCACTAGAGAGCCTATGAGAGGTGGATGCTTTGCCTTCCAGCAAGCCAGGAGAAAAAAGAAGAAGATATGCAAAGAAAAGGTCCATAGTGTCTGGAGTCCTCTGGCATAACATAGCTTCAGGAAATAGTAGGCTGACACGGAGTCTGGACAGAATCTTAAAATTTATTAATTGCTAGTAGGAGGCTGGGTCTGCTGCGGGTGATACTACCTAGTTAGTCTAGTAGAAGCTGATGTTTGGTGTGATGCATATTAGAAGTTAGACAACTATTTAAGAATCTGATGGCCAGTAATAAGTAACAAGCTAGGAAACATTATTTTAAAGGGGGAACAGTTCTAGAAACTGTGTGTGCAGAGAAAGGGGGATACCCAAAGGATTAGCTAAAAAGGCAAAATGGGAGCATTTAGTACACTGGGTATAATAGCCCCATTGGTTGCATTCTCCTTCTGAGATGCTCTTCAACTGCTTTCTAGCAAGCCAGCTTCTAGAGCCTCCAGATGTCTTGGAGAAAGAATCAAGTGGGGGAAAAATGGGAGGCAGTGCATCCATAACATCTTGAAACATCACTGTATAAAAGGTAACATAGAATACTAATTTTCCAATGTGAGACTTTTTGCATGAAAAGAAGACTGAGTGGATGGAACTTGAGGTTATTATGTTAAGTGGAGTAAGTCAGGTCCAGAAGACAAATATCACATGCTTTTACTAATAAATTGAACTCATGGAGATAGAAAGTTGAATGGTGGTTACGAGTCTGAGAAGGGTAATTGGAGGATGAAGAGGTGTTGGCTAATCAGTACAAAAACGCAGTTAGATGAGAGGAATAAATCCAGTGTTCCATAGCACAACAGGGCAATTATAGTTAACAATAATTGTATATTTCAAAATAACTAAAAGTAAAATTGGAACGTTTCTAACACAAATAAATTATAAGTGCTTGAGGTGATAAATACCCCAATTACCTTGATTTGATCATTACACATTGTATGCTTGTATCAAAATATCACATGTACTCCATAAATATGTACAATTATTTATATTCATAATAATTAAAAATTAAACAAAAAAGACTGAGTTTGGAGTTATGTATTCTGCCCTTCCCCTCCAGCAGAATTCCCAATGCCAATATCAAGTTCTTTTTTCCCCAGCTCAGCAAATCTGTTACAGTGACAAGGCCTCTTGGATGCTTATCGAAAGGAAGAGAAATAAGAAGCAAGAGTCTCCCTGGTAGGGCAGAGCCCTAGGTTACAACAACTGCATATGGGCCTCAGCATCATGCTTTGTATGATGCTGAGTGATCTGGGAATGCATGCATCTGCTGACAATTCTGCTCAGGAGTTTCGGCCTCTACCATGTGCTGATGCTATTATTTGCCCCACATTGTTTGTTTAATAAATTTGTTATGGGCTTATGAATATTTTAAAGTATACACATTTCCAAAATTAATGTCTATATAAGGCACACTTTAATGTTAAAATTATCAATGCAACTTGTAATGCATGTCCTAATTCTGCACAATCACTAAAACCTTAAACAATATATGCCTTCTGATATGGTTTGGCTGTGTCCACAGCCAAATCTCATCTTGAATTGTAGCTCCCATAATCCCCATGTGTCATGGGAGGAACTCAGTGGGAGGTAATGAAATCATGGGGGTGGGTTGTTTCCGTGATAGTGAATAAGTCTCATGCGAACTGATAGTTTTATAAAGGGTAGTGCCCCCACACATTTTCTCTTGCCTGCTGTCATGTAAGATGGGCGTTTGCTCCTCCTTCGCCTCTGCCGTGATTGTGAGGCCTCCCCAGGCATGTGGAAGTGTGAGTCCATTAAACATCGTTCTCTTTATAAATTACCCAGTTTCAGGTATTTCTTTTTTTTAATTTTGTTTATTTGTTTTTATTTATTATTATTATTTTTGAGACAGAGTCTTGCTCTGTCACCCAGGCTGGAGTGCAGTGGCACTTTCTTGGCTCACTACAACCTCCATCTCCCAGGATGGTATTTCTTCATGGCAATATGAGAATGGACTAATACACCTTCTCTTACAGAAATGGCTTCCAAGCTATGTATTTTGGAGATCTAGCAGTTTGTGGTGCCATTCTTGACCACAAATATGAAAGAATGACATTACTTTCCATATTTGGCAGAGTAATTCTGTCCAGCTACAAGCCTTAATTTATGTCAAAAAGATACAAGAATGGCATGACAAAGGATACAATTGAAAGTTTCACCATTCATCTTCTGTTCCTGGGTAGGAAGTTAAAGTAACATCTGTGGGCAGCACAGAAGCCGTATCCTAGGCAATCCAAATAAGACTTTATTGGATTTGATATCTTCCCCTTGCCATGAGGGTCTTACAATACCTGGGAACAATGTTTATTATCACGTAAGACCATAAATTAAGAACTAATAACTGAATTCTTATTGACCCATATTTAAGGAGCTTCTCATATGCTCTTGGGTCAAAGGACCCAAGGATTTTCTAATTATGTATACTTACAGGTTCCCCATAGATAGTACCAGTTATGACCCAGAACAATGTCCTAGAATCAGCCAGGATATCCTCTTTTGTGAGTGTTTCCCTTTGGGCTTGCATATCATTTAAATGAAAATATCTATGGTTAATAATTTTTCAAAACCATTTTTTATTTTGCATTTTTTCAATTCACAAATCAGTGGCCTAATTGTAGTTATAAATATCCACAAATTATAAAGGACTAAATTGGCCTTTGGGTCTTCCCTTCAGTCTTTCATTGTTTGCTGACACCTTGCATGTGTATCTCATTTTTATGCTTGCCACTGGATGGGTTCACCAGTTGGAAGACCTTCAAGCTACTTAAATACTATGTCTATCAAGTATTTGAGATCTCAAATGTCCTTCCCTTGAATCATTTCCTGAGAGTCTTACTTTGCAATACCTATCTGAAGTAGACAATAATACATTAATCATTTCTAAATGATGAGCTAATGAGTTTATGATTCTTATAAAATAATGAAACACTAATTCTTAAGGAGTCATGGTGATGCTGAGCCACCAGGTAAGGCCTCTTTGGAGGGCAGTAAGAAGGGAAAGTCAACATTTTTTTCTTTCTTAAAAACGTGTCCTCAAAACAAGTGTCTACCGCTAATTGTATACACACTTCTACTCCCATCAACATTGCTTGAGGATGCCTGTGGCTTCGTGTTTTTGAAAACACAGCCTATTTCCAAACTTAAGCTACATTCCTTCACCACCACCCCCCAAAACACCTTTTTGTTTGTTTTTTGTTTTTGAAACAGCGTCTCACTCTGTTACCCATGCTGGAGTGCAGTGGCATGATCTCAGCTCACTGCAACCTCTGCCTTCCGGGTTCAAGCGATTCTACCGCCTCAGCCTCTGGAGCAGCTGGGATTACAGGCATGTGCCACCAAGCACCGCTAATTTCTGTATTTTTAATAGACACAGGGTTTCACCATGTTGGCCAGGCTGGTCTTGAACTCTTGAGCTGAAGTGATCCATCCACCCCGGCCTCCCAAAATGCTGGGATTACAGGCTTGAGTCACTGCACCTGGCTGCATACACATTTTTGATTGACCTAAATTGTATCTTTCTTTTTTACAGACGAAGTTTCCCTGAATGTCAATAGGATGATCTTAAAATAAAAGAAACTGGATTATTCTAGCCTATTACAGCCTATTAAAACACTCCAAAAATTATCACAGTCTTTGTTATTTAAGCTTCAAATGCTCAAATAACTATTACCAAAATGGCAAATTATGTACAAGGATAGCACTGAAAGAAAGAAAAAAGGTTGACACTAATGACCACATACTAGCCAGAGATACCATCAGATGCTATCCGCAAAGAGTAGCAAATACAGCTAGTGATTTCTGAAGTGAAAAGAAAAGCTTTTGAGGTGAAGATTATTATGCACTGAAAATATCCCTTCTACAGAAGTTTCTTTTCTTTGCCTCTAGGAAGACAGAAAGAATCAAGTAAACATGAAGGCCAGTGCCTATAGACAGCAGGTTATTTATGAGTGCCAGTTATGGCCCCAGAGCAGTTAATTTGGATTATCTCATGCAAAGATTAGAAAGTGAAGGAAGTATTTTTTATTTCAACTTTTTAAAAAGAGATCATAGCTGATCACAGCCTATAAGGTTCCAAACACTTGCAGAATTAAACCTGGGCATTACCTTGATATTCCTTAAAGAAAATTGATATTTTATATGTAATTGTATTAGACTGATCCTAATTAAATCATGATGGCAACATTTTATGTCTGCTGATTTCCTAGATTCTTCCTTTAGAAGAAAAACTATCCCAGAACATCATGGATCAATTAATGCATCTCTACTTACCCCAAGGAAAAAATGAATATTAAAAACTTTAGTATTTAAATGAATAAGCAGGATTCACTGTTTTAAAAAATAGCTTCTGTTGTTTGTTGGCAACTTAAAACCTTACTACAGGTGATATTGGGAGACTTAAAGAAACTTTCATTCAAACTTCTGGCTTTCATGATCATTAATAAGTGGAAAATAATAATTCAAGAAAACAAAATGTATAAAAAAGGATGAATTTTATGATTAAATGAATTTTTTTACCCACCTTTGTCCTTGAAAGTATATCTGGGCCATTGTATGGTGATAGTAATCAATATCCAGTTAGGCCTAAAACTGGTTAAAACATGCTTTTATGCTTTGTTATGGAAAAAAGCAAAAAAGGTTCCATTTTTTATATATGACCCTACAGCATTATACTTTATAAGAAAGAGTCTTTCCCATTTTCAGCCTAAACAGCAATCTCTGCTTGCAGCTGTTCTATTTGAGTAACCTGATTAAAACTGAATGATAACTTTTTCCCAGTCTTTACTGTACTTATGATTGCTACAATAAATAGCCACAATCTTCTTTCTCCAGATAGGATATTTTTCCTGAAGAGGCTCAACATTCTTTTAACTCTTGGTTCTAAAGATGTTTCTTTTTCAGGCTGTTATGAAGATTGTTTGATCAAAGCATCTTTTATAACCAATGCTCATCATTAAACTAGCCAGATAAACAGCGTATACCCATATTCTGAAAAGGGAAATTATTTCATTAATAGACTTGAGAGAAAAATGCATCAATAAGTAGGACACCAGGATGAAAATTTTCCCAGAAATATTTTTAAAGACTTTTATTCTTGGATATCTATTTAAGAGACAGTGTACCTGCAAAAATGTTGTCCCTGGATAATGTTTTTTTTTGCTTACAGTAAATATTGAAGTGAAGCCAAGACATCTATTTTATAAGGTAAAAAAAAACTACTACATCCTTAACTATGGGTCAAGCAGAATGTCAGGTTCTGAAATATGAAGACCACTAAAAGCAAAAGTCACTTTTAAACATATCTCAGAGTTGCAAAGGAATAAAAAGTCATCTAATCTACCCAGATATAATAATGGATTTTATATGTTTCTGAGAGAAAATCATCAGCCTTTCCTTGAAAATGTTCACAAATAGAATTTCTTCCTACTCATAAAGTAGTGCAATAATTTTTAATTTTGGTCTTCCAACCTAACGTTTAGTCTCCTCAAAGATTCAAATTTTTTCTTTACAAAGCAGCTTCACCTTTATTAACTTATATTTCTAATATTTTCCCCACCTATAACAAGCGTTCTCTTTTAATGACTGACACTAAACTTTCTAACACCCGTTTCCTGATTTCTTCTGTTGTATCACACCCATAACTGAAACGTCTGTAATAGGTCCTCAAGTTCTTTCAGTAGATTGTAAATAGTATTACAACAGAGTAATATGATTGTTCAGGGAAAATGATGGGACTCTCCTGTAGAAAAGGGAGGTAAAGAAGTGGGGAGTACCATATAAGGAAATATGTAGTCTTCACTCAATTTTTTGGAAGGTACTAACAAGATGCCTTGGTCTACAGGGTACAGATCCCAGAAAAGTGACTTTGAATAAGAACACGAAAGGTGAATAGAAATTGGTTGAATCTTGGTTTGCCACTTCTAAGCAATGTGACTTTGGGCAAAATACAATGTTTTTGAAGCTTATTTTCCTTATCTGTGAAATGGGGAAATTTTTTCTTCAAGCTGGTTGTAAAGAATAACGAGTATTTTAATTTATTCTTTGTTATTGCATCCCAAGCACTATACTAGGCAATTTGTGTATTAAAAAATTAACATCACGATATCCATGTGGGTTTCAGTAACATATGTAAAGACCTTCACACTATGGCTGTTTGCAACATGTATTTAATCTATGTTAATGGCTTATCTCATTCTCTTCATAGTAAAATTATAGAAAAATATATCTCACTACTCAAGTATTCTGTCAATCTCCATGCTATATTTCCTATTAATTTTTTAGGTATAATAACTATAAGTAGATAATTATGATAAAAACACTCATCTATTTTCATTACAATAACAATTAGATACATGATTTAAGATTAATTTTAATATGAGGAATTTAAAGAGGTCCCAAAGTTTTTTTTCCCACTTACTAATTTACTTAGCATTTTAGCTAGGTATATAATACCTCTAAATATAGAGATTTGAGGAATTTTATAATCAGAATACTTTCTAAAATATGCATGCTGTCCTTTATCAAAGTCAATTTACAAAATACTTAAAAACTACTTTAAAGTAAAATTTAACAAAAGATTCAAAGAACACTTCAAAATCATTGTTGAAAATGCAACTTTACTCGAGGTAAATTTGTGATATTTATGATCACATGTGCTTAGAAGAGTTTACCCTTTTATCTTGAGTGTCTAGCACATTGTCTAGCAAATTGTAGGTACTTAATATATTTTTTGTGAAATTAGTATTTCCAATGTTGAAATTAAAAATAGTAAAACATACTGTATTCATAGGCAAAAATAACTTTAGGTACACAATACATAGGTGGGTGAAATGTAAAATTATTTCTTGCTCAGTTCAAGAATGTTTGTAATGCATTAGGAAAAACCTTGGTTTTAAACAAAAGTGATTTTCAGTTTTTTAAGAAAGTATAAATATAAACCAAAGTAATAAAGGGCTAATCATAGTCCTTTAGTTTCTGAATTTTTAGCATATTTCTTCTTTCATAGTCACGTTTGCAAGATGGAGTGAAGAATACTGAAAACACTGGCTTCTATTATTGCAGAGCTAGAAAAACACTGTGAAACATACTGTGTGACAGAGAATATGTTTTGCAGCGAAATGTATCTAGCTGCACTTACAAGAGGGTTGTTCCAAAGCCTTCAATGCCTATGTTCTTTCTGAAAACCACTTTGTATTATCTAGAAGCTTGATAGTCTTAGGACTTCCTATTGGCCTTTAACTTGACCATATTTCCCTCTTTACCACAACCGTTAAGTTTAGATGATAAATCCAGAGCCTGGAAACTTCTCTGACACTGTTGCATTGAATAAGATAATGCCTTCATTATTTCAACAAATACCTTTAAGGAGAAGTGTTATGAGGCAAGCACTGTGTTGCGCATTGGAATATAAGTAAAGAAATGTAATGTCCAGTCTCAAGGGGCTCATGATCCACTGGAGTAGGGTGGCAAGTAAAAGCAACTACAATTCAGTGTCGTATTTGTTGTACATGTCATAGCGAGATTTCTGAGAAAGTAAAATCAAACAGCCTAGTGAGTGGTGTAGAGCATGTAAGAAGAAGGAATGTCTTATGTCATTTCTGATATGTGTGTACAGGTAAGCCAGGTAAAGGGTAGTGTAATATGTGTAAGAAATAGGTAAGAGAGAGCTTAGTTTCTTCATGCAATTTGCAGTGTCTATATGGCTAGAAACTAAGAAGTAAATTAGGAATGATTAGAAATAATGCAGGAGACATAAGCAATGTCAAAATCATGAAAGACTGCTTAGAGTGACCTGTTTTCTGAGTACAATAGGAAACCACTGCTAATTTTAAGCATCAGGGAGATGTCTCAGTAGACTTGGATTTTAATATAATCCACCTGGGTATTTGACAGGAAATGGATTAAAAGAGAGGAAGATTAGAGTCATGGATAATAATTAGGAAGCTTTTGTAATAATCCTGGTAAAAAATAAAGGTGGCCTGAACCTTAAAAAAAATTTGAGAGGATTCAGCAGTTAATTGCCAGTGGTAATCAATACTCAATCACTAGGCAAACCAAACAATGGTACACTTTTCTACAAGAAGACAAAGTAAAATAGTTACAGTTTTTAATAAAATATGTATGGCTGCCCTATTACTGGTCAGATACAAACTCAAAAATTATTTTTATTTCTTATAATCATCCTGCAAAGTTATTGTTGGCTCTATCATTTAGAAAACAAAACAAAAACTGAGTCTCAACAATTAAGACTATTCCCTAAAGTTACACATCTCGTAAGTGGCAGAGTTGTAACTCCAATCCAGATGTATCTGGTTCCAAAGTTCACAATTTCCCCTATATCTTGTTCCATCTCCTCATTCTTAATTTAAATTTAACAATAAAATAGTATTGAAATATTCTTAACTTTAAATTCAACAGTAAAGTAATATTGAAACTATTATAGGAAGCTTTACTCCCAAATCTGTTCCATTAATAAATAATGGAATAATTGTAATTATTTATTAAATTTATTATATATTATAAAATAATAAATCTATTCCATTAATAATGATCAGATTAGTGGTAAATTAATTAGTGGATAGATTAATTATGAAGTCCTAGATTGAAAAATATTTTGAGTTTATTTGATTCATATGTCTGCTTATAAGGCACCTGCCAAGTACTGCCATTGCTACTTTTACTCAAAGTGTGTACCATGTAACACCAATATCCAGGTCATATGGGCTAACTTGCCAAAGTGCAGATTTCTGAGTCCCATGTCACTCCTAGCATATCAGTCATATCTTTGGAAACGGAAATGAAAATCACAATTCTAACAAGGCCTCCAAATGATTTTTATGTTCAACAAATGTTGAGAAACCTCATAATAGATCTAGAAGCATATATGTAGCCAAGTTTATCTGTTTGTACAAAAGAAAGGCGATAAGCATAAAAATAATTTTACCATGACATTAGTAAAATTATATAAACAACTTTAGAATCACATATTACAAGTATAGAGGATTTTACTTTTCTGTTTAAAGGAGTTGGTAGGAAAAATGTAAGGCATATTAAAATAAGTTAAATGATGGAATGAAAACTTTGAGGAGTAGAACATTTTTCCAAAGGTCATCTTCCAAGGTTACTTCTATTGTTTTAAGAATGTGTGCCTACATTGAAAATCACTGAAAAACTATTTACTTTGAAGTCTAGCAGTAATTTAACCTCTTCTTTCAGATGAACATATTTCATTTATATTCATTTTTTCATTAAAAACAATTATTCCAAAATTACTAAGAAATTCTGAGTTTGACAGTGCATGCTTACACATGGGCTAATTGGGTTAAAACATTACCAAAATAGAATATGTAATAAAGGGTAAATAGACACTGAGGAAATCCAAAAGTTACCATTTTAGTAAACAATTTACTTCCAATTTCCCATGTAGGTATATAGCTATGACCATTATGATATATTTTTACTTAATGTTTCAAGGTATTGATATTTATAGCAGATCTTGCATGATGGCTTCTAGGTTTACTTTTCTATATGAAATTATGTGAAGAAAAAAATTAACATATAGTGCAGGCCTTTATGATCCTTTTAGTTGTATCTATGTCTGTCCTGCTGAATTCTTGCCTTGACTGAGCCCAAATGGAAGAATTTATTGCAAATAGTGGAGATCTTTTTGGTTTCTGTCATCGATTGTTTTTACTGATAGTTTTCTCTAAGCTTTTTCGTGGAACCTACCTTCACAATTTCCTTCAAAGTTTAATGAATTTGCTAGATGTTCCAGTAAAAAGTATATAGAACGAGTAGTATTCCCTACTCCTTTATAGGTATGGCCACCCAACTGAAAATGGGTAGGGAGCAGTATAGTAAGGAAAATAAATGCAGGATGTCAGAGCATTGAGAAGCTCTCGGATATTTTAGAATGTTAAATATACACCATATATTATATGAAATGAGAATATATGAATCTTTTTTGTTTAAGGAAAGCTAGTTTGGAGGAAACTTGGGAATTCATTTGAAGCTGAGTCTTCCACCAAGTACTTTAGAACTCTAAGGGCACTGCAGGTTTGCAGTCAGAGCTAGTACTTCTTTAAGAATATATTTGACAGAAATTGCAGGAGGATGAGTTGAAAACACAGAACTCTGTCAGTTATTTATTTTACATTTAGAAATCAACCTTCCAAGCAGACCAGCTTTTGAAAATATTTGTATCATAAATTATCTCAAGTGTCCTATAGTTCCTTCTAGTAGTGATGCTTTCAAAGTCATTTGTTATTCAGAAATTTCACTGCTGCATTCTATTAGCAATAATTTACATTTGCCAGTGAAACCTGAAGGGACAACTTGACACCTTGACATTTAATGCTGTGGTGAGGTGAAGTAAATTGGTGGTTTCATACTGCCTGTGCACTACAATAATTTATGCAGCTTTTGCACATATTGAACAATAACATTGAATCCATAAACAAAACTAAGAAACAATAGTTTGGAGGAACTCAGTCAATAACATGTATCTTATTGAGTTATTACCCTGCAACTAAAAATATATTATATTGCCAGATCTATTTCTGTAGTTTCTTCCAGACTCTGGATAATCTGTGAGTAATTTCAGCGTGGATGTAAAAGGGCTGGTTTGACCATCTTAATGAGTATTTTCAATGTATTTAATTGTAGAGTCCTATTTTGCAAAGGCTTTGCATCTAAATTGCATACAAAGGTTAACCTGAGATACTTTTTGAATGTCTGTTTAAAATACGTCAGTCAATTCCATTATTGAGAAGTAATAATGAGATAAGACTCATCTCCCCCCTGTTCAATGGATAGTTCCTCTGTGTGAATATCACGCATAATATAAAAATTCAATAAGAATCTATGCATTTTATCTCTAACTTAATTAAAAAGTATACTCAGTAGTTATTATGTCAAATTTATATTAGCAGAACTATGGATCTTCACCCATAGTGAGTTTATTAGTTTATTCCAACACACTTTTTTCCTCCACAACTTACTTTACTTAAAGCTTAAGAGGAAAAAAAACTCAACATCACTGATCATTAGATAAATGCAAATCAAAACCACAGTGAGATATGATGTCATGACAGTCAGAATGGTGATTATTAAAAAGCCATGAAACAACAGATGCTAGTGAGTTTGTGGAGAAATAGGAACACTTTTACACTGTTGGTGGGAATGTAGATTAGTTCAACCATTGTTGAAGACGGTGTTGCAGTTCCTCAAAAATCTAGAACCAGAACCAGAAATACCATTTGAACCAGAAATATCATTTGAACCAGCAATCCCATTACTGGGTATATACTCAAAGGAATATAAATCATTCTACTACAAAGATACATGCTTACATATGTTCATTGCAGCACTATCCACAATAGCAAAGACATGGAATCAACCCAAATGCTCATCAATTGTAGGCTGGGTAAAGAAATGTGGTACATATACACCATGGAATACTATGTAGCCATAAAAAGGAATGAGATAATGTCCTCTGCAGGGACATGGATGGAGCTGGAAGCCATTATCCTCAGCAAACTAATGCAGAAACAGAAAACCAAAAACTACATGTTCTCACTTATAAATGGGAGCTGGACAATGAGAACACATGGACACAGGGAGGGGAACAACACATACTGTGGCCTGTCAGGGGTGGGGTGGAGGAGGGAGAGCATTAGGAAAAATAGCTAATGCATGCTGGGCTAATACCTAGGTAATGGGTTAATAGGTGCAGCAAACCACCATGGAACAGGTTTACCTATGTAACAAACCTGCACATCCTGCACATGTACCCTAGAACTTAAAAAAAAAACAAAAAACCCTCAACTGACATTAATCTTTAAAGGATGCAAAGGTTTTTTTTGTTTGTTTGTTTTGTTTTTGTTCATTTGAAAAAGTTACAATTTCTGGTAAATTAAGAATGAGAAGTAGGTTCAAACCATTTTAAGAGTGCATTTAGCGTTGTCAGTTTTTCAATGTTCTCCCATTTAATCCAATCTCCTCACTTGAAAACTGCATTCAAAAAGGTTTCCCAGAAAAAAAATTTTCCCAGTAAGTCTACTTGAATTAGTGAAAGTTCACAGGCGTATTACTTGCTACCTGCTCGTGAGAAACAATTTACTTAGCTTCATGGAAGAGCATGACACTACAGAAAAAAACATTTTAATGCATTAAAAGGCCAGGTGTACTTCTCAGAAGCTCTACAAGCTTGGTTTTGTAGAGACAAAAACAGCAGCATTCTTCATTTTAAATCTGACTCCAGTCACTGCCAGGGCTCTAACTGCAGCAGTATCTTTTTGCTAGCAAACGTCAAGGACAAGCTGAGGTCACTGAATATCACTTACAATTCAGATGGTTTGCGATGCTGCTGAACAATGTAATACTGCCACATCCTTCTAATATCTTATTTTGTGAATCCTGATGTAACTTTGGAGGCATATTAGTTGGGAGATTTCATCCTTCACATTTTCTTTCAGTTCATGCTACATCCAAATATCTAACACCCATGAGGAAAACTTGCCCCAAAATTCAGAGGCTTCAGAACAGATTTCAAAGCCAACATCAGATAGGAGAGCGGAAGGCAGAAAAGGGCTGCCATTATTTAATCATTACAACTGCTTTTTTAATCATCATAGTTTTTTGAAATTTAAGCACCAGATTTTTAACTTAACTATTTCGGGAGTTTTGTATAATAGGAAAGAGAACACAATTAACAAAAAACATTGGATCATAAGTAGAATGACAACTCCTTCTTAATGCAAAAATAAAAAGATATATGGCTCATAAATATTATATGTTGCATTAAGAGGAGATAGGATAGAGAGAGAGAAAAATGAAAGTAGAGTCTTTTATATAGGCAAAAGGACCTTTAGAAATAAATATCTAAACAGACCTCAGGGATATATGAATATATATATGTATATAATAACATATATATGTTATTCTCAGAATTTATCAGGAGTTAACTGAAGATATTCTTCTACATGTTTTACATTAAAAGCCTACACTATTGCTTGTGTAAGGCTACTATATGATATTTGCATGCATAAATTTCTAAGAAGAAAAAAGCACCGATTCCTCAAAGCTTGAAGTCAGAGACATCATTGACAGTCTTTCTAGTAAGCACAAAAATCCTTAAAAATATTTTAGAGTGTCTTAATCCAGTCTATCATTGTTGGACATTTGGGTTGGTTCCAAATCTTTGCTATTGTGAATAGTGCCACAATAAACATATGTGTGCATGTGTCTTTATAGCAGCATGATTTATAGTCCTTTGGGTATATACCCAGTAATGGGATGGCTGGGTCAAATGGTATTTCTAGTTCTAGATCCCTGGAATACTATGCAGCCATAAAAAATGATGAGTTCATATCCTTTGTGGGGACATGGATGAAATTGGAAATCATCATTCTCAGTAAACTATCGCAAGGACAAAAAAACCAAACACTGCATGTTCTCACTCATAGGTGGGAATTGAACAATGAGAACACATGGACACAGGAAGGGGAACATCACACTCTGGGGACTGTTGTGGGGTGGGGGGAGGGGGGAGGGATAGCATTAGGAGATATACCTAATGCTAAATGACGAGTTAATGGGTGCAGCACACCAGCATGGCACATATATACATATGTAACCTGCACATTGTGCACATGTACCCTAAAACTTAAAGTATAATAATAATAATAAAAAAGATAGTGATGAAAAAAATATTTTAGAGTGTCTGTAAATGAAAATAGAAGAATAAAAAATAGCTTTGGAATAAATTGTTAGATGTTTCTGTGCATGTGCTTGCATGCCCTTGTTCTGTGTGTGTGTGTGTGTGTGTGTGTGTGTGTGTGTGTGTGGAGAGAGAGAGAGAAGTAAAAGGGAGAAAGAAGAGTAAATTTGAGAAAAAGAGAGAAAGGGGAAGATAAAGAAGGGTGCGAGAGAGGGTAAAAAAGAAGAAAGTTTTGAATTAAGTTTCTTGGTGAAGGAAGTTCTTGAATAAGGGTGTCTGATCGATCGAGGTACTTGCCATAGACAGTATTTTATTGTATTGTTTTCTTTCGTTTACTCAATTGCTTTCAAGTGGTATAATAAATTTTTCTATCTTAAAATGCAGATGGGGTCAATGAAGGGGCAGGTGGGAGAAAAACATAAAGACTCTCTAGCCTATTTCCCGGAAAATTTGAGTGGCATGTTTGACAACAACTATCATAATTATAGTTACCTTTCCTCAAATTGCTAGTAGGTACTGGGAGCGGGTCCCAGCTAGTATATACAGCAGTTGCAGTCTTCCAAACTGCTATGCAAGAAAAGTACTCTTATTCCCATATTAAAAATGAGACCAATGCTCAAAAGGAAAAGTAGCTTTTCCAGGACACATGACAAATAAATGAGAATCAGGCTTTCAATTAAGTTCTTACTGCCTCTGCCAGTCGATTCAATCCACACAGCAGTGGCAGGTAGAGAATATGAATGTCCTATGTTATGTTGCCATGGAGTGTTTTCTTCTATTACAACTTACTGATCAATGTCACTGCCATTTGGGCAATATATAGATGAGGTTAGAGGTCAAGATGTAAATGGAATTATGCTCTCCTCAGGCTCACTATAAAATGCCATCTCTTTATGGGTAGCATTCTCTAGTACGTTTTCAGAACATGCAAAATTTAGTACTCTGACTCGTTATTTTTTTAAAGACTGTAAGATTTAGGCAGAAAGTATGATACCTTAACAACTAATAGGTTGTTGATGAAGAAGGCATTTTAGGAAATAAACCTATGATGGAACATAGAAAAAAATCATAGTATCAAATCACAGTATCATGATAATGGTATGAGTAACCTACTTGAGTTAAATTCTCAAATTGTGTTTGTGGTTAAAATAACTTGTTTAAATCTTTGTTTTAAACGATTTTTTTATATTACTGAGTTATAAGAAACTATTTGTCATCTATTCTAGGTAAATAAGGTCATTGCTAATTGAGTTTTGTTGACTTTGAATGCTGAGTAATGGAAATTTTTATTACTACTAATACTTATTAATAAAGAAAATGTTTGATGTTAATATTGTTGCCTACTGATTGTCTTATAATACTCAATTAATGCATAGGTTCATATGAAAAATGATTTCAAATTCAGAGCTGGTATGAAGGTCTGCTCAAGTCAAAAGGTAATATTTAATTTTACATAAGCTTGTCAATTGTAATGCATTGTTGGTCCGTGTTTTCTCACTGCAAAAGCAAGATTATATATAGCTATATTGATGAAAATTGGAAGAAAAGAATTTGAGGATGGTGGTTCATGGACATAAAAGTTGGAGAATTAATAGCAATAGCTACAGCCAAAAACACAATAACTTCCTCTATTGCATCAGGAAAACAAAACAATGCCTTTTCAAGTCAAGGGTTTCTACTGTGTGACGATAAATAGTTATAATAATATTCAGCATTTTCAACCAAAGATCACAAGGTATTTTACAAACCTCTATGTCATGGTTTCAAAACCATGGAATAAAATATGGGTTAAGGACTAAGTGAAAAACTTAAAAATAGAACAAGATGTTCTATTTTATAAAATAAAATTATAACCCAGTGTCCAGAAGCCTCTGATCTCTAAAGCAACTTCTTTACGTCAGAATTCAGAATAGCTACACCTCTGTTCAGTCACTGTATTACACAGTATATTGCAGCATATTTTACTTGGAAAGTTGTTAAGGACATTAAGAAAATGGATGTATAATTGAATAAGAAGTGTACAAAATTGTATTTATAACATGATTATATGTTCCTATTTTTCTAAAAGCATGCCTATATGCATGTATGCATATGCATAAAAGGATATATACATGCTCTAGAAACTTATTTACAATGTGTTAGCAGGGGTTATCTCCAGGGATAGCCTAACATGATTTTTGAAAATATACTTTGGTCACAGGCATTTTTTGTAACTTCATGTATTACTTGTACAATAGAAAAATAACAAAAAGCAGAGAATATTTATAACAGGGTTATATTTAAATATAATTTTAAAGAATTATTTTACTTAGTGATTCACAACTAATATTTAGAAGGGTTTAAGTCATTTAGACTTTGTAATATTATTTGTGTTATGAGTATAGAAATATCATAGAATTTATTAGTTAATGGCTTTTTTTGTTTTAAATGTATCCTTGATATCATTACATATAAAATTATAGTTTCCACATAATTTGTGTTATAATTTTGTGCTAGAATTATATGATTTTCATCTCATTGTTAATTTCTAAATATCATATACCTTTTCTGGAAGTTCATAAAGTTAGTAAAAAAATTCATTTTTTGAGCATTTCTTGAGTGACAAACAGACATTGGGCACATTACATGAATCATTCCACTAATTTCCATAACAACTTTGACTGAGACATTGGCGTTTCAATTTTGAAGATGAGGCAAATTTAAGATTGAAGAGTTTAAAATAACAGCCCAATGTCAAACACATAGAAAATGTCAATGCAAGATTTCTTTAAAAGATTCTGTACCACTAAGAATTACTCTAAGAAGTTAGTCAGAGGGACAGTCAATCCATATGAACTTTGAAAACATATTTAGAAGCATTCATATATTAAAATATACACACAGTTAATTTCAAATCTTCTGGGATTTCTTTCTGACTCCATAGAATTTGAATCTTTAACCACCATGGTGGCCACATTATTAACAATGCAACCATTTGGCAGAACTCCCTGGCTTTAAGGGTCTGATATTAATGCTTTTAAAGATAGTTTAGAAAATAAAAGAAACTTGTATTTACACAGAAAATGAAAGTATTTTGTATATTATTTCATTAATATCAATTCCTTTATCCATGCATCCATCCATCCATCCATCCATCCATCCATCCATCCATCCATCCTACTTGGAGGAAGGATTGACACAGGCTTTATAATAACATTTTTGCAGAAGGCTTACAGTCAGAGCAATGCCTAACCAAGATGTAACTGACTATATGCTGGGCAGTTCAAATTATTTCTTCTAGGTAGTCTTCTCAGAATCCTTCACAGGCTTCCAGCAATGGCTTCCCAGCTCACTTACTCTTTTCCCTCCGGCCAATTTCTAAGCCTCAGCTCACACTCTTGGGATTGTCTTTGGATTGCTGTCTTTTTTAGATAGCATCTCCTTCCTCCTCCTCTAAATTCCTACGTTGTTACTCTGTGTTGTCTTTTTTGTCACCTTTAACTGGTGCTCTGTAATGAGAAGGGCAGTACAGTCCACTTTTGTACCCACAAAGGGCCCCAGAAACATCATGTGCTTCAGGCTCCAGCCTGCTTAAATTAGGGTTTGATCCTGGTTAGGAAAGGCTTTATAGCAGGTCTGAGGGACTATTAGGATGACTCTCAGGAACATCTGGGAAACTAGCTCTGATGCTAATGCAATAGCTAAAAATTCAAGAAATTACTATGACCAAACTGCTTTAGCTTGTGGAAACTGAGAGTGTTAAATCAAATCTGTGAGGACTCAGGCCTGACTCTACTGAATCTCACTCTAATTATATTTCATGTTGTATAACGATGAGCATGAGATTTATGAAATGCATTGGTCTTGATGTGGTGGTGCTCAGCAAACATCCATGCAAGCCTATTTGAACTGCATCTCTCTGGCTAGACTTTGCAGGGCCAGTTGAGCTTCCTGAACATCTGAGATGACTCTTCTTTCTTCACTTGTTAATATACCCAAACGTGAACGCCTAGGATGAGAATTTCAGGGGGTCATAATTGTGCACTATTTTTGTCTACTTTGAAAATGCTGCTAATAGGTCTGACTGGTCTAACTATTTTTGGGGAGATTTTATTCTACAAATAATTTTGCACTTTCCCCAAGCGATACCTATGTTGGTCTCCCCGCTAAGCTGAATTTGTTCTTAATAGATTTAAAACAATACCACTTGAAGAGACTGATATAAATACTCAGACCTAATATGGTAAAATTCTGTGGAGAAAATACTAGGATATTGAAGGGACAGTTGATGATTATGTAATACCAAAGTTGTTCCACTGAACTCCATGTTTTAAGATGTTTTAAGGCCTTGGAATTTATTAAAGGAAGTAGAGTTTTTCAGTGGAGCATGAACACCATACTGTGAACTACTGGGAATCTGACTTGCTGATAGATTCAAAACTTTTGCAATGGCCAGCTGTTAGTGAGATTGTGGCAAAAAACATTGAATTAAAAAATGGTGCTGATGTTGCATAGATAAGATTAAAGGATAGGCACCTCATTAACAGTAATCTCTGCATACCATGAAAAGGGATTATGAAGGCTTATAGTGTCTTGGAGGGACATGGAGATGCAAGAGCAGCTGGATAAATAAACATGGCCCAGGCAAGGGAGATGATTTGCCCAGAAATCAACAACTTTGTAATGTCAGAGACTCATTTAAAATCTTTGTCTCCTAACTTTCAGAATAGTGCTCTTTCCAAACTCCTAGTTTTTTCTTAAGGTGTAGATTTTTCTCAGGGAAGGCATATTCTAATGTTTTCTTTCCCATTTCTCTCTCTTAGCTTTTTTTCCTTATATTTATTTATTATTTATTTATTTATTTATTTATTTTTTATTATACCTTAAGTTCTAGGGTACATGTGCACAACGTGCAGGTTTGTTACATATGTATACATGTGCCATGTTGGTGTGCTGAACCCATTAACTCGTCATTTACATTAGGTATATCTCCTAATGCTATCCCTCCCCTCTCTCCCTACCCCACAACAGGCCCCAGTGCGTGATGTTACCTTTCCTGTGTCCAAGTGTTCTCATTCTTCAGTTCCCACCTATGAGTGAGAACATGCGGTGTTTGGTTTTTCGTCCTTGCAATAGTTTGCTAAGAATGATGGTTTCCAGCTTCATCCATGTCCCTACAAAGGACATGAACTCATCATTTTTTATGGCTGCATAGTATCCATGGTGTATATGTGCCACATTTTCTTAATCCAGTCTATCATTGTTGGACATTTGGGTTGGTTCCAAGTCTTTGCTATTGTGAGTAGTGCCGCAATAAACATACATGTGCATGTGTCTTTATAGCAGCATGATTTATATTCCTTTGGGTATATACGCAGTAATGGATGGCTAGGTCAAATGGTATTTCTAGTTCTAGATCCCTGAGGAATCACCACACTGTCTTCCACAATGGCTGAACTAGTTTACAGTCCCACCAACAGTGTAAAAGTGTTCCTATTTCTCCACATCCTCCCTAGCACCTGTTGTTTCCTGACTTTTTAATGATTGCCATTCTAACTGGTGTGACATGGTGTCTCATTGTGGTTTTGATTTGCATTTCTCTGATGGCCAGTGATGATGAGCATTTTTTCATGTGTCTGTTGGCTGCATAAATGTCTTCTTTTGAGAAGTGTCTGTTCATATCCTTCGCCCACTTGTTGATGGGGTTATTTGTTTTTTTCTTGTAAATTTGTTTGAGTTCTTTGTAGATTCTGGATATTAGTCCTTTGTCAGATGAGTAGATTGCAAAATTTTTCTCCCATTCTGTAGGTTGCCTGTTCACTCTGATGGTAGTTTCTTTTGCTGTGCAGAAGCTCTTTAGTTTAATTAGATCCCATTTGTCAACTTTGGCTTTTGTTGCCATTGCTTTTGGTGTTTTAGATATCATGTCCTTGCCCATGCCTATGTCCTGAATGGTATTGCCTAGGTTTTCTTCTAGGGATTTTATGGTTTTAGGTCTAACATTGAAGTCTTTAATCCATCTTGAATAAATTTTTGTGTAAGGTATAAGGAAGGGATCCAGTTTCAGCTTTCTACATATGGCTAGCCAGTTTTCCCAGCACCATTTGTTAAATAGGGAATCCTTTCCCCATTTCTTGTTTTTGTCAGGTTTGTCAAAGATCAGATAGTTGTAAATGTGTGGTATTATTTCTGAGGGCTCTGTTCTGTTCCATTGGTCTATATCTCTGTTTTGGTACCAGCACCATGCTGTTTTGGATACCATTCCTTCTGCTTCCTTTTCATTCCACTGTATCCAATTCAGCTTATCTCAGCCCAGAGGTTTAATTATTAAAACTTAATATTTTTATTGTCCCTCTCTGACATCTGTACTCATGATTTTCCAGGACTTAGTTTGCCTTCCCTATATTTTGGCCCAAATAACTTGCAGAATATTTGTATTATTTATGGCTCACTTGCTGGACTAAAAATTCAAAATATTGGCTACGGCCAGGTTCATTTATAGATGTGTGTGTGTGTATGTGTGTGTGTGTGTTTGTGTGTGTGTGTGTGTACATTCATGGACACAAACACAATAACATTAGAGATTCTTATTAACATGAGAAATTCTTATATTTTAAAATGTACAACCACATTGTACTTAAGTGGAAATGGAGCTTATACAAAGCTATAGGTCTTTTAAGTTTTAGTATTGGTTAATTATAGTCAAACACATAAGATATGTTCTTTTGCAGTATGTGATTAGGTTCATTACAGACAATAGAAGTATCAAGGTGCATTTTTCATTATTGGTTTCAGAGGCTGCAACTTTGGTGAACAAAATAAGTGAATATAGCAGATAATGAGCCATTCACGAGTGGGTTCAAAGATGGCATCTTTCTTTAACTCCCTCTGAAGCTGTTTATCTGGCCCACATTAACAACACTCAACAGGTGCGTGTGTGTGTGTGTGTGTGTGTGTGTATGTACATAAACATAGACAGAAATATACAAATTATACAAATATATGTATGTATGTATGAGTGTATATATGGTTCTTTGACATATCCATAGAAGTTATAAGCTATCAACCTGTTATAGCTGGCCCAGGTTGACTATAAGATACCAAAACTCAGAAACAAGAGGTTTCAGGTGAATTCTGATAATTTGTCTGGCATAAATTTTGGTTACTCTATGACTACGCCTAGGTAGAGACTACAGTAAAATTACTAAAACTTGCATTGCTCATGAATATAAACTCTAAAATCATATTATCAGCAGAATGGATAATGCATTTTATGCTACACAAAGTATAGGAATAAGCCAAAATATGCAATACTGATGCTCTCTTATGTCATAAAATTTCCACAGCAGCATGATTAAAGATTAAATTTGTTGAGTATTACCAGTGCAGGGAAGCTCCTGGCTAGGGGTGTAATTGAGTGCTGAAATCCAGTTAGTCAAGTCACTTTCTAGGCCTGGTGTTGCATAAGCCAGAGGAAGGGATGCTATATTATCATACATCCATAAGAAACATATGTGATTTTGTAATTCATTCCTATGGAGAGGGTACCTTCAGTAATTCACACAAAAGGACCATATATCCTTGTAGTGTCCTTCGTGAGTTCAACATTTAAACACATTTAACATATTTCCTGAACCATCACCTTAGTTCTTCTATCTAATATGCAATTTCCAGAAGAATTTCAAATGCCAGTTTTTATTTCACTCTAGTAACATGATTACAAATTATTAATTATTTTGTACTATTATATCATTTGAACTTAATCCTCAATATATTTTCTTTTAAACATATCCTATTTTTCTAGATAAGCCCAGTCCAATCTTATTTTCAAAAGAGTGATTTTTTAAAACTTGAAACTACAAAGACTAATATAATGAACATTCAAGTAACTACCTCTTCAAATAAACAAATAAAGACTATCATATGAACATATTTTCAACATAATTTTACAAAAATTAGAGTTGAAGTCCCTGCGTTCACCTCCAAAGCCCCATTCCTCTTCATCCCCAGATACAATTACCATGAATTTGACCTGAAGCTCTCCCGTTTATATACTTTTGTTACGTATATAAAGGCTGTACATTTATAAAAATCATGTGCTTCCCAAAATTATACCCATGAAATCATCTATATCTGGCTTCTTTATTCAACCTCTTTTGGGATCCATAAGATTTAGATCATTTATTTTAAGTAATAGTGTAGTATCCCATGTAAAGTATATGGAAATAATATAATATTTTTACAACTTACCCCTTTTTATGCATTCTTTCATGTCCCACATACTACAAATAATACTCAGAGAGCATGTTTGTGACTATCTCCTACCTCATTTGTGCAAGAATTTTCTTAGAAATGAGTTTTTGTTAGTTATATTGTATGTATACAGTCAAACTTTAGACAAAATAGGACTTCAAAAAGTTTATGAAAATGCATATTATGAAAAACTTATGCAAGGGTTTCAAATTATGTTCTGCCCCAAAATAAGCACATACTAAATTTTTATAACATGTCTGAATAAGATCTATTTTAAAGCACAAAGAGAATAAGACATCAGTTTGAATAGGGCCCACATTAGAGCAACATAAATTTTGTTAAAAATGAAGCGAGAACAAATATTAAATTCATGGTGAAGCTTGGGTGGAAGAATGGTGAAATCACTAATGCTCTACAAAAAGTTTATGGGGACAATGTTCCAAAGAAATCAGCGGTTTACAAATGAATAGCTCTTTTTTTTTTTTTTTTTTTGAGACAGAGTCTTGCTCTGTCACCCAGGCTGGAGTGCAGTGGCACGATCTCGGCTCACTGCAAGCTCCACAATGAATAACTCATTTTAAGAAGGGACAAGATGATGTGGAAAATGAAGCACACAGAAGCAGACCACCCACATCAACATGTGAGGAAAAAAATTAATCTTGTTCATGCCCTAATTGAAGAGGACTGATGATTAACAGCAAAAATAATCAACACCATAGGCATCTCACCTGGTGCAACTTACACAATTCTGACTGAAAAATTAAAGTTGAGCAGACTTTCTACTCAGTGCATGCTAAAACTGTTGTGCCCAGATTAGCTGCAGACAAGAACAGAGCTTTCAATGGGAATTTTAAAGAAGCAGGATCAAGATCCTGAAGCATTTATTTGAAGAATTGTAATCGGATGAATAAAGAGGATATATATAAGGAGCTCAAAAACTCTGCAGGAAAAAATTCTAATAATGCACTTAAAAATGGGTGAAAGATGTGAACAGACATTTCTCAAAATAAGAAATGTAAGTTAATACAACCATTAGGGAGAACAATTTGGAAGTTTCCCCAAAAAGCTGAAAATTGAGCTACCATATGATCCAGCAATCCCATTGCTAGCTATATATCCCAAAAGAAATCAGTATATCAAAGACATATCTGCATTCCTATGTTTATTGCAGCATATTCACAATAGCCAAGATTTGGAAACAACCTAAGTATCTATAAAAAAGACAAGTAAATAAAAAAGAGGTACATACGTGCAATGGAGAACTATTCATCCATACAAAATAATGAGATCCTGTCATTTGCAACAACATGGATGAAACTGGAGGTTATTATGTTAAGTGAAATAAAGCAGGCACAGAATGACAAATTTCACATGTTCTCACCTATTTGCAAGAGACAAAAATTAAAACAACTGAACTCTTGTAGATAGAGACTAGAATGATGATTGCCAGAGGCTGGGAAGGGTAGTAGGCTGAGGGGAAAAGGGAATGGTTAATGAATGCAAAAATAAAGTGTATAATTGGGTTGTTTGTAAAACAATGAAAACATATATGTTTGAGGTGATGGATACCCCACTTACCCTTTGTGGTTATTATGCATTGTATGCCTATTTCAAAATATGTCATATACCCATAAATATATACACCTACTATGTACCCATGATATTAAAAAAAAAAGTAACAGGATATAAAACATCGCTTTCCCAGTATGATCTTGAAGACAAAGCACAAAGCACTAGCAAAGCAATGGCTACCAAGAAGAGGAAGTGGGCCATTCAAAGCAAAGTTGACCAGTCAAGAGCAGAGATCATGGCAACAATCTTTTGGGATGCTTGAGGCATTTTTCTTGTTGCTTTCTGGAAGGCTAAAGAATGAACAAGAATAATAAGAACATCTGCTTATAATGAGAGTGTTTTGAGAAAGTCAAAACTTGAGCAGAACAACACCCAGCAAAGCTTCATCAGAGAGTCCTTCTCCATCACAACAATGCTCCTGTTCATTCCCCTCATTAAACAGAGCAATTTTCTGACAATTTAAATGGTAAATCGTTAGGCATTCACCTAATTCCCAATTAGACTCCTTCTGACTTTTTCTTTTCTAATCTTAATATATATATATATATATATTTACACACACACACGATACATATATATTTCTTGTTCATTAGGGCTTATTTACCCTTTGGACTTTTTTATGCCCATTCATATTTCTATTTTTTATTTGCCTTTTTTCTATGAAGGATTTATTTATGTATCCTGATAAGTACAATTTTAGTAAGTTCTGAATATCTTCTCCCACTCTGATTTTTGTGCCTTTTCTAATAAAGTAGTTTATTGTGCATTTTTTATTTCTGTTTTACGTGTCTTTTGTAAATTTTTTTCTCGTATAGGACAGAAAGACATTCATTTATATTCTATCATTTTTATAAAGTTTTGATTTTTTACATCTTTAATATGTCTATTTTCCCCACTTCCACGTGGAAAAGTGATTCTTCTAGCACTTTACTCACTCATCTATAAGGTCTCTTCATTGCGTATCAAGCCCCCAAATGTGAGTCAGTTTCTGCTAACTGTTGTGTATTTTGATACCTTACTGCTATTTCTTCATCACAGTGAATTCATATTAGCTGTTTCTTTCAAGGCTTTTCTTTCAACTTGTCTCACCCAGAACACTTTCCACATTTGAATCATGTCTGTGCTCTACCATTATTATTTATGATGATCAATTTTACTCTATTATTTGTTACTTACTAATATATGTTTGTTCAGTTTTATCTTTATATGTATAAAATATAAAAGGCCCATGCATATTGCATTGAAAAAGGCAAAAGTGTATTAGAGGAAAATTTTATGGGGAAAAAAGGAACTTATTTAGTGTCCAATTCCAGTTCAGTATACCAGGAGGCAATACTATATTTCCAAAGTTTCCAAAGGACTTCTACATCTGGGATATGTAAAATCTCAAAATGCTTTCCAATACCGTGTGAACATTTTCCCTTTCCATACTTAACCTATGTCAAAGGCTTTCCTTTATTTTAAAGATAAAATTTAAACCTCTTGGTACATCACTGAAGGCTCTTGGAGATCTAGCAGCCTCTACTACCTTTCCCTGCCTTTGAGCATCTAATAATTCAACTTTTCAAAAAAGAAAATGACTTTTGAAAGTTGATATTTTGTTGATATTTTTGTTCTGGTTTCCTTCACATTCTGCCTCTTCTCTGTAAAAGACCCAAGTCTCTCAGCTTCTTTACTTGGCTGAGTCCTAAGTCATCCTTGTAATACAGTACTCGTTTTGCCAGAGAACGCTGCATGATGCTTCTGTCTGTAGATAATTTATTGGCCCATATCATATTAATTGATCCACTAGCTGTTAAATAATTTTGGTTTGTTTTTAAAGGCCACGATTATAAGTTTATGTTTGTTAATCTCAGTATTTTCAGCATTAACAGACTACTTTAAAAATGATGGTACCACATTTGATATACTAATACAGCCAATATTTATTAATCATTGAGCAGAATTGTAGGTATATTGAGAAATATAAAGATGTATGAGATATTAGGTCTCTATTTACAGTCTGATTAGAACCACAGGTATCTTTATAGAAAATTATCAATCAAAGAAAATGTAATTAACAAAGGTATCCTTCACAGAAATACTTAAAATTATTTTCCTATGGACATAAGAGTAACATAATTTGTGAATAATCCATAAACTTAATGAAGAGAAAACAGCATCAGAAAATGCAAATAAAAGAAAAAGAAATTTTAAGAGAGTATATTATTACCTCTGACAATTACTGGCTTTATAGTATATGTACTTTCAATTTGTGTATGTTATTTGTGTGTATGTTAAATACCTATATATAGATGGGGAGAGAGAGGGAGAGAGAAGGAGGAATGGGAAATTTGGACAACTCTATATAAATAATATATAGTCCTATTTTAATGACCACAGATAAACGTTTGAAGTTTCCTTAATTTATTTAACCAACCAATCCCATATTGATAAATACTGTCAGTGTTTGCAAGATTTTGCTATTGTTATCATATATTAATGAAGACTTTTCTAAATGTTATGGAATATTTGAAAATATATTTCTAAGCAAAAAATTTGTAAATCAACTATTATGAATGTTTTTAAAACATTAAACACATATTGACAAATTACTTCCTAGAAATTTTGTAAAAATTCACACTCAATTCACAATATATTGAAGTGTCCTCAGAAACACTAGGTATTTACTAGTAAAATAAATTTCTGAGGATAAAGATTAAATATAATGTCAATAACCATAAGTCCTTAATTCATCAGGGATTTATTTTGGGATAAAATGTGATGTAGGGATGTGTGCTGTTAGCCAATTATTCTATTGTCATTTATTGGTTAATCCCTTTGGTCATTCTACCTACTTAAAATGCCAATTTAATATTCATTTTAACTAAATTATTATGCAAAATTGCCTTTGTTTCTGAACTTTCATCACTCTTGCCTTGACCTATTATCCTTGCACTTTGTTGCTGTTATTCCAATGTTTTATTTAATACTTATTTTTTTAAAAAAATTTATGAGAGACAGGGTCTCACTTTGTTGCGCAGGCTGGAGTACAGTGGCACAATCATGGATGGCTCCCTGCAGCCTTGAACTACCAGCTAAAGCGATCATCCCACCTCAGCCCCTCGAGTAACTGGGACTTAAGCGTACACCACAATGCCTCACTATTTTGTTAAATTTTTTGCAGAGACAGGGTCTCACTGTATTGCTCAGGCTGGTTTCAAACTCCTAGCCTCAAGCAATCTTCCCACCTTGGCCACCCAAAATGGTAGGATTTCGGACATGAGCCACCAGGCCCAGCATACTCTATGTTTTTCTTGATAGTATGTTTATAAAGATTTTAATGATTGTGAGGGAAAGCTCCTCTCACATTTACTATTTTAATTCTAAATCAATATGTATCCAAATGGTATTTAGAATGACTTAGTCCAGTTTACTATGCCTTCCCAAAGTTTAGGATTTGAGTTAAGATATTCTTAGGTGTCCACAAGTCTATTTATTTAAAAAAAATTATATTTATTTATTTTTGTATTTCTTTTAAATTCCATAGGAAATGTATGTAGTTTTATTTCATACAGTTCCAGAAATACCTTTTAGTTAATTGCTTAGAATTTTACATTTATCCTGCTGTTGTATGTGGCTCCTTATTTTCTATTTTGAGTGTTTATTATTAGAATATAGGAAAATTTTATTTCTTATATTCAATCCAGCTATGTTAATGGACAGATAAGTTTTAATCAGTTTTTAGTTAGTTTTCTTGGATTTCCAAAGTAGAAAATCATGTAATCAGCGATTAATATTATTTTCCTCTTTTGATTATAAATTTGTATTTTTTTTAAATTTGCTTCCCTAAATAATGATACTGGAACTTCTAGCAGGATGTTAAAAAAAAATAATGATCATAAAGGCCAACATCGTCTTGCCCCTAAGTTAAATGGAAATGTCCCTAATGCTAAGGCTACTTCAACCTTCATTAACAGCTCATTATCTTAAGGAGGAACACAAGTTATTTCAACATTCCACTGCTGTTTTCATTATTTCTCTTAAATTGTTTTGAATGTTTCTTACTTAATTTGTTTCTATATTTTGATTATTGAGTATAATCAATTTTACTTTGTGACAGATACTTTTATCCTTTTACTCGTAGTTTGCTAAGAGTTTTAATTAAAGATACATGCTCATTATTGCTTTTCTGGGGCATCTATCATGATTATACAGTTTTTCTCCCTTCACCTACTGATATAATGCATTATATTAGTAGAGTTTCTCATATTAAAGCATTCTTTTTATTTTAATTTATTGATAGATTTTATATGTTTTGATTTTAATTAGTTTTTAATGTATTTTATATGTGAGATTGGTTTTTAATGTTTTTTATTGTACTATACATTTCAGGTTCCAGTATCAATTGCTATATATGATATGAGAGAAGTAAAACTGTAAAATAATAACAATCTCTAAAATTGATTGTTTTAATATGTTCCTTGAAATTTACCAGTAAACAGACCATTGCTTTATGAAAAAAATTTATAATATGAAGTGTTTATGAAATAGTACCTCCTGAAGAGTAAGGTACCACAGTTCAATTGAAAATATGTTTTCTGTGTTTACTTCTTTATAAAAATGAAGGAATAAAATCATTCTTTCAACTACCATTTAAGAAACACAAAGAACCAAGTCTCTGAACAAAAGAATGAAATTTACAAGTAAAAATAAAAGAATAAAAATTAGATTTTTTTTTTGCCTTAGTGTTACTTATAAAATAGAACTATGTATGGTTCTCAATTGTACGTACAGAGGAACATATATTTCCGGGTATATGGAGTCATAAAAGTCCATTCGTTTTTGTGCTTTCAAATCAATATATTATCCAGTCTTGTCATGATGAGATATTAAAAATATTTAGTTAATGTTTTAGAACCACATATTCATTTCTTTATTAAAATTAAAATACACTTTTTATGAAAATGTAGTGAATGAACATATGTTTTAGTATTCAACCATCAAAATTATATAGAAATAAATAGAAAGTATGTAGACAGAGTAGATCTATAAATTATTTCTTTTCTGTAAGATATACATTACATTTACTTTATATTGCCCATGAAACATCGTATTGTATGTGAAAACATAGAACAGTAAAAAACACTGAAAAAACTCCAGGTCATGCCAAACATGAACATTTATGTTTAAAGTCCTTGGAATTATTGAGTCAGATAGAAAAAAACAATGACTATAATCTAGAAAACAAAGGAAAGTTTTGGTAACTGCGCAGGCACTATTAATCTGAAGGGATTTCTCAGAAGACTCAGTAAGAGTTATGTAAGGAACAATGAAAGATGCAGCAGAATATAAATAAATCAAACAGGGAAATCTGGAACTTTTTCCATGACTGCATGATGGCTGCCCTCACATTCATCCCCTGTGAAGCTTAACAGGGCAGGCTTTTCAAGGGATCATCCAAATACCCATAATGGAGAGTTTTTATTGAAAACACATTAAATTTGTTTAACTCTTTTCTTCACAATGAAAGTTAAGAAGTTCCATTTTTCAGCAAGCTGCTGTGAATCACTCATAGTTGCAGGTCAGATTAGAAGCCCACTTAATGTTTGCTCCCTTTATTTTCGATTTTGCAATGAAAATATCAGCAAAGCAAAGGGAAAACACATTATGTTTAAATGAAGATGTATTTAATGACAACAATCATAGAATAATAAAAACAATAAATTAATAAAGGCTAGACAAATTTGAGGAGGAAGTGGGGGCAGAGGAAGATTTAGAGAATAGATAAGTAACACACATTTAGCCAAATAAATATGTGGCAAGAGTAAAAAAAGACATAAAGAAAAGATAATTAAAATTTAAATAAATCTTTCTGTGTATCAGGAAATGTGCGCAGAACCTTCATGTGTTACATTTTATAATACTCTAAACAATCAGTGTGATATAGTATCATTTTTATGTTCTATGTAAAAAAAAATTGGAGGCTTCGATAGCAAGAGTAACTAATAATTGATAACTCTTATTAAACTTCAGAGTCAATCCCATTATACTTTGTAGTTTTAAATGACAGGCTGTGCACATATTTTGTGTGGCACAGACATCTTAAAATATTTTGGAATTAAAGACCAACATTTTAAATTAAGGAGTTTAAACATTTTTCAAAAATCAGATGTCTGTCCAGACTGGGCTGACCTTCCCTTGCTCCTACAAGCGGAAAAATCTAGGTAGTGGTGGCCCCAGTAAAGAGGATGCCTTTCTTGTTGCCCAAGTCCTCAGTTGCTGGTACAAGCATATGCACCTGTATATCTCTGAATCAATTCAAATCTTTATATTACTCTCTGACCATTGATGCTCAGACCTCTCATAAAAAGAATAGAGTCTAGAAAATACATAGGACAAAGGTGAAATAATTCAAACATCACACACATACAAACACAAACACACACACACACAAACACACGACTTCAAAATCAAGGGATAGCTAAAGAAAATAAAAGACTCAAAACAGAAAAAAGTAAAAATGACCCTAAATTATTTGATAGATACACAAAGCTAAGAATAATTTATTTTTAGATTTTTTATTTATTTTGTCATTATTGTTCTATCGTGTTGGAATGTGTTTCAACAGTTAAACATATGGATGTTTTACATCATGATGTCAGAAAATCACTCTGGAATAATTAATCTGTAATCGTGTGGTGGGAGAAGTGCATACATAATGCTCTGAAAGCTAAAAATCCCCCTGTGTACAATAGCAAGTTCATTGTTAAGCATCCTTTTTATTAAGCATTACCTATAATTATGTACACACAAAACACACACAGTGATCTCTAAAATTAACTCCGAGATATTTGAGAAGACATCATTTTATTTCTTTTTTTTTTAATTATACTTTAAGTTTTAGGGTACATGTGCACAATGTGCAGGTTTGTTACATATGTATACATGTGCCATGTTGGTGTCCTGCACCCATTAGCTCGTCATTTAACATTAGGTATGTCTCCTAATGCTATCCCTCTCCCGTCCCCCCACCCCACAACAGGCCCCAGTGTGTGATGTTCCCCTTTCTGTGTCCAAGTGTTCTCATTGTTCAATTCCCGCCTATGAGAGAGAACATGCGGTGTTTGGTTTTTTGTCCTTGCAATAGTTTGCTGAGAATGATGGTTTGCAGCTTCATCCATGTCTCTACAAATGACATGAACTCATCATTTTTTATGGTTGCATAGTATTCCATGGTGTATATGTGCCACATTTTCTTAATCCAGTCTATCATTGATGGACATTTGGGTTGGTTCCACGTCTTTGCTATTGTGAATAGTGCCGCAATAAACATACGTGTGCATGAGTCTTTATAGCAGCGTGTTTTATAATCCTTTGGGTATATACCCAGTAATGGGATGGCTGCGTCCAATGGTATTTCTGGTTCTAGAGCCCTGAGGAATCGCCACACTGTCTTCCACAATGGTTGAACTAGTTTACAGTCCCACCAACAGTGTAAAAGTGTTCCTATTTCTCCACATCCTCTCCAGCACCTGTTGTTTCCTGACTTGTTAATGATTGCCATTCTAACTGGTGTGAGATGGTTGGTATCTCATTGTGGTTTTGATTTGCATTTCTCTGATGGCCAGTGATGATGAGCATTTTTTCATGTGTCTGTTGGCTGCATAAATGTCTTCTTTTGAGAAGTGTCTGTTCATATCCTTCACCCACTTTTTGATGGGGTTGTTTTCTTCTTGTAAATTTGTTTGAGTTCTTTGTAGATTGTGGATATTAGCCCTTTGTCAGATGAGTAGATTGCAAAAATTTCCTCCCATTTTGTAGGTTGCCTCTTCACTCTGATGGTAGTTTCTTTTGCTGTGCCGAAGTTCTTTAGTTTAATTAGATCCCATTTGTCAATTTTGGCTTTTGTTGCCATTGCTTTTGATGTTTTAGACATGAAAACCTAGGCAATACCACTCGGGATATAGGCATGGGCATTTTATTTCTTTATGGTACGTGCAGCAACTGAGATGGAGAATTGATGAAGGTACACTGAATTCATAAAAGGAATTTATTGAAAAAAATAAAATTAGGAATTTTTCTTACCATGCTCTCTATTTATAAAACCATGTTTGCATCACCAATTCATATTTGTTGTCTTATTACCCCAAAATTACATAATATATGTAATACTCTGAGTGTGTTGGTTTTTTACTGAGGTATTTCACTGTTAAAGTATTACATGAAAAGATATGGTGTATTTATAATTATCTAATTTGATTATTAGAAATTGAAAATACATATAATTCAGATTTCCAAATATATTTTCAAATTTGTGGGTTTTGTTTGGTTTAATTTGAAAGAGTGGTGGTTAAGTGTAAATTAAAAAATCAAGCTGCCTGGATTCAAATCCTGTTTCTGTCACTTACTAATTGTGTGACCTGAAGCAAATTAATTTTCTTAGCCTCTGTTTATTAATCTTATAAATAAGGATAATCATAACACATCTCTCATAGAGCTCTGAGATAATTAAATTTAAAAAGTACAAACAAGATACTTAGCAAAATGTTTGATATATACTAAATACTAATATTAGCTAGAATTAAAATTGTTACATTAATTAAACTACCCTAGCAGTCGGCAAATTTCTACATTACCTCAGAGACTAGAGACAATAGAAGAAGGGAAAACTCCAGGGTATAGATTTATTTAATTAAACCTGAAAAAAAAATGAGATTACTCAGAGTATTTCAATTATAGGTCACCTGAACCAGGGCTAGAACTGTAGCAAACAGGTTCGTTGTATTTTCCTCTCTATTAAATTGGTGGGTTAGCTTTTTACCGTTTTTTAAGCTTTGAAATATGTCCCACTCCCACCAACAACTTAATTCAGGAATTGGTTTGCTGTCAGAGATGCCAGCATAGTGTTAGTTCTTTATTTTTGATACTTGAAATTTTAAGGAGGACTAAATTGTAAAGCCATTTTGGGAAGATTAGACATAACCCTTATAAGATATTATCACTAAAAAATTATGATCCTAGTTTTCAATTGATGTGCATATAAAACAACAAAATGTCAAGAGCCATCAGTATCCCATACTCCACCAGAGAGTACAAAGCATTTCTAATAAGAAAATCAACGAGAAATAATTCCAAATGTCACTGTTTGCTAACAATAAGAGCCTTTTTCTCCAGCTTCTTGTACAACTTCCTGCTTCACTTGCTCTGGTTACTTTAGCTTTCCAGGCTTTTGCAACAGTATTTTCTTCGCCTGAAATGCCCCTTCCTATGTTTGCCATATGACTAGCTCCTTGTCATATGAGGGAGGAGTTAATAGAATGGATATCGTTTTGACTCTTTTGACAAGACATTTTCAGACTACTCTGAAAAAGTTGCAGAATCCCAGGCATTCTTGCTTATATCCTCCTTCTTTAATTTCATTATCTCCAAGTCTATAAATATAGTTTTAATTTGTTTATTTTAATACATCTGTATTACTAGGTTATAAACTTCATTAAAACAAGAACTCTGACTTGTTTACCACATACCCAGAATACATAAAACATTTGCTGAGGTATTTGATAGGAGTCCTGAAAACAGCTGTTCAATGATGGGTTAAACCATCCATCTATTTCTACTTCTCTATAAGGTGAGTAAAATAGAAACAGGGTCCTATTTAATTGTGCTGCCTAGTTTAGAATAACCCCTTGATGAATAAAAGAGCTAATTTTAAAGATGATATTCTCATGCTGAATTCAATAACGTATAGAGAAATTCTAAGAGTGGGATGTAATCAGTTATGTGCAAAAGGGATTTAGAGAAGAGAACAAATGGTATGGCCTTCAATTGTCTGGTAAATCTCTATGATAGAAACAAAACCTTGGCTTTTGTGCTTATCTTTTAAAAGCTGGAAAAAGATGTGCATGCACAGACACAAGTTGTTGAAAGCCATCTCGGGCAGGAATAATGAACAAAGATAAAAGGTGAGCAAGAGCTTTGTGTATGAGGGTCAAACTAAAATACTGTTCAAATAGGAATGGGACATTTTTGTTGGCTGGTGGCTAGAAAAAAATTGGGAGAGTGGAGCTCAACAGGAAGGACAGGTTGAAGAGGCTAAGAGTGATATAATCATCACAAATCTCCCTTTCCATATTACCTATGCTGCTCCATGCAAATCCATACTTTCCTCTCTGTGTTCTGCCACGTCTACAACTGTGTGACATTCCCAAGAGCAAGGACTAGGCCTTTATGCATCATTGTACCCCAACACCTAACATGCTTGCTGACATGTACTAAACACCAAAAATGATTGAACATATAAAAATAAGCCATGAGGAATCCCTGATCATTTTTGAATAATAAAATAGCCAGGTGATAATTGCGTTTTATAAATATGCAGAGATAAAAGTTTGAGGAGGAAATGTAGGAGGCTAGTCACAGAAATTTGGGATTGAAGCATTGTGGGGTCTGGGTATCAGTGGTGGCAAATAGGAACCAAAAGAAAAATTGTTAAAGAGTCCTGTAAATAAAGGCTGCTCATATATTATCAACTGATTAGATGTGTAGAATAGAAAAAGTAAACGGGAGTGAACAATGATTCCAGTGTTTTGCTTCTGGGAACCAAAACCAAGTATTTGTTTAAATATTTGTTCTAAGTCTGAATGGGAACACAGTCCACAGATTTGAGATTTTAATTTTGGCTCTGCTATTTCCAGGCTGTGGGATTTCAATACATGATGACTTCTCCCATTCTCTTCCATATAGGGGCAATCATAGATACTTCATATGGTTATTAGAATTAGGAGGTAGGAAAGTTTCAGTGTCATCTATGGAAGGGTTTCAAATTATGAATTATCTTATTATCCAGTTGTGGTTCTTTTGCTCTACACTGTATCACTCCGGATCTAGAACAAAAAATATTTCACTTGATTTCAACCAAAATGAAGCACTGATCTTTATTTTATTCAAAACTTTATTAAAAGTTTCAAAAGACTGAAAAGTGTTTGTTATAGCATTTCAAAAAAAAAATCAGATCCTCTTTGCTTTTTCTCTAGAAGTTTAGGACTCTTCCCTCTCTCTGTATGTGTCTCTCCCTTCTTTCCTCTCTATCCCCTCTCCCTCCCTCTCCCTCTCTCCCTACCTCACTCCCTTCTCTTTTCTTTCTTTCCCTCTATCTGCTTATATTCCCAAGAAACTAAGTCAAAATCTTTTCCCATTTTATTACACAGAACAGCATGTCTTTTGCCAAACACTTTCACAAAACCAACATGACAATTAGTTTAGAAAGTCTGAAGACTCATGTTTTGATGGTGAGTCAGCACCACAGATTCCTCCTCAAGGAGGGAGTGCCTCCCAGTTACAAGGGTTGGGGTTTGCTAAGAGCTCCTAGTTCTTAGTGTTTTCAGTATTGAAGCTGGAGTCCCATCCTCTCAAAGCAAGGTAATTACAAGGGGCTCCCCATTTTCAACTAAGGCAGAATATCCAAAGCAGACATTCTTTGCTCTGGAGCCCATCATTTCATTGGCAGAGATTTGTCAGACTCATGGCTTTATCTAGAAGTTCACCTGCCCAATCCTACTTCTTACCTTGTGGGATTAACTGATGTTAAACCCCCAAAATCATTTTACGCTCTTAACTTCATCTTAACTTCTGCTTCTCCAAAAAATCAACTTTGACAGTTATTTCAAGGCTCTGAGAAAGCTGATTCTGAGCTGAAGTTTTGCCACAGCCTATTCATTCACCATCCAGCTGGAAATGAAGTCCCTTTCATGGAGATAAATGATGTGCAAAGATTTCCTGGGATATGGTGGCAGTTTAATTCTTAAAGTTTTTACCCATGGTGATATGGAATGGAATGTGAGTGGAGGCAAATACAGTGTCATAACCCAAGCATCTGAAATGTATAAGGGAGGTGTCAGTATAAAAATAAAAGAATTGGATGCTTATTGATAAATTGCCTTGATGTAGACTAATAATAAAATACTGAATGGTGCTGGGGATAACTGGATAACTATATGTGAAAGAATGAAACTGGACCTGTACCTTTTACCATGTACAAAAAATTAACTCAAGATGGATTAAAGATTTAAATGGAATACCTAAAACTATAGAATCCTAGGAGAAAACCTAAGAAAGACAATTCTGGACATCAGCCTTGGAAAATAATTTATGGCTAAGTCCTCAAAAGCAATTGCAACAAAAATAAATATTGACAAGTGGGACCTAACTAAACTAAGGTGCTTCTGCACAGCAAAAGAAACTATAAACAAAGTAAACAGACAAGCTATGGAATGAGAAATAAATATTTGCAAACTATGCATCCAGCAAAGGTCTAATATCCAGAATCTATAAGGAACTTAATTCAACAAGCAAAAAACAAATAACCCCATTAAGAAGTGAGCAAAAGACATGAACAGACACTTCTCAAAAGAAGAAATACAAGCAGCCAACAAACATATGGAAAAAATGCTCAACATTACTAATCATCAGAGAAATGCAAATCAAAACCATGATATGCCATCTCACACCAGTCAGAATGCCTATTATTAAAAACAAAAAACAAAAACAGATGCTGGCAAGGCTGTGGAGAAAAGGGAGTACTTATATACTGTTGGTAGGAATGTAGATTAGTTCAGCCACTGTGAAAATGAGTTTGGAGTTTTCTCAAAGAACTTACAACAGAACTACCATTTGACCCTGCGATCCTATTAATGAATATATATCCAAAATAAAATAAATTGTTCTACCAAAAATATGCACTTTTATGTTAATTGTAGCACTATTCACAATAGCAAAGATGTGGACTCCACCTGGGTGCCCATCAACTGTGGATTGGATAAAGAAACTGTGGTACATATACACCATGGAATACTAAATAGCCATTAAAAAAGAATGACGTCATGTCTTTCGCAGTAACATACATACAGCTAGAGGCCATTATCCTAAGCCAACTAATGAGGAAACAGAAAATCAAATACCACATGTTCTCACTTATAAGTGGGAGCTAAACAATGGGTACTTTTGGACATAAACATGGCAACAATAGAGACCAGGGCCTACTACAGAAGGGAAAAAGGGAGTGAGGCAAGGGTTCAAAAAGTGTTGGGTTTAATGCTCACTTCCTGGGGGATGTATTCAATTGTATCCCAAACCTCTGCATCCTATAATATACCCATATAACAGACCTGTACATGTAACCCCTACATTTAAAATTAAAGTTGCAATTACAAAACAAACAAACAAAAAACAACTGTGAGAGCCAGATAATCTCTTTGGTATATCACAAAGAAGCCAAAGTAGCCTTTTTCTCTTGTTCTGAGTGATCAGGAAAAACTAAGATCAAGCCAAGAATTTGAAAAACAGATTGCTAAAATTCAAAGGCCATTCAGTGTTCAATGATAGCAGATCTGTTTTGCCACAGATCAGGCCCAAGTTGGGAAACCTGGGACCCTGACCCAAGACTGGGACATCTAAGTAGATGCCCTGTAATATGGTTTGGATCTGTGTTCCCACCCAAATCTCATGTCAAATTGTAATCCCCAGTATCGGAGGTTGAGCCTGGTGGGAGGTGATTGGATCATGTGTGTGGGTGGGATTTTCCCCTTTATACTGTGTCACAATAGTGAGTTAATTCTTGTGAGATCTAGTTGTTTAAAAGTGTGTAACACCTTCCCCCTCTCTCTCTTCCTCCTGCTCCTGTTATGTAAAATGCTAGCTTCCCCTTTGCCTTCTGCCATAATTGTAAGTTTCCTGAGGCCTCCCCAAAAGTCTAGTAGATGGCCAACATCATGCTTCCTGTACAGCCTGCAGAACCATGAGCCAATTAAACCTCTTTCCTTTATGAATTACCCAGTCTCAGGTATTTCTTTATAGCATAGTGAGAACAGGCTAACAAACTCTGGAGTTTTGTTGTTTTTTTTAACTCTCTAGACTTTTCTTAATGTTCTGAGCTTGAAGAAGTGGGCTACCTCACCCCATAAAACCCACACCTTCCCTCCAAATCAGAAAACACTACAAAGGTATTTACTCACGGAAGCTGCTGTCCCTCAAAAGCTGTAGCCATTTCCTTTTCTGGCCTCTAAACCTACAAACAGGATTAAGTCACAGCATAATCCATCCAGGGGTTGATAAGCCTGAATTGCCATGACAGGTGGCAGAGGATGGGATTAAAAGGCTTAGGAAAGTAAGTATTATGTATACCTATTTCAGACCCAGAAACTATAAACTGACATGGTGGTTCGTTCCTCCTGGTTAAGTACCCTACAACACCTCGGCAAGGACACACCGTAATATTTTCTCTAGGTTTTTTCCAGGGACCTATGGCCATTTACTTGGGCTATTACCTATGGGTCATTTACTGTACACTGGGGAAAGAGAAACACAGAGATATTTTGAGGACAGTTGAACACAGAGTTTACGTTAGCATTAATGCCTGCAGAACTAAAGTGGCCTTATGGCTCCCCTAATGTGGGGTCATGTGAGTTCAGATAATAGAATCCTGACTAAAATCCAACTTAAAATGGATTCCACAGGTCTGCTTGGTGGAAATTTTCTTGAAATCTGAATATATATTTGGAATTGATATACTTAGCAGTTAAAGTAACACTAGAGTTTGGGTCTTTTGCCTGTGAGGGTGCCTTCATAATGGGGGAAGGCCAGATTACCAGGAGGAATGTCAGAGATATATTACCATGTTTAAGGATATAAAATATGCAGCTTACTTTTCCATGCAAGTTGATAGAATAAAAAGATGCAGCAATAATTGTTCCCATTATATCTTCCTTTAATCTACTAGTCTGACTCATGCAGAAGCCGGATGGATCCTGAATCCCAATGAATAACTATACAACACTGTAGACTTAACCAAATAGTAACTGCAATTGCAGCTGCTGTGCCAAATGTGATATGTTTGGTAGAGCAGAGTAATCAAACTTGGGTAGACTATGTGGCCATTGATTTTGTAAATATGTTTGATATTCATTTAGCAAAAAGGATAAGAAACAGCTCTCGTTCCCGTTCCCTTGGACCAAACAAGAATATCCATTTACTGTTTGCCAAAGGACTGTGTTAACTCTATTACACTCTGTCATAATATAGTAAAAAGAGATCTGGACTGTCTAGACATCCTGCAGAACATTATGTTGATTTATTACATCAATGACATTATGCTCATTAGGAAGGATAAACAAGAAGTGGCTCCAGTTGGCTTTGGTAGGACACGTGTGTTTCAGAGGCTGGAAGATAAACCATTCAATGATTAAAGGACCAGTCACTACTGTAAAGTTTTAATGGTGCAGTAGTAAGGGACATGACAGGACATCCCCTCTAATGTAAAAGATAAATTGCTGTATTTTGTTTTCATCTCCTACTCTAAAGAAGGAAGTATAACTCCTAGTAGACCTCCTCGAGTTCCGAAGAAAACACATTGTACACCCTCAAATACTGCTCCAGCCCACATACAGGGAGAAAGGGAAGGTTTCCAGCTTTGAAAGGGGCTTCACACTTCAGCACTTCCAGGCTGCAGTGTGAGCAGCAGCACTGTGGGTTGTATGATTCAACATAATCTTTGAAGTTGAAGTATGGATGTGGGGAAAAGATTCAGTGTGGAGTTATGGCAAGCTCTGGTGCATCCTGGGATTCTGGAGCAAGGGTATGCAATATGCAATAAAAAATTTGAAGTCATTTTTCAAATAGCTCCTGTAATGCTACTGAGCACTGGTAGAAGCAGAAGGTTTGAATCTTGACTGCCTGTAACTTCCCATGATGAGTCTGGTACTGTCAGATGCACTGAGTCAGAAAGTTCAGTGGGCTCAACAGACCCTTTGGGTGAATCACTTAAAAACAGCTACAAGATAAGGAAAAAGCCCAAGCATATTTTACATGTGGTTTTGCTTATTATGTGGAAGCTAGCCAGAAAGGAATGGTGGCTTCACTCAAGGTTAGGCTTCAAAGACTCTCATAAGACAGGAGCACTTGGACATTTACTCTATGTGGAAGGAGAATTGACCTAAGGTTATAACATATGCAGACTAATGGGCAGTGAAAATGGCTGGATTAGTTGATGATGGACTTGGGAAGAAAATGATTAAAAGATTTACTCAAGGAAGTCTAGGGTAAAGGTATATGTTTGGACATAGGGTATTAGGCATGAAGTAAGAATGCCTACCAGAATACACACACCAGGGAAGAGGCATCAAACTTCCAAGTGAAAGTAATGCTCAACCAGTTCATGTTAGTTGATACAGAAATGCCAGCAGCCACCACAATACTATCATTATGCATACATTAAAGACTAGGCTATGATAACAAGGACAGAAGTCAGGCATGCACCCAGAAGTATGCATTCTACTTACCTGAGCTAAACTACTGTTACCACCACCTGTGAATTTCCCCAATTCCAACAATACAGACCAATGCTTACATACAATAAGTAATAGTATGACATTATTAGGTAGACCAAATGGCTACCTAGTTCCAAGTTGACTATATTGGGCCCTTTTATACTACAGGTTTCATGTGGTTCATTTACAAAGGAATAGGTACCTATTCAGAGTGGGAGTTTGCTTTTTCTTCTTTCTGGGCCTCAGCCAGCACCACTATGCAGGTGCTTACAGAATGCCTTATTGACAGCCAGGTAATTCCCAAAAAGCATCTAATCAGGATCCACTGGCTGTAACACAGAATACATCACCCCACTGCTGCTGATCTGACAGTGCGTAAGGAAGTCCTGCTGAAAGAAAATCTAAAGCATCATCTTGGAGGCAATATCAGGCAAGAATAAGGTACTATCATCTAGAATGCTTTCTATGCATTGAGTCAAGGATATTTATATGGGTAGAGGCTGAGGACGCTTTTAAGCATCCTGAAATGAACAAGACAACCTCCCACAAAAGAATTATTCAGTTCCAAATGTCAGTAGTGCCAAGGTTAAGAACAACTGCACTAAAGATACAGAAGTAATATAAGGTCATTGGCCACAAAAACTTTGTTGCATAGAGTAACACGTATTGATAAAATCAGGTCAGGTAAAAATTTAGGATCATGTTATCCTATTTTCTGTTTCTTCCTTTGAGGTTGAACTGCCTTTGACACTATTCATTTTAACCTAAACTTACAATATAGTATTTAATATTCTAAGTGATAACATCAGATTTTCCTGTACTATTTTAGAATGAATAAAATTTGTCATGCTAAGTCACCAGTGAATGTCCAAAAGAAAAATAAAAAGATTTTTCTAAATGGAAGACTTGTTAAAATGTGATAAGTTTCCTGATGAATAAACTTGAAAACTATTATCTGACTTTCATTTTCAAAAGCCCAAACAATGAAACTCTCCTCCTGCTTTCACATTAAGTTAAATATAGGCTTACGAAGACAAGAATGGAAAGATTATTTTTTCCTCATAAGACATATATTTTATTTTAAATGTTGTACGTGTTATGACTATCATTTTGCACCTGTATTTGCTAAGATAAAGGATTTAAATAGAAAAATACAGGAACAAATAATAAAAACAAATTACAAATATTGAAATTCTACCATTTAATGTATTCTATCTTGTCTTCGTAAGTATTTTTCTCTTTTCTTAATTATTATAAAGCAATTAGTAAATATATAGTAGAAAATAGAACTGGAAAAATGCTGATTGGCAATTTCACATACATTTAAAATTTATCTAACACTTCCAGTAATAATGCATTGTTTTATACCAATAAACCATGTATATTATACCAAGATGTTCTGTATGTGCAATTTAGAATGTAATCTCTCCTAGTCTTAGTTCCAGTACATAAAATACTAAATTTAATGCCACAGAGGTAGTGTCTAACTGTCCAACCAGTATAGTACTTTTGCCCGAATTTTCTAGTAACTTTAATTGAGTAGTAAATTCATTCCTACTGCCAAGACTGTTATCAGTTTTTGACTAAAGTGAAAGAAGGAACGGTCACTTCAGGGAAGAGGTCTTAAATCTAGCTCACAGGGAAAGAGGGAATAAAATTTGCATTTTAAAAGATTTACTATAAAATAAACAGGGAAGCCCACACAGAAAGGAGGGTCATGGAAGATATGACAGCACAATATTGATAATGATACTTAATGGGATAAGTTATAAAAACATTTTTCTAATGCATAGTTAATGGAGAAAGTGCTAAAAATAAATTCAGGTAATTAGGAGGCATCTTGGTTTTGCTAGTAAACTGTTTGCTGTTAAATATATGGGGCTAGCCTAAAAAAAAAAAACCATAAATGAGCATTTCCCCACATTACACATCGAAGATGCGGAAAGTAATTGCATAGTTATATTGTATAAACTCCAGTGAATGTTATTTCTTAAATGCCATAGAGGACCTGAGAGATATTAACAAAATCCATTAGAGTTGAATATTTTCATAAGAGGAGAAAAGTAGCAATCTTTAAAATGGCCATTTTTAAATTTTTAATTTATGTTTCTTTATCTTGTTAATTTTTGTAATTGGGGAAACAAATTTCTTTTGAGTGATGACTTTTTAAAAGTTAAAAGTCCTTTTTTAATGGTAAATTACAGAGTGAAATAAATATCAAGAAATAAAAATAAAACAGTTTAAAGACTAAAGATGCATTCCAACTTAAACATTTAGTAGGAACTAAATAGAAGAATTACTGTTTAAATTTAAAATGAATCTTTCCCATTGTATAGTGAAAGGCTAAATTCAATTTCCAGCTATTAAATTCATTGTAGTAGTCACTTTTTGTTGTGTAGCAAACAACCTTAAAATCTCTCTCTCCTACAACCTTATTTTTATTTATTTTCCTTTTTATAGCTCTCAGGTCTGTGAATTCCTGAGGTTTTAGCAATCTTAGCTGGATTACAATGGTTCGGCTGAGCTGGGCTCCAGTCTTCAGGTGGATTCTTGTTTTCTCACATCTCCTTCTGAAACTAGCAGCTCCCTGGGTGCACTATTTTTATGACCTGAAAGAAGCCCTGCCTGAGAGGCAAGCGGAAACCGGAACACTTCTTAACTCTTTAACTGAGAATTAGCATGGTGTAACTTACACACTCATCCTATTGGCTAAAGCAAGTCACCTGGCAAGCCCAATATCAATGGGATAGGCAAATACATTGTGACCCCACAGAGACACCACACTAAAAAAAAAAAAAAAAAAAAAATGCAAGTTAAAGGTGGTTCATTTATAACCTTGCTGCTGGGAGGTGAAGAATTGGGAACAATAATTCAATTCACTGCATATGGGTGATCTTTGTTTCCTCATCTGTAAAATATTATCTGTCTGAACTTCTAATCTAACTCATTACATAAACAAATACCCACTGAATAGAAATTGTTTGTTCTTACTTTGTACTATGAACTGTGCTAAGTGCTTGATGCACAAAATTGTATGAAACATTGCTACATCTGTTAGCTGAGTGAAACATATTTTATTAGATAGGACAGGCTATGCTGTGTTCAAGTAACAAATAGACACCCAAATCTTAGTAAATTTAAGCAATAAAACTTACTTATCTTCTTGGATACAGAATCCTTTTCAGGTAGGGAGTTTTTCTTGGTGACCATCCTCCAGGCAGTAATAGAGTGAACCAGGTTACTGGCAATTTACTCCACCATCTTTTATGTAGCCTTTCTGCTTGTCCCAAAAGTGAAAGGCAGTGTGAATGACTGTGCAAGGAAGTTCATGGTCAGGCCTAGAAATAGTACATATCACTTGTTCCCACACTAAAGATAGTGGTCACATTGCCACTATCCAGTTATATGGTCCCACACTAGCTAGAGCAGTTGGTAATGTAGTGTCTCTGCTATAATTCCCTTTTATGTTCACCAAATATCTGTTTCTCTTTTTTTCCTACCCATAGAACACAATTTATTTTTTCCTAAGGAGCACAACACAGAGACTCACCCAGTTATTAAATCCAGTTTAAACTCCATGATCTTTAAGTCATACACAGCCCTGACCATAGATCCTGAAAACCTGTATATTCTCCTAGAAGTCTAAATGATCATGCCCCTTGAACAGAAAGTTTAGTCACCTGACTACAGACAGATAAATTCACACACTATGCAGAGAGCCTGGATATCCAGAATAAGTACTTCAATTTGGAAAGGGAATTAAGAGGAGACCTTATAGTCATTGGTCTCTAGTAATTCTGAAACACCAGTGAGCTGATATTGTGAAACCCCTATACCCTAGAAGTGTCGGGGAGTTATTTGATTTTTTTTTAATCAATCTCTAAATCCACTGTATGAGACAAGCTGTCTTGTCCATAGTTTTTCTTGGTCCTGGCTCCACATCCTGGAAAGTTCCTCCTAGTTCATTATTCATTTTATCATTTAAAGTGGTTTTGGAAGAGCCTGAACTCCTGGAGAGCTAGAGGCTTTTGAAATGTGCCTATTGCTCATGAAGGATGAACTCTTAAGAGTTCTAAGTATTAACATATCTTAACTTTTTTACGGTCCCTATTTTCCTCAAAACTTTGTAGGTGTCAAATATATTTGGTTCTTGTCTGTTCCAAACTTAAGTTCTTTTAATAGACATAGTTTTCAAATCTGCTTATATTGTTCTACTTTCTCACTGTCACATCTGTCTCACTCAATTTAATAGTGGCTATCTACCTTATGCTGACATTATCCCTGGGTCACTTTAAACAACTGAAAATTTTTACTGGGATAATGGAAAAATGTATATATCTTAAATTAATTTTTTATTGTTTGGCATATAGCAGCAGTTAGCTTTTCCAACACTGCAATTTGCTCATGATCTTTTAAATTCTACCGTAAACTCATTATTGCTTATAATTTCTTATCTATTTATACCAATAACAAACAAGAAAGTGTGCTAAGATAATGAATTCCAACTTTTTTCCTTAAGAGCCACAAGCTTAATAGGTCCACAGTTTGCTTTCAAATATACCACAGATAATCAAGGTTTTTTGCCACTGCATGACTCGATTCACCTACTTTCTAGCTTCTGATTTCAGTTTCCTCTTATCCAGTCCCTAACTTCTTTTTTTAAAACAAACAAACAAAAACCTTTTAAGTTCAGGAGTACATGCACAGGTTTGTTACATAGGTAAACCTGTGTCATGAGGGTTTAGAAACATACCTCAAAATAATAACAGCCACATATGACAAACCTACAGCCAACATCATGCTAAATAGGGAAAAGTTGGAAGCATTCCCCTTGAAAACAAGTACAAGACAAGGATGCCCTCTGTCACCACTTCTATTCAACATAGTATTGGAAGTCCTGGCCAGAACAATCGGGCAAGAAAAAGAAGTAAAGAGCATCCAAATAGGAAGAGAGGAAGTCAAACTATCCCTGTTTGCAGATGACATAATCCTATATCTAGAAAACCCCATCGTCTCAGCCCCAAAGCTTCTTAAGCCAATAAACCACTTCAGCAACATCTCAGGATACAAATCAATGTGCAAAAATCACTCGCATTCCCATTTACCAAAAAGAGTCAGGCTGAGAGTCCAGTCAGGAACAAACTCTCATTCATAATTGCCACAAAAAAAGAATAAAATACCTAGGAATACAGATAACAAGGGAGGTGAATGATCTCTACAACGACAACTATAAACTACTACTAAAAAAAATCAGAGATGATACAAACAAATGGAAAAACATTCCATGCTCTTGGACAGAAAGACTCAATGTCGTTAAAATGTCTATACTCCTTAAAGCGATTTATAGATTCAATGCTATTCTACACAAACTACTATTGACATTCTTCACAGAACAAGAAAAAACCTATTTTAAAGTTGATATGGAACCAAAGAAAGAGCCCAAATAGCCAAGGCAATCCTAAGCAAAAAGAGCAAAGCTGGAAGCATCATGCTTACTGAAGTTCAAACTATACTAAAGGGCTACAGTAACCAAAACAGCATGATATATCAGATAGGTAGGCTGAATGCTGGTGTAGTACTAACTAAACTATAAAACTCAGTGACTTCATTCGACAAAAATTAGTTTGTTATCCATTCAAATTCCAATGTGTACCATAGGTTCTCTTGGATTCTTCCAAAAAATGACTCAAAAATCTAGGCTATTTCTATTTATAACATCACTATTTTCAGCATAACTCCCATGCTCTTTCAACTAAAAGAGATTATGGAGGATGACAGACCAAGCCTTATGTCTAGGCATAGAACACCCTTCTACTCCATTGCATTAGCTAAAACCCAGTTACATGGCCTAAATTACAAAAATAACTGCAAGTAAGGCTGAGATTTATAGTTTTTGTATGGGTACAGAAGATTTAATGAGTTGGATGGGGGTCTTACTAGTTTTGCCACACATAAACACCTAAAAAAAGCTTAATTCTGCATGACTTGAGGCTATCATGAGGATCAAAGAATGATCCTCTACAATCAATATATACAGTAAAACAATGCACACATTTAAACTACTATTAGGATATTCATGGTTGTTAAAAATAATTGGTAATGCATATTCATTTGAGAATTATTAGCATATACCCAGTAAGCCTAGTTTTTATATGAAATTAAATGAAACTTTACAAAGCCTATATAGTTCTATGCTATTTGAATTTTATTGCGTTCCAGTGAGGCAAGAAATATGTGTATCTAATATAATGTATATGACCCATGGGTCAATCTAATAGGAACTCATGGTCTCCAGCTCAGACCGGCAAAAATAATAGATCTAATTCTCCTTTCAACTAAATTTAAGTAAATATAATCTGTTATTGCTATTATTTGTAAGGTAGTCAAAAGAATTAAAGCCAAGAAGAAAAAAAATTTCCTGGCCATTAGTATGATATATCCATATTATTTTCATTGGATATTCATTGTACACTATTTAACATAAACATAAATACGCAAGGTCAAATGATAATTTAGCCAATCACTATATAACACTATACATTTAAACAAAACATTGTAATTACAGTGACATGGAAAGCACAAATTAACTAGTTTCAGAGCACTCATGGGAATGATCAAGAATCAGCAATGCTTTGGCACTATATTCAAGAGCATGGAATCCTGTCTCTTTTTTTTTTTTTTTTTTGAGACGGAGTCTCACACTGTCGCCCAGGCTGGAGTGCGGTGGCGCCATCTCGGCTCACTGCAAGCTCCGCCTCCCGGGTTCACGCCATTCTCCTGCCTCAGCCTCCCAAGCAGCTGGGACTACAGGCACCTGCCACCATGCCCGGCTAATTTTTTTTTTATATATATTTAGTAGAGACGGGGTTTCACCGTGTTAGCCAGGTTGGTCTCCATCTCCTGACCTCATGATCCACCCGCCTCGGCCTCCCAAAGTGCTGGGATTATAGGCGTGAGCCACCGCGCCCAGCCAGAATCCTGTCTTAATTCATTTTTCTATCAGTTCAAATCACTGGATGAGTTCTCTTGAATGTTGAACATTTTTCCAGGCACAAAGTTATAATATTTTCCTACTGGATTACAGAGAAACAAAAGTGAGAAAAGAGGGACAAGTTAAAATTTGTTGGCTTATATATGTTGTTGTTTTTAACTTATATTTACTCTAGACAGAATTAATCCATAGCGGAGTATAAAATAAAATTACAGGTTCAGGAACATGACATCTTTCATTTTTTATATCACCAGTTATTAGCCCTACAACTTTGAACAAATCACATAATCGTTCATAATTGCTGGTTAGTAACTGGTTTTGGATAATAGAAAAAATAATAATTTTTCTATATCACAGGGTGGTTCCAAAGATCATATAAGACAATGTACGTAAAAGCACTATGAAACTAAATTTCTGTACAAATTTAAAGTATTATTGTTGCTTCTAAAATTACCTTAATGGATTATGTTTCAGATGAGGCCTTGGTTTTTTTTTTTCAATTATTATTATTATTGTTCATAGTTGTACCTTAGGCCATAAGACAGACATTATTCTTAACCTTTTCTCTTTTCATGATTTCTATTTCTCCTGGTGCATTAAATTTAATGCAATAAAACTGTCTCTTTCCAACAAGTAAAGTGCATTTATAATCCCGACTATAGGAATACAGGCAATATAATAAAAATGTATAAAAAATGTATATCTAAAGATGAAGATGAAAGATATGAGTGATTTGTAACACAACCTGTCATCAAAAGCACTGAATGCCAGAGAATATATGATATGTGCAAGAATCAATATTAAAACCATACTTAGTAGAGTTTAAGAAGGCAATAGTGACATTTAGCATTGCATTTTACATTTTGCTAATGGACTAGAAAGTCAACTGTCATTTTGTGCTCTTTAGCAACAAAATCCACTTTATTCTGTAAAGTTGTAAGTAAAAAAATTATGTTATTAACATTCTTCTCAAGTTAGATTGAAATTAGTGAAATGTGATTGATGTTTTCCCTTCTGTCTTTCCTATACTGTTATTGGTTTTGATAAGAGAAATCTAAGGTCAACTTAATTTTTTTAATTGTAAATCAATAATAATGATTATCATGGGTTCTTTTTGAGTTTTGTCATAATTGACCAGGAGTTATTCAATAATCATTGCAAGCAAGTAAGATATTATTCATGTTAGCATGATTAATTTTAAAATTACCCAGAAGCTGAAATTTTACCTATAAACATAAACACAGCATGAGTGGTATATGGAAGTAATAAAAATATGTATAACATCTGATAAAAGTGAATATTTCCTATAGACCCCAAATTGACCTAACTTCTTTTTAAAGCTTTAAAAATTATCTTATTTTTAATGTGTTTAGGTTTAGTGAAAAATAAGTCTTGAAAAATATACTTGGAAATTATATTCATAGCTATATCTAATGGAAGGGTTGTGGTAATTTCTATTTACTATTTTTTTTTTTTTGAGTCGGAGTTTCACTCTTGTACCCAAGCTGGTGTGAAATGGCATGATCTTGGCTCACTGCAACCTCCACCTCCCGGGTTTAAACGATTCTCTTGCCTTAGCCTCCCGAGTAGCTGGAGTTACAGGCACACGCCACCATGCCTGGCTAATGTGTGTATTTTTAGTAGAGATGGGGTTTTGCCATGTTGACCAGACTGGTCTCGAACTCCTGACCTCAGGTGACCTGCCCGCCTCGGCATCCCAAAGTGCTGGGATTACAGGCATGAACCACCATGCCCGGTCGGTAATTACTATTTTTTGCTCATCATTTAAAACATATTTTCTTGTTACTAGTGCTATGTATAACAAAAACATAGAAGTAAATATGCATCACTGTATTTATTCAATATTGATTGTCCTTTATCTAGCAAAGTAATTAAATTTTCAATATTCCACAGATAAATGAAAATTTATTTCATTACCCTTCATGAATAGTTTCATTATGTCTTTTAAATTTTCATTGTATCTTTTAAAACTGTGATACTGTTTTCTCACTACTTTTAATAGTTATCCACCTCTCCAATGCATGTAAAAAGCAGCAAGGCCATGAAAATGTGTATAGCTCAATAAAACTACCATAGAAGGTTGACATTTAAAGTGCTTCTCCTGCTCATCTTGGCCACTGCTGTCATACTTGAAAGACAGCTTTTGTATAAAGAAAGGTGACGGCCCAACAGAAAAGTTGTACGACTGCACTTTTCTTAACAACTAAATGACAGGTACATTGGTAGCAGCTACATCTACATCAATCATGCTAAATCTAACAAACATTCTTCTGGGTGTGAGAGAAGAGACTACTGAAAATCTGGTATAAAATGAAGCAAAAGTATCACATGCTTTGAATTAAATGCACACGCACGCACACGCACCCACACACACACGCACCCACACACACACATACAACAGATATGGAGTGAATTATCCACATACTGAGGATGATTTTGCTTTCTTGTCTTATTCTGCCTTCTTCCTTTTAAGTTCCACTGATTGCTAATCCAACTATTGCCTGCTCCTTATCTTTGGTATGCAGAGAGAAATGTAAATAGTTGTATATTACCAAACATGCTCAGTGTCCTTCAATAGGCAACATCTTTTGTATGAACCTATTAATTGCCACATCTGTACCTCACTAACTTACTTTTTAGTGGTGTTTTTATGAACCTGGAAAGCAATCCAATGAATTAACAGGCAAAAAACATAAGCATCATTCACTTCTGACTTGCACTCTGGATTGGCAGGATAATTTTCAGGAATGATTTAGCTAGTCAGGTGTAAATGCACACAGCCCTGGGTAAAAATCTACTCTGCAACCCAAGGTCTGCAATGACCTTGAGCCAATTATTCAACACCCCAAATCTTCAGGTGGAATTAAAAACCTGAATCAAAGTCTCATAGGAATACTAATAATATTACAGATAATATATATAAAATGATTCATTTAGTGCTTGGCATAGAAGGGACAGTCAGTAAAAACTGGCTCTAATTATTAAGAGGAAACATTACATATTGGCAACCCAAGTTTGATGATGATACTTAAAAACTTAAATTATTTTCAGCTTAGGAAAAGTAAAGATGTCATTTCATATTTGAGTACCTCTAGAGTGCTGGGAACTTTGCAGAGCAGAATTAGACGCTGTTCTTGACTTACTGTTTACTGAAGTACTTGCTTTTTGCTATTGATTTCTCAACCATGACATAAGACCTTGGAAAGAAGAGTGTAGGTAACAATGATTTAAACATAAAATAGAAAATTGCTTTTGAGATTCTTGCTTGTTGGGGTGCTAGCTTTCAAAATACATCGAGGATCATCTAAAATTTATGATACATTTTCTTACTTCTGAAAGAGAAATAGTATATTTAACAGTATGTGGTTTCCTTATCCATCTCTAGATTGATATAGTGAAGATCCACCTCATTATCAAACTAATAAAGGGAGTGCATACTATATGCCAGGCATTGTTCTGAGGCTTTCACATGAATTCTTTTTTTTTTTCATTTTGACAATGCCATGAACTTTGTGTTTTTTCCACATTTTTAGTATTGGGTTCTGAGGATTATAGAAGGTAATTATATAAGCATAAAGTCTAAATTCTTTCACTGCTTCCTGTATTTTTCATCTTTGTCAAAGAATTCTCCAATTTCACAACCGGGAATTCTTTTTTTTTTTTTAATATCCAGGCTGGAGTGCAGTGGCACAATCTCGGCTCATTGCAACCTCGGCCTCCCGGGCTCAAGCAATTCTTCTGCCTCAGCCTCCCGAGTAGCTGGGACTACAGGCGTGCACCACGATGCCAGGCTAATTTTTGTATTTTTAGCAGAGAGGGGGTTTCACCATATTGGCCAGGCTGATCTCAAACTCCTGACCTTGTGATCTGCCCGCCTCAGCCTCCCAAAGTGTTGGGATTACAGGCATGAGCCACCGTGCCCAGCCCTGGAATTCTTGAAGTTATTTTGATTACTCGCCTTCTCTTAACTCCTTTACCTAAGTCAATAAATCCTTTATATTTCACTTCACATGTCCTTACCTTTTTCTTTTTTTTCGGTGTGACCTACCATAAAATCTTTCTAATTGACTCCTGTCATAGCTCTCACTGTCTTCAATCCTTTCTCCCTTTCTCTATATGGTTGTTACAATTTTCTCCCTAGAGGAATTTGTTCATGTCACTTCTCTGTTTGAAAGCCTCCAGTAACTCCTTAGCAAGGCTTCCCTGGTTCTTAACAACAGGCATATTCCTGCACCTTGAGCCTCAATGCTGGCCACTGCCCACACCATCACCCCACCCCAATCTTCCATACATCCATCACCTATAAACACACTCTCTGGGGCTGTAAAGTCAAACCTCTAATTACTCCCTACACAAGACCATGTCATGTCTGTGCCGTTTGCTTGGACTACCCTCAAAATTATGTATAGACTTTCCCCAATTCAACTTTATTGTAGGCTGAATTCTCTGTGACTCTCTGAGACGTATTTATAGGAAGTTTATTGGAGATGTTTTCAGCAACAATGTATATGAGAAATGAAGGAAGCAGTATTGGTCAGAGGAGAAAGTGAACTATGATACAGTTAGAACAGAGCTCTCAGCCAATCCTACGGGGTTAGCTGGAGCCAGGAAGGATGTTCAAAGATGTCTCTACTTGAAGAAAGGGAGGCAAGTCATCGAATAATGTTGAATAAGGGCGTTCCCTGGGGAAGAACCATGACATTGGACAAAGGGGATCTCTTCAGCTCAGGATAATTACTAAGGAGGAATTTATCCCAGCAGGAAGGAGAAAAAGAGCCTCAATCCAGAAAAGGTTCTGGGTGGCGCCTCACAACACCATCTGCACCCCCATAGTGGAATGAGTCTTCCTTCTCTATGTCCCCTGTGTTTAGAGAAGTCTCTCTCCCAACACATGCAACATTGTACTCCAAGCGTATTAGATTCCCTCATGATGCCCTGAGCTCTCCCGGGGCTGCCTTTACACAGTTAGCAGCCATCCCAGTAGTGCCTGGCACCTTGGAGGCTTTTATGAAGAATAAATGAATCCATCAAACAGCAGTTGGATTAATGACAGCATAAAATAAACTACACCTCAGAAAACAATACCTAATGCTCTGTGCTGTTTTGTAAAATAGGTATAACAGTTGTGTGATGGTAAAACAGAAGTGTTAATTAACATTGCTGTTTGGTTATATTGGTTTCCAAGGAGGTAAAGGAACCTGCTGAGAAGAGGTTTAGTATGTAAAGAAATCTCTACAATGGAAAAAAAAAAAAAAGTTTCAGAGGCACAATAAATTACCAACATCAATTAGAACTGAGAAAGAAGAAGACCTGACAAAACTACAAATTTGAAAGAAAGGATGATCAGAGACTCTTAATTTGAAGACTGACTAGGGAGAACTGGAATGAGATATTGACCAGAGGGAGAAATTGTTGAAAAATATTTGGAATCAACTAAGCTCAGGGTTACAAATCAAACACTGTTTTACAAAACCACTACAGTGATGCAAATAAATTCTCAAGTAGCTACTTGAGTAATTATTTTGGTAAAATATATGATTGTTTCAGTTGCTGTAGAGACTGAACTCTCTGAGAAAAAATGGTAAATGGCACACCCTTCCTAGTCCCTGGAATATTGTAGACTCAAAATAAATATTTGCACACCTCCCTTTCTTAAAGGAAAAGGTTTCAAGGTGGCCCTACTTTTCATTTTAAAGACCTGTGCTAGAGCCCATAAAATTAGAATTATGGCATTCAGGGATGTCCTATTGGCACATCATGCCTCTCATAAAAGGCTGCAGTAACATACATGACTCAGTCTAAGACTTCAGAGAAATGAAAATGGCTGTTTATCTCTTTTTTTTCTGTCTGGATAATTCCTTGCTCCTTTCTTTTTTTCTTTGCATCGTGCTCCTCACACCCTCACCTAATTTCTGTAAGTACGATACAGCTAATGTGCTCATTTTAGGTGTATTTAATATGTAGAAGTTGTGCTGACAATGTATGTGTATATTGAAGATAGACGTAGAACACGTATCTTCTCTCAAAATTAATAAAATTGGTTGCAATCGATATTCAGTATCTATATCTTGTAAAGCAGTGCCCTATAAAATATTCTAGAGAATAATAAATAAAACATAAGAATGTTGAGAAAGAAGACAGATAAACCCCTTGCAGAAATGGACAAAAGAATGAAATATGTGCTATGGTTGAGTTGCAATTAATGTGCTCTGAGAGCAAAGAGGTAAGAATGACCTAAGGGAGATCAGAAGATGCAGCCCTTTTCACACCTTTTGCGTGTCCCTAATCATTAGCTAATTGACTCCTGCATGCAAATCTGTGTTGTCAGCTCTGTATGTGTTTCCTAGTAATTAACCATTCTTCCGGTTAGTTTTATGTATCTTCCATCTGTGCCTTTTTAGATGCAGGAAAGTTATTTCAGGATGATCATATACACACCAGTCTCAGGAAAGCCAGTTTTATAATGAGCAGAAGTTGACTGAAAGGAGACCAAACAATATGACACACAACTCAGTATTAAATGTGGCTTGGAGACCAGCAATGAGAAATATGGTTGAAAATAACTGGAGAAGGCAGCAAAGTTCACAAGAATAATTTTGAGGAAGTAAATTGGAAAGAAAAATCTGTAAAAAATAATATATAGCTCAATCAGGTTAGAACTACTATGATACAGCAACTAGAGTGACAGGATCCAGGACAATGACTACTCAAGGCTGTTTCAAGATATCTGGAACATAGCAACAAGATAGAAACATTAGATTTGATGCTAAATTCAACCTGAACTTGGAGATTGTATCTAGAAATTGACTGCAAACTGGAGATTGAGAGAATTTAGCTGACTTGATGATAAAATCATCTGAAATTGAGAAGTCACAAACGTGTTTTGCAGGATTGCAGAAAGATTCACAGTATGCTCCTATGTACAAAGGGAATAAAGATCCTGCATTTTTCTATAACTGTTCCATCTTGCTTCCTACCCTCCAATAGCTAGGCAGCAGTAAAATTAAGTAAAGACTACATTTATTTGTGAATCTCAGCATTATCTAATTTATTATCTTTTTTTTTCTTCAGCAAATGTGTCTTCTTGAATGATTCAAAACGCATCAAGCTTCTCTTACATTGTCTAAGATACCTTTAGGGTATATAAGAATAGAGGCATAGCTGATGACATGACCTTCAGTTATGGGGAAAGAGCCTAGTTCAGCTACTATATAATATGCCCTAGCTTTTACACTACAGTCCTGTTTAACTGAGCTGCTATTTTGCCTGATTCTGTTGGCAACAGCTAGTGATAGCTGGTGATTTTGTTGGCAACAAGCTGGCAATATCTTTTGTTTCATGGTTTCAATAGTGTCTAAGGCTCTTTCCTCTTGAATTGACTTTAAATTTCTGCTGCTTCTACCATCTAACACATGGCCTTTTTGGTCTAATGGCATCTCCTATGAGATTACCTTGCCATCAATCACAGGAAGTCACGTTGCCCTCTGATCCCTACACATGTCAGTGACACACAGGAACACAGAGGTAATTGAAACACAAACTAGACCTTCTTTTTCCCTAACAACACAGCTCTACCTTCCAATCGTGCCCAAGATTCCAATGTTACCACAGGGACACTATGCAGGATTCTGTTCCCTGCATCCCAAGGAGGTGGCTGGGCAATATCCCACACGAAGTTGACTTCAAATTCAAACTAATTCATGCTTCTCCAAACATTGCTGTCCTTGCAATTTCAATGCTGGGAAATCAGATCATATGACCATCCTGATCTAGACTTCTTCAATGTCTTTGCTCGTCTACTTTTTCTTTCAAATTCCTGTAGAATTAGAAGTGAAAGGATTTTCATTTATTTCTCCCACTCCTCTTCCTGGGAATTCTACTACATCAAACTCTATTATCTAAACTCCCAGGACCAGACAATAATATATTTTATAGAAAAATGAAAAGAAAATCATTTTTCACAATAATCCCTGTTTTTTAAGTCTATAGACGTCTACATTTTATTTTGAATATTAATTTATAAGTACTATATTTCTTTTTCTTCGTATTCCTTCTGAGTTTTATGAGCATGAATGCCATGAGACTTGCCCTGGGAGCTATGAAGAGCCTCTGGAAGTTTTAATACATCCTCCCTGCCCCTATGTGAAATTGACTAGGTCCTTTTTATTTTAAAAATCCTAGAAAAGAGATCAAAGCAGGCTAACTAAAAGCCATGTTACACAAGGTATAAGACTGGGGCTAGGATTTTTTAATTAAGTATACTCAGTTTAGTTACACCACTTTTGTTATTCTTTTGAAATTGAAGTTATTGACCATCTTCAGGTTATATATTAAATGCTGATTTCTCCACAGAGTAATCACTGGAGGGTGCATATCTTAACTAACAACAATAAAAAAACAAAACTCACTCTCTGTTAGTTGGGGATGAGGTGGTTTTGTAATTTAAATACACAATATTCTTTAAACAATACTCTGACAAAAAGTTATATAAGAAACACCAAATAAGAAAATATTACAAACCTTGATTTACTGAGCCTTGATTGATACAAGATTGACAGAGAAAATAAAAATAAAGACCCTGCGTCTAGTTATTATATAGGAAATAGAGTAGATGTTAGGATCATAAAAAACAAAGATATAAAGCTGACCATGGTTTACCAGACTATAAATCAAAATGATTGTTATAATTTCATTTTATTCATCCTTTTTCATTTACTCCTCTTCATTAAAAACTTTGTGCTGCATACTGACCATATGTAGCTGTGTTTTGAGATTTATCTGTCCATGGGTTCAGGGAGCACAAATTACATAAGTATGAATATTAGATAAATGGATGTTCTTTACCTTCTTTTCTTTTGTTGAAAGAGAATCTAGCTCTGTAGCCCAGACTGGAGTGCAGTGGCACGATCTCGGCTCACTGCAACCTCTGCCTCCTGGGTCCCGGTTCAAGCAATTCTCCTGCCTCAGCCTTCCAAGTAGCTGGGTTTACAGGCATGTGCCACTATGGCCAGCTAATTTTTGTATTTTCAATAGAGATGGGGTTTCACCATGTTGACCAGGCTGGTCTTGAACTCCTGACCTAGTGATCTGCCCACCTTGGCCTCCCAAAGTGCTGAGATTACAGGTTTGATCCACCGCGCCTGGCCTCTTTACCTTCTTGACCTAAGATTAAGGTTTATTAGAAAGAGGATCTTTGGACAGTATAACATAGCAAAGCAGATTCATACTACCCAGGATACTTGTTTTAAATAAACTTTGTATTTTAGAATAGTTTTAAACTTATGAAAAAGTAACAAAGGTAATACGAAAAGTTCCTGTATATTTCCCACTCAGTGCCCACTATTGTTACCATCTTTTATTACTATAGCACATTTATTATAATTAATGAACCAAAATATACAGCTAATGGATCAATATATACTTGATTAAAAGTAAGAGAAGACTAAATCAAGACAATATTAGTAGTAATTAAAGTTGTAGTATTAGTAGTGACATCTGAATGGTTTAGGAATAATGGATACTTTATGTGTAGTTGAAACCAGGCCTCAAACAGTTGTCATCAAGATTACACTTCTCCCTTATTTTTTCCTTTTTTTGCCATAATTTAACTAACTCTACATTCCCTTTCTTGGCATCATTCAGATAGAAATTTCCAACATAGAAAGATATTCACAGCAAGTTCAGTCTCACATCTATATTCATGACAATCATTGCATATACTATTTCTAACAAATCTTAAGATTGATCTTCATCGGACTGATTCACGACAAGTGACCCATCCTGAGTCAATTGCCATGGGGAAGTGAACATGTGGATTGACCAGACCAGAATTACATTCCAGCCCTGGATCAAAGGGTGGGATTAGCTTTCCCAATTACAGCCCGGTTATGGGAAAGATGATTCTCATTACATTAAGTTGCTGATAGAAGAAGAGAGAATACATACTGCATACAAAGAAGACAAAACTATCTCTACTATAATATGCATATGAGTTGATGTCTTAATGTTGAAAGAATCTCCAAGCACAGTAGTTTACAAACATTGCTAGTTTGAATTGTATCTAGAAAATGCATGGTTGGATTTTTCTATTTTTGTGAAAATGGCAAGAGAAAAAAGATGCTCTCTTCTTTCATGTTGACTATCTTGCAAGTTGCTTATCTTTATTTTTCAATAAAAATAAGAAATCTAATTGAGCCAATATTAAATGCATGTTTCCTTCACAGCTCCATGACACAAAATACTCCAAATGCCTCTAGCAATATTTTCTGATACTTTACATATAAAGTATTTTACAAGAAGATTAAGAAATAACTAGGGATATTTCAAGTTTTACTTTAGACTACAAGACTTACCTTCCTGAAAATAGCAATAATAGTTAATATTTCTTATAGATTCCAAGTGCTTTGAAAAATATTTACAAACAAGATGCCATATAATTTGCAGAGCAACTAATTAAGATTTTACAATTATTATTTTTATGATATAGAGGAAGCAACTTAATCAAAGGAACAAAGCAAACTCTAGCAGGTCAGACAGCTAGTAAGTATTTTTATCAGATGCCACTTATACATCTTCCTTCATATCTTCTTTACTACACTTCTTCCAGCTGGCCAGGGGTGATAGTTGATGCACCCCCAGTCAAAGCACAGGCATCCCCTTTGTGTGGATTCTGACCAAAATTATCACCACTCTATTCATGGATCTAATGAATAACTTCTGCCCTTTGCCCAGGCTTCTCTGTTGATGCTGAGGCATAAGATATCATTTAAGCATTTGCTACCTACGTCTAAGCCACCTGCAAGTGAGAAGGAAGTATAACTCTGAATGTGAATCTTTAACCAAAGGGAGACAAATTTTTCTCCATTCCTTTGTATTCATGACCTGTCCTGAGAAGCAGTTAATAATAAGGCTTCTTGGAAGTTATTCTGGTGTGATCAAGCAACCAATCACACTTCCTACCATGCAGTGGTCAGCCTGAGAGTGCACCCCCATATCAGCTCTCGTTTCTTCCCTGCCTCACTTTCCTTTGCCCTTGTCCCTGCTCCAAGGATCATGCTCTTGAATAAAGCTCTAACACATAGCATTTGCTTCAGGCTCCGTTTCTCAGAAATTCAGTCTAAGACAGTTGATACCAGGAATGACCCAAGAAAGTGAACCTTAGTTTAATTTATTAAAGCTGCATTACTGATGAGCCTCAGCTGTAAAGATCTCTTTGCTGGTGTTAAAAGGGACTAGTGATAAGCTCTGGCATGTCGTGACATATTATTAAGTCATTCCCTTGTGGTTAAATGGGATGTGGTGTATATGGAAGATCAGACTTTAGGATATGTAGTGGCTGTATGTTTATATGGTATGGGGACAATGATAATTATAGAGACTGTGGATTGGGTGGGCTTTTGTTAATAATATTGGAAACTTTGAAAGAGAAAATTACAGGCTTACAGCAGCCAGTTGCCAATCTGAGGCATTCAATGAAAGCCACAGGGCCTCTATGGCTTCATTTATGCAGCACCTTGACATCTATGAGTATAGAGCACACAGCAGAAAATTAGGCCATAGATTTAATTGTACTGTGACAGAACTACACAGATGATGTTTAGAGGCAAGATTGATGTAATTACACTAGTGGGTAACAAGAAGAGAATGGAAATAAGGATGTCTTGATACATAGGTATCTGTGGTAATGGCAAATAGATCCTAGTGTTCTAGAAAAAAAGATAAATTATAAGCATAATTGTACATTGATTGGCATATATGAAAAATAAATAAAATGAGAACTTGTGAAATTGATAACTGACACCAGCCATCAAAATGGAACAAATGTGGTCACACAAAAATTCCAGATTTAAGTCAATTCACAGACCCAGATGCCATTGATTAAAGGAAAATCAAGGTCCCTTTGACAACGCATTCTGTCATATCACTGCAATTAAATTCAGTAAATATCCCCTTGATCCTTCCCAAAAGGGAACTGTGGCCAATACTAGGATAGCTGTATTGGGAGAGAGGAATGAAACACACTTTAAAGACTATTACATAAAGATTCTGAGTAGAAGCTAATAATGGAGGAACTAAAATATCATCATCATCCCTCAGTTAGATTGGAGAACTTAGACCCCAGGAGATTGATATAGTTTGGCCCCCAAGACTGTCTGACTATGCTATGTATCCAACATGTCTACCCAACCACCCTACAATTATTTCCCTTGTCCCTGATATGATTTGTCTGTGTTCCCACCCAAATCTCATCTTGAATTCCCACATGTTGTGGGAGGGATCTCGTGGGAGGTAATTGAAACATGGGGGTAGGTCTTTCCCATGCTGTTCTCATGATAGTGAATAAGTTTCAAGAGACCTGATGGTTTTAAAAATGGGAGTTTCCCTGCACAAACTCTCTTCTCTTTGCCTGCTGCCATCCATGTAAGATGTGACTTGCTCCTCCTTGCCTTCCACCTTGATTTTGAGGCCTCCCCAGCCATGTGGAACTGTAAGCTCATTAAACCTATTTTTCTTCCCAGTCTCGGGTATGTCTTTATCGGCAGTGTGAAAATGGACTAACACAGTCCCCAAGGGGATAATTGAATCTAATATATTTAACAGCTGGCAGAATCTTTACATTGATTTATTATCTGTGTACTAAGAGCCATTATGGTAGAAATGGCCAAGCAAAAACTCTCCTCAGTTCTGGAGAATACATAAGAAGGGATATTATATCTCAGGATGAATTACTAAAATAGACACCACCATCAAATACTTAATAAATGCAGGGGTAATGATTCCTATGATATCCCCATTCAATTTACCTTGTGAACTGCTGGGAAAAAAATTAAAGAAATGGTAGATAGGTGGCTATGGGCTGAGTAACTCACCTTTACGCTAGGTATAGCCTCAATTGCAACTACGTGCTTGTTATGGCGTATTTATTGGTGCAATTCCCCATGTTCTCTGGCACTTGGCACACTAAATTGATTTGGCGAATACACTCTTCTTGATTACAGACAATAGGGGGAATCCAAAGTAGTCTGCCATCACGTAGTATGAACAGCAGCACAAATTCAAAGATGGCCCCAGTGCTATGTTCATGCCTATGCTCACATTCATGATACACTCTGTAAGAACATTAATCTTCTTGCTAGTCTGCACAACGTCATGCCAGTCTACAATAATGTTGTATCATGCTAATTGGACCCAATGATCAGAAACTAACAAGTGTTCCATAGGCACAAGGACAACATCTAAATGCCACACATGATGGAAAAAAATTCTGTTGAATATGCAGAGACTTGCTATATCAGCAAGTCAAGAATATGCTATATCAGTGAAATTTTTAGGGGTTCAAATCAGCTGAAGTATATCAGAACATTCTTTGTATGGTGGATAATAATTTAGTGCACCTCACATTTCCTAATTATGGTTCTTGGTGAGCCACCTTGGGTTTTTGAAGCCACATGTATAACATACTTCATAAATACTCCTATGGTTCATTTATTGAGTGACTGAAAAAGCTGCCAGTTTTTAGTGATACTAGGAGCAGGAGTGTATTCTAAAGCAGGCCAAGACCATAGTTGATGTCACTCAAAGTATGTGATACAGAAGACATAAAACTGCTACAAGTATCTGTAGTATATTTTGGATGCTATATTGAATATCTGGCAAGCCCCAGTAAGAAAAGTGATATATAGAAGCCTAGGCTATAGGTCAAGTTCAAGATTTCTACAGCCAAAAAAAAATCTTTATTAAAAAAATAACTTCTAATGTATTACTAATTATAGAGTGAGATTCTGACCATAGGACATGAAATGTCTATGAGACCAAAACTGTTTATTTTAACTTGTATATTATTAGAACTGCTGAGTCATAAGTGTGGGAATGTGAAGCAACCATCCATTGTACAATGGAAATAATATGTGTGATCTGGCCTCAGCAGATCCAGGAAGCATGAGAAAATTATGTGAACTTGTGGCCCAGACTCCCATATAATCAACCTATATTGCATTGACATCTCTTCCTCTAGCTTCTACCTTGGGCCTTTCGGGATAATTTCCTGTGAATAATTGATGGAAAAAAAATAGTGTTGGGTCTGCTCCACAGATGGATTCCTTAAAATAGTTATTATCCTTAAAGGAGATTCTGTCATGGATTGGACCCCTACCTCACCTCCTGGGGTAGAAGTGAGGACACCTTACAACCACGGAGGTAATATACTATATTAAGTAGCTGGAAATAATGTGAGAGCATCAGCAAACCTGAGGACTGGTCGGTCCGTCTCCTCTCGTGTCTAATTGCAGATCATGTCAACCTTGATGACTCTCAAAACTTCAGCTGTTTTTTTTTTCCAGACTAAGCTTCCTTTATGATAACTCACAATGTGTATACTCCAACCAGCTCCATCAGGTACAACCCAAGGTTGCCTCATCTCGCGGATGCTCTGAACTCCAATTTTCTCCTACTTTGGAGCTCCCCTATTTCCTGAAGAATGAGACAGTGCAGGTCTGTTCTGGACCCACACATAGGGATCCCAGAAATGCAAATAAAAATCACAATCCAGGAAGTAAAATTTGGTCAGTAACGTATAGGAGCCACAAGATAAATTATTCTATTTCACTCCTCAGGAATAACAGTACTGTGAAGCGTTTATTTATTTTACCCTTTTGGAGAAAATCTCATGAGTTTGAGTCATGCTTAGTAAGGTGTTGTTTTATTTGCTCTTCCTCTTTCCTGGATTCATTTCCCTTTTGCCTCACTCCTGTCTTGTAAGGAAGTGGTGGTGTTCAAACCTTTTCTTCAGGCTATGCTCTCTGGGCAACCCAGGTGCTCTCTGGGCAACCCCACTACTATCCACGGATACTTGAAATATCAATAACCTTCCCTCCACTTGCCCTCGTAGCCTGTGCTTACATTGTCTACATAAATACACCACTTTATATTTTTACTATGTTTTATATATTTTTCTCAAGAATTGTTATGTCTTTGAGAACTTAGAAATTCCAGTCTTTAAGATCAGGCTGCCATCTATTAATTAAATGCTACTCATCAATTCTCTGCGGTAATTTTATTATGTACAATATAACCCATTAAGAATTAAACTGAAACCACCATATACAGTCTGCTTAAGATTAATTGCAACTATGTTGCCTCAGCAAAGCATGCAAACTTAGTTCCTTGTCAGACAATACAATGAGAGTACTAAATATTCCTTACCATGATATAGTAAAACATCTCTAATTTTTTTAATAAACATCATATCTAAACATTAAAGGGAGAAGGAGGAAGAAAAATAGTATAAAGAGAAGTTAATATGACCTTGAATTAATCATATCAATTGCTAAGAGATTAAAGTGGGGTTGACTTAACACAAGACAATTTTAATAAAATATATTAACAAAGTATATTTTAAAAATGGACACCTGTTATAACACCAAAATATTTTTGGCACATTAATTTTGTATGTTTGTTTGTATAAAACTAAGTGCTAGAAACTATTTGTGGTACATTAGAATAAAATTGCATGCACTCAGATAAACACATTCAAACAAAGATAATAAAAGACAAAAGCCTAGTAGTTAGTTTGAAGCCTCCTAGCAATCAGGACAAAATGGAAAGTACATTTCTTGTCATCTAGGGAAGGAAGGAAGTTACCAGATAAATTTATTCCTTTTATTTCTCAGACCATATGCTTATATAAAGAATATATACTGTAAGATTTTATGCAAAGGACTTTAAATAGGAAAAAAATGAGGATTTTTTTTTGTTTTGTTTTTAAACCAAGTCTCACAATGTTTCCCAGGCTAGTGTTGAAATCCTAGGCTCAATGATCCGGCCACCTCAGCCTCCTCCATAGCTGGGACTACCAGCAGGCACCACCACACCTGGCAAAATGAGAATTTTTGATGACCATTTTATTACAATCATATAGCTATTTTAAAAATCAAAGGTATCTTCAAAATATATCCATTGTTCCATTACAATAGGAAATTGATATTTGCAGTCAAAAATATCAAAAGATGGTCTTCCTGACATATTTTCTTTAAGCTAACTTAAATCATTATTATCTAAAATGTATCACCTGCAGGAAGCTGAGGAGGGAGGACCTCTTAAGCCCAGGAGTTCAAGCTTACGGTGAGCTATGATCATGCCAGCACACTCCAGTCTCAGCAATGGAGTGAGACCCCATCTCTAAAAATATATATAAATAAATAAAAGTCAAATGTATCTCCTAATGCTGTCAGTAGCCCCTGATGTTGAATTTCAGGGAAAAGATATAGAGATTCTGAGAGGAGCACAAAAGAGGGAAATGATCTGTCATACATTTCTACATTCTTTGCCTCCCAATCTTTCTATTAGTTTTTGTTTGTTTATTTGTTTGCCTTTATTGAAAGGTTGAGAATATTATCTTTTTTAAAAGACTCTACATTGTACAATGTTTGAGGCTATGTTTAAGTCCATATCTAACCAAAAAGGTACTCTACATTATAACATTTTTGGTTAGGTAGATATGGACTTAAACCTAGCCTCACACATTTAATAGTTAGGTGAGCCTTAGGCATACTATTGACTTTCTCTGTATGTCTTAATTTCTCCAAATATAAAAATAAAATACAACTATGTGTTAATGTAAGCATTAAATAGATAGCAAATATACTGCCTTCTTTCTTCTTGTAATTCCAGGAGTTATAGCAGTGAATACAAAGTTGCCTGCTCAGAAATTAGGTTTGCTTCCATGCCCATTAAAATATTAAAAACTGTATTAGAATATATAAGAAAAATTGAGGATGGAGCCAAGATGGCTGATTAGAAGCATCTAATACGTGCTGTTCTCAAGGAGAGAAAAGTGGCTAATAAACAATAGTGGTTCAACTGGAACATCCAGGTGGAGACATTGAGATTCTTCAAGAAAACAATGCGACCCACAGAGAATGGAGAAGAGCAAGACAGGACAACTGCCCAGCCAGGAGTGGCATGGAGCCAGGGGAGGCCCCTGACTACAGGAAAACAGTGAGTGAGTGAGTGAGTGAGTGAGTGAGTGAGTGAGTGAGTGAATGAGTGAGTGAGAATCCTGGGGGACCTATACTTCTGTCATGGACTGTTGCATCCCTGGACCCAAGAAATCCCCCATGACCACCACCACCCTTCAATCAGGGCCTGCAGACCAACACAGAAAGAACTATGAGGAGTCTGGGCAGAGCTGCCACTCAGGCACCCCAGCACCAGTGGCTGCAGCTCCAGCAACAGGGGAAGCCATGTTCCCTCACATGCCCCCAGGAAAGGGACCAAAATAATGGGACTGAGAGGCAATGAACTGTAGGCTTTACCACCACTACATCTCTCAGGATAAGGTCCACTAACCTCGGACACTAGTGGGCTGCCCCAGGTCCTCCTGAGTTCTCAGGCTGGGAGAAGCTCTGAATTTTCTTTGGACAGACCTCCTAGTCTGAGTGTAGCAAGGGAGATACGACTGTAGCAACAATGACAGGGGCTTTTAATCGCCTCTGGGAACTCCACCTCAGAGAAACAGAGCTGCTGCTATTAGGAATGTTCAGCCATGGGGTGGAGTGGCTATGCTGCTGGCCCAAGCTGGGAGCCCTCAGGAGTCAAGGGCTCACAGATAGAAGAGACTGGGCTTCTCTCTGTATAGTGAGTGTGTCTTGCTGGAAGTACGAGTAAAGCCCTCAGGTTCATTGTTTCTTCTCCGGTCTGAGATCAGCAGGGCCAAAACTGCTGCTGTGGCAGTGGCAGAGGGCCTGTTGGTTGCCTCTGAGAGCCCCTTTCCCGGGAAACACAGAGACACTACCAGTGCGAATGTTGAGCTGGGGATAGGGTTGCTGATCTTCATTCCTGAGCTGGGGGCCCTGCCTTGTGATGAAGGGGGCATGGGGGCTCACAGGAGAGAGCCTGGGCTTCTCTCCTTCTGGTGGCTGCAGTGTATTGGAGGATCCAGCGTAGTAACCAGGCCCTTTATTCCTTCTCTAGCCTGAGGGCAGTAAGGGTGGGACCACTGCTGCTGCAATGGCAGGAGGGCTGTGGGTTGTCTGTGGGATTTCCTCCTCAGAGAAATGCAGAACTGCCACTGACTAAAGTGTTCAGATGGTGGCAGAGTGATAGTGCTGGGGGCCTAAGTAGGAAGGCACTCTCCAGGGAAGAGTAGCAGAGGTAGGGACCCATGTGGAAAACAGTCTGGCTGCTTATCAGTAAGGCTGTTGTGCTGTGCAGGGGGTTCTGCATCAGTCTCCAACAACTACATTCCCTCCTGAGCCTGAGGGCAACTGAAGTGAGAGCTGTGGGGCCACAAAAATGGCTGGCTGTCTCTTCCTCTGGGGAAGGGACAAAAGGCCCTGTTACTATGCTGCAACCTCCAACACACTGCAGCCACCGGAAGGAGAGAAGCCCAGGCTCTCTTCCCTGCGAGCCCCAATGCCCCACTCATCACCAGGCAGGGCTGCTAGCTCAGGACTGAACATAAGCCAACCCATCCCCAGCTGGGCATTCCCAATGTTAATGGCTATGTGTTTCCCTGGGGAGGGGCTCACAGAGGCAACCAACAATCCCTCTGTCACTGCCACAGTAGCAGTTCTGCCACTAGTACCTTCAATCTGGAGAAGACACAGCCACAGTAGAGAAGGGACCCCAGTCTCATCTCTCTGTGAGCCCTCAATCCCTAATTTTTCACCAAGTTGGGCTCCCAGCTTTGGCCAGCAGCACAGCTTCCCCACCCTATGCCTGAACATTCCCAAAAGCAGCAGCTCTATATTTCTCTGAGGTGCAGCTCCCAGAGGCAATTGAAATCCCCTCTGTCATTGTTGCTGCAGTGGTGTCACCTTTACTGCCCTCAGACCTGGGAGGAAGCAAAGATCCTGAATGCTTTAACTACAACTCCAGAAAGCTGCAGCCACCCTAAGGAGGAGAGGCCAATTTGTCTCCCACACGAATCCCCTGCCCACCTTGCTCATCACCAGGCTGGGCCTCCTGGCTTAAGCCTACCATGCAGCTGCCACACCTTGGGCCAATCACACTGATTGGGAGGAGCTCTGCCTTGGTAGTGGATCTTCAAGAGACAAGTGAAAGGCTCTCTACCACAGCCACTGCTATGATCACTTCTCTTACTGCCTCCACTCTCGGGAAGGAACATAAAGCCTGAGCTCACCCCAGAGCTACAGTGTGCATTTTGGGAGTTCCAAGACAAGATCTGCAACCAGCATTCAAAGGGAGATGAGCCCACACTTTCAGAGCATTGAGATGGAGCACAGCTGCAATAATGTGGAGACACAGAGGAGCCATGTGGCTGAGGAAGAGCCTATCACAGGTCCATTACAATTAAGCACCATATGCGGGATTACAGCACAAATTTCAATACCAAAAATACCTGGCTGATATATTCCCCTGTAAAACCAAGGGCAAGAATGCAACTATAAATAAAGACCCTGCACTCCCTGCACTCAGCTTCAACCCTCTGAAAATATCTGGAAGTCAATGACTATACTCAGATTACACCACAGTTAAAAGAACATCAGTCTACACAGACGAGAAAGAACCACTGCAAGAAATCTAGCAACTCAAAAAAATAGTGTTTTCTTTCTTCCAAATGAGCACACTAATTCCCCAGCAAGGACTCTTAACCAGGCTGAAATGGTTGAAATGACAGAAATAGAATTCAGAATATAGTTAGGAATGAAGATCATCAAGATTCAGGAGTAAGTAAAAACCCAATCCAAGGTTTCTAAGGATTTCAATAAAATGATACAGAAGCTAGTAGATGAAATAACCATCATAAGAAAGAACCAAACTAATATGATGAAGTCAAAAACACACTGAAAGGATTTTATAATGCAGTTATAAGTATTAACAGCAGGCTAGACTAAGCAGAAGAAAGAATTTCAGAGCTTGAATACTGGTTCTCCAAACTAACTGAGTTAGACAATTTTTTTAAAAAAAGAATGAATAAAACCTCCAAGAAATATGGAATTATGGAAAGAGACCAAATGTGTGACTCGTTGGCATCCCTGAAAGAGAGAAGGAGAAAGAAAGCAACTTGGAAAACATATTTCAGGATATCTTCCGTGAAAATTTCTCCAGTCTTGCTAGAGAGGCCAAAATTTAAATTCAGGAAATGCAGAGAAGCCCTGCAAGATACTACACAATAAAACCATCCCTCAGACATATAGTCATCAGATTCTCCAATGTCAAAATGAAAGGAAAACCGTTAAAGGTGGCTAGAGAGAAGGGGCAGGTTTCAGCAGAAACCCTATCAGCTAGAAGAGATTGTGGGTCTATATTCAGCATTCTCAAAGGAAAGAATTTCCAACCAAGAATTTCATGTCCAGCCAAAGAAAGCTTCATAAGCAGAGGAGAAAGGAGATCCTTCTCTGACAGGAAAATATTAAGGGAATTTGTTACCACCAGACCTCCCTTAAAAGAGATTCTGAAAGGAGTTCTAATATAGAAAGACTGTTACCAGCCACCACAAAAACTTAAGTACATAGACCATTGAAACTATAATGAAGCCACACAAACAGATCTGCCTAAGAACCAGCTAACAATATGATGGCAGGATCAAATCTGCACATTTCAATATTAATCTTTAATGAAAATCGGCTAAGTGCCCCAATTAAAAACACGGAGTGGCAAACTGAATAAAGAATCAAGACACAATGATATGCTGTCTTCAAGAGATCCATCTCACATGCAGTGACACCCACAGGCTTGAAGTAAGATGGAGAAGAATCTACCAAACTAGTGGAAAACAGAAAAAAAAAATCAGGACTTGCTATTCTAATATCAGACAAAACAGCCTTTAAACCAACAAAGATTAAAAAAGATAAAGATATGCTTACATAATGGTAAAGAGTTCAATTCAACAAGAATACTTAACTATCCTAAATATATATGCACCCAATTCAGGAGCACACAGGTTCGTAACGCAAGTTCTTTGAGACCTATGAGGAGACTTAGATTTCTACATAATAATAGTGGGAGACTTCAACACTCCACTGACAGTATTACATAGATAATTGAGGCAGAAAACTAACAAAGATATATATAACCTGAACTTGACACTTGACCAAATGCACCCAATAAACATATACAGAAGTCTACATTCCAAAAAACAGAATATATGTTTTTCTTATCTGCATGTGGCACATACTCTAAAATCTACCACACAATCAGACAAAACAATCTTCAGCATATTAAAAAAAATCTGAAATCATACCGACCATACTCTTGGACTACAGCAGAATAAAAATAGAAATTAATACTAAAAAAATCACTCAAACCATAAAATTTCAAGAAGTTAAACAACCTGCTCATAAATGACACTTGAGAAAACAAATTAAGCAGAAATTAAGAAATTATTTTAAACTAATGAAAACGAAGATACAATATAGCAGAATCTCTGGGACACAGCCAAAATAGTGTTAAGATAAAGGTTTATAGTGCTACATCCACATCAAAAAGTCAGAAAGATCTCAAATTAACAACTAAATATGCTACCTAAAGGAACCAGAGAAACAAGAGCAAACCAACCCAAAAACCTGCAGAAGATGAGAAATAACCAAAATCAGAGCTGAACTGAAAAAAAATTGAGATGTGAAAAACCATACAAAAGATCGGTTAATTTGTTGATTACAATTGACCATAAAAGACTTTTTATTGTCAGACAATAACCGACAATAAAAGAAATTTGTTCTTTGGAAGAATAAGCAAGATTGATACACCATTAGCGAGATGAATAAAGACAAAAAAAGAGAGAAGAGCTAAACAAACATGATCAGAAATGAAAAGAAGATATGATCATTGACCTCACAGGGGGAAAAAAAGCCCTTGTAGACTACTACAAATACTCTATGCTCACACGCTAAAAATCCTGGAAGAAATGGATTAATTCCAGGAAACACACAACCTCCAAAGATTGAACCAGAAAGAAGTTAAATCCCTGAACAGACCAATAATGAGTTCCAAAACTGAATCCATAATAAAAAGCCTACCAAAAAGAGAAAGCCCAGGACCAGATGAATTCATAGCCAAATTCTACCAAATGTATAAAAAAGAACTGGTATTATTCCTACTGAAACTAATCAAAAAAATTGAGGAGGAGGGATTCATTCCTAACTCATTTTATGAGGCCACTATCATTGTGATACCAAAACCTGGCAGTGATACAACAAAAAAAAGAAAACTTCAGGCCAATATCCTTGAGCAACATAGATGCAAAAATTATCAACAAAATACTAGCAAACCAAATCCAGAAGCACCTCAAAAAGCTAATCCACCATGATAAAGTAGGCTTTATTTCTGGGATGCAAAGTTTGTTCAACATAGGCAAATCAACAAATGTAATTCATCCCATGAACAGAACTAAAGACAAAAAACACATGATTATCTCGATAAATTCAGAAAAGGCTTTCAATATAATTCAACATCCCTTCATGTTAAAAATCCTCAACAAACTAGGCATTAAAGAAACATACTGTAGGTGGGTGCAGTGGCTCACTCCTGTAATCCCAGCACTTTGGGAGGCCGAGACAGGCAGATTGCCTGAACTCAGGATTTCAAGACTAGTGTGGGCAACATGGTGAAACCCTGTCTCTACAAAAAATACAAAAAAGAAAAATTAGCTGGGTGTGGTGGCACATGCCTGTAGTCCCAGCTACTCAGGAGGCTGAGGCATGAGAATCGCTTGAGACCAGGAGGCAGAGATTGCAGTGAGCTGAGATCACACCACTGCACTCCAGCCTGAGCGACAGAGTGAGACTCTGTCTCCAAATAAGAGAAAAGATACATGACATGCTGCAAAATAATGAGCCATCTATGACAAACCCACAGCCAACATCATACTGAATGGGAAGGATTCCCCTTGAAAATCAGCCCAAGACAAGTATGACATCTCTCACCATTCCTATTCGACATAGTACTAGAAATCCTGGTCAGAGTAATTAGGCATGAGAAAGAAATAAACGGCATCCAAATAGTAAGAGAGGAGTCAAACTATTACTGTTTGCAGACAATATGATTCTTTAACTAGAAAATCTCACAGCTTCTGCCCAAAAGCTCCTTGATCTCATAAACAACTTCAGCAGTTTCAGGATACAAAAATCGATGTACAAAAATCACTAGCATTCCTATATATAAACAACACCCAAACTGAGAACCAAATCAAGAACACAGTCCTATTGACAATAGCCACAAGAAGAATAAAATACCAGGAAATACAGTTAACCAGGGAGGTGAAAGGTCTCTACAACAAGAATTATAAAATACTGCTCAAATAAATCAGAGATGGAAAAACACCCCATGTTCATAGATAGGAAGAATCAATATCATTAAAATGGCTATACTGCCCGAAGCAATTTACAGATTCAATGCTATACCTATGAAACTACCAATGGCATTCTTCATAGAATTTGAAAAAAACTATTTTAAAATTCATATGGAACCAAAAAAGAGCACATATAACCAAGGCAATCCTAAGCGAAAGGAACAAACCTGGAGGCATCACATTACCTGACTTCAAACTATACTACAAAGCTACAATAACCAAAACAGCATGATACTGGTACAAAACAGACACATAAGACCAATGGAATAGAATAGAGAACACAGAAATAAAGCCACACACCTACAATCAGCTGATCTTCAACAAAGTCAACAATAATAAGCAATAGGGAAAGGACCCTCTATTAAATAAATGGTGCTTGGATAACCGGCTAGTCATATGCAGAAATGCAGAAGATAGAAACTGGACCCCTTCCTTACACCATATGCAAAAATCAACTCAAGATGCATTACAGACTTAAATGTAAAATCTCAAATTATAAAAACCCTGGAAGATAACCTAGAAAATACCATTCTGGGCATAAGCCCTGGCAAAAATTTCATGATGAAGAGGCCAAAAGCAATTGGAACAAAAACAAAAACGGACAAATGGGATCTATTTAAAGAGTTTCTACACAGCAAAAGAAACTGTGAACAGAATAAACAATCTACAGAATAGCAGAAAATATTTGCAAACTGTGCATTTGACAAAGGTTTATTGTCCAGAATCTTTAAGAAACTTAAAGTAACAAGCAAAAAACAAACAACCCCATTAGAAAGTGGGCAACAGACATGAACAGACATTTTTCAAAAGAAGGCATAAATGCAGCCAATAAGCATACAAAAAAATGCTTAACATTATTTATCTTTAAAGAAGTGCAACTCAAAACCACAATGAGATACCATCTCACACTGGTCAGAATGGCTATCATTAAAAAGTCAAAAAATAGCAGATGCTAGTGAAGGTTGCAAAGAAAAGGAAATGTTTACATACTGCTGTTGTGAATGTAAGTTAGTTCAGACATTATGGAAAGCAATTTGTCAATTTCTCAAAGAGCTCAAGTAGAATTACCATTCAACCCAGCAATCCCAATTTTGGGTAACTACCTGAAGAAACATAAATTGTTCTACCATAAAGATACATGTGCATTATGTTTATCACAGCACTATTCACAATAGCAGACATTGAATCAACCTAGGTGCCCATCAACAACAGACTGCATATAGGAATTGTGATACGTATAAGCCATGGAATACTATGTAGCCATAAAAAAGAACTAGATCATGTCCTTTACAGCAACATGGGTGGACCTGGAAGCCATTTATCCTAAGTGAGTTAACACAGGAAGAGAAAAACAAATGCCATATGTTCTCTTTTGTAAATGAGAGATAACTATTCGGTACGTATAGACACAAAGAAGGGAACTAGAGACAGCAGAGCCTACTTGAGGGTGGAAGAGAGGGAGAGTGAAGATAAAAAAAAACAAGCAAACAAACAAACAAACAAAAACTACTTATCAAGTGCTAAGCTTATTACCTAGGTGACTAAATAATCTGTACACCAAACCCAGTGTCACACAATTGACCTATAAAACAAACCTAACCATGTACCCCTGAACCTAAAGTAAAAGCTAATAAATAGACGTTAGTTAGATAGTTAGATAAAAATAATCTTTTTTAAAAAGGGAATACAAGAAATTTACTAAAGGCCAGACAGGTGACTCGTGCCTATAATCCCAGCACTTTGGGTGGCCGAGTTGGGCAGATTGCTTGAGCCCAGGAGTTTGAGAACAACCTGGGCAATATAGCAAAACCCTGTCTCTACAAAAAATACAAAAAATAGCGGGGTATGGTTGTGTGCCTGTAGTCCTAGCTACACAAAAGGCTGAGGTGGGAGAATTACTTGAACATAGGAAGTCAAAGTTGCAGTGAGCCATGATTGCACCACTGCACTCCAACCCAGATCATGACAGAGGGAGACCCTGTATCAAAAAAAAAAAAAAAAAAAAAAAAAAAAAAAAAAAAAAGAAAGAAAAAGAAAGAGAAAAAAAGAAGAAAGAAAGAGAAAGACAGGGAAATTCACTAAAGAAGAAATATATTATTTTTCGAGATAGATAGTGAGTACAGATTTTTTTTTTTTTTTTTTTTTTTTTTGAGGCAAAGTCACACTCTTGTTGCCCAGGCTGGAGTGCCGTGGCGGGATCTCGGCTCACTGCAACCTCAGCCTCCCAGGTTCAAGTGATTCTCCTGCCTAAGCCTTCCATGTAGCTGGGATTACAGGTGCCACCACCATGCCCAGTCAATTTTTTGTATTTTAAGTAGAGATGGGGTTTCACCATGTTGGCCAGGCTGGTCTTGATCTCCTGACCTCAGGTGATCCACCCACCTCAGACTCCCAAAGTGTTGGGATTACAGGCGTGAGCCACTGCGCCCGGCCGATAGTGAATACAGTTTTATAAATGCTGCCAGTTTTTCTTTTTAGTATTTTCATTGTTTCTGTAGTGGCAGAAATGACCAGGAATTGTTATTCTAGATTACTCTTGCTTTGTTTTATTGACAGACTTTCATTAATACAAACAGTGATCTGTTAATTGTAACCTTTTTAAAATACATATATGTGTAAATCTGAATTGAAATATTTATAGGCCAGGGCTGGGCGCAGTGGCTCACGCCTGTAATCCCAGCACTTTGGGAGGCTGAGGCTGGCTGATCACGAGGTCAGGTGATCTAGACCATCCTGGCTAACACAGTGAAACCCCGTCTCTACTAAAAGTACAAAAAATTAGCCAGGCGTGGTGGCGGGCACCTGTAGTCCCAGCTACATGGGAGGCTGAGGCAGGAGAATGGCGGGAACCCGGGAGGCGGAGCTTGCGGTGACGGGAGATTGCACCACTGCGCTCCAGCCTGGGCGACAGAATGAGACTCTGTCTCAAAAAGAAAAGAAAAATATTTATAGGCCAAATTTTGAAAGTCTTTGCTTTGTTATTAATATATGCTATATACATTTTTTTCTTTTTGATACCTTTTGTACTTTTCTTCCTATTCAAATTTGTACAAAATTTATCAGTATAAAAGAATGCCTAATACAGTCGTTGAAAGGAGTACAGATTGAAATAAAACAAACCTGTGCCCAAATGTTCCAGCATGCAACGAGTCTAAGAGCTTGGATATGTTTCTTAGCTTCTGGAATCCTGAAGGTCTTTATCACTCAAATAAGACTGGTAGTAGCTGCCATGTTGAGTAGTTTTTTAATACTTGGATACAAAGATTCTGACATGAGTAAGTTCTCAAGAATTAAATCTATTATTATTAGGTGTTCCTAAATGGGTGATGAATAAATAAATAAATAAATGAGGTAAGAATCATGCACCTTATTTAGGTCACAATTCTATTTTCCTCCATTGTTCACCATAAGTGACCTAGTTCTAATGAAAAGAAAGTACTGGTACTAACCAGAATATACAGTTTTGCACCACTGATTTCTTTCTTGCTTTGTTCTTTTCCTTTTACTGGCAATACAGATTTCACCTGGTGCTAATCTACAGGCCCTGTCTCTCTCCACACCTGCATTATCAACTTTAGCCTTAGAAAGAAATAAAAGTGAGCTATGCACTGGAAATAACTGAGAAAAGAACTCATATAACAAAGATAATACCTTAGGAAGTCTAACTAATTTGCAGGTACATGTACATATTAAACAGGAAATGTATATATTCTTATATTTCACACTTTAGTATAGTTTCTAATTTCTCCTCAGTAATGTCTACAGGAAAAATATTTGTAATTTCATTGCTATCATAAGGTATGAGAAGCACAAAAGGCAAAGTAGGTCAAACAGATAAGGTAGTTGTCATTTTACCATATTTGTGTATTTGATCACAATTTCAGTTTCATTAAACTTGTTATACATTTGAAAAAATAAGAAAAATATCTGATACATAATTCTGGGTTGTTTGATTTAATTGCTTTTAGGTTATGTAAAACATAATGGTCTTGCGTTTTATTATACTATATTATTATATATAGTATATATAGTGTATTATATATATTGTGTGTGTGTATATATATATATATATATATATATAGTTGTTTTAGGAATGTTAAAGAGTAGAAAGGCATCTTTTATATGACCACTAATATTAAAAGCAGAAGATTTTAAAATATGTTAATGATGTTTCTTTATATTATTCTTATATTTGTATATTAAAATTTACTAAGTATACCATTAAACAGAAATTCTAGAAGCAATGTTGAGCTGTCATAGTAAGAAGCTAGAATTTACCAGAGCATTGCTAGTTCTCATTGAGAATCTTTTTAGACGTCAACTAGTATCAGCATTCAGAATCACCTCCAGGGTAAGGAATGCTGGCTTGGTTGGGAGATAGTTTGCAAAAAGAATCAAAATTGATAAGTTTTGCTTTTAACACCTTCCAGGCAATGAATCCGAAGAAGAATTATAGAAAACAATTAAGCAAGGATATAGTATAAATCTTTTTACCAAAACTAATGCTTACTTTCAACGGTTCCATTGAAGATTCACTTAATTTATAGTGTTAGAAAGCAAAATGTGAAAGAAGGAGAATTCCCCAAATTATTAAAGTTGTTTTCATTTTCCCATGTTATTTCACATCTATTTATTGGGCCTTGACTAAAGGTACAACAAATGTATGATCTCAAATTAATCATTTAGAGATTGAAATCTCATTACCAGTATCAATTTTAAGTTAAGAAACTATAATATCCGAGTTACTTAAATTTGATTAATAGTCACTAATTGAAATTTCTTGCCAGAGAATGGGATGACTTTATGAAAATATTAAGCATGTATGTTATGTTGTTGTAGTTTTGCTTTTGACACCTAGCTGTGAATTCAATTCTTAATATCCATTCTTTCTATCCTGATAAATGGAAATTAATCTCACAAGTTGTACTATACCTGCCTGTTTTTAATGTACAAAAATTCATTTGGGATTATCTGACATGAAAATCAACTGTGAGTGAAGAGCAAGGATTATTTTAATGTTATACATTTTTTGAGGATGTACTATTAACCATTTTAAATGAAATAATTTGATTTTTAAAAACATAAATTATTGAACATAAAAAAGTAGGAGACAATGTAGGCACTGGTGCATAGAACTCCAAATCACACATTTTCAAGATTATAATTGTTTAGTTTAATGTAATAAAAAGTTATGATGTGGATTCTTTTTCTGAATATTACACAAAGAAAATAAGACAAGACAACCAATGTTATCCACTTTGTTTTCTGAACATTTCCTTCCATTTGTGAAGCTGAAGTTCTTCCATTGCAGGAATACTAATGCAGTGCTCATTGCTTTGAGTTCTAACTAGATCACAGGAAATATTGGAATATATGTTTCTGAACTCCACAACTATAGTTGGACAAATCCATCATCACAGTGGTCAACATTTCAAGCTGTAAGTGATGAATTAGCACCTTCACATCTTCTTCACTCTTCCTTAACCCCTTGAGCCTCTGTCTTCTCATCTATAACAATGAGGGCTTGGATACCCAATTTTCAGGTTATAATAAGACGGTCACTTACATATGTGTATTAGACAGGACAGTCTAGGTTCTACAACAGTAACACTCAATCCCAGAATATCAGTGTGATGCCATACCCACTCCCATCAAAACATCACTGCACCATACACTTGCATAATCATTGATACAATTCCTTGTTAACTTTTGTCTTTTTCTTTTGAACTCTTCCCACAATTTCTGGGTTCACTTATTCTCATGCTTACTCTACTATCATTTTAGGGTTTCCTTTTCATTTAAATTCTATTATATCCAAAATGTATTCCTGAAACTGTCATTCAGTATTCAATCTGGAGTCAACCTCATGTGTCAGTTTTCTACTTGAAAACTGAACAAAAGAGTACTTTTGGAGAAAATCCCCAAGAAAAATCCAGATATGGCCTCCTTCAAATATATGCTGACCTGCCAATCTGGTTTAGAGCTCATGAGCACATCTAATCTATACAATCTTAGAAAAAATTAATGTTTTATCATGAATTCACTTTTTTCCTTCCATGTAATTATATGTCATATCTCTTCTCCCTTCTCTTTACATTATTCTATAAATCTTTACTAAGGTATTAAAGGCACTAACTTTTCTATCTATAAACGTGACAGCATTGTCTTCCATTGCCTGTCAGTTACTCCACTATTTTTAGTCTTTGAATCTATATGTTCTTAGAGCTATAGCATTTTTTAAAATTTAACTAGAACTTAAAGATTATATTTAAAACTTGATTCAAATTTTCATTCTCATATATCTATCAATACAACCTCCCCCAACTTCTTACTAAAATACTCATAAAGACTCAGAAGGAAATGGAAATTCATATCATCGACAAACACTATGTCTGGCACCTAATCTAGTATCAAACTCTGAAAGACAGATGGAAGGGAAATGGGAAGAAATTGGCAATAGAGAAAACAATTAAAAGAAACCACCACCAAAATAAAAATAAATCCTACCAGATACAGGCTTTCAGTATACTCTGACCTCATTTCATTAAACAGAAACTACCTAAGAAAAGATTCTAACTTATGGCTAAGGTCATCCTAATTTACATCAGTTCAAGTACCTATGCCCACCAGAATTTTTGTTGTTGTTATTAAGTATAAAATGAAGAAATCAAAATGTCTATCCCATAGTAGGTACACATGGTTTATTATTACCCTGAGGTAGAATAATAATAGTATGCAAAACAACCTTAATCATATTCTAGAATAAATATAAAGTATAATTATATTCTCCAAACCCATATTTTATATAGCCATGGAGCCAAAAATCAAATAAATTTTGCTTTCCTTTCCTAGGGTCGCAACTTAGTTGATACGTGTATTCCTTGGTAACTAATAAGAGATCTTTGGAAGTGATTCTTGTTTGTTGTGTTATTATTTCTCTTCTATATTCTAGGTGAAAATTTGTCCTCTTCTAAAAATATGGGAGTTATTTCAAGAGTAATGTATTTTTAAATGATAGAATTGTATCCCACAGTGAACATTTTCCACCATCTCTTTTCCAGATGGGATATTTGCTTTCCCTTTCTTCTGATATATCACAAATGTGAATAGCCAATATTTTCTGGGAGGGAAAACTTTTCTCTTAAACAATAATCCTTCAATAACCATGAAAAAATGGTGCCCAGAGCACCTCTTATTTTGGAGTTGCAAGAAGTTAGTGAACAAAGAGTACATCAACTTTGTTTACACAGCAGATCTTTTAAGTTCTTAGAGTTTAATGTAGACAATGAAACATTTTGTTTCTTCTTGCCTGTGGCAGTTCCATGTCTTTTCCAAGTAGAGCCAACAAGCCAGTGTGACATATTTTCATCTTCCAGTCACAACACTTACCAGAAACAAGCAACAATCCTCTCAAATTACATTTACACTGAACTCGGAAGACAAGTGTAATCTAACTATCAAAGGGATGTTTCACTCAAGTGCTCCAACTATTGCCAACACCGCCCAGGTATAATTTGTCTTGACTAGATTTAGACAGCCAAAGCAGTGCTAAAAACAGCAACAGTCAGTTACCAGCAGCTTTAAATACACACATCATCAGACAAGTGTCTTTGAGGGGCAAGGTCTGTTTTGCAATGATGTTAAAGCTAAGCACTGCCAAAAGCTTAAAAGTGTGATTTTTAAAACATTCAGTTCAAAAGAAGGTTGTATTAAACACTTTTGTATTAAACACTTTTTGGACAGCTTTTGATGTGGTTTAATTACAGGAATTTAATACCTTTACATGAATATAAAACTGGCAGCACCTCTCTTAAATTTACATTGGGATAAGCCATGTAAGTTTACTGGTATTTGACCTTCATTATCCACATAAAGGGCTATTTATGTGGTTCAACAAACTCTAGGGCAATCCCCAGGTTTCTCTGAAGAGAAAACTTCATTCAGAAAGCTTCAATGACTAGTTTATGGTCACATGCCAATAAGTGGTGCAATGATTATTCATCATCTTCTTTCTAGTCATACTAGAACTTTGAAAAAATGTTTTACGTATCCCATGATCTCTCCTCTCTCTAGACTTCAGCACTTACTGTTAATTCTGCATGGAGGTATCCCCCTCCAGCTCTATCTACTGACTCATACCCATCCTTCTGTTCTCAGATTAAAAGACCCTACAAGAGGGAAGCCTTTCTTGATGCTCCATGGCTTTGTCAGATCTTCATTGTTTCTCTTCCCTCACAACCTCCTTCACATCACTTTCACACTTGTAGTTCTGTAATGAATCCTAATAATTGGTTTGTTGCCTGTCTTTGCTGCTAGACCATACCAGAGCTCCATGCCAGAAATCATGGCCTTTGGGTTCCATGGCTCATGACACAGTAAATTACAAACACAAGGTGTTCAGGTGTTCAGTATATCTATTTGACACAAAATCTTTCTTAGCATGCGGAAGCATCCTTTCTTAGTAGAGTTTTAATCCCCAAAGCAGTAAATTGAATACCACTAAATCATATTGCATTATATTTATTAAATTACCATGGAATTTTAGCAGTAAAATGAATATTGGAATTGGTCATGAACTGCAATTATCAACAAGAAAGTTTACGGTATTAATACACACACTTAGGCATTTAAACAAATATTGTAAATGCACCTTAATTTTGTAAACACTGAAGATTAAAAAACTAATTTGTCTCCATTTAGTATTGTTAATTATTTTTTCTTTTATAACCTAAAACACTCAAGCTACAACATATAAGTCTTGGGAAGATATAGGCTCTACCCTAAAATCCCATGTGAATATGTTGTAACTTTTTGTAGAGAAGGAACTGTAAACATGTTTAATTGACAAAATTACGTAATATCAATTGCATTTCTATTGAGCTGACTGCTTTAATGTTATAGCAGCAGTTTTTTCACTGACTTTTAATAAATTCCAGTGGATAGCTTAATTAGTAACATACAGCAAACCATCCAATAAAGAAGCTAATTACTTGATTGTTAAATAAGATAACAATTTTCCCTACAATGAAAGCTCCATCACTGTAATTAGGTTATGTCATCATTTACCCTGAAGGAATATTTAAAAAAACAAGACCAGCCAATGCCGTCCACTCTGTTTTTTCTATTTATAGCATGATGATAAATTGCTACCTTCATGTTAGAGCTAACACATCAGTAACAGAACACCAATGGCCCTTCTGATGCTCAGTTACATTTATTTTGTGGATATTAATTTAAACAGAGATCTCAAAAGATAATTATTGGCTGACTAATCATTTATAGTAAAACAGATTCATGAAATTAAAAAAACAGTGTATAATATTTAGAAAATAAAGCAGCATTTTAACAATTGATTATGCATTTTGCATTTCTACATCACCATTTCTAGTGTTCTGCATATGGGAACCTCAAAGAAAAACTACAAAGTATTGACTGACAAATTCTAAATAAAAATGAAATTACAGAAAATAGTATTTACTGGTACATTCAATAATTTTAGCATCTGCTTGTTACAGTCCCAAAATTGTTTATTGTTTAAAAACTTATCAATTATGTCAAAAATAATAATTTGGTATATCCTCATACACGTGAATATAATTAGATTAAAAAAATTAAAAGGCAGCCGGGCGCGGTGGCTCATGCCTGTAATCCCAGCACTTTGAGATGCCGAGGCGAGTGGATCACGAGATCAATCAAGAGATCAAGCATTCCTGGCCGAAATGGTGAAACCCCGTCTCTACTAAAAACACAAAAATTAGGTGGACTTGGTGGCATGTGCCTGTAGTGCCAGCTACTCAGGAGGCTGAAGCAGAAGAATTGCTTGAACCCTGAAGGCGGAGGTTGCAGTGAGCACCACTGCATTACCTGGGCGACAGAGCAAGACTCCGCCTCAAAAAAAAAAAAAAAAATTAAAAAATTAAAGAGCTCTTGTCCCGCAAATCATCTAAGTAATTTTGAGTGAGGATTAAAGGAACAAACATGAGTAAAGTAACTTTCCTTTGATGGCCTTTCTGATTCTAAAATAGGTCACCTGTCAAAAAGAAGATGGATGGTTTCCTAGTCATCATTATACCATGTCCACCACAAGAATCAGATGCTTGATGCAATGAATCTGTTACCCTAATGGCATTTAACTTGTAATAGATTTTTTTAAAGCGTGATTTGAACTTGTGAAGGACAGCTATTCTTTTCCTTCACCTTGCTAGGAAAAATGTGTGTTTCTTTGTTCATGAAGTTTAGTTTGATCATTAAGAATAAACAAGCCAACAAAACCTTAAGCACTTTCTGAATGAAATAAAGAAAAATTGCCACCCATAAAAGCACTATGAAGTCTTTTACAAAGAAAACACATAAAGGTGCATATGCAACTACAAACCCCTGTAAACATATACAAACCTTACACATATAAGGTGTAATTATGAACTGACAGTCTTAATTTTCTTTCACAGAGTTTCTCTATACTGTATAGTTACATATATATATTGTATACATACACATATGCTTATGTGTGTGTGTATATTTGAAAAGATTTTAACCCAGACTTCTAAGTCAACTTTTTGACTGTATAGATTTGACTGATTTTCTTTTATCTAATTATTCTGATGATCAGGAAATTAACAAGGATAATTGTAAGACACTTGGAAAATTCCGATATTATAATACAGGTAATAACTGTCATTATAATTCCACTGTCTTAGTTTATTTTTGCTGCTAGAGCAAAACACCTTAGAGTAGGTAATTTAGAAAGAACAGAAATGTATTTATCACAGTTCTGGATGCTGGGAAGCCCAAGATCAAGGCACTAACAGATTAGGAAGCAAAAAGGGATGGATACTGTGTCTTCACATGACAGAATAGATGGAATGGCCAGGAAGCATTCTGAAGCCTGTTTTACAAGGACATTAATCTATTTACAAGGGTGAAGCTCTCATGACTTAATCATGTTCCAAAAGGTCCTACCTCTTAATAACATTACCGTGGGTTTTAAGTTCCAACATATGAATGTTGGAGAGGCACATACATTCAAACCATAGCATCCTCCATATCAAAATAACCGTGATTATGCTTTGTTATATTTCCTTTATTCCCTGAATAATGGTGATTCCTTAATTTTGCTTTTTCCACTTCACATAAAGATTTTTTACATTTCACCTTAAAACTTTTGTTAACAAAACATATTCTTTATATGGTGGTGTTATAATTTACTATTGCTCAATTTAGTATAAGTGCAATGAACGGTAGATATGTTTATACATAAATTAACATCTTTTATAGATTTTTAAAACGAGATTCTTTGAAGAAAAATGACCGAGACAAAAGTTACCAATTATTTTTGGATGCCTAGGTACATTTCCATATTAGTTTTTTCATATATATGCTTAAGAGAAGTCTGTGATATTGGTATTATAATTACTAACTGAGCAGCATTCAATGATAGCATTTAAGAATCTGGCAAAGTGAAATGATAAAAATATTGTATAATAATTTTTAATATGATTTGACAACAATTAATTTCACAGTTGTTTCACATGTATTTGAATTTTTTATTTTTGTATTTTAAAAATTATATATCCATTTAAATATTTTCTTAAAAAATTACTTACAAGTATAAGTCTCAGTGGAAGAAGTGGAAAATTGTTTTATATGCATTTGCATTTCCTGCTTTTTCAAGTTTCTCTTTGGGTTCTCTATTTGGATTTTGTAATCTATTGACTATATGAAATAGTGTGAACACATGTTCACCATGAGTTTGAGTAAACAGTGTTATTGGATACATAAATACTAGAACTGGATATCAAAAACAAGGCTGTGGTCTTGGAAGTTAACACTATTTTTGTTTGCCATTCTGGATCTATCCTCCACCACCATTTTCATACCTTCTTTGTTACTGGAGGCTGAAATATGTGGACTCCATCGTGGGGTATTTTACCTTCCAGCTTGGAGCAAGGAAATTGAGGTCAGGGCATTTATTTTCCAGTTTCCTCCTTGCAGAGTTGCCTAGGTCTAGCTGAGTCACACAAACAAGTTTACACTAAAGCTGTTTGTTGAGCTGGAAGTGGAATTCAATTTTGTGTTTTCTGGTTTTACATAATTTCTATTGTTATTTCAATAACATTACTAATAAACTGAATATAAAAGTTTTTCTATCAATGAAAAATAGGGATGTTAAAATTTATTTTGCACTCTTAAAAGAGAGCTTACTAGTTATGCAAATTTTGATTAATAATTATTTATCAAAATGTAGAAGATATCAGATCATTTTCATTCTGACATCTATTAAATCTGATGAGAATTCTATACTTAAAATCATTGCTATCCAATCATGAATTTTCTTTTCCTTCTCTTTATTTTTCTCCTGCTTTGGTTTTCTTTTGCTTTTTTGATTTTGTTTATAGATACATAGTAATTATACATATGTATGGGGTACATGTGAAATTTAGATACACTCATTCAATATATAATAATCAAATCATGATATTGAGGATATCCATCACTTCAAATCTTCATACTTTCTTGTGTTGGGAATATTTCAAATCTGCTAGCTATTTTGGACTATACAATAAATTATTGTTAACTGTAGTCATCCCACTGTGCGGCAAAACACAAATTTGTTTCTTCTGTCAACTGTGTTTGTACCCATTAACCAAGCTCTCTTCATCCCTCATCCCCACCCTTCCTCTGCCTACATGGGATCAATGTTTTTAGCCCCCACATATGAGAACATATAATATTTGTTTTTCTGTGCCTGGTTTATTTTGCTTAATTTAATGACTTCAGGTTCCATGCATGTAGTTGCAAATGACAGGACTTCACTCTTTTTATGGCTGAAGAGTATTCCACTGTGAATATATACCACATTTTCTTTATCCATTCATCCACTGATGGACACTTAAGATTGATTTCATATATTGGCTATTGTAAATAGTATTTCAGTATATATTGGAGTGTAGATATCCTTTTGATATACTGATTTCCTTTCATTTGAATAAGTATCAAGTAGTGGAATTGCTAAATGTTGCTAAATGATATGGCAGTTCTATTTTTACTTTTTTGATAAACCTCCATATAGTTTTCCATAGTTGCTATGCTAATTTGGATTCCCACCAACAGTGTACAAGAGATCCCTTTTCTCTGCATCCTCACCAGCATTTATTTTTTTGTAATTTTGATAATAGCCATTCCAACTGGGGTAAGATTATATCTGACTGTGGTTTTTATTTTCATTTCCCTGAAGATTGGGGATGTTCGGCATGTTTTATATACCTTTTGGCCACTTGTATGTCTTTTTTTGAAACATGTTTCTAGTTAGGTCCTTTGCCTACTTTTTAATGAGATTATTTGTCTTTTTGTTGGCGAGTTGTTTGAGTTTCTCGTATATACTGGGAATTAGTCTTTTGCCAAGAAATAATGTGCAAATCTTTTCTTCCATTCAAAAGGTTGTCTCTTCACTCGGTTGTTTCTTTCCTTTGCTGTGCAGAAGCATTTTCATTTAATATAGATATATTTGCCATTTTGTTTTTGTTACCTGGGCTTTTGATGTCTTAGCCATAAAATCTTTGCCTAAACCAATGTCCTGAGTGTTTTCTCTCAGTAATTTTATAGTTTTGGGTCCTCCATTTAAATCTTTAATTCACTGTGAGTTGATTTTTATATTTGGTGAGAGATAATGGTCTAGTTTTATTACTCTGCCTATGGATATCCAGTTTCCTAGCACCAGTAATTAAAGAGAGTGTCCTGTCCTCAATATGTTCTTGGCATCTTTTTAGAAAATCGGTTGCCTATAATTATGTGATTTCTCAGTTTTCTATTTTGTTCCATTAGAAAAGTTTCTATTTTTATACCAATACTATGATGTTTTGATTGCTATAGGTTTGTATTAACATTTAAAGTCAGGTAGTGTGATGCCTCCAGCTTTGTTCTTTTTGCTCAGTATTGTTTTGGTTAATTGGAGACTTTTGTGATTCCATACATGAGAATGTTAATGGTATTGTTAAAGGAATTACATTGAATTTGTAGACTAGTTTTGGTGTTGTGGTCATTTTAACAATTATTTTTTTTGACCCATAAGCATGGGATGTCTTTCCATTTGTTTGTGTTCTCTTCAATTTCTTCAACAAGTGTTTTGTAGTTTTCCTCACAGGCATTTTATACCTCTGTGGTTAAATTTGTTCCAAGGTATTTTGTGTAGCTACTGTAAATGAGATTTCTTTTTCAGCTAGTTACTTATTGGGATATGTAAACAGTAATGACTTTTGTATATTGATTTTGTATCTTGTAACTTTACTGAATTTATCAGTTCCCTAAATTTTTGAGAAAGCATTAGGTGGTTCTACAGATAAATTATGTCATCTGCAAAAAGTGACAATTTGACTTCCTCTTTTCCAATTTGGATGATTTTTCGATCTCTCTTGGCTGATTGCTTTGACTAGAACTTCCAGTATTATGTTGAATAAGAGTAGTAGCAGTGCTGGGCACAGTGGCTCACACCCGTAACCCCAGCACTTTGGGAGGCCGAGGCAGGAGGATCATGAGGTCAGGAGATCGAGACCATCCTGGCTAAAAGGGTGAAACCCCATCTCTACTAAAAATCCAGAAAAATATTAGCCGGCGTGGTGGCGGGCACCTGTAGTCCCAGCTACTCGGGAGGCTGAGGCAGGAGAATGGCGTGAACCTGGGAGGCGGAGCTTGCAGTGAGCTGATATCGGGCCACGGCACTACAGCCTGGGCGACAGAGTGAGACTCCGTTTCAAAAAAAAAAAAAAAAAAAAAAAAAGAGTAGTAGCAGTTATTGTTTCCATTTTCACTTCTTATTTTATTTATTTGAGTCCTTTTTTCTTTTTCTTTTTTCCTGGTTAGCTAGCATTTTATAGGTTTTTATCTTAAAAAATACCTTTTTTTTTATCCTGTGTATTATTGTAGCCCCAGTTTTGTTAAATTCTTCTCTGACCTTTATTTCTTTCCTTCTACTAGTTTTGGGTTCGGGTTGCTCTTGCATTTCTAGTTCCTTGAGGTTGTTAACTTGAAATATTTCTTCTTCATAATGTAGGCATTTATTGCTATAAAGTTTCTACTTACCACTGCTTTTGCTGTAACCCAATAGTTTTGATATGGTGTGCTTTCATTTTCATCTGTTTCAATTTTTTTATTTTTTATTTTTTTGACACGGAGTCTTGCTCTGTCGCCCAGGCTGGAGTACAGTGGCACGATCTCGGCTCACTGCGAGCTCCGCCTCCCAGGTTCCGCCATTCTCCTGCCTCAGCCTCCCGAGTAGCTGGGACTACAGGCGCCCGCCACCACGCCCGGCTAATTTTTTGTATTTTTAATAGAGACGGGGTTTCACCTGTTAGCCAGGATGGTCTCAATCTCCTGACCTTGTGATCCACCCGCCTCGGCCTCCCAAAGTGCTGGGATTACAGGCGTGAGCCACCACACCCAGCCTCATCTGCTTCACTTTTTTGATTTCCTTTTTAATTTCATTATGAACTTAAAAGTTCAGTAGGAAGCATATTATTTAATTTCAATTTTTATAAGTTTGTTGAGACTTTTTGTGTGTATTAACATATGGTTAATCCTGAGGAATGTTTTATATGCTAATGAAAAGAATGTGTATTCTACAGCTTTTGGTGAAATGTTATGTAAATATGTGTTAGGTCCATTTGGTTTATGGTGTAGTTGAAATCTGATCTTTTGTTGTTCATTTTCTGTCTGGAAGACTCATCCAATACTAACTATGGAATGTTGAAGTAAGTCCCCAAGTATTGTTGTACTAGAGTTTATTCTTTCCTTATATCTAGTAATATTTGCTGTGTGTTCTGGTTTTGGGTGCATATATATCTAGAGTTGTTATATCCTCTTGCTGAATTAAGTTTTTTATCATTATATAGTCACCTTCTTTGTCTCTTTTTACTGCTCTTAATTTAAAGTCTATTTTTCTGTAAGTATAGCTATTTCTGTTCTCTTTTGGTTTCCAGTTGCGTGGCATACCTTATTCTATCCCTTCACTTTCAGTCTCTGTGTTTCTTTACAGGTGAAGTAAGTTCCTTAAAGACAGCACATAGCTGGGCCATGTTTGATTCATTTTGCTTTTTATAATTCATTCAACCAGTTTTTATATTTTAAGTGGTTAATTTAATGCATTTTCATTCAGGGTTAATATTAATGCATTTTCATTCACATGACTTATTCTTGTTATTCTGTTAATTGTTCTGTATATCCTTTTGTTCCTTTCCTTCTCTCTTATTGTTTACCATTGCAGTTTTTTTTTTTTTATAATGGTAATGTTTGTGTCCTTTCTCTTTTGGGTGTCTGCATTAGTAGTGATTTGTGAATTTTTATGTTTTTTCAATGATAAGAGATACGATCTTTTCACTTCTAGATGTAGGACTTCCTTCAGCATTTCTTGTAAGACTGGTATAGTGTTGATGAATTCCTTCAGTTTTTGCTGGTCTGAGAAAGATGTTATTTCTCCATTAGTTTTGAAGGATAGAATTTCTAGTTATAGTATTCTTGGTTAGCAGTTTGTTTTTCTTTCAGTATTTTGGATACATCATTTTGTTTTATCCTGGCATATAAATGTTCTGCTGAGAAAAATGCTGTTACTCTGGTGAGGGTTCCCTTATATGTGACATGATGCTTTTCCCCTGCTGTTTTTGAAATTCTCTTTTTGTCTTTTACTTTTAACATTTCAACTATACTGTGCCTTTGAGAAGTCCTTTTTGGATTGAATATATTTGGAGATCTTTGAGCTTTCTATAACTGGATATCTATATCTCTTGCAAGACATGTGAATTCCTCAGCTATTATTCTGTTGAACAGGTTATCTATGCTGGAACACACCAAAATTTGAATATTGGGTCATTTTATTGTGTTTAATATGTAATGTAAGCTTTGTTCATTCTTTTTAATTATTTTTTGTTTCTCTTAGTTTCCTTTTCTGGTCTGATTGGGATATTTCAGAAGATTTGACTTCTTCTGTCTTCTGCTTGAGCTACTCTATCATTGAAAATCTCTACTGTATTTTTTATTTTACTCATTGAATTATTCATTTCCAGGATTTCAGTTTGGTTCTTTTAATGATGTGTATCTCTTCTACCTCTTTACTGAATTTCTCATTCATATCCTGAATTGTTTTTTTCTGATTTATTTGTGCTGTTTATCTGTGTTCTCTTGCATCTTAATGCACTTATTTAATATCACAGGTTCCAGTTATTTTTAAGGAATTTCATAGATTTTTGTTGGTGTTAGAATCTGTTGATGGAGGATTGCTGTGTTCCTTTGTAAGTGTCATGCTTCCTTGCTTTTTCATGTTTCTAGTGTTCTTACATTGATATCTGTGCATTTGGTGTGATAGTCACTTCTAATTTTTTGAATTTGCTTTTGTTAGGGAGAACTTTTTCCTCAAGATGTATGTATGGTATTGGTTGAGTAGGTTACTTTGGGTTTGATTCTGGGTGGGTGCAATAGTGTAGTCTGTGTATGATTTATTAGGCTGTAGTCAGTGTCAGTGGTGTCTGTGAGTTCCTCATTGGCTTAAGCTGTGGTTGTCTGTAGATTCTGTGATGAAGTTTTGCTGGGAATGGGGACATCAGTTGCATCAGTCCTTGGGCCCCAGTGGTGGTGGTGGCATGGTAAGTATGAGGATTCTTGGGCTCCCTTGTGGCATACACAGAAAGTAGTGGTACTGGTCTGAACAGGTTGATCTTGGAACCTCCAGACAGCTTTCTTGGGTGCCAACAGTGGCAGCAGTGGGTCAGGCTTTCAGGTGGGTTTATGTGCCTCTGGGTGGTGTGCACAGCATTGGTGATGGCAGTTGTGATGTTAGGTCAACCCTCAGGCCTGCAGGCAGCACATACTGGCACCGGCAGTGGCCACAGCAGACTGGCTGATTTAGTCCCCAGGCCCTCAGGTGATATGTGCATGTTGGTGCCAGCAGCAGTGATGGCATCAGGCTGAAGGGGCCTGGGGACAGGAGGAGTATGCAAATGCTGTCAGTGAGGTAGGAAAACATTGATCCCCAAGCCCTCAGACAATGTGCATAAGCACTGGCAGGGGTGGCACCAAGAAGAGCAGACCCATCCCCAGGGTCCCTGATGGTGTGTGCAGGTACAGGCTGCAGCGGATGTGTTGATCAGTCACCAGGCTCTGATCACATCTGTTGCTGCCAGCAGGCTAGGGAAGCCCATGCCCAGGCCCCCAGATGATGCACATGGGCACTTGCAAGGGTGGTTCTGGGTGGGGATATCCTGTCCTTAACATCCCCTTATAGGGTCAGCGACCACCAGCTGGTGGCAGACAGGGTAGATCAATCCCTAGGCTCCCAGATGGCATAGAGGCAGTGGCAGTGTAGGTGGGAAGGGCTGGTTTTCAGTCTCCTTAAATGCCCACGCAGTTGTGCAGTGGCCCTGCAGCTAGGGGTGTGGGGTGCTATAACTGGCACTGGACCAAGGCAGGTGGCTCTCAGGCTCTGGGGAACACATTCTTTGGCTCTTTTTGACCTGGGGGCAAACTTTCCAGTGTGCTGCACCACCCTTTTTCCAGGGTGTGCTAGAATGCTAGGGCCTTGGCCACATTACTGAGTCTGCCCAGCATGATGATGCTGCAGCCTTCTGTGTGGACATGGGGTGATGTCAGCAGGGTTTCAGGGACATGGAGATGCAGGGGTTCATGGGCCTGGGGCAGGATGTAGTCTTGTGGGGTCTGATACCTCAAAATTACACCATCCCATGATTTCTTGGGTCTCGGGGGAAATGTGGAACCCAGCATGAATTTCCTCTCTGGAATGGGGCCACTGCATGGACCCTATGCAGGTCCTTACACAAGTCTCAGGGCCCACAAGGGTCAAAGGGCTCCGCCATAGCGGGTATAGCAGAAATCTCCAATGGGAATGTGGACTGATGCAGATCTTTCACCTACCTTTTACCCACAGTGGGAAGTTTCTGCTGGTTCTGAGCCAATGCTGGCTGAAACAACCATTTCACTTCCATCTCTTTCTATGCCTCAAAGGCTGAATTCCAGTGCTGGCTTTTGGATGCTCTATTCAATATCTAAGTATCTCCTCACTATTATGGTCCTTCTTTGTAAAGGAGGCGAGTGCCAGGTAACTTAAGCCAGCCACCTTGATGACTCCCTCCTTTTTCTTTTTAAAAATATTTTCTTTATATTTGATTATCTGGAACTTTATTAATATATGCAAAGAAATTACTATATTTTTGTGTATCTTGCTTGGCCCCTTTGTAGTTTTTATCTAAAGGCACATTTTTTTCTTTAATTCTGGATTAACCATTGGGTGAAATGTATGTTTGCATAATTACAAAGTTTCACTGCTTAGATTGCTTGCTGGATACTAGAGGAAAAGTGTAATTTTCCAGTGGAAAAGATAAGACAATTACCCTTTAACCCAACAAGCAATGTTACTATCACCAACAGGGAGACAGCCAGACATCACATGTCTTTCTTTGCTTCACGTTGCTTCTCCTCTTTACAGAGTCCTAATTTCATACTCATATTGTTAATAAGAAAGATGCTTTCCTGCGACAACTAACTGTAAAAACAGCACAATTGTGTAACAGTGCAGAAACATAATTAACATTAAAAGAAAGTAGTTTAGTGCCTAACTAGTTATCCTCCAAAGATGTTACATCAACTCATAAGCTTTTAAAATTTTGTTCACAAAATTTGCTCACTACTCTCTTCTCATTTTTCTACTAATTCAGAGCAACAATGCAAAGAGGCGATTTGGGGGAACTTTATCCTCCAGTGATACCCAAAGCATACACTATAGTTAAAAATAATGTGCTTCTTATGCAAATAAAGTATGAAGAATCATCCATAGATGTAAGAGACATGTCACCAAATTGTTATCTCCAAGCATTTACAATACAAAAATTCCTAGAAAAAATAGTGCCACCTACATTGACAATTATTCAGTTCTTATGAAAGGCCTATTATCACTTCAGATCATTTGCATACTCTTTAATTTTACTCTTCTTTATTCTTCTAGTACACTCACAATCCTAACTGGTTAACTTCCAGGAAATTTTGAAGACTTAAGCACTTTTCCTTACTCCTCACACTAAGTCATAACTCATGGTTACACATCTCTTTTAGCAGATTGCACATTTTTACATAAGGCATGATAATTGTTCAATATTTAAAGTTTTAATAATTTGTAAGCCCTATAAGAAAAGTGAGTATATATTCTATTCACTACTTCAGCGTAGTGCTTAGCAAAATGCCTAGCACATGTTGGGAACTAAACAAATATTTGATGAATACCTGAATGACTCAATAGAAGGTATTGTGAAAAATGCTGTTTTAAATTTTTTCTCCAAATTTATATGTACTGTCCAAACACTTAATAAAGGAAGGAGACAACTCACTGACTCACCACATAATTTATGACACATTCTCATTTGTATACAGTCCCAATCATCTCTTGACAATAAGGGTGATAAGAATCATAGCTTAGGAATAGATTACAGTTTGCATAATTTTCTCATTTGATACATATTTGAATAGACTTTAATGTCATATTTTCATGAACTTCAGTAAACTTTGAATTTAAAGCTAGTAAACTATTATTCATTTTTATATACTGGATATTGTTGGTTATTCCAACTGAGAACAATAGTTGCTAGATATTTATGAAATGAATGTCACAAAGGATGGCTCTAGTCATGGATGTAACAAATGCTCTTCTTATTTAATATCTCAAGTCCCTGAGGGCAAAATGCTGATAATTGCAATTATTGACAGAGCCTTATCTATAATGAAGAAGTATGAATTCCCATAATGGTCAACCAAGAAATCTTATGGGAAACATAACGAGAAGGCAGTGTGGTACACAAAGTTTGGTCCCAGGTTTGTATGTTACTCACTGTGTGCCCTTGGGAAATAGTTATTTCAGCATTTTCAATTGAATGCCATCATCTAAGTGAAACATCTTCCGACTGTTGGGAGATATTTTTGGTATCACTTTTATTTTTAATTTTTAATGTTACTTCAAATTTCAAAATCAGCTAATTCATGTTTTATAACCAATGAAACAACATAGCAAAAAGCTTATAATTTTATTTCCACCACTACTTTCAATTCCATCCAACACTGGAAAGTGATTTTTATTCCCTGGTACATATCATTACACATTTTTCTCCTTGCTCATGCAGACATTTATTTTATATACATATATGAATTCATAATTCATATACCATGAATTTATGGTATATATATATATACCCAAGACATTCTCAGTTTAAGCATATATATATATATGCCCAAGACATTCTCAGTTTAAGCCTGTTCTACTAGTATAATCATTAATGCAGCTCCTTTTATTCTCAAAAACATCAAGATTTGGATGATGAATTACATAGTCAATCTTTTTTTTTCAATGTTTGGCTTTAATTTACTGTAACTATTAGCATAATGCTCACCCTTTGGTAAGTAACAATTGCAGATGTTGTCATTAGGATTCTCACTTCCTAAGCACCTATCAAACATTTCATAATGCAGCTATAGGGGGAGTGGTTTAGTAGTATCAGAACTTACAGTTGAATTGGTGAAATACAAGTTATTGAAATATTTTAATTGAGATTGAGTCTTGCTTTGTTGCCAGACTGAAGTGCAGTGGTGTGATCACAGCATACTGCAACGTCTATCTCTGGGCTCAAGTGATCCACCTCAGCCTCTCGAGTAGCTGGGACCACAAGTGTGCACCACACCGGCCGGCTAATGTTTTATTTTTTTAATTTTTTCAAAATGGGATCTCACTTATGTTACTCAGGCTGGTTGTGAGCTCCTGACCTCAAATGAACCTCCTGCCTCAGCCTCCCAAAGTGCTGAGATTACAGGCGTAAGCTACTGTGCCTGGCCTTTAATACTTTTTAATAGGTAAAATTTTATGCTTTTTATTAAAAGATGAAAAAGTAAATTCTATAATCTTTCATCTACTTTATAATCTTAAATTGAGGGTAGAGAGGAACCTGTGTAATACTGAAGTAACAAGGTTCAGAAAAGTTAAGTGATTTATTTAAAATTACACAGGTACTTAGTGTCATTGTCTAGCTCAGCTCTCTCGCTGGAAATACATAAAATGTTAGCAACATAGGTTGAGACCCCTGAATTTATTATGCTATTTTAAACCAGAATATGACTAATTTAATTGGGCTCATCTTGCGGCATATAAATAACTATGATTTTTTAAAAAATCTTTTTTTTTTTTTCTGTAGAAGAAGATAGGCATTTTCAACTGAGCAGGCAAATCTAAAAGCATGAGGTATAAGGTCTCACCTGCCCAGCCAACAAGACAGTAGCATAAGCCTCTGCAGTTAGCCAGGTTTTTTAATTGATTCAGATATTCAGCAGGCCAGTTTTTAGCCTGTGTTTAAAAGGCAGTTATTTTTCTCCATCAACCACTGTTCTCCACCCTCCAAATCAACAATGGATAATTTTAACGAAAGTTGGAGAGACAGAACTTTTGTAAAATAAATTGATATAGTGATGCAATAACATATTTTTTTCTCTGCTTGCTTGTGTTTTAAATTTTCTTAGTTAATTTCAACTCTGACTACCATATTTTATATGGACTGAATATAATAAAAAAGGTAAAAAGTTATTCCAAGGGCAAATATGCTACATTGAAGTACATAAGAACACATTTTTAAAATATCTAAAGGAGAGATATAATCAGGGGCTTTTGGGTGAAAAGCTCATTTTGTTTTGAAATAAGGCGTATTTCCTCAGTAATTTTTCAGGTTTATTGTCACTGTAGTTAAGAAGATGAGCCATGCTGCTGAAGGATAAATAGAAGATATATTTGAAGTTCATATAAAGAGGAAAATGAAGTATGCAACCCTTGATGAAATAAAATGAAAGAAAACTGAGAGAGCAAGTATCAATATTTCAAAGATAGAGAAATAATGAGAGAATGAAAGATCCTCATGAGGAATTTTCAACAGGTTTGAAAGTTCAGGTAAGATAAGCCTTTCTAAATTTAGATGCTCTTTGGAATCATATTCTAATTTTTGAAGGAGCTACTTTTTTGTATTTTTTGCAGACAAAATGAGCTAATTTCTTATGAAAACCCTTGATCTTTTTGCCTTGTTATACTTGAAAATTAACTACAGTGTTCAATAAGCTCTCAGAAAGGCCCATCAGCAATATTAAACATATATATTTATTAAACAAACATAACATTTATAAATATGTTTGGATTTTGAGATTTGCATTCTAGAAAATGTGTGAGTCGTAATAATCTTGCTAAAAATGATAGAAATAGTCAAAAATAATAAGTGCAAGCAAAAGTTTTAAACTTCTTTTTTATTTTTTATGTTTAAGTTTTCCCAAATGTACCTAAGAATGATTTTTTTTTTGAGTGGTAGTAAAAAAATTTTAAGAACATTTGTTATTATGTATGAATACAAACTATAGGTTTACATTTGCTGAGCATATATTGTACATTGTCTAATTCAATCCTCTAATTATTCTTTGAAAAATGAATATTAATTACTTTTATTTTAGAAACAAGGAAATTGAAATTGGATCTAAAGTCAAGTAGTTTCACTGCTAGAGCTAGATCCACATAATCTGATTCTATATTCTATTTGTAATTATGTGATCTAGTGTATATAATGAAATCCTCCTCTATGTACAAAAGAACCAAAGTGCACATACATTAAGCAAACAACTCCATTGTTCTTATATGCCATGTTCTTTCCAATACTAAAGAGCCTGATGACATTTTTATTTTTGTTACATTTTACTACAGAGTGGGATCTGGATATTTACCAAAATGAATAAATAGCCAAAAGACTCCCAATTTCTAAATAATTGGTTATTTATACAACCTATCTTTTCAACATTTGAATGCATGTTTGTCTTTATAAATACACACACCCATACACAGATATAATATATGTGTGTGTACACATATGATATGTGTGTGTGCATATATACATATACACACAAGGTCTATCAGTCTCTCTGCTCTGAATTATTGGCACAGAAAGAGGAAACTGGCACCCAGTTGCTGCCATCCCTTCCCATCTTTAGTCCCTGGGGTTTCCAGGCTATGTAGTGTCAGTCACCCTTATTCACATGGGAGTCTGTGGTGGACACCTGGCTTTGTATGTATACCTCGTCCATATGTTACTATCCTAACTTACTTCATGTTGTTACTGGATCATTCCTAGATATGTATTCCACAGTATTCCACATAACTTTTTGGACAAAGGTCTTATTCATTGACTTTAACGTTTTAAATAACTTTTTTTGTGAGTTGCCTTTATGTCTTCTATGTTCGTAAAGTACACTATTACACAAAAGAGATAACCGTACATCTTTGCGAAGTGTTTACATTTTCTGTAAAACCAATCAATAGAGAATGAAATGGTATAAAATAAGGTCATTTGAGTTTATGACACATACATGAAATGCATTTTGCACATATGAATAAAAATGAATCTTGTAGGCTATATTCTGGTTAGTTGTTGATGAACAGGCAAACAAGTTATAGAATGTCCTTTCAAACAATATAGTGGGAGGAATACTCATCTAGGAGTTAAACACCCCTCACTTTGAATTCTGACTTGGGAAAATTAATTGATCCTGAGTTTTAGTTATCTTACCAACAAAATGGAGATAATAATAACAACTACTTTTCTGGTTTATTGTGTGTAATATAGTAAGATATCGTACATGCTAACTAAATTTTACCACATAAAGTTTACATGTAAATTGTACGTATAATAGGAAACATGCTTGCGTTTGAAGTACTGCAACTCAAATATATTCTCTGCAAATTTGCTTCTTCTGACTGCATTTTTTTTACATATAATTCAGATTTGAAAATACATAACACTGTTTGTAATTACTTACCATCTTTTCCTAGATGGAAACCTTCCTACCCCTCTTTTTGTCTTTGTAATTTTTTTTCTCAGGATTATAATGTTTTATCTTTTTCAATATCTGGAAATTTCTTTTATACAATATTACTACAATCTGTACTTAGGTAGCCACTGAAATTATGTTACTATAGATGACAGAAAAGTTATATATAAGAATAGCTAAAATAGCTACTATAAATGGGTGTCCATAAAGTGAATAGAGGGAGTAGAAAGCATTTGCTTCTTAAAATGACCTTATTTTAAACACAATCAGAAGGAACATTTTCAGAGAGGCAAGATGATTGTCCATACTGTAGAGGTAGTGAGCCACACTTTTATAGCCTAAAATGTCAGAGCCTTCCATTATAGTTAAGAAGATTAATATATAAGAAGGTCATATGCCACCTTTCCAGTTTATGAGAATATATGATCTGTTTTAACTAAATAATTGAAATTTTGGAACCTTACAAATTTCTCATGTATAAATGTTCATCACTCAACACATTGAATATTGATAGGATATTTTAAAAAAAAGACTGCTTAAAATGTAAGTTATGGTGTATAAAGAGATTATTTAATATTTCCAGGATTACATAAAGGAAATATATAAATCAAGGAAATATTCTTAGACTTTTATAGAAATTTAGGAGAGCATAAATATCTAAATTGTCAGAAAGTTTAGGGAAAAATAAAAAAACTTTTATTTCAAGAGTTGTAAATGGTTTAAGTTTAGTATGAATGTGTGTTCTTTCCCCTAATTTATTTCAAGTTACCAAAATTCTGGCAGACTAATAATATGTTTTGATACAGAACTTTTGGATTTAATATTTTTTTACTTGGCTCTAAAGGATCAGATGGATGGTTAGCCTGGCAATGCTGGTGGGTGTTTTACTAGAATTATCATGACCTTCTTCAGATGTGTGTTGGAAATGGTCTTTGGGTAAATGATTACTAAGGTGGCATAGCTAATATTAAAGTGGAGTGCCAAAAATTGAACACTTGAGCTTTATAAGCCACTTAATGAATAAATTGCAACACATTATATTAACCTAACAAAGTAATTGTTAATCGGTTTAATTTTAAGAAATCAGTCTTTGTCTATGCTGTCTTCTCTGATATGTGTGTATCTTAAAAAAAAAAGCTGCAATAAGGATAAAGGATTTATAATGGACAGCATTTCAAGATACTTTTCATGGAACAAAACCATCTGGATAATTTTTATCTTATAAAATTTCATTTAAAAACAACAACAAAAGCCCCTAACATGCCATTACTTCTTTTATGTATTTGCTTTCAATACAATTTGTATTTATTTTCAGAACTGTTAGGAACGAAATGTGTTTTTTTCCTTCATAAATAAGATATACGCTATAAGCACCATCGAAATGCACAAAGCCAATTAACTCTGTTTCAGAGCTACAGTAAAAATGCTGCATTTTGCTTCTTATATATAGCAATAAGAAAATATTTTTTCCTTCATCAACGTTCAAAGTTGTATCAAAGCAGTGTTGCTTTTTTGTGGAATAGAAAAAGCACTGACCTTCATGACTGCATTTCCACATATTAGCAAAATGACCTTGGACTTGTCACTTAAACTTTACGAGTCCCGGTTTTCTTCTGTATAAAAGAGGGATAATAACTGGCCCTTTAACTACTGGATTATTGAGAATGTCAAATGACATAATGGATATTAAATCGCTCTTAAAATTAAAGCCATATTGTGATTGTTATTATTACAGCTCTCTTTGTGTTTTTTATAAGCCTTTAATAAAAAGATGTACTTTAGTAACCACTTAAATTATGTTACTATAGATGATAGAAAAGTTATGTATAAGAATAGCTAAAATAATCATTTACAATGTTGACATCAATTCTGAACTGATATTATCGGGCAAGTAAAAAGCTTAAGAGAACATTTAAGGTTACCTGACAAAACAGGAATTATTATATAATATAAGATGTTTTATTCATGTTAGTTGAGCAATGTTGAACAAGTTAAAAGTGACATTTAAACCAGAGTGGAGGAGTTAAGTGTGAATCAAACTTGTATTTGCCAAAATAGGTACCTGGTATTCTTACAGATTTTGTGGATAAAAATAATTTTAAAAGTTTATTCACACTAGATGTATTTTTCTTCATGTAAGACCCATATTTTAAAGGCTATTACTATAACAATTTTTTGTACTGAGTTTATTCGACATTAGTGTTATGAAGAAATTTTAGAAAATCTGGAAACCCTCTATTGATGAGAAACTGTAGTTATTAGGAAAAATAGTGGAAAAATAATGAGGTTCAAAATTAAGTGACATTTTGAAAAGACCAATATGAAGAAAAGGAAGAATTGCAAGATGGAAATTAATGTAACCTTTATTTAAATTTAGATTAAGGCTAAAAAACCTGAGTATCTTAGCTGACTGTAAGTCTAAGCTATAAACCAGAGCAAATTTTAGATTTGGAAATCATATTGCTGAAAGATTTGTTTGAAATATGCTTCTTCTTCAGTTATTTAAAGTCCAACAGTGTGTTTGTTTCAGATAAATGAATCTAAAAGATTTCCTTTACTAAATTCTAAAAAAAGAAAACAAAAGAAAAGAAGAAATTCCCAGAGGAAATTTAGGTATCCAGTTTAGATAGTCTGAATATGATGGATATTAAAACGCTATCGACCTAGGAGTCAATAACTCGACGAAACAAAATTAATTCTACTTTCACATCCTTACAACTTCAGTCCCTTTGAAGGAAAAAGAAAATCAGTGTAAAGTTTTGTTTGATTAGGAATGTGTACTTTATGTGTCCTTTCAAAATGTGACTTATTTTCAAGTATCTTTGTTCAAAATAGTTTCATTGTAGGGGGAGGGGATTAGCAAACTGATGCTTCCTTTCTCATGCTCAATAAATATTTATTTGTATTTCATGATTATATTGACAGAGTAAACACAAACCATAATATACTAAACAACTGGTCCTTTTGCCTTCCTTTTAATGGGCTTAAAAAATGAGTTTAATATGCATAATACCAATAATCATCTTTATTTAGCTTTATCTCTGTTACTTTTGACTAGAGAAGAAGTAAATGCAACGTAAAAAATATAGTTTTTTTGCTTCTGTTCTACAGACATTTAACAAATCAAAAAGGTATATTTTCAATTAATATAAAATCATTGATTTGGGGTCCTAAAATACAAGTTTAAATGTTTTTCTTGCCATTTGAAATTTATAATTTAAGAAAATTACCTACCTCTTATTTTAATTATCTGCAAAATGCGGCTAGTGACCTACCTCACAAAGTTATTGCAAATTTTAAACCAAAAGCAGCTTATGAAATGCTATTGTGCCCATTGTATATAGTGATATAAATGCTAGTTGTTATAATATTGCTGTTAGGTGGGTACAAAAATAATTGGACATGACAAATGCAAAGAAGAAGAAGGAAAACCAGTCTAACACAGATAGAATCCATCTGTTCTGATATCTTGATTTAACGGGATTATGTCAGCCCAACTCCAGCGAAGGATGAAAATAAAGGCATAAATAGGGAGAACTGTGTGGACATACTTTAGAACAACCGAAACAAGAAGGTTAATTTATTGGTATTCGATAAAAACGTACTAGTGAGCTGAGAACACCATCTGAGAAGGATCAGCGTGGGGTCGGGGGAGGGGGGAGGGATAGCATTAGGAGATATATCTAATGTGAATGATGAGTTAATGGGTGCAGCACACCAACATGGCACATGTATACATATGCAACAAACCTGCATGTTGTGCACATGTACCCTAGAACTCAAAGTATAATAATAATAATAATAATAATAATAATAATAAACAGCTCCCACTCATCTCTCCTGTCAATGAACATCTGCTTACTATGTTAATGGTTAATCTAAACTTCAGCCTCTTCAAGAAGGCACACACACCCCCCTCCTCACAGCCCATTAAATCTCAGTATCCAAAGCTCTGTTTGTGGCAGGAAACATGGAAAGCAGTTTGAGTATGTTCTCTTTCTTTTTAGGTGGCAAAAGAAACTTCAGGGATTCCCTTGTTGGCACAGCCATGCTCTGCATTTGAAACTGAAGGGTAGCAGAATATGTTCCTCAAAATACGCAAATTTGATATAAGGATTACTTTGACCTAAAGGCACCTGAAAAAGATCAAATGCAAAAAGGGCATTCTAATCCCTCCTTTCTTCCTGAAACCTGGAGATAAAAACTCTCAAGTGAAAGATGCTCTCCCTGTACCAGAAGAAAAGAAACATTCTTTCCTGGGGAGTCATCTATGAGAGAATCTGTAAAGATAGTGTTAAAGTAATTTTTTTCTTCCTTTAGTGTCCCCAGATAATACAATTACTTTTAAACAATTGTCTCTCTTTGTCCAAACTAATATAAAACCTTTAGGTTTTGCCACTTCTTTGAATCTTTATTTCCTTATGAGTCTTTCCATGTGATATGGCTTGGGACTGTGTCCCCACCTAAATCTCATATCAGATTGTAATCCCCAGTGTTGGAAGAGGGGCCTGGTGAGAGGTGATTGGATCATAGAAATCCCCCTTGCTATTCTTGTAATATTGAATGAGTTCTCACAAGATCTGGTTGTCTATAAAAGTGTGTAGCACTTTCCCCTTCTCTCTCTCTTCCTTCTGCTCGGGCCATGTAAAATGTGCCTCCTTCCTCTGTACCTTCCACCATGACTGTAAGTTTTCTGAGGCTTCCTCAGGCATGCTTCCTGTACAGCATGCAGAACTGTGAGCCAATTAAACCTCTTTTTTTTTCTTTTTATAAATTACGTAGTGTCAGGTGGTTCTTTATAACAATGCAAGAACAGACTAATACGTTTTATCACATAATGCTCATATTAAATTGTATGCTTTTCTCATGTTGCTCTAGCTTATGTCAATTTAATTCTCAGGCCCAGTCAGGACCCTACAAGAGTAGAAGTAAAGTTTTGCCTCCCCTATAGAACAAGTGGAAGACTGGTTGCTGTACATTGTAATAATGTTACAGATAATAGTACTGACAGAGAGTATGGTTAGTGTGTTGTAGGGCTTACCTGGACTCGCAGGGGCTGAATTCTGACAAGATGATGTCCTATTTAAGTCAGTGAAATTTGAGCAGTAGGATCTTGCCTCATCAGTAATATTGTGCATTTTTCCAGATAATCTCAATGTCTCATTCAAAGGGGCTTGGGATTTTGTGACGATACCAATACAATTTGATGAAAGCTGCTTATTATGTTCTCGGAAATGGGAACAACAATGTACACTTCAGCCTTGTGCTATATAAACCAAAATAGATGTGCAATGGCTTCTTCTATCACTATCTATTCCTTTCCTATCAGAGAACCCAGGTAACATGTAACTTAGGTGGCTAAGCACACGGCCTTGCTTTTTCTGGTTCACTATTGTGCCTCTTGATTCTCTTGCCTCATGTAATCTTTACTGAATTGCTTGGTTCTTGTTTCACTAAAATTACTTTAAAGTCTTAATCTTTGTTTATGCTCTTACTCAGAAAACAATATTAACATTTAAAGTCTTTATTAATGTATTTCTGCAGACATTTTGGCTCCCTTTCAATTGACCGTTGCTGAGCAGTGCTGCAGATTTCAGACTCTAACCTACACCCTGTCAATCTTTGTTTTCTTGAATAAATTACAGTCTCTCCAGGAGTGATCTTTTGAGGTGCTTTAGCCATGTATGTGGCATTTAAAGACAGACCCATGTTGGCACAGTAAGATCTGTTCAATTAATACCTGTTGAAAATCTGCTATATGCCAAGCATATCAGAGAAGGAAACAGAAAAAAAAATTGCCTTATTGGAGTTCATGTTCTAATGAGGAATAGACATAAGCAAATAATTAATAAGAATATATGCAGACAGCAATAAGGCAATGGAGAATAATAAAGCAGAGGAAAAGGATGTGCCAAGGGGCCACAATCTAAATAGTTTGGTCAGAGAAGACTTCACTGCTAAATGGATGCTGTGCAAGGCCTGAAGGACGTGATACAGAAAGACAGGGGGATATGTGCGAATAAGTATCCCAGGCAGAGGAAATAGAATGAACAACATCTCAGAGATGGGAGCATACTCAATATCCAGAGAAATTAAAAGGAGTTCATTACTGCTGAGGTATAGTGTTCAGAAAGAAATCTACAAGAAGATAAAACTAATAAAGTAGTATACTAGAGAGTGCAGTGAAGATTTGGTAGAACTGTAGGATTTTTTCTTTTACAATCAATGAAATAAAATGCCATTGAGTGGTCTTGAGCAGAATGTTGGTATAATTCATTCAGTCATCCGTTTGGCAAATCTTTATAGGAAATACCTAACACTGTTCTAGGTATTAAGCATAGTTCAGTAATTCAAGAAACAAAAATTCAAGCCATATTAGTGATTACATTCTAGATGAGAGGGTATAATATTTTTATGCATTTTTCTGCTGTGACAAGTTACTACAACTTTACTGGCTTAAACAAGACAAATTTATTATCTTATGCTTTGTGTAAAACAGAAGAGCATCATTGGACTAAAACCAAGGTGTTTGCAAGCCTATGCTCTTTTCTGGAATCTCTAGGGTAAAATCTGTTTCTTTTCCTCTTCCACTTTCTAGAGGCCACTTTTCCACCCTCTTTCCTGGGTAATGGTCTCCTTACTCCATCATAAAAGCCAGCAATGTCGGGCCTCATTTTTCTTACACAGCATCTCTATCATTCTTTTTCTAATTTCTTCTTCCACACATAAGGACCTTTGCAATTCCATATGGCCCACTGGATCATCAAAAATAATATGAATATTATTAGGTCAGATGATTAACAACCTTAATGCTATCTGAAACCTTAATTTTCCTTTTTATGTAACCTCATGTATCTGCAGGTTTTTGTAGATTAGTGTGTGACATCTATGGGGTGGCATTATTCTGGCTATCACAGGGAGGAAATAAGTGTAATTCATAGGGTAAATAAAATATGCTGATTTATCTGTTAAAATAGATCATAAGAGCAAATCTGTAAGCCAAAAGACTAGTTACTATGAAATTCATATTTTTATGTCTACTAGCCAGACTGTAGTCAACCAGAAGGCAGTGCTACATATTTTTTTCTTTTAAATCTGAGTTAGGATCAGAGTTATCTTGCTTTAAATGGTAGCCTTTCCCCCTGTGTTCTAGGGAAAACTTCATAAACTTAATACTTTAAATACATTATTTTAAAATGGTATATTTTATTTTGTCCTGCAGTTGACCTTGGAAAAAGTATTAGAATACTTGAGGAGAAAAAAATATTTTTCATAGGAAAGCATATTTACATGATGTAATAAATTTTCTTACTATCACACTTAGAGTAAAATCCAAACACCTTATTCTTGTCTTTGGCCCTAGAAGTTCTCTCTCCTGCCTACCCCTTTCTTCTCTTCTTTCCACTTGTTTGCTTAACTTCACTCACAGAAACCTTCCTACTGTTAGTGAAACACACTGAGATTGTTCTTTTCGGATCGTTGAGTCTACAGCTTCCCCACCCCAACCCAGACCAGTCGCTTTTTATCAAATGACCTTGGGTTTCTAAAAATTGTTTTTCTTCCAAGCACTGATATTTCTTATTTATATAAATGCATTATGTAAATAGTCTTTTTCTCTACCCTTAAGGTAAGCACTGTCAGCACTGCTATGTCCCCAGTGCTTAGAACAAGGCCTAGCACATATTATATGCACAAAATAAATGTTAATGAATGAATGTATAAGTGGCTCAGAAGTAGTTCGCAGTTGTTAAAGGTTTAGAGCACTCCCGGGCAAATATTTGGTACCATTTTCACCTGACTTTTCTCCAAAGAATAAATACTGTAGTCAGAGCTCTGGCTCCAGGATTTACTATTATATGAATTTGGGTTAAGTTATTTAAACTCACTAAGCCACAGTTTTCTCATTAGAATAATGGTGATAATAAAAATAGTCACAAGGATTTAATGGAAGGATATATATCTTATGTGTGTATACACACACACACACACACACATACACACATACATATATATGTCACTTGGAAGAGTATATATAATTAAGTAAATCTTCCAATGTTTTTAATTGTCTTATTTTCTTCTATTCCAAGAGGAGGAAGTTGGAAGAAATATGCTCTTTCTTATAACCATGAACAGGAAACAGGAAATCAATGAAAAAATGGAATAAGGTCAATGAAAAACAAGGAAAAGTAGGAAACCTCTCAGGCCCTTTTTAAAGCAGTCATTTCTTTATAACTATAAAATCTACCCTAAGATCTGCTTGGGTGTAGGCAAGGGCAAACACAATGTTCATTGAACAAATTAGTGCCACAGAGTTTCCAAGGGACCTAGGCTGAGCCAGATCCAAATACTGAGCGGCTGAATATGAAACTCAATACATATGCTTCAAAAACTGTAAAGTATTAGACAAATTCTAGTTTTTGTTCTTTAAGCACATACCTGTAGCCACTTTATTTCAGCACCTTTATATAGTGTGCCCTCTGATAAGTAAAATGTTTTAAGATGTTCACTAGCTATTCTGCCTTATTTCCCAAAATTCGTTTTTGACATGTACTGAATAAAAATTTTAAATGTAACATGACAATATTAATTAAACTTCTATGAACCATTCATTCATAAATAGTCTCCACTTCTGGGTAGCCAGGCAATCTTTTCTTTTGTTTTGCTTTCAACAAAAGATAATGAGTGTCTTTATTAAATGACAGGAATTGTGTGTCAGAGCAATCATGATGCTTCACTCTTCTAAGTTCAAATCCCCAAATCAAAGTGTTAAAGATGTTACTGATATATTTCACTTAATAATGAAACAACTAGTGCACTAGGATTAGAATTTGGAGAGCTTGCTTAAAATGTTGCACAACAATATGTTCAGTTGCATGGAACGTAATCTGGGGTCCTATTACATGTGTCCTACTTAAGAGCTGATAAGATGATGTAAATTATGCATTTTGCCTTGCTCTGGCTTGCCTCCAATAATTATATTTTCAACAAGGTACCAAATAACTGTTTCTATGTTTTAGAAATATGCAAATTAAATGAAAGGTAAAGCTAAGATATGAAAAGATGTAAAATTAGTCTTAGTCCTTGAAAAATTTTAGTTTTCACGATTCTTCAAGGATAATCCAAATATGGAGCAAATAAATAGGAACTGTTGATTTTGATGGCTCAGTTATAAATGAGATAGGAAAAATATCCAAGTTGCCAAGCAGCCAAGGTTAATTTCAAATAATTCTAGTTAATTTTCTTTTTCATATCTTGAAAAAATAGTGGTTTTATGGTTATGAATAGAAATATTATGTTCAGAAAATACATAAAACTCTTTGCAATTCAATGGCTTGTAACAACAGCATCAATAAAAGACTTTTAAAAGTAAATTAAGCATTAGAGCAAAATCTATAAAACACCTAGGATTCAATTTAACAAGCAACAACAAGCACTATATGCCAAAAACTATGAAACTTTACAAAAGGGAAAGAAGAATACCTGAATGTATTATGAAATCTACCATGTCTCTGAAAGGGAAGAATTAATATTTTAAATATTTAAGTCTTCTGTACCTTCAGTGAATTGATAGGAAGTATAATTTCAAGAATGTGTCCAAATTGTTTGTTAATGTAAATTGATTCTGATATTCAGTTGAAAGAAATAAATATAGAAGAATAGAAGAATAGCCAAAAAAAAAAAAAAGAGCAAAGTAGAATTTGAAAAAGCAAAATGGTGGAAATACACTACACCAAATTTCCACACGTTATTTCAAAATTACAGTAAATATTTACAAATAAATCAGAACTTATGAAAGCACCAAGAAATAAATACATATTTCTATAGGAATTTAGTGATTAACTGTGGTAGGGAACAGATTGGTTATTTCCACAAATGATATTGGGGAAACTATGTATCTGGAAAATAGTTTAAAATTAGAATTTTATCTTACACCATTAAACAACTTAAACTGGGTATGTGGACTAAAGAAAATTTTAAAACCATAGAAGTACTGGAACAAAAAATAAAACAATTTTTTTCCCCAAATATGTGTTAGAAAATCTTTCTTTCTTTCTTTCTTTCTTTTTGTTTTTGTTTTTTGAGATGGAGTCTCGCTCTGTTGCCCAGGCTGGAGTGCAGTGATGCCATCTTGGCTCACTGCAAGCTCTTCCTCCTGAGTTCATCATTCTCCTGCCTCAGCCTCCTAAGTAGTTGGGACTACAGGTGCCCGCCACCACGGCCGGCTAATTTTTTTGTATTTTTAGTAGAGACGGGGTTTCACCGTGTTAGCCAGGATGGTCTCGATCTCTTGACCTCGTGATCCGCCCACCTCCGCCTCCCAAAGCGCTGGGATTACAGGCGTGAGCCACCGCGCCCGGCCCAGAAAATCTTTCTAAGGCATCGATGAAAGGTAGAACCTTAGTGGCAAAGATAATTTTGACAAAAATCAAAACCGAAACAAAAGTAAGAAACTTCTATATAGTAAAAGACTCTCATAAATAAAACTGGATAGTGCATTAGTTTATATTAATCTAAAAGCAAACACCGAGTCACAGTTGATGGTGGGGTATTTAGACCCCATGCTGGAGACAATGTGAAGAGAGAATATAAGAGGCTTAGGTAGGAAGAGTCTAATACTCTCAAGTAAATAGTTACAGGATAATTTCTGCCAGCCTGCTGGGAAGCCTTCCAGCCAAAGTCACACCTAAAGAACTGGCAATTCTCACTGGAATGAGCCTGCCTTTGTATTTCCTGCTGCTCAGCCATTGGCTAGGAGTAGCTCTTGAAAAGCATTCTATGGGAGAAAATGTGACAGTAGATCCACAGAAGCAATGCGGGGTGACCAAGAGTAGTCACTATGGCGCCCCACAGAGAATATCTGAGTGACATGTTTTCATTTTCATGCCCCCTCAAAAAATAAATAAAAAATAAAAAAAAAGAGAGAGAGAGAGAACTATAGATCATTAAGAAAAAGATAACCCAGTTGCAATGGGTAAGAATATAAGCAAATCTATATGTAAAACACATGTTTATGTCATTTAAAAATCCATGAAAATATACTTTTTTCATCCAAGAACGATAAATTCAAGAGTCAGTTAAGTACAAATGTTTACCTCTCAGACTAACAAAAACATTAAAAGATTTAAATTAGTCAGTGTCATTTGTGGACAGTAAGCAATTTTGAAGGGCAATTCTAAAAATTAATCTTACAATTCTTTTTACAGCGAAAGTTTTCCAGTGTAGCATTTATAATAGTAAGAATATTTAAGATTTCCTGAAAATCCAGCACTAAAAGAATGGCTAGGTAAAGTATTGGGAAAATAAGCTCAGTTTGCCACATTTTCCCCATCAATAAAAGAGCTACAATATTAATTCTCACATCATGGATTTTTTGTTAGGATTTATGTATTATATTTAAAGTGTTCAGAATATTAACCAGCATATATTATATGCCCAATATTTGGTAGCATTCATTAACATGATGGAATATTGTACAATTTTAAAAATCTGAGCTAATTAGCATATAGTACTTAAAAAGAGGAAATCCTTGATTTTTATTGCCTGAATAAAGCTAGTACCAGATAAATACTAATATGATATTTTAGTATAATCAAAAATTTAAGAGTGTTTGATTATATGTGCATATGTAAAGAAAAATATCTAAACAGCTATTCTATAAACTTTTAACAGTGACTCATTCTGGGGGATGAGCAGGTAATAGAGGCTAAGACTTTAATTATTTTACTCAGTAAATTTCTGTATTTGGAGTTGTTTGTTTTCATTAAAATAACACATTTTTATAATTTGATGAAATTAAGAAAAAGGATAAGATTAGAAAAATTACAGATAACATAGGACTACATGAAATATAATACATGTTCACATAAGGAACATGCCAAAACTAAAAATGGGTTCTGAAACTGAAAATTTCATTTAAAAATAGGTTAACGATGGCCCAGATATAATTTATCCAGCATTTTATTCATTCTTTTGAAGGGAATCTATATTTGGTTCTTGTTTTATATTTTATCCCCTGGGCTTAAAATTTTTAGGCATTGTATATATCTGGATCAATATAAGTATAAAAAACCGCAGTCTAAATAAGAAATTAGTGAGGTAGTCAAAAGTTAAAAGATGAATATAAATTCTGTAATCAAAAGTTTTAGCAATATCACCACACTATCTTTGGCATATGTTGTGTCTGTGTGCTTGTGCTAGGCTAACCAGTTTTACAAAAAAAAATGATTAGTGTAGAAACCAAATAGTCCCTCTCTTAATTTGAGAAGTTCTTCTTCAAGTCATTTGCTTTAAATGTATTAAGCTAATCATAGCTTCTTCCATTATGATCAATTTTGTTGTGTATATAATTTGAACTGGGAAAATAATAATATTACATTTATTTGGACACCATAATTAAAACATGAACCATTTATGACCCAAACTTAACCAACAAGCATACTTTCACAGGAATTTTGTAATTGGAAATTGTGGCAGAATCTCTTTTCTAGTTGCCAAGCCTTCACTGTATGAATCAAACCTGAATCCAGCCATGTTCCAATGTGTCATAGATACCCTGGTTTGAGTGGGATATAATGAAACCAGTATGGTTTTTTTTTTTTTTTTTTTTTTTTTTTTTGTGAGAAAAGGACAAGGGACAGAGATTTTAATGATACCGAAGTTCCTGGTTTGTTTCAGCTGAAATTTCTCCTGTGTTCTTTCATCTGCTTTGTTTATGAGTCAACAAATCTACCTCTTTTCTCTAAACAATTTTGAGTTGTATTTCTGTTGTTTGCAATCAAATGGTCATATACTGCATAGATGTGTGTAAATAGAGAAACTTACATATAATTACAAGGAGTTCTTCAGATCCTTGAAACGTATTATGGAATTCGGAATATGAATCACAGTCATAGTGATTACTCTGATTGTCTAGTTTTTTTTTCTCTGCTAAATAATATTATTGCCCAATATAAGAAAGAAACTAACATTCTTGACATCTCTCATCTCTCTCCAATATTGCACTGCTATTCTTATGGTTACCCTTGACTATGATGCTTGTCTTGAGCTGATTGTTTTTTTCAGCCATATAATCACATTTCTTTAGCTGTGTTTTGTGTTAGAAATTAGTCTCTCAGAGGGGAAGGAAAGAAGCAGATAGGCATATACAGAGGGGGAAAGAAGGAGAAAGTGTTGAGAGTAGCACAACTCTTAACCCTTCAGAAAATAGATTGGGAGCTGTAGGGTTGCTTGCTCTTTTACCAACGTTCAATCTATAGACCAAAACAAAGAAGCAAACAAAAACCATTCAGGTGAGTTAAAAACCTTTTGCATGCTGTTACCATAAGTTATTAGTTAAATTGTCAACCAAACTGTCTGTTGTTTCCTTTTATCTTTAGTTTTCAATGTTAATGAAAAGAAACTTTGTCCAGGAGCTGCAGTGTCCTTTGAGTTTCAGAAAATCCAAGAAAAAATAAAGGTAAATTCTTACTAGTAAGATATATATAACTTCCATTGATCTCATGGAACCAAAGGATGCCAAGGGAACATGCAATGTAAAATATCTCTTTTATCATAATTTGACAGATGAATATAAAGCATTTAAATAATCTCCTTTAATATGCAAAAAGAAAGTGTCTTTAATGCTCATTGTTATTTGAAAAATTAGCTTCTGAAAGGAAACAAGAATGAATTTTTATTAACTATGCCTTAGTTCAAGATAATTTGCTCCTTTGAATGCCCAAGTGAATGAAGGATTCTAGTTACTTATGTGCCTACATGCCTTTATATTCTTAGATTTCAATATTAAAACTCTACTAGTGTTATTCACAGTTACCATTTTTATAGTTTTTTGTTTGTTTGTTTGTTTTTTGTCTGGAGACAGAGTCTTACTCTGCTGCCCAGGCTGGAGTGCAGTGGTGCCATCTTGGCTCACTGCAACCTCCACCTTCCAGGCTCAAGAGATTCTCCTGCCTCAGCCTCCCAAGTAGCTGGGATTACAGACATGTGCCGCCATGCCCAGCTAATTCTTGTATTATTAGTAGAGACGGGGTTTCACCATGTTGGCCAGGCTGTTCTTGAACTCTTGACCTCAGGTGATCCACCCACCTCGGCCTCCCAAAGTGCTGGGATTACAGGTGTGAGCCACTGCGCTGGGCCTATAGTTACTTTTAGTTGTAAGTTGGGAGAAGACAATTCAAGTACTATTAGCAACAGGAAATAAAAGTTGACCTGAAGTTGACATTTTTTTCCTGAAATAATTGAATTGAAAGAAGGTCTTTGGGTAATTCCAATACTGTTGCAGTACTCAGTTTTTGCATAATGGAGAAAAAGGAGTTGAACTGTACATTCTTAAAGTTCCTTTTTAACTTCAAAATACTATGAAGTGATGATTCAAGATATACAGTTTAGCAACTGAATAATAATTGCTTCCATATTATTTAGAATGAACACAAATCAGTTGATCTTCTTTCGAAAGTGTAATTGCTGTAAGTGCCTTTGTCTTCCTATTGTTTAATGTAGATTCATGAAGTTGCTCTGACATAAATCTAACAAGTGACCTTAAATTAATGGAGTAAGCAGATCATTTGTGAAATCAAATTGGTAACCGAAATACTTCTTCCTCACAATCTTATGCAATCTTTATTTTTCCCTTTGCTTTCTTAGATTTTTAATGTAATTCATAGATTTATAAGAAATATATATGTGTATGTATATATATGTGTGTGTGTGTGTGTGTATAACATAATAAAATGAATAATGAAAATGTGCACATTGCCTTAACAAAGGAAGGGTTTCTACTTTTACTGGTGCCTTCTATTGAGGAGGCTTTAAAGGAGGGTTCAAACTGAAGCCTGATCAACTATATTCATTTTAAACCTGACTCACTGATTCTACTATGTTCTCTATTTTCTCTTGTTCCTTTGCATGCATGTTTAATATATCTGCAAATTAACATTTTAAATTCCATTCATCTTAAAATATTTTGCATTTTCTTCATCTTTTTCATATTCATATTATAAAATAAATTTAATAACAATCACTTATATCTTGATATTAGAATTTTGAAAATGATTTCAGTTAAAGTGATGAACACTTTTGGCTATGGGCATAAGAAAGAAAGTTCAACCAACTGTGCCCTACAATGATAAAGACTTAGTTTCTACATGGAACAAGAAGTTAGGAGTCTGGCAGTCTAGGGTTGCCTCAGTGATGATAGCAGGCACCTGGATGTCATTTATCTTTTACCTATCATCCTTTCAATCTCATAGGCATAGTGTCAGGGTTCCTGACTAGAAGCCAGAAGTTGAAAAGGCCAAAGAGAGCATAAAAACTGAATATGTTCTTTGGTCAAAAATTTCCAGAAAGCCCCACTAGGTGACTCTTGCATTTAATTGGCCAGAGTTGTTTGCCGTGGGCAACAATCAATAAGGGTGTTTGGAAGATGACCAATTTTATCTAGGCTTATTTCCCCACCCCCAATACCCTCAGATTAATATGAAAGAATATGAGGATGAATATTGGGTAGGCAATTAGAAGCATATACTGCAACCCTACTGTCAGTGCCAAGGAAAATGTAGTATCTTATTCTCAAAGAAGGACTCCAAATATAATTGACTGGTCATGAGTCACTGAAAAGGCAGATTCTCTCACATTGGTGGTGAAGTTTTCATTTGTGATTTAACTTTCCTTAATGTGCACAGTGATGCTCTTCTCTACTTCCTCTTTTGGGACATGGGTTTATGGTGAATAGAGAGGGCTGAATTTAGAGAAATGGTGAAAAATATATAAAATATAAAAACAGGATTGATTATATATAGACTTTTTGATAAAACTTACCACTTTGAGCTGTGGTTGTTTGTTTTGTGATGGTAGCTGGCCTTGTAGAGTTTGTAGACATTTCCCAGGATTCTACCAGTGAGATATAGTTGTCACAAAAACTTGGTGACATAATAAGGGTTAGTTTTTATTAACCGTACCTTACAGGTGAAGAAACTGATATTAGAGAGGTTAAGTGACTCACACAAGATGCTAGTCATTATAGAGCATGAAAGTTATAAAATTCCTTATAAATTAACTTAAGAATTCACTAAGGATTTAAGATTTCATTTGAGAAATTACGAGTCCCTATTATAATTGAAGGAATAAATACCGCAAGTGTTCATATTATGAGCAAAAAAGGAGTTATGTTTTAAATGCAATGTAGGATTGAGAGATAGGCCATTACAAAAGTGAGCAAATAAAGATTACAGAGGTCTGATGTCTCTCGATATCTGATGTGTTATTCAGAAATGCAAGCCACTATGTGGATAAACTATAAACAGTTTAATAATGAATAATAATTTCAAACAATTTAATAATAAATAAGGAATAATTGTAGTAAAACTCTGGGCTAAAATCCCTATGTTTGTTTTTTGAAGCTTGTTGATTGAAGCTAGATATCCATTTCTCTTTTCATTAAAAACCCCAGTGATTTGGAAGCAATTATAAAAATCATTATAAGAAAAAAATAATGTTGAGCCTTTATTATGAATCAGGATGGGAACCCAGGTCTTCTTGAGGACAAAGTCCTTATTTTTAATCTTCATAACAATCCTACATGATAAACATTGTTATTAGGGTGAAAAGGCTGAAAGTTGGGAGATAAATTCATTTGTCTAAGGCAGAATTAGTATTCTGCCTCAAATCTATTACAAATAATCCTTTGAGTTTTTTATATTTTGCTTTGCAGGCTTCCTATGATGTTACTGCTTTCACTAAAATACAGGTATCATCGTCATCCTTATCATTTTGTCTTCTTCCTTGGCTCCTTCTCTTCCAAGTCTCTGAGTAAACTGAAACGACCTTGTCAACTACTTAAACATGCTGTTGTAGAAGCCTACCTGTTTTAAATTGTCCCTTCTAAACACTTGTATAGATTTTCTGCAAACTTTTTTTCTTTCTGCTTCACAATCGCTGTTTATTGGCTTCTTTCCAAATATCTATTGTGAATATGAGAGAAACAAGTTCTTCAAAAGTTCATTTTCAGCACAGAAATGCGTGGCATGGCCTGGAATCAACTCACTCCTCTCATCCTCCACAGTTTGCTTGTACTTGTCCCATAATGCATTTTTCACAGAATGATATGCTTACGGTTCTGCAATGTAAAAACACCTGTTTGAGGTAGAGATCATTTAGTTGGAAGATACAGAAATCACTCATCCAAGTTCAAATTTATTAGGTGAGCACAGCTTTCTTTAAATTCACGTTGAGAAGACAGATTTTTGCCAGCCTTTTTACAAGGTTAAATGAGGTAAAGAAAGAGAGTCAGGGGCTGAGACATCACTCTCAATAACTGCATGGACTCTCTTCTCTCCCCATCTCCCAGGTGCTTTCTTCTTCTTCCCTGTTTCAGTTAATTTTTTTCTGTGAATACATGGCTGAATAGGTTTGCCTGCTCCAAATCCACAAAACTTCCGAGTTCCACAACACATGCCCTTTAGACTATGTTTTTTGGATCTCTTTAATCAAATCCTCAGAACACAAAATGTAGCAAATAAGACGTTCTGTTTTCCCGTAGATCAGCTTTCCCCTCCTAGATAATCAGCTGTGATCATGTTGTAGGTGGTGCCAATAGAGTTCATTAGCAGGAAATGCTGGTGAGGAGTATTTTCTTCAATAGAGTCCCTATATTGGGAAGTGCTGGTGAGGAGTAGTTTTAAGGCAGAGGTGTGGTTTTGACAGACCCTCCAAATGTTACCTACTTTGAACACTTAAAGAAGAGGAGCAATGAAAGAGGAAATGTCTGGCAAGGGAAACTGAGCAATATAGTTCATCCGTATTCTTTACCATAGCAAGAATTAGTTCTCATATGCTGCCTACCAGTCATCATTTCTTTATATGTCATATTCCTAGCAACAATCCTGTGAATTAGATATTATTTTTATTCTCATTTTTATAGAGAAGGAAACAGGAACATTTATTATGCCCATTATATGGAGAAGAAAAGTTACCTGGAAGGAAAGTTAAGGAAATACACTCTCATAAAGACCAAATTATTTACCAAGAGTTAAACATCTGGCAAGTGGAACAAGGATTTGAACCTAGGCAGTTTGGCTCCTTTAGTTCACACATATAAACATTATATTTCATTGCCTTCCATAATTGTTTTTAAGGAAAGTAATTCTTACTAAAGTTGCTACTTACAATTCAATGCAGAAAAGTGAATTATCTTCTGCTGATTCACCTGCAAAATGGGAGCAAGAAACTCAGACTTGCCAGATAATAGGCAGGTCGTGGAACAGAGCTCTGATGATACTATTCAATCTTAAAATATTTGGTTCACTATTTTGATATTTTATTGTAAGATCTTTATATGTAGACCTTAAAATATGGGGACGTAATATCAGGCAGAAAGATAGAAAGACTTACAAGCAAAAATTGTGAAACTGTATTTTTCAGAGACCTGAGGTTGATGGTGACTGAAAGCCACTTGAGTCTGATGGCTCTTTGGTGGTCTATATGATACATGCTGGTGGTTTCTTTCTTGTTAGTCCTGGACAAATGTTCAAACCACTAAAACCACTTAGGAAATTAGTACTTGTAATAGGAAAAGTCAGTTCCTTATCTTGGGAATCCGCTACCAGGGAAAATAATTATCTCAAAAAGCTACGTCCACTGAAAACTTCAAAAGGGGAAAAAATAACCCATAAAATTCCTTTGCTAAAGCATCATCTTCCTTAAGAGATTTCTATTTCAACTGGAAAAATGAAATAAAGTAATACAATGCAGATTAACTACAAGGACAAACAAGCCCCTAACCCATGTTTATCTCTTTTTGTGTTTCAGAAAGTTATGACTATTCAAGTTAATTACTGCATTCTTAAAATACTGATCTATAGCATCTTACCTTTTAATGACTTATAATACTTAAAATTAAAACAAATGAAATTTGTTATTGTCATTTACCTTGTTTTTGTTTAGAAAATATGTCATAGGAACATATTTTTATAGTTAGAATTCTACTCACTGTAGTTTATCAAAAACAAGCTAGAAATCAAGCTGTCATCACATTGATATAAGAAAATAATGTATCCATTATGTAATCAGTATTTTGCTATGAGTTGATTGGTTCTCATTCTGTGCTTGAAAATCATTAGCTTTAGTTCAAGAAATATAGAGTGATTCATAGAAGTTATATGATGGTTCTTCATATATCCTAATAAAATCTCGTAAGACACAATCAATAGGTTGCAACCTCCATAACAAGATTTAAGAACACTAAGCAATAACATGATTTAAAAAAAACACACATTTAAATGTGTTCCATCATTTATGTACTCAGTATTAAGTGATTCCTCTTATACTTTAAAATTCTCTTCTCAATTTGGATTGTTAAAACCTGAAATTTCAGTGGGCCACTCAATTTGAAACAAATTACCTTATAAATTTTGAAGGTTATTCCAGTAGCACAATTCTGATTAATTTAAGTAAATTTAGAAAAATAATATGCATATGAAAAACATTCAAAGTCCACATGTTTGAACTTCTTGAACTATTTTATTTCTGGAAATACTTAGTTATCATTTTGTTCCTTTTAAGACTGAAAACACTTTTTGTGAAAAGAGACATAATGTACAAAGTTAAACTAATCTTTATAATTTTTATTATAGAAGGAAGATCTGAAGATACTTAAAAAATATACAAAGACTTTCTTCCAAATTTAATTTTGTGAAACTTTTCAAACAAGGTGAAACACTCATTTTTCCATCTTTTGCTATGTAATACATACAGTAGGGTTGAAGGCATGGTGAAAAATAGAGAAAGTATTATGCAAGTAGGCTTATTGCAAACATTTGCATATAGTAATTAATTTAAGCTCTCATAAATTCTATATCGATTCTACTGGGAACAATGTGAATATTTTAGAATAAAAACACTTACCAACTCTCAGAATGTATTACAAATAAAATTTAAACTTGCATCTATTTAAAACATAATTCTGATAATTAAATCATTCTCTTTTAGAAAATACAGACACAAAAAGTTTAATATAGCCCTAGATATTACAGTACATACTGTCTTTTTCTTTGCATATGTAACATAATGATGAATGGATACACACACACACACCTGTTGCATTTTAATTAACATTATAAGGGAACATGTTTCATTCTTCAAATAATTTTGAGAAATGCATTCAACCAACTGTAATTTTCTGCAGTATGAATTCAACTATTCAGAAGCACTTTGATATCTGGACCCACAAATTTTCATTGCTTTTCTTACTTATTAACTAGCACTTTCTACAAAAAGGAGAAACCCTGTTTCCTTTGTTTTAACATGCACCAATGCTGCTTATTTCTGGTACTGCATTGTGCTTCCTCTCTAGGGATTTGTGGAAATTTGAACTTGAGAGTGACAATTTAGAGTATCTGGCAGAAGAAATGTGTAAGCAGCAAAACATTCAAACTGTTACCTGGCTGCTTCTAACAACTTATGCTCAAATGTGTGAGCAAATAAATCATTTAAATCTAAATAAAAGGGAAGTAGCATGTTCAAGTTTGGAAACTTTGTAGCCTGGGCATGTGGTAGGAAAGAAACACCTATTTTTAGTGAAGGAATTCAAGCTAGCTGCATAAATAAAAAGGAGCCTAGTGCTAATATCTAAGACAATGGGGAAAATGCCTCAAAGGCATTTCAGAGATATTCATGACAGCTCACCCATCACAGACCCAGAAGTCTAGAAGGAAAGAATGGTTTTCCCACCACTCTGTGCAGCCTCCAGACACTGTTTCCTGTGTCCCAGCCACTCCAGCTCTAGCCAGTCCTAAAATGTGCCCAGGTGCAGTTGGATCACTGTTTCAGAGGCTGCAAGCCATAAGCCTCGGCAGCTTCCATATGGTGTTAAGCCTGTCGGGGCACAGAGTGCAAGAGATGTGGCTTGGGAGCCTCCACCTAGATTTCAGATGTATGGAAAGGCATGGATGCCCAGGCAGAAACCTGCTGTAGGGGTGAAGCCCTCTCAGAAAACCTCTATTAAGGCAGTGCAGAGGGAAAATCTAGGGTTGGAGGCCCCACGCAGAGTCCCCACTGGGGTATTGCCTAGTGGAGTCCTGAGAAGAGGGCCACCATTCTCCAGACCCCAGAATGGTAGAGCTACCAGCAGCTTGCACCCTGAATCTGCAAAAGCTGCAAGCACTCAACACAAGCCCACAAGAGCAGTTACAGGGGTTGAACTTTGCAAAGCCACAGGGGCGGAGCTGCCGGAGCCAATCGCTTGCACCCACGTGCCCTGGATGGGAGACATGGATTCGAGTGAGATTATTTTGGAGCGTTGAGATTTAATGACTGCCCTGCTGAGTTTCAGACTTGTGAGGGGTCTGTAGTCTCTTTCTTTTGGCCAATTTTCCCTTTTGAAACAGGAGTATTTACCCAATGCCTATAACCCCATTTTATCTTGGAAGTAACTAACTTGTTTTTGATTTTACATGCTCATAGGTGGAAGGGACTTGCCTTTTCTCAGATGATACTTTCAACCTTGGAGTTTTGACTTAATGCTGCAATGAATTAAGAATTTGGGGAATTGTTGAGAAGGCATGATTGTATTTTCCAATGTGAAAAGATGAATTTGGAGGGGCCAGAGGCAGAATGATATTGTCTGGATCTATATTCCCACCAAATCTCTTGTAGAATTGTAATCCCCAGTGTTGGAGGTTGGGTCTAGTGGGAGGTCATTGAATCAGGGGGACAGAGTTCTCATAAATGGGTTGGCATCATTTCTTCTATGTGGTTCTCATGATAGTACGTGAGTGAGTTATCATGAGATCTGGTTGTTTAAAAGTATGTAGCACCTCCCTCACTCATTCTTGCTCCTGCTCCAGCCATGTAAGATGTGCCTGTTTCCCCTTTACTTTCCACCGTGATTGTAATTTTTCTGAGGCCTCCCTAGAAGCTGAGCAGATGCCAGCCTCATGCTTCCTATACAGCATTCATAACTGTGAGCCAATTAAATCTCCTTTCTTTATAAATTACCCAGTCTCAGGTATTTCTTTAGAGCATTGTGAGAACTGACTAATACACTCTCACAACATATGTTTGGTTAAATCCACTAAAATTGGTACCTCCTTCCCACAACACTAAAAGACACACAGGTTGTATTTTAAACAAATGTATGACAGGCCTGTATTGCTTTTGATCTTATCTATCTGACACCTGTTATTGGTAACATGGAAATGCAAGAAAGAATGGAAAATGTAACTGGTATCTCTTTTGTCTGGATGAGTCTAATCTAAATTTTTTTGTATCATGAGTGTGCATAGGACTTACTAAGCAGAGATTGAGGGTGGAGCCTTTGGAAATAAAAATATCTAAGAAGCACTGATTTAACTCCTCTAAAAGAATTTTGCTTTCAATAATAATTTTTGCATTTCTACTAGAGTAAAAATGAAAAAAGTGTTTATATTTATATGAAAGAAATTAAATTTAAAATATTTTATTTATTTGATTACATTTATTAATATTAATATGTAGACATTTTATTTTCAGAAGCAGTATCATAATTGTCACTAAGGATTTTTAAAAATATCATTTAACTAAAACTTCAATTTAAGTAATGTATTTGTGTTATCATTAAGAAAAAACACATTTAAGTAAAATATTATTTAGAAAATGTGATAATTAGAAAACAATGGCATTTAATATAAATGAAAACATATATCCAATCTATGTTAAAATTATGCTGATATCTTTTCAGGATAATCATATTTTCAAATTAATTTATAAACTATGTAACTTTGTAACCTATATTTGCTTGCTTGAAAACTATATATGTCCCAGTGTGTAATGGTGTATATGTGTGTAAAATCCCCCCACATTCCAGGCTCTTTAAGGTGTGGTGTGAAAGCTTTTGATTACCCAAATAGACAAAAGATTTAAAAACAAAAAAGTAATAGAAATGTAATCCAGTCTTCAGTAATGAACCCTTCAAAAAAAATATTGAGTTCCTGGTTCAGTGACACTTCTATAACACACCGTGTTTTTCTTTTCTTTCCAACTTTTCCACATCTTGTAGTTGCTCAAGAAACTATAACTGCCTCAAATCTTATATTTCCAATCTGTATTTCCAGAAATATCTGGTCTGAGTCTCTTCATACCCATTCAGATTTCTTCCCACTTCTCCAGTGTGGTGTATGTTTGTCTATTTCTGTATAAGGAACAGAAGTCTGAGAAACAGAAGCAAAAGCCTTAGAGCTCAGGATAGGAGCATAAAGGCTAAGCAAGGAAAAGTGTAACCTCATTTGCTCTGAGTGTGGATGCCCGGGTGTGCTTGCATGTGTGTGTCTGAGAAAGTGAGGCCTGATGCAGTAGGAGATTTTTTGGGGAGAACACACTAGCATTAATATATCCTTTCCCCATTATCACATTCATATTCATATTGTATATCCACATTATATTCATGTTTTAATAGCTTAGATGAAACTCTGCTAAGTAGTCTGATTAATCCTAGGGATAGTGAAAAGTACTCGTAAAGATGACTCTTCGGCTGGGCGCGGTGGTTCACACCTGTAATCCCAGGACTTTGGGAGGCCGAGGAGGGTGGATCACGAGGTCAGGAGTTCAAGACCAGCCTGACCAAGATGGTGAAACCTCATCTCTACTAAAAATACAAAAACTATCCAGGCGCGGTGGCAGGCACGTGTAATCCCAGCTACTCGGGAGGCTGAGGCAGGAGAATCGCTTGAACCCGGGCGGTAGAAGTTGCAGTGAGCCAACATCATGCCACTGCCCTCCTGCCTGGGTGACCGAGTAAGACTCTGTAAAACAAAAAACAAAAAAAGATGACTCCTCACTAGGCACACCATTTTACTACCCTCTCTAGAAGACTTCCTGTGAGAAGTCTTGATGCTTTCCTTTTCTGAACATAGCAGTCTTTTTTTTAATTTCTTATTTTAAATTGTTTAAAACATTAATGTGGTAATTTTTTTTTCTTAGAATATGAGAGTGGGGGCTTAGGAAAACACACACATTGTAATTTAAAGAACAAAAATTTCCTAAATTTAAATAAGACACATATATTCCTACAGATATCTTTAAAAATACATTACATGTAATATGTTTTAAAATTAGTACTATTCTTTAAGTTATGATAAGATAAGAGGATTCCAGGAAATAGAAGGACCTCAATCACTCATTAGCCATATAAAAATGAACACTTCACACAAACTGCATTTAGTTGTTTCATCTGTAAAAATGAGGTTAAAACTTACGGTGCTGGGTCAAATCATCTTGTGTGCTATAATATTGATACATGAAAAACAAGATGTGTATATACTTGTTACTTTTATTTACTTTACATATCGTTCCATAAAAAGAAATAGTATAATTGGCTTATCATCTGTAAGTTTATAATGCTAAAAATAATAGTCTCATAATGATATGGTTGTCATCTTGTTTTCCTTTTACTTACATTTTTAACATTTTACAATTTTAAATATTTAAAATGTACATAAAGCCTGTGGTATATATAAAGGCCACTATATTTTTTTCCTGCCACAATATCATTACATATAAACCAAAGGTCGGGAGTAAGTACCTGAAAAACATATTGTCCTTCACTAAAAAAGGGGGAAATCTTATGGAGGTTCCAAATAGTTGACCCCTTATTATAAAAGAGAGGCACTGGCTTTACATAATTTTTTTCTCCTGTTTATAGATGAAGGTAGGAAATAAGAAAATGTGAATAGATAAAAATAATTTTACAAAAGGGAAAATTAGCAAATATAGTAAATTATGGTAATAGAACAGACTTGTAAATAATTTAGTTAGAAAAAATCATAAATTTGTTTAACTCTTTTCTATATAATTTTTGATTATATCATTAGATATGTGGAACACAAGATGATTGGTCATATGAAAATAAATAAAATACAAAATGACTCAAATAGAAATATAAATTAAAAGACCCACTTTAAAAATTGAAACTTAGTTCTCTGAGACGGTCCCACAATTATCCTTTGGCACCGGCTCTACTCTATAGTCTCCATTCACTGAATAGGAATTTCTCACTTTCAGCTAAATTTTTCGGAAGCCTCTGAACTTAGGAAAGAAAAGGCATACAGAGTTAAGAAAACGATTTGTATAACACTGAATATTGGTTAAGCACAGAGACTCAGGAGCCAGACTGCCTGGATACAAGTCTCAGCTCTAATATTTAACCGTTCCATGACCTCCAATCAACCTGTTTTCTGAAAATGAGTTTTGTTAGATGCAAAATTTAGATGGCATAGTGTTAATACACCTGAAAAAGTTAGGCCAGGCATGCAGCTCACACCTGTAATCCTAACACTTTGGGATGCAGAGGGTGGCAGATCGCTCGAGCTCAGGAGTTCAAGACCAGCCTGGGCAACATGGCGAAACCTCATCTCTACTAAACATGCAAAAAACAATAAGCCAGGTGTGGTGGCTCTCGCCTGTGGTCCCAGCTTCTTAGGAGGCTGAGGTGGGATAATTGCTTGACTTCGAGAGGTGGTTGCAGTGAGCTGAGATTGTGATACAGGCTGGGCAACAGAGCAAGACCCTGTTTCAAAAGAAGGGGTGGAGGGAAGTTAGAACAATCTCTGGAGTGTGCATGTGTGGTTGCTATCATCCTTATGTCTCATTTATAAAAGAAAATGCAACATTACTCAGTATCAGAAGAAGCAAAATTTACAGTGTCTTAAGTAGATATGTATAGGTAAGATCTTGAATGTGATAACTGTTTATTAATTTTTAAGGTCAAAATAGGCAAAAAACTCATAGGAACTATTAAATTTTCTCTTTAAAATTATATTTAATATTTTACTTTGATTAAGGAACTTGCCCTGATCTTTGTTAATTTATATGATGTTATTTTAAAAACTATTTGCATAAAATAACTTGGTAGATAGAATATTTTAAATCCATCCCTCATTGCTCTCTTTCTTTCCAAAGGATATGCATAATGCAGTTATTTTAGGGTTATTATTGAAAACTTAGCTTTACCTTTAACATCCTTATTATAGGCTTTTAAAAATAATTAAAAGAATGGATATATATAGTTTTGATTGCTAATTCAGTTTCTAAAGTTGATGGGAATTACTATACCTTACAAATTATGGTTGTGTTTCATCAACTAATAAATACTAGCCATCATTATTGTAATTTTGCAATCAGATACCATAAAACAGTGACAAACATGTTTTTTAAAAACTGAGGTAGTTTTATAATTTTGATGAATCTGTATCATATATTTTTATTTTTATTGAGACAGTGTCACGCTCTGTCACCCAGGCTGGAGTGCAGTGGCATAATCTTGGCTCACTGCAACTTCCATCTCCCAGGTTCTAGCAATTCTCCCTCCTCAGCCTCTCAAGTGGCTGGGATTACAGGTGTGCGCCACCATGCCCAGCTAACATTTTTTTAGTAGAGAAGGTGTTTCACCATATTGGCCAGGCTGGTCTCAAACTCCTGACCTCCTCTGCCCACCTTGGCCTCCCAAAGTGCTGGGATTACAGGCGTGAGCCACCGCGCCTGGCCTTGGATCATTTAATATACAGAGACATGACACCTCTGTGGAAAATATTAATACATTGTTATTTAGCTATACATGAAGGTCATGTATAAGTCAGGGTTCTCCAGAGAAACAGACCCAAGAGAATATGTATAGATATGTAAGTGGCGAATTAATATGAGAATTGCTTCATGCAACTATGGAGGCCAAGAAGTTCCACAATCTGCCATCTGCAAGGTGGAGAACCAGGGAAGTTGGTGGTATAATTCAGTCTGAGACCAAAGGGGTGAGAACTTGAGGAGCCCAATGGTGTGCCTCCTGGAGTCTGAAGGCTTAACCAGGAGCTCCAATGTCTGAGCACAAGAGAAAATGGGTGTCAGCTTCCCAGATCAAGGAAAGATGGGGAGAGGTAGAGAGTAACAGAGGGAGGGAGAGAGAAAGACAGAAATAGAGTGAGATAGAGAGAGCAAGACAGAATTCACCTTTCCTCTGCCTTTTTGTTCTATTCTGGCCCCCACTGGATTAGATGATTCCTGTCCACACTGGTGAGTATGATCTTCTTAACTCAGTCTACTGATTCAAATACTACTGTCTTCCAAATATACCTTTGCAGACTTACCCAGAAATAATGCTTCTCTATTTATCTGGGCATCTCTTAGTCCACTGAAGTTGACACATGAACTTTACCATCACAGCTGTACCATCAAACATTTTCTTGTGGTATGTTACAGTTATTTTCATTTTGAGTAATAATAATGTTTTGGCACTTCTCTACACATTAGACAATATATTTGTTAAACCTAGGACAATTGAATAAAAATTATATCTTTGAATACTATGAATTTAAAAAACAGAAATGGATGATTCAGAGTATCAGGAGGAAATGGAAGGCACAATCAGGAATCATTTTAAAGAGAATTTCGATAAGGGATACTTTCTAGAAGGGTAGCTGTGTTATGGGATCCCATGAGGGATACTGGCTATTTTAATTGCTAGCCATAGTGGAAAGCTGAAGGAGCAACAGATACAATGGGGATATTGGGGGAAAATATGAGGTAGAGCTATGGAAAGGTGGTGACAAGAAAAGACTGTGTAGCCACTGCCAGAAAGAACCACAGTGCCAAGTTATGCTGCAAATGGGGGAAACATGGCCCTGCTTTTTCTCTCCTCCTGCCCCTTTCTGGTGCCTCTCATTGACAAAACCCAAACAGAAACCAGGGGACAAGGGAAACCAGGTTAGTACAATACCTAAAGATTAATCCATAGAGCACAGAAAAGAGCACATGAGGGGTCTGAGGTTGGGATTAAATAGAGGGGCAGGGATAGAAAGCTACCAGCACAATAAGTGAGAAAATAAATGTGTACATTATGTCAAAACCTGAAGCCTTTAGATTGTGTGTAATTTAGCATTAGCTACATCATGATTTCAGTGGAATGACATCTATACCTTGTACCTACAACCATCTCAAATATGACTTCATTAAGACTCCTTAAATTGGATAATTATATAGACAACTCATTGAATAATTATATAGTCAACTCACTTTTTCCATTGTGTTGTAAGGTTTCCTGAGCAGCTTTCTTGGTATCCAACCATCTATAAGAAATTGGGTAAATTATACCCATTTAGTCAATTGAAATTGTACTTCCATTGACTAAATAAAAGTTAAAGAGCAGGAGATTATCTTTTCCCACATGAAATAAGTATGAGCAGTTTGATTCATTAAGTACATGGTTTTCTGCATGATTTTATGTTATCAATATAAAATTGTTTCTACTTGTAGTTTCTGCCAAGTGGCATAACTTTAGAACGAAAAGTGGAGAAAAGGGAGAATAAATTAAGTGAACACCATTACTGCAGACTGAGGCAAAGCAAACAAACAAACAATAGTCAAAGTGTGAGAGTCTACTGCTGACAAATCCAACCTACCTACAGATTGGGCTTCGAACACCTCCTAGATCCTTGTCTCCTTTCCAACAGGTTACTTGCTCTCCCTGGCTTCCTTATTACCCTTTTATCTCTTTATTCCATTCCACACTATGGAATTATCTCTTTATTCAATTCCACAATATGGAATTATCTCTTTATTCAATTCCACAATATGGAGTGCTGTATAATTAGGAAATTTCCTCATGATGCTCTCAAAACATTTAAATAACATACTAGAACAGGAAATTATTGCTGTGTAGTTGCTATTTATGTATTGCAAATTCTAATTTAAAAACTGAGTCAGGAAGGAAATTACTTATTTCCCTCAAAAATCCAAAATACAAATGTAAATTTTGAGATTTCTTCTCCTTACAGCAGGCTGTTAAAATTAATTATAAGCCTATATATAACAAAGCTAAATGTAGATTTGATAAATAAAGAAATGTGTTAAAATAAAGGGAACCTCAAAGCAACTGATATTCAGGACCATGCTTTGTTGGCCCAATTTCACTGTCCCTTTTTGGTTATTTTTATCTTACATTTGTTATGGTTGTTTTAAACACGTGGTCCACTGACAACAACCAATTCAGATAGGTTACTGATTTTTAAGAGTAAATATATGGCAATAACTTAAAGCGGACATTTGCATCTGCCTTTTTATTGAAGAAGGAGAAATAAATTATAATGTTACAGGAAGTGTAGCTAGGTAGTTAGATAATAAAATTTTCTTAACTCCTTAAGCTTGGTGCAATCACCTTCAAGTAAGATATCTCAATCCAATTCTCAGATGTAATTAATAATAAAATCTCTACAATAAGCTAATCCATTGAACATTTGTGATATTATTATGTGGGGAGGAGGTAGGAGGAAGGGGATTGAGTATAACACTGATTCTTCCATTGTTTAAAATATTCTTTGTTTTCCAGAGGACACCAAAGGATAGTTGTACAGGAGCAAGAGTAAATCAGCCCCAGGGAGCACTGTCTCTGTGAGATCCCAGCCTGGAGCTGAAGTAGAGAAGAGTTTCAAGTTGCTGAACACCCCCATGCAGCAGTAAAAAGATATAAGATATCGACACGCTCAGCTGCATCTTGTTAAAAGCTTCCTGCGGGTTGGCAGAATGAAATCTTTACTTAAAACACACAAACTATTGTCAAGGGAAAGATGGAAAAGAGAATACAGTAAAAGGGCCAAATGCTTTGCTTAACCCACCAGAAGCAGTAGAAAGGGAGAGGTGGTCACGTTGTCTTTGCAACAACAACAACAGAAAAGGTGACTAACACAACCACATCAGCCTCCATCTGCTCTTCCCATGGTTTCAAGATGCATTATTTCTTTTATTATTAATTACTTGTGTTTCTGAGGGAGGACAAATATATTATTGTGACTAGCAAGAGAGGAAATCATTTCTGCTTCTACTTGGCATTAAGTACAGTAGTGTATGTAATGACTGAGGGATGGCAGGAAACAGAGCGGCATCATTGAGACCAGCCTCCCTCCTACCAATCCACTCCAACTCGCCCTTGGTAGTCAGAGGCTGCCTAACAGAAAGTTCATGTAAAACCATTATTGAACACTGACAGGAAGGAACTGAGACAGGAGTGAGTGGTGTGTATTTGTGCAGAAAGGGAGAAGGAGGGAGGGAGAGAGAGAGAATATGAGTCAGTCATCATCATCTTGGGGAGACAGCACCGTAAGAGGGGCAAGTGCTTTGTATAATTACAAAAATATGTACACATGCACACACACTTGCACATATGGTGTAATTTTTTTTCGTTCATATCTTGTCATTTCCAAGAACCTTTTTAAGTGATGATGACTGTTTGTGCATGGGAACCTTCTTGGATGGGTAGGCTCCGTGGCTTTAGGGAGGCTGAGCAGGGAACCCGGCAGCGCGTGGGTTCAGGAGAAGGGTCCCTTTTAAAGAGCAAAGGGACACAGCAAGCAGTGGAGAAGGTATGAAAAGAAAAAGGTGAAGGGACCCTGGGGAAAATTCCACCTATAGTGACTAAGCTTTATTTCTCTTCGGGAGAAAGTGACATTTCTGCGATTAGATCATTGACATATAAGGAAAGTAGATGGATAACTGGTTTTTCGTTGTTCTTTTTTTATTTGTTTTCTTCTACAGTGCTTACAGAACCTTTGACCAGATGGTACCTGGAATGCTCTGTGTTGCATATTACAAACAGGATAATTATTTTGGCTTTTTAGAAAACGCACCGACATGGTGACATTGCTCTCTGTTTATCAAGAGACAGAGCATTTGTTGCCTATAGCTGTATGCTCTGATGAGACATGAAAGATAGTAAAATGACAAAAAGCTTCCTGCTGTTTTTCTCTCATCCTGCCCCTTCTTCTCCCCCCAGCTCCAAACCTTATTTCTAGTTTCGCTGGGGGTCTAAGTTCCTCCTCCCCTGTCTCCCGAGTCTGTGGTACACCACATCTGATGCACTCCGATACCCCACTCTACCTTGGGGTAAGGAGGAGGTGGGGAAGAATCCGCTCCCTGCATCCATGTCCTCTCCTCTGCAGCGAGGCATATTCTCAGCAACTCTTGTACAGGTTTTCCCTTCTCAGCTACCACCTTGGCAGAGCTCTATCCCTCCCTCAAGCCCAGCCAGACTGCCAAGCGCCCCGACTGAAAACTCCATCCAGCTCAGCCGAAGTACACCCCCTCCGCCAAGCAACCCCTGTGCCCCTGCCCTTCACCTCCCTAAGTCTGCTCTTCATAAGCATCGATTCCATTGCAAATCAAATGTACGTCCCCCAGCTATTAACACCCACTACCCCTTAGGTGTTACCGACAGCCTCCCTCGGAAAATAATAATAATAATAATAACCGAAAGCACGCGAACACCTGAAGAAGCACAGATCGGGATCCGCATCTGGACCAGTCCTCTGTGGCTATAGTGATGGGGAATAGCCTGTGCCTGACATATCCTCCTGTTCCCGCGCGAACCGCTTTACCCTGGATCCCTGGAATCGTGCCTAGGCACCCGGGCGGCGGGGTCCGCCCAGGCCGCGTCAGGCAGCTCTGGGCCGGTGGGTGCCGGGTCTCCCCTCCTCCCGCCCCATCTGGCGCGCCCGCAGCGCCGCCGCCGCCGCCGCTTCTCTCCCCAGCGGGCGCTCGGAGCATCCCGCGCCGCGTTCTCCCCGCCCCGGCCCCCGCCCGCCGGAGCGGGGCCCACGCCGCTGGCAGCCATCAAGTGGCTCGTTAAGGAAATGCAGGTGAGTGCGTGAGGCCGAGCGGCAGCTGCTGGAGACGTGGGGTGTGTGCCTGTGAGTGCGAGCGAGACGAGGAGGGAGCGCCAGCGAGCGAGCGAGCGAGTGCGGGAGCGGCCGCCTCGGCTCCCCGCCCAGCCGCGCCCGCAGCCGGCGGCCGGAGCGCGTGGGGGCAGCGCCTCGCCCCGACAGAGCCTCGCCTCCTCCTTGCCGTCTCGGCTGCTTCTCCGAGGAGCCGGGAGCCGCTCATCGGCCTCCCCAACCCTGCGCTCCCCTCCCAGCCCGAGTCCTCCCGCTGCTCTTTCTCCTCCTCCTCCCGAGCCTCCTCCCCTCCGGCGCGGCGCCGCCAGCCAGCCTCGGCGGGGAGAGTGCAGGTACTTTGCCTTCAGAATAATTAGCAGGACCCAAGCCGGCTTTCCGAGCGCGCTTTCTTTTTCTTCCTTTGCCCCCTCCCTCCGGAAAAGAAGATCCCACTTTTGAAACAATCAGAAATCGAAGCACCCCACCAAAGCCAAACCCTGACGGGCTGCTGTGCATGTGCCATCCCTTTTTGCAGTTTATTCTGGGCCTGTGTGGAATAGAAAGACAATTCTTTATTTGACTGGTAGGAAAGAAAAGAGAAGACTCCTCAGGGTTTCCAAGGAGGACTGGAGCGGCTGCTTTAGTAAGTAAACTGTGCTTCTGTCTTTCTTTTCTCTAAAGTGAAGCATATGCTGATGCTTTTCAATGCCCAATGTCCAATGCTGTGGACAGTTTATTCATTTTACCTGGGAATAACTTGACTTATATAACTTCAGTAGCTCCTATTTGAGAAGTGGTTCGCTAAGCATTTTTTTCTTTTTTTTTTTTTTTTGGAAGAGCCCTTAGAAGACTTCGATATGGGATCAGTATGGGCAGCCTTACTGGAAAACTGATTTTTAAACGTTTATTGTTCAAGGGCTATTGGAAGCCTGCTTTGTTAAACATTGGTTGGTTCTAAGATTTAAGGGTGGTTATCTAGAAAAAGCTTGAAAAATCTAACCCTACTGGCTCACTTCTCCTGCCACCTTCAACCTCAGCCCTAATCCATGCTAACTCCCACCCTACTCTGACTTCAGTTGGTTGGTTGTTTTATCTTTAGTTCTGAAAAGCTCTAGAAAAAAAAAGGGGGGGGGGGCGGAAAAGGGAAAGTTAATAAGGATGGTTTGAAAGACCAGATGAAAATTCTGTTGCGATTTCTTCATGCCTGTAAGGAGATAATAATTGGAGGAAAATCCTGGAACTAGAATAGTTGGAGAATTAGAATGAACTTAATTTGGAGAGAGAATGTGAAAAATACTTTGGAGAGGGCAGGGCTGAGACTGTGACTTTGACACAGCGGGTTATAAACTCTGACAGGGCTCAGCAGCCAGTGACAGGTTTAAGGTGTCTCCTAAGGCTGAATATCTCTGCATCAAAAACTTTTGCAGGCAGTATTCCTCTTGGGGCTAACATCACCATGTCAGTAGCTGTAGCATTTCTTTTTACAGAAGTAGGACACTCTTCTTTCTACAAAAGGGTTAATAAGTTCATTATACATATATATAAAAAACATGTAGTCTAACATTTGCCAATATTTTGTAATATCTAAATAAAACCTTTGTGTTATGTCAGGAAAAATATAGTTGACTCAGTTTGTTTTGCACAAGAGGGAGAGAATCAATAACATTTCAGCATTTTTTTCTTTATCACTGCCAAATGGATTCTGAATCTAATTCTTCTTGCATTGTTACATATACAGTAGATACAGTAGGAGTTGCAACTTAGACAAAACAGACCTGATTTTTAACAAATCCTAAGTTTTTTGACATGGTAGTACTTATACTGACTAGAGTCTAATAGTGATTAGAAAAAGTTTATCCCTTTTATCTTTAACTGTTAATTTCTTTCTCAGTATAATACATACTTTTTAATAAAAACCCCTTATAAGTTAAAAACCAGATTGAAAAGTAAAAGTACTTATCTCAGAGAATTTCTTTCAATAAAGCAGCTTATTATTAATTATACCTAAGGGCTTCCTTGTATTTAATTGTTGATAATGGTAGAATGAGTATATTTTTACCTCCTTATTTACTTAAGTGAGTATATAAAAGCATCTGTATTCATGGGGGATTGGTTTTAGAAATTATAAGAGTAAGCTAAGTTACAATTATTACAAAAAAGTAGAGATGTTTTAGAGTTGTTTTGATTACTCAGTGTTGAAAGCTCTAAATATCTTGGGCCATAAGTTTTTAGGGTAATGAGACAGGACAATAGAACAGTTAATGAATTGGTTGACATGAAGTTATCATATATGGAATCATTTGAGAAAGATGTGTCATTGTTTCTTGATTATTATTTAATTTCTTATCCAAATGAGTTTTCTTAGACATATTACTGCTCTTAGCTAACATTTCTATTATTGGTTTAAAAATGAATTTAAGTGATTTAAAATGAAGCCCTTGGCTGATCAGATTTGGATTATAGCACATAACCTCTACTCATTTCTGACCTCACATGTCCGAGAGGCTATCTGATATTTGGAAAAAAAAAAACTTAATTATTGAAAAATAAAGGGGAAGATTGTACCTAAGTAGGGCAAATTTAACAGTGGTTCAAACATGTTATTACATATATTAGTATAGGACATATTTTACACAGTAGAGAAGACATGACAGATTTGTGCATTCTTTTTGAATTTCTGAAAGCAAATATTTGTAAGTAACATTAAAACTAACCTGACATACATTCTGCCTCTGTTGTAATTATGTCATAGTGCTAAGGAAAATAGCCTGAATGAAAGCTGTTTCTAGTAAAGCTTGCACATGCATTTGATCCCTGTCTCTATATAATAACAGATAAAAATGGCAAAGCAGGATGGGTGATTAAATTGTCACCTTTTTGGCCACCAGCTCTCTGTCCTGTACAGAGGTAGTTGCAACTTTAAAGTTGAGAAGAAAGTTGCTAGTGTCAGCAGTAATGTGTTTTATTATGCAATTGTTCTTGTTATTCAGATCAGATAATGGCCCGATGAAATACATAAGCAGTCTGCAGGGAATGAATGATTAATTCCTCTTACATGTGCTTACTAAAGGGGTTCTTTCTAATAAAGTGCTGTATACCTGCATTTGCTTTCAGTTGCTGTTGGTGAAGGCAAACATGTTTTTCTTTTCTTTTAATATTAACATAAAATTTACAAGCCTACTCTTGTAACTATAGCAACATAAAGATGATTTTGTTGACCACATGGTCTTATATTTTATGGAACTCAAGGCATGATTACTATTTACTAAATACACTTAATTTAGAAAGAAAACAATGCTAATTAGATGTGATATTGGAAGGTTGAGCTATTCATAACTTTTTTTGCTTTATTCTTTATGGAATGCCATGATATCTTTCCTGTGTATTACTAGTAGGATGCAGGAATCCAAATGTATGCAGGTGCAGAGTTCTGCAAATGCACATTTTTCTTTAATAATGCTGGAGAGTAAGTGAAAAGCTAAAATATTGCTAGTTATATCCAAGAATTAGCAGAATATTATGTTAAAATTTTAGGAATGACTAATAGTGCACATGACAATTATTGTGGTTACCACTGGTGTAAACTGTTCTGCAGTTAGAGAAGTGTGATTAATGTAACTTTACAATTCTAAAACTGGATTATGGTAGAGGGTGGTGAGTGAACAGAATTTATATAATAATTTGATAATAGGTGACCTGAAATGCATGTTACATGTTTGAAACTTACCTACTTAATGTCTTTTTAGAAAATTCTGAAAAAAATGTGATTTTCAAAATTACAGAATTAAATATATCTATCCATGTGTCTCTATTGATCTAGCTACTATCTATGTATGTCTCACATTTAATGCAGCAAATAACATTATTTCAAGTTCTCTCTGTTGTTTGGAGGAAACACTTTAATTTCAGTTACATATTTTTGGGCTTACACCTATCCTGAATTTAATAAACTTTAACAATGCAAATGATATGACAAATATTCAAGAATGCTAATTTAAAAGTTATAATGAAAATTAAATAAGTAGAATTTTGTACCCAGTTCAATGCCATTTGAACTTATCTTCTTATGTATTAAAGTGCAATTTCTTTACCACTACTGTCGGTTCACTGTTTTATTTTTTTAGGATTGTCAAAAGCATTTGGCATCCGTAAAGAATAAATAAATGTCTCCTGATACAGTCAAACAATGTAGACATTAACTGTACTTGTAACAAGCTTTTCAAAACTCTTAAAATTCACTGAATGAAGAAGAATTAATGAAGAATCAAAAAATGAACATTACCCGTTAGGAGAACACTGATGTGATTGTAGTAACAAAGGTTTTGAGTTTATCTTTCATCACTACAATTGGAAGTGTGACCCTAAGGAGGTAATCTGGACTCTCTGTACCTCTGTCAGGTAAATAAATTGGCTTAGCAATTTGAAAGTCTTTCAAGCTATGTGACTAATATACTGAATATAACTGAAGTTGCATTTTGCAAATTCTCAGATTATACTGTGGCAGTTTGAGAATCCTGTAGGAGTTAGGGGCAGCCATCTTGTTTGAAAGAGGGCTAAGGAAATTGTCCTGAAGTCAGGTCAGCAGTGCCTGGACACTCTTGTTACGTAGATTGAGATTGAATGTTTATTTGGAGTGTTTTTGAAGGAGCAGGATGGAGATTATGGAAGGGAAGAGGTGGACTCAAGTTTCTCTAAATGACCCTATGCTGCTGCCACTGAGAGCATATTACATGTATAATTATTTTTGGATTTTATTACTGTACCCAATATCAGAAGGATATGAGAAGAAAATAAGTAAAAGGGGATGCTTAGTGTCTTTGGTCTTCCTTTTTCCCACTCTGAAATCTCTATGTATGCTATTTTGCAGCATCACATTTGGATAAATATGCACAATTTAAATAAATATATATTATTCCTTACATACATGTAGACTGTAAGAGCTAGAAAGAACCATAGAAAAAATTATTTGAACCCTTGCATTTTAAAGAGGAAATTGAGAACTTCAAAAATAAAAGATATCAAAGTTGGTTGAATATCCCAGTTTCACAGAGAGGTTTTCCATCCTTGTTCAGTACCATCTCACATGCTATATTGCCAAGTAAATACACAGACAATAATTTTTACACCTCTAACTACATTATCAATAAAATAGTTTCATTGATCTTGTAGGATACAATACATTAACTTTAAAAAAATGTAATAACAAAACTTCCAATCATGGAAAATGAATACAAAGAAGGAATATATGCAATGTTAATTTTAAATGCTTGCTTTTCTTAAAGAAAACCAATAATTTATTTTTCATTATAATTCATGTGATATAACTGATGAAATTGGAAACTTTTTTTTTCTTCTAGGAAAATCAATATGACCAATTGTTTTCTATATGTGATAGGAATATTTGAGTTGCAGCAAGTAGATATGTATCTCTATGAAATGTACATTTTAAATCACTGAAGTCTGGGAGATCATGCTATACTTATTTTTTTAAATTGTAAAATATAGCCAATATAGCTGATTAATTGTAGAGACTTCAATTGCATTTTATTTTGTGTTTGCATGTGAGCATTTATGTATCTGTGTGTGTTTAAAAACATCTGTTCTCTTCAAAATAGGACTTAGTGAAAATGGTGTACTCAAAAGTTTAAAAGTGTATGTATAATAATCAAACAGTCAAAAAGAAATGACTTAGACTAGTATGTAACATAACAAATTGCTCTCTAATTAGTTCTTAAATCAAAGTTCAACAATACACCATATTACCAAAGCGTTGCCTTTAATAATGAGTCCATGTATTTTCTAAATACTATATTATAATAAGTAAATATTTTAAATTTGAAATAACCATGAAGCAAAAATATTTTACCTCTATATTCTCAAATACATTTACTTACATTAGATGCTAAAAAGGAAGAGAATAATTTCATATTCGATTATATACATTTCACATGAGATCAGAGATAGCTTAAATTAAATGTGTGTCTTTTCTACTGGGATGCCTTGTATGAATCATTGCATATATAATGCTATCTGATTTACTCTGTAAGGGAACAATTAAAGTATTATGATTAAATACAGAATTCATGAACTTTTGAAATAATTCATTTTTAAGTTTGCAAATATTTACGTAATCAGCTACAGAAGTCTCAATGCATTCATCATATTAGAACTTCTGTGAATTATAGATTTTACAAACTGTCCAAAGTTATAGTTCTCAAATGTAGTTTGTGTTAAAAAGGGGACTCCTTCAGCAGCTACACGAACAGAGAACAAAGCCAGGCAAGCATTGTGTTCACATGCATTTTTTACTACTACCCACATGTAACATGACATACGTATCATAGGAATACTTCCATTCCCTTGTCTGGTTAAATAGTCCTTGCTCAGTTAAGATAAAGGCCTAGATATAGCTTCTTTATACCACATAGAAAATAACCCAAACCTCATATTTTATCTCAAGTTCCAGGAAAGGTTAATTTAGAGCACAGAAACAGAAAAAAAAAAAAAGAAAATAAAGAAGAAGTAATGGAGTGTTTCCTGTTTCTAAAGTGGAACCAGTGTAGGCCACTTACGAAAAACCTGTATTTAGAATTTAGGAAAAATACTCACATAAGCTAGCATCCTTGGGATTTTTTCCCAATAATTGGCCTCAAATCTTTATAATCAAAGTTAGAAATTCTACTCAGTGGAAAAGGATGGAGGGGGTAGAGAATGGTAGAAGGAGTGACTCATTAATCTCACGCTAGAGACAGAATTATTTCATTTCTTATTCTTCACCCAAATGGTTATCAGGATGAAAGATAAATCTTTCACCTTGGGGTTAGGTGGTCATCAGATTTCTAGGGAAGTCTGGCTCACACTTTTATCTTGTCACTTTTCCGTTTTTTTGCTGTTGATAACAATATAACCATCTGGAACCATTGAGAAGGACAGTTTATTCATGAACCATAGTAATTCCTGTTTGATTTTGCTACAGAAATCAAGGATAGGACAATAATTCAGGTACCATATTCACATTATGCACTACTCTTAGAAGTTGCACCCTCTTCTATTTTCAAACTACTTGCAGAGGTTGCACCCTCTTCTATTTTCAAGCTTGTAAATGTTGTCAAGTCAGAATCACTAGTCAGGATTATGCAATATGCATAATACGGCAGCATAAATCATATAATATTATCTAGTCCCAAATATGTATTGAGTCTCCTATGTGTCAAGGAGTGCTGAGTAAAACAGCCATGTGCTAGCAATTTGAAACTACCCAATTGTGACCATCTTATGGTCTTATAAAATGTATCCACGTTATCATAAAATTTTTGATTCCATAGAGAAAAAGGAATCTCTTCCCTAAGGCATTTCTCCCTTTATATCACAGAAAAATTTCCAGATACGTATCTACACTTACCTTATTGTCCTTCTCCTTTGCTGTCATCCTGAGTCACAGCTATTGCTTTTAGAACCTAGGTGGAAGCTGTGTTGCTTATTAGGCAGTTGCAGTCTATGCTGTTTTCCACTGGAATTTCTTGGCACCCTTCATCATCTTCTCACTCCAGTGCTAATTCCTTATGTGTGTTCAACTCTCCAAAGTTCTAGAAAGGCAGTAAAGCATGATAAAAATACGCCGTACTATCCTAATATTGACACAATATAAAAACACAAATAAATCGCCAGACCACTGCAGCAGTTTACAGTCTATGCACCAGTCCCTTATATTTCCAAATTCATAGAATACAATAGCAGTTACAGTCAAGACTCATGTTATTTTCAGCTATAACCAAAGCATAATAGCAGAAGTGCTTTGGTTTTCTCAGGAAAGAGAATAGACAGAGAAAAATGAGGAAATTCTTCCTGTACCTTTTGAGGTGAGATATTCTTATAAGAGGACTTATAATGTGTACTTTGGATCAAATAACCAAAGAGGAAGGCAAAAGTGCAATTTAAATGTTTAGAAATGTAGTGGGATTGTTAGATACTGCTGAAGTTAATAAGTTACCCTAAGTTCACGTCTTGATTTCTCTTAAAAAAAATCATGGAAACATCTATGACTTAAGTTTGAAGAGTTTCCTTTTTTATTCCCCCTGAAAACCTTTATCAAAGTACTACTCAGCAGGAACTTTTGAAAAACAGTGCCAAGATGATATATTGTTTCACCTTCAAAAAACTTTTATACCTGTAAATTTTAAAGCTAAATTATGTGCATCACAAGTATAGAAAAAATATTTCCCATTTGTAATTTCCTATTTTATTATATAATACATTCAATTAGTTCTCAATTAACACTTATCTATGGTACCTGTTTCAATGGACCATGGCTTATAATTTTAGTGTGTAAGAATTCCAGTGGCAACTCCTCTGAATAGATGTATTTATTGTGTGTCATATGTGCTAGCCATTTGTTTTCTCCTAGGAAACATATGTGGTTAGCTCTGAAAGAATAGCTTAGCCTCATCATTTATACCTGTGTGGTTGCAAGCAACAAGGCTTTCTTGCAGTATAATTGTCTCAGGGATTAAGTCTAGTGCTTTATTCTCCCATTTTCCTGCCCCTCAGGAGGATATTCCTTCCTTTTTATTTTTATTTTTTTTAGGGGCTTGAAGTCTTCCTATTTTCCCATACACCTCTCCCACTTGGAAAACATGCCAGGATTTAATAAAACAAATTACACATTCACTAAGACACATTCATACTGGCTTTTTGAAGTATTACATCAGTGCATTCTGAGAGATATTCTGATGGTATTATAGATACAGATATAGATAGCTATTTTAAGAGAAAGGAATTTCAGGCCATATTCAAGAATGCTTTGGTGTGAATCAAATGCTGCTGAATACAGAGATGAAGAAGCTAGGTCAGAATATGGTCAGAATAGGTCAGAATATATGGTCCTCACCATGGCAGGCTTTTCTTTCCTCCATTACTCATCAGTTCTCTTCCTATTTCTGTTTCTATTGCCAAGTTCCCCTCTTCTGCCTATGTTTTTTAACTTCATAGGGAGCTATGGTGACACACAGGAATGACTATGTTGGCCTTATGAACAATTAAAGGGTGTGTTATTAACATTATTAAATAGATTATACTATTGTCTGTATTGTGCATTTCTCTTACAACTCATTCATCCTTCTCATCCATATAATAATCTGCAGCTCATATGTAGTTTATCACTTCTTGTAGTGGGATTAAAAGAAGTATGTAATTACACTTTTTTGTTTCTAAATCAGAGATGGTTTCAAGGTCACTATGATCTTTTTATTCTTCTTGGTTTCTTGAATTTTATCTCTTATATACTGCCTCATGAGTTCTTGAGAAATCTTCAGATAGAAGGTAATAATAATAGCCAACACTTATTGACTGCTTCATATCTGCCAGTCACTATTTTAAGTGCTTTCCATGCATTAACTTATTTATACCCATATCATTCCTGTGAAGTTGGTACAATCATTATCTTTGATTTATAAATGAGAAAACTAAAGCACATAGAGGTTAAGTTGCCTAAAGTTAATAACGTATTTTCCCAGATGTGCATATTAGTACGGAAGGTAAATGCTACAGTTATCTAGATTCTGTACATGAAAAGCAGAAAAAGTGTGAGATTGTGGATCTGCTTTTATAAGACAAATTCTTTCAAATGAAGTGAGCACAAGTTATCATAAGTAAATGATCACAAATGTGAATGCAGGAGGACAGATACTGTAAAAGTGCTGCCCAGGGGAACAAAGAAGCAGAGGGCAAATCATATCAAGGAAAACTAACTCCAGTGTATCTCCTCCCAAAGTTGAGAGTTAAGCGTGGCACAAATGCTTCTGAGTGTATTTTTTTCTTCCTTTGGGATTTCCAATCTGTCAGAAAGAGAACCTGCTGTGCTCTCTGCCTTTCCCTGGGGTGGCCCTTCAAGCTCGGGTCCCTTTTCCTGGGAAGATTAATTCATTCAGTTCCTACCACTCTAACCTCTACAGCCTCTTGGCGTCAGATTTTATGGTATATCAGCTCCTTAAACACCTTGTTGTACTTGATAATCCATGACCAAAAGCCACAATTTTTGAACCAACCAAGAGTTTTGAGTTAGTTCACCTCATATGAGAGGCATGGTGGAATAGCAACGTGGAGGTAGGGAAGATAAGCTCATGGTGGAGTGGAGTGACATTTAGGATCAACAGGGTCCCATCTGCCAGTTACTATAATTCAGAGTATTTTAATGCATGCCCCACATAATAATGAAATGAGACTGTTGTGATTAACTGATGCAAGATAAAATGTAAGGATACTGATTATAATCAGCAAAGAAATGAGTAGGAAGCAGAAAACCAAAAATTGGCCTTCTAAGAGTCATTTTAATTACAATTATTTGTGGTGAACTATGTATTACCTATGCCTCATTGCCATCTATTCTGTCTCTTATTTACACCACTGCGTCACATTGTATTAAATTTGTTGAAATTTTACTTGATTATAACCGTAAATTACTTTTATTTTCTTATTTGTCTTTCTCATACGTTGATCACTGTTCTTATATCTAGCATGGCTGCTCACCTGACACAGAGTTACAACATAACTCATGGTTTAATCTTCAGATTACCTGGAGATGAAAGTGAAACTGTTATCTCCATATTCATCAAATTTTTTTAAAAAGTTGAATAAAATAATCCTCAGTAAACATTTATTGGGCTTCTAATATATGAGAAATGCTGCCTGTGTATTGATTGAAACCTGGTGCCCTAATTTTGAAAGGACAAGAGAAACGTCTTTGTTATATGAAATTATCAGAAATGTTATGTGAATTTTAAAAATTGAATGAAAAATATTACCTTTGCTCTTTCACAGCGAATTGGATCGACACTTCTTATGTCTCAGGTATACATTTGTCAGGTTAAAATTTTAATTAATACCACAAGATGGCAAAGCACATATACAAAATTGCGTTTCCCTACATTAGGAGGGATGCATAAAATACATACAAAAATCGGAAGTTAAAATATATAAAATAGAAAGTTAAAGTTGAGTTGTTTTGTGACATTTATTTCATGAGCACCAAATCTCTTCCTTTCAGGTGTGAAAGATATGTAAACACGTAGTGAACAGGATAATTGGATTATCTTTTCCCCTATGAGACAGCTCCTTTCTTCCCTAAGGTCTTCTGATTACTTGTTAAGAAAATTCAATGAATTTTCAGTTGTAAATGAGAATTAAGGAGTAGAAAATATGCCAACCTGAGCAGTTTTTGATGATGTAAACTTTTCCACTGGAGACCTTCATGGAACTGCTAAACTCTTAAACTGTTTGTTATGAGCTAGAGTTTTTGCCTTCTGTCGCTGAAAAGCTTGGAGAAGGAGCAGTGGTTAAAAAAGCAACACAAAGAAGTCCTCAAATATTTAACACATCAGCAATAATATAATTTTATTTCCTTTATTTTTACAAAGAAAGAAGATATAAAATTCAGGTCCAAAGTTTTTGTTTTGTAGTCACTATTCTAGATATTTAATATAATCATTATATGCAATATAATTTGAAAATACAGTATATATAGTACAAGATATATTGGATTAGGTCTCCACAGACAAACAGATGTAGTAAGTCCAGTTATTTAGCTAAAATAAGCAAAATTTGCAACTGTAAGACAGTATATTACTTTAGAAATGTAGGTTGTCTCATCAAATTTATGGTAGCCTCCACATTTAGCACAGTAGGGGCCTACCATAAAAATGATACCTATTAGTGATCAAGTCCTATCAGGCCAACATTTTTTTTTTAAATCAAATTCTTCCCTTTGGCCATAACTTTACTTCAAGGCCTTACCAAATATTACTTGGATGGCTACCTACTGTCTCCCTGACTCTACCTTACTTACTCTATTCGTTTTTTCTGCCACCAATGGGAATTTTAAAATGCAAATATGATCATGATTAAAATATTATTATTTTTAATTTAATGTAGGGTAATGTTAAGAAAAAATCTTGGTGTGACATCAAGGAATCTTCATTACCTAAATTGCAAACTACCTTTTCATCTTTATTTCTTGCTATTTTCCCCTGTAGAATTTTATAATAAAGCTAAAAACACCTTGAAGTTTAAATTGAATAATTTAGTTAGCTTATGATGAAAATGATGTGATAATGAAGATTTATAATTGCCTTTTCTCTGTTGGAGAGGCTGTCTCATATTTTGTAATATTATATGCATTTTCTCTTCAAGCACTAATTTTGAATCTGATTTCAGAGTATCATATATAGTACTCTGTATGAGACTTCTTTCTAGTTAATAACATATATACCATGAAATCCAACTTTTGAGGGACCTCTGTTTTTGTGGATTTGCTCATGATGAACCACCTACTATATTATTCTGCACAACAAATTGATCAGTTTTCTGTTGTTTCCCAGCAGCAGCCAGTGTCTGCCATACAAAGTAATGACCTCTAGCTAAATTTTATGTTGTGTCTCCCCTGCCAACTCTGAAGTGGTTAGCTACCTTTGGCTCACCATCCTGGAGCTGTGTGAGTTTCTTACTTAGCCTGGCCTCTGTAGACATGTACTTTGTTGCTCACAGATTGGCTGAGCTCCAGGTCTTTGTTGCTGGAGATGTTGCTCTAACATCTGTTGAGTATGGCATGTATAGAGTTACTCTCATCAATCTTAAGAAATTGGGTGTACTTTCTGGGCTTGTGGCACGCATTGTACAACATAAAATCTACATTGAAAAGAAGGATACAGATTAAAAAGGGAGAGTGTATATGATATGATTTTTTAAAGTGTAGCTTTGATAATAAGAAATTCCAGAAAACTTTTTTTAATATTTATATAACATATGACCAAGTTTCTATGGAATTACCAATTAAAAAAGATCTTTAAAGAAAATTGATTTATATAATGGTTTAAACAAATCATTTTAAGTTGATCAATTTTGATATGTCTTAGGAAAGGTAATCCAGATTTTGAATACTATGTGGTAAAATAAAGTAAGTAATACAATTACAACCTCCATCTCTGTATTTTAAATGACCTTTAAATATATTACATGAACACTTTCTTTAGGTCACAAGCCAAAAATAATGTGGCAATTATGAAAATGTCAATATTATCAATAGTAAAATATTCCTATCATCTAAAGAACCCATAATATTGGGAGACTGCTTCTTTGAGTCAGTGATTAAGCATGATGATTATTGATGCTGATCTGTTGGGGAGATTGAAATAACTGGGAAGCGTAAAAGCCTCTGATTAGAAGGGGAAATAATCAAGCTCTTCTGTTATTGATGAAAACTTCGAGAAGTGAAGGAGAAAAATAGGCTATTTTTTAAAATAGAGCAATCTTGAATCATTTCAATATGTGTAAAATCTTAAAATTGAGTTTTCTGATTAAGTAACTTAACAACCAAATGAATAGAAGAATAGTTTGGAAATTTTCATGACCAAACTTTGAAGAAAATGTTGCAATATTTGTCCTGGCAAACAGTGGTTCTTTGCCTATTTGTTTATTTATGCCCATAGAATAGCCAGTCTAAGAATTCTTAACCACCCTGTCCCCAAGTTTTGGGGTCATATGTCAGAATTCCTGATTAATGTCAAATCAAATACATTTAAAGTATTTGTTAACCCATATGCTACACTGCAGTAGAAAAGTGCATATTATAATTTAAATATTCAGCATTCATTGTTGTATAAGTTAAAGACTAAGCTACTGTAACCATAAGACTTCCCAAACAAGTATAGGAAACAAAGTGGAATTATTGGTCATTATAATCATCATACTCAGATAATAACTCAATTATAATCATTTAACAGTCGTAAGGTGAGTAGTTCAGGCTGATGGGATGACATGGTTTTTTTCATGGTCATTCGTAGATACAGGTTTCTGCCATCACATTGCTCGATCATCACCTAGGGAATGGTCCTCATCTACAGGGTCAGATTTGGATCATGGACTAAATTGAAATCAAGGAAAATAGGTCCAATTTCGCCGCACAAAGCAATTTCCATGTCAGTGCCATTGAACCTAGATAAGTGGTCATACCCAGTTGCACGTGAAGCTGGGAAATGTAGTCCCATAGCTGTTTAGTTGTGTACCTAGCTAAAATTTGAGAGTGGCTGTTATTAGTAAGAGGAACAGAAAAATAGATACTGGAGTTTGTATTCTCTGTTTTACCTATTTACTCCTCATCATATCAAAAATTGGTAGTGTCATACATTCTTTCTCTTCCTTTCTTTATATCATCTACTAGTCTCCTTTACTCTCTGAATCTGTAATAGGTGATTCAGATATTTTGTTATCTACTCTAGTTTGGATTTTCTACCTATTTACCTCTCTGTCTATCCATCTACACACACACACACACACACACCACACACCACACACACACACACACACACACACACACATACATATATAAAAATGGTTCAAAACATTTAATTCACTAATGAGGAAGAAGAGGCTCCATAATGTTGAATGCCAAATTCTTATGGCAAATTTCTCAGAAGTAAAGGTGAAATTAGAATCCAGGTGACAACGTCCAGTCCAGCTTTCTGTGCAATAAGGAATGTGACTGGCTTTTTGGATAATTTTATTTTCTGCACAGAATAACCTAAACATATAACATTTTATAGAAGGTTTCTAAAATGTTGCTGTGATATCTTTACCATTATGTCCCTTCCATGCTGCTGTATCTGCATTTGCTGTATTGGTGAGTTCCAAGCAGAAATCATGAGCAGAGTTTTATTTACTTAAAATTTTAATATTAGGCTAATTTTACTTTCTGAAGAAATGTTTACTTCGAGCTAGCAAATTCAAAATGTATAATACTTATGTAAAACTGAATATAATATGTTCAAGTTCGGAGTAATATCTAAGGAAAATCAAATAATAACAAAAACAACACTGATACTCTACAGTTATAATTCACATCTCTTCATGTTTTATCTTCTACATTTAGAAAACTGGACCTCAATCTGTGGCTTTCTTGTCACTCCATACACAGTGCAATTGTCCAATAAGAATATCTCAGTTTCCAGTGAGTCCTGCTGGTAGATTTCATGAGGGCAGCAAATGCCTATATATTACGTCACACCCATCCATCAAGAATGCATTAGCCGTCATGCTTTCCCAGCAAAGAGTTTTTATGTAATTGTCCAGATAATCAAAATGCGATGAAAGCTTATAGAAGGCCCACCTGGAAAGACTCAATGTTCAATGGAAGTCCTGTTATGTTCTTAATATAAACTATAGAATTATTCACTAGAAAGTTTATGCTTCTTGCTGACATTCTAGGTGTAAATAATGCAACAGTAAATACTTTAATAATTTCAATTAATTCTGAAGTGTAGCTTTAATTTTTCTAATTACAGCCGATATTCCTAAATCTGGGACTTCTGGTGGAAGTTAATGAAATCTTTGCTTACCACTGCATTTACATTATAGAACCTGCTGTTGAAGTGCAGAATGCGTTAATTAAAAATATTTTCCAATCTAAATGAGCTGTTTTAACTCCTTAACAAAGTTTCAAGTCATGCATTATTTTAAAGTGGATATTAAATGAAGCCCAACTGCATTTTTTGATTTCTACTAATTTGATATTCCAATGCTAAGAAAATGCCAGTTTATCTTTTTGGAGTCAAATGGTGAATCATTACATTAAGTGAGTAAATTTATTTGAAGAATGAAACCCTGACAGTGCTCAAAGCATATTCATTCGAAGCATAGCTTGTTATAAAGTTCCTTTTGATAAATAAAATCAAATAAAATATTGAGTTATTATAGGATATAAAGATAGTAACATGTGTATTTGCATATGATAAACAATTAAAAGGGGCAGTCTTGGTACCAAGTAACATATTTTGGAGAGAAATTGTTTTTGGAACCCTTTTATGTCCTAACTTACCTTTTGTACTATTCGTAATAAAGCATTTGTTTCCTCCAGCAATCCTTGGTCATACATATATGTGAAATATATATATGTGAAATATATATGTGAAATATATATATATATGGAAAATAAATCCAAGACTATAACCTAGATAGGACCCTGTAATAACCATCACACAAAGATAGTTACATGTTTTTAGGCTGTTGGAAGTAGCTCCTTTAAAAAACACCTATAAATATTTATGTTTTATTTGATTAACTTGGGAAAATTACATATACTACCTAAGACTTGGTTTTTACTACCAGTCATGTCTCATGTATTGCACGTTTTTCATGTTCATGCAGTGTAACAAAATGCTATTCTAATATTAAAAGCAGATATTATTAACAACTATGAAGCTAGTACCTTAGAATTTAGCCAGTTCTCACATATATAAATCATATTATCCCTGACAAAGTAAATTTCTTCTCTTTAACTTCCCATTCTTTACTACTAGGTTCTAATTTTTCACATTCTACCAGCTCTTAGGGATGTTTATCATTACACTCAATGTGGAAGCATGGGTTAACTTATTTAATTCCCTGCTTATTACAAAATAATTAATATAATCATTAAATTATGCCATTCCATAATAAGTAGTCTACATTTAAATATATGTGCTTATTCTTTGTTTCTTTTAATTTATACTGCCTTTACAATTAGTTATTGTTTATAACCATAAAACATTATTTTAGAACAAAATATACCTTCATAATTATTTGACTATAAAGGCTTAATCTAGTGTCTCTGTATGACAGGGGCTCAGTAAATGGGAGTAAGTTAGCTAACATATATGTGTGTGTATATGGGTATAACATATATGTTACTATAGACATAAAATTCTTTGGGAAATTTTAACAACTTTTACTTTTTGTGTGTTCAATGTAAGTTCTGTCTTATTAAAGAACCTGAGATTTAGAAGTAGTCAAACTCTGATTTCCGTTCCAGCTTCAGTGCTTACTGGATTACTGAACGTGAGACAGTTACTAGAGTCAGAAAACTGCCATTTTCTCATCTGTGAAACAGACATCCTATTATCTAACTTAATGTGTTTTTGTAGGAATAAATCAGACAGCAAATGTAGGTATAAACGCATGTATCTATTTGTGTGTATATAACTGGTGGATTAGAAGAAAAACGATTTGAAAGGAAAATAGCTTTAATAATTTTTTAAAGAAATGCACTACAAATCACACGATTAAAGGGTGGAGGCAATGACAGTATCTGATCCTTTCTCTTTTAGATCGCAGTCTTTGATATACACTTGACAATCTTATTGTAAGATATCATATTATGTTCTTAATTTTTAAAACATCTTAAATGTATAAGGGAAAAAGTACTCTGATATATAATGGAATATTAGCTTCTTTCCCCCCACTAGTAAAGTGTTAGAGCTTACAGAAAGATTATTTTAAAATCCACTTTAAGATGTGCTTTGGAAAACAGCTAATGCAGATCACTGACATATGTACATAATTCTAATTTTTTATTATAAATATATAATAATAATTGTGAATCAATTAAATTAAAAGTACCCAGAAATATTAAATAATATAGGCAAATTATATTTAAATCATAGGTGTGACTCTGTATCTGTGTAGCAAAATGAGCCGCCAAAAAGAACCCACTTGTCTATGGAAGATTAGCCTATTTGGTGTACCAACCGAGAAGAAAACATGTTTTAAAGGGTCCTACTTTGCTTCCCTTTGCAGAAATTTAGAGCCAAGAAGCTTACTGAATTATCACTGATTTTTCCAACTTATTTGGAAGTAATTATTGGCTATTTGAGGGAAAATTTGTGTAAAGCTATTCAATTAGTTGTAAATTGCCTCATTATCTTTTATAGTTCATCTCTTTTTATTTTTAATTTACTTTTCACCATTGATTTTCTTTAATTAGCAATTAACACTAAAAAAATTCTTTACATCAGCTGCCTAGATAATTAATACAGTCCTATGGATTTCTGTAGACACAATAATATGTTAATGGATGCTTTGATTTGACCTAAGCCTCATTTTCACTCTGAAAATTGTACCTCTGCAGAGTTAGACAAGAACGAAACAATATAAGCAAATTGGTTATTTTAAACTCTGAGATTAACATATGGTCTAATTATCGCCTATAAATAGTTATTTGAATAATTAAGTCAACCTGTCATTGAGCTTTGGGGGGAAAATGTCTCCGAAGTTGCCCCACCCCAACAAATCCTTGACAACATGAAAGTAAAATTTGTATCACTTCTATCTCTTTAAAGTGCAAATGATTCCATAACTAAGTAGCATTTTTCATTTAATATGGTATTGTGACAAAGAGCTGCTCAGAAATGTGTATCTACACTTCGGTGCAAGGACACCAAATATTTTATGCCCAGCTGCCCCTACCACACACCTTTGAACCAGTAGATTTCTTGTGACACCTCATTAGACAGAATAATTGTTGCAAGGGTGTGACCTTGTACCTCTGAAGCAGTCTCTCATTCGATGGATGGTGTGAATGACTAAGTGGGTCAGTCTTGGAAGATTGTAAGCCATTCGTTCTCATTAGTCTGTCAGCCATTAAACTCCAACAACATAGCAGGTTGTTTGAGAAATGTAGCATTTTATTGAAGGCATTTCTATATCTGCCTTTCAAGGCAATCAGCAGTTCAAAGAAAATAAATTAACTGAAAACTCAGGTATAAATAGCATCACTTTATTTTTGCTTTATTAAGCTTCTTGCTTGCATTTAGACTGATTTGGTATTAATCATTGATCATAATTTCATAGGTGCTTTATCTTTTTGAATTTAGTTAAATGAAAATTGAAATATAAAAGGGCACTTCTAGTGTCAGTAATAAGGACTGCAAAAACATTATACAGTTCAGTTTTACTGAAGACATGTGCAATATAATTTCTCCTTCATTTATATTTAAGGGAAATGCATAGAAAACAAATGTTTTCTCAAAACTAGAAGTAAAGTGTCCTCTGTAATTATAGTAAAGTAGATTATGTAATCTGCTTGTTTAGGCATATTCTACATAACAGGCTATAACTTATTTGGAAGGGGAAAGCAACTGAAATAAATGATTTAAAATAAGTAGAAAAGATGGAAGCACAACACAAAAAGTTTAGTTATTCTTATAGCGAGAAAGGGAAAAATTTCAATACTTCCCGTTTTAATAACTTAATGTTGCTATGTGCTGAATAAATGTTTTTAAGACAAAGCAGAAAACTGTAATGGCATTGAGAGAGAAAAGCTTTGTATGAAAAGAGAAAGCACCATTTGGGGCTGGAGGAAATATTTTGGAAATTGTAGATTTCCTGTGTTCTGTCTATGCAATAAGAAAAAAAGACATTTTTTTCAAGGTTACAAATAGGCTTAGTTTTTTTATGGAAAAACATATTTTGCTTCAAGATTTTCCCTTCATTTTAAAATCATTCATTAACATTTCTCTGGATCAAGATAAAAAATGTTGTCTGCCAAAATTTTTAGAAAATTCAAAATCTCTTTGTATTAATATGAAGTCTGTCATATATATTAAAACAGGACTATTCATGATATAGCCTTAAATAAATATAGACATATTTAGAACAAGAACACAGATCTGAAGCCACTGGTGACTTCAAAATCCCTAATCTCTTCTATATGTTGTATATTGTTCTTCTAGGTTTAACCAGTCTATTAATATGAAATGAAGTCATACTTGTAATAACATCCAAATATTTATGACTGAGTTCCCACCTTTTTAATTGTAGGAATTTGAGGCTTCTAGTAATGTCCATTCCAATATTTTATTTCTTTATGTCCTCGTGAGTAATCACTCTTACATGTGCTGTATACATTTATTACTCAAATTATAGTTTATGGACAGCAGCATGGGTATCTCCTGGGAGCTTGTTCGAAATGCAAAAGCTCAGGCCTGACCCCAGACTGTTTGAATTATCGCCATTATTTAACAAGATCCCCAGGTGTTTTCTATTATGGTTTAAGAGGCACTGCTTTAGGATACAACTCTATGTTCTTCTTATTTGCTCCACTTTTCAAAGTGCCACATTGTATTATATTCTACTGTGTCTGGACTTGGTTCCTTCTGGTGGGTTCGTGGTCTTGCTGACTTCAAGAATGATGCCGCAGACCTTCGTGGTGAGTGTTACAGCTCTTAAAGATGGCACAGACCCAAAGAGTGAGCAGCAGCAAGATTTATTGTGAAGAGCGAAAGAACATGAAAGAACAAAGCTTCCACAGTGTGGAAGGGGACAAGAGCAGGTTGCTGCTGCTGGGCTAGCGTGGCCAGCTTTTATTTCCTTATTAGTCCCCGCCCATGTTCCGTTTCTGTCCTGTCAGTGTTCCCGTTTTTCAATCCTCCCTGCGATTGGCTACTTTTAGACTCCTGCTTATTGGTGCATTTTACAGGGCACTGATTGGTGTGTTTTACAATCTTCTTGCTAGCTACAAAGCGCTGATTGGTGCGTTTTTACAGAGCTCTGATTTGTGCATTTTACAATACCCTTGCTAGCTACAGAGTGCTGATTGGTGCATCTTACAATCCTCTTGTAAGACAGAAAAGTTCTCCAAGTCCCCACTCAACCCAGTAAGTCCAGCTGGCTTCCCCTCTCACTACCAGTAGACATATTGAACCACTGCTTGGCCACCTATAACTGACATGGCTATTACCTGTAGCTGGGGTCCCAAGTCTTTATTCATGAGATACTGTAATGTTCTGTCCTTCAATATCTTCTCCCCATCACGAAACAATTTTTTCCCCTCTTCACAAAAGGAGAAACCAAGCTGTCATTTTAAACAGCCTTTTCTGAAGTTTTGGTGATAATAATGAGTAAGTTTACCCAAAGGGTAATTAAATTGGCTGCTGCATTTGGTGAGATTTAGTCTACTGGCTCACATATGTCATCCTGGGACCTTCTAGGACATCTCCCCACTTAGCTCACAGCTCCTTTCCATTAACCCTTTTCCGTGAGTGTCATATAGCTATCTTCCTGGGGAGTTCAGACCAATTCCTAGGATGTTTTGGCAAAATAACTTTCTTGCTTGCTTCAGTCTTAATACTCATCACTAGAGTTTCTGTGTTTTGTTCTAGGTTAGGCCTTCTGTTATTTATCTGTTGCTGCGCAACAAAGTACTCTTATGCTGAGTGACTTAAAACAACTAAAAAGTTTCTGAGAGTGTCTCAGCTGTGTGATTCTAGCTCAGAATCTCTTACAAGGCTGCAATCAAATTGTCAGGGGTGGGAGTTAGGGTCTGTAGCCACGTCAGGACTGACTCAGTCTGGAGGATCCATGTCTCAACTACAATACCTTGCCATGTGGGCTTGCTAGGGCTGCCTGTGACATGGTAGGAAATAGAGGTGAAATAAGCATGAGCAACAGAAAGAAATGCCACCCTGCCTTTTATGACCTCAGGAGAATTGAGTCACTAAGCACAGTCCACACACAACAGGTGGGAATAAGAAAGTATGAGAATTCCATGAGGCTGGCATATTTGGGGCCTTATTGGAGGCTGCCCACCAAAGTGTTTTTCTTGGGACAGTAAATAGTCCTTCCCTCAAGGTGTGACCTCGTTTTCTGTTTCCAACAAGGTGATTTTAATAGATCTTGCAATGAATAAGAAATGTACATTAATGGGAGGGTCTAGTTTGCATTGTTTTAAATATTCTGCAGCATTAGATGACAACTCTCCTTGAATTCTTTATGAAATCTTTTCATCCTGTGTTCACATCTCCTGCAAACAACTCTCAAAGCAAAACAAGACAAAATTAAGATAGCTCCACAAGAGCATTTGTCTTCTCAAAACACGTGCCAGTAGTACAGGCATGGTGCTTTTTACAGTCACACAAAATAAATTAATCTTTATTCTTTAAATTTGTCTGCCACTGTCAAACCACAGACATACACACATACACATGCACCAACAAAAAATAATATAAATAGAGATGGAGTAAGCACAAGCAATAGAAAGAAATGCCACCCTGCCTTTTATGACCTCAGTAGAATTGGGTCATTCAGCAGGGTCCACACAAAACAGGTCTAAATAAGGAAGTGTGAGCATCCTAAGAGGCTGGGATCTTTGGGGCCATATTGGAATCTGCCCATCAGTCTTTTCCTTGGGATTGTAAGTAGTCCTTCCCTCAAGGTATGACCTCATTTTTATCCACAAAAAAGTCAATTATGAAGATCTGTTTTTCAAACATTCTTAAATCAGCTTTATTTAGGTATAACCTATATACAGTGTAATATATTTATATAATTTATATATATTTTATATAATTTGCATTATACAAGGTATTCAGTTTTCAGTATATAACATTTGCCTCCAGGCTAATAGTGACTTATGTAGTTTTCTACTAGAAATAATGAATGGGTTTTTGTTTTACATTTGTGAAACTCCTAAAGGAGATTTTGGGGGAGTGCCTGTATAGAGGAGGAGACTGCTTCAAAAATGAATTTGATGGAGAATGAATAAGCAATTACTGTATTTCCATACAAAGGAATACTATACAGCAATAAAAAAGAATGAACTACTGATACACTCAAGAATGAAAATGAATCTAAGATAGTGTTTACAAAAAGAAGCCAGAGACAACATATTATATACAGTATGCTTTTATTAATATGAAGTTCTAAAACAGAATATTAGAATTTATAGTGTTAGAAATGAGATCAGTAGTTGTCTGGCAGAGGAGAAGATGTGGAAGATTGACTATAAAGGAGCAAGTGGTAATTTTAGGATAATAAATATATTCTATCTCTTGGCGTAGTAATTACCTGGGTATATGTGTTTGAAAAACTGCTCATTTAAAATAGGTGCATTTAATTGTATATAAATTATACCTCAATTAAGCTGATTTTTAAAATGTAAAAAAAAGATTGTCATGATTGTAGATAAAAGTGCTTGTAATAGTTACATGACATTTTCCAACTACTACCTGTTATTAGTAAATATTATAGACTTAATTTCAGCCTGAATACCCTAATTTGTATGATTGTTCTTAAGGCAATAAAATTTGAATCTTGCTAATTATCACTTTATACTAGTGCTCAGAAGTTTAATTGAGAAAGTATGATATTGTAGATTGTTGCTGTTTTCACCTCATTGACATGGTGTCAAACTTGGAACATTATTACACTTGGTTATTTTTATTTTCAATTAGTTTTGTACTTCTTTCTTTAATGTGAATTTCTATGTCCTATAGGTGGCTACAAATGGAGTCATATTAATAGTAATAACAAATTAAATTTGTTTTTAAAATATTCTAGCTTATGCATTTCTTAGCCTTCTGTAAAACATGCTAAATATTCTTAGGCGTTCCAGGCAGATATTTCACCTGTTCAAATGTAAATTCAATCAAAAGTCAAATCAGCTATCACTTGACCTCCTCTAATGCTTGCTTTCCTCTTATCCTGATTCTAAGCCTTCTGCTGCCTACTTCTATGAATATCTGATATCTCATAGATGCCACTGTATCCATCAGTTTCTGCTGTCTCGTGTCAGGAATTTGCTGGGTCAAAGGTTTTATCCTCTTTCATAGTTGAGGCACTGGAGTCCTTTATAGCTGTTACCACAGTAATTCATTCCTGAGTTTGGCAAGAATGCCTCTGTCTGTCTCTCCCCCTTTACTTTTTCTTTTATACTTTACTAGAGGGTGGCTACTTATGCTCTAATGTCTTAGTCATTTATTGAAACAGCTTCTTCAGTTTTACTTATAAGCTCCTTTTCAACTCTCTTTTCTTCACAGGACTCAAATGTGTGAAACTTAACCCAGATTAATCTGAGTGACTGGTCCCACACTTCACTGATAATTTCCTTTCTTTCCCTGTGACTAAAACTTTGTTATTGGGTCAAGTTCAGTTTGTGTTCTTCCCTCTTATAGGCTGTGTTCTCTTTCAAGGAGATTTTCAGTTGCTCTTGATAACAAGGTTTCTCCAGATCTTTTTGACCTGTTTATCTGACCCACACAGACATTTCTGAAATCCTTTTATAGGTTAATGTGAGGATTCCTACTGTGTTTTCTGACTTTCAATTAGATATGATTTCAACTTTACCTACAGCTAAAAGCCTGAGTTTAGGTAACATTCTATACATGAGACAACTCTATGCAATTATTTGGGTCCAGCCCTGATAAGTCATGAGCAAATATATATTCATTTTCTTCTTTTGTGAGACGAAAAGGTTCTACAATATTACTCATTCAGTAAGTTATCTTCCCCAGATGAGGCTTAGATTCTAGTGAGAGAAATAGACCAAGTAAAATGTTAAAAGAAAAAATATATTAGATACTGTTATCTGCTAAGGAGAAAATAAAATAAAGCAGTAAAGGGAGTATAGGCAGTGTTGAAGTAGGGTATACAATTTGAAATAGGGGGCCAGAGAGACTTTTGCTAATAAAGAGGCATTTGACTAAAGACCTAAAGGAAGAGATCGCCTTTTAAGTGTCTTCCAGACCCTTGTTTAGAGAATATCAAAGATGATAATTTCTCATATTGAAATATACTTAGTAATTTAATATTCAGTAGAAATTTTAAAATACTGAGCAATAGTCTTTTACTGAATATTTGCTTTATAATTTTCAATATATGTCTTTCAAATATAACTGTGTTGATCTTCTAATATCAATAGTATGAGTTCTGATTCCATGGCTGGGCCATTTATTTGGATAGCTTAGATTAATATTTATTTCTGGTTTGTTTGTATAACTATCATTGTGAGTGTGTGTGTGTGTGTGTGTGTGTGTGTACAATAAGCCAAAATGACACCTTCATGGTCCCACATTGACTGTTTGAATACTTACTGAACAGAGTTTGTAAGATAGTTACTAAGTGGAAAATTTGTACTTGCAGAATATTTGTTCCTGTCATAAGCATCATTTTACTCATGTACTTTGCACTACCTTACAAAGACCACAAACCTTGGAGTCAACAAAACTGCAACTATAAAACTGAGAGCACTCATTAATTTGTCATTGACATCTCTTTGAACTAGAAACTATGTACAGCATTGGGCATAAAATAGAGTCTGACAAGTTATTATTATGGGACTCCTATTTGTCTGCCTGGTAAATCAGTCATCTTATTCCCTTTCTAAAACACTTTTTATGTAACACTTTAGAACTTACACAGCATTGTCTTCTATGATCAATTAGCTACTTGGTACTGGAATTATCTTTTGTGAGGATAACCCTGATATATGAGCTGTATTTTCATCTAGTAAACTAGGAATATGAACTTATTGTCAGAAAGATCTGCTTTAATTCCATTTTGGGGCCTATGTCCTATTTTCAGCTTTCCATGAGTTGTCCTTGCTTTTTCCATCATCTGTGTTTATACAGCCCTTATACCTACTCCTGAGCTCTATGGGTCCCTTCACTAGACTAAAGTGTGGAGGGAATAGACTATATCTTCAGTTTTGCATCTTGAGTACCTTGTTAAGTGCCAACTACATGTTATATATGAATTTAGTCCTTAAGTGAGCAGGTATAAACCAGAATGGGGTTCTCTGCTGACAAGCTATATGCTCTTGGCCATTTGGCTTCTCCAAATCTCAGATAATTTTTCTGAAAGAGTGATGAGGAAATGCAATAATCTGGATCAGGTATTTTTAACAAAACCAACTCCTCATAAGCTTTCCTTAAATATTAGCATCTCCCTTTCTCCTCTTTCCTCCTGCAACTCTCCTTACTTATTATTGCCATTATTTTTATTATTAATTTTCACTCTTATGATATGGATTCTGTTTGAATTAAACTCAAAATGTTATATATGCCATAGATACTCATTAAACTCTAATCAATGAATTATTCTCATTGAGCCTTTATCAGGTCCATTGAACTTGTTAATGAATTTAATTTTATCCAGACGATAGTTTTGTGAAAAATATTTTAGTGTTTCCTGCCCAGGATAAATTTATCCTAAAGGAGGCAGGGCGGCAGATGCCTGAGCTGTTCTTTGCAGCTTCCTTACAGCTGAATGTAAGGACCTTTGCTGTCAGCTTCTTTGACTTGTTTGTGTATTACCTGTCACAATGGGTCTTTTCATGATTACACCTTCACCACTTCACTTTATCCATGTAATAACACCTCATGTGATTTGTTGTTAGTGATAAATATCACCATGAAATTTTAACAGTGATCTATTTATTAAATGTTATATTTCTAGGATCTTGATGGTGAAATAGCCTGTCTTCACCATCTACCCTTAATTGTTTAGATAAATATAGCCAGGGTATTATCATGTAAAATGCAAAATGATAAGCAAAAGTGTGTTGATTAAATACTTTGTGGGGTTAAAAAACAAAGGAAAATCTACAAAATGAGAGCAATCCTGAATCTGAAAGTTAATTATATTGATGACAAAGAAGCATGGTAAAAAAAAAAAAAAAAGTTGTCTATAAGTGAGCATGTATGTGCAAACACAAATTTTTGAAGAATCATTTCAGGATTGACAGTAACTTACACTTTTCTAGATAGTAAGAAGGAATAATTCATTCTCGGCACTTTAGTCATTGCTTCATTTTACTTTCTGAGAAAGTCTTATGCCCGCAAGCAAACCTGATGAAAGACATATAAGAACATAATTCATTCTTTTTAGATTCTTACTATCGTTGTCATTTATTTCCCTCATGACTAACTGCGGTAGATTTAGTCTCACAAGGTACTATATAGAGAATTTCCATGCAATTTTTGGGCTTTCTTTAAAACAGTGCTTTTCGACATCTTTTTTGAATATTTTCGTTCTCATGATTGCTCTTTTCTATTTCACTTTTTTATTGAGCTGAATATAGCAATTTGAAGTTGGCATGATACCAGTCTATATTTAGTATTCTTTCTTGTAAAACTCTTCTCACCATCTTTGTAAAGGTTACAAAGGTGTATGATTCACATTTTTTCTCTCTTGTCCTCACAGTTCATGCCATTTAATTGTAGATAAAAATAATTATTTGCTCGTATTGAGTCTCTCTGCTGTATCTTTCATTGCAGATTGTGGAGAGACGTTTGTCTAATAAACAACAACAGGATTCTCAGAAAAATTTTTGAATGCTTAAATCTCTTATAATTTACTTTTATGTAAATTTCTTTACTGCACTGTGTTTTGAAAAGAACATCTTACCTATCTAGCTTCAAATAAATATATTAAGTATGAATTTCTCATACAACATTTAGATTTATAGCTTTGTACTCACGCTGTATTACTTTTCATTTGTCAACATTAGATTTCAGGTTTTTCTTGCTAACCTAGTTATATCACTGAGTGGAATTTATTTTCATATGACTTTCCCATGCATGTTGTTTTTAAATGTGTAAAATAGGTTATTTTTGTAAACTAAAATCTGTTTAAAATATCAAAACTGGAAATAAATCAGGTATTATCCTGGAAAGTCTCCAGTATTTAATAAGGGCCCTTTTCCCCCCACACACTTGTGTGTGTTATGTGTGGTGTGTTTGTGTATGTGTGTGTGTATGTATACTATTTCTCTAATGCTCCTTTGATTGCATTCCTACAATTTAGAGATACTTTAAATTTCCCCCTTCACTATATTTTTTAAAAAAGCAACGTATAAAACATTACATATTTTAGGTTCAGTATATTTATTGCTGATTTAGATAACATGGCATGATGTGAGATTTCCCCACCAAATTTTCAGCCCTGAAATTCTTTGGGTTTGAAATATTCATTTTCTAAAAGCTTTCTGGAGAAACGTGATTTTTTTTTTCTGAATTGGAGAATATGTCTGTCTTTTGACTTCTAAAGGTAAATTTGTTAATTGGCTATCTCCTAATGAGATGTCTGGATGAGATTTAGAAGAGCATGTAAAAGGTGAAGTATAAGATAGTATCTAAATATGGGCTTTCATCAATGGGAGAATTACACAAATAGCAAATATCCAAGAGAAGGATGAGCACAAAAAATAAGTTATTACTTCAATATTATGAAAATAAGATTAAATTAAAGTATTAATAATAATTATTACTACTTTTAGTGCTCTTCCTTCTCCCATTCATCACTATTTGTGTAATTCTCCCCACTGACGGGAAACTATATTTAATATTACTAAATATCAATATTGTGTTATATAAGCCTATTTCACAATTTATTTAAGGGGAGTCAAAATCACAATACATGACTGAAATGGAGGTGAGATTAGTTTGGCACTTTATGTCATCATCAGTTATTTATCGTCTGAAAGCTAAAAAGTGTTCAATTACACATCATGCAATTTTTGGCCTGAGAGTAGTTTGGGTGATGGTTTAAAGGTGCATCTAACATATGAATGTTGCTTTAGTGATGGGATCAAATTTCTGGTTCAGAAATAGTCCAAGAAGCTTCCTTGCATTGAACAACTGGAGTCAGATACTTCTTATGTTTTATTCATATATTTATTCATTGAACAAATGTGTACTGCACACCAACTGTACATCGCTTCTTTGAACAGGTAAACAAGATCTGGCTTTTTGTCTCAGCGACTTATTTCTACTGATATATGTCATTATTCAATTGAGTGACACAAATCTAGGTAGTTTAAACAGGAAGATATCATAGAGAGGAAAAATGGTGCTTGTAAATCCTTTACAAGAGCTGGAAGAGAAAATGTAAAGAAGTCTACCATTAGTTCTTGGGTTCACCACTGGCTTTCAAAGAATCAGAAATGTCAGCTGAAACCCAGATCTGGAACTACAGTAGACTCTACTGAGTGATCATGTCTACTTGCAGCACCAAAGTAGGTGTTTTATTGAGGAAAATCTAGAGGCTACTGCAAATTCTTTTTTGTATTGAAACCACATAACTTCATGCCATTGTCAGAAATAATTCTGTTTATCTTCTGTGTTGTACAAGTGCATCTCATTGGTGGAAACTAAGCTGTATTTTGATAGATCCATGTTGGGATAGGAGCCAAATACAGTTCCTAGGCTTATGCTTTTTCATGCATTGACCAAGGAAGAAAGAGATAAGAGCCTTTCTTTTTTTTTCTTTCTTTTTTTTTTTTGTAATTGTCATGCCAGTCATGCTAGAGCACTTGTGATATAGGAGAGAGAAGAAGAGGGGTAAGGATTTCAAGTGCCAACACACAAGCATTCATCTCAGGCTTAATGTGAGAAAGACATTTCTAAGAGAAAATGTCTCCTTATTGACTCACAATTCACTAACAGAGGAAAGCTCCTTTTAGGCTGGCAATGCTCAGAATTGTTACTGGTGTACCTTATACCATCCCATGTTTTCAGTGGGAAGAAAGGTAGACATTACCTAAAGTAGTCTTCTCTGAGGTTTCTAGACATTAACTCAGTGCTTTGACATTATTTAATGCGCTTCTGACAGCTGCCCTTCGAAATAACACAGCTGTCCTTTCAAAGAGCATAGCTATCAATACCACTGAACTATATAGAACACCTGTGGCCGGGCGCGGTGGCTCACGCCTGTAATCCCAGCACTTTGGGAGGCCGAGGCAGGCGCATCACGAGGTCAGGAGATCGAGACCATCCTGACTAACATGGTGAAACTCTGTCTCTACTAAAAATACAAAAAATTAGCCGGGCGTGGTGGCGGGTGCCTGTAGTCCCAGCTACTCAGGAGGCTTGCTGTATCCCAGCTACTCAGGAGGCTGAGGCAGGAGAATGGTGTGAACCCGGGAGGCGGAGCTTGCAGTGAGCCCAGATCGCGCCACGGCAGTCCAGCCTGGGCAACAGGGCGAGACTCCGTCTAAAAAAAAAAAAAGAACTTCTAGTTTATAACCACAACCAGGGGACCTCTGTCTGCATTTCAGTTTGCTTAATCATTAGTCTCAAGAGCCCAATATCCTCCAAGAAACTGGCATGACTGAAAAAAAAAAGACTCTTACCTCCTTAGTCAATACACAGAAAAGCATACCATCTCACATGTTAGCTTTTGTCCTCTTCTAAAAGGTAGGTCACCCGCTATTTGTGCATCTTTCTGCTGACCCAACTCCTCGTGAACTTCCTTCTTCCACAATAACTTTACTTCTCTGCCTGAAACTTCTGCATTGGGATACTTAACAAACAGATAGATAAACAGCAAAAGAACAAAGGTTCTAACTGCTGCATCACCCAACTCTTCACCTCTGTGTGTGTTTTTCTTTTTTTAATACCACCCACTCCCAGACTTTATCATCCAAAGGTCATACTTGCTGGACTGAATTATAGATTAGCCTAATATAGACATTAGTTCATGCTCTTTCTTCTATCAAATACACTTCTATTTTTTCCTCCCTCTATCCTATGTCATTTCACTTTTATTCCTCCCTTACATGTTAGCCTAAATATTACTTCCTAATAAGAAACCCTTCTTTGTCACCTGACGTAGTTTTCTAGGTTAGTTTACACCATTAATGACTTTCACAGTACCCTGAATTACTTCTGCACAGTATTTATCTCAATGGTGTGTGTAGTTTTTTGTTTAGTGTTATTAATTCTGTAACAATATAAGTTTTTTTGTCAGTAGGTCTGCATTTATCTTTTTACACGATTATCTAAGGCATAAGGAGCACTTCATAAGGGTATACTAAATGGATGGATAGATATTAAATACACCCTAAAATGGAAATATTCAAGGTTAGATGGCTAGTCATCCCAGATATGTAGTAGAGGAAACTTTTAGGGTGTTGTCAACTCTGAGACTGTGCTTTTGCTAAATGAAAATGAAAGAAAAATTAAAATAGTTTTATAATATGGATAAAGTAGAAACAAGCTAACAAAATATACAGCTGAGTAAAGTGGATTTGAGGAGAACTTTAACATTGATTCTAAATTGATATTAGCATAACTTTGATTTCACATTTTGTTGAAACCTTATGCTTGGGAGTAGGAAAGAATACCAACAGTATAGGCAGAGCTAAAAGAGAAAAGGAAAATATGAGGACAGAGGTATGAAAAAACAAGGTCCGGTATAGAAATCAATCTTTATTGATCAAAAACTGATAATGGCTCATGCTGCTTCTTGTTGATAAACAGTTTCACCGGATGGCCATTAATCCAGGGGCACCTTGAGCTATATTCTAACTCTAATATTTGGTTAGATCCCACATGACATACCCTAATTTCTGGGTAGAATAAAGCACAGGACTGCCAAGAAGCACCTGACTAAATTTCTAGAAAAACTTAACTTGTCATGGCTGCCAAAAGGATATCTTATTATCCCCCAAATTTCCAACTTCAGAATTCAGGAATCCTTGAATAGCATAAATGCTTAATTCTAGGTTATTGTTATGAATTTATTATTTGTGATAATGATTGAAAATTCTACTTTCTTATGGGTGATGTAGCTTGATGGTGCTTATCTTCTGATAAATATTATTAATATAAGAACCTGTATTTAAAGCATCTGTCTGTGGAGAACTTAAGTATCTTCACTTGTTAAAAAGCATCATTTAATTTCTATTTAATACCCTTATATTCCTCAGAAATGACCTAAACTGCTGAGACTAAACTGAGGGATAGTGAAATAAAAATGGTGATTTACCCAATTAACACAGCAAGCGAGTTGTCTTATTCCAGCATGTGGTGGGTAATTGTACACAAAATACACAAACCCTGCTAAGTGTACTGGCATTAATTTGATTCCTGGTAACTATCATTGGGAATAGCATCAAAGTTCTAAATTAGCAGAAATTATGAATACTTCTGTCTCATCACTCTTTGAATATTACCTCAAGAACTTTTTGAAAAGTGTTTGCTTTCTTAACTGCCCCTACCATGACATTCATCATAATGTTGAAAGAGAAGGTTTAAATTGTTTGGTTATAGCTATGAATAAACAGATGAGCAGTCTATAAACTTGTCAGTCTCCTTTCAAGGGTGGAGTAGATGCAAGAAAAATATTTTGTCTTGCATTTCTTATATATTTCTTTAGAATTTGGAATATAACTGGTTCTTTTTAAGATTGACAGTTGTTTTGAGACTTAATACTGTTTTTCATTTGTTGAACAAATACTTCTACAGTGCTTAATATGCACCAGGTAGCGTTATAAGTACTTCCTAGATAGTAACTATTAATTCTCATAATAGCTCTGTGGGATAAGGATATTGTCCATCTTTATTTTAGAAAGGAGGAAATTGAAGCCCAGAGATGGCATTTGTAATTTGCATAAGGTTACGCATCCGAGAAGTGGCAGAACCAAGAATGGGAACACATGCAGCCAGGATCCCAGGTTTGCAATATAGGCTCCTGTGCTTTGCTGCCTTTTACTGTGAGAACAGTGCTTCTCTGACAAACATTTCCTATATTTGAGGAAATCAGTGAACTATTTGGTTCTCATTAGACATGCAAGTCTATGATATATTAAGATTTATGTGTGTCTAATGGTAGTTTAAATGTATCAGATAAAAGGATATGGTGAAATAAAAATTTATTTAAGGATCAGATACTCTGACTATGAGACTAGGTGTACTACCCATGTTTTACAGTGCAATCACTTTGTCTCTGTGAGACCTGGTTTATTCTTCTTTGACTATTATAATTTATAATTTTAACTTTCATGTATTATAATTCATAACATTTCAGAATATGAGAGTTACACCCAATACTACTATTATGATTATTAGTATTATTAATACTCTTTCACCTAGACTGCCAAATTCCAGACAGCATTTCTACTCAATCCCATATCTTATAATAAAATGATTGAAATAATTGATATTAACAAAATTTTATGCAATTAAAAATGTAAAACAAAGGAAACAAGAAAATATACAAGAACCAAAAAGTGTTTTAAATCATCATTGAATTCACATATGTGCCTAGGCACATAGACTTATACTTTACATTAAGGATGAATATATTGGTACAGGTTTATATACTGTTGATTGAAATCAAATCACATTCCCAAGACAAAGAATGTAATATTTTATTTTAAAAATGGCATAGTCATATCAAAATTATTTCACACTCTAGCTAAGATGTGCTGAAATGCTTATAGTGATGCCAATGTTATTGCTTCGAAAGGTTGTTTAACCTTAGGTAAGCTAGAGATTTTACTAAAATGTGTTATTGTCACTTTTATAGAAAAAAGAGTGAGGCTAGGTTCTCCTGAATTTAATAGAAGACACACATGAAGTATTTCATTGTTATAATTTATGCTTAATTAAGCTAGAACAACAAAGAGTTAACCCTCTAATGTTCAGGTTTCTATACATTTCAGAACTGAGTGAAAACTAATATCTAGAATTTATAAGGAACTTGAACAATTCAACACGCAAAAAACAACCCCATTGAACATTGACAAAGGGCATGAATAGACACTTCTTAAAAAAAAGAAAGGCATTCAAGTGGCCAACAAACACGTGAAAAAATGCTTAATGTTGTCAATCACCAGAAAAATTCAAATCAAAACCACGAGAATTATCTCACACCAGTTAGAACGGCTATTAAAAATATCAAAAAATATTAGATATTGGTGAGGTCTTGGAGAAAAGGGAACAGTTATACACATTGATGAAAATGTAAATTAGTTTAGCCATTGTGGAAAGCAGTTTGGAGATTTCTCACAGAACTTAGAACTATTATTTGACCCAGCAATCCCATTACTGGGTATATATCCAAAAGAAAATAAAACGTTCTACCAAAAACACTCATGCGCTTATATGTTAATCACAGTACTACTGACAATAGAAAAGACATGGAACCAACCTAGGTGCCCATCAACAGTGGACTGGATAAAGAAAATGTGGTACATATACAACATTAAATGCTATGCAGCCATAAAAAAGAACAAAATCATGTTCTTTGCAGCAACATGGGTGCAGCTGGAGGCCACTGTCCTAAGTGAATTAACACAGGAACAGGAAACCAAATACTTCACGTTCTCACTTATAAGTGGGAGCTAAACATGTATACCTGGACATAAAGATGGGAACAATAGACACTGGGGACTACTATGGGGAGTGGGAGGGCAAAAAAGCTACTATTGGATGAGAACATGTGATGTTTGATTTTCTGTTCTTGTGTTAGTTTGCTGAGAATGATGGCTTCCAGCTTCATCTATGTACCTGCAAAGGACATGATCTCATTCTTTTTTTATGGCTGCATAGTAATCCACACAGGGAGGGGAACAACACACATCAGGGCCTGTCAAGGGGTGGAGGACAGAGGGAGGAGGAGCATTAGGATAAATACCTAATGCATGTGGGGCTTAAAACCTAGGTGATGGGTTGAGAGGTGCAGCAAATCACCATGGCACATGTATACCTACGTAACAAACCTGCACATTCTGCACATGTATCCCGGAACTTAAAGCAAAATAAAATAAAATAAAAATAGAAGATAAAATGTAGATTTAAAAACAAAACAAAACAAAACACGACTATTGGGTACTATACTCACCACCTGGATGACGGGATTGTTTGTACCCCAAACCTCTGAGTTATACAATATACCCATGTAACAAATCTGCACATGTACCCCCAAATCTAAAATAAAAGTTGAAATTATTCAAAAAAAACTAATATGAACGAAAGTGGCAATGCTGTAGTGTGTTACTGATTCACACAATACTTTTGGGCATGACAAAATCTCAATTATTTACTTCTATGAGAAGAGGTGAGTTTCTGGATTCCCAGTTATTGGTCAATCTTTTTTATTTGTAAGAATATAAATGACTCATATAGCAGCATAACGAAGAAGACTAGGTAATCAACAGTTTCTATTGGACCTTTTCTGTTTTTGAATCGTGTATTGATGGATATAATTTATATTTTGGTAATCTGCATTTTTGTATAACATGAATGAAAAATTTGTAAGAACCCCTAAAATAAAGGTATTTAAAACTGAACATAACTATTCAGATAATATATATAATTTTATAAGTATGAATTTTACTGGTTCTGTATATATAGGAAACATACATATTACAATATCTTCCTAAACTCAAATCATTATAATCTGTGCATCTAATTGTGTTTAGAAAATTTAGGAGACATTCGAGAAACCCTCAGTGAAATACCTTGTAATGGGCTGGGTGTGGTGGCTCATGCCTGTAATCTCAGCACTTTGGGAGGCCGAGGCAGGTGGATCACCTGAGGTCAGGAGTTTGAGACCAACCTAACCAACAAGGTGAAACCCCGTCTCTCCTAAAAATACAAAAATTAGCCAGGTGTGATGGTGCACCTGTAATCCCAGCTACTTAGGAAGCTGAGGCAAGAGAATCGCTTGAACCTGGGAGGCGGAGGTTGCAGTGAGCCGAGATCACGCCATTGCACTCCAGCCTGGGTGACAGTGAGACTCTGTCTCAAAAAAAAAAAAAAAAGGAAATAACTTGTACTGATTTGGAATATTTAGTTTAACTCATTCTTGTTCCTGTACTATAAACATGAACTATTACTATAATGTAAATTGCTTTTTGTAATTTGAAGGCCTTCAAAAATATTTTAGTGATATGTGTTTTATGTGTGTAAGTTTGCTTGTTTTAATCAATAAAATATCTTAAGTTCTATGTTGATTTTTAATTTATAGGTAAGTGCTTAACCATTTAGTCTGGTAAATCATATTTTATCAGTGTGTTAGTTTCCTACTGCTGCTGTAACAAATTGCTACAGACAGTTGCATAAAACAATTAAAATTCATTATTTCATTTTTCTTGAGTTTGTAAGTCCAAACTGAGGCCCACTGGGTGAAAAGAAAGATGTTGGTAGGGCTTAATTCTTTTGGAGGCTCAACAGGAGAACAGAGTGATAAATACAAGGTAAGACATGATCCAGTCAATATCAGTTGGAGGTTTTAAAAGCCAAAGCTGATTATTAACATCACAGTCTCAGAAATTTGCCTTCAATCTGTAATTTGACTTACCATTCAATATGAATGATCAATAGCTCAGCAGTGATGACAGACATTAGTGAATGGATCATAATTAGTTGGTAATTATAAATGTCTTCTGGTTCCACTGACTAAAGAAAAGACACATTAGTTTATAAAATGAAACTAAACATTTTGAATGTTCATTTGGCATGGGTATATCAGTTAACTTACTTGGAAATGGATATCCTTGTTAAACAATGAAGACATGCAGTTTTCTTTATTTCTTTCCATAAAAGTACCCCAGTATGCATAGTGGTTTAAAAAAAAAATTACAGCTTTAAAAATAGGAAAAGGATTGGCTTTCTACATTATTTTGATGACATTTTAAAGAACAATTTATTTCTTTGAAACAGATGTTCTCCATTTCTATTTCAAGCCCTTTAAATGTTAAAAAAAAAAGTAGAAATAAAATTGCATGAAAATAAGTACTAGAGACATGGCCACATGAACATATTAAATATAAGGGTGAGTGTTGGCAATTAAGACATTTTCCATTTGGTGGCATCTACCCTTGTTAACAATGATGTATTTAACTTGGTTAATTTTTTGTTCACAAATGTTTATTTTATATTTGTAATCAACTGTTGTGTTTAAGACAAAGTGAAATAATAATTAAAATATTCCCTTGGAGCTATTGAACATATGGCATATTGAATCCTCTGTTGATTTTACTGTGACACTGGTTCTATTTTTTATGTTTTCTCAACATGGTTATTTTAAGTTTTGCTGAAGCTTCAGTGATGAGACAATCGTTTAGCAGGGAAGAAAATCAGTCAACCTTTATCAAATGTAGCCTAGTCTAAGAGGTGAGTCCGCCATGCTCTAATGTCTTTCAGTCACCTTATTTCACTGTGCAACATTATGTTTTTGCAATAACAGTCAGCCTTTTACGTGGACCCTGAATTTCTTGCCCAAAAATCATGTATTGGTTTTAAATACTGAGATTCTATTTTTAAGGAGGGGTAACATATTAAACTCTCTCAGAGTTCTTAAATGTACCATATTTTTAAACAATCAGCCATTAAAAAGCAACAGAAAGTTTCCCTCAAAGTCACAGTATATCCCAGACAGTTATCATTGGTAAATCATTTGCATCCTTTTCCTCAATACTGAAAATTCTTATAAGATATCATTAGACTGTTACAACTTATGATGGAAAAATCAATGCAGTAAGAAAATTAAATTTTACTGATAGCCTTTAGGCAAAATGCAATGTTAAAATGCATTTTAGCTTCCCAAGTGATTCATAGGCAAGGGAAGAAATGGAATCTGGGTTAATTGTCAGTAGAAAATATTTTTTTTAGACTCCAACAGGCCTGCCTGTGAACCAAACTCTTTCTAATGCATATGTTCCTTGATTACTTAATAATGTGAAAATAACCATCCTAATCTGATCATTTGAAAGGTCAGAAGTCTGTTCTACTCTTAAAAAAAATAATTCCCCAGTCAAAATCAATGAGGAGATTCTCCATCTTCCCAGGAAGAGGAATTAGCAGAAAGAAAATGGATTCATCTCCTGAGCAATGTAGCAATGATGTTGGAACCCCTAGGGAGAGAAAGGGTTGGGGAGAGGAACAGAAAAAATATGTGGGGAAGAGAGACAGAGAGAGAGAGACTGGAGCTAGAAAAGAAAATACATCAAGCAATGCTACCTGTCTCTTTTGAAGATATGACCTAGAGAGTTCACTTAATAAGGTTTGTAATCACCATAAATGACCACTTTCTTTTCTTGGCAGGCAGGTATAGCAGGCATGGAATTGTCTGTCATGCATTTTACTCATCCTGAATCTAAAATAAAGCCATACTTTACAAGACTGATTTAAAAGAAGACTTTTTTTGCTTAATTACCAAGGAGAATGTGCACAGTTAATTTCTAGATCATAAACAAAGACACTGGTGTTTTGCAACTGCTTTTCTACTTTAGATCATGACTAAAAAAATCTATTTGTGGCCCTCATAAAATGCAATGACTAGGTAGAACACATCATTTTTTCCTAGAGAAAGAACTTTTTTATGTTCTTTTTTAATTTTGTAGTTATTTAATGAATGGTAAATATTAGTATTTTTCCCAACTTTCATATTCTTCAAGATTGTTTGTTTAATTGTAATTAGTATTGGGAAATTGATCTTGATCATCTTTAAATTCTTAATAATGATGATTACTAATCTTTGAAAGGACCTACCTATTTTTGTTGATGTCTACAGTGTCAAATAATTGGGAAGAAAATTATTTTATGTTTTCAAGTGAAAATAGCCAGTGATTTCAGTAATCTAAAGGATGTTGGTCATACTGCCTAATCTCATCATGATGTGAAAAATATTTCTCATACATTAAAAGTAGTTTTTGTATCTTTCCTGATGATTTTTTTCTTTGTTGATTTTTTTACTCCACATTGCACTTTTCTGTAGTTCCTGTGAGATTTATTCTCAAATACTTTTAGAAAGTCTTCTTAAATTCTTTTTTGTAGACAAATGGGAAAAGGCAATTTCTTTAGGTAATTATTTTTAAATGGGGGGAAGAAAGAGAATCTAAGATATATATATATATATATATGCACACACATATCTATTTGATGTGTGTGTATATATATACACACACACATATATATTTGAACCATTTATAATTTATCTAATGTAATGTGAATTTGATATAAGTTAATATAGAAATGGAAGCATACTTTCTTAGATCATATAATGATTCATTTTCTCAAATTTGCTATGAAAACTTCCTGTGTAAGCTATTCAAAATCTTAATGAACATTAACCCACAAATGTATTTGAATCATAAACTTTCCCTATCTTAGCCAGAGCTTAGAAATGATATATTTTTTTTCCTTTCTCTCTAGTTGTAGTTGTATCTTCCTTTTACTGATAAGAACCTGAAGACAGGGGTGATGTGTACTTCTCTATAGTCACAGATTTGGAATTATACCTGTACCGACTACCTCAGAGTACAGTAATTATTTCAATATACTATGCTGCTTCATTTCCTGAGAATGGATTAGCATTTTGAAGTTCAACGGTTCCTCTTATGCTTTCCTGACAACCTGGATAGAATCTCTGTAATGACAAACTTGAAACTGTTAGTTAAAAAAATAAGATTGGAGGGCAGAGATAGACCCAGAAAACTTAAAACAATACACACACATGCACGCACACACACACACACATCTATCATTTCTCTTACTTCCTGTGAACTTCAATGAGGTAGTTACAAAATCATTGTATTTGTTATAGATGTCTTACATAGAATGAGTGTCCCTCATTTGTTTCAATATCTAAATCTCTATTTGAATTTGGATTATATACCTCAGGTTACTGATTTTAACATTCGGAATTCTTCCTTGGCAAACTCCCCACATGACCCATGCCTATCCACTTCCATCCTGCTTCACTGTCCTGGGTTTATTAATTTATTTATTTTATTCTACTTTAAGTTTTAAGGTACATGTGCAGAATGTGCAGTTTTGTTACATAGGTATACACGTGCCATGGTGGTCTGCTTCACTTACTCATCTTTCTTACCTTCCATGTCTTTACTAGAAACAATTCCGCTTCTCTCACATTTGCCTTTCTTCTCTTTCCTACTCCTTCAACTTCCTCATTTTCTTATTTATTATTTTTTCTTATTTCCAGAAAATACTTGAGATACAAATACTATTTCCTTTTCACTAGGGGCCAGGAAAGAGTCCAGGTGCGCTGTAGCCCCGTGCAGGATTCCCAGCTTCCTCCCCCTTCAGCCTAGCATCTGTGTCTTCTCTCCATCTGCTCTCAATGCCTTCCTCCTGAAAATTTGCTAGGAGTGTGTCAGTCTTCCTGAGCCCTGGTCTCTTGGTGAAAGACTTCCTCCTGGCTATGTCTAGTTGGCCATCTTGCCTTCCTCCATACAAATACTGTTTCTTGTTCCTAACAAAATGACTGGACCTGTGTGCACTATGAGGATATCTGAACTCAAATGTGAATAATTACTGGATGTGTATACAGAAATAAATTTGCGACCTTCAGGATTTTGAGTTGGGGTTACTTGCATTTGGGAACTTGTATTCATGCGCAAACAGGAATAGATTTATTGGGATTAAATAACATTCAACATTCGTGTGTGTTTTTTATTGATAAAGTAAAAAAACATCAAAATGTACAGATATAAAATAAGATTAATTCTTTTGGTGAAATTAGCACATATTTCTAAATTCAGGAGTTGAGAATCTTGTTCTATTTTTGTGGGGGAGGTGTTGGAGGCATCACGTATTGGGGACTACTCGTATACTCACAAGTAAGGTATCTGCTAATTCTGTTGGTAATTGCCCAGATCCTGTCAAATTTCAGTTGACAACTCAACAATCACTTTCCCATCTGGAAATCCAATAGTGGTTCTTCTATACAGTACCTCATCTGGAATGGATGCATCCTGTTAATTTTCTGCACACATGCTATAAAACAAAAGCATCAGCAGCTACCTTGAAAAAAACTTAAAAGTTTAAAAAAATAAAAAAAAGAAACGGGGCAAATTGGAGTGAGCTCTGTGGATGGACACTGTTTCATTCTGGTTCTAGAGAGACATCAGTTTTCCACCAAAAGTGATGTTGTTTATTAGTAAAAGCTATTTAGCATGTTCATGTCTGGAGTCAATACATTTACTTGATTCAGTGGAGAGTTGAGTACATAGAATAAATATTCTATGTAAATTAATCCTAAGATTTATTTCTTATTCTGAATTATAAACACACATCACAGGCATGGACAACTGCTTTTTTTAGTTGGTAAGAATAGCTCTTCCTCCCCCATCTACATGCTGACAGCTTTATGCTATGGATTTCACTTGCAATTAGCTTCCTTCATCACTGTTTTTGGTCTTGAGGACATCATTCTTTGTCCCACTTTACCTCATAGGAACAAGTTTAAAGAGTTGGTCAAATCACTTTCTTCAAAGTGTGATATTGAGATGATTTGTCCAGAAGACAATGATGGTCAATGACTTAACAATACTGCACTTTTTGTTTAAACAATGGTTGTTTCCTCCAGGAATGACACTTATTAGATAATATAAATTGTGAGTCCTACAGTAGAGCTAGATATACTGGCCCGATTATCATTGTAATGATTGCACAGCTTTAAAACACTCATTTTATTGTATTTCCCTATATAGCCCCTAAGCCTGGAAGAGTTAATGATTTTCCAAAAATTCTATACTTTACTATGCAGGTACATGAGTTCTTAGTCATACATATTGAGAAAATATGGCTTTGTTTCATTTTCTAATAATCGTGGCCTTATGGAGTTCAATGTTTCCTGTCACTGTTTCTATGTCTGTATGTCTAATACATAGAGTAATGTATTAGGAAGCATGCACAGTATTTCAAAGCCTCTTATATCAGGTGTCCCCAACCCCTGGGCAGCAGACTGGTACTGGTCTGTTCTGTGACCTGTTAGGAATGGGGCCTCTCAGCAGGAGGTGAGTAGTGGGCGAGCAAGCCTTACTGCCTGAGCTCCGCCTCCTTTCAGATCAGCAGCGGCATTCAATTCTCACAGGAGCATGAACCCTATTGTGAACTGCTCATGTGAGAGATCTAGGTCGCCTGTTCCTTATGAGAATCTAGTGCCTGATGATCTGAGGTGGAACAATTTCATCTGGAATCCATCCCCCTGCCCCAGTCCCGGAAAAACTGTCTTCCATGAAAGTGGTCCCTGGTGCTGAAAACGGTTTGGGGACCACTGTTTTATATATTGGCATTTTACATACACAGTTTTATAGTAACATTCCTTGATGGTGGTCATGACCACTTTACAGATGAGGGAACTGAGGTTCACAGAAAACAATACAGTTCCAAGGTCTGTCATCCAATAAGTAAGGGAACCTGGATTTAAATCAAGGCCTGTCTCATTCCGAAAGCTAGTTTCTTTACTATATCATGGAAACCATTAAAATTTAACACAGCATTTATGATATCTGATGACAACACATGAAATAAAGGTATTATCCTCTACTCATAAAGAAATACCAAAGTGTCCTGAAAATATTTGTATACTAAAGATAGGTATAATGTAAATGTCAGAGGGCTGTGGTATCAGTTTTTAATTAACTTTAACAAAGTCAAGTAAATTTTTCTAAATTAATTTTCTTCGTATCTACTGAAACCCAAGTATGATCTGATAGTGTTTTCACATAAGAAAAATCAGATTTAAAAACTGCAGTCAATAATTAACCTCATATATTTTAACTAGTTTATATTCTTAAAAAAACAAAATATGCTGCATGTCATATATAATGCCATTCATATTTTAAAAAATACTTCACTATAATGCAAATATGCATAAAATAGTAAGGAAGATTAATGGAAATGCCACAAAAACCAGCAGCATGACCTTCTGGTATATTCTGCTGCACACTGTTATGGGTTTGAGGCCTTCATTTCTATCGCCTAAAATGCTCTGGAGTAAAGGAGCCATATATGGAAAGAATAGTAACCCTGTACAAAAAAAAAAAAAGAAGACTCACCTTGTTTGCAACTGGGAGTGCCTCCAGTAATACTGACGACATAGGAGATAGTAAGCCAATAGAGCACTTGAAGCCTGAGCTCCAGGCTTGAAGACAGAGTGACCCTTAATCTCCAGTGTAGTGTAACCATATAAATGTCCTAGATTTGGGAAAATCGCATTTGTAAATTTTCAGGCAAAGGAGGGAGTTGAATGGGTAGATGGTCCTGACTAGCAAAATGCTGGAGAAAGCTGGGCCAGGCCATGGAATAAAATAATAAGGTTCCCATCCCACTGTGTGTGAGAATGTGTGTGTGTGTGTGTATGTGTGTGCATTTTTCCAGAACCTGATCTAAGTTCTTCAGAATTCCAATTTACATAAGGTTTGTTCTATTCTTCCGCTCATACTATATGTGTTCATCAATATCTGTCCTTTCAATATCTTTTTGTAGTAATTATGTTGCCTTATTTTAGAATTGAGAGAGAGAACACACTCCTGATATGTCTAATCTTGTTTGGCAATTTCAGCTCCCCATAATCATTTGTGACCTTTGGGCCACTTTCTTGCAGTAGCCAGGTGGTAATATCCTTTGGACTTCTTAATGAGTTTAGTCTGATAATGTATTATTACTTGAATGGTCAAACAAGATGGATATCCTTGGATATTCTAATTTATCAAAATGGAGAGTATGGATAACAAATGCAAAAACAGATTACATAAAGTCCAGTGATTTGTGAAGGAGAAAGATGGGTGAGAGAGACCCATGAACAGTCTCCTTAAGATTCTTTTTTTTATTTTTTAGAAAATCCAAGAATATAAGTTAATAATTTTACACTTTATACATTTGACAAAGATCATAGTTTTATACGAAAATGACCTGTTTAGTATATATAAGTAATAGGTTAAGGTTGGCTTATTTTATAGACATATTATATATCATAAAAAACACATTCAGAGCAAGACATTGAGTATATCTAATGAGTAACACTAGAACTACTGTGTCACTTTGCAGTATTTACTATTTGGAAAATATTTTTCTTTACATCCACAAATATACCAAGCTCATTAGTTATATGCATTATTTTAATTTACTCGAGGTAAAGCACACCAAAATATAATTTACCTATTGAATTGTGGTCACATGATTGAATAAAATGCAATTCAATAATTGTCTCACTTTGGAGAAATATGTGTGATTGAATCTAACAGAAAATTAAGAAAAAGTGGATTATAGAGAAAATGTTATAATGAATTACATAGCTATGAAATTAATCCTAATAATTTATCAACCCTAATTTACAATATATTTGTATAGTATCTACTCAATGGAGGTAAAAAGCCTGTATATATATATACACACAGAGAGAGAGAGAGAGAGAGAGAGAGACATGCATATACACAAGTATACAGGATGAATTTTAGTAACTCAGATTAAAGAGAATGTATTCCAATAAGTTATTAAAATAATAATTTAAAAATTCAGAAAACCAGGTCATGAAAGGGAGAAGAAATAGATATGTTAACCGGGAATACTGGTGTAGGTTTTAAAATTGAGCACTACTTTGGCTGTGAGCCTTCTGGAGATAAGAGTAAAGTCTTACTCTAAACAATAATGCACCTGTTGTTACCTGACTTTTTAATCATCGCCATTCTAACTGGTGTGAAATGGTATCTCACTGTGGTTTTGATTTGCATTTCTCTGATGGCCAGTGATGATGAGCATTTTTTCATGTGTTTTTTGGCTGCATAAATGTCTTCTTTTTAGAAGTGTCTGTTCATATCCTTCGCCCATTTTTTGATGGGTTTTTGTTTTTTTCTTGTAAATTTGTTTGAGTTCATGGTAGATTCTGGATATTAGCCCTTTGTCAGGTGAGTAGGTTGTAAAAATTTTCTCCCATTCTGTAGGTTGCCTGTTCACTCTGATGGTAGTTTCTTTTGCTGTGCAGAAGCTCTTTAGTTTAATTAGATCCCATTTGTCAATTTTGGCTTTTGTTGCCATTGCTTTTGGTGTTTTAGACATGAAGTCCTTGCCCAAGCGTATGTCCTGCATGGTATTGCCTAGGTTTTCTTCTGGGGATTTTATGGTTTTAGGTCTAACGTTTAAGTCTTTAATCCGTCTTGAATTAATTTTTGTATAAAGTGTAAGGAAGGGATCCAGTTTTAGCTTTCTACATATGGCTAGCCAGTTTTCCCAGCACCATTTATTAAATAGGGAATCCTTTCCCCATTTCTTGTTTTTGTCAGGTTTGTCAACAATCAGATAGTTGTAGATATGTGGCATTATTAGAAATAGGAACACTTTTACACTGTTGGTGGGACTGTAAACTAGTTCAACCATTGTGGAAGTCAGTGGGGCGATTCCTCGGGGATCTAGAACTAGAAATACCATTTGACCCAGCCATCCCATTACTGGGTATATACCCAAAGGATTATAAATCATGCTGCTATGAAGACACATGCACACGTATGTTTATTGCGGCACTATTCACAATAGCAAAGACTTGGAACCAACCCAAATGTCCAACAATGATAGACTGGATTAAGAAAATGTGGCACATATACACCATGGAATACTATGCAGCCATAAAAAATGATGAGTTCGTGTCCTTTGCAGGGACATGGATGAAGCTGGAAACCATCATTCTTGGCAAACTATCACAAGGACAAAAAACCAAACACCGCATGTTCTCACTCATAGGTGGGAATTGAACAATGAGAACACATGGACACAGGAAGGGGAACATCACACACTGGGGACTGTTGTGGGCTGGGGGGAGGGGGGAGGGGTAGCATTAGGAGATATACCTAATGCTAAATGACGAGTTAATGGGTGCAGCACACCAACATGGCACATGTATACATATGTAACAAACCTGCACGTTGTGCAAGTGTACCCTAAAACTTAAAGGATAATAATAATAAAATTTTAAAAAATAACAAATAAATAAAATAAAAAATAAAAAAATAAAAAATAAAACAATGATATATTATTAAGACAAAAAAATGCAAAAATCATATTGATTGTTTCCAATAATTTAATGAAAATTAATGCAATGGTTTAACTGGTGACACCTGAATTCTAAACTATATACATACATAATTAGAAGGTTAAATACTGAACACTAAATATATATGTATATATATAGACAAAAATTCAGAGACAAATAATTATTTGGTAGTAGAAAAACCAAAGGTTTTTTTAAAACAATGTGTATTTAAAAGTTTGTATTTACTGTTACAGAGAGTCATGATTTTTACAGTTTATTCCATTTGACTATCAGATTCTAAAATAACTTTAGAGACCAACTCATGGATATCAAGGAAAAACAAAAGGGTAGGGCTATAAGCACCCACTCTAATACAACCTGACCTGCTTCAGATTGTCTTTCAAAATAAGGTCACATTATGGTGGTGTTCTTTGGAAACTGGTTACAGATAATATACTATAAAATTACAATTGAAAACTTATCACTTAAGGAAATAGAAGTTTTATATTCTAATTATTTTTTGCAGAAAAGCTATAGTATTTACCTAATAATAGTCTCAAAAATTGAAATTTGTATTATTATGAATATGTGATAGATTTTTTCCTTGAAACACATTAAGAAGTATTTCATTTTCATTTTGTGACCACAGTAAATTAAGATTTAGTGAAGTCTGGATTGTCATATCATTTATTCTAAAAATGGTTCTAGGTATATGAAATATAAAGATTACTTAGTGTATCTCTGTTCTTAAAGGCACTGGTAGTTCACTGAGAGAGACAATATGTAGGCTCTCACAACACTAATTACTAAATACTAGGAGAGAGAAAAGCAAACATACTATGTAAGCACATGGGTGGAGAGTCACGTACCATAGGGATTGCTCAGGAAGGAAAGAGGGAGTTTCACAGAAGTATTTATAGAGTAAATAAAACATTTTAACAGAATCCTAAATATTGAGTGAGAGGTAGTCATGTGAAAATGAAAAGAAATGTTTTAATAGTGCTGGATAAACAGACTATTCCTATGAGGATAAGGGAGAGAATGATTTTGAACCCTACTCATTCCACATTCAAATCAGTTCCTGGAAGATACCTAAAGAAGTTACTTAAAAACTTGGAAGATGCTATGAGAGTATCTTCATGACTCAAGGTAAGGGAAAATTTCTTAAGTCGCAAAAAAACGCAAACCATGAAGGAGAAGAAGCTGACTTCAGTTGCATTAAAACTAAGAACTTCTGTCCAGAAAATACCATAATGAGAGTGAAAAGAAAAGACACTGAATGAGAAAACATATTTCCAATATGTGTAACAGACAGCTAATTAACTAATATACAGAACATAGAACTCCTACAAATCAGAAAAACAACCACCTTAGGCATTTCACAAAGAGGAAATCGAAATAACCAGTTATCATATGAAAATCTACTTAAGTTTTAAAAATTACATTCCAGGTTAGTTGCAAATTTTTTAAGTCTAACAATACTAAATATTACTAAGACTGTAAAACAATTGGGAATTTTCATACACTGCAGTTGTAAATTGGCACATCCTTTTTGTAAAATACTAAGACATTCTATAGAAAAGCTGACAATATACACACCCTACAATCCAGCAAATTCTAGATAGAAATTTAAAAACTTTTAAATAGACACCAAAAAATATACATATATGAATATATACAGAAGCATTGTTCATCATCTTAAAAACCTGGAAAGGCACAAGTGCTCACAAAGGTTGAATTGTTAAATAGTGACAAATTAATGTGATGAGTACCTGAGCAAAGAAATTTATCAAATTACCGTGACTCCCAACAAAATTGATGAATTCTACATGATATTGAATAAAAGACATGAAAGACAATACATGTAGTATGTTTCCATTAACATAAAACTCAAAAATAGACAACCTTATACCATAATGTTAAGGATGTAAATAGGAAGCAAAATTATGAAGAAAAGCAGAAGAATGATGAAGTAAAAGTCAAATTAGTGGTTAACCTTAGAGAAAAAGGAGGGGCTTGAACATTTATATGTATTATACATACTGTGTGTGTGTGGGTGTGTGCATGTATATGTATTGTATTTTTCTGTATATTAACAAGGAAAAAGTGATGAAGTAAATGTGTGCCAGAGTTAAGAAATGGAATTTGCAAAGGCTCAGATAAGTAAAAGAGTAAGATGACGTCTGAGAAAACTTAGGGCTATAGTAAGCTAGGTTGCTATACTGGGTATAAGTTAGGGATTGGTAAGAAAGGAAGCCTGGTTACTGCTGATGTTGTTATACATTATCCAAAGGGGTGTGTTTGTGTGTGTTTAAAAATTTATACAGTTCCGTAACAGCATTTTAAAATTTTGCAGTACTTACTATAAACACAATCTCCTAAATTATTTGTTGGGCTGTTTTTCTGAAAGTCAATTTCCTTTACCAGATCATAAACTGTATAAAGTCAAGATTGTGTCTAATTCAGCATTCTTAATACATTATGCTTGGTCCATAATTTTTGCTACAAAAATAATTGTTCAATTATACAGATAAATCTTAAAGGCAATTATGAACCACCAAGGAATATTTATACAGTAGAAAAAGAGCATTAAAATGATGAAGTTGAGCATGAGGGAGATTACTTAAAATTTTATTTTCATAATCTAATTTATGAATAATTTTAAGTTTCTGTTTGAATGATTTGGCAGATGATAGGGTCTTTTGGTGAAATATGTCTTTAAATAGAAATACGTGCCTACATTTATATATATATATTCCTGTATATTTTAAGTGTAATCTTTGAGAAATCAAATTTATTATGTATATCACAGTGTCTGTAGGCAAATGATGAGCAATACATGGCTTATAAAAAATATGCTACATTAGGAATTCCTTCATGTAATTGATTAGAAAATTAGAGGCCTAGAAAGTTTCAAATTTAGCCAAGCCATCATTGTTGGACTTCATGCCCTAATATAGTCAACTGGTTATTTATGAAAGAGAGAAGATGAAGTTAGACAGGTTATTAATTAACTGAATAGCATGTAAAACTTTCTCAGGACTATATCCAAAAATAAAATGAAAAAGAATGCTGTGTAAGTATTCATTATGGTCTATTCATTAAAAGGAAAACTATTCTAGGTGTTTCAAATGAGAAGGGGCAGGTAGTTAATACAGTAAATTAGTCATAAGAGTTTGAAAGGCTAGAACAGCAAAAGGTAGATAAGAGTGAATTTGGGAATCAAAAGTAATATTGGTGAGCCCCTGAGTCTGCACCCAATTTTGTGCTATTAGTCTTGCAGTTAGCCATGGATTCAACAGGGATGTTGCCTCCATTGAGGCTAGAAATGCTCTAAAGGATATAGCTCTTCTTAGGCTATCTGCCCTTGGAAAGAATCACTTTAGCCCAGCTAATATGGCCACTTCCAGGAACTATCATACTGCTAGAAACAGAAGCAGAAAATTTCTTTTTTTTTTTTCTTTTAATCAACCTTCTTAGTTCCTTCAGTGCCTCCTACTGCCAAAATTTAAAAGAAGTCAGTTACGAAGAAATCAGGGAAAATATAGTTCACTGGAAAACGGTTTCGTCTATTTTAAAATTCGGATATGAGGCTGGACTCAGCAGCTCGTGCCTGTAATCCCAGCAATTTGGGAGGCTGAGGTGGGAGGATCACTTTAGCCCAGGAATTCCAGACAAGCCTAGGCAGAACAGGGAAACCCCTATGTCTCAAAAAAAAAAAAAAAAAAAAAAAAGAATAGCCTAGTGTGGTGGTGCACACTCCCGAGTAGTCCCAGCACTCGGGAGGCTGAGGTGGGAGGATTACTTGAGCCCCAGAGGCTGCAGTAAGCCATGATCGCACCAGTGCTCTCCAGTCTGTGTAACAGAGCAAGATCCTTTCTCAAAAGAGAGAGAGAAAAAAAGAGGATGTAGGTAGGGGAAACAACTGGCACAGATGATGTTTCAAAATAAGTGGGCTGTAGAGTATGTCTTTTCTATCAAACATAATTTTATAGATCTTATTTACACAGGACATGTCTCTTTAAACATACCACAAAACCAATGCTATTTTATAAATAGATAAATAAATAAATAATTATGTCACTCTATATATGATATAATACAGTTACTTCAAAAATTGTTTTACTCAACATCAAAATTTGTTCAAAAGCAAAACATCTTATTTATACAACCATTTAGACACGTAAAGCAAAAGTCTGCACACCTCCTCCAAAATTTAAAAGATAAAAAAAAATAACGATGATAACAACAAAACAACAACAACAACAGTGTTTCAATGACAGGGTATTTAAGCATAATTTTTGAAATTGAATTTCTACATTGAAATAAATATATTTTAAATAATGTAACTAATTCATTAGTAATATTTATGATAAAAGTTGGAAAGTCAGGTAGGATTAGCTAAAATATTAAGAGGGAAACACTGGTTTCCATACTCAAATAATGAGAAATATGATTTGAGTCTTAGGACTGTTGGGGTACACATCTGTGCCTGTGTCACAAGTGTACATATGGCTGGATAGTTTTCTGTCTCTTTTTTTCTCATTTCTTCCTTCTGGCTATTTTCCTGACCTGAATCCATGATGAATGGCACATTAGAACTTACACCTTCATAACTTTAACTTCAAAAGGAAAGGATTCCTTTCTGCCAGCTGGATTTTAACAAATCATAAGGAAGAGTTCTTATTGGCTCAATTTGAGTCATGTGACCAAACCCAGGAAAACCACTGCTGACAGTCAGGAATGCTGTATTTGTCCTAGCATGTTTCTGGTATTCAGAGCAATTTTCCATGACAAGTGGGGAATTACACAGATATCATGCCCTAGGGAATATTTGAAGGATAGGCATTCCCACAGATTATGTCTAGGCTCTGTAGTAGCCTCACTTCCTTATTAGGCCTTAATGTCTCATCATTTCTATAATTTTTTTAAATGTGAATCTTATATATTAACTACATACTTTAAATATAGTTACAACAATCATGGCTGGGTATCTATATATGGCTTTTGCTTTTTTTCTACAAATCATTTTACAAAGCATGATATAAATCAAGTATCTGAGCAAATCTTGACTCTAAGTCTCCAATGTGCTTATAGTCACATGACTGAAAGGTGGCTCAGAAATGGAACTGCAGTACAGGCTTTCTGACTCATTGTGCTGTGTCATTTGGACTATTCTATGCATGTAGAAAATTTGAGTCAGTGAAATAATACTTGTTTGCATGGCACATTACAATTAACATTACAGTTTTCTATAAATATATGGAAAATAAATTTAATGACGTATTAACTTTCTGAAAGTACATTCATGTACTCATATTTATGTGATATCAATATAATAAAATAATTATTCAGGATTTCAAGATGTTTCTATTATTAAAGTTTTGGATCATTTGTATTTCAAATAGATGCATGAACTAAAATGCTTCAGTAACTTTCAACTTTTATTATTATATTGCTGCTCTTCCCTTAACAAAACAGACAAACATACAGAACAGTTTTCTCAAAGAGCTTTTGTTACTTCTAATTGTGCTGATTATAGACACTGAACATACAGGCAGCAAAAAAAAAAAAAAGTTAACGAACATTTCATTACATTATAAGAAACCCTCCATTACGTTGAAGAAGAACTGAATACTCACTAGATGTTTCTATTTGAGTTCAGAGAAGTGGTCATAGTACATAGGTAAAAAGAACACTTGGCAGAGTGATTTATATCTCAAGACAGACCATCATCTTCAGGTTCTTGGATATGGATGTCTCACATATAGGATGAAAGGATTCATAATGAGATAGAGCAGTAAATACAAAAGAGATAATGGAATATGTTTCACTCCTCAATTAATGTTATCAGTTTATGTTTTGCAAGTATTATACTTTCTTTCATTACTTACAAATGTAGCCTTAAATATTCCTTCTTTAAACAAAAATAAATAAGAGCAGTAATACAATTAAAGGCATTCTGTGGCATTAATTGACCTCTGAAACATAAAATACATACTTATTTATAAGCCAGAGGATTTTATTATCCTATATCCTGTGGGATATGCTATAGTATAAGTGGGGGAGATATTAATATTAAAAGCCAAGAGTCAGAGAATCAGCTGAAGTGCTGATGGATCATGTAATCTCGGTTCTTCATTTTACAGAGAAGGAAATTGAGTGCAGAAAGATTATGTCACAAAACAAAAAGTGAAACCTTCTGAGGATAGAAAGATTATGTCACAAAATAGAAAATGAAGACATTTTCCTTCTCTGTCTATTGCACTTTGAACTGAATCACCACACAGATTTGGGAGTCCTGGGTTTTATTCCTGGGTTATATTTGGTCTCTATTGAATCTGTAGCCTTGAACACATATTCATTCAACAAATTTTTTTTGAAAGACTGATGTGTGCTATGCAGTATTCTAGGTAATAGGGGTGTAAAGATGATAAGTGCATATAATCACGTTCAGTATAATCAAGTTGCAGTGGAGAAATAACACAAATTATTCAACACTGATCATTAAAATCAATCAAACATACTAAAGGGAATCTGAGACTACTCCATGTCAAAAGTATCTTTACATTTGCTACCATATCTTAAATATACTTGTTAAATAAGTGCTTCAGGTCTTCTGTTTCCATCTTATAAAACGACCCTGACAGATAAGTGCTACTATTCCTACTTTTCAAATGAAAAAGTCAATAACCTGCTCTAAAGTTTCACCCAGCTTAAAACAGAAGACATGGATTTCAACCATGGGTCTGTTTAAAACCAAAATCTAGACACCATCTAAAATACAATGCTACTGTTGGTTGTCATTTTTGCATTGAAGTCAATTTTATATATTCATGGAATTAGTATTTGGAAGAATTGAAAAAAATCAACTTTAGGCTCACTACGAAATACTCATATTTACACTTTATCCGAACAGAATTTCTCCCCACCCAATTCACCCACATTCATCAAGATCACACTTCTTCTAGGTTAAGCACTCTCTGAGGTCTGTGTCAGTCTTGTTCAGCAGAACTTTCCACAGTGATGGACAGGCTCTATATTTATGCTGTACAGTATGGTAGCCACTAGCATCCTGTTGCTATTGAACACTTGAAATATGGTTAGTGTGACAGAGGAACTAAATTTGTAATTTTAATTGGTTCATACTTCATTTAAATGTCATTTAATTATTCTTGGTTTACTGCGACTGGTACAGCACTTTATGCACTGTATTCTGGGGATTGGATGTATGATATTTCTTTGAGTTTTGCATGTGTGTAGATTCTCTTATTCTTACTCCATATTTGATTAAACTGGACATCAACCTTCATTTGAATTTTTGTTTATTTTTTTATTGTTTTTATTATTATACTTTAAGTTTTAGGGTACATGTGCACAATGTGCAGGTTAGTTACATATGTATACATGTGCCATGCTGGTGCGCTGCACCCACTAACTCGTCATCTAGCATTAGGTATATCTCCCAGTGCTATCCCTCCCCACTCCCCCCACCCCACAACTGTCCCCAGAGTGTGATGTTCCCCTTCCTGTGTCCATGTGTTATCATTGTTCAATTCCCACCTTTGAGTGAGAATATGCGGTGTTTGTTTTTTTGTTCTTGCAATAGTTTACTGAGAATGATGATTTCCAATTTCATCCATGTCCCTACAAAGGACATGAACTCATCATTTTTTATGGCTGCATAGTATTCCATGGTGTATATGTGCCACATTTTCTTAATCCATTCTATCATTGATGGACATTTGGGTTGGTTCCATGTCTTTGCTATTGTGAATAGTGCCGCGATAAACATACGTGTGCATGTGTTTTTATAGCAACATGATTTATAGTCCTTTGGGTATATACCCAGTAATGGATGGCTGGGTCAAATGGTATTTCTAGTTCTAGATCCCTGAAGAATCGCCACACTGACTTCCACAATGATTGAACTAGTTTACGGTCCCACCAACAGTGTAAAAGTGTTCCTATTTCTCCATATCCTCTCCAGCACCTGTTGTTTCCTGACTTTTTAATGATTGCCATTCTAACTGGTGTGAGATGATATCTCATTGTGGTTTTGATTTGCATTTCTCTGATGGCCAGTGATGGTGAGCATTTTTTCATGTGTTTTTTGGCTGCATAAATGTCTTCTTTTGAGAAGTGTCTGTTCATGTCCTTCGCCCACTTTTTGATGGGGTTGTTTGTTTTTTTCTTCTGAATTTGTTTGAGTTCATTGTAGATTCTGGATATTAGCCCTTTTTCAGGTGAGTAGGTTGTGAAAATTTTCTCCCATTTTGTGGGTTGCCTGTTCACTCTGATGGTAGCTTCTTTTGCTGTGCAGAAGCTCTTTAGTTTAATTAGATCTCATTTGTACTTCTTATTAAATTTCAATTTTTATTTTAGATTCAGAAAGAAAGCTTAGTGTGTATCAGCAGTGTTGGGACTATGAGAGATTATTTCTAAAACAAAAAATAATTTTAAAAATGTAACTTAAATAGAACTGTGTGGCCATTGATTATTTGGAATGTGACTGATGATGGAAGAACTGAAATTTTAATTTTAGTTAAATTTAAATAATCACATTTGGTTAATGGATAGCATAGTAAATTAATATTGCAAGTCTGTATACATTTGGATGTGCATGAATAAATTTTAGAGGACTTGTATAACCCCTGCAACTTAATACTATAATTTGTATGCATATAAAATGTCCTTAAGATAGGTTTTTCCATCAGATCCTCATGGGATTCTTAAAACTTTTAAGAAATCTTTCTCTTCAGTGGAAGCATTTAAGGTCTTCATGTTTTTCTATTTTCTAAGTCCTGTATTTAACTCATATTACATTTGTTTTTACTCTCATGAAGTTGATGCTTACTTAACCTTGTCTCCAAGCCTCCGGATGTGGAAACCTCCCCAACAAAATATATAATATAGAAATAGGATTTTCAGTAATTCTGGTAAAGGTGATCAGTTTTTCCTTTCACATGCATACCTTTTAAAACATAATTCCTAACAAGATGTGTGAAAAGAGTTGCAATTCCAAGACTGTGTTGTTTTTCTGGTGGTTATTTCCTTAAACAAATGCTTTGTTTTGGTTTTTAGTAAACTAGGGAATATTGTTTTTACATGCTTACAAAATTCTCATTGAGTGAATCCATTCATCCATCCATTCTTCAAACACTTGTAAAGGTTGTACTATGTGCTGGTCACTGTATTTAGCACTTGCAATACAAAAATAAAAAAGAAACTCCCCCCTTTGGGAAGAACCTACCAAATAGTCTGGTAGGTAGACAAAAAGTGACATAAATTGTAAAACATCATGGTAAATGCTGTAATAAATTAACTAGGCTGAGAAATGTTAAGTAGCTTGCCCAAGGCCACATGGCTAAGTAGCTGCACCTACTGTGTTCTCAAGCTGGAGAGGTTGGAGAGGGGTCAGAGAAGGTTCAGACAACATGATGAAATGTGTATGAAGGTACATCTCCTTGGTGGATTTGCTAAACACTAGGGATTCAGGAATATTATCAAGAATCTTAAAGTCAAATTACTTTTACCAGGACTCTGAAACTTTTATTATTTTTTCCTCCATCATCTACTTATAATTAATATCCCATCTAAAATGATCTATATCAAAGATGATTGGATTTTAATACAATTTAAGATAAATGGTGATACTTCAATATATTGAGTGTATTAGCATAGTCTTAAATTACTGTTTTAGAATGTCAGTGACTACTTTTATCTTCTGTTCTTTGGGGCACTAAGTCTGAAGGAGTCAAAAAGGGCACTCTTTCAGCATATTAGCCTTGTCCAGTTTAAGGAATTTGTGCATTTCAGTAGCAAGGACTGTAGTCAGATACAACCATAGAAATTATGAGTCCAGTATGAAATGAAAATGCAGGGGCCATTTGTTCCAGTAGTATTAAGAATTTCAACAAGATTCCAACAGAGCACATGTGTTGGGCTCTTCTCTGTGCAGAATGCTGTGCAAATTGCACAGGTCACAGGCTCATTAAAACAGTCCTGATGATAATAATTTTGCTATAAAACATTTACATGCTTCTTAGAACGTGACATAAATATATATGCTATGTAGTAGAGAAGTCTGAAACACTTCTTCTGCAAACTGTATGCCTTCTCTTTGGAAATGACCTCCTTAGCCCTTCCCGAGGAGTTATCCCAGCTGCCTACGTTTTTCTAAGGTAATTCCATATGTTGCTGCAGTAGACTGGTCCAGGGGTAAACATTTAATCTAAGCTGAGCCCATCAGATTTCTCTTTTGAAAATTTGAACCAGGAACACAGAAATATACTCAAAGTTTTGGAAGCACTGAAACTGTACAGGTTTGGAGATTTGGGGACAGTGATAGCAGAGCAGCAGTGAAAACTTTGTGAATAACAAGTTATGGGAAAGCTGGATCTAACTTAAGCAGGTTTACATTTTGCTGAGTTGTGCAGCCCAGTAAAAGGAAAAAACAAAAACAAAATCAAACATAACAATGAAAGAGAAAGGTTAGGGAGAGGGAGGAGAGAGGGAGAAAGAGAGAAAGAATGCTGCGTTGGAGACAGGTATTCACTCTCTCTGCTAATCTTTTGACAATACTGTGTTATGTTGACATTTTATTTTTTTAAATCCTTTCATAGGATGGGGCATCCTTTTAAATGAGAGACAGAGAAAAAGAGAAGCAGAAAACAGATGCTTATGACTTTACAATATCTATGAAATTCTTTCCATCCCATGTTTTTTGTTTCCTTAATATAAATCTTCTGTTATTTCTACTAATTTGACTGGGTTGCATTTCTTTTAATCAAATGGTCCTTTGTAATGAAAGCCATGGTGTAATTTCAATTATGTGCTTGAAAACCTGAATTACAAGTAAATTCAGCCTGTTTTTCATAAGTAATATAACCATACAGGAATGTTGTCCACCTGGTATATCCGTAATTTCATAGGATGTCTGCTATTTAACTGATATATTACTTGTACTTACCCGTTTTCTTTGTATTATTTTTTCAACGTTTCTAACCAAGTTAGCATTTTTTTCACTCTTGATTGTATTGGATAGCAAATCACTATCTGTTGCTTAAAATTAGTTGAAGTATTTTTACTGTATTGTACCAATCCATCTTCCCGCAGTACATTTCTAAAATATAATTAATCTCATATTTAGATTTTAATCCATTTATCTGCCCACACCTGTTGTTAAATGTGTTCCTCCTGTTTTTAGATGTTCATTAAAAACTCAAGATCTTGTAAAAATAATTGTCAACAAAATACTTATTGGTGCGATTTCAGGGCTCTGTTAAAGTCAACAAAATTTGAGCCTAGGGATTAAAAACAGGAAAAGTAACAATTATTAAGGACTTTTAAACTTTTGAGGGCCTTTCTTTAATTACGTTGTATCACCACGTGACTCTCAGTATTTTCTACGTTTTTCCTTGCATTTTAAATAGGAATGTTAGTAATATATGTGCCCTATAGAAAATATAAAATATACCTAAAATGATATAGTGTCATGGAAAAACACTGTTTTCATAATATCCCCCATTTGTAACCAGGTTTAGCATATCTCCTTCCATGTTTTTTTTTCCTAAATATTTACCACTCTATTAAGATCACATACATTGTAAAATTTCGAATTATTTTACATTTCTACCTAACATTTTGTATAGCTATTATATTGATAGGAAATGATCTACTTAGTAATTTCTCTAAAGTTTGACATTTAGATCAGTCCTATTTTTTGTTTGTTTTTACTACAAAAATACTATTGAGTAAACATCTTTGGTTGCAAATACTGATTGCAGTCTCAGATAACTTTTTAGGATGAGGCCTCAGAAGTATAAAAAACAGTTGCAAAAGGTATTTATGTTTTAAAAACTATTTTGTTACTGAAATTTGTTGTAATCTGAAGGTTTATAATTAATATGTATTCTCATCAACTATGCTATTTCATTTTTACTTCACTAGCATACATTTCCCTGTATTTTCTCTATTCTCTTCACGCTCTTTATTCTTCTGCCCCACCATGACCTTTTTATTTTATTCACTAATTTGATATTTTCTTAGTACTCAATATTTACAATGTCTTTTACTTGAAAGAATCTTAGAGGAATCTAGTTTCTTATTTGTTTGGCAGTGTTTATTCTGATGATTGAGTTTTGTGGTTTTTTTCTAGCACTTGTTTGTAAAACTTCTTTTCAATTTTTAAAATTATCTGAGTATTCCAAATTTCAGGGCATATTTGTTTTCATGTAATAAAAAGGATTTGTCTGTGTGCAAAAAGGAATACATTTTCAAGGCCGGTAATTAGAATGTTGAGTATTCTTGCCTTTTGTAGGAGACTGGTTTACCCTAATCTTGTTTGATCGAATGTAGTTTTGGAGGTGGGGAAAGGCATGCTAGGGCTGCAAAAACCCAAGTGCTCCTAATAGCTTGGATTTCAGCCCAGAACTGCAAGGGAATACCCCCAGTTAAGTTTGAAACACATCTGAAGACTAACTGCTATTGTGTAATAGGTAATATCTTCCTTCCTATTGATACAATTTGAAGTAAGATAACCATTTTTTAGGTATATGATAAAACGTTTTGCGAATTTTATTTGTTGTACCTGTAACTAATGAGTTTGTCTTTTATTTTCTTCTGGAAGCACCACAACATACTCCTTACTTTGACAAATATATAAGGCTTGGTTTTAGCTATGTAAAAATTGGATAATATAGGATTTGGAATCAGGTCATTTTTAGATATTTTAGGTTGCAGTGGAAAGGTTTTCTGACAGTAGTTTAAAGGTTTTTTGTGTGTTGTTTGTTTTTAACTGATCTTTTACAAAGACTCTAGCTGGACCAGTCAAATAAATTATAACAATTTCATAATTTAGAGCAATGGAAATGGGTGGCAATTTAATCACTACTCTAACACATTCTTATCTAAATGGTAGACATCATGATCTTTAGAAATGTATAGCCTGGAGCGGTGGCTCACGCCTGTAATCCCAGCACTTTGGGAGGCCCAGGTGGGCGGATCACGAGGTCAGGAGATCGAGACCATCCTGGCTAACACAGTGAAACCCCCTGTCTACTAAAAATACAAAAAATTAGCCGGGCGTGGTGGCGGGCGCCTGTAGTCCCAGCTACTCGGGAGGCTGAGGCAGGAGAATGGCGTGAAGCCGGGAGGCGGAGCTTGCAGGGAGCCAAGATGGTGCCACTGCAGTCCAGTCTGAGCGACAAAGCGAGACTCCATCTTGAAAAAAACAAAAACAAAAAAAATTAAAAAAAGAAATGTATAAACCTGTTAATCATCTTTAGGGATGTATAAAAATGTTAATAGCAAAGGTCAAATAATATATTATCCTGGAAATTGGAATTCTCAAATACCTGATGCTGTTATGAAACTAGAGGGTTAAAGAAAAAACTGTGGATAATATTCAATGATCAGAAAAATTGAGCTGGAATATTTAAATTAATAAGGGAAGAGAGTAATTACTCTGAAAGTTTCTAAGTATGTTTTAAAGCCACACAGATATGAAAAAGTATGGAGCTAAGAAGATTGCACCTGGAAATGGTCCTGGAAATTATTTATAGTTTGCTGCTTCTATTTTGTTCAGGTGAACAAGCTAAAGGTCCATGAGATTATTGAATGACTTCACCAGAGAAGTAAAATCCATTGGGGAAAAAGTAACATCCTGAAAAAGAGCCAATTTAAGTGAGGAAACATATTTCCATTTAAGGGCAAGGAACAGTAGAGTTTAACGGCATGCAGAAAGGGTTGAGTTATACACTAAAAGGTCTCATCATTAAAAGCTCTTAATCCAGTAGATTTGGGATGGACATTTGCATGGGATTAAGAGATTAAGAAATGTAACTTTGTGATGTTCTTGTATGGAAATCAGGTCAAACATGTTTCCCACACTACTTATCCAAGAAAATATAATAAAGGGGATATTAAAGAACAATATTGGTAGAAAAAATTAAAAACAGCAGTCTCCCAGAAACTGAGTTTACCAAAATGTAAATTTTTAGCATACTTTAACTCAGTAATTTAAACTGTATAAATCTAACAGATATAGCTGTACAAGTGAGTAAAAACATATATTAATTACATTCATTGACTAATTTGTGTAACTGGAAGATTTTAAAACACTATAAACATTATTAATAAGAAAACTAGCTGCATAGTTCTTTCTCCTTCTCTCTCTCTTTGAATATATGTGTGTATACATATATATTCACAGTTCTTAAAATGAATTGGATTTGTTTGATTTATACATGCCACTTTAGAAAGAGTCCTAAAATATATTGACAAGTAAATAAAGCCAGATGAAACTCAGTTGCATATGAAATGATTTTGTGTTATAAAAAGAAAGTACACAGGTGAATGTCTATCCTTGGAGAGAATATGTACATACTTGCATATTTTGGAAAAATCTCTGGAGGTATACATAACAAACAAGTTATAGCTGTTTCTTTTTGGAATACAACTCAGGGATGAGAATTTTAATTATTTTTTGTGAACTATTTTATGTGTAGGATTTTTTTCCTGTATAACCATTACATCTTTAAGTAAAAAAAAAAAAAATAAAGATTGTTAACATATGAGTCTATGACTTGACCCATCTCAAGCATAATCACAAAAGTTTCAGCCTTCTAGGTGTTTTTCATTTTCTGCTAGGATCTAAGATATGCTCATAAATGATCTTCCACATGCAATTATTACTTTGCTTTCTGCCTGGGTGGGGACTGTGCTGTATCCTACTACATTCTCTCCTCCTTAGGCTGGATGGACAGGAATATAACAAATCCAGATGTGCTTCTGTGATTCTCAGCATGGAGATGTTGCTAGTGATCACTATGATGGGCTCAGGGAATGGTCAACTGGAGGCACAGACTGCCTCAGCTGAATTCTTGTGTCCCACTTTGAACTGTAAATAAATCTACCCTAGGACAAATAGTCATCATAAACTCCATCATCAAGACTACTATATCAAGCAACGTGAATCTCCAGAAACTGGATTGTATCTATTGGGAGAGTCATGGGACCCAATTTAGGACAAGAATAGGTTTCCTTTTTTCCATACAGAGAAGATAGGAATGCCTCAACCTGTGCTGTTGCCATGTGAAGATCCTGTTGCTTATCCAATGTGAGTTTTTTTTTTCTTTCCATGGGAGAGCAGAATGGCCACTTCTTTCTCTTTTCTCTAGAAGACTGAAAGGAAATAGAAATCTCCTGCCATAAATCTGCAGTGCTCCTCTTGCATTCAGATATGTTATTTTTTGACAACAGAATGGAAGTTGGAGAGAGGAAAGAGCAATTGGTTGATCTAGCGTCCACAGTGGTAGGGATATAAATGTGATGCATTATGGGATTCTAAGATGGCTGGAGATAGGAGGAAAAACTGAAAAACTTAACAAAAGGGTCAAGACACTGTTACACATGATCATGTAGAAAAAAAAGACAGAAGAATGAGAAGAGTGTGAAATAATAAGTTTGGGTCAAGAGCATGATGGAGTTTAAGGTTTCAGCACTCAAGAAATTCTCTGTGATTGCAAAATTAAGAGTTTGGGGAGCAATAGGTATCCAAAAGCATGGTGTGATAGCTCATTCATATTTAGAGAATTTAGAAACTTTTGGACTGGAATGATGATACCTTAAATTCTTAATACAGATAAAAAAGCTTGGTTTTCTGTTCTATTAGTGTCGAATGGCCTGCACACACTAACTTGGAGTTACAAAAAAATGATACCACCACCTCAAAACTCCATTAACAGTGTGAATAGGAGGATGAACCTCTTGAAATGACTGCAAAATTGTACTAATAAAAAGAGACAATCATTCATTTGAGCCAAGTGATATAACATGAATCCTTTGAAAATTTGTGGGAGAGATGTTTGCTTGAAGACTCCAAAGCACCTCCATAGAGAAGTGATTTGGCATTAGGTGTTGAAAACATGCATGCAAAGTAGAAAATTCGACTGAGTGGATGAATGTGCAGAAAGGGAGTACTTGAAGTAGTAACCAAACATGGTAGAAATGAAAGACAGCATGTTTCAAGTCTCAGGATTCTGAATAATGTAAAGTCATTTTTCACTAGTTTTTTTTCTGGGCATATGCTGGTACTTTCTCAGCTTGGATCCTGCCAAAGCCCAACATGAATGGTCTGGAAGCAATAGTGGGAAGCAAGTTGTCTTAGTTCATTCAAGGTACTGTAGCAAAATGCCATAGACTGGGTAACTTGTAAACAACAGAAGTTTATTTCTTATAATTCTATAATAGAGCCAGGAAATTTCAAAATCAAGGTACTGGCAGATTCCATGTCTGGTTTATAGATATAGACTTAATGCATGTGGAGAGGGCAAGGCAGCTCTTTAGGGCCTGTTTTACAAAGGCACAATTCCCATTCATGAGGCCTTCTTCTTCAGGACCTTCATAATCACCTCTTAAAAGTCTCTACTCCCTAATACTGTCACCTTCAGGGTCACGATTTCAACATATATATTTTTGAGGAACATAGACATTCAAACCATAGCACAAGGAACATGAATCACGGTGGTAAATATGTAATTTTTATTTTTATTTTTTATTTTTGGTGACAAGGTCTCCCTGTGTAGTCCAAACTGGAGTGCAGTGGCATAATCATAGCTCACTGTAACCTGGAACCTCTGGACATGAGGGATCCTCCTGCCTCAGCCTTCCAAGTAGCTGGGACTACAAGTGTGTGACATGATACATGGCTACTTTTTTTAAGGTTTCTTTGCAGAGTTGGGGGTGTCACTCTGTTGCCCAGGCTGGTCTTGGACTTCTGGCCTCAAGTGATGCTCCCACTTTGGCTTTTCAAAGGACTGCGATTACAGGCATGAGCCACTGCACTCAGCCTAATATGTAATTTTAATGACAGAGTTGTGTCAAAGTCTCCATGCTATTAAGGGAGACCTGGTTTTGGTTATGAAGGGCAAGTTTAGAAATGTGTGTACAGTGTACAGCCATAGGAGAATGAAAGTTAATACCGAAGTGAATAAGGCCATGGGAACCATGCCAATATATGTAATGATGTGTGGAATAACATTTAGAAAGAGAGGTAGAGGTGGAGAAAAAGCTTATATCTGGCCACTGGTGGCACCTTTCTTTTGCCCAACCAATTTCAGAAGAGCTGAAGCTGAGATAGATAGTTCTTTGCATCTTTCCAGCATCCCACCTGAAGCACATATCATGGGGTATTTCTGCTTTTTTGCCTTAGGCTTTCTCTAAAACACACTCTCTCAGCTCCAAAGTGTATGTGCCTTTGGGTTTGTGTGCACCCAAGGACCATTTTCAACCAATGGGTGAAATGAGTCTAATTTTACCAGCCTTCCTGTCTTTCAGTGTGGTAATTCTGAGGTAGGTTCTACAGGACTCCTCAGAGGGTCTCCAAAAAGATTGATTTCCATTTGCCTAAATCAGCAACCAGCTCAGTGAAGCACACTTTATTGTCTTTCATCCTTCCCTACTCCCTCACTTCTGTTTCCTGGAATTAAATCCTAGACTAACTTCACCCAAATCATCATGTCAGACTCTGCTTAAAGGAAATCCAAATTACACCTCAGCATCACGCAAAATACCCATGTAGCAAACCTGTACATGTATCCTCTGAATCTAAATTTAAAAAATTATATATGTATAAAAGAAAGTACTTGATTTATTTTGTCAGTTAATAGTTTAGCAAAGGGGACTTGTGGATAGTGAAGAATGTTTGGAATAGGAAACTGTAGTGAAAGTTATAGGAAATTGATTAGCAATGGGTTATTGTCAGGAGCAGCTTTGCATTTGCATTTGTAATCAGACAGTCCCTTAAGTCACTTTTCTCTTCTTTCATCTGTGATGCACTTAGATTTCATTGTTCTGAAAATGTCACTGATGGGATCCAACCTATCCATCCTCATCAATCCTGCCAGAGGGGTGAAATACTTGGAAACGTTCAAGGCACTATGCTTAAAGGAAAGATGAGGATGGGTAACACAATAAAGTTGGGGTAACAATTTTGAGGAATGATAGAAGACACATTGGTTGGGAGGAGGGAATTGTTCTGTGAACCATTATTTTTTCATTACCTTTTAATCTAAATTAAAAAAAAATCTTTTTAAAACCTGGTCTCTTCTCTGGAAGTACAGTGGAATACTCCCAAGAATTATCAGATAGTTTTTATGAAGAAGACAAACAACATAGAAGTACACATGGCTTTTCCTAGAGCTAAGGATTTATACTCTCAGACTAGAATCTCCTTAAGGAAGGGAGATAATCTTCTGGAGTGGATATACACTGACGGATAGGGACATGGCCCTCAGGGGTCTAAACATAATGATCTGTGTCAAGTTCTCTCTGTAGTTCTCAGCCTGACTCTTATATTGCTACGTACATACTCCAAGTTGCACCTAATCTCTGCTGGAATGAGTCCTGCTACCTTCATCCTGTAGCATAGCCACTTTGTCTTGCAAGGATGGGGGAGAAGGGGATTAATTTAGACTAAATGATAGACAATTTTTTTTCTATTTTCCCAACTTTCCCCTTTCCTTTTTTCCTTTAGTTAAAAGCTAATCCTTCATCGGAATCAACTCCTGAAACTCTAGATTCTCACTGGTGATTAGAGGGCTGTTCGGTTTGGATGTAGAAGTCTAACAGGGTTATTTGACACAACATTGCATTATGTTCAACTACTTTTAAAAGCAGTACTTACATTAGTTAATAATACATGGTTAAGAATTAGGAATACCAGGAGACAGTTTTTATATGCTACACAGAACAATTATTCTATAATCCTGAGTATTACGCAGGACATATATTGATAAGACAAAGTGTCTATAAGTTGATGTAATTAATATAATAGCTTTCCTTTTGAATTGAACAAAACCACAAAATTTAAACTTGCCATAATTGTCTCATACATGAAGTTGCTTGTGGAAAATGTTCAAAGCAGACACATGCAATTTTTTTCTCTTATTTTCCTTTGCGATTTAATGGTTATGTGTTCACAGTTGGTTGCTATCCAGAATTTTATGCACATTAACAGTGTCCTAAAGATCATTTCCATTTCTCCAGTGAGATACTGTGCTTCTTTCCCCCATGGAGACTTTATAATTATGCTGAAACCTTTTGTCTGTGACATTGGCAGTTCTCCTGGAGTGCACACATCTCCCAGCATTCTAAGATGTTGCTCAAAGTTAATCTAGTGGCAAAGGATGCCTGGTTTCCTTCACATTCTGGAAATCACTAGTGAGAAACTCAGTGCTACCACTTTTTTCTTTGTCTTTAGAATTTGCACAAGTTATTCAAATCCTCTGTGTGATTCCAGGAGCCAGGGACACCACATGGTCAGTGCTTACGCTGAGACTCTAAGCTGTATTTTTAGGTCTTTCAGATGTTTCACTTTTCCAGGCTTTCACAGAACAGCTGAGCCCTCATTGGTGGTGGCTGAGCCCCTTGGGTTCCCATTTTCAAGTACTTAAGCTCCTATAGTGATTGATGCCATAGATGAAAATATATCAGTAGGCCTGATATATGAAGTAGAAAATGTACATTTCTTCATTTAATAGCTGGGTGGCAGAGAGTATCTCCTTCTGTGTATGATTGATAGCCAAGTTCTCCTTATTCTTAGGAGGAGAAAAAGCAACAACTTATATATAGAGAGTAAAAGATTACTTACATTTAAAAGGAAAGCTCATTCCGCATATGTTCTAATCTTGAGTCAATTAATATATGAGTTTCTGTCACTTCCCAGACTTTTGCCCAACTTTAAATATGGTTAAGTATTCTAATTTAAATTTTGTTTACCTCTTTTTTTAAGCTTTTTAAAAAGCGGAGGTTCACTGTCTCAGAGCTGTGAGAGGCTCATAAAATGTTTTCCACCCACAGCAACTGCTAGAGCTCTGTCTTTTCTCTCTCTCAATAGCCCATCAGATTAATCTGAATTATCATGTTTGTAAACATGTCTTTAGCTCATGATTGATTACAAACTTAGAGAAATCCATTACTGAAATTACCATGCAACTACATCTCTATTAAAACACGATCCCAACCAAATATCATGTTATTCCTCATATAGCACCAAGAGATGGAAGATAAAATAACAGTATTCATCTTTAAAAATACAGCAATCTGTCATTGTTACTTCCTCCATTGCTTAGCATCTTCCACCTCTTCTATATTTTTAAATTCACCAAGTGTTGCTATATGTACACTTATATATATATATATAACATATATGTATATGTTTGTTATGTCTACAGTTATGTGATGAATGTCTTGATGGTACACAATACTACTTATATAGAAAAAGACACTAGAATGAAGCATATACTATAAATATATTATTCATATATGTGTTTCTTATGTGTAAGGTAGGTGTCAGGGAAGAGGGGAATGAGATTTTTTTAATCTCACAGGTCAAAGTTGCTCTAAACACATGTTTATTAGACAATGCTTTCACATCTGAGAAGGTATCAAAAGACTAATGTTTTTCACAGACTCTAGAGCATGGTAACATCTTTGTGTATCTACTGGAGGTCAAGTTTTGGTGCTAAAGTTTTGCAGTTCTGGAAACAGACTTAGCACCAAATCTGGCAGTGACTTAAAAGAAAAAAAAAACCCTTGGTAAGAACCATTAATCAAACTACATTCTATAAATCAATAAAACCTTAGAATAATTTGTAAAATTGTAAAATGAGAACAATTTGTGAAATTGTAAATGAGAAACTTTTTCTACTAGCAGAAATGTGTTGCTCTCTGTCATCCCCACCCTGCCCCAATTCTTCTGTTGATATTGAGGTATGTTATAGGTTGACTTGAAATAAGAAAGTTTATTTGTTAGCCTACACTTAGAGAAAAAGCGTCATATGACCTGTAGGACTATTATATTGGAGTCTTGGTGAGGCTTAATGAACCCTACAGCAGATGACCTGCCTCCATTAACAGCTTTAGTGGTCCCTCACACGATTAAAAAACTCTTACCTGTACAGTGCTGGTCAAACTTGGTCAAATTTTGCTTCAAGAACTATGGCTAATATCCTTAATATACTAGTTAGGGTTGTAATGGGGAATTTTCTATTTTTCCCTATTTTGCTATGTATCCATCTATCTGGCCGTTGAAGTTTTTGTACAATGCAAACATTGTTATTCATATGTACCTCTTGCAAACTATACTTTTATATGTTGCTAGAACCCTTTCTATAGGGCTCACATTAATATTACTAATTGACTATCTATTATGCTTCATTGATAAGGATGCAACATTCAATAAAAATGGATCCTCTCCTAGAAAGGCATATAATGCTTTCCATATTTTGACCCAGGAAATTGTGTCAATTAGTACCAATTGTTTATACAATATTTGTTCTTTCCTCACTTTTAACTAATAGACCCTGATATTTTCCTAGGTGAAAATATGTAAAATTAAAAAAAAAAATTCCCCTACTTCTTTGCAGTAAAGATTTCTCTGTGACTTTGCTGCAACCAATGAGCAATAAACTAAAGTTTGCTGAGGCTTTTCAGAAAATTACCTTTCTTCTTTCTCATTTTCTTCTCTCTTTTGCATAGAAAATGGATTTGATAGCTAGAACTACTGGTTCCTTCATGGAGACATGAGGAAAATGTTAAGATAATATCACATATCAAGGCTTTAATATACACATGAGCCACTAACCTCAAACTAAGAACAGCTACTTTCCAGAATTTTTGTTACATAGAAAAAAAAATAAATACATGCACATGTAATTTGTTTATGGGTCTGTTTGTGTTTTCATTTACTCACAGGCCAATACTATCCCTCACTAATAGAGTAATGTTGGTCCCAAGGGATATTTATAATTACTGGTAGGATAAAGCTAATGATAGTTGTGTCCCTTTCCTGAATAAGAGTTGCTGAAAATATTCAGGGTTTTAAAAAAAATGTTACTTTGTTTGCACTACTTCTTATATAGTCGAATGTGCTAAGATGCATTCATTCCTGAAGATGAGACTCTATTATAATATGCCAGCCTAATTTGATCAGGGAATCCATATTCAAAGAGCTTCTGCTGTGCCTTGTGTTCCATGGAATAATAGTACAAATTTAGGAAAACTCACATATAAAAATAAATACAAGAGAGGAAGTAAAGAAAGAAATGCCAAGAATTCTATTGTCTAGCAATAAGAAAGAACTTTGCTCAGCTTGGGGTTCTTCCAGAGAAAACTTCTGAAAGAGACGGCTCCTCAACAGAACTGTTTTTCCTTTATTTATACTTCTACATTCAGTTATTTCTTTACACTAATTTGTGCAAGTTTCTCTTGGTCTATATGCATAACTTATTTTTGAGTAGTTGCTCAATTAAACATGGTATGCTTTGAATGGAAGGACAATATTACCTGGATCAAAATAAATACAAAATCAATCAATAAATAAACAAGGGATTAAAATAAACTTTACATTTATAATCTCTGTGCTACAACCAGTTGAACTAATTAGCCATAAACCAGATTGTATTAAGGCCTGTGTGTATAGTGTAAATAGCCCTTTTCAAAAGCATGCTAAAATATCTGAAAGAAATGACCCCTCATGCTTGAAAACTATATATCTAACAATACAGCCACACAATTTTCATCTTCATGGTAGGCTATGAATACCTCCAGGCATGCAGGGAAGGGAAAGAATTCTCTCTCCCCACTTTGCATCTTCCATCAGTACCTTTTGAGTAAAGTCCTAAAGACATCTCTGATATGCAGCTTCTGAACAGGTGCCATATGTAGGCCTTGTATGAAAGAGGGGCTCCATAGAAACCACACCCTTGTGGGAGTTTGCTCTGCCCAGTTGTCTTAGAAGTCTTTCCATATTTAAAGTGGAACAGTAAAATACGTCTCTAATGCAGTTCGGTTTATTGACATTTCTCCCTTTTACATATCTAAAACTTAAACTTATAAAAGTTAAAGAAAAGAGAGATGCGACCATTTCCTGAACCAGAAAAAAATTACATTTTATTTATGTGCTTGTTTTTCTAGGTAAGTACGGGACAGAATTTGAGTTCTGAAATTTTATTATATATTTGAGGAACATTTCCCTATTTTTATGTAGTAATGTCCAAAATTATTTTGTCATTGAAATGTAGGACCATTAGTCATTTTGCTGATAAGCATTAAAGTGAAATATACTCAAGACTTTGGCTATTCCTATTTTCAAGCTGCATTTGTTCAGTAGGAAGAAAACCTACTTTTCAAAAAGAGGATGTTGTCAGATTACACATTTGATACTCAAAAATCTTTAAAATGATTGTCTGACCTGACGAGCTTTCCAAAGTGTAGAGTGCTTATAGTCCTAGAGCCTTAAATACTGGTTGCTGGTTAGCAAATGATGGGTGATAATTCTCTTTTCTTCAGATCTAGGATAGATCACTGAAGAAAAATTGCTTTATCCCATTATTGAGAGACATTTAAGTCACATTATCATTTAAAATGTGTTTTTAAGTACACTGTTAAAGAAAAAAGCAACAATGAAAAGAATTAAGAAAAAAGCAACAATGAAAAGACATTCTATTATAGTAGTATGCCGATAAGCTGTTGTATCACTTTTGTTTCTGTTAAAATGGTACATTTTTGTCTTCTCATTTATATAAACCTCTTTCAAAATAACATATTTTAGACTATCTTATGAAACTTTGTCCCTGTGACAGATTTATCCTTAGCACTTTATTTCTAGGGACACCATACATAATTTTAAAGATATATTTATGATATATAAAGATATGTTTATCTCAGAAACCTTATATGTGGAAGTATATAAATATGTAGAAAGAGCCTACTTATAAAGTAGGGAAGGACAATTATTGTTCCTTATAAACTATAGTTCTATTTGTTTTTCAAAGTTATTAAGACTATGATGATATAGTACCTTAAAGGAGTGGTGTGAAAAATGTTGAAATAGTGGTCAGATCTTGAGACATGCATTCATTGGGTGGAACTTTTCTATATTATTGCTGCCCTCCTCTACCTTCAATCAGGCTCCACATTGGATCTTTTCTATCACAAGCAGATTCCCCGACATCTTAGCACTTGGATATACCTCTGAGATATGGTTCAAACCCTATCTGTATTTTATGTTTCTGTTAAGATGTTGCATTGTGGTTATATACTACTATTATTTATGCAAACAGTGAAAGGTTGTTGACTGCGATGTATTAATAGCTCTTGGCACCAGAGCCAACCATCTCTATCCCTTGGCAAGTTATGTTGCAAAAGCTTAGAGTTTACTATAGTTCAAATGTCCAACTTCAAAGGAACTAGCCCATCTTGTGCTTAAGCACGATGCCTTAAGACAACATAATGTTATTTTCCAATAATGCTGATAGATCAGGAACACATCTGTGGTCATAAACATATATTTACATATATGTATATGTGTGTGTGTGTACGTGTGTGTGTGTTTGTGTGTGTGTGTGTGTGTGTGTGTGTATATATATATATTAAACTCTTCAAACTGGTAGAGTTAAGGAAACCAGAATTTTATATTTTACTCACACACAAATTCTATGAGTAAATTTTTCAGCTCTGCAAAGAACTCTTAGCAGTCAGAATTTGGTATTTTAATTAGATTGTTATAAAGGTGTCTCCGAAATCAAATTATATAAGTAAATTATATAATATTTCATAAATTGCTTTAGACAAATTTTTAGCTTAAATGTAGAGTTAGACAAACTTAGCTTTATGCCTTCCCCTTTATCATGTTAGTTAAAAATGAAAAGCTAGTGGCCGGGCGTGGTGGCTTGCACCTGTAATCCCAGCACTTTGGGAGGCCAAGGAGGGTGGATCACCTGAGGTCGGGAGTTCAGGACCAGTGCGACCAACGTGGATAAGCCCCATCTCTACTAAAAATACAAAATTGTCCTGTTGAGGTAGATTACGCCTGTAATCCCAGCACTTTGGGAGACCAAGGAAGGTGCATCACCTGAGGTTGGGAGTTCAAGACCAGTGCGACCAACATGGAGACACCCCATCTCTACTAAAATTAAATACAAATAAATAAACAAATAAAATAAAAATACAAAATTAGCCTGGCGTGGTAGTGCATGTCTGTAATCCCAGCTACTCAGGAGACTGAGGCAGGAGAATTGCTTGAACCCAGGAGGCGGAGGTTGTGGTGAGCCAAGATCACACCATTGCACTCCAGCCTGGGCAACAAGAGTGAAACTCTGTCTCAAAAAAATAAATAAATTAGTTAATTAAAAAAAGGAAGAAAATCTATAGTAAATATTTCCAGCTACAATATTTCACTGTGAATATATGTGTTACCAATATAAAGGTAAGTGATCAACAACTATTATAACTCTGAGAGAAAAATAAATAAGAAATGTTTATAAGGTGAAATAATAACAATTAATTAATTCTAATAAGACAACATCACTAGGTATTTAAGTAATTTTATCAGATATGAGCATGTTTTTAAAATTCAACAAAATGTATTTATAACTATGTAAGGTATTAGAGGTCATGGTTGAGAATGACCAAGTTCTAATATAGAGTACCTGATTTAAATAAAATATTTAAGATTTATGTTTTGTACTTTTCTTTAAATCCTTACATAGCAATTTAAAGCCAAGCAACAAGTGGATAGTAAGTAGAATACCATCTTTCAAACCCTTTCAGTGAACTTATAAAAAATTCATGCTGTTTTGTAATACAGTATGAGCTGATGCAGAATTACCAGAGATTGACAGGAGGAGGCTATTCTTAGTACAAAGCAGCTGTGTTTATTAAGTAAAATTTGTCATTATAACTGCAAGTAGATTTTGATTAAATTTATTATATCTGAAGTCTTTTATTAGTCTTTCAAGATAAGAAGGAATTACAAAAGTCTATATTTTAAGACTTTATTTCTCACCTTGAGAAATAATTGGCCACGTGCATTAATTTATTAATTACTATGTTTATAAATGGGGTTATGACCTGTTAGGGTACAAATACCTTAACAACATAATAATTATGCCAATTAATGGAACTTCAGTTTTATCTGCCAGGGGAAAATACACAATCAAATAATTGATGAAAGTTGTCAACTGTCTTACACTTTTATTGGTAAAAATCTCATTTGTTATTAAATATATTTAACCCATTTTGGAGGGGTCTTCAGTTGCATGCAATAGGCTACATATTATAAATGTATCTTTATATTACCTTTTATAGAAGTTAAATTTCCATAGAATTGTCTGATTAAAGTATTAAACATGTTAGTGCCTTTTTAAAAACCTGTGGTGATATGTTTATTTAAAATTGTAGTTGTCAAGACAAAAAATAAATATAAAGAATAACAAACATATATTTATTTAATATGTAATAATGGTAACTAACTTTTTCTTTATTGACACAATTATTTTTATTTGTGTATTATATAAATATATATAAGGAGATAAGAATCGGAAAATACACTCACTGCATAAACTTATGATTTTTTACTCTTTAATAATCAACAGACAATTGAAAATGCATTTGCCTTAAGAATTTGGAACATATAATCCTTTTATGATTAAATGAAATAATGTACATAAAGGTCCTGGTGACTGTATAGAACTGGAAATTTATAACACTTAAAAAATAAGTTCCGTCAATTGGATATGTTTTTCTGTGGAAATGACAGGAACTGACATCTTTCCTTTTGGTTGTCCTGTTCTCTCATTATATCTTTAATCAAGGCAGCTTAGATTGATGTTACAATCCTTCTTTTCTTATATCAGCATTTAAAGAATGAATACATTTTCCAACTCTTACAGGGCACTATCTATGGGAATAAAATAGTATAATTAAGTCCTGTTTTATGCCATAAAGCAGATAAATAAAGGAAGCATATGGAAAATAGTCTCTTTTTCATCCTTGGGTCAATGTGTAGTGCGTATCAATGTTTAATGGTTTCTTTTTTTACTTGATTCAATTTTATCGTGCATGAACTTGAGTGAGTAATTGCAGGAGCTAAAGCCAGGCAAGCTTTCCCATACACCCCTGCCAGTGCACTGACCTGCAACACCCCTGGTATTTCATTCTTTGGCCTCTGCTAAGGGGAGCCTGCCAGTCATTCTAAATTGTGCCAAACTGCAGAGTAGTTTTATGATTTGAAAAACATCCATTAAGTTCTAGTCTGAGTCTACACACCACTTCATGTTACTTGTAAACAAAGCCAAATTTCAACCTCAGCCTTGAGAGTTGTATACTTAAACAAATAAAGAAACAAAAATTACCACATTCTTTTTGAGCAGGGAAAAATGCATCCACCTAGCCAGTGGATTTGGAACACATTACACCTTTTAGCCTGAATTGTAACATTAATATAAGTTACAAATGCAAACTAAACATGTAGGAATGGATGAAAAGAAGCAAGCAAAATGAGATATTTTCAGAAATATTGGTTAAAAACTCCAAAACTACTACTTAGCAAATTATACATGGGAAAAGGAGTAATAAAAGATAATTTAGTGGTTTGATTTCTTTAAATCTTCCTCATACAAGATTCAGAAAGATGGTAGGCACATTCAGACTAATTGAGGGTAATGGACTTTAGGACTGATAACCCAGAATTTCTGACTTTTACACAGAACACCAATTTAAAAGAACAATATGCCCGGGTCCGGTGGCTCATGCCTGCAATCCCAGCACTCTGGGAGGCCGAGGCAGGAAGATCACTTTAGGTCAGGAGTTTGAGACCAGTCTGGCCAGCATGGTGAAACCCTGTCTCTCAAAAATACACAAATTAGCCGGGCATAGTGGTGCACGCCAGTTGTCCCAACTACTCTGGAGGCTGAGGGAGGAGAATTGGTTGAACCTGGGAGGAGGAGGTTGAGTGAGCCAAGACCATGCCACTGCACTCCAACCTCAAAATAACAGAGCAAGACTCCACCTCAAAATAAATAAATAAACAAACCAACAAACATAGTTTGCCCCACTATGTTGATTTAGTTTATCTGAATACAAAGAAGAATTCCAGAGAAGTATTTAAAACATTGCTGATTAATTGGCATACAATGATAATAATGATTGTTGTTGATACACCACAGACGCAAGATGGGCCCCTCACCTAAAATTTGAGATGTCAAGATTGATGATGCCACCCATACAACAAGAGGTGATGAAACTCTTATGACTCATATTGTGAGCTATCTGGGAAAGGAGGTCCGCCTCCAAAGCGGATCTGAAAATGTCTTGACAGAGAGCAAAGAGGGTCCACAGCCATAGGTTTTAATAGTGGTTAGTGGGTGGAACTAAGATGAGGGGCTTGTGTGCTCACAGAGTAGGGCTTTTATGTAGTTTAAACTTCAAGTTGGCACCAAAAAAGGGAGCTCATAGACTTTCTTATCAGCTTGGCCCTGTGTGGGGCAGAAGGGTGAAAGGACTGTTGGGATTTGAAAGCTGTCAGCAGTCAAACATAAAACATGGAGTTAGACTTTCTATTAAAATGATAAACAGGCCAGGCGTGGTGGCTCACGCCTGTAATCCCAGCACTTTGGGAGGCCAAGGCAGGCAGATCACCTTAGGTCAGGAGTTTGAGACCAGCCTGGCCAACGTGGCAAAAAACCGTCTCTACTAAAAATACAAAAATTAGCCCGGCATGATGGCGGTCGCCTGTAATCCCAACTACTTGGGAGGCTGATGTGGGAGAATTGCTCGATCCTGAAAGACAGTGGTTGCAGTGAGCTGAGATCACACCACTGCACTCCAACCTGGGCAACAGAGCGAGACTCCACCTCAAAACAACAACAAAAAAGTGATAAACAATAATGATAAATTCAAATGCTGTTTTCTCTTGAAAGGATTGTCCCTAATTTGACCTGTATAAGTAAGTGCAAGATCAGGATGGAGAGAAAGGGGTATTTTCAGTTCTCAGGAGCATTTGCATTAATGTGGAAAGAGTGATGCTTTGGATTTAGGGAAGAGCCATTACCAAAACTTTACTCCCTGGATAAGGTCCTCCAGGCACAGGCTGGTGACCCAGGAAATGACTGTGTAACTGGAGTATTAGAAGTTAGTATTTATAAACACCTTAAACTTCTGAGAAAATAAGGTAGAAGCAGCTTGTTTAAAAAATTCCATGATACTATATATCAAGATTCAAGATATTTATCAGGGTTTTCAATTATAAGATCTGTATACTCAAAACATAATTTTAAATAAATTTGTTACACATTTTAAGAAAAAATAAGATAATGTCTCAAGTCCTTTATATGATTTAGATTGGAATCTAAAAGATAAACAGGATTAACAACTTGAAAGAATTTATTCAGTACATCCTATATATGGGAGAACTTAACAAAATGCAAGGGAGATGAGAGGGGAGAATCAGTGTTCCTGTCTTATATAATTTATAGCACAGTCAGAAAACCAATCATGTAGGAAAACTGGCATGGGAATCATCATAAAGAAATTGTATAAAGATTGTATTTTCAAGTGTGGTAAAATTGTGTATATATAGAGAGAGGGATTAACCGAAGAAAGCTCCTGAAAATAATTGATTTTTATTCAAGCCTGGAAGAAAGTAAATGGTTACAGATCCTTAGATGAAGAATAGAGAGGGGGAAATATGAACAAAGTCATTGAGAACAGAAAATGTTTTTCTTCATCATCTCTTTCTTTACAGAACCACTCCTCTCCCTTTTTATTTATTTATTTATTTATTTATTTATTTATTTATTTATTTATTTATTTATTTATTTTATGATGAGGCTTTCTCACCTCTCTATCCACAGTGTCGTCTCATGGCCAAGGATGGATAAGCCAAACAAATCCTCCCATTTATTTGAACACAGTGATTGGATAGGGATAGGCACTGTGATTCAAGCTGGGCCAATCAGAGTTAAGCAATTTGATTAAGACTATGCAAGTTGACAAGCCTAAACTCAGATTCAGGTCTGTCTGACATCAAGGAGCTGGGTTTTATATTCTACACCAGAGGTTCCAAATTTTAGGTGGAAGGCTTGGTAAAACACAGATTGCGAGGTGTCATCCTCAGAATTTCTAATTCAGTTCGACTGGGTTGGGGCCTGAGAATCTGCATTCTTAACATGCTTCCTGGTTACACTATAAGGGTGCTGATCTGGCAACCATCTTTAGGATACCTGCATAGAGGAATAAGGAAAAGCCTGGCTTGTTTCAGTTTAAGTCATGTAAGATTTAGTTATTAGGAAACTTTTATGAGATTATAAGAGAGAATTTTAAGACATTATGATGATAAATATAAATATGGATATAATCAGAAACTCACTGAAGGAGTGTTCACTGAAGGAGAAAACAGATACATTAGCTAAATATTTGGAGGAAATCATGTAAAGAAAAGCACAAAACTTTGATGGATAGAAGGAATAGACAATGATTTGACAGTTCAAGAAAAAACAATGTAAAGAAAGAGAGTTGAAGTAAATACCAAAAATCATTGCAATTTCAATTTTGACAATTTTTAGTTTATGTTAATGCCCAATTTTTACATAGCTATTTTTCAGCCAATTATGATTTACATACTCGATCTCACATTATAAAAATAAGTACAACACAAATTAACAGCAGCAAAAACAAGTTCAAGAACAAAAATAGGAAACAAAACAGAATGTGTTGTTGAGCTCATTAACAGAATTTGGAATTAAGGCTGACATTAACAAATCAGTGTGTGAAGAAGGCTGAGTTGTAAGAGATATCATGTCAGCTCTAGAATAAACTCTCTTAAGCCACTTAGATTTTTTAAATCATTTCTTTCACATAAGAAATACGTTGTTAAACTATATGACCTAATTTAGTGATTATAATCTGATAGATCTCGCCATGCATCTTTATTTGGTGACAATAGTCCTATAGTTTTTAGAATTATTTATCTCTAAAAAGGAGCAAATGCTGTTCATCCCACAGAATGCTATTTCAGAGCTAGAAAAGAAATGCCCAACCCAATTATGGGATAGTTTGAGATTCCCCAGAAGGAAAAGGAGCTTTGAAGCTTTCATTTGAATTACCTAATAACCGTACTGCTTTACTATTAGTTGCTGGCTTAGGTGAAACTCTAATAGCTGGAAATAAAGCATTGCCAATTACTAATTAGATTTAAAAGAAAATTGGTACCATGAAATAGGGCATGATCCAATGGTTACATTCAAACCTCAGGTAGAAGAAGAGGAGTTCTGAGGTATTAACCTCACTTTTAATGAGACAGCTGACTTTTCACTTATGTTTTTTATTCTCTGCAGTGTTCCCTGGGCCAGTATTTATACAAGCAATGCATTCTGTGTTAACCAGGAACAGGAAGTGCTTATCAGCGTGGAGTGTGCATTTTTTACACTCAGAACTGCATAGTTCCAGCAAAACATAACCAGAAAGCACATTGATTGAGCCATTCTAACTCTACTTGTAATGGATGGTAGTTAGGCAAACAGATCCAATTCCTAATAGGATAGGGAAGTTTATTTAAAATTATTATTATGAAGTTTCTCATAAACATGAAAATAATAAATGTATGGATTAGTCTAGATTTTAACCTAAAACGAATTGTATTCTATGCTTGAGTCAACAGCAGCAGAACAAAAGAAGAAATCTTGAAAGGACAAGGAGAAAAGCTTTAAGGCAGAAATTAGAAGAAATCAATAAAATTCTGTGACTTACAAGAGAATTTCTCTGAATCCCCCAAATTTTTAAATGTTCACTATCTGTGCACAGATGATATTACACTTATATTTATACTTTTTCCTATATAATTGCTTTAATAATTCACCTGTATATGTGTATCACAGTAATATTTGGAGTTTCTTAAGCAGACATATTCCTTGGTCCTGCCTCTGAAGAATTTGGCTCTATGGATTAGGATTTGGTCCAGGAATCTAAACAGTAGTCTAGCACGACACCCGCTCACTCACAAGTGATTCCGCTGTAAGAGGTTTGCTAACCACTGGAAAAAAACTCTTTTATACCCTCTTCACGGTTATTATTTCCCCAAATACTTTCCTTTGATTTTTGAAGCCCAAAACCAACTGTTTTGTCGAGTATTAAGACAAGCATACCTGTGTGAAACCTATGTCTGCTTTCTCACTTTGTGACAATAGAGGCCATAAAGAGGTAAAAGGGTATCTTGGGACATATTATTCCATATGCCTGGATTCACCTACAACAGGGAGAGTTGCTGACACAAGGCTAGATATCAATTTTCAACTTGCTGTGCACAGTTTCATGAGACTGAGATGAGCTGTTGTTTTCTCATGTAATGATGTTTTATATGTAATGAGTAAAGTCAAATATATTATATTCACTTAATGGTTATCAACCATGACATCTCTGTGAAATATCCTTGTGGCTTTATTTATTGACTTTTTTTAAAAAAGGCTATAAAAACTCTTGCTGTGGTGACTTGATTATTTCATTTTATGGGAAACAGTATACATTTTCCAATGCCCATTAGCAAAGTGCATTTTTGTTAGACACTTTTTTTTAAAGATGTTGGCATACAGTAAGCTCACCAGATTACAAATAAATGGCATTGTTGAAACAGCTCACGACGGTAAGTAGATGTAAATTTTCTAATGAATCAGCCCCAAATCATAAAATATTTAGTTTGTTTAAGGGAGAGGATGAGTTGTTAAAATGGATTTTCTATGCTGAAATTTGAGATTCATCAATATGAAGCAAACAGAAACAAAATAACATTTGGACTTTTCCCCTCAATTTTTTAGTTGAAAACCTGACTGAAATCCAGTATTCAACATTAAAGCAGCAATCTGCTACAGAGTGGATGAATTTGTGATAAATGGTCCCTTGGGGTTTATAAAACATATTCTCCATAAAACAAGCCACAATATGTTTCTTCACATTAGTCAGTTCCTGACATTCAGGCTGCTGAAGCTCCAGTCCACTGTTGGTACCTGCCATCCCCCAGCTGTAAACAACTCTTTGTTTATAGCAGCAAAGCTCATACATCCATTTCAAGGTTTTACAGCGATAAAAGGCTGACTGCCTACATAAACTGAAGTGGGCTGCAATGTTGCTATTTTGTTTATTGCTCTTTTATTGCAATGGTCAAATAGTTCCTTTGAGACCAGACACCAGTTTTGTGCCATCTGCACAGTCAGTGTCAGAAAACTTGTGTCAACTGAATCACTGTGGAAAATATTTATAATGAGAGGACTAATTAAATGAAATGGTGCCTCTCAAATTGAAGCAGAAATGCAGATGATTAATAGAAAATTAAAAGTAATCTGCTTTTTTTTCTTCTTCTTCTTAGTAGATAGTAGCATTTGCCGTTGGAAACCTTGAAGGGCATGACTTGTGTCTGCCAACCTAGTAAGGACGAATTAAACAAAAATTTGGTCCTGTTGTGTTAAGGTTTTATGTTTCCATTGTGAAATTCCTATCTAAATGCTTCTGAATAATTTTAATCACATATTTATGTTAATGGGCTATAAAAATACCTGCCTAGGAAGCTCATATCAAAACCATTGCTTTTGCCTTCAATTATGTTTTCTGAATTAGAAAAGTCAAACACCAAAATCATCATTTTAAAGTAAACTTTGGTCACACTATTATATTTAAATTAAATAAAATATTTTATCATGAAAGTTAATAATGGGTGAAGTAATATGTTTTCTTCCATACAAAACCATTGCTTTTTAATTTGAAATGGGAGAATTTATCTAATATGCTGTATTTTAAGTTTTTAACTTTGGAAGATGGTCCCATAGAGTAATTTTAACATCTTTTTAGAACTCTGATGTTAAAGTTTAAAAGATATGGAGAGAGTATTGCCATCTTTGAATCACATTACACTACAATGCTGATATAATCCTTAAACAACCTGACAATGATAGTAAGGGTTTCCCTTAATGAAATATTTTTTAGAACTCTTCTTAAAAATTTAAAACTTTCAGTGAAATTGGTTTCAAATAAAAATACATTTCACTATGAATATTGAAAAAGGATAACAAATATTTTATATTTATTAATAAATAAAATATTCCCTTAGAAAAAAATAGGCTACAAACTTAACTTTTAACTGAGCAATTTTAATTAAAAAAAACTTCCTAATAAAAAAAGGTGAAACTAGTTATATGCTCTGAAATGCTTATAAAATAGTGTTTTTATTATAAAATAGGTCACTAGTGTTCAGATGAAAGTATGCATGAAATATGGCTTTAAAACATAGATAATAGTGAAAAGTTTTTAATTTATTATTATATTCTTACTAGCCTGTCGATTATTTTAAAAAGCTCTTAATTCCCTGATATCTATATAATTGGGTGCATATTAATGCAGATGGAGGTGTTAGTTTGTATCATTTTGTTATACATGGGACTATTCATTATTAATTCATATTACCATTATTTATTATTATTTATAAGTGTGTGACATGAGGTTTATGTGTTTCATACTCTTTAATACATTACTGAAAAAAAAACACCAAAAATTAGACTAATTTCAATACAATGGAAATAAATCAGCAAAGACTCAGCGAGACAGCTGAGTGTATATACCCACTCTATGATTGTAAATTTCATCTCCAAAGAATTTTCTCATCTACAAATAAGACACAATATAAGAATATTTTTCCTTGTCAACAGCTAATTAATTGCTAAATACATAAGTGATGTATGATGGCTGGATGCTGTCTTAGTTCAATTTGTGTTGCTATCACAGAATTCCTGAGACCAGGTGATTTATAAAGAAAATATGTTTATTTAGCTCACCATTCTGGTGGCCAGAAGGTTTACAATTGAGTGGTGACATCTGGTGAGGGCCTCAGGCTGCTTCCACTCCTGGAGGAAAGCAGGAATGGAACCTGTGTATGCAAAGAGATCATGTAGGAGAGAGGAAGCAAGAGAGAAAAACCCAGGATGCCAGACTGTTTTTAATAACCCCGTAGCTAATCCATTCCCAGGAGAACTCACCCTATCTGGAGAGCATTAGAGGGCATTAATCTATTCATGAAGGAGCTACTCTTATGATCCAAATGCCTTCCTCTAGACCCTACATCCCAACACTGCCACACTGGGAATCATGTATCAGCATGAGTTTTGGTGGGGACAAACTAAAAAAATAGCAGATGGCTTTCTGAAAATTTACATGAGGAGCCATAAAACTGAGGGATCAGGTAAATACATGAAAACCACAACCTAAGAGAATTTTAGTCTGGAAGCATTGAATTTTATTCTAAGAGTCCTTACACACAAAGCAAAAAAGAAAACTTTTATTTATTAGGTAATTCTCATTGATTAAAAGAATAAAACCTGCTATTTAGGAGAGATTCCCTGGTGCAATGTTTTTAAAGAAATATCTAATATATATATTAGAAATATCTAATATATATAAATATCTAATATATATAGGATTTATATATATTATATAAATATATATATAGTGTATATATATAGGACTTTTACAGCACAACCACATTCAACAGAAGTCTTACAAAAGGTGCACAGACACTGTTCATCTGGCCATTTGGATAGGGTCATTTTTATGTATTTTTTATTTATTTATTTATTTATTTTAGGAACACTAACCAATGTGTCATTTGTTCATTTTTTGTATTTGAAATATTTTCAGTGACTTTCTTGGCCTGAGATTCTTTGCCATACTGCTTAACTACTACATGACTACAACCAACCAGTTTATGAGGTTGTCCCTCTCTGTCAATTTTACAGAGGCCTACCAGTTTCCTCAGTTTGTTCTTGTCATCAACCTTAATTAGAGTGATTTGCTGTTCAGCTCACAGCGTCCCCACTGTCGTGACATACATAAATTTATCATAGTTGGATGCAAACACATAAAGGTGGGTGTGGCACTGAAGTAATCTAAAATCTTATATATAAGCTTCTGCAACAAATATCAGCTTAAAAGTCCATTAATTTAAATTAATGCTTGTTTTACAAACTGCTAAATGAAATTAGGCTCCCCAACAAGTGGGAGAGTAATTTTAAAATAAAGTATTAAATGAATTACATGGCATGTAATACAGTTATTCCCACTATTAAATAAGGTTAATTCTGATCACTTGGTGAAGGCAGGGTCTGTTGGAGTTCTCCATGGGAAAGTTACCATTGTCCACTTTACAATAACTATAGTTAGTTCTGCTATTACATTTCTTTGAAAATGTAAATTTGTTGGAATACCATTGATACATCAGAAAATTATTGCAGCAAAGCTACAATTGTGTTTGTTTATTTGTGATTTTTGTCATGGAGAAACACTAAATGAACACAGAAAATTGCACCCAGTTGAGCCATGGCATGTAGAAAGACACAAAATGCATACATGCATACACCTTAAAGCCAGCCATATTTGATATTACAACTTTGTATCCAATGTCAGAGAACTTCCCTTTCACCACTTCACAATGATTTACAAGCTACAATTCTTCCAACACTCATGAATATAAGCAAATTTCAAGTCTTTTTCAAGGTAAAGTGCCATATTTATTGTAGTTTATATATTACTTCATTATTTAATATGCTACCATTTTTATTAGGCTCCCATCTATTTTAATGTGTCAGTGATGCTGTCTTTGAGTATTCTGTCTGTCATCCCATTTCCCCATCATCCCTATGTTTTTGTTGTGCATTTTTGCATAGTATGGTGATTTTTAGGAACACTTATTCTGTTATAGCAGAACTGACTGTAATATGATGTAGATCTTTTAAGTCTGTGTATATATCCCATTTTCCATTAAAATTTTATCCATTGGCCGGGCATAGTGGCTCATGCCTGCAATCCCAGCCATTTGGGAGACTGAGGAGGGCGGATCACTTGAGGTCAGGAGTTTAAGACCAGCCTGACCAACATGGTGAAACCCCGTCTCTACTAAAAATACAAAAATTAGCCGGGCGTGGTGGCTTGCACCTGCAATCCCAGCCACTCGGAAGGCTTACGCAGGAGAATTACTTGAACCTGGGAAGTGGAGGTTGGAGTGAGCCACAATCGCACAGTGGCACTTTAGCCTGGCTGACAGAGCAAGAATCTGTCTCAAAAAAAAAAAAATTGTCTACTGATTTTAGCATCCATTGTCTGTATCGATTAATTATAACTATGGTGGATTTAATAGGGCATTTTTCTAATATCTTCTACATTTAGCAGTGGTAGTCTGCTGTGAGGATGAACTTTCACTATTCTCCTGTTTATTTATTTATTTATTTGATATCTGTTTTAACATGTGAATTTTTCTTCTAGTTCAATACATTATAGTTCACTGTCATCATTATTTATTTTGATTGTCAGATTTCCTAAATTAAGCCTGTGAGAGTTCTTTTAATCTGGCTCTTATTATCATTATGATTAATTATTATTTTGCCATAGTCCCATCATTTCCTGAGCTCTATGCTATGTTCACACACAGCTCACTATTGCAGGCTCATTGTATGCTTTCCCTGAATCAGCACTGGGATCAGTTACTACCTTTTATTGACTTCTTTTTCTGACAATAATACTTAGCATTCAAAACGTGGTAAGTGTGCTAATTGCTATTAGGGAACACTTGTTCTGAAAAAAATGTACTTTTTGCAAGACAAAAGTGAGTTTGTAAAAAAGATGTACTCCATTTGCATGGGGTTTAAACTTTTTGCATTTCTTACTTTTTCGTAAATTATAATCATTTTAGATTTTTTTCCTCTAAAAAGTCTAATTTGGTACACTCCTATTTTTGCCACTGGATACCTTTAAATAATGAACTAAGTATAAAACCTACTCTCTAACATGGATGTATAGATTAAGTTTGAGTCTAATATCAGGCCACAGGAATTTCAGGCTGAAAGAAAAAGATAATTTTACTATAGACTTTATTTTAGAAGATGTATTGTCTAAACAGTTTTCTAAATATTCTTAAGTACGGGTGTCAATCACTGCAATATTTTTTTTAAATTGACTTTTTTAATCTTAAGTTCTGGGATACATGTGCAGAACATGCAGGTTTGTTACATAGGTATACATGGGCCATGGTGGTTTTCTGCCCCTAACAACCTGTCGTCTAGGTCTTAAGTACCACATGCCTTAGGTATTTGTCTTAATGCTCTCCCTTCTCTTGCCCCCCACCCCAAGACAGGCCCCAGTGTGTGATGTTCCCCTCCTTGTTTCCATGTGTTCTCATTGTCCAACTCCCACTTATGAGTGAGAACATGTGGTGTTTGGTTTTGTGTTTCTGTGTAAGTTTGCTGAGAATGATGGCTTCCAGCTTCATCCATGTCCCTGCAAAAGACATGAACTCATTCTTTTTATTATTATTATTATACTTTACATTCTGGGATACATGTGCAGAACGTGCAGTTTTGTTACATACGTATATATGTGCCATGGTGGTTTGCTGCACCCATCAAGCCATCATCTACATTAGGTATTTCTCCTAATGCTATCCTTCCCCTTGCCCCCCATCCCCCAACAGGCCCCGTGTATGATGTTCCCCTCCCTGTGCCCATATGTTCTCATTGTTCAACTCCCACTTATGAGTGAGAACATGCAGTGCTTGGTTTTCTGTTCCTGTGTTAGTTTACTGAGAATGAAGGTTTCCAGCTTTATCCATGTCCCTGCAAAAAACATGAACTCATTCTTTTTTATGGCTGAATAGTATTCCATGGTGTATATGTGCCACATATTGTTTATCCAGTCTAACCTTGATGGGCAATTGGGTTGGTTCCAAGTCTTTGCTATTGTGAACAGTGCCACAATAAACATACGTGTGAATGTGTCTTTATAGTAGAATGATTTATAATCCTTTGGGTATATACCCAGTAATGAGATTGCTGGATCAAATGGTATTTCTGGTTCTAGATCCTAGAATAGTTGAGTTCTTGCATTTAAAAGAGATATGTGAATGCATCAGCTAAAATAAATCAAGGAGATCAAATCTATTTTTTGCTTTCATTGTCATGAAAATGAATTATTTTATAGCATGAACAAATAAAAAAGAAAGAAACTAAACTAGGAGCTTCACTAAACCTAAGCCATAAATTTTTCCGGCACATCTATTTTTCTTAATTAAAAAAGTCAATTTCTCTTTTTTCCATCCACCACAAAACTAACCCTATCCACACAAACATATATAGATATAAATCTGTTTTAATTATGTTTAATTTCTTTTAAAAACTTGAGTAACTAATATGAATATATAACTATAAAAACATCATTTAATGTTGTTGAAATAGTATGGATAAAGGAGTAATTGTTAGAGAATATTTAAAGACACTCACAGTTAAATCTCAACTGCCTTCAGAAGAAGTCAGGATTATACAAGCAAGCTATATACCAATGTTAATTAATGCCCAAATTACTGGACAAGTTGTGTGTCAACTTATGTGCATGCCATTTAGGTGATCAAACATCTATTTATACAGCATCAATTGTCAATGTGTGCTGGCCATTGGGCTAGGCCCTGAGTATACATATGATACAAATGTCATATTTTGTATATATTTTAATAGAATATATATTCCTAAATTTGACATTCTTGTGGTGGTAAAAGATGTTATAATATACTGTAACAGGTTCTATAATGAAGGTGGTCTCCACATTAATAGTAGCAGCATGGATTATGTGTCAGGTACTGTTTGAAGCATTTATATATGTGAACTCAGTTTACTCTGACAATCCTAAGAGGTAGATTAGCAGATGTGGAAACTGGAGATGGGGAGGTCCAGAGAGTTTGAATAACTCATGCACGGATGCACAGCAGGTCTGTGGTAGAACTTGGAATCAGACTCAGGATATCTGCCTGGAGCATCCATGTTTTTAACTCCTTCTTTCTGTGGCCTCATGATGAGAACAGTAAGAAAGAAACATTTCTTCTGGAGGAATTTAGAGCAGGATTCACTGTAGAGATCTGCATCAGGCTCCTGCCCTTGCTGAGCTTTCAACTCAGTGTGTGTGTGTGTTATAGGGTATGATGTGAAGAATCCTTGTTGAGGTTTTGTGAGAAAGGAAATTGAATCAATGGAAGGTTTAGGTCATGATTAGCTTTAATCTTTTAAATTATTATCAATATTTACTATGGATTATTTAGAATATAGTGTATATAAAAACAAGAAAACTATAATCAAGGGTAATTCACTTGAAAGCCACATAATTATCTTTCTCATAATGCCATAAATATTGAATATGCAACTATTATCTTGAACTAGGCAGAATGAATTATATGCATAAGTAATTATTGCTAAAGAAAAATCCCATCTGCTGATATAATGGCTCTACTTGTTACATAAACTTAGAAAGCAAATCATTCTAGTTAGTGTTAACGGAATTATCAGTGTGAATCTTCTTATGGTGATTACATTTGTAGGTCCTTAAAGTTGATTGAATTTTAGGGGAAATTCTCAAATTAACCTCCTGTTGTTTCATTTTCCAGTGGTTTACATCTCTAGTGTTCTTTGTGGTTTTAAGCTATTCTACATGTATTAACCTTGTTGCTTTTTAAATTTTATGACAATGTACAAGCCATTTATGGCTTTTCTTTGGAATTGTCTTCTTCCAGTCTACCTAATGCATTTGGAATTAGCTTACGCTTTTATTCTTAGTTCCTCTTTATCATTGAATACATAATCTGTATTCAGTAGTTCATGTGTTTTGAAACAGACCTCCCAGGTGTGTCACTAATTATTGTTACCTAGTCTCTTATCTCATTTGTTTGAGACGGGCTGTTTGAGGCTGTTCTTTACTGCATCGGTGGTAAACTGAGTCATGAATGCCCCTGCCTCTGTAGTGGGAGGCATGAGCAGACTTGCGAGCATATTTATCTGTTTTAAAGAAATGAAGAGAAATGGCAAAGCCTGAAATCAATTTAATTGTTTATTCTTAGTTTCTGTCTATTCACACCATAGCCTGGTGATAAATAACTCTTTCCAATTGTATTTGTCTTTTGTCTAATTTATTACTCTGAAGTTGGTGAGAGCTATCTTAAGTAAATAGAGTTGCTTTTCAATTGTACATTTATATTAAATAAGACTCCTTGGAGCAGGCTAAGAGGAATAAGAATAGTAGTTAGAAAGGAGAAACTGGATTTCTGGACCCATGTTCCTCAATTTGTTGCCATCTGCAGATGAGGATGAACACATAGATAATGAAGCTTTTCCTCACAGACACATATTATGCTTGCCTTAGCCATTCCCCTCTTTCTGAGGTTTGCTTGGCAATTCTCTCATTGAGAATCGACAAGTTAATAAAATTTCCTTCTTCTCTACTGCACTACTGTAACTTTAAGGAACCTCAATACTGTATCTATTGCCAGTAGGGGTGGGTGGAAGAAATTGTTTTAAAATTTGGGTAACTCTTTTATGTAAAGGGTATTGAAAGATAATTAAATTAAAGAACAGGAGTAAGGAGGGTACTGTGTGGAAACTTATTAGGAATATCAGAGAATGAAGAGATTGGTTATAAGAGATTTCTGGTGTGAGAACCAAAAGGAGTTTTGTATAACTACCTTCAAAATATTCTCCTTATAAGCTCCTGAAATAATTTTTTAAAACATGTACATCCTTTTACTTATTTATTCTCAAATCTATCATTTTCCTTATAAGATGAAATTGGCATGGGTATGATTTTCAGTAATTATAACATGTTTATTTAGAAATAATTATTATACTTAAAAATGTGTTCAATGATATAGCCACACTTTAGCAATATTATACTCACAATCATCCATTTTTGAAATATGTGCCCAAGAAATTATTGTCAGAAAGAGTACATGATTTTCTCCTTTAATTTTCATTTCCTTTTATTTCTCAACAGAACTTCATCTGAATGAAATGCGCTATTTTATTCTTCAAAGACTTAGTTGGTATTGACCTATAGTTGGCAGTGTTGCCCCTCAGAGAGACTTTATATCTTAGAACAGTGTTTTTCAAAAGAACTTTCTATGACAGCAGGAATGTTCTAATCTTCACTGCTTAATACAACACCCACTAGGTCAGATAAGTCTACTGAGTAAATTGAAATGTGGGCAGTAGGCTGATAAGCTGAATTTTTAACCTTATTTACTTTTAATTAATTTAAATGTAAATAACCGCATGAGGTTAGTAACTATGTCTTGGATAGCACAGTATTAGGGCAATGCATTTAACACAGGATGTTTGAGAAGTGGGCTTTACTTTTTGTTAAGTGGGCGAAGAACAAATGTAAAAACAAAGTGGAAAGCGAGAACCCTGTGATGACTCAATGGCAGATGGATTCTTCAATGTATCAGTTTTTCAGGGAAAATACACACACACACACACACACACACACACACTTTGAAAATCTTTGTGGATCCTTCCCTGACTTGTGAAAATTGATGGCTCAAGCTTTCTGGATATGTGTGGAGAATATTTTTATTCATAATTTAATTTTATGATTTCTAAATGAGTTTATTTCCTCAAGACTCTGAAGTAAGACAATAAAGAGCTTGCCTAAAGCAAGAAGCAAATAACATCAACTTAGAACTATGTGATTAGAAACTATAAATCAATTACAGTTGTTTAGGTTGTGCCCTGAAATCTTAAGTTTTTGTTGGATTAATTTTCATATCATCTGTAATTTGTACTGAGTATATAATGATTGGGTGGCTTGGTATAGAAAAAGTACTCTGAGCAAGATTAGAATACCAACACTAAGCAGGTGAAAATTCTCTGCCATTCTTTGCATTGTGGCATCCTGTTCAACCATTATATAGGGAGACTTTTATCTGAAATATATCTACATGTTTCTAATGTTATTATTGCAGGGCTTCTTCAGAAATTTGTGAAAAGAAATATTAGAAATATTTATGAATTTCATATTTTATATGGCTTGACAAATCTGATAACTAGAATCCTGGGAAATTAAATAATAATTTGGATAAATGTACTAACTTTATTCTCTTGGAATAAAAGAACTGTCAAAATAATACTTCTTCCTGATAATATCATTTGAGAGAAAATAAAGACCACTACCCTGAAAATAGAAACCGAAGCATTTGTCTGCAGAGAAGAAACATATGATATAGGTCTTAGTGTTGTGATCTACCCTACTATGAGCCCACCAAGAATATATTACACTTATTTTGCTTTTTTTTTTAGCATCATATTTTGGTTTGTTTTTACAATTTACCCCTATCTTTTTAAATTCACCTGTAGCTATGATTTAAAAACAGTAACAGGTACCTTCTTTTACAATGTAAAAATGAAATAAAAATAGCCTATAATAGTATGAATTTAATTGAAAACTGTTTTTAGTAGTTGTCCATGAACTCGATTTTCTCTTCTCAAAGTGAGATTATACGTTACTAGGGGATAAAACACTCCTCTTAACTGAAAAATGGTTGACTGCTGCAATATATGCTGAATCCAAATGCTGAAGAGACTATGTGCTCTCAATGGCAACACATATCCTTATTGAAAAATGTATTTCTTTTAAAGATTTTTGACGGAATACAACATTGACTTCATAAAGGATTTGGTCTGTTAATGCAATGATTTTTTTTTTCTGAAAAATATTTTTATTTTATGGCTTATGGTGTTAGGATAATTTCATTTTCCTATTTTATTAAGTTATAGATACATAGACATACCATGTTAGCGTGTGTATGTTTCAGATGTAGTTGCTTAAAATTAAAAAATAAAACTAGTAATAAACTTATCGTACAGTAAACTATGTATCAAACACAATGACTTTAAATTTAGAACTGCCTCCACATTTTGCGCTGCCTCGGAACAAATGTAAATCTTGCAGGTAGTGGTGTGATAGATGCTCCCAAGTGCCTAGTTTCTTTGGAACATGCTAAGGATTGAACGGCTCCTAACACATCAAATTTACATGTTGATTCCCTTATGTAACTGCATCTGGAGATGAGGCCTTTCTATAGGATCGGTGGCCTTAGAAGAGGAAGAAAGAGAGAGTGTGGGAAATCTGTGCGTGTACCAAGGAAAGTTCACGTGAGGACTTATAAGACGGACACCTTCTGCAAGCCAGAGAACCACCCTTAGCTTAAACTGACCATGTTGGCACCATCATCTTGGACTTCTAGCTTGCAGAACTGAGAGAAAATATATTTCGGTTGTTTAAGCCATCATACCTGTGACCTTTTTTTATGGCAGCCCAAACACACTGAATGAGCATTTTACATTTTATTAATTAAATGATAAAAGTTTTTGGTATCTAGAATATATAGTTAGGCCCCTGAAATCAAAATTACCAGCATTATGTTTGACTTTTTACTTCTATCAATGGACACATCATTTATTTTCAAAAGTAATCATAAAGAGAATCAATAGCCATTTATGTAAAATTTCACCTGTAAACAAACATATTAGAGCCGCTTTCTCTCTCTCTCTCTCTCTTTATTTCTCTCTCTCTCTCTCTCTCCCTTTCTTTCTGTCTATATATATATATATATATATACAGATAAATATACTTGAAAAATATTGGGGGTATTTTATTAGAAAGATATTTTTTCTTACAGTTCTACCTGCTTGTTTATATTAAAGGGTTGAAGTCAGACTTATTGTCAGAAGGATGAATGCCTTCATTATGATTGCAGGGCATGGCTGAGGAAAGAAAAGACTGAAGTGGGAACAGTAGGAGACTTGCTGAGCTAGGAGAAGTGTTGCTTGGGACAGTTGCTTTGTCATAGACACCTAATATATCAAGGCATGCAGGAAATACACACGCCTTCTAGAGAATCCAGGCAGGCAACACAAGTGTTGATTATACGTGGTACTATGTAGTGGTAAATCGTAGCATTTGTTACGTGATTTCATATAGGATTTTGCAATCTAGGCACACTCTGCCTTAAATTAAAACATCACGATATGTACTTAAAACATTTTAATGTATATTTCCCAAATGTTCTAATTGGCAAGACCTACCACTCTGATTTTATTTTTCAACCACAGAGAAATTTTGATGAAGCATGTTCATTAGGCTGCATTAATTATACATCCAACAAACGTGAAACAGGTGTTTGGCTGTAAGAGGAATATTTCATCAAAAAATTGATTGTAAACTAGTACTTCATATTATATACTTATTTATGAACCCCCTCACAGAACATTAATAAAAATTATGATTAAAAACCTAGCTTCTCATTTAGGAAATACCCTTCTTAGATGAACACTGTTGTATTTATGCTATAAAATAATTAATATTTCTATTTATGCATTAATTTTTTATTTTCAACTTTTTTAAAAGTTCAGCTTTACTGTGCTAATTTCATCAAAATTGAGGGTTCTCAGACTGAAAGAACCCTCAGTTTCTTTCTCAGTTTTCAGTCTGAAAACTGAAATTATTCTTGAACCTGTATCATCATATTGAAAATAAAGTAAAACATTATATGATGGTTCAGGTTGAGTCTACCCTTCCCAGTAGGTCACAGTTGGTGCTTTCAGAGTTATAAGCTTCTCTCAGTACATCAGTCCTTTCTGTAAAATCTGGATTCACCTTTATTGCTATTACTTTTAAGAGGCACAAATTCCAAACATTCTGACATAGGTAAGTAATCAGGTTTGTTTATTCCTTTAGAAAGTTCAAGCTTTTGGAAATTACACCATGTGGTGAGAGGTCTTAAAAAATAAAACAGGCTTTCTCAGCCTTTAATAGAAAAGCACCTCTCAAAAGCTTTGTGCAAATTCTGAATTATCATATATAAGCACCACTGAAGAGGACGCTTGTGATGTCCACACCACACACTTGAGGGCTGTGTATTCAGAGCCTCATATTTTACTGCCCCAAGTTTTTGCAGATATTGGCCCTGGCATTAGTTTACAAAGAATAGTCCCTTCAGAGACTCCTTAGTGTTAAAGGCACAATTCCTTCAATATCCACTGCCTATGGAGTAGCACTGGGAGGAGGTAAGTCAGGAAGACCAAACCTTTCGGTATTTGAAGTCAGGTACCACCAGTACCTTTCCTTCACACCTAATCTCCCTGTTTTCCTTAAATATTATATCCATCTATGAGTGTGTGGATATACACATATGTATACATCCCTTCCCTAACAGTTTGTGTACTTATGGATCAAAAAGACCATACAGACATACCTCAGAGAGAGTGCAGGTTCTAGACCACTGCAATAAAGCAAATATTGCAAAAAAGCACATTGTACATATTTTTTGGTTCCCCATTTCATATAATGATTATGACTAAACTATACTGTAGCCTATTAATTGTGCAATAGCATTATGTTTATAAAAACAATGTACATACCTTTATTACAAATACTTTATTGCTAAAAATTCTAACAGTCATCTATCCCATCAGTCGGTCATAATTTCTTGCCAGTGTAGGGTCCCGCCACCATGCTAATTGCTTTTGACTAATCTGGGTGGTGGTTGTCGAAGGTTAGGGTGGATGGCTGTGGCAGTGTCTTAAAATAAGAATGATTTTGTTGCATTGATTGTCTCAGATTTTCACGAAGGATTTCTCTGCAGCATGCAATGCTCTCTGATGGCACTTTGACTATAGTAGACATTCTTTCAAAATTGGAGACAATCCTCTCAAATCCTGCCACTGCTTTATTTACTAAGTTTATGGAATATTCTAATCATTTATTGTCTTTTGAAAAATGTTCGCTACATCTTCACCAGGAGTAGATCCCACCTCAAGAAACCACTTCCTCGGCTCATCCACAAGAAGCAACTCCTCACCAATTCAGTCTTTAACGTGACATTCCAGCAATTCAGTCACATATTCGGGATCCATTTCTAATTCTAGTTCTTTTGCTGTTTCCACCACCTCTGTAGTAACTTCATCCATGGAAATCTTGAACCCTGAAAGTCATCTGTGAGAGTTGGAACCTACTTTTTCCAATCTACTGTTCATGTTGATACTGTGATCTGCTCCCATGAGTCACAAATGTTCTTAATGGCATCTAGAATGGTGAATCCTTTCCGGAAGGTTTTCAGTGCACTTTTCCCAGATCTATCAGAAGAATCACTATCTATGGAAGCTACAGCCTTATGAACTGTATTTCTAAAATAATGACTTGAAAGTAAAAATTTACTCCTTGATCCATAGGCTACATGTTGTGTTACTGGGCATAAAACAACATTAATCTTCTTGCACCTTGGCAACTAGATGCATTGTCAATAAGCAGTCATATTTAGAAAGGAATCTGTTTTTCTCTGAGCAGGGTGGTCTCAACAGTGGGTTTAAAAATATTCTATTTACTGTGCTGTAAACAGATGTGCTGTCATCTAGGCTTTGTTGTTCCATTTATAGAACACAGGCAGAGTAGATTTAACATAATTCTAATGGGCCCTAGGATATGGGGAATGGTAAATGAGAATTAGCTTCAACTTAAAGTCACCAGCTGCATTAGCTCCTAGCAAGAGAGTCAACCTGTCCTTGGAAGCTTTGAAGCCAAGCATCGACTTCCCTTCTCTAGCTATGAAGGTCTAAGATGGTATGCTTCTTCCAATAGAAGTCTGTTTCTTCTTAATTAAAAATCTATTGGTGAGTGTAGCCAATTCCATTAAGTATCTTAGCTAGATCTTCTGGATAACTTGCCGTAGCTTCTACATCAGCACTTGCTGCTTCACCTTGCACTTTTATGTTATGGAGATGGCTTCTTTCCTTAAACCTCATGAACCAACCTCTGCTAGTTTCAAGATTTTCTTCTTCAGCTTCATCACCTTTCTTAGTCTTTGTAGGATTAAGAGAGTTAGGTTTGTGCTCTGGTTTAGGGCTTGGCTTAAGGAAATGTGGTTGGTTTGATTTTCTATGTAGACCACCACAATTTACTTCATATCAGCAATAAGGTTGTTTTGCTATCTTATTATCCGTGTGTTCACTGGAGTAGCACTTTTGCTTCAATAACTCTTCCTTTGCATTTGCAACTTGACAAACTGGCACAAGAGGCCTAGTTTTTGGGCTGTCTTGGCTTTTGACATGCTTTCCTCACTAAGCTTAATCATTTCTAGCTTTTGATTTAAATGGAGGGATATGGGACTCTTCCTTTTACTTGAATACTTAGAGGCCATTGTTGAATTATTAACTGGACTAATTTTTGTATTTCTCTAGTTTTGGGGGCATAGGTGGTTTTTGGTAATTAGGCTAATGTTAATATTGTAGTGTCTCAGGGAATAGGGGAGCCTGAGGAGAGGGAAATTGATGGGGGGATGCAGGACTTTGGAACAGTCGGAACACACATAACATTAGTTAATCAAGTTTACTGTTTTATATGGACATGGTTTATGAGTCCCCGAAACAATGACAATAGTAACATCAAAGATTCTCTGATCACAAATCACCGTAACAGATATAATAATAATAATAATAAAGTTGGAAATTTTAAGAGAATTACCAAAATGTGACACAGGGATGAGTTGAGCACATGCTATTGCAAAATTGGCACTGATGGACTTGCTCAATACAGACTTACCAGAAACATCAGTTTATAAAAAAATGCAATAGCTGTGAAGCATGATAAAATGAGGTATGCCTCTATGTGCTAAGACACATTATACTCAGCTCTAAGAAGTTATTTAAAAATGGAGTTGGCTCAATTTCTGTTCATTTAAAATTCTGCCAAACATTTTGTTTGGCATATATTGGTTAATTGTTAGATGTTTGAATATCTTTATTATGTTATTTTTGTAATGTGTTTTCAATCATCAGATTTTTAAAGTCTTAGTAACAGTACATATATATTTAATGAAATGTCTAGGGCATGGTACCTTCCCCAGAGGAGAATTCGCAGGTCATTAAATTTTGTGAGGTTGCTTTTTTTTTTTTTTTTTTTTTTTTTGTGGAGGAAATGAGAGGAGTTCTTCTAATAACTTCTCCCGCTGAATAAAATGACCTAGATTTTTTGTGTACTGGCAAAGCTGGAGGAGGATATTTTTACATTGCCATTTTGTCCTCAAGAGTTATCTAACTGTTTTCACCATATGAAATCCCTTTCAAGTTTCTCGTCTGACAATGAGGATATGCTGCTGGATTTGTAGTATCAGAAAGCTGGGAGGCAAAAGGTAAGAGTTAGCTGAAAATAGGAGATAAGAGTGCAGGTTTCTTCTGACCATTAAAAAAATAATCTACCCAGAAAAAGAAAATTAGCATGGCATCTTCTTGCCCTGTTCATTATCTTTTATGTATGAAGAGGATTTATTTTAATTATTTTGAAATGGCTGTTAAAACAATTTCAATTATTATTTAAAAAAAAAAAACAATGTAAGGCTGAGCGCGGTGGCTCACGCCTGTAATCCCAGCACTTTGGGAGGCCAAGGCGGGCAGATCACGAGGTCAGGAGATCAAGACCATCTTGGCTAACACGGTAAAACCCTGTCTGTACTAAAAATACAAAAAATTAGCCGGGTGTGGTGGCGGGCGCCTGTAGTCCCAGCTACTTGGGAGGCTGAGGCAGCAGAATGGCGTGAACCTGGGAGGCGGAGCTTGAAGTGAGCCAAGATTGGGCCGCTGCACTCCAGCCTGGGTGACAGTGCGAGACTCCGTCTCAAAAAAAAAAAAAAATTGTAAATGATCTTAACATAAATTTTAACCTTGACCAAGCTGTACACATTTGACTTTTAATTCCTTAAACTTGATGGAATGAAACATCTTTATTTCACACTCAATTTCCACTGGACTGATTGCCAACATGGTGCTTAATTTTTTTCTACTTGTAAAATTTGCCCTACATGTAGGTAATTAATAGATACGATAAGTGAATTTACCAGTCTCTGGAAGTGAGATGTACAACCATACGCCAGGCTCTTCAGCTTCCCTAATGAAATGTTCTTCATGATTTATGTAGTTGGTGATTGAAAGATATTGAACCATTTAAAAAAACATAAAATTATTATCCTTAATTTTCTCACTATTAATATCAAATTTGAATTATTTGTCAGGTGATCAGTACACAGGTATTCAATAACAATGCTATTATGTTCTAGTTAGAACAATGGAATAGAACAATGGATTGAGGTCATTGAGTCCATTCACCCATGTGACAGTTTTTTCCTTTCTTCTCTAAGTGGTTATAGAATTTATACCTGTATATATTTAGTAATGTTCATATTCAATATATTCCAATTCGTATTCAATAAGTTCCAAACTCTGTTCAAAACTCTCTACCTTAGAACCAGTGGATCTTTCAGCATATAGAAAAGTAAAATTATTCATTTTCATTGACTTATACAGATTCTTTAAACACACATTTTAAATTCAAAAGGTAAACACCTATAAATGAATATTATGTCAATGGAGAAATATATTTATTAAAAAGATTACTGGTGTTAACATTTCCAACTTGGAAGCAAAGACCCTTTCTTCTGTCTTTGTACATTGTACTCTCACCAGTAACTGCAATAACATTATACACAAATGAGAGGTGTTACATAAATGTATATATGTATATAGACAGCTATAACTATAGATATTGATACATTCATATATATACTACACATAATATTAATGTAGTTCTGAAAATTACATTGGACAAAATAGTTTGTTCTCTTCTCCTAATCTGAAAACTAGTAATAATCTATGAAGGAAAAATGCAAATGACATGATCTTATGTGTAGAAAACCCTAGAGTCCACAAAAAATACTTCTAGAAATAATAAACAAATTGAGTAAAATTTTAGTAAATAAAATCAACATGCAAAAATCAGTTGCATTGTTGATACACTAACAGAAAACTATCTGCAAAATTTATTATGAAAACAATCCCATTTACCATAGCACCTATAAGAAATAATCACTTAGGAATAAACTTAACTGAGGAGGTAAGAAACTTGTACACTGAAAAATACAAAACACTGATGAAAAAAATCAAATCACACAAACAAATGGAGATACATCCCATGTTCATGAATTGGGATACTGGATACTGTTTACATGTCTATACTACCTAAAATTATCTACAGATTCAGTGCAATATCTGTCAAAATTCAAATGGCATTTCTTAATGAAATAGAAAAAAAATCTAAAATTTTTTGTGGAATTACAAATGACCCTGAATCCACAAAATAACCTTAAGAAAGAACAAAATTGAAAGCATTGAAATTCCTGATTTCAAAATATATGACAAAGCTACAGTAATTAAAACAGTATGGTACAAACATAAAGACACATATAGGCCAATGAAATAGAATAGCAAATCCAGAAGTGAAAGCACGCATGATTGGTCAACTGACCTTTCACAAGGTTACCAAGCATACAAGATTGGAAAATAATAGTTTCTTCAGCAAATGGTGCTGGGAAAACTAGATATTCAAATGCAAAATAATAAAATTGGACCCTTATCTTACAAAAGACACAGCAATAAACTGAAAAGGAATTAAAGGGTTGAACATGAGACTTGAAACTCTAAAACTCCTAAAAGAAAACACAGAGTAAAAGCTTCATGATATTAGCCTTGTCAGTGATTTCATGGATATGACTCTAAAAGCACAGGCAAATTAAGAGAAAATAAACAAGTATGTCTACATAAAACTAAAAACCTTTTACACAGCAAAGAGAGCAATCAACAGAGTGAAAAGGAAACCTAAGGAGTTGGAGAAAATATTTGCAAACCATATATCTGATAAAGGTTTAATTTTTAATATACATAAGGAACTCCTACAGCTCATTTCCAAAAATCTAATAACCTCATTAAAAAATGAGCTAAGGGCTTAAGTAGAGATTTCTCCAAAGAAGACATAAAAATGGCTAACAGATATATAAGAATGTGCTCAACATCACTAATTGTCAAGAAGTGCAAATCAAAACCACAATGAGATATCACCTCATGCCAGTTAGGATGACTATTATTTTTTTTAAAAAAAGACAAGTGTTGATCAGGATATAGAAAAATTGGAACCCTTGAACGCTGTTAGTAGGAATATAAAATGTGAAACAACTGTGGAAAATATTGTGGAAGTTTTTCAAAAAATAAAAAATAGAGCTACCATATGACCCATCAATCCTATTTTTGGATATTTGTTCAAAATAATTTCAATAAATATCTTAAAAAAGATATTAGCACTACCATGTACACTGCATCTCTATTCACAATAACAAACATGTGGAAACAACCTAAATGTCCACAGATGAATGGATGAGTAAAATGTAGTATATCCATACAAAGGAATCTTACTCAGCCATAAAAAAGAAAATTCTGCCATATGTGACAACATGGATGAGCCTTGAGGATATTATGCTAGGTAAAATAAGACAGTCAACGAAGGACAAATACTGCATGATTCCAAGGTATGAAAAATAATCAAACTAATAGAAGCAGTGAGTAGCATGGTGGTTGCTGGGGTCTGAGTGAAAGAGAAATAGGGAGTTACTATTCAGCAGGTGTATAATTTAAGTTAGCCAAGATGAATAAGTTCTAGAGATTTGCTGTGAAATATCATGCCTAGAGTTAACAAGACTGTATTGTACTTTTAAAAATCTGTTAAGAAGGTAGATCTTATATTAAGTATTCTTACTACAAATTTTAAATAAAAATTAAAACAATAAAAATGTAAAAATATTACTTGGGCCTAAAATAAAATATGCTGAAACTATGAAGAAAAAATTTAAACATTATTCATAAGATCATAGCTCCTATGTTGTACTTTTTCTTGTTCTTCAAGCTAGCAATAGTGTATATCGCCAAATGGCGTTGCCCTTTTATGGTAATAAAAGACCAAGTAGTCTATAGTTTTGATTGTGGACCACAAAGGCTTTATCATTAGATATCCAGCAACTTCAGTATTTAGCATTTTTCAAAAGACATGGAGCATAAAAAATTTATATTTCTCTTCTTTTCTCATAGTTCATGAGAATTGGTGTCTGAGAAGAATACATTACCATTAGCAGCAAGAATCTGTTGAAGTTATACTTGCCAGTGTGTTTGGTGCTGTGTTAGAAAGTTGGTATGGGAAACTGGCTTTTGTCTTAAAAGGCCTATAAATTAGATACAGATTGAGAAATTGTGGGTGGGATAATATTATATGTAGCAAAGCTTTATTCTTATTTTGTCAATTTTTAGGTGATTTTATTACATTACTTTTTAAGTACTAACAATCTCTCTTTTTTCCTCTTCAGAAAACAATTGAATCTGATAAAAATCATCAACAATTTTATATGAATTAATTTAATCCATCTTTTTACCCTGGTTCCCAGAAGCATTTGCATTTTTAAAAAATAATTTCTTTTTAATGGTGAACTACTATGTAAACATGTATGTTTCTAGTAGTAGAAATTCATACTTTTTAAAGAACCATGTGGATACATTTTGGGACCACTGTGATGCCTATTAAATCTGGATACATCAACAACAAACTATCTTGCTTATACGTAAATTTATCTAGTCTGTATAATACAATAAAGAATATGTTTGTTTTGCATTCCTTTTTTAACTTTAAATTCTCAAGAGGAAAAAAAAGTCACTTGGTTAACTATTCAAATAAAAGTTCTTGAAAAGTTACTGAATTCCAAAACCATGAATAATACAGAAAAAATAAGTGCAATTTGGAAATAATTTGAATATTTACTGCAATAAAATAAAAAATATTCATTGCCTAAGAGAAAATCAAATCACCTTCCTATTTATAAAAAAGTTTATTTTATATATATAACTATATATGTCTATAACAAACTATGGTGTATATATACTATATATGATTAAATGCTCAAATTATGAATGTTAAAGACTGCTAATGATCATATCATATTTTATCAATCAAAGTTCTAAATGTAATTGTAATTCTTAAAATTTTGATTTTGCTCCCCAAAGAAGAGTTTATAAAAAAAAATACATAAAAGAAAAATTAAATATGCAGAGTTTAGAAGTATCTATACTTGTACAAAAATGAACAAGTAAATATATGTATCTATGTATAAATTTGTATTTATTGATTGGTAGTTGATTATTCATTTTATAAATATGTTATCCAAGTTATAAACTGACCTTTACTCACTTGTTCCATATGAATAATTGATTTAAAATGTAGATTGGATTTGTTAGCTGATATGAATTGACATTAATGTAGTGTAATACTGATCTACAAAGCTTACACATAAGGGAACAGTAAGCATTGTCAAGTCATTGTCATTTGATTCTCCATCTGTGTGCCTTCTTTGAAGTAACTTTATTTCCACGGTTTTGCATTGCTTGGAACCCTGAGAATACCATGGCTCATCCTGGTATCTTGCTCATTTTTCAGTCAGGAGGCCTAGGTTATGCTGAATTTAAAAAGAATCCCCAGTGATCAGTGATTTGACACAGTTTTAAAAATTTCTTTTGCACTGTGTGTCCAATGTGAGTTGCCAGGGAGGCCCTAATCATTGACTACTGCCACAGTGAGATAGAGACTTGGCAAATCAGGCCCTGACTTTCAAAGTATTCACCAGGAAGTGACACACATCACCTTCCCTCACATTACATTAGCCAAGTCAAATCACTTGGACATGCCCAACTTCAAAGGAGATGAAAATTACAATCTTACCATGTTCCCAGAAAAAGCGGAATTGATTTGGTAACCAGCTCTAATGACTAACTTATCTACCTGTTCCTTATTTCCTGTATGCTTGCAATTGCCATTGCTCTTCTTTGATGATTCTTCCCACTCCCAATTTCTTCTCTCACTTTAAAATATTTTCATTGTATTTTTGAAATTCCATTCCATAGTAAACACTCTTAACCACATCCAAATTGTTTAACTTCCTCCTAAACTAACAGCTGAGTGTCTCACAAGAAAAACTGCTTGTCCTGTTGCACTTATAGTCATTCACTGATATACTGATATTCCTCATACTGGTAACTACAGTTTAGACATTATCCTTATATAACTTCCAAACAACATTTTTAAAATAAACGCTTCATTAAATCACACACACACACACACACATACACACACAATCATAAAACCAAATAATAACAGTGACAAAAAGAAAAACAAAAACAAAATACTGGTACCATTTTCTATCCTTCAATAATGTTAACTGAAGATCATCTTCTCCTCAGCTATTTTTCACCAGGTTGTCTTTGGCTCTGATAACACAAAAATCAGTACAATTCTGTTCATTTTTCTTCCAAACTGGTAGTTCTTTCATTTATTTAAATAATATCTATCCTAGATCTCATGATAAGTAATTTCAGTCCTCTTGACAGTACCCTTAAATTATTTTTTTTTCTTTCCTTTCTACCACATGGACAGTTTCAACTCCAGTGCAATAAAAAGATCAAATATTTGTCTTCTCTAGTTATACTTTAATACTCTAAACCCTGGTTTGCAACCTTAGGTTGGTCCTTAATGTGCTTATCAAACCTTTTGTGTGATTTTTATTAGGTAGCTTGTATTTTTCTCCAAAACCTCACCAAAGTCCTGTACTCTCCACCCACAACCTTTCTTCCATTTCCTCCTTCCCTCTCAACAAATTGACCTATTTTCTCTTCAGAAATAAAATAGAAACCTGACTCACCATGAGAAATGAAGGTACTTGTGCGTTCAACTTTGATTGCTGCTTTCTGTTAAAGTAGAAATTAAATAAAAATCATTTGTCTAAGCTCCATTCCCCCCAACCCACCACCGCATACTTATGGATCATAGGAGCACTATCTCTCTGTATAGCATCTTCAAGCCTTTCCTCCGGCCCTTTCCATTAGCATTTACCCATGGTCAACATTTTTTATTCTATGCAAACTCACCATTCTTGGCAGTATACTTTCTCTCAATGATTATTGCGTCATTCATTTCACAGTTTCTTGAAATCTTCTACTCACATAGTCACACATTCTCTCTCCCTCTCTTTCCTATTTGTGACATTTCATTACTTACTCTATCAGTATAATTTGTCTTGACATCCTTTAATTTTTACTGATTTTTTTTGTTAAGGTAAATAAGCTTTTTTTGTAACTACATCTAACAGCCTATCTTCTTATTACCATGCCATCTATAGCCTGATCTGGCAACCTCTTGAATGGTGGTTTTTCTGTGTTTCTTAGTCCTAATCATAGTTTTTACTTCATATATATATACGTGTGTGTATATATATATATACATATATATATACACACACGTATATATATATATACACACACGTATATATATATACACACACACGTATATATATATACACACACGTATATATATATACACGTATATATATATACACGTATATATATATGTATATATATGTGTGTGTGTATATACACACACACACACACACACACACACAGATATGTATATGGTTCCATGGTTTTATAAGATGTATATGGAGAAGTTGAGTAAAGGACATGTGGTAAAGGGATATATAACGTAAAATGAAATGCCATTACACAACTATAGAATGTCTAAAAAGTTTTTAAAGAAATGGTAGCCAGGTGTGGTGGTTCCCACCTGTAATCTCAGCACTTTGGGAGGCCTAGGCGGGTGGATCATGAGGTCAGGAGTTCAAGACCAGCCTGACCAACATGATGAAATCCTGTCTGTACTAAAAATACAAAAAAAAAAAAAAAAAATACCAGGGTGTGGTGGCGCACACCTGTAGTCCTAGCTACTCAGGAGGCTGAGGCAGGGTAATTGCATGAACCCAGGAGGCAGAAGTTGCAGTGAGCCAAGATAGCACCATCGCACTACAGCCTGGGTGACAGATCAAGACTCCATCTCAGTAAATACATAAATAAAGAGAAATGGCAACAGCAAATGCCGGTGAGGTAAAGTGGTACAACCGCTTTGGAAGACAATTTGGCAGTTTCTAGTAACATTAAAGATACACCTATCTTCTGACCTGGCAATCCCACTCCTAGGTATTTATCTGAGAGAATTAGAAACATATTCACACAAATTAACTTGCCTATGAAGGTTTTAGAAAGTTCATAATTGCCAAAAAATTGTAAATAACTCACACATACTTCGACTATGAAATGAGTAAATAACCTCTGATATACACATCCATTCCATACACTGGAATTATTCTCAATGATAAAAAGGATACACTGTTGTTCACACAATAACATGTATGAATCATAAGTACATTTACAATAACATGTATGAATCATAAGTACATTTACAATAACATGGATGGAAGTGGAGAACATTATGTTACATTAAGTAAACCAGTCACAGAAATACAAATGTCTTACGTTCCCAGTCATATGTGGGAACTAAAAGTATTCATCTCATGGAGGTAGTGAATAGAATGGTGATTACCAGAGGCTGGGAAGGATACTGGGGAGGGAAGGATGAAGAAGGGTTGGTTAATAGGTACAAAAATGCGGTTAGGTAAGAACTAGTGTTTTGTAGCACAATAGGGCAACTATAGTTAACAATAATTTACTCTAAATTTTAAAATAACTAGAAGAGTAGATTTGGAATGTTTCCAACACAAAGAAATAATCAATGTTTAAAATGATGGACATCCCCATTACCCAGATAAGATCATTACACCTTGCATGCTCATGTTAAAATATAATGTGTACTCCATAAATGTGTACAAATATGTATTCATAAAAATTAGAAATTAAAAATACACAAAAAGCAAAGCAAACAAAAAAGCGATATGCCGAAAGCAACATTTTGCATAATCCCTATTTATATGATGCTTTTAAAAAAGAAAACACTAGGTAAGAAAACACATCATTGGATCTTTTAGGAAGGTATAACACAGTGAAATTTCTGAGGAGAGGGAACTGTTCTATATGTGACAGTAGTGGTGAACTTCAGTTTTCAAACCCATAAAGCTGTGTACTATAAAAAGTGAAATTTGTGTATGTGAATTGTAAAGATCAATCAGATTGTCGAGGGGGTACATGGAGTGCAGGCTGTGACAAAACGATTCTAACTGTATTAACAATGAATCATAGACCCATACTGAGTGGTATGGGAAAGAAAGGAATGAAACTAAGCAACTTTGGCAAATTGACATTTGACTTCATATTCTAAGGCCAAATACAAAGAAACAGTTCCCAAACACTGTACTCTAGTTGATAATTTTGATCCTTAAAGGGTTACTGGTTGAAATTCTGAAATTAATTTATATGTATACTAGAGCTGAGCAAAGTATTAAATATATTATATCATAAGAACTCGAATTCTTTCTGTTGTAGAAAGCAGCTACCAATAAGGAAATAGGAATACTAGAGTGAACCTCGTGATGCTCATTGGCATTGGAGGTACTGAAATGGAATTATAGTTTTAAAACTTATATACAGATAAATAGAGGAATAAATATATACCTGTATATATATGAGTTGGTATACATGCATATATATCTTAGCTCCATATCCTAATAGGTGCTAGAAATTGTAACATTCTAATAACAAGGAACATAGTAGCATCCAGATCTTGGTTTTGAAATACTGTCCTCTGTATCATGGAACCAGGGCTCCTTGGACATACAGTCAATCGTAAGAGTGCAGTAGAGACAATGCAAGGTGAGTGAGGGCATTAAAAAACGCCAAATGTACCTGGAGAATCTTGTGATGCCAGAAAGTAAGTAAGTGAGTAAAATATATATATATATATATATATAATATTTATTAAATGTAAATATATTTATTATAGGTAAGTCAGCTATAATGATCATTAGATAGATAGATAGATAGATAGATAGATAGATGGATCAATCAAAAGGGCACAGGAGCCAACATGAAAGAGTACCTAATGGATGAAGCTGAAACAACAAGAGGAGTAAAATAACCGTAACATAAGATTAGATTCCAAAGAATAAAATCCATATCTATGAATCAAATATGAGTATTATAAACAACTGAAGAAATAAACAAATGGCAAATAAATTACTACACAGAGGAACCTCAATTAAAACTGAAGGATGAATGAGGAAAATAGAAATCATTATTACACCACATTATCCTGCAATGATTTTTAATATGGAGTTGCAGGCAAATTCCTCCTATGGATCTTCATATAAGTAGGTCAAAGTTTACCTGCATATATAATATGTGCATAGATATTTATTATATCCCCCTAAATATTTTATAATTACAAAGGAAAAAATAATAAATTTACAGTGGAGAATCATAGCAGGTATTTCCTTTAGCCATGGGTTCAAAGTTAGTATCACTAAAAACACATATCGACATTATATGCCTCCAATTTATATTTTTACTATTATTTTATTTTTTTATTATACTCTAAGTTCTAGGGTACATGTGCACAAAGTGCAGGTTTGTTACATATGTATACATGTACCATGTTGGTGTGCTGCACCTATTAACTCGTCATTTATATTAGGTATATCTCCTAATGCTTTCCTTCCCCTCTACCCCCACCCCACGACAGGCCCCAGTGTGTGATGTTCCCCTTCCTGTGTCCAAGTGTTCCATTGTTCAATTCCCACCTATGAGTGAGAACATGCGGTGTTTGTTTTTTTGTCCTTGCGATAGTTTGCTGAGAATGATGGTTTCTAGCTTCATCCATGTCCCTACAAAGGACATCAACTCATCCTTTTTTATGGCTGCATAGTATCCATGGTGTATATGTGCCACATTTTCTTAATCCATTCTATTATTGATGGCCATTTGGGTTGGTTCCAAGTCTTTGCTATTGTGAATAGTGCCACAATAAACATACGTGTGCATGTGTCTTCATAGCAGCATGATTTATAATCCTTTGGGTATATACCCAGTAATGGGATGGCTGGGTCCAGTGGTATTTCTAGTTCTAGATCCCTGAGGAATCGCCGCACTGTCTTCCACAATGGTTGAACTAGTTTACAGTCCCACCAACAGTGTAAAAGTGTTCCTATTTCTCCACATCCTCTCCAGCACCTGTTGTTTCCTGACTTTTTAATGATCGCCATTCTAACTGGTGTGAGATGGTATCTCATAGTGGTTTTGATTTGCATTTCTCTGATGGCCAGTGCTGATGAGCATTTTTTCATGTATCTGTTGGCTGCATAAACGTCTTCTTTTGAGAAGTGTCTGTTCATATCCTTCACCCACTTTTTGATGGGGTTGTTTACTTCTCGTAAATTTGTTTGAGTTCTTTGTAGATTGTGGATATTAGCCCTTTGTCAGATAAGTAGATTGCAAAAATTTTCTCCCATTCTGTAGGTTGCCTGTTCACTCTGATGGTAGTTTCTTTTGCTGTGCCAAAGTTCTTTAGTTTAATTAGATCCCATTTGTCAGTTTTGGCTTTTGTTGCCATTGCTTTTGGTGTTTTAGACATGAAGTCCTTGCCCATGCCTATGTCCTGAATGGTGTTGCCTAGGTTTTCTTCTAGGGTTTTTATGGTTTTAGGTCTAACATTTAAGTCTTTAATCCACCTTGAATTAATTTTTGCACAAGGCATAAGGAAAGGATCCAGTTTCAGCTTTCTACATATGGCTAGCCAGTTTTCCCAGCACCATTTATTAAATAGCGACTCCTTTCCCCATTTCTTGTTTTTGTCACGTTTGTCAAAGATTAGATGGTTGTAGATGTGTGATATTATTTCTGAGGGCTCTGTTCCGTTCCATTGGTCTATATCTCTGTTTTGGTACCAGTGGCATGCTGTTTTGGTTACTGTAGTCTTGTAGTATAGTTTGAAGTCAGGTAGCGTGATTCCTCCAGCTTTGTTCTTTTGGCTTAGGATTGTCTTGGCAATGCGGGCTATTTTTTGGTTCCATATGATCTTTAAAGTAGTTTTTTCCAATTCTGTGAAGAAAGTCATTGGTAGCTTGATGGGGATGGCATTGAATCTATAAATTACCTTGGGCAATATGGCCATTTTCATGATATTGATTCTTCCTATCCATGAGCATGGAATGTTCTTCCATTTGTTTTGTGTCCTCTTTTATTTCATTGAGCAGTGGTTTGTAGTTATCATTGAAGAGGTCCTTCACATCCCTTGTAAGTTGGATTCCTAGGTATTTTATTCTCTTTGAAGCAATCGTGAATGGGAGTTCACTCATGATCTGGCTCTCTGTTTGTCTGTTATTGGTGTATAAGAATGCTTGTGATTTTTGCACATTGATTTTTTATCCCGAGACTTTGCTGAAGTTGCTTATCAACTTAAGGAGATTTTGGGATACTGAATGGGCAAAAACAGGAAACATTCCCTTTGAAAACAGGCACAAGACAGGGATGCCCTCTCTCACCACTCCTATTCAACATAGTGTTGGAAGTTCTGGCCAGGGCAATCAGGCAGGAGAAAGAAATTAAGGGTATTCAATATATGCCCCCAATTTAATGCACAGAGAAGGGTACATTATCTCTGTGGATGACTTCCCAAAAATGTCTAATTTTAGTCTAATCATAAGGAAATATCACGCAAACCCAAATTGAAGTACGTTACAAAAATACATTCTAAAATATAATTGACAGTGTTCTTTAACAGAGTGAAGGCCATGAAAGATAAACTGAAGAAATGTCACTGATTGCAGGAAACTGTGGCTCCCTGACAACTAAATAGATTGTAGTAGTCTGGATTAGATCTTGGAGCAACAATAATATAATTTTTTTATTTTTAATTTGTGTGAATACATAGTAGGTGTGTATATTTATATGGTACATGAGATATAGGTATACAATGCATAATAATCACATCATGGTAAGTGGGGTACCAATCACCTCAAGCATTTATCCTTTCTTTGTGCTACAAACAATCCAATTATACTATTTTAGTTATTTTAAAATGTACATAAATTAGTCGAAATCATGATTTTGAATACAAGTACATTAATGGAAAAACTGATGAAATCAAAGTTCTCTACTTTGGCTAATAGTATGGTACCAAGGTTACTTTTCAATTTGACAAATGTCCTATTTTTATAAAAGATGTATATGGAGAATTTGGGGAACAGGTATATGGTAATTCTTCATACTATTTTTGCACATCTTTTATAAAGCTAAAATTATCTCAAAATGTTTTTTAAAAGTGATAAAAAAAGTCTTGAAGCTTTAAAAGTATCCATTTCCCCTTACCCATCTGTTCTTCTGGATTCATAGAGAATCTTTACATTCTTCTATGAAATATGTATTAGAAAAACATTGCCACTTGCAATCAATAACCTTCATACCATCTATTTGTCTTTTAAATAGTACCTTGATTCAATGATATTTATGTTCACCATCTTGGGAGAAATGTGAGTAAAATGATCATTATAGCTGACATACCTCAAGACTATGATCACTGAATTGACTCCCTCATCTTTTCATACACCTTCTACTTATTGATTATTTTTCTGCTTATGTATTGATATATCTAATTAAAATATTGCTTAAAATTTAAGTTAAAGTGTTATGTAAAACATAATTCTGTTATGAATAATTTCCTGTTGGCTTCTATGCTAGATGTACATGCTTTTTCCTCAATAGCAATGACATATACTCACTTAAAATAGTATTTCTTTGATAACATGGAACTATAGCTGGGTTTAATCTGCAGTTTTTTTTTTTTTAACTTTTTGTTGTTGCTGTTCAAGAAAGATGTGGAGAAAGATGTGGCTTTGGAGCATGCTTGCTTTAACCCATGGTATGCCTGGTGACTACAGGAGGGAAAGTTTTATAGCAATCCGATGTTTCCTAACACTTTATTCTGGCATTCTGAAGGTATATCTTTCAGTTGTTTCTTGATTACCCACTGTTGACAGGTGAGAGCTTCGTAGCTGTTTGACTCAGTGGCTGATATGTCTATTCTTTGAGAACACAATTGGCAGTTTGGCAGTCAGCATTCTTAAAGGATCAGTGGAGCTCAAACAGGAACCCTTGTTTTATGCAGCTCTTTCATGAAAACTACAATATGTGTACCAGCTGAAAATATCATATATAATGAGACCTAAACTTTAAATCTAGTGAAGTCTAATTGCCTCTCTTTGGGAATACTGTCACCAGTGACTGCAACAGCACTTTTGCAATACCTCAGATAAGCTGAATGAATTTGAATTAGACTACCTTAATCATATTGAGAAATCACAGCGTGGAGGACATGTATATCCTTGTAGCAGACATATTACTTGCTACCCGAACTTGAAGCCTGTTCACTTTAAGGTTTTGCCTTTTTTCTTTTGCAAGACTGCAATTTCTGATGGTATCCTAGAATCTCTGGCTATGACAGCTCTTGCATTAAGATTGGCATGGTGTTTGAGCAGTTCAAAATTGCTTGATATGTATGTAGAGCCAATGTTGTAGCAGATACACCAGTGTTACAAGTCAGCTTTATAGACACTCAGCAACCCCTTTCCTCTGTTAACATTAACAGACAGGTGCACATCCATCTCCTAATATAATAGTAAGAGATAATTTCATCTTGGCAGGGAGAAGGCATGTGGGGTAGTCAGGTAAATGAATTGAAAAAGGACATGAATTAGGAATAAGAAGACACAGATTTTAGTACGTAATTCTTTAGTAATTAGCTTTATGCCTGTGGAGAAGTAATTTTATTTTTTCTGAATCTCAGTTTCTTTCTCTATAAAATGCTGATAAAAGGAAGTGTCCTGTTTACCTCATAGGGTTGTGCAATTGACGAATTCGGAAGAGTTGCTATGTAAAATCAAAGTTCCAAACAAATTTATCTTGATATTGCTGTTACACTCTGAATTGATATGGCTCTCCCTTCTGCTTCCAAGCTCTTATCTTTGGAAACTTGCACCAAAAGTTTCTAAATGTCCATCGTTTCTGAGGCAATAATACCATGTGGCAATCAAAATTACTTTCATTTGCATGGAAATTAAGTCTATACAGAAGCCTACTAAGCAGAGTAAACCGAAGTGTTCTGTCACTTGGAGCTGTGGGTGGATTTAATCTAGATATTTAAATAAAAAGTCTAGAGAGTCAAATTAACTGTTAATCATAATACTGGCTTGCAGTGATGTTCATTTTAAGACTGTTTGTGTACATGTAGATAGGAGAGAGTTCGATGCATATATCACACCTGTTACAGCAATAGTTACCGCCTTTGGCTTTAGACTCAAGAATCGCCATTCAATGACACTTTCCCCGTACATCTTTTTTTTTTTTTTTTTTTTTTTTTTGAGACAGAGTCTCGCTCTGTGCCCCATGCTGGAGTGCAGTGGCGCGATCTCGGCTCACTGCAAGCTCTGCCTCCCGGGTTCACGCCATTCTCCTGCTTCAGTCTCCGGAGTAGCTGGGACTACAGGCGCCCGCCACCACGCCCGGCTAATTTTTTGTATTTTTAGTAGAGATGGGGTTTCACCGTGTTAGCCAGGATGGTCTTGATCTCCTGACCTTATGATCCGCCCACCTCGGCCTCCCAAAGTGCTGGGATTACAGGTGTGAGCCCCCGCGCCCAGCCTTCGTATATCTTTTCTAAAATTACAGTCTCTTTCCTTACCCTGGACATCTATTGTCCCCTATTTGGCTTTATTTTCCTTCCTAGCACGTATAATTGTCTCACCCACCATATAGTCTATTCATTTATCTTTAATCTGGCCTACTAAAGTGTAATCTCCAGGAGGTAAGATAGTTTTGTCTATTTTCTTTACTGCTATATTTTCAGAACCTCCAATATCCAATAGTACCTGCCAAAGTAGTCTCTCAAAAATGTTTGTTAAGTAAAAGATAAAGTACCCAAAATAATTAGGTTAAATATCTTTTTCTATATATCCTGCCCCTCTCTTCTCCAATTAAACATTTTAAATCCCTTTAGGTACTATTAGAAATCTTAATTCTAAAAATAAAAAAATTGACTTGATTATTTGGATATTATTCAATATTTTTGGTAGATAATATTAAGGTATTTATTACCATTGAAAATTAAATCACTTTGAACTCTAACTTATAATCTTAAAAACGAACCTTCTTTTGCTATATACATGGCTTGTTTAGTAATATTGATGATCACGACAAAGTGACCATAATTTATTCACTTAATTATTAAATTTTCCAAACTTTTCTGGGAAAAAAATGGTGTTTTTTTTTGTTTTTTTTTTTTTTGTATTGCAGCTGTGTCTCAATGAATTCTTCACTGTTCACTCTCCAGATAACCATTCTTTTAATTCTGTAAATCATCATACATTGGAGAGACAAAAATGGGAGTATTGGACCGAGTTGTGGTAACCATAGTTCAAAAAGAAAATTGACATTCTAAAGGAAAACAAGGATTATCAATGATTAAAGTTTTCAAAATAAAGCAAAAACAATTTATAAGTTGATGGACAATGCAATGGAAAGAATACAGATACTGAATCTATGGCTTTCTGCTATGTATGTTTTAGAGGGATTGCTATCAATATGTTAGAATGTTTTAGAGAAGGAATTAACCATATAAATTATCTTCGGACTCTAAGATTCAGTGATTCTATTACTATTAATGTATTATATTATTATCTGAAAACTAAATGGATATTTTATGGGTCAACTGGTTTCTTTGCTAGATAACTACATGCAACAGTATAAGATACATACCTACATTTTTGAAATGCTTACATATATTACAGTTTTTGTATCTGTGTATGTATGTGTGTGCATGCACAGTGTTTCGTTTTTAGCCTGCTTAGGCAATGGGGTCTTTGAATTTGATAGGTACTCTATTTATTCTGTATTTTTCCACTAACTTGCTTGCAAAAAAATATTAAAGCTGGCAGAACTTATGAGAACATCTGACCTTTAATCAAATAGTTGGGTGAAAATTGTGTCTTGTGGAGTCAACTTTTTTACCTTATTGTGTATAGAGATTAATACTAATTTTAAATTTGCAAATAGCTAAATTAATTATAATAACATATTTATGTGATTCTTGGGTTCTCTGTAAAGTCTCTCCTTCATAACTCATGTATACTGCTTAAATTTGGATTTATCAAAAATTTTATATGTTCTTTCTCCTTATATTTTTATTATTTATATAGTTACAATTTCTCTAATGTAGTCTTAATTCCTTTTAATTTTCTGGCCATAGGAAGATTATTTTTCTTCTTCATCTTTTTAATAGGTTTTCCTTAATTTGACAAAATTTACTTGAAAATCCCTCTCTTTGCTAATTTGCATGTTGGCTTTCTTTTCTCACCATGAAATGTTTGTTTTCTTTTCTCTTGCTTGGGACCTCTTTCACAATAGCACACTATTTTCTTAAAAAAAATTAAGCTCGATTTTCTTCTTATTGGTTTCTATATAGCAGTGGTTCTCAACTCTGTACACTAGAATCTCCTGAGGAGCTTTAAAAACATAATGATGTCAAAACTCTATAATGGACCAGGTAAATCAGTATCTCTCAGGGGATAGGATCGTAGACAAGGGTAATTTTTTTAATACTCCTTGTGTGATTCTAATGTGCTTCCAGAATTGAGAAGCATTCGTCTATACCTTCTGTGTTGAATTTGTCAACAAAGCAATTAGAGTGTATTTATTTTGTAACTTGAATCTGAGAGACGATTAATACTTAAAGTCCCACTCTATTAATATATCCTACCCTTTATTTTGTTCCCTATCAGTACTAGGAAAACATCAGTGAAGAACAAATAATATATTCTTAAGAATACTGTCCCTTTGTCTAATTCCCCCAAGTTGTTTTCTCTCATGGTTTTATGTAACTTTTAGTACTGTTAATTAATGATATGAACTTTAAGGTCAGTTAAATCTGCTGGGTGTGAGTGATTAGGTAGATCTCAGCTTCTTAATTTAATAATTGAAGTCAACGAAGTAAACACACAGCCCACAGAATAGGACAAAATATTTGCAAACAGTCCATCTGACAAGGGGTTAATAACCAGAATATATAAGGAGCTCAGATGACTCTATAGAAAAAAATCTGATTTAAAAATGGACAAATGTTTATTCAGACCTTTGTCAAACTAAAAAATACAAATGGCAAACAGATATCTAAAAAGTTGCTCAACATCATTGATCAGCAGAGAAATACAAATCAAGACTACAATGAGATATCATCTCACCCCAGTTAAAATGGCTTTTATCCCAAAGATAGGCACCAGTGAATGCCAATGAGGATGTAGAGAAAAGGGAACCCTACTACACTGTTGGTGGGAATGTAAATTAGTACAACCACTAAGAAGAACAATTTGGAAGTTCCTCAAAAAAACTAAAAATAGAGCTACCATAAGATACAGCAACCCCACTGCTGGGCATATACCCCAAATTAAGGAAATCAGTATATGATAAAGACATCTGTATTCCCATATTTCTTCCAGCACTGTTCACAATAGCCAAGGTTTGTAAGCAACCTAAGTGTCCATTAGCAGATGAACGGATAAAGAAAACGTGGTATATATACAAAAGGGAACACTATTCAAAATGATATTCTGTCGGTCGCAATAACATGGATGGAACTGGAGGTCATTATGTTAAGTGAAATAAGCTATGCACAAAAAGACACACTTCTCATGTCCTTGCTTATTTATGGAAGCTAAAAATTAAAACAATTGAATTCATGGAGATAGAGAGTAGGATTGTTACAAGAGTCTGGGAAGGGTAGTTGGGGAGGGGTTGGGGGGAAGTTGGAATGGCTAATGGGTACAAAAACTAGAAAGGATGAAAAGATCCATTATTTGCTAGCACTACAGAGTGACTATAGTAAATAATAATTTAATCGTACATTTTAAGATAGCTAAAAGAGTATAGTTAGATTGTTTGTAAAACAAAGGATAAATGCTTGATGGGATGGGTGCTCTACATACCCTGAAGGGATTATTATCCATTACATGCCAGTATCAACATATTTCACATAAAAATATAGATACCTACTATGTATTCACAAAAATTAAAAATTAACAAAAGAATCAAGGTTGTCCATGAACCCTCTGAAACTTCAAATCTGTATGCATTTTTATATATTCTTGTGTTTTTCTTGGAAAAAGAGTATGCATTTTTTTTCAGGTTCTGAATGAAGTCTGTGGCCTTCAAGGAGTTAATAGTTTCAGGGATAGGCCATCTTTGAATGCATTTTCTTACAGAAAGTTAGTTTACTGACCTACAGAATGCTTGCAAGAACCAAATGTAATACATATGCATGAAAGTTGTAACTAGAAGTACTAAATAAATGTATTATTGAAGCCATAGCTTCTTATGGGAGAAATCCGTTAGTAGAAATGTATATATTTGATGATTTAAAATAGAAAAATATTCCAATATTGGAAAAAGGTCATGGTCTTATAAAGATATTTGGTTTGGGGACAGAGAAAGAAAGCTGGCACAGGCAATACTCTAAAGCTAATTATGAGACTTTTCATCCATCCTCCAGGAATCTCTGCTTCTGAAAGCAAATTTTGTAATTTTTTAAAATTAACATTTTTTTAAAAAGATATATCTATAACCTGGTAGGATAACTACTTGAAAAATAAAATTCCACTCTTTGGCACATGACAATAAATATTATGAAAAAGTTTTTGGATAGTGGAAAAATAATGATAAGAAACTTAATGTGGGACATGGTGGTCTTAAATCAAGGGAAGAGGAGAAACCTACAAATTTAGTTTGAAAATAAGACCTCAGAATGGATTCACATCTGGGATTTGATTACACCTTTAATTCTGGTGGCTTGTGCATAAATTTAGAAACAAGTTCATATCTATTTAGAAATTGCAGAGCAGCCATATAGGATTTGATTAATCACACACATTTAAAAATGCTTTTCAAACATTTTCATTAGTCACATTTGACAGCAGCCTCACAAACAGTTAATAATGTAGACATTTTTCAGGAAAACATGAACTGTCCGGTATGATTGATGGTAAGAGATTTTAAGATGTTTTGGGCAGATACAAAAAAGATGGTGGCAGGTTGAATATATGGTCTTTGTTTATCCCTAGTAATAATAATCTATCGAGTTTAGTAAGGACTTTCTCTTTTTTATTATACATTAAGTTCTGGGCAAACTAACACAAGAACAGAAAACCAAACACTGCATGTTCTCACACATAAGTGGGAGTTGAACAATGAGGACCTTCTCATTTTAAAAACCTCAAGCTTGGTATGTGTACAGAAGGATAAATCTAGTGGTAGCTGGGCAGACAGTTCAGCTTAAATACTTGAATCTTGTTGAATTTTCTTTGGTAACAAATGTAACATTAACTGAGATATAAAGTTGCCCCAACTTTTGCTGAGGGAATAGATATTCAAGAAGGTTTTTTTTTTTTTTTTTTTTGAGACGGAGTCTCGCTCTGTCGCCCAGGCTGGAGTGCAGTGGCGGGATCTCGGCTCACTGCAAGCTCCGCCTCCCGGGTTCACGCCATTCTCCTGCCTCAGCCTCCCAAGTAGCTGGGACTACAGGCGCCCGCCACTACGCCCGGCTAATTTTTTGTATTTTTAGTAGAGACGGGGTTTCACCGTTTTTTAGCCGGGATGGTCTCGATCTCCTGACCTCGTGATCCGCCCGCCTCGGCCTCCCAAAGTGCTGGGATTACAGGCGTGAGCCACCGCGCCCGGCCAAGAAGGTTTTAAGTCTTTTTTTCTTATAAGTTTATTGGTGTGAAAATTTTACCTTAATTGCTATTTATAATATACAACACCAATTGTTCTTACCTTTTTTTTGTGTCTCAGGCTATAAGATATCTATTATAGTCAAATTACTGAAAATGTTGGTTCATACAAAAATGCGTATATCTTAAAAGTAAGTTTTCTTTGTCATTCTGTTTACAGATTTGAGGAGATATTTGAAATAAAAGAGAAATTTGATGTGACCTGTTTTGACCCAGGTGCAAGGAAGCCTTCCTTTAATGTGGTATAACCAATTGACATGAAGCAAATGATAGGATAATTATTAGTGCCAATAAAGCTAACAGTTAATTTTTTTGGTATGCAAACAAAAATACTGTGTTTCATATTGCTTATCAATTATAAATTCAGATTATTTTTAAGATAACCTTTTCTCTCCTGTAACTTGATTGTTTTGTTCACCTTCTAGGCCCTTAGGAGGAAGTCATAACTTCATTTTAATGTATTGAGACTCCTTTCTTTAAAAAGCTAAGCATCAGAATCCGTGGTGGCATGTTAGGTAGCATGTCATGTCTTGCTACTCATTACAAACAGTATCCTAAAGGGAGTTCAACCAAATCCATGGAAGAGCTGAATGTTAATTGTAATATTGCTCTGCAGCTCATTTGGTTCAAATAGATTATAAATTATGCATGAAGCAAGCAAAACATGAGCAATATTTCTGTTAACTGAAGTCATGACCTTCTTTTAGCTAATCTTTTAATGTGAAGCTAATAATAAAAAGTCCAGCTATTAACCAACAGACTAGATAAGCAATCCAGTGTATGGTACATAAAAGTTCTCCTATCACATTTTTAAATATTTTGTTTACTATTAATACTGTTTTTTATAGTCAGAAGACTGTGGATATTTTTATAAAACAATAAACGTTAATTTTAGAATAAAAGTAGAAGATAAACATAATAGCAAATCTTTCATTCGTAAATATATATTACATAGTTAAGTATATACACACATTATTCATATTCTTTTCTTTTTAAACATAATTTTATATTCTCAACAATAAATTTGCTTAAAATTTCAAAATAATTTAGCATATCCGCCATTGCATTTATTATAAAAATAAGATTAATCCTTGCACCATAAAACATTAAAGAATATTCTAAAAACTAACTTCAATTATAGACTTTTAAATGCGCAAATAAAATACATGTTTGAACTACATTTATATATGTCTGAAAACCAGATGACTAACCTCCTGCAATCATTCATTAAATTAGATTTCTTGAGCATGAACTGTGTACCAAACAATGTATTAAAGGCTGAGAGTACATGGTTAGAAGAGACAGGCATGCCCTTGATTTATGGAGCTTACAATCTAGTATACATGTATATGTCACGTGATAAAAGATACAGAAATAATGCAAGTTTTTTAAAATTCAACTTTAATTTTAGATACAGGGATACAGGTACAGGTTTACCGCATGAGTATGTTGCATGATGCTGAAGTTAGGGGTATGGATCTCATCACTCAGGTGGTGAGCATAGTACTAGTAAGGTAGTTTTTGCCCCACGCCCCCATTCCTCCCTCCACCCTCTATTAGCCTGCAGCATCTGTTGTTCCCAAGTTTATGTCCATGTGTGCCCAGTGTTTAGCTCCTATTTATAAGTAAGAACATAAGGTATTTGGTTTTATGTTCCTGTGATAATTCACTTAGGATTATGGCCACCATCTGCATCCATGTTGGTGCAAAGGACATTATTCCATTCTTTTTTATGGCTGTGTAGTATTTCATGCTTCTGCACAGAAAAATAAACTATCAACAAAGTAAACAGACAGTCTACAGAATGGGAGAAAATACTTGCAAACTATGCATCTGACAAAGGTCTAATATCCAGAATCTATAGGGAACTTAAGCAGTTCAACAAGCAAAAATCACATAACCCCGTTAAAGTGTGGGCAAAGTACCTGAACACACACCTCTCAAAAGAAGATATACAAGCAGCCAATAAGCATATGCAAAAATGCTCAACATCACTAATTATCAGAGAAATGCAAATTAAAACCACAATGAGTTACTATCTTACACCAGTCAGAATGGCTATTATTCAAAAGTCAAAAAAGAACAGATGTTGGTGAGGCTGCAGAGAAAAGGGAAGGCTAATACACTGTTGGTGGGAATGTAAATTATTTCAGCTATTGTAGAAACCAGTTTGGAGATTTCTCACAGAACTTAAAGCAGGTTTTTAAAATATTAATGTTGCAAATGTCAAATATTCTTAGTGCAAAAACAAATAGATTTAATAAATTAGCTGCTAAATAGTTTAATAAATAAATGATTTAATAAATTTAATACATTTGTTCCTGTTTTATTATATAAAGTAGGGCTTATATATCTTTGCCTGATGTTCGAAAAATGCCAGAGTGTTAGTAGTGAATATCCAGAAAATTTTATCTTTCTGTACTTAAATGTGTTTTTGTCTTAACTGGCAGTTCTGGTAATAGCTTCAAGTGCTCTTACAAAAATTCGAAGATAACAATACCCTAAATTAGGTCTGCATTAAATACATTTTTTATATTATAGCCATCACTAATAATTAAACAAAGGCTGTTTTTTAATGTTAAAATATTATGAAATTATGGTTTTGTTTCTACATATTGAAATAGTAATATATATTATGGGCAGTTACTCTAGATTAATAATACAATAATTTAAAAATATTTAATAACCTTGATCAAATGCTTTTCATAAAACATATCATTGATGTTATGAAACACATGCAATACTAAATACAACTTTGATAATGTAAAAACTCAGCCAATTTGTATTTCTCTATATGGTAGTAAAATACAATTTATTCCTCCCAATCAGTAAATTTAACTGGCTAAATAAAATAGACTACAGATTCTATGTAACATATACCATTAAGTAATAATTTTTTACATTTAAATGTTTCACATTTTAAATGCTCCATACCAGCAATCATGTTGTTTCTTAGCATTTATTATTAAATTGTGTATTTATAGCTTACAATGTTTCATACAGTCTCTATGTTTCCACTTAGGAATTATGTATTAAATATATTAGAATATTTTCCTCTTTTATCCTTACTGAAATTTTTAGCTCAATTATATAACTGCCAAAACTTACATGAGACAATGAATATAAGACACCTAAAACAGTGAATAGTACATAGTAAAAGCTGTTAGAGTTATCAGACATTATTATCAGAGAGGATAATTCTAGGCAGAACAAATTCCTATAGGAGAATAATAAAAGGTGAATGAGGATTCATTTTAGGTGAGAAATACTATCACCATCAGCTGACATCTGGAAGCCCAGATTCCTCTCTTAACAGCAGAACAATTGTAAAATCAGGATTTGAGTGAAGTGGATTTTCTATTTAAGCTCCAGTCTTTCCTTATGTCTCTCAAGTCTGAGTGATTTCTGACTTGACTTTGTGGAAAAGAGATGTTTCATCAGTAGAGTACCCAAGTGCACTCCTTTAATTCTAACACACTCTTACTGATTTCTGATAACTCTACTCCATTTCTCTCTCTTATTCTCTTTGTGATTGTACAACATTGAGAAACTAGGGCATAGGTGACAAATAAACTTCTTTCCTATTAAAGGATATGTATTCCTTTAGTTCACATTTTATCATGTGATAAAATAAAAATCATGTGATAAATGTGAAAATGTAGTTCACATTTGATCAATTATTTACCTTGAGCACGACATAAAATTATCAGCAATATTCTTATGTTAAGACAGATTTTTAGTGATGATATGGCAACAATACATTTGATTACCAAATCTGTATGTCAACAATATGTCAAATGCATCTTCTAGAATTTTTACAATACATTATATGCTATAATTTGCCCAATACTAGAATTTTTAGGAATAAAATTATATCAAAACAATTCTATCTTAATATACAGTATCTGAAACTGACATTAAATATACTATGATTAATATATCTTATAAATAATCAGATTCATCTGTAAAATTTTTATATTAAATAACATCTTACATTTATACCGTAATAGAAAATTTTTTTAAGTTTTACAATTACCTGTGTTTAAAAACAATTTGTTAGAGTGAAAAAAAAAAAGCCCCAGACTGAGAGAAAAGACCTAAAATCTTCCCTTACATACAGCAGGTAAACAAAACAAAAAAATTATAATGCTGGAATTTAAACCATCTTAATCAAGTCATCTGACCTCTTGAAACTCAATTTCCTTAGTAGTTAAATGAGACTAATAGCATCTAGGCATAATTCCAAAGAACAATATGAGGCCAATACTGTTAAAATGCTTATAAAGCTATGTACATATAATGATGTGGATATGATTGTGTTGACAGAAATTAGAGTAAATGATCTTATATATATTTATCAGAAGAAAATCACCTATTTTTTCTTTTAAAATAGAAATGCATGTAATCAGAGAATTTGATTATATGTTCATGATAAGTGTTTTGATTAGAAAAGAAGAAAGAATTAAATTTTACCTTGATTTACTTTTAAACTATCTTTAGAGGATATTGCTTATAAAAATGTAAGAAGAATGTATAATCTGGGCTTAAATTGAACTGATTATGTAAATATATTGAAAAGGAGTTGGAGGTATAAATCACAGATGTCGACTTGATGGAGTTTGTTACCAGCAAAATCTACTGCTCACAAATCCCAGCGTGTTAATTACAAGAAGGCATCTGGTATACAAATTTATGCTAAGATAAGAAACATAAAGATTAATGTTGAATACAGTATGTCAAATAGATATGGCATCATCTACCTTCACTTGCTAGTTGTATTTAGCCATAATTGCTGTATTAGTTCATGTAACTTAAACAGATCATAGTTATTAGGTATAATTAATAGTATTCTAGGTAAAAGGTGTATTTGTGTGTGTATGGCACACTTAAATTACAGTTAAAGAGTTGAGAGTCTTGGGAGAAGTGAAAAGATGTTACATATGAATCTATTCTATGGGGGAAATCTTATTTTTAACTTTATAAATTTCCAAACTTTAAAGCTTTAGAAAATGAAAATATAAGAATAGGAGTGTTTGATGTTATGTGGTATTAGGCAAACACAGTCCTCAACAATTGACCAAGTGTTATTAAAAGAAACCCTGTATTAATTTTTGTATAAGGTGTAAGGAAGGGGTCCAGTTTCAGTTTTCTGCATATGGCTAGCCAATTTTCCCAACACCATTTATTACATAGGGAATCCTTTCCCCATTGCTTGTTTCTGTCAGGTTTGTCAAAGGTCACATAGTTGTAGATGTGTGGCATTATTTCTGAGGCCTCTGTTCTGTTCCATTGGTCTATATATCTGTTTTGGTACCAGTACCATGCTGTTTTGTTTACTGTAGGCTTGTAGTATAGTTTGAATTCAGGTAGGGTGATGCCTCCAGCTTTGTTCTTTTTGCTTAGGATTGTTATGGCTATACAGGTTCTTTTTTTGGTTCCATGTGAAATTAGTGTAGTTTTTTCTAATTCTGTGAAGAAAGTCAATGGTAGCTTGATGGGGATAGCATTGAATCCAAAAATTACTTTAGGTAGTATGCCCATTTTCACGATATTGATTATTCCTATCCATAAGCATGAGATGATTTTCCATTTGTTTCTGTGCTCTCTTATTTCCGTCAGCAGGGGTTTGAAGTTCTCCTTGAACAGGTCCCTCACATCTCTTGTAAGTTGTATTCCTAGGTATTGTATTCTATTTGTAGCAATTGTGAATGGGAGTTCTCTTATTATGTGGCTATTTGTCTATTATTTGTGTGTAGGAATGCTTGTGATTTTTGCACATTGATTTTGTATCCTGAGACCTTGCTTAAGTTGCTTATCTGCTTAACGAGATTTAGGGCTGAGATTTAAACGTAAGACCTACAGCCATAAAAACCCTGAAAGAAAGTCTAGGCAATACCACTCAGGACATAGACATGGGCATAGACTTCATGAATAACACCAAAAGCAATGGCAACAAAAGCCAAAATTGACAAATGGGATCTAATTAAAGTAAAGAGCTTCTGCACATCAAAAGAAAGTCTCATCAGAGTGAACAGGCAACCTACAGAATGTGAGAAAATTTTTGCCATCTATCCGTCTGACAAAGGGCTAATATCCAGAATCTACAAGGAATGTAAACAAATTTACAAGAAAAAGACAAATAACCCCATCAAAAACTGGGCAAAGGATATGAACAGACATTTCTCAAAAAAAGACATTTATGTGGCCAATAAACATATGAAAAAAAGCTAATCATCCCTGGTCACCAGAGAGATGCAAATCAAAACCACAATGAGATACCATCTCATGCCAGCTAGAATGGCAATCATTAAAAAGTCAGGAAACAACAGATGCTGGAGGGGATGTGAAAAAATAGGAACACTTTTACACTGTTGGTGGGGGGAGTAAATTAGTTCAACCATTGTGGAAGACTGTGTGGCAATTCTTAAGGATCTAGAACCAGTAATACCATTTGACCCAGCCATCCCATTACTGGGTATATACCCAAAAGATTATAAATTATTCTACTATAAAGACACATACACACATATATTTATTGTGGCGCTGTTCCTAGTAGCAAAACTTGGAATCAACCCAAATGCCCATCAATGATAGACTGGATAAAGACAATGTGGCACATGTACACGATGGAATACTATGCAGCCATAAAAAACAATGAGTTCACATCCTTTGCAGGGACATAGATGAAGCTGGAAACCATCATTCTCAGCAAACTAACACAGGAACAGAAAACCAAACACTGCATGTTCTCACTCATAAGTGGGAGTTGAACAATGAGAACACATGGACACAGGGAGGGGAACATCACACACTGGGGCCTGTTGTGGGGTGTGGGACTAGGAGAGGGAGAGCATTAGAACAAATACCTAATGTAGATGATGGGTTGATGAGTGCAGCAAACCACCATGGCACATGTATACCTATGTAACAAACCTGCATGTTCTGCACATATATCCCGGAACTTAAAGTATAATAAAAAAAAAAAGAAAGAAACCCTGAAAATTGTGGCATATCGTCTTAGAAATACTACTTTTTTCTCTAAAAGCAAGCCTCCAGGTCTTTTAATGGGGCCTAAATTTTTTTTTATCTAGTTGTAAATCATCTATGTGGAAATATTTTTGCTCATTTGGCCCTTTATAATTTTAACCATTTCAATGGGTTTTTTTTGTTCATCTTGTAGGCATGCAATAAAAATGATGTAGCATCTATACCTAAAGATTCCATATTGATATTTACTTCGTGATTCTTTATAATTGCTATTAGAAATACAAGTAGACTATAAAATACAGAAAATGTCATGTCTTCAGTGATCTAATTCTTATGTCTTACTTGACATTAGAATCTAAAATTATTAGACATTAGAGTCTAAAATTATTAGAAACATGTATTCCTCAATGAAAAGAAAGGTGGTCTTGTCCATTAAATTTCAGAAATTATAAGCTAATAATATGTGATTATACGTTGCATTTTTCAATATAAGAATGAATCCATTCAATATATTACCTTTAACATTCATTTGTGATTACTCATATTCATGTATTCATTTATCAATTATTTATTGAACACAGGATATCCTGGATATGCTTATAGCGGCCAGGTATATAACTGTGAACAAGGCAGTTCAACTCTTTGCATTCAGGAAGCTTGCAATCTGGTGGGAATGTAAAGACCAAATTTTTGCAAAGCAAATAAATTATATATGTTTGTATATGTGTGTAAATCTAGTGATTATGTGTACAGTATTAAGATAGAGAAATGCAAAAGTGATTATAACCCCACTTATAACCTATTCTTCCAGAATTTAAACAGTAGGAGTAGTAAAGTTGTTAATAACTTTTTAAAAGGCGCAAAGCAAAAAGCAAAATATGCTAAATGACATATAATTTCAAATAAATGTTCCCTGGAGGATCAAGCCAAGTACCAAAATATTTGCCTGAAATGTATAAGGGAATGTTATGGAAGTAATAGGTAAAGCCTTATGCATGGATAAAAACTAGAGTGTGAAATATGATTTAAAGACAGGAGGAAAACTGTAACTTACATAAGGAGAATATAGAGAAAAATTGAAAAGCAAATTGAGACCAGATTGCAAAATCATTTAAATTTCAAGCCAAACTAATGACAAATAAACTTAAGAAATGTCAAAAATGCTTTAGGCTGAATTAATCCAGGGACTTTATGACAGACTGATTTGAGAAGGAAAGAAGAGAGGTATCTATAAAAGTAGGGCATGTAATAGAATGGTTACTGCAAATTCCAAGCATAATATACAAGACCTTCTATTAGGATGATGGCAATAATTATTTTTATGAACACTGTCTTTTACATCCTATTTTCTGTTTTTCTTTCATCTTATTGTTGGTAAATATATATTAGTTGTCAGATATTTAAATCATTCATTAATATAAAATAAATACTCTTTATTATCACACACTGCTTTTGCAATTGTATGTAAAGGATGTCATTAGTTCCCTAATAATCATTTTCTCCTGTCTACCAATTTAAATGTTGATATAGAGAAAAATAACTATATCCCTCCAAAAGATTTCCCTAGTGGATTGATCACTTAAACAATTAAGCCTACTTTAAATTGACTACTGAGATCTAGGAGAAAGATGGGAGAATGGGAGTCTCTACTGATTATTCTCTTCCCTGACAAGGACACCAATTTAACAACTATCTACATAAACACAAAACAATGCGCCTTCATAAGAACCAAAAATCAAGTGAGCACTCAAAGTACGTGGTTTTAACTTTATATTGCTGAAAGAGGCACTGAAGAGGTAAGCAAAATAGTCTGGAGTCACCAATGCTATCCCTCCCCCATTCCCCAGCAGCTGCAGCTTTATGCATGGAGTGTTTCTGTGTGCTGGGGAGAGGAAAGCACACCAATTTTAAGGCATTGAACTCAGTGCTGCCCTATCATAACAGAAAACAAAACTAGACCAAACTCAGCTGATAACTAACCATGGAGGGACCATTTAAACCATCCCTAGCCAGAGGGAAATTGCTGATCCCAGTGGTCCGAACTTGAGGATCTGCAAGACTTGCAGCAGCTGCAGAGGTACTACAATGATGGTAGTCTCCCCAAGTCTCAGCAGCTGCAGGCCAAAGTGCTCTGGAGCTCTAAATAAACTTGAAAGGCAGTCTAGGCCACAAGGACTACAACTTCTAGGTGAGTCCTAGTGCTGAACTGGGCACAGAGACAGTGTACATGTGCCATACTGAGACACTAGTTAGGTCAGCTAAGGGATTGCTGTCATCACCCCTCCCCTGACCCCAGGCTGCATGGCTTGTGGCTCCAAAAGAGACTTCTTATCTCCACTGGAGGAGAATAGAGGGAAAGGTGGTGAAGACTTTGTTTTGCATCTTGGATACCAGCTCAGCCGCAGTAGGATAAGGTGCCAGTCAGGGTAATAAGGTCCCCTTTCCAGGCCCTAGCTCTTGGATGACATTTCTAGACACACCCAGGGGCAGAAGGATACTTGATGCCTTGAAGGCAATGACCCAGTCCTGGCAGGATATATCGCCTGATAATTGAGGAGTTCCTGGGCCCCGAGTGATCAGCAGTGATACTTAGTACTATGTTAAGGGCTTTGGGTGAGACTCTTAGACTTGCTGGCTTCAGGTGAGGCTCAGCACGTTCCCAGCTGTGGTGTCTATGGGGCAAGACTCCTTCCACCTAAGAAAAGTGGAAGGAAAAACAAAGGGAACTTTGTCTTGCACATTAGGTACCAGCTAAGATACAGTGGGGTAGAGCACCAAGCGGACACTTGGGGTCCTTGATTCTAGGACTTGGCTATTGGACTGCATTTCTGGACCTCTCCTGTGCCAGAGGGGAGCCCACTGCCCTGAAAGATGAGTCCCAAGTCGGGTAATATTCACCACATCTGGCTGAAGAGACTTTGGGCCCTAAGGGAACATTGATGATGGTCTGGCAGTACTCCCCATGGGCCTGTGGTGGCGGTGGCCGTTGATGAGAGTTCTCTGCCTTTGGAAAGGGGAGGGAAGAGTGGGAAGGACTGAGTCTCATGGTTTGAGTGCCAGATCATCTGCAGTAAAATAGATCACCAAGTAGACTTCTAATGTATTTTATCCTAATCCCTGGCTCCCAGACAGCACCTCCAAAAACTCTTGAGGCCTAGGGGAACTTGCCATCCTGAATGGAAGGACACAGGCCTGCCTGACATTGCCACCTGCTGATTGTAGAGTCCCAGGACCTTGAACAAACACAGGCCATAGTCAGGGAATGATTACAGTGGGCCTTGGGCAAGACACAGTGCTATGCTGGCTTCAGGTGTGACCTGGCAGTCTTTTTTTTTTTTTTTTTTTTTGAGACAGAGTCTCACTCTGTTGCCCAGGCTGGAGTGCAGTGGTGCGATCTCGGCTCACTGCAAGCTCCGCCTCCCAGGTTCGTGCCATTCTCCTGCCTCAGCCTCCTGAGTAGCTGGGACTACAGGCGCCCGCCACCGCGCCCAGCTAATTTTTTGTATTTTTAGTAGAGATGGGGTTTCATCGTGTTAGCCAGGATGGTCTCGATCTCCTGACCTTGTGATCCACCCGGCTCGGGCTCCCAAAGTGCTAGGATTACAGGCGCGAGCCACCATGCCCAGCCGACCTGGCACAGTCTTAGTCATGGTGGCCACAGGGTTGCTTGTGTCACACCACCCCCCAGCTCCAGGTGGTTCAGAACAGAGAGAGAGAGAGAGAGAGAGAGAGAGAGAGAGAGAGAGACTGTGTTCATTTGGGAGAAATTAAGGGAAGAGAACAAGAGTCTCTACCTGGTAATTCAGAGAATTCTTCCAGATATTGCCCAAGATAATAGAGGTAGTACCTCTACAAGTCTCCTTTTTAAAAAAAAAAAAAGTTCTTCTAAAAATAATAGAATGCATGTGCAGAACATGCAGGTTTGTTACATACATAGGTATACATGTGCCATGGTGGTTTGCTGCACCTATCAATTTGTCCTCTAAGTTCCCTCCCCTCACCCTCCACCCCCCAACAGGCCCTGTTATGTGTCATTCCCCTCCCTGTGTCCATGTGTATTCATTGTTCAACTCCCACTTATGAGTGAGAACATGCCGTATTTGGTCTTCTCTTCCTGTGTCTATATTCGTTTGCTTTTTGTTTGTTTATGCAAACAATGTGAAGTTGTTATCAGCTTAAAATAATGGGTTATAAGATATTATAAGATAGTATTTGCAAGCCTCATGGTAAACTCAAACCAAAAACTTATAATGTATCAACAAAAAATGAAAAGAACAAAACTAAATCATATCACAGGAGAAAATTACCTTAACTAAAGAGAAGACAGGAAGGGAAGAAAGAAGGAAGAGAAGATCAGAAAACAAACAGAAAACAACAAACAAAATGGCAGGAGTAAGTCCTTCCTTATCAATAGTAACATTGAATGTAAGTGGACTAAGCTCTTCAATCAAAAAACAGAGTGGTCAAATGGATAGAAAAAGAAGACCCAATGATCTGTTGCCTATAAGAAACACACTTCACCTATAAGGGTACCCATAGACTGAAAATAAAGGAATGGAAAGAGATATGCCCATGGAAACCAGGAAGAGTGAGAGTAGCTATACTCGTGATACCAAATAGATTTCAAGACAAACTATAAAAAGAGAAAAAGAGTGCCAGTATATAATGATAAATAAGTCAATTAATCAAGAGGATATAACAGTTTTAAGTATGTATGCATCCAACACTGGAGCACCCAGATATATAAAGCAAAAGTTATTAGAGCTAAATAGAGATGTAGGCCCCAATAAAATAATAGCTGGAGATTTCAACACCACATATTCAACATGGGACAGATCTTCTAGAAAGAAAATCAATGAAGAAACATCAAGTTTAATCTGTACTAAAGACCAAATGGAACTAATAAACATTTACAGATCATTTTAACCAATGGCTTCAGAATACACATTCCTCCCCTCAGCACATGAATCATTCTCAAGTATAGACCACATGTTATGTCACAAAAATGTCCTAAAACATTTAAAAAATTGAAATAATATCAGGCATCTTCTCTGACTACAATGGAGTAAAACTAGAAATCAGTAAAAAGAGTTTAGGAAACTGTTCAAATAAATAGACGTTAAATAATATACTCATTAATTACCAATGGGCCAATAAAGAAACTAAGAAGACATATAGACCAATGGAGCAGAACAGAGACCTCAGAAATAACACCACACATCTACAACTATCTGATCTTTGACAAACCTGCCCAAAACAAGCAATGGGGAGAGAATCTCCTATTCAGTAAACGGTGCTGGGAAAACTGTCCAGCCATATGCAGAAAACTGAAATTGGACCCCTTCCTTATACCTTATACAAAAATTAACTCAAGGTGGATTAAAGACTTAAAGGTAAAACCCAAAACCATAAAAACCCTAGAATAAACCTAGGAAATACAATTCAGGACATAGGCGTGGGCAAAGACTTCATGACAAAATCCCAGAAACAATTGGAACAAAAGCCAACATTGACAAATGGGATCTAATTAAACTATAGAGCTTCTGCACAGCAAAAGAAACTACCATCAGAGTGAACAGGCAACCTACAGAATGGGAGAAAATTTTTGCAATCCACCCACCTGATAAAGGTCCAATATCCAGAATTTACAAGGAACTGAAACAAATTTACAAGAAAAAAAAAAACATCAAAAAGTGGGAAAAAGATGTGAACAGACACTCCTCGAAAGAAGACATTTATGCAGCCAATGAGCATATGAAAGAAGCTCAACATTACTGATTAAGGAGATACTGCAACTGATACCACAGAAATTCAAAGGATTATTAGTATCTACTATGAGAAACTGCCTGCCAATAAACTGAACAATCTATTTCAATTGTATGCAGGAACAAGAAGTGAAATTATTCTTGTCTGCAAACGATATGATCATGTATTTGGAAAAACCTAAAGATTCCACCAAAAAAAATACTAGAACTGATAAACAAATTCATTAAATTTTCAGGATATAATATCAACACACAAAAATCAGCAGTATTTCTATATGCCAAAAGGGAACAATCTGAAAAAGAAATGTTAAAAATTTCATTGACAATAACCACAAATAAAATTAAATACCTAGGAATTAACTTAACCAAAGAAGTGAAAGATGCCTATAATGAAAACTGTACAATATTGATGAAAGAAATTAAAGGGGACACCAAAACATGGAAAGATACTCCATGTTCATGGATTGAAAGAATCAATATTGTTAAAATGTCCATACAACCCATAGTAATCTGCAGATTCAATGCAATTCCTGTCAAAATGCCAATGACATTTCTCATAGAAATAGAAAAAAATTCTCAAAGTTATATGGATCCACAAAAGACTCAGAATAGTCTAAACTGTGATGGGCAAAGTTAATAAAATTGGAAGTATCACATACCTGACTTTAAATCATACCACAGGGCTATAGTAACCTAAACATCATGGCACTGGCATAATAACAGACACGTAGACCAATGGAACAGAGAAGAGAATGCAGAAAGAAGTTTACATACCTGCAGTGAACTCATTTTCAAGAAATATGCCAAAAATACACTGGAGAAAAGACAATCTGGTGAATAAATAGTGCTGGAAAAACTGGATATCTATATGCAGAAGAATGAAACTAGACCTCTATCTCCTTTCATATGCAAAAAAAAAATCAAGTAAAAATTGATTAAACACTTAAATCTAAGACCGTAAACTATGAAACTACTACAAGAAAACATTAGAGAAACTCTCTGGGACATTGATCTGGGTAGTATTTCTTGAGAAATATCCCATAAGCATGGGTATCTAAAGGAAAAGTGGACACATTGAATCACATCAAGGTAGAGCTTCTGCACAGCAAAGGAAAAAAAAGTGAAGAGACAACGCACAGAATAAGAGAAAATATTTGCAAACTACACATCTTACAAGGGAGTAATGACCAGAATACATAAGGAGCTCAAACAACTATATAGGAAAAAATATAATAATCTGACTAAAAATGAGCAAAAAATCTAAATAGATATTTCTCAATGGCAGACATATGAAAAGGTGCTCCAAATCATTGATCATCAGAGAAATGCAAATCAAAACTATTATGAAATATCATCTTATCCCAGTTAAAATGGCTTTTATCCAAAAGACAGGCAATAACAAATACTCAACAAGGATATGGAGAAAAGAGAACCCTCGTACACTTGTCGTGAGAATGTAAATAATACAACTACTATGGAAAACAGCTTGGAGGGTCCTTAAAAATCTTTAAGAGCTTTAGGATTGCAAGTGGTTTTTGGTTACATAGATGAATTGTATAGTGGTAAAGTCTGGAATTTCAATGTATTCATAACCCACATAGTATATGTTGTAACACAATAGGTAGGGGTACAACTGTCTTTCCACACTCCCCTTTTCTGAGTCTCCAATGTCCATTGTACTACTCTGTCTGACCTCGTGTACCCATAGCTTAACTCTCACGTATAAGTGAGAACATGTAGTATTTGCTTTCTCATTTCTGAGTTACTTCTCTTAGATTAAAGAATCCAGTTCCATCCAAGTTGCTGCAAATACATTATTTTATCATTTTTTATGACCAAGCAGTATTCCATGGTGTGTGTGTCTGTGTGTGTGTATGTTTACACACATACCGCATTTTCTATATTCATTCACTGGTTGTTGGACACTTATTTTGATTTCATATCTTTGCAATTGTGAATTTTACTGCGATATACATGTTTGAATGTTTTTTGATATGATGATTTAATTCCCTTTGGATAGATGAGCAGTAGTGGGTTTGCTCAGTTGAATGGTGGATCTACTTTTAGTTCCTTGAGAAATCTCCATATTGTTTTCCAGAGAGGTTGTATTAATTTACATTCTCACCGGCAGTGTGTTTGTGTTCCCTTTGCACCACATCCGTGCCAACATCTATTGTTTTTTGACTTTTTAATAATGGCCATGCTGGCTACAGTAAGGTGATATCTCATTGCAGTTTTAATTTGTAATTCCCTGATGATTAGTGACATTGAGTGCTTTTTTTTCATATGTTTGTTGGCCATTTATATATCTTCTATTAAGAAATGTCTATTCATGTTCTTTGCCCACTTTTTCATGGGGTTATTTGATTTTTGCTTGCTAATTTGTTTCCTTGTGGATGCTGGATATTAGTCTTTTGTCAGGTGCAGAGTTGACAATTTTTTTTTTCATTCTGTAGATTCTCTCTTTACCCTGACGATTATTTCTTTTGCTGTACAGAAACTTTTTTAGTTTAAGTAGGTCTCATTTATTTATTTTTCTTGCATTTGCTTTTGGGGTCTTCATCATAAATTATTTGCCTAGGCCAGTATCCAGAATAGTGTTTCCTAGGTTTTTATTTAGAATTTATGGTGTTAGGGGTTAGATTTAAGTCTTTAATCCATCTTGAGTTCATTTTTGTACATGGTGAGAAATAAGGATCCAGTTTCATTTTTCTACACGTGGCTATCCAATTTTCTCAGCAAAATATATGGAATAGAATGTCCTTTCCCCAATTTGTGTTTTTATATGATTTGTTGATGATCAGTTGGTTGTAAGTATTTGAGTTTATTTCTGGATTCTCTATTGTGTTCCATTGATCTGTGTATCTGCTTTCACTAGTGCCATGCTGTTTGGTTACTATAGCCTTACAATATAATTTGAAGTTGAGTCATACGATGCCTCCAGATTTGTTCTTTTTGCTTAGGATTGCCTTGGCTATTTCTGCTCTTTTTTGGTTCCATATGAATTTCAAGATTATCTTTTCTAATTCTGTAAAGAATCATGTTGTTATTGTAATAGGGATTGCATTCAATCTGTCAATTGCTTTTGGAAGTGTGGTCATTTCCACAATATTGATTCTTTCCATTTGTTCGTGTCATCTGTGATTTCTTTCAGCAGAATTTTGTAGTTCCCCTTGGAGATTTTTCACCTAGTTGGTTAAGTATATTCATAGGTATTTTATTTTTTTGTACCTGTTGTAAAAGGGATTGGGTTCTTGGTTTGATTCTCATCTTGGTCATTGTTGGTGTATAACAGTGCTACTGGTTTATGTACATTGATTTTGCAACCTGAAACTTTTCTGAATTCATTTATTAAATCATAATCTTTTTGAGGGGTCTTCTCCAAAGAGATTTATTAAATCATAATCTTTTGGAGGGGTCTTTTAGGGTTTTCTAAGATAAGATCATATCATTGGCAAATAGATAATTTGATTTCCACTTTTCCAATTTGAATGCCCTTTATTTCTTTATCTTGCCTAATTATTGTTATAATATTATTGATTGATTTATTTATTTACTTATTTATTTATTTATTTATTGAAACGGAGTCTTGCTCTGTCGCCCAGGCTGGAGTGCAGTGGCGCCATCTCGGCTCACTGTAAGCTCCACCTCCCGGGTTCATGCCATTCTCCTGCCTCAGCCTCCTCAGTAGCTGGGACTACAGGCACCCGCCACCACGCCCGGCTAATTTTTTGTATTTTTAGTAGAGATGGGGTTTCACTGTGTTAGCCGGGCTGGTCTCAATCTCCTGACCTCGTGATTCTCCCGCCTGGGCCTCCCAAAATGCTGGGATTACAGGCGTGAGCCACCGCGCCCGGCCAACATTTGTTTTTTTTATCTTATTTTCTTCATTTTATTTTTATTCACTTTTTTATATTTCTTTCCTCTTTTTTTCACTCCATGCCTTCTTTCATTTTGTACCCCTCTGAAAGTCTGGAGAGGATAAAGTCTAAGTCTTAAATATAATTTTGTCTCCTTTTAAAAATTAAGCTTATATTTTACACTTAATTTTCAATTGCTGTATTTCAGAAGCAAATGAATCTGCTGGTTGTCCTCTACCTCTCTTAAAAGATGAGAAAATATATGTAGTTACACTTTCCCATTGCCTTACTTCGACTGCTACTGCTCTTCGGTTTTGTCTCTATATTCTGAGATTTTTAGCCAATTTTAATATAATTAAAAAATGTTTTCACTCTATAGCATACCTATGAGGATTTTTAACATTTAATGATTATGGGCTGAGTATTTACAATAAGTTCATGGCTGTCATGACTTCTTTAATCATTCAATCATTCATTCACTTATGCATTCAAAAACTATATTTTAACTTCTTTCTCATGAGGCTAAGAGACATTGATAACACACAAATCAGGCAAATCCTTGTCTTCTTAAATACATCTGTGAGTCTTCCTTCAGGATTCATGTTACATTACTCAGTTATGTCTTTTGGGAAGGATAAATGGATAATATTATTTCTGAGTCGGTGATATCTATGAATATGTTTTTATATTCAATATGAATATCAGATTAGCTGTAATTTGAATCATATAATTTCTCCATAAAAAATCCAATAGGATATTTTTTGTTTTGTTTTGTTTTACTTTTTATTATAAAAATTTCAAACATGCACAAGTGTATACTAGAATGAACCTAAAATGCCCCTCACCCAAATGACATTCATTGGCTTGATAATATCCATATACCGTCTATGCCCTTAACTACCCCTGCCACTGGATTTTTTTAAGTGGAGCAAATTACAGGCACCACATTATTTCATCCATAAATATTTCAGAACACCTCTCCTTTTTTTTCTTGAGCAGGATAGATTTTTAATGATCATCTATAACAAACAGAACTGTTTAAAAAAAAAAAAGTACCAAATGAGATGCAGGGAAGAACCTGCTTGCATGTTATTATTGACTCGACTTGAGTCACTGGAGTAAATGAATGGCTTCCCAGAACAAGTTCCAATCTTATTACAGGGTATCAAAGAAGAGTTTAAGCATTTTTATCAGGAATACTAGTGTCTTACAGTAGGATAATTTCCCTAGCATTTAAATAAGTTGTGGAAATATTGAATAAGTTTTTTTTTCTCAATTTTGTAATTAACACAGTTAACTCTCCTTGTAGGCTTGTGGAACTCTTTCTTTTATAGTTTGATTCAATGATACAAATGCCATTCTGTTTACTCATTTTTACTTTTGTTTCCTGAGAGTTCACATTGAAAAATATTCCTGTAATCTGTAAAATTGTTTTTATTTAATATTGTATAAATATGTTAATATTTTATTCTCTTCTTTGAGATAATATTTTTCAAATTATCTGTTTTCATTGTCTTTTGCATGCTTTCTTTCTTCCTTATTTCTTCGGAAGTTTATAAAAAATGTCTTGCTTTTTTTCTATTTATTAATCTTTGAGTATGGCATATGAATTGCCACCAAAATAGCGTTTGTAACATTGCATTGACTCACCTTCTCAGGTAATACTACCTTATAATACTTACTTTCTTCCCCTTGTAATACTAGCTTGCTTCATTCCCCTTATAATCCTAGCTGGAGGGTGGGAATATGATGGTCTTTATTCTCTGCTCATTTTCTCAGCTGCCTGGTAGAGAATGGATAGAACTTGTGACCCTCAAAGTCATGTTTGAGAAAATTAGATATGTGCTTCTCTGTTGAAAATTCTGTATTGGGGACAAACCAAGTTGGGCCGAGAATAGGACATCATCTGAGTGTGGCACACTTGCCATGGGGTTGAATTTATCTTCTGTTTAATTTTTTGTTTGTTTTTTGTTTTCTCCCTGCCCAGCAAAATAGGTCATAAAACCATTAGCTTATGAGACCTATTTATTGGAGTATACTTTCACCAGGATGAGAACAATCATTCATATCTTCCTGATAAAGCTTGCCTCCAGACTTCTCCCTTTTTATTAGGGGTAGAAAATTTGATTCTTAAAAACGAAAAATTTTAAGACCCCGGATTTTCTTTAACATCCCTGCAATAACAAGCCCCTTCAGATTGAAGACTCTTGAAACAGTCTTTAGGAATGTACTTTTCAGCACCACAGCTCCGCGGTTTGTTCTTTTTCTAAGATGGGATCTCACCCTGTTGCCCAGGCTGAAGTACAGTCGTGTAATCAAGGCCCACTGCAGCCTGGAACCCTGGGCTCAAGCGACCTTACCTCAGCCTCCCAAGTAGCTGGGACTACCAGTGCACACCACTATGCTTGGCAAATTTTTGTATTTTTGTTTATTTATTTATTTATTTATTTATTTATTTATGTTTTCTTTTTTTAGAGATGGGGTTTCACCGTGTTACCCAGGCTAGCTTGGTCTTGGTTAAGGAGTTGTCACTTGATTACTGGAATCCTTTCAACATTTTCAAAGTATATTCTGTCTGCATGTTATTCTTCAAAATGTGTGGTTTAAAGTTGAAGTCGTGCCGGGTTAGAGTACAAGTTAAGTTTGAGTTTCTTTTAGGTTTCCTTTATCCCCATCCCCACCACTAGGGGCTTTCAAAGAAATGATGTATTACAAGCATCTCCCTTTGTTTTTTTCCACCTTTCCTATGTGTTGGTCTTTAAAAGCCTGAAATATGAAGATTGGCTAATGCTCTGCACATGACACACAAGTACCTCTAAGGTTAGTTTGTTGTACCATGTGTGTAAACGCCCAGGGCATGTTTGGAATATCATGTAACAGAATGTGCCTGGAAATTCTGTGCCATTATTTCTTAGCATTCTGAGAATTATACGAGTATAGAATTTAGTATTATATTTATTCATTTTATTTTAGCCTAGCCAAACATTCTGTATGGAAAACACTACCAGGAAACTTTGCTTCTGACTTAATTACACTGTAACTTCTGTGAAAATTGTGTAATGTTTGAAAAGTTTTCATCGTTTTTGAAGGGCTTTTAAAAAACTTTTTATTCAATTATTAATATTTCTCTTAAAAATAGATTTATGTATGGAGAGACATAAATAGATTTATATTTTAGGTTTGAAATTTCATTTCAAGATCTCACTGGATAGTAAATACTAATATTTTTCTGAATTTTCTTGTTCAGTTTCAGTTATCATAAGGGAAATGCAACATTCAGATCCATAGGCAATAGAATTTGTTTCTGAAATTTTCCTCAACTTATTTGAGTGAATATATATATATTTATATACATATACATATATATTACAGAATATAGTAACTCTGTAATTGTATTTTGATATGTTATTAAGTCAAAAATGAGCAGCAGAAATTGTAAAATGGAAAGTTTAGTGTTTTTCTCAGCTGGAAAAGAAATCAGACAAACTGAACTACTTCTCTAGTTCACTAATGTAATAAGATATGTTTAATTTAATTATATGTTGCTTAACTGTCTCATCTTTATAAAGGGCACAGTGCTATAGAAAAATGCATCTTCTAGGCAGGAGTCTAATTAAAGGGGTGATATGAATAGCTTCCACTGGGAAATGCTAAGTAGTTTCCAGATACGGGTATTATCTCCTTTGTACAGGTATCAAGGCCGTGGCTGAAAACACTCAGATTATATGCCCAAAATCACATAGCAAATGGTAAGCTTAAAATTCATATTTTATATTTTATACAACATGTGGGTAATATGTAAGTGAAAAATGGGCTTCTTGCCATCTTACTTGTAAGTGTAATAATGCTTATTAGGTTTTCAATGGGAAATAATGACTATACTTTTCTAGTTTAACATACTGTGAATTCGGGTGGTATTCTGATTGAAATCTTTTTTTTTTCCATTTTACTTTAAGTTCTGGGATACATGTGCTAAACGTGCAGGTTTGTTACATAGGTATACATGTACCATGGTGGTTTCCTGCACCTATCAACCTGTTATCTAGGTTTAGAGCCCCACATGCATTAGGTATTTGTGCTAATGCTCTCCCTCCCCTTGTCCCCCATCCCCTGACAGTTCTCGGTGTGATGTCCACCTCCCTGTGTTCATGTGTTCTCATTGTTCAGCTCCCACTTATGAGTGAGAAAATGCAGTGTTTGGTTTTCTGTTCCTGTGTTAGTTTGCTGAGGATGATGGTTTCCAGCTTCATCCATGTTACTGCAAAGGACATGAACTCATCCTTTTTTATGGCTGCATAGTATTCCATGGTATATATGTGTCACATTATCTTTATCCAGTGTATCACTGATGGGCATTTGGGTTGGTTCCAAGTCTTTGCTATTGTGAATAGTGATGCAATAACCTACGTGTGCATGTGTTTTTAGAGTAGAATGATTTATAATCCTTTGGGTATATACCCAGTAATGGGATTGCTGGGTCAAATGGTATTTCTGGTTCTAGATCCTTGAAGAATCACCACACTGTCTTCCACAATGGTCGAACTAATTTACTCTCCCGCCAACAGTGTAAAAGCATTCTTATTTCTCCACATCCTCTTCAACATCTGTTGTTTCCTGACTTTTTAATGATCACCATTCTAACTGGCTTGAGATGGTATCTCATTGTGGTTTTGATTTGCATTTCTCTGATGACCACTGATGATGAGCTTTTTTTCACGCGTTTGTTGGCCAAATAAATGCCCCTTTGGGAAGTGTCTGTTCACAAATTTCACCCACTCTTTGATGGGGTTGTTTATTTTTTTCTTGTAAATTTGTTTAAGTTCCTTGTAGATTCTGGAATTTAGCCCTTTGTCAGATGGATAAACTGCAAAAATTTTATCCCATTCTTTAGGTTGCCTGTTCACTCTGATGATAGTTTCTTTTGCTGTGCAGAAGCTCTTTAGTTTAACTAGATTCCATTTGTCAGTTTTGGCTTATGTTGCCATTGCTTTTTGTGTTTTAGTCATGAACTCTTTGCCCATGCCTATGTCCTGAATGGTATTGCCTAGGTTTCCTTCTACGGTTTTTAAGGTTTTAGATCTTACATTTAAGTCTTTAATCCATCTTAATTTTTCTATAACGTCTAAGTAAGGGGTCCAATTTCTGTTTTCTGGATATGGCTAGCCTTGTTTTTACAGCACCATTTATTAAATAAGGAATTCTTTACCTATTGCTTGTTGTCAGGTATGTCGAAGATATGATGGTTGTAGATGTGTGGTGTTATTTCTGAGACTTCTATTCTGTTCCCTTGGTCTGTATATCTGTTTTTGTACCAGTACCATGCTGTTTTGGTTACTGTTGCCTTGTAATGTAGTTTGAAGTCAGGTAGCATGATGTCTCTGGCTTTGTTGTTTTTGCTTAGGATTGTCTTGGCTATATGGGCTATTTTTTGGTTCCGTATAAAATTTAAATTAGTTTTTCCTAGCTCTGTGAAGAAGGTCAATGGTAGCTTGATGGGAATAGCATAGAATCTATAAATTACTTTGGTCTGCATGGCCATTTTCACAATATTGATTCTTCCTACCCATGAGTATGGAATGTTTTTTCCATTTGTTTGTGTCCTCTTTTACTTCCTTTAGTAGTGGATTGTAGTTCTCCTTGAAGAGGTCCTTCATGTCCCTTGTAAGTTGTATTTCTAGGTATTTTATTCTCCTCTTTGTAGCAATTGTGAATGGGAGTTCACTCATGATTTGGCTTTCTGTTTGTCTACTATTGGTGTATAGGAATGCTTGTGATTTTTGCAAATTGATTTTGTGTCCTGAGACTTTGCTGAAGTTGTTTATTAGCTTAAGGAGTTTTTGGGCTGAGACTATGGGGTTTTCTAAATATACAATCATGTCATCTGCAAACAGAGACAATTTGACTTCCTCTTTTCCCATTTGAATACCCTTTATTTCTTTCTCCTGCCTCACTGCCCTGGCCAGAACTTCAAAAACTATGTTGAATAGGAGAGGTGAGAGGGGGCATAACTTGTTTTGTGCCAGTTTTCAAAGGGAATCCTTCCAGCTTTTCCCCATTCAGTATGATATTGGCTATGGGCTTGTTATAAATAGATTTTATTATTTTGAGATATCTTCTATCAATATCTAGTTTATTGAGAGTTTTTAGCATGAAGGGATGTTGAATTTGTATTGAAGGCCTTTTCTGCATCTACTGAGATAATCATATGTTTTTTTTTGTCATTGGTTCTACTTATATGATGGATTACATTTATTGATATGCATATATTGAACCAGCCTTGCATCCTGGGGATGAAACCGACTTGATCGTGGTAGATAAGCTTTTTGATTTGCTGCTGGATTTGATTTGCTAGTATTTTATTGAGAATTTTTGCATCATGTTAATCAGGGATATTGGCCTGAAATTTTCTTTACTAGTTGTGTCTCTGCCAGGTTTTGGAATCAGGATGATTCTGGCCCCATGAGTTGAGGAGGAGTCCCTTTTTTTCTATTGTTTGGAATAGTTTCAGAAGTAATGGTACCAGCTCCTCTTTGTACCTGTGGTAGAATTCGGCTGTGAATCCATCTGGTCCTGGGCTTTTTTTTGGTTGGTAGGCTATTAGTTATTTCCTCAATTTCAGAACTTTTTATTCCTATATTCAGGGATTCGACTTCTTTGTTTAGTCTTGGGAGGGTTTATGTGTCCAGGAATTTATCCATTTCTTCTACATTTTCCAGTTGATTTGTGTAGAGGTGTTTATAATATTCTCTGTTGGTAGTTTCTATTTCTGTGGAATCAGTGGTGATATCCCCTTTATCATTTTTTATTGTGTCTATTTGATTCTTCTCCCTTTTCTTCTTTATTAGTCTGGCTAGTGATCTATATATTTGGTTAATCTTTTCAAAAAAATCCGCTCCTGGATTCACTGATTTTTTGAAGGGTTTTTCATGTCTCTGTCTCCTTCAATTCTGCTCTAATCTTAGTTATTTCTTGTCTTCTGCTAGCTTTTGAATTGGTTTGCTCTTGCTTCTCTAGTTCTTTAAGTTGTCATGTTAGCATGTCAATTTTAGATCTTTCTTGCTTTCTCCTGTGGACATTTAGTACTATACATTTCCCTCTACATACTGATTTAACTGTGTCCCAGAGACACTGGTACGTTGTCTCTTTGTTCTCATTGCTTTCAAAGAATTTCATTATTTCTGTCTTAATTTATTTATTTACCGAGTAGTCATTCAGGAGCAGGTTGTTCAGTTTCCATGTAGTTCTGTGGTTTTGAGTGAGTTTCTTACTTCTGAGTTCTAATTTGATTGCACTGTGGTCTGAGTGACTGTTTGTTATGATTTCCATTCTTTTGTATTTGCTGAGTAGTGTTTTACTTCAAATTATGTGGTCTGTTTTAGAGTAGGTGGTATGTGGTGCTGAGGAGTGTATATTCTGTTGATTTGGTGTGTAGAGTTCTATACATATCTATTAGATCTGCTTGGTCCAAAGCCGAGTTCAAGTCTTGAACATCCTTGTTAATTTTCTGCCTCTTTGATCTAATATTGACAGTGGGGTGTTAAAGTCTCCTACTATTATTGTGTGGGAGTCCAAGTCTCTTTGTAGGTCTCTAAGAATTTGTTTTATGAATCTGGGTGCTCCTGTAGCGGGTGCATACATATTTAGGATAGCTAGCTCTTCTTTTTGCATTGATCCCTTTACCATTATGTAATGCCCTTCTTTGTCTCTTTTGACCTTTGTTGGTTTAAAGTCTGTTTTTTTTCAGAGACTAGGATTGCAACCCCTGCTTTTTTTTTTTCTGCTTTCCATTTGCTTGGTAAATATTCCTCCATCCCTTTATTTTGAGCCTATGTATGTCTTTGAACGTGAGATGGGTCTCCTGAATACAGCACACTGATGAATCTTGACTCTCTCCAACTTGCCAGCCTGTGTCTTTTAATTGGGCATTTAGCCCATTTACATTTAAGGTTCATATTGTTATGTGTGAATTTGATCCTGTCGTGATGATGCTAGCTGGTTATTTTGCACATTAGTTGATGCAGTTTATTCATAGTGTCACTGGTCTTTATATTTTTGTGTGTTTTTGCAGTGACTGGTACTGGTTTTTCCTTTCCATATTTAGTGCTTCCTTCAGGAGCTCTTGTAAAGCAGGCCTGGTAGTGACAAAATCCCATTTCTGAAACTTTCCTTTCAAGGGGAATCTAATATAAAATGAAATAATTTGCACTGAATCATCAACATTAAGAGGAGCTTTTAATTTGACACTTACTTTATAAAAACAATGGGGCAATAATTTATAATGATCCAAGAATGTTTCAAGAATATTTAACACAACTTCCAAGAATATTTATCCTCCCTAAATGTCTCTTTAAGCTTTTCAAATGTTAGGATCACTGAACACTTTCATTTATTTATTTCTGTTTGGAAGGAGTGGTGGGATTTGCAAAATATTGAGTTCATAAAAAATGTCAATCAGAAATGATGTACCTACTCAAAAATCAACATTTGGTATTTTAGTTACAAAATGAGTAAATTTAGTTCTGATGTTACAATTCCATACAAACACATATGTGTACACATACACACTCACACTCACGCATGTGCAAGCTCAGTCTTGTTCATTAGTTTTTATAGTTGGAATATGAGATTGATAGATTATCTCTTCTTCCAAGTTCACTATTGTCAATTAATAGCACTGAGATATCTCTAGATAAAAGTGAGACATGCTAGTATCCAGACACAACCATAACTATGGTGGCTTTCCAACTACACAGATTTTGAGGGGAAGATGTGCTTTTTGGTATGTGAATGTGAGAGATGTCTCTACTTTCAACATGAATTTTTTTCTAAGTCATATCTACCTCTCCATGATAACCATTCTGTGTTCTAATTGATTCTAATGTTTATTTCTTTAAAAGACAAAATTACAGCTGTTTGAATTTAATGTGGCCACATGTGTCGGATCACAAGAACACCAAATTTCTATGTCGGCCAATTTTAAGTGCTTAAAATAATTTTGGGTACTGGAGCGTGATATAACAATTAAAATTTAATTTGGTCATATACATTAAAATAATCTTAATGTATTAAATAAGCTTAATGTTTAATACATTAAGAAATAATGTATTAAATAAACTTAATGTATTAAGTAAACAATTTATATGCAATATAATCTCTTGCTTAACTCACTTTTAATTGTTTTTAAATACTATAATTTTTTTAAAATTTTTCTCCTTGTCCCTTTTTGAAATATTTTTAAATAACTTGAGTTATAATTATAATGATTGTTTTCTCAGTAAGTAATGATTTAGGTTTGCTATATCAGATATATGTTTAATTTGAGTTTTCTAGGATGTTATAAGTATTCTCCATGTATAAGAGAATTCTAGCTACCTAGGTACAGAGGAAAATAGAAAAAAAAATCTGTTTCTGAACATCTAGGATTTTTCCAGGCATTGGATACTATTCAAAAGAAGGTTGTTATTACACATAGCAGAGTTATCCCAAACATTGTGAAGATGCTCAAGAGCTCCTGCTCAGCCTTGTGAATAGATGACCGAAGTAGCCTGTGATTCTATACTTCACTGATATTGCCACTTGTTTCCGCCAGTCCCCAACTACTCCAACCTGCCTCAAGAATGGCTTTACCAGACATCCTATGTTAAAGAAAGTCAAGGTTTGTGGACCACATTTGCAAAAGATAAATTATAAATTCTTGAATGCAAAGTTACCCATCTCTGTAATGTGAAACTTAACAAATATTGAATAGTACAAACATTTAATTTCAAGGTGTCATTGTCCTGGATTTTAGAGAATAAATGAGTTTGCAGTGTCAGATACTTAGGAAGTCTTGAAAAAGAGGTTCATTATGCATAAAGTTCTAAAGTCAAACATTGCTTTTATACTTCTTTTGCTCTAGACTTATTCTAACACCTTTTAAATAAGGACTTGGACAAATAGTTCATTTACTGTATTCTAATTAAAATTTTCATATAATTTTAAATTTATGTTGAATATCTTGTTCTTACTTGCCCTTATTAGCATGTAGCAAAAATTTTATCATTTTGTGATATCTCATAAGCTAAATAAAATTTTGAATTTAAACTCACATGTGTCATTTTAAACATGAGGCATAAATTGAAATAATCACAAAGATCGTTTTTTGAATTGTCGGGCCTTGTGACTTCTTTGATATTTATTATCTTATGATGTTTTGGTTTGCTATTTTTGTTCATTTCCTTTTCAAATAATTATGGTCTAGGTATAATTTACTTGTGTGTTTTCATTTTAAAGCTAAAATTGATTTTATAAATATTTTCTGACATCTCTTCAACTTAAAATATAAAATATGTTATGGTTATACTTATTACTATAACGATGACTTCTTTATCTATATATCATAAATATTTCCATGAAGTCTTTATGAGCAAAGAAATATTAATTTCAGTTGATAATAAAATTATGTTTTAGCACATACTGTGTATGAGACACTGTGCTAAGATGTTCATGTGGGTTATTTCATTTAATTTTCACAGATACCAGATTTGGAAACTGAGATTTGAAGAAAATAAGAAACAGGTACAAAATCATACAAACACTAAAAACTCAGATGACAAGCCAGGGCAGTCTTAAACTACAACTAGTACTCTAAACAATTAAACTACAGAGTCATACTACCTGATGAAACTTTTAAAATATGAAACCTTTCAAACAATTTAAAAAGTACAAAGAAATAATTTAGCTGACACCCATGACCCCCAAACCCCCAATTCAGTAGAGATTGACATTTTATAATTTTATTTTATTTATTTTTTATTATAGTTTAAGTTCCGGGATACATGTGCATAACGTGCAGGTTAATTACATAGGTATACACATGCCATGGTGGTTTGCTGCCCCCATCAACCCATCATCTATATTAGGTGTTTCTCCTAATGCTGTGTCCTTCCCCTAGCCCCCAACCCACAACAGGCCCTGGTGTGTGATGTTCCCCTCCCTGTGTCCATGTGTTCTCATTGTTCAACTCCCGCTTATAAGTGAGAACGTGTGGTGTTTGGTTTTCTTTCCTGTGTTAGTTTGCTGAGAATGATGTTTCCAGCTTCATCCATGTCCTGCAAAGGACGTGAACTCATTGTTTTTATGGCTGCATAATATTCCATCTTGTATATGTGCCACATTTTCTTTATCCAGTTTCTCATTGATGGGCATTTGGTTGGTTCCAGTCTTTGCTATTGTGAATAGTGCTGCAATATATTTTATAATTTTATTTCATATCTTTCTTCTGATACCCTCCACCACTCCTGTTTCCTTTTGAGAACTGATACTAAAGATAGTCTATTCCAGTGGTTCTCTACTAGAAGCAGTTTTTCTCCCCTGCCTCAGAGGGGAAAATTTCTGAAAACAGTTTTGCTTGTCACAACTGGGGAGAAGGGAGCTATTATTAACCAAAGGGTAAAGCCAAAAATGTTGTTAAATAACCTACAATGCAGAGGAGGGCATCCACAACAAAACCCTAGTCTATCCCATTTATTACCACTTCTTTTTCTCCTGAGGAGTCACCGCTATCAGGAAGTTAGGGTGAATTATTTCCCTGGAAGTCTTCATACTTTCATTACATAATATACATTGAAACATAATTTTATGTATTTATATTTTATATAGATTGCATCAGACTGTTTTTCTTAGAAGGTTTTTATAAACTTGACATTGAAATCCATTTACTATGATAATTTTATCTACTTTAGCTATATAATGGATTTTGATACTTCACATAAGATACATCTTATATTGCTATTTTTGAGTCTTCACTGTTCCCTGAGCTTTATTTTTTATTTTTGTTTTTAATTTTTTTATGGATACCTAATAGTTGTACATATTTATGTGGTGTGTATTATATTTTGATACAAACATATAATGTTTAATGATCAAATGTGGGTATTTAGCACATCCATTACCTCAAACATTTGTCATTTGTTTGTGTTGGGACTATTCCATATCTTCTAGTTACTGAAATATACAATAAATCATTGTTAAATATAAGCCCCCTATTTTGGTACCAAACACTACCTGTTAACCAACGCCTCTTTATTCCCCCTCCCAAATACCCTACCCAGCCTCTGGTAACACCAGTCTATTGACTACCTTCATGAGATTTTTTTTTTTTTTCAGCTCTCACATATGAGTGAGTACATGCAAATTTGTCTTTCAATGCCTGGGTTATTTCACTTAACATAATGCCTTCCAGTTTTATCCATGTTGCTACAAATGTCAGGATTTTAGTTTCTATGGCTGAATAATATTCCATTATGTATACATATGACATTTTCTTTATCCATTCATTCATGGACACTTGGGTTGGTTCTATATATTGGCTACTGTGAATAGTGCTGTGATAAACGTGGGAGTGCACACAACTCTTTTATATGCAGTTTTTCTTTCTTTTGGATATATACTCAGCAGTAGAATGGCTTGGTCATATAGTAGCTCTATTTTTAGTTCTTTGAGGAAGCGCCATACTGTTTTTCATAATGGCTATACTAATTTACATTGCCACCGACTGTGTTCTCTGAACTTTAGTGTGAGCTTTTCACGTTTCATAAAATTTCCTTTGGAATTTTGACTGAAATTGCACTGAATCTAGTATAATTAGTGCATTGCTATCTTTAATGATCTTTTCATCTAATAATGCAAGGATTTCTCTCTGCTTCTGCACATCTTTCACGCTTATGTCCTGTTTTATAATGTTTTTCAATTATTTTGTTCAATTTTTTGCCATACACCTGATAGTTTAGACACTTTTATAAATGCTGACTTTTAAAATATTTTCTGGTATTTTGTTGCTTGTGTAGAGGAATGAAAAAGTGCTGAATATTCTGAAAGTTGTCTGGGTCTACTTCATAACTGAAGTTGTTTTCTGTATGGGCAACCATAATGTTTGTCTTTTGTTTCTTCCATTTGGATTGGTATAACTCTTTTGCCAGCTATGAAATCTAGTATACTATTTGAATAAAGGCATGAGTAGTAGACATACTTACTATATACCTATCTTTAAAGAGGATAATTTTTAATTTCAGCATTAAGTGTGTTATTTACTATAGGTTTTGGGTAGTTATATTTACAATTCTGGATAACTTTTTTTCTAATTCACTTACTTCTACATCCATTCCATAAATGGATATTGACTTTTGTCAAATGGGCTTTCTGAATCTGTGGGCAAGAATATATGACCTTTCTTCTTTAATATATTACTTTGAGTAATTAAATGTATTCATTGGATAATATTCCACCATTTTTGCCTTCCTAGTAACCATTCATTTTTGCTCATAATACCTTATATATGCATAAATATACATAAACATTCACTGCTGAATTTGTCATTGAGAGGAAAGACATCCTCTCAAGAGTTCTGTTTTGTTTTAATAAGCCTTTCCCTCTGACTTCCTTTATTCTTTTTAATGTTTTTATTATATTTTAAGTTCTGGGATACATGTGCAGAATGTGCAGGTTAGTTACATAGGTATACATGTGCCATGGTGGTTTGCTGCACCCATCAACCCATCATCTACATTAAGTATTTCTTTTAATGCTATCCCTCCCCTGGCCCCCTACTGCCCAACAGGCCCGTGTGTGATGTTCCCCTCCCGGTGTCCATGTGTTCTCATTGTTCACCTCCCTCTTATGAGTGAGAACATATGGTGTTTGGTTTTCTATTCCTGTGTCAGTTTGCTGAGAATGATGGTTTCCAGCTTGATCTGTGTCTCTGCAAAGGACATGAACTCATCCTTTTTTATGGCTGCATAGTATTCCATGGTGTAGATGTGCCACATTGTCTTTATCCAGTCTATCATTGGTGGGCCTTTGGGTTGGTTACAAGTTTTGCTATTGTGAATTGTACTGCAATAAACATATATGTGCATGTGTCTTTAGAGTAGAATGATTTATAATCCTGTGGGTATATACCCAGTAACAGGATGGCTGGGTCAAATGGTATTTCTGGTTCTAGATCCTTGAGGAAATGCCACATTGTCTTCCACAATGGTTGAACTAATTTACACTCCCACCAACAGTGTAAAAGTTTTCCTATTTCTCCACATCCTTTCCAGCCTCTGTTGTTTCCTGACTTTTTAATGGTTGCCATTCTAACTGGCATCAGATGGTATCCCATTGTGGTTTTGATTTGTGTTTCTCTAATGACCAATGATGATGAGATTTTTTTTTCATATGTTAGCTGGCCAAATAAATGCCTCCTTTGAGAAGTATCTTTATGTTTTTTACTTGAATGATGACAAAAATAAATTAGGTTTGTTTTTAATTTATATTTCTTTGCTTTAGATAAACATTTTCTATGTAGCTATCCTTTTATATTTTATTTGTTCCCTCTTCTCTCTCTACTCCATTACAATTTGCATCTCTATTGTGTTGTGTTTACACACATATATATCATCCATTTTTTTGGAATGTATATTTTTGTCATACATATATATTGATATAATTGTAATTTTAATCACAACTATCACACATGTACACACACGTTTATATATTTAAAAATTTTGTGTAAGTAATAAATTTGTGTGCATGCAGTTTCCCCTTGATGCAGATGAAGGAGTGTCTATTAAAATCTGTTATTCATTTTGAGTTTTAGTAATATGGGGAGGGTGCAGTGCATGTGTAGTAAGACTTGTGGAGAAGATTCTTAGGATGCCAATAATAATAATTTTGGTTATCATCATATTCGTAATAATATGATAGGAAAACAACTTAATTGCTGTTCCAGGAATTATGCAGATATTTCACAAGCAAATTGTTACAGATTCTTAAAACAACACAGTATATTGACAGGTTTATTCCCTTTTGGCAGATGCCAGATCTAACATCCCACAACTATTGAGAGTAGAGCCAAGTTTTTTATCTGCCCCCATAAGTAGTGAAATTGTATACTCTTCTCACTGTACTCTGTTAACATTGATAGACTAGAAACTTCTTGGTGCTTGGTCATAGCACACTTCAAAACAACTGGCAATGTCTTCTGAGTGAGGGTAGTCACAGGTCAGAGTGGATTGGATAAAGGTTGATGGATGGTTGCCATCATCTATGTGGTTCCCGGGGAACTCTAATATGCTCATAGTATTTGCTATCATAGTTTCCTAGAAAAGAGTGCATCCTCTGGACATTCAGCATCTACATCTCTCACACCTGCTTGGTGGCAAGTTTTGTAGTCCAGTCTGAAAATTATTTTAAAGCCTTATGTGAATTATGCTTCTATTTCTCCCTTTCCTTGAATTGCTATGCAGGTTTTGCCACTAAGCCATCTAGTCATAATTCCCCCTTTGTATTTGAGAAGCTTACTTTACCATTTTTTAAACTTTATGTGAAGTTTTCAGATGCTCGAAGTCTGAATTCTGCTTTACATTTCTGATTTTCACTTTAGAGCTATACACGTTGTTATAAAATTTCTTTTCTTTTTTTTTTTTTTTTTTTTTTTTTTTTGAGTTGGAGTTTCGCTCTTGTTGCCCAGGCTGGAGTGCAATGGCACAATCTTGGCTCACCGCAACCTCTGCCTCCTGGGTTCAAGTGATTCTCCTGCCTCAGCCTCCCGAGTAGCTGGGATTACAGGCATGCGCCACCACGCCTGGTCAATTTTGTATTTTTAGTAGAAACAGGGTTTCTTCATGTTGGTCAGGCTGGTCTCGAACTCCCGACTTCAGGTGGTCCTCCCGCCTCAGCCTCCCAAAGTGCTGAGATTACAGGCATCAGCCACCGCACCCGGCATAAAATTTCTTTTATGATATTTATCTTCAAATAATTGAGAGAGAAGCAGTGAAGTCTGCCTGCATTCAAATACTGACTCCATTATTTCGCTAGTATAATTTCAGGCTAGATATTAGGCTTCCTGAGCATCAGTTTTCTCATTGTATGAATAAAACAGAGAAATCATAATAAAAGTACTTACCTCATCTGATTGTTGGAGGATAGAAACAAATACCGTGAAGAAAAGATTTATCATTCAACAAATCATAGGCAAGAGGCATCACAGTAGTATCCCCAGCTACTGCAAATTGAGAATTGCTATTTTTAGTTTCGCTCATTCATTTCTCCACATAAGTTTTTCAATCGGTAATCATAGTTCTAAAACTGTATTTTGATTGTATTTGAAATTTTCCTAAATCTATGCATTTTTATATTCATATAGTATTTACTATTTGGAACTGTGTAGCAGTTAGTTTATAGTATTTAGGATCTGTATAAACAGTCATGCGCTGCTTAACAATGAAGACATATTCTGATAAATGCCATGTTAGGTGAGGTCAGCATTGTGTGAAATTGAGAATGTGCTTACACAAACCTACATGGTATAGCCTACACACCTAGGCTATATGGCATAGCCTGGTTCTTCTAGGCTACAAGCCTGTACAGCATGTTGCTGTACTGAGTACTGTAGGGAATTGTAGCACAGTGTAGGTATTTGTGTATATAAACCTATCTAAACACAGAAAAGGTGATGCTTTTCAGTATGAAGTTACAATGGCTACAATAACACCAGGTGATAGAAATTTTTCAGTTCCGGTATAATCTTATGAGACCACCGTTGTATAAGCAGTCTGTCATTGACTGAAATGTCATGTGGCACATGACGACACTCTTTAGTAGGTGGAATTGTGGTAAGCCTATATATTTACTATAGTGATATGGTATTAATAGAGCGACCCCAGTTCATTATATGTATTTCCATTTATTTGCATCTACTTGGACTCAAAAAAATGTTATGAACACCTCCTTTTTTGCGCAGGGGAGTTATCTAAAAGAACTTTGTTGCGGCTAGTGTGGCAGGTGGCAAAGGTTTTACATGTCATGTACATATGCTGTTGTTATAAGCAAACAAATGTCTGTTGTGTGTGCTAATGATCTTTGCTGAATTACATAAATATTATTTGATTATGTATTACTAACCAGGATTCATTATTGACTTTCTTTATTGTTATTAGTGGGAATTAATCTGATACCTTCCAAGGCACTCAGTGTTTTCTATAAATAACACTATTCACCTTTATAACACATATTTTTATTTGCTCTGTCTTTTAAATTAGCAGGATTCCCTATAATGTTGAGCAATATTGGTTGTGATTCATAGCCTTGTTTGTTACTGAATTTGAAGGGGTCTTTGACCATCATTTTGTCATTGATTGTAATGTTAGTTTTAGGCTATATGACTATTTCTAAAATAGTATTTTATTTTATTTTTCAAAAGTATTTTATTGGGAGGGATGTCAAATTTTCACCTGGAATTTTTTAATGATAAGCAATTTAATGTTTTTAGCCTACTGACATTACCGTTGTTACATTGAAATATCCTTTTATCTCTGGGTTACATGAGACGATGAGTTTTTTTTTCTACTTTAAAAAATATTTAAAAAGTTAATTTTTATTTTATAAGATTGGATTCAAATCATAATTAGGTCACTAGGACCTTTATGCATTTCTATTATAATTTTTATTTCCTTCCCTTTTAATCTGTGATATAGGGGTGTACCTTATTCTGTATGCTCTCCTCACACACACACAAAGTAGCTGTAATGGTCAGAATTTATCTTTCGTTCTCTTCATCTTCATCTTCATCTTCATCTTCCTGTCTTTCTCCCTTCCTCCCTTTCTCCTCTCCTCCTTTCCTCCTTTCCTCTCTGTCTCTCTCTCTCTCTCTCTGTCTCTCTATCTCTCTCTCTCTCTTTCTCTCTTTCTTTGGTGTCTCACTCCATCGCTCAGGCTGGAGTGCAGTGACATGACCTCGGCACACTGCAAATTTAGCCTCCGGGTTCGAGCAATTCTAGTGCCATGCCCAGCTTTTTAAAATCTTTATTTTTGCATTTAAAATTTTTTTTTAGTAGAGATGGGGTTTCACCATGTTGGTCAGGCTGGTCTGAAACTCCTGACCTCAAGTTATCCACCCGCCTCAGCTTCCAAGAGTGCTGGGATTACAGGCGTGAGCCACTGCACATGGCCACATTTTTCTTTCTTAATCTGATAACTTTTAATATGTTTATAGCTATAGGTATTTATAGTTATAGGTATTTGTACTTATACTTTATGCTAACAGAGGATTATCTTTTTAAAATAAAGAGTTATTCTCCTGATTTTGGTGTATAGTAATGAATGTCCATGTACAGAAGTTCTCTTATTTATTTATAATTCTATTTTATTTTTTCAACCTCTGCAGAATAAAAGGGGTATTTTGATGGTAAATTTTATGAAAGTTCACAGATCTGAAATCATTTTTCTCTCATCTTCATATGTGAATTACAACTTGCTTGGGTAAAGCAGAGTTCTTGGATCACACCTCTTTTTTTCTTGGATCACACCTCTTTTTTGTAAGACTCTGAAGTTATTCCTCTGTTAGTGTCTGAAGTTGAGTGTCACAGCAGAGAACTCTGAAACAATAATGCTTTGGCTTCTTTGAAAGAGTTTGCTTTTGTTCTCTTATAGACATAGAAAAAAAAACCCTCTTTTTCCTTGAAATTTAAGACTATTTCCTTAACAATTGTACTGAGGTCATTGTGAATTCAATCTCAACACTTTTTTTGTAGTTTTGAAAAGTTTTCTTTAATTCTTTCAAATCTTTTTGTAAAGAGTTATAAACCAAGTGAATTGAAATAAACAACTTATTCTTGTTTATTAATTCAGTTCTACTTCTGTGTTCTGTGTTTTCAATATCTGTCATCTCCTTTTTCATCCTCTGTCTCTCTCTATTAAATTGGTTTCTATTTTATATGTATCATCTGCTTAACTTCTGGTAAGCAGATACATATTTGAGCAACATGAATTCTCATATATAGTTCTCCCAATCACTTCTCAAATAAATGCTCGTTAAAATTGTAACAACAAAAAGCTTGTAATCCTAGCACCCAGAAACAAGTTATAATTATCGTATATTCAGAAATATATAAGCATATGATGGTGTCTTAATGTATACATAATATATTAGATAACTGAACCCATTTTCAACTCAACATATAGTAGGCATTACATACATCATCAAAATTTAGAAATTTTAGAAAAGCAACAGAAAAACATCATTTGTGATAACCACACCCAGATAATGACTATTACTCAAATGAGTATGGCATATATATAATATATATTTTTATATTATATATGTGTGTGTATATATACACACTCTCTGGAAAACTGTTCTCTTTTCAAATAATTTTTAAAATGCTATATTACATAAATTTAAGATAATTATATACAATAATTAATATGCTAATTTGTATATTAATTTTTATACATTTTACAATGTACTACTTTCTCAGGACAGCAAGAAAATATGTCCTGTAACTAGTATCTCTTTCAACAAAGTTTGTGAAATGCAGTATTTTTTTTTTTTACTTATATCCTTCTTTTTTTTCCTTTAGATATCTTACTTCCTTCTCAATGCACTTCCAATACTAGCTCACTCTCACTGTTCAGAAAGGGGGACTGGTGGAAATAGGCACATCTCTTACTCTTATCCAGACAAAAATGTTTCTGATACCTCATTTCCCCCAAGATAGTTTTTCTTATGTCCTGGTTATATCTTACATTATGTGCCCCACAGTGTGGAATGCTCTAAAGAGCACAGGCTTTTGAATGAGCCAGGCTAAATCCGGTACTGCTTCTACCACTTACAAGATGTGTGTGTTTGGTGAATTAGTTTACTTTCCAGAATCTCATTTTTACCATCATTTAAGTGTAGATCATATTACCTTTCTTAAAAGTCACTGAGATAGATAGTAGACTCATTTGCAGATTATATAAAATACTCCTACACATTCAAATAAAAAGGAAATGACCAATATTCATATAGAAATATTTCTACATGAATTCCTTAAGAGAGAAAGGCAATTTTATTTTATTTTTTAAAATAAACTGTATTGTGTACTGTCAGCTCACATATTTACTTATTTTTGCCCCCTTGTGACAAAAGCAGCTATAATTTACTCATTTACCAAAACTCCTGTATATAATACGCTAACTATCATTCCTCATAGTTTACATTAAATCTCTCAATGTGTTAATCCTAAATATTTGATACTTTGTATCGATTGACCTACATCTCCTCATAGCTTCTGCCTCCCACAGCCTGACCCTGGTAACCAGTATTTTATTTTCCATCTCTATATATTTGATCTTTTTTAAAATTTCACATACAAGCAAGATAGACCGGGTGTGGTGATTCACGCCTGTAATCCGAGAACTTTGGGAGGCTGGGGCGGGCGGATTACCTGAGGTCAGGAGCTCGAGACCAGCCTGGCCAACATGGTTAAACCCCGTCTCTACTAAAAATACAAAATTAGCTGGGCCTGGAGGCTCACGCCTGTAATCCCAGTTACTCAGGAGGCTGAAACAGGAGAATTGCTTGAACCCAGGACGCAGAGGTTGCAGTGAGCTGATATCGTGCCACTGCACTCCAGCCTGGGAGACAGAGCGAGACTCCATCTTAAAAAAAAAAAAAAAAAAAGAATGTCATGCAAGGAAGATCATGCAACATGTTTTTTTCTGTGTCTGGCTTATTTGATCCAGCATAGTATCCTCTAGGTCCATTCATATTGTGACAAGTGACAGGATCTCCTTTGCAAAAGGCTGAATAATGTTCATAAACTATGATAGTTTCTTCATCCATTTTTTCATTGATAGGCACCTAGATTATTTTCATAGCTCGACTATTGTGAATAAAGCTACAATGAACATAGGATTGCAGATATCTTTATGAGGTGGTGATTTTATTTTCTTAGAATGGTAGTTCTATTTTTAATTTCATTAGAAATCTGACACTGTTTCCCATAATGCCTGCACCAACACAGTACAAGAGTTTCCTTTTTTCCCCCATTCTTACCAACACCTGTTATCTCTTATCTTTTTTATAATAGTTATCCTAACAGTTATGAGGATATATAGAGTTTTGAATTGTATTTCCTGTGGAATTAGTGGTGTTGAGCACTTTTTCATGTCCTTGTTAGACATTTTTATGTCATCTTTGGAGAAATGTCTATTCGAGTCTTTTGTCCAGTTTTTAATCAGGTTATATATTTCTTACTATATTAAGTTGTATGAATTATGTGTAAATCTTGGATATTAACCCCTTATTTGTTATATGGTTTGAAAATATGTTTTTTCCCAGTCTGTTGATTACCTTCTCATTTTGTTGATTTTTTCTTTTGCTGAGAAGAAACTTTTTATTTGATGCCGTTTCTTTTATTTATGTTTGCTTTTGTAGCCTAAGTTTCTGGTGTGATACCCAATAAATCATTGCTAAGACTAATGTCAAGGAGCTTTTCCTCTATGTTCTCTACTAGGAGTTTTATGATTTCAAGTCTTATGTTTAGGTCTCTCATCCATTTTGAGTTGATTTTTGTGTATGGTGTAAGAGAAGGATTCCATTTCATTGTCTCGGATATGTCAATCCAGGTTTGTAAATCCAGATATGTAAATCCAGCAAATTTATTGAAGACATTGTCCTTTCCTCATGTGTATTTTTGGTGCCCTTGTCAAAAATTAGTTGACTGTATATGTTTAGATTTATTTTGGGGCTCTTTAATCTCTTCCACTGGTCTGTGTATCTGTATGCAAGTATCACATTCTTTTGATTGCTATAGCTTTGTAATATACTTTTGAATCAGGAAGTATGATGTTTTCAACTTTTTTTTTTTTCAGAATTGTTTTGGCTATTCAAGATCTTTTGTGGTTTCATACAAATTTTAGGGTTTTTTTATCTATTTTTGTGAATAATGCCACTGGGATTTTGATAGGGACTGCATTGAATCTATTTATTGCTTTATGTAGTGTTAACATTTTAACAGTTAGTGTTTCTGATCCATAAGCATGGAATAGCTTTTCACTTATTTGTGTCCTATTTAATTTTTTTTATCTGTATTTTCTAGTTTTCAGTTTACGGGTCTTTCACCTCCTTGGTTGAGTTTATTCCTAAGCTTTTTATGCTATTGTAAATGGGATTGTTTTCTTGATTTATTTTTGGTCTAGGTCGTTATTTGTGTATAGATATGCTCCAAAGTTGGGTAACCATCACCGCCATCCATCTCCGAAACTCTCTGACTACACAACATTATGAATGTATTTAATGCCACTTAACTGTACACTTAAAATTGTTAAAATAGGAAGTTTTATGTTATATATATTTGCCATAATAAAAAATTGGAAAAAGTGCAGTTAATATTTAAGGAGAAACTATACTATTAAATTTCTTTTCTTAATATTATTTCTTTAAAATATTTAATTAAAATACTGATAAATTTATTTTGCAATCTATCCATCTGACAAAGGGCTAATATCCAGAATCCACAAGGAACTTAAATAAATTTACAAGAAAAAACAATCCCATCAAAAAGTGGGCAAAGGGTGTGAACAGACACTTCTCAAAAGAAGACATTTAGGCAACCAACAAACGTATGAAAAAAAAAAAGCTCTTCATCACGGGTCGTTAGAGAAATGCAAATCAAAACCACAGTGAGATACCATCTCATGTTAGTTAGAATGGCGATCATTAAAAAGTCAGGAAACAACAGATGCTGGAGAGGATGTGGAGAAGTAGGAATGCTTTTACACTGTTGGTGGGAGTGTAAATTAGTTCAACCATTGTGGAAGATGGTGTGGTGATTCCTCAAGGATCTAGAACCAGTAATACCATTTGACCCAGCAATCCCATTACTGGGTATATACCCAAAGGATTATAAATCATTCTACTGTAAAGACGCATGCACATATATGTCTATTGCGGCACAATTCACAATTCAGCAAAGACTCAGAACAAACCCAAATGCCCATCAATAATACATTGGATAAAGACAATGTGGCACATCTACACCATGGAATATTATGCAGCCATAAAAAAGGATAAGTTCATGTCTTTTGCAGGGACATGGATGAAGCTAGGAACCATCATTCTCAGCAAACTGGCACAAGGACAGAGAACCGAACACCAGATGTTCTTACTCATGAGTGGGAGCTGAACGATGAGAACACAGGGACACAGAGAGAGGAACATCACACACTGGGGCCTGTCATGGATGGGGGGCTAGGGGAGGGATAGCATTAGGAGAAATACCTAATGTAGATGACGGGTTGATAGGTGCAGCAAACCACCACGGAACGTGTGTAACTATGTAACAAACCTCCATGTTCTGCACATATACCCCAGGACTTAAAAGTGTAATAAAAAAAAATCCTTTTTAAAGTTAAAAAATAAAAGAAATGATATGATGTTTTGCATGTTGATTTTATATTCTGCAACTTTATTGAATTCATTTATTAGACCTAACAGTTTTTGGTGGTGTCTTTGACGTTTTCTACATAAAGGGTATCATTTGCAAATACAGATAATTTTTCTTCTTCCTTTTTTACTTGGATAGCATTTATTTCTTTTTCTTGTCTACTCTTTGTAGTACTTCAGTACTGTGTTAAATAGAAGTGGCAAGAATGGGCATCTTTGCTTCGTACCAGATGTTAAAGGAAAAGCTTTCAGTTTCTCCCCACTTATTATGATGTTAGCTGTGCTTTTTAAACAAATGTCCTTTACTACGGTGAAGAACTTTTCGTCTATGTCTAAACTGTTGAGAGGCTTTGTCAAGAAAGAACGTTGAATTTTGTCTAATGTTTTTACCTGCTTCAGTTGTTATGATCATGTGGTTATATCTTTCAGTCTGTTAACATGATGTATCCATTGGTTGATTTGCATATGTTAAAACAACCTTTTAGATAAGGATAAATCCCACTTGATCATGAAATATACTCTTTTGATGGGATGTTGAATTTAATTTGCTAATATTTTGTCGAGTAATTTTTGCAATAATGTTCTTCAGAGATATTGGCCTATAGTTTTCTTTCCTTGGGATATCTTTGTCTTAGGTCTCAAGGTGATGCTGGCTTCATAAAATGTGAAATTATGCCCTCCAGCTCTATTATGGAAGAAGTTAAGAAGGATTAATATTAATTTTTATTTAAAAGTTTGGTCAAATTCAGCTATAAAGCCATTGGGTCCTGGGTTTTTCTTTCCTGGGAGATTTTTAATTAATGCTTCAATCTCTTTTATTGTTATTGGTCTGTTCAGGCTTTCTATTTATTCCTGATTCACTTTTGTAATTCATATTTTTGAGTAATGTATCAATTTTCTCTAATTTATCAAATTTGTTGGTGTATAGCTATTAATAAAGGTTCCTTATGATCCTTTACATTTCTGATTTTATATATAAGTCTTATCTCTATTTGTTTAGTTAGTCTGGCTATGGGTATGTCAATTTTATGTTTTCAAAAAAGGTATGCAAATTTAAATTACAATGAAGTAGCACAACACACCCAACAACATTTCTATTGACTGACAGTGTGTTTTGGTAGTAATAAACAGAAATAGGAACACTCATACCTTGCTGGTGGGAATAAAAATTGCCACAGCTACTTTGGAAACTTTCTGAAAGTTTCTGCTACAAGTAAACATACACTGTCTCTTTGATCCAGTAATAGTTCACCTAGAGATTTCAGTACTCATGGCAGCTTTATCTATAACAGCCCCAAAATGGAAATAATTTTAATGTCTGTCAATAGTAGAAGAAATAAATGAAGTGTGGTGTATTCTTAAAATGGAATGCTACACTACTAATACACGTGAAGACACTGAAAGAAGCGTTCTCAGAAATAACCAAGACTTTATAGACTATATGATGACTAATTTCATGAATATAAAGTCATGAGCAGGAAAAAACAATCTGTGGAAATAGAAGTTCAAATAATGGTTACTTCCATGGAATGGCATGGGTATGACTGAAAAGAGGCAAAAGGAAACTTTCAATATCCCGATCCAGGTAGCCATTTTATAGGTATATACACATATAAAAATAAATTGTTTAATTGAACCCTTAAAATGAATGAATTTTATGGCATTCAAATTATACTTCAATAAACTGTTACTGAAACTCCAGCTCTACATTTAAGATATGTGCACGTCAGGAAGTTTCTGATTATATGCATTAGCTCAATAAAAAAGAAAAAAGTTAATAAAACAATGAGATGTGTATAATATACAATATTTTTTCTGACATTTAACAGAGTCTCAAGAAATTGGAGCTATTTTGGCTTTTATAAGTAATTCTGAAACCAGTATACAGTACTTCATATAAAGTCAATTTAAAGAAAAAATGTGCTTCATATTCCTAGCTACTGATTTAAACAATTAGTTTTTGGACTACTACCTGTTCATGAATTGGGGGCAGCCTATATATATGCAATGAATTTTCTAACAAAGAAAGTCCTAGATACAGAAATGAGTTATATTCTGTATCATCTGCAAAGCTGTTTGAAGAAAATTAAGGAAGTATAAAATAGACTACAAATGTGTTTCCATTGCATTGCCTGTAAGAGATGGTTAGTAAGAAAAGAAAACACACTGAAAAAGATGAATCTCTGAATCTGGGACAAATCTGCTGTGTCTGAGTCTGCATCAAAGCCTGCCTTACTGTTTTGCCAGAATTTGTGTTCTTTTTCCAGAGAAAGGTGCTATCTATTTGACGACTGATCCATAACATTTGTTAATGAAAACTAGCAAACAAACAAGAAAAAAATTGATTTTCTTAAACTATAGTCCTAATCTCTGGATTTAATGTGTCTCTAGAGTTAAAGTTCTCACTTTGATCTTTTAAACAAACAAAAATAAATTGAAATGTTTCCACCTCTAATAGTGCTAACCAACACCATCATGCTTAGTGATTGCATGGCAAGTGCAATACACGTTATGCAGAGGTTTTGATTCACTTGGTAAATGGAGCTTCAAAAATTATTATCAGGTTTTTAAACAATGATAGCTATGAAATGGTATTTCAAAACAGCACTTTAAAACTATACCCATTTAATTTGTTGTATTTTTCTGTTACATTTTTATAGGTTCCTATTTCTCCTGCTGCTGAAGTTGCTTAGCCTTATCGGGTTTTATGAATGGAACAGAGTCTGAAGTAGTTTACTTAATGAGCCCAAACTATCTGTGTATTTCATCTTTATGTAATAGACAAAGACTACAAGACTTCTTTCTACTTGGTTCTAGTGAGCCTGAGGCATAAACAATTTTGGGTTGGCTTATAACAAAGACAGCTATATAATATGAGAATTAAAACAGAAATAGAAGAACAAGGGATTAGAAACAAACTTCTAATATTTTTTGTAACTACATTACATCTTATTTTGTGATTTCCTAGCAGTCAAAGCAAAAAAGGTAACACAATTGGTTTTACATATTTTATATTCTACTGAAAGTAATCACATTCAGTAGGAGTAATAGTTTTTTCCTTATAAATAAATGATGAAGAAAGATCTACATCGCTGAAATTTTGAACAACTTAATGAACAAAGGTTTTACCAATCATTTCACAGAATTTGGAGAACATATTGTATTGGTTCTCAACAAAGGATGAATATGTCCCATAAAGTTTCTATCCAAATTATATGGTGACGAATGGGAGAGACAAAAGGGGAGAGAGAGAAGGAGAGAGATCACGAACAAAAGGAATTAAAAACTACTGTAAAGCAAAATAATGTGGGTGATGGCAGGTTTAAAAAATGTTGAGTTTGAGGTGTGGCTGGGGCATCAGAGTGGAGATGTAAAAAAAGTCATTGGACATGTAAGTATGACTTAAAGGATAGGTTAAGACAAGAAATATAGAGCTAGACGTTTTTGCATAAGGTGATAGTTGAGGACCAAGTAGAGGACAGTAAAGTTAAGGAACTAAAACACTGAAATTAGAGATGGAAGGAATTTTTAAAGGTCGAAAGGAGGATAAATACCTTAGTAACTGAAAGCAGAGAAATAAAAGCAGAACAATGGGAATTCTTTCACGTAAAGTAATGAAAGAAAAAAACAATTGGAAAGCTCTCGTCAGCAGTGCTACAGAGGCTCCAGAGGAGGCTGAAAAAAGAGTTACATCATCAGTTTGTGTCAAGAAGATCATTGATAAGCTTTGAGTGAGCAGTTTTCTTAAAATGTGGGGAGACAGAAAACCAATAACAAGGTGATAACAGGTTAGTTGAGAGATGGTATGGAATAGGACATTTTTAAAAAGTATTCTTAAAAAGTCAAATATACACTATGCATCTCTGGAGAAAATATTCTAAAAATATTTTTGTCCTCTCAACTTTAATTTCTTGCCTGTTACTGAGGTTTTGAACTTTTTTGTCTGCACTCAGTACATTTGATCACTTTGTTTCATCTTTAGGACCACTCTTAGAGTTTTCTATTATATGTGTGTGTGCATGTGCATGTGTGTGTGTGTGTGTGTAAACATTTTTAGAATTAAAGAAAAATTCTGCATATGTGCTTTGGGTACAGGGAAGCAAGTAAATGGATGAAGGGTCCAAAGGCAAGAGGAAACAATTAATGCAAATCCTGGATTAAGCTAAGAATGAAAAATTGAAGCACAAAGAATAATTTCAGGATGAACACATTCTGATGCAAGAACTATGGGAGAGAAGAGGTAGAAAATATGGAATATGTTTAAGGTGGAAGAATGATTGCTAGGTAATGGTTTGTATCTTTTCAGTAAAGTAGGAGGCATAGTCTACTGTGAGTTACAATAGTGAGGATGGTAGAAGTGGATGCTGAGAACAGTATGTCTTGCTACAGATATTTTTGGTGATGACAAAGTACAAGTAATCAATTTCAGTTTTTTAAAAAAAGTATTCTGAGGAATGTATTTGGCTCAAGGATCCTGGAGATGTATTGTCATGATTAGACTGTAAAACCCTGTACTATTTTCCAAAGTCATCAGCAGTATAAGGATTTAGGTGAGGAATAGAGAAGGGTAGTTATATCTAGTATTGGGAACAGATGGCAAATGTTCAGGAAAGCAAGGAAATATGTGGCCTTTGTAATTAAACAATAACTAGCTGAAATGATAAAATGGAAATCTGGGTATCCAGATTCTGTTTATCAACTATAATCTGTTGATTACAGTTTAGTAGGTATAGTTTGCTATTTTTTTCATAGAAACAGACTCTAATGACAGATGGCTTTCGTTATTATAGGGCATTAATAACTGGTGGATACTATCTTGTATTATGCTTGTTTTCAGAAAATACATAGTTAAATCACAAAAGAACTTTAAATACCAGCCTATTGTTTGGGGTAACCTCAACATGATAAAGGCCATATATGACAAGCCTACAGCTGACTCACGCTCAATGGTGAAATGCTGAAAGCTTTTTTTCTAATATCTAGAAGAAGACAAGGGTTATCATTCTTACCAGTTTCATTGAACATAGTACTGAAAATCCTAAACAACAATTAGGCAAGAACAAAAATAAAAGACATCCACATTGGAAGGGAAGAAGGTACATGGTTTTGGTTTACAAATGACATAATCTTGTGTAGAGAAATGTTAACACCCCCACAAAAAAAAATAACTGGTGAGACATAATAAATTCAGTAAAGTTGCAGGATTCTAAATCAACATACACAAGTGGTAGCATTTCAATACACTAACAATGAAATGCCTGAAAAATAATTTTAAAAAAGCAATCTCATTTGCAAGAGCTATAAAAATAAAATACTTAGGAATACATTTAACCAAGGAGATGAAGGACACTGAAAACTATAAAACATTGAGGGAAGATATTGAAGAATACACATAATTGGAAAGAAATCCCATGGTTGTGAATTGGAACAATTAATATTGCTAAAATATCTATACTATCCAATGTGGCATACAGATCAGTTCAATATCTACCAAACTTCTTAAGTTATTTTTTAAATTAAAAGAACTTCTAAAATTTATATGGAACCACAAAATCTCATGAATAGTCAAAGAATCTTGAGAAAGAACAAATAGCTGGAGACATCACATTACCTGATTTCAAACTATATTACAAGTCTATAGTAATCAAAACAGTATGGTATTGGTATGAAAACAGACACATAAACCAAAAGAACAGAATATGGAGACAGAAATAAAATCATCTATATATGGGCAACTAATCCTTGACAAGAGCTTAAAGAATATACAATGGAGAAAAGATAGGATGATCAATAAATGATGTTAAGAAAATTATATATTCACATACAAACAAATGGAATTAAACTCATACCACACACAAAAATCAACTCAAAATGGATTAAGGATCTCTAAATATAAGGTCTGAAACCATAAAACTCCCAAAATAAAACATAAGAGAAATGCTCATTGATATGCTCTTCACAGTGATTTCTTGGATCTGATTCCAAAAACGGAGAAAACAAAAGCAAAAATAAACATGAGACTACATCAAACTAGAATCCTTATGCACAACAATGGAAACAACTCATAGATGAAAAGGCAACCAATGTTATAAGAAAAAATAATTGCAAACCATGTATCTGACATGAGGCAAAATCCAAAATATATAAGAAACTCATACAACTCAATAGCTAACAAAACGAAATGAAACAAATGAATAATCTGATTTTTTTAAATGAATAGACATTTTTTCAGAAGACATACAAATGGCCACTAGGTAAATCATTAATCATCAGAGAGGTGAACAACACTAATCAGGAAAATGCATATCAAAAGTACAATGAGATATTCCTTCCCACATGTTAGGGTGGCCAATATAAAAAAAGAAGATAACAAGTTTTGGTGAGAGTGTGGAGAAATGGGAACTCTGTCTACTGTTGGTGGGAATGTAAATTGGTATAGCCATTATGGAAAAAGTATGAATGATCTTCAAAAAAAAATAAAAATAGAGTTACCGTAAAATCCATCAATCACTCTTAAAGGCACATATTCAAAGTAAATGAAATCAGTATCTTAAAAATATGTCTGTACCCCCATGTTCCCTGAAGCATCATTCACAATGACCAACGTATGGAAAAGCCTGAGTGTCCACCAATGGATTAATGAAGGAAGAAAATGTGCCATATATATACACAATAAAGTACAAAGCTTTCTTTGTGTATTCTTCTATTTGCATGTAATAATCTATTGATAATACCTCTTCAAAACAATTTGGAATTGCTCTTGAACTTGAAGCTTCTTCTACTAGTCTCACTGATGAAACTGTAAATTATTAAGGATATAAATAAGAAGTGTAAGGAATTTTTAATTCAGAAGCTAACAGGAAAGCTCTTTCTTTGCTCCAGAGGTAGGCTTTCATATTTGCTTCTCCTTCTTCCCACAGAAGAAATAATTAAGCTTTAATTCGAAAATAATACCTTTAACTGACGCTATGAAGTTACTGTGGTATGTAACATACGAGTAGGGTGAGGTTTAGTGTTGTCTCATTTTGTTCAGATAGTTTTAGAAGGAGCTAAGAAAGCATTCGTATTAAGAACAAGTAAATTAAAATGAGCCTAATTTCTAATTGAAAAACACACATGAATACTTAGAAAACCACTTTATTAGTGAAATTTGTTTACAGACTTCAATATAACAAGGATAAGAACACTTTTATAGTACCTGCTTTGTGCCACACACTGATGTCACTGATCTAGTTGCTGAATGTGTGAAATTCATTTAATCCTTGAAACAACACTACGAGGTAGATAGTATTTTAATCATCCGATTACAGATAATGAACAGTCTGAAGATATGCACCAGATCAGACAAGCGGGAAGTAGAAAGGACCAAGATTCAAACCAAGGATGTCTCATTAAGGATCTCATCCACAATACTCAACTGCATTTGAGTATTAAAAAAGAAAAAGCCACAATTGCCATGGGATTGACTTTATTATATAAAACAGAATGATGACATTATTTGTAATCACAGACTCCAGTCATTTTGTTTCAGAAATTAATTCTCTAGTGAAATAAGGAAATAAGCAAATGTAATTCATAAATTGTAACAATAATTTATTTCTCTGCTTGGCCCCAGCACACCTGAAACAGTGTTTTGTTCAAAATAGAGCCTCAAATTGGTATCTATTAGTGTATATTTTGCCACTTGAGGTGTTTTAAACTGTGTAGTGAGTCAAACTAATCAGAAATATCAAAATACGTATACTTAAATACTTTTAAAACCTCTTAATATGGTGGACTAAAAACATAAAAATGCAGAATTCTTGAGTAAAGTGTCAAGATTATCTATCATGTTATTAAGTGGCATTTACAAACCCTCTAGTGAGTTACATGTAGGATTGCTAGCAATATGGGTTTTGACTTCTCAGAGTACTTAGAGATTTTTATAAATCAAATGTGTTAAGAATGATTAAAAATGTTGAAATTCTATATGAATAACCTGTTTATTTTCTTTCCAAAGAATGTAAGTGCCCCCCAAATAATAACAGCCAACAATTTTTTAAGACGTGATGGTAGAGCAGCAGTCATATTCACTAAAATCTTTTAAGTCTTCTGAATTAAGCCTTTTCACAGAAAGAACAAAGGCCAGCAGGATGGTTTTAAATAATGACTACAAACTGATCAGTGCACGGACTGAGGAAAGCACATTTGCCAAACAACAAGACAGTAAAATATATGATCAAATTTTAATATTACAGTTCTTTTCAAGGATAATAGCTTAATTTAAAATGGAACTGGACTCCTCTCTCAGTTTTTGCATACCTAAGGATTCGTAAAATATAAACTACAGATTAGGGACTATAAATTCTGAAAGGCTTTGAATAAAGCAATAAATAATCGTGGTGCACATTCTTGAAAATCTCTCTGAATTATTGACAAATAGCATGCCTTAAATAATACAAATTGCTTATAGTTCCCAACAGCAAGCTAGTATGACAATTAGATAAAGAAGTTAAGCACGTATTTTATTATATGGCATATACATGATGCATTTTTATATACAGTTATGTGCATAATAATCTTTTTTTGTTTTTTATTTTTATTTATTTATGTTTATTTATTTATTTTTTTTAGTATTTATTGATCATTCTTGGGTGTTTCTTGGAGAGGGGGATTTGCCAGGGTCATAGGACAATAGTGGAGGGAAGGTCATCAGATAAACATGTGAACAAGGGTCTCTGGTTTTCCTAGGCAGAGGACCCTGCGGCCTTCCGCAGTGTTTGTGTCCCTGGGTACTTGAGATTACGGAGTGGTGATGACTCTTAAGGAGCATGCTGCCTTCAAGCATCTGTTTAACAAAGCACATCTTGCACCGCCCTTAATCCATTTAACCCTGAGTGGACACAGCACATGTTTCAGAGAGCACGGGGTTGGGGGTAAGGTTATAGATTAACAGCATCCCAAGGCAGAAGAATTTTTCTTAGTACAGAACAAAATGGAGTCTCCTATGTCTACTTCTTTCTATACAGACACAGTAACAATCTGATCTCTCTTTCTTTTCCCCACATTTCCCCCTTTTCTATTCGACAAAACCGCCATCGTCATCATGGCCCGTTCTCAATGAGCTGTTGGGTACACCTCCCAGATGGGGTGGCTGCCGGGCAGAGGGGCTCCTCACTTCTCAGACGGGGCGGCCGGGCAGAGGCGCTCCTCACATCCCAGACGGGGCGGCGGGGCAGAGGCGCTCCCCACATCTCAGACGATGGGCGGCTGGGCAGAGACCCTCCTCACTTAGACGGGATGGCGGCCGGGCAGAGACGCTCCTCACTTCCCAGACTGGGTGGCTGGGCAGAGGGGCTCCTCACATCCCAGACGATGGGCAGCCAGGCAGAGAGGCTCCTCACTTCCCAGACGGGGTGGCCGCCGGGCGGAGGCTGCCATCTTGGTACTTTGGGAGGCCAAGGCAGGCGGCTGGGAGGTGGAGGTTGTAGCGAGCGGAGATCACGCCACTGCACTCCAGCCTGGGCGACATTGAGCACTGAGTGAGCGAGACTCCGTCTGCAATCCCGGCGCCTCGGGAGGCCCAGGTGGGCAGATCACTCGCCGTCAGGAGCTGGAGACCAGCCCGGCCAACGCGGCGAAACCTCGTCTCCACCAAAAAATACAAAAACCAGTCAGGCGTGGCGGCACCCGCCCGCAATCCCAGGCACTTGGCAGGCTGAGGCAGGAGAATCAGGCAGGGAGGTTGCAGTGAGCCGAGATGGCGGCAGTACAGTCCAGCCTCGGCTGGGCATCAGAGGGAGACCGTGGAAAGTGGGAGACGGAGAGGGAGAGAATCTTTTTTTATTATACTTTAAGTTCTAGGGTACAATTTAAAATTATATTGGTTTTGTCTTAAGTTCAAAGATATGAATAACTGCTATTTTCATTAAGTATAATCATTACTAAGTTAATGAAGTATTTGCAAAGACTCTAAATTTGAAAAAGCATGAAATATTAGTAAGAGATAATAATGTGGTAAGTGGATCCCTTCTCTATTTGGAGAGAATGCTTTCTCTTGGGCATGCAAAATGCCCTTGAGTGTGATTTGATGCGTTGGACAGAGCATTGGGCTGGGAGAACAGATAAAGACTCTTTCCACTTTGCCAGTTATTAGGCTGGCTCCTTGGCCAAGTTAACTAAACATCCTTAGCTCTAATATCCTCAGATGTAAAATAGGAAAAAAGTAATTTTCATTTTAATAGATGGTAGTGAAGAAGGGATCAAATCATACAAATCATACATGTAAAGTTTAAACCACTACCGGTAAGGTATATTTAAGGTGTTCACTATCACTTGCCACTTTACCCACTTCCTATTATATTTCATCTCTATGTTTTAGATGAACCACCTTTCACTAAGTATTATACTTATTATACTTAGTACTTACCTGATTTATATGATCTTGATTAATATGACAGGGCAGGAGCCATTGGAGCCATTGTGGCTACTTTCCTTTTACTTTAGTCTGTTCAGAAACACTCAAAAGCAGCAGCTATCTATATATACAGAAGTAGACCTCTTTGTTGCCCTCTGTTTGGCCAGTTTCTCAAGAGCCAGGCTATCACCAACTCTCTAATTATGTTATCTGTCATTCAAGGCTTAAAAGTTTGGAAGAATCAAAACCTTAAGTTAGGAATTTTTCCACCCTATTTAGTTATGGTAATGTAGTAAAGTTAATGCTGTCTTAAGACTCGAAAAGACTTGAATTTGTAGCCTCAGTTACAATTGCGTAATGAATAATTCAATTATATTTGGGGCTCAGTTTCCTCAACTAAAAAATAGAGATACTTATACATGCACTTATAGCTACACACATTATACACACAAACACACACACTCACACACAGTGATTATAATGGGGACTATGTGTGCCAGTGTCAAACTGTTAGACAGTATGATTATTCTCAATATTCTCAGCACATAGGTTGTGCTTGATTTCAAGTTTCTCTGTTAATGTGAATTCTGAGTATCCTAATTCACCTCTTCCATTGTTTTATATTACCCAGCATGTCACTTATACTACTTTGCATAGAATAATAGAGCAGTAAATAATAGAGAACCTGAAGTCTGACCTTCTTACTTGAAGAATGAGGAAGGAAACTGGGTGGTAGATCAAAAGCTCTGGTCATGTACTTCACTGTGATGGACCTCTTTGGGTTCTTAGTCTTGCATTTTTCTTTCTGTATTCCTGTCTGTATTTGAGAAATAAAAAACAAATATTTGTATATAGTATGATTAGTTATATTATTGTTTTTCAATGCTCTAAAACAGGAGATGTGGTGGATGGGAATAGTGGAAGGCAATTTGGTCTGAAGAATGATTTGATCTCAGAAAATGTTGGCAAAACCACATCTGATGGCAGAGGTTCAGGTTTCCACCAAGCTCCCAAAAGCCAGAGTGTTCAGAGATAGTTATGTGAAAAGCTGAGAATATTAACAGTAGCAAATGAGAGCCCAAAGGTACCTTCAATCAAGGAAGATGATGGTGTAGGACATGACAGAGGACGTGGTTAACCTAAAATAGAGTCTTCTCATTAACTTCCATGACAATTATTTCTCTGCATGCCATGTGCTCAAGTGTAGACTACAAAATTAGCTGACTTGGCACTAAATTTTGCTGCACGCAGGCTGAAATGGATCTCCTGTTAGCTACCTTGCTGCACATCAGGAGATCTAGAAAGGAGACTTTTCTTCCTAAAAGCTGCTTCCACTACAGGAATCGCCCTGCCAGGATACATGGGATGAAAGTTGGCAAAAGTTTTCTCTCTGAACCACTAAATCTCAATACCTATGTGAGCAAATTATTGTTATAATGTTATGAAGTGCCTAGGTTTATCAGAGTATATTTGGGCTGATCGTCTCACTAAATACCCTTTGCACTTATATGGAGTTCTGTAAACGTGTCCTTGCTTGTACATATTCTGCATAACTGGAGGTATATAAGCATGGGCAGTATGCTGTGGCACAAACATTAGGCCCATGATTTCTGAAAACCTTTTTGCATTTCTTTTCAAAGTCATCACTCTCTTCATGGATCCAGTTTCCTTTTAAATACCCGTAATATTGAAACAATTTGTCCCTTTGATATGCAAAAGTCTCCTGAGGTTTACTGGTGATTAGGGCAGCAGGTTTTCTTGCAGATAAATCAAACATCAAGTCCCATGGCTTCATGCCATGCACACAAAATATCTAAACAACTTCACTTAGGCACACTTACATCATATTTTATTTAATGATATCTTGCTCCTCAGTTTGAAAAGAACACATTTATGATTTTTTAAAATCTAGAGTGTATTTCTATACTATTTGATTTTCTTGGAGTTATTGGAAAGTATATTGGGTCCCACTAAAAGAGGAGAATTTCAATCTTTTAGCTGTGCAATGGTTGTCATAGCAAAAAAAAAAAAAAAAAAAAAAAGAAAAAAATAGTTTTAATAAAAAGTTAAGCCAAACCAGCACTACTCTTCAATAGTTCTTATATTCATCTCTTCCTAACTCCTTTGAATATTCCATGGAGCTACAGTTTCAGACCTTTCCTACTCTCTTCATATTCCATTTTTTCCTGCACTTCTTTCCTCTCAACATATTTTTAAAAACATATTATTAAGTCAAAGCTGTCAAATATGACTCTCCTTAGCTTTCTTCATTTTTATCTCGGACTACCTGTAGCATCAAATCCTTTCTCCTCTTTCTATTTCAAAGGGGGTGGGGTGGAGAAGGTGGTTTTCTTTTTCTAGAGGCTGAACATGTGGGCTTGAATTTGGGTACTTCCCCGCTCTGGAATGATACTGGATCCTGTGTTAAGAATCTTTACTGAATCTTTGATCTTGCCCTCTCCACTGGGCCCTTTTCACTTCTGAATACACACATTTTGGTTTACCTGCTCCTAGGTTAATATAAGAAACCAACAAGCAAACCAAACTCCTACCACTTATTCAACATATCTTTTCTGTGTTCTTTTTGTTGTTGTTAGTTTTTTTTAGCACTAAACTTCTTAAAAGTAGACCTCACTTGCTTTCACTTCTTCATGCTTCTCATTTTGTCTTGACCTCATTATGCCTGTGCTTCTGGTACCTATGCTCATTTTTAGGCATGATGTTTTTGTTTTACTTTCTTGTTAGTGCTTCCCAAATTAAGTGTTCCATCTGCTCAGCCACTGTTCTCAAGCCAGCCCTTGTCCCTGACTCACTCTATCTTAATGGTTTCATTGGTCTTCCAGACATGCAAACCAAATTCTAAGTATACTTCAACTTTTCTCTTCTACCCAATTTGTAACTGGTTACTAAGTCCTGTATGCATAGATCTTCTATATATTTCTCAAATGTATTCCTTTCTTTCCATTTCTGTTGCCATTTTTCAAATGTGTTCCTTTCTTTTCATTTCTGTTGCCATAGCAGTAGTGTAGACCTCCATTTACTTCATTGCTCCTATTGCAGACATGTCCTCATTAGTTTCCCTGTTTCCAGCTTCTCTCTGTACCTGCCTAAAAATGCAACTCCAACAACATTTCTTTTCTGCTCAAGTGCTTCAAAGTCAACAATTGCAACTCAAAGTAGTTCTGACTCCTTCACAGTTGACAAGACCTTCTGTGATCTGGCTATAATTTGATCTTTGTGGGCTTAGCTCATACCACTTTTCTATAATTAGTTCCTCCTGTAAGTGCAAGATTTTTTGGTTTCTTGTACCTTTATGCTCTCTTTTCCTTTTGTTTCTTTTTGTCCACAAGAAATTCCTTCTCACCAAAGCACCTTATTTATCCATAATGTTTGAAATCCTCTATACCTTTGCTTTTTCCTAATATTCTCAACTGAACTCTTCATCTCACTCTTCCAGGCCAATAGCATGTGCCCTTCTCTTAACAACATTTGTATTTTCTGTGTTTTGTATTGTTCTTCTGTATACATGTACAATTTTTCCTACTCTATTTTTCTGTGAGAAAAGTGGCTTTCTAATTGTTGACATGTAATGCATGAAACAATTTTAAAAATTAGAAAAAGTTAGTTAATTTTAAACACAAAGTCTAATTTATTCAGAAAGATTATCTGAACATTATGTCTCCAAAATCATGATACACTTTTATTACACTTTATTGTATTTAAATTGGAAATTTCTATTAGGTCTTTTTTTTTGTCTTTGTTATATCTCATGGAATCATAAGAGTTTCCAAATAACATTTCACTTTCATTACATTCCTAAATAAACTTGTCATTAATCTTCCTTTATATTTCATATAATTGTCATAGTAGGCATGTATCTTGTCTTTAGTGGAATATTCATTCTGTAGATCCCACTGTGTTTCCTTGATTGCTGGAGTTAAAGTAGAATAATATCACATGTCCTACAACCTCAGTAAAGAAAGTTAAGAAACATTAATTACCCATTAATATGGAATTGGAAGAGTTGAATAATTTTGCCTATATAATGTTAGTATTTATGTCTGTAAAGGTGTTTTTATCTACTTACCACTATGGAGCTATGCATTTTTCAAATAGGCCGTATTCTTCTTTGTGAGTCATTAAATATCTTTTATTACTTAAAATTTAGATATTGTCTATTTTGAAAGCACCTAAATTGCATATACGTTAAACATCATAGAATAAAATATTTCAGAATAAAACAAAGCAGAGGTAATCAAAGTAAGGGGATAGAATAGGTGATACAGTCACCTAACATAAGCTGATGGCTTTTATTGGTTTTTATTTGGCTTCTGAATATTCTGGCAGCTACAACAGAAATGTAAGCATGTTGAGTTAAATAGTCACTGGATAATTATTGACCCTTGACTTCAATTTATACAGTCTAACTTGGCAGGAATATGAATGTTGGGCAACTGGTTTAAAGAAAGCCACAATCAGCACTCAGTGTGGCCTATTAATATAAATAGAGTAAAGCAACTTATAGGAGACACCAACAAGTAAATTGAAAAAAAAATGAATTCTAGGATTTCTCATAAGAGGTTGGAAAAACATTTGTGTGTGTGTGTGTGTGTGAATTTGAGGTAAATAGCTCTGTGTAGTCCTAAATTATTAGCTTTTTTTTTTCTAATTAACATCTTCTGAAGCCAGGCACTTTATGAAATAGCTTGTAGTTAACAGGTAATGGACTCTAATACTGAGGAGAATTCCTAAGGGAAAGGCAAGCAGACCTCATGGGAAAGCTATTTAGCAATAAATCTTATTTGATATGAGAATGTCTATCTGCATTCCACGCAAAGAAAAAAAATCTATGAGGCATCAAGTAATGTAACATTAAGGTATAAATGGATATCTACTGAAGTAATGGAGTGTATTTGAAAGAGAATTTCAATTACTTTATTCAGAATATTTCTTTTCTCAGTATTATTGTGAGCTCTTTGTAACTTCATATAAGAGATAATTTCTTAGGGGAATACTAGTATGTCAAATTTCGTTTGATTCAAGGGACAGTTGGTGAACAGTACATTGACTCTGGCTTGCAGGCTATGTGAAGTTAGTTTGGAAGATTTACTACCATAGATTGAATGTAGCGGCTCACCATAAACCCAATTTATCATCAGACATTACTTTATCTGATAGTTCCACAAGGTAGAAAAATTATGCTGCAGGTTTCATTAATTTTTTGGTATATGTGACCGGATTCTAAGAATATATAGTCTCAATGTGAACATTTTATAGTGAACTGACTTTATTTCAGACAATCCACATTAACACATGACTCTATCTCTAATAAAAAAACACAAACACCATCCAGGCCTTTTTTTTTTTTTCTGAAATTGCTCACATTAGAAGGCAGAATTCTATTCCTCTGTTCATTTTCCTAATTATCTTAAAATGTATAATTCTATGCCAAAGGAGAAAATTCTACTTGATCCCTCAAAAGAATATCCAAACAGACATGTGTGAATACATTCATTTCTACACATACAACAATCAACTAATACATGTCAAGAAAGGGTAATTTGTCAGTTTTTCAAGAAACATGATAGGGTGGCTGCCATACTGTATATTTTAGTCTAATTATTAGTGTATCCTATTTTCCCAACAAGCAAAAATAGGACCATAATACTACCAGTTTTAACTTCTTATCATTATAGACAACATTTAACAATGGTTTTACAAGCAGAAGTAAAGATTTATGCTTGCCTTGTTTTCCCCTTGTAAATGTACTCTAACCTACAAATTTTCAAATGAACATTTCTTGCAAGAACTCAGCAATGGCAGGGACTCAGTTTCTCTGACTATTTGCTACCAAGTTCTCTCCCTTATTAACCCTTGCTTTGTTAATTTACCTATCTGGAGGAAAAAAGAAGCAAATCAGAGATCCCTTTGCTGACCTACCTATAGCTTTAGAGTCATTCTTCAGAATCTGTTGGATTGCCCCTTCTCTATGCCTCCACATAAACCAATATCGGATCAAACTTATTCTTATAGGTCAAACTATCTGTAACATTCTCCTACCTTTCAGACTTACATAATTCTGCAACTTTTGAACTAATCAAGTAAATTAGCAAGTGCTACTAAAACCTATTCAGAAATCTTTTCTACTTCCTTCAATACCCTTTTTCCTTGATTGCAGATTTGTTCTCATACCAAAAGGATAATAACTTTGGAAAGAAATAATTAAATATTGGTTAAAAATAAGGATTTAAGAAACATTTTAAATTACATTTACTGAATAATCAATAACAAATTCTGCATTTAAGGTATTTTAGTTGAGGATAATAAGCTCAAATCAAATGTATTTGACTAAGCTCAAGAACTAGATTTGTAGAATTTTATGAGAGAATCAGCTATAGTTAGTGATTATGTAAGGTCTTCAAACATTTATATTTAGCGTATACTAAAATAAAAAATAAGCTTTAAAAATTTTTCAACTTTTTTCTCCAGTTTTTTTAGTCATCAGACATGATGTGTCTTGTGACAGTAGACATATTTAGTCTTGTCAACTGATAGCCAATGATTGTAATTTACTAATAGGTATGGTAGTATGTATGCAAATATTAAATAAATGAACTAGAGAATACCTCTTACATACTAAATGAATATATTACTAGTGTATTTATTTGTCGTGGATTTATTTGACTTAAACCACTCATTCATTTATTTATTTTGATTTATTAACTACCTGCTGTATGTGCCAGATACAAACAGATATTGCAAAGATATTTAAAATATTGTCACTGACCATTCATTGACTTATGGTTAAGTGTAAATACCAACTCATGAACAGATGAGTATAGTATAGTAAGTAATAAGCACAATAATAAGGATAAGTTGAGATATGATGAGAACAGAAAGGAAAAAAAAATACTTTATTGGAAGCAATTGGAAAGTTTTTACAGAAATGGTGACATTTGGACTGAGGCTTGAAATGTAATAAATATATTCGGTGTCAAAGGGAAGAAAAGCATTCTGAATAGAAAATCTGATTTGAAAAGTAAAGCAACATGAAAGAACCTGGCACTTTTGAGAAAATTCAAAACATTCAGAATGCCTATACTGCCTGATACATAGGAAAGAGTAAAGGAAGTCCATCTTGGTCTCTTAGTACTTGTAAAGAGATAAATACAGATCAAATCAGGAAAGGCCTTTCACCGTATGCTCCAATATATGAGCTTTTATTGTGGAAAGCAGTTGAATGATTGTAAGGTAACTAATATGAAAGATTTTCATTTTAAATGCATCAGTCTGGTAGCTTTGTGGATGGTGGACTAGGAGAGAGCAAAATTGGAGGACATGAGACTGGATAGAAAGCGAAAGCCAAAATTTGGGTTGGAAACGATGAAGTCCTAAATAAGGTTATAGCTTTAGAAATTTGAGAACATGTGGATATTTTCACTCTGTGAAATATTTTTGCTATTTCTTTGAAGTAAGAGTAAAAAATGATTTTGATTAAAATAGAGGTACTAAGTGTGTGAACATAGGGATTCACATTCAGTGGTTTCATCTCCAGGAGTCTATATTCCAAATTTCAGTATCTTTCTACTTATAAATTAGTAATTTAGAACAATTCATTGCCATGGAGATTAGTGTTGAAGTAAATGGATCCAGACAGGATTTGTGTTCCTCTACAACCTTAATATTGGTTTTAATTTGAGAAACTGCCCACACCTAATAAAATATACTCTATTACAATTGGCTATTATTTCATATTATTGGCTCTCGAGGTGAAATGATCTGTCCAACCTAGATTTCTCATTGCTTTCAAGTTTGGTCTGCATTTACCATTAACACGTTTACTTTTGCTGTGGTTCCTGATTTTAACCCCTTCTCACCAGCGCCTCTGCTGTTTTCTTGCTCTATCTTTCTCTATGTCTCATCACCAGTTCTTTCTCCTTTTTCTTATCCATTTATCTCCACTCAAATCTCCAGACCACCCTTTCTTTACATATGAATTACCAGGAAGTTTCCAGCTGTTCTTAAAATATTTCTATGGAGTGTTCATATCTATGCTGATATGATTTATATGATAGTACTGTATATTTTATAGCAAATTGTATTTTGAAGAAGCTCTTTTTAAAAATTCATAGCACTAACTTAAAAAACTAACTAAAATGACAACAAAAATAAACTTTTTGCAATCTTAGAAAATGTTGTTTTAACTTATTGAGTATTTAAAGGAATACCTGATGCTTCAAACAAAAACTGTTTTTATAGTTTCCTATAACAAATTCAAGATAATTCTAGTAAAGTACATTTATTATATTGCCAGAGCAGTTATTACTAATAGTAAAAATAGTAATAGCCGATTTTTTAACCATTTATGTAAAAGCTTAATTAGGATATTTAACTTAGTAGATGCAAAATTTATATTTGAAACTATTATATATATATTTTTATTATTGTTATACTTTAAGTTCCAGGATACATGTATTTCTAAGTTTATGCAAACGTTATATTACAAAACCGTAACAACACAGATAACAGATGAGCACTTGAAAAATTTCAACCCAATTTAAAAATTAGGGAAGATTAAAAATAAACAGTACAGTGTAAATGAATGTATCAACAAGAAACATTATTTAAGAAGAAAAATAATGATTTTCATTCCTGCCCTATTACTTGCTCCCTTGGCTCCTCCCACCACCATCACAGAGAAAGTAAGAGAGGGAGAGGGCTGTGAAAAGTAGGAAAAATAATTGTGGAAAATTCCAAACAGTCTGTGTCTTTCTTATTTTTATTTTTTGTTGTTGTTGTTATTTTGTTCTTTTTTAAAACTCACTTTATAGTTTGCACAAAAATATCTTACCTTTTTTTTTCCTGATCATAGTTACTTTCTGCCTGACTTAATAGTGAAACCCTTGAATTCAGAGAGTTTTTCATTCTGTTCTTCACCCTTAAATATGTGTCCAAGACCACTACCTTGTAAATAAATGTCCAATGTAACTTCAAGCTTAACAATCCTGTTTATCTTCCTTTTTCATTCTAGTACTTTTTCCTTGAATACAATTTAATTTAATAGAAGTAATCCAGATGTAGGGTTTTGTTTGTTTGCTTGATTTTTCACAGCTGGCCATGACGATAGCATTAGTTGCCAGCATTGCTCTAGACTTAGTAGTGACAATGCTTGGGGCATCCTTTTTCTCCCTAGCTGGGTCATAAAAAGTCATTCAGGGGAAGTACTCTCAAACGCGTGAGTGACACAAAACATGCCGGAGTCTGAACGAAGGTCTCTGTATTTGTTGTTTATTGCTGTGAAACAGACTAAATGGCTTAAAACATGCTGTGAGTTGACAGTTTAAGCTGGTGGCAGAGGAATTCTCAGTGGCAAGTGAAGGTAAGCTCCAACGGACAAGCACTTTTCAGACCTCTGCTGTATCATGTTTGTTAATATCCCATTTAGCAGTCAAGTCACATGGTCTCTCTGGTCCAAACAGGGGACAACAAAAAGCGTGGATACACAGAGATATGACTCACTGGGACCCTTGGTCTCACATTCTACAGAACCTCTCTCATACTGTCTCCTCCACTTCAGTTTCAGAAACTATGGTCATGAAATAGCAGACAGCTACCCATCAAACACCTGGCAAGTAGATATAACCCTTCCCACAGATGATGAAAATCTGAGCTCTCTACTATAAGGAGAGACTGAATTAATGAGCTTTATAATAAAAAGATTTTAAAAGTTTATATTTTTTCTCTTTCAGTATGCCAGTTCCTTTGCCAAACTGTAAATACAGAGGTCTTGAAAGAGATCCACATATACTGCTGAAATAGGAATTATATAAATAGAGATAATAACTCATTAAAAAACAAAAACAATAATTATTATAATAATGGAATGTGAAATCAACCAGTTGCCAGACAACCTTGGGAGTGGCGGAAACAAAAACATCGAATTGGAGTCCAAAGACTCATAAATTACTTGAAGTTGAAGTCTATCTCTGATTTTCCTTAATTTTCTCAATGTGGTGTTGTTTATCACCGTATAGATGCTCCTCTATTTACAATGGGATTATGTTGTGATAAACCCATCGTAAGTCAAAAATATCATAAACTGATAATGCATTTGATAATCTGATAAACCTATCATAAAGTCCAAAAATCATAAATGGAACCCTTATAATTCCAGATGCTCCTTGACACACGATGAGGTTACCTCCATCATTAATTAGACCATAAAGTTGGAGACTATCTGTATAGGCACTCAGTAATTGTTATATGAATGAAAACTGAACCAAAAAGGAAAATGAAAATGACTTACTTAATAAATGGACCACCTGTGCTGAATATTGGCCCTAGTACTTAGTAAATATGTTATTTTGAGTAAATCAAATTTTTCTGAACCATGAGTTTGTCTTTTATATTATAGGAACATGACCCTTCACTATATATATATATATATATATGTAGACTTAGGGAGCTGATAGTCCAGAAATGCTGTGTTGTCTCTGTACAGTGTATTTTTGTGTGTATGTCCATTTTTGAAACACAGAATAGGTACTTTTAAAGGTCTGAATACATGAAAAGGAAAGGCGGCCTCATCTACTGACACTATATGGGCCATAAGCCACTAGAAAACTCACTTTGAGTGAAAGGCATTTTATCAGATATATATAGCATTTTATCAGATATATATATATCTGATAAAACAAAAATGGACTATTCTGTGGAATCGTTGGAATTTTTGAAGATAGAACCATGTCACCCTTCTTTGAAGATATCTGCTTCTCAGCACAAGGTCTTACACTGTAGGTTTGCTCAATAACAGATATTAAAAAGTAGAGAAACACAGACACGGAAATATTGACAATATTCAGTGAAATAACCCTCATGCTTTAAAGGAATAGTATCTCAAAGTTTGAAGAGTAATCAAGCATCGTTCATACATAACTTAGCATCCTTAAGGTAACTTCTGATATCAAGCCACATTAATTTTTGGATTAATGTTCTGTGCTAATTTTGTGCTACATGATCTGAAAGTCAAATTGGAAATACCACATCAGTGCTGATCATATTTAACTGGCAACACCTTAAACAGTATCTGGAAACTCAGGAGGGAAAAAGCTATCAATTTGCAATAGTCTGAATATATGTATTTGTGCAATCTATTTAATGTATGTAACATTTTTGAAGCTGGTTTATAGTTTTTGAAATATACTTCTAAATAGTGCTTTCTGTTAAAAGATATTGGCTATCTATGATTAAAATGTGGATTCCAAAACCATTTCAAATTTCATATAGTCTCATGAGGATCACTAATGATGACAGAAAGCAAGTATATAGGGATGATGGGTTCTGTAAATGTACCATTCTTCAGGGAAACACGGGGAATTGTAAAATTAGGTCAAGTTGTTGTGCTAAGAAGGTGGTTATTGCATATATACTTATCTCAGCAGCTAAGGGACTGCTTCCAAAATGACTACCCAGTTAAGCTCAGCCCACACATTGACACTTAACTGACAAGTTGGCACATGTAAGTGGACATCTTGCATCTACATTTAGTACATATTTAGTTCCGTGAGTATATTAGCTCTTAAACTCTGTTTTCAAGCCCCTCCTGAACCAAGCCTCAGGCGTTAGTTCTCCTCCATTCCTCCATGGCAATCATGAGGAATGTTTGACAAGCTCGTGGACAGAAAACCTGTCAGTATTTTGGACAGAGATTCATCCAAATAAAACAGGAAATAATAGAGACAAGCTGAAGAATAAATGTTTAAATAATTTTAATTGATTAGAACTTATTTCAAGCACTAGAAGAGAGAAAAGTAAGAGTTTATGCATTATATACATATGTGTAGGGGTGTGTGTGTATATGTGTGTGTGTAAGGAAAAGATTATAGTAAGAATACGTGCATTTTATATAATATAATATGTGTACTGTATACATATAACAAAATGTGTTGGAGACTAATTCATTATGATTTATTCTATTTCTCAAATGATGAATATTAATTCCTGTCTTACAAATTGTCACCTTATCATACTGTCTTATCACATTGCCTTATACAATATGATATGAACTTTGAGTGAAAGGCATTTATAGTGAGGGTTGGGAGAAGCAAATAGAGCATCCTTTCATTTCTCTTTATTTCTAATGCTAATGTGGACACTGAAAACAATTTATGTGATTTATATATGTGTGTATACATATACATATATATTCATACACATATATCAATGTCTATATAGAGAGAAGAATTATCTTGATTGTAAACACTGTCTTTTCAAGAAAAATGTTACATTAGTATTTTTGACATATTATCATCTTCTAATGTGTTCTAAAAGAGCAGTTTATTGAGGGTGTTATTCTTCTAAGAAACTTGACAAATGGTCACAGTTTACTAAATGACTTTTCAAACTTCTTTCACTTTGTGTTATACCGCTTTAATCATCTTAGGGAATTGATAGTCCAGAAATGCTGCGTTGTCTCTGTACAGTGTATTTGTGTGTGTATGTCCATTTTTGAAACACAAAAATAGGTACTTTTAAAGGTCTGAAAACATGAAAAGCAAAGGCAGCCTCATCAACTGACACTATATGGGCCATAAGCCACTGGAAAACTCACTTCTGAATAATTGATTTGTTTTAGTAGACTGATTTTTATAACTCATCCTTTTCTTCCTTTGTCTTGTCTGTGAAGTTGCTGAGAGCCAAAATGTGTAACCCTCATTAAATAATTATACAGGATAATAAAACATATTTTATGCATGATTATTAGTTTATTTTATATTCATCCAGATATTCATTTTTCCTGCTGTGCTGTAAGCAATTCTTAAAGTGTCTTCAAATATTATTTGGAATGAATAAAGTACAATATAAATAAATAAGAATAATTTGAAGTAGTGATTTATAACAGAGGTCTAATGCAGTGATGAGCACATTGATCCAGGAAAAAGAGCAAAGTAGCAGGAGTAAGGAAAATTCAGACTGTAAAACTGGCTCTGTTCCTCTTTACTCATAAGACCATGAGCAAATCACTTCACCTGTCTGTCTTTTGATTTCTTTCTGTGAAATTGAATATACTAAAATAATTGTGAAAACGAGGGCTAAATGCTTTGAGAAACTTTGCATTCTGTATGAGTCGTGTAAAGTGCTATTAGGATACCTTATTACAATGTTGTAAAGACAGCACCTTCTGGAAGATATGGATTTCCTGCTGGATCCTGTTCATTTGCACTGTTAGCACTGGCTACACTTGAGGGAACAAGTGTTCTTCTTGTTCAGTTTCCACAGATTGTACTTTTGAACTTTGCTCAAATAGTGCCAACTTGCATTGGCTTCCTCGAGTCCTTGGAGCAGTAATGCCCCTTCTTTAGGAAATAATGAGCAAAACTGTCCTTCAAAAAATATTCTTACTTGAGATTCAAATAAAATTGAAAAATTCGCAGTTTAGTGTTTCGTATTTGCTCTCTTGAGAGTTTTCCTCCTCATCTACCAATTCCTAGTCCAGCGCTCGGGGTAGCATAGAGATTGTACCTCACTCAGTGCATGAAGCCAAAAAATTAAGATGCACTAAAGAAGTGCAAAGGGCAGCATCATGTTAACTGGGAGCCATAACCAGTCCAGATTTATAAGATTCATAAAAGTGGCAGAAAACAGAGACTATAACTGCATATAATAAAGTTCTCATTGTGCGAAACAGAAAATAAGCTTTGACAAAACAAATTACATGCAGAGAAAAGAATCTTCTCCACCAATAGCAACAGTGTGGGCAAGTGTTTATATTTGAAAGAAAAGTTATTTAACTCCTGCTGTTTTCAAACAATCATTTTAAGTATAGGCTTTGTTGTGACTCTGTTAGCCTTTACTATGAATGAGTACATATTATAGTAGGATACTGCTGATCACTATTGTCAAATACAGAGGCATTCTTTTTTAAGAGAAAGAATGTCTGATACTCCTTTCTTAAACTCTTGAATATTTAGGTTGCTAGAATAAATATAAGATGGAGAGCTAAGCAAAGCAAACCAATGATAATTATTCTCTAATTTAGAATATTTAACATTTTCTTAAGAGTTGACTATAAATTTTAGTTATTAATTGAACTGAAACATTGAATTTTTGTAGTCGGGAATCTTTGATCTAATACATTTGCATCATGCTTTCTAGTTTAAAAAGTGCCTTGAGGTACCTTTTCATTATGAAATAAGGCATAGGTCTTATTTGGTACCTTTATATGGGAGACTGAGTGATGCATATGGAGTTTATTTAAACATATTTTATTTATACTGAAGGCTAGAGAGTCAACTAAATTTGAAATAAAAAAAATAATTGCATTCTCCCATCATTGCAGACATATTTTTGTGGGTTATATGATGTAGTCAAGGGCATTAAGATGTCTCTTCTCTATGATGACATTTAAAATATAGTATTCAGATTAAAATGTTGCATAATAATTGTTTATAATTTTCATCTGAAATATCACAGGTGTCTTTGGAATTAATAACACTTTTTGTTTATAGTGATTGATTTATTACATTACCAATGGTATTCCAAATAAATATGTAATGTTTTAAAATACAGTATTCTGATCAATTGTGAGACTAAAAGAACCTATAGATTCCTTTATTCACTTTATAAAGAGTTTTCTTAAATTTTCTTCAAAGGTTTTTATATATTTACATTAAAAGCATTCTTTAATAGAAATATTTATGTTAAAAATATAGCTGTCATCTCCTAAGCATAGACTCTGGGAGTCAACTTTTAGTTTTGAACATTAATTATAAAATTACTACTTTTTTATAATGTTGTATTCCTCCCCATTGCTTTTATCTATTTCCAAACACACCCTCCAAATTAGGTGACAAGTTTTCCATGTGGTAACATTCATCACACAGAATATCTGACATTATTAGACAGATGACATAAGAGCATATTTCTTCCTAGGTGAATCAGAATAATAATGCTGTAATATACGTAACTGAAATGCAAAGAGCAGAGGATATCCCTATCAGAAATTGAGCAATGAGGATAGGACTGGCTTTACAGTGTAGGAGTCCCTTGAACTATGTCCTGAAACTAGTAGGTGTTTTATATACCTCGATTAGCAAAACTGGAAAGTACCTGTGATAAGAAGTGCTGAAGACATTTATGTCCAGTAGATGACAGCGTGTATCTCAAAATATATTTTTATATTAATGAAGACAGCAAATGGCACAAGAGCCTGTGTGTATATAAACTTATATTTACAGAAATAGATAAAAGTAAAGGACTAGGAAAGGTAATAAGGTCTCTTTCCATATGGGTCTTCAGATGAGTTATTGCATGACAGCTGCTTTTGATCTAGTAACATCTTCCCTAAAGAAAAGGACAAACACATACATCATTGTCTCTGCACACTTTGAATTGTAATAATACTTAATACCATGATCTTATTAAACTAAAACAAAAAAAGGAGGAGCTATATTAGTAACAGGGACTTACGTATGGACCTGACAAGAAAGGCAAACAGGTGTTCTCAATGGAAGGCAAATGTGATAGCAAATGAAAAGGGGATGGGGTAAGCTCCAATAAAGAAGGAACACTGGACACTATGAGCAAAAATAATGAGGTATGAAACAACCTGTCATCCTCGGGAAATAGGAGTAGTTTGTTTGGTCCCAGCATTCATATAGAAAGGAGATGTGAGTGAAGAAGGGAGACCCTGGAGCATAGAAGGCTAGTGAAAGATCAGAAGAACCTCATATAGCATTATAAAACATTTAACGTTGTCCTTTAGATACTGCTGCATTTGAGGGCATTGGTGTTTTAATCAGTATATTCAATGATCAGGTTGTAATACTGGGCTCAGTGATGGTTTCACTAGTCCACTTCTGATCTAAGAAGTCGTGAGGATTGAGAGAAAGAAAAGAATGTGACAGGTGTTAAGAGCTAGAGATGCCAGCTTTTGGTGAAGAATTAGTGTTGAGGGAAAAGGAGAAAAACTAGGATAAATTAGTTGAGAATTTGAACTTGGAAAGAAACCTTTCTTTTTTTTTTATTATACTTTAAGTTTTAGGGTACATGTGCACATTGTGCAGGTTAGTTACATATGTATACATGTGCCATGCTGGTGCGCTGCACCCACTAAATCGTCATCTAGCATTAGGTATATCTCCCAATGCTATCCCTCCCCCCTCCCCCCACCCCACCACAGTCCCCAGAGTGTGATATTCCCCTTCCTGTGTCCATGTGATCTCATTGTTCAATTCCCGCCTATGAGTGAGAATATGCGGTGTTTGGTTTTTTGTTCTTGCGATAGTTTACTGAGAATGATGATTTCCAATTTCATCCATGTCCCTACAAAGGACATGAACTCATCATTTTTTTATGGCTGCATAGTATTCCATGTTGTATATGTGCCACATTTTCTTAATCCAGTCTGTCATTGTTGGACATTTGGGTTGGTTTCAAGTCTTTGCTATTGTGAATAATGCCACAATAAACATACGTGTGCATGTGTCTTTATAGCAGCATGATTTATAGTCCTTTGGGTATATACCCAGTAATGGATGGCTGGGTCAAATGGTATTTCTAGCTCTAGATCCCTAAGGAATCACCACACTGTCTTCCACAATGGTTGAACTAGTTTACAGTCCCACCAACAGTGTAAAAGTCTTCCTATTTCTCCACATCCTCTCCAGCACCTGTTATTTCCTGACTTTTTAATGATTGCCATTCTAACTGGTGTGAGATGGTATCTCATTGTGGTTTTGATTTGCATTTCTCTGATGGCCAGTGATGACGAGCATTTTTTCATGTGCTTTTTGGCTGCATAAATGTCTTCTTTTGAGAAGTGTCTGTTCATGTCCTTCGCCCACTTTTTGATGGGGTTGTTTGTTTTTTTCTTGTAAATTTGTTTGAGTTCATTGTAGATTCTGGATATTAGCCCTTTGTCAGATGAGTAGGTTGCGAAAATTTTCTCCCATTTTGTAGGTTGCCTGTTCACTCTGATGGTAGTTTCTTCTGCTGTGCAGAAGCTCTTTAGTTTCATTAGATCCCACTTGTCAATTTTGTCTTTTGTTGCCATTGCTTTTGGTGTTTTAGACATGAAGTCCTTGCCCATGCCTATGTCCTGAATGGTAATGCCTAGGTTTTCTTCTAGGGTTTTTATGGTTTTAGGTCTAACGTTTAAGTCTTTAATCCATCTTGAATTGATTTTTGCATAAAGTGTAAGGAAGGGATCCAGTTTCAGCTTTCTACATATGGCTAAACTGGAAAGAAACCTTTCAAACAGTGATTCTGAACGATGAAATTTAGGAAAATAAGAAAATAAAAGGAGAGAATCAATAAAAGGAGACTTTTAGAGCTCTCTTGAGAGGCTTATGTTAATGGAGCTGAGAAATGTCTGCATTGTCTGTGATTTCAAGTATTATTCTCTGGTAGTTCATATATACTTCTAACTAGCTTACTGTGTGATAAGCATTCAGATGACATTCAAGGTATAGGTTATTATTTATGTATATAAAGAAGTTTTAATTTTGATAGCCAATATTATTTAAGTGTATAAAAGCTTAAAATATGTCCATATAATCAAAGCATTTTGAACTTTTCTTTATCACTAAGTGTTGTCAACTTCTGATTAACATCAGGGATAAAAAAGGGGTATGATGGCTTATGGAAGACAGGTCTATTGCCTCCTACCATGTACTAATCATTATTAAAATGACTAAAACATAACAATCTTTTTTGACCTTTTGCCAACACTAATATTAACTAATAATAGATTTCTATAAGTATATTTCAGTTATATATTTTTATAGAACTCAGGCATAATTAATTTGCATTATTATTCTGACGGAGGTATTTGTTGTTGTATACATTTTGTTTCAGCAGACTATCTTAAATATAAGAGACTAAATCAAAATATTAGCATTGTGTTGAATGTCCTAATTTTACATATAATTATATGCCTTATAAAGAGTGAAAATATTTTCTAAATTATAGGCATTTGCAGCTTATATTTCAAATTGAATTTATTTTCATTATATACATACATACGTATCTATCTATCTGTATATAGAGAGGCATACTCACACGCGTAAAGTAATTTAACCATTATTTAAATAATTGTCAATGTTGCAAAAACTCATTTATAGATTTACATTAATTAGTTTTAATTTCTTTTTTTAAATTAAAGTACAAAATAATTTTGAGATAAAAGGATCAATATTTGCCTGCAATGAGAAATGTTAAGGATATCAAATTGTCTTTTAAAACATTTTATAAGAAGGAAAAATATTCTAAATTTCTTAGTCTGAACCATAAATCAAATTATTTTATCCATTATCATCTCCCTTATGGAGGGAAATACATGAAGGTTGTTCTACATTTACTCAAGCTGAGGCATTTATGGAGAACATAACTCTTAATAGAACATAAGCTATTATATAATAGAAAGTTTATAAAGAGTACCAAATATAGGAATTAGTGGTAACACAGGGAGCTGGTGAGAGCAGTGGCATAGGGAATAGGGTCATCTTGGTTTAAATTGTGCCTTTTACAATGAAAATATTTTGAATGTAGGCAAATTATATAACCTCCCTGTGCCTTAATTTTGTCTAAGGAAGGGGAACAATGCCCTACTTACTTCCTACAGTTGTGAAAACAATTAATATGATGTATTCAAAAGAAATTCATAACATACATTTTATCCATTAACTAATTCATCATCATCCTCCCCCCTTCCACTCCCCTTAGCCCCCTGAGTCTTCATTATCTATCATTATACTCTATCATTGTATGTCCATGTGAACATATATAGAATATATATCTATATATTATCTGTCATTATATGCCTATGTGAACACATTTTTTATCCCTCACTTATGAGTGAGAACATGCGATATTTTTTCTTTCTGGGCCTGGCTTGTTTCACTTAAGATAATGGCCTCCAGTTCCATCCATGTTGCTGAAAATGACAAGGTTTCATTCTTTTTTATAACTGAATAGTATCTTACTGTGCATATACACCGCACTTTATTCATTCGTTGATAGACCCTTAGGTTGATTCTATATTTTGCTTTTGTGAATAGTGCTGAGATTAACATGAAACTGCAGGGTTTCTTTTAGATGTATTGATTTATTTTCCTTTGAGTAGATACCCAGTAGTGGGATTGCTGGGTTAAATGGTAGTTCTATTTTTACTTCTTTGCGAACTCTTCATACTTTTTTTCCATAGTGGCTGTACTAATTTACATTCCTACCAACAGTGTAGAAAAGTTTTCTTTTCTCTGTGTACTTAACAATATCTATAATGTTCTGTGTTAAGTTTGGCATTATTTTTATTGATACAAATTTTATACAATTAAATACTGTAGTTATTTTCTAGTTCTAGATAAATTTAAATTTAAAAACATAAATTTAAATTTTTATCATCACATGATGAAAATTAATTTGATGATAGTATCTTCCACTTTTTAAGGATTTACTATGCCCCAGACATTGCCACAACCAACCCTATGCGACAGGTACTATTATCTTTATTTTATAACTACAGAAACTTTCGTGACTTAGGAATTTTAAGTGAGTTGTCTAGGGCCATGTGAGTCTGACTCCAGCTTATATGCTGTTACATGTATGCCAGGCTGCATTTCCTCAAATCAAGAGGAATACAATTACCAAAGCTCCACTCATGTGTTTTGTCTATATTCCCCTCACAAATACAGTCACTCATTATTCCAAAAGTTTAGACCATGGACCAAATAGAATATTCCATAGATTTTAGTAAGAGATATTTGGCTAAGCAGATTTTTGCAACTGAGTAATTTTGATTCTTTATATTGACCTTTTAAAGTTTATTAAAAATAACATCCTCTCTGAACCTATATGTGACATGAGAACAGTGGGATCTTAAGAAGGTTGAGTTGTCAAGGCTTATTCCAAAGTTTTCTTACTCTCATATTCTCCCTAAAATATAAAGTAAACATAGGTATCAACAGCATTGAGACAAAAAGGTAAAAATAACTGTTTGCAACATGTGGCACTTTTAGAAAATATTTTACCCAGAATTTATAGCTTATTAATTTTAAACAGTTGGTATTTAAAGGTAGATCTGTTATGAGTTAGCCATGTTACTGAGGCATTATAAAGAAATAAAAGAAATTCTGCAATATGATTTTTTTTCCCCCAAGACAGAGTCTTGCTCTGTCGTGCAGTGGCATGATCTCAGCTCGCTGCAACATCTGTCTCCCCGGTTCAAACAATTCTCCCGCCTCAGCCTCCCAAGTAGCTGGGATTACAGCCATGAGCCACCACACCCAGCTATTTTATTTTTTTATTTTTAGTAGAGATGGGGTTTCACCATGTTGGCCAGGCTGGTCTCAAACTCCTGACCTTTATGGTATTCCCGCCTTGGCCTCCCAAAGTGCTGAGATTACAGGTGTGAGCCACCGTGCCCGTCCAGGAACACTTAAATGAGGTTTAAATTGTATTTATTTAAACTTATTACTTAACAAATATTTTAAAATACAAACATGCATGCAACTGTGGAAAACAGTTTTATGGTTTTTGAAAGAATATGCTTAAGTTAAAATGTGTTCTCTACTCCATTTTTATTAAAAAATATATCAGTTAAGTGGGTTTAAAATACATAAAATAATTCACATGGAGGTAGGCGGTGGTTTTAGTGGCCAATCACTCATGCAAAATATTTTAACAAACATTTTCCACCCCAGTGGGTTGATTTTTCTGTTTTGTTTTATTTTGGTTTCTTTTTTTTGCTATATCCAAGGGAAGCTTTCCATTGAAAGTGACTAATTATTTATCTAATCGGGACAGAAACTACATGTCCGCTCAGGCTTTGATCCCCTTTTTAGTGAGTGTTTTATGATTGGCACATAGCTCTAGTGAGTTTTACCTGAATGACAATTATCAACCATCAGTGGACCATATGCAGTGGTGGGTAGAATTGCTGTCAGCTGCCGATGGGCCATCTGGAGTAATGCTTACTAAGTAGTTTAAAGATGGCTCAGAAGTACAACTGAGAGCCAGCAGCTATTGAAGTAGGTCTTGATCTCTCCATACCAAAACCTGAGTGTGGCCTTAGCAATTAAGTTTCTAAAAGGAATTATAAAAGGTTATTTTTCTTGACAATGTTTGTTATAATCATATTTAGTGAGGCATAGGTTTCATAGTGGTGTGCTTACACTGTATTTGTTTGGAAGATATCTAGACATCTTTTATCAGGAAGTTATTCATAGAAAAAATGATAGTATAAATCCTGGCCAAAAGCATGGCCACCTGTTTTTATATGCTGTCATAGCTGTTAAAGTAGAGGCTGTTGTTTTAAAAAATAGATTTATCTACTGAATCTACATTTTATCTGCTTCAGAGACAAGTGATACATATTAGTGTAATTAATAAATTAAAAGAAAAACAATACCCCCCAAAATACCTCTTTGCAGCAATAATACAGATCTTTTGTGAAGAAATCTCTTGTAAGACTCTTTAATTTTCTTAATATTGATACATTGGGCCTCTTTGTCATCTTTGTTTTCTAAAACATGTTTGAAAAATGTGTTTACCTTTGAAATTTATAACATTGGAAGATTCAGAAACAGTGACAGACGTCCTTTGCCAACCTGTGGACACAAGAGCAGAGGAAGAATGGAAAGTTGTGTGATGCGTTTTGGCTACAGTATTATTCAGGCCAATATGCCAATCCAAGGTAATTGTTAATTTTCATCTCTGCCTCTGCAAAAAAACTATAGTCCACTTCAGGTAAATGCAAAAGTGGCATTGTTAGCATCCGAGAAGTTGGCCCTTACTTTGGATTGTTGATTCTGCAGTTGTTTCTGCAGTCAGAGGGAACATCTCTTTGTCAGTGTGAAGTTATACTGCTATCTTATCCAGTTTCCTTAAGAATGGAGCTCTGTAAGACATCTAGAAATGAGGTGAATATGGACCAATGGCTTTTAAACAAAGCCATGATTACAAGTTTTCATAGCAAAAACCCTGATATTTATGCTTTTGGTGATAACTATAGATTTTTTTCTTAGAAAAATTATGTAGAATTATACATACAAGTCCTTCGAAAATTTTTGGGCTTTTTTGAAGAAAATAAGTACAAGCAAAGTAACCGATAGAAAAAGCAAGAATGAGGGCTCAATTAAAGGAAAAAAAAGTAACTCAGAGCAATGACAATACTCATGAAATGAGAATTGATTAACTTAAACTTAGGGTTTAATTTGGCACCCATTAACAAAGTTGAATTTTGCCATTTTTAAAAAGCAAGAGTTGCTGATTTTAGGAATAACACCAAGCTAAAATAGGAAAAGCAATATTCACATGCAAGGGAAGGTATAGAAAGAGATTTCTTAAGCATTGGCTTTAGTATTGCATCATTATCTGTTCTAAAAAAGCAAACAGTGAAATGATCCATATCCAAAATATTACATTTTTATAGAGTGGTATTTATAATAGTGTATGTATGTATATATACTTCCTTATATATTCATATGTGTATGTGTGTATATGTATATATTCTTGAATATTGTCTATATACGATCTACAAAGAAATAGTTCAATTTAATAAGATGTTCAGAAAAGTAAATAAAAATTGTATATGACTTATGAATATAATCACATGTACAGCATGTGTTTTAATATATTTTATAATAATTGAGTCAGCCTGCTATTAGTTTAATTAAAATTTTTACACCTTCTTGATTAGACTGCTGGTTTAATGACATCTTCCACACTTTGAGCCGTGAAGTGTGGCTCATTTTAAAGTTCTGTAATGAGAAGGAAAATGTAAATCTGATGAACATCTCAACAGACTAAAAAACAAATTTTAGTTTTTACTTGTGGAAAAACAACAGAATCCAGAGATGATTAGCATTTTGTTTGAAATGAGTTTAGTATGAGCATGATATTATGGACTCTTATGTGGGTAAAAACCTTTATAAGGGAGCCTATGCTATAAGGACATACCTCAGTGCTTGGAGAACAAAGTAGCACATTACTGATGATAAATAGAGCACAGGGGGAGAGAGATAGAGAGAAAGGTTGCTCTATGTTTTCACAAATAATGTTATTATAAAGTTGAACAAAATGAGAATGTTCTGGTGACTATGATAGGTAATAGAAGAGGGAAATATTGGTTTAATGTGTTGTAAAGTATGTGCAACACTGAGGCTGAAACATTATTGGATTTTTTTTGTTTAGCATTTTAATACCTCACTAATTCCTTTATGAAGCAAACATTTGAATAACTCTAATGAGCTGACTGTAAGCTGCCAGCAAACTCAGCAGCCATTTTATATTTACTAGACCATTATCACTGGTCTCTGGAGTTGATTTTATTTATAGCATGAACACCAAGACTCTTATTAAAATCCTGTTTCTTTTTATATTGTTCTGAAATATATGGATTTACATGTAAAACTATAAACCCTATATATAGGTACTCTATTTTCATTAAGCTAAAGAAACTGCACAATTTGCATTGCCTTTGCATTTTAACTTGGAATGCAACACTAAAGTAATATAACACATGAATTCCTACTATTTTGGAGAGAGTAAGACTATTCATTTAATCATTTACATTATGGTAAAAAAGTGATTATTAGAGAAGTAGAACCAGCATGCTATTCAGTAATAACTGCAAAAATAGTAGTATCTCTTACATTTTTTATTTATTTCCAGCAGGGTTTTCGTTTTAGTTTTTAAAGGGAAGTATAGCAGTGAATATTGAACACATAAATCCTTCTAGTGGTGGTCATTTACCATTTATGAGCATTAGAAACTCGGTGACTCTGGGTTTCCAAACCCCTTTGCTTGTTCTTCGTTGCATTACATACATCCCTGTCATGGTTTTCCTCATTTTATTATCCACTTGCCCTTCGTAAGACAGGTGGGAGAGAGGACAAGTAAGCGTCAGGAGAGCATCCACATGATACTTTCCCCTGTCTGACTGCTGATGTGTTATTTTTTGACAAATTTATAGTTTTCAATCCCTCCTTTTCAAATGGTGAACAAAGATTTCTATGATAGACCATTGCCACAGAGACTCATTTATGGAAAGTTGCTGTTATGGGAATAATAGTTCTGAACAGTTACCTAAAAATATAATAACAGATCTCATAATTCCTGAGAGAGAGAGAGAGAGAGAGAGAGAGAGAAAAGGAAACCATATTATCAAGCTTTATTTATGGCCATTTTGATTTAGATGTTCTTTTTTTGGCCAATGCTTATTAATCATTCTACCTGATACATTCATAACATAATAAGTATCACACATACCATTTTCATCTAATGTTAATCTATTTTCATTCATAAAGTCTCTGGATATGACCATAATGTTCCACCAATTCTTCGTTTTGAACTGTAAGGCACACATTTAACTCAAACAAAATGTTTTAATGTAATCTATTTTCTTGCTTCTGAAACAAACAGGACATTTTTAGTCGCTGAAGTAGCTTTCCGCAATTAATTTGTTGAATTCTGAAAAAGAATATACCCTCTATTGGAAAATCTTAGTGAAAGGTTCAGACTTGAGAATTCAACATTTTATTAGCATTTAAAAGAAAAGGGAAAAAATACAGCAAAAAACTATAGGTTCCAACTTATTTCCAAAATCTAGCGGGTGCATCCCAAACCTAAAAACATGCAGTGGAAATCACCATGTCTGTATACACGTCATGGACTGAAACAGTGATTTTAAGTATGATTTTTCCGGTATGAGTAAACTTACATTCAGGTTTTGAATACTTAAATTTTATGTGGGGGCATAATTTAATGCTACCCAATTGCTATGTCTCTGCATTAACAGGAGCATCTCTAAAAAACACCTTACACTTGCAGTGTTGCTACTTTTCATTCTGCCATTATAATTTGCTTTGAATGCCACTGGCACTGTCTCGGAGAAATCTAATAAAATGAAACAAAAGAGGGAATGATACTAGCATATCTTTGTGTAGAGATGTGACCATAATCTCCTTTAGAACAAGGACTGAGTTGTATTAATCTTCCTTTTTTTAAATTATATTTTAAGTTCTAGGGTACATATGCACAACATGCAGGTTTGTTACATATGTATACATGTGCCATGTTGGTTTGCTGCACACATTAACCTGTCGTTTACATTAGGTATTTCTCCTAATAGTATCCCTCTCCCTGCCCTCCACCCCATGACAGACCCCAGAGTGTGATGTTCCCCACCCTGTGTCCAAGTGTTCTCATTGTTCAATTCCCACCTATGAGTGAGAACATGCGGTGCTTGGTTTTCTGTCCTTGTGATAGTTTACTCAGAATGATGGTTTCCAGCTTCATCCATGTCCCTACAAAGGACATGAATTCATCCTTTTTTATGGCTGCATAGTATTCCATGGTGTATATGTGCCACGTTTTCTTAATCCAGTCTATCATTGATGGACATTTGGGTTGGTTCCAAGTCTTTGCTATTGTGAATAGTGCCACAATAAACATATGTGTGCATGTGTCTTTATAGTGGCATGATTTATAATCCTTTGGGTATATACCCAGTAATGGGATGGCTGGGTCAAATGGTATTTCTAGTTCTAGATCCTTGAGGAATCGCCACACTGTCTTCCACAATGGTTGAACTTGTTTACACTCCCACCAACAGTGTAAAAGCTTTCCTATTTCTCCACATCCACTCCAGCATCTGTTGTTTCCTGACTTTTTAATGATCGCCATTCTAACTTGTGTGAGATAGTATCTCATTGTGGTTTTGATTTGCATTTCTCTGATGGCCAGTGATGACGAGCACTTTTTTAAGTGTCTGTTGGCAGCATAAATGTCTTCTTTTCAGAAGTGTGTGTTCATATCCTTTGCCCATTCTTTGATGGGGTTGTTTGTTTTTTTTCTTGTAAATTTGTTTAAGTTCTTTGTAGACTCTACCCACCTTTGTCAGATGGGTAGATTGCAAAAATTTTCTCCCATTCTGTAGGTTGCCTGTTTACTCTGATGGTAGTTTCTTTTGCTGTGTAGAAGCTCTTAGTTTAATTAGATCCCATTTGTCTATTTTGGCTTTTGTTACCATTGCTTTTGGTGTTTTAGTCATGAAGACCTTACCCATGCCTATGTCCTGAATGGTATTGCCTAGGTTTTCCTGTATGGTTTTTATGGTTTCAGGTCTAACATTTAAGTCTTTAATCCATCTTGAATTAATTTTTGTATAAGTTACAAGAAGGGATCCAGTTTCAGCCTTCTACATATGGCTAGCCAGTTTTCCCAGCACCATTTATTAAATAGGGAATCCTTTCCCCATTTCTTGTTTTTGTCAGGTTTGTCAACGATCAGATGGTTGTAGATGTGTGGTGTCATTTCTGAGGCCTCTGTTCTGTTCCATTGGTCTATATCTTGTTTTGGTACCAGTACCACGCTGTTTTGGTTACTGTATCCTTGTAGTATAGTTTGAAGTCAGGTAGCGTGATGTTGTTTCAATTGCAGTGTCTGAAGCAAAGTAGATACTCTTTGAATATTTCTATAATGAATGAATTTTTATACTTAAATCATTCTCCATACTAATCTATAATTTCATATCTGGATCTACTTTTCTGGGTTCCCACAGAGTTTTCTGGATGAATAATAAAGGACTGCTGTTATTGGCATATGAATAAAATTAACCAAAGCAGAAAAAAATATAAAAATAGAAATATATTAACTAAGATTATAGATAAAACTGAGCACAAAATGGAATGAAAAACAGTAATAAAGTAAACGAAAATAACAAGCAAGTTTCTATGAAAGAGACGGTTACTGATATTGATAGGTAGAATGTACATTTAGAAACCAAATGGATCACTATTGCCTATGTCAAATGATACCTTTTTGATATATGGTATGCAATGCTTTGTAGAACTAGTATATAAAACCTAAACTGGACCACGTTCATAAAATTGGACAGTAAAATCTGTTGTTATAATTTATCATTATCTCCTTAAACTGGCTCAGTAAAAATGGAAATGGTATTTTATTATATTTGTTAGTTGTTATAGCCAATCAGAAATGGCCAAATAATTTACCAAGAAGTATAATTCATATCTCTTCTATCTGGATATGGTTTTCATCAACGGAACCTTGCTCCATTTAATCTAATGTTGCCAACATTGCTGTCAATATATTACAGTAGAAATAAGAATAAACATGAGTGTGTGTATGTGTGGGGGTGAGCAAGAAAAAGAGAAGAAAATATAGGTAAGTATGAGGTCTAAGTGGCATGTGCACCTAGCTAGGGAACTCCTCCCGTAATCTGCAGTGCAGAACCCCCTGAAGTAGTGAATTTTTTTGTAGATCAAGCTTGTCCAACCTGCATCCCGTGGATGGCTTTGAATGCAGCCCAACACAAATTAGTAAACTTTCTTAAGACATTATGAGATTTTTTTGCTTTTCTTTTTTTAAGCTAATCAGCTATTGTTAGTGTTAGTGTATTTTATGTATGGCCCAAGAAATTCTTTGTCTTCCAATGTGGCCCAGGGAAGCCAAATGATTGGAATCCCTGTGTAAATGATAAATGCACATTGGCCTCCTCAGTGAAGAAAGCATGAGACAATTTCTGTAACAGTAGCAAAATGTGGGAGTCTTAGAAATAATATCCATTCATTACAATAACTTATAAAGAATAAAAAAAAAGAAGGTACCTAACTCTGACAGTATAAAAGCACACTGAAATATCTAACAATATTTAAGTGATAAAGAATAGATACTTTAGAATGAATAAGAAAATGTAGCTCAAATCTGTTAATGTTTGTTGAAATATAAAACATTTTATTAGTAGACATTTGAAGCCACTCAGGATAAGGATTAGGAGTTCAGTTGAGAATTCGGTATAAGAAAATAACCAAGGAGTATGCCCACTTCTTGGAGAAGAATATGGTAATTTACTCCTGGCCCTTTAATCTGCTTCAGCCCCCCCGTCGTTTGTACCTTAAAGGACTAATAAAAACAAATAAACCAAAATGGAGAGTAATTGCTCAGCAAGAGATTATTTCCCCCTTCAAGCACTCTCAACCTTGGCCACCAATCTCTATGTCTCCCCTAATTTAGTTCTAATCTCTAAGTCAAGGTGAATTATGTCCTATGAAAATGAAAGGATTTGGAGAATTGTTGAGCCATTTTCAATATTATCTGAGAAATCCTAAAGACTAGTAAAGATGTCAAAGGACAAGAGATTACCTGTTGTTCATCCAAAAATTAAGAGGGAATAAATTCTCAGAGTAAACTCAATGTTAATTCCTGATAGAAATTATTATTATTATACATGCAATTTGTTTAGAAGAATTCTTGACACATAGCAAAGTCATCCAAAAAATGATAGCTTCTAATCCTTTTCCTTCCTTTTCTTCCTCCTCTTTTTACTCATTTTATGATGATTATTATTATTGTCATTATTTTATCATCATTTTCATTCTTAGGATACAATAGAAATTAAACAGTATAAAGACATCGAGAGCAGTATTTTATATATTTTTTTCCAATCAATAAATTATAAATCTGATTATCTATGCCTAGTAAAGTTGAGCAATTGTGGAGCTGAGCTTTCTAGTGTGGGGGTTTCTAGAAGCAAAACTTAACCAAATAAATAATAAATATATGAAGTATGTTTAAATATTGAATTTTCTAGTATTAACTAAAATATGTCTCACTAAATGAACAGACTGCTTTGAAGTATTAATGTAAAGAAATTTCAGATTGTACATGATAATAATGAGCTCACAGGAAATAACAAGAAAATGGCATAGCAGAATCTTTTCTAAATCCTAATTGGACCTCTTCATTGGCACTTCATAAGATGAAGACAACCAAGAGATCAGACTAAGTGTTTAAAAAAATTAAGAAAGCTATTGAAAGCTTGGATTTTCATACATAATTATTAATAATATATCTTAATCAAAGTATATCATGTATATTCTGACCTGATTTATTTGCTGATGATAATATAAAGCCATTGCAATTAGACAGCATTTAGAAATATTGCTGTTTTATCTTTATCTCAGTCTTTTTAACTTTATTTTCATTTAATGTTTATAATGGCCATAATTTGATATAAAATAGAGTTTTAGGTAAAAAGAACGGAACTATGCCTTCTACTGTTTTATAGCCCTGATAATGTAGTAAACATCACTAATGTTAGGAGAGAAGCGACCAGTGTGCTAGAAACAAAAGATTAGAGTCCAGTGTTACGGAAATGAAACTAGCAGAAAGCTTAAAAGACACATGGCCATCTTTTTTGACCACTGATGGGATATCACAGGGCTTGAGGCCTGAAAATCATTTACGGGATTTTGCAACATGAAAGTCATTAGTGATTTTTACACAAGTGGTTTTTTTATTGCTATGAAGTTTTGTCCTCAAACAAACATAGACCCTACGTGGGACCAATTTTTGTGTAGGTGGGGCTAAGAGTACTTCAGCCCTAATGCCAGGCTTAGTGCTGTCCTTGACCACTTCTCTGCTAAGTCCTAAATTGCCCAGTGTAATGAGAGTTGGGGAAAAACAGATGCCAAGGAAAAACAAGTGAGAGTAGAGACTATTCCCAGAAGAGATCCAGCTCTAGGCCCTCTTTCCTTGATACTGTAGTGAAATAAAAGTGAAACAGGAAATCACTTCTAGGAGGGCTTAGGAATCTAATTCTGTCCCTCTGCTGTTTATCTCTGTTGTCCAGTTAATAACTCACCTATAATAATAATTTCCTTCTTTTTTCCTTCCAACCATTTCTTCCTTCTGCCTCTTTTTCTGCAATTATTATTAATGAGTACCTATTATGTGACAGATAGTGACCTAGGCCCTGGAAATAAAGCAGGGAACAAAACAATGTTCCTGTTATTATATTGCTGAATATTCTAGGGTGGAAGTGGGAGTGGGAAAGAGAAACCTTAACCAAATAAGTAATAACAAAGATTTAAAATTAACAGGTATGCCAGATGGTGATAAATGCTATGGAGAAAATTACAGCAGAAGGAAGGATATGAAGTGTGTGTGTGTGTGTGTGTGTGTGTGTGTGTGTGTGTGTGTGTGTGTGTGTAGAGGGGAAGGCTTCATTTTAAATGTAGAAGGAAGGCCCCACTAGTAGAGAGAACTCTCACAATGGAATCCTACTTTCTGTTTAATTAACCAAGGGCAAAGGGATACTTAAAAAAATTAACCAAGGGCGAAGTGTACATTTTTCATTTATAGACAGTGTTTAAAATTATACCATTGGGAAACATAATGCTATTATATTTGTCTTGAGCTAGATATAAACACACTTTTGCTGCATTAATAGATTGAATGCTTTTGTCAGTGAAGAAATTCAAAGGTTTATAATTATACCATTATGCTTCTTTATTTTCACTGCCTTTTAAAACAATAGCAAGCGCCATATATTTCGCTTTGCCTTGTAGTTTTAATTTAAAAAAATCTAAATTACTTAATCGTTTGTCTTTCATGGTTTCTTTCCCATTTTTTCTTCCTTTTTTTCTGCTTTAGGAGATGTCATTAACTAATCTGTTAAACTCCATAAATAAGTAAAATGATATATTCACAGTGTAAATGTTTTAAAACTTAAAAAAAAAACCATCTAGATTCATTTAATGAAGTCCTGAAGATATGTTAAAACTGAAGTGCTGCTGGCAAGTTAATGGAAGATTTGAATATGCAAACAGTGAAGACTAGATCGCTTCTCTAATTAAGATTCAGTTCATATTGGCTATATTCAGAGCTCCTTGTCTTAGGTCCCAGTTTTCTCATGTATTCTCATGGGGAAGGGTCTTCCTTGCTACTATTGTTTCCAATTTTAATTTTAATTTTTTGTTACTTTCTAATATTAAGTAATAACATGCATTACTAAATGCTTCAGAATCTATATTTATTTATATATGTTATTATTGATATATGGTTATTATAAGGCAAATAAATATTACCATGCTTATTAACTATAATATTTAGTTTCTTTTAAGCTAAAATGTGCAAATCATAATAACTTGGCAAAGTCACATTACACTTGCTATACTTCTTAGTTATACTTACAATTTAAATGTATTTATGTTATGAAGAAAGAGCACAGAGTTAGGGGGCCAGGCAAAGATAAGATATTCTTCAGAGATCATTTTGAGGTTTCAAGAATGAAGAAAATAAAAAATCCAACAAAGTTTACAAGGCATTCTTAAAATCTCTAAAAATCAATGTTCACCCTTTCATTGGAAGAAGGTACACAGGTCGATTATTAGAATGTAATAAGTTTTGAAGATTTTGAATACTTGTCTTAATAGAACTTGATTGACTAGGTTGAACTATGTTCCTTCAATATCATCCCTTCCTAGGAGAGAAATTCTTGCCATAAATTGGAAACATATCTAGTTCCACTTTTTCTTAAATGAACGGAGTGAGAGCAAAAACATCTGCAACCCCACAGTTTGTTGTCTTCACTAACATAAGTTTATTATTCCACTGTCTTCATCAACACCCTCTACTATTCAAGGCAACTCTTGTCTGGAAGATAAAAGTTGTTTAGAACCTAAAGATTTGTTTCAGAGAGTTCCTGCAAAATCTATTTGCTGTGCAACTGTTTAATAGCATCAAACAATTATTTTCCAGGACTCTTAGAACCCTCACCTCAGAACTCTCTCCTTGCTATGCCCATCAATTCTACACTATTATAACAGCATCCTTGCCTAGTCTGAATTCACCCACTGTATGGAAACACCCACCTTCAGCCAGTCCCCCAAACTTATAAATATCTTGACATTGCAATCTCCACAGAGATACTCTTAAGTCTCTATTACGGTACTAGATACCGTGATATGTGATATTTCTTACTGCTTTACAACAGTAAGAAAAAAACTCACCTTTGCCATACCAACAGTTGTTTTCTAGTATTTTCTGGAAACTTATATTTGACAATTTTCACTGTTTGTTTTCTCATAAGCTGTTCTTTTTCTCATCGCTTTTTTAGTAACACATGCTTTATTTTCCCAGTGAAATCTCTACTTTTTCTTCCTATTTCTTTTAACATTTGTTCTCTTCTTCAACTTCTTTCAAATTATTTCTTCTTTATACCACTCATCTTGAGCATTTCTATTTCAAACATTGGGTGTTTGTTTGTCTGTTGCTTTTGTGTTTGTTTTGCTTTTTTGAGAAGGAGTCATACTCTCTTGCCCAGGCTGGAGTGCAATGGTACTATCTTGGCTCACTGCAACACTCTGCCTCCCAGGTTCAAGCAATTCTCCTGCCTCAGCCTCCTGAGTAGCTGGGACTACAGGCACATGCCACCATGCCTGGCTAATTTTTTCTAATTTTTTTTTTTTTAGTAGAGGTGGGGTTTCACCATGTTGGCCAGGCTGATCTTGAACTCCTGACCTCAAGTGATCCGCCCGCCTCGGCCTCTCAAAGTACTGGGATTACAGGCATGAGCCACCATGTCCTGCTTGTTTTGTATTTTTAAACACTTTTTTCTTATCTTTGAAAAAAATGTCTCTGTTGTCTCTCAAAATTAATTTTGGAATTAAAACTCGATAAAGCTGTTTTTAAAAAGGTGCATCTTGGCTCTGTGCTGCTTAGACTCTCCTGTAAATGTTCTCTCTCTGGATTTCTTTCTCTCCGCTGTTTCTTCTCACTTCATGCATTGTCTCCATCATTGTCTTTAGTTTTAAAAATGTCCTTATGATATTCTCATGCCCTCTTTTTCTGTAAAAATCACCACCTCTTGCCTCTCTAAACCCTCCTCTTTCTCTGATCTGTCTTCTTTCACAACAAAGAATTGGGGGAATTAAGATTTACATATGTTGCTTCCACATTTCAGCAATGATTCACTTTTTAATACTTTGCAATTTGGCAAAATCACGTCTCTCTATCAAAACCACTTTCATAGATAACCAATGGCTTTCTAATTGCCTAGCTCTAGGAGTGTTTTCTTATCTTTAAGGACAGCAAGAATTAATCAAACAAAGGAACAAAAAAGCTGTTGCCCAAAATTATCTTAATAAATCTTTCTCTTACCTGACTTTCTTAATACTAGTTTGATTTTAGGAAATATTAAAATGATAACCATTCTAATGGCAAATATAAAAGAGTCCATAACTTGTTGAATAATAAAACAACCCATTTGTTCTGAGCATATAAAATAGGACATTACCAAAAATTTTACCAGAAATATTGTATGTTTGTACATATATATGTGTGTGTGTGTATAAGACATTCTTGTTCTCTGAGGAATAAAGTGCATATATAAAGTACTTTAGAGTTCATTTATATATTATGTATATAATCTCAATTACCCTTTACAGCAACATTGTGAGGTATATTTATTTTTAATCATTAGTTTATAAAAGAAGAAGCTAAGTCACAAATTATTTGGTGTATTTAGGCTATGTTTTTTATATTTATCTATTTATTTTTACTTTTATTTTAAGTTGAAGGGTATATGTGCAGGTTTGTTATGTAGGTAAACTCGTGTCGCAGAAATTTGTTGTACAGATTACTTCATCACCTATTAATACTAGATATTAAACCTAGTAACCAATAGTTATTATTTCTGCTCCTCTCTTTCTTCCCATCCTTCACCCTCAAGTAGACCCCAGTATCTGTTTTTCCTTTCTTTGTATCCATGAGTTCTCATCATTCTTATAACTGAGAACATGTGGTATTTGCCTTTCTGTTTCTGCATTAGTTTGCTGAGGATAATGGCATTCCGTTCCATCCATGTTTCCACAAAAGATATGATCTCATTCTTTTTATGGCTGCATAGTATTCCATGGTGTATGTGTACCACATTTTCTTTATCCCATCTATCATTGATGGGTGTTTAGGTTAATTTCATGTCTTTGCTATTGTGAATAGTGCTGCAATGAACATTCACGTGCATGTGTCTTTATGGTAGAATAATTTATATTCTTCTGGGCATATAGCCAGTAATGGGATTGCTGAGTCAAATCACAGTTCTGTTTTTAGCTCTTGGAGGAATTGCCACGCTGCTTTCCACAATAGTTGAACTAATTTACACATCCACCAACAGTGTCTAAGTGTTCCTTTTTCTGCATGATCTTGCCAGCATCTATTATGTTTTGACTTTTTAATAATAGCAATTCTGACTGGTGTGAGATGGTATCTCACTGTGGTTTTGATTTGCATTTCTCTAATGATCAGTAATATTGAGCTTTTTTCATGTGCTTGTTGGCCTCATGTATGTCTTCTTTTGAAAAGTGTTCAGGTAATTTGTCTACTTTTTAATGGTTTTTTAATTTTTATTTTAAGTTCCCTATAGACGCTAGATGTTAGACCTTTGTCAGACACGTAGTTTGCAAATATTTTTTCCCATTCTGTAGGTTGTCTCTTTACTCTGCTGATAGTTGCTTTCGCTGTGCCCAAGCTCTTAAGTTTAATTAGATCCCATTTGTCAATTTTTGCTTTTATCGTTATTGCTTTTGGCATCTTAGTCATGAAATCTTTGCCCATTTCTATGTGCAGAATGTTTTTGCCTAGGTTGTCTTCCAAGGTTTTTATAGTTTGGGATTTTACATTTAAGACTTTATTCATCTTAAGTTGATCTTTCTATATGGTGTAAGAAAGGGACCCAGTTTCAATCTGCTGCATGTCTAGCCAGTCATCCCAGCATTATATGTTGACTAGGGAGTCCTTTCCCCATGCTTGTTTTTGTCAGCTTTGTTGAGGATCAGATGGTCATAGGTGAACAGCCTTATGTCTGGGTTTTCTAGTCTGTTCCATTTGTCTATGTGCCTGTTTTTGTACCAATATCTTGCTGTTTTGTATACTGTAGCCACGTAGTGTAGTTTCAAGTCAGGTAATGTGATGCCTCCAGCTTTGTTCTTTTTGCTCGAGATTGCCTTCGCTATTTGGGCTCTTTTTTTGGTTCCATATAAATTTTTAAATAGTTTTTCTAGTTCTTTGAAGAATGCCATTGGTAATTTCATAGGAATAGAATTGAATCTGTAAATTGCTTTGGGCAGTATGGCCATTTTAATGATATTGATTCTTCCTATTCCTGAGCGTGGAGTATGTTTCCATTTGTTTGGGTCATCTCTGATTCTTTGGGCAATATTTTGTAGTTCTTATCATAGAGATCTTTTACATCCCTCGTGAGCTGTTTTTCTAAGTATTTTGTTATTTACATGGCAATTGTGAATGACACTGCATTCCGGATTTGACTTTCAACTTGGTCGTTGTTGGTGTACAGGAATACTATTGACTTTTGTACATTGATTTTATATCCTGAGACTTAGCTGAAGTTGTTTCTTAGCTGAAAGAGCTTTTGGGTTGAGACTGTGGGGTTTTCTAGATATAGAATCATGTCATCTGCAGAGATAGTTTGACTTCCTCTCTTCCTATATGGATTCTTTTTATATCTTTCTCTTGCCTGATTGCTCTTCCTATGACTTTCAATACTATGTTGAATAGGAGTGGTGAGAGAGGACATCCTTGTCTTGTCCTGGTTTTCAAGGGGAAAGCTTTCAGGTTTTCCCTTTTTGGTATGATGTTGGTTGTGGGTCTGCCATGGGTGGCTTTTATTATTTTGAAGTATGTTCCTTCAATACCTAGTTTATTGAGAATTTTTAACATGAAGGGATGTTGAATTTTATTTAAAGCCTTTTTTGCATCTGTTGAGATAATCATGTGGCTTTTGCCTTTACTTCTCTTTATGTGATGAATCACACTTTTATTGATTTGTGTACGTTGAAGCAACCTTGCATCCTGGAGATGAAGCCTACTTGATCGTTGTGGATAAGCTTTTTGATGTGTTGCTGGATTCAGTTTTCAAGTGTTTTTTGAGGGTTTTCGCATCAATGTTCATCAAGAATATTGGCTTCAAGGGGTGTGTGTGTGTGTGTGTGTGTGTGTGTGTGTTTGTGTGTGTGTGTGCGTGCGTGTGTGTATATCTGCAAGGTTTTGGTATCAGGATGATTCTGCCCTCATAAAATGAGCTGGGGAAGTGTCCAGCCTCAATTTTTAAAGAATAGTTTCAGTAGGAATGGTACCAGCTCTTTACATAGGTCTGGTAGAATTTGGCTATGAATACTACATCTGGTCCTAAGCTTTTTTTTTGGTTGGCAGGCTACTTATTACTGATTCAGTTTTGAAGCTAATTATTGGTCTGTTCAGGGAATCAATTTCTTTCTGATTCAGTCTTAGAAGGGTGAGTGTGTCCAGGAATTTGTCCATCTTTTCTAGGTTTTCTATTTTGTGTGCATAGAGATGTTCGTAGTAGTTTCTAATTGTTATTTTTATTTCTGTGGGGTCAGTGGTAACATTCCTTTTTTCATTTCTAATTATGTTATTTGGATCTTCTCTCTTCTTTATTAGTATAGCTTATGTTAAGTTGAGGAATTAGTCTTCAAATTCTTCTCATTTGGCTTCAAATCTTCCCTCAGGCTGTTTCTAATGCACTGCAGAGTTTACATGAATAGAATTTATCATGAAATGGACACTCAGCATTAAAACATCAAAAAAGTTATGAAATTCATTTTTATAGTTGCAGGTCTAAATGCATGCTAATTTTGAAGTACAGTATATTTGTTATATTAAGAACAATTTAAGTACTTTTCATCCATATGCATTCTTAATTGCCATCATAAATATTTGAAATGGTTTTACCCCAAGTTTATTCATAAATATGGATTATATGGGATATTTAATAGTTTGTTTTTAATGTTTTAACTTGATCATAATCATTAAACATCTAATAATTTTCAGCTTTTTTACCTAGAGGCCACTGCAATTACTAATGATTATATAAAGTCCTATTAAACTAATATAGGGTATATTAAAGAATTATTAGTAGCTAATAATTAGTAGCTAATAAGTAAAAAAAATCAAATAGCAAATGACTACAGCAATTTGTTTATTACCTGTTTGCAAATTCAGGCACAATATAGCAAATCAGCAAGTAAGTCTAATTCAAGGGGTTAATTTAGGAACATAGGATGATGGTGAATCTGCCAAGTTTAAGACACAGGTTTCCAACACTTTCTGAATATCACCATTCTGGGCATCAAAGAGCAGAAGTGCAGAGTCAACAATTTCCTCTTAAGCAAATGAAGGAGAAATTAAACATGTTTCAGTTATACATTATTGATAAGAACTTAGACATATGGTTGCATCCTTTCATGATGAACTGGGAAATCCTGTTCCTAACTGGAAAGTCAACTACAAGTTATAATTCCTTTACTACAAGAGGATTAAAGGATTTTGGTTGCCAAGTAGTAGTATCCTTCAAAATTGGTCTGGGATACAATTTCTTCTCATTAGGTGATTTAGAGGCCTATTGAAAAATACAAAATATACCAGTTTAAAAGCCTTAGAAGTTCACTTAGAATTTTACATCATTCAAATTCTTTGTCATGGCAGTCTACTGTTAATCTCATTCTGAACAATAATGTAAATAGTAAAAGTAAATAAATTTAAAAAGGTAACAGGCAAACATTTGCTGATCTCTTAGCATGTGCCAGGCTCCGTACTAGTGCCTGACTCAAATTTTCTTATTTATTCCTAAATGAAGGTAATAAAACTCAGCCCCATATTATTGATAAGGAACTGATGCCTGGAAAAGCTAACTAACATGGAGGGTAATTCATGTGGTAAGTTTAGCTGTGATTTAAACGTAGGCAGACTGATTCCAAACACACTAGTCTTAACCACTCATTCATATTATCAGTAAAACAGTGTGTGAAATTTAGTTGGTTTTGGCATTTCCAATGAGCAAACTCTTACACTTCTTTACTTTTATATCTATTGATCACACTTGTTAAGATTGGGAAAAATGGTTTTATTTAAAGATAAATCTTTGTCTGAATCAATGTTATTATTTAGATTAACAATGACTGTTCCTTTTTATGTCACTTGGTACAAGTACTTTTTTTCAGTTATTTAAATAGATTTGATGTAAGAAGCTATGAATACATAAGAAATGGTCTTATAATTTTTATTATGTGTGTATCAATGTCCCTAAATTTTGGAGACATTCACTACATCAACAGTTTGTGTCTATAAACCATCTTGATAAGTGTAATTAAAGTATAATTATCAAAGGCAAACTATCAGCAGATGTCCTAGCTTACTGCTGAGAGTCATATTATGAAACCTCTGCCCTTTGAGGATTGTTTGGGTTGAAGACTTAAGATAGAGATGCAGAGAGAGGAATATGTAAAATATATCATAAATTTATGTTTTATATATATATTATATATATTATATATTGTGTGTGTGTGTGTATATATATATATATATACACAAAATATGTCCAGTTAATTACCTGGTTATTAGCACATTTGTTTAATGAAAGTCTTTAGAAAAGAAGATGAAGTTTATTTGAACTATCAGAGCTGATGGGTTTGAATAAAGAGAAAACAGAATCAAAAGTTGTTCTATCATGGCATCCATTGATATATTATATTTATTATCTATTGCTATATAATTATTCCAAATTATCCCAAGAATTCGTGGCTTGATGCAACAATAAATATTTATTAATTACACAGTTTCTGTGAGTCAGGAATTTGGGAGCTGCTAATTTGAACACTTCTGGCTCAGGGTTTCTTGTGAGGTTGTAGTCAAGATGTCAGTCAGGGCTGCAGTCACCTGAAGGCTTGAATGGGGCTGGAAAATCTGCTTCCAAGATGGCTCACTCACATGGCTGGTATTGTGGTGCTGGCTGTTAGTAAGAGGCCTTAGATCCTGTCTCTATGGGCCGCTTCTGAGTGTCTTCATAGAAACACACCTTGAAAGCAATATAACATCATTTCCACTATTTGTATTTATTAGAAGCAAATTTACACACCTGGCCTACATAAAGGCAAATGAGATTCTATTATTTAAAGAGAAAAGTGTCAAGTATGATGTGGTCATGTTTTAAAACCACAATGTATATGCATAAATGTAGTATTAAGAGTAGAGTATAACTGGTATTCCATATAAATGTCCTAGAAAGGTAGGAGATAAATTTTTAAAAGTGAGTAAGAGTTTAGCCTTAAATATTGGTGAAAGAATTTAAACTCAATTCTTTAGTCATGTTCATATTTATGGATGTATTTTTGACAAATTGAGTGATGTGATAACAATGATGCTATTAGGGTGATTAGTATGACCATAATATGAAGGATTAACTGGAGAGGGAAGGAACTGTAAGAAAGGATATCAGCTTATTAAAGCTATACCATTAGTTACACAACTTTATAAATTTTAGAAAGGTGCCCAATCATACTAAAGATTTATCAGGAGAGTTTTCTAGATTTTCTCATCAAAAGATATTTCTATATTTTTAACAAGTCATACTCTATATGCATAACAGAAGTTGGCACACTTTTTCTTTAAAAAGTTAGATATTTTGTGTGTTGTAGCCCACATATATTTATGTTACGTATTTTTCTTTGTTTTTATTTTTATAATCCCTTAAAAATGTGAAACCCTTTGTAGCTTCTTGGAGGTACAAAAACAGGCTGTAGGCCAGATTTGGAACATGGGCTGCAGCTTGACAATTCCTGATCTATAGTCTTACATTTAATTTAGTTTCATATTAATATTCAGCATATATCTATTGAACAGGTTTATAGTCAAAGCACTTTATAAATGCTAATGAGCAAAAGGATGAAAATAACAATATCTAACATATACTGAGCACTGAAGTTTCCAGGTATCTTGCAAAGCATTTGACATTGTTTCTGTAATTCCCTCAATGTTCTAAGGTGTAGAAACTTGGAAAGGTCAACTGAGTCTTAGAAAGACTAAACACACTGCCCAAGTGAGGGAGTCAAGGATTAAACCCAAGTTGTTACACGATAAATACAGTACCAGTAGCATGCAAAGAAGAGTCATGCCTGCCACTTTTCTTCATGGGACCTATACTCTGTAAGAGGAAACTAATATATATAGAAGTATTATCTGGCAAAGCTAGAAATGCAATTCTAGAGGTCCACATTAGATTAAGCAGGGGTGATAAAATACAAATCAGCCTAAAAAATACCAGCTTTCTCTTCCTAGCCTTAATTCCTAGCTGGATGAACTTGTGCAGTCATTGAAAGTTACTGAGATTCCATTGCACCATCTTTGAAATTTACTTTCTTATTTAAGATGCTTTTTTATTACAGACCGTCAGCTCTTTGCCTATCCATGGACATAGTGAAAGATTATAGCATTACATAGCAGGCTAACTCCAAATTTCACATAGTATTATTCTAAGGAAATAATAGAGACCTAGACAAGCAGAATTTAGCCCATAACCACATTCTAGAGAGAGAGAGACTTAAAAATACCCAGTTTAGGAAGGCTTCATTCTTGGTCCAAAATCATTACAGGAACCAGAACCTTAGGTTGGTTGTCACTTGTTTTCAGATAAGTCGGAGTCACAAGAAAGGTAGAAGAAACACAAGCAAAGATAACAAGGCAGGGAAATGCCATGGGGTTCATCACCATAGTAAACTATAATGTTCTACCCCTTGTCTTACCATATATGTAGGTGCATGTGTGATATGTATACACATGTAACATATAAGATCTTACATGTAACATATTAGATAAAATAAGCTTTTGAGAAATCATCGCCTTCTTCCAAAAGTTTCCCCATGAAAAAGTCTTACTATGAGTTGATAATTTATATCCAAAACAAATTTTAATTTGTTAAAATTTAAAAAAAAATTGAAACATTTGCAGTATGTAGCATTCTGGAACAAAATACAATTTCCTTCTAGCAGGTTACCATTTTATTAGAAATCTAGCAGGTAATCTAGCAGGTTACCATTTTATTAGAAAAATCATTATACATACATGCCACCATTATCAAAATAGGTCATGAATTTAAACATACTGATATAGAAACCCTATCATCAGTAAACTAAGTTCACTAAACAGAAGAGTATTGGCCAAATCACTGGGAATTTCTGGCAACTTTCTAAAAAGTTGTAAACCTTATGACTTAGAGTTTAACCTTTCTTCTACCTAAGGAAAACTTTGGTGTGCCGAAAGCTGTTTGCAGCTGATTTCTATTAGGAATGGTGCTAGCCAACCAACTATATTAGTAGGTAGGATATATATTTTCATCCATTTTTCAAAATCTCATACTTAGAATACATGGAAGTTTATAATAAAATGAAACTCAACATAAGAATTATGATGAAAACGAGGATATTCTCGCAAAGATATTCACATCTGTGTGTCTTGAGTGGCATTTCTTATGTGTATATATAACATTCATCCAATTATCACACCATATTCATTTTAAATCCATAGCCTAAGACATTATTGGGTATAATGACATAATCATATAGAACAATATTTTTTATTTTAATTTTATAATCATAGATTAAACCTTCAGACTCTTTCCAATAATTAAGTTTCCACTTATCTGCATGTCTGCCCGGTATCAGAGATATTTTGGCATTTTTTAAATTTGTTGGTGAGAAGACGTTGGGCATTATAATATTTATTTGATGGGTTTGTAAGTAAACATTAAGAAAATACTATAGGAAATTGTGTCTATGGTCTGATGACATTAATACAAAAATAATTGAACATTGCCCATTTATTGTAACTACTGAGACCACTGAAGATGACCATATATTTTTCTAGTAAATCAGTAAATAGGTGATTGCTCCTGTCTGTTGCCATTTCCACTCACCACAGGGATCCTGTGAGATCGTGAGATTGAAATGGACTCTATGAACATCTTTAGTCTAACAATTTTCAAAATCTTTTTACATCTATTTTTCTTGCTCACCCATGCTGACATGTGAAATCTGGCTCTCATTTTTGATTTTGTGCTGATTAAATTGAAACCACCTTTAGAGAAAATTGATATACACATGCTAAAAGTGAAAATTCTTCTGTCATAGATATTTACAGCTAAAGTTACAGTATATGGGCAGACCTCTACACACCAGCAATGTGTTTCATGTTGGTTGCAGATATTTTGTTTTATATTTTATGGTGTCTTTTCCTGCAGTAGAACAGGTGATGCTTGCTCTGTGGGGTATGGATGCATTTTTCTAATTTCCAAAGTCAGAATGTTGTCAAGATTTTTGATAGGGTACACACAGTTCACTTTTTTCTTTACGCAAATGAATACTATGAAATCTGTGTAGACATGACATACATTCTTACTATTTCTTCAATTTTCGTTTGTTATTCCACTATAATATTAGGTATTTTGTACAAATGTGATATTAGTTTTATAATTAAATCTGGTTATATGGTAACTTAAATGGTTACTTATTAGATGAATAAACTAATAAAATTTTCTCTTTTTAAATTATGTGAACTGCTGAAATTATAACTATCATATATAAATAACAAATATCATCCTTATTTCTGCTTTTATTCAATATTTCTCAGCTAGAGGAATATTTCTCTAGCCGAGAAAATATTTTATTCAATATTTCTCAGCTAGTAACATCAGTAATTTCTAATTAATATACATTAGAATATATCTTCTATTTCCAAGAAATATTGATCTGAGCTAATGTATCTTATAATGGATAGTTTACAAGAACATTTTGTGATTAATCCTTATAACATTCACATAATAATATACATTGATATAGTTTAAGAGCATTAATATGCTGTAGAACTCAACACTTGAGGTAGTCCAATCTTTAAGTTTTTATTCCTTTTTTTATATTATGTATTCCTATAAAGTAATTCTTTTAAATTTTATTTTAATAAAATCTTGATGCCTATCGTCTTCCCTTGAATTGATGTAATTAGGCTTCACCAAACCATCTTATTGTTAAGTTAGTTAATATTTACTAGTTGAAGTTATTCTTTTGGTCCATATTATTGAGTTTCCATTTAACTGTATTTATTTGCAGATATAAGCTTGTTATTGGATCACTACAAAATTTCTGTACATACACTTCTTTAATTTTTACGCAGTATAAACTAATATATAAGTGATTGAGAAGATTCTGAACCAGACAGTCAGAGCAGAATAAAAATTATTTATATCAGTTGCTTTTATTTTATTTCCTTGTTTAGTGAATTAATCATATTCTATATATGTTGTACTGTGGCAACTGTGTTTTTCCCTAACCCTTGCTCTACTATACTGGTTGAAGTATTATTATCTGTTTTATTTTCTCCCCTCCAGGACCAGAAAGTTTACTTTTCTTGTTAACAGATTTGTAGAAAATATAAGTAAAAATTCCATGTCACTGTCTGTTAAACAAGATAATTATTTTAAACGAAAAACTTACTTGTTATAATGCCATAATCAAACCAAGATGCATGGTAGCTTTCGAAGGCTTTAGATTCCTGCAAAATTCTCTCTATTAAGATAATGGTCTGGCATTTTGACATGAATCTATCTAAGAGCTGACCCCAGTTCCTTTTTTGGAAGGTTAATTTTGTAGTTTCTTTAGGACTTGCCTGCCAGTTATATGCCGATAGCCAGTTAATTGTTGGTTAATCCAAGCATGTGATGAGATTGCTCTTCTGATTGTTCACAAGCAAGAAGGGATGAAATTACATCAGTCTGAAGCTGGCCCTTTCCATTGCCACAGTATTTAGTGGCGTTCACACATGGCTGTGGAGGATGAGATTGAAGTGTTATCTCATCATTGCTATTCTCTCATTTTTACTAGCCAACTCTCCTCAGTAGTTTAGAAGGCTAGGGAAGAAAGTCATATCCTAGCTCACTACAACAAAGATCAAGTTAGACCTGTTTCTGTAGACACAAATTTTGGCTGATACATGTTTGTCAGTGCTGAGGATCTGAAATTGGCTTGGGAACTATAGAGCTTTCTCTACTTGCAGGTATAAAAATGTCCTGTTATTAAGATTTAATATTTAATAGTGATTTTATTAATACAGTTTGATATTCCAAATAAGATGCCAGAACATGAAATGATAATTTCTAGAAGTTCATACTCAATAATTGCTACTTGTCATTATTTAATGGTCACTGGTTGATTTTGGACGTGTCACCAACATGGCTTAAGTTTAAAATAGAGCTGTATTTATAAATGAACATCATTTGTGTACTATGATTATCTAAACTGTTTAATTAACAAAGATTATGTACTTTTGAAAAAATCAAATAACATTTAAAATAATACAAATAAGAACTGATACAATAACTCTTGACTATCTCTCTGCAGGGGTTCTTAACTGTTCTGGAACAAAGTATGAAAGTTTTGAACTTTCTCTCAAAAAGTCAAAAAATCACCTATGTGTATATTAAACAATTTCACAAAGAAAATGCAGAGGCTTTGAAACTGAAAAACAACTATTTAGAAATCTATAACCACCTTCCACCACCCCTGGTTGAGAATCTCAGCTCTGCATTTGTTTGTTTGTTTATTATTTATTTATTACTTTAAATTTTTTTGTCAACTTTATTGTTTTCAGCAGTCTTACATTCACAGCAAAATTTGAACGGAAAGTACAGTTTGCATACACTGTCTACCTTCACGTATGCATGGCCTGTCCAACAGTGACCATCCTCCACCAGAGTGGTGGATTTGTCATTACTACATGATACATCACTATCACCCAAAGTCCATGGTTTCCATTAGGATTCACTCTCGCTGTGGTACATTCTGTGGATTTGGACTAATGTTGTAATGGCATGTATCTACCTTTATAGTATCGTACAGAGTATTTTTAGTGCCCTAAAAATCCTCTGTGTTCTGCCTATTCATCCTTCCCTTTGTCCTAATCACTGAGAACCACTGGTCTTTTAACTGTCTCCACAGTTTCGCCTTTTCCGGAATGTCATATAGTTACAGTCATATAGTGTGTAGCCTTTTTGTATTGGCTTTCACTTAGTATTATGCATTTAATTTTCCTCCCTGTCTTTTCATGGCTTGATATCTTATTTCCTTTTAGTACTCAGTAATATTTCATGGTCTGTATGTACTACAATTTGTTTATTGTTCATCTAGGAGCTCACTTGCTGGAGCCCATGGTCAGAGTGTGTTTAGTTCTGTTAGAAACTGCCAAAGTGTACCTTTTCGCTCTCCCAAAAGCAGTGAATGAGAGTTCATGTTAATGCACATCCTGGCCAGCATTTGCTGAGTCAGTGGATTTTGTCAATTCTAATAGGTGTGAAGAGTTATTCAATTAGAAAAATTATTTGAAATTTAAAATTAAAAAAATTAATTAACTAAAATTTCAAAATAGTTAAAGCATGGTTTAACTTATCCTTTCTGTGTACTTAGATTTTCATTCAATCTTTACAACTTTTTAAAATATCAAGACTGACCTTAGGAAATTGATCATTCACTACATTTTTCATATATATATATATATATATATATATATATATTTACACACACACACAAATAACAGAAAAACAAAAGCAAATGGAAAAACAAAGTGCTTAAGGCCAAAGCTTTATTTTTATATTTGCTTTTGTTTTTCAGTTATTAAAAATTTAACTGCACCTTTATTTCTATACCTAATCTATGGCAATACATATTGGTATGGCTGGACTGAAACTATTTATGTTGATGTGGGGAACCTAGGCTGAGAATTGAGTTACCTACCAGTTTCTTCAGTAGTTTCTAAGAATTAAATAATTGATGTGCTGTGAGGAAGCGGTGAAAAGCGAAAGAAGCACACCAATTCAAACAGATCTAATGGCTAGGTAGAAATGTAATAAATGTCTAAAGCCTACTACTCCTTAGGCTTCAAGGCAATAAAGACATTCATGGTTTTGAAAGAAAGAGAGGCCTTGGTATTTTTCCCACATTAGATGACTGGAGACCTTAGAAAATTCCGTTTCAATAAAATGAGATGAGTTTAACATAGATTGAAATCTGTCAGAGATAGACAAAATTAGGCTGGGAAAAATGATTTAGTCAAGCTAACAACTAAGGTATTTCATTTATTTAGTTTAGTTTCTTCAGTTTATGTAAATTCAGGAGGGGATAATGATATTCTTGTCAGGGATAACATAATTTACAACATTTATGTTCATGTATACTGTAGTTAATAAAAAGATATTTTACTATGACTTTTACCACAAGATGTTTTTCAGAAATCTTCAGATACTAAATGAATGCTTTACTTTGCCTTATGGATTTGCTATTTTCTCATCTTAAAATTAAAATTATAATCTGATGCTCAGTAGATATAAAACATATTTCCAAATGCATTAATGTTAGAATCACAGATTAAATTTGACCTTTAAAACATATCTTAGGAATTGGAATATGATTCCCTTCAGAATCCCAGAGAGTTCATAGAAGTATAATTGTTATAAATATTTTTGTCAGTTCTGTAATCTCAAGATATTTCATAAATCCCCATGTAGCTATTTATTGCATGGGCATGTTCATAAGACAATCTGAAGATATCTAAATAATATTTAAGTATTTATTGCTCTGTGAAACAGTGGCTGGCCTAGTACCTGCTCTTTAATTACATAGGAACACCATTTACATTTTATACCCTTTTTCTTTTGATTTTTTTCCCTTCAAAACCACAGTCATTTTACTCTGATTTTAAACTTTATGAATATTTTTCAAATCTCATTTTAGAATTGGATTTCTTATAGGGTGTTTTATTCCAGTGCTGTATCTCTGGAATATGTTCAATTTCTACATTTAAACTTTTTATTTTGGGCAAATTCATAAACTGGCAAATATGATTATCAGATGTAAATATATTAAAGTGAGGGTTTGATTCAAACTTAGGAATTTAAAGAAACTTGGAAAAAGCCTCATATTTACATATGCTGTTATGGGGGTAGGACACATATGAAATTTTTATTTTGTAAATTATCCTGAGTATCCCATTGTAATCATACAAAGGAAGAAATTCTAGATGATAATTATTTTTTATATCTGAATGCCATTTTATTATGTACATACAGTATGTCTGTGATATAACAGTATATCTATAGTATTAGATGATAATTTAATACTATAGATATACTGTTATATCACAGACATACTGTATGTACCTGTTTATATATATAATTTAATACTATAGATATACTGTTACACCACAGATATACTATATATACCTGTTTACATACTGTGAGCTTTTGGAAGGCCATACACCATTTTCATATCTAATACCTTTTGCCATAGGAACCAATTTTATCCGTTTAGGAATGATACTCTGCCCATTGGAAAGACATGTTCTGGACTATCTCCCAAGAGACTCCTTTTTCCAGCTAATGTCCACTTGATAGACTTGTCATCTAGAGATCACTTCAAGTAAATTACTTCAGGCAAGACAGAACCTAGCTCCTGTCCTTGAAAAATTTATTATTTCCAGCGATGCTACTGCTGTATTAAATAAAATAAAGTAGCACAATTGCAAGTGCAAAGTAAGATGTTTTAGGCAAAATTGAACAAGCGGAAAAAGAAAACGGTCATTTTTAGAGAGAAACTTTAAGTTTCTAACTAAAAATTGGTATGTAGAGTAAGGTACCTAACTGAGGATTAAATTTAAATGCCAAGCAAAGCATTTTATATTTAATATCTAGTTAAACATCTAGGCCTATGAGAACAGGCAATAAAAGTTTTTATTGGGTCTTGACCTGATTGGAAATTGATTTGTGAGGAAATAATTGTAGTTGTAATGAATAGTCTTTGAATATATATGTTTAAGGAGTAAAGAAAGGAATTGGAGGAATACAAAGAAATAGTTAAATAGCATTGAATACAAAGGAAACACAAAGAAATAGATAAATAACACTGAATGCACTTTTAGCTCCTAAGTAAACTATCAGATCATTGGTTATGAGGGACAATAATATATAATTTTAAAATATAATATCAGTAAAAACTAAGAAGGAAATAGGAAAAACATTTTTGATAATTTTAATATGTTTAAAATTACTCTGATTATTATTATTTTTTTTAGAAATTCAGTTGACATTTTAGTTCAAGGAATTTTTTACTAATCCTTTCAAACTTGCTAAATTTTCAACAATATTCCATTTGATGTTTTAGTTTGCCTGAAGTGATGCAAATTCTAAAGCTGATTTTTACAGATTTATTTCATTTTTTACTTTGATCCCCAGTGAATGCATTTTAAAGTAACATTATTACTTTTGGTGCTAGCTATGGCTTACCTGTTACCAATTTGCAAAAACACAAGGAGTTACATTATTATAAAGAAAAATAAGTCAACTAATTACATGAAAAAATGTATTTATTTTAAAATTTAAAGTACTTGTCTTGACTAGAGAAAATGATAATAGTAATAATATAATAACCACATTAATAATTAACCCCATTTATTGAAGACTTTCTCTGTTGTAAATACTTAATATCTGTTATCTCAATTAATTCTTACAACAGGTCTGTGAGTGAGCACTATTATTATCCTTCTTTTATAAATGAGAAGAGTAACTCACACAGACTTCAGTTGACCTGCCTGACTACTACATAAGTGAAGGAGACGAGAATTGAATGTATTTCCTCTGGCTTCTGTGAACACATGCTTAACCACTATATCGGAGTTATGCTCTATAAAATAGGACATAACTAAGTTTTTCCTCTAAAATGTAACTTTTGAGAGAGAAGTATTTCTGAAATAAAAATCTGATGTTACTCCCCTACTTTTAATGATTTATGGTTTCCCATTGCCAACAGCATAAATATAACATCTTTAAAATGGCGCACAAGTCTTTTAGGGTCCCATTCCTATCCATTTTCTTAGCTACGCATCCTCCAGCTCAAATACCCCTTTTCTTCCCACCACTTGTAGGTTTCACTCTAGAAGCACTGAACTATTTTCAGTTTCTTTAATATATCATGCTCTTTCTTAGATTCTCACTGCCTAGAATATCTTTCTCCCACATATCATATGCCTAAATATTCTTGATCAGTTTTTAAAACTAGTTCAGATGTCACCTCATCTCTGAAATTTTCTCTGAACAAGCCTCCACATAGGTATAGGTAACCTTGTCCTCTTATGCCCCTCATATCTATTTCTAATGAATTATACCATCACTAGATATTTTTATTCAAGAACATGCATAGCTTCATGAAGCCTCTTAAAACTAGTTTCATGTGGTTCTTTATATTTTCAGCATCTACACCACTGCCTGAACACATTTTAGGAACTCAGTGTTTGTTGTATTAAATAACACTTATGAAAATGTTTTGGATTTTTTTGAATAAAAATATACTCTAATGTTAATGTTGTATTTCTGCTTAAAACCACTACTGTGTTTCCTGTGAATTAGAGCGTCTATGCTTTCAAAGCATTGATATGTAAGTGTTTAACAGTGGAAACATTTGAAATCAAAAAAGTATATCTAAGCTTTTCCCATTCTCTGATAAATACAGCTTTATCAGTTGTCTCATCTTTGCAATCCTTCTCTAATTTACAAATCTAGGAATCTTTCAGTTTCTTCCTGCACAGGTCTTGATGAGTATATTTCGTTTGGTGATATCATATTTCTTAACAATCATTCTATATTTAAGTAAAGACCTCATCTCTGCAGGAGCCAACCACTCTCAATCTCACTTCAGATAATATTCTGAATGAGACCCTACAGAAGAGAAATCAGTCTGACATTTATTAGACATTCTCATCATGCCAGACACTGTGTTAGGAGATTCCCATGTTGGAGATAATCAAGCACAATTTTTGGCTCAAATAGCCTAAAGCCTCAGATCCATGATTTCCTAGCAGTCTGATCTTAGATAAGTTATTTATTCCTTTTATGCCTCAGTTTTCTCACTTCTAAAATGAGGATGAAAATAACCTCCTCATAGAATTGTTGTAATAATTATATGATAGCACTTTGAAAAGGTCTTCCATATTAAAAACACAATATGCATACGTGGCCGCCATTTTTATCATCATCATTATTATCACGACTACTAATACCGATTACTTTCTCTGCTCCTCATAACAACACGGTGAAGTTAGTTGGAAATATATTTTTACACTGAATTATAAGAAGCATTATGGAAGAAAATGTTTTTCATTTGTATTTATATCTATAGTGCCAGGGTCCATATCTAGCACATAGTAGGTTCTTATAAAGTTTGGAAGTCTTCAGGTCCACCCACAGTTTTAATAATTCACTAGAAAGATTAGCAAAATGCATTGAAAGCTGTTTTTCTCATGGTTATGGGTTATGGGTTATAGTAAAAGAATACAGTTATACAAATATATATATAGATATAGGTAGATATAGATATAGATATAGACATATCTGTAGTCCAGGCTGGAGTGCAGTGGCACAATCATAGTACACTACAGCCTCGAACTTCGGGACTCAAGCAATTTTTCCCAATTCAGGTTCCGAGTAGCTGGGATTGTAGGCATATACCGCCATGCCTGGCTAATTATTTTTAAATATTTGTAATGACAGGGTCTCGCTGTGTTGTCCAGGCTGGTCTCAGACTCCTGGTCTCAAGCACTCCTCTGGCCTCCACCTTCCCAAGTGTTGGGATGACAGGTGTGAGCCCACTGCACCTGGTTCTGGTTAACATATTATATAAATTGCTAAACACACAAGCAGAGGAAGGCCAGAAAATATTGTTTTGATTTGAGAGATGGTAGAACAATGGATGATGCATACAATTCAGTTAATGTATTAATTTTACCTGCTCCTAATTAATATCAGTCATGTGTCACTTAATGACAACAATACATTCTGAGAAATGCATGGTTAAATGATTTGGTTATTGTGCAAACATCGTGGAGTGTACTTACACAAACCTATATGATATTGCCTACTATACAGCTAGACTATATGGTATAGCCTATAATCCATTTTCTTAGTTACACATCCTCCAGCTCAAATACCCCTTTTCTTCCCACCACTTGTAGGTTTCACTCTAGAAGCCTATTGCTCCTAGGCCACAGGCCTGCACAGCATATTACTGTGCTAAATACCGTAGGTAATAGTAACACAAGGTAAGTATTTGTGTATTAAACATATAAAAGATACAGTAAAAATATAGTATTATAATATTATGGGATCACTGTTAGATATGTGGTCGGTCATTGGCTGAAATGCTGTTTGTTGTCAGTGCATGACTATATATGTAAATAATTTTAAAACTGTGTCAATTATGATTAGTCCACTATTATTTTCCATTTTGCCTTGTTCCCTCTCCAAAAACAAAAGGATTGAGGTCAGAATTATAATAGGTTGTCAAGAGCAACAACAACAATAACATTGCTAGGTAACAAGTACAGCACTTTCATGACCTAGTTACTTGCTGGGACACTTACATGTTGTTTAACTGACACAACAAATGTCTGACGGATGTACCATTATCATGTCCATTATACAGCTATGGAAACTGCAACATAGAGTAGTTAATTTGTGACAAGTCACATAGGTGTTAACTGGTAAATCTGGTGTGCAAATGCAAGAACGTTCCTGTCAACATTTAATTTTTTTCCAATTTGAATATTGTTTAAATTGTTGCCTTTTCGAGAGAGATAGCAAGCTGTTAATCCTATAAAGGAGACACATTTTCTGGACTAGTTACCCAGTGGTGGTGTTGGGAGCAAGTGGTATATATTTCTAAGCTATTTGTAAGAGCCCCACACCTGCCTGTAGTTTCCCCAGACGTGTAGCTAGGTATGTGACCTGCAATTGTCAGAAAGATTGTTTGACTGTATGTATTAAGAGCCTGATTCCAGGGCCTCAAGTATGGAGGAGGTGCCTGCAGTGTTAGCTATGTAATTTTGTTCACAGCTCCCTTCAATCTATGCCTGCCTCCCCACTGGGCCAATTTATACTGCAGTGTAAAGTAATGAACAGTTACAGTGTCCCTGGGGAAAATCAGCAAGTTTTATTCAGTATTGCATTACAGGCAATTGTTATGTATACTTCCCCATTAGTCAGGTTGAACAGACATAAATGAAATCTGCAGTTATTTCCCAAATCTCATTAAGAAGGTGCTTTACTCGTATTTCCATCAAATCTTTTACTAGGTGTCTAAGAGCTAACCAGATGGATTGATTTCAGTTACACTGTCTCTCTAATTCTCTTCCCAGAATCTGGCAGAGGGATTAATAGGATTAAAGCTAGTTTTGAAAGAATTGACAGAAGAATAGAACTGGGGGAGAAGAAAAAGAAAGGATGATGAATAATTTAGATAATTAGATCCTAAATAATCAACATATTTTACAACCCTTCCCAACAGTTTGAGTCCAATAGGCCAATAGATCCTGAAGAATTACATGGTCTATTGCCAAGCCAGCTCCCGCAGGCTACCTCAGCATCTCCCTCCTAAAGCATAGCTCATTCCTCCACCTTAACAATGATCAGAAGATTTCAGGGAAAGTAAAATAAACTTGCTATTTCTGAGATAAAGTCTAGAGGGTCCTAATTTCCTTATTATATCACATTAGTTTCAACTAAAATTATCATTTGTAAGTAAAGGATCCATCTTGCATTACATAGAGTATAAAAAGGTGAGGAGGTATAACAATCTGAGGGGTTTTCATGGAGTCCAAGCACAGGGATGCATTCAGGCTCACGAAGGATTGGAACTGAAAACTGGAACGTTCTAAAGGCACCAGGAAATCATTACCCCTCTCCCTTTCTCCTTCTGTCTCTCGCTGTGTCTCTCGCTGTCTCTCTCTCTCTCTCTCTCTCTCTCATTCTCTCTATGTCCCTCTGTGGCTTCTTCTTCCTTCTTCTTCCTCTGCTACTTCAGGACCACAGTGTTTCCAGATCCTTCTCTAGGAACAAACAATTCATTTATTCTCCTGGAAATTGCACGTTTTTCACTGTTTTGTTTGCCTTTTCCTTCCACACTTGTGATTATTACACTTCATTCAGGTATTTAAAACTAGGATTCCTATGCACAAGTGTAAATCTTTGGAAGGGAGAACTTATTTGGCCCCTGTGGATCAGCTTATGTGTATGAATATCATTAATTTGGCCCTGAGAGGTGAATGGCAATCTATGGGATGGCAGGACAACAATTAGTCATTAGTTATATATACATTTGTTTCTCAAAACGTTAATATCTTTGTGGTCAATAATCATCTTATTTCTCATTGCTTTGCCTAAAACCTGACACAATGTCGTATATTGGATAAGTTTAATTGAAGTTTTTTTCAGTAATGATAGTATTTTGAAAGAAATAAAGGGCATGGTGACTGCCTTTAGAGAGCCTGCAGAAGCCTTTGTAAAAGGGACATGGATGAAGCTGCAAACCATCATTCTCAGCAAACTATCGCAATGAGAAAAAACCAAACACCGCATGTTCTCACTCATAGGTGAGAAATGAACAATGAGAACACTTGGACACAGGAAGGGAAGCCTCACACACTGGGGCCTGTTGTGGGGTGGGGGGATGGGGGAGGGATAGCATTAGGAGATATACCTAATGTAAATGACAAGTTAATGGGTGCAGCACACCAACATGGCACATGTATACATGTGTTAACAAACCTGCAGGCTGTGCACATGTACCCTAGAACTTTAAGTATAATAATAATAATAATAAAAAGAAAGCCTGCAGAAATAGAGGTTCACTAAGAGACATTTCTCAGCATTTACCAAGCGGTAGGAGAGCACACGTTTATTGATAAAGTGCAGGCAGCAGAACCCAGTGTTACTGACAGCTGACTAAAAAAAAAAAAAAAAAAGAAAAAGAAAAAATGGTGGCAACACATAAGTTGATTCAGTAAATGCATATTAAATCCACATTCATCAGCACCATAAAAGCATTATCTTTGGAATGACCATCTTGGTACCTAAAATAGATTACATCATTCAAGTTTCTAATTTTATTTTGTAAAGTTTATATTGACGTTTATTCTATTTAACAAAAATCAAAAATCTAAATTATTAAATGGCTTATTTTAAATCATTGTACATTTACTATTTAAAGTAAATAAAATTGTGCCCCAGATGTCACAAAAGGCTATTTTTATGAAGGTTATTAATCACATGACATTCAGTGACTATTAGGATGTGCGAGTTACTCACTTAAAGAGTGTTTGGATAGACTACGTGGTTTTGGAAATTTATTTGCATCCTAAGGTTTCATGGTGTGCATTCTCTTCTATACATTCCAACTTAGTTTATGTAGCAATTATTATTATTGATGAAAAAGGTTGATAGAAAATTTTGCTAAGATCATACTGCTACTAAGTGATAGTGTTTGTCCTTTGTATGTTCCTAACTAAGAAGAAGGCATTATTCATTTATTGCCAAATTATTCAAGATAAGGGCTTGATCCAGTTGTTGAAACCTTAAATTATATCTAAGTTACTAAACTAGATTTCAAGTTTTCAAAAGAAGTATGTTGAGGCAAATGAGAATTTTACTTATATAAGACAAATGGTTATATTTTCTATATATTATATATAATAGAAATAGAAATATATATTATATATTATCTTTATATATATCTTTATATATAGATATATATGTATATATATCTATATATATAGATATCTTTATATAAAGATATATATGTATATATATCTCCATATATAGAGAGAGATAGATATGTTTCTCTCTCTATATATATATATATATATAATATGTATATATGGGTATCTATTTATTGTTTGTCTCTTCTTCTGTAATGTAAATTCCATGAGGCCTGGAACTACATCTGGTCACAGCTGTATCCTAAGAGTTTAGTGCATTTTCTAGCATATAGCAAAGATATAATCAAGCATAATGTATATATCCACAATATGGATTTAGTCACTCGCCACATAAGGATCAGGATGATTCTATGGTTAGGTGGCATTACTTCGAATCATATAAAACTTTATTCTGCAAGTAAAGAAGGTTACATATTAGTCATTTGGGATCACTTGATTAGATAAGATTTATTTAAATATTTGATTATATGTATTTATATATTTGATTATATATATATTATATATATTATATATATATAGCAAGACCCAATAGAGTGTCTCTCTCTCTCTCTCTCTAATATATATATATACTTGCAGAATAAGTACTGGGTCTTGCTATATTGCCCAGACTAGCCTTGAACTCCTGGTCTTAAGCAATCCTCCCTCCTTGGCTTCCCAAAGTGCTGGGATTAGAGGCATGAGTCATCATACCTGGCCCCATCAGTTTCTATTTTATACATTTCTCTTTCTCTTTTGCATGTTTCTTGAAATCAAAGGGAAACTAATGTAACAAATATAAATCAGAACCTTGAAAGAAATGGGTCTAATGTATTAATCTCATTATGATATGGATCATAAGAAATATGTACTCATACATAGCTTCTGCTCTCTTTGGTTCTGACCACATACACACACACACAAACACACACACACACACAAAATAGCAGACCAATTGTTACTTTTTCTGTCAGTACATTTTTTACTAGTGATTATATTCACTTGCTACAGAAGTTTATTACTATGGACACTATATCAAAGATTTTCAGATCTAAATATTTTATAATGGATATTTTGAGCATAAAGATAGACAAATTTTTAGTGACTATGCATGTCACACTACAAACTACAAACACTGTTGTATAGGAAAGGCTAAGGAGTGAGCATCAGGAGTTCAGGGTAAGAGTATTGACACAGCTAGAATATGGCTCACAATGGAAAGTCCAAATTCCCAAAGCTCCTAGACTGCTCTGCTCTGCTACTTTGAGGACTGAGAATCCAGCAGACCCCACTGTGATGAATCACAGGATTCTATACCAAGACCTGCCTACTCCACCCACTGAAGGCCTCAGAAATCTGCTCCATTCTTTCTATTCCAGCAAATGTCTGTACTTCCAAAATAGCACATGCTCCCTTACATATCCAAGCTTTGCCCATGTTCTTCCTTCCATCCGAATGGTCCTCCAATCCTTTTTCTGTTTTTTCAGTGAACTCCTGCTCATTCATAAAACCTCAAATAAGACATAATATTCTGGCAGAATTCCGAATTCTCTTCTCTGGATTCCCATTAAAATGCATGCTCTAACTCTATAAGGGCATTTTAATCCCATATTATATTGTGTAGCCATCTTTCCTCAGTGTATTATTTGAAGGAATAAGGTTTTTATTCCTTTTTACATTCACTGCACTGTGTAAAAGGCAGAGGTGAAACATTCTGGATAAATATTCATTAAATAAAATAAGGAATGATGTTACATAACTGGGTGCATTTCATGCAGTAGAGTTTTTATCCCTCAAATTGGTCTGCTTCAGAATGGGGCTGACTCCCTTTGATTCTTGGTAATGGGGAATTCTTATCTAATCAGGTGATCTCAAATGACTAATATGTAACCTTCTTTACTTGCAGAAAGAAGTTTTATATGATTCAAAGTAATGCCACCTAACCATAGAATCAACCTGATCCTCATGTGGCTAGTGACTAAATCCATATTGTGGATACATACATTATGCATGATTATATCTTTGCTATACGATAGAAAATGCACTAAACTCTTAGGATACAGCTGTGGCCAGATGTAGTTCTGGGCCTCATTGAATTTACATTACAGAAGAAGAGACAAACAATAAATAGATACCCAAATAAATAATTTAAATACAGTAGTGATGAAATGCTATGAAGAAGAAGAAGAAAAATAAAACGTAGTAGGGAAGGGAAGAGGCATAAAAGAGTTTAAGGAAGGTTTTGCCAACAGGTGACCATTTGAGCAGAAACCTGAAGGAGGTATGAAGTGAAACTTGTGATGACCTGGAGAAAAAGAACTCTTGATAATAGATATAGCAAGTGCAGAAACCCAAGATGCCATGAGTAGCAGTGAAAAAATATCTGAGAAATAACCATGAGTAAGTTCACAGTAAGGATCTGGATACTGGTCTAAGGGCAATGGGAACCCATTGGAATTTGTGCACAGGAGAGTAAAATATTCTAATTTATATTGGAAGAGACCACTCTTGCTGTTAAATGGTGACAGAACTTTCTGGGGAACCCACTAGAAGCAGAGGTCCAAGTAATCAGTAATGTTGACTTGGATGAAGGTTGGAGCAAGGAAAGGTTTGAGCAATGGTTATACTCAGGGTATATTTTAAAGGAAATGTTGACAGAGATTTACTATTGACTATACAGGCATTCATATCTGTCTTAACTATAAGAAAAATAAGCAGCTTCTAACAGACAGGAACTGCCCTAGTACTGTCAGCCATTCCTTTGTGATAATTGAAGTTTCCCTAACACTTAAGGCTAGACCATGCTCAACAGGCTATTCTTCTGTTGAGCATAAAGAATGTAACGGAAAAACATTATATTAGGCCCCTCTCTGACTATGATGGATCAAGACAAAAAGAAAACTGTCAGATTTTAATGTAGATAATAATGTGAATATTGTCCAAACCACAAAAATAATCAAATATCTCTCATCCTGATATGTTGCTTCTTTACCAATTACAGCTTGGCCTTCTTTGTTCTCTCTGCCTTCCATATAATAATTTTTAAGATACCTAAAAAGAGAATTACTCCTGATTTCCAACTGCATCCAATCCAGAGAAAAGGCCTAATTTACTTAATGCTTCCCCAAGTAATTTAACACAATCCCCAATACTGTAATGGGTCTTTCTTTCTAACAGCCTCTTAGTGAGACACTGCACAGTTCCCCATGGTGAGTGTTCTCCTCCATTGTAAAGTCAAGGGACCAAACTTCATCAACCATTTTATTTCTGGTGACTGTTAGCTGGGGACATTGACAGATGTTGGTAGTGGACCAATAATTTTATAATGCTTTGGGAAATTTATGTGTCTATTTTAAGCCCAAAAGCCTATAGCATGATCCATATTAAATGTCTTAGCAAAATAAGTTTAGGCTCAAGTCTAGAACCTGCAGACATGTGTCATATGAATAAATCAGATAAGAGCAAGCCTGGGGAATTAGTCTATTCCAAGAAATTGTTATATTCCTAGAAGTGTTTAGTCTCAGAGAGCCCCTTTCTTGCACTTATTTCCCCATCTTGAAGAGAAAAGTATGTTCTGATCTGAGAGGTCATGGCCAAAAAGTGAAAATGATTTCATTATCATTCTTCCAGATTTCCTTAAGCTTCATAGTCAAACACTGACCACTCTATTGAGATTATCTTAGGTTTCACATACAGTATGTGCATTCTTTCGGAGAGGACTACTGTTACTGCAAACTCGTGGGCAGAAATAAGCCTCCTTTTAACAGTTTTCTCTGAAGAATTGCATTTCAACTGCCTTTACCGACTCTCAGGTAACCAGTATCTTCACAGGCTAGTGTTAATCCAGAAAAGAAGAGATGAGGCAGCCAAGCTGAGCCTCACTTGGATTTTAAATTATGTCTGTGGTGTATTGATTATAATGAAATGGAGGTGATGTGGTGAAAGCAAAGGGTGTGGCAGAGTCTAAGACCACATGGTATGATTTTGGTTGTCTTTTAGCTATTTTGAATGTCACTGTTCTTATCTATAATACAGAGATAAGTAAGATATACAGCATATGAAATGATTTATATGAAATTATGTTGTGTTTAATCTGTACTGTATATGTGTCCTTACAGTACACAATATTTTCTTTATTTGCTCCTAATGGGCAATTTATCAAAAAATTAATTGCAATTGTGAGCCATGTAAAGTCATCTAAAGAAAAAACAGAAAATTATCTTGAGCTCATTAATTATCAGCTGTGCATTGACTGTAAAAGCTATAGATTCTCTTAATTAATAATGGAATCATTAGATCACAATATCCCTTGTCAGCAATGGTAAGCTCCACCTGTTTTCTACTTCTAAAGGTGCCTTCAAAGTCAAATAAGATAAGAAAAAAAGAAGGATCTCGAATAGATGACTGCTAAAAATTTAAAATTACATGGAGAAACCGAACTAATATGAAAGCATGTTTGTAAAGTATTTTATGTGGTATTTATTATAATGATGTGGAGGTGGAGTCAATGATGAGTGGTATGGAGAAAATCAAGGATGTGGAGTCAGAACAGAGGTCATGTGCTATGATTTTGGCTGTATGTCTTTTAACCATCTGAATATGGATTTATTTATCTGCATTACAGATATAAATACAGTGCAGACTACACAAAATAATGTATATGAATTATTTTGTCTCACAAAAATACTTTTGAAGTGTTTATAGAAGACTTCTTGGCTATGTGAAACAAAGGGAACAGTTACAGGTGATGCCAAATTACTGTGTGTGGATTGCTGGCATTGACCAGTGTAAATGTTTAGCTTGAGTGGTTATCAGTAACATGGGATATCTTGAAAAATAGTTTGTAATGTTATATTAAAATAGCACTCTGATAAGAAATCATCTAATTTCCAAAATGTCAGATCTATTCCTAGGGAGTAATTCTCACACTGGGAGCATTTCATTGTGTCAATAATATTTAAATGAGTCACTGTTATTTGTAAACCTTTCATTGTGATAGCACAAAATAATGTGTGAAAAACATGATTATATGGTTACCATTCTCTTTAATAGGGTTTGCAGCCTCTATGTACACATAACAGCTGCTGAAGCAAGGCCTCAATTAATTTTACATAACAGGAGCAATTTTACACAATTATTTGAAAATCTTTGGCCACGTTCCATTTCTCTGACATAAACATATGGGCCAAAATCACAACAAATGATTACTCCAATGGGATCTCTTATAATAATACTTATATTGAAGTTATTATTTTTCTTGATTAAATCTTTCAACTTCTATACAATTTCATTTGATGTTTAACACCTTTTTTCCTATGGATAATACTTACAATTGGTTATTATTAGAGCTAACATTTATTGAATGCTTACTAAATTCTAGTCTCTCTGCTAAGTATTTCAAATGCATTTCTACCTCTATTCCTCACACTTCCTAAAGAATAGGTTCCAACATTATTTTACTTTTAAAGAGGAAGAAACTAACTTATCAAAGTTAAGTGACATGACTAAGGTCACAGTGATCAATAGGCAGGACTCAAACCCAGGTTTGCTGGTGTCTGCAGCAAATTTTCTTAAGTCCAAAGCCTCTGCCTTCCTTTTGTCATTATAGTATGTTATTTGTCAAAGATAAATTCAATATAATATTTTAATTTCTAACTATAAATATAAATTACTTCAAAATGCATGTGTTTATTAGTTGTACTGATTAGTAAGATCATTTAGGCACCATTAGCTTTTTTTTTTTTTTTTGCTAATTATCCATTTAGACATTCATTCCACAAGTATTCATTAAGCATCTACTATAGTCAAGCCTCTCCTTGAGTTGACAGATTTAGTCACTTCTCCTGCCAAGAAATGCAGACTTGTATTCCCTAGTCAGGAAGCATATTTCTTTTTAATCATTTTATCTCAGGATGTACTTCCTTTCCATTTGGGAAGAGAATAATGATAGTTGAGTCCAGATTCTATATAAAGCTAATATCTTTGAATCACACGTTTCTCTGTTATCTTCCTATTTCCTTACCTTACAAATACCCATATTATAGCATCTTTTGTATTGCATTGTAATTTATATTTACATTTCCATTTTCCCTTTTAATCCATTAACTCTTTGAGGAGAGAAATGGTATTTATCATGTTTTTAGCATGTAAGTTGCAATTCTCTGCTTAATGAATTGTGTTGTCTGAAGGAATGAATCAGTGAAGTTCCCAGTGTACTCTAGAGAATTTAAGATCAATGCTTGAGACAACTCTAAAAAGAAGACAAAATTGCTGGGCACAGTGGCTCACTCCTGTAATTCCAGCACTTTGGGAGGCCGAGGCAGGCAGAGTGCTTGAGCCAAGGAGTTTGATACCAGCCTGAGCAACATAGTGAGACCTTTTCTCAAAAAAAAAAAAAAAAAAAAAAAAGACAAAATCTTTTTTTTTTTTTAAATCGTATTCAACAGGTATCAGTAATGACTAGCTCAGCTGTAAATGACAGAAATGGTCTCAAATGTGCTAAGCTGTCATGATGCAAGGTGAGTCCTCTTGAAGCTTTCATTTGTCATGTACCAAGTTCTCAGAGTGAATTGTACAATGACACAAAGTATGGTTTAAGTAATAGGCTTTACTGGGGAAATGTATTATTCAAAGTTGAGCAAGAGGAGAAGACCTGGTGAAGTGGATCCACAATGTAATTTCCCAGGGAGGAAAGGCGAGGCCAGGTCCATTGCCAGAACACCTACTCTTACTGTGTTCAGCCAGCCCCATTAGCCTCACAGTGGGAAGCTAATGAGGATGAGGAGACCTATGCCTTCTGATATAACTGAATCCTCACTTACACATTTCCCCAGTAAAGCCTTTTCCTTAACCTGTACTTAGTTGTAGTGCCTAACTAGTAAACTATAAGGCATCAACCTTAGAAAACATAAAGAAAAAACATATGGCTCATGTCACTGAAAAGACACAGGCATTATTGGAGACTGTACAAATTGTTAAACGACTGTGTTAGTTTCCTATTGCTGCTATAAAGAATTACTGCGAAGTTAGTGCCTTAAAACAACACAAATTTATTACCTTACATTTGGTGAGCTCAGCAATGGGAATCACTGGGCTAAAAGCAAGGTATAGGTAGGGCTGTGATCCTTTCTGGAGATTCTTGCGAACAATCTTTTTATTTTTTTCTCTATTTCCAGCTTCTGGAGGCTACCCCCATTCCTTGACTCATGGCCCCCTTCCACATTTGAACCAGCAATGACTGATGGAGTGTTTGCCATATTGTATTACTCTGACACTGACTCTCCTGCCTCCCTCTTCCATCTTGTAATGACCTTTGGGATTACATTGGACCTGAGAGGATAATCTTTCTATCTTAATGTCATTTTATTAGCAGCCTTAATTCCACCTGCACCCTTAATTCACCCTACACCTAATATAACATACTCACAGCTTCTAGGGTGTGGCTATTTTTGGGGATCCATTGTTCTTCCTAACACAGAATTGTAGAATTGTCTCTCTTCTCTCTTCTTTTATTTGTCTCTCTCTCTCTCTGTTTTTTGTTTGTTTGTTTGTTTTGTTTTGTTTTGTTTTTTTGGTCTTTGGGCTTTGTTCTTAATTTCTAAAAGGCAGCAAAATGACTTCTATCAGCTAATGGTCTACAACCTCCTAAATTCAGGTTCAACCAGAGACAGAAAAGTGTCTTTCCCTCCATTAGCGTGAAGTTGGTTACTAGACCTGTCATTTTCTGGTTTGTTTCATGTGCACAGTCCCTGTGGACAGCAAAATGCAATGCCCTTTATCTCCAGACCTAAATCATTTCCTCAACCCTATGTGATAAAGATTGATGATGGAGGAAGAGATAAATATAGGAAAAGGTTTCTTCAGGATACTAGTTAGGCTAAAATATGAGAGAATGAGAAGACCAAAATATCCATTGTATAGCAATGTGGAAAGGAGGGGAAATTTCTGTTTCTACAGAAAAATATGTCCATTGGGCTAAATAAGGTCTTTCTGTACGTGTGTGTTGGTGGTTCTTCCACCTGCCATAAGTCAGAAATATAAACTCGCTCTAAACCTTGGGTCTGAGCTTGACTCTATGTATTTTATCATAGCCAGTGGATTTTAAATTCTGGATAATAAAATCCACTTGCTAAGTAAAGACTGAATTTCATGCCTTCAATTTTAAAAACAGTTCGAAAAATTGGGTCAGTATATTTTTATTTCTTTTAAAGAAAAAAAATCCAAAGGTAAAGAAATATGACAACTTAGAGAAATAATTGTTCAAAAGATGCTGTTTTAATAAAACAGAATATGTGATTTTTTGCTAGTATTATTTCATGTGTAAAAAATATAATTATCTCTTATAATCATAAAAAGTATTGTTCTAAGCTTTACTTTAAAGAAAAGAATTTAGTATTTACATTATTGACCATCTATCACCTTTCACCAGAGAATCTCATAATGTTCATTTCTTTTGTGATAGCCATCTATGTGTCAGGCACTAAGCTGGAAAGTTTCATATTTGCAATTTGCCATTTATGATAAGCCATAAGTGAAATATTATCTATATTTTATAAGTGAATGAACTGAAGCTGAAAGAGATTAATTTGCTCAAGCCCACACAGCTGTTAAGTGGAAGTCAGGACTCTCCGAGAAAAAAGCCCTTCATATTCCACAATAACATCTTTCATTTTCAGGAAAGAGAATATACTCACACTTGGAGCTTATATTCTTTGAACTTACTTACATTAAGAATCACTGAAATGTATACTCTTTTTTATTGGTCTCTCAGTATATAGATACATTTTTTGCTGAATAAATGAATGAGATATGTTATATTCTCATCATTCACAGATTGGAACCCTCCACTGTGAAGAATACATGCTAAAGCCTACAAGAAAAAATAACCATTAATTAGACTCTAATAGTCCTTAAGGAGCTTAAAGTTTAGTGGGAGAGATAAGACACACATACACACTGCATATATAACCAGAACATGAGGATATGTATGATATTTTCCCAGTCAGAGGCACAAAGAGCTTTAAAAATTAAAAAGGGAATAAACTTACTTTTGGCTGGAGTAATAAACTTTTTGGAAAAAAAACAAGTAGTATTTGTGGTTAGCTTTGAAGAACCTAATACTACAATATGTAAAAATGTGAGAGGGGACTAATCCAAATTGAAAAATAACCCGTAAGGTTAGGAATGGTGAGAGATACAGATGGAGGAAGGAGAAATAACCTTGTGAGCCATTTACATTATAAACATAGAGAGGAGAAGCCAGGGAAGTGGATATTTGAGGCTAAGAATGATGTTAGAATCCCAGTGAGAGTCCACATTTAAGATGTAAATCAGAGTTTAAGTTATGGTTTAAGAAACAACAAGAACAATTTTATACATCGTTAAAAATCATATTATCCTTCGCAATATATTTTAATTCAAATGTACCTCTTTAAGATGGAGAAGGAGGTTTTTTTTTTCTGACAAATTTAGAGATTATCCTTTTTTCAGTTTTTAAATTTGCATCATGTATGCTTACAGGGTTTCTGCTTTTAAATCTAACTTTGACAAACGTTCTTATTTCTTATACAATTTTTTAAAACTAATTCCACTTTTTAAAAAAATCCGTTTTTATTTTTTCACAAGTTTTGTGATATTTTACTCTGTTGACTAGGATTGGGGCTATCATTCCTACCTTTTTAATTTCACAGACATGTAAAGTTCTTGGTATTTTCCTTCCAATTGTACTTCAATATATTTTTGAAATAACTTATTTTGCTCAATATATGTATTATTGATTCAATTAACATTTTTTATTATTTTTGATCATATAGAATCAGAAAATTGTAATGAATCCCAGGAAATCACCCAGTCAAGAAAAAGTATAGAGACTAATACCTACCACATTTTAAAATATTTTTATTTTAATTTTTGTGGGTACCTAGTAGGTGTATATATTTATGGGGTACATGAGATATTTTGATATAGGCATGTAATGCATACTGTTCACATCATGTGAAATAGTATATCCATTCCTTCAAGCATTTATCCTTTGTGTTACAAACAATCCAATTATACTCTTAGTTATTTTTAAATGTATGAATAAATTATTATTGACTATAGTCACCCTGCTGTGCCATCAAATACTAGGTCTTTTTCTATTTTTTTTTTTTTTTGTACCCATTAACCATCCCCACCTCCTCCTCAGTCCCTGCACTACCCTTCTCAGTCTTTGGTAACCATCCTTCTCCTCTCTGTCTTCATGTGCCTGCCCTCTTTAATGATTTTGAAATGATATTTTCAAAACTCCTTGGTAGATTAAACCTATGGTTAATATTCTTAAGATAGATAAATTGTTTCTTTTGCTTACGCTGTAATCACGTGCTCATGTTCCCATTTCCAAATGATATCAGCTAAACATACTCTTCTATTGCCATCGTTCCTATTATGCTAACTTATGATTAGAGTCAGACGTTTGAGTGCCTGTGTTTCTTTTGAAGTCTATAGGATGACGATGACCCAAAATCTTATTGCTAGAGATTCTATCTTGTCATTTGTGATGAATTATTACTTAGAAATGGTGCAGATGAAACACATTCAACACTATAACTCTGGTAATACTGTGCTTTGATGATCTGATAAGGTGTCATCCATTTTCAACCTGAAATTAAAAAAAGAAAAGTGAGTTAAAATAAGAACAGCTGAAGATGTCAACTGAATTGTCTTCCAAAAACTTACTCCTTTCCATTTGAAGTAAAACATAAGCCTTATCAACCACATTAGTTCCATGCATTTATTGCAGAAGAAAGGAGCAAAGGAAGCATGACATATAGTCCCATCCTTTGAAATGTGTCATAACTGAAATGAGAACATTAGGGCCTGAGCATAGAGCATTATCTATTAAAGGTGATTTTAATTAAAGGCATTCTCTTTTTAACCTAAAATTGCTTGGTTATTAAAGAGTATAGTGGTCCTTGATGTTTAACTAGTGTTTGAAAACAGTTACATTTTATCTGATAAGAATGTTTGTAATAACTGAACAGAAGGTATTTAAATTGTGAATAATGCCTAACAGCCAATACCTGTAAGTTCATGGTTTCTATCATTTTAAGGTAAAAATATAAAGACAAGCTAAGTGAATATGTTCACAATATGTTTCCATGTCCCTTCTTTGTATGACTATTTAAAAATATGAACAATGACTTAAGGCATCACTAGCCCATGAATACCAATGTGATTATATTAACAGTAGTAATCCAAATATCAGTGTCACTTTCCAACTCATTCAGAAGCTCATTGTCCCTTGGAGAACTAAAGGGACGGTCTCTCTCCTCACTCTACACCACACTTCCACACCATGGTATTAAGGAAGATTCTATCAGAAGCTTTTATATAAAAAATTTAAAAATAGCCCCATTATTATCATTTGTGCTTTGCATTTTGTGCAGGGACCATCTTCCTTGACAAATGCCGTTATATTTATTTTACTCATGCAAATTAGTGGATAAAAATAGATATCTTAGGGTTTCCTGTTTCATTAACTATATCAGGCATACTTGTATGAATTCTGTTTAATATGAAACCTCATCCTGTGATATATACTGGTATGCTGATTAAGAACTTTATTTTAAGCAAACATTGTTCAATATATGTCATATGGGACAGTAGACATGGGTATATGATAGTGAACCTGTCATAATCTCTATTTTATCCTATTCTACAACATAAAAGCAGGAATACTCAATTCAGATTGTATTTCAATAATTCTTCATAGACGAGGTAATGTTTCTGTTGTGGAAATAAAAATGGCTAATGGCAAGTCAGTTCTAGAATCCAGAAGTTCCAGGTAAACAATTACAATGCAGAGGCACTGGAGTGAAAAGTAAAGCATACAATATAAAGATAACTAGAAATAATTCAATAAGCTAGACTGATATGTGTTTATTTGTCAACTCATAAGAAGAAGAATACAAACAAGAGTTTGAAAAAGAAAGGCTTTAAATGCCTATATTAGAAATCTGAAGTTTCATGTGGAGTTACTGAAATTAAATGACAGAGTCAGCTATTACGTATTAGAAAGATCAGTTTGGCATCATTGTTGAGAATTAAAACAGTCCAACCTCAGACTTTAATACCAAATAAGTACCAGTTTTGGAAATAGCAATGACAGTGAATTGCAGACATTAGACGACTTACTGGATTTGAAGAATAAGAAGTAAGATGTAAGAAAGGTTCAGTTTTCTTACTTGTGAACTGGGAAGATGGTAGAACTATTCTCTGTTATAAGAAACAAAAGAGATAATTTTATATAAATTAAATATATTACAATAAACTTTGGGTTTAGATATTACTATTATCACTTTTTACATTGGGAAAACTGAGAGCTACAGAGATTAAGTTATCCTCCAATAATGCCACTGGTGAAATACCTAGCAGTTATAATAAGCCATTATGTATGACATAATATTATTTTCCTCCACACTAGTGCTACACAAATATAATATATAAAAGTCACACAGAGCCAAAAAATCTGTAGATAACTTTGTATGTGGTAAACTACATCCTAGTTTCCTGAAAGAGTTATGTCCTTTGAAAAGAGAGAGAATAAAGTGATCCCTCTCCAGTGCTAATGTGTGCTTTTGTAGCCAGATAACAGGTTAGACTAACAGAAACAAAATAGATGCTTGGTCTGTGGGACCATGAATGTCAAGGAAATGATACTCTGAATCATTTTGGGAGGACCATAATTCTGTGCTTAAAGATCTCTGAAAATCTGTTTGACCCATTTCACTCTATTGAAAGCATGATATGCTAACAAGCCAGTTGGCTGCAGTCAAGTGCTCCGCTGAAGGCTTCTGCAATATAGAAATGATGAATCTGGCTTACAGAGGGAATTTGGTGGTTAAATGAATACCTGCTATTGCAGCAAAACCTTTGTATGTTTCCTAGGCAACTAAAATACTTAAGAAATGGTGGCAGTTTAAGTAGAAAACTACTTCACAACTAAAGAAAAGATAAAATTTGTAAAGGCGATGTGTGGTCAGAAAATAATAAAAAAGAAAAAGATAGTGAGTAATCGTCCATGATGTATAGTTGGGAGCATTTAAAAAATAATACAGGGTTTGGGTTACTTTTTGTCTTTTTTTTTTGGTCTTATATTTTAATTATTTTATATTTTAGTTGAATTAATAGTCTATGATTACTGAGTTGAGCGTCCTACTAATCTCTCTCCATTCTAAGCAGCCTGTGGATTTTTAAATATCACTACCATATGTCAATTCTCTTTGGAGTAACTAAGTGTGAAATATACCTGTGAAAAACTATTTTCAATGTGTGAAGTGCATTTTTCAAACTGGTAAAGATGATAAAACTATTCTGATCATAGCATAATCGACTAATCACAATTGAACTCAAATATACATGGCACAGAATATCTAGGTATCAAACTAGGAAAAAAATGGAAATTGTTGTGATATTTATTTGAGCTGGGATGACAAGGGCTGCAGAAATAATTTTTCTATGGTTATGTTCATATTTCAATTTACAAACGTTTTTCACAATTACTAGTGGATTTTGTTCCGTGGACTTCAGAATACTCCACTAATGCCTCAATTTTATAAAATGCCTAAGGTAAATTGGTAAACAGTACTTTCCTTTTGAATAAAAACTGTGGGACACATGATGGCACTTTTTGTTTCAGTCATGTGGTAGTAAAGACACATTTTGCTGATTAGTGAAGGGTACTATGATATGTGTTTCGTTTTTAGAGGCCTGCTAAATAAACCTTTCTGATGCAAAGAAGCTAAATATATCATTCCTAAAATTTCAAAAGATACAAATGCAATTGAAAATCATGTTCAAAACCATCTTACTCTCATATTTTATTCTTAAGATTTGTATTGACCCATAATGCATTGTACATGGTTTGCTCTCATGGGTCATTGATTTCCAAAGAACATCCATGAAATTTTAAGTTTGCATAGCAAAGCGTTTTAGGAAAGACAGCGTTTTCCTTTTTGATATTATGCTTTCAAGAAATGCAACATCTCTATGTGTTTCTTTTTGGTTCTCTTTGAACGTTAATTAGAAATCAAATTGGCAAAATAGCTTTATCAAAAGAAAGAAAGAAATTGTTGAGTGGCTCCTGCCTGTATTCTCAGCCACTCTGATGACTGAGGCAGGAGGATCGCTTGAGGCCAGCATTTCCAGCTTGCTGTGAGTAATGCTTGTGCCACCGCATTCTAGCCTGCTAGCCTGGGCAACAGAGTAAGACCTCATCTCTAAAGATAAAAAAGAAAATATAAACAACAATGAATAGTCTTAGATTTTCTACCAAGATTTTGAGTATATAAATAGAAATAAAATACATTAACTAAAAAAGAATCAGACAAAATATATTATCTATAACAACACTCAGATATTTGGTAATCTCTACACACATTTGTGAGAAATGTACCACATAGTTCAAACTACATTATGTTTCTCTAATATTTTTGATCATAAATAAGTTAGAAAGACATAAAGGTTTTAAGGCACAACCATCAAACTAATGCAGAAATTTTTACTTATACTTTTTAAGGAAATATTCTTTTTGAACTGTTATACTTTTTAACAGAATACAAATGACTAGACATAAAAATGTATTTCTTTAAATACTTACAGTAGAATTTCATGCTAGTAATATAGTATATTTAAATGTTGGAGTATTTGCATGATGTTGAAAAATTCATATGGAATAAGTAAAAATAAATTCTGACCTAAATGAACCTCAGGAATTATCCATTTTGTAAGCCTTTCCTCTAAGATCTGGAATGCAACAAGGATGCTAACTTTTACCATTGTTACTCAACATAATACAGGAACTCCCAGCTAGAGCAATCAGACAAGAAAAAGAAATAAAGTTCATCTAAATTGGAAAGGAAGAAGTAGAATTATCCTTGTTTGTAGATGATATGATCTTATATTTGGAAAAACCTAATGACTACACACACACACACACACAAAAAAAACTATTAGAACTAACAAACAAATCCTTTAAATTTGCAGGATTGTGCACATGTACCCTAAAACTTAAAGTATAATAATAGTAAAATTAAAAAAAATCAGTAGCATTTCTCTATGCCAACAGTGACTGATCTGAAAAAAGAAATTTAAAAAGGAATGCCATTTACAATACCAGAAATAAAATTAAATACTTTGGAATTAACTTAACCAAAGAAGTGAAAGATCTCTATAATGAAAACTATAAAACATCAAGGAAAGAAATTGAAGAGGACACCAAAAAATGGAGAGCTATTCCATGTTCATGAACTGGAAGAATCAATATTATTAAAATGTCCGTACTACCCAAAGTCATCTACAGATTCAATACAATCCCTATTAAAATACCAATGACATTCTTCACAGAAATAGAAAATAAAATTCTGCAATTTATATGGAACCACAAAAGACACAGAATAGCCAAAACTATTCTATGCAAAAGGTACAAAACCAGGGGATTCACATTACCTGACTTCAAATTATAATACACAGCTATACTAACCAAAACAGCATGGCACTGGAATAAAAACAGACACATAGACCAATGGAACAAAATAGAGAACCCAGAAACAAGTCCATATACCTATGGTGAACTCATTTTTGATATAGGTTCCAATAACATACTGAGGGGAAAGACAGTCTCTTCAATAAATGATTCTTGGAAAACTGGGTATTCACATGCAGAAGAATGAAACTAGAGATAGGGGTCTACTATCTCTCACCCTATACAGAAATCAAAATGGATTAAAGACTTAAACTTAAGACCTCAAACTATAAAACTACTACAATTAAACATTGTGGAAAACTTCCAGAACATTGATCTGGGCAAAATTTTTTGAGCAATACCCTACAAGCCCAGATAACCTAAGCAAAAATGGACAGAAGGGATCACATTAAGTTAAAAGCTTCTGTGCAGCCGAGGAGACCATTAACAAAGTAAAGAGACAACCCACAGAACTGGAAACTATATTTTCAACCTGCTCATCAGACAAGAGATAAATAACCAGAACATTTAAGAAGCAGGCATATGAAAAGGTGTTCACCATCATTGATCATCAGAGAAATGCAAATCAAAACTGCAATAATACATCATCTCTCTCCATTTAAAATGCTTATATCCAAAAGACAGGCTGTAATAACAAATGCTGGAGAGGATGTGGAGAAAAGGGAACCCTCATATGCTGTTAGCAGGGATGTAAATTAATACGACCACTATGGAGAACAATTTGGAGGGTCCTCAAAAAACTAAAAATAGAGCTACCGTATGATCCAACAATCCTACTCCCACATATACACCCAAAAGAAATGAAATCAGTGTATCAATGAGATCTCTGCACTTCCATGTTTGTTGCAGCACTGTTCACAGTAGCCAAAATTGAAAACAACCTAAGTGCCCATCAGTAGATGAATGGATAAAGAAAATGTGGTACTTCCACAATGGTTGAACCAGTTTACAGTCCCACCAACAGTATAAAAGTGTTCCTATTTCTCCATATCCTCTCCAGCACCTGTTGTTCCCTGACTTTTTAATGATCGCCATTCTTGGCATATATACACCATGGAATACTATGCAGCCATAAAAAATGATGAGTTCATGTCCTTTGTAGGGACATGGGTGAAGCTGGAAACCACCATTCTCAGCAAACTATTGCAAGGACAAAAAAAACAAACATCGCCTGTTCTCACTCATAGGTGGGAATTGAACAATGAGAACACTTGGACACAGGAAGGGGAACATCACACACCGGGGCCTGTTGTGGGGTGGGGGGAGAGGGGAGGGATAGCATTAGGAGATATACCTAATATAAATGACGAGTTAATGGGTGCAACACACCAACATGGCACATGTATACATATGTAACAAAACTGCATATTGTGCTCGTGTACCCTAGAACTTAAAGTATAATAATAATAATAATAAAAGAAAATGTGGTACTTATACATAATGGAGTGCTATTCATCCATAAAAAGAATGAGATCCTGTCATTTGCAACAACATGGATGGAATTGGAGATCATTATGCTAAGTGAAATAAGCCAGGCACAGAAAGACAAACATCACATTTCTCACTTATTTGTGGGATCTAAAAACGAAAATAATTGAACTTACAGCCATGGATAGTAGAAGGATGGTTACCAGCGGCTGGAAAGGGTAATAGAGGGTGGGTGGAAGGGGGGGATGGTTAATGGGTACAAATAAAATAAAAATAATGAATAAGACCTAGTATTTGATAGCACTACAGGGTGACTATAGTCAATAACAATTTAATTGTACATTTAAAAGTCACTAAAAGACTATAATTGGATTGTTTATAACACAAAGGATAAATGCTTGAAGGGTTACGTACTCTATTTTACATGATGCGACTATTACACATTGCATATCTGTATCAAAACATCTCATGTACCTCATAAGTATACACTTCCTATGTACCCACAAAAAATACAATTAAAAAATAAAAACATAACCTAAAGAGTCATGTGCTTTGAGGATTTATATAACCAAATAAATTTTAGAATTATCTTCTCTGACTGCAAAATTACATGGCTCTGTATTTAAATAGCATTGAAGAATAAATAGGTTCGTTTAGATCATGATACCCTGTCTATGAGATAGGGGGATGATTTTCTGCCTGTCTTAATTCCAGTAATAATTGCTTTCCTCCAATCAACTGGTTATTTTTATAAAGCAAGTAACGAATTATGTTTCCTTTTTATACATTTTTACTACTTACAAATTTAGAATGAATTTTGAGGCCCCTCTAGAAGGCAAGCAGAATATCAAGGCATGCATTTAATATATTAATATTATTTCTTAAATAACCATATTTGTTCTATAATTTTTCCTTTGCTCTAGTTTTCTTATGCTGTACATAACTGTTTCTTTATTGAACAGGATAGTCCACAGTAGCTGCACTGTTCAGATCCAAAGTTTCCAAGGTAATGCAGCAGGAAACAGAAAAAAAAACAGGTAGCATATCAGCAATTAATAATACCTGATAAGAAATGACTTCATTCATTTTGGCTCATCACACATCAGTAGTAACTAGTCTTATAACCTTTACCTAATTACAAAGTATTCTGAAAAATGCAGGGAAGCACATTAAATATGAGATGAACAACACTTTATCAGCCATAGTCCCTTACACAGAATAGGCAAGTCAGTAAAATATCTTTGATAAAAATATCGTGTGAATAAGAGTGTATGACATTATAACAAAAGGCAAAGATACTATGTTAATGAAGAAATCCTAGAGACTTAAAAGAAAGCTAGTTAATATGCAACAGATTTGAAACAAATGAAAGGATAAATGCAAATTCAAAATAGGGCACGATAAGCTAATCTCAATATTTAGAAAAATTTGACAAATAATTGCTCCACATTGTGAACACTATCTCTTATTCTGAAGAGAATACCCAAGATTTTCAGAGTCACTTGGTAAAAAATCTCAAAGGTTTTCCAGATATTCTATCACCACATATCATAACTTCAAGTACTCTTCTCCTCAAAGGGAAAGTAACAAAGCAGAATTATTCATTGGGGATTATGGTGATAAAATATTCACAATTCCTATTAAAGCAATAATGTGCCAGTTTTTAAATTACTGAACTATTCTTTTTGTTATTTCCAAGGGAATCTGATTAGCAAAGATAGAACATACTAACATGGTTTTGCTTTGGGATTCATCGCATGTCTGATTAAAGAATATTTAAAAATACATTTCAGATATCTTCTCCTCACTTGCTATAAAGAGGCTGAAATGACAATTAGGTAGTCTCATGGTTATTAAATTCAGAGGACATGAAGGTACCTTGTAACTTGGGAAATTGAACCAGAAATGCACATAATAACGTAGACAGTAAAAAGAAATAAAAGGATCAGACTTATAGTTTTAAAATAGATCCAGTTCTGCATGCATAGAATTATCCCCCAAAGCATTCTGTATATAATTTTAAGCATACAAATCACCTTGGTCAAGCAACATGATAATGCAAGTACAAGCCTCTACTTAGAAATTTAGTTACTTGCCCCAGTAAGAAGTGGTCTGAAAATATCTATGTTGCCATGTAGAAAAAGTAAATTGTCTATTTTTTTCAGATTCTTTGAACCTTGCTTATTGATCCAGCCAATTTACATAAAGAACCTATTTTAATATAAGCAACCCAGTTCTATAAACCTGTAGTTAACAATAATTCAAAGATGTTTTTATCTAGTTTTTCTATGTTTCCATAGTTCAATACAATTATATGAAATAAATATCCCATGCTGCTGTAACCCAATGTTTCACTGCAGTTCCAAATTATTGAGCATAGGGTGAATTTTCAAATTTGAAATTTTTAATGACTGTTTAGTGAGAGGTCACAAATTACATCAGTACTGTTTTCAAGTAGTCATATATACCGCCCCCCACCAAAATTAACTGATTACAGAAGAAGTATATTTTACTTATGAATTAGAAGAGGTTCATTTTTTTCTAATCAAGTGGGTCCTTTCCAATCATAGAGAACATGGAGCTAGCAAATGTGTGGAAAACTGCATCACGCTTCATATTACCACCTCCCACTTCTTTTAAAATGAAGGGAGAGGACACTAAACGTAGGCAGGATTAGGTTCTCCAATTCAATTCCAATTCATATATTAATCTGATGATCTGTGGGTTCCTGAGGCATCTGAGTGTGGCTCCTATGATCAGGAAAGAGACAGTTATTCCGTGGGCAAGTTCTGGCGGGTGGAAAAGAACAAGCACGGACCAGAGTGCTTGTCTTTTTGCATTAGCCTTTCCCTGAAAGAGTATCAAGGGAAGAGCCAACTGGACTAGTTATGTTGTTTATCAAGAGCAGCCAAATATTTATATGCACATTTAACCCCTAGATAATGCACTATCACTTAAATCAAATACAATTATAATTCTTACATTGCACCTGCCTGCAAATTCAAACTTCTGTATTTTGACACAATTGCCTCTACTTGTTTATGCATTAAGGCCTATAGCATCAACTAATTCAAGAGTCATTTTGATGACCAGAAAGGGAAATTTTTTAATAACTAATAACTATGTTGGTATTTGCAAAGAGGACCCTCAAAAGGGCTTTCCTAAGGATTCCTACTTATACATAACTTATACATAACTACTTTATCTATCTCACAGCTAAAGAGGCATGCATAGTATTTGTACTAAATTAAGGCCTGAAAATGTTGATATAAACAGATATTTCGGGGGATGATCTGACCAAACACCAACCAGGTAGATATGCCTGTGATTGATGTGAACTCAACAACCTAAAGGAACATGATGATAATGTAAATAAATGAAGTGGATAGGGAATAAAATATGGTAAAATGAAGAGTGTAGTTTTTGGCTTCAGGAGTCAGCAGCTGCTAAGCTCCAGCTAATTGTTGACATGTTGAAACATGGGTTTGGTATTGACAAATCTTCTGATTTTTACACAAACTGAGAAATATGGCAAGGCGTAAAGGTGGTATGTCTCAAGAAAGGTAAGAAGAACAGATATTGGAAAGAGAAAGAGTGAAAAAAGAGAAATTGAGGCAAAGATCATCAAGGTGCCTATAGCTGGGGAAAAGGCTCAGGTTCCTGCAATAAGAGACACAATTTTCTATTTTCCTTTGACTTCACACAGTTATTGAAGGGCATTAGCTTAACTAATGATCCAGTGTCCAGTTCTAGCTACTTATTTCAAACACTTGTATGCTGTTTCACAAGGTGATGATTCAATTAATGATGAGTAAATATATAAGTGAGGCCAACAAAGCTCATATACTGAAAGTTAAGTTGTATTCAAATACAAAATAATCTGAATGTTAGATTCCAAGAACTGTCCAAGTATAGAGAACAAGGAAAGTTACTTGAAAACATAAATAGGTTTTCAGTAGAGGCTAAATTCAGATCAATTCATGCAATGAAATTTTTTATTTGACTCTATAAAGTTGATTACTTTTATTGGTTTTACTCACAGTCTGAATAGATTAACCTCACTTTTAACCCATTAGATATATTATGCTTTATGTTGAATTTTTGTAAACTTCATCAATTTTTTTTTTTTTTTTAAGTATAAAGACAGGCCGGGCACAGTGACTCAAGCTGTAATCCTAGCACTTTGGGAGGCCAAGGCTGGCGGATCACTTGAGGTCAGGAGTTTGAGACCAGTCTGGTTGGCATGGTGAAACCCTGTCTCTACTAAAAATACAAAAATTAGCTGGGCATGGTGGTGGGTGACTATAACCCAAGCTACTCAGGAGGTTGAGGCAGGAGAATTGCTTGAACTCGGAAGCCAAGATCGCACCACTGCACTCCAACCTGGGTGATAGAGCAAGACTACATCTCAATAATAATAATTAATAATAATAATAATAATGTATAAAAACAAATATTTTGCATACTTTTGGTTCTACCTTTAGGCCTAAAAGCTAGTCACACTTTGTAATGAGATTTTGTGCATATAAACATTAACAAGAACGCTAGTTAATTGCAAACTCATGAAGCGACTGAACTTACAAGTTATCCATTTTGTAACATACTCACTATGTACTCACCATGAGCCAGGCACTGATGGAGGCTCTAGGACGTAATGGAATATGTAAAAGTTTAGAGTAAAAGGAAAGGCAGCAATGCAAAGGTAATAGAAAATGTCATGGGTATGAAAAGTGTTAATGGCAGACAAAGTAAAATTTAAGGTAAGAATTCAAGGCAAACAGGAACAAGGCGGCACTCTTTTACTAACAAGTGGTATGAGCTACAATCCAGATATGTGTCATTGACTATCCAAAGTCCTGAATTACATGACAAAAATATCTAAGCAAAAACTTCCAGGAACAAAAGGAATACTAATCAGAAACACAAAGGCATGTGGCACTTTTACAACCTACTCAAAACCTGTCAAATAATGCAAACAACAAAACAGAGGGCATTGATATGAATAATTTATCATATAATTTCATATTACTACTAAGTATACGTGGAAATCTAAAGGAGAGGAAGGGAGGTCATTGTAATAAAGCAGTTATTAATGAATTTCAAAATGAAAAGAAAACTGTATTGTACTAAAGTCTGTTTTAAAAATTATTCTCTTTCTCCTTCTTTCTTTCTATTTTCAGCACTTGCTCTGACTTTGTGTTGGCCCCATTTTCTCCTACCATTACTGGATTCCAAACTCCTTTGTCTGTGCCCTACTCCCCACTGTGCATGTGGTTGATAAATAGCTGTTAGCCATTAGCATCACATCTTTCAACTAAGAAGTAGTTGGGTCATTTCCATGACCCAAGAGTTAAAGTAGATCACATAACAGGAATGAGAATCAAAATGCAATCAGCTGTTTTACCAGCAACAGTGAGAGGTACAAGGCAGTAGGTATGTAATTCTGAGACATACACCATATGCTCCCAAAATATTCCAAGAAAATGGTTTCTATACTAAATTTATATGCTCAGCCAACTTTCTAATCATGTAAATGATCAATTTCCTTTATGCTATATTTCCAAATGTGCACATTTACTTCATGTGTATATTTGTCAGGAAGATGTTCTGAGATGATCTCCACCAAAATGGAGTAGTGTGACAAGAGGGAGAGTTGGGTTAAGGGAATTGAATATTCATTACAGGAGAAAAGAGAAGAAGTTTCCAAGATAATGATAACTGGAATTCTGAAGAGGACTCAACAGACAGATAAATAACTTGTTCAGTTTGGAGCAGGAGGACAAAGTGCTCTGGTAGCTAATACCAGATATCATTTTAAATGGTATCAAAAGGTTTGTGACAATATTAATTTGAAAAGTAAGATGTAAAAATAGAGCGAAACAGTGAGGAAAAAGTTGTACAAGAAAATAAACATAATACTAATATGCAGTTCAACTCAGTTATATAGCCAACGATAGTAGCATAAACCCTCGGTAGCAACTGGTTATGTCACTATACTATATTGGTTGCATGGAAGACAGCAAGTATGTGTGGATGAGAGACTGTAAGGTATTTAAATATATATCATTCATATTGTCTTCAGTGGACAATATCTAACATTCAAAATTTTACAATAAGAGCATAAGCCTATAATTTAGAAAAATGGAGATATATAATAATAGAAAAAAGCTGAAAGTGTTGAAAAATATGATCACTGAGAAGCACAAATTTGGTTGGATAGGGAAACTAATGCTTTTCATTATAACTTTAAATTTTAAATTTACCTATTTTATTCTGAGAAAAATATTAAAATCATTTTGAAAAGAGGCATATTTTCTGCCAATTCCATCAAACAGAAATACTTCAGGCAAAGATCACATGTTTAACTCCTCTGAACACTCACTCAGACCAGGGGTGAGGATTATTGATCACAGAGAAACTCATTATATGTCTGCATCTGTGATCTCAGGAGAGAAGAGATCTTTTATCAAAGACAGCATTAGGTAGGAAATGGGACCATCAAACTGACTTTTCAGACTACTTTAAAAAGGGATGCATGTAGGTAGAATTTTTTAATATTTAAGAAAAAATTCTAGCTTCTTAATTATGAAATATTAAGCATGGTATATTTTTGAAGATTTCTAAATATATTTAGATGAGTAAAATATTCTGTCTGCAGAAATTTCATAGAAAGACTTCAATTCAAAATGTATTTTCATTTAATTTTTGATTTGATTAATTCAATTTCAATGTATTTCAAAATTCTACATAAATGTTTCCCAAGGCCAAACATGTAGAAGTTTAGTATAGAACCGTTTGATTTTCAGGTTGACATGAAACAGTAAGTATTGTACTATGTCAGAGAATTCTTACACTAAAAATAGAATAGCCCCAAGAAAGGAAAATATTTCACAGCGTTAGTGTCTTCCGCTGAAAATTAAATTAATGCAGTCACTCTTCACCTGAAAATTTTAGTAAAGCACAGTTAAGTGGCTTGCTTGTGAACATGCGTTCTAATACTTCCTTTCACTGATTACATTCACTACATTTTTAATGAGAAGAAAAAGATAAGTGAGGCTTTTCAACATAAGAACTGTGAAAATAAATAATGTTCTCAAATATGTGACTTAACAACGTCCTACTGATAAGCAAACCATCAAATAAGTGATGGTTCAAGTCTCTTGTTTCAGTCTTTGTTCCATTGTGAGCTGTAAGACCTCATTCAATGTACTGGATCTTTCTCTGTCCCAGTTTCAACATCTGTAGAAAAGGGATAATAATAGTGCCTGCATCATAATATGGCTATGACAGTTTGATGAAATAATATATGTATAGTATTAGGACAATGCCTCGCATATAATTAAGCACAAGCTCACTACTTGTTCTCATTATTGTTCTTTTTTTGACACTATGTTTCTATTTAATATGACATGCTATTTATGCTTTCTTAAAACTTAACCGAGAGATAGGTATTTTTTATTCATTAAAAAATTCTAATGTGCTGTGTAGCTCACTTAATGCTATTCTTTTGGAAAGTATTGAAGATTAGCTTTCAAGACTTACTGTCTGATCCAGAAGCCGTCAGTCTGGTGAAATATTCAGTGTATAGAAAAAGAGAATGGGGCGACTAGGCAGCAGTCAGCAATTATTACTTAGAAGAACCAAATTAAATGGGCTGATAGTTAGAAGAGGAATTTTTTCCTTTTAGGGTATTTCTTTAAAAATCATCTGGTTTCATTTCCACTAGCCTCATTCTTATACATACTAGAAAACACTTGGCTTTCAAAGTTGTGTTTAGGTACTTGCTATTACAATTGTGGCTGTTCGTATGGATACACTCAGCTGTCTCACCTACTTTCTTTGTTCTCTCACTACTGTCTCCACTCTGTCCCCGCCATTACCACCACACCACCAGGACAAGAACACTAGATGCCTGGCTATGAGAATTGAAGCACACCTGCCATTTCATGTTTGATCTTTTGGGAAAATAGATGCAATGTGCTAATTGAATAGAAAATAAAGGATAATGGCATCTTGAACTGTTAAAACTGCTAAGAATTTTAGAAAGTATTTGCCAAGGTCTAAACTCCTTATTTTATCATTAAATAAATGGACCCTAAGAGGAAAAATAATTTGCATAAGTTTTATTAGCTAGTAAATGGAGAAACAAGAACTAGTCTATACATCTTTTGACTTCAAATTTAGCACAATTTTTTTAACCATGGTGCATGCCTAAGTTGAGACACTTGGCACTGTGTTTTTGTTTTGCTTAATTTTATCAAACATAATTAAAAAAAACACATATTCCCCAGAACAGATATGACTGAAGCCATTAAAATGGGTAAAATAGCTCTGTCCTGTGTGTTTTGCTGCTTAATCATATCCTCTGGCTACTTCATCTTTTTAAGCTCAAGAAAATCACTAATTTAGTTAGGTAAAAATGTTGATGAAAGGTCCTTCTATGAATCAGTAAATTTTTGTATCATGATTTGCCATATGTCTTTCCATTAGCATTCCAAAATAGGTCTAATTATGCCCAGGCTGAGTTTTGTAATATTAACATCATCATATGTTTAAGAAAAGATTATGCTAGACTTGATCATAAGTCTTTTTAGTTCCTTCCCATAAGTGAGATTAATATCTAGTAATCACAGCCTACCTTTAAAAGGACAGAAATTTCCTAAAATTACTCAATTACAATGTTCTGTATTCTTTCTAATATTTCTGTATCCTGCATTAAAACTCTATTACTTTAATGACATTGCTTTCAAATAAACACCTCTAATTTATCGATTTAAACAAAACCCATTGCATTGAATGTATTCCTGAGAAGGGTGAGAGGTATTATTTACTATCCATCATGTACTATTTCATTTCAGTAGGTGAACTTAGAACAAAAATAGAAGGACAAGTAAGGTGTCATCACTGTCTCTAGCAAAGAAAATCCATTTCTAAGTCTTTCATTAGATATCTTTAGAAGACATTGTAGGTCTTCTATCTATGAGTTAGATAACTTCTTTTTGTATTACATTTACTCTCTTTTTTTCTAAGTAAATTGTAAAATTAGTGAATATCAGTAACATACACTACTGAAAACAACATATAAAGAGGAAAACTCATCATTTTTGTCTTACATATTTTAAAGACAACTTACCAATATGTGTCAAAGGCAGCACATATAGCCCCTAAGGCTGTCTCTGCTTACACTCAAATTATGCTTGTCTATGGTTGAAAACACCTGCTATAGCCCTAGCTTATTTCTAATACTATTAGATATAAGTTAGATAATACAACAAACATAAAAATGATAGTAATTAATAATAACAGTAATGGCTGTTACTCATTGATCACCAACAATGTGCTGATATATTTTGTCTCTAATAAGTGAAATATACATGTAAAGCAGATTTTCTTAACCCTTTTTTATAGCTATGGGAGCTAAAACACAAGGAGGTAAAGTACTTTCCTACAAGTTCCAATCAAGCATTGTCTGAATTTAGAGTAGATACTGTCTGTATCCCATTTTGCCTTTCTTGACATAAAATAACACTTTGAACACTCTAAGAGCTTAGAGGAGAGAAGAATCAAAGGAGTAGTAAAGAAAGGCATCTGTGGCAAGTGAGAACAGCTTCTTACATACTCTCTTCTCCCCGCCTTCTCATTTTTCACTTTTATTCATATTGACTTATCTCCTTTAATTCTTTTTACTTTTACAATCATTGCACTTTTATTTTGCTTTTGGCTTGTTATTTATTTCCCCATTGGGCTTCCAGGACGTGAAACTTTCAACATTATTTTACTCAAGTATTTGTGTTCCTTGTATCCCCACAAAGCTGCAAACCAACCCAGTGGCAGTGGTTGGCTCAAACGGTAACACAGTAGGTAAAGAGGTAGGCAAGGAAGTGGGCAGAACTCTTCCTTTTATGATTATTATATCTTCCATTTAAAGAAAGGTCAAGATGACTTGAGCTCTTAAGAGGGTTTCTTAAGGTAAACACCAAGGATTTCTTCGTTACCCTTTAGGTAAGAAAGACAGTGGAAGGCTTTGGCACAATTGAATTTTCTCCTTAATTTCTCTCTTAACTTGCAAGTTAAATACATTTTTGTCATTACTCTAAGTGATTCCATTTTTCAATAAGGAATAGCTACTCTACATTGTAAACCTGTATCTATCAAGAGGACAGGATATATAAGGCACAGGTCCTTTTTTTTTTTTTTTATGTTTGTCTGTTTCTTTTTTCTTTTGTGAAAATAAACTATGTATACAGAAAAGTACACAAGTTATAAGTCTAGGTGAATTACAGCAAAGCAAACCCACCCATGTATTCACCACCCAGGTCATGAAATAAAGCCAAGAAACTTCCTTCTTCCTAATCATTATCCTGGTGTTCTTTTCAAAAATTAATAGTCTATACTCATAGTCTTCTCTTCAAAGAGTGATTTCAAGTAAAATGTTTTCACAAAGTCAGTTTTGCCAAGGAGAATTATGAGTTTTTTTAGTGCACGTATGTATGTGGCATCAAAACATGGAGCAAGTACGTGGCAATAAATATGAACAAGATAGGTTGTGTCTTGATAATTGCTTAAGCTGAGTTGTGAGCAAATGGAGGTTCATTACATCACTCATCTACTTTCAGATGTATTTCACAATTAGAATTCCCATGATTATAATTATAAAAATAGCAAAAATAACAAATATGACAATTTTATGTTGTGAGTCTACATACATCAGTAAAAGTTCTATTTAGTCTTAAGTATAACAATTCACTGCTTTACATCTCTATATTTTGCTTATCTCAAGATCCACTTTGTCTGGTATAGTGTGCTCATTCCACAGTTTTTGGCTGTCCTGGGAACAACAATCTAGTGCAACTCCAGCAATGTGAGTTATAGTGCAAATGTCAAACCAGAGCAGCATCACCATCTAGAGGTCAAAATGATAACTGCAAACTTTCTCACCTTTATGAGCCTTCCGTATTCTGTATACATAGCAGTTTATGTGAATGTACAGAAAATAATGTTTGCTATTGTTTTCTCTCCAGTTGGGTTTCCAGAAAGAGATCATGGCATAAAGCAGGAACCACCTGTATTTACAGATGGCATAGGGAAGCATACATCGCAGAGCCATATATCAGCAGCACTACAGCATGTTTCAACCAAAGATGAGCCTCCCACATGTCAGACAAACCACCTACATTGGGACCACAGCAGTGACAGTGTTTTTTAGCACATTCCTGATAATGAAATCTATGTTGAACTCAACATGAATGGCTTTTCCTTTCTCTTGGCAGTCAACAGCCTACACCATTCTGCATTTGACTGTTTAGTTTATTCTCCCCTCTGGAAAGGCATGACTATGGAAACAGAGTAGAGGATATTTTGGGGATTTATGAAACTATTAATATAATTTACTCTCATTGCTGTGCTTTCTACAAATATTTTCCATCCAAATCGGAGAAATTATTGACATAGCAATGTGGGAGATAAAATGCCCTATTATTTATTATAATTAATATTATTTGTAGTATTAACTATTGAACTATTATTTCAATATCAAAAGTTATGAAGTAGAAAATAGAAAACCATTGGTTAAACCTAATGGTTTGTTTTTATTTATTTATTCAGTAAATGTTGACTGAGCTCCTCTTATGTTCTAAAAACTATGAGAGAATCCCTTGCCTGCTAGAAGTCGATAATCTGGAGTGTCTCAGAAAATACATTTAAAGTACGATAGAAAGTCAGTGATAAAGTACATTCTACTTGAGGAAATAGGAAAATACTTCAAGTATAAAGAATCATCTTGAAGAATAAATAAAAACTGTCAAGCTGAAAATATGGACAGGAATATTCTAGACAGAACAGAAAAAGTGTGTGCTAAGAAGATTTTAAAGGGCATGGTTTGTTGAAGTGAGAAGCTGATGTAGCTACTTGGGAAGAGAAATAGTTGGGACTGTGGCTGGAAACATAGTCAGGGGTTACGTTAGCAATGTCCTTGTATGCCTTACTAAGTAGTTTGGGCTTAAATCTATAAGCAGAGTGGACAACTTAACATTTTTTAACCTGCAAGTGGAAAGACTGTATGTGGTTTTAAAAAGCCTGTCTGAGGAGAGTATCAAAGAATAATTGGAGAACTGGGAGCCATGAGAAAGTCAGGAGGTACCACAATAGTCCAAAGAAGAGATGATGAGTCCTTCAGCTAATGTAGTCTCGCCTGAGGTAAAATTAATATTGGTTGGTACACTTTGATGTAATAAAGAAAAAAAGAGAGAATTGTTAAGATGTCTCTGAGATTCCTAATTAATGAGCAGGTGGTAATATCATTCAGCACAGCGCTTATTGGCTTATTTCGACAAAGAACATCTTTGTAGGAGATTGATATGTTTACTTTCTCTTACCATTGTACAGCGTTAAGTGGGGATGTCTAATGCACAATTGGAAATGTAATTCTGAAATTTTAGTGAGCTACGAAAATATAGATATCGTATGGTAATAGAGATAATAGATTAGCTTATTATAGCAGAATATGCTCAGTGAAAATTAATGTGAACCCAGGGGATATGATGGAGAAGAAAGACCATGCCCCACTTCCCTGGCAATTTTGTAGGCCTGATTGTTCTATATCTTAATTATTTGTTGATATTCAATCTGTGACATGTAAGTTGCTGGAGGAAGTCTGATTCTTGAGGTTAAAGATATAGTTGGATAGAATATTTCAACTCTTTGAAAATTTCAAATATATTTTTCTAAGAAATGCATAAAGAGAAGCAGCCTGGAGTACAGCAGTTAGGAGTACAGATTTTTAAAATTTGTATAAATATATGGGTTACAAGTGTAATTTTGTTACGTGCATAGATTGTATAGTGGTGAAGTCAGGGCTGTTAGAGTACAGATGCTGAAGCCAGAGTCCTTGATTAGCCCATCAAATAGATGCTATAGCTTGGGTGACATATTTAACTTTGCAGTGCTTTGGCTTTGTCACCTAAAACGTGGAGGTAATAGACTGGGAGTGGTGGCTCATGCCTGTAATCCCAGCACTTTGGGAGGCCAAGACAGGCGGATCACGAGGTCAGGAGATCGAGACCATCCTGGCTAACGCGGTGAAACCCTATCTCTACTAAAAATACAAAAAAAATTATCCGGGCATGGTGGCGGGCGCCTGTAGTCCCAGCTACTCCGGAGGCTGAGGTAGGAGAATGGCATGAACCCGGGAGGGGGAGCTTGTAGTGAGCCGAGATCACGTCACTGCACTCCAGCCTGGGCAACAGAGCAAGACTCCATCTCAAAAAAAAAAAAAAAAAAAAAAAAAACCCGAAAATGTGGAGGCAATAATAATAGTACATATTGATTGGGAAGTTATGCCTGGGAAGCAAAAAAAATTCCTATAATACTTAGAATAGTGTCCAGAAGCAATTAAATATCGTAACAGTATTTGCTAAATAAATACTGATTACTTTCTTTAAAATTTTCCATAGCATCTATCTACATGTGTGAAATGAATGGAATCAAGCCTGACCTTTTCATTGCAAAAAAACCCATAAGGGGTCACATTTTATTGGTTTATTTGGACAATGGTTATCTATTGAAATCCTGGAATCATGAATGAATCCAAAAAAATGTTGACGTGGATGATTTTGCATTTTTCCATTCTAATTTTAACTGTAAGATATCTTGCCTTTTCAAATGGTTAAATATGTGTTGATTTGTGTTTAATCCATAGAAAAGGTCATAGAGAAAACATTTACAGTTGGAAATATCCAGACAAATCATTGCACCATGTCCCCAAGTGGAGCTTGAAGAATTTAACATCACATGTGACAATTCCAGTAGCAGTGAGAAATGTCACTTTTCAGTTTGTCCTAAAATAATGGCGACAGTGAAAATAAGAAGGGAAGTGTGTAAAGAAATCTTGATGCACAGAGGGCTTATTTACTATTTCTTATTATAACTTGTAAGTGATTTTGATTTACTTAAAGCTGAAAGTCATATCTATTATTTACTTTTAAGACTTTGATACTCAAAGAGTTGTCCTTGGACCAATAGCCTTGACCTCACCTGGGAACTTCTTAAAAATGTGGAACTTCAGGCCTCATTCAAGAACCTCCAAATCATAATCTGCATTTTAACAAGATTCACAATTTGTTGTATAAATATTAAAATTTGAGAAAAAATAAATCAGAAAATCTAGAGATTAGCAACAGATAGATAATAGAGTTGCTGGAGAATCAAAACTAAACAAAGAACCTCACTTTCCAGCTGTACTTCACTGAATTTCTGATATAAACTTACATTATAAATAGCAGACTTCTATTCCAAAAATATTTATTAAAAGCCTGTTCTATACTAGTCATTGTTCTGGGTTCTAAAGATACAGTGGTGAAGAGACTAGGCAAAGTTATTTATTTATTTTTTTATTTATTTTGAGATGAAGTCTCACTCTGTCGCCCAAGCTGGAGTGCAGTGGCACGATGTCGGCTCACTGCCACCTCCACCTCCCGGGTTCAAGCGATTCTTCTGCCTCAGCCTCCTAAGTAGCTGGGATTACAGGCACGTGACACCATGCCTGGCTAATTTTTATATTTTTAATAGAGACGGGGTTTCATCATGTTGGCCAGGCTGGTCTCGATCTCCTGACCTCGTGATCTGCCAGCCTCGGCCTCCCAAAGTGCTGGGATTCCAGGCGTGAGCCACCACGCCGGGCTGACAAAGTTATTTTACTCCAGCTGTTATCACTCGATTGTGCTCTGAGAGAGGTAGAGAAAATTCGTGTGTAAGAGTAAGAATTTCAAGAAGTAGACTTCTCTAGACATTGAATTTTTAGAAAACCTTCTACATATTCTTTTGTTGTATAGCTTTGCCCAGATTCAGTCATTGCTCAGTTCCTTTTGATATACTGGAGCCAGACTGCCTGGGTTTAAAAGCTCTTTTCCTCAATTCTCTCATCTGAAAAAAAAAAAAAAAAAAATTTCTCTGTCAGAGGATTGTTGTGAAGATCAATGGGGCCGAAATACACAAAGTTCACAGGGCAATGCCTGACATATAATAAGCTCCATGTAAGTGTGAGAAATTGTTACTGTTATGGTAGTGAAATAAACATTTCACTAGTACGTTTCTCTTTTCTGAGTATGATTGTTGAGCGATTAGCTCAAGCTTTGGCTTATGTACAAATTTTCTTATGAAATCAGCCACCAGTGGATCCTGAAGCATCTCATTAGTTAAGCTGTGGCAGTTGCTGACTAGATGTTGATGGAGAAGACCCCATTCTCCAGATTCTGTCCTGGACTGAAAACATGAACATGAAAATGCTGACATCTTAACCATGATACATTTCCTTCATTTTTGCATAATCAGAGATAACTTTTTCTTTTGTTCTCTGCATAGAAGAAATATGTGTGCCCATCTAATTTGCTCTGAGCCTTGCTCATGTCTCCATGCTCTTTCTCCTTAATCTCTGCTTCCTCAGTATAGTTTATTGGTATATGAGCAGGTATTTAATTCTTGCTTACCTTGGTTCCTTATCATGAGTTTTAGTAAAAGTGGTGACTCTTATTCTTTTAAATAGTATAATACTATTCAATACCTAACAGGAATGGTAAAAGTTAATGAACGATCATATAATAGTAAGTGTTCCTAATAGAGATTTTGACATAGAATTTTGTTTCTTTTCCAAGTAGAAATGGGTATCAATTAATTCAGATTCTTTACTGATTCTCTGTGCATTTTGAATGCTTATTTCGGGTGTATAGTAGACACAACTGTATACATGCTACTTGTGGTCAGGGATTGGCCTTTCAGCCCCTTTTTTTCCTGCCCCACACCCAACTGTCCACTCTGCTACTCAAAGCACAGCATTTTGTAACTTACCCCTGTACCCTTGTCTACATCGGTGGTTCACAAACTGTGGTCTGAGAACAAAACCCTTTCTGAAAATCTGTGACATCAAACTATTTCGATAACACCAGGGGGTTATTTGCATTTTTCACTCTTTTCTCTTATGAGTATACAGTGAAGATTTCAAGAAGCTCCATGACATGAGATACCACAACAGATTGAAAGCAGATGGAAGAATCTACCTGTCTTCTGTTAAGCCATACAATATAGAAATTTTAATGTCAAACAATGCCAATCTTCTCAATACTTTTTGACTTTCAAAATAAGGGGTCTTAATGACAATTTTTTGTTTATTTGTTTGTTTTGTTTTTGAGACAGAGTCTCGCTGTCGCCCAGGCTGGAGTGCAGTGGCTCCATCTCGGCTCACTACAAGCTCCGCCTCCCGTGTTCACGCCATTCTCCTGCCTCAGCCTCCCGAGTAGCTGGGACTACAGGCGCCCGGCACCACGCCCGGCTAATTTTTTGTATTTTTAGTAGAGACGGGGTTTCATCGTGTTAGCCAGGATGGCCTCGATCTCCTGACCTCGCGATCTGCCCGTCTTGGCCTCCCAAAGTGCTGGGATTACAGGCGTGAGCCACCGCGCCTGGCCTTAATGACAAATTTTACAGGACCCTTTAATGAGATTGCTTTTATCAGTTAACAAAATGTAAATGTTTTCAAAGATCTTCATTTTAATATTTAATACAGTAAATATCATTAGATTAAAAACCGTGCTAAATAAAGCTTTTGGGGGGTCATCAATAATTTTTATGAATCTAAAGGGATTCAAAAAAATATTAGAAAACTTCTGGTCTGTAATATTTTCTTGGCTGCTTGGGACAAGAGAAAAGCTGGTGCATGCCATGTCGTGACTTCTTTCTCACACTCTCTGACAACTCTATGTCCTTTCCAATACTTTGCCTTTGCAAAGTGGAAGAGAAGGAGAATGATAGAGGGAACAAAAGAAAATGTGACATGTTATGTGGATTAAAGTCTTTTTTCTAGACAATGACATGCCCTGCAGAATGGCTAGCAATGGCATGACATTGTCTGATATAGTAAAATAAATGGAGCAGCATATAAAACTAATTGTGATGAGTTTTGTGATGTACTTAAAATACCCTTTCTAAATTTTTATTAAAGTCCAATAACATTGTGTTGCATAGGCAAAGAAACTGAAGCCAGGATTGATAATCCAACTTGCTCTGAGTGACTGGCCTGATAGTGTCCAAATCAAGAGTAAGAACTCAAATTTCCAGCCTCTAGTTTTATTATATTACTATGTATCACATAAAATTCAGTATCTGCGTTTTTCAGTAGGACAAATTATGACAATAGTTATATAGAACTCTATGCATAATGCAATTTCTCTTAATAAAAGCCTAACGTGAACTAATAGATCTGAAAAGGAACATTGAGAAAAATGTAAATCTGTAGCTGACATTGGCCAAAAATTTGTATAAAAGATTCAAATGCAGCTTTCAAAACAACATATACAATTCTCCCTGTAATTTGGCAAATTATTCCAACAGCCTGTAACACTCTTGATTTGGAGCTTCTATGGGGGTTATAATTACATCTCAACTTTTAAAACCATATCATTATCCATTCAGTGAATAGAATGCATTGATAAAAATCACAGTATCCCCTAGTGTACACTAAAATTGTTAAGCAGAATAATTTATGCAAATTACTTATAGAGTTAATGTATGTTAAATAGGTTTAATTACACTGCAGAACTTAGTTCGCTGCAGCACACACAATTATTTTTAATTATAAAACAGATATTTTCGAGATTTATGTTCAACCCATTACACTGCCAGTTAATACTGCTTTTCTTCCTTGCTTTCAGAAATAAAGAAAAGAGATTAATAATTTGTGCCAAAATCTTCTTGTTACTGAAAAGCTTAGGTACATTTTAATGTTAGCATTTTTTGAGATTTAAAAGTGACAAAATGCTTTTGGGCCTTATTTAAAATATTTACTTATTACCAAGAGTTGGGAAGGAAATTAACAGAAGAAACAACTTAAAGATGTAATAATATTTACAACTGGGGAGTAAAACTGGGGGAATAAAGAAGAGAAGAGATGTAACTGTTTTAATTATAAGCTCTTCTTTACTACATGGCTTATAATCATATATGTATTACTTTGCTTAAAAAAATTAAATGCACACATACATACACCATGTTCACCCACAATCTTTGCACCTACATCTTCCCATTATTTTAATTTATGTAGAAAGGATGGCTGAACAATGAATATTATAATGTTAACAATAGATCTCATGATATAAATAAAACTAAGAATTTCCAAATTTTTGAAAAAAATCCTTTTGCATTGGTACCGTTGTTCCACATTGTGACATTAGGTATTAGACTTGTAATATATATACACACATAGGCAAGGAAAAAACAACTTAGCCAGTCACATTTCAATAGTAATATTAAAACAAAGATGTGAATTCTATGGCAAAGTATGAGTTTACAAATGACCTTTGCATACTACAGTATACCAACCAGCAACCATGGAAGATACACATGTTTACTAAATAATTATACAGAAAACAATATACAACATAATACAATATGCATTACTTAGTGAAGCTCAAAATATATGATTTTAGTGGACTTATTTTAATGATATTAATTTTCTATCAAATGAACAAGCAATTCTGTTGGGCACAAAATGCAATTATGTTACAGTATAATATTTCAGATTAAAAACTTTATATATATATGTGTACTTTTCTTAAGATGGTGTATACTGAGCTAATAGTAGAATATAATAATCAAATTAAACACAGGATATCTTTTTCTAACTCTAAATTTTTCAGACAGTTTGCTATTTTGAATGTGATGCTAAGAGACATAAATCTTTCAAATTTAATTCATTGACATTGCAGCTATTTAATAAAAAAGTTTCATAAATACTAGGGTGCCAAACTAAAGTAAATATACTGTCTAATATTTGTAATTAGATGTTAAAACAAAGATTGCTTCATTGATCAATGAAATTATAATACCCTATAAGATGTAAAATTCAGAATAATTAATAAAACTTACACATTATTTATTTGCTATCTTTATTCCCAAATAGGTTCACCATGCATTAAATTTATGCTAATTAGCATGATTAAAGATGCTTAGTTCTGTATTTGAAGAATTTCTGGACAAAAGTATTATCTTTTGATGAAGACAAAACACTGTTAATTCATTATGTAGAATCTCATTATCTCACCATGCTATTTTTCATAGATACATAATATATGTACATATTTGTGGATAAATATGATAATATGATACCTTAGATAATCAGATCAGGGTTTTGTCCTCTATCAGATATGTAGCTTTCTTGCATTTTAAATATTAGTCTTCTGATGAGGTTGTCTCATCCAAGTATTGAGCACAGTAGTTAGTGCTTTTGACTATGGAGTACCTGGAGATATATCATTATTGCTATTTTATCAATTTGGTCAATATTGCTTTAGCTTGGAATATTTCTTTAGCTTGGAATAGCCATCTGATTTCTGTTTATATAATTCTTTTTCTTTAATACAGTACCAAAAAGTCCCCAGTGACCTCATGGGTTTTGATCACAAGGCATTTTAATGTCAGGGAAAATTATTCACATCATTGCATATACTTAGTGCCTATTCCGGCACTTTATGCATAGTCGTTGTTTTTAAATTATTTGAAAAGCATCTCCAGCTGCTCTGCCTATGGAGTAGCCATTCTTTTGTTTCTTTAATTCTCTAACAAACTTGTTTTCACTTTAAAGAAACAAAAATATCTAAACTTTCCTACCAGCACAAAAGGATATAATAATGCTAATATTAAACCAGTATGTTTTCAGCATTTACTATGTGCCAAGTTCTGCTCTAAGCACTTTGCATACGTATTAGCTGATTTATTATTCACAACTCCACCATGTAAATGCTAATCTTATTCCATTTTACTGGCACTGAACAGAGGTTAAATAGTTTGCTGTTTGACATGCATCAAGTAAAAGCCAAGTCCTGAAATCAAGGCATTGAACACTAGAATTCATTCTGAATAATAGTGCCAATTATTATCAAGGAACGAATCCAAGTGAAAATAGTTTTTTCTAGTAAAGAGTGCTCAAAAATGTAGTTTTGTGATGGTTAAATCAAATCAAACACAGAAAAATCTAATATAAACACACCCTTAAGCAGTGTTCTCAAAAATACCTGGTGTACAGTGCTTCAGTACATAAAATGATCTAGGGGGTCTAGGAGAAATAGATGAGGATTTATGTTTCTGTTATATTTGCTAGTTCTTCTTTTCTTATTTTTTGGAGTGTTTTCTGCTTTGTTTTAAAGACATAAACACTAATATAATTTAGTAGTATATTTACATCATTTATAAGTGAAAGTGAATAGTACACAAATATTGGTGGTGCCTATATTCTTTTTAAAACTGTTCTTATGGGCCGGGCGTGGTGGCTCACACTTGTAATCCCAGCACTTTGGGAGGCCGAGGTGGGTGGATCACCTGAGGTCAGGAGTTTGAGACCATCCTGACCAACATGGTGAAACCCCCGTCTCTACTAAAAAAACAAAAATTAGCCGGGCATGGTGGCAGGCAGCTGTAATCCCAGCTACTCAGAAGGCTGAGGCAGGAGAACCCCTTGAACTTGGGAGACAGAGGTTTCTGTAAGCTGAAATAGTGCCACTGCACTACAACGTGGCGACAGAGTGAGACTCTGTCTCAAAAAAAAAGAAAAAAGAAAAAAAACATTTTTATGAATACATGAGCCATAATGTTTGGAAAACCACTACTCACAATTTAGGAAAAAATAAGATTTAAGGTAAAAACGCATTATGTTCATCTCTGCAACTGTAGTTATGTATCCTTTTTCTGAGTCTTCCTTTCTGCATAATGGGAATATTAAGTGCCTATATAGTTTTATTTAACAATGACAGAATAAGTGAAATTTGTGTAAATTTTAAAAGTATACAACCCTACAGAACAATTATTCAAATATCACTGGACAGCATTTTCAAATATCATTTTGAGTATATAGAACAAACCAATTTGAGAGAAATATCTATTCAGTGAGTCTTATGTATCCCTTCATGGTAAAGTCATCAGATTGACCTTTGGCATGGGCAGCATGGAACAGACAATTCCTGATAGATAAATAATCTCCTTGAGGCACTGTCTTCACCACTTTACTTCTTGTTGCTAATATTTCTGAAGTGTATGAATAGGCTTTTAGGAAGCCACACTAGCCTGTGGCCAGGCAGTTCAGAGCTTGGTTGATACAAACAAAACAAATACCTGAAAAAAAAAAAAGGCAATTTTCTCTTTTATTTAAAGCTCCCTCAAAACCCTGACAACCAAAAATGGAAATCAAATGAACTAAAAATTTGGAATGTTATGTTAATATATTCGCTTAATAGATATTAATATTTTAAGTCCATATCATTCCCAGTGTACATCTCAGTGTACTCTCTAATACGACTTTAGATTTTAACTTAGTAGACACAATCATTAAATTTCTACTGACAATATTTACCTAGATTTTAACATCTCAAATTCGCATACTAGTTAAAATGAGTAGTATATCATAGTGTTTCTTTCATACTCTATGTTTTAAGTATATATTTAAAGGATTGAAATATAGCAGCGGCCGGCCGCGGTGGCTCACGCCTGTAATCCCAGCGCTTTGGGAGGCCGAGGTGGGCGGATCACCTGAGGTCGGGAGTTCAAGATCACCCTGACCAACATGGTGAAACCCCGTCTCTACTAAAAATACAAAATTAGCCGGACATGGTCGTGCATGCCTGTAATCCCAGCTACTCTGGAGGCTGAGGAAGGAGAATCGCTTGAACCCAGGAGGCGGAGGTTGCATTGAGCTGAGATCGTGCCGTTGCACTCCAGTCTAGGCAATAAGAGTGAGACTCCGTCTCAAAAAAAAAAAAAAAAGAAAAGAAATATAGCAGTATTTTCTAAAGTGTCGTCTATAGAACAGAAGTTCTATAAGCTCTCAATTGTTAACAAAACATTCCATGGTGCAATATGTTTTAAAAATATAACAGTTCACATTAGCAAAGTATTGAACCTGGGAAGTCTGAGTACCTTGAGTAGTTCCCAAATTTAGTTGACCAAAAATAGCATTTTGAGTTTTGCTTGCTTGCTAATATCCCAAGAAGACAAATTTCACACAATGCTCTATTAAATACCAAGATACATATTTTGCCTCATACGTTTCTTAATAACTTAAATTATATGAAAAAAACTTTGAAGTAAATGTCAAAATTTTGTAGAATTTTACATCTAGCTCAAAATAACTGAGCTATTTTGCCAGAATAAAATTTGCCAAAGTAGAAATATATAATGATTTACAATTCTAAGAAATTTATTTTCTGAATAATTTATTTAAGAGAAATAATACATTTATAAGCCTTGCATGAGGAAGTATACATCTATTTAGCAAATACAATGTAAAAATTGATTTTAGCATATTTTCATCAAGGACAATGGGACACATGCTGAAGTCAGAGGAAAGTACCATGAGCACATGCAAAATTATGATATGTACTAGACACACAAAGCACGTACGGCACACATCCTTCTCATGTCTTTCCTTCTCTCCATTAGAACTGTCAGATGCATTTCCCATGCCACAGTAAAAAATGACATGAAGATGGAAGTGACAAAAGAAATGAAGATATAACGTCACCCTAGCAGTAGCCTCATGTTTCATCAGTGTCCTCATATAATCCTTCTAGTAATATGACAGATAAGGTATTTTAAAACAAGTTCTTAATACAAACTGAATAGAAGATAAAATTGCTAAGTAAAATACAATAAACATTCTTGTAAAAGCATATTTGAGAGTCAAAGAACTTAAGGAAAATCTCTAGGGGCAAATACTACGATGAGGTAGGAATCAAATGTGACTGTCTTGTGCACATTTATTAAAAACCGGAAACCAAGAGGCTTCATTCATAAAAGTGATGAAGAGGACAAGATTGGAATTTGGGAATTTGAACCTAAAGTTGATTGATTCTCTTAGCCTTTTAACAGTCAGAAATTAGAAAATCCTAAATGTATTTTGCTGAAATGTCTATCAATATTTGATATACATAGAGATAAAAGATAAATAGAAGATGTATAGCAACAAATGTTTATCATTAAATGGATTCTGCAAAGGTAAAGCTAAGCAAATTGCAAAAGCATTCATAATGGATGATCCCAGTTGTATTAAAATATGCTGGACAATGTTATCTATTGTTTAGGGATATTTGTATATGTAGGAAGAGCATGAAAATTGCAATTACCGATTAAATGGCTAGTACTTGAGAGGGTAGGAGGATAATGTATTTTGGAAGTGCAATACAGTGGATTTAAATTTTATTGATAATATTCCATATTTAAACTAGGTTTTGAGTGCATGGAAGTTCACTATATTATTCTTTATGTCTTTCTTATGCTTCAGTTATTTAATAAGTAAAAAATTTACTCAATTGATTTTTTTATGGGTGAATTCCTTTGGAGATTCCTAATGACTTATTTAATTTTAATAGTTATTGGTTGTGTTTTGTGGTAGTTTTCCAAAGCAACATGGAAAAAATTTTACCAAGCCATATTTTCTAATAAATTATTCCAACGCCTTTTTTTTGGACATGAGTTTAAAGTTAATGAATAGGGTTTAAATTATATTTTGGTGTACGGTTGTTAAAAACTTTAAATTCATTTTAAAGAGCTTGCTCTCATTTTGTGAGGGATAGTCTTGATTTTTAAACAGTGTAAGATTATTTTGACTCTCTAATCTTATTTGCAGTCTTTAAGAGACTCTATATTAAAAACTTGTAACTCTTCTGCTGAAAATTTTTACTCATCCTCTCTATACCTCCAAATCCTCTCTTCTCCCATGCAGAGGTTGGCAGGAGTGGTAAGAAATGTTGTATTCTTGAGAACAGAATATATTAGAATTAAAATAGTTCTTATTATAATGATGTGAACAAAGTATTCAATTAATATTGATGACTGAAAAGTGCTGTTAGGAAGTGGAATAAACAAACTCTGAAATAGTCAAATGCCAGGAAAAGGAAAAGCATTAGATTTTGTCCTTAGTGGTTCCATTCTTATCCTAGGACCATTATTGTAAGTTTTTCACAGAGGATGTGTTTTTTGTAAGAACATTAGGACTACCTCAACACCATTAATATGACCACAACTTCACCTCTGAAATCCTAATTTTAAGGGAGAAATAAATTCAAATATAAAGTTGTGATTTAGCCGAGTATATAGAGATGATTATTTTAAAGAAGATTATTCTATTTTGAATTCAGGTAAACTAGCTGGTAAGTTGTTTGAAAATTTGATTTTCTGGTAATTTTAAGGGACTTGTTAAAAGGCAAATTACCATATATACCTTGCCTCACATACATACCCTCTGTGGCTTATCAATTTCATGAGTATTTCACTCAACCAAAAACTGTTGAATATAAGTTAATATTTATTTTATGATTAAAAAACCACCTAAAGGTATTGCAGCATTTAGGAATCAGTATTATGCTTAAAGAGGGGCAGAGAGGTGAGAGTTAATGAGGATTTCTCTAGATAAAATCCTGCATAAAAAAGATTTTAGCCTATTTTGCAGATTGTACTTACCTTTAGTCATTTACACAACAGATTTAAATATTATAGTGAGTATATAGAGCAATAGAAATATAACCACTTCATCATTGAATAATCAAATAGTAATAGATAGTAAGAAAGGCTTGTATCCAACACCTCAAAATGCTTGAACAAGCAATACATTCAATTACCTATGCTCTTGGAATTATAAATAAACATGCTTATGCATATATAGCTATTTCTCCTTCTGATCTATATTTCATTACTTTGACCTTACATGTAAGACAATTGTGTGTTTCATATGCAAGACCTCAACTGCTCTGTCTGCAAAGGTGATGTAAAATTTCTACTTGAATAGCAATAAATCATGTTAATTCAGCCTTAGTCAAACAAAATGTGTTAGAGAGGATGGAAGAAGAATAGGAATGAGAATGGTCAAAACATTCAATCGAGTATAAGAATCTGCCCAATTGAAGTGATGTACTAATATTGAGTCAAGTACTTCTAGCGATGAAACAAGGACCCAGATCAGCAGGAGTGTTTGTATAATTAAAATAATCCATTGATATTAAAACAGGATAAAGTAATTTTATGTATTTTGATTTTAGTACAGTGATTTCTTAAAAATCCAGTGAAGAAAACTCAATTTAGTTTCAAAAATGAGGTGAAAATGAACTGCCTGCCAAAGGTTAATGAGATAAATATGATTTGCTTTAGAACTACAAGCAGAGTCCAGAGATTGGTGAATAAGAAGCCACTTTATTCAGTTCTCTTTCCACCACTTGTGGTTCTCAAAATGAAGCTTAATGAAATAGGATTTACCTATCAATGCCTCCACAGTTAATTGGCATACATAGCTAATACTGACTCAAAACTCGGTCTGTTTTTAGGGCACATTTTCCTAAGGAGGTTTGCTAACACATCTATGCCCATCTCCATTTGTGACCCATCCCCTTTCACTATCAAAGTACCATCATTTGGGAAATGAATGTGTCTATTATGTTCTAGGCCTCTACATTTTCCTGCGTTTTCAAATTTTCATTCCTCAAAAAGCTTAGGAAATTAAGAAACAGAGAAAAAGTTTACATTTTTTTTTCTAGTGCAAATGTGATAAAAGATTTTAGGAACCCTCTCTGTCATTAAAAAAAAAAAAAAGTTAGAATTAAAATATGAGAGGTACTAACCTCTGATTGCCCAGTATTATTTCTTGGATAAATTATAGCTTTTGATCCTCTGTTTCCCACAGCTAAAAGCTAAGGGTTCCAGCTATGATTGACTCCAACGTGGCTATTTAGCAGTCAGTAATCACTTCATGACTCCAATACAATATATTTTCTTAATGGTGAGTAAGAGGTCCCATTTGAACAAATCCATTCCCTTTTCTACAAAGAAGATGTGTGTATGTGACTCTTAATCACTATCAAAGTGTAATTGGGCAGTAAAAGAAACAGATTGGTTAGTGTCGACCATATGATAGGCAATGTGTGGAGCCAGGAAAAGACAGGGTTCAGCTATTTTAAACATGTTCAATACTTAGTCAACTCATTATCCACATAAATGGAGGGCGACAGTAATTTAGATAATCCACGATAGTAGATGATTAAAAAAAAATTTACAACTGAGTTTGCAAGCATATTTTTCTTCAACACATTTGTCACAACTCTCTTTTAATGCTTAATGCCTCAAATTTTACAATTCTTTAACACTTTATAAAGTGACTTTATGTATCATGACTTCTCTTTTTGGTATCTTCCTAGTGAACCTCCTTTTGTGTATCTTAGCTCAAATGCCATCTCCCTAAAACTGACCTTTGGCTCCTTTCTTCAGTATTATACCCATCTCTTCTCTGCTATTATCATAGCTCACTGTACTTTCTTTTTTATATCATCACCATTTTATGACTCTAAGGAATTACGATGTCTTTCCACCTATCCTGTAAACTCCATAAGGCCAAACACCTGTCTCTTTGTTCATAGCTGTATCCCACCACGCTCAATATTTGGTGAGCACATTCTAAGTGCACGATGACCATTAGCTTTATGATGGAATGTAGAAATCAATGCATGGATGAATTTAATCCTAATTATTGTTTTGAGAGGTTGTGCAGAAGCCTTTATTATCTTTTTATATACAGTGTAATACAGTATAGACTGTTTTGGCAGATGGCCCATTTGACCACTAACCAAGATCCTGATCTTAGAAAATTACTTATCTTTTGGCACCTCTGTTTCATCATCTGTAAAATAGAAATAATGACAATATGTTTTGTATATTGTAATGAGGATTAAATGACAAAATATATGTAAAAAGCTTAGCAGAGAGACTCAAAGTAAATGCTTAATTTTTTTTGATTTTATAAAATAATTGTATACTATTAATAATAAGTAAAATGAAATCTGGAAAGATTAAGTGAGCCACCCTAAAGTATATTATATCAAATAAATATCATGTAAAATAAAGGTAATATTTAGATAACAGAATTGTTTAGAATGACTATTTACAAGATAAATTGACTTGGTCTTTAAAGTTTCTTCTTATAGTTCCCTTGACTATATTTTGACAACAAAAAGAGAGTCTTTGCTAATTAATGCCTGAAACATTTAAAAACTGATAAGGCCTCTATGCTGCATCTTTCTTAAGATATAATCCAGGGTGCTGAGAAGAAAAAAAAACATGTATACTCTGCACACCAATGAAATGGGTCTATATTAATTAGTGAAGTATTGTCTAATCAATAGTGTCACATAGACTTTTCTAGTCTGTGAACTTATATTGTCCTCCAAGGTAATTTGACCAATCCAGCTGCCTTGATAGGCATTGCTGTTTCTCTTTCAATTATTTAAAACAAAAAGGATCCCGGCTGGGCACAGTGGCTCATGCCTGTAATCCCAGCACTTTGGGGGACGAGGTGGGCCGACCACCTGAGGTCAGGAGTTCGAGACCTACCTGGCCAATATGGTGAAACCCTGTCTCTATTAAAAATACAAAAAATTAGCTGGGGATGGTGGCATGCACCTGTAAGATATTCATGGGTACTTAGAATTATCATGTGGACTTCTTTGTGATGCAATTATTCAGCCTACCAAAGGTGATTTTTAAAATTTGTTTTTATTTTTAATGATTATTTTTAAATTAAGCCTAAATTCAACAGATATTATGAAATGAAAATGACCTTTTTATACTTTTTTTCATGTATTCACACAGTCAAAATTAATTTTAACTTAAAGACCTATTCAAATGACACTCTAAAAAATACTGAGGGACATGGAAACAAATCCACAGGACATCAAATAGAGAGGTTTATGTATATGCATTTTTGTGTATGTGTCTGTGCATATTTCCTATTTAGTAACTTGTTTATTTAGGTATGACAGATGGGAACATAGGCCACAATGTTAACTGGAATAATTTATCTGCAGGGGCAGTAATTACAGCTAGAAAATATGTATGAATGTGTGTTTGTGTGCGTGTTTGTGTGCATATGTCAATCAAGGAAAATGATCCAGGCAGGTCTCATTTTAGGAGGTTTATTTGCCAAAGTTAAGGATGCCCCCCACCCCCCACCCCACTGGAGACAGGTCTATGACTTTCCCCAAAGATGATTTTGAGGGCTTCAAATTTAAAGGGGAAAGGACAGGATGTTGAGAAATACACAGTTATCATGTGAGATTGCAGTAGGGGAGAATATTAATGGCTTCGTCCTGCTCAGTGAGTCTGAATTTTTATATAATATAACATAGACAATAAGGCAGAGGAAACAATCAGATATGCATTTGTTTCAGGTGTGCAGAGGGATGACTCTGAGTTCTGTCCTATGTCCCCTGTACCTGCAAAGATAATTGATAGGTTGATCAATTACACTGCCATGGTGAACTTTGACAGATAAGCTTGAAGGTAAAAATCTTGGGGCACACAAGGAGTTTACTTGTGGGCAAAATGTTAGGGAGGTATATAGCTTTTCATCTTTGTAGCCATCTTATTTAGGGATCAAAATAGCAGGCAGGCTTGCGTGACCAAGTTCCCAGCTGGACTTTTCCTTTTAGCTTAGTGAGTTTAAGGTCCCAATATTTATTTTCCTTTCACACATATATCGAAGTTCCGTAATAGCGTTTTACTCACATTATTAGAAAAACTTTACAAGATTTTTAAAATGAAATAACGTAACAAATGTTATATGCAAACAGGGGAGGTAAACTTTTTTTCATTTTTCAATAGCATATACTAAAAGGTACATTTTTAATACAGAGAAGACAAGTTTTATGCTTTATCTGACCAAGGGAATATTACTCAGAAGAATTCAGAGGCTGCATCCTTGCTTAGAGGGAAGGAGTTTTGACTGAGTGTTGATGTGCACCACGTAAGGGGCAGTGTTTTACCGCTTGCAGCATATGCTTGTCAACCCTGTTTTAAATCATTTTGGTTGTTTTTGTCCCTCTAAATGCTGTTTTCTAACATTCATTTTACCTAAAATTAAACAGCACTCTTAGAAACTTAGATAACAACATTTCATATTGAGAAAGTAGATCATTGGCATAGGTGAATGGATATTTTAGAGTTTATAGTTAGAAGCTCTGACCAATCCTAACATTGCCTTAAAAAAAGTAATCCTACGTAAGCCAGGAAGGATAACTGGGAAGGAGAGAGGAAGAGAAGTTGATTAATGGGTACAAATATAAGGTTTGACATAAAATAAGATTTAGTGCTTGATAGATAAATAGTGTGACTATAGTTCACAAGAATCTATTGTACATTTTGTTTTTTTAGACGAAGTCTTGCTCTGCTTCCCAGGCTGGAGTGCAGTGGCATGATCTCGGGTCACTGCAGCCACCACCTCCTGGGTTCAAGCGATTCTCCCTGCCTCAGCCTCCTGAATAGCAGGGACTCCAGGCACATGCACCACGCTGGGCTAATTTTTGTATTTTTAGTAGAGATAGGTTTTCCCTATGTTGGCCAGGCTGGTCTCAAACTCCTGACCTCAGATGATCCTCCTGCCTCGGCCTCCCAAAGTGCTTGGATTACAGGCGTGAGCCACTGCTCACAGCCTATTGTACATTTCAAAATAGCTAGCAAATAATAATTAGAATGTTTCCAGCATAAAGACAAATAGCTGGCCGGGTGCAGTGACTCACGCCTGTAATCTCAGCACTTTGGGAGGCTGAGGTGGGTGGTCACCTGAGGTTGGGAATTCGAGACTAGCCTGACCAACATGGAGAAACCCCGTCTCTACTAAAAATGTAAAAATTAGCCGGGTGTAGTGGCAGACACCTGTAATCCCAGCTACTTGGGAGGCTGAGGCAGGAGAATTGCTTGAACCCAGGGGGCAGAGGTTGCAGTGAGCCGAGATTGTGCCGTTGCACTCCAGCCTGGGCAATAAGAGCAAAACTCCATCTCAAAAAAAAAAAAAAAAAAGACAAATAGCTAAGATGATGGACATTCCATCTTTACAAATCATACAAAGTATGCTAGTGAATTAAATTATCACATATACCTGAAACTATGTACATCTATTATGCATCAACAAAAATTTTATTTACAAAGAAATAATTTGAGAGGAAAAATACATGGAGGAAAAACAAAATATGCTCATAGAGGCAGGACTAGTTCTGGACTAGCCCCATTGAATAACAGTGGCAGACAATGAAGTGTAAAGAGAGGAATGAGAAAAGAAGAGTAGAGAAAGACAACTGGGTGTGTGGTGGAGATCTGGGCTGATGAGAGTGAAATTTCAGGGAGTTAGGAGGGGAGGTGTGCCTTATAGTAAGGACAGAAAAGATAATTTTTATTTTTTTTCCCATGGTCTAGCATGTGGCCACCTGAAAGATAAAAGTATTTAAACATTTGGTTTATTGTAATGACATCATAATTATGCAGCTCATAAAACTATAATTCTTTATTGCAAGATTTCTAACAAATTGATAATTAGACAGATGGATAGATCTAAGATTACTCAGAGCTATGACCCTTGCTGTAAGGCCTATGACAAATCACATGTTCTGTGAAATTACATTACCTCTTGCTTTCAGACCCACACCTGTGCAAACTTTTCCACCCATTCACTTCAGTAAATGTAACACAAGTACAGGAAAACAAGATATCCTCTCTCATTACCAGATCAGTTTACAGGCATGGGGAAAAGATGCTGTCAAATATTATCTACAACTCGAATCTGAGGTCACTGACCTTAGAATGGAAAAAGATAATGCCTCATCATGAATGTTTAAAAAATCTACCTATGCAAACATACTTTATATTTTCTGGAATTCTAATATCACTTGCAGTTTAGAATAAAACATAATCTTATGAAACTATAGCACATGAATAGTTTTTTGATATTAAATTATTAAATTACTGTATCATATATTCTTATATAATTTTTCAGTCTTTATTTTGTCCTCCTCATACTTTATGTGTCAATTTTCAATTCCTAAACATTCTGAACCTCCTAGTTGATTGATTCATTTATTAAGGCATTTAAAACATGAATTGAAGCCTCAAAATGAACCAGGTGTCATGTTCATTCCTGGACATAACAAGGTCAATAAGACATATATTTTGCTTTCAAGGAACACAGGTTCTTGTTTTGGATGACATTAAGAGCTAGGGAATATGTTTTGCTTCTAATTCTTTTCATAGACTTCTACCAATTTTTACATGGAAACATTTACTTAAGCATTTTGAGCTTAGAATCCTATTAATTTCAAATACTATCACTGCTTGTACTGTTTTAAATTGTGTTTCAATATAATTGCTTAAATTCCATATATTTTCTGTGTTGTCATATATGAAAGAGGTTAAATGATTGATATTGGTTATTAGAGGACTGCAAATCAAAACCGCAATGAAATACCATCTCACATCAGTTAGAATGGCGATCATTAAAAAGTCAGGAAACAACAGATGCTGGAGAGGATGTGGAGAAATAGGAATGCTTTTACACTGTTGGTGGGAGTGTAAATTACTTCAAGCATGTGGAAGACATGTGGCGATTGTTCAAGGATCCAGAACCAGAAATACCATTTGACTCAGCAATCCCATTACTGGGATTATACCCAAAGGATTACAAATCATTCTACTATAAAGACATATGCACACGTATGTGTTTTGCAACACTGTTCACAATAGCAAAGACTTGGAACCAACACAAATGTCCATCAATGATAGACTGGAAAAAGAAAATGTGGCACATATACACCGTGGAATACTGTGTAGCCACAAAAAGGATGAGTTCATGTCCTTTGCAGGGACATGGATGAAGCTAGAAACCATCATTCTCAGCAAACTAACATAAGAACAGAAAACCAAACACCGCATGTTCTCACTCATAAGTGGGAGTAGAACAATGAGAACAAATGGGCAGGTGGAGAGGAACCTCACACACTGGGGCATGTGGGGGGTGGGGGGCTAGGGGAGGGATAGGATTAGGAGAAATATCTAATGTAGATGACAGGTTGATGGGTGCAGCAAACCACGATGGCATGTGTATACCTATGTAACAAACCTGCCATATATCCCAGAACTTAAAGTATAATAACAAAATTTAAAAAAAGAAAAAATGTTCACTATAAATTTATGAAAATATATTTCCATGTGTAAATTGAGGTTGTCTGAAATATTATTTAAAATTTATAATTTTGATTATTTTGAATTTTGATAATTTTGAATTTGCCCAGTAAATATTGACCACTTGCAATGAATCAGATGCAATGGTGGGTGATTGGAATTCATCAGCATACCAAAAAGATAAGTCTTTTTTAGCCATAGTCTTCACCAAGTTTCCATTCTATGATGGGGAGAAAGGATTTAATGCTCAGAAAGATAAAATTACATTATTATAGTATAATAGGAGATTTATATGATTTTAGATTTATAATAGCATCTAAAATGAATAACATAAATATGAGACAACAGAGAAAGCAAGGCATGAGAAAATTATTTATTTGATTCTGATTTTGGTTTGCTTTTTGAAAAAGTGTATAACTCCAATAACAGACAAACAGAGAACCAAATCATGCGTGAACTCCCATTCAGAATTGCTACAAAGTGAATAAAATACCTAGGTATCCAACTTACCAGGGATGTGAAGGACCAATGAGAACTACAAACCACTGCTCAATGAAATAAAAGAGGGCACAAACAAATGGAAGAACATTCCATGCTCATGGATAGGAAGAATCAATATCGTGAAAATGGCCATACTACCCAAGGTAATTTATAGATTCAATGCCATCCTCATCAAGCTACCAAAGACTTTCTTCACAGAATTGGAAAAAAACTACTTTAAAGTTTGTATGAAACCAAAAAAGAGCCTACATTGCCAAGACAATCCTAAGCAAAAAGAAACAAAGCTGGAGGCATCATGCTACCTGACTTCAAGCTATACTACAAGACTACAGTAACCAAAACAGCATGGTGCTGGTACCAAAACAGACATATAGACCAATGGAACAGAACAGAGGCCTCAGAAATAACACCACACATCTACAACCATCTGATGTATGACAAACCTGACAAAAACAAGAAATGGAGAAAGGATTCTCTATTCAATAAATGGTGCTGGGAAAACTGGCTAGCCATATGTAGAAAGATGAAACTGGATCCCTTCCTTACACCTTATACAAAAATTAATTCAAGATGGATTAAAGACTTAAATGTAAGACCTAAAACCATAAAAACCCTAGAAGAAAACCTAGGCAATACCATTCAGGACATAGGCATGGGCAAGGACTTCATGTCTAAAACACCAAAAGCAATGGCAACAAAAGCCAAAATAGACAAATGGGATCTAATTAAACTAAAGAGCTTCTGCACAGCAAAAAAAAAAAAAAAAAAAAAAAAAAAAACTACCATCAGAATGAACAGGCAACCTACAGAATGGGAGAAAAATTTTGCAATCCACCCATCTGACAAAGAGCTAATATCCAGAATCTACGAAGAGCTCAAACAAATTTACAAGAAAACGAAGAGCTCAAACAAATTTACAAGAAAAAAACAAACAACCCCATCAAAAAGTGGGCAAAGGATATGAACAGACACTTCTCAAAAGAAGACATTTATGCAGCCAACAGACACATGAAAATAATGCTCATCATCACTGGCCATCAGAGAAATGCAAATGAAAACCACAGTGAGATAACATCTTACTCCAGTTAGAATGGCAATCACTAAAAAGTCAGGAAACAACAGATGCTGGAGATGTTGTGGAGAAATAGAAACACTTTTTCACTGTTGGTGGGACTGTAAATTAGTTCAATCATGTGGAAGACATTGTGGCGATTCCTCAAGGACCTAGAACAAGAAATACCATTTGACCCAGCAATCCCGTTACTGGGTATATACCCAAAGGATTATAAATCATGCTACTATAAAGACACATGCACATATATGTATATTGCAGCACTATTCACAACAGCAAAGACTTGGAACCAACCAGAATGTCCATCAATGACAGACTGGATTAAGAAAATTTGGCACATATACACCATGGAATATAATGCAGCCATAAAAAAGGATGAGTTCATGTCCTTTGCAGGGACATGGATGAAGCTGGAAACCATCATTCTCAGCAAACTAACACAGGAACAGAAAACCAAACATCGCACGTTCTCACTCATAGGTGGGAAGTGAATAAGGAGATCACCTGGACACAGGGTGAGGAACATCACACAACAGGGCCTGTCAGGGGGTCGGGGGCTGGGGGAGGGATAGCATTAGGAGAAATACCTAATGTAAATGAGGAATTGATGTGTGCAACAAACCAACATGGCACATGTGTACCTAGGTATCAAAACTGCACGTTGTGCACATGTACCCTAGAACTTAAAGTATAAAAAATAAAAAGTGTGTAACAAACAAGAGGTATGGAGGTCAGGCTATTTAAATGGAGAAGATACTTTATATTTAAACAGTCATTTTCAGAAATCCAACCTTTTTAGTTTGTTCATTCAAAACATTTATTTAATCTCTGGATGGACATATGCTGGTAAGTAGATAATATAGAGGAAGAAAACACACAAGCACATTATTTATCTTAATGGAATTTACAGTCCAAGGGATTGCTTAACTTACTTTGCTTTAGTCTCTGAATGGCTTATATTCATTCAATAGTTATACAGGTATATGCTGGAATTTATTACATATAAAACACCACATGGAATAGAAGGTGCGGAAAATTAAGAACAATAAAATAATATACTCTAAGTAAGTGTATTTATACATTTGAGGACAATACTTTGACTCTTTATTTTTAGATTAATTCAAATAATTTACCATGAAATATCGATCCTGTTGTGTTTTCTAGTGTATAATTAGTTGTTATATAAATTTTTCTATTGCTACAAAGATTCAGTAACAGTCATCGTTCTTTACAATGTTGATACATTTATCATATCTGAATTAAGACATGTTTTATCCTAAATGTATAGAAATGTAAAAAGGCAGGCAATAGTATTGAAGTTTTTAGAGCTATTAGAGTGCTTATTTACAAACATGTTAAATTTCTTCTATATTCTATTTGATTAAAAATGCTTACTATAATCTTGAATAAGCAAAGTAAACAAGTGAAGAGGATTTGTTACCTATAAGTGACACAGGCCAGTATCAAGGGCGCACTCATGATGTGGACAGGAGTCAATACGATCTGATGATCTTCCAGTGAAATGAAAGTGAAGTCCATACTAATTAGCTTATGAATCAGATTGATACTCAAGTTTCTTTGGGCCAAAAAGACTACCTACTGTCAAGCAATCAAGTGCTATCCCTTTAATTGCAATTTATTCCAAGAACCACAATTTATTGATCCTAGCATACACTTAAGCCACAGCAGTATCATTATTTGACTTTATTTTAACAGCTTCAAAAGGTTAGAAAGCTAGAAACCACTGTGAAAGATACCATTAAAAAGTTGAGTTGCTAAGATTGCTTAACACTCTATGCTGAGTAATATTAACAATACATATGGAACTACATAAAAGGAGAGGGGAAAAAAGAATTAATATTACTTAGGAACTCAATATCAGCTGGTGCTTTCTATATCAAATATCCTTTAATAATAACAAACAAATGAAAAGAAGACCAAATTGCTATTTTCATTTTACAGATAAGCAGCAGTTTAGAGAGGTTTTGTAAATAGCCCAGAACTATAATGTTACAATGTTAAAACCATCTATCAACTCTAAAGCCACATGTTTCATTTCTTACATGATTTCTTGCATAATTTTTGCATACTGACCATTCTACAATACTGTGGCCATCTTGACACATGCTTAACAATATTGAAAGTGTGAAGACATAACTCATCCATATGAATTTTGCACCCAATATTATCTTTGAAACGCAAAACATTAATGTCTGATCACTCTAATTTGTTTGCTATATTATCTTTTATGAGCCACATTTTTTTCTTTATTCAATCATTAAAGTTGTATAATTTCACTTTATAATTTTCAGCTAATTAGACAATGTACTCAGCACAATTCTTGGAGCTTCAAAGGCTATTTTTCTTTAGGTAATATTCTGTGACTATAGTGGCCTAGCGTTTGGCATTTCTTGTATGTACTTTCTGAGTAAGCCTTAGTAACTGATTAAGTGTTACAATTTTTCATGAATCTGCTGTTAACCATGGACAAATCAATACCGAAAGTTGGAGGTCCTAGATTTTCTCCTTGTATTATTCAGAACAACTCTGCTTTTAATGCTTTCAGTTTTTGTACTTCCATACAATTTTATTCACAGAATGAAGAAACCAATACTTTTAAAAATTAATGTAAAATAATGGATCTAGCCCAATGTCCTCATTTTTGCAGGTGAAGAAGTGAAGAATCAAGGAAGTAAAGGACCTGTCTCAAAGTCACACAACTAGTAAGTAATATCTGTGAACTAGAAATAGATAATAAGAAACTGAATTCTATCCATTGCATAATAATAGCTTCTCATTTGAGAAATAATATTTAAAACATGAAACCATGTTCTTATCCCTGCTTAAATCACATATGGTCAGTGCACTAATGGTGTGCCACCTGGATTTAGTCTTGCTATACACTTTGGAGAAATCTTCAAAGTGAATTATGGAATCTTCTGACAGTATTGCTCATGAGATGTTGGCATCCATTTGAGGACTTTCCATGTCCTAGATTCTTAATGTGAATCATCTTATTTAATCCTCACAAAAATATTGTAAGAAAAATGGTTTTATTTCTGTTGTAGAAAGAAATTAAGGCTCTAGGATGGTTGGTAGTTTATCCAAATATGTAGGGCTATTTAATATCTGAGCTAGTTTTTAATTCTGAATATTTCTGACTTTGAAGATGTTCACCTTTGGCATCATACAATTTTGTACTTAAACCAAAAACAAAAAACAAAAAGAGACCAATACAAATAGTATATAATCTCACACTGGTGTGATATAGCCAGCTGTGTGATACAGTGCATAGTTCAAGGTGCTAAGAGAAAACTAAATCGTGACAGATCCACTTGGGTTGACCCTGTATATGCTGTAAAGATTGGTATGCTTTTGCTATTGACTCCCAGCTAGCAATTCTTTGAAAACTGGTCGCTATGAGAACATTACATATAATGATATTTGTAAACATGGGGAAAAACATTGACAACAAATGTACATAACCGTATCACAGGTAGACATTGAGAACTTGTCCAGATAATGTGGAATGAGCATTTAGAAGACAGAGGCTACTTTAACTCTTGTAGTATGAAATAATTATTGAACAAGTAATTAGCATTTTTTTGGATGAGATGTATTTATGTGGAGTTATATAAAATCATTTTCTTTAGAGAGGAGAGTATGAACAGAAACCTGAAGGTGGAAATAAATAGGGATATATTGTCAATATGGCATATGCTAAATCAAAGAATATAGTTATGAAGAATAAGGTGTTATTTCAGAAGGTTGGAGTGGGATTTGTTGATGGAAGCTTTTGAAGCTCAATTTTCAAAATTATATTTTTACTTTATAAACAAGGAGATATTGAAGGTGTTGTTTTGTTATTATTGTTGTTTGTTGGTTCTAATCTGTACATTGCTATCATCAGAGCAATGTGGGGAGTGAAAAAATAATGAGACCAAGGTTTCCTGTTAATCTCTTAAAGATAACAGGACTTCTCCCCACACCATTAGCTGTAATCACCCGGGTTTCTATAGCAACTTTGAGGAGGTCCCAATATCCATTTTCATCCCAAATGCCCTTTTCTTCATAAGTATTGGTAGAATGAATAAATTCCCTTTCTATCTTGCCGATCCATCTTGAAAATCCCTGTCAAGTAAGGGAGAGAATAGATATCATGATAGCTTTTTATTATCCTGGAATCTCATTTCTTCCAAGATAAGAAGTCTTTCAGAGTGAAAATGCTTTTTGTGCTTTGAAGATTCCTGTTTACCTTAAATTTGCACTTCAGATGAAGGGAAGGAAAAGTAAGGGATGCTTACTTTTCTCTTGAAGAGCAAAACAAACAGGAAGAAGGTGTGTTATGCTAAAGCATTTTGATTGTATAACAAAAGAACAACAATGAAAAAGCCTTTATGCAAATTAAGACTGATTTAGTTCCTAAAATGTCAACTGCATGGTTGTAACACTTATAGAAGAAAGTGGTCTGAAAATTTTCTGCCCTAATGTTAGATGACCAATATCAACTTCTCTCCTAATGAGGATTCCTTTTTAATCTTCAGGACTCTCCTCATTTTACAAACCTTCTTCCAGGACTTACATGTATCCACTAATAAAGCTAAACAATACCACCTGGATACTCTGCTGCTTATTGTCTATGATCTTGCAAGTAATGACAGCTGAACTCTGAACAATTTACTTTGTTCTTGCTCAGTTGAATTTATATCCATGAATCTTTCTTCTGTGTTGGAATTTTTTTTTTTGTCTACATTATATTTATGACCCCAGGTCCTCTTTAGCAATGTACTCTATTTAATTTATATTCATTTATCCTATAAGCTATATATCTGCTAAGCTTATCCATTCTATATTGAATCTCTCCTCACTTTCTTAGAGAAAAATATGTATTTTTTTTCTCCTGTTCCAAACATGGGCTATCTCTCTCAAAAGCAATGCCTTTGCCATTAGAGTTCTTTTTGCTAAGTCAATACATATTAACAGTTTTGAGCTTCTAAGAAAGCAGCACTTTGACGTAGGACCTATTCAAGTAAATTCTATATATAAGGTTTGACATTTCCTTTAGCCAGGTATTTGCAATAAAAAGATGAGTACAGTTTGGGGTGGGAAAGAAAGATAACACTACACCTTTATCTATAGATGTGATAAAAGTCAAAATAGGCCAACCTTGTGGGGTTTTGGGATGAACACTGAATACCCACAGTATGTGCTGGGCACACAAAAAATTATTTGTTGAAATGCATTATTGGCTTGTAACTGACAGGTCTTTTGTCAGTTTCATTTGTCTGCGTGTGGAAGGACTATCAGTTGAAAGTTATATTGGTATGGATAGAAATCGAGCATTAAATTTCAGGCAACTGTCTCAGGAATCAGTCCTCTGCTTGCTAGAATGTTACTCATTAGCAGAAAAGGTGAGGCTGTGCAGGCACTGAGCTATAGCACTTACTATACATGACTCCTGGTAGCCAATTGTGCTGAGAACTGGCAATGAACATGGTTTCTCAGCACTGTTTCCTAACATAACTTTGATACTGCTAGCAAGACCCAGTGGTATTCCATATATAATCTTTTTATGCATTTTCAGTTGGTCTTTGGACTCAAAATAGAATGAAGCTCATATGATATGAATAAACTTACTTCATGACTCTTTAATACCTGATATGGAGAAATGAGTGAAAAAGTTTGCGTTTTTCCCAACAAGATAAATTTAAAAAAAATTTTATATTAGGAAAGTGTTAAGAAAATGCAATTGCTGAAAACGTATTTTAACATAAAAGATATAATATGGGAAACAGCTTGGCAAGGAGATCAAAAGCATGGATTCTGAAAAAAATGTTATACGGGTAAAATTGTGGGTTCCACCATTTGCTATTTGTATAATCTTGAAGAAGTTTTCAAATGTTTCTGAGCCTCAGTTCCCGCACCTGTAAAAATGTCTACCTCATAGACTGGCTCTAAGTGTTAATTAAGTTAATGCAGGTAAAGTTCCTGACACATAAGTATAAATAAGATTTAGTTTTGAGTATTACAAAAGAGTTTTATGACTTAAGCATTGTTTTAATTACATATAAAACTGTTGGTTTTTTTAAATTCCCAAATTGCAAAGGAAAAAAATGCATGAGTGAATATACAAAATATTGTTTTGTATTAAAGTTTGTTAGAGCACAACCTCCATATGTTAAAATGTTATGCATTTCTTTAGGACCTATTAAACTATACTATCTCTGTTTTGTTCACATAAATTTCCTATTCAGATGCATGAAAAGTGGAGAGATAGATATGATTCTTTGAAACTATATCTAAATCCATTTGGTATAAATCAGGAAGAGCAAAGTGTGCTACGTTGAATAGCATATCTGTATCTTGTATCTATATATACATGTATACTCACCCTTTAACATTTTATTTGGAATTTATTATAAAATGTGTACATATATAATAATGAGGGGGAAAATTCTGTTTCATAAATGGTGTTTGCAAAAGTGATTTAAAGTAATTTAATACAATATTTTCCACACATTTAATAAACCAAAATTGGGCCACTCGATTTTAGAACTATAAAGTTGAAAAGGAAAGTTTTTGTTGTCTTTTTTGTTTGTTTTTTTAGAAATTAAATAAGCAAGGTTGTGTAGATGCCAGTATTTGCTGAAGTTGCTGCAGTCGCAAACTAACTCACCTTGTCTAGTTTGTCAGATGGCTCCTTGACTACGACCTTGAATGGATATTCTCCATTCAGAATTTCCTGGGCTATTTATTTCTTCATTGCACATCTGGAACCATTTCATCTCTGTCTATAGAGAATGACTTTAGTCCCTAAATCCAACTTCCAAAGCTCCAGTTTTCCTTCACAGTCTAGTTCTAGTAGTATTTTCCAGATTTCATTACTGGTCTAATACCCTAGTCCCTGTGTCCCCTTAGTATTTTGTTTTAGATATAGCTCTTTATAGTTTCTGCCGATTGTTATTTGTCGACTTTTTTGTCTCCCCTCCTCGATTTTTTTTATTCATTCTTTTTATTTTCAACCTTCCAACCATCTAGGACAGACATAAATATTACCTAGACCTAATATTCTTGGCTACTGGAGATTTTATCATGAGTGGAAGTTGGATTTTGTCAAATCCTTTTTCTGGATCTATTGGTATTATTATGTTATTTTCTGATTTATTCTATGCTTGCTAATCCTGGCTCTTTTCATATTATTTTTTATTTGTGACTGAATTCTGGCAAATGCAAAATAGGCAAAATTATGTGAACCATTTTCTGGCCCACAAAAAACTCCCACCCATAATCCTCATGCTCGTTTCCTTCCGGTAGTCACTTTAGGAGCCACACAAAACTGGTATTCTCCTTCTGCTTACTAATTCTCTTCCACCCAAATTCTGAGATTCAGCCTTTCTGAATCTCAGGTAAGTCTTTCACTTATTTAGTATTCTTTCACTTATTTTAGTATTCACTTTTAAAAAAAGACTTAAGTCTTTCACTTATTTTAGTATTCACATTTATTAATTAGAAGCATACCATATCAATAAAGCTGCTAGAAACATCTGTATGAAGTTTTTCTGTGTGAACATAAGTTTTCAGCTCCGTGGGGTAAATACCAAGGAGCACAATTGCTGGATTAGGTGGCAAAAATCTGTTTAGTTTTGTAAGAAACTGCCAAACTCTCTTCCAAACTGGATGTGCCATTTGCACTCCCACCAGCAATGAATGAGTGTTCCTGTTGTTCCACATCCTTGACAGCATTTAGTGTTTTCAGTATTCTGGATTTTGGCCATTCTAATAAGTACGTACTGATATCTCTATGTTGTTTTAAGTTGCTTTTCCCTGATGACATGGTGAGCATCTTTTCACATGCTTATTTGCCGTGTGTATATATTCTTTGGTGAAATGCCTGTTAATGTCTTTGGCCCATTTTTTAATGAAGTTGTTTGTTTCTTATTGTTTAGTTTTTGTTTTTCTTTGTATATTTTAGATAACATTCCTTTGTCAGATATCTCTTTTACAAATATTTTCTTACAGTCACTGGCTTGTCTTTTCATTCTCTTGACAGTGTCTTTTTTCAGCTGGAATTTTTTATTTTAACGAATTCCAGTTTATCATTTATTTATTTCATGGATCATGCCTTTGTTGTTCTATCTAATGTCATCATCAAACCCAAGATCATCTACATTTTCTTCTATGATATCTTGTAAGAGTTTCATAGTTTTGGCTTTTACACTTGGGTCTGTGATATGTTTTGAGTTAACTTTTGTTAAGGGTGCAAGATTTGTGAGTAGATTCATTTTTTCATTTATTTTTGCATAGTAATGTCTATTTGTACCAGGCACCATTTGTTGGAAAGGTGATCTTTTATCCATTGCTTTGCAATTGTTTCTTTGTGAAAGATCAGTTGACTATGTTTATGTGAGTCTGTTTCTAGGTGCTCTTTCTGTTCCATTGATCTTTTTATCTGTTATTTTGCCAGTACCACACAGTCTTGAGTACTGTGGCTTTATATTAAGTCTTGAGGTCAGGTAGTGTCAGTCCTGGACTTTGTTCTTCTCCTTCTATATTGGCTTGGCTATTCTGGGTTTTTGCTTCTACATGTTAGCTTAACAATCAGTTTGTCAATATCCAAAATATAACTGGCTGGGGTTTTGATTGGGATTGCATTACATATTTAGATTAATTTGGGAAGAACTGTTATGTTGACATTGAGTCTTCTTGTTCTTGAACATGGAATATTTCTCCATTTACTTAGATTTTTAATTTCTTTCATCAGAGTTTCATAGTGTGTATCATGTATATCACATACATATTTTGTTAGATTTATGCCAAAGTATTTCATTTTCTTGGGCACTAATGTAAATAATATTGTATTTTTAGTTTCAAATTCCACTTGTTAATTGCTGGTGGTTAAGACAGTGATTGACTTATCACTGTCAATCAAAGGAAAAGTGACTTTTCTTTGTTGACCTTGTGTGCTGAATCCTTGCTATAACGGCTGATTAGTTCCATGAGATTTTTGTTGTTGTTGTTGTTCTGGATTTTCTGCATAGGTGATCTTGTCATCCGCAAGCAAAGACGGTTTTATTTCTTCCTTCTCAAACAAAGTAAATTGATTTCCTTTTCTCGTAATATTATCTATGATTTCCAGTATATTGTTTGAAATGAATATTGAGAGGGAATATTGTTGCTTTATTCCTGATCTTAGAAAGAAAGCCTCGAGCTTCTCACCAATGTGATGTTTTCAGTATGTTATATTTTTTGGTGGTGGGGGGTGGGATAGATATTTTTTACCAAGTTGAGGAAGCTCCCTTCTATTCCTCGTTTACTGAGAGATTTTATCATGAGTGGAAGTTGGATTTTGTCAAATCCTTTTTCTGGATCTATTGGTATTATTATGTTATTTTCTGATTTATTCTATCAATGTGATAAAGAAAAGTCACCTTTTAACATTTGATATAACATATAGGTATATTTGCCTATTATCTTATAACCTTTTTTCAGAGTCTTCTTTGTTAACTAAGTTGAAGAATTATTTTCAGGCCTTCCCCTATCTTTAGTATATTGTGTATACTTACTTTATACACAATACTTAGCTTCAGCACCTGGTCATTGATATCATAATATTTTATATACTAACCATATTCTTTCCACTATATATACTTGCCTGTTTAGAAATTTAGTATTTCATTTTTTATGTTAAGAAGAAAAATGAGGAAAACTTGGGTCAACTTTAATGTTATTTCTGTAACATTTTGCAGAATGAGGGAAATTTTCTTCAACAACAGAAAGTATAAATGTTCTTGTATTTAATTTATTAGTTCAAATATTGAGAAGGTAGCAAGTCTCAGTCAAGTGCATAGATGCAGGAGCTAATTCCACAACAATCCTAGAGACCTAGGTAGACAAAACCTAAAATGTACAGGAGAAGAAATAAGACTTTTCTAACAGCACTGTGCTTCTTTAGTTTTAGTAATATCTTTGCAAGAATCAAATAAACTCTTCGTAGATATCCTGGTGTATGCCATGGAAATAGCAGACCTTAATTAACTGGGCTGAGTTTAAAATTCCTTGCTAAGATTTTACCTTTTTAAATGGAAGTAAATATTGTCTTTCTTCTAGCCTTTCCATATTCTCAAACCCCTCAAAAATGAAATTAGAAAACAGCAGATTCCACTTCTTCAGGGCAGCCAATTAAATGGCTGAGGGTATCTGTTTCTGTGTCGTTTTCAGAAACAATTGTATCATTAAATCGCTGAAATTGTAGTGTCAGCAGGAAATAGAGAAAATAGCTGCCAAAGGAAGAAAATAATATGAACGGTACAGCTACTTTGATGTCTTCCTGCCCTCCTTTCCAGTGTCTAGTGCTGAACAAGCTATAAACAAAACGCGAGGGACCAAAGGCTCCTGTGGTTGTTCCTGGGTGACTTCAACCCCCCTTTCAGGGAGATCTGCTTACTGAATTTTCTGCTCCCACCTGACGCCTTAGGCAAACTGCACTAATCGGAGTCTCAGAACACAACTCTTACTTCCATGCCTCTGTTTCTCTCCACTTACTGTTCACTCACTGAATATCCTCACTTCGTATTTTACAGAAATCAATCACTTATTTATTCAGCAAATACCTATTGAAGTCCTACCTTGTGTCAGGCGTGATTCAAGCTGTTAAGATACATCCATGATCAAAGCAGATTAAAAAATATCTTTCTTTGAGGAGTTTACTTGAAGGCGGTAGCAACAAACATTACGTTATATACATAATAAATATTACAATTGTATGTTAAAAGGTGATCAGTAGAGCTTGGAAAGGGAAATCAAAAGTTAGGGGGCTGCATCTTTTAATCAGGTGCTTAGAGATTCGGGACAAAGCGTTTTGCTTAAACTGTCCTGAGAGGCTCATGACACAGTGGTTAAAAAGACAGACTCTTTCACCGGACTGCAAGAGTTCAGAATGCAGCTCTGTTGTTTATTAATTGTGTGACCTTGAAAAACTTACTTTATTTTTTCAGGTCTCGGTTTTCTCATTCATAAAGTGAGGTTAGTATTAGTACCTACTGAGTTTTATTTTACATATAGGATTTAGAACATGGGGTGTAGGTAGTACACGTTATATGCTGCATGTAGTATGTCATACTATGTGAATTCCCTCAATATTATTTTCTAAAAAGAGTGTACACTTCAATTTAGAGACATATGGGTTCGAAAGTCAAAGATGTTTTTTTCTCTGCTCACTAATCTGAACCTCAGTTGTATGATCAGGGAAGTGAAGATAATTCCTACTGCTGAAAGCTGTTTTGAGGATTAGAAGAAAGTTCATTTATATATGGGCAGGAGATCCTTGCTGAATGTCAAGCCTCTTTGCTCTCCTCTTCGAAACCCTGTTGAAATTCTTCATAGTCTTCTTATATTATCTCAGCTGGTGAAACATTTTAAGACTCCTGACATCTCTCATGGTATTTATGGTATATTAACTTCTGCAATATTATAGTTTCTTTCTCCTAAGACATTCTGGATGATTAGAAGCCATTGTTGATTTAATAGCAAATTTTCAAGGGAAAAGAAGCAACACTTTCACATGAAATGCATCCATCAGTATATGATGTGCCCTGATTTTAAAACAATTTAAATGTAAAAAATAAATGCATTATAGAATCAAGGAAATGTGTTAGTTTCTGTTTGCATGTCTTATTGCTGCTAGTGTGTGATTAACTACTCAGAAAAACTGTGATTCGATATATCCTTCTCCTTGCTTAATCCCCTACCCTGAACATTGAGATAACTCAGTAAATATTTCCTAGATGATTTAATGAATGACCACATACCTTATTGAACAAAATAACTTATTTAAATTTATACAAAAATGCCAACTGAAAGTGATCATGAGTTTTTATCTAAGAGGTATTTTTTCATCTAAAATTGCATAAAAATAAGTAAGGACACAGTAAATTTTTAGATATCAATCTGCATGACAAAATTTCAAACAGTTTGTTTCTAATAGGTTGGGAGTCTTTTTGGTGGCAAGTTTTAAAAACTCAATTTGGACTAACAAGCAAAAATGGGGAATTTCCTCTAAGCCCACAGGATTCTAGAAGCATAGTGTATAACACAAGAGCAGGAAAGCAGATGCAACTCTGACTGCTCCACTTTCAGCACCAAATTCTTTATGAACCATCTCTTACTATTTAACTAACCACTTCAAGACTAGTTAAAACACAAAAAAACTGTGAATCAGGGAATTCAGACAGGGAATGGGGAAATGGTTTGCCTCTGCTCCACAGTGTCTGGGCTTTCAGATGGAAGGCTTAATTGCTGGCTTCTCTTCAGTCTGCACTGACAGCCTCCTTCAAGCTAGACAAGCTTCTATTAATAGTCTTCTCAATGCCCTTTTAGCTTCCTCGTACTGCAGGGGTCCAAAGCCATGGCCAGATGGTTTTGCTGCTCCAAACCATGCTGTTTTTATTGCAGTAGCACTCCTCTTTCAAACCAGTATCTGCGTTAGGCAGTATTTGGTGAGAAGCAAGATCACTATGATGATACAAACTATGGCATTTATTATAGGGCTTAGATCTTATGGAATTGTGAGAGTTGATGGAGTAGTTTGCAGAAGGCATCTGCATCTGGTGTTGAGAGTGACATTGCTGTAAGTCAGCTGAACCATTAGGAAGGAAGAATGATTGTGAAGTAGAGGAGAACAAGGACAAAACTGAAATCCACAAGGATGAACTGGGACCCATAAAGATAAACTGGAATTCTTGTATGTTTCTCACCACCACCAATATTGATGGTATAGATGACCTGCAAGAGAAGTTGGCTAACTTTACCAGTGAGCCACACATGCACTTGATGCAAATTTGAGAAGTATGAGAAGGAGAATCAAAGGAGCTTAAGGGGTTACATGGCTTTTTGCTGCCCTCTGCCTATATTAAGTCAGCAGTAGGCCAGGGATGCATGCAAGCTGCTCCTGAGCCTAACACCCTACATCCACCTTTGGAGAGTAAACATTACTACCACTTCTCTACTTACAAAATCGTGTGCAAATATCTCTTGTGGCCAAATCTTACTTCAAACCATTTAGGGAATGAATTTATGGAAAATGTAGTTCCAGTTTAGTTAAGGTGATGCAATAAAATATAGCACAGGCAGTATGCATCAAGAAACTTTAAAATATTGATACCCTTTGATTATAAGCTTTTGAAGTTTTAGAAACCAAATATGGAAAAAGGAACAAAAAATGTGTTGGGGGAAGATTGTAATAAACATAGAAGATTCCTACATTATCTTATAATAACCCACAGTCAGGAGTGCAAATCTGCCCAGGAATTGGTCTCCGTGAGAATTTGCAACTTGCCTTTATTCTCTGCTCTTTGTTACTGCTACTCTTTGTATATCTGTTTTATTATTTTTCCTCTAACAGCAGACATGGTTCCTCTGTACACTCAATCCAGATGTTGGAATACACCATCATTAGCTATTGGGATTTACAAAGTACAACCACACAGAGCAGAGTAAGGTCAATCTCATAGTCCCAGTTAAAATGTCTTAGAAAAGTATTTAAGTTTCCTGTGACAGAGGGCAAGTTCTTGTTATACAAATTGACAGTTACCTCCTCAGAAACATAGATGAAATAAAAAAAGCACAATTTTCAGAAAAAAAAGTACAGGAATATAGTTCTATAGATGTCTACTAGAGTCCAACTTTTATTCCTAATCCAGTGATTTTACATTTCAAATATCTATAAAAGATTTTTCTGTATTATTTAAAATATAAAGAAATGTAGAAAATGTGAATCTTCAGTAGCAACTTAAGTAATTTTTTATACATGACAGACTATGCCATGCGCATCAAAATGGTTATGCAATTTTAAATGGTAGAAACATGTATACAATATCACATTAAATAGAAAAAGCATACAAAATGGCATATGTAGCATGAACTCAATATTGTGAAAGAATATCACTGTAGTAAGTCAGTAAAGTTGTGTGCATGTTGTAAGATTATAGGTGTCATTATTTCACACGTTCTATTTTTCCAACCTTTATATAAGAAAAGTATACTTGTATCTTTTTAAAAACAGGTATTTGTATAAAATGGCTTAACCACAAGACATTAAGCATGCGATGTACTGATTAAGTTGTTTCTAATCAAAAGCCAAGAGAGACAGACAGACCATTTGATTACCTATCAGAAGTGCAAGTAGAAAAAATATTCATGAACAGACTTCATGATTTTACATGCTATCCAATGACATGACAAATAAGCAGCTGAAAACATACAATAACTTTTTAAATTTTATTTTAAAATAGTATTACTACTCTTAAATCCCTTAGAACATGCACATTAAAAAATATATTTTAATTCCCAGTTCGCTTTCTTGAAATAAGTCATGTATTGCCCAAATGGCAAAGAGGGCAATGACAAATAAAACAAAAGGTAACACAGGCAAACAAAAAGCAACCAGTGTGTTTGCGATTTATTGTCAAATGATATAAATTGCACAATGATAAGTTAAGACCTTATCATTGAATATTTTGGAATATTAAAAAGAATATATGGGAAAGATAAAACCACACTTCATAGGCAACTCTCATATTCAACAGAAAAACAACTATAATTTCCAATGTATTAAGCTGGTGTTCCAAATTCATTATTTGGAAAATAGTAGTGAGATTAGTAAAATAAAGATCAGTTTTATCATCAAAAAGCAAGATTCTGACACTGAAGAGCTGATACAGTATATATTTTGCACAGTGTAGCCATATCTGGAGAAGGTAGAAACAATCTCAGGCCATGTTAACAAAGGTGCGAAAGAACTGGGCTAGTCAGAGATCTTCCATCGAAATGACATTTTGTCCTATCAGAGTTGGAAGTGAGCAAGATGCCATAAAACCAAAAGGAATTACTTTCTGATTCTAAAGTTCCAATGAGTTGGACTTCTGTCTTCATGTTTCCTCTATTTCTACCATTAATTAAGAAATTATTCTTTTGCTGCATAGAGATGAATTCATTCCCATCTGAAGGCCTGAACTTATGTAACGTATAATCAAATATTTTCTCTTGGTGCATAACATTTTTAATGTTTACCTCCAGCAAGTCATTCAAAGTCTCGGGAAAACTCTTTAAAATAGCTATGTTGAATCGATTTCTGGAGATAAAGTGACTTTGTTTCTCCATGTGTTTGTTTAAGTTGCTAACAAGTTCCTATGGGCAAAGAGAAGTTTGTAGGGGTGTGCAATGCACATTTTAAAAAATGATTTCTATACTCTCAAATCTTGAAAAACCATAAAAAGCTGCTCTTACTTTTTAAGGCAAGAGCACCCCAGAAACCCCCCTACCAGTTTTACAGTCTCCTGTGCAAATGCATTTTCAAGTACCGGGTGTAATTCAATACACATGATCATGAAAAATAAGAAAATAAAAAACTTAATATGTGTCTCTGAGCTACTAAGAAAATAAGAAAAATAAGAAAATAAAAAACTTAATCTGTGTCTCTGAGCTACTAAGAGTGTATTACAGTATATTTAAATCACTGATAAAAAGAATGGTTCTCAACCTTCCTTAGGATTTCTAAATTTTTTTCTGATCTGTATAGGGCCAACTGAGTCAAAAGTTTTTTTGTTTGTTTAGTGTTGTTTTGCTTTAAAGATGGAAGCTCATCTACAGGGGCAGGAAGCTTACAACATGAAATATATAAGTATTATCTCTTTATTTTATATCCCAACCTACAGACAGGATAATTTTTATAATAAAAACTCCAGAAATTGTTACTGCAATGTACAGCTGCAAGGACCCAAATCTTGTTCTTTCAAATAGGTATCAAAGAATAGACCTGGGTTCTTCAGGAGCCCTGGAACTACCAGACAGCCCTGACAGGAGACCTTCTCAAAAAGTTTGGCATTGGTTTGAGTTCTAGAAATTCTTGTCCTGATGTAAATGACTGGAAAATGAGTATTCACTTTTTTGTACTTTCTTCCTCAGGAGGTTTGGAAAGTGGAAAAAAAATAGTTTCAAATAGCACTTCTTGTAAATCTGAGGTTTTGCCACTGAAATGCATTTCTTTTCCTTCAAACTTGTCTAAGAAATGTTTTAATATATATTTAATTTATGCAAGAGCTCTAGATTTTGTTATGTTTCTCCAGGAAACGGTTTCCAAACCCAATGATATAATATAGAATATTCTAGAGATTGGTGAAAAATTGGTAGTTATTTTTATTAAATCTTTCTGGTACACACACACGTGAGACCTTACAATAATTCCTTTAATTAGCAATTATTGGGAAGTGATAGATAATAGTATGTGGAAACACATACATTTTATGATCAATTTATCTCAAATACTTATGTTAGCCCAACAAATGATAAATGATCTGGTCGTTTCTATTAGATAAATCAACTGCCATGAGAGTAAGTATTTTATTTAGGGTTCGTATTAGCTCTAAATAAAATTGATTGTTTTCTTTTTCATTTCCTGCTGAACTGCAAGATTTACAGAATAGTATGCTATCATATATATATATATATATATATATATACACACACATATATGTGCACAAATGCACACACATATATATCTGTAATATATTTATATATGTAATGTACATGATATATGTGCATGTTTAATGTCTTCAGTGCCTCTTAATTGTCTAGTAGAGAATCAGTTAATTTATCAAACAAATTAAACAACCACAAAAAAATTACAAGATCGTTTGAACATAGATTGTCAGATGTGCAGATGTTTCCTATCAAAGTGTTCACTGAAGTTTTTGTTCTCATAGTTCTATTGTATTCCAAATAAATTTTAGGTTCAAAGAATGCACATTGCCTTAAAGAGCTTGTCTTATTGATATCTCATGATCATAAATAGAAAATTGTCAAAGTACATTTTAAAAGGTAAAAAAACAAACAAACCGGTAGAGAGCCCCTTTTTCTATTTAGAAATATTATAATATACAAAAACACAAAAATGTTTATATAAAATGGATGAAAGAGGCATTTTCTGAGAGTAGGTTTTATAGATGCTTTTCTTCATGCTTCACATTTTCAAAAATGTAAAAGCAATAATTTTTGATATTTTCAAATATTATTTTCATAATTAATATTCAATAAAACCAAAATGTGAAGCAATTTGAAAGTAAAAAATGGGTGTAAAAACAATTTATCTATAATGGACCAGAGATTTAACAACAACAACAACAAACAAATAAATATTCAACTTTTTGGCTTTGGCTCATTAGCATATTTCATAATATCTAACTAATTTCTATTATTTTTCTATCAAAATTCTGTACTATAAGGTACTTTAAACTTTGTTTAGTTAATAAATCAATGTATTCACACAAAGAATATCAAAGTAATGGCTTAAAAATATAATACACATAGCCTTCTGTGTATAGTCAGATTACTAAAATGACCACGTCAGTTTAGAGGAACTCTTTTTTGGACATTAGCATTTTACCTGAATTATGTGACAGCCTTTTATTAAAGAACACAAAAATTGCCCAGTCTAGCTGCTAGCTTTTCTTATTAAAACTAAAATTTTTTTGAAAATTGTCCAATCAAATATGGTAGATTGTTTTTTAGTTTTGTTTGGTTTTTAGCTTAGCAGAAGTGAATATATTTATATAAAAAAGAAAATATATATCTACCTTACAATTAATCAGTGGATCAAAATCTCGGTTTGGACAAACATATCTTTTTAGATACTTGCTCAGATATATTTCTCAATGTGAAAACAAAATGATCTGAAAGCAGTTTCTGTTTGTTACATAAAAAAATTATTACAGTGGGGTGTAAATTTTGTATTCACTTTTGTCAGTTAAACTAATGAAAAATTATCCTTATTCTTTTACAAAATTGTTACTATACATCTGTACTCTATCCAAAATCAATTTTTAACCCAGGCAAAATTCTTCCTTTAGTCATTATTTTGAAAAATCAGGCATCAATTAACTAATTATTGAATATGATATGTATCTTACAGGTTAAACAAATTTAATCAGCCTGCAGTTTGGTTGTTTTGAAAGGTGTAGCTATTGTTTGGTATGTTCAAACAATTAAACATTTTTAATGCCTCATGACTTCTCTTTTATTTCCTTATAATAAAGCTTTTAAAGTATGAAAAAATCAGCAAACTTAAAAATAAATCAGAGATATTGTTTAGCAGTTTGCAATTCCTCATTATTACTTTCTCTTTCCTTGTAATTAAGAGAGTAAACCTAACTTAGTGTTAATTGTTTATAAAGACAGTAGGGTTAAAATTGCATGTAATATTAAAAATAGTTTGTAGTAGTGTGTATTTGCTCAGAATTCATCTTCCCCAAAAAACAAAAAGAGATATGGCCAGAATGGGGATTTAAGTGCTGCCTCAGTAGAACATTAAAACGTTTTTAAAATTGCCTACTGTATAACTAGGCCTTGTATCTCAACATGTGGCCAGCATAACAATAGTAGCAGCATTTCCTGTGTGCTTGTCAGGAATTCAGAGTCTTAGGCCCACCTCACACTTACTGAAACAGAATCTGCCTTTTAACAAGACCCCCAAACTATTTGTTGGAACTTAAGGTTTGATAAACACTCTTCTAGAATACTTGTCTCCATTTTACACTGAGTAGTAGATTGGGGAGGAGGTGAAACCTAGAGCCACCTGGACCTGAGTACCAACTTTAACATATACTAGGGAAATATCATGTTGTTTAACAATAACAACTTAAAAAATGTATTATGGCCCTCATTTAAATAAAGTATAGGAAAGTACATTATATATTGATTAAGATGGTATGTGTGTTGGTAAAATTTGAAATTTTGATTTGCTTTGTTGACTTATACATTTGATTGTTAAATTAGTTCCAAAACTTTGAGAACATGTAGAGATTTCTGATAGCAAATCTTACAGTAAGTGAGGTATCATTATTGATAGAGTATTTCAAAAGCTTGGAATAGAGGTTATGTTTTCAAAATCTAATAATGGTTATACAAAAAGACTGAGTGTTTCTTTGAAGGCGGGGTGATCAATAGGAATACCCTAGATCACAGCAGATTCTATCAGAAAATGCGCTGCATTTGGTGAAATATAGGGATCTTGGAACGCATATGAAGCCATTGAAGGAGTGCCATCTGACTTCACAGTCGGATCAGCTCAATCAACTCTGGAATCAGTGGAGAGACAGATGTCTCAGGCAACTACTATGCATATCCTTTTAATAACATTGATACTAACAATATTATCCATCTACTTGTTGGCCATATAACTTGTCTTTGAATTTCATTCTTGCTATGAAGTCATACCGACTTGCCATCAATTATTTCTGCATCAATAATGAATAAAATTTTCTAAACCCTGTGTGTTAAAAATCTTCATTCAAGCTACTACCAAGGAGATATTATAAGGTATTATTAATATCTGCATTGATACTATTTGTTTAAAGGTTGGTCTAAGAGAAGGGGTGGGCTATCAAAGCATCTAATAATTGGAATTTATTCTTATAAGGGGTTGCATATTGATCAAGTCCATTGTGAAAGCTATAGTCCCTCTCTTTAGAGAAGAGCCAATCAATCCTCAGTGTTCTCATACTTTATAATTACAGGAGAGTGAGAGGAGAGACATTATAATTTACAAAGGGTTTGCTTTATTTAAAGAAAGACATGAATCAATATAGCAACCAATTTTAAATGTTTCCAGGTTCTGCTAACTTAATTCAATGGAAGGCAATTATCCAATTTATTTTTAATTTCTCTTAAAAATTCTCACAAGTTAATTCTCAGAATTTTTTTTCCTTAGAGAACAAGTGCTCTTCTATTCTGTCCCTCAATAGCTTGTCTTAAAATCATTTTCTGAGTAGCTGTTCTGATCACTTGTAAACTTGGAGGTTATCTCTTCTTTTTGATACAATGTGGAATAAATAATACACTTATTAATATATTATATCCCAATATTTAAAATCTCCAGACAGGAAAGTATGCATAAATCGTCTTTCAGCAGACAAAGTTTAAGATTAGAACTAAATAGCAACTGCATATTAAACAGATGACATTTATTATCAATATTAAATTGCCAAATTCAGTCATTCAGTGGACTCTCCTTTCTCTCCATTGATGCCCCTCCATCTTTGCCCAGATGTAGAAAGAGTTGCAGTTACTTTGGGAGGCCGAGGCAGGAGGATCTCTTGAGCCCAGGAGTTTGAGACCAGTCTGAGAAACACAGTGAGACCTTGTCTCTAATAAATACATAAATAAATAAACAAAATTAGCCAGGCATAGTGGATTGCACCTGCAGTCCAAGCTACTTGGATGGCTGAGATGGGAGAATTGTTAGAGCCCAGGAGGCTGAGATTGCTGTGAGGCAAAATCACACCACTGCATTCCAATGGAGTGAGACCCCATCTGAAAAAGAGGAAGGGAATGGGAGGGGAGGGGAGGGGAGGAGAGGGGAGGGGAGGGGAGGGGAGAGAAGGGAAGGGGAGGGGAGGGGAGGGGAGAGAAGGGAAGGGGAGGGGAGGGGAGGGAAGAAGAAAGAAAGAAAAAGAAAAGAAAGAGAGAAAGAAAAAGAGAAAGAAAATAGAAAGAATTGATGTATATTTAGGTTTTAACTGAATAGTTAAAATGTTCATTTTTCCTCTTTAAATGTATTTTGAAATAGATTGTTTAGAAGTAGAAGCAATAGTTTCTTCAATAGCTTGTTAGGTAAAATTATGAATCAAATAATTTTGTTGTAATGCTAATTTTAATAGAATCTGTATCTTCCCCATAGTTACTTTTATTCCTGAACATTCCCATACATTAGAATTGGTTTTATTCAGAACACTTCCCTAGGTAACACAGATCAACATCTTCCTTCCTGTTCCCAGATGAGGAGTCCCTCCCTGATGACATGTTGGCACTTGGATTTCTTCACCTTTCCCAGGTCCAAATGTGTTTATTTTAGTCCTTTAAAATGTACTATTTCTTGCTGTCTCTCTGCTAAGTGAACTCTCAGATACAAAACCAATTGGTACCAATGTGCAAATTGGTTGATGTGATAATTGCCATCTCCCCTCTTTTTGAATATATTTTTGCTTTTTAATTTATTTCTAAATATTTTAACCCAAAGAAAATTACCACAAATGGAAGTGACAAGTATAATAGCAAACTTATATATTAAGGTTTGAGGGAGAAAATTGATTTGGCATTTCTTTATTAAAGTTCAGTTGTAGATGCAAATATATAAGCTAGGCTCGAGTATCCTAAAATCACTGTATATTATAGGTTTGACATATTGTCCCAAGACAACAGAAAAATCCTTAGTTCCTGTGTGAAATAGTCAGATTTGGGGCTAGCATGTAACCTCCTGACTCAGCCTGCAATTGTGTCTTCCTAACATAGCTTATTGTGTACTAGCTTTAGCTTGCATTTGTTGTTTTGTGGTTTCCTTCACTTTTATTTTTTTATGCAGTTAAGATGTGCCAACACTGCACCATTTTATCATGTATAATCTTTTTTATGGGTCTGTCATGCATTAAACTGACTGCAAGATGTTCATATTCATGGTTGTGAAGAGTACATGCTGGTCTTTCACAAGCTGATCAAATATTTAATGGGGGTTTGGTTTGAGCTTGTTAGAAACACTAATGTAATAACCCTCATGCGGATGGTTCAGAGCATAAATTTTCCTCACTCCGTCTTTTGATTTGAATTTATTTTGAAATCCTGGGACATACTCTTCACCATACTACCATTTCTGCCATTATATTTAAGATTTCAGTTACATTAATATGCATCTCTAACTAATAAATCTTCCTTCCTGGCTTTTTTGACACATTCATTTCAAAGTTAAAATGCTTAAGAGAGTAATGCGAATTCCTCTTCCGAAAAAAACTGAAACATTTACCCATGATATTCAGTAATGTTTTTGCAATGATCATTTGAATTTCATAGGAGTCAGCCATTCTAATCAGCTGTTTCTTAATTCTATATATTAATCTACTTGGGTGGCAGTTTCAAACATAAATGTGACCTACATAAATATCATCCCACCATTGTTTCTTTTAAATTTTTAATAAACAAATAAAAGAGTTGATTTTGTTTTAATACTTAAAGATTATTTATGTTGCTATCCATTCCACCCCCGCTTTTAAAACCCCTTCAAAATCGTTTCATTGCTCTGATTTGAAATGAAATCTATACTCAGACAATCAACCACATTCCACTTTGTCTTGTTATTTTTCCAACCTAATCTTGTTTATCTTATCTTCCAAACCATATTAAGCTTCTCTGTTTCTTTGGTCCCCTCAGTTTCTTCTTTATAATTCTGTTTTCTGTTTGTTGCACCTACTACTCATTTTGCATTTACAATTCTTTCCTCAACCCTTCATTTGACCAATCAATGCCCTTCTCACTCTTCATATTGCAGCTTCAATATTATTTCCTCAGAGATGTTTTCTCTGACTGCAGTGCTAACTCTGCAGTTTCTGTTAGGAGTGTATCAGACACTCTCTTACAGCAGTTCTCATTGTTTTTTTTCCCCTTTGGAGTAGTTATTATCATTATAAATGATTGCTTAAATAATTATTAGTGTTGCTGAAATCATTATTAATGTAAAGTATGTCGCATTACTAAAGCTGCATGAGAATGGAGGCTATCTTGTTTTCCACCCAGTGTGTAAATTTTAGCCAATACTCTACACACATTTCATGAAAGAATCAATGGGCTAGGCGTAGTGGCTCACATCTGTAATCTCAGCACTTTAGGAGGCCAAGGTCGGATTGCTTGAGCCCAGGAGTTCGAGACCAGCCTCGGCAACATGGAAAAACCCTGTTTCTACAAAAACCACAAAAATTTACTGGGCATTGTTGCACACATTTGTAATCCCAGCTACTCGGGAGGCTAAGATGGGAGGATCACTTGAGCCCAGAAGGCAGAGGTTGCAGTGAGCCAAGATCATGCCACTGTACTCCAGCCTGGTGACAGAGTGAGACCCTGTCTCAAAGCAAACAAACAAACAAAAATCAATGAATGAATGGAAGGAGCCTCAAATCAATGGTCTCAGTAGTAGTTTCTAAGAACTGATAAAGAGAAAACAATAGCATTAGTTGAATTTTAATGATGTCATTAAAATATGAGACCTCTCATATTGCAGGGTTATATTTTGGGTTATAGGATTGAATTCTTTGGGTAATAATAACCTAAATTTTTATACTGATGAAAGAGATGTTGCAATATCAGAAGATACATTCGTTTTTGCAAAAGGTGCCTACCAAGCACATGACAAAGCAGTTGACTAAAAAATAATGATGCTTTATTCTACCTTTTTAGGAGGAAACCTGGCCAAGATTTGCTAAATTATCAATCCATATATTAATAAAGGTTAGTGTGATTAAAACAGGGAAAATATTCAAGCTTATGTAGTCAGCTTTTTTTCCCCTCAGCTGTAGGCATTGCTGACTTAAGCAAGTCTGAGACATTATTTATCAATATTAAGTGCAGAACTGCTCAATTGCTAGGTTCTTCATAATGCAATGTACATGTGTAACTGGAATCATTATTTATAATTGAAATTGATGTTTAGACATCCCTTGTTAAATAGTTGCATAGAGATGTAAATTATTCTTTAAAAAGTCAAGAGTTTAGAACAGAAAGCTGAAATCTATAACATGTAAAGATTTTAGAATTTCAATTGGCAAGCTACTTACTGATCCACTAAAATGTCAGATAATGCATTTTAGGCATTTTATTAGAATTTCCATGAGAAATGACATTTGGTGTTTAGAAATAATTCACTGAAAAATATATTTTTTAGGTTGGCACTGTTTGAACTGAGTAGGTTGATGATAATATGAATTAACTTATGGTAGGAAGTGAAAACATGTTACTACCAAGCATTTTAGCTAAACCCCTAGCCTGACATCCTATGTTGTAACAGAGTTTTTGTACATATTTAGCTGTCTCTCGTGATCTCTCTTTAAGTACTCTTTATTGCTATAAATTAGTCTTTATTAATATCAATAAGAATGTAAAAGCATAGGTTTTACAAACACTAGATGAGTAGTTATACTTCTAACTGCATTCATCATCATTCATTTTCAATCCTGTATATCCATTCCGTTATTTAAAAAAATGTGGTGAAAATGAATTTTATGTTAAGGTGTGACTCTCTTTAACAAAAACTAATTGAAAGAAAGAGATGATATCTTTACATCACTTCCTTGTTTCCCCTTACAAAAAATATGATCCAGAGATTTTTAAAATTAGTTTGGTAATTGAGCTTGTAAAATGAGGTTCTAGAGAGCACCCACAGAAGCTGTCATCCATATAGTAGATAATGCCTTGCACATATTTTGAATTTCAGATGTACTTATTAGTTGAGTGAATCTCAGATATGAAATCTAATGCAATAACTGACTGTAAACCACAGTATGAAATGAGCACTAAGTCATCTGCAGAGGAGAAGACTGTTAAGTGCAGTTGTTTGCAAGCTTGAAGAGACAGAATCAGAAAGTAATTACAGTTTCAGAGACTGATTAATAATGCATTACAGCTAAGGTAGTCACTGTCCCCTGCCCATCCTTTTGAATCATCATATAATAAGTAGCTTATGCTGGTGGTGTCTTGCCAATAGACACAGTGTGCGTTGCCACATTTATTTCTATTTTTCTATAATGAATGATTTCTTAAGAGTTGGTCACATGATTCCATAAAAGATGGAAGGGGAGAAAGAGGGGAAGAAGGAGAGGGAAAAGCAGCAGCAGCAACAACATGTTTTTGTTTCCTGGCTGATAGCTCTCAGAAGTCTTCTGGTAGTTCTTAGCCCTATTTTCAGACTTATGAGTAGAATCACCATACTAGGCAGATGTTGCTCAATGCCTGACAAGGAAACATTCTCTGCTACTACATAATACCTTAACTACCAAATTTAATCTGATTTGAGCCAGCAGTGTTCCCATTAAAGACAAATATGGCTGGATGTGGTGGCAACCACCCCTAGCCCCAACTACTCTGGAAACTTAAGTGGGAGGATCACCTGAGCTAGGGGGCAGAGGATGCAGTGAGCCAAGATCGTGCCACTGCACTCCAGCCTGGGTGATAGAGTGAGACCCTGTCTCAAAAAATTAAATAAATAAATAAATATAAACGAACTCCCTTCTGTGGACTCCAATGTAGCTAGCAGTAATCCTATAACCCAGTTCCAGGTGGTGAGAAGTGAGGGAACATACACAGAATACGGGTCCTGGGAAAGCAATTACTTTGCTGACTAAGAGGCACGGGTAAGGCCTGACGGGAACCTGAGGCCCTTTAATATGTCCTCTGTTTTACTTCCTGTTACCCTGATTCCACACCTGGAGGTGAAGTAACTATATTATGGTCATAAGGATTAAAGTTAAGAATCAAAGATACACAAGAGGACACTTGATCTAGCCTAGACCCCTGGTAATTTTCTGAGCAGATGCTGATGCCCATCTTCTGACTTCTTGTTATGTGAGAAAAATTATCTATTTTATTATTGTACCACTGGGGTTGACTTAACCAAAGGCAGTCACGTAAAATCTTCATGGATGTAAACAGAAGGAATGCAGGAAGAGCAAGCCTCCATATTGCAATAGTCATGACTTATAAGTAGATATCTATTCTGTCAAAATATTAGCCAAAGTTTGTAAGTTTGATTTCATTTACTAGGGGAAAAAACGTAGCAACAGAACAAGTAGTAGACAGACATATGTAAAATGACTAAATAGTTAAATTTTAGATAAAAAAACAGGACATGCAAAAATAGGTTTTAGTAGTTATTCAAATGTCATATCTATTGTGAAAATTAGAGAAGTGAAGCTGGAATTTAGGATACCTTAACTATCAAGTATTAAAAATCATCATTATACATATGTATCACATGTGAGCCAAAGGTAAATTTTCTAGTGTAAGTAGAATAGTCAGACGTTATACATGGCCAGCTTATAGACCACATTGGGGCCAAATGATTTCGACAATGAAAGTAATTTTTTTATTTGTGTTTGCTTTAAAAAATCTGTTTATTAATTTTAAATTTATATGAATAGGTTGCAACATTTAAAAATTAAGATTGCTTATAAAAAACAATAGATTTTTAAAAATCTTCTCTCAAAAACATTAAAAGATTTAGCAACATGGGGTCCACCTTCCAGTAAAGTTTAGTTGCAGTTGAAGATCAACTGCATATTCTTTTAAACTTGCTGTGTTATCTTATTACTTTATACTCTCTTCTTCTGACTCTAGTTTCCAGGCATTATACTTTCCTTTTTTTGCTCCATATAAGTATTCAAAACTGCCAAATTTGTTTGACAAAAGAAAATTTTACCTAAATGTGCTAATGAAAGTTTGGCCTATGAACAAAAGTAAAATTGAAATATTTTAGTAACATAATCTGCATGGTTTCACATTATCATTAAAAAGGAGAAACTTATTCAAATCTACTTTCAAATGATAGCATAAAAATCTAATTAACTAATTAAATTAGATAGGTAATACAGGCAAAAAACACTAGCCCCCAATTATATTTTTGTTATGGTTTACCTGTACATGACAAAATGCTTTATATAGGCTAGGTTTTTGCATTAGTGTTTCTATATTGCTCAAAATGTTAGGCTCAATAGCCAGTGTCACAAGGGAAATAAACCCACTGTGTACGGAATTACATTTTCTAAACAATGTATTAGCAAACTAATAGGGATCTCTGTACAGAAAATAGAATTGCTTGCTTTGTGAATGCATGCATGTTTTGTTTTTTGTTTTGTTTTTAATTTTTTTTAATATTTAGAGACTCCTTAAAAAGCAATTGGGATCAGGTTTAAAATCTATAGTTAAAACACTCAGCCTACAGTGTAAATTGTTAGCTTCTTATTCACTTGGGAAATTACTTTGCTGTTGTTGAATCTGTATTTACCAAGCCAAGATTGAAAGCATTCTGGCTGCAATGCTAAAATCTTAATCTAAAAAATCTTTTTTAGATTAGAATAATCTCTTACTAATATCTGATAGCAGTTGCTGTTAGTACTATATGTGGAAAAATGTATGGATATGTCAGAAAAGGTACATTAAAAATCTTCTAATTTAACATTTTGAGAATTGTGTTGATTCACTATAAAGCTGGCTTTGAACATAAAACCATAGTGAATTTTCTGGAAAAAGACCAAATGAAATCATTCACAATTCAAAAATGCAAATATAGACCAAGTATATTCCTTTGGCTTTTCTTTTTGTTTTCTGTTATTTATCCAATATTATTTAATCTATTATAATGTGAATCATAATACATAACCCACTCATGCAAGGACTATTCTGAGTTGGGGTTTTTCTCTCATTTGCCCTTCAAGTATTAGGTTGTTGGGAAAGTAATTGCGGTGTCTTCTGTTACTATAACTAAGGTTGCATTTTCCAAATGTCAAAGGACCTTTACATTTATAGTAGAGGACAATATGCTAAATTATTAAATTATTGGGAATAGTATACTTTTCTTATATTTTGTATAATAGTGCACAGTCGTCTTTATCATATATGTGTGTGTGTCTATATATATGTATATCTATGTATATATACATAGATATACATATATACATATGTATGTGTATATATGTATATATATATATATAGACACATACACATAAATTACCTTAGCATCATATATATATATATTACAACACCATTATAAATTTAAAACCCAAAATACTATGTTCAGCTCACTTTGTGTCTTAAACTATCTCTTATTTTCTTATGAATTCCACAGTGGCTAATCTGGATCCAAAAGCGATTCCAAGTTTTATGATAAACCTAGAGAAAATCATTATGAAATTGATGCAGCATGAAACTTTCATGAGAAAGACTCATTTCTTAAAATATACTACTATAAATGGCATAAGCCACCAACTAACAAATGAGCCACTCTCTGGGGATCAACCAGCTTGAGTGCAAAATTGGTAGAGGCTGCCAAAGGAAGGTTAATTCTTCTCAATAGTTCCATGGGGCCTATTGCTGTGCCCTGCGGAACTGTAAAGGGCTAATGGAGCAAGGTATGTTTTACTTTAACCCACACAAATTATTTGTCGTATCTTAGGAGACATATTAAGGATGAATTAATGTTAAACATTTATGATAGTAAAATTGAGACACTCTAAAACATGCATAGAAATACAATGCAAACACATTGTTTAAAAGTTCCAGAAATTTGGTTTTGAGTTACTGTCATATTGCATATAATAAATTTAAAAGTAACCCCCAATTAATAATCTAATTGTTTAATTGTTTCATATATGAAACCTATAGTTTCATATAGACATTCCAATTTCAGAAGAGGTAAGTATACTGATAGATGTAATAAAGTTAAGACATTTATGATATTAGGTCCTGAAGTTTACAAAATAAACTACATTTATTCTGCTGATGATTTAGATATATCTCATATTTTATAGGTAGGCATACCTTACAGCTGGCTTCCCAAATCATGCAATCTGTGATTGACCTTATTTTAAAAACAAACATTTTAGAGATGAAACTGAAAGCTCAAATGATAAAAGTGACACAAGCATAATAATCAAGCCATTCATGCTAGATCTCTCATATAAAAAATGAATCATAATTATATATTTTCTAATCATGAAAATGAACTACATGTGCATACATTTTAATGTCAACTTGCTATTTCTCTTTCTTTTCTCTATATATGTTTGTAAATCTTTTCTATCCACTACCTCTCACATCATTCCCAGATGCACTTAAATGGCAAGGAAGTAGAGTTAGGAGGTACAAATCTATATTATCTTGTCCCACAGCCCTGAAGAAACTTATGACCAAGCACTCAAATACCAGAGAAAACCTGCAATTCTGAAAGGATGAGTGTGATACTTGGCTGTATAATAATGTCAAAAGAGAAAACTTGGAATTTGAAGACATAACTTCTAATCCTGCCTCAACCATTCATTCAAAATAGTCTATCAATAGTGGCTAGTGGATAGTGTTGATCACTGTTGTACTCTTGCAAGTTTCCCCCCTTGGCTTGTGTCATGATGTATACTCATGATTATTTATTTATCTGTATCATCTATTATCTCTATCTAATCTATAACCTATTTATAATTTCTCACTGACACAATGAAAACTACTATCAAATATGTATTTCAGCCTTGAGCTCTCTCCCAAACTTCAGGAATGCATTTCCAATTGCCTCACAGTCCCTTCTAATATGATGTGCCAACATAAACTCAAATTTTCTATGACAAATCTAAACTCATCGTCCACTGCCTACTCAGGAGTTCCTGATTCTTATTTGTTTACTTGTTCCTGCTATATTTCTTTTCATCAAGATTCAAAATCCCAAAGTCATCTTCTCACTTCTTAAATCTCATCCTTCACCTGTAAAAAAGTGACAAATCCTTTGATTCTGTTTCTAAAATATTTGGAAATTTCACCCTTTTTATTCCAACCTTGTCCTGGTTGGAGGCTTTTTCTCCTGTCCTATCATAATAATTTTCAATCTGTTCTTCACACTTCCAGAATATCCTTTCCCATACAAATGCATTTTGTATGTATCTACCATATTAATATTTCTACAGAATAACTGACTGTTTCTTTCCTGCTTCGTAACATTCTGAATATCTTCTCTACCTGAAGATTAAAATTCACATTTATTAGGCTAATGAAAAAATTATTTTAAACTATCTCTCACTTATAAGCTTCTGTTACCACTCCTGTATCATCACGTCCATTTATTAAATCTCCACAGCTTAAAGACCACTACCTCCATGAAGTTGAACAGAAAGCACTAGGGTGATAAATGATCTGTCTAGTCTGAACCGTGAGACTTTTCCTTACCTCTTTCCCTATACCTCTCTATGGCACCTATCGTAATGGCCCATGCATCATTTATACATCTCTCTCTGCATAGTAAGGGAAAGGTATTATGGAAGGCCTCTAACAGGCGGTGTTAGTTTAGCTAAATTTTGAATGGTGACTGAATTCAACACACAGTGAAATTCAGTAAAAACACATCGGAAGCAGATGCAAATGCATCCAAGTGGCTGGTCCTGGGAACTGGCAGTAGACTTAATGGCTATACATGTAGATTTAGGTGGAGTTTATGCCAGATTCCAACCTGGGAGCCACACATAGATGGCTTTACATCCCTTGCTGAGAAATAGCTACTTTATCTTCAAGTTGATTAAGAGCTATATGCAGGATTTTAAATTTTGAAATCCTATGATAATTGATAGTTTTGTCTTGGGAAAACTATTCTAGTAGCACTGTGAAGTGAAAATGAACAAAATAAGGAGTATTAGGGACTTTTTAAAAATTTGTGTGTGTGTGTGTGTGTGTAATCTGTACCTGTCTCTGACCATGTCTGCTGTCTTTGTACATATTGTTTATTTTTAGGTTTGTATACTCTCTCTTTTCTTCAAATATATAATTATGAGCTACAGCAACCTATATGAATAGTGCATAAGAGAAAGAGTCCAAGTTAACACTGTCAAGCTGTGTGTAATTATCAGGAATTATCGGGATGGTTTCCTGGACTGAATTGTCAAATGGTGGAAGTTATGCTCTTATGTAGGCTCCTTTCAGCATTTCTTTTCAAATTTCTGTTCCAATCTGGTCTTCAGAAAGGTTTTGCCTATGGAGATTGCTAACAGTAAAGCCTGCGGAGAGAGGAAGAATGGAGAGGACATATATCCAATCATTATTGATAATCAAGGTTGTGTCTGGTTATCTTCAACCACTATGTTTTCATAGTGTCAGGACCATTGACAGACTAAAGGATGGGTTTGTTTTACTCTGTATGTAATTATAGTTACCAAGAATGTGTTCGTTCTTCACAAAAAGTAATCTAGATGACAAGAAATTTTATATTTCATAAAATTACATTTCAAACTTTCACATTTGCTCCTGAACTTTAGCACAAATACAACAAAATTTCTCTTTCCAAGGTCAGTGAAATGGTACCTTTGGATTTCCTTAGATTGTTTTTTGGGTGACTTGCTACTTTAGCATCATTTTTATTGTCTTACTCTCTTTTCTGTTTATATGTTTGTCATGCTTTTATATATAAAGCACTTATGTTTTAGAGATAGATAATATATGCTATTCAGTTACACAAACATAGATGATAAGAATGTTACCATTCATTTATTTTCATATCAGGTAAAGGATGCAGGCAAATCTTTTCTTTAAGCAAGAGTTTATAAATTTTAAAACTTCTTATGATAGGTTTTTATAAAATACCTTATTAGAGTTTTCCTATTGAAAATCCGTTTCTAATCCAACAAAACTAAAAGGCGTCTATATATTCTACTTCATGTTAGTAGTAATCAATACTTCCATATTCCTACAGTACTAAAATACTATTTAATTGTGTATGTGCTTACTTTATCAAAAACAAAATCAATATTTTAAGAAATCAATGTTCTTTACAAAATAGCCTCAAATGGATGAGGAAGAGTGGATAGCCCCAATATGCAGAAATAATTTACTTTACCTTTTTATTCCAATGTTGGCACTGGAGTATGTAATGAAAAATCAGTTATAACATAAAATCTCATAATAGGCATTCAAAGATTCTCTCATCAAATGACAGTACCAAATCATGTCTGACTACTGACTATATTCCATCTCACTGGACTCTGGTTGTTTTTATTTTTTTAAGTAGCCACAACTCTCAAAGGTGAATAATAACAATGAGGTGAGATGAGACCTTATTGGTCACTGTGTGAGAAACACAAGCAATTAACTGGCAGAACCAGATGTGTCTGTGAATGTTGGAGGCCAGGGAAGAGAGAGAGAAAAAAAAAGTGGTAAATAAAGCTCTATGACATCTCTCCCAATGGGCAGTCCTGACAATTCGATCTCACACCAAGCTCACCTGAAAAAGCATTTTATGTCATCAGAATTACCGCGTGTGGTTAACAGTGAGGATGGAAAGCACATTATGGCTAACCTAGTTATCTTTGTATTGTAAATTGATCTTATAATTCCTAGAGTTGAGTCTGATTATACAAGGAATAATACAATGCCACTACTATCAATAACCTGAAAAAATATGCTAACTTTTCTGTTTTAAAGGTAGCTTTATGTGCTTTAATTTTCATTTGGTTCTCACAACAGCTTGGTGCCCAACACATAGTAGGTACACAATAAATAGTTGCTAAATAAATGTGTAAATGCAGGATAGAATGAGCATACAAATATCCCAATGAAGCAGAGAGTGCAATTATATTTATCTTGATTTTGTAGATGAGAGAACTGAATTTCAAAATAAGATGAGGATTCTTTGAAGATTATTTGGCAAAATGAGTAGCGAAGCCAAAACTAATACTTATGTCTTAGATTCTCAGAAGAGATTGCATTTTTGTTTAGATTTTCACATTTTTTAGTCATTCTGGTACATATAATTATAAGCTTCCTTAGTTCTTTTCTTGATCAGTATAAAGGTTAACTTTAAGTTTAGAAAAAGGCATTGTGAAGACTAAATTTTTCTCCTATGGGTTAGCAATATTAAGAAAGACAAAGTTAAGACAGTATAAGTAAAACCAGCACCTTCCTAGGTTTTTTCCCTAGTACTAGAGAAAAAGGAAGGGAAGACTGCTGATTGCATACCACATGTAAAGCATAAGTAAAATAAAAAGTAAAAAAAAAATCGGTATATAAATATTCCCAATTTGAATATGCAAAGTTGGATCTTGCATCCACATTTATAGGAAACTGGCCAAATGAAGTTTGCAATCAAATTGGTTCCCATTTACCACACATGCTTCTTCTGTGGCAAAGAAAGTTTGAATGCATAGGTACAGCAGGTTACTGGAACAAGCAGCTTGTTCTCAAAGTTCTTTTGGACTCAGCTGTCCTCTGCCCAGAGTAACAACATATTAATGAAAAAAATCATCTTTGCAGCCTTTTGCGTTTAACAACTATTCAGACTTGTCAAAATTTCACTACAGCTGTCTGTTATTAGAAGACAGTGTTACACGTAAGTGTGTCTATTCAGGAATGCATACATATACCAAAGGCTTATCAACAAAAGGAGACAATAGAGTTTCAGCCAAAAGCTTTAATGTCCATTGGGATTCGTGTAAACACTTTCCCCAAGAACCTGGGAAAGATCCAAATTTCCATTATTCCTTTCCCTTTAAAATTACATTTTTTTTTCTAACTCTCAGTGAATATGTTTCTTCCCTTTCTTTTGTCACAGAAACATTACATTCCTCATCAACCTCTTTCCTAAACCTTCCATTTATCTGCATGAGGTTTATATTGAACTTGACTAGATTTTGTGCTTCTTTATTAAAATAGGCATGACTAATAATGATAACGTTGAATTTTTTTTCTTTTGATAAGCCTCTGTACTTCTGAAATCATGTTTTCCATTTTTGTATCAGTTGGCAGGGGGCAAGAGAAGGTATATTTTGCCTTGATATTTCTTTTGCTATGTACATTAATGAACAATCTTTTTCTTTTACTGGCTTTTCTCTTAAATGCTACATACATTTCTCCTCATACCATTTTTAGAATCTTCAGTTTGTCCCTGAAACAAATGAGAAGAGTTGGACATGGATTTTATTGCTTTACACTATTCTTACATGATTTTAAGTCTCCATAAAGGCTTCTTGTTCGTGTGTCCAAAAAGAGAGTAATTGGTTAATAAAACACCATTTTACCAATTGTGAGGAAGAGTTCCCAGCTTTGATTGTATGATACCTCAGGGGATCTCCAGTTATCTCAAAAAGTAATAAACTCTGAACATATTATTTCATTAAAAGTTTTATGACATGCTGCACATTTTGGAACAAAAGAAAAGTGACAGAATCAGTGATACCAAGTGATAAGGTGCTAACACAAATGTTGTCCAAAAATGTTGTCAAATACTGCGTAGCCTGCAAAATTGTGCCCTTCTTAAAGTTTCTTCGTTTAAAAATAGTTCTAATTTTTTTGTTTAAATTGACGTCAAATTTATCGTAGCAGACACATATGTATATATCTATATTTATAAAATATAAAGAGAGGATAGTGTTGATTGTGAAAAAGATGAAGAAACTGTTGTCAGAAAGAAATTAGTTGGCGCCAGGTGTGGTGGTTCATGCCTTTAATCCCAGCACTTTGGTAGGCTGAGGTGGGCAGATCATTTGAGGTCAGGAGTTTGAAACCAGCCTGACCAACATGGTGAAACCCCTTCTCTACTAAAAATACAAAAAAAAAAAAAAGAAATAGCTGGATGTGGTGGTGCATGCCTGTAGTCCGAGCTACTCAGGAGGCTGAGGCAGGAGAATCGATTGAACCCGGGAAGGGGAGGTTGAAGTGAGTCGAGATTGTGCCATTACACTTCAGCCTAGGCAACAGAGTGAGACTCTGTCTTCAAAAAACACAACACAACAAAACAAAAAAACAAAAGGAAGAAAGAAATCAGTTGGGTTTCAAAGGAATAGTATTTATGAAATTAATAAGCCATTTTTTAAGTGAAGAAGAAAATAAGAAAAGGAGAAAGAAAGTAAGTGGAAAAATTAAAAGGACATATTTTTTCATCCTTAGTTCTCTTCAATTGTTTAGAAGTTTGAAGGATCAATATGGAGATGAAATCCGTCATCTCTGAGTACATTTGAAAAGGATGCTGAGTTGCTTAGGATTTGTTAAAACTAGTACCCATATATACTCTTGATAGGAGAGTGAGGTGATAAAATACACTGAGAAAAATTTGGCTTTATATATCAAAATAAAGTATATATCTTAGACCCAACAATTCCACTTTTAGGATTTTGCCCCATAATATATTCACACAAGTATGTAATAATTTTAATCATAAGGATATTTATTGCAACATTTTTATAATAGTAAACAGTTGGAAGCAGTCTAACCGCCCAGTGACAGACAAAACCGGTTAACACAATTCTGATATTTCTGTGCAGTGAAATATAATGCAGCTATAAAAAGAATGATAGAAACGAACTGCTTGAGGAGGTGAAAAACCTCTGCAAGGAAAACTGCATACCAGTAATCAAAGAAATTGGAAAGATTACAAATGAAAAGACATCCCATGATAATGAATCAGACAATGTAATATTGTTAACATGACTATACCTCCCAAAATAATGCAAATATTCAATGCAAACTGTATCAAAATACTAATGGTATTATTCACAGAAATAGAATAAAATCTTTAAATTTTTATGAAACCACAAAAGACCCCAAATAGCCAAAGCAATCTTGAACACAAAGAACAAAGCTGGCGACATCACACTATTTAACTTCAAAATATACTACAAAGCTACAGTAAACAAGACAGCATGGTGTTGGTGTAAAAACAGACACATAGACTAATGGAATGGAAAATATAACCAAGAATTAAATTTATGTATTTATAGCCAAATATTTTTAGCAAAGATACTGAGAATATATATTAGGAAAATGACATTCTCTTTAATAAATGATGCTGGGAACATTGGACATCCATATGCAGAATAATGAAGCCAGATGCTATCTCTCACTATATACAAAAGTCAACTCAAAATAGATTAAGGTCTTAAATGCAAGAGGTGAAATTACAAAACTACTATAAGAAAACAGGAAAAACACTTCAGGACATTGATGTAGGCAAAGATTTTATGGCTAACACCTGAAAAGTACAGGCAATATAAACAAAAATAGACAAATAAAACTATATTAAACTAAAAACTCTGCACAGCAAGGGAAAAAAAATCAAGAAAGTGAAGAGACAACCTGTTGAATGAGAAAAAATATTTGCAAACTATTCATCCTGTAAGGAACTAAGATCCAGAATACAAGGAACTCAAACAATTCAACAACAAAAATCAAATAATCCCAATAAAAACAGGGCAAATGATATGAATAGATATTTTTCAAAATAAGACATACAAATGGCACAAAATTAAATGAAAAAAGCGTTTAGCATCACCAAACATTAAAAAAATGCCAACCCAAACCACAATGATATATCATTCTACCCCAGTTAGAATGGCTATTATCAAAGGACAAAAAATAAGAGATGCTGGCAAGGATGTATCTTTTACATCCAGTATTTAAGGGAACTGTTATACACTGTTGGTGAGAATGTAAATTAGTACATCCATTATGGAAAACAGTATGGATATTTCTCAAACAATAACTAAAAATAGAACTACCATATGATGCAGCAATCCCACTACTGAAGGAAAAGAAAGCCATATATTAAAGAGATATCTTCACCTCCATGTATATTGTAGCTCTATTTACAATAGTAAAGCTATGAAATCAACCTAAGTACCCATCAATGAATGAATGGATAAAGAAAACATGATGGAATACTATTCAGCCATAAGAAAGAACACAGTCCTGTCATTTATAGCAACATGGATGGAAATGTGGGTCATTATGTTAAGTGAAATAAGCCAGGCACAGAAAGACAGATGTCATATGTTCTTACTCATATGTGAGAGCTAAAAATGTTTATTTCATGGAGGTAGCATGATAGTTACATCCCGGGAAGGATTTGTGTGTGTGGAGATGTTTGGTGGTGGATGAAAACAGGTTATTTAATTGGTAAAAACATACATTTCGATAGAAGGAATAAGTGCTCATGTTTATAATAAAGTAGGGTAACTATAGTTAACAACAATGCATTATATGTTTCAAATTAGATAGAATAAAGAACTGGAAATGTTTCCAACAAATATAAATGATAAATGTTCAAAGTGACAGATATCCTAAATATCCAGACTTGATTATTACATATTCTATGCATCTAACAAAATATCACATGTACCCCATAAACACTTTCAAATAGTATGAATCAATACAAAATGAATTGCTTGTGTTTCTACCGTAGGGTTTTATTATTTTTGTATAAACATAGTTTGATAAGAGAAAAATGAATAATAGCAGATTTATAATTAGGATGCCAATGAGATAATACTAGAACTCACAGAAACAGTACAGCTGAGTTCATTTAGAATACACACATTGTATCACAAATTAGCTCAATGAGGAGCTGTTGATACTTGAAGCAAGTGAATTCAAGACAACATAGAATTTTGAGACTCTGGTTGGATATAAAGAGCAACACATATACTTATGGAAAACTGGGCAATTAAAGGCTCTTAATTTTAATTATTACTAACTTTTATTGAGAAACTGCTTGGGGAACTTAAACTCGATTGATTAGGTTAAACTCTCATTATTACCTTAGTTTCTATATATTGTATCGCATATTTGAAAAACTTTGCTCTGTGTGGTGACAGGAAAAATAATGAGAACTATTTAGAAAGTTTACTAGCCATTTTTCCCATTAGAATTTTATTATTGTTATTATTATTATACTTTAAGTTTTGGGGTACATGTGCAGAACATGCAGGTTTGTTACATAGGTATACACATGCCATGGTGGTTTGCAACACCAATCAACCCGCAATCTACATTAGGTGTTTCTCCTAATGCTATCCCTCCCCTAGCCCCCCCCACCCCACGACAGGCCCCAGCATGTGATGTTCCCCTCCCTGTGTCCATGTGTTCTCATTGTTCAACTCCCACTTATGAGTGGGAACATGCGGTGTTTGGTTTTCTGTTTTTGTGTTCGTTTGCTGAAAATGATGGTTTCCAGCTTCATCCATGTCCCTGCAAAGGACATGAACTCGTCCTTTTTTGTGGATGCATAGGATTCCCTGGTGTATATGTGCCACATTTTCTTTATCCAGTCTATCATTGATGGGCATTTGGGTTGATTCCAAGTCTTTGCTACTAGGAACAGCACTGCAATAAACATATATGTGTATATGTCTTTATAGTAGAATAATTTATAATCCTTTGGGTATATACCCAGTAGTGGGATTGCTGGGTCAAATGGTATTTCTAGTTCTAGATCCTTGAGGAATCGCCACACTCTCTTCCACAATGGTTGTACTAATTTAAACTCCCACCAACAGTGTAAAAGTGTTCCTATTTCTCCACATCCTCTCCGGCATCTGTTGTTTCCTGACTTTTTAATTATTGCCATTGTAACTGAAGTGAGAAGGTATCTCATTGTAGTTTTGATTTGTATTTCTCTAATGACCAGTGATGATGAGCTTCTTTTCTTATGTTTGTTGGCTGCATAAATGTCTTCTTTTCAGAAGTGTGTGTTCATATCCTTCACCCACTTTTTGATGGGGTTGTTTGTTTTCTTTCTTTTAAATTTGTTTAAGCTCTTTGTAGATTCTGGATATTAGCCCTTTGTCAGATGGATAGACTGCCAAAATTTTCTCCCATTCTGTAGGTTGCCTGTTCACTCTGATGATAGTTTCTTTTGCTGTGCAGAAGCTCTTTAGTTTAATCAGATCCCATTTGTCAATTTTGGCTTTTTTTTTTTTTTTTTTTTGCCATTGCTTTTGGTGTTTTAGTCATGAAGTCTTTGCCCATGCCTATGTCCTGAATGGTATTGCCTAGGTTTTCTTCTAGGGTTTTTATGGTTTTAGGTCTTACGTTTAAGTCTTTAATCCATCTTGAGTTAATTTTGCTATAAGGTGTAAGCAAGGGATCCAGTTTCAGTTTTTTCTGCATATGCCTATTCAGTTTTCCCAACACCATTTATTAAATAGGGAATCCTTTCCCCATTGCTTGTTTTTGTCAGGTTTGTCAAAGATCAGATGGTTGTAGATGTGTGGTGTTATTTCTGAAGTCTCTGTTCTGTTCCATGGGTGTATATATCTGTTTTGGTACTAGTACCATGCTGTTTTGATGTAGCCTTGTAGTATAGTTTGAAGTCAGGTAGTGTGATGCCTCCAGCTTTGTTCTCTTTGCTTAGGATTGTCTCGGCAATGCAGGATCTTTTTTGGTTCCATATGAACTTTAAAGTAGTTTTTTTCCAATTCTGTGAAGAAAGTCAATGGTAGCTTGACGGAAATAGCATTGAATCTATAAATTACTTTGGGCAGTATGGCCATTTTCATGAATTGATTCTTCCTATCTATAAGAATGGAATGTTTTTCCAATTGTTTGTGTCCTCTCTTATTTGCTTGAGCAGTGGCTTATAGGTCTCCTTGAAGAGGTTTTTCACATACCTTGTAAGTTAGATTCCTAGGTATTTTTTTCTCTTTGTAAAAATTGTGAATGGGAGTTCACTCATGATTTGAATCTCTGTCTATTATTTGTATATAGGGATCCTTGTGATTTTTGCACATTGGTTTTGTATCCTGAGACTTTGCTGAAGTTGCTTATCAGCTTAAGGAGATATAGGGCTGAGACGATGGGGTTTCCTAAATATACAATCATGTCATCTGCAAACAGAGACAATTTGACTTCCTCTCTTCCCATTTGAATACTGTTTATTTCTTTCTCCTGCCTGATTCACCGGCCAGAACTTCCAATACTATGTTGAATAGGAGTGGAGAGAGAGGGCATCCTTGTCTTGTGCCGGTTTTCAAAGGAAATGCTTCTGGTTTTTCCCCATTCTGTATGATATTGACTGTGGGTTTGTCATAAATAGCTCTTACTATTTTGAGATACATTCCGTCAGTACCTAGCGTATTGAGAGTTTTTGCATGAAGGGCTGTTGAATTTTGTTGGAAGCCTTTTCTGCATTTATTGAGATAATCATGTGTTTTTTGTCATTGGTTCTGTTTATGTGATGGATTACATATATTGATTTGCATATGTTGAACCAGCCTTGCATCCCAGGGATGAAGCCACCTTGATTGTGGTGGATGAGCGTTTTGATGTGCTGCTGGAATCACTTTGCCAGTATTTTATTAAGGATTTTTGCATCAATGTTCATCAGGGATATTAGCCTGAAATTATCTTTTTTTGTTGTGTCTCTTCCGGGTTTCAGCATCAGGATGATGCTGGCCTCATAAAATAAGTTAGGGAGGATTCCATCTTTTTTTGTTGCTTGGAATAGTTTCAGAAAGAAAGGTACCAGCTCCTCTTTGAACCTCTGGTAGAATTTGGCTGTGAATCCATCTGGTCCTGGACATTTTTTGGTTGGTAGACTATTAATAACTGCCTCAATTTCAGAACTTTGTATTGGTCTATTCAGAGATTGGACTTCTTCTTGGTTTAGTCTTGGGAGGGTGTATGTGTCCATGAATTTATCCATTTCTTCTAGATTTTCTAGTTTATTTGCCTACAGATGATTATAGTATTCTCTGATGGTAGTTTGTATTACTGTAGGATCAGTGGTGATATCCCCTTTATTATTTTTTATTGCATCTATTTGATCCTTCTCTCTTTTCTTCTTTATTAGTCTGTCTAGTGGTCTATCTATTTTGTTGATCTTTTATAAAAAACAGCTCCTGGATTAATTTATTTTTTGAAGGTTTTTTTTTGTGTTTCTATCTCCTTCAGTTCTGCTCTGATCTTAGTTATTTCTTGTCTTCTGCTAGCTTTTGAATTTGTTTGCTCTTGCTTCACTCGTTCTTTTAATTGTGATGTTAGGGTATCGAATTTAGATGTTTTCTGCTTTCTCCTGTGGGTATTTAGTGCTATAAATTTCCCCTAAACACTGCTTTAAATGTGTCCCAGAGATTCTGGTACATCGTGACTTTGTTCTCATTGGTTTCAAATAACATCTTTATTTCTGTCTTAATTTCATTGTTTACTCAGTAGTCATTCAGGAGCACATTGTTCAGCTTATATGTAGTTGTGCAGTTTTGAGTGAGTTTATTAATCCTGAGTTCTAACTTGATTGCACTGTGGTCTGAGAGACTGTTTGTTATGATTGCTATTGTTTTGCATTCCCTGAGGAGTGTTTTACTTCCACTTATGTGGTTAATTTTAGAATAAGTGTGATGTGGTGCTGAGAAGAATGTATATTCTGTTGATTTGGGGTGGAGAGTTCTATTGATGTCTATTAGGTCCACTTGGTTCAGAGCTGAGTTTAAGTCTTGAATATCCTTGTTAATTTTCTGTCTTGATCTGTCTAATATTGACAGTGGGGTGTTACAGTTTCCCACTATTATTGTGTGGGCGTCTAAGTCTCTTTGCAGGTATCTAAGAAATGGTTTCGTGAATCTGGGTGCTCCTGTATTGGGTGCATATATATTTGGGACAGTTAGCTCTTCTTGTTGCATTGATCCCTTTACCATTATGTAATGCCCTTCTTTGTCTCTTTTGATCTTTGTTGTTTTAAAGTCTGTTTTATCAGAGACTACGATTGTAACCCGTGCTATTTTTGCTTTCTATTTGCTTGGTAAATATTTCTCCATCCCTCTATTTTGAGCATATGTGTGTCTTTGCACGTGAGATGGGTCTCCCGAATACAGCACACCAATGGGAGTTGACTCTTTATCCAGTTTGCCAGTCTGTGTCTTTAAATTGGGGCATAGCCCATTTACATTTACGGTTAATATTGTTATGTGTGAATTTGATCCTGTCTTTATGATTCTAGCTGGTTATTTTGCCCATTAGTTGATGTAGTTTCTTCATAGTGTCGATGGTCTTTACAATTTGGTATGTTTTTGCAGTGGCTGGTACCAGTTGTTCCCTTCCATGTTTAGTGCTTCCTTCAGGAGCTCTTGTAAGGCAAGCCTGGTGGTGACAAAATCTCTCAGCATTTGCTTGCCTATAAAGGATTTTATTTCTCCTTCACTTATGAAGCTTTGTTTGGCTGGATAAGAAATTCTGGGTTGAAAATTCTTTAAGAATGTTGAATATTGGCCCCCACTCTCTTCTGGCTTGTAGGGTTTCTGCCAAGAGATCCGCTGTTAGTTTGATGGGCTTCCCTTTGTGGGTAACCCAAGCTTTCCCTCTGGCTGCCCTTAACATTTTTTCCTTCATTTCAACCTTGGTGAATCTGACGATTATGTGTCTTGGGGTTGCTCTTCTCAAGGAGTATCTTTGTGGTGTTCTCTGTATTTCCTGAATTTGAATGTTGGCCTGTCTTGCTACGTTGGTGAAGTTTTCCTGGATAATACCCTGAAGAGTGTTTTCCAACTTGTTTACTTTCTCCTCATCACTTTCAGGTACACCAATCAAATGTAGATTTGGTCTTTTCACATAGTCCCATATTTCCTGGAGTCTTTGTTCATTTCTTTTCATTCCTTTTTCTCTGATCTTGTCTTCTCGCTTTATTTCATTAAGTTGATCTTCAATCTCTGATATCCTTTTTTTCCCCTTGATCAGTTTGGCTATTGATACTTGTGTATGCTTCACAAAGTTCTTGTGCTGTGTTTTTCAGCTCTATCAGTTTATTTATGTTCTTCTCTATACTGGTTATTCTAGTTAGCAATTTGTCTAACCTTTTGTCAAAGTTCTTAGCTTCCTTGCGAAGGGTTAGAACATGCCTCTTTAGCTCGGAGGAGTTTGTTATTACCCACCTTCTGAGGCTTACTTCTGTCAATTCATCAAATTCATTCTCCGTCCAGTTTTGTTCCCTTGCTGGTGAGGAGCTGTAATCTCTTGTAGGAGAAGAAGAGTTCTGGTTTTTGGAGTTTTCAGCCTTTTTGTGCTGGTTTCTCCCCATCTTTGTGGATTTATCTACCTTTGGTCTTTGATGTTGGTGACCTTCGGATGGGGTCTCTGAGTGGACGTCCCTTTTGTTGATGTTGATGCTCTTCCTTTCTGTTTGTTAGTTTTCCTCCTAACAGTCACCCCCCTCTGCTGTAGGTCTGCTGGAGTTTGCTGGAGGTCCACTCCAGTCCCTCTTTGCCTGGGTATCACCAGCAGAGACTGCAGAACAGCAAAGATTGCTTCCTGTTCCTTCCTCTGGAAGCTTCATCCCAGAGGGGCAATTGCCAGACGCCAGCCAGAGCTTTCCTGTATGAGGTGTCTGTCAGCCCCTACTGGGAGATGTCTTCCAGTCAGGATACATGGGGGTCAATGATCCACTTGAGGAGGCAGTCTGACCCTTATCAGAGCTCGAACACTGTGCTGGGAGAGCCATGGCTCTCTTCAGAGCTATCAGGCAGGAATGTTTAAGTCTGCTGAAGCTGCACCCACAGCCGCCCCTTCCCCCAGGTGCTCGGTCTCAGGGAGATGGGGGTCTTATCTATAAGTCCCTCACCTGGGCTGCTGCCTTTTTTTCAGAGATACCCTGCCTAGAGAGGAGGAATCTAGAGAGGCAGTCTGGCTGCAGCAGCCTTGCTGAGCTGCAGTAGGCTCAGCCCATTTCAAACTTCCTGGTGGCTTTGTTTACACTGTGAGGGTAAAACCACTTACTCAAGCCTCAGCAATGGCAGACGCCCCTTCCCTCACCAAGCTTGAGTGTCCCAGGTCAACCTCAGACTTCTGTGCTGGCAGTGAGAATTTCAAGCCAGGATCTTAGCTTGCTGGGCTCCGGGTGGTGGAGGGGGGACCCACAGAGCCAGACCACTTGTGTCTCTGGCTTCAGCCCCCTTTCCAGGGGAGGGAATGGTTCTGTCTTGCTGGCATTCCAGGTGCCACTGGGGTATGAAAACTAAACTCCTGCAGCTAGCTCAGTGTCTGCCCAAATGGCTGCCCAGTTTTCTGCTTGAAACCCAGGGCCCTGGTGGCATAGGCACCAGAGGGAATCTCCTGTTCTGCGGGTTGTGAAGACCGGAGCTGTCCCTATTCGGCCATCTTGCCAGCAAATCTTCCCATTAGAATTTTAACTATAAACTATACTACGTGAATTTTACTTTTTTGTTGTTGTTGTTTTCTTACTACTTATGTTTATCAAACAATTAATCAGCTGTTGATACAGACTATCAGGATGGAATGGTAACATTTAGAATTGTAAACTTTTAAAATGGGAATTATTTTAGAGATTTTTAACAATGTATAGGATTTATTAGTGCAATGAATATAAGATTGGCCTTTCAGAGATATATTATAAAATGAATACATAGTGAGTCAGATTAGTACACCAAGTTTTCTATATGAGAGCAATGACACTGGGCTGGCAATATTTGATTGTGAGTTACTTTATGCATTAATATATTTAATGGGAAAAAGCATCAGTGATAGAGATAAATTATAGCAATGTAAAGATACAAACTATTTCCACGAGTATTTGCCTTACCATTCATATGCAAATATTTAGTTTGCTTGACTGTATTATCAGTTCTAAATGTATCTGCTTCCAGCTATAAAAACCAGCTGTTATGACCTGTAGTGACTCCAGGCCTACCAATCTTCTGATGAATTGCCTAATGGGGTTGATGGTCTACAGGGTGAGAGAGCACTGCCTTGGCCAATGTAAGGTCTGCTTAGCAATTATAATGTAAAATTTACCTTCAGGAAGTGAGTATTCTTCCCTTATAAGGACCTTGACCTGACAAAAACCTCCTACACACATTTCTAGAAAGATCTGCACATTCAAGGTCTCCATTTACATCTAAGGATTATAAATTCTACAGATGTTAACATCTTTTTCATAATCATGCAGCTAGTTTATAGGGTAGCTGAAATTAACATCTCAGTCCCTTGCCTTCCAGGGAAGTTCTTTGTCATATTCATTCTGGCATTGAAAGCACACACATTACAGATTTCTGACAATTATAACTCATAAGTTAGAAAAATAGACAATAGTCCAAAATATTCTGCAGTTAATAAGTTCTCAATGATTATCCATTGTTGATGATGATAATAGTAGTTCTACCCAATATTGAGTGTGAAATTACTATGTAAAAATAGATTTTAAAATGTGAATATTAAAAAATATAAATGTATATTACATTTACAAATGTAAAATAGTAATCCCAGAAAAGTTAGTGACCAACACTTAATTGAACATTTACTACATTATCAGACACTCTACAATGGCAATGCATGTATTCATTAATTAGCTTAATAATGTAGTGACAGTGAGGTAGCTTCTATTTCAGCTTAGTTTACGGATGAAGAAACTAAGCATTGAGAAAGTTTCTAGGTACTTTCTAATCAATGAACTAGATGGGCAAAATATAATTAAAAATATCTCAGTGCCTTCAAGAAACAGCTGGTCTCTATTTTCAGTGCTTAAATATACAAAGCCTTATAAAGCAAGTTAGAAATTAAATGTCATGGAACTAGTAGAGAATGCCTTTCAGTGACAATAATAATTATTATTATATTTGTTAGATATGGTATGTCTTTCAGACTGTGCTAAATATATACATACCTGTGTATATATTATATATGTATATATGTAAATTTTCATTTCTTTGAAAGAAGGCATCACAATCATGGGAAATGGGTCTACCTTGTATTTTGTCTATATCTTCACATTTTATTTATTGTGTGATAACAAAAACTAAATATTTTTGTCTGAGAATGATGGCAATTAAGTGAAAAGTATTAAACAAATGAGTGTGCATCAGCAGAATGAAAAGATGCATTTTAAAATTCAGTCTGCAAGAATTCTCTTTGAACTTAACTCTAACATATTCTTTTATCGTTATTGGAAATTGAATGCATGGCTTGGCAAGGATCATATCGTACTATAATTGGAACCAATGGAACTCTAATTTGGCAAATAGGTTCCTTTGTTGAGTAATGGATCTTTTACAATATATTATTATTGGAACCTGTAATGCATTCCTAATTTTAACTTTTCAGGCGAGGCAACCTGATTTCTATTTTAGGGAACAAGCAGTTACATTCCCTGCCAGGGTAAAAACCTATTAAGAACTATTGCAGAAAATAAAGAAGATTGTTGTTTGATTTAGTAGTGATGAAAAAGAAAATTCATGATATATGTTTTTATTATTTTATGTTTTTCTCTTTAATGCAAGCGCCTCCAAATTAAAGGATAACCTTGGACTGCCAATTTCTATGTTTTGCATATATTTTGTTACTCTTGGGAACCATCTTTTTCTGTCTGATATTTTGGATCATTACAGGTAGAAATGCCCATATTCCTTAGACGTGTTGCTTTAGAAATGCCATAGGAAATAGCCACCATAGTAGCAGAGCTTTTTAATATGAAGGGTGCCTTGGAAATGCCTTATTTCTATGTCTGAAATGTTTGCAAGTGGTTGGACTAGAGCTGACATAATCCGAAGTAAACATTCAAGCAGATACTTACTGTACCAAAATTCCTGTCATTTTCCAGTAGCTGTAATTAAAGAGCTAGAGTTGAAACTCATAGTTTTACTTTTAGTACAGAGCCAAGAATTAGTCACATTACTCCATATGAATATGATTTGTAAATTGAGTGATTATTGATTCATTTCTGTATTCACACATTATTTTATCCTAGAGTGTACACCAGCAACTTGCATATTTTTAGGGAAAAAAAAAAAAACACAACTCATTACAGAGATGTGCCATCTCTAAACTCTAAGCATCACTGTTACTCAGGCTCACCCTGGGAATTCACTTTCCCTACTGGAAGAAATACTTGCTGGAAGAAAAACCCAGGCCAAACAGAGTATGTTTGCCTAACCTCTGCTTTTTCTTAGAATCATGAGGCAAGTGAAAGAAGATAGTCTAAGTCTATGCCTCCCACACTTGGTGTGCAAAGGGATATACAAAATTGAAGGACAAAATGGTACAGTTTCTTGTAATTTATTTTTATTTATATGATTCAAATACTTAAAAAAATAATGTTATAGATGGTGCCACAAATTAAATTAAAAATAAAATTCAGTTTTCTCATGCAGTTGCAGCACACAACATGGCACATGTATACATATGTAACAAACCTGCACATGGTGCACATGTACCCTAGAAATTAAAGTATAATAAAAATATATATATATTTTATATATATATATATATAAAATTTCTGATGCAGACTTTCTCCATTTGTGCTCTATGTTCCCTGGAAACTCAGATTTACCATACTGTGTTATTAGGGGCTTATCAATCAAAAAGTATGAGTAGCACTGTTTGAAGTGGATGGGCATTGTCAAACTCTTCTTTTCTAATGAAGAATGGGAAATATTGTAACCTTAATTACAGAAATAAAATCAATAAATCTAGTGAATTCAGGAGAACCTGAAGTGGTCAACAAAACCTTAAGAAAAAAGAAACAATCTAAGAGAGGTCAATCGTCATTATATTTATTTTTGCTACCTCAGAAGCAATGACAGTGAAAACCATGCCTGGAATTTCACTACAGTAAACTGAGGATTGTGCAGAGGCTGAGCTACTTATATCTCACTCCCAGATACCTGAGGTGTCCCTTCCTGTGCCAATGACATTGTTATTGAAACACTGATGGTTCAATCTAGGTCTTGCAGCTCACTGCACAGACAGCCAATGACTGAGGCAAGGAGTAGAGTATTGACAAGAAAGAAGGCTTTAATCGGGTGCTGCAGCCAAGGATATGGGAGATCAGTCTCAACTCCAGATCCATAACTGACTCGAGTTAGGGGTTTATATAGCAGAGAAGAAATTTAACCATGTGTTAGAAAATACAAATTAGGTTGGGGTAAGGAAACAAAATGAGATGTCTAAGTGAGTGATCTGGTGAGTCTCAGTTCTTGGATGCTTTTTGAGAGGCATGGCTGGGTGAGGGGGGTCCTTTCCTGAAGAAGGAACTCAGATAAAACGAATATAAGTTTCAGGCTTTGATACCAGAAGGGTCAATTTCTATTTTTATCCAAAAGAACTACTTATGTGACTATTGGGTTGGTTTCAATATTACTTAATGCAGTAAATAGAAATTTAAAGAATCCAGACGTTATTTTTACACAGAACAAGAATGCAATTGAATAGAAAATACTTTATCTAATATTAAATTAGCTGATTGTGTATACTTTGAATCATCTTTATGGGCATAATCTTGTGCTTTCTCCCATCTGTGGTTCATGTTTAGTGGTGATAAATAGTTGTGTACTTGTGTAATTATGTTGCCATGTGGTTCTGTCTGTCCTTTAGAATCACTGTCTGTAAGGAACCTTACACTGAGAAAATGAAGATTATTCTCTTGGTCAATGTGGACAGTTAGTCTGAGATCTGAGGAAGCCGTTAATTGCTCTCCCTTCCATCTTCAAAGTAGCAAAGGTACAGAAAGCCCCACACACAATTCAAATTTGACTTCTTCTGCCACATCTCTTCTGCTCCAGCCAGGGAAAGTTCTCTGCTTTCAAGGCTCATGTGAATAGATTGGACCCACCCGGGTAAGGGTAACGTAGGATGATGTCAATATCATAAAGTTCATACTTTAATTACATCTGAAGAATTCCTTTTGCCATGTAAAGTAGCATATTTACAAGACCCAGGAAATAGAATATGGATATATTGAAGGACCATTCTGCCTACCATACTAAGGAAACAGAGAGTGATGTAAACAAATAAGATATTTAATAAAAGTATGTGAATGCTGTGTAATCACAGAGAAGGGAGTAATCGGAGAACCTAAGAGAAAGCAGGTCTTACTCAAACTGGTGGAGCTGGGACTGATTTAGTTTTGTTGTTTTTGGCTTATCACAAATACTTGAACAACTACTTCTCTAACAATGATGGTAGTTGATATTCTTGGTAATTTCTCCATGTGCTAAAAGCAATCACCTCAGGTTTTAATAAATTTGAAAATCACCTATAGTTTGGGTGAAACTGAAGCTTAGGTGTTATGGCTCTTGCTCTTTTAGCAATGAAACTAATTTTATGTCTTTAATTGGTGTTAACCGAAATCTTAAAATATCCAGAATTGTTTGATGGTCTTTGTTTTTAGGAAAAAGGAGCACATAGCACAAAACATTAAAGGGTGTGTGTGTGCTAAAGTAAAGCAAAAATAGACATTAAGGCAATCCATGTATACAATATCCTTTAGAGATTTTCAACAATGATTAAAGACCAAAACTGTTTTTGTAAAGATGTTCAACGATTAAGTTTTCCTCTTTTATCAGTATGTCGTATTAAATCACCATAACTGTATTGAGAAAAATCCATCTGACTAGAAGAACTTACTATGGTAAATTGATATTATATTTATTCTTAAGGAAAACAAATGGATGTCAAACCATACAATAAACAAACGTGGCGTTCCAAAACCTATTTTCCATTATTGCTACTCCATTTAGTATCAGTAAATAAACATTTAATTTGTCATTTAGGTTACAGATATCAAAGATAGTTGGTAAAGTGAAGAGAAAATAGCACTGGCCTGAAGTGAAAGGACAGAAATTACAATCCACCTAATTTCTGATACATTCTAGCTACATAATTTACCTCTTAGAAATTCTGAGCCTATTTGCTTATCTCTGTAAAGTAGAGGTTAGATTAAACAGTCTCTGAGGTCTTTTCCAACTATAAATATTTAGAATTTTCTAATGAGATAAGAAAATGTCCAGAGAAATGTATGCATAAAATCAAAACAAATGGATACATCAGTCATTTTTTAGGAGTTTGACTGTTTTCAGTTAAAAATGCAAATGTTTTCTGGGAAAAAAATAAGGCTTTTGAGTTGACTTGATTTACAGTCATTGTCCAAATTGTGGAAAGCACCACATAAAATAATTGTTTTTAATGGTTTTTATGCTTTAGCTTGTAACCACCCAATAATGTGACTCTTTTCCCCATCTTTTTGCCTTTTCCAAATTAGATATTTTATCTTAATGGAATTTTTTTCTTCCTGTATTTTCAATAGATGAACATCTCATTGTACTCAGAACCACTGAACATTATCAACTCATTTGAGGTTTAGCCTGGCTGGTATCTCTCTTACTCTTTATCAATAAACTTGGGAAATTGGGGGAAAAAGGTTTTTGGGCAGTGTTTACTGAAACAACCAATATAAAAATGAGATATTGCCAATTTCCAATCAAGACACCAATTCAGCCAAATGTTTCATATATTTTGCAATAATGTCGATAGAACTTTGTAGATTCCTGGACACTTGTCATGCTCAATGTTTATTACAGAATATGCCATAAGTAATGGAAAATCAGTGAAAATCTGTCACACATTTAAATTGTGGGTTTGCAGAAGGCATATTACTGAGCAACCACAGTAAGAAATGCAGAAAACATTTTGCCCACAATATTTATTCCTTGCTGTTCTTAAGAACATTTCAACAAATCAGTAGTAAGACCTATCTAACTCCATGTCTCACCTTGGTGTCTTTGCAAAAGTCATCAGCAGTCACTCTGGAGACAAGTGGCTGTTCTTTCCACCAATGAAGGCTAGAATTACATCTCAAAACATCCCCAAGGAGTATAACTTAACAGTGAATTTTCCCAAACTTTGGAAAATGGATGTATAATTTAAGCTTTTGCCATCATGGGGAGAAAGGGGATTCATAAAGTTACTGCCCACTTTATAATGGAGTACTTCCTTTTATCTTACTGTTAGACTGTATAAACTCCCAAGGAGTATCCTAAACTTAATGATGGAGCAAGTGTGAATAAAGTTTTTCTAACATGATTTAATATCCTACGTGTTTTACTTTTTTAGCCTTTTTGTTTGTTTGTTTGTTTCTGAAGAATCTACAGTAAATAATATCAAATGCTGGATCTCCTCCTCTAAAACATTGTTAATTCTGTATAACTTGAAACAATGTCCATTTCTAATGTGTGTGTCTGTTTTTAAATTGATATACAGAGAAAAAACTGCATATTAGTCTAAGGAAAAAGAATCATTATTTACAAGATAATGAAGTACAGATTTTTCCAATTTTTTTTCTATACCTCTTTCAGGAAAACCCCAATATTTTTTCTTGAACTTTCTAGTTGTGTACTTAATTTTGATGTGGAAGCAGTAAATAAAGAATTCAAGGCCAGAGATTTCAAGAATGAAATTCTGTATTAGCCATTATCTGCATGATCCTGGTTATACTACTGAAATTATAATATTTAAAGTGACATCAATAAAACTTCCTTCACAGTGTTCCTATTCTTTGCTTTATATGTCCAGTTTATGAGAAATTATTCATTCAACAAATATTGAATGAACATTTTACTGTAAACGATCATCTGGAATACAAAAGTGGGTAGTATTGGCCATTATTTGTAGTGACTTATTCTTTTATGTAACTTACTAACTAATGTAACATTAATTTATATACACACATTATAACACTCATTAAGTGTTCCTCATTCAGTAACATTAAATGGAAGAAACTGTATTTTATGTGTTGGGGGCTTAATAAAATAGTGGAAAAAAAAACAGAAAAATCCTACAGTCATTCATCAGGAGAGTGCCGGAAAGTTAAATAAATTAATTAGTGTATGATTTCAGGTGGTTAAAAAAAAGAACAAAAAAGGGATGTTTTTGACATATTTCATTTGATTTCACTAGATTTTGTTGGGTAGCAACCAACCCTAAGATTGCCCAAAAATAACAGTTGGTTCCTCTCTTATGTTACATGTTTTCTGTGGGCTATTTTGGGTCAGTCTTCTGAACTTAGCTTGTGTCTTCTTCACTCTGATATCTAGGCTGTACAGATCATATGATCTTTGTAGACAATTTTTGAGACTTTTGCTTTTATTCCAAGAGAAATGAGAAGGTATTGGAAGGTTTTGAGCAGAATAACATGATCCATTGTATATATTTTTATAAGGGTGATGTCAGGAAGAACAGCTGAAGGCTAACACTATAAGGTGGTTTGGACTAGGATAGTGGCATTAAGAAAGGGGAGAGACAAGTAGTCTGATTTCAGAGACATTGAAGGCGGAGCTGAAGGATGTGCTGACAGATTATAGGTGAAGTGTGAGAGAAAAATAGATTCAACATGTCTCCTCAGTATCTTTTACTTGGGCAATTGAAAATGTGCTGTCTTTTATGAGGATAGCTTTCAGGATTAATTATAATAAAATTACGATGAATGATTTACATTTTTCCTGGGTTAGGATTAACGCCTTAGAACTTTTCATAATATAGGGACCAAAATTACTTAAAATAATGGAGAGCTTACTCTAAGGCTACTTAGTGCATGGAAATTTAGAAGGTCCAGTAACTTCAGCAAAAATGTAAACCCATTAACCAGATCTTTACTGTAGAAAACAGCCATCACTGCCACTCAGATAATTCCCCGGTGCACTTATCAGTACTATAAATGAGTGGCTCCAAGGTGCATTAATTCAGTGGCTCTTTCAAATTTTCTTTACGTCTCCATTAGTTTCCTCTGGCTTCTGCAACAAATTTCCACAAACCTAATACCTTAAAACAGCACAAAATTATTTTTGTACAGTCCTGGAGTCCAGAAGTCTGAAATAAGTTTCACTGTGTGAAGTGAAGGTATCTTCAGGGCTGCTTTCCCTTCTGAGACTGTAGAGGAGAATTTGGTTCCTTTTCTGTTCCCAGAATCTAGACCTGCGTTTCTTGGCTTAGGGCCTCTTCCTCCATTTTCAAAGCCAGCAGTGTAGCATCTTCAAGTCTCTCTCTCTGCTTCTATCACATTAAATTCTCCTCTCTATGGTAAAATCTACCTTTGCTCCACTGTTTATTAAAAACACTTGTGATTATATGTAGGGTCCACCCAAATAATCTCCGCTCATCTTCCCATCTCAATATCTTCCCTTAATCATCTCTGAAAAGTTTCTTTTGCCCTATAAGGCAACATTCAAACATTCAAGGATTAGGATGTCAAGGATTAGGATGTTGACCATGTTTTGAGACCATCATTCCATCTACTACATATTCTTTCTACTTTGCCTCTGCATCTGGTTGACTTTGTCCTCAGCTGCCACTCCTGGTGACTGCATGATGGCTGCTCTTTTTAGGAAACCCAGGGAGACTCTAGTGTTCAGTGGAAGAGAAAAGGCCCCATCTGTCTGTGAGTCTCTATTTATCACTGAAGAAACCTTTCTCAGAAGCCCCTTAGGAAGTTTTTCTTCATATCTCAAGAGGAATCTCACTATATGCTCATTCTTAAAGAAATTACCAGTAAGGAGCAAAAAAAAAAAAAAAAGTGTAGATTCTCTAAACAATGGAATTTGTTTTTAAAAAAAGGAAGGTCAGACTGTTAGATGGGTCAATATTAGCTAAACAACAAACAGTTCTCTAGCTTTAGCCTAGCATTTCTAGATCAAGAGGGTTTATTTTATATTCAACAGTATCTGTAGGATTTTGCATGTGTACTTCCTTTGTTGAAATATTTTTATTTAATTATGATGCTAATTAACAATAATTCCTCCCAAATAACAATGACACTTCATGACCTTGACACTTATTTATTATACTTTATTATCTGGAGAATGCTTCTGTTGTCTTTTTGTCTCCTAAACATAATGCATGTCAGCTATAAATGCATTTTTAAATAACACATCTCCTTTGCTCTCCTTAATTAAAACCAAAAATAAAAATAATGTAAGGAAAATTAACCTATTGCAGGAGTCAATAATATAATTCCTTAATTTCTTACTCTATGCATATATTATAATGTATGTCATTGGAATCTGTAATTTTTAAACATATGGAGGAAAGTAAAAGAGAAGCTTTCCAGAATTAAGCTGCACTGTGATACAACTACAGCTTTCTCATGTAGTACCATAATCCTGAAAGCAAATGTCTGACATTCTTTTTCTTCAGTCGGAACCTGATTTATGGGTTTACATGTGCATCAATGCCTCCTTTAGATCGTTGCAGTATGAAAAAGAGTAAAAGAAGCAGCTTAAGATTGTCTTTGTCAACAGTTCTGGGAAATAATAATCAGCCTGTCATACAAAGGGAACAGGATAGAAGAGTACTGAGGGAAGAAATACATTGACTACTATTGAATAAATGAACAGTATTTTGGGTACCTTCTGATATGCAGTTTGTGGATAGCAGCAACCACCCACTCACAATCACCATTTAATGTAGTTATTTTTACACACCTTTGGGGAAGCTCCTGGATAATGATTTGAGTATTAAAATTTCAGTAATGTATTATGGTCATCCTGTCAGATTTTCTTTGTTATTTTAATTCATGATAAGCATTTAGGAAAAATCCAAATTGACCAAAATGCCAACTTTTAAATTTCACTGAAACAAATGAATATATGAAAATTTAACTATAACCCTTTTTACCCTACCGCTCCTCAGCAGCTGCACATAAGGGATCTGTTTTTCTCTGAACACTGCTTAAGATTCTATCTGTACCTCTCTTTCCATACATTTTATTCTATTCTTTATTACAATTTCTTGTATACATATCCTATGTACCTTACTATATTTTAAACCTCATATGCATAACAAGTACTTTAAAATACATGTTGAATAAATGTTTAGTGCCAAATTATATGGCAAGATTTCCTATTTAGCCCTTTGTTTACAATGTCCTAGAGTGCTGTGTTGAATAAAGAACCTTCCGATATTAGAAGTCATTTTCTTTTTCTTTTTCTCTTCTTTTTCCTAATTAAAGACCAGTTGGAATATTAGCACAAATGGCGGGGCGGTAGGGGAAGCAACCTACCAGGTTATTTTCACTCATCTTTCAGATTTCAAGACAAATTTCTCGTCATAGTGATTGTAGGTGTTTGGGGGACCTCCTTTGCCTCAGTATTGTCTTTGATGTTAGGCAGTCACATCAACCTAAGCAGGGTTTTCCTCTGTGCTCCCCTGCACATCTCCAACACCTCAGCTGGAGCTTGCTCTGTAGTTTACACTCAGTAGATGTTCACTGAAAAACACATAAGAAACAAAAGTGTAAAAGTTGCTGCCTTGCTTTCTTAAATTGGGGGAAATGACACATAGATCCTGTTAATAAATACATAAAATAATACATAGTATATGAATAAGTCCATAAATAAGAAGGTTGTGAATAAATCTACCCAAACTTTGTATAACCTACCTCATTTCTAGAGCCTTTCAACTTTATAGCATAGACTCTTATACTCATCCCATCCTGGAAGGCTTTTCATTAAATTTGAAACTGGCCTTTGGTTTTCCAGAGAATATAAAAGAGAAACAAAAAGAAATAAAAAAAAAAAAAACTCTCCATCTTAATTTGGAGTAAGTTAGGGAGCTTTGTCTTGGTTATTCTACATCTTATACTCCCAACTGAGTGCCTTATTGATGCCGATTATATAGTCAGTTTTTTTAAGTACAGATGATAGCAAGGTTAGACTCCTCTCTAATTTATGCTATATTTTCATATAATCCAATTTTAGCATCTCTGAAATAAACCCTTCAAAAAGCAGAAAAAAAGTTTTTAATTTTCCAATTCTAATCTGGGCTCTTGCCATGTCTATATTTTAGAATTTGTAAAGTAAATGAGGCAGAGATAAAGCTTTCATGCCAGAGATGCTTTTAAATACCAAAAGCATGTCATTACTGCGGTGCTTCATTTTTCTTCTAATTCTTTAATTAGATAGGATAAGAACTGCATGTCTTAAGCAAATTCTCCTGCTGTTCTTTCCTGGCCTCTAGAGGATCCTGCATTTGCGTGCATCATATTTTATTTGTAGTGGACTTTTAGATATTGCAGATTTTTGTTCTTTCATGCTATACTTGACCTATAAGTGAGTTCTACTTCTGCATTTCTGAAAACAAAAGCTAAGTTGTATTGTTTCTTTACTTGGGTCATTAAGTTAATAAACTGATGTTTATCATCTTATATTTGAGAATGGGCAATGGTATAATTGTTTTTAAATTAATGATCCAGCTGGTGATCAAAGAATTAGGTACAACAAATGGAATTTTTAAAAAAATCTATGATCGTTTTAACTGGATAATATGAACAAATTTTGCTTTTCTTGGTGGTTATGGAAGCTTTAAGTTAATTTTTTAAAGTTTTTCCATTCTTAAGAGGATTAAGACAAAATTAACCACCATCCCCACCCTCACCCACCCCCCACCCCCAATTTTTTCTGCAGTTGATTCTGTGTTTCCAAGTCTTCCAACAAAGGTTTGTGGTCAAAATTTTTAAAGTATTTTAGAAAAAATTTTTGAATTCTTAATTGATTCATATTCATCTCCCAATCTTAAGACTAGGATTGCTCTAGTCATTATTGAATTTGAGGCTTTGCAAGTTATTCAAACTTCTTAAAACATAAATCATGCAACATATGTATAGGAGAAATAAAAATTAGGGGTTGGAGTCAGAATGTCTCTTAGGAGAGAAAACCCCCTCTGTCTGGCAAAACACTATGTTGGTCATTTTGGCTGAAGAATCGCTCTGGAACGATTGGACAATAATTTCTTTCCTGCCTAAGGAATGCTTCTAAATTGGGATAGTTGCTAGTTAATGTATTAAAGAAGAAAGGAAAGGAGATCAAAGGTGGGAGAGAGAGTGCATAGCAATATGGCAGAACCTGAAGCCTAAACAGAAAGGATAAGCAAGAAAATCCTGCCCAGTAGAAGAGAGAACAGACTCCACCTGGAACTATGAGGCTTCCTGGTTGAGCTTGTGTTATTGCATTTCTCATGGCACCACCTGACACCTTGCTACTCTCCCAGGGGAGAGGCCTGGTTTTAGGATACATGCAGTAGCAATGGCGGCATCATTATGTAGATACTTTTCATGGCACTCAGATTCATAGGGTGCATGGGGTCATTTAACCAGAAACAGTCTCCATGCGGGGACTGAATGCAGGAAGAATATGACATGCTATAAGACATTTCATTTTTGCTATGAGTGTACAGGTTTTTGCTATGTAGAGGCATCCTGTTGCATACGCTAGTGGTTTTAAGCCGGTTTGGCCCTACTCACCCAGCTACAGGTCCCAGGCCTCTGTCTGCCTAGATCTTGAGAAATCTTTATCTAAAAGTATCACAGTTAGCACAAACACTCCACATGCTAATTGTGACGCTACCCTTGTCAATTTTTACCTTTGGTCCAAAAGTGGAATTTTAATAGTCTAAACTATAGAAACCATCTTTTTTGTATAATTAATGAGCTCCTTGGCTTCACCAGTAAGTTAGTCGCCTGAGTAAAACATCTTTTTTATTGGCAATGTTTTCTATCTTCTCTTTCTTATTTGCTGAGCTGTTTCCTACTAGCTCTAACTTTACTTTTGCATTTTCAAGTTCGCTAACCTTACATTCTAGTTTCTCTACCATGCTTAAGACATCAGTTTTTGTGTATGGGTTGATACCAACATTAACAACAAACATGTAGGCTGTGCACGGTGGGTTATGCCTGTAATCTCAGCACTTTGGGAGGCTGAGGCGGGTGGATCATGAGGTCAGGAGTTCAAGACCAGCCTGGCCAACATAGTGAAACCCCGTCTCTAGTAAAAATACAAAAAAATTAGTCGGGCTTGGTCTTGGGCGCCTGTAATACCAGCTACTTGGGATGCTGTAGCAAGGAGAATTGCTTGAACATGGGAGGCAGAGGCTGCAGTGAGCCAAGATCCTGCCACTGCACTCCAGCCCGGGAGAGAGTGCAATACTCTGTCTCAAAAGCAAGCAAACAAACAAAAAAACATTTATAGTAGTTTGAGTATATAAATACCATTGGCTTCAATAGTGTTTAATCTTATGCACCCTTTCCTGCAGATTTAAGGCTAAGAACCTTTTGCATCAGAGATTTAATTTTTTTTTAATTTTTAATTTTTTTAAATGTATTTATTTTCTAATGAGGTCTCACTCTGTCACACAGGCTGGAGTGCCATGACACAATTATGGCTCACTGCAATCTCTGCCTTCTGGGCTCAAGCAATCCTCCTGCCTCAACTTCCTGAGTAACTGTCGCTGCAGGCACATATCACTATGCCTGGCTAATTTTTGAATTTTTTTGTAGAGACGGGGTTTTGCTATGTTGCACAGGCTGGGACATCAGATATTTTTTAAAGCAATATTGCTATTATTTTTGTCTTTGTGCTTTAATAGCTAGTTACTGATTTCCTTATTTGGTACATGCATACAAAAGGACAAGTCTAGAATTGAAAGGCATAATTGTTATGTATGGATTTAAAAATACATAAATATATATTTAACACAAACATACATGCATATACATACACATATATACCCTTATTAATGCTAACTATTAGGCCCTTTCTCAGTGTATAGAAACAAATATAACTAAAAAGTTAATCTTCTACATAATCCTATTGAGTCTGGTACCTATTATGGCTTACTTTATTGCTAAGAAAAATGAGACCCCGGCCGGGCACAGTAGCTCACGCCTGTATCCCAGCACTTTGGGAGGCCGAGGCGGGCGGATCGCGAGGTCAGGAGATCGAAACCATCCTGGCTAACACGGTGAAACCGGTCTCTACTAAAAATACAAAAAGTTAGCCAGGCATGGTGGCAGGCGCCTGTAATCCCAGCTACTCGGGAGGCTGAGGCAGGAGAATGGCGTGAACCTGGGAGGCGGAGCTTGCAGTGAGCCTAGATGGCACCACCGCCCTCCAGCCTGGGCGACAGAGCGAGACTCTGTTTCAAAAAAAAAAAAAAAAAAAAAAAGATGAGACCCCAAAATAATATGAAACATGTCCAGTGTCATGTAACTGGTTAGTGATGGCACTGGGGTTCAACCCAAGCAGCCTTGCTTCAAAGGCTGTGTGTGCTTTTTAAAAATCATGTAATGTTTCTATAAGAATAATTAACTTTAGACACATGTTAAAATATTACTTATGGGTGTTTTGCCACAAAGAATGAAATTGCACTTGGGAATATGCAACATTTTGATGTTCTGAACCCCGACAAAATGCTTTTTAAAGTTCATAACATAAAAGAAAAATAAATAAAAAATGCAGTCGTTTTGTAGATATTCTTTCTGCACTTTTATTTTCTCACGTGAAAACAAGTAGTCTCTTTGCTAAGTTTTACAAAAAGTGTATTCTTACAGTATCGTATGCAAGTGATAAAAGCAGGTATATTGGAGGACTGGGTTATTTTACATTTTAACTTAGGACCCTAAGTTTCAAGAGATTCTTAGAGTTAATAACTGATAAAAATATTTATTACAGTTATTAGACCAATTAAAAGTAAATTTTTAGTTCCAGTAAGCAGTTAAAATTAAATATTCATAACTTTCATAAAATGTTCAAAATAGCAGTTAAAATTAAACATTCATACCATTTGGAATAGTGTCCAAAATGAAGTGCTGATATAGAAGACTCATTCAGATTATGTTATAGACTATGTGTGAATGTGCTATGCAGAATTCTAAGATGAATCTCAATTCCTTACATTCCCTGTCTCCTTAAGTGACCTTATCAGGGGGAATCCTTAAAAGGATTCCAAAGAGAAGAGACTAGAAGCAGCAGATGCTCTCTCTCTCTCTCTCCTCCTGGCCTTGCAGAATCAAGGTTTCATGAGTTGTACAACTGCAAGGAAATGAATCCTGGTGACAACCAAATGAGCTTGGAAGACCCTGAGCCTCATAAGAGACTAAGCCTAGCCAACACTTGGTTGAAGCCTTTTGAGAACCTGAACAAAGAAACCAACTAAGCCATGCCTATATTTCTGACCCACAAGAACTATGAGATAATAACATAGTATTATTTTAAGCTGCTAAGTTTGTAGTAATTTTCTACAGCAATAGAAAACTATTAAGTGATCTCTTACAGAAAAAAGATAGAATGTTTCCCAAATAAAAGCATTTTCCAACTTTGATAATTTTATATCATATGCACATACATGGTTTTTCTACTATGCTTGAGACATCAGTTTTTGTTTATAGGTTGATCCTAACATTAAAAACAAACTTTTATAGTAGTTTGAGTATATGAATACTATTGGCTTCAATAGTGTTTAATCTTATGCACCTTTCCTGAATATTTAAGGCTAAGAACCATTTGCATCAGAGATTTTTATTTTTTTGTTAATTTTTTAATGTTTTTATTTTGAGATGGGGTCTCTGTCACACAGGCTGGAGTGCCAAATATGTGCACATGTACATGCAAGACTAGGACACCTAACTCCACAGAATTTGTAGGAAAAATCCAATCTCAACAATAAATTGTAAGTAATTCTAATAATCACAGAATGTCAGAGATAAGCCGAGCAGAGAGTGCATCTAGTCTAAATTATTTCTTTTTCAATTAAGAAATAAGAGCAGAAAAAAGACTAAGAGCTTGCCAGGGTCTCACAAACCATGAGAGAAGGAACTGGAATAGGAGTCCATCCTGTGCCCTAGAACCAGACCCAATTTCCTCATGGTGCAACATATAGGACTTGTGAATTCTAGTCACACTGACCCTAACCAGTTTCAGAATGGCAGATAACTAAAAGATCTGCACACATAAAATTCTGTAGTGTTGCAAAGCATAAGGATTGAAAGGACTTTACTTCAGAAAATACACAAACCTAAAGATATTAGGTCAATCAGATGAAAGTTTTTATCCTATATGGCAGTTCTTGATGATGAACTGTAAATTTTGATACCAAAGAGACAGTTAGAATTTCACCTATATCAATGGAGACCTGATCTCTGTTTACTGATGAATAGATTACTGGACTTGAATGAGTCTGGATGATTATACCATAGTGAAACTAATTCGCAGAAGAAATGCACAAGACCAATAGACATAATAAAAGATGCTCAGACTTACCAATAACTAAATAAGTGCAAATAACAATAACAAAGAGACAATTTAATCTTTAGTTAACTTACTCAACAAATATTTATTGAATTCTTATCGTGTTGAGGACCTCGTCTTATTTCTAGGGATAAATAGCAAAAACATTGTCTTTGCCTTTATGGACTTCACATTCTAATGGTGAAGATATATGTTAAACAATAGATCATAGAAATAAACCTAACACTGAATTCATATTTCTTATGGATGAAAGGACCAGGAGCTATAAGCACATACATCAGGACATGTGTCCTAGTTTTGGGAAATTCAGAGGAAGCTTTACCAGAAAAATAATTTTAAATGTAAAATATAAATTAATTGGTTGAGTAGTTGTGTTTGTGTGTGTGTGTGTGTGTGTGTACATATGCAGGCAGGTTTTGAGGAATTATGGTAGAAGAGAAAGTCTTAAATTTCAAGCTGGAGAATAATAGAACTTGAAAAATTGGAAAATGGAGGTTTTCTTAACAGAAATGAAAATCATGCAAAAGAACAGATATTAATGAAAAAATGAATTTGATTATGAACAAATTGAGTTTGAAGGTGCTATGTGATAGACAGATAGAAATGAGAGAATAGAGTTTTGGTGAGGGACTTCAAGGAAGGTTTCTTTGAGGTACACGTGTATCAGGGTATGCTTTGCCTGGGAAACAGAATGGGATTCTTGCTACTTCTGATCTTAACTTCTCTTACAGCTGGCATATTTATGGCTGTCTTTGAAGCTGATGGTTCTAAATCCTAACTACAATCAGAATCACCATGCAACTTAAAAAAAATCAGTGTGAAAGCTGTACTTCTTTAATATTCTATGTAAGTTGGGGGATGTGAGTATTTTTTAAAGCTGCTCAGTTGATTCTAATGTACAGCCAGGGTTGAGAGCCACAGCCTTCAGATATTTCATAGCTAACATTAGGGTAATTTATCTGCTACATAATCTTAATATCATTTAAATTGGAAATTTCTTAGAGCAGCAGTTTAGAATATAATAGAATAATAAAATAAGTACCCTGGGAAATCATCTAACTCAACCTCGACATTTTATAGATTAGAAGACTGAAGGCTTATCTTGTCTAAGTGACTTATCTGGAGTGAAAAAGTATCCTTGTTTCTTTTCAGACAAACCTATTTTAGTCATAGTCCACATACAAAGTTCTGTATTGAACAATTAACATTCATTCTCAAAAAGCATTTCCATATCCGTTATGAGTCAGACACTGTGCTATGTCAATTAAGTTACTGCCTAATCCTATAAGGTTATTGTTATCATTCCCATTTTAGAGAGCAAAGGATATTAAGTAAATTCTCTATATCATGGAGCTATTAGGTGGCAGAGTCTGGATTCAAACCCAGTTCTACCAGAGTAGAAAGTCATGATCTTTCCATGACTGCTTTCATTGTTTCATCTAGCATTTCTTCATAAGCCTAAAATTATCTATTGGAAAATTAGCTGATTCCTACAGGCTTTCATCAAAGGCTTACTTTGCACCTTTTTTTTTTTTATTATTTTAACTACTTAGGCCCCCAATATTTTTGGAATTTTATAATCATGAAAGATAAGCTCAGGAATTTCAGATGATAAAATAGTTCTAAAATAGTTTGTATTACATGATAAATGCAATAGAATGCTAATCCTTGTTCTAGAAAATTTCAAGATGTTCACTTAAAAAACCTTTCGAGTCATTTTTAAAATTGTAGTCCTGACCTTCAGTACGTGTTAAACAGGTTTTTTCAAAATTTAATGAGGATGAGTTTTCATATGATAGTCATTTTACTTCAGAGTATTACAAAGGATTCAACAATTTTAGTATAAAATAGCAGAACTTGTTACATATGTATGGTCTATTACTAGCTCAGTCTAAATTTTGCACATCTATGGAGTCTAAAATTCAATTGGGATTACATCCAACTTTTTGTTTAAGTAGCAAAGTAAAAAAATTAAAATGCCTAGTCTTAAATGAACCATAGTTTGAGACTCCATTCTCTTCTCAGCCACTTTCTGGCTTCACAAGAGCAACTGTAGCTTTTGGATATTAGGTGAGATTTGGACATTTCCATAAAGCAAAGCATGAATAGAATGCTGGCTGCCTTTCACCTCATCTCATCCATTAACTGTGAAAGGTGAGAGCCAGCCTTATTTTTCTAAATATCATGATTTCAATATGTAGCAAATGATACAACTGAAAAATAATTTTTGGTATCTACATTATGCTTAGAGTTAACATCTAAACTAACCACCATTTCCCACTCAAATATTTATTTAAGTCCCTGGAAAACTTTAATCATTATTGTTGACTTGTTTTTACTCATTTTCAGATGTTTCTTTTCATTTGTTATTTACTCATTAGAATATTCACTTAGTGTAAGGAGAGATTGCTGTTCTTGGAGATACGAAGACTTCAAGGAGTTTACAGATTTGCTTGGGAAAATTAGAGTATCATAAATGAAGCAAAACTGCTAGATGAATGTGCTGGTTTACATATAGAATTTGTTTCTTTCTAGACCAGTGGTTCTCAAATGTGATTCCTGAACCACTGGCATTAGCACACCTGGGAACTTTTTAAAAATTCAAATTTGGCCTGGTGCATGTGGCTCACACTTGTAATCTTAGCACCTTGGGAGGCCTAGGAGAGAGGACAGCTTGAGCCCAGGAGTTCAAGACCAGCCTGGACAACAAAGTGGAACCTCATCTCTACAGAAAATAAAAAAAAAAAAATTGCCATGTGTTGTGGTGCATGCCTGTAGTCCTAGCTACTCAGGAGGCTGAGATGGGGGAACACTTGAATCTAGGAGGTTGGGGCAGCAGCAAGCTATATGATCTGATTGTGCCACAGCACTCCAGCCTATGTGACAGAGTAAGAGCCTGTCTCAAAAAAATATGCAAATTTGAGGTTTTATCCTAGACTTACTGAATCAGAGACTCTGGGAGTGGAGCCCAGTAACAGGATCTTCGTGTGTTTCTTACACACAATAGACTTTGAGAATCACAAACATTTATTTATATTGTTTAATTATTCTGAACTCATCTTTATTACTCTAATCATTCTGAATTTGGTGGAGATGGTCTATGCTTTTAGGCATCTTAGAATATATGTCTCACATGTGTGTGTGTGTGTGTGTGTGTGTGTGTGGTGTTTATGTATTTAAATATTTTTCTCCTACTTCATCTACTTCTCATCCTGTCAACTGTGTTTCTGAGAATCTAGAAAAATTTCAACCTCAGGTAATTGATTACTAGTAAATTTAACTACATTACTCTTTATTGTTAAAACTCCTTAGGTAATTTTGGAAGGAAACTTCTACTGGAGACAATGGTAAACAAAAACAATCAAAAAAAATCTAGGCTTTTCAAGCTAGATCTCCTGATTTATTTGAATCTTTCAGCAGTTATGTATATATAATGGTTTATTGTACTAAACATATATTTAACAATAAAAATTATATTAAGTACAGAATGTAGTATCATTCTCATAGTATTACCATAGCATCATAAGGGACTGAGATCCAGGATTTTAAAAACTGAAGATTTAGGATGAACTATATGTCAGTACGAGGACTGTGAATAGGGTGGAATTCTTACTAGTTAAAAGATAAGAATTTATATAAATGAGGATAACAAATATTTCTAGAAAAGGGCACTGGTATTAATGATGAAAGTATCAATTCAGGACTACTCATGGCAGATTACCCACACTTAGTGACTACGCCACTTAGATCCCTTATAGTGTTCTGAAAGCTTGACATTTTAACTGTCGCTCAGAGGAAAGGCTTTTTTTTTTTTTTCTGTTTTGCACTGTATGCTCATAAGCTAGCATAGTGTCTAGCATATAGTACCTAGGTACCTAATAAATAGTTTTGAACACATAATGAAGGTTGAGTAGACACGTGAAAGTAGCTTGAGTAAGATATAAATGACCAACCTCCAGCAAAGGAGTTTAAATAGTATTCCGAAAGTTTTATCAGTGAAATGATAAAAGTGATACTGTGAACATGCAGATCTAGTAGGAAGAAAGATTACAGTAGGTAAAGAAGAAAGACCAAGAAATCATTCAGGGATGAATGACTATTACAGTTGACCAAGTCTTATGAGCTAGTAGCAGGTCTAGGGCCTAAAGGGTCATGCATTTCTGTTCTGTTTCCTAAATCACCAAACTGTTATGTCTAACGTAATTAAAAAGCATGTCTGTTTTAATGAAGGTGATATCTGATTTTTTCCTCATTTTCTACATTCAATATTTTTTCAGTTAAGCTCTGCTATATGTGGATGATCATATGCCCTTGAACTACACTTGTTAATATGTTCTTACTACTGACAAGAGTGGAGGGATGAATTGGAGAACAGTAAGAATTATGATTGATTATCCAAAGAGAAGTGAGGATTGAGGCAGAGTTCCGTTAAAAACTTTTACCATACATGGGGCCAGGCGCGGTGGCTCAGGCCTGTGAGCCCAGCACTTTGGGAGGCCAAGGCGGGCAGATCACGAGGCCAGGAGATCGAGATCATCCTGGCTAACACGGTGAAGCCCCGTCTCTACTAAAAATACAAAAAATTAGCCTGGCGTGGTGGTGTGTGCCTGTAGTCCCAGCTACTCGGGAGGCTGAGGCAGGAGAATGGCTTGAACCAAGGAGACGGAGCTTGCAGTGAGCCGAGATCGCGCTACTGCACTCCAGCCTGGGCAACAGAGCGAGACTCCATCTGAAAAACAAAACAAAACAAAACAAAAAAAAAACCTTTTACCACACATGAAGATAAGATGTAAGTTTATATATATTCAAACTTACGGATTGGCATAAAAATCATTATCTTCGAATCAGTAGTAAAGTTTAATGTGATTTGAAAATTTATGGTGTTGTGTTTATATTCTAAGTGAGGAAAATGTAAAACCTAGATCAGGAGATAGAACTTTTTGGAGCAGCAACACACACACACATAGGCACACACATGAGTTCTTTCTTTCCTGTTCTGCAGTGGAATCTTACTTAGAATCTTATTACTATGTGCAAATTAGATGAAGCCAGAAGTTGTCTGATTTTGGAGGGAGGCAATGCAGCAAATCTGAGCCTCTCCCTCTACTGACCTCAAGCTCACCTCCAGGACCTCCTGAACCACTTTGTTTGTACAGCAGTCTCCCAGAAAGCTGTGGAAGCCTGTATTTTCTTATTAAGGACAGGCATAGACTATCATATGTCTACCCTATACTAATGAAACAAAATCTGGAAGATGAAAAGTATGTTATAATTATTTTCTCAAACATTATTTTTTAATAACTTTCTTCATATTTGTTCCTAGAGGCCACAAGTTGATCAAAGCACCCTTTTGTTTTGTTTTGTTTTTTGAGACAGAGTCTCGCTCTGTCGCCCAGGCTGGAGTGCAGTGGCGCTATCTCGGCTCTTCGCTCCACCTCCCAAGTTCACGCCATTCTCCTGCCTCAGCCTCCCGAGTAGCTGGGACTACAGGCGTCCGCCACCACACCCGGCCAATTTTTTGTATTTTTAGTAGAGACAGGGTTTTCTCCCTCGTTAGCCACGATGGTCTCGATCTCCCGACCTCATGATCCGCCCGCCTCACCCTCCCAAAGTGCTGAGATTACAGGCATGAGCCACCGAGCCCGGCCTCAAAGCACTCTTTTAAAGTATCCCTAATGCACTCAGCCTGTGGGCCAGTTGCCAGAATCTCCTCAGAATCTCCTTGGGGAAGGATTTAGTTTTCATGTAACTCCACTATGTAGGTGATTCTTTGACACTTGAGGTAAGATCTACATAGAGTACAGAAATATCACAAAAGAGCATATATTAATTGAATCATGAGGATTTCTTTACTGTAGGGATAGAACTCAGATAGCAGTAGTTATACAAGAATCAGGAAAGTTAACCCTCGAATACAATCATGACATTAGCCAGTATTTATTGAATTTTCTATATCAGACACTCAGCTAATCAGTTTATATGCTTATCTTAAACTTAGATCATATGTTAGGCTCTATGATTATTCCCATCTACAAATGAGGAAACTTGTACATAGAGAAGCAAAGAAATTTATTTAAGTTACACAACTAAACTAGTGGTGCCGAGAGTCAGGGCTGGCCCTGGATCATTGTCGTTTTTGTTCTTCTAAAATTCCAAATTTTGATGGAAGATTATTTTGGAAAAATAAGTAAGGAAAATGGATTTGGGATAAAGGCACCAGATGGTATATATTGTTCAGTTTGTTTATAACTCAACTCAGGGTTTGTTGTTTTTTTTTTATGTTTATGTTTTATGTTTATGTTTATGTTGTATGTTTATGTTTATGTTTTATGTTTATGTTGTTTTTTTACTAAACCAAAAGATCAAGTTTATAAGACTTAAAGATGATACTGCATGAGACATTAACCTCCAGATCAGCTATAACTAGGCTATAAACATGATGAATCAGGGGTCTTTGCCACCTGGTGGAGGGGTAGCCCTCTGCTACTTCCTTTCTCTCACTCTCCTTCTATGCCTGGCCTTTGGACATGCCATGAGGGAGGTATCCAGGGCAAAATAATTGGATTATTCTTTACCATATCCCACTGATATGTTCTCGCATTACATTTAGATTCTGATTGTACCAAACTTTGTATAGTTTGTGTACTCAAAGAAGAGCAGAGAAAGTCATGGTGATCTGGCCAACAACTCTAATTTGGGTTGGCTTTTCTCACCTCTAAAAGTATTAGACCTATAATTTTTTAACAATAAGAGTACTTTACTTTCTCTACTACCTGGCCTTCTGTTCTGACATGATTAGTCCTATTATTGCCAGCCATAAGAATAATTTACTTTCTAGGCATATGCCAGGTGCAATATATGTATCTTTTAATCAATTAGGTAGGTGTATGATATACAAGAGTGAATTTTATAGGCTTTAAAACTCATATCTTTATCTACTATGACTTTCGATATTAGATTATAGAAGTACCTAGAGGCTAATGCAATGAATTTGTCTAAAGACTTGTTGCTCAAATTAATTTTATACAATAATTTTAATGGCTTTGTCTTGATTTACCAAGATACTATACATACTGAGATCCAGTCATTTCTCAAATGGCTGAAATTAGTTGTCATTTTCAACTGAGTTCTCTTTTAATGAGCAAATTGGCTACTTTTCTCTTGCATTGTCCTTGGGGGCAAATAATAGGGGCATCAAAGAAAGGAAGGAATGTGCAGGATTGTGTAGCTGTGTCATGCATTTGTTAATGAGCTGAACATGTGACATTTCCCAAATAAAACTAAATATGCAAATGAAAGCAATGGCTGGATTAAGGCCTGTTCATATGTTTAACCTGAGATCCTCTACAAAAATTATTTTTTGAAATGACTGTTTTGTAATATTCATTTTCTATGGTTACTATCTGTCCAGATGGCATTGTTGTAAAAACTTTCTCAGAAGATTAGGTGTCTCCAGCAATCCTGTGCTAAACATTAGTACAGGGTCACTAAGGTCCAACTGAAAGGGACAAGATACCTGAAAATTTGTCAAATGCTTATAAATGTATTTAACACTGTAGCCTGAAAGAGGAAATGAGTCACTCATTCAGAATTATCCCAAGTTACACTGGCTCTCAAACCCCTTGTGCCATATTGATTTTGAGTTTCTCTTCTTTCATTTCATGTCCCTCAGGGATTTTTCTCCACTTGGGGCATCACAAATGTATTTCTGAGGCATGCTTCACTTTTGGCTCCACCATTTCCTGCCTCTATGCTGCATCTCTCTGATTTGTTAACGTGACCATTTAGTTAAATGCTTCTAAGAATTCTCTCCTGCAATTCTGGGACAGGTGAACTTAACCTAGTTTCTAGCAATTTCTACCTCTATTTGACCTTGAAAGAGAGGGAATGGATACTGGCCCCTTTTTTGGTAGTCTATCCCAATAATGGAATCGAACTTCCCTTCATTTCCCCAAAATGATACTAAATATAACACTATCTATGATCAACACCTGATTATAATACCAGTTATGGAGTACTAAATGTGTGTAGGTAGTATGATTTAATCTTCAAATAAATTTATAAGTACATCAATTCTCTCTCTCTCTTTTTCTCTCTCTCATCCCTCTCAATTTATTTACTTATTGACCAAGGCTGAAATTAAGTTTCAAAGAAGTTAAACTATCTAAAGGTTTAGATCTTGAAAATAGCACATCTCAGATGCTGGACCTCTCTACCCCATATGGTATCTTTTTATAAATAAGAAAAGAACAAGTTTCCTTTACTTAAGAAACTTCTTTCAGAAAAATTATCAGAATTTAAAGTTTTTTTGTAAAAAGAAAAAAGATACTTCGCTGCCACCTACAGGAAGGTTTTGCTGTAATTTGGGAATCTATAATCACTGTAATACAGTGTCCTTTTAGATGTGCTATCCTTGTGAAGACAAGAGTTTGCACAAACATACATAGCAGCCCTATTGAAATGTGAAAACTAGTGCCCTGATTTCCAAGCCCTTTTACTTAACTGTACCATAAACTCAGAAATATGTATGCAATACCTAGTTACATGATATATGTAAATTTTCTAGGTAGAACTGTTCAATGCTTTGTGGCTCCATCCCTAGTCACTACAATACACCCATACCATCTATTCCACCGTCATTATTCCTGAGGGCACATTTCCATTGCTGCTGTCTAGATCCTGAATGTCCTAAGGACAAAAGGGATTTTAGAAGGAGAGGTGTCAGAAAATAAATGGAGTTACAGAAAAATGTAAATGTAGCTTCTAAGTTATTTTAAAATATTTAAATGGAATAGCTTTTCTTTATTTCAAAACTCACCACACAATAGGAGGAATGAAAAAGAAAATTAAGTTCCATTATTCCTTAAGCTACTAGACATTTGTAACTATGAGCAATATCTAAAGACAAAGTTTGTGAAAGGTGGTGAATGCAAGCCCAATATTCAGGACATTTGGTGTCTTTTTAAAATTGTCTGCATTTTGGCCAAAGCCATACTTGTCTTCTAATTTAAATATCAATTTAGATCATACTAGCGCAAACCAAATTCTCCTTTTTTAACTCGAAGAATTTATATGCACTAATGGTTGCAGGAAACTATTTGGAGAATGTCGTTTTTGAGGCACTATATTTAGAGACAGCCTCCTGTTGTCATAGCACTTCTGGTTAGTGTCCAACTGCCAAAGGATTCAGTCACTTGTTAGCTATAACCCTTGTCCTCAGAAGGAATTCCTAGCAAGTCAATCTGTTTTCATTTCTCCCCAATGTCACATACAAAAGTTATTAATAAACAGTTCAAATTGGATTTCTGTCTGAAATGATCCAGTTTTCATATGGCTTACCTGCCGTCTAATTTTGTTCCATGTTTTCCCTGTAATGGGAGCATTAAATATCAGAGTTGGACAGAACTTTGGAGGTTAACTGGTGGGCAGAGCTTTCATTTACACCTGAAGAAACAGAAACCCACAGCCATTAAATGAATTTCTCAAGAATGAAATTCTGTTAGGAGGATACAAACAGAAGTAGTATGTCCATCTTGTGACACAAAGCATGAGGATTTTAAAAACTACATTACATAGCTATTGTTACACTGAGTTAGCTAAAAACTTTTGTTTTCAAAAAGAAGCACAGTGTATTGTTAAATAAATATTTGTAGCTCCAAAAATGCTCTATTATCTCAATAAAGTACATCAAGATATAAGCAAGGCCATTGTGTTTTAACCTTTATGGTATGCTACTACCTGATAACCATAGTCTACACTGTGACATTTAATACTGATTATACAAACTTGACTACACACCAGAAATCAGAAGTATTTTTCTGACAGCTTAGTGCACCATTCCCTTCTTAGTGGTTCTTTGAATAAAGAAGTCATTCTCTATTTCTATCAATTTCTGTACTGTGGATTGCATATGTCCTTGGAGAAATTCTGATATACACTTAGGAATCACCCTAAGATATTTTTAACAAAATAAATGCATTTCTACTGCCTCAGAATTTTTGGCTTGGACTTCAGTCAGGTTAAACATTAGTTGGTACTTGACTACTTTTTTCTTTCTTTAAATTTTTATCTAACTCTAATATACCATATCTAATGTAGTTGGCCACTGAAAAAGACCCTATTTCTATTATGGTATTAAAACAATTTTCTTATAGGCTTGGAAAAATATATTCTTCACAATATTCCTTCATTTATTTACTCAATTAATATTTACAATCTAATATGTACCCCATGGTGTGGCAATATGAAATCAGAGATCTATAAACTGAGGAGCCAAAGAGGGACACAGATGCTAGAACTATATTTGGTCTAAAAGGGCATTTCCAAGCTCTCATGTGTATCATAAATCCTTAGTGATATTCCCTTGTGGGATTATGTATTGTCACATTACAGGTACATCATCTGCAAAAGGTAAGTTCTTCTCTGAATATCAGAACTGGAAATTAGAGGAAAACAGCTGCATACACATTGTGCCAATCATCAGAGCATTTCTGGGAAAAGCCAATTTTTCCTGTGGGTTTGCTCATCAAATCTTTCTATGTTTGACAGTGACATCAGGCATTTTTCATCTCTACTGAATTGAGACAGAATACTGATGGACAACATTTCAATTGCTCACCCCACAGAAGAAAGACATTTATTAAAAGTTAAGATAAAAGTCTTCAAAAATTCACACATGTGTGGTATTCTCTCAGTTCTCTTAACCATATATTAGAATTTTAAAAAGGCAAACATTTCTGTTTATAGAAAAATGTCAAGTTGAATACAGCTTAATTTACTGACTCCCTAAACAGGTTCTCAAATGAAAATAGTGGATAAACTATTACTTATGTGAGTTCAAACACTAGGGGGATTTGTGAAATGGAAAGAGAAAATTGTCATATTAAATTATGTTTTACAAATTTCACAGGCATGAAACATAGTGCTGTCTCTTAACAAAATATATAGGTTTTTTATCAGCTATTAAGGGAATGAAAATTACATGAAGAAAATAGGATACAAGAACTATGTGTTTAACAGTGAGTTATCCTGTTTTCAAAAAACAAAGCAATCCATGCCTGGTTATATATCCAAGAAAAATGAACACATATGTCCACCCCAAAATTTGTACGTAAATGTTCACAGATGCACTCTTTACAGTAGTCAAAAAGTAGAAATAACTCAAATATCCATCAACACATAAATGTAAAAATAAAATATTTTGTCTATAAAATGGAATATTATTGGCAATAAAAAGCGAAGTGCTGATACATGTTACAAGATGAATGTATCTTGAAAACATTATGTTAAGCGAAAGAAGCCAGTCACAAAGGAGACCACATATTATATGATTTCGTTTATGTGAAATATCCAAAATAGGCCAGTAGATATAGAGAGATACATAGAGAAAGCACGTTTATGATTGGCTACTGCTGGGAAGGGATTAGGGGGAAATGATGAGTGACTGTTAAAGAGTATGGGGTTTCTTTCTAAGGGATGAAAATGTTCTATAATTTCAAAACTCTGTGAATATAACAAAATTCATATTTTAAATGGATGAATGATATGGTACAAAAATTTCATCTTCATGAAGTTGTTACTGAACAATGCTTAGAAAATAGACTGGAAGAGAATTCACATACAGACAAATAAAATTTAAAAAAAAATCAAAGAAGAATTCCAATGATATAAGAAACAATTGAGGGCCAGGTGCAGTGTCTCACACCTGTAATCCCAGAAATTTGGGAGGCCGAGGTGGGTGGATCACCTGAGGTCAGGAGTTCGAGACCAGCCTGGCCAACATGGTGAAACCTCATCTCTACTAAAAACACAAAAATTAGCCGGGTGTGGTGGCAGACGCCGATAATGCCAGCTACTCAGGAGGCTGAGGCAGGAGGATTGCTTGAACCTGGGAGGCGGAGGTTGCAGTGAGCCGAGATTATTCCACCGCACTCTGGTCTGGGCGACAGAGCAAGATTCCGTCTCAAAAAAAAAAAGAAAAGAAAAGAAAAGAAACAATTGAATTTATCAGTATTGGTTAGTGATGCTTATTAATTTATAAGAAAACACTTGAGATAATTAAGAATATTTTTTCATTGCAATTTTTGTGAAGTTCAATGTTCTTTGAACCATTAGATTCTTAGAAGTCATAAAGAGACTCTGAGTTACTCTTTAAATTTTAATTACTCAAAAATAAGCAGTAGATTTGATGTATCTGCTGGTGTTAAATAGTATTTGTAACACCTAAAAATGCAAATGTACATAGATTGTCTTCTGTTCCAAAAACATATCAATTATTTATAAAATAACATTTTAAGGAATTTAAAATAGTAAATATTAAAATATTTTAAATGCAAGTATGGGAAAATATGGCTCACTTTTTATCTCTACACTTAGTATTATCTATTAAAATGTTAGGTCCAGGCCAGGCACCATGGTTCAGGTCTGTAATTTCAGTACTTTGGGAGGCCGAAACAAAAGATCACTTGAGGCCAGAAGTTCAAGACCAACCTGGGCAACATAGCAAGACCCTATCTCTACATTTTTTTCTTTTCTATTAGCTGCACATGGTGGGGCACTCTTCTAGTCCTGGGAGGCTGAGGAAGGAGAATCACTTGAGCTCAGGAGTTCAAGACTGCAGTGAGCTATGATTGCACCACTGCACTCCAGACTACAAAAGAAACATAAAAAAATAAGTAAAATAAAATATTATGACAAAGAATTTACATAATGTTAGGAAAAACTGTACAATGTATATTTCAGATCATTTCTTATAGGATCAGAAAATAGTCTATATTCTAGTTGTATATTTGAAAGAAATAATGCATTCAAGTCAAGATATACTCCACATGCATCCAATACCACAATTTTTTATGCTGAAGAAAACTTCCATTTAAATTTAATTGTCATTATTGAGCCTGAAGTGTTTTCCAAGGAGTTGAAGATCAAAAAATCTGGTATGGAAGTCAGGTTTTTATTTTGATTTTTGTATGGCAGTTCTGCATTTAACATCTTATTCAAATTAGGCTTTCTCAATATCTGGCACAGCCCTCTCTGACAGATAAAAATTGCTTTGTAAAATTATAGGAAGCAAAAATATATACAACAAGTCTCATTAGTTTGCTTTCAAACTCTTTGAAATTCAACTTGAAATTATATTTTCTTAACTTGAGACTATTGCCCTTAACTAGAGATGCATTGCCTTATAACATCCTATTTTACAAATATGTTGTAATATGAATGCTATATCAGCATAATAAACTTTTATTTTCAAAAAAACTATTGCTACCATTCTTAAAAAACATTTATGATATAATAATCTTTTTTAATAATTTGATTAAGGAAGATGAATTAAAGATTTTAAAAATATATGTATGTAATTATATTTCCATAAGTTTATGTATACTTGTTGACACTTCTTACTGTTTAAAACTTACACATGCACATATATACATGCATACAAACAAAAATACTACTGAACAGGACTCAACTTTTAATCTCATTATCAGCTAATTATGTAGCGCCATTGTAACATGTATTTCCTCCTCTCAAGAAGCTTACATTTAGTATTTTATTCTGTATTTCCCTATTTGAATCTTATAATTTCTGTCATATTATACATACTTGGGTTTAGATGTCAAATTTAACGTTTACTAAGGAAAAAAATTAATAAAAGTATTAAAGCAGTTTTTAATTTTTTTGAAGTTTACTTTTTAGAATTATGTTTTACAGAACATAATTTTTCTTTTTTCAGAAGATTTTTATAGAATTGTAGATATTTTTGTAAAACACAAATTATGAGAACATTTTATTCTCGGTGACTTAAAAAGTTCCAGTAAGTTATGTTGTAATTTTTAAAGTTACAGTTAATAAAGGACTATATCTTGAACTTTCTACAAGACAGCACTCTGGAAGGTACCCACCTTCACCAATGTTAAAAACACATTGCTTGCCTTTAAGCAGCTTACAGTCTTACTAGGCAGAGAAAAAAGTGTAAGCAACAGTAGAGCACCCTCTCTTTTCTTAGAAATCAAAGGGTTTTCTTTCCTCAGGTGGTTGTATAATGATGAAAGCAACCCTCAGAACAGGGCAAATATGTATATTTGTTGACACTTCTTACTGTTTAAAACTTACACATGCACATATATACATGCATACATACAAACAAACAAAAATATTACTCAATAGGAACCACATGTTTATCTCATTATCAGCTAAGTATGTAGCACCATTGTAGCATATACACATACACAAGCCCTTGCTTGTCCTCTTACGTGGATCAAATAGATTAATTCATAGTTAGGGCAATTAGAAATTGCATTAGACTTCTTACAAGAGTTGTTATTTTAAACAATGCATTTTTTTTCCTGGAGTGTTTAATCTGGTATGTTCAAGGTATGGGGCTGGCAGCAGTAAGCTTGTGGAGTGAAAATCTTTTGGATGGAGGAGCAAAAGGTTTGAGCATGTGAACTTTTAGTTTCCTCTTAAAGCAGTGGTTCTCAGCTAGAGATTTTGTCCCAGGGGATATTTGGCAGTGGCTGGAGATATTTTTGATTGTGACACTGGAGGGCGCTACTGACATTCGATGGCTAGAGGCCAGGGATACTGCCAGGCATTCTACAACGCACAGGACAACAAATAATGCCAATGTTGCTGAGACTGAAAATCCCTGCCCTAGATGGGCGAATATATTTAGCCAACCCTCTTCACCCCTTTTGTAAAGGCCAGTTTAAGTTTGTTTCTATCACTTAGCGTTGAAAAGGTAGCATAAAACAGACGGTAGCCGTTGAGAGAGTTGTTCAACATTGTGGTTAAATAGGGATTCTGGGATGAGAGGATATAGTACTAGAAAGGGGATTTAAAAACAGGAAGGAGACAATGTGAGTAACAGATGAGGTGTTTTGTACAAATGGAACTCAGCAAAAGCCCTGAACTGGAGAAATACAAACTTATGATGAAATAGAAAGATCAATCTATCTGTGTTAGGTGGAAAGGAAGAGTGTCAGAAGGATCAAAAGTTACTTGGTAACAGATTGTTAGCCTTGAATGCCAAACTAAGGAGCACTTTAGAGTTTTTGAGGTCAAAGGAATCGTATTCTCTGAAACTATATATTTAAATCCCTAAGAAAACTATTAGTATAATACATAGTTACAAATTTAGAACATTTAAAAATAACAAATAAAAAATGCTGCCCCTCTGTTATAACCACTATTATTATTATTATCGTTATTATTATTATTATTATTATTATTTATAGCAACAGAGTCTTGCTCTGCTGCCCAGGCTGGTGTGCAGTGGCATGATCGTAGCTTACTGCAGCCTGCAACTCCTGGGTTCAAGCGATTCTCCAGCATCAGCCTCCTGAGTAGCTAAGACTAAACAAGCACACTACCACACTCAGCCAATTATTTAAAAAAAAAAAAAAAAAAAGATGGAGATGGGGGTTTGCTATGTTGCTTAGGTTGGTCTTGAACTCCTAGCCTCCAACAATTCTGCCACAGCATCCCAAAGTACTGGGATTATAGGGATGAGCTACCACACCTGGCTGTTAATCACTATTTTTTTAGCATATTTTTTTAGCATAAATTTTGACAAAATTTTCTCTACAAGTAAATCTTTTACATAAACAAGATCATTAGATATGTGTGATTTTTATTTCACTTTTACTGTATTCACCTAATAATAAGTTTCTCAGAGCATAGAAACTATTCCAAAATTTTAATGGCCAGATAGTTTATTAAATGTATACAGCATTTTCTTATTGTTGGTCTTCCTGTTGTTATCAATTAAAAAAATAAGACTTTAATGAACATTTTTGTGCATAACATTTATATTTACTATTATGAAGAGAGTCTGATCAAATGCATAAGCATTTAAGACTCCTGGTAAGACATGCCAAAATGTTTTAAGAAACATTGTACCAATTTATATTCCAGTCCAAAAATAAACTCTAGTTATTCTTAAAATGTAAGGTAATTCTTAACCAAGAAATGCCTTGGGCAAGAATTTTCTTTCTTTCTCATATCTTGCTAGTAGGTGTCAATCATTTGCTATCAGTGACTGAAAAACTTAACCATTAAAAAAATTATGAATTCATCTTTTTATTCATAAACCACGACTCTAATAATACATTAACGTACATTTTTTTCATTGCTTAAACCATAGTTGCTTCCTATATAAATTTGTTCTTAACACTTAGTGTCAAGACGCTAGTGTTCCTGAGATACTAAGTGCCTATAATTTGTATATCTATTTTTTATTTACATCATTCAACCTACTTCCAAAAGTGTTGGTGTAACTCCATCTGCTCCATCCCTGACTACTTTTTTGTTTTTTCCTTTTTTTTTTTTTTTTTGAGACGGAGTCTCACTCTGTCGCCCGGGCTGGAGTGCAGTAGTGTGATGTCGGCTCACTGCAACCTCTGCCCCCCGAGTTCAGGCGACTCTCCTGCCTCAGCCTCCCGAGTAACTGCATTACAGGGGACCGCTACCACTCCCAGTTAATTTTTTTTGTGTTTTTAGTAGAGACGGGGTTTCACCATGTTAGCCAGGCTGGTCTCGAACTCCTGACCTGGTGATTCGCCCGCCTCGGCCTCCCAAAGTGCTGGGATTACAGATGTGAGCCACCATGCCCAACCCCCTGACTACTTTTAAAGGCAGAAATTATTCCCTGGTTTCTTCATGAAGTTTTCTGACAATAGTTTGACAACTTCCAGAATGTTCTTAATGGGCTTTACACGCTAAATTTTTTAACCTAGGTGGGTTGCAACAGTAACTTATCTAGGTTATAGATTTTTTTTTTCTAAAATTAGCCTGCAATGCAGTGCTATTCTCGCTTTTCCTGAAACTATAGTTTCCTCTCAAGCTCAATTCAAATTGTAGTCCTTGCTAAGTATTCTCTTTACATTCTCTCCTATCCACTTTCCATACCCCATGCCGCACAAATACACTTGATGTTATCAGTGCAATTTTACAGTAAAAATAATACCATTAGTTAATAACATTAACCGGATTTCTTTCAAGATATATTCTGCATAAATTATAAGTGACATATTTGAATCAAAATTAGTCTCATTCAGCTTCCAGTGACATCCAGGTCTTTAGAGCTACCATGTTCCTTAGCCTCATCCATTCTCTTATTGCTTTCTCTTCCTTCTTACATATTAGAACTACATTTACATCTGGCATATCTTATGAAGGGCTACATTTAAAAATTTGTATTAAATAATAATACACATACTAAGATACTTGCAATTTTTTTTTTCATTTTCAAGGGCTATTTTAATTCTTAACACTCCTTACATTGCTTGGTTTATAATTTTGCTTAGCAACTGTAATGCATTTTAAGGCACACTTAACTAGTGCTTTTAAAAATTGTGTTCTAACTTGGGTCTGTGTGTGTGTATGTGTGTGTCTGTCCACATGTGTAAGCACATGTGTGCATGTGTGATGGTGTGGGTCTCCATAGGGCCATGAAAAAGGTATTGCGTGAAGTTTTAGTTATATTTATATTTTTTCTAGTTAATATAAGTTTAGTAATATATTCAAAGTTTTACATGATCACTTGCATTGAAAATAAATTTGGAGAAATGCAAGCATTTCTTATTCTATTCAGTGATGAAAGCTTTATATTTTTGCGGGACATAAACTAGATTACTGTAATGCTGATTTCACTTATAATGCAACTTCTAATGACAGAATTTTAATAAGCTCATCTTGATCAAAGTATCAGTTAGGTTTTGATATATAACAAACACTCCCAGACCTTACTGGCTTAAAACAAGTGTCAGCAAACTGTTGCCTATGGATCAGGTCCGGATGCTGCCTATTTGTTTCCTTATTTATTTTTGCTGCCTGTTTTTGTAAATGACATTTTATTGGAACACAGCCTTGCTCATTTATTTACTTGTTGTCTGTGGCTGCCTTTGTGCTACAATGACAGAGTTGAGTAGTTGTGATAGAGACCACATGGCCCACAGAGCTTAAAATGTTTACTATCTGGCCCTTTACAGAGTAAGTTTTTGCATCCCTGGCTTAAAACAACAAGCATTTGTTAGCTCATAATTCTGTCAGCAGTTAGGATTCAACTCAGCAGAGCAGTTATTCTATAATGGCTTTTCCTGGACTCACTCATGTGGCTACGGTCAGCTGGCGGGTGGGCCAAGTTTGTTTGTCATAGAGGGCCTCATTTTTATGTCTGATGGTTGTTACTGGCTGTTAGCTGATGTGGTCAGGAAGACTGAGTCATATGTTTTGTACAGGCTAGCCCAGACTTATTCAAATAGATGCTGTTGTAGGACTTCCAAAAGCAGCAAGGGAGAGTAAGCTCCAGGAGGCAGGAAGTTTTCAAGCCTCTGATTGTATCATATTTGCTATTTTCTCATTGACTAAAGGGAGTCACGGTGTCATACTGTATTAGTCTGTTTTCGTGCTGCTGACAAAGACATACCCCAGACTGAGTAATTTATAAAGAAAAATAGGCCTCATGGACTCAGTTCCCCATGACTGGGAAGGCCTCACAGTCATGGTGGAAGGTGAAGGCCATGTCAAACATGGTGTCAGGCAAGAGAGAATGAAAGCTATGTGAAAGGGGAAACCCCTTATAAAACCATCAGATCTCATGAGACTTATTCACTACCATGAGAACAGTATGGGGGAACTGCCCCCATGATTCAATTATCTCCCCCTGGGTCCCTCCCACAACACGTGGGGATTATGGGAGCTATAATTCAAGATGAGACTTGGGTGGGAACACAGCAAAACCATATCATTCCGCCCCTGGTCCCTCCCAAATCTCGTGTCCTCAGATTTCAAAATTAATCATGGCTTCCCAAGAGATCCCGAAAGTCTTAACTAATTTCGGCATTAACTCAACAGTCCAAAGTCTCATCTGAAACAAGGCAAGTCCCTTTGGCCTATGAGGCTGTAAAATCAAAAGCAAGTTAGCTACTTCCTAGATACAATGGGGGTACAGGCATTGGGTAAATACAGCTGTTCCAAATGGGAGAGAATGGCCAAAACAAAGGGACTAAAGGCCCCATGCAAGTCCAAAATCCAGCAGGGCAGTCAAATCTTAAAGCTCCAAAATGATCTCCTTTGACTCCATGTCTCACATCCAAGTAATGCTGATGCAAGAGGTGGGTTCCCATGGTCTTGGGCAGCTCCAACCCTGTGGCTGTGCAGGGTACAGCCCCTCTCCTGGCTGCCTTTGTGGACTGCCATTGAGTGTCTGTGACCTTTCCAGGAACATGGTGCAAGCTGTCAATGGATCTACAATTCTGGGGTCTGGATGATGGCAGCCCTCTTCTTACAGCTCCACTAGGCAGCGCCCCAGTGGGGACTCTATGTGGGGGCTTCAACCCCACATTTCCCTTCCACACTGTCCTAGCAGAGGTTCTCCATGAGGACTCCACTCCTGAAGCAAACTTCTGCCTGGACTTCCAGGTGTTCCCATATATCCTCTGAAAACTAGGCGGAAGTTCCCAAACCTCAATTCTTGACTTCTGTGCACTCGCAGGCTCAGCACCCTGTGGAAGCTGCCAAGCCTTGGGGCTTGCACCCTCTGAAGCCATGCCCTGAGCTGTACCTTGGCCCATTTTCGCCATGGATGGAGCCTTTGAGATGCAGAACACCAAGTCCCTAGGCAGCAAACAGCAGGAGGGTCCCTGGCCTGGCCTACGAAACCATTTTTCCTCCTATGCCTCCAGGCCTGTGATAAGAGGGGCTGCTGCAAAGGTCTCTGACATGCCCTAGGGACGTTTTCACCATTGTCTTGGTGATTAACATTGGGCTCCTTGTTATTTATGCAAATTCTGCAAATTTCTGCAGCACGCTTGAATTTCTCCCCAGAAAATGGATTTTGCTTGTCTATTGCATTGTCAGGCTGCAAATTTTCCAAACTCTTATTTTTTGCTTCCTCTTGAACACTTTGTTGCCTAGAAATTTCTTCCGCCAGATACCTTAAATCATCTCTCTCAAGTTCAAAATTCCACAGATCTCTAGGGCAGGGACAAAATGTCACCAGTCTTTTTGCCTAGCAAGAGTGACCTTTACTCCAGTTCCCAACAAGTTCCTCATCTCCATCTGAGACCACCTTAGCCTGGACCTCATTTTTGATATCACTATCAGGATTTTGGTCAAAGCCATCCAACAAGTCTCTAGGAAATTCCAAACTTCGCCACATTTTCCTGTCTTCTGAGCCCTCCAAGTCTCTAGGAAGTTCCAAACTTTCCCACATACTCCTGTCTTCTTCTGAGCCTTCCAAACTGTTTCAACCTCTGCCTGTTACTCAGTTCCAAAGTCAGTTCCACATTTTCAGGTAACTTTACAGCAACACCCTATTCTACTGGTACCAATTTACTGTATTGGTTTGTTGCTATGCTGCTGATAAAGACATACCTGAGACTGAGTAATTTATAAAGAAAAATAGGTTTCATGGACTCACAGTTCCACATGGCTGGGGAGGCCTCACAATAATGGTGGAAGGTGAAAGGCACACCTTACATGGTGGCAGGCAAGAGATCATGAGAGCCAAGTGAAAGGGGAAACCCCTTTTAAAACCATCAGATCTCTTGAGATGTATTCACTACCACGAGAACAGTATGTGGGAAACTGCCCCCTTTATTCAATTATCTCCCCTCAGGTCCCTCCCACAACATGTGGGAATTATGGGAGCTACAATTCAAGATGAGATTTGGTGAGGAGACAGCCAAACCATATCACACATCAAGCATCAGTGTGCAAAGGGTCTGTGCAAATGTGTGGATACAGGGAGGCATGAAAAAACTGTGGACTCTCACTGTGAAAATCTATCACCTTTGGCTTCCTAATTTTACCAATAAGAAAAATAAGTCCCAGAGAGGTAAAGTGACTTATTCATGCTCATATAGCTGGTCAGCATCTAAGCCTGTATTTGATCCAGAATCTTCTGCTTTGCAGTACCAATGTCTCTGTTTTTGCTATTTGTCAATACACTTGAGCTTATCATCAGTGAACAATTATGTATCCTACATGGATGGTATAGGATAGTAGTTAACAACATGAACTTGGATTTCAGACCTCAGTTTTATTCATGGCTTCACTATTTCTTAGGTGATTTTGAACAAATGGCTCAAATCTTCTGAACATATTTCTCCCCTGTCACATACCGATGACAGAGTCTACCTCATAAACATGCCTGATGAGTAAATGAGATGCACTCTGTAAGGTATTGTGATAGTATCAAACTAAAATATATGCTCAAAAATGGTAAATAGCATTAGTGTAATTATCCTATTTTATAGTTTGTAGTCCCTTTTTCAAAATATTGTTTATTCTTTAACATTTTCACCATTTCTTGAAAAGCACAAATTAATTTTTTTTTAATTTTTCTTTTAATTTCACCTTTTTAGACCACTGATTTTTAAATAATTTCAGTCTTAATCCTTACAGCTTCATTTGTCAATTAAATGGTTTAATATGCATGTAATAGGTGACCTGGTCATATTAAGTAGCATCTTCGGCCTTTGATTATCTTCTCTCTTTGATTGTGGGGCAATCAAATATTCTAGGGGAGACATTATTTGTTGGACATATTAATTCCCTGAATCTATATATTTCTCCTCAAAACAATCTAAGAGTGGCTGCCAAATTTACTGTATTCTAGAAGGTGAAGCTTGTTTCTTTATTCCCAGCAGACTAGTATACCTTAAGGCTTCCCATCTACTTTGATACCTGGTATAGAAAAAATTCAGTTTTCTTGCTCCTATATATTTACTATTGCCTTATGCCATTATCACTTTTTATAAGAGAGCTGAGTTCAAGGAATGATTCCATTCGTTTCTTACTCTGTTAAACCATGTTATTAGCATAATTATTTTAGATTAACTGATTTGGATTTTTAAACACTAGAAATTATACTGCATCATTGTTTTCTCTGAAGACTATATAAATATACTAGTACAGTCTTTCTTAGAAGCTTAGATTGGATCAAATTAAATGCCAACTCTCTCTATACATATGTATATATACACACACACAACATTCTTTGACTTTGTTCTCATTATTTTACTGAGCATTTATATTGTTTTACTTTTACAAAGTTATAATGTATCTTTCTTTGTCTGTATCTATGTCTGATTTTAATGTCCTAATTTCAATTGAACTCCACCAGGGTAGCTCAATTTCAAATGTTCATAACATTAGCAATGCCAGTCATTGAGATATTACACTTAACTCATATATTATTTCAAATGACATAGAGCATTTCTTTTTTTTCCATTTGAAAAAGCATGTGTCACGTGAATTCTAAGATTCATTTGATAGCAGGTGTCTAGTTTCTATGATCCTCTAGGTTTTTGTTTTGTTTTGTTTTCTCCAAGTTGTTTTGATCTTTTGGATCCAGTCTTTAAAAGTTAGTTTCATTTAAATAACAAAGGCTTGTAGTTTATTCAGAAAAGTGACTCTCTCTCTATATATATATATATACACACATATATATAATATATATACACATATATAATATATATACACATATATAATATATATACACACATATATACATATATACACATATATATACATATATATACACACATATATATATACACACACACATGTATATATGCCCTAAATAATATAATTCCCTTGACTATACAAGAATTAGAAAGAGCAGCAAGAAAATCACGCTTAAATTTTTAGTTTCTATTCTAAACTGCTGGCAAGGGACAAACAAGGCTATTAGTAGGGACTTGTAATCATGTGCAGAACAATGTTGCCCTAAAAGGAAATTTACAAGTGTAAGTACAATCTCCCTTTTGTTAATTATGTTAATGGGAACTTGCATGCTCTTTCTCTGTCAAAAAAACTTGAGGAATGTAGAATATTCTCATGTCATCAGGATAAGTATCACCCTGTAGTGACATTCACTACCACACTACTGCATGACTACAGATTTAGACATTCTTAAGGAGCTCAATTCTTGAGGACATGGAAATATGGGATCTAAGGATTTAGGATCACAAGATAAAATCAAGTTTTCTATTCAGAAATGCTGAGGTTTGAGGGAGAAATACATCTTAGTTGGAATGCGTAAAATGTTGACTTGGAAGACCCTTTTGAGATTACCTATGGGAAACTCTGTATCTGTTGACAAAAAAAACTGAGACCTGGAGTACACAAAAGTCTTCTGTAAAACTTGAGTGTGAGTTACTGATAAAAGGATATAATTAGGACAAGACTGTGAAATTTAACATTATATCTCTGTGTTTTCTTGGGCCGGGTAAGGTTCTGAAACTGCCCAAGGGGTTCTGTGTATTTGGTACTGACCCACATTCTGGACATGACTTCCCTGGGGATGATATAGGGTCTAAGAAACAGTCTAGTCACATTTACGGTTTCCACATTTAACACATAATACCACAGGGAACATGGTTAAATGTTGATTTCAGATAAACAATTTTTTTTAGTATAAATATATCCTAAGATTGTTTTAGTGTAGTAGGGAGCTTCAAAATGAGGCCTGCAGATACAACCACCACAAAGGACTAGCCGGAGGCAGAGAGTGGTGTGGACTGTCTCAGAACCTGAGATGAACTCAGCTCCACTGTGAAAGGGAGTGTGGTTGAAACGGGCCTGATGCTTGTGCATATCCACTCTGGTGGGGTCAGTATGACAGAGGGAGTTCATGCAGGAGGCCATCTTCAAAAGTGTGACGTCACACAGTAGATTCTCTGCCTGGGACTTTGGAAATCAAGACCTGAGTGTGTGCAAAACGGAGCTAACAGGAACCAGGCAGATCATCAGGGCCTATGCTACAAAAGCTGAGCTTCTGGACTGTTTTATAATTCAATAAACAGGAGTATTTGTTGAGGAACTAAAGTTGATACCCACTTTTTATTAACTAGGCCAAAATGATGACAGTTTAAAGGAAAATTATAGAAAAACTGTGTGAATTAATCGATTGAAAAAAAAATCATCACCACTGACACTTTTTCCACTTGGTTCATATTGCGTCAGGAACTGTCTTGGGCTGATCCTAAAGGTGTAAAACAGCAGCGACTCCTATTTGGAGGATTTCTTAAGTCTAGAGGGTCAAGAATAGGAGTAGAGGCCTTTGGGGCCTTTGTATAAGCAATGTCATTATCCCTGGCTTCCATATGAAGGGGAAGTCAGCAATCAAATGATGACCACATATTGGTGAGGAAGAAAAAGAACGTCAATCACTACACATAAGAAACAGATACCGGCCGGGCGCGGTGGCTCACGCCTGTAATCCCAGCACTTTGGGAGGCCGAGGCGGGCTGATCACGAGGTCAGGAGATAGAGACCATCCTGACTAACACGGTGAAACCCCTTCTCTACTAAAAATACAAAAAAAATTAGCCGGGCGTGGTGGCAGGCACCTGTATTCCCAGCTACTCCGGAGGCTGAGGCAGAAGAATAGTGTGAACCCGGGAGGTGGAGCTTGCAGTGAGCTGAGATGGCGCCACTGCACTCCAGCCTGGGCGACAGAGTGAGACTCCGTCTCAAAAACAAAAAAAACAAAAAACAAAACAAAACAAAAGAAACAAACAACAACAACAACAGAAACAGATACCTTTAAAATTATAAACAAATAAGTTCAACAATACTGTTTTAAAGTTGAATTTATCATATTTTATTTGCACAAATCCATTCTCCACCATACAGTAAATGGTTGTATTGAATTATAAATTAAGTATAAAAAATAAAAACGATAGTGTATTCAGTTGTTTCCCCTACTCTGAATTTTTAACCACTTGTTTTTCCTTAGGATTTGAAAGAAAGAGAGAGAAAGAGAGAGAGATACAAAACGATACCTGACTGAAACCTGAAACCACACTCTAGTGCCTATATGTATACTCCATACAAATTTGGTATTTCTATAGGCAATACCAAAAAAGATGTAGGTACAGATAAAGATACAGCAGTGAGTATTCAGATGATTGTTGGCTTGCCACTATTGTGGATAAAATTATTACTTTTCATTGATTTTTACAAGAATTGCTAAATGAAAGTGTACATGTAAAAATACCTCAATTGCTTACATAAATTTAATCAAGTTTCATTATGATCTAAACACATTATTAGTAGTCAGCACTCCGAGATATTATGGCAAGATAGCCTCTTATAAGCCTATGTTCCTCTGTTCTCTTATGTTATAATATTCTACCTTCATCCCTTCTCATGGTGCAACCTGGTGAGACCACATTAATGCAACATTTTTCACCCTCCCAAAAGCCCTCAGCTCCCATGACCATGCACGGGGAAGTAGAGGGCTGCCTAAGCAGAAATGTGTCAAACCTGAGTTCTGAATCACTACCTCAATTAATGTTTGAATTCTACCCAGTCTTTCTGTACTCTCTTAACCCAACTACAACTAGTTTAGACGAGAAAGGATATCTGTTGGGATAATACATCCAATCTTTGGAAGACCAGGAGTGGAATTGGCTGAAGGATGGCTAGAATTAAGGAAAATTGAAATCTACCGACTGACTCACTTTCTCTCCACCACCTTCCTGCCCCCTTCTCCCCACAAGCTTCCTGCCCCTGCCACCTACCTTCTCCTTCCCTTCCTTTATTTTGTTTTTGCACATAACACACACCCGCTTTCTTCTCTCTATGAATGCTTGTTTCATTATTTTCTGCCACAGAAAGGGTGTTATTTTGTTTTATTTTAGTTTTTCTAATATGATGAATGCATATGACCATTAGCATCTTAACATTTTAGTTGGCCTTGTATTATTTAGCCCATTTACCTTATTCTGAGTTTTTAAATTTTCAGAGGAGGATTCAGCTTGGCCTACGTTGGTCTATGCCCATGCATAGACCAGTTGAGGTGGTTAGTGGGTTGAGCGCCTGACTGGTCCAGGTGGGGTCAGATGTCTCTCCTCTCAGATATTACAGCTATTCTAACAGAGAGGAAGCAAAGGATGAAATGTATATGGCACCATATAAATCATTTTGATTTAGGAAGTCAGCCCAAATTGTACCCTTTGTAATATTCTGTGATATTCTTATCATTACTCTTTTATTTCTGTGCTTGCCTAATCAATTGGATATGATGCATACTGTTTACCTCCTGGCTATGAATTTTTCTCTCTGATGGTGATTTTGACTCTTTGCCTAGCAATTTTGCTCAGAAGGATGCCCCTGGTTTGCCATAGCCCCTGGGAGCCTTTCTCTACCAGTACCTCCTCTCCAGTTAGAGGTCAAGTACATAATTACATAAAGATTTGAGTGGAGCAAGCAAAGTAATGTTATGCTGTGGAGCAGATATAGGCAAATTGTTTAGGACCAGATATAGGCAACCTTTTCTCCTTGTATCACAGGCAGTTAATTGAGAAGCAAAAACGTGTCTAAAACCAGTATATGTTAAGTTCTTCAGTCATTAATTTATCTTCTTATCTTATTAACATTTACTGAGCATTATGCCAGCCACTCAACTCAGTGAAGAAAAATTAACATTTTTTGTCTGTACTTAGGGAGCCTTCAGTCTTGAGGAGGAAACAGATTCTAACCAAAATTCAATCAGATATATGTGCTCCATGGCCTGAAATGTATTGATATATAGAGTATATAATGGGATATTTATCATAATTTGAACATTATGAAGAAAGAATGGTAGAGGAAGTGATGGAACTAAGATGTGAAGAACCAACAGGAGTTAAGTAAATAGAGTATTTATAAGAAGTGGGTGGGATAGGGCTAGAATTCCTTGCAGGGGAAACACCATGTGCAAAGATGATGTGGCAGGAGGAAACCTGCCATTTTCAAAAGACACATGATGAATACTGAGCCTAGAGAAGCAGGTAGAACAGATAAAATTTTATCCTACACGTTAGTGGCAAAGGCAGTCACTTAAGACTTTAATGGGACGGAGACTTGGTCAGTTATCTGATAACTGATTAGTTGAATTTCTCAAATCATTGACACAAAGTGTAAGGCAAGGATAGCTCAAAGGAAATAATAAAAAACCACTTGACAAAATTACAGTTAAGTGCCACATAATGACGTTTCACTCAGTGATGGACCACATATACCCCAATGGTCCCATAAGATTATAATGGAGCTAAAATTTTCCATCACTTTTTATATAGTATACTGTATTTTTATTATGTTAGAGTGTACTCCTACTTATTAAAAAAAAAAAAAGCTGTAATTCAAGCAGGTCCCTCAGGAGTTATTCCAGAGAAAGGCATTGTTATCAAAGTGACAGCTGCATGTGTGTTATTACCCCCGAAGACCTTCCAGTGGGACAAGATGTGGAGATGGAAGACAAAGATATTGATGATACTGACCCTGTAGAGGTCTAGGCCAGCAGCCCCCAACCTTTTTGGCACCAGGGACTGGTTTTGTGGAATACAATTTTTCCACAAACTGAGGGCAATGGGAGAGGGTGGGTTGGTTTCAGGATGAAACTGTTCCACCACAGATCATCAGGCATTAAATTCTTATAAAGAGCACACACCTAGACTCCTCACATATGCAGTTTACAGTAGTGTTTGCACTCCTGTGATAATCTAATGCTGCTGCTGAACTGACAGGAGGTGGAGCTCAGGCAGTAGTGCTCGCTCACCTGCTGCTCACCTCCTTCTGTGCAACCTGGTTCCTAACACGCCAAGGACAGGTACTAGAGCAGTACCAGTCCGGGCCTGGGGGTTATGAATCCCTGGTCTAGGCTACGATGTGTGTTTGTGTCTTAGTTTTTCAAAACAGTTTTAAAAGTAAATAATAGTAATAATGACTAAAAAATTCTTAAACTGTATAGAATAAGGATATTTAAAAAGAAATTTTTGTACAGCTGCACAATGTGTTTATGTTTTAAGCTTAGTGCTAATCTAAAAACTAAAAAGTTTAAAAAACTTAAAAGTTTATAAAGTCAAAAAGTTATAGTAAGCTAAGTTTATTATTGAAGAAATAAAAATATTTTTGTATACATTTTCTGTAGCCTAAGCATACAGTGTTTATAAAATCTATAGTAGTGTAATGTCCTAGGCCTTTATATTCGCGCACCTCTCACCTAGATCAACTTCCAGTCCTATAGCCTCCATTCATGCTAAGTGCCTTATGCAGGTGTATCACTTTTATCTTTTATACTGTATTTATATTGTACCTTTTCTGTGTTTAAATATGTTTAGATGCACAAACACTTACTATTGTGTTATAATTGCTTATGGCATTCAGTATTAACATGCTATACAGGTTTGTAGCCTCGGAGCAATAGGTAGGCTATACTGTATAGCCTAGGTGTGTAGTAGGCTGTACCGTCTAGGTTTGTGTAAAAGCACTCTATGATGTTCACATAGAGAATAAATTGCCTAATAATGCATTTCTCAGAATGTATCCCCCTCCTTAAGCAACACTTGACCCTATTTTAAATCACCTCATGTGAAAGAGCAACTCTTTGAGGTTAGCAGAGCCAGATGTAAAACACTCTGTACTATACTTGGCAAATTAAACATTCTTGCTAATTGTTGTTGTTATTGTCCTCTTCCTTTTCTTTGCATCATATCTACAAAGCCATGTTTTCTAAACATATATTGAAGCTACCAGGATTTCAAAAAGCAAGAGATTTTATACAGCACATAAGAAGCAAGTGAAAAAATTGTAATATATATTTGGATTTCTTAAAAGTCATCAGAGAACAGAGATTTGATCCTTTTGTCTACAAGACACTGCAATTATTGCTGCTTATCATGAGTCTCCTGGGAGACAGGCACCCGCCAGAGTAAATACAGATGATAAGCATAGCTTATAGAAATTCTGTCCACATTTGAGTCTTTGTGACCCCTGAGCAGGACAGAAAATCATGTCAGGGTATGTGTTTAGAAGGATATCCTCTAATCTCATTCTTTCCTTCCCACATCTGGCAGTCAAAAGGATCCCCTTCCTTTTGGGAATCTTTTACTCTATTTGTAATGTGAGGACTGCAAAGATAATTAAAAGTCTTCAGTCATCTCGATTGTCACTGAGCACAGCCTTCCTCTAAATAGCTGATGGGGCTAAATCGTTTTTATGCTTTATTCCTTTGCCATCTACTGAAGATGTTACATCATGCACACCGAGATGGCCATCAGCCTGGCAACAAGAAAAAATAGATAAAGTCTTGCCTATTTGACAAACTAGGACATGCACTGTGAATAATAAAAAGTTGGCCCAAATATTAAACAAATATATTTTATTATGTAATTCATATTGTTTATTACCAGGGGAAAAATCCAAAACACTATTAAGCAATCTTGGTAAATCAAAGCCTTACAGTTATTACTTTTGGATTTTAAATAACTTATACATTCAGTTACTTACTTTTATATGCATGCACCCACAGATGATTTGCCAACTTACAATAAATATCCACTTATAAATGATAAAAGGTAAATAAACAAAAATTTAAAACTGGAGGAAGAGAAAGTATGTGATTATGAGTTGACTTGTTCTCTGCGGACAGTATGATGATTAGCTAGATAGCTCCTTTTGCAAAATTTGCTCAGAAAACGTGCTTTCTTTAAGATTACGGGGAAATGTGTTATTATTTTCAACATAATTACATATGTATTGCTATAGAATTAGGGTTGTTTAATCTTATTTAAAATTTTGTTTTTGGATATTTTTCTTTTTAAAAAAGCTGCATTGCTGGCAAGAGTGATATTCTACATCATTCTACTTCACAGAGTTATCATGGGCTTCTTTCCTGATGAAGAACTACAGTTCCATATAGCCAATGAATAAAAGCATTTCATTCCCTGTGAAAATTAGAGTTTGCCTATTGCAATATACATATAGCTCTATATTTTAAAAAATCATTTTTTTCATCAATGTATTTAATGCAGTAAACTTCTCTTTATAGAATGGGCTGATACTACCCAAGCAAATGCCACTCTGAGAGATTTTTCTTCCTTCGTCCAACAGATTTTTCTTGAAACAGTTGAAAGCCTCCAGCCCTTATAAATAAAGCTGAGCGATGAAACTCAATTATAATTAGCATCTTGAATTCAGACATGTACTATGTTTTAATTGGAGGAGAATTGGCTTTTAGTTTTATGCGTTAAAAGAGTTGTTTGGTTACATATTCCTGAGCAGCTGAGCCGCTGAGTGGATGTTTACCATCAAAGTTTCTGGGCAATTTAGCTACTGCATGCCTTGTCTTCTTTATTAAAAGAGTCAGAACTTTCTTCAGCTGGCCCCATAAGAGGAAGAGCATAAAATTGCTGGTACTATGGCAATTACTGATGGAAATACTCTTCTCTTGGCCTTAGGAAGAAGGATTCCATTCTGTGAAGACCCACAGTCCCTTAAGATACATATTTGTCACTTTTGTTCATAATCGTATGCCAGACATCAGAGTAGTGATGGGTCACCCCCTTTATTTCTACATATCAGAAATTTTTTTAATCATCAAATTTAACTGTGAAGCTCTGTATCCTTAAAAGGTCTATTCATTTAGAAAAAATAAAATAAAATACGTGGCCAGGCACAGTGGCTCATACCTCTAATCCCAGCATTTGGGAGGCCAAGGCAGACGGATCACCTGAGGTCAAGAGTTTGAGACCACTCTGGCCAATATGTTGAAACCTCATCTCTACTAAAAATATAAAAATGAGCCGGGTGTGGTGGCGCACACCTGTAATCCCAGCTACTCGGGAGGCTGAGGCAGAAAAATCTCTTGAACCCGGGAGGCGGAGGTTGCAGTGAGTCGAGATCATGCCACTGTACTCCAGCCTGGGCGACAGAGTGAGTGTTTGTCTCAAAAAAGAAAAAAAATACACTTCGGCTCTGTGACTGTGTATGTATTTGTAAATCAAACTAATTCTGAAATATATTTAATTTGGCTTTTTTAAGTAAAAAATAATGAAAAAGAAATCTTGGTGATTATGCTAATTTATCTATCGCTATGTAACAAATCATCCCCAAACAGTTTCTTAAAACAATACTGATCACTCATTAATATATAATATCATTAATACATAATATATAATATCAGAATAATAATATCTCTTATTACTCTGGGAGTGACTGGGTTGGGCTCGGTGGCTTTCCCTCAGGGTTTCTCATGAAAATGGGGGAGACAATGGAGGAGGCTGGTGTTACTTCAAAGGCTTTAGCTTGGCAGTTGATGATGGCAGCTGGCTGGAAGCCTATCTGGAGTTGTTGGCTTGAAAGTGTACACATAACCTCTACTTGTGGCCTGTGATTACTCACAGCATGGTGACTGGATTCCAACAGCAAGAAGAGATAGAGATGGAGATGAAGGAGTGGCACACAGACACTATTGCATTTTGTGATCTAACTTTGCAGAACACACCATTTCATGTCCATCGTGCTGTATTGATTGAGGCTGTCACAAAGTTTCATGCAGCTTCAAAGAAAGAAGACATAGGTTCTCTCTCTCTCTCTTTTTTAGTTTAAAAAATTATTTTTATTCTTAATTGACAAATAGTAATTGTATATATCTGTGGGGTACAAAATGATGTTTGAATACATGTATACATTGGTAGAATGAGCAAATCAGGCTAATTAACATACCCATCAATTCACACACTTACTATTTTTTGTGGTGCGTATGTTTACAAACTACTCTTTTAGAAACTTTGAAATATACAATACATTATTATTAATTATAGCCACCTTACTCTGCAATGGATCACCAGAAATTCTAACCCTGAAACCAACATTTCCCCTTTCCCTAACCCACCCTCTCAGCCTCTGGTAACCATCATTCTACTATTTCTATGAGTTCAACTTTTTCAGATTCCACAAATAAGAGATCATATTATGGAGAAGTTGCAAGGTCACATTGCGATATGAGCAAGTGGACTACTGCTAAGGCCATATTAGGAAACTATAATCTGTTCAAAGTGACTCACTAAGGATCACAGAGTGAACTTGTAGTAATATTAGCTAACTTTTATTGGGTGGTTGCCATGTGCTCTGTGATGTTCTGTGTGATTTATTATACAGGTACTGTCATTCACATTACACAAGCTCATTCATATAATGTGGATTTTATTGTATTATCCATTGTGAAGATTAGAAAACAGAGCTAAGCAACTTGTTGTAAATCACATAACTCGAAATGAAGATACAGAGCCCAACTCTTAACCTCGATCTGATAATCCTACTCACTAGGAAAAAAATTAAAAAAAAAAAAGAATGGAAAGAGTTTAGTCTCTTATTTTAGAGGACCTACTATTTAGCCATATGACCTTGATTTACTTAATTTTTATCTGTGAAAGGTAGAGATTCATGTCTAAAAATTTGAATAGTGATAGTGGACTTTTAGTGTGATTGTGAAGGCTAATTTATAATGTTCACATGAAAGTGCCTAGCATAGTGCTGGTCACATAAGGGTTGTCCAAAATAGACTGTTTTGAGCATGTTATTTAATCAATTGAACATGTTATTTAATTAATAGGATGTTTTGTTTTTCTGTTAATTTTAAGTAATTTGATATTGCTATATGGACAATACTAAACTTCATCTTGTTCAAAGACCCCTATGTAGCCCTCTAATTCAATTAGTTGGTAGGTATTACAAATGATAACATAAACAATTACATTTCTGACAAATGAAAAACTTTTGTAGCACTGAATTTTGGTATGGCATATTGTTTTATAATCAAATATTTTTTAGAAAAGATGTGGATGCCAGTATACAAACATTTTTACCTCATAATTATATATATTTATACCTATTTACATATGATTATACACATATAAATATGTATACTTATGCATATATCTTATTCCACATATTATTTTATATATATAGTAAAACATATAAACAGTTTCTTCCCTGAACCTTTGTGCTTCTTGGAGCATATACTTGGGGAAGTGAACCAACATATAGCCTATAGTTCCAGAATTGAAGTGATAAAAAATTATCTATTTTTTCCTTTGACTTAGATTTTATTTTCTCCTGTGTAACTAAAATATTTTGTGTTCAATAAGTGTTTGTTGATTGATCAAAGGATTTTAAATCTGAGATTAAGCTTAAAGAGGGATTATTGCTTGTCTCTTGCTAAATATCATTTTGGGAAAAGCTTGAAAATAGCCAAGCCCCTTTTAAGAGTCCAAATTTGATCTGATGTTAATCTAAGCTTTATAAAGACTTTCTAGGCTTTCTGACATTGCGAAATTTGGTTCCAGTACATCTTGTCTTGGCAGGAGTTCAAAAGTGTAGAAACTGTTCAGCTGTCTTATAAAATTATTGTGGTTAATTTAAAATTTGGTTATATAGATGAGTAAAGGGTCAGAGAACATACATGGCATATATTTCATTACCCTAAACTGAATCTTGAAGGAAGTCACTTGCTTTTTTACTTTTTTATAGTCACTTTTATCAGATTCTTCATTTCCCGCCTCCTAAAGTTAATGCTTTAAAACAATAAATGTTCACTTTATGCTGTGCTAAAGGTATCATAATCCTCAGATAATACATACTAAGTACTTTGATTTAAATAGAATATGAAAAGTACAGTAACTAGAATGAAAGCTGAGGTCCCATCTTAATATTCATTTTAGACAAATTTATGACAGATTTAGGTGTGGTGATTTTTGTACATTAACATCAAAATCAACATTTTTATTAATTGGCAGATGTATGCATGTGTCTCTAATTGTGTTTAGAGGAAAATATTTAAGCGCTTTATTTATTTATTTTATTTTTTTCAAATGTAGCAGTCATTTTCTAGCTTATTGCAGGCCCTGCCATCTATAGACTGTGATGCCGTCACCTAAATGTACTTGAATTCATAGGTAGCTCTGTATGATATTTGTTACCAGACCTTAAAATGCAAGACAACTGCATTTATGGTAGGAAAATTAATATATTGTCTAATTGTAGGAACAAGAAAGAAATTCCTTAACATTAGTGCTTCTCATAAGACAAACCAATAGGAAAATGTGTTGGAAAAAATGCAATAAAATTTTAAAAGAAATGATTTCTAAATCTGTGTCATAAATAAAATTTCAGATAAGTTTCTTTACCTAACTTATAGTTGGCCAGTGACCATCCTTTGCTCCTGTCAGACAGAGTAATTACTCAGGCAGTGTGCTTTTGCCTAATGGTATCAAACCAGCTTCAAGGAAGGGACATTTTGAGGTCCGATCTTGGCTATTACCGGGTCAAAATTTAAACTCTTTCTCGTGGTTCCTATAGATCTTGAAACAAGAAGAGACGCTGAGAACTAACATACCTGTTACTCATGGAAAAAAATCAAGTACAATGATGTCTTTTTATGTTATGGAGAGCATGCTGACCACAACACAAAAGAGAACTAAGTTTACTTTTCACAAGGTGAACAATCACTGGATCTTGTCTTTAGTGATTAATGGCTGTAACCTTTTTTTTCTATCTCCTTCCCAGTGCAAGTATAGGATGGGAGATAAAAGCATAGATGTCTCAAAATCACTTTTAGTCACTTACCTGGTGTTGAAGATTTTGAAATGCAGGTCAAATTTGCTGACTTAAGATATATAAGATCTGCAGAAGAAACATCTTTGCTTGAAATTGAAGGAGCAGAGAAGCAGTAGGCCTTCACTGTCTGATTTAGGGGATCAAACTTCTAGGCTACTACGTATTACTGACCCCTTAGGTAAATATGAATTCCCTATAACAGACTATAAAACTGCATTTGAGTGGAAATCTAGTATCAATATTGCTAAAAAAAAGATAAAATATCACCTCTGTGCATAAGAAGCTTATGTACAGGGGTCATATTTTAGTCATCTTTTTATTCCCAGTGGATGACACAAGATTTTTGAGCTACCCAAACTCTTCCAAACAATTTCTCACCTCATGAGAGAAGAGCATGCCATTAGTTTAAAGAAGGCACGTCCAAAAGTGTATTCTAAAGAACTCACATCTCTCAAGCAACCTCATGATGGACATTTAGAATGACTCTCTTTTTCATGGTTCTCATAATTTGTCTGGTACGGAAACTTTTATTTTGCTTAACCTACAATCTCCAAATTAATTTGGTCAGATAATCTATCATTTTGGTTTCTCGCTTTATTTTTTTTATTTTTTTTTTTTTTTGCTATATGTACCCTTTGACATTCTGTAGAACTAATGTTTAACACGATCCATGTTGGAAAAGTAACATTTCTTGTTTTGGTGAATAGCTCATTTTCGCCCATTCCCTAAGTTTCTTTTCCAAGTTTTTCTTCAATAAGTGCTGCCAAAACTTCCTAACTTAGAGGTTGTAGAATGGTAATAATTCGTAATTTTTATGTATGTTCTTAAGTATGAGGCATAATTGTTTACAAATTTCTTAGGATCACCCCAAAAAACGTTGACTGAGAGCCTCCTCTTGACACTTTAACCCTTACTGCTTGCCTCCACTCTGTATGTATTAGTCCGTTTCCACGCTGCTGATAAAGACATACCTGAGAATGGGCAATTTAAGAAAGAAAGAGGTTTATTGGACTTACAGTTCCACATGGCTGGGGAGGTCTCCTAATCATGGCAGAAAGTGAAAGGCACATTTCACATGGCAGCAGGCAAGAGAGAGGGCTTGCACAGGGCACCTCCCATTTTAAAGCCATCAGGTCTTGTGAGACCTATTCACTATCATGAGAACAGCATGGGAAAAACCTGCCCCCATAATTCAATCGTCTATCACTGGGTCCCTCCCATAACACATAGGAATTATGGGAGCTACAAGATGAGGTTTGGGTGGGGACACAGAGACAAACCATATCACTGCGTTACTTCCCATTGCCACCTCGTTGTATTTATTTGTCTTCTTTCTTTCTTTCTCTACCATCAGGGACATAATCCTCTTATCTCCCTTGCCACTTCTTTCTCTCCTCTGGCTCCCAGGGAAGTCAGCCAAAATGAAAAGCAAATAAACATGAAAAACAGTGAGATGTATGAATTTTCTTTTATTTCTACAATCCCATAAACCAACATTAAGTGCAAAAATAATGTTGGGACATTCAGGGGGAAATATCTGTGGAAATGACACAAATGTGACAGCAACTATAACTGGAAATAACGCTGAATTTATAAAGTGTTGGATCATAAAGTATTTAGAGAATATGGTAATGTGTGTGTAAATTATGAAAATAAAAACCCCACTAAAACATGTTTAAAAGTTACTGTATAAAACTACATTTTGTCTCTAACTTATTGTTTAGGGATTAATTTTTTACGTAATTAATAAAGCTTTAATAGGGATCTTCTTATTTTAATACCTCTAGGAGGAAAATGCACATAGCTTTCCTTCTATTTTCTGAAACATGGATCTTAATCATTTTTGATTAAGTTCAAGTTGCAATGTCATGAAGTCTGACTTTGGAAGTACCATTTAGGCATGGGAATTTGAGATACTATTGTCTCTCTAGGTATGTAGGTTTCTCATTAATATGAACTATTAACAATTATGACTAATCAAACTAGTTTTACTTTGTGTAACACCTTGTAGTCAAAGATTAAAAAGGTTTGATTTTCTAGTAAAGTTGCCTTACATTTTATGCATGTGAAGATTTTTTCTCTTTGACCCTATAGCAATTCTGTATTTTTAAACAAAGTTAGTGAGTATTTAGTTTGTGCTCACAGTAAATCTACCAGTATTAACTGCCTTAAGACATTTTATTTTATTTGTTTTATTATTTATTTATTTTATATTTATTGTTTATTTATTTATTTATTGAGACAGAGTTTTGCTCTTGTTGCCCAGACTGGAGTGCAATGGTGTGATCTCGGCTCACTGCAACCTCAGCCTCCCAGGTTCAAGCGATTCTCCTGCCTCAGCCTCTCGAGTAGTTAAATACAGGTATGCAACTACTAGATACATAAGCTTTGGAAATTTTGCTTTAAGGATTATTTTAAAAATACGTAAAGAGTACCAGGCACAAACTAAAACCTCAAAAAGTGTACTTAGGTTTCCTTTTCTTTCTTCATCACTGTCGTCATAGGCATCATCATCTAACAATCTTCCTGCCCTAAGTAGTTGTTTATTTGAACTCTGCAGGAATTAGAACTATTTTAAAACATGTATCTTGGCCAGGTGCGGTGGCTCACACCGCACCCCCAGGACTTTGGTACCCCAAGGGGGATGGATCACCTGAGGTCAAGAGTTGGAGAGCAGACTGGCCAACATGGTGAAAACCCATCTCTACTACAAATACAAAAATTATCTGGGCATGATGGTGGGCACCTGTAATCCCACCTACTTGGGAGGCTGAGGCAGGAGAATTACTTGAATCTGAGAGGTGGAGGTTGCAGTGAGCCAAGACCGAGCTATTGCACTCCAGCCGGGGCAACAAGAGCGAAACTCCATCTCAAAACAAAACAAAACAAAAATAGCCAATCGAGTTGGTACTAATGTTTCACTTTATGAATACAGAGACTCATACTTTAAAAACTTAAATACATTTCCAAAGCTTTTATATCTAGTAGTTGCATAGCTGTATTTAAGAGTTGGATTATTCTTTTAACCATTATTGTGAAGTATGTGATTGCTAGAGGGTTTAAAAAGCAGGAGAAGAAAAAAACATTCTTGGGAGGCCAAAGGAAATACAAAATAGGAAATTTTTATTTCCTAATGTGGTTTAACTTATTTCATGTTCAATTCTTGCTTTTGGATAGAAAGTGTTCTATCACTGATTTGGCTTATAGTATGTGTCAAAATTTAATTCTTCAAAATATCTCACATGCCACCTCATTCTTGAAGCTTTAAGAAAATCCCTTACTTGATACTATCTCTTCCTTATTTGAGCTTACTTAGCTTGCACCCTTCATATATTGCCTCACCTACTTTATCAATCTCTCTCCCTGCCACATCTGTCTTCCCCCTGTCCCAATACACACACATATACACATAGATTAAATGCCTTCAGTAGAAGGACAGTTTCTTTTTTCATAGTTTGTTTATTCATTTCATTATTCACTCATTAATTTATTCATACATCTAACATACCTGTATTAACAACACACAAGAAGCAAGTCACTTCTTTGTCTTTCAAAGTGTGCATTGTCTAATGAATGAAAAGAGCGAGTGCACCAATATTTATCATGTAGTGCTTGTGGGGCCACCTTGCACATTTTGTACATAGTAGGCCATCAGTGAGTATTAATTGAACAGATAGGTATGCATTGTGTACGGAGTCATTTTGTTGAAAATACTAGTATAATTTTATTTTGGAAATCATAGATAAAATGGTGTGATTAAATACTCTTAATTATTCAATACTTTGATTATCAGATTACCTACGCACTATATGGCTTTACCTTATAACCTCAGGTTACTCTGTATGTAAAGGAATATATGTTGATTATATTTAATGCTGTCTCTGCTTTACACAGGTTTCTATAACATATGACTAATCTATCCTTGGAGGAAAACTGGTCCAGGGTATGTTGGAATCTACATTTTGCTCAGCTGAGTGATGATGAAATTTAATTTCATTTTTCACTATGTTTAGGGTAAAATGTCTGTCAATAATATGTAAAATGTCAAACTTTATGTCATCATTAGAAATAATATTTCTGTTTGAGAAATTAGATACATTGTGTGAATGTTCTAAAATGCTTTCATTATTGTTTCATTTTTATTATTAATGATTAAGAAATGGGAAAATGAGAAGAGTTTTCCAGTATACTGATAATCAAAATAAATTGTGTAATAAGCTCTCAAGTAGACTCATGTCTGGAGTCCAAAAGATTATGCCTTGGGCTTAGAAAAGTCAATATAGAAGCAGCTAGAAAACAGCATGCTTTAAAAGTAGAGCCCTGATAAGAAGGGCATGCATTCTAAAATCACTGTTCCATTAAAGAAGGTGCAAACCTACTTCTCTCCCTGTTTTAAATATTGTTTGAACTTCAGTTCCTTTAGCCAATTTTTTTCCATATGGGCCATTATATTTTCAAGAGGGGCTCTATGAGATTTGAACTGGTATGAAATAATGTTTTATTTTCATCTTAGGAATGGTAGGATGATTCCCTGGCTCATATCCAAAATTCAAGAGGAATTTTTTTCCTCCTGCTTAACCTAATAAACTACTTTTGTTGTAAAAAATGAAATTTGTTTTGACTATAAACTCAGATCTCTCTACCTGTATCTCTTCAGTGTCCACAGAAATGTGGTCAGTTGGACCTCATGCCACACATATCAACATACTTGTAAAGATGCATTCAGCAGCCAGGGTCTAACAGACCTTTATCAACCATCTACCATGTACAGTGCATTGTGGTGGGCACAAGAGAGGCAGACTGCATAAATCAATATCTCTGCTTTTGGGGAGATTACAATTTAATGAGGATGCATTGAAACAAATATTAGAGCACAATGAAGAGATAATGAAGATGTATGTTTGATGTAAAAGAATACAATGACTAACACTGTAAGGGAGGCCAAGTAGTGATTCACAGGCAGGTTGATTTTAATCCAGAGCTCAAAGTTTGAGTGGGATACCATTAGATTACTACAATGAAAAAAAAAGTGATTAGTAGTAAACAGTGATTGTAGGCTCTCTATAGTCTCATTCTATGCACTTTACGTATATTACATTTAATCCTCCCAAACCTGTGAGAAAGCATAATTATGATCCTACTTTAGAGATGAACAAGCTGTTAAGAGGTTAATTTACCTAGTGTTATACAACAAATGATCAAACTTTGATGTAAATCTAGCAGTTCGGTGCAGGGACCTGATTCTGGACAGAAAAAAAAATGATTAATCCAGGACATAAAATATGAATACATATATGTCTTTAGGTTTGGGAGGATAAAGGTTCAAAGGTTGGATGACTTGTAAATATGACTGGTGAAATAGGAGGCTTGAATTAGAGGTTGGAGCAAGATAGTAATTAGAGGTTGGAGCAAGATTGTGAGTAGGATTATATACCAGGTGTTTGTAGTTACTATTGTTACTATGTATATCTCCAACAATGAAGAAAATATACATATCTCTTTTTTTAAGTATCCCAATGGGATTTCAGAAGAAAATTGTGGTAGCAGTGTGAAGGGTGGATCTTACAGGAAATAGAATATAGAATGTTGATTGGAAATCAGTTAAGAGGACCTATGCAATTGTATAGGTGGAAGGACATTGATGACGACTCAAACCATAAATATAAATCTGTAGTGTTATAGAAATGTAAGTTTTGACTAATAAAATGATCTTATGATTAAACCTCCACAACCAGCAAGAAATTTTGCAATACACAAGGTAGACAAAGTGATAAACATAAAACATTAACATTTAATATGAAAAGAAAATTAAACAGGTCTCAAAAGCAATAGCCACTTTAGCTGTGGCCAAATGCTTACAAAAGATAGCATATAAATGTGGGAACCATTCAGTTTTCATAATAAAAGGAAATTTAGTCTCAAAGCAGCAACTTCAGATAGAAATAAGCAAGACAGTAATGAAGTCTCTGAATAACTCCCTCCTCAAGAGTGAATATCCTTGGATTTTTGACAGGGATCAGTTAAATTGTCCATAAAGTGCAAAGGGACAATGGAACTAAATTGCCTCAGGCTGTGTAAATCAAAGTTATAGTTTAGAGGCAGTTACAAAACCAGAAATGTGTATGAACTGTTAAAACTTTTCATTTTTGAAACATAACCATATCTTTGTCTTTGGCTCTCTCTCTCTCTCTCCCTCCCTCCCTCCCTCTCTTCCCTTCCTTTTTCTCTCAAACTCCAGCAATTTTCATTTTCTGCTGGAACAATGATACGTTACATCAAATTTCTTGGTCACACCCAGAAAGAAGTAGCAAGGTTGTAAAATAATCAGCCATTGGCTCACTTAATTAGTGGAAAATTGTGCTGTTTCCTCCACCACTAGAAAGAAAAATAAAAATAAAAACCTATTGATCTAATCTAAGCCCTAGACGGAGATTTTTTTTTAATTAAGTAAGCCCTTAAGCTGATTGATTTTACATGGCACTGAAGATACACCATGTTAGTCAAAAATGCAAAAAAAAAAAAATGTATTCAATGCCTGCCTCTAACACTCAAGTAAAGCAACATATCACTCTATCCCTGGATCTAGCAGAAAGCCTGGTACACAGTAGGGACTTACATATTTCTGTTGCCTGAACACTGAACGTTGGTACCTGTGATCTAATTCATATGAATCATAGTATCCAAATCTATTATGAGAGCTGAGTGATTATACAAAAATGTGTTTAAAATGAGTTTTGGCGCTGCCCTATTCTAATCTCTCTTTTGGCCTACTGCAGTGAAGTGGCTTCAACATTTCAGCCTAAAGTTATTTGCTCAGATGAAATTTATATGGGAGCTTAAAGAAATAAAACAAAGAAAAAGCAGAAATTATGTTATTGCAAACAGTTTAGAGAACTGAAAATGATCCTGTCTCTTGCCCTTATTCCAGTGCAGCCAGTCATAGGGTTCTGGAAAAAATGCAGTTAGAAAGCTAATGGTACAGAAAATATTTATGCTAAATTGATCACATACCTTTTATAGTCTTTTGTTTTCAGGTTTTCCTCTTCACAGGTCATATAGTCTTTAATTCATGGCACCTTTTTCCTCTTGTCTGAGTTTCTTTAGCCTTTTACTCCAGTGCTGACATGAAAACAGCGTGTTGTTTAAATTAACTTTTAACAAGGTCAGTCCATTTGTAAATAAGAAATATAGCTTTGGTTTTATGTGCCGTTAGTTATTTTAAATAGCTGACTTCTTAACAACTTACCTTCATAGAATATCAACTTTACAGCTTTATTGCAGTATCATTGACAACACAATAAATTGTCCCTATTTAAAGTGTACAGTTGGATATGTTTGACATATGTATTTATTTATGAAATTATACCCACATGAAAATAATAAACAGATCCATCATCCCCAAAAGTTTCTTGGTGCCCCTTTATAATAACCGTTCCTCCACCAACCCTGGTTTTCAGGAAAAACACCGATCTACTTTTTCTCACTGTAAAGTAGTTGCACTTAATAGAATTTTATATGATTGAAATCATGCAATGTGCTTTGTATTTTTCTTTCAGTAGTTATCATTATTTGAATTACCCGTGTTGTTATATTTATCAATAGTTTGTTACTTTTTGTTGTGAAGTAGTAGTTCATTGCATGGCTATACTATAATTTGGTTTTCCATTGACTTGTTGAAGGCCGTCTACTCTTGTCAGTTCTTGGCTATTACAGACAAAGCTTCTATGAACGTTTATTTACAAGTCTTTGAATGGACACATTCTTTCGTTTCTTGTGGGTAAATCTCTAGGAATGAAATGATTGGGTCATATGATAAGTGCATTTTTAAATTTTTGTAAAACTGTTGAAATATTTTACAAAATTTCTGCACCATTTTACATTCCCACTAGTAGCATATGACAGTTCCAGTTCCTCTGTATCCTCACTAACACTTGATATAATCAGTTATTTTAATTTTAACAAATGTAATCAGTACAGAGTAGTATCTCATCATGGTTTAATTTTGAATTTCTTTAATAGTTAATGATGTTGAGCATCTTTTTATGAGCTTATTTGTAATCCATATAGATATTTTTGGTGAAATGTCTGTTCAAATCTTTTGTCATTTTTTTTTTTCTACTCTGGTATTTATATCTTTCTTTCAAATTGTAATATATGAGGCCTTTGTTGTATGTGTTTTACAAATGCCTTCTCCTAATTTGTATATTGAATTGAAGTAATGTATCTTTTAATGAGCAAAAGGTTTAGGTTTTGAAAAAGTCTAATTATTTTAATTTTGATGGATTCTAATTTAATTTTGTAGTTCATGATTCAAAAATCCTGTCTAAGAGACCATTAACAAATTAAATGCCACTAGGATTTAATCCATATTTTCTTCATGCAGATTTATCATTTTAGCTGTTATTTGTTAGGGGTTATTGACCTATTATATCTTTATTAGGCATTAATAATCAATTTAAAAAATTAACATTTTGTCATTTTGTATTATCCTTCTGTACATATTGTTTTATATATTTTTATACACTTCTTAAAATTGTGTTACTAAGTTTATATCTATGTTCATGAGTGATATAGGTCTGTGGTTTACTTTTCCTGTAAGATAAAGAAGCTGATTTCTTACCCACTTTACATCATAGTATAAATGTGATCTTTTATGATGCATTCCTCAGTCCCAGCTTTCATTCTCTTTTCCTGTACTTAAGGCGTTTTTCCTCACCTTTCTGCCCTGGACCTTCTGTTTCTCTAGGAGTGAAAAAGGGAAGTTCCCTTTCCTCTCTATCATAAGGGTCATGGCTGAAACCCCTTTATCAAAAGACAGGTTAACAAGATAAAGGCATAGCAAGTGTATTTGATAGTTTTACATAGCATGGGAGCCTTCAGAAGGAAGAATCAAAGGTACAGAGAAAACGATCTGTTTTTATTTAGGTTATATGAAGTATATTTTTATTTAGGTTATATGAAGTATATTTTATTTAGGTTATATGAACCACCACATAGAAATACGATTATACAAAAAGTATATAATCTAATGCTAATAGATTGGGTGGGACAACTCAGCAAGGCCTGTCTGTTTAGATGTTTCTTGATCCCTCTGTGCGACACTTTTCCCTCCTCAGTATGGGGTAGGACCCTCTGGAATGAAGGTCTTAATCTCTTAATGGCCAATCGTGACTCAGGAAGAGGTGGAGAGAGGTTAGAGTAATATTTTTAGGTTTTACAGCTGGCTTTGGGGAAAAAGGGTTCTAGACCAACCTTGGGGAAAAGAGATTGTATGGCTTACCTCAGGGGAGACTGAGGGGCAAGAGGCAGGAGGGCGGGAGAAGATCAGAGAGAAACTGCTTCTGAGGCTGCTTCTTAGGCCTTCAGATTGCGTTATCATTTTGTGAGACTCCACATATTCATAACATTATCATTATTGTCATTTTTTTCTGGATTCAGTAGTTATCATATTTCCTATAGTGTCACACCACTAAGCTCTCAGCAATGATATGCATAATAAAACGTTCATTATTATTATTCTGCTATCACAGCTGTTATCAACCCTATTAGACTTGATGCATTTTATTTTAACATATATTTTGCAAATTCCCTTTCACTACCTGGAAATGAAGTGTAAGTTCAACCCTATTAGTACAAATCCCCCACTTAAAATGAAAAGCAGAAATAAAGGGTGAGTAATTTACAATGAAATAGTTAAATTTCTTTTATTTTATTAATGCTTGCTTGGGAAATCTTACTATGAAGACCTAATGAAGTAATCATATGCTTTTTTTGCACCTATACATAGAATGTCTTTAATGAGTCAGCTATAAATACAGATTTACTTTATCACATTTATTATACCATTTTAGTCACATTCATTGTATAATTCTATCAAACATCATCAGCAGTATTCCTATGGAGGTAATGTGACTTTGCCTGATGGAAAACAACTATTGATTTAAAGGAAAGTCTCTCTAAGATTAATCTTTTTTAAATTTAGATAGAGATTGCTTTATGGAAACTTAGTCTATAACTTAAAATGTATCAGAATCCTTTGTGTTTTATGTAAAACAGGATTAGGATTAAGACTCAGATTACTCCAAACAGATTCTTTTTCCCCTTGTTGCCCAATAGGATATTCAAAACCATATTGGACATGGAAGCCTTCTTCGATGTGCAGGACTGTCCTGACCTTACCTGCTAAAATTCCCATGTTGTCATAAATCGATCTGACAAACAAAACATACTGCCTCCCAGGTTTTCAAAATCTCCCCTAGGAAGTAGTACTGCTTCTGTGAACAGTCACCAGAACAAAAGTTTAAATAAAAATTCCATTTCACCTTAAACATTATTCAATTATCCCAACTTTTGTTTCTTCAAAACTCATAATTAACAAAATTAGCTTGGAGAATATTATTTCTAGGCATAACATAGTTTGCTATATATTATTGTCTACAATTTTTAGATAGGATTTTCATATCTGCATATTAATCCCATGAATATAGGTTAATTAGCCTCTTTGGGAATCCTGATGAAATTGTATACATTTAAGGAAAAGTATATGCTTTCGATAGCTAAAGTCAACATCAAAATATAGAGACAAATCTTTAAATTTTAAGTGTTTTATTTTGGAAGCAAGAATTGCATTCTGGAGCGTATACACAGGCTGGATGATCTTTGGTATGTCCAAAGAACAAGGAGAAGGTTGGAAGTTTGATAACATGGAGAAATGTTACATATTGTTCTGAAAGAAAATTCAGTAGCACTAGTAAAGTTTTTCAGGAACTGGCAAGTTCTGATTGGTAAGAGATGGTGGTGGGGGAAACTAGTCTTAGAGTCCTAGTAGGTTGTCTCAGTAGCTATTAGATTGGTTTCAGGTTACAACAGGCAGTTTCAGCAGCCAGACTTGGAGAGAATTACATTATTGAAGCAACGTTATGTGCCCTGAGTGCTTTTTCTTCCTGTCCTTTAGAGCAGGTATGACAAAATGACCCCAATTTGTATGGTCAGCTTTCACACTAACATTAAAACAACTCTTTCTCTCATGTGAAGTAATACAAAATGGCTCTATTTCGTTGTTTTCACTTGAGAATCAGAGAAAGGATTTTTAAAAAAAAAAGCAAATGGGAACTCGGCCCTGTAGCTGCAATTAATAGGTAACAATGTTGCAAATGCCTACTTTTGAATATATTTTAAAAATCAAATCATTTGTTAAAAAATATGTTGAACTCTCAGAAGCTCTTCAGAAATATCACTTCTAATATAAGATTTTATCTATTTGGAAGTCTTTGTAATAGGTGCTAATTTGCATGATGAAATCTGGTCCAACATGGACACTATACTCATAATGATGGTGATGCTATGTTGCATCATGTTCCCCTTAATGACAGTGTTATTTCTCTTCACTATCTTCTGGATTTTGTTTTTCATTTAACATGTTCCATGTCAGGGGCAGAAATGAGATGCTGAAACAGATTTGCAGACCTAGGAAGAGGAGGGTCAAGGAAAGAGATGTTGGCCTTAGGCACTATAGTACTTAAAGCAATTAAACATTTGGAGAATTTTTGTTCATGTCATGTGTCTTTTGAGTAGTGAGAAATCTTAATTAGAAGGCTTGCTTAAATTTTTAAACAAATAAGCAGTAAATGTTGCTGAATAAATTGTCAACAGTCTTCCTTCTCCCTATTGGTATGTATCCCTTAAGAAATTTTCAGTGACAATTTCAGGAACTTCCCTAGGGTTAATGAAGAACTACCAGACTTGAAAAATGCACACTTATCATGAAGAATAAAGATATTAATTCAGCATAACAATGATATAACATTAAAAATAAAAATGGTAAACAGCAGTCTGGAGTTCTATGTTTAAAAATAATTGTGGCCTTTTTTGAGACTATTTTTTTCTTTTTGGAGCACCTTTAAATTCACATCAAAATTGAGAGGATGGTACAAAGATTCCCAATACTTCCTACACCAACCCATGCATAGCCTCACCCATTATCAACATCCCCCACCAGAGCGGCATATTTGTCATAGCTGATGCATCAATACATCATGATCATCCAAATACCATAGTTTACATTAGGGTTGACTCTTGGTATTGTACTTTGTGTGGATTTGGACAAATGTATAATGACATGTATTAACATTATTGTATCATACAGAATATTCTCACTGCTCTAAAAATTATCTGTGAGTCACCTATTCATCTTTTCAGCCCCCCCACCAAAGAATAATATTTTTAATACTTAATGGTGTAAGTATTTTTTACAGGTTAATGGTCAGTTATAAACAAAAATTAACCTTAAAATATTAAAATATTGTACATAGTTACTGGATTATGCAATATCCTAACATACAAATATATTGTGAAGTATTTTGAACTAAAACATGAAGGCTTATTTCAAAATAGAGGTATTAAATAAGTTTGAGAGATGTCATAGTTGAGCTTAGAGTGTGGTAATAGATTTTCAATATATCCTAAATGCCTACAGTTTCCAGGTGTTAGGTTTTGCAGAATGATCCACCATATAGAAAATATAATAACTTATTATATATTGTGTATATTTTTCAAAGTGAAATTATAAGGGAAATCTAATACTGCAAATATAATAGAATGTGCTGGGAAAATGCAATTAAGAAAACTGCGGTAGTCAAGTATGCAAATTATGTCCATCTGTTGAACAAACCCTTGGGATAACATGGAATTGATGGAAAGAAGTGAATGATTATCTTCCAAGCATTCCTGTCAGAAGTCATCCATTTTAAGCCTAACTGTCAAGATAGGAGCCTTTTCTAAACATTCTTAGTACGCCAGAATCTTTCCCTGGTCTAAATGACTTAACAGGCTCAAAAGACAGAACAAGAACCAGAATAAATTCAGATCCATTTGCCAATTAAATCTGTATCAAACTTGAGCCAATTCAGTCTCTTAAATGGCCTTGGCAATGACTTAGCTTCCTGGCTAGAATTCTCTGTAGAGTGCAGGTATATCTGTGTCTCGGACAGTCAGAGGTTAGGACGTGAAATTAGTTATAGTAAAAAACCCTAGAGTTTTGAAAAGGCCCTTTTTGAAAAATGACTTTAAGGTCATTTTCAAGGGTCAGAAAATTATCCTGTTTTCTAGTGTAAATCCACATTACATCACAGCTTTCCTCGCCCAGTTCCAAGCAGGCTAGTTCCCAGAACCACTGTATTTGAGAATAACTATAGACCCTGAGGTTCTGGAATGCACTAAAATAATTCACACCCCAAAGGTTATGTCTCACACAAAGAAGACATGCGAGACAGTCTACTAATACTAGAATTGCCCAAGTTATGTTTTAAGTGGTCCTATTGTAGGTCATTTTCATTTTAAAATTTCATTTTAATCGCTCATTAGATACTTAAGCATGTGTCCACTTGCTGGGATGTTTTCTTACATAATCTATAAAGTGAGATCACGAATGGATAAAAGAGTTTAATGACAATGGATTTTCTCACATGTAAGACACATTATGAAATGCCAAGAGCTCATAAATGTTGACTACCAGACCAGCTGGTGTTTGGCAGTTTTCTTTTGTGCCAGCATTTGTTTTCCTGCAGGAGTCCAGAAATAGGCTTAAGTGATATCACCAAGTGTCTTCTAATTTAAATCTGTCCACAATATGTGCTGGCTAATGGTTAAGTGGGATACCATAGCCTTCCTGGTTCCACCCTTTCTGACATGAGCAGCTAGCTATACTCTTTAGCGTCCTGAGTCTTTCTGATGCGCGACGAGGGAATTTTCCTTAGTAAATGGAACACAGTGATGATTGTTTTTAAGAAGTCCTGGTACATTTTGGCATACCTACATGATTTCACACTGGGTGTATCATTGTCTTTTATATGGCATTGCTAAAATAAGGTTATGGAAATTCAGAGACTTCTTAAAAATGTAATCCGTTTAGCTAAATCCTTCACTAATAATGTGTAATTGATTAAATTAACATTCACAATATTTAAACATTCTACCATTGAAGTAAGTTAATTGTTAAAACAAAATAGAGGGTGTAGAAAGGGTAAAAAGTAAGGGCTGTCTAGAAAATTAAAATGATTGATGATCTTAATACGAAAGATAAGCTTCTAATATTGTGTAATGATTAAGGCTAAGTGTTTATATATATATATCCTTATATATAAACACACACATAATAATTGTATGTTGCACTAAAATATTTTAATGATCTAACTATAACTATTATAATCTTGTTTCATAAATTAGAAACATGTATTAAGGGTAATATATAAGAAGAATTGCAGACTCAGTTCAGTAGTAAGTTAATCTCCCGAAGTATATTTAGAAATCTGTTGTGGTAAGTAAAATATATTTCAGTTTGGCTCTTATTATTGTTGTGAGATAAACAGGATTCACTTCATTCTCTACCGAACCTCATCTTGATATTAGAAGCAAAATTAAAGAGTTTGATCACTTATTTATTTAAATAAGTTAAACACTTTTTAAAGTATTATTTAACAACTTTTATAGCTTTGAAATTTAGCAATGCATTTCCAGAAGTTTTCATTTCTTTACTCGAATTTCTTGAATAATTCTTAATTGTTCCTTGTTTTATATTTTTGGTTGTTAAATTTCTTACTGCTTTGATAATTCCATATACCAATTTTAGGTATACAGGTAAACATTTCCTATCCTCTAAGGGTTTAATTCTCTAGTTAATGAACTAAAATAGAATTATATGTCATGCGATAGTTTAGGGAAATATGTATGTTAAGGAAAAACAATATTAACTTTTGGGTGTTTTAGGGCCAGTAAAAGCCATCAATTTACAAAATATGTGTTCCGCAGATCTCTGTTAGTCTTCTTAATAGGTCTATTTAAAAACATGATTTTGTAAGATGGTTATTTTAAGATTGAAGGGGATCTTCATATTTTATTTATTTTTTATTAATTATTTATTAATTAATTAATTTTTGAGATGGAGCTCTCTGCCTCCCGGGTTCAAGCAATTCTCCTGCATCAGCCTCCTGAGTAGCTGTGATTACAGGTGTATGCCATCATGCTTGGCTAATTTTTTGTATTATTAGTAGACACAGGGTTTCACCATGTTGGCCAGGCTGGTCTCGAATTCCTGACCTAAGGTGAACCACCCGCCTCGGCCTCCAAAAGTGCTGGGATTACAGGCGTGATCATCTTGCTTTCATTCTGGGTGGTTATTAAGAATAAAGGGAAATTAGAAGAATGCACATGGGCACTATGTCAGTGATTCCAATTAAAGGTAAAACTTTTGATTTGCCCCTGAGTCCTCTTACTAGGGCTACTCATTTTTGCTATGATATATTGATTCAAATCATGGTCTTCTTAAATATTTAGATATTTAAAAATAGTCCAGGCGTTATGTTGTCTGTTATACGAATTCCCAAGCTGAATATGAAAATTTATCTTTCATTATCTGAAAAGTTAGCTTAAGCTTTCCCAATGTTCCTTCACATTTTTGACAGAACTAATAATGTCTATATACTGAACTGTAGATTTTACAAGTAGCATGATTGCAATTGGCAAGTAAAATATAATGAAAAAAATCTGTTCATTTCTTGGTATTGCTCATAACTTGGCTTTCTTGAAATAAAATGTTCATATTTTATTTAATCTGATTTTTTTTCAAATGGATGAAACTAAAAAGGAAAAGAGACAGAGATCTCAAGCTGTTGGACTTTGAAATTTTGGCAGAGAATTATTTTTTATGAAAAAAATTGTTGGATGAGAATTCAAAACATCCGCCTCTTTAGCCCTATTCAGGCTTCCATAATGCTGTCTCAGAGAACACAAAACAATGAAGGATCTAGCTTATCTTACTGGGAAAATTATTTGAAATGTTGGCATGCAAGCAGGAAGAATTTTAGCAACCTCTGTGTACATCCAAGCCCCTCACTTTCCTTCTTAGACCTTAGTCACTATCATTTCTATGAAACTAGCAGAATTATCTTCATTGATATGCAAATGAATGCACCAACAGTAGCCACACTATTTATTTTCCATGTGCTTTGCAAGCCAGAATTCTGAAAGGTTTCAGTAATTTAATACACAACACCATCAACAAATTTCACTAAATACAGTCAAGGAGCTTCACATATGCTACTGTAGTTTGTGGCGACCTTGACACATTCCTGATGCTTGTTTTAAGTTTGTTGAATGCCAGTGAGGGTTTTTCCCTTTTTCAGTGGATAAAATGATAGTGAGGAAGAATGGAATGTTTAAAATCTTTGTTTCCATTTTTGTTCTTTCAAGTCACATAAAACGTATGGCATAGTTGACATTTGAGCTGTAAGATCAAATGGAAAAGGTTGGCCCTGTTTTGTGTGAGTTGAGTTTCTTTTTCAGCAGAGCAATTAAATTGTCTTTTCAATCCAGACTACTCTCATTCCCTATCAGTTTGTTGTATTCTTCTGAGAGTGATGAAAATTGAAATGGGATACAGATTATGATAATGGAGCTTAAAAGGAGGGGAAGCAGAAGGAATTTACCCCTCTTCTTTTCTATTTTCCTTCTCCTAATTCTTAAGGTAATTACAAGACTCTGGAGATGCAAACATCTTTATTATCTATGCAAAACGCCATCTGCTGGAAGCACATTTTGCAAACCTGCAGGGCCTGAATATGATACAAATCGATTTAGTAGAAGTGATGCTTTGTTGTACTCTTCCTTTACTCCAGTGCCAGACTTTCCTTAGGTATCTCAAGAGCTCTGTTTCTAGGAAACTCAAAGGGAAGTGGGAAACATCCAGATATTTGACTTCATCCAAACCCTACTGTCATATTCTTTTTTTACTAATGTTTTAGAGGAGAGTATAATTTCTGGATTAGTGGATCATTTCAGTTATCTCATTAAGAACCTGTCATAGTCTGTTTTGTGTGGCTGTAACAGAATACCTGAACCGGAGAAACTTATAAAGGAAAAAAGGTGTATTTAGCTCAAGGTCCTGCAGGCTGGGAAGTTCAAGGGGCATGGCACTGTCATCTCCTCAGCTTCTGGTGAGGGCTTTGGTGCTAGGGCAAAATATGATAGAAGGTCAAAGGGGAAGCAGACACACGGGAAGAGGGACCAGACAGGAGGAGGAACCTCGCTTTATAACAGCCAGAGTGCACCTCACACACACACACACACACACACACACACACACACACACTCTCTCTCTCTCTCTCTCTCTCTCTCTCTCTCTAATTCATTCCCAAGAGAACTAATACAGTCTTGGGAGAGTGCAAGATAATTCACTACCAAGAGAATGTCACTAAGATATTCATGAGAGATCCACCTCTACAGGGTGCTGCCAAATACCTCCACAGGGCCCTGCTTCCCAATACCACCACATTGGGAATCACATTTAAACATGAGCTTTGGTGGGGACAAACCATATCCAAACCACAGCAGAACATTTCTTTCAATAATTTTCAAATTATCACAAAGTTAATAAATGTAAATGGCTAGCCAAAAATCACTCATTCAACAAGCATTTATTAAGCACTTACTATTTGCCAGGCAAATTGCCTAAGTGTTAAGGGTACAGAGAGGAAGTAACACACAGGTTCACGCATGCATGTGTATGTGCACCACCTCCTCCCTACCCCACCTCCATCTCCACCCCCATCCCAAATATTCTTCTGTCCAAGAACTCACCAATTAATCAGCAGAGACTATACAATAATTTCCATAAATTTACCACCAGAGTGATGATAGTTTGTCCTTTTATACTTAGCTTGACTGGTTTTTAGGTAATTGCACTTTTTTTCCACTTAAGTGACCTATATTATCCCTTCCTGCAAACCCTTCCATTTTTTTTTTCTTTGTTCTCTGAGTGTTTTCCCCCCTCACAGCCTCTCTCTATTCCATGTGCTATCAGTTTTGTTTCTTTGCCTCCTTTCTCTTTTTCATTATTTCATATATTCTTCCATCTTCATCATACATGAAAGCATACATTTGTATGTCACACTTGATTAAAACTTGAACGCTTAATTGGAGTCAACTGTTACTTCTGGTTTATAATTTATCTTTATAGGAATCCCTAAGACTTACCAGATTTGGCTTTTGAAGCTTTTCCATTTCAGGCAAGCTTCTGTGTCTTCCTTTTGACCAGTCCAGGAGGTTATTTTGTCAGGTAGATGACTAGCAGCCCCAAGTCCTCCTCATAAGCATCTTACAGACCCAAAGGAACTTCAAGTAGATAAGATTCTCAATAATCTACCAATGTACGTGATAGCCTAGAGTTATTAGCATAAATATGTAAAACAAACTTTAAACGCTAGAAGCACTCTGGGCTGGACAGTGCTCCTTCCACAACCGATGCAAATAAGTAACAACTTAAGTAAATAAATGCATATAAGTAACAATGGTAGAGAACTGAAACCTTCTGTTATAGGTTGGTACACATAATGAACATAGTTTTATATCCTGTGCCTTAACTCAAAAGCAAAAGCAAAGATGAACAAGCAAAAAACTTGGATGAAACTTTAAGAACAACCACAAAATTTTAATTTGGGTTTCAAAGCTGAAATGACTAAGTGGCTTCACTTAGTGTTTAGGGCATATTAGGCAGAAGGAAAACAGGTATAAATCTCAGGGTCCAAGGAACCACAAATACATTTCCCTGATCTCAGTGCTTGATAGATAGATACATAGATAATAGATGGATAGGTAGATAGACAGATAGATAGATAGATAGATAGATAGATAGATAGATAGATACATAGATACATAGATACATAGATAGATACATAGAGAGATAGATAGCTGTTTTGGTAAGAAAAGACTAAGAAGATCAGGGAGATATCAAGGATACACATTATATTAGTTTGTTACAGCTTCCACAACAAAGTCCCATAAATCGAATGGCTTAACACAACGCAATGTATTGTCTGAGTCCTGGAATCTGGAAGTGAAAGATGAAGATGTTGGTAGGATTGATTCCTTCCAAGGACTGCAAGGGAGGGATTTGTTCCAACCTTTTCTCCTATCTTTTGATGATTGACTGGCAGTCTTTGACATTCAGCTGATGCTGAATATACTGACTATCCTCACCTTAAAAGTATTATCCATGAGGTCTCTGACTAATGCACCAGCTTATACATGAAAGGTATTAATATCAAGAGCCTAACTTGAGAATTGAAATGTGCTACACATGCCCACAACAGTTTGCCATCCCAAAATATATACGAGTGTATTAATTATACATGTAATAATTGTTCTTTAATATAAGCTTGTGAAGTGGAATTAAAAAGGATCTTTGTCTTATTTCTTTTTTTCTTGTTTTGTTTTTATCTTTTTTTATTATTATACTTTAAGTTTTAGGGTACATGTGCATAACGTGCAGGTTTGTTACATATGTATACGTGTGCTATGTTGGTGTGCTGCACCCATTAACTCGTCATTTAGCATTAGGTATATCTCCTGATGCTATCCCTCCCACCTCCCCCCACCCCACAACCATCCCCGGAGTGTGATGTTCCCCAATCTATGTCCATGTGTTCTCATTGTTCAATTCCCACCTATGAGTGAGAACATGCGGTGTTTGGTTTTTTGTCCTTGTGATAGTGTGCTGAGACTGATAGCTTCCAGCTTCATCCATGTCCCTACAAAGGACATGAACTCATCATTTTTTGTGGCTGCATAGTATTCCGTGGTGTTTATGTGCCACATTTTCTTAATCCAGTCTATCACTGTTGGACATTTGGGTTGGTTCCAAGTCTTTGCTATTGTGAATAGTGCCGCAATAAACATACGTGTGCATGTGTCTTTATAGCAGCATGATTTATAGTCCTTTGGGTATATACCCAGTAATGGGATGGCTGGGTCAAATGGTATTGCTAGTTCTAGATCCCTGAGGAATTGCCACAGTGACTTCCACAATGATTGAACTAGTTTACAGTCCCGCCAACAGTGTAAAAGTGTTCCTATTTCTCCACATCCTCTCCAGCACCTGTTGTTTCCTGATTTTTTAATGATCGCCATTCTAATTGGTGTGAGATAGTATCTCATTGTGGTTTTGATTTGCATTTCTCTGATGGCCAGTGATGATGAGCATTTTGTCATGTGTCTTTTGGCTGCATAAATGTCTTATATCACAGTCATTGCTTACAACTGGTTGTTGTTGATCTCATATACCGGCAAAACATCAGGCTTTGATCTTAGTGCTTCTGAAATGTCAACAACTGAGGAATTAAGAAGCAATGCCTTATTTAGTGTTTTTACACTCCCATAGTAGACACTATTTTGCAATTACAGTTTGAAAATATTCTGAGGTTAACATAAAGCTAGCAGCATTTTAATTTGGAAATATCTATAAGCAGAGATAAACTTTTATATCTATATAAAGTTACATATAAATAATATATAATTTTATATCACATATTTATACATATATGAAATGATGTTATATATTATATAACATATATGTAATTTATACATATAATATATTCTATCAATAGCTTTATTTACTTTTACTTTTTTTAAAAATTACCCTCTTTTAATCATAAAGAAATACAGATAGAGCAGGTGAAAAAAATATACCTTTACAAGAATCATGAGGAATAGGTAGCTGATGGCAAATATTTACTGTGCTCTAGGGGTAGCTCCAGTGGATTTTCTTATATTCGAAAAGTCATTTTCTACCTAACACATGCTTTATGGTTAGAGCTAATTATAGTTCTTAGAGTTCTATGACAAGCAATAGGCTAATGTCCAATATTATCCAGATAACAATCAATATTAACCTGAAGGCTGGCTAATGCTAAGTGTTTAATATACAGAAATATCCTGTGGATGTGGGACCACACCTTCTCAATCTTAAAAGTGCCTTTTCTAGTTGACTTAAGCAAACAAAATGTGAAAACAAACTATTCAAACATTAACAGGAAAGCTTCCTTGAGGTTCAATGTTGGAAATAAGCCCATTACTTGTACAGTCATTTCTATAGAGGCACATATCTCTTCCCTTCCTTCTAAACGAGTTGTGTTCCAAGATTTTATTGGAAATGAAGTATCTAGAACTTTGGATATTTTCTCTCTCTTTTTTTAAAGTTTTAAGTAGCTAAATTTTGAGGTATCCAAAATCTCTTTTAATCATAATGGGCCTAAAATGTGTAACAAATGACCACCTATATTACAGCCAGAATTTTTACTTTAGCCTTTCTGTAGTTATATTAACAAGAAAAATTTCTAGGCCTTTCTGAATGACTGGAAAGAGTTTTGAGTAGTTAGAGATTATGAAGATTTGACGATGTGTAGGGAAATGTCTTGCGAGTCCTCAGCCAAGTAGGGCCGGACAAAGCAAATAATAACTCTGGCCTCAGGTAGAAAACATAGGCCCATTCTCTCATTCACTCTCTCATTCATTCAGTGTTGAAGGAATGTTTTCTATTTTCTGGACACACTGATAAACACAGATGATACAAAACAAACAAGCAAGCAAATAAACAAAATACATAGGTCTCTGTTTTTCCTGAAGTCGCTGAGAATCAGAAGTAACAGAACATTATAAACAATTACAGCATCACTTTCTAAGGATGGATGAAAAATGCACCCAGGACTCAAGGCATCATTGAGGAGGATCACCTTATCTAGCCTGGAAGTAGAGACAAACGGGCAATGCAGTTAAGGGAAGTGATTTTTGAGCCAAACCTTGGATAGCTGAACCACAGAGAGACTGTAAAGTTTTCACGCGAAAGAGTAATATTTTTATGTTGAATTAGGTAATAGAAGTTATTTAAATTATTTCTGCCACGCTTCTCTGAAGAACACCTGACCATTGATTTGTGTATTTTTGTAATCCCTTACAACATATTTTTAATCCAACTTCATTCTTGACTTTTCATTATTTTAATGGCTTTGTAGAAGTTATAATTCATGACTTCCCATACCATTTTTCTATAGAGTAATTTTCAACATGCAATTTCACATCCTCTCACACTAGACCGGAGATGACAGTAATAGTAAACAAGTCTGAACAAATCATGGCCACGTGAAAAATACCTGCAGCTTTGACAAGCTACAATATTAGCTTCCATTTTATAACTTTTTCTATTAATTTTTCGTGTGATAGTCAATATTGAGGTTGAGAACATGAAATTATGTATAGATGTTGTCATCACCTATTTGTTGATGGGGCAGAGTTTTGATAATTTTGCCAACGTCGTTTATATTTCATCAGTCCTCTACAAAAACATTATATTCCTTGTATCTATTTCTTGTTCTAATTCTATATTTACCCCCCAAATAGTTGAAAAATAAGGAGTATATTATAAAACATTTTCCATTAATTTAATGAGTGGTAAATATATACAGGCAATTAGACGTAGTGGAAAAAACATAAGTTAGAGTTTAAACTATTGATCTATCCCTGTTCCCTGATGAGTCCCTACAACACATACACACAGATTTTATCTCATGCTGACAAACAGACTTTGGGCAATGTTATCATTTGTAAAATGGGAAAAGGGCTAGCTTCATGGGCAAGTGAACAGTATGGTTACATAGGATCCAGAGCTTAGTACTTGAGATTTAATGCGGTTTGGTTCGCATCTTGAAATCCATATTGGTTTTATCTTTAAATTCTTGTTTAGCAAGTTGAGCTTTTGGGGAAATGGAGTATATTTTGAGTGCTTGGAGCCTCATTCCTGCACTGCTTCACCTCATGCAGCCTCTCTGTCTCTGGATCTAGGAGAGTTTCTCAGCTGCCTCCCTCATACTCAGCCTCTTTTTCTCTGTACCTTTCTGTGGCTGTTGTCACCCTCCACCTGGAGAGGAAACTGGAGGGAGGACTATATTCCATTGCTGTTCTCCACTCTCATGGTCACAGGGCAAGGAGGCATGGACATGAGCTCCACAGTGTTTTGGAACAGAGCAAAGCTGTGGCCATCTAATCCATTGGCTGGTAGCCACACTGTACATTCAGTAGGTGAGTTGGCAGAAGCCTCTTACCCACCCTTATCCAGGTACTAAGTGCATCCCAACAGGAGGTACAATTTTGGGGGGATCATCCATCCATCATGCATTGGGGCGGCTGACCACTGGACAATGGATATTGACTTGTGCATTCCAGCTGGGATCCTATGTCTTAATTTTGCTCTGGAATCTATACATTATGTAGCAGGCCTTGAATGGAAATTATGCAAACCTTAAACTGCAGTAGGACTTAAATAAGATACATGTACTGGACATAGCATAAGGTCTGGCATAAGGTAAAATAAGTTCTCAATAAAGTTGTTATTCTTCTCAAGCCCCATTTCTTTACTTGTTTGCTCTCATTGGCTAAATTAGATTGATCTATGTTGATGGATAAAGATGTCTTATTCCAATACACCTTAACACATTCTCATTGAGAACCATGAACATTAGTTCTTCAAAAGGAAATAGCATTATTTATGGGATTCATTTAATTTTTAAGTAATGCTCTTGCAGTTGAGGCATGTATCCACAGTATGAATACGACAGTTAATGAATAAGAGTAGACTTTTCTTGTTCCTAGACTGGCATATTCCAACACTTTTGCAAAAGAGAAAAGCAAGGAGTTGAATCAAGTCTCAGCACAACCAACCAAATAAGCAGGCAGCACACCACAGCAGCTTCTGTTCATGGTAATATTTCATTTTCTCATGATCCATTGTCTAGCCAATAAAAGCAGTGCCAACTTTTCATCCTCATATCACCCTCTATGATCTTACATTAAAAACACGAGCTAACTTGTCATTAGTTTAATGTCTCTGAAAGTAAAATAAGCGGACTGTTAATATCAGCTCTTTTATCTTGCTTAAGAAGGCTACATACATTAAACTTAGGAAACAAATTACGGTGTATAGCACTTCAGACTTGTATAAAGTAGTTTGTTTTGCTTTATGAATATACTTAACATTTGTGATTATAGTAACCATAAGATCTAAATATTATTCTATTTTTTAAAATAAAATATCTTTTTACTATAAACTACTAAAATTCATTTATATAAGACTGTATTCATCTCTTTTGATAATAAAAATATAAATTTTAAGTTAAAGTTTTATGACATGGAGCTATAGATTAATGTTATAGCCACACAGCTGACCTCTGAACAATGTGGAGGTTAGAAGTGCTGACCCTCACACAGTCAGAAATCTATGTATAACTTTTGGCTCCCCAAAAGCTTAACTATTAACAGCCTACTTTTGACTGAAAGCCTTACTGATAACATAAACAGTTAATTAACACATATGTTGTATGTAATTTGTATTATGTACTGTATTCTTACAATAAGTTACACCAGAGAAAAGAAAATGTTATTAAGAAAATCATAAGGAATAGAAAATGTATTTACTAGCTGTTAAGTAGAGGTGGATCATCATAAAGGTCTTCATCCTCATTGTGTTCATACTGAGTTGGCTAAGGCGGAGGAGGAAGAGGAGAGTTGGTCTTCCTGTCTCAGTGGAAGTGAAAGTGGAAGAAAATGTGTGTGTCAGTGGACCAGCGCATTTCAAACTCATGATGTTCAAGGGTCAATGGCACATTATTTTTTTCTAACAAGAAACTATCAATATTATACTTAAAAAATGGTTAAATGACTTCAGATTTTAAAATATCACAAAAGGATAGGCATGGCAGAATTTCAACAATACCTTAAGTGTTTAAGTAGAGAAAAATCATACGATAATTTAAATAAGCACTACTGTAAAGAGTTTTAAAAATTAACATTTTTTCTACCATTTAAGAATAGAGATGGCACATGTATGCATATGTAACTAACCTGCACATTGTGCTCATGTACCCTAAAACTTAAATATAATAAGAAAAGAATAGACAATAGTAAGTTCTAGAATTAATCTGACATAATTCTAATCCATACAAATTTGTGCACATTTTATAAACTCTTTATTTGACTAATCTGCGCATGTGTAATATATACCTCATATGGTAGATGTTATTAAGGTATATACTATCTTATTTTAAATAAGATAATTTATATAGTGGTTTACATAATGTAAGCATTCAACAAACAGAATGGATTCTATGATTATCCTTCTTAATATTTGTATTGGTGTTATTATTCTCAAGAGGCAACTGAAATTATCTTCATAGACTTAATATTATATGAAGATTTGTCACTTATTGTTGTTTTATTTTAGAATATATTATTTAACCTGAAATAATTTTCAAATCAACGTAATCATATGCTATATTATATAGAACTCTGCAGTAAGAAGTTTTTGGCCTACATAAAGCCATTGGAAAGTCTAAACAAGTATGCATTTACTGTGATGAAGAATAGTGTGTATAGATTAAGTTGTTTATTTTTTTCTTATAGCACTTTTCCAGGATTTGCAAAAGCATGTTTTGTGTATATGGAAGCTATTATTAGAAATAAATTACAATTTTCTTTTGCTTCTGTTACCCAGAGGTTTTATTGTTTGTTTTAATGGAATACAGTGGTTTAACTACTCTACTTTATTATTATTATTATTATTATTATTATTATTATTATTATTATTTGAGACAGAATCTCATTCTGTCACCCAAGCTGGAGTGCAGTGGCATGATTGTGATCTTGGCTCAATGCAACCTCCGTCTCCCAAGTTCAAACAATTCTCTCACCTCAGCTTCTTGAGTAGCTGGGATGACAGGCCCACATCACCACACCCAGATACTTCTCCTATTTTTAGTAAAGACAGGGTTTTGCCACATTGGCCAGGCTGGTCCTAACTCCTGGCCTCAAGTGATCTGCCCGCCTCAGAATCCCAAACTGCTGAGATTACAGGTGTGAGCCACCACGTCCTGCTGGGTTAACTACTTTAATAACTACTTAAGCAAACCAGGAGGTTCTGACTTTCAATCTAGTCTTAGTTTAGTGCCAGGACATGGGCATAAAATGGACAAAGGCAATGGAAAATAGGGTAAAAGGTACAGAAGAAACAGAAGTAAGAAAAGGAGGAAGAGGAAGGGGAGAAGGGGGAGAGGGTAAGAGAAGGGGAAGGAGGGGAAAGAGACTAGCAAGAGAAGAGACACATTAGGAAAATGCATGAGGAAAAGAAGGAACAAAACAAAAAGAAACAAAGTAATTGAATAGAGCAGAAACAATGAAAAGAGAGGATGAACAATATTAAGAAAATAAGCCTCTTTATTTTCTAAAATTGTTGCTAATTTTTACTCTTCATTCTCTGTCTTTCACTTCTTTCCCTCTGGCTTGGTATAGAACCTCAACACCTCTTCTGACCCCACTACCACTGCCCTCCACCAAACACAAATAGAGAAACACAACACATTTTTATCTTTCTTTGAGATTTTCCAGAGCTTTGGTTAATAAGAATCTAGTGGGATGGAGTAAGTTTCCTTCCTTTTCTTTCTTTCTGAAATTGTTTTATTGTCATTTCAGATCACAAAATTACTACCTATTTTCATATACTGAAGAACAATACCCATTAGGAATTGCATAGTCATTTGACCATGGCTTTTTAAACTCATGTCTGTATTTACCTCGATGAGCCACTGATGGTTTACCTCTATGAGCATTTACGATTTCTGTTCCTTGGGCTACTCCAGAACAAGTTAAGGATATTTATACAATATTGGTAAGGATGATACGTAATAGTGAGTAGGAAAAATATATTCTACATTGTAAGATGTTTTCAAATGTCCACTCATATTAAGTCACTGCATAATATGGCTTGACAGCCAGCTTTGTTGGAATTAAAAATGAGAACTGACAATAAAGACATAGGATGCTATTAAGGGTGTTTAGATAACTGAGGTAAAGTTGACCCAAAGTATTGTTTTATTTGTTTTTGTTTTAGAAACAGTGGCCAATTTCTATTTATTTTCTCTTTTACACAGATTTATGGTTATTGTATTTTCCTAAAAAAGCAACAGATGAACAGAACAAACAACTGTAGTAAATACCTCTATGTAAGACTATTCTTGCATGAAATATGAACTCTCATAGCAGGAAAAGTTGTCACAGATGAGAGGAAAAAGTCTGAGTTAAAAATAATTTTATACAAATATATTTTCATCTATTCAATTCTGAAAACTTTCAGTTTCAGTAATAAGAGAAAACTAGACAATTTTGCAAACTGTGATTTTATACATTGTGATCATGGGTAATTTACACTTCTGTAACCTGAAAGTTTAGCTGGCATTTTTTTTCTCACAGTTTTCTATTTCTGATATAAGTAACAAGTTTGTTCTGTTGAAGAGCAATGTTGTTAGCCTATCTAATTGTGTTTGTTATAAGATTTGTTTCAAGTTTAATAATTGTAAAAATACCATTTTTAGATCAAGATAATACAAAGCATTTATGGTCTACTACTCAATGTTTGCTTTCACAAGTGCTTGTATTATAATGATATAGCAGGTAAGAAGTGAAATGGAAAAAAAAAACAGTTTTTTAGCCATGAACACTAGTTTAATAATTTAGTTGCTATACATTGCTTTGTAAAAGTGAGAAACAACATTGGTAAAAAATTGTGGATGTACTTAATGCTTCTTAAAAATACATCTATTTATACACACCAGAAGGGAGAAATCCCTCAACTCTAATATAAAGACATTGTATGTAGTATTATTTTTAATGTATTCATAAAAATAAATGCATTCCTATTGGCTCAGGGACTCTAAGGAATAGCGGATAAATAATAAATTTTATATTACTATTTCACAACTGCAGAGAACCTTAAAAACTGTTGTGTTCAATATATACATTTTTATTGACAATACAAATGAAAGTTGGAAGCTTAAAAAATCCCTTAGGAAAAAGGATAGTTCTAGAATCCATGTTTTTTAGATTTTTAGTCTAATTTTTTCCATATCATATAAAAATGATATCGAGTATGCAGAGGTGTGTGTCTGTGTTTGCGTATATGTGTGTGTGCACGCGCACGTGAGCATGAATATGTTTGTATCTGAGCTCCCGTTCAGTACCCAAATTCTGTAATTTATTTCTGCACACCAACGACTGGAGACAATAACAAAGGGAAAATACTTTTCAACCTTCCATGTTTATGTTCTTTATAGGAAGACATTGATAGGGAAATATTTCACCAACTTCTTTTCCCAGTGAGCATGGACTCTCTGATAACATAGGCTTGAAACTGTATGGAGGAAAAGAAAACAGCATCTCAAACCACTAGTAAAACTTTTCTTCCTCGGGGGATTCTTCCTGCTGTTCACAGTGACCTTCTGTGTACCATTTCGTTTTTATTTCTTAATATATTTATTTCTTTGTTTTATTTATTTATTTTTTGTCCATTTCTTCCTTGTGCCCTTTAGCTTTCTCTCTTCTCTTCTATTTCCCAAGCCTGAGTCTCATACTTCAAAATTGCATAAATTTAATGCCATTTATAAAATTTATAAGTTTAGCAAAAGGAAAACTCATATCAGATAATAGCATGTGCATATATACAAACACATATAATAGATATTATGAATGATAGCATATGCAATATATATCTTATAATAATATAAAAACGTATACTTTTTACAATGCACCATTCTTGCTCCTATGAAGTTTTAGGATATTTTATGTCTCTTAGGCAGGTGCAAGATGTATTATTTTAATATAAATTTAAAAATAATTGTAACAGGACAGCTGTCAATTAACTTTTTAAATTTGTAATGACAGCTTGTGATTTATTAATCATTTGATGCAAAATGTTTTCACCATTTAACTTTCATGAGTATAGCACAATGGAAAAGAACTGGACTCTAGAGATATACTTGCCTGGGTATTCTTTTTGGTTCCACCAACTACTATGTAAAGTTACGTGAGTAGTTTAAAGTATTTGGTTCTCAGTTTCTGAATCTATGAAATGGGCATAATTTCACCAAATAGTTTCTAGGGTTGCAGTGAAAGCTCGTATAATTAACATAAGTAAGACTAATAATAGTGCCTGCAACATAGTAAGTATAAATATTAGTAATTTTTCATCATTTTAAAAACAGATTATGTTAATATTCTTTTGTGTTATACTGCAATTTATTATTCACTACATTTATAAATGAAAATGACCTTAAAAGTGATACTAAAAAAAATTTTAATGCTAGTCTTTTTATGTAAATTGAGATACTATTTAAGATAAACACGTTAATAGGTATAAAATATGTAAAATTATTTTCCAACCAGTTATTCTGTGTGTGTAAACCTTCTTGTTATAATTTTGATTTTTATATTTTTAATTTCTTCATTTTATTAAATTATAGAAATCATAGATCATACTCCTATCCAGATTGTATATAACAATGTAGCTCTTTTGCTACATTCAAGTTATTCATTTTTGTATTTATGAAATGAATCTTTCTGGCTTTGTTCATTATTTTGTTACTTCTGTGTGGCTAACAGCCACAAAATAGTAAAACAAGGGTAGTGAAATATAATTTTTAAAGTCAATTTAGCAACATATTTAAACAATGTGGTAAGGATATTAAGTTCTTACTAGTTAAAAAGAGATTTGATATTACTAGTGATTTTTATGTATGGAAAAACTAGAAGATTAAAGTTTAAAAAATAAATTTTTTAAAAAATTTATTTGATTAATAGGAAATCCGGAACCAATTTAAGGAAACCTTTATCAAAAGCTTTGCTATCCAAATTACTGGGACCTTTCCCCCCAACTTTTTACCCTGAAGGAGTTAACTCTACACAAATGGGCCTCTCATCCCTCCTAGAATTTAAATTACATTCCTTTGCTCGTAAATCAGAAGGGGGTAAACCCAATTAATGCCAGTGATTTCAGCATGAATAGAAATTAACTCCCAAATCTCAGGCTGGAAAAAGAATCTTGACAGACTCATTCCCAAGGAAAATTTCTGTAAGAGCAGGTGTGGAGCAGTATTTACTTATAAGAATTCATAATCTAATGCTTAGAGAATTTGCAGCAAAATTTGGATAAATGGTTTGAAATACCTCTTTCCTTCAATTACCTTAACTATAAACCTTTACATGCTATTGAGGGTTTGATTTATTGGAGTGTTCTTTTGGAGAATATATATATAGGTTTTCTTACACCTGAGAGATAAATGAAGATGTCTATCAGATCCCCCGTCAGTCCTTTCTAATTTATTATTTTTTGGATATATCTTTGATTAAGTAGTTACAGCTTGTGGCACAGCTTTGAATTTGGGTTTTTAACTTTCAAGTGGTGCCTCGGTTTGTTTTTAGCTCAATGTTAGTGGGTAAACAAAATGCAGTAACAATTTTTTCTTCTTACTTTTAATTTTCTCTCTGTATATAGTTAAATATGTCATATGCAGTATTCTTACCATATTGTTTAACTTCAAGACTTGTGTTCTATGAACATTTTATTTTGTTTCATAATAATAACCTTAACTGTTTTTATAATAAATATATGACAATTATGAACAATTCAAGCAACATAGTAACAACACGTAGAATGTTATAAATCACCAAGACCAAGGCTCCCTATTTATAAATATCCAGTGCATTTGGTGAACTTTATACCAGACATTTCTTTATGTCTATTAATGGAGTATACTCTCCAATTATTTTGTAAATGGATTCAGACTACATATTATGGTATCTTTTCTTATTCTAATTTCTAATTCACTCCAATCCAAGGTCGTATACACTGTATCTCTTAGAGGTAAAGGTAAGTAGGTGACTTTGCTCATAAAAACCACTAGAACGTGACATTTATGTTGAGTAAGGTTTATCAAATTCACTGCCTAATTAAAATACTAAAGGCTAAAAATTTTGAAGTGACAAAAGTAATGCTGCCCCCATAAGATACATATTGCACTTTAAAATATTTTATTCTAAAAACTATATTTTAAAATTAAAGGTAACTGAACAATTTCTTTCAAACCTCTTGGGTGGTAAAAATTAAGAAAATGTAGGTACAGGTGAGATAGATACAGAGAAAACTTAGTTTACTGTTTGGATTTTTCATTTGTTTGTGTGCTTGCTTGTTTTTAATATCTGTTACATTATTTGTATTTTTAAGTCTGCCTTTACTAAGACGCTATTCGTAAGAAAGAACATCCAGAAGCCTATGCAAAGGCTGTTTCCAAAAGCAGTGGCTCTCTGTTTTTCTTCTTTACTAATAAAAATCTAATAGTTTCTGGCCAGAATAGAATCTACTTAATAAATGTGTCACCTCAATCACTAAATTTATGTTATATTAACAGAAAAATAGAATTAACCCCCCTACCCCGAAAAAAGATTACCACAGGTTTTGTGTGTGTCATGTCATAGGCCTTTAAACATAAGCTTCTATGGGAAGAGTCAGGTTTTCAAACCCGTTGCCTGCTAAATAACATTCTAAGGGCCAATGGAGCATCTTGAAAGCTCCTTAAGCTGCTCCACTTTCTTAAGCATAGGTTTTTCCACAATCATTATTCTCCTTGCATCTCCTTCCTAAATGGAGATCTATGTTGGTTAACTCCCAATGGCCTGGGCACATGATAGGCCATTATTATATACATGTAGTTGAATTTCTTACATCATGACTACTATGATGATGTGACCTTACTCTGACAAGGAGCTTTAGATGGTTTAGTTGAATTAAATTTCATTTTTTCCTCTTGGACAGAGAAGGCATTAAGCTCATCTCAAGTACTAACTGAGATATACTGGTGGTGGCCTCCTACAGTAGAATATTTTGATACTCCTTTCATGGCTAAATAGAAAGAATGCTGTGATCAATTTTAAATGTGTACTATGCTGAGAAAAGGTTAACAGAAATATACTTGCCTTCTGTTCACATCCCTCTTTCAAGATCTCAGCTTTGGGAGTACAAACCACTCATTAACTTGCTTTGAGATATGGAGGAGGGGGAGGCTGAGTTGGGTTTCTAATTTTCTTTCAGGTCTCAGAGGCTAATCTTTGTGTAGTGTGTGTGTTTGTATGTGTTTGTACCTGCGTGTCTGTGTTGGCCTGGAAGAGGCCAATAAAATGTAATGCTGATACTAGATGTGCCAATAACAAAGTATAACTTAAATCTAAATCATTTAAACATGTTTCACAAGTAAATACAACTTCTTTAGAAATTTGAGGTAAAGCAAAGTAAAATCTAGTGGGAAGCTAGTTTCAATGCCACTTGAGCACTTAATTGAAATAAGGAACAGAAGAGTCAAGTAAATGAGAATACAATTTTCTACACTGTATTGTAATCATTATTGTCCTAATTGCAGGATTATAGTTGCAGGCCAATAACAATAAAAAGGAAATAACCATATAATGAATATGTTCTGGATTTTCATTTTTTGACTAGTGGAGGAATGAACAGAAAGCTACCACTAGAGTGAACATCCCCATGGAAGACAGAAATTGAATATATGAAAGACTCCTATCCCTCTAACGAACAGAATCATTGCAGAATTTTGCTATTGAATTAGAAAGAGATAGAAGTGTTGCACTTGCATGTCAAATCACTGCTTTTCGGGATTCAGGAAATAAACCACAGTTGAAGTGAATTTATTCCGTATACTTCCAACACTATCAAAAAATTCAAGAGAGCTCTATTGTGAACAGAGGTAAGTTAGGTGTTAGAATAAGTTTTATAAGCATCTATAACATTTGTGGATTTATAGGAGAAACATCATTGTATGCATTTTTAGTATTCTCTTAATATTGACCCAAACAAAAATCATAGGTGATATGTGTATACTATTTAATAATAGACAGCAGATGTCTAATAGTTGATACAAAATATAAATTTAGAGCATATAAGTTAACCATAGTTAATTGATCTTTTAAATTCATTTTAGTTTTAATGGTGTATATAAAGACTGTATATAAGCTATATGGATAGTTTAATAAAAATAATAAAGTGAACCCCCACCTGTATCTATACCCTAGATTAAGAAATAGAATATCAATATTTTTGAAGCTCTCTAACCCCTTCCGTCCTTCTACCTGCACTCCTTCTCTAAGACTGAAACTGCAGTGAGGCCAGGGAGGCTCACTCTCAGGCCCCAAACCTTAAGGGGGTGCCAAAAACCTCAGGAATCAGAATAAATAATATTTTAATGCAGTATGTTAAAATAATTCAAATCAACTTAGAAATCAATAATGAAAAAGATATCAACATTTTAAATAAAGACAGTGTTAGTAAAAGGAAAAATCTAAAGGGAAAATCAATAATGCTAATTCCATATTTTAAAATTTTTCCTAAAATTGGTATTAATTATGCTCTCACTTTTCCTTAGAAAAAGTTTCTCAGTCTTGCCACTATTGATATTCAGGCCTAAAACGTGGTGTGAAGGTCTGTCCTCTGATTTATATGTTGTCTAGCAGCATCCCCAGCCTCTATTTTGTTTTTGAATCTTATAAATAGCATCATAATATATGTTTTTATTTAATTTTCTTTTTACTTCAAATTATACTTTTTAATTTTAAGGATGTTGATATACATTGTATTAAACAAGTATACCTCAATTTAATTAATAATTCCAGTTTTGACAGACAACTGGATTGTTTCCAGTGTTTGTTACAAATAACACTATTTTGAACATTCTCACATATTTATTGATATGCATATGCAAAACTCCCCTCTGGCATATATCCAGGTGTTTCATTCCTGGGTAATATGGTGTGTCCATGTAGCAAATAACTAGATAATATCAAATTATTTTCCCAAGTTGACAGTTTTCATTCTCACTGGTATGTTGGAGGATCACTTATTGTTCTGTATTAATTAACTTAATGTTGCCTGACTACAAAATTATGTAGGCCTGATACATATTAAAATGTGTCTCACGAGGTTAAATTTACATTCCCCTGATATCTAAGAATACTGAATAGCTCTTCATATTTTAGTACCTATCTTTGTTTCTTCTTTTGTAAAATGTCTAATATATTGTTTAACCCATTCATTCAGTTTATCATTTAATTATATTCTTTATTCCTAGAAGAGCTTTGCTTTTTTTTTTCTCCAAATCCATCAGTCAATTCTTAGAGCCTCTTGTTTCATTGAATATCTTCAGTCTGTGTAGGTCTGACTCCTTAATGTTTTATTTTTCTGACTTTTATTTATGGTACCTTATTTTCTCATCTGTTTCATAATTTTTGTCGATAATAGTATCTTAAAATTTTGAGAAAGAAAAGATTGTGCTTGGAGGCAAGATAACATTTTGGGAAGAGCACAGGATACATTTTAAGACTAGAGTATGGAATCAGCTTCTACTTCATTGTCCAATGTAAGATTCCACCTGTCCGAAATATCTCATTCAGCACTTGTCCATTTCCCCAGAGATGTCCAAAACTCAAGCTTCAACAGACATTCCTAGAGTAAAATAACCAAGATGTATGAATCCCCTTAGAGGATTCAGGGCCCATTCATGTACAATGTGAGAGCACCCAGACCAGTCTTGTCCCAAGAGTAAAAGACTCAGTTTAATATATTAGCTACATGTTGGCAAAGAGACCAATACAAAAAGGATAATGGAGAAAATCTTTGCACAGAAATTTTGCATTCTGGCATCTCTATCTGAATTGTGATTCTTCATAAAATGCTGGACTGAAGGATTGCATAGAGGCAGGCCTTGTGTTAGGTGATAAACATGTTTTTATACAGCAACACCTACAGCCAATTTCCCTATATGCAAGCAAAATTTCCAGTAAGAATTAATAGTTGGCTGGGTGCAATAGCTCGGGTGTGTATTCTTAGCACTTTGGGAGGCTGAGGCAGGTGGATCATCTGAGGTCAGAAGTTCGAGATCAACCTGGCCAACATGGTGAAACCCCATCTATATTAAAATGCAAAAAAAAAAAAAAAAAAATAGTTGGGCTTGGTAATCCCAGCTACTCTGGAGGCAGAGGCAGGAGAATCACTTGAACCCAGGAGGTAGAGGTTGCAGTGAGCCAACACAACATCATTATACTCCAGCCTGGGCGACAAGAGTGAAAGTCTGTCTCAAAAACAAACAAACAAACAAACAAAAAGAATTAATTGCAAATGAAGAAGGTAGTGGTTGTCACTGATACTTGTAGATGGGAATTTCCATATTTTTCTAGCCTTTAACAGTATAATTTCCACATTTAAATAGAATGATTGCATGTGATGTAAAAATTAAAGCAAAGCATACTAGTAAAATTCCTTCAAATTTAAACATAAGAATTCACGTGTAAAATGTCCTTCTTTTACATATATGAGGGGCTTATTGAAGGATTTGATGAAGATATGCCTTTACAGCTGTTGATAGATAATTGTGGGGTTAAAGGGATTGAAATAGGGAAGGAGGGATCCAGCAGCCAGAATTTTTTCTTCCCAGCAATATGCTGTAAATCTTAACCATCAAGACAGGAATGAAAACAGGTTCTGAAGCTTGTATAATCTCAGTAAGTATTTCATAAATTATAAATGAATAAGAAAACTAAGGGTGATAATATAGGAAGTCTTATGTATATGGAAAGAGAAGTTACACCCTTGTATTTTGGTAACAACAAAAGTGTTATTTGTTTTGTCCAGGACTCATTATTCCAAGGCAGATCTTACTTCAATAAATAATGTAACATCTAAAATAAGGGGAAATAAACATATATTCTTTTCAAATGAAATAAAGAAAATCAGCATTAAGCATTTTTGTTAGAAATATGCAAACTGGTTTAGTGAATAACCTCCAACACTTTAGTGGTTTAACGTAATGAAATACTATATCTTGCTCTCTTAGCAGGTGGATTTCCTCAGATGTGTGATCCAAACTTCCCCATTCTTGGTTATTCCATCTCTTAGGACCTGAAGTCCTCTGCATCCACCTGACAGATAGTGAAAGACAGAACATGAAGGAGGCAGAGATGCTTCTTATAAGCCTTGGTCTGGAAAGGACACATGCCACTTGTACACAAAGTTTGCTTCCTCTCTGAAACATTCCCTGATTATCCTGGGCCACAACAATCCTTATTCTCTCAGGATTTCAGGAGTAGATTGTTATAACTCTATTTTATAATGTTTTGACTTGCTTACTCTGCCATCTAGTGAATACAATACAGAAATATAAGTAAAAACAAATCTGTATTGTTAAAAAAATGAAGTAGAAGTGAAAAGAAAACTGTTTTGTTAAAAATAAAAGTACATTTTTCATGATACAATAAACTTACATCTCTATGGTGCCAAAGGTTTATCAACACTTGAAAACTTGTGTAGCTTTAACCTATATTTTTTGTTATACATTTAATAGCTTTTTAAAAGCCAAACAATGATACAAGGGTAACTATTAGAAAATGGTAGATTAAGGTTACGTTGTGCAAAATTCTAGTAATAACTTCATTGCATTTCTGAAAGAACTGTCTGAGATAAATAGCACTGTCATGCACATCTGCCGGAATTCCTTAATAGTCTCAGACGTGCAATCACTCAAGCCTTGTGGGAAAGAAAGAGTAGGTTACAAAAGTAGGCTCCTTGATTCTGTGGGTGAAACCTTGTAGGACTCCAGCAAGTTCAGCTGTGAAATCACTGTCTTCCTCTTGACAATACAGTAACAAGATTGTAAAATTTTTTGAACAGAGGCTCTCAATGGTGACCTGGTTTATGGGGAAAAGATTAAATCACACATCCAGAGAATGATTAGGGATGACAAATACTTATTTTTACACAGATACTGAATGATAATATATCTAACTATGCTTTTGAGTAAATATTTGGAGCTTTTAAACTATAGGATGTCATTCTTATTATGATCAGTGTAAAACACTCCTGTTGGAATAAAGGACTCACTATGAAAATGAATAATGCAATCAATTGAAATTTCATCTTTAATATTGTCTTCAAACTGACTTAATCATATGGAACATACATATTCTGCTCTTTTGGTCTAACAGCATTCTTTTCTTCATAATTTACTTATTATATAAGACTTTTAGCTACACGTTTATGCTTAGCTGCTACCAAATGATAAATTAAGATGCCTTGATATCAATTTCTATGAGTTCCATTTTTTATGGTCTCCTTCTTCCATCCTACTCTTTCTTTTGCTTGCACAAACATTATGTTTATATTCATCTAAGAAGGCTACTTGATTTACGGCTTATGGTCATATTAAGTGAGTGTCAGGGCTGTGAGAAAACCTCTGAAGTTGTCACTGAGAGAATGGTATAGTGTAAATTGAACAATGTCTGCTAGATAGAATTGGAAAGGTCATTCCACTGGTTACTGTTCTCCAAGTCATATTTAGTCTTCCTAAACAACATCTACTCAAATTTTATCCAACATTCAATCGTATGGACAAAATTGACCTGCTGTATCTTGTTTTAAAAAATGTTGTATACATTTAAGGAGTACAAGTGCAGTTTTGTTACATGAGCATATTGCATAGTGGTAAAGTCTGGGCTTTTAGTGCAACCATCACCTGAATAATGTACATTGTACCTGTTAAGTAATTTCTCATCCCTCACCCCCCTCTCTTCTTCTTACTCTTCCGATTTCCCAATGCCTATTATTCTGTGCTCTATGTCCATGTTTGCACACTGTTTAGCTCTCACTTCTAAGTAAGAATATATGGTTTTTGACCTTCAGTTCCTGAGTTGTTTCCCTTAAGGTAGTAGCCACAATTCCATCCATGTTGGGGCAAAAGACATTATGTAATTTCTATTTAGGGCTCATTGTATCTTTAACGAGTTCCTCTGCTGTGTTCCGGAGCACCTCTGTTGGCAGAGATGGAGCAGCAGAAGATCTGGTGGGCATTTACCATTCAGTACATTTATTGAGTGACACATGCTGATGTGATCATGTTATGCCTCACAGCTTCATCCATGGTCCTCTACTCAAGAACTACAGCTCCCAGATTAGTGCAAGGTGACCATCTAAATATTCAGAATTTAGACAATTATCTTTGAAACACTAGTTTAGCCCAAGTCATACCTGAAATTTTTCATAGATTTGTCTTCAGACGCATTTGCCCTTGAAGATGCATTATTTTTCCTTGTTTTAGAATTCTAGTTTTTTCCTTTCAAAGTGCTCTTCAGGCACTTAAATCAATGGCTTTTATTTCTGTTGCTATGAACTTCTATTTCGTCCACAGATGGCATTACAATAAAACTAAAGGAAATAAAGAAATTAATTGCTTACCCCAAAGCATCAGCTGTTTTCATTTTTTATTTTTACCAATCTCCCCCTTTTTCCCAAGATATATTAAATATTAAGGTAATTGTTTCATACAGTAATTTAAAAATCATATACTGTGTTTTTCAAGTTTATTTTGTCATTTATTTATTTACACAAAAATGTGTACCCTTTTTCTCATTTATCTGTTTGCCATTGTGTATAGGTGAATTTTATGGAATGACTTACTTTGTTTAGCATCAGCTCTGAACTTGCAAACCTGGAAAGAAACATCACAGCTGTTCAAGCAGAGTAAGAAGTGGTTTGATTATACATACATACATACATACATATATATATATATATATATATATATGAAGTTTTTTGATTTTATATATATAAACATTATATATAAACATTTTAAATATATATAAGCATTTTATATATATAAAATCAAACAACTTCTTGTATTATGTATATGGAAATATATATAAACATATACATATATAAACATATGTGTGTATATATATGTATATATACAGATTACATGTTAACATTGAGAGTTTCTAAATATCCTCATATCATGACATGAGTCACTTTATTGAGGACTTATAACTAGTGGAAATTGATGACAAATGTGCAAGAAGCCCCCCCTCCTTGGCATTCTTTCCCATACCCCAAGAGCTACAAAATATTGGTGTTGTCTTCTAAGTGGTCAATGCAGTGTCTACAAGATGCTACCTTAGTTATTGATCCATGGATAATTGGTAATTGTTTCCATATTTTCTGGATACCTATGAAAATGCCTCAATTGTGTTTTCATACTATTATCTCTCCATCTTCTCACTTTTGTCTGAGCTCTCTGACATTTTTTTCTCTCCTCTGTATGGCTTTAAGAAGCAATATATAGAGATGGAATTCACAAATGGGTATTACTCTCTTAAATGTAATTGGTGAATCTCAATAATGTAAGTTGCACATGGTACTTTATATTTTTCACAATTGTATTTTAATAGCTGGCATAAAGGTCACATGAATTGGTAATTCAGTTGAAATTTTTTTAATTTGTAGAAATGAATAGTTTTCCTTATTTTTTACTACATGTTTTCAGAAATAAACTTTTTCACCTTTTAAAATTATTTCTTTAGTATAAATTTACAGGAAGAGAATATAATAAACTGAAGATCTGAATGTTACATTGATTCTTGGTACTGATTGTTACATTGTTTTCTAGAAATATTGTACTTATTTGTCCTAATCAAAACAAAAGCACCAGATTTACATTATTTCTGGCCTTTAATGTTCTCATATATGGAAGGAATAAACTTGTAGATCATTTTTTAAAATTTCCCTTTTTTGATGTAGAAAATGTTTTTTCTCATTTAGTTCTAATTCCATCTCTGCATTATGTATTTTTGTTCATTGTCTTTAAAGGACTTTTGTCTGTTTTTTATTTTTCCTTTTGAGATAAGTAGAATATTGAAAAATACGAGATCAAAGGCCCTGTGTACCAATGCACAATAAAATCCAAAGAAAATCATATAGTATAAAAAATAAAGTCAGGTAGAAAAGTTATAACAACTTAAAAAAAACCTTAGGGACTAAGGATCAACTGTCAATGTTACTGGAATCCAGTTCTATGCGAGAACATGGGAGCAAGGGGCAGTGGGGGGCTGGGAGGAGGGAAACAAGTTTGAATTGATTGGACTTCCCTTCCCTAATGGCCCATTATCAAATGTTCTAAATGAAGAAATTCGATTGCCACTAATCTGAGCAGAAGTATAATTTAAAAAATGAGATTGATTGGTCATCAGAGTGTCTTATAAGAAGCCATTTAAATTTTATTTTTCATTTTCAAAAATTTACTGTTATATAGATTTGCTATAAACCATGGATTAGTGGATTTGTGTTTTCATGGGTTTTTCTCTGCCTAGATATTTTACTTCTTTCCAAATCCTTGCTATTATGGACTCCTTGGAAAAGTTGATTCTATACTTAAAGCAGTGCTGTCTATCTTCTTGGCATATTGTATGCAATACAATTTCATAAATAATATTGTAGTCACACAGTTTCCAGTGGAAAAAAAATCACGAACTGCAGCATTCATAAAACTTAAACATGGAAGCCAGATTATTCCTTAGAAAAGCAGATAAAACCAAACCAAGTAGTGTTCAAAGTTTAGAAAACTGAACTCTTAGCTCTTTATATCATTTTGTTTTGTCACCTTTTCTACTCCTTAAGGTGTCTGTTACGTAATGAATAAATGGTCCGGTAGGATAAAAGCTGTCTAAATTCTTCACAGCTGGTGCAATATGCCTCGGTGCCTTGTCATCTACCTGCCCACACTTAATTAATAAGCATCTGTTTCATTTTTATATTTACTCAAGATAGTGGCTTAATTTTATATTCCTGTTTTTCTACTTATTTCTAGCAATAAATGGATATTTTCTCTTTTCTATTCCTTCCCAAACAGCTTATATTGACAAAAATTCAGGGCATGTTTGTTAAAACAAAATGGGGGAGCAGACTCCCAAGGATTTAGAGTTGTAGAAATTAAAAGATGAAATAACTTCTGGATAAAACTGCAGTGAATTTAGTTGCATTTTATGTGTTCAGAGTTTCTGTTCCTGTTCAAGCGGTTTTAGTCTTTTTATTTTTTGAGACGCAGTCTCGCTCTGTCGCCCAGGCTGGAGTGCAGTGGCGCGATCTCCGTTCACTGCAAGCTCCGCCTCCCGGGTTCACGCCCTTCTCCTGCCTCAGCCTCCCGAGTAGCTGGGACTACAGGCGCCCGCCACCACGCCCGGCTAATTTTTTGTATTTTTAGTAGAGACGGGGTTTCACCGTGTTAGCCAGGATGGCGTCGATCTCCTGACCTCGTGATCCGCCCTCCTCGGCCACCCAAAGTGCTGGGATTACGGGCCTGAGCCACCGCGCCCCGCCGCGGTTTCAGTCTTATACCTCACTACCAGATGCAGAATATCAAATAGAGTTTATGATAAATTACGAGGTAACACAAGTGTTTCCCAGAGAAGACTTTAACAGCAAAGTCCTCATTACATAGGTTTTGTTGTTGTTACTCCTGGGAACCAGAAACTTGACAGCCTAGAGCTATATTTAGGTTTATGATCGACAACTTCTGATGCTCTATTTATGTTGTGTATGTGCAGGTCTAGTGGGGAAAATGTTAATAATACAAAGCTTCTCCAAGGAAACAACTCTGAATGTGTGGGAATTGATGCACTGCTAAATGTAGCAACATAGGTAAATTACTTTTTTCCTTTTTAAAAATTAGTTTTTATTTTTTTTCTGTTGTTGTTGTTGTTTTGCTTCCATACGAGAAGATATAACACTTTTTAATAGTGTTTCCTACTTCCAGGATTTTTTTTGACATTTATACTCACTTTTACACAATTATTCAAGGGGTTGAGAATTATTAAATATATATATAATTTTTGTAACACTATGAAAGAGAACAAGATATAAATGACAAGTTTCTTGCTCTTTATCAAAATATTAATTTGTAATAGAATATTTAAAAAACTACAAACATACATTCTGAGTCAAGTAGTGTTTTAATGGGGCTAATATTTTCATTAGAATACAATTACTATTTAGTTACATAATAATATTTTTATTAGTGCATTATATATTTTAGAAAGAATTAATACCAGTTCTACACAAAATATTTTTAGAAAATAGTGGGGAAAGAGTGAACCCTTTCTAGTTATTTTTATGATGCCAGCATAACCCTAATACCAATTAATACCTGATAAATAACATTAGAAGAAAATGAAATTACAGACCAATGTCTCTCATGAACATAAATGCAGAGAAAGAATTAACTGTTGATATATACAAAACCATAAAGCTCAAAAATGTTATGCTGAATTAAAGAGATCAGACAAAAAAATGCATTATCTATAACTGTAAAAGTTCAAGAAAAGAAAACAAATCTAAAGTGGGAAAAATTAGATGTGTAATTTCTTATGGAGTGAGGAAAAGAAGTGGTCTTTGTCCAGGAAGGAGCATAAAAGAACTGTTTGGGATGCTGGGTATATTCTATATCTTGTTTGAAGTGATAATTATACACATATAGAGATATAGATAGATGATGAATACAATAAAACTCATCAGCTCATATACTTAAGTTTGGTGCATTATTTCCCTCTGTATACATTTGACCTCAGTTTTACAAAATGAATTTTTATAATGTTGTTCATAACTGAACAATATGCAAATCTGATAATTTTTACATTGTGATGATATGCTCCAGTATTTATTGGTATGTGTTTTCTTGGTTTCTAGTCTGAGTTACACTCAGTCTCACCAATTTTTCTATTCCTGTTACTTTTTCAAAATCTATGTAGCTACTAATGATTTATAAGTCTGTGTGTCCATTCTTTAACTTTCTGCTATGATCAGGACCTATATATACCAAACTGTGAATGGATAACACCATCTAGATATCACAAATATAATTCAAACTATATTTAAAACCGAGGTTATTATCTTTGCTTTACAAAACTTTTTCCTTGTCTCCACCTTAGTTGAGATATAATTCTCCATGGCTTCCAATAAGAATATTTAGAACTGTTCCTGTATTTCACTTTCCTTATCTGATACATCCAGTAGTTTTTCAAAGTTATTACCATCAAAAACAGATAGTCTTAATTCTTTTCTTCCTATTCTAATTGGGTTGACTCTCATGAGGACTGTTTCAATAGCCTGATATATAATGTCAGTAGTGGGGTTTTATCAAATGTATGTCTATTGGGAGGGAGTTGGCTTTGCTTGATTACTCCAGATGACTACCTAGTGCCCTCGGAAAAGAAAGCAGAGATTCTTTGGTATGAGATATGGCACTAACCCTTTATGGTTTAGCATTTACATACATCCACAGCACCCTTTACTACTACTTGGCTTTCATAAAAACTAAGCCTCTTTGAGTTTCCCAGACATGCTGTGGTATTTCATTCCTTTTGATTTCATGCGTGCTATTTCTCCTTACAAGAATGCTGTTCTGGTCTTATCTACTTGCAAACTCCTAATTTTTTTTTTTTTTGAGATACAATTAAAGCTTCACGCGCTCTGTGATGCCCTCCCTGATACCTCTGAGTTTCTAATACTTTTTTTTTTTTTTACATAAAGCTATTATTGGAATTGTTGATTTACATATCAGACTCCTCTACTAGATTAAAAGCTCATTGTGAGCAGGGCTGTATCTGATTCGTCTTTGCTTTCCCAGTGCTTAAGATAGAAAAGGCACATGCCATTCAATCAACATCTTTGCAATAAATGAAAAATTGAACCCAAAGTGAATAATGCAGTTAACCCTATTTTTAAAGTTATAGTATCACATTTCATTTAAAATTATTATAAAATAGTTGAATTACTTTAAAATTCTAGATATATATTATTTCAAATCAATTACCAATGACTGTATTGCTATTATTTAGGCTGATGAAGCAGGCCGGGCATGGTGGCTCATGCCTGTAATCCCAGCACTTTGGGGCCAAGGCAGGCGGATCATTTGAGGTCTGGAGTTCAAGACCAGCCTGAACAACATAGGGAAACACTGTCTTTACTAAACACATAAAAAATTAGGCTGGTGTGGTGGCTTACACCTGTAATCTCAGCTACTTCAGAGGCTGTGGCAGGAGAATCACTTGAATCTGGGAGGTGGAGGTTGCAGTGAGCCAAGATCAGGCCACTGCACTCCAGCCTGGGCAACAGAGTAAGACTCTGTCTCAGGAAAATAGAGTAAAATAAAATAAAATAAAATAAAATAAAATAAAATAAAATAAAGAAGAAGAAGAATTGTGGCCACAAAAAGGAATCTTTCACAACTTTATTAAATTAATATATCTCACCTTTTCAAATTTTCTGTTCATTTATGTTACATAAATTTAAAGTTTTTGTTGTATTTTTTGCAGTTGAAAAAAAATTCTGAAATAAAACTTTAAAGATAAATCCTACAAGAAAGATGAGAAAAATTCAATACTAACATATTATAAACTTGATAAAACTTGTAGTTAATTCTCCTGAGAATTTATAAATAAATACACATATACATAGATAAGGCATATGGCTGGCAGCCACTTTAAAACAAGTACAAAGCTTCTCAAAATAATGCAAAGTTTTGCAGAGCTTGTTAAAAATAGAATTATAGCATTCAAAGTATTAATTTGTACTCAAATGTTCCTTATAAAAAATCATAGAATAAAGGAATTATATTTGATTTGGCACTTCACAGACTATAGCCTTAGTAAGTAATAATTTTAGAGACAAGTCCTAGACTTGTTGTGTACCTGGATGTATTTGTTACTTTGGGTTCTAAAAATTGTTTACAGATTTGACAACTAGAGATTGCTTCTAATTTTAAAATGTATTTTCTGATAAAATTACATGTATTAGATATTAATTTTGCTGAATATACGCTTTATTCTCAGATTGCAGACACTTTTTCCAATCAAATCTTCCTCTAGTAAGAGAGTTTTGACCAGTCATATTTTTTATATCAACATCAATACTGCCTTTGTCATAGTTATACACATTACTAAGCTTGAAAAAATTGAGTCTAAATTTATAAATCAGAACAAATGATATGTTCTTTGTATTTATTGTACCCAAACTATCATCTCAATTTATCTGCTTGTTCAACAAATATTTAATGCTAGCCAACTAGATGACGGAAATTCCATTCACTGGAAACAGCCATGAATGAGGTCCTTCCCCATCAGATGGGAGTGATAAAACTTAGTGTGGAAACATCTGGCCTTTTATGTATTTAGAGGATTTTTCAAAATCAGTAAAGCTATTCTCTAGTATTATAAACTGTCATGGTGTGGAACAGATACTCTGAGACAGAGTTGACCAAAACTGAGTTGTTTTTTTTCAGAACACATAGAAGCAAGCAAACCCAAAGAGATTTTCACGTGGAGGAGGAAATCTGACAGCTTGCTGTACACACTGAAAAATGGAGTAATTGGGAAAGGCAAGGAAGAACATTCAAATCTCATAGAGGTCAATGCCTTCAAAATTAAAGCATGGAGAGGTTACCAGGAGAGCACCTAGAAAGCCAGAGATTTAGCAGCAATGGCACAAGCTGGTAGATTGGAAAACAAAAATTAGAAGCTATTTTCTTTTTTCACTATTGGGGAGTGGGGGAGGGAAAACATGCATCTGATTCACAGATTCTGCCATCAAATCCTAACAAAATTGAGGCAGGGATAGAAATGATGATAGGATTTAGCTTCAACTTTGCCCTTGCAAATTTGTTTTCTCTAATCTTTATAATTTATAGGTTAGGAAAATCATGGTGTGATCTAATAACTTAAGATGAACTCATTTATTTTAATTATATGTTATTACCAGACTCGACTGAGAAGTTTGTAATACAGAATGGTTGTGTATCTGTCACAGGCATACACAAAAGCAATTTTTTTCCATTTTAGGTATGTGCATGCACTAAAGATAATTCTTAGTAGGGAGAAGCAGAATTGTCCCAATTAAGGATCTTTATTTCTTGGAATAGTGGAATAAATGATGGAATCCTGGATCCATAGAGCTTATCTAGCCCCTTGTCTGTGAGCAGATGGCTATGAACAGAAGTCATTGTAAAACCACAAAATTACCAGAATTACTGATAAATCTTTTAAAATATAGATGCCTTACCCTCAACATTCAAGTTTCTGCTTCAAAATGTGGGTGTGGCCTTTTCATCAATGATACTTTGCCAAACCTACCAAATGTCCTGGGGGGTAGCCAAAGCTGACAAACTGTAGTATAAAATACCTCTAACAGCTGGTGTTAACTAGGGCTAGGTTTATTTTCTTCTGAACTCCAGGAAAACTAGTTAATTTTAAGCAACTTTCAATTTATACACCAATGATTTATTGAGTGCTTCCTGTGTGCTAGCCACCAAGCCGTCAGGTAAAAACCAATAACACATGAATACTTCCTTCCAGAAACTCACAATTCACATTAAAAAAAAAAAAAAAAAAGAGAGAGAGGGAGAAGACAGTAAACAGGAACTGATTTCTCAGGAACTCACTTGGATTGAAATCCACAGTGTCCCTCCACTCTGATACATCAAGAGAAGTACACGTATATCTAACTATAATCTTTATCTCTGTCTGTATCTATGCTATATACCTTAGTTTAAATTTCTATAACAGAATACCGTTGTCTGGGTGGCTTAAATGACAGAAATTATTTCTCATAGTTCTGGAGGTTAGGTGGTCCAAGATCAAGGTACCCACAGATTCAGTGTCTGGTAAGGGCCTGCTTCCTGGTTAGCACCTAATACTTTGGCCATCTTTTCCTTGTATCCTCACATTGGCAGAGAGCAGCGAGGAGGATGGAGATCAAGCTCCTTCTATCTCTTTTAAGTTTTAGGTTAGGCCACTTGTGAAAGATCAAACTGCATCATACATTGACATATAATTAACACATATTAACTATTCACTGGTGCATATATATATATATATATATATATATATCCATATAATTTTTATAAGTAGGCATCCAGGTGCTATGGCATTTGAAGCACCCCTCAAGTCAGCCCTTTTAACTTCCTAAATGACTATTTAAATCATGAAACATAGGATAATTTGAAGAAATGCACATGTTGAAAAAAGAAATGCAAACAATCATGACAGCTAAATAAAAAGATGCAAAGTTTTTTTTTTTCATTTTATTTAGTATCCTTTCTAATGCCAGCCCTGTACTTACAACAGCATTTGGAAGTGGGAAAAGCACCTTAGACTAAGGTTATCTCGATGCAATTCCCACCAAAAGCTGGAATCTGTTCAATAACATGACAGGCAGAAGGTCAGTAGCCTCTGTTTGAAACTCCTGGTTGTGGGGGGGCTCCTGCTTTCCAAGAAATCTGAGGATGCTATGACTGTATTATTAGAATGTTATTTTTGTAATAAGCCCAAACTCTCTTTATGTAAGCTCTCTTTTGGAGGCTAAGGTTTTGTTCTCAAGAGCAGCATATATTTTACTAAATTCCTTTGAATATAAAAGCACTGTAGAAATTTGAGGGCAGCTACCATTTACTTCATTGAGCTTCTCTTTCTCAGCCTAAACAGCCTCTATTTGAAAACACATACAGTTTTCTCACTGTTCTTATTTCTTTCATCTGAATGATCAACTGTTCAAAATATATTGGAAAACATGTTGCCAAATAATTGAAAACAATAATTCAGACGTGGCCTGATCTGTGTAGAAAACTTGGAGAACGTAGAAAAACACACTGGAAAAAAAAAAGTTTACTGAAAATTGTACCTCTCAAATTTAACAACTGTTAAGATTTCTTATTTCAAAAATCAGATTTTGATGTATTTTCAATGTATTTGTTCTTAAAATGTTATTTATGGTTGACAAATCATAATCGCATACATTCATGGGATACAATGTGATGCTTACATATATGTTTGCTTTGTTGAATGATTCAATCAAGCTAATTAACATATCCAGCACCTTGCATTATTCACAATACCTAAGATATGGAAGCAAAATAATTGTCTATCAAGAAATAAAACAGATAAAGAAAATTCATATACACACACACATGCACACACACACATATATATGCACACTTATTTAATGGAATATTATTCAGCCTTTAAAAAGATGACAATTAAATATACTCCTATGCATACATAGCACATTACACTTTATCCTAAAATGACATTATATTATAAAATCATTTGTAACTTGTTTTATTCATCTAGCAAGATCTATGCTTTAAACATTTGCCAATGTTGAAGGACTTTAAGTATGCCAATTTACATTTGGATAGATTTTTTTCAAATTTTGAAAACCACCTTTTTATCATTATAACTAATGCCATAACTAACACATTTGTACATATTTCTTTTAAGTGACTTTATCTTATCAGATTTTCTAAATCAATGTTTCACACCTTTATGGCTTTTTATACTATGTTCATTCAAAATGTTCCATGTTGAAATGGTTTCCTTCACAGAAGCATTGGAGTATGTATTGTTTTCTTTCACCATTGCACTGTCTTTTCCAAGCAAGAGTCAGATGTGCCATTTTCCGTACCATTTTTATAACTCCAAACATTTTGTAACTCCAAGGCTATGATCATTGGATATAATTATTCATTATGCTTTAGAATAATTGTGATTTCTCCCTCTCTATCCAGTTAGCTGTGTGAGTATATAAGCTGTGTCTTTTATTTCTAGGTGCCAATGACTCATGATTAATAAATGCAAACTTGTTTTTATTTACCAAAAATTAAAAAGGAAGTTTACTTAGTTTCCTGGTTCTTCTTAGTATTTTACAACCATCCTTTGCAAATATGCTAGATGCTTTCAATTGACATCAATTTATGTTTATATTTTTCCTCAGGTAAAATTCTACCAATAAATTGAACAAATAAGTAGCATCTTAGCTATAACATTCTGCAAATGTTTTTCATCCCCTTCCTCTGCATGATTGTAACTGTTTACTTCTAAGTCCTTTCTGCAATAACTCCCCTTGAGAATATGTCTTTGTGATTCTGTTTATTTGCCTCCTTGAGAAACTCTGTTAATGTGTTTCCTTTGTTGTAATGTAACTGGATAGCCATGAAAGGTAGTCAGTCATATGGTCTTCTCTTTCTTAAATGATGTAAACATCTAGCATTTCGTTTTTCAACTGCACTATTAATATTTTGGCCTAGATAATTCTTTCTTCTTGGGGACTGTCTTATGCCTTGTTTAATGTTTAGCAGCATTCCTGGCCTCTATTAACTGTCAATAGCATCTTCCTTCTCTCCTCCATAGTTGTGACAATAAAAAAAGTCTGCACATATTACCAAATTTGCCCTGGGTGGAAAAAAATTTCCCAGTTGAAAACCACTGATCTATATGTTATACCAGTCAGCTTATCAGTCTATGGGAAACAGATTTAAAAAATAGATGGATAGATACTTAGAAAGACAATTTTTCTTGGTCTCTTTGTTAATTAGCATTATGTCAAAGAGGTGAATTACTGAAACAAGAGGGAGGTAAAAGAAAGCATGAGTCTTTCAAGGGTTCAGAAGTACATATTGCACGTCACAAAATGTGTTGATCACTAATATTACATGATATAAAATTTTTACACATCTGTATAGAAGAAAAACAGTAAAAAACCTTAGTATGCTAGGATAAATAATTGTATTTTAATTCTAACTTAAAATAATCTTTGAAATATATTTGTTATTTCCTCAGTATGAAGGATGTGTGTGTGTGTGTGTGTGTGTGCGTGTGTGCGCGCGAGTGCCCATGTACTTGTGTTAAGTGGTAGTTATGTTGGTATTGCCTCCATCTTTTTACTTTAATGATATCAATGTTTATAGTTTTGTTGGAAAGATAGGAGATCAAAAACATGAACCAATGTGCAAAATGATCTGGTGGATCCGGGCTTTGGAATCAGACTTGGGTGGGTTGGAAATTCAGATTTGCTCCTTCCTGGTTTTGTGTCTTAAGGGAAGCTATGTGGTATCTATTCTTAAGTAATAAATATTATATTATCCACATCTGAGAAATGAGAATAATATAATATTTAACTTCCTAGGTGATTAAGAGAAATATATAAGATGACCTGTACAGAGCCCTCACCCATTTCTTGAAACACAGGGGGTTCTCACTGTTTCTAATTCCTGGTCTCTGTTTTGATTAGAAGATAAAGCAAGAGTGCCTGATGCCTAAAGTTTTCACGACAGAATAAAGAACAGAGGTGGGCAGGTATCATGTGAGTACTGTCAAACTTCCCATAAACATTGATCTGTTAATACTGATTGTGGACAAGTTTCTCCTATCATTATACGTAGGTCATTTGTAGGAGTACGAATAGTCAAAATCTGATTTCTCAGTGAGAATTGTCATATATTAGAAAGAACTAACTATACACTAAGTAATTACGGTAAGAAATAGAATGCCTTAGACCATATATTGTTTTTTAACAAATATACGAGGAAATATACATTATAAAATAAATAAGAATCAGTTCGAATAGAGCATATTGTGAGTACTGCATCCACTCCTAAGAAGTGCCAGAATGTGATCTCTCTTCTATACCATGAAAGAGGATTTGAAAGCCTGAAGAAAAAAAAAAAGAATTTGGAAAGAATTAGGAAAAAGAAAATTCTGTGTAGGTATCTTATGCCAACATAAGGGATTGTCTTCTCATAACTCTGTGAACATCACTTAGCAAAATTTGAACCATTCAAAGTTTAAAAGGACAATTCTGAAAAAAGTGACCCCTAAGCCTCTTTAACATGTGTCTTTTTATTGTCAACTTGTATACAATGAGCAATTAAATATAAATCTCATCTCATACATTTACAACGGTAATATTTAAGCCAATTTTGTAAAGAAACATATGATAAAATAAATTATCACTGGGAATAATGGATTCATTTTTCTATCTTGGAGAACTAAAAAGGCTTATTAATCTGCTGCAGAATAGGTATGATATTAAGTAAACCTTTTCAGTTGTTTATCTGCTTCCAAGGTTTTGATTAACCACCATCAGTAAAAATGAAATTTCATTTTATCCTTTCAATGTTACCTTTGTCCTTGCCTCTAACAGTCCTGTAATGGATCCTGCTTCTCATTTTTTCCAATTATGCCCATAATGCTAATGCCTTCAGGCATCAAATGTCCTGTGAATCTTTTTTTGACCCGCCTCTTCAGGCAATCATTACAACTTTCAGCTTCTATTACTGTACTCCATTTGTTACTGCTGCTCATACTTGGCCAATGGTTGTAAGATGCTGCCTAACTCCATCTTCCTTTCAGGCACTATCATTCATGCCTGACCACTACTCCTGTTTTTCACAGCATATACTCTGACCTGTCAGTGTTGCTACACTAGAAATTATCATACTGTACCTATTCTTTCCCCTCAACTATATAGTGATGCATTTCTGTGAGATTCATTCTTGTTGTTAGTTCTTCTTATAGCTTTAATTTGCATGAGGTTCATCCTTCCAACTATTTCTCTTTTTAAGGAAAACAATGGGTATCATTATATATACAATATGAAAGTACTAATTTTAGTGTTAGATATGTATTAGAAGAAAGATTTATTCTTCTATTTAATAGAGAAGCTTTTAAAAACTATATGAATAGAAGAAACAATTTTAAAAGATTAAATTATCTCTAGGTTGAAAATAATTTCAATGTTTAAAAAAATTTTCAAGTAGGAAGCATGGCTTATACTTCATAGAAGTATTAAGTTATATTTCATTAACATTCTGAGATGCCATCAACCTTATCTGAAAGCTATTTTTGGGTCTTTGCTTACAGATCTGAGTGCTTGTTCTTGCTCTACTTACTTCTCTGTTCTCTTTCTCCTCTATAACTGCCTTACAGACCCATCCCTCCCATGGCCTACCAGGACTCTGAATAAAAATTCTTCTCTATAAACTGCATATCTCAGCCTTCCCCTATCAGCATTCAGGACTCTGCTTTTCCTGAAGCTTCTAACACTACCTACTGGTGAAATACATTCTTTGATTCTTGTATCTCTCTGTGCCTAACTGTGTTATATAAGACCACTGACCCTTTCAAAGGGCTGATTTGTTCAATGTAAAGACAGTCAAAACGTACCTCTTATTTCTTACAGAGATATAGTTCCCTGTAATAAGTAAAGCATGAATTTGCTAAGAGGAAAAATATGATAAAATTATATAGGGAGTAATGCCTCCTGTTGCATTGTCCAAGCAAAGTTTTTAATGTCTTGTAAGAGAAAGGAAAGCAATTCTATTAAAGGGAATGATCTCACATTTCTATTCTGTTGGAATCCATTCACATCCTCGGTATACATGGCTGCTGTCATATTTTAAACTCAGTTTAATTCCTACCCAGTTTTCTCATTGACTAAATTTATAATTAGATTCTCTGTCTTATCCAAAGTAAAAGTAAGTTATCATAAACAGAATGCATCAAAAGAGGAAAGGTCAGGCTAGAGCCAAAAGGGAGTGGTGGGGTGGGGGTGCAGAGTGGCAGTCTTTCAACTTCAAACTCTTGACTGTTTGGCAACACGACACAGTTTTATTTCTACTCCTGTGCATCTTAGTTCATTAAGGTGCCTATAACAAAACAGCATAAACTAGGGGGCTTATAAAGAACAGAAATTTATTTCTCAGAGTTCTGGGGCCTGAAAATCTGAGATCAGCGTGCCAGCATGGTCAGGTTCCGATGAGGGCCATCTTCTTTGTTCATAGAGGACCATCTTCTTCACTGTAACCTCACTTAGCAGAAGGGCAAGTGAAAATGCTTTTCATTTATAAAAACACTAGTCCTATTCATAGTGGAGGTGCCCATGTGGCCTAATCACTTCCTAAGAGCCCCACTTCTGAACACTATCACTTTACAGGTTAGGATGCTGACATGTAAATTCTGGGGGTATGCAAACATTCAGTCCACTGCACTATGTTTGTTTGTTTTATGTATATTTTAACCCTGAGGTAACTATGCCTACCATGATGTATTATATTCAGACTGTAGGGTTGAATTATTCTCACTTTTTTCATATGAATTTTCCCTTGAAGGCAATTCCTTTAAATATAGTACAATTTTAATACTAATTTGTCACCTTACTATAATGAATTAGCATTTGCTGTCTTTTCTTATAGGAAATGATAAGGCATTAAAAGAGTACCCAGAGTCTATGCAGAGGGGTGTTACATAACATTTTGTCTTTCGACGGATGTTCAGGTGACCTAAGAATGTAATTTAAGAGTCATGGTAGTGGGAACTAATACTTCTGGCACTTAATTTGTGCCAGATGTTTTCAAAGCACTTTACATATATTGACAAATTTATTATTCAAGTGAAAATGTTATGAGTGAGGTCCTCTTATTAGTGACATCAAAGATCTTGTAACTGATTGTATGTCAATCTTTACACTGGGTTTACAAAACTCAGAGAGAAATGGTGATCCTCAGCTAAACAGTGTAGCAAGATATTGTACTTTATGTCATATTATTAAACCATTATTTATGTACAATAAAGTCCATGCATTAAAGTTCAATGATTTTTGATAAGTGTATATAGTCTCATATTTCTATAAGTGTATAGAAAGAACTACCACAATCTAGTTATGAAATATTTTCATCCCCCGTAGAGTTCTTTCTTGCCTTTCTATAGTCAATCCCCCTCCTCCACTTCCAGTCCAGTCCTTGGAAACCACTGATTTCATTTTTATCACTGATTTGCCTTTTCAACAAAGTAGTACAAATGGAATCATACAAGTTATAGTTTTTTCATGTCTGGCTACTTTTACTTAACATAGTGTTTTGTAATTCATCCGTGTTGGTAGATACATCAAGTTTGTCTCTTTTTATTTGTGACTAGAATCTTGTATGGAATCTAGCTTAATTTGATAATTAAATTATTTCAGGCTTCATCTCCTCCACCCTTCCCCATGGCTTCTTTACTGCTTTATTTATTTTTTTATCTTATTTGGTACCATATCTATCTTTGCAAATAACCTTGAATTATTTTTGGTGCAGGTAAGAAATAGATGGTTGGATGACAGAGGGATAAATTATACCTTATACTAAAGTTGACCTGGGATCACAGGCGTGAGCCACGGCGTCTGGCCTATTTCCCTTTTAAGTAAATATCTGGGTAGGTGGTCTGAGAATAGTCTGATGTGAAAGACCTTGGCTCCCAGAAACTGGTACATGATATTTCTCACATCTCATTGGCCAGAAAACAGTCACATGGACAGGTAACAGCAAACAGGCTAGGAAATGCAATCTTGATTATGAAAGGCCATTTAACCATCTAAAATTGGGGTCTCTAACAAAACAGAAGAGGGCAAAGGATTTTGAGAAAAACTAACTGCAGTCTCTAAATATGTAGGCTCAATCATTACCTTCCTTTTCCAAATGAGGAAAGTGAGACATAGAGATGTTAAGGCTCATGCCTGGCATTGTACAATATTCCCTTCCGTTTTTATTCATCCTGTTACAAATGCTTGTTGAAAGGTCAAGACCAGCCTGGCCAACATAGTGAAACCCTGTCTCTACTAAAAATACAAAAAAAAAAAAAAAAAAAAAAATAGCCGGGTATGGTCACGGGTGCCTGTAGTGCCAGCTACTTGGAAGGCTGAGGCAGGAGAATTGCTTGAACCCAGGAGGCAGAGGTTACAGTGAGCCGGGACCATACCACTGAACTCCAGCCTGAACAAGACTCTGTCTCAAAAAAAAAAAAAAAAATTAAATGAAAATCCTTGTTATTTTTTTCTTCTGTCAGTCACTGCCAAACTTAAGTCTAACTAATATAACATCTCATTAGAGTTGTGGCTGTGAAAGGAAATGATCCTTAAAAAGTATAGAAGAGTGTTTGAAATACTGTAAGCCTTTAATAAATGTCAGCTGTTGTAATCAATGGAACTAGAAAAATTATTAAGATATAGAAAAATATTTTCATATTCTCTTTAATGTTCACGTTCTTTGAACATTGTAACCAATGTATGTAATTGTGTGGGAAGTATTTTTAGATTTAGTTTTACATAGGAGAAATAATTTATAGTGCTTCTATTAGCATATGTGATATGGCTGAAGTGGGTATGAGGTAGGTTCATGTGTTAACAGACTGAACCAGAATAGGAGTAATTCAAACATATAACGGTTGTATGATCTTGCAAAGAATTTAACATCTTTCAACCTCAGATTCCTGATCAATAAACAATTCTCACTTTATAATTATATAATCTCTAACAGCCATTCTGCCAATTACAAAATATGAATGTGAATAGCTCTCTCTCTCTCTCTCTCTCTCTCTCTCTCTCTCTCTCTCTCTCTCTCTCTCTATATATATATATATATATATATATATATGAATAGCTATATGATGCTCAGCAAATGGTAGTTAATTTGCTTCCTGTGGATTAATGTATTTGATATTTTCTAAAATGAGAGTAACTAGGGTAAATTCTGATAAGGGACAGTCCAGAATAAAGAGGATAAAGTGAGAAGCACGATGGGAAGAGGCATCAATGATAAGCTAAGTATTGAAAAATTACATTGGTGACTGATTTTATTCCTCCAAAATTGTATTTTGGCTGAACGTTGCTTTGAATACTGAGTACGTATTTGGGTGTTATCATTTATTTTAGAAGTACTTTGGAGAAAGAGGTGAACATAAATAGGTGAACGGGAGAATTTTCAGTTTATTGTTCTTTGTTCTAACTTTGAGCACAGCAATAGTTGATCACTTTAACAGTTATAATGGAACGTGTTTCGGAGCATCTAACAAAGCATGTGATTCTATGTTTCCTTAATTTAATTTTTAAAATTTTGCATTTTTTCTTCGTCAGTGCCCATATGAGTGCCAAGTTATTTATTATTTAAAGTAGTTTAAAGATATATTACTTTTTGTATCTGAAATATTCAATTGCTTTCCTAAAACTCTTTCCAGATACCATACGTGTTACCCAAAATAGGAGAACCTTTGCTACAAGAAGAAGTGCTAATAGAATCTTACAAAGAAATTCTGTAACAGGTTATTGGCATCCTGAAAAGAATCTTTTTGAATGCATTCAGAAACACTGTATCTTGACATTTTAAAACTGGGAACAACCCTCATTCCTGTATCCGTTCACAAAATACTGCCAATACTCAAAGGTGTTGGTTCCCTCCCACCCCCGCTTTTACATTTGTTTGCCTTTTGACAATTACTCTGTTCCCATGCTAGTACTTTATTTAACTCTCGACCTCTCATGGGTAATCTGCAAGTCTGTACTTCTTTACTAGATCCTACTCTATCTCCTTCATCCCAGCCCAACCGCACACAGAGGCTTTAGGTTTTAAACACAGTCTAGGTGGGATGTCTGAGTAGAATTTTTTTCCCCAGGTCAAGTTTAAAAAGTCATAAATAAAGTAAAAATTTTCAGGAAAAGAACCTGGAAATGTAACTTATGTAAAACCTTACATAAACTACATAAAAGTTTAAAAAGGAAAAAAAAAGATAAAATGACAATAATAGAGTCTCTAAAGACCAGAGATCATTTAACGGGGAAGGGGGTTGATAAAGGAGGGAATGGGAAATTGAAAAATCTGGAAATTGACAAAGCTATTTTTGGCTGAACATACCTGCTGAAGAAGAAACAAAATTGGCCTATACTGTAATAAGGGAAATTTGGATTTTATACAAGGAAAAGGGAAAATACTTAAATACTAGAAAAGGATTTTCATGATGATTTTGGAACTCAATTCATAGAGCTCTTGGGAAATAAGGTAGATGTCTCCCTGCTTAGGAAGCTTTAGGCTGTTATCCTTCTTAGAATCATAAGTGTAGACTCACACGTCCCTATTGTACCGTTTTGCTCTTGTGATTCTGAAATCCTCATTAACATTGGTTTCAGGCTAAGCTTATTTTTGTCTACTGAGATCCATAGAAAGTGGTTATCTCTCTCTAGTTGAGCTATTCCTTTCCAAGCATGTGTTTTCATAATCTGAGAGCAAGGTTAGGATTTGGAAGCTAGTGAGGGATATAAAAGACCAGGTTCAATGTCTCTGGTCTTCCTATGTAAATCTTACCCAATTTGAGAGCACAGTCATTTGAATAGTGCAGAAAACATTTTGATCTAAGTACCATCACTGTCCTCCTATTGAAACCACTAAGTTGTTGGTCTGTGTCTATAAGATTTTTTAAAGGAAGGAATGTAGTGATAAAATGTAACAGCTTTTTTTTTTTTTTTTTTTTTTTTTCCTGGATCGTGACCTTGCCAATACTTTGACTTCTACCCAGTGATACTCATTTGGGTTCTGGCCTCCAGAACTGTGAAAGAATAAATTTCTGTTGTATTAAGCTACCAAGTGTGTGGCAATTTTCTTACAGCAGCCATATGAAACAACTACAGAGTTTTTACATAACATCTCAGGCAATTAAGTGAGCTCCGTTTATTCAGTGACACTCCAAAAATCTTCACTTCCTTTCACAGTGCTGTAGGTATCTGCCTATTTAAAAACAAAAATGGCAGCAGCTCATTCAACCTAAGGGTCATTACTCTTGATACTTTTCACAAAGTTTCTTCTGGAATTCACAAAAGGTTCAGTTATGATAAAATATGTATCACAGGCCTTGGCTAAGGTCCTACTCTTAGTTGTTTCATCCATCTTTCTTCAAGTATTCATTTGATTACCAACAAAACAATTTCTAATAATTCAACCAGTACCTGTGATTTGCTAACCACCATCATCAGCTTTGCAGACACACCGTTCAGTGAGTCTTGGGAACTTATACTTTGATATTTCTACTAGAAACTAATGAAAAGAAAACATCTAAGTAGTTTTGACGAAGTCATATAGAGAAGAAAAGAAAAATAAGCAAATAGCTAAGAACAATGTCATAAATGCTTCCTACTACTGCTACTGCAATTGTACATTTAAAAAATACTATGAGAACACTGAGGAAGTCACTGAGAGCCTGGGGAAATCATAGAAAGATTATCAGAGGAAGTGGAACGAGAGGGTCACTAAGCAACCCTCTGATCAAGTATATTTTGATGGACATTTGGGGGAAAGAGAGCAATACAAACAAAGTATAGGGATATCTAAAAACTTAGTTTGTGTGTGGGATGGTTTTCCATTTTTAGAAAACTAAAGTTTGGAATGTGTTGCAGGAATATATAGAAGACTGGAAATTGCAGGCATTTTTTCCCTTCTCCTGAGCTCAATTACCCTTACAATTCCTTCTTTCAATTTGTAAATGCATAAAATAGCATTAGCCTCTCCAGGAACCCTTTAATTTCTATATTATTAGTAGTAGCTGTAGCAGTAATTAATACTTAAAGCAATGTCTGTCATTTGTATTAGTTTTATAAATTGGTTTTATAAGAAAGAAAAATAAAATAGAATATATATTTTTTGTTTTTAAGGAAATTGATTCACTGATATTAATATATTTCTCAGAGGTAAAAATTATATTTTAATTTACCCCTAACTTTTTGTGTTAATTCTCCAAATGAGTAAAACATCATTTCTTTCTTATTCAAATGAGCATATCTTATGAAAAAGTGTCACATAAATTTTCAGCCTGATGTTATTAACAGTCTTGAGTCCTGATTTTTATTTATTTATTTATTTATTTTGTAATTACTGGCATCCAAAAAGTTGAGAGGCCAATTATTAGTGAAGTGGTCCAATCTCCTCTGGCAACTTGTCTTACATTGACTAAATAAAGGGATATCATACTATTTTATTGCTTTTTCTTATTCCCAGTAACAATAGTTAACTGGTGCCTTAGTTAGATTCACATTTACTTAGAGAGGCTGCTGGCCACAGGTAAACCCCATACCCTGTGTATTACTTCAGCAGCCTACTTATTTTGTTGCTAGACTCATAAACCTCACGTTGTACAACTGCATCTTGAGTTGTTTTTCTAAAATGCTGATCTGAACACCACTTTGACTTTTTTTTTTTTTTTTTTTTTTTTTGAGACAGAGTTTTGCTCTTGTTGCCCAGGCTGGAGTGCAATGGCATGATCTTGGCTTACTGTACTTTCTGCCTTCCAGGTTCAAGCAATTATCCTGCCTCAGCCTCCCGAGCAGTTGGAATTACAGGCGCCCACCATCACACATGGGTAGTTTTTGTATTTTTAGTAGAGATGGGGTTTCGCCATGTTGGCCAGGCTAGTCTTGAACTCCTGACCTCAGGTGATCCACCTGCCTCGGCCTCACAAAGTACTGGGATTACAGGCATAAGCCACAGCGCCTGGCCCACTTTGACTTTTTGTTTTTTTTTTTTTTTTTTTTTTTTTTTTTTTTTTCTGGAGATAGAGTCTCTGACGCCCAGGCTGCAGTGCTGGAGTGCAGTGTCATGATTGCATGATCTTGGATCTCAATTCACTGCAACCTCCACCTCCTGGTTCAAGCAATTGTCCTGTCTCAGCCACCCAAGTAGCTGGGATTCAGGACCACTGCACCACACCCTGCTAATTTTTGTATTTTTAGTAGAGACGAGGTTTCACCATATTGGTCAGGCTGATCTCGAACTCCTGACCTCAGGTGATCCACCCCCCTCAGCCTCCCAAAATGCTGGGATTACGGGCGTGACCCACCGCGCCTGGCCCCACTTTGACTTTTCTAATCTGTTGGCAGCTTCTCCTAATTCTCAGAGCTCAACTCTTTAACAGAATGTCGTTGGTCTTTGGATTCTGGTGTCCTCTTTTTATCTCTTACCTCCATTTTCTGATCCTCCTTGCAGTGAACATCCTCTTGCTTTCTCTTCCGTGCTCTGTTTTGTTTCCAGGCCTTTATGCATACCCTGCTGTACCTTTAATTCAGAAAACTCTCTCTCCCATTCCCTCATTCCTTGCCAAACTAACTCCTACTCCTTCTTTGAGTCTTGGTTTATATATGATTTTTCTAGAAAGAATGTTTTGATTTCTCAGAAAATTTAGTGATATACTTCTGTATTTTCTTATAGTGCCTTGTAATTGCCCTTTTAAAATATTTTTTTTTACAGCCGTTGTTTCTTTGCTTGCCTTTCTTCATTACTGCTTTCTGTGAGGGCAGGATTCCTGTTTGTCCTGCTGCATGTTGTGGAACATTGCAAAACATGCTACAAATTCCTCGCATGCACACTTCCTTTTAAAAGTGATATTATAATAGCTCTCTTCCAAGGGTGGAATATATTCTCCATCCCATTGAATCTGAGCTGGATTTGTGACTTAATTTAACTTATAAAATGCAGCAGAGATGATAAGGTTGGGCCTTTAGTGGTGTTATCACATTTAATCCCAACTCTTTCTACTCTGATAGCCCCGTGTAAGGAATTCTGGGCTAGCTTCCTTGAGGATGAAAGACCCATGCGTATGGAACTCAGCCAGCACCAACTCCACATATGTTTATGAGAACATGTTTCCTCCTGCAGCCAGCAGCTGGAGTCACCCTAAAAGTGGCAGCAGGGCAATTCCCACAGTGAAATTCCCCAGACCTTTCCTAGATGGGACCAGTTAGGATTCCAAAGAAAGAAGCACTAAACTCCAGGGCGACCAGTCCAAAGCATTTATTCATAGAACTTACATACAGAGGGAGGCTGCAGCACATCCTCACAATGGACATCAGATGTGCTGCCTGGACAGGTAAGAGAGTTGGCGAAGACACTTTCTATTTCTCAGTCAGGACAGAAAAAAAAAAAGTAATGGAAACTGGAATACCCTACATGTAAGACTACCTAGCCACAGTTGAGCCTTCAAATGGTTACAGCAGACTGAGTGACCCCAGGCAAAGCCAGTTAAATTCCCAACCCCCAGAATCATACAATTATTGTGTTAAGCTCCAAGTTGTGGGGTTGTTAGTTTTGCCTCATAAATAACTGATACAATTGTTGTACTCATAGTGTCTTTTGTAGTCACAGTACCTGGTACATTGTAGTATACAAATTAATCAACCTATTTGCTTCTGGTGAATCTTATGTCTTCATTCTCTAAATAAAACCTACCATGCAGTGCCAATGACATGTGAATGCTCATGCACACCCATGACTTCTACTAGTGCCTATTGAGATACATGCTTTCCAAAATATCTTGCCATTCCTAGAGTTGAGAATGACAGTTTTATTTGTAAAAAAAAAAAAGATACTATTTATCTAAGTGTTATACAAAATGAAAAAAAAATATTGAAAAAGCTAGTTATTTCCAAGAAGACTAAGTTGAATGATTTGGAAAGTCAAAAAAAGTTAACAAGTTTCTAAGATGTTATAAATTAAGTCTAGGAAAGACAACTATAAAGGATTCAAGTGGAATTCAAAAACTGATGAAGGAATTTTCATTCAGATTACTTTACAAGTAATTTCTCACTCCTAATAATTTATATATTATTTAAGATTAAACAGAGTATTAAGGCATGCCATTACCATGCTTTCATGAGTTATACTTTAATACTAATTTCCAATTAATCAATTACAGTGTCATCTAGGATATTTGACTTACTGAATGCATATCCATAAAATGAATGAAAATAAGTAGAATTGGCAGGAAAAGGGTGAATAGCATTACTCATTGGGACAAACCGCATAAATGAAATGACTTTAGCATGAAATACCATGGGTTTTCGAAATAATGTTAAATAATGTTAGCAGAGATATTAAAACATGAGAAGAAATGGTGTATTAAAGTGTTGCCAGAAAGATGCATTGGACCTCAATTGTAGAGACTTCTCAATGTCAAACTAAATAATTTAATATGGATTCCATAAACAAAGAGAAAACTGAAAACTGCCAATTTTTGACAAGTGGAATAAAGTGACCAAACTCCAAACTACATTTAGGAAAGATAATTCTAGCCAGATTGTAAAGTATGAATAGGAGAGCTAGGTTAGACCAGGTGGGGGACCTTTGCCACAATTCTAGTGAGAGGTGATGAAGTCCTGGGGTCAGCTACAAATAGTTATTTCTACAGATGTGGCAGAATAACCCATGAAAGCAGAGGAGCATCTTTCTAAAGCAGAAAACCTCCGTTGCACCTGGTTCCGCCCCCCAGGGCAGATTTTCCTTCACGGCTGAAGGGAGAAAAGTTTCAGTATTGGAGAGCGATGTACCTACTGTCTTTATTTTAGAAATATGGTGTTAGTAACCTTACAGATACTCACTGCAAGTTAGAACTGGAAGGAATTCGAAAGGCCAAGTTCAAAGCTCTCAGTAAATAGATGGGACCAGTTGGGATTCCAAAGAAAGAATCACTAAACTCCAGCAAACTGTAAAGTAAATTTTTGTTGAGAGGTCTTTGTGCAAATGCCTAAATGATGATAATTTGGAAGCTCCTAATATAATAAAAGTCAGGATCCTAAATATATCTAGGCAATGTAGATGATATTGGCTACCTCTCAGTTTTTGGTAAACTGCATGTAAGTCAAATGCTGTGCTATATTCTAGTTTTAAAAAGGGTGAGAGAGCTGATTCATCTATTCATCCTATTTCACACACGATGCTGTGTTGCATGCTGTAAGAGACAGAAAGGTTAAAAAAAACACAGCATTTTAACCATGAAAGATATAAAAAATCAGGCAATCAAATTAAGAAGTTTTTAAAAGAGCATTTATGGATTATTAGCAAGAAGAAAGTTGTATAAATTGAATAAAACATGTTAGAATTTTTCTTATGTTGATTTCTTAAAAAGCAAAATACCTTTTCTCTCCTGTTATGCTCTGTAAATATTAAAGCAAAATTCCTTTTCTCTCCTGGTATGATGAGTGAGTAATAGGACTGTTACTGCTCTCAAGAACATTAATCATGGGGGTTTCTAAATATATCAACAACATGAAGTCAATAGGTTTCCTAATTGTGGAGTTATTTAATATGGATGCTAGTATCTTAGAGTTTTTTTTGTTTTTCAGTAGTCTTCCCCAGATGTTAAAATAATCTGAAAACTCAGTTTTCTGTATCTTGTGACAGTAGTCTAGGCTCTGTCATACAGATAAATAATTTATACATTTGAGAATGCCATTTTGAGTAGTGTACTTAATGTTTCACACTTTAGTAATTCCCGATACTGCATTTTTATAGCATTCAGTGATTTTATTTTTTTCTACTATGTTATTTATGAGCCAAAAACCTATCTTGGCAAGGCTAGTCATTTTAGAAACCTCACTGGAAATGGTTCAGTGTTAATTCTGTTTAGGGGAGGATTCGTAAAGATGATAAATGCATTGTGTTATAATAGCCTCATGCTTTCATCTATCATATTGTTAAATCAAATTGCAAGTGTTGCATTAATGTGATAAAATGCTTTTTTCTTACTTTATATTTTAGTCATTTAAGAACTGAAATCAAATGAGAAAATTGGTCCCAAGTAAACAAGATTGCAAAATATTTAATCTATACAACAATAAATTAAAAGCAAAAGATTGATCATATAAATTTAAATTTACAAATTATGCAGATAATATTGATGCTACGTTGCATATAGGTCAACTGTGGGAGAATAATTGACTCTCAGGTTGAGTTTAATTATATTTAACTTTTCCAAGTTCCAATCAAAAACGTTGATCCAATAGTCTGGATTGTATCAAAAGTTTGTTGAGGATGAGTCCTCTACTTTCATACTGCCCTCAATAAAAAAAAAAAATATTGTTTATTTCTAGCATAATTATCTTCTACCACTGTGCATGTTCTGGTATACAAGTGAAATTGTCAATACTACCTCTCAAACCTGAGCCATTATTTTGGAGAATAATGTTCAAATGTTGACAAACAAAAGGCTCTGCTAGAAATCACTCTGGAACCTCTCATTATTTATGCTGAAGGCTTTTTATTAAACACTTGCCCTCTCCACAAGAAATAGACATGGCAGGTTTTATTATCTACTCCTGCATCATATTATGATAGAATGTTATGATGCTTCCCAGGAAACAAGTTAGGTCACAACCCTCATATGTAGATTCCACAAGTAACAACAACAGGGAAAAAAAAAACCGCTGGTTCTACAGTGAATGTATGTTAACACATTAATTATAATCTGCAATACAGATATAAACAGAAGATAACTGACATTTAAAAAGCACAGGTCTTAGAGTCAAATTAGCCTGTGTTCTAACCGTTGTCTTGCACATATTAGCCGTATAACATTAGACAAGTTACCAATTCTCCCTGGGGTGTTTGTAAAACGCAGATAACAGCCATTCCCTAAGGATTATGTGAGGATTAACTGAGTTAATTAATATATGTGAAGTGCCTAGAATACAGTTTACCACAAAGGAGGAAAGATATAAATGCTAATTTTCTTTCTCCCTTTTCTTCAAGAGTAGTGACAAGACTTCTCAAAGCAAACAGCAAATTTCTCATTGTAATGGAAGTTTATGCATCATTCGAAATTGGAAAGTATCATCGAAATTATTGCTTCACATGCTCAGTGGCTTTTATTTTCTTCTCTTGGCCTCAAATATATCCTGGTAGTTGAAAACCCGCTTTTGTACTCTCATTAAATGTAGTAAATCTTAGTAAATCAGAGTTCACAAACAGCTGGGACCTCATATAGAAAAGAGTTTCAAATTCTGTAAAGATTAACAGTGAGATCATCTTTAATGCTGTTCTGATAATAGTGTTACAAAAGAGCTGGTAGATTTTTTTTAAATATATATTTTTACACTTTCATGATGTTGTTTGTTTATACTGCATTAATCTCCTTGACTTGGGAAATAGAGTGTCTGATTTTTTACACAAAAGGTTATGAATGTGGCAATGATTTTCACTTTCACAAACACTGCTGTGGTTATAGACCTTTATTACATGTGCTTTAAGTCTTCCTGCCCTTCAGGTGTGATGTGTAAAAAGGAATAAAAAAACTCACTGCCAATTACAGAGTTTTCTCTATGTCAAACAGGACACCAAGGGTTTTACATGCCTTCTCTTATTTGATCCTCAGGAAACCTCGCATTTATCACTTTGACTGACTCAAGAGATATTGCTTATTCTGCCCCCACATATTAATTATTTTATAAACCAGAAGAAGAGAGGTGAAAGCAGCAAAGAAACTGGGGGAAGGAACTAAGAGTATGATGGTTCTTACCAGGGAAAGAGGTGGGCATAATTCCACTATTCACCAAAACCTTTATTTAAATAACGAATTGCTATCAAAGTATAACAAACGTTTACCAAACACATACTATATTCTATGCATTGTGCTAGGGCTGGGGATTCACAGATCCATGTACCCTAATTCTTGTCTCAGAGTTTTAGTGTCTAGGTTATTGAATTCTAAAATTTATTATTTATTTATTTATTTATATTTTTTAATGGAGCCTCGCTCTGTTTTCCAGGCTGGAGTGCCGTGGTGCCATCTTGGCTCATTGCAACCTCTGCCTCCCGGGTTCAAGTGATTCTCATGCCTCAGCCTCCCGAGCAGCTGGGATTACAGGCGCATGCCACCACGTCTGGCTAATTTTTCTATTTTTGGTAGAGATGTGGTTTCGCCATGTTGGCCAGGCTGGTCTCGAACCCCTGACATCAAGTAATCTGCCCACCTCGGCCTCCCAAAATACTGGGTTAACAGGCAAGACCCACTGCACCCGGCCTAAAATTTCTTTTTTATTGAAACCAGTGCATCATCTCATTATTGAAAGGTTTTGGAATTATTCCTATCCTACCTTATGATTCTTTCCTTAAATAGTGGAAAAATACCTTTAGATCTAAGAGATGTATACGTGCATGTGACCAGATGTGTTAAAATTTTAATGTATGAATTTAAAATGCTTGAAGATTCTCAACATTATTGTATGTGAGGGGAAAATGATTCTATTTCCTTATGAGCATTCAATCAGAACACAATTATAATAGTTATCTCTCCTTTGTGGTTCTGTCTTTACTTTTTAATATGCATTGGCATTTCATTGTTTGCCTACTAGTTTATTCATCACTAAAAAGGCTTTGATTTTCTTGGAGCTTTTTCTTTGACGTTTTATTTTATCTGAAAAAAGTAACTTTACAATTGTTTCTTGTGTCCTCTCTTTGTCCCCTTCACTTACTTTTTCATTTTTCATCTCTCCTCTTTTCCTTTACTTTTTAAATTCCAGCCTTAGATGCTGTCTAGATCCAAGTCCTTGAGAAAAGGTGAAAAAAAAGAAAGAAATTAAATAAATCAAACACCTGCAACAGCATTTCTTCTTCTCATATTCTCTCTGTCTCTTTTAAATAATTCCTCATGCTGATCTAGTTATTTGATCTTAAACAATAGTTACATGAACACATTTAAAAAACATTAACAGTCTCTGCAGTTACTCAACACTGTAGTCCTTCAGAGATATACATTCCTTAAGCACTTCCTTTGCGCAAAGGATTATAAATATAAATTGATCATAATCCTAGTTCATGAAACAGTCATCATCCATCCATGCAATACAACTCTTATTATTATTGTCTTCTTTTCTCCTGCCTTGTTCCCAATCATAGTCCTCTGTTTTTCTGAGGTACCCATTCTAATATATTTAGTATATCTCCTCTCCATTCATGGATGATAAAATGTGTATTGTTTCTTTAAAAAAATGGCAAACACTTCCTTTAAAAAATTGAACACTTTACTATGTGCTAGGATCTGATCTAAGAAGTTGTCGTAGTTAAAATCCATAACAACTCTAACAAGAAAATAGCATTATTCTTATTCTTATTAAAATCATTATTATCCCCACTTACCTTTTTAAAATGTAGACAGCAAGAGATTAAATAACTTAGCCAAGATTAGAAGCCAATATATAGAAAAATACATTAAATGAGCCAAGTAATTTGGTTGAGAGCCTGTTTCTGATCAAGTACATGGTGTCATTTAACTGCTGTCTTCATATTTTAGTGCATAAGAGCCTGTAGGAATGGAATTGTTGGGTGATATACATACATGCATACTGTCATAAAGTATTGCCAGATTATTTCTAGGATGATTGCACTAATTTATACACCCACTTGAAGTACATGAGTCCCAACTGCCTCTCTATTTATAACTTAATATTTTCTTCCTTTACATTTTTTGCCAAACTACTGTTTATAAAGTGAAATCAAGTGTTTTACTGTCCATTTATTTATTTCCTAGTATGTTAGAATATATCTTCAAAATACTTACTTGTCATTTTGGTTTCCCCCTCTGTGAATTTTTGTATTAATAATATTAAATAAGTAAATAGATGTTAAACACTTAGAGATATTACTGATAAATAGTAAGAGCTCTGCATCTGTTGTTGTTATTATGATTGTTATACTTATCATATTTTTCAATTTGATCTCCCCTATTTTCCAGAGAATGTGGAAGAGTCATTAATTCCCTATAATTTAGACATTCCAAGTATATTCTCTGATGCTTTTATCCATACATTTATTTTTGTCTGTGATGCACTTTGGTTAAAAATCTATCATTTTGATGCAGTAAATGCATTCCTTTCTTTTTTCTTTTCTTTTTTTTTTTTTTTTTTTTGAGGCAGAGTCTCACTGTGCTGCCCAGACTGGAACAAGATGGCATGATCTCAGCTCACTGCAACCTCTGCCTCCCTAGTTCAAGCGATTCTCCTGCCTCAGCCTCCCGAATAGCTGGGACTACAGGCACACACCACCACACCCGGATTTTTTTTTTTTTTTGTATTTTTAGTAGAGACAGGTTTCACCGTATTAGCCAGGATGGTCTCGATCTCCTGACCTTGTGATCTGCCTGCCTTGGCCTCACAAAGTGCTGGGATTACAGGCGTGAGCCACTGCACCCAGCCATTCCTTTTTTTTTTTTTTTTTTTTTTTTTTAGTATTTATGATACATAGTCATATTTAAGAAAGCTTTTCTGTCTCAGAGTTCCAAACATAGTATCTTATACTATTTTTTTTGTTGTCAATGTAGATTTTTCTTTCCCATTTTAGTATTTTATCCATTTGAAGTTAATTTTCATATATGGCATGAGGTCAGTTTTTTTTTTCCTCCATGTAATGAGAAAATTTTCAAACACCATTTACTAACAGTTCACCTTGCCATAGATTATGTTTTTAGGCCATCACTTATGCTACTCCATTTGATAGTAACTGCAGAAGTACAATGATATCTTAATTACTATGTTTTATAATATACCTTAGTATCTGACAGAATCAGTTCTCTATTTTTGCTCTTATATCTCAAAATTGTTTTACCAACTGATGATCTTTAACTGAAAAAAAAAGTTAGTGTTTGTGAAGTCTCTTAAAAAAAAAGTTAGTGTTGGTGAAGTCTCTTAAAACAGGTTTAGAAGTGAATTGCACTAAGAGATAAATGAATTTAGAAAAACAGATATCCACAATGTCAAGTCACTTCAACTGTGAACACAGAATTTCTCTAAATTTGGGGAGTAGTTTTATGTCTTCTGATAGAGTTTTGAAATTCCATATACGCTAGTCGTAGCCTTTATTATGTTAGAATTTTTAAAAAGCTTTGTTGTAGTTTCTCTTTTTATTGCAAATGATATCTTACATTTTCTGGTTGAAAATTGCTCATATAAAATTATATTATGGTAAACAAACTCCTATTTTTAGCTCTAAAGATTAGATGACTATCCTGAATTGTCTATATAAAAATCATAATCATTCATTAACAAATATTTGTTATTTTATCTCTTAATTTCAAGCCTATATGATGCATTTGTTTTTCTTGACTTACAGCATTACCTAGGAACTTCAGTTCTGTGCTACACAGTAGGAGTGGTAGAAGACAATCCTGATGCTATTCTTAATCTTAATAAATTCTAAAGTTTATTCATTGAATATGATATTTACTTGGATTTTTAGGGTATTTTTATAGGGTTATGGAAATTTAATTCTAATCCAATTTTCTGATTTTCTTTTCCATCATTAATATTTTTAACTTCATAAAATCATTTTTCTCCTGCATAAATGAGATGATCATGTGATTTCTATCCTTTGACTGATACATGTAAATATTTACATTTATAAATAATCAAAGGTTGAGTCACCTTTGCATTTCTGGGATAAATCATACATCATTATGATGACATTTTAATAATATACTGTTGATTTGGTAAGCTAATCTATTTTTTTAGTATTTTTAAGTATAGTTCATAAAGTAAATTAGCCCATGAGTTTTTTTTTTTTTTTTTTGTACTTTATCTGGTTTTGGTATCAAAGTTAAATTACTATCATTAATTTAAAATAGGCAATTTTCATCTTAAAAATTTCTGGAAAATTAGATGGACTCTCTTGAGAAGTTTGTTAGTGTTCATCAGTGAAATGATCCACCAGAAATATAATATTTTATTTAAGTTTTCACATTTATTTGAGCTGGTGTGTCTCAACCCAACTGAACAAGGGGAAGAGTAGTAGGAAAGGAGGTCAGTGATGAAAGGGAGGAAGTTGCAGATCATGTGGGCTGTTTTTACTTTTAGAACTTTGGCTTTTATCCTGTGGACATATTGTTTCTTTTACCAGTGTATAAGAAACATCTTTGTGCTTTAGGTCTTCCTGTTGCCTTGAATTTCCCTTTATGTGAAATAAAATGTCTATCCTATATATAATTTGATTGAAATATTTTCTGATATTTTTTAAACATATGTTTTAAATTTTCAAATATTGTATATCTTTTGGAACTGTATGTGTGTATTATAGATGATGTAAGGTTAACCTGTGATTCTGTTTTAATAAGTTAAAAATTGTAAGTCTCTATCTTCTGATTAGCCTACTAATATTTATTCTAATTGCTATCATATGTTGTCATATCTTATTTCAACTTTTTATTTATGACATATTTTCCCTTTTTAAGACTTCCTTTCAATGAAATATTCTAGATTATCAAATTTAATTTTGCTAGCTAAATAAAATAGTATGCTTAGTTTTGCAGTTATTGTCTAAACCTAAATAATAGTATCATCTTCTAGTCAACTGTAGGCTTACTGCTGAAGAGGGTAGGCTGTTTAGCCAGACTGGCTAGGTTGAATACTAACCCTGGGCAAGTTAGTCTCCGCTTCAGTACTTCATTTTAAATTAAATAATAATAATGGTTATTTACCTTATTGTGTTTTAGTGAGGATTGAATGGGTGAATATAGGTAACACATCTTGAAAATTGCATTGCATGCAATAAACCTATAATAAATGTAAGTTATCATATCCCAAAGTAACAATTTTAATATGCACTTACTTCCCTGTCTGACCCCTTTTCCTCAAAATACTCTTATTTCCAAGCAATATATAAATACTATATTAGTAAAACTTGAAATTATTATTCTGGACATTTAGGACTATATTTTATCATTACTATTGTTCATTTAGACAAAAGTAAATTTACTAACTTCTTTATTCACCTTGTTTCCATATCTTACTGAAGTTTTCTAGATTGACTGCTTTCTATGTTGGCAATATCTTCTAAGAGTTATTCAAAAAGACTTTTGATATTTGTGCTTTCTATAACTTTTTATACCAGATACATCTGCTTTCAGCTCAAATTTAATTGTTTTCTTTTAAGCTGAAAAAAGCATTCCTGGCTCAAAGTTCTTTTTCTTCAATATTTAAATGTTACTTTAGTGTCTTGCTGCATCCACTGCTGTTGATATGAATGATGTCTAACTCATTCTATATTTTAGGTGACCTACTTTTGCTTTTTGAAAATTATGACCATTAAAATTTTGGTTTAATATTTAGCATTTTATCTATAGCATACTTAGATATTATTTTTAATCTCTCTTATTTGATTGTTCATGAACTATTTTATCATATTTCATTTATTTTTTAATTCTAGAAAAGTATTGTTCCCCATTCCTGTATTTCCTCACCTGTATTTATTACTTTTTTGTGACTCATAGAAATACATTTTTACTTATCTATATATTGTAGTTTCAACCGGGACATTTTATCCCCCAGTGTGCATTTGTAAATGTCTGAAAACATCTTTGGTTGTCCCAACTTGGGGGTACTCCTCACATCTAGTGAGTAAGACCAGGATGTTGCTAAACATCCTATAATGCACAGGAAAGCCCCTCACAACACAATATTATATGGCCTAGAATATCAATAGTACCAATTCTGAGAAATCCTGATGTATCTGAACTCTTCACTTATTATTTCTTTTTAAATTTCATTGTGTAGGAGGCCAGCAATTTGATCTTCCAACTTAATAGTTTGTTCTTTTTCTACGTACATTTTGCTATACTGTTCATCTGTTGAAATCCGTATTTCCTCAATTATATTTTTCATATCCAGTTTTCTCTTTTATCACCTGGAAGGCGTTCAAATATTTTTATCCTTTCCTACAAATTTTGGCTCCTCTAATTTGGCTCCTCTCTTCTTTTAAAACAAATTAATTGAAGTGCTCATATCCCTCAGAAGCTTTGTGTTTTTTTCATGTGATTCCATCTTTTATTTCCTTAACAATATCAACTGTCTGGTCCAGTGACATGTTGGTAGGGAAGGTGGAAAGAAACAATATCCCGGGCCCTAGATTTTATACCTCTAAGTGAGTATGGAAACTTAGGGAAAACTCTAGCTTTCCATTGGCACAATCCTTCCTTGTGCCCCAATCCCATTCCAAGGGAAGTAAATATCTTTTACAACTTAGAAACTTACAGTCTCTCCATTCCAGTCATTCTGGTGGACAACCAGTCCTTACTATAATTGCTCACTAATGCAGTCTAGAGGGTAAATAAGAGAAGTACAAGGAAAGCAGTGCAAGTAATGATTCACTAAGTGGAAGAAGGAAAAAATTAACAACTAGAAAGTGCTCCTCTAGTTTAGCTCTTACTAGCCACCTATCTCTGGACTGCTCCCATTTTGGTTTGCAATTGGCTATTTCTGGTACCTTATATTTGATGTAGATAATCTTTTTTTAATTATAAAAGGAAGTGGATAGTAGATAACAACCACTTTGAAAATGTGCAATAAAGAGAACTACTGACTTGAAATTTACAGATGAGTCAGTATTTAAATATGACCCCTCCAGAACATAGGCAGAGCTAAGAGAAGAAAGAATAATGGTCAAAAGAACATACCCCAATTCAAAAAGAGTTAACAATTAATTATTAAGTCCTGCTAATTCTACCCTTTAAACTATATCTCCAATTCATTCACATAATTTCATTCCCGTTGACAGCAGCCTGATTTGAGCCCCTATCATAGTTCACCACAAATACAAGAAAGCCTCCTAATTCATCTGTTTTTCCTCTGGTCTTCCTGTCCCGCCTATCTTTCCATTTGTTTTCTATACTGCCACCAGTGTGTTCTTTCCAATATGCAACTTTCATAGTGTCAGTCTTTTTTTTTTTTTTTACAACATTTTAACAACTTTCCTTTGTTCTGAAGCACAAACTCATTATTCTAGCATACAATGCCATTTGTTATAGCCCCTTGGTTTTCTACCTCTTCTACCTGCCCTTGTCCTCTTCATCTGTGCCACTCTGGATTTATTAGGCATCTTCAATTTATCATTCTCTTCCCTGAACTTCCACATTTATATTCTTCTCTTTCAACATTGGCTCCTTACTCACCTTTCCTGGCAATTTCCTACTCATCCTTGGACTGAGTTTAAATGCAGGAAGCACTCCACGATGAAACCAAGTATACTACCCCTCTAGAATATTAATCACAATGTGAAGCAACTTTCATTTCCATTTATTTTTCTCAATTCTTTTTTAATGTATAAGATTTGTGAAGGGACTCAATCTTATTATATCCCATGTACCTAGCATGCTGGTTGTAACATGTGTAGGTTACATGGATGAGCAAAAAAATGAAACAAACATCAACAACACTGTATAAGAGAGCTACCATGCAATAAATATGCTGTGCTTGCTGTTTGTCTTTTATAAGAATGTGCTTCAGTGAATAAATAAGAAAAACTGATCCCACTCACTTTATTGATAAAAAAACTAGACATTAAGTGTTTATTCCATATCAATGGTGCATTATGTTAACTTTTCTATTCACAGTTTTTCTTCTTTGGAATGTAGTACTTAACATGGTTTACTCAACTGGAGCTTGTCTTTTATAGAGATGACTGTGCGGCTCATAAACATGGTTGAGGATCTCTGGAGGCTACTCCTAAAGTAGTTCACTTCCTAGGCCCCTGTCACCTCAGAGAGATAATTATTTGTATGATTTATGTGCTTGAAAAGAACCTTTGTTCAAGATAACCTTTTCCAATCACTTTTACTATGTGACTGTCAAAGTACCCTGAGATTTAGGATTTATCTCTGCCTGCATGGATCCTCTTTTGGTTTACTTACAGGTCTGATAATTGATTTGATTTCTGATACATAGGTCAAAATGTTGCTTTTTTCCTTGTATTGGTTCTGGACAATTTTATGGATAATCTGAGTGATTTGGTTTAGATTGTTGAAAGGTAAACTGCCTAGAATTTTCTGTTTTTAAAATGCCTAGCTTTTTACATTCCTAAAAGATGATTTAGACGTCTACCAAATTTGGAATAGGGAAAAAAAAACACATTAAAAACCTTGAGTTGAAAAAAAATTTATATAAAAATAGTTACTTGTACAAATAAATGATGTTCAAATAAAATACTGGATTTACATGTAATATTAAAAGGTTAATACAAAGCATTGTGCTATATTGAGTAAGAAGTATTTAAAGTAATGTAACAATTTATGCTCCTCAAAGAAAAAAAACCTTTGCTTTTATGACCATTTTCCACCAAATAAATGAAAATATCCCAAACAAATATTGTTCACAATACATTGCATTTCAAAGGAACAATAACAAGCCATTTGCAGTTTAGTTTTATGTCTATTGTTACTCTACTTTGCAGCCAAAAGTACAAAAAGATGTTGGAAAATGCTATTAAGAATAACCTTCCTTTATGTCTTATTGTATCCATGTGGAGATTTATTTTAATTTTAGTTTTGTTCTCTTTTTCTTTCTAATTCCAGACAAAGTTGTGTTACTGTGTTGAGTATAACATTACTTATGACAACCTCATACGTCAAGGCTATATATGGTCATACTATTCCACATACTTTGACTAATTTAATGATTTGCTTTAAAGAAAGATTTTTGAAAATTAGAAATTAAATCAAATGGAAAGAATATTTCAACATACTTTAATATTTAAATATAACAATCTGTACCACAGGGTAACATTAGTTTGCTAATGAACCTATGATCTGTATGTTAAGGGATTGCAAGGTTTTCCATTACATTCAAAGTTAACACATAAAAAATCTTAGGCCATCACTTTCTGTTCAGATAGTTACTGCAGAAAAGTATTTGGTATTCTTAATCATTATATCTTAAGGTAACCATATTTAATGTTATATTATGTATATTCCATTTTTCTTATGTTTTTAAATTTAGATAAATAATTGATTTGCTTGTTGATAGGATGAGACTCAAATAATAAGAGCTATCATTCATTAAGAACCATGGGTAAGCCAGATGCTTTTTCTTAACATGACTTCTAATCCTCATATTTTCTTTCTGACAATAAATAATAGTAGTATATTAGTTTTTCAAGGGAAGAGACTGAAATTTTGGTGAGGCTAAGTGACCTTATCAGATTTAAGAGAGCTAGTAAGTAGCAGTACTATTGCAGGCACAGCATCCTGATAATTTTTGGATTGATCCAGCTTCTTCCATTGAGTAGTTCTTATCTCTCTTAACCCAAAGGGCAATACCTAAGGCTTTATTGTCAAATAAAGAAGAATCATTTTTCATCACTAACTTAGCAAATGAGTCTAATCCTCACTACTAATGGGTTATTTTAAGAAATGTATTTAATAATAGACAATCTCAAGCTAGCTATTTTCTCAAGTAATTTCAAGCATTCATTTTTACTAATTTTACTGATTACCATTAAGGATTTCTGTATTTGAGAAAAGCTGTAACAATGTCCAATTCCTGAAACAAAAGAAAGTAGACTAACTTTAACATTAAGCATAGAGTTTAATTTACTATGGGGTTACTTTTTTATTATTAGTTCTTAATAAATTATGCCTCTTTTATGGTTTTTCTATAAACATTTGTTGAAATTACCGTAGGCATCTGTACATATATATGTATATATATGCACTTATGATTAGTTGATTTCACTTTTTTTGGGGAAATACATACACAGACTACTTCAAAATGTAAAAAAATTTAAATTCCAAATCTTTGGAAAGAAAGCTAGGAAAAAAAAATCTTTCGTTGATGTATGATAGTTGGCATAGTACATTTGGTGTTGCTAAAAAGAAATACCTGAAGCTGGGTGATTTATAAATTTAAAAGTTTCTTTGGCTCACAATTCTGATGTCTCCAAAAGTTAAAAATTGGGCCCCTATTTCTGTTGAGGGCCTCATTTTCCTTCCACTCATGGTGGAAGGTGAAAGGGAGCCAGCCTGTGCAGAGGTCACTTGGTGAGAGAGGAAGCAAGAGAGAAATGGATGAATTTCCAGGCTGTTTTTAACAGTCAGCTATCACTGGAATTAATTGGGTGAGAACTCACTCAGTTCCAAGGAAGGACATGAGTTATCCTCCCCCAGGACCCAAACATCTCCCATAAGATTCCACCTCCAACATTGGGATCAAATTTCAACCTGAGGTTTAGCAGGACAAACATTCAAACCATAGCAATAACCAAAAATTCAAAATATTTCTGGGAGTGAAATTTTTAACCCTCACCTCTACCACATTAGGCAAATTGTCTTAATTTAGTAAGTGATGCCAAACAAAAGCTCATTACTGCTCAGACATAGAGTTCTAAATAGATTACTTAATTGTATATGCATACACATATGGCTGGCATTTATTTCTGCACATGGTAGGAAAGAATTTTCCTCAAAATTCAGTACATAAGTATGACCAACATTATTATAGCACTAAGTCAAACCTTGGCTATCTAAAATTTAACATTCAAGGTTTAACTATTTGTGTGAGACTACAAGGCTCAAGGCTTGTTATTACTTGTAATTGTCCTGAGATTCACCTTTCAATCTAGTGTGCTGTGAGAGCATCAGACACAAAGGCGTTTACCTCAAGAATGAGGACTGACAGCTGCACAAGCACATGCATCCCTATGAGTCTTTGTTATTTTCTGTTTATCCTTAGGTGTGAGATATCCTCTTGTAAAGTACTAAAATCTCTTCTGTGTGTTAAAAAAAAATGTTCTGAAAAGATTTTAGGGCCAATTGTTATTTGGAAATGGTAAGATAAAGGAGAATATTCCTATGTAAATAACAACATTGGTCAATCTGGGAATGTGTGGAAATTTGGGGACATTATCCTTCTGGAACATGAATGACTTCAGTTTTGATGAGATCATAACAGTATGTGATAATCTATGGGGGAATTCTGACCCTACATCTTACTAGCTGTGAGTCACTACGGGCAAATCACTTAAACTTTCCTTAACTCATTTTTTGTACTTTATAATAGTAAAAATAATACCTTAGCCAATTTAATAAGTGTCCTGTAACACTCCATTATTTATAATATTTTGTTTTCTAATTTCTTTTCAAAGGATCTTAAAGTTTTTATACCTAACAAAATTTTAAAACACTACTAGAATACGCTAAAGAGCATTCTCCAACACTTCAAAATAAATCCCCCCTTCACAAGTGTATCTAATCACAATAAAATGTTGATATATGATTCTGCCATCTGTAATCATACGCTAATGTTATATTCCAAATAGAGATAAAAAATGGCCACATTCTATTCTGTAATATGAATTATTTGTTAGGTAATTAATACTCACCAATCAATGGCTTCACTTTTACAAAGGAAAAAGGAGACTCCAGTCATATTTATGTGACAATAGAACCTTGTCCTTTTCACTATTAGTTTTATTTAAGTTAACATTTTTATTTATAAGTATGCATGGGTATCTCCTCTGTAAGGTTCATCCATCTAGTCAGCTGATAAGGTTTATCTTTGATTCCATATACATTTCAGTTTATTCCTCTTCACATATATACCATAACCCAACACTGAATGCTAAGTGGCCTGGGTATCACTAGCAGGCCTGTGATTGGATTTAATCAGCAGATAGCAAAACACAATTGCTCTCTGTATTATAAACTTTCTTGGAAACGTTCCCAACTTCTGTCATAGCCACTTTGTGCTCCTGTTCTCCTAATTCAGTTCAGCATTAAATGAGGTTGAAGAAGAGTCAGCTATGAATAGGTTAACCAGCCGCATCAAATGTGAAGGAGCTAGAATGGCAGGTCCCAACAAGGCATGATGTAGTGGCTCACATGGAGAATTATGGATAGAAAGTGGTTAGATGTTAGAACAGATTCAAATAATATCACTTTCAAGTAATTCAGTAGGTAAGATTTCAACTACTTGATTTGTTAACAAAATAAATTTGTATTATTAATAATATAATTGTAATATTTTGTTAACTGTCTTTAATAAGATCAAAATACAATATTATTCTTACAGGATCTCTGCATATGGGGTGGTGATATTAGTAGATGAACATTTATAAGAGGTAGCTTATAAATATATTATAGGCTGCAAGAGATTTTGACTTGTCCTTCAGGTGAGATTTTAGCACTGGCAGTCTAACAAAAAACAGACGATAATTTATACCACTGCCTATAAACAAAAATCTGCCACTAGAACCAAGTAACTTTTTCAGTTGGTCGTCTTTAGATTTTGACTCCTTAAGAACCATCATATGTGTATTTGGTATTCAGTGTAAACATATTTTCATTGCTCCATCATTGAAATAAATTTACCAACCAATCTTTGGAACTTGAAATAAATTCTTATGAGGCTGGAATGGTATCATTTGGCTCCTTGAAATATTGACCAAGGAAAATATAACACCATGTCTTTTCATACCTAAATAATAGAGTGATTCTGTCCTTTCTACTGCCTACTATTCCTGGGTTTGGAAAAAAACAGCATGATGGGGGTTATTAATCCATTTTCACACTGCTAATAAAGATATACCAGGCCAGGCGCGGTGGCTCATGCCTGTAATCCCAGCACTTTGGGAGGCCACGGCGGGTGGATCACAAGGTCAGGAGATCGAGACCATCCTGGTTAACACAGTGAAACCCCGTCTCTACTAAAAATACAAAAATTAGCCGGGCGTGGTAGCGGGCGCCTGTGGTCCCAGCTACTCAGGAGGCTGAGGCAGGAGAATGGCGTGAACCCGGGAGGCGGAGCTCGCAGTGAGCCGAGATTGCGCCGCTGCACTCCAGGCTGGGAGACAGAGCGAGAGTCTGTCTCAAAAAATAAAAATAAAAATAAAGATATACCAGAGACTGAGTAATTTATAAAGAAAAAGAGGTTTAAGCCACAGTTCTACGTGGCTGGGGACGCCTCAAATCATGTCAGAAGGTGAAAGGAACTTCCTACATGTCCGTGGCAAGAGAGAATGAGAGCCAAGCGAAAGGGTTTCTCCTTATAAAACCATCAGATCTCGTATCAGGAACCATATCAAGAACCGTATGGAGGAAACCACCCCCGTGATTAAATTGTCTCCACCAGGTCCCTCCCACAACATGTGGGAATTATGAGAGCTACAACTCAGGATGAGATTTGGGTGGGGACACAGCCAAACCATATCAATGGGTAAAATGAGTATTTAAGAAGTTGAACAGTAGATCTCCCAGGTATAGATATAACTCTCTAAATACTTAATTCACTTCTGCAGTAAATGGGGCTTTATAAATGTACATTGTTGCTGTTTGGGGCATTTGTCTCATGTATTTCAACAAATATATATGGTTTGCCTAATATGTGCCAAGCACCAAATTGTAATGGTGCTAGACTGCAGAAGTAATGATTGCATCTTAGTGAAATCAAGGAAAAGGACTTGGTGAAAATTATACCGGGTGGAGAAGAGTAATGAGGGTGTGTTCTTGAATCAGTGTTCAGTCCTAGTATTTAAAAAATGTTGTTATGAATGTTTACCCATCCATAATGTCTATTAGTGTGATGATATACAATTGCTAATCAAAAAGAAACATAGAAAAGCAACTGGAAGATACTGTGTTGTCAAAAATGATAATATTTGTATTTGGAATAATACAGGTTGTGACTAACTGTATTGTTTAGAAAATGATTCCTTTTTGTTTTCTTTGAGACGGAGTCTTGCTCTGTCGCCCAGGCTGGAGTGCAGTGGTGCGATCTCGACTCACTGCAAGCTCCGCCTCCCGGGTTCACATCATTCTCCTGCCTCAGCCTCCAGAGTAGCTGGGACTACAGGCGCCTGCCACCACGCCTGGTTAATTTTTTGTGTTTTTAGTAGAGACGGGGTTTCACCGTGTTAGCCAGGAGCCGATCTCCTGACCTCGTGATCTGCCTGCCTCGGCCTCCCAAAGTGCTGGGATTACAGGTGTGAGCCTGCACGCCTGGCCAAAAAATGATTTCTAAAACACGATTTTATTTTTTCTTTCAAAGAATAATTTAATTTTATTTGAGAGTCCTCTAATATAAAAAGCTTTCTCAGTAAAATATGCCCATCAGAAGGGACCTTGCCAGTTCTTTCAATGGCCACTTTGAGAAGAATGAGGCCTGTGCAAAAAGAGGTAGTTGTCTATATTCTCAATAATGCTCCCTACAGCAGCTCAGGATCAGATTCTGAGCTACTGCTTCCAGAAGTTTTGTCCAGTGCTGCCTGCATGTGATAAATGCATTGGCATATTTGATGTACCAAAGTTTCTCTATCATTCTTTGAAATTCTTGATATGCAAAAGTCCCTTCTGTTTTCTGTGCTGCATGTCAAAGTTGAAGAATGTCTCACTTGCATTTTGTGATAAGAGAGTATCATATTGAGAACATATTTTTCCTTAATCATTTGAGTGTATTTATCTTTTCTTATTTGAATATATTTATTATAGCTGCTTTAAAGACTTTATAAACTAAATCTAATATTTTGACCCACTTGGAATCACCTTCTATTGAGCATACTAGCATGGATTTTACTTTCTTATTTCTTTGCATGTCTACTAATTTTTGGTTGAAAACTGGGAATTATAGATGATACAATTTGGAGATTTTCTGCCTAAACACTCATCTACAGCACCTTTTACTGGCAAGGATGTAGAGTTTTGTTCTGGTATTTCCTGCAGCTATAGAAGAAGTTGTAGAAGTTGGTCAAAAAGCCACACTCAAGATTAGAATTTCCTTTGGATTCTCTCTACATTGGGTTTTTTACAGTACCTTTAAATAGTTGACCTATTTTATAATTTTTTCACTTTAGAATTGTTATTTGTGGAAGGTACAGCCACCTCAGTTCTCTGTCATTACAAGAAATGTGGTCCTACTCATTGCTTTTTTTTTTTTTTTTTTTTGAGACAGAGTCTCGCTCTTTCGCCCAGGCTGGAGTGCAGTGGCGCGATCTCTGCTCACTGCAAGCTCCGCCTCCGGGGTTCACGCCATTCTCCTGCCTCAGCCTCCCAGGTAGCTGGGATTACAGGTGCCCGCCACCACGCCCGGCTAATTTTTTGTATTTTCAGTAGAGACGGGGTTTCACTGTGTTAGCCAGGATGGTCTCGATCTCCTGACCTCGTGATCCGCCTGCCTCGGCCTCCCAAAGTGCTGGGATTACAGGCGTGAGCCACCGCGCCCGGCCTGCTTTTATTCATAGGTTTTTTCTTCCTTTCATAGGATTTGGACATCAATACATTAATGGGGATGGGAGTAAGGGGTTAACTATTATTAGTAACATTGCTGTTTTCAGGATTATCTCTCCATTCTGAAAGATATCTGTATATTGAACCAAGCTGGTTTCTGACAATTTTTAGGATGAATTATTTCCCAGAAGTTACCATTTTTCTGCAATAAACTCCTGACAGGTGGATTGGCTCCTCCAGTCCATAAGACATGACAAATATTAGAGGGAAACAAACAAAGAATTAAATTCTGTTTGCCCTACTTCTAGATAAAGTAAACATTTTAGATTTAATTGCTAGCGCCGTGTGTGTGTATATATATGTATATTTCATTATGTAATATATACTTCATTTTTCAGAAAGAGAACTGAAATTCCTAGTTTGTTTTACTTTTGTCTGATACTCAAAGAAAAAGTAAATTTAAACTTATGTAGTTAGTCATTGAATTAGTGAGTGACAGATCTATTTTCTTTTAATAAATACTTTTTTGGCTAAAAACTTTATATTGGAAAATGAAAGATTAAAACATTTTCTTTCTTTTTTAAATATGGGAAGATACACTGCTGCTTTGGTATTTTCAGAGAAAGAGAAGCACAAAAGATGCTGTTCTTGTGAATTTTCTGTTAGATCTCTATAGAGATTTTAAAAGGCAAATGTTAGGAATAAGAGCCCATGCCGAGGCAAGGTTTCACAAAGGACATGGCTGATTCCAGGCAAACAGCAGCTGTGAAAACATCATTGTGCTGCAGATAATAGTGTAGATCATTACACAGACATTTTAAGCAGCACTACCTATTATAATGAACATGGGATTTTTAAATCAAATTAGTAATAGCAGATCTTTTACATCTCATGATCTATATAAACTTCATGACTTAGTAAATATCTCAATGTGGATGAAATAATTGAATAAAATTATAATGTTAAACTAGATTTTATTACATTATTATGTAAGATGTTTGATTTATTGTGACAACTACAATGCAATTTTCATATATTTTGTAATAATATTTTAGAAAATGCCATCACCTGCAAAAGCAAATATGTTTCCAAACTTCAAGATGTTCTACACAGTCTTAAAATATAGCTTCAAGGAAAAACACGTGAATTGCCTCCTTTCACTTCCTACCCTCACTTCCAAGGATAATGGTCACTGAGGTACAATGAGCTCTGTCCATACAGTTCAGATTGAAACTCAAGTTGCAATGCACTGCAGGCTCCTCACAGGGCTGTAGCTCTTTGCACATTTTGGTCTCTTCTATCACACAGTATGAACTCTTACAGCTATATAGGGAGAAGGTGAATTTGGGCTTTATCTTCTATCACACAGTATCAACTCTTACAGCTATATTGGGAGAAGGTGAATTTGGCCTTTATCTTCTATCACACAGTATCAACTCTTACAGCTATATTGGGAGAAGGTGAATTTGGGCTTTATCTAGCTTCCTGGGAAACAAAATGGATAGCCTCAGAGGCTTTGGAAGTATGCTAAGAATAAGTATTAAACAGAAAACTTCATAAATCATCCTATTTTAAAACTCCGTACATCCACTTCTAATAAGATATTCCATATATGTATGCATAATACTTTCCTAAAAATTACAGTTCAGAAAAGAGTATTCCATTTCCTAATAGATAAATAGATAATGGAATTCTCTTTCCTGAAGAGGACTGTGGATCTCCTGTACTTTGTAATACATATATGGGTTTTTATATGCTGAATCCAAGTATCTTTGAGTCCTCAAGAAGAATAAGTGAAAGGGAATGTGCACTTTACCATTTCATTCTGTTCCTTTGTTTTTAACCTACTGATAATTTATTTAGACGTGCACGCATGAGCCCAAAAATCTCCAGCACCAGCTTTAATCTTGTATTGCCATGAGTGCTCAAAAATAGGTGAGAATTAGCTCCACTATTACTAGAGAAGACTCTCTACAAGATTATTTCTTAATTCTCTCTGAAATACACATCAGGCTCCATACTACTCCATAAGCTTCTGTTAGCCTTAGATTTGTTATGAAAAAAAAAAAAGGTCTACTTTTATAAGTCTAAGCACCTGTAAACTCAAGTAGATAAATTCTGTATTTTAGGTTTATAGGAATGTTGATTTTGAATGCTTAATAACAATTCTGAAAGTGAATACTTTGTTTTAACCATCAATTCCATAAATAGTTCAAATGTTTTAAAGGAAAGTTGGTAGAATAATAGTCTTACAGAATTTGCACATGCTATAGGGTATGGAGAATAGCTGATTATTGTATACCTACAAGATATAAAAGAAATTAGCATTAATGATGGAAATAAAACTACCAAAATATTTCAGAAGCTCTTATTGCATGGGCAAAACATCTGATATAGTGGAAAAACTTGATGCCTTATCATCTTTATTTTATTTCAGTTAAATATATTAGTATCCTGACTTTCTTGAAAATGTGTTATTATTATCCACTTCCAAGTGCTAGGGAAGAAGAACAATTTTGTTTACTCCCAGGTGGTTCAAATTTGATTTGAACTCACAGCAGAGTTTATGCTGATGAATAGCTTTTCATTGAACATGAATAAATTGAGAAATTCACATTAGTCAGCCACTTTTTCTTCATAATTTAAATTCCAGAGAAGAAGCATTTAGCAAAAATAGAACACAAAGGGTTGTGCGGTTGATGAATTGCACCTGATGACTAGCTGAATTAATAAAACTATTAATGAACTAGACAGACACCAAAGCTTCTTTTTGAATATCTATGAAAATGATGTTTTAAGTAAACAAACAAAAAAAAATCAGCATTGGCATCAGAAAAAAGCAAGTGCTTTGTTCAGTTAATATGCCTGCTGATAGGATGTTAGACAGATGCAGGCTTTCAAACAATTTTTTTTTCTCACAGTGTGAGTGTTTTGTTTTTTTTTTTTTTCAATTTTTCAGTCCCTTTATTACTAGGTATCTCTAACAATCAAAATTAAAAATTTAAACAGTATCTTCTCTATTAGAGATGTATATTATGGATACGTATTTTAAAACATAGGTTTATGTATGTATATATGTACATATATTTTAATACACAGGTTTATGTATTTATATATTATGCATTATTTAAATATGCATACATGTATATATAATGCATAATATATATGATATGTATTATATATAAATACTTTTGTATTTTAATATATAGCTTTATATGTTTACATAATACATAGGTTATGTTTACATAAAACATAGATTATGTCTGCATAGATCTATATATTGACATGTGTATTTATATATTTAAATGTTCTTTAATTTTACAGAACTCATGCCTTTAAAATTTTCAGATTTCTACAAATACATAAACATGATATTATATTCAGATGGGTGTAATTATTTACAGTATGGTTTTTTTTAAGAGAAAATACTTCGATAAATGTTTTAAATATTTCAGAAATGTTTGGCTCTGTAATAAACATTTAAATTTGTCCTCCATTATTTTAATTCATTCATCAACTATTCTAGGTCTTATTATTGCAATGCTCATTTTGGCCATGATTTATTCTTAATTTGAAAGCATTGAGTCTTTTAAAACATTAATATTTTACTATTTGGCAACTAAACAAAACATTTTACTAGCCGTATTGTCATATATAAGAATGCCATTGTTATACAAAGAAGCTATTTATTTTCTACACAGAGCTAAATATTTTTTCTACGTTTGACACTATTAAATTTTTTCAGCATGTTATTCTACCTTTTATTGCATATATTTCATTCTGTTTTAACTTAGAAATCCTGCAAGTTAACAAGTTTTGGTGATTCTTAGCTGTGGCTTCATGTTTATTAAAATTCATGACTTCAGACTCTCACCAAGGACAAAATATGAGTCACATGCTTTGAAAATTACTCTTGGCAAATAAAAATCAAATGTTAGATGTAAAAAGATTAACTTGATGTTACTTCCAAGCAAATATAAGACATAATAGCCTGTTACAGGGTGGTAATCTTTTGAGCTGTATAAATAAAGCCTATAGGTTAGGACTGTGAGCTATTCCATCGAGATTGCTGAACTGTGCTTTTGTTTCTGTAGGGCACCAGGCCCTGAGAATTTCTTTAGTTCTGAGGTATTTCCTACATCTTCTAATTAAACATGTGATTCAGGCCATCAAAGATGAGGCAATTTTCTTCCCCTTTTCTTATCCTTAATGACTTTTGGATAGTTCAGGTTAAAGTGTAGGTCTAGTGCTCTAAGTTCAGATGAATCAGATGTATGCTATTGTCTTTTTTTTTTTTTCTTGTTCAAATTACTTCCATGTCCCCTTCCAAGCTCAGCATATCTCATTAGATTTTCTGTCATCCTTTATATTTCTAAAACCTTTAAACCTTCAGGAATAATCTAGAGTCAGCTTCATTAGTTGTTAACTCATCAAACCTGGATGTATGTGTGTATATATATTTGAATAAAATATACTCTTTTGTGTACTTCTATTTGAATACCAACTTTCAAATAAATCTTTGATATTTTACTTATGAACTGCCCACTTAACAATTAATTCTAGATTTATAAGGACGATGCAAATCACATATAATTTTCTTTTGTATTTTAGTCACACCATATGAACATCCTCAAAACTGTAATATGAAGTTAGTGTCCTAGAGCACACTCAATTAGATCTTCCATACTGCCCCTTGTAAAAGGAGATTTTTTTTTTCAGGTAACATCAAACAAACTCAATGGAAAGACATTGGCTGTAATGCATCGATGGCAAACTTAGTATAATGGGAGAAAAAACAGTGAATCTGGAAAACTCATGACTAGAAACAGTTCAATTCAGTTACTGAAATAATAAATAGCTAATTAATTGATTCAATAAATTGTTGTCATTTGTATTTTGAAAGTGTGTAATCTTATGGCCCTCTAGAAGCCATTTAACTTGAGTGCTAAAATAGATTTGTAGGTTTTGTGGAAATGAAAACCTGAAGATATTATTATATGTGTTCTCTGTTCTGTATTTTATAATCCCTCAAGGTTATTAAATATTAGTGCAGGTATTTTTATGCACTGATATCCAGATATCAGTTGAACATTGGTTTTTAAATTGCATTTCCCACTTGAAAGAATAGTGATGATATTCTTCTATCCTGTGCTTCAGGCCAAGTGATCTTTTTGAATTCTGGGTCTAGGTGTGTGTGTTAAAAATAGTTCATTGCCATATAGACTACAATACACATTTACTTTATGTTAATATTGTGAAAATAAATGGCAAAATATGAAATAAAAAGGACTATTCAAGTTATGAAAATGGTAATACTCTAAATGACCCTTCAAAAAGAATGTTAATAGATTTTTGTCTTATTGTTGAACATATGACTTGGATATTTGGCATTAACCTGCATGAAAATAGCAATATCCAGGTACACTTGATTTTCAATATATTTTTGAAGAGGATTACTAAGAAGAATATTCTTTGAGAATATATTGTGCTTTGAGCTGTTGACCTTGGTCAGCTCAAGTAAAAATTGTTGTTCTAACTTGCCTACCATTTAAAATATACTGAGTTGGTTTTCAATCTTGTCTTTGATCTATATATAGAAAATAAACTGATAGCATGAATTTGGAAATGAATTATGAGATTAAAATATGTTTTAGTATGTAAAAATAACAGCAACTTTAATGGAATTGTGGTTGATTGAGTCATATTTATTCTAGTCAGCTTAGAAATTCACTCTCACTTTATAAAAGTGAGTATAGTCACATAAGAATAAGTTCTAATGCAAATATTTTAAAATGTTATAACAGTTAAAGGATGGTTTTTGTTTACATTTATTTCAAATGATGGCAAAAGTATTTCTAAGTTATATGTGGTACATTTTCAAAGACAGTAATTAAAATCAAGTTGAAATGAAGGGTGGATTTAGGGTCCAGGAAAAAGATAGCAAAAAGTAAAAACTGGCCTCCATGAGAAATTTATATATTTGATCAATTAGAGAATATAATTCAAAATCATTTTTTAATTAGGATAATCAAAATTTAAAAACAATGACACTCAGTAGAATAAGGGTTATTTAAAAAATAAAAAATAATCACATTTAAAGTTTATTTCATGATTCCTTTTCTTATTTCTTTCCCCCTCTTTGTGTGTTTTTCTCTTTCTCTCTATATAGAGAGATAGACATTTAGATAGGTAGTAGATAGATACAGATATAGATTTCCATTATATATTCCTTTTGGAGCCAATCTAGTTGTTGACATTAAGTAATACATCTTGCTTACATTTTTTCCCTGAAGTACTGGCTAAAGAAGAAAAGAATAATAATATGCATGTGACAAAATCAAAAACCAAAAAATGTTTGTGTGTAACATAGCTTAATAAAGTAAAGCTATACAATATTGAGGGGTGATCAAGGCCCCCAGCTCCATATATATTTATATATATGTATATGTATATATATATGTACATGTATATGTATATATATACGTGTATATGTATATATATACACATATATACATGTATATACATATACATGTATATATGTGTATATATATGTTTATATACATGTATATATGTGTATATACGTACGTATAAAACTGTTAGTTCGTACCCATTCATCAAACTTTCTTCAACCCCTTCTACTCTCTACCCTTTCTGGCCTTTGGAAAACACCAATTTACTGTCTGTCTTCATAAGATCTCCTTTTTTAGCTCCCACATAGGAGTGAGAATATGTGATATATGTCTTGCTCTGCTTGGCTTATCTCACTTAATATAATGATATACAGTTTCATTAATATTGCTGCAAATGACAGAATTTTGTTCTTTTTATGGCTGAATATTATTTCATTGTGTATATATATCACATTTCCTTTATCCATTCATACATTGACAGGCAATTAGGTTGATTCAATTTTTATTTTTTTTGTAAAGGGTGCTACAGTAAATGAGGAATGTACATATTTCTTTGATTTACTCATTATTTTTTCTCTTGGCTTTATACCCAGCAGTGGAATTGCTGGATCCTAAGGTAGTTGTGATTTTTTCATTTATTGAGGAACCTTCATACAGTTATCCACAGTGGCTATACTAATTTGTACCTGCACCAATAGTGTGCAAGGGTTCCCCTTTCTCCACATCCTCACTAGCATCAATATTCTTTATTTTTTTATAAATACCATTTTAACTAGGGTAAAACATTTCATTGTAGTTTTGATTTGCATTTTTCTGATGATTAGTGATGTTAAGCATTTTTTTAAAAAATATACTTTTGGTCATTTGTATGTTTTCTTTTGAGAAATGTCATTTAGGATCTTTTGCCCATTTTGCAATTAGATTATTATCTTTTTGCTATTGAGCCATTTCAGCTTCTTATATATTCTGGTTATTAATCTTTTGTCAGATGGATAGTTTGGAAACATTTTCTCCCATTTAAGTTATGTCTTTATTTTATTGACTGTTTCCTTTTTTGTGCAAAAGGTTTTTAGCTTGATATAATCCCATTCAGCTATTATGGCTTGCAATGCCTTGCTTTTGTGGTCTTACACGAAAATTCTTTGCCCAAACCATTGCCCTGAAGCATATCCTTAAATTTTCTTATAATAGTTTCAGGGTTTCAAGTCTTCGATTAAGATTTGCAAATCATTTTGATTTTATTGTTATATATGGTGAGAGATAGGGTCTAGTTTAATTCCTGTACCTATGTTTATCCAGTTTTCTCAGAACCATCTATTGAAAAGATTGTCATTTCCCCTGTAAGTTCTTGGTACCTTTGTGAAAAAAATGAATTGGTGGTAAATGCCTAGGTTTATATCTGAGTTCTCTCTATTCTGCTCCATTGATGTATGTGTCTGGTTTTATGCAGGTACAATTTACTATAGCTTCCTAGTATATTTTGAAGTCAGGTAGTGTGATGCTTTGTTCTTTTTGTTTAGGATTGCTTTGGCTATTCAGGATCTTTTTGTGATTCCATGGACAGTGTAGAAATTTTAAAATTTGTGTGAATAATGTTATTGGTGTTTTCATTGGGATTGCATTAAATTTGTAAACTGCTTTGAGTAGTATTGTCATTTTAACAATATTCTTCAAGTTCATGAACATGAAATATCTTTTCATTTCTGTGTGTTCTCTTCAATTTCTTTCATCAGTATTTTGTAGTTTTCTCCTACAGGATTTTTATATCTTTGGTTAAATTGATTTCTAGGCATTTTATATTCTTTGTAGCTACTGCAAATGGGATTGTTTTATTGATTTCTATTTCATATTGTTAACTGAAGAATTATATAACTGCTACTGATTTTTGGATGTTGATTCCGTATCTTCCAACTGTACTGAATTTATCAGTTCTAACTTTGTTTTATGTTGTCTTCAGGTTTTTCTAGGTATAAGATCATGCATGTGCAAACAAGACTAATTTTAGTTTTTCTTCCCAATTTGGATGCCCTTTGTTTCTTTCTCTTGACTAATTTCTGTGGCTAGGGCTTCCAGTACTGTGTTAAATAAAAGTGGTGAAAATGAGTATCCTTGTTTTGTTCTAGACATAAAAGAGGATTTCATTATTTTCCTATTTAGTATAATGGTTAGCTGTGGGCTTGGCTTACATAGCCTTTATTTTCATGAGGTATGTTTTTTCTATATCCAGTTTTTGAGGATTTTTACCATAAAGGAATATTATATTGTATTGAATGCTTTTTTGGTATCTATTAAAATAACCATATGGTTTTTGTTCTTGGTTCTGCTATGATCTTTGAGAAGAATTGGTATTCATTCTTCTTGAAAGGTTGGGTAAAATTCAGCAGTGAAGCCAACAGATTCTGGGCTTTTCTTTTATGAAACCTTTTTGTTATGACTTCAATCTCATTACTTGTTATTGGTTTGTTGAGGTTCTCAATATCCTCATGCTTCAAACTTGTCAGATTATATGTGCCCAGGAATGTATTCAATAAGTTTTCCAATTTATTGGTGTATACCTGTTTGTAATAGTCTATTTTATTCTGATATAAGTAGAGCTGCTCCTCCTCTTTTTTTGGTTTCCAGTTGTATGGAATATCATTCTCTACCCATTCATTTTCAGTCTACATGTGCCTTTATTGGTGAAGTGGGTTTCTTTTTGGCATTAAATATTTAGATCTTGTTTCTTTATCCATTCAGCCACTCTATGACTTTCAATGGAAGAATTGAGTCCTTTCTGTACCCAGATATTTGTCATTTTGCCAAGTTTTAGAATGTTTTGTATTATTGTTTTTGTGAATGAAGGGAAGTTTCCTTCTCCTCATTCTTGCTCAAATCCCTTTTGAACACCAATAATTCTCGGATTCTGCCTGTTGAGGTTATTTTCTATATCTGGTAGCTTACTTTCCTTAATTTTCAATCTTTTTTTTCCCTCTAGCTGTGTATTTTCAAATAGCCATTCTTCGAGCTCAGTAATTATTTCCTCTGCTTGATCCATTCTGTTACTAAGAGCCTCTAATAATTTTTTTTTGCTCAGCAAATATATTTCTCACTTCCAAGATTTCTGTTTGATTTTAAAAATTATTTTTTTCTTATAATTTATCTGATAAATTTCTGAATTATTTTTCTATGTTATCTGGGAGATCACTGAGTTTCCTTAAAATTGATATTTTAAATTATTTATCAAGGAGTTCATATATTACTGTCTTGTGAAGGTCAGTCACAGGTTTATTGCTTTGTCTGTGGAGGTCGTGGTTTTCTATTTGCTGTTATTTTTTGTGCATGCACATCTATTAAAGTGCTTCCAAGATTAGTTGTTTATTCCAGACTTCTCTGCCTGGCTTTTTTTTTCCTGACTATATTTGCTTAGATATATTTGCAATATTTTTTCCTGACTATATTTGCTTAGATATATTTGCAATATTTTCCTGACTATATTTGCTTAGATATATTTGCTTAGAAAATTAGACTATATTTGCTTAGATTCTTTTTAACTTACCTGTTGATTTTCTTTCTTTCTTTCTTTGTATTTTCATTCATTTATTATTTCTTTTTTTCCTTTTTCTCCCCACATTTTTGCCTTTTTTGAGAGTAGATGGTACCTTAAGCCCATATTTACCTGAGTTCTAGTAAATAATTAGAATACAGTCTGTCTGGAATGGGGGATATTCCAAAGACAATTTCCAATTAGTGTGAGAAGGCTTCCTAGGTGTTCATGCCCAGGGGGACCAGTGGAACAAACCTCCTACAACATGGTGCTGCTGAACAGCCACTCTGACTTGGGGTCTCCTTTGAAAGAGTTATAGAGCAGAGTTTCCAAGACTGAGGATGGCAGTTCCACCTCCCCATATTGTCTCTGGATATCCTTAGGGATATTTTGCCCTTTAGGCACTCCTGATGCTTCTTGTGGATTGAGGAAAATACAAATATCCTGCCAGTGGACCTGAGGTACTGAGGAGGCTGGTTGCCCATCTCAATCTCATTTTTAACGGTGTAGAGACAATAAGTCAGGGGGAAATTTTCCATGCAGTTGGTGGCAGGCAAATTTGGAGGAGGCATCGTGGATATGAATATTTGGTTCTTTTACCATATGCTCAGAATGCTTCTATTTATCTGCAGCCCAGGGAACTGTTTCCTCCCTGGTTTTAAATCCTGAGATGTTGATGGTAATAACCACAGCATTATGTATTTGTTTCTGGTTTCCTATGAGTGGCAGTGAAGCTAGCTTGCTTCTAGGCTGCTATTTTGGTACTAGAACAGAAATTCCTAACAGAATTTTAGCAAACCAAATCCAACAGTGTATTAACAGAGCAATTCATTATTACAAAATGGGGGTTATCACTAAAATGCATGGCTGATTAAATGTTTAAAAATTAAACATGGTAAAACTATACAAGAGCTGACAGATAAAATACCCAGTATAGAAAAGAACATAAATGGCTGGGTGCAGTGGCTCACGCCTGTAACCCCAACAACTTCAGGGGGCCGAAGTGGGCAGATCATGAGGTCAGGAGTTCGAGAACAGCCTGGCCAACATGGTGAAACCCCATCTCTACTAAAAACACAAAAAATTAGTTGGGTGTGGTGGGGGCACCTGTAATCCCAGTTAAGCGGGGGTCTGAGACAGAAGAATTGTTTGAACTCAGGAGGAGGAGGTTGTAGTGAGCTGTTATCGCGCCATTGCACTCCAGCCTGGGCAACAGGGTGAGACTCTGTCAAAAACAAACAAACAAACAAACAAAAAACCATAAACAACTTGATAGGGTTGAAAAACATACTACAATAATTTCACAATGCAATCACCGGTATTAGTAGCACAATAGAACAAGCCAAAGGAAGAATCTCAGAGCTTGAAGACTGGCTTTCTAAAATAGATAGTCAAAGAAGAATAGAGAAAAAAGAATAAAAAATAATAAATAAAACTAATGAAAAGCATGAGGTTATGTATGGAGGTCAAATCTATGATTCATTTTTGTCCCTGAAAGAGATGAGGATAATGGAATGGAACCAACTTGAAAACATATTTTCGGATATCATCCATGAGAATTTCCCCAACCTAACTAGAAAGGCCAACATTTACATTTAAAAATGTCGAGAAACCCAGTAAGATACTTCACAAGAAGATCATTTCCAAGTCACATAATTATCAGATTCCCCAAGGGCAAAATGAAAGGAAAAAAAATGTTAAAGGCAGTAAGAGAGAAAGGTCCAGTTACCTACAAAGGGAAGCCCGTGAGACTAACACCAGACCTCTCAGCAGAGACACTACTATCCAGAAGAGACTGAAGGCCAATATTCAACATTCTTAAGGAAAAGAAATTCAAATCCAGAACTTCATGTCTTGCCAAACTCAGCTTTATAAGCAAAGGAGAAATAAGATCCCTTTTAGACAAGCAAATGAAGAAGGAATTTGTAAAAACCAGACCAGCCTTACAAGAGCTCCTGAAGGAAGCGCTAAATATGGAAAGGAAAGACCTTTATCAATTGTCACAAAAACACACTGAAGTACACAAACCACTGACTATAAAAAGCAACCCCCAAAAAATGTCTGCATAACAGCCAGCTGATGTCATGATGACAGAATCAAATCCACATGTATCAATACTAAACTTGAATGTAGATGGGCTAAATGCCCCCAATCAAAAGGCACAGAGTGACAAACTGGGTATAGAACCAAGATGCAATGGTATTCTTTCTTCAAGAGACCCTTCTCAAAGCCAGTGACACTCATAGTCTCAAAATAAAAGGATAGAGAAAAATCTGCCAGGCAAATGGAAAACAGAAAAAAGCAGAAGTTGCAATCCTAGTTTCAGACAAAACAGACTTTAAGCCAACAAAGAAAAAAGACAAAGAAGGGTGTTAGGTAATGGTAGAAGGTTCAATTCAAGAGAAGACCTAACTATCCTAAATATATATGCACTCAACATACGAGCACTCAGATTCATAAAGCAAGTTCTTAAAAACTTTCCAAGAGACTTAGACTCCCATGCAACAATAGGGGGAGATTTCACAACACCACTGACAGTATTAGACAGAACACTGAGGCAGAAAATTAACAAAGATATTGAGGACCTGAACTCAGCACTGAAACAAATGGATCTGATAGACATCTACACAACTCTCTACCCCAAAACAAGAATACACACTGTTCTCATTGCCACAGGGCATATACTCTAAAATAGACCAAACAATCATATATAAAACAATCATCAGCAAATGCGAAATAAATGAACCCATAACAACTCTCTTGGACCACAGCACACACAATAAAATTAGAAATCAAGACTAAAGAAATCACTGAAAACCTCATAGTTACATAGAAATTAAATGACTTTTCCTGAATGACTTTTGAGTAAATAATAAAATTAAGGGAGAAATCAAGAAGTTCTTTGAAACTCATGAGAGAAAAGATACAACACACCAGAATCTCTGGCACATAGCTAGGGCAGTGTTAAGAAGGAAATTTAGAGCACTAAATCCTCACATTAAAAAGTTAGAACAATCTCAAATTAACAACCTAACATCACAACTAAAAGAGCTAGAGAACCAAGAGTAAACCAATGCCAAAGCTGGCAGAAGACAAGAAATAACCAAAATTAGAGCTGAACCAAAGGAGACAGGCACACACACACACACACACACACACACACACACACACACACACACAAACATTCAAAAGAGCAAAAAATCCATGAGTTGTTTTTTGGAAAAACATAATAGAAGAGTTTCCTACTGAAACTATTCCAAAAAAAATTGAGGAGAAATGACTCTTCCCTAACTCATTCTATGAAGCCAGCATCATCCTGATATCCAAACATGCCAGAGACACAACACAAAAAGACAACTTAAGGCCACCATCCTTGATGAACATTGATACAAAAATCCTCAAGGATATACTTGCAAACTAAGTCCAGCAGCACATTAAAAAAGCTTATCCACCACAACCAAGTAGGCTTTATCTCTGGGATGCAAGATTGGTTCAATATAGGCAAATCAATGAATGTGATTTATCAAATAAACATAACTAAAGACAAAACCACATACTTATCTCAATAGATGGAGAGGAAGCTTTTGATAAAATTCAACACCACTTCATGTTAAAAACTCTCAAACATGTAGTATTGAAGAAACATACCTCAAAATAATAAGTCGTTTATGACAAACACACAGCCAACGTTGTACTTAATGGGCAAAAGCTTAAAGCATTCCCCTTGAAAACTGTCACAAGACAAGGAGTCCCTCTCTCATCTCTTCTATTCAACATGTTATTGGAAGTCCTGGCGAGAACAAACAGGCAAGAGAAAGAAATAAAGCACATCTAAATAGGAAGAGAGGAAGTCAAACTATCCTGTTGGCAGACAACATGACTCCATATCTAGGAAGCCCTATAGTCTTGTTCCAAAAGCTCCTTCAGCTGGTAAACAACTTCAGCAAAGTCTCATGATATAAAACCAACATAAAAAAAAATCACCAGCATTCCAATATGCCAATAACCGTCAAACTGAGAACCAAATCAGGAATGCTATCTCATTCAAAATTGCCACAAAAAGAGTAAAATACCTAGGATTACAGCTAACCATGTAGGTGAAAGAGCTCTAGAATGAGAACAATAAAACACTGCTCAAAGAAATCAGGGATGACAGAAACAAATGGAGAAACATTCTATGCTCATGGATAGGAAAAATCAATATTGTTAAAATGGCCATACTTCCCAAAACAATTCAAAGATTCAATACTATTATTATGAAACTACCAATTATGTACTTCACAGACCTAGAAAAACAAAAAGTAAATTCATATGGGACCAAAAAAGAGGCTGAATAACCAAGACAATCCTAAGCAAAAAGAACAAAGCTAGAGGCAGCATGCTACCTGACTTCAAATTATGTTACAGGGCTACAGTAAACAAAACAGCATGGTACTGGTACAAAAACAGGCATATAGACCAATGAAACAGTATAGAGATCCTAGAAATAGGCCACCCTGCTACAGCCATCTGATCTTCAATAAAGCTGATAAAAGCAATGGGGAAAGGGATCCCTATTCAATAAATGGTACTGGGATAGCTAGCTAGCTATATGCAGAAGACTGAAACTGGACCCCATATAGAAAAGTCAATTCAAGATGGATTAAAAATTTAAATGTAAAACCCAAAATTATAAAAACTCTGGAAGACAACCTAGGCAATAACATTCTGGGTTTAGGAATGGGTACAGATTTCATGAAGTAAGCATCAAAAGCAACTGCAACCAATGCAAAAATTGACAAATGAGAGCTAATTAAACTAAATAACTTCTGCACAACAAAAGAAACTATTCATAAACAGATAACCTACAGAATGGCAGAATTTTTGTTCAAATTGTACATTTGACAAAGGTCTAATATACAGCATTTATAAAGAACTTAAACAAATTTACAAGTAGAAAACAACCCCATTAAAAAGTGGGCAAAGAACATAACAGGCATTTTTCAAAAGAAGACATACATGCAGCCAACAACCATATAAAAAAAGCTCAGCATCACTGATTATTAGTGAAATGCAAATTAAAACCACAATGAGATACCATCTCACACCAGTCAGAATGGCTATAGTTAAAAAGTCAAAAAATTACAGATGCTAGTGAAGTTGCAGTAAAAAAGTGCTTATACACTGTTGTAGGGAGTGTAAATTAATTCAACCATTGTAGAAAGCAGTGTGGTAATTTCTCAAAACAGAACTACCATTCCACCCAGCAACTCCTTTACTGGGTATACCCTCAACATTATAAATCATTCTATCATAAAAATACATGCATGTGTCTGTTCATTGCAACACTATTCACAATATCAAAGACATAGAATCAACTTACATGCCCATCAATGGTAGACTGGCTAAAAAAAATGTGGTACAATATATACCATGGAATTCTACGCAGCCACTAAAAAGAACAAGATCATGTCATTTGCAGGAACAGAAAACCAAATACCACATGTTCTAATTTATAAGTGGGAGCTAAATGATGAGAACACATAAAGGAGAACAAAAGACACTGTTACCTCCCAGAGGGTGAAGGGTGGGAGAGAAAGAATTAGGAAAAATAACTAATGAATACTAGGCTTAATAGTTGAGTGACAAAATAATCTGTACAAGAAACCTCAGTGACAGTAGTTCACCTATATAACAAACCTGCACATGTATCCTGAACTTAAAGTTTAAAAAATTGTGATTCATCATATTAGCAACATATATATATATAATATATAAAAATTGTATAAATATAGATTATAGACCTAAAAGTAAATGCCCAAAGTGTAAATGTCTGGAAAGATAAAATCATTTAATCTTTGGGTTAAGCAAATAATTTTTAGAAACAATATGAAAAGCAAGACCCACAAAATCATAAATTTTTCTTTATCAAAATAAAAATTTCTGCTATTTAAAATACATTTTTAAAAATATTTAATTTATTTTTAATGACAAAAATTGTATATATTTATGGGGTACAATGTGATATTGTGATGTATGTACACATTACAGTATAATTAAATCAAATTAACATATCTATCACCTCACATGCTTATTATCATTTTTGGAGATGAGATTATTTAAAATCTACTCTCAACAACTTTCATACATACAATGTATTATTATTAACTATAGTTTCCATGATGTAAAATAGATGTCCAGAACTTATTTCTTCTGTCTAATGGAAACTTTTACTCTTTGACCAACGTCTCCCCATTCCTCACCCATCAGCCCCTGATAACTGCAATTCTATTCTCTACTTCAATTAGTTCAATGTTTTATATTCCACAGATATGTGAGCTCATGTAGTATTTGTCTTTCTCTGACTGGCATATATCACTTAGTAAATAAAATGTTCTCCAGCTTCATCCATGCTGTCACAAATGTCAGAATTTCCTTCTTTTTGGGGGAGGGTAGGGGGGGAGTTCACTCTTGTTGCCCAGGCTGGAGTGCAATGGTGCGATCTTGGCTCACCACAACCTCCGCCTTCCAGGTTCAAGCTATTCTCCTGCCTCAGCCTCTTGAGTAGCTGGGATTACAGGCGTGTGCCACCACGCCCAGCTAATTTTGTATTTTTAGTAGAGGTGAGGTTTCTCCATGTTGGTCAGGCTGGTCTCAAACTCCTGACCTCAGGTGATCCGCCCACCTCGGCCTCCCAAAGTGCTGGGATTACAAGCGTGAGCCACCACACCTGGCCTGATTTCCTTCTTCTTTAAGGCTCAATAATATTCCACTATGTATACATGCAAAATTTTTCAAAGACGTTTTAAGAGAATATGACGATAAAACTAAGAGAAAATATTTGTGAATCACATATCTGATGAATGATTTGTAATCAAAATATATGAAGAACTCTCAAAACAATAATAAAAACAAATCATCCACTAAAAATGAGCAAAATATTTTGTATAGAAACTAAAAACATACAGATAATATATAACCACATAAAAAAGATATTCAAAATTATTTTTCACTAGGCAAATACAGATTGAAACCATGAGAGAGCTACACATAGTTACTAGAACGACTAAAACTTTTAAAACACTTATGCTAAATGATGCCAACAGTAAGTCTCATACTTTGCTTGTGGGAATGCAAAAAATAGTATAGTCCCTTTGGAAACAGTTTAGCAGTTTATTGCACAGTTGAACAGAATCTTACTACAATATCCAGTAATCCCAACCCTAGGTATTTATGAATGTAAAATACAAACATATTCCCTAAAACCTATACGTAGGTGTTTATAGCAGCTTCAATCATACTTGCCCCAAATTGAAAACAGCCTAAATATCCTTCAGTTCATGACTGAATAAACTGTGGTATATCCATAGCATAGGATAGTACAAATTATTGATACACACAACATAGATTTCAAATGCATTATGCTAAATGAAAGAAGCCTAGCTATTGTAGGATTCTGGAAGAAGTAAAACCACAGCGACAGAAAACAGATCAGTGGTTTCCTGGGCTTAGAGGTGAAGAAAGGTCTTAACAACAAATAGCTGCAGAGACAATTTTGTGGGTTGAGGGTTTGGGACAATTTAATATCTTGATTGTGGTGGTGGTCGTTCAGCTACATGCATTTACCAAAACTCACAGTATTTTATGCTAAAAATAGTAAACTTTCTGTATGTAAGTTAAACTTTAATTTTTAAAAAAGATTTAAAAGTTAGCAAAAAAGATTGGGCACGGTGGCTCACTCCTGTAATCCCAGCACTTTGGGAGGCCGAGGTGGGTGGATCACCAGGTCAGGAGTTCGAGATCAGCCTGGTCAACATGGTAAAACCCAGTCTCTACTAAAAATACAAAAATTAGCAGGGCGTGGTGGCATGTGCCTGTAATCCCAGCTACTCGGGAGGCTGAGGAAGGAGAATCGCTTGAACTCGAGAGGCAAAGGTTGCAGTGAGCCGAGATCGCACCACTGTACTCTAGCCTGGTAACAGAGCAAGACTCTTGTCTCAAAAAAAAAAAAAAAAAAAAAAAAGTTAACAAAAAAGTCTAGAAATACAAAAATTAGCAGGGCATGGTGGCATGTGCCTGTAATCCCAGCTACTCGGGAGGCTGAGAAAGGAGAATCGCTTGAACTCCAGAGGCAAATGTTACAGTGAGCCGAGATCGCACCACTGTACTCCAGCCTGGTAACAGAGCAAGACTCTTGTCTCAAAAAAAAAAAAAAAAAAAGTTAACAAAAAAGTCTAGAAAGTATACACTCATACACCCAAATATTATACTTATTTTATATCCACAACTCACCTCATACAATGCAGTATTGATGGCTGAGTGACAAGGCTAAGCTTTTAAAGTAATCATTTCCTGTGTTCAAAAGCAAATTTGAAATTTTTAAGAGAATTTGGGGATACTATAAAATTTTTATTGAACTCCAAATTTGTGGACTGACTGTTCTTTTAAACAAGTTATCTTACTACCCACAGTAAATGTTCTGAGGGAAACTACATCATGTTTTCTAATTAAAACCTTGTACTCCATGCCACTGATGTATCAGGATTTATTTCACCATTTCTTTTTTTTTGTTTCTTTTTTTTTAAAGATTATTATTTTTTTCATTTTTAAGTTTTTTTTTTATTTTACTTTAAGTTCTAGGGTACATGTGCACAACTTACAGGTTTGTTACATATGTATACATGTGCTGTGCTGGTGTGCTGCACATTAACTGGTCAGTTACATTAGGTATATCTCCTAATGCTATCCCTCCCCCCTCCTCCTGCCCCACGAAAGGCCCCGGTATGTGATGTTCCCCACCCCGTGTCCATGTGTTCTCGTTGTTCAATTCCCACCTATGAGTGAGAACATTCAGTGTTTGATTTTCTGTTTCTGCAATGGTTTGCTCAGAATGATGGTTTCCAGCTTCATCCATGTCCCTACAAAGGACATGAACTCATCCTTTTTTATGGCTGCATAGTATTCCGTGGTGTGTATGTGCCACACTTTCTTAATCCAGTCTATCATTGATGGACATTTGGGTTGGTTCCAAGTCTTTGCCATTGTATTTCACCATTTCTTATTGGTAAACCTTTATATTATTTTTTGTTCCTCACTATTACAAATAATTCTTTGAAAATATCTTTAAACATAAATATTCGGAATTTCTGAAATTATTTCTAGTGTCTAGATTTCTAAAATTTAGTGTGCAGGTTTAAAACATATAGGTAGCTTTTTTCCTGACAATTTTTAATTATAAAAATAATGGATAGGGCCAGACGCCATGGCTCATGCCTGTAATCCCAGCACTTTGGGAGGCCGAGGCAGGTGGATCATGATGTCAAGAGTTCAAGACCAGCCTGGCCAACATGGTGAAACCCCATCTCTACTAAAAATACAAAAATTAGCTGGGTGTTGTGGCAGGTGCCTGTAATCCCAGCTACTGGGGAGGCTGAGGCAGAAGAATTGCTTGAACCCGGGAGGCAAAGGTTGCAAGGAGCCAAGATTGCACCACCGCACTCCAGCCTGGACGACAGAGCAAGACTCCATCTCAGAAAAAAAAAAAAAGAAAAAAAAAGACAAGGTATTGTGCCAGACCATTCATTTGAATTGTCCACAGTTTTATAGATAATCAATAATGAGCTGGAATTATAATCTATTCATTCTGGCTGCATGGCCTGGGTCTATAATGAATATACCAAAGGTCTAGAATTCCAACAGTCATGGGGACTAGGCAGGAGTACGAGTAAGTGGTGTACACCAGGTAGAGGACGGAGGCACGCTGGAGGGCAGTGCCTTGCCTAAATGTACCATCTGCTATTCATTTAAAGCCAACTCTTGTCATGTAAGGACACAGACTAGTCTAAAAAAAGGTGGAAACTAGGATTTGTTCATGTTGTTCATGCATAAAATCATCAAGTTTTAAAAACTTTTTGTACACACAAAACAAGAAACACCTCTTGGGAAGATCTGGCCCAGATTCTCCCAGTTTATGCCCCTAGTAGCAAACTTTGCTATCTTGAGTTGTTGATGTTATGTTTTAGTAAAAATATTGGATGAAAAAGTGACAAAACTTGTGTTGCAACATGACTGCCATGGGATATATAACTTAATGGGAATAAATTAATATCTACATTCATGTTGGTGTTTGAGTAATATGAATACTGCTCCTTACTTGCAGTTTCTACATGGTCATAATATGGAGAGAGCTCTGCTTCATTTGAATGTGAATCATATATTCTCATGTCCTTCTATTATGAATGAACTGCTTTTCTGAGCCAGCTGCAGGAAGCACACTGAAATGCCATTAATTTATTCTGAAACCACATTTCTGTTCTCACATATCACACTCTCTGCTACTATTCAGCTCTAGCAGTATATAGAAAAGCTAAATATAGACCCAATTTTCAAATGTCTATATCCAATAAAAAATGCTTATTTAAAATGTGTCTGAGATAGTAGGGCTCAAACTTGGCTGCACACTAGAAGTACTTGGGGAGCTTTAAAGTATACATAGACATGGTTCTTACCCCCAGAGATGGTAGTTTAATTGGCCTAGGTGAACCTGGGCATTACAGTTGGTAAAAGGCCCTAGGTGATTCTACTATCAGCCAAAATTGAGATTGACTTGTCCAATGTATGTTTTGCAACATAATATTTGATGTGTAATAACAGTTCAGTTAATAGCACCTATTTATATAATTGATAATTATTAACAGTATTTTGACCTCTTCCTTGAATCAGTATTCCATAGTATTTGCTTTCCTTGTATCTTCTTGAGAAATGATACATAGCATACTGTGATGCCATTATTTTTTAAAATCAGAGAGCTGCCTAATCATATTGAAGAGATGAAGTTCTATTTCTTTCATTGTACTCATTTTCTAGACTGTAATCTTTTTGAAGAAAGGAACTGTGTCTTTGTTCCAACACTTAGCATCATGCCAGATACACTTATGTACTTTAAAAATTATCAGTTGAATAAATGATTATTAATAGGTCAATTTATTTCTCATAGATGAAAAAAGTAAAATAGATTAAGAATAGACATACACAATCTGTGAGTGTTGCCTTCTTTCCCGGAAAGCTACTAAGAATTAGAAGTACAGAAGCAAGAACACCAGCAACTCCACCGATTTCTTTGGCTTGTTTGTCACACTGTATAGCTGTCTCATAGCCATGTAGATTCCCTTCTTCATAGTTGAAAATAGTGAAAGGTGGTGGTGGGCATGAGGTAGAAAATCTCTGGATTTAGAAAGTCGTATTTCTCTTGACTTTTGGATATCTCCAAAGAAACAAAACGTGGATCAAAGCCCTTAACTATATACTTTCACTTTTCTAATGGGCTCAGACCTTGCTACCACAATATTCACATGTGCAAAACAAATATAGCTTTTATGTTTTTATGTATTTATTTATTTTGAGATGAAGTCTCCCTTTGTTGCCCAGGCTGGAGTGCAGTGGCGTGATCTTGACTCACTGCAACCTCCGCCTCCCGGGTTCAAGCAATTCTCTTGCCTGAGCCTCTTAAGTGGCTGGGATTACAGGAGCCTGCCGCAATGCCTGGCTAATTTTTCTATTTTTAGTAGAGACGGGGTTTTACCATATTGGCCAGGCTGGTCTTGAACTCCTGACCTCAGATGATCCACACACCTTGGCATCCTAAAGTGCTGGGATTACAGACATGAGCCGCTGTGCCCAGCCAGCAAATGTAGCTTTTGCATCTCTATAACTCTTCTTCCTTTTAGACCTTTCTTCTGGCTGGGAAAAATTAAATTTTGACTAGTGGAGTAAAACTCAGTGTTATTTAATAAGCAAAGGCATTTTTAAAACGTAACTCAGGCTTTTAGAATTATACGTTGTTTCAAGTCTTTGCTATTGTGAATAATGCCGCAATAAACATACGTGTGCATGTGTCTTTATAGCAGCATGATTTATAGTCATTTGGGTACCAGCATGGCACATGTATACATATGTAACTAACCAGCACAACGTGCACATGTACCCTAAAACTTAAAGTATAATAATAAAAAAAAAGAACTATATGTTGTTTTTCACATTTTCTCCTCCCCCAGTGTTCCTCTTTAAAGTGCCTTTTGAGTATATAGGCAGTCCACTTTGCACTGCACGGACAACATGTCAGAGGGATAGAAAAGGGTTCATCTCCATATAAAATACTCTAGATCCCTTATAGTGTCCCCTGTAAGTAACTGGTTTAGTTTGCTCCTTTATTAGCTTCTGTGACAATGTTAATGGTCTCATTTTGGCACGGGGTAGAATATTCCATCGGCTGTGCCCAGGCATTTATTTTCAGACTTGAAGTCGCCACCTACATGTCTGGATCTAAGATCTTGGCTTATCAACTGTCTCTGTCAGCAGCACATTCATGTCCCTATTGAGCTTCCCCAAATATATTGGATATTTGTAAAGGCTTCCTGAACTTCTCAAGGTATTGCTCCAAGATGTGGATGGACGACTAAAACTTCAGCATCTCAAATCTCCACTCTCCCCAAACCTCTTTTTTTTCTTCTCCCATTCCACCAAGGCTGGAAAAAACAAAACAAACAAACAAAAAAAGGAGCAAAGTACAGTGCTCGGTCGGCTTCTTGTGTTGACTTTTCTCTACCTAGTTGAATAGAGCCAAATAAGTTTAACTCTAAATAGCCCAAGCTAAAGGGCTTTAGAAAAAATTTCCACCTCAGAAAATTCTAGCTTTCAAGACTATTTATTTTCTAGGGACATGTTAATACAACTTACCTATGATCTTTAGCTTCTTGGCACAACCTGCATTCTTATTCCCTGAGGTCATAATTTCAACCGATTCCTGGAGCGGCCACTTTAAGTGTAAATATCATCATCTGAAATTATTTTATATATTTGTTTATTTATTACTTGTCTCTCTCCCTGAAAAACTGTAATTTATATAGGACAGGGGTTTTATTGGTCTTATTAACCATGTATCCTTACCACTTAGGATAGTGTTTTTCTGCCTAGATAGTATCACTAAATTGTTCATTGAATAAATTTATGTATGTATGTATATATGTATGTATGTATGCATGGATGGATGGATGGATGGATAGAATAGTATGTATGTATATATGTGTGCATAGATCACTGTATAGGCATATACATATATATATATATATATGGATGATTTCACTTAATTTTTAGCTTTGGGCTGAGAGGAAACTAAGAAAATAAGACATAAGGAAAAAATGAAATGATACAGTTTTCATAGTCTAAAAATATTACATCTGCATACTTTTATTTCCAAATATGTTAAAATAAATCCAATAGAATATTTGATATTGAAGTTTTAGAACATATCAATTTATCTTAATTAACTGTTTATAAACATGCATACATATACACTATATTTGTATTTTTATATTGGTTTCAACAAAATATAATTAATTTGGATGAGATTTTGAATAATTTTCATTTTGCCATTATGTCCATTTTCCAGATTTTCTACCATCATATTTTATGTAAAGTAAAGCATATCATATCATACTTTGAATTTTTTCTGTTATACATGTCTGTGTGTGTATATATACGTGTAGTATATGTGTTTATACACATACACACATGCTGGAGACTCTTGTACAATGCAGAGGTTAATGGTACCAATCCCATGCACAGTCAAAAATCCATGTATAAGTTTTTACTCCCCCAAAACTTAATAATGGGTTACTATTGACTAGAAGCCTTACTGATAACATAAACAGTTGATTAACTCATATTTTGTATGTTCTATATATTATATTCTGTATTCTTCCAATAAAGTAAGGTAGAGAACAGAAAATGTTATTAAGAAAACTATAAGTAAGAGAAAATACGTTTACAATTTATTAAGTGGAAGTGGATCATCATAAAAGTCTTCTTTCTCTTTGTCTTCACATTGTTTAGGCTGAGGAGGAGGAAGAAGAGGGGAGGTGGGTCCTGGTATTTCAGGGGTGGCGGAGGCAGAAGAAGATGGACCCATTCAGTTTAAAACTGTGTTGTTAAAGGGTCAACAATACAAACAAACACATGCAAGCATTCATTTTAATCTGCCTGAAATTATATGTGGCTTCATCAAGAAATTGATGTGGTCCTAAATGAATTTTTATGGAAACAGAAATCTCAATTTTTACAATGTCTTTGAATAGTTATTAAAATGTAATCTAAACCTTCTAATATTCATTGTCACAGGGTAACTCTGTAGATATTTTCGTGGGGGGATACTGAATATATATAAAAATTAATTTTTTGAAAAATCGGTGTGTTTATTTTCATATTTTTTTTCCTGATAAAGGAGGAGACTTTATATTTTTTCAGTTTTTCCAGAGGTGGGCCGGCAAGTCTTACCTACTTTTCTTGTTGGTTGAGTTATAGTACAATGCTGTAGTTTAATACTAATTTTATTTTTAATTTTGGCTAATAAAAAAAATCAGTATTATCCCAGAAATGTATAAACCACATGCCAAATTTCATTCTGAAATGATTTTTTTGTTAACATTATAATCCATTAGAGAGAGAGATTTATAATGGGAATGCTGACAGATCGTTTCAGCAGCCATATAGAGGCTCCTTAGCTGATTCATTAATATCTAACGAAGCTAGTCCCATGTCTTTACAAATCAAATTCTTCCTCTCCAGTGGAGATAGGTCAAAATATTGAAGAAGGCTTGTGCTCTCCAGTAGAAATGAAATAGATGATGCTGACATCTCCATTGTTTTAATGAGAGTGTGGCAGCAGAGTGTTGCTGGATAGAGTGCTTTGTCAAAGTGGACTGAGGTCTATTTTTAGACAATGTGGGTTGCCTTTTATATTCATCCTACCTAAGAGCAGGGGGAATACAGCAAGTTCCTGGGTACTGAAATAGAAAAGGCAGGAATGAAAGCAGCTCAAATTTGATCAGCTCCTAAGTCCGCCTGAGTGTCACCAATTCTTCATCTTACCTTAAAAATATTTATTTATTATTTTACTAAGTCCAGCCTATATTTTATGGGCAGTAAATGGGGAACAGATGTTACTTTTTGGAGAGAAGAGTATTAAAGAATTTTTTGAAATAGTTTATAATGACTGCACTGATCTAATTGTGTTAAACATTGCAAAGAGTTTCTTAAGAATTGTTAAAAAGATAATTTGTGAAAATGTTGACAATATAATACATTCATTTATTCTCTATTTATTTTTAAAATTACTTTATTTTTTTCTTTAGTAATTGGAAATGTTAATTTTATTAATTCATTTTTTCAACTTTAGAATCAGAGTGTACAATCACAGGTTTATTACAAAGTTTTATTAAATGATGCTGAGGCTTGGAGTATAAAAGTATCCATCTCCCAGATAGTGAGCATTGTACCTAATAGGTAGTTTCTGAATGCTTGCCCTACTTCCTCCCTCTCCCCTCTTGCATCCCCCAGTGTCTCTTTCCATCTTTACTTTCATGTGTACTCAACGATTAGTTCCCACCTACAAGTGAGAAAATGTGGTATTTGGCTTTCTGCTTCTGTGTTAGTTTGCTTAGGATAATGGCCTCCAGTTGCATCCATGTTGCTGCAAAGGACATAATTTCATTTTTTTATGGCTGCATAGTGTCCCATGGTGTATATGTACCACATTTTCTTTATGCAACCCACTGTTGATGGACACCTGAGTTAACTCCATGTCTTTGCTATTGTGAATGGTGCTGCAATGAACATACAAGTGGATATGACTTTTTGATACAATTTTTTTTCTTTATGTATATACCCAGTAATGGAATTGCTGGGTTGAATGGCAGTTCAACTCTTAGTTCTTTGAGAAATTTCCAGACTGCTCTCCATGGTGGTTGAACTAAGTTAGATCCCCACCAACAGTGTACAAGTGTTCCATTTTCTCCAGAGCCTTAACAACATCTGTTATATTTCTGACTGTTTAACAAAAGCCATTCTAACTGGTGTAAGATGATATCTCATTGTGGTTTTGATTTGCATTTCTCTGATTAGTGATAATGAGCATTTATTTTTTTATTTTATTTTATTTTATTTATTATTATTATACTTTAAGTTTTAGGATACATGTGCACAATGTGCAGATTAGTTACATATGTATACATGTGCCATGCCGGTGCGCTGCACCCACTAACTCGTCATCTAGCATTAGGTATATCTCCCAATGCTATCCCTCTCCCCTCCCCCCACCTCACAACAGTCCCCAGAGTGTGATGTTCCCCTTCCTGTGTCCATGTTTTCTCATTGTTCAATTCCCACCTATGAGTGACAATATGCGGTGTTTGGTTTTTTGTCCTTGTGATAGTTTACTGAGAATGATGATTTCAATTTCATCCATGTCCCTACAAAGGACATGAACTCATCATTTTTTATGGCTGCATAGTATTCCATGGTGTATATGTGCCACATTTTCTTAATCCAGTCTATCATTGTTGGACATTTGGGTTGGTTCCAAGTCTTTGCTATTGTGAATAATGCCACAATAAACATACGTGTGCATGTGTCTTTATAGCAGCATGATTTATAGTCCTTTGGGTATATACCCAGTAATGGGATGGCTGGGTCAAATGGTATTTCTAGTTCCAGATCCCTGAGGAATCGCCACACTGACTTCCACAATGGTTGAACTAGTTTACAGTCCCACCAACAGTGTAAAAGTGTTCCTATTTCTCCACATCCTCTCCAGCACCTGTTGTTTCCTGACTTTTTAATGATTGCCATTCTAACTGGTGTGAAATGGTATCTCATTGTGGTTTTGATTTGCATTTCTCTGATGGCTAGTGATGGTGAGCATTTTTTCATGTGTTTTTTGGATGCATAAATGTCTTCTTTTGAGAAGTGTCTGTTCATGTCCTTTGCCCACTTTTTGATGGAGTTGTTTGTTTTTTTCTCGTAAATTTGTTTGAGTTCATTGTAGATTCTGGATATTAGCCCTTTGTCAGATGAGTAGGTTGCGAAAATTTTCTCCCATTTTGTGGGTTGCCTGTTCACTCTGATGGTAGTTTCTTTTGCTGTGCAGAAGCTCTTTAGTTTAATTAGATCCCATTTGTCAATTTTGGCTTTTGTTGCCATTGCTTTTGGTGTTTTAGACATGAAGTCCTTGCCCATGCCTATGTCCTGAATGGTAATGCCTAGGTTTTCTTCTAGGGTTTTTATGGTTTTAGGTCTAACATTCAAGTCTTTAATCCATCTTGAATTGATTTTTGTATAAGGTGTAAGGAAGGGATCCAGTTTCAGCTTTCTACATATGGCTAGCCAGTTTTCCCAGCACCATTTATTAAATAGGGAATCCTTTCCCCATTGCTTGTTTTGGTCAGGTTTGTCAAAGATCAGATAGTTGTAGATATGCGGCCTTATTTCTGAGGGCTCTGTTCTGTTCCATTGATCTATATCTCTGTTTTGGTACCAGTACCATGCTGTTTTGGTACCAGTACCATGCTGTTTTGGTTACTGTAGCCTTGTAGCATAGTTTGAAGTCAGGTAGTGTGATGCCTCCAGCTTTGTTCTTTTGGCTTAGGATTGACTTGGCAATGCGGGCTCTTTTTTGGTTCCATATGAACTTTAAAGTAGTTTTTTCCAATTCTGTGAAGAAAGTCATTGTTAGCTTGATGGGGATGGCATTGAATCTGTAAATTACCTTGGGCAGTATGGCCATTTTCACGATATTGATTGTTCCTACCCATGAGCATGGAATATTCTTCCATTTGTTTGTATCCTCTTTTATTTCGTTGAGCAGTGGTTTGTAGTTCTCCTTGGAGAGGTCCTTCACATCCCTTGTAAGTTGAATTCCTAAGTATTTTATTCTCTTTGAAGCAATTGTGAATGGGAGTTCACTCATGATTTGGCTCTCTGTTTGTCTCTTGTTGTTGTATAAGAGTGCTTGTGATTTTTGTACATTGATTTTGTATCCTGAGACTTTGCTGAAGTTGCTTATCAGCTTAAGGAGATTTTGGGCTGAGACAATGGGGTTTTCTAGATATACAATCATGTCGTCTGCAAAAAGGGACAATTTGACTTCCTCTTTTCCTAATTGAATGCCCTTTATTTCCTTCTCCTGCCTAATTGCCCTGGCCAAAAATTCCAACACTATGTTGAATAGGAGTGGTGAGAGAGGGCATCCCTGTCTTGTGCCAGTTTTCAAAGGGAATGCTTCCAGTTTTTTGCCCATTCAGTATGATATTGGCTGTGGGTTTGTCATAGATAGCTCTTATTATTTTGAGATACGTCCCATCAATACCTAATTTATTGAGAATTTTTAGCATGAAGGGTTGTTGAATTTTGTCAAAGGCCTTTTCTGCATCTATTGAGATAATCATGTGGTTTTTGTCTTTGGTTCTGTTTATATGCTGGATTACATTTATTGATTTGCGTATAATGAACCAGCCTTGCATCCCAGGGATGAAGCCCACTTGATCATGGTGGATAAGCTTTTTGATGTGCTGCTGGATTCGGTTTGCCAGTATTTTATTGAGGATTTTTGCATCAATGTTCATCAAGGATATTGGTCTAAAATTCTCTTTTTTGGTTGTGTCTCTGCCCGGCTTTGGTATCAGGATGATGCTGGCCTCATAAAATGAGTTAGGGAGGATTCCCTTTTTTTTCTATTGATTGGAATAGTTTCAGAAGGAATGGTACCAGTTCCTCCTTGTACCTCTGGGAGAATTCGGCTGTCAATCCATCTGGTCCTGGACTTTTTTCGTTGGTAAGCTATTGATTATTGCCACAATTTCAGCTCCTGTTCTTGGTCTATTCAGAGATTCAACTCCTTCCTGGTTTAGTCTTGGGAGAGTGTATGTGTCGAGAAATTTATCCATTTCTTCTAGATTTTCTAGTTTATTTGCGTAGAGGTGTTTATACTATTCTCTGATGGTAGTTTGTATTTCTGTGGGATCGGTGGTGATATCCCCTTTATCATTTTTTGTTGCGTCTATTTGATTCTTCTCTCTTTTTTTCTTTATTAGTCTTGCTAGCGGTCTATCAATTTTTTTTTATTAATGATTGTTTTCTGCTTGTATGTCTTCTTTTGAGAAGTGGCTGTCCATGTCCTTTCTCCACTTTTTCATGGGGTTATTTGTTTTTTGCTTATTGATTAATTTACATTTCTTATAGATTCTGGATATTGGGGTTTATAGATTCTGGATATGACATAGTTTCTGAATATTTTCTCCCATTCTGCAGATGGTTTGTCTTCACAGATTGTCTGAGCACAGATTGTCAGAGCTTCTTCACATCAAGAGAAACTCTCTTGCTGAGAAGAAGCTCTTTAATTTAGTTAGGCCCCACTTGTTAATTTTTGTTTTTGTTGCAACTAGTTTTGAGGACTTGGCCATTAATTATTTGCCAAGGCTGATATCAAGAAAGTATGTTCTGGATTTTCTTCTAGAATTTTGTATTTATAGTTCTTTCATTTAAGTCATTAATCTGTCATAAGTTAATTTTATGTATGGTGATAGATAGGGATTCACTTTCATTCTTCTGCATATGGCTAGCCAGTTATCCTCACAGTATTTATTGAATAGGGAATCTTTGCCCCATTCCTTATTTTTGTTCACTTTCCTGAAGATCAGATGGTTGTAGGTACAGGGCTTTATTCATGTAATTTCTATTCTGTTCCACTGGCCAGTGTGTCTGGTTTTTGTCCTAGCCTTGTGATGGTTTGGTTCCTGTACCCTTGTAGTCCAGTTTGAAGTAGGATAACATATCTCCAGCTCATTTCGTTTGTTTGTTTGTTTGCTTAAGAATACCTTTTGCCATTCAGGTTTTTATTTTGGTTCCATATGAATTTTATAATAGCTTTTTTTTTCAAATTCTGTGAAAAATGATGTTGATAGTTTGGTAGGAATACCATTGAATCTTTAAATTGCTTTGGGAAGTATGGGCATTTTAATATTGATTTTTCTATCCATGAGAATGGAATGTTTTTCCATTTATTTGTATCATCTCTGATTTTATTCAGCAGTGTTTTGTAATTCTACTTGTAGAGTTTTTTTTATCTCCTTGATTAGCAGTATTCCTGGGCATTTTTTTTTCATTGCTATTATAAATTGGTTTGCATTCTTAATTTGTCTCTCGGCTTGACTGTTATGTTCCACTGAATTTTATGCATTTATCTTGTATCCTGAAGCTGCACTGAAGTAATTCATCAGTTCTAAGTGCCTTTTGGGGGAATCTTCCTGGTTTTCCAGGTATAGAATCATATCATTAGCGAAGAAAGATAGTTTGACTTCTTCTTTTTCTATTTGGATGCCTCTTTATTTTTTTCTCTTGCTTGATTTCTCTGGCTAGGACTTCCAATACTATGTTGAATAGCAGCGGTGAGAGTGGGCATCTTTGCCTTGTTCTCAAGGGGGGTGGTTGCAGTTTTGCCCATTTGGTGTGATATTAGCTATAGGTTTGTCATAGATGGCTCTTATTATTTTGAGCTATGTTCCTTCAATGCTTAGTTTGCTGAGGGTTACTTCATGAAGCGATGTTGGATTTTATCAAAAGCTTTTTCTGAATCTATTGAGGTCATATGGTTTCTGTTTTTAATTTGGCTTATGTGGTAAATCACATTTACTGATTTGCATGTGTTGAACCAACCTTGCATCCCAGGAAGAAAGCCTATTTGGTCATTGTGAACTAACTTTTTGATGTGCTGCTGGATTCAGTTTGCTAGTATTTTGTCAAGGATTGTTTTGTCTATGCTTATCAGGAATATTGTCCTGATATTGTGTCTCTGTGAGATTTTGGTTTCAGGATGATGTTGGCTTCATAGAATTAGAGAATAGTGCATCCTCCCTTGATTTTTTTGAATGGTTTCAGTAGGATTGGTACCAGCTCTATGTACATCTGTTAGAATTTGGCTGTGAATCCATCTGGTCCTGGACTTTTTGTTTTTTGTTTGTTTGTTTGTTTGTTTTGTTTTGTTGTTGCTAGAGTATTTATTACTGATTTAATTTTGGAACTCGTTATTGGTCTGTTAGGTTTTTAATTTTTTCATGGTTCAATCTTGGGAGGTTGTGTGTTTCTAGGAATGTATTCATGTCCTCTGGATTTCCTACTTTGTATGGATAGGGGTGTTCATAGTAGCCTTTGAGGATCTTTTGTATTTCTGTGGAATAGGTTGTAATGTCATCTTTGTCTTTTCTAATTGTGGTTACTTAGATCTTATCTCTTTTCTCTTTGTTTATCTAGCTAGAGGTCTATACATCTTGTTTATTTTTTGAAATACACTTTTGAATTTGTTGGTCTTTTCTATGAATTTTTGCATATCAATTTTCTTCAGTGCTTCTCTGATTTTTGTTGTTTCTTTTCTTCTGCTAGCTTTGGGATTAGTTTGGTCTTGATTTTCTAATTCCTCTAGGTGTGATGTTAGATTATTAATTTGGTATATTTCTAAGTTCTTGATGTAGGTGTTTAGCACTATACATTTCCTCTTAATCCTGCTTTAGCTGCATCACATAGATTTTGATATGTTGTGTTTCTGTTTTTATTAATTTCAAAGAGTTTTACAATTTCTCCCTTAATTTTGTTGTTTACCAAAAAGCCATTCAGGTGCAAGTGGTTTAATTTTCATGTAGTTGTGCAGTTTGAGATATTCTTGGTTATGATTTCTTTTTTTTTTTTTTTTTTTTATTATACTCTAAGTTTTAGGGTACATGTGCACATTGTGCAGGTTAGTTACATATGTATACATGTGCCATGCTGGTGCGCTGCACCCACTAATGTGTCATCTAGCATTAGGTATATCTCCCAGTGCTATCCCTCCCCCCTCCCCCGACGCCACCACAGTCCCCAGAGTGTGATATTCCCCTTCCTGTGTCCATGTGATCTCATTGTTCAATTCCCACCTATGAGTGAGAATATGCGGTGTTTGGTTTTTTGTTCTTGCGATAGTTTACTGAGAATGATGGTTTCCAATTTCATCCATGTCCCTACAAAGGATATGAACTCATCATTTTTTATGGCTGCATAGTATTCCATGGTGTATATGTGCCACATTTTCTTAATCCAGTCTATCATTGTTGGACATTTGGGTTGGTTCCAAGTCTTTGCTATTGTGAATAGTGCCGCAATAAACATACGTGTGCATGTGTCTTTATAGCAGCATGATTTATACTCATTTGGGTATATACCCAGTAATGGGATGTCTGGGTCAAATGGTATTTCTAGTTCTAGATCCCTGAGGAATCGCCACACTGACTTCCACAATGGTTGAACTAGTTTACAGTCCCACCAACAGTGTAAAAGTGTTCCTATTTCTCCACATCCTCTCCAGCACCTGTTGTTTCCTGACTTTTTAATGATTGCCATTCTAACTGGTGTGAGATGATATCTCATAGTGGTTTTGATTTGCATTTCTCTGATGGCCAGTGATGATGAGCATTTCTTCATGTGTTTTTTGGCTGCATAAATGTCTTCTTTTGAGAAGTGTCTGTTCATGTCCTTCACCCACTTTTTGATGGGGTTGTTTGTTTTTTTCTTGTAAATTTGTTTGAGTTCATTGTAGATTCTGGATATTAGCCCTTTGTCAGATGAGTAGGTTGCGAAAATTTTCTCCCATGTTGTAGGTTGCCTGTTCACTCTGATGGTAGTTTCTTTTGCTGTGCAGAAGCTCTTTAGTTTAATTAGATCCCATTTGTCAATTTTGTCTTTTGTTGCCATTGCTTTTGGTGTTTTGGACATGAAGTCCTTGCCCACGCCTATGTCCTGAATGGTAATGCCTAGGTTTTCTTCTAGGGTTTTTATGGTTTTAGGTTTAACGTTTAAATCTTTAATTTTTATCATACTTTGGTCTGAAAAGTTTGTTTGGTATAATTTCTATTTTTTGGAATTTATTTAGACTTGCTTTATCATTAAGCCTGTGACTGATCTTAGAGTATGTTCTGAGTGCAGATTAAAAGACTGTGTACTTTGCGGTTGTTAGGTTGAGTATTCTGTAAATATCTATTAGGAACAATTCGTCAAGTGTCGAGTTTAAGTCCAAAATTTCTGTTAGTTTTCTGCCTTGATGATCTATCTAGCACTGTTAGTGGAACGTTGAAGTCCCCCACTATTCTTGTGCAGCTGTCTAAATCTTACTGCAGTCCAAGAAGTACTTGTTTTATGAATCTGAGTGCCAATGTTGCATTGCATATGTATTTAGGATAATTAGGTGTTCTTGTTGAATTGAATATTTTATTGTTATGTAATGTCTTGCTCTGTCCTTTTTGACTGTTTTTGGTTTAAAGTGTGCTTTATCTAGTATAAGAATATCGACCTGTGCTCTTTTTGGTTTTGCAGTTGCATGATAGGTCTTTCTCCATTTCTTTTCTTTCAGCCTGTGGGTGTCATTACATATGACGTGGGTCTCTTGAAGGCAATAGCTGGTTGGGCCTTATTTTTTTTTTTTTAATTCAACTTACAATTCTGTGCTTTTCAAGTCAGGTTTTTAGATCATTTCCATCAAGATTAATGTTGATCTGTGAGTTTTGATCCTGTCATTGTGGTGTTAGCTGGTTGTTTTTGTAGACTTAATTGTGTAGTTGCTTTATAGTGTCTGCCTGAAATGTACTTAAGTGTGTTTTCATGATAGCAGGCACTGTTCTTTCATTTCTATTATTAGTATTCCCTTAAGGACCTCTTGTAATACTAGTCTAGTGGTAACAAATTTATGTGTTGTTTGGTTGTCTGAAAAGAATTTTATTTCTTCTTCACTTGTGGAACTTAGTCTGGTTGAACATGAAATTCTTGGTTGAAATTTTGCTTCTTTAAGGATGCTAAATATAGACCCCCATCTTTCCTGGCTTGTAATGTTCCTGCTGAGAGGTCCACTGTTAGCCTGAAGGAGTTTTCTTTGTAAGTGATCTGACACTTCTTTTTAGCTGTCTTTAATATTTTTTTCTATCACATTGACCTTGGCGAATCCGATGACTATGTATCTTGGGTTTGGCCATCTTATATAGTGTCTCATGGGGGTTCTGTGTATTTTTTGAATTTGCATATTGGCATCTCTAATGAGATTGGGAAAACTTGTATGGACTGTATCCTCAAATACTGTTTCCAAGTTGCTTAATCTCTCTACTACTCTCTCAAGAATGCCAGTTTGTCTTAGGTTTGATTTCTATACATAATCCTGTAATTTCCAAAGGTTTTGTTTATTTCTAAACATTCTTTCTTCTTTATTTTTGCCTGACTAAGCTGATTCAAAGGACTTATCTTCAAGATCTGAGATTCTTTCCTCAGGTTGGTCTATTCCATTATTAATTCTTCAAACCAAATTATGGAATTCCTGTAGTGAAATTTTCAATTCCAGGAGTTCAATTTGGTTCTTTTAAAAAATTGCTATGTCATCTTTCAGCTGTTGGACCGTTTTCCTGGATTCGTTTGATTGGGTTTCAACTTTCTCCTGAATCTTATTGAGCTTCCTTGCCTCCCAGATTCTGAATTATATGTCTGTCATTTCAGCCATTTCAGTGGTTGAGCTGCTGTGGATCTAATATAATAGGGAGCCATGGTGATTGTCTGAAGGTAAGAAGATGCTGACTTTTTGAATTGCCGTAGTTAATGTACTAATTCTTCCTCATCTGAGAAGGATGCTGTTCCCTTATCTTTTCGCAGTTGCTTTTGTTTAGATGGGGCTTTTTTTTAATATAATTTTTATTTATCTTAAGAGTTTGACTGTGGTGTAAGTTGAATATACACGACTAGCTTCATTTCTGGATGCTTTCAGAGGGCAAAGTATCTGTACGGGATATATATTTGTGGTTAGATTCCTGCATTGGATTTCACAGATGAAGCGTGCTGGAAAAAAAATGGTTTTGGTGGTGTAAATCAGGCTGCAACTCAGTAGGCAGCACTTAAGAACAATGGCCAGCAGTTAGGCATTTACATAGCTGCCTGCCTGTTTTGTATTTTAACACATTTGCAGCAGTGTTCAGTCATTGGGAAGTTGGTGGTCAGCCGGGGATAGATGAACCCCTTATTAAGTTCATTCATGGGCCTTAGGGACTCCCAAATCACTGGTGCCACACCCATATTTCCTTAACCCCAATGAGGGACCTGTCAGGCTGTGCTCCCTTCTCCCTTGGGGGCAGCCAGAGCCAAAGATAAGGTCACCAGGAGACCTGCAGCTCTCTGGAGACCCACTGGTCCTCTTTGCTTGGCAGAGTCAGAGTTGGTTGTGGTATATGTCTGTGGGTGGTGTACTGATGCAGTAGCTCAAGGCTGGGAGACCTCTGGGCAGGGTAGTGTTGCTGTGAGTGTGCAGCAGGGATGGCACCCATGGCCTGGAGTATTTTGCTCAGTAGATGGCTGTGGAGACTGCCCAACCTGTGCTCCCTCAACAAAATATTCCCATTTTACATACTAGTTTTGATAAAACATTGCTTGAATGAAAAAAAGTATGTAATATAGCAACACCCCTCATTTATATGTCACTGTGATATATGAAAAAAGTAGTTAAACTCACCACATTTTACCAACAACAAAAAATCACATAACAAGCACTAAGCACAGTGATTATGCAAGTACTATCTTTCCAGATCATGTATTTTTCAAATAAATGTTAGTATAGCATTAATTAAATTCATTTATGAAATTCAAGCATTCTTCATTCAAAAATTATTTAAAACAGGCACATACTAATTAACTTTGTTACTATCTATTGGTGAACATATTACTTGTTTTTCTACTTTACATATTATTTACTTTTATTATGGTGGACTTATAGTTATATTTCATACTATATAGTCATTAGTTATTTCATATTATACATTATATATTAGTTTACATTCTGGTAGACAGACCTTTTAAGTTATTTATGTTATTTGTGCACGTACACATTTATGTACTTATATATAACGTACAGGTATATGCTTTTATATTTTATTCTTGTATTATATTCATATATGTATCTGCTTTGTCCTTTCTGAAACTAGATGTGAGGTGGGAACACCGTCACCTGCAGAGTTAAACATTGGACACAACTCTAGTTTTTTAGCTGTAGGAATCTAGTCCATATTTGGTGTACTTTCTGCAATTCCCCATCAGCTTTTTTTCTTTATTTTCTTTCTGACATTTGCTTAGTCTCTTCAGTATCTGTGAGTGCTGTTTCAGTTCTCCTCTGTATCACCTGGACATATACTTCAGCACCGTTAGTGATCTCCATCCCCAAAATCTGCCCACACCATACATGTTCTAGGTTATCAACTTTACCAACCATGGTAAACAGCCTCAGTGAATGTCCTCGTTGGCTGTGTGCTGGAAGTTCAAATTCTTTGCCTCTATATCTACATGGACTGCCTGAGTGTTCTCATGCCATGGAAGTTGACTTCCTCTAGAACAAGTAACGAGAGGGCATGAAAGAGAGACAATGCCAAGGCAGAAGCTACAAAATAACAATCTTGGAAGTGACATATCATCACTTCTGTTGTATCCTATTGGCCATACAGGCCAAAGTGGGAGGGGATTGCATAAGGGCATAAACACCAGAAGGAAGGGCTCCTTGGTGTCATCTTAGATGTTGGCTGTCATTGTCTGGCCTCTGGGCCTCAATATATCACTTGTATGTGCAGATTATATTTACCTCATTCTAAGGTTAGAAGGAGCAGAAGCATGACCTACTAAAATATTCTGTACAGAATGGGCTTCCACTTACCTGATCTCTTACTCATTTATCTTCTGTTCTCTACTTTTTTCTGGAGTCAACCAACAAATTGGTCCAGATATTCTTAGCATAGCAGAGCTATCCTTATGGTGGACATGCTAAGTCAATAATTTCCACTCCAAGTATGTGTACTGAAATTTTTCTCAACACAGGTAGCTATCTTCTTAAGAAGCATTCTGTATCTATTAAAATAATTTGTTCCCATTTCAGTATATTTGGATCTCCTCATTCCCATGTTTAACGTAGTCCTCATCATATGGCAGGTGTTTGTTAAATTAAAGTGAATAATTATTTTCAAGAGAGTGAATCTCAAGTAATATATAGTTGAAGTTTTTTTTAAATTACATTCTGTCTGAGAATCTATTTGCCTTAGAATAATCAATGATATATTAAACAATGATAAATCAGAATGAAGTGGTGGGATGTAAGCAACATTTGGTACAAGGAAACTTATAATTTCTGGAAAGTCTCACATCATTTTCATTTTTCTGTGTACAGTTTTTTTTTAACTTCATAATCTACAAAAAGATCACAAATTACCCAATGTCTTAAGAATAATCATTACCAGTAGTAACTGCTGATCACTCATAGAAACTATCTCAGTGATGAATTTTGCCTCAATATTTTTTATTTACTCTATATCATTGTCTACTTTTATCACTGTAGTTATTAGAAATAGCTAACCGAATGGTGTGTAGTTGAAGAGAGGCTAACCCAGAATACAGCATAACCTTTTTCCTCATCACCTCTAACTTATTAAAGGTGCTATATTGTTTGAGCATATTTTTTGATTTTCAGTTTGTAATTACACGTATTTTGATGTCACAAAGCGATGGGAAAATCTCCAAACAGGTGTGAATTGTAAGGTCAATGATCAAATCCACCTTTACTGCATCCTAAAGGTAGCTTTAGAAAATTGTGAAGTAGTACATCTTCCATGACTTTCTACCATTACTGTGCCCTTCACAATTCCACACACACACACTTCTGAGTTAAATATTAGATCCAATTATGAAAGATACCGAGTTATGAAGAAAGTGCTTAATAGCTTACATCTTCCTTCATATATAATTATAAAATAATGGGAGGTATTTAATACATAATGGCACTCTAAGTATTTGTAAGTTGGTCACGGATTTGGGATTCTGAGACATTACATGTGTTATTTTGTTACTATATTTTTACATTTATTTTCCTTATTCAACCCTGAATGTGGCATCTTAGACATACTTCAAAGACTGAAAATAATAAACAATATTTGTTAAGCACTTGACAATACAGGCTTTATGTGGAATGGTTGAATACTCTCTTACTTTGTTGAAATAGTGCACTGAACTACTGCAATTGTTCCCATTCTACGGAGAAGGATGCTGATGCATAAAAGTTACACTATGGTATCTAGTGTCTAAGGGACAGAACTTAGAGATGCACGCAGTAGTCTTTCATCTCAGAGCTTTGACTCTCTAATTGCTGTTAGACAGTAACATCAGGTGGCCAAAATTAAAACACAGCAATTGTTTTTCTTAGAGATTTGCTCCATCCTCACTCTCTTTATTCCTCCCAGAAAGCACAGCCAGTTTTCTGTGACCTCCTCTGCAGCCCAGCCTCCAACAAATGCAATTCTTTTTGTTCTTGTTTTGTGCTGCTTGACACTAGTATCACCTTATACTTCTTTTATCTTGCATTTGATGGTAGCTTATAGAGCTTTAGGGATCTATTCTTTCCTTTCTTTTCTGAATGTTCTGTGCTCCCAGTCTCCTCTATTCTAAGAAGTGCTGAACTACTTTGCACATTTCTTTGTAAAGGAAGGTCTGAGAGCCTTGTTTCCCAGGTCACTTCAATTTCCATTTCCAGTGCCTCTGCCTAACGTAAAGTACAATTTGGCTCTGAGGAAATGATCATATCTGCACACTATAGTTCCAGCTTATTTTTTTTCAGTTTTCTCTTTAGCATAATACCCTTTCTTGTTCAGAAGTGTTATTACTTGTACTATTTCTGTCATTCAGTAATGATTTACTAGATTAGTTTTTACTTATAATCGCTAAATACTTTCTTCTATTTTAAAGTTTGCAACTGTATGCTCAGAAGACAGACCTTTGTGTTTAATGCAGTTCAGTTCTGCCAATATTTGGTTGATGACTAAGTGTTATGCCCTGTATTTGGTAAGATGAGGTAGACATTGATATTTGACCTCAAAAAACCCACAGTTAAGTAGAAAAAATATTTTCAATAACTATAGATATGGCATCATTATCACTCTAAAGAGAGGGCAAATATGACATAGGTTAATGGGGAAAGATCAATGACAAAGTGGGCTTTGTACTAAAATTTGGCACAATTTTTGATAGAAGGAACAGAAAAAAATGGTATGTTATTCCACATAGAATATCTTTGAAAACAGTCATAGATACTGAGGTAGGAAGCTCACGTATTTGTATGGTTGTTGAATAAGCTATCTCAATTGGAATGTGAATATTATGTCCCAGTAGATAAGAAAGAGCCAAAAAAAAAAAAAATAGATTTGAGTCAGATTATGTAAAACTGTTAGTGCTAGTCTAAAAAGTTTACATTTATACAAGAGGAATGGGAGCCATTGAGGGTGTCTGAAGTCTGTAAACATCCTTATCAAAATCAAAAAAACAAATCAAACTATACTTTTCAGTGCACCAATTTTAAATTAATTTTCAGCAATATTATTTGCAAGTGACTACAGCATAAAAGTCATACTGTGAAGGGAAAGAATATTTAAAAAAAAACATTTGGTTATTTCCACTAAACCAAACTACCATTTTTATTCTCAAATAAGCTTTTGTTTAGATGTTTTCTCTGATGATGGTGTTTTAAGCTAGAGATAATAATTATTGATTATTATTTATTAACAATACCAAAAGTCAGCCAATTTAGCAAATTCAAAGTAAAATATTTAGGTGGAAAGACACACAAATGACATTTACATACAAGACTTTACTTTGCTACTGACAGAACGGTAATTATAATGTACCAGCTTGCATACTGACCAAGAAACCATGGGAAAAGTATATCTGGAATGAATTTGGAGCCAGAGGTTCAGACCTGGTTGTCACTAGCATTTATTTGGCAACTGATTTCTTGATAGTAGGTGAGATGGTAGACAATGGAGAAGGAACCAAGAAAAGACGAGTGAGATAAGTGAGAAAAAAAAAAAAAAAAAGGAAAGAAAAAAGAGAATAAAATCCAAGTGAGAAAGCAATTTGAGATCCAGAGAGTGGTCAATCATGTCAATAGGTTTTCAGATTCAAGTAGGAACAGCAGTGAAAACAGAATATTAAGTTTTGAAATTAAGAGGCCACTAGGGATCTTAAAAAGGACACTAAACAAATTTTGATGATTAAAGAAAAGATTCTCAAAGTGCTCTTGAAAATCCGTACATGCCATTAGTATGCATGGACTTTGTGAAGTCTGTCAATGATAATTAGGTACTTTCGGGCTAGTAAAACAAAAATTATCTATAAACAAAGCAAGATGAATATCACCAAATAGCAGGCTTTTAAATTCATACACAAACAAGAAGCAGCAAGGTCCAATCGCTTTCTTTCTTAATTCATATCAGGAGTTGAAATACATTATTTGTTACATTGGAAAATGTCTTCTCTACCCTTGTTAATAGTAGCTATTATTTTATCATTTTGTAAAACTAATCTTTGTGTATTCCCAAAGCCAATATATACATTCTAATTTACTACAGTTATTTTATGTTGATGATAGTAGCCATGATGACACTCTAATTCAGCTTTGTGTTTAAATATATAAGACTATATTAAGAGTCTGGCTTTTATTTTTAATTAATTAATAAAGTCACATGTAATATCTCCCAGGTGACTTATTAAGTACTATTAAGTGTTTCAAAAAATTGAAGTTTGCCAAGAGCTCAGGCAGCAGAAAAACAGTTTGTGATGGTTGTGAAACTTGGACTAGTTCTTAACGGTGAGGGAGTCCCTAAAGACGGTATCGCAGAGAGAAAACAGGCATTGAAATGGCAATGTGCTTAGTGTGTTTAAGGATTCTATTAGTTTGCCAGAACTGCCATAACAAAATGCCACAATATGGGTGGCTTAAACAACAGAAATTTATGGTCTCGCAGTTCTGGAGGCTGAAAGTCCTAGATCAAAATGTCAGCAGGATTGGCTTCTTCTAAGGGCCATGAGGGAAGGCTCTGTTTCATGCCTCAGTCATAGCTTCTGGTAGTTTGCTGTCAGTCGTTGGTGTTCCTTGACTTCTGCTGCATCATCCTGATCTCTGCCTTGATCTTCAATGGTGTGCTCCCTGTGTGCATGCCAATGTCCAACTGTCACCTTTTTATAAGGGCACCAGTCATATTGGATTTGAGTCCCATCACTATGGCCTCATTTTAACTATTGCAGCTGCAATAATCTTATTTCCAAATTATGTCACATTCTAAGCCATTGTGTGTTAGGCTTCAACATATTAATTTGGGGTACACAATTCAACCTATAGCAGAGCTCAGAGAACCAATTATTTTGAGTCAAGCAAAGGACTCATGTGGAAGGGAAGTGATACAGAACATTGGAATAAAAGTTGGGGCCAGAAAGGGAAGAACCTGGAGTTGACAAGAGATCTGACTTCATCCTGAGTCAGCTAAAACTAGTGCCTTTACAGACTTATTGTAGCTACCAAGGCCTTTCTCCAAACATGATGTCAAACAGAAGCATAATATAAAATGGATAAAAAGCAGAGTTTTTCTGGTGATCATATGATTTGTGATTTGCCATTCTCCACACCCTATATACCCCACTGATCTCTGTGATAGTGACGGGGAATTTTAAGGCTACCTGTAACAGAATTTAAAAACTTCCACTTCGGAAGACTGATCTAGAGAAATATGTTAGAAAGAGAGGAACTGGAGATCAAAATAGATTATTGCAGTAGTTTAGAGATGAGAAAATGAGGCCAGATTGGGGTGGCACAAGTGGGAAAATGGAAGAGGTTAATGAATTTACCAGTGTAGGTTGTATATTTTATATAATATTTGATGAATAATAACAGGATGGTAGAAGGATAAGAAACAATATGATTAATATCATTAATAAATAATTACAGTATATTAAATTTCCATTCCATTCCAAGTTGTGTCCTACTTGTCCAAGTTCATTAAACTAATACATTGGGATTTGAATTTAAAGCTGAGAGAGAAATATGCTTGATTTCAAAACCTCTCTTCTTTATTATATGTCTGTCTTGCTCTCTAGGATCAACCTAAGATGTTGAATATAAGTGACTATCCTAAAGAATATTAATTCAATTTGTAGAATTATGAAGTGCTTTATTGAATTAAAAGGCATTATTTTCTTTTGCCACATTATTTTGAGATAATGGAAAGACAACTAACAAGAAATGTCTTGTGGGCCATTACAGACAGAGGAATCATACTCAGGACATTGGTCTTGTGTGCCAGTACTCTGGCACCGTTTGTGTCAGTGGTCCCACTACTACCTGAAGTTCAGTGCTTTGCTAGAAGAACACATGGGGCTCAGGATATAGTTGTCCTCATGTATGATATTTATTACAGCAGCACAGTAAGGATACACTGCTGGATTAGTGATGGAGAAATACGTGCACTGTTTGAATGAATTTATGTGTATGTTTCCCTTGCTTTCCCTGAAGAGGCCACACTGAATATCCTGTTACCCAGAAATGAAATGTAATAGCACATGTGCAGTGTTTCTGCCAAAAAAAAAAAAAAAAAGTCCATTTGAGACTCAGAGTCTAAGGCATTCTGGGAGCTGGTTACATGGCAATTTCTATCTACTACTACCAAATTCTAGACTGCCAGGAGAAAAGCATTATGAATCACATTGTTTGTACAGTTTCGTCAAGCTTGAACAGTGGAACAACCTTATCAGTTAGTGATGGAGGGAACAGTTCTCAAGCAAAATTTCTAGATGACAGTCAATACCCATCCCTGTCAGCAGGCCCTTCTAAATATCTAGACAGCTATGTTAACTTTTTCCTGAACATGTTATAAAAAAGAAAAAAGAAAGAATCTAGTGTTCTGGTGTTGCTGATGAAAGTTAAGTGATGAGAAACCTGTAAAGGGGAAAATAGAAGAGTATAGACTAGTTATTGAGTTATAACAACATTGATGTGGTCAAATATCTATACAAAATTCGTAACGAATTGATTCTAAAGTTTTAGGTGGCCAGGAGAGTTTTATATATATATATATCAATGTGTGTGTGTGTGTGTGTGTGTGTGTGTGTGTGTGTATATATAAAACAGTATTATTTAAGGAATCAAATTTCAATACTGAACCCTTGAAAATGAGTAAAAGACTGTGAGTTATTAAAAAATTAAAACAAGTATGATGATATTATGGAATATTAAATATTAATGGGAAATTATAACTGGTACAATACGTAAATGCCATGTCGTATAAAACTAGGTGGTAATTGTAAAGCAAGTAGAGAAGGGGGTCAGGAAAATCGAGCTCACTATTTCTCAACTGTAATAACAGTATGAGTATATGCCCACCTTTGTTTCACAATCTAATTCTTGAATTGTTGGATTGATATTTGAATCACTAAGTTTGGATACATGCCAAATGCTAAAGAAAATACAACTTCCGTATATTGCTTGAAAGCCTAAATTAAAAATTTCTATTTCTGTTCTCTTCCCAAAATGTGTTTTATAGGTTTAAAATTAATAATCTATTTTACCATCTTATTGTGATAGTAAAATTATTTATGCATTTTTAGTTTTCTTGGTCACACAATATATTACCATATCTTTAGACATTTTACATGCTATATCTATATTGACCTCTATATCCATATTTATATCCATATATCAATACCAACTTCTGATTTTCCTGTTTCTAACTTATAGTTTTACTAAAATATTTTTTAAAAAGAAGATGGGTGCGGTGGCTCACGCCTATAATCCCAGCACTTTGGGAGGCTGAGGCGAGCGGATCCCGAGGAAAGGAGTTCGAGACCAGCCTGACCAACATGGTGAAACCCCGTCTCTACTAAAAATACACACACACACACACACACACACACACACACACAATTAGCCGAGCGTGGTAGCGCACGCCTGTAATCCCAGCTACTCAGGAGGCTGAGGCAGGAGAATCGCTTGAACCTGGGAGGCAGAGCTTGCAGTGAGCCGAGATTGCGCCACTGCACTACAACCTGGGGAACAGAGCAAGACGCTGTCTCAAAATAATAATAATAATAATAATAATAATAATAATAATAATAATAATAAAATAAAACAAAATAAATAAAAATAAAAAATAAAAAAGAAGATAAAAACGAAAAGAAAAAAGAAATGATTGATTTATTTTCCTTTGGTTCACCACATTCTTCCTCACAACCACTTTAAATAGCACAACATGTAAGTAGAAGGGAGTATGAGGCAATAATGTGGATAGAGAAAACAGCTAGGGACTATGAAGATAGTATAATAGTATCTTAATAAAGGTAATTGATTATATTGTCTTGCACAGAGCTCCCACCTTTAAGTTTGTACAACTCCTACTTTTATTCAAATCAATTCTGCCTCAGAAAATCATCAGCATATTTATCAAATGGGACCCTAAATACATTTCTTGAGATAGGCTAACAGACAACCACCTTCACTTTCACAGTGATGATCATTCAGTCATTGCTTTGATGTATTTTTACTTTTCTGTCATGAGCTATGTGGCTTCACAGCCATTTGCAAGGGTCCTCTACCATTTCTGAAGATGGTCTTCTGGAGACTAGTGCGCTCTTTTGACGTTCTTGCCTTTAGATTATCCCTCCTCCTTTAAAACATCCACAAATAGATCTGTTTATGTTATAAAATCACACAAAAGTTTCAGAAAAATTTTGTATTCTGCGAAATGATGATGTAAATAAAATGATTAATTGGAAAAATACATTAAGAGCAGAGTGCTCAAAGCCCATGCAACTTTATTATTACAACATTAGCAGAAACAATAATAATTAAACAATAATAATCCTAACAAATTGGTATTAATAACATACTTAAAAAGTTATGCTAACTCCCTAATAAACAAAAAATTACAATGTATAGAAAAAGTGCAGGAGACATATATATGGCTTGATAAGAAAGAGGTCTAAGGAAGGGCTAAGACCTAAGAACTATGGATTTGACGGATAAATATTCAAAATCCTTGGCTATTTATCCACAATAAGCACTTGTATTTCAGAGCATGTGGCCAAACTGAGGTGAAAGAAAAAATGTGGGGTGAATACGCATGGTGTGTTGTATTATATTCTTCCACAGATTAATGCATTTAGCTGCATAGTGTACTTTACTTTCAGGAGCAATATTTGGTGGCACAAAGTATTAATGTGTTGGGAAAATTGTAAAATAAAGTAATACCTTTTTATTCACTAAATGTATATGAACTAATTCTTATTATATGAATATGCATGAAATGAGTAACTTCTTCTAACTTGTGTTTTAATTATATTAAAAATGCTATTTACAGTATAACAAATGATATAACAAATCATAGCTGCATCCTGTGCTCTTTTTAAAAGAGACCGTCAGGTTCCTCAACTGAGTAAATGGCTTTCAAGTTAAGTCTGGCCAGTTCTCTAAATGCAGCTTGGGTGCATTTCAACTTATAGTAGCAATAAAACTCAGATGTTCCTTCCAGGGTTTCCACTCCATATACAAAATTAGATAGCTTCACACCTACATTGTTTGGCAAATTGTTGTAAAGAACACATGCTTACTAGTAACATGAATATCAATATCATTAAGTCCACAAACATTCACCAGATACTTGCCATGGACTTAGCACTATGGATGTGACATTGTGTCCACAGAAAGTTACTCTCCAGCCAGCTCACCTAACAGTGTAAGCCATAATGTAACTAAAACACAGTACTGGCAATAATGCAGAACTTAACACCATGAGCATCAGTTTGGGGAAAGACGTATTCACTATTCCAAGGTAGAACTAATGCGGTCATTTTTCTTTATTTCTGTTTTCCAAAATAACGGTGTTCTTTTATTGATCTGCCCACGTTTTTCCCTCATCTTTTAAAAGTCCATCTGAATTGTTGGTGGATTCTTTTTCACAAGCCACTTTTGTCAGTAGTTATATAACAAGATGGTTCATGAAGGACAGGGCTGGAGATCATAGAGAATAATTAGGAGAGAGGCTTTAGAAAATCTAGGGTCAACTTCCAAGACATTTCTTCACTGGTTTTCCTGTATCAAAAGGAAAGGCAAATAAAAGCAAATACTATCTTTTGTAATTCAAGACTTCATAGAGATGACTGCAAAATACAAAAGACCTAAAATAGCAGTCTAGAAAATCTTAAATGTTTCCTCACCTCACAAGTTCACACACTAACACACCACTTATTAGTCACATAGATAATTTTTATAATTAAAGTCTATTGGGTCTAAAGGTGGCCAAATCCCAGAGGCAAATTTAAAGGATAGGAAGGAGCACCTATGTAGCTTCAATTCACTGTGTCCCCTTTCTCAATATCTTTTTTGCTTCAGGGAACGTCTACTGTCAGCAATAATGTCCTGTGGGACGTGCCTTTGCTGTTCGTTGCATTAAATGTCCAGCTTTTTACTATGCTTTGTTTAGCCAGGTGTTTGACTTTAGTTCTCCTCCTGGGATTCAGGGAACATGCAGACAGCCTCATCAGCAGATGTGTAACTCAGGCAAGCATAGTTGTTAACAAGCGGGCCGCTTAAAGGCAGCTCTGCCTGCTTTATATCTGCCGCAATCTTTTTATATCTGTTTCCAGGCTGCCTCTGTCAAGGAAATTCCTCTCACCAACAGGTTCCAGTTTACAACTGCTGTATAATCACTGTGGTTAGTCAGCTGCCAGGTGATGGTTAAGTCAGGGTGGAAGGTGTCAATATGGTTTAGGTCCCTTTCGTGAGTATGGCTAGTGAGGCCTAAGGATATTTGTAAATACCTGTCTATTAATATCTATATGCAAACTAGAGCTGTGATTTAGATGCATAAATTTTAAGGATGATTTAGAAAACTGAAGATTCTCACTAATGTTTAATTGAGCCCAATGTGTGGTATGATAATCAAGTTTTTATTGATATACTTACGTTCAGTAGGCAAACATAACTTCCATTTCAGCATGATATCAACCAAAAGGATGTTTTTTTTTCTTATTCTTCATAACCTTCCAGTCTTTCTCTGCATCCAATTGTCCTTAATTAAACATCTAGAACCATACTTTCCCACGGTAGCCCTTTGATACCTGTTAATTTCTAGATCTATTTGAAATAAAATAATTTTTGTTGGATAAATTATTTTCATTGACTTTCTAAATGTGGTATTTCATATATGATAATTGCATAATTGCAAGAAATTAATTTTTTTTGAGATGGAGTTTTGCTCCATTGCCAAGGCTGGAGTGCAGTGACACAATCTCAGCTCACTGCAGCCTCCACCTCCCAGGTTCAAGTGATTCTCCTGCCTCAGCCTCCCGAGTAGCTGGGATTACAGGCAAGCACCACCATGCCCAGCTAATTTTTGTATTTTTAGTAGAGATGGGGATTCACCATGTTGGCCAGGCTGGTATTGAACTCCTGACCTCAGGTGATCCACCTGCCTTGACCTCCCACAATGCTGGGATTACAGGCGTGAGCCACCGCACCAGGCCAAGAACTTAAGTTTAAGTACATAAAAGCCCGAAGCTATTGTGAACATCTCAGAAATACACTGAGTGTGAGATTTGTCTTGAGATTTTGTAACATGAGTTGGTATTGCAGGAAGGAGGTGAAATTGTAGTCAAAGTCAGAGTGGGGATTCTTTGGGAGGTAACAGTAGAGAATGTCACACTTCACCCTCAATCCTCATGGTTGGAGGGAAAAAAATCTTGGAATTCACTCTGGAAACAGGATGGTACCTACAAAGGGTCTGCGTAAATACTGAGAGAGACTCAATATTTAAGTTACAGAGTTATTGCTTATCAAATGATGTAAGACATGAAGCCTACTTTGAACTATTGTATGAGATAGAGATAAGTGAAAATGGAAGATTCTCATAGACAGAGACAACAGCAGCAGAGCAAGAATTAAAGATAAGTTAGACTTAACTCTTAACGATGCCATCAATTGAATATTCTTGGATAGGCTGTAAATTTCCTCCTTATGTATCTTTCTTTTTTGTTGACGTTATATTGCTCGTGTTTTGTTATGTGTTGTTAGTAGTAGAATCTACAGCCCAATCTGGCTTGCCCTTATCAATGACAACACTTTTGGCCACATCAATTCCATATTGAATACTATTTGCCTATTTTAATTTTAGCCTAAGCAAAATGTAATTAGGAAATAAATCTGCTTCCAAATTGAAATGTATCCCAAAGCCAACTCTAAAAAACTTTGGAATCATTCAGTATTTAGGATTATCCATGCTACCATTTCCCTCCAATTACATGGCTAAAGAAAGACAATTTAAAACAGTCTCTATAAATTTGGCATATTTAATCATTAAAGCAGTGATTGGATTAAATTATCTCTGATAATCAATACTCTTATTCACAATACTATACAAGCTAATAATCAAGTTTAAAGAATATTGAAATATTAAAGGTATTTTAAAAACACCCTTGACCTCTTAGAATTGTCTACTTTGGTACAAACCATAATACAATTCTACAACCCTATTTAGTCAATAAAAAATAATAATTATACTTTATCAAAGATAAATAAATTTTTACTGCTGGTAATGTATTTTGAGCCCCTCTTCAATGTCTACGTGAGCTTTGTCTATTTTTTCTTTTCTTTTTGAACCTATTGAAATTATTACTATGGAAGGGGGCATCAAGGAATGCTAGGTGAGATTGATAGCAGGGTTGAATATTTGGCCTGCAATTATTAAGATAAGTGAGTCAGAGAAAGCTCTCTGCTTTCATGGGATTATCGTTGGCTCCTCAAGTAGGATTTATTGAAGAAGAAATGTCATTTTTGGTTATGGATTCTTATTAAATTTTTATGTTTTTAAGCAAATTTTTTTTCAAAATTTATATAATATTGATGGATGTATAGAACTATAGAAACTTTTTGAAAACCTAACATATTTAATATTTCTCTAAGTGTCTAAGAACATCATAAACAAATACTTTTATAATAAGCTTACTTCAAAGTGCACTGATATTATGATTGACAATTTAGTTTAATGGTGTAATAATTACAATGAAAGACTGTTTTCAGAGGACGTAGACTGAGATCTTATGATTTGTGTGAGCTTGAAAAATTAATTGAACTCTTTAGTTCTCAGTTTCCTCACCAATGAAGTGAGGATAAAAAGTACTTAAATCAGAGCAGTGGTTGTTTAGATTAAAAGAGATAATACTTAAATAAGTACTTGAGTTTCAGTAACCATTTAACTAAAGGAAAATATTATTATTATTTCTTTTATTGATGCTACTGCTGTTGTATTATTATGACTAGTGGGAAAAATTATATGAAATAATGCAAGTAATTCATTTGCACAAAGCCTTACATACAGAAAATGTAATTATACTTTGTTATTATGAAGTGTAAAATTCTTAGCACCAAATGTCAGTTTTATTTTGTTTTCTTATGCAGCATACAAACATCACTAGGACACTGGGTGGCTTATTGCAGATTGCCATTACCTTTCATGCTACATAAAGCTAAGTTTCTATCACTATCCTGAGATTTCCAATTTATGTAGCTTGTACAATCATAATAATAAACACTTGAAGGAAACATCGTGAAAGACTTTGAAGTGGGCCAAAATGCCTGTCTTCGTTGGAAAACTAGATATTTTCTAAGCATGCCCTCCTACGTTTTCTGATTCAAATAGGTCTCTGTACCTCTCATTATCTCGGAGCTATGTTACAACTCTGTACATTGTAGATAACTAATAGTAATGCACATGACTGCTTTTATAGACAGGAAAATAAATTTTTGTTCTAACAGAAGACGATGATTTCCCTTCTTGCTGTGGAACACATCAGTTTTGCATCTACTTTTAAATTATTTTATTATTTCCATGCGGGGGGTCTTGAATTATCACAACCAGCTTTATCATCCAATATCTTACCGGTTCCCTCAATAATGAATGACTTGAATAAAATCTTTGACACGTTTATTTTATATATGGATGAGAGTTATGATTATACTCTGTTATAAAAATTATCCTTTTACACATTCGATATTACATTTTAACTACTCTTACTACTAGAACCGTTTTAAACATTTTTCATGTACTAAATTAGAAGTCAGATGTACTACACTCTAGAATGCATGATATCCTTTTAAAAGATTCTCAACAGATGTGATCAATCCAGTGTACCATAGAAGGCAAACACTATGGAGATGGTTAAGATAATAACTTTAGAATCTGTCTTTGGATGACCAGAGCAAATAATTTATATTTCCTTTTCCAGGGTATGGAGATAATAATCTCTGCCTTATAGGATTATTGTTGGGTTTGATTGTAATAGTTAAAAAAGGGGGGGTTAGCTCTGTGCCAATCACCTCAATGAATAGTAGTTATCCTTCTTATGGAACTTTAGTTTCTGACAAGGTAGTAAATTTCACTGCTCAGCAGTACTATTACTTAGGAGGTGTTTCTTAAGTGGAACTCTACGTTTGTTGTAACTTTAATGCCCTGGTTAGTCTATTTTATTTTGTTTGGATTTGTTTTACTATTTTCTAAATGACCATTATTCAAATTATTAAAGACAGCTGCTGTTTTTATTCTATGTATCTCTTTCAAGCTAAATATGCCCTCTTCCTTCATCTCCTTTATTATTATTTATTTATTTATTTATTTATTTATTTATTTTTGGTGTATTTCCCAGCTTCTTTACCTTTCTAGTTGTCCTATGGTTTGAAAAAGTCATTCTCAAAACATTGTGCCTAGAACTCAACATCAAATTCTAGTTGTGATTGGATTAAAATGTAGTGTTGAGATACCAACGATTAGGGCACATTTTTCCAATAATTTAACCCAAGAATGCATTAGGCTTATTAATTTTTATATTATATTACATTTTTATCTTATTTTGAGCTCATAGCCAACTAACATCTTTAATTCTTTTATTCTCCAATTCTTTTTTACTTGCACATTTATGATTTTGAATCAAAAATTAAAAATTTACATGTATCACTTCTGATAATAACGATAGCCTATAATATTGAGTAGTATATGTTGAATCTTTATTATGTGTCAGGTACTATGTGAAGTATTTGGGGCTTGTTATTTTATTTTTTAACACCAGGACAACTCTTTAAACTAGGTGCTTTTATGCACTTAGATCAAGTAATTAAGCATATATTATTTCTTTTGGCATGATTGCCAAAAAGATATGTACATTAATATATTAAATATATAGACAGTTATATAGATAATAAATGTTTCTATAGATATATAGATAATAAATGTTTCTATAGATAGATATAAGATAATGGATATATGTAGATAGATAGATAGATAGATAGATAGATAGATAGATAATAAATGTGAGAAGTTTCCTTCAGCCATTGAGCAATTACACTCTAATTTAATGCTTCCCTTATCATGGCCATTGCAAACCTCACAGGTAGATGACTTTACTAGCTCTGGTACCTCCATGTGGCTAATTACAAGTGAACTATTGCACCTATAGAAAGAAAGTGATATACATTCATTAGACATTTCCTACCACATTTTTTCCAGGGGGGAAAGTATCAGGTAATAGTTCCAGGTTGGTAGATAGTTTACCTCTAGCTACAAATCATTTTGTTTTCCTTAAAATCAATTAGAAGATCCTCCAGAAAAATAAAGCATGTAATTCCATGAAAGCATTGGGAAGGCATAAATCTTCTCTGGAGACAAAGGTAAATAAACATATTCAGTTTCTTTAGTCAGAAATTTCAAGATTTTTTTTTAATCTTCTGACATGAATTGTTTCACCAAAAAACATGTCCAATCCTAACTCCCAGTTCCTGTGAAAATGCCCTTAACTGAAAATAGGGTCTTTTCTCAAGGTGAAATCATCCTGGAATTAGAGTGGGTTCTAAATCTAATGACTGCTATTATTATAAGAAAAAAAAAAAAACGGGGAGATTTAATCCATACAGGGAAGAAGGCCAAGTGAAGAAGGAGGTAGATTGAAGTTAATACTGCTGCAACTAACCAAAAACTGAAGGAAGCAAGGACGTATTCTCCCCTAGAGCTTTTGTAGGGAGTGTGTCCCTGCTAATGCCTTGATTTTGTACTTCTAGCCTCCAGAACTGTGACAGAATAAATTTTTCTTGTTTTTGTAAGCCACCAAGTATTTGGTAATGTTTTATGGCAGCACTAGGAAATTAATACATTGTCCATAGACACTTTCAGTTAACAAGTATGCTAAAGGAATAACATCAACTTTCTGTCTAACTTCTCAGGTTCTACATTTAGCAGTTCTAAAAATGGGCTAATTTACTGTTATGTAGGCAATTTACTCTGTTTTCTTGCCGTGTTGAAAGTGCCATTTACTTTTACATATCATTCTTTTGTTGCACAAATGTTTATCGATCACCTAAAATGTGTTATGATACTGTTGTGAACAAAACAGGAAAAAAAAGAAGATACAAATTCCTGCTCTGATGAATTTATATTCTACGAGCGGGTAGATGTAAAAGAAACATAGTAAATTATGTAGTATAATTAGAAGCATAAGGGAAGCAAGATTGTATGGAAGAATGTGATTATGAATAAAATACTTAGCATAGATCTAAAAGAGAAGGCGACATTTGAAAAAAGTCTAGATGAATGCAGATGAGTACATTATGCATATATTGGGGAAAATAATTCCAGGCAGAAGGAAGAGCAAGTGCAAAGGCTCCCAGTTGGGGGTATGCTTAATATGTTTGAGAAACAGAGTGATGTGTCTGGGGCTAATGTTGGTGGAATCCAAAAGGCTACAGAACTTCACTATGAGTCAAGCCAATGGGGAGCCTTTGGAGGGTTTTCAGGAGTGCAGTGACATGACCTGACTCCTGCTTAAGACAGGTGCATTTAATCTTTTGTGAATTCCTTTAGCAGTCTGGACTGTTCGAAATAATGTTTTAATGTACATAAAATTAAAATGTGTAGGGAGTACAAAGTAATCTATATCACAAATTTGAGATACAGTAGTATATGTGTTTCACTAAAAAACCTAACAATGTGTGTATTCAATGCTATAATTTTGAAATAGTGATGAATATAAATGGTATATTAAGGTATCTGTGGCAATATTAATTGATACGAAAATATCTATGATTTCTTTTAGTGACCAAAACAGATACTGTGAATATGACTATGGCTTGTTGCCTATATTCATAATCAATTAAGTGACCCCCTGAACTAATTCAAAGTTAATAACCATTTGTCTATATTAGTATTGTACTTAGTCAGCAATAGAAGCATAAACACTAATAATCCATGTAGCATAGGATCTAATTCAGACTGACATTTACCAGTTAGAAATAAGGAGTCTTTATGATGATGTGGTTATTTCAATGTGCAACTGCAAACCTCCTATGGTCTTAATGTTCAGATATTGGAAAGAAAAAAAGCAATTATGTTTTTGTTTATGTTGAACTTTACTCCCGCTTGTTAAGCCTGATATAATTATAAATACAAACATGAAGACAGGCAGATTTTGTTCCCTAATAAACCATAACATGAATATGCCTATATCTAAGTCATTCATCTCTCCTTTTTTTCTATCTTAAATTATGTATTGCATGTTTCCATAAACAACCAGTTATTCAGATTCTAAGTCATACATGCCAAAAGAGATTTTGTTTTTACTTAGGAATGTATTTATTTGGGATACACACATACATATTTTAGTACCCCGTTTTTGATATAGATTTATTGTCCTATATTTAAGAGGCATCTGGATAAAAGTAACTTATTCAAATATGTCAATAACTCTGTTATATCACACTATTCCAGTTATAATCCAAGACTAAACTATTTTAGTTTACAAAAGGAAATACAGCTACACAGATTTACAGTGAATCTTTCCCTTAGTGGGGAACAGAAAGAAAAAAAAACTTGTAAAGTTTTAACAAATATAATTTTACTTGAAGTGCCATACCATCATGTAAGTCTTAAAACACATCAACCTTGAAAGTGAGTATAGTTCTGGACATTAAAACATGGCAAGTTGTGGGTTAACTTTCAGTGTCCCTTGGCCAAATTGTAAAGAAGCAAAGAGATCTGATTTTTAAATTTCATAATGTAACTAGTAGTTCTCAAATTATTTTGGTCACCTAATTACCTAAAGGCAACATAATTTTATAGACTACATTGAAACAATTCACTCTCAGAATGTGCCAGAATGCACTATACCTTACATTCCATATTATGACTCTCTATAATTCAATAAATATGTATCATACTTAATCAGAAAGGCTCTGATAAATATACAACATTAAACATATGGAAAGCTTATTCACTTGATTGTAATTTTCATATTTGCACTGTTTGTACCTAATCCACATTTTTAAATTTCTAGATACACCCAAAGGAATATAGTGTGTGTCTTTTCTTTTTAATCCTCGTATTTTTACTGCTTCTGTAATAGGCATTGACCTAAACCTTGTCCTTGCCACAGGCTGTGAGAGATAGCACTTTGAAGGTTTTTTTTTTCTCGTTTTTTTTTCTTATCCAATAAGTAATGCTCCAAGAAAGAAGCTGATGAACCCCTCCCTTTAAAAAGTAATAAACTTTCAAGCAGGGTAAGGCACAGTGGTAATAGCAGACCACTATAATTCCTTAGAAAATTTTACAATAAAATCCTGTATCTTTCCATATTGCTATTGATATTCTAAAGTAGAACTTGAGATCTAAAAGTTGGGACTATAACATGAATCAGCTTAACATTTAAGAACATGTATTATTAAAAACATGTTGCTAAAATGTCATATTGTAGGAGCTATATTAGCATTGTTTTAAAGGTTAGCTATATTACATGTGTCTTTAGATTCACAAGGAAGCTATACAATTTATCTATATATGCATGTGGGCATATTTCATATTGATAAGCACTTATATTTCATATCTGCAAACATACATATATGCACAAATATATGTATGCATGCATATATATATACACCTATATAATACAAGCATATATATGCACATATATATGTATAAGTTTATGAGAATAAAATTCACATATATGAAGAGAGAATGAGAGAGAGAGTGAGAGCGAGCGAGAGAGTATAATTTTATAATAATGGACAGGTATTGGTCCTGTCTAGCTAGTAAGCGGACAGAGTGAATGTAGTGATTTTGTAAATTGCCTTTATAGCCTAAGAATCAAGAAAATATAGGAAAGCTTTTCTGCTGCTTTGGCCGAAAGTGGTTCTTTGCTTGATCCATATCCTATTTCCTTTGACCCCTTCAATAGGGTGGCTCAGCTGTTATTTGCTTTCATGTCTTATCTCATTTTATCCTAACAACTCTATAAAGGCACATAATATTCTCGCCAGGTTGTGGGTGATAAAACCAAGGGATTGAATGACTTATATAATGGCACACTGCTGTTCTTTCCACCTTTACAGTGCTTTGATTTCCACAGCATGTTCCATGTTTGTCAATGGAAAGTGGGACTGAGAACCATCTGCATCAGAATCAAATCACTTGAGATTACTTATTTAAAAAGTAGATTCCTGATAACTGTCCTTGTCCTTTCAAATCAGAATCTATAAGAGTAGACACTGGAATTTTCATTTTTTACAAACATTCTAGGATTAAAAAGGCCAAGGTTATGGCTAACAGTAAATGAATCCCGTATCCTAGACAGCTGAGTCTTTTCCCAGATTCTTGCTAATCAAAATGTGGCCCATGTATCAGCAGCATTGGCACAACCTAAGAGCTTGTTAGAAATGCAGAATCACAGGCCCCACTGCTGCATTTTAATATGATCTCCAGGTGACTTTGTCCACATTAAAGTGGCGAAGCATTGTCTTAAAGATTTTTTTATAAATTACCCCATTTGGTGTTTGCCAAACTTAACTGATAATAAAAATGTTCTGGAGGCACTTGTAAACAGTCGCTTTGCTTCATCTCTCGCTGGAGATTGTTTCTCTAGGTCTGGAGAGGTGTCTGGAATCTGTATGTTTATTAAGCTCCCTAGGTGATCATTATCATTGGATAAGTTTGAAAAACATGGCATCCATTATCTCTAATACAAAGTCTCTGGTATATTTTATTTGACTTCTGAAGTTGGAGGTTGGTGTTTGAGTTATTGAGCAGCAGTTTTAACAACTCATCTGTATCTGTGCAGAGGAAGCACGGTGTGGGAATGATAAGTACCTGACTTCATTGTGAGCCCAGTGGCCTGAGAGTGAAACTAGCAAAGGTACTTCACTTCCCTGTCTCTCAGTTTCCCCATTTGTAAAATGAAAACAATCATCATATATAATTCATAGGGTGGTTGTGAAGAACAAATAAATTTTTTATGAAAGCACTGGAAACAGTTCCTGTTTAGTTATTATGAATATATAGCCTCCCCCATAAAACTCTTTGTAATGAGCCCATGATTTTTATACTTGCATCCTCTCAAAACGCTGCTGACAAAGCTGGCTTGATAAAAGTGAGTGCTGAGACTAAAGGAACTTTGAGTGTGACACAGAAAGAGTCTCACTATAACCCAGATGATGGTTGGCGTTGGCAGAGTCAAGCCTTCCTGTGTCTGGGCAGGATGAATCGCCACTTTTGGCAAGCATCCCTCACACCTTCCTTCCAGCTTTAAAAATAAGCCATGTGGCTTAGAACAGACAAGCTCTAAAATACCAGAGAACTGGTCTATACTAGTCACATATAGGTAGGGAATTATATTTTAAGACAAGACGTGAACATTGGGTCATCCTTAGGAATCTACAGAGAGGTAAGGGGAAACATGTATAAAAATCATTGTTCTCGTTCTTCCTAGCAAATGAATTATCTTCTGGCTCGTTAGAAAATTGAAACCTAGCCTGTATGCATTTTGTTTAATTTTAGATTTTCTGTTCCCTTACCGTGACTTTTAGAATCTGGGTCCAACAAATTAACTTTATCTGAGAAGTCTGCCTCCTCCACGGCCTGGGCAGGGTTAATCATATGCTGTTACACATCTAGCATTCATCCTGGTTGTAAAACAGTTGCATGTCTGCACCTCCTTCATTACAAATTTGATATTCATAGAAAGCAGTGACCTTCATTTACTTATATTTTTAAAAATCCTCAGTGCCAAGATTAAAGCTTGACAAAAAAAAAATAGATAATTGTCAGTTGGAAGATACATCATTGAACAAATCTTTAAAAATAATATGCCCATTTGTTTTTGGCAAGGCAAACACAGAGTATCTGTCACTAATGAGCCTCCTATTAACTCCATGGATAAGATAATAAGAATTAGGCTGCTATGCCAACCACATGCTCCAAGAAACCCTGGGAGCTCAGCTGTGACTGGTTGTCTTCCTGGCTAGTCGGCTTCTGGTGGCATAAAGCAAGTTAAGCCCTCACAACTGACCATTCCAAAAAGCGAATTTGCTTGTCAATTCCAGAAACACAAAAAAGCACTTAGGGCAAAAGGGGAAATCTGGCATGCTTCTTCCCTTCAGGTACCTGGATATTCATTGGCCTACCCACATTGTTGTTTATTCACAATTGATTTAAACCACCATAGTCAATCAGTCAATCAGGCCTACATAGCAAAATCATGTGAAAAGAAAGTACATCTGCTGGACTTAGCTGAAATGCGAAACTGATAGAAATAAAGAAAAATACACTGCAGCTAGTCTTAGTGTACCATTGTCTTTATGTATGCAATCTTTCCAAATTCTCGTGCTTCCAATATATAAATGAAGAAATGAGCTTGGGGAGGCTAAATGTGTCTGCCATCACAGAGCTAAGAAGTAGCAGTGAAATTTACTTGCAGGTTTATTTGATTCTAGAACCTATAACCTGTCTGATTATAAAATCCATGATATTTTTATTACAACAAATTTAGAATGAAAAGTAGAAAACCTACAAGCTCCTACTCATTCAATTGTCAAAATTACCTAAGAAAGGAGTGGTTAAAGAGGAAGAAAACTTAGAGGAGTCACTGAAGTGGCCAATATTATAATAATACAACTGAACCTTCTATTGGTATAAGAAACTAAACTGGGGCCGGGCGCGGTGGCTCACGCCTGTAATCCCAGCACTTTGGGAGGCCGAGGCGGGCGGATCACGAGGTCAGGAGATCGAGACCATCCCGGCTAAAACGGTGAAACCCCGTCTCTACTAAAAATACAAAAAATTAGCTGGGCGTAGTGGCGGGCGCCTGTAGTCCCAGCTACTTGGGAGGCTGAGGCAGGAGAATGGCATGAACCCAGGAGGCGGAGCTTGCAGTGAGCCGAGATCCCGCCACTGCACTCCAGCCTGGGCGACAGAGCGAGACTCCGTCTCAAAAAAAAAAAAAAAAAAAAAAAAAAAGAAACTAAACTGGAAGCACACAGATTATAAACACCATTTTCATTTGCATAGAATTATTTGGAAAATGTCATGGCATTCATTATCTAATTTTATTCTAATAAAATCTTAAAGCATTGTATTCTCCCCTTTTTACAAATAAGTTAAAAGTGGCACAGGAACTCAAAGAATGTATATAAAGCCATACAGAAAGTAAACAGTTCTAGAACCCAGCACTCTCTCATGTGTTGAATCCAGAAAGACAATTTTATCCCCAAATCAAAAATCCTCATACATCAAATACAAAATAAATAGCAGTCCAGATCATGAGGGTCTCTTTAAAAAAATTCACTAAAATTCTTGTTAAGCTTTAGCTAGTTTAAAAGTCGGCTGCATTAGATATTATGAAATTAAGTCTCATAATAAATTCTACCTAATATTTAAGAAAAGGAGGCTGTCATATCCTTTCTAACTGTTTTTTCTCTCAATTAGCCAGGAGCTATTTCTGTATTAAGTGACTTTCCCACAATAATTTTTGCCAACCTTTTACGGATTGGATAGGCCAATGCCCAGTCAGTAAGCTTTCTTTTGGCAAGATATAGCCTTTAACTGACCTTGCTTAATTTGGCAAGTTGAGACAAAATTGCTCTTTTCCTCCATTTTGAAACAATCTCAGGCAACCAAACTTTCTCATGTTTTTGTTTCCCCCTTTCTCATCTCATTTTCTTTTCAAATTCTTTCTCTCTGTGATTCACTTTTTCATTTATTAGTGTTTGTTGTTGGGAGAGGAAGGCAGCTGGGCTATAATGGAGAGCTCATCCCTTTAGAGTCAGACAGAAAACCAAATGTAAAAGCACTGTGACACTGCTTCTTAGTCATGCGATGTTGAAGAAAGGACCGAACCTAAGACACAGTTTTCTCTTCCTACAGAATGACAGCAATAATAACAACTTCACAGGGAGATGGTAGAGAATGAAATTCCAAGTTTGTGCAACTAGAGCAGAGCCTGGAATGTAGGAGCTACTTCATAATTTGATTTAGTGCTGTAGATGAAAGAGAGCTGTCTTTCTAGATGAAAGAATTGCTTTTCAACTTTGTGTCAATAAGTACTTAGCAGACGGTTTGTGTCAGGGTGTTCTGCCCTATTATGAGGAAATTTAATCTGTCCTTGAAATTAATAACAAACAATAAATTATAGCATCTACATTTTTCCTCACACAATGCATCAGATATGTTGACATCATCTTTGAGAAAAGAAACTTTTCTTCTTCTGCTTTTTTTTTTTCTTTTTGGCATAAAACATTGGCATATATCAGGAAACAGCTGAAAAATGCTAGGATTTTGACAGTTTGGGGCTGCTTGTCCTTGTCTTTTTATTCCTGTCACAATCTTTCTTGAAAATAGTCTCCTTGCAACAATGAAAAAAATATATAACCAGATAGTTCATTTTCTAGCTCCTATTTTTCCCCATGAGTTTCAGAAAATTGGACCCTAGAGGTCTGGCTTTATCAACCACTAGTAATACTGCCATGGAAATACTATCAGACACCCCATCACTCAACCCGTTGTCAGGTACCAATAACAGCAGTGAACACATTCACTTAAATATGACTTGGGTCAAAGAAGATGAACATAATAATAGTTAGGTAGTCAGCACCTTAGTAGAAAATCTGAAATAGAGTTGCCTGAGTAAAAGTTGATTATTATATTTGCCCTGGTTTATGGTTCCCAAACTTGGTAAAGAATTAGTTCAGAAGGCATTTATTTAAAGTAGTAGGTATCTGATAGGATATTTGAGTACAATAGGATTTGGCAATTATGTAGTACATGCGATTTTATTTTACTTCTTACAGCAAACAACTTGACAGCTTTTATTAGGAAAAATTACTTTGTTCCCCAAAATATCTACTAGCCAGCCAATTTAACATCAACCGTTTCTTTACTGACTGTAACATCACTCATCAGCTTTAATACCAGTCCTCTTCTCTGCATCCGTATGAGAATACAGTAGTCATCTATCAGAAACAAAACTTCACAGAAGCAAGAAATAAAAATGCAGTAACAGAAAGAACTTGCTTGTAGAAAACCTCTTTTTAGCCTCCTGTTTAGATTTTTAAGGAATCAACTTTGCTGACTACTTAAAAATATGGCAACATGTTCACATTGTTTCTTTTTTTATGCTAGTTGGTTTCTGATACAGTAGCCTGTTTTAGTGCCTTACCTCATTCTTAAAGTGTGAACGTGCAAATGATATGCTAGTCCTAGTGCTACTGAAGGTGCTGAGGTTTTCAAGCGAGGGAATCTGGAAAGGACTTTCTCAACAATAGGCTGAGTATAGTATTATATTATGGAATAAGTTATGCTGAAGTAACAAAAAAAAAAACCCTCTTTACGTGCCTGACTTAATTCAGTTAACATAATGTCCTCCAGGTTTATCTGTTCTTATACAGGACAGGCTTTCCTCTTTTTTAAGGATGAATAGTATCCCTTTGTGTGCAAATACCACATTTTTTTCCATTCATTCACTGATATACACTTAAGTTGATTCCATAGCTTGACTATTGTGAATAATGCTGCAGTAAATATGAGAGTGCAGAAATCTCTTCAACATATTGATTTTATATTTTTTTGGATAAATACCCAGCAGTAGGATTGCAGGATCATATGGCAGTTGGATTTTTTGATTTTTTGAGAAGCTCATTTATATATGGTACCTCAGAAGTTCAAATTTATAGAAGCAGAGAGTAGGATCTTGGGTACCAGAAGCTGGGATGGGGTGGGCTGGGGATTAGAGAGATGGTAAAAAAAAATACAAAATTTCAGTTAGACAGAAGGAATTAGTTCAAGAGATCTATCATACATCACAGTGACTATAGTTAATAACAATATACTGTACACTTGAAAATTGCAAAGAGAGTAGATTTCAAAGTGTTCTCGCTACAAAAAAAATACGTTTGTGAAGTTACGTATATGTTAATTGGCTTGATTTAGCCAGTCTACAATGTATGTATATCGAGACATCATGCTGTCTACCATAAAACTATGCAATTTTTATTCTTCAATTTAAAAAATAAAGACAAAAGAAAAGAAAACAATATAACAAATTCCTAGTGTTCTAAAGCAGCAACAATGACTTGACTCCAAGAATCAGGTTGATTGGACACCCACAGATGTCACTTATTCCCACAACATCCATCCTAAGCTAGTCACTCACCCTCTTTCAACCACATGGCAGCCAAAAAGTACAATGCTGCCATTTGCCTCCAAGTGCAGAGAATCACCCGTATCTGAATGATCAGAACCAATGACTTTTACACTAAAGAAATTATTAATAATGCCAGATATAAAGTATAATGTTTGTGAGTATGTTGAACTAAGGAAGTTAGTAATACCTTTAGGCCACTGAGAAAATGTTTTCAGGGAATAATCCAGGAAGGACAATGAGTTTAATCATATTGCAGTTGACATTGCAGTTCTAATGTCTATCTTTTCCCAGTCCCTAATGCAACAAATGTTTATTTAGCACATACTACATATAAGTCATTTACCAGATACTGTGGAAACAATTAGACTAAAAAGCAATGTATCTGGATTAAACTTATATTTATTGAACACTTGTTAGGAATGGTGCCAGGTACTATTACATGCATTATGTTGTGTATCCTCATAACAAACACGTGTACTTAGCATCATCATTCATGCTGGACAGATGAGATTGCTTAAGAACAGGTAGTAAACTTGCCTAGGCTTACACAGCCGGTAAGTGGCAAAGTTAATCAATAAACTCTGGGGGTCATTCTAACGGCAATTCCAGGGCTGCTTCTGTAAAATTCTATTTACAACAAAAAAATGAGTCATGTTTATGCAGCATGATCTTTATAACTAAGATATTCCATACCCTGATTTGATTATTTCATATTTTTGTTGGCGCCTCCTCTTCCTCACATCTCCCAAATGTGGACCTTCATTAGATTTCTTAGATTCCATCCATTTCTACAATGTTGCTGGCCACAACTAAGAGAGTGTGTGTGCATATCCATCTCTGACCGGTATTTCATTTACCGTTTCCATCTGCCAAGTCCACTTTCATTTTTGTTATCCCATTAGTCTTAATGTTTCAAAGGTAAATTTATATGTTCTTCCATGAAACCCACATATTCCCCTCATTTGTATTTTAAGTTAGTGCTCTGCATATTTTCTAGTTCCCCAGGCTCAAGCCCATAGTGTCATCATCGATTTCTTCCTCATCCCTTCATTCAGCTTGTTAATATCTCATCCTTTACAGTGGCTGTTACCTTTTCCTCTTCTCTGCCAACCTCCCTACTAAAATTTTTCCCCTTATGGCATCAATTCCAAACTTTGGCAGTAGCTTTCACTCTCCCTTTCCTTTCTGTATGTCACTGCCAAAAGTTTCAATGAAACATATAGACATTTTACATATTTAAGCTGACCTTAAATTTTCTGTATATTTTAGCCTGATGTTCTTCCTGCTTTTTTTCTATGTCTATTTAAAAAAGAAAGAGAAAGACACGTTTTTATTTTAGTTCAAATGGTCAATTTTTTTTTCTAAATACATCTCAACATTTCTTGTCACTATTCTTCTGATGATGTTGATTCTATCATCTAGATGGTCCTCTCATAACCCAATGCCTTTTAAACTTTACTTCTTGTTAGAGGCTGAGATAAATCCACTTTTGTTTTGTTTCATTTTGTTTAGAACTTTCTGTGTGTCCGTCACTTTCACAGCTCAGTAAATTCTTTCTTTCTTTGTGTTACTATACTTTCCCTCTTTATGCATACCATTTCAATAAGCATGTCATATTCTGCCTTGAAGCCAAAACTTCCAGGTTAAGTTTTATATACAGTAGGTACACTATAAACCTCAGCCTGTAATGAATAAATTATTAAATTGATAGACTTTCTGCAGGCCAAATGTAAAGAATCGATCAAAAAATTAAATGTGGATTATCTTTGACATCAAAATGTCATTTCTAGGAGGTCCTAGAACAATATATTGCAGAATAGAAAAATAGGAATCAACCTTATTTTCTGCATGGAGTAGTGGTAGAGGAGAGAACTTGTTAAAAGATCTGTGGTCTGTTCACAAAATTGAATTCAAAAACTTATTGAATTCAATAAGTGCAATATTTTTAGTGCCATGGTATATTATGCACAAATTAGGTCAGGGGAAAAGGAGTAGTTACAAAAGAATGTCCTTTTTTTTTTTTTTTTTTTTTTTTGAATATGTGATAGATCAGGATTCTTGTTCTTGTTTTGTCTCTTTCTGGGCATTCATCCCCTTGGTGATCATATGACTTGCTTTGGCCAACAAAATGTGAGTGGAGGTGATTTTGTGTTTCCAAGTAAAAAGCATATTCAATGTCATGTAAGACCCTTGGCTACCTTTCCCTATTGCAGGGGTCCTGAAATCTGTGCCTCCATGGTGGCATCATGAAAGAGAGACTACACTTTCACTTGTACTGTTTTTGAAATAAAAATAGAACAGGTTTTTCAGAAGCTTCTTATATACAATAATATGAACACAAGTAGCATGTTAGTAATTCAGACATCTTTTGGTATTAAAAACCTGGATTTTTAGAAAATAGTAAACTGGTCCAATTCAGGTTGGCAGAGGGAGTGAGAGATGGGCAAATTACCAATTGTTAGAATCACAGAGCTGCAAAAATTTGAGAAGTCATCTAACTGAACTGCTTCATCTCACAGATAAGGAAATAGAAATTCGTAGAAAGTAGAGGTAAAAGTGGAGGGGCAAGAATCATGCTTTCTTACCTTCTAATCCCATGCACTTGCCATAAAACACTGCCACTGCAGAAATAACATTCCTCTCTAAATGTAGCTTTTCTACCTAACTATTCTTATTAAAAATTATGTTGCAGCAATCATAAAAACAGTACCATAAAAGGAACTAGGTGGTTAGACAATTACTTCAATAATAGATATTAACTTATACTTCAAGATGAATTAATGTGATTTTCAAATATGGGCCGTTGACTAATTTTAATCCCTCAAGACTAATTGAATTTCTAATGTGGAGAGTACTTTAGTAGCCATTAGAAAAAAAATCAGTAAAATAATAAATGATAATAATTCCCATCCTCAAAGAGTCCTCATTCCAAAGGTAAATAATGCTATTTCAGAGTTATGGAGAATGAGACAAAGGCTAGTTCAGGAAAGATGTCCCAAAGGAGGCATTAATGGACTGAAATGTAAAGCATTATTTGGAGTCTTTTCCCAGATATACAAAGGGAGAAAAATGTGTTGTGAAAGCCTAGCATGTGCAAAGACATTGAAAAGTTGAAAACTACAATACAGCTGCCAAGAAATGAGAGTAGCTGGAATATGTAGCAGGAAACACGACAGGAGACTAAGGCAGGAGCAAATCATCGTCTATGCTAAGGACCAGTATAAAGCTGTTGCTTCTTAAATACTTGGATTACTCCACCTACATGTTGGATTTTAAATATTTTTGAACAAATAATTTTGACCATTTTACTGTATTGACTTTGAGTTTAAAATAATGATTTTCAGATAAATCCACAAATTAAGCTGGTTTATAAGTACTGGCGTTTTAATATAAAATAACTTTTAAATAGCATACCTGAGAGCAATCAAAGAAAATATTATTACAAATTGCATTCTAATGTAATGACATAATATACACAATTGCTATGCAAAACAATCCCATTATAGTTATTTTCATAATTTTGGCTATGAGTTACATAATCATATTGCATATAATTTTAACTTGTCATATACCAGATAAAATTTATGATTTCTATTATTATAGACCTGCATTATGTGTGTGTGCATATGTGTGTTCGTGTATATAGGAAGTTCAACAGATATTTTTAAAGAATTCATCAAGCCATTAAATTCTTTTTTTAATTATAAAATGTATATATATAACATAAAATTTATCACCTTAACCATTTGTAACTATACAGTTCCGTGGCATTAAGTACATTCACATTCTTGTGCAACTATCACCACCATCCATCTCCAGAACTCTTTTTGTCTTGTAAAACAGAAATTCTGTACCCATTATACAATCACTCCTCCTTCCCTCCTCTCCCAGCCCCTGGCACCCACCATTCCACTTTCTGTCTCTATGACTTTGACTACTCTGGGTACCTCATATAAGTGGAATCGAACAGTATTTGTCCTTTTGTGACTGGCTTATTTCACTTAACATAATGTCCTTAAGTTTCCTACACATGGTGGTATGTGTCAGAATGTCCTTCCTTTCTAAGGTGGAATGATTTTCCGTTGTATGGATATACCACATTTTATTTATTTTGTTTATCCATTCATCCATCGATAGACACTTGGGTTGCTTCCACTTCTTGGCTATTGTGAAGAATGGTGCTGTCAACAAGCCATTAAATTCTTTAACTCCACTTTTAATTTTTCTAAATTCTTGAGAACACCAAGCAAGAACATGATATATTGGCCTGTGGAAGAGTGTCTGGACCAGTCCTGACTCTGCTGCCTGTAAGGATAAGCATCCCTAAGACTCCAGAGCTCCATTTGGGAGGAAATAGAAAATATCTAATAGAACTCAGTGGTGGGGAGGGATCAAGGAGAGACAATGAACCCTCAGACCTTCACACTGAGTCTCAAAATGAAACCTAAGACAAAAGCACAACCATAAAACCACAAAGGGCTTTAGGGGGCTTATATTGTATAATTCCCTTTCTCTAATGAGACTCTTGGGTAGTTTCCATTTTGCTCCAGATATTTGGGGTGAGCTTTTGTGACTATTTTTTGCTAATTAAACCATAGTGGAATGTGGTTTTTATTCATTTTTAAAGTTTTCTTACTGCAATGCTCTTAAATAAATATATATATATATATAATATGCAGTTTAAAATGTCATAACTCAATGGCAATAATCTTGTCAATGTCTATCTTACCTCCTGGTTTTAGGAAGAAAATTGTGATAATCAAGAAATATATAGATAGTTATGAAAAGGGAACTCCAGATTTACTTAAAAAGGACAAGCTATATAAAGTAATTAAAAGCATGTGCAGATATTAGTGCTGTGTAAGTAAAAATTGTTTGAAAACCATTCCAAGATGCGTGCTCCTTGTTCAGCCATTTTCTCTCCCTCAGCTATACTAGGTCTATAGACCGACTCCCTCAGCTCTTCGTAATCCCTTTAACATGTTGTTTACATTATTAAATTTAACATGTTTAATTGGTTTCTAGACATTAAGTCCTACTCTTATTCTTCCTGAAGTCGGCATAAAGTGTGTGTTTTGAAGAAGAGATATTGAAGGAATGAATGAAGAAATGAATGTAATTATTATGATAATGAATGTGAAATACATTGGGAAAATTATCAGAAAAATATAGCTTTCATTTTGTGAGCAGTTTTCCATTGTAAGAATTTGACTAGAATGTAAGTGTAATGTTTCTGATATTTTGTAAAGGTAATTTTGAAAACCCTTTTTATGAAATAGAAAATTTTTCTTTATACTCATTTTGAAGCACTTGGGTAAACTGAAGACATATATCAGAGTGAATTGGCAAAAGTGATAGACAGTGCTACTAACAATATCACCTCAGGAGAAATATCTAGGGGAATATCTGAAATCCAGAGGCTAAAATTGTGCATAAATTCAATATTTGATTAGAATCTTATGAATGTTTTACTATTTTATTTATGAGTATTTTATTAATATAAGTAATATAATAATAATCCAGCAAGGGATGGTAGATGTTGTGACATGTTTTGTTTATCTGAGATTAATAGGCAAAATAATAATATTGACATTAGTTCTAGGGAGTTTTAAAATTAATAATAAGTTTAGTGGGTTTTTTTATATTGACATCCTTCTAGCAATAATCTGGAGCTTTCTGTACCTGATTTTTGTTTACAGTTGTTTTTGTTTTCTACTCAGGAGGAATGTTTCATCAAATTCAATACCCCAGGCAACAGAATGTATTGAAGGATCTATGGCAAATTTTAGATGAAATATCTTGATCCAATGTGAGTCTCAAAAGATAATGCATATTATAAAATGAGAGAGAATGAGTAGTGATTTTATAAGGCATGAAAAGCCAACTGGTCATGTAATCAATGTGGGGGAACAACCGATTTATAAAAGCTCTCAAATATGTTATTATATGCATTTGTATTTATTAAAACAAAATGGGTAAAAATTTAACATATCTGTGATTAATCAACATTAAAATATAAATTACAAATGTGCCTCCTTTTTAGAATTTCTATAAAACGTGGGATGTGTATGGCTGGCCAATTGACATATGGCTTTTCTTCTTGTAGCTAAGGAGTTAGCAGTGTATCCTTAAATACATGTTTCCAATGCTGTCCCTTACAGCACCTAAAACCAGGTCACTCAGCACTGTCCCCAGAATGGATTTGCAATTGTTTACAAATGTAATGTGTGGCCTCTAATATACCGCAGCTGTGGCTAGGATTTATGATTTTATATCACTCTTACTGAGTACAGTTGAGGTCACCTTTCCATTGCACAATACACCTTCCAATATAAAATTAGCTTTTATTTGTATGTGGTTGTTTCACCCTTAAAATATACCGTATAGGTGTAGTAATAGGACCTGTGCAAAGCATCTGTGGAAAAAGCTGACTATATGCCCTGAAATGGAGGTAAGAACTGTTTCTATCATTGAAGGTGATCCTTCTATGGTAAAAGCCTTAGTGGGCTCACCTTTAAATTTTAAGTTGGCTCCTCATGTCCAGTGGCACTCTTGTCATTGCTAAGTTTGTGCCCTGTTCAAAGGTATCTAGCAGAGGATGGAAGGTGAGAAACTAGCCATACTCTACTTACCTGATACTACATCCTAGGATGACACTATATTAGCAGTGAAAGGACTGTCATATTGCAATTTATGCTTCTGCAAATTGGGTGACTTTTTGCATTTTATCTGCTTGAGGAGGCATTTTTAAAATTTCACACCTACATCAATTTCCACACCTTCATTCCTTACTTTCAGCGAGTCCCATAGTAAATCTACTTTTACTTGCTTTCTAGGCTAACACCTCCTCTGCTTCTTGGGGTTCCTCTCAGTCATGAGCCAAGCAGTTTCCCATATGCCCCACTTTCTCACCTGTGTTATAGGAGAAACTTTCAGTCAGTCCCATCTGAATGTAAAACTTGCAATTAAGTGAAATTATTTGAGGTTTCTGGCCAGGCTGTCTAGAAACAAATAAACTTTGGAATATTTATTTAATATTAATTATAATGCCAACTTGAAAAGCCCATCCTAAGGAAATGAGGAAGCAACAATGAAGACCAAGTTAAAATAATCTCACTGACCTTTTTCGTTATCTCAGTATGCTGCCTGCTCTTTTAGTATTTGTTTCTTTATTATTATTTGATTCATTGACAAGTTTCCTAATAGATTTAAGCTTCAATTTTCTCTTCTACAAAACAAGGAGGATCGTCCCCAGCTTATAGGATCAATAGGTAAAGTAAGACAATGCATGTCAGTGAGGAACAGAACATGACACTTACGAGGTGCTCAATATATATTCATTCTTCTTACTTCCCAATCTGTAACGCTCCAACATGTATATATTTGAAAATTTTTATTTCTGTTACCATTAGTATTAAAACTATAAATAATAACAAAAAGAGTCTTACAGTAATAAAACTCCTATGAAATTCTCATTGTTGCATATTCCCTGTGGTTGCTGACTTCTTTGTAAATGACTTCCAGTGGCTCTGAGATCATCCTCCTTTCTAAATGTATTTCCGAGTGTCTAGTTTGTCAGATATTTTTGATTCTTGCAATTGCCTTCTCTACCTGGAGAAATAATAGAGATCAGTCTAAGAGAGTAGGCTTTGCAACTAGACTGCTTTGGTTCAAATTCCACTTCTTTCTACCCATTTGAACTTGGGATGGATATTTAAATTTTCTCTATAGATTGAGGATAATATGGTATTTAGACTTCATATTGTTCTAACTATTAAATGAGATGGATGGAAAGTGCTTAGTGAAATGCTATGTACTAAACATTCTCAGTTTGTTGCTGTTACCATTTTTCTACCTCATTCCTCAGAAAAACCCATCTGTTCAATTGTGGAATTAAGTCTAAACTAAGAAATAATACTTGGTGTAAACTAGGTGACAAGCATTTCTCAAAACATATCCTATGGAAGAACAGTTAATAATGTTACTCATTAAGGTTTACCCATATGCATACTCACACCGAAAACACATATACATTTGGGAGAAGGTGAATTTATAAAATCACACATGTTTATATATGCTGGATGAATTTCAAATCCTTTAAAATGTTAATGTGCATTCATAGATTATAGAGGATGCAGTATGTCTTATACTAGTTTAGTTGTGATACCATTTTTTCTTCTAAACTATCTTTCATAAAATGTCTCCGAATCTTTTTTTTAAATTTCTAATCTTACCCAATCTTCTTTTAACAATCAGGATTTAGTAAACTTGAATCTTTAAGATAAGTTTGCTCCACTTCCACACTCTTTTATTACTAAAAAAAGCAGACCCAACATACGATGATAGCGAAAAAGCTCTATGGGCTGTGAGATCATTTTAACTTGGCCTTCATTGTTGCTACCTCATTGCTTAGGATGGCCTTTTCAAGTGAGCATAATAATTAATATGAAATACATCAAAGTTTTATTTGTTTCTAGATAGCATGGTCAGAAACCTCAAATAATTCAGTTAATTGCAAATTTCACAAAATAGAAAATAATAATATCAACCACTTAAATTGTATTTACTATATGCTGGGAATTTACATATATTAACTCGTATAATTTACTATAACTCATATAGTAGTGCAGTATTTAATTTTTATTCCTACATTAATTTGCTTAGGAAAATGGACTCTATTATATTAACTCATGTGATTCTCACCAACCCTTTTGGAGGATGTTATTTTATTCCGATTTTACAGGTGAAAAAAACTGAATCATAGAGAGGTTAGGTAATTTGCTGAAGGTCACACACTGCTCTTAATGTAGTTTTTCTGGGTTTGTACCCATGAAGTCTGATTTTAGACCCCAGGCTCTTAATAAGTACACTTATGCTGACTTTCAAAAAATAATCTTGAAATTAAAACCATAACAAAAACTACTAGTCTCAATGAGCTTCTATGGAACTCAAGAGCAATGTCATTTATTAATGAAATTATGACAGGGCTACCACATATTTCTGTAACTGAGCGCAGCTTAGAATGTTCCAAAAGATGATATTGTCAAAAGAGGGTACACCCATTGTTCTATTTTGGTCAGTTTTGCTGTCTATGAAATTCTATTTGACTTCTTGCTCCAATTTTTAACCTGTAGAAATGAGAAAAATATTGTATACTGGGAACTGAAATGGTGAAGTGCAGTGATCTTTAATCATATGAACAGAGTTCAGATTTCAAATTCCAGTACCGCAGTTAACCACCTGCATGTCTTTGCCATTCAACTGGTTTTATGTGCAGTTTCTTCATCCATAAAGTTAGGATAATAGGTCAGCTCTTGGACATTCTAAAGGCTTGAATTTAGAACATTAAAAACTGACTGAAGTAGGAAAGTTACTTGAAGTAACTAATGTTTTTCTCCAAAAACAAAACTGTGTTCTGCTCTTTTACTCTGCTAGTCTGAGAAAAATATGGCTCAGAAAGATACCTCTACCTCTTTCCACTGAAATATGAGAGTGTGCGCTCAAGTAGGAAAGAAGTAGCATTTTTTATTTTTATTTTTATTTTATTTTATTATTATTATACTTTAAGTTTTAGGGTACATGTGCACAACGTGCAGGTTTGTTACATACGTATACATGTGCCATGTTGGTGTGCTGCACACATTAACTCGTCATTTAGCATTAGGTATATCTCCTAATGCTATCCCTCCCCCCTCCCCCAACCCCACAACCATCCCTGGTGTGTGATGTTCCCCTTCCTGTGTCCATGTGTTCTCATTGTTCAATTCCCACCTGTGAGTGAGAACACGCGGTGTTTGGTTTTTTGTCCTTGCGATAGTTTGCTGAGAATGACGGTTTCCAGCTTCATCCATGTCCCTACAAAGGACATGAACTCATCATTTTTTATGGCTCCATAGTATTCCATGGTGTATATATGCCACATTTTCTTAATCCAGTCTATCATTGTTGGACATTTGGATTGGTTCCAAGTCTTTGCTATTGTGAATAGTGCCGCAATAAACATACGTGTGCATGTGTCTTTATAGCAGCATGATTTATAATCCTTTGGGTATGTACCCCGTAATGGGATGGCTGGGTCAAATGGTATTTCAAGTTCTAGATCCCTGAGGAATCGCTACACCGACTTCCACAATGGTTGAACTAGTTTGCAGTCTCGCCAACAGTGTGAAAGTGTTCCTACAGCCAATATCATACTGAATGGACAAAAGCTGGAAGCATTCCCTTTGAAAACTGGCACAACACAGGGATGCCCTCTCTCACCACTCCTATTCAACATAGTGTTGGAAGTTCTGGCCAGGGCAATCAGGCAGGAGAAGGAAATAAAGGGCATTCAATTAGGAAAAGAGGAAGTCAAATTGTCCCTGTTTGCAGACGACATGATTGTATATCTAGAAAACCCCATCGTCTCAGCCCAAAATCTCCTTAAGCTGATAAGCAACTTCAGCAAAGTCTCAGGATACAAAATCAATGTGCAAAAATCACAAGCGTTCTTATACACCAATAACAGACAAACAGAGAGCCAAATCATGAGTGAACTCCCATTCACAATTGCTTCAAAGAGAATAAAATACCTAGGAATTCAACTTACAAGGGATGTGAAGGACCTCTTCAAGGAGAACTACAAAACACTGCTCAAGGAAATAAAAGAGGATACAAACAAATGGAAGAACATTCCATGCTCATGGGTAGGAAGAATCAATGTTGTGAAAATGGCCATACTGCCCAACGTAATTTATAGATTCAATGCCATCCTCATCAAGCTACCAATGACTTTCTTCACAGAATTGGAAAAAACTACTTTAAAGTTCATATGGAACCAAAAAAGAGCCCGCATTACCAAGTCAATCCTAAGCCAAAAGAACAAAGCTGGAGGCATCCTGTTACCTGACTTCAAACTATACTACAAGGCTACAGTAACCAAAACAGCATGGTACTGGTACCAAAACAGAGATATAGATCAATGGAACAGAACAGAGCCCTCAGAAATAATGCTGCATATCTACAACTATCTGATCTTTGACAAACCTGACCAAAACAAGCAATGAGGAAAGGATTCCCTATTTAATAAATGGTGCTGGGAAAATTGGCTAGCCATATGTAGAAAGCTGAAACTGGATCCCTTCCTTACATCTTAAAAAAATTAATTCAAGATGGATTAAAGACTTCAGTGTTAGACCTAAAAGCATAAAAACCCTAGAAGAAAACCTAGGCATTACCATTCAGGACATAGGCATGGGCAAGGACTTCATGTCTAAAACACCAAAAGCAATGGCAACAAAAGCCAAAATTGATAAATGGGATCTAATTAAACTAAAGAGCTTCTGCACAGCAAAAGAAACTACCATCAGAGTGAACAGGCAACCTACCGAATGGGAGAGAATTTTTGCAACCTACTCATCTGACAAAGGGCTAATATCCAGAATCTACCATGAATTCAAACAAATTTACAAGAAAAAAACAAAAAACCCCATCAAAAAGTGGGCATTGGACATGAACAGACACTTCTCAAAAGAAGACATTTATGCAGCCAAAAGACACATGAAAAAATGCTCATCATCACTGGCCATCAGAGAAATGCAAATCAAAACCACAATGAGATACCATCTCACGCCAGTTAGAATGGCGATCATTAAAAAGTCAGGAAACAACAGGTGCTGGAGACGATGTGGAGAAGTAGCATTTTTTAAACAGTTTCTGTCAGCCAGTTAGATAAAAGGGGTGATGTATAGAGAATGTTTCACACCACTTTGGTTGTTCTACAGATTCAGTTTTAAAAGATAGCTATGAAAGAGAATTGCAGATATGTATCTCAATTTATATCTTAGTAACTTTTCCTGTTCTATATGTCAGACCAGTGCCCAATTCTAGTAGTGTACCGTAGAAGAAATAACATTATTGCCTGTATGATATTTCCTCCATTGTTCAAGATGGTGTTTACGCTCGTATGTAATCAGAATGGTCAATCCAAACTCTAATGCGGTAAGCCTACTGAATATTAGTTGTGTTTCAAAGTCTCCTCAGATGTGGATATAGGGCAAAGGAATATACAGAATTCACATAGAATGGGAACAGATGAGTTCACCCCAGCAATGTCAACACCTAAGCATGAGAGATTGGATATAATGGCAAGAGAACCACTGACTTTTTAATAGGAAAAAGTACATATGACCCTTGTGCTTTAATATATTCAATGTCAGAGGTCTGGGTAGATAGAGATAATGGCAGTTTAAATCATTCAAACTATTATGTATACATGTATTTATCCATGAAGTAGGATGCATTTTGGTTGTATAAATTAATGCCATTGATAATAACTCATGTAAAGAGTAATTATGGCTAATTATCATGTAACACATAATGACTTTGAAGTTTAACTGTTTCAGATTAATATTGATATGTTTTGTGCATTAGGTTAATAAAATCTATGCATATTATCTCAGTCTTCATTATTTTATCAAATATCATGTTTGTTATTCACGCTGTCTGGTATATAGAGAAGGCACCACTGTCTAGTCTTCTGTATTGAAATGCAGTTGTTGATTATGAGTAATCAGAAGGGATAAGACTGCATTCATGTCAGTAGGGCTGATCTATTTTCTGTAATGTTGCATTGTCAGTATCAGAGATGACATGCAGGTATGTTGTGGATAATGCATTCATAGATTCTGAAGTAAAATATGGAACAACTATGGATTCCTGACAGGCATTTCCAGACTCCTGGAAAAAGTAATGAAGTAGTCTATATTATGCTCCATCTATGGGATATTGGGTACTTTTATCTTATTTATATTTAACTGTGTTTTTCAGATTTAGCATTGAAAAAAGAAAGAGAATATATAAAGTTAAATCCATTAAAGTGAAAGAATTTCTCTACTATTTGAGGTATCATTGTGAGACTTCATATATACAGGATTTTTTTTTGAACAGCAAAATGACAAAATATCTCACCTATGCCTCTTTCCTCTTTGAAAATTGTGCATAGTTTTCTATTTTTTAAAAAAATTCTATGCTGACACCTTAAGGTTGTAATACCCCGCTTAGAAGTTTATTATTATTGTAATGAATCCTAAAACAGCATATAGGACATTTTAAAGTGTGAGAAACCTTTATGTGAGAATGGAAAACAAATCAGTAATGCTAATATTCTTGCTTTTGAAGTAGTCCACGATTACTAATGCATAAAAACCTGGCACTTAGTGTAAGAGTGAAACAAGGATGAAAGCTTTTCACTGTTGGTTGTCAAAACATTTTTTGAAATTCTTAGGCCTGGAAAATTAGCTTACTGTCATCACAGCAGTATTTTGCCATGAGAGCCATTATTTTAATTCCTTACTTCAATTCCTGTTGAGAAGTCAAGCTCTGCAGCATCTTGTTTTACATAAACTAAACATGATTATAGATATGCTATGTCTCCATATGACAGATGTGGGTAATGTCCGAAATGGGAAATAAGATAACGGGTTTCTCTGAACAGTTACTCTGCCCCATTTCAGAAAAAAAAAAAAAAAAGAAAGAAAGAAAAAAAAAACCATACTGTTGTTTATTTATTTCTAATGATTTTAATGTTGCTCTGGTTTCTTAGATCTATTAATTAAGACATAAATGATTGTTTAGGAAAGAAGGAGCATGGAATTGATTTTCAATGCCTTTTCTTCAAGTGGCTCTATGAATCTGGAAAATCATGTCAAATTTATATTAAGGACATTCTCTTCTCATTCAACATCCAGTGACTCTGACTTGTGAGTAATTTTACATTAAAGCCATCATAATAGGTCTCTTAGGGGTTGGAATTTACTATGAATATTTATATATAAAGAAAGAAGGAAAAATTATTTTAAATAAATAGGATAAATAGGAGGATAGACAGAGTAAAATATTAAAACCAAGACAGCGGTCAGCTAATCCTACAATTCTGGAAGCTTTAAACATATATTTTATTTTATTTTATTTTTAACGTTGATTTTGGATTCAACAGGTACATGTGCAGATTTGTTATGTGGATATATTGCATGATGCTGAGGTTTTGGGGTACAGATGATCCTATCACCCAGGTAGTGAGCATAGTACCCTATAGGGATTTTTTAGCCCACTCATCCACTTCTCTCTCCCTGCTCTAGTAGTCCCCCGTGTCTACTGTTCCTATCTTTATATTCATGCATACTCAATGTTTAGCTCCCATTTACAAGTGAGAACATGCAGTATTTATTTTTCTGTTGCTGCATTAATTTGCTTATGGTAATGGTCTCCAGCTGCATCCATGTTACTGCAAAGGACACGATTTTGTTCTTTTTATGGCTGCATAGTATTCCAAGATGTATCAAATTTTGTTTATCCGATCCACCATAGATGGGCACCTGGGTTGATTCCATGTGTTTGTTATTGTAAATGGTGTTGTAATGAACTTATGAATACATATGTCTTTTTGATAGAACAATGTATTTTCCTTTGGATATATACCCAGTAATGGGATTACTAGGTCAAAAAGTACTTTTAAGTTCTTTGCGAAATCTCCAAACAGTTTTCCATAGTGGCTGAACTAATTTGGATTCCCACCAACAGAGTATAAGCATTCCCGTTTTTCTGCTGCCATGCCAGGATCTATCAATTTTGGACTTTTTAGGAATCGCCATTCTGACTGGTAGTATAAGAAACTGTCGCATTGTGAGTTTGATTTGCATTTCTCTGATAATTCATCATGATGAGGATTTTTTTCATGTTTGTTGGCCATTTGTATGTCATCTTATGAAATGTGTCTGTTCCTGTCTTTTACTCATTTTTTAATTTGATTATTTAATTTTGCTTGTTGATTTAAGTTTCTTGTAGATTCCAGATTTTAGACTTTTCTTGATGCATAGTTTGCTTATATTTTCTCTCATTTTGTAGGTTTTCTGTTTACTCTTTTCCTTTTCTTTTCGTGTGCAGAAGGGCTTTAGTTTAATTAGATCCTATTTTTCAATTTTTGTTTTTGTTGCAATTGCTTTTGGGGACTTGATCATAAATTATTTGCCAAAGCCAATGTTGAGACAGGTATGTCCTAGGTTTTCTTCTAGAATTTTTACAGTTTGAAGTTTTACATCTAAATCTTCAGTCTATCTTGAGTTAATTTTTGTACATGGTAAAAGGCAGGAGTCCAGTTTCATTCGTCTGTATATGGCGGGCCAGTTATCCCAGCACCATTAATTGAATAGGGAGTCTTTTTCCCATTGCTTATTTTGTCAACTTTGTTGCAGATCAGGTGGTTGTAGGTATGTGACTTTATTGCTGGGCTCTCTAGTCTGTTCTGTTGGTCTGTATGTGTGCTTTTGTACCAATACTATGCTGTTTTGGTTACTATATCTTTATAGTATAGTGTAAAATCAGGTAATATGATGCCTCGGGTTTGTTCTTTTTGCATAGGATTGACTTGGCTATTTGGGCTCTTTTTTGAATTTTAGAATAATTTCATTTTTCTATTTCTGTTGAAAGTGGCATTGTATTTTGAAAGGAATAATGTAATATTTTATACAAAATTTAAAATTTGCAGTTTTTGTAGGACACATTTTGGCAAATAATGATTACAGGTAATTTTGACCATAATATAATATGACTTAAACCATTTCCAAATTTTCTCAGCAGAAATATCACATCAGTGATGCTTTTAGAGGAGTGTTTGGGGGCAGCTGTATAATTAATGGATTGGTCTACAATGTTCTGTCAAGTTAGGCATTATCACCTTTTCTGAATTCAGTGCTTATATGTATGATACCTAAAATTTATTAAGGAATAACAGAAGCATATCTGCAATTATATATCTAAATGGGCATTTTGCTCAGAAATGTGTGCTTATTTATTGCTTGACACACAGCAAGCTAGTGTTTCTTAGGTCAATATTTACATGAGGCATAGGTGGTTTGGTAGACACAGCTATTCCCTTAAGTTCTACTGTCAACTTTTTACCTCGTTGCATGGAACTCTGGCAGAAAATACATTATATGGTTTCTTCCTTTAATCATTACTTCCTTCATTTTTAAGCTTGTGGACAGGAGTCAAGTGTAGGCCAAAATGTACAATCTCATTATAAACCCTAAGTTATCTATGCTCATACACACCTTGTACTGTACTACTACTCTGAAGCCGAGGTCATCTGGAGTCGTCCTTTAAAGGATCCATTAATAATTTCCGGGAGAGAAAAAGGACAGGTTCTGGTAACCAACTTCTTTTGAACTTGTTTCTTAATGATGATGCTATTTTTTAATAAACTGGATGCCTGCCTTGCTTCTAAGAAAAATGAGATACATATTCTTATTTATGAAGAATATATGGATTTGCAATCATGATCTGTAACAGTCTTATTAATAAATGACCCTGCTTTCTAACCTTTGCAAGAAAATGTCCAAATCAAGATTCTAAAAATGTATTATTTGGGGAAACATTTCCTGTCGTTTAATTGACATGCAGTTGACAATTCCAAACAACAATTATTTTGAACTAACTTGAAAATGTTTAGACTTAAGACTTTGTGATACCAATCCAAAGGAACAAATATTTAAAATTTCTATTTTAGGAAGTAGTATTTATAATCTCATTTGAAATGTATATTTTTATATTTTTGACATATAACTCTACTTGCTAATATTTTCAGAACAATTTAAAAATCAGTTTTCAGTACTGGATAGTTCAGTAATGAATTGGTCAGTAGAGGGATGTATTTTAAATATAGTAACAAAAATAATTAACTCTTCTCAATGATACATTTTCAAATAATTCTCCTTTTACTATTGGGACATCCCAATCTTGCCAGAGAGACATAAATGATTATTTTATGAAAGAAGAGAGTTAAAAGATTATCTCAAATTATGCCATAATTAATACTAGTACTTGAATACCTCTGATAATTTCTAAATTCCAGTTCAAATCTTACATATTTTATAATCTATGCATTTTTAAAATTGCTCATTAATTTTTTCCTGTTAAGAAGTCAAGCTCTGCCATTATTTGTTTTACATATACCAGGTATAATTATGGAAATGATGTATGACAGCAGCGACTAATGTCAGAAATGGAAAATGAGGCAACATTTGCCTCTGGACAGTTACTCTACCACATGCATGTGTGTGTGTGTGTGTGTGTGTGTGTGTGTGTGTGTGTGTATATTTCATTTATATACACAAATGTCCTTTGGTGTAGATTTTTGTAAGACAAAAGTTACCGTTTAAGATATTACATGGTGATTGATACACTAATATTTTATAGTTCACTAAGAAAAATGCTGCCGATCAAAATATGTCATTGATTGTAATATGCTATTCTATTTCTGAGTTAACATGTAAATAAGTTTGCATACTAGATTCAACTAAATGTAGCATGATAAATCCTGCTTTCTACATTAAAAAAAATCATTTACTTTATTTATTCTGGTTCTTAGTTGGTGGTTTTTTTATTTATGTATACTTTAATCTTTTGGGCTGCAAGTGAGTATTTTGCCCTTTACCATAAAATACATTAAAATACATTAAAAATATGTATCAAATGAAAATATTTGACTAAAATCAACCAAAATAAAGTTGTTAAAATCATGGTGAATGGCTTTATTTTTCCCAGAGGTTTTAAAGAATTACCATTGCAGATTTTGCCCTTTAAGAATTGCCATGAATCAATATACGTCCCTCACTGCAGTGTTTGAGACCTGAATAATTATAATTCTATATTTTGATGATCAAATTCTACTGAATGACTAAGGTACTTGGTGAATAAGCTAGTCTGGCTAATTCCACATTGTCTCAGGTTCTTGATAGTAGAATGAATAAACACTAAATCATAAGTCAGTCAAATTTAGATTTTTGACACTGTTGTTTAGAACAACCCTAAAATGTTTTAAATATGGAAAGTAATAAGCAGATTTTAAAAAGTGAAATAACAGTTACTGGGATGGAAATTCCTGCTATGCTATATGGATATGCTTAGTTTTAGTGAGAAGTATATTTTGAACTGTCCATAATTCCCAGATAAAGCAATCAAGCAATTTCTTATACAGTCTTGTAGATAGTGTCCTTCACTCTCTGCATGTGTTGGAATATCTTGCCTTATGAAAAATAGATCTAAATAATAGACTATTTCATTAATCACCTTAAATTCTAAATGCTTTCCCAGGATATTTTTAATTACATCATACATTTGAATCAGAAGGTTAGTAGCTCACACAGTCAGGTGTCTGATGGTTCTACCCTTGAACTAAAAGATTTTACAAGTTTTCTGGTTGCCCCGATGCCCGTCACCTAGTTCATTTAATATATGTAGAGAAGTTAGAATTTGGCCAGAGTACAATCTGAATTCCAGATATTGGGAATTATTTAAATTACTAACTTCTCAATGGTGACTTTTTAAATAGTAGTTCAATTGGCTTGGAAGTTATACCTTATTCTGTTGTATGACTCTTCAGTATTGCCTACTTTTAGCAATATGCAGGTATACTTAATCACCTAGATCATGATCATGAAATCACAGCAAATCTTTTTAACTCAGTTTACCTCAACATTATTATGACATTCTTCTAATCCTTCCTGTTGCTAATCCCACTCACCATTATTACATTTTATGGTATTACTACAATAATTCAATCTTATGATAGCCATTACTGTGTCAGAACATTTTTTTACATGCCATACTTTTTTAAAACAAAAAGAAGGCAAAATAAGTCTATTCCATATACAAGATCTTTTGCATTACTAACTTGTATTATCATAAATACTATCATAACTAAACATTTTTTATTTTTACTTGGGATATAATAAACAAAATTTTGCATAAAATGAAATTCATCATTTTATTTCTATTTATTTATTTATTTATTTATTTATTTATTTTGAGACTGATTCTCATTCTGTCACCCAGGCTGTGATGCTTGGCACTATCATAGCTCACTGCAACCTCAAACTCCTAGGCTTAAGCAATCCTTCCACCTCAGCCTCCTAAGTAGCTGGGACTACATGGGCACCATGATGCCTGGCTAATTTTTTAAATCTTTATAGAGATGGGGTCTTGTCTCTGATGGGTTCAAGCTTGTCTCTGATTCCTAGCCTCAATTGGTCCTTTTCTCTTGGCCCCTAAATTCACCACTTTAAAACATACAATCTATTGTTAGTAGTATATTCAGAAGGCTGTGCAGCCATCACCACCAGAATATTTCCATCACCCCAAAAATTCCAGAATTTTTCCATCACCCAACAAAGAAATACGATATCCATTCATAGCTAAACTTTAGTGAGTATATTTTGTGATTAGCTATTATGCTGGCCAGCTTATGTATATTACACCAGACTGATAACATCCAAAGATGTAGATAGGAAACATGTTTCTGTCTATTTTATAAACAAGGAAACTAAAATAAAGAGAGACTGATTAGTTTTGCTAAACGTCAGTAATACTTGACTACTGCCCCCACATTGCAGACATTTTGTGTTCAGTAAAACTCCAGTTCCTTTATCTTCCTGAAGATGAAATGGACCTAGCATCACCTTCTTCCATATAGACAGAAAAGAGACTAATAAACTATAGGACTCATATCTGCCTTTCTTCATCTTTATACTTGAAGAGTGTATATCTTGAATTTTCTAAGAGGATCCTAACACTAAATCATTTGTCCTATTATCTGATCATAAGTCAGAAGATGTGTACTTGGGGTCCATAGACATGAAAGTCTTATATATTGAAGAATTGTTTCTAATAGAGGCATATTCAGTTCTTTCAGCACAGCTGGAAATTCCAATTACATTTTCCTATGAAAAGCCATGGTGTTTAGGTAAAGAAGAAATTTCCTACTGGTACAATACACTTTGGTAGGTATAAAGTTCATTTTGTGGATTGTCATGAAGATATAATCTAGCCTGATGCTATTGCAATAGAAAAAGATGGCTGTCTCTAACAGCAAGTTTGCTAATAATGTTTTTTCTTACTACAAACTAGACAATAAATATTAGTTGAATAAGTAAATTCGTGAATGGATGAATACATAAATAAGAAGTTGAAGTTGTACTGTCATAAAGTAATTCATGCTAAGTATTGCAAGCATATTAGGACACATACATGAAATATGCTTGATTTCATCTTGGGAAAAATTTATGCTTTGCCAAAAACTAGACCCTGTATTAGTAGTCTGCAAAATGATTATGCTTACATGAGAAGTATTACATTGAATCATATAAACTTTCCATAAGGACAAGTTTACACTTTTAGATAAAGAAGTTACCGTGATACTTTCTATTTTCCCTCACAGTAAATGTCTTTTTGTTTGTATAGTGGTGCCAAGTGCTTCCCATAATAATTGTTGCAATATTAAGCACTCATATTCTATTAGTATATTCAGTTATAAAACATTGAATCACCCGGTTCCACCTTCAAAGCAAGATGAATGCTTAATTTCCTTTGGGTGCTCTGTGAAGGGATGTTTTGGAGAGTTCTCATAGCACTCCGGAAGATCAGTTATTATAATATTAGTCTCTTAGTGTTACCAGATTTCTTCCTGGTCCCACTCTGCCTGAGAACACTTTGCTCGGGTTTGATAGGAGGCTGTAGTTGTAGTGATATAATGGATAAACTACACTCTGAAGGATCAATATTGAGAACAGAAGTTGCCCACATCTTCAATAGATAGTGTAAAAACATACTTAGCATTATTGGAACATCTAGTAATAATACTTGTAGGTATTACTTTTATGTAAATTCAAAATTTTAGTGGCTTAAAATTGAGTCCTAATGCTATCTTTGTGCCAAAGTGAAGATGAGCATTTCCATTTGGGAGAAGAATTTTAAATATAAAATGAGTGCAATATGCATATGTGTATGTATAAAGTTTAGTTTAAGAAAAGTGTAACTTTTTGCGAAGTCTTTATTATACATATTACATACTACTTTTCAGTTTCTAAAAAAAAAAAAACTCTAAAACATATTTGAGAAAAATCAAGCATTGTTTGATTCTTTGTTTTTTGTTTTCTTTTCTTAAAAATATTTATCCCAGAAATTTGTAAAAGGCTTATAGCAGATTAGTTCAATCGTCAGCAAATGATATTGCTGAATCCTAAATTAAGTTTGAGTCCTTTTGGAAGTCCAAAATCACAGTCTTAATATTTCCTAAAAGTGGAGACTGCTATAAACTTTTTATGTGTATTAATTCATTAAATTGTATAGATCAGTTTTATAGATGGATGCACATATACACAAAAGGCATTTAAATTGTAAATAGTGGAGCAGAGATTTGAACTCATCTCCTGAAATGAAAGCAAATTATGAAAGAAAAGTTGCAACAGCGAAGTTGTGTTTGCATTTTTGTTTCATTTATCTTAAACAAGATATAATAATGAATGGATTAGGGAGCTCTTCCTAGGGCTGCAGTTGATCCTTTCAGCATTGCCTATATAATTAGACATAGGACCTGCACACTTGAACTTAACCTTAATCCTCACAATCAGGAAGGAACACTTTGCTTGCCTAAAATGAGGATCACAGCATTAAAAGTATTTGTCCAAGTTTATAACAGCTAGAAAGGGACAGAGATTTCAAGTCAAGCACAGACCTATCTAATGTGAAATAGATTCGCTTTCCACTTCATACCACTGAGACAGGCAATAGTTTGAACTAGGACTTAAGGGACTGAGCTCCATATTATGGGAAATTTTCCTTCAGTAGCAATCACAGTGGCTGAAAAGGAGAGGATAGTTGGGTTGTTCTACTGTTGATAAATTTTACGGCACTGTAAGGAAACAGACTCCCAGACAGCATAGTACTGATGGGGGATCAGTCGTATACTATTTTTTATGGAGGATCACATCTAAAATTGCAAATAAGTCTACAGCGCTGTTACACAAATGATATATTTAGGATTTTTACTATTAGACTTTGCATTTTCACTATGAAATACACCCATTTTTAGCCCTCATTACGTGCCCCCAATATGCTAAAACCTTTATCAATTCTTACACATTTATAGTCAGATCATTTTTAAAGTGTTTTTCAGTTATCCTCGCAACTAATTTCTATATATTGAATTGAATTGGTCATATAGTCATTAAATTGCACCACCACTGGTTGCTTAATATACTGCTAGGATTTTATGTTGTTTTTATCTATTTAGCCTCATATCATATTAGATTTCATGGATCAGAGACTTTCATAGAGTAGGGTTGGCAGTTCATCACACTGCCCTGAAATATACTGAAAAACATTTACCAACGTTACAGGTGACCTCTAAGGAAACTGATGAGGCAGAATGTTTTACCTGAAAAATAAATGGCAAAATGATGGTTTCACCTACTTGTGTTTCACCTGGGGAGTTGTTGCTAAGCAAATAGCCATCTTTGCCTTTGTGCGTGTGTGTGTGTGTCATGTATGTGTCTATGAATGTGTGTGATGGTGATGGGAGGCATGCACAGGCAGGCGCCAGTATTCTTCCTGAGTCTCTCACTTTTCTTCTCTGTGTCTCATTTCCTGAGATTTAGCTTATGACCAGCATCTCTTTCCCTTTTCCACTTACATCTCTTATGACATATTGTGCTGGCTGGAGTCTTATTTCTCAACACAAAAAGATGAAATGACCAACAGAAACAAGGTTTCTCAGTGAAGAACTCAATCTTTCTGTCACAGGTTTAGGATCCTGAAAGCTATTCCTATTGCTTAAAAATATCTCCAGCAGTTATAAATAAATTTATTACCTCTTATATTCAAAATTATTTTGGCCAGGTTCACCATGATGTCAATGTTAATCAGGAACTTAAAAATAATCGGTTATCTTGGCCCCACTGATGTAGTTTTTTAAAAAATTCTCGCCACGTCAGTTGAGAAGGCGTGTTGTCAAAATTGGTATATACTTATTTATAAATTACACAAATATTATGCATATAATACTGTACTAAATGGTTTTTACATTATTTTACTTACACAAATAGAAATATTAAAAGAGAATGAAGGAGAAATTCAAATATTTTGTAACCATTCCTAATGAATGTTCATGTACCAGCCCACCATACTACACACCCAGAGGACATCCTTTACTTTAAAAGACATTGATATTTATTTCTCTGGACTACTTCAAATCATGATATGGTTTATATCTGTGCACCTTCATGCTATCATCCTGTGTGTTTTTATCTACGAGAGTTGAGACTCCTATTGAGATCTTCTATGTATGCTAGGGTTTCTGTAAGATTTATGTATTATGTTCTAAGCATGCTGTGTTGAACTAAATAGGAACCAGGAAACTACAGCTTGTGAACTAAATTTGGTCTACTATTGAATTTTGTAAATAAAGATGTAAACACAACCATGACTGATGTTTTACATATTATCTAAGGCTATTTTCACACCACAAGGCAGAGTTGCGAAGTTGTGTGTCTTGTAAAACCTAAAAAAAAATATTATTTAAACTTTTACAGAAAGTGTTTGTTGACTCCCAAATGCAATAATCAAGTGTTCTTTCCAACTAGTGACACTTATAAGGAAATTAATATCAATATCTAAGAACTCCAGTAAACACTGCCATAGCTACTCATGCAGAATAATGTGTGAGTGGGTTACAATTCTGGCATAGTTATAAATAATATATGATAAACAAAAACTGGTTTAATCATGGATTTTATTTTTTCCCTTCTATCATTTTATTCATAGTATAGATTCCTATATTTTCTTCAGTTCTTCTCACAATTTAACAGATATACAGTTTGGCGTACCTCATTATTTGAAAGTTAGCTATAGATTTCCAACATAGTAACTAACATTACAGAAGGATTTATATTATCTTTGGAGAAACAAAATTTTAAAATATGCTTTCTGTACTTCAGAAAAGATAGCTATGCATACAAATATTATAGCTCATATAATCACTCATCATTTTTTCTAACAAAACAACACTTAAAATATTGTGGAACATTATAATGTATTACTATTTTAACTTATGTCACTTAGTACTTATAACCTAGGAGATAGTTACAATGCCTATTATTAACTGTGTTTCTAAAATTGGGATATAGAGGCTTAGGAGATTTTAGGAAGTTTAAATGATCTATCTAAAGTCACATGGTCATTAAGTGACCAAGTATGACCTTGAGCCTAGTTCTCTATTCAGGTGTCCCCAACTCCAGTGCTGTGGACTAGTGCAGACAGGGACTGGTCTGTTAGGAACTGGGCCAAATAGCAAGAGGTGAGCATTATTGCTTGAGCTCCACCTCCTATCAGATCAGCTGTGGCATTAGATTATCAAGGAAGCATGAACTCTATTGTAAACTGCACATGTGAGGGATCTAGGTCGCGTGCTCCTTATGAGAATCTAAAGCCTGATGATCCTCATCCACCCCCGACTCCTACCATAGAAAAAATTATCTTCCACAAAGCTCATCTCTGGTGCCAAAAAGATTGGTAACCACTGCTCTAGATGACTGTAGATTACTGTTGGCTGTGAGGGCTTCTTCTATTGTGTCATCTTCCACTGTTAAATAACCTGAATTTGCATTTATATATTAAGTTCTCATTAAAACTTTATGCTTTTATTAAAATGTGTTTTATAGACATGAATTTGCTGATAAAAATTAGCTCACTAACTGTTTATCCAGGCTTTGAGAAGCAAATGATTCAGAAGTATATCTATTTCTCTTTACAACAAGCATTGTGTATCATGTCATGCCCTTTTCATACAGCCACATTTTGAAAATCTAATCTGTGTATATGAAAACCTACATAGGCATTGAGAATGCTTAAGACTTATAAGACTAGGCAACTGCTTATAAAAGGACTTCTAATCCAAATGGAGACCGAATTTAATATGATGTAAAAAGACAAGCTATTACTGTAAGATATCATGTATGAGTGAGTTAGATAGGCTCTATCATAAGAAATAATAAGAGAACAATTTCTGGGGACTAAGAGGGTCAGGGAAATCTTTAAGGATAGGGTATATTTTATAGGGTATAGAATATCATCATAAATAAAGAAGCAGAGAGAAGAAGGAAAAATGCATTATAGATATGGGATTTATTTATATAGGTTCAAAAAATCAAATAAGAAAATTAAAGAGGGAGAAAGTCTTTAATGTTGACTTTTGAGTCTTTGTTGTGGCTGTTGTTTTCTTAAAGTAAGAACTGTCGTTTAGTTTCCTTTTGAATAATCATCAATGTAAACAAATAATGGAGTTTTACCATTGACAACCCCAAAATAAATCTAGGGTGTGTGTGTGTGTGTGTGTGTGTTTGTGTGTGTGTGTGTGTGTGTGTGTGTAGGAGGAGTAGAAGAAAGGGGTGTGCTTTCCTTCCTAGTACAGATTCCCTTCTTTAATAAAATACTCTCTCTCTCATCATTTAATAAACATGAAGCAACATATTTAGTTTGTCAGCTGTTCTTAAGTTCATGTATTTAAGTGCACTACTAGGGATCAGGCATCATTTTTGAGTTACTTTTTGGCCTTATAACTTCTCAAATGCTCAAACTTGAGATGCATATGAAGTTTCTACATAACTTCACCTCTCTGCCTTTCCCTCTCTTTCTTTTTCTGTCTTGTAATTTGTAATTCACAGTACTTGCTAATTTCCAGTTGATAGAATTGTTTGCTGTCAAATCCTGTAGCCATATACATAAATCAGTACATCCACATCCTACAGCATAATCAGTGCACACGCCTTGTCAATGTCAAAGCAGCAACTCTTATGTAGGATGATTGCTCTTATGATATGCTGTACATCTTGACCGTGTTTGGGACATCCCCAAGTCACAGGTCAAATGTGTCAATTCATTTGATAAGTGTGAAAAAGGTGATGAGAGATAATTCTAAACCTGTACCAACTAATCAATCAAACACTATGTTTGCATCCTTTAACGTTTATTATTCTAACTTAATTCAGTAATTGATTCCAGGAAAGTAGATTTGTGAAATTGCTTAGAAGATCTGTGCTATCATTGAATTTTGGATTATAATGAAGAGGTTCATTTTGTATGGAGCCAACACATTTGCATCTTCCAAACCAAGTCACCTACACACAGATTTATTGTTGATATTTTAATGAGGTATAACCCTTATATTCAGTCCAATTAAAGTAGAATAAACTTAGCTTCTCCTAAATCTCTCTGTGGCCTAAGTGTAAATTTTTTAGTTAATTACAAAACACTGGTTATGACTGTATTATGCTGTAAATGATCAGATGAGAGGTGTATGACTGCATCATACCGTAATCAAATGATTAATAAGCACTCAGCTATTTTCATGACTAAGAAAAAATTTAAAACCCGAATAAAATTGGTGGATTTAGAAACTCCATCTATTTGCAACACCAAAACGTGAAAACCAATGCTATTTCCTTATATCAAAAATATAATAACACCCCTGTCTTACTTTACCCATTGCTTGGGGTGCTATCACAAAGCACCATAGACTGGGTGGTTCATAAACAACAGAAATTTCTTTCTTATAGTTATGAAGGCTGAAAGTCTCAGATCAGGGCCCTAGCATGGTCAGGTTGCGGTGAGGGCCCTCTCTTGGCTGGCAGAAGGCTGTCTACTCACTTTGTAGAAAGACAGCAAGAGAACTGTGAAGGTCTCTTTTATTAGGGCACTAATTCCAGTTACGTGGGCTCCACCTTCATGACCTAATTGCCTCCCAAACGCTCCACCTCCTAGTATCATCACACTAGGGGTTAGGATATCAACATACAAAATTGGAGGGGATACAAGCGTTCAGTCCAATTGTAACCCCCATTGCCTTTTTCTTTATAATTGATTATAATCTTTAAAACAAAGTCTTCAATATCTAGGTAACTAATTATTGATGTGTATCAGAATCTTGAACAAGCACACTGCTATATTACAGTAGTATTATTTTGAAAGTTATTAACTTCATAATATTTAAAATAATGTCTGTGAATTTAAGAATTAATATTTATTTCAAAGAATTATCTAGAAGCATGCTTATTTATCCTTATGCCTTAACTATAAGATGGAAATAGCAGGTTTAAAAAAAGGAGAAAGAGAAATATTCTTAGTAGATATTCCATACAAGTTATTTGGGTGTTATAAATTAAGAAATATTATAATTTACTCAAATGATGTACCTACAGTCTCTTAAAATAAGAGATAATTGTTCCTGAGAGTAGGCAAGAAACAAATATATGGTCATAATTTATTTTAATTATCAGATGTATTTGTTCCAATATTTACGTAATGTTTTTAGAATATTCATACCAATAACTGTATGTCTCAGTATGTCTAGCTTGCCAGAAATTTAATTTTCAAAATGGTAGCTTTTTAATGGTCAAGAGCATAAAATAGTATTTTATCACTTCTCTTTGCCTCCCTAGCTAAGGAGTAGGAGTCCCTATAAAGAAAAGAAAGGGAGTTATTTTCATTTTTTGAAATATATACAATGTGTGTGATAATGGATTTTATCTAGCATTTTATATTGAGATAAGGCAAAGCCTTTTATGTTAACTGTACTGTTATTTGCATGTAGAACATGTTTCTTAATGGTTTCAAATAAATATGAGTCTTCTGCGAGGCCAGGGCTAGGAGTTTAAGCAGTTTAAGCTTGTCACCCTTCACATTCCCAATTTTCTTGTTTCTTCTAATGCATTTCTAATTTCTCTACTTTTCTCCTTGTGTCATGATTGGATTACAGTGTAGCAATGACAAGTGGTTTGAATACCAATGCCTCCCTATCACATGTACTCTGCATACAGTGTTAACATTTCACATTTAGTCTAATAAAGGAGATACAGCATTTTGTCCTCTGGTGAAATTGTCATTATTTCTATTTCTATTTTGGGTTTGCCTGCTCCTGTCTGATTTTCCTTTAGTGTGAACTGTTTTGCTACTCTGTGCTACCAGCTATAATGGTGATGATTTGTAGCTAGTTTCCTTTAGAGGATATGCTGTCAGGCTGTTACAGAGAGCTTCCTTCACTTATCATTTAAATGTATGCTGTTCTCTTTGCATTTAGGTTTTACTTAGACCATTAGTGGAATTTTCCCCTTCTTCTCTATTTGTGTTTGTTGTCTCTTAAGTTATGTTCTCTGCTGTTACAAAATTCCTTGTTTATTCTGTCCACACATTTGACAGTGACATGTGTTGGGAAGGGGTTGTACATACCAAGCTGGAAAAAAAAAAAAAAAAGCAAGATTTAATTACCTTGGATACTCTGAAGTTTTATTCATGTATTTGCTGACAATTATTCATAGCAAACATCTAACTATGTGCACTTCATATCCTTTAGGGTCGGTGACAATAGACCTATTTTGCAGTAGATTTCAGAATGACTTTGCATTTGCTGAGTATACATCACAAAGGTGAGGAAAACGAACCTTAATGTATCCAAAGCCAACTCGCAGAATGACTAGCACGAAGATTTACAGCTGTGAAAGATCTTGGGGTTTAACAGATGAAACAACTGAAGTGAGAGAAATCAGGGTTAGTTTCAAGGTACCATATTTAATTCAATATCATAGAATTAGCAGCAGGGCCTGAATTAAAATCCAAATCTCTATCCTTGATGCCCACACTCAAACATGTGGCAGTGCAGTGGCATGGTGAAAAAGAGCCATGTGAAAAACAAAGGGTCTTGATTCTGGAGTGCCTCCTGCCTGGATGCTTCAGGGGAGGGGAAAAATACAGCAACAAAAACACAACAACCCAGGGGTGGCCTCGGGATTTCATTCCTGCCAATACATATTTTAGTTTAAAAAGCGTATTACCATTTCTTTTAATGAAATCCCTGCATACGTGGCCAACAGTGAATTTGCCATCTGGAAGAGTAAAGCCATCAGAATAGCTGCAATGGCACGCCCGTCTGGATCAGATCAGCCTAGATTAGACAGTCAGGCACAACCTTAACCTGGAAACATGGAGTTCGGAAGCTTGCCAGTACCATTTTTACCTTCCCAGAATGGGTATTTGAAATCAGCTTAGAGGGAGGGATAGCAATAAAAGAATTTGGTCTCTTAAGAGGACATTTTAAGTTTTAAAATACAGGTACACCCAGGTGTAAAGGACAAAGATCTGAAAGTTATGTGCACATAATTGTTTAAATTTCAACCCAAAAAAAAGAAAAAGAAAAAAAAGTTCTACTCATGTTAACGATTGAAAGTAGATTTAAGCTGGATAATGTTCAACCAGAAAAGTTTCAGAAGAAGGCAACCAGATGGTGAGGAGTCTGAAAACCATGTCTTATATTTAATGTTGTTAGGAGGAAATGTGTAGGGGGAAAACACTAAAACAATCTCTAAAATATTTGAAGAATTATCACCTGAAAGAGGAAGCAGACATTTCACAGAAGAAAGAATAGGAAACATTGAATATAAATTCCTAGGAGGCACATTTTGAAACAGCAATCAGAAGAGAACTGTGGAGATTTGTTATACAGGTTATTTTATGAAGTTGGTAAATAATGATTAACTCACTGTCTGAAAAGTGAAGGAGAGACTAGATGACCAAACACCCCCTGATTGGGATATTTAATGATGCCAACAATGAGTAGAGGGCTACATAGGATTATATGGGTGGGTTCTTTCTTTTTTTTTTTTTTTTTTTTTTTTAGATGGAGTCTTGGTCTGTCGCCCAGGCTGGAGTGCAGTGGCATGATCTTGGCTCACTACGAGCTCCACCTCCCAGGTTCAAGCAATTCTCCTTCCTCAGCCTCCTGAGTAGCTGGGATTATAGGGGCACACCACCACACCCAGCTAATTTTTTTTTTTTTTTTTTGGAAGAGATGGGGTTTCACCATGTTGGTTAGGCTGGTCTCGAACTTCTGACCTCGCAATCTGCCCACCTCAGCCTCCCAAAGTGCTGGGATTACATGCGTAAGCCACTGTGCCCGGCCCTAGGTGGGTTCTTTCTAACCCTGAGATCTATGATTTTGCATAATTATTGGTATAAGATATTTGATTATATTTAGAAATGTATGTATGTTTAAAGATTTTTTTTCTTTCTTATTTTGGAGTTACTAAGTTATTTTCTAATATTTCTCAGGGTCCTTGGAATTATTCCATCTCCAGCCACTTGTCTGTAGATAATTCATTCCAATCAAAATTGAGAATTTACATATATCAATTACTATTTTTAAAGTGTAGAGGAGATACAAATATGAATGTGGTGTCCACAAGTTACTTAGAGTATAGTAATACTAACATTATGGTAGGTGGATTACCAAAACCAGAATGAACAGAGAAGGCTATTTAAAAATGCCGATTCCACTGTGCAACCTTTTAAAAAAAAAAAAAGAGAGATCATGTCCTTTGCAGCAACATGGTTGGAGCTGAAGGCCATTATCCTAAGTGAACTAACTTGAGAACAGAAAAACAAATACCAAAGGTTCTTACTTATTAAGTGGGAGCTAAATATTGAGTACATATGGACACAAAGAAGGGAACAACAGACATGGGTGCCTACTTGAGAGAGGAGGAACGGAGGACGGTGAAGATTGAAAAATTACCTATTGGATACTATGCTTATTACCTGGATAGCAAAATAATCTGTACACCAAACCCCAGTGACATGCAACTTATCTGTATAATAAACCTGCACATATACCTCTGAACCTAAAAGTTAAAAAAAGTAATAAATACTCCAAACACAGTGTTTAAATACAGATTCTGAGCCCTAATCTAGCTCTAATTTTAGAATCTCTAGAGGTAAATTTGAAAAGTACATTTCTAAAAGCTTCACAAGTGAATCTTAAGCAAATGAATTTTGAGAACCACAAGTTAGGAAGCTAGAGTACATTTGCATGAATTACTGGAAATATGTGAAATCTCTGATACATTTTACAGAAAAGTAACATGTTTAGATGTGGATGTTAGGGATAATGGGAGAAAGGGGTGAGCAGGCAAAGGATGATAAAGTATTACAAAAAAAGCTACAGGTATTGCTAGGTTGATAATTCATTCACATAATTGTTACATAACATTTTATCAAGCACTATGTATAAGGAGTGGGAAATAAATAAAATGAACGTGAAGTTTTATTCGAACCACAATTTGTTTGGTGTCTGTAGTAAGTCTCCGGATGTAATGTGTTTTACCTTCAGCTATGGACATCAGATTTTGTTTTGCAAGGAAAAGGGAAATAATGTTGAAGTCAGGTTGTACATAGTGTGTACCAAGCTATATGGCTAAGCAATGAAAGAATCATTGGTGCTGCAACATCTACTCTACAAATACAGCAATGGTCTTGGTTTCAAATTGACCTTCATGTTCGTAGAGCACCATTAGCTGTAATGTGCGCTAGGTTTATTTAGCTGTGAGGAAGGATATAAGATTGGAAAGAGAGCATGTCAGCGTGATTTTCTCAAATACATTTTCCTCTGGAGTTCTTACTGCCATCTTGGCACTGCTCCCCAGGCAGCACAAGGGGCATGCTCAGTTTTAAGGGTTGGGACCCCATGAGTACATGATGGTCACTTCAGCCTAGGCAAGGCTCATATATGACAGCCCGTGAGAGGAGCTGACAGACCTGCTCAGGGGCCATGCTTTTTCCAAGAAGCACCAAACAGTGAGGTTAAGGCTTCTCATTTACTGCATGTTTTTATAGAGTTTTATCATATGGACCTTCAGGGTCTATATATCCATTCAGGGTCCTCCCAGTACAGATGCAGTCCTCCAGTCAGAGTTAATAAGCAATGATGCCTAGTAACACAGTTTCCTTTTCCTACATTTCCAAAGAAACAGAGCTGAGGAAGGTAAATCTGAGAAAATCTTCCCACAGAGATAAGGTTTACACCCGCTCTTAAACCTTTCTCCCCAGCTGGTTTTTGAGCAGTATAGGATGATGAGTACCGTGGTTCAAGAAGATAGCTTGCAGCATGTACGTGGAAGTACTGGAAATAAAACTGGAGATGAGGGAGATAGAGGCGGCAGGCAGTGCAAGACGTAGACCCTCAAACCTGCACTCAAGAAGCCAGAGGGCCACATACAGTACTTTAAATGACAAATAATGGGAATATGAAGATGTTGGCAGTGAAAATGGGAAGAGGGAATAGATCAGGTAACCATTATGGAGGTACTGAGGCCAGAATTTAATAACCTTTGTCAGGAACTCAAAATAGATTATTAGTTTAACTGATTCAGGGCGTACTCTGAGTAGAATATTTTTGCTACTCCATGGAAAGAAAACTGTGAGTGTGAAGACTTCTTTAAAGCATTTATGTAGAAGAAAATATATTCATAACATATCGTTATAGAAGATGAAGCAGATATCTTGGATAGATGCTTCTAGAAATGAAAAGAACCTCAGCCCTTGGTTATTTGAAAAATTAGTGTGTTTAAAATTTAAGGTAGACTCTAAAGCTTCAATTTTACAAAGATCCTGGAATTGTATGTCTAATATAATAACTCACTTTTATCCAGAGCACAACCAATTTTCCCCCTCCCCCCCAGAAAATGAGAGAAACAAAGATGAAAAAAATGATGTATTCATTGAGCAAATATATACTGAGTGCCTTCTATGCACAAAGTACTGTCTAGACACTTGTGATTTATCAGTGAACAAAACTGATTAAAATCCCCCATAATCATAACAATAAATACATGATGGATTAATATAAAATATTATTTATTTCATAAAATAATAAAGTATATAAATCAAATAAGTTATAAAAAGTTATATCAATAACAAGATGAGAAATACTGTGGAAAATGAATGAGCATGCCATAAAGTAAGTAAATTACTTTCATAGTTGGCTTAGATATGTTTTGAATCTGTTTTTTCACAATTATCCTGGAGACTATAAAAATAAAATGTGGAAAAAAGTAGATGTCAAATAATGTACTAAGTTTTTGCTTTGTAGTTAATAATAATTATGCACCTTCGGGGGGTCTCATTTTTAGCAAGTAGGTTTTCAGTAATAAAAATGAATGTAGGTTATTGCAAGTACTCAGCAAAAGATACAAGCCTTATTTCACTGTATTTTATTCGTTGACAGAAATGAATATAATCCACTGAAAATCTTCATGTGATGCCCATATCAATATTTGCATCAATAACTTATTACTCCATGAAATCCACACAGAATGAATTTATAAATTTGGGATTTATTCAAATTTTATTTTTCTCTCTCTTCCCCTATCTCCTCACTTATTGAAAGGAAAGGACACCTAAATCGTTTGACTAAGTAATATTTCTCAAAAACTTCTGGAGAAATAAAAATCTTTCATAAAGAGGTTTAGGGAAGCAATGCTTCCATCATTACTAGAGGCCTGAAATGGTGGCTATATTACAACATTTCAGATGGCTTCGGATTGATGCTATATATACTGTGTGTGCTTCAGCAGAGCTTATCATTTCCTTCCCACTACTCTGGTTTGGAAACATAAGCTGAATGCACAACATGTGCAGGAAGTTCACAGGAGCCCACTCTTTCCTCTAAATCAGAGCTGGTACAGAGGAATTTCTGAATAACCTCAAAAACTGGTGACATTAACTGCTATCCATGGGCTTTAGTGGGATCAGAGAAAGCATCATGAAATCAAGTGAAAATAGAATGTGTCTGTGCATTATTTTTTTCTGAAAAGAGCATCCAAAACATTAATCAGATCCTCTAATGTTCTCACACCTTTTAAAAATAATAAATACTACTCCTCTGTCAGCTTTAGAAGTTCCAGAGATCCAAACTGAGCCAATAACACCCTGAGTACATTGATGCATGATGAGGGACTGGAATAGAGCCATATTCTTTTATTTCTGTGTTTCTAGACATGGCAGTGGCTTTGGATTTGGTCTCACAAACTGCAAGCTATTTTGCATTGCTGTGGATATTATAGTTATCTAAACATTCTCAGGCCACTATAGGAGCCTGCAGAGATGAGAAATAAAGCCAACTGGCCCATGGTCTTAAATGGCACATAAGCAGGCCAATGAGAGGAGCCAAATATTGTATGATGCCATGATTCTATCCAGTAAACATCGGCAGAATTGAGTAGGCCATTTGAATAACTGAAATTGTGGTGGGTATCTGAAATACCTCCACGCAAATTCTGTGACAGCTTACACAAGGTAATGTTTCACCCTGGAGCATATTTATTTGGTGATTATAAGCATCACAGTATTTTATGTGCACTTTACCTCTTATCAAGAATACTTGAAATTTCTCTTTAATTCAATTTTCTAGCTATGCTGGTTTCAAAAGTTATGTCAGTCCATACAATTTATAAACTATTAATGTATATTTTAAGAAAATTAGTCACTTTTTGAAAAATCTTTCAAAAATTCTCAGAACCCAGTATAGTAGTTCACTCACAACAGGGAGTAGAGGATAAATGTGACATAATCTAGTTGAATAATCTGGCCCTTGTCAATAAGAGGCTTTTAGTTCCTCAACTATTGGCACATGTCAACGATGTAGAAATGAGTCATTGTCCAATGCATGCTGATGAGACCTCTTTCCTCATAGTAGGAAGACCACTGGACTCAAAGGCAAAGGAACTAGACAGGGGAACTAGTCACCAACCATCTTCCAACTGCCATCTTTCAGCTTTGGGATTTTTAGCAAATCAAATATTTCTTTCTCTTTTATTAACTAAAGTGCATGCTTACTGGGATTTATTTAATTTTTACCTAATGTTATTTCTTTATTCTACTATCACATCCAGAATACCGTTTTTCATTATCATGTCTCTGTAGGCTCCTCTTGGCTGTGACAGTGACAGACAACTTTATCAACTATAGTATAGTATTTATGTGAAATTTCCTTTGCTTTTAGTTTTAGAGACAACATTCATTTCCAAAGTTACTTATGGCAGCCCCTTCTGCTCACCCTACTCCCTTTAATGAGATTGTTTCCTGAATTTGTAATACAGAGTCTTATGTTACAGCCTGCATTCCATCCTGGTATCCCACAACTATATATATATCCCATTACAGTATCATAAGGTAAAGTTTCACTGCCCTAAAACCTTGTGGGCTTCATCTATTCAACGTTCTCCTCTCCACTAAACCCCATATAACCACTGATTTCTTTACTATCTCTATAGTTTTACCTGTCACCATTTTGGACTGGTTTGGCTCACTTAGCAAAATGTATTAATCGATATTTTGTATGGCTTAATAGCTCATTCATTTTAAGTTGAAGTATTCTACTCTATGGATATACCACAATTTGCTTGTCTATTCACCTACTGAAGGACATCTTGGTTGCTTCCAGTTTAAGGAAGTTATTAATAAAACTGCTATAAACATTTTATGTGGCTATATATTTTCAAATCAGTTTAGTAAATAACTAGAAAGTGATAATTGGATCGTATGATAAGACTTCATGTAGCTTTGCAGAAAACTACACAACTATCTTCCAAAGTGCACCAATCAGTGCTCTGTAAAAACGCCCCAATCAGCGCTATGTAGCTAGCAAGAGGATTGTAAAATGCACCAATCAGTGCTCTGTAAAATGCAACAATAAGCACGATCCTAAAAGCAGTCAATTGCAGGGAGGATTGGAAAAAGGGCACTCTGATAGGACAAAAATGGAACATGGGAGGGGACAAATAAGGTAATAAAAGCTGGCCACCCCAGCCAGCAGTGGCAACCCGCTCATGTCCCCTTCCATGCTGTGGAAGCTGTGTTCTTTCGACCTTCACAATAAATCTTGTTGCTGCTCTCTCTTTGGGTTCGTGCCATCTTGAAGAGCTATAACGCTCACTGCGAAGGTCCATGGCTCCATTCTTGAAGTCGGCAAGATCACGAACCCACTGGAAGGAACCAACTCTGGACACACTATATACTCACTGACAATTGACATGATCAGTTTTTTATTTTATTTTATTTTAGCTACTCTGCTAGATATGTAGTGATGGCTCATTGTTGCTTTAATTTGCATTCCTCTGATGCGAAATATTGAGCATATTTTCATATACTTAACTTGCCACCTATATCTTTTGCTTATGTTTTGAATGGCTTTATTTTCTTATTGATGAGTTTTAAGAATTATTGTATATTTCATATACAAGTATATTATTAGATATGTAATTTGCAAATATATTCTCCCAGTCTATGTTTAATCTTTTTCTTCTCTTTTACAGAGTATAATTAATTTTAATTAAGTAAACCTTACCAATTTTTTCATCATTTATACTATGTGTGCTAAGTAGCAAATACACAGGATCTCTTCATTTACAGAATATATAATTTAGTAGATAATAATTATTTTAAAAAAACGAAAAAAATTGAAGCAAGATACAGAAACATATCAACATATATCAGCTTGTTCATTTTATAATTCTCATAATTGTCAAGGTGTATGATTTCTGGTCATTGATTATCTCTGTTTTTTTTCCCTGAAACTAAGAATATGAGTCATTACTCATATGCACCATTCTTATGGTGTTATACCTAAACACTCATCACCAAATCAAGTCACATAAATTTTTCTCATGTTTTATTCTAGAATTTTTAGAGTTTTAGACTTATTTTTAGACCTACAATCCTTGTTTGAGTTAATTTTTGAGTTTTGAGTTATAAAAGTTATTAGCTCTATGTCTAGTTTCTTTCCTTTTTTTGCATATAGACATACACATTTCAGCACCATTTCTGGTAATGATTTTCTCCACTGAAGTGGCTTTACTCTTTTTTCAAAGATGGGTTGACTATATTTGTGTAGGTCTATTTCTGAACTCTGTATTCTGTTTCATTGATATGCATGTATTCTTCCACCAATATCCCACTGACTTGGTTACTGTAGCTCTACGGTAAGTCTTGAAATCAAGTAGAGTGAGTCATATAACTTTGTTCCTCATGTCCACTATTGTTCTGGATATCCTATGCCTTCTCCCTTTCCACATAAATTTTACAATCAAGAATCAGGTTATCCATATATACAAAATATCTTGCTTGGATTTGAATGAAAATTGTGTTAGATCTATATTCATGTAGGGAAAAATTGACATCTTGGCAATATTGTTTGAGTCTTCCAATCTGTAATCATGAAATCTCTCTCCATGTATTTAGATTTTCTTTGATTTCTTTCATCAGAGTTTTGTAGTTTTTCACATACAGATTCTGTACATCATTTGTTAAATTTATACCACGTATTTGATTTTTGTACTATCATAATCTTTTCTTACATTTGAAATTCAAATTGTTCATTTCTCATATGGAAGAAAGAAGTTGATGTTTCCCTAATTACCATTTGTCCTGAAACTTGCTGTACTCACTTGCTCATTCTAGGGATTTTTGTGGACTCATGACTCTATTTTTTTAATCTACAAAATAAGGTAATCATAATCTCTTCCTGATAGAATAGCTTAGAAATTAACTGTAATATATATGATAGTGGCCGGTGGAGAGTCTTACACATAATAAAACTTACTAAATAGTCATTGAAAATTTCATTTTAACAAGAAACATTGATGTAAAGACTGACTGCATAATTTTTTGAAAAATCCTAAGCAAAATATTTTTTCTGATTAAATACTTCTGTTATTAATTAAAATGTAATCAAAGAAGTATATAGTAATGTGATTTTATGATCTCCATAAATGACTCTTTTAATTTTATTCAAATATAATGTTGTTAATTTATGCATGTTTTAATTATTCCTAGTGTTACTTTCTGTTGCAGCATTTCTTATGTAAAGAGCTGAAAATCTTTCATAGAAATGCATAAATTATTGTGCTAAATATTACTCTCAATGCTACAAAGATGCTGAACCCAACTTAAAGAAATTACAATCTGTAATTAATTTTATTGAACAAGAGGTACATACAAAGGTTAGAGAAAAACTTTATAATCCTCTATCTTTGACTTTGTCATTTCTTTGAATACTGTTTAAGTAATTAAGATAAACAGTAATGAGGGAATGGAAGAGCTTGAAAAGCTGCAGGGTCAAAAATGGTGCAATGGACAAAAAAGTGGACAAAACAGACAGTTTATTGCCTAAGCCAGAAAAGCCAACATAAAAACCAATTTCCTCTCTGTGCCCAACTGGCCCATATATTAGTCCTATGTTGGTAATTTCCACTTCTACTGAGCAAGGGAATTACCTTTTTTGTTGTTATTAATCTTTGACATTCCCCTGCTTCACACCAAAAATTTGGAATCAGTAGGTCTTGGTTTCACCCCAAGAATATGTGTTTTAACAATAATCAGTGTGTTCATGGCACATATTTTGAAATAGTATCCTAGAGCATCATTTATACTATGTGTGCTAAATAGCAAATACATAGGATCTCTTCTTTTATAGTATATATAATTTAGTAGATATTAATTATTTTAAAAAGCAGGAAAAATTGAAGCAAGATACAGAAACATGTCAACACATATCAGTTTGTTCATTTCATAATTGTCATAATTGTCAAAGTGTATGACTTCTGATTCACAATTATCTCTGTTTTTTCCCTAAAACTAAGAATATGAGTCATTACTCATATGCACTACTTCTTTTTAATTTTAAAATTGAAATCTTTTTGTATTGGGGTCAAAGTCAAGTCTCAGTGGCTAATTATGTTGAGTGTTAAGCTAACTGATCAAACACCAGACTTGTGCACCATAATTCTGAATAACTGTATCTGGTTTTGTGAGAGAAAGAAAAAGCATTATTTTCTCTAGAGAAATCCTGGGAGCAACTCCACTGGAGCTATTCACAATTAAAAAATGGTCAGGCAGTTTGGAAAGGTATGTAGAGGAGAAAATCCAGCTCCAATAGGGAGCCTGGCATAGTATAGCACTACAAACCAGCAAGGGGCTAATGTTCACAGCCTGATTCCTGCAGGTGCTCACACTCCTGGAACTGTAATGGAGTATCACAAAGGGAACAACTTCTTGTTTGCACTCTGCTTAGTAATGAGACTCATTGACCTTGTTGCCTTCTTATATTCTGGGATTCTTGTAGTCTGGGTTACCATCTCCAGCCTGTGTCTATTCAGAAGATTGGGGGAAATGTCTTATCTCCCTTCCCTGTCAGATAGATGGAAGCTGCACAATGCCACAGGGATAGGCAGAATGATGAAAGCCATTTTGTGAAGAAACCATGGGTTGACACAATAAAACCAAGCTGCCAGATCCAAAAGGCTGAATAGGATCTGGCAGCCAAAAGAGGACAAAGAACTAATTTTGCTGAAGGGCAAAGATTATAATGATAAACAAACTGTTTAATATGGTGGGAATAAACTGAACCTGAAAGAAGTCTGAAGGCAGTCTACGAATGCACAGGATGGCTTTTATTTCAAATATTGCTTATTCTTTATGGATATGTAGGGTGCATTTAAAAGGGCCAAAAATACAAAGACAACATGTGTACTAAACAGAGTGAAAAAAAGGGAGAGTATATTTCTGTGCTCATTCTTCTTGGCATTCCACTCTTTTTTCACTGTTAGTGGCCTTCCACCTGCTCCAACTTGGAAATAGAAATGCTGATTCAGTCCTAGCAGAGGCAATAGGCACAGAGTAAAGGTACATCAAAAGCTCTTGTGGTTACACCAGTTTCTAAGTATTAACTTAGAGAAGCTGAAAAAAAAAAGAGGGACAAATATGGTTTGGTGGTTGAAAACACAGTCCCCACTATTGTATACCTCGCATCTTCAAAGTCTATGTTATTTCTGACATATTCCCATATTACGTAGATGAAATTAAGTAGTTTGTGTGTGAAAGGGCATGGAATGTGTAGCAGACCAATCCAAAGGACCAGGAGAGTATCACTGGTATCATTTACACTCTATATCTTCTTCACATTTTTATATATAAAATACTTCAGGATGGATTATCTTATATGATACTCACCTTGAAGGCAATTCATATAGGGGTTATTATATTCATTTTCATGATGAAAAGGCCAAGTTCCTGAAAGATAAAGGCTTTTCACCACCTTTTCCACATTCGGTTATCCAGCAAATGGCAGATTTGGAATGTAAGCTCAGATCAATTATTCTTACTCTTTGTCTGATATGCTTTCTCCTGCAACCAGTTGTCTTTCTTGTAAAGCAAAAACAACTCTATAAACTCAGTGTTCCTAGATGTGTTGGTAATTTCAATAGACCTGTTGAATCCATTATTTTTTTACCAGAACTGGAAGACCTAGAGCGAAGGAACTCAGGATTGTATCAGAAATATAGAAGGAAAAGTTTAAATTGTGATTCAGTGTGGCGCTGGAGTCAGCTAGCACAAAATCCCAAGAGCCATCTCTTCCCAACTTCAGGTTCAGTAACATCACATGGGTAGATTGAAATTGACCATAATGGGAGTATTTCACCAGAAAAATTGGCAAGTGCTACAATCTAGGCTTTTTCATCCAGAGAGATAGTTATTAAACATTTATTAGGTCATCACTGCATCTAACTCGTTTGTGCTGTTGGGGTGGGAGATAGGGATATGAGTAATGAATAATGGAAAAAGCATGGTCTTTAGAGTAAAAAAGACTTTGGTTTGAACTCTAGCTTTACCATTATAATGGGGTGACCTTGGCCAAATTACCTACCCTTCTTTGCCTGTAATCCTTCGTAAGTATAATAATACTTAGCTGTTAATAAGAGATAATAATACCTCCTCGCAGAGTCTCAGGATTAATAATCATGTATGTAAGTGCAAAGCAGTCAATTTTAGATGCTAGTATTAGAATTGTTAGATATCTCACTGCTTTTTATCCTTCTGTGTCTAAGTTTCCACATGAGTAAACTGAAAATTATGTTAGTGCTCTGTGAAAGATGTATAACATTGGAAAAACAATATCTTTGAAAACTGATGACAGTTTTAAAACTGATGACATTTCTTAGAATCTGTAAGACCCTTTGGAAACACGTGCCATTATAATTGTAGCTATTTACTGTTAGTACACAATACAGTAAAATATCAAATCCAGCTAAGGGAGAGCTACATTTGCCGAACTGAAGTAACAGGAGATAAATGGTACTGCTCTCCTCCAAAGGACCTGTGGATTTATAAATTGGTAGGAACATAGGATTTTGATTATTTTGTTTTATATGATTCACAATGCCAAGCACTGCAATCCCAATTTTATCCTGGACCATCCATTAGTACTTACTTGGAGAGAATAGTGCCACCAACATCACCCTCATAAGCACGGCCAAATGCCCAAGTTTCTTTTTCCTGTTTGGAGAGGAATGCACTCTAGAGAACATCTTCTGAAACCTAGCCTATTTTTTTTTTTTCCAGAAGGACAACCAACTCTTACATCAAAGCAACAGTTTAGACAAGGAGTGAGATTTCTGTAAGATATGTTTTACTCTAGCATTCAGAGACTTAAGAAACACGAGACAGTACAAATATTGTGAGAATATATGAGTACACATAGTAGTATTGAAACCAGCAACAATCCAGAAGCAAAAACAAGCACACAACAATAAAATAATAAAAAATGCTTTTGTTTAGTGAAAGTGTCAAAGAGTGTGTACTGCTCTGAGTATCTCAGACTTAGGGAAATCTAGCATCGTTTTGGTCCTTCAGGCATATTGCATTGAAGAAGTTTAAAGGAAGCTGTGGTGCATGCCAATGTCATGGAGAATAAGCTATGCAGTAGGAAGTCCCCCCATGGAGGCATGATTTTATGCTAAAAATAACAGCTTTTGAGCTACTCCATTTCAGCTTATTCCATGAAAAGAGCTACTAAGTGTCATACATGTTGAAATGAGTCATATGTGTGATTATGTATACATTTTTTGAAACCTGGTAATGAAATTATAAATAAAATTATAATTAATAGCTTCAATTAGTGAAGTGGTTAAAGGGCCTCTCCTCAAGAGAAGGAACCATGGTTGTAAATCAGGAATCCATTGAAACGGGTGTTAAATTTGCCACTGCTTTTTTTAATGCAAATAGATAAACATATTTTCAGGATAGTGGTTAAAGTTCAGAATTGTGAAGCTTTATTGGTAATGATAAACTTGTTTATTGTTTATTCATAACAATAAACATAACAAAGTATGCTTTATTTTGCCTGTGCCAAAATTGTTGCCTTAAAAATAAAAAAAAAGTATCCTGCAGAATTGGCAAAAAGACCAACCATCCACTAAATAAGCCATTCACTTTACTAGGGACAAATATTTCACTTCAAGTTCCATGTGAAATGGCATTTTGCTAGAAGATATTAGTATCAAATAATCTGAACATTTGTGAATGATAAAATTTAGCTACTTTTGTGCTATCTTCAAAATGATGTCTTAAGGAAATTTTGCAGTTGCTTAATTTGCTTTGTGATACCAGTAACATCAAAGAAATACTAATAAAGAAGAAATTGGTTGGAAATAGACACCAGTTGTCTCAGCCCACTCCCCCCAGTATAACTGGTCATGATTGATTTCCTTTATTTTCTTAATCACCGGAAAATACTTTTCTTCCCCGTTTCTTTGGGAAAACATTTAAGGAGCAATAACAGGGCTACTACCTTGCTTTGTTTCTTGACTGGATTTTGCAGTCCTTCTATCTGAACCTTCCAGCTCTTCCACATATTGGTTGATATTTAGGGTTTGCCTTTGTAACTAAAGCAATCTGTAGCTAAGAAAATTTTTTAAAAGAACATTTCCTTTCAGGCCCTAGGGAACACAAATGTATCAGACCAAAAATTTGATTTTATTTGTACTGAAAATGGTTGAGCACTATAACAAAAATCAAATGGTCTAGTGGTGCAAGCAAATAAAATAGGCCTTCTCCCAAGAAAAAAAATAAAAAAAAAGCCTAATGGAGTTCTTGCTTCAAAGCATGAAAAGTAAAGCCATCTGACCACAACAAAGCTGCATGGTGTTTTGTTTTTGTCAAAAATTTTGACTTTTATGGGGCTGGTGGCTAATAACAGAAAGCAACCATGGATCCACTGACTAACATCGTGCAACTCTGCGCCAACTACCTTGGGTTAGAGTTGTCTTCTCAGGCAATAAATACATGTACTGGAAATGATAAGTTTCTGGACCTCTGCAAAGCATCCTTTTCTTTCTTTCTTTCTTTCTTTCTTTCTTTCTTTCTTTCTTTCTTTCTTTCTAATCCAAGTCACAACAAAGTATTAGGCAGAAGATTTTATTTGATAATTTCCAGAGACAGCGTAGCAATCTAGGCAAGGCAAATTACTATGTATGCTTTGAAACATCTTTTTATACCTAGTTCGATTTCCCTGGTTCTTAATTAAATGTTAAAATTCAAATCACTATTGACTGAATAGACTGGAAATTTTAGGAAAGTCACTGTGGAGCAGTCAAATTTAGTGCAGCATTCTCCTTTAATATGTAAGACACTGGCCAAGGCCATAAAATAGCAACTCTAGTTTTCTTTTAAGTAATTCAAACAATTATTTATTTATTTTATAATTTCAACTTTTATTTTAGATTCAGGGAGTACATGTGCAAGTTTTTTTTATACAAGTTTATAACATTATGCTGAGGTTTAGGGTGTAAATGATTCTGTCCCTCAGGTTGGGGGTGACATATGGCTTTGGTCATATGGTTTTTGTGGGTTAATTGCTTAATGTCTCTCAAATACATCTCCCCTTTTGTAAGAGGGAGGATGTTTGGGAAATAATAAGACCAAACATACTCTGAGCTTCTTGGAGAGGTTCAGGCTTGTAGAATTTGTGATGATGGTGCTTAAAATGATAGACCATTAACCACAATCCCCTGATGGAAAGGAGTTTGATTTCACTGGAAGAGAAAAGTAGATATCAGAGATAAATATATTTTCCTGCCTCCAGATACATGAAATAATAGGAAGCCTATATAGATTTGATTTATAGTCTTCTCATGTTTTTCATCTTTTTTGAGGTAATCTGGGTATTAGAATATCTATTATTCAAATTTAGCAAACATTTGTTGTACAGCTAATTAAGATTCTAGTACTCTGTTGGACATTAAGGTTTTAAGTTAATACAGCATTGTCATGCCCCTCAAAACAATTCACCATACTGTAATGCAGAATTAAATAAAAGCTAACTTGAGGTATACAGAATTTTTAAGAGAAACAAAGAGGAATAATTCTGGTAAAGATAAGACAGAAAAAGTGAAAAAAAATTGTCTTTTAAGTTACACATTGAAGACAAAAAAAGACCTAAATAAATGAAGAACAAAGGAAGGATATTCATTACAAGCTGAGAAAAGTACTCTGAAAAAAAAACAGAAAATATATGAAGGGTTAGGGAACACATTTGGTGTGTTTTTACTATTGTGTTCCATTAATAGCTGTGAGGGAAGGTTTTTAGTCATAATACTGGCTAATAGTCATGCTCTTTGAACTTTGTAATTTGAGGACTATCCACTGGGAGCTAGAGATTCTGAGGTGTTGTTTTTGTTTTTTGTTTTTGTTTTTCCCCAGTACTGCTACCTGCAATAGATGTTTCACAGTCCAGTTACCTCTGAACTAGCTGGTATTGCTACATTGCAAGAAATGTGGAGTACTTTTCACCTACCCTCATATACCTCAGATTCTATATCTGAATATTATAGGGCTTTCACACCGTAATTTACCAAATTGTGTATATTTGTAATCAAGTACATATGACACTAATGTGTTTTGTATTAGAACTGATGATTCTTTTATTACATATGCGGTATTCTGCCATAGAGTAGCTATCTGTTCAGTTCAAAGATGTGAAAGCTAAGACTGAAGGAAGTTAAAATATTTCCAAGGTTTACCAACTAGGTATTTAGATATCTAGATCATAAACCCCAAGATTTCTCTTTTTGCTCTTCATAACGCTTTTTTTCTTACTATACTATATGTTATTACTCTTTTTTATCAATAGATACTTTAAATGTATAATTGAACCCAATTTGATATTGACAACTGATATGTATAGTGGGACATTTATTTCTTAAGAAAGGATGAGAAATGCTTTATTTTCTCTGGTATTGACAGATTCAGTTTTATAACTTGAGTAGCTATGTCAGTATGAATTGGTTAAAACGTTGACAGAAGTGGAACAGTTGAATTTTGCTGAATTTACACAATTCTTCTTTGCAGAACTTGACCTTGTTACATAGAATAACATATTAGTGTACTTGCTGTATTTGGTACAGTCGATTCCTACTGCTAATTAAGCAGAATTTCACTCCCATGCACATGATCTGCAAATGACATCAATTTATTGGCTATACTAAAAATTCAATATATTGGTGTTCTGTTTCCACAGTCTTTTCTTAACATATTAATTCTTAGGGCAATAAAATGTTCTCATGGTACCTACAAAATAAGACAAACTATTTCATCTCTCTCATTCTCATGTTGTCTCAACTAATTCATTAACAGAGGTAAATTGGGAGCAAGACTGAGTCACAGGCTTAAAATTAGTATGTTGAGCTGGCATGACTCAGAAATTCCAAGATGAAAGATGTTTAACCATAATTAGCCTTTGGGAAGCATGAGTTACATAGATTTTCAGGGGAAAAAAAATGTGAAAGATGTTGAAATGGGCAAGAGAGAGAAAAAAAATATTACTTTCCTAAGTAGGGTACCTCTCCCTAAGTGCTATCGGCTACTTAACAACTCTGTTGTAGAAGACCAGTTTTTATCTTTTATCTTTTATTTTCTTGAGACTGAGTTTCACTCTTTTCGCCCAGGCTGGAATACGATGGAGTGATCTTGGCTAACTGCAACCTCTGCCTTGCGGGTTTAAGTGATTCTCCTGCCTCAGCCTACCAAATAGCTGTGATTACAGGCTGCTGCCACCACGCCCAGCTATTTTTTGTATTTTTAGTAGAGACGGGGTTTCACCATGTTGGCCAGGCTGGTTTTGAACTCCTGACCTTAGGTAATCCTCCCACCTTGGCCTCCCAAAATGCTGGGATTACAGGCATCGAGCCACTGCACCTGGCTGAAAACCAATAATTTTATAAATGCTCCATAGAAAGGCTAATGGATTGTGCTTGGTGGAATACAATTACTTATCACGCTGTGGATAGAAAAGTCTTACATCTTATGTAAATTTATTTCAGCATCTTTTAATGCCTAGATATATGTAGTTATTTGAGTTCTCCTTTGAGCTGGTTGTAACATCCTACCACCCTCCTCATTAGTGAGTTGAGTAAATTGAAATACGATTGTTGAAAATTGTATGAGAGTCACGATTTTAGTTTTTTATTCAATCTTTTAACAGTATCAATCAATCAATGGTTCTCGAATTCTAGTGTGCGTTATAATCCCCTGGAGGGCTTGTTAAGGCTTAGATCACCAGACTCCATTTCCAGAGTTTCCGATTCAGTATTTGTGGGTGGGGCCTAATAATTTGCTGCATTTCTAGCGAGTTCCGGGTGATAATAAAGCTGCAGGTCCAGAGACTATACTGTTAGAACCACTGGTATAAATTGTAGTCACTTAGGCTGATCATTACAATCCCCAAAAACCTTCATTTTACATAAGTGAAAAGATGTTCATTCTAACATCTATTCCGCAGCCCTAAACTATTTTCAGATTCCTCTGTGAAAAAGAATGTTTCTTGTCCTTTCATTTTTCCCTTTCTGGCTGGATAAATCAGCCTCTTAAATTTCCTAATTTGGGCATTAGAAATAGTGGCAGCTTTTATTAAATGACATGGTGGGGAATAGGAAGGTATCATAGAAGACAATATAAGATTCACTCTAGACTAATTATGTAGTTAATTACTCTAGTGTGTGAACTTAGTCTTCAAAGCAATCTCATTTGAGCTGAGAAAAAAGCTACCACAGACAATTATGAGATGTGTGTGATGTGAGAAGGCGAAAGAGAGAGCTGTTGTTGGAAGAACAGTATAAATGCTAAGCAATGTAATCTGAAATAAACATAAGTGGAACTGTGTTTTCCCTAAGTTATAGTCTTCAATGCATAATAGGTCCTTTCCATTCTATTTCTGTGATTCATTTGCTCATTGGAACAAGTTATATATTTTTCTTCTTTCTCCTTTCCTGTTGCAGGATATGCATTGTCTTTCCCTATTATGGCTGTTGAACTTGTTATGCATTTTCATTGTTACATAGGAGGGTAGCAGTGGAGAGTAACTTAAATGAGCAAGTATTTCTTTTCTATTTAAATCAAAAGGAATATATCATACCCTTGGCTGAACACCATATACCTGACCCCAAAATGTGACCATTGTTTTTCTTTTGTATTCTCATGTTCTGAGAGATAGTCAGAGAGAAAAGAAAGAGAGAGAGACAGAAAGAGAGGAAAGAAAGAAAGCAAGAAGACAGAAAGGAAGAAAGGAAGAGAGAGAAAGAAAGAAAGAAAGAAAGAAAGAAAGAAAGAAAGAAAGAAAGAAAGAAAGAAGGAAGGAAGGAAGGAAGGAAGGAAGGAAAGAAGGAAGGAAGAAAGAAAGGAAAGGAAGGAAGGAAGGAAGAAAGAAAGAAAGAAAGAAAGAAAGGAAGAAAGAAAGAAAGAAAGAAAGAAAAGCAAGACCTGTGATTGGTATGCTGATGGTGGGAAAATAGAAACTGAACTTTCAAATATAATACTTTTTAAAAAGCCTTTTGTGAACCTATAAAACATAAGATAAATTAAATCTAATTTGCATGCAATTTGTCATGTATTTAGAGGTTGGTGGCAATTAAAAATGCAATTTGCTTTTAACACTGTATTTCCCTTTTATGTACATTAAAAAAATACTTTGACACATTTCTGTCATGTTCATGAGATTACAATAGTGCCCTCTAGTGGACAAATGAAATTATACCTCATATATTTGTAGGGTTTTCGTAATTTTACACACATGAGCTGACCTATATTTAATTCAAATAAGAAGGCAGTAATGACACTTTGAGTAGGTAGAAAGCGTTGTGTTATTTTAACGGGAAAGAGTTTGTGGATGGGACAATGTATCTGAGTGAATTTGCATTTAGAAAGTAGTTTTCTTTCTCCCCATTCTTTTCTTTCCCTCTCTTTCCTTCTATTTTTTAAAAATATTCTTTTAACCAATAAACCTTCAATTTAACGTTATAACGCATATATGAAATTGGGACTTGAAAGCTGAGGACAGAAATGAAATGTGTTATTATCATCAAGTTTAAGGCCACTTTAGGAGGTTTTGCTTTGGTAGACAAAGCTATTTTAGCAAACACATTATGCAGTCGTACCTCCTTATATTCTTTGAATATTGGTTGTCAGGGAAATAGAATATCGGAAGCATCTAACCTAGAAATTCATAAAGATTTTTTCATTGGTTGATAGTCAACACTAATATTAGAAGGAGTAAAAATATCTGTGCAATATAATAATCTTACTTACATTTTTATCTCTGAATGCAGCAATATTTTGAGAATAACATTTTTGCCATTGTCATTCCAATTATGTGCTAATGAAGCATATTTATTTTGAATTTTCCAAAGTAACCTTATTTTCCATACTCTTAAAATATCCACAGGTAAAGCTTAGTGTTTTTTTTTTAATTTCTTAAATATTTTATTATTGTTCTCAACCAATAAGATATTTTTATGTTTATGACGCTTACAAATTAAAAACGATTTGAGATGTAGTAATTTGTTAATCCTCATATCTAATTTTGTATCTATAGCTAAAATATGAGAAAAAGAAATAGAGAAAATAATAAAAGACAAGAGTTTTACAATCTGTTCAAATGCTAAGCACCTAAATTCTCTAATTCAAAGTAAGGTCATAGTCCATAAATAAAACCTCTTTCTCTTGAGCCTTTAATATATACCAAAGTATGCTGGCAAGAAGTAAACTACACCCTAAGTGATTTACCCCTTTGCATATTACTGTAAGAAATGGTTAGTACCAGCAACTGCCTTGTAAAATAGAATGGTCCAATGGATGCTGCAATTGTGACTGTGGCCTCCCAGGAATACAGGTTGCCATATGTTTCTCTTAAATTTACCCGAGGTTGCTATGCAAATCCTTGAGGAGAAGCCCATGAGTATTGCGCAACATGGAAGTTGTAAATATTGGCTGAACTGCTGAGCAGGAGTATGTGAAGAACATGTCTAAACTAATCCCCTTTTCCAGTTCAGGCTCACTCTTGAGACTCAGCTGGCACTAAAATAATCTTAAATTTGAACTTACTGCTTCAGGCCAACACATAATGCTGTTAGCAAGGGAGACGAGACTGAAGTAGTTGCCTCTACACATTCTCACTGATCCACTTTCATGGAATTTTGTCAAATTCAACTTAGCATGTACATACATGTTCAAAGTAAATGAATTTATTTATATATTTTATTTTGTTGGTTTTAAAAAAGCTCCAATACTGAGACAAAAAAAGAAATTCTACCTATTTCAGAGAACCAGATATTATCCTATGTGCTGTCTCAGTTAAGGTTATTTTATTTCAAACGATAGAAACAAAGCAACAGGCATGTTAAATATTTACAACTAAAATGTGGTGCATAACTCCAAAATTGGAAAAAAACAATGGTGCCTATCCAGCGCCTGGGAAATATAGGTGCTGTGACTGAGCAGGGGATGTCAGTATTGCAAACTTATGGACCTTCTTTTGAATGTTCCATTAAATAACTCAATATGAGAAGCTATTGTCTCTGGAAATGTTTTAAATTCCCATAAGAGAGAATCTAATTGGCCCATATTGCATCAAACACTACCACCTTAGTCTAATCCTCATGACTCAGTTGATAGCAGGATCCATGATATTCAGGTTCATGGTATCAATCTTAAAGAAAGAAATTGAGGCAAAATTAACATAAGTAGAGAGTTTATTTGGGATAACTTGAAGATTGTAACCTGGGAGCATAGATTTAAATTGTCTGGAGTATACATTTTGATAAGTAGCAATTGCAAGTGGTTTTTTTAAAGGGAAGTGAGGGCCAATTCTTGAGTTGTTTACCAAGAATTTACATTAAAATAACATAGCTATCGATTGGCTATACATTGTTAAACTATAACATATGGGTTGCAGTGTCTGGTGTGGCATTACTAGGTTAACTTATAGTTACTTGTGTTAATATCAAGCAGTTTTAAGATGTGAATACATAACTCAAAAGGGGGAGAATAAGACATGAGTTTTTGTTTTGTTTTCTCAATGAGAATCACTAGAACGAAGGTAATGGAAAAGAGATACCTTCACAGGAGAGAAAGGGTGTTGAGTAGCCAAAACAATCAAACATTTATTACATTTCCACTCTTGTCTTCTCAGCACTACACACATACCCGTATACTGGCATTTTAAGAATACTCTCCTTTAACAAAATGCAATCATCTTACGTGTTACCCAAAATAAACTCTCCCTTTCCAAAACAGACTAAAGTCATTCTTATTTAATATCCATGTCACTGTCATGAGCCAGTGGTGTGCTTCTTCAAGTCCTGAATTATTCCACTACTCACTTTTTTTTTGTTTTTTTTTTGTTTTTTTTTGAGACGGAGTCTCACTCTGTTGCCCAGGCTGGAGGGCAGTTGTATGATCTCCTCTCACTGCAACCTCTGTCTCCTGGTTCAAGCAACTCCCCTCCCTCAGATTCCCAAGTAGCTGGGACTACAGACACGTGCACCACGCCCAGCTAATTTTTTTGTATTTTAGTAGAGATGGGGTTTCACCATGTTGGTCAGGATGGTCTGTAACTCCTGACCTCGTGATCCACCCGCCTTGACCTCCCAAGTGCTGGGATTACAGGCGTGAGCCACACTACTTACCTTTTAATCTTACTGATATTAAGCAACTTACGAAGAATACTCCAAATGTTTAGGGAGGATTTTTTTCTTCTTTAATGTCCTTAGGTCTATGAAAGAAAGAGTGCGAATGTTTGGAAGTTTACTTCAACTGATGCTGGTACAAAACAGCTAATGCTGCTGTTAAACTCTGGGCTTCTTTCCATACCCTGGTGGCTTTTCACCTCCTCAACATCTTTGTGACTATTTCCTTCATTAAATTTCCTCTGTTAAATTATCTTTCATGGCCTTTGTGATCCTGACTATACTCAGACTGATAGTAGTGCACCAGTAGTTTACTATGTTTGTAGATAATGTTTGATATCAATGCAAATGTGCAGATTCTTTATAAATATTGTACAGCCTTCCAGAACTTTATGATTCACAGCCACAGCATCTCAGAAATGATAAATTAAATCCAGGAAAATTTAGGAGAACCATCCAAGGTTAGATATTTGGGGAATAAGATGGGACTAGGAACCAGCTTTGCTGACTTGCAATTTGGTATCCTTTAATTTCTACTTTGCCTTGTATTTATGAACATTATATTTCTGCTTATGTTTACAATTCTCTACTTGATACAAATTCACCTATTTTTATAACCAAAAATAACAATCCCAAAGTGAATATGTAGGCAGAATTTTCAAGGTTGAACAATTTATAAATTTTAAGATGGATTGTCTGCAAGTCCCTGCTTCTGTGCAATAAATAATACTCAAGTGACCTGTAAGAGTTAATACAGCTTGCAAAAGAGCTTAATTTATTCCCATGATATAACCCATACATAGGGAGAATGTGGCTCATTAAATTCCTTTCAATGACTCCCGGTAGAGAAGTTTGTTTTTGGATCAATATTATGCCCCTCTTGACTTAACTGAATCACAGTTACTCTTGGGAACATGCTAGCTTTTACTTTTGGATGTGGGCCTCTTTGCAAAGATGGATATTGTTCCTATGGTTATTCATAATTCTGTTTTAAAAGCAAACTGACTTACTATTAAAAACACTAAGGCGATTTAAAAACAAAGAACAGAGTAAAATGTTTGTTTTTTTAATTAAATACAAAATAAAAAGACTGACTTCTTTATTCAATAGTTTTTTTTTTTCTTTCCAGCAGCTAATAAAAGAGGTTATCCTCCTGTGGGTATCTTTTATTGATACTTTTTGCACCTGAAGAAAGGTGCATCTTCAGAAAGTCAGATTTTTTAATAGACACTTTTTTTTTTTTTTGAGATGGAGTCTCTCTCTGTCACCCAGGTTGGAATGCAGTGGCGTGATCTCAGCTCACTGCAATCTCCGCCTCCCAGGTTTAAGCAATTATCCTGCCTCAGCCTGCTGACTAGCTGGGATAACAGGCACATGCCACCATGTCTACCTAATTTTTGTATTTTTAGTAGAGACAGTGCTTTACCATGTTGGTCAGGCTGGTCTCAAACTCCTGACCTCATGGTCCGCTCACCTCGGCCTCCCCAAGTGCTAGAATTACAGGTGTGAGCCACTGCGCCCGGCTCTTTAATGACATATTCTTAAGAAGTACTTTCAGAAATCATAGACTACAGTGCAGAAACAAGTGTGCTTCATTAGATGCTACTTTATCTTATTTCTCTTTCCTTCACATTAATCAGATGTTGCAGTAAGTACACACACACTCATTTATACATTATACATTTATATATATATACACACACATAATGTATACATTTGTATATACATAATGTATAATGTATACATTATACATTATATTTATATATAATGTTCCTCTGGACTTAACTGAATCACAATTTCTCTTGGGAACATGCTAGCTTTTTCTTCTGGGTGCAGCCCTCTTTGCAAAGATGGGTATTGTTCCTATGGTTATTCATAATTCAGTATATATACACATACTGCAAAATAAAACTGTGTTTAATGATGTTGGACAGTTGAATGAAATCTCAGATATTGTGATAATTGCCCCCATATATCATAATGAAGTGATTAAGAGTGAGGACCCTAAAGTCAGATTCCTGTGTTTAAATCCTGGATCGACCATTTGCTAGATTTGTGGCCTCAGGAAAGCTATTTTGAGTTTCCAAGTCTCAGTTTCCTTATCTATATACTGAGCTTAAAAATAGTAACTACTCCATTAGAACACAGATGAGAGGACTAAATTAAGTGAAAGAGTATATGGAAAATGTCTCCTATTCGTAAGTATTCAATGGATAGTAACTATATTTATCATGCCGATCTTTGTAAACTCCATTACTTTAAATACACAAGTAGAAGATCATTAGTATAGTGAGTGTCAAAGAAAAGTCGCACCAGACCAGTAAAGCAGGCAAGTGTCTTGGTCAGCATGTATTTCTATAACAAAATACCATGTACTAGGTGGCGTAAACAATAGACATTTATTTCTTAGGGTCTGGAGGGTGGAAAGTCAAAGATCAAAGATTAGGAAGATTCAATTCCTGGTGAAGGCCCTCTTCAACTTGCAGAGGGCCACCTTCTTGCTGGGTCCTCACATGGCAGAGAGATAGAAAAAGAGAGGGAAAGAGAGAAAACACTGATCTTTCTTTCTTTTTTTCTTTCTTTTAATATGGACACGAATCCCATGATGAAGACCCAGCACTCATGACATCGTCTAAACCTAATTATCTCCTAAAGACCCCACCCCCAAATACCATCACACAGGGTATGAGGACTTCAACATATGGATTTTGAGGGGACAAAAACATTCAGTTTATAAGGGCCAGGATGACTTTCTTTAAGACTATTCCAGTAGGAAAAAGACTGTATTCAACTTTACTAAAACAAAAGGTAGGAGGATTTTTAAATGCTTGCTGACATTAGTGAAAGCCTGGTCAGTGTGATTAGGCCACCTGTGTTTGCTAATTCCTGCATATTGAAGTTAGACTCCTACTCTCCCAGTGAAACAGAAAAACAGGGGCCCTATCTTGATACCATTTCAAAGGAATGGCTCCCACGTCCTTGAAAAAGACCTTTCTGGGTTGTGGGAGATTCACATCTCAAAAGGTCCAGGAAAGGATTTACAATTACAAGTTTTCTAAAGTAAGTGCTCTAAGAAAATGGACAGCAGGGGAATTAGTTAGAAGGAAGCCTTTCTACAGTGTAGTCAACTAAGGGAAACTTTAAGGGCATCTTGGTTCTAGGCAAATATTAATATCCTAGCAATCCCATCTTTAAAAACAAATCTTGCAAATTTTATAGATTATGTAGTCCTCATGAATGAGAGACGCATAAAATTTCTCTGCTGGTATCTGTTATTGCCTCTTCAAATTACAGATATTATAAATACAAATAGTATCTATAGTTTATTAAGCACAATATCATTTGTGTCATTACCACATATCTGTCAAATATTTTGTTTCCATCATTGGCCATTGGGGATTTTTTGTTATGATTCTGACTAGTTTTAAATAGAGTAGACAGGTGACAAGTTTTTATATTTGGAAAGTTTAATAAACAAAGAAAATATTTGAATCAAAGTTTTAAAGTCGCAGGGTGTGGTGGCTCATGCCTGTAATCCCAGTGCTTTGGGATGCTGAGGTGGGTGTATCACTTGAGGTCAGGAGTTCAAAACCAGCCTGGCCAACATGATGAAACCTCGTCTTTACTAAAAACACAAAAATTAGCCGGGTGTGTTGGCGTACACCTGTAATCCCCGCTACTCAGTAGGATGAGGCACGAGACTCTCTTGAACCCGTGAGGCGGAGGTTGCAGTGAGCCAAGATCATACCACTTAACTCCAGCCTGGGCTACAGAGTGAGACTGTTGCCAAAAAAAAAGTTGCGAAGTCATCCTATGTCCTATACAGAATGAAGACAGAACTAATATCATAGCTTTCTAGTATCTTCATAAATTAGAATGGTAAAATGTATCAAGCATTCTGTGATGATTACAAGATACAAGATATTGCCTGAAAACCTCAATGAGCTATAAAGAGTTGCCAGGGTTCAACTGCTGTTCATTTATGAGGTCATTGTTTCTTGATGGGATTCATTATCTATAGTAGGTATAGGAATATATGCTTCCAGTATTTACCCACTGAGAAGATCCATAGCTTTTTCTTCTCTCTGTAGTTACAATACATCACATTTCACGTTCCTCATGAAATATTTAAACTCCTGACCAAATGCCTCAGTCAAGTTCCCTCACTTGTAAAACCTACTGATATCCATGAGGGGCAAAAACTCAGACTACCTCATCTTGGAATACTAAGAACAAAAGAGAATATGATTGCAGAAATAAGGCATTGGGCTTCTTTGTGTTTTCTAATTGTTGCAGCTAAAATATTAAACTTCAAACAGCTTTCAATGCTTATTGTACACTTAAAAGTCAGGTCATCTTTGTTTATTAACAATAAATCATCCTTTTAAGCATACATGGATCATAAGTCAATCTTTCTGGAATTTCATGTAGTTAATCTCTATATTTTGCTTACATCAGCATCTCAAGGGCAAAACATTTGCCTTATCTATTTTCCTCATGAGAAAATGTATTAATATGACATATATGTTTGTTCATTATATGCATTATGCACATCTTACATTAGAATGCCACTTAGATAGTTATTTACAAGTAAATACATGTAAAGAATTATTGAAATATAATATAAAAAATATACTCTTCACAGTGAGTTCCTGATATTTAATGTAGTAACTGGTACAGAGTAAATGTTAAGTATGTCTTTGCCATAGGAATGGAGGTGAGATGGGAAATAGAGAGGGAAAGGTAAAAAGAAAGAATGAGTAGAGTAGATGAATAGTTGGATAGATGGATACATTTTGAAGAAAGAAAGAATTTCGATAGAAAGAAGAAAGTTTGTGATGTTTCAGGAGGAAAAGCATAGACTTTGAATGAGAAACTCATGTTTGAGCCTGGATCTTTTTTAGCTGTGTGACCTTAGCCTTAGTTTTACACCTGTAAAAAAATATAAATAGAGATGGTAATAACCATCTCATGTGTTTTCAGAATTAAATCAGAGAATGTGTGAAAAATACCCAGTTTTACAATACCTGAAATATAATAGGTGCTCCATAAATGTCAGTTTCTCCTTTTTTGCATAGCTTGGCCTGATTTTACCTTAAAGGCAGGTTTCTCAGTATTTTCAAGTTACAGTTGAACAGATGATTTGAAGGTGGGGAATGACACAATTCCAACTCTTAGCACATCTCCCTCCTGTGCTGCTTCTTTTGGGAGTTTGCCACTAAGCAGGCGCCTTTTTTAACCTCAGTGTTTGAATGAGCTCATCCTTAGAGAAAGTTTCCTTCTTGTACTCTACTTTATTCTGTTAGTAGGCAGTATTGATTTGTAAAGGCAGGTGAAGCAGCCCTTGAGGCATATGATGGTGCTATATGAAGATCAGATTACAATGTAAATAATAACAGTTTGTGATCAGCCTGGGAAACATGGTGAAAATCTGTCACTACAAAAAATAGAAAAATAGCTGAGCATGGTGGCACCTGCCTGTGGTCCCAGCTACTCGGAAGCCTGAGACAGGAGGTTTGCTTGAGCCCAGGAGGTTGACACTGCAATGAGCTGTGATCACAACACTGTACTCCAGCCTGGGTAACAGAGCAAAACCTTGTCTCAAAAACAAAAACAAAAAGAGAGGAGCCTAAATAATTAATTAAGTAAAACATGTGGTTGCTGTGGTATATTTTTAACTAATATGTGAATTTGAAAATTAAATTTGTGTAGCATTTCTTATCTGAATAAAAAGAGAATTAAAACATAACCATATTTGAAAGAGAAGAGTAATTGTGTCCGTCGAAGAAGATAATATTCTTTTTTGACTACAGAAAAGGGGTACAGGGTGCCTGGCACAGAAGAAGCAATACACCATTCCTTGACATAAGAATGTTCTCACTCACAGGTGGGAATTGAACAATGAGAACACATGGACACAGGAAGGGGAACATCACACACCGGGGACTGTTGTGGGGTGGGGGGAGTGGGGAGGGATAGCATTAGGAGATATACCTAATGCTAAATGACGAGTTAATGGGTGCAGCACACCAACATGGCACACGTATACATATGTAACAAACCTGCATGTTGTGCACATGAACCCTAAAACTTAAAGTATAATAATAATAAAATGTAAAAAAACTGAAAAAAAAGATTGTAATATCACAGATATCATGGAGGAAAAAACTGGAGATGACTAACAGCAGGAGAAGAGGAATTAAAATGTGCTAGCTGCAAGAGGGCTCACAGTAGGAGAAGAATGAGTACTGGTTACTATTTCTAATACTTTAAAAAATAGTACTGAGCAATAATTACCAAATGATAGCTAAGTCATGTTTTCCCGAAACAACTCTTTTCTTCAAAATTATGGATATTCTTTTCTTTTTCTTCTCTAACATACAAAATGAGCCCTTTGCTTAAAAATAAAAATGACTTCATTCTATGCTTGTAGAAAGTAATATATTAGGTACCCAGAATTCAGTGGCTTCTGCATTTTTTTCTTTTTTATGTGGGTGTCAAATCTGTTGTGAGAATATAACAACTTTTATTATGCTTAAAGTACATTTAGCATAGCATGGGATAATATATATTTTACACTATTTAGGAAGTTTTAATATTTATGAAAAATAAGCATTACATATGCTTACCCTTTTCACAATGTTTAAACAGGAAAGTGAATCAACATTTGATTTTATGTAATTTTCTAATAGATAGTTAGATAGAGAATTAATTTTTGGAGTCCAGTATGTATGGAGACCCACAACTCACCCAAAATTGGACAGGAAATTTAGGGTTAAGAATGAAAGATACGATAAAATAAAATAAGGTAAGGATATACATTTGGGAGAGTTCCATGGATATTTGTCTTATTGTTGGTTTATTAGATAATCATTTACTGAAAATACAATTTTACATATTTTGAACATTTCCTTAAGTTTTGTTAGTTTTATTGCCCCAAATCAAGTTAGAGTTAGTTTTTAAATTGACATAGTCTTTTTTTTTTTTTTTTTTTTTTTTTTTTTTTGAGACAGACTCTCTCTTTATTGCCCAGGCTGGAGTGCAGTGGCACTATTTCGGCTCACTGCAACCTCCACCTCCTGGGTTCAAGCAATTCTCCTGCCTCAGCCTCCCAAGTAGCTGGGACTACAGACGCGCGCCACCACGCCTGGCTAGTTTTTTTGTATTTTTAGTAAAGATGATGTTTCACCATATTGGCCAGGCTGGTCTCCAACTCCTGACCTTGTGATCAGCCCTCCTCAGCCTCCCAAAGTGCTAGGATTACAGGGTGAGCCACCGAGCCCGGCCGAGTCATAATTTCTTTAAGGTCATTGCATCAGCCTGCAAGTATGGCCAAGCACATCCCCACCTACTGCCCCTGAAACATAATTGCTTTGTCTTCCTCTTTTCTTAGTCACCCTCATTCTTGGGGATCTGCTCAGGCCCCATGCCACAATCTTCTCTAATTCCCATTGGTCCTTTAATTCGACAGATATTTATTTTGAACCTATTATTCCAGGTGCTGGTAATAGGGAATGGCACTAACAGATGAGATCTCAGGCTTCACAGAACCTTCTTCCTGATGAAAAAGTAAATAAGCACATAAAAAAGTTTGTGATAAGTGCTATGATTAGATTGTGATAAATGACAAAATAATTGACTAGATTCTGAGACAGGTCATGCTACCCTACAATGAAACTTGACTAACTGTCTCACACCAAAGTCCCTTGTCAGGTGTAAATGTTTTGCTATTTTAGATAAGTACAAGGACTTGGCCTACAAGCATTTCTACTCATCAAGCATGAAGTTGTCACTAGAATATTTACAGGTAGCACTGCTATAAAGGTTTTATTTAAAAATATTTGAAATAAAATCAGCCCTACTTGGTATACACTCGTCTTTCTTTACTGAAGATTCTTATAAACTGCAGAGCATTACTGTTGGAAAACTATGAATATCCCTCACATAGTATATATAGCAAATTAACTTTCTCTTCAAAAGATTCCCTTATAACTTTATTAACAATGACCTCAAATCTTTTGCAGCATTACATCACTGGATGTAAAAAAGGGAAACTGACTTGAAGTGGAAAAAGGAACAGATGGCAAAGTGTGTTCTACACACATATAGAAGGGTTTTTTTTTTTCTTTTCTTTCTTTCTTTCTTTCTTTCTTTCTTTTTTTTTTTTAACCAGAGAAGCTGCTTCTCCTTTTAATCCAGTTCAGTATGTTCTAAAGAAGCTACTATTTCTGAAAGTATTGAAGATGCAGGGCCAGTTTCTAAGTATGGACCCACAAGAAGCAGGAAAATAATGATGTATGTTAAATGTCTGTCCTGGAAAAATGAGGAGGCTGCGCTAGATGATTGCAGGGATCCCTTCCAGCCTGAACACTCCATGCCTCCTTTTTCCGCAAACGCCACATTGAAGTGGTATCAGTGTCTGCTCTAGCTGCCAATTGACATCACTGCTTTTTTTCTCTAATGCTCTGCTTTTCTCATTTCTTTTATGCCACTTACATTTTAAACATCTCCATCTTTTTTCTCAAACCTCATCTTTATCCAGTTCAAGGACTGCAGCTCTCTTTTGCTCTTGAACTACCCGAGTGTCAGGGCTCCTCCCTAATCACTCAAATACCTTATAATTCCAGGCATCCTAATCCTGCGTAATCATCCTACCACCACCTTTCTGCTCTTTCTGCTTGCTAAATTTGACTCTGTTAAAATTCAGATATCTTTGGGGAGTTTACCATTTAAGTTACTATGAATTGTTAGCATTTTAGTGAAAGAAACACTTGATAATAGGATTTGTTTTGGGGAAGGGTGGGAGTTGATGGTCAACGTTAGTTTTCTGGGTTGATAAGGAGCTAAGAGGATTAAATATATGAATGAAAAGTTATAGGAAACTACTTTCCTTGCCTTGCATGCTGAGGTCATAAATCCTACCTCCTCGAAGATTTTTTTCCCCCAGCAGTTTCTAGAGTGGTTTTAGAGTATTAATGAAATTAGTAGTAAAAAATATGGGAATCTATCACTGGAAGAGTAGGGATTAAAGATATGTAATAAAACTGGAAACCAAAATGAATCAGTGAATATAAAAACAAGTAGACAGCTGGAATGAATCCAGATAGCAATGGTCAGAAGCACAGGTCAAAGATTATATAAGAAGCCAGTACCCAGCATTTACACCGAAGTTGAAGGTCACCATGAAATCATGGGTATAAACAATATAAGGGGTCAGTAAGCAGACCTGAAGTACTGGGGGCTAGTGAGTCTTGAGTACTTATTGACCAGAACTGAAACAGAGATCGAAGTAAGAATTTAAGAAGAAAAGGTTAGCAAGGCAGAACAAGGAGTACAAAGGACATGAGGGCTGAGGTTAAGACAAGCAATAAAGCAATGCAGAAGATCAAGGAACTAGTCCCTGCTAGATGCTAGAAAACCAGGCAATAAAAATGTGGCAAATATCTGTCTCACGTAGGAAACCTTGTATATGTTTTCTGCTTTGCAGCGAGAAATAGATGGCTGGATTCAAGAGCAGAGCTAGCATACAACTCAGAGACAGCTAATGCTTATTTAGGAAACTGGAAAGTTCACTCTGTTATAATGGGAACTATCAGAAATGAGGATTATTTGGTAATCCTGTTGGAAAGACAGGAAAAGAAATAGAGTAAGGTGGGTAGTGAGAGGAGCTAATATTTCTGTGCTAGGCTTTTTACCTCTATTAGCCCATTTAACCACACTTGCACCAATTTTGAGAAGTTAGTAGTTGTCTTTGGTAGATGAAATAATTATGTCTGAGTCAAATTAAATGAATTGCCTATGGTCACCCACCTGATTTTTCAAGGAAGTAAACAAATTAACACTGTGAGAATAAAACTTAATTTCCCAGTGTTTTCCTATTGCAGTGATGCACCATAAGAAAAAATGAAATTTCAATGTTTACATAGTTATAGAGTCAACACAAATTTTGGCAGGGGTATAAATGTTGGAGCCATAGAGGTGGGAACAAAAAAGTATGTGGGCAGTGTTGAAACAAAAGTTGAGGGATGCTAAATTGCAAACACAAGGAAGATATTTTCCTTGGCTACATTTTGTAGAGCCTGATTTGCTCTTCAGAATTTTATTTATTCAAACTAATAAAATGAAATAAATAATTGTAACATATATCTAACAATCATTGTGTGTTCAGCAAATGCCAGATATGCTAAAATATCTACAGGCATTATCACACAAGCACACACACACACGCACACACACACACACACACACACACAGTTAGTTGATTTTATCTTCATTTTACCTATGAGGAAACTAAAATATAGATAGATTAGGATACAATCCTAGATCAATATATTTATTAAAGGTTTGGAGCAGAGATTTGCACACCAGTGCCACTCCTTCATATTGTAGTCTTCAAACATTGTAATTTTATGTTCACAAAATAATAATTTTAACTTACGTATGCTATAGGTGGAAATATTCAAACTATAGGTGAGCTGACTCTTAAAAATCATTCTTTGTCATACAAGATAGAAAAAGATGTTTATGTAGTAAAACACTCATGGGAACAAAATGTCCTTGGCATTTAAAATTGAATATACAATTTCCATGCATATTTGATCTACTTATTATCAATAAAATATTTCACTTTGGATGTCTGTAATTGTTGTTCACTGAGTGTGCAAAACACATTTTTATATGACAGGTGTCGTGATGTTTTGAGACTAGCTCAGTTTTCGTGGTATTTCCATTTTTAAACAAGGAAGGCATTTGCCTAAACTAACTTGTCTTCACTATAGAAATATTATTCAGAATAACAGCATATACTTGTGAATCTTTATTAATTGAGTGAGGAATATTAATTGCTCTCTGAGTGCAATCATCCATCTTATCATTTCAAGTAAGTGGTCCATGTTTAATTGAATGTATTTTTCTCTAAAACAAACCATTGCATAGTTGCAAGTAAATAACATCTATATTTAGATATGCCTTGTTTTGTGAGAAACATTGAAGCATCCGAGGCAACTTCTGATAATCTTTAATATTTTTCATTCTGTTTTTCAGAGTGACATGTGCCTAGAAAAATCAATGTAGGGAATTTTGAAAAATAATTTTTTAAAGGTAAAAAAAGATTACAGGATTAGTTTTGGTTTTAAACGTCCATATTTTTCTAAATCCCTGAAACAACTTTGAATATTGTGGCTATAATTTAAGTTTCTCAAATTCCTCAGTGAACTATAAGAAATTTTTCTAAGATAAAATGTTAGAAGTTCAAAGATGCAGTTGTGTTTTACCCAGGGAAATCTTAAAAATTGTATGGATAACTGAGAAAATAATTAGATAAAGCAGAATATAATATTGAAATTATCTCTAATGCTTTGTACTTTTGTGTGTTTATCTATTGTCACTAATGAAGTCATCTGGAAAAGCCGCTTAATGATGATTTGTTAGTAATGTGTGCAAAGTAGTTGATCATTAGCAAAATCCAGCTGCTAGAATATTTCTGTATATCAAATTAAAGGAAGGTATTATTTTGTAGCTTATCATGCCTCATATTTTCTAGTTTAACAATAAGTATTAAAAATGCCATCTTTCTTGGATTTAGAAACAAAAAGGACCATTGATAGATTTATATTTAGTTTTAATTGACGATTTTCCCCAATATTATAGAAAATTGAAAACATCATGAGGTATCATACAATTGTGATTCTTAACACAGAATAAATGCAGCTAGCTCCTTTTAAAAAAATCATTTGATGAAAATAAATGTTTCTGATACAACAGCACAGACTAGTGGCAAAGCATTTGTAGCAAACGTTTGCTTTGTTATGAGATATGTTATCTGAGGTAGTCATCTTTATATATTATGGAATTATATCAAATAAGCTATATATTTAAAATAGGAATGATTATCATACAGTATGGTTTTGTGGATCTTAAGAGTATATTAGCTAAATGTATTTTATTCATTCCATTTTACATTTACTCCAAATAACCTAGAAATTATTCTCAAAATGATAGCTGAAACATATACACCTAAAGGCAGATAGTGAATATAAAAAATATCTTATTGTTTAGATGGATACTTCTGAGGTCACATTTGTTGTTTTAAAGTTGCAATATAAACAATCCTTGATAATCAAGGCTATTTTTCATTCAGATTAAGTACAGATATAGAAAATACGGTAGCCACTTTATACAGATGCTAATTTGCTTGTCCCAAGACTTTCAATTTATATGAATTCAGTTCTATGTCACTGTTCTAATATGTAAACATTATTTTCCCATTTTAAGTGTTTTGCTAATTGTTAAAATGTTTTTCCAAAAAAATATTATTTTTATTTAAGAAACTTCTGAACAAATTTGCCTGTTAATAAAGGGATACTACTTTGGCCAAAGAAAAGTTAAAATAGATATTTTCTGAACTGTCTGCTAATAATTCAAATTTAAAAACAGGATGAGCAAATTAGTTCATAGATGATTACCAGACCTCATTTTGACCTCTGAATCTTGAATAAATGTTCTTTCCCAAAATACATAGTGAGCAATTTCTGCATTGACTATGCATACCATCTGGAACAGCATAGAGAGTAGCCTCTATATGCTGCAATATGAAAGAGATTCTGGAACTGTAATTATTAGTTGACTCTCATTGAAATGACTCATAAACTGATAGTGAAAGGGAGAGATAATATTGAATTGTCCCAAAATGTCAGTGTAATGGATACTGAGCCCATGATAACTAAAATCATGTCTTGTCTATTCCAATGAAGTTGCAAAATCTATCCCATAGCTTCTGAAGGTTTGTGCTGCTGTGTGATTATAATAATAACAATTTTAATTTGGGTTCCAGTCTCAGCTCTATTACTTACTCTCTCTGAAAACTTCAGAAAACTTCCCAGCCTCCCTGAGCTTTAATTTCTTAGTCTGTGTATTGTGTATGATATTAATGATCTAATATGGTTCTAGCGACAATTAAATGAGATAATGTTTGAGAACACTGAGAAATGAAAAATGAGAGCAAATTATTTGATAATTCTCAAATCTAGATTCCCTGTATTTGTGGCTACTTTGTACATTTGTTCAGATAGCAATGATTTTAACACCTCTGTTTGTTCTCTTTTTATGAAGAAATATAACTATCAACTAAGTCTGATCCAATTTTTACATCTGAAAACATATTATCCTGGGGTATAGAGCCAGCACAGTAAATCAGAACAAAGGCTTCATCGCTGAACAATTTTTAAATATAAAGAAAAATTTAGTAGCATAATTTATATCCTCTAAAATTTGATGATAATCTATTATGTCCTCTGTATTATTCAATCAGAAAGTATTATTTTAGAGAAAAACTCATAGACCTTATTCTCTTACTCATGTTGAAAATACTCAGAAACACAATTATAGGGAGAATATCCATTCTACACATTCACAGTTCCAGTGAATTATAGATGTCTTCAACAGTAGATGGCCAGGGTGTTGAACAAGAAACAACTTCCCCTGGTATCTTTCATGACATTCCTGAGACAGACCTCCTCTCTCTCATGTTAGACCCTCTACAAAGGGAACTTGAAGGCTCTAAATATTTGTTACAAATTCTGAGCTTTTGTCTCTGTGTTACAAATAATAAAAAATAGCCAGTAATCAGAATAGAAGAGTTAATATAAATCACAATTCTCACAGCTTATGATCAAAATACTTGTTTTGGAACTGCAAGTCATTTTGTATACTCACTAATTTGGATATTTATCTTACTAAAGATAAAATAGACTTTGGAATTTTGCAGCTGTGTGCAGGTAGATCCTACATGAAATAATCAAGGGATGATTCTGCAGCACCAGTGGCTTCATCCTTACCTAGAATGTCTCCTTGGCAACATCATATTTCTTCTTGTTTCTTTATATCATTTTGATCTTTAGGTGTGAACCATCATCTCACCTTTTTTGCATCATAAAACACTCTGAATTGTGGACCTAAACTATAAAACATCTTAGAAAAATGTACATATGCACCTCACACAAAATTTTACAGACAGTTTTAGAAGGCTCATAGGAACTCCAAATTTACCTCTGAATCCCATAGAGTTTCATTGAGAGAAGGCAAAGATCTCTAAGCTATAGGATTTTACTCCTTTACCAGGAGTAATAGCCAGCCTTTGTTTTCTGCAATACTCCCCATAGATAAAACATCACATTTAAAGAGAGGGCTTTATAGTTGGAATATGAAAATGGCTTTCTTTATCAAGCATCATTTTGATCTCTAAGTAAAGCAATGGATATGCTACCTTTCAAACCCATGTGATTTTATTCACTTTGATTATTTAACTAATAAGATACTAGTTTTACATATAAATTGCAGGTTTTATAAAAACTGATGCCTAAGTGTATCAGAGAGGCAATATCACATTTGTATTTTTAATTCACAACCAGAAAACATTTTATTTTCTATAGCTTTGTGTCTTTAGAGCTTTATTATATCCTAGAGATTACCTGCTCTTACTGCCCTCTGTTTGTGTAGATGAGAAATTTAATTCAGAAATATCCAATGAATGACTACATTTGATTTGTGTTAGAACTCAGATTAGAACTCAAGTATTCTCAGTTAAAATTCAGTGTTCTTTCTTTACTGATCTCTTAGATTAAACTCTTCAACTGTTTACATGTTATAGGGATTCAAAGACTTTTTCACAAATACATTCATATTAGGTAAAGAAATAATTTCCTGGAAATTTTCTTTCCATTTGCAATAAATTATTGTCAAGATTTTTAAAATTCTGGATAATTACTTGTCATTTAGATTTATTTGAATGAGGTCTGGTGGGGAAAAGGACAGTGTATGCTAGTGTTGGTGCCAAGCTACACCTACCAATGTAGCCTTCAGTCTTTCTATTTGCATCTCCCTCATCTGGTGGTCCTCCAATTTTCTCAGTTCTTTGTATTTTACCTTCCACAATCAGCATCATCTCTGTCAGTTTCTTCACCAACACTAATGTGTTAGTAGTCCTGCTAGTAGCTCTGCTTGTTACCTTTCCTGAGGGTAACTGCATCTTAATAAGGATCCCAGCATATGGCAATAGTCTAAAAGTGCTGAGGGTGGAATTCTACCCTAGAGCAGGGCTAGCAGAATTCTGGGTTCTCAGGAAATGGTCTGGACAGGTAGGTTTCTTTTCTGCAGCTCTATAGAGCTACCTTTGTGTAAGTTGGCAATCTATGGTGCTTTAATAGATTGCATTTAATAGATTAATCTACTTTGAGGATTCATCTCTGAGTCTTCTATCTCCGCATGCCTCTTTTTGCTGATTCCTCAGAACTGCATAATAGTATGGCAGAAATGGAACAAATTTTAAATTACACATAGAGAAATGACCCCTGTGGCAGCTGAACAGGTGAAAAGGGGGTTAAATTTGCTCTTATCTTTTATATGCCTACAGGGCCTTATTTGCCAGTGTTTAAATCTCTGGAAAAAAGCAGTCGAAAGTTTTAGCATTTTGCTACCTCTGCTGCTGTGTTCCCACAGGGGCAGTGCCCTATTTCTTAACATTATTCATTGTCATTCTGCTTCCAAACAGCAATACTTCTGAGGACGATTGTGTAGTACTGCAGATGCTGCTTTACTTCAGCTAGGAATACATTCCAGAAATTCTGTCACTGAAGATGTGCTTCTAAGGAGGATGTTATTTTGCCATGAGCAGATGAGATCATATGTTATATTTAGGATTCACAGGGAAGGCAACTCCTAATGGGATACAGCATAGATCTAAAGTTTATATCTTATTTAAGTTACATTAACTTTAAGAAATGAATTTTTTCTTTGTCCAAAGCAATGCAATTTTGTAAAAGTGCTTAATCATTTTCTGTATATGATTGTGCAAAGAAAATTATAATTTCAGTAAAATTAAATAAGTTAGTGACATTTTCATAACATTGATACCTAGACTGATGAGATTTTTTATGTTTCTTGCTCATATTACACTTTTTAAATGAATCTAGTAAAGTCTCTAATATAACAAGGTAATTGAAGGATTTTGCACCTTCTCCACTCCTTGATTTTATACAGTAGAAAATAAAAAAAAAATTGAAATAGTTGCTCTAAAACATAATATGCTTATTTCAGTAGTCCTATCTTATTTTAGGTCCTTAAAAAGTGGGTTATTGACCTACTCAGAAAACTACTTTCTGTAAATAAGATCTAAAAGTCTGTTTCTTTTTAGGCCTTATTTTCCTAGAAATCAGTTCCACTGAATTTCACATTTCTATTTATTTACTTTCTAGCACATTCAAAATAAAAATTGAAACCTCTTCAAGGATATAGTCAGTCTTTCACATAATTTCAAACTACCTCAATATACAACTACACATGTCTCAAATGACAAATTTTTGTGTGGGCATGAAAAAACAAAATATCATTTACAATAGTTATATTTAAAAGCTGTTTTCTTTCACTACTGCATAATGTGCTTTTGTGAGTTGTTTAAATATATTTTTCTTTTAGAGAAAGCATATGCTTTTATGAAAAATTATGTTTTTACATTCTTGTTTTTCAAAAACAGTGAAATACATTTACTTTAAGCAAATGAAAAACATTTAAAAATGTATCACTCTTCAAAACAACAAATAGAAATTGTGAAAGAAAAAGCAGTCTCACCCACATTACAGTAAATTTGGTTAGCAAGAGGGTGGAGTTGCCCAATAATAGCTCTTAAGCAGATTATCTAATTTTCAAATAGCACATATTGCACTTTGTGTGAAACTGAGATGGAAGAACACATTTCAATTTGATAAAGTACCTTTAAAAGTGAGGTTTATCAGTGCTCAATTTAATTTTGCATTTAATACATTTTTACTAGATTCTTTCATTGTTTCTCTCTCATTTTTAAAAGAATCTTTTCTTGCTAGGGAAGAAAATGTTTAAGCCATTTTAGCCCATGACCACTGATTTAGGAAGAAGTTAACTATGTGAGTTCCATAAACAAGTCTGCAGAAACCAAATATAGCCTCTCGTTGCTAAGTAGCTTGCTGCTGATTCTCCCTACATAGCTGGATAGTCTGTTGAGAGGATCACTAATGGTTATTTGGAAAAACAAGGGTGAATAAGCAGTGATTGCATCCCACACTCAGGGTAGTGGCAATTAGGTTATAGTAATTTGGCTGCCTGTATAATTGGAATTCTCAGTATGTAGTTTGGGCAGAAGCACATCTGCTCCTCGTACCCCTTATTAGGTGTATCTAAAATGTTTCGACCGATTGTTGAATGTGCTGGATGGCTATCCATTTATTCAAAGCTACATCCAGCATGCATAAAAACTGTCAGTGTTCCTAATTCAATAACATCAAACGACAACAAAATGGGAAGACTTTTGGGTTCTCTGGTCAACAGCACATTCATTTTTATGAATCCGTTTAACCAAAAAAAGCTTGCTCACCTTACTTCTTTCTCTAATTTGAGCTTATTTTTCTAGATAGAGTATTACCTACCAAACACTGATTTTGCTGCTGTCTTTCACTATTTTCATTCCAGTCCTATCCTCACTTTGCAGCAAAGCCATGCATTGCTGAAAACAACGTGCATGCCTTTGAAATTCTGACTGCTATGCCCTTGAACTAAAGGCAATTTAGGAGAATGGCATTTAAGCTTCTGAATATTTTCCTTAGAAATTAGAATAATTAAAATTGTGAAGCTCAAATTTTAAATCATAGATGTCTCATATTCTTTGTTTGCCAAACAGACATAATATTGTTTTATTGATTGTTTTCATCTTTAAATTTTGTCCTCTCTATGATTCACATGATGATACCAAAGCAGTCGTATCCAATTTGATAAATATATCTCAATCAGAAGGGGTTAAAGCAGAATAATAAAAAAAAGTCTTAGAATTCATGTAGTACAATCATACCCCTTTGTTTTTTTTTCCCCCAGAAAAGAAAACTGAGGGCCATACTTAGTGACTTTCCTTAGAACACAGATAGCTAGGACATTTTAACCCAGGAGTTTTAGTTCATAAGCTAAGTGTTCTTTATATAAGGAAAATGTTTTTCAGGTGGAAATTAAAGTGTGTTTGAATACATAGTAGTAATCTAGCTTACTTGTGTAACTTTCACCATTTTAATTGCAACTTCTATTGTATATATGTAAACATACACAGATAATAGAGATTTATATACCTTACATTTTGGTCGAGAAAACTCATATAGGTCCTTTTTCCTCAAAACTTTATTTTGACATAGCATTCAAATAATTGGCTATAGGGACATGGACAATTGGGATTTTTCAGTCTTTACCTGACAAATAAATTATGGTCTTTCTTTGTATTCATTTTCTGTTGATTCAAATTAAAGTTTTAAATTGTCACAGTAGAAATAGGATGATCACTTTTATTTCATAATTTTTGTAGATGATTTCAAGTTTTTCAGGAATTCAATTATAATTTTGATGATTTGAATTTAATTCTATAGGAAATTGAGTTATAGGGATAGGAAGAGTTTTGTGAACAACAAACCTACGTACATGCCTGTACATCTTTTTCATGTAGCCAATTAAAAACTAAGATGGCATTTAGGGTAACTTTTTTCATAGTCATACATTTTTGTACCTAGACTCACTGTAAGCAACAAAAGAATAAAGTGTTTGGAATCAAGGTCAGAGATTAAAGTTTATCGTCAGCGTTAGAGGCTAGTGTAAAGGGCAATAATTGTTAAAACAATCTGGGAGAGAAATGAGGATATAAACCAAGGTCAGGGCCATAGGGATTGAGGGGAGGGAATAGATACAATAATAATACAACATTTTATACCCATAATCTAGAGAACTAAGTGATTACAGTTCTCTGAGAATAGATGAATAAAAGAAAAATATAAAGTGAGTCCAAATTATCTGATTTGTGCAACTGGGCAAATATTTTCAAGGTGTAATGTTGAAGTGTGCAGGCAGTCTGTTCAGGTCCCAACTCTAATAATTATTAGCTGTGTGAATTCAGGCAAGTAACTTTACCTCTTTGAGGATCAGTTCTGTGATTTTCAAAATGGTGATAATATTAGTATCTCCAATATGAGGTTGTGGAGTAACTACATAAGATATCAGAAGTGTAAGATACATTATAAGTGCTTAATCAATGTTATCTATTGTTATTGTTCACTGAGATAGAGAACACAAAATCAAATTAATAGAATAAAGGTAATTGGATATTTTCACAAGTTGAATCAAAGGTGTCTTTGGGATACTGATGTAAAAATGTCCAATTTGGGGGCTATATATTTGGGATTTATCAGTAATAGGTTATTATTCAAGCTATGGCTTTGTATTAGGCCATCATGAGAGATGTTGTAGAATGATAAGGGCAAAATGTTAAAGATGAAGTCCTGAGAAGAAATTTCATGAGATATACATGGTCAATAATTAAGAAGGAATAAATAGAGTTACAGGAAGAAAACAAGAGAAAAGTAGCATCATGGAAATCAGGAGATAAGTTGTAAAATGGTACTCATGTTCAGTAGAACCAAATATGAGATGTGACAGATAAAATAAATTCAAGTCTGCATTTGGAATTATAAATATGAGGGTCATTGGCAATTTCAGACATATCAATGTCTGTAGATAGACTCTCATATACAAGGTGTGATGAAAGGTTTGGAAATAGAGGTAGTGAAATTAAACTACTTTTTGAGAGAACATTACTGAAAATAAAATGAAGAACATAATAACTATGTAGGATGCAAAGCCTATAAGAGCTTCATTTGTTTCATTTTTCTTTCTCATTTAAGATGAGATATTTGAGCTCTCTTTAAAGCTACCTTCAATGGAATTATTTTCTAGATATTAAAGTTGCAGGTTAACAAAACGTCTTTTTGCATGTAAGATAAATGACATCTTTTCCAAGAAAACGAAGATTGATCCTCTCTCAAATATTAGTAGTCAATTCCCATGGAGAACTTGTCTTGGTTAAACCACCCCTTAAATGTAAAGTGAATGTGTCAGTTTCTGAATTAGCTTGTTTTTTTTTTTTTTTTTTTCCACTGCTATAAAGAAATACTCAAGACTGGGTAATTTATAAATAAAAGAGGTTTAATTAGTTTACATTTCCACAATATACCAAAGCATGGCTGGGGAGCCCTCAGGGAGCTTTTACTCATGGCAGAAGGTGAAGCTGGAGCAGGCATCTTCATATGGCCGCAACAGGAGGAAGGGTGCAGAGAGGTGCTGCACACTTTTAAACAACCAGATCTCATTGTTACTCACTCCTGCTGCAACACCACCAAGGGGGATGGTGTTAAAACATTAGAAACTGCCCTCCTGATACAATCACCTCCCACCAGGCCCCACCTCCAACATTGAGGATTATGATTTGATATGAGATTTGGGTGGGGACAAAGATCCAAGCCATATCGGTTTTCTATTTTAAATATTATTTTGTGGTGCATGGTGCTGTAATCCCAGCACTTTGGGAGGCTGAGGCAGAAGGACTGCTTGAGTCCAGGAGTCCGAGACCATTCTGGGCAACATAGTGAATCTCTGTCTCTTCAAAACAAAACATTAAAAAATTAGCTAGGCATGGTGGGACATACCTGTAGTCCCAGCTACTTCAAGGAGACTGGGGTGGTAGGATCACTTAAGCCTGGGAGATTGAAGCTGCAGTAAACCATGATCATGCCACTGCACTCACCTTGAGCAACAGAGTGAGGTGCTATCTAAATAAATAAATAAATAAATAAATAATAAAAATTTGGCTCAGGCCTGTAATCCCAGCACTTTGGGAGGCCGAGGCGGGCAGATCACAAGGTCAAGAGATCGAGACCATCCTGGCCAACATGATGAAACCCTGTCTCTACTAAAAATACAAAAATTAGTGGGGTGTGGTGGCACGTGCCTGTAATCCAGCTTCTTGGGAGGCTGAGGTAGGAGAATCACTTGAACCCAGGAGGTGGAGGTTGTAGTGAGCCGAGATTGCACCACTGCACTCCAGCCTGGTGACAGAACCAGGCTCCGTTTCAAAAATATAATAAAATGAAATAAAATAAAAAAAAATGTATTTGTGCTGTTTGTGGAATCCTGGCAAAATTGTGTGTGTGTGTGTGTGTGTGTGTGTGCATGAGTGTGTGTATGTGTGCCTTGCTGCTATTTGTTTTGATATCTAAGTGATCAGTTTTCATTTTATGGTGGGCTATGATCTGAGTATGATGCTTAAATGCTGATAAACTTGATGCTTAATAAGCAAAAGGGCTTTAGAATGTTTATCCAGGCTTAACAGGGAAATACATCAGGGAATTAAGCATGCGGGTAACACATTGATGATCATTTACCTGTCAACAATCTACCATTTGTATGTCTTAGATGTCAAGGAGAAAGGGATTAAAATAGGCCTGAGAAAGCAGAGATTCCACTAGTGTATGTAGACTGTCAGTCCTAACCTGTTCTGACTTTTATTAAAATAATTATTAAATTTGTATCTTTCTTTGAAATACCTAATACTGCGTTTATTTGGAAGATATGCAGTATAAGTATCAGTGGGTATACTGCCAGATACCAATGTTGAATATCCAAGAGTGAAGTTTATTTTAGACCTACAGACCAGTGGGAATCTGAAGTGATCATTGGTCAGGTATGTTCCACCCCATGATTTAGACACTCACCTATGTCCTCCTAAGTTTTAAACACAAACAAATGAAGATATAGATTTCCGCTTCCTGAACAAGGGCCAAAGTTAGTTGTCAGAAGCATGCTGTCTTGCTGGTATTTACTCACTTATCTTTTCATGCCTATTTTTTTTTTTAATGAAGTAAACTTTTATTATTGAGCAGGAAACCACTAATAAGGAATTTCATGAATAAGGAACTCAAGCTATCATATTTGGGCACCATAACATTTGGGTTGGGGGAAATGGACTGTAAGATTGGTCTGGAGTTGTTAATTAGCAGGGTGGTGAGACTGAAGGAAGGCTGAAATGATGAGGGTGTGGAGAGGTAGACCAAGCGTCAACCTAGATAGGGAAGTAAGAAGAGCCAGAAATTAAAGACTTAAATGTAAAACCTAAAACTATAAAAAACCCTGGAAGATAACCTAGGCAACACCATTCAGGACATAGGCGTGGGCAAAGATTTCATGACGAAGATGCCAAAAGCAATTGCAACAGAAGTAAAAATCAACAGATGAGATCAAATTAAACTACAGAGCTTCTGCACAGCAAAAGAAATTATCAACAGATAGACGACTTACAGAATGGGAGAAAATTTTTGCAAACTATTCCTATGACAAAGGTCTAATATCCAGTATGTATAAGGAACATAAACAAATTTACAAGAAAAAAAAATACCCCATTAAAAAGTGGGCAAAGGGCACTTCTCAAAAGAAGACCTACATGCGGCCAACAACCATATTGAAAAAAAGCTCATCATTGATCATTAGAGAAATGCAAATTAAAGTCACAATGAGACACTATCTCACACTAGTCAAAATGGCTATTATTAAAAGTCAAAAATAATACATGCTGGCAAGGTTGTGGAGAAAAAGGAATGCTTATACACTGTTGGTAGTAGTGTAAATTAGTTCAACCACAGTGGAAGACAGTGTGGAGACTACTCAAAGACCTTAAGACAAAAATAAAATTGACCCAGCAATCCTATTACTAGCAATCCTATTACTAGCAATCCTATTACCATATACTCAAAGGAATATGAATTGTTCTATTATAAAGACACATGCACGTGTATGTTCACTGCAGCACTATTCACAATAGCAAAAACGTGTAATCAACCTAAATGACCATCAATAATAGACTGCATAAAGAAAATGTGTTACATATATATCATGGAATACTATGCAGCCATAAAAAAGAACAAAATCATTTCCTGTGCAGGACTTTGTTGGATGCAGCCGGAGACCATTATCCTTAGAAAACTAAAGCAGGAACAGAAAGCCAAATACTGCATGTTCTCACTTATAAGTGGGAGCTAAATGGTGAGAACATATGGACACACAGATGGTAATAACATACACTGGGGCCTATTGGAGGGTGGAGGTTGAGAGGAGGGAGAGGATCATGAAAAATAACTAATGGATATTAGGCTTAATACCCCGGTAATGAAATAATAGGCACAACAAACGCCTATGACACGTTTCCCTATGTAACAAAACTGCACATGTACCCCTGAACTTAAAAGTTCTTAAAAAAAAAAAAAAAAAAAAAAAAGTAGAGCCAGGAGCTGAGACAGAGTGCGAGAAGAAGAAATAGTAAAAGGCAGGAATTTATGTGCAAGAAATGATTTAGCAGAAGGAATAGAGGTTAAATAATCAGAGATTATCGTAAGAAAGAATGTCAGTATGATAAATTTAGTTTTAACTTTCTTTGTGAATTGAAGACAATTGTTTGGCATTAAAAAAGTGGGTTTGTGGTTAATCAACAAATTAGTGTCCTACAGCATGAACTTTTATATCAGAGCAATATTTTTTTCCATATGAATTTTAGAATAGTTTTTTCTTATTCTGTGAAGAATGACATTAGTAGTGAAATAGGAATAGCATTTAATCTGTAGATTGCTTTGGGCAGTATAGCCATTTTAATGATATTGATTCTTCTAAAAGATTCTGTATATTCTTTAAATATTATAGGCTACAATACTTTACATCAAAGAAATAATATAGACTCTCATTTTAAGGTATCATTTCTTAGCCCTAATTTGTTAATTTCATTTATCTACAAGGCAGTTTTTCCTGTTTTCCTTTTTTATCTGATCAATTGACTTAAATGTGACATAATACAACTGCCAGAGAATGTGAATTAAAGCGATCTCTCACTTTTCCTTTCAGGGAAATCTTGAGGAGTCTGATACTTTTCATCCTCCAGCTATAAAATCATCTTGTAGGGGGAAGCTGTACATTGGTAAGTCTCACTCATTCTAATTTTTCTTTTTAATGCTCAATTTAATACAGTCTTTGGCTTGGCTGTAAGGTAAAACTAGCATGATTCAAAAGATGTCAACATCATTGCTTGACTAATTACAGAATAATTCTTTTTTAAAAATAATTATAATATGATTTTACTTTTGTTTTTAATTACTCTAGTAATAGGAGTGATATTAAAACTTATAGATATAAAACAAAAATTATGTGCTGGAATAAAAAGCAGTATTTTTAATTTTAAAGTTGTGCTAGTATTACTTTTAGCTAATTTTTAGAATATTATATATATTGACACCTTGGCTCACAAGCAATAGCTGAGTGAGGATCCACGAAGAGATCTGAAGCTATGACTTGTAAAAAGCTAATACACTATACTTATTATATATACATTTTATGCCATAAAGTCAAATATGTAGCTATTATGTTTCAATGCATTGTTTCTCTCTTACCAGTATATAGCATTAGTATTTCTTGGTATCATGTTTCTCAGCAACACGCCTCCCCATTTGCCAACTCTCTCTCTCTCATAAATATTTTAAGAGCATGTAGGTTTGTGTGTGTATGAGTGTGTTTCTGTAGGTACATGTACAGAAACACACTCATACACACACACACTTACATGCTCCTTAAAATATTTATCGCATCCAGGTTGCCATTAGTTAATTTCAACTTTCCCAATTCATGTAAACTACAGACTCAGCAGCACTTCTCATGCCCTCACTTTCTGATTAGTGGAGGTTTGGGTGGAATACTTCATCAGTTAAAAATACTCAATCTTCACTCAAGTTCATATACATTGCTATAAAATCATGCAAATTTACTGCTATCTTTATAGATAAATAATAGTAAAAAAATATAAATTGCATACAGTTGAAATGTAAAAAGATATAACAAAAAAGTCATGTATGGAAATTAATAGAATAAAATTTTGGGAATCCCAATCAATCCTAAAAATCCTCGCCTTCTCCTGATTTTTATCAACTTCCAGAAGTTCTATTTGACACTAAATGATTCTTCAAAAATACTAATTCTAAGCATTAGATTGAATAGATATACTGCATGTTGCAAGGTAGCAAGTGTGTTTTTACATTTATACATACAAGTAAGCTTGTACATGTGGCTGATGTGGAAAAAATTCACTATATCAGGAGTTTGAGGAGACATAGAAGAGTCCCCAGGGATCTCATCTGAATATTACTGTTCTGGAAAGTTTAGGGAGTGAAAGAATTTCAGGGAGGTAGTTATAGAGAATTGAAGAGTCAAACAATAGGGAAGAATAACTTGTGTCCCATAGAATATCTCCAAAGATATCTTGGCAAGTTGCCATCTGTTGGCACACATCATTTATGATCACTGTATTGTAGAATCCCTTAGTCATGGATAAGCTTACTAATTTTTTTCTTAGTAATGTCTTTAGTTTTGGGCTACAAGATGTTACACTATGAAGAGAAAAGGGGAAAATTAAATGGCTATAGTAAGAAACCATTTAACCCAAGTTATTTCTGCATGTGTGAACCACCAATTCTATAAAACAGTTGTTTTTCACAGTGTATCAGATAACTTCCTTTGAGTGTTGAGTATTAATCGAGATCTTCCCATTCCTACTCCTTCCAATAGTAGCTCACATTTAATTAATCCTCAGTTCAACTCCAAAACTAGGCAGGTAGGATGTTAAGTGACAAATTCAAGACATTCCAGACTAGGCAGCCTACATTAAATCTTTAATATGAAAGCATTCCTAATTCCTGATTCCACTTATTTGGGACTTCTCATTCAAAACCTAATACTGCTGAACCAATTCAAAATCCTTTTAAATTTTCTGTTATCCAGGGGCCAATTCACCATCTCTTGTCTTCAAAAAATATGCATACCTTTCTGAAATACAGATACATTGTGTCTACATCATTCCTTTGATCTACGAATCTAGTAAACTCCATAAAAAAAATAGGCTCTGCTGGCACAACTCTGTGAATCCTTAAAGACGTATTTGTAGTAGGGACAGAACTAATAGGATATGTGTGTGTGTGTGTATGTGTGTGTGTGTGTGTGTATATATATATATATATATATATGGAGTTTTTTAAGTATTATTAATGTACATGATCACAAGGTCCCACAATATGCTGTCTGCAAGCTTGAGGAGGAGGAGAGCCAGTCCGAGTCTCACAACTGAAGAACCTGGCATCCGATGTTCCAGGGCAGGAAGCATCCAGCACTGGAGAAAGATGTAGGCTGGGAGGCTGGGACAGTCTCGCCTTTTCACATTTTTCTGCCTGCTTTATATTCACTGGCAGCTACTTAGATGGTGCCTGCCAGATTAAGGGTGGGTCTGCCTTCCCCAGCCCACTGACTCAAATGTTAATCTCCTTTGGCAACACCCATACAGACACACCCAGGATCAATACTTGCATCCTTCAATCCAATCGAGTTAACAGTATTAACCAGTAAAGTATTGATTATGGCGTTTTTCACAGGTCACCCAGCTGTTAGATAATTCACTTAAATTCAGCTATATTTTAGGGATCAATTTCTGCCTAACCAAGTCATAGTGCATATTATTAGCTTGTCTTAAAAGAAAATTACTACCTGGCGCTACAGTATCTATACTTGGACCCTGGAATTTGTCCATATTTTTCCTCTACAGAAAGACAAGCACAGATAGATTAATCAATTTTGCTCTTTCATTTTGCATTGGGTTTTTTCTGAGTAGTCATTCACTTCACAAAGGTATCTGTGTTATCTACTATCTACCAAACACTTAAATAGGGAAAAGTTGGTTTGCTACTTTCCCAGAACACAATGAAGATTTAAGCAGCTTTGTACTCAAAGTTCAAGGTTGCTTGTGAATAAAATGACAAACCATAGAGTCCGAAGGTGAAGATGAAGCGGGATGGGAGTATGACAAATTACCTGGTTTGTATCTTCACTAAATAATCCATGGGCAGTGTTCAGGACACAGGATACCATTGATCAAAACCAAGATTTTCTCAACTGGAATTTTTCTATGGGATAGATTCTCCACGTGGAATCCAGTCTTTTTCTCACCCATCACCAGGCCCCTCATATATTTGACCCTTCTTATTTCCCTGAGCCTTTCCTTCTCCCAGGTATCCCTCCTAGGAGTTAACATTAGTCTAGTCACTCATGTTTCTTCTCTTTTCAGTCTATAGCTTTCATGATAGAACTCATCTACTCTTGTAGCTTCAAGGGTCATTTCTATCTCGTGATACTCAAACCAACAGGTACTCCTAAGGCCTTATTTCTGAGAAACAAATCAACATATCTATTCGATAGCACATTAGCTGCTTACCTTAAAATATGTGAAAATTGAATTCATATTATCACAAACACCTTTTCTTTTGTTTTCTCATTTCTGTGAATTAAAGGGTATCTACCCAGTTTCCCCAAAAGAAACCTAGAAATATATTTGACTCCTTTCTCACCTTCTCACCTATCTTATCATTTAACTCGAAAAACCTTGTCAAACCCACTGTGTTAGTCCATTTTCATGCTGCTGATAAAGACATACCTGTGACTGTGGCAATTTACAAAAGAAAGCGGTTTCAGAGACTTACAGTGCCACATGTCTGGGGAGGCCTCACAATCATGGCGGAAGGTGAAAGGCACATCTTATATGGTGGCAGACAGGAGAAGAAAGCTTTTTCAGTGAAATCCCACTCTTTCAAAAACCATCAGATCTTATGAGACTTATTTACTATCAGGAGAACAGCACAGAAAAGACCCGCCCCCATGATTAATTACCTCCCACCTGGTCCCTCCCACAACACATGGAAATTCAAGATGAAATTTGAGTGGGGACACAGCCAAACCACATCTTTCTGTCCCTGGCCCCTCCCAAATCTTATGTTCTCATATTTCAAAACCAATCATGTCTTCCTAACAGACCCTCGAAGTCTTAACTCATTTCAGCATTAACTCAAAACTCCACAGTCCAAAGTCTCATCTGAGACAAGGCAAGTTCCTTCTGCCTATGAGCCTGTAAAATCAAAAGCAAATTAGTTACTTCCTAGGTACAATAGGGATACAGGCACTGGGGAAATACAGCCGTTCCAAATGGGAGACATTGACCAAAACAAAGGGGCTACAGGCCCCATGCAAATCCAAAATCCAGCAGGGCAGTCAAATCTTAAAGCTCCAAAATGATCTCCTTTGACTCCATGTCTCACATCCTGGTCATGCTGATGGAAAAGATGGGTTCCCATGGCTGCCCCTGTGGCTTTGCAGGGTATAGCCTCCCTCCCAGCTGCTTTCACAAGCTGCCATTGAGTGTCTGTGGCTTTTCCAAGTGCACAGTATAAGGTGTCAGTGGATCTACCATTCTGGGGTCTGGAGGATGGTGGCTCTCTTCTCACAGCTCCACTAGACAGCGCCCCAGTGGGGACTCTGTATGGGGGCTCCAACCCCACATTTCCCTTCCACACTGCCCTAGCAGAGGTTCTCCATGAGCACCCCACCCCTGCAGCAAACTTCTTTCTGGACATCCAGGTATTTCTGTACATCCTCTGAAATCTAGGCAGAGGTTCCCAAACTCCAGTTCTTGACTTCTGTGTAGTCACAGGCTCAACACCACATGGAAGCTGCCAAGACTTGGGCCTTGCACCCTCTGAAGCCATGGCCTGAGCTCTATGTTGGCCCCTTTCAGCCACAACTGGAGCAGCTGGGACACAGGGCACCAAGTCCCTAGGCGGCACACAGCCCAGGGACCCTGGGCCCCACCCTGCCATCTCCTAGGCTTCTGGGCCTGTGATGGCAGGAGTTGCTGTGAAGACCTCTGACATGCCCTGGAGACATTTTCCTCATTGTCTTGGTGATTAGAATTTGAATCCTCATTACTTATGCAAATGTCTGCAGCCGACTTGAATTTCTCCTCGAAAATGGGATTTTCTTTTATGCTTTGCTTTCCTTATAAAACTGAATGCCTTTAACAGCACCCAAGTCACCTCTTGAATGCTTTACTGCTTAGAAATTTCTTCCGCCAGATAGCCTAAATCATCCCCCTCAAGTTCAAAGTTCCACAAATATCTAGGGCATGGACAAAATGCTGCCAGTCTCTTTGGTAAGAAATAGCAAAAGTCACCTTTGCTCCAGTTCCCAACAAGTCCCTCATCTCCATCTGAGACCACCTCAGTCTGGATTTCATTATCCATATCATTATCAGCATTTTGGTCAAAGCCATGCAACAAGTCTCTAGGGAGTTCCAAACTTTCCTACATTTTCTTGTCTTCTTCTGAGCCCTCCAAACTGTTGCAACCTCTGCCTGTTACACAGTTCTGAAGTCAGTTCCACATTTTTGGGTATCTTTTCAGCAGCGCTCCACTCTACTGGTACCAATTTACTCTATTAGTCCATTTTCACACTGGTGATAAAGAGATCCCCAAGACTGAGCAATTTACAAAAGAAAAAGGTTTAATAGACTTACAGTTCCACATGGCTGGGGAGGCCTCACGATCATGGCAGAAGGTGAAACGCATGTCTCACATGGCAGCAGATAAGAGAAGAGAGCTTGTGAAGGGAAACTTCATTTTTTAAAAAACATCAGATCTTGTGAGACTTATCACAATCATAAGAACAGCACAAGAAAGACCCGCCCTCATGATTCATTTACCTCCCACCAGGTCCCTCCCACAACACATGGGAATTCAACATGAGATTTGCATGGGGACAAAGTCAAACCATATGACCCATCAATGGACAGGTGGGAGATATTACAGGAATAATAAAAACTTAATCCAATATACTTTTAAGCCATGTTTAAAATTCATCAGTGGAAACAAAATCCATTAGGAAAAACAAAATAATCACCCTCATCTAAAGGAGAAAAAGGCAATTCATATCAAAGTAAGAGGTAATGCTGTTATATTTTACCATTTAGTTCAATGCCTTTTACTGGAAACTTCAATCTGTATGATTTTATTTCATTAATACTTTAGTAGTTTCTATTACATATATGTGCATATATTTTTATATAAATATTTTTAGAAAAAATGTATTTTTTGCCATAACCATGACAAGTTCAATGCTCAAAATTTTTCAATAGGCAGTATAAAGGAGAATAACCTTATGTGCCATATATTGTTATAACAAATGCTTCCACATATATTGACTGAACATGTATATTCTTCTCTTATCCTGTTATATTTTATAATACACATGACATGCTTACACTTGACCAAATATTAATCATGTTTTGGCACTTTTGTACAGAAACTTAGCAGACCCAAAATACTGTTGGAAGGAGGTACCTATGTATCTCTCCATGATAGTGGGCCATGTTTGTGAACTAGGGAATCTTTGTTTCCCTGACAGCTTGGAAAAGGTCAAATTCTGTCTACCTCTTTTCCCCCCAGCTTTATTGCCTGTGCTTTTATCTCAAACAACTATTTTTAACAACATGATGAAAAGTTCCCATTTATTCACTAAACATATATTTTAATTACTGGAAGAAGAAATTTTGGTTACCTACAGATATATGATATAATATATTCATTCACATTGTATTTCACTTTCTATTTATTTATAGCAGACATTTCCCCCCAAGTGTAAGATTTTCAGGAATCTGACTCTAATTCCTATCAATGGCCAGAGTGAACTGAATTAATAGAAAGAATTGCCCCTTTTTATTTATTTTACCAAGGCCAAGTCTCTAGAGAAATGCTTTATTATTGCAGACAATACATTCTCTGGTTTGCTGGCTGCCTTTAATGGGATGTTAAAATCGATTGGAGCTATTTCTCTGTCACCTGAGAAGCACTGCAGGTTTAGTGGTGTGTTGCAATTTTATATCCTTCTCACGTCTTTTTTTTTTTTTTGAAAGACACTCACTAAACCAAGTGTCTTACTTGCTTGTGAGACCGCAACTTCCTTTTTCTGAGGAAATAATTCTTGTAAATGTATAACATACATGGAATCCAGTCCCCACCGTGATGGTTGTGTCAAAGTCATGATACATAATATTGTCTATTGTGAAAACTACACTGAAATTGTGGGGAGGTTCAGATTTTGCTGTTTACAATTACTGACAGTGCTCCTCTATTGAGAAAACAATGCCCCCTTGTGATGGCAGGTGTATTATTGTAACTGTACTGTGACTGCTCCAAAGGATGAGCACAGATTATGGGCTAAGATAAACAAAAATTATTTTTTGTCCATCGTTGTCTTTTTTGTTTCACTCTATTAAAACAGTTATTTCCATGACTCTTGAGAAACTTAGGCAGGCAACTTGACTTTTCTAGTAATTTTTAGATGCTAAAAAATATGTTCACAATCATTTCAGATCTTTTAAACAATGTCAGTTTATTTCCAGTCCCATGGTTATTTAATGTTGAGACTTCTCTTCTCTGCCAAGTTTGTGCCATTTGTAGGCTAGTAGTCTAAGAAAGATGGAGTCATCAGCTTCTTTCCATCTCCTTGTTCAATCTTTGTACTATTTCTCCTCCTCCAGCTAGCCAAAGGCAGTTTTAGAATGTTTGGCTTTGGGACATGGTGAAAGAACTGTATGAGGAGCACTCAAATTTTTAGTTAACTGGCATTGGCTTGGACTGGTCGTTATTTAAAGCTGGCACTTTCTCATCAGTACATTTGTGGTTTCTCCAGAAACACCATCAATTGCAAGAGACATATTAGAGCAGCACTGGTTATGCAAGTGGTGAACTCTACTGAGATCCATTGCTTAACCCTTCCTTAGCCTTGAAGTATCCTGAGTTAATCTCTAGTTTCTCTTTCTTGAGATCTGTTCATGCCTGCCTGGTCTTCCTTTGGTTAGGATCTTTTCTTACCCTTTATATTTCTCAAGTGGTGAGGTTGAAATGTTCCGTGAACTGTAGCACAGGTGTTTATTTAATCATCCACATGGTTTCCTCAGAGTCTTTCAATCTTGACTTGGGATGAATAGGTTACACCTCAAATTTCTTTAAAGTCAGTGGAGGCGGCACAGCTCTCTCCAAGGAAATCGTCTTCAAATATCATCCAATTTCTTATTTTCTAAAAGTGGGTGAGGGATTTAAAGGTTATCTAATTTTTTAAAAAGTTTCTCAGATTTCTCTAAAATTTGCATCGTATTTGAAATGTGCTCAGCCAAACACCCATTCTAAATCTCTTTTATATGTACCAAGAGAGTCTGAAAGAAATGTGAATTCTCCTATGATGAAAGTTGGCAAAATCTGGTAAAACCAGCTTAAATCTGGCTGTCTAATGGTTTGTATTATGGTTATGTACATCTACACATATTTTTATAATTATCATTCTCAGGCAAAATTGCTTAAGAATCATAAAATTTCTAAATTTCTTGAAGGATTTGGACAAAATTGGACATTGGAAATGTGTAAGCAGTTCAGATACCATCTCGCACCAGTTAGAATGGCGATCATTAAAATGTCAGGAAACAACAGATGCTGGAGAGGATGTGGAGAAATAGGAACACTTTTACACTGTTGGTGGGACTGTAAAGTAGTTCAACCATTGTGGAAGTCAGTGTGGCGATTCCTCAGGGATCTAGAACTAGAAATACCATTTGACCTAGCCATCCCATTACTGGGTATATACCCAAAGGATTGTAAATCATGCTGCTATAAAGACACATGCACACGTATGTTTATTGCGGCACTATTCACAATAGCAAAGACTTGGAACCAACCCAAATGTCCAACAATGATAGACTGGATTAAGAAAATGTGGCACATATACACCATGGAATACTATGCATCCATAAAAAATGATGAGTTCATGTCCTTTGTAGGGACATGGATGAAGCTGGAAACCACCATTCTCAGCAAACTATCGCACGGACAGAAAACCAAACACCGCATGTTCTCACTCATAGGTGGGAATTGAACAATGAGAACACATGGACACAGGAAGGGGAACATCACACACTGGGGCCTGTTGTGGGGTGGGGGGAGGGGGGAGGGATAGCATTAGGAGATATACCTAATGCTAAATGACGAGTTAATGGGTGCAGCACACCAACATGGCACATGTATACGTATGTAACAAACCTGCACGTTGTGCACATGTACCCTAAAACTTAAAGTATAATAATAATAAAATTTAAAAAAAAGAATCATAAAATTTCTAAATTTCTTGAAGGATTTGGACAAAATTGGAAATGTGTAAGGAGTTCAGAAATGAAACACTTGAGACTAGTGAATTAGGACATGACTACAGTGCTGAATATAACACAGCATGTCATATTTTTCCTTAAAGTATCACATTATGAAAGTTAATTATACAATTACTATAAAAGTGTTGAGTCTGTCACAAAAGACTTATATAATAAGGGGTTCCATTTTCTCAAGACACCAGGCATTCACACTGAGCAATAAAACAAAATAAACAACAAATAAAAATTCCTTTCAGGAGAAAATTGCCTTCCTGGTTCAGAAGCAGCTAGAATTTATAAGTCTCTATTTAGGTAATAGTGCATAAACTTACTTTAGAATAAATTAAATTCATTACTTAAATAAAATACTAATACTGTAACCAACAAGGATAAAAATGCTTATCATAATTAAATTATACATTACTGAAACATTTGTTATCCCACATTAAAAATACATCTTATGACACTGACAAAGCAAATATTACTTTCACATGACATTTGGAAATATATCTAAAAATGATTGAAAATATATCTAGTGTTAATATAAAAATATAGAAAGTACTCATGATTGGAAATAATAAGCTATTTAATTTAAACCAAAATAATTAGAGCATATCAATTAAAGCTGTCATTGTGAAAAATATGTACTTGAAGTAATTCATAATCATTATATTGTAAACCACTGAAGTCATTTTGAAGCATAAGAACAAAGAAGCATTTTTGAGAAGAAACACTGCTATGTCTATCATGAATGTGAAGAATGTTAACCTTTATTAAACCTTTATTAAATGAAGTTTTTTTTCCCAAAGCTTTTTTTTTTGGACTTAACACTTCTGTAGCATTTGTACTTAGGCCCTAAATTGCAATTCAATATATAATTGAATGGCTGAGGCTAATAAGAAAGTAAAATTTCCCATAATTCTGTAGTAACTCTCACACTTTATTAGAAAAAAAAAAATAGTTCCATGTAAGTTCTGGCAAATAAAATGCATGAGAGATCATGATCATGTGAAGAAAATAAAAGAAAAAAACAAGTGAATATAAAGATTTGTGAAATATTTGATGGTACAAACACAGAAGTTAACTTTATATACAGAAAAGATGTAGAACTTTACTTTCTCAAGTACGTGGAAGAAATCATGTGCAGAATTGAATTTTGTTTTCACAAAAGGACGGACAGGAGTCCTTGCTTTTCAGTTTATAATACCCCATTATTCAGGCATACATGTCTGTGGCATGGCTGGAGAGGCCCAGGTTCCTTTCCCAATGGAAGCCCTGAATTCTCCATTATTAGAAAAGTTTGAAGATAAATTGTTGTCTGTTAATTTATAATGATTGGTTATACACTTAAAATGATTAATTCTAATTTGATTAGTCGTAACAGTGATACATTTATGTATATACACACGTGTACATAGAAACATATTTAATGATTTACAGAAATCTAAATAAGTTTTGCTTATAATCAATGTGTCAAAAATCTTCCTTTCATTTGAGAATTTGTAGTATACATATAAAAATAGGTAAAATATTATTTTAATTTTAACAGTTGGACAAAGAATATATGCGTCTAGTACAATATTTTCTGAGGCAAAATACAATTCCATTTAAAGACAGCTTTATATAAAGCCAGTATAAGATGTTTCTGGAAGCATAAAAATACTGAGGCATAAAACATGCTAAAGGAACAACCTAATTACAACCATATAATTCAATGGGCTATCTGCTCTATAATGTTGAATTATTGAGAACAGGAAAACAATTAATGGAAGAAATCATTTTTAAAATGGGAATTCAGCATTTTGGCTCCCCTTTATAGCATTTTATTCATTCTAGTGGCTAAAATAAAACTTAGTCAATGTAAATCTTAACTGCTACCCAATCTACATAAACCACAATAAATTAATTTAATGATTTTTTTCCTATAGTTTAGAATGAAATACTCACTGTGTAAAAATTGTGTAGTTTGTTTTTTATTCTGTGCACTACAAGTGCCTTTTGGCCTTATTTTCTTTCCAGTTACTTGCTGAAATGTAATGCCATTACTTTCAATGGCAAAAACCGTGATTACTTTTGCATCAACCTAATACTAATAATCTTGTGGGGTAGCACCTGAATATGAAAGGGAAAGTGATTCTCTGTTGCTTTCATTCAACAAACATTTATTCATTGCTCACTGTGTGTGCCAATAAATTAGAAAGGTATGTATGAGAGCAGTGTATCAGAAATAAGTAACAGATATGAGACCCAAACTGCCTTATGTTAGAGGGGTTTATCATCGAACATAACAAGGAAGAAAGTTCAAATTTCCAGGTTTGGTTATTCCTGTGACACACATGTCATGGAGGATTCAGGAAAAGTCCTAATTGTATGTAACTCTGCTTTCCTCGGATTTCCGTTCTTGGGTTTATTTACCCACGGTCACAAGGTGACTGCAAGATGACTGCTTCAAAGGCTTTGATTTTCTCATGCCTGAACACCTTCTACAGAAATGTACAGGCAGGCTCTCTTAAGTGCCACTGACCACATTTGAAAGCAGCATTACAAGATCAAGCATCTCACATTTTCATATTCTATGATGGAAGGCAGATCTATTAGAAGGGAATGCAAGTGTATGTATGTGGGAGTCGGTTGGCTGTTGATGAGCAACCAGAAATGTTTAACGTAAGTGATCTACACAATTGTGTTTTTACAGAGTTTAGAACAACCATACTGGTGTGTATAAGTCTAGCAAATCTTCACAGAGAAGGTAATGTTTGCCGTACAGAGGATGAGTAAGAGTTTTCAGATGAAGCAAGGGATTCATAAGTGGGCAGGGATGATGAGAATTATAGGATTTTCCAGTCACATTGATATTAAGTGGCTAGCATGTATTTCTAAGAATATTCTAGTGGCATAATAAATGTGAAAAAGGATCATGAAGTCAAGCCATCTAGACCATCCTGGGCAACGTGGTGAAACCCCGTCTCTACTAAAAAAACAAAAATTAGCTGGGTGTGATGGCGGCACACCTGTAGTCCCAGCTACTCGGGAGGCTGAGGCAAGAGAATCGCTTGAACCCGAGAAGTGGAGGTCGCAGTGAGCCGAGATCATGCCACTGCACTCCAGCCTGGTGACAGAGCAAGACTCCGTCAAAGAAAAAAGAAAAAGAAACTAATATTGTATTGATATACACCTAAGCTACACCGTGATTACTTTTGCATCAACCTAATACTAATAATCTTGTGGGGTAGCACCTGAATATGAAAGGGAAAGTGATTCTCTGTTGCTTTCATTCAACAAACATTTATTCATTGCTCACTGTGTGTGCCAATAAATTAGAAAGGTATGTATGAGAGCAGTGTATCAGAAATAAGTAACAGATATGAGACCCAAACTGCCTTATGTTAGAGGGGTTTATCATCGAACATAACAAGGAAGAAAGTTCAAATTTCCAGGTTTGGTTATTCCTGTGACACACATGTCATGGAGGATTCAGGAAAAGTCCTAATTGTATGTAACTCTGCTTTCCTCGGATTTCCGTTCTTGGGTTTATTTACCCACGGTCACAAGGTGACTGCAAGATGACTGCTTCAAAGGCTTTGATTTTCTCATGCCTGAACACCTTCTACAGAAATGTACAGGCAGGCTCTCTTAAGTGCCACTGACCACATTTGAAAGCAGCATTACAAGATCAAGCATCTCACATTTTCATATTCTATGATGGAAGGCAGATCTATTAGAAGGGAATGCAAGTGTATGTATGTGGGAGTCGGTTGGCTGTTGATGAGCAACCAGAAATGTTTAACGTAAGTGATCTACACAATTGTGTTTTTACAGAGTTTAGAACAACCATACTGGTGTGTATAAGTCTAGCAAATCTTCACAGAGAAGGTAATGTTTGCCGTACAGAGGATGAGTAAGAGTTTTCAGATGAAGCAAGGGATTCATAAGTGGGCAGGGATGATGAGAATTATAGGATTTTCCAGTCACATTGATATTAAGTGGCTAGCATGTATTTCTAAGAATATTCTAGTGGCATAATAAATGTGAAAAAGGATCATGAAGTCAAGCCATCTAGACCATCCTGGGCAACGTGGTGAAACCCCGTCTCTACTAAAAAAACAAAAATTAGCTGGGTGTGATGGCGGCACACCTGTAGTCCCAGCTACTCGGGAGGCTGAGGCAAGAGAATCGCTTGAACCCGAGAAGTGGAGGTCGCAGTGAGCCGAGATCATGCCACTGCACTCCAGCCTGGTGACAGAGCAAGACTCCGTCAAAGAAAAAAGAAAAAGAAAAAGAAACTAATATTGTATTGATATACACCTAAGCTAGGGGATAGTATTGTGCGGTGCCAAATTGTTGGTTCATTTTAAGCACAGAGAAAACAATGTCCAAATAAAATAGTAACTTTTAAAAATACTGTTTGGTTATAAAATGGTTCCTGTTTCAAAATAGAAGATAGTATTCTTATTAATAATAAATATTTAACTTCTTCAAATCACAAAAGTAAGGTTATTAATAACTTCCGTCTTTCTTCAACATCTGAAACTGAGTTATATAAAACAAGAGTAAAATTATTGTGCCAAACATTGTAATAAACCGTTTATATACATTAACCTGTATATGAATTAACTCACAATGCCACTAAGAAAGCACTATAATTTTTTTTATTATACTTTAAGTTCTAGGGTACATGTGCACAACATGCATGTTAGTTACATATGTATACATATGCCATGTTGGTGTGCTGCACCCAGTAACTCGTCATTTAACATTAGGTATAACTCCTAATGCTATCCCTCCCAGCTCCCCCCCACCCCACAACAGGCCCCAGTGTGTGATGTTCCCCTTCCTGTGTCCGTGTGTTCTCATTGTTCAATTCCCACCTATGAGTGAGAACATGCGGTGTTTAGTTTTTTGTCCTTGCGATAGTTTGCTGAGAATGACGGTTTCCAGCTTCATCCATGTCCCTACAAAGGACATGAACTCATCCTTTTTTATGAATGCATAGTATTCCATGGTGTATATGTGCCACATTTTCTTAATCCAGTCTATCATTGTTGGACTTTTGGCTTGGTTCCAAGTCTTTGCTATTGTGAATAGTGCCACAATAAACATACGTGTGCATGTGTCTTTATAGCAGCATGATTTATAATCCTTTGGGTATATACCCAGTAATGGGATGGCTGGGTCAAATGGTATTTCTAGTTCTAGATCCCTAAGGAATCGCCACACTGACTTCCACAATGGTTGAACTAGTTTACAGTCCCACCAACAGTGTAAAAGTGTTCCTATTTCTCCACATCCTCTCCAGCCCCTGTTTTTTCCTGACTTTTTAATGATCGCCATTCTAACTGATGTGAGATGGTATCTCACTGTGGTTTTGATTTGCATTTCTCTGATGGCCAGTGATGGTGAGCATTTTTTCATGTGTCTTTTGGCTGAATAAATGTCTTCTTTTGAGAAGTGTCTGTTCATATCTTTCGCCCACTTTTTGATGGGGTTGTTTGTTTTTTCTTGTAAATTTATTTGAGTTCATTGTAGATTCTGGATATTAGCCCTTTGTCAGATGAGTAGATTGCAAAAATTTTCTCCCATTCTGTAGGTTGCCTGTTCACTCTGATGGTAGTTTCTTTTGCTGCGCAGAAGCTCTTTAGTTTAATTAGATCCCATTTGTAAATATTTTTGCAGAAAAATACCCTTAAAGTATTGTGCATATTAACAATGTGTGTATTAGAAATGTAATTCTGGCCGGGCGCGGTGGCTCACGCCTGTAATCCCAGCACTTTGGGAGGCCGAGGCGGGCGGATCACGAGGTCAGGAGATCGAGACCATCCCGGCTAAAACGGTGAAACCCCGTCTCTACTAAAAATACAAAAAAAATTAGCCGGGCGTAGTGGCGGGCGCCTGTAGTCCCAGCTACTTGGGAGGCTGAGGCAGGAGAATGGCATGAACCCGGGAGGCGGAGCTTGCAGTGAGCCGAGATCCCGCCACTGCACTCCAGCCTGGGCGACAGAGCGAGACTCCGTCTCAAAAAAAAAAAAAAAAAAAAAAAAAAAGAAATGTAATTCTTAAATAAATCATTTTAGCAGAGTAATGGTATATTTGAGAACAAATATTTTTAAAAGCTTAAAAAATAAAAATTTTATCTGCTATTTGTATCACACGATAAACATGAAATTTATAAGGGGACACAGATCTAGACACTTAAGAAAGCTCTGAAACTGACAGATACACTGAGAAAGTCTGCCTGTATCTGACGGCTTATTGCTTCTGATTTATTGGAATATATAAAAGAGATAGAAAGGGAAAAATCCCAATCAAAACCTCTAAATTCCAAGATTTTTTTTTCCTTTCCTTTTCTTTTGTCTTCCTCCCCTTCCTCCTACTCCTTCTCTCTCTCTCCTCCTCTTCCCCTCCCTCCCTCACATTCTTCCTCTTTCTCATCAGATCCTGGTTCTTTATTTTTGTGTATTTGTGTATGAGAGGGGATTTCATAACCTAATAATCTAGTAATGAAATTACTAATCAAAAGTAAAGAGTCAGAAAAAGACAATAAATAAAACTAACTTATGCTGTTAAAACTAAAAATAATAACTCCACTTGGGTAGAAGCTAAGTCCTAGAATGTACCATGGGGGAGATCTCTGGGGACCCCTGCTGTTCTGGGACTTCATTTGAGTGTTGTTTTAAGTGAGGGTATTCAAATGTTTTTAATCTTCATTTGAGTGTTGGTTACAATTTTACATGAGGGCATTCAATTGGGGAAAGTTTCATCAAGACATTCTTGAAAAATTAATTCTCCCAAATATCAAAATATTAAATAAATATAATAAGAAAATGTGTCATTGGTTTAGTAATACAGAAATAAGTAAAGAACAGAATACAGATTCCAGAAAGAGATGCGATTGCCAGAGAAAAGATGGATTATTTAATATATGTACTAAGATAATTGATTTTTCATATGGAAAAATTAAAATTGGCCTCCTACTTCACACCATTCAGTCTAAATGAACTAAAGATTTAAACCTGAAAACAAGGCTTCCAGACTTGAGGAACATGAAAAATAAAATATCTGTATAGTTAAGATGTGGAGGATTCTAAGACAAGCTTTGCTTAAATAAGGTATAATCCATGAAGGAAAAGATTAATACATTTTATACCAATAAAAATAAGAACTGTTTATAAAACATGTTTATAGTCCATAAAGAAAATTAGTAAAGCCAAAAAATTAAATATATGCAACACATATAACTTAAACAGTAAAACCTACAAAAAGGACTCCTGAACATTGATAAAAAAAAAGATAAAATAAATGGACAAAGAAATGGACAAATTTTACAAGTTAATAGCTTATACCTTTATGAAAATATGCTATCAATAAGATAAATGCAAATTAAACACAATAATTAATATTCGATGTCCACCAGACTGTCAAAACTAAAAACATTGGGCATATTACTACTTGTTAGTAAACATGTGTATGATTGGGAACTTTATTCACATTACTGGTGGGAATGTAGATTGGAACAGTTTGGAAAACAATTTGATATTTTCTTATGAGACTAAAGGTGTTTCAACCGTGACACAAACTTCTCATTACTATCCTAAAGAAATGCTTACAAATGTACAATAGGAGGGCACAATGGCTCACTCCTGTAATCCCAGCACTTTGGGAGGCCAAAGCAGGAGAATCTCTTGAGCTCAGGATTTTGAGACCAGCTTGGGAAACATAGCGAGACCCTGTCTCTACAAAAAATCAAAAGATTAGCCAGACATGATGGTGCATGCATGTAGTCCCTGCTACTTTGGAGGCCAAGGTAGGAAGCTGGCTTGAGCCCAAGAGATCGAGGATGCAGTGAGCCATCATCCTGCCACTGCACTCCAGCCTGGCTGACAGAACAAAATTCTGTGGAAAAAAAAAACAACCCACAGGAGGCATTTTCAGTAGTATTTCTAGTAGCATTTTCACTAGAAATAAACAGACAAACCTGGAAACAATCTCCACATTTCTCCACTTTAAAATTGCAATTTTCCTTTAATAATTAATAAGTACCCTATAGAGACATGCTTTGAGACTATTCTGTTCTTTCTCTAACTTTCACCCACAGTTTTAGCTTTCTTTGATGATTTACAGACACCATCATTTTATCTATATTTCTTGGCATACTGAAATAAGAAAGAATTTCCCTATCTATCTGTCTATCTATCTATCTATCTATCTATCTATCTATCTATCTAATCTTTCTATCATCTATCTCATTTCCCTGGACACACGGATGGCTACTTTATTCAAATAGTTATAACTCACTACTGTAAATGGGTTACTATAAACAAGTGTATTTTAAAAGAAAACAATGTCATTAGCAAATTTTTAAAAACAAGCATTTTTCTAATACTTGCCGAAAAGAAGAAATAACAAATGTACATATACAAACCTCCCAAAATTGTATACATATTTAGGGAGATCACATTAGACCTTTACCAACCACATATGATTTAATTGAGATTGATAGCCAGTATATTTCCAGGTTCTGAGGGACAAAGACCAATAGGAGTCATTGAAGGTGGTTGTAGCCTGGTACCTGCCTCAGGAGAAGTCGATTCAAGTATATTGTCTTGTAGACAGAGTGTGGTGTCAGTCAACTGGTAATTAGAGAGAGAGGTTTATGGGACACATGGTACAAAGTCTTAAGATCAGGAGAGCAGTACTTCTCAATGTGATCCTGAAATGAAATGTTTCAAAATGACCTTGTAGTATCTTACATTATAAAACTTGCTTAGTTTCTAGATCCTACCAGAGGAGAAATAAATTTCTTAAGATACTATGATAATGGTGGCAGCTGCTGGCTGCTATTGTGGTTCCCCCACCTCTTTCTCTTCTTTCTGCTACTCCTCTTCCTTCTCGTTCTTTTTCTTTTAGTAATATATCAGAATTACCTGGCTTTGTGTTAAAGGCTTTGCAAGTAAGTACACAATTTAAATCTCACAGTGATCCCCATTTTAAAGTTGAGGCTTGGATTGACTCCTACTTCTTCAGTATCCTATAAAATACTAACTGCCTTTATATTTCTACTATGTCCTATACAGCCTCAGAGCTCAATTGTCAGTTGATTGCAACTTCACCTTTAATTGTTCCCAAAGGGTTTCTTTCAAACGAGGCATGAGTAATTTGAGTGTAAATTATTTTCACATAGACACATTGACTTTGTGCTATTGTGGATAATCTTGTCTTACTGCCATGATTTTCTTAACTACTTAAATATTTATTTAGTGTAATAACAATAATTATAAAATCTAAGTCAGCAGCTGTTATTGCACATATTTTTGTTGCTGAAAAATTCAATTAGCGGCATTGTTAGCTAAACCAATGAAAAAGCTGGTAACTCTGAAAAGGTCAATTCTGAGTTATTGTTGCCCATAATCATTTCCCAAGCCATTAAGCCTATAAAATCCAATTGAAACTGAAAGCCATAAAAGTAAATTATAGAAAAGCTGCCCAGGTAGGTGGTGAGAGTTCCATACCTGTGAGTAAGACACTTGTCTTCAGAAATTACTTCAAGTGGATTACCCATAATAGAACTACTCTAGTGGATGCCATGTGGCTATTACCATTTACAGATCCCATATATTGAAGACATTTTAATTACTCAATCCCAAACAATTCAATGAGGGGAAGTGCTAACTGAAGCGGTTTTTAAATGCCCCATAAAGTGGGGCAGTAAGTCTCTTCAATTTAAGGATAGAAGAAAAAACACAATTAAATATAGAAATAACCACGCACTTAGTCACATCAAAGGTCTTTTGTTGCAATACAGATTTATGCCAAAATAGGTCTATATCATATAATTTTAATGGATAATTAAAAATATGCATTTGTTCCAAATCAAAGTGTTTCTCTCCTTTCCTTGTTCTATTCTTATTTCACGTTTCATTTCTCATCTGTAAAGTCAGCTTCCTCTTGTCATTTATGACTTGTTGAGGCTGTGTCTTTTCAATAAAGTAAAATATACTGAAAGTGTTAATGACATGTAAATAAAATATAATTTTGTAAGGAAATGCATTATTTCTAGAGTGAATACAATTGTCTTTCATGTTACCAAGTCATTAGAAAACAACCATTTGAATACAGCAATAACTCTCAAAGTCAAAATGCACCTAGAATGCTTCATGGTCACTGGACTTTTATATATGCAATTAACAGTCTACATAATAAAATGTGAAAAGTAAATGTAACATTCCTTCTTGGAAGACAATGGAGAAGTGGAAAGAATATGGGCTTTGCAACCTAATTACCTGAATGGGAATTGCAGCTCAAATTACTTAGCCTCACTGAGTCTTAGTTTCCTCATCTGTGAAGTGAGAAAAACATTTATTTTCCTGCTTTAAGGGACATTTCATTATCATTACTGATTGATGTCAGTAAATTGGTTTGTATTATATTCAGGACTGAAATGTTATGTAACTTTAAGCAAACAACTCTCTAGTCTTTTACGATACCATTTTTCTAGTTGGCAACTGAAAATGGATGATAGGGGCTGACATGTGAAGATTTATTTATTCAGAAACTCTAATAACCTTGGAGATAACTTTAGACTAAGGAATAAAATAAAGAACACATGTTTAGAATTACAGATTTGTCCTTTGTTTCATTCAATGCTATTAAGCAGAAGGGTACAAAACCTAAATTTTGAGAGCTATACACAAAGAAGAAACAAACAAAAAAACCTATGAGATGACTCTGCATATTAACCAAGAATATCAAATTCTAGAACATTATTATGTGAACCAAAATATAAAATAGCTAGCAGAAATTTAAAACATAAAAGTTGAATATATCTTTCATTGAAACAGCACCTTGAAAAACAATTCTGAAGTTGTCAGCATACCTACATCTATTTTTATTAAAAACTCAGTGAAGTATTTCATCCATGTGTACTGGAGTCTTTGTAAAATTTATTACACTTGTAGTAATTGCCATCAATTACTTATCTGTGTTGAAATTTTTTTTTTCAGCTACTACATTGTATCTGAAGTAGATGATCTTCAGCTTTGTACACTGACTTTACCTCTGAAATTAATTGGTAAAAAATTCTGAGGTGAATCTCTGTTTCCTGCCCTTTTGGTATGGCTTGTTATAAGAGGAAATAAGGAGTACCTATATAGTCTTAAGTGTTTAAAAAATATGCAAATAACATAAATCAGGATTGATTATTTATTTACAAATGGAATATTCATTTACTTAAATTTACATTTGAATACAAATTTAATTTTATTCTTTGATTTCTGTGATAACTGTCTTTCGCCAGCATTAGCACAGTAAAATTCTCTAACTAGAGGCCAGGGACCTGATGTCTCCTCCAGTGTCCATCTGTGGCCTTGTAAAAGTCACTGAAAAACTTCTGAAGGCTTTTATTCTTTTACAAAATCATGACAATAAAGACTTATTGTAGGTATACTCGGTATACTCACAACATAACATGGTAGAAATAATACTGGCTTTGAATTTGTGTAATTGAAGTTCAAATCATTGATTTGCCACTTCTCGTTTCCTGTGCTTATTCTATTCTCTAGCGGATATGCTTTTCTAACAGATCATGGAAATGATTATTAAAATATTGAAGTATTTTATTTATCTATTCATGATCTTGAAAATTACAAAGATCATTTCCAGGTAATAATTTAATCTCATGCTCATTGATTTGACTGTGTTTGCTGGGTTGTATGTCTTCTGTTATTTTGTGCTTTGGAGTTTACCTTCTAAGCAGCTATCCCAATTACATATGATTCAATACCTATGCAAGCAGTTTGGTCCTTGGAAATCTTTCTATCAAGAACACACTCGGGGTTTTCCTTTTTTCTATATTTAACACATGACCCAAATATTGAGCATTGCAGTGTTCTTGTGATAGGTGTAAAACCTTACACTGAGGAATTATCATGTTCCAATAACAGTGCTAGTCTTGGGTAACGAAATAGTGAGTAAAATCTGACATTTTCCTATAGCATTCTTGTCTACTAGACTTCTCTCTTATAGTTTAGTAATCTAATGTATGTGATTATTTTCTTTTTAAAAATAAATGCCTTCTTAGTTATAAGGTGTGGTGAAAGGATTGTGGAGAATGACTTTTTTGAGATGGGAATTGCTTAAACTTTAAAAAATCATCTTACACATAAGTGAAAAGTTGCAACTGTGATAGTACTCAAAGGAACAGTGGAAAACACGATTTTTTTTTCCATCTGCTTTTCCACTTTTTTAGCTAATTTTTTTTCTTCTTGTCTGAATCTTCCACCGACCCTACCCCCTTTTTGTTATCTCTCACTTCATCTTGTGATTAAAACCTCATTTCAATTTGGTCATATAGATGATTATCCCTTTAATATTCTATGAGGTACTTTTTTACAATTCTTCAAAATTCTTGCAAAGTTCCATTTGTATACGTCTTACAATGTTAAACAACTTTCAATAATTAAATAAATATTAAAAATCATTTGATGAAGGGAATTCTTACATATGTTAGTACTTTTCACAAATAGTTATACCTACATGTTTCCTGTCAATATCAATATTTATAATTGAAAAAGAAGGATTTAATGTGATAAAAAGTTAATTAGCAAAACAAAAGCGAGTTTCCGGAACATACAAAGGCCAAAACAATACCACTGGCCAGACACAATGGAAGGGACTCTATGAAGGTTTATCCCCACTGTCTCTGCATCCTTACCTCCAAAACTGAGGGTACTGATTACTGATTAAATACAATCCATTTTAGGAGGTGACTGATAAGATATAAGAAATGCTTCTCTAAATTCAAATTAATGTTTTAATAGAAAACTAAGGGACTGAATGACTCTGAAATTCTTCTCAAACTTGTAATCATAAATTACTATTTCAAATCCACAAATGTCCAGAGTTCAACATGTTACAATGTATATTTTTTTGAGGAATAAGCTTATACCCATTTTTAAGTAAACCAAAAACACAAATATTATCTAAGCCAATCTTGCACTGGGTATTTATCAGCAGGGAAGGCATTATGTTTTGATGCTAGTCTATTTATTATTGTGCCTTGGTTTTTGTTAAATAAAGTAGAGGAGTCAATGAAAACTAATTTAAGATACTTATGCATTCGACAGCTAAAAGCAAAAAATGAGTTAGAATAAGTTCTTCTTTTATTTGTTTTGTTAAATTTTAAGTTCCAAATTGCTAGGAAATGCCAGCTTCTTGATATCTCTTTAGATATGTAGTGACTTAACTACCAAGGAAAAGAAAATTGGAAACAATTTAACTAAATTCAATCCAACCCACCAATATTTTACAATTCAATGCTTTTCTAATGATCAGATCTTCAGTTTTTAGTATTTGAAATAAAAGTTAACAACTTGGAACACTGTCAAGGTTCTGCTGAACCTTCCAATCCAAGAAAAATAGTCTAATCTGTGTGATTATGTTCTTTTTAAAATAATTGCCTTCTACAGGTATAAGGTGTGGTGAAGGGATTGTGGAGAATGACTTTCTTCTTAAAGCAATTATTTATGTATTCATTTAATATTTGTATGAAATGAACAACTTTGTAGGATTTGCAGTATATCCATGTCCTAACCAGATGAAATACTTTGGTATTGGCTTCTTGTCCATAATTACTTTATGATCTAATTTTCCTGATAACACTAGAATATTTAAAATGTTACCTAGATTTTTTTTTCTTTTGACTAGAACAATTATTGCCTTGGTTTGAATGCAAAGACATATGTAATAATTGGGAATGTGAAAAATGTTATTAGTGTTAAGTTAGTTTTAACACAGAAGTTTCATAGCATTCTTTTGGTCTCCTCATTACCATAATGATCTAAATAAAATTGTTTTCAAACCTCGATTTTTTATTCCATTGATTTCTCAAAATATCTCTATTTATGTGCATTTGTGTGAAAGAGTAGAAGTTGGGACCTAATGGTTACCTCTGGCTTGGAAATCCAGCCACCATTAACTGAGTTGAGTATACAACTTGCCTGAGTGCTGTGCATGGCCACTTGAAGGTACACTACACTGACCCAGGTGTGGAACTCATCCTATGGAACTCATCAATACCTGAATAAGTCCTCCCTCATTTTCCTCATTTTTCACCAATCCCCTCCCTCATTTTCCACCAAAAGTTAAATTAAATTAAATTAAATTAAATTTTAAATTTAAAAATCAACACAAGCAGACATTACTGAAAATCTGAGAGGCAAACAGGCAATTATATAAACGCACATGTTCGAACAATTGTAGACATCTTGCTTAATGCATTTTGAGAAAATTACTATGTAAATGAATTACATTTTAAAATAATTTAAAATCTATACTCAGTCTCTTTGCCCTGAGGTCATGGTGTTTGGAGACATGTGGATTGCAGTTTCTTTTCCAATTTCTAGTTGGGTGAACATGGACAAGTGAGTTAATTTCCTAAATTTGTTTTCTCAACTTAAAATGAAGATAATAATACCAACCGATTAGATTGTTCTAAAGATTAAATGTGTAAATCAAAAATAAAATTCCAAGCCTCTCAACCAACTGAATGGACCCCTCCTCTCGGCCAAGGGGATTTCAAAGTAATC